>NC_000005.10:27580548-37580548 GCF_000001405.40 Homo sapiens | reverse complement strand
TGGGTGCTTATATGTTCTGAAAGTTAAGTAACATCTAGAATTCAATTAGGGGCATTTCACAGTAATGGGTTTAATTGCATCTATTCCTGGGAAAAACAAAGTTTCCATCTTTCACTGTATCAGACCCAGAGCAATGGTAGGTAATATCCAGGCTGATTTGAAGCCCTCTTTATCTTCTGACCCAGATAAATGGAAATATGCCATAGCTGTCGTGTGTTAAGCAGATGGGACACCAAAGGGGTTGAGCTGTTGGCCAAAGACAAAGGAAAAAAATTTCAAAATGTAAGCCAAAGCTTTCCATAGCTGCTTGGCAATACGGCTTCCAAATAAACTATCTTAATTTGATTCACATGCAAAGAGTAGAAAATTAAAAACAGAACAGTGAATAAAAATTAAGTGAATTCATTAAATAGATAAAATTATAAAGCAACATATATTGATATCAGGAATATTTGAGTTTCTATGGACAGTATAATTCCATATTTATACTAAGTTATATATTGTCTTGGGCATACAACAGATAAGATATAAATTTTTGAGAAGCAAATGTTTTTCCAAGAAGCGTATGACCTCTAATGAATCAATAAGATAGAATAGAACCCAATAATTTTTAAGTATATTAATCTAAAAGTCCTAGGACAGCAAAATTAAAACGGAGTGTTAAGGAAATACAAAAGAGAAGAAATTGAAGAGAAGGTGGAAATGATCTAAAGAAAAACATAATATAAAATGTTTGGGGATGTCTTGTTTATAAAAGTTGCTTATCAGAAAAATTCCATTGTGGGTGCCCAGTCTACTGAAAACTGTAAGAAAGAAAATACCATGCTGGATTATTCACAATAACAGAACAGATTTTTAAAAATACACTGAGATCCAATTTTTTTTCAAACAATAATTAAATCTATATTTTAAATGTCTAATTGTTCATTGTCAGAATTGGAATTTTTTTTTTTTTTTTTTTTTTTTGAGACAGAGTCTCACTCGGTTGCCAGGCTGGAGTGCAATGATGCAATCTCGGCTCACTGCAACCTCCGCCTCCTGAGTTCAAGTGATTCTCCTGCCTCAGCCTCCCAAGTAGCTGGGACTACAGGCACCCACCACCACGCCCAGCTAATTTTTGTATTTTTAGTAGAGACGGGGTTTCACCATGTTGGCCGGGATGGTCTCAATCTCTTGACCTCATGATCCACCCGCCTCAGCCTCTCAAAGTGCTGGGATTACAGGCGTGAGCCACCGCACCCGGCCAGAATTGGATTTTGTGTCTTTTTCCTTTTCACTACTCTTCCAGAAGTGAATACATTAAAAATTTCCTTTCTTCCTTCTCTCCCTACATCTTCCTTCCATTCAGTCAAAAAGTATTTACAAACCCAGTGGTATCCCAAGAACTGCTCTAAGTGCTGGAGATAAGGTGCTAAACAAAACAGACAAAAATCCACAACCTTCTGAAGCGATTAGTCTGGTTACATGCCTTGATTCATTCGCTTGCTCCTTCATTCCAGTATTTCTCTTAATTGTGTGCCTTCAAGGAACAGACAGTTTGAAGACACACTTACCACAGGAATTAGAGAAACAGAATAGCAACATTAAGATTAAAATTACACAGGAAAATTAAAATCTCAAAAAAGTTATTTAAATGAGAACACAACATGTGGAAGAGATATGGGTCAGGTTCAGGTCAGTGCCCACCTGTGGAAATGTATCTAGGCTAAATGTATAACTTTTCTGTGTTTCTGTATGTTTGAGTGTATTACACTCCCTTTCTATAAAACTTGTCATATCACATTATATTTTACACTGTACATTTTTCTCTCCCACATTACACTGTGAACTCTTTGAGAACAGAGTCTAATTAGTTGTGCCTTACAAATAAGCTCAAATAATTTTATTGAATTGATGGCATTTAATTATAGGAAGAAAATTACCCAAAATATTGTGCCTTAATCATTAAATAAGAAAAATGACACAAATTTGCTTCGATTTTCAATAAAACTGAGAAACACTAGGTACACAGCCAAGAAATCAGTGAAGTGTGTTATTAAAATTTCATAAATAGGGAGCAATTCCAGCTGAATGGTCAACTACCGAACAAAAAGACAGAGTCCACATGTTGATTACACTGCTACTCTGCAACTTTCCGACATCCACTACTAGTGGGTTTATTACACTTAGAGCTATAAAATAAAATGGCAATGCCCTAGTACAGAGTCCAAAAAAGGCAAAGAAAAATTCCTAAAAATGTTGACCTATTTATGGTTATTCAACTCATTAACTTCATTCTTCCTCTCCACTCTGCCTATATTCATGCACCATCCTTAATGAAACAGCCATTATTTCCACCTCTCCACACTTCTTCCCTTCTCTACCAAAACTTCTTTCACATTTTCTATGCAGCCTTATTTTCTGTCTCTGCCACTTTACTGAAACTATATTCTGAGAGAGACCACAATGACTGCCTGGCTGCCAAATACAACAGTTATGCACATCCTTCACCATCTATTCCTTGAAGCCTTTTCCTCCTCTGATGCTCAGTTTTCCTGTCCCTTCTACATCTGACTTTTGTCTTTAAAAAGCTAGTTTGTGTTCCTCAGTGTTCTGAGGTAAATGTACCAATCCCTCTGACTTCAACACCACCTATACAATGTCTCTCAGGTCTAAGTTTTACTATCCATGTATCTATCCATCACCTGGGCTGCAATTCTACATTTCCAACTATCAGCCAGACATGTGGTTTTCCTGCAGGCAGCTAAAACTTAACATGCCAAAAATAGAATGTAATATCTTTCCCCTCATACCGGCTCTCCTCCTACCTTCCCTGTATCACTTGGGGAGAGTCAGCATTAACACAACTGTTCAAGGAAGTGGTCTCATTCATCCTTGACTCCTTCTTCTCCATCCCTACAATGCACATGTAGCCTTCTGTCTAGAATATAATTTTGCCTCACACGTGTATCTCTCTCCTCCTCCATTCTCAACTAAAACATTATCTCCCTGGGAAAGTCTTCCCTGACCTCTTCTCTCGAATTATTATTTTATATGTATATATGTACGATTTAATTATTTTTTTGATTGATTGGCTGGCAAGGTATCACTTGTCACCCAAGCTGGAGTGCATTTAATCAGCTCACTACAACCTCGAACTCCTAGGCTCAAGCAATCCTCCCACCTCAGCCTCTTGAGTAGCTAGGACTGCAGGCATGTGCCACCATGCCTGGTTTATTCCTTTTTTATTTTTTGTAGAGAAGGTGTCTCACTCTGTTGCCTAGGCTGCTCTCAAACTCCTGGCCTCAAGCAATATTATTATTTTATCATTATCATCATCATCCTATAAGTTTTATTCTGTCAGCTTCAAAGGACTGCCTGTAAACTATAACTATACTTCATTAGTATTTTTCTCCCTGACTAGATTGGGAGCTATCCTGCTCACTAGCATCCCTTAGAACCTAGCTCAGGATATAACACAGAGTAAGTGCCAATAACTCATGACTGAATGAATATCTGATCAGATGATAAGGTCTGATGAATCCCATTTTGAAGCATGCCACACACTTGTCCCTTCTTTTCCACCAACTTGCCACGAGTGTCCTGGATTGGACCTTTATTCCTGTTGTGTAGACTCTAGAACTAATCTTGTGACTGAGCTGAACTCCCTGTCTTTAGCCTAGCTCTTCTTTACCCTGTCATAAAAATGATCTTTTTATTACAAAAAATAAAAATAAATTTGATGATGTCACTCTCCTGAGGAAGTCTCTGAGGGTTTAGAAAACCACAGGAAAAAAAAAAAAAAGACTACCAAATATTTACGGTACAGCACCTAAGGACCTTCCTAAAATGATCATAAATCACTCAATTTTCTAGGATCTGGTCTAGCTACTTTGGGTTCTTCATTTTAGATACACTGGAGGGTAAGAAAGCGTTCTTTGATAGATAGGACTGGAAGGAAGCGCTATCAATTAATTAAAAATTAAAAAGAGCCTAGTTGTTCTAATGTCCTAAGTGAAAATAAAGTTTAGAGACTAAATAGCTTGAAAAATTAACTGGTTCTTCTAATTATTCATTTTTGTATTGCTAAATAAAATACAAGTATATAACAAAATCAGAGGAAAGGTCCCAAATTACATACAATGGACAAGAAAAGTAAGTATCTCTGAGGCCATGACATTCTGGAATTTGAACTGAATGATAAGGAGCTATTATCTTGCCTTAGAACACACCAGGAAGTAGAACAAACAAGTGAAACCTCCTAATCTGGGAAAGAGCTCAGTGTGAGAAATGGAGGTAAGCTGTGGCTGGAGCACAGTGTAACATGAGATAAGGTCAGTGAGGTAGGAAGGAGCCAGATGGAGGAGAATCTTGCAATCTGGATTCTATTCTAAATGGATAAACCACTGGATTTTAGGGAGGGAGGGAGGGGGGAAGGAGGGCGGAGGGAGGGAGGGAAGGAGGCGGGGAGGGAGGGAAGGAAGGAAGGAAGTTAGGAAGGAAGGAAGGAAGTTGGAAGGAAGGAAGGAAGGAAGGAAGGAAATCTGCTTTTTATACTCGTAATACTTCTGACACAAAATGTGTGTGTTTTTCCATACCAACAATAAATTATCCAGCAGATACCAACTGGGCATCCTACAATTCAATTTCATTCTGACACTGTCTAACTGGAGTTAACGTCAGACCCAAGTTTAGGACTCAGTCTCACAAGACAGCCCCCATTTCAGATGCCAATCGCAAGTTTGGTTTGCTGGTATTTCTAATTAACTTGGCTACAACCCCCTTCTCAGGTTTGGTAATTTGCTATAAGGGCTCACAGAACTCAGGGAAACCCTTGACTTACATTTACCAGTTTATTATAAAGGATACAGATGAACACTCGGATTGAAGAGCGGTATATAGGGTAAGGTCTGGAAGTTCCTGAGTGCAAGAGCTTCTGTCTCTACGGAGTTGGGTAGGCTCCTGGCATGTGGTTGTATTTACCAAACTGGAAGCTCTCATAGTTTTGAGATTTTTTTATGGAGACTTCATCACACAGACATAATAAATTATTAACTCAATTTCCATCTTCACTCCTCTCCCTGGAGGATGGGGGTAGAGCTTAAAGTTCCAAATGTCTAATCATGGCTTGGTTTTTCTGGTGACCAGCCCCATGTTGAAGCCATCCAGAAGTCAACCAAGAGTCACCTCATTAGCACAAAACATGCTTCTATCACCCAGAAAATTCCAAGGATTTAGGAGCTCTGTAGAAGGTGCGCCATCATCCCATCACCCAGAAAAATTACAAGGGTTTTAGGAGCTCAGTGTCAGAAACTGGGGACTGAGACCAAATACGTATTTTTTTATGATGTCACAGCAAGAAAGAGCATAATCTGATTTATGTTATAAATTCCAACTAAAGAAGTGATTCATTCAATCTTTATACATATGACAAATATTTAATGAGTATCCACTCTGTACCAGATAGTGTTCTGGGCGCTGTGGACACAGAGATGAGTAAGACAGTTAAAGCCCTTGCCCTCACGGAGCTTTCATTCTAGGGGATTCTGGGAAGGCAAAAAGAAAGCAAACAGTCCAGTTAAGATACCACTGCAGAGTCCACATGATGGATCATAATGGTTTCTAATGTACTGGACAACATGGGTCATTGTGGAGAAGGAGAAAAATGGACAAGTAAGTGTTATATTTTAGATGTACAACAGATAGACTTGCTAAGGGATTTAACATGAAAGGTAAAGAAAAATCAAGAATGACTCTCACATCTCTGGTCTAGTCAATTATTAATACATGGATGGGTGCAGTGTTGTTTATAGAAATAAGGAAAAATAGGAGAGCTACCGGTTTGGAGAAGAAAACCAAGAGTTTTATTTTGATCATATAGCTTAAAGTGTCTGGTTAGACATCCAAAGAGTAGTTAACCAGCAGGCTATTAGATCTGTAAGTCTGGAGGTCAGCGGAGTGGGCAGAACTAGAGATGTAAAGGATTGAGGCACAGAAATGGGATTTAAACCACAGGACTTAGGAAGAAACTACAAACAAGGGCAGAGTCCAGAAACAAATCCTGACATATGCTAACTTTCAAAGGTTGACAACAAGAGGAGAAGGAAACAAAGGAAACTGAGAAGAAGTGATGACTAAGGTAAGGAAAAGACAAAGAAATGTGCATCACTGTAGCAAGCCATGGAGGGGGGTATGCTGCTAGGATGTCCTTTCAAGAAACAACTTGCCATTCAGCTGTAAAGAGTACAGTTAACTGACAACCTTCACCTGTTAACACCTTAGGATCTGCTTTGCTTTTGTGTTAAGGACAAATACTTCCCTAGCCAATAAGAGAGCACACTGTGGGTAGTATGACCTGGCCAAGTCTACCTAACATGGGTTTCCTCTAACAAGCAACCTTTGCTCCAGAGGTCCCAGTGGATTGTCAAATACTTTGTTAGATCTGCATTATGGTCTTCCCTACCCAATCCTGCTTCCACCCCTCTCAACTTCCATAGGTGTTAGATCTTGGTCTGAAGGCTTGACCAATCTTGCTTTGCTCCTCTTGTATCTTTCACGGTCAATCCCCTCCCCTCAATAAAAATCTTGCCAGCCTACCTCCATCTCAGCTCTTGCAGCCTGGGAGACCACATCAGTCACAAAAGCCAAGAACAAAGAATGTTCCAAGGAGGAAATGATCCAGCGTGCTGAGGGTTGCTGAGAAGCCAGGAAAGGAGAGAGAACTAACCAGTGGATTTGGTAAAATGAAGGTCACTGAGAACCCTGAAGAGGGTAATTTCAGTGGAACGGTGTGGATCAAAGCTTAACTGAAATGGGCTCTGAGGTGAATGACAGACAAGAAATGAGACAGAGACTACAGACAACTAACTCATTTTGGAACTTTTGCTGTGGGAGAACAACAACAAAAAAGAGGCACTATCGCAAGGACAAAAAACCAAACACCGCATGTTCTCATTCATAGGTGGGAATTGAACAATGAGAACACATGGACACAGGAAGGGGCACATCACACACTGGGGGCTGTTGTGGGGTGGGGGGAGGGGGGAGGGATAGCATTAGGAGATATACCTAATGTTAAATGATGACTTAATGGGTGCAGCACACCAACATGGCACATGTATACATATGTAACAATCCTGCACGTTGTGCACATGTACCCTAAAACATAAAGTATCATAAGAAAAAAAAAGAGGCAGTAACTGAGGGAGAATTCGGGTGAACAGGGGCCTTTTGTTATTCTTACTGTTTAATGAGAGCTACTGACGGATATTAATAAGTTGATTGAAATGACCCAGTAAAGAAGAATGATGATTTGGGGAACAGGGAGAACTGTAGGAGTAAAGCCTTTAAGGCAAGACGGGAAACCTGAACTTTCAAAGCAGAAGAAAAAAATTACAGGAGAAAAAAACCCACAGGTTAGCTTACATAACTTCCAGCTTTAACAAGTGCTGTTAAAGAACAGTACAAGAATTTCAAAAAGTATAACAGAGAAACTTCACTTAGACTGAGGATCCCTGAGGGAGTAAAGTTTGTCAGAAGAGTGAAAATAAGAGCATTCCAGGAAGAAGAAAGAGCAGGTGCTAAAGCTAAGAGATGGAAAAGAGTTTAAATTATTGGAGGACAAGAAAATCAGTTGCTGTGATGAATTAAAAAGAGTTAGAACAAGATTATGCAAGATGATGTGGGAAGTAATAAACATTTCGGATTTTAGCCCAAAGCCTAGAGGTTTTAAGTTGGGGAGTTACATGACTTGATTTGTGATTTTTAGAAAATATCACTATGTTTGCAGTGGGAGGAAAACAAGTGAAAGATCTGTTGAGAACTGATGGTGATTTGAACTCAGGCAGTTGAATGCATTTATTCCCTCATTCAAATAATATTTAATAGTGAGTAAGGTGCACTGATTCAATATGTATTTTTAGAGGTAGAATCTACAGAACTGGTGCAAGTGGGGTTAAAAGAAAGGAAGTTTAGGGTGGGAAGGGGTGGATGACAGGAGGTTGCTTGGTGGGTACAATGTATGTTTCTCCTCTGACGGATACACTGAAGGCCCTGACTTCACCATAATACAATACATCAATGCAGCAAAATTGCACTTGTACCCCATCAATACATACAAAGAAAAAGAAGGAGTTATCAAGGATAACTTCTAGGACTCTGGCTCAATGAACTAAGCAGAACTGTTTATAATAGTCAGCAGAAGTACACCAACTTCCCAGGGGCCCCACAGACCATATAGATCCAGCAGCCTCTTTTCTTGGTGGTATACCAAGGCTTTCCCAGTCCCACCACAACAGTCACAACATCAAATGAATTGCACGACACAGGCTTACACAGTGTATTTCTCCTACAATGTTCAACTACCTCGTTTTGTGCCTGAGGGAAGGGATTGCCTACTGAAGTTGGAATCTGGCCATGTGTATTAATGCTGCTCTCTTTCCCTTTATATATAATTTTACACATTTCAGTAACAGAACATAATTCCTCAGCTCAGCAATTTATTTATGGGCAGTTTCTGAAGCTGTTATCACTGGCTTCTCCTTCTGGCCTTCATGGGAATTAGAAATCCTTACTTATTGCAGCAGGTCCTTGCTCCTGTTATCTAAGACAATCATTCACCTCCATAAACCAGATCTTAATACCCCTCAGCTTTTTGTTTTTCGGACTCCAGATGACTCCAGACATCATTCTTTTTGCTCCTGTAATTAGAAATATCCTTTACATAGAGGCACAACAAATAATCAAGCCCCTAAAATCCCTGCAATAAAATGTCAGAACAGGTGTAGAAAAGAATTTGAGTAAATTAAGCACACTTAAATTACCAAGAGGATGGGAGAAGGGATGTTGCCAATTTTCAAAGTTACAACCAAAAATATAAGGCATCTATCTGTCTATCTATCTATTTTTTCATTCAACATCAAGGAGTGTTGCATGCTAAATCAAAGGTAACCTTTATCCCTAATACACTCCAGTGGATTTTAAGAGTAACTCTCTTCCAATGTAAACCCTTGGGGTAAATTAATTATTCAGTAGGAAGTGGCTTAATATACTTAACTTAAACAAATGAATACATGGACTTAAAATAATCCTCCAGAAGTTATCAAATTTATTCCAACATCTAGGCAACAACAGACTCTTTGACTGACTGTTAAATATTGTGGCACTTTCCTGAAAGATCATTTTGGATCCAAACACTTACTAAAGAGTACAAGACTAGTCTATTCTTGGCCAATTATAGATTATTACCTATCTACCTCCTTCTCCTATGTTCAATAGCAATGCATCTTTTGGAATAGATTGCAATTTGTATTTGAATGTTGTTAGAGAAAAGAGTATATGATAAAGTTCATCCAATAGGCAGCGCTACTTAGAAATTTCGGTTTTGAAGTGACTTTTAATATGCAATTTGAAACGCTGCTTTTTGCCTAAGGCCATATTCAAAATCAAGCTTTCAAATCCACAAACATTTTCAAGCACTACCTACTTGCCAGCCACTGTGTGGAACATTAAGAATAAAAAGATGAGTAACACAAGATGCCAGTCCTAAAAAAAAAATCATACAAACTTGGTGAACTCAGGAATTCAATATCTTGTCAGAGCACAGAGATGTACACAAAACCATCTATGAGAACCTTATATGTGTTACTATAGCTATCAAACTAGGGCAAGAAAATAATTTTGCTGGGGAAGGCTTCATAGAGGAGGGACTATTTGAGAAACATCTGGAAGGAAGACTGGGTGTTCAGCCAGTACAAAAATGGGTAAAGAACATTCTAAGTGGGAGGAACAAGTTGTGCTTAGAAACAAAGGGTACGAACATGTTACTAAAACCAAAAGACATTTCTTCAGACAACACTTTACTTGGCCTCATAGCAGCCATTGATCTTGATAACTATTCTCAGATCTTTGACACATTCTCTTAGTTCTGTGACAGTACTCTCAGTTTTCCTCCTATTTCTTGGTTGATCTTAGCACTCTGTGGACTCTTCTTTGTCTCTTAAATATCGTCATTTCCTCAGGATTCAGTCTTGGGTCCTTTTCTCAAAAGTGAAAAGCTCCCTGCCTGGTTGATCTCATCCCCTTCCCCTGATTTCAATTATCAAATACTTATGACTCTCAAAGCTATCAGAACAGATATTTTCTGAGTTTCAGAGGCAAAAAACTAGCTATCTTCTGGCACTTCTTAAAAGTTTCTCATATACTTCAAACTTGACACTTTGAAAATTACATTGTCTTCCTCCTAAAGCCCCCTCCTGCTGTGATACCCCTCCACCTCAGTGAATCATCTAGCCAGCTGTCCAAGCCAAAAACCTGAACACCATCCTTGATTCCTCTATCTCCATTATACTCACCATTGAGTCAGACCCTATGTCCTGTCAATTTTGCCTTTCACTAGAATTCACCTACTTCTCTTTACCCCAACTGCTAGTGCCCCAATCTATGGTCCCATCGCCTCTAGTATAAATTACTGCAATGCCCTCCTAATTGGCCTCCCTGCCTCTAGTGTTGCTTCCTTTCAGTCTACCCTCCACAATAGTATGTCTTATAGCATCTTGCATAACCTGGTTTCTAATCATACTCTGAACTCGTCTCTTACTATTAGTCCCTATTTCTTCTGTATTTCCAGCCATAATTACACAGTTATCTTGCCTTTAGGTCTTTCTACATACATTTTTCATGCATAAAATGCTATTTCTGCCCCTTTTCTACAATTCCCAATCCATCCTTTAGGCCTAAAATTATATATCACTTCTTCAGGGGAACACTGATCCCTCAATTGCTTCCTCTTATGTGTTCCTATCATTAGAATTTCTATTCCACTGTATTTTACCTTGCTGTTTAGTAGCCAGTATCTTCCTAGACTGTAAGCTCACAAAAGCCCTAGGCAAGGTGCCTATGCATATTTTGAATGGTCAAAAGCAATTTGTGGTATGACTAAACAAATGAGGAAATAAGTCTTAACACACTTCATCAAAACATTGAGCACGCAAGAATGAAAAAGGAGTACAAGATGACAAGGGACGTCCTGTGGTTTCCCCTTTTAATAAGATCAATAGAACAAATAATATATGAAATGCTATTATCAAAGGACATTAAAACAACAACAAAAACGATTATTTGCAAGAGGGCAATTTAATTCAACAAACACTTGAGGGTAGCAAACAACCATAGAAATAAATTATTTTTGTGTTTGATTCACTAATTTTGCAAAAATATCATTCAGGACAATTTTCTGAGAAAGCAGCAAGTGACTTCCCACCCCTTCCAAGGACACACATTCTAAGACCAATCATTATGTAGAAGTTAGACACTGATGCATTAATAAACTACCCCAAACCTAGTAGCTTAAAACAATAAACATTTCTTGCTCTTAACTCTACAAGTCAGCTAGAACTTTCATTTTGGCTATGCTTTCTCATAATTCTGCAATAGCCTGACAGGTTGACATAATTCTCCTAATTATGCTTTGTCATAATTCTGAAATAGCCTGACAGATTGGCTAAGACTGGCTTATCCAGAATGGCCTCCCTCATGTATATATTGTGGCTGGCTAGCTCTTGGATGGGGTGACTGGTGAGAACATATCCAGCAGGCTAGCTCAACCTATTCTCATGTAGGTTAGGCAGGGTGCTCCATGAGCAGAGATGCACACAGCTCTTTGGGCTTAGTTTCATAATTGACATACCATCACTTCTGCCACTTCTATCAGCCAAAGCAAGTTATAAGGCCAGTCCAGATTCAAGAAGTAAGGAAACAGACTCTACCTCTACAGAGTTATATTGCAAGGGGCACAGATACAGGAGGGAAATAATCAAAGTCATTTTTACAATCAATATCCCACTCACTGCTTAGTACCTACCTGACCCTACACAGGCATCTATCTTGAGCAGTACAATTCCATATAAGATATTCACAATTATGATTCTCATACAGCAGAAAGTTCAGTAACACTCAGTGTATTATAAAGAGAGAAGAATATTGTAAAAAACATGCCATGATCAGAACAAAGGTTAAGATTTACACTTGATAAATAACTTTATTGTGGTGCCTTGCCCCACTGATTTCAGAGAACAGTGATTGTAATATAGTGCATTCTTGTTTATTCACTGTGAGTGCTCTCAACAAGACCTGAGAAAGTTAATAAGACAATCCATTGAATTACTGGTGAAAGGATTCAATTAAAATAAACAGGGGCTAAACCAAAGTTAGATCTTTTAAATATGTATTTTTTAACCTGCATTTATAAAACTTAAGGTAAGGACCAGGTCATAGACCTTCTCAACAGCTGCCACTTCCCAAACACCACACCTGCCAAACACTTCCCACACACCTGCTACAGAGATAAAATTCTCCTAAAAAATTCACAGAATCACTCACTACACCCCTGTACCACAAGAAGGAGCCAGGTGGGTGGATGGGTGGGTAGGGCTAAATGAGGAGGTCCTATGGCAAATACACATAAACCTGGCAACCTACTGAAAAGAAAATTAGATGAAAACTTTTATTTATGCAAACTGATATCAGTGAGGTATTTTTCAGCAACTACAAAAACTGTGCTGGACTTGAATAGGTAAATAGAAACCAGACCAAATAACAGATAAGCTTAAAAGCATGCAGATCTTCAAATCCAAGTGATATTACTGGGTGCACTTGATCCTTAGACTATGTGGCCTAGTTTTGCTGGATGACCCTCTAATTTCTGAAAAGTGCTACAGGATCCTCCTGACAACGACCTCTCCTAACTCCAGCTTGGGAACTCTTAGCATTTCCGATGTGGATTTTAGAGACAAAGATAGAACACTGCGATCTGCCAAGGCTGAAAAGGGTATCACTTTCAAAGGTTAAAAAAATCTCCCCCCTCCCCTTTTTTTTATGATGACTACCCAATTACACAAGCCAGGCATGATAACTGGGAGCAGTAAAAGAAGTCTTCTGTAGCCATGCTCAAAACTCATGTCCAAACTCAGTGAAAAAGCCCATGAGACACAGCAATACAATGCATCTTTGGGGGGTTGCTCATGGAGTTATCTAGCATGGAAAAAAAGAGTTAACATAAGAACAAAAAACTCAAAACCAGATTATATTGTTAGCACTTCTTATCAGAAGCTATTTTGTTATTTTTAAATCGTTTAGTTTTTCATTTCTTTTAATTTTACATAAGAGCATCAAGTTATACAAGAGATTTATTCTTAAAATTCTGTGGGCAGAACAAAATTTTGTAAAGTGAAACCCATTCTTCCTCTGAGAGCTATTATAAAATCTAGCATGTGTATCTATATATAAGCATGCTCCTGAGACCATGGATTTAGGTTATATTTTTGTGTACCACAATAAAAGTTGTGGTGTGATGACTATGTGTGTGATGATACTCATTTTCCATGAGCCCAGTTGATCCAGACTCCAGGTATCTTTTATCAATATCCAGCAAGGGCACTGTTTCAGCACTCATTTATTTACAAATAAAAACTAATATCTTGATTTCTATGTCTGGGGAGAAAATTGAGAAAACAGCTTATTAGGAATAGTCACAGTAACAACTACCATACTATTATTAATTTTGGAGACCCCAGGTTCTGACTTCACTTCCCAAAATGAGTCAGAGAAGCCTTATAGTGATTTTCCTTAGACATGTCTTTCTCCCAGAAATCTAATAACACTCTTAGGATGATTCTGACAGTTCTCCTCTGAACTAAATCCCTGGTGAACTATACAGCATATCTCCTCACTAACAGAATCTTTGGTCCAAGTGCAAATGTCAAAAAATATTCCCTTTACCTCCTTACTCTCAACCCTTGGATTAAACGAGGCAAAACCAGGCCTTATGTATTAGCCTTGCAGCTTTCTAATTGCTAATTCACTAGTCATTCAAACAATCAAGTAGCACAGCTATCAAGGATCTTGAGAGTTTGTTCCAGGAAATAAATAAGCATGATCTGTAAAATGCCAATTACTTGTGTGCAAAAATGGGGTGTTTCTAAGACTGAGAAAAATTGCAAAGTTTATTTTAAAAGTAAACATTATTTCTATTATAATTACTATATAAATAGTTGTTTGTACCATGAAGGAAAAGTATTCTAAGCAAAGAAAAAATACGATTAAGTTCATTGTATTTGTCCTGATTTGGGGGTTAAAGAAAAAAAAATTATCTCAAATTTTCAAAACAAAAACAAGAGGTAGATTCAACAAGCTCTTACTAAATAATACTGGGTAATTAATGATATACTATCATACCTAATTAAAGTACACAGTGATGATAAGCTATTATCACAGGAGGAAAATAAAACTTTAGTAACATACTACTAACAAGTATTTAATGCATATAGCATTTAATTACATAATTTCGTTAACAGGAAGAATCAGTGTACTAAATTATTATTCGTTTCACCTTTAATGCATCATTTTAAAATTCAGAGTAAATTAGTGGTTGCTACAGACTGGAGTAAAGGGAAAATGGCGTGTGACTGCTAAGGAATACAGGGTTTCATTTTGGAGAGATGAAACTATTCTAAAAACTAGATGATGGTTGCACAACTCTGTGAGTATACTAAAAAACACTGAATTGTATACTTGAAAGGGTAAATTTTATGGTATGTGAATTGTATCTCAATAAAGTTGTTGTAAAAGCAAGTAATACTAATATTTTTCTTAATTACATGAATTCCTAAAAAGCAAGTAAGTACTGATTCCATATCTAATATGCTGAACACATTCAAATCTTCTATTTATAAACTGCCTTCCCTATTATTTTCTAAAATATTATCCCCTGAAGGGTTACTCTAATAATCTAAATATCCACAGGCTTCTAACAACTTTTCAAAACATAGAAATGACACTAAACAATTGAAGATTTTGACATCTTGATGAACCCATTTAAAAAAAATGTTTAAATTCCAGTGGACTACATAATATAAAGACACCTGTTTTCCTGGGAATTAACAGTTGTAAATACAGACAACATAAGTAATTTCACACATCAAGTTGATGTGTAATAAAATAAATCTACTCAAGGTTCTTCTTTCATCAAGATAACAGACTCTAACGATAAATGACTACAGCTCATCTTGTTAAGATCAAAAGGGAATGACTTTTGCAGCAAAATATGTCTACCAGCTAAACTATTTCACCAGCTCAGTTACTAATGACACAAAAGCAGTCTTACATTAAGCAGCAAAAAAGAAGAGAAGAAAAAAGGGATTTTTAAAAGACCTTAAAAGGAGTTTGTCAAGATTGTCAAATGCTTTGTAACGTTTATTTAGACTTTAGAATTTTACATATCCAGAAGAATATCTCTGAATTGTGCTGACAACACAATAAATTTTTGATTAACTGTAAGCTCTCTACAGAGCTTACAGTATTTCAAACCCACAAAAACTACAGTAATATTAACAGTTCCTTCTTATTCCCACCTTATAATACTAAAGTGAATTTGCCACTATTGAAACACTCAGAAAGAACAAGATCTGTAAGATCTTCATCTTTTGTTGTTATATAAAATGTCATGTAAAGTGGTTAAGTTTATTATAATGGTATTTCTAAAAGGCTCTGTAATAACTTATTTTGTATTTGAATCTTAGCTACGTAAGTAACTACAAATGTTTATGCGTAAAAATATGAGCTGTACTTAAGGTGCCTTTGAAATAAAATAACTAGAAAAGTATCAATTAACATAAATAGAAAAACTCTTTTTAAAACTGTAATCCAGAAGTACTCAAATGAAAAAAGGTTTCTTAAAAAAAGGCTGTAAGTGAAAACTGCAACTAACAGTATAAATGGATAACTTCATTCTTTTTGATATCATGAATTTTATTGGATCCTATATAATTGTCATACCAAGGGGAGTCTCACAATTTCATCTTAGGAAAGGAAGTAAAAATTTTTTTCTATCTGCAGTCTTAAGAGCTAATTTTCCTGTAAAAAGATCTAACTTGTCCACATTTGATGGATAAGAGAATTAAGCCTCGCTCTCCCTCTCCCTCCTCTCCCTCTCCCTCCTCTCCCTCTCCCTCTCCCCACGGTCTCCCTCTCCCCACCGTCTCCCTCTCCCTCTCTTTCCACGGTCTCCCCCTGATGCCGACCCAAAGCTGGACTGTACTGCTGCCATCTCGGCTCACTGCAACCTCCCTGCCTGATTCTCCTGCCTCAGCCTGCCCAGTGCCTGCGATTGCAGGCGCAAGCCGCCACACCTGACTGGTTTTCGTATTTTTTTTGGTGGAGACGGGGTTTCGCTGTGTTGGCCGGGCTGGTCTCCAGCTCCTAACCACGAGTGATCTGCCAGCCTCGGCCTCCCGAGGTGCCGGGATGGCAGACGGAGTCGCGTTCACTCAGTGCTCAATGGTGCCCAGGCTGGAGTGCAGTGGCGTGATCTCGGCTCGCTACAACCTCCACCTCCCAGCTGCCTGCCTTGGCCCCGCAAAGTGCCGAGATTGCAGCCTCTGCCCAGCCGCCACCCCGTCTGGGAAGTGAGGAGCGTCTCTGCCTGGCCGCCCATCGTCTGGGATGTGAGGAGCTTCTCTGCCTGGCTGCCCAGTCTGGAAAGTGAGGAGCGTCTCTGCCCGGCCGCCATCCCATCTAGGAAGTGAGGAGCGTCTCTGCCAGGCCGCCCATCGTCTGAGATGTGGGGAGCGCCTCTGCCCTGCCGCCCCGTCTGGGATGTGAGGAGCGTCTCTGCCCGGCCGCCCCGTCTGAGAAGTGAGGAGACCCTCTGCCTGGCAACCGCCCCATCTGAGAAGTGAGGAGCCCCTCCGCCCGGCAGCCACACCGTCTGAGAAGTGAGGAGCCCCTCCGCCCGGCAGCCACTCCGTCTGGGACGTGAGGAGCATCTCCGCCCGGCAGCCACCCCGTCTGGGAGGGAGGTGGGGGTCAGCCCCCCGCCCGGCCAGCCGCCCCGTCCGGGAGGGAGGTGGGGGGGGGTCAGCCCCCCGCCCGGCCAGCCGCCCCATCCGGGGGGAGGTGGGGGGGGTCATCCCCCCGCCCGGCCAGCCGCCCGTCCGGGAGGGAGGTGGGGGGGGGTCAGCCCCCCGCCCGGCCAGCCGCCCCATCCGGGAGGTGAGGGGCGCCTCTGCCCGGCCGCCCCTACTGGGAAGTGAGGAGCCCCTCTGCCCGGCCAGCCGCCCCGTCCGGGAAGGATGTGGGGGGGTCAGCCCCCCGCCCGGCCAGCCGCCCAATCCTGGAGGTGAGGGGCGCCTCTGCCCGGCCGCCCCTACTGGGAAGAGAGGAGCCCCTCTGCACGGCCAGCCGCCCCGTCCAGGAGGGAGGTGGGGGGCCAGCCCCCCGCCCGGCCAGCCGCCCCATCCGGAAAGTGAGGGGCGCCTCTGCCTGGCCGCCCCTACTGGGAAGTGAGGAGCCCCTCTGCCCGGCCAGCCGCCCCGTCCAGGAGGGAGGTGGGGGGGTCAGCCCCCCGCCCAGCCAGCCCCCCCATCCGGGAGGGAGGCCGGGAGGTCAGCCCCCCGCCCAGCCAGCCGCCCCGTCCGGGAGGGAGGCGGGGGGGGTCAGCCCCCCGCCCGGCCAGCCGCCCCGTCCGGGAGGTGAGGGGCGCCTCTGCCCGGCCGCCCCTACTGGGAAGTGAGGAGCCCCTCTGCCCGGCCACCACCCCGTCTGGGAGGTGTACTCAACAGCTCATTGAGAACGGGCCATGATGACAACGGCAGTTTTGTGGAATAGAAAGGGGGGAAAGGTGGGGAAAAGATTGAGAAATCGAATGGTTGCCATGTCTGTGTAGAAAGAGGTAGACATGGGAGACTTTTCATTTTGTTCTGTACTAAGAAAAATTCTTCTGCCTTGGGATCCTGTTGATCTGTGACCTTACCCCCAACCCTGTGCTCTCTGAAACATGTGCGGTGTCCACTCAGGGTTGAATGGATTAAGGGTGGTGCAAGATGTGCTTTGTTAAACAGATGCTTGAAGGCAGCATGCTCGTTAAGAGTCATCACCACTCCCTAATCTCAAGTACCCAGGGACACAAACACTGCGGAAGGCCGGAAGGCCGCAGGGTCCTCTGCCTAGGAAAACCAGAGACCTTTGTTCACTTATCTGCTGACCTTCCCTCCACTATTGTCCTGTGACCCTGCCAAATCCCCCTCTGGGAGAAACACCCAAGAATGATCAATTAAAAAAAAAAAAAAAGAGAATTAAGCCTCAAAGCCATTAATTAACTTGCAGGATCTAAGTTTTCTGATTTTTCTAGGATGTCATTTTACTTTTTTTTTTCTTTTGAGACACACAGTCTCACTCTGTCAGCCAGGCTGGAGCACAATGGTGTTATCTTGGCTCACAGCAACCTCTGCCTCCCGGTTCAAGCAATTTTTGCGCCTTAGCCTCCCAAGTAGCTGGGATTACAGGCATGTGCCACCACACCCAGCTAATTTTTATATTTTAATAGAGACGGGGTTTCACCATGTTGACCAGGCTGGTCTCGAACACCTGGCCTCAAGTGATCCACCTGCCTTGGCCTCCCAAAGTGCTGAGATAACAGGCATGAGCCACCGCGCCCAGCCTAGTATGTCATTTTAAAAAACAAAGAAAAATTTTCACTTAATGACATAAAATTTTAACATGCATTTGGTGTCACCTCCTCATATGTAGACCCCAGGACCATGAGACAGCATCATGGAATACCTCAAATGCCTCTTTTTTCCTTGCCACTATTTCCTTCAACCTTAATTCTCTAAATCCACAAGTTCTTTCTTCCTTTTCCACAATAACACATGAAACAATATTTACATAAATAGCAAAACTGCTTACAATTTCAGATGCTATCTTTATGTTAAATCAACAGAGAACCTTTCTAATTTACTACTAAAAAGCAGTAAGTCACAATATGAACTATAATAAAAGGGATTCTACCCACCAGAGGATTAAGCTTTGCCAATACAATGAGACCTATTTTATAAAAATAACCCTCATAACGACATGGCCTGTTGCTGAGACCCTCCTACACCAGATCCTGTCCTTGTTGGGGATAAAACAAGCTTTAGCACCATGCCAACAAAGCAGCTGCCACAAATGAATTCTTCCTGATTCTAGAGAACTATCACTCCATTTCCCCACCAAGGTGGCTAACCTTATTTGTTGTTAGCATGTGTTTTGGCTATATAGCTTAACTAAATATTTTATGCAATTTAAATTAAACAGCTGTTTTAGCATAGTGTATACCATCTCTGTGATATCGATGAGGAAGACTTTATTTCTAAAAGAATTCAAAAATATGGATTTATAGACTGACCAAAATAATCTTATCCCTCGGTTTTCTATATTAGTTAGATCGGTCCATTTTTCTAGCACTTTGAGAGAGAGGATAGAGGATACCAAGAAGTACAAATTGTCCCGTCTTCGTGGCACTTAAAGTATTATTTAAAGAAATTTCTTTTTTCCTGTAATACCAGTGAAACGAGACATGGCAAGTCTGTAATAGCCAATCACAGTCATCTTCTTAGTAGATTTCCCCTGACAGTATGTATAGTAGACTGCTTTTCATGGAATTAAGAAAAGAATGCAGTTGACTCAGTAATAATGACATATACATGAACCTGCCAGTCATAGGTGTACCACATGGCCGGCTCAGCCAAGCTTTGACTTGTATTTTTTTCTTCAAGATTGGCTTCTTGGTGGTCTGCACCTATAGTCCTAGCTTCTCAAGAGGCTGGAGAAGGAGGACAGCTTGAACCCAGGAGTTCAAGGCTGCAGTGGGCTATTATTGCACTAGTGCAATCTGTCTGGGTGACAGAGCAAGACTCTGTCTCTTAAAAAAAAAAAAAAAAAAATCTGCTTCTGCAAGCCCTGTTCATGTAATAAAATAAATGACGAATAGCTAATAGGATGTCCAGGGAAGGCCCAGTGAAGGCCCAGTGATTCCAAATGTCACAAAGCTTCTAGCTGCTAACAAAGAGGCCTAGTCTCTTTTTTATAAAGAACTATTGAAGCATATTAGATAGGCTCATTTATAATTTGGAATATGCAGTTGCATAACTTGAAGAAATTATGGTAGGAATTAGCAATAACTAATAAAGTTTAATTTATGTTTGGTCAGCAAAGTGTATATAATTTAAATATTTGAAACAGCAGAAAAATAAGAAGGAAAAGTGTCAACTATAGACATACAGCTTACCAGGTAGACTCTCATATTTGACTTTAAACTGAGAGTTCTGGAGAGGTGTGCCCTGTAGCTCATAAGATACATCCTAACAGAAGGAGCTGAACTAGATGAAGAGAAAACATATGGACCAACAGGTCAGAGAAATAACTTTAAATAAAGTAAAAAAAACAATTCATTGAAAGTGCAAAATCTGTAATGATTTTGAAAAATATCTGGCCCTGATCTGCTTCTCCAAACAATACAACATTAGCAATTTATAATATTTACATTAAAAAAAGTAGTGTCTATCTCTCTCTCTTGAATTATAGAAACTCATAATTCAGGCTAAATGGAAACAATTATTCGCTTTTCTTGGTTTTAAGTACTCTCTCACTAGTTTGCTTAAGTTGGCTAACTAAAATATCAAAATTTTATTCTGCTATCAAAAAGAAATTATTCTAAAAAACATTAAAAATCTGAAAGTTATTAGCATAATCAATAAATACAATAACACAAAGCTCATGAGTCAAAACAAGAAACTAAAACAGGTGACATTTTTAAATATAAGAAAAACAATTAGTTTATGTTATTAAGGGACAGTAAGAGTCAATTCATAATTTCCTAAGGCTTTCAAAAAGTTTTTTTTTTTTTTTTATACTGAATTTTGCTCTTGTTGCCCAGGCTGGAGTGCAACGGCGTGATCTCAGCTCACCACAACCTCTGCCTCCTGGGTTCAAGTGATTCTCTTTCCTCAGCCTCCCAAGTAGCTGGGATTACAGGTGTGTGCCACCACCCCCAGCTAATTTTTGTATTTTTAGTAGAGACGGGGCTTCACCATGTTGGCCAGGCTGGTCTTGAACCCCTGACCTCAGGTGATCCACCCGCCTCGTCCTCCCGAAGTGCTAGGATTACAGGCGTGAGCCACTGCGCCCGGCCTCAAAAAGCTTTATACTCCTACTGACTAACACATTTCTGGCAATCAACACCCAAATAAATCAATATTTCTATAAAACTTTACAGGAATATGCTCTGGATTAATATTTGTGTTAAGTGAGATGAAGGAGGAGGAGAATGGGTAAAGGAAAAAGCATGAGAGAGGAAAAGTGGGGGAGGAAGACAGAAAGGAGGTAGAAGAGAGAGAGTGGAAGAGTAGAGAAGGGCTAAGAATAAATTCGATATGATAAATTATGCCAGGCCAAATTATAAGAAAAGTTCAATACATCTTGCTTAGTGATGAGGATAGTGTAGCATAAGAATACACAGAATTGGCCTGGCATGGTGGCTCACGCCTGTAATCCCAGTACTTAGGGAGGCCAAGGAGGGTAGGTTACAAGGTCAGGAGTTCGAGACCAGCCTGGCCAACACAATGAAACCCTGTCTCTATTAAAAATACAAAAATTAACTGGGCATGGTGGCGGGCACCGGTAATCCCAGCTCCTCGGGAGGCTGAGGCAGGAGAATCGCTTGAACCTGAGAGGCAGAGGTTACAGTGAGCCAAGAGCACACCACCACACTCTCCAGCCCAGGCGACGGAGCTAGATTCCATCTCAAAAACAGAAAAAGAAGAAAAAAAAAAAAAGAATACACCAAATTATGACAGTAAGTATCAGGGTAAGAAAAATTAATAATCCAGCTATGGGAAAGAGGTAAGGATGGGAATAAGTAAGAAAAGGACAACAAAACTAGGCTTACTAACTTGAAAATGATATCGCTGTGGAGCCACCCAACCTGCTTTCCCTATAGAGGAATTAAAATGTATCTATATAAATAATACAGATGGCTGACAGATAACGCAGAACAGAGAAATAAACTTTTGTCAAGAAGTGGGTATTTAGGAATCAAAGAAAAAAAATTGTTTTAAAGAATCAACGTGGGCTGGGTGCAGTGGCTCATGCCTCTAATCTCAGCACTTTAGGAGGCTGAGGCGGGTGGATTGTTTGAGCCGAGGAGTTCAAGACCAGCGTGGGCAACATGGCAAAACCCTATCTCTAAAAAAAAAAAAATTTTTTTTTAATTAACCAGGAAGGTGGTGTGCACCTATAGTCCCAGCTACCTGAGAGGCCCAAGTGGGAGAATCACTTGAGCTTGGGATGTCGAGGCTGCAGTGAACTGTAATTCTGCCACTGCATTCCAGACTGGGCAACCAGAGCAAAATTCTGTCTCAAAAAAAAAATCAAAGCTAAATACATTGTGTTCAAAACAAAACATTTAGGACAAACTACATGCAATTCAGGATCTTCAAAACATAAATATCAAACTATGTCAGAAAATCTAGACAGATTACATCATATCAGTATTCCTAAACAAATGGCTGATATTTCTGTTGAAGGTACATTCAGAAGGGCTTTCCTTGCATCTAAAAACAAATGAAATTCTTATAGAATTTTAACTACTACTGAAACCTGAATAGCCAAGGCGGTTGGCATATTTAGAGTAAAAGAGTGGTCATGCTAGTTCTTACAGGAAGTGTAATAAACCGATATTAGTTTCACAATACATTCCTTTCATATACCTTTCATCATACATAATAAATATACATAATACTCTTTTGAAGAGTATTCAAAAGAGTACTCTTTTGAAGAGTTTTCAAAAGAGTATAAATCTGAAGAGGAAAACTAAATTAGATGCTCATACAATACAAAATATAAATAATTTATTTTTTATTATATAGTCAACTCTGGCAAGGTAGATTACCTGATGTATGGATTAGCCATGAAATATATGTTGATTTAATAAGATATTTAGAATTACCATGAACCAGAGTTAAATGTCCTTATTAGAAGATACCTAACACTTGAAACTAGTTACCAAAAACTCAGCACTGACTCTGCTACAATGTTTAACTCCTCTTACCACTAAGTCTATAGTACCTCCCACCCCTTGCCAAAAGTGTGTCCCAAAATAATTACTTGAGATTCCCACACAAAAACCAAGTGAGGAAGAGAAGAAAAAAGGAAGGCTCTTGCAATTGCTGATCTTGTGAGAGAGTCATATGAGTTAATACAAAGTGCTTATAAGAGTTCACCTGGCACATAGCAAGTGGTTGGTAACACTGGCTACTACCCTCATACAAAAACAGTGTCTCAAGTCCTGGTCTCCACAAAGTCTCTAGTAAAAATAAATAGTCCATATTTGGCAAACTTATGGTTGATCTATTCAGGGTTCCTGTCTTGCCAATGGTCTTCAGAACCCATCAGCATTAATTACAATAGCTACTTGGCTGGTCATTAACATCAGTGATTTTGCTAACCTTTTTTTTTTTTTTTCATTTTTTTAAATGAACTTCACAGATTTCAAGCACTAACTTTGCTGTTTTGAAACAACAGGTAACCATGCTGGCTGGCCATAGATTTCATTCCATATTCAAGTACCACCAGATAGAGTTAATTCAATTCACCTGATCTTTTATTTTTAGCAGTTACACAGGTCTAAAATCAAAATCTCAATGATTTCATCTCTAACATACAATTGCATTTTTAAAAGGAAAACGAAATATTAAGCCCAGTGAAACCCCTCCATATTACTCCTTAATACTAATTTGGATGAAACAGGACTGGCAGTTGGCTCCCAACCTCCACAAGAGGCTCAACCTAGTTATTTAATCAATTTTATTACATAACCCTATGTTTAATGTCATCTCATATTTTACACAACTGAATATTTGGGGCTCCTTTTATAGTGTTATAGAAGGGTTTTGCTGTATCCCTAATTGACACATGACATTCCTATGTTTAAATTCTGCATTGTTCCTGCTCTCCAAGACTGACCAGCCCACCCTTCCCTATTTTCCTCTAATTGCTACTGCAATTTCCCACAGTCCCAAGGCATCTGCCTGGTTAAAAGGAATGTTAACAGCTGCATAAAATTATAAGATGAATTAAAAAATCATTAAAAAGAGATAGTACTCTATTGAAAAATGTGGAGATGAATAAAGCATTTGGTATTTCAAACATCATTAGTAAGTTTGCTTAAGATCAAGGACTTCTAAAAGAAAATATGACTTGAGTGAAGATAACATATGTTTATTATAGAAATTAAATATTTCAATTATCAGAGCTAGAAGAGAAACCGAGTAATTTTAAAACTTTTCAAAATCAATAAATTAGCTTTTTCAAACAGAATTTCATGTCTAAAACAGGTAAGTTAAGGGACTTGCTAGTCTACCCAATCCCTTGATATTAGAAGATAAAAACTAGATGATAGTAGCTACCACGGAATTGGTCAAATCATACAATTCAGTCAAGCAAGAATTAGTACACAAAAATAAATTCTTTGGAAAGTGGGACTATTTTTTCTCAAATACTTCTCTGCATCTAAACACAGACGATAATCATATGCTTTTTGAAAAAAAAAAAAAAAGAGGAAGAAAATCCAAAATATGGAACTAGTTGCATATGTAAGGTATTTAACAATACTATTTATAATAGAGAAAAGTGAGTAACAATGGCTTGGTTAATTATAGTACTTAAAACTGAACATTGGCTGGGTGCAATAGCTCACACCTGTAATCCCAGCACTTTGGGAAGCTGAGGCTGGTGGATCACCTGACGTCAGGAGTTGGAGACCAGCCTGGCCAACATAGTGAAACTCCATCTCTACTAAAAACATAAAAATTAGTCAGGCGTGTTGGCATATGCCTGTAGTCCCAGCTACTCGGGACGCTGAGGCAGGAGAATTGCTTGAACCCAGGAGGTGGAGGTTGCAGTGAGCCAAGATCACGCTACTGCACTACAGCCTGGGCAACAGAGCAAGACTCCATCTCAAAAACAAAACAAAACAAAACAAAAAAAACTGAACATTATACCACAAGTAAGAACTATATCACAGCAGGGAAAGGGGCTTCTGGCATAAGGTTAAGCGGGAAAAGGTGAAGTTTTAGGTAAACTATACTTATAGCATGCTCAAGTACATGTAAAAACATTCTAAGATATTTCCTCCTCTCAAAACATTACTAGTTCTGAACTATTAGAGCATGGGAATCAGGGGTGAGATCTTGCCTCACTAAACTGCCCAAGATTTCTGCAATGTTGTTATACTGCTTTTAGATATAAGGAAATACAAAGGGCACCAGAAAAAAAATCATAGACTTATTACCTCATAACCTTAAGAAATTCATTCATCAATCTAAGCATTTGAGAACTTCATCTCTTTTAATGTTTATGAGAATGTTGTGTTGGAAGTGGGGATAAGATAGAATTCATTTAATGCTTATAAATCATAAATAATAAACATCATTAATAAGTGTTTTAAGAGTCTAGGAAAAAAGACTGCCTCATATCACTACGTTATACTAATTATGCTGTGAACTGGTTGGGCTTTTCCTGTCAATTTTTTCTGTGAATTTTCCAATGCATTTGTTGCCTACAATTCTAGCAGCTGCCATTAGGTGGTGCCTTCTCATGGGAGCTAAGGCCTAAATAAAGGAAGAGGTAAGGTACACAACACAATTCTATAAACAGTAGAACATGTTATCAATAATCATAATAAAATGTAGCTAACTATTCACTCTAAGAGATGGCTGGCTACATAAGAAACATAATTTAAAGAAATGTAAATAATTCCCTAATACATATTTAAACCATATATTTAACCTTTATTTCCTCCATTAAGTTCCTGTAAAAATCTGTAACTAAGACACAGAGGCACATAACTGTAGTCCCAATACTCGAGAGGCTGAGGCAGGAGGGTCATGTAAGCCCAGGAGTTTGAGGCTGTAGTGCACTATGATTACACCTGTGAATAACCACTGCGCTCCAGCCTGGGTAACATAGCAATACCCTGTCTATTTAAAATGTGTGTGTGTGTGTGTGTGTGTGTGTGCGTGCAGGTGCATGCGTGTGTGAGTATGTGTGTGTGTGTGTCTGTTAGCCTAAAAGGTAACAGCCTACAGTTTATTCTGTTCACTGCTTCTGCTTATTTCTGCCTTGCTTTGACCACTTTAAGGCTTCTGGGATTTACAGCTGGGTATGAAATCTTACTGATGCCTGGAATTATTTTCATTTAGCTACTTTCCTGGACTTCCATTCATCTTTCAACCTCAATCTAAAACATTATTTCCATTGTGAAGCCTCCCCTGATCATCCAAGCAACATCTTCCTCCAAATCTCACAGAACTTGAGTCAGGCAGACCTAAGTATAATGCTTATTTAGCCCTCTGTAAGACAGTAGGCCAGCACATACACATATATTTTATGAGCCAGCAATGCTGGCCTATGACCAAGATTACATCAGCCTATAAAGCCAGCCAGTTCTTTATAGGCCAAGACCTAGCAGAGACAGGCTCACAATTTTCCACAATAGCTCTTAACAGATACATGACTTAGTAGCTGTCTTTGGTAATGCTGGCTAAGTACAAACAACCTGAGCGTACTTAAAAAAAAAAAAAAAAAAGGAGTATTGCACTAAATCAATGGCAAAGTTTGCAACAAATTAATTAACCAAATGGATCAACTGTCTCTGTGGAAGGCTGTTGTTAAAACAATATTCCATAATCCCTCTAAGACAGATGTTTATAAACCTTTCAATAATACTAACAATAATAATAGCAACTAACTTTTATGGAGTGCTACCATGTGATGACACTATTCTTAGCACTTTAAGTACATGAACTCAATTAATGCTCGCACAATCCCATTTTACAGAAGACAAAATAGAGGCATGGAGACATTAAATAACTTGCCAAAAGTCACACACTTAGTAAATGGCAGAGCCTGGATTCAAACCTAGATATTCTGGCTCCAGAGCCTGTCCTCAGAACTACTACATTATATTTCCTTGCAGCTAAAAGAAATATAGAATGTTTTCAAAATCTGGAGAAAAGACACAATAATGAACTTGTGACTGCGTACCACACTCAATAAAGGTGGTGATTTGCACATAGAAGATACATTTTACACAGCCTCAGCACATGCACAAGCACACATGCGCACGCACAGACACATACACACCTGAAACAAAAACTTCAGGAAACAGTACTGCTTGCGACACACACTGACAATTTCTACTCTATTTTATTTTGTAGAAAATGTTGGTCATGATGCCAAAAAAATCTTAACATTCAGTTTGAAAAAGCACCGCACTACCACAGGATCAGCCTTTAGTACACAACTATCCATTCTGAACAGGATACAGATGGTTGTGGGCTTAAGATAAGAAGGCCAGAGAAGGAATGTGGTATAACGGAGCCAGACGTGAGTTCCAATCCCTAACTCCACCCCTAAATAAATGTGTAACATAGCAAGTCACTTCCTTCTTTCAACCAATGCCTTGAAGATTAAGTTAGGGTATATAAAGCTCCCGGATCACAACACTCATAAAGAAAGGGCTATTTTCTTCCCCCACACCAACTATCAAGTTTACTCTGTTGGCTTAAAGTCCTTTTTATTAAAGCAGGGGCTGAGGTTATTTTGAAGTAAGAAAAGATCCAGAAATTGACAATAGGACTTACTGAAGATTCAAGCACCCTCTTATCTGCAGAGAACTTTCTCAGGCGAGTCTGAGCTAACTTGCAGGCTGAAAAGTACCTACAGGAAAACTCTGCTCTTGGACTATAGAATCTGTGTCTCTTGACAATTAGGGCTTCTTGTTACTCTGAAGAAACAATCCAGAATGAGCCACTTCCATCCTATTGCTGTAACTTAGCATTATGAGTGTCAATGATCACAGGAGACAGGAAAGCACCCTGGAGAGTAAGGACCATGTTGTTTTTATCTCTGTGCATTCAGCTCAAGGCTGGTGCCAAATGTAGCGAACGACCCAAAATAGTAGATATTTTTAAAAAATGTTTGTGGAGTTTAACTGAAGAAAAATTTTCAGCTCTGGCAAATGGAGAAAGGGCACTCTAAATGCAAACCTGTATCTATCATCTTATCATCTGTTTCACTTCTGTGGGACCCCTTTTTTGCCTCTTATTCCTGCACTCAAACAAAAGGTAACCATTCTTGGTAACTACTTTTATGCTATCCACTGCTTTCACTCCTCTTGCTAATCAAAGTCCTTCCTAATGAAAGTTTACCACTGGCTTGCTTCTTTGTAGTTTAAAAATTCTTCTTAACATAGATAACTGGTATTTCTTTAAAGGTCAGGATTAAATTAATGTAGTCTAAGTCTTATTTTACAGATAAAGACACTGGTTCAGAAAGGACAAATACGTTGCCTAAGCTTAGACAAGGAGTAGATGATAGATGTTGAATTTATGTTTCAAGCTTTGCGCGATAGTAATAGCAAACTTGGCCTTTTGTATTTAAAATGCATCTGGTTGAAGGAAACAAAAAACAGAATGGAAGTAAATATATTAAGTATCTACTATGTGCTAAGTACTGTGCCCTCTATACATCATCACATTTAAAGCTTGCAACAAACCTACAAAGTTGTACAAATATTTATCTTATAAATTATCTGGTTGACATAAAAAAAAATATGGAGCTCGGCTGGGTGCAGTAGCTCATGCCTGTAATACCAGCACTTTGGGAGGTCGAAGCAGCTGGAATGCCTGAGGTCAGGAGTTCGAAACCAGCCTGGCCAACATGGTGAAACCCCATCTCTACTGAAAATACAAAAATTAGCCGGGCATGGTGGTGGGCGCCTGTAATTCCAACTACTCGGGAGGCTGAGGCAGGTGAATCACTTGAACCCGGGAGGCAGAGTTTGCAGTGAGCGAGATTGCACCACTGCACTGTAGCCTGGGCGACAGAGTGAGACTCCGTCTCAAAAAAAAAAAAAAAAAAAAAACTAAACAATGAAACAATAAAAAATAATTTTTTTTTTTTTTTGAGAAAGAGTCTCACTTTCTCACCCAGGCTGGAGTGCAATGGCACAGTCTCAGCTCACTGCAACCTCCATCTCCTGGGTTCGAGCGATTCTCCTGCCTCAGCCTCCCAAGTAGCTAGGACTAAGGCATGTGCCACCACACCCAGCTAATTTTTTGTATTTTTAGTAGAGACAGGGTTTCACCATGTTGGCAAGGCTGGTCTTGAACTCCTGACCTCGTGATCCACCTGCCTCGGCCTCCCAAAGTGCCAGGATTAGAGGTGTGAGCCACCATGCCCAGCTAAAATAATAACTTTTTCAAGACACAGACAGCACAATAAGACATAAATAGTAATAACAAAAAGTTAAAAAGCTAGGGGACTATGTTAAGGCACAGTCTTCACTAGTTTTTTTTGTTGTTGTAATTTTTTTTTTGCGGAGGGGGGGAACAAAGTTTTACTCCTGTTGCCCAGGCTGGAGTGCAATGGTGTAATCTCAGCTCACCGCAACCTCTGCCTCCCGGGTTCAAGTGATTCTCCTGCCTCGGCCTCCTGAGCAGCTGGGACTACAGGCATGTGCCACCATGCCTGGCTAATTTTTTGTATTTTTAGTAGAGATGGGGTTTCTCCATGTTGGTCAGGCTGGTCTTGAACTCCTGACCTCAGGTGATCCACCTGCCTCGCCTCCCAAAGTGCTGGGATTACAGGCGTGAGCCACTGCACCCAGCCAGTCTTCACTAGTTTTCTTTTGCTTGTTTGTTGATTTGTTTATGCAAATAACGTTAAGCTGCTATCATCTTAAAATAATGGGTTACAAGATAGTATCTGCAAGCCTCATAGTAACCTCAAACCAAAAAAACATACAACAGATACACAAAAAATAAAAAGCTAAATCAATCACCTTCACTAAGAAACAGACAGGAAGGAAAGAAAGGAAGGAAGAGAAGACCAAAAAATAACCAGAAAACAAATAACAAAATGGCAGGAACAAGTCCTTACTTATCAATAATAACACTGTATGTAAGTGGACTACACTCTCCAATCAAAAGACATGGAGTGGTTCAACAGATAAAAGAACAAGACTCACTGATCTGCTGACTACAGGAAACACACCTCCCCTATAAAGACACACAGACTGAAAATAAAGGGGTGCAAAAAGATATTCCATGCCAATGGAAACCAAAAAAGAGCAGGAGTAGCTATACTTTGTTGACAGAAAACCAGCAAAGAAACATCAGACCTAATCTGCACTGCAGACCAAATGGATCTAATAGACATTTACAGAACATTCCATCCAACAGCTATAGAATATACATTCTTTTCCTCAGCATATGCATCATTCTCAAGAACAGATCATATGTTAGGTCACAAAACAAGTCTTAAAACATTCAGAAAAACTGAAATAGTACCAACTATCTTCTCTGCCCACAATGAAGTAAAACTAGAAATTAATAACAAGAATAATTTTGGAAACTATACAAATACGTGGAAATTGATACATTATATCAACAGAATGAAGGACTAAAACCGTATGATCATTTCAATTGGTGCTGAAAAACCATCAATTTGCTAAAATTCAACATCTCTGCCCAGGCACAGTGGTTCACGCCTGTAATCCCAGGGCTCTGGGAGGCCATGGCAGATGGATGCCTTGAGGCGAGGAGTTCAAGACCAGCCTGTTCAACATGGCAAAACTCCATCTCCACTAAAAAAAATGCAAATATTAGCTGGGCATTGTGACACATGCCTGTAAATCCAGCTACTTGGGAAGTTGAGACACCAGAATCACTTGAACCCGGGAGGTGGAGGTTGCAGTGAGCCAAGATGGTGCCACTGCACTCTCCCTGCATGACAGGGTGAGGCTCTGTCTCAAAAAAAAAAAAGCAAAAAAAAATTCAACATCCCTTCTTGATAAAAACCCTAAAATAACTAAGGATAGAAGGAACATACCTCAACATAATAAAAGCCATGTATGACAGACCCACAGCTAGTATCATACTGAATAGGAGAAAGCTGAAAGCCTTTTCCTTCAAAATCTAGAACACAACAAGGATGTCCACTTTCACCACTGTTATTCAACACAGTGCTGGAAGTCCTAGCTAGTGATCAGATAAAAGAAACCTATAAAAGGCATCCAAATTGTAAATAAAGAAGTAAAATTATCCTTGTTTGCAGATGGTGATATAATCTTATGTTTGCAAAAGTCTAAAGACTCTACCAAAAAACTATGAGAACTGATAAACAACTTCAGTAAAGTTACAGAATACAAAATCAACATAAAAAAATCAGTAGCATTTCTATATGCCAACAATGACCAATCTGAAAAAGAAACTTTTAAAAATCTCATTTACAGTAGCCACACATAAAATTAAATACCTAGGAATTAATTTAACCAAAGAAGTAAAAGATCTCTACAATGAAGACTATAAAAAACTGATGAAAGAAATTGAAGAGGACACCAAAAAATGGAAAAATATTCTATGTTCATGGATTAGAAGAATCAATATTGTTAAAATGTCCATACTACCCAGAGCAATCTACAGATTCAATGCAATCCCTATCGAAATACCAATGACATTCTTCACAGAAATAAACTATCCTAAAATTTACATGGAACCACAAAAGACTCAGAATAGTCAAAGCTATCCTAAGCAAAAAGAAGAATACTGGAGGAATCACATTACCTGACTTCAAATTATAACCAGAGTGACAGTAACCAGAACAGCATGGTACTGGCCTAAAAACAGATACACAGACCGATAAAACAGAATAGGGGATCCAGAAACAAATCCACACACCTGTAGTGAACTAATTTTTTACAAAGGTGCCAAGAACATACACTGAGGAAAAGACAGTCTCTTCAATAAATGGACTGGGAAAACTGGATATCCATATGCAGAAGAACAAAACTAGACCCCTATCTCTTGCCATATACAAGAATCAAATCAAAATGGATTAAAGAATTAAATCTAACAGCTCAAACTATGAAAATACTACGAGAAAACATTAGGGAAACTCTCCAGGACATCGGTCTGGGCAAAGATTTCTTGAGTAATACCCCACAAGCACAGGCAACCAAATCAAAAATGAAGAAATGGAATCATATCAAGTTAAAAAGTTTCTGCACAGCAAAGGAAACAATCAACAAAGTGAAGAGACAACCCACAGAATGGAAGAAAATACTTGCAAACTACCCATCTGGCAAGGGATTAATAACAAAAATATATAAGGAGCTGAAACAACTCTATAGGAAAAAAATCTCTAATAATCTGATTTAAAAATGGGCAAAAGATCTGAGTAGACATTTCTCAAAAGAAGAAATACAAATTGCAAACAGACATATGAAAATGTGCTCAGCATCACTGATCACCAGACAAATGAAAATAAAAACAAGAGATATCATCTCACCCCAGTTAAAATGGTTTTTATCCAAAAGGCAATAACAAATGCTAGCAAGGATATGGAGAAAAAGGAACCCTCATACTAATGTTGGGAATGTAAATTCATAAAACCACTATGGAGAACAGTTTGGAGGTTCCTCCAGAAAGCTTAAAATAGAGATACCATATAATTCAGCAATCCCACTGCTGGGTACATACCCAAAAGAAAGGAAATCAGAATATCAAAGAGCTTTCTGCACTCCCATGTTTGTTGCAGCTCTGTTCACAATAACCAAAATTTGAACCCAAACTAAGTGTCCATCAACAGATGAATGGATAAAGAAAATATGGTACTCATACACAATGGAGTACTATTCAGCCATAAGAAAGAATGAGATTCAGTCATTTGTAACAACATGGATGGAACTGGGGTTAATTATGTTAAATTAAATAATCCAGGCAAAGAAAGACAAATTTTACATGTTCTCACTTATTTGTGAGATCCAAAAATCAAAATAATTGAGCCCATGGAGATAGAGTAGAAGGATAGTTACTAGAGGTTAGGAAGAGTAGTTGGGGGATTAGGGAGGAGGTAGGGATGATTAATGGGTACCAAAAAAATTGAATGAATAAATGAATAAGGCCTAATATTTTTGATAGCACAACAGGGTTACTATAGTCAATAATCATTTAATCGTACATTTAAGAAAACTAAAAAAGTATAACTGGATTGTTTGTAACACAAAGGATAAATGCTTGAGGTGACAGATATTCCATGTTCCATGATGTGATTATTACAGATTGTATATCTGTATCAAAACATCTCATGTACCCCATAAATATATACACTTACTATGTACCCACAAAAAATAAAATAAACTTTAAAAATAAAAACATAACAGAAAAGAAGGGATTTAGAAATAGTATACAAATAAATTTGCCATGTAGTAAGTCACAGAAACTTAGAAATTTAAAGGACAGTTTTAAAAAGAAAACCCACTTATTATAATATGCAAGTCTTTGCAGAAAAGTCAAAGTCAAAACAAAGAGATATTTTAACTTTATGAACTTCAAGAACTGCAAAGTCCACAATATGGAAATACCTTTATTTCCATCCCTGCAACTAAATTCAATTCATGAATTTTCATAGGAACAGCATTCTCCTTCATATACTACTATTTGATAAATGGCCAACAGGGTCACCACACACAAGAATACTGGTGCATCATACATGAACAGATTTATTTAATCATGTGTGAATTTAAACATGCAGTGGATTGGCTGTCCTTGATGCTACCTTGCCTGACCTAGAAATCCCTAGAAGAAATTCAACCCAACCTCTATCAAATCCTCTGTTAATATAGGGAAACCTGTAAACAAGTATACTCTCCAACTCTTTGGAGACTTCTACATTCTTCTTTAAAAATAAACACATACATAATTTTTTTTTTTTTTGAGACAGAGTCTCACTCTGTTGCCCAGGCTGGAGTGCAGTGGCATGGTCTCAGCTCACTGCAACTCTGCCTCCCAGGTTCAGGCAATTCTCCTGCCTCAGCCTCCTGAGGAACTGAGACTACAGAGTGTGCCACCACGCCTGGCTAATTTTTGTATTTTTAGTAGAGACGGGGTTTCACTATGTTGGCCAGGCTGGTCTTGAACTCCTGACCCGAGGTGCTCCGCCCGCCTCAGCCTCCCAAAGTCCTGGGATTACAGGCGTGAGCCACCGCATCTGGTCTAAATTCATAAATAAATATTTTAAAATCAAATTGACTTAACACTTCAAGATGTACTAATGATAATATTAACTATTTTTCATATTGATTTCAGGATAAAAAAGAAAATACTGATTTGCATCTTCTACAGTATATAATCCCTATATAGGAATTATTGTTCAGCATTTATGTTCATGTAGCCAAAATAAATTACTGACTAAAAGTGGTGAAAAGTGTATAATATAGTAAAACATAACAAACTTGAACTTTATCAAACTTTCCTCCAACATTTTTGAAGGTGTAGACATCTTACCCGTTACATATGGCAATACAGAACACGTGAGCAACATTCTGCGTAAAAATTACATAAAACTTACAGCAAGGTTAATGTGACATTAAATGTTTTTTCATTCCTAGACATATGAGGTCAAGTTTTATATATTAAACGTATGATAAAAATATGTCTAAGTAAGCTGAAAGTACTAGAAAAATGTAAATTAAACAAAGGCCATCCAAACATAACAGGAGCAAACACGTACATAAAATTTAAAGGCTTAATTATAAATAACTCTTCCCTGATCAATACATTTAACTCCTCCAGTAATATTTTATTATCTTATATTGGATATAAAATAAAAATCACAGTAATAATTCTGCATCTATTTTATTAATAATGCTGAAAAATCACATTATACTTTTTTGAGATATTATAAATCAGGCTTTTTAGTGAGCTTAATTATGTCACCAGTAAACACAATAATGAAAATAAAGTCAAAGCTATTAACTTTTTAAGTGTTGGTAACTACTTAAACAGATAATTACTAAAAAGCACCCTTGGCTGGGCGTCGTGGCTCACAGCTGTAATGCCAGCACTTTGCGAGGCCAAGGCAGGTGGATCACCTGAGGTCAGGAGTTCTAGAACAGCCTGGCCAACATGGTGAAACCCTGTCTCTACTAAAAATACAAAAAAATTAGCTGGGCATGGTGGTGCATACCTGTAATCCCAGCTACTCAGGAGAAAATTGCTTGAAGCCGGGAGGCGGAGGTTGCAGGGAGCTGAGATCAGCCACTGCGCTCCAGCCTGGGTGACAGAGTGAGACTCTATCTCAAAAAAAAAACAAAAACAAAAACAAAAACAAAATTAAATAAATAAAAATAAAAAGCACACTTATGGCTTCAAAATGAAAAATTATGAGATTATGTTAAAGAATAACTTAAATTAAAAAAATCAAATAATTAAATTAGTTACAAGCTATATCAGACATTGCAGGAACGTAATGTAAACAGTATATTTTCCATTTCTATGAGGGTATCAAAAAATCACACACTATGCCAATTGCTTATGCCTTCTTCTGCACCAATTCTAAAAAGCTAGGACCAACACTACCCTATCTCCACTGTATTAGAAGCAGAAAACTGAAGGAAAGACTGAGGTATTTCTACAGAATTGTCATACCAACAGCTGCTAAGATGTAACAATTTAAAAGACAGAAATCCAAAAAATAAAAATAGCGGTCAATAACTCAAAAGCTATAAATAGGTCTACATTGTCAAGACATATTATATCACAATGAAATAAATTATAAATTACAGAGATGTTAAATTATATTCAAAACACTCATGAATAATGTAGGAAACTGTATACTTTGTTTCCCCCCAAAATACTTAAAATACAGAAGAAGAAACTTTCAGTTACAGAAAAGTTTACTTTTCTGAGATTCACTTATGTGAATCATTGTTCCTTATAGAATTTTATAATTATATTGACATTATAAAAATCAAATGATATCTGCCTAGCAGCCTTCCAGCAAAAGCTTATGAGATCCAACATGACCCACATCTGCTCTATATAACAGATGCTCATCAAGATATAAGAGAAACCCTCACATCCAAATGAATCCAAGGCTAGTTTTAAATATGAACGCCAACTATACTCAAGGCTTTACACATTTAATTCAGGTTAGAATCTTGGGAATCAAGTATTATCCCATTTTATAGGAATCTAAAACTTAGTAGTGAATTCCTTAGTCAAAAAGCTACTGGTGGAGCACCCAAGTTCCTCTGGTTCTCACTACAAAGTACACACTCTTTCCATTATGCCATGCCATAATTTATCAAAAACTTTAATTTTATAATTCATCTTTAGAAGCTATAACCAAATTTTAAAATATTTATAATTTACTGAAGCCTATCATCAAAAGCATTTACTAGTGACAATCTTCATTTCTCCAAGTGTATTCCTAAGAACACTATACCCCAAGTATAACATATGTTATTGACTGTGGGGAGAGAGGATAATTTGTATCAATATGTCTGGAAAATGCTGGTTTCTTTTGTTAATATAGCTCTCAGGATGTTTAATGTACTTACTCTTTGGCACTGTGCCTCTCCAAGTGGAAGACTAAAGAACTCTTTCTCCATGGATATTCTATAGTTACAAGCAGTCTGAGGCATGGACTTAGGAAATCCTGTTATGTATAATCCAATGCAGACAATCCCTGACCACTGGGCTCTCATAATCTAAACCAGCACTAATAGGCAGAAACTTAAAATACACTGAAAAGATATCCTCCAAAAACCTGATTAAGACCAGGTGTGGTGGCTCACTCCTGTAATCCCAGCACTTTTGGGAGGCTGAGGCAGGTGGATCCCTTGACGTCAGGAGTTCGAGACCAGACTGGCCAACATGGTGAAACCCCGTCTCCATTAAAAATACAAAAAAGATTAGCCAGGTGTGGCAGTGGGCACCTGTAATCCCAGCTACTCAGGAGGCTGAGGTGGCAGAATCGCCTGAACCCAGGAGGCGGAGGTTGTAGTGAGCTGAGATCATGCCACTGCACTCCAGCCTGGGCGACAGAGCGAGACTCCATCTCCAAATAAACAAACTTGATTACATAGAGTGCAACAAACTATAATCTTTATGACCCTTTTTTTCTCTATCTCAAATTCAGCTTTTAAAGGAAAAAAAAGGTGAGGTTGGGGAGATGATGTCCAAGTAAGCCAATATTAAGAAATGCTCCAAACATTTTATTTTGAAAAGATTCAAAGCTACAAAAAAGTTTAAATAGTACAATAAATATGTCCTTTTCAACAAACACAATATAACAGTTCATCATATCTGTATTCTCAATCTCTCTCTCTCTCTTTCTCTCCATATATATATACATGCACACACACAAGACCACACACACTTTATTTTTGCTATACCATTTAAAAGAAAGTGCATATTTCGTAATATTTCACACCTATTCATCAGCTGGTATCTTCTAAGAACAAAAAAACATTTTTCTTCATAAACAGGTTTCTACATAACATGATTCAGTAATATCACTGTATCAGTTTACAAATGATACATAACCAATCATTCCCAAAATTCAATAGCTTAACATAACCATCATATATCATTGCTTACACATCAACCAGCCAGCTAGGTAGTTCTGTCCTAGCTGGGTTAACTCATATGTCTGTGGTGAATTTTGCTGATCTAGGCTAAGCTCTCTGACAAGTTTGGGGGTTGGCGGGATATAAGATGGTCTAGGATGGCCTGAGCTGAGACAACTGACCTTTCTTCTACCAACTCTTTCACCCTCCAGGATAGCCAGGGCTAGATCGGACAGCAAATGTCATAGTTCCCAAGGGAATATAAGCATGCAAGAACTTGTGCCTGTGCTCCAAACGGACACACCATAACTTCTGCCACTTTTTGTTGACAAGCTCAGATTCGTGGGGTGAATAAACAGAGATGGCCCCTTAATGGGAGTAGCTGCAAAGTCACATTGCAAAGGGCATGGATATAAGCAAAGATGAAGAATTGTGGTCATATTTGCAATTAATGAGTCATATCACCTAATAATAAAAATTTCCCCAACTGTCCCAAAAATGTATCTTTATTGCTGTGTTCTGGTCTTTTCTTCCTTTCTTTCCTTCTTTTCTTGGGAGAAAATAAGATGAGATCAAGGTTCACAAATTACATGATTTGTGTAATGCCTGCCATGATTCCTTAAGCAGTTCCTTACCTCTCTTTCTTTCATGATATTGACATTTCATGACACTCAGTTGCTCAAAAGAAACTAAAGTGGGCCGGGGCACATTGGCTCACACCTGGAATCCCAGCACTTTGAGAGGCTGAGGTGGGCGGATCACGAGGTCAGGAGTCAGAGGCCAGCCTGACCAACATGTGGTAAAACCCCGTCTCTACTAAAAATACAAAAAATTAGCCGGGCATGGTGGTGCATGCCTGTAATCCCAGCTACTCAGGAGGCTGAGGCAGGAGAACTGCTTGAACCCGGGAGGTGGAGGTTGCAGTGAGCCGAGATCACGCCACTGCACTCCAGCCTGGGTGACAGAGCAGGACTCTTTGTCCCAAAAAAAAAAAAAAAGAAGAAGAAGAAGAAAAAACTAAAGCGACTAGATTTAATGTCTGTAAATATTCATTTCACAGTATATAAAACAAGTCTAAATATGAAATTATGTCTTTTACTTATAGGTAAAATCATCTAATCATGGTTGACTATGTATTTTTTCATGCTCTAGATGGTATATCACTGAGAGCCTAAATTAGTATTTCTCTATATTCTTCAGTAAGTCCATCTCCTCTCTAATTCCCTACTTTTTCATAAAAAGAATTTACACCAATACACATATTTCAAATGCCCATGTGACACTTTCCCTAATTCTCCCAAGCAGTAATGTTAGCAACCCTTCCTCTATGCTCCCAGTATCTATGTGTTGCCATTGCCAGTGAAAGTTTTTAATACGGCATGTTCAGCCTAACTTTCCTCACCATTGCATCCTGGAGTAAAAGTTATATTCAATTTGATTTTTTTTAAAGTCTCTGGTTCTTACTTCTACCAACTATTGGGAATTCTAACCCTCAAAGAATTATTCAGTACTTGGGGGTCATTTTTTACAAATGCTTGCAAATGGATCCTACGGCTATTGTGTGACATCTGCCAGTTCCTCTTCTTTTATTTCACCCTTGATCCACTTTCTCCATGCCCACCTTTTTAAAAAAGAATTAGAATGGGCCTGCCACTGCCTCACTATTCTTCCATATTTCTTCTCTCTTCTGACTATGGAAAAAAAACATTATTTTTCTGCTTTTTCCTCCTTGTTAACCTATTAAATGCACAGATAAACATTTCACAATGAGTTACTATGAAAAATAGGATTAGATAAAAATAACAAACACTGAGGAGGTAAAACTTCACAGAAGTACTTTTTTAAGTATTAGCAAGTTATTCAAAACATTTTCTAAAATGCAAATCGTTGAAAGTTTTCTTCAGAGTGCCTCCCTGTCTCTGCCAAAAACACAATTCCCCACAGCTGAAAGTTTTAGTGATTATTCATCAGTTAATAGAAAAAAAAAATCATTCATTAAGTCCTTAACTTTACTGGTTTACTTTTCCTTTCATTTCAAAAGTAATCAATTCTTCCATTAGGACTACACAAAGTGGAAGGCACAGTGAAAATGGGTTAAGTCACTCACAGTGAAGGGACTATTCTGCCACAAAGAAGGTGGACAAACAAGCACTTCAGTTTCCCTTTTTGAAAAGTGAGGCAATTAACTCTGTGGTAGTTAAGACTCTTTTTTAAAATTTCTGTGTTTCTTACTTACACATAGAAGGTGTTTGATAATAATCTGCTGAATTAAAGATTATATTACTACACCAATAGATGGGGAAAGCATTTGAATGCTGAGTTTTATAACCCCTATTCAACATTTGGTCTCTAATAAATTCTTAATAAAGTATTAAGTAGATTTTAAAAAAATAAAATATCAAAACATACAACAAGTAGATTCACAAAGAGTGAGAAAATCATGACAAAAGGCATCATGAAACACATTTCTACTGCAAGTTCTAGACTGCAGAAACTGTTTTTGAAAATGCAACTTAAAATCATGTAAAAGAATACATTTTAAAATTATGGGAAATAAGTCAATTCTAACTACTTTAGATGTTATAAAAGAAGGACGTTAGGCCAGGGGCAATGGCTCACGCCTGTTATCCCAGCACTTTGGGAGGCCGAGGCGGGTGGATCACGAGGTCAAGAGATCAAGACCATGCTGGCCAACATGGTGAAATCCCATCTCTACCAAAAATACAAAAATTAGCTGGGCATGGTAGTGTGCGCCTGTAATCCCAGCTACTCAGGAGGCTGAGGCAGGAGAATGGCTTGAACCTGGGAGGCGGAGATTGCAGTGAGCCGAGATTGTGCCACTGCACTCCAGCCTGGCAAACAGAGTGAGACTCCATCTCAAAAAACAAACAAAAAAAGAACAATGTTAGTAGAAAATGAATTATATATAACAGCAGGATAGGTCTAACTTTTAAGATTTGTGAGAAGGTAGATATTTTAAATTGTGGAAAGGCAAGGAAATTCATAGCTTTGCAGCCAAACATCAAGCATTCTTACAATCATTCAGCAAACGTATTTGTTCTGGGTCCTGAGTGTTTAAAATATTTTACTGTATTTTATCCCGAGGCTGTAGATTATAATCAACTGTCAGTTATTTGTCAATTATAAATCTCAACAATACTCCATGTAGGCTTAAATTTTAAATGGCAAAAAGAAAATAAGAATCATTCTAAATTCTGATAACAACTTAATATAAAGCAGTCAATTGTTACTACTGTTCATTTTTCATAATCAAACACTGAGTAGATCAAAAGTCACAAACTTTTTTCAACTGAAATCTCCAAGAATGCCACAGAAATGTGTAGGTGAATCTGCCTTCCATTTAATGTGATCGCTAAAAGACAGAATTTTGGGACTTCAGGACAAACATAATCTGGTGAAGGGGCGTAATTCTAGATGCCTATTATTCCTGTGCTGTAATATTTATCCTTATTGGGGAAAAAATGGACAAGTTTAGTGATGTACTAATGTCTCTCAGCAGTAGGCAGACTCGCCAAAGGCATACAAAGTAGAATGGTAAGACGCCTCAAACAACAAGGGACCCTGAACATTCCATTATTGGGCACATTCCTGTGCACAGGTTTGTACATGTGTGCAAGTCTTAAGTTCCTCTAACACTTCCCCCTCTCTGTTAGTTTGCTAGGGCTGCCACAACAAAGTGCCACAGACTGGGTAGCTTAAACAACAGAAATTTTATTGTCTCACAGTTTTGGGGACTAGAAGTCCAAGTTCAAGATGTCAGCAGGTTTGATTTCTGAAGCCTTTTTCCTTGTTTTGCTGATAGATGGGCACTTTCTCACTATGTCCTCACATGGTCTTTTCTGTGTGGCTGTGCATCCCTGGTGTCTTTGTCTTCTTATAAGGATACCAGTCATATTGGATTAGGGCCCACATTCATAGCCTCATACTCTTTAAAGACCTTAACCCTAAATACAGCCAATTCAGCCCATAACACCCTCTCCTCCCCAAAATGTTATGGCAACAACTCATAAAAATCACAGTGTATAACAAGAATAGTAGTGGGAAAATTAGAAGTGGCAGAAGTATCAAAAATCTTATTACATCAAAGATGTAAATATGACAATTAGCTGGATATGGAGGCGAAAGCAGTTGTAACAGATCTGAACCAACCTGGAGATAAAAATTCCTGAGTATGTAATAGAAAAACCCTTCAAATAATGAAAGCATCTGATTCACTCATCAGTACCAATGGGCTGAGCTCTGTGCTGAGTTGGAACTGGCTTAGTAAAAATTCTATACTGTGGACTCAGATTATACTAGTGTCATTTATGTTCTCACTTGGTACACTATTACAATTCAAATTAGAAAATAGTTCCTCATTAGATCATAGAAATTCACAAGTAGAAATTACTTCCTTTGGATAAGTAAGCATTTTTTAATCTTCATTATCATCTGGTTTTCATTAACATTTACTTCCAAGTAAAATGTAGTAAGTTCTATTAATACTTCATCATTAATTTTCATTCTGGTAAACTTAAGAGAACCAAAAAGACTGCCATCTTGCCCTCTTCCTCTTCATTTCATTCCTACATTGGCCTCATCTCAGGTTTATGTTTTATACTGAAACTCCTGGAATTAAAAAGTTAAGGCACTAGCATCTCCAACTCACACTCAGAAAAGATGTCCACAATTTAACTTAGTATACATGAGGCCAGAACAAAACAATGAGTGCTAGCTTGGCCTTCACTGGAATAGTTTCTCACAATTGCCATCTGAATCCTCCCCCCAACTGCATCTAAACCAATTCTTATGTGCTGTTTACATGAATGTCTCACATTGACCTAGTCAGAGCTCTCCAGCCACTACAATACTAGCAACAGCTATAACCGTGAAAACATTCATCGTGTGTATTAAGCAGTAAGTGCATAACGCTGTGATAATACAAGAGGTGTTGAGATGAATAAACTTTTATCCAGAGGCTATCTACACCATGGTCATAGTATTCAAAATATGTAGCTTCCAGTTGCCCAAAATGAGAGGCAGGAGAGGAGAGATAGAAAGCAAGAATGCGAAAAAGAAGAAGATACTACCATTATGAATACAACAGAGCCTGCTAAAATGATCCTAATTTAAAACCTAAATAGCCCTCAATAAAGTCTTCCAAGGGAGTGAGGAGTTTATAAAACGTGCAGTTGATGTTTCTCTCTGCCATGCTAACCAACGTAGAAGAGAATAAGATAAAGCAATGAAAAGCAGAGTGGCACTCTGATATATAAGATTCTCTAAGAAATATAGAGTGAATTTTGCCCAAAGGCCCTCACTGAACTAATTCCTGAACCAAAAGAGTATTTCTTAATCCAAAACTTTACAGTATTAGACCTACGAATTCTGATGATGCCTGATCAGATGCTAGTTGTTCTCGACAATCCATGCAGTTTTCCAGTATGAAGGAAAGTAACAAATATACCATGGTTATTCTTATTTCTTTCTGAAAAATATCTAGGATATTTTATAGTGTCATGTGGTAAAATATTCATTTGACAATCACAATGAAGTATAATCAGAAGTATTAGCAATTTTACTTTGTTTATCCTGTTAATCCAGAGTTTGCTCAACAATAAAATTAAGCCATTTAATAAAACCAATAATAAAATTAAAAGCTTTTTACCCTAATGTCTTAGGATAAAAAAACAGAACCATGATTCTGGGTGCTAATTGCCCATTTTAAACAATGGAAGCTTTTGATCTCCAAGGATAATATATGTACTCCTCCTAACCTTGTGGAGTAGTAGCGGTCATTATTTTTAAATATTGATAGCTCAATTCAAGTCATATTCTCTCTTGGACTGAGAAAGACTTGCAAGTACATTTTAATCAAACTACTATTCATCAGATTATATTTACAAGCCCACAGATCCCATTCCTGTGCTCCTTTGCCTCTCCTTCCCACTTCCTATGTTTACATGTCCAGGTCCACTCACCTTTCCTTTATGGGAGCATTCAACCCAGATGCAATATGAGTACACTTTCTTATATCATGGATATTTTCCCAAAATTTTTGTCATATACAGTATTTTCTTCCCAACTGCTTCCGCTTACTGCTAAAATTTCTTCTAGATTTATTAAACATACCTTTTCCAAAAAATATCTGAGAAACTAAACTTAAAAACAAAGCAAACTTTGAAAAACAATTCTGTATTCCCGGGGTTTGGATTTTAATTCAAATTGTTAGATGACCTTAGAGGTTCCATAAGGTTTTTATTTATGGCTATGGTTATAAAATCCACCTTCTGGAGAAATGGGGAACTTGGACATGGGGCCAGATAATAGAAAATGAGGGAAATATTCTTCATTTTAAGAGGCCAGTATCTCTGTTCCAAAGTCCAATAAAGGTATTACAAAAAGAATTTAAAAGTCCTCTAGAGAGGAAAAAAAAATTTTCTTGTCAACATAAAATTGAAATTGTAAATAAAATACAAAATTCCTAAATAGAGCAGAATTTTTTTTCAGTGAAAAACTATGGTTTACTACAGGAATGTAAGACTAGTTTAACATCAGAAAATATATTAATAAACTTCTGCACAATAAAAGACCAAAAGAAAAACAACAGCAAGATTACATCAAATATTAGGAAAAACCATTTGATGAAGTTCAACACCTATGATAAAATTAGAAATACAGGTTTGAGTATCCCTAATCCAAAAATCCAAAATCCTCCAAAATCTGTAACTTTCTGAGTGCTTTTTGAGGCATTATTTATTGCAGATTTTCAGTTTAGGGATACTCAACCAGTAATACAAATATTCCAAAATCTAAAAAAAATCTGAAATCCAAAATACTTCTGGTCCCCAGCATTTCAGGTAACATTTACTCAACCTGTAGAATAAAATTTCTTTATTTTAATAATGTTATGTGCCAAATCCAACATACTTTAAGAAAAAAATATTTTAAAACAAAAGCCATATATTAGGATTTGAAGAGAAGTAATGAAACTGCTTTTATTTGATGGCTATTTTCAATTTTATCTGCTGTCTTCAGCAAGAAGGAATATACATATATCTTATCTAAAAGAAATAACAGATTGCTAAGAAACCATGGGAATACAATGAAACCCAGTCTACTTATACTGATGAGATCTTGGAGATGAGTAAGATAATCCTCATCACAGTCAGACAATGTGGTAGCACCACCACTGTAGTGCCCTACAAGAGAAATTCAATGCAAAGGAAATTTGTCCTTCCAAAGGGGAGAATACTGCAACATGTTTCTAAAAAGTAAGTTCTTGTATCCATTACTTATATAAAAGAGATTTGCATCTTCTGCCTATATCTGTAAATCAATCATCATCACGTTTGTGACAACCATTCATAAAGTGTACAAACCACTCAGTGGGTTCACATTCTGGCTCATGTTATCCAAGCAACACTTGGAATTATGTGTCCTTGGGAAAAATATAATCAGTTTCTTCATTTAGAATATGTAATAACATTACCACCTATCCGACTGCTGTGAAGAAAACATAATATAAAGTGCTTCAGACATATAATATGTATTGCCCAGTGCTGGTATATATTAAGTTCTCAATAAATGTTAACTATTATGAGCTAGTATCCCAATGTTACCTCACTGGAAAATGTTAACAACCTGTGAAGAGACCATTTCTATTGACTTTGACTTTCCAATAATATTATGGTACTTCCAGAGAGGAGCAAGAGTCAATTTTTTAAATTTTAATTTAATTTTAAAAATACAGTACAGATTTAGTACTCTTCAATGGCTTGGCTTGTCATTACTTTAAAATTTTAGCACTTTATATTTTAGCCCACAACACCTTATTTCAGTGGCCCTGTCCTCTTTTCCAAACTCATTTCCTATCACTCTCACTTTTCCTACCAATCTATGAAATGTCAACTACTAGTCTTTTCTTTCCCTCAAATATGCCATATTGCATTCACATTTCAAGGCCATTAAATATAATAGGATTTTGTCCAGGAAAAGTTCTTTCCCTGTGGCTGCCTCCTTTGCATAATTTAAGCCTCAACTTAAAAAAAAAAAAGTCAATTCCAAGGCTTTCTCTGACTACTCTACGTGCAGTAGACCCCTCTCTCCTACTCTTTATCGTTTTGCTTTAACTTTACTCTTAACACTTACTACTAGAGAAACTATTTTATTTATTTATTACTAGCTGTACCTTATCTGTCTCCCAGCACTCATCTACACTAGAATATAAGCCCTATGAAGGCAGAAACTTAGATCACATAGTGAGCAAACAATATTTGCTGAGTGAAACAGGCAACTGGGTTGATATTCCACAGCTTAACTTATAACTAATTACTACACTCTGAGGTGAGAAAAAAAAAAATCAACCAAACAGCAAACCATCTGAATTTATTACTGGCAGATTTCTCTAAAAGGTTGTAAAGAATATATATAATGGGAGTCTACAATTAAAGATTCCTGATCCTCACACAGAACTATGGCTGAAGAAAGCCTGACTTGTGGCCAGGTGCGATGGCTCATGCCTGTAATCCCAGAACTTTGGGAGGCTGAGGCGGGCGGATCACCTGAGGTCAGGAGTTCGAGACCAGCCTAGACTCTACTAAAAATACAAAAATTAGCCAGGTGTGGTGGTGGGAGCCTGTAATCCCAGCTACTCAGGAGGCTGAGGCAGGATAATCGCTTGAACCCAGGGGGCGGAGGTTGCAGTGAGCCCAAATTGTGCCTCTGCACTCCAGCCTGGGCGACAGAGCAAGACTTTTGTCACAAAAAAAAAAAAAAAGCCTGATTTGTACAGTATGGGGGGAAAAACTGATATGCATTTTCAAAGGTACAATATACTATGAAATCAATGATTTGGACAGGGAACTAAAGAATTATCTTTTAAAGGAATGGGATAAACTACATTTTATACCCAGTAAAAGATGTCACACCTGTGGAACTTTATCTAAACTGTTGTTTAGAGAATTAATACAGTTAAATAGATTTCCTTATACCCCATTCAAAACCTTTTAAATGGACTTTAAGATGGCGAATAGGAGGCAGGACTAGCTTGCAGCTCCCGCTCAGACAGGCAGAGCAGTGTGTAGAGACTCACATCATGAACAGTGTTCATGAACAGTATTGAGCAGAACTTCAGGCTGGTACTAGGGTGTGTCTGCAAAGAGTCCTGTGATATGATTCATCTTCAGGTCTTGCAGCCCTGGATAGCAGCACCAAGAATTTCCACAGGAACATACCAGGAAAGCTGAGAGAATCCATAGACCCTTTGAGGTAACTGGATCACCACTGCAGGCTCCCTGAGTCACCGAAAAACTGTAAGTCTGCTTGCTTTCTCAACAGGGAGGTTCACGGTCTGGGGCAAGTTCTCAGCCCTGGTCACCAGCTGCCTGGAAATAGACTCGATGCAGGTGAGGGGGCACGGCAGGAATGAGACTGGCCTTTAGGACTGGGGACTGCATGGGAGTGGAGACAGGTCTGTGACTGCAGGCTTTCCCCCACTTCCCTGGTAACCTGTGTAACTCAGCAGAGGCAGCCATAATCTCCCTGGGAATATAACTCCATTGGACTAGGAACCACACCCCCATCCCCCACAGCAGCCAAAGCGAGCCCCATGCCCAAGGAGGGAATGAGCACAGACACACCTATCCCTTCCCCAAGCTGGTGGTTTTTCTCTACTTGCCCAGGTAACCAAAGACAAAGGTCAAAATCTCTTGAAAGCTCTATGGCCCCGCCCACTGCCTGAAAAACCTGAATACTTAACCAGGTATTCCTAGAACGTGGTGGTGGTGGTGGTGGTGGTGGTGGTGGTGGTGGTGGTGGTGATTGTTTTGTTGTTTTGTTGTTGTTTTAAGTAGAGACAGGGATTCACCATGTTGGTCAGGATAGTGTCGAACTCCTGACCTCAAGTGATACGCCCATCTCGGCCAAAGTGCTGGGATTACAGGAATAAGACACTGTGCCCAGCCCGTAGGGCAAGTCCACATCCTCGCTATAGGACCACAGCTGATGCACTCTTGAAAGCACCACCTCCTGGCTGGAGGCCAACCAACACAAAATGACGCACCAAACAAAAACACAACCAAGGATGCTCACAGAGTCCACTTCACTCCCCTGCTACCTCTACTGGTTCGGGTGCTGCTATCCAGGGCTGCAAGACCTGAAGATGAATCATATCACAGGACTCTTTGCGGACACACCCCAGTACCAGCCTGAAGCTCAGTAGCTCCACTGGACGGCTAGACTCAGAAGAACAAAAACAATCACTCCAGTTCGGCTCTCAGGGAGCCTCATTCCTAGGAGAAAGGGGAGAACAACACATCAAGGGAGCACCCCATGGGACAGAAGAATCTGAACAGCCACCTTGAATCCCAGATCTTCCCTCTGACATAATTTACCCAAATGAGAAGGAACCAGAAAAACAACTCTGGCAATATGACAAAGCAAGGGTCTTTAACACCCCCAAAAGATCATACTAGCTCACCAGCAATGGATCTAAATGAAAATGAAATATCTCAATTGCCAGAAAAAGAATTTAGAAGGTCGATTATTAAGCGAATCACGGAGTCAACAGAGAAAGGTGAATTTCAACTTAAAGAAATCAAAAACATGATACAGGATAGGAAAGGAAAATTCTTCAGTGAAATAGATAGCATAAGCAAAAAACAATCACAACTTCTGGAAGTCAAGGACACACTCAGAGAAATGCAAAATACACTGGAAAGTCTCAGCAATAGAACTGAACAAGCAGAAGAAAGAACTTCAGGGCTCGAAGACAAGGCTTTTGAATTAACCCAATCCATCAAGGACAAAGAAGAAAGAATTTTTAAAAATGAACAAAGCCCCAAGAACTCTGGGATTATGTTAAACAAACAAACCTAAAAATAATTGGTGTTCCTAAGGAAGAAGAGAAATCTAAAACTTTGGAAAACATATTTGAGGGAATAATTAAGGAGAACTTCCCTGGCCTTGCTAGAGATCTAGATATCCAAATACAAGAAGCTCAAAGAACACCTGGGAAACTCATCACAAAAAGATCATTGCCTAGGCACACAGTCATCAGGTTATCAAAAGTCAAGACAATAAAAAGAATCTTCAGAGCTGTGAGACAAAAGCACCAGGTAACCTATAAAGGAAAACCTGTTGGATTAACAGCAGATTTCTCAGCAGAAATCCCTCAAGCTAGGAGAGACTAGGGTCCTGTTTTTAGCCTCCTTAAACAAAACAATTTTCAGCTAAGAATTTTGTATCCAGTGAAACTAAGCTTCATAAATGAAGGAAAGGTACAGTCTTTTCTAGATAAAAAAATGCTGAGAGAATTCGCCACTACCAGGCCAACACTACAAGAACTGCTAAAAGGAGCTCTAAATTTTGAAACGAATCCTCAGAATACAACAAAATAGAGCCTCCTTAAAGCATAAATCTCACAGGACCTGTATAACAATAGCACAATGAAAAAAAAAAGGTATTCAGGCAACAAATAGCACAATGAATAGAATAGTACCTCACATCTCAATAATAACATTGAACGTAAATGGCCTAACTGCTCCACTTAAAGATACAGAATGGCAGAATGGATAAGAATTCAACAATCAAGTTTCTGCTGTCTTCTGAAAAGCCATTCCACGGAAATGGACGCCAAAAGCAAGCAAGAGTAGCTAGTCTTATATCAGACAAAAAAAAAAAAAAAAAAAAGAAAAACTTTAAAGCAACAGCAGCTTAAAAATACAAAGAATGATATCATATAATGATAAAAAGGACTAATCCAACAGAGAAATACCACAATTCTAAATAAATATATATGTATGTATGCATATATCTAACACTGGAGCTCCCGAATTTATAAAACAATTCTACTAGGCCTAAGAAATGAGATAGATGGCAACACAATAATAGAGGGGGACTTCAATACTCCACTGACACTAGTCATCAAGGCAGAAAGGCAACAAAGAAATAATGGACTTAAACTATACAACAAATGGATTTAGATATTTACAGAACATTCTACCCAACAACTGCAGAATATATTCTATTCATCAGTACATGGAACATTCTCCAAGACAGACCATATGATATGCCACAAAACAAGTCTCAGTAAATTCAAGAAAATCAAAATTATATCGAGTACTCTCTCATACCACAGTGGAATAAAATTGGAAATCAATTCCAAAAGGAACCTCAAAACCATGCAAATACATGAAAATTAATAATCTACTCCTGAATGATCTCTGGGTCAACAATGAAATCAAGATGGAAATTCAAAAATTCTTTGAACTGAATGACAGTGACACAACCTATCAAAACCTCTGGGATACAGCAACAGTGGTGCTAAGAGGAAAGTTCATAGCATTAAATGCCTACATCAGAAAGTCTGAAAGAGCACAAATAGACAATCTAAGGTCACGCCTCATGGAACTGGAGAAATAAGAACAATCCAAACCCAGCAGAAGAAAAGAAATAATGAAGATCAGAGCATAACTCAATGAAACTGAAATGAAAAAAAAAAAAACAAAAGATAAATGAAACAAAAAGCTAGTTTATTGAAAAGATAAATAAAATTGACAGACCATTAGCAAGATTAACCAAGGAAGACAGAAAATCCAAATAAGCACAATTAGAAAAAAAATGGGAGATATTACTACTGACACCACAAAAATACAAAAGATCATTCAAGGCTACTATGAACACCTTTATGCACATAAACTAGAAAAACTAGAGGCGATGGATAAATTCCTCCAAATATATAACCCTCCCAGATTAAAGCAGAAAGATAAAGAAATTCTGAACAGACCAATAATAAGCAGCGAGACTGAAGTGGTAATAAAAAAAATTGCCAACGAAAAAAAATCTAGGACAGAAGAATTCACAGCTAAATTCTATCAGACATTCAAAGAACTGGTAGCAATACTATTGACACTGTTCCACAGGATAGAGAAAGAGGGAATCTTCCCTAAATCACTCTATGAAGCAGGTATCACTCTAATACCCAAAATAGGGAAGGACATAACAAAAAAAGAAAACTGCAGACCAATATCCCTGAGATGTAAAAACCCTAAACAAAATACTAGTGAACCAAATTCAACAGCATATCAAAAATATAATCCGCCATGATCAAGTGGGTTTCATACCAGGGATGGTTTAACATCCGCAAGTCAATAAATGTGATACATCACATAAACAGAATTAAAAACAAAAATCACATGATCGTCTGAAGAGATGCAGAAAAAGCATTTGACAAAATCCAACATCGTTTTATGATTAAAACCCTCAGCAAAATTGACATAGAAGGGACATACCTTAACATAATAAAAGCCATCTATGACAATCCCACAGCCAACAGTATACTGAATGGGGAAAATTTGAAAGCATTCCTGCAAGAACTGAAACAAGACAAGGATGCCCACTTTCCCCACTTCTACTCAACATAGTACTGGAAGTCCTAACCAGTGCAATCAGACAAGAGAAAGAAATCAAGGCATCCAAATTGATAAAGAGGAAGTCAAATGACCACTGTTTGCTGATGATATCATCACATAATAGAAAACCCTAAAGACTCATCCAAAAAGCTCCTAGAACTGGTAAATAAATTCAGTAAGGTTTCAGGATACAAAATTAATGTACACAAATCAGTAGCTCTGCTATATACCAATAGCAACCACACTCAGAATCAAATCAAGAACTCAACCACTTTCACAATAGCTGCAAAAAAAAATAAATAAATACTTAGGAATTTACCTAACCAAGGACATGAAAGACCTCTACAAGGAAAATTACAAAACACTACTGAAAAAATCTTAGATGACACAAACAAATTGAAACACTCCCCATGCTCATGGATGAGTAGAATCAATATTGTGAAAATGACCATACTGCCAAAAGCAATCTATAAATTGAATGCAATTTCCATCAAAATACCAACATGATTCTGCACAGAACTAGAAAAAACAACCTCAAAATTCATAGGGAACCAAAAAAGAGCCCACATAGCCAAAGCAAGACTAAGCAAAAACAACAAATCTGGAGGCATCACATTATCTGACTTCAAACTATACTATAAGGCCATAGTCACCAAAACAGTGTGATATTGGTATAAAAATAGGCACAAAGACCGTGGAACAGAATACAGAACCCAGAAATAAAATCAAAAACTTACAGCCAACTGATCTTTGACAAAGCAAACAAAAACATAGAGTGGGGAAAAGACACTCTATTCAATAAATGGTGCTTGGATAATTGGCAAGCCACATATAGAAGAATGAAACTGGATCCTCATCTCTCATCTTATACAAAAATCAACTCAAAATGATCAAATATTTAAATCTAAGACCTGAAACCATAAAGATTCTACAAGATAACATCAAAAAAAAAAAAAAACCCCCTCTAGACATTGGCTTAGGCAAAGACTTCATGACCAAGAACCCAAAAGGAAATGCAACGAACACAAAGATAAATAAATGGGACTCAATTAAACTAAAAACCTTCTGCACAGCAAAAGAAATAATCAGCAGAGTTAACAGACAACCCACAGAGTGGGAGAAATCTTTATAATCTCTGCATCCGATAAAGGACTAATACCTAGAATCTACAAGGAAATCAAATAAGAAAAACAAAATTCCATCAAAAAGTAGGCTAAAAACATTAATAGTTTTTTTTTATTATACTTTAAGTTCTAGGGTACATGTGTACAACGTGCAGGTTTGTTACATATGTTTACATGTGCCATGTTGGTGTGCTCCACCCATTAACTCATCATTTACATTAGGTATATCTCCTAATGCTCTCCCTCACCCCTCCCCCTAACCCACAACAGGCCCCGGTGTGTGATGTTCCCCTTCCTGTGTCCAAGGGTTCTCATTGTTCAGTTGCCACCTATGAGTAAGAACATGGGGTGTTTAGTTTTTTGTCCTTGTGATAGTTTGCTGACAATAATGGTTTCCAGCTTCATCCATGTCCATACAACGGACATGAACTCATCATTTTTTATGGCTGCATAGTATTCCATGGTGTATATGTGCCACATTTTCTTAATCCAGTCTATCATTGATGGACATTTGGGTTGGTTCCAAGTCTTTGCTATTGTGAATAGTGCCGCAATAAACATACATGTGCATGTGTCTTTACAGCAGCATGATTTATAATCCTTTGGGTATATACCCAGTAATGGGATGGCTGGGTCAAATGCTGTTTCTAGTTATAGATCCTCGAGGAATCACCACACTGTTTTCCAAAATGGTTGACCTAGTTTACAGTCCCACCAACAGTGTAAAAGTGTTCCTATTTCTCCACATCCTCTCCAGCACCCATTGTTTCCTGAGTTTTTAATGATCGGCATTCTAACTGGTGAGAGATGGTATCTCATTGTGGTTTTGATTTGAATTTCTCTGATGGCCAGTGATGAAGAGCATTTCTTCATGTGTCTGTTGGCTGCATAAATGACTTCTTTTGAGAAGTGTCTGTTCATATCCTTTGCCCACTTTTTGATGGGGTTGTTTTTTTCTTGTAAGTTTCTTTGAGTTCTTTCTAGATTCTGGATATTAGCCCTTTGTCAGATGAGTAGATTGCAAAAATTTTCTCCCATTTTGTAGGTTGCCTGTTCACTCTGATGGTAGTTTCTTTTGCTGTGCAGAAGCTCTTTAGTTTATTTAGACCCCATTTGTTAATTTTGGCTTTCATTGCCATTGCTTTTGTTGTTTTAGACATAAGTCCTTGCCCATGCCTATGTCCTGAATTGTATTGCCTAGGTTTTCTTCTAGGGTTTATATAGTTTTAGGTCTAACATTTAAGTCTTTAATCCATCTTGAATTAATTTTTGTATAAGGTATAAGGAAGGGATCCAGTTTCAGCTTTCTACATATGGCTAGCCAGTTTTCACAGCATCATTTATTAAATAGGGAATCCTTTCCCCATTTCTTGTTTTTGTCAGGTTTGTCAAAGATCAGATGGTTGTAGATGTGTGGTATTCTTTCTGAGGGCTCTGATTTGTTCCATTGGTCTATATCTCTGTTTTGGTACGAGTACCATGCTGATTTGATTACTGTGGCCTTGTAGTATAGTTTGAAGTCAGGTAACGTGATGCCTCCAGCTTTGTACTTTTGGCTTAGGATTATCTTGGGAATGTGGGCTCTTTTTTGGTTCCATATAAACTTTAAAAGTAGTTTTTTTCCAATTCTGTGAAGAAAGTCATTGGTAGCTTGATGGGGATGGCATTGAATCTATAAATTACCTTGGGCAGTATGGCCATTTTCATGATATTGATTCTTCCTACCCATGAGCATGGAATGTTCTTCCATTTCTTTGTGTCCTCTTTCATTTCATTGAGCAGTGGTTTGTAGTTCTCCTTGAAGAGGTCCTTCACGTCCCTTGTAAGTTGCATTCCTAGGTATTTTATTCTCTTTGAAGCAATTGTGAATGGGAGTTCACTCATGATTTGGCTCTCTGTCTGTTATTGCTGTATAAGAATGCTTGTGATTTTTGCACGTTGATTTTTGGATCCTGAGACTTTGCTGAAGTTGCTTATCAGCTTAAGGAGATTTGGGGCTGAGACGATGGGGTTTTCTAAATACACAATCATGTCATCTGCAAACAGGGCCAATTTGACTTCCTCTTTTTCTAATTGAATACCCTGTATTTCTTTCTCCTGCCTCATTGCCCTGGCCAGAACTTCCAACACTATGTTGAATAGGAGTGGTGAGAGAGGGCATCCCTGTCTTGTGGCAGTTTTCAAAGGGAATGCTTTCAGTTTTTGCCCATTCAGTATGATATTGGCTGTGGCTTTGTCATAAATAGCTCTTATTATTTAGAGATATGTCCCATCAATACCTAATTTATTGAGAGTTTTTAGCATGAAGGGCTATTGAATTTTGTCAAAGGCCTTTTCTGCATCTATTGAGATAATCATGTGGTTTTTTCTTTGGTTCTGTTTATATGATGGATTACGTTTATTGATGTGCGTATGTTGAACCAGCCTTGCATCCCTGGGATGAAACCCACTTGATCATGGTGGATAAGCTTTTTGATGGGCTGCTGGATTCGGTTTGTCAGTATTTTATTGAGGATTTTTGCATTGATGTTCATCAGGGATATTGGTCTAAAATTCTCTTTTTTTGTTGTGTCTCTGCCAGGCTTTGCTATCAAGATGATGCTGGCCTCATAAAATGAGTTAGGGAGGATTCCCTCTTTTTCCATTGATTCGAACGGTTTCAGAAGGAATGGTACCAGCTCCTCCTTGTACCTCTAGTAGAATTCGGCTGTAAATCCATCTGGTCCTGGACTTCTTTTGGTTGGTAGGCTACTAATTATTTCCTCAATTTCAGAAACTGTTATTGCTCTATTCGTGGATTCAAATTCTTCCTGGTTTAGTCTTGGGAGGGTGTATGTGTCCAGGAATTTATCCATTTCTTCTAGATTTTCTAGTTTATTTGCCTAGAGGTGTTTATAGTATTCTCTGATGGTAGTTTGTATTTCTGTGAGATCGGTGGTGATATCCCCTTTATCATTTTTGTATTGCATCTATTTGATTCTTCTCTCTTTTCTTCTTTTATTAGTCTTGCTTGCAGTCTATCAATTTTATTGATCTTTTCAAAAAACCAGCTCCTGGATTCACTGATTTTTTGAAGGGTTTTTTGTGTCTCTATTTCCTTCAGTTCTGCTCTGATCTTAGTTATTTCTTGCCTTCTGCTAGCTTTTGAATGTGTTTGCTCTTGCTTCTCTAGCTCTTTTAATTGTAATGTTAGGGTGTCAATTTTACGATATTTCCTGCTTTCTCTTGTGGGCATGTAGTGCTATAAATTTCCCTCTATACACTGCTTTAAATGTGTCCCAGAGATTCTGGTATGTTGTGTCTTTGTTCTCACTGGTTTCAAAGAACATCTTTATTTCTGCCTTCATTTCGTTATGTACCCAGAAGTCATTCAGGAGCAGGTTGTTCAGTTTCCAGGTAGTTGAGCGGTTTTGAGTGAGTTTCTTAATCCTGAGTTCTAGTTTGATTGCACTGTGGTCTGAGAGACGGTTTTTTATAATTTCTGTTCTTTTACATTTGCTGAGGACTGCTTTACTTCCAACTATGTGGTCACTTTTGGAATAAGTGCAATGTGGTGCTGAGAAGAATGTATATTCTTTTGATTTGGGGTGGAGAGTTCTGTAGATGTCTATAAGGTCCACTTGGTGCAGAGCTGAGTTCTATTCCTGGATATCCTTTTTAACTTGCTGTCTCGTTGATCTATCTAATATTGACAGTGGGGTGTTAAAGTCTCCCATTATTATTGTGCAGGAGTCTAAGTCTCTTTGTAGGTCTCTAAGGACTTGCTTTGTGAATCTGGGTGCTCCTGTATTGGGTGCATATATATTTAGGATAGTTAGCTCTCCTTGTTGAATTGATCCCTTTACCATTATGTAATGGCCTTCTTTTCTCTTTTGATCTTTGTTGGTTTAATGTCTGTTTTATCAGAGACTAGGATTCCAACCCCTACCTTTTTGTTTTCCATTTACTTGGTAGATCTTCCTCCATCCTTTTATTTTGAGCCTATGTGTGTCTCTGCACGTGAGATGGGTTTCCTGAATACAGCACACTGATGGGCCTTGACTCTTTATCCAATTTGCCAGTCTGTGTCTTTTAATTGGAGCATTTAGCCCATTTACATTTAAGGTTAATATTGCTATGTGTGAATTTGATCCTGTCATTATGATGTTAGCTGGTTATTTTGCTCGTTAGTTGATGCAGTTTCTTCCTAGCCTCGATGGTCTTTACAATTTGGCATTTTTTTTGCAGTGGCTGGTAGCGGTTGTTTATTTCCATGTTTAGTGCTTCCTTCAGGAGCTCTTGTAGGGCAGGCCTGGTGGTGACAAAATCTCTCAGCATTTGCTTGTCTGTAAAGGATTTTATTTCTCCTTCACTTATGAAGCTTAGTTTGGCTGGATATGAAATTCTGGGTTGAAAATTCTTTTCTTTAAGAATGTTGAATATTGACCCCCACTCTCTTCTGGCTTGTAGAGCTTCTGCCGAGAAATCAGCTGTTATTCTGATGGGCTTCCCTTTGTGAGTAACCCGACCTTTCTCTCTGGCTGCCCTTAATATTTTTTCCTTCATTTCAACTTTGGTGAATCTGACAATTATGTGTCTTGGAGTTGCTCTTCTCGAGGAGTATCTTTGTGGTGTTCTCTGTAGTTCCTGAATTTGAATGTTGGCCTGCCTTGCTAGGTTGGGGAAGTTCTCCTGGATAATATCCTGCAGAGTGTTTTCCAACTTGGTTCCATTCTCCCCGTCACTTTCAGGTACACCAATCAGACGTAGATTTGGTCTTTTCACATAGTCCCATATTTCTTAGCGGCTTTGTTCATTTCTTTTTACTCTTTTTTCTCTAAACGTCTCTTCTCGCTTCATTTCATTCATTTGATCTTCAATCACTGATACCCTTTATTCCAGTTGATTGAATCAGCTATTGAAGCTTGTGCATGCGTCGCATAGTTCTCCTGCCATGGTTTTCAGCTCCATCAGGTCATTTAAGGACTTCTCTACACTGGTTATTCTAGTTAGCCATTCGTCTAATCTTTTTTCAAGGTTTTTAGCTTCTTTGCGGTGAGTTCGAACTTCCTCCTTTAACTCGGAGAAGTTTGATCGTCTGAAGCCTTCTTATCTCAACTCGTCTAAGTCATTCTCCATCCACCTTTGTTCCATTGCTGGTGAAGAGCTGCATTCCTTTGGAGGGGGAGAGGCGCTCTGATTTTTAGAATTTTCAGCTTTTCTGCTCTATTTTTTCCCCATCTTTGTGGTTTTATCTACCTTTGGTCTTTGATGATGGTGACATACAGATGGGGTTTTGGTGTGGATGTCCTTTCTGTTTGTTAGTTTTCCCTCTAACAGTCAGGACCCTCAGCTGCAGGTCTATTGGAGTTTACTGGAGGTCCACTCCAGGCCCTGTTTGCCTGGGTATCAGCAGCGGAGGCTGCAGAACAGCGAATATTGCTGAACAGCAAATGTTGCTGCCTGATCGTTCCTCTGGAAGCTTCGTCTCAGAGCGGTACCCAGCTGTGTGGGTTGTCAGTCTGCCCCTATTGGGGGGATGCATCCCAGTTAGGCTACTCAGGGGTCAGGGACCTCTTGAGGAGGCAGTCTGTTCATTCTCAGATCTCAAACTCCATGCTAGGAGAACCACTACTCTCTTCAAAGCTGTCAGACAGGGACATTTAAGCCTGCAGAGGTTTCTGCTGCCTTTTGTTCAGGTATGCCCTGCCCCCAGAGGTGGAGTCTACAGAGGCAGGCAGGCCTCCTTGAGCTGCGGTGGGCTCCACCCAGTTTAAGCTTCTCGGCTGCTTTGTTTACCTACTCAAGCCTCAGCATTGGTGGGTGCCCCTTCCCCAGCCTCGCTGCCACCTTGCAGTTCGATCTCAGACTGCTGTGCTAGCAATGAGCGAGGCTCCGTGGGCACAGGACCCTCTGAGCCAGGCACAGAATATAATCTCCTGGTGTGCCGTTTGCTAAGACCGTTGGAAAAGCACAGTATTAGGGTGGGAGTGACCTGATTTTCCAGGTGCCATCTGTCACAGCTTCCCTTGGATAGGAAAGGGAATTCCCTGACCCCTTGTGCTTCCCAGGTGAGGTGATGCCTCGCCCTGCTTTGGCTCACGTTCAGTGGGCTGCACCCACTGTCCTGCACCCACTGTCCAACAAGCCCCAGTGAGATGAACCTGGTACCTCAGTTGGAAATGCAGAAATCACCCATCTTCTGTGTCACTCACACTGGGAGCTGTAAACTGGAGCTGTTCCTATTGGGCCATCTTGGAACTGCCACCTTTTTTTTTTTTTTTTTTTTTTTTGAGACAGAGTCTCACTCCATCACCCAGGCTGGAATGCAGTGGCGCGATCTTAGCTCACTGTAACCTCCACCTCCTGGGTTCAAGTGATTCTTCTGCCTCAGCCTCACAGGTAGCTGGGACTATAGGCGCATGCCACCATGCCCAGCTAATTTTTTGTGTTTTTCATAGAGACAGGGTTTCACTGTGTTAACTAGGATGGTCTCATTTCCTGACCTCATGATCCGCCCGCCTCAGCCTCCCAAAATGCTGGGATTACAGCCATGAGCCACCATGCCCAGCCAAAATAGACAATTCTTAAAAGAAGATATATAAATGGCCAAAAAGCATATGGAAAAATGCTCACCATCACTAATGATCAGGGAAATGCAAATAAAAACCACAATGCGATACCACCTTCACTCCTGTAATAATGGCCATAATAAAAAAATCAAAAAATAATAGATGTTGGTGGGGATGCAGTGAAAATGCAACACTTACAATCTTCACACTGTTTGCGGGAATGTAAACTACCACAACCAAAGTATGAAGATTACTTAAAGAACTAAAAGTAGATGTACCATTTGATCCAGCAATCCCACTGGATCTACAGGTGTCTATCCAGAGGAAAAGAAGTCATTATGCAAAAAAGATACTTGAACACACATGTTTATAGGGTCACAATTTGCAATTGCAAAAACATGGAACCAGCCCAAATGCCCATCAATCAACAAGTTGATAAAGAACATGTGGGTGTGTGTGTGTGTGTGTGTGTGTGTGTGTGTGTGTGTATACTTGGACTACTACTCAGCCACAAAAAGGAACAAAATAATTGCATTCATAGCAGCCTGGATGGAATTGAAGACTATTATTCTAAGTGAAGTAACTCAGGAATGGAAAACCAAACATCGCATCTTCTCACTCACATGTGGGAGCTAAGCAATGAGAACACAAAGGCATAAGAATGATACATTGGACTTTGGGGACTTGGGGGAAACGGTGGCGAGTGGTGAGAGATAAAAGACTACCCATTGGGTACAGTGTAATCTGGTCAGATAATGGGTGCACCAAAATCTTAGAAATCATCACTGCAGAACTTATTCATGTAATCAAATACCACTTGTCCCCCAAAAACCTACTGAAATAAAAAAGTTGTTAAAAATTATTTTTAAAAACTTTTAAATGTTTGTGTATCACTGGTCTTGGAATATAACATTCAAAGCTTCTCAAATTTATTTGACCACAGAATGCCTTTTGTCAAACTTCTAATTTACACAGCCTGGAAATCTATTTGGGAAAGGCTGCTGTAGTGCTCATAAAAGTTAAAACATTATCAACTATGAGAGCCCACCATTCACACTGATCCAACAGTTTTGAGAACAAAGTTTTTTTCCCAACTGCTCTATTCAACTTAAGTTTTAACCAGAATAGCCCAGGTCCTCTGTGGTTAAGTTTTAACCAGAATAGCCCAGGTCCTCTGTGGTTAAGTTTTAACCAGAATAGCCCAAGTCCTCTGTGGTCCAATAGTGTATTTGTTTTCTTCTAACATTAGTATCAATTATTCATTTTCTTAAGACACTGCACAAAGTCTCTCCTGCATAAGTCTCAAAGTAGTTATGGGACTGTCTTGTTTCCTATTTAAACGCAAGTAGCTTCAGTACTCCAATATTTAATGCAATATTTACTTTAAATTTTAGTAACTAATTTTTATCAGATTTAAGTAATTTCTTCCTATCTGTATTTTACTTAGAACTTTTACTGGGAAAGACTAAATTCTATCAAATGTCCACTTTATCATATAATAAAATCACATGATTTTAACCTTTCATTCATTCAGCAATGAAGTATACTGAAATATCCTGGTGGTAAAATATCCTTACATCCTAGAATAAACCTTACCTAGTCATGCTATATTATTAATTTAGATTGCTGATAAAGTTCATTCCCTAATGCTGAAATAAGAAACATAACTTTAAACAAACATACCTTAACTATTTGGAAAAGTAATTATGCAGCTGCAAAGACTAAGATAGGAAAAGAAATTAACACTACATAATCTGATTTACCAGAAATTTTACTAAAATATATTTATTTTATTTTAGTCACATTCTTACTTGTATAGATTGACAAACTTCAGTTTCTTTTAGATCAAATTAATTTTTTAAATTCCTCTATGAAAGTGAAATTATGTCATTTGTCTTCTAAAGATATATTTCAGAAAACATAAAGTATCTAAGAATATGAACAGCAACTGTGAATGTTAACAAGGCAAATTTAAGTATCAGAAAGTTGAAAGATGAAAGACAAAATAACCTAAGAATAAAAAAGTTCTTATTTAACTAATGATTCACCTAAATAATACCACCTATTTTTTTAACTTTCAAGATTTTTTATTGTAATTTTCTATGTAATCATACGAAGTGCATTCCTGTGAACTACTTTTAATACTAAAATGAATCATATAATATAACAATAGAGGGAAAAGCTGCTCAAATATTCTATAATATTCTTGAGTCATGGATGAGCAGATACAAATGCAAAAGAATCTTAACCATTTAATCACTGGCAAGGATGTGGAGAAAAAGGGACCCTCATATGCTGTTGGTGAAAATGTAAATTAGTAAAACCATTATGAAGAACAGTTTGGAGGGTCCTCAAAAACCTAAAAATAGAGCTACCATATGATTTAGCGAACTCACTGCTGGGTATATATCCAAAACAAAGGAAATCAGTAAATCGAAAAGATATCTGTGCTCTCTCTGCCCAGCCGCCCCATCTGGGAGGTGAGGAGCGCCTCTGCCCGGCCGCCCATCGTCTGGGAAGTGAGGAGCGCCTCCGCCCGGCCGCCCCGTCTGGGAGGTGAGGAGCGCCTCCGCCCGGCCACGCCGTCTGGGAGGTGAGGAGCGCCTCTGCCCCGCCGCCCATCGTCTGGGAGGTGAGGAGCGCCTCCGCCCCGCCGCCCCGTCTGGGAGGTGAGGAGCGCCTCCGCCCGGCCGCCCAGTCTGGGATGTAGGAGCGCCTCCGCCCGGCAGCCCATCATCTGGGAAGTGGGGAGCGCCTCCGCCCGGCCGCCCCGTCTGGGAAGTGAGGAGCGCCTCCGCCCGGCTGCCCCATCTGGGAAGTGAGGAGCGTCTCTGCCCACCCGCCCATCGTCTGGGAAGTGAGGAGCGCCTCTGCCCAGCCGCCCATCTTCTGGGATGTGAGGAGTGCCTCTGCCCAGCCACCCCGTCTGGGAAGTGGGGAGCGCCTCTGCCCGGTGCCCCATCTGGGAGGTGTACCCAACAGCTCCGAAGAGACAGCGATCATCGAGAATGGGCCATGATGACGATGGCAGTTTTGTCGAAAAGAAAAGGGGGAAATGTGGGGAAAAGAAAGAGAGATCAGATTGTTACTGTGTCTATGTAGAAAGAAGTAGACATAGGAGACTCCATTTTGTTCTGTACTAAGAAAAATTCTTCTGCCTTGGGATGCTGTTAATCTATAACCTTACCCCCAACCCCGTGCTCTCTGAAACATGTGCTGTGTCAACTCAGGGTTAAATGGATTAAGGGTGGTGCAAGATATGCTTTGTTAAACAGATGCTTGAAGGCAGCATGCTCGTTAAGAGTCATCACCACTCCCTAATCTCAAGTACCCAGGGACACAAACACCGTGGGAAGGCTGCAGGGACCTCTGCCTAGGAAAACCAGAGAACTTTGTTCACGTGTTTATCTGCTGACCTTCTCTCCACTATTATCCTATGACCCTGCCACATCCCCCTCTCCGAGAAACACCCAAGAATGATCAATAAATACTAAAAAAAAAAAAAAAAAAAGATATCTGTGCTCCCACGTTGGTTGCAGCACTGTTTGCAATAGCCAAAATTCAGAAGCAAACTAAGCATCCATCAACAGATAAATGGATAAAGAAAATGTGGTACATATATACAATGGAGTACTATTCAGCCATGAAAAAAGAATGAGATCCAGTAACTTATAACAACATTAATGGAGCTGGAGATCATTACATTAAATGAAATAAGCCAGACACGCAGACAACCATTGCATGTTCTCACTTATTTGTGAGATCCAAAAATCAAAACAATGGAACTCATGAACACAGAGAGAAGAACGATGGTTACCAGACGCTGAAGAGGGTAGCGGAGTATGGGAATGAGTTAAGGATGGTTAATGGGTTAAAAAAAAAAATAGAAAGAATGAATAAGGCCTAATATTTGATAGCATAACAGAGTGACTATAGTCAATAATAATATAACTGTACATTTTAAAATAACTAAAAGAGGCTGGGCGCAGTGGCTCATGTCTATAATCCCAGCACTTTGGGAGGCCAAAGTGGGTGGATCACCTGAGTTCAGGAGTTCGTGACCAGCCTATGCAACATGATAAAACCCCATCTCTACTAAAAATATAAAAATTAGCTGGGCATGGTGGCAAGCACCTGTAATCCCAGCTCTTTGGGAAGCCAAGGCAGGAGAATCACTTGAACCTGGGAGTTGGAAGGTGCAGTGAGCCGAGATCGTGACACTGCACTCCAGCCAGGGTGACAAGAGTGGAACTCCATCTCAAAAAAATAAATAATATAATAAATAAAATAAATAATATAATAAATAAATAATATATAATATAATAATATAATAAAAAATAATATAATAAAAATAAAATAACTAAAAGAGTTTAACTGGATTGTTTGTAACACGAAGGGAGGAGATGGATACCCATTTTACATGATGTGATTATTATGCATTGCATGGCTATCAAAATATCTCACATACCCCATAAATATATATACCTACTGTATACTCACAAAAATTAAAATAAAAAAATTTTAGGGTCTGGTGCCATAGCTCATGCCTATAATCCCAGCACTTTGGGAGGCCGAGGCAGGTGGATCACCTGAGGTCAGGAGTTCGAGACCAGCCTGGCCAACATGGTGAAACCCCATCTCTACTAAAAATACAAAATTAGCCTGGTGTGGTGATGCATGCCTGTAATTCCAGCTACTTGGGAGGCTGAAGTAGGAGAATCATTTGAACCTAGGAGGTGGAGGCTGCAGTGAGCTGAGATCGTGCCATTGCACTCCAGCCTAGGCAACAAGAGCGAAACTCCATCTCAAAAAAAAAAAAAAATTTAATAACCAAGGAAATTTAATTAATTTGCTTCAAAGTGATGCTGGTATGTATGAACTGACATACACACCAAATTTAATCAATTTCCTCAGTTATTCCTTTCAAAATCAATCTTAGCCAATAAGCTTATGTTAGCTATTAGACTCAGATGGAAATAAGCCTTTATTATACAAAGTAATAATTAGTCACAACTTCAAAGTCCTTTGAGTCCACTTAATAGCATCAATCTGATCCAACCTTAATAAACTCTACAGGAATTTATACCACTCTCGTTTTCATAGTGTCTATTTTTGTTTAATCAAATACTACACTATCAGATAAAATCAAAGTAAAGAACAAGAATATATAGGCCGGGCACAGTGGTTCACACCTGTAGTCTCAGCACTTTGGGAGGCTGAGGCAGGCAGATCATTTGAGGTCAGGAGTTTGAGACCAACCTGACCAACATGATGAAACCCCGTCTCTACTAAAATACAAAAATTAGCCGGGTGTGGTGGTGGGGCATCTGTAATCTCAGCTACCTGGGAGGCTGAGGCAGGAGAATCACTTGAACCCAGGAGCTGGAGGTTGCAGTGAGCCAAGATCGTACCACTGCACTCCAGCCTGGGCAACAGAGCAAGACTCCCCCTTAAAAAAAAAAAAAATATATATATATATGTATATAATAAGAATTCCTAATATTCCACTTACTACATTACTGCCAAGATTGTAACAATCCAAACGTTAAATAAAATACCTAAAGATATGAATGTATTAGATGAATTATCAACAATACTCACGCATCATTTGAGCAAGTCATAAATTCTCCCTTTATTTTGGGATGCCATGAGCCAGTATGAAGCATTGCTGTATGACCCTTAAAAATAAAGACAAAGGGGAAAAAAAGATGTTTTAAAAAGGTAAAAAATAAACTGACTAGAAACTGACATGTCATTTTTAAATGTAAAAATGTTTAGTTCCCCCAAAAGGGCACCATTTTAATTATAAACCTATATTATTTTATCCCAATTTTCTCTCATAACATGTTTCATTTATTTCGCTTTAACTCTTTGTGTACCACCCTGTGCCCACCTCAGGAATTAACTCAGTGCTTGTATGTAACAGGTGCTTAGTAAGGTGGGAAATGGAGAGGAAAATGACATCCTTTCTTTAGAAGAAAAAAAGAAAGGTAAAGCCAAAATAAGAAAGACAGGTCCTTCTTCAAAGATCATAACTCCTTTCTTCAATGGAAGAGAATCAAGAATAGAAAGCATTTACAAATAAGCAAGGTGAAGGCAAGAGATTGGAAGGGAAATCCATATTTCCTAAAAATGTGTCAACAACCTTGATTCTACAATGCCTCTGTAAAAATAAGTATGTGAGAAAAGGAAGAATATATTTTAAATGATTGAGGAAAATTAGCTCCATTAAGTATAGAGAATATAAAAACACTATAATTAAAACAATGTGATGCTGATATACGTAAACTGACATATACACCAAATCAACTAGAGTACATAGCAAACATAAACACACACATATATACAAATGCATAATTCCCTCTTAGGCAGTAAAGTCAGCTAGAGTGGTCTCATACAGCAAGTCAGATTTACGTGGGATAGAAAAGAGCCTGGTCTTTTTTAGTATAATAACTGCAGTATCTCTTACTCTGACACAGTTCAAAATAAAACTATGATTAAAGAAGTAAAATGTACATATTTAAGTGACTTACAAGAAAAATAACAGTAACTCTCTGAAAAGATACATAGGCCTGGAGATCATCTTCAGCCAAAGTTGTCTACAATGCCTCAAATAGTATCTGGCCAAGGCCTGACATTCTGTTCATGTTTACGGAATACAAATGAGGGGAGGTGGAGACTCTTAGCCATGTGGGAGGCATGAATTGAACCAATACCTGGAAGGACTAGACGGCAAGTCTGAGATCTCATTTTCCACCCCTGAACTCAAGGCTTGCACATCCAACTATCTACTTGACATTTCTATCTGCATATCATAGGCATCTCGAACACAACAGGTACAGGGAAAATCTTGATTCTTTCTGCCCACTTTATTTTCAATCAGTTTCTTTCCTAGTAGCTCAAGCTAAAAACGTGAGAGTTGTTCTTAAATATTCCCATAACCATGGTCCTAAAACCTTCTATCTACACAGATTCAATCCACCAGCTATTCTTGACAATTCTATCCAAAATACATTCTATTTCTATTCACTTTCTAAAATCTATTCACTTTTCTCTTTTTCATCACTATCACTTATTCTCTCACAACATTCTCTCATGCTTCTATATCAGTTAATATGTACTGTAACAGGTTTGTTATTAGTCTCTCTGCTTTTTCTTTTTTTTTTTTTTTTCTTGAGACAGGGGTCTCACTCAGTCACCTAGGCTGGGGTACAGTGGCATGTTCACAGCTTACTGTAGCCTTGGCCTCCCAGGCTCAAGTGATCCTCCTGCCTCAGCCTCCCAAGTGACTGGGATTACAGGCATGAGCCACCATGCCTGGCTAATTTTTGTATTTTTCGTAGAGACGGGGTCTCACCATGTTGCCCAGGCTGGTTTTGAACTCCTGGGATCAAGTGATCCGCTTGCCTCGCCTCCCAAAGTGCTGGGATTACAGGAGTGAGCCACTGCGCCCACCTCTGCTTTCATTTTACCTCATGTGCTCTACATAGCAATCAGTATAATCCCTTAAAAATATAGTTCTAACGTAGGAACAGAAAACCAAACACTGCATGTTCTCACTTATAAGTGGGAGCTGAACGATAAGAACACATGGACACACTGTCGGGGGAACAGCACGAACTGGGGCCCCTCGGGGGTGCAGGGTGGAAGGAAGGAGAACATCAGGAAGAATAGCTAATGGATGCTGGGGTTAATACCTAGGTGACGGGTTGATCTGTGCAGCAAATCACCATGACACACATTTACCTATATAACAAACCTGTATATCCTGCACATGCACCCTAGAACTTAAAAGTTAATGGAAAAAAAAATACATAAACATACATACATACATATATATATATATATATATGTAGTTCTAAATATGCCATAATGTCGGCACAGTGGCTCACAACTATAATCCCAGCACTTCTGGGAGGCTGAGGCAGAACAATCACTTAAGGTCCGCAGTTTGAGATCAGCCTGGGCAACAGAGTGAGATCCTGTCTCTACAAAAACTAAAAATAAAAACTTAGCTGAGTATGGGATAGACATCTATAGTTCCAGCTACTTAGAAGACTAAAGTGGGAGGATCCCTTGAACCCAGGAGTTGGAGGTTACAGTGAGCTACAACTGTACCAGTATACTCCAGCCTAGGTGACAGGGTCAGACACCATCTCAAAATAAATAAACTGATCAATTTAATTAAATTAAAATGCCACTTAACCTTTTACTGGCTTTATAACCTCTTATACAGTGTGATGGTTAATAATGAGTGTCAACTTGATTGGATTGAAGGATACAAAGTATTGATCCTGGGTGTGTCTGTGGGGGTGTTGCCAAAGGAGATTAACATTTGAGTCAGTGGGCTGGGAAAGGCAGACCCACCCTTACTCTGGGTGGGCACAATCTGATCAGCTGCCAGCTCGGCTAGAATATAAGCAGGCAGAAAAATGTGAAATGAGAGACTGGCCTAGCCTCCCAGCCTACGTCTTTCTCCCATGCTGGATGTTTCCTGCCCTCAAACATCGGACTCCAAGTTCTTCAGTTTTGGTGCAGACTACCTTCCTTGCTCCTCAGCTTGCATACAGCCTATTGTGGGACCTTGTGATCATGTGAGTTAATACTTGATCAACTCCCCTGTATGTATATTCCATTAGTTCTGTCCCTCTAGGGAACCCTAATATACACAGTCCACAACGAATTTTATTTTCTGGCTCCATGTTCCTTCCATCTTCACTTATTTTGTGTTCCCTCATGCCCAGCACATACCAGCCACTTCCTTCCTTTCAGTTCCTCCAATATGTTCAGCTCTGCTCCATATCAGGGCCTTCTTATATGCTTTCCCTACGCTGGAAAGCTCTTTTTTCCACTTTCTCATGACTGGCTCCTTCTCATTATTTCACTCTCAGTTTACATGCCACTTGCTCAAATAAGTATTCCCTGGTCCTCTATGTAAGAAAACATGGCCCACCACATTGTTCTTTACCTTAGTACCTGTGCATTTCCTTAATAATAGCCATCATAGTTTGTGATTCTTTATTCATTTTTTGACTTTTGGAACAGTGTTAACATTTTACATATTCACACAAAAAAATAAGGATGGGACAACCAAAAATTGAATATAAACAGGAACAAATCAACCTTACATTTCAAATTAGTAACACATATACTGAAAGAATAAACAGAAGGGAATACCCCAGATAACTATCTACCCTGTAAGTGGGTTGATGGCCCCCAAAAAGATATGTCCATATTCTAATCCCAAGAACATGTAAACATGACCTTATTTTGGGAAAGGTTATTTGCAGATATAATTAAGAATCTCGGCTGGGTGCGGTGCCACATGCCAGTAATCCCAGCTCTTTGGGAGGCCAAGACAGGCGGATTGCTTGAGCTCAGGAGTTTGAGACCAGCCTGGGCAACATGGCAAAACCCCATCTCTACAAAAAAAAGAAAAAAAATTATCCAGGCATGGTGGCACACAACGGTAGTCACAGCTACTCGGAAGGCTGAGATGGAAGGTTCTCTTGGGCCCAAGAGGTCGAGGCTGCAGTGAGCCATTATTACACCACTGCACTTCAGCATGGGCAAGAGAGCAAGACCCTGTCTCAAAAAAAAAAAAAAAATTCTAGATGCAATTCTGTGCAGGCTCTAAATCCAATAGCAAATGTCCTTATAAGAGATAGAAGAGGGCTGGGCGTGGTGGCTCACACCTGTAATCTCAACACTTTGGGAGGCCAAGGCAGGCAGATCACTTGAGCTCAGTTAGAGACCAGCCTAGGCAAGATGGCTAAACCCCATCTCTACAAAAAATACAAAAATTAGCCACGTGTGGTGGCAGGTGCCTGTAGTCCCAGTTATTTGGGAGGCTGAGGTGGAGGATGGCTTGAGCCCAGGAGATGGAGACTGCAGTGAACTGAGATCACACCACTACACTCCAGCCTGGGCAACATTATGAGACCCTGTTTCAAGAAAAAAAAAATTTTTTTTAAAGAAGAAAAGAGAAGAGAAAAAGACAAAAAGAGAAGGCTATGTAAAGACAGAGGCAGAGAATGGAGTTATATAGCCACAAGCCAAGGAATACCCCGAGTCACCAGAAGCTGAAAAAGGCAAGAAAGGGCATTCTTGCCTAGAGCCAACATTCTTGCCAACACCTTGATTTCAGCCTTCTGGCCTCTGTAATAGTAAAAGAATAAATTTCTGTTGTTTTCAGCCACCAAGTTTGTAGTAATTAGTTAAAACAGCCCAGGAACCTAGTACATATTCTCAGTCTAAGACCAAAAGAACTGTAAATAAATATTGAATTCTAATTAATACATTTGTTTCTTTTTTGCAGTGGTATGCATTAGCAATTCTGAAACTGCCTTCAATATAATGAAGAACTAAGCCAAGGAGGAAATGTGCTGGGGACAACTGGAGTAAGGTTTAGCCCTGTTGGAGAAGATAGTTACAAAAGTGAAAAGGCGGAAGACTAGAATGAACTCTCTGATGTTAAATAGAAATTAAGGGTATCAATGTGAACTCATGATTTTTAATAGGTAGATAAAATTGTTGTATATGTATATATGTGTTAGTTATTCTCTAATTCTGTATGTTAAGAATGTCTAGAAGTAATATATTCCAGCAAAACTAACACAGAGATCCTGGTCTCTAACAATCACCTCTCCTTAAAAGGAACCAGGGCTTCTTGCAAAAATTATTGATTACAGAGATGGGGTAGGAAACGAGCAAGATGAACGTGGAACATTTTGTTGTATTAAAAAAAAAAAGAAAGTACTACAAAGATGATGGAGACATGTTAAAAGGATAAAGCACACGTTGAAGAGCCTTCTGCTGGCTAAATCTGGAATAGTTAGGGCATCACAATAAATAATGATAGTAACGAATTATAAACCATTCACTAAAACAAGGACCATTGAGTGTATACTAATATAATAAATATACAAACAAACAAAGCTCTTCCTTTTAGTAGAATGCTACTGATAAACATAAAATAAATGATGGAGTTAAAAGATCATCATTTTGCAATCATCACAGTAATAACTGATTCAGGAAAGAATCATCAATAGATGCTAAAATTGTGGAGAAAAGTTTGAAAATGAATATTTACAAAGCCTCAAAATCTCCCTGCAAATTACTTAGTAATTGCAATGAGAAGACAGTAACTTTATAGTGGAAAAACCTGGTAGACACCACCTTAAACAAGTGATCTAGGTTAACATCACCAATGCAAGGACAAACTGAAGCTGACATCACATACTTCCTGGTATGATGAAGAAAGGAGGACACCATATCATTTCTGTCATAGTCCTTCTAAAAATGCATAACCTAATTCAAACTATGAGGTAAAATCAAATTCTATATTTTATCAAATCACTGACCTGCAGTCCTCAAAAAATGTCAAGGAAAAATAAAGACGAAATAATGCAGAGAAGCCATTCCCAATTAAAGGAGACAACAGATATGATGACTATATACAATGTGTGATCTTGATCAGAGCCTGGAACTGGTGAAAAAATCATTATACAGATTGTTGAGATAATCAGTGAAACATGAATGTGAAATGTGATTTAGATAATAATACGTTATCAATGTTAAATTCATGGCTATCCACCAGGCATGGTAACTTGTGCCTGGTAGTCCCAGCTACTAGGGAGACTGAGGCAGAAGGATTGCTTGAGCCCAGGGATTCTAATCCAGCCTGGGCATCAAAGCAAGACCCTGTCTCTTAAAAAAGAAAATTATGATTATGTATGAAAATGCATTGTTATTAGGAACACCTCACTGAAGAATTTAGGAGTAAAAGAGCATGACGTTTACAACTTACTTTCAAAAGCTGAAAACTAAACACACATATATGTAATTTATATGCATATGCATATATATATGAGTGTGTATATACAGGTGGGATAGGAAGGTGGGTTAGTTTGTGTTAGTTGAGGGAGGAATGGAGGAGGGAAAAGGAAGGAAGGGGTAAGGTGAAAATAAAGCAATGAGACAAAATGTTAGCAATTGGTAAATCTGAAAAAGAAGTATAAAGAAGCTTTACACCCCTTTTAATTTACAGCTATTCTTTAAGTTTAAAATTATACCAAAATAAATAATTTTATTAAGTTTTTTTTTGGGGGGGGGAGTGTTTGTTTACAGATGAGGGTCTCACTCTGTTGCTGAGGCTCAAGTGCAATGGTGCGACCACCACAGCTCACTGCAGCCTCAACCTCCTGAATTCAAGAGATCCTCCCACCTCACCCTCCCAAGTAGTTGGGACTACAAGGCAAGCACCGCTACACCCAGCTGATTTTTTATTTATTATAGAGATGTGGTTTCTGCTATACTGCACAGGCTAGAAACTAAATACTTTTTAAAAAATATTCTGGTTGCCCAGTGAAGGAAAGTCTGTTAAAAAAAAAAAAAAAAAAAGAATCTATAGGGCTGCTCAGTGAAGAAAAGCCTGTTGAAAAACGAGAAAAAAAAAGAATTTATAGGTCCAACTGGGAAGATGTTAATGTGAGTCATGCGAAGATCGACAGTGGCTTTGACTAGAGAGCAGCACTAAGTGTTGACAAGTGAGTACACATTCCTTACAAGTGCACACAGAAAATTCACTAAAATCATATTCTAAGTAACAAAACACACTTCATCAGATATTTTAAAAATTAAAATTATTCAAAGTATGTTTCCAAGGGCTGGGTGTGATGGCTCATGCCTACAGTCCCAGTACTTTGGGAGGCTGAGGTGGGAGGATCACTTGAGGCCAGAATTTTTTTTTTTTTAAAGTATGTTTCTAGATCATAAGAGAATTAAATTAGAAGCCAGTAAGAAAAAAGTCTCAAATACTTGTATATTTAAACACCACACTAATAACCCATGGGTCAAAAAGGTAATCCCAAGTGAACTGAATAAAAATGAAAATATAACATCTGAAAGTTGTGGGACACAGTTAAAGAAATGCTTAGAGCATTTCTATTAGAAAATAAGAAAAGTCTCAAATTAATAATTAAAGCATCCATCTTAAAATATTAGAAAAAGAAGGCAAGTAGGAGAAAATAAATCAATAAAGTTGATAAACTTTTAGCCAGAACAAGAAAAGGAGAGAAAGAGAGAGAAGACACAAATTACCACCAATTCAGGGAAAATTAGGAGATATATCAGTACTGATCCCAAAGAAATATTACTATTATAATAATCTTATGCACATAAATTTGGTAACTTAAAGGAAGGAAGAACTCGAATAGTCCTATATCCACTAAATATACTGAATTCATAGTTAAAAGCTTTCAAAAACAGAAAAGAAAACCCCAGCCCAGTTGGCTATACTGGCAAACTCTACCAAACATTTGAGGAAGACGTAACATTACTTTTTCACAACAGTTTCCCCAAAACAGAATTGGATAGTACACTTCCAAATTCATTTTATGAAGCTACCATCACCCTGATACCAAAATCAAGTACCATATGACATAAGAAAGCTACAAAACAACATCCCTCATCAACATAAAAGCTAAGATCTTTGAAAAAATATTAAACTAGTATCTAAAAGGAATAGTACATTGCAACCAAGAAGGCTTTGTTCCAAGAATACAAGTCTGGTTTAACAATCAAAAATCAATGTAATTAACCACATTAACATAATAAGATAAAAAATTCAGAAAAGGCATTTGACAAAACTCAATAGCCATTCATGATAAAAAACTCTCAGCCAATCAGTGACAGAAAACAACTTACTCAACTTGATAAAAGCATATTGTCTCAGTCAGCTAGGGCTGCTATAACAAAAGACCATAGACTGGGTGGCTTAACCACCATACATTTATTTCTCATAATTCTGGAAGTTGGTGAGGGATCCCTTCCTGGCTTGCAGATGGGCCATCTTCTCCTGTATCTTCATATGGTCAGGAGACAGAAAGCTCTGGTATCTATTCCTTTTTTTCAGAAGGGCACTAATCGCATCATAGAGAATCCACCCTCATGACCTCACCTAAACCTAATTACCTCCCAAAGGCCCCCACCTCCTAATACTATAACATTGGAGGTGATGGCTTCAATATATATATTTGGGGGGGACACAAACATTCAGTCCATAATAGGTACGTACAAAAAACCTACAGTTAACTACCTATTTAATGGTAAAAGACCAAATATTTTCTCTAAATGTCAGGTTTTAAGCAAAGATACCTGACCCCACCACATTCACATTCAATGTCAATCTGGAAGCCCTAGTTAAGTACAATAAGGCAAGAAAAAAAATAAAAGGCATTCGGATTGTAAAAGGAGAAATAAAACATTCATTCCAAGACACAATGACCATTTATGTAGAAAATCCCAAGGACTCTATAAAAAAACAACATTCAAAAAAATCAATAAAATTTCTATGCACTACCAATGACAGTTAGAAACCAAAAAATATTTTAAAGTCCTATTTGTAATAACTCAAAAAAACAAAATGCTTAGGTACAAATCTAATATAATCAGGATCCCTATGTTGATATACTATAAAATGTACACGAAAGAAACAGAAGGCCTAAATAAGTGGGGAGATATACTGTGCTGATGAATCAGAAACCTCAATATACTGAAAACATCAATTCTCCAAATTGATCTTCAGACTCAGTATAATTCCAAAGAAAATCCCAACAGGGTGATCTTGTGGAAGTAGAGACTTAGAATGATAGTTACCAGTGTCTAAGAAGTGCAGGGGAGGGGGGAAGATAAAGAGAAATCAGTTGATAGGTTCAAACATACAATTAGAAGGAATAAGTTCTCATGTTTGACAGCACAGTAGGGTGACTACAATTAATAACAATGTCTCACATATTCTAAAATAGCTAGAAGGGAGAACTAGAAATCTTCCCAGCACATAGAAACAATAAATGTTCAAGGTGATGGATACCTCAAATACCTGAACTTGATTACATATTCTCTGTATACAACAAAATATCACATGTACCCCATAAATATGTACAAAAAGAATGTATCCACAAAATAATTCTAACAAGATTATTTGTAGATATAGACAGGGTGCTTCTAAAATTTACATGAAAAAGTAAAGAAATTAGAATAGTCAAAGCCATTTTTAAAAAGAAAAAAAAAAGTTGGAAAGCATCCTACCAAATTTAAGTTTAAGTTTGTTAATATGTAAGAAATATTTAAAAGCTGTAGTAGTAGGAAGACTGGCCGAGCCCTGGGTGTGGGACAGAGTGCCTGTGTGTGTGTGTCCCCAAGGGCAGGAAGGTGGCAAAGGGAGGTGAATCCAAGTGGGTGGAGGGAAGGGAAAGGTGGGAAGAGAAAAAGGTGGGAGGAGGACCAAGTGGGAGGGTGGTGGCTCACTCAGGACCCACCGGGGGCAGCGCAATGAGGCGGGTGACCCTGTTCCTGAACAGCAGCCCCCAAGAACGGAAAGGTGGTTGCTGTATATGGAACTTTATCTGATTTGCTTTCTGTGGCCAGCAGTAAACTCAGCATAAAAGCCACCAGTGTGTATAATGAGAAAGGTGGACTGACTGATGATATTGCTTTGATCAGGGATGATGATGTTTTATTTGTGTGTGAGGGAGAGCCATTTATTGATCTTCAGACAGATTCTAAGCCTCCTGAAGGATTGTTAGGATTCCACACAGAGTGGCTAACATTAAATGTTGGAGGGAGGTACTTTACAACTACACGGAGCACTTTAGCGAATAAAGAACCTGACAGTATGCTGGCCCACATGCTTAAGAACAGAGGTGTCTGGGGAAATAAGCAAGATCATAGAGGAGCCTTCTTAATTGACCAAAGTCCTGAGTACTTTGAACCCACTTTGAACTACTTGTGTCATGGACAGCTCATTGTAAATGATGGCATTAATTTATTGGGTGTGTTAGAAGAAGCAAGATTTTTTGGTATTGACTCACTGATTGAACACCTAGAAGTGGCAATAAAGAATTCTCAATCACCAGAGGATCATTCACCAATATCTCGAAAGGAATTTGTCCGATTTTTGATAGCAACTCCAACCAAGTCAGAACTGTGATACCAGAGTTTGAACTTCAGTGGTGCTGATGTTTCTCGTTAGGACCTTCGATACATTAACTTCAAAATGGCCAATTTAAGCCGCTGCAATCTTGCACATGCAAATCTTTACTGTGCAAATCTTGAATGAGGTGATCTCTCTGGATCAGTGCTTGACTGTGCAAATCTCCAGGGAGTCAAGATGCTCTGTTCTAATGCAGAAGGAGCATCCCTGAAACTGTGTAATTTTGAGGATCTTTCTGGTCTTAAAGCCAATTTAGAAGGTGCTAATCTGAAAGGTGTGGATATGGAAGGAAGTCAGATGACAGGAATTAACTTGAGAGTGGCTACCTTAAAAAATGCAAAGTTGAAGAATTGTAACCTCAGAGGAGCAACTCTGGCAGGAACCAATTTAGAGAACTGTGATCTGTCTGGGTGTGATCTTCAAGAAGCCAACTTGAGAGGGTCCAACGTGTAGGGAGCTATATTTGAAGAGATGCTGACACCACTATACATGTCGCAAAATGTCAGATGAGAATTTTAGGGGCTAGAGGAAGATGTACAAGATGAAAACATTTTCCTTATCACTTTTCTTTCTCCACCCACTCAGTTGTCTAGAAGAAGTAACACTGTAAGGAAATTTTTAAAAAACATTGAGAGAATTATGCTTGCTCTCAGCGGTGCATAAGGGAAAAAATTGACTTTTTTTCCATATTCTGATTTTTAACAGAAAAGCACTCATTAATAGGTATACGGAAACTAGATATTGCTGCTTTTTGAATGGGGTAGGGGGGTTCCACTCAATACCAGAGGCAAGTTCCACTCAATACCAGACCAAGCAATTCTATCTATTTACACTATTAGCCTAGTTTTCCCATACGATCGGCACAAGCATAGGAAGATACTTCAAAACCAAAAAACCAAGGTACATCATTAATATTCATTTAATTCAAATACCAAATAATTTACATAAGGCCAGCTTAGAAATCGATATTAAATCCAGATCTACTGCAATCAAAGCTTATACAATATGAGTGAATATGGCAGAGTTGCCTGATAAAAGACAATGTAATATATTGAAGCTAGAACCCTACAGTGGGTAATGAGGAATTTTAGACAGACATTTGATTACAGCCACCAGTAAATATATATAAAGTAAAAATAAAGGCATTTGGCTGATCTAAAATGTAATACCAATCAGTCAGCACCTGTGATTCTTTTACTTATATTTTTTGGGTTTTTTTAAAACAAATTTCAGCCCAATTTTCTTGAGTCATTATCTCTCTGCAGCAGCAGAGGAAGGGCCTGTACCTGCCTACCAATGACCTGGTGTCCTTATATCTACCCCAAGAGCAGGGATACTAGCTGTGTCCAAATGGGTTCTGAATTCTACAGACTCATCAACATGAGGCAAGGAATCACTGAAAACCACTTTTGTCTCCTTTAGGAGAATGACATATCTTTAGTATTTTCGTGCTTATTCTTCTATATCTACATATGCAAAGCTTTCCTTAACAGTAAAGGGTAAATATGCATAGTGGGAAGAGATCAGAACTTTACAAGTGAAGGAGAGCAACTTCAGAAATGAATTATTTTCTTTGCTTTATTACTTTTACCAAGACAGAAAGTATTGTATTGAGAGATAATCTATTTCCATAATCAGTATGTCTCTAAATTATATTTAAATCATTTCATTCTGTACTATATTTTCAGGAATTAGAGAATATGTTATTCATTCACTTGAAGGTACCTCTGTAGAAATAACCTAAAACTGCAGAAGGATCTGTAAAAGCTAAACATGGTGTGCTTAGAAACTGCAGATTTTAGATCTAATATATACTGCATTAATAAATGATATAAAGCGTTGAAAAGGGAAAAAAAGCTACAGTAATCAAGACAGAATGGTACTGTATCAGAAAAAGATAAACACATACCCATAAAACACAAGGGAAAGCCCCAAAATAAACTCACTCAAATATCATCAACTATTGATATTTAATATTTGACAAAGATGCAAAGGAAATTTAATAAAGAAAGGTCAGTTTTTCCAACTAATAAGGCTGAAATAACTAATCAATCATATGACAAAAAAAGATAATCTCAACCTATTATTCATACTGTATACAAAAGTTAATGCAAAATGGATGACAGCCCTGAATCCAGAATCCAAAACAGTAAAACTCTAAGAAAAACTAGAGAAAATCTGTGTTTGGTAAAAAGCTCTCATGTACAACACTGAAAACAGAATCCAGAAGACATTACAACTGACACCAAAGAAATACAAAAGATCATTTGAGATTACTATGAACACCTCTATGCACACAAACTAGAAAATCTAGAGGAAATGGTTGAATTCCTAGGAGCATACAACCCCCAGAGCTTGCATCAGGAATGGAAATCCTGAACAAACCAATAGCAAGCAGTGAGAACGCATCAGTAATTTAAAAAATAGCCAACCAAGAAAAAAAAAACAAAACTCAGGACCAGGTGGATTCATAGCAGAATTCTACCACACCTTCTAAGAAGAAGTGGTGCCAATCCTACTGAAACTATTCCAAAAGATTGAGAAAGAGAATGTGGTACATCTACACCATGGAATATTATGCAGCCACAAGAAAGAATGAGATTATGTCCTTTGCAGGGATGTGGATGGAGCTGGAGGCCATTATCCTTAGAAAACTAACACAGAAACAAAAGACCAAATACCGCCTGTTCTCACTTAAAAGCAGGAGCTAAATGATGAGAACACACAGAGACATAGAGGGGAAGAACACAAACTGGGGCCTATCAGAGGGTGGAGGGTGGGAGAAGGGAAAAAAGCAGTAAATACAACTAGTGGGTACTAGGCTTACTACCTGAGTGATGAAATAATTTGTACAACCAATCCCCATAACACACGTTTACCTATGTAACAAACCTGCACATCCTGTACATGTACCCCTGAACTTACAGTTTAAAAAAAAAAAGATAAGAAAAGATTGAGAAAAAGGAGGGAATCCTCTCTAACTCATTCTATGAAGCCTGTATTATCATCCTGATACCAAACTTAGGAAAAAATGTAACCAAAAAAAGAAAACTACAGACCAATATCCCTGATGAACACACACGCAAAAATCAACAAAACACTAACAAACGTAATCCAGCAGCCCATCAAAAAGATAACTGACCATGATAAAGTGGGTTTCATCCAAGGGATGAAGGAATGGTTCAATATATGTGATATAGTTTGTGTATTTGTCCCCAGCCAAATCTCCTGTTGAATTGTAATCCTCAGTGCTGATGGTGGGGCCTAGTGAGAGGTGTTTGGATCATGGGGGTGAATCCTTCATGGATTAGTGCTGTCTTTGTGATAGTGAGTTCTCACAAGATCTGGTCATTTAAAAGTGTGTAACAAGTCCCCGCTCACTCTCTCTCTCGCTTCTGCTTCCACCATGTGAAGTATCTGCTCCTGCTTCATCTTCTGCCACGAGTAAAAGCTTCCCCAGGCCTCCCCAAAAGCAGATGCTGGTGCCATGCTTCCTGTACAGCATGCAGAACCATAAGCCAGTTAAACTTCTTTTCTTATAAACTACCCAGTCTCAGGTATTTCTTTTCGGCAATGCAAGAGTGGCCTAATATGCAAGTCAATAAATGCAAATTCACCACATAAACAGAATTTAAAACAAAAACCATATGATTACCTCAATGGATGCATAAAAAACATCCGATAAAATGCCCCACAGCATCCCTTTATGATAAAAACAAGCAACAAACTAGGCACAGAAGGAATATACTTCAAAATAATAAAAGCCATATACGACAAATCCACAGCCAACATCATACTAAATGGGGAAAAGTTGAAAAGAATCCCCACCTCTCCCAAGAATTGGAACAAGACCAAGTTGCCCACTTTTACCACACTTCTATTCATCATAATACTGGGAGTCCTAGCTAGAGCAATCAGGCAAGAGAAAAAAAATAAAGGGCAACCAAACTGGAAAATCAAATTAAGATCTGATTCTCAAATCAATCCCTTTTACAATAGCCGCAAAAAATAAAAAAAAAGGAAACCTAGCAGTATACTTAACCAAGGAGGTAAAAGATCTCTACAAGGAGAACTACAAAACACTACTGAAAGAAATCACAAATGACACAAACAAATGTAAATATGTCCCATGCTCATCAATTGCAAGAACCAATATCATGAAAATGATCATACTGCCCAAAGCAATCTACAGATTCAAGGCAATTCCTATCAAAATACCAACATCATTTTTCACAGAATCAATCCTAAAATTCATATGGAACTAAAAAAGAGCCTGAATAGCCAAAGCAATTCTAAGAAAAAGAACAAATCAAGAGGTATAACATTACCTAACTCCAAATTATATTGACAAGGCTACAGCAACCAAAACAGCATAGTACTGGTATAAAAGTAGATATGCAGACCAACAGAACAGAATAGAGAACCCAGGAATAAAGCCAAATACTTACAACCAACTGATCTTTGACAAAGCACACCAAAACATAAATTGGAGAAAGAACACCCTATTCAATAAATGGTGCTGGGAAAACTGGACAGCCACAAGCAGAAGAATAAAACTGTATGCCTACAAAAATGAACTCAACATGGATTAAAGCAAACTTGTCCAAACCATGGCCCGGAATGGCTTTGAATGTGGCCCAACACAAATGTGTAAACTTTCTTAAAATACTACAAGATCTTTTTGCAATTTTTTTTAAGCTCATCAGCTACCATGTTAATATATTTTATGTGTGTCCCAAGACAATTCTTTTTTTTCCAATGTGGCCCAAGGAAGCCAAAAGACTGGACATCCCTGTATTAAAGAGGTAAATCTGAGACCTGAACCCATAAAAATTCTACAAGAAATCCTAGGAAAAACTTTTCTGGAAACTGGCCAAGAATTTATGACTAAGACTCCAAAAGCAAATAAAACAAAAATAAATAAATGGGAACTAATTAAACTTAAAAGCTTCTGCACAACAAAAGAAATAATCATCAGAGTAAAGAGACAACCCACAGAATGGGAAAAAATATTTGCAAACTATGCGCCCAACAAAGAAAGCACTAATATCCAGAATCTACGAGGAACTCAAACAAATCAGCAAGAAAAAAAAAATCCCATCAAAAAGTGGACAAATGACATGAAGACACTTCTCAAAAGAAGATATAAAAATGGCCTAGGCCAGGTATGGTGGCTCACGCCTGTAATCCCAGCACTTTGGGAGGCCAAGGCGGGCTGATCACCTGAGGTCAGGAGTTCAAGACCAGCCTGGCCAACATAGTTAAACCTTGTCTCTACTAAAAGTACAAAAAATTAGCCAGGTGTGGTGGCGCACACCTGTAATCCCAGCTACTATCCCAGCTACTCGGGAGGCTGAGGCAGGAGAATAGCTTGAACCCGGGAGGCAGAGGCTGCGGTGAGCTGAGATCGCGCCATTGCACTCCAGCCTGGGCAACAAGGGTGAAACTCTGTCTCAAAAAAAAAAAAAAAAAAAAAAAAAAGCCAACAAATATATGATAAAATGCTCAACATCACTAATCACTGGGGGAATGCACATTAAAACCAAAATGAGATGCCACCTTAGTCCAGCCAGAATGGCCATTATTAAAAAGTGAAAAAACAATAAATGTTGGTGTGCATGTGGTGAAAAGGGAACACTTATACACTGCTAGTGGAAATGTAAACTAGTACAACCTCTATGGAAAACAATATGGAGATTTCTCAAAGAAGTAAATCTACCGTTCGATCCAACAATCCCACTACTGCGTATCTACCCAAAGGAAAAGAAGTCATTATATCAAAAAAACACGTGCACACTTATGTTTATTGCAGCACAGTTCACAATTGCAAAGGTATGTAACCAACCAAAATGCCCATCAATTGATGAGTAAATAAAGAATATATGGTATGTATACACCATGAAAAAATACCCAGCCATAAAAAAGAACGAAATAATGTCTTTTGCATCAACTTGGATGGAGCTGGAGACCATTATTCTAAGTGAGGTAACTCAGGAATGGAAAACTAAATACTGTATATCCTCACCTGTAAGTGGGAGCTAAGCTATGGGTACACAAAGGTATATACAGTGGTACACTGGAAACTCAGAAGGGCCTAAGGAGAGGAATGAGGGATAAAAAAACTACATATTGAACACAATGTACACTACTCAGATTATGGGTGCACTAAAATCTCACACTTCACCACTGTACAATTCATTCATGTAAATAAAAACCATTTGTACCCCAAAAGCTATTGAAATTTTTAAAAATATTTTTAAAAACACAATCTATAAAGAAAAAAATTGATAAATTAGAATTTGTTAGAATTTTTAAAACTTCTGCTTTACAAGGTGAATGAACAGAAAAGCCACAGACTGACTCACGCCTGTAATCCCAGCACTCTGGGAGGCCAAGACAGGTGGATCGCTTGAGCCCAGGAGTTCAAGACCAGCCTGAGCAAAATGCCAAACCCGTATCTATAAAAAATACAAAACATTAGCCAGGAGCGGTGGTGTGCACCTATAATCCCAGCTGAGGTGGGAGGATCGTTTGAGCCCAGGCTGGCGAGGCTGCAGTGAACCGAGACGAGAGAGAGAGAGAGAGAGAGAGAGAGAGAGAGAGAGAGAGAATATTTCCAAATCACATATTTAAAAAAGGACTTAAGTTGAGAATATATATATTTTTAAAAAAAAACTGAAAAACAAACATTAACAAAATGAACACTTCTCTCTTCCCCAATCTGAGCAGAAAAAAATTGAATATAGACACTTCATTAAAAAAAGATATGAGAAAGACAAACACAGGCCGGGTGTGGTGGCCCATACCTGTAATCCCAGCACTTTGGGAGGCAAAGGTGGGCAGATCACTTGAGGTCAGGAGTTCGAGACCAGCCTGGCCAACATGGTGAAACCCCATCTCTACTAAAAATACAAAAATTAGGCAGGCATGGTGGTGGACACCTGTAATCCCAGCTACCTGGGAGGCTGAGGCAGGAGAATCACTTGAACCTGGGGAGTGGAGGTTGCAGTGAGCCGAGACTGCACCACTGTACTCCAGCCTGGGTGAGACAGCAAGACTTCATCTCAAAAAAAAAAAAAGAATGACAAACATGAAAAGATGCTCAACATCATTCATCATGGGGGAATGCAAATTAAAACAACAATGGGATCCCACTAAACACCTATTTGAATGGCTAAACTACCAAAAACTAACAATACCAATTGCTAGTGAGGCTACAGAGCAACGGAAACTCTCATTCATTTCTGGTGGGAATGTAAAATGGTCTAGCCACTTTGGAAGACAGTTTCACAGTGTCTTATAAAGCTAAATACAGTCTAACCACACGATCAGCAATCACACCCCTAGGTATTACTGATTTGAAAACATGTTCACACGAAACCTACACACAAATGTTTGTAACAACTTTCTTCATAAAGTTTTGTTGGTAAGACATATTTTGCCAATGGTACAGATGTGGGGTGTGAGGGAAAAGGGAGAAGTCAAGTTTAACTTACAGGTTTTTGACTTCCTCAACTGGTGAATGGCAATGCCATTTACTGAGAAATAAAGACAACCAACTGCAGAAGGAATAGGTCTAGGAAGAAAAGTCACAATTTCCTTTTTTGACATGTTAAGGTGAGATACATCTAAATTTGTCAAGTAGGTAGTTGGTAATACTGGGCAGGTGAGAAAATAGAGTAAAATCTGTAAATTTGTATGTAATTAGTGTCTATACATGATATTTAAACTCATGTATCCAGAGGCAGAAGCATAATACAAAAGAGGGCTCAACACTGAGCCCTGGGATATTCCAATATTTAGAAGTTGAATAGAAAAGGAGGAGTGAAAAAACAAGAGTGAAAAGGAACATACAGTGAGGTAAGAAGAAAACCAAGAGAGCACCGTAAATTCAAAGTCAAGTAAAGAAGCTGTTTCAAGGAAGTGACTGTAATCAGCTGTGTCAACTGCTACTGAGAGTTACAGTATTACCAGAGCTGAGAACTGACCATCAAAGTGCCATGAAATTATTTTCATAAGCAAATGAATAGAGTGCCATGAATAGAGAAGTAAAATTCATCTCAATTTTGTGCAACCAGCCGGGTGCAGTGGCTCACGCCTGTAATCCCAGGACTTTGGGAGGCTGAGACTGGCAGATCACTGGAGACCACGAGTTCAAGACCAGCCTGGACAACATGGCGAAATCCCACTTCTACTAAAAATACAAAAATTAGATAGGTTTAGTGGAGCACGCTTATAATCCCAGCTACTCGGGAGGCCGAAGCATGAGAATCACTTGAACCCAAGAAGCAGAGATTGCAGTGAGCCAAGATTGCACCACTGCACTCTAGCCTGGGTGACAGAGTGAGACTCTGTCTTAAAAAAAACAAAAACAAAACAAAAAACAAAACAAAAAAAAATCTGTGCAACCAAAGTACTGAAAAATAAAATGATTTAAATCCAAAGGATTTCTAAGGGTCCCATTAATCTCTTTTGAAAGTAGAAATTTGTCAGCCTATGCTTAAGAAAAAAAATAATTAATTAAAAAAAGAGAAAAAGAAAATACCTATTATCGAGGGCAAACAACTTCAGGGCAAAGAAATAGCTCATTGTACTCCCTCCAAGTTCTCAGTATAGATAAATTTGGGCTGAAGGCCAGATTGCATGTGGAAGGAAAGGAAAGGGAAGAGGGAAGGGAAGGGAAGAGGGAAGAGACGGGAAGAGGGAAGGGAAGGGAAGAGGGAAGGAAAGGGAAGACGGAAGGAAAGGGAAGACGGAAGGGAAGGGAAGAGGGAAGGGAAGGGGAGGGGAGGGGAAGGAAAGGGAGGGAAGGGGAGGGAAGAGAAGGGAAGAGGGAAGGGAAGAGAAGGGAAGAGGGAAGGGAAAGGAAGGGAAGGGAAGGAAAGGGAAGGGAAGGGAGAAGGGAAGGGAAAAGGGAGGGAAAAGGGAGGGAGGAAGGGAGGAAGGGAAAAGGGAGGGAGGAGGGAGGGAGGACGGAGGAGGATGGAGGGAGGACGGAGGCAGGGAGTGAGGGGGGAAGGGAGGGAAGGAGGGAGGGAGTGAAGGAAGGGGAGTGAAAGAAAAGAAAGAAAATAATTTATAGTGACTAGCAGTTAACAGGGATCTGGTCTGATTTTTGCCCCATTAGATATCTGCCTCTGAGCAAGGAAAACAGTTCATGATTTGCAATAAAAGAAACATTCCAATAATCCAAGACATGCCCAGCCTTTGAGGACTTAGATCCTAAACTACCTTGTCTTCCCCAATCCTGTACACTACACCACACTCTCAGTCTCCTCCTCTGCTTAACTAAGCTCCATCTCCACTGACATCTCTGCCTAGTCTCTTAATCCAATGCATAGCCTGCTTATCTCCCAGTCAGTTCCTAGTTTACCAGCTTCCTCTCCTCATTCCCAGACTCAGGAATTCTACAGATGGCTGCTACTCAATTCCATCCTTAGAACCATACTTCTTGTACTTTGTCTAAACAGCAACCCAACAACTCACTCAACCCATGCAGGTCTTAAAGGCAGACCCCAGAAAGCAGATCTTTTACTGATATTTATTGATTAGAGTTGAAATGTCATCTTGAAATAGAAAGGATACTTTTTAATAAAAGAAAACTACCCCTATTGCAGAAGACATTAGTGAGTCCGGAATTGGTTCCTTCTGGTGGGTTCTTGGTCTCACTGACCTCAAACATGAAGCCATGGACCCTCGCGGTGAGTGTTACAGTTCTTAAAGATGGTGTGTCCGGAGTTTGTTCCTTCAGATGTTCAGACGTGTCTGGAGTTTCTTCCTTCCAGTGGGTTCGTGGTCTGGCTGACTTCAGGAGTGAAGCCACAGACCTTCACAGTGAGTGTTTACAGCTCATAAAGGTAGTGCGGACCCAGAGTGAGCAGCAGCAAGATTTATTGTGAAGAGTGAAACAACAAAGCTTCCACAAGGTGGAAGGGGACCCTAGCAGGTGGCGGCAGCTGGCTGGGGTGGCCAGCTTTATTCCCTTATTTGGCCCTGCCCACATCCTGCTGATTGGTCCATTTTACAGAGCACTGATTGGTCCATTTTTACAGAGTGCTGATTGGTGCATTTAAAAACCTTTAGTTAGACACAGAGTGCTGATTGGTGTTTACAATCCTTTAGCTAGACAGAAAAGTTCTCCAAGTCCCCACCCGACCCAGAAAGTCCAGCTGGCTTCACCTCTCATTAGGATAAAAGGACATGTGGTCACCTTTACTGTTAAGTACCCAGAATAAGAACACAGATAGTAGGTTAAACAGAAAAAACCTACAAGACTGTGAATGTTGTTTCTTATTTGTAAAGACAGGAGCATGACAAAGGCAATGGGAATGTTAAGTGCCCTTGTGTTAAAACAGTGACCAAAATTAGTCATAACAAAATGAAGTTCAACTAAGGATTCTTAAATGGGTCTAAACAGATTCAGTACCATGGCTAACATTAGTGGAACAATTTTTAAAGAGACACCTATTAAAGAACAGTTAGTGACTAAACACTTTTTCACCAAATAAACTACTTTTTCTCTCTTCTTCTCTTATCTAAACATAGGCACTCCTGAAAAATATCTCTTCCTTTATTTAACAGCCTTAACTGGAAATAGCCTAGAAGAAAGAATTAAGCAACTATTTATTTCTCATAATATGCTATACTTTGAGAGAGGACATTAATTATCCATGACCAACACTGGTTTCCTCAAAACACACACACACACACGCACACACACAGAGAGAGAGAAAGAGAGAGAGAGAGAGAGAGAGATTGCTGATAATCTGTCTGTAATCTGTCTGTACTCTTGTGGCTACCCCAATGACAAGTTATAAAAACAGCTCCCTTTGTAACAGTGCCATCTGTAGTTACTGAATGATAGTACCCATGTCTTTGGCATGTTGAGCTAACAAAGCCTACCCCCAAGAAGAGACGAAATGCAGCAGAAAATAGTAGGGAATATACTGGGAACTCAGATCCAAAAGTTCTTCTTAACTAGAGTCCATTCACCACCTTTCAGGAATTATCAAATCTCCTGAAATGGTCAACAAAATTTTGTGTGAATACATTTTGCTGGGGAGAATACTCACAGCTTAAATTCAGGAATCTGCACACATTTTTTCTAAAGGGTCAGATCACATTTTAGGCTTTGTGGGCCACATGCTCTCTGCTATAACTGCTCAACTCTACCACTGCAATTCAAAGGGAGTCACAGGGAATAGTAAATTAATGGATGTGTCTATGTTCCAATAAAACTTTTATTTACAAAAACAGGGTGGTGGCTGGATTTGCCCCAAGGCCATGGTTTGCCAACCCTAACACACTCTTAGTCATTTGCTTGCATAAATCAAGGATTCTAAAGTCCAAGTCTAATTCCTGAGTAATTTTAATATCCATTTGAATACCTCAAAAACAAATTCAATCTTCCTTGGCCTACTCAATTCTGATGACTTGTTACAAGATATTTCAGCAGTGCCAACTATGGCTAATTCTGCCACTACCATGAATGGTCATAATATGCTTCTAAAATCCTGAACTCTCAATATTTACTGATTTCACAAATATTTATCACCAAATATGTTTTAGGCTCTAGATATCACACTTACTGGCCACACAACCTCCTATCTTGCAGTTTTTTGAATTCTTAAATTTTCAATATCCTAAACTTGAACCACTCTCTCAGCATAATCCTGAGTGTCCTTTTGTTGAATCTACAATGAAGTGCTTTTATTCCAAAATAACCTCCCCCGTTCTCCCCCACAGTCACCGTAGTCCATCCAAATACCTAGGCTCCTGAATAAGACTCAATAATAGGATATGAACACGCAGAATGATTGTTTCTACAAATTTACATTTTGTAGCCCGTAATACTTCCATAATTCTTCCAGTAATGTTTCTCTCACAACCATCAACAGCTGTTCTATGTCTTTACAATTCTACTGAAGGCCCTATCCCAATATCTCCCAATACAAAACTAGGAAATGTCTCTGCTAATAGATGGAGGCATTATTCATTTCCTATCTAAAGCTACCACTTGTAAATACAGCTGCATATGAGCTCATTCTTATCCCTTCCATTCCCAGTGCAAAAGTACTCCAGCCAGACGTGGTGGCTCACACCTGTAATCCCAGCACTTTGGGAGGCCAAGGTGGGTGGATCATTTGAGGTCAGGAGTTTGAGACCAGCCTGGCCAACATGATGAAACCTCATCTCTAATAAAAATACAAAAATCAGCCAGGCATGGTGGTGGGCACCTGTAATCCCAGCTACTTGGAAGGCTGAGGCAGGAGAATTGCTAGAACCGAGGAGACAGAGGTTGCAGTGAGCAGAGATCACGCCACTGCGCGACAGAGTGAGACTCCATCTCAAAAAAAAAAAAAAAAAGTATTCCTTCCTCCTACCCAAAAGCTAACTCCTGCTCTTTGTTTGATCACAATCCCTAACAACTCCTCAAGGACTTTCATCATTACTTAATATGTTTGGTTTTTACAGAACTGCATTAGTTTTCTATTGCTCTGTAACAAATTACCAAAAACCTAGGGACTTAGTACACCCCCGATTTATTACCTAACAGCTGCGTAGGTCAGAAGTCTGGCACAACGTAGCTAGATTCTCTGCTCAGGATCTCACAGACTGAAATCAGGATGTTAGTAGAACTGTACTATTTTCTAGAGGTTCTGGGAAATAATCTGCTTCTAAGTTTATTCTGGTTGCTGGCACAATACAAGTTCCTTGTGGTTGTAGAACTGTGATCCCTATTTGCTTGCTGCCTGTCAGCTGGGGCTACTCTTAGCTTTCTAGACCCTATGTGCAATCTCCATTAGATGCAACATGAGAAAGATTCTCCTTTGCTGACCCTGAAGATGGAGGGAACTATGTGGCAAGGAATGCATTAGGAATGCTGACCTAGTAGCGTGCAGTCTTACTGACACCCTGATTTCAGTCTGTAAGACCCTCAGCAGAGAAATGTAGCCACATTGTGACAGACTTCTGACCTAAACAGCTGTTAGGTAATAAACTGGGGGTGTCCTAAGTCCCTGGTTTTTGGTAATTTGTTACAGAGCAATAGAAAATTAATGCAGTTCTGTAAAAAACAAACATATTAAGTAATGATGAAAGCCAAACCCACAAATCTTTGCAAAACAACCTGTTCTTTATCTATAGCTGTTGTTTAACTTGTTAAGGAGCAATACTCTTAAGTTTCCTAGAGATCACCTGGTTTGGTTAAGAAGATCTGTGAGGCACGCCCTTAATTTCTTGGAAGAGTCCAGTGTGACTGAATACTCTCATCTTTTGATCTTTCTGAAGTTATTATACAGCCACATCCCTGGCTTTCTCCATACCATGCTTTCAGAAGTTATTGCTATATGTTAGCATCCTTTGTCATCTTGATAGGCTAAAAATTAACTAAATCATCTAGTCTTGGTTCCCTTTTAACAAAACTTCCCTTGGTTTTCTCATATTTTACTATACGGAGCAAGAAGAAACCAGGCAGCACCTTCAACATTTTGCTTAGAAATCTCCTTGCCTATATATTCAAATTCATCATTCACAAGTTCTGGTTTCATCTTCAAAACCAGCAGCAGAGAATCTCCCTGACATCAAGTCCCTCCTACACTTAGAATACCTTTTGCCAGGAAGAGCCCAACTGCTTTTAAGTGCTCACCTGATGAGGCTGGATCCACTGAAGACAATTTTCTTTCTTAAAGTCCATTGTGTCACACAATGTAATCATAGGAGTGACTAGCCCATTATACTTATAGTTCAAAACTACATTCAAGGAGAAGTGCAGGGACTCTTAGGAGCCATCTTAGAATTCACCCTACAACAAGAGCTTTGGGTGTAGCAATTCTGAAACTACTTTCCATGTACTGTAACACTGAACAAATGAGTAAATATAATTATAATGTTAAAAGCCATGTTCTTCACTGTTGGAGAAGTGAATTACGAATATGGAACGGGAAAAGGCTAGAAAGTTGGATTAGAATTAGATGTATCCAAATGAACTCATAATTTTTTACTTATTTTAATTTTTGGATTGGTTTATCTCCCTCCTAGCTTTGTCTTTTGAGGCTAGAAGCAATGACACCCAACAGCAATGAATATAACCAGAGTACCAAATCTTAATTTCTAAATTGACTTCCCTGTTGAATGAAGCCATGGATCACTAGAAAAGTAGGTAGGATCAAATTAGGGAAAGTATAAGATGACCCTGGAACATCTTGTTGTGCCAAAATGTAAGAAAGTACTCCAAAAATGATGGGGACATGTCAAAAGCGCAGAAACCAATGTTAAGAAGTTTCTATTAAAGTTTCTGTAAATATTTAGAAAATGGAAAGAAATAAAATGTACTTCAAATCATTCAATTTTTTAGTTATATCTATTATTAATACCTTAAGTTAACAGTTTTCTTTTGCTCAAGAAAACAAAAATAAACCCAGAACAGTTATTTTAATAAAAATTAAATATTTTAAGTTCTTAAGAGAAAGTATTCACCAGTAAAAAGACATGACTAATATATTTCATCTCCAAATAATAAGTGCCATTTTTTTGGAATAGCTGGGTATCAGAATGACTACACGTACTATTCAAAAATAAATAAAACATCTGAAAACTCTTCTAACTTCCATGACTAAGATCCGCTAATGGAGATATCTCCCACTAAAATGTCCAAGCATTCTGAGGTATCCTGAACCTGCTTTCTCCACCTTAGTCATGTAATTTAAAAATAAATGGCAGAGAATTGCTTTCATGTTGAAAAGAAAAAGAGTTGAAGACAATCCTGGAGAAAGGCACTGAACAATATCAGCTCTAGATGAACTGATAAAAGAAAGCTTATGGGGGACTTCAAGATGGCTAACTAGAAGCACCAGACACTCACCTCCTCTACAAAGAAAAGCTTAATGAGTAGATAATCACACTTCAAATACAGCATCAAAGAGAGAATGTTGGAATTCAGCAGAGAAGTGACAGGCACTGAAGAAAGCAAGGCACAGAGCCCAGCCAGGACCAGCTGGGAGCCCTAAGAGGCTCCTCAGTGTGGGGAAAAGGTGAGTAAAAGATTCCCAGCATCCACATTCTCCCTGTAGATACCTGCAATCCTAGCCATAGCACAGTCCCTTAACCCTGACAAGCTGAGACTGGTATAAACAAGCTTCTAAAGAGGAAGCTCACAATAGGTTCCACGCACACCTGGAAACCCAAGCACCTGCAGCATGGCACGAATTTGAGAGCCCAGACCCCACCAGTCTGTTTTCTTTCTGGGGCCAAACAGTACCTGCATCTCCACATCCCTGGAGGCCCCATGACATCCCCTCATACCCACTGAGAGGGTTGTAGCACATGACACCAGTTGGACCCAGCACAGCAGAAATATCCCCAGCACTCTGGATCACACAGCATCCAGTACACTGAAGAAAGGACAATCCAGAGCCCTGTGGATGCTGCCTCTAGGACAAAGGGAGCCAAAGCCCAGACCCACCTGCCTCAGGTCACTGCCACTGAGAGTAACCTTGCCCACCTACCCCCGGCAACAAAGCCCCAGCACACCCGCACATGCTCTAAGGGCAGGCTCTCCCTGCCTGCTGCTGCAGCCAGGGACCAGAGCCTAAGAATCACCTGCCTGGGGCAGGTACCACAGACAGCAACCCTGCTACCCACAACAGCAGGACTGTGGTACATGTGCCTTGAGGACAGGCTCACCCTAGCCAATGCAGCCAATGCCACAGGGAATAGGGGAAGTGGAGACAAAGCATGTGCTCTCCAGAGACTGAGATGTATCTGCCTGGGATGGCTACCACTGGCATCAATCTCCCTCACCACCACCCCCACCACCTCTGTCATTGAGCCTTCCCCTTAGCAGAGCTGTTCATTTCCACATGCCCTGAGGATAGACTCTCCCTGCCTACTACTGCTGCTGCAACCACCACCCAAGGACACTATCCAGGACATGTTGATCACCCTGCCCTGCCCAACACAGCCTGCATTTGTGCACAACATCAGAGGCCTTAAGGACAAGCTCACAAGGTCTGGCACCAGCAACCCCAGTGCTCTCTATCACACTGCCCAGGGGCCTATGGATTCCCCTGCACCATCAGTCACCTCAGGCACATGCACATAAGGAGACCAAACAGCCCCAGAATGCCTGCCGCACCATAGCACGCCATCTGAAGGCCTAGGAATTGCCCCCGTCCCACCTACCACAGCCTATACCCATTTGGACCATCAGGGGGACCTGATGACAGCCCCAAAATGCCTGACACTGGGGGGAAGGGGGAGGGATAGCATTGGGAGATATACCTAATGCTAGATGACGAGTTAGTGGGTGCAGCGCACCAGCATGGCACATGTATACATATGTAACTAACCTGCACATTGTGCACATGTACCCTAAAACTTAAAGTATAATAATAAAAAAAAAAATGCCTGACACTGTCACCCCCTGAGTGCCCTACCACACCACCCTAGACCTGACAATGTCACCCCAACCAAGTGCCCTACCACACCACCCTACCATATAGCCTAGGATTGCTGTGCCCCACTGGTCACTCCAAGCAGGAGTGTGTACTACCAGATGGCATAATAACAGGCCAGAAAACCTACTGCCAGTGCCTAAGCATGCCATCTAAAGGCCTGGGGGTTCACCCTGCCCAGTCTACCACTGCTTATATCTATCTACACCCCCTAGGGGCTGGAGGACAAGGTTGCTCAGCCTGCCACCACCACCAAACCTGGCACCCAGCTATGTGTACCACCTGGGGGTCTGAAGACCAGGCTGCCCAGTCTGTCACAGCCACCACTAACAACAGTGTGTGCTACCTGGAAGCCCAGGTGTTGCCCTGCCACTATACTGCCATCACCAACACCATGCACAATGCTCAGGGGCCCAACCCACCCACTCAACTCACCACTGCCACTACTGGCACCTCAAAAAGCCACCTGGAGGCTCAAATATCAGCCTGTCTGAACCTACTAACACCAGTGCTCATATACTGTGCGCAAGGGCCCAAGAACAGGGACATTCAGCCCAACATTGCCACCACTGGGGCCAGAAGACTGGCCCACCTGGCATTGCCACACCTAATTAAACCTCACCACAGCCTCCACTAACAAATTCACCTAAGCCTCTGAGGAAAACACAGACACCACTGACAGGGTTTAAAGCCAAAGAAGTCATATGGAGACTACACTACTACACAAATCCAGAATCAATGCTGAAGCGCCCTACCTAACCAACACCATAGATACATCTACAGGAAAAAATATTCCTCTATGAAAGCCAATCCAAAAAACTGGAAGAAGTAACTGTTACAAGAGTTGCACAGATAACAATGTAAGAACACAAGAAACACAAAAAAGCAAGGAAAAGTGACACCTCCAAGGGAACACAATAATTCTCCACCAACAGATTCCAGCGAAAAGAAAATATGAAATGTCTGAAAAAAATTCGAAATCGTAGTCTAAAAGAAGCTCAGTGATATACAAGAGAACACAGATAAACAATACAAAGGAACCAGAAAAACAATTTGGGATATGAATGAGAATTCACCAAAGATAAATAAATTACAAAAACAAAATCTTAGAATAATTCAATAAACGAAATAAAAAATACAACTGAAAGCTTCAACAAGAGACTAGATCAAGCACAAGAAAGAATTTCAGAACTTGAAGACAGGTCTTTCCAAACAGTCCAGTTAGACAAAAAAAAAAAAAAGTAAAGAACAAAAAAGAATAAAGAAAGCCTACATAATGTATGGGACACCATAAAGCAACCAAATATCTGAATTGTGGGTGTTCCAGGAGGTGAAGAGATCAATGGCATAGAAAACCTATTTAATAAAATAATCGTTGAAAACTTTTCAAGTCTAACAGGAGACTTAGACATACAGATACAAGAAGATAGCAGATTCCCATATAGATACAACCCAAAAAGGTCTTTTTAGTGGCACATTATAGTCAGATTGTCAAAAGTCAAAGACAAAGAGGAAATTCTAATAACAGCAAAAAAAAAAAAGTCTAGTCACATATAAGACCACACCCATCAGACTTAACAGTGGATTCCTCAGCACAAACCTTATAGGCCAGAAGAGAATGAAATGATATTGTCAAAGTGCTGAAAGGAAAAAAAAAAAAAAAAAAGCCACCCAAGACTAGTACACTCAGCAGTTATAATGAAGGAGAAATAAAGTCTTTCTCAGGCAAACAAAAGCAGGAAATTCATCACCACTAGGCCAGGCCTACAAGAAATGTTTAAAGGAGTCCTATACCTGGAGGCAAAAGAGTAACAACTATGGGCTGGATGCGGTGGCTCATGCCTGTAATCCCAGCACTTTGGGAGGCCTAGGCAGGCAGATCACGAGGTCAGGAGCTCAAGACCAGACTGGCCAACATGGTGAAATCCCGACTCTACTAAAAATACAAAAATTAGCCGGGTGTGGTGGTACGTACCTGTAGTCCCAGCTACTCGGGAGGCTGAGGCAGGGGAATCACTTGTACCCGGGAGGAGGAGATTGCAGTGAGCTGAGATCGCACCACTGCACTCTAGCCTGGTGACAGAACCAGACACCCTCTCAAAAAAAAAAAAAAAAATACATATATATATATATATATATATATTTATATATACATACCCATATATAAAATGATATAAAGAATATAGATACAAATTTAATAATATAACAACTTAATATAATTAGGAGGGCCTGCTTACATATGAAGTATATAATATTTTATCATGATAGATTAGATATATTATTAATAAATTGCTTCCTTTAACACCCTATTCATTGAATTTTCCAGTAAACCACAATTACTAATTACTCCTGAAATCAGAAAAGAGGTTAAAAACATTTTATAACAGTATCCTATGAAATCTACTACTTTCAAGTAATAGTAGTTGAATTACCAAAACCCATCACTCAAGCCAATGACTACAATTAAGATATCAGTAACATTTCCTAGATAAATAAAGTCAATTAATTATATTTGCATCTGGGAAATGGAGAAAGTACATATAAGCCATGATTTTGAAGTCAAAAGAGAGAGAATATTTGGCAAGGAGGGGTGAGTTATAGTATGTAATTATAACATATAGTAGTTTTTTGTATGCTGGTAACTAATTTTAATTTCCTACACTTTTATGTAGATTTCTGCTATTCTTGTCCTACTTTCCTAATCATCTTTCTATATGGATGACTACATAAGCCTGAGAATACCAAAAGAGACAGACACAGAACCAATCGGATTCCTTTCTTCTTGAAGCTTCTGCACAGCAAAAGAAACTCTCAACAGAGTGAACAGACAACCTACAGAATGGGAGAAATTTTTGCAACAATGCATGTGACAAAGATCTAATGTCCAACACTGATAAGGAACTTAAACAAATTTACAAGAAAAAAAATCTCATTAGAAAGTGGGCAAAGAACATAAACAGACACTTCAAAAGAAGACACATGCGGCCAACAAGCATATGAAAAAAAGCTCAATATCACTGATCATTAGAGAAATGCAAATCAAAACCACAATGGCATACCATCTCACACCAGTCAGAATGGTTATTATTAAAAAGTCAAGGCCGGGCATGGTGGCTCACGCCTATAATCCCAGCACTTTAGGAGGCCAAGGCAGGCGGATCACATGAGGTCAGGAGTTCGAGACCAGCCTGGACAACCTGGCGAAACCCCGTGTCTACTAAAAATACAAAAATTAGCCCAGCGTGGGTGTCGGGCGCCTGTAATCCCGGCTACTCAGGATGCTGAGGCAGGAGAATCGCTTGAACCCGGGAGACAGAGGTTGTAGTGAGCCGAGATCATGCCACTGCACTCTCCAGCTTAGGTGACAGAGCGAGACTCTGTCTCAAAAAAAAAAAAATTATATTTGAATTTTGTTTAAATCGCTAACACATACTGGGCATTCAATAACAAAAGAAAGGACATGAGATTGTGATCCTTATGAGGGTTTGAGAGGCACTTCACTAGGGTTTAACATAGAGCAGTCTGAAACATACTGTAATAATTTAATCCAATGGCTCATCTACAGCACCTAAAAAGATTACAGCAGATTCTCATTATTCAGTGTAGTTACGGTCTAGAAAGTTCCATGAACAAATAAAAAGTTAGGTTTCAGCAAGCTACTGGTCACATTTTTGTAAACTTACCAACACCTACTTTTGTTGTATGTGTGCTTATTTAATATATATTGTTGGCCAGGCACAGTGGCTAACGCCTGTAATCCCAGCACTTTGGGAAGCCAAGGCAGGCGGATCACTTGAGGTCTGGAGTTCGAGACCAGCCTGGCCAACGTGGTGAAACCCCGTCTCTACTAAAAATACAAAAAAAAAAAAAAAAAAAAAAAAAAAATTAGCCAGGCATGGTGGCGCATGCCTGTAGTCTTAGCTACTCGGGAGGCTAAGGCAGGGGAATCGCTTGAACCCAAGAGGCAGAGGTTGCAGTGAGCCAAGACTGCACCACTGCACTCCAGCCTGAGCAACAGAGTGAGATTCTATCTCAAAAATAATAATAATAATAATTAAATGAATGAATAAATAAATAATATATATTGTTCATTCATTAACATTGAACTCACAGCCAATGGCACTACAGCACTCACGCCTGAATGAAGTTTATTTAATGCATCTATTTTCTCTGTAAGGCACATCACAGACTTCTTGGACTTGTGAATGCTAAGCAGCACTTCAGCACTATGCTTGGGGGTTAATTTAAGTGGCAAAACAACCAACAAACAGTACAAAAATAGGAAAAGCATGGCATTAAATAGACCACAAAAAGGATACCTGACTATTGTATGAGAGCTGAAAAAGAAGGCAGAATATCACTTTGTTCAAACTGAAATTCTTTGACACTCTATGCAAACACATGACTATGAAAGTGCTGTGAGTACTGATTTTGGGGTTACAAAAAATAGTAGGTGAGTTCACAAATACAAAAGCTGAAAACAAGGAGGATCGACTGTATTTTCGTAGACAATCTAATCTCATAGAAGATTTCAATTCAGACAAAAATCATGAGAATTACTGTATTACAAAAGGGCACTAGATGGGGGAAAAGAGTAAAAATCAGAATTAAAACAAAGGTTCAAAATTCTGCATCAACCATATCCAGTTACACTTTAATATGTTTGTGGCAGACGACATTATTGTTCCCAACTCATCACCCCTCCCTATATCTACAACCTTTCCCCAAGACAATGCAGTTCCTCCTGCTAGAGATCAGGTATGTTTATCTATACTATCAATGTTAGCCATGGACAAGGTATGTGCTTTGGCTGACTGAATGTTAGTGGACATGATAGAAGCAATGGCTTAAAATGTACTTCCAGAACTGGAGTTTCCTTGTGATTCTATCACTGTGACAAAAACACATCCTCAGGTAGTCCACTGATCCAAGGGGGAACAAACACACAGAAAACATACCTAGACTCTATCTGCAGCTTGCAGCCTCACCAAGCCAAGAACAGTCAACTCACAGATATGTTAGCAAAAATAAATGTTTTTCATACCTTAAGTTTTATATAATTATTGACCTGTAGTTAACTGATATATAATATACTTTAATCTTAAAATATCATTATCCCATTAAAAATATTTACATTAAAAACTGAGACCTCTCCCTCTCCCTCTCCCTCTCCCCACGGTCTCCCTCTCCCTCTCTTTCCACGGTCTCCCTCTGATGCCAAGCCGAAGCTGGACTGTACTGCTGCCATCTCGGCTCAATGCAACCTCCCTGCCTGATTCTCCTGCCTCAGCCTGCCGAGTGCCTGCGATTGCAGGCGCGCGCCGCCACGCCTGACTGGTTTTCATATTTTTTTGGTGGAGACAGGGTTTCGCTGTGTTGGCCAGGCTGGTCTCCAGCTCCTAACCGCAAGTGATCTGCCAGCCTCAGCCTCCCGAGGTGCCGGGATTGCAGACAGAGTCTCGTTCACTCAGTGCTCAATGTTGCCCAGGCTGGAGTGCAGTGGCGTGATCTCGGCTAGCTACAACCGCCACCTCCCAGCCGCCTGCCTTGGCCTCCCAAAGTGCCGAGATTACAGCCTCTGCCCGGCTGCCACCCCGTCTGGGAAGTAAGGAGCGTCTCTGCCTGGCCGCCCATCGTCTGGGATGTGAGGAGCCCCTCTGCCCAGCTGCCCAGTCTGGGAAGTGAGGAGCGCCTCTTCCCGGCCGCCATCCCGTCTAGGAAGTGAGGAGCGTCTCTGCCCGGCCGCCCATCGTCTGAGATGTGGGGAGCGCCTCTGCCCCGCCGCCCCGTCTGGGATGTGAGGAGCGCCTCTGCCCGGCCGCGACCCCGTCTGTGAGGTGAGGAGCATCTCTGCCCAGCTGCCCCGTCTGAGAAGTGAGGAGCCCCTCCACCCGGCAGCCGCCCCGTCTGAGAAGTGAGGAGCCCCTCTGCCCGGCCAGCCGCCCCGTCCGGGAGGGAGGTGGGGGGTCAGCCCCCGCCCGGCCAGCCGCCCCGTCCGGGAGGGAGGTGGGGGGCACCTCCTCCAGGCCACCGCCCCGTCTGGGAGGTGGGGGGCGCCTCTGCCTGGCCGCCCCTTCTGGGAAGTGAGGAGCCCCTCTGCCCGGCCACCACCCTGTCTGGGAGGTGTACCCAACAGCTCATTGAGAACGGGCTATGATGACGATGGCGGTTTTGTGGAATAGAAAAGGGGGAAAGGTGGGGGAAAGATAGAGAAATCAGATGGTTGCCGTGTCTGTGTAGAAAGAAGTAGACATGGGAGACTTCATTTTGTTCTGTACTAAGAAAAATTCTTCTGCTTTGGGATGCTATTGATCTATGACCTTACCCCCAACCCTGTGCTCTCTGAAACATGTGCTGTGTCCACTCAGGGTTAAATGGATTAAGGGCGGTGCAAGATGTGCTTTGTTAAACAGATGCTTGAAGGCAGCATGCTCGTTAAGAGTCATCACCACTCCCTAATCTCAAGTACCCAGGGACACAAACACTGCGGAAGGCCGCAGGGTCCTCTGCCTAGGAAAACCAGAGACCTTTGTTCACTTGTTTATCTGCTGATCTTCCCTCCACTATTGTCCTGTGACCCTGCCAAATCCCCCTCTGCGAGAAACACCCAAGAATGATCAATTAAAAAAAAAAAAAAAAAAACTGAGACCACTTTCTTTCCTTTTTTTTTTTTTTAAATTAAGAGACAGGGTGTCTCAATGTTGCCCAAGCTGGAGTTCAGTGGCTAGTGGCTATTCACAAGCATGATCATCGCACACTACCTCAAACTCCTGGGATCAAGCAATCCTCCTGCCTCAGCCTTCCAAGTAGCTGGGACTGTAAGTGTGTACCACAGCATGTCAGCTCTCTCTCTCCTTCTTGACCTAAAGCCTAGCATAAAATTAGCTAAGTAGAATGTTTCCAAAGATGCCTGCATCAGTATCTCCCATCCCACATAATTTCTGTTTGATTTTGCCATTCACCCATATAATGGTGGGATCTACCTCCCCTCCTTGCAAATTTGAGCTGGCCCTCTGATCCTGTCTAAGATCTGAAGCCAGATATTAAGGTACTTAATTAATTTCCATGTTTGTCCTCCATGCAACCTAGCAATCAAGCAAGAAGTCAAAACCTACTGATATAGTTTGGATGTGTCCCCACCCAAATCTCACCTTGCATTGTAATAATTCCCACATGTCAAGGGTGGGGCCAGGTGCAGATAACTGAATCATGGGGACGGTTCCCCCCATACTGTTCTCATGGTACTGAATAAGTCTCATGAGATCTGATGGTTTTATAAATGGGAGTTCCCCTGCACATGCTCTCTCCTGCCTGCTGCTATGTGAGACATGCTTTTCCATCTCCTTGCCTTCCACCATGATTGTGAGGCCTCCCCAGCCATGCAGAACTGTGAGTCAATTCAACCTCTTTCCTTTATAAATTACCCAGTCTCAGGTATGTCTTTATTTGCAGTGTGAGAACAGACTAATACAATAAGTTGATACCAGTAGAGTGGGGTGCTGCTGTAAAGATACCCGAAAATGTGGAAGCAACTTTGGAACTGGGTAACAGGGAGAGGCTGGAACAGTTTGGAAGGCTCAGAAGAGGATAGGAAAATGTGGGAAAGTTTGGAACTTCCTAGAGACTTGTTGAATGGCTTTGACCAAAATGTTAATAGTGATATGGACAATAAGGTCCAGGCAGAGGTGGTCTCAGATGGAGATGAGGAATTTGTTGGGAAATGGAGTAAAGTCACTCTTACTATGCAAAGACACTGGAGGCATTGTGCCCCTGTATTAGAAAAGGGCATAAGATAGGCGGGAAAGAGTGAAATAAGAATTTTTTTCTAGAGTTCCCTAGAGATCTGTGGAACTTTGAACTTGACAGAGACGATTTAAGGTATCTGCCAGAAGACATTTCTAAGCAGCAAAGCATTCGAGAAGAAGCAGAGCATAAAAGTTCAGAAAATCTGTAGCCTGATGATGCAACAGAAAAGAAAAATCTATTTTCTGAGGAAACTGGGTTGTAGAAATTTGCATAAGTAATGAGGAGCCAAATGTTAATCACCAAGACAATGGGGCAAATGTCTCCAGGGCATGTTAGAGACCCTCACAGCAGACCCTCCCATCACAGGCCTGGAGGCTTAGAAGGAAAAAATGGTTTTGTGGGTCCAGAACCCCCTGCTGTGTGCAGCCTAGTAACTTGGTGCCCTACATCCCAGCTGCTCCCGCCATAGGTAAAAGGGGCCAAGATACACCTCAGGCCATGGCTTCAGAGGGTGCAAGTCCCAAACCTTTCAGGTTCTAGGTGGTGTTAAGCCTGCAGATGCACAGAAGTCAAGAATTAAGGTTCGTGAACCTCCGCCTAGATTTCAGAAGATGTATGAAAATGCCTGAAAATCCAGGCAAAAGTTTGCTGCAGGGAGCGGGGGGGGCCCTCATGGATAACCTCTGGTAGGGCAGTGTCAAAGGGAAATATGGGGTTGGAGCCCCCACACAGAGTCCCCACTGGGGTACTGCCAAGCAGAGCTGTGAGAAAACGGCCACCATCCTCCAGACCCCAGAATGGTAGATCCACTGACTGCTTGCACTGTGTGCCTGGAAAAGCTGCCAACACTCAATGCAGCCAGAAGGGGGGCTGTACCCTGCAAAGCCACAGGGGCGGGGCTGCCCAAGACCCTGGGAACCCACTTCTTGCATCACCTGGATGTGACACATGGAGTCAAAGGAGGTCATTTTGGAGCTTTAAGATTTGCCTGCTGGGTTTTGGACTTGCATGGGGCCTGTAGCTCTTTCGCTTTGGCCAATTTCTCTCATTTGAAAAAAGTGTATTTACCCAAAGCCTGTATCCCTGTTTATCTAGAAAGTAACTAACTTGCTTTTGATTTTACAGGCTCATAGGTGGAAGGGACTTGCCTTGTCTCAGATGAGACTTTGGACTATGGAATTTTGAGTTAATGCTGAAATAAGAGTTTGGGGGACTTTGGGGAAGGCATGATTGGTTTTGAAATGTGAGGACATGAGATTTCGGAGGGGCCGAGGCAGAATTAAATGGTTTGGCTGTGTCCCCACCCAAATCTCATCTTGAATTGTAACAATTCCCATGTGTCAAGGGCGGGGCCAGGTGGAGATAATTGAATCATGGAGGCAGTTTCCCCCATGCTGTTCTCATGGTAGTGAATAAGTCTCATGAGATCTGATGGTTTTATAAATGGGAGTTCCCCTGCACATGCTCTCTCCTGCCTGCCGCCATGTAAGACACGACTTTGCACCTCCTTGCCTTCCACCATGATTGTGAGGCCTCTCCAGCCATGCAGAACTGTGAAACAATTAACCTCTTTCCTTTATAAATTATCCAGTCTCAAATAGGTCATTATTAGCAGCATGAGAACAGACTAATACACCTAAGACTACCACACTGTGAAAAGACCCAAACTAGACATGTGGCAAGAGAAAAAGACAGAGAGACAGAGAGCCAGCAAGAAGGGAAGGGGTGGGGTAGAAGTAAGGAAGAGGCAAAGACACAGAGAGATGCCATGGAGCAGGACACTGACTGCAAACCATCTGGGCCCCTTTTGTATCTTACAGCGATCCTAGTGCTCCAGCTGATACTGTATGAAGCAGAACCACCCAATCAATCCACATGATTGTGAGAACAAATAAATTGCTATTGTTTTATGACACTAACTTTTGGGGAAAATTATTACATGATAACTCAAATAGTTGTTAATAAATGTGTGCTGAATTAATTCATTAAAATATTCTGTTTAATGCTTACCTTGGTGTTGGCCATGTCCACAATATACTGGTCTCCTTTTATACATTCCATTACTTCAAAACCATCTCTGTCAATCACCTTGGCCTGAGAGCTTCCAGATACAACAAGAATCATGTCTCCTGTGTTACTATACTGTAATGACTTGATCTGATGGCTGTACGAAAAGAAAAGGAAAGTTGGTAAGATACTAAGCACAATGTTTATAATTTTACTACATTAAGTATTGCCAGAAAAAAAAATGTTACACAAATGGACAAATTGATAATTCCACAAAATCAGGAACATCAACCTCAAATGGGTTCTAAATACCCACTAGCGGCTGGGCAAGGTAGCTCATGCCTATAATCCCAATACTTTGGGAGGCCAAGGCAGATGGATCACCTGAGGTCAGGAGTTCAAAATCAGCCGGACCAACATGGTGAAACCCCATCTCTAATAAAAATACAAAAACTTAGCCAGGCATGGTGATGGGCACCTGTAATCTCAGCTACTTGGGAGGCTGAGGCAGGAGAATTGCTTGAACCTGGGAGGCAGAAGTTGCAGTGAGCCAAGATCACGTCATTGCACTCCAGCCTGGGCAACAAGAGCAAAACTCTGTCACCAGAAAAAAAAAAAAAAAAACAACCACCACCAACCAACCAACCACTGGCTATTCTGGTAGCTCTCTCTTCCCACTCTCCACTGCAATCTATTAAAACTCTCTCTAATTACCTTATATCTCCAACCCAACCAACTCTCCCTCTTTCAGCTGTTAAATCTTCTGGCTCTTTCTCAGAAAACAAGAACTGCCTCAACTTCCTCTCATTATTGTTATAAACTTATCTTTACCTGAACTTTCTTCCTCCTCCTCTTTCATTACAATGGTAGAAATGAACCTCTTCCAGTCCATGGAAAATCATACTTATATCCTGGATCTCATCTCTCCCAGTCTCCTCAGGAACTTCTACTATCTTCTCTCTCTCATCCCCTTCACAGCTAAGCTGTTTGAACAAGTTTTCAAGCCTCCTCATCTCCTCCTTTAGTTCTTTAGCACTACAATACCTTTCCACCCTCACCATTCCACTAAAACTGATCTTGATCTTGCCATTGTGGCTGTAGTGAATACAGTGGTGTGCTACCCAGAACTCCCCCTTCAAAAGTGAAGTGCTCATTCTCCCAGCTTCTGGGATTTTGCCTACTGATGGCTAATAACTGAACCCTCAGGAATTTCCCTGAGTTGCAACTCCCTCACCAAAGGTTATGCTATTATACCACCCCAAAACAGCCCACATTCAATGACTGGTCAATATGCAGTAAAATAGTCCATTCCTGAAATATCTCAGAGGGGTTATTTTAGCTTCAGATCTCCCTGTGGAACAGTTGTTGCTGCTATGGCAACTACATGGCAATTCAATTTCCCCATCTTCACAATGCTGTTTCCCTTGTACCCTCTCTCACAGGGATTGACCCCAAAACACTCCCCAATATAAACTTCTGACATGCAAATACAGACATTTCAAAGTGTGTTTTTGGGAAACCTGACCTGGGAGAGTTGATACCAAAAGTGGTCCTATGAAGTTTTGACTTCAAATGAGAATCTGATGCTGTATCAACCACAAACTGGCTAGCAATGAGAAACCCATTACTGGTGGCACACAGTCCCTAACATGCCACAGTAGGGCAACCACAATTGCTGAAACTTTTGTTGGTGAAAGAGAAGCCATGGCAGGTGCAATATTTCAGGCATTTGTGAAGTACAGAGAAGTAATTAAAAGGACTAGGAATTCGATAGCTGTTGCTAAGAGCAGTCGATGCAACGGAGAAAAACAACAAAAGGCTGAGAGTGACAAATCACCAATTAAAGACTATAGCGTGAAAGCCAGATAGTCTCTTTGGCAGCATATAAAGACTGGGTTATTGGTCTTGATCAGATAAGTGGTATGCAGTCATTGATCTCATGAAGCATGTTTTTCTGCCCCTATTAAGGAGGACTGAAAGCAGCTGACAGTCACATCCAACTAACAATAGCATACATTTAAATGCCTGAATCAAGGCTATTATTAATTTTCCAGCCTTTAGAGTCCCAGGGGATATGGGCAATCCAAAGAAATTCATGTTGATCCCTGGTCTAAATATCACATTAACTCAATCAGGTGAGCAAGAAGTAGCACATACACTGGTAAGATACAACCTTTCCAGAAAATAAGAGAGAAACCCTATAAAAGAACAGGAGATTGAGACAAGGAGATGAGGAGAATATCTCCTTGTCTCATGTAGATAGACATATGAAAGGGGACAAGTATGAAGCTTTTTGTGTCACAAGTTAATCCCAGAAAGCATCAACCTCAAAAGAGGCAATGAATAACCATGCAAAGTGACTTGGCCAGTTTGGCTGTGACTGTTAACACAATAGGCTTGTAAATGAAATAGTCATGGTGGCATGAATAGAAGTTGTAGATGAGCCCAACAGCAACTCTTAACTTGACCTAACTGTTGTTGCTGCTGAAGATCCAACCTGCCAACTATGGTGAGCCCTTCCTCCCAAAATCAATACTAAGCTAATAAATAAGTAAAATATATTATATGAAAAAACGGTAATAAGTATGTGGGGGAAATAAAGCTAGGAAGGTAACAGGACAGGGATAAATATTTTAAATAGAGAGGTCAAGAAATAAGTGAGTAGCTAGAATTACAGAATCACTTAAAGGCAAAATAAAGATGTTTTCAGAAAAACTAAAACTAACAGAATTTGTCAACAGTTGACTTGCTTTAAAAGAGATACTACACAGAATTCTCCAGGTAGAAAGAAAATGATCCCTAATAAAAGCACAGAGTATGGCATGAAGAATAACAGAAAGGGAGAATATACAAGTAAATGAATGAATAAGTTATGAATACTGACTGCATAAAATAACAATACCACCTGAATGGTTTAAAATGCATATACCAATATGTAAAAGTACAGAGGACACTTGAACAACAAAGGTTTGAACTGCACGGGTCCACTTTTACACTGATTTTTCTCAACCACATGCAGATAAAAAATACAGTATTCTGCCAGGGACAGTGGCTCGTACTCATAATCCCAGCTATGCAATGAGCTATGATCGCGTCACTACACTCCAGCCTATGTGACAGAGCAAGACCCAATCTCTTAAAAAAAGAAGAAAAGGCCAGGCACAGTGGCTCACGCCACAGTTTGGGAGGCCAAGGCAGGTGGATCACGAGGTTGAGATCGAGACCATCCTGGCTAACATGGTGAAACCCCGTCTCTACTAAAAATACAAAAAATTAGCCAGGTGTGGTGACATGCACCTGTAGTCCCAGCTACTTGGGAGGCTGAGGCAGGAGAACTGCTTGATCTCAGGAGGCGGAAGTTGCAGTGAGTCAAGATTGCTCCACTGCACTCCAGCCTAGGTGACAGAGCGAGACTCCGTCTCAGAAAAAAAAAAAGAAGAAGAAAAAAGAAACAATAAAACATTGTAGATAGTATTCACAATAGTATTCACAGGATGCAAAACTTGCATACACAAAAGGCTGGCTTTTCCCATAGGTGGATTTCTCAGGACCAACTGCAGGACTTGAGTATGCACAAATTTGAATATAGACAGGGATTCTTGCCTATAACAAGGGGACAACTATACGTGAAAACAGCTGCAAAATGGCAGGAGGGAGTAAATGCAGTTACATGTAGTTAATGATCCAAAGTCTTTGTATTGACTGGGAAGTAGTAAAAGTACTAATTTATAATAGACTTTGTTAAGTTGTAATCTTTAGACTAACGACTAAAAGAATAGTAAAAGACAATAAACTAAAAAGCTAACAGAGAAGAGAAAACATAGTATTAAAAATTAATGCAGATCAGGCACGGTGGCTCATGCTATAATCCCAGCACTTTGGGAGGCTGAGGTGGGTGGATCACCTGAGATTGGGAATTTGAGACCAGCCTGACAAACATGCAGACACCCCATCTATACTAAAAATGCAAAAAAAAACATAGCTGGGCATGGTGGTGCATGCCTTTAATTCCAGCTACTCAGGAGGCTGAGGCAGGAGAATTGCTTGAACCCGGGAGGTGGAGGTTGCAGTGAGCCGAGATCACGCCATTGCACTCCAGCCTGGGCAACAAGAGCAAAATGCCATCTCCAAAAAAAAAAAAAAAAAATATGTAATGCAAAAGACAAGACAGTAAAGAGGAAATAAAACAGAATGGACAAATAAAAACAGTGAATAAGATGGATGGTTTACATCCAAATTTATAAGTAATTAAATATAACTAACTTAAAGGTTATAATTAAAAGACAAAGTTTGACAGGATGGATAGAAAACTTCTGCATAAAAAAGACAATTTATTTATATGGAGAGTGTGAATTAAAAGAATGTAAAAACATATTTCACAAAGACTTACTAAAATAAAGCTGGTATATCTTACGAATATCAGGCAGAGTGGCCTTGAAAATCAAGGAATGAGGGCCAGGCGTGGTGGCTCACGCCCATAATTCCAGCACTTTGGGAGGCCAAGGCAGCTGGATCACCTGAGATAGGGAGTTCAAGACCAGCCTGACCAACATGGAGAAACCCCGTCTCTACTAAAAATACAAAAAAAATTAGCTGGGCATGGTGGTGCATGCCTGTAATCCCAGCTACTTGGGAGGCTGAGGCAGGAGAATTGCTTGAACCTGGGAGGTGGAGGTTGTGGTGAGCCAGATTGCGCCATTGCACTCCAGCCTGGGCAACAAAAGCGAAACTCCATTTAAAAAACAAAACAAAACAAAAAATCAAGGAACAAGGATGGGTACCGTGGCTCACACCTATAATCCCAGCATTTTGGGAGGCCAAGGCAGGTGGATCACTTGAGGCCAGGAGTTCAAGACCAGCCTGGCCAATATAGCGAAACCCCATCTCTACTAAAAATACAAAAAATTAGCCAGGCGTGGTAGCGCACGCTTGTAATCCCAGCTACTCGGGAGGCTCAGGCGTGAAAATCACTGGAATCTGAGAGGTGCAGATTGCGGTGAGCTGAGATCATGCCACTGCACTCCAGCCTGGGCAATAGAGCAAGACTCTGTCCCAAAAAATAAAAATAATAAAAATAATAAAATAAAGGAACATTACTGGAGATAAAAAGGAAATTTCACCATTATCCTCAGCAAACTAATGCAGAAACAGAAAACCAAATGCTGCATGTTCTCACTTATAAGTGGGAGCTGAATGATGGGAACACATGGACACATGTGGGGGAACAACACACCTAGGGGAACAACACACATTGGGGCCTGGGTGGCAGGGGGAGAGCATGTGGAAGAATAGCTAATGGATGCTGGGCTTAATACCTAGGTGATGGGTTAATCGGTGCAGCAAACCACTATGGCACACGTTTACCTATGTAACAAACCTGCACATCCTGCACATGTAGCCCTGGAACTTAAAATAAAAGCTGAAGATTAAAAAAAAGAATAATAACAAATGGGGAAATCTACCAGGCAGATACAATAATTCTAAGTGTGCTCATGCCTAGTGACATTCCTCCAAATACATAAAGCAAAAAATTACAAAACTAAAAGGAGAAACAGGCAAATCTACAATCACACTCGGAGATTTCAACATCTCTTTTCCAGTAACTGATCCTACCAGCCAATTTTTGAAGAGCAATAAGGATAGAGAAGATTAGAACCACAAAATTAATAAACTAATTTACCTATGTTGGATCCACAACAAAAAATGCAGTCAAGTATACAAATAATGTTTAAAAAATTGACATATGCAAATCTGTAAATCAAGTCTCAATAAATGTCAAAAACCTAAAATCATATAGCATATGTTCTCTAATCCTAGTGGAACTGTTACAAATAAATTCTCAAAAATAATCTGAAAACCACTGAATGTTTGAAAATAAAGCAAGATACCTATAAGTAATCCTTAGATCAAAGAAAAAAACACAATACAAATTAGAAAATGTTAACTGAATGATAATGAAAATATAATGAATTAGAACTTGTGACATATAGCTAAAGTAGAAAATTTAGTATTTAGTAGAAAATTTATGGAGTTAAATGCATATATTACAAAAAAACTGTTTTAATCAATGATCTAAACATATGTTTCCAAAAGCTGGAAACAGCAAACTATATCTATCTCTCATGAACACAGATACAAAATGTTCCAAACAAAATATAGCAGATGGAATCCAGCAATATATATATAAAAGGAAAAGATATCACAATCATGTAAAATGTACTCCAGGAAGGCAAGACAGGTTTAATATTCAAGTCAATTCATGTGACTTTCTAAAAATCCAGCATAAAGGAAGAAAAGTAATTCAGGTATCTGATAAAACATATCAAAAGACAACATTAAGAATGTAAGGCCAGGCGCGGTGGCTCAAGCCTGTAATCCCAGCACGTTGGGAGGCAGAGGCGGGCAGATCACCTGAGCTCAGGAGCTCGAGACCAGCCTGGCTAACATGGTGAAACCCTGTTTCTACTAAAAATACAAGAAATTAGCTGAGCGTGATGGCACACACCTGTAATCCAGCTACTCAGGAGGCTGAGGCAGGAGAATCGCTTGAACCCAGGAGGCAGAGGTTACAGTGAGCCGAGATCATGCCATTGCACTCCAGCTTGGGCAACAAGAGCGAAACTCAGTCTCAAAAAAAAAAAAAAAAAGAATATGAATACACCAAGCTACAGAGTAGGAGAAAATATTTGTAATGCAAAGGATTATTGCTGTGTGTGTACGTGTATCTCCTAAAATACACTGATTTAAAAAAAAAAAGAATAAAAAGACCAACAACCCACTAAAAGTAAAAAGATAGATACTTAACAAAATATATTCAAGTGCTCTATAAAAACATTAAAAGGTGCTTCACATCATTAATCATTTATGAAATGCAAAAACAAAAAAACACAAGGTATCATTTTATACCCACCCACTAAAATGGTTAAATCAAAGATACTGACCATATCAAATATGGTCAAGAATGTGGAGCAATTAGAATTCTCATACACAACTGGTAAAGTGTAAGATAAAAAAATATGTTGGAGAACTGTTTGGCAGTTTCATATAAAGGTAAACATGTACCTATCCTACGACTCAGCAGTTCTATTCTTAGGTATGTTCATAGCACACAAAAAGGCTCATACAAAAACGTTCAAAGCAGCTTTATTCATTACGTCCAAAAGCTGAAAACAATAATCTAAATTGTACACTTGGCCAGGCACAGTGGCTCATGCCTGTAATCCCAGCACTGTGGGAGGCCGAGGTGGGCAGATCACTTGAGGCCAGGAGTTTGAGATCAACCTGGCCAAAATGGCAAAACCCCATCTCTACTAAAAGTACAAAAAAATTAACAGGGCATGGAGGCGGGTGTCTGTTAAATCCCAGCTACTAGGGAGGCTGAGGCAAGAGAATTTCTTGAACCCGGGAGGCAGAGGTTGCAGTGAGCCAAGATCGTGCCACTGCACTCCAGCCTGGGCAACAGAACAAGACTCCATCTCAAGTAATCAATCAATTGTACACTTTACACGTTGTATATATAATTTGTACATTTGGTATATTCATGCAATGAAATACATGGATAAATGTCATAAACATTTTATTGAGTAAAACAAAAAAGAAACATACTATATATTATATAATCCCAATTACATAAAGTCAAAAAAATAGGAAAATATTATGGCAATAAAAATTTAAAAGTACTTGCCTCTATGGGAAGGAGGGACATAGAATGAAAAAGAATCAAGAGAACTTTCTGAGGAGATGGGTATATTTGTTTTCAGTGATACTTATGCAAGTGTATGCAAATATCAAAGCATTCAAGTCAAGGCTTTAAGAATGGCAAAATCTTGCATACAAATTGTACTTTAACAAAATTTGTATTTAAACTTGGGATATTCACTAATAATTTCATAAAACCTCCTGGCAAATTAGGAAGTAAAGGGAAAGTTCTTAATTTGATAAAGGGTATCATTAAAAAAAAACTATAACAAATATCTTCCTTAATGCTGACATGTTAAAAACCTTCCCTCTGACATTAGGAGCAAGAAAAGAAAGCCTATTTTCAACACTTCTATTCAACATACGATAGAGGTCCTTGACCATGCAATATGACAAGAAAAAGACCACCTGATTTATGACAAAAGTGATGAAAGCAGTCTTTTCAATGAATGATGCGGAGTCAATTTGACATTGTAAATAATAAATCTTTGTCCTTATTTTACAACACACATAAAAATCAATTCCAGGTACAGTGTAGGCATTAATTATTAACTTTTAAAAGTAATATATCTAAACTTCTGGAAGATAAAATTGACAACACGGGGTTAAAGAAAAATTTTCTTAAACAGAAAACAAAAAAATTCTAACCATAAAAAAAAGAATGCAAATGTTACCTTCATCAAAATTAGTAACTTCTATTCACCAAAAGACATCACAAACAGTGACAAAACAAGCCAAAAATTGCGAGTGAATATGTGCCTCCTATTTAACCAACGAAAGTCCCTAGATCCACCATATTTTTAAAATCTATTAAATGGTATTTAAAAAAAAAAGGCAACCACCGGAAAAATGGCCAAAAGATTTAACCATTTGAGAAAGGATATCCAAATATCCAATAATGTTATGAGAAGTTGTCTAATCTCATCATGCATCACAAAAATTCAAAATAAAGCCACAATGAAATACTACTATATATCCACCAAAATGACTAAAATTTAAAAGGTTGACAACACAAAGTGTTGGCAAAGATGTAAGGTAACTTTTGTGGACTATGGGTAGGAGGGTAGATTGGTACAATGATTTTCAAAATCTATTAGAAATACCTGCTAATGGGCTGGTGCAGTGGCTCACACCTGTAATCCCAGCACTTTGGGAGGCCAAGGCGGGTGAATCACTTGAGTTCACGCGTTTGAGACTATCCTGGCCAACATGGCAAAACCCTAAAACCTAAAAATGCAAAAATTAGCCATGCGTGGTGGCTCATGCCTGTAGTCCCAGCTACTCAGAAGGCTGAGGCAAAAGAATTGAACCCAGGAGACAGAGGTTGAAGTGAGCTGAGATTGTGCCACTGCACTCCAGCCTGGGCAACAGAGTGAGACTCGGTCTCAAAAAAAAAAAAAAGAAGTACTTGCTAATGCAGAATGTATGCATAATCAATGACCTAGCAATTCCACTACCAAGTATATACCCAACAGAAAAGCAAATATATGTTCCAAATGACATCTACAAGAATGTTCACAGAAAAACTACTCATAATAGCCCCAAACCAGAAATAAGTCAAATGTCCACAGGCAGAAAATAGCTAAGTAGATATATATTCATACAGTAGCACACTGTACAGCAATTGAAATGTACAAATTTCTGCTATAAACCATATGGATATATTTTATAAATATAATCAAGTGAAAGAAGCCAGACAAAAACAATATATGCTGTATTTACCCATTTAAGTAATATTCAAATATAGGCAAAAGTAATCTATGGTGCAAGTAGTCAGGATGAGAAGGTTGTGGGTAATATCTGGTAAACAAGTTTCTGGTGCTGGTAACACTCTACTTCTTCTATCTGGGTAGTAATTACAGGGATGTATTCATTTTATGATTAGTCCTCAAGCTACAGCCTTAGTAGTATTGTAATTTTCTAAATATTATATTTTAATTTAAACATTATAAAAATTAGAGACATCTGAAGCAATTTTATATTAAGGCCCTTAATTCACCAGTAAAGACATCAAATGGGTACACTACCACACTTTACAGTGTAATTTAATCCTTGAAGGCTAGAAAATTCTCAGAATAAACTAGTAAGTATATGTAAAATGTTTTGTGGTTGAAATTGTTTGAGGGGTTTGGGTTTATTTTTGTGCGTTTTTTTTTGTTTTTGTTTTTGTTTTTGTTTTTTGCTTACATGGGCATCCTTCAGTTTTTAATAATGTGAAAAATTCTATTTACCCATTGCCAATGTGTATAAATTAATCTGAGGCAATTTTATACAATAAAAGGTGAACTTTTATGTATGAAACAATAATTTAACAAAAAATGTAAAGGAAGAAGAATGTTCGTTACAAATATAGGAAACATAAATATTACCAAATATTGGCAAGCACTAAAATGTTCAGAAATATAAGTCTATTACAGTTATAGCTCTCTCAAGCAAAAAAATAGCAGAGAAAAACTTAGTTTACCTTAGGGGCTATTTATTTACTTAGAGATTTGTTAAAAGGTCAAATGGGGTCACACAGAATACTAAGAAGAGCTGTTCACCCAGGCCTCACTAAGAACTCTTCTTCATTCAGTAGCTATATAGTAATATGACAACTGCTCCTACAACGCAAAGAGTAACTACAGCAACTACTCTTTAGCATCTGCTGCTCCCAACTCTGCTTTGCAATTACATGACTCAAGCATTCTGGCTCCATTAACTATTACTTCTGTTACTCCCAATTAAATTCCCTCTAACCCTCCCACTCTGCCTGTTTAAGCTTTCTGCTGCCTCATGACTTCAATTCCATCAGAGTTATGCATTCTGTTTCCTCTGTACATTTTTGCTCTGCTTCCATTGCTAATTCCCTAGTAAAGTGTTGTATATTCAAAGTTCCAAAGAAACAGAATATCCAAGACATCACCAATCGTCCAAAACACAGTGTAGGAGGCCACAGTTAAGAGAAGCAAGACCATTAGCTCTTTTTATAGGCTCGAGAACAAGAGGATCCTTTGGTCCTGTATCAGCAGGATGCTTTTCGGGTAGATCCTACTGCCACCCTACTATCGGGTAGATCCTACTGCCACCCTAGCTATGGGCACATGTCAGAGTCCCATGTAATAAAGGAGACAAAAGGAAACCACCACGAGTATAAACTAAGAAAATTACTCCAAGGTTTCTAAGAATGGAGCTGTATAACTCACTTTGCCCCATTTGTTACTTCTCCACGGTACTTACCACCACCTATTATATATATTTTGTTTATAGTCAGTCTTCCCTCATTAGAATCAAAGTTCTGTGAGGATAGGACTATACAGTCAGCCCTCAGTATCCATGGGGGACTAGTTCCAGGATCTCCTGAGGATAACAAAGGATACTCAAGTCCCTGATATAAAATGACACAGTATTTGCACATCACCTTTGCACATCCTCCCATATACTTCATATCAACTCTAGATCACTCAATATCCAATGTAAATGTCATGCAGATAGTTATTGTACTATATTGTGTAAGGAATAAGGACAAGAAAAAAGTGTACATGTTCAGTACAGATGCAATTTTTTTTCCAATATTTCCAATCCTTGGATGGCTTAATAAACAGATGTAGAACCCAGGAATAAGTTCTGGTGTCCTATTGCATAGTAGGATGAATATAGTTAACAATAATGTATTATATATTTGAAAATAGCCAGAAGAGTAGATTTTGAATTTTTCCCTACAAAAAAAAATTATGCAAATTATCCTGATTTGATCATTACACATTGAGTACATGTATTAAAACATCACATTGTACCCCATATATATGTACAATTATTATGTGTCAATAAAAATTTAATGTCAATATGTGAAATAAAATGAAAAAATAAATAAAATTTTTTAAAGCTGTAATTATCTCCATGTGGTAGGAATATATATAATCTGAAATAAAAAATATATTTGTAATTGTTAGGACAAAATAGATTATAGATTATTTTAAGTTTGGAAATTATAAATTATAAAATTCTCACAGAACCTGAAACATTATTGGTATTGTTAAATATTTAAAAATCTGTCCTTGGAGAGAAAGAAACCTATCAGATTTACATCAACAAGTGCAATATATCAGCCTATTACCATCTGCTACAGACTGCATGTTTGTGTTCCCTCAAAATTCATATGATAGGCCGGGCGCAGTGGCTCATGCCTGTAATCCTACCACTTTGGGAGGCCGAGGCGGGTGAATCACAAGGTCAGGAGATCGACACCATCCTGGTTAACATGGTAAAACCCCGTCTCTACTAAAAATACAAAAAATTAGGCCAGGCGCGGTGGCTCACTCCTGTAATCCCAGCACTTTGGGAGGCCGAGGCGGGCAGATCACGAGGTCAGGAGATCGAGACCATCTTGGCTAACACGGTGAAACCCCATCTCTACTAAAAATACAAAAAATTAGCTGGGCGCGGTGGCGGGCGCCTGTAATCCCAGCTACTCGGGAGGCTGAGGCAGGAATGACGTAAACCCGGGAGGCGGAGCTTGCAGTGAGCCGAGATAGCGCCACTGCAGTCCGGCCTGGGAGAAAGAGACTCCATCTCTAAAAAAAATAAAATAAAATAAAATAAAATAAAAAATTAGCCGGGCGCAGTGGCGGGCACCTTAGTCCCAGCTACTGAGGAGGCTGACGCAGGAGAATGGTGTGAACCCAGGAGGCAGAGCTTGTAGTGAGCCAAGATTGTGCCACTGCACTCCAGCCTGGGTGACAGAGCAAGACTCTGTCTCAAAAAAAAAAAAAAAAAAAATTCATATGATAAAGCCCTAACCCCCAAAGTGAGGATATTGGGAGGTGTGGCCTTTAGGAGAGAATTAGGTTTAGATGAGGTCATGAGAATAGAGCCCCTATGGTGGCATTACTTCCTTTATAAGAAGAGACACTAGAGCTGCTTTTCTCCCTACCATGTGAGGATACTGAGAGAAGATGGCCATTTCCAATCTAGGAAGCAGGCCCTCTTTAAGAAACATAATTTGCCAACACTTTGATCTTGCACTTCCAGCCTCCAGAACTGTGAGAAATATCTCTTGTTTTTTCTTTTTTTGTTTTTTTTTTTTTGAGACAGAGTCTCATTCTGTCGTCCAGGCTGGAGTACAGTGGTGCGATCATGGCTCACTGCAACCTCCGCCTCCCAGGTTCAAGCAATTCTCCCACCTCAACCTCCCAAGTAGCTCAGACTACAGGCGTGCACCACCATGCCCAGCTAATTTTTGTAGAGACAAGGTTTTGCCATGCTGCCCAGGCTAGTTTCAAACTCCTGAGCTCAAGTGATCCACTTGCCTCGGCCTCCCAAAGTGTTAGGAATACAGGCACAAGCCACCACGCCTGGTCAAAATATCTACTGTTTAAGCTACCCAATTTATGGTATTCTGTTTTAGCAGCTGAAGCAGACTAAGATACCATCCTATAAGCTACAGATCAGCACTATCCAACAGAACTTTACATGACGAGGAAATGTTTTATATCTGTGCTATCCATTATGTTAGCCACTAGCCACATGTATCCATCAAGTATTTGAAATACGGCTAGTGCAACTAAAGAACTTAAATTTTTTTTTTTTTTTTTTTTTTTTTTTTTTTGAGATGGAGTCTCGCTCTGTCGCCCAGGCTGGAGTGCAGTGGCGCCATCTCGGCTTACTGCAAACTCTGCCTCCCAGGTTCACGCCATTCTCCTGCCTCAGCCTCCTGAGTAGCTGGGACTACAGGCGCCCGCCACCATGCCCGGCTAATTTTTTGTATTTTTAATAGAGATGGGGTTTCACCATCTTAGTAAGGATGGTCTCGATCTCCTGACCTCATGATCTGCCCGCCTCGGCCTCCCAAAGTGCTGGGATTACAGGTGTGAGCCACCACGCCCAGCCAATTTTTATTTTATCTTATTTAAATAACCACATGTGGCTAGTGGCTAATGTATTGAACACTACAGCTGTAGACAATATGAAATAAATATAAAGCAGTCTCAACTTTGGAAAAACAGAAGACTCTTACTGCCTCATAATATAGATGAAAAATGAAATACTAAGTTAAGTAAAATGTTCTTTAAAGAACAGAAACAAAAGAAAACCTAATGAAAGCTATAAAAGTCCATTGGATAATAATGCTACCAGTACTAAGGAAGTACAGCCCCTAAAAGTGACTTGCAGTCACAAATATAAAAATGACTACTCAAGTGAACTCCTAAGGTAAAAATTCGTTATTCACCATGCTCCAAAATGGTCTGTAATATTCTTCAGAGATGGCATGGTAAAGTACGATACAAGGGTAATATTAACAGTATGCTGTCACAGGTGCCATTCTCTTAAAAAAGAAATCCCAAAATAAATATAAATGGAAAGCAAATAATTAAACACATTAAATAGAGATTATTACAAAAATCCATAAGGAATTCTGGTGGAGAAACAACTTAATAATCAAAATCCCAAATATAAAATTTATCTATCAAAAATGAAAATGCTGACATACAGTTTCTTGCAAAAAAAAAAAAAGTTTAGAAATTTTTTTAATATAAATAAATAAGAACATCTTTTTAAACAAAATCTTAGGCTGTTGAGTCCCATTTATTTTCTACACCTCTAATTCCAAAGCTGAGAAACAAATGGATACTTCAGAAAAAAAAAAAAAAAAAAACTCATGACAATTTGTCTTTTGGACACAGAATATAAAGGAAAAATAAAATCTATGTCTATCTGGCCAGACCTCAATAGAATTTTTCGTCCTAGCTGGTTCCTAAATCCAAATCAGATACTTATCAATAAAACTGTTTTTCTGCACAGCTACTACTAGCTAGAAACTGCTCCTCCAAATTTATACTGACCCATTTCTTCTAAAATGTTGAAATTCTAGCTGATAGTTTTTAAAAAACCATTCTTAATGTACTGATTCCAGAGTACTAATTTCAATGGCCAAGAAAATTCAAAAAGATTTGGAGTGGTCTCTGAGATTAGAATGTGTGACAATGTGAAGCATTTCACTACAATGTCCAAGATTAAAGTGTCAAAGCAGATGAGGAAATGAAACTCCCAAAACAGATGCCCATGAGAAAGGAGCCCAGAAAAGCAAAAGGGGCCACAGCCCAGGACCTTACAATAAAGAAAAGTGGCTCTGGCCCCATGGTATCCTTCCTGAAACACTGGGAAAGAATGAAGTCCTTAGCAAAATTCTGACCAGGATCCCAAATTTAAATGTAAGCTTGTAAGGAAAACACCTATGGACTTGTGTTTAAATTTGTCCATCTAAGATATAAAATTACAAGTTTGACCAAATGTGCCAGTTGTCCACTTACTGTCTCTCAGCTCCGAATTCATCCTTTCCTGTCTACTCTGCAGAAATGAACTTGGACCCTTTAAACATTTTTCCTTTGCTAGCTGGCATGATGTTAGATCGACATTGTAAGAGGAGATTTTCCTCTTCTTTCCAAGAGTCTTGTGTGCTCCTCTTGGCAGGCTTCTGTACTGCAACACAGCTTCTCCAGTGTCCAGATCCAGCACCCGTGCAGTTTGCTCCACTGTCAGGCTCCTGAAGTGCACAGCAGTCAGCAGCACCCAGTATCTTCCATCAGTACCTCCACAAGGCAGTATTATAGCAGAGTGATTCTGATGAGACAGATTTCTACCACAGCAACTTCTCTTCATTCAATGAGCCACAGCCATGCCCCCTCAAACAGGGTCTGGATCTTAATCTCAGAGGCCCTGGATGTTGTATCTCAACCCCAGGGGTTGATGCTCCTTTTATCTGTTATTCTTATATTCCTTAGAGTTCTCTTTACTTTTTACTAGCCAATCCTCATTGCTCCAAAACCCTATTATAGCTAGCAATTCTTCGTACTGATCTTTCCTTGTTCAAATTACATGTGATTTCTCTATTCTAATCAAACACTGACTGATAGATCAAATTTCAGGCAATTAATCAAACTGAGAAAATTATAGGGCATTATGTCTAATTTGTTATTTTATATATTAGCAAACACATAAGATCTGATAATCAGAAAGTTCAGAGCGCTAAACCAAAGTCTCTAAAGAAAGAATGGAATGAATCAGTTCACAGGATATATGCTTGTTAATGCTACTCCCATTTGGGGGAAGTGTAATTTTCTCCAGTAACCATGAAAAATAAGAGATCACTTTGTTTCTTCTGATGATTTATTTTTATTTTAAAACAGAAATGAAAATCTAAAAAATATAAAAGTTTAAGAAGACAAAGTAGAAACAGTCAATGGCTCCATTTCTCTGGCAAACTAATAACCAAACTGTTCTATCTACATTTGGTGGGAAACCCAAAATTTCAGTGATCCCACACTAATATTCACATTGTTTTTCTGCTATATAGGAACACTTTTAACATTTTCCCTCTGTCTCACTGTTTGTCATGTACTCTCTGTAGACTACTTTGCCAACATTAAAATGAAATGTTCAGCATCAAGCTCATCATTCCTGTCTCACTTCACTCTTAAGTCTGCTAGCCACAGAGTTAAAAGGACAGGATTAAGAGTCATTAGACACAGTACTAAGGAGAATTAAAGGGGCTGTTCAAGGGGCATAACATCTGCTCCTCAAATTCCTGCCTAAACAACGAAGATTCCGATCAAAGAGAAGAGAGAGAAAGCCAATCTAACCAGTAAACCGGAGTCATGAGGAAGTGAATGCTCTCTCACGGAGTAACTCTTGACACCAGAGGAAGGCTTAGTGACATTGCACAATTGTTTCTGTGAAGTTATTCATGGGGCAAGTGGAGTATATGAGTAGAAGTGGAAGGGAATGGGAAGGTGAAGATTGAGGATCCTTTTAAGTAGTTTTTGCTCAGCTAGCAAAACAAGCTGGGACATGCAAGACAGATAAACACAGCTGTTTGGGGCTGTCACTTGGGGCTCAGGAGCCAAGGTGTCCTGCTGTAGTGAAAAGTGCACTGGAATGTGAGTCAGGAGTTCAGGGATCCAAGTCCTCATTCTGCTGCTAACTAGCTGCGTGATGATGAGCAAGTCTACTGGCTTCACTAGACTCAGTCTTTTTTTTTTTTTCGATACAGAATCTCACTCTGTCACCCAGACTGGAGTGCAGTGGCACGATCTCAGCTCACTGCAACCACCACCTCCTGGGTTCCAGCAATTCTCCTGCTTCAGCCTCCTAAGTAGCTGGGATTACAGGTGCGTGCCACCATGCTGGGCTAATTTTTGTATTTTTAGTAGAGACGGGGTTTCGCCATGTTGGTCAGGCTGGTCTCAAACTCCTGACCTCGTGTTCCGCCCACCTTGGCCTCCCAAAGTGCTGGGATTATACGCATGAGCCACCACGCCTGGCCTTAGTCTCCTTATTTCATGGAAAATGAGGAGACAAGACTAGATGGCAACACTATACAGAGATGCTCCTGAACCCACAGAGTTGACGTACTAGTTAATATAACTTTGCTGAGTCCTGGTTTCCTCCACTGAAAAAAACATGAGAAATAATACTTTTTATAAAATTGGGTGAGGATTAAAAATAATATACATAAAGACACCTAGTACAGTAACTGAAACAAGTAATTATTATTATTACTACTTTATTTCCAATGCTAAGATTATTTGAGGGGTATAAAATCTTGGTAGCCAAATGCAATGTTATTTCAAATGCACTACAAGTTAGTATATGTTTAGTACATGTCTTAATTATTGCTAACCAAAATACTCAAGACTTACAAATTAAGGACTTGGGCCGGGTGCGGTGGCTCACGCCTGTAATCCTAACACTTTGGGAGGCCGAGGCGGGCGGATCACAAGGTCAGGCGATCGAGACCATCCTAACTAACACGGTGAAACCCCGTCTCTACTGAAAATACAAAAAATTAGCCAGGCGTCATGGCAGGCGCCTGTAGTCCCAGCTACTCAGGAGGCTAAGGCAGGAGAATGGCATGAATCCGGGAGGTGGAGCTTGCAGTGAGCCAGGATCACGCCACCGCACTACAGCCTGGGCGAATGAGCGAGACTCTGTCTCAAAAAATTAATTAATTAATTAATTAAGGACTTGCAAATGTCACCCAAAAATGTAAAAATATATTTTGTCAATATAAGGTTGATTCTCCAGAGGGTGCAAAAAAAGAATATAAATAAGAAATCCTTAAGAATTTGGAAATAGGAAATATATAAGACTTCTAAGGAAAAAGAGCTGAGGACTTCATCAGACTTCCCTACTCCAAATGCCAAAAGAAATAACCTAGAAAAATATTAAATCAGGATAAATGAAAGGACTACTGAAAACTGGAAATTATCCAGAAATTTCTAGTAGGAAAAGATCAGAATGATTAGGAAAGCACCTCCCAGAAAGAGTGCAACAGCCTCATATGAAACTACCCAGAAACCATGAAGTCCATGGGTGGTTCGTTCTCAAAGCAGCAAGGATGCCCTTATGGAAGCAGCTGTCACAAAAATTAGGCAGCAGGCACAAAAAACAATGTGGAAGAGACAATATAGGGTTAATAAAACAAAGATATATAGTCAAAAACCTACTATCTTTCCTAAAAATACAGCATACAGGCCGGGAGCAGTGGCTCACGCCTGTAATCCCAGCACTTTGGGAGGCCGAGGCAGGCAGATCATGAGGTCAGAAGATCAAGACCATCCTGGCTAACACTGTGAAACCCCATCTCTACTAAAAATACAAAAAATTAGCCGGGTGTGGTGGTGGGCACCTGTAGTCCCAGCTCCTCAGGTGGCTGAGGCAGGAGAACGGCGTGAACCCAGGAGGCAGAGCTTGCAGTGAGCGGAGATGGCGCCACTGCACTCCAGCCTGGGCAACAGAGTGAGACTCTGTCTCACTCTGTTGCACAGTTTACAACAACAAAACTATAGCATCCATCACATAGAGGAGAGACTCCCCAACACACACACAAGGATTACTCTCAGCCCCAGCTCCCTCAAACTTCCTAAGATCACAGACACATTCCACTGGCCACAAGCAGTGAGGTTAAGAAGGTAAGGAGATACAAGAAGAATCTTTTCAGCCTGTGTCTCACCAGGCAGAGAGCGTAAATAAGAAGAGCAAAATAATAAGCGGTTGTGAAGAGCTTTTACAGTAGGGTCAGCAAACTTTATGTGAAGGACCAGATAAATATTTGAAGCTTTCCAAGCCATATATGATCTCTGTATCATATTCTTCTTCATTATTCTGGGGTTTGTTTCACAACCCTTTATTTTTTTTTTTTTTTTTTTTGAGGTTAGAAATATTTATTTGCCATTTACAAAAAATAAACAATAGATATGCACACACACATGCATCCTGAGCAAAATAAAAACAAACACCCAAAGTTGAAAAATGAAAAAATTATATCAAAAAAGAAGCAAATATGGCAACCTTAATATGAAACAAGATGAAACGCAAGTCAAAAAATGTTAAAAGAGGAAAAGGTGAGCTTAATCTCATATTTAGTTTTTAAAACATCATACACTGAGAAACTATAACACCAAGTTCAAGAACCTTTATGCACATAACACAATAGCTTCAGATATCATGTCTTCAAACTGAGAATTTTTCTTAGTGAAACCCAAACAAAAACTTCCTATGCAACTCAACCTGCTGTTTTCTTTTTGTTTTTATTTTTTATTTTTTATTTTTAATGTTTTTTTTTATTATACTCTAAGTTTTAGGGTACATGTGCACATTGTGCAGGTTAGTTACATATGTATACATGTGCCATGCTGGTGTGCTGCACCCACTAACGTGTCATCTAGCATTAGGTATGTCTCCCAATGCTATCCCTCCCCCCTCCCCCGACCTCACCACAGTCCCCAGAGTGTGATATTCCCCTTCCTGTGTCCATGTGATCTCATTGTTCAATTCCCACCTATGAGTGAGAATATGCGGTGTTTGGTTTTTTGTTCTTGCGATAGTTTACTGAGAATGATGGTTTCCAATTTCATCCATGTCCCTACAAAGGACATGAACTCATCATTTTTTATGGCTGCATAGTATTCCATGGTGTATATGTGCCACATTTTCTTAATCCAGTCTATCATTGTTGGACATTTGGGTTGGTTCCAAGTCTTTGCTATTGTGAATAGTGCCGCAATAAACATACGTGTGCATGTGTCTTTATAGCAGCATGATTTATAGTCCTTTGGGTATATACCCAGTAATGGGATGGCTGGGTCAAATGGTATTTCTAGTTCTAGATCCCTGAGGAATCGCCACACTGACTTCCACAATGGTTGAACTAGTTTACAGTCCCACCAACAGTGTAAAAGTGTTCCTATTTCTCCACATCCTCTCCAGCACCTGTTGTTTCCTGACTTTTTAATGATTGCCATTCTAACTGGTGTGAGATGATATCTCATAGTGGTTTTGATTTGCATTTCTCTGATGGCCAGTGATGATGAGCATTTCTTCATGTGTTTTTTGGCTGCATAAATGTCTTCTTTTGAGAAGTGTCTGTTCATGTCCTTGGCCCACTTTTTGATGGGGTTGTTTGTTTTTTTCTTGTAAATTTGTTTGAGTTCATTGTAGATTCTGGATATTAGCCCTTTGTCAGATGAGTAGGTTGCGAAAATTTTCTCCCATGTTGTAGGTTGCCTGTTCACTCTGATGGTAGTTTCTTTTGCTGTGCAGAAGCTCTTTAGTTTAATTAGATCCCATTTGTCAATTTTGGCTTTTGTTGCCATTGCTTTTGGTGTTTTGGACATGAAGTCCTTGCCCACGCCTATGTCCTGAATGGTAATGCCTAGGTTTTCTTCTAGGGTTTTTATGGTTTTAGGTCTAACGTTTAAATCTTTAATCCATCTTGAATTGATTTTTGTATAAGGTGTAAGGAAGGGATCCAGTTTCAGCTTTCTACATATGGCTAGCCAGTTTTCCCAGCACCATTTATTAAATAGGGAATCCTTTCCCCATTGCTTGTTTTTCTCAGGTTTGTCAAAGATCAGATAGTTGTAGATATGCGGCATTATTTCAGGAATTGAACTCAGCTCTGCACCAAGCGGACCTAATAGACATCTACAGAACTCTCCACCCCAAATCAAAAGAATATACATTTTTTTCAGCACCACACCACACCTATTCCAAAATTGACCACATAGTTGGAAGTAAAGCTCTCCTCAGCAAATGTAAAAGAACAGAAATTATAACAAACTATCTCTCAGACCACAGTGCAATCAAACTAGAACTCAGGATTAAGAATCTCACTCAAAGCCGCTCAACTACATGGAAACTGAACAACCTGCTCCTGAATGACTACTGGGTACATAACGAAATGAAGGCAGAAATAAAGATGTTCTTTGAAACCAACGAGAACAAAGACACCACATACCAGAATCTCTGGGACGCATTCAAAGCAGTGTGTAGAGGGAAATTTATAGCACTAAATGCCCACAAGAGAAAGCAGGAAAGATCCAAAATTGACACCCTAACATCACAATTAAAAGAACTAGAAAAGCAAGAGCAAACACATTCAAAAGCTAGCAGAAGGCAAGAAATAACTAAAATCAGAGTAGAACTGAAGGAAATAGAGACACAAAAAACCCTTCAAAAAATCAATGAATCCAGGAGCTGGTTTTTTGAAAGGATCAACAAAATTGATAGACCGCTAGCAAGACTAATAAAGAAAAAAAGAGAGAAGAATCAAATAGACACAATAAAAAATGATAAAGGGGATATCACCACCGATCCCACAGAAATACAAACTACCATCAGAGAATACTACAAACACCTCTACGCAAATAAACTAGAAAATCTAGAAGAAATGGATACATTCCTCGACACATACATTCTCCCAAGACTAAACCAGGAAGAAGTTGAATCTCTGAATAGACCAATAACAGGCTCTGAAATTGTGGCAATAATCAATAGTTTACCAACCAAAAAGAGTCCAGGACCAGATGGATTCACAGCCAAATTCTACCAGAGGTACAAGGAGGAACTGGTACCATTCCTTCTGAAACTATTCCAATCAATAGAAAAAGAGGGAATCCTCCCTAACTCATTTTATGAGGCCAGCATCATTCTGATACCAAAGCCGGGCAGAGACACAACCAAAAAAGAGAATTTTAGACCAATATCCTTGATGAACATTGATGCAAAAATCCTCAATAAAATACTGGCAAACCGAATCCAGCAGCACATCAAAAAGCTTATCCACCATGATCAAGTGGGCTTCATCCCTGGGATGCAAGGCTGGTTCAATATACGCAAATCAATAAATGTAATCCAGCATATAAACAGAGCCAAAGACAAAAACCACATGATTATCTCAATAGATGCAGAAAAAGCCTTTGACAAAATTCAACAACCCTTCATGCTAAAAACTCTCAATAAATTAGGTATTGATGGGACGTATTTCAAAATAATAAGAGCTATCTATGACAAACCCACAGCCAATATCATACTGAATGGGCAAAAACTGGAAGCATTCCCTTTGAAAACTGGCACAAGACAGGGATGCCCTCTCTCACCGCTCCTATTCAACATAGTGTTGGAAGTTCACAACCCTTTAAAACTGTAAAAATCATTCTTAGTTCAAGTGTCATACAAAAACAAGCCATGGACTAGAGTTCAGCCACTGGTCACAGTCTGTACTGTTCTAAGATATAAAAGACAAAGAATATAGCTGTGGAATTTTTTTAAAGGAAAAAGAACATATTATCAGACTCTTGTGCTGAAAAAAAATTCAAGAAAACGTGTCATCATCACATATAATGCTATAATAAATAAACTTGTTCCTGATCATTTCCACATATGTGGATATATGTGTCAGAGGAACTCCTAAAAGTGGATTACTTGGTCTGAGGGTATATGCATTTGTAATTTGGAAGAGAATGCCAAATTGCCCTCTATAAGACAGTGCCAATTTACACTCCCACCATGCCTGATAGTATTTGTTTCTCCAAATCTTGCCATCATAGTTTACAGTTTACATCAGAATAAGATATACTGGCTGGGTGCAGTGGCTCACACCTGTAATCCCAGCACTTTGGGAGGCCAAGGCGGGTGGATCACTTGAGGTCAGGAGTTGGAGACCAGCCTGGCCAACATGGTGAAACCCTATCTCTACTAAAAATCCAAATATTAGCCAGGCATGGTGGTGCATGCCTGAATTCCCAGCTACTTGGGAGGTTGAGGCATGAGAATTGCTTGAACCCAGGAGGTGGAGGTTGTGGTGAGCCAAGATTGCGCCACCGCACTCCAGCCCAGGCGACAGAGCAAGACCCTGTCTCAAAAAAAAAGACATTATCAAAGTGTTATGCGGAAAAAAAAGTCTGGTCATTTACACCCCCACCTTAGCCTTCTCACATTGGATAGTATATGTTCTCTTCACTTTTGCCAGTCTTACAGGTAATACATAGTACCTCACTGGCACTTTAATTTTTCCTTCTTTATTAATGAAGCTGAATATCTTTATGTTTATTGACTATTTGTATTTCTTCTGCTGTTACCTATTAATTCATTTCCTTTGGCTAGTTTTAGTTTTCAAATATCCCTTTCTTTATTTACAGAAACTGTATTATGGATAGTAGCCCATTGCTTTCAATGTGTGTTACAATGTTTTGTTTATAATTTGTCTTTTAATTTTGTTTTTGATGTCCTTTGTTTTCTGAAGTGTAAAATATCTTTGTAAGTTGTAAAAGTAATTCATGCTGCTTTGTTATGTCATATAAAAATATAAAATGAAAGTTCTCCAATACCCCCATATAATACACTTCCATTTCTAGGACATAACCTCTCAAACTTTCCCTAGTAACTAAAAAACACAAATACATAAATTATATATTACAAAAGTGGAATTTTTTTGGAAACTACTTTTTCTATTTAAAAAATATTTATGGAACTCTTTCTATCTAAGCAACAGACTGGAATATTTGTGACACACATATCTTATAAAGAACTTTATCAACCAATCCAAGAAAAGAACCCAGTTCTTAAAATGGGCGAAAGTTTTTGAACAGTTGCTTCATCAAAGAAGACATATAAGCTCAATATCACTAATCATCAGGGAAATTCAAATTAAAACCCAATAACATATCACTACATACCCAACTGAATGGCTAAAATTTAACATATTGACAATACCAAGTGTAGGTAAGGATATGAAGTAACTACAACTCTTACACATTGCCACTAAGAAAGCAAAATGATACGGCATTTTTAAAAAGTTGGGCAGTTTCCTATAAAGTTAATACTCACATATCATCTGACAAAGCAATTCACACTTAGGTATTGACCCAGGGAAATAAAAACACCTGTCTATAAAAATGACCTCTACAGTACGGAGTATTTATAGAAGCTTTATTCCTTATACCTAAAAACTGGAAATAAGCCAAATGTCTATCAACTGGTAAAGAGATAAACTGTATGTAATATAGTCATACAAAAGAGTACTACACAGCTATAAAAGGGAACAAAACTACTGACAGAGGCAAAATCACATCAGTGGTTACCTGGGGGTCAGAAGGAGGGACTGACTGCAAAGGGGCTAAAGGGAACTTTGGAGGATAATCATAGTGTATGACTATGACTGTATGCATTTCTCAAAATTCATAGAACTGTACAAATAAAAAGAATAAATTTTACTAAATGTAAATTATACCTGAATAAATGTGACTTTTAAAAAGTTCATTAAAAGAGTAGAAAATTAGTAAAGTGAATTGGCTTAAGAAGTTTTCACAAATTGTGGCAAAAAAAAAAAAAAAAAAAGATAAAGAGAACTGGACCCGAGAGAAAAAGGGAAATGGAGAACAGATAACAGAGAGCCAAAGCTAAATAGCCTATACTCCCAAAAAACAAATCAGGATAAGGCGCAATGGCTCACGCCTGTAATCTCAACACTTTGGGAGGCCAAGGCAGGAGGATCACCTGAGGTCAGGAGTTCAAGACCAGCCTGGCCAACATGGTGAAACCCCGTCTCTACTAAAAATACAAAAATTAGCCGGGCATGGTGGCGTGCCTTAATCCCAGCTCCTCAGCAGGCTGAGGCAGGAGAATCGCTTGAACCTGGGAGGCAGAGGTTGCAGTGAACCAAGATCGTGCTACTGCACTCCAGCCTGGGCAACAGAGCTAGACTCTACCTCAAAAAAAAAAAAAAAAAAAGAAAGAAAGAAATCAGGACAGGTGATAGTCTTAAATAGTAGTCTGATTTTTCAGAGGTAAAATCCAATGTTACAATACTAAAAACTCAGAAATGGGAAGTAATACTTGAAAGACATGAGAGATATCAACTTAAGAATCTGTGCACTGAGATTCCTTCATATTAAATAAATACTAGGTGAGCTATTATCTACTGAATGCTTTACTAGGTGCCAGGCACTGTGCCATGCACTTTATAAAATATACATTATTTCATTTAATCATCAATCAGAACACCAAAAAACTGGTAGTATTAATTCTATTTTACAGGCAAGGAAACTAAGGGTCAAAGTGATTAAATGACATGCCTAAAGTCATATAGCAAATGAACAAGCCAAGACATAATTCAAATTCAGATCTTTATGAGTCAGAATCCATGCTCACATTCCATTATGCACATTAAGTCTATAGTTATACTTAGTTGTAGAATTAAATTTTACATCAATTAATATGCAATAAAAAAGAAAGAGGAGGAAAAATACTTCAGTGAAAATCTAGGACAGTAATCTCCCCATCATCCCACTAAAACTGATAGTTATGGCACAAGCTCAGCTAAATTAGCAGAGAAGACAGTGTATAACACTTTATGACTACAGCATTGACTCATCCATTCTGATTTCCAGTAACAGAAATTTTTAAATTTCAGAATCTAGGATTGACTCAGAAACGCAAAACAGTAGGTATCTGTTTTTTCTTTTTTTATTTATTTGAACTCTGAAACTCTTTAATCAAGTAACTGTTCATACATAGCAAGAACTACAAATACCATTTGAATAGATGGAAATTTCTCAGTGGCAATCACTTTTAATATAAAATGAATGGAAATCATAAGATGCAATAAAACTCACTATTCAATTATCTTCAGAATACATATTTTTATTTTTTTAAAAAAAACTAAACATATCAGCCTTAAGCCTGTAGCTCAAGGTATCACTTACAGTGCAGAGCCAGTGATTTCAAAAACTGTTCCTTACTTGCCCTGAACTGATAGGGTTTAAGCCAAGGATTTCAGATCCTCCAGAAAAAGAAATCCTTATGCTTCCTTTCTTTTCCAAAAGGTGGGTACACCTTGCTGAAAACAGTCTTCTGCTCTATTTCTCAACAGAAAACTACTGAAAAAAAAATATGAAACACTACTATTGTATGACTTATTTAATGAATAATAAGTTCCAAGTATATCCCAAACACTGTTTTAGGTGCTGGAATAGAAGTAAACAAATGTGAAAAACACATCATTTCTGATCATTCTAAGTGCTATAAAAGAAATAAATCAGGGTAATGGGTAGAGTGGGTGGCAGTGGAGAGGTGGGAGAGGAGCTACTTTTGACAGTATGGTGAGGAAAGGTCTCTCTGAGGAGCTGACATTTGAGCTGAAACATGACTCAAAAGAAGGTCACTGGATCTTAATAAGATAAAATTTTAAAATTATGTAACTTGATGACAGTTACAGAGGGAAGCAAAAACCAGGAAATTAAGTAAAAGGCTATTACAGATAGTTTACATAATTTTACCATGAAAATGTCAAAGAGAAGGTGTTGGGAACAGGCCCCCCAAAATCTGGCCATAAACTGGCCCCAAAACTGGCCATAAACAAATCTCTGCAGCACTGTGACATGTTCCTGATGGCCATAATGCCCACGCTGGAAGGTTGTGGGTTTACCGGAATGAGGGCAAGGAACACCTGGCCCGCCCAGGGCAGAAAACTGCTTAAAGGCATTCTTAAACCACAAACAATAGCATCAGCGAGCTGTGCCTTAAGGACATGCTCCTGCTGCAGATAACTAGCCCAACCCATCCCTTTATTTCAGCCCATCCCTTCGTTTCCCATAAGGGATACTTTTAGTTAATCGAATATCTATAGAAACAATGCTAATGACTGGCTTGCTGTTAATAAATATGTGGGTAAATCTCTGTTCGGGGCTCTCAGCTCTGAAGGCTGTGAGACCCCTGATTTCCCACTTCACAGCTCTATATTTCTGTGTGTGTGTCTTTAATTTCTCTAGTGCCACTGGGTTAGGGTCTCCCTGACAGAGCTGGTCTCGGCAAGAAAGAAAAATATATTCAGGTAAATAATGTATATCAAATAATAAACTGTGCTTAACAACAAAAGAAAAGCATTTTTTAAAATTCAATTTTTATACTGGTAGACCAAGTAAAAAACACATAATGTCAGTCTTTTTAAAGTGTGCTAGGTGAGTGAGAAAGAAGCTAAGAATACCACAGCACCAAAGAGCTCTTCTGGAGAAATTCGTCAGAGATGCCCAAAATCCAGAATACTTTATTTACCTCAGCTTCACTCCTAGACTTGGACTTCTATCTCCCTTCCTGAATAGCTATGGGGGCGTTCTTTGAGTGTGACTGCCTCTTTGATATCCACTTACTCACCATGATGCTGCCTCTTGGATCTCAGACAAATTCTGATGTTTGCTATTCCAGGTGAGGAGATGGTTTGAAAACATCATACTATGTTTCCATATCTTCAAGACAGTCAACAAACTCCCTCAAGTTATCTTTGTGGATAATATAGGAATAATACAGATCAGTGACAAAAAGATGTGGGGGAATTTAGCTGAGTTATAGGCATGTGTGGATTCTCACTTGGGTGAAAAACGTAATTTAAAAGGTTAACAGACCAATGTCAGGCAGGGGCATGGTGGCTCACGCCTGCAATCCCAGCACTTTGGGAGGCCAAGGCAGGCAGATCACTTGAGGTCAAGAGTTCAGGACCAGCCTGGCCAACATGGTGAAACCACGTCTCTACTAAAAATACAAAAATTAGCTGGGCATGGTGGCATGCACCTGTAATCCCAGTTCCTCAGGAGGCTGAGACAGGAGAATCGCTTGAACCCGGAAGGTGGAGGTTGCAGTGAGCCAAGATCATGCCATTGCACTCCAGCCTGGGCAACATGAGACAGACTCCATCTCAAAAAAAAAAAAAAATCAGTCTCAAAATAAAGAAAGGCTTCTAATGGCATATGAGAGTTTGACTCTCCCATATTCAACAGGTATCAGCTGAATGAGAATTTACTGTACATTCACCAAATTTGCAATTGGCAAAACACAAGCAGCGATCATTAACATACCCATTGGGTGTTACAATCAGAAACTAGAACAATGATTCAACAAAATAAAGAGAATGAAATTGGAGGGGAAAATAAATATTAAAATATACATGTTTCACTTTTTTCTTTTTTGTTGTTGTTGTTGTTGTTGTTGAGATGGAGTCTCACTCTGTTGCCAGGCTGGAGTGTAGTGGCGCCATCTGAGCTCACTGCAACCTCTGCCTTGCAGGTTCAAGCGATTCTCCTCCCTCAACCTCCCTAGTAGCTGGGACAACAGGCAGGTGTCACCACACCCAGCTAATTTCTGTATTTTTAGTAGAGATGGGGTTTCATCATGTTGGCCAGAATGGTCTTAATCTCTTCACCTCATGATCCGCCTGCCTTGGCCTCCCAAAGTGCGGGGATTACAGCCGTGAGCCACCACACCTGGCCTCACTTTTTCTTCATTTAAAAATCTGCATTAAACTTTAGTGACTTTTTGGTAGTAGCATTCCTGTTTTTGAACTTAAGTCACATATTTTTTATGTCTAGAGGTACCTTGTTATCTATTGTGGTAGTTTGTGTGCACTGGATTTGGCCACTTAAAGGGAGGCTCAAGATATGCACTATCCAATACAGCAGCTACCTAGCCACGTGTAGTTATATACATTTTAATTAAAATTCGATTTTAAGAAATTTCAGTTCCTTAGAATTACTAAACACATTTCAAGTATTCAGTAACCCCATGTGACGAGTGACTACCATACTGGACGATACAGATACATAATATCTCCATTACCACTGAAAGTTATATTGGACAGCACTCTTAAACTACTGGAATCATCAAGTGATGACCCTAGGAATACTCAATCAAACAGAAATTACAGCTAGAAAATGATTTTATTTTCTTTCTTAACCAAAGATCCAAGGCATCAAGTCAGATTTTACTGTCTTTTCTTGAAAAAAATAGGCCAGAGGCAATGGCTCACGTCTGTAATCCCAGCACTTTGGGAGACCAAGACGGGCAGATCACCTGAGGTCGGGAGTTCGAGACCAGCCTGACCAACATGGAGAAACCCCGACTCTATTAAAAATACAAAATTAGCCAGACGTGGTGGCACATGCCTGTAATCCCAGCTACTCAGGAGGCTCAGGCAGGAGAATCGCTTAAACCCAGGAGGTGGAGGTTGCGGTGAGCCGAGATCACGCCATTGCACTCCAGCCTGGGCAACAAGAGTGAAACTCCATCTCAAAAAAACACAAAAAGAAAAAGAAAATGTATACACTCACACAAACACACACATAGACACAGACACACACACACACATAAATATATACACACACAGATAAATTTAACAAAGACCATTTGTGACCTGTAAAGCCTAAAATGCTACCTGGCCCTTTATAAAAAAACTTTGCCAACCCCTTGACCAATAAGTGTTTTCTTATAAATGACTTCTATCTTTTAATTTGAATATCAAATTAAAAGACATTAAGAAAAATTCTGTAACGCTAAATTTAAATTGGAACACAGGTACAATTAACAATTCTTAAATTGCTTTACAGGTATACTGAGGCTGAATAAGTAAATGGATAGTGGAAGCTAGGTTTCTCACCATTGGAAAGTGATGATACAGAAAAGCATGAAGGTTAGAATAAATCAACATAGTACTGGATTAGAGTTAGAACATCAGTATGAACTGGTGTTCAGGTTAACGTGGATGTAGAGAGATACAAAACACTATATACTATATACATAGGTTAGTATAATATACACGCATGTATTTCCTAGCTTTGTCAGCTGAGTCAGCCTAAGAGCAGTGACATCCCAGGAGCAATGAGCATATTAAGAACCTAGATCTTCTAGAGGTAGAAATACCATCTGACCCAGCAATCCCATTACTAGGTGTATACCCAAAGGATTATAAATCATTCTACTATAAAGACACATGCACACATATGTTTATTGCAGCACTGTTCACAATAGCAAAGACTTGGAACCAACCCAAATGCCCATCAATGATAGACTGGATAAAGAAAATGTGGCACATATAAACCATGGAATACTATGCATCCATAAAAAAAGATGAGTTCATATCCTTTGCAGGGATATGGATGAAGCTGGAAACCATCATTCTCAGCAAACTAACACAAGAACAGAAAACCAAACACCACATGTTCTCACTCATAAGTGGGAGCTGAACAATGAGAACACATGGACACAAGGAGGGGAATATCACACACCAGGGCCTGTCAGGGGGTGCGGGGCTATGGGAGGGACAGCATTAGGAGAAATAGCTATGTAGATGATGCGTTAATGGGTACAGCAAACCATCATGGTACGTGTATACCTATGTAACAAACCTGCACGTTCTGCACATGTATCCCAGAACTTAAAAGTATAGTAAAAATAATAATAATAATAAAGAACCTAGATCTTATTTGCTAATATACTTCTCCTGGGGAAAAGAACTGATTCTAGAACTGGGGCAGGGAAAATACAAGCATCTATAGCCTGGAGCATTTGATTTTATTTATTTATTTATTTATTTTTTATTTTTTATTTTTTTTTTTTTGAGACAAAATTTCACTCGTTGCCCAGGCTGGAGTGCAATGGCACAATCTCAGCTCACTGCAACCTCCACCTTCTGGGTTCAAGCGATTCTCTTGCCTCAGCCTCTGAAGTAACCAGGATTACAGGCACCCACCAACATGCCCGGCTAATTTTTGTATTTTTAGTACAGACGGGGTTTCACCATGTTGGCCAGGCTGGTCTTGAACTCCTGACCTCAGGTGATCTGCCCGCCTCAGCCTCCCAAAGTGCTGGGATTACAGGCGTGAGCCACTGCGCCCGGCCTGGAGCATCCTGCAGTATCAAAAATTAAGGGAGTATTTCCAAAAACGAAAGAAAGGAGGCATGTCAAAGCGACAAAAGACCAAACTAAAAGAGCTCCCAATCACCACAGTTGAAACAAGCTGAGCAACAAAATAAATACACAAGAAAACCAAAAAGTTTATTTAAATACTACTCACTCCAGGAAGTGGAGCCAAATTTTTCCACTGCCTCTAGTTTGAGCAGTACTCAGTGGCTTGCAGCCAAAGAATGGCATATGGAAAGGAAAGGAAAAAGTAACTTTACCATGAAGAACCTAAAAAAACATGATAGAAGTACCCCGATATGATGTAATAAGAAAGCCACTTCACCTCTGTGATATTCTTCCCAAGGACTCATAATCTCAATCTAACCATGAGAAAAGCATCAGACAAAAGCAAATTGAGAGACATTCTACAAAACACCCGACCAATACCCCTCAAAACTGTCATGGTCATGAAAAACAATGAAAGACTGAGAAACAGTCAGGGACTAAACAAATACAAGGACCAAAGGTAATGTGGTATCTTGGAGGAATCATTAGTGAAAAAAAAACAGTGAAATCCAAATAACGTTTGGAGATTCATCAATAGTAACTGACTGTTAGTTTCTTAATTGTGACAAATGGACCATAAGATGTTAATCATAAGAAAAACTGGGTGAAGTGTATGCATAAACTCTGTACTATCTTTGTAGCTTATCTATAAATTTAAAAATATTCTGAAATTTAAAAGTTTACTAAATATTTTGAAATTGAAATAGAAATATCAAAGTGACCTTGTAATTTAAACATAGACACATATATGCATGAATACATACGCGTCTATATTTTCTACCTCTTTCCATCAAAAGGTCAAAAGCAATGACATCCCAATATCAATGAGCATGCCTAGCAACCAGATTTGGTCTCTAAATACCACTCCCACAAAAAGAAAGACGGGCTACTCGGGGAAGTACTGATTCCAGGACTTGGAAAGGAATGTAACAGGAAGCCTACATCATGTTGTGCCAGAAACCAAGTAAGTTTTAAAGACTAATAAGGTCATGTCAAAATTATACAGCAATCAAGGACTCCTACTAGACAAATCTAGGACAATTTAAACATTGAAAAGAATAATGACTGCAATTGACTGAAACATGAAAATTTAAAAATCGTAAATACTGATACTCAAAAAAGAAAAAGAAATGATCACCAATAACAGAAACAACTCATTTATCACCACCAGCCCTTAAGCTAAAAATGGGCAATTAAAGAAAGATAACTAAGCTTTTATCCTGCCTCTTCAGTAGTAACTATATTTCAGGGTAACCAAATAACATCAGTTAATGAGGAAAAGTTTTTCTTTTTTTCTTTTTTAATTACACTTTAAGTTCTAGGGTACATGTGCACAACGTGCAGGTTTGTTACATATGTATACATGTGCCATGTTGGTGTGCTGCACCCATTAACTCGTCATTTACACTAGGTATATCTCCTAATGCTCTCCCTCCCTCCTCCCCGCATCCCATGACAGGCCCCGGTGTGTGATGTTCCCCTTCCTGTGACCATGTGTTCTCATTGTTCAATTCCCACCTACGAGTGAGAACATGCGGTGTTTGGTTTTCTGTCCTTGGGATAGTTTGTTGAGAATGATGGTTTCCAGCTTCATCCATGTCCCTACAAATGACATGAACTCATCATTTTTTATGGCTGCATAGTATTCCATGGTGTATATGTGCAACATTTTCTTAATCCAGTCTATCATTGATGGACATTTGAGTTGGTTCCAAGTCTTTGCTATTGCGAATAGTGCCACAATAAACATACGTGTGCATTTGTCTTTTTGGCAGCATGATTTATAATCCTTTGGGTATATAACCAGTAATGTGATGGCTGGGTCAAATGGTATTTCTAGTTCTAGGCCCTGAGGAATCGCCACACTGACTTCCACAATGGTTGAACTAGTTTACAGTCCCACCAATAGTGTACAAGTGTTCCTATTTCTCTACATCCTCTCCAGCACTAGTTGTTTCCTGACTTTGTAATGATCACCATTCTAACTGGTGTGAGATGGTATCTCATTGTGGTTTTGATTTGCATTTCTCTAATGGCCAATGATGATGAGCATTTTTTCATGTGTCTGTTGGCTGCACAAATGTCTTCTTTTGAGAAGTGTCTGTTCATATCCTTCACCCACTTTTTGATGGGGTTGTTTTTTTCTTGTAAATTTGTTAAGAGTTCTTTGTAGGTTTTGGATATTAGCCCTTTGTCAGATGGGTAGGTTGCAAAAATTTCCTCCCATTCTGTAGGTTGCCTGTTCACTCTGATGATAGTTTCTTTTGCTGTGCAGAAGCTCTTTAGTTTAATTAGATCCCATTTGTCAATTTTGGCTTTTGTTACCATTGCTTTTGGTGTTTTAGACATGAAGTCCTTGCCCATGCCTATGTCCTGAATGGTATTGCTTAGGTTTTCTTCTAGGGTTTTTATGGTTTTAGGTCTAACACTTAAGTCTTTGATCCTTCTTGAATTAATTTTTGTGTAAGGTATAAGGAAGGGATCCAGTTTCAGCTTTCTACATATGGCTAGCCAGTTTTCCCAGCACCATTTATTAAATAGGGAATCCTTTCCCCATTTCTTGTTTTTGTCAGATTTGTCAAAGATCAGATGGTTGTAGATGTGTGGTATTATTTCTGAGGGCTCTGTTCTGTTCCATTGGTCTATATCTCTGTTTTGGTACCAGTACCATGCCGTTTTGGTTCCTGTAGCCTTGTAGTATAGTTTGAAGTCAGGTAGCATGATGCCTCCAGCTTTGTTCTTTTGGCTTAGGATTGTCTTGGCGATGCGGGCTCTTTTTTGGTTCCATATGAACTTTAAAGTAGTTTTTTCCAATTCTATGAAGAAAGTCATTGGTAGCTTGATGGGGATGGCATTGAATCTATAAATTACCTTGGGCAGTATGGCCATTTTCACGATATTGATTCTTCCTATCCATGAGCATGGAATGTTCTTCCATTTCTTTGTGTCCTCTTTCATTTTGTTGAGCAGTGGTTTGTAGTTCTCCTTGAAGAGGTCCTTCACATCCCTTGTAAGTTGCATTCCTAGGTATTTCATTCTCTTTGAAGCAATTGTGAATGGGAGTTCACTCGTGATTTGGTTCTCTGTGTGTCTGTTATTGGTGTATAAGAATGCTTGTGATTTTTGCACATTGATTTTGTATCCTGAGACTTTGCTGAAGTTGCTTATCAGCTTAAAGAGTTTTGGGGCTGAGACGATGGGGTTTTCTAAATATACAACCATGTCATCTGCACACAGGGACAATTTCAATTCCTCTTTTTCTAACTGAATACCCTTTATTTCTTTCTCCTGCCTGATTGCCTGGCCAGAACTTCCGACACTATGTTGAATAGGAGTGGTGAGAGAGGGCATCCCTGTCTTGTGCCAGTTTTCAAAGGGAATGCTTCCAGTTATTGCCCATTCAGTATTATATTGGCTGTGGGTTTCTCATAAATAGCTCTTATTATTTTGAGATATGTCCCATCAATACCTAATTTATTGAGAGTTTTTAGCATGAAGGGCTGTTGAATTTTGTCAAAGGCCTTTTCTGCATCTACTGAGATAATCAAGTGGTTTTTGTCTTTGGTTCTGTTTATATGCTGGACTACATTTATTGATTTGCGTATGTTGAGCCAGCTTTGCATCCCAGGGATGAAGCCCACTTGATCATGGTGGATAAGCTTTTTGATGTGCTGCTGGATTCGGTTTGCCAGTATTTTATTGAGGATTTTGGCAGAGACACAACAAAAAAAGAGAATTTTAGACCAATATCCCTAATGAACATCAATGGAAAAGTTTTTCTTTAAGAAGATGCCAGGAAATAAATGCAGATGAAATAACAGAATAGGAAAATCACCAATTTGTAGCTCTCGGTGACATAACCGATTCAGGAAGAAATCATCAATGGACACTGAGCTCATTAAGTGAAAGAATGATGAGTATCTGGACAGTTACATATACCAAACTATCTCTCTACGAAGTTCTTGCCTATCTCAAGTATAAAATATTAACTTTACAATGAAGGAATCAGATGTCACTACCTTAATCCAGGGATTTACCTTAATTTCTAGTCACTAACAGTGAAACAGCTAGACAATACATGCCATCTGAAGTGATACAATATAATTATGATAAAGCCTTTGATATTCCACAGGAAATATTGGAGAGGAGATAAAGAAACAAGTTAAGTCAGGAGTCCCCAAAGCCCAGGACATGGACTGGTATCAGTCTATGGCCTGTTAGGAACCAGGTGCACGGCAGGCGTTGGGAGGGTGAGCAAGCGTTACCACCTGAGCTCCGGCTCCTGTCAGATCAACAATAGCATTCGATTCTCATAGGAGTACAAACCCTATTGTGAAATGCGCATGTGAGGGATCTCTAGGTTGCACAATCCATATTAGAATCTAATGCCTGATGATCTGAGATAGAACAGTTTCATCCAGAAACCATCCCACCACCCCGACCTCCACGCTACCCCTAGTCCATGGAAAAATTGTCTTCCACAAAACCAGGCACTGGTGCAAAAAAGATTGGGGACCGTTGAGTTAAATGATACCATAAGAAAGCAATATGCCAGAAGATCAGATATGGTCAAAAACAGAAAAGAGAGTGTCTTATGGGCCAGGCGCGGTGGCTCATGCCTGTAATCCCAGCACTTTGGGAAGACGAGGCAGGTGGATTACTTGAGATCAGGAGTTTGAGACCACCCTGGACTACTGGGTGAAACCCCATCTCTACCAAAAAAATACAAAAATTAGCCAGGCATGGTGGTGCACACCCATATAGTCCCAGCTATTTGGGAGGCTGAGGTGGGAGGATGTCTTGAGCCCAAGAAGCAGAGGTTGCAGTGAGCCAAGATCTCGCCACTGCACTCCAGCCTGGGCAACAGAGCCAGACCCTGTCTCAAAAAAAAAAAAAAAAAAAAGAGAAAGGCTGGCTCATTGTAGCAACATGGAAGGCCCTTTCTAACATAATGCTAGCCGACCATACCTAAACAGTACAAAATAGATTGGTACCTGGTTAATGGCTTAACATATGTTAATTTCTCATTTCTCAGAATTAATTGGAATGTTTTAAAACAAAGTTTTGTTTTTTTTTTAATTTTTTTGTTTTGAGATGGAGTCTTGCTCTGTCACCCAGGATGGAGTGCAGTGGCGCAATCCTGGCTCACTGCAGCCTCCACCTCCCGGGTTCAAGCAATTCTCCTGCCTCAGCCTCCGAAGTAGCTGGGATTACAGGCATGAGCCACCACGCCTGGCTTGTTTTTATATTTTTAGTAGAGATAGAGTTTCACCATGTTAGACAGGCTGGTCTCGAACTCCTGACCTCAGGTGATCCACCCACCTTGGCCTCCCAAAGTGCTGGGACTACAGGCATGCGCCACTGTGCCTAGCCTTTTGTAATTTTTTTTGAGATGGAGTCTCTCTCTGTTGCTGGGCTGGAGTGCAGTGGCACAATCTCAGCTCACTGCAACCTCCACCCCTCAGGCTAGAGCAATTCTCCTGCCTCAGCCTCCCGAGTAGCTGGATTACAGGCATGCGCCACCACGCCCAGCTAATTTTTGTAATTTTAGTAGAGACGGGCTTTTGCCATGTTGTCCATTCTGGTCTCAAACTCCAGGCCTCAGGTGATCCGCCTGCCTCGGCTTTCTAAAGTTCTGGAATTACAAGTGTGAGCCACCGCGCCCAGCCTAAAATATAAGTTTATGAAACAAAAGAAATGTAAGGCTCGTTTTACTTCATTTAAATTATGAAGGCCGTATACAGTCATATAAACGTAATGTATTTTGATACAAATCATTGTAGATGGGATTCCAAAGCCAACAGCACTGTCTTCCAATGTGAAGACATTAGGTCAAATATGAAGATATTAAGTAAGTGAATACATACCACTCACAGGGCTGAAGGGATCGAAATGCCTTAAAAGAAGCATCCATTCCAGCAAAATCCCAAAACTTAACATCATAGTCATATCCTCCTGTCACCAAACGGGCACCTGAGGGATCCAGACCCAAAGCAGACACCTGGTTTTAAAAAAATAAAATAAAATGACCGGAGCAAAATGACATATGGTCAATTATAACCTCCCATTTCTGTTCTTTAATCCCACCCCCTATGTTATAGGACTTGGAAGTACAAACCACCAACTATTGTTACTTCTGAAAAGCAGGAATGGATGGTTGCCTTCCATATTATTAGACTTTGTTACTATATTAATTCTTTTGCAATAAAGAAAAATACTTTAAATCTATTTGACAATTTTGTCCCAAATCATCAACCATGTATTCAGAATAGCTATCACTGCAATTCCATAAGATAAACTAAGTTGCTTTAGTGTACAAGTAAAAATCTTACAAATAATTACAATAATTCAGCATTTTCAACATACAATCTGAGGAAAACTTTTAAGATAATCATAACTGAATGAAAACCATATGAATCTGAAATTACCAAAATGAGTAACACCAAGGGAGCTTTAAGAAATCTATTTAACAAAGTAGAACAAAGCAGAATTATCTGTCCCTTATGGTCAAATGGCTCGGTATATTCACCTTAAACAATTATTTTTAAAGCTGAATTTTTAAGTGACTAATCACATTATAATAGTACTTATATTGGTTCCATAAAATATTTGCTTTCGGCCGGCCACAGTGGCTCATGCCTGTAATCCCAGCACTTCGGGAGGCCAAGGCAGGGAGATCACTTGAGGTCAGGAGTTTGAGACCAGCCTGGCCAACATGGAGAAACCCCATCTTTACTAAAAATACAAAAATTAACTGGGCGTGGAGGCATGCACCTGTAATGCTGAGGCACAAAAATTGCTTGAACTTGGGAGGCGGAGGTTGCAATGAGCCAAGATCGTGCCACTGCATTCCACCCTGGGTGACAGAGCGAGACTCTGTCTTAAAAAAAAAAAAAATTTGCAGGCCAGGCACCATAGCTCATGCCTGTAATCCCAGCGCTTTGGGAGGCTAAGGCGGGCGGATCACCTGAGGTTGGGAGTTTGAGATCAGCCTGACCAACATGGAGAAACCCCATCTCTACTAAAAATACAAAATTAGCCAGGCATGGTGGCGCATGCCTGTAATCCCAGCTATTTGAGAGGCTGAGGCAGGAGAATTGCTTGAACTCGGGAGGCAGAGGTTGCAATGAGCTGAGATTGCGGCTCTGCACTCCAACTGGGCAACAAGGTGAAACCCTGTCTCAAAAAAAAAAAAAAAAAAAAAAATTGCTTTCCCTGTGAACTTTCCTAGGTCCAATTCACACGTCAATATCCAATGTGTAACTCATTGTTCCTAAGCTATATGTAGCTTTCTCTCAAAGCAGAGAGTCCCTAGATCTACTGCCCTCTAAGAAGAAAAGAACTGCATTAGGAATATTTAATGCGATTACTATACATTGGACACAGTAAAAGAATCAAAGGTTTTTTTGTTTTGTTTTTTTTGAGACAGAGTCTCACTCTGTCATCCAGGCTGGAGTGCAGTGGTGTAATCTCGGCTCACTGCAACTTCTGCCTGCTGGGATCAAGCGATTCTCCTGCCTCAGCCTCCTAAGTAGCTGGGATGACAGGCACGTAGCACCACGCCCAGCTTATTTTTGTATTTTTTAGTAGAGAAGGGGTTTCACTTGTTGACCAGGCTGGTCTCAAACTCCTGATCTCAGGTGATTTGCCCGCCTCAGACTCGCAAAGCTGGGATTAGAAGTGTGAGCCACGGCACCTGGCCAGAGTCAACGTTTTACATAAAGGAAGTTTCTATAAATCAGTTCTCCTAATAAATAGACTTGAAATGTAATTAATATAATTATAATTAGTCAGATACTGACAAAGTAACATATTCATTTCAATTAGCACTTGCAAATACCGATTTCATAATATAAGGGAATCATACATAAATAATAATACTTATGTTAAAATTAGACATGAACTCTAAAGATGTCAAGGAAAATATACAAGTGAAAACAAAGTCATTTTTTATGCCCGAACAATAATGTCTTAAAAAACAATCAAAAACAAAAATAAATGAATAGTAGTTTTAAAAATCTAGAAGTGACTTCTGCTACCACCACCTACAAACTCACTTGCCTCTACGTTCATTATGCTATCCTTCTTCCCTCCTGTTACAATTTAAAAGTTATTTCTCCTCCTAATAAGGCTAACCCCACCAGTGTTCATCTCACTACAACACAATATAAAATTACAACTCCATTTGTGGTTCCTCTATTCTGTATCTGTCCTTCCCTCAAGAGTATAAGCACCATATGGACAGAGACCTTGTCTGTGCCCAGCACTGAACATGGCACAAAATACAAACTCTACTAAATATTTGTTTAAAAGAAAGGAGAACTAAAAATTGTTAAATCTTATGTAAAACAAACATGCAGTCTGACAAATATGAGACAAATTCCTTTTTATCAAGGAAGAACAGAATAAATTGCAAACTTGACTGTTCTCCTAAGAAGAAAGATGACAAATTAAAAAGCAAAATTACAAAATGAGGCTTTCAATGCTACCATTCACTGAAGTATCAGGATCTCTGTTGCTGACTGTATATATGATTCATCATTTACCAAAACGATATGAAGGAGGTAATTAGAAAAATAGAAAACAGAGCTCGGAGGCTGGGCGCAGTGGCTCACGCCTGTAATCCCAGCACTTTGGGAGGCCGAGGTAGGCGGATCACCTGAGGTCAGGAGTTCAAGACCGGCCTGGCCAACATGGCAAAACCCCATCTCTACTAAAAATACAAAAATTACCCGGTGTTGTGGCGAGCGCCAGTAATCCCAGCTACTCGGGAGGCTGAGGCAGGAGAATCGCTTACCCCTGGGAGGTGGAGGCTGCAGTGAGCTGAGATGGCACCACTGCACTCCAGCCTGAGTGACAGAGCAAGACTTTGTCTCAAAAAAAAAAAGTGTCTTGTTCCAACTTGAGAATGAGCACAAATTTTCAGTTTTAACATTTATATTAAAAGAATTAATGTGTATCACCCTCTCCTCCTTTCAAAAAGCTTTAGACTTTATCATCACATTCAGTGGGAAGGGTTCAGTTGACTATTATGCCATAGTAAGTATATTCACTAAATATTCACTAAAAGGAGAAAAAGCACAAAATCTTATAGAGATATAAAAAATAAACATGATGATAATTCTCCTAAGAGTACATCAGACATCATTAAGAGACTGATTTGAACAAACTGACTCTAAAAAGATGTATGAGAAAACTGGGGAAATTTGAACACTAATGAGATATTAGATTAAATAATTATTGAAAAAATAGATATATAAAGATGGTATTATGTAGGAAAGAGTGTATGTGTGCACATTCAGAAAGAGTGTACGTGTGCACATTCAGAAACAGCCCAATATTATCTCTTAGAGGTTCATACTGAAATATTCACAGATGAAATCATATGAAGTCAGGTATTTGCTTTTAAATAATCCTGTAAGGTGGGGACGGGGGGACTAAAATGTAAAGTATATAGGAAAGAAATAAGATTGGCCTTATGGACCTTTTTAAAATAACTCATTTAAAAGAAAAAAAGATCAGAGAGAAAAGTCACCTTCTAATCCAACATTTATTTAAAAATAAATTTATTTGCATGTAGAACAAAGGCAGGATTGCAAAAAAAAAAAAAAAAAGAGTTAAGCCAAGAGTATAATTAGACACTCTAATTGATTTTCAATGTGTAAAACATACTGGAGTATTTTTTAAGTTATGTTTCTCTATAAGATAAAACTTGATTTACGAAAAAAGGAATATTTAAATCAAACTTGTGAAACTCATGACCCATCTCTCAGTTGTAAAATTCTCCAGACTAGATGACAGAAAAGCTTCCTTTTAAATACTCAGTCTACAATTTTTCCTTATTTACTTAAAAACACAAAAAGTAGAATTCCATCATAATTTCAGAACAAAAATATAAAAAACCTGATTTAAGAAAAAATAAATATATTAAGAATTAGATGGAAATGATGTCTTAGGGCAGCAATTCCCACATAGTTTCATTTCAAGACTCTTTACACTCTTAAAGTCTACTGAGGACTCCAAGCCGGGAACGGTGGCTCACACCTGTAATCCCAGCACTTTGGGAGGCCGAGGCAGGAAGATCATGAGGTCAGCAGATCGAGACCATCCTGGCTAACACGGTGAAAGCCCATCTCTACCAAAAATACAAAAAAATTAGCCAGGTGTGGTGGCGGGCACCTGTAGTCCCAGCTACTCAGGAGGCTGAGGCAGGAGAATGGCATGAACCCGGGAGTTGGAGCTTGCAGTGAGCCGAGATCACACCACTGCACTCCAGCCTAGGTGACAGAGTGAGACTCTGTCTCAAAAACAAAACAAAACAAAAAAAAAAACGAATGAGGACTCCAAAGAGGTTTTGTTTATGTGAGTTATATGTATCACTATTTCCACTAGAAATTAAAACTAAGAGATTTTTACATCTTTTCCATTTCATTTAAAATAACAATAAACCCACTATATTTAACATAAATATTTTTATGAAAACAATATTTTCAAAAGAAAAACTGTAAGAATGACCCTGTTTATATCATTTCTGGGTCTACCTCTATTGATTGATATTTCCCTCTTATTATGGGATGTATTTTCTTACTTCTTTACATGTCAATTAGAAAAAAGTAGTTTCACTGAAAAGGGAAAGATAATTTTTTTCATTTCATATGAATGTTTCACTCATTTAACTACTACTTTTTAGTGGCTTTGCAATAAGATACAATGATTTCACCTTACATCTCAAATATTCTATATTATTCATCTTTAAATATTTTAGATTACTCAAACATAAGTAAATATAACAATATAAACATGCAATCTGTAAACTAAGTATTAATAAATACTTAGAGCCATACAGTAACTACTTAAAGTTCATTTCTTATCTCAACATTCATCTGAAAAATGAACAAATTCATGCCTTTTACTGATACAGAAGTAAAGCTAAAGGTAGTAAGAAATTTTCCCACACCATAAAAAGCAAAATTGTGTTTGAGTTTCATTTCTTTCTTCCACTTATAATGTTCCTATATTAAAAAATAAGAGATTTTTAAAGCCAACAATAACAGTGACAATAATTGTTCCTATTTTAACTAAAAGGAAATGGCTATTTTGACTGAACATAAAAGTAATCTATTTTTCCTTAATGTCTATAGCTTTTATGTCATCAGTTGATTGTATAATTAGCCTTAATACAAATGTATCTTATCAGTTCACTTTTCCATGACAGCCCTGTAATTTGAGAGAGGAAAAAACTAGATTTTTAAACTTACTGTTTTAGTGCCATGCTTCAGCGTTATCTCATGCGAGTCAGGAATCTTGTGAACAGGATTCTGAAACAAGAAAACCCCATGACATTAATGGTAAAATAACATATTTGTGGGGAACTACACAACACATTTCACAGGAAATACAATTTTTTAAAATTGCATCATTGGTTTTTAAACACAAAGCTTAAAAAAACAGCAAAAAAGTGTGAGAGTATCTTTTTTCTACACTTCTAGATACACTACAATGGGTCTCTGATGATAAACTGATTTTAAATCTCTAAAAGGATAAACCTAAGAAACTCATTAGGTTCTATAAAATTATCTCTTATTGTCAACATAAATTGAAATTTTAATTTAATCCAAATGTAAAAATAAATCAGTAGCTGTTAATAGTATAATTCATAAAGAAAAACTAGAAATTTATTTTTCCTTTAAATCACAGTTTATCAAGAGGAGCGAAAAGGTTGATATATCTGCTTACCATACTTTAATATCAAAAATTATTTTTAAGCATATTGTAACCTATGTATAAAATAATAATTACAGATTTTCCTAAAAAATAACCAACAAGGTCCTTTCAACATCAAAAATTTTTTAAGTTCTCTATCTATTCTGGGGCATACCTTAAAGTGTTAAGTACTTAATTTCTAACAAACAACAAAACCTTCACAGGGTAACTATATACCTTTTAACCCTTCAAAGTTAAAAAGAAAATTGTTCAAAAATGGTAAAAATAAGAAACTCCAAATCATTCACTGATTCATTGGTTCAATAAGCATTTACTGAAGTGGGATTGTACCAGTTGTTAGGTGGCAGCAGACACGGTCTCTTCTCATCCCTCCCACACAAGAAGCATATGGTCTAACAGGGAGATATCAATGGCTCTACTTCAGTATAATGAATGCTATCATAGACAGGAGTATGGGCAGAACAACTGAGGGACAGTAAAGAGGAATGCATAAATCAGACATAAGAGGTTACAGTGATCATTTAAATCAGAGGTTTCATTGTTTATTCAAGTCTCATTACTCAAGAGCAGGCTAATCCTACTAATATTATATGTCTATTACAAATTCAAGAATCATCTCACAATCTACTTAATTAAACATGTGACCTAACAGCTTTTTCTATCTTCAATCTTTCCCCTGCTATGGCTCTTTCTCTTCAGCATATAAACAAAGTATTAATACTTACCATAGTAAAAAAACAAAAACTAAAAGACTACTGACTTCCCCTAAAATTTATTGCTCAATCGTTATCTTTTCTTCTGCAATCCCGCTTTTTCAAACTATGGCTTCCCTCAGTGTCCCCACTTTCTTTCACCCCCTACCTCAATTTTGGCATTTATCATTTTATTCCTAATTCTTAGCACAGTTCTTGGCACATAAGAGGCTCTCAGTAAATAGTTCTAAATGAACAAACAAGTCACTATAAATCCCTCTGCACACTTTACAGAACTTAATCTACATACACGAACTTTCAACAGCATGGTAACTATTTATCTCCTCCATCTTGAAACTGTCCTTTGCTGGGAGGAAATAGCCTACAGAAAAAGCCAGAAATGCTAGAGTTTTTTAAACTAGCAATGCCATTAATTAACCATGTGATGACTTCAGCAAAGTTATGACTCTCAGTTTCATTTGCAAACTATGAATAATAGCACCTGCCCCACAGGTTACAGTGAAGTAAGTGGTTTCAAACTCCTAACAGAGTTTGGCACATGGTAGAGCTCAATAAATGATAGCCACTATGTATTCCAAGGCTTACCTCCTATATTGGCCACATCATCTTAGAGTGTTTTTCCAGGCTTCTTTTCCTCTTTACCTGGCTAATTTTTATTCATCCCTCAAAACTCAATTCAGATGTGACCAGCTGCTCAAAGCACTTCTCAACATTTCAAACACTGGGTTAAATGACCCTCTTATGCATTTCTATGGCATTTCCTTATCTCAGTCACAGAACTTACGATAATACATTGTAATTTTTTACCTATCTCCCCCACCACCACCCCCTTATCAAACTGCAAAATATAAGCTTCTCAAAGACTATATCTATTTATCATCTCTGGATCCCCTATGCACCAAAAAGCTGGTATATGGCAGACATACATACACACACAGAGAGGTTTTAGAAATGAATAAATGGCCCACTGTCTACCTTGTTCATCACACTAGATTGTAATTTTTAATTAACTCTCAAATTTTAGAGTAATGATCATGTCCATAAAGAAAAGCAGGTGCTATCACATCAGGCCAGCCTGGTAAGTGAGAGGCAAGAGATAACTAAGATTTTCAAAAGCTGAAAACCTTTTAAGACCAAATTATTATATCCCAGACTAAAAGCAGATTGAAGATTGCAACAATACAGAAATAAAGGTAGTTTTGTTTTAGACTGTAAAGAAACAGTTGGGGAATTGCAGTTTTTTTCAAGACAAAGACATTACTGTTTTGTTTACTATACTGTGGAAAGTGCTGCACATACCTCTTTCAGAGATATCAATATTCAAACACAAATTCCAAAACAATTTAAAGGTCAAATTCTGGACTATTCCTACACTGAATAATCTGAGTCACTACTCTCTTTGCAGCTGACCACATTTGAACATAATGAAAACTCATTTGTAAGTGCTAAATATTCTTGCAAGAACCAAGATAATACTTGAAATGTTCTACTTACAGAAGAGTCTATCATAGTTTGTACCTCATTTCATAACTACTTTTTCATCACTCAGCAAATAGAAATACTGTCACCAAAAAGATAGGATGAAAATTATTTCATTTATTTCAATGCAGAATGTGCCTATATATAGACAATTTCTAACACTTAAAAAAATTTACAAGGACACACAACTTAGTATTTATATTAGGAGTGAATTAACCATTTAAATAAATGTTTACATTTAAAATCAAAGTTTTACTGGAAGTCATGCATGGCATAACTCATAAAAATCCCATATAATTGGCACAGCTAAATCATCTAAAATAGTAGCAATCCATCTTTTGGTAGCATATCACTTGATGGTGACTGTTCTTTTTCCAGAACTTTTACTAATGACTTTTTGAAATATAGCTTAGTGTGAAATTTGCTATAACAGTAAAATATTTTCAAGATTTTCCTGCCAAGGAACATCATAAACTATTTGACTTCGATGAAGTAATTTATTACCAGAATTCATAACAAGAGCTACAGTCCCAATGGAAGAGAGGAAAATATACCATTTTTTGTTTTGGCTTAATTTTGAAAACCAACCAAAGGATTATTTCCCAGGCTCTGTGGTCTACACCCAATAACAACAATGATGGTAAATATATCTAAAATAATATGAGCAATTCTATCTGATGAACATCCTTACAGAAATTTCAAATGACTTACAAATCAGAAACAACCCTTCTAGGCTAAGGTCACATACAACTATAAGCCATAATTAAACCTCTACCCAATAACAAAGATCTGCTACAAAGTTGCTGGGTGCTGGGGGAAGACAGTAAGGACTGCCAAAAAGAAGCTTGAAAATGAGCGCTATTTTCTCGCAGAAATCACTGAAGTACAGCTACCAGTGCAGGCAACCAGAATTAAAGTCTATTCTAGTGAAACTATGGAGATCTAATAACACTAACTTAACATTAATTCATTTCTTCATTGATATGGTTCGGCTGTGACCCCACCCAAAATCTCATCTTGAATTGTAATCCCCACATTCCCAGGACCAGGTGGAGGTAACTGGATCATGGGGGCAGTTTCCCCATGCTGTTCTCCTGAGAGTGAGTCTCAGAAGATCTGATGGTTTTTTATAAGCATTTGACATTTCCCCTGCTTGCATGTCGCACTCTGTCTTGCCACCCTATGAAGAAGGTGTTTCTCCTTTGCCTTCTGCCGTGATTGTAAGTGTCCTGAGGCCTCCCCAGAAGTGTGAAACTGTGAGTCAATTAAACCTCTTTCCTTTACAAATTATCCAGTCTTGTGTATTTCTTCATAGCAGTGTGAGAATGAACTAATACCTTCATTTACTCACTAAACATTCACTTAAGAAACATTTATTATTTAATTACATACCACACACTGGGTTAGATTAATGATAAAAGAACTATTAACAAAGACTCTGCTTACACAGAACTGTCAGTCCAGAAAAGCAAAATAAGACAGGTAAACAAATGGGCAAATGAAAATGTTTCAGTTGCTGTAACAGAAGTATACACAGGGTTCAGTGCTCAATTCCATTCTGCCTAAGAAAGTAGGTGGTTAGAAAAGAGATTTCTGGTATCTTTCAAAAAATAGAGGTTATCTAGATGAATATGATGAACATCCAGGAGAGAATAATATAAATCTTGACACTTTCTGAACTTCAAGTATTTTTCCCTTACTAGAGTTTGAATTGCTAGGCAGAAAATAGAGCAAGGGTGTATGTGTTATACATATACAGCACTATGCCATTTTTATATAAGGGACTTCAGCATCCTTGCATTTGGGGATCAGCAGGAGAGTCCTGGAGCCAATTCCTCTCAAAGGGCCAACTGTATACATAAAAGCCAGAGAGAGAGTTCCAAATCAGGCTGTATACAATTCCAAAAAACAGAAGTTTAAGCTCTGAGTCATAGAAAGTAATTTGATAAAGTCTGAGATTTTAGGCCAGGCACGGTGGCTCATGCCTGTAATCCCAGTACTTTGTAAGGCCAAGGTAGGCGGATCACTTGAGGCCAGGAGTTTGAGACCAGCCTGACCAACATGGTGAAACCCCATCTCTACTAAAAATACAAAAATTAGCCAGGCGTGGTAGCACACACCTGTAATTCTAACTACTTGGGAGGCTGAGGCACATGAATTGCTTGAACCTAGGAGGTGAGGGTTGCAATGAGCCAAGATCGTGCCACTGTACTCCAGCCCAGGTGACTGAGACTCTGTTCAACAACAACAAAAAAAAATCTGAGATTTTAAAATATCGCCAAGGTGTTCTGGGCATCAAAAGAGATAATCAATACAGTAAAAAGACAATCTACAGAGAAATGGGAGAAAATTTGCGCAAATCTTATATATAAGGGATTAAAATCCAGATTATATATGTTTTTTAATTTCTACAGCTCAACAACAGAAAAAAACAAACCACCTCATTTTAAAATGAGCAAAAGGCCGGGTGCGGTGGCTCACGCCTATAATCCCAGCACTTTCGGAGGCCAAGGCAGGCAGATCACGAGGAAGGTCAGGAGATCAAGACCACCCTGGCCAACATGGCAAAATCCCGTCTCTACTAAAATACAAAAAGTTAGCCAGAAAGGCCGGGCGCGGTGGCTCAAAGGCCGGGCGCGGTGGCTCATGCCTGTAATCCCAGCACTTTGGGAGGCTGAGGTGGGCGGATCACAAGGTCAGGAGATCGAGACCATCCTGGCTAACACGGCGAAACCCCATCTCTAGTAAAAAAAAAAAAAATACAAAAATTAGCCGGGCGTGGTGGCACACGCCTGTAGTCCCAGCTACTCAGGAGGCTGAGGCAGGAGAATCGCTTGAACTCAGGAGGCGGAGGTTGCAGTGAGCCGAGATCACGCCACTGCACTCCAGCCTGGGCCACAGAGCGAGACTACGTCTCAAAGATAAAAATAAAATGAGCAAAAGACTTGAACAGGCATTTCTCCAAAGAAGGTAAACAAATGGCCAATAAGCACATGAAAAGATGCTCAGCATCACTAATAATTAAGGAAATGCAAATTAAAAGCACAATGAAATATCACTTCACACTAGGATCAAAAAACTTTTACTATCAAATAAACAGAAAATAACAAGTGTTGGTAAGGAGGTAAAGAAACTGGAATCCTTGTGCAATGTTGGTAGGAATGTAAAATGGTATAGCTACTACGGAAAACAGCTTGGTAGTATCTCAGAAAATTAAAAATATAATTACTGTATGATCCAGCAATTCCAATTCTGGGTATATACCCAAAAGAATTGAAAGCAGAGTCTTGAAGAGCTATTTGTACATCCACGTTCACAGTAGTATTCACAACAACCAAGAGGTGAAAAGCAACCCAAGTATCCACTGATGGATGAATTAATCAACAAAACGTGACATAAACATAAAACAGAATATTTTTCCGTCTTAAAAGAAAGAAAATTCCGACACATGCTACAACACAGATGAACCTTGAAGACATTATATTAAGTAAAATACATCAGTTAGAAAAAGACAAATACTATATGGTTCCACTTATATGTGCTAGAGCAGTCCGATTAATAGAGATAGAAAGCAGAATGGTTGCTGCCAGGGGCTGGGGGCAGGAGGAAACTGGGAGTTGCTATTTAATGGATATAGAGTTTCAGTTAGCAAAATGAAAAAGTTCTGGGGATTGATTGTACAATAATGTGAATATATGTAACAATACTGAATTGTACACTTAAAAATGGTTAAGACGGTAAACTTTATGTTATGTGTTTTTAGCACAATAAAATTAATAATTAAAAAATCATCAAGGCTGTGGTGTGGAGGCTGAACTAGGAAATTACCAGTATAAGGTAAATGCCAGTGTAAGCACAGGGAAGCCTATTAAAATATTCTTGCAATAATCCAGAGAGGACCTGAATTGACATAATACAGTGGGAATGGAAAAAAGAAAAAAAAAGAGGAATTATATAAGAGATCTTAAGGACTTAAGATGTGAAGAAATAAAGATAGCTCTGTTACTCTCCACCCAAAGCCCTGACGTCACTCTTATAATTAACTATTCAATAAATATTTATTGAGTACTGACTATGCCTAGCACTGATGATATTCTGGTTTTAAAGAAAGAAGGTTCCTGCCTTCATGAATCTTGCAATCCGATGACAGTCAGAACTTTAAATATATATGGCCAGGCACAGGGGCTCATGCCTGCAATCCCAACGCTTTGGGAGGCCAAGGCAGCCTGATCACCTAAGGTCAGGAGTTCCAGACCAGCCTAGCCAACACAGTGAAACCCCATCACTAGTAAAAATACAAAAATTAGCCAGACATGGTGGCACAAGCCTGTAGTCCCAGCTACCCAGGAGGTTGAGGCAGGAGGATGGCCTGAACCCGGGAGGCAGAGGTTGCAGTCAGCCAAGATTGCGCCACTGCACTCCAACCTGGACGATAGAAGGAAAAAAAAACTGTATACATACACATGCTGGGCACGGTGGCTCGCATCTGTAATCCCAGCAGTTGGGAGGCCGAGGCAGGTGGATCACTTGAGGTCAGGAGTTTGAGACCAGCCTGGCCAACATGGTGAAACCCCGTCACTACTAAAGATACAAAAATTAGCTGGGTGTGGTGGCGCAGGCTTGTAATCCCAGCTACTTGGGAGCCTGAGGTGGGAGAATCGCTTAAACCCAGGAAGCGGAGGTTGCAGTGAGCTGAGATCATGCCACTGCACTCCAGCCTGGGCAACAGAGCGAGACTCCGTATCAAAAAAAAGAAAAAAAGAAAAGAAAAAAATCTATACACAAAGTATTAATTAATTACAACAGTAAAAACTTCATTAGTACAGGGCGATTTTAATCAATGTGGAAAACGCATTCAATACACTAGTCTTTCATTTTCTTTACCATTATTCAGCCATTTACCCTCATGTCCAATTCTAGAATTAATTGACACCCAGTGCTGCTTTGATTCTAAAACCACAAACCAAGATATACAAATCTTTAACTACAACAGTTCTCTCTTCAGATCACACTCAGTCACACTGTTTTCTACCTTATTAGTAGACCACTTTACTTTCATCTTATCACTCCCTTTCTCTGACCTTACATCCCAATAAAGATATTTTATAAAAAGGTGTATTGGAACTAGGTTTACCTCTAAGAGATATATTAGTTAGGACATTGGAAAGTTCACAAATAAAACTTTAAAACAGGCTGGGTGCAGTGGTTCACGCCATTTAAGATAATAACAAAAAACATTAAAACTTAGAAATAATTTTTTAAAATATGTGCAAGACCTGTACACTTAACACTATGTTACTGAGAAAAATTAAGGAGAACTTAAAATAAATGGAAAGATATATAATGTTTATGGATTGGAAAACTTAATATTGTTAGGAAAGTAAGGCTCTCAAAACTAATCTACAGATTCAATACAATCTCAACCAAAATCTCAGCAGGCAGTTCTGTACAAATTTACAAGCTAATTCTAAAATGTATTTGTAAATTTGAAGACTCAGAGTAACCAAATCAGTTTTCAAAACAAACAAGTCAGAGAACTGTACACTACATGATTTCATGTATAGAGCTATAGTAACTAAGACAGTAACTGAGCTACAGTAACTGAGACATTGTGATAGTAGAGTAAGAATGGCCATGCATATCAATGAAATAAACAAATCAGAAATTAACCCACACATATACAAATTTGTTTTCAAGAAAAATGCCAAGATAATCCAAATGAGAAGACCTTTTAAACAAACAATACTCAAACAATTGGGTATCAATTTGGAAAAAATAAAAAAGGAACTCCAATCCTTTCCTTACACCATACATAAAAATTAACTTGAAACAGGTAATAAATGTAAAAACTAAACCTATAAAACAATGAGAAAGTATAGGAAAAATTTTTGCAATCATTGGTAAGGAAAGATTTCTTAGAATACAAAAAATACACACCAAAAAGAAAAAAAAACTGACATATTTTATCAAAATTTAAAATTTCTATCCTCAACAGACATGATCAGGAAAATAAAAGGCAGACTCAGACTGGACAAAGATATTTACAATACATTTATGTGACAAAATACTTCTATCCAAAATATTTAAGCTCAAAATAAACTCTAAACTCTAAAACTCAATAAAAAGGCAACCTAATTTTTCAAATGGACAAAAGATTTGAACAGACACTTCACAAATGATGCACACATTAGCCAGGCACAGCGATGCACATTGCAGTCCCAGACACTCAGGAGCCTAAGGCAGAAGGAATTGCTTGAGCCCAGGTGTTTGAGTCCAGCCTAGGCAACACAGTGACACCTCATCACAAGAAAAGAGGTTTAATGTCAGTCAACAAGCAATTGCAAACTAAAGCCACAATTAAACAGCACTACACACTTACTGGAATAGCTAACATTAAAATTATCAACAATACCAAGTGTAGGCAAGGATATGGAGGAGGCAGAATTCTCCAATTTTGCAGGTGAGAGTGTAAAATGGTAATAATCACTCTAAAAAACAGTTTGCTAGTTTCTTATAAATATACACTTACCACATGATCTAGCAATTTTGCTTCCAAGAGAAATAAAAACATATATCTACAAAAAGACCTGTACAAGAATGATCACAGTAGCTTTATACAGAATAGCCAAAAACCAAGAACAAGCTATTTGTCTATCAAAAGATGAATAATCTATGGTAGATTCATAAACATACTACTACTTAGCAATAAAAATGAACAAAGCACTAACACATGAGACAAGATGGGCAAGTCTCAAAAGCATTATGCTGTGCAAAGTAAGTCAAACACAGAAGAGTTTGTACAGTGTTTCCATTTATATAAAATTCTAGAATGGGCTAAATTAACCTATAGTGACATAAAACAGATTTGCCTGGGATTAGGGGTAAATGGAGGGAAAAATGGATTGACAGCAAGGTGGCTTGAAAGAAACATTTTTGGAAATGTTCTAAATCTTGATTGTAGTAGTGATTACTCAGATGCTTACATTTTTAAAATTTCACAAACTATACTCATAAATTGGTTGCATTTTACTGTGTGTAAACTATACCTCGATAAAACTAATTTTTACTTTTTTTGCTGATATCTGCAGAAAAGCAAAACTGGTTATTTTTTTAATGAAAAAACAAAAACAACAACAACAAAACAAAAGCCTGATAGAATTAGTTTTGGCTGTAACAAAAACCCAAAATAAAGTCAGGACTGACATATGTCTAAGACAATCAGGACCACAGCTTGTTGCCCTCATAAATTCAACAAGTCTAGGTGATGGTCCAAAAGGCTGCTGTGGTTTCCAGACAGCAGGGAAAAAAAAAAAAAAGGAGGATACATCTCTTCCCATTAATTTTCCTCTCAAAAGTTGTCCATATTCTTGCACTTACATTTCACTGTCCAGAACTAAGCCACAGAGCCATACCTAGCAACAGGAAAAGCTCGGAAATGTATCTTTTTCTTTTATGAGACGGAGTTTCACTCTTGTTGCCCAGACTGGAGTGCAGTGGCACGATCTCAGCTCACTGAAACCTCCACCTCCCAGGTTCAGTCTCCTGAGTAGCTGGGATTACAGGCGCGCGCCACCACGCCCAGCTATTTTTTGTATTTTTAGCAGAGACGGAGTTTCATCAGGTTGGCCAGGCTGGTCTCGAACTCCTGACCTCAGGTGATCCTCAAGCGATCCACCCACCTCGCCCTCCCAAAGTGCATGGATTACTGGTGTGAGCCACCATGCCCAGCTGGGAAATGTATCTTTTATCCTGAACAGTTACATACTGAGAATCCTATTAGGAATAAAAAGAGAAATGTATGTGTGCAAGCATGTGTGCATGTGTTTATGCATGTGTGTGTACATGTACATGTATGTACATATACACGTCTATGTGTGCATGTGTATAAGAATCAATGAAATGACGTGTTTCTTTTTTTTTTTATTTTTTATTTTTGAGATGGAGTCTCGCTCTTTCGCCCAGGCCGGACTGCAGTGGAGCTATCTCCGCTCAGTGCAAGCTCCGCCTCCCGGGTTCATGCCATTCTCCTCCCTCAGCCTCCTGAGTAGCTAGGATTACAGGCGCCCGCCACCACGCCCAGCTAATTTTTTGTATTTTTAGTAGAGACGGGGTTTCACCGTGTTAGCCAAGATGGTCTCGATCTCCTGACCTCGTGATCCGCCCGCCTCAGCCTCCCAAAGTGTTGGGATTATAGGCGTGAGCCACCGCGCCCAGCCAACGTGTTTCTTTTTAAAGAGTTCAAAAATCTAGATAAAGCTGAGCGTGGTAGCCTGTAATTCTAAAACTTTCAGAGACCAAGGCAGGAATATCACTTGAGCCCATGAGTTTGAGACCAACCTGGGCAATACAGCGAAACCCCATCTCTAAAAAAAATTTAAAAATTAGCTGGGCATGGTTGTGCACACCCGTATTCCCAGCTACTCGGGAGACTGAGGTGGGATCATTTGAGCCTGGAAGGTCAAGGCTACAGTGAGCCGTGACTGTATTCCAGTCTGGCAAGAGAGACCCCATCTCAAAAAAAAAAAAAAGAACCTAGATTAGGCTTTAAGGCAACTACTTTTAGGTGGATATGTTAATTAGTCTCCAAAAATGGCCTCAAGAAATCACATCTCTCAATATTCACACCCTTGTTGTCTTCTTCCATGCAGAATCATCAAGTAAGAAGTCTGGATACACTGTTGGAAAGACTAGAGAGAGGGAAGGTGCTTTCCCCAAGTTTCAACGGAGCCAGCCTTCCAGCTGTCCCACCAAGGCACCCGCTATGTAAGTAAGGCCGTGGTGAACATGCTATATGCTAACTGCAGCTACACGAGAGATTCAAAGTAAGACCAGAAGAAGCAGCTAACCTCCAGTCAACTTATAGTCATGAGAAAAATTATACTGGCTATTCTTTTAAATCACTAAGTTTAAGGTGGTTTGTTACATAGAAGTAGATAACTAAAACAGTAAAGATGTTTTGATTTGGCAAAAAAACAAACTGTGAAGTAATCTCATATAATCTGAATTACTGCTTAAAGTTAAAATAATTACACTTTGTCATTAAATATAATAAAGATGCTTCTCATTTTACTTCATCTAATTCTGATACAATTGACCACACATTTTTTTCCTATCACAATCTTCCTTTTGGTTTCCATGACACTTATTACCCTGATTTACCTTCTACCTCCTTCTTGGCCACCTGTGCAGGATCTTCCTTCTCTATCTGTCCCTCGGGGTTCTGTCCTAGGCTTTCTGCTCATCTTGTTCATTGTCAGAGCTTCAATAGCCATACATATGCTGATGACTCTAAAATCTATAATCCCAGGCTATATGTCTCTCAACAACAAACCTATATTTCTAGCAGTCATCAGGATGCTTTGCCTGGATGTCTCAGAAATACCTCAACTTAATTGTCCAAAACTGAATTTACAATCTTCCCTATCACTCAGCCTCCAAACTCTGCTCATCCTGCTTTCTATCTCAGCAACTACTGCCACTATCTACCAGCTACAAAACTAATAATCTTGATGAGTCCCTCTCACCACACTTATATAATCAATTACCAAGTCATTTCCATTCTTCCTAAAAAGCATCTTTCAAATTATGCCATTACTCAAAAATCATGCTCAAAATCATTATAATTATAGACAAACTAAGGCTTAGGGGGAAAAAAGAAAAAAAACAGCATAAAAGGAAAAGCCTTTACAATTGCCTACAGGTCCTCCTGTTAGTGTTCTGATGTCAGTCATCTCCTCCTTCTCTCCCTCTTGTTCATTCTGTTCCAGCCATACTCACCTAAGAGCTTTTTTCATGAACGTGCCAGGCACATTACTGCCTTAGGGCCTTTACACTAGCTGTTCCTTATGCCTGCACCATTCTCCCAGATATCTACATGGTCAACTTCCTAATCTCTTTCAAGTCTTCTCAAAGGTCATCTTCTGAAGGAGGCCTAACTTGACCGCCCTATTTTAAATTACAACCTGTCTCCCAGTTAGCACTTCTGATCCATGTTATCGTGCTCTACATGTTCCCTTTCCCTATAGCACTTACAGCTTTCTATTGTTTATATTTATCTTCTTTGTTGTTTTTTTGAGATAGGGTCTCACTCTGTCACCCAAGCTGGAGTGCAGAGGCACAATCATGGCTCACTCACTGCAGTCTCAACTGCCCCAGACTTAGATGATCCTTCCACCTTAGCCGCCTGAGTGGCTGGGACCACAGGCCTGCATGACCACGCACAGCTAATTTTTCTATTTTTTGTAGAGACAGGGTTTTGCCATGTTGCACAGGCTATTCTTGAACTCCTGGGCTCAAGTGAGCCCCACCCACCTTGGCCTCCCAAAGTGCTGGGATTACAGGCGTGAGCCACCGCACCCAGCCTTTATTATCTATTTCTCCCTATTAGAATGCAAGTTCCATAAAAGCAAGATTTTTTTTGTCTGTTTTGTTCTCTGATGTATCTAGGTACCTAGAACAATGTTCAGCTTATAGTAGGCACATATAAAAAAATACTTTTTTGACAAAAAGCTGGAAAAAATTACAAATTAAATATAACTATAAAACAAATAAAATGTTAATTCACATCAACGCAAAGTTAATTTGATGAGTGATATTCTGTTGAAACTACACTGTTGGTTGGGCATGGTGACTCATGCCTGTAATCCCAGTACTTTGGGAGGTGAGGCAGAAGGACTGCTCGAGTCCAGGAGTCCAAGTCCAGCTTGGGCAACAGAGCAAGACTCCGTCTCTACAAAAACGAAAATAAAAAAATTAGCCGGGCATGGTGGTGCGCACTTGTAGTTTCAGCTACTCAGCAAGCAGAGGTGGAAGGATCACTTGAGCCTGGAAGCTTAAGGCTACAGTGAGCCGTGATCACGCCACTGTACTCCAGCCTGGGCAACAGAGCAAGACCCTGTCCCTTAAAAAAAAAAAAATGGAAAAAAATTAAATTGTCACTTGCAAAGTGCAGTACTGATGCCTCCATTTGGCATGTCTTTTGGTCAATAAGATCCATCTAGTAGCCTTTATAATTATATTTAGTATTACTGCATGCTACCTAGGCAATTCTAAGAACTGCTAACCACACAGAGACATCTGTAAGAACACTTTAATTCCAAAAACACACAAGCAGCAATATATTTATAAATAGATAATTTTTTTTTGTCTTTGTTTTTTTTTTTTTTTTTTTTTTTTGAGATGGAGTCTCCCTCTGCCGCCACGGCTGGAATGCAGTGGCGTGATCTCAGCTCACTGCAACCTCCACTTCTCGTGTTCAAGCGATTCTCCTGCCTCAGCCACCCGAGTAGACAGGATTACAAGCATGCACCACCTTGCCCAGCTAATTTTTGTATTTTTAGTAGAGGCAGGGTTTCACCATGTTGGCCAGGCTGGTCTTGAACTCCTGACCTCAGGTGATCTGCCCGCCTCGGCCTCCCAAAGTGCTGGGATTATAGGCATGAGCCACCGGGAGTTCAAGAATAGGCTGGGTGTGGTGGTTCACACCTGTAATCCCAGCACTTTGGGAGGCCGAGGCGGGCGGACCACGAGGTCAGGAGTTTGAGAACAGCCTGGCCAACAGTGAAACCCCATCTCTACTAAAAATACACAAAAATTAGCCAGGTGTGGTGGCGGCTGCCTGTAATCCTAGCTACCTGGGAAGCTGAGGCAGGCAAATAGCTTGAACCTAAGAGGCAGAAGTTGCAATGAGCCAAGATAGCGCCACTGCACACCAGCCTGGGAGACAGTGCAAGACACCATCTAAAAAAAAAAAAAAAAAAGACAAAAAAAAACAAACATTTAAACAACCTAAGCAGCAGCAAATCAGTGTTTCAATTTATAATTCTGTCATGATTTTAAAAAAGCAATGATTATTGCCAATGAAACTATGGTAGTTGAAAATCATACAAGAAATCCTATATTAGCAACTCTTGTTCTTCCTTTTTCTTCCCTTGTTTTTTCCTTTTCTTCTTTTTTTTTTTTAATGTTTTTGTTTATTATACTGGCCATGAACACTCCACCACAGTAACTCTCCTTCTTATTTGCTTCCTAAGTCAGAAATTCTGGAATCTAGACAGGAATCTATATTTAACTCCACTTGTAACCTTCAGTAAGTTGTTTAACCACACCAAACCTCAGCTTTGTCAATTATAAAAGTGAAAGAGGTTAGTTACCATGAATTATATGACATAATTTACTTTGAATTTATTCACATCTGGAACTGTGAACACTACCTTGTCACTGAGAAGGCCCCCCCTCACTTCCATCCTCTTCACTTCTTTCCACACTGCTCTCTACAATACTATTCTTCATAGGTCATTTTTCATCAAAAACCTTCAATGGCTCTCCACCACCTTGGTAGCAATCAAAAACTTTTCACAACATTCCCGCATTTTGTTTAAGAAAGTTTTCACATTTGGCCAGGTGCAGTGGCTCACAAGTATAATCTCAGCAGTTTGGGAGGCTGAGGCGGGCAGATCGATTTGAGCTCAGGAGTTCGAGACCAGCCTGAGCAACATGGCAAAACCCCGTTTCTACAAAAAATACAAAAAAAATTTAGCTGAGGGCTGGGTGCAGTGGCTTACACCGATAATCCCAACACTTTGAGAGGCTGAGGAGGCAGGCGGATCACCTGAGGTCGGGAGTTCAAGACAAGCCTGGCCAACATGATGAAACTCTGTCTCTACTAAAAATACAAAAATTAGCTGGGTGTGGTGGCATGCACCTGTAATCCCAGCTACTCGGGAGGCTGAGGCACAAGAATCACTTGAACCCAGGAGGTGGAGGTTGCAGGGAGCAGAGATCGCGCCAGTGCACTCCAGCCTGGGTGACAGAGTGAGACTCTGTCTAAAAAATATATATAAATAAATAAAATAAAACAAAAAAATTAGCCAGGCATAGAGGTTCATGCCTATAGTCCCAGCTACTCTGGAGGCTGAGGCTGGAGAATCACTTGAGTCCGGGAAGTGGAGATTGCATAAGTCGATATTGCACCACTGCACTACTCCGGCCTGGGCGACAGAGTGAGACTCTGTCTCAAAAAAAAAAAAAGAAAAAAGGAAAGTTTTCTACAACATTTGACTACTGTTTCAGGTAAAGTTAAACAAAATTAACATTTCAGAAGTTTCTTACATAATTAGAAAGCAAATACTTGTATTTTGTTATAAGATACTAATCTCTAAAGAGCCTATCATTTGCAGTGGTATTTTTCATTTATTACTTATTAATATTTGTATTAAGAATCCATCCTTATCCTTTACCCTCAGTATTAACCATTCCAGGTAGGAATGAAAGAAGAGAGAAGCTGAGCTTGCCAGGGAGAAGGATGGCCTGTAACAGAACTAAGAAGTAGCGACCTGGCTTCCTGGGACCCTGTAATGAAACTCCTCCCTCCCACACTCTCACTCCCACCCCAAGGAGAAGACTTTCTTTTACAACCACCAAGAGAGAGGGAGAATTTCACCTGCTGAGCTGGGTCTGAGTTGCACCATTTTTCCTATTTCTGAAAAAGTCCCTCATCTAGGATGTCAGTGGCAATACCAACCTCATGTATACCCCATTCTCATGCACACAAATTAACAACCTGAACCATCTTCTCAAAGCCTCAAATCCTTAGCCTTCTCTCTACAAAGAATATTTGTTGATTGATTCATTTAGGAAACAAAGCATCTTTTTAGAAGTAGAATAAAGATTAATACACACTTCACCCTGATATCTCCACAGTTCTGTTACTAAAAATGTAAGACAGGAATATAACAAATCAGAGGTAGCACAAAAGAGAAGGTATTCAACACCACTTTTGTGAGTCAGTGAAGATTTTCACAAGGAGAAAATGCTCTGTTTTCACAGGGAAAAATAATTCTGAAAAATGAAAAAGGTCTTCCTTGATGAAAGAGATAGGTCTGTCACAAAGTACCTTACAAGCGTCACAGCTTACATAGAATGCCACTGAATAGAGGTGTACTAAGTATTGATCAGCATCCAGAGAGAAGAAAAAGTATTCTGGAATGCATGAAACAGTCAGAACCAAAGACTGTTCACAGTTTACACAGATAGGGCATGAGGCAAATGTAGGAGAGATTCGAGATGACCCTGAGAAGCAGAACAGGTCACAACCAGTAGTGTAGTAGGGCATAATGGTTAAGCACATGGATTCTGGAGTAGCTTCCCTAAATTTGAAACCTGACTCCGCCATTTACCACTGCGTGGCCTTAGAGAACTTAGCACTTCCGAATACTAGTTTCCTCACCTGTCGAAAGGGGATGGATAACTGTACCTCCACTTCACTGGAGCAGTAGGAGGATTATATGAGTTAATTCATCTTAATTGTTTAGAAAATTGCACAAAAGAAGGATCCGCTAACTGTTGAACTGTTGGTGCTATAGTGCATATGCTTATTTCATGTCATAATTCTTTTATTTATTTTTTGTTTTTGAGACAGAGTCTTACTCTGTTGCCCAGGCTGAAGTGGTGGCGTGATCTCGGCTCACTGCAACCTCTGCCTCCTGGGTTCAAGTGATTCTCCTGCCTTAGCCTCCCGAGTAGCTGGGACTACAGGCACGTACCAGCACACTCGGCTTATTTTTTTGTATTTTTAGTAGAGACGGGGTTTCACCATGTTGGCCAGGCTGGTCTCAAACTCTCAACCTCATGTCATCCTCCCAAAGTGAGAGGATCATTTAAAGCCATGAGTTCGGGAACAGCCTGAGGAACATATGAAGACCCCATCTGTACAAAAAATAGCTGGGCATGGTGGCATGCACCTTTGTTCCTAGCTGCTCAGGAGGCTAGAGCAGAAAGATCACTTAAGCCCAGGAGTTCGAGGTTGCAGTGAGTTATGATAATACCACTATATTCTAGCCTGGGCAACAGAGCAAGAATCTGTGTCTAAAAAAGAAAAAAGAAAAAAACAAATCTTTTTCAAGATTGGCACAGGCAAATCTACTTGTATACACGTCAACAAAAGGTGAAAGATCAAGGAAACTATTTTACTTTCAAACACTGTGTTACTACTACTAAAGTGCAAATTGATATGTCTGTTCCTCTGGCTGTCTTCATTAATATTTAGAGGAGTCATAAAATAATTACCTGATTCTTGCTTCTAAGAATACTTACTTTTTTCTCTTTTTATTTATTTATTAATTTATTTTGTAGAGACTGGGTCTATGTTGCCCAGGCTGGTCTTGAACTCCCAGCCTCAAGTAATCCTCCCACCTCGGCCTCCCAAAGCACTGGGATTAGAGATGAGAGCCACTGTGGCTGACCAAGAATACTTTCTTTAGCTGTTAAGGTAGAAAACAAAATATGGGCCAGGCACGGTGGCTCACGCCTGTAATCCCAGCACTTTGAAAGTCTGAGGGGGGCAGATCACTTGACCCCAGGAACTCAAGACTGGCCTGGGCAACACAGTGAGACCCCATCTCAAAAAGAAATGTAATCAATAAATAAAGTAGCCCAAAATAAATTTAATAAATAGTAAACTGAGAGAAACAAACAAAGCGAAAAATATAATTGCACTAAATTCAGTTTTTGTTTTTGAGACAGAGTCTCGTTGTGTCGCCCAGACTGGAGTGCAATGGCGCTGCTCACTGTAACCTCCACCTCCCAGGTTCAAGCAATTCTCCTGCCTCAGCCTCCCAAGTAGCAGGGATTACAGGCACCTGCCACCGCACCCGGTTAATTTTTTGTATTTTTAGTAGAGATGGAGTTTCGCCATGTTGGCCTGGCTGGTCTCGAACTTCTGATTTCAGGTGATCCACCCACCTTGGCCTCCCAAAGTGCTGGGATTACAGGCATGAGCCACCATGCCCAGCCTAAATTCAGTTTTTAAAAAAAGAAAAGCAGCTGGGCGCGGTGGCTCACACCTGTAATCCCAGCACTTTGGGAGGCTGAGGCAGGTGGATCACCAGGTCAGGAGTTCAAGACCAGCCTGGCCAAGATGGTGAAACCCCGTCTCTACTAAAAATACAAAAATTAGCCGGGCACGGTGGCAGGCGCCTATAAACCCAGCTACTCAGGAGGCTGAGGCAGGAGAATCGCTTGAACCCCAGGACGGAAGTTGCAGCGAGCCAAGATTGCGCCACTGCACTCCAGCCTGGAAGACAGAGTGAGATTCTGTCTCAAAAAAAAAAAAGAAACACTTTAACGTAAAATGAAACATGAGTTAAACAGCAAAGAGGTGGGGGCTTATACAGGAAGACATAAGGAAGTAAAATAGGAAAAGAGAAATGAAAGTGAAAGATTTTTTAAAATGAGCATTCCATTACTTTACAGAAATTACTGGGCCCAACATGGTGGCTCACACCTGTAATCCCAGCACTTTGGGAGGCCAAGGCGGGCAGATCCCTTGAGGCCAGAAGTCGGAGACCAGCCTGGCCAACATGGTGAAACCCTGTCTCTACCAAAAGTACAAATATTAGCCAGGCGAGTTGGCAGGTGCCTGTAATCCCAGCTACCCAGGAGGCTGAGGCAGGAGAATTGCTTGAACCTAGGAGGCGGAGGTTGCAGTGAGCAGAGCCAAGATCACACCACGGCACTCCAGCCTGAGTGACAAAGAGACTCCATTTCAAAAGGAAAAAAAAGAAGAAGAAAAATTACTGATGATAGTAAATATCCTTGGGTAACAGAAAAAAAGTTTTTAGAAAGTACTAGATATGCCAAGAGATTTTTGAAAACTGAACAAGAGTTCTATGAATATAGAAGAAGGTATATGGCTATAAGAAATGATAAATGATACAAAGGAGAACATCCTAACTTTTTTTCATGATTATAAGAGAAGTAGTCAACTAAAAAGGAGAAAAGGAGATTACCATCCTGGCTAACACGGTGAAACCCCGTCTCTACTAAAAAATAGAAAAAATTAGCCAGGCGTGGTGGCGGTTGCCTGTAGTCCCAGCTACTCAGGAGGCTAAGGCAGGAGAATGGCATGAACCCGGGAGGCGGAGCTTGCAGTGAGCCGAGATCACGCCACTGCACTCCAGCCTGGGCGACAGAGCGAGACTCCATCTCAAAAAAACAGGAGATTCAAATTTTCACTGAAGAGGGGGTATAAAAAGATTACACTAAAATATCTTAAAATAAAATTAAAATTTTTAGGTCAAGGTTTATTTAATCCTGAATAAAATAAAATAAAATAAAATTCATAATTCAAAATTTAAGTCATAACAAATCTCATAATATAGTAAATGTTAGAATCCACAAAGAATGAATCAAGTATTATTTTATAGAAACTTCAATTTTTTCAAAATCCTGTGATATTCAAATCACGTATCATTCTTGTCAATTTTCTCTTTTCCAATCAGGAACTAACTGCTCTAGTTCAACCAGTTCCTCACTTTACAATGCTTTGGGTGGAGTGGAGAACTTCTTTAACATCATTTCCACTTACTTAATGGCGCACTTACTTAAATCTGCAAGTTTTGCAATTTGCTATGTATACACTAAATTGACAGATGTTTACCAGAGTTTACTGCTGAATACCTGGACATTAAAATAACTTGTATTGGGCGCAGTGGTTCATGTCTATAATCCCAGGACTTTGCGAGGCCAAGGCAAGAGGATCACTTGAGCCAAGGAGCTCAAGACCAGCCTAGGCAACATAGCAAGACTCCACCTCTACAAAGAATAAGGTAATAAAATAATTAGCTCGGCATGGGGGTGCACGCCTGCAGTCTCAGCCACTCAGAAGGCTGAGACAGGAGAATCACTTAAGCCCAGGAATTTGAGGTCACAGTGAGCTATGATTGTGCCACTGCACTCCAGGCTGGGCAACAGAGCAATACGCTGTCTCTTAAAAAAAAAAAAAACGTCGGTGGGGGTGGTGGCCGGGTGCAGTGACTCATACCTGTAATCCTAGCACTTTGGGAGGCTGAGACAGGCAGATCACCTGAGCCCAGGAGTTCGAGACCAGCCTGGGCAATATGAGGAAACTCCATCTCTAGAAAACACAGAAAAATTAGCCGGGCATGGTGGCGCCCACCTGTAGTTCCAGCTACTAGGGAGACTGAGATGGGAGGATTGCTTGAGCCTGGAAGATCAAAGCTGCAGCTGAGTAGTGAGCATGCCACTGCACTCTAGTCTGAGTGACAGAGCAAGACCCTGTCTCAAAAAAAGAAAAAAACAAAAACTTGTAAGTAAAGAGACTATAATCAAAGTCAGATAAAAAGTACCCCCATATTTGTCACTGCACTTAAAGTATGCTTTGGATTATCTTTATAACTTAGTCCATCTTCCTTAAAGTATCCTCATTTTGATCCATACTAGCAGTGTCCATCACATAGCAGATGCACAAAATATTTGTTGAGCAAAATAAAAACCACTGCTCAGAGGCAGAAACAACCCTTGAGAGGATACAAAAGCTTACCTGGAAAGGGAGCTTTAAAAAGACTGCACACTTTTGACATAATTGTGGAGGACTAGCCTAGAAATGTGTAAGTGGAGTATTAGCTTCTCAGCTTCTAAAGAGTAACTGTGGCTGGGCACGGTGGCTAACGCCTGTAATCCCAGCACTTTAGGAGGCCAAGGCTGGCAGATCACTTGAGGAGTTTGAGACCAGCCTGGCCAAGATGGCAAAACCCTGACTCTACTAAAATTACAAAAATTAGCCAGGCATGGTGGCACATGCCTGTAATCTCAGTTACTCAGGGGGCTGAGGCACGAAAATCGCTTGAGCCTGGGAGGTGGGGCTTGCAGTGAGCCGATATCACCCCATTGCACTCCAGCCTGGGTGACACAGGGAAACTATCTCAAAAAAAAAAAAAAAAGAAGCCCTCTCCCAAGCCCTCTCCCTCTCCCTCTCCCCACGATCTCCCTCTCCCTCTCCCCACGATCTCCCTCTCCCTCTCTTTCCACGATCTCCCTCTGATGCCGAGCCGAAGCTGGACTGTACTGCTGCCATCTCGGCTCACTGCAACCTCCCTGCCTGATTCTCCTGCCTCAGTCTACCCAGTGCCTGCAATTGCAGGCGCGCCGCCACGCCTGACTGGTTTTCGTATTTTTTTGGTGGAGACGGGGTTTCGCTGTGTTGCCCAGGCTGGTCTCCAGCTCCTAACAGCGAGTGATCCGCCAGCCTCGGCCTCCCGAGGTGCCGGGATTGCAGACGGAGTCTCGTTCACTCAGTGCTCAGTGGTGCCCAGGCTGGAGTGCAGTGGCGTGATCTCGGCTCGCTACAACCTCCACCTCCCAGCTGCCTGCCTTGGCCTCCCAAAGTGCCAAGATTGCAGCCTCTGCCCGGCCGCCACCCCGTCTGGGAAGTGAGGAGCGTCTCTGCCTGGCCGCCCATCGTCTGGGATGTGAGGAGCCCCTCTGCCTGGCTGCCCAGTCTGGAAAGTGAGGAGCGTCTCTGCCAGGCCGCCATCCCATCCAGGAAGTGAGAAGCGCCTCTTCCCGGCCGCCAGCCCATCTAGGAAGTGAGGAGCGTCTCTGCCCGGCGGCCCATCGTCTGAGATGTGGGGAGCGTCTCTGCCCCGCCGCCCCGTCTGGGATGTGAGGAGCGCCTCTGCCCGGCCGCGACCCCGTCTGGGAGGTGAGGAGCGTCTCTGCCCGGCCGCCCCGTCTGAGAAGTGAGGAGACCCTCCGCCCGGCAGCCGCCCCGTCTGAGAAGTGAGGAGCCCCTCCACCTGGCAGCCGCCCCGTCTGAGAAGTGAGGAGCCCCTCCGCCCGGCGGGAGGGAGGTGGGGGGGTCAGCCCCCCGCCCGGCCAGCCGCCCCGTCCGGGAGGGAGGTGGGGGGGGTCAGCCCCTCGCCCGGCCAGCCGCCCCGTCCGGGAGGGAGGTGGGGGGTCAGCCCCCTGCCCGGCCAGCCGCCCCACCCGGGAGGGAGGTGAGGTGGGGGGGTCAGGCCCCCCCCACCCCCAGCCGCCCCTTCCGGGAGGGAGGTGGGGGGATCAGCCCCCGGCCCGGCCAGCCGCCCCGTCCGGGAGGGAGGTGGGGGGGTCAGCCCCCCGCCCGGCCAGCCGCCCCGTCCGGGAGGTGAGGGGTGCCTCTGCCCGGCCGCCCCTACTGGGAAGTGAGGAGCCCCTCTGCCCGGCCACCACCCCGTCTGGGAGGTGTACCCAACAGCTCATTGAGAACGGGCCATGATGACAATGGCGGTTTTGTGGAATAGAAAAGGGGAAAGGTGGGGAAAAGATTGAGAAATCGGATGGTTGCTGTGTCTGTGTAGAAAGAAGTAGACATGGGAGACTTTTCATTTTGTTCTGTACTAAGAAAAATTCTTCTGCCTTGGGATCCTGTTGATCTATGACCTTACCCCCAACCCTGTGCTCTCTGAAACATGTGCTGTGTCCACTCAGGGTTAAATGGATTAAGGGCGGTGCAAGATGTGCTTTGTTAAACAGATGCTTGAAGGCAGCATGCTCCTTAAAAGTCATCACCACTCCCTAATCTCAAGTACCCAGGGACACAAACACTGCGGAAGGCCGCAGGGTCCTCTGCCTAGGAAAACCAGAGACCTTTGTTCACTTGTTTATCTGCTGACCTTCCCTCCACTATTGTCCTATGACCCTGCCAAATCCCCCTCTGCGAGAAACACCCAAGAATGATCAATAAAAATAAAAAAAAAAAGAATAATTGTGACTAGATCAGAAGCTAACTTTGATTCAATGAAATGTTTAGGAAGAAAGTAGCCATGCCCACAGCCAAGGATGGCCATTCCATTCATTCAACTAATATTTCTTGAGTACCTACTATGTGCTAGGTATCTGTCAAGCCACTGAGGATACAGCAGTAAAAAAAAAAAAAAAAAAACAGACTGTCCTCATAGAACTTACATTCTTATGTGAAGAAAGACAATAAACCAATACACAAAAATGTCAGATAATGATAAGTACCATAAAGCAGTGATAGGAAAAGAGGTGGGATGGGGAGCAGGGGGGACCTATATAAGATGGACAGAGAAGGTAACACTTGAGCACAGATCCAAGCAAAATAAGGGAGCCATGTGAAGTTCTGGGTATTATTCCATGTGGAAGAAAGAGTAAATAGAAAGTTTCCATGCGGGAATAAGAATAGAGGTCTCCAAAGAAAACCAGAAAGATCAATGTGGCTAGAGAGGAGTGAGCAAGCCAGGGGGTAGAAGGGGATAAAGTCAGTGTGATTTGCAGAGGCCAAGGCAAAGAACCTGAAGTGATAGGAAGAAACCAGACGTTTGGAGCAGAGAAGTGACAAGATCTGATATATATTTTCTTTTTTTTTTTTTTTTTTTGAGACAGAGTTTTGCTCCTGTTGCCCAGGCTGGAGTGCAATGCGCAATCAAGGCTCACCGCAACCTCCGCCTCCTGAGTTCAAGCGATTCTCCTGCCTCAGCCTCCCAAATAGCTGGGATTACAAGCATGCACTACCACGCCTGGCTAATTTTGTATTTTTAGTAGAGACAGGGTTTCTCCGTGTTGGTCAGGCTGGTCTCGAACTACCAATCTCAGGTGATCCATCCGCCTTGGCATCCCAAAGTGCTGGGATTACAGACGTGAGCCACTGTGCCCGGCAAGATCTGATATATATTTTCAAAAGTTTGGATTAGACTAATGATCACAGAAATAAACCTTATTCAACTTTATAGACTTCAATATTAAAGTATGAGGAAGCTATCCTTAAAATTCCCACATAGGAATCTTTTTTTTTTTTTTTTTGAGACAGAGTCTCGCTCTGTCGCCAGGCTGGAGTGCAGTGGTGCGATCTCGGCTCACTGCAACCTCCGCCTCCCTGGTTCAAAATGATTCTCCTGCCTCAGCCTCCCAAGTAGCTGGGATCACAGGCACACGCCACCATGCCCAGGTAATTTTTCTATTTTTAGTAGAGACAGGGATTCACCATATTCGCCAGGATGGTCTCCATTTCCTGACCTCATGATCTGCCCACCTCAGCCTCCCAAAGTGCTGGGATTACAGGTGTGAGCCACGGTGCCCAGTCAGGAATCTCTGTTACTTATCTAAAAAGCTTAAGATAAAATTTTAAATATATTTGAGAGAATTTTTCTGCATTCTTCTTCAGAGAAAAAAAAGTAATTATTCCAACACTAATCTCAATCTCAAACTCACTTGTTCCAGTCTGTAGAAGACATTATTTATAAAAGATTCTTTTTTTTCCTTCCACTATAGACAGGCAAAGGGAAAAACTGGATGCTTGCCAAAGAGCTTCTATTGCCCCCTAGTGCCCATTTTCACACATTAGCAGTTTCGAAACCCTAAGGAACATAGTCACTGGGTTTTGGAACACAGCTTCTAGCATCCTCTGCTGACATAACCTTGCAGGCGTAATTAAATTACTCTGTTTTAAAGGACATTAATTCTACTTTGAAGTTAAAATAGTTAAGTTTTCTCATACCAATTTTTTAAAACTTTTCTTCTTTAATTGAAGTCAACTTCAATTAAATTTAAATTGGTTATTGATCAAATATTGGTATTGATGATGAAAACAATGATAAAACCCAGCCATTCTGAGTGCCTAGTATGAGTCCTATGTTGCGTGTTTACATGAATCACCTTATTCTTACATCAACTCCTGGGAACTAAAAGATAGTTTTCTCCCGCTTTGAATTCTTCAGCCTCTCCCCATGTATCAGGGAAAGAGACTGACTGATACAGGTGGCTGGCAATGATCAAGGCCAAGGGGATGAGATGCCTCAGACCAGAAGACAAAGCAACACAGTGGTGGCCCAAACTTGGACTCCCCACCACAGAACGTGCTAGCCAGGGAGTCAGACAGAGTTCATGGAGAACAGGTGCTCACAACTAGAAAGCTGCTGTTACATCCAGCCCTTAGTTACAGTCATAAAAATCCAACTTTCTATTTTCTGTAGTAATGGGAAACAGGATAGCAAAGATAATGAAAATCCTCAGTAATCCTAAAGTTTCCATTTAATTATGAGTTAGAACCTCCTTCATCCCTAAAAAAAAAAAATTAGAATCATGAACAAGTAATAGAAATGGTTAAAAGATGTTTTGTTTTGTTTTGTTTTGCTTTGAGATGGAGTCTCACTCTTGTCACCCAGGCTGGAGTGCAATGGCAAGATCTCAGCTCACTGCAACCTCCACCTCCCGGGTTCAAGCAATTCTCCTGCCTCAGCTTCCCGAGTAGCTGGGATTACAGGCGTGCTCCACCACGCCCAGATAATTTTTGTATTTTTAGTAGAGACAGAGTTTCACCATGTTGGCCAGGCTGGTCTCGAACTCCTGACCTCAGATGATCTGCCCGCCTCAGCCTCCCAAAGTGCTGGGATTACAGACATGTGCCATAGCATCCAGCCAAAAGATGATTTTTCACCTGTTTTCTCTGATACTTCCCACTTGAATTTTTTTTTTACTTAGTTCTAAGAAAAATAATCATAATCCTTCAAATTCTACTGGAAAGAACAATTTTATTACCATTATAGATAAACAAAATGGAATAAAATAAGTAAAAAAAAGTTTATCAAAAAGAAATTATAATATAATTAATATTTTTAATATAGTGCCTTTAGCAGTAAAACTAAATCCAACTACTAACTAGTAACTGAAGTAAAATACATATAAGAAACAAAAAAATTAATCACAGTTGGGACAGTGTGGTTTATAACGTACCTACTAGTAAGTACTCTGGTAATTTTGCTTCCAATTTTAGAGCTATCAAATTGTTTTTTTCAAATCAAGACGGAGTCTCATTCTGTAGCCCAGGCAGGAGTACGGTGGCATGATATCAGCTCACTACAACCTCCACCTCCCAGGTTCAAGTGATTCTCATGTCTCAGCCTCCCGAGTAGCTGGAATTACAGGTGCGTGCCAACACACCCGGATAATTTTTGTATTTTTAGTAGAGATGGGGTTTGGCCATGTTGGCCAGGTTGGTCTTGAACTCATGACCTCAACTGATCCACCCGCCCTGGCCTCCCAAAGTGTTGGAATTACAGGTGTGAGCCACTGCATCTGGCCAAAAAAAAAAATCATTTGTAAACAGTATTGTAACTAGGAGGGGCACAAGGAACTATAGAGATGACAGAAATGTTCTGTACCTTATTTGGGATGGTGGTTTCACATAATATATACAACTGTCAAAATTCACCAAACTGAACCTTTAAGATCTGTGCACATTATTATATTAAATAACACCTTAAAAGCAAGGTATGGTGGTTCACACCTGTTATCCAGCACTTTGGGAGGCCAAGACAGGAAAGCGGCTTGAGGCCAGGAGTTTTGAGACCAACCTGAGCAACACAGCAAGACCTTATTTCCACAAAATAAAAATAAAAAAACAAATAGTTACACCTTAATAAAAACAATCACACTTTTTAGAAAGTATTGTGTGACTGTTTTAAGGAAAGAAAACTACAACTTTTTCTGATTCATTTGCCAGGTAGGTTCATAAGCTATCAAAATAAAGCGAGAATAAAGTTTTAATCTATAAATTTAATTAACTAAGTCATCTCTATCTTGAGGCAGCTCTTACAATTATTAAACTATAATGTATCTAAATTGTAAGGTTAGGGCAAGGCATGTATAATGGTTCTTATGGAAATAGATGTTTATTTACAGTTCTATGCTCACATTTCCTTTGTTCACACTTCCATACCTACTTCCATTTTCCATATAGAAACTAAGGGCTATGTGTCATAAAGAAAAAACACATTTGAATGTCACAAGCTTTTCATTTATAAAAACCAAAAATGTTCAATTCCATTTAACAAATATGTACTCTGTACATACCATTTATAAGGTATTGCATTAGAAGACACAGGACTTTTAAAAAACTACCATACCTTTCATACAAAAGTTCCTGTACTTGAGGTCTTAATATATGATTGGAAAAGAAAGGTAAGGGAGTTAGGACAAGCACACAAATAATGATTTAACAACAAGAAGCCAGAAACCAAGCCTGGGAAGTAGCAAATGCAGCTAGCATCTGGAGAGGTTGCTTAGAGGAAATTATATTTCAAATGGTCCCTAAAGGGTACACAGAATTTTAACAAGCAGAAACTGGAGGAATGAGAAAGTAGCATTAAAGTTTTCATCAGTACTCAAGTCAAAACTAGCAGACTCAGGCCAGGCACAGTGGCTGACAACTATAATCCCAGCACTTTGGGAGGCCATGGCAGGCAGATTTCTTGAGCCCAGGAGTTCGAGACCAGCCTTGGCAACATGGGAAGACCTTGTCTCTAAAAAAGAAAAAAAAAAAAAAAAAAAAACTAACAAACTCCAAGCTGGGTGGACTCACATTCGCCTGTAGTCCTAGCTACTTAGGAGGCTTAGGCAGAAGCACTGCTTGAGCCCAAGAGTTTTAGACCAGCCTGTGCATCATAGCAAAACCCTATCTCTTAAAAAAAAAAACACTAGTGGACCCCTTTCTCAGAGAAAATGAATGGGCAACATAGAGATTGGTGAAGTCTGAAAGATTTATGCATCAGGTCTTCTATATATTTGCCTATTGTGATGAAAGATTTGACATGTCTTTGAAAAAATATTCTGAATTACTGATAAAGCCACTGCTAACTGAGGAATGAATTATAATAGTTGTGAAAAATAACGGGAAAGAGTGAATAACTAAAACATTCTCTTAAAAAAAGCCAGTTTCTCAGCCGGGCATGGTGGCTCACGCCTGTAATCCCAGCACTTTGGGAGGCCGAGGTGGGTGGATCACCTGATGTTCAGGAGTTTGTGACCAGCCCGGCCAGCATGGTGAAAACCCGTCTCTACTAAAAATACAAAAATTAGCCGGGCATCCTGGCACACACCTGTAATCCCAGTTACTCGGGAAGCTGAGGCGGGAGAATCGCTTGAACCCAGAAGTCAGAGGTTGCAGGGGGACGAGATCGCACCACTGCACTCCAGCCTGGGCAACAAGAGCAAAACTCCATCTCCAAAAAAAAAAAAAAAGTAAGGCCAGTTTCTCACATTTGTTAGTGGGAGCAAGGAAAAAGGCAGTTTTTATACCTTCATTTCCCTTATGAGTGCTTCAGTGATCCTCGGTATAAACAAACCTGACAGATACACAGTCAAGCTTGACAAAAATCTCGGCTGAGGCTAGTTTTTTGGAATCTTCCCTTAATAAAATAAACCAAAAAGATTACATCTCATTTCCGAAGAGAAACAGTAGAATAACTACACAGCAGAACCAGACACAAAAGAATTCAAATGAAATTCAGCCAGGCATGGTGGCTCACGCCTGTAATCCCAGCACTTTAGGAGGCCGAGGCGGGTGGATCACCTGAGGTCAGGAGTTCGAGACCAGCCTGACCAACATGGTGAAACCCCATCTCTACTAAAAATACAAAAATTAGCTGGGCATGGTAGCAGGTGCCTGTAATCCCAGCTACTCGGGAGGCTCAGGCAGGAGAATCACTTGAACCCAGGAGGCGGAGGTTGCAGCGAGCCAAGATCACACCATTGCACTCCAGCCTGGGCAACAAGATGAAACTCCATCTAAAAAATAATAATAAAAATGAAATTCATGCATGTTAATACTCTGACCAAATCTTAAGAGTTTAAAGATTGCATTAGTACCAATAAACTTTACACTTTTTATTCCTTTGGAGAAAGGTAGCTAATGTTCACAAGTATGAAATAAAATCAAATAAGCACACATGCTATATATATTATATATAATACACACACACACAATATTAAAGAACCATTCACAATGGCTAAAAAGACCCAAAAAAATTCAAAATAAATAACTTGTCATTGCTATAACTGAAAGCAACAAATATTGAATATAGATACTCACTGCTTAGTTGCTAGTTGCCCCTTATCATCCATTCTTTGTATTGGAAGCATTAAATTTTAGGTAGACTCCTGGCCTCCAAAAAAGAAAAACTATTACACTTCTCAAGTTAAACAAAGATACAAAGTTCAAAATGAGGAGGCTTCTTTATCCTTATCCCTCTACCTTCTTTTTTCAATTTTTTGAGCCAAGTGTCTCGCTCTGTCTCCCAAGCTGGAGTGCAGTGGTGCAATATCGGCTCACTGGAACCTCCACCTCCCAGGTTCAAGTGATTCTCCTGCCTCAGTCTCCTGAGTAGCTGGGATTACAGGCGTGTGCCATGACACCTGGCTAATTTTTTTATATTTTTAGTAGAGATGGGGTTTCACTATGTTGGCCAGGCTGGTCTCAAACTCCTGACCTTAGGTGATGCACCCACCTCAGGCTTCCAAAGTGCTGGGATTACAGGCATGAGCCACTGCGCTTGACCTTGTCCCTCTACCTTCTTACTGACAAAAATGCAAAATTAATGGCTACAGCTACAGCATCTAACTTGAAGCCTGTATACTAAAGATGGCAGAAAAAAAGACAGACGCAGACGAGATCTGAGATATCCTGGACCTGCAAACTAGTTCTATTCCATTTAACTCCTTATTCATTAATGTGAGGGAGAGAAAAGACTTCTATCTTGTTTAAGCCACTGTTGTTTTGCATTTTCTGTCACTGGCAGCCAAATTAATAATACACTAACTAATATACACTTAAAACAGGCTCCACACTCAATTCCACAGGCTTCTAAGTATGGGAGGCAGCATCATACTGTAAAAGCATGGTTAGGCTGGGCACAGTGGCTCACCTGCCTGTGGCTCACACCTTTAATCTTAGCACTTGGGGAGGCCAAGGCAGGAGGATCTCGTAAGGCCAGAAGTTTGAAACCAGCCTAGGCAACATGGCAAGACCCCGTTTCTACAAAAACAGACAAAAGGCGTAAAAGGAAAAAAAAAAGCACAGATAGCCTACGTGTGCATAACATCTCTCTCACTTAATAGCTAAAGTAGGCAAATAAATAAATTGGACTAATTATTTAACCTCTGTGGGAAAAATTTGAGAAATATTTACCAATTATTTAGTGGTTCTGACTTATTTCTATTTTTTTTAAGATGGAATCTCACTGTCACCCAGCCTGGAGTACAGTGGTACGATTTTTAGCTCGTTGCAACCTCCGCCTCCCAGGCTCAGGTGATCCTCCTGCCTTAGCCTCCTGAGTAACTGGGACCACAGGTGCTCACTACACCCGGCTAATTATTTTTTGTATTTTTGGTAAAGATGGGGTTTCGCCATGTTGATCAGGCTGTTCTTGAACTCCTGAGCTCAGGTGATCCAGCCCCCCTTGACCTCCCCAAGTGCTGGGATTACAGGTGTAAACACTACACCGGCCTGACTTACTTAAATGTTATGTCTTGAAAAGCTTTATACTATTCTTTATATTCAGGCCCATCTCTCCCTAACTTTATTACTTTTGAGACAGTCTCACTCTGTCCCCAGGCTGGAGTACAGTGGCAAGATCATGGCTGGCTCACTGCAATCTCAAACTCCTGGACTACACCTAATTATTTGTTGTTATTCCTATTGTGAAAAAGTTATCTTTCACATTTAACACTTTAAACTGAACATTATTAAATGAATCTAACAGTTTTCGTTAGTTCCTTTTGTTTCAGGTAGAGTCATATAAACTACACCAATATTCCCACCTCTTCCTTATAATGCAGTCTTGATAATTTTAGTTTAACTGGCAAAAATGTCTAGGATAATATTAAATAATAATATGATTGTTACCTCTGTTGCTCCTTAATTATGTACAACACTGACTGTTGGTATGATGCATGAGTGAATTCCTTCAAATGATACGAAAGTTTCCTTTTAGTTTAAGTTTTTTATTAGATATCCTGTTAAATTTGTTTTTCAATTCCTCTTTTGCTATCCTATTGAAATAAATGACCTTAATGATAATAGCTAACACTGAACACTTTAAATACCAGATACTATTCTAAGGGTTCTTTATACATTCATTCACTCATTTAATCCATCCACATAATCTGAGTGGAGAATTTTATCAGTCCCATTTTATAGAGGGGGAAAGACAGACACAGAGAGGTTAAATAATGTGCCCAAAATCACACAGCTTTAAAGTGAAGGAGCCCTATCTGGCTCCAGAACTCACTCTCTTAATCACGATTCTATATTGCATCCCTGTATCTGTATTTTGCTCCTTTTTCTACTATACTAGTCCAGTCAAGAATGGAATGGAAGCTGGGAGACTTTAGTGGCTACTAACACTGAAGTGATATAGGATTAGACTAAAGTGGTAGTAATGGAGACAGGGAATTGGAGAGATCTGGTAATATGCCTTCAAGACAGAGCTAGTAAGACTTAATGGATCAGAGATTGGATGTGAGGTATGAGGGAAAGAGAGGAATGATGGCAACCAGGTTTTTTGGCCTACCCATAGCCTGGTATTTAAGACTCTGTTTCTCATGTTTTATATTAATTAACTTAATTTGTTTTCCTTAGTTTTCCAGTTTCCCTTCCTTCTTCCTAATCTATGCATTTCACTTCATTAAATCCTTTTTTGTTTTTGAGACAGAGTCTCACTCTGTCACTCAGGCTGGAGTACAGTGATGCAACCATGGCTCACTGCAACTTTGACTTCCCAGGCTCAAGTGATCCTCCCACCTCATTCTCCTGAGTAGCTGGAATTACAGGTGCACACCACCACACTTGGCTTTTTTATTTTTTGTGGAGATGGGGGTCTCACTACATTGGCAAGGATGGTCTCGAACTCCCGGGCTCAAGTGATCCTCTTGCATGAAGCTCCTAAAGTGCTGAGATTACAGGCATGAGCCACTGCGACCAGTCCATTAAATCCTTTTTGAGATGAGGTAAAATAAATATAAGCTTATTTACTAGTACTTAAGACTTATTCTATATTCATGTTCAATATTGTTTCCTTTGGGTTTTTTTAATCTGTTCTAGATTTTTGAATTGAGGTCATAATTGCTTTATAATGAGGGACAATTAACTGTTTATAGCACCAATAATTGTTTCTGATTATCGGCACAGCTATGGTCAATGTGGAAACTGGAAACATAAAAAAGTATGAGTCAGGGCCAGGCACAGCGGCTCACACCTGTAATCCCAGCTACTCGGGAGGCTGAGGCAGGAGAATCGCTTGAACCTGGGAGGCAGAGGTTGCAGTGAGCCAAAATCGCACCATTGCACTCCAGCCTGGGCAACAAGAGTGAGGGTCTGTCTCAAAAAAAAAAAAAGTATAAGGCAAAAAAAATATATATTATCCTCATTCCCACAATCTAGAAGCAAGCAATGGGAGTACTTTGTTCCACACATATCTATTGTTTAAATTACTGAAATCATACTGTCTATTCAGTTTTACATCCTTTCCTAGTGCTACTAAAAACCCTTATTAAACATGTTTAGTGACTTCATAACATTCTACATGACCACAACACAATTTACTTGTCCTTCTCCCTATTACTAGGTATTTATATTCTTCCTAATTATTCTAATATTTTACATACGCTGGTATTTTCAAACATTTTCAGACTTGGAACTCTTTCATCAAGAGAAAGCTCTGAGGAAGCCTAACATAAAAACAGAGCTGACCTGGCCAAAAACTGATAGGAGGGACCCCATCTCACCATACCACACACCCAGCAGTAATCCCAACACATTCAGAAAACCACAATTATAAGTACTAATGTGATAATTATTTTTGTGCAGAAAGCTTTGTCCAAATCTTTCATTACTTCCTCTGGATAGAATCCTTAAAAGGCTATTGAGTGTAAAGGAAATGAACATTTTCAAGGCTCCTGATACTAAATAATAAAGTTTCAATAATAAAAGCAATAACTTAGAGAAGGAACAGGATTGAAAAATAAATTAATTAAATTTGATTAAAAAAAAACTGTCAGAGCTACAGGCTCAGTTTCCAGAATATCTACATGTTCATGGCCCTTCTGAGAATATGATTATGATTTAATAGGTATAGTTAATTCAGGCACTACAAGGATATAAAAATGAACAAGATTCAAAAAACCAGGAGCTTATGGCCTCTGCCATGCCATCTTCAAAAGAAATTAAACACTAATGCTTCAGAGACATTAACATGCACATATTATAGAAAAAATATTTTTTCATAAAATACTGATCAAAATATATTAACTCTGAGCTATATGAAAGGGTATATGAAACCTTTAAAGTGGCTTCACTATCATAAAAAAAGCAATAATTTCATTCCCTTTTTTTAAGAAGAAATATTTTATAAGCAATATCCCATATCCTTAGGTATCCATGAGACATGACTCAGATCATAATCTGCAGAGGTACCCTAAGTTACCCTATGACCCCAACTGTGATTAAGTAAACAGCACAACTAGACTGTGAAGAAATCCATTAGAATTACCTGTGGAGCCTTTTATTATAAATAATACAAATTGCAGGAGTTAAGGCAAGTTCCACTACAGTTATACTGAATCAATCTCCAGAGTACAGGACCTAAGCATGCATACTTTTTAATTGCACCAAAGCTGATTCTTACATTCAGATTAAGAAACACTAGGTTAGCTGGGTGCAGAGGTTCACATCTGTAATCCCAACACTTTGGGAGGCTGAAGTGGAAGGATCACTTGAGGCCAAGAGTTCAAGGCCACACAGACAAGAGAGCAAGACCCCACTCTACAAAAAATATAAGAAGTAGCCAGATGTGGTTGTATGCACCTGTAGTCCTAGTTACTCAGGAGGCTGAGGCAAGAGGATCACTTGAGCCCAAGAGGTTGAAGCTGCAGTGAGCTATGATTACACCACTTGAATGAGAGTCAAAAAAATTCACTGCACTCCAGCCTGTTTGAAACAAGACCCCATCTTTAAAAAAAAAAATTAATTTTTTTAAAAAAGTTAACACTAGGTTAAAGAAAGGTTCTTTTTAAAAATATTACCCCATTAATTTCAACAATATTTGCTAAAATATCTAGCCACTCCACTATGTGAAATTGGTTGCTTTCCTATTAAATAGACTGTCAAAAGTGCCACAGTGATTATGAACAATAAAAAACTCAAATTGGATTCAGAAATCGCCAGGTGGAGTCCTGCCCTGCTGTGGTGGTGTTTTCCCTCATTTAGGGAATTAGTACTATTAGTTGCAATGTGACTTGTGTTACAGGTAGTTTAATCTTGCTGCAGTGGGGAAAGGGGATTAAAACAGAAGATCCTTGAGGCAAAGAGACCAGCTAAGTGGCTACAGCAAAAGTTCAAGTGTGACAAAATAAAAGCCTAAGTTTTATCTTAGATGTGTTGAATTTACAATATGGTTGGAGTTTAAATATGAACATAATTCATGAGTGGTTAGAAAGATTGGGGACCGGGCACAGTGGCTCATGCCTGTAATCCCAGCACTTTGGGAGGCAGAAGCAGGCAGATCACTTGAGGCCAGGAGTTCAAGACCAGCCTGGCCAACACAGCGAAACCCCATCTCTACTAAAAATACAAAAAATTAGCCAGGCGTGGTGGTGCACACCTGTAATCCCAGCTACTCAGGAGGCTGAGGCACGAGAATGGCTTGAGGCCAGGAGGCAGATGTTGGAGTGAGTCAAGATCGTGCCAGTGCACTCCAGGCTGGGTGGCAGAGCAAGACTTTGACTCAAAAAAAAAAAAAAAAAAAACGGAGGGAGGGAGGGAAGGAGGGAAAGAGGGAAGGAAGGAAGGAAGGAAGGATGGATTTTACATGCTCTTACCTGTAGAAGCTACAAAAGTGGATCTCATAAAGAGAGATTAGTGACTACTAGAGGCTGGGAAGGTTCGGGGGCTGGGAAAGATGAAGAGAGGCTGATTAACAGGTACCAATATATGGTCAGATAGAGAGAATAAGACCTAGTATTCAAAACATCAGTAGGGTGACCACAGTTAACAATAATCTTATTGTATATTTTAAAACAGCTAGAAGAGAATAATTTGAATGTTCCTAGCATAAGGAAGAGACAAATATTTAAGGTGATGGATATCCTGGATATCCCAATTACCCTGTTTTAATCTGTACACATTTTACGAATTTATCAAATTGTCATATATACCCCAAAAATATATATATTATTTATCAATTTTTTAGAAACTAAAACTGTCATAATCCAGCAATCCCACTAATGAGTATATATCCAAAGGAAAGGAAATTCACATTTTGATACCTGCACTCCCCTTTTCACTGCAGCACTATTCACAATGACCAAGATATGGAATCAACCTACGTGTCCATCAATAAATGAATGGATTTAAAAATTTAAAACACACACACACACACACACACACACACACACACAAATACTATCTGGCTAAATTTAGAAAGTATAAAATCATGTCACATGCAGTAACAAACATGAGTTTACAGGACATTGTGTTAAGTGAAATAAGCCAGGCACAGAAAGATAAATACCACATGTTCTCATTCAGATGAAGCTAAATAAACTGATCTCATAAAAGTGGAGAGAATAGTAGAAACAGAAACGAAAGGGTGAAAAGGGTAGGAAAAAGAGGGGTATAAAGAGAGTTTGGTTAACAGATACAAAATTACAGCTAGACAGAAAGAATAAGTTCTAGTGTTCTATAGCATTGTAAAGTAACTATAGTTAACAACTGTTTACTCCATATTTTCAAAGAGCTAAAAGTGAGAATTTTGAATATTGCCAACACAAAGAGATGATCAGTGTTTTACGCAATGGATATGCTAATCACCCTGATTTGATCATTACACTCTGTATACAGGTGTGGAGGATCACACTCTACCCCAGAAATATGTACAATTATGTCAATTAAAAATAATCTGTCAATTAAAAAAAATCCTTAAAAATATAATCTTGGCCAGGCACAATGACTCACGTCTGTAATACCAACACTTTGGAAAGTCAAGGTGGCAGGATGGCTTGAGCCCAGGTGAGACCAGCATGGCCAAGATGGTGAGACCCCCACCTCTACAAAAATTTTAAAAATAAAAAATTTGGCCTGGGTAAGGTGGCTCACTCCTGTAATCCTAGCACTTTGGGAGGCCAAGGTAGGTGGATTACCTGAGGTCAGGAGTTCAAGACCAGCCTGGCCAACATGGTGAAACTCCGTCTCTACTAAAAATACAAAAAATTAGCTGGGTGCAGTGGCGCGTGCCTGTAATTCCAGCTACTCAGGAGGCTGAGGCAGGAGAATTGCTTGAACCCAGGAGGCGGAGGTTGCAGTGAGCCGAGATTGCACCACTGCACTCCAGCCTGGGCAATAGAGCAAGACTCCGTCTCAAAAAAAAAAAAAAAAATTAATCTTTGGCTGGGCAGTGACTCAAGCCTGTAATCCCAGCACTTTGGGAGGCCAAGACAGGAGGATCACTTGAGCCCAGGAGTTTGAGACGAGCTGGGCAATGTAGTAAGACCTCATCTCTACTAAAAAAAAAAAAAAAAAAAAAAAAAATAGCTAGGTGTAGAGGCACATGCCTGTAATCCCAGCTACTCGGGAGGCTGAGGTGGGAGGATCACTTAAGCCCAGGAGGTCAAGGATGTAGTGAGCTTTGATTACACCACTGTACTCCAGCCTGGGTGACAGAGAGACCCCATCTCAAAAAAACACAAAAACTGTAATCCTCTACAAAGCTTACCAAATTACACATCCTCCAGAGAGTATTTATTCATACTTTCTGGATTTGATCTCATCCTCCTCATCTTTCTACTTTCTCCTAGTAAGAAAACTCAGCCATGCACTAATCAGGTACAATTTCATGACCATAGCTGTACTTATATACATTTGGGCCTTCGCTATAGCAATTTTTTTCTGGCTTGCAATATGCTTCTTTCTTCCCTTCTGTTTATCAGCCATTAGTCAGCCTTGCAAACCTGTATTAGCTCACACAACCATAAACAAAATACCACAGACTGGGTGACTTAAAACAATAGAGATGTATTTGCTGACAGGTCTGGAGGCTAGAGGTCCACAATCAAAATATGGACAAATGTGGTTTCTGGTGACACCTCTCTTCCTGGCTTGTAGACGACCACTTTCTGCTATGTCCTCAAAAAGCCATTCTTCCTTTCCCGTGGGAGAGGAGGAGTTAGTGCACGCTTTCTGGTGACTCTTTTTATAAAGACACTAATTCTATGAGATCAGTGGAAGTAATGTAGACAATAAGAGAGTACACTTTTCTGTAGAGAACTTAAAAACAATGATAAAATCAAGCAAAGATAAGCCTGCTTTTTATTATCACCTGGTGATGGCAATTATAAACAATGTTAGTTTAGACACTACTTAATGTTCTTTTTGCTATGGTTCCTATCGAGTTTTAATAACATATATGTGAACTTCAATTAACATATTTGTATTACTTATCTTTTAATAAACACTGTATTCTGGCCAGGTGCAGTGGCTCACACCTGTAATCCCAGCACTTTGGGAGGCCGAGGCAGGTGGATCACCTGAGGTTAGGAATGCAAGACCAGCTGGGGCAACATGGTGAAACCCCATCACTACTAAAAATACAAAAAATTAGCCAGGCGTGGTGGCAGATGCCTGTAATCCCAGCTACTCAGGAAGCTGAGGCAGGAGAATCACTTGAACCCGGGAGACGGAGGTTGCAGTGAGCTGAGATCATGCCACTGCACTCCAGCCTGGGCAACAGAGTGAGACTCCATCTCAAAAATAAATGAATAAATAAATAATAAAAATAAATAACCACTGTATTCTACACGAAGTTAATCTGGAGAACTCCCAGTTATCTGCACCACACACATGCACAAACACACTCACCTACTCGGGTCTCTACACACTGTTTTTCATGGTTCAGAATCATTCAAGCTCATTTCAAGGGTAATTTCCTATCTCCAATCCCTGTTGTACTACGTTTCTGCATTTAAATACTAGATTCAAAATAAACAAAGATTATAAAGACAAAGAAACAAAATGCTAAGCAAATCCAATTCTGTTTTCTATGGATGCCAAAAGAAAAAACAAAAGACATGGTTGGCAAAAGAATTTAAAACGGTAAATGTTTGAATACCTCAATTGTTTTCACCAAAAGCATTCTAAAGCAATGGATCATTTAATGGCAATGTTTGACATCATTTAGCCATTTTCTCTGATTTTTAGAGAAAAAAATTTAGAAGTTTTTACCAAATATAAAATGAATTTTCTGTAAAAACACTTTCATGAAAAAAAAATTTTTTTTTGAGACAGAGTCTTGCTCTGTTGCCAGGCTAGAGTGCAGTGGTGCAATCTTGACTCACTGCAGAGTCGGCCTTGCGGGTTCAAGCAATTCCCCTGCCTCAGCCTCCTGTCACCATGCCTGGCTAATTTTTTTTGTGTGTGTGTGAGACAGAGTCTCGCTCTGTCACCCAGACTGGAGTGCAGTGGCGCCATCTCGGCTCACTGCAAGCTCTGCCTCCCAGGTTCACGCCATTCTCCTGCCTCAGCCTCCCGAGTAGCTGGGACTACAGGCGCCCACCACCATGCCCGGCTAATTTTTTGTATTTTTAGTAGAGATGGGTTTTCACCGTGTTAGCCAGGATGGTCTCGACCTCCTGACCTCGTGATCCGCCCATCTCGGCCTCCCAAAGTGCTGGGATTACAGGCGTGAGCCACTACGCCCAGCCTATTTTTGTATTTTCTTAGTAGAGTCAAGGTTTCACCATGTTGGCCAGGCTAGTCTCAAACTCCTGACCTCAAGTGATCAGCACTCCTCAGCCTCCCAAAGTACTGGGATTACAGGCGTGCGCCACAGTGCCCAGTCAAAATATTTCAACCTACAGAGATATTTAAAAGCCACTAGAACTGATAAAAGAAAAAATATACAATCAACATTGCAATTTCTGGAACTTACTGTAAAACAAAAATTTTAATGAAACTGCCAAATTTATTCTTATTTTATTCTTGTTTGTTTTCTTAATTTTACATATGCACACACATGAATGCATGTGCATATGTGTGTATATATACTATAGATCTGTTATTTCATATGAAAGAAAAATGTACAAAATTGAAATTAGAAGCTTTATTTGATCAACTACAGACAGACGCAAATTGACAAATTTGCTGTACTATGTACTGAGAAGGAATACGCAAAGAATACCGATTTTGACAGTCATTGACAGATTTACAAAAGCTGTTGCTTTTCTGATTACTTTTCATTTCATTTCATAATTATTACTAAAAATAATTCATCACATAAAGAAGGGAGGTGTTAAAAAATTATCTACCCCAAGTGCGGCCGGGCGCAGTGGCTCACGCCTGTCCCAGCACTTTGGGAGGCCGAGGCGGGCAGATCACGAGGTCAGGAGATCGAGACCATCCTGGCTAACACGGTGAAACCTCATCTCTACTAAAAATACGAAAAATCAGCTGGGCGTGGTGGCGGGTGCCTGTAGTCTCAGCTACTCAGGAGGCTGAGGCAGGAGAATGGCATGAACCCGGGAGGCGAAGCTTGCAGTGAGCGGAGATGGCGCCACCACATTCCAGCCTCGGTGACAGAGTGAGACTCCCGTCTCAAAAAAAAAAAAAAAAAATTATCTACCCCAAGTGTCAAATACAAATGTAGACCATTTCCTTCAGCATTCTTTCCTTTCAGTATTTTGGAGATTATATCTTTTTTTTTTTTTTTTCTGAGACCGAATCTGTCACCCAGGCTGGAGAGCAGTGGTGCAATCTCGGCTCACTGCAACCTCTGTCTCCCGGGTTCAAGTGATTCTCCTGCTTCAGCCTCCCGAGTAGCTGCGACTACAGGCGTGCGCCACGATTACGCCTGGCTAATTTTTGTATTTTTAGTAGAGACGGGGTTTCACCATGTTGGCCAGGATGGTCTCAATCTCTTGACCTCGTGATCCGCCCACCTCAGCCTCCCAAAGTGCTGGGATTACAGATGTGAGCCACTATGCCCTGCCGGGCAATTACTCTTAAAATTGTAAACTTATATACTTGGCTTAAACTAATCTAAGGTTAACCGGTATCCCTGGCCTCCTCCCAAATAACATTTACAAAGCAATGAACTCTGATTTCACTCTCCCATCTTCTACTTCATTGTTGACAATAATTTTAGATCCAGTTTGCTCTTAAATCCTCCCAAATTTACCCATCATCATTATTATTTGCAGACAATGCATACATAGATTTTTTTTTTTTTTTTTGAAACAGAGTTTTGCTCTTATTGCCCAGGCTGGCGTGCAATGGCACAATCTCAGCTCACTGCAACCTCTGCCTCCCAGGTTCAAGCGATTCTCCTGCCTCGGCCTCTCAGAGTGCTGGGATTACAGGTGTGAGCCACCACACCCAGCCGCATACGTAGATTTAACAAAATGTTTTATCCATTGATTTCTTTTTAACACATTGCTTTCTGCCCTCCATTTATTATTTTTTAGTTGTTTTCTTCCTCCTGAAGTTCTTTCAATACAGGCTGTCAGTAATAAACTCCACAGTCATTTTCCTCAGGTTTTTTGCGGGGGGGTTGGGGGGGGCGGTTTGAGACAGGGTCTCACTCTGTCGCCCAGGCTGGAGTGCCATCTGTCGACCTCACTGCAACCTCTATCTCCTGGGCCCAAATTATCCTCCCACCTCAGCCTCCTGAGTAGCTGGGACCACAGGTGCGCACCATAACACCCGTCTAATTTTTGCATTTTTGTAGAAACAGAGTTTCGCCATGTTGCCCAAGCTGGTTTTCAATTCCTGAGCTCAAGCGATCCGTCCACCTCGGCCTCCCAAAGTGCCGGGATTACGGGTGTGAGCCACTGTACCGGCCTTTTTCCTCGGTTTGGTTTTTTGTTTGTTTTTTGGAGATGGAGTCTGGCTGTCTACAGGCTGGAGTGCAGTGGCACAATCTTGGCTCATTGCAACCTCTGCCTCCCAGGTTCAAGCGATTCTCCTGCCTCAGCCTTCCAAGTAACTGGGATTACAGGTGTTAAGCCACCATGCCCGGCCTTTCCTCAGTTTTTAAATTGGCTCTTACTCATGAAAAACAGTTTAGCAGAACTGATCTCTACAGTAAAGATATTACTCCACCGAATTCTTAAATTACCACTGAAATACTTACTTCCTCTTCCTCCTCTTCCTCTTCTTCTTCCTCTGCTTCTTCTTCTTCTTCATTAAGAGGTGGAGGTAAAGGACCGAGGATATCTTCCTCCATAAAATTAACTGGTTTTCCTACCATTTTAGGGGGTAAAGGAGGGCCAATTAACTCATCATCAGAAGAGTCAGAACTCTGTTCACTTTCACTGCTGCTCGTATCCCTGAAAATACAGAAACAGAAACTCTTTGCCTCTGCTGCAATGAAGAGCACACTTTGGAAATAGTATTCATTTCTCAGGATACTTTTCCTCTCCTATTAACAACTGGGTATTTTTTAATTTTTTTAAATTTGTAGTTCAAACATTAAATGTTTAATGCCAAATATTTTATCTTAAGAAAGTTAAAAAAAACCGTCTTACGCAGTCAAAAATAAAGGGTCACAGCAATTATATGTTAGACAGCCATTAGACCATTAGCACTCATAAAGAGACAGGTGAGACTGAGTGCAATGGCTCACACCTGTAACGCCAGCACTTTCAGGGACCAAGGCAGGTGGACTGCTTGTGCCCAAGAGTTTGAGACTAGCCTGGGAAACATCACGAGACCCTGTTTCTACAAAAAATAAAAATTAGCCAGGTGTGGTGGCATGTGCTTGTGGTACCAGCTACTCAGGAGGCTGAGGTGGTAGGATCACTTGAGTCCAGGAGGTCAAGGCTACAGTGAGCCATGACTGCGTCACTCTACTCCAGCCTGAACAACAGTGAGACCCTGTCTCAAAATACAGATATATAATAAAAATTTAATTTAAAAATTTTAAAAAGAGGTGAACAAGGAAATACAGAAGAAAAACTACAAAATAGTAACGGACAAAAACCACTGAGATATCCAGTGCCTCAATTAACTATATTTGAATCCAATCCCTGATTGCCACAGTAGCAAATAATGCCAGTCATGTAAGGAAGTTAATATTACTCCCAAAATGTTTCAATATAATTTCTGAAATACAAGTTATTTCTAACGGCTAATCCAAGTTTCCTACATTGCCAAAACATTAAATGTAGCATTCTTGCATTCTAAAAACACCATACTCTAACCAGGGGTGTCCAAGGGAGAGAATACAGTCATGGGTTCTTATTTTGTTTCTGGTTGTCCAGTGAAGCCATTTCCTCATCCCTCTTTTCTACTTATCACTAGAGACAGAAACTAAAAACCACGGCTTCAGGATGCTAAAAGTCTAAAAGAAAACAACAACAATATAACGCAGGTTGGACGGGCTTGAGAGTCTAGGGCATAGCATACTGATTCCCAAGTGGTTTCCTATCCACCACACCTGAGGACTATTATACACTCTCACTAAGGTCTCTAGCAAACACCTGTAAGCATAGCCCTCACCATCTACCACCCCTCCACCTGCCGCCAGAGTTGAGCATTCAGCATTCTTAATTGTATCAATTAATCTTTCAAATATTTGATAAGATTAAAAGTGTCACTGCCTTCTAATGAAGTATCTCTGGTATGTAAGCTCCAGGAAAGCACGAATTTCTGTTTTGTTCTAGCATCTAACATATTTCTAGCATCTAAAAAATGCTTCACCTATAACAGGCACTCAATATCTACTGACGGAAAAACATGAGATTTTTCTTTTTGTTTTCATCTAGGTTAAAAATTGAAAAGAATATATTCTCACATTCAGGTTACCCTTAAACAGAGGTATATGAACTAGCAAACCTCCATAAAAATCTGAGTTTCTACATTTGAGCCACTGCATAGCTCAAATCTCCACTCCAAGGCCTTCTTTCTAATTGAACAGGTTAAGTTTGGTTCACAACAAGGTCTTTGCACTTGTAGTTCTGTCGGCTGACTTACCCTTCCCATAGATTGTTACACGGCCTCTTTCTCATCTTTGGAGTTTCCTCAAATGTCTCCTCCTCAAAGAAGTCTAAGGGCACACTCCTTCTAAACTTTCAGGCACACCACCACTTCCCATTACCTTAAGTACCTTTGTTTATCTTCATTACATGCCTGCTAAGTTATTTTATTTGGTTATTTAGTTGTCTGTTATCTATCCCTTCAAATACTCCCACAACAACGTGAGCTCAGTGAGAACAAAGGTCTCAACTGACTTGCTAATTGCTATATCTCAGTGCCTAAAACACTGTGTAATCCACAGTAGATGCTCAGTAAGTAATAGTTGAATGACTAAACAAATTTATATTAAGCTATTCATACTCCAAAATTTTCCCCCTTATGATTAACGCACAAGTTTCCAGCTGCACTGGTTTAAAACAGATTTTTTTTTTTTTTTTTTTTGAGACAGAGTCTCACTCTAGAGTCCCAGGGCATGATCTTCGCTCACTCCCCGTCCTGGGTTCAAGTGATTCTCTTGCCTCAGCCTCCCAAGTAGCTGGAATTACAGGCATGAGCCACCACGCCCAGCTAATTTTTGTATTTTTAGTACAGACAGGGTTTCATCATGTTGGCCAGGCTGGTCTCGAACTCCTGACCTCGTGATCCACCCAGTTCGGCCTCCCAAAGTGCTGGGATTACAGGCATGAGCCACCTCCCGCAGCCCTCAAGTATCTTTTTTAACCACAACAAAATAAAACCAAAATCAGGCCAGGCGCAGTGGTTCACGCCTGTAATCCCAGCACTTTTCGAGGTAGAGGTGAGCGGATTGCTTGAGCTCAGGAGTTCAAGACTAGCCTGGGCAACACTGTGAACACCTGTCTCTACAAAAAAATACAAAAATTAGCCAGGCATGGTGGCACACACCTGTAGTACCACCTACTTAAGGGGCTGAGGTGGGAGGATCACTTGAGTCTGGGAGGCGAAGGTTGCAGTGAGTTAAGAATGTGCCACTGCACTCCAGCCTGGGTGACCGAGTGAAACCCTGTCTCAAAAAAAATTAAAAAATCAATAACAAGAGGAACCTTGGAAATTGTACAAATACATGAAAATAAAACAACACGCTTCCAAATGACCAAAGGGTCAATAAAAAAAATTTTTTTTTAATTTCTTGAAACAAAAGAAAATGGAAACAAAACATATCAGAACCTACGGAAAACAAAGAAAACAGTACTAAGAAGGACATTTACAACAATAAACACCTACATAAAAAGTAGAAATACATCAAATAACCTAATGATGTACCTCAAGGAACTAGGCAAAGAATAAAGCAAACCAAAAATTATTAGAGGAAATAAAAAAAATCAGAGCAGAACTACAAATGACATTGACACTAAAAAAAGAATAATAACGCTGGGCGCGGTGACTCACACCTGTAATCCCAGCACTTTGGGAGGCCAAGGCGGGTGGATCACAAGGTCAGGAGTTCAAGACCAGCCTGGCCAACATGGTGAAACCCAGTCTCTACTAAAAATACAAAAATTAGCTGGGCATGGTGGTGGGCACCTGTAACCTCAGCTATTCAGAAGGCTGAGGCAGAGAACTGCTTGAACCCGGGAGGCGGAGGTTGCAGTGAGCTGAGATGGTGCCACTGCACTGCAGCCTGGGCAACAGAGTGAGACTCCAACCCAAACAACAAAAAAAAGAATAACAAAACATCACTGAAACAAACGTTGATTTTCTGACAAGATAAACAACATCAATGTGTTAGGCCATTGTTGCATTGCCAAAAAGAAGTAACTGGGATGCCAGGCACGGTGGCTCACACCTATAATCCCAGCACTTTGGGAGGCTGAGGCGAGCAGATCACGAGGTCAGGAGTTGGAGACCAGCCTGACCAACATGGTGAAACCCCATCTCTACTAAAATACAAAAAAAATTAGCAGGGCATGGTGGCCCACACCTGTAATCCCAGCTACTTGGGAGGCTAAGGCAGGAAAATCACTTGAACCCAGGAAGCAGAGGTTGCAGTGAGCCCAGATCAAGCCACTGCACTCCAGCCTGGGCGAAAGAGCGAGATTCCATCTCAAAAAAAGTAATAACTGGAGGCCAGGCCCAGTAGCTGACACCTGTTATCCCAGGACTTTGGGAGAATGAGGCGGACAGATCATGTCAGGAGTTTGAGACCAGCCTGGCCAACATGGTAAAACCTGTCTCTACTAAAAATACAAGAATTAGCCGGCCGTGGTAGTGCACGTCTGTAGTCCCAGCTACTCAGGATGCTCACGTCTATAATCCCAGCACTTTGGGAGGCTGAGGCGGGTGGATCAACTGAGGTCAGGAGTTCGAGACCACCCTGGCCGATATGGTGAAACCCCATCTCTACTAAAAATACAAAAATTAGCCAGGGGTGGTAGCGCATGCCTGTAATGCCAGCTACTTGGGAGGCTGAGGCAGGAGAATCGTCTGAACCCAGGAGATGGAGGTTACAGTCAGCCAAGATCACGCCACTGCACTGCAGAGGGCGATAGAGCAAGACTCCATCTCAAAAAAATTAAAAAAAAAAAAAAAAACTCTATAAACACCTAGAAACTGATAGTTTAATAGAAGTCTTTCTGAAAATCAGGCACCTGGAAGATGATTTGGAGCAATCTCTGACCACATTTGATCTTGAGGATGTTGGCTCAATATCTTCATTTTGTCTTCTTAATTCTTTCTCTCTGTTCATTTCTTCCTCTTTTTCTCTTGCTTCTGAAAAGATTAAAAAAAGATTAACAAAAAAATCCCAACGGTTACAATTCAAAATATGTTAGTATTAGAAAGGCTAAAAATTAACATAGTCACAAAGATATAACTTAGAGTGTTAGCAGTAACAGCAAAAAATTATCAACCACAGCCACTGGAAAACAGTATGGTGGTTCCTCAAAAAGTTAAACATAGAATTATCACGTGATCCAGCAATTCCACTTCTGGTATATATCCAAAGAAACTGAAAGCACAGTCTAAAAAAGATACTTGTATACCCATGTTCATAAGAACGTCATTCACAACAGCTAAAATGTAGAAGCAACCAAAGTATCCATCTGTAGATAACTGCATTAGCAAAATGTGGTATATCCACATAATGAAATATTGTTCACCCAAAAAGGAAGGAGATTCTGCAATATGCTACAATTTGGATAAACCTTGAGGACACTATGCTAAGTGAGACAGACCACTCACAGAAAAACAAAAAGACGAATATTGTATAATGCCACTTACATGAGGTAATCTAGAGTAGTCAAAGTCAGAGACAAAAAGTAGAATGGTGGTTATCAGAGGCTAGAGGGAGGGGAAATGAAGAATTGTTTAATATGTATAGAGTTTCAGTCTTACAAGATGAACAGTGTTATAGAGATGGATGGTGGTGATGGCTGCACAACACTATGCACTTAAATATTAAGATGGTACATTTTATGTGTATTTTATAACAATTTTTAAAATTAGAAAAAAAATTTATCAACCTAAATGGCCAATGTGGTAAAAGAATTGAACGAAATTACTGCATAGCAATATAATATTAACTGCAGATAATAAAAATAGTGATAGAAAACAGAAATCTGGGGAAATATTAACAGATATGCTAAGCAAAATTAGCATAATGTAGATGGTGATATATTTTTTAAAAAGTATTCAAAGGTGAGATTTTAGGTAATTAACTTTCTAATGTTTTAAAACATAAATTTAGCACTTCTTGGCCAGGCGCAGTGGCTCATGCTTGTAATCCCAGCACTTTGGGAGGCCAAGGTGGGCGGATCACTGGAGGTCAGGAGTTCGAGACCAGCCTGACCAACATGGAGAAACCTCATCCCTACTAAAAATAAAAAATTAGCCAGGCGTGGTAGCGCATGCCTTTAATCCCAGCTACTCGGGAGGCTGAGGCAGGAGAATCGCTTGAACCCGAGAGGTGGAGGTTGTGGTGAGCCAAGATTGCGCCATTGCACTCCAGCCTGGGCAGCAAAAGCAAAACATCATCTCAAAAAAAAAAAAAAAACAGCACTTTTTTTCTGAATTTCCTACACTAGAATTTTGGTCAGAGACTAGCTATCAAAATCATAATAAAATTTATACTACCCGGGTGTGGTGGCTCACGCCTGTAATCCCAGCACTTTGGGAGGCCGAGACAGGCGGATCACGAGGTCAGGAGATCGAGACCATCCCGGCTAACAAGGTGAAACCCCGTCTCTACTAAAAATACAAAAAAATTAGCCAGGCGTAGTGGCCGGCGCCTGTAGTCCCAGCTACACAGGAGGCTGAGGCAAGAGAATGGCGTGAACCCAGGAGGCAGAGCTTGCAGTGAGCCAAGATCGTGCCACTGCCTTCTAGCCTGGGCGACTGAGTGAGACTCGGTCTCCAAAAAAAAAAAAAAAATTTATATTATAGGCTGCTCTGTCTATAAAGTAGCCATTCTTTTATTCCTCTACTTTCCTAATAAACTTGCTTTCACTATATTTAAAAAAAAAACTACTACATTAATTTTCTAGAGTTGTTTACTCTAGAAAGACAAAAAAATATTTAAAATATTAACTTTTTTCCCTCTGATAATCTCACTCTACAATTGTGGGGGCACTAGGAAGAAAAAGGATTATGTATGAATAGTTTGGTTCTCAATTGCCACCATCCTCAATAACCTGAGATAATCTTTAACATTTTTTTCCTTCACTTAATAATGAAATACAATACAATCCAAGTTGAGCAGCAGCAAAGGACACTTATCAAGTGGAATGTTGTATTCTTTAGGGTCTTTAGTTGCTGGGACATGGAGGATGAGGAATAAGCTTACCCAGCAAACATCAACAAGGAATTACATAGTCTTTCATGTCAAATATGGAAGACAAAACCCTCCAGGAAGAGGTAAGGCAAATATTACAGTGCTAGATCATGTTGACTTTTTTGTGTCTTCTGGGCTGAGGCGGGTCAAGAGTCAACAATTCTGCACTCTGATGCTAGAAACTGGAAAAAATTTAAAAAAAAGCAGTGTCCAGATTTAAGAATGGGCCTGTCGGGCACGGTGGCTCACGCCTGTAATCCCAGCACTTTGGGAGGCCCAGGCAGGCGGATCACGAGGTCAGGAGATTGAGACCATCTTGGCGAACACGGGGAAATCCCGTCTCTACTAAAAATACAAAAAAATTAGCCAGGCGTGGTGGCAGCCGCCTGTAGTCCCAGCTTACTCTGGAGGCTGAGGCAGGAGAATGGTGTGAACCCGGGAGGCAGAGCTTGCACTGAGCGGAGATGGCACCACTGCACTCCAGCCTGGGCAACAGAGCAAGACTCCGTCTCAAAAAAAATAAATAAATAAAAAAGAATGGGCCTGAAGCCGGGCGTGATGGTTCACACCTGTAATCCTTGCGCTTTGAGAGGCCGAGGCGGGTGGCTTGCATGAGCTCAGGAGTTCGAGACCAGCCTGGTCTCGACAGGTGAAACCCTGTCTCTACTAAAATACAAAAAATTAGCCAGGCGTGGCGGTGTGCACCTGTAGTCCCAGCTACTCGGGACACTGAGGCAGGAGAATCGCTTGAACCCGGAAGGCGGAGGTTGCAGTAAGCCAAGATAGTACCACCACACTCCAGCCTGGGCCACAGAGTGAGACTCCATCTCCACGAAAAAAAAAAAAAAAAAGAATGGGCCTGCTTAGCTCCTAGTTCACCCTGTTTTTTCAGCCAATCCCTCCAGACCTCGGGGGGTGGCAGCAGCAGCATTTGTACTCTAGGCTCATCTTCTCCCTCAGGTCTTACAGTCAATTATATTACTAATCAGGAAAAGATACTGAGGCTGCCTACTCAGCTGCCATTTCCCCCTTTTTTACTATTATTTTTTTAATAGAGACGGGGTCTCACCATGTTGCCCAGGCTGGTCTTGAACTCCTGGGCTCAAGCAATCCTCCTGCCTCAAGATTTACAAATGTGAGCCACCACACCATGCCAGTCCTCCCTCTTTTTCCCTTAGTTTTTCTTTTTGTTTTTTTTTTTTGAGACGGAGTCTCACTCTGTCACCAGGCGTCAGTGCAGTGGCACAATCTCAGCTCACTGCAACCTTCACCTCCTAGGTTCAAGCAATTCTCCTGCCTAAGCCTCCCGAGCAGCTGGGATTATAGACGCCAGTCACCATGCCCACCTAATTTTTGTATTTTTAGTAGAGATGGGGTTTCACCATGTTGGCCAGGCTGGTCTCGAACTCCTGGCCTCAAGCAATCCACCTGCCTCAGCCTCACAAAGTGTACTAGGATTACAGACATGAGCCACTGTCCCCAGCCTAGTGTAACACTTCTAAAAAAAAAAAAAAGTCTGTATTTCAGCTGGGCGTGGTGGCTCACGCCTGTAATCCCAACACTTTGGGAGGCTGCGGCAGGCAGATCACGAGGTCAGGAGTTCGAGACCGGCCTGGCCAGCATGGTGAAACCCCGTCTCTACTAAAAATACAAAAAATTAGCCGGGCATGGTGGTGCACACCTGTAATCCCAGCTACTCAGGGGGCTGAGGAAGAATTCCTTGAACCTGGGAGGAGGAGGTTGCAGTGAGCCGAGATCGTCCCATTGCACTCTAGCCTGGGCGACAGAGAGAGACTCTGTCTCAAGAAAAAGAAAAAAAAATTTGTATTTCATATGTCCTACACATACTTATAGCTTTCAAGAACATAAAAAACATTAAAAAAAATTTGTACCATTATCATTTCCAGACCCTTCACAGCACATATTTTATTGGGGTTTTACCGTAATTCATCCTTTCCACTAGTGCACTTAGCAACCAAGACAGCTCATACCCCCATATACAGACAAACTTGCTATTAAAAGGGTCAAAGTCTTAGTTTCCTCAAGTGTACTATCAATACCTGGGGAAAGACTCCAATACCAAGCATGAGATAAATAATGCCCATATGAGAATTTTCAACTTTTAAAGAAAAGTAAGTCAAACTGTCTCATGGTAGGAAACTAGGGTTCCCACAACCCCTCTCTTCAATTTCATAATTTGCTAGGACAGCTCACAGGGAATCACTTTTAATTCCACAGTCTAAATGTAATCTAATTGCCAAGTATGGAAGAACACTAAAAAAAAAAAAAAACTCTTATGAATAACTTCCCATATAATGATGAATACTACTTCTATAAATTATCCCAATGGTATTTTCTATTTACATGCTAAAGCTAAGTAGATCTTTCAAAGAGATAATCAATTTAGATTCATGTGTTTAGATCAGAGGTAGAAATTGCAGTCCAAAGATGTAAATCAAGAAAGTTCAATAATTTGTCCACAAAAATCAAAGGAGATCATAGTCTTGAGACAATTTTTCAAAAATTTAAAAATTTAATAACCCCCCAAGTTCCTCTTAGGTAAAATGCATACATGCTTTACTAAGAAAAATTACAAGAATTTAAAATAATATTTATAAAGTACTTTGCTGTTTATAAGCTACTACACCCAACATCTTAATCTCTTCAAGAAACTTCCAAGGTAGATGATACACACACAACAGGATTATGAAGGATCAGAAATTGGAAAATCCATCCAATGTTACTCATCTAGTAGACTGTGGGGCTGGGCCTTAAACCTAGGTCCCCCAATTAAAAATCCCAAGCTCTTTCCAACAGATTGTGCCCATTTTTTTTTTTTTTTAGACAGAGTTTTGCTCTCGTCGCCCAGGCTGGAGTGCAATGGCACGATCTAGGCTCACTGCAACCTCCGCCTCCCAGGTTCAAGCGATTCTCCTGCCTCAGACTCCTGAGTAACTGGCACTACAGGTGCCCACCACCCACACCCGGTTAATTTTTGTATCTTTAGTAGAGACAGGGTTTCATCCCGTTGGCCAGGCTGATCTCAAACTCCTGATTTCAGGTGACCCACCCACCTCAGGCTCCCAAAGTGCTGGGATTACAGGCGTGAGCCACCGTGCCCAGCCCAGATTGTGCCATTTTAAAACATTCTCCAAAGCAGCAAGATTTCATTTTTTAACAAGACAGTATTACAGGTCTAAATTCAATTTAATATTCTCAAAATATTACTGAGAACCTATTTTACAAAGCAAAGTACTAGGGGCTATAAAACTTACATACCCACAAATATATACATCTACTATATACCCACAAAAATTGAAAATAAAAAAATTAAAAATAAAAAGCTTCACTTTGGGAGGTTGAGGCAGGCGGATCACTTGACTTCAGGAGTTTGAGATAAGCCTGGCCAACATGGTGAAACCCTGTCTCTACTAAAAATAAAAAAGTCAGTCAGGTGGTGGTGGCACGTGCCTATAATCCCAGCTACTGGGGAGGCTGAGGCAGGAGAATTGCTTGAACCAGGAGGCAGAGGTTGCAGTGAGCCTAGATTGCACCATTGCCCTCCAGCCTGGGCAACTCAAAAAAATAAATAAGTAAATAACAACAAAAAGCCGACATAGCCAAACAAGACAATCCTTGTTCAAAACATGTTGTATTATATGCTTAAAATGGTAAATACAAGGTACCTATACTGTGATAGTACAAACATTCACTAAATTGTTTAAAACATTTGTAAATGCCTCAGATAGCATGTCTTTGTCCATCGTTTGAGGATATTAAAATTGTTTTTTGATGTGATGATATTGTGGTATAATATGAAATATATTTGGCCAGGTGCAGTGGCTCACTCCTGTAATCCCAGGACTTTGGGAGGCTGAGGGGGGCGGATCATGAGGGCAGGAGATCGAGACCATCCTGGCTAACAGGGTGAAACCCTGTCTCTACTAAAAATACAAAAAAAAAAAAAAAATTAGCCAGGCATGGTGTCCGGTACCTATAGTCCCAGCTACTCAGGAGGCTGAGGCAGGAGAATGGCGTGAACCCGGGAGGCGGAGCTTGCAGTGAGTCGAGATCGCACCACTGCACTCCAGTCTGGGCGACAGAGCAAGACTCTGTCTCAAAAAATATATATATATATTTGGTCTTTGTTTCAGGTTCCTGCCACAGAGCTTCTGAAACCCTTGGAATTTCCTAAGTGATAGGAGCTGTCTCTTGTTATTCATTAGAAGCCCCTTTGGATCCCACCTAAGTTTATGCTATTGAAGTGACTTAGTGCTGGACCCCTAGGCCTCAGGATGGGACTGCTGCTCACTTAAAAAACTGATGGGTTAGATAATTGGAACTTTCATCCCCACCCACCAATCTCTGGAGAAGCTGAAAATTAAGATCTGTAGAAATTTTTTTTTTTTTTTTTTTTTTTTTGAGACAGGCTCTCGCTTTTTTACTCAGGCTGTGATGCAGTGGCATGATCATAGCTCACTGCAGCCTCAACCACTGGGCTCAACTGACCCTCTCACCTCAGCCTCCCAAGTAGTTGGGACTACAGGTGTGCACCACCATGCCCAGCTAATTTTTGTAAGATTTTTTGAATGGGATCTCACTGTGTTAGCCCAGGTTTATCTCAAACTCCTGGGCTCAAGTGATCCTCCTACCTTGGTCCCCCAAAGTGCTGGGATTATAGGTGTGAGCCACTGCACCCAGCCTAGACACTCCTGAACCACTAGATGTGATTAGCTTCAGGGTAGCTGAACACAGGGGTATGCTGGGGAGTTGGTGCACCCAGAGAGGGCACAGAAGCTCTGCACCTCTCCCACCCCATACCTTGCCCAGTGCATTACTTCATCTGGCTGTTCATCTGTATCATTTATAATATTCTTTATAATAAACTGTTAAACGCAAGTAAAGTGTTTCCCTGTGAGCCGTCCTAGCTAATTATCAAACCAAAAAGAGCGGTCATGGGAACCCTGATTTATAGCCAGTAGATTAGAAGCACTGGTCACAACCTGTGAATTGAGATTAGTGTCTGAGTGAAGGCAGTCTTGTGGTAGTCTCCAGGCAGACGGTGTCAGAATTAAACTGAGTTACCGGATACCCAGTTGGAGAACTGGTTGATGTGTGGGGGAAAACTCCTACATATCTGGTGTCAGAAATAAAGTACTGGTTCACACCTGTAATCCTAGCACTTTGGAAGGCCAAGACAGGTGGATCACTTGAGCCCAGGAATTCAAGACTGGCCTGGACAACATGGTGAAATTTTTTTTTTTTTTTTTTTTTTTTTTTGAGACAAGAGTCTCACTCTGTCGCCCAGGCTGGAGTGCAGTGGCAAGATCTCGGCTCACTGCAAGCTCTGCCTCCAGGGTTCACGCCATTCTCCTGCCTCAGCCTCCCAAATAGCTGGGACTACAGGCGCCCGCCACCACGCCCAGCTAATTTTTTGTATTTTTAGTAGAGACAGGGTTTCACCATGTTAGCCAGGATGGTCTCAATCTCCTGACCTCGTGATCCGCCCCTCCCAAAGTGCTGGGATTACAGGCGTGATCCACTGCGCCTGGCCAACATGGTGAAATCTATCTCAACTAAAAATACAAAAAATTAGTGGGGTGTGGTAGCACCAACCTATAGTCCCAACTATTTGGGAGGCTGAGGTGGCAGGATTACCTGAGCCTGGGAAGTGGAGTCTGCAGTGAGGCAAGGTCATGCCACTGCACACCTGTCTAAGCAACAGCAGTGAGACCCTGTCTCAAATAAAAAAAAAAAAAAAAAAAAAGGGGGGAAAGTACTGAGAGGAGTGCTAGAGGATAGGAAACAACTTGGTTTTTCCTATCTCTTACAGGTATCTTGGTTAAGCTTTTTTTAAAACAATCCTTATCGTTTTAAGGTATATACAAAAATATTTATGAGTAAAATGATGTCCAAGATTTGCTTCGAAATCATCTGAAAGGGGAAACGAAGTAATGCTAGCCATGAACTGTTACAGTAGTTAAATCTGATTGATAGGTACATGGTAGTTCATGACTATACTTCCGTGTTTGAAATTTCACATAATAATGAAGGGTTTTGCTGGGTGCAGTGGCTCACACCTGTAATCCCAGCACTTTGGGAGGCCAAGGCGAGTGGATCACGAGGTCAGGAGATCGAGACCATCCTGCCTAACACGGTGAAACCCCATCTCTACTAAAAACACAAAAACAAAATTAGCCAGGCGTGTTGGCAGGCACCTGTAGTCCCAGCTACTCCAGAGCCTGAGGCGGGAGAATGGCATGAACCCGGGAGGCGGAGCTTGCAGTGAGCCAAGATCGCACCACTGCACTCCAGCCAGGGCGACAGAGCGAGACGCCATCTCAAAAAAATAACAATAATAATAATAATGATGGGTTTTGGCCTGGCACAGTGGTTCACACCTGTAATCCCAGCACTTTGGGAGGCCGAGGCGGGCGGATCACCTGAGGTCACAAGTCCGAGACCAGCCTGGCCAACATGGCGAAACCCCGTCTCCACTAAAAATACAAAAAAATTAGCCAGGCGTGGTGGTGGTCACCTGTAATCCCAGCTACTCAGGAGGCTGAGGCAAGAGAATCACTTGAACCCAAGAGGCGGAGGTCACAGTGAGCTGAGATCACGCCATTGCACTCCAGCCTGGGCGACAGAGCAGGCCTCCGTCTCAAATAAAACAAATAATGAAAGGTTTTTTTCAAAAAATAGTACATGTAGATGGCTTTCTTTTCACCACAAAAAGTTTTCTTCCAAAGACTGAAAATATTTTTTGTCAGGCACACTGCCAAATACTGGATATTGCTGCTGTACAACGTTTTATTTTTTATTTTAGTTATTTTGTTTTATATTTTATATTTTATTTTATCTTATTTTATTTTAAGATGGAGTTTTGCTCTTGTCGCCCATTTTATTTTATTTTATTTTTTTTATTTTGAGATGGAGTTTTGCTTTTGTCGCCCAGGCTGGAGTGCAATGGTGCGATCTCAGCTCACCACAACCTCTGCCTCCCAGGTTCAAGCGATTCTCCTGCCTCACCCTCCCTACTAGCTGGGATTACAGGGGCCCAACACCACACCCAGATAGTTTTTCTATTTTCAGTCAAGACGGGGTTTCACCATGTTGGCCAGGCTGGTCACGAACTCCTGACCTTACGTGATTCACCTGCCTCAGCCTCCCAAAGTGCTGGGATTACAGGCATGAGCCATTACACCTGGCCCATTGTTGGTCTTAAAATGATAAATTGGGCCGGGTGCGGTGGCTCACACCTGTAATCCCAGCACTTTAGGAGGCAGGCAGATCACAAGATCAAGAGATCAAGACCATCCTGGCTAACATGGTGAAACCCCATCTCTACTAAAAATACAAAAATTAGCTGGGCGTGGTGGCGTACACCTGTAGTCCCAGCTACCTGGGGGGCTGAGGCAGGAAAATTGCTTGAACCGGGGAGGTAGAAGTTGCAGTGAGCTAAGATCGCACCCCTGCACTCCAGCCCAGCAATAAAGCGAGACTCCATCTCAAAAACAAAACAAAACAAAACAAAAAAACAAAAAGCGGGGCACAGTGGTTCACGTCTGTAATCCCAGCACTTTGGGAGGCCAAGGTAGGCAGATCACAAGGTCAGGAGTTCGAAACTAGCCTGGCCAACACAGTGAAACCCCATCTCTACTAAAAATACAAAAAATTAGCTGGGCGTGGTGGCATGTGCCTATAGTCCCAGCTACTCGGGAGGCAGAGGCAGGAGAATCGCTTGAACCGGGGAGGTGGAGGCTGCAGTGAGCCGAGATCATGCCATTGCACTCCAGCCTGGGCAACAGGGCGAGACTCCATCTCAAAAAAAAAAAAAAACAACAGTGATAAGTAGCATAACAACATTCTTTTCTCTCTTTGTTCTCTGAGATGGAATTTCACTCTTGTCCCCCAAGCTGGAGTGCAATGGGGGTATATCAGCTCACTGCAACCTCTGCCTCCCGACTTCAACTGAAGCCACTGCCTCAGCCTCACGACTAGCTGGGATTACAGGCCCCTGCACCATGCCCAGCTAATTATTGTATTTTTAGTTGAGATGGGGTTTCACCATGTTGGCCAGGCTGGTCTCAAACTTCTGACCTCAGGTGATCTGCCCGCCTTGGCCTCCCTAAGTGCTGGGATTACAGGCATGAGCCACCGCGCCCAGCCAACATTCTTTTCTCTTTTTTAATATACTTGCATGAGGTATACATAGTACTTAAACCAATAAAAGAACAAATATCTGAGCTTCTTACCCAGTGTTTTGCGACTTCTTTCCACAGCTGTCCTTCGAGTTTGTTCAAACATTGCTTCCAAGTCAAATGTGCGAGCTTTTTTACCTAAAACATGAACAAATGGGAGACTGTGATTGTCTTGCAGTAAGTTGGCCAAACTTTAGGTGATCAATACTGATCAATAAACACTTACTTTGTCTAGTTTATAGCATGGCTCCAATATAACCATAATATATCACAGAAGAAGGAGTTTGAGTCACAGAAAACTTCTGCTGACAATCCCTTCACTAAGTACTATTAACCAGGCAACTTTCCCATCCTCCTCTAGATCCCTACCCTATGAAACAACAACACTGATGTGGGGAGGCAAAATGGAGAATGCCCCAAAAGTTACCCTTTGCAATATAATTAAGGTTATGGACTTTTAAATAGGGAAACTATCCTATTTGGCCCTTAAAGGCAAAGATGCAGAACAGCTATGGCAGAAGAAGTCAGAGAGATCCAATGTCTGAGAAGAATTTGAGGCATTATAGTTGGCTTGAAGACGAAAGGGGCAACATGAGAAGTAATGCAGGTACTTTAAGGAGCTAAGAGGGAAACAGAAATCTCAGCCCTCTAACAAGGAACTGGATGAGCATGGAAACATTCTCCTCCTCCCCCAGTAACTTTATCAAAACTCTTAAAATTTTCCCCTATTTGGCACAAACATATGGACAACTTTCTCACTCCTGAGTAAAGGAATGATGTACTAAAATGAAGGATTTATACCGGGTGGGGTGGCTCATGCCTGTAATCACTTTGAGAGGCTCAGGTGGGCGGACTGCTTGAGCTCAGGAGATTGATCAGCCTGGGCAACATGGTGAAACCTCGTCTCTACCAAAAGTATAAAAAATTAGCCAGGTGTGGTGGCACACATCTGTGGTCCCAGCTACTCAGGAGACTAAGGTGGGAGGATGGCTTAAGCCTGGGAGGAGGAGGCTGCAATGAGCGAAGATCGCACTAGTACACTCCAGCCTGGGTGACAGAGCGAGACTCCATCTCAAAAAATAAAAAAAGAATAGAAAAGGCTGGGCACAGTGGCTCACGCCTGTAATCCCAGCACTTTCGGAGGCCGAGACGGGCGGATCACGAGGTCAGGAGATCGAGATCATCCTGGCTAACACGGTGAAACCCTGTCTCTACTAAAAATACAAAAAAAAAATCAGCCGGGCGAGGTGGCGGGCGCCTGTAGTCCCAGCTACTCGGGAGGCTGAGACCGGAGAATGGCGTGAATCCGGGAGGCAGAGATTGCAGTGAGCCGAGATCTTGCCACCGCACTCCAGCCTGGGCGACTGAGCGAGACTCCGTCTCCAAAAAAAAAAAGAATGAATAGAGAAACTACAGAACTAGTATGTGTGAACACAACCCAAGGCCAATATGTGTAAGTCTACTGTTTAATTACTATCATAGAATTAATACACGCTGGTCAAAAGAAAACAAGAAGACCTTGAGAAAAGGTTCAGGGAAGTTAGAATCCCAATGTTTGGATGAACAGCATTTATAATTTTAAAATGGAAAATAAAGAGAAATCATTTTTCATGTATCAGTCTACTAAGTTTTGTTTTCATTTTTTAAATAATTTTCTTTTTAAATAATAATACCTACTCTGTGTTGGTAGGGATATGGTAAAAATGGCATTCTTAATTCTGTTAACTTTGGTATAACCTGGAACAAGTTTTTTGATGGGTATTACGGCAATAAGCATCAAGAAGCTTTAAAAGGCACATACCCAATTTTTCAGCTTTTTAAGTATTTATATTTCTGAATAAACTACACTCTCTTTTAGAAATCTACCCTACCGAATTACGTATTTTTAAAAATCCTCGTACAAATGCTGTTATTTACAAAAATGTTCATTTTAGCATTATTGGTGACTTAAAATTAGAAAAATCCTTTCTCTTCCTCTCTCTCCAGACTCTCATAACTGTCATCTGAGTTGGTTCCAACGGATAACGCAGAATAGAAGACAAATGGGAGAAGAATATTGACAAACTGCAAGGTATGCACCCGAGCTACAATAATTCCGAGTTGACAGCTCGATCTCCACTCCCACTCTGCGGATCTTCAAACCTCTGCACAAGGAAGAGGGTCTCTGCCTGGGGCAGTCACTCACCGAACCCCGTGAAGCCCATGGTGACCGCAAGCTGCGGGTCCGGTCCCGACGCGTCTGAGCCTGTCACTGGAGCAAGAGGAAAAGAGAGGCGGCCTAGTTAGTGCGGCGCCCCAGCTCCCCCGACACGGCCCACCCCGCCCGGACTCGCCTCATGAAACCCACCTTCGCTGGGCCCAGAGCGCTCCATGGCTGGCCGCACACCCCAGAACCAGCCACAGGGACAGCCCAAACAACTGCAGGGGAACTTGCCAATAACTTGCGGCAAATGCTGGAGGAAGTACCGCCTTCAAGCTACAGCGGCGCCGCCGAAGCCAAGAGCGGCGCCTTCCGCAGAGGGACCGCGGCTTTCTGCGCGGCACCGCCCTACCGGACAGGCGGGAAAGCGCCGCGCAACTCAGACCACTGGAGGGGAGAAGTAGTATCTGGAGTTTCTATAACATCCTTTCCCTTTTTTTTTTTTTTTTTTTAAGCCAGAGCCTCTGTCGCCCAGGCTGCAGTACAGTGGCGTAATCTCAGCTGACTGCAACCTCTGCCTCCCGGGATCAAGCGATTCTCCTGCCTCAGCCTCCCGAGTAGCTGGGATTACAGGTGCCGGCTAATTTTTGGTTTTTTGTTTTGGTTTGTTTTTTTTTTGTTTTTGTTTTTGTTTTGAGACGGAGCCTCTGTCGCCCAGGCTGGAGTGCAATGGCGTGATCTCGGCTCACTGCAACCTCCGCCTCCCGGGTTCAAGCGATTCTCCTGTCTCAGCCTCCCAAGTAGCTGGGATTACAGGCGTCCACCACCACGCGCAGCTAATTTTTTGTATTTTTAGTAGACACGACGTTTTGCCATGTTGGCCAGGCTGGTTTCGAACTCCTGGCCTCAAGTGATCCGCCTGCCTCGGCCTCCCAAAGTGCTGGGATTACAGGCGACACCCTTTGCTTTTTTTTTTTTTTTTTTTTTTTTTGAGGCAGAGTCTCACTCTGTTGCCCAGGCTGGAGTGCAATGGCGTGATCTCGGCTCACTGCAACCTCTGCCACCCAGGTTCAAGCTCTTCTCTTGCCTCAGTGTCCTGAGTAGCTGGGATTACAGGCGCCTGCCACCACACCCGGCTAATTTTTGTGTATTTAGTAGAGACGGGGTTTTGCTATGTTGGCCAGGCTGGTCTTGAACTCCTGACCTCAGGTGATCTGCCCACCTTGGCCTCCCAAAGTGCTGGGATTACAGGCCCCGTGCCACCGCGCTCTGCCTTTTTGTTGTTGTTGTTGTTGTTGTTGACTGAGTCTCCCTCTGTTGCCTTGGCTGGAGTGCAGTGGCGTGATCTCAGCTGACTGCAACCTCTGCCTCCCAGGTTCAAGCGATTCTCTTGCCTCAGCCTCCCGAGCAGCTGGGACTACAGGTGTGCGCCACCATGCCCGGCTATTTAGTATTTGAGACTACAGGCACCCGCCACCACGCCCAGCTAATTTTTTCTATTTTTAGTAGAGGCAGGGTTTACACCGTGTTAGCCAGGATGGTCTCAATCTCCTGACCTTGTGATCTGCCCACCTCAGCCTCCCAAAGTTCTGCGATTAAAGGCGTGAGCCACTGCACCTGGCCTGTCAGTCTAAAGTTTACAAGGCTAATCGTGTGCTCAGGATTGTCCTTCTTAAACAGAATGTGGGAGTTCAACACTTTAACGTTTAGAAGGTGGAGAAGAATCTCTTTCTTTTTGAGACAGAATCTCACTCTGTCACCCAGGCTGGAATGCAGTGGCACAATCTCGGCTCAATGAACCTCCACCTCCTGGGTTCAAGCGATTCTTGTGCCTCAGCCTCCTAAGTAGCTGGGATTACATGTGACCGCCACCACACCCGACTTTTTTTTTTTTTTTTGAGACAGAGTCTCGCTCCATTGCCCAGACTGGAGTGCAGTGGCGCGATCTCAGCTCACTGCAACCTCCGCCTCCTGGGTTCAAGCAATTCTGCCACAGCCTTGCGAGTAGCTGGGATTACAGGCCCTGCCACCACCCCTGGCTAATTTTTGCATTCTTAGTAGAGACAGAGTTTCACCATGTTGGCCAGGCTGGTCTCAAACTCCTGACCTCAAGTGATATGCCCGCCTCAGCCTCCCAAAGTGCTGGGATTACAGACGTGAGCCACTGTGCCCGGCCTAATTTTTGTATTTTTTGTAGAGATAGGGTTTCATCATGTTGCCCATGCTGGTCTTGAACTCCTGAGCTCAAGCGATCCACCCGCCTCAGCCTCCCTAAGTGCTAGGATTACAGGCGTGGGCCACTGCACACAGCCTATGAAAGAATATCTTATACCAAACCTTGTACCTTTGGCGCTAAGCTGGATAAGAAGTGAGCATCTGATCAGCCAAGTCCACTGCTCCCATATTATCGTTATAATCCACAATGACACATGGCTTCTTAGTTTTCTTTCCATCTGTTGTCTACTTCAATCACAGTATCATTGTGGAATATTGACAACATTGTGACTGCCTTGTTGTCACACCATTTCAGTGCCATAAGTTCACCATGGAATTAACATCACACATAGGAATGCTATGTTTTCTAGGATTTGACATTTTCAGCAGTCGAGAATTACTATATTTTGTAAATGGAAATTCCACTACTAAAAACAGAATGCTATAAATAGAATAATGTCTTTTGTTTCCAAAGTCAATATAATAGAGTGATGCAAAAATAATAAAATAGTAGACACAAACTTTGGGGGTTAAGTCGGGACTGTAATCTGTGAGTTATCTTGGGGTAAAGGCTGCAGCTGCAAGCACCATCAGAGAGTATTCTCAGGGAAAATGGGAAATGGGTTAACAGTGGGTAAATCTACGGTGCCTGTAGTGTATTCGTTTTTTTGTTTTTTTGGTTTTGATACAGAGTCTCGCTGTTGTTGCCCAGGCTGGATTGCAATGGCGCAATCTTGGCTCACTGCAACCTCTGCCTTCCAGGTTCAAGCGATTCTCCTGCCTCAGCCTCCTGAGTAGCTGGGATTACAGGCATGCGCAACCAGACCGGCCAATTTTTTTTGTATTTTTAGTAGAGATGGGGTTTCCCCATGTTGGTCAGGCTGGTGTCTAACTCCTGACCTCAGGCAATCTGCCGGCCTCGGCCTCCCAAAGTGCTGGGATTACAGGCGTGGCCCACCACGCCCGGCCAAATTCTTACAATTTTATGTTGTCTTAGCATTTATTTTGAATATAAGTTGGACTTTCTCATATCAGAAACAGGGTTCAGTCACCCTTGACACCGTTTCTAGTTCTACACCTCCTCCCAGTTCCTCAATGTGATCAATCCAGGTATCTATTGTGTAAAACTTCCTCCTGGTGCCCGCCTCCCCATAGGATAAATACATACAGCCTACTTCACCGGCCCTGCTGACACTGACGTCCTACATGGACTGTGCAGATATGCCACAGTGACTACCTCGGTCACAGCATGACTTCCAAGAACGGGGTGTCCAATCTTTTGGCTTCCCTAGGCCACAATGGAAGAAGAAGAATTGTCTTGGGCAACACATTAAATACACTAACAACAGCTGAGAACTTTAAAAAAATCACAAATCTCACAATGTTTTAAGAAAGTTAACGAATTTGTGTTGGGCCACATTCAAAGCCATTCTGGGCTGACAAGCTTGTCCTCAAATTTGTGCATGCTTGCTTTAAACCCACCAATTAAAGTGTGGGAATTCCTCTTGGGAAATCTATTTGGAAAACACCATGAACCCAATAAATGCATTGGCTCATGAGTCCCTCTTTGTCTTTCCCTGACTGCATTCCTTGACCTCCAGGTGCGCCAGATGCCCCGCCAGGCATGTAAGTAATAAAATCTTTGTTTATATCTGTGTTTCTACTAATCATTGAAGAAGCATGCTCTATCTTAAAATTCCTAAATTAAAACAGTCCCTTAAAATAAATCAAGGCAGTAGGATTCAAAATGTTGTAGTAGTCACTGTATTTTTCAGTTACATAGGCGTTGTAAGCAAAATCAGTTTCCCTTAGGAATATCCTTAATAAAGCCATAAACAGTATTCATTTCGTTAAACCCTGACCCTTAATTATACGTCTTTTTAACCTTCAGTATGACAAAATGAGAAGTAATCATAAAGTATGTTTTTAAAAAAATTTCTTACAGATGGGGTCTCACTGTGTTACCCAGACTGGAGTGCAGTGGCTATTTACAAGTTCAGTCATGAAGCACTTTAGCCTCAAACTCCTGGACTCAAGCGATCTTCCCCTGCCTCAGCTTCCTGAGTAGATGGGACCACAGGCATACGCCACCATGCCCAGCTAATGCATATCTAAGTAGAATGGTCATCGAAAAGAAAACCACTTGTAATTGAGTGGTTAGCTTTTTTCATGGAACATTATTTTTACCTGAAAGAATGACTCACAAAGTACAGTTGTTCATATTTAAGTATTTGGCAAACATTTTTTCAAAAATAAATGAAATGAGTTTATCACTTTAAGAAAAACAGGTCAGGCATGGTGGCTTACACGGGTAATCCCAGCACTTTGGAAGCCGAGGTGGGAGGATCACCCAAGGCCAGGAGTTCGAGACCAGCCTGGCCAACATGGTGAAACCCCGTCTCTACTAAAAATACAGAAAATTAGCCAGGCGTAGCTGGGTGCGGTGGCTCACGTCTGTAATCCCAGCGCTTTGGGAGGCCAAGGCGGGTGGATCACCTGAGGTCAGGAGTTCAAGACCAGCCTGACCAACATAGTAAAACCCCCGTCTCTACTAAAAATACAAAAAAATGAGCTGGGCATGGTGGTATGTGCCTGTAATCCCAGCTACTCGGAAGGCTGAGGCAGAATTGCTTGAACCTGAGAGGCAGAGGTTGCAGTGAACAGAGATCATGCCACTGCACTCCAACCTGGGCAACAAGAGCAAAACTCCATCTCAAAAAAAAAAAATAAAGAAAAGAAAATTAGCCTGTAATTCCAGCTACTCAGGAGGCTGAAGCAGGAGGATTGCTTGAACCTGGGAGGCAGAGGTTGCAATGAGCTGAGATCGCACCATTGCACCCCAGCCTAGGCGACAAGAGCAAAACTCTGTTTAAAAAAAAAAAAAAACTGACTGCACTTGTTGACAATTATTAAAATACTTCTTCTTTTTCTAAATATGTAACTGAGGCCAGTTTTTCCTTCTTTCTTTCTTTCTTTTTTTTTGAGACAGAGTTTCGCTCTTGTAGCCCAGGCTGGAGTGCAATGGCACGATCTCAGCTCACTGCAACCTCCGCCTCCCAGGTTCGGGCAATTCCCCTGGCTTAGCCTCCCAAGTAGCCGGGATTACAGGCTTGCGCCACCATGCCCCACTGATTTTTGTATTTTTAGTAGAAACGGGGTTTCACCATGTTGGCCAGGCTAGTCTCGAACCTCTGACCTCAGGCAATCCACCCGCCTCGGCCTCCCAAAGTGCTGGGATTACAGGTGTGAGCCAGCGCGCCTGGTGAGGCCAGCTTTTCTTAATATTAATATATTATACTTCAACTAAATAAGTCACAAAATGTTGACATGTTAGACAAAGTAGCAAACATAAAAAACCAAGTTTGCTCATTCTGCTTGCCAGCAGAATTTCACAAAGCCCAACTCAGTGACTAAGTATAGACTTCTAGAAGAATGCCCTGGAAACAATAAGCAGGTTAGAGCACAGGTTCCCACGTCTCTTGCTTCAATCAATGCATTTTTTAAAAAAAGGTAAGTTCAGTGTTCCTACCCCTTGCCTCTTCCAGTACATAAGATAGTGTCCCATAGGATTCATGATTATGCCTCTGTAATCTATAACCAGATGTACTCTTACACCCAAACTTTGATGAGATTTTGCTCTAATGTAATTTATGAGCTTTTTTTTTTTTTTTTTTTTTTTTTTTTAGAGACAGAGTCTCCCTTTATCAACCAGACTAGAATGCAGTGGCATGGTCATGGCTCACTGCAACCTGGAACTCCTGGGCTAAAGTGATGCTCCTGCCTCAGCCCACCAAGTAGCTGGGACTACAGGTCCACACCTGGCTGCCCAGGTTGGTTTTGAATGCCTGGCCTCAAGAGACCCTCATGCATAGGCCTCTCAAAGTGCTAGAATTACAGGTGTGAGTCACTATACCCAGTTTATGAGCATGTTTAATGTAATTTCTGAGCACATGCAGAGCTTCCAACCCCTGACATGTAAGCTGTGGGCTAAAAGCTACTTTGGAGCAGTCTTAACAGAAACTCTCTGAAAGGTTGCAATCCTGAGTCTGAATCAAACTGACTTTAATTCTTTAAAAGAGGGTTATTTTTCTTCAATTGACAGCAGATACAGATATGAGAATCCAGCCATCCGTTACTGAGCCAGACACTAAAGAGATTTGCAAAAATATGAAATAATCGCATTCTTCTCCCTGTTTTAGAAACTATAGTGATTTCTCATTTTAAAAAAGTGTTATATTAACATGGATTAAGCTTGGTATGCTTTTTTTTTTTTTTTTTGAAACGGAGTCTTACTCTGTTGCCCAGGGTGGAGTGCAGTGGCACGATCTCGACTCACTGCAACCTCTGCCTCCTAGGTTCAAGTGATTCTCCTGGCTCAGCCTCCTGAACAGTTGAGACTACAGGCGCACGCCACCACGCCCAGCTAATTTTTGTATTTTAGTATAGACGGGGTTTCACCATATTGGCCAGGCTGGTCTCCAACTCCTGAACTTGTGATCCACCTGCCTTGGCCTCCCAAAGTGCTGGGTGCTGGGATTACAGGTGTGAGCCACTGTGCTCGGCCTTGTTACTCTTTTAAATACAATGTTAAACATTTTAATTTTCAGTTTGAGTTATTCACAAATATTAATAGATGTAACCAACATGAAACAAAAACTCTCTGGAATCCTGAATAATTTTTAAGGGTATCAAGGGGGTCCTAAGACCAAAAAAATTCATAATTATCTGTTCTAGGGAAGAGGTCAGCAAACTTTTCCTGTAAAGTGCCAGAGTCCGTATTTAAGGCTTTGCAGTCTTTTGTAGAAATTACTCGGTTTAGCAGTTGTAGTGGGAAAGCATAGGCAATATGCCAATGAATTAAGTTAGTTAGATTACACTTTGGGGAGCTTTACTTCTATGCAGGAATATCACAGCAACGTTGTTGAATCTTCCAATTTATGGAGTTGAAAACTTTGTGTATTTTGTCTCAAATTAAAAACAAACTCGGTGCCAGACCACCACTTTTCAATCTATGGTCTACCAAATAAAGTAAACTCACAGCTAGAGACCCAACTGCCTATCTATATACCAATGATAAAAAATCCAGTTTTTCTTGGTATATTGGCTATGTCAAATTTTAAGTGTAGATTGGTAACATCAAAGAACTTTCAATTTTCAGAAATGTAGTCAAGTCTTTGAGGGAGTAAAAATGTAATTCAAATAGCAAAAGACCAATTTAGAGTAATTCAGTTATTGATTTGTGAAATTCTGAAGAACATAACTGGAAGCTTTCTTAGGTGAGATTCTAAATAAGAGCAGCTTTCTAAAAAGTGCTTTGATTTACCCACTCAGGTTGCCTTCTGTAGTAAATGAAGCCTCTTTTACCTCTCTGCTTTCTCCTATCCTGCTATAGTTTATACCTATCCAAATAGAAAAATTATAATGAAGCCCTTTGTCTCTGCTTGAAGCACCTTAAGGACAGGAAACACTGTGTTAGTTTGATAGTCCCAGCACCAGGCACAAGGCAAGTATTCAGTTTCTTAGGATTGTATGAACTCTTGGGTTCCTATCTCATACGAGTTCCTATACTAGCGCTGGGAATGGAAAGATGAATTAGAACTGTCTGCTATCTCTGCCACGATAAAAAGCACGGCAGCGGTCCACCTGCACTCAGCTTCTTCTTAAACACGTATTTTATACTAAGGGGCAACAAAGTCAAAAGACAGCGACACGCAAATGGAAAAGCCTGATGAATTCTAATTTACACTGAAGCCCGCGAAGAATATAGTGAGATACTGGTTTATATCCCTCTCTGTGACAGCGACCTACCAATTCTTAACTACTCTCACAAAAGCAGTTACTTGGAGAACCAAACTGCGCGCTCATGCGCGAACTCATATAGCTGCAGTTAGCGGATACCGACGCGGGAAGTTCCAAGACTCAGGTCGAGCACGCGCTTAAACCAACGGAACCTGACCAACCTCCTAGGCCAGACACACGACCTAGCTCCCACCTACCGTATCCCTCCTCCCTCCTTCCTCCTCACCCTATCCAACCCCATCCCGCCCCTCTCCTTCCCTGTTCCCTCCCCTTTATCCTTCCCTTCCTTTCCCTCCCTCCCTTCCCTAAATAACCTACCCTAATTTTACCCTGCCACACCCCAAAACCCTCAACCCCCTCGAAAGCATCAGCAGCCTCCTAGCTCCACCCACAACCTCTAGCCCCCTCCCAACAGCTTCCTCTTCCCAGGCCAGAACGGCGTCTTCCAGTTCCCCACCGGATGAAGCGGAAGTGCGTCATGTCGAGGCGCCAAGGCGCTCGTTTGGCGCGCGCGCCCTAGGCGGCGGATCTAAGCTAACTTCTTGGATCTTTTCTTGTTTCTCCTTGGTTTTTGACTTTTTCTGGACCCTGGTGTCTACGATTTCCGAGATGCCGTCTTCTTTGTTGGGCGCGGCGATGCCGGCCTCTACATCTGCCGCAGCCCTGCAGGAAGCTCTGGAAAATGCTGGACGGCTCATCGACCGTCAGTTGCAAGAGGACCGCATGTACCCGGACCTTTCCGAGCTGCTTATGGTGTCTGCCCCAAGTGAGTGATAGTGACCCTGCTTTCTCAACCTAAAGGACTCTCGCCTGACTTCCTAATTTGCTACTTATCCCCAGCGTTGGTCCCGGCGAGGATATGCTGAGATTTATGGCACTGTTGGCTGCATTTTTGGAGAACAGCAAGCAGCTTCTTTTCAGGTTTTTTCCTTTCCTCACTTTCTTCATTGTAGATACTTGAGAGGGCAAGAGTGAAGAGCAAGCTCCCAGTTGAAGCAGAAAGAGGCAAAGACCTCAACCTTAATGAGCTTCTCGCCGCTCTCAAGTGCTTATGGCTAAGGCCATATGAGAAGCATCTCCAGATCCAAGTCCCAAATTTGTTCATTTCTCCTGTTAGTGTTTGAGTAGATCGTAAGAGCAAACGAAGTTAATTTGGAAATTTAGCATGTTATCTTAAAGATACGCTTTGCTTTATATTTATTTGTTTATTTATTGAGACGGAGCGGTTCCCTCTTCGCCCAGGCTGAAGTGCAATGGCGCGATCTCGGCTCATTGCAACCTCCGCCTCCTGGGTTCAAGCGATTCTTCTGCCTCAGACTCCCAAGTAGCTGAGATTACAGGCGCCTGCCACCAAGCCCGGCTAATTTTTGTGTTTTTTAAGTAGAGACGGGGTTTCACCATATTGGCCTGGCTGGTCACGAACTCTGACCTCAAGTGATCCGCCCGCCTCGGCCTCCCAAAGTGCTGGGATTACAGGCGCAAGCCACTGCACCCGGCCAAGAAACGCTTTATTATGTGTAGAGATGTGTGTTATGAAATGCTGGAGGATCTTAAAAGAACTACCAGTGGAATAAAGAAAGAGAACAGGGAAATCACAGTGCTTATGTACAGGGAGAGTAAGGCAGAATATGTGTTGACAATATAGGTGACTGGAAAGTAATTTGTTTAACAGTTTTAAGTTATAACCAGCTCCCCACGGCTTATGGAATTACATCAGTTGCTAGAAAAAGTGACCCCTTTGTGAGATGGAATTTGGAGAAAACCAGCGAAGTGTAAGAAAGAAAAGATTGTTGGTGAGCAAGAACCAAAGTAATCTAAATAGGATAATTTGTGCAGTGTAAACCGAGAACACTTCTGATTATTTATAAAAATCATTGATAGCTTTGTAATCAAAGAAATGATAGAAACAAAGATAGTATTTGCTCCCTACAGCTACTTACCAATGAGCGTGTCTTATAATACCTGATTGGCCTATTAGCAATTATCATCTTGAACAACATTACTCATTTTGGCCTCCTTAGGTGTGAAAACAAGATATAAAAACAGTGCATGCATTCTGGTCCTTCTCTTACATATCTCATGCCTTTACACACACCTTCCTCTTTCACCCAGTCTCTTCCCCTTCTTTTCCATCCAATTTTTCATCCGTTGCTCTGATTACAGAGAATTTAGCATATTTTCCGTAAGAAGCCCCATCTTCAGGATTTCCTCAGGATTTTATCTTACTTTTATTGTTTCTGCAATGTTCTTTTTTTGCCTGACAAACTTTTTCCAGACTCCCTGTGAAAGTCCTTAGTTTCTCTTTGTTGTCTTTCTTTTTCTTGTTCTTTTTTTTTGAGTCAAGGTCTAGTTCTGTTACCAGGCTGGAGTGCAGTGGCATGATCACAGCTCATTGCAGCCTCTAACTCATGAGCTCAAGTGGTCCTCCCGCCTTGCCCTCCCCAGTAGCTGGGACTACAGGCGCCTGCCACCACACCCAGCTAATTTTTAATTTTTATGTAGAGACGTAGTCTCACTCTGTTACAAGGCTGGTCTCAAATTCCTGGCATCAAGCAGTCCTCCTACCTCAGCCTTCCAAAGTGCTGAGATTACAGATGTAAGTCACACTCCTGGCCTGAAGTCTTTCGTAGCATTCCCATCCTCACTAAAGTTATCGATTCCTCCCTCTGTGTTCCCACTGCCATTTAACATGGTGATCTGCCACCTTCGGCCTATTAAAGTTATGTTTTAGGATTAAATGGGATGTCTGGATTTGCTTTATTTATTTATTTTTTGAGACAGAGTCTTACTGTCACCCAGCCTGGAGTGCAGTTGGCATAATCTTGGCTCACTACGGCCTCCACCTCCCAGGTTCAAGCGATGCTCCTGCCTCAGCCTCCTGAGTAGCTGGGATCATAGGTGTTCGCCACTGGCTCATTTTTCTATTTTTAGTAGAGACAGGGTTTCACCGTGTTGGCCAGGTTGGTCTTGATCTCCTGACCTCATGTGATCCGCCCGCCTCGGCCTCCCAAAGTGTTGGGATTACAGGTGTCACCCACTGTGCCCAGCCTGGATTTGCTTTAATATGAATTCAGCCCAATAGTCTCAGCACTTTGGGAGGCCAAAGTGGGCAGATTACTTGAGCCCAGAAGTTTGAGACCAGTCTTGGCAATATGGCAAAACCCAGCCTCTTAAAGAAAAGAAATACAATAATACAAAAATTAGCTTGGCATGGTGACACACACTTGGACCCCCAGCTACTTGGGAGGCTGAGGTGGGAGGATAACTTGAGACGGGGAGGTTGAGACTGCAGGGAGCTGTGATTGCGCCGCTGCACTCCAGCCTGGGCAACAGAGTGAGACCCTGTCTCAAAAAAAAAAAAAAAAAAAAAAAAAAAAGGCCTGGCGCTGTGCCTCATGCCTGTAATCCTAGCAATTTGGGACCTGGAAGTGGGGTGGATCACTTGAGCTTGAGTTTGAGACCAGCCTGAGTGAGCAACATGGCAAAACCCTGTCTCTACAAAAAGTGGCTGGGTGCGGTGGCTCACGCCCATAATCCCAGCACTTTGGGAGGCTGAGGTGGCAGATCACGAGGTTAGGAGTTCAAGACCAGCCTGACCAACGTGGTAAAACCCCGTCTCTACTAAAAATACAAAAATTAGCTGGGTGTGGTGGCTCATGGCTGTAATCCCAGTTATTCAGGAGGCTGAGGCAGGACAATCGCTTGAACCAGGGAGGCGGAAGTTGCAGTGAGCCGAGATCGCGCCACTGTACTCCAGCCAGGGCAATAGAGGGAGACTCTTTCTCAAAAGAAATGGGAGGCCCAGGTGGGCGGATCACGAGGTCAGGAGATGAGACCATCCTGGCTAACATGGTGAAACCCCCATCTCTACTAAAAATACAAAATAATTAGCCGGGCGTGGTGGCGGGCGCCTATAGTCCCAGCTACTCCGGAGGCTGAGACAGGAGAATGGTGTGAACCCGGGAGGCGGAGCTTGCAGTGAGCCGAGATCGCGCCACTGCATTCCAGCCTGGGCGACAGAGTGAGACTCCGTCTCAAAAAAAAAAAAAAAGGAAAAAGAAAAATGCTGTTTGGCTGGGCTCGGTGGTTTACTCCTGTAATCTCAGCAATTTGGGAGGCAAAGGTGAGTGGATCACTTGAGGTCAGGAGTTTGAGACTAGCCTGGCCATCATGGCGAAATCCTGTCTCTACTAAAAATACAAAAATTAGCCGGGTGTGGTGGCACACTCCTGTAGTCCTGGCATCTCGGGAGGCTGAGGCAGGAGAATCTCTTGAACCTGGGAGGCAGAGGTTGCAGTGAGCCGCCATTGCACTACAGCCTGGGCGACAGAGCGAGAGCCCATCCCAAAAAAAAACCCCAAAAACAAAAAAAAAATTAGCTAGGCATGGTGTCATGACACTGTAGTCCTAGCTACTCACGAGGCTGTGGTGGAAGATTGCTTGAGCCCAAGAGGCTGAGGTTGCCCTGAGCTGTGATTGCACCACTGCATTCCAGCCAAGGCGACAGAGTGAAACCCCGTCTCAGGAAAAAAAAAAAAAGAGAAAAAGAGTTCGGCCGGGTGCAGTGGCTCACATCTGTAATCCCAGCACTTTGGGAGGCCAAGGCAGGCGGATTACGAGGTCAAGAGATTGAGACCGGCCGGGCACGGTGGCTCACGCCTGTAATCCCAGCACTTTGGGAGGCCGAAGCGGGCAGATCACGAGGTCGGGAGATCGAGACCATCCTGGCTAACACGGTGACACCCCGTCTCTACTAAAAATAAAAAAATTAGCCTGGCGTGGCAACAGGCGCCTGTAGTCCCAGCTACTTGGGAGGCTGAGACAGAAGAATGGCCTGAACCCAGGTGGTGGAGCTTGCAGTGAGCTGAGATCAGGCCACTGCACTCCAGCCTGTGAGACTCCGTCTCAAAAAAAAAAAAAAAAAGATTGAGACTATCCTGGCCAACATGGTGAAACCTTGTCTCTATTAAAACTACAAAAATTAGCTGGGCGTGGTGGCTCATGCCTGTAATCCCAGCTACCCGGGAGTCTGAGGCAGGAGAATCCCTTGAACCAGGGAATTGGAGGTTGCAGTGAGCTGAGATCGCGCCAATGCACTCTAGCTTGGCGTCAGAGCGAGACTCCGTCTCAAAAAATAAAAATAAAAAGATAATTGGGGAAGGAGTGAACAATGATAAAAATGAAACATGATTGGGGATATTACTGGTTATTAAGTTGGATAATCAGTACATGGGTATTTATTGTATTTTTCTTATATATATTTTAAAAATTTCCATAATACACTTCAAGATTGTTTTATATGTCAGTTTTCCTTAACATCTTTGTACTCTATAGAACCTGAGAAAGTGCCTGAGATAAGTAGGTCATCAGTCAGGTCTAAATAACGCCTTGTCCGGGAGCAAGGGTAGGCTGAGTAGACCAGCCCACTCCTGTCCTTAGTGATGGAGTCTTAGAGCAAGAGAAAGGTTGCCCATGAGAACACTTTATAGAGCAGTCTTTGTTTTTATCCCCCCAATAAGATACTGCTTGTGGGGTATTATTTGTATTTGTCTTAGTGGTCTTGGGGATAAATCTAAAGGGAAAAGTCATGGGTTGTTTTAATCTATAAATGTTTAGCTGGTAAAGGCAGTATTTTCCCCCAGTCATTATTTTGTTTGCTTATAGTCATTTTACCTTTGAGCCCCAAAGCAGTTTTATATTTTCCCATTTCAGATTAGCAAAATGATAGAAAAACACTAAATTATTATTTTTAAATTTTTTTATTTTTAATTTTGTGTGTACATAGTAGGCGTCTGTGTGTGTGTGTGTGTGTGTGTGTGTGTGTGTGTGTGTGTATATATATATATATTTTTTTTTTTTTTTTTTTTTTTTTTCTCCCCGAGACAGAGTCTTGCTCTGTCACCCTGGCTGGAGTGCAGTGGCACGATCTTGGCTCACTGCTGCCTCCGCCTCCCAGGTTCAAGCAGTTCTCCTGCCTCAGCCTCCCAAGTAGCTGGGATTATAGGTGCTTGCTACTGTGCCTGGCTAATTTTTTTGTATTTTTAGTGGAGACAGGGTTTCACCATTTTGGCCAGGCTGGTCTTGAACTCCTGACCTTGTGATCGGCTTGCCTCTGCCTCCCAAAGTGCTGGGATTACAGGCGTGAGCTACCGCGCCCAACGGTGTATATATTTATGTGGTGCATGAGATGTTTTGATACAGGCATGCAATGTGAAATGATCACATCAGGGAAAATGGGGTATCTATCCTCTCAAGCATTTATCCTTTGTGTTACAAACAATACAATTACATGCTTTCATTTTGTTTATTTATTTATTTATTTATTTTTGAGACAGAGTCTTGCCCTGTCGCTCAGGCTGGAATGCAATGACACAATCTCAGCTCACTGCAACTTCCGCCTCCCGGGTTCAAGCAGTTCTGCCTCAGCCTCCGCAGTAGCTGGGATTATAGGCGCACGCCACCAGGCAGGCTAATTTTTTGTGTCTTTAGTAGAGATGGAGTTTCACCATGTTGGCCAGGCTAGTCTCAAACTCCTGACCTCATGATCCTCCTACCTCGGCCTCCCAAAGTGCTAGGATTACAGGCTTGAGCCACTGCGCCCAGCCACTTTTATTTTAAAATAACACTAAATTATCAAATTTAAACATTTCCAGCTGGGCACGGTGGCTCACACCTGTAATCCTAGCCTTTTGGGAGGCCGAGGCGGGCGGATCATGAGGTCAGGAGATCAAGACCAGCCTGGCTAACACGGTGAAACCCCGTTTCTACTAAAAATACAAAAAATTAGCCGGGTGTGGTGGCGGACGCCTGTAGTCTCAGCTACTTGGGAGACTGAGGCAGGAGAATGGCGTGAACCCGGGAGGTGGAGCTTGCAGTGAGCCGAGATTGTGCCACTGCACTCCAGCCTGGGCGACAGTGCGAGACTCTATCTCAAAAAAAAAAAAAATAAAATAAAATAAACATTTCCTTTGTTACAGAGCAAGTTTTTTGAGATATGACTTTCCCTTTAGGCCTGAAACCAGTAACTGTTCCTACCTTCACAAGGGAATATTTCAGGACTACTTTGTGTTGGGTCAAAACTAGAATATTCTCTCTGTACCTTTGGAACCAACACACAACAATTTTTTTGTGGCACTCAATCCTTTTGTTTGCCCGGTTGATGAGCAGTACATTATTATAAATACTTCATTTTCTTTTTGTAGATAATCCCACCGTTTCTGGCATGTCAGATATGGATTATCCTTTGCAAGGACCTGGTTTGCTGTCCGTACCCAACCTTCCAGAGATCAGTTCCATCCGAAGAGTTCCTCTCCCACCTGAACTTGTTGAGCAGTTTGGACGTATCCTATTACTTTGTATTTATTTTAAAAATGTTAAAATTGGTATTTTTCATTCTTATAATTCTTGTTCTATGTTTAATTAATGTGTTATATATTCATTTAAGGGTTTTATTTAAAATTCGTTTAAGTATATGGGTTCCATGTTGTATTAAAGAGTGGACACATTGTGATTTTTTACGTAAATATTAAGTCAAAAGCTATTGAAACAAGTTAAAGAAGAATAAGATTCACCTCTGTCTGCCTTACATCCACACTACCTCAGATATGCAGTGTAATTGCATGATGGGTGTGTTCCCTCCTATCAGCAGAGCTTGGCTCACAATTGACAGTGATATATTCATGTGGAACTATGAGGATGGGTATGTATTTAAGGCTGGTTTGCTTTAAGGGTGATTGGAATTTATATAAACTTTACTGTAGCTAGTGTTCTCATTAGAAGCTGCTTGGTTTATCTTTCATTCATCTAGCCTTTGGGTCAGTGCTTCTCAGTATCAGTCATCTGGAGATGTTCAAATGTGCATTCTGTCTTAGTAGTCCTGAGTGAGGCTCAAGAGTCTGCATTTCTAACAAGCTGCCAACTGCTGCTGCTGGTTTAGGTGCCATTCTTGAGTGGCAGGAGCCCGGGTCCCAAGCTGTTAGCCCGTAGTAAAAATAGATGTTGGCAATTCATTGAGAGATGATTGGACATTTTTAAAGACTTCTGTTTTCCTTGCATTTCTATGGAGTAGGCATGTGATATTTATTTATTTTGTTGTCATTTTGTGAATTTGACCCGTGTGTAAATTATATGTATAGAAATGATTCTGAGTGAAAGCCTAAGGTACTTTTGCTTAAATACAGCATGTTGGTCTGGTGATCTCCCTGTTGACTTTTTAGAGATAGATTTTGTTTTACTTCCAGTTGTCCATTACATTATCCTTAGATGAGGTGTGGGATAAACATAGGAAAGCCCATATAATTAAGATGTTACTCTTGTTCCTGAGTAATTAATGATCTTTTTAGGAACACACGTGCATTAAAAAGACACTGTATCGGCCGAGCACGCTGACTCAAACGCCTATAATCCCAGCACTTTGGGAGGCTGAGGTGGGTGGATCACCTGAGGTCAGGAGTCCGAGACCAGCCTGGCCAACATGGAGAAACCCTGTCTCTACTAAAAATACAAAAATTAGCCAAGTGTGGTGGCACATGCCTGTAGTCCCAGCCACTCGGGAGCTGAGGCAGGAGAATTGCTTGAACCTGGGAGATGGAGGTTGCAGTGAGCTGAGATAGTGCCACTGCACTCCAGCCTGAGTGACAGAGCGAGACTCCATCTCAGAAACAACAACAACAAAACACTGTATTATTGAAACAAAATTGAAACTAAATGACAGCTTAACACCTATAGCTTAAACGAAACCATTTTTTTCTACTAGAAGTTTCGTAGCAATTTTTCATGTTGAAATGTAATAGTTGTAATAGCAGTGATGTATGATTGTGATTATTTTTCATGTACCCTGAATGTTCCCCACTTTGTTATGTTACCATAACATATTCATTTTTATACTAAATAATGAAACCTTTTTTGTTTAGGTATGTATCTTTTCAAGAGAAGTCATTGCAAAAATATTACAGAACAGATAAATGTGAGAATAATTGTTTTCTTTAAAATATGTTTTCGGCTGGGCATGGTGGCTCATGCCTGTAATCCCAGCACTTTAGGAGGCCAAGGCAGGCAGATCACCTGCAGTCGGGAGTTCGAGACCAGCCTGACCAACATGGAGAAAGCCCATCTCTACTAAAAATACAAAATTAGCCTGGCATGGTGGCACATGCCTGTAATCGCAGCTACTCGGGAGGCTGAGGCAGGAGAATCACTTGAACCTGGGAGGCGGAGGTTGTGGTGAGCCGAGATCGCGCCATTGCACTCCAGCCTGGGCAACAAGAGGGAAAACTCCATCTCAAAAAAAAAAAAACACTAATGAAATTTTTTACATTTCCATTAACATCCAACATATTTATTTAACACATACATATTGATCTTATGTATCTGACACTGTTGTTGTGGTAGGAACAGTACTGAATGAGATGAATGTAGTTCTGCCCTCATGGAACAAACAGTCCTACCTTACTGTGTGTCTTAGTCCGAGCTGCTAAAACAGAATACCATAGCCTGTGATCAACATGAATTTCTTTCTCATGGTTCTGGAAGCTGGAAGTCCAAGATCAAGGTCTGGTGAAAGCCCACTTCAATGTTCATAGATGGCTATCTTTTCACTCTGTCCTCACATGGCAGAGGGGTAGGGGAGTTCTTTGGGTCCTCTTTTATAAGGGCACTAATCCCATTCATGAGATATACCCTCATGACCTAATAACCTTTCAAAGACCCCACCTACAAATACTATCACATTAAGAGTTAGGATTTAATATGAATTTTAGGAGGACACAGATATTTGATCCATAGCAGTGTGTGTTCATTTAAAGAAAAATTATTTGAAGAATGTACTTATTTTAAAAAATCAAGGCACAAGGTCCACAAATTCAATTTTGTAAAATTTATACTTAGTTTAAATATTCAATTGGCTTTCTATTATAAATCCTAATTCCACCTGGATGATAAAAATGTAATCTTGGTCATTTCATTGTTCTCTAACCCCCAAATATCTCAGCATTGGATCGTAGTTCCAAGAGGCTGTGCCAGTTATCAAAGGGCCCTGTGGAATGGCATGATGTAAGAGGATGGGGAATCCTAGTCCGCATAAGTTGCCATTTAGCTATTTTGTTCCTGTGTGGATGGCCTTTTCAGGATGACTGGAAGCTTTCTTGAAAGTCTAGATCATATTTTTTCGTGGTATTTTTTCTGCTTCTTGTTCTCTGAGCTTCTTAGATCTTTAGTTTGATGTCTTCTATTATTTTTAGAATTTTTTTCAGCTGTTATCTTTATTTCTCTCTCTCTCTCTCCTTTTCTGTTCAGCCATTGTCTTTTTTTTTTTTTTTTTTTTGAGACAGAGTCTCGCTCTGTCGCCCAGGCTGGAGTGCAGTGGACTATCTTGGTTCACTGCAACCTCCACCTCCTGGGTTCAAGCACTTCTTGCCTCAGCCTCTGGAGTAGCTGGGACTACAGGTATGGGCCACCACACCTGGCTAATTTTTGTATTGTTATTAGAGATGGGGTTTCACTATATTGACTAGGCTGGTCTTGAACTCCTGGCCTCCAGTGATTTGCCCTCCTGGGCCTCCCAAAGTGCTGGGATTACAAGCATGAGCCACCGCACCCAGCCCAGCCATTATCTTGAAATATTCTGATACATTCTCTTTCTTCAGAAATTTCAGCTATACTTTTGTTATATACCTCATTTTGGATGCTCCATTCTGTTTTTTGTTTTTCCACTTTCTGTCTCTATCTCCCTGTTTTTTGGGAGACGGAGTCTCAAAGTGCTGGGATTACAGGTGTAAGCCACTGCGCCTGGACCCCCCCCCCTTTTTTTTTATCTCATTCCGTTGCTGAGGCTGGAGTGCAGTGGCATGATCTCGGCTCACTGCAGCCTCAACCTCCTGGGTTCAAGTGATTCTCCTGCCTCAGCCTCCCGAGTAACTGGGATTATAGGCATGCACCACCACACCCGGCTAATTTTTGTATTTTTAGTGGAGACGGAGTTTCACCGGGTTGGGCAAGCTGGTCTCGAATTCCTGACCTCAGGTGACCTGCCCACCTCAGCCTCCCAAAGTGCTGGGATTACAAGCGTAAGCCACCGCACTTGGCCTTCATTGGCTTTTTTTTTTGAGACTGAGTCTCATTCTGTTGCCCAGGCTGGAGTGCAGTGGCAAGATCTTGGCTGACTGCAACCTTCTCCTCCCTGGTTCAAGTAATTCCCCTGCCTCAGCCTCCTGAGTAGCTGGGAATACAAGCGTGTGCCACCATGGCCAGCTAATTTTTTTTTGTATTTTAGTAGAGACGGGGTTTCACCATGTTGGCCAGGACGGTCTCGATCTCCTGACCTCGTGATCCACCCGCCTCAGCCTCCCAAAATGCTGGGGATTACAGGCGTGAGCCACCACACCCAGCCTCGCTGACTTCTTATAATTTTTATCTTTTTGTCGAAATTCTTTACCTATTTTTTTTTGTCTGTTTTATTTCTCCCTTTTTTTTGAGACAGAGTCTCGCTCTGTTGCCCAGGCTTGAGTGCAGTGGTATCATCTTGCCTCACTGCAACCTCCACCTCCCAGGTTCAAGTGATTTTCATGCCTCAGCCTCCGGAGTAGCTGGGATTACAGGCCTGGGACACCATGCCTGGCTAATTTTTTCTATTTTTAGTAGAAACAGGTATCATTGTGTTGGCCAGGCTGGTCTTGAACTCATGGCCTCAAGTGATCCACACGTCTCAACCTCCCAACTTTACCTATTTGTACATATAGTCAATTAGGTAATTTTTCCTATATAAAGCCTATATGTATAGTTCATAGTTACTTTACATTTCTTGTCTGATAGTTTGGATTCATAGCTGAGTCTGGTTCTATTGATTACTTTGTTTCTTGACACTGGGGTTTTTTTTCTTGTTATTTTGTGTCTCATGATTTCTTATTGAAAGCCAGAAATCATGTTAAGACAGTAGATACTGTAAGTAAGTAGCAAGTGGTATTTATTCTTAGAAATGGGCATGTCTTTTCCTTGGCTAAGGTATAGCAGATCTTTATTATATGGGGAATTGCCTTTTTCCAGGTCAGGACTTGAGCTGGATTTGGGTTCTGTTGTTGTACTTAGGGTGCAAGTTGGTTTACTGGAGATTTTTTCTCAGTGTTCCTCTTACATCCTCAGTCTTAGGCTCTTCCTGTGATTCCATCCTTGTAAGATGGCCCTCTTCTTACCCTTATCCCTGCCCCAGCAGTAGATTGCTATTACTTGATGTGCAGCCCTGTTGTGGAGATGTTTGGAATGGGGAGCAGCATTTTCTATTTTTGTATTTCCCTATTTTTCTAGTTCATCCTTAGCCATAAGCAGGTCTGGATCCCTGGGTCTTGGAACTGAAACAGTTTTCTTTGCTTGTTTATTTTTTCATTATATATATAATGAAAAATATTTTTATATATTCAATATATATAAAATGAAAAAGTTATATATATATATAAATTTTTCATAAAGACCAAGTCTCACTGTGTTTCCCAGGGTCTTGAACTCTCCTGGGCTCCTGCCTCACCCTCCCAAAGTGCTGAGATTACAGGCATGAGCCACCTCTCCCAGTCTTTTTTTTTTTTGAGACGGAGTCTCGTTCTCTAGCCAGGCTGGAGTGCAGTGGTGTGATCTCGGCTCACTGCAACTCTGCCTCCCGGGTTCAAGTGATTCTCCTGCCTCACCCTCCCGAGTAGCTGGGACCACAGGCGTGCGCCACCATGCCGGGCTAATTTTTTGTATTTTAGTAGAGACGGGGTTTCACCACATTGGCCAGGATGGCCTCAATCTCCTGACCTTGTGATTCGCCCACCCCGGCCTCCCAAAGTGCTGGGTTTACAGGTGTGAGCCACTGTGCCCACCCAGTCTTTTCATTATATTCTGTGTCTAAATTTATTTAACTAATAAAGAGCATTCAGGAGTTCAACACTAGCCTGGGCAATATGGCCAAACCTTGTCTCTACAAAAAATACAAAAATTAGCCAGGTGTGAAGTGGAGATTGCAGTGAGCCAAGATTGTGCCACTGCACTTCAGCCTGGGTGACAGAGCTGGACCTTGTCTCAAAAATAATAGTAATAATAATAATAAAGATCATTGTAAGATAATACTTGGTTTTCTGTTTTTCTTTTCTTTTCTTTTTTGAGACAGGCTCTCACTTTGTCACCCAGGCTGGAGTGCAGTGGCATGATCACTACTCACTGCAGCCTCAACCTCCCAGGCCTTTGCGATCCTGCCAACTCAGTGGCCTCACACCCCCATGCCTGGCTAATTTTTTGTTTCTTTTTTGTAGAGACAGTCTCACTATGTTGCCCAGGCTGGTCTTGAACTTCTGGGCTCAGGCAGTCCTCCTGCCTCAGACTCCCAAAGTACTGGGATTAAAGACATGAGCCACCACATCTGGCCTATTTGCTTTATATGTGTAACATGTTTTTCTTCATTTATTCACAGAGGAGACCTTGCCTATTTTGATGGACTTAGTGAGACTATTCTTGCTGTGGGGCTTGTGAAGCCAAAAGCAGGTAAGAAATAAAACTATAAGGAAGAGATTATGTTTGTATATGTAAACTCCAAATGGTATAGACCTGAACAACAACACACATTTTTTTCGAGATGGAGTCTCGTTCCATCGAGTAGGCTGGAGTGCAGTGGCGCAATCTTGGCTCACTGCAATCTCCGCCTCCTGGGTTCAAGCAGTTCTCCTGCCTCAGCCTCCCGAATAGCTGGGATTACGGGCGTGCGCCACCACACCCAGCTAATTTTTGTATTTTTAGTAGAGACGGGGCTCCGCCATGTTGGCCAGGCTGGTCTCAACTCCTGACCTCAGGTGATCCGCCCGCCTCAGCCTCCCAAAGTGCTGGGATTACAGATGTAAGCCACCGCGCCTGGCTGACAACACCCTTTTTTAAACAATTGTATTCTCCATTGAAGTTTTATTTTGAATTCTAATTAGAAATATGTAAAGTGATTATTAATGTTTAACTGTTTACTTTAATGGTATAAGTGACACTGCCTTTAAAAATGTTAAACTGTAATTTTTTGAATTTTATTTTATTTGCTTTTTACTGCTCTTTCTTGATATACCTGAAGGTTTTGCACTATAGATTTTTCATTAATTGCTGAATTTAATGTTAAGAAAAATTTTAGTGTCTGCATTTTATTAGTCTGTCTTTCTCTTTTTTTTTTTTTTTTTTTTTTTTTTTGAGATTAAGGTCTTATACTCTATCACCCGGGCTGGAGTGCAGTGGCATGATCATGGCTCACTACAGCCTCAACCTCCCAGGCTCAGGAGACCCTCCCACCTCAGCCTCCCAAGTAGCTGGGACTACAGTTTTGTGCTACCACACCAGGCTAATTTTTGTAGAGATGGGGTTTTGCCATGTTGCCCAGGCTGGTCTTGAACTCCTGTGCTCAAGCAATCCACCCACCTCAGGGATGCTGGGTTAACACTTGTGAGCCACTGCACCTGGCCATTTTTTTAGTCTTTTTCTTTTTTGAGACAGAGTCTCGCTCTGTTGCCCAGGCTGGAGTGCAGTGGCGTGATCTCCGCTCACAGCAGCCTCCGCCTCCCAGGATTGAGCGATTCTCTTGCCTCAGCCTTCCAAGTAGCTGGGATTACAGGCATGTGCCACCATGCCCAGCTAATTTTTATATTTTTAGTAGAGCAGGGTTTTGCCATGTTGGCCAGGCTGGTTTTGAACTGTTGACCTCAGGTGATTTGCCTACCTTGGCCTCCCAATGTGCTGGGATTACAGGCGTGAGCCGCCGTGCCCTGGCCATATTCTTGATGGCCCGTGGAAGTGAGAACAGAGTTTAGAGTAAATCTTAGAAACGTCACAAGCATTGTTTAACTTATTGTTTCACCCTCATAATGCCAAATCTCTTATCAGGGTTACTGAGAAGGAGAATTGATTGATTTAAATTTAAAATATATCCTTTAAATGTACCTTTCTTTTTTTTTCTGTTACAGAGTCTCACTCTGTTGCCCAGGCTAGAGTGCAGTTTAGCCACCTTGGTGCTCACTGCAGTCTCGCCTCCTGAGTTCAAGCGATTCTCCTGCCTCAGCCTCTCAAGTAGCTGGGATTATAAACGCATGTCACCACGCCTAATTTTTATATTTTTAGTAGAGACAGGGTTTCGCCATGTTGGCCATGCTGGTTTCGAACTCCTGACCTCAGGTGATCCTCCCACATCGGTCTCCCAAAGTGCTGGTATTATAGGCATGAGCTGCCATGCCCTGGCCATAATCCTGATAGCCCATGGAAGTGAGAACAGAGTTCAGAGTAAATTAAATCTTGTAGATATCACAAGCATTGTTTGACTTACTCTTTCACCCTCATAATGCCAAATCTCTATTTTTTTTTTTTTTTTTTGAGATGGAATTTTGCTCTTGTTGCCCAGGCTGGAGTGTAATGGCGTGATCTCGGCTCACCGCACCCTCCGCCTCCTGGGTTCAAGCGATTCTCCTGCCTCAGCCTCCCAAGTAGCTGGGATTACAGGCATGCACCACCACGCTTGGCTAATTTTATATTTTTAGTAGAGATGGGAATTCTCCATGTTGGTCGGGCTGGTCTTGAACTCCCGACCTCAGGTGATCCGCCCACCTCGGCCTCCCAAAGTGTTTGGGATTACAGACGTGAGCCACCATGCCCAGCATAATGCCAAATCTCTTATCAGAGTTACTAGGAAGGAGAATTGATTGATTTAAATTTAAAATATATTCTTGGCTGGACATGGTGGCTTGAGCCTGTAATCCCAGCACTTTGGGAGGCCAAGGTGGGTGGATCATGAGGTCAGGAGATCGAGACCATCCTGACTAACACAGTGAAACCCCATCTGTACTAAAAATACAAAAAATTAGCTGGGCTTGGTGGTGGTCGCCTGTAGTCCCAGCTACTTGGGAGGCTGAGGCAGGAGAATTGTGTGAACCTGGGAGGTGGAGCGTGCAGTGAGCCAAGATCACGCCACTGCACTCCAGCCTGGGCAACAGAGTGAGACATCGCCTCTGAAAAACAAACAAACAAACAAACAAATAAATAAATATATATATATATACACACACACACACATTCTTTAACCGTACTTTTTTTTTTTTGAAACAGTGTCTCACTGTCACCCAGGCTGGAGTACAGTGGAGTCACCTTGGTGCTCACTACAACCTCCGCCTCCTGGGTTTAAGCGATTCTCCTGCCTCAGGCTCCTGAGTAGCTGGAATTTCAGGCATGTGCCACCATTCCCGGCTAATTTTTGTATTTTTAGTAGCATGTGGTTTGGCCATGTTGTCCAGGCTAGTCTTTTAACACCTGGCCTCAAGCGATCCGCCCACCTTGGCCTCTCAAAGTCCTGGTATTACAGATGTGAGCCACTGTGCAGCCAAATGTACCTTTTTATAGGAGGAAATAATAGACAAAAATTACTTTTTTGCAAGGCCTAAGTGAAATTTTTTAAGATTATGGCCATTTTGCAATTATAGATACTCAGTTAAGTAAAAACAGACTTCTTTTTTTTTTTGAGATGGAGTCTCATTCTGTCGCCCAGGCTGGAGTGCAATGGCACGATCTCGGCTCACTGCAACCTCCGCCTCCCGGGTTCAAGCGATTCTTCTGCCTCAGCCTCCCGAGTAGCTGGGATTACAGGCGCCCGCCAGCAGGCCCGGCTAATTTTTGTATTTTTAGTAGAGACAGGGTTTCACCATGTTGGTCAGGCTGGTCTCGAACTCCTGACCTCAAGTGATCCGCCCGTCTCTGCCTCTCAAAGTGCTGAGATTACAGGCGTGAGCCACCACGCCCAGCCCAAACCGACATTTTATACACTATTTATTTACTTGCATTGAAAATATATTTTCAGGCTGGGTGTGGTGGCTCACACCTGTAATCCCAGCACTTTGTGAGGCTGAGGCGAGCAGATCACCTGAGTCTGAGACTTCAAGACCAGCCTGGGCAACATGGTGATACCCTGTCTGCAAAAAACAGAAACATAAGCCAGGCATGGTGGTGCATGCCTGTAGTCCCAGCTATTCATGAGGCTGAAGCGGGAGGATCGCTTGAGCATAGGAGGACAAGGCTGCAGTAAGCCTTGATTCTGCCACTGCACTCCAGCCTGGGCAGCAGAGCAAGACCCTGTCTCAAAAAAAAAAAAAAAAAAAGAAGAAATAAAGACACTGGGTGCGTTGGTTCACGCCTGTAATCCCAGCACTTTGGGAGGCTGGGGCGGGTGGATCAACTGACGTCAGGAATTCGAGACAAGCCTGACCACATGGTGAAACCGTGTCTCTACTAAAAATACAAAATAAGCTGGGCATGGTGCCATATGCCTGTAATCTCACCTACTCGGGAGGCTGAGGCAGGAGGATCACTTGAACCCGGGAGGCAGAGGTTATAGTGAGCCGAGATCGAGCCACTGCACTCCAGCCTGGGCAACAAGAGTGAAACTCTGTCTCAAAAAGAAAAGCAAAGCAAATGTATGTCCTTTACATAGAATCTAAAAGAGATGCATTAAGTGTATAAATATTGCTATATACTATTATCAAGGTTGTAATCTTTTCTTGTGTAGATAACTATAGGTGTAAGTTTTATTTTCTAAAATTGTCTAGCTTTTATTTGCATTTCAAAATGAAATCTATTATATATATTTTAATTGTGGTAAAATACACATAATACAAACTTTGCCATCTTAACTGTTTTTAAGCCTATACTTCAGTGGTATTAAGTCCATTCACGTTATTGTGTAAACTTCACCACCATCTATATCTAGAACTCTGTATTTTGTAAAATGGAAACTGTACCTATTAACTAAAAACTCCTGTTCCTCCTTCCCTCAGCAGTTGGTAGTAACCATTCCACTTTTTGTCTGTAAGAATTTGACTATTCTAGGTTTCCTCATATAAATGGAATCATATGGTACTATATTGGTCATTTTGTGACTGGCTCATTTTATTTAACCTATGTCCTCAAGGTTCATCTGTGTTACAGCATGCATCAGAACATTTTTCCTTTTATGTTTTTATTTTTTTATTTTTTTTGAGATGGAGTCTCACTCTGTCGTCCAGACTGGGGTGTAATGGCGTGATCTCGGCTCACTGCAACCCCTGCCTCCCGGGTTCAAGCAATTCTCCTGCCTCAGCCTCTCAAGTAGCTGGTACTACAGGCACGTGCCACCACACTCGGCTAATTTTTTGTTTTTAGTAGAGATGGGGTTTCACCATGTTGGCCAGGCTGGTCTCAAACTCCTGACCTCAGGTGATTTGCCTGCCTCAGCCTCCCATGGGATTACAGGCGTGCCCGGCCAACTTTCTTACTTTTTAAAGTTCAGTAGTATTCCATTTTGTGTGTGTGTGTGTATATATATATATGTCATTTTTTTTAATGCATCTATCGATGGACACTTGGATTTTGTTTTCACCTTTTAGTTATTGTGAAAAACACTGCTATGAACATGGGTATACAAATATACATCTCTATATTTTAATATATTTAAACTATTTTGTAATATAACACTTTTAAAATAGCATTAAATACTGAAGTGATTGTTTTCTAAGGTGGTTCTTTTCCACTGCTATTAACTTTTTTTCCTCTTCATTATCTTGATGACATTCAAAATTTACTTATTTAAATGATCATACATAATAATATTTTTAACAACAGAATTGACTAAACTGCATCCAGACTTTTCATATACCATTTAATTAGTAGCTCACTTTAATGGTAATAAAAGCTTACTCTGTTAGTGCTTAAATGCTGAAAGTATTCCTGCCCTGTGTCTACTTTATCTTAGGCATCTTTCAACCTCATGTGCGACACCTCCTGGTTTTGGCGACCCCTGTAGACATAGTAATTCTTGGACTCAGCTATGCTAATTTGCAAACAGGTATGGCAACCCACATGTTAACGTTTTTTAAAATAATAGTATTTTGGCCAATTGATATTACAGTTAAAAGCTAATCTGGGTGAAATGTTGAATTCCATTGACTCACATTAATGATTATTACTGCCAAATCCTCAGGCTCTTTTCCACAAGTTAACATTGGGTTAGTTTTTTGTTTTGTTTTGTTTTGTTTTGTTTTTTGAGACGGATTTTCGCTCTTGTTGCCCAGGCTGCAGTGCAATGGCGTGATCTTGGCTTACCGCATCCTCTGCCTCCCAGGCTCAAGTGATTCTCCTGCTTCAGTCTCTTGAGTTGCTGGGATTACAGGCATGCACCACCATACCCGGCTAATTTTGTTTTTTTGTTTGTTTGTTTGTTTTTGATAAGGGAGTCTTGCACTGTCGCCCGGGCTGGAGTGTAGTGGTGCAATCTTGGCTCAGTGCAACCTCTGCCTCCCAGGTTCAAGCGATTCTCCTGCCTCAGCCTCCCAAGTAGCTGGGATTACAGGCACCCACTACCACACCCAGCTAATTTTTTTGTATTTTTAGTAGAGACAGGGTTTTACTGTGTTGGCCAGGCTGTTCTTGAACTCCTGACCTCGTGATCCACCTGCCTTGGCCTCCCAAAGTGCTGGGATTACAGGCGTGAGCCACTGTGCCCGGCCTAATTTTGTATTTTTAGAAGAGACGGGGTGTCTTCATGTTGGTCAGGCTGGTCTTGAACTGCCGACCTCAGGTGATCTGCCCACCTGGGCCTCCCAAAGTGCTGGGATTACAGGCATGAGCCACGGCACCCGGCCGGGTTAGTTTCTTGTTTATTATCTTACTATATAATAAACACACAGGCACACACACACACACACACACACTCACACACTCTGCAGGTTCTGTTTAACTTGAATTATCAAATTGTATCAGACTTCTTTTAGTAATTTTAAAATGTATATTATAGAAGCTGTTGACTATGTTAATTGTCAGTAAGAATTGAGTAAGGCTGGGTATGGTGGCTCTTGCCTGTAATCTTAGCACTCTGGGAGGCCGAGGCAGGCGGATCACGAGATCAGGAGATCGAGACCATCCTGGCTAACACGGTGAAACCTTGCCTCTACTAAAAATACAAAAAAAAATTAGCTGGGCATGGTGGCGGGCGCCTGTAGTCCCAGCTACTCGGGAGGCTGAGGCAGGAGAATGGCATGAACCCGGGAGGTAGAGCTTGCAGTGAGCTGAGATCGGGCCACTGCACCCAGCCTGGGTGACAGAGTAAGACTGTCTCAAGAAAAAAAAAAAAGAATTGAGTAAACATATAGATTCTGATGATAATGCAAAGATTTTTAAAAACTGTGGAGTAGCTAATAAACTGATTTATGTATTCTTTCTTAAATAGGTTCTGGAGTTCTTAATGATAGTTTGTCTGGTGGAATGCAGTTGCTTCCAGATCCTTTATATTCTCTTCCTACTGATAATACTTACCTTTTAACAATAACTTCCACTGATAATGGCAGAATTTTCTTGGCTGGAAAGGATGGCTGTTTATATGAAGTAGCCTACCAGGTAAGTCTGACATTTGTAAACGTTTTTTTTTCTCTCTTGATGGAGTAGGGAAAGATAAGCCTTTATTTTGTTTTCTAATTATATAAGGACATTAATATATTTTTATGGTAAATATTCAAGCATACAGTTGAAGCTGTAGTCCCCATGACTACACCATGCCTACAAAACTCAGCCCTCAGAGGTAAAAGTCATTATTCTATGTATGTCCTCGTGGAACATAAGGCACACATCAATGTCTCTATAGATATCTATGCATATGTGTTTGTGTGTATATACACATATACAAATACAAAATGCACTTTTGCAAATATGTGTTTTCACTTGGATTATTGATTTAATTCGTAATTGCTTTTTTTTTTTTTTTTTTTTTAAATGTGATGGAGTCTCACTGTATCACCCAGGTCTATCACCCAGGCTGGAATGCAGTGGCTGAATCTTAGCTCACTGCAACCTCCATCCCCTGGGTTTAAGCAGTTCTCCTGCCTCAGCCTCCCAATAGCTGGGATTACAGGTGTGCACCACCACATCCAGCTAATTTTTGTGTTTTTATTAGAGGCAGAGTTTCATCATGTTGGCTAGGCTGGTCTCGAACTCCTGACCTCAAATGATCCACCTGCCTTGGCCTCCCAAAGTGCTAGGATTTACAGGTGCGAGCCACTGTGCCCAGCCCATAACTGGCTTTTCATCTAACAGTATGTCTTGAAATTCTTTCCTTGTCAGTATTTGGTTGATATTTTAAATTATGGGCTAAACTCAGTAGTTAATTTTGAATAATATGTCTCGTTTTGTTGATTATAACTGGTATTAGTGATTATAACTGGTATTTCATGAAGATTTGAAGGTTTTTATAAATATGGATATACAGTAGTTATTGTAAGGGAGTTACATACTTTTATAAGTCGTCTTTCTACTTTTTTCTTTAAGGCTGAAGCAGGGTGGTTTAGCCAAAGATGTAGGAAAATAAACCACTCAAAGAGCTCACTTTCTTTCCTTGTTCCTTCCTTGCTACAATTCACGTTCTCAGAAGATGGTAAGTAGAAAACAATAAATTTGGCAAGTACAACTAATTTCTAACACATTGTTCCCTCAACGTTTTCTTCAGAAATTATCATTCTTAATTGAAACAATTTGTTATGTTAAGTAGCATTTCTTATATATTCATAAGGTCTTTTAAAGGGTAAGGAGATCATAACCTAGAGAAAGTGTGGATTTTGTTCTCAAGTTTACTTATTTCCTATAAATGTAGCATCAAAGAACTTGCGTCTAAAACAGCTGTACATAATTAAACCAAAATATGTGTATGTATGTGAGAGAGACAGACATTCAGACAGCTAATACATTGTTTGCTTGGTCTAGAACAAATTTCCAGTATAAAAAGAATATATCTTAGCTTTTAATGAACTGAGAGATTTCAACAGGTGAAATAATTTTTAAAATGCTTTGGCAAAATAAGATCTGTATACCCAAAGATTAATATGACTGAATTTTAAAATTATTTTCTTTCACACAATCAATTAGGCCAAACTGGAAGTTTCTTAACATAAAGGACCAGGTATACTTATTCTGTGTTTCTAGGATGTAGTAAACATTCATTAATGTTTAAATAACTTAGAATTTATTTTCTAAGTTATTTCATGAAAAAATAACTTAGAATTTGTTTTCAGTTTGGCTTAAAATTCATTTAGAGGACAAAATAACTTACTTTCTATGCTCATAACCCAGTCACAGTATTTAGCATGTGTTTTTTTCATGTGTTGTCTGACCAAAATGCTTTTTGGACTGGATCTTATGCAAACATCCTAGGATTTAACTACAAAGCAAGAGAGTAGAAAGCCCCTGAATACAAAGTTCTGATTCAACAGTTTGTTGTAACTAGCTAATGTATTTGCTTTGTTAATCCTTGGGTTTACTTTTTTCTCTTTTTTTTTTTTGTCTTACTTTTAGATCCTATTCTTCAAATTGCAATTGATAATTCTAGAAATATTTTATATACACGATCTGAGAAAGGAGTAATACAGGTTAGTATTAATATTATTATACCATTAAGAGTCAAATAAATCCTTATTTTTAAGGAAGACAATTCCCACCTCTTAAATTTTTCCTATGAACTGTGTAACTAAAAAAAAAAAAAGCCTGCTGGGCATGGTGGCTCAAGCCTGTAATCCCAGCACTTTGGGAGGCCAAGGTGGGCGGATCACCTGAGGTCTGGAGTTTGAGACCAGTCTAGCCAACATGATGAAACCCTGCCTCTACTAAAAATACAAAAATTAGCCAGGTGTGGTGGTATGTGCCTTTAATCCCAGCTACTTGGGAGGCTGAGGCAGGAGAATCATTTGAACCTGGGCGGCGGAGGTTGCAGTGAGCCGAGATCATGCCTTTGCCCTCCAGCCTGGGCAGTAGAGCAAGACTTCGTCTCAAAAAAAAAAAGCCCAACTCACTTCTCAGAAGGGTCCCCTTTCTATGAAATTTCGAATCTGAATGTTTTCATGTTTGTATTAAATACCAATATTAAAGGATCCCTTAAAAGAAAGAGTTTAATAATATGTGTATAGTATATAATCATGTTTAAGTGAGAATGATTTTGTATTCACAGGTGTATGATTTGGGACAAGATGGACAAGGAATGAGCAGAGTTGCCTCTGTGTCACAGAATGCCATTGTCTCTGCTGCTGGTAACATTGCTAGGTAACATGTAATTTATTATTAAGCATTTCATTTGCAGGCATAATTATACTATTTGTGTGTAGCCTTCTAAAAGTATATATTATTCCCTCATCAAAATGTCTCTAAAAGACAAGGAATGTTGAAGAGATGACACTCTACATTATGTTTGAAATGGAGCTGTTAGAGACTCCTTTATTTATTTATTTATTTATTTATTTTTTTGAGACAGGGTCTCACTCTGTCACCCAGGCTGGAGTGCAGTGACACAATCTTGGCTCACTGCAACCTCCACCTCCTGGGTTCAACTGATTCTCCTGCCACAGGCTCCCTAGTAGCTGAGATTACAGGTGCCTGCCACCATGCCTGGCTAATTTTTATATATATTTTTTTTGAGATGGAGTTTCGCTCTTGTTGCCCAGGCGGGAGTGCAGTGGTGCTATCTCTGCTCACCGCAACTTCTGCCTCGCGCGTTCAAGCGATTCTCCTGCCTCAGCCTCCCGAGTAGTTGGGATTACGGACATGCACCACCATGCCCAGCTAATTTTGTATTTTTAGTAGAGACAGGGTTTCACCATGTTGGCCAGGATGGTCTCGATCTCTTGACCTCGTGATCCGCCCGCCTCAACCTCCCAAAGTGCTGGGATTACAGGCATGAGCCACCATGCCCAGCCTAATTTTTGTATTTTTAGTAGAGATTGGGTTTCGCCATGTTGGCCAGGCTGGTCTCTAACTCCTGACCTCAGGTAATCTACCCACCACGCCTCCCAAAATGTGGAGATTATAGGCGTGAGCCACCGTGCCTGGCCAAGACTTTTTTTTTTTTTTTTTTGAGATGGAGTTTCACTCTTGTTGTCCAGGCTGGAGTGCAATGGTGCAGTCTCGGCTCACTGCAACCTCTGTCTCCCGGGTTCAAGTGATTCTCCTGCCGTAGCCTCCTGAGTAGCTGGGACTACAGGCATGCGCCATCACACCCAGCTAATTTTGTATTTTTAGTAGAGATGGGGTTTTCTCCATGTTGGTCAGGCTGGTCTCGAACTCCCGACCTCAGGTGATCCACCTGCCTTGGCCTCCCAAAGTGCTGGGATTACAGGCGTGAGCCACCGTGCCCAGCTTGAGACTCTTTTATTCTTATGTTTGATAGTTGGAAATATAAGGTAGACTGGTTTTACTACGTAAAGTACAGCTTGACGTGTTTTTCCTGGCAACTTTACATAGGGATCATGACTAGGAAACTGCATGTCTCAAAGTTTCCCCACTTTTAACTATTCACTCTTTCGGTTTTTTGTTTGCTTCTTTTTGAGATGGAGTCTCGCTCTGTTGCCCAGGCTGGAGTGCAGTGGCTCCATCTCAGCTTGCTGCAATCACCACCTCCTGGGCTTAAGCGATTCTCCCACCTAAGCCTCCCGAGCGGCTAGGACTACAGGCACATGCCACCACACCTGGCGAATTTTTCTATTTTTTATAGAGACAGGGCTTCACCGTGTTGCCCAGACTGGTCTTGAACTCCTGGACTCAAGCAATACACCCGCTCTGGCCTCCCAAAGTGCTGGGGTTACAGGCATGAGCCACTGCACCCGGCCACTACTCACTCTTTTAACAGACATGTGTGGTTCAAGCTTAGTTGGTCTGATTATTGACACAAGTACAGAACACAATATTTCAAAGTTGTAGTACCCATTTTATTCATGAGGAAACTGAAACTAAGGGATGATTTGCCTGAGATCTAACTCCTAAATAAGTACAAGAACCTAACGCGGAAGCCAAGTCTTCAGACAATCTGCATTACCATTTGCACATATCCCAACTACCTTGGTCAAGCTGCAAACGCTCTCTCTCTCTTTTTTTTTTGTTTCCGAGACAAAGTCTCACTCTTGTCCCCCAGGCTGGAGTGCAATGGCGCGACTTGGCTCCCTACAACCTCCACCTCCCGGGTTCAAGCGATTCTCCTGCCTTAGCCTCCTGAGTAGCTGGAATTACAGGCGCCTGTCACCACGCCTGGCTAATTTTTGTATTTTCAGTAGAGATGGGGCTTCACCATGTTGGCCAGGCTGGTCTCGACCTCCTGACCTGAGGTGATCTGCCTGCCTTGGCCTCCCGAAGTGCTGGGATTACAGGCGTGAGCCACTGCACCCCACCTGCAAACACTCTTTTTATAATGAAGGCCTCAAATTTTTCAACTTCTATTGTCATTGTGCCTAGATTATTGCTACAATCAGAGTGAAATAAATCAACTTTTTGTTTTTTTTTTCAGACAGGGTTTCACTCTGTTGCCCAGACTGGAGTGCAGTGTTGCAATTGTAGTCTGCTATAGCCTCAATTTCCTGGGCTGACGTGATCCTCATGCCTAAGCTTCCTGAGTAGCTATGACTATAGATGTGTGCCACCATGCCCACCTAATTTTATTTTTAGTAGACCTGGGGTCTTGCTATCTTGCTCAGCCTTTTTGTTTTGTTTTATTCTTCAGTGACAAGAAAAAAATTCTGAAGGCAGACACAATTGAAAACACATAATTTTCTGTTTTTCCCTCTAATTTTTTTCTGGAATTTTTTTCAAATCCACAAAAAAATTAAAAGAACAATGTGACAAAAACTAATACACTTTTTTTTTTTTTTTTTTTGAGATGGAATCTCACTCTGTCACGTCACCCAGGCTGGAGTGCAGTGTTGCAGTCTCAGCTCACTGCACCCTCTGCCTGCCGGGTTCAAGCAATGCTCCTGCCTCACCCTCCCAAGCAGCTGGGACTATAGGCGCGCACCACTGTGCCTGGCTAATTTTTTGTATTTTCAGTAGAGACAGGGTTTCACCATGCTGGCCAGGATGGTTACGAACTCCTGACCTTGTTATCTGCGCGCCTTGGCCTCCCAAAGTGTTGTGATTACAGGCATGAGCCACTGCACCCGGCAAAACTAATACACTCTTTATCTCAATTTTAACATTTTGCCTCTTTGTTGCCTGTCTTATGAGCCATTTGAAAGTACATTGTAGACATCATGACTTTTTTTTTTTTTTTTTTTTGAAATGGAGTCACACTCTGATACCCAGGCTGGAGTACAGTGGTGCGATCGTGGCTTACTGCAGCCTCCTCCTCCTCCCAGGCTCAAGGCATCCTCACATCTCAGCCTCTTGAGTAGCTGAGACCACAGACGTGCGCCACCACATCTGGCTAATTTTTTGTATTTTTGGTACAGACGGGGTTTCACCATTGTTGCCCAGGCTGGTCTTGAACTCCTGAGGTCAAGCAATCCGCATGTCTCAGCCTCTCAAAGTGCTGGGATTACAGGCATGAGCCACCGACATGCCTTTAGTCTGTTACATAACAATATACTTAGTCCATATTAAAATTGCCCAGTAGTCCCCAAAATCTTTTTTTTTTTAACTCTGCTGCCCAGGATTGAGTGCAGTGGTGCTTGACCTCCCTAGGCTCAGGTGATCCACCAACTTTAGCCTCCCAAGCAGCTGGGACCACAGGCACGGACACCTCCACCTGGCTAATTTTTGTATTTTTTGTAGAGAGGGGATCTCACCATGTTGCCCTGGCTGGTCTTGAACTCCTGGGCTCAAATGACGTGTCTGCCTCAGCCTCTCACAGTCCTGGGATTCTGGGATTACAGATGTGAACCACCGTGCCCCCAAAATCTTTTTTTTTTTTTTTTTGAGATGGAGTCTTGCTCTGTCACCCAGGCTGGAATGCAGTGGCACGATCTTGGCTCACTGCAACCTCCACCTCCCGGGTTCAAGCAGTTCTCCTGCCTCGGCCTCCCGGGTAGCTGGGACTACAGATGCACACCACCACACCTGGGTAATTTTTGTATTTTTAGTAGAGACGGGGTTTTACCATGTTGGCCAGCTTTTATGCCTCAGCCTCCCAAAGTGCTGGGATTACAGGCGTGAGCCACTGCGCCTGGCTTCGAAATCTTTTATAGTTGTTTTTCTTTCCATTTTTCTCCAGTTATATCAGAATTTATGAATTGGATTGGTTGTTAGTCTCTTTAATATAAAACAGCCCCCTGGCCACCTTTTTTTTTTTTTATAATATTGACGTTTGGAAGGAAGGGCAGGATAATTATACAAATTTCTGAATATATCTTTTTTTATAATTAGATTCTGAGTAATATATTTTATATATGATGTTTATATGTATTTTATATATGTATATTTTCTTTCTTTTTTTTTTTTTTTTCTTTGAGACAGAGTTTTGCTCTGTCACCCAGTCTGGAGTGCCATGGTGCTATCTTGGCTCACAGCAACCTCTGCCTCCGAGTTCCAGTGATTCTCGTGCCTCAGCCACCCAAGTAGCTGGGACTCTAGATGTGCGCCACTATTCTTGGCTAATTTTTATATATTTTTTAGTAGAGATGGGGTTTCACCATGTTGAGCAGGCTGGTCTCGAACTCCTGGCCTCAAGTGATCTGACTGCCTCAGCCTCTCAAAATGCTAGGATTTGAGGCATGAGCCACCTCACCAAGCAGTAATATATCTTTTAGCCAGTATTACATAGGCAGTGTGAAATGTCTTACTACATTATATCAAGAGACACATAATAGCAGTTTTCTCACTGTTGAAAGCTTCATTGAGGTGATTTTAACCAAATGTCTACATTATAAAGATCCATTTTCTCCCTTTTTTTTCCCCCTTGAGATAGAGTCTCAGTCTGTTGCCCAGGCTGGACTGCAGTGACGTGATCTCAGCTCACTGCAACCTCCACCTTGGGTTCAAGTGATTCTTCTGCTTCAGCCTCCCAAGTAGCTGGGATTACAGGCATGCGCTACCACCCCTGGCTAATTTTTTTGTATTTTTAGTAGAGACGGGGGTTCACCATGTTGACCAGGCCAGTCTTGAACTCTTGACCTCAGGTTATCTGCCCGTCTCGGCTTCCCAAAGTGCTGGAATTACAGGCGTGAGTCACTGCACCTGGCCTTTCTCCTTTTTTAATTAGCAGTAATGATACTTTGACACTGAGAACACTGCTCCCCACCAACCATTCACCCAATGGTTTTAGTCTTTTTTTGTGATCTTTGTTTGAAAATAGGGTTACTCTTAATAATATAAATGTAAAAAATACACATTCCAGAGTTTTTCCAGTTCTTGCTGCTCTTGTATTACTTTCCTAAGAAGCTAGTCTTAAATTATTTAGCATATTTAGAAAATATAAGGCTGGGAGCAGTGGCTCACACCTGTAATGCCAGCACTTTGGGAGGCCAAGGCAGGCGGATCATGAGGTCAGGAGATCGAGACCATCCTGGCTAACATAGTGAAACCCCGTCTCTACTAAAAATACAAAAAATTAGCCAGGTGTGGTGGCGGGTGCCTGTAGTCCCAGCTACTTGGGAGGCTGAGGCAGGAGAATGGCGTGAACCTGGCAGGTGGAGCTTGCAGTGAGTGGAGATGGCGCCACTGCACTCCAGCCTGGGCAACAGAGCAAGACTCCGTCTCAAAAAAAAGAAAAAAGAAAAAAAAAAGAAAATATGGAAATATGTGGTCGGGCACAGTGGCTCACGCCTGTAATCCCAATCCCAGCACTTTGGAAGGCCGAGGCGGGCGGATCACGCTCACGCGAGGTCAGGAGTTCAAGACCAGCCTGGCCAACACGATGAAACCCTGTCTCTACTAACAACACAAAAATTACCTGGGCGTGCTGGCGCGAGCCCGTAATCCCAGCTACTCAGGAGGCTGAGGCAGGAGAATTGCTTGAACCTGGGAGGCGGAGATTGCAGTGAGCCGAGATCACGCCACTCTCCTCCAGCCTGGGTGACAGAGTGAGACTACATCTCAAAAAAAAAAGGAAAATATGGAAATATGTAAACATTCTGATGGGAAATATTTCTTATAATTTAGCAGACACATTTTAAAAATACACTTTATTTTCTCCTTTCTTTTAGGACCATCGATCGTTCTGTTTTTAAACCAATTGTCCAAATAGCAGTGATTGAAAATTCTGAATCACTGGACTGTCAGTTATTGGCTGTCACACATGCAGGTATGTTGTTTTATTTACATATCTGCTATTACTGTTACAACTTCTGAAAATTCTTAGATTTGGAAATTTATTATTAGAAATATATTTTTCCTTCTATATCTGCCGTAAAGCCATATAAATAGTTTGTAAAATAAAGGATTTTGAAAACTGGGAGATTTTTCTAATTCTGTTTCTTCATTTTATAGATATAAAACCAAACCTAGGCCAGGCATGGTAGCTCACATTTGTAATCCTAGCGCTTTGGGAGATCAAGGCAGGCAGATTGCCTGAGCCCAGGAGTTCAAGACTAACCTGAGCAACATGGTGAAACCCTGTAACCCCGTCTCTACTAAAAATACAAAAATTAGCTAGGTGTGATGGCACGGCCTTGTAGTACCAGCTGCTTGGGAGGCTGTCATGGAAAGATCACTTGAGCCCAGGAGTTTGAGGCTACAGTGAGCTGAGATTATGCTACTACACTTCACCCTGGGCAATAGGGCAAGATCTTTTCTCAAAAAACCAGTAAAAAAGCAAAACAAAAGCCAAGCCTAAAAGGCGCAGTGGCTGACATTTTGTAACAAAGCCTGAATTGGAACACAAGATTTCTTGGTTTGTCTTTGCAAGTTCTTTCTAATGAAATGTATTGATTCACCTCTCAATTTCGAGTGACATTTTCTTAGATATATATTTTAGCAGATAGTCTATATGGTAATTTAAGATCAGTCAGGGGAGCCGGGTGCGGTGGCTCACACCTGTGATCCCAGCACTTTGGGAGGCCAAGGCGGGTGGATCCTGAGGTCAGGAGATCAAGACCATCCTGGCTAACACGGTGAAACCCCATCTCTACTAAAAACACAAAAAATTAGCCAGACATGGTGGCAGGCACCTGTAGTCCCAGCTACTCGGGAGGCTGAGGCAGGAGAATGGTGTGAACCTGGTAGGTGGAGCTTACAGTGAGCCAAGATCGCGCCACTACACTCCAGCCTGGGAGACAGAGCAAGATTCTGTCTCAAAAAAAAATAAAAATAAAAATAAAACAAATTAGACGGGTGTGGTGGCACATGCCTGTAGTCTCAGCTACCTGGGAGGCTAAGGCAGGAGAATCGCTTGAACCCGGGAGGCGGAGGTTGCAGTAAGCCGAGATGGCGCCACTGCACTCCAGCCTGGGCGACAGAGCTAGACTCCATCTCCAAAAATAAAAATTAGTCAGGAAAGTTATGTATGGTTTTAGCAGAGTGTTGCATTGCTGTATGTAATTGCTTCAATAACACATTTACCTCAGGTCCTTGTTTTCTATTACTGATGCATAATTTTACCCCATCTTCAGGTGTTAGGTTATATTTTAGCACTTGTCCATTCAGACAGCCATTAGCACGGCCTAATACACTGACGCTGGTTCATGTCCGCTTACCTCCTGGATTCTCAGCATCTTCAACCGTGGAAAAGCCTTCAAAAGTACATAGAGCTCTTTATAGTAAAGGTAAGTTCTGAAATACTATCAGATTTAAGATTATATTCTTAAAATTGTTAAAATTATATGGTGTTGTGAAGTATTTGAAAATACCCTATGGCAACAGTAGAAACTGGGAACTACTAGAAGGGTCAGGGAAGTAGGGGAGCAAGGGTTGAAAAACGGACTATTGGGTCTTATGCTCAGTACCTGAGTGATGGAATCAGTTGTACCCTAAACCTTAGCACCACGCAATATACGCAAGTAACAGATTTGCACATATACCTCCTGAATCTAAAATAAAATTTGAAATTGTAGTGAAATTCAAAAGTTGAAAGTGTAGTTTTCACTGCTACATTTAGGTTTTTGATCTGTTTTGTGATAATTTTTGTATGTTGTGTGAAGTAGGAATCTGACTTCATCCTTCTGCATGTGGTTATCTAGCTGTCTGAGCACCATTTGTTGAAAAGACTATTATATCCCCCATTGAATTGTCTTCATCTTACTGTCTGAAGTGAATTACCCGTTAATGTATGGAATCTGGATTCTCAGTTCTATTCTGTTGGTCTATATTATCCATCCTTATGTCAGTAGCACAGTCTTGATTACCGTTGCTTTGTAATAAGTTTTGAAATTGATAAGTGTGACTATTCCAACTTTGATCTTTTTTTTTTTTTGAGGTGGTCTGGCTCTGTTGCCGAGGCTGGAGTGCAGTAGCACAATCTCTGCTCACTGCAACCTCCGCTTCCCAGGCTCATGCTGTCCTCCCACTTCAGCCTCCTGAGTAGCTGAGAGAGACTACAGGTGTGTGCCACCACACCCGGCTAATTTTTGTACTTTTTGTAGAGATAGGCTTTTGCCATGTTGCCTAGGCTCGTCTCAAACTCCTGAGCTCAAGTGATCCGTCTGCATTGGCCTCCTAAAGTGCTGGGATTACAGGCATGAGCCACCGTGCACCTGGCCTGATTTTTTAAAAGATGATTTTGGCTCTTCTCAGTTTCTTGAATTTTCATATGAATTTTAGAATCACCTTGTTAATTTCTGCAAAAAAAGTGAGGTGGGGCCGGGTGCAGTGGCTCACGCCTGTAAGCCCAACACTTCGGGAGGCAAAGGCAGGTGGATCACTTGAGATCAGTTCAAGACCAGCCTGGCCAACATGGCGAAACCCTGTCTCTACTAAAAATACAAAAATTAGCCGGGTGTAGGGGGCATGTCTGTAGTCACAGCTTCTTGTGGGCTGAGGCAAGAGAATCGCTTGAACTGGGGAAGTGAAGGTTACAGTGAACCAAGATCCTACCGCTGCACTCTAGCATGGGGGACAGAGCAAGACTCCATCTCAAAACAAAAACAAAAACAAAAAACACACAAAAAAGTGAGGTTGGATTGTGATAGCTGAATCAGTATATCAATTTGGGGCATGTTGCCATCTTAACTATGTTAAGTCTTCAAATCCATGAATACAGAATATTTTTCCAAGTCATTTGAGGGTGGGGAGGAAGGTTCTCACTCTGTTGCCCAGGCTGGAGTGCAGTGGCAGGATCTTGGGTCACCATAGCTTCAACCTTCCAGGCTCAGGTGATCCTCCTTGCTCAACCTCCTGAGGAGTTGGGACTACAGGCATGTGCCACCACTCCTGGCTAATTTTTGTATTTTTTGTAGAGACGGGGTTTCACCATGTTTCCCAGGCTGGTCTTAAACTCCTGGGCTCAAGCAGTCCTACCACCTCTGCCTCCCAAAGCGCTAGGATTATAGGCGTGAGCCACCGTGTTGGCAAGTTTTGTTGAGATAATTGCCTTTTTTTTTTTTTTTTTTGAGACAGTGTCTACTGTCACCCAAGCAGGAGTGCAATATGCAGTCATGACTCATTACAGCCTCTACCTCCCCGGCTCAAGCAATCCTCCTGCCTCATGTTTTGTTGAAACAAGGTCTTACTTTATTGCCCAGGCTGGTCTCGAACTCCTGGGCTCAAGTGATCAGCCTGCCTCAGCCTCCGAAACTGCTGGGATTACATGCATAAGCCACAGCACCTGGCCCAGATAATTGCTTCTATAGTACACTTATCTCTGCCATTCCTCTAGCACCTTCATCATTTTTATTCATGGTGTGTTTGAATTAACCAGTATATAAACTGTATTTCATTGAATATTAGCTTGTATTACATTGTGAATTTGTCAGTCATGGCATTTTTATATACTAAGTATATTTTTATAAAATTAATAATTAAATTGATAAACCCATTGACTGCAAGATATGCCCTAAGTTCAGAAATGCTAAAATGTGAAAAAAAAATGTTTATCTGAGAGAAATACAGTTTAAAATTGAGAACACTTAAGGAGTCTACCTTAAAAATAATTATATAGTCTTTCAGGGAATTATTTTATTTTGTAACTTGTTTGTTTATAAAGATTGATGTTCGGTTGGGCGCAGTGGCTCACGCCTGTAATTCCAGTACTTTGGGAGGCCAAGTTGGGCGGATCACGAGGTCAGGAGATCGAGACCATCCTGGCTAACACGGTGAAACCTCGTCTCTACTAAAAATACAAAAAATTAGTCGGGCGTGGTGGCAGGTGCCGTAGTCCCAGCTACTCGGGAGGCTGAGGCAGGAGAATGACGTGAACCCAGGAGGCGGAGCTTGCAGTGAGCCGAGATCGCGCCACTGCACTCCAGCCTGGGTGACAGCGAGACTCCGTCTCAAAAAAAAAAAAAAAAGATTGATGTTGTGTGTGTATATTTATATATGCTAGTTTTAAGTTGGCATAAAAGTACGTGTGGTTTTGTAAAATTTTTTTTTTTTTTTTTTTTGAGACGGAATCTTGCTCTGGCGCCCAGGCTGGAGTGCAGTGGCACAATCTCAGCTTACTGCAACCTCCACCTCCTGCGTTCACGCCATTCTCCTGCCTCAGCCTCCTGAGTAGCTGGGATTACAGGTGCCTGCCGCCATGCCCAGCTAATTTTTGTATTTTAGTAGAAACAGGGTTTCACCATGTTGATTAGGCTGGTCTTGGACTCCTGACCTCGTGATCCACCCACCTCATCCTCCAAAAGTGCTGGGATTACAGGCATGAGCCACCGTGCCCAGCCCGGTTTTATAATTTTAATTGCAAAACCGCAATTGCTTTTGCACTAACCTAATAATTATTAAGGTTATTGAGGATGCATATTTGACATGATGTAATAATATTTTGTATATTAAACTTTTAGGTATTCTATTGATGGCAGCCTCAGAAAATGAGGATAATGATATTTTATGGTGTGTCAACCATGATACTTTTCCTTTCCAAAAGCCAATGATGGAAACCCAGGTAAGTTATCCTGACAATTCTGAAAAAACTATTATATAATTTTAAGTGAAGGATAATATGGAAGAAACTTTTATCTTCTGATGTATTGCTGTTTGCTTCTAATAACGTATTATTAGAAATTATAAAGTAAAGAAATTATCCTGTCAATTATTTGTTTTCCTCTGTCAGGGTAGAAGTTACTGTGGTAATCACAAAAAAAATCTTTAAAGAAAACATTGGACCCTTACGGAATATTTTCCATAATGTACTAGAAAATACATACATCTTTTTTGAAGTTGTCTTTTTTTTTCTGAAAACATGTCAGGTTCATATGAAATGATCTTTACCTCATTTAAATATGTTGCTCGTTTAGTTATTTAAATATGAGGCCATCTATTACAGTTGTGACTTAGATTTTATTCTAACAATCTCTTTGTAATTTTGTCTGTTTTTTTTTTAATTATGGAAACTTTCAAACATAAAGTTTGAAGAGTCAATTGAACCTCACGTAAGAGAATTGAGTTGCCAACATCTTTCTTATTGTATTTCATTTTTCTTTCCCACATAAACAAAGAGACACCCACAAACACACAGTTTTGATTTAAACACAAAAATCACCACATACATCATGAAGTGGATATGGTCTTCCTGGGTGAGGACCGAGGCTGCTATGAACCCACGAACTGCCCCTGCCCCCAGCTGCCCATCCTAGTCCCCAGTGTATAAGGAGGTGAGGGGAGGCTACCTGTCTCCATCCCCTTGGTGTCCTCTGCTCACTCCTGCCTGTCCTCCTGAATAGTCCTGCATAGCCCACAGAGGCTGCTGATCAAACCAGATAAACCAGCCCCTAGTGGGGTGTGAATGTCTGGTACTCTGTCTTTAGAGCTACCTCTTCACAGGCATTTTGCTTCTAGTTTTCACTGAAAACTAGTGGTTCTTTGGTGGTTCTTAAATTTGAACCCTTCCAGATGGGACTGGAAAAAGGTGTGTGTAAGTGGGAGGAGTAAAAACTGAACTCCCAGGGATGGGAGTATTGTCTGCCTGAGCTCTACCAAATTTCTGACAAGGTTCAAAGAGCTGGGGTAGGAGCAGGAGGAAGATAAGGAGGTAAGGAGTGCCTTCTTTCCTTTATTCTTTGTACTACCAGCCTAGTGCTGTGATAAACTATGAGGATTCAGAACTTAATAAGATATAAACCCTGTCCTGGTTGGGATGCTGTGTTGGGGGAGTGGAGGACATGCTTTTGGCTCTCTGTTTCTTCCTCTATAATAGTTATAATCGTACCTACTACGATGGAGTTGTGAGACTAAATGAGCTCATGTGTGTAAAGCACTCAGAACAATGCCTGGCACTCATAGGAAGCACCATTCCATAAATGTTAACTTTTTTTTTTTCTTTACTCTTTTAAAAGACAGCATCTCACCCTGTTGCCCAGGCCCAAGCAGTCCTCCCACCTCAGCCTCCCAAGTGGCTGGGACTACAGGTGTGCATTACCACGTACAGCCGATTTTTAAATTTTTTGTAGCGACAGGGTCTGACTATATTGCCCAGACTAGTCTTGAACTCCTGGGCTCAAGCGATCCTCCCACCTTGGCTTCCCAAACTGCTGGGATTACAGGTGTGAGACACTGTCCTCCACCTAACTTTTTTTTTAGAACAAATGCTGCATGTCATATAATTTGATTTAATATTTGAGTTTTTCTCAAACAAAGGTGGACTTTTGTTTTTAACAAAAAAACTCATCAAGTATAGTGTATGAGCTTTGATCAAATCCTAGTTATCAAAAATAGTCATAAAAGACATTAGAACAGCTGGGTAAATTTTATATTGGTTAGGTGTTAAATTATATTAGGGAATTGATAACTTTTTTTTTTGAGACAAGGTTTCACTCTGTTGCCCAGGCTGGAGTACAGTGGCACAATCAGAGCTCACTGCAACTGCCTCCCAGGCTCAGGGGATCCTCCTACCTCAGCACCCGCCACCCCCTCCCCGCCATGTAGCTGGGACTACAGGCACATGCCACCACTCTTGTCTAATTTTTTTGTATTTTTAGTAGAGACAGGGTTTTGCCATGTAGCCCCTGCTGGTCTCGAATTCCTAAGCTTAAGGGATCCACCTGCCTTGGTCTCCCAATGTGTTGGGATTACAGGTGTAAGCCGTGTCGTCCAGCCAATAACATTTTTAAATGTTATTATATGGTTTGTAAGAAAACATTCTTATTTTTAGGAGATATGTGCAAAAGTATTTAAGAGTGATAAATGATGTCTATACTTTCAAATAGTACAATAAAACAAATATACAGAAAGAGAGAGAATGCAGATATGGCGAACTGCTAACAATTGTTGAGTCTAGGTATTGGGCATGTGGACTTTTACTGTATATTCAACATTTTTGGCTGCTTGAATTTTTTTATTATAAAGTATTTTAGAAGATTAAAATACTTTTTTTTTTTTTTTTTCTGAGACAGGGTTTTGCTCTGTTGCCTGGAGTGGAGTGCAGTGGCATAGATAGCTCACTATAGCCTCAAACTCCTGGGTTCAAGCAATCCTCCTACCTCAGCCTTCTGAGTTGCTGGGAATACAGGCACACGCCACCACACCGAGGTGGTTTTTTATTTTTTGTAGAGATGGGACTTCATTATATTGCCTAGGCTGGTAAAATACTTTTTTTTTTTTTTTTTTGTGACAGAGTCTTGTTCTGTCGTCCAGGCTGGAGTGCAGTGGCACAATCTCGGCTCACTGCAACCTCCATCTCCCGGGCTCAAGCAGTTCTCCTGCCTCAGCATCCAGAGTAGCTGGGATTACAGGCGTGTGCCACCACACCCGGCTAATTTTTCTATTTTTAGTAGAGACAGGGTTTCACCACATTGGCCTGGCTGGTCTCGAACTCCTGACCTCGGGTACCGCCCGCCTCCACCTCCCAAAGTGCTGGGATTATAGGCGTGAGCCACCTCGCCGAGCCAGTAAAATACTTTTTAAAGGAAAGATAGTATCTTAGCAGATTTAGTTGATCCTGGAAAGATGGTAGAAGGTAGTTACTTGGTTAAGAGAATTATAATTTTATTAAAGAGTATTTATAGTTTATCTTGAGAAAAGTTTGCCCTTGTCCTCTAGTACAAAAAGATTTATGTATTAGTATAGAAAATGCCTGCTTATGGCTGGGCATGGTGGCTCACGCCTGTAATCCTAGCACTTTGGAAAGAGGCCAAGGCAGGCAGATCACCTGAGGTCAGGAGTTTGAGACCAGCCTGGCCAACATGGCAAAAGCCAGTCTCTAATAACAATACAAAAATTAGCCGGGTATGGTGGTGTGCGTCTCTAATCCCAGATACTCGGAAGGCTGAGGCAGGAGAATTGCATGAACCTGGGAAGCAGACGTTACAGTGGGCTCTGATTAGGCCACTGCACTCCAGCCTTGGCAACAGGGTGAGACTCTGCCTCAGAAAAAAAAAAAAGGTAATGCCTGATTAGCACTTTGAGAGGCCAAGATGGGCAGACTGCATGAGCCCAGGAGTTCGAGAACATCCTGGGCAACATGGTAAAACCCTGTTCATACAAAACATAGAAAAATTAGGCGGCCGTGGTAGCATTCTCCTGTAGTCCCAGCTACTTGGGAGGTTGAGGTGGGAGAATCAACTGAACCCAGGGAGGTCGAGGTTGCAGTGAGTTGTGATCGTGCCAGCGCACTCCAGCTTAGGTGACAGAGTAAGATGCTGTCTCAAAAAAAAAAAACCCCAGAGGCCAGGTGTGGTGGCTCATGCCTGTAATCCCAGCGCTTTGGGAGGCCGAGGTGGGCGGATCACCTGAGGTCGAGAGTTCAAGACCAGCCTGACCAACATGGAGAAACCCCGTCCCCACTAAAAATAAAAAATTAGCTGGGCGTGGTGACATATGGCTGTAATCCCAGCTACTAGGGAGGCTGAGGCAGGAGAATCACTTGAACCCGGGAGGCAAAGGTTACAGTGAGCCAAGATCACTCCACTACACTCCAGCCTAGACAACTTCGTCTCAAAAAAAAAACAAAAAACAAAAACCCAGAAAATACCTGATTTAAAAAAAAGATAGTAGAAAATTACATAATACTTTCAAAAATATTCATGTTAATGTACTATTTATTAAATTTACTTCTTTATTAAGTCTGTAGTTTTTTCTTTTGCATTATGTAACTTCAATATGATGTATAAAACATTTATTTCTTTTACATAGATGACAGCTGGTGTTGATGGTCATTCCTGGGCTCTTTCTGCGATAGATGAATTGAAAGTAGATAAAATAATTACACCTTTAAACAAGGATCATATTCCAATAACTGATTCACCAGTTGTTGTACAGCAGCACATGTTACCTCCGAAGAAATTTGTTCTCCTCTCAGCACAGGTGTGTACGTATTCTGTTATGGTAGTGACAAAAATAAGCGATGTATAATATTTTTGTCAAGTTCTCTGAAGTAGTGGCTTAATTGAATAATTTTCTTTCTTTTTTTTTTGAGACGGAGTCTCGCTCATCACCCAGGCTGGAGTGCAGTGGTGTGATCTCAGCTCACTGCAACCTCTGCCTCCCCAGATCAAGCAATTCTCCTGCCACAGCCTCCTGAGTAGCTGGGATTACAGGCGCACACCACCACACCTGGCTAATTTTTGTATTTTTAGTAGAGATGGGGTTTCACCATGTTGGCCAGGCTGGTCTTGAACTCCTGATCTCAGGTGGTCCGCCTGCCTCGGCCTCCCAAAGTTCTGGGATTACAGGTGTGAGCCATTGCACCCAGCCTTCCTGGTTTCTTATTTGACTTTGTTTATTGAGATTTTTCCCAGGCACACAAGCTTATAATTAGTCAAAATTATCAGTTATCAGTTGATATTTTATTTTATTTATTTTATTTTATTTTAGACAAGGTCTTAATCTGTCACCCAGGCTGGAGTGTGGTGCACAGTCTTGGCTTACGGCAACCTCTGCCTCCCAGGCTCAAGGGATCCTCCCACATCAGCCTCCTGAGTAGCTGGGAATACAGGCGTTTGCCACCACACCCAGTTAATTTTTGTATTTTCTGTAGAGACAGGATCTCACTAAAGCCCAGGCTCGTCTCAAACTCTTGAGCTCAAGCTATCCACCCACCTCATCCTCCCACAGTGCTGAGATTACAGGCGAGAGCCAATCTGCCCAGCCATCATTTGAAATATGTCATAGTTGAAAAGCTTCCACTCACTAAGGTTTATAAAAGAATCCACTCTTAGTTGCTTTTGTTTATTGATTGGTGCAAAAACAATTGAGGTTTTTGCCATTGATTGTAATGGCAAAAACACCATCCTGGCTAACACAGTGAAACCCCGTCTTTACTAAAAATATAAAAAAATTTAGCCGGGCATGGTGGTGGGCGCCTGTAGTCACAGCTACTCGGGAGGCTGAGACAGGAGAATGGCATGAACCCGGGAGGCGGAGCTTGCAGTGAGCCGAGATTGCGCCACTGCACTCCAGCCTGGGAGACAGTACGAGACTCCGTCTAAAAAAAAAAAAAAAAAAAAAAAAAAAGCTGTAATGGCAGAAACCTCAATTGCTTTTGTACCAACGTAATATTATGATAGTTTTATTTTGTCCTTTAAGTCTTTTGATCTATTTGGAATTTACTCTGGTATAAGGTATGACTATGTTTCTAGCTTTTTTTTTTTTTTTTTTTGCCTAAATTGATATAAATAGTAGCAACATGATTAATTAATAATCTAACTTTAATTCTCTGGTTTAAGGGGCAGCTTTGCCGGGGCAATTGCATTAAGTTTTCTTTATAGATATATAGATCTACTGGAGGTTGAGTAGAGAAGTAGATGATCTTTTTGACCAGTTGTACTTTTTATATCACCTCAGCCATTCCTCCTGCCTCAGCCCCGTGATGTGCTGGAAATACAAATGTGGGCCACCATACCCAGCCTACTTTGTATTGTTGAATGGTTTTTTTTGTTTGTTTCATTTATTTTATCAAATAAGGTAGAGTCAGTTGCTATCAGCCAATCTTGGTAAATCTCTTGTTCATGTTCTTTCTTCAAATTTCTTAGGGGAGCCTTATGTTTCATAAACTTAGACCTGTAGATCAACTGAGGCATCTACTTGTGAGTAATGTGGGAGGAGATGGAGAAGAGATTGAAAGATTCTTTAAATTACATCAGGTAATTATATATACTTTTAAAAAATGTGATGCTATTTTAAACAAACAGTGGGAGTCATAGTTTATGTAAATTGGGACTGGAATACTGTAATAAATATATATATATATTTTGAGATGGAGTTTCGCTCTTGTTGCCCAGGCAGGAGTGCAATGGCGCAATCTTGGCTCACTGCAACCTCTGCCTCTCAGGTTCAAATGATTGTTCTGCCTCAGCCTCCCCAGTAGCTGGGATTACAGGCATGTGCCAGCACTCCCAACTAATTTTGTATTTTTAGTAGAGACAGAGTTTCTCCATGTTGGTCAGGCTGGTCTCGAACTCCCGACCTCAGGTGATCCGCCCACCTCGGCCTCCTAAAGTGCTGGGATTACAGGCCGTGAGCCACCAAGCCCAGCCATAAATAGATAATCTTAACAATATTCCTTTCTTTGCCTAAGTCACTGTATGTGAACTGACATTTGAAAGCAGGATTAATATGAGTCTTGTAGTGAGCTTTCAGATTTTTATTCTCTGTTGTTGATAAATTCTTTTTTTTTTTTGAGACAGAGTCTCGCTCTGTCGCCCAGGCTAGAGTGCAGTGGCGTGATCTCGGCTCACTCTAAGCTCCACCTCCCAGGTTCATTCCATTCTCCTGCCTCAGCCTCCCAAGTAGCTGGGACTACAGGACCCCCCCACCACGCCTGGCTAATTTTTTGTATTTTTAGTAGAGATGGGGTTTCATCATGTTAGCCAGGATGGTCTCGATCTCCTGACCTCATGATCCACCCGCCTCGGCCTGCCAAAGTGCTGGGATTACAGGCGTGAGCCACCATGCCTGGCCTGTTGTTGATAAATTCTTATTGAAGTCTGCTAGTAAGAGTTTCTTGTTCAGGTTATATGATAAATGCCTTTTCATTAAAAGCACAAGACATTTAGGGACAAGTTGTTTTTGGTTTGTTTGTTTGTTTGTTTGTTTGTTTTGGCTTAATGACCTGAGGAAGAAACCTGAGGCAACAGTGTAGAGATCTTAGTATTTCAGAGCCACAACTGGAATTGATACGGTTAAAATTGGGAGTAGTTCAAAGTTAAGTATACAGACTCTGGATTCAAAGCACCTGTGTTAAAAATCCCAGCTCCACCACTGAGGTAAATTACTTGACTTCTCTGGGCTTCAGTTTCCTTATACATTATAATAGGATGTGGTATGAGGATTAATATATGCTAAACTCTTAAAATAGTACCTGACACATGGTAGGTATTCAGTGTTACCACTTAATTGTTATTTTCTAGAAAGCAGAAAGACCACAGGAAGAAAATTGGAGACATAAGCCGGAAACTAAGTCAGAATCTAGGTTAAAAGGAAAAGAGAACATCCTGTAATCCTAGTGCTTATGATGAACTTAAAACCAGTAGTGTTTACTTGTCTTTTTAACACTAACTGATTTCATTCAGTCAGCAAGTATTTATTGAATGCCTGCTCTGTGCTAGATACAGACTTTAATACTGCATCTAGCAGTACACAAATCATTTTAAAATTTGTATTTAATATAAGGCCAATATTCCTCTTTTTACACAGGAAGACCAGGCTTGTGCAACTTGCCTTATTCTTGCTTGCTCCACTGCTGCCTGTGATAGAGAAGTATCTGCCTGGGCTACTCGGGCTTTCTTTAGGTATGTGAAAGTTTTTCTTGTTTATTTATTTGTTTTTTTACTGGGCCACTTTTTAAAATGATTTTATCAATGTGATAAAGCCTTGCCAAACAGTTGAGTGACTATGTAGGCAAATTACCAAAATTCATTTGCAAAAGGGTGAAATCTGGAGAGATTATAATGGTAATAGAAGCAAGTAAATTAGCATAGTTTATGCATTATTACTTTAACTCTGGATTCTGTTCTGTAACTTCTTGTCTACTTTCTACACTTTGTTCTACCTCAGTTACTGTCTCATCTATCTTTTTTACTTCCCCAAACACTATGCCAATTCTGCTTAATATGTATCATTAGTATTGAAGGCTTCTGAATTACTTTAAGGAAACTTGGTACCAAAGAGATATTTCTATTTAGAAAATATTTAAGAATTTGAAATGTGATTTTGTTAGAAACGTTTTTTGAAGTACTATCTAACCATAACCTAGTATGAAAATTACAATGCCATTTACTCACAAAGTAAATTCTATGCATTGCATATCTTTTTCTTAGAAGTTATCAGAGTCCCTTATAATTCTTCCTGGTAGCAGTTTCAAGTCCACATTTACTGAATAAATATTTATTATAAGTCTTATGCATATACTTTACTGTCAGCACAATACATTGAAGTCTCTAATGTTTAAAGCATTTACTTGGAAGCTAAACAGGAAAAGGAACAATTCCAGTTTTTAAGATGGATGGTTTGTTTTACTGAATAAACTCAACCTCTTGTCATAAAAATAGGTATGGTGGTGAAGCACAGATGAGATTTCCAACCACTCTTCCGCCTCCAAGTAATGTTGGTCCCATCTTGGGGTCTCCTGTCTATTCTAGTGAGTATGGAACATTGAAATGAAATTGTTTCTAATCGTTTGAATCTTAGAACCTTTATAGCAATTTTTATCAATAAGCCTTTTCATTATGTTTTATTTACTGCTATTGTATAATTGATGAATACATCTATAGATTCTGATTCTTAAAAGTGATCTATTAATATTGAATCCTTAATGTAAGGAAGCAAAATAAGATGTAACCAATCATATTTACATAACTCATTTGGTATATATTCAGAGGGAAACAGATGAATGATTTAATAATTAACTCGCACATCAGTGTTTTCCAAGGTGGGAGTTGTTAGAAACTTACTAGGAGATCAGTCCCTAATTCTTGCATATATCGTGGACAATGTAACTCCTTATGCTTAGAAATAGCTTCTGTGGCCAGGCACAATGGCTCACACCTGTAATCCCAGGACTTTGGGAGGCCGAGGCGGGCAGATCACCTGAGGTTGGGAGTTTGAGACTAGCCTGACCAATATGGTGAAACCATGTCTCTACTAAAAGTACAAAAAGTAGCCGGCCTGTGGTGGTGTGAGCCTGTAATCCCAGCTACTCAGGAGGCTGAGACGGGAGAATCGCTTGAACCCGGGAGACAGAGGTTGCAGTGAGCCGAGATCATGCCACTGCACTCCAGCCTGGGCCACAGAAAGAGACCCTGCCTCAAAAAAAGAAAAAGGAAATACCTTCTTTACCTAATTTTGATCACATTCAAAAGATTGAGATGTTCTTTTCTAAATCTTTATATTCTTCTTTCCCTTTTTAGGTTCTCCTGTTCCTAGTGGTAGTCCCTATCCAAATCCATCCTTTTTGGGAACACCGTCTCATGGTACCTCTTTTCTTTGTTTTGGATTGGATTCATTTTGAAGTGCTAACATTATGAGTTAACCTTAATGCTTAGTGTGAAAAAGATGAACTTGCCTTATTCCCTTGAAAATAAATATAATTTTAGAAGCGCTGTCCAAGCAAGTTTTGGCATTTGGATGTGAATGCCTTTATTTAGGAGGAACTCCTCTTATAATAAGCCTGGAAAGCCCATTATTTGGCTACCAGGATTAAATTGAACCCTAAAATCTGTGTAATCAGTTCTATTTCACTGTCAGCATTACAAGCAGTACTGGCAAGTTTGTTTCCTTTTCATTCTGCATTGTGAACACTTGCAAGTCTATCTGGGAGTACCCATCCACATTTAAATCTCTCTTCTTATTAAGGAAAACCAAGTTAAATATCTATGTATTTCATTGTTTTTGTAAATACCTTTGTGTCTAGATACACAAACTTGGGTTATGAGAATTCTGAATTTTATGGGTTCTAAGATTAAGAGATTTATGGGTTCTAAGATTAAGATTAAGAGATTTATGGGTTCTAAGATTAAGATTAAGAGATTTGTTTTTCTTATGTGTGTACAAGGTATACAGCCTCCTGCCATGTCAACTCCAGTGTGTGCTCTGGGAAACCCAGCAACTCAGGCCACAAATATGAGTTGTGTGACTGGACCAGAGATTGTGTACTCTGGAAAACACAATGGTATTTGCATTTACTTTTCTCGGATCATGGGGTAAGTTTGTCATGAAATAATGAATTATTGCTCACCTTGTCCCATCTTGAGTAGTTAAATATTTTTAACTCTGAATTTGGGACATCATTTATTCCTATTAAATTTTAGTTTTAGCTCACTTGTTGATCAATAAAACTTTTCTATTATTCCAGTTTTTGTTATCTAACTATATTCATTGCTGTGTTTTATTTCTCTTACTCTCTCATAATCTATTTTTGTAGCATCAAAATACAGTTGTTCCTTAACACAGGGGTTAGGGGATGCCAACCACCATTCCTCAACCTTCATGTAGTCAAAAATTCATGTACAACTTTTGACTTTCTTAATTACTAATAGCCTACTGTCTAGAAGCCTCACTGATAAGTAATCAATTAACACGTTTTGTATGTTTTTTGTGTTTTCTTTTTTTAACTTTTGCATGGTGTAGGAGTATGGGGGAGTCTCGTAAAAACCAGAAAACCTGCTAGACAAATTCTAAAACAGCCGTAACACTGATATTTTGTGTTATATGTGTTATACACTATATTCTTACCATAAAGTAAGCTAGAGAAAAAAAATTAAGAAAATCATAAGGAAGAGAAAATATATTTACTATTCATTAAGTGGCAATGGATCATCATAAAAGTCTTCATCCTTGTCTTCACGCTGAGTAGGCTGAGGAGTAGGAAGAGGAAGGGTTGGTTTTGATGTGCTGGGGTAGCATAGGTGGGAAAAAAATCTGTGTATAAGTGGACCCACACAATTCAAGCCCATATTGTTCAAAGGTCAACTGTATATCTACTTACATATGAATGTACAGTGTTACAAACTTCCCCATAACTCAGTGACATGTGTCTACAGTTCAACAGGGCAGTTCTTGTCTTGCTGGGCTAACTCAAGAATAGGCAATCAGTTGTGAAGTTAAAGAGAGCTATGCTTATCTTGGCTAGACTCTCACATGTTCAAGGTTATATTTTCCAGCTGGTCTAGAATGGCCCAAGATGAAACAGCTTGGTTGTTCTCTACATGGTTTCTCATCCCCCAGCAGGCCAGCCAAAGATTATTTAGTTGGTGGTGGCAGAGTTCCTTGAGAAAGAGTAGACACTTGCAAAACCTTTATTCTAAACTCAGAACTGGCTTACCATGCACTTTTCCGCCTTATTCACTTGGCCAGAGGGAAGTCACAGGGCCAACTCAGATTTAAAAGGTGGGAAATAGACCACCTTTTAGGGGAGAGACATCAAATCATACTGCAGAGGGGATAGATATAGGGAGGGATAAAGAAATGTGGTTGTTTTTGCAATCAGTCTATCATGTTATCTTAGTTAGCTATCATGCCTAATATATATTTCTCTTAGATTTGAGATGTATGATTTCATTCATCTCATTTGCTTAAAAGTATGAAACAGTACAGAGCCCCTTTATAAATTTCCTGTTTACAATTTATTATACAGAGCCTTTTGATTTTTCTTCAGTAATATTTCATTATCTGAAAAACTTAGGTACATCAGGTATGAAAATTTTCTAGTATTCCACTCTTCTAGATAGCTTAGTAAAATGTTAAATGAAACCACTGCAAGTTTTAAAAACTGAATAAAGCCATTAAGTTCCTAGAGAAAGAAATTTATTGTAATTGTTTTTATTCATTTACAGCACAATCATTAAAACTTTTTTTTTTCCAGAAACATTTGGGATGCAAGCTTAGTTGTGGAGAGAATATTCAAGAGTGGCAACAGAGAGATCACTGCAGTAAGTGTGTATAATATTATTTTGTTATTTTTGTGTAGCCAGTTGATGGTATAAATGGTTAGATTGTTTCACATTTCCTGATATTACACAAATAAGATGGCAAAGGTTATTTTTTTTTTTTTTTTTTTTTTTGAGACAGAGTCCTGCTCTGTCTCCCAGGCTGGAGTGCAGTGGCCCAGTCTCAGCTTACTGCAACCTCTGCCCTCTGGGGTCAAGCGATCCTCCCACCTCAGCCTCCTGAGTACCTGGGATTACAGGTGTGCGCCACCATGCCTGGCTAATTTTTGTAGTTTTTGTAGAGATAGGGTTTCACCATGTTGCCCAGGCCAGTCTCAAACTCCTAGACTCAAGCAAACCACCTGCCTTGGCTTCCCAAAGTGCTAAGATTACAGGCAGGGGGCCTCAGCGCCTGGCGGGTTATTCTTTTATGTATATGTTTGCATTCTTGGACAACAAACTGCTTACCTTCAGGTTTAAATCTCATCTCTAACATTGATTAACTGTCTGAATATGAGTAAATTACTTAACATTTCAGAGCCTGATACCTCATGGTAAAAGAAGGGGCGTAGTATATCTCCCTCATAAGGTTGTCATGAGGGATAACTCAAGCAACTTAATATTGCTCAAATTTTACTATGTAATACTTTGACATATATATGAACGAAAACTCCATGGACCCAGCACTAATTTCTATGAATTGGCATACTTTACAGACTGCTTTTTGCTCTTGTTGCCCAAGCTGGAGTGCAGTGGCACAGTTTCACTCTTGTTGCCCAAGCTGGTGTGCAATGGCATTATCTCGGCCCATCGTAACCCCTGCCTCCTGGGTTCAAGCGATTCTTCTGCCACAGCCTCACGAGTAGCTGGGATTACAGGTGCGCGCCACCATGCCCAGCTGATTTTTTGTATTTTTAGTAGAAACAGTGTTTTACTATGTTAGCCAGGCTGGTCTCGAACTCCTGACCTCAAATGATCCGCCCACCTCGGCCTCCACTGAGAATACAGGCGTGAGCCACCACGCCCAGTCCAAATATATTTTTAATTGTGAGGCTCTTAAAGTTCATGAGTTGGGCACAGTGGCCCGTGCCTGTAACCACAATGCTTTGGAAGGCTTGAGCCCAGGAGTTCAGGACCAGCCAGGGCAACGCGGCCAGATGCCTTTTCTATAAAATAAAATAAGATTAAAATTAGTCAGATATGTGGTGGCATGTGCTGGTACTTCCAGCTAATTGGGAAGGAGGGTCACTTGAACTTAGGAAGTCAAGGCTGCAGTAAGATATGATCCGCGCCACTACACTCCCAGGCAACAACAAGACGCTGTCTCTCAAAAAAAAAAAAGTTCAAGTTTCTAAGAATAAGAGTGTATTTGCCTAACACAGTATATGATTCCATATATATATATGGAAGTCTAAAAACTTGTAAAATTAATCTATGTTGATAGGAGTAAGAAAAGTAGTTACCTCAGAGGTGGGATGACTAATGGCTACAAAGGAACATAGGAAACTTTCTTTGGTGTTGGAAATTTCTGTATTGTGGTCTGGGTGATGACTATACAAAAATATATAAAAGTAATCAAGATGTTTTCTTAGTATTTGTATTTTATTGTATGTTAGTTATGCATCAGTGTTACTGGCAGGAGAGGAAGTGTGTAGGTATACTTTATTCGGATCAACAGGTGTGAATTGATACAAGAAATAACTATAGAGATACTCATTTCAAAATTAAAATTGTTTATATTATAGCTATACAGAGGGTGTGTTTTTAAACTTTTGAAAAATCTTTCATTTTTACAGATTGAAAGTAGTGTTCCCTGCCAACTGCTAGAGTCAGTGCTACAAGAACTAAAGGGTTTGCAGGAATTTCTAGACAGAAACTCCCAGTTTGCAGGAGGACCATTAGGAAATCCAAAGTAAGAATAAATAGGGTTTATTAATTCATCTTTTTCTTTTCGTTGTATTTTTTGTTGAGATGATTTACATACTACAAAGTTGGTCCTTTTAAAGTGTGCAGTTTAGTATTTTTTAGTGTATCTACAAGGTTATGCAACCATCACCACTATCTAATTTTAGAACATTTTCATCACAGCAATAAGAAACTCTTGTGCCCATGACCAGCCATTATTATTCATGGACCTTCCCCCAGTCCCTGGCAACCACTAATCTACTTTCTGTCTCCACAGATCTGCCTTTTCTGACTATTTATATAAATATTATATTTTATATATTACATAAGATACACAATATATAAATATATTATATGAATATATGTAAATGGAATGTTTATAGAAATATAGTTATATAAATGGAATATTTATAGAAATATAGTTATATAAATGGAATATAGAAATATTTATATGAATGGAATATTTATAGACATATTTATATACATGGAATCTTTATAGAAATATTTATATAAATGGAAGTATGCAACAGATAACCTTTGGTGTCTGTTTCTTTCCCCAAGCATGTTTTCAAGGTTTGATTGTTGTAGCATGTATTACTACTTGTCTCATTTCTCAGTTTATCAGTTGATAGATATTTGGGTTGTTTCAGCTTTTTGGCTAATAAGAATGCTGATATGAGCATTCCTGTACAAGTTTTTGTGTGGACATGTGTTTAGACGGACTCTTGCTCTGTCACCCGTGCTGGAGTACGAAGGCTCCAACTTGGCTCACAGCAACCTCCGCCTCCCAGGTTCAAGCAATTCTCCTGCCTCAGCCTCCCAAGTAGCTTAGATTACAGATGTGCACCACCATGCCCAGCTAATTCTTCTTTGTATTTTCAGCGGAGACGGGGTTTCACCATGTTGACCAGGCTGGTCTTGAACTCCTGACCTCATCATCCACTGGCCTCAGCCTCCCAAAGTTCTGGGATTACAGGCGTGAGCCACCATGCCCGACCAAGAGTGGACATTTGGGTTTTTTTTTTGAGACGGAGTTTCGCTCTTGTCGCCCAGGCTGGAGTGCAATGGTGCAATCTCGGCTCACTGCAACCTCCACCTCCTAGGTTCAAGCGATTCTCCTGCCTCAGCCTCCTGAGTAGCTGGGGTTACAGGCGCCTGCCACCATGCCCAGCTAATTTTTCTATTTGTAGTAGAAATGGAGTTTCACTATGTTGGCCAGGCTGGTCTCAAACTCCTGACCACCTTCAGGTGATCCACCATGCCCAGCAATAATGGATTTTTTTTTTTTTTTTGAGACAGAGTCTCGCTCTGTCGCCCAGCCTGGAGTGCAGTGGTGCGGTCTCAGCTCACTGCAACCTCCGCCTCCCGGGTTCATGCCATTCTCCTGCCTCAGCCTCCCGAGTAGCTGGGACTACAGGCGCTTGCCACCACACCCAGCTAATTCTTTGTATTTTTAGTAGAGACTGGGTTTCACCGTGTTAGCCAGGATGGTCTCGATCTCCTGACCTCGTGATCCGCCCGCCTCGGCCTCCCAAAGTGCTGAGATTACAGGCGTGAGCCACCGCGCCCAGCCAAGAATGGATATTTTTAAGCCTCTAATATAATACGGACTTTTTGTTGAAAAATAATAATCACATGGCATTGGGGGAGTCACATCACTCCTTAGAATTGTTAACGAGGTATTACAGTATAATCTTTTTAAAGCATATGTAGGCCAGGCAGAGTGGCTCACACCTATAATCCCAACACTTTGGAAAGCCAAGGCAGGAGGATTGCTTGAAGCCAGGAGTTCGAGACCAGCCTGGGCAATATAGGAGACCTTGTCACTACAAAAACACATAAATAGGCCGGGCGTGATGGCTGATGCCTGTAATCCCAGTACTTTGGGAGGCTGAGGCAGGCGGATCACCTGAGGTCGGGATTTCAAGACCAGCCTGACCAACATGGAAAAACCCGTCTCTACTAAAAATACAAAACTAGCCAGGTGTGGTGGCACATGCCTGTAATCCCAGCTACTAGCTAGGCTGAGGCAGGCGAATCACTTAAACCTGGGAGGCGGAGGTTGCGGTGAGCCCAGATCGTGCCATTGCACTCCAGCCTGGGCAACAAGAGTGAAACTCTGTCTCAAAAAAAAATATCATAAATAAATAATAAAGCATACATAAATATACACTTCTTTAAAAGCAAAAACAGAGTCTAAGTAAGTACACTTTTATATAACATTATTCATACTTTGTGTGTGTGTGTGTATACATATATATATATATTCCCCTGCCCCTGCCGAGGCAGAGTCTTGCTCTGTTGCCCAGGCTGGAGTGCAGTGGTGCAATCTCAGCTCACTGCAACCTCTGCCTCCTGGGCTCAAGCAGTTCTTCTGCCTCAGCCTCCCGAGTAGCTGGGATTACATGCATGTGCCACCAAGCCTGGCTAATTTTTGTATTTTTAGTAGAGATGGGGTTTCACCATGTTGCCCAGGATGGTCTCGATCTCTTGACTTCGTGCTCCGCCCGCCTCAGCCTCCCAAAGTGCTGGGATTACAGGGGTGAGCCACCGCGCCTGGCCTGTCTTTATCTTTTAAGCAGGAGAATTTACCTCCTTCCCATTTTATTGGAATTAGTTAAATGTGGTTTATTGTTTTGGTTTGGTTTTTTTGGAGACAGAGTCTTGCTTTGTCGCCCAGGCTGCAATGCAGTGGTGCAATCTCAGCTCACTGCAACCTCCAACTCCCTGGCTCAAGCGATTCTCCTGCCTCACCCTTCCAAGTAGCTGAGACTACAGCCCCACACCACCATGCCTGGCTAATTTTTCTATTTGTAGCAGAGACAGGGTTTTGCCATGTTGGCAAGGCTGATCTTGAACTCTTGACCTCAGATAATCCACCTTCAGCCTCCCAAAGTTCTGGGATTACAGGAGTGAGCCACTGCATCTGGTCTAGTTAAATGTTTGATTTTTTTCTCCCCATCCTGAATTTGTGCTTTTTGTTTATTTTCTTCCCTTTCCCATTTCCTTATTGTATTGGATTGATCAGGCCTCTCTCTACCTTAAACACCAATTAAGAAGTTCTACATATGATTTTTCTTCCTCTGTTAGTCTTAAATTCTGACAGACATGCATCTCAGTCAGCATTAATAATTTAACAAACTCTATTACATTTTGTTTCCTTGCCTTCTACTGCCATCCCTCTCCCTCCAAATTATCTGGAATTTTACTTGTCAGATGTTTTTAGTTTGTTTGGTTTTTTTTCTAACATTATGGTCTTTTGTTAATTGAATTTTACCATTACATCTGCAATTATATGTAAATTTTCTAATCTACTTCTAATTTCTCTTAATTACTCATTTATCTTTACAGTTTTTAGCAGGATGTTTTTTTCATTGATGTTTCTTGAATTGTCACAGAAGCAGTTCTGTCATCTGCAAACAGAGATAGTTTCATCTTTTCCATCTTTTCTTGTCTAGCTCTACTTGCTTTCTCCTCTCTGCACAAGGTAATCTCTCTCTCTCTCTTTTTCTTTTTAATTGAGACAGAGTTTCACTCTTATTACCTAGGCTGGAGTGCGATGGCATGATCCTCGGCTCACCGCAACCTCCGCCTCCCGGGTTCAAGCGATGCTCCTGCCTCAGCCTCCTGAGTAGCTGGGATTACAGGCATGAGCCACCACGCCCAGCTAATTTTGTATTTTTAGTAGAGACGGGGTTTCTCCTTGTTGGTCAGGCTGGTCTCAATCTCCCAACCTCAGGTTATCCACCCGCCTCAGCCTCCCAAAGTGCTGGGATTACAGGCATGAGCCGCTGCGCCCTGCCACTTATCTCTGTCTGTCTTTTCTCTTTTTTTTTCTTTTTTAGGCAATCTTGCTCTGTCATTGAGGCTGGAGTGCAGTGATGTGATCATTATTCCCTGCAATCTCAGACTCAGCCGCCTGAGTAGCTGGGGCTACAGGCATGTGCTGCCACACCTGGCTGATTTTTTCTTATTTTTCTCAGAGATAGGGTCTCACTGTGTTGCCCAGGCTGGTCTAAAACTCTTGGCCTCAAGTTATGCTCCCTCCTTAGCTTCCCAAAGTGCTGGGATTACAGGCATGACCCACTGCATCCACCCTTACTTGAGGTGTTTTTTGGTTTTCTTTTTTGAGACTGGTCTCACTCTGTTGCCCAGGCCGGAGTGCAGTGGCATGATCACGGCTCACCGCAACTTTGACCTCCCAGCTTCAAGTGATCCTCCCACCTCAGCCTCCTGAGTAGTTGGGACTACAGGCACATGCTACCATGCTCAGCTAATTTTTTTATTTCACATTTTGTAGAGACAAGTTCTCACTGTTTTGCCCACGTTGATCTTGCACTCCTGGGCTTAGGTGATCCTCCTGTCTTGGCCTCAAAAAATGCTGGGATTTTAGGCATGAGCCATCCGCACTCAGCCCTTATTGAATATGTTTAACATATTCATATATTTAACATATTGAATATGCTTACCATATTCAATAAGTGAGTTTGTCAAATGTATTTACTGCATTTTACAGAGATGATCATATCATTTTCCCCCTTACCTTTAACAATAGAGTTAATACATGTCCTAATTTCGACCAACCCTTGGATTCCTATAACATTAGTTTCATTGACTATGGAAATTTTTTAAACAGATTTTTGAGATCTACTTTACATACCACTAAATTTACTCATTTTGAATGTTCAGTTCAGTGACTTTTAGTAAATTCATAGAATTGTGCAACCATCACCACAGTCCAGTTTTAGCACACTTCCATTATCTAGGAGACATACCTCATGTCCATTAGCAGTCACTTTCCATTCCCACTTCTTAGCCCCAGACACTTACTGATCTGCTCTATCTCTGTAGATGTGCCTATTCTTGACATGTCATATAAACAGAATCATACTGTGTGGTCTTTGAGTCTGGCTTCTTTCACTTAGTGTGTTTTGGGGGCTCATGTTTGAGATTTATGTGGTAGGATGTATTCATGCTTTGTTCGTTTTTATTGCCCAATGAATGTGGGATTTTAAGATCATAGACCATTTCTCAGATCTTCGTATACATTTTGCACCATTTTCTTCCCAAAGTTTAATGTTGTAGATGAAAAAGTACATTATCTGTATGATTCTCCTTCCTTTGTAAGTGACTTAGTGTTTACTTTGAAATTTTTTTGTGTTTTTTTCTTTTTGTTACCGAAATTCAAAAGTCACATGATGTCTTTAGGTATATCTTCTTTACAGCTCTCAGTGAGCCTTAAGAATGAACGTCTTGGCTTTGATCAGTTTTCTTCTCTCGTTTTTTATGTATTGTGATACACATTGAATATCCCTTATCCGAACTGTTTGGAACCAGAAGTGTTTTGGCTTTCACGTTTTTTTTGATTTTTAAATATTTGCATTATACTTAGGTTGAGCACCCCATTCCGAAAATTTGAAATCGAAATTGCTCCAGTGCGCATTTCCTTTGAGCATCATGCTGATGTGCAAAACGTTTCAGATTTGGGGACATTTCAGATGTTAGTTTTTTTTTTTATTAGGGATACTCAATCTATGTTTCTTCTGTCCCATTCTCTTTGGAGAATCATATTAACTCTTTTGTATCTAGCTTGTTTCTTCTCTTCCGTAATTTCCTTCCTTCCTTTCTCTCCTTTACCCCCTCTTTTTACTTGATCTTTTTTTTTCTACAGGTTAGGAAAATTTATAGCTGATGTTCTCAGTCATTTAATTGATTTAATCTCAGTCATTTTAAGTAGCATCTGTTTAGTCTGTGTCATAAATTTTTTCTGGCCATCAGCCCTTCTGGTGTTGGTTGCCCAACCTTCTGAATTATTTAAAAAAAGTAAACATATTAAATGTTTGAATTGTACTGTATGTGTTATATCTCAATAAAGCTGTTATAAACACACACATTCTGCAATTTCTGTTTCAGTACTACTGCTAAAGTGCAGCAGAGGCTGATAGGATTCATGCGTCCTGAAAACGGAAATCCCCAGCAAATGCAACAGGAACTGCAGAGGAAGTTTCATGGTAAATTATTGCTTCTCATCAGTTAAGCGTACATGACCTCAGTAAAATTTTATTACTTGAATAGAAAACAATGGACTTTCTTAGTAAGATGTACTTTGTACACAAATATTTGTAATTAAAATATCAGTGTAATTGGGTCCGGGGTGGTGGCTCACACCTGTAATACCAGCACTTTGGAAGGCTGAGTTGGGAGGATCACCTCTTCCTGGGAGGCAGAGGTTGCAGTGAGCTGAGATCATGCCACTGCACTCCAGCCTGGGTGACAGAGTGAGAACCTGCCTCAAAAAAAAAAAAAAAAAGTGTGATTGGGAAAGTAGGATAATATGGATATTAATATGGATATTGTATATTTCCCTATCTCTTTTAGCATATACATTTTTGTTCCTTCCTCCACCAGAAAACATGATACACACCTATTTCATTATGTTTTTTTTATTGTGGTGAAATATATATATACCATAAAATTTACCATTTTTACTTTTTATTTGTTTATGTTTCTGAGACAGAGTTTCACTCTTGTTTCCCAGGCTGGAGTGCAATGGCGTGATCTTGGCTCACTGCAACCTCTGCCTCCTGGGTTCAAGAAATTCTTCTGCCTCAGCCTCCCGAGTAGCTGGGATTAGAGGCATGTGCCACCACGCCCGGCTAATTTTGTATTTTCAGAAGAGACGGGGTTCTTTATGTTGGTCAGGCTGGTCTCGAACTTCCAACCTCAGGTGATCCCGTCCGCCTCGGCCTCCCAAAGTGCTGGGATTACAGATGTGAGCCACCGTGCCCAGCCCCATTTTTACTTTATTTTATTTATTTATTTATTTTTTTGAGACAGAGTCTCACTCTGTCGCCCAGGCTGGAGTGCAGTGGCATGATCTCGGCTCACTGCAAGCTCCACCTCCCGGGTTCACTCCATTCTCCTGCCTCAGCCTTCTGAGTAGCTGGGACTACAGGCGCCCGCCACCACACCTGGCTAATTTTTTTTTTTTGTATTTTTAGTAGAGACAGGGTTTCACCGTGTTTAAGCAGGATGATCTCAATCTCCTGACCTCATGATCCGCCCACCTCAGCCTCCCAAAGTGCTGGGATTACAGGCAAGAGCCACTGCGCCTGGCCCGTTTTTACTGTTTTTAAGTGTACAGTTCAGTGGCATTCAGTATATTCATTTTATGTACCCATTACCAGCATCTATCTCCAGAACTTTTGTCATCTTCCCCAAAAATGTCACTCTGGGCTGGGCGCAGTGGCTCTCACCTGTAATCCCAGCACTTTGGGAGGCCATGGCAGGTGGATCACCTGAGGTCAGGAGTTCAAGACCAGCCTGGCCAACATGTTGAAACCCCATCTCTACCAAAAATACAAAAATTAGCCAGGCGTGGTGGCGGGCACCTGTAATCCCAGCTGCTCGGGAGGCCGAGGCAAGAGAATCACTTGAACCCAGCAGGCGGAGGTTGCAGTGAGCCGAATTTGTGCCATTGCACCCTAGCCTGGGCAACAAGAGCAAGACTCTGTCTTAAAAAAAATAAACACCAAAAGTCACTCTGTACCCATGAAATAATAACCCCCCATTTTTTTCCCCTATCCTAGGTCCCTGGCAACCACCATTCTACTTTCTGTCTCTTGAATTTTACAACTCTGGGTACCCTATTAGGATGAAATCAAATTTTACATTTTGTGGCAGGCTTATGTCACTTAGCATACTGTCCTCGAGGTTCATCCATGTTGTAACGTGTCAGAATTTCCTTCCTTTTTAAGACTGAGTAATTTCTATTGTGTATATGTGCATATGTGCACATATACCACATTTCCTTTATCCATTCATCTGTTGATGGACACTGAGTTACTTCCGTTTTTTGGCTATCGTGAATAATGCTGCTATTAACATGGGTGAACAAATACAAATTAAAGCCTCTGCTTTCAGTTCTTTTGGGTATATACCCAGAAGTGGAATTGCTATATCATATGGTAATTCTATTACTAATTTTTTTGATGAACTGCCATACTGTTTCATAGCAGCTACTGCATTTTATGTTTATGTTTATCTTTATTTCTTTTTGAGACGGAGTTTCACTCTTGTCTCCCAGGCTGGAGTGCAATGGTGCGATCTCAGCTCACTGCAGCCTCCACCTCCCAGGTTCAAGCAATTCTGCCTCAGCCTCCCGAGTAGCTGTGGTTACAGGCATGTGTCACCACACCCAGCTAATTTTTTTATTTTTAGTATAGTTGGGGTTTCACCATGTTGGCCAGGCTGGTCTTGAACTCCTGACCTCAGGTGATCCACCCACTTCGGCCTCCCAAAGTGGTAGGATTACAGGCGTGAGCCACTGCGCCTGGCCAGCCACAGCATTTTATACTTCTAGTAGCAATGCACAAGGGTTCCAATTTCTTCACATCTTTGCCAACATTTGTCATTTTTCTGTCCTTTTATATATAGCCATCCTAATGAACATGGAATGGCATCTCATTGGGATTTTGATTTGCATTTCCCTAATGATTAGTAATATGCCTTTTTATAGAGCTAAAAATATGAATCAAATATTTCATTGTGCTTTTTATCAATTATAAGTAGTAACAAGTAAGGAAAGAGCAAGGCAACTGAAAAGTTCTCATAATCTTCAGTTATTCCAGATACAAGTTAGAACAATAATAAGTTATTGCATGAACTTTTTGTGCCATTTAATTTTTTCTAAGTTCTTTTGCCTTCCATTGTTAGGGTTAGAGTTACTTTTTCTGGCCGTGATAGAACTTTCTGGTTTGTTTGTTTTGAGATGGAGTCTCGCTTTTTCGCCGAGGCTGGAGTGCATTGGCACAATCTTGGCTTACTGCAACCTCTACCTCCCAGGTCCAAGCGATTCTCCTGCCTCAGCCTCTCAAGTAGCTGGGATCACAGGCGTGTGCCACCACACCCATCTAGTTTTTGTGTTTTCAGTAGAGATGAGGTTTTGCCACTTTGGCCAGGCCGGTCTTGAACTCATGACCTCAGGTGATCCGCCCAACTCGGCCTCCCAAAGTGCTGGGATTACTTGCGTGAGCCACCACGCCTGGCCAGTAGAACTTTCTCAGTTAACACTCAACCATTTACTTTTGTCCCAAGTTACTTTCTTCCCTACTGAGGACCCTAGGTTTCTATTCATCATTTTGTAAATTCTTTTTTACTATCTTTTAAATTTTTTGTCTCTCTTTTATTTTTTTGGAGATGGAGTCTTGCTCTGTCGCCCAGGCTCCGCCTCCTGGGTTCACGCCATTCTCCTGCCTCAGCCTCCCAAGTAGCTGGGACTACAGGCACCCGCCATCCCCCCCACCAGCTAATTTTTTATGTTTTTAGTAGAGACCGAGTTTTACCGTGTTAGCCAGGACGGTCTCGATCTCCTGACCTCATGATCCACCTGCCTCGGCCTCCCAAAGTGCTGGGATTACAGGCGTGAGCCACCGCGCCCAGCCACACAGCAATATTTTCATGGTTTATGTGTACCTACACAAACACAGAAGCATATATATATACACACACGGAGAAGATAATAACATAAATACTACTGATTATCATGGTTGCCTGTAATGGGGGCTAGGAAGAAAACAACAGGGATTTCAACCTTAACTACAGTTTTTATTTGAAATAAAGCAACTTAACCTATGTTATTTTATAATAATTTATTTTGTTTTCTCATTAGAGGCTCAACTAAGTGAAAAGATTTCACTTCAGGCAATTCAGCAGTTGGTTCGAAAATCATATCAGGCTCTGGCTTTATGGAAACTTCTTTGTGAACATCAATTCACTATCATTGTGGCAGAACTTCAGAAGGTAATTTTTTTTATTTTTTTATGATTATACCATTAATACTATGTTTGGATTTTTTGGATGAGTATTTTGGCTTTGGAGGGGATTATTTTGGGAAGCATTTAAGTTATGATGAAGTTAGTATGTTATGGGAAGATGGCACAAAAAAAGCGTACCAACTTGGGGGACCTATTTTTTCAAAGCCGCAAGTTTTTACTTGTGGGTATGTGAATGAAGTCATACTTTACAAAACATATTTTTTAAAACAGTGGACTTTACCCTTTATTTGAGCTACAGGTTCTTCTGAGAATCTGATAAAAGCTATCTCTCACTACCCTTAAAGAAATGCATATCGACATGGACACACAGACTTTTGCTTATAATTTCAAAGGGCCCAACAACCTAAATTAAATACTCTTGACTGGGCACCATGCCTCACGCCTGTGATCCCAACACTTTGGTAGGCTGAGGCAGGAGGATCACTTGAGCCTAGGAATTCAAGACTATCCTGGGCAAGATGTCAGGACCCATCTCTACTAAAAATAAAAAATAAATTAGTCAAGTGTGGTGGCACATGCCTGTAGTCCCAGCTACTTGGGAGGCTGAAGTGGGAGGAGCACTTGAGCCTGGGAGGTTGAGGCGCCACTTAGCCATGATGGTGCCACTGCACCCCAGCCTGGGTGACAGAGTGAGACCCTGTCTCTCTCTGTCTCTCTCACACACACACACACACACACACACACACACATATACACCACTCCTACTTCATTTTATGTTTTCTTTTTTTTTTTTTTAAGAGATGGAGTCTCACTCTGTCGCCCAGGCTGCAGTTGTGCAATCTCGGCTCGCTGCAACCTCCACCTCCCGGGTTCTAGCAATTCTCCTGCCTCAGCCTCCTGAGTAGCTGGGATTACAGGTGCATGCCACCACGCCCAGCTAATTTTTTGTATTTTAGTAGAGACGGGGTTTCACCGTGTTGCCCAGGGTGATCTCGAACTCCTGAGCTCAGGTAATCCACCCGCCTCAGCCACCCAAAATGCTAGGATTACAGACGTGACCCACCATGCCCGGCAACTGCTCCTACTTTAAAGGAAGATATTTATCACTGTAGGAAATAAATGGTTCATATTTCTTTTGATGTTCACATTTGAATCCTTTCTAAGGATAAGGATAATCAACATTAATCTAAATGTTAGATAGAATATATAGAGGAAATTTATTCCTACCTTTTATTTAATTGTGAGCATTTCTAAACGTATACAAAAGTAGAGCAAAAACTGTAACTCCCATATACATTTGACTCATTCAGCATTTTCAAGATACTGTGTTTCTAAAAAAAATAGACAGTTCCTTGAACAACAACAATGTCATGATCAGTTACCAGTTTTTCTTGAGACAGTGTCTCGCTCTGTCACCCAGGCTGGAGTGCAGTGGCATGATCACGGCTCACTGCACCCTTGACCTCTCTGGACTCCAGTGATTCTCCTACTTTAGCCTCCCGAGTAGCTGGTACTATAGGCACGCACCACTACGCCTAGCTAATTTTTGTATTTTTTTGTGGAGATGGGGTTTCACCGTATCTCCTAGGCTGGATAGTTACCAATATTAACTGTCAATATTTGATAGCAAAATCTGTCTTAAAAATGTCTTTTTACAGATTGGTTCATTCAAATCAGGATCTAAACAGTTTAAGGGGTTTGCTCATGGAATTTGTTTTTCTCTTTCATCTGTTTCAGTCTAAAGCAGTCTTTCCTTCTTTTTCTTTTCCTTGCTGTTGCCTTGTAGAAATCCAGTCATCCATCCAGTAGAATGTCCAGCATTCTAAGGACATTCTAAGGCTTTTTTTTTTTTAATCCTCTTTGTAGCGAGCTTCTTCCTCTATCTCCTGCATTTTCTATAAAATGAAAGTTTATTATATAGGCTTGATTCAGTTCAGGTCCTTTTTTGAGGAAGAATAGAATACTTCATAGGTAGTGGTTTATTCATCAGACTGTTAGAAGATACAAAAGGTTTCGTTGTCCTTCTTTTAGTTATACTAAGATAAATTGCTGGATTCAAGTAGTAAGCCTAATACTGCCATTGTGGAATTCTCCATCAGATTTTAATCATCCATTGATAATCATTGCTGGAATTTATTATTTCATTTAGGATTACAAAAGGGTAATATTTATTTATTTGTTTGTTTGTTTTTTATTTTTTTTGAGACAGTGTCTCATTCTGTCACCCAGGCTGGAGTGCTGTGGAGCAATCTGAGATCACTGTAACCTCCACCTCCCGGGTACAAGCAGTTCTCCTGCCTCAGCTTCCCGAGTAGCTGGGACTACAGGCATGTGCCACAACGCCTGGCTGATTTTTGTAGTTTTAGTAAGAGACCGGGTTTCGCCATGTTGGCCAGGCTGGTGTTGAACTCCTGACGTCAGGTGATCTACCTGCCTTGGCCTCCCAAAGTGCTGGGATTACAGGCATGAGCCACCATGCCCGGCCAAAAGGATAATATTTTAAATCTGTGATTCCTTCCCCAGTTACTAGCTGCAATTCTGTAAAAAAAAAAAAAAAAATTCTTTTTCCTTGTCCTGTATGGATATTTCATTACTCTGAAACACTTACTTTTTGACTCTCGTATACCATTTTTCAACGTTGGAAGGCAGTCTCCTCATTCTTTCCACTAGTGTCCAATGAATAGTGTGGCTTTTGTTGGTGGTTTTGTTTCTTTTAAATACATACTGTTTTTTATTTTTAAAAATTCAAGCTAATATATTTAATTATGAAACTTATCTTTTTCATACCAAGTAGAATAATAATTTTGAGTTTTATAGAGTGATAAATATATTGTAGGTAGGTTTTTATCCTGGGTATGTTTTTGTGATCCATCTTCAAAGCTCTCTTCCTTACATCACCAATGGCATGCTCAATGAATGCAAATTAAAGATTTGTTCAAGAATTTTAACACAGTTTGGGTATTTCCTTGAATTTAGAAAAAAGAGATAGCAGTCACATCACTAACAGAATCTTTTACTATAGTATAAATCAATACTTTAGAGCTTCATTTGGACAAGCAGATTTGTTCACAATACAGATTAAACTCCAATATTATTATAAGGCCTAGAATAATGGAATTCTAACAGTGTTTAGGAAGGAGTAATATGTAAGCCCAAGATTTTCAAATATAGCCAAGTGATTGTTTTTTCCATTTTATAACCAAAGCCAGGAGATCTGACTCTAGTTTTGGCTCTACTTAAGCTTTACTTTTCTCATTTGGAAAGTGAGAGTTTTGGACTAGATCTACTGTAGGTTCTTTTCCAACTCTCTATGATTTTATGTAAGTTCGCAAAAATTTGTTTCTACTAATTAGTATATTTTCGCTTTTCAATTATAGAGTCTATTAATATTTAGGTTATTTTAATTTATTAAAATAATTTCATTATGTTTAGAAATATGGTATTTCTATAATTGTGATAGAAAAGTTTTATGCTCCTAGGAACTTCAAGAGCAGCTGAAGATCACCACCTTTAAAGATCTTGTAATCAGGGACAAAGAACTCACAGGGGCATTAATTGCTTCTCTTATCAACTGCTACATCAGAGATAATGCCGCTGTTGATGGCATTAGTTTACATTTACAGGATATCTGCCCACTTCTATATAGCACTGATGATGCAATTTGTTCTAAGGTATGATACTTTATTACCTATTTCATTGTTTGTTATAAGAGGTATCATGTATGATGAACCATCTTGTTTCACTTAATATAGGACCTCAGTCAGTTAGATCTCTTAACCTCTCCTAGCCTCAGAATCCTCATCTAAGAAAGGGGTTGGAATATGTGGCTTCTTAAAACCAGTGTATACTCTTTTAAGCTTAGCTTTTCTTTTTAAAAATATTTTTATTTATTTATTTGACACAGGGTTTCACTCTGTTGCTTAGGCTGTAGTGCAGTGCTGTGATCATAGCTCACAGCAGCTTCTAAGTCCTAGACTCAAGCAGGCCTCTCATGTAGCTAGGGGCTACGGGTGTGCACCACTACACCCAGCCAATTTTTTTGTTTTTTATAGAGACAAGTTCTGATTTGTTGCACAGGCTGGTCTTGAACTCTTGGCTTCAAGTGATCCTCCTGCCTCAGCCTCCCATAGTGCTGGGATTATAAGTGTGAGCCACCATGCCCAGCCCTCCTTTAAGTTTTTCATAAAGAATATTCTCTCTTTTTTTTTAAGACTGAGTACGATCTCAGCTCACTGCAACCTCCACCTCCCAGGTTCAAGTGATTCTCCTGCCTCGGCCTCCCAAATAGCTGGGATTACAGGTGTGCACCATCACACCTGGCTAATTTTTTATATTTTTGGTAGAGACAGGATTTCACCATGTTGTCTAGGCTGGTTTTGAACTCCTGACCTCCGCCTGCCTCAGCCTTGCAAAGTGTTGGGATTATAGACATGAGCCTCTGCGCCTGGCCCATAAAGAATCTTTGATAGTGTTTCTAGGCCATATTAAAAAACCAAAGGTGAGAAATTAAGAAAAATCACTAAATTTAGAAATTAAGGAAATTTAGGGGATAATTTATCTCCTTAGCTTAAGGAAAAGTACTAAAACTTCAAGTAAATCTTTTAGTGAATTAGAGTTAATGGGGGCATTTTTATTGATCCTTTCCTACAGGTGGAAAAAATAAATAAATCAGTGTCACATGGACTGCCTGCTGCCCAATAATGTATTGACTAGGCAAGAGAATTACCAGACAAAAGTTCTCTTGCTTAACATATTTGGGAGAGGAATTAAGAATAGCTAGGAATCTTTGGTCAAAAACTTTTCTGCCTAAAATTAAGAAGTAAGTTTGTAGAGTTGTTTTCATTTTAATGGTAATAACCATATATAAATTTAGACATAGACTAAAACTTAGTTGACAGCATCATCTGTCTGCTTGATTTTATATATTTTTAAGTTCTTGTTATCTCCTCTTCTAGGCAAATGAGCTTCTCCAGCGTTCCCGACAAGTTCAAAATAAGACTGAAAAAGAAAGAATGTTAAGGGAATCATTAAAGGAATATCAAAAAATTAGCAATCAAGTGGACCTTTCCAATGTTTGTGCTCAGTATAGACAAGGTGAGAAATAAAATGTTTCTTGTATCTTTTACTCAACTCAAAAGACAAACAATAGTGTATGAATGAAGCAAGCTAATGATGAAAAGCCACTTTCCAGATGCAAATCTTCTTTCAGCATCAGAGGCCGAGTGAAAGGACGTAGGAATGTGGTATCATTGTGTTGCAATATTTGATGACTACACTGACCTGCAGAAGCTGTAATGTTCTTTCTATTTTTTGAAATGTACTTTTTTTTTTTTTTTTTTTTTTTTTTGAGAGTCTCGCTCTGTCAGCCAGGCTGGAGTGCAGTGGCACGATCTCAGCTCACTGCATCCTCTGCCTCCCAGGTTCCAGCAATTCTCCTGCCTCAGCCTCCCGGGTAGCTGGTATTACAGGCGCACGCCACCACGCCCAGCTAATTTTTTATTTTTTTATTTTTTTATTTTTTTTATTTTGAGACAGAGTCTTGCTCTGTCACCCAGGCTGAAGTGCAGTGGTGCGATCTCAGCTCACTGCAAGCTCTGCCTCCCAGGTTCACGCCATTCTGCCTCAGCCTCCCAAGTAGCTGGGACTACAGGCGCCTGCCACCATGCCCGGCTAATTTTTTTGTATTTTTAGTAGAGATGGGTTTCACCATGTTAGCCAGGATGGTCTCAATCTCCTGACCTCATGATCCACCCACCTCAGCCTCCCAAAGCGCTGGGATTACAGGTGTGAGCCACCGCGCCCGGCCATTGCCCAGCTAATTTTTGTATTTTTAGTAGAGGTGGGGTTTTACCATGTTAGCCAGGGTGGTCTCGATCTCCTGACCTCAGGTGATCCACCCATCTCAGCCTCTCAAAGTGCTAGGATTACAGACATGAGCCACTGCGCCCAGCCGAAATGTATAACTTTTTAGCATTAGAGTTTCAGTTCTTGTCCAGTTCAATTACTGTATGTTTTACATTGCTTTCTGGATTACATTTATTTTTCAGATATTTAAAATTTTTTATTGAGTTTTAAGGTATAATCTGCTTACTTTTTAAAAAATTACTTTAAATCAAATCTAACATAATGTAAAGGCCATAACTATTTGCACAGGTATTATTTTGAATCCCAAGGTATTTTTTTCCCCCCAGTAGGGAACTAAAACTTTCCTTTTTGTTATTTGAAATAGGATCTTTTTTTTCCAATGAAGAAATATATATATATATATATTTTTTTTTTTCCTTTTTCTTTTTTTTTTTGTGAGACAGAGTCTTGTTCTGTCACCCAGGCTGGAGTGCAATGGTGCAATCTCAGCTCACTACAACCTCTGCCTCGCTAGTTCAAGTGATTCTCCTGCCTCAGCCTTTTGAGTAGCTGGGATTACAGGCGCATGCCACCAGGCCCAGCTAATTTTTGTATTTTTAGTAGAGGTGGGGTTTCACCATGTTGGTCAGGCTGGTCTCGAACCCCTGACCTTGTGATCTGCCCCCTCTCAGCCTCCCAAAGTGCTGGGATTACAGGCGTGAGCCACCACACCTGGCCCCCAATGAAGAAATATATTTAACAGTTGCCTTTTAGGCATATTAAGACCTTTTCCTTCTGAAGACCTATCAGAAATATTTTATGTTAGCAGGGTGACTATTGTACAGTAGAGACATAACCTTGATCATTATTTTCATGTGCCAGCTAAGGAAAAATGTATCCAACTTAGTAGTAAGTCATAGGTCTTCATTCTTTTCTTTCCCATCAGTGAGATTTTATGAGGGTGTGGTGGAACTTTCTCTTACGGCTGCAGAGAAAAAAGATCCTCAAGGTCTTGGGCTTCATTTCTATAAACATGGAGAACCAGAAGAAGACATAGTTGGACTTCAGGCCTTCCAAGAAAGGTGCATTCCATTACGTTAGCAGATTGTCATCTTTATGGATACAGACTTTTCTTTGCATAATGTTTTTTGTTTTTTGTTTTATGTTTTTTTTTTTTTTTTGAGACAGAGTCTTGCTCTGTCACCTGGGCTGGAGTGCAGTCGTGTGATCTTGGCTCACTGCAATCTCTGCCTCCCAGGTTCAAGCTATTCTCGTGCCTCAGCCTCCCATGTAGCTGGGATTACAGGTGCACACCACCACGCCTGGCTAATTTTTGTATTTTTAGTAGAGACAGGGTTTCACCATTTTGGCCAGGCTGGTCTTGAATTCCTAACCTCAAGTGATCCACCCACCTCAGTCTTGCAAAGTGCTAGGATTATAGCCATCAGCCACCGTGTCTGGCCTCTTTGTGTAAAGGTCGACCACCCAAAGTGCTGGGATTACAGGCATGAGCCACCATGTCCAGTAGGATTTCATTTTAAAGGATAATTTTTAAGTATTCCCAAATTTGTTGAGACTGTTAAAAAGGAAATGTGTGTCCTTAAAAGAAATATAGGCCAGGCACAGTGGCTCACGCCTGTAATCCCAGCACTTTGGGAGGCTGAGGTGGGCAGATCATGAGGTCAGGAGTTCGAGACCAGCCTGGCCATCATAGTGAAACCCTGTCTCTACTAAAATACAAAAATTAGCCAGGCGTGGTGGTGCACACCCGTAATCCCAGCAACTTGGGAGGCTGAGGCAGGAGAATTGCTTTAACCCGGGAGGCAGAGGCTGCAGTGAGCTGAGATTGCACCACAGAACTCCAGCCTGGGCGTCAGAGCAGGGCTCCGTCTCGGAACAAAGAAGAAATATATAACCTTTCTATAACATATATATATGGAGGGTGTTTTGTTTTGTTTTTGTTTTTGTTTTTGAGACAAAGCTTCACTCTGTCTCCTGGGCTGGAGTCAGTGGCACCATCATAGCTCACTGTACTCTTGACCTTTTGGGCTCAAGTGATCCAGTGATCCTCCTACCTCAGCCTCCTGAGTAGCTGGGACTACAGGCACATGTCACCACACTCGGCTAATTTTTTTTTTCTCTTTAATTTCTGTAGAGACAGGGCCTCACTATATTGCCCAGGCTGGTCTTTAACTCCTGGGCTCAAGCAATCCTTTCTTCTCAGCCTCCCAAAGTGCTGAGATTAGAGGTGTCAGCCACCACATCTGGCGAAAACATATTTTTTTATTACTATATTTAATGACTTTACCCTTTTAATGTTTAACCAAACACTTCTCAAACTTATTGAAAAAGTATATGGTTTGTATTATTTTAAATGCCAAATATGTACATCTATTCTGCCAAATAGTCTTGAAATCCTTGTATATACTTAGGTAAGGTAAATCAATGGCTTTCTTTTTTGTTATTTGTTTTGTTTTGTTTTTGGGGGGTTTTGTTTTTTGTTTTTGAGACAGGGCCTCATTCTGTTGCCTGAGCTGGAGTGCAGTGGCATGATAATAGCTCACTTGCAGCCTTGAATTCCTAGGCTCAAGCGATCCTCCTGCCTCTGCCTCCCAAGTAGCTGGGATTACAGGTGCACACCGCCACGCCTGGTTAATTTTTTGTTTCGTTTTGTTTTGTTTTTTGTTCGTTTGTTTTTTGAGACAGGGTCTTGCTGTCACCCAGGATGGAGTGCAGTGGCATGATCTCAGCTCACCTCAACCTCTGCCTCCCAGGTTCAAGCAATTCTTGTGCCTCACTCACCTGAATAGCTGGCACTACAGGCATGCACCACCAAGCCCGGCTAATTTTTGTATTTTTGTCAGATACGGGGTTTCACCAGGTTGGCCAGGCTGGTCTCAAATTCGTGACCTCTGGCAGTCCCCCTGCCTTCGTCTCCCAGAGTGCTGGGATTACAGGTGTGAGGCACTGTGCCCAGCCAATTTTTTTGTATTTTTTGTAGAGACGTGGTCCCGCTCTGTTGCCCTGGCTAGTCTTGAACTCCCAGCCTCAAGCCGTCCTCCTACCTTGACTTCCCTATGGCTGGCATTACAGGCGTGAGTCACCACACTTACCATCATTTGCTTTCTAGTTAAATAATGTAATTGTTCCTTTTCCATTTTCTTTCAGATTAAACAGTTACAAATGCATTACAGACACACTTCAAGAACTGGTAAATCAAAGTAAGGCCGCTCCTCAGTCTCCCAGTGTACCCAAAAAACCTGGTCCTCCAGTGTTGTCATCTGATCCAAATATGCTGAGTAATGAAGAAGCAGGACATCATGTAAGGGACATAGTATATTTTCATTCTGAGAATACACTGTTTAGAAGTTCTCCATGGTAATGGTAGCACAGTCATCTTGGGGAAAGGTGGTAGTTCTTAGAAGTTATCATGTAAGGATTCTTGATTTCTTACTGGAGTTTATAGGGCTAAAGGGTTGTGATGCCCAGAAACAGAGCCTTTAACTGCTAATTTTTACTATTTTCTTTATTTTAGTTTGAACAAATGCTTAAATTGTCACAGCGATCCAAGGATGAGCTCTTTAGTATTGCCCTTTATAATTGGCTAATACAAGTCGACCTTGCAGATAAGCTGCTACAGGTAAATCTTTTTTTATTGCAGTTGTGTTAATTATTCTTAAGGAGCATAACTCAATGATTTAAGCACATATATAGATGTAAAAAATTCAGTTTCTCATCCCATGCCTGCTATTAGATGTTAGTATAAAGCTGAGTAATGCAGTATCTTTTCCTAAGGGGCAAAGTAGGCTACTGCTCCAATTTTCTTGTTAATTCGAAGCTGATTGGGATAGTTTGTATTGCGGGGTAGAAATCACTGGATTATGAATATGAGTCCTGTAGGTCATCTTATCTTAACTCTGCTGTTAAGTCACTGTGACTTCAGATATGTCCTTTTACCTACCCTAAGTTTCAGTGTTCCTCAATCTGTTTAATGAATACATAGCATTTGATAATTTCAATAATGCCTTTGAGCTCAATGTCTAGGAATCAATAGCTGTGTTATCAAAGTTTATTTAAAAATTTGTAATTTTATAGTAAATTTCCCTTTTTTTTTTTTTTTTTTTTTTTTGAGATGGAGTCTGGCTCTGTTGCCCAGGCTGGAGTGCAGTGGCATGATCTCAGCTCACTGCAACCTCCGCCTCCCGGGTTCCAGCAATCCTCCTGCTTCAGCCTCCCAAGTAGCTGGGATTACAGGCACCCGCCACCACGCACAGCTAATTTTTATATCTTTTTAGTAGAGACGGGGTTTTACCATGTTGGCCAGGCTGGTCTCAAACTCCTGAGCTCAGGTGATCTGCCCACCTCAGCTTCCCGAAGTGCTGGGATTACAGGCATGAACCACTGTGCCCGGCCAAATTTCCTTTTCTTTTTTGAGGCAGGGTCTCAATCTGTAGCTTAGGCTGAAGTGCAGTGCAATGGCACGATAATGGCTCACTGTAGCCTTGACCTCCCTAGGCTCAGGTGATCCTCACACCTAACCCTCCTGAGTAACTAGAACTATAGGCCCGCACCACCACACCCAGCTAATTTTTTTGTAGAGACGAGGTTTTGCCATATATTGCCCAGGCTGGTCTCAAACTCCTGAGCTCACATGATCTGCCCACCTCGGCCTCCCAAAGTGCGAGGATTACAGACATGAGTCGCCATGCCCAGCCTACTAAATTATTGTTATCAACCTAATAGAATTGTTTTGGAAACTCTTATGCTAACTGTGGTAAAACAAAAATTGTTTATAATAAGAAAATTTGCCCTCTCTTTTATCTGTTAGTATTGGATTATAATTTTGCTTGTTTTCATAAAACAAGGCAAAGTTGTAGTTGACTTAAAAATACTATATTTTCCTTATCAGGAACATTATCTGTAGGTGGTTAGAAAATTTTTCTGAATAACTATATAATTTCTAGGTTGCTTCTCCATTTCTGGAGCCACATCTAGTCCGAATGGCCAAAGTTGATCAAAACAGAGTTCGTTATATGGATTTACTCTGGCGGTATTACGAGAAGAACAGAAGTTTCAGTAATGCTGCTCGTGTACTGTCCAGACTGGCTGACATGCATAGGTATGGCATAATATTCTTATTGTGAAGAATGATTCAAAACTGAGCTATATGTACTTACATTCAGTTTTCTTTAATTTTAGAAGAATCTAAGTTTTAATATACTGACCTAAATTTTTTAAATAGGATGTTACTTTTTAGTCATAAATGTATTTCTTTATGTGTTGTCTAAAATTGTGGATCTCTCTTATGAGAAATCTAAAATAGATTTTTTTTTAAATCTAATGATTTTTTTTCAAGTTTCAGATGGCTTTTTATGTGTGTTTGGTATGAAACAGTACATACTAATTGACGTATTTGTATCATCAATCCTTAAGAAATTGTGTAACTAAAAATAAGCGTTTTCCCTTCTAGCACAGAAATTTCACTTCAGCAGCGACTAGAGTACATTGCTCGAGCCATTCTTAGTGCCAAAAGTTCCACTGCCATTTCATCAATAGCTGCCGATGGTGAATTTCTTCATGAATTAGAAGAAAAAATGGAGGTAAGTGCTAAAGATCTTAAGCTGTGTCCACATTGAGTACTAGCCACATAGTTATTCCACATTCCATTCTTCCCTTGGTAAGTAATAGGTCTGAGAAGTCATTATTATTCTAGTTGCTTTTGTCTGTTTATATTTATTTTTATGTTTAGATATAAATCTTAAAGATTTTTAAGGATGCACTTGGGTCATAAAAACATTGCTATAATTTAGAAGTTTTCTCTTTGGCACTTCGAAAGGTTTTTCCCAGCTGGGTGCAGTGGCTCACGCCTGTAATCCCAGCACTTTGGGAGGCCGAGGCAGCCAGATCATGAGGTCAGAAGTTCGAGACCAGCCTGGCCAATATGGCGAAACCTTGTCTCTACTTAAAAAAATACAAGAATTAGCCGGGGGTGGTGGCACACACCTGTAGTCCCAGCTACTTGGGAGACTGAGGCAGGAGAATTGCTTGAACCCAGGAAGCGGAGGTTGCAGTGAGCTGAGATTGCACCACTGCATTCCAGCCTGGGAGACAGACTGAGACTCTGTCTCAAAAAATAATAATAATAAAAAATAAATGTTTTTCCCAACTGTTTCAACAGCAAGTGGATTACATCACATTCACCATTTATTTTGGAAGCAAATAAGTAGATGTATGAAGTAGAGTAGGCTAAAATTCCCTAACTAAGAGAATCAAAAACATACCATCGTCCAAATACAAAAGTTTGTTTCTTATTCACAAAAATCCAAGGTGAGTCTTCCTGATTGGCAGCTGGCTTTCCTCCGTGTGGTTGATTTAGGAACCCAAGTTCTATTTTCTGGCACTACCATTCCCTAGGGCCTCTGCTTTATCTTCAGCAGAGGGTGGAAGGAAAAGAAAGAACACATTCACTGTCTTAAAAACTATAGCCCTGACATGACACACTACTTCTACTCACATTCCTTTGAAGAGAACTTGGTTGTATGGCCATACCTCCCCTACAGAGGAGGCTGAGCTGTATAGTCTAACCATTTGGCTACAGTCTTGGAAGGTATAAGTATTGGGCAGCAAGGAGTCTGCCACAGTATACTTCCTGTGAAATCTATTATGTTTAGTTGATGTCTGTTATGATAATATTAGCCTATTATGATAGAAATCTTCATTTATACATTATTTTAGCAAACTTAAAGTCAGATAGTAGGATCCGTTCTTTCAAACGTATGTTGATTTATCATAAATAAATTAAGACATCCTGTTTTCTGCCCAAACTAGGTTGCTAGGATCCAACTTCAGATACAGGAGACACTACAAAGGCAGTATTCCCATCATTCTTCTGTACAGGATGCAGTTTCTCAGCTGGATTCTGAGCTGATGGACATAACTAAGGTAATAAAAAAGCAAGTGAAATTTTTATAGTAGTTACCTAATAATGAGAAATTTTTGTTTTTTATTTTGCTTTTTGTTTCATGGGGAAAATTACCTTATCTCCACAAATAAGATAAGGCATCTTTGGCAGCTTGTCACTGGGCTGACAGATCACCACTGCTTCATCTGACTCCTAGAAAAAGGCTAAGCTACTCTTTCCAGGCCAGTAGCTACAAAGAACCTATCATCCTCGCATGAGAGCTGTGTTAAAACCAGCTTATTTCCAGCCTGGGCAACATGGCAAAACCTCATCTTTACAAAAAAATAGCAAAAAAGGCCAGGCACTGTGGCTCACGCCTGTAATCCAACACTTTGGGAGGCTGAGGCGGGCAGATCACCTGAGGTCAGGAGTTTGAGACCAGCCTGGTCAACATGGGGAAACTCTGTCTCTACTAAAAATACAAAAATTAGCCAGGCGTGGTGGCATGCGCCTGTAATCCCAGCTACCTGGGAGGCTGAGGCAGGAGAATTGCTTGAACCCAGGAGGTGGGGGTTTCAGTGAGCCGAGATCATGGCACTGCAGTCTAGGAGCCTGGGCGACAGAGCAAGACTCCATCAAAAAAAAAAAAAAAAAATTAGCCAGGTGTGGTGGTGTGTGGTTGTAGTTCATCTACTCAGGAGTCTGAGGTGGGAGGATTGATTTAGCCCAGGAGGCCCAGGTTGTGGTGAGCCTCGATGGTGCTACTGCATTCCAGCCTGAGTGACAGAGTGAGACCCTGTCTCAAAAAGAAAAAAAAACTAAAAAACCAAAACCATCTTATTTATGGCCTCGCTTCTTGCCTTGGAAAAACTAACTTATCTTTGCTTAACTCTCTAAACCTCTTTCTCTCTCTGTAATTTTCTGAGCAGTTCCTTCCTCTTCATTTATTCTTAGACATAGTTCCAGGTACCCTGAAACACTTTGAGATTTGTCAGTATTCCTGTGATTCTTCAACCCATTGTTTATACAACACTAGTTCTAAAATACCATTGCAGGAGGTTTGTAGGGAAGGTGGGGATGGTTAATGGGTACAAAAACAAAATGAATAAGACCTATCTGATAGCACAATAGGGTGACTATAGTCAATAATAACTGTATATTTTAAAATAGAGAATGTAATTGGATTATTTGTAACTCAAAAGGATAACTGCTTGAGGAATAGACATTCTCCATGACATGCTTATTTCTCATTGCATGACTGTATCAGAACATCTCATGTACCCCATAAATACATACACCTACTGTGTACCCACAGAAATTTGAAAAAATGAATTTTAAAATTAATAAATAGAATGTCGTTGCAACATCTTCTTCCCAGCCAAGAAAAAAGCTCTACATGCTAAAATGTGTTTGAATGTATTTACCATACCCTTACCCTTTTTTTTTTTTTTTGGCGGGGGGAGACAGAGTCTTTCTCTGTCACCAGGCTAGAGTGCAATGGCGTGATCTCAGCTGACTGCAACCTCCACCTTCCTCAGCCTCCTGAGTAGCTGGGACTACAGCCATGCACCACCATGCCCAGCTAATTTTTTTTTTTTTTAAATTTTAGTAGAGACGGGGTTTCACCATATTGGCCAGGATGGTCTCCATCTCCCGATCTCGTGATCCGCCCACCTTGGCCTCTTAAAGTGCTGGGATTACAGGCCTGAGTCACCGTACCCGGCCCATACCCTTAACTTTTTAAATATGGAGTTATAACCAGCTACATACATCATCACATCTTTATATCATATTTCAGAAACTTTATGTAAAATCTTTGGTTATTTTTTAATTTTCAAGGAGTGCTTCACTATTAATCTCTGAATGTTGATCTCTAGTTGGATGTTAATTTTGGGATTTTCTCTCACAGCTTTATGGGGAATTTGCTGACCCATTTAAACTTGCAGAGTGCAAACTTGCAATAATTCATTGTGCCGGTTATTCAGACCCTATATTGGTGCAGACACTTTGGCAAGATATCATAGAGAAAGGTAAGTGTTCAGTTATAGGTATGTTAGCATACGTTATGTAGTGACTTGGTGGAGGAATGCAAGCTGCTAGTAACTAATATAATGCAAGCTGCTAGTGGCTCATGAAAATTGTGTATACCTAAGAAGAGAGTAAGTGGAAGTCACCTGGGTATGGTGGAGGATGATCATACACAGAATGACCCAAGTGAATATTCGGGAGAATACTCAGTGAAAAGGTTATTTAATTTATATTATTTGTGCTGCCTTATAAAAGATACTGAGACACTCACCTCAGAATCTAATAACCAGTATAACCTGGTAAGACATGAGAGTATCTCAGACAATAACAGAAACACCAAATCTGTTAATCATATTAATGTGACTATCTGTTCTAAAGTATTTTGAACCTTGAAACAGAATTAAATAACCAATGTAAACATTTCACATTAAAAGTAATTTGGGTTTCAAATGACATGTCTTTTTGTTACAGAATTGAGTGACAGTGTGACATTGAGCTCCTCGGATAGAATGCATGCTCTTAGTCTCAAGATTGTTCTCCTTGGCAAAATTTATGCTGGCACACCACGCTTCTTTCCTTTAGGTAAGCTGTGATCTTAGGTGCAGTCACGTATTTTCTGTTCTGATGGTTTTCTCCGTTGATATGGACAAATAACGATCTTTCGAGTAAAATAAAGAGTTTCTTTGCTATTTAGTTCAGCACTTTAATTCTGCCTCTCCGGAAAGACTTCCAAAGAATGGCAGAATTTGTTAATGAAGAGTTGAGTATGAAACTTTCTGTGACTAACTTTCCAAGTTTATATTACCTGTCTTAGGATTGTGCTGACTGACAAACTATGATTATATTGTTGGTAACCCTATACAAGTTTCTGAAGAGAAAAGAAAAACGGTTGATGTTTTTGTGCATAGGTAATCTGTGATTGATTCAACTGTTCTTTTTTTATGTTGAGGGCATGTTTTTCTTTAAAATAGCAAATAATTATGTTAAAACTTAGTGTTTGAATCCCTTTCTTAATGAGATATGGTGGCTATAATTTTTAAATAAGGTAGCTAATTATGAGCTATTTGCCAACCTACAAGTGTTTTCCTCAGTGGTAAAACAATAGAAGCAACATAAATACATCCATAAATTAGAATATCAACTACTTTTGTGTTATTTAAAAATATTGAGAGACATGAAAATCCTCACAATATAACTTTTTTTTTTTTTTTTGAGACAGAGGCTTTCTCTGTCGCCCAGGCTGGAGTGGAATGATGCCATCTCGGCTCACTGCAACTTCTGCCTTCCAGGTTCAAGCAGTTCTCCTGCCTAGCCTCCCAAGTAGGTGGGATTACAGGTGCCTGCAACCACGCCTGGCTAATTTTCTGTATTTTTATTAGAAATGAGGTTTCCCCATGTTGTCTAGGCTGGTCTCAAACTCCTGGCCTCAGGTGATCCGCTTGCCTTGGCCTCCCAAGGTGCTGGGATTAAAGGCGTTCGCCACTGTGCCCAGCCTAATTTTTTTTTTTTTTTTTTCAAATGAGCATTCAAACTTGTTTACAGACCATCTCTGACTTAGGGTCTATTCCCTCTGGACATAGTCAGAAATAAAACCATTTTATTCATACCCTTACTTTTGTAGGTATAATATGGAAACGGTTCCCTTTCCATACCATTTTATTGATCCTAAAAATAAAGAGAAATAAAAGAGCAAATACATACTTTATATAAATGTTTATAAGTGTGTGAAACTGGTACTTTTGATAGTTGTTTTAAAAAACACTGCACCATGGCTGGGCATGGTGGCTCACAGGTGTAATCCCAGCACTTTGGGAGGCCGAGGCGGATGGATCGCTTGAGCCCAGGAGTTCGAGACCAGCCTGGGCAACATGGCAAAACCCTGTCTCTACAAAAAAATAGGAAAATTATCCAGGCATAGTGGCATGCGCCTGTGGTTCCAGCTACTCGGGAGGCTATGGTGGGAGGATCACTTGAGCCTGGGAGGTGAAAACTGCAGTGAGCTGAGATCGAACCACTGCACTCCAACCTCAGTGACACAGTGAGACCCCATTTCAATAAATAAATAAATAACACTGTATTGTACATAGTTCTTTTTAAGGAATTTTCATTTTAATTTAGAAATAATCATGTGGGCTTTGTGTGGTGGCTCACACCTGTAATCTCAACACTTTGGAGAGGCAAAGGCAGGAAGATTGCTTGAAGCCAGGAGTTTGAGACCAGCCTGGGCATAGCAAGCCCCGTCTCTACAAAAAAAATTAAGATTAGCTAGGCATGGTAGCACGTGCCTATAGTCCTAGCTAATCAGGCTGAGTTAGGAGGATTTCTATGTTTTACTTATATATATATATTTTTTTCTTTTGATAGAGAAGGGATCTCATGGTGTTGCCCAAGCTAGTCTTGAATTAGCCACACCTAGCTAATTTTTTTGTATTTTTAATAGAGACAGGGTTTCACCATGTTGGCCAGGCTGGTCTCGAACTCCTGACCTCAGGTGATCTGCTCACCTTGGCCTCCCATAGTGCTGGGATTATAGGTGCGAACCACCACGCCTGGCCATAACTATAAATTTGGCTGTTACTGTTTATGATAAGATAGGCAGTTAAAAGTAAGAATGAGGCCACAGTTAGAACTGTCAAATAAATCTAGGGGTGGGGCATTAAAAAACACATTTAATATTTCTGAAATCAGGATGCAGTTGCCCTTTTCTGAAAAGCTGTTAAAGTGAGGAAACCTATTTATTTATTTATTTATTTATTTATTTTTATTGATCATTCTTGGGTGTTTCTCGCAGAGGGGGATTTGGCAGGGTCACAGGACAATAGTGGAGGGAAGGTCAGCAGATAAACAAGTGAACAAAGGTCTCTGGTTTTCCTAGGCAGAGGACCCTGCGGCTGCCTTCCGCAGCGTTTGTGTCCCTGGGTACTTGAGATTAGGGAGTGGTGATGACTCTTAACAAGCATGCTGCCGCATGCTGCCTTCAAGCGTCTGTTTAACAAAGCACATCTTGCACCGCCCTTAATCCATTTAACCCTGAGTGGACACAGCACATGTTTCAGAGAGCACAGGGTTGGGGGTAAGGTCACAGATCAACAGGATCCCAAGGCAGAAGAATTTTTCTTAGTACAGAACAAAATGAAAAGTCTCCCATGTCTACCTCTTTCTATACAGACACGGCAACCATCCGATTTCTCAATCTTTTCCCCACCTTTCCCCCCTTTCTATTCCACAAAACTGCCATTGTCATCATGGCCCGTTCTCAATGAGCTGTTGGGCACACCTCCCAGATGGGGTGGTGGCCGGGCAGAGGGGCTCCTCACTTCCCAGTAGGGGCGGCCGGGCAGAGGTGCCCCTCACCTCCCGGACGGGGCGGCTGGCCGGGCGGGGGGCTGACCCCCCCACCTCCCTCCCGGACAGGGCGGCTGGCCGGGCGGGGGGCTGACCCCCCCCTCCTCCCTCCCGGATGGGGCGGCTGGCCGGGCAGAGGGGCTCCTCACTTCCCAGTAGGGGCGGCCGGGCAGAGGCGCCCCTCACCTCCCGGACGGGGCGGCTGGCCAGGCGGGGGGCTGACCCCCCAACCTCCCTCCCGGACGGGGTGGCTGCCGGGCGGAGGGGCTCCTCACTTCTCAGACGGGGCGGCTGCTGGGCGGAGGGGCTCCTCACTTCTCAGACAGGGCGGTTGCCAGGCAGAGGGTCTCCTCACTTCTCAGACGGGGTGGCCGGGCAGAGACGCTCCTCACATCCCGGACGGGGCGACAGGGCAGAGGCGCTCCCCACATCTCAGATGATGGGTGGCCGGGCAGAGACGCTCCTCACTTCCTAGATGGGATGGCGGCCGGGAAGAGGCGCTCCTCACTTCCTAGATGGGATGGCGGCTGGGCAGAGATGCTCCTCACTTTCCAGACTGGGCAGCCAGGCAGAGGGGCTCCTCACATCCCAGACGATGGGCGGCCAGGCAGAGACGCTCCTCACTTCCCAGACAGGGTGGCGGCCGGGCAGAGGCTGCAATCTCGGCACTTTGGGAGGCCAAGGCAGGCTGCTGGGAGGTGGATGTTGTAGGGAGCCGAGATCACGCCACTGCACTCCAGCCTGGGCACCATTGAGCACTGAGTGAAGGAGACTCCGTCTGCAATCCCGGCACCTCTGGAGGCCGAGGCTGGCGGATCACTCGCGGTTAGGAGCTGGAGACCAGCCCGGCCAACACAGCAAAACCCCGTCTCCACCCAAAAAATACGAAAACCAGTCAGGCGTGGCGGCGCGCACCTGCAATCGCAGGCACTCGGCAGGCTGAGGCAGGAGAATCAGGCAGGGAGGTTGCAGTGAGCCGAGATAGCAGTACAGTCCAGCTTCGGCTCGGCATCAGAGGGAGACCTTGGAAAGAGGGGAGAGGGACAGGGAGAGGGACAGGGACAGGAAACCTATTTTTTTTAAATACTGTTACTAAAAAAAATTATCAGTGAAGTCCTCTTCAATATTGGGATCGTGAATCGTCTCTGTTTTCTTCTTATATCTTTCTGAGTTTTCTAGGTTCTGTAATTTTAATTTTAGGACATTTTCATCATCCCAAAAAGAAACTCTGTGCTCATTAGTTGTCACTTCCCATTCCTTCACACCCTCCAGCCCTAGGCAGCCACTAATCTACTTTAGATTTGCCTGTTCTGGTATATATCTTACTTTTATTTAAAAAAAACTTTTTTTTTCTTTTAAGCTGAGAGTGATGGTGCACACTTGTAGCCCCAGCTTACTTGGGAGGTTGAGGTGGGAGGATTGAGCTCAGGATTTCAAGGCTGTCGTGCACTGTAGTTGCTCCTATGAATAGCCACTATTTCTAGTCTGGGCAACATAGCAAAAAAAACCCCCCGCCCCAAAAAATTGCAATTGGATTTCAGAAGATATCCCCCTAGAAACTATTCAGTTATGAATAAGACCTACCTTTTAGTATCAAGAGCTAAAAATCCAAATTTCCGATCTTTTTTTTTCTTCCCAGATTTTATTGTACAGTTTTTAGAACAGCAGGTTTGTACTTTGAACTGGGATGTGGGCTTCGTAATACAGACAATGAATGAAATTGGAGTACCATTACCTAGACTACTAGAAGTTTATGATCAGTTGTTCAAATCACGGGTAAGGAAAATATTAAATAACATAAAATTATTTTCTTTAATTAAAGTAACTTTGTAGATATAGAGTGGGGTATTTTGATTGCATTTTTGTATCCTATCACTTAGTCTAATTACACTTGGTTGAGTCTTGGAAATTATGCTTTTGACTTTTTAAACTGATAATGAGAGTTGCTTTCCTGTATATCATGATTAAAATGAAATATTATTTTTGAATATTAATAAATATGCTTTACTCTTGGTGAAAGAGGCTAAACCAAGGTGTGGGCTAAACTCATTACATTAAGAATCATCATTTGCTTTATTTTTTTTTTTTTTTTTTTTTTTGAGACGGCGTCTCGCTCTGTTGCCCAGGCCGGACTGCGGACTGCAGTGGCGCAATCTCGGCTCACTGCAAGCTCCGCTTCCCGGGTTCACGCCATTCTCCTGCCTCAGCCTCCCCAGTAGCTGGGACTACAGGCGCCCGCCACCGCGCCCGGCTAATTTTTTGTATTTTTAGTAGAGACGGGGTTTCACCTTGTTAGCCAGGATGGTCTCGATCTCCTGACCTCATGATCCACCCGCCTCGGCCTCCCAAAGTGCTGGGATTACAGGCGTGAGCCACCGCGCCCGGCCAAGAATCATCATTTGCTTTAAAAGAACAAGATTACATTGTATTTATTTACTATAACCTCATCTAAAATATCAGTGCTTAAAGATCCTTCTCACCCTGCTGAACCTTATCAGACTATATGTTTTGTAATTTTTATGCTAAGGATAAAAGATCCAAATAAAAACTTGTCAAAGTAGATTGTGTCTTTTATAGCAGCATCACACAGTGCTTTACAACATTAGCCTGTGATGGAAATGAGCAGGTAACTGTAGTATCTCCATCTTATATTGCAAAAAACAAGAGCAGAGATGTTAAATAACCTGCTTAAGTCACATGGCTAGTAACTGGTGAAGCCAGACCTAGAATTAAGTTTCTGTTACTGCTAGTTTAGTCTCTTTATGATGTCAGACTAAATCTGCATAGGTTCAAAGTAAAAGTGGTGTCACAACCCATAGAAAGAAAGATTTTTCTCTTATCTCAGATTCCTAAGCGGGACATTTACATGCTCTGCAAAGTAGATTGGTATATCAAATATGCCTCCTAAGTAATATCATAGTGTTGTTAATTAATAAGTTTTTAATGTTGTTTGAAATATTAACTATAATCAGATATATAATTTAGTAGCCATGTGATATTAAATGCTTTTTAATAGCGATAAGTTTTGCATGGATCCTGATGTCTACTTTAGTATAAATGATTTAAATAATCAATTGACACAATTTGCCTCACATTTCATTATGTATATTTCTTCATAGGATCCATTCTGGAACAGAATGAAGAAGCCACTGCACCTTTTGGATTGTATACATGTATTATTGATAAGATATGTTGAGAATCCCAGCCAAGTTTTAAATTGTGAAAGGTACTTATGAATTAAATATTGGATCAGCAAAAGCTTTTAAATGCTTCTAATAAATACCTGGGTAAAAAATTTGAAGAGAAGATGGGAAGATTCTTGTGTATATTAGCAATAACTATTTGAATGATATTGATCACCATGTATGAAAAATAGGAGTTTTTTCCATTTTCAACCCTTGTCCTAAATCCTTTCTACAGCTGAACATACATAATGTATTCATTTCTTCTACTTTAGATTAGTGATCTAGGACCAAAACATTTCAATTATGTCTTTGTGATATTATTGGCCATTTAAGGGATATTCTTTTGAAAAAGAATATTAGCAGGAATCATCTCTTACTGCTTTCTTCTCATTGTAAAAATCTTCAGGCCAGGCGTGGTGGCTCACACCTGTAATCCCAGCACTTTGGGAGGCTGAGATGGGCGGATCATGAGGTCAAGAGATCGAGACCATCCTGGCTAACACGTGAAACCCCATCTCTACTAAAAATACAAAAAAATTAGCTGGGCGTGGTGGCGGGCACCTGTAGTCCCAGCTACACGGGAGGCTGAGGCAGGAGAATGGCGTGAACCCAGGAGGCAGAGGTTGCAGTGAGCCGAGATGGCGCCACTGCACTGCAGCCTGAGTGACAGAGCGAGACTCCGTCTCAAAAAAAAAAAAAAAATCTTCAAATGGAACCCACCTACACCCAAGTTTTCTTTTTTACTTTATTTCTTATTTACTTAATCACATGGTCTTTCCTCTCCTGTGAGAATTAAAGTTGCCAGAAGTTGGTGGGGAAGAAGTCCTGCAGGAGGAAATGTTTGTAAATGTATAATTAATCATGTGTCTTTTTCGTTGTAGGAGAAGATTTACAAATCTCTGCCTGGATGCTGTTTGTGGTTACCTTGTTGAGCTCCAGTCTATGAGCTCGTCAGTAGCAGTACAAGCCATCACTGGGAATTTTAAATCTCTTCAAGCTAAATTAGAACGGCTTCATTAATTACTGTGATATACTTTCATCCGTTTTATGATCTGTAAAATAAAAACTCAGCTGGGTCCAGATATCAGGTGTTCTAAATCTAAGAATGTAAGAACAATCTTAATAGAAATATGTTTTTAATAAGTGGCTAATATCTACAAATAGTACCTTTGCTAAATGAATTCTTTTTTATGACTATTTTGTTTTTTAGTAATTGGGTGAAAAAACAACTGAAATGAGATTATTTATTATTTTAACATAAGGATTAAAAAAATTTAGAAACTCTTATTTTGAATTGTACTGCAGGCAGAAATTTCGAATTTATATTATTCATTTTCAAGTTAGTCCAAGGATATTGGCATTAAAACTCCACTAGGCGGCCAGGCACAGTGACTTACACCTGTAATCCCAGCACTTTGGGAGGCCAAGGTGGGCGAATCACGAGGCCAAGAGTTTGAGACCAACCTGGCCAACATGGTGAAACCCCATCTCTACTAAAAATACAAAAAAAAATAGCCAGGCGTGGTGGCGGGCGCCTGTAATCCCAGCTACTCGGGAGGCTGAGGGAGGCGAATCACTTGAACCCGGGAGGCAGAGGTTTCAGTGAGTCAAAATCGCACCATTGCACTCCAGCCCAGGCAACAGGGCGAGACTCTGTCTCAAAAAACAAAAAAACCTCAAATAGGCTAAGCAGATCCATTCCCATAATAGTGGATTCTAAAACCGTCCTTAAATAGGCAAATAACTGACTTTTTCAAAACTTTTTTTAGGTGTTGGGTTCACCCTTGAAAGAACTGTCCTCTAACAACTGGTTTTGTCAGTTAAAGCCCTTGAGAATTGACATAGCTATATACCTGGTTGAGCAGGTGATAAAACTTGTAACTAATGTTGTGTCCTGAAAACCTACACAGGGAGGTACTGTTTTCCCTTAGTGTCTACCTGGCTGCTTGGCCTTGTGACTACTGATTCCATTAGAGCAGTGGTTCTCAAAGTATGTGCTCCAAACCAGAAGCATCAGCATCAGCATCAGCATCACCTAGGAATTTGTTAGAAATGCAAATTCTCGAGCCCCAACCCAGACCTACTGAATCAAAAACGTGGGGGATGAGGCCCTGCTTTCTATGTTTTAACAAGCTCTCCAGGAGATTTTGGTGCATGTCAAATTTGAAAGCCACTGCAGTAAAGGATACTGCTACCTTCCATAGTTTATGGACTGAGCTACCTATCTGGCTCCTCCTCTGTGAATAACCACACACACAAATTTTGCCCAAGGCACACAATATATAAAGCAAAACTGTTAGTAATGTACTTTTTAATTATTCCTTAACAAAATAGAATAACCAAACCAAATGCTTCAAAGTAATAGCAACAAGAGAGAAGAAGAGTGGGAATGACCAGAGCTAACAAAACACTCTATTCCTTTCTCTCTTTTTTTTTTTTTTGGAGACAGAATCTCACCCTGTAGCCCAGCCTGGAGTGCAGTGGTGCGATCCCGGCTCACTGCAACCTCTGCCTCACAGGTTTGAAGCAATTTGCCTGCCTCAGCCTCTCGAGTAGCTGGGATTGCAGGTGTGCGCCACCATACCCAGCTAATTTTTGTATTTTTAGTAGAGATGGGTTTCACCATGTTGGCCAGGCTGGTCTTGAACTCCTGACCTCAAGTGATCTGCCCGCCTCCACCTCCCAAAGTGTTGAGATTACAGACGTGAGCCAATGTGCCTGGCCTATTCCCTTCTCTCTTTATGCTACCACAAATAATTACCTTCTGTTTATTGTAAGTGATGCATGTCTAACAATTTGTACAATACATTTTGAATATATTTTTCCTTCCATTATTGTCTTTTCCCAAGACCATAGGGTTGCCTTCTCTACATTTGTTCTCTTAGAATTCAGCTCCCTTTTCCCTATAATCTTCTAATGTAGAATATTTAATAGAATGCCAGAACGTCACTCAGTGGGTACTACTACCTCTTATTTTTCAACTTTTCAGTTTCTTAAGTTTAGCGTTTTTTGAATATGTAAAGTGAATGTATGCGATACATTAATTCGTTTTATAAATTTAAAATTCTGTCATGTCTACTTAAAAGGAAGGCCTTGTCTGAATGTTGTAATTTAGGTGTGACTCCAGTTCTGCTAGAGATAAGAACTTCATTTTTGTTTTAAGCACATTTACATACTAGCAATATGTTGTTATATATACTCAGCTCACAACATTGAAAGTACATGTTTTAAAAGGGCTGTAGGCTTCCATGGTTAGATGGTCTGTTAGAGTCAGAAATCTGAACACTGTCCTTTTATTCACACAGCATGCTTTGAGAGGTTTTAGGAATTCCAGCCCCACAACAGATGCTTGCAATACCTTTTGGGGGGTAAGATTCCTAAGAGAGAAGAAATTAGGTCCCCTCATTTTTACCCTTGGAACAGTGTTTCTAAAACTTTCACATTCAGAACAATCAGCCGGATAGCCTGTTATGACAGATTCTTGAGTTCCATCTGTAGTGTCATGCTGATCCTGGCAGTCAGTGGATCAGAGTTGGAGTAGCATTTATCCACTGTATTAGTATACTTTGTACTTGGTGTTTGTTCAACGCATTACTTTTTTGAATTTTTTTGTTTTTTGAAGACAAGGGCTTGCCCTGGAGTGCAGTGGCATGATCTTGGCTCACTGCAGCCTCGAGCTCCTGGGCTCAACTCAGTCTTCCCACCTCATCCTCTTAAATAGCTGGGACTACAGGCACGTGCTGCTACACCCTGCTATTGTCTGTTTGTTTGTTTGAGACTGAGTTTTGCTCTTGTTGCCCAGGCTGGAGTGCAATGGCACAATCTTGGCTCACCACAGCCTTTTTTATGAGACTGAGTTTTGCTCTTGTTGCCCAGGCTGGAGTGCAATGGCACGATCTTGGCTCACCACAACCTCCACTTCCTGGGTTCAAGCAATTCTTCTGCCTCAGCCTCCCGAGTAGCTGAGATTACAGGCATGCGCCACCATGCCTGGCTAATTTTTTTTTTTTGTATTTTTAGTAGAGATGGGGTTTCACCGTGTTGGTCAGGCTGGTCTTGAACTCCTGACCTCAGGTGATCCACCCCCCTTGGCCTCCCAAAGAGCTGGGATTACAGGCATGAGCCACTGCGCCTAGCCCCACCCCCCCTACTTTTTTTTTTTTTTTTTTTTTAATTTTTTGTGTAGCCAAAAGATCTCACTCTGTTGCCCAGACTGCTCTCAAAACTCCTGGCCTTAAGTGATTCCCCTGCCTCAGTCTCCCAAAGTGCTGGGATTATAGGCATGAGCCACCATGCCTGTCCATTATTTCTTTATAGTGACTATTATATGTAGGCAATGTATAATTGGTAGAACATAGTCTATGAAACAGTGCGTTAATTGTGGGCAGTGAAGAATCATTGAAGTTGTGAAATTTGTATTTTAACTAGATCATTGTAGTATGGCAAAACGGTTAGGAAAGAGAAAGCTATCTTGACTAACTGTTTATGCTATGAGATACTGACTGATGTACATGTACATTTAGTGTTTCTTTAGGTATACCTGACTTATTCATTGAACACCTATCCACTGATCTCAAAAGTATTCCTCAGGGTAGTCTCCATTCCTGTCATTTTTCCTCCTATTCATGAGACGGAAAAATTATGACCATGGTACAGAGTTGTATCAAGGAAATGAAGAACTAGAACATTGAATTGAAAGGTTTTGAAAGGGTTCACAATTTCTTTTCATTTTCTATTAATGTCTTCTTTTAAATTCTCTTAAGAATAAAACTTTTTTCTAATATTTTAAGTCTTCCATTAAATCATTGAAACTCTTCTGAGCTTCGTTTTCCTCATATATAAATGAGATTGAAGCCAAATAATAAAACTTTAAAAATCAATCAAGGGCCAGGTGCAGTGTCTTACACCTGTAATCCCAGAACTTTGGGAGGCCAAGGCAGGTAGATCACCTGAGGTCAGGAGTTTGAGACCAGCCTGACCAACATGGTGAAACCCCGTCTCTACCAAAAATACAAAAAAGTTAGCCGGGTGTGGTGGTGGGTGCCTGTAGTCCCAGCTACTTGGGAGGCTGAGGCATGAGAATCACTTGAACCTTGGAGACAGAGGTGCAGTGAGCTGAAATCCCACACCACTGCACTCCAGCCTGGGCGACAGAGGAAGACTTGGTCTCAAAAACAAAACAAAATCAATTTACCATGTGGGATCCGGGATCCCCATGTATGTTTTCAACCCACATTAGAAATGACCCCCTAAAGCACCTCTGTCAAAACAACCAAACCTGAACTCATCCCTCTCTGCCCTCTGCCCACTCTTGCTGTTCTTCCTTGTTTTCTACCTCTTTATTGTCTCAAATAGAAAATATGAAAATCATTACATTGTCCTCCCTTCAAAACCAGTTTTTAAGCAAGTCTACTTGATATCCCCCATATCTGCCCAATTGTCTCATTACTTTAGGCTTTCAGGGTGGATTAAAGTTACTCTGTTTCACTTGGATGCTTAAAACAGTGTCAAAGTGGTCTTCCTGCCTCTACTTTGACCTCTCCATCTCTGTTTCCACACCAAGGACAGAGTGGTCTTTTTAAAATCTAAATTTAGCCCTTGAGACGCAGCTTGAGCTTGAGGCATGCAGGGCTGGAGACACGGCAGACCTTCAACCCAGAGCAATATGAGGTGGTGAGCAAAAAAATGGAAAGGAAACAATAGAATAAAAAAGTTGGGGCCGGGCACAGTGGCTTACGCCTGTAATCCCAGCACTTTGGGAGGCCGAGGCAGGCAGATCACCTGAGGTTGGGAGATCGAGACCAGTCTGATCAACATGGAGAAACCCTGTTTCTACTAAAAATACGAAAATGAGCTGAGTGTGGTGGTGCATGCCTATAATCCCAGCTACTCAGGAGGCTGAGGCAGGAGATTTGCTTGAACCTGGGAGTCGGAGGTTGTGGTTAGCCAAGATCGCGCCACTACATTCCAGCCTGGGCAACAAGAGCGAAACTCCATCTCCAAAAAAAAAATTGATGCAGAGCCTGAAGAATTTGTAGTGGAAAAAGTACTGGATCAATGTGTGATGAATGGTAAGGTAGTGCATTTCCTGATGTGGAAGGGATTTATAGATGCTGAAAGTACTTGGGAACCTGAAGAAACTTAAGCTTGTCAAGAGTTACTTGGAACATTTAATTCTCAAAAAAGCTGTTAAAGAAAAAGATGATACAAGAAGAAAATATTTACCTGACAGTTGGATAACATAAAATCAAGGAAAGAGATACTGCAGACAAACCAAGAGACCTTGATCCTGAAAAAAATAATTGGCTATGCAGACAGCAGTGGAGAATTGATGATACTCATGAAATGGAAAATTCAGATAAAGCAGACTTGGTGTTAGCAAAAGAACAAAACATGAAGTGTATATAAAACCGGGCTCTTGCTTTTTGCTTTACTAATGTGAAGAAATAGCTGCATTCTAATAAAAATCAAGTTTGATATGTTCATTTTGAAAGTAGTTCGGGTTATGGCTGGGCACGGTGGCTCACATCTGTAATCCCAGCACTTTGAGAGGCCAAGGTGGATCACCTGAGGTCGGGAGTTCGAGACCAATCTGACCAATATGGAGAAACCCCATCTCTACTAAAAATACAAAATTAGCCAGGTGTGGTGGTGCATGCCTGTAATCCCAGCTACTTGGGAGGCTGAGGCAGGAGAATCACTTGAACCCAGGAGGCAGAAGTTGCAGTGAGCCGAGATCGTGCCATTGCACTCCAGCCTGGGCAACAAGAGCGAAAGTCCATCTCAAAAAAAAAAAAAAAGTAATTTGGGTTCATGACCTGCCTCATCAACATGGTGAAACTCTCTCTACTAAAAGTACAAAAATTAGGCCAGGCACAACGGCTCACACCTGTAATCCCAGCACTTTAGGAGACCGAGGCAGGCAGATCACCTGAGGTCAGGAGTTCAAGACTAGCCTGGCCAACATAGTGAAACCCCGTCTCTACCGACAAATATGAAAATTAGCCAGGTGTGGTGGTGGGCACCTGTAATCCCAGCTACTCAGGAGGCTGAGGCAGGAGAATCGCTTGAACCCAGGAAGTGGAATTTGCAGTGAGCCGAGATCATGCCACTGCACTCCAGCCCAGGTGACACAGCGAGACTCCATCTCGGGAAGAAAAAAAAAAATTAGCCAGGTGTGGTAGTACATGCCTGTAATCCAGTCACTTGGGAGGCTGGGGCAAGAGGATAGCTTGAAACCGAGAGGCAGTGGTTGCCGTGAGCCGAGATCATGCCACTGCACTCCAGTCCGGGTGACAGATTGAGACCCTGACTCAAACAAAAATAAATAAAAGTAGTTTGGGGAGAGTCATTGGGATTTTGTTTTGTTTGCATCAATAGCACTGGTTACTTTCAACAAATGAAAGCTTTCTGTGGTTGCTTCCCTTATCGGAAAAGAATGTTTGATACGATGGCATATTATTTCCTTGGCATTAGAGAACAGCTTTTCTAGATGTCGAGGGTAATTTCCGTAGTCATTACTCAATTAGAATTTGTTATCATATACTTAGGGACCATTGTGGTTTGTGTGTGTGTGTGTATACGTAATATGGATATATAAACATTTTTCTTTTGTTGTTGTTTTTGAGATGAAGTCTTGCTCCTGTCCCCCAGGCTGGGGTGGAATGGCGCGATCTCGGCTCACTGCGACCTCCGCCTCAGCTCCCTGTAGCTGGGATTACAGGCGTCCACCACCACACCTGGCTAATTTTTGTATTTTTAGTAGAGATGGGGTTTCACCTTGTTGGCCAGGCTGGTCTTGAACTCCTGACCTCGGCATCCCAAAGTGCTGGGATTACAGGCTTGAGCCACCGTGCCTGGCCGTCTTTTGTTGTTTTTAACCATTCACCAAAACAAAAAATCATGAGTAAGCCCATATTTCTGAGATGCCATCATTCAGAGGATCCTACAAAATAAATCACTTCATGTTAAATTGAAAATTTTCCTGAAGTCATGACATTAAATAGATGATTCTTTAATTAATTGCATAATTTAAATTGGATATTTTAATTTATTTATGTATTTATTTTGAGATGGAATCTCACTCTCACCCAGGCTGGAGTGCAGTGGCATGATCCTGGCTCACTGTAATCTCCACCTCCTAGGTTCAAGCGATTCTCCTGCCTCAGCCTCCTGAGTAGCGGGGACTACAGGCATGCACCACCACACCTGGCCGATTTTTGTATTTTTAGTAGAGACGGGGTTTCACCATGTTGGCCAGGCTGGTGTTGAACTGTTGACCTCAAGTGATCCTCCTGCCTTGGCCTCCCAAAGTGCTGGGATTACAGGCATGAGCCAGCATGCCCAGCCAAATTGGATATTTTAAAAGCACCTGATATGGTTTGGCTATGTCCCCACCCAAATCTCATCTTGAATTCTCATGTGTTGTGGGAGGGACCCAGTGGGAGGTAATTGAATCATGGGGGCAAGTCTTTCCTGTGCTGTTAAGATAGTAAATTAATCTCCTGAGATCCGATGGTTTTATAAAGAGGAGTTCCCCTGCACAAACTCTTTCTATGCCTGCTGCCATTCAGGTAAGGCATGACTTGTTCTTCCTTGCTTTCCACCATGATTAAGAGGCCTCCCCAGCCACGTGTAACTGTAAGTCCATTAAACCCTCTTTCCTGTATAAATTACCCAGTCTCGGGTATTCTGTCGCCCAGAGCATGATCTTGGCTCACTGCACCCTCCGCCTCCTGGGTTCAAGCAATTATCCTGCCTCAGCCTCCTGAGTAGTTGGGACTACAAGTCCTCACCAGCATGCCAGGCTAATTTTTGTAGCAGAGACGGGGGCGGGGGGCAGTTTCACCATATTAGCCTGGCTGGTCTCGAACTCCTGACCTTGTGATCCACCCACCTTTGCCTCCCAAAGTGCTGGGATTACAGGTGTGAGCCAGGGTATGTCTATCAGCAACATGAAAATTGACTAATATAGTAAATTGGTACCAGTAGAGTGGGGCATTGCTGAAAATATATCTGAAAATGTGGAAGCACCTTTGGAACTGGGTAACACACAGAGTTTGGGACAGTTTGGAGGGCTTAGAAGAAGACAGATACCCTAAATCATCTCTCTCAAGTTCAAGGTTCCACAAATTTCTAGAGCAGGGGCAAAATGCCACCAGTCTCCTCACTAAAACATAACAAGAGTTATCTTTGTCATCTTTGCTCCAATTCCCAACAAGTTCCTCATTTACATCTGAGACTAGGTCAGCCTGGACCTTATTGTCCATATCGCTATCAGCATTTTGGGCAAAGCCATTCAACAAGTCTCTAAGTAGCTTTTAACTTTCCCACATTTTCTGAGGAGAAATTCAAGCTGGCTGCAGAAATTTGGATAAGTAACCAGGAGATGAATGTTAATCACATGTCTCCAGGGCATGTTAGAGGTCTTCACGGCAGCCCCACCCATCACAGGCCCAGAGGCCTAGGAGGAAAAAATGGTTTCATGGTCCCAGCCCAGGGTTCTCATGCTGTATGTAGTCTAGGGACTTGGTGCCCTGTGTCCTGGCCGCTCCACTCATGATGAAAAGGGGCCAAAGTACAGCTTGGGCTGTGGCTTCAGAGGGTACAATCCCCAAGCCTTGGTAGCTTCCACATGGTGTTGAGCCTGCGGGTGCACAGAAGTCAATAATTGAGGTTTGGAAACCTTCGGCTAGATTTCAGAAGTTGTATGGAAATGCCTGGATGCCCAGGCAGAAGTTTGCTGCAGGGGCGGGGCTGTCATGGAGAACCTCTGCTAGGGCAGTGCAGAAGGGAAATGTGGAGCTGCAGCCCCCACATAGAGTCCCTACTGGAGCACTGCCTAGTGGAGCTGTGAGAAGAGGGCCACTGTCCTCCAGACCTCAGAATGGTAGATCCACTGACAGCTTGCACCGTGCACCTGGTAAAGCCGCAGACACTCAATGCCAGCTCATGAAGGCAGCCGGGAGGGAAGCTCTACCCTGCAGAACCACAGGTGAAGCTGTCCAAGACCATGGGAACTCACCTCTTGCATCAGTGTTACCCAGATGTGAGACATGAAGTCAAAGGAGATCATTTTGGAGCTTTAAGATTTGACTGCCCAGCCTGGCGCAGTGGCTCATGCCTGTAATCCCAGCACTTTGGGAGGCAGAGGTGGGTGGATCACTTGAGGTCAGGAGTTTGAGACCAGCCTGGCCAGCATGGTGAAACCCCGTCCCTACTAAAAATACAAAAAATTAGCTGGGTCTGGTGGCATGTGCCTCTAATCCCAGCTGCTTGTGAGGCTGAGGCAGTAGAATTGCTTGAACCTGGCAGGTGGAGGTTGCACTGAGCCGAGATCGCCCATTGCATTCTAGGCAGAGTGAGACTCTGTCTCAAAAAAAAAAAAAAAAAAAAAGATTTGATTGCCCTGCTGGATTTTGACTTGGATGGGGCCTGTAGTCCCTTTGTTTTGGCCAATTTCTCCCATTTGGAATCTGTATTTACCCAATGCTTGTACCCCCATTGTATCTAGGAAGTAACTAACTTGCTTTTGATTTTACAGGCTCATAGCTGGAAGGGACTTACCTTGTCTCAGACAAGACTTTGGACTGTGGACTTTTGAGTTAATGCTGAAATGAGTCAAGACTTTGGGGGACTGTTGGGAAGGCAAGATTGGTTTTGAAATGTGAGGACATAAGATTTAGGAGGAGCCAGGGGTGGAATGATATGATTTGGCTGTTTCCCCACCCAAATCTTGTCTTGAATTCCCATGTGTTGTGAGAGGGACCCAGCGTGAGGTAATTGAATCATAGGGGCAAGTCTTTCCTGTACTGTTCTTGTGATAGTGAATAAGTCTCATGAGAGGTGATGATTTTATAAAGAGGAGCTCCCCTGAACAAGCTCTCTCTTTGCCTGCTGCCATCGTCGTATGATGTGACTTGCTCCTCCTTGCCTTCCACCACGATTGTGAGGCCTCCCCAGCCACTTGGAACTGCAAGTCCATTAAACCTCTTTCTTTTGTAAATTGCCCCATCTCAGGTATGTCTTTATCAGCAGTGTGAGTATGGACTAATACAGCACCTAATCAGAATCTATACATGTAGTCATAAACATAACGGTTTATTTACAGAATTCCTGAAAGGAAAAATTTTATCACTGCCAACAACCTCCCCACCCAGAAGAGGAAACTAGACAAAGCCTGGTGTGTTTTAAACAAGACTAAAATGAACATGTAAAGATTCACCTCGTGAACATTTTCTTTACAAAAAGTTGAAATCCCTGTGCTATGTTGACTCAATGGTCATGATTCATGGACGATCTGAGGCTTGGTTCATGGAAACCTAATCAGATGGTTAGAGATGGTTGCAGTTTAGGACCTGGAAGAACAAAGCTTTATCTTAAACTATTGATCTGGATGTTTTTTCTTTATCCCTGCTCATCCCTTACACTCTTTTCTATATTCATTTTACTGGTTCACCAGAAGCCAGGAAAAATAATTTTGTAGTAGTCAGAGTGTTATTCCAATTGTATATTGTTTATTGTGAATACTGGTGAACAGTGGTCAAGAAGTAGTTTTATATTCCTTTAAAAAATGTAGCCAGGTATGGTGGCTCATGCCTGTAATCCCAGCACTTTGGGAGGCCAAGGGGGGGTGAATCGTTAGGTCAGGAGTTCGAGACCAGCCTGACCAAAATGGTGAAACCCCATCTGTACTAAAAAACACAAAAATTAGCCAGGCATGGTGGTGGGCACCTGTAATCCCAGCTACTCGGGAGGCTGAGTCAGAAGAATTGCTTGAACCTGGGAGGCAGAGGTTGCACTGAGCCAAGATCACACCACTGCACTCCAGCTTGGGTGACAGAGCAAGACTCTGTCTCAAAAAAAAAAAATGTAACTCTAAATATACTCCTACCTTTTTCCTCAAGAAATTACAGATTCCTAGTGTGGCATTATAAGCACTGCATTTTAGTTGAGCAAAAATAAAAATAACAAAAGTCTCATGTTAGTTTTAGCAAAAGAATAATTTATTGGCCCTCAAAACTAAAATGTCCATGTATAGGCAACTTCCACCTGACTACATCCCCAGCCTCAATATTTTCAGGGCCTTCTCTAGCTCAGTTCCTCTCTTTTCATGTCACTCTGCTCTTGCAATTTGTCTACCTGTGACTCCTGGGAGAGTATGGGCAGTGTTACATCCTGTTAGCTCTAACCTGGAGATACAGTTAACAGAGAAGTCCTAGGAAGGGCTCTGATCAACGAGTCCAGCTTGAGTCATGGACTAGTCTTGGGGCATAGTGGTCATGCAAACCATATGGAATAGGAAAGAAATGCTTTCCTAAAGAATTGGATGCTGGGCATACATGTGATCTCAGCTATGCACATCAGATATAGTAGGCACCTCAGTCCACCTGCATTGCATACCATTCACTTACTGTGCTTTGATGAAAACTATAAGCTTACAGATCCAGGAAACTCAATGAACCCAGAGCAGAATAGACAAAACCACCATGGACACATCATAATCAAGCTCTCGGCAACCTAGGAATAAAAGGGAACTTAGCCTGATAAATGACACCTATGGAAAACATTCAGCTAAAATCAAACTTCATGGTTGTTGGGAACAAGGCCCCCAAAATCTGGCCATAAACTGGCCCCAAAACTGGCCATAAACAAAATCTCTGCAGCACTGTGACATGTTCATGATGGCCATAACACCCACCCTGGAAGGTTGTGGGTTTACCAGAATGAAGGCAAGGAACACCTGGCCTGCCCAGGGCGGAAAACCACTTAAAGGCATTCTTAAGCCACAAACTATAGCATGAGCGATCTGTGCCTTAAGGACATGCTCCTGCTGCAGTTAACTAGCCCAACCTATTCCTTTAATCTGGCCCATTCCTTCGTTTCCCATAAGGGATACTTTTAGTTAATTTAATATCTATAGAAACAATGCTAATGACTGGCTTGCTGTTAAAAAATATGTGGGTAAATCTCTGTTCAAGGCTCTCAGCTCTGAAGGCTGTGAGACCCCTGATTTCCCACTTCACACCTCTATATTTCTGTGTGTGTGTGTCTTTAATTCCTCTAGCGCCGCTGGGTTAGGGTCTCCCCGATCAAGCTGGTCTCAGCACATGGTGAAAGAGTAAATGTCTCAAATATGCTAAAAAGGAATGTCTCTGTTCACCACTTCTATTCAATACGGTATTGAAGGTCCTGACCAGTACAATATGGCAAACAAGAAATGTAAGACATATGGTTTAGAAAAGCTTAAGTAAATGTCTTTTTTTTTTTTTTTTTTTTGAGACAGAGTATCGCTCTGTCACCCAGGATGGAGTGCAGCGGCATGATCTCAGCTCACTGCAACCTTTGCCTTCTGGGTTCAAGCGATTCTCCTGACTCAGCCTCCCGAGTAGCTGGGACTACAGGCGTGTGCCACCATGCCCTGCTAGCTTTTTGTATTTTGAGTAGAGACAGCATTTCACCATGTTAGCCAGGATGGTCTCGAACTCCTGACCTCATGATCTGGCTGCCTCGGCCTCCCAAAGTGCTGGGATTACAGGCGTGAGCCACTGCGCCCGGCCAGTAAATGTGTCTTCATTGACAGACATGATTGTCTATGTAGAAAATCCTATAGAATATACAGAAAATACTATAACCAGTAAGCAGAACTACTAGGACAAAGTTTAGCAACGTTGCAGGATATAAGGTCAATGTACAAAAATCAATTATAATTCCATGTACCACCAACAATTAATAAAAATTTATAAAATAATGATTTAAAGTGGCATCAAGGGCTAGGCATGATGGCTCCCTCCTGTAATCCCAGCACATTGGGAGGCTGAGGTGGGCAGAACACCTGAGGTCAGGAGTTTGAGACCAGGCTGGCCAACATGGTGAAACCCCATCTCTACTAAAAATACAAAATTAGCCAGGCATGGTGGCACGTGCCTGTAATCCCAACTATTCAGGAGGCTGAGGCAGGAGAATCACTTGAACCCGGGAGGCAGAGGTTGCAGTGAGCCGAGATCATGCCATTGCACTCCAGCCTGGGCAACAGGAGCAAAACTCTGTCTCAAGAAATGTATATATATATATATATTCGTAAAAAATAAAGTAGCATGAAGGCCAGGTACAGTTGTTTATGCCTGTAACCCCAGCACTTTGGGAGGCTAAGGTGAAGGATTGTTTGAGCTCAGGAGTGCGAGGCAGGGGAATTGCTTGAACCTAGGAGGTGGAGATTGTAGTGAGCTGAGATTGTGCCACTGCACTCCAGCCTGGAGACAGAGCAAGACTCCATCTCAAAATATATATATATACTGTGTTTATGAGTTGAAACACTGAGTTTATTAACATTGATTCTCATCAAATTGATGTTCTGATTCAATGCAAGCCCAATCAAATTTCCAACAAATGTCCTAAAATTAGAATTTACAAGCAGATTTAAAAATTTAAATGGAAATGAGAAGTACTAGAATAGCCAAAAAAAATTTTAGAAAAAGAATAAAATTGAAGAACATATACCGTGAATTTCAATATTTTATTATAAAGCTACAGTAATAATGATAATGTATTGATGTAAGGATATAAATATAAATGGAATAGAATAAATACAGATTAGATATATACATATACGGACAATCAATTTTCAGCAAAGATGCGAAGCTAATTCACTGTGGGAGAGAATAGTCTTATCAACAAATGGTGCTGGAACAATTGAGTATCCAAATGGAAAAAAATTAGCCTCAACACTTACCTCACACCATATGTGAAAATTAATTTGATATGCATCATAGACCTAAATATAAGAGCTTATGCTACAAAATGTCTGAAAGAAAATGGGAAAATGGTGGAGAAAAATCCTTTTGACCTCAGGTTGGAGCAGATTTCTTTCTTTCTTTCTTTTTTTTTTTTGAGACGGAATTTTGCTCTTCTTGCCCAGGCTGGAGTGCAATGGCACAATCTTGGCTCACCACAACCTCCGCCTCCTGGGTTCAAGCGATTCTCCAGCCTTAGCCTCCCAAGTAGCTGGGATTACAGGCATGCGCCACCACACCCAGCTAATTTTGTATTTTTTAGTAGAGACAGGGTTTCACCACATTCATCAAGCTGGTCTCAAACTCCTGACCTCAGGTGATCATCTGCCTCGGCCTTCCAAAGTGCTGGGATTACAGGTGTGAGGCACGGAGCCTAGCCTTCTTTCTTTCTTTCTTTTTTTTTTTTTTGGAGACAGAGTCTCGATCTATCACCCAGAATGGAGAGCAGTGGCGTGGTCTCAGCTCACTGCAACCTCCACCTTCTGGGTTCAAGCGATTCTCCTGCTTCAGCCTCCCGAGTAGCTGGGATTACAGGCATGCGCCACCATGCACGGCTAATTTTTTTGTATTATTAGTAGAGACAGGGTTTCACCATGTTGACCAGGCTGGTCTCGAACCCCTGACCTCAGATGATCCACCCACCTCGGCCTCCCAAAGTGCTGGGATTACAGGCATGAGCCACTGCACCCAGCCAGGCAGATTTCTCAGAACACAAAAACTTTAATCAGGAAAAAGTTGCTAAATTGGATTTTGTCAAAATGAAAAACATCCGCTCTTCGAAAGAAACTGAAAAGGCAAACTACAAACTGGAATAAAATATTTACAAACTATAGATATAAAGTAGTTGTATCTAAAATATATATAATACTGGCCGGGCACTGTGGTTCACATCTATAATTTCAGCACTTTGGAAGGCTGAGGTGGGCAGATCACTTGAGGTCAGGAGTCCAAGCACAGCCCGGCCAACATGGTGAAACCCTGTCTCTACTAAGAATACAAAAATTGGCTGGGCGCGGTGGTGGGCGCCTGTAGTCCCAGCTACTCAGGAGGCTGAGGCAGGAGAATCGCTGCAGTGAGTGGAGATCACTCCACTGCACTCCAGCCTGGGCAAAAGAGCTAGACTCAGTCTCAAAAATAATAATAATACATAATATATTTATAATAATCTCACAATTCAATAAGGAGACAGCCCCTACCCTTCCAAAAAAAAATGGGCAAAAGATTTGGCTACTTTGTCCAAGAAGATACATGGATGGCAATAAGCACTGAGAAAATGGTCAACATTGTTACTCAGTAGAGAAAGGCAAATTGAAAGTATAATAAGATGTGTGACTACACATCCACAAGTTACTCAAATTAAAAAGATTGGCCATTTCTAGCATTGGCAAGGATGTGGAGTAACTGGAACTCATATGTTGTTAGTTTGAATACAAAATAATAGTACAGCCAATTTGGAAAACGGTTTAGGTCTGACACAGTGGCTCACGCCTGTAATCCCAGCACTTCAGGAGGTCGAAGTGGGCGGATCACCTGTGGTCAGGAGTTCAAGACCAGCCTGGTCAACATGATGAAACCCTGTCTTTACTAATAATATAAAAAAAATTAGCCAGGAGTGGTGGTGTGTGCCTGTAATCCCAGCTACTTGGGAGGCTGAGGCAGGAGAATCGCTTGAACCAGGAAGGTGGAAATTGCAGTGAGCTGAGATCACGCCATTGCACTCCAGCTTGGGCAACAAGAGTGGAACTCCATCTCAAAAAAAAAAAAAAAGGAAAAAAAACGGTTTGGCAGTTTCTTTTAAAGTTAACCATGTATTCATGTAACTCAGAAATCCCTAGTGATTTGCTCCTCGATAGTTACTCAAGAGAAATAAAAACCTACGTCCACAGAAAAACTTGCACAATAACGTTCAGAGCAGCTTCACTCATACTAGCCCCAAACTGGAAACAATAAAAATTTCCATAATTAGATGAATAAATAATAAACTGTGGTGTATTCATGCAATGGACAACCATGGCATGATAAGCAACAATATGTTAAGTGAAATAATTAAGTAACAAAAAGAGTATCTGCACTACGACTCCATTTACTCACATTTCAAACAGAGCAAAAATAATAATAATAACCCTGCCCCATATTGTTTAGATATGTATACATAATTGGCAAAAACCATAGAGAAACAAAAGATATCATAAAATTTGGTCTAATGGGCCAGGTACAGTGGCTCATGTCTGTAATCCCAGCAATTTGGGAGGCCACAGCAGGAGGCTCACTTGAGCCTAGCAGTTTGAGACTAGCCTGGGCAACATAGCCTGGGCCCTACCTTTATTTAAAAAAAAAAAAAATTAGCCACCTGGTGGTATCCCAGCAACTTGGGAGGCTGAGGTGGGAGGATCACTTGAGCCAGGGAGGTCAAGGCTGCAATGAGCTATGATGACACCACTGCATTCCAGCCTTGGTGACAGAGTGAGATTGTGTCAAAAAAAAAAAAAAAAGTCTAAATGCTTACCTCCAAGGAGCACGACAAGCTAGCAATCTTCTCTGAGAAAGAGAAAGCTAGCAATCTTCTCTTTCTTGACCTCGGTGGTATTTTCATGATGTTTACTCCATATTTTATTAACTTTACATACATATTTTATATATACTTCTGTACATATACATTTTACTATTAAAATGTAGAAATAAAAAACTAAACACTATTTGACTGAATTATTATGAATCACTTAATGTCTAATATTTAAATGCTCAAGCATTTAAACATACAACTTTTTTTTTTTTTTTGAGACTGAGTTTCACTCTTTGTTGCCCAGCCTGGAGTGCAGTGGCATGATCTTGGCTCACTGCAACCTCTGCCTCCCAGGTTCAAGCAATTCTCCTGTCTCAGCCTCCTGAGTAGCTGGGATTACAGGTGCCCACCACCATGCCTGGCTAATTTTTGTATTTTTAGTAGCAATGGGATTTCAACATGTTGGCTAGGCTGGTTTTGAACTCCTGTCACACACGTCCATGTGGAGAGAGACCATCAAACAGGCTTTGTGTGAGCAATAAAGCTTTTTAATCGCCTGGGTGCAGGCGGACTGAGTCCAAAAAAGGAGTCAGCAAAGGGAGATAGACAAGGGTGAGGCAGTTTTATAGGATTTGGGTAGGTAGTGGAAAATTACAGTTAAAGGGGGTTGTTCTCTTGCTGGCAGGGGCGGGGGTTACAAGGTGCTCGGTGGGGAGCTTCTGATATTCATTGTCCAGGAGAAGGAATGTCACAAGGTAATGTCATCAGTTAAGGCAGGAACCGGCCACTGACCTCCTGATCCACCTGCCTCGGCCTCCCAAAGTGTTGGGATTACAGAGGGGACCCACCACACCTGGCCTATGACTTTTTTTTTAAAGGGGAAACACTGTGTCTTGTTTACCTTTGTATCAGTTTCCCAGTCTAACAAGTAGTCTACAAGTAATTGGAGACTTACCAATTGTTTGCTGAGCAGATTAAGATACATATTGTATAATGAAAGATAATTTGATATAATTTTAAAATTATTAATGTACTAGGTCACCTAAATGGAGACAAAAGGACATAATTATATGATTATATCACTTATAGGGAGTGATTTAAATTCACATTAATTCCTAAATTCCATGTGTTTAAAAACAAGATTTAATATCCAGACTATGGCAACACCATCTTTTACAAGTTATAGAATTTTGCAAATCAAATTATACATTGTTTTCACATTTTATCACAGTTACTATTTTTGCCAGTGTATTTGTTCTGTTAATTCATATACTGAAGAGAAAGGGCTAGAGTCTATACAACCACACCATTTCCAGTGAACACAATAATGCAGATGCTGGTATTTGTTTGTTTGTTTGTTTGTTTGTTTGTTTGTTTTGAGACAGTGTCTCACTCTGTCACCCAGGCTGGAGTGCAGTGGTGCAATCAGGGCTTATTGTAGCCTCAACCTCCCAGGCTCAAGTGATCCTCTCACCTCAGCTTCCTGAGTAGCTGGCACTACAGGCACATGCCACCATGTCTGGTTAATTTTTTTTTTTTTTTTTTTGTATTTAAGATGGGGTTTCACCACGTTACCCAGGCTGGTCAAGTAAAAATGTAAACAATATTTCCATATGAAGGCAACATGATTGCATATTTTGAAAAACCAAGTGAACTACCAAAAACAATTTGATAAAATAATAGAATAAGAGAACTAGCAAAACTGCAAGGTAAATTGACTAAACTGTATTGCCACATTCCAACAATAAAAATTAGAAATTACAGTGAGATAAATCGCATACATAATAATGAGAAACATTAAATATTTAATCTAGTCTCAAATGTCATCAATTGCAAGACATCATCAGTTTAAGACACCATCAGTTTATGAATTACCAAGAAAGAAAAAATGTAGGCCGGGCACGGTGGCTCACGCCTGTAATCCCAGAACCTTGGGAGGCTGAGGCAGACGGATCATGAGTTCAGGAGTTTGAGACCAGTCGGACCAACATGGTGAAACCCCGCCTTTACTAAAAATACAAAAATTAGCCGGGCGTGGTAGTGGGCGCCTGTAGTCCCAGCTACTCCGGAGGCTGAGACAGGAGAATCGCTTGAACGTGGGAGGCAGAGGTTGCAGTGAGTCAAGATTGTGCCACTGCACTCCACCCTGGGTGACAGAGTGAGACTCCATCTCAAAAAAAAAAAAAAAGAAAAGAAAAGAAAAGAAAAGAAAGAAAAAATGTTGCCAATTAAACTTAAACTGACAATGAATTCTCATTCTCGTCATTTAGAATTTTTATTTTGGCCGGGCGCGGTGGCTCACGCCTGTAATCCCAGCACTTTGGGAGGCCGAGGCGGGTGGATCACGAAGTCAAGAGATGGAGACCATCCTGGCCAACCTGGTGAAACCCCGTCTCTACAAAAAATACAAAAAATTAGCTGGGCGTGGTGGCAAGTGCCTATAGTCCCAGCTACTCAGGAGGCTGAGTCGGGAGAATCGCTTGAACCTGAGAGGCAGAGGTTGCAGTGAGCCAAAATCGTGCCACTGCACTCCAGCCTGGCAACAGAGTGAGACTCCATCTCAAAAAAAAAAAAAAAAAAAGAATTTTTATTTTACATTTATTGAAAGAGTTCTTTAGATTATTAAGATAGATTTTTATCATATTATTGTTGTACATTCATAAAAAGAAAACAGAAACTAAATAAATTAGTTAAGGTATATTAAAAATAATTTTATATTGATAGACTAATTCTTCTAAACCATTTTTGAATTCAGATACTGATGTCTGTTTTCTAACACAATATTGATGGGAAAGACTACACCATGACCTTGAGTGCCCCACGCCCTTGCAGGGTATGCCAAGAATGCAAGGCCCTGACCACTCCTTCCTTAGCTATTTCTTAGGGTGGTGTTTGCTGAGGTAATGTCCCAACAGTGAGCCAGCCTATTTGCCACTCACTGTAAAAATGATAAATCTCCCAGCTCAACTTTTTTCTCCTGTAACACAACCCAATTTGTCCATCTAGGCCACCTGTGTTGTCCCTGTGGGAATTGGGAGGCTTGGGAAACCTCATGAACATCACCTGAACATTCTGCCTATTGCTTTTGACTTGAAAAATGCAGCCTTTTTTCTCTAACCCCTGGAGTCTCATGTTTTCTGCCAGCATCCACCCCATGCTTAGATCCACACAATTTAACAGGTAGCTTGTTAGCTTGCGAGGAGGGTAAAATCTCAGACTCTTTAAAGACCTTAACAAATATCAACATCTGACCATCAAGAATGTTGGTGATGAGGTATTTCTTAAGGGCATTCTGTTATGGACTCAAGAAATTTCTGCCAAGTGGGCGACGGCCATTCTGCAAGTTATGATGCACATGCAGAGGCAATTACTAACAAGTGTTATACAACTGATCCCAGTTTCAGATGTTAAGTTGAGAAGTAGAGGTTCCCCTACTTTTTCCCCATATTTCATCCACATTTTAGAATGGATGAAATATGCTATGGTATCCATATGGTATAATGAATATTTTTTGTTTATTCATGACTCGTTCTTTAGCTTCCTGATACATTTAAAAATTTATTATATCAAGTACCCTAATAATTAGATACCCCAAATCAGGTTGAAATCAACTGCTTTTCCATCAATGGATGAATGGTATAATGGTTAGTACTGAGTGTTAACTTGATTGGATCGAAGGATACAAAGTATTGATCTTGGGTGTGGCTGTGAGGGTGTTGTCAAAAGATACTAACATTTGAGTCAGTGGACTGAGGAAGGCAGATTCACCCTTAACCTGGTGGGCCCAATATAATCAGCTGCCAACGAATGTAAAGCAGGCAGAAAAACGTGAAAAGGATAGCCTCCCAGCCTACATCTTTCTTCCATGCTGGTTGCTTCCTGCCCACGAACATTGGACTCCAAGTTCTTCATTTGTGGGGGCTCGGACTGTCTCTCCTTGCTCCTCTGCTTGCAGACAGCCTATTGTGATTCCTTGTAATCGTGTGAGTTAATACTTAATAAACTCCCGTGTGTGTGTGTGTGTGTGTGTGTGTGTGTGTGTGTGTGTGTGTGTGTATCTTCTATTCTGTCCCTCTAGAGAACCCTGACTAATACAGATTTTGGTACCAGGAGTGGTTCTAGAGGAACAGAATGTTAAGGATGGAGTTCTTTCATTTTTGGGGTTTCTGGATTTGGCTGCTTAATATGATTAGACCCAAAAATGCTAAGGACTCTACTTCTAATAGTATGGAGAACACTGATAGTCCTTGGTGTGAACTGTTTAGAGAGTTATACAAAATAAATGCATTTGGCACACCTGATTCACCACTCATGAGAGGCAAAGAGTTTAGTGACTCTATACATAATATCTTTGACCATATGTGGAGAACCAAGGAACATAATGAAGCTGGTTGGTTGCTTCTAAGTTCAATGGACAAAGTGATGAAAGAAAATGATAAACTCAGGGATTCTGTCTCCTGGCTTCAGAAACAGATACTGAGCCTCAAATCTGCTAAGATTGCCCTGAGTGAGAGTCGTATCTCCTGTAGAGAAAACTGAAATTGTGGAAAAACAGATACAAGCTCTTAACATGTGAGTGGCTGACCCCCAATGAAAGATACATGTACAGCTTTGCCAGGTGTCTACTGTTAAAGTGAGGGCATTCATGGGAAAAGACTGGGACCCTGAAACTTGGAATGTGGATTTGTGGGAGGACCCTGATGAAGTCGGGGACACTGAGTTTGTAAACTCTGATGAACGTTTTTTGCCAGAAGGAACAGCTTCCCCATCCCCAGTAGTAGCAGCATCCTCTCCTCGACCCATGCTGCCATCAGCCTTTCCACCTTTGTCTAAGGAGATAAACCCTGCACTGCCTGAGGCAATAGCGATGGCCTCCCCTGAGGCAGCTGCCAGGCAAGATAATGTTGATTCTCTTCAGGAGCTACCCCCAACACCTCTGTTTGCTTCAAGACCTATAATGAGACTAAAGTCCTAGTGGGCCCCTAGATGTGAGGTTGAGAGTGTGACCCATGAGGAGGTGCACTACACTCGAAAGGAGCTGTTTGAGTTCTCTAATTTATAGAAACAGAAACCCGGAGAACAGGCAGTGGAATGGATACTAAGGATATGGGATAATTGTGGAAGAAACATAGAATTGGATCAGGCTGAATTTATTGATTTGGCCCACTAAGTAAGGACTCTGCTTTTAATGTTGCAGCTTGGGGAGTTAAAAAAGGTTCTAATTGTTTACTTGCTTGGTTAGCAGAAATATGTATTAAAATATGGTCCACTGTGAGTGTGCTAAAATGCCTGATTTCCCTTGGTTTAATGTAGAGGAAGGGATCAAATGGCTTAGGGAGATTGGGATGGTGGAGTGCATTAGTGACTTTAGACCTACTCATCCCAGCTGGGAGGATCCAGAAGATATAGCCTTGACCAATGCCTTGCTAAATAGATTTCTGAGGGCAGCACCTGTATCTTTGAAGAGCCCTGTCATTCCTCTTCTCTGTATGTCAGATCTAAGAGTGGCAACCACAGTCACTCAACTACAAAATTTAAATACAATGGAAATAGGTCAGGCAGTTTGGCTCATGCCTGTAATCCCAGCACTTTGGGAGGCCAAGGTGGGTGGATCACCTGAGGTCAAGAGTTCAAGACCAGCCTGGCTAACATGGTGAAACCCCATCTCTACTAAAAACACAAAAATTAGCCAGGCGTGGTGGCGGGTGCCTGTAATCCTAGCTACTGGGAAGCTGAGACAGGAGAATTGCTTGAACCTGGGAGGTGGAGGTTGTAGTGAGCCAGGATTGAGCCACTGCACTCCAGCCTGGGCGATAAACCAAGACTCTGTCTCAGAAATAAAAATAAAAATAAAAAATAAATACAATGGAAATAACTGAATTCTGAGGTCACAGGGGCCAAGTGGTGGCACTCAACTGTCAAAGACAAGGTGGGCATAGCTACCATAATGGACAGCAGAGGCAAAACAGCAATCAGAATAGTTTGACTTGTGTAGAGCTCTGGCATTGGCTAATTAATCACGGTGCTCCTAGAAGTGAAATTGATAGGAAGCCTACTCCATTCCTACTAAATTTACACTAGCAGGAAATGTCTAGGTTGAATGGACAAAACACTGATTTGAATTATAAAAACAGAGAATCACGGCTCCTCAATCAATTTCCAGACTTGAGCCAATTCACAACCCAGAGCTCCTTGAATAAAGGGGAGGCCAGGTCCCTTTGAGGAAGGTCTCCACTACTTTACCAACAATGTTTTTTTTTTTTTTTTTGCGATAGAGTTTTGCTCTGTCACCCAGGCTGGAGTGCAATGGCATGATCTCGGCTCACTGCAAACTCCGCCTCCCAGGTTCAAGCGATTCTTCTGCCTCAGCCTCCTGAGTAGCTGGGATTACAGGCGTGTGCCACTAGGCCTGGTTAATTTTTGTATTTTTAGTAGAAGCGGGGTTTCACCATGTTGGCCAGGCTGGTCTTGAACTCCTGACATCAGGTGATCCGCCCGCCTCTGCCTCCCAAATTGCTGGGATTACAGATGTGAGCCACTGTGTCCAGCCCATTACCAACAATTTATGCAGTGAATCTTTCTCCCATCCTTCCACAAAGAGACCTTTGGCCTTTTACCAGGGTAACTGTGCATCAGGGAAAGGGAAATGATCAGACATTTGGGGGAATACTGGACACTGGCTCTGAGCTGACGTTGATTCCAGGGGACCCAAAACATCATTGTGGTCCTCCAGTTAAAGCAGGGGCTTATGGAGGTCAGGTAATTAATGGAGTTTTAGCTCAGGTCTGACTTACAGTGGGTCCAGTGGGCCCCTGGACTCATCCTGTGGTCATTTCCCCAGTGCCAGAATGCATCATTGGCATAGATATACTTAGGAGCTGGCAGAACTCCCACATTGGCTGCCTCACTGGTAGGGTGAGGGCTATTAAGCGGGAAGGCCAAATGGAAGCCATTAGAGCTGCCTCTACCTACAGAAATAGTAAATCAAAAACAGTATCTTTCCCCTGGAGGGATTGCGGAGATTAGTGCCACCATCAAGGACTTGAAAGATGGAGGGGTGGTGATTTCCACCACATCCCTGTTCAACTCTCCCATCTGGCCTGTGCAGAAGACAGATGGATCTTGGAGAATGACAGTGAATTATCATAAGTTTAACCAAGTGGTGACTCCAATTGCAGCTGCTGTACCAGATGTGGTTTCATTGCTTGAGCAAATTAACACACCTCCTAGTACCTGGTATGCAGGCATTGACTTGGCAAATGCCTTTTTCTTAATCCCTGTCCAAAAGGCCCACCAGAAGCAATTTGCCTTTAGCTGGCAAGGCCAGCAATATACCTTTACTGTCCTACCTCAGGGGTACATCAATGCTCCAGCTTTGATTCAAAGAGATCTTGATCACTTTTTGCTTTTGCAAAATATCACCCTAGTCCATTACATTGATGACAGTATGCTGATTGGATCCAGTGAGCAAGAAGTAGCAAACACACTGGACTTATTAGTGAGACATTTGCATACCAGAGGATGGGAAATAAATCCAAGTAAAATTCAGGGAACTTCTACCTCAGTAAAATTTCTAGGGGTACAGTGGTGTGGGGCCTGTCAAGATATTCCTTCTAAGGTGACGGACAAGTTGCTGCATTTGGCCCCTCCTACAACCAAGAAAGAGGCACAACGGCTAGTGGGTCTATTTGGATTTTGGAGGCAACACATTACTCATTTGGGTGTATTACTCTGGCCCATTTATCGAGTGACCTGAAAGGCTGCCAGTTTGAGTGGGATCCAGAACAGGAGAAGGCTCTGCAAGGCCTTCTCAGCACACAGGTCCAGGCTGCTGTGCAAGCTGCTCTGCCACTTGGGCCATATGACCCAGCAGATCCAATGGTGCTTGAGGGGTCGGTGTCAGATAGGGATGCTGTTTGGAGCGTTTCGCAGGCCCCCATAGGTGAATCACAGTGAAGGCCTCTAGGATTTTGGAGCAAGGCCCTACCATCTTCTTCAGATAACCACTCTCCTTTTGAGAGACAGCTCTTGGCCTGTTACTGGGCTTTGGTGCAAATTGAACGTTTGATTATAAGTCATCAACTCACCCTGTGACCTGAACTGCCTATCATGAACTGGGTGCTTTCTGACCCATCTAGTTATAAACTGGGTCGTGCAACCAGCAGCATTCCATCATCAAACAGAAGTGGTATATACGAGATAGGGCTCGAGCAGGTCCTGAAGGCACAAGTAAGTTACATGAGGAAGTGGCTCAAATGCCTATGGTCTCCACTCCTGCCACCCTGCCTTCTCGCCCCCAGCCTGCACCAATGGCCTCATGAGGAGTTCCCTATGATCAGTTGACAGAGGAGGAGAAGACTAGTGCCTGGCTCACAGATGGTTCTGCACAATATGCAGGCACCACCTGAAAGTGGACAGCTGCAGCACTCCAGCCCCTTTGTAGGACATCCCTGAAGGACAACGGTAAAGGCATATCTTCCCAGTGGGCATAACTTCGAGCAGTGCACCTGGTTGTGCACTTTGCATGGAAGGAGAAATTGCCAGATGTCCAATTATATACTGATTCATGGGCTGTAGCCAATGGTTTGGCTGGTCAGGGACTTGGAAGAAGTGTTGATTGGAAAATTGATGACAAAGAAACTTGGGGAAGAGGTATGCGGATGGACCTCTCTGAGTGGGCAAAAATCGTGAAGATATTTGTATCCTGTGTGAGTACTCACCAACAGGTGACCTCAGCAGAGGATAATTTTTTTTTTTTTGAGACAGAGTCTCGCTCGGTCGCCCAGGCTGGAGTGCAGTGGTGCAATCTCAGCTCACTGCAACCTCTGCCTCCTGGGTTCAAGCAATTCTCCTGTCTCAGCCTCCCGAGTAGCTGGGACTACAGGCGCCTGCCACCACGCCCGGTTAATTTTTGTGTTTTTAGTAGTGACGGGGTTTCACCTTGTTGGTCAGGCTGCTCTCGAACTCCTGACCTTAGGTGATCCACCCGCCTCGGCCTCCCAAAGTGCTGGGATTTCAGGCATGAACCACTGCACTAGGCCAGAGGAGAATTTTAATAATCAAGTGGATAGGGTAACCTGTTCTGTGGACACCACTCAGCCTCTTTTCCCAGCCACCCCTGTCATCACCCAATGGGCCCATGAACAAAGTGGCCATGGTGGCAGGGATGGAGGTTACACCTGGGCTCAGCAACATGGACTTCCACTCACCAAGGCTGACCTAGCTAAGGCCACTGCTGAGTGCCCAATTTGCCAGCAGCGGAGACCAACACTGAGCCCTCTATGTGGCACCATTCCTCGGGGTGATCAGCAAGCTACCTGGTGGCAGGTTGATTATACTGGACTTCTTTCATCATGGAAAAGGCAGAGGTTTGTCCTCACTGGAATAGACACTTTCTCCGGATATGGGTTTGCCTATCCTGCACACAATGCTTCTGCCAAGACTACCATCTGTGGACTCATGGAATGCCTTATCCGCTGTCATGGTATTTCACACAACATTGCCTCTGACCAAGGCACTCACTTTACGGCTAAAGAAGGGAACCAGTGGGCTCATGCTCAATGGAATTCACTGGTTTTACCATGTTCCCCATCATCCTGAAGCAGCTGGATTGATAGAACGGTGGAATGGCCTTTTGAAGTCACAATTACAATGCCAACTAGGTGACAATACTTTGCAGGGCTGGGGCAAAGTTCTCCAGAAGACCATGTATGCTCTGAATCAGCATCCAATATATGGTACTGTTTCTCCCATAGCCAGGATTCATGGGTCCAGGAATCAAGGGGTGAGAGTGGAAGTGGCACCATTCACCATCACCCCTAGTGATCCACTAGCAAAATTTTTGCTTCCTGCTCCTGGAACATTATGTTCTGCTGGCCTAGAGGTCTTAGTTCCAGAGGAAGAAACACTGCCACCAGGAGACACAACAACGATTCCATTAAACTGGAAGTTAAGATTGCCACCTGGACACTTTGCGCTCCTCCTACCTTTAAGTCAACAGGCTAAGAAGGGAGTTAAAGTTTTGGCTGTGGTGATTGACCCAGACTATCAAGATGAAATCAGTCTACTACTTCACAATGGAGGTAAGGAAGAGAATGCATGGAATACAGGAGATCCATTAGGACATCTCTTAGTATTACCATGTCCTGTGATTAAGGTCAATGGAAAACTACAACAGCCCAATCCAGGCAGGACTACAAATGGCCCAGACCCCTCAGGAATGAAGGTTTGGGTCACTCCACCAGGAAAAAACCCACAACCTGCTGAGGTGCTTGCTGAAGGCAAAGGGAACACAGAATGGCTAGTAGAAGAAGGTAGTCATCAATACCAGCTACGACGAAGTGACTAGGTGCAGAAATAGGGACTGTAATTGTCATGAGTATTTCCTTCTTCTTTTGCTGAAAACATGTTTGTGCATGTATAAACTTGTACTAAGAAAATATCTTTATTTTATTTCCTTTTCCTTTATCATGTGACATAAGATTTATTGACTTCATATCAGCATTTAAATATTGTTAACTTTATGTAATAGTATTTGGGGATTGGTACGTTTCCCGTTGTACGAAGGATAGTTGTATTGTGTTAGGCGTAATTGTGACCTTATTATTGTCTTTATTTGAAGACTATGTGTGATCTCAGGAGATGTGTATCAGTTCAAGTTGACTAGGAGTAGACTTGTGATGGTTAATACTGAGCATCAACTTTTCAGATTGAAGGATACAAAATATTGATCCTGGGTGTATCTGCGAGGGTGTTGCCAAAAGAGATTAACATTTGAGTCAGTGGGCTAGGGAAAGCAGATTCACCCTTAATCTGGTGGGCACAGTCTAATCAGCTGCCAGCAAATATGAACCAGGAAGAAAAACATGAAAAGGAGAGACTGGCCTAGCCTCCCAGCCTACATCTTTCTCCCGTGCTGGATGCTTCCTGCCCTTGAACACTGGACTCCAAGTTCTTCAGTTTTGGGACTTGGACTGGCTCTCCTTGCTCCTCAGCTTGCAGAGAGCCTATTGTGGAACGCTGTGATCATGTAAGTTAATACTTAATAAACTCCCCTTTATATATATATATATATATTTTATTAGTTCTGTCCCTCTAGAGAAGACTGACTACTACAAATGGATAAAGAAAATGTGTTGCATATACATACAGTAGAATACTATTCAGCCACAAAAAAGAACAAAATATTGTCATTTGCAACAACATTGATGGAACTGGAAGACATCATGTTAAGTGAAATAAGCTGGGCACAGAAAGACAAATATCACATGTTCTCACTCATCTGTGGAAGCTAAAAAAAATCAATCTCATGGTGATAAAGAGTGGAATGGTGGTTGCCAGAGGCTTGGAAGGGTAGTGAGGAGGCAGGGATAAAGTGGGGATGGCTAATGGCACTAAAATACAGTTGTATGTAATGAATAAGATCAGTATTTGGAACCAAAATCGGATGACTATAGTTAACAACAATTTATTGTATATTTCAAAATAACTAAAACAGTGGAATTGGACTATTCTTTTCTATTCTTTTTTGAGACAGAGTCTCACTCTGTCACCAGGCTGGAGTGCAGTGATGTGATCTCAGCTCACTGCAACCTCCACCTCCCGCGTTCAAGTTATTCTCCTGCCTCAGCCTCCCGAGTAGCTGGGATTACAGGCATGTGCCACTACACCCAACTAATATTTGTATTTTTAGTAGAGACACGGTTTCACCATGTTGGCCAGGATGGTCTCCATCTCTTGACCTTGTGATACGCCTGCCTCAGCCTCTCAAAGTGCTCGGATTACAGGCGTGAGCCACCACACCCAGCCAAATTGGACTATTCTTAACACAAATAAATGACAAATGCTTGAGCTGATGGTTACCTTGATTACACTAATTTGGTCATTACACATTTTGTGTCTGTATCAAAACATCACAAGTACCCCACAAATATATACATTATTACTTACTCATAACAATTAGAAATAATTATTTTTAAGACAAACAGCTGAATAAATCAAAGACCAGAGAGAATTAGGTGAGATCTGTTGTAACTACGTGGCTTGATTGTTTATTTTGTGTACATGGGTCTCAATTTTCCCAGATAATTTACTTAGATACAGCATGTAGTATTAGCAATAGCACAGACTTTTTAAAAATTTAATCAATGGCTCCTAAAGGATTTTTTTAGGTTAGAGTTTGTTAAGTTACCAGCAAGAAGGTATTGATGGCAAAGTTTCTGTTACACCATTATCCTGCGAAGTAAACAAGGTAGCATTAAGGAGGATAAAATTCTCATTGTGACATGGAGCCTTGTTCCAACATCTTGGGAAAAGCTGTTTACAGTGTGAAAACATTAACTTCTCTGGGTTTGTAATTTGGATGTCTTTGGTCATGACATTGGGCAGTTTGGTGAACTTTTTGCGTGGCACACACACCAAGCATGAGGCTTGTTCCTTAAAATTAATCTAATGTTAGCTTATAGGACTTTAGGAATAGAGCAGCTTTCATTTTGAGGGTGAAAGCTGCAGCCAAATATTGGAGAAAGTAGGAGGCTTCAGGACCTACTCCAGTCTACAGGCAGATAACAAGAACTTGGAAGTAAGGCACAGGGCTACTACATAACAAAAGATGTATTATAGTTTCTCTTTAGAAACATAAATTTTTATCTCTATATTGAGCATACATGAATCTCAGATTTAAAAATTTCTTTTCTTTTTTTTTTTTTGAGATGGAGTCCCACTGTGTTACCCAGGCTGGAGTACAGTGGTGCGATCTTGGCTTACTGCAAGCTCCGCCTCCTGGGTTCACGCCATTCTCCTGCCTCAGCCTCCTGAGTAGCTGGGATGACAGGCGCCTGCCACCATGCCTGGCTAATCTTTTGCATTTTTAGTAGAGACGGGATTTCACCGTGTTAGCCTGGATGGTCTCGATCTCCTGACCTCGTGATCCACCCGCCTCGGCCTCCCCAAGTGCTGGGATTACAGGCGTGAGCCACGGCGCCTGGCCAATTTAAAAATTTCTTAAGGCGAGGAAGGCAAACAAAGGAGACTTTAGATTTTACTTATAATGTTCTTGGGCCTGCTGGGAAGTGACTGTTTTTATTCACTCACTATAAGGCTGGGAATTCTTGAAGCCAGGCATTTCATGTACATTTTTAAGACATTTCAGTCAAAGCCTTGGTAGTAAAACCAGTGTTCCAATTGTATCCTCCTTATATAGAGAGCAGATTTTTATTGAACTTATTTAAATAAAAATAAGAATACAGCTGGGTGCAGTGGCTCACACCTGTAATCCCAGAACTTTGGGAGGCCAAGGAGGGCAGATCGCCTGAGGTTGGGAGTTTGAGACAGCCTGGCCTACATTGTGAAACCTGTCTCTACTAAAAATACAAAAATTAGCCAGGCATGGTGGCGCATGTATATAATACCGGCTACTTGGTAGGCTGCGGCAGGAGAATCACTTGAACCTGGGAGGTAGAGGTTGCAGTGAGCTGAGATCGCACCACTGCACTCCAGAGACAGACCGAGACTCCATCTCAAAAAAAAAAAAAAACACTGGGTGTGGTGGCTCACGTCTGCAGTCCCAGCACTTTGGGAGGCTGAGGCAGGTGGATCACCTGAGGTCATGAGTTCAAGACTAGCCTGATGAATGTGGTGAAACCCCGTCTCTACTAAAAATACAAACATTAGCTGGGCATGATGGTCCGTGTCTGTAATCTCAGCTACTCAGGAAGCTGAGTCGGGATAATCACTTGAACCCAGGAGGCAGAGATGGTAGTGAGCCGAGATGGTGCCACTGCACACCAGCCTAGATAACAGAGTGAGACTCCATCTCCAAAATAATAATAATAATAATAATAAAATAAAGTAAAAATAAAAATAAGAATACTCACAAATAGTTTCCAACTTTTGAAGGAATCAAGTAGGGAGAAAAAGCAAATGCTTCCATCTTTGTTCAAAAAGGACACTTTATGAAATTGCTGTCAACTCACAATAAAAAATGATAAAGGGGATACCACCACTGATCCCACAGAAATACAAACTACCATCAAAGAATACTATAAACACCTCTATGCAAATAAATTAGGAAATCTAGAAGACATGGATAAATTCCTGGACACATACACCCTCACAAGACTAAACCAGGAAGAAGTTGAATCTCTGAATAGACCAATAACAGGCTCTGAAATTGAGGCAATAATTAATAGCCCACCAACCAAAATAAGTCCAGGACCAGATGGATTCACAGCCAAATTCTATCAGAGGTACAAAGAGGAGCTGGTACCATTCCTTCTGAAACTATTCCAATCAATAGAAAAAGAGGGAATCCTCCCTAACTCATTTTATGAGGCCAGCATCATCCTGATACCAAAGCAGGGCAGAGACACAACAAAAAAAGATAATTTTAGACCAATATCCCTGATGAACATTGATGCAAAAATCCTCAATAAAATACTGGCAAAACGAATTCAGCAGCACATCACAAAGCTTATCCACCATGATCAAGTGGACTTCATCCCTGGGATGCAAGGCTGGTTCAACATACCCAAATCAATAAATGTAATCCATCATATAAACAGAACCAAAGACAAAAAACACATGATTATCTCAATAGATGCAGAAAAGGCCTTCAACAAAATTCAATAGCCCTTCATGCTAAAAACTCTCAATAAACTAGGTATTGATGGAACGTATCTCAAAATAATAAGAGTTATTTATGACAAACCCACAGCCAATATCATACTGAAGGGGCAAAAACTGGAAGCATTCCCTTTGAAAACTGCCACAAGACAGGGATGCCCTCTCTCACCACTCCTATTCAACATAGTGTCGGAAGTTCTGGCCAGGGCAATCAGGCAGGAGAAAGAAATAAAGGGTATTCAATTAGAAAAAGAGGAAGGCAAATTGTCCCTGTTTGCAGATGACATGATTGTATATTTAGAAAACCCCATTGTCTCAGCCCAAAATCTCCTTAAGCTGATAAACAACTTCAGCAAAGTCTCAGGATCCAATGTGCAAAAATCACAAGCATTCCTATACAGCAATAACAGACAAACAGAGAGCCAAATCATGAGTGAACTCCCATTCACAACTGCTTCAAAGAGAATAAAATACCTAGGAATCCAACTTACAAGGGATGTGAAGGACCTCTTCAAGGAGAACTACAAACCACTGCTCAAAAAAATAAGAGGACACAAACAAATGGAAGAATATTCCATGCTCATGGGTAGGAAGAATCAATATCATGAAAATGGCCATACTGCCCAAGGTAATTTATAGATTCAATGCCATCCCCATCAAGCTACCAATGATTTTCTTCACAGAAGTGGGAAAAATTACTTTAAAGTTCATATGGAACCAAAAAAGAGCCCGCATTGCCAAGTCAATCCTAAGCCAAAAGAACAAAGCTGGAGGCATCACACTACCTGACTTCAAACTATACTACAAGGCTACAGGAACCAAAACGGCATGGTACTGGTACCAAAACAGAGATATAGACCAGTGGAACGAACAGAGCCCTCAGAAATAACACCACACATCTACAACCATCTGATCTTTGACAAACCTGACAAAAACAAGAAATGGGGTAAGGATTCCCTATTTAATAAATGATGCTGGGAAAACTGGCTAGCCATATGTAGAAAGCTGAAACTGGATCCCTTCCTTACACCTTATACAAAAATTAATTCAAGATGGATTAAAGGCTTAAATGTTAGACCTAAAACCATAAAAACCCTAGAAGAAAACCTAGGCAATACAATTCAGGCCACAGACAAAGTCAAGGACTTCATGACTAAAACACCAAAAGCAATGGCAACAAAAGGCAAAATTGACAAATGGGATCTAATTAAACTAAAGAGCTTCTGCATAGCAAAAGAAACTACCATCAGAGTGAAAAGGCAACCTACAGAATGGGAGAAAATTTTTACAATCTACCCATCTGACAAAAGGCTAATATCCAGAATCTACAAAGAACTTAAACAAATTTACAAGAAAAAATCAAACAACCCCATCAAAAAGTGGGCAAAGGGTATGAACAGACACTTCTCAAAAGAAGACATTTATGCAGCCAACAGACACATAAAAAAATGCTCATCATCATAGGCCATCAGAGAAATGCAAATCAAAACCACAATGAGATACCATCTCATACCAGTTAGAATGGTGATCATTAAAAAGTCAGGAAATAACAGGTGCTGGAGAGGATGTGCAGAAATAGGATCACTTTTACACTGTTGGTGGGACTGTAAACTAGTTCAACCATTGTGGAAGACAGTGTGACAATTCCACACTAGAAATACCATTTGACCTAGCCATCCCATTACTGGGTATACACCCAAAGATTATAAATCATGCTGCTATAAAGACACATGCACACGTATGTTTATTGCGGCACTATTCACAATAGCAAAGACTTGGAACCAACCCAAATGTCCATCAATGATAGACTGGATTAAGAAAATGTGGCACATATACACCATGGAATACTATGCAGCCATAAAAAAGGATGAGTTCACGTCCTTTGTAGGGACATGGATGAAGCTGGAAACTATCATTCTGAGCAAACTATCGCAAGGATAGAAAACCAACCACTGCATGTTCTCACTCATAGGTAGGAATTGAACAGTGAGAACACTTGGACACAGGGTGGGGAACATCACACACTGGGGCTTGTCGTGGGGTGGGGGGAGGGGGGAGGGATAGCATTAGGAGATATACCTAATGTAAATGACGAGTTAATGGGTGCAGCACACCAACATGGCACATGTATACATATGTAACAAACCTGCACGTTGTGCATGTGTACCCTATAACTTAAAGTATAATTAAAAAAAACAGAAATTGCTGTCAACTATAGATAGCTTATGAGAGAAGAATTCCTTAAATCTGAAAAACAAAACATTTTAGTAAAGAGCCAACAACGTCTTAAATAAAAGCCATAAAAACATTGTATTTATCAACTACTTAAATTTCATGTAATTGATGTCTTGTTTTGCTTTTTGCTTGATTCATAAAACCCATCAGTTTCTTTTCTTCTTTTATTCTTTGAGACAGGTTTTCACTCTAACACCCAGGCTCGAGTGCAGTGGTGGAATCATGGCTCACTGCAGCCTCAACTTCACAGGCTCAGGTGATTCTCCCACCTCAGCCTTCCAAGTAGCTGGTACTAGAAACTCACACCATCATACCTAGCTAATTTTTTGTATTTTTTTGAGAGACGAGGTTTTGCCATGTTACCCAGGCTGGTCTCAAGCTCCTGGGCTCCAGCAATCTGCCTGCCTTGGCCTCCCAAAGTCCTGGGATTACAAGCGTGAGCCAACACACTTGGCCAAACCCATCCGTTTCTTTATTAGAGTTCTGGAAATTTTTATTTAGTTCATTGATCTTAAAGTTATCAGAAATCTGTGTTCAAGAGTACTTGTTAGGCAGGGAGTGGTGGCTCATGCCTGTGATCCCAGCAATTTGGGAGGACAAGGCAGGCAGATCATCTGAGGTCAGGGGTTCCAGACCTGCCTGGCCAACATGGTGAAACCCTGTCTCTACTAAAAATACAAAAATTAGCTGGGCATGTTGGCGCACACCTGTAATCCCAGCTACTCCGGAGGCTGAGGCAGGAGAATCGTTTGAACCCAGGAGGCAGAGTTTGCAGTGAGCCGAGATCGCGCCATCGCACTCCAGCCTGGGTGACAGGGCGAGGCTGCATCTCAAAGAAGAAAAGAAAAGAAAAGAAAAGAAAAGAAAACCCAGTATCATGACTGACAGTGTCATATCAGGACCATTAGACTTTTATAAATTTTTTTTTTTTTTGAAACAGTTTCGTTCTTGTCGCCCAGGCTGGAGTGTAATGGAGTGATCTTGGCTCACTGCCACCTCCTCCACCTGGGTTCAAGCGATTCTCTTGCCTCAGCCTCCCGAGTAGCTGGGATTACAGGCACGCACCACCATGCTTGGTTAATTTTTGTATTTTTAGTAGAGATGGAGTTTCATGTTGGCCAGGCTGGTCTCAAACTCCCAACCTCAGGTGATCTGCCCGCCTTGGCCTCCCAAAGTGCTGGGATTACAGGCATGAGCCACCACTCCCAGCCTATACATTTTATTTTATTTTATTATTTTTTGAGATGGAGTTTCACTCTCGTCACCCAGGCTGGAGTGCAATGGCACGATCTCTGCTCACTACAACCTCTGCCTCCTAGGTTTAAGCGATTCTCCTGTCTCAGCCTCCCAAGTAGCTGGGATTACAGGCACCAGCCACCACACTCGGCTAATTTTCATTTTCATTTATTTTTTTTTTGAGGCAGAGTCTCGCTCTATCGCCCAGGCCAGAGTGCAGTGGCGCGATCTCGGCTCACTGCAAGCTCCACCTCCCGGCTTCACGCCATTCTCCTGCCTCAGCCTCCTGAGTAGCTGGGACTACAGGTGCCTGCCACCACACCCGGCTAATTTTTTTGTTGTATTTTTAGTATAGATGGGGTTTCACCATATTGGCCAGAATGGTCTCTATCTCTTGACCTCGTGATCTGCCCGCCTAGGCCTCCCAAAGTGCTGGGATTACAGGCGTGAGCCACCGCACCCGGCCAATTTTCATATTTTTAATAGAGATGGGGTTTCATCATGTTGGCCAGGCTTATCTCAAACTCCTGACCTCAGGTGATCTGCCCACCTCAGCCTCCCAAAGTGCTGAGATTACAGGTGTGAGCCACCGCATCTGACCAAATTTTATATAATCTTTATAATACTCATATTAATAACATATCCATATAAATATAACTTAAAAGTTTCAACACAATAATCAAAATTATGACTAATAACATATTAAATTTTTATGTTTATATAATTTTTGGAACATTTATACTAATAATATACCCATAATGTAACTGAAAGAATATCTAGTATCATTTGTCATTTCACAACGCCTCCTATGCAATTTGCCAAATAAGCCGAATCATTTACTATCTCTATAAGATGAGAGACATATTCTTTGAGGCTTCCCAGGGGTCCAACTAGAAATCCCAATGTTAATTTTGGGCCAAAAAGACTTAGGATTCTGATCCTGGGGAAATTGGCCAATAATGTCAAAAGGTTCAAAACATTCGATTAAAACAGAATCACAGCAAAATAATAATAAAAAGACCAAAAGCAATACAGAAAGTTACATGGATGTAGAAACCTAACCCTTTAAAAGCTCAGTTATCCAGCTAATTGAAACCCAATAAAGATAATATATGAATTATCTTGATAAAATGTAAAGTCTTGCTGAAATGGAAGGATCATTTAAGGCCAGGAGTTCAAAACCAGCCTGGTCGACAGAGCAAGACCCCATCTCAAAAAGCTAAACTAAACTAAGATCTTTGTTTTGTCTCTTTAAAGCCCAGTTACCAAAAAAGAAAAGAAAAATTTCCTACAGTGTAATTGCTTCTCCTTAGGGGAAGCCTGTTTACATAACCTGGAAGTTAAACTTGATGAAAACGGTATTTGAATTAAGTAGACACAGGAAGAATGTGACCAGCATCTTGAATGTACGCTACATTATAAAGGAATATAAACAAAAAAACTAGTACATTGAATAGAAAAATAGCTGGATCTCAGAAAAAGCATGGGGAGTTTCCTGGTTACATGGAACAATTCAGACACATCAAGAAAAGCCAAGACTAGAGAATCAAGTTACTCTGTAGAAAAACATTGCTTTTGTACACCTTCAAGACAAACATGTCAGCGTCAGGCCACAACAGCAGAGTTGGAACCAGAGAAAAAATGTTATAGGAGTTGATGAAACAGTTGAAGGACAGAGTTATCACTCCAGCCAAGCAAAAAGATATACCTTTTCAAGGAGAGAAATAACAGAGGCCATGATGTATGCTCTGCACATCTCATACAGTGAAGTACAGCAAAAGTTGAACTTCTTAGATATAAATCTGAAAAGCTTCAAACAAAATTACCTTAAGAAATGGGGCCAGGCATGATGACTTACGCCTATAATTCTAGCACATTGGGAGGCTGAGGTGGGAGTATTGCTTGAGGCTCAAGACCAGCCTGAGAGTCCCAGAAAACCTTGCCTGCCTTAATGTTTGAAAAGATCATTCCATTTCTTATTAATTTCTTGAGAGCAAAGAATACTCTACAAATCCTTTCAGGGAATATCAGGAGTTTAGACTATTGTTTTAGCTGAGGCAACCACTCTAGTGATGTTTAATTAGCTGTCCTGCACCCACCGCCAAGAATGTTTGTTTTGGTTTGGCCGGGCGCGGTGGCTCACGCCTGTAATCCCAGCACTTTGGGAGGCCGAGGCAGGCAGATCATGAGGTCAGGAGATCGAGACAATCCTGGCCAATATGGTGAAACCCCGTCTCTACTAAAAATACAAAAAAAAAATTAGCCAGGTGCGGTGGCAGGTGCCTGTAGTCCCAGCTACTCGGGAGGCTGAGGCAGGAGAGTGGTGTGAACCCAGGGGGCGGAGCTTGCAGTGAGCCGAGATTGGCCACTGCACTCTAGCCTGGGCGAAAGAGTGAGACTCCATCTCAAAAAAAAAAAAAAAAAAAAAAAAAAAGTTTGTTTCGGCTCTTGGAAGATTTTCAGAAACAAGCAAGAAGAAAGAGTCAAACCAAATAAAAATAGATCAAGATAAGAGTTTTTGCCAACATTTTAACCCAGTTGTGCAGAACAAATGAAATATTAAACTAGGCATGCAAACCAGGGAAGACATGCCTCACAGACAGAATGTAAATTCTGTAGAAACCAAGAGTCCTCAATTCAGAAAGATGCTTATCTTTATACCAGAAAAGACACACACAAAAAAACCTTTTATAGTCCCAGAAGGTACACAAGATCTTTTATTAAGATTGCCTTATCCACACCAGATCCCAAATAAAGTAAAAAAGCTTCTACCTGAAGGAGGGAGGCTCAACCTGAGAGAAGACTCACCAAGCCAGAAAAGGCAAGCTGTGGAAGTGGAGAGCTCAAAGAGTTCAAGTGAGTACTCTGCAAACTGGTTCCAAGCATAGCTGATTCCTTTCAATAGTGAACTTTTCTTCAGGTCTCACTTCTGACACCACGTATGTCAATCTAAACAGCAAACAGAGAGAGACTTTCCAAAAGAAAATGATGTTTATTTGAAAATACAGCACTGCAATGGAAATACGCATGCCACAGTAAACTATGTGTGTATGGTTTCTGAAGGAAAAAAATGAGAATTACATAATTGTTTTGAAATAATTATACTTCGCTACAAAGATCAACAACAAGGGTGACACCAGTCTGAAGTTGAACGGGCAGTTGCTGGGCAGATGTCCTTTCGGAAGCATTTTTTGTTAATGATTGCAATGGCCTTTGTGTGAGGTTGCAGAGTTTTTCTTGTTACCAGCATGTAAATGTGAGAACCCTCTCTTCATGGTCCTCCTCAGCTCTGTTTGTCAGGGTTTTCTTAACATTAGTGACTCTATTTTGACTAAGACAACTTTCTTCCTTTTTTTTTTTTTGAGATGGACTCTTGCTTTGTCACCCAGGCTGGAGTGCAGTGGCATGATCCCAGCTCACTGCAACCTCCGTTCCCTGGGTTCAGGCAATTCTCCTGACTCACCCTCCTTAGTATCTGGGATTACAGGCGCCTACCACCATGCCAGGCTAATTTTTGTATTTTTAGTACAGATGGGGTTTCACCATGTTGGCCACGCTGGTCCTGAACTCCTGACCTCAAGTGATCTACCCGCCTCGGCCTCCCAAAGTGCTGGGATTACAGGTGTGAGCCACCACGCCCGGTCAGACTATGACAACTTTCACAATGGTATTTTGTTACAGTAACCTGAACACACCAAATAAGAATATAGATTATATATTTATAATTATGTAAATATATACTTATATATTTATAACCAAAGGTTAATTACAAGCACTCTCTTCCCCTATACCATAAGGGCATATAATCCCTCCTACCACTATCACTATCTTTTTTTTTTTGGAGATGGAGTCTTGCTCTGTCACCTAGGCTGGAGTGTAATGGCGCAATCTTGGCTCACTGCATCCTGCGCCTCCCAGGTTCAAGCGATTCTCCTGCCTCAGCCTTCCAAGTAGTTGGAACTACAGGCGCGCACCATTATGTCCGGCTAATTTTTTTTTTCTTTGAGACGGAGTCTTGCTCTGTTTCCCAGGCTGGAGTGTAGTAGCACTATCTCGGCTCACTGCAACCTCCACCTCCTGGGTTCAAGCGATTCTCCTGTCTCAGCCTCCTGAGTAGATGGGATTACAGGTGTGTGCCACCACGCCTGGCTAATTTTTGTATTTTTAGTAGAGATGGGGGTTTCATCATATTGGCCAGGCTGGTCTCAAACTCCTGACCTCAAGTAATCTGCCCACCTCGGCCTCCCAAAGTGCTGGGATTACAGGTGTGAGCCACTGCGCCCAGCCCACTATCACCATTGATCCACTTTGTAGGTTGATTAGAATGAGAGAAAGAAAATCTGCAAGATAGAACATTGATAAGAAAGAGACTTAGGTACCAAAAAAAAAAAAAAAAAAAAGGAAGTACCATTATTTGTCAACATAAAGACTTTCCCTTCTATATACTGGGGTAGAGGCTCATAAAGGATGTTCAATTTTAGAAAAAAAAAACAAAACTATATTTTCTTTGTAAGATGTGTAAATTTGCCATCATCTCACTTACCACAAAGGAAGCCAGCCTGAAGACAAAGGGCAGAGTGAAGAGAATTAAAGAAAAATTGAACAAGGGTCCTGCCCAATCAAACTTGTAGGAAACCTGCCGAACCTCTGCATCAATGAGACGATCAGTTGGAATTACAGGTGTGTGCCACCACACTCAGCTAATTTTTGTATTTTGAGTAGAGATGGGGTTTCACCATGTCATCCAGGCTGGTCTCGAACTCCTGACCTCAAGTGATCCATCCACCTCAGCCTCCCAAAGTGCTGGGATTACAGGTGTGAGCCACCATGCCCGGCCCAGAATGTATATTTTAACAAGATTCCCAGGTGATCCATACGTACATTAAGATTTGAGAAATACCATTGTATTAGGCTGTTCTTACATTGTTATAAAGAAATACCAGAGACTGGGTAATTTACAGGAAAATAAGTTTACGTGTCTCATGGTTCTACAGGATGTATAGGAAGCATAGCACTGATATCTGCTTCTGGCGGGGGCCTCAGGAAGCTTTTACTCACGACGGAAGGCAAAGTGGGAGCGCGTAAGTCACATGGCAAAAGCAGGAACACAGGCAGGGGGGAGGTGCCACTTTTTTTTAAAAGAGAGTCTTGCTTTGTCACACAGGCTGGAGTGCAGTGGCATGATCTCAGCTCATTGCAGCCTCTGCCTCCCAGATTCAAACGATTCTCATGCCTCAGCCTCCCAAGGTGCCACACACTTTTAAACAACCGGATCTCATGAGAACTCACTCACCATCATGAGGACAGCACCAAGGAATTGTGCTAAACCATTCACAAGAAATTCACCCTCATGATCCAATCACCTCCCACCAGGCCCCACATCCAACACTGGGAATTACAATTCAACATGAGATTTAGGTAGGAACAAATATCCAGGCTATATCTACTGTTTTCTTTGGGTTTGTATAGCATGTTCTTTATTCATTGCTAGTAAAATACTCATCTGTCTCCCACTAAACCTGTGATATTCTTGAAAGCAGGAAATCTGTATTATTACTTTTTGTATTCTGACCACTGCTAGTTGTTCACCAAAACCATTTTCTCAGTCTTTCTGGGTACACTGCTAATCTACATTTCCCAGGCTTCCTTGCAGTTAGGTGTGATCATGTGACTAAGTTATTTCCAGTGGAATGTAAGCAGAAATATTATGTACTATTTCTGGGCACAGGTCTTAAAGACTGTGGGCAAAGCTCACTGTTTTTTCCCTTCTCTTTGACTGGAATCTTAGTTTACAGGGTCTCAGTTGCACTAGCTACATTTCATATGCTCAGTAGCACTTTTGGCTAATGGTTACCATATTAAGACACAGCAGACATAGAACATTTTCATCATTACAGAAATTTATATTGGATAGGAGCACCCTAGAGAGAATATCTACAATCTGTCAGATACCCCAGAATCATTACAATAAATCACCTCTGTTACTTAGGCTAATCAGATTTGATTTTACTATATGCTTTCAAAAGGAACTCAGTTATTATATATCTGGCACTATAACTATACCTACTAAACACTAAACCAAATCTGATGGGGCAATTCTCAGGCTTATTTCTATTTGACCTTTATCAGTTTTTTACCTGGTCAACCATTTCCTTGGATCTCTTCTACCCCTGACATTCTCTCATAAGAATTGGTATGCTGGCAGGCCACGGTGGCTCACACCTGTAATCCCGGCACTTTGGGAGACCGAGGTGGGTGAATCACGAGGTCAGGAGTTCAAGACCAGCCTGGCCAACATAGTGAAACCCCGTCTCTACTAAAAATACGAAAATTAGCTGGGCCTGGTGGTGGGCACCTGTAATCCCAGCTACTTGGGAGGCTGAGGCAGGAGAATCGCTTGAACCCGGGAGGCGGAGGTTGCAGTGAGCAGAGATCGTGCAACTGCACTCCACCCTGGGTGACAATGTGAGACTCTGTCTCAAAAAAAAAAAAAAAGAATTGGTATCCTCCATAAAATCTCTTACCAATATATACTAAAGACAGATGACCCTTAAAAAGTGCAGAGAGGGTGAAAGGGAGACTGATGCTTATTTTACACATTCTGTGTTCCCAAGCCTCCCATCGAGCTTCTGAACCACGCATCTAAATTGTTCACTAGATAGCTCCAGAGGCATCGCAAAATGGATGTGCTTCAAAATGAAACTATTCCTCATTCAAAACCTAGCTTAGTTTTGAACCTTCCCATCACCCAGATAGAGAAAATGGACCTGTGCATACTGCGATCATGGTATTTATGACTGCACTGTAACTTAAGTGTGTGTGACTCTCTTTTGAATAGGGACACCATCTTCCCCTCTTTATACCTAGCATAGTGTCTGACACACATAAGTGCTCAATGATTTTTATTTTAGCAAATTGTAGTCATTTCCATACATTATTTTTTACAGTAAACATTGCCGGATACATTTCCATACGTTTTTAAAGAATAGAGGAGGAGGAAGAGGAGGGAAAAAAAGGAAAATAAATAAATAAACGTGTGGAGCAATCAACTCCAGAATCACACCAATATTTCTAGGTCTAATGGCCACACAGCAAAATCAGCCTCAGTTATCCCATTGTCTTCATATCTTAAGACCTAAAAATGGGAACACAGGATTGTGGGAATAGGTTAGGATTTCTCAGTTTCCAAATTTTTCTGTGAGACTTTTATGCTAACTCTAGCACGGCTTATGTAAAATGTTCGTGATTTGGGGGTGGATCTAAACCACCTCAGATCTATAACCTCTGAGATAAGTGGGGCTGAGCTGCCAGAATGCCATCCGCCATTTATCCCACCCAGAGACACAGGGGTAATTGTGGTTCTGATGCAGCCAGTTCGCCTACCCTGTAACGCTTATTTGCTAAAATAAACCAACCTAAGAGCTAGCCATCCAATGCAGAGGGCAGGGCCATTTTCGGTGCAGAACATACCTGGCCTAGCCAAGGGTGACAGGGTCCTGCCTTCAAAAACAGGCCAGTCACATGAAAGAGTGAAGATGGGCGCATGTGGAGGAGGACAACAGGCCACTGCCTGAGGCCTTCACATTTAAGCTACACAAAAATGCTTTTCCAGGTGAGCAGAGCTCTCGGGCTGCCTGCTTGTGACCCCTGCTCCTGTCAGTCACGAGAACAGGGCGAAGGAGGCGAAAACAGTGCGGAGAATAAGTCCGTAGGACAGTGAGTTCGGAAAATGCCTTCTTCAGTGTTCCAAGGTGCCCACGTGAACTGAGGAGGGCAGAGCAAAACCCCTTATTTTCGGGTCTGTGCAGGGTCCCCGCTAGGAAGGGGCAGCCCTTGAGTTTCATGTTGGTCGGTTATTAAGCGGCTCCCCCGTGAGCCCCGCCCAATGCCTGTGCGCTCAAACTAGCAGCGTCCGAGGAACGCGTTAACTGGGAGAAGTGAACTGAGGGGGTCCGGCGGCCGCTGAGGAGGGGAGCGCGCGGGAGGAGGGGCGAGGAGCCCGGAGGCGGGCGCGGCTGGCAGCTTAGAGGGCCCGGGCGGAGGCCTGAGAGCAGGGCTGGAGGGGCGGAGGACCGGGGAGACCCGCCCGCGGCGTTCCCGGCCGGTTCTGAGCAGGCGCCGTGGCAGCGCCCGCGCCCCCTGCCCGCCCTCCGCCGTCGCCAGGACGCAGGCTCGCGTCAGGGCTGGCGGTAGGGCCCGCAGCTGTCGGCCTGGCGTCTTCACCCCGCGCAGTCGGCCTCGCCTAGCCTTCTCGCGCCTGACTGGCCGGACCCTGCCCCTGGCGGAGGTAACTGCCCGCGGATTCCTTACCCCGCGATCCTGGCCTCCTCGTAAGCTCCCCGGACCCGGGCGTCCTCGGTCTCCCCTCATCTACTCTTCTGTCGGGCAGGTCCGCGACCTTCCGCCTCCCGGGCCGTCTCCCGCCGCACCCGGCCCTGGTACATCCCCACTACCCAGTCCGGGCCCGTCCTCGCTCTGGGCCTACCCCAGCCTCCCAGCGTCGCCTGCTGACGGAGCGCGGGAGCCCCAAGGGGCCGGGGTCACCCGGCCGGCGTGGGTGGTGCCAGGCTCGGGCCACACCTCGGCACCGGACCCGAGTCCCCCAGCTTCTCGAGCAGGATCCGGAGGAATAGAACGTCAATTTTCCTCGCTCTTAGCAATTTTAAGATTGACTAATGGATTTAGGGTATGTCAGTGCATAAAGTTCCCAGTATTTTTTCACTCAATAATTTTAGCAGCGCTGATACTATTGACTGGATTTGTTATTTCATTAGGAGCTGCAAATGATGCTTTTCTAATGCCGGCGTTTCTCTGGCATTTGGTTAACCCTTTTGTGAGAATTTATTTTATTTGCAATTTTATTTATTTATTTTTGAGCCGGAGTCTTCGCTGCGTTGCCCACGCTGGAGTGCAGTGGCTCTCACAGGCACAATCACAGCTCACTGCAGCCTCGAACTCTCTTGTCCTCAAGCGATCTTCCCATCTCAGCCTCCGTGCTGACTGATAGCTAGCATCTTGATAGATCTTTGTGTGCTGTCTCTGAGTAGTTTTTCTTTTAAAGCTATTTTATTAAAAAAACAAAAAAACAAGCCCATCTAATTTGGCCGGGCACAGTGGATCACGCCTGTAATCCCAGCACTTTGGGAGGCTGAGTCGGGCGGATCACCCAAGGTCAGGGGTTCGAGACCAGCCTGGCCAACATGGTGAAACCCGGTTTCTACTAAAAATACAAAAAAATTAGTCCGGTGTGGTGGTGCATGCCTGTAATCCCAGCTACTCGGGAGGCTGAGGCAAGAGAATCGCTTGAACCCGGGAGGCGGAGGTTGCAGTGAGCCGAGATCGCGCCACTGCACTGCAGCCTGGGCTACAAGAGCAAAACTTCAACTCAGAAATAAAATATAAATCAAAACTTTATGAAAATTGTCAGTTAAGATCTTCAGTGGTCCATGCGCAGTGGATCGTGCCTGTTATCCCAGCACTTTGGGAGGACGAAGTGGATGGATCACTTGAAGTCAGGAGTTTGAGACCAGCCTGGCCAACATGGTGAAACCCCATCTCTACTTAAAATTAGCCAGGCGTGGTGGCACACGCTTGTAGTCCCAGCTACTCGGGAGGCTAACGCAGGAGAATCACTTGAATCCGGGAGGCGGAGGTTGCAGTGAGCTGAGATCATATCACTGCACTCCAGCTGGGGCAACAGAACGAAACTCTTGTCTCAAAAAAAAAAAAAAAATGCCCAGTGAATATTATGCATCATTTATATTTTATTACTATTATTGTTTACAGAATCTTGGGACTGTTTTACTTAATTGGTCATTGATAGCTTAACAAACATGGAGATAAGATTAGAAATCTTGACATCAACAGGTATTAAGCAGAAAAAACCATGGCCACGTGTCTCCTGGTTGGGAAAGGTAGGTTTTTCTTTATTCATGCAATACCAGTTTTATATATGTTATATGTGTGTTTTGCCTGTAATATAGGAGTGTTCTATGATCTTAAATAAATAAAACATCATCTACTGGAGGAGGATCTACAGGAGGATCACCTACCTGCACACTGAACAGGGTTTTGTGTGTGTTTCGTTTTTATTATAATGAGCAAGTTAGCTTTTCCAGAATGTTAAGTGGTTTATTTAGAAGATTTTTACTTAAACTATTTTTTTCATATTATGTTTAAGTCAAGTTTAAGTTAAGTTGAGATGGCATATATCAAAAGGGAATATTTAATGTCCTGAGCTTTCCTTTACTGGAACAGTTAATGGAGTGTTTCCTCCTATTGTGGTTTTCATGATTGTGCTATGAAGTGTTCTTGGAAACTAGGATGGAAGAAATGGGCCACAATACGTTAGTAATCCAGGAATGCCATTCATAATATATGGCATAGATTCCCCACTTAGGGAAAGTAGGCAACCCTACTTTATTTGTGATGATTATTGAAATAAAGTGTTAAATTTCCTGTGAGAAATTATACCACTAACTCCCCTGTAACAGGAGTTCTCAAACTATCAGAACTATCTGGAGAGGTGGTTAAAACACAGATTGCTGGGCCCTGTTCCCAAAGTTTTCAGTTAATTAGGTCTGCTGTAGGGTTGGATATTTTGTATTTTTTTATTTTTATTTTTTGAGATGGAGTCTCGCTCTGTTGCCCAGGCTGGACGCAATGGCATCCTCTCGGCTCACTGCAACCTCAGCCTCCCAGGTTCAAGCGATTGTCTTGCCTCAGCCTCCTGAATAGCTGGGATTACAGACGCATGCCACCATGCCCAGCTAATTTTTATATTTTTAGTAGAGGCTAGGGGTTTCACCATGTTGGTCAGGCTGGTCTTGAACTCCTCACTTCTGAGGTGTTGCTGATGCTGCTGGCTCAGTTATACCTTGAAAATCACTGCCTTAGAATATATGAAAACAAAGTTAACTCAAAACAGCCTACTTTTTCTAGGTAATAAAAAATGAGCAGAGTCAGGGATTTATGAATTTCAGAAGCTATATCTATTTTAATCTAAGTAAATAATTTAAAAACTTGCTCATACTACTGTTAAAATTGATGAGAGTCAGGTTCAGTGGTATGCACCTGTGGTCCCAGCTACTCAGGAGGCTAAGGCAAGAGGATCGCTTGAGCCCAGGAGTTCTGGGCTGCAGTGTGCTATACCGATTACGTGTCTGCACTAAATTCGGTATCAATATGATGACCTCCCGAGATCAAGGGGCTGGGGTAACCACCAGGTTGCCTAAGAATGGTGAACTGGTCCAGGTCAGAAATGGGCCAGGTCAAAACTCTCATGCTTATTAGTAGTGGGATAGTGCCTGTAAATATCTACTCCACTTAAGGCTGGGCAACAAAGTGAGACCTCAGCTCTTAAAAAAAAAAAAAAAAAAAGATTAAAAAGTAGATAAGCCAGTTTTGGCTAGCAGAATTAGAGGACACTCCTATAATTTTAAACTTCAAAGAAATTGAAATACAACTACTAGGTAGCCTTACCTATTAATTCTAACGAGGTATTTTAAAACAATTCAAAATGTTCAGGCTACTATAGAGTATTAAGCTTAATGTTCATTTTATGATTTGTGGTACAAATGGATAATCTTTCTTAAATGTCGCTTTGATTTCTGGGATAATTTATTTAGGCAGTAAGTTGAATTAATTTCTGGCACCTCTTGAGTCCTTCACATGTTTCTTCTCTTAGGAAAAAGAAGCCGTTTTTCTTTTGGATGATAAATTCATAAATGAAATTAATTTGCTATCAGGAAAGATAAAGAAGAAAATTCCTAGTCTGCAGCCTTTCTTGAAGGATGTTATTGTCCTAACAACATCCAGTAATGGTTAAGTAGTACTGATATTTTCAAATGGCTAAAACTATATTTTTTAATAACTTAGGGTGATGTTAAAGGAAATACTAGATTGTAAGTATTGCATTTCATTTTTGGAAACAGATGCCTGGCTGGCTGGGGTACTAACTACAGGAGAGCTTTTCCTTTGGAACAAAGATCAAGATTGTTTGAAAACTATACCAATAACTGAAAAGCCTAAGGAAATGATCAAAGCTACAGTCGGTGGGAATTTTTTTATTTGTTTAAGTTGGTTTAACTAGGAAAAATAGGAAAAGAGGATGAAACATTTTTCTGTTACTGTCTTGAAAATGTATTTCTGTGTATGTGCATATGTATATCTGAGTGTGTGTATATATATATATATATATATATATATATATATATATATATATATATATATATAGTTTTGGTTATGTTTATCTGTGATACTGAGACTCAACTTGAAGAAGAAAATTCTGGCATGCCTAACATTTCTGTGATAATAATAGGTTTCTAATATCACATAATATATACTTGATAAATGTTGCTATTTTTGTACTTTTTTTTTTCTTTTTTTTGAGACGGAGTCTCGCTCTGTCGCCCAGGCTGGAGTGCAGTGGTGGGATCTCAGCTCACTCGCCTCCGGGGTCCACGCCATTCTCCTGCCTCAGCCTCCCGAGTAGCTGGGACTACAGGCGCCAGCCACCATGCCCGGCTAATTTTTTTGTATTTTTAGTAGAGACGGGGTTTCACCGTGTTAGCCAGGATGGTCTTGATCTCCTGACCTCGTGATCCACCCAGCCTTTTTTTTTCTTTTTTAGAGACAGGATCTTGTTCTGTCACTCAGGCTGAAGTATAGTGGCATGATCATAGCTCACTGCAGCTTTGACCTTTTGGGCTAAAGCGATCCGTCTCCTTAAGCCTCCCAAAGTGCTGGGATTACAGGCATGAGCTGCCGTGCCTGGATTGTATTTTTTGCTAGTGCCTTAGTTTTGACATCCTGAATGGTAACATTATTTGTTTTTTTTTTATTGTAAGAATACATAAATTATGTACTTTATTGGGGGGAATTCAGACTTCAGAGGCTTAATTACTTTTTTTGTTACTTTTTTAGCAAGCTCTTTGAGACTGTACTTGTATGTATCTGGAAATGGGAAAAGAATTGTGCTCATAACACCTTCTGGATGCATATTTCTTTGGGAATATTTGGAATTAAAGAATATCTTATCTTCTAAAAGCCTTTCATTGGCGGGTCGGTGGTCCCAGGTCATACCTGAAGAAGCAGTTCTCTTGCCTTCCACCGAAGATAAAGAAGCTGTAGTGAATGCTGTTTTTATAAAAAATGAGGTAAAATCAGTCTCAGACTCTTATCTGTGAAGCAGATTAGCAGAGTGTGTAATGGTATAACTATATATCTTTAGTCACCATAAATTTTCATAGTAATTGTGAAATTCTTGTATGGAAAAGATATTTTTATATTTCTTGGGTCACATTTTTAAAAAGTGTTTATTAAAATTAGTTTTAACTTAGAACTCCTTTTCTCTATCCTTGATTTAAAAATATAGCTTGTTATGCCGGGCGCGGTGGCTCACGCCTGTATTCCCAGCACTTTGGGAGGCTGAGGCGGGTGGATCACCTGAGGTCGAGAGTTCAAGACCAGCCTGACCAACATGGAGAAACCCCGTCTCTGCTAAAACTACAAAATTATCTGGGCGTGGTGGCACATGCCTGTAATCCCAGCTACTCAGGAGGCTGAGGCAGGAGAATCGATTGAACCTGGGAGGCGGAGGTTGCAGTGAGCCGAGATCGTGCCATTACACTCCAGCCTGGGCAACGAGAGTGAAACTCTGTCTCAAAAAAAAAAAGTATAATATATAATATATATACACGTATATAATATATATCGTATATATTATATATTATATGGTATATTATATATGTATATAACATGTATATATTATATATATTATATGCATATTATATATTATATATAATACATGTATATTATATATTATATTTTTATATGTTATATATTATATATGTATATATATTTTTTATATATTATATATAGAGAGAGAGCTTGTTTGGTAATTTAACAAGCTAGAATTGATGATACTAAATATGCGATTTAACTGGGAAATAACAGATTCATGAACTTAAAAAACCAAAACGTATTTAAAATATCTGCTTGGTATTCTTCGTATGTGTGGACCAGCATTTTATTATCCAAACCACTCTTGTTAGAAATTTCACTTTGAAGTTTTATTGTCCCCTCTCCCCACTCTCAGGGTGGTGTGCTAATTTAAATAGTATAAAAGTATAAAAAGAGAAAAATAAATATGTAAGAATATTTTCAGTTATAGTCACAGTCAATGTCAGTATTTTCTTAAGAGCATAAACTACAACCTGATTACCCATTTGAGACCTGCCTCTGGCTCAGAAAAAAATTACTTAGTCTTAAGCTTAATGTTAAGGATAAAAAGTATAAGCAAGATCTCAATATTTTTTACTGGTTTATGATGAGGAATATATATATGTATTTTAGTATCTTGATTTATTTTCAGATTAATTTTATACTAAAGTATATTAAATTTATCTACAGTTATTTGGAGACTGCTGCCTGTGTTCATTTACTTTTTATTCTGGGGAATGCCTGAAGTTAACATTTCTAGCAATTCGGTGGCATGAGAATGTATTTACATCTGTAAGGTGAGGTAAATGTTTTCTTCTTCCTTTTCTTACTGATTTTTTTTTCTTTTGGAGGCAGGGTCTTGCTGTGTCACCCAGACTGGGGGGTAGTGGCACAATCATAGCTCAGCCTCCTGAGTACCTGTGACTACAGGTTTGTGCCACCATGCCTGGCTAATTTTTTTTTTTTTTTTAACAGACAAGTTCTTGCACTCCTGGGCTCAAGCAGTCCTCCTGCCTTGGCCTCCCAAAGTGCTGGGAATACAGGCATGAGGCATCATACCCGGCCCCATATTTTCTATCCCTTTTTAAACATTATTATCTTTTGATCCATATACATGTAATAAAATTTGTAAATGTTATTGTGAGTTTCAAGTTCTGAGGCTTTACAAATCATTTCTTCCCCTCTTATTTCTAAATGTTTAATCCAGAAAGTTTATCTTGTTTTGTCTTGTTTCCCTTCTTTGAAGTGAGAATTTGTAAAAGATAAGACAAGCTATGGTTTTACTTGTCTAAGACTATAAAAGTAACTATTCTGGAAAAGAATTCAGTTGAAATTTAAAAGGGACATAACTTTTGATTTCCTATTGTACCTTTTAAATGCTTAAGTGTTCTTTTATTTAAAAATAGTTTTATTCTAAAAAGCCTAATAAAATAGAAAATATGCATTTTTTTTTTTTGAGATGGAGTCTTGCTCTGTCGCCCAGGCTGGAGTGCAGTGGTGCAATCTTGGCTCACTGTAACCTCCGCCTCCTGGGTTCAAGTGATTCTCCTGCCTCAGCCTCCCGAGTAGCTGGGACTACAGGTGCCCGCCACCAGGCCTGGCTAACTTTTTGTATTTTTAGTAGAGACGGGGTTTCACCATGTTAGTCAGGTGGTCTTGAACTACTGACCTTGTGATCTGCCTGCCTCAGCCTCCCAAAGTGCTGGAATTACAGGCATGAGCCACCTCACCCAGCCGAAAATATGCATTATTTTCTTACAATGCCTAAGTAAGATTGAGTAAAATGGTGTGGTGTGGTTTTTATTTTTATTTTTCTGTTTGTTTTATTTTTATATTTTATATTAAGATATAACTTACATGAAGTAACATGAACAAATCTTGGCTGAGTGTGGTGGTGGATGCCTGTAATCCCAGCACTCTGGGAGGCCGAGGCAGGAGGATCACTTGAGCCCAGGAGTTCAAGACCAGCCTGGACAACATGGCAAAATCCCATCTCTACACAAAATATAAAAAAAATTAGCTGAGCATGGTGGCGCATGCCTATAGTCCCAGCTGCTTGGGAGGCTGAGGTGGGAGGATCACTGAAGCCCAGGAGGTCCAGGTTGCAGTGAGTTCAAATCGTGCCACTGCACTCCAGCCTGGGTGACAGAGTGAGACCCTGTCTGGAAAATAAATAAATAAATAAAATAAGATAAACAAGTCTTAAGTGTACAACTAGACTTTGAAAAATATATACAATTGTTTGAAATGTATATATCACTTGGATCAATTATAGAACATTGATACTATCCCCAAAGTTTCCCTCTTCTTTCTGTCTATCTACCTATCTATCTATCTATCTATCTATTTATTTTTGAGATAGAGTCTTGCTCTGTCTCCCAGGTTGGAGTGTGGTGGTGCAATCTTGGCTCACTGCAACTTCTGCCTCCCAGGTTCAAGCGATTCTCCTGTCTCAGCCTCCTGAGTAGCTGGGATTATGGGCATGCGCCAACAAACCCAGCTAATTTTTTGTATTTTTAGTAAAGATGGGGTTTCGCCATGTTGGCCAGACTGGTCTCGAACCCCTGACCTCAAATGATCTGCCCGCCTTGGCCTCCCAAAGTGCTGGGATTACAGGCATTAGCCACCATGCCTGGCCTTCTCTACATTTTATTTTTTATTTTATTTTTTTTTTGAGACAGAGTCTCACTCTGTTGCCCAGGCTGGAGTGCAGTGACGTAATCTCGGCTCACTGCAACCTCTGCCTCCTGGGTTCAAGCGATTCTTCTGCCTCAGCCTCCCGAGTAGCTGACACTACAGGTGCGCACCCCCACGGCTGGCTAATTTTTGTATTTTTAGTAGAGATGGGGTTTCACCATATTGGCCAGGCTGGTCTCGAACTCCTGACCTACTTTTTAAATTCCTTTAAAAATATTTGGCATTATGTAGAAATACGTTTATCCAAACTTTTAGTGGAAGCAGGTATAATATATTTGGGGTTGCATATAAAAACATGGCTCTACTAACAGAACTCTGATATTCAATTTATTTAGCTAATCTGCAGGTTCTCTTTTGTGCACAGACTTCTGAAAGGTCTCTGATATAGTTTGGATGTTCGTCCCCTCCAAGTCTCGTGTTGAAAATAATCCTTAATGTTGGAATGTTGGAGGTGGGGCCTGGTTGGAGATGTCTGGGTCAAGGTGGCAGATCCCTCATGAATGGCTTGGTGTTCTGCTTACAGTAATGAGTTCTTGCTCTGAGTTCACGGGAGATCTGGTTGTTTAAAAGAGCCTGGAATCTCCTTCTCTCCCTTGCTCCCTCTCTTGGGAAAATGCTGCTCCCCATTTCCTTTCTGCCGTGGTTAAAAGCTTCCTGAAGCCCTCACAAGAATCCGAGGAGATGCTGATGCCATGCTTGCACAGCCTGCAGAACCGTGAGCCCGAATAAACCCCTTCTCTTTCTTTCTTTCTTTTTTTTCTTTGATATGGAGTCTCACTCTGTCGCCCAGGCTGGAGTGCAGTGGCGTGATCTTGGCTCACTGCGACCTCCGCCTCCCGGGTTCAAGCAATTCTCCTGCCTCAGCCTCCCGAATAGCTTGGATTACAGGTGCACTCCACCATGCCCAGGTAATTTTGTATTTTTAGCAGAGACGGGATTTCACCTGTTGGCTAGGCTGGTCTCAGACTCCTGGCCTCAAGTGATCCACCCGTCTCTGCCTCCTAAAGTGCTGGGATTACAGGTGTGAGCTACCGTGCCCAGCCAACCCCTTTTCTTTATAAATTACTCAGTCTCAGGCATTCCTTTACAGCAACACAATGGATTAACATAGTCTCTAAAATATTCCCTAAGTACATGTGCACATGTAGGAATTTGGATGGATCCTTTAATTTTTGTAATGAACTACATATAAATTTAAAAGTTACTATACCTTTTGTTTTCAATTATTTCATTACTTTTTTAGATCATTGCCATACCATGTTCATTGGGCTCAACAAGACTGTCATCTCTGTAGTTTAATTCCTAAATGTGAATCAGTAAAGTCAAGAGGAGCTCTAATTTCTGCCTTTTCAAGAGATGGCCTTACCCTGGCAGTAACTCTTAATCAGAAAGACCCCAAGGTCAGTAAATATCTGTCTTAGAAAGTAATCTATAAAAGAAGGAGTTTATTCCAGTTTTGAGATTTTTCTTTTTCTAAATACTCCTTTATATCCATTTTTTTTTTCTTTCTGGTTTTTTTTTTTTTTTTTTTTGACAGGGTCTCTCTCTGTTGCCTAGGCTGGAGTGCAGTGGTGCGATCATGGCTTGCTGCAGCCTCGACCTCCTGGGCTCAAGTGATCCTCTCACCTCAGCCCCCCAAGTAGCTGAGACCATAGGCTTATACCACCGTGCCTGGCTAATTTTTGTATTTTTTTGGTAGAGATGGGGTTTTGCCATATTGCCCAGGCTGGTCTTGAATTCCTGAGCTCAAGCAGTTCTCCCACCTCAGCCTCCCAAAGTGCTGGGATTACAGGTGTGAACCACTGTGCCCAGCCTGCTTTATATTCTTTAAGTTGGTGGTGTTTAATCCAATTTGACATTGTGGATTGGTAAAGTTCTTTAAAGTAGATCCCATAACTTTCAAAACTTGGCTTTCAGAAATGAAAAAAGAATAAGGGAAAAAGAGGAAAGAAGAGCATTGTGGTAACTAATGTTTTTAAGGTGGAACATAAAAGAGCAAAGGCTACCAGGGGTCAATATTGCTTTGCCAGTTAGGAAATACTCCCTAGATAGTTTATTAATATAATAATAGATCTCTGTGTCACCAGAATTATAAATAATGGTTACAGTAAAATAATTTTAATAGTTTTCTTGTCTTTTTTTTCCTTTCTAGGCAACTCAGGTATTATTTATAAACACACTGAATTTTGTTACTCTCTGTGGTAGCCTTAAAGGATGTAGTAACAAGAGTCCCGTGGTTCCAGCTACACTTATTAGGTAAGAACTCTTTTGTCTGTCTTTTTTTTCTTTTTTTCTTTTAAAAGAGATGGGTCTCTGTCAGGTGTGGTAGCTCACACCTGTAATTCTAGCACTTTGGGAAACCAAGGTGAGAGGATCACTTGAGCTCAGGAGTTTGAGACCAGCTTGGGCAACATAATGAGACCTCATCTTTACTAAAAAATAAAAAGAAATTAGCCGAGCATGGTGGTGGACACCTGTAGTCCCAGCTACTTGAGAGGCTGAGCTAGGGGGTATCACCTGAACGTGGGTGATAGAGGCTGCAGTGAGCTATGATCTTGCCACTGCACTCCAGTCTGAGCAACAGAGCAAGACCCTATCTCAAAAAAAAAAAAAAAAAAAAAAAAAGAAAAGGCTGGGCGCTGTGGCTCACGCCTGTAATCCCAGCACTTTGGGAGGCTGAGGTAGGTGGATCACCTGAGGTCAGGAGTTTGAGACCAGCCTGGCCAAAATGGTGAAACCCCATCTCTACTAAAAAAAATACAAAAAAAAAAAATTAGCCAAGTGTGGTGGCATGTTCCTGTAGTCCCAGCTACTTGGGAGGTTGAGGCATAAGAATTGCTTGAACCCAGGAGGCGGAGGTTGCCATGAGCTGAGATCGCACTACTGCACTCCAGCCTGGATGACAGAGGGAGACTCTGTCACACACACACAAAAAAAGATGGGGTCTTACTTATTGCCCAAGCTGGAGTGTAGTGGTGTGATCATAGCTCACTGCAGCGTTGAACTCTCGGGCTCAGTCATTCCTTCCTCATCCTTCTGAGTAGCTGGGACTACAGGTGTGTGTCACTGTATGTAGCTAATTTTTTTAAAGTTTTTTGTAGAGACAGGGTCTTGCTATATTGACCATGCTGGTCTTGAACTTCTGGCCTTAAGTGATCCTCCCATCTTGGCCTCCTAAAGTGCTGGGATTACAGGCCTGAGCCATCATGCCCAGCCTAAAAGTCACTTTATATAAGGAAGGCCTTAAATACTTTTTTTTTTTTGAGATGGAGTCTCACTCTGTCACCCAGGCTGGAGTGCAGTGGTGTGATCTCGGCTAACTGCAAGCTCTGCCTCCCGGGCTCACGCCATTCTCCTGCCTCAGCCTCCCGCGTAGCTGGGATTAAAGGCGCCCGTCACCATGCCCGGATAATTTTTTTGTATTTTTTTTAGTAGAGATGGGGTTTCACCGTGTTAGCCAGGATGGTCTCAATCTCCTGACCTCGTGATCCACTCGCCTTGGCCTCCCAAAGTGCTCGGATTACAGGCGTAAGCCACCGTGCCTGGCCATAGGTGCATATTTCTTACATGCATATGTTGTGTAGTGGTGAAGTGTGGGCTTTTAGTATTAATAGTGAACATTGTACCCAACAGATAATTTTTCAACCCTCACTCCCCTCCCGTCTTTTAGTAGTCTCCAATGCCTATTATTCCACTCTGTATGTCCATGTGTACCCATTGTTTAGTCCCTACTTATAAGTTAGAATATGTAGTATTTGACTTTCTGTTTCTGAGTGATTTTACCTAGGATAATGACCTCCAGTTCCATCCATGTTACTGCAAAAGACATGACTTCATTTGTTTTATGGCAGAGTAGCATTCCATGATACATATATATACACACACCACATTTTCTTTATCCAATCCTTTGTTGATAGATGGTTCTGTTGATTCTCTATCTTTGCTATTGTGAATAGTGATGTGATAAACGTGTGAGTGCAAGTATCTTTTTGATATAATGATTTCTTTCCCTTTGGGTATATACCCAATAGTGGGATTACTAGATTGAATGGTAGTTCCTATTTTGGTTCTTTGAGAAATCTCTATACCATAATGATTGTACTAATTTGCGTTCCCACCAATCATGTTTGTTCCCTTTTCTCACGTTCCCATGAGAAACATGTTCCCATGTTCCCTTTCCTCTGCATACTTGCCAACATGTTGTTTTTTGACTTTTTAGTAATAGCCATTCTGACTGGTATGTTATCTCGTTGTGGTTTTAATTTGCATTTCTCTGATGATTAGTGATGTTGAGCATTTTTTCATATGTTTATTGGCTGATTGTATGTCTTTTGAGAAATGTCTGTTCATGTCCTTTGCCCAGTTTTTAATGAGGTTTTTTTTTTTTTTGCTTGTTGAGTTGTCTTAGTTTCTCATAGATCCTAGATATTAGCCCTTTGTCAGACACATAGTGTGCAAATATTTTCTCCCATTTTGTAGGTTGCCTTTTTACTTCAATTGTGTCTTTTGCTGTGCAGAAGCTTTTTAAGTTAATTAATTCTCATTTGTCTGTTTTTGTTGTGTTTGCTTTTGAGGATGTGGTCATAAATTCTTTGCCTAGCCCAATGTCCAGAAGAGTTTTTCCTAGGTTTTCTTCTAGGATTTTTTTAGTTTCAGGCCTTATGTTTAGGTCTTTAATCCATCTTGAGTTAATTTTTGTATATGATGAGAGGTATGGGTCCAGTTTCATTCTTCTGCACATCTATCCAATTTTCCCAGCACTATTTTTATTGAATAGGGTGTCCTTTCCCCAGTGTATATTTTTATCGACTTTGCTGAAGATCAGTTGGTTGTAGCTATGTGGCTTTATTTCTGGGTTCTGTATTCTGTTACATTTATCTGTGTGCTGTTTTTATACCAGTACCATGCTGTTTTGGCTGCTATAGCCTTGTAGTATAATTTGAAATTAGTAGGCTGGGCATGGTGGCTAACGCACTTTGGGAGGCCAAGGTGGGTGGATCACCTGAGTTCGGGAGTTGGAGACCATACTGACCAACATGGAGAAACCCTGTCTCTACTAAATTGGATTTTGTAAAATTAGCCAGGTGTGGTGGTGCATGCCTGTAATCCCAGCTACTGAAGAGGCTGAGGCAAGAGAATCACTTGAACCCTGGCGGTGGAGGTTGTGGTGAGCCGAGATTGCACCGTTGCACTCCAGCCTGGGCAACAAGAGTGAAACTCTGTCCAAAAAAAAAAAAAAAAAGTGCTGGGCACAGTGGCTCATGCCTGTAATCCCAGCACTTTGGGAGGCCAAGGTGGGCGGATCACGAGGTCAGGAGTTCGAGACCAGCCTGACCAACATGGTGAAACCCTGTCTCTAGTAAAAATACAAAAATTAGCTGGTGTGATGGTGTGCCCCTGTAATCCCAGCTACTCAGGAGGCTGAGGCAGGAGAATCGCTTGAACCTGGGAGGCAGAGGTTGCAGTGAGTCGAAATTGTACCACTGCTCTCCAGCCTGGGTGACAGAACGAGACTCCATTGCAAAAAAAAAAAAAAAAAAAAAAAGAAATTAGATAATATGATACCTCCAGCTTTGTTCTTTTGTTTTTGGTTCCATACGAGTTTTAGGATTGTTTTTTCTAATTATGTGAAAAATGGCGCTGGTAATTTGATAGAGATTGCATTGAATCTGTAGATTTATTTGGGCAGTATGTTCATTTTAATGATATTGGCCTTTTAATCCATAAGCATGAGATGCTTTTCCATTTGTTTATGTCATCTACAATTTCTCTTATCAGCGTTTTATAATTATAATTTCTTTTATCAGTGTTCTCCTCATAGAGATCTTTTACCTTCTTGGTTAAATATATTGCTAGGTATTTTCTTTTATTTTTAGTAGCTAATGTTAATGGGATTGCCTTCTTGATTCACTCCTTGGCTACATAGTTATTGGTGTATTTTCTACTGATTTCTGTATATTCATCTTGTTAATATAAAGTATCCTGAAATCTTACTATATTCATTTATCAAATCTAAGAGTTTTTGTGGAGTCTTTAGGGTTTTCTAGATATAAGATTATATTGTCAGTGAAGAGTGATAATTTGGATGCCTTTTATTTATTTTTTTATCTTGCCTGATTGCTCTGACTAGGACTTCTAGCATTATGTTGAATAGGTGTGGTAAAAGTAGGCATCCTTGTATTGTTCCAGTTCTAAACATTATAGTTGATACCACAGAACAACGTCTATTAAGACTATTATGAAATAATACACTCACAAACTACAAAACCTAGAGGAAATTGATGAGTTTCTTTTATAGGTGACTGGACTCTTTTCTTTTGCTAATTTTAAAATTCTTTCTTTCCCTTTGATTTAACACATTCTGAATATAATAGCCGCTGGTGGAGTCCTTTTTGCTATGTATTTGCATGGGGATCACTGGGCCTCCTGTATCTGAATGTCTAACTCTCTTGCTAGACTTAGGAAGTTTTCATTTATTATTCTTTTAAATAGGTTTTCGGCACTTTTTGATCTCTCTTACCCTTCAGGAATACTGATAATTTATAAGTTCACTCACTTTTTGTACTCCCAGACCTCTTGAAGGCTTTGTTCATTCTTTTTTTTTTTTTCTTATTTTTGTCTGACTGAGATTCTTTCTTTTGCTTGGTGTAGTCTATTATTTAATCTTTTGAATGTATTTTATATTTCCTTCAATTCATTTTTTATTTCCAGAATTTCTTTTTTTTTTTTTTAATCTTTCTCCTTGGTAAATTTCTCATTCATATTGATTTTCCGATTTCTTTGTATTGGTTTTCAGATTTTCTTGCATCTCATTGAGCTTCTTCAAAATCGGTATTTTGAATTATTTCTCTGGCATTTTGGGGGAATTATTTTTGATTGGCATCTATTACCGGACAATTTTTGTGGTCCTTTGGTGGTGTCATATCTCCTTGCTTTTCTTATGTTTTCTGTGGCATTCCATTGATGTCTGTGCATCTGGTACAGCCGTTGCTTGTTTTAATTTTTTGAAAATGCTTTTATAGAGGAGAATTTTTTTCCTGAAGATGTATGTATGTTGTTGATTGAGTAGGATACTTTGGCTTTGATTTTGCATACTTGTAGTAGTGTAATCTTTGTATGACTTCTTCAGTAGTACACAGGGTTGGTGGCACCTGTGATTTCCTCAGTGGCTTAAGGTGTAGTTATTAGTTGGGGTTATGGTGAAGTTTTGTTAGGGACTTGGACAACAACTGAGCCAGTCTTCAGGCCCTAGTAGTGGCAGCAGTGGGGTGAGTGTGCCTGTTTTTAGGCCCTAGACCACCTTATACTGGCCCTGGTATTGATGGGTCCTGAAGGCTGATTCTTGGGCTTCCAGGTGGCATGCTTAGAAACTAGTAGTCGGAGTGGTGGTCTAGGTGTGTGAGTGGTTTCTCAGGCCCCTGGGTATCTGGTATGGTGTGGGCGATGGCAGTAGTAGTGGTGAAGCAACCCACTGGGACCCAAGTAGTCCATGTTGGAGTTACTGGAAGTTGTGATGGTTTGGGGGGACTAGTCCCCCATGACATAGCTGCTCTGTGGCAGGGTGGTGGGTATTCTCCTAAGTGTGCTTCGGAGAGCTTGGTCTCCCCTGTTCCCTGAGTTGGGTGGTGACTGCAGCCACCTCAACCCAAACTCAGCCCAAGGGTGGGACGTAGCCCAGCTCTAAACAGTCAAAATGGTACCTTGGGCCTGGGACCAGAGAGGGTGGTATCCCTCCCAGGCAAGCAGTGTAGGCAAGAAGCTGTGAGAAGTGCAGCCTGCTCACATCTCAGTCTCAACAGCAGCCCACAGCAGGGTGATAGGGAGCCTCCCAGGAGTGCCTGAGAGTGCCTGGTCTCCCCTCTTCCTCCCTGAAGCAGTGCAGTAGCAGCCAAGTCTGTAGATCCCTGGTATCTAGGCTTTCTGACGCTGCTCTAGGCTTGGATGCCTGTGGGATTCCATGTGTTTTCCCTTTCTGGAGCAATGTCTCTGAGCATTCTTTAGGCAGCTCCATGTGTCAGGCCCAAAGCCCTAGTGGGTTGAGGGTTTCTCCCACTCAGAGGTTATGAAAGCCTGTTTTGGGGTATGAAGCCCTGTGGATTTTTCTCTTACTGTTTCCCTGTGTTCAGGAGCCTTTTCCCACTCTTAGTCTTACTTACTACTTAATAGTAAGTGGACAGTCCATGGTTCCTCTCCATGGAGGAGTTACATGCTACCTGTGTCTAGTCAGCTATCTTGAGCTGAGTGTCTTTCTTTTTTTTTTTTTTTTTTTTTTTGCAACAAGGTCTTGTTCTGTTACCTGGGCTGGAGTGCAATGGCGTGATCATAGCTCACTGCAGCCTCAAACTTCTAGGCTCAAGCTATCCCCCTGCCTGCCTCAACTTCCCAAGTAGCTGGGATTACAGGTGCACGCCACCACGACTGTTTTTTTGTTTTTTTTTGGTAGAGCCAGGGTCTTGCTATGTTGCCCTGGCTGGTCTTGAACTCCTGACCTTATGCAATTCTCCCACCTTGGCCTCCCAAAATACTGTGATTACAGATGTCAGCCACTGCACCTGGCCGAGAGAGCCTAGTCTTTTTTTTTTTTTTTTTTTCCCCCAAGATGGAGTCTTGCTCTGTCGTCCAGGTGGGAGTGAAGTAGTGCGATCTCGTCTCACTGCAACCTCTGCTTCTCGGGTTCAAGCACTTCTCTGCCTCAGCCTCCCGAGTAGCTGGGATTACAGGTGCCCACCACCATGCCTGGCTAATTTTTTTGTATTTTTAGTGGAGACGGGGTTTCATCATCTTGGCCAGGCTGGTCTTGAATTCCTGACCTCGTGATCCACCTGCCTCGGCCTCCCAAAGTGTTGGGATTATGGGCCTGTGCCACCGTGCCTGGCCAAGCCTAGTTTTTTAAACAAGTCCCTACATATGTATCCTGTACATCTGAGTCAATAGTAACATAAGTGTTGATTTGGGATGGCATATGAGCTACCACCAGGATCCATGCAAAATTACAGAGTAGGAGAATTTCCTCTTACAGCTTCTAACTTCCTTTTCTGAATACTTTTCCATGCTGTTCTATGCATTTTCAGAGTTTTTAGGTTTATCTAGCCCTGCCTCTTCATTTTCTTTTACTTTCCACAAGTTCCTTTCTCTTTGGTAAATTTCTCATTCATATTATTCATAATACTTTGAAAGTATTAGTCTCAGTTCAGTGGTCTTTTTGATTTAGTGTCTGTCATTTTCTGAGGAGGACCTACTGTTTGTCTCATTAAACATTAGTATCACCAGATATCAACACCTGTGAAAAGACGGGAATAAGGGTTAAAATATAAAATTTTAAAAAATAAAAATAAAATAAATTAAAAAATCACGAAATAGTTAAGGAGTAGTACCAGTTAGAGCTTTGGGAAGAGGGAGAGTCTGCTGTTGAGAGGGACTCTAACAGCCTGCAGAGAGGACAGATGTGGCCTTGAAATCTATCAGTAGATCTTGATTGTAGACTCTACTAGGATTAAAATTCATTCTAATATGTGAGTGACTAAAAAACTCAGTTCTTTAGGAATATATATATATTTTTTCTCTGTGTCCCAGACTGGAGTGCAGTGGTATGATCTCGGCTCACTGCAACCTCTGCCTCCCCAGTTCAAGCCATTCTCCTGCCTCAGCCTCCCCAGTAGCTGGGATTATGGGCACCCGCCACCACGCCTGGCTTATTTGTATTTTTGTAGAGACGGTGTTGGCCAGGCTGGTCTTGAACTCCTGACCTCAGTTGATCCGCCTGCCTCGGCCTCCCAAAGTGCTGGGATTACAGGCTTGAGCCACGGTGCCTGGCCGAATATTTTCGTTTTTTAATTGCTTATGAATTTCTAATTGGAATATTGTTGAAATAGATGTTTATGAGCAAACTCCTTTGTTCTAGGAAGTAAAATTCATGAAATGTGTATGGCAATTGTCTACTATTAGTCATTCTTTTGCCCTCATTTTTTGAACTTTCACACCTCTGCTTGGTACAGCCCATTTTAAATCGTCATAGACATTGTAAAGTATCTCTTCTAAACATGTTGTCTCTTATTTATTATAGGTCCTACTGGGTAGGTGATATCAGCTGGACGCATGATAGTCTTTTTCTGGCTTGTATGTTAAAACGTGGCTCTCTGGTTTTATTGACCTGCCAAGGTGAATTGCTAACATTAATTACATTTGGTTGCTCTATAGAATTTGGCCCAGCAGAATTTATTCCTCTTCATCCACTAATAACGTATAGGTGAGACATTTGAATTGTGTTAATTTGTTTATAGATTTTTTTTCTGTTTTGTATTACTTTTACTGTGTATTCAAAAAAAATTTCATCTTTCAAATTGTCTTACTTTTTCTTTGAGTCTGTCATCTCAATATCTGTTTCTTATTTGTAGTTTTCTTCTGTTTCTTTTTGTGGCTTAATCCTGGTGAAAATTTGACATTGTGACTATGTAAGTATAAGTTATTTAAATATTTAATAGCACGAAAAATTATCTTCTTTGATATAAAAGTTAATAAAGTATGATATAGCATTTATTGTTATAAAATAATAGCACTTAGAAAATTAATAACTCAAAATTAACTTGACATATGGATTTATCTACTTTTTTCCCAAAGGGAAAAAGTTATTGGAAATGGATAGAAAACTGTAGGATTTAGCCGTATTTTAATTTTTGTTGTTGTTTTAAAATTTTTTTTATTGATATACAATATTTTACATATTTATGGGATACATGTGATATTTTGTTACTTGGATAGCATGTGTCATATTATAATTTTTACTTGTGAGATGAAGTAGCAATTTGGCTTTGGAGTCAGATCAAGATTCACATACCGGTTCTTTTACTTATTAGTTGTATGACTTTGGGTTAGTTATTCTTTTTTTTTTTTTCAATTTTTAAATTTTCATTCTTAGTTTTATTTATTTTTTTTTTCTTGAGACGGAGTTTCGCTCTTGTTGCCCAGGCTGGAGTGCAGTGGTGTGATCTCGGCTCACTGCAACCCCCTCTCCCGGGTTCAAGCGATTCTCCTGCCTCAGCCTCCCAAGTAGCTGGTATTATAGGCATGTGCCACCATGCCTGGCTAATTTTGTATTTTTAGTAGAGACGGGGTTTCACCATGTTGGTCAGGCTGGTCTGGAACTCCTGACCTCAGGTGATCCACCCGCCTTGGCCTCCCAAAGTGCTAGAAGTACAGGCATGAGCCTGTACCAATTTTTTTATTTTTAAAAATTTATTTTGATCTCCCATCTTGCAGAAGAGTTATTCTTTAAGCCTCAGTTTCTTTTACTATGAAAGCAGTGTGACGCTAATTGTGTCTTAGGGTTTAGAGAATGAAGTAAGGTAATACATAATTATAAATCAGCACTGTCTGGCATAAAGTTAGTGCTCAGTAAATATTTGTTGTTATTGATGTTGATTATATGTGGCTAGACACATATGCATAACTGTTTACAAGACAGAAAAGTTGGAAAAGACATTTGAAATTAATCTATTCCGTTTGCTTTATAGAAAGGAAACTGAGGTAGGGTGTTTACTTGATTATATTTATATTTATTATTTATTTATTTATTTTGAGACAGAGTCTCGCTCTGTCCCCCAGGCTGGAGTGCGGTGGCGCCATCTCGGCTCACTGCAAGCTCCGCCTCCTGGGTTCATGCCATTCTCCTGCCTCAGCCTCCCGAGTAGCTGGGACTACAGGCGCCCGCCACCACGCCCAGCTAATTTTTTAGAGACGGGGTTTCACCATGTTGGCCAGGATGGTCTCAAACTGACCTTGTGATCCTCCCGCCTCGGCTTCCCAAAGTGCTAGGATTACAGGCTTGAGCCACCGCGCCCGGCCTCCTCGATTATATTTAGCAAAAATGACATTTAATTTAATTTTTTTTTTTTTTTTTGAGACCGAGTCTCACTCTGTTACCAAGGCTGGAGTGTAGTGGTGTGATCTCGGCTTACTGCAACCACCACCTCCCGTGTTCAAGAAATTCTGCCTCAGCCTCCTGAGTAGCTGGAATTGCAGGCGCGCGCCACCACGCCCAGATAATTTTTGTATTTTTACTAGAGATGGGGTTTCACCGTATTGGTCGGGCTGGTCTCAAACTCCTAACCTCGTGATCCGCCCGCCTCAGCCTCCCAAAAATGACAATTTTTAGCAATTGGCAATGCTAATGGAAAAACGTGTCACTTCCTGCAGTGAAAGTATTTTTTCCTTACTTGTTATGGTCTAATTCATAATTCATTAGAATTTTCTCATATTCTCCTTTAAAATTAATATTTGGGGCCTTCCAAACTGCTTTTTTTCTGATTATGAAAGTATAGTATTCATTATTTATTTTAGCACTCAAAAATCAAATGTTACAAAATTAAATAATGTGGAAAACTAAATACTTGTAATCCTATACTTCAAAGGTAACAATTATTAACATTTTAGTATGTTGTCCCCCACATTTTAAAAATATTCATATAACAATGATAATAGCAATATTAGTTTCTTTTTTAAAAACTAGATAATGTGATATATCCTGTTTACTATTTTCCATTTTTGATTTCACAGTATATCTTTTACATCTTTCCATGTTAGGCATTATTTTTAATGGTTCTACAGAAGTCTGTGGGGTGTATGTCCTATAATTACCAACTTTCTATTGTTGCCATTTGGCTAATAAAAAAAATCTGTATTTGAATAGTTGCCTAACCAGAAAAAAATTACAATATACTTTGATGGTTTGTTCCTTTTATATTTGTAAAGCCCCAACTTTAATAAGGAGTGATATTAAGTAATCAGAATCAGGTACATCATAATAACAATATTGTATGTTTAAGTTAAGTGGAAACTCAAATTTAAATAGGTAAAATTTTACTCACCACCATTCTCTCCAAATCTTCTCAACTTTTTTCTTTCTCCTCTTTAATAAAAAGTATACTGATAGTTCATAATTTTATTTGTGTAAGCATATTTAAATATATGGTAAGAGGAAAGTTAACTATTTAACTCTCTTTAATAGTAAAAATAAACTGCCTGAATTATTTTCTGAAATAGGTTGTATGTAGATAAATACAAAATAGAATAAATGCTACCATTTAGGAAAATTTTAAAACACATGAACCTATATATTATTTTGTCTTTATCCTGTGTTATGTTTTCCTGAAAGATATAAACACATTTAATATTTTTGTGTGTTTCACTTGCTTGCTTTTTCATTGTTCTGTAACTTTTTCTTCTTTTTTGAAAAACATTATTGTTTTCCGTAAGATCTTTCTCTTACTGATTCTTGTATTTTGATGTTTGTTTACTAGACCACAGCAGTTTACGTTTCAAGATTCAAATAATTCTGTTGATTCATCAGCTTCTGATAGTGACCCTATGAGACAGAGATTTTCTATAAAAGCACACTCACGGTTACCCTACCTCGTTATATCTGATGGATATATGGTCACAACCCTTCGATTTCTTGATAGCCTATCTCCATCAGTACACATGAGATCACTTCTACTTGATTCAACCCAGAGGCTTGAGAAAATATATCAAAGTGTGATATTGTCTAAGGTATAGTGCTTTTTTATATCATTGGGGAAAGTTGCCTTTTTCTTTTCAAATTTAAAACTTTACTGACAATAATGTCCTTGAATTGTATACAGTTGTCTATAGAATTTTTAATTGCTTATAATAGAATTACAGATAACATTTTGCTCTTGGAAATCTTTCATCTTTTCTTCTTTAGCCAAAAGGCAAAGGACTGAACTTGCGATCACTGAATTCCCTAAGGTCTAGCCTGTTAGAACACCAAGGAAATGAAAGTTCAGCCGATTTCACTGTCCCCAAATTCTTGCAGGCAGAAGAAACAATAAATGAAAATGCAGCAGATTTTCAGGTACTTAGCAGCAGAATTTTATTTACTTGGAACAATTATGACTTTATTCCAAGAAACATATTCTGTTTTTCTCTTGTTAAAGGGAAGAGAAATTTAAGAACGCCAAAGTGATGCTATTGATAAGGTATTAAATGGTATTAAGTATCATTTTTTTCCCCTCATGTTTTAGGATTTTGAAGCAGAAGAAACTAACGAAGGCAGACACTTTCCAGACAACTTATGTCCTTTTTGGAACAAAAGAGATGATGTGCTGTGTAGTAGTATGAAGGAAGGAAGATTGGAATTTGCATCTATGTTTGATACGATACATGCAAAGGATGATAGTGAGGAGACAGATAGAACCATTACAGAACTGCATTCTATCCAGAAAAGTCTACTTGCAGCGTGGACTATAGGAATTTCAAAAACTGTGACAGAAAAAAATTTAATGTTAAATTACATAGTAGTTTGTATCACTCATTTTTTTTACATTCTTCAATTTATAAAATGTCCTTTTCCTAAACTTGATCTTGTTTTAAGCAAAAGCTCAAGACATAATGCATGGATACTTTGTATCTTTCAACTTTTTCATCAGTGTTTATCAATCCATTATTGGGATATAAGATACAAACAAGATGTGGGGCATTTGATAAAGCTGACCTCAAATACTGTAAAACTTTTGCTGACTCAGCAACAAAAGGGTCAGTTATTCTCAGAGAAACTTTTAGCTTGTTTTTATTTACTCAAAATGGTAGCTGACAATTTAAATGGTGTATACATTCTTCAACCTGAAGTTATTTCAGCATCAGCTGATGGAAGTAAAATAACAGCTCAAGACTCATTGGTGGTACCTATTTTTCAGATGTTTCAAGATAGTGGTTTTCAGAAAAACTGGTCTTGGAACTCATTTTTCAAGATTCATCCTCAAGTAGTAAATCCTGTGCAACAGCCAGGACACAGGTATAATCACTTATTTTAATACTGGGATACTATTAGCTTAGTTTTTTTTACTTTTTTAGAAACTGAGCTACAATTCCCATATTGTAAAATTCATCATTTTAAAATGTACTATTCAGTGTTTGTTAGTATATTTATAAGGTTGTGAAACTATTAGCACTAATTCCAGAACGTTTTTATCACCCCAGAAAGAAATCTTTTATCTGTTAGCACTCAGCATTATAGATTTTATTTTTTAAAATATTTAAGTACGTTTCAAAACATCATGTTAAATATGTCATGTTATACGTGATAAATGTATACACTTTTAGTTTGCCAAAAAAAATTGTTAGATTTATGCCAAATGTTGTACAATACATATTTTCTTAGTCTCGGAAAACCATGATCTTGAAAGATTTTGGTTTAGTTAAGTACTGTTAAAAAATGACCTCTTTTTTTTTTTTTTTTTTTTTTTGAGATGGAGTACACTCTTGTCCCCCAGGCTGGAGTGCGATGATGCAATCTCGGCTCACTGCAACCTCCGCCTCCTGGGTTCAAGTAGATTCTCCTGCCTCAGCCCCCCGAGTAGCTGGGATTACAGGCGCCTGCCACCACGCTTGGCTAATTTTTGTATTTTTAGTAGAGACGGGGTTTCACCATGTTGGCCAGGCTGATCTAGAACTCCTGACCTCAGGTGATCCGCCCGCTTCAGCCTCCCAAAGTGTTGGGATTATAGGCGTGAGCCACCACGCCCGGCCAAAATGACCTCTTAAAAAAATGACCTCTTTAAAAAATTAGGCTGGGCGCAGTGGCTCACGCCTGTGATCGAGCACTTTGGGAGGCTGAGGTGGGTGGATCACTTGACCCCAGGACTAGCTTGGGCAACACGATGAAACTCCGCAACTAAAAAATTAGCCAGGCCTATTGGCATGTGCCTGTAATCCCAGCGACCCAGGAGGCTGAGGTGGGAGGATTGCTTGAGTCCAGGAGGCAGAGGTTGAGCAGATATCACGCCACTGCATTCCAGCATGGGCGACAGGAGGAGACCTTGCCTGAAAAGAAAAAAAAAACAGTGTGGTGCACCTGTGGTCCCAGCTACCTGGGAGGCTGAGATGGGAGGATTGCTTGAGCCCGGGAGGCTGAGATGGGAGGATTGCTTGAACCCAGGAGGTTGAGGCTACAGTAAGCTGTGATGGAGCCACTGCAATTCAGCCTGGCAACAGAGCAAGACCCTGTCTCCCAGGCTGGAGTGCAGTGGCACATACCTGTAATCTCACCTGTTCGGGAGGCTGAGGTAGGGTGATCGCTTGGGCCCAGGAGTTTGAGATCAGTCTGGGCAACGTAGTGAGACCTTGTGTCTTAAAAAAAAAAAAAAAAAAAAGATTACAGGTGCTTAAAATATTTATGAAGATTTTATATAAGGCATTTTTTAATCATTTTATTTTGCACTATATTTAAATGTGATCAGTTTGTATGTATGTTATACCGATGAAGAATACAGGCAAAAAAAAAAATAGGCTAAAAAGGAGGCTAAACTCATCATTAGCCTGAAATTTGCTTTTGATAATTACCTGATTTTATGTGCAGATTGCTTATTCTCTGGAGAATACTGTACAAAAAAACTTTATGGTATCAAGCACAATTAAATCGAAGAGTTCCTGAAGCTGATAGTCAGTTAACTGAAAAGATGACACATGAAGCATCTACTGTCAAGTCCCTGTTATGTCATTTGCAGGCTAACCTACAGAGTACTGGAGATTGCTTGAATCAAACCTTAGAACTTAAATCTATCAATGGTCAGTATCTTATGAATATTTTCTAACTCCATGAATAAATGACATAGTTAACCAGACTTTGAATTTCTAATTGGTTGTAATGATTTGTTTTTCAAAATAATTTCTGGCTGAGCTCCATTAACTGGATTTTAAAACAAAGTAAATTTTTATGAAGTAATATAATTAACTATGACTAATTGTTGGTTAAAAACTTTCTAGGGGAAGAATGTTTTTTATTAGGATCATATGAAAAGTCTGTTCAGCTGTGGAAAAAAGCTCTACAAGAAATCGAAGAGAAAGGTAAGAGAGTGTTAAAAAATATGTGCCATAATATTAGCAGGACTCCTTTTAGCTTGCTGTAGACCTTAACAGTAATTCTAAATTCCAAAAAATATGTGCCATTATATTAGCAGGACATCTTTTAGCTTGCCATAGACCTTAAAAATAATTCTAAATTTCAGAGTGCTTATGATATCCTAATGCCAAATAGAATACATGTTGTAGGCAACTTGACACTCATGAATACTTATTTAAAATTATTCTTAACCTTGGAATTGGTAACACTAAAAATCTTTTCAGTGATCTGTAGATAAGTCTCCTTCTGTCCTTTCTTTGATTTGTGATAAAGCCTGTGGTTGATTGTTGATGGGAAAAATGAGATTTAGATCCTAAATAAAATAATGTGGTTTTTTTTTTGTCATTTAGAGAGACTGCAAGTATCTCAATAGGAAACTATAGGTCATATATTTCACCACCTTCTTACAGACTTAGAGAAACATGGAGCGAGGGCTTTTTGCCTTTAAGTAATTTAACTTTAAGAATTGTATGTAAGTTAAACGTATCATTGCATTAAGTATGGGCTTCGAGGAGTTTTTGATAAGGATATGGGGTGTGGATGTTAGAAACAAGTTATAGCTTTTATGATACAGAGCTGAGGGTATGGCTGAGATGACAGAGGTTCTCAGCTGGTGACCCTGGAACCCTGACTGCAACTCCTACGTGGTCAGATTTGGTCTATTATTACATTTATTTTCTGACTGCTGTGGCTTTGTATATTTCATTAATTCATTTACTTAACCAGTCTTTGTTGAGTGCCTGCTATGTGCCCAGCACTGTATTAGGCACTAGGGATAACTGAAATAAACAACTTTACCTTCAAGTTGCCTACAGTCACTTTTCTCATTATGTTTTATGGTAGATGTTTAGGGAGCACAGAAGAACACCTCAATACAATCAGGCTGGAGTGCAAGCATCAGTCTGGGGAAAGCCTCTTGGAGTTGACATTTAAAATTGAGTAGAGATTGGCCAATTAAGGTCATGGGAATGACTTAACAGAGTATATAGTGTTCCAAAACCAAAAAGGCCTGAGAAACCATGGCAATTTGGTAAACTTCAAGTAGTTTAGTAGGACTAGATTATGTGATATATGTATATGTGATATTGGCGGTAGGATCATAAGAGCTAAGTTGAGAGGCAGATGGACAACAGATGATGAAGGAGGGTCTTTAATGGAGTGGTAAGGAATTAAGATTTTATCTTGAAGACAGTGGAATCAGTTAAGACACTTTAGGTAGGAAAGGGACTTGTACAAATAAGAATAGGCTGTTTAGAAAGATCACTTTGGTACAGTTGTGGAAGGCCAGTTGCAGGACTATGACATAGGGGCGTGGGTTTTACTTGGAGGCAAGAAAATCAGTCAGACGAGAAGCCTTGAAACCAAAGCAATGTCAAGGGTAATGGAGAACAGAGGTTACATTTGACAGTTATTTAATAGGCTTGATCAGTCTACTTGTGATTGAGTAGATTTGGAGAAAGAAGGCTAGTGTAGTTCTCTGACTTGGGGATTGTCCATCTGGATGAAAAGAGCAGCATTCACTGAGATCTGAAGTTCTGGGTATAGAAAAGTTTTTGTAATGAGTTCCATTATGGACATTTTGTTTAATTTCATTTACAACTACATCCATTAGGAATGGCTTCTAGTAATGGAGATTGAAAGTAGCAGTGGCTTCAACAGAGAAAGAGTGGCTTTCCTTTGTGAAAGGAGGGCAGAAGTTGCAGTTTGGGGCTGATTTGGTGTTTCCATGGTATCACCAAGGCCCCAGGCTCCTTTAGTTTTTCTGCTGCATCATCTTTAGTGCATTGCTTCCAATCTTAAGGCCATTACCTAAGCTAAGATGGTTCCTGGACCTTCAGCTATCACATCCATGCTCTAGGCAGCAAATAGGACAAAGGTTGGAAGAGCTAGAAAGGTTGCATTTCCTAGCTGATTTACCTTTCTTTAAGCAGCTTTTCTGGAAATTGCATACAATGTTATCTCTTGAATCAGAACATAGTCACATTTTTACATGGCCACATCTAGGGAGAAATTGTGATCTGGGTGCATTATATCCCCAAATAAGATTGGTATTATTTTACTCAGAAAGAATGGATAAGAGGTAGGCAACCAGCAGTTTCATTCTTCAGATACGTAAAGGCAGTTGTCAGGGGCTCCTATCTTATTGGATAACTGTTTCTTCTGCTTCAGTAAGTCTCTTTGGCCATCCCTTTGATATACATATGGTTCCTTGGAGTTTTTTGTGGCATGTTCCCTTTTGTTTCATACTGTGTATACTTGAGATAAAAGTTATTAGTAGACCTTAATGTTAAGATGATAAGAATTTGCAGCTTTCTTTGGATAAAATCTAAGTCATCCTAGGGTGTGATGAAAGAAAATAAATTGTTTAGAATTTAAAATGAAAAAGAGCAAAGTATGCTAAAAAAATATAAGATAGGAGCCCCTGACAACTGCCTTTACATATCTGAAGACTGAAACTGCTGGTTGCCTACCTCTTATCCATTCTTTCTGAGTAAAATAATTCCAATTTTATTTGGGGATGTAATGTACCCAGATCACCTGTGAAAAAAATCATTTATTGAAGTGTGAAACAGATGCAGAAAAGTTTACATATCATGAGTGTACAACTTGATGAATTTTCACAAACTACACACTCCCGTCAATTGAGCACTACACCAAGGGCATTCCTTTGCTTACATACTTTTAAGGTGAGCTTACTTCTTGTTTCAGGAGGAAGAAGGACGTATTTTCTTCAGATACGCTATTATCTTTCTCTCTTATACTGCCACCTCTATAGCTATAATTTAAATGATGCTCAAGGATTGTGTGATCAGCTAGCAAGAGAAATCCTGAGATGGTCCCAACTACCTGTAAAAGAAAATAAAGATTTTTCAGGTATGCTTTTTTTTTTCTTTCTTTGTATTTTTAAAAAGAGACAGGGTCTCCCTATGTTGCCAGCCTGGCTTCAAACCCCTGAGCTCAAGTAATCCTTCTACCTCAGCCGCCTCAAGTGGCTAGGACTACAGAATGCAGTATGTTTACTTGTTAGTTTGTATTTTTAGTGTAGACATGAAATTGCTTATACATAAAAGTTGGTTGTTCTACCTCTCTGGTGATTAAGTATATTATGTTGGATTTTGGACTCTCAGCTTCCCAATAGCAGGGACTATGTTGAAGTTTTTTGTTTGTTTGTTTTTAAATCTTAGAATCCCCAGGATTTAACAGTATAGTAATTGCCTGCTGAGCTGATAGTATGATTGCTTTCTTACAACCCTATTTGTTAGACATAATTTTAGGACCCAAGTGTTTTTTCCTTAGTATGTTAACTATTGCTTACAGCAGTTTAGTGAAATCATAAAAATCATTTTCCGAGAATATTTTTAGTCTTTTAAAAAATCTGGGCCGGGCACAGTGGCTCACGCCTGTAATCCCAGCACTCTGGGAGGCCAAGGCAGGTGGATCACAAGGTCAGGAGATGAGACGATCCTGGCTAACATGGTGAAACCCCTTCTCTACTAAAAATACAAAAAAATCAGCCAGGCTTGGTGGCGGGCACCTGTAGGCCCAGCTCTGAGGCAGGAGAATGGCATGAACCTGGGAGGTGGAGCTTGCAGTGAGCGAGCCAAGGTAGCGCCACTGCACTCTAGCCTGGGTGACAGAGCCAGACTCCATCTCAAATTAAAAAAAAAAAAATCTGTTTAAGAGATTGCAGAGTATCTGGATTGACTTTTTCAAAGAGGTATATTTAAATTAGGCAATAACCAGAGGGAAAGATATATATGAATGAACATGTAATATATTTATAATGCTTATAGGGTGGTAGACTGCTAGATGTTTACTGTATATACGAATGTGTCTGAAAGGCCCAATGTATTTGAAATTTCTAAACAGAGTTGATAGCAATTTCATTCTTGATTGTTTCAGCCACTGTTTATAAATGTCTTATTTTGTGAGTTTTTTTTTTTTTTGAGATATGGTCTTATTCTGTTGCCGAGGCTGGAGTGTGGTTGAGTGATCTTAGCTTATCTGACCTCTGGCGCCTGGGCTCAAGCCATCCTTCCACCTCAGCCTCGTGAGTAGCTGGGACTACAGGTGTGTGCCACCACACCCAGCTAATTTTGTTTTTTTTGTAGAGATGGGATTTCACCATGCTGCCCAGGCTGATCTTGACTTCCTGGGCTCAAGCAATCCACCCACCTTGGCCTCCCAAAGTGTTGGGATTATAGGTGTGAGCCACTGTGCTTGGCTTACTTTCTGATTTTTATCTTTTTAAATTTTTATGTTCATTAAGGAAGTAATACGTGTTCATATTAGGCAATTTTGAAAATACAGAAAAGTAGAAAGGAAACAAAATCACTTACAAGTTTAGTTTTTTTTTGTCTAGGGCCTTTTGACACATGTATATGTATATATTACCGGAGCTGGATAGTCTTATAAATTTAAAATTATGATGAATATTTTCCAGTGCCAATAAACTTAAAAAAATCTATTGAATCTTTTTCCCATTATTGTACATTTTGTTGCCATGTATTTACTATTTTAAATAATGCTGCAGTGTACCTAAATATTTGTGAGCATTACTAATAATTTCTCTAAGATAAATTCCGAGAAATGAGTCTGCTGGGAAATGAGGTAGCTGGAACCACAGGCATGTGCCTCACGCCTGGCTAATTTTTTTTTTCTTTTTTTTTGAGATGGAGTCTTGCTCTGTCACCCAGGCTGGAGTGTAGTGGCGTGATCTTGGCTTACTGCAACCTTTGCCTCCTGGGTTCAAGCGATTCTCCTGCCTCAGCCTCCTGAGTAGCTGGGATTACAGGCATGCGCCACCATGCCTGGCTGACTTTTGTATTTTTAGTAGAGATGGGGTTTCACCATGTTGGTCAGGCTGGTCTCAAACTCCTGACCTCGTGATCCACACACCTTGGCCTCTCAAAGTGCTGGGATTACAGGCGTGAGCCACTGTGCCCAGCCATGCGTGGCTAATTTTTAAAAATTATTTTATTATTTGTAGAGATGAGTCTTGGTATATTGCGCAGGCTGATCTCAAACTCCTGGGTTCAAGTGATCTTCACACCTCAGCCTCTCAAAATGCTGGGGTTATAGGTGTGAGCCACTGTACCCAGGGTGAAAGACTTCTGTATATGACTTTTTAAATGACAGGATAGTCTTTATTTATTTGTTTATTTTTGCAATATTGTCCTTACGTGATTTAACTTTCATGATAAGTTGAACCTGTAGTAATTCATTTGTTTTAATTTTTTTTTTTTTTTGAGATGGAGTTTCGCTCTTGTGGCACAGGCTAGTGTGCAATGGCACTATCTCAGCTCACTGCAACCTTCGCCTCCCAGTTTCAAGCAGTTTTCCTGCCTCAGCCTCCCGAGTAGCTGGGATTACAGGCGCCTGCCACCATGCCTAGCTAATTTTTGTATTTTTAGTAGAGACGGGGTTTCACCACATTGGCCAGGCTGTTCTTGAACTCCCGACCTCAGGTGATCCACTCACCTCAGCCTCTCAAAGTGCTGGGATTACAAGCGTGAGCCACCGCGCCCAGCTCATTTGTCTTAATTTTTAATGATGATTGCTTAAAATATATTAAGCATATACTTACTGGGTTGGGGACCCCAAAATTACCCCCTAGATTTGATGGTTCACTAGGAAAACTCAGAAGATTTAACATATAGTTGTACTCATAGCTATGATTTATTACAGTGAAAGAAAACAGCAAAATCAGCAAAGGGAAAAGGTGCATGGTATGAAGTTTGGAGAAAACCAGGAATAAGCTTCTATGAATCCTCTCCCAGTAGAGTCACACAGGATGTCCCTAGTTTCCTCAGTGACAAGTTGTGACAACATGTGAGATATAGTCTACCAGGGAAGTTCATTAGAACCTCAGTGCTCAGGGTTTTTAATTGGGGGGCTGGTCACATAAACCCCTTCTGCCTTAGTACAAACCAAAATTCTACACTCTCAGAGGGAAAACAGATGTTCAGCGTAAACCACATTGTTTATACAGTTTAGGTTCAGTGAGCTCTTCTTATCAGTTAGGGTGGTGGAAATCCTCCCAAAATCCAAGTTCCCAGATACCAGCCAAGGACCACCTTACAAGCAAGCATTTCAAGCAGTCATGCATGCTATGGTAGTTCCTTTCTGCACACCTACCTTATTAAATAATTGTCTATAGTTATTTAATTTTTATTAAATAGGGTTTCTATTATTTTTATTTTTATTTTTATTTTTTTGAGATGGAGTCTCGCTCTTGTCACCAGGCTGGAATGCAGAGGCACGATCTCGGCTCATTGCAACCTCTGCCTCCCGGGTTCAAGCAATTCTCCTGCCTCAGCCTCCTGAGTAGCTGGGATTACAGGCTCCTGCCACCACACCTGGCTAATTTTTTTTCTATTTTTAGTAGAGACAGAGTTTCACCATGTTGGCCAGGCTGGTATCGAACTCCTGACCTCAGGTGATCCTCCCCCCTCGGCCTCCCAAAGTGCTAGGATTACAGGCATGAGCCACTTCGCCCAGCCGGGTTTCTGTTATTAACATTAGCACTGCACCCTATACAGAATTACACTTTATTTTTATTTATTTATTTATTTATTTATTTATTTATTTGAGATGGTGTCTCGCTCTGTCGCCCAGGCTGGAGTGCAATGGCGCAGTCTCGGCTCACTGCAACTTCGGCCTCCTGGGTTAAAGTGATTCTCCTGCCTCAGCCTCACTAGTAGCTGGGATTACAAGCGTGCACCACCATGCCCAGCTAATTTTTTGTATTTTTAGTAGAGACGGGGTTTCACCATATTGGCCAGGCTGGTCTCTAACTCCTGACCTCAGGTGATCCACCTGCCTTGGCCTCCCAAAGTGCTGGGATTACAGGCATGAGCCACTGCACCCGGTCGAGATTTACACTTTGAAAATTTTTTTAACTTCTAAATTGATACAGCTTTATTCTGTGACAATAACTTTTATCATCAGGTCACTCCCTATTTAAGAGGCTGATTCCTGAGTTTTGCATAAGGTTTGAATGATTAAGATTACTGAAAATCTTACCTTTGTATAATTCCTCCATAAGTTTTACCCAGGAGAAAAAAATTTTTACCCAGGTATCTCTAACTCGAATGTGAAGAAATAGTGTGGTTTTTCCCCCCAAATATTACAGTGACTAAATGAAGACTACTGCTTGAAGGCTAATAAAATTTTCTCAATTCCTTTTGTTTAAAAAAAGAAACCAGGTAACATTAATTAACATTATTTTCTTTATTAACAATATTCCTTTGAGGGCCTACTATATGAGAGGAGAAGTGCTAGGTGCTGGGACATACAGTGAACAAGATAGAAATCCATACACATATAAAATGTAATTTCCCATGAATATGTGTCAGATCACTTCTGGAAAAGAAAGATACCTTTCTATTGTTGGAGCCATACACTTCATACCAACTAATGTTATCCTAGTATTTATCTATACAGTATTTAGTAGTTTTAAGCTAATTTATTTTCAAATTTGTGAATGCCAGCTTATATTATTATTGAGATTCTCAAGTGGGAATGACGCATGTCCTCTAATCCTGCTAGTGCACTTTGGAGTTATGCCAGAAATTTTGATGTGATTCTTCTGTCCACCTGCTATCTAGCCATCTCCCTTCACTCCACACATTTGTGTGCGTGTGTTTGAGATAGGGCCTCACTCTGTCACCTAGGCTGGAGTGCAGTGGCGTGATCACAGCTCACTGCAGCTTCAACCTCCCAGGCTCAAGTGATCCTCCTGCCTCAGCCTCCTGAGTAGCTGGGACTATAGGCACATGCCACCACACCTGGCTAATTTTTGTATTTTTTTGCAGTGATGGGGTTTCTCCATGTTGCCCAGGCTGGTATCAAACTCCTGGACGGACTCAAGTGATCCTCCATCCTGGGCCTCCCAAAGTGTGGGGATTACAGGCATGAGCCTCTGTGCCTGGCCCACCCCACACGTTCTTTTTGCTACTGCCTGCCCCCCAAAATCTTATACTAGTGAGCTACTATTACTAATGGGAGTATATTAAGATTCTCAGATCTAATGGTACAGACAAAAGCATTAAGAATCTTGGGTGGTCATGGTGGCTCACACCTGTAATCCCAGCATTTTGGGAGGCTGAGGCGGACCGATTACTTGAGCTCAGGAGTTCAAGACCAGCCTGTCCAACATGGCGAAACCCCATCTTGACCAAAAAAATACAAAAAAAATTAGCCGGTCAAGGTGGCGTGTGCCTATAGTCCCAGCTACTCAGGAGACTGAGGCGGGAAGATGGCCTAAACCTTGGAGGCAGAGGTTGCAGTGAGCTGAGAATGTGCCACTGCACTCTAGCTTGGGTGACAGAGCAGGATTCTTTCTCAAAAAACAAAAAAGAAAAAAAGAAAAAAATCTTATATCAGTGCTTTTTAGATTATTTTTGTAGTAAGCCCTGCCCCGTTTATCTTCAAAAAAAAAAAAAAAAAAAAAAAAGGAAAGAGAAGGAAAAACGGGAAATAAATAATGAAATTCTAAGCTTGCAAGGCTGTCGTGCCTGGGTCATTTTGTATAGATACCTCCATTTAAAAAATAAAACTTAAAGTTGTGAACAGTTCTTAGGTGTATGTGCACATAATTACTAACTACAGTTGACCATTGAACATCACAGGGGTTAGGAGCACCAACACCCTCATGCTGTCAAAAATTCGTGTATAACTTGACTCCCGAAAAACTTAACCATTAATAGCCTACTGTTGACTAGAAGCCTTACTGGTAACATAAATAGTTGATTAACATATATTTTATATGTTGTATATATTATATACTGTATTCTTAGAATAAAGTAAGCCAGAGAAAGGAAAGTTGTATTAAGAAAATCCTAAGAGGCCAGGTACAGTGGCTCATGTCTGTAATCCCAGCACTTTGGGAGGCCGAGGCGGGCAGATCACCTGAGGTCAAGAGTTCGAGACCAGTCTGACCAACATGGAGAAAACTGGTCTCTACTAAAAATACAAAATTAGCCGGGCGTGGTGGCACGTGCCTATAATCCCAGCTACTCAGGAGGCTGAGGCAGGAGAATCACTTGAACCCAGAAGGCGAGGTTTGTGGTGAGCTGAGATCGCACCATTGCACTCCAGCCTGGGCAATAAAAGTGAAACTCTGTCTCAAAAAGAGAAAAAAAAATCATAAGGGAAAATACATTTCCAGTATTGTACTGTATTTATTGATACCACAAGTTTATGTTATCTGTTTCCAAGATTAATTGTCTGAAATGGTAGACAACCATAGCTGCAGACCTCAATCCATGGTATGTCTCAAGTAATTCAACTTTTACTTGTAATGTCATGATTTTTTTCTGCTTATTCAGAACACTTCCAGGATCTCTGGTGGCACTTCCTGTAGGTCTTATGGTGTTATTCAAGGTTTATGGTACTGCACTAAACGTGATGAGAACTACACAAGAATTGTGAGGTTGCTTTTTATTGCCATGTGCACTTTACTAGAGAGATGAACTGCTCATGCAGAGATGATTAGCATCACACAGTATTTTAAGCAAATACTTGCAACACTTGAACTCCTCAAAATAGCAACAGGAAGTAGCTGCAAAATTAATACAGTAGTACAGTAGGAACTACAATGAATTTTATGCAGTTATTTAATACTTTATCTTTATGTGTGTTTACATTTCTCTTGACTGTGAACAGTGCCATATATGGCCTGTAAGTGTTTGTGTAAATTTTGATAATTTTTTTTTGAGTCAGGGTCTATCTAGCTCTGTTGCCCAGGCTGGAGTGCACTGGCACAATCTCAGCTTACTGCAGCCTCCGCCTCCTAGACTCAAGCGATCCTCCTACCTCAGCACCCTGAATAGCTGGGACTATAGGTGCGCACAACCATGCCCAGCTAATGTTTCTTTTTATTGTATTTTTCTGTAGAGGTGGGATTTCACCATGTTGCCCAGGCTGGTCTCAAACTCCTGAGCTCAAGAGATCAGCCCACCTTGGCCTTCCAAAGTGCTGGGATTATAGGTGTAAGCCACTGTACCCAGCCAATTTTGATAAATTTTAACTTTTTATAGTTTATATGTATTTTATGGTACTAAATGATAAAATAATTATTTACATATATTTTTTATATTGATGACATACCTTTTTCTTTTTTTATTGATATTTCTAGGTTATGTGGTATGCCTACAAATTTTTTCAAATTGTCACAAATCTCCAAAACATTTTCTAGTACATTTATGGAAAAAAAATCTGTATATATAAGTGGATTTATGCAGTTCAAACCCGTGAAGTTCAAGGGTCAATTGTAATTGTTTCTGGTTTTATTGTCTTTAAGAAGTACGGTACCTATTATAATTCAGCTTGTATTGGCCATGGGTGCTTATCTCAGAAAAAAAGGTATTGCAATTTTCTTTTTGTATAATGTTGGGAACTTAAATATTATTACTTTTGGTAGTTGATCACAATCTTCTTAGGTCATTGCTGTATTCCTTAGGTGCTGCAAAGTCTCATTTTGAGTGTGGAATGGTGGGCGGTGTTCATCCTGAGGCAGCAGTGAGAGTCGTCCAGTCCATGGCTCGTTTCATGGCTGCCTATTTCACCAATCAGCAGCTTTGCATTTTGCCCCCTCATCATGTGAATGTTCTTCCCCCACTTCATATTAAAACAGGTAATGTAGTAAACAAATCCTTTTTAAACTTTTTTTGCATTGCACATAATATAATATTTAAAACATATTATACAGAGGCCATTACTCAATGATACTGTTCTAGCATAGTATCTGAAACATAGGAGGTGATTTATGACTATGAATGAATAGAATCTGAGAAAAGTAATGGCTTAGATTCGTTTTTACTGAACATGGCTTTTTAAAATCACAAAATTGGGACAAGTTGATCTTTATAAAGTTTTTAGTTTTAAATTTTAATTTATTAATTATTTCTTTTTAGAGATGGAATTTTGCTATATTGCTCAGACTGTTTTTGAACTCCTGGCCTCAAACAATCTTTTCTTTTTTTTGAGACTGAGTTTCGCTCTTGTTGCCCAGGGTGGAGTGCAATGGTGTGATCTTGGCTAACTGCAACCTCCACCTCCTGGGTTCAAGCAATTTTCCTGCCTCAACCTCCCAAGTAGCTGGGATTATCGGCATATGCCACCACACCTGGCTAATTTTTTGTATTTAGTAGAGACAGGGTTTCACCACGTTAGTCAGGCTGGTCTCGAACTCCTGACCTCAGGTGATCCACCTGCCTTGGCCTCCCTGCTGGGATTATAGGCGTGCGCCACGTGCCCGGCCAAATGATCTTAACCACCTCAGCCTCCCAAGTAGCAGGGACTATAGGTGTGCCCAGCTGAAGTTTCAATTTTTAAAGTGAAAGAGCTGCCACCTTCATTTATGTCAAAATGTAGAGATTTAATAAATATTGAGCCTGCTAATTCAGTATTTAATGTTATTTGGATGATTTACTTTTATTATTTTATTTGGACCATTTACTTTTTAAATTTAATACTTTCATTAGTATGGTCAAAATGCATCTAATCCTGTGCTAGATAACTGCCCTGCTCTCAGTATAAACAGGTACACAAATTTCTATGATATTCATTCATTCTAATTTTTATTAAGTGCCTACTATTTGCCACACAGTATTCTTAGTGCTGCACATATACTAGCTTGCACCACATGAAATTGATAATACGAAAACATTTGTAGTTTCTTTCTTTTTTTTTTTTTTGGATTACACATTTTTATTCAGAGTTTTATCTGTTGATAGAGAAACATTTACAAAGGAGTAAATGTTATGTAATTTCTCATGGTATGTAAGTTAGAAGCTGGGCAGCAAACATGGTTACCAAGAGTCATCTGGTTCTTCATGAGAAAAGCGTGTTAAACTTTCGACTTTGTCACTACATTGCAGTGTGTCCACTAGGGAGCCTTCCTGGACCATCTTTTTTGAGCTCTTATCTGCCGACTCCTGGTCTTGCTGGATGATTTTCATGTATTTCTCTAAAGGATTTTCACTGTGAGCAGATTTGTCTTTCATTTCTTGATTACTCATTTCTAATTCATTTTCCATTTCAATCTTCAGTGATTCTTCAGTCATCCTCCTTTCCTGATACAGTTTTTCTAGTTCTCTTCTTTCCCTTTCTAAAATTTCTTGTAGGTTACTCTGCCTTCTTTCTTCTCTCTGCTTTCGTTCTTTCACTTGCTGTTCCCATATTTTTTCTTCTTCCTTTTGTTCTTCAATTTGTTTCTGATCTACACTTGGGTGCTGATATGAGAGGGGCACAGCAGCTACAGCTGCGCCCATATGAAGCATATCCCCGGCAGGAGAGGGCCCATCCATTTCAAACTGCCTTGGCACATTCCGTGCATATTCAAAAGATGATTCAAATTCCTCGTTATCCTTAAAAGCTAGCTTGTCCGCATCTGAAAATTCACTTTTGTCTTGAAGTTCATTTTGTCTCCAGTAAAGACCCGCTTTCTGCTCCGGAGGGCTGGAGAAGGGAGGGATGGAGAGGTTGTGCCTAGACTCAGCGGGTGATGGCGGGGGCATTCTGTCAGGATAAGGACTGGGGGAAGCAATGTGTGATCTGCCCAGACCTTCCAGATATATTTCACTTTCAAGGCTTCTTTTTGCTTTTGGAAGGGGTGTGGAGGAGAGGCGTCTGGAGGAAGTGCCCCCGCATAGCCTTGAGGCTGCACTGCCTGTCAGGGCTTCCAAGATGTCATTCCTTTCTTCTTTAAGTGTGCCCACTTGAGGCTGCTCAGAGACAACTCTGTCCTCTGCAAAAATACGTCTTTCCGGGGAACTGGAAGTAATGTTTTTGAAGGCTTCCAGCAAGTGCAGAGATGGTGGGCTCTTTGCTGGTAGTGGGCCTTTGGCAGAGTTTTTAATGTCTCTCCGATGGTAACTTCTGAAAGCCTTTTCCAAGCGTTCCGCCTCTTGCTGAAGCTGTTTGACCCTTGCATTAGTATTGGCGACAAACTCAAGGTCAGAATCAGGGGAACTACCCTCCATCCCTGCATTTGGATAATTTGTGATCCTTGATGCAACCGTACCTGCTAGAACTTTTTCCTGTTTAAAAGGATTGTTCAAGAAATCCCCACTTATCTCACCATTGTGAAGCACCATGTTGCCATTTATTAATCCATTGGCAGAATGATGGATCACAGACTGCTTTGGATTGCAGTACACTTCATTCTCTAGGGCTGTCTGAGTTTGCTTCAATTGCGATTTTAAATCGGCAACCTGAATAGTTAACCTCTTTATGGAAACTTTGTAACCTAGTATCTGGGCCTTCAACTGTGTAGTATGCTCAATTTCATCTTGCAGTTGTTTGTGCAGAGCTTGTTTGCGGCTTTCGAACTCCTCATGCTCAACCACTGTAGCCTTTTCTGCTCTCCTTAGTTCTTTCTGAAAGACCGCAAGTTCAGGAGCCAGCTGAGCTAGGCGGTTTAGGAGACGCAAGTTTTCATTTCTACTCTCTTCCAGTTGTTGTTTAAGTAATTTATTTTGTGCCAGAAGCTCCAGTCTCTCTTCTTTTAGTAGTGAATAGTCACTCATCACTTTAACCTTTTCATTCAGCATATGGTTTTGTTTTGTTATTGCCAAAGACTGGGCTTTGACAGACTCTAATTCAAGCTCAAGTTCTTTCATGCGATTTATAGATTGATTGAGTTCCTCCTTTTTTGAATTAAAAGCTATGAGCTCCTCTTGCAAATGAACAGCTTTTTCTTTATTCTTCCTTTCATCTTCAATCAGTCGATTAGTTCTAATGATGTAGTCGTCCTTTAGTTCAAGTTGATACTTTAGGAGTTCATTCTTGAGTTTTTGGTCATAGGTCTTCTCAAAACTCTTTATATTCTGCTCCCGTCTCCTAAGTGCCTCAGTCATACTTTTATGTTTTTCTTCCTGGAGCTTCTGGTTCAGTTCAAAAGCTTCAACTCTTTGCTTCAGCTCTGCTTCTCTTCCTCTTAGCAAATCCATATCTTTTAGTAAAAGTTGCCTTTGAGCATAAATCTCTTTTGTTTCAATCTCTTGGTGCTTTTGAATTCTCTCAAGGGTGCTCTTTTCCCGAATAACAAGGGCTTCAGATTTTGCTTGACAAGCTTTCTCAAAATCATTCTGGAACACGGCTAATTCCTTCTCATACTTTTTTTTTGCTTCCATTTTAATTTTTCCTATTTCGGTATCTTTAAAAAACTTCAACTTTTGACATATTTCTTCCCGAAGTTGCTCTTCTATTTCTCTCTTATATTCATTTAGCTTTATTTCTAAAGACTCAAACTTGATACGCTGAGGGTAAGCATCTGCAAACTGATCATCAATAAGCTGAAGCTTCTCAGCCAGAGAATCTCTGCTAAATGTCGAACTTGTCTGAGTTTCCATATTACAACTTTCTTTAGCTTGATGATATTCTGCCAATCCTTTTAAAAAATGCATAAGAAAACCTTTTTGGTTTTCTTTATCAGCTCCTGAAACCAGTGATTTGTACAGACTGGAAGTAGGGTTGATTTTAATGAGTTGTAATAGATCCTGCATAGTAAATACCTTTTCTTTTGCCAAACCACTTTCTAGAAAGAAAACAGAAAGTGAATATTCACAGCCACATCTTTGTAAGTGATCTGCCACTAAAGAGTTAGAGGCACTTATTAAGAGGGAGCTCCCTTGCACTGAAATGGACTGAGGTTGCAGTTCTCCACTCAATACAGGGTGCATTAACTCATGAATTAGCTGGTTTCGAAGTTGTATCTTGAGTGTTTCCAGTATACCCCGATCCTTAAATGTCTGGTATAGCTTTTTGCGCAGTTCATTTTGACTCAACACATCAGCCACGGGGAGCATGTTGGACTGAGCCATCATCAGCCGTCAGCTTCCTCCGGAGCCCGCCTCGCTCGCCCCGCCGTGGCCCGAGTTTAGTGCCCAGCTGGGGCTGTAGGGCCAAGACGAGGGGGAATCCCTGCCCTCCAGAGCCCTGCTTCTGTCCTGAGGGGTCGGGAGGAACAAGGGTGCTGAACGCTCTCTGCCTTGCACTCCCAACTAGGTTTTCTAACAAACACGCTAGCTTCCTTTCTTCGCGGTTCTGAGGAATGAGTGAGGACCGTGACCCAGTCACGAATCAAAGGCGGCTGGAGGGCGGGGACCCGGAGACTAGGGACAGAAGGCGGCAAGGCAGGACCGCCTCACATCCCATCCTTCGTCTCCCGAGACCGGCTCAGTACAGCCTTCCCGTTCTGGAGAGCTACGGCGCATGCGCATGTTTTCTTTTTTTCTTTTCTTTTTTTTTTTCATCTGTGAAACAGATTTATCCTAACTGCAATGAACAAAGTGATAAAGTACTTGTTCTTTTACGGGGTTTACGTCTAATATGTTGAGACAGAAATTTAAATATATAAACAAGATATATCAAATGGTTATAACTGTTATGGAGAGAATTAAAATAGAGCAATACAGCGTGACTGAGTGGCAATTTGAGATTGGAATTTCAGGAGTAGCTCTCTGAGGAGGTGAAAGTTAAGCTGAACTCTTTTTTTTTTTTGGGGGGGGGGGGAGACAGAGTCTTGCTCTATCGCCCAGGCTGGAGTGCAGTGGCGCAGTCTCGGCTCACTGCAAGCTCCGCCTCCTGGGCTCGTGCCATTCTCCTGCCTCAGCCTCCTGAGTAGCTGGGACTACAGGCGCCCACCACCTCGCTGGGCTAATTTTTTGTATTTTTAGTGGAGACGGGGTTTCACCGTGTTAGCCAGGATGGTCTCGATCTCCTGACCTCCTGATCCGCTCACCTCGGCCTCCCAAAGTGCTGGGATTACAGGCGTGAGCCACCGCTCCCGGCCTCTAAGCCGAACTCTTAATAACAAAAAAGAGTTGGATACATCAAGGCACAGGGCATTCTAACCTGAGTTTGTGTAAAAGCCCCAGGGCAAGAACAAGTTTGATGTGTTTGAGAAACGGAAAGATCTGTGTGGCTGTAAACTAGAGGAGGAGGGCTGGGCATGTTGGCCTATGCCTGTAATCCCAGCACTTTGGGAAGCCAGGCCGATTGCTTGAGTTCAGGAGTTTGAGATCAGCCTGGGCAACATTATGAAACCCTGTCTCTACAAAAAATACAAAAATTAGCCCGCCATGGTGACATGTACCTGAGATTCCCAGTCACTTGGGAGGCTGAGGCAGGAGGATTGCTTGAGCCCAGATGACAGAGGTTGCAGTGAGATCACGTGATTACACTCCAGCTTGGATGACAGAGCAAGACTGTCTCAAACAAAACAAAACAAAACAAAACAAAAACAACAACAACAAAAAAACCAAAGCAAACAAAAAAAAACTAGAGAAGGAAGTGGAGAGTGATATGAGTTGCATTCAGTAAAGGGGCCAGATGATGTAAGCCATGTTAAGAAATCTGAATTTTAAGTATCATGGGAAGCTGTTGGAGGGCTTTAAGCAAGAGTAGACATGAACAGATACATATGTATGTACAAGGCACACCTAAGTTAGAGTAGTACAAGTTAAAATACTATCAGAAATTTAATAAAGATGGCAACAAGTGGTCAGCAAATATAATCAGTCGTAGAACCATGGATTTTGAACTATGTGTTCAAACTCCTATGTTCTGTGAATGTTTCAGGATGCATATACATTTCATGTTAATTTTTCTAATCAGAATGTTTCTAGGGATTTGAGTTGCTTATTTGGTGTGATATTTTAAAAGGTCGTGAACTTTTTTACTGTGTGAAAGTAGTAAAATTTTCAGAAAATTTAATTATTCAAGTTATTTTAATGGTATATTACCTTGCTCGTAGTGAATAAAAATAGGAAAAATTTAGCCAGTCTCCTGGCTCCTTTGCTTATGCAAAATCAGACATCCAAGTGGTTGAAAACTTTTTGTTTTTCCTGATGTGTTTGTCAGAGAGCTAAAATGTTAGTTCTTGCAGTAGGCATAGCCTGTATAGGTCATGTGAGAAACTCACCATTTCGAGGAACAGAGAAGCTCATGAATGCTGTTTATGACTTTTATTTTGAGAGAATGAGTAAAAATCCCATCAACATGTATTTTTTAATAACATTTCTTTTATCCTATTTTTAAGTTGCTTTATCAAGTTACTTCAATTAGGGAAAGGGACAGAAGGCCAGGGGGAACGATATTATCCTTTTGTATTAAATCACAGGCCAGATGGCAATCTTATTATTTAGTCAGAATTACTGAACATCACACTTTTCTGCTTTGTAATCAACACTAATATTGACACTTAATATGCTTCATTGTTACCTCAACTTAGTCTTTTATTGCATAACACTGTGGGTAACACAAAGTCAGATAAAATGTAGTCTCTGCCTTCTACATTTCATAATCTAGTATGAGAAATAAACATGTATTTCTGAGCATCCCACAGTAATAAATTGCACATTGTGACCCATGTCACGGTAATAAATTGTACTTTGTGAACCAGTAGTATAGTAGATATAAATGTTTTTTGTATGTGTTTACATATTACCTGACACAAAAGTTTCATTAAACAGTATTTACCTTTATTTTGTGTCTGATACTTTCTATTCTGTTTTGTTTTTTTTCTCTTTTGTTTCATTTTTAAAATAATGCTGGCATTTGTTTCATGACCCACGAATGAGGCACATTCTTCAGTGTTAAAAGTGTTCTAGGGCATGTTGAGTATTACTTTAGCCCATTTTGTATGTATCTTCCTGGTGGTTTTTTGTAGATAATACTGATTGAAGAGATAAATATGCCCATGTAAAGAAGCATGAGTTTGGATGTGATTGTAATAATCCATTTTTAAAAATTTACTCACAGAGCAGTCCTTTCGACTTATTCCTCTGCAACACTCTAAGGTGGCCAGTGTTGTTAGAGATCAGAATCTCTCTAATGTGTGGACAGTTGAATATGCACTTGAATTACTATTTATTGGTGGCCTGGTTCCAGAGGCTGTGTGGTTGGCATATAAACTTGGAGACTGGAAGACGTCTGTTTCAATTGGTGTGGCTTTCCAGCTGTTCTGTAAACGTGATAGCAATTTCATGAGGTATGGATTTTTAGGCAATTTTAAGATATAGTATGATTGAACTATGTATTTTATATTTCTCTTATTGCTGGTATTTACATTTTATGTGGAATCCTTAGTTCAGCATTGTTCAATGGAACGTTCTTTAGTGATAGAAATGTGTTGTCCAGTATGGTAGCCACTCACCACAAGTAACTATTGAAATGCAGCCAGTGAGACCAAGGAATTAAATTTTCAATTTAACTTTAGTTAATTTAAATTAAAATAGCCACATATAGTTAGTGGTTACTGTATTGAACAGCTCAGTGGCTTACTTATTTGTGTTAAAACATTTATTAATAGCCAGGGGCGATGATCGTGCCTGTGGTCCCAACTACTTGGGAGGCTGAGGTGGGAAGATCACTTGAGCGCGGGAGGTCAAGGCTGCAGTGAGCCGTGATCATGTCATTACACGTCAGCCTGGGCAACAGAGTGAGACCCTGTCTCAAAACAAACAAAAACCATTTATTTAGCACACTTATGTGTTAGTAAAGCCCGTGTTTAGGGTAGCAATTAGAAATAAGAATGGGGGGAGTATATTAGGATCATAATCGTGGAGGGTCTTAATACAATATTTCCTTGAATATATCTTTTTTACATGTACGATAGATAAAAAAGTAAATTCCATTGTTTCTTAAACTTTCATGTTTAGTCCTTGATATGTGAAACCTTTCCTTTTTTTTCAAAATTTGGATTCATTTCCCTTAATTTGATGTCATTTCAGGTCCAAGAAAAAGAGTCTGAATCTACCACTCCGTATGACTCCAGCACAGATTTTTCAGGAAAAACTGCAGTGTGTTTTAGGTCAACCAGCCTCTTTGGAAGCAAAAAATGAAATGGGCTCAAAATATAAACAGTTTACAGGTGTGTTATGTATGTATAGTCTGATTCGTGTCAGATTAATATAAACCTTATAATACCTTAAAAAGTTTATACATGTCTACAAATGTATTAACACTTTGAAATAAACTTATCAAAAATGAAAGTATGATATTTATTTTTATTTTATTTTATTATTTTTTGAGATGGAGTGTTACTCTGCCACCCAGGCTGGAGTGCAGTGGCGTGATCTTAGCTCACTGCAAACTCTACCTGCCGGGTTCAAGCAATTCTCCTGCTTCAGCTTCCCGAGTAGCTGGGATTACAGGCGTGGGCCACCACGTCCGGCTAATTTTTGTAGTGTTTGTAGAGACAGGGTTTCACCTTGTTGGCCAGGCTGGTCTCAAACTCCTGACCTCAGGTGATCCGCCTGCTTTGGCCTCCCAAAGTGTTGGGATTACAGGCATGAGCCACTGCGCCCGGCTGAAAAATGAAAGTATGATATTTATACTTAACCATGGGAACACCCAAAATTGATGCCAGCTTACAATACAAGGGTTGATAACTGAATGATTTTCTGATTTTCCATACATGCCTTTTTTTTTTTTTTTAAATATTAAAGTAGCTTTCTTGATGCCGCAGTGTTACAGCTCTCTGACTCCTCCTGCAGAGCAAGGCCACCCCAGAGACTATGTTGAGAGTAGCCTTCATACATACCTTTACACTAATTATATTTCGCTTCATTTGTATCATTTTCTTTTGGAGCTGTAGAATCTCAAGCCTGGAAGGGTACTTAGGAGTGATTTATTTCAACTCTCACCTAGTGCATAAATTATAGATCTTTTTTATTTGAAAAGTTCAAAATGGTATTAAAAAATTAAAAATGATAGAATATTACATGTATTACATGGATTCACACAGGAATCCTATAAAATTTATCTGTTTTACAGTTGGAGAAATTTAGATAAAAAGTAATGAAATCAGTCATTTAATGTCGTATATTTAATGTAAAACCAGGGCAACTGTGAGGCCCTTCTGTTTTTATTGGTGCTTTGCTCCAGTAAAGAGTGAGACTTCTAACTCTAGATTCCTAAAACTTATAACATTTCTGTTTTGAGAGAACCTATAATGCTTGGAAATCTGACTATAAACTTTTCTTTGATAATTTTCTGTGCAGTTCTTTTGCTTTAATCAATGAAAAGATGTTACTGTGTGAAAGTTGGATTTTAAAGAAGGGACTAAAATATCCCCAGTCTGAACTTTGAGTTTTGGCAATATGTTGTTTTAAATGATCTGAAAACTCTTCCACGATAAATACATAGATAAAATGTGTTTCTAGATAAAATACAAAAAATATCCACTTAAAGGCCAAGCTTTAAATAAAGTAAGGGGAATTGCCAGAGGTCAGAAACAACAAGCAAATAAAAATTCAAAGGGTTCCATTTTTTTCTCTTTAGCTGCTCTTGAATGAATTCCATTCCATTAAAGAGAAATAGAAACAGGCCCATTCAAATATTCATGTACACAAAAATGTGTACATGAAGCCAGGCGCAGTGGCTCATGCCTGTAATCTCAATGCTTTGGGAGGCTAAGGCCAGCAGATCACTTGAGCCCAGGAGTTCGAGACCAGCTTGGGCAATATGACAAAACCCTGTCTCTACAGAAAATACAAAAATTATCCAGGCATGATGGTATATGCCTGTAGTCCCAGCTGCTTGGGAAGCTAACTAAAGTGGGAGAATCCCTTGAGCCTAGGAGGTCAAGTCTGCAGTGAGCCATGATTGTGCCACTGCACTCCAGCCTGGGTGACAGAGTGAGATCCTTGTCTCAAAAAATGAAACAAAACAAATATCCATACATGAATGTTTATAGCAACTTTTTCATAATAGCCAAAATTTGGAAACACCTCAAATGTCCGTCAACTGGTGAATGGATAAGCAAATTCAAATATATCTTTAAAATGGAATAACAAATAGTGAAGAGGAACAAATTGCTGATAACTTGTGACAACATAGATGAATCACAGAACCGTCATGGTAAGAAGTCCTGAAAGAAGTCAGGAACGAAGACTACATACCGTATGATTCCATTTCTGTGGCATTCTATAAAAAACAAAACTATAGGAGCAGAAAACAGATCAGGGGTTGCCTGAGAATAAACAGGGAATTGACTACAAAGAAGTATAACTTTTGGAGTGATGGAAATGTTATTACAAGCCAATATAGATTTGTTTAATTTTATTGAACTGTATACTTTAAAAAGGATGGATATAGTATGTAAATTATGTCTCAACCTGATTTAAAAACAAAAACTTCAATAGATGGTTAAAGTTACTAAACCAATTTAGGAGCAAATTTGTGAACTGGAAAAGATGAATCTGAGCTATTCATCTGAGCTATCATATACATATATATATATAAAATATATAAAGAAAGATAAATATATACAAAATAGATAGGGACATAGATTTGAAAAATATGAAAGAGAAGTTAAGCTTTGTAGAACACACAACAGAAAGACAACATATATTTAATTGGAATTCCAGTATATCCACACCAAATGCTGGATAGTGGCTACCTAAGTTGAATATAGCAAAAATGTTAATATCAGACAAGGATGAGAAGTCAGTACATAAGTGTTTGACATATTATATTCTGTACTTTCATATATTCTATATTTTACAGTATGCTTAAAATATTTCATAGTAGAAAAATCCCTGAGTTTCCAGTTCTACCACCACATCTTACATTTTGCCTTTTGGGACATGTGCACATATATATAGATATTTGCATAGTTGAAGCCGTACTATACATATGACTATTTTGTGTTTTCCTGTTTCCTTCATAAGTCATTTTTATTAACTTATTATTACAAAGTACTATCATGTACTATTAAGAAAAGGAAAAATGGCCAGGCACGGTGGTCATGTCTGTAATCCCAGGACTTTAGGAGGCTAGGTGGATCACCTGAGATCAGGAGTTCAAGACCAGCCTGACCAACATGGTGAAACCTCATCTCTACTAAAAATACAAAAATTAGCCTGGATAGTGTGTGCCTGTAATCCCAGCTACTCAGGAGGCTTAGGTGGGAAAATTGGTAGAACCTGGGAGGCAGAGGTTGCAGTGAGCCGAGATCCTGCCACTGCACTTCACACTCCAGCCTGGGTGACAGAGTGAGACTCCATCTCAAAAAAAAAAAAAAGGAAAAGTTACTCTCACACAATCTTTTATATTATTTTGGTGTCTTTCTTGACATTCTTTTCCCATTAATATTTTTTCAATTATTTTTGACTCAGAACTACATTCTAAGAATATTTTTATTGTATAGTTGTTTCTACAATATCTTGTATAAAAATGTCTCATGGTCTTACCTATAATCTTAAAGTAACAAGATAGTTTGTAATTTCTGTCTGTAAGTTTGGATGTTTGTATGTCAACCAATGTGTTCATTCTTGACAATGAATGTTTTTAGATTTGAAATTTTTTCCTACAAAATGGATAAGAAGTTTAATACAAGCTTTAACTATTTTACCAAATTTTTGTATTTGATAGATCCCATTGAAGAGGAAGATGCAAATCTGCTATTTGGTTCAGTACAAGAAGTACTGAAAGCATCAGTTATGGCCGATGCAGATATTCTTTCGGAGACATTTCAACTTCTGATAGACTCTGCCAAGGACTTCAGTAAAAGACTGTGGGGCTTAGTGCCATTCGGCTTGTATCTTCCAGCTCCTCCATTGTACTGTCCCCAGCCAGCTATTCTTAGTGAAGTAAGCTTATAGCATTAACTTTTAAATTAATTTAAAGTTGATTTTGTCAAGTTTTTAAAATAATTAACTTGATAATAATCATCAGGTTAAAAATTCAAGCTCTAAAGACAAACGTATAGATCCCAGCTTTGCTGTTCACTAATTGTATAATCTTAGGGAATGTACTAAACTGCTGTTTAAGTTTCCGTATCGGTTAAATGCAGATGATAATAGTACCTCTCATGGCATTTTTGTGAGGATTGAGATATCCTGTAAAATCTTCTAGCTCAGGACCTGGGACATATAGTAATTATTCAATAAATGTTAAAATTATTGTAACAATATAGCACAATTAATCTTAATATCCAGACTTTTAAAAATTAGGCATTTTTTAGGCTAACAAATGAAATAATGAGTGTCAGAATTAGAAGCCATACATTATTTCAGTCTCTTATTTATCTCTTTGTCTTTGCCTTTTTTGAAAGACTTGGCTGGGTGTAGTAGCTCACACCTGTAATCCCAGAACTTGGGAGGCCAAGGCGGGAAGATTGCTTGAGTCAAGGAGTTTGAGACCAGCCTGGGCAACATGGCGAAACCCTGTCTCTATAAAATATACAAAAATTAGCTGGGCATCGTGGCATGTGCCTGTAGTCTCAGCTACTCAGTAGGCTGAAGTGGGTAGATGGCTTGAGCCCGGGAGGTAGAGGTTGTAGTGAGCCGAGATTGCACCACTGCACTCCAGCCTGGGTGACAGAGCAAAACTCTGTCTCAAAAAAGAAAAGAAAGACTTATTTTTATTTGACTTTGTTTTAAAAGGTTTTTTTTTTCCTACACTATTCAATTGATAGTTCTATATTATAAATACTATATTCCTCTCAGAAACTTTTTATCTGCTCTTATTAAAAAATCATAACATTATAGTTAGCTGGTTTTAAGATTTAAAGTGTTATTATAAATTACTTACATTTAGACTTTTAAGTATTTGATTAACACTTTGAAGTGTTTCTGGGTATTATTTTTTTACTATCTCCTGTTTCAATATTGGCGACTTCTACCTCTAGTTTTTTATTTCTCATTTGTCCTATTTGGTTATATTTCAATAGTCTAAAACATTTTACTTGTTGATTTTACAAATGGAAGGAATAAAAAGTCCATGGCATTTCTCAATAATTCATCTTTCCTCTTGCATCTGAGTCTTTAGTAATTGGTTTAGAAATTTGAAATGACATTTAAAGTTTTTTGGATAGCCTGTGCAGATAATAGTTCGAGTAGTTTGAGTGGTTACTGCCTTTAGTAGTGCTTCATTTTATTCTTTTTTATTAAAGCAATTCTCCTTGGTAAGGTTTCTTCTAAATGTCACCGTATATCAGTTAGAACCCCTTGTGTTGCAAGTAATAAAACACTTGGTCAAAATGGTTTAAACAATAACGGCATTTATTGGTTCACGTGATGAAGAAGCCTAGTTGTAGGGCAGGTTTCTGATTTAGTTATGTTACCAAAGACTTGGGCTCTGTCTTTTGCTCTAGTTTGTTTTCTGAGGTGTCATCTTCACCTGAAGACTAGCTCCCCTTGTGGGAGCAGAATGGCCACTAACAGCTTCTAAGGATGCCTTGTCCATGTCCATGGGCACAGTGATTGAGACAAAGAGAAGTGGCAAAATTATTTCTGTCCCAGCATTCCAAGCAAGAGGATTGAGATTCACTCTTAGTGAGACTGGCTTGGGTCACATGCCTGTCCTTTAAACAGTCACTGTGGCTAGGCTTAACACAAGGTACTGCTTGGCCTGTGAATAGATCCTTCCTTGAGGTGGGATGAGCTTTCCCTCAATCATATGAGCCATGTAGGAGATGGGCAGATACTCAAAAACTGAGTACTGTTAAGAAGTGGGCAGGGAAGAAGGATGTTGGGGAAGCAGATGTTTACAATGCTCACATTATCTCATTATCTGGGAAAATAATCTTTAGCTACTGGTTTGGATAGCATTTATTCAACAAACATTTATTGGGTCCTACTATGTATCAGACTTGAGTGTGAACACTGTGGCCATACGAAGACAAATGACAAGGCCCTTCCTCTTGGGAGTTCTGAGTACAGTGGGATACAGGTATAAATTGATATGGAATAAATTGGTGAAAGCTACAGTAGAAGTGTGAACAAAGTGCTGTTGTAGCACAGAGGGATGGGCTTCACAGAGGAAGTAACATTGAAATATAAGTAGGATTCTTCCCAGCAGAGGAAGAGAAAAGGGATTCTGCTTAGATGGACCTCTCTGTAACATCCCACCAATGGAGTCTGGAGTAGCGGGCTTTAACTGTTCTAGCGTAAGACTGGGAACAAGGGTCAGCTTATCCCTTTACGTTGAGGGGAGATAACATTTCTCAATTCTAGAAATAGCCATAGTTGAAATCTCAGAGCCCGTGCCTCAGAATTTCCTTTATAAATCTCCAGGAACATCCTAGTTTGAGAAGCAGTGAGCATCATTAGCCTATCTTTTTTTTTTTTTTTTTTTTTTTTTGAGACAGGGTGTCCCTGTGTGGCCCAGGCTTGAGTGCAGTGATGCAATCATGGCTCACTTCAGCTTCCAACTCCTGAGCTCAAGCAGTCCTCCTGCTTCAGCCTTCCAAAGTGCTGGGATTACAGGCGTGAGCCACTGTGCTCAGCTCATTAGCCTATCTTTATTTTCATTTTAACATTCTAAATTTTCTCATTACTAGCCACTAAAATGGATTGTTTTATTTTCCTCAGGAAGATGGTGATGATCTTCTTTTAAAAGCTGAAAAAAATAATCGCCAGAAGGTATCTGGAATCCTTCAGCGTGTTCTCCTGCTTTTCCGGGCGGCTCAGTGTTCTTTTCCTGTAGCACAGTGGTATATATTGCAGTTGAGGTGGGCAAGAAAAGTCATGCAGAAGGTATGGAAATATCTTAGTCATTTACATGCTGTGTTAACTGAAATTACTCATATTTATATTATTGTTTTTATAATTGTTATATTTTCCCAAGGAGTCCTGCCCTATAAATCCACAAATTTCAGATTTATTCATAAACAAACAGACCAGATTCTTCCTGTTGAAAGGTGAGGACTCTGAACAGGGTCTCTAGGTTAGTTCCACCATGTCTAGCAAAAGATAGTGTAATCTAGTCCATTAATTCCAGGCAATTACAGTTTTTTTTTTTTCCAACTCCCCTGTCATTAAAGATTGAAACTCAGTCCAGGGCTTTCTCCCAGTTCTCCTTGAGGTGTTGTCTGTGTTCTGTGGGGCCTTCTGTGGGTTCAGAGAATGGAAAGTTATAGTTCATTCTCGTCTGTTTCCATCCGGTAGCCTCCACTAGTCAGGGTCTCCCCCTTGCTATTTTCTGAGATGTGCAATTCAGTTTGATTCCCAGGTGTTCATCCCCTTCTATATTGACTTCAGCTGAGCTGTCGCTTCATTCTTATCAGATATCTAGCCAGATAGGACACCTGGTAGGTCTTTTTATCTAGCTGAAAATCCTTTATATGCCTGCTGTCTCTCTTGGAAATGTGGAAATAAATTTCATCATCTCCAAATATTTTTAATTCAGCCTAAGTAAAATTAAATTAATTCAGCCTAATTAAAACAATATAATTATTTTTAGTAGGAACCTTTGGAGAGACTTTTAGATAACTTTGATAAGTTATCTAAAAGTATTTTTGAAACACAATGGAAACTGAAAGTAACTAGTGGTTGGTTGCCGGGGTTAGGGAGAGGAGGAAGTGGACAGTGACTACTTTTGTTTTTCTTTTTGGGGTGATGAAAATGACCTGGAATTAGACAGTGATGATGGTTGCCTAACTTTGTGAATATACTAAAAACCACTAATTGTACACTTTTAAAAGATGACTTTGATGATATGTGAGTTATAGCTCAATTAAAAAATGGTGCTGAAACAAAGATTCTGAGCCATATTAGTTTTCTATTACTACCCTACCAAATTAACACAAATTTAGCAGCTTAAAATAGCAGCCATTTAATATCCCACAGGTTCTGTGCATCAGAACCACCACAGGGTGGTTCAGCTAGGTCTCTGCTTAGAGTCTCACAAGGCCAATCAAGGTGGCAGCGGGGCTACATTCCTTTCTAGAGGCACTAGGGGAACATCCGTTTCCAGGTGCATTCAGATTGTTGGTAGAATTCAGTTGCATGTGGCTGTAGAACTGTGGTCCCCCATTTCTTTGCTGGCTCTCTCTCTCTCTACCTCTTAGTACCATCCTGGTAGTAAATGCCATTAATGTATTTGACAAGAAGTCTGTCATTAGCATGCTTCCCAGGAGATTTGATTAGATTGTGTCTTTCTGGAAGTGACACTAGCAGGAGAAAATCAATTGCAAGCCTGCTGTTAATGCTTCCTTCCCAGGTTTATGTCTCTTAGAGCCCTTTCCTGAAACGTGGAAATAAATTTTATCATCTCCAAATATATTTAAATCAGCCTGTTATCTGTAGAAGCTCCCCTCTTTTTATTCTTGGTTTGTTAAAAAAAAAACTAGGTAATTTTTCCTGCACCATATTCTAGATTTGTCTGATCGTTTCTTCATTTAGTGTCGTTTAGCTTGTTTCTCTTTCCTTTTTTTACCCCTGTAACCCGGTCATTAATCTGTGCTCATTGAGGTAGAGAGGTTTAAATAGATTGGAGTTCAAATTTTCTTTTTTTTTTTCCTTTTTTCTTTTTTGAGACAGCATCTCACTCTGTCGCCCAGGCTGGGTGCAGTGGCATGGTCTCGGCTCACCGCAACCTCCGGCTCCCGGGTTTAAGTGATTCTCCTGCCTCAGCCTCCTGAGTACCTGGGACTACAGGCGCCTGCCACCTCGCCCAACTAATTTTTGTGTTTTTAGTAGAGATGGAGTTTCACCATGTTGGCCGGGCTGGGCTCAAACTTGACGTCAAGTGATCTGCCCACCTCGGCCTCCCTAAAGTGCTGGGATTACAGGTGTGATCCACCTCGCTTGGCCTCAAATTTTTTTAGAAATGAATCTTTCATAAGTATTGTGCACTTCTCTCTCGCACATGGCACATGTGTTTGCTTATTTTAATTTTAGGGATGAGGAGATTGAGTTTGGATCGTGTCACACCCTCTATCAAGTATCCCCGTCAACCCCTCAGCTTTTTACTCTGTTAGCATTTACTAATGATCCTTGCCTAGAGTCATTATTAGGGGCTGCCAAATGGTGTCTTTCTAATTCTGCCATTTATAGATTAGTTTTTTAAAAGTTATGTATGTAGGCATAATTTTTTTGTATTTGTTTTAGTTACTGTACACAGCTTTATTTGGGATAAGATTAAGATTCTTAAATTTCTTTATTTTCTTTGCTATGCCAGTGAGGAAAGCCAGGGAAAAATAGCATTAAATTCTTCTTATACAGGCAAAATTGTGACAAGAGAGTACAAATGATTTACTTAGAACCTTTTTTTTTTTTGAGATAACAAGCTAGTGACTTTCCTGAATTAAATTTGTAAGTTTCTGAAAATATAGCTGATTTCATGTGCTGTGTTTTCCATTCTGTGTGGCTTATCTTACCTGCCTGATTCTTTTATAGTTTCTTTTAAAAGTGATTTATACAGCTGATAATTAACATGTTCGGTTATTCTTTACTTTTAGATTCGAATGAAAGGATCCCTTCCTTCACTGAGTCCTTTTCCTCAGTCATTACTTAATTACTGTAAAGGAGGTATCGCATTTTTTAGACCTGGAGCAGCTGGAGACCACAAGCTTGATGAAGTTTCCATTAGAGCAATAGGTTTGTCCAAAATGAACTGCTTGCTTAGAGTATGAATGATGGTATATTTTTCATTTGATTTGGGAAAGTATTGACTCTTCAAAGTACAATATGCTCTGATATTTTACTTTGTGTTTACAAGTAAATATTGTACTTTAACAGCTATGTATATATATATGATATATATGATAGTAAGTCAGAAATTTCTTATATAAACAAATTGTGATACCTATTACCTTATGTCATGCTTCATTATTTAACTGAATTTTTTTTTTTTTTTGAGACAGAGTCTGGCTCTGTTGCCCAGTCTGGAGTGCAGTGGCATGATCTTAACTCACTGCAACACACCTCCTGGGCTGAACCTATCCTTCCACCTCAGCCTCCTGAGTAGCTGGGATGACAGGTGCACACCACCACACCCAGCTAATTTTTGTATTTTTTGTAGAGGCAGGGTTTTGCCATGTTGCCCAGGCTGATCTTGAACTCCTCAGCTCAAGCAGTCTACCTGCCTTGGCCTCCCAAAATGTTGGGATTGCAGGCATGAGCCATTGCGCCTGACCTAAATTAATTTCTTAATTCGTGGTCTATGTCCAGTTATTTGCCTAACAAGTTTAAAAAGAAGTAAAACTTTAGATATCATTTCACTCTTTCCTCCTTAATCCTTCCTTAATCCTTATCAGTTCTATTTATATTAAGCCCTGATCTTATCTTTTTTTTTTTTTTTGAGATGGAGTCTTGCTCTGTCTCCCAGGCTGGAGTGCAGTGGCGTGATCTCGGCTCACTGCAAGCTCTGCCTCCTGGGTTCCCGATATTCTCCTGCCTCAGCCTCCCAAGTAGCTGGGACTACAGGCACCCGCCACCGTGCCCGGCTAATTTTTTTTGTATTTTTTAGTAGAGACGGGGTTTCACCGTGTTAGCCAGGATGGTCTTGATCTCCTGACCTCGTGATCCACCTGCCTCGGCCTCCCAAAGTGCTGGGATTACAGGTGTGAGCCACCGCGCCTGGCCAGCCCTGATCTTATCTTTAGACTTTGATTAAAATGTTTATTTTAGAGCTGGGCACAGTGGTGTAATCCCAGGTACTTGGGAGGCTGAGGTAGGAGGTTGCTTGAGCCTAGGAGTTTGAGGGTCTTGTGTGCAATGATTGTACCTGTGAATAGCCACCGCACTCCAGCCTGGGCAACGTAGTGAGAGCCTGTCCCTAAAAAAAAAAAAAAAAAAGTTTATTCTTAACTCACTCACCCTTAGTATAATCTTACATGTCCTGGGGCTCAGATTGTCTGTTTTTCCAACCGAAACGGCATTGAAATGCTTCTTGATTGCTTCTCTCACCTGTCATGAGCTTAGTTTCATAGACTCTTCATTCACGTAACAAAAGGGCCAGGCAGGTGTCATCTGGAAAAGTATGTACAATCTCATTTATTTCTTAAAAATCTAGGTCTGTAAGAAGTGAGTTAAATTCACAACAATCCCAGTTAAAAGATATTTGCTCATAAATAGGGACATAGTCCTTTGAAATGACTTAAATAAAGATTTGAACACATATTTTTAATATTTTCATTTTGATCATGAGTTCTACTGTTTAATTATTCTTTTGTTTGATTTGGTCTCTTGATTGTTGAGAAGTGATTTGGCTAGATTAAAAAGTTTCCTTTCTGGCTGGGCGTGGTGGCTCATGCCTGTAATCCCAGCACTTTGGGAGGATGAGTTGGGCGGATCACAAGGTCAGGAGTTCGAGACCAGCCTGGCCAGCATGGTAAAACCCTGTCTCTACTAAAATATGCAAAAAATTAGCCAGGCATAGTGGTGTGCACCTGTAATCCCAGCTACTCGAGAGGCTGAAGCAGGAGAATCACTTGAACCTGGGAGATGGAGGTTGCAGTGAGCCAAGATTGCACCATTGTACTCCAGCCTGGGTGACAGGACGAGACTCTGTCTCAAAAAAAAAAAAAAAGAAAAAAAAAGTTCCTTTCTGGCCAGGTGCGGTGGCTTATGCCTGTAATCTCAGTACTTTGGGGAGGCTGAGGCAGGAGGATTCCTTGCGCCCAGGATTTCTAGGCTGCAGTGAGCTATGATCTTGCTACTGATCTCCAGCCCGGGCGGCAGAACAAGACCCTGTTTCTTTAAAAACAAAAACAAAAACAAAAAAACAAGGTTCCTTTCCCTAGTTTGTTACCTAAAATAGTAGATTTTAACTCTTAATTTTATTTATTTATTTATTTTTGAGATGGAGTCTTATTCTGTCACTCAGGCTGGAGTGCAGTGGCACAATCTCGGCTCACTGTAACCTCCATCTCCTGGGTTCAAGTGATTCTCCTGCCTCAGCCTTCCCAGTAGCTGGGACTATAGGCACCCGCTGCTGCGCCCAGCTAATTTTTGTATTTTTAGTAGATATGGGGTTTTGCCATGTTGGCTAGGTCGGTCTCAAACTCCTGACCTCAGGTAATCCGCCTGCCTCAGCCTCCGAAAGTGCTGGGATTACAGGTGTGAGCTACCATGCCTGGCCCAGGATTTCACACTCTTTTGAAGTTTTTTTATTACGGAAAATTTAAACCAAAGTAGAGATGTATAAGCACTCGAGTACCTCTCACCCACTTGCAACAATTGTCAACACATGAAAGCAAATCTGAGTACATCATAAGTACAATAAGTACTTCAGTATATGTAGTGAACAGATGAAGTTTTGTTGTTGTTGTTGTCGTTTTTTTTTTAGTTGGAGTCTTGCACTGTCGCCCAGGCTGGAGTGCAGTGGCATGCACAATCTCAGCTCACTACAACCTCTGCCTCCAGGTTCAAGCAATTCTCCGCCTCAGCCTCCTGAGTAGCTGGGATTACAGGCGCGGGCCACCACACCCAGCTAATTTTTGTACTTTTTAGTAGGGCGGGGTTTCACCGTGTTGGTCAGGCTGGTCTTGAATTCCTGACCTCGTGATCCACCTGCCTCGGCCTCCCAAAGTGCTGGGATTACAGGCGTGAGCCACTATGCCCGGCCCAGATGAGGTATTTGTTTTTTTTTTTTTTTTTTGATGGAGTCTAGCTCTGTTGCCCAGGCTGGAGTGTAGTGGCACGCTCTCGGCTCACTGCAAGCTCGGGTTCCCACCATTCTCCTGCCTTAGCCTCCCGAGTAGCTGGGACTACAGGCGCCTGCCACCACACCCAGCTAATTTTTTGTATTTTTAGTAGAGACGGGGTTTCACCGTGTTAGCCAGGATGGTCTCAATCTCCTGACCTCGTGATCTGCCCGCCTTGGCCTCCCAAAGTGCTGGGATTACAGGTGTGAGCCACCGTGCCTGGCCAGATGAGGTATTTTTTAAAACCATAATTCTATTATCATGACTGACAAAATTTACAATAAATCTTTAATATCATATATAGTCAGGCCTGCTTAATGATGGGGCTACGTCCTAAGAAATGTGTCATTAGACAATTTTGTTGTGTGACCATAGGATATACTTAGACAAAAATAGCCTCATACACACTGAGGCTATGTGATACGGCCTTTTGCTTTTAGGCTACAAACCTGTACAAGAGGATTGCTTGAGCCTAGGAGTTCAAGGCTATTGTATGCAATGATTGCACCTGTGAATAGCCACTGCACTCCAGCCTAGGCAACATAGTGAGACCCTGTCTCTAAAAAGAAGTGTTGCCATATTGAATACTGCAGTACTGAATACAGAATGTGACTACACTGAATACTGTAGGCAGTTTTAACACAATGGTAAATATTTGTATATATAAACATATCTAAACATTGAAAAGGTACAGTAAAAATACAGTATAAAAGATTTTAAAAAATGGTAAGTATGGGTCACTTACCATGAATGGTGCTTACAGGACTGGAAGTTTTTGCCCCAGGGGAGTCAGTGAGTGGGTGGTGAGTTAATTTGAAGGCCTCGGACATTTCTATACACTACTGTAGACTTTATAAACACTGTACACTTAGGCTATACTAAATTTATTAAAAATATTTTTCTTCCATAATAAATTAACCATAGATTATTGTAATGTTTTTACTTTATGAACTTAAAAAAAAATTAAAACCTTTTTGACTCTTGTAATCATACTTGGCTGAAGAGACATACAGTGGCATAATCACAGCTCACTGCAACTTCAAAGTCCTGGGCTCAAAACATTCTCTAACCTCAGCCCCTTGAGTACTGGGACTACAGGCGTAAGCCACTGTACCAGCTAATTTATTTTTTAGTTTTTGTAGAGATGGGGTCTCTGTTGCCCAGGCTGGAGTGCATTGGTGCCATCTTGTCTCACTGCAGCCTCTGCCTCCCGGGTTCAGGCATTTTTCCTGCCTCAGCCTCCTGAGTAGCTGGGACAACAGGCATGTACCACCATACCTGGTTAATTTTTGTATTTTTAGTAGAGACGGGGTTTCACCACGTTGCCCAGGCTGATCTTGGCCTCCTGAGCTCAAGCGATCCACCTGCCTCTACCTCCCAAAGTGCTGGCTTTACAGGTGTGAGCAACTGCACCTGGCCTAATTTTTTTTATTTGTAAAATAGAGACATGGTCTTACTATGTTGCTCACGCTGGTCTAAACTCCTGGGCTCAATCGATCCTCCCGCCTCAGCCTGCCGAAGTGCTACGATTACAGGTGTGAGCTACTGTGCTTGGCCAGGCTTTTTTCTATTGAAAAATTTTAAAGTTTATTTTTTACTGTTTAAACTTTTTTTTTTAATTTAAACTAAGACACAACATATTCATTAGTCTAGGCCTACATAGGGTCAGGATCATCAATCTCTCTGTCCTCCACCTCCACATCTTTTTCTACTGGAAAGTCTTCAGGGGCAATACCATGCTTGGAGATGTCTTCTCTTATAACAATGCCTTCTTCTAGAATAACTCCTGAAGGACCTGCCTGAGGCTATTTTACAGTTTTTTTTAATAAGTAAGAGTATACGCTAAAATAACGATAAAAAGCATAGTATAGTAAATAAATAAACCAGTAACAGTTGTTTATTATTATCAAGTATTATGTACTGTATATAATTGTATGGGCTAGATTTTATATGACTGGCAGTGCAGTAGGTGTGTTTACACAGTTGTCACCATAAACACCTGAGTAATGTGTGGACTATGATGTCATGATGTCTCTAGGTGACAGAAATTTTTCAGCTCCATTATAATCTTATGGGTGCACCATAGTATATGCAGTCTGTCATTGACCTGAGTGCCATTATGTGGCATCTGACTATGTTATCTATCCCATGTTTAAATTTACTTGATAATTTCAAATATGTCTTTTCTATAGTTTTTTTAAAAAAATCTATCCAATCAAGGTCCACCACACATTGCATTTTGGTTGATATATAAATCTTTCTCTTTTTATAGTGTGATCGTAGCTCACTGCAGCCTTGACCTCCCAGGTTCAAGTGATCCTTCTACCTCAGCCTCCTGAGTAGCTGGGACTACAGGTGTGCACCACCAGGCCTGGTTTTTTTGTTTTTTTTTTTCATTTTTTCATAAAGACAGGGCCTCACTTTTTTGCCCAAGCTGGTCTCGAACTCCTGGGCTCAAGCAGTCCTACCTTGACCTCCCAAAGTGCTGGGATTACAGGCAGGAGCTACCATGCCTGGCCTATAAGTCCATCTTAATCTATAAAAGTTTCCTTGCCCCCATTCTGTTTCATGCCCTTTATTTATTGTGGAAACTCGATCGTTTGTCTAGTAGAACCCGTTCTATTCTGGTTTCAGTTGGTTACATCTTTTTGGTATTCAAACATTTTTGACCATGATTTAAAATAAGTGCAGATTTTATAGCAAGGTAATACATGCACACACCCATATGAAGTTAGAATGAAAATTTAATGAACTACCTTTACTCTTACTGTGTGCAATGCACTCTTCTTTTCTTTTCTTTTTTTTTTTGAGACAAAATCTCAAGTCTGTCACCCAGGCTGGAGTGCAGTGGCGTGATCTCAGCTCACTGCAATCTCCACCTCCCCGGTTCAAGTGATTCTTCTGCCTCAGCCTCCCAAGTAGCTGGGATTACAGGTGCACACCACCACGCCCAGCTAATTCTTGTATTTTTAGTAGAGATGAGGTTTCACCAGGTTGACCAGGCTGGTCTCGAACTCCTGACCTCAGGTGATACACCCACCTCGTCCTCCCAAAGTACTGGGATTACAGGCATGAGCCACTGTGCCCGGCTGCAATGCACGCTTGATATATTCTGTTGTATTCTATTTTAAAAAGATGATTGAGACTCACTGAATTGATTTTATAGCCTAGTAACTAATAAAAGGTTGTAATCCACAGTCTGAAAAACACAGATAAAGGATGTTTTTAGATGAGTCACTGTTTAGTATGTTGCTGCACTGTGTCTTGCTAGTTCTTGGCCTTAGTTCTATCCCAGCTTGCCTGTGAAATATGAAATAATGAAACACATCTGTCAGTAATGATGCCTTTCTCAAAAGATTGGGCCGTGCTCCCCCGGCAGAATCTATGAGAATCTGATGTGTGGGGTGGGCTGTAGTGTGAAAATGCTCACTGGAGACCCTGATAGTCCCCCTGGGGCCATGTACCCACCATCCTCTCTCACTATTGGGATGAATAGAATGTGTAGAAGACCTGCTTTCTGCCCACTTTCCATAATGTCAAACTGTTCTTTTTGACTTTGTAATATTTATTTTAAAAAGCATATTAAATAGCTCCCTAAAGAAAATGAAAATACTGACTACTAATATAAAAGTCAGTTTATTGTAAAAATAAGGCTTATTTAAAAAATTAAGGCATAGGCTGGGTGTGGTAGCTTATGCCTGTAATCCAAGGCAGGTGGATTACCTGAAGTCAGAAGTTTGAGACCAGCCTGGCCAACATGGTGAAACCCTGTCTCTACTAAAAATACAAAATTAGCCAGGTATGGTGGCACACGCTTGTAGTCCCAGGTACTTGGGAGGCTGAGACAGGAGAATCACTTGAACCTGGGAGGTGGAGGCCAAGATCGCACCACTGCACTCCAGCCTGGGCAAGATAGAGCAAGACTCCGTCTCAAAAAAATAATCATAATAAAATAAATAAAAATAAACAATTAAGGCATAAATGAATGAATGCTAAATTTTAGAATATTATCTTTCTTCCTCCAAAGGAAAAGTTCCTATATTTTTCTTTTTCCAGAGATGGTCTTGCTATTGTGCTGCTAGAAAGAAGCGTGTGCAAGTGTCTTTTTCATATAATGATTTCTTTTCCTCTGGGTAGATACCCAGTAGTGGGATTTTTGGATCAAATGGTAGATCTACTTTGAGTTTTTTAAGGAATCTTCACACTGTTTTCCATAGTGGTTGTACTAGTTTACGTTTTCACCAGCAGTGTAAAAGTGTTTCCTTTTCACCACATCCATGCCAACATGGAGGCTGGTCTCAAACTCCTGGGCTCAAACGATCCTCCCACCTCAGGTGTCCAAGTAGCTAGGAGACAAGGTCTTGCTCTGTCTACAGAGCCTACACCACCCCGTTGAAAAGGTCCTATTAACCATAGAACATGAGATGGTTTTCACTTAATTGGTCACATGTTAACTATAATAGAAATTTAAGATTAGCAGAAGAGTGAAAACTTGTTTTGATAGCTGGATTGTGAGCCTGTGCATTGTGTATAGTTAAATCCTGATGCTCCATACAATGGAACACCATATTGGCAACAAGAAGACTTAGTATATTACCATGTGAAAAGATATCTAAGATATAGTAGGTGAAAAAAAAGCTAGTTGCAAAGCAGCATACATAGTATGATTTTATATATCTTTGTGTACTTGTATTGCTTTTAATAAAAAATTATTTACTATTAGAAATAGTTTTTAGTATTAAAAATGTTTAAACATAAATGAATATCTGTTAGTGACTTATAAGTCAATCTCCATGACTTTTATATAAGGACTTTTATATAAATTTACAATGAGCATGTGTTCATTTTATAATGAATGAAATAAAGACCTTTATTTTGAAAAAAATGATCAGCAGAGTTGGAGTTGTTATAATATTAATGTACATACTCATGTGATTTTCTTTCATATTTGTGTTCCTGCTTTAGGTTGCTTCAGAGAACTTTGTGCTCTGTGTTGGATGCTGCATGTCCGTGATAAGTTATCCTATAGTTGCAGGCAATATCAGAAAGCAAGAGAAAATGTAAAAGGAGAAAAGGTATTTACCAGGGCAAAAATAAGAAAAATGAACACACGTTAAGTGGGAAATTATTGTTTAAAAGAAGATTTTATTGTTTGTAGCAAAACTTTCTTTTGAACTCATTCTGGTCTACCATCTAAACTAAAAAGGAAATGAATGTTTTTCAATATCCTTTTAGGACCTTGAAGTGGAGTTTGATTCTTGTATGATTGAGCACTGTCTTAGTGCAGTGGAATGGGCTTATAGAATGCTGCCTTTCTCTCGGTTTTTTAATATGGAAGAACTTATTCAGGATATAATTTTGAGCCTTATTGGAGAACTGCCACCAATCAGAAAGGTAATGTGCTTGTAGGTGAAAGTAAACTACATCAGAATCAGAGACTTTAAAAGATTTTTATTTAATTTTAATTAAGGATGATGTTGCCTTTCTTTGGATTATTTCACTTAGCATAATATCTTGTGGGTTCAAAAAGGTAAATACTGTAGGACCTCACTTGTGTGTGGAATATAAAAATGTTAAACTCACGGAAGCAGAGAGTGGAATGGTGGTTGTCAGAGGCTGGGGATGTGGTGGAAATGGGGAGATCTTGGTCAAAGGGTACAACCTTTCAGTTACAAGATGAATAAGTTCTAGGGATCCAATGTACAATATAGTGACTATAGTTTTTTTTTTTTTTTTTTTTTTTTTTTGAGACGGAGTCTCGCTCTGTCACCCAGGCTAGAGTGCAGTGGCGCGATCTCGGCTCACTGCAAGCTCCGCCTCCCGGGTTCACGCCATTCTCCTGCCTCAGCCTTCCGAGCAGCTGGGACCACAGGCTCCCGCCAACACGCCCGGCTAATTTTTTGTATTTTTTTAGTAGACACGGGGTTTTACCACGTTAGCCAGGATGGTCTTGATCTCCTGACCTCGTGATCTGCCCGCCTCGGCCTCCCAAAGTGCTGGGATTACAGGCGTGAGCCACCGCGCCGGGCTATAGTGACTACAGTTAATCGTAGTGTATTGTTTACCTGAAATTTGATAAGGGAGGATATTACAATGGTAAATGTGTGTATTGATGGATGTGCTAATTAATTCGACTATGGAAATCAGCACAGAATGTATACGTATATTAAATCATCACATTGTACACCTTGAATATACACAGTTTTTGTCAATTACATATTTTAAAATAAAAAAGTAAGTTGATACTAAACTCCTATTAGCAGACAGATGCTCAGAGAGAGGCTTTGACCTGACTTCAAAAGATTAGTAAGAAATGTGCATTTATATTTTGAGTTAAAATAAAATATTTGTGGAATGGAAGAAAAAAAAAGAATGATGTTTCTCATAAAACTTAAACAATTTTTTTTCTGAAGGTAGCAGAAATTTTCGTGAAAGCATTTCCCTATCCTGAGGACGTGAGGGTTCCTTTAAGAGACAAATATCACTCTCTTCACCAGAGACTCAGACACTGTGTTGTGAAAGGTATTATTTGTTGTTTCTCAGATAGCTAACAGATAAATTGCAGAAGATTCCCTTTTTGTTTTGAAAATATTTATTTACTGTTGCTTATGTGTCTATGCATTTTTGCCTCTTCCTTGAGATAGGAGTATGAGAAGGTAGAAACATTTCTCCATTGCAGAAAGACTAATCTCTTGCTTTGGAACCAGATGAAGCTGACTTCGGCTCATGGCTCTGTCAGTCAGTAACTGTGCGATCTTAGGCAAGTTGCTCAGTCTCTCTGAGCCTCATATCTTTATTTGTAAAGTGGGCATAGTATTACCTGCTTTATGATGTGTATTCAGAGAGGATTAAGTAAGATAATATAAAATGAGCATATGGTACTTTGTATATTGCAAGTATTTGTTGAAAACAAGTAATTTCCCTTTATGGTTATTTATGCTTCTAATTTTGTTCTTCAAAATTAGAATACACACATTTCTTACTGTGGTAAAATGCATATAATATAAAATTTACCATTTTAGCCATTTAAAATATGCAATTCATTGACATTAAGTACATTTACAATGTTGCAGAATTTTTAAAGAATTAAAATTACCCTGCTTTTTAAAACTATAATTCAGTATTTAAGTCCAGGTATGTCCAGTGATTTTGTATTATTCTATTAATATATTGTATTTGTGATTTGTATTTTTCTTAATACTTTTTTTTGACATCCTCTAAAATATTCTGTTTATGTATTAAATAATGTTTTAAAATGTTTCTATAGGCAGCCTTGAAAACCTTCCCTTGCTATTGTTTCTTATTACTTTTAGTAAGAAAAATGTCCTTGATTTTTTTGGCTAGAATTATCCTCATTTTATCTTATTCTCTATGTGATAATAGAAAAAACATTCATTATTCTTTTTATTAAATATAATTATCCTTCTGAGTTTTAAAACAGTTAAATCACTTAAAGTTTTTTTTTTCCAGGGCATACTTTTTCTTCATGAGGTCTAGGTTCTGTCTCTTTTACTGTGTTCTTTAATGGACCTTCTTTAGCTTCTGCAGTTCTACTTTAAAATATCTTTCCAGTAAATACTGAAGAAAACACGACCAGTAAGAATGTGGAAATAAGCCTTAGTCATCAGTTAGGTTTCTTGTCCCCAGGAGGGACCAGAGTTGGGTCTCCTATGTCTTGAATTGAAATATTTTAATGAACACTAAGACTTTTTATTCTTTTCTTTCCAGGACCCCAGACTGAGGAAATGATGTCTGTTGTCATGCATTCTATCCAGAAAGTGAGGGTGAAAGCTCTAAAACGTGTGCAGAGAAATATAGGCTCTTTTGAAGTGAATATATGGGAACCAATTGAAGAAGAGAAACCAGATGAGGCTCCAGGTGTTGACAGATATTCCCTGGGGACTAGTTTGAGCAGAAGTACACTCACAGAACTAGGAGATTCTGTGGTTCACAGTGATGCAGATACGTTCTCTGAAGCTTTGTCGGTTGAAGAAAAAAGTAGGATAAATATCTATCAAAGGTACAATTGAGATCTTTTAATCACTGGCATTCACTTCCTTTGAAAAGTAGCTTTCAGGCATCTGATGAGCTGATTTCTGGTCCCAGCAACCCTCACTGATTGTGCTATTAATAATATGAATGATAAGTGCCACCCCCTCCACTCATAAGAATATTAGGAGTATAAAATGAGACTATACATTCGAAAATTTACTTTAAGTATTATTGATATATGAAATAATTTTGCCATCTGAAATTATAAAATCAAAGGAGTAGATGAAATTCTACACTTCACTGGAGGACTTTCAGTTTTTTTTAGTAATCTTTAGACTTAAATAGTTTGAGGTTACTGAGTTAGCCATATTATTTTTAAGGAAATTTTTCCTTAAATTTCCTTAATATTTTTAAGGGAAATATTTCAGGGAAGGAAATTGCCTCAATCAGAAGGGATGGGATGCTTTCAGCCCAGGTGGCCAACACCTGTTCTCTTACTGAGGGAACTAAGGATCTGTGTTCTGCCCTAGGAATCATGTTGAGAAGAAACATTTAAAAGGAATTGTTGTTGGGCAGTTAAGGTGTCCGCCCAACAGGTTTCATAACAGCTAAAAGTGTTTAGAAAAAGTTCCCAGTTTTTGTGTGGTAAAACAAAAAAGGTCAGTCTTGCTTATTACACATGGTATTAGGGGAGCTGAGCGGGCAGATGCAAGAGAGAAACAAGAAATCCTAAATTTTGTTGTATATCAGTGGCTTGGAGTTTTTGTTGACTTTGTATTCCTAAAATCTGACCCATTAGAGGACTATTTCTTTTACCCACAGAAAAATTATTCATGTTCTTTTATAGTGAAATTTCTGTGGACACATTTTAATCTCTTCTAATACAAATTTTCCCTTTTGATAGTAATTTTTTTTTGATCTCATAGTAGAAATGTTCCACTCTTGAAAACACTTAGAAATCATTTAGTCCCACTCCCTCATTTGAAATGTAGGTAATTGAGGCACACAAAATATACATGACTTAATCATTGGAGAGAATTTTCCATGTCAATTCTAAGATCAGTTTTAGTGATTAAATGATCTCTAATTTTGTCTTATTTTATTTTTTTGCTATAGAAATGCCCCAAATCACATGGAATTAACATCAATTCATAAGCCAACTGATAAAAGGAAAATGTGTAATCAGAAAGAAAATCCTACAAAGAAAGAAGATCATGAAAAGTTATCACAAAATACACTTCCTGTAATAGGTGTTTGGGAATTTGAACGTGATGATGATGAATATATTAAATTCCTTGATCTGTTTTTGAGTTACATTCTTGAAAGAGACCTACCTTATTCCAGGGATGCTGACATTCCATTTCTAACTAGTTTTTCTGGAAAGCTTAGAGAACATGAACTTAATTCTTTACTTTTTGATGTACATACAACATTAAAACGACATCAGAGCAAAACTAAAAGCCAGAATGTGTTTAGAGCTGGTTCTTGCTTTGTTGTTGCTCCTGAGTCCTATGAATCAGAAAAATCATCCTCTTTAAATGATGAATATGGCATGCATTTAGAAAACCAGAAACTTTCATCATCAGTACTGGTTAATCAAGGGATCAAACCTTTTTTACAATATCCTTCGAATGAAGTCAATAAGAATGAAGGAATGAGTGGATTATTTGGTTTAAAACAAAGGTCAATTTACAAAATACAAGATGACACTAGAGAGAAATGTCTAATCCAGAGATCATCAAACCACATTTTTTGGACTCCCAAGTCCATTAAAACTAGAAGATGTATTTTCAAAGCTATTCAGTGCAATGATATTAACCCTCAAGAAGATCTTCCTTTAGCACTAAACACTTTTGGCAGTATAGGAAGACTGCTGGAATGGATGATAAGGTGGTCTAATAGAAGGCTACTCTGTGATTCTGGTATAACTGAGTCATCCTCTGAGTACAGTCCAGTAATTCGTGTAAAGACCTCTACAGCTGCCATTCTTACATCATTATGGCTTTTGGAACAACCCTATTTTGCTACATATAAGGCAAAAAATGCCATTATTAAGGTAAGCATATCAATTGTTTATTACTTACAAATGAGAATTCTCATTTTAGATTAAAACTATGTTTACATTTCCCATCTTTTAAAGAATCATTAAATAATAGAAAATTAATGACAATGTTGATTATAATCAGTATCTCCTATTTTTTTCTTCCAGTGGTTCCTTTAATTCTTAACAATAAAGTGCTTTCAGAGAGGCTGTGAGGTTTTGAAGTTTTATGTGTATTTATAAAAAAGAAAAAAAGGAAGGAGATAATTTTAAGTGATATTACAAGTGGTATTACACGTATATTATTTCTCCTTTCAGTTTCAGGTTTTGGTTCAGATGAAGGAGGACTAGGTGGCTCTGTAGTTTTAATTACTGATGTCTCATCAAGTCCGTTAGGGGATAGTTTTTCTTATACTCTCAGGCCAGAAGAGGTTGGAGAACCAAACACAGAAAGGCAGATGGGGGAGTCAGTAGAGGAGTTAGTGTTTAATTAACTATTCTTTCTTCCCTAGTCAATGGCAAGTGCTTTTATTCTGAAGTAGTTTATTCTAGGCTGAAGGATGTGAGTGTGTGTGTGTATGTGTGTGTGTGTATGTGAATATGTGAATTTGTTTTATTTTTTACTTATTCATTTTTTGAGACAGAGTCTTGCTTTTTGTTTTGTTTTGTTTTTTGTTTTTTTTGAGATGGAGTCTCACTCTGTCACCCAGGCTGGAGTGCAGTGGCGTGATCTCAACTCACTGCAACCTCCGCCTCCTGGATTCAAGCGATTCTCCTGCCTCAGCCTTGTGAGTAGCTGGGACTACAGGCACGCGCCACCACGCCTGACTAATTTTTGTAGTTTTTAGTAGAGATGGGGTTTCATCATATTGGCTAGGGTGGTCTCAAACTCCTGACCTTGTGATCCGCCCGCCTCGGCCTCCCAAAGTGCTGGGATTACAGGTGTGAGCCACTGCGCCTGGTCCAGAGTCTTGCTTTATCACCCAGGCTGGAGTGCAGTCTTAGGATCACAGCTGTCTGTAGCCTTGACCTCCTGGGCTCAAGTGATCCTTCCACTTGAATCTTCCAAGCAGCTGGGACCACAGGCTCATGCCACTATGCCTGACTAATTTTTAAATTTTTTATAAAGACAGGGTTTCCCTTTGTTACCCAAGCTGGTCTCAAACTCCTGAGCTCAAGTGACCTTCCCACCTTGGCCTCTCAAAATGTTGGGATTACAGGTGGGAGCCACCACACTAGTCCTTTTTTTCCCTTGAGATTGGTTTCTGTTATCATAAGGTATACAGTTTATATGATACTGTGATATTAGTCATCCTTGAAATGTGTATTTCTAGGTAATGTATATGGAAATTTTAAGTGAGACAAAAAGGATGTACCTTGTGTTTTTAGCTGCATGTATTTTTGTCTACTATGTCATTTTGAAATAACTACTGAATGTCTTTATGATATAGCAAAGGGAATGAAATGAGGATATTATAATTTTTTTGCCATTGTTTTGTGGCCTGAAAACAATGACAATATGCCTTACAAATTTGTAAGGCTGATTTCTTTTGAATACTATTTAGGTAGTCAGATTTGCTTTTTCCAGTTAGAATAAAGACTTGATCATTGCTTCAGCAACAAATATTGAGTTGTAGAAATGCAGTAAATATTTGATAAATGAATAAGAGGATTATTCAGAATTCCTGTAGAAAGAATGAATAATTTTAAAATATGGTGAAAAATAAAGGGTTCAATAAATACTAAATACTTTAAATGGTTTGCTTTAGATGGTAGAGAATCGTGACACTGGGTGTCAGATTGGACCCAATATTGAGAGGGAGAGCAAATCAGATGCTGGCGGTTCAGTTGCAGTAGCAACTCCAGGTGGAACTGAGGAAAGAAATGGTCAGAATAAATCTTGTCAAAATATCTTGAAGTAAGTTGCCGATTATACTCTTCTTTTCAATATAAGACATGTAGTTTGATGGCATTTGGGCTTAAAGGGAAGATCAAACCCTTGAAAGTTAAAGGAATGAGCATTTTTTGAAGTAGAGGAGCAGGCAGTGAGCTTTCTGAGGTGCTTTAACAATTCATTGCAAATTGTATTTCTTCCCTCTTGGTCTAGCTTATATCTTCTGAGAGAGCAATTAATTCATCCTGAGGGATTCCTTTATCAATTTATTTCCCATATCAGAAGTTGAACTAATCCTTTCATCCATTTTTATATATGAAGCAATGCTAGGAGTAACATAGCTTTGAATACCAAGGCAAAACCCATTATAGCATGAAGAGTCCTTTGTGAGAATGATAATTTTAGTTGAAATTATTCCAATCATTCGAGTAAATAAAAACTATGATGTTTAGTTATTTACTGAACAATCTTTACCTGAGCTTCTGTGTATCAGAATTTTTTAAAGAAAGATTTTATAAATATGAAACCAAAGTTTGTTCTTTGCTTTTAAAAAACTGAATTAAGCCGAGATTGCGCCATTGCACTCCAGCCTGGGCGAGACTCCATCTTAAAAAAAAAAACAAAAAAAAAACCCAAAACTGAATTAGCTCTTTATCTCCAAGAATAGTTGTAATTTTAGTTGCTGCATTTTTTTCAGTAGAATGCCAACTGAAGCAAAAAATCCTGATATAAAAGAAATCAATGATGATATTATTTCCATCACTCATAATACTAAAAAAGAATTTATAGATATTGATGAGAATCTTTTAGAAGTAGAAGCATTTACAGAAGAGGAAATGGATATGCACATATCAGACTATGAAGGTCAGTTCATTTAGATAATCTATTTTTTTGGCTTTATTAATTTGAAATTGGTAAATAATATTATCTGAGGTAACTTATTTAGTCTTATACCTAAGTTAGTATGTTTACAGTAGCCTAAAATAAAAAATTAAGAGAATTAAATATTTATGAAATATTGAGCATATTAACTCTAATTTTGGTTTTAATAAAACCAAGAAGATCTAAGGTATTTTTATGTTGGTGCTCTTTTACCATTATTGGGCGTCTTGTGCTGCTTATATAATAATTATGGTCTGTTAATTTCTGTGAAGCAACTCTATAAACCTCTCCCCAGCAGTCTTCCTTAAGACAGAAACTCTCAGAGCACTACGTGGAGTTAAACATACTGAATAATAAGGCCTCTCAAGGCTCATCTGGGATTTACCTGATGAAGATGGAATAGACTCCAGGTGTTTTCAAAGACTGTCTTTATAAAAAGGATAGAAAATATTTCTGTCATTATATTGTTTCTGGTAATATTCCCTGAGCCCCCTAAAAAGTCAATAGCTTATTTTTTAAATGATCAGTTTTCTCTTCATCTTCACTTATCGCTAGAAGACATTGAAGAATCTGTTGGAGGTTTCAGAAGTCCCAGTCTTGCCATTTGCATGATGACTTTACCACAGCAGTTAGAAGAAGTAAGTCAATAAATAGTGGATATAATTATTCTTCTTTCATTTTGTATAGTGTTTAAATTATACATGTTTTTATTCATTGTTATTAAATATATCAAAGCAGGGCTAGCTCTTAAAAATGCACCATGGGTTGTAGAATATAGCCATGCTGTGTGGCATTTTTCTTTCCCTGAAATTCTAGTACAGTGTAGTAACCTGTCCAATAATTTCAGGCAATGAAGTTTTCACATCATAAACTGCTTTAGCAAATTTATTTAATCAAGAGTAGCAAATGTGTCCTTTATTTAAAAAGTATGGAAGTATGGCCAAGCATGGCAACTGATGCCTGTAATCCCAGCACTTTGGGAGGCTGAGGCGGGAGGATTGCTTGAGGCCAGGAGTTTTAGACCAGCCTGGTCAAGAGAACAAGACTCCATCTCTACAAAAAATTAAAAAATAGCCAGGCATGGTGGCATGCGCCTGTAGTAGTCTCAGCTACTTAGAAGGCTGAGGTGAGAGGATCATTTGACTCCAGGAGTTTGAGGCTGTAGTGAGCTGTAATGTGCTACTACATTCCAGCCTGGGCAACAGAGTGAGACCCTGTCTTTTAAAAAAAAAAATTAAAAAGTATAATTCAGCTGTAGTATACTTTTTATACATATATATACTTTTTGATATTATTTTTCTCAAAACTCTATACACTGAATTTCCAGGGGGAACATAGACATTTCCAATTATTGTAACAATTCTGTGTTTTTGTTTTTTTTTTTCGAGATGAGGGTCTTGCTCTTTTGCCCAAGCTGGAGTGCAGTGGCACGATCATGGCTCACTGCAGCCTGGAATTCCTGGAATAAAGTCATCCTCTTGCCTCAGCCTCCCAAGTAGCTGGGTCTTACTATAGGTGCACACCACTATGCCCAGCTAATTTAAAAAAAAAAAAACATTTTTTTGTAGAGACTGGGCCTTGCTATGTTGCTTAGGCTGGTCTTGAACTCCTAGCCTCAACCTCTCAAAGTGCTGAAATTACAGGTGTGAGCCACCGTGCCCTATCTGTTGTAACAATTCTTTTTTATTTTTATTTTTATTTTTATTTTTGAGACAGTCTTGCTCTGTTGCCCAGGCTGGAGTGCAGTGGTGTGATCTTGGCTAACTGCAGCTTCCACCTCCCAGGTTCAAGCAATTCTGCCTCAGCCTCCCAAGTAGCTGGGACTACAGGTATGCGCCACCATGCCTGACTAATTTTTTGTATTTTTTTATAGAGACAGAGTTTCACCATGTTGGCCAGGCTGATCTTGAGCTCCTGACCTCAAGTAGATCTGCCTGCCTTGTAACAATTCTTTCAAAAAAGATTCATTTTTCCTGGTTTTATAGTTGTTTTTACAGGGAAATGAATAATCATATAGTGTTAGGTGTATATAATTTACAGTGTGTTAGTCTACTGACACAATCTTGTCTTTGTAACTTAGCATGCTCAATAGCCCAGTGTGACAGAGTGGAGGCAATTCACACAGTATAAAGATTAGGTCAGAGCAGGACTGGGAGTACATTTTACTGTTTGATTTCTCACTTGCTTGTAGACTGTTGTTACTCTGGTTAAGTGGCTAATATGAGACTCAAAATACTCAAGACAGTAATACCTATTTGTTTTACCTGTTTTCTTTTTGGGTACTATTCATTTTAACAGGAGTTCACAGAAGAGGTTCAGTGTCAAAGGGAAGAACCACTGGAGACAATTATGGAGGAAAAATCGACTGAACAAAAAGGGTAAGGGGGAAAAAAGTATGACAGTGATTGTCACTGGTTACCTCAGTGAAGCTTTCAGCTTTTTTCCTTCATAATTTACAATACATGATTTAGGGTGGTATTGTGTTTCTAGTGAAACTGTAACTTCAGTTTATAGTTATGGTAAAATGATTTTTGGTAAATGTTATACTTCTATGTATTGATAGAGTGAAATAAATAATGATATCTAAAATGCCTTTTGTTCTCTCATCACTATCAGCCTTATCAAAATAAAGCTGTAAATAGGCCAAAGCTTATTTAGCTGCTAAGTAGGGAACCACTTTTCATACTTATTCCATTTTTATTGAATCAAATAAAGAATGATTATAAATTATTTTATGTATGTATAAAATCTTTCACTGTTGTGATGATTACTATACACTATTCATTAGGGCTATGATGTACACATACACTGCCGGCTAGCTTATTGCTTCAAGGAGAGCTGAAGGCAGTTTTCATGTGTTGCAGTTTGGACATGATTTCTAAATCTTTAGAATTTTAGAAGTTCTAAATTTTAGAATTCCCTTAGATCAGAAAGGCAACATGGCCAGGCGTGGTGGCTTATGCCTGTAATCCCAGCACTCTAGGAGGCCGAGGCGGGTGGATCATGAGGTCAAGAGATCAAGACCATCCTGGCTAACACGGTGAAACCCTGTCTCTACTAAAAATACAAAAAATTAACTGGGTGTGGTGGCGGGCGCTTGTAGTTACAGCTACTCGGGAGGCTGAGGCAGGAGAATGGCATGACCCGGGGAGGCGGAGCTTGCAGTGAGCCGAGATCAGGCCACTGCACTCCAGCCTGGGCAACAGAGCAAGACTCCATCTCAAAAAAAAAAAAAAGGCAACATAATTAGATTTTCTTTTTCTGTTCAGTATGCAAATTTTGTTAGTTTTTCTGTGGACAGTTAAAAAGAATGCATTTAATACTATGGGCCTTTACAAGTAATTTAGATACTTCTATTCATAAAAATGATTCCTTCGGAAAATTACCCAAGAAGAGAGAGAGAGAAGACAAACACTAATCTTTACAGTTTCTTTTTTCTTTTCTTTCTTTTCTTTTTTTGGAAACAGGGTCTTGCTGTGTTGCCCAGGTGTGCACCACCATGCCTAGCTAATTTTTTTGTATTTTTTTTAGAGATGGGATTCGCCATGTCACCCAGGCTGGTCTCGAACTCCTGAGCTCAGGTGATCTGCCTGCCTTGGCCTCCCACAGTGCTGGGATTACAGTCGTGAGCCATCGTGCCCAGCCTCTTTACAGTTTCAAATGTGACAATGGGCTCTAGGGTTCTGAGCATAGTGTCTCCCTCTTCTATAGGTGAAATTTGGGTCTTAACTAACCTCATGTCCCCTCATTTTGGGTTCTGTTGTTTTCATTGCTGAGCAGTCAGCCGTATTTAAGTGGTGTTTTAAGTCATCCAGACATATTTTTTTGCTTTTGCTTAGATCTGTTACTAATTGCTATGGAGACAAATGTAAACAGATTGTAATTATGAGCTAAACATTATAGAAGATTAGAGGATGTTTAGACTCTTAGATGGCTGAGCATAGATCACTCATACCTTAGATAATGCAAAGAATATCTTGCTTACTAATCACCTGTTAATTTTTATTGATAGTATGATCGAAGCCTTTTCACATCCTGGGCATACCACTCCTCAATCAATGCAAGTAGATACGAGTTCAGAAATTTCTAGGTAAGAAGTTTTGCCTACTATACCATTTAAAAATAGTTGTGTTTTACAAATCACAGAGTGAAAGTATGCCGACTGTACCATTTTTGAAACAATTGCTACATTTTGACTAAAAACTAAGAAAAATGAAAGCAACATAAAACATTGAAAGAGCAGCATAAGCACACAGATCTGACATCTTTCATTACTGAGTTTCCACTAGCGATTGTATTTTAAAGTTACACAGGAACTATGTTGAACAGTCTTTTCTGAAAAAAAGTAGTGATATATTATTGAAAGATGAAGTTGTTGCTCATTTTCAGCTTCTAACTGATTTCTTGTAGTGTTTGAAATGCTTTTAATTCTCTCACAGAACAGACTCATCCGGTTCTTTTGAACAGAGTGCTTAGTGTTTAGAAATCTTGCCGAAATAGGAAAATATAGCACAGCTTTACCTCAGAAAAAAATTTTCATAGTTAGAATCGATCTCCTTGAGACCTGTTGAAAGCAAAGCCCAATAAACTTGTTTTAAAATGGGCAGATCTGTTTGTGCAAGGAGACCTTCTTCACAAAATGTTGTTGCGTCTGCATGAGTCCTCATACCCAGATCCGGCCCTTTTGCTACACTCAGTTTAAAGAGCTTCTGAGACTGGCCTGGGCTGTGCACATCCAGCTGTACCTACAGCTCAGTTTACCCCTATACCTGCCCCTACTGTCCCAAGGCCTTCCTGAGTGCCAGTGACTTGTGCAAGCATGAATGCACCCACCCTGTGCCCAAGGGGACCTCTACAGCCCTGGAGCCCCTTGTGGCTTTACTAGGAATGCCTGAAGAGGGGTCAGCCTGAAACCCATTCCCCCTTCCATCACACTTCAGGAACCCAGTCGCCAGAGGGTGCCTCCTAAACCTTCTTTGGCTCCGCTTACTCTTTAGATTCCAGATCCCTGTCACTGGGCAACTAACTCCCTTGTCACCCAGCTAAGAAAGCTGGGGACAGTGGAGGCTGGCAGCAGCTGTGAGAAACATGATTCTCAAGGAGCAACACTCAAAGCTTTCACTTTGGCAGAAAAGGAAAAGATAGATCAGTTGTAATGCCTATTTTTTGTGAATTTGCCAAATAAAGTTTTTTTATTGGGTGTGTTAAGATGCTCGATAAAAGGCAAATATTATTGCCAAATGGGAATGAGTGTAAACCTAAATAAGTCTATATGAAATTTAATATGTTCTTTTCTTTTTTGGAAACAGTGATCTGTTTGAATCTGATAACTGCCTGCTCCCTTGCTTAGTTTATAAAATGTAGAAAACTTTGAGTATCTGCTATGTTTGAGGAGTCATCCCCCAACAGTCATTTTGTTTTTTTAAAAAAAAAACCTAAACACCTTGCTTTGATCCTTAATTTTTATTTGTAAATAAGCATTTTTTATTAGGGTTTATGGTACATTTAAACTCTGAGGTTTGCTTGGAAATGAAATGTTCACAGTACTATTGTTTCACATTTAATGATGATAAACAGTAGTTTTCTCTACTGATCCTAGAATTAAGTTTTTTAAACCCAGTTTTTCCGTAGTTTTCTTAACTCTATGCTGGATCATTAATTTTAGTCAAAAACATATTTCTAAGCCAAATTACAAATTGTGAAGTCTGTACAGCTAATCAGAATGATTCCACAGGTCTCAAATTCAGATGTCCACAGGGACCAGGCAAGTAAAATATATGTCAGCTCTTGGGTTTGCAACACCCTATGAAGGAGCCCATCACTGACTAGACAATCCCTTAATAAAGATGAAAATTGAGCTGATGACGAATGTGTCTGGGGGGCTGACGGGCACTAGAGAGAAAGGCTTTAGGGTTTAAATTTCTAGAAAACTACTAGAATAACCTTTAAATTGGAAGACAAAAGTGGGATCAAAATATTCTGATCATAGACATTCAATTTGTTTTTTGTCAATTTTAATGCATGTTTTTTATTTAAATGCTTTCCACGCAGTGCACAGATTTCTACATATAAAGAAAAATCTTCCTCAGTTCCACTTCTGATATCAAATGGAGTCAATGTTGCTTCACAACCACCTGCTCCAACACCTCAGAAGACCCAGAGAAATGAATTCACGGCTCAGTTACCAGATTGTTCGGAGTCCGTTAGGCAGATGCTGCAAGATGAAATGTTTAAATTAGTTCAGGTAAGCACATCTCTATATAAGTAAGTAAATCTACACATAGTGTACATGTAGGGTTTTAAAATATTAATAGATTTCCAGAAATTGACAAGGTAAAATTATATCACAAGCATTTCTCTGCTTTGGGTACTTTTCATTCAAATGTTTATAACTGGTTGGGCGCAGTGGCTCACGTTTGTAATCCCAGCACTTTGGGAGGTCAAGGTAGGAGGATTGCTTGAGGCCAGGAGTTTGAAACCAGCTTGGGCAACATAGTGAGACTCTGCTAGGAAACTCTACTAGGAAAAAAAAATTCTACTAGGAAAAAAAAGACCTCTAGGGCCCAGAGGTCTAGGCTAAGCTACCTACTTCTCACAATGACCTATTTTTACTGAGCTCTTTGGGATGCAGCTGCTCACAAAAGTGAGGTGGGGAGTAATCAAACCAGATTAGTGGGCTCCTACTCAAAAGTATCCAAGGTTTATTTTCCAGCTGACACTATCACATATTTCTTATCCATATTTCTTGTGCTTGAGTTGAAACTCTCAGCTGCATTTCAAATTACTGTTCACTTTGACTTTCATCATACCTGGCTATCCTTTTTTTCTGTTTACCAACAATGGTTAATTATTTACCTTTTTAGAAACATTAGTTTCCTTCAGATCTAAACCTCTGCTCATTTGTCCTACATTCACTTCCATATCCTTTTATGTGATGTAATATATACCATTTCCATATTGATGATTCTCGGCACTAATTTTCTTTTTAAAAATTTTTTTTATATTTTTATTTTTTGAGACGGAGTCTCACTCTGTTGCCCAGGCTGGAGTGCAGTGGCGCGATCTCGGCTCACTGCAACCTCTGCCTCCCAGGTTCAAGCGTCTTCTGCCTCAGCCTCCTGAGTAGCTGGGATTATAGGCATGTACCACCTTGCCTGGCTAATTTTTATATTTTTAGTAAAGATGGAGTTTCGCCATGTTGGCCAGGCTGGTCTCGAACTCCTGACCTCAGGTGATCTGCCTGCCTTGGCCTCCCAAAGTGCTAGGATTACAGGCGTGAGCCGCTGTGCCCAGCTGCACTAATTTTCTCTTTGAACTTAGGGGCCTTGATGAGAATAGTTGTTCAGCATGTCCCCCTGTCCCATGAAACTTACTGAAACTAATTTTATTCTTATTCTCCCTAGTCCCTTCTTTCCTTTTTCTGTTTAGTAGCACCACTGATTCTACCATCTTAATGTTTTAGAGACATCTCTCAAACTGTTAGATGGATTACTTGGGGACTTCACTGGTCACTGTCCTATATATTTAACACATTATCCAGATAATTCTGATGCACACAAAAGATTAAGAATCACTATCTTCAAAAGTCATCTTTGCCTTCTTTCACAACCCCTACCCAGTGTTTTACTATGCCCTCTTGAATTTTTTGCCCATACTATATGTCGGTAATAGCCACTTGCTATTTCTATAGCAGTGGCTAACCTTAGATTCTTAGTTTTGTTCTTCCATTGTCTTCTATATTCTAGGACACTTTCTTCAGGTATTATTTTAATAATATTAGTCACCTGTTTAAAAATCTTCAGTAAATTTCAGGAACAAATTTGTATAATATATGATATCAATCTTGTTTTAAAAATAGAAAGAAGCCAGCCTCTTTATATTTTTAAATTTTATAAGAGGTGGCTCATACCTGTAATCCTAGTGCTTTGGGTGGCTGAGGTAGGAGGATTGCTTGAGGCCAGGAGTTTGAGACCAGCCTGGACAACATAGCAAGACCTCATCTCTACAAAAACAAACAAACAAACAAAAACTCAAAAAGCAAACCATTATCCAGGCATGGTAGCACATGCCTATAGTCTCAGCTACTCGGCAGGCTGAGGTTGGAGGATGCTTTGAGCCCAGGAATTTGAAGTTACAGTGGTCTATGATCAGTCCACTGCACTCCAGCCTGGGTAGCAGGGTGAGACCTTGTCTTTTAGATAGAATAGATAGATAGAGAGAGAGAGAGAGAGAGAGAGAGAGAGAGAGAGAGAGTAAGCTAGAGAAAGGAAATATACTAAAATGTCAATGCTCATTATTTTTGAGGGTAGGATTATGAATGATATTTATTTTATTTTTAAAATTTCTGTTTTTTCCTGTGTGTATTTACTTTATAATTAAAAGAAAACTACATTTTTTAAAACCTGCACTATTTCCCTATTGGTTTGTTCTATCAAATGCAAATTCTTCTGTTGGCCTTCAAAAACTTCACTTTGAAGTCTTTACCTTCCCTCCTTTCCTGCCTTACTTTCACAAGTCTAGTGGTTCTCAAAGTATGATGCCTGGACGAGTAGTATCAGCATCACTTAGACTTTGGAAATACAAATTCTCAGATCCCTATCCTAGACCTGTTGAATCAGAAACTTGGGATAGGGATCAGCAGTCGTTCAAGTCCTCCAGGTAATTCTGATGCATGCCGAAGTTTGTGAACTTCTGTACTAGCCTATCTTTTCATTATGCCTGCTGTAAATCTCTTGTTCCAGCTAAGCCAATGTCTATGCTAGTGCTTCCCAAGCTTTTCTGGACATTTAAATAACCTGGTCATCTTAATGAATACAGATGCTGGTTCCTATCCTCAGACATTGCGATTATTGATAGGGAGTGACCTGGTCATCGGGACTTATAAATACTTCTCAGGTGATTGTAATGTGCAGCAAAGTTTGGGGACAACTGGTGTCTGACTACTTTCACCTAGTCAGCGTTTCCAAGGGAATTCCTTGCTCTTCACCTGTGTACTGCTTTCTGCTCATTGCTGAAAACTGTCCAAAATATACTTATTCTGGGAATCTGTCTTTTTTCGTGTGTGTAGACAGAATCTTACTCTGTCACCAGGCTGGAGTGCAGTGGCACGATCTTGGCTCAGTGTAACCTCCGCCTCCCTGGTTCAAGCGATTCTCCTGCCTCAGCTTCCCGAGTAGTTGGGACTACGGGCCCGTGCCACCACACCCAGCTAATTTTTGTATTTTTAGTAGAGATGGGGTTTCATCATGTTGGCTAGGATGGTCTCAATCTCTTGACCTCATGATCTGCCTGCCTCGGCCTCCCAAAATGCTGGGATTACAGGCGTGAGCCACTGTGCCCGGCCTATTCTGAGAATCTGTCTTTATCCCACTCCTTTGATCCCTGGGATGTTTATGGAAACTGAATACTGTAAACTGTTTACAAATAGTTCCAAGTTTCATTCGCAAGTGAGTATTCATATGCCTGGTTGACAGGAAGTTATCATTTTTTTCCTCTCCCTTTAAAAAAAAAAAAAATTTCCCTGACTGCCTCCTGCTCAGCATTCATGATTCTCATAGATATTAAGACAAACGTGTGACTATTGTAGAATACTCAGATGATTATTGTTATTCCTTAGATTCTTTTTGTTATATTTTAAGATATCGCTTCAATTTTTGTTTTATTCAAGCTGCAACAGATCAACTTCATGAGCCTAATGCAAATAGTAGGATCATCCTTTGCTAATCTCCCAGATACACAACAACTTGTACAGCAGTCTCAGTCTGTGCATTTAGGGGAAAGCCAAGAATCAAACCTAAGAGGATGTGGTGATGTTGAAGACAGCAACAAAAATCTTAAGGAGAGATTTTTTATTAAACCACAGTCAATGGGAGAGAACGCCAGAGAGCCTCGCAAGAACAGCCCACACTGCCATGAAGGAACTATCCCATCTGGTCAAAATAGTACTGGAAACGTACAGGTAATGTATGTAAAAATACCATTAATGGCTGGGCGCGGTGGCTCATGTCTGTAATCCCAGCACTTTGGCAGGCCACACCTGAGGTTGGGAGTTCGAGACCAGCCTGGCCAACATCGTGAAACCCCGTCTCTACTAAAAATACAAAAGTCAGCCGGGTGTGGTGGCGCATGCCTGTAATCCCAGCTACTCAGGAGGCTGAGGCAGGAGAATCGCTTGAACTCAGGAGGTGGAGGTTGCAGTGAGCCGAGATCATGTCACTGTACTCCAGCCTGGGTGACAGAGCAAGACTCTGTCTCAGAAAAAAAAAAATAATAATGTCCTGAGTAGTTCAATAGTCATCGTGTTTTTTATTGAATAAATAATTTTTTTTTTTAGCAGTTACTACATTCTACCCACTGCAAAACATACTGAATGCCATTTACAAAGGAAGGAATTTCTAATATATTCTAAACTTACATAATATCTTTTTTCTCTTCCAGAATGTTCCACATGGGAGTATTCCTTTATGTCAATTAAATGGCCAGCCCCGGAAAAAAGGACCAATTCCATCATCTCAAAACTTACCATCCACTTCGTTTTATCCAGCTCCTGCTGGAAATACTCACCTCTACCTTTTGTCCACACCTTCTGTTGTTCAGAAGGCACCTAGACTTATCCCACATGCAAAAACATTTAGTCCTGGTGATGGCTTTCCTTTGCTTCAATTTAAGTCTAAACAAGAATTCCAGCCCCTTTTCTTACATACAGGAAGTATTCCACAAGTTCCCTTCAGGCCTTTGCCACAACCAAGAGAGGCTTGGGGATTATCTGACTCCTTCCAACCTGCTCTGCCACAGAGAGCAGCACAAACTACTCCAGCATCCCATTTGAATGTAAGCCAGTATAACACTGAAGCCAGAAAAAAAGAAGTTGAGCAGAAGACGTGGGCAGAAACTGTAATTACAGAAATTCCTAATCATGTGAACTTGGATCAATATGTTGGACAAGAAAATTTGACACCTCAACAGGACTCTTCAGTGTTTATAAAACCAGAAAAACTATTTGATGTTAAGCCAGGGACCCTTGAGATATCTCCTCACCATTCCTTTGGACTTCCGTTACTATACCTGCCACTTAAACCTCCTAATATGTTTCCATCAACCTCAAGAGCATCTATTACAGTTCCCTCAACACCTATCCAACCTATAGCAGAAGAAAGAAAATACCCAAGATTGTCATTACTTCATTCACATTTGTCCCCAGAAAATAGGGTAATGAATTTTTGTATGGTAATGCAAAAGCAGTGTCCTGCACTATTTTTTTCATACCATAAGTACTGTATGGTCACTGAAAAGCTCTTGTACATAAAAAAATGCTTGTTATAGAAAATAGCATATAAAAATTAGGTTTAAAATAATGATTGTAGCTGGGCATGGTGGCTCATGCCTGTAATCCCAATACTTTGGGAGGCCAAGATGGGAAGATCCCTTGATCCCCAGGAGTTTGAGACTAGCCTGGGTAACATAGGGAGAAGCTGTCTCTATTAAAAAAAAATTGTGTATTTTAAAGGTTTTAGGTCTTTCTATCAATACTGGAATTTACTGGACTCTTTCATAAATATTTCTGCTGCTCTGGGAAGAAATAAGAAGTAAAATTACCAGGTACTCTGTGTCAGATTTAAACACTCAAAAAAGAAAGCAAAAAAATTACCAGATGCTCTTGTTTATGTGTGTGTAGAGTGGAGAGCAAGTGAGCACACATATTGTTTGAGGTTCCTAGCAATTATTGTATGATCTTCAAATCTTTGACAGGTTAAATTTGTTAAATAGACCCAGAATCTGTGATTAGTAGCATATATATTAAAATGGTAGTTTTATAAACCCACCAAGTCCTCTTTAAAGGTATAACTTTTGATTTATGAAATTAAAATGGTTTAGGCTCTAGTTTTGAGGAGAGCAGTACTATCTTAGGGAGGTAATTGAGTAATGCATTCTGTGGTGTACTTTTATGATTTGAAGATGGTACTGGGAAAGGAAATGGTTATTCCTTAGAAAAAATACTTACCATGCTTCCTTTTCTTCTGAACATATAACGAGCCAAAGAAGAACCCCAAGTTTTTATCACCCAATTCCCAAGGCTTCAGGGATTTTCAGCATATTGCTGGTCTGTTCCATCTGTGGTTTTTGTGCCTCTACATCTTCCCTGTTCCAAACAATTTTAAGTTAAATGCTGGACATTATATAATTTCATTTATAAGAGGAAAGGTTTTTTTTGTTTTTATGTATGAGACGGAGCCTTGCCCTGTCACCAGGCTGGAGTGTAATGGCGCCATCTCAGCTCACTGCAACCTCCAACTCCCAGATTCAAGTGATTCTCCTGCCTCAGCCTCCCAAGTAGCTGGGATTACAGGCACGCACCACAATGCCTGGATAATTTTTTATATCTTTAGTAGGGACGGGGTTTCACCATGTTGGTCAGGCTGGTCTCAAACTCCTGACCTTGTGATCAGCCCGTCTCGACCTCCCAAAGTGCTGGGATTACAGGCGTGAGCCACTGCACTTGGCCAGAGGAAAGCTTTTTAATAAGGGAATGAAATTAGGAAGTTGAGAACTTCTAGCTTAATTTCTGAAATAGGATGACCCATTTGAAACTTTCAGCACTTTAAATCACTTTTTCTCTAAGATATGTATACTCATATTGCCAGTTTAAATCAATTTGTTATATTTGATTTGTTCTAACTGTTGCACAGTTTAATTTAAACAAATGTATTTTTCCTCAGTCTTTTGTTGAAATATTACATAATTGAGTTTGCAATTTGTCATTCTTATGCTTTGTTTCTTTCTTGTAGTGCAAAAAAACACAACTTATCCCACTTGAAAACCTCATTGCGTTTAAACAAAGCCAACAGAAACTAACACATAATTTATTTGAACAAGGTGATGCTGGACACCTTCAACTTCTAAAGGTCAAAATAGAACCACCTGAAGTAAGACAAGGAAAGGACAGTAAAAAAAGGCAAGGCTTAAGTGAAATTTTATTTGATAATATCATATATCAGCAAGTTCATTATTATTTATAATCACACAGTAATCTGGTTCAGTCTCCTAGGCTATACACAATTGCACATTCAGTTTTCTTTTCAAGTGTCATGCATCTGAAAACATTTTATGTGAGAAAAATTCCTATTTTGCGAGACAAATACTATAATTTTTTCCCATTTTATTAAGGAATTCTTTCCTACCATTCATAGACTGGAGGATTCTTTTACAGTGTCGGTAATAGGATGAACAGTCATTTGCTGCTCAAATATTTGGTACAATATCCCATATGCAGTAGTCCTCCCTTATCCCCAGGAATACATGCCAAGACCTTCAGTGGATACCTGAAACTGCAGATAGTACTGAACCCTATTATATATTTTGTTTTTTTCTATATATGCATGCCAATGATAAAGTTTAAGTTACAGATTAGGCACAGTAAGCAATGCACAATAACTAGTAATAAAATATAACAATTATAACTATATTGTAATACAAGTTATAAGAATGTGATCTCTTTCTCTCTGTCTCTCAAAATATCTTACTGCACTGAACTCATCTATTTTCGAACCATGGTTGAACTCTGATAACTGAAACCTTGGAAAGTGAAACCATGGATAAGCAGGGACTACTGTATCATCTAATACTTTGAACCAATCATCTTACCGTATTCTTTAGACTCTTACAGTAAGCAGGAGGGTAGGTGATGTAAATTGTTTCAGGGCACTAAGAAATGTGTATGTGAAAAGCAAGGCTGTGACTTCTAGTGAAGAGCACTTACTGTAGTGTTTTACCGCATATATTGATTGGTAGATTATTACTAAGTCTAGAAAATACTTTTAAAATTTCACATTTATCAGACTGTAAAATCTGTCACTAGTGCTCTCTTTCCAGAAATTTTCTGTTTCCATCTATTCCCTCTTCAAATTAAGTCTTCCCTTTAGCATTTTGAGACCTCTTTCCTCCTTGCTGTAATTTTGCTGAGGTGACTAAGTGTGCTTAATGTCTTCAAATAGACAAATGGAGGTATCTGATAGGGTTTCTGGCACCAGCTTCAAATCCACAGAAAAGAGAGTTTAATAATTACCTAAGGTGTGTAAACCTGTCCTTAGATTCCAGTGACTAATATAGAATAGTCAGTTCAGTAGTAGAGGTTCTAGAAATAAATTTCACATTTGGTGTTTTGCTTATATTTGCTTGTATTTGCAGAATATCTTGCCAATTTAATTAAATGCTATTGAAAATAATTTATGAACGTAATTTTGTCAACTGTATCCCTATATAGCATGATAAATGAAAAGCAAATGTTGCTATAGTTGTAAAAGTATGTTTTATGCTATTATGTTTAACAGGCAAAGAAGAAGAGCTGAGAAAGAGCTGCAAGAAAAAAGATGTGAGAAACTGAGGAGAAAACCAAATGTGACTTTTCGACCAGAGAATTCCATAATTAATAATGATGATTCAGAAATCATTAAGAAACCCAAGGTATAGAAAAACTGCTATAGATTCTTCCCTGGTTTGCATGTACACTGAGTTTGGTATGTCTTTGTGGTTTATCTAGTCTGATTGCTGGGAGCTTCTGACTGTGACTAGGAGGATCTTCATATCATTCAGTATATCAGTCCCTGCTGCCTCCCTCCACAGAGCAGTAGACATAGAGTTCTGAATGTGAAAAGCAACTTGATGGTACATGAAAAACTGCAGTTTAGAGCATCTGCCTGTGTGGCTTTTTTATATTTGAAATCACCCTTTGCTTATTTCTATGACATCTTAATATATATATTATGTTATTTGGGCTTCTCCTAATACAGTTTCACCGTTCTCTGAGATTCCTCTAGGATTTCCCAAACAGGTTTGTTGTGTAACCTCTATTTTAAGTCACGTCTTTTTTTAAAATTTAATTTATTATTATTTTTTAGAGATAGGGCCTTGCTCTGTTGCACAGGCTGTAGTGCAGTGGCATAAATATAGCTCACTGCAGCCTCTACCTCCTGGGCTCGGGCAATCCTCCTGCTTCAGCCTCCCAAATAGCTAGAACTACAGGTGTGTGCCACCATGCCCAGCTAATTAAAAAATATTTTTTGAGAGGTGGGACCTTGCTGTGTTGCCCAGGCTGGTCTCCAACTCCTGACCTCAAGTGATCCTTCCACCTCAGCCTCCTAAAACACTTGGATTATAGGTGTGAGCCATCATGCCCAGCTTTAAGTCAGGTCTTTTAAAATATACCTTCTATATTTGGTGACTAACTATTTTTGCAACAACAGATTAAATAGAGACGTATTAATAGTTTTGTTTACATTGATTTTTAAAAGGCATGCTTTTTCAGTCAGTCCTCAAGAGCATGTTTAGAGGCACTTAGTACAAATGTTTGTTGAGTCCATGAAAGATTTTTGACAGGATGGTGTACTATTTGAGTATTATCAAAGCTACTCTGTAGAAGAGAGTTGCACATGGTAACCTAGGAACGTTACATTAAATTGGTAATGCTCTTTTTTATTGTTTGGCTTATGTATTTTCTGAATTCATTTGTAGAGTTACTTTGATAGAGTAAATAATTTGATAGAATACTTATGTCTAGAATGATGGAAGTTGAAGTTATACATGAGAATTCAATCTTCATAGCTATTGATTTTTTTTTCAAAAATAATACACATCTTTGAGTTAATCATAGAGTAATCCTGTGGGAATTCATTTAGGAACAACAAGAACATTGTGGTTCCCATCCTTTGGATGACTTCGACGTTCCTTTTGGTATGTATGTGTATGATTAATGTAATGTCTAAGTTTAGAGTTAAAATTAGCTTTCTAGAAATATGTACAATATGAAAATGAGGCTACCTACATTTCTGCCCAGCTGACTACAAATTCAAGGGTTCCTATACTCCACCCCCCTCAACTCAGGTTTGATAATTGACTAGAAAACCCACAGAAATTGGGAAAGCACTTTACTTATGATTACAATTTTATTATAAAGGATACGCAGTGGTGGGGGTGGGCAGCACAGGGCTTCCATGCCCTCTCTGGGATGGTCATTCTCCTAGCACATCCATGTATTCACCAACCTGGAATCTCCCTTAACCTGTTTGCTTCAGAATTTTTATTGACTTTTCAGTACATAGGTATAATTGATTAAATCACTGGCCATTGTGATTGAGCTCAATCTCCAGCCCCTTCTCTTTCCCAGAAGTGGCAGTAGGATGAGTGAATTGGGGGCTGGTAGTTCTAACCCTCTCATCATGTGGTTGGTTCCTCTGGTGACTAGGGCCTATGCTGAAGCTATCTAAGGGCTTGCAAAGAGACACCTCTAGCATAAACTTAGGTATGATCAAAAGGGGCTCGTTAGAAATAACAGACACTCCTATCAGGAAATCCCAAGATTCTGAGGACCTGTGTGCAAGAAACTGGGTCTTTGTAGACCAAATATATATTTTTCATTATACCACAATGCTCCATAATTAATACTTTCTTATTCTACCTAGTCTTCCTGGGAGATCTCCCAGAGAAATCCACATGTAAACCCAAACTCTCACAGTAGACTTTGGATTTTGATTTTCTTTCCTCTTGAGTTTTTCCACTTGTGTAGAAATTACCTCAGGTACACCATGTGAATTCTGAATTCATTATTTCTACTCTGCCCCAACTGTTTTTTCCTCCTATGTTCTCTTTCTCCATTTGTGTTGATATCAGCCTAAGCCAGAAACACATGATTCTGAATTCTGTCTTCCCTCTTATCCATTCAGTAACCAATTCTTACCTATTTTGCTTCCTTTGTAATTCTTAAATTTAACCTGTTTCCCCATCCCTCACCATTACTAGGTATATCCACTCAAACCTATTTTCCACACACTGGCTAGGTTGTTTTCCTAGAATATGAATCTGACCATATCATTTCTCTGCTTAACAGCTTCTACTGGATCTTCATTAGCCAGAAGAATATCTAGGTTTCTAAGCTGGACGTGCAGAGTCCTCAACAGTTTTGGTTTTGATTCTACCATGTCTTTGAGATTCAACTTACATAACACTTCATTGAGAAAGCCCATTTTAGGCTGGACACGGTGGCCCACGCCTGTAATCCCAGCACTTTGGGAGGCTGAGGCGGGTGGATCAGTTGAGGTCAGGAGTTTGAGACCAGCCTGGCCAACGTGGCGAAACCCCGTCTCTCCTAAAAATACAAAAATTAGCCAGGCATGGTGGTGGGCACCTGTAATCCCAGCTACTCAGGAGGCTGAGGCAGGAGAATCACTTGAACCCGGGAGGGGGAAGTTGCAGTAAGCCGAGATTGCACCACTGCACTCCAGCCTGGGCAGCAGAGCCAGACTCCATCTCAAAAAAAAAAAAATTTAATAACATCCTGACACCCCATATTTTACTTCCATTGAGTTAGGTACTGTGCTGCTGGGCTCCTGGTAATCTGTTAGCTTCTCAATGATTACTTCCAATGTTTTATTATATTTAAGAAATGCTACAAGATGATAATACTTCAGCTGGATTGCATTTCATGGCCTCTGTAAAAAAGAAAGCTATAGGAAGTCAAGATGCAAGTACAAATACAGACCCAGGTAAATGCTGTTTTACTTTTTAAAAAAATTCATATATTTTGATACAATTAAGTTATCTAGACTTTTCCTTTAAGACAGTGATTTAAAGGGAATTTTTAATTATGTGATATTATTTACTCTGCCTAGATTTTTCTTTCCAGTCTTGGTATATACTGTAGAAATCAAATTGATAACTTAAGTAAAACATAATAGACACTTTTCTTCAAAATTGCCATAGACTACATCCTAAGTCAGTAAATATAATGCTTTGAATTTGGATTCTCTATGTTATTGATTACCTTTACTGGAATTGCATGCCCAAGGTTGGGAGGCCTGGGATTGTGGCTAGTGAAGGTGAGCTAGGAAGGACTGGACTGGGTTCGGTGAGGGAGGGGTATTTAACTGTGTCCAGGAGCAGAGGAAATAAGTGTTGGAGGACCTATTATTTGGAATGTTTCCTGACAAATTTCCTCTTTAATATTATTTATCATTATGAATAGCATCTTGAATAGTGCTCTACCCATTGTTATCACAGAAATTCTTTTTTATGATTTTTAGTAAACAATTTCTTTTACCCATGTACAGAACCTTGTGCATGCTTTTTAGCCTAACTTTATCTTATGTTTTAAAAATGTAATCATTGTAGAATATTTGGGTGATTTAGCAATCTATGAAGAAGATGAAAATTAACCATAATCACACCACTTAGCAATAACGGTTTGATATTGTTTTTTCTTTCAGTCTTTTGTGCATTTTACATTGTTAAATACAGTATATAGCATAGGTGTCCTCCCTTACTATCTAAACTCTCATTGTCCAGATATTATGGCTATCTTCTCTAGCTTTTCCATGAGAGTTTAGTTTAATCCTCCTGGGTCCCAGTGTTATTTTTTTCCAAGTACCTTGGGATGCTCTTAAATTAGAGTGTATCTTTAACATATTATTTATTTTGTTATTTGCATCATAGTATGTTTGCTACAATGTTGACGGCAATTCATCTCTAATGTGTTCAGTATTATTGCATATTGAATGCTAACTAATGAATTAAATGAATATTAATCAAAAAGTTATATTTAAAATGCTTTATATGTAGTTATCCTTGATGGGTTGTTATTTAAGAGTTGTTTAATGATGTTTGGGAAAATTAGATGGGCTAGGACACCTTTTTATTTCCATTTGAAATACTGTCATAAAGTCTCCTGGAATCAGAAAATTCACTATCCAGCACATTTGCAGGAGTGGATTAGATTTGCATTACAAGGGATACCCGTATTTTCTATCCTGTTCATTTCACTTTGATTTATATGTATGGCAAACATGTCCCTGTGTCATCAAAAAAGTACTTCATAAGCATATTCCTTCTTCCAGCTATACATTAGACAGTTTCCAGTTTTTTCTCCTACAAATTATGCTTCAATGAGTATCTTCCTGCATAAGAGACTTTTTTGGTTATTACTGTGATTTAGCTAAACTTTTTAACTTTGCCAATCTGATAGGTCAAAAAAAGTAATTATAGGCTGGGCGCGGTGGCTCACGCCTGTAATCCCAGCACTTTGGGAGGCTGAGGTGGGCGGATCACTAGGTCAAGAGATCGAGACCATCCTGGCTAACACGGTGAAACCCCATCTCTACTAAAAATACAAAAAATTAGCCAGGTGTGGTGGCAGGCGCCTGTAGTCCCAGCTACTTGGGAGGCTGAGGCAGGAGAATGGCATGAACCTGGGAGGCAGAGCTTGCAGTGAGCCGAGATTGTGCCACTGCACTCCAGCCTGGGCGACAGAGCAAGACTCTGTCTCCAAAAAAAAAAAAAAAAAGTCATTATTTTAATTTGTATTTCTTTCTGAATGAAGTTGAGCACATGTAAAATGGTTTTGATATAAATGATGACTCTGCATTTGAGAAACATTTTTTTTTTTTTTGAGATGGAGTCTTGCTCTGTTTCCCAGGCTGGAGGCTGGAGTGCAGTGGTGCAATCTTGGCTCAAGATTGCCTCCGCCTGCCAGGTTCAAGCAATTCTCCTACCTCAGCCTCCCAAATAGCCAAGGTCTCCTGACAGGTGACCTCCACCACGCCTGGCTAATTTTTGTATTTTTAGTACAGACAGGGTTTCACCATGTTGGCCAGGCTTGTCTCAAACTCCTGACCTCAAGTGATTTGCCCTCCTCGGCCTCCCAAAGTGCTGGGATTACAGGCTTGAACCACCACATCGGAACTGAGAAACATTCTTAAATGTTCATTATCTAAGCATGTCTTTGAGAAAGCCTTGGAGGTACATTGCTTTTGTTGCTAAGTAGTTTATCGAAGTTGGCAGCTGTTTCCTGAGTCTGCTATTCATCTAGGTGAAGGCCCAAGATATAAATAATAATAAAATTTGAAATTACATTAATTATTTAAAATTACATTGTTAAGTTGTCACTCTTTGTTTCTACCTATCACCTTTTATGCATAATATCTAATTATCTGTATTCATATATTTTAATTTTTTCTTGTGTTTGTGAAATTTTTTTGTTTTCTCTTTTTGTCTTAAATTTTTAATGTACTACAAGATAAGGAAGCTACTTCTCAAGAAGTTGTTTCTGAATGTGGTACCAAGCAGCAAATAATTTCTTGCATATCATGTGTGATTTCTTTTTTTTCCTAAGAACAGTATGACTTATTAAAGATGTATCTGCATTATGCCAAAGCTAGTCACCATCCCCCTTAAAAAAGCGGTTAAACCAATCAATTAAGAGAGAGGGAATGATTTCAGTATTTTTATTTTCCTTTTTTTTCTAGTTTTAAGTGGTTTAAATTTAAGCTTTGGTAACAAGTACTCAATATGAGTTACATTTGAAAATAGTGCTTTATTGAAAATACAGTGCTAGAAGATAAGGCTAGAGGCCTAGAACAAAAGGCACAGAGTTAAACTGTTTGTTGATCTGCTGTGACAGGCCTGTTTATTTTACTGTTAAATAAGAAGCAGTTAACGTTTGTGAAATTTAGATGTTAAAACACCTTAAGTGGTAAAATTTAATTATAGGCTCTGTGAATATACTATACACCACTGAATGATACCCTTTTAAAGAATGTGAATTAGGCCGGGCGCGGTGGCTCACGCCTGTAATCCCAGCACTTTGGGAGGCCGAGGCGGGTGAATCATGAGGTCAGGAGATCGAGACCATCCTGGCTAACAAGGTGAAACCCCGTCTCTACTAAAAATACAAAAAATTAGCCGGGCGCGGTGGCGGGCGCCTGTAGTCCCAGCTACTCGGGAGGCTGAGGCAGGAGAATGGCGTGAACCCGGGAAGCGGAGCTTGCAGTGAGCCGAGATTGCGCCACTGCAGTCCGCAGTCCGGCCTGGGCGACAGAGCGAGACTCCGTCTCAAAAAAAAAAAAAAAAAAAAAAAAAAAAGAATGTGAATTAGCTGGGCGCAGTGGCTCATGCCTGTAATCCCAGCACTTTGGGAGGCTGAGGCGGGCGGATCACGAGGTCAGGAGATCGAGACCATCCTGGCTAACATGGTGAAATCCTGTCTCTATTAAAAATACAAAAAAATTAGCCAGGTGTGGTGGTGGGTGCCTGTAGTCTCAGCTACTCGGGAGGCTGAGGCAGGAGAATGAACCCGGGAGGTGGAGGTTGCAATGAGCTTAGATCATGTTACTGCACTGCAGCCTGGGTGACAGAGCGAGACTCTGTCTCAAAAAAAAAAAAAAAATGTGAATTATGTTTCAATAAAGCTGTCAATAAAAATAAGCAAATAACAAGAAAGTGTTCAAGTTAAAAAAAAATTAGTTATAGGTTAATCTTCTAAAATCTGGTTTTGTTGAAACTTCCCTAAAGTAGACAAGCATGACTTACTATATCTGATACGGAAATAGGAAATTTTAGCATTTTCTTGATGTAATTTAGTTACTTTATTGTTCTTGTAAATCATTCATATGAGAGAAACAATAGTCAGCTTACATTCAATTATGAATTACTTTAAATTGCCCTTAGAATAGAATGTGCTTTAATTATTTATACCCATGTCACTTCTACTTAGATTTCAAGAAGTACAATTTATGTTGTTTGTTGCTAACTTGTTCATACAAAGCTGATGATTTGGAGCAGTTTACAGCCTTTTTTTGAATGTTCCTGATTATTTCTTTTTTAATTTTCAGAACATGAGCCTTTGACTGCTCCTCAGCTCTTGGTCCCAGATGTCTATCTAAATCTGAAGCTTTCCAGTGAAATGTCAGAGAAACCTTGGTCACCCTCAATACCTCATACAGTAACAAACTTGGTTTGTGTTTTATTCAGAAGTTTTAATAATACCTTTGCGCTAAAATGTATTATGGTCATGTAGACATTATTCAATTGGGTAGATGAAATGAGGTTAAAAATCTCATCTATGTAGCTTTGTAGTAAAGGTTCAAAAATTAATTTAAGCATTATGCCAAAAATATTATAAACTAAGACCAATAATACATACTTCCTGCTCCTTTTCCTAAGTTAGGCACATTCAGGCCCTTCTTTCCTTGTTTTTAATAAGAATGAAGAATTAAGCCTTTTTTTTTTTTTTTTTTTTTTTTTTGGCGGAGTGACCACATAGAGTAAAAAGAATGTAACCCTCTTTGGTTTTATGTGTTTTGGCTCAGGTTGGACATACTTATATAAATGTGATTGACATTGAAGCTAATGATCTTCTACAGGAATTACCTGTGAGAGAAGAGCCTTCAAATGATAATGTTATCAAACAGCAAAGCGATCATCTAGCAGTTCCATCGTCTGCAGAGTTACATTATATGGCAGCTTCAGTTACTAATGCTGTTCCCCCACATAATTTTAAGAGTCAAGGTAATTTTTTCCTACTTTTAAAACAAATATAATTTGAAAAGTTCTTTAATATAGCATTGTTATCCCTACTCACATCTCTTACCTCTCCTCCTACAAACCCACTGTATTTTTGGATGTTTACATGCACAGAAATGTTCTGTTAATCTTCGGATTACCTTATTTAGAAGTTTAGAATCAGTCTTTGAATGCTTTTCATAGTCTTGATAGAATCAGCCAATTCCTCTATGGATTTATTTTCTAAACCTGCAGAAGTAACTCCAGCTTGTCTGGATGGAAAAAGCTTGAGAGCAGGCATTACAGAAGTGAAGGAGCCTAGTGTCACCTCACCTACACCATCAGACATACAGCAGAACAAAGGTAAACAGCCAAGAGGTATAGCATGACCCTCTCCTGAATTACTGTTGTATTGGAAACAAGCACCAAAATTTGGTAATTGCAAAAGAAACCAGAAAAAGGGTTGTCCCTTGCTAAGGAGCATGGGGGCAAGTAGGTAAATGAAATAGAGACATGATTCCAAAGCTGGGAACCATGGATATTTTGTAAGAAGTCACAGATCTGTTTATGCATATGTCTTTTCTCAATTAATAGGGCTAAAAATAAATATTCTTTGTGAGTTCATGAGTGTTTTGATGTTAGAAAGCAATTCTCATATTGTAAAAGGTGGGAAATTCTCAAATAGCACACCAAAAATAAACAGGCATGGTAGCCAACAGTACTTTTTTTCCCAACTTTTATTTCAAATTCGGGACACATGTACAAGTTTGTTACATAGGTATATTGCATGATGCTAAGGTTTGAGGTATGATTGGACGCATCACCCAGGTAATGAGCATAGTACCCAATAGGTAGTTTCTCATCCCTTACCTTCCTCCCTCCTTCTCTGTCTTGTAGTCCTCAGTGTCTGTTGTTTCCATCTTTATGGCCAGGTGTATGCAATTCAATAGTACTTATAAATATTCAGTTTTATAGTCAAGTTGCATTATGGTAACTTTTTGCAAGATTTAGAAGACTATATATATTTAAAATTTTTAATAAAATACATATATATGTGTGTGTTGTTTTTTAGAGACAGAGTCTTGCTGAGCTGTTCAGGCTGGGGTACAGTGGTGTGATCATAGTTCACTGTAGCCTTGAACTCCTGGGCTCAAGGGATCCTCCTGCCTCAGCCTCCTAAGTAGCTAGGATTACAAGCACACACCACCATGCCTAGCTAATTTTTAAAATTTTTCATAGAGACAGGGTCTCACTATGTTGCCCAGGTTGGTCTTAAACTCCTGGTCTGAAGTGATCATTCCACCTCAGCCTCCCAAAGTACTGGGATTATAGGCATGAGCCACCACACCCAGCCTAGAAGAATATCCCTCCACAACCTGAAGCTACTACATCCTGTGACTGGTTAGATTAATCCAATATGCAATCAGACTTCCTGCAACAGAAACCTAAGTCTCCCCTAGGTTCCACAGTGGTTGTGAGGTATGGACCTAGTCAGCCCTGTGGTTGCAAGATGCTTGGGCACAGAGTCTAGCTCTGCCTGATTATTGTATAATGACAGTGGGCACTCAGGAGACATGAGGAGCAAGGAAGGGATGGTTTAGGATGTGTTAGGGCATGTGTATTAACAGCTGCATATACAAACAAGTGCCAGCATTTCAGATTTTAAAGCCTTCATCTTCTCTCTTCTGTCATGGGGCTGCTAAGATGCATGAGTGGTGGATGGAGGATGTATGAAGCTAGCAATCTTTCAGACAGGGGAAGTATGTGGGAAAGTGAAAGGAGCCTGGCTTTTAGATTCACATAGAACAGACCTGGATTTGAATCCCAGCTCTGTCATTTAATAGCTTAGATACGTTTTACTTTTCTCTCTGTGACCCCTGAGTATGTTAGGCCAGCATTTCAAATGACCATAAGCTACAGATTAATTTCATTTATCAGACAGAGAGAATAGATTTTGCAGTAAGTTAATGGAACTTGCTTAGTTTGAGAAAATTAAAGTTTGGCTGGGTGTGGTGGCTCACGCCTATAATCCCAACACTTTGGGAGGCTAAGGCGGGTGGATTTCTTGAGCTCAGGAGTTTGACACCGGCCTTGGCAACATAGTGAGACCCTGTCTCTATAAGAAATAGAATAATTAGCCAGGTGTTGTGGCACACACCTGTAGTCCCAGCTACTCAAGAGGCTGAGGCGGGAGGATTGCTTGAGTCCAGGAGGCAGAGGTTGCAGTAAACCAAGATCTCACCACTGCACTCCAGCCTGGGTGCTAGAGCAAGACCATGTCTCAAAGAAAAGAAAAGAAAATTAAAGTTCATTATGTTTGGAGTCAAATGGAGTAGTATTTTGTTTGTTCGTTTAAAGAAATAGCAAGAGATGAAGCTGGAGAGGTAGAGAGAGGGAAGATTATGTGTGCCATTGTCTGTCATATGGAGGCATTTGGACTTTTAAGGTGAAGGTATTGGAGACACACTGAAGAGTTTTGGACAGAAAAGGAACATGATTTCTGTTTTTAAAAGATCTCTCTGGGCCTGGTGTGGAAGATGGACTAGATAGGCTAGAGATAAATTACAGATAGGGATATCATTTGGGGTCTATTTATTGTGAAAGCTTCAGCCAAGTAGTGGTATTAAGAATGTAGGTGTTTAGCAGGTAGAATCATCAATACTTGTTGTCACTTTGGATCTGAAGGAAAGAGAGGAGCCTCGAGTGACTTTCTGGTCTCTGGCTTGTGAAACTGAACGGTGGTGCTATTTGCTGAGCTGCGGAACAAGGAAGAGGGAGCAATTTGGAGGGGCAGAAGCAGTGAATTCATTTTTATATGCTTATGGGACAACCTAACTGGGATGTTCAGGATATAAGGAGCTGGAGCTAAGAAAGAGTGCCATATAGATTTGGGATCTTTCATCAATGACATAACTCAGAGAAAGTGGGAAGAGTGAGTAGAGAAGTGAGTTGAGGCTGGCAGCCCAGGAAGTACTTATGGGTAAAAGGAATGGATGGCAGAAGAAGAAGTATGAGCAATACAGTGAGGAGGAGACCCCAACATCAGAAAAAGAGTGCATTTAAAAAAGGTGTTGCAGACCAGGCGCAGTGGCTCATGCCTGTAATCCAGCACTTTGGGAGACTGAGGTGGGAGGATTGCTTGAGCCCAGGAGTTCAGACCAGCCTGGGTGACAAAGCAAGGCTCTATCTCTTAAAAAAAAAAAAAAAAAAAAAAAAGAACTATTGCAAATTTGGGAGAAGAATCAACTGAGTTTAAGAATAAGAAGAGTCATTGGCTTTGATTTTGGTTTTAGGAGGTTTAATGTTTGCCTGAGATCTCATATAAAGTCAGTAATAGCCAATATTGGGGATAGCTTTTAACGTGTGATGTTTTTGGTTTTCAAGTAGAATTTGAAAAAGTCATAAAAATATTAAAGTTGCTTTTTGATGAAGTATATGTTTGTAGCAAGGGATGAAAGTAATATTCAGACTTCCTTGTTTGTGGAACTTTGTTGTAGTAATTTATGTATTCTTATCCCAGAAATCAAGAAGCTGAAAAGGAATTTTTAGGTATATTTAATTAAAACTGATTTGGAAAGTAGTGTTGTGTTGGTTTAAAATGAAGTCATCAAAAAATGAGATCATCAATAATACCTCTTCTTTAATTATAATCAATTCTGCTTTTATTCTTATTAATATTTAGGTCTGCCAAAACCAGAGTTCCGATTCAAAGGACAGAGCACAAAGTCAGACTCTGCAGAAGATTATCTATTGTGGAAACGGCTGCAAGGTGTCTCTGCAGCTTGCCCTGCACCAAGCTCTGCAGCTCACCAACTAGAGCATCTCAGTGCTAAGCTTCAGAAAATTGACGAGCAGTTGCTAGCAATACAGAACATTGCTGAAAACATAGAACAGGATTTCCCCAAGCCTGAAATGCTAGATCTACATTGTGATAAGGTAGACTACCTTTATTTTTAGTTTTTTGTTTGCTACTGAATTATTAGATTTGTAGTGTGATATAACTTTGGATACCTGATTTTTCAAAATAATGAGAACTTTGTTTTCTTTAAGCTAGGGTTTGTCAACCTCAGCACTATTGACATTTGAGCCAGTTAATTCTTTGTTGTGGGGGACTGTCCCATGCGTTGTAGGATATTTGGCAGCATCCCTGGTCTTTACCCACTGGTTTCCAGTGGCACTGCTCCCTAGTTGTAACAGTCAAAAATGTCTCTAGATAATGCCAAATGTTCCTGGGAGCCAAAATCACCCTCAGTTGAGAACAATTACCTTAAGCTTTTAAGAAGTAAACCCATGTATAATGCTATTATCATAAAATGAGTTGGAAAATATTACCCTCTCTTCTATATTTTGGAAAATTTTTTATAGGATTGGTACTATTTCTTCCTTAAATGTTTGGTAGAATTCAGTGAAGCCATCTTCCCTGAAGATGCTTAAAGTTTTGTTTGTTGGGACATTTTAAAGTATAAATTTAGTTTCTTCTGTAGATATAGGGCTATTCAGCTGATCTTCTGCTCTAAATAAAGCTTTGTCTAGGGTCCTCCCATACAAAAAGGAAGTAAACCCATGCTTCCTACCAAGAAAAGAAATACATGAATTACAAAACTAGAATGTGATTTTAAAGGAACCCCACTTGTAATTATCATTTTTCTCTGAAAGATTTTATAATTTTACAAATATTATTGTCCTTCTATTTGGAGTTTTTGTCAGTTTCTTTTAAATATTTTATATAAGAGAGTTAGTAATCAGTTCCTTAGAAATTTTTCATATCTTTTTTTCTTTTTATTCTTGAGTCATAGTCTTGCTCTGTTATCCAGGCTGGAGTGCAGTGATGTGATCATGGCTCACTGCAGCCTCAACCTCTCAGGTTCAAGCAATCCTCCCACCTCAGCCTCCTGAGTACCTGGGACTATAGGTGTGCACCACCACTCTCAGCTAAGTTTTTAAAATTTTTTTGTGGAGACGAGTTCTCCCTATTTTGCTTGAACTAGCCTTGAATTCTTGGCCTCAAACAGCCTTGCCTTGGCCTCCAAAAGTGTTGGGATTGTAGATGTGAGCCACCACACCAGCCTAGTTTTCTATAAAAGGTAGACATAAAAAATAAATTAATGTTTATATATATAATGGTAGTTAAATAAAATAGGAAGTCTCAAAAATTATTTTACACATTTTGTCCTTTTTTTTAAAGGAAGAACAATTTATATCAAAAGGATTAAAGAACAAATATTATGTTACACATAATAGGTTAAATGAGACCATGGTTGGGTACTCGAGGCCAGGAGTTTGAGATCAGCCCAGGCAACGTAGCGAGACCTCATCTCCATAAAAATAATAATAAGTCGGGTATGGTGGTGTGCACCTGTAGTCCTAGCTACTTGGGAGGCTGAGGTGGAAGGATCACTTGCGCTCACGAGTTCAAGGCTGCAGTAAGCTATTATTGTGCCACTGCACTGTAGCCTGGGTGTCAGAGCAAGACCCTGCCTCTTAAAAAAAAACAAAGTTAAATGTCTTAAAGTCTAATATTGGGAAATGCAAAATAGTCTGCAGGATAAGAATTCCATTATTGACTTACCTTACAAAAATTCCAGGTTGCTAGCATGTTGACATTTAAAAAATGTATTTATTAGGTTTATAGTACACCTTTAATCCAAACATTTAACACATTTAAAAATAAAGATTAAGCATATGTGAAACTATACTGAAAGGTTATGAGGCAGGACTACTGCTAAAAATATTAATACTAAGTAATGATACTATGATGCTTATTTGGTGGTTTTCCTCTTTTTTTTTTTGGTAGATTTGGGGTTTCACCATGTTGCCCAGGCCAGTCTCCAACTCCTGGGCCCAAGTGATCCTCCCACCTCAGCCTCCCAAAGTACTGGGATTACAGGTGTGAGCCACTGCACCTGGCCTGCTTTCTGTTTTTTTAAACCCAGATTTAGATCTGTCACATCCAAATAAATGTACAGCATCAAAGCAGTTGTTGGAACTCCTTACTTCAAAGAATCTCTTTTGAAATTGCCTTTTGAGCTAGTTTAGTAGTCATTATCTACAGCCAGATATTTGATTTATACCCGAATCTAGTCTTGATCCTGGCTTGCTCACTCTCACAGGAGTTCATGAATAATTAATTCCTTCAACAAACATTTATTGAGCAACTACTGCCTATTAGGCCCTGTGCTAAATTCTAGGAATAGAAAGATAAATAAGGCATAGTACCTACTCTCAAGGAGTGTAAAATCTAATAAAAGAAGATAGATGTATATACCAATGAATACATACATACTGGGTCTAATGAGGCACATAGATATGCCTGACATGTTGTGACTGGACGGGGTAAGTGAAGCTGTGGCATCAGAGGAGGCTTTGTGGAGGTGACTCGAGCTGGTAATGAATTGGTATTCATCAGTTAATTAAAGAAAGGCTGACAAAATATTGTGAGCAAAGGAGAAAGGTACCAAATGGCATAGAGTGTTTGGGGAGCTGTATGAGCATTACTTAGAGGTAGAAGTTAGTGGGATTGGACTTTAAGACATCTGGCAGTAGAGGTAGGAGAGGGGAGACAAGGAGGAACAGAAAGCATTTACCATGTCAAGCGATTGGGATTTTCTCCTATAAGCAGGCAGTAGGAAACCACTGAAGAATTTTAAACAGTGAAGGGATATTATCAGATATGCAGACAGTAGTGTGGAAGGTAGATTGGAAAGGATAAGCCTGGGAACAAGGAGACCACATGGGTCACAGTGGTTCCAAATCTAATGGCTGCCCATTAGAATCATATAGGAAACTTGTTAAGAATGCAAATTCCTGGGCCCCATTTCCCTGAAATTCTGATTTTAAGTAGGTCTGGTTAGAGCCCTGGAATCTGTGTTATTAACAAGCTTCACAAATGATTCTTATGCTGCTAGCTCTATACCAGGTCCACTGATAAGTGTTTGAGATCCACTAAATATCCATGGCAGGAAATAACCATATGCCTGAATTTGAGCAGTAAGAATGGAGGGAAGGCATTAACAGGACTTAGAGATTGATAAGCTGTGGGAAGGTGAAGAAGACAACAGAGATTCACAGTGGTGTCCAGATTCCAGCCTGGGTGAATGGTGGAGCCATTTTCCAAACTAAGGAAGAGGAGGAGTTGTGTGTGTGTGTGTGTGCGCGCGTGTGTGTTGGGGGAGGGAGGCACAATGATTTCTATCAGGGACATGATAAATTTGAGGTGCTGTGAGATAAGTAGGCAGTTCCTCAAAAGCAGCTGAGGAGCTACAACTGGGCTGAAGGTACAGATTTTGGAGTAATCAGTTAGGGGGAAGTTCAAATCATGATAGCATAGGTGCTCCTCAGGGAGAGCACATGGAGGAGAAAAGAAGAGGGTAAAGAATCTTGTGGAAACACTGCCTTGTAAGGATGAGTATTCAACAAGACTTGAGAACAGTCTGAAGTCATAAGAGACTCAGGAGAAAGCCAGCCAAAGCAGGAGTTGGAGGAGGGAGTTTCCACATGTCTGAGTCCATTAAGCATTTGGACTCCTGTGCATGTCAAGATCACTCAGATGCTTTTTCAGAGTATACATTCTATCCCTGCTGAATCTGTTGGGGAGGTGGAGGTGACTTGGCATTTTGAAAAGGCTCTCAAAAATTCTGATAGGGCTCCTCTCTCAAGCCTTTTAAGACTCGAAGGTAGGGACAATGTCTTTTGCTACACATGGTGGGCATTTAATAAATATTTGTTCAATGGTTGTCTTTGCTATCTTAGTTTTGATTCTGGCACTAATAAAATCACATTTATATACTAAAGATTCACCAGTAGAACAGTTATTTATAATTGTGGTACAAGGTTGGGAGACAATTTCAAAGGAAGAGTTCCAAAAGCATTTGCTCAAAGCCCTTACGTACAGTAGTCCCCTCTTATTTGCAGTTTTGTTTTCCGAGGTTTCTGTTACCTTCTGTACAGTATAAGAAGATATTTTGAGAGACAGAAAAAAAACACATTCATATAACTTTGATTACAGTATATTGTTATAATCGTTGCATTTTATTCTTAGCTATTACTAATCTCTTACTGTGCCTAATTGATAAATTAAGCTTTATCATAGGTATGTACGCATAGAAAAAAACATAGTATACAGTCGGCCCTCTATATCCATGGGTTCTGCATCTGACAGTTCAACCAAATGTGGATTGAAAATATTTAATAAAAACAAAAAAGGATGGTTGCATCTGTACTGAACATGTGCAGATTTGTTCTTGTCATTCCTGAACAATACGTCATAACAACTATTAATAGTTAACATTTACATTGTATTAGATATTATAAGTAATCTAGAGATTAAAGTATATGGGAAGAATGTCTATAGGTTGTATGCAAATACTGCACCATTTTATATAAGGGACTTGAGTCTGTGGATTTTGATGTCAGGAGCCAATCCCTCATAGATACTGAGGGACAACTATATATAAGGTTCGGTACTACCCCCACCGTTTCAGGCATCCACTGGGCGTCTTGGAACATATCTCCCAGGGAAAAGGAAGATATTTAGTCTTCTAAAATGACCACTTTGAAGGAAATAATGTTAATTTTGTATACACACACACACACACCACAATTTGCTTATTTATTTAATTTAGTTTTGAGATGGAGTCTCACTGTGTCATCCAGGCTGGAGTGCAGTGGCTCAATCTTGGCTCACTGCAATCTCTGCCTCCCAGGTTGAAGCAATTCTCCTGCCTTTGCCTCCTGAGTAGCTGGGATTACAGGCACCTGCCACCATGCCCACCTAATTTTTGTATTTTTAGTAGAGACGGGATTTTGCCATGTTGGACAGGCTGGTCTCGAACTCCTGACCTCAAGTGATCTGCTTGCTTCACCCTCCCAAAGTGCTGGGATTACAGGTGTGAGCCACTGGGCCCAGCAGGTTTGGTATATTTTTAAAAAATGCTCTCACATTATTATAATGTACACATAAATACAAACATCTTCACTTGCCTAACTTAAGAAAACAGCTTATAGTCCTGGAAGAGGCCCAGGGATACTCTGGGCAGACACTGAGTGGTAAATAGTCTTGAAGACCTGGGTTGACCGTGTTATGCCACTAAAAAAGTCATTGAATCTCTCTGGGCTTTGTTCTCTCATCTTTAATACGAATTTGTCTAGATAGTAATTAAGGTTCTTCATTCTAAAATTTTATGATACAATTTTCCTGAGCCTTTTAAAAGTTTATAACTCAGTTAAGCTACAAATAAGTAAAAATTTCCTCTGTTTTATTGATCCCTACCATTTAGCTTATATTGGATTTAATCCCATTTTTTTCACTTTTGCATTAATGCAAGTGTTTAAAACTTACATAAAACTGTTTGTTATTTTGAAATTATCAAAGTATTACTGTTGTTTTGTTGTGTGTGTTTTTTCTACAGATTGGACCAGTGGATCACATTGAATTCTCTTCTGGCCCTGAATTCAAAAAAACATTAGCTTCAAAAACCATTAGCATTTCTGAAGAAGGTTTGTAGGGGCTGATAGGGGCTGGCTGAAGTCTTGCTTTAGTTGATCTGAAAGAATGTGCATTGTTTTGTGGAGTGCCAGAAGTAGGAGTAGTTTTCATTATGTGAGCTGAAGTCATAAGCTTCCCAGTTTTTAGATTAGGATTATTTTTTTGTAATGTGATTAGCTTCCACCTCACGGCCTTTTTTTTTTTTTTTTTTTTTTTTTTTGAGAAGGCAGTAACCTCCTCTGGATTTTATACTAGGATGGGGCAAGTGTGGCCTGGAGCTCAGTTTTTGTGGATTCCAAGCCATTGGCCTCATAGTGCTGAGGATTGCACAGAGCTTTGTGCTGAGGTTGCTGTTTGTCTGTGATCATCAGCTGAGCTGGAATTTGAGGTTCTGGTAAAATGGCCAGGCAGTGGTGAGGTATTAAGTTTTTTCATTTTTTATTGAAAGAATGAAATTAGAATAGTTGTTTTTACCTTCTGCTGTGTCTGTGGTTCATACCTGTGTTCTCTTTCTCATTCAGTCTTGTCAGTTTAGTCTTTTCAAAAACCAGTGTTTGTTAATTCTCTTTGTTTCTCAGTTTCCTTTTTCATTAATCTTTATTATTTCTTCTATTTTGGGGGCATTAACTTGTTGGCTTTTTTCTAACTTTATTTTTTCTTATTTTCTAATATGTGTAATTGAGGCTGAATATGTTTCTGCATGGACCTAGACAAGAATGTTGATACTCATCATCATCTGGTGGTGTTCAGGTCTACATAGTTTGTAGTTCGCATTATGATTTCTTTAGCTTGTAAAAGGAGTTTTTAGCTTCTAAATATTAAGCATTCTAATATTGGGCTATGTTTTTGTGGTTGATTTCCATTTTCATTGCATTTTGATTAGCTGATGTGTATGATGATATCAATCCTTAGATATTTGTTAAAATTTCCCTTGTGGCTGAGGATAGTCAGTTTTTACATTATGTTCCACATTTATTTGAAGAGGCCAAACATTTTCTGTTGGTTGTATGTAGTGTATGTGTATATATCTCCCTTTGGTCAAGCTTCTAAATTGTGTTGTCCAGATTTTTTGTATTTTTTCTGATTAGTCAGCTTGATCCGTTCATTTCTTAGAAGGTTGCATTAAAAATTACCCATAATGATTGTGGAATTATTTCTCCTTGTAAATCTGTTACATTCATCTTAAGGCTATAAGGTGAATATAGTTCAGGATTGTTATATTTCTTGTTGGATTTTGTCTCTTTTATCATTAAGTAATAACCCTCTTTATCCCTAATAATCCTTTTTGACTTATAGTCAATTTTGTTTAATATGAACATTACTACCCCTGTGTTCTGGTATATCTTTTTGATATGCTTTATTTTTTAAAATTTTATGTAAAATTTCTACACTATTTTAATAGAAGGCAGAATCATACAATTAACTTTCATATACTCAACAACAAACTTTAATCATTATCAACTCATGGCCAATCCCTTTTTTACCTATACACCCACCCACTCTTCCCACCTTTTTCTTGATTATTTTGAAACGAAACCCAGACAGCACATTATTTTATGTATAAATATTTTGTATGTATCTCTAAAAGATCAGGTCCATTTTTAAAACATAAGCACAATAATATTGACACTCCTTTAAAAAATTCTTAATATACTTATATATCTAATCAGAGTTCAAATGTTGCCAATTGTCTCGTTTCAAAAAATAGTCTTTTAGGCCGGGCGTGGTGGCTCACACCTGTAATCCCAGCACTTTGGGAGGCTGAGGCAGGTGGATCACAAGATCAGGAGTTCGAAACCAGCCTGGCCAATATGGTGAAACCCTGTCTCTACTAAAAATACAAAAATTAGCCTGGTGTGGTGGCGGGTGCCTGTAGTCCCAGCTACTTAGGAGGCTGAGGCAGGAGAATTGCTTGAACTCAGGAGGCGGAGCTTGCAGTGAGTCGAGATCATGCCACTGCACTCCAGCCTGGGCAACAGAGCGAGACTCCGTCTCGAAAAAAAAAAAAGCTTTTTAATTATTACAGTTGGAACCCAGCTAAGATCTATAAGTGGCCATTGGTTGATGGCTTATAAGTCTCTTAACTTCTGGGTTCCTTCTCTCCTTTTTCTTCCTTGAAGTTTTCTTTGTTGAAGAAACAAGATAGTTGTTCTGAAGTGTTTTTCAGAGTCTGAGTTTTGCTAATTGAGTCTCTGTGATGTCATTTAATGTGTTGTTTTCTCCTCTGTATTTCTTGTAAATTAGATATCCCTTTACTTTCAGGCTGTTTGATTATGTTGTATTTGTGTCCAGCATGTACCTAGATTTCATTCCTTTAAATAATTAGACAGTCTTTTTTAACCAGCAAGCATAATCACTGTTCATTTATTGTATTTACTGATATATTTGTGCTTATTTCTAATATCTTATTTCATGGTGGTTTTTTTGCCATTTATTTCCTTTACTTTTGTCCCTCTTTTTTGCCTTTTATTGGATGGAGTTTTCTGTATTCTCTCTTTCCTGCTGTATTGGTTCAGAAATTATACATTAGATTTTTAGTTTTTAGTGGTTATTCTTGAATTTTTAACATTCATAGGTGAGTTAAAATTTAAGGTGAATTTGGACATGGTGGTGCATACCTGTAGTCCCAGCTATTTGGGAGGCTGAGGTGGGAGGATCACTTGAGCCCAAGAATTAAAGGTTGTAGTATGCTATCATCACACCTGTGAATAGCCACTGCACTCCAGCCTGAGCAACATAGTGAGACACCGTCTCTTAAAATTTTTTTCATTTTAAATTAAGGTGAATATATCTACCTCCCAAACAATAGAAGGACTTTAGACCTTTTTAGCGCTGATTTGTTCCCTCCATCTTCTCTGATACTGTTTTTTTGTTTGTTTGTTTTTGAGATGGAGTCTCACACTGTGGCCCAGTCTGGAGAGTGCAGTGGTGTGATCTCAGCTCACTGCAACCACTGCCTCCCAGATTCAAGCAATTCTCCTGCCTCAGCCCCCCAAGTAACTGGGACTACAGGTGCACACCACCACACCCAGCTAATTTTTTGTATTTTTAGTAGAGATGGGGTTTCACCATGTTGGCCAGGATGGTCTCAGTCTCTTGACCTTGTGATCTGCCTGCCTCAGCCTTCCAAAGTGCTGGGATTACAGGCGTGAGCCACCACGCCCGGCCTCTGATAACTGTTTTCAAATATTTTAGATCTACTCTGTTTTTAACCCTCCCATTTAGTTCCCCTTGCCTTTTATTTTTTAAGTCAGCACTTAGTTAAGATTTCTCAACGTTTGGCATTTTCTTTGCCAACAATTACTTCATTTTAAAATTTCTAATTTTTTTTTTTTTTTTTTGAGACAGAGTCTCGCTCTGTCACCCAGGCTGGAGTGCAGTGGTGCTATCTTGGCTCACTGCAAACTCCGCCTCCTGGGTTCATGCCATTCTCCTGCCTCAGTCTCCTGAGTAGCTGGGACTACAGGTGCCCGCCACCGCGCCCGGCTAATTTTTTGTATTTTTAGTAGAGACTTGGTTTCCCTGTGTTAGCCAGGATGGTCTTGATCTCCTGACCTCGTGATCCGCCTGCCTCGGCCTCCCAAAGTGCTGGGATTACAGGCATGAGCCACCGTGCCCGGCCTAAAATTTCTAATTTAAATAATGTAAATATGTAGGCAACAAATGTATAAAACCAAAACAAGTTTCATGATACCTTTTATTGCCTGAGATGCTCTCTGGTATTTTCTCTTCTCTGCTATTGTTGCCCACAGTTGCTTCTTGCATCCACTTCTTTTTTTTTTTTTTTTTTTTTTAGACAAAGTCTCACTCTGTTGGAGTGCAGTGGTGCGATCTCGGCTCACTGCAGCCTCCTCCTCCAGGGTTCAAGCAATTCTCTGCCTCACCTTCCTGAGTAGCTGGGACTACAGGCACCTGCCACCATGCTGGGCTAATTTTTTGTATTTTTAGTAGAGACGGGTTTTCACCGTGTTAACCAGGATGGTCTCAATCTCCTGATCTCATGATCCGCCCACCTTGGCCTCCCAAAGTGCTGGGATTACAAGCGTGAGCCACCGTGCCTGACCGTATTTCTTTTATTTACCTTATATTGGAGTAGGAATGATTCTTTAGTTTTAAGATTTAACTTTGGGGACTTTTCACCCATAATATTTTGAAGTACTGCTTCCTCCCCATTTTTTCTTTTCTCTCTAAAACACCTAATAGAGGCATGTTGGACCTCCTCACTCTGTTCCTTATATCTTTTTTTTTTTTTTTTCGAGACAGAGTTTTGCTCTTGTTGTCCAGGCTGGAGTGCAATGGCACAATCTTGGCTCACCACATCCCCTGCCTCGCAGGTTCAAGTGATTCTCCTGTCTCAGCCTTCCAAGTAGCTGTGATTACAGGCGTGTGCCACCACCACTGGCAAATTTTTTGTGTTTTTAGTAGAGACAGGGTTTCTCCATTTTGGTCAGGCTGTTCTCGAACTCCTGACCTCAGGTGATCAGCCCACCTTGGCCTCCCAAAGTGCTGGGATTACAGGTGTGAACCACTGTGCCTGGCCTCCTTATCTCATTCAGCCTCTTCTGCATAATTTCCTCCCTTTATCAGTGGTTCACTCAGGATGATTTCCTCATATCTGTCTTCTAGTTTACTAATTCTCTTTTTTGCTGTGTCTTTGCTGTTTTAGCTATTCATTATGATTTTAATTTTGGTGGCTACATTTAATATCTAGAAGTTGTATTTATTTCTTTTTCAAATCTATCTGCTCTTTGGATGTTGTGTCCTGTTTTTTTATTGCTGTTCCTATGCTTTATCTGTTTCATAATTTCAGTCATGTTTTATGACTAACCTTTTCTGATTATTGTATTTCATATGTGCACATTATCAATTGTTGAATCTGCATACTGACTGTCTTTCATGGTTGGTTGTTCCTTTGTGTGAATTGTAATTTTTTATCATGGGCTTATCATTAGTGGAAGTTCTGCTAGATTATATGTTTGTCTTTGGAGTAGTTTTGCATTTGCTTTTTGCTATCGTTGAAGTAGGAAAAAATTGAAACAAATTTTAGTATACGTTTCTTCACTTGGGGTTGCTGTACTTTATTGATGGTAGAAATTCAGACCCTGTTCATGCTTGTGGCAAGTCAGGGTGTTGATTTCTCAAAGTTGACTTTTATTTTTCTCTCAGCTGCTGTCCATGCAGATAGAAAACTTATTTGCTGTTTCACCAGGGGAGAGATTTTCTTTTTCCTATTTTATGGACAAAGCTGTCCTTCAGTGCTCTAAGATACATGAAGGTAGCTCAGTTTTTCCCTCATTGCAGTGTACAGAACCACATCTCCTATTCCTCAGTAGACTATCCCAGCATCATTGCCCACTTACTGCTCCAGCTATGAGTTCCTTTTTCTTTTCTGGCACCATGGGATTTCTCTGTTTAGAAAGATTGGTCGTATATTAAAATTTTTTTTTGTAATTTAGCATGTCTATGTTTTTATGAAAGGGCATAGGCCTATGTACTTCAGCTCAGTCTAATAAATCTTGTTTATTTACTGTGGGAGAGCTTTAACTTCAAATTTTTTATTAAATTCATTATACAGTAGAAAGCTATTAGCATAATATGTGACAAACTTCTAATATCTGGGTTGCCAGTTGGAAATAGTGGCAATTGTCTTTTCCATGTGATCTTTTTTCCTCTACTATTTTATTTTAATTGTAATATATACTCTGGATTAGTGCGTTTTTTGACCCATATGGATGAAGAAGATCAAAGTGACAAAAAGGAGACTTCAGAACCTGAATTTTCAATAACAGAAAATTATTCTGGTCAGAAAACCTGTGTGTTTCCTACTGCCGATTCAGCTGTCAGCCTTTCCAGTTCCAGTGATCAGAATACTACTTCTCCTGGTATTGTTCTTTACTTTTTCATTTACACATACTCTTATTCTCCATTATAATGTTACTGAACATGATTTACTGGGAATATAGTTATGAAAGGTTTGTGAAGTCATTTTGTAATATTTATTTTAGGGGAAGGAAAGTTAAAACTTTTGCTAGTCACATGAAGAACTGTGACATCTTGTCACCTTCATAAGACATACTGCAATTATGTATCATATCTTGGTGTAACTTATTAATATGAAATATATAGCAACTGGAATTACTGTAATAGTTGATTTTTACAAAAATTGAAAAATTAAAACTCTTCCAATTATAAGAACTTTGAATTTTAATTTGAAAACAAAATAGTAGCCATCATTTCTTGAGCCTCTACCATGTGCCAAACATCACTGTTTTATATGCATAGATTCTGGTTTAAGCCTGATCTATGAGGTGTAGACACTATTATTATCTCCATTTTACAGTTGAGGAGATTGAGATTTAGAAGGATTTAGTGCCACTTTTTGTTTTATTTCATTTGGAGGTAGCAATTAAAACTGTTATTCTTTAGTCCTAATGAATATACTTTGTCCTATGAATAATAGAACATAGTAAATACATCAGTTCAATCACTGACAGTGGCTTGGAAATATTTTTTTTCTCTCAGATATTGATGGTCAATTAAAATGATTTTACTGAGTGTTTAGTATATGTTCTATTACCATTATTAAAGTGATATAAACAGTAAAAATGCTATTTTAAATGGCATTACTGTTACTTAAATAAAAGAAAACCTATTAAGAAGCTGACTTTAAATCTTGTAATTATTTTCTCAGTTCTTTCTAGATGCCATGTGTGTTTTAGTCATCAACATATGGGGATAATAATTTCCACTTCACAAAGTTGTGAAGACTGAGTATCATATATAAAGCATCTGAGAATCTTGTTTTATTTTCTTGGTCACTGATAGCTTTTCTCTTCTCTTCTCTGGGGAGGATTGACAAATGAGGTTAAACAGGACTCATATGGCTAGATGGTAGAGGGTTCTAATTATATCTGAGAAGTTTACACTCCATTTTATCCTTGGGAACATGGGAGAATTCCAAGCAGAGAAGTAAAACAAGGAGGTTTTGAGGAAAAATAGAATGGAGGCATAGAGACCACTGAGGAGGCTACTAAAATCTGACCTGGGAAATAATGAGGGCCTGGCTAGTGTTGTGGGAAAGAAATAGAAGAAACGAGACATTTTGAATTAGTAACTGATGGTACTCAGTGACTAGGTGGGTAAAAGAGGAGGAGAGGGGGAACGTGGTTGTTTAGTGTTGCCAGAGTCTAAGGCAAAGGTATAACTAGGTCTGATGTCAAAGTCTAGACTCCAGTCTTTTGGCTTCCCTGAGCCACATTGGAAGAAGAATTGTCTTGGGCCACACATAAAATACACTAACACTAACAATAGCTGATGAGCTAGAAAAAAAAAAAAAGTCCATGCATAAATCTCATAATGTTTTAAGAACGTTTACTTGGTAATAAACAGGTACTGTGGCCGTGGGTTAGTGATCCTGGGTTACTAATAGGAGAAAGGGCAACTTGTTACTTACCAACCTTTGATGACAAACACTTCAATCTTTAACCCAAGAGGTCACCATCTTCGCTAATCTCACCTACTTCCCCATATGCAGCCCAGTCGTTATTGGAAGAGAATCCTTCAAGCTTTTTTTCGTGAATAGGCCAGCAGGGGCCTCTCAAATACTGATAGAAAGTGTCTCTTTAATGGACCTTCTCTTTCCTAAGTACATAGGATTAATATCTTTTTCTACCTAGTAAAAAGCTATAAGGGGTAGAACTATTACTATTACGCTAATCTTAGATTTATGTGAAATATTTCTCTCTTAGTTAAATTGAATTAGTTGCTCTTAACCCACAAATGCCCAGATTCTGAGAACGAAAATAAAATCCTTGATTTGGAGGTTAATAAATTAAATAGAACAATATGTTTTCAAGAAAACAGGTATTTCATATTAAAACCATGTGAATGTGTAAGTCTTAGGGACAGATTTGGTTTATCTCAAGATAATAAAATCTTAAGGAATATTTTTTGAGAAGAGATGTCAGAACACTTTTCCCTATATTAATTCAATCCTGTTTTTAGAATTAAACATATAGAAGAATTAAACATTTAGAATGAAACATATAGAAGACTGAATAGATTAAGTGTTTTTCTCTGAAGACATATAGTTAATACTGGACAAGACTTAAAAATTATATTTTGGGACACATTCTTACAGGTAAATTGCTTCTCGGATTTAAATAAGATATTTTCTAAAATATATTACTTTCAGATCACCAGAGATTTGTTTTTTGTTTGTGTATATTTTATAAAGTAAATTGCACTCCAGTACTCTAAACTGTGTACTAAGCAAAGAAGGGTTGTGCCTTCTGACATATTACACTGAGTACTCAGGATAGAAAAAGTAATAATCTTATACTGGCTGGGTGCGATGGCCCATGCCTGTAATCCAAGCACTTTGGGAGGCCAAGGCAGGTGAATCACTTGAGCTCAGGAGTTCGAGACCAACCTGGGCAACATAGCAAGACCCCGTGTCTACAAAAAATACAAAAATTAGCCTGCATTGCGGCACACACCTGTAATCCCAGCCATTCAGGAGGTTAAGGTGGGAGGTTTGCTTGAGCCCGGAGGCAGAGGTTGTAGTATGCCATGACCATGTCGCTGCACTTAGCCTGGGTGACAGAGTGAGACATGGTCTCAAAAAATATGTAGACAGTATTCACTATCAGATAGCATATTCAGGAAGAGGATAAATATGCTGTAAATATATATCTATAAACCAATTTGGAAGTTTAAAAGTATTTTAATTTAATTTCTGGTTATATAATTTCTAAATTAGATTAACAATTGAAAGCAAAAAAAAACCCAAAATTTTTATTAATAATGATTTTTTTTTTAGGTATGAATAGCAGTGATGAATTGTGTGAGAGGTAAATATCTTAAGAGTTAATTCACAATTTTCTTTAAAGTTGGGTGTAGATAGTGAAAATTTTGTTCATATGTGTGTGAATTTTTACATTATATATATCTTTGTGGTTTAAAGGAATATAAGTTTTCATTGGGTATGGAATATTTTTAAGAAATTGAGGATTGTTATATCTCTTACTGTTTTAGCACAAGTAGTTAGAATTCAATAGACTATATTTACTACATTTTCTTATATAAATATGGATTAAATTTAAACAGAATCTATAGGGGTTTTCTTCTGGACCATATGTTTCCTTTTTAAAGAAAATCTACCAAGTCATTACTTTTTGTTGATTAGTCTTTTTCACTGAGAGATACTAGAATTACAGAAATAGAAGGAACAGTAGATATATGTTTATCATTTTGTGTTCATTTGTTACATGTTTATTTTTGCTTAATGTAATTAAGTTGTAGATACTGATTTATATTTCTTAAATTACATTTGCAAATGAAGTGTTTCAGTACATCCGCTCCAGATGACTGGATTGACTGATATTGCAGACATTATTGATGACCTTATAATTAAAGACGGAGTTTCCAGTGAAGAACTTGGCTTAACAGAACAAGCTATGGGCACCTCCAGGTAATCATTGAATAATTCATTTTTAACCTGTTTAAAATGCTTCTCATTCAAGAATGTTCAAAATTTGTCATATTTTAATGTGATTTTTATGAAACAAATCTGAAGCTTAGAATAGATTTTTTTTTCATGTTTTGTTATGTATATGTGTCATTCTTCCCTTTTCTCTAACAATATATAGTATATAACTGTATCCTGTGGGTTTTCCCAAGAATCACTCTAAGTACAACATACATTTAATCCTGTCTCTTACTAGAAGTAATTAATGATTAGCTCATAGCACTTTACCCAAAAATTAACGCTTAGAATACATTTTAAATAGGCTTTCTGATCTATCATGCAAATGGAAAACAAAAAGGATCAGGGGCTGCTGTTTTTATATCAGATAAAACAGACTTTAAACCAGCAGCAGTAAAAAAGGACAAAGAAAGGGACATAATGATAAAGAGTTCAATTCAACAAGAAGACTTAACTATCCTAAATATATAAGCATACAACATTGGAGCACCTAGACTCATAAAATAAGTAGTTATAGACCTATGAAACTATTTAGGCAACCACGTAGTAATAGTGGGGGACTTCAACACCCCAATGACAAAGTTGGACATATCATCAAAGCAGAAAACTAACAAATTCTGGAATTAAATTAGACACTTGAGCAATTGAACCTAATAAACATCTGTAGAACGCTCCACCCATCAACCACAGAATATACATTCTTTTCATCTGCACACAGAATATACTCCAAGATCGACCAAATGCTTGGCCTTAAAGCAAGTCTCAATAAATTAAAAAAAAAAAAACAACCCTGATATCTGACTGATATGGTTTGGCTGTGTCCCCATCCAAATCTCAGCTTGAATTGTAGTTCCCATAATTCCCATGTGTCATGGGAGGGAACAGGTGGAGATAATTGAATCATGGGGACAGTTTGCCCCTTCCTGTTCTCATGCTAGTGAGTGAGTTGTCACAAGAACTGATGGTATTATAAGGGGCTTCCCCCTTCAGTGGGCACTCATTCTTCTCCTTCCCGCCATTATGTGAAGAAGGACATGTTTGCTTCCCCTTCTGCCATGATTGTAAGTTTCCTGAGGCCTCCCCAGCCATGCTGAACTGTGAGTTAATTACACCTCTTTCGTTTATAAATTGTTCAGTCTCAGGTATGTCTTATTTAGCAGTGTAAGAACAGACTAATATAGTAAATTGGTGCTGCAGAGAGTGGGGTGCTACTGTAAAAATACCTGAAAATGTGGAAGCGACTTTGGAACTGGGTAACAGGCAGAGGTTGGAACAGTTTGTAGGACTCAGAAGAAGACAGGAAGATGTGGGAAAGTTTGGAACTTCCTAGAGACTTGTTGAATGGCTTTGACCAAAAGCCTGATAGCAATATGGACAATAACGTCCAGGCTGAGGTGGTCTCAGATGGAGAAGAGGAACTTGTTGGGAACTGGAGAAGGTGATTCTTATTATGTTTTAGCAACGAGACTGGTAGCATTTTGCCTCTGTCCTAGAGATTTGTGGAACTTTGAACTTGAGAGAGATTATTTAGGGTATCCAGTGGAAGAAATTTCTAAGTGGCAAAGCATTCAAGAGGAAGCAGAGCATGAAAGTTTGGAAAATTTGCAGGCTGACAGTGCAATATAAAAGAAAAACCCATTTTCTGGGGAGAAATCAAGCTCAGTGCAGAAATTTCCATAAATAATGAGAAGCCAAATTTTAGTCACCAAGACCATGGGGAAAATATCTCCAGGGCATGTCAGAGACCTTCATGGCAGTCCCTCCCATCACAGGCCCAGAGGCCTAGGAGGGAAAAATGGTTTCCTGGGGCAGGCCCAGGCCCTCCTTGCTGTGTGCAGCCTAGGGACTTGGTGCCCTGCATCCTATCCTCTCTAGCTGTGGCTAGAAGGCGCCAAGATACAGCTTGGGCTGTGGCTTCAGAAGGTGTAAGCCCTAAGCCTTGGCAGCCTCCACGTGGTGTTGAGCTTGTGGGTGAATAGAAGTCAAGAATTGAAGTTTGGGAACCTTCTAGTAGATTTCAGAGGATGTATGGAAAAGCCAGGCAGAAGTTTGTTGCAAGGGTATAGCTATCATGGAGAACCTCTGCTAGGGCAGTGTGGGAGGGAAATGTGGGGTTGGAGCCCCCACACAAATTCCCTTCTGGGGCACTGCCTAGTGGAGCTGTGAGAAGAGGGCCATCGTCCTTCAGACCCCAGAATGGTAGATTTACCGACAGCTTGCACCATGTGCCTGGAAAAGTCACAGACAATGCTGGCTGTGAAAGCAGCTGGGACAGAGGGCTGTACCCTGCAAAGCCACAGGGACAGAGCTGTCCAAGACCATGGGAACCCACCTCTTGCATCAGCATGACCTGGATGTGAGACATGGAGTCAAAGAAGATCATTTTGGAACTTTAAGGTTTAATGACTGCCCTATTGGATTTTGGACTTGTATGAGGCTGATAGCCCCTTTGTTTTGGCTAATTTCTCCTATTTGGACCGGGTATTTTTACCCAATGCCTGTACCTCCATTGTATCTAGGAAGTAACTAAATTGCTTTTGATTTTACAGGCAGGAGGGTCTTGCCTTGTCTCAGATGAGACTTTGGACTTGGACTTTTGAGTTAATGCTAGAATGAGTTAAGACCGTGGGGGACTGTTGGAAGGACATGATTGTGTTTTGAATTATGAGGACATGAGATTTGGAAAGGGCCGGGGCAGAATGATATGGTCTGATTGTTTCCTCATCCACATCTCATCTTGAATTGTAGTTCCCATAATCCCCACATGTTGGTGGAGATAATTTAATCACGGAGGTGTTTTGCCCCATCCTGTTCTCGTGATAGTAAAAACACTATTTCACGAGATCTGTTGGGTTTTTTGTTGGTTTTTTTTTTTGAGACAGAGTCTCGCTCTTTTGCCAGGCTGGAGTGCCATGGTGTGATCTCAGCTCACTGCAACCTCTGACTCCCTGGTTCAAGTTATTCCTGCCTCAGCCTCCCGAGTAGCTGGGATTACAGGCACGTGCCACCACGTCCAGCTAATTTTTATATTTTTAGTAGAGACAGGGTTTCACCATGTTAGCCAGGATGGTCTCAATCTGCTGACCTTGTGATCCGCCCACCTCGACTTCCCAAAGTGCTGGGATTACAGGTGTGAGCCACTGCACCTGGCCAATCTGATGGTTTTATAAGGGACTTCCCCTTTTGCTGGGCACTCATTCTTCTCCTTCCTGCCACCATGTGGAGAAGGACATGTTTGCTTCCCCTTCCGCGATGATTATAAGTTTCTTGAGGCCTCCCCAGCCATGCTTAACTGTGACTTAATTAAACCTCTTTCCTTTATAAATTATCCAATCTCAGGTGTGTCTCTATTAGCAGTGTGAGAACAGACTAATACACATACCAACCATACTTTCAGATCATAGAAGCATAAAAATAGAAATCAATACCAAGAAGACCTCTCAAAACCACACTATTACATGGAAATTAAACAACTTGCTCCTGAATGACTTTTGGGTAAACAATGAAATTAAGGCAAAAATAAGAAAATTATTTGAAATAAATGAAAACGAAGACACAACATACCAAAATCTCTGGGATGCAGCAAAAGCACCATTGTGAGGAAAATTTAGAGGCTGGGCATGGTGGCTCACATCTGTAATCCCAGCACTTTGGGAGGCTGAGGCAGGTGGATCACCTGAGGTTGGGAGTTGGAGACCAGCCTGACCAACATGGAGAAACCCCATCTCTACTAAAAATACAAAATTAGCTGGGCATGGTGGCACATGCCTGTAATCCCAGCTACTCGGGAGGCTGAGGCAGGAGAAGCACTTGAACCTGGGAGGCAGAGGTTGTGGCAAGCCAAGATCATGCCATTGCACTCCAGCCTGGGCAACAAGAGCAAAACTTTCTCAAAAAAAAAAAAAAAAAAGTGGAAAGTTTATAGCACTAAACACCTATATCAAAAAGTTAGAATGATTTCACATTAGTAATCTAACATCACGCCTAGAGGAACTAGAAAAACAAGAACAAATTAACCCCAGAGCTAGCAAAAGAAAATAAGTAACTAAAATCAGAGCAGAAGTGAACAAAATCGAGAACCAAAAATCCATACAAAGAATCAACAATACCAAAAGTTGGTTATTAGAAAGGATAAACTAGATTGATAGACCACCAGCTACATTAACAAAGAAAAAAAGAGAGAAGATCCAAATAAGCACAATCAGAAAACAACAAAGGTGACATTACAACTGATCCCACAGAAATACAAAAGATCCTCAGAGACTTTTATGAATGCCTGTATGCACAAAGTAGAAAATCTAGAGGAAATGGATAAATTCCTGGAAACACACAACCCCTCAACATTGAATCAGGAAGAAATTTGAAACCCTGAACAGACCAATATGAAGTCCTGAAATGGAATCAGTAATAAAAAACCCACCAACCAATAAAAGCCCCAGACCAGATGGATTCACAGCCAAATTCTGCCAGACATAAAAGAAGAACTGGTGGGAATTCTACTGAAACTCTTTTAAAAAATCAAGGAGGACAGACTCCTCCCCAATCATTCTATGAAGGTGACATCACCCTGATACCAAAACCTGGCGAAGACCCAAGGAAAAAATAAAGCTACAGGCCAATATCCCTGATGAATATAGAAGTAAAAAATCTTCAACAAAATATAGCAAACCGAAAACAGCACATCAAATTGTGGTGATTGTTAATTCACCATAATCAAGTAGGCCTCATTTCTAGGATGCAAGATTGGTTCAACATACACAAATCAATAAATGTGATTAATAGCCATTTATGACAAACCCACAGCCAACATCTTACTGAACGGGCAAAAGCTGGAAGCATTCACCTTAAGAACTGGTACAAAACAAGAATGCTTAATCTTACCACTTCTATTTAACACAGTACTGGAAGTCCTAGCCAGAGGAATCAGGTAAGAGAAATAAACGTAAGGCATCCAAATAGGAAAATAAGAATTCAGATTATCTCTTTTCTATGACAGTATGATTCTATACCTAGAAAACCTAAAGACTCCTCCAAAAGCCACCTAGAACTGATAAATGACTTCAGTAAAGTTTCAGGATACAAAATCAATGTACAAAAATCAGTAGCATTTCTATGCACCAATAACATTCAAGCTGAGAACCAAAGCAAGAATGCAGTCCCATTTACAACAGACACACACACATACACACACACACACACACACACACCTCTAACCAAAGAGGTGAGAGATCTCAGCAAGGAGAACTACGAAACACTTCTGAAAGAAATCGCAGGTGACATAAAAACATAGAAAACATCCCATGCTCACAGAAGAATCAATATCCTTAAAATAACCATACTGCCCAAAGCAATCTATAGATTCAACACTATTTCTATCAAGCTACCAATATCATTTTAAACAGAATTAGAAAAAAAAACTATTCTAAAATTCATATGGAACCAAAACAGGGTCCAAATGGCCAAAGCAATCCTGAGTAAAAAGAGCAAAGCCAGAGTCATCATGTTACCTGCCTTCAAATTATACAAGGTTACACTAACCAAAACAGCATGGTACTGGTACAAAGATGGACATACAGACCAATGGAACAGAATAGAGAACTCAGAAATAAAGTTGCATACCTACAGCCATCTGATCTTTGACAAAGTTGACAAAAATTAGGGGGAAAGGCAGGGGAAATGACTCCCTATAAAGGTTGTGAGAGAGCTGGTTAGCCATACGCAGAAGAATGAAACTGGACCCCTACCTTTCACCATATACAAAAATTAACACAAGATGAATAAAACATTTAAATATAAGACCTCAAACCATAAGAATCCTAGAAGAAACTTAGGAAATACCATTCTGGACACTGGCCTTGGGAAAGAATTTATGACTAAGTTCTCAAAAGCAGTTGTAACAAAAACAAAAATTGACAAGTGGGATGTAATTAAAGAGCTTCTGCACAGCAAAATAATCAACAGAGTAAACAGACAGCCTACAGAATGGGAGAAAATATTCACAACCTTTGCATCCAACAATGATCTAATATGCAGAATCTACAAAGAACTTGAACAATTGGGCTGGGGGCGGTGGCTCAACGCCTGTAATCCCAGCACTTTGGGAGGCCAAGGCGGGCGGATTACAAGGTCAGGAGATTGAGACCATCCTGGCTAACATGGTGAAACCCCGTCACTACTGAAAAATACAAAAAAATTAGCCGGGCGTGGTGGCGGGCGCCTGTAGTCCCAGCTACTCGGGAGGCTGAGGCAGGAGAATGGCGTGAACTTGGGAGGTGGAGCTTGCAGTGAGCCGAGATTGCGCCAATGCACTCCAGCCTGGGCGACAGAGCAAGACTCTGTCTCAAAAAAAAAAAAAAAAAAAAAAAAACTTGAACAATCGAATAAGCAAAGAACAACTAGATTAAAAAGTGGGCAAAGACATTACAAACACTTCTCGAAGTCATTTTGTTTTCAAAAGAAGTTATTATTGAACTTATAAGACCTCATTATTTTCTGGTAACAATATTTTTCTATTACCAGAAAATATTGTACAAAAACGAAAAAGGATTCCACTAATTTCTATTTAATTATTTTAATTTCTATTATTCGATGTATCTGCTGTATTATATATAACCTTATATTAAGACCATGTTAAACCCTAACTTCCTAAACTAATGCATTTAGTTACCTTCAGTTGTTTTGTTAAGTTAATGATCGTGTTAACAGTAATCTATTAAATGTCAATAATTAGAATAAAAATTAAATATTGACTGGATGCGATAGCTCACACCTGTAATCTCAGCACTTTCGAGGCTGAGGTGGGAGGATCATTTGAGCTCAGGAGTTTGAGACCAGCCTGGGCAATGTAGCAAAACCTCATCTCTATAAAAATATTTGGCCTGGCGCGGTGGCTCACGCCTATAATCCCAGCACTTTGGGAGGCTGAGGTGGGCGGATCAGGAGGTCAGGAGTTCGAGACCAGCCTGTCCAACGTGACAAAACCCCGTCTCTACTGAAAATACAAAAAATTAGCTGGGTGTGGTAGTGGGCACCTGTAATCCCATCTACTTCGGAGGCTGAGGCAGGAGAATCGCTTGAACCTGGGAGGTGGAGGTTGCAGTGAGCCAAGACCATGCCACTGCACTCCAGCCTGGGCGACTAGAGCGAAACTCCGTCTCAAAAAAAAAAATTTTTTTTTACTAAAAAAAAATTAAATACAGTTTCTGCTCTTGGAGATAGAGCTCTAAGACCAAGTTATATCAGTGTTTGTGGGAGCTCAGGGGAAGAAAGTCAGTGAAAGAAGGCAATCACAGTAGTTCTTGTATTTATAAGTGAAGGGCAAGGAATTAGATGTAGCTAGAGTTTGTGCATTAGAAGGGGAGAGTGAGACTAGCTGACTGTGAAGACCAGAGGGAATCACTGAGTTCAACCTATTGACACGCAGTAGGGTGTGGTAGAAAGCGCTTTTTTTCTTTTCATTTTGCTTCAGGGGAAAACCGATTTAATATCTACCAACCTCCCCATCCCCCAAATAACTGCATTCTGCGATTTCAACTTTTCTTTCAATTCTGAATCCTGTTTTCTCCACTTATAAAAGGAAAGTTATCAAAAACAAAGGAAGGTTATCAAAAACAAAATACGTTGGCAAAGTACTCATCACTTCTTCGACTTACATTTTTACTGCCGTGAAACTATTTCTGTATGTTCTTCTATCCAGACAGACATTCACTGCAGCCTATAACGTGAAAGATGCAAGCAAGGATATATAACTGTTTCAGTGAACAGATTTGGTGAAGTGCCTTCTGTTTTAGCACTTTAAGTTTATCCATTTTGTTGACTTCTGACATTCCATTTTTCCTAGATAGGAGGAAAGATCTGTTTATGCAGTTCGTTTTTAAAATGTGCCAATGCCTGCACATTAAGATTTTTAAAAATAAAATTGTATAAAACATATAATGTATTGGTCTTTTATGGGGAATTAGATGCATCACCACTGTATTACACTTTATCACAACTGTATTACAGCTTCATCAACATTAACGGGTTTGCTTTCATGACGCTTCTGAGGAATTGGTTCTTTTTGCAGAGGTTCAAGAGAAAGGGCTTTTGAGAAGTTTAGTTCCTTTTGTATATTTACAAATGCTTTATTAACATTGTTAACTTTTCATCATTCATAACATTTATTTTAAGATGAGTAGTAACTGGCTTTGCTTTGTTTTTAGCCTTATAAAGTTGTTTTGGCTGACCATGTGAAATACGTTCCTGGACTTCTGCCCTCTTAATTTGTTCTTGGCCATTGTCTTTGATACTCACATGCAGGTTCTTTTTTTTTAAATTAATTTCCATAGGTTTTGGGGGAACAGGTGGTATTTGGTTACATGAGTAAGTTCTTCAGTGATGATTTGTGAGATTTTGGTGCACCCATCAACCTGAACAGTATGTACTGTACCCAATTTGTAGTCTTTATTCCTCACCCACCTCCCACCCTTTCTCCCAAGTCCCTGAAGTTCATTGTTATCATTCTTATGCCTTTGCCTCCTCATAGCTTATGAGTGAGAGCATACAATGTTTGGTTTTCCATTCCTGAGTTATTTCACTTAGGATAATGGTCTCCAATTCCATCCAGGTTGCTGCGAATGCCGTTATTTCATTCCTTTTTATGGCTGAATAGTATGACATGGTGTATATGTGTACCACAATTTCTTTATCCACTCATTGCTTGATGGGCATTTGGGCTGGTTCCATATTTTTGCAATTGCGAATTGTGCTGCTATAAACATGCGTGTGTAAGTATCTTTTTCATATAATGACTTCTTTTCCTCTGGGTAGATACCCAGTAGTGGGATTGCTGGATCAAATGGTAGTTCTACTTTTAGTTCTTTAAGGAATATCCACACTGTTTTCCATAGTGGTTGTACTAGTTTACATTCCCACCAGCAGTATAAAAATGTTCCCTTTTAACCGCATCCCTGCCAACATCTATTATTTTTTGATGTTTTGATTATGTCCATTCTTGCAGAAGATGGCATTGCATTGTGGTTTTTTATTTGCATTTCCCTGATCATTAGCGATGTTGAGCATTTTTTCATATGTTTGTTGGCCATTTGTATATCTCCTTTTGTGAATTGTCTTGTCATGCCTTAACTCTATTGTTTTGATGGAATTTTTTTTTCTTGCTTATTTGTTTGAGTTCCTTGTATATTCTGGATATTAGTTCTTTGTCGGATGTATAGATTGTGAAGATTTTCTCTCACTCTGGGTTGTCTGTTTACTCTGCTGATTGTTTCTTTTGCTGTGCAGAAACTTTTTAGCTTAAGTTCCACCTATTTATCATTGTTTTTGTTGCATTTGCTTTTGGGTTCTTCATCATGAAGCCTTTGCCTAAGCCAGTGTCTAGAAGGGTTTTTCTGATGTTATCTTCTAGAATTTTTATGGTTTCAGGTCTTAGATTTAAATCCTTGATACATCTTGAGTTGATTTTTGTATAAGGTGAGAGATGAGGATCCAGTTTTATTCTTCTACATGTGGCTTGCCAATTATCCCAGCACCATTTGTTGAATAGAGTGTCCTTCCCCCTTTATGTTTTTGTTTGTTTTGTCAAAGATCAGTTGGCTGTAAGTATTTGGGTTTATTTCTGGGTTCTCTATTCTGTTCCATTGGTCTACGTGCCTATTTTTATACCAGTACCATGCTGTTTTGGTGACTATGGCCTTATAGTATAGTTTGAAGTCATAATGTGATGCCTCCAGATTTATTCTTTTTGCTTTGTCTTGCTTTGGCTGTACAGGCTCTTTTTTGGTTCCATATGAATTTTAGGATTGTCTTTTCCAGTTCGGTGAAGAATGATGATTTTTTTTTTGTTTTTTTTTGGTTTTTTTTGACAGAGTTGCCCAGGCTGGAGTACAGTGGCACAATCTCAGCTCACTGCAACCTCTGCCTCCTGGGTTCAAGCAATTTTTCTGCCTCAGCCTCCCTAGTAGCTGGGATTACAGGTCCATGCCACCACACCTGGCTAATTTGTTCATTTTTAATAGAGATGGGTTTTTGCCATGTTGGCCAGGCTGGTCTTGAGCTCCTGACCTCAGGTGATCCACCCATCTCGGCCCCTCCCAAAGTGCTGGGATTACAGGTGTGAGCCACCTGGCCCTTATGGTGGTATTTTGATAGGAATTGCATTGGTCATTTTCACAATATTGATTCTACCCATCCATGAGCATGGGATATGTTTCCATTTGTATTGTTATTTGTGATTTCTTTCAGCAGTGATACATGCATTCAGGTCCTTAAGCTCCAGGTGACACCATCTGCACGCAGCACAGGGCTTTAAGATACAAATTAGAGCCAGTTAGAAGACTTACTTCAGTAGTTTAGAGATGAGGTGATCAGAATGGAGAGTGTAGGGTAATAGGTGTAAGTAAACATTTGGAGGCTATCAGGTGGTAAGAGTGACAGCTTTTTTACTTGGGTGACTGAGTTGATGGTGATTTATTTAGCAGGATAAAGAATACAGGGGCAACATAGGGAAACCCCATCTCTACCAAAAATACAAAAATTAGCCAGTCTCATAACCCAATCTCAAAAAAAATTTTTTGTAATAAAAATATCTTTTAAATCCTGTATTCTGTTAATTTTGCTTCCTTCCCTGAGAAGGACATAATATATCTTTTGTTTGTTTGTTTGTTTTTTGAGACAGGATCTCACTCTGTCACCCAGGCTGGGGTGCAGTGGCACAATCATGGCTTACTGCAGCCTCAACCTCCCCAGGCTTAAGTGATTCTCCCACCTTAGCCTCCAAGTAGCTGTGACCACAGATGTGTGCCACTGCACCCAGCTAATTTTTATAGTTTTGGTAGAGATGAGATTTCAAAAACACAAATAAATAAATAAATAAATAAATTTAATTAAATAATGGCTGGGCTCGGTGGCTCATGCCTATAATCCCAGCATTTTGGGAGGCCAAGGTGGGCGGATCACCTGAGGTCAGGAGTTTGAGACCAGCCTGACTAACATGGTGAAACCCCGTTTCTACTAAAAATGCAAAAAGCCGGGCGTGGTGGTGCAAGCCTGTAATCTCAGCTACTCGGGAGGCTGAGGCAGGAGAATCGCTTAAACCCGGGAGGCAGAGGTTGCAGTGAGCCAAGATCGTGCCATTACACTCCAGCCTGAGCAACAAGAGCGAAACTCCATCTCCAAAAAAAAAAAAAAAAAAATTAAATAAAAAAGAGAATGCAGTTTTAGATTATAAGGTGGCAGAAGAACATCCAGAACATCGAGTGGTAATATTCATCGGTATATTAGTTTTAAGTCCTCTGCAAAGCAGATGGGATTTTGATGAGCAAGAGATTTATTTGGAGAAATGCCTGAAAGGGAAAAAGGGAGGATGCAATAAAACTGGGGACAACTATCATACTGCAGTGCTGATGTAGATCTGACCCTGTGCTGGGGGTCCCCAAGATCACCTCCAGGTTCAGAAATCACCTAGGAGGATGCACAGAACTCAGCAAATAGTCGTTTTCATGGCTATAATTTATCCTAACAGGAGGCAAAAGGTACATGGAGTAAATTCCAGGGAAAATCAGACACCAGCTTCTAAGAGTCTTTTCCCAGTGGGGTCGCACAGAATGCACTTAATTCCTCCAGTAACAAGTTGTGACAACATGTGTGAAATGTCTACCAGGCAAGCCCATTAGAAATTCAGTGCCTGGGGTTTTACTGGGGAGATACTGCCTGCCATGTATTAAGATATCAGAGTCTCAAAAGGAAAGCAGATATTCAGAATAAACTATATTGTTTGTATTTGTGACTGGCCTTCTGTTTAGGAGGGTGTCTTTTTCAATCACTGGGTGATGCATCTGTCTCAAGTCCCCATCTTTTAAAAAAAAACTTTTTAAAATTTTCTTTTTTGGAGATGGAGGTTTGCTATTTTGCCCAAGCTGGGCTTGAATTCACGACTGTCCCACTTCAGCCTCCCAAGTAGCTGGGACTACAGGTGCATGCCACTGCACCTTGCCCCAAATCCCCATTTTGCACCACCCATTTTCTCAGACCACTCCTACTGCATGTGTGTTAGTTCAGATCCTCCAAGAAGCAGAAGCTAAGGTTGGATTAGCTGTAGAAGAGATTTACTGGGGAAAATGCTTGTGAGAGGATGGCGGAATGCAGGGAAGAAGTAAGGAGAAGCATCAGACTATGATGCAGCTCTCAGCCCTCCCGGTAAAGGAGAGGGAAAGAGGGTAGGGGAGACAGAGTCTCAGTGCACTGTGTAGTTTTAAGAATGTTTCAGCCAGGTCAATGGTAAAACCTCAGGCCAAGTCACCCACAGAGTCACCTGTGTCTTGCAGCAATGGGCCTTTCACAGTATCCCTGCCATGCTTAGTCCATTAATTTGGGCCAGACTATGGAAAGTGTGGCATGAACCTAAGCATGGGAGTAGATCCATAAGGGCAGCTGTTGGAAGTCATCTCTGTGTTACAATTTTTTTGTTTTTTTGAGACAGTCTCCCTCTGTCACCCAGGCTGGAATGCAGTGGCACAGTCACTGCTCACTGCAGCTTCGACCTCCCAGGCTCAAGTGATCCTCCCACCCACCTCAGCATCCTGAGTAGCTGGGATTTCAGGCATGTGCCATTCAACCTGGCTAATTTTTTTTTTAATAGAGATGACATCTCATCATCTTGCCCAGGCTGGTCTTGAACTCCTGGGCTAAAGCAGTCTGCCTGCCTTGGCCTCCCAGAGTTCTGGGATTACAGGTGTGAGCCACTGAGCCCAGCCCTGTATTAGAAGTTTTGAAAGTGATAGAGATAGTGCAGGGAATAAGTTAAATAGATAAAGAAGTGGAAACCTCCCCATTTTACATGATGTGTTTATTATGCATTGCATACCTGTATCAAAATATCTCATGTACTCTATAAATATATACATCTACTATGTACCCACAAAATTAAAAAGTTTAAAAAAAGTCAAAAGGAGAACCTTTAAGATAATTAATTTTGAAGCAGTGAGCAGAGAAGAAAGGAGCCAATGCAGGAGGCTATATAGTTTTCTGAGAGTTAGGAAAAGACTCAGGTAAGATAGAGTTTAAAGAAGAAGGGAAAATCGAGTTTAAGGTAAATGTTATAAAGAAGTTGTTAGCTTTCTGAGTCCATTTTCAGTGGAGTTCAGGTAACAAATTGGAGTGAGTTGACTAGAGAACATAAGTATATACTACTTTTGAAGATGGGGCAAAATATTTCCGGATAAATAGTGTTTAGTCATGATATATCTTATCTGCTTAACAAATTTAAAAGCAAATGATGTCTTGCTTGTTAAATTTCTCAGAATTCAGCATTATTCTGGCAGACATTCACAAAGAACTGACAAGGAAAGAAGAGAGATTCAAGCCTGGATGAAAAGAAAACGAAAAGAAAGAATGGCAAAGTACTTAAATGAGCTGGCAGAAAAGAGAGGGCAAGAACATGATCCTTTCTGTCCCAGAAGCAATCCAGTAAGTCTGCCATGTCAAGGGTAATGGAATTACAGAATATGTGTAATTACTTTCCTGGCAAAATTTTAAGAAAAAGATTAACATAATTTGGATACATTTGTAATTTGGCATATAGAAAAGTAAATGTTTTACTTAAGTCAGGAAAAGTTAATAAATTATCTTAAAATGTTGCAGCATATTGTGCTAACCAAGTTATACTGAATTATCTTAAATATTTTCTTGTCCCCCAGGCTAATGATGGCTATAGCATTTTAACAAGAGGAGGAGGTTGAGTGATTGGGTGACCAATTGGAGTTCTTCCTTTAATTTTCAATGAGAGTCATTGGCAGTTGCGACAACCAACTATGTGTATTAAAGCCATTTTAAAAACTCACTCTTCTATGCCTGCTCCCTTACTTAGTTTATAAAATTTATTTGCTTAGAAAACTTTGGGAGACCAAAGTGAGAGGATCACTTGTGACCAAGAGTTGAGAGCATCCTGGGCAATATCATGAGATCTCATCTCTACAAAAGAAAAAAAAAAATTAGCCAGGTGTGGTAGCACACACCTGTAGTCCCAGCTACTCTAGAGGCTGAGGCAGGAGGATCATTTGAGCCCAGAAGTTTGAGACTGTATTGAGCTATGATCACACCACTGCACTCCAGCCTGGGAGACAAAGGGCGACCCTGTGTCTACAAATAAAGCAAAAGCTAACAAATAAAAAACCCTTCAATTTTCTGTTCATAAGTTACCTACAAAGAATACAAAAAAAATTATTGTCCAGTCATGTATCAACAGAACAATGTCAGTTCTGTGTGTGTGGTTTTTGTTTTTTTAACTGTTTTTAAAACTCAGCATTTATTTACTGAGCCCTAAATACAGACATAACCAGGCTAGGTCAGGTATATTTTTCTTCAGATGGTAAAACAAAGCACTATTACTTTGATAGTCACATTACTATGAAAATTACATTTAGATTACAGTTTAGATTACAGTTTATCTTTTACTTTGTAATCTGAAATAAAATACAATATCCCTTCATTTTTTTCAGCATCATTAGGATAACAAATTCTTTAGGTGAATTTTTCAGATAAACTGTTCCATTAAAACGCCAAATGGTGCAAAAGTAGGTGAACTATTGTTTAAAGTGTGCAATTTACTTACCTGTCTCTGAAAAGAGCATATTGGTGTTAACGTAACGTTTTCTTGATAGCCCAGGAGACATGGTAGTGACCTTCAGGGCTACTGAGGTACCTGACCAGAATCTTAAAGTGTGTGCATGTGTGTTTGAGAGAGACTGTGTGTGTGTGTGTGTGTGTGTGTGTGTGTGTGTATGTTCCCCTAGCCTAATGTAGAATGGGTTCTGACATTACCTTCTCGCTGTCAGTGAAGTAAATACCCAAGATTGTTAGAATTGTGTCCAAATTTAGAATAAATTGGCTAGGAATAGTGGCTCATGTCTGTAATCCCAGCACTTTGGGAGCCCATGATAGGAGGATCACCTGAGGCCAGGAGTTCAAGACCAGCCTAGGCAACATAGTGAGACCTTGTCTCTACAAAAAAAAATAAGAAAATGAAAATTTAGCCAGATGTGGTGGCACATGCCTGTAGTCCTAACTACTCAAGGTAAGAAGATCACTTGTGCCCAGTTGAGAAGATCATGCCCCTGCACTCCTGCCTGGGCAACAGAGTGCACTCTTGTCTCAAAATAAGTAAACTCTAAGGGTTTAAGAACTGCTTGGTTTATAGATTTTGTGGTCTCATTCAAGATTGCAAACACTTTTTTTGTTTTGTTTTTTAACTTCTATTTGGGTAAAGGGATGGGATTAGTGAGGTGTTAATGTAATTAAAATTTTCATTTGAATTTCTATTAGAAATCAACAAGACCTTTAATTTGCTAGTGACAACTTCTCCACAGGACCTTGAAAAAGTGAATTTACTTCTGAGTGTCCATTTTTATATACATAATTGTGTGTGAAAAGAACCTCACATGTAACTCACACCAATAGTTCTTAATGTTCTGGAATAATACGTATGTGTCTGACATTTGTTGTTTGCCTTCTGGTGTATAACTTGAAGAGTTTATGAGTCACAGTCAATTCACTGTAGTAGGTTTCTGATAAACATTTTAAAACATAAAAATGATAATTTTAAATGTCTAATTTCTGCTTTATTAACAAGCTCTTGGTGAGGTTAATTACAGGATTGAGTACAAAGCATAGGTGCTTCCACCTAAAATGTTCCTACTTTCCATTTTTAGTGCAGCCAAATAAGGTTCTCTCCTAATTAATTCAATAAAATATATTAATTGAACTAGTAAAATAGATTTTGCCTTCCATTTATTAAATTGGTTTATTATTTTTATTTATTTATTTATTTTTTTGAAACGGAGCCTTGCTCTGTTGCCCAGGCTGGAGTGCAGTGGCGCTATCTCAGCTCACTGCAGCCTCCGCCTCCCAGGTAGCTGAGATTACAGGTGTGTGCCACATGCCCAGCTAATTTTTGTATTTTTAGTAGAGACGAGGTTTCACCATGTTGGCCAGGCTGGTCATGAACTCCTGACCTCAGGTGATCCGCCCGCCGCAGCCTCCCTAAATTGGTTTTTACTTTAATTACATGATGTTTTAATTTAACATTTTTATGTTTTATGCTAGAGTAGGAAGCTTCATCAAACACGACAGTGTTTTGTACTGTTTCCTAAATAACAGAATTATGTGTAATGGTTTAATTATTTGGATTGAACAATAATGAACCAACTGGGTATTTTTTATGCAGCTTTACATGACTTCAAGGGAAATAAGGCTGAGACAAAAGATGAAGCATGAAAAAGACAGGTGAGTTTGGTAGCTGTAACCCTGTGTTTTCTCTCTAACTTCCTTAGCTGAGGCATAGATTAATGCCTTAGGAATTCTGTTTTCACAATAGTCTCTTTTTTGTCAATAAACAGAGAATTATGGGAGTTATCACTGCAAGGAAAATGATGAGACTCACTAGCCTTTTTTCAAATTTGCTTTCAAATATTATGTGTTTCATTCAGTTTTTATGACTTTTATTTCTGCTGTTCTCCCTTTCCCAACCCAGATATTTACATGCATTTGGGAAATACTCCAGAGACCATAACTACAAGTACCTTTAATAATACTGCCTAATCATTTTCAGAAATCTGATGAATAGAAGGATGTTAGAAGTGCTGAAGAAAGAAAATGCTAAGTGAAATTAGCCGGGCATGGTGGCCAGGCGCCTGTAATCCCAGCTACTCGGGAGCCTGAGGCAGGAGAATTGCTTGAACTCGGGAGGCGGAGGTTGCAGTGAGCCGAGATCACGCCATTGCAATCCAGCCTGGGTGACAAGAGTGAAACTCCGTCTCAAAAAAAAAAAAAAACCAGAACATGCTAGGTGATCTTCAAACACTATATTCCCTCTGGATAGATGAACTGAAAGTGACTCTTAATAAATGATGCTTAATTCTTTGTCTACAGATTGCTGCTCTCTGAACACTATAGTCGTCGAATCTCACAAGCGTACGGTCTGATGAATGAACTGTTATCTGAGTCAGTACAGCTACCAACTCTACCACAGAAACCATTGCCTAACAAACCCAGCCCTACTCAGTCTTCCAGTTGTCAACACTGCCCTTCTCCAAGAGGGTAAGACAAGGTTTCACATGCCATTTGGCAAGATAACGTCAGGCCTGATAAGAAGAAATGTAGCACTTTCGTGACCTAAGTTCAGTGCATTTGCATTTACCCTGCTTAGAGTTATGATGATAAAGGAAAAAAGTAGCCTCATAATCATGAGGTCTTTATACATTGATAGAATCACCAAGGAAAAAGGCAAAAATTGTGTTATATTTCTCACTAAGCTTACAGAGCATTTAGGTATTCCAGAAGTATGAAATTTGGTATCTGTGCAGTCCTGTTTTATTTAGTTGTTGTTAATATTTGCCTCCATAATTTGCCTTCTAACTGCTCATCCTATTTTCCCATGTGTCATCTTCTCTCTTTCAGAAACAGCCAGTCCCCAGCTGCTTACCACTTCCCTTTCTGCTACCCGCCCCAGACCTGCCCAGTTATGCTCATTCAGCTGTAGCTACTATTATGTATTTTACTTTAATCACCTGCAGAGGGGTTATATATGAGTTAATTAGGCAGGAATTAACTAAACATAGAATGCTGAAGAAAACTACCCAAGTATAAAATTTCTTATATATGGTCAACAAACATGCAAAGTTCTATTAATATCTGTTGGTGATCATAGGGTGAACATGAATTGGAGTACAGTGTTGTTAAGCATCAACACATTTGACAAAATAAATTATTAGAATTGTAAACATAATCACATAATTTAAGAGCCTAGAGGAGATACTACCAACACAAACCCAGATGTAATCAGATCATCTGTGTGTGTAGTGTAGAGTTTACTTCAAATACCAAAGATTCCCGTTGAGACTTTTCTAGAATAAAGCAGGGATTAAATACATATATAACTGCCCAATATATGGAGAATTTGAAATGGAGAGTGAGATAACCACAAAAAAGTTTTGTGAAAAAAAATGAGGTTTGAGGTATGAGATACAAAGAATAATTTGTTGAGAGTTATATGTTAAGTGCATCACTGAGGTACAGACTAGGCAGTATCAAGTGAATATAATCTGAGCTATATTTTGGTCTGTTTTTTCCTTAAAGTAACAGGGTCTTGCTCTGTCACCCAGGCTGGAGTGCAGTGGCATTCACAGGTGCAATCATGGCACACCACAGCCTCGACTCTCTGGGTTCCAGTGATCCTCCTGTCCCACCCTCGCCAGTAGCTGGGGCTATAGGCTTGCACTACTGTGCCCAGCTTAATTTGGGCTTTTTGAAATGTTAAAGTTTATCGCTGATATGAGATTCTGGGAATGTAATAATTATGTGATTTCTACTATAGAGAGAATCAACATGGTCACAGTTTTCTAATAAATCGACCTGGAAAAGTCAAATATATGTCCAAACCGAGTTATATCCATAAGAGGAAGTCTTTTGGGCAACCTCAAGGCTCACCTTGGCCACATGGTAAGACTTAAAGCTTTTTTATAAATTGTCTGATTTGGACCTATTCCTTCTTGTCTCCAAAGTTGTGTTTTCATTAGTAAAAGGTATAAGTCTTAGTAAAAAGGAGTTCTGATTTGAACAGAAGGCGAGGCATTGATAAAGACTTAGCTGTAATTTTTTTTTTTTCTGCTTTGAAGTAAGGCCCTAGGAATCTTCCTAAATGAATGGCTTTTTTTTTCTTTTTCTTTTTGAGGCAGAGTCTCGCTCTGTCACCCAGGCTGGAGTGCAGTGGCGAGATCTTGGCTCACTGCAAGCTCTGCCTCCCAGGTTCATGCCATTCTCCTGCCTCAGCCTCCCAAGTACCTGGGATTACAGGCGCCCACCACCACGCCCGGCTAATTTTTTGTATTTTTTTAGTAGAGACGGGGTTTCATTGTGTTAGCCAGGATGGTCTTGATCTCCTGACCTGGTGATCCACCCGCCCCGGCCTCCCAAAGTGCTGGGATTACAGGCGTGAGCCACCACGCCCGGCCTTGAATGGCTTTTTTTAATTTTTAATTTTTTTGAGACGGAGTTTCACTCTTGTTGCCCAGGCTGGAGTGCCAATGGTGTGACCTTGGCTCACCGCAACCTCTGCCTCCCAGGTTCAAGTGATTCTCCTGCCTCAGCCTCCCAAATAGCTGGGATTATAGGTATGCATCACCATACCTGGCTAATTTTGTATTTTTAGAAGAGATGGGGTTTCTCCATGTTGGTGAGGCTGGTCTCGAACTCCCGACCTCAGGTGATCTGCCCACCTTGGCCTCCCAAAGTGCTGGGATTACAGGCATGAGCCACCACACCCAGCCGAATGGCTTTTTTTTAATAACATTGAACAATCAGGGTATTAGTAGGGTATAACTTTTTTGGGAGTCTGTTTCTTTTGTATATCTGGCTAAAGATATAGGCATTTGAACAAATCAAGTTCTGATAGATTGCAGGATGAATACATCACAGAATAGGAATGCTAAGAAGCTCAGATTGAAATAATGTCATGTTTTTATCCTTTGAAAATTATTTTCCCATTTCAAGATATGTCCATTATTTACACCTTTCTTTAATTGTGCCATATTTGAGTTTTGATTACTTAAGTAAAACATAGTTATTTGTAACATATTTATATATTAACAACGTATTATAATAGCTGACATGTAGTATAAATGTATACATTTAAAAATGTAAAATAGGCCCGGCGCGGTGGCTCACGCCTGTAATCCCAGCACTTTGGGAGGCCGAGGTGGGCAGATCACAAGGTCAAGAGATTGAGACCATCTTGGCCAACATGGTGAAACCCCGTCTCTACTGAAAATACTAAAATTAGCTGGGCGTGGTGGTGTGCGCCTGTAGTCCCAGCTACTCTGGAGGCTGAGGCAGGAGAATTGCTTGAACCCAGGAGGCGGAGGTTGCAGTGAGCTGAGATCGCACCACTGCACTCCAGCTTGGCGACAGAGTGAGACTCTGTCTGAAAAAAAAAAAAAAGTAAAATAACAACTAATTATGTGGCAGGTTCTGTTTACGTTCTTTAATTACAACCCTGTGAGATAGGTGCTATTATGTTCCCACTTTAAAGACAAGGAAACCAAGTCAGAGAAAGCTTAAATAATTGCCCAAGATCATACAACTAGGAAGTGGTAGAGCCAAGATTTAATCCGAGGGTGGGTCTAGAGCCTACACACATAGAACCAACACTTCAGTATGCTGCCTCAATTTAGAAAATTGAAATTTCCATAAATCCCAATTCTTTAGATGAAACCCTTCGTGGTTTGGTTAGCTCTTGGCCTTTTTTTTTTTTTTTTTGAGACACAGTGTGTTGCCCAGTCTGGAGTGCTGTGCCATGATCTTGGCTCACTGCAACCTTTGCCTCCTAGGCTCAAGAGCCATCTCCCACCTCAGCCTCCCGAGTAGCTGTGATTATAGGCGTGTGCCACCATGCCCAGCTAATTTTTGTTTATTTGTTCATTTTTTGTAGAGATGGGGGGTCTTGCTGTGTTGCCCAGGCTGGTCTTGAACTCCTGAGCTCAAGCATCTACCCACCTCAGCCTCCCAAAGTGCCGGGATTACAGGTGTGAGCTATCATGCCTGACCAGCTCTTGGCTTTTTTGATTGACAAATTACAGTAAGAAAATACTGCTCTTTTAAAACTGAAATTTCAAAATAGTGAAACATGCTTATATAAAAAAACTTATTTTGTACCTGATATATTTGCCAGAATTAAATACATATCTAAAATTGTCAAGGTTTTAAAAACCTGAGCCATGGTTTCTTAACATCTGATGAAAAAGTCTTGAATTATATGGAAATATGTCCTCCTGTTATATGTGTTCAATTTCAAGTCTTTATTTTTACCTTGTGCTTTGACGGTTGCTATGGCCTTAGCCCGTCTTTCCGTTAATCTCACCTGCCCTTGCTGGATTATGCTTGAGGAGGTGCTCCTGCTACTCCTGGGCTCAGAAGCCCTCAGCAACACTTATACCCACACAGAAACGTCTAGACCCTCTGCTTGGCCTTCAAGGCATCATCTGTGTGTTTTCCTGCTTCCTTGACCTCCTTTCCCCATAGAACCTGTGCTGCTCAGCAGCTTGTTTTCCAACCACATGCCATGATTTGTGCTCCTTTATACCTTGAATGTCTCACTTCTGTGTGTCTGAAGACATTCCTAATTGTAATTCTTTAGTTCATCCACGCTGATATAATCAATTTAATATTCTACATTCTCATTTCTAAATTGAGGCTAATATTTAATCTGCATGGTTGCTATGAAAATTAGAGATAATGGTGGCTAAAGCAGTTATTTTTCTGTCCTTTGAACCCTTAACCACATGTTTATGTCCCTCTTGAAGCACTACAACAGGTGTCCTGTTGTTGTTACCTGTAAACTTCATGCCCCATACTAGATTAAATGCTTTGCAGCAGTATTCCCTTGCTCATCTTCCTATTACCCCTCATGTTGAACAGATGAAATACTCGAACATTGAACAAATGGATAAATGGAAAAAATGGTTATTGAGCTTTTTGCCTAAGCATAGCTATTTATAAACAAATTATTGTTCAAGGATATTAATAGGCGGGTATTATAGTATTTATACCATGTCAGAGAATAATACCATATGCCTGGCTATTGTCCTGTCTTTTAAGGCAAAGATAAAAGAGGCAGCTTGAGTGCTTGTGGATATTCTAACTTCTCTGCCTCAGTAGAACAGGCTGTGGCTCCCCTTGTTCTTGTGGCCTCTGTCACACCCAGACCCAACCATTTCACCTGGCTACATTCAGAAGTTTCAGGTCCCCCAGTGTTTGGGAGAATGGAGGGAAATCCAGGCAAGACTGATTCCAGACCTTTTCCTAGTCAGTGATACAGATAACCTGAACTCACATAGGTCAAGTTCAGTCATTGCACATGTGGGGAGGTGAGGCTCCATCAAGATTTTCAAATTCACTGTAGTTCATTCGTAAATGAAGAGTTTTTCTGAATATGCTTGGGAGTTTGACTCTATGTTGCTTTCTATCTTGTAAAGCAGTATGTAGTTTTTGGCTAATTTCTTCAGCCCTGCTTCCATACTGTTAGGAAATTTTTTTTTTTTGGACACAGGAACTCATTCTGTCGCCCAGAAGGGAGTGCAGTGGCGTGATCATGGCTCACTGCAACCTTGACCTCCCTGGCTCAGATCATCTTCCCACTTCAGCCTTTTTTTTTTTTTTTTTTTTTTTTTTTTTTGAGGCAGAGTCTTGCTCTGTCACCCAGACTGGAGTGCAGTGGCGTGATCTCACCTCACTTCAACCTCTGTCCTTTAGGTTCAAGCAATTCTCCTGCCTCAGCCTTCGGAGTAACGGGGACTACAGGCTTGCACCACCGTGCCCAACTAATTTTTGTATTTTTTAGTAGAGACAGGGTTTCACCATGTTGGCCAGGCTGGTCACAAACTCTTGGCCTCAAGTGATCCGCCAGCTTTGGCCTCCCAGAGTGATGGGATTACAGGTGTGAGCCACCGTGCCTGGTAGTGTGAGACATCTCAGCCTCTTGAATAGCTGGGACTACAGGTGTGCACCACCACACCTGGGTAATTTTTAAATTTTTTCGTAGAGACGGAGTCTTGCCATGTTGCTCAGGCTGTTCTCAAACTCCTGGGCTCAAGCAATCTTCCCATGTTGGCCTCCCAAAGTGCAAGAATTACAGGCGTAAGCCACCATGCCTGGCCAGGAGTAGTTTGTGTTATTGTTGCTTGTTTTATGTTTAGTTCTGTCAACTACAATACAAAGATTATATGATTAGTAACTGAGAGGCATCTTAGGCATAAAAAAGTAAAAGTCGGCCGGGCATGGTGGCTCACGCCTGTAATCCCAGCACTTTGGGAGGCTGAGGTGGGCGGATCATGTCAGATGATCAAGACCATCCTGGCCAACATGGTGAAACCCCGTCTCTACTAAAAATAAAAAAAAGTAGCCAGGCATGGTGGTGTGTGCCTGTAGTCCCAGCTGCTCGGGAAGCTGAGGCAGGGGAATCATTTGACCCTGGGAGGTGGAGGTTGCAGTGAGTGGAGATCACGCCACTGTACTGCAGCCTGGTGACAGAGTGAGACTCCATCTCAAAAAAAAAAAAAAAAAAGAAATAAAAGTCTAAGTTTTAAATCCTCTAAACTTAGGTTTATATCCCAGCTCTGCTGCTGATTTTTGCCCTCAGATAAGTTATTTGAAACCTACCTCATAGAGTTGTTGAGGATTATATTAATAAGAGATATTGCATAACATGGAAGTAAATGGTTGTTATTAATCTTTGAGTTTAAGAAACTAATCATTCGGTTGATAAAATTTAACTTGGCATTTTGTCTAGGTGTTTACTGCTAAGAGGCTTATTATGTCCCTAGCTTTTCCAGTTGCCAGAGATGTCAAAACACATTTGCCATTTGAAAAAAGAGTATGGCTGTGCTTGAAGGATACCAGGTGTCAAAGCAAAGTATTCCCTTTCTTTGTCTGCACTTAAGTTTTGCCACCTTGGTTCAAACCAGCCACCATTTACTGGGCCCCTACTGTGAACAGGGCTTGGTGAGCAGATTCAAAGCTGATCACCAAGGTGTCTGTCCTCAAATAACTCACAATATATATAAAAATCATGGATGTCTATGGAAGGCTAATAATGTTTGTCTCTCTGTATAGGAACTGCCACTTTCACCATACAGAAAAAAGCTGGTGGAGCCAAAGCAGCAGTAAGAAAGGCTACGCAGTCTCCAGTTACCTTCCAAAAAGGTAAGGGATAAAGAAGATAAAGTTTTTAGACTTAATACTGAATTTTCTTTTTTTTTTTTTTGAGACAGAGTCTCACTCTGTTGCCCAGTCTGGAGTGCAGTGGTGCAATGTCGGCTCACTGTAACCTCCACTCCCGGGTTCAAGTGATTCTCCTGCCTCAGGCTTCCCAGTAGCTGGGATTACAGGTGCCCACCACCGCGCCCGGTTAATTTTTGTATTTTTCGTAGAGATGGGGTTTTGCCATGTTGGCCAGGCTGGTCTTGAACTCCTGACCTAAGGTGATCCGCCCATCTTAGCCTCCCAAAGTCCTGTGATTACAGGCATGAGCCACTGTGCCTGGCCCTTAATACTAAATTTTAAAAAAATTATAAATCACTCCATTTCAAATATAGACTTCAGAATGAAGGGTGTGGCTCTGCGCTGCAGTGGTTCAGAGAAGAAGTTTTGGAGTAGCTTTATGGAATCAAGTTAACCACTTACTCTGTAACCTTACGCAAATTTCTAACCCATTTATGTATTCTTAATTTTCTCACCTGGAAAATACAAGTTATAATAGTGAGGATATATGTAACGACCTTGGTAGGTAAACAGGGTAACTATTATCCATGTCTTACTATGAGAACAGACTTAGAGAAGTTAAATGACCTGTTCAGATCTCCTTAAAACAATAACAATAGTAGCTAACAGGTATAGAGCACTTACTCTATGCCAGGCATTGTGTTCACACCTCATGTGCATTATCTCACTTGATCCTCACATTAAATCCAACAAAATCTGTGCAGTTATCCCCATTGAAAGAAAATAATTAAATTTGGTAGGGATAATGATTTTTTAAAAACCCACTAATTTGGCTGGGCGCGGTGGCTCACACCTATAATCCTAGCACTTTGGGAGGTCGTGGTGGTTGGATCACGAGGCCAAGAAATTGAGACCATCCTGGCCAACACGGTGAAACCCCATCTCTACTAAAAATACAAAAATTAGCTGGGCGTGGTGGCATGTGCCTGTAGTCCCAGCTACTTGGGAGGCTGAGGCAGGAGAATCACTTGAACCCAGCAGGCGGAGGTTGCAGTGAGCCGAAATTGCACCACTGCACTCCAGCCTGGCGACAGAGTGAGACTCTGTCTCAAAACAAAACAAAACAAAAAAACCCCACTAGTTTATATGTACTGTGAAAAATGATGAGAAATATGAAGTAATTAGCCTAGGCTTGGTATTATGCCTCTTTCTCTACTGCTAACTCATTACTTTGTAGATCCGTCATTCAGTTTACCCCATCTCTTTTTACCTATGTCTAATCCATTGTTTAACTCATTTATCAACTTTTTAATGTCTATGGCGGTATTTTCTAGAAGATCTATTGGGTACTTTTTCTACTCTTTCCCCCATGTATGCGTTAAAACCCAAGCTTCTGGTCGTTTGGATCACTTTGAATCCTCGAAGCATCATTTCCTGTGCTTGTGTATTAGTCTGTTCTCATGCTGCTAACACATACCTGAAACTGGGTAATTTAAAAGGAAAGAAGTTTAATGGACTCACAGTTTCACATGGCTGTGGAGGCCTCACAATCATGGTAAAAGGCAAAGGAGAAGCAAAGGCAAGTCTTACATGGTGGCAGGCAAAAGAGTGTATTCAGGGGAACTCCCCTTTATAAAACTATCAGATCTCATGAGAACTCACTATCACAAGACCAGCAGCATGAAGGTAACTGCCCCCATGATTCAATTACCTCCCACCTGGTCCCTCCCACAGCACGTGGGAATTATGGGAGCTACAATTCAAGATGAGATTTGGTTGGGGACACAGCCAAACCGTACCAGCTTCTAAATCCCATGCCAGCTTTTCTCTCTTTCAAAGACTTTCCTTTTTACCCATTATGAATTGTTTTCTAGTCTAGAGTACTCAATAGCTTTTTATTCTTTTCAAAGCAAATATCTAGCAATGTCTAGTTCAACAGATAAAATGCTCCCCAAATACAATGTTACCTCTAAAAACAGTTGAAATTACATGTACCGTTATATTGTTTTGTTTTTGAAAGTCCCGGAGATCCAGGGTTTTGTGTTCTTGAAGTCATTATAATCTAACATGAGGCCTTGCCCATAGAAAGCTGTAGGTATTTGTTTCATTGTTCAATGGTAACCCTGCCTCTGAAAGTTAGAAATGTGTATGACTCCAAGTTTCTAGCTTAAGTGCTTAGCTAGACTGTGACTCACAAATTGACACAAGTAGAGCAGGAAAAGAAGCAGGATTTTCTTTGGGAATGATGGAGGTAATAGGTTTAGTTTTATCATCCAGTTTCAGATTTCTCAGGCTAGACTCTGTAGACACTGTTTGGTGTTATGTTATAAAGAAACTGAGTGTCAGTGCCCACCGTCCTAGAGAAAGAGTACTTCCTTTCTGAGGGAAGCCAGTGTACTTGGCAGCCTGGTTTCTGCTGTGGGGTGTCTTCTTGATCTATAACTTACCTTTCACTTCAGAAAGCTTTCACTGTCCAGTGGGGCAGGTACACTTTACCTTGAAAAGTCTTATGCATGCTCAGTTTCACAGAACTTTTCTCATTATATTTTTATCTCAAATTGGATATCCCAGATAAACCCTGGAAAAATGCATTATGATCTGAAAGGAAGGAAATTACAAAGCCATCTCTAGGTAAAGTAAGGTGAGAGAAACCCAGTGATAGCCTCTCAAGGTTTGTAATACCCCATAGGTGAAGATTTATCCTAAAATGCAAGACTCTTAACTGTAATTTTAGCAGAGTAGGTGGTGGTTTGATTTGTCATTCTTTCTAGATGACAATAATTATGTTCATTTGGACAAAACAAGAATGTCGATGTCTAGATGCCAAATTAATTGTAGCCAAGATGAGTTTGGGATTAGTTGATGTTTGTAGCCTTTGTTGATCTCTAGTCATATCGTGAATACTTGAAGGAATAACTTCAGCACCCCACCTCCACTTGTTCCCATCTACTTTGAAGTGGAAGCCTACTCTTGTGGTTATGTTGCTTAACCACTCATTGGTTTCTCTTTCAGTCTCACTTTTTCTGTTTTAACGGCTGTTTTTTTTTTAACACAGTGTTTGTTCACATATGCATTCCTGTCATCTGCTCGTAGATTTTTTCCTTTATATGGTTTTTCAAAATTTGTTCCTTATTAATATTTACTGAAATAATTATTTTAACATGGAACTTTCAGTGGCATTTCAAAATACTCTGTGATGTCTTTAAGTAGCAGAAAAAATGTCAAACCTTTTCAACTAGAGCATAGCTCTCACATTGGATATTACAGTGGCAGGTGCTACCAAATGATGTTAGCTTTGTTTCTTTTTCAGACTCTTGGGGCTAGTCAAAAGAAAAATCCCTAAGCTGTCTGTACCACTGCACCCTTCCCTTTGGCACTAATCCAGGAAGAAGCTTTTGGAAAGCTGCCACTTTGGGGATCCAAATTAATAGATCTATTCATATTTTACTTATAGATATGAAGATGATCTTAAAGGGCCCTCTAAGTATTATTCTTCCTTCACCCTATAGAAAGTTAGGCCGGGCACGGTGGCTCACGCCTGTACAATCCCAGCACTTTGGGAGGCCGAGGCGGGCGGATCATGAGGTCAGGAGATCAAGACCATCCTGGCTAACACCGTGAAACCCCGTCTCTACTAAAAATACAAAAAAAAAATTAGCTAGGCATGGTGGTGGGCGCCTGTAGTCCCAGCTACTCGGGAGGCTGAGGCAGGAGAATGGTGTGAACCCGGGAGGTGGAGCTTGCAGTGAGCCGAGATCATGCCACTGCACTCCAGCCTGAGTGACAGAGCGAGACTCTGTCTCAAAACAAAAAAAGAATAGAAAGTTAATACATTGGCCGGGCGTGGTGGCTCACGCCTGTAATCCCAGCACTTTGGGAGGCTGAGGCAGGCGGATCACGAGGTCAGGAGATTGAGACCATCCTGGCTAACACGGTGAAACCCCATCTCTACTAAAAATACAAAAAATTAGCCGGGTGTGGTGGCGGGTGCCCGTAGTCCCAGCTACTCGGGAGGCTGAGGCAGAAGAATGGCGTGAACCCGGGAGGCAGAGGTTGTAGTGAGCCAAGATAGTGCCACTGCACTCCAGCCTGGGCGACAGAGTGAGACTCCATCTCAAAAAAAAAAAAAAAAAAAAAAGTTAATACATTAGCCCAGGTTCTGGGGTGGATCATCTCCATCATCTTGGGCCAATTACATAACCTCTCTAAGCCTCACTTTCCTCATTTGCAAAATGGGGATAATAATGGTTTCTCCATAGGACTGTCAGGAAGAGTATTCACTCAGCAACTGCCCATTGAGTTCCTACTACATACCAGGCACTGTTACTCATGAACAACACAGAAAGCAGCACATAAATAAGGGAGAATGAGGCTGGCTAGGTGGAACTACTCTAGCAAGGGTGGTTAAAGGTCTCTTTGAGAAGGTGAAACTCTTACTCCAGCTCTTAGTATGAAGCAAATTAAAAATTAAATGAATAAAAATTTAGAAAAAGAGAAGGTGATGTTGGAGTGAAGATCTTGAATGATGAAAAGGAGATTGTTAGGTAAAGATAAGGCAAAACAGTTTCAGGCAGAAGTTCAAAGTTCTGGTAAGATTGTTGTATAAAGATAAGGCAGAACAGAAAGTTCAGAGTCCTGGTACAGAAACAAAGTTGGTATGACAGAAAAGATCAGTGTGGAAAGGTGACGAGAGATATGGTGGGAGAGATGGGCTAGATACTGTAGGCTAAGGCAAGGAGTTTGGATTTTACTTGAGATCCAGTGAGACTCCATTTTAGGGAATTAAGCAGAGAGATAATATAATTTATGTTTTAGAACATGTGGAAAGAAAGAACAGAAGACGGCATACAAGGATAGATTGCTTGGGCTAGGGTTTTAACAATGGAGATGGGAGGAAACTATTTGATTTGGGATGTATTTTGAAGATAGACAAAATTAGGACTTGCTGATGGATTGGATGTGGCATGTATAAGAAAGAAGGATGAGGCTGGGCACAGTGGCTCACTCCTGTAATCCCAGCACTTTGTGAGGCTGAGGCAGGCCGATCGCTTGAGGCCAGGAGTTCCAAACCAGCCTGGCCAATATGGTGAAACCCCATCTCTACTAAAAATACCAAAATTAGCTGGGCATGGTGGCGCATGCCTGTAATCCCAGCTACTTGGGAGGCTGAGGCAGGAGACTCGCTTGAATCCGGGAGGCAGAGGTTGCAGCGAACCGAAATTGCACCACTGCATTCCAGCCTGGGGACAGAGTGAGATTCCGTCTCAAAAAACAAAAAAGATATACTGGATTTTAACCTGAGCATTTCCTGGGATAGGGCAGTTTAGGGGTAAAAATTAACAGTGTGGTTTTGGACATGTTAAAGTTCAGATGTTTATTGCACATCCAAGCAAGGATTTTAAGAAGGGGCAATTAGCTTTATGAGACTGGAGGTACAGGTTTTAGAGAGCTGTCAGCATGTAGGTGATATTTAAAGCCATGGAACTAAATGAAGTTAGCTAGGGAGAGCAGAGGTGTGTTAGAAAATCTAAAGACCAGGCATGAATGTCTGGTAAGTTCAAGGGACTGAATGTAAAAGTGCTTATTAGCCTATACTAAATGCCAAAGTGTGTGCTGTGATTATTTTGGGGGCTTTATTTCTTGGAGATATCTTCAGCTTCAAGTACATAAGGTTGGTAGAGTTACAAAAGACAAAGAGGGCCCAAACTTCAGCATTGTCATACCTCTTCTCCCCTCTTCAGGGAGCCACATGACTGCTTGTTTGGGATCTATATTTACTTCCCATCTTGTCCCATGTCTTGGGTGTTTCTTCATGAAATCACCTCGAAGGGTAGAACATGCTGTGATATTGGCTTTGGAACATTGTGTTAGGTGAGGTAGGCTCCTCTAGGGCTTTGTGCAGAGAAACCTTATTGGTTTGTGGGTTTACTAAGCTGCCTCTGGGCATTAGCTGGAATGAAAATTTCTTTTCAACAAATACTGATATATGCAGTAAGAAGAAAGAGGGTCATAATGTATTGTCACCACACTCACTGTGATGCCTTTGCCTAAAGGCAGATTGTAAGCATTAAGCCTGGGTGAAGATGCCCAAAACATTGCTTCTAAGAAGTTTTCACAAGACTTTCTGTAAAAGACAGGGAAGGCCCAGGTCTCAGAGTTCACCCAACTTTGGTGTCAATACCTCTCCACCGTTCTGTTATATCTGTGGCCTCTCCTCCCTAGATTTTCTTGTCTTAAAGATTAATTACTAATAGTTTTCAAATCCAAAGGCTGGAATTCAGTTTCCATCTCGTACAGTGACAGGACAGGAATTGTTCGAACTCTAAAGTGAACCATTTCCAGACCTTGTGATTCAAATATTATTTAAAATGTGACTACCTTGGCTTTGATGATAAAAGTCACAATTAACAAATGAATGAATGAATGAATGAATCAATCCCAATGTGTGCTTTGTTCTTATCCCTTAAAAGGCTCTAATGCTCCGTGTCATAGTCTGCAGCATACAAAAAAACATGGAAGTGCTGGGCTTGCACCTCAAACCAAGCAGGTGTGTGTAGAGTATGAAAGAGAGGAGACTGTGGTGAGTCCCTGGACGATACCTTCAGAAATCCATAAGATTCTTCATGAGAGTCACAATTCCCTTCTACAAGTAAGCATTGTTCTAGATTTTGTTTGTCTAGTGATTGCTCTATGTTCTTCAGGTTTTTTGTTTGTTTGTTTGTTTGTTTTTTAGTTTGTTTTTTGTGGGATGTGGAAATACTGAAAAGTTGTTAGGTCAGTTTGAAATCGTGATGCAAAGCATCTTCCCTTTTGGCTTAGTACTTCAGCATTTGTCTTTCAGACTTCTCTGTGACTGTATTTTTTAACTAAAAAATGACCAAAATGTAAGAACATAAAATCGTACTACAAGTATCAACATCCGTTCTGCCCTGTCTTCACATCTGGTGCCAGCATCTCGTTGTGTGAGATGATGTTCAGCTCTTGTCCATCTGGATGTGCTGGGCAATCACAGCCCTATTTCCTGGCACATTTCCTTCAGCCTTTTGATGGATGAGCAACTCTAGAATTTTTGGAAAGCTTAGTTCACGTTCCAGGTTTTTTTGTTTTTGTTTTTTTGTTTGTTTTTAGGGGCTAGGACCACAATTGTCTTTTCAATTTAATAGGACTTGTCTCCAACTGAAGAGGAAGAGCCAGAGCATCCTTTTGGGGTGGGCGGTGTGGACAGCGTGTCTGAGAGCACTGGCAGCATCCTCAGCAAGCTGGACTGGAATGCCATCGAAGACATGGTGGCCAGCGTGGAGGACCAGGGCCTGTCTGTCCACTGGGCCCTGGACCTGTAAGACCTGGATATCATTGGGTTTCCATGCACAGGCCAGCACCTCAGTAATGTGGTTCTGAAAGATTAACAGGTTTAAGGGACAGAAGCAATGAAAGAAGCAATGTGAATTTTCCATTTGCTTTCATATTATTACCTGGATTAGCCATTACCAGAGGAAAAATAAACATTTCTCAGTAACTTTGCCTTTATGGGGAAAGGGTTGACTATTGATGTATTATATGTTTTTGTATTTGATGCATCATTAGGCATAATTTTTAAAATGATAAGTACCTTTCAAGCCAAGTTTGCATAACCTACTTTCAATAAAAACCCTCTATCTTGCCTCCTCCTTTATTACCCTCTGAGTTTTGAGAAACAACCATATACAGATGAATCTAATAGGAAAAAAAAAAATCTTTTCATTGAGAAGAAAATCAGTCTCACCTGAGAACTCAATTATGAACCCTATTTTAAAACACCTATGCAGGGTTTAGCCTAGGAGTGAAAAGAAAAACCAACTACCTTTTACCAACCCTGAATCTCTAAATAAGCAAAGTTTCATGGAGGCCAGGAGATCTTCTGTCTTCTGCCCTGTAGCCTGAAGCCTTGGAGGAAGAAACAGGAATGGATGCTTTGGGCAGGAAAGTAAGGGAATATGACTCCGGCCTCTAGAAGGCTCATCTTAAATTTGTAAGAACCATGGTACAGAGACCTGATTAGTTTTTGGTATTGTGCTCCAATAATGTCATAGTTTTAAGAGATAATTTTTATGAGAATTGACTAAGAACCAGTATCCTTCAACTACTTCATCAATGTTTGGTATAATATAAAAGCACACTATCATCTGAAAAAGCTATTAAATACCCCTCTTTTTCCAAATATCTACCTGTGTGAAGCCAGGTTTTACAACATGTATTGCAGCAAGTTGAATGCAGAAGCAGGTATGGTAATTCAGCTGCCTTCTATCAAGCTAAACATTAAAGAGATTTGTAGAACTATAAAACAATGCTACTCTCCTTACCAAATTGTTTTAGAAAATAGCTTTATAGGCTAACATTATTGTTAATTGTCATTTAATTGTTTTGTCATTTAAAATATTTTAAATTGTTTTCTGTTAGTTTCTTTTTTGTATATTCTATGGGTATTTTATTGATACATGATAGTTGTACATTTTTATGGGGTGCATGTGATATTTTGATATGTGCATACAATGTGTAGCAATCAAATCAGGGTAATTGGGATATTCATCACCTCAAACATTTATCATTTATTTGTGTTGGAAACATTCAAACCTTTTCTTCTAGCTATTTATCCATTGTTGGATACTTATATCAATTCTATATCTTAGCTGTTGTGAATAGAGCTGCAATAAATGTAGGAGTGCAGATATCTCTTTGATATACTGATTTTCTTTCTTTTGTATATATACCCAGCTATGGGATTGCTAGATCATATGGTAGTTCTATTTTTAATTATTTGAGGAACCTCCATACTGTTTTCCATAGCTGCTATACTAATTTGCATTCCCACCAAGGGTGTATGAGCATTCCCCTTTATCTGTATGCCCACAAGCATTTATTTTCCATCTTTTGCTGGAAATGACTATTCCAGCAATAAATAAATAAAATGACTATTAGTCATTTTAACTGGGGTGCAGCGATACCTCATTATGGTATTGACTTCCTTTTTTCTGATGATTAGTAATATTGAGCATTTTTTCATATACCTGTTGGCCATTCGTATGTCATCTTTTGAGAAATGTCCATTCAGATATTTTGTCCATTTTGTAGTAGGATTCTTTTTTGTTACTAAGTTGTTTGAGTTCTTTATATATTGCGGTTATTAATCCTTTGCTGGATGGGTAGCTTGCAAATATTTTCTCCCATTCTTTAGGTTGTCTTTTCACTTTGTTGATGGTTTTCTTTGCTGTGCAGAAGCTTTTCAGCTTGATGTAATTCTATTTGTCAATTTTTGCTTTCATTGCCTGTGCTTTTGAGGTTTTACTCAGAAAAAATCTCTGCCTAGACCAGTGTCCTGAAATGTTTCCCAAATGTTTCTTTCAAGTAGTTTCATAGTTTCAGGTCTCATATTTAAGTCTAATCTATTTTGGTTTTTATATGTGATTTATACAGGTGTAGTTTCATTCTTCTGCAATAGACATCTAGTTTTCTTGGCAGCATTTATTGAACAGGAGAGTATCCTTTCCCCATTGTATGTTCTTGATAGCTTTACCAAAAATGGGCTGGCTGTAAATGCATGGATTTATTGATAGTTTTTTGTTTTGTTTTTTGTTTTGTTTTTGTTTTTGTTTTTGTCTTTGTTTTGAGACAGGATCTCACTTTGTTCTCCAGGCTGGAATGCAGTGGTGTGATGTTGGCTCACTGCAGCCTTGACCTACCAGGCTCAAGCGATCCTCCCACCTCGACTACCCAAGTAGCTGGGACTCCAGGTGCGCACCACCATGCCTGGCTAATTTTTTGTAGTTTTCATAGAGACAGTGTTTCATGTTGCCCAGGCTCATCTCGAACTCCTGAGCTCCAGTGATCCTCCCGCCTTGGCCTCCCAAAATGCTTGGATTAGAGGGATGGGCCACTGCACCCAACCTATTGATAGCTTCTTTATTCTATTCTATTGGTCTGTGTTTTTATACCAGTTCAGTGCTGTTTTTGTTTTTGTAACTGTGTACTAATAACACATGGAGAGATGGAATTTCACTTTTGTCACCCAGGCTGGAGTGCAATGGCACAATCTTGGCTCACTGCAACCTCCGCTTCCTGGGTTTAAGTGATTCTTCTGCTTCAGCCTCCTGAGTAGCTGGGACTACAGGCGCCTGCCACCATGCTCAGCTAATTTTTGTGTGTGTGTGTGTTTTTTTTTTTAAGTAGAGATGGGGTTTCACAATGTTGGCCAGGCTGGCCTTGAACTCCTGACCTCAGGTGATCTGCCTGCCTGGGCCTCCCAAAGTGCTGGGATTACAGGCATGAGCCACCATGCCCGGCTGAATTATGGTGTATTATTATTTTTTAGACAGAGTTTCACTCTGTCACCCAGGCTGGAGTGCAGTGGTGCAATCTCGGCTCACTACAACCTCTTCCTCCAAGGTTCAAGCAATTCTTGTGTCTCAGCCTCCTGAGTAGCTGGGACTAAAGGCACGTGCCATCATGCCCGGCTACTTTTCTGTATTTTTAGTAGAGATGGGGTTTCACCTTGTTGGCCAGGCTGGTCTCTTAACTCCTGACCTCAGGTGATCTGCCCACTTAGACCTCCCAAAGTGCTGGGATTACAGGCATGAGCCACCACGCCTATCCTGGAGCATAGTTAGAACCCAGTGCAAAGAATCTAAGAACCATGATAAAACTACAGGAGCTGATAGCCAGAATAACCAGTTTAGGGAAGAAGAAAACTGACCTGATAGAGCTGAAAAACTCAACACAAGAAATTCACTGTGCAATCACAAGTATCAATAACAGAATAGGCCAAGTGGAGAAAAGAATCTCAGAGCTTGAAGACTATCTTTCTGAAATAAAACATGCAGACAAAAATAAAGAAAAGAGAATGAAAAGGAACTAACAAAACCTCCAAGAAATACGGGATTATGTAAAAAGACATCCTATGACTGATTGGGGTACCTGAAAGAGATGGGGAGAACAGAATCAAGTTGGAAAACATTCTTCAGGATATCATCCAAGAGAACTTCCCCAACCTAGCAAGACAGGCCAAAATTCAAATTCAGGAAATCCTGAGAACCCCAGTTCTCGAGATACTTTACAAGAAAACCCCAAAACACACCATCATCACATTTGCCAAGGTCAAAATGAAAGAAAAAGTGTTAAGGGCAGCCAGAGAGGCCAGGTCACCTAAAAAAAGTAAGCCCATCAGACTAACATCATATCTCTCAGTGGAAACCCAACAAGCCAAATGAGATTGGTGGCAAATATTCAACATTCTTAAAGAAAAGAATTAACAACCCAGAATTTCATATCCGGCCAAACTAAGCTTCATAAATGAAAGAGAAATAAGCTCCTTTTCAGACAAGCAAATGCTGAGGGAATACATCTCCACCAAGCCTGCCTTGCAAGAGCTCCTGAAGGAAGTACCTGATGTGGAAAGGAAAAACCATTACCAGCCACTACAAAAGCACACCGAAGTATACAGACCAGTGACACTATGAAGCAACCACATAAAACAAGTCTGCAAAATAACCAGTTAGCATCATGATGACAGGATCAGATTCACACATAACAGTATTAACCTTAAATGTAAATGGACTTAATGCCACAATTAAAATACATAAAATGGCAAGCTGGATAGAGTCAAGCCCCATTAATGTTCTGTCTTCAAGAGACACATCTCACATCCAAAGACACACATAGGCTCAAAATAAAGGGAGGGAGGAAAAATGGAAAACAGAAAAAAGCTGGGGTCACAATCCTGGTTTCTGACAAAACAGACTTTAAACCAACAAAGATAAAAAAAGAAGGCCATTACATAATGGTAAAGGATTCAATTCAACAAGAGCTAACTATCCTAAATATAAATACACCCAATATAGGAGCACTCAGATTCATAAAGCAAGTTCTTAGAGACCTTCAAAGAGACTTAGATTCCCACACAGTAATACTGGACACTTTAACACCCCACTGACAATATTAGATCATCAAGACAGAAAATTAACAAAGATATTCAGGACCTGAACTCAGCTCTGGATCAAGTGGACCTGATAGATATCTACAGAACTCTCCATCCCAAAACAACAGAATATACATTCTTCTCATCACATGGCACTCTAAAATTGATCACATAATTGGAAGTAAAACACCCCTCAGCAAATGCAAAAGAACTGAAATCAAACTGCTCAGACCACAGCACAATCAAGTTAGAACTCAAGATTAAGAAACTCACTCAAAACCACACAACTACATGGAAATTGAACAACCTGCTCCTGAATGACTCCTGAGTAAATAATGAAATTAAGGCAGATGTCAAGAAGTTATTTGAAATTAATGAGAACAAAGAGACAATGTACCAGAATCTCTGGGACACAGGTAAAGCAGTGTTAATGGGGAAATTTATAGCACTAAATCCCCACAACAAAAAGGTCTCAAATCAACAACTTAACATCACAACTAAACTAGAGGCCAGGCATGGTGGCTCATGCCTGTGATCCCAGCACTTTGGGAGGCCGAGGTGGGTGGAGTGCTTCAGCTCAGGAGTTTGAGACCAGCCTGGCTAACATGGTGAGATCCTGCCTCTACTAAAAATACAAAAATTAGCCGGTCATGATGGTGCAAGCCTGTAATCCTAGCTACTTGAGAGTCTGAGGCAGGAGAATTGCTTGAACCTGCGAGATGGAGGGTGCAGTGAACCAAGATCGCACCACTACACTCCAGCCTGGGCAACAGAGCGAGACTCCATCTCAAAACAAAAAAACAAAAAACAAAACAAACAACAACAGCAAAAAACTAGAGAACCAAGAGCAAACAAATCCCAAAGCTAGCAGGAGACAAGAAATAACCAAGATCAGAGCAGAACTGAAGGAAATACAGACATGAAAAAACCCTTCAAAAAATTAATCCAGGAGTTGTTTTTTTTTTTGAAAAAATTAATTGACTGCTAGCTAGACTAATAAAGAAGAAAAGAGAGAAGAACCAGATACAATCAGAAATGATAAGGGGGATATCACCACTGACCCCACAGAAATACAACCAACCATCAGAGAATACTATAAACACCTCTATGCACATAAACTAGAAAATCTGGAAGAAATAGATAAATTCCTGGACATATACACCCTCCCAAGACTGAACCAGGAAGAAATTGAATTCCTGAATAGATCAAGAACAATTTCTGAAATTGAGTCACTTACAAATAGCCTCCCAACCAAAATAAGCCCAGGACCAGACGGATTTATAGCTGAATTGTATCAGAGGTACAAAGAAGAGCTGGTACCATTTTTACTGAAACTATTTCAAGCAATTGAAAAGGAGCGACTCCTCCCTCATTTTATAAGGCCAGCATCATCCTAATTCCAAAACCTGGCAGAGATATGACAAAAAAAGAAAACTTCAGGCCAATATCCCTGATGAACATTGATACAAAAATTCTCAATAACATTAATACTGGCAAACCAAATCCAGCAGCACATCAAAAAGTTTATCCACCATGATCAAGTCGGCTTCCTCCCTGGGATGCACCATTGATTCAACATATGCAAATCAATAAATGTAATTCATCACATAAACAGAATGAAAGACAAACCACATGATTATCTTGACACAGAAAAGGCCTTTGATAAAATTCAACATCCTTTATGTTAAAAACTCTCAATAAACTAGGTATTGAAGGAACATACCTCTAAATGATAAGAGCCATATATGACAAACTCACAGCCAGTATCATACTGAATGGGCAAAAGCTGGAAGCATTTCCCTTGAAAACTGGCACAAGACAAGGATGCCTTCTCACCGCTCATATTCAACATAGTATTGGAAATTCTGGCCAGGGAAATCAGGCAAGAGAAAGAAAAAGCATATTCAAATAGGAAGAGAGGAAGTTAAATTATCTTTGTTTGCAGGTGGTGTGATCCTATATCTAGAAAACCCCATTGTCTCAGCCCAAAAGCTTCTTAAGCTGATAAGCAACTTGAGCACAGTTTCAGGATACAAAATTAATGTGCAAAAATCGCTGACATTCCTTTTCACCAACGACAGACAAGCAGACAACCAAATTATGAATGAACTCTGATTCTCAATTGCTACAAAGAGAATAAAATACCTAGGAACACAGCTAACAAGGGAAATGACTTCTTCAAGATGAACCACAAAGCACTGCTCAAAGAAATCAGAGAGGACACAAGCAAATGGAAAAACATTCCATGCTCATGGATAGGAGGAATCAATATCATGGAAGTAGCCATACTGCCCAAAGTAATTTATAGATTCAATGCTGTTCCCCTTAAACTACCATTGACATTCTTCACAGAATTAGAAGAAACTATTTTAAAATTCATATGGAACAACAAGAACAAAAAGCCCAAATAGCCAAGATAATTCTAAACAAAAAGAACAAAGCTTGAGGCATCATGCTACCTGACTTCAAAGTATACTACAAAGCTACAGTAACCAAAACAGCATGGTACTTGGACAGAAACAGACACATAGACCAATGGAACAGAATAGAGAACTCAAAAATAAGACCACATAGCTATAACCATCTGATCTTCGACAAACCTGACAAAAGCAAGCAAAGGGGAAAAGATTCCCTTTTTAATAAATGGTGCTAGGAGAACTGGCTAGTCATATGCAGAAAGTTGAAACTGGACCCCTTCCTTATACCTTATACAAAAATTAACTCAAGATGGATTAAAGATTTAAATATAAAACCCAAAACTATAAAAACCCTAGAAGAAAATCTAGGCAGTACCATTCAGAACATCAGCACTGGCAAAGATTTCACAATGAAAATGCTAAAGCACAGCAACAAAAGCAAAAGTTGACGAATGGGATCTAATTGAACTAAATAGCTTCTGCACAGCAAAAGAAACTATCATCAGAGTGAACAGACAACCTACAGAATGGGAGAAAATTTTTGTACTCTATCCGTCTGACAAAGGTCTAATATCCAGAGTCTACAAGAAACTTAAACAAATTTACAAGAAAAAAAACCCCATTAAAAGCTGGGCAAATGACATGAACAAATGCTTCTCAGAAGGAGACACACATGCAGCCAAGCAAACATGTAAAAAAAGCTCAACATCACTGATCATTAGAGAAATGCAAATTAAAACCACAATGAGATAATTAAGATGTCAAGAAACAACAGGTGCTGGTGAGGTTGTGGAGAAAAAGGAATGCCTTTATACTGTTGGTGGAAGTGTAAATTAGTTCAGCCATTGTGGAAGACAGTGTGGTGTGATTCCTCAAAGAGATAGAGGTAGAAATACCATTGGGCCCAGTAATCCCATTACTGGTTATTTACCCAAAGAAATATAAATCATTCTGTTATAAAGATAATGCATGCATATGTTCATTGCAGCACTGTTCACGATAACAAAAACTGGAATCAACCCAAATGCCCATCAATGATAGACTGGATAGAGAAAATGTAGTACATATACACCATGGAATACTATGCAGCCATAAAAAGTAACGAGATCATGTCCTTTGCAGGAACATGGATGAAGCTGGGAGCCATAATCATCAGTAAACTAACACAGGAACAGAAAACCAAACACTGCATGTTCTCACTTATAAGTAGGAGCTGAATGATGAGAACACATGGACACATTGCGGCGGGGTGTGGGGGAACAACACGCACTGGGGCCTGTCAGGAGGGTAGGGAGAAAGAAAGCATCAGGAAGAATAACTAATGGATGCTGGGCTTAATATCTAGGTGATGGGATGATCTGTGCAGCAAACCACCACAGCACACATTTACCTATGTAACAAACCTGCACATCCTGCACGTGTACCCCAGAACTTAAAAGTTGAAGAACAAAAGATTTTTGTAAAAAAAGCAACTTCATTTTGTTGATCCTTTGTATTTTTTTAAGTCTATTTTGTTTAATTCTGCTTTGATCTTTATAATGTCTTTCCTTCTACTTATTTTGTGTTTGTTTTGTTCTTGCATTTTTTAGTTCCTTAAGGTTCATTGTTAGGTTGTTTATTTGAAGTCTTTCTCTTTTTTTTTTTTTTTTTTTTTGATGTAGGCATTTACTGCTATATATTTCCCTGTTAGCACTGCTTTTGCTGTGTTCCATAGGTTGTGGTACATTGTGTTTTCATTTCTGTGTGTTGCAATAAATTTCTTAATTTCCTTCTTAATTTCTGCATTGACTTGTTTTTTTTTCAGGAGCATGTTGTTTAATTTCCATTTATTTGTACCATTTCCAAAGTTTCTCTTGTTATTAATGTCTGTTTTATTCCATTGTGTTCAGAAAAGTTACTTGATATTATTTTGATTTATTTGAATTTATTGAGACTTATTTTGTGGCCTAACATATGGCCTATCCTGGAAAATATCCTGTGTGCTAATGATAATATTCTGTGTGCTGATGAGAAGAATATATACTCTGTAGCTGTTAGATGGAGTGGTCTGTAAATGTCTGTTAGGTCCATTTGGTCTAAAGTGAAATTTAATTCCAATGTTTCTATGTTGATTTTCTGGCTAGATGAGCTATCTAATGCTGTGAGTAGGTGTATGTGTGTGGTTTTTTTTTTTTTTTTTTTTTTTTTGAGACGGAGTTTTGCTCTGTCACCCAGGCTGGAGTACGGTGGCATGATATCGGCTCACTGCAACCTCCGCCTCCCAGGTTCATGTGATTCCCTGCCTCAGCCTCCCAAGTAGCTGGGATTACAGGTGCCTGCCACCATGCCCAGGTACTTTTTGTATTTTTAGTAGAGATGGGGTTTCACCATCTTGGCCAGGCTGGTCTCGAACTCCTGATCTTGTGATCCACCCGCCTCGGCCTCCCAAAGTGCTGGGATTACAGGCGTGAGCCACCATGCCTGGCCTGCTGTGAGTAGGTTTTAAAGTACCCAAATATGACTGTATTGGAGTCTGTCTCTTCCTTTAGATCTAGTAATGTTTGCTTTATATATCTGGGTGCTTCAGTGTTGGGTGCATATATATTTAGAAATGCAATATTCTGTTGATGAATTAATTGCTTTGTCATTATATTATGATTTTCATTGTCTTTTTACTGTTGTTGTTTGCTGTCTTATCTTTTAAGTAGGACATTTAATCCATTCACAGGTAGGGTTATTATTGAGATGTTATTATGAGATGTGAGGACTCATTCCTGAAATGAATCCTCTCCATTTTTGTTTGGGAGAGACTTTATTTCTCTTTTATTTATGAAAGATTCCTTGGCTGGGTATAGAATTCTTGTTAGGCAGGTTTTTGTTTTATTTTCCTCTCAGCACTTTGAATATATCATCCCATTCTCTCCTGGCCTGTAAAGTTTCTGGTGAGAAATCCTTTGTTACTCTGATGAGACGTCCCTTGTATGTGACTAGGCACTTCTCTCTGCCTTTAACTTTTGACAGTTTGACTATAATGTGACAGAAGACCTTTTGGGGTTGTTATCTATTTGTGGGTGTCTGAGCTTCCTGTATCTGGATGTCTAAATGTCTTGCTATACTTGGAAAGTTTTCAGTCATTATTTTGGTAAATAGGTTTCTTATGCCATTGATCTTCTCTTCACCTTCTGGAGCACTGAAATCCATATATTTGGTTGCTTTATGATGTCCCATGTGTCATGTAGACTTTGCGTTCTTTTTCATGGTTTTTTTGGTTGTTGTTTTCGGGGTTTTTTGTTATTGTTGTTTGACTGAGAACATTCCATATGCTGATGAGAAGAATGTGTATTCTGCAGCAATTGGATGAAATGCACATATATTTATTTTTTTTGTTTGTTTTGTTTTTTAATTTTTAAAAAAACGAGATGGGGTCTTGCTATGTTGACCAGGCTGGTCTCGAACTCCTGGCCTCAAGTGATTCTTCCATCTCTGCCTCTTAAAGTGCTGAGATTATAGGCATGAGCCACCATGCCTGTCCGTGTTTTTATGCTTAAGTGATCCCTTTATCGTTATATAATGACTTTCTTTGTTTCTTTCTTTTTTTCTCCACATTGTTTTCCATAGTGGCTGTACTAGTTTATATTCCCACCAGCAGTGTAGAAGTGTTCCCTGTTCACTGCATCCACGCCAACATCTATTGTTTTTTGACTTTTTTTTTACTATGGCCATTCTTGCAGGAGTAAGGTGGTATCGCATTGTGCTTCTGATTTGCATTTCCCTGATCATTAGTGATGTTGAGCATTTTTTCATATGTTTGTTGGCCATTTGTGTATCTTCTTTTGAGAATTGTCTATTCATTTCCTTAACCCACTTTTTGATGGGATTGTTTGCTTTTTTCTTGCTGATTTGAGTTCATTGTAGATTCTGGCTATTAGTTCTTTGTCGGATGTATAGATTGTGAAGATTTTTCTCCCACTCTGTGGGTTATCTGTTTACTCTGCTGACTCTTCCTTTTGCCATGCAAAAGCTCTTCAGTTTAATTAAGACCCAGCTATTTATCTTTGTTTTTATTGTATTTGCTTTTAGGTTCTTGGTCATGAAATCCTTACATAAGCCAATCTCTAGAAGGGGTTTTCCAATGTTATCTTCTAGAATTTTTATAGTTTCAGGTCTTATATTTAAGTCCTTGATCCATCTTGAGTTGATTTTTGTATAAGGTGAGAGATGACAATCCAGTTTTCATTTTCCTACATGTGACTAGCCAATTATCCCAGCACCATTTGTTGAAAAGGGTGTCCTTTCCCCCTTTATGTTTTCGTTTGCTTTGTCAAAGATCACTTGGCTGTAAGTATTTCGGTTTACTTCTGGTTTCTCTATTCTTTTTTATACCAGTACCACACTGTTTTGGTGGCTATGGCCTTATAGTATAGTTTGAAATCAGGTAATGTGATGCCTCTAGGTTTGTTGATTTTGCTTAGTCTTGCTTTGGCTATGTGGGCTCTTTTTTGGTTCCATATGAATTTTAGAATTGTTTTTTCTAATTCTGTGAAGAATGATTGTGGTATTTTGATGGGAACTGCACTGAATTTTTAAATTGCTTTTGGCAGTATGGTCATTTTTACAATATTGATTCTATCCATCCATGAGCATGGGATGTGTTTCGATTTGTTTATGTCATCTATGATTTCCTTCAGCATTGTTTTGTAGTTTCCCTTGTAGAGGTCTTTCACCTCCTGGGTTAGGTATATTCCTAAGCATTTTATTTTTTGCAGCTATTGTGAAAGGGGTTGAGTTTTTTATTTGTTTCTCAGCTTGGTTGCTGTTGGTGTATAGCAGAACTACTGATTTGTGCACATTAATTTGGTATCCAGAAACTTTGCTGAATTATTTTATTAGTTCTAGGAGCTTTCTGGAGGAATTGTTAAGGTTTTCTAGGTAAACAATTATATAATCAGCAAACAGCGACAGTTTGACTTCCTCTTTACTGATTTGGATGCCCTTGATTTATTTCTCTTGTCTGATTGCTCTGGCTAGGTCTTCCAGTACTATGTTGAAGAGGAGTGGTGAGAGTGGGCATCCTTGTTCCATTTTTCAGAGGGAATGCTTTCGACTTTTCCCCATTCAGTATTATGTTGGCTGTGGGTTTGTCAAAGATGTCTTTTATTACATTGAGGTATGTCCCTTGTATGCCGATTTTGCTGAGAGTTTTAATCAAAAAGTGATGCTGGGTTTTGTCGAATGCTTTTCCTGCATCTGTTGAGATGATTATGTGATTTTTGTTTTTAATTCTGTATATGTGGTGTATCACATTTATTGACTTGCATATATTAAACCACCTCTGCATCCCTGGTATGAAACCCACTTGATCAAGGTGGATTGTCTTTTTGATATGTTGTTGGATTCTGTTAGCTAGTATTTTGTTAAGGATTTTAGCATCTATATTCATCAGAGATATTGGTCTGTAGTTTTCTTTTTTGGTTATGTCCTTTCTTGGTTTTGGTATTAGGGTGATAACTGGCTTCATAGAAAGACTTAGGAGGGTTCCTTCTTTGTCTATCTTGTGGAATAGTGTCAATAGGATTGGTGCCAATTCTTCTTTGAATGTTTGGTAGAATTCTGTTGTGAATCCGTCTGGTCCTGGACTTTTTTTTGTTGATAATTTTTAAATTACCATTTCAATCTTGCTGCTTATTATTGGTCTGTTCAGGGTATCTAATTCTTCCTGATTTAAGGTAGGAGGGTTGTATCTTTCCAGGAATTTATGCATCTCTTCTGGGTTTTCTAGTTTATGTGCATAAAAGTGTTCATAGTAGCCTTGAATGATCTTTTGTATTTTTGTGGTATCAGTTGTAATATCTCCTGTTTCATTTCTTTTGAGTTTATTTGGATTTTCTCTCTTCTTTTCTTGGTTAATCTTGCTTATGGTCTGTCAATTTTATTTATCTTTTCAATGAACCAGGTTTTTGTTTCATTTATCATTTGTGTTGTTTTTTGTTTTAATTTCATTTAGTTCTGCTTTGACCTTGGTTATTTCCTTTCCCCTGCTAGGTTTGGGTTTGTTTTATTCTTGTTTCTCTAGCTCCTTGAAGTGAGGCCTTAGATTGTCTATCTGTGCTCTTTCAGACTATCTGATGTAGTCCTTTAGGGCTATGAACTTTCCTCTTAGCACTGCCTTTGCTGTATCCCAGAGGTTTTGATAGGTTTTGTCACTATTGTCATTCAGTTCAAAGAATTATTTAATTTCAGTCTTGATTTCATTGACCCAGTGATCATTCAGGAGCAAGTTAATTTCCATGTATTTGTGTGGTTTTGAAGACTCCTTTTGGAGTTGATTTCTGTGGGGGCCTGTCTTGCAGACCCTGATTCAATGACAGATGAATAACGTACACTGACACAGATATTATGCTTGTCAATCTGGCCAAGGGTCCGGGCCACTTACAGACTCTAAGGAGAGTGCTGTCAGCCACAGCCCTGACTCTCTGGCCCTCCTGGCATTTATTCAGTACACATTAAATGACAGAAGTCTCAAGTAAACACCATTAGAGGGTAATCAACCTGGTCTCCTTCCACTCCTGCCCCCCACTGCCAGCGCTCCACCCCTCCCAGCGCTATCCTGCCCGCAAATGATCAAAGGTTAGTTTTAGAACCACATGAGTAAACAAGCTATTTAGATAAACTACTCTACATTCCTGTTAATTACCCTTGCTATAGCTCAAAGAGGATTAGGCTGCCTTCAGCCATAACTCTGTCCTGAAGCTTTTGCAAAAAGCTTTTGGCCTTCCAAGAAGGTTTGTGTTTTATTTTATAATTTTCCCCACCATTCTGACTGAACCCCTACATCTCTCCCTTTTCTGTTTTCTGCATTGGGTCTTATTGATTGGAGAGTGCAGATGTATGCAGCAACAGGTTTGTCAGGAGTGGCAGTGATTGCTCTTATTCTGGCTTTGCATCCTAGAATTAGTAAATAACATAAGACAATCATGAGTATAATTAGCAACATTCTCTGCTAGTCAAAGAGTGACCCCCAGGAGTGGGGGTCTAACCAGGAGAGATGATCTTGCACACCCTTCCATATGGCTGTTTGTTGGGTGTGTAGATCTATAGTGTGAAGGGATTCTAAAATTTTAGTTTTAAGTTGCTTTACGTCTGCTGTTAAATTCCCCAGAGGTGTTGTTTCACCTCATCCCAACTATGCATTGATTGATTCCATGGTAGAGAAGTGACACAGATATGCTTATGCTCCCAGTTGCAGCTTAATTGCTGTTGGAATGCCAGTGCATCTTGTGGCTCCCCCACATATTTTAAAGCAGCCTCAAGGGCTTGCAGACGTGCAAGAATTTTTTGATCTATACCCTGCTATAAGAGAAGTTCATTAGACACGTTTTTGGCCAGATTATCTACAAAGGCAGCTGTTTATACTGACTCAGTAATAGATGCCACAGCAATGCTAGCAGTTGCTAGGATGACTATGGCTGAGACTATAAAGGCCATAAATGTAACTATGAATCTTTTGTGTCTGACCTGGGACAGGGTACGCTCTAAGGTGGCAAGGGCAGAGGATCCTTGCCAATCGCATGTCAAATTGACTGGTAGGAATGCCTCAGATTATCTCCTTAGTACCATGACACTAGTAATATTTAGATCAGATATATTGTAATTAATGATACATGAGGTGAACCAAGTCTGTCCCTGCACCCGGGTCACAAATGTGGAGTTTTGGGGTGAAATAGAAATATTGGTTCCCATAAGGAAAACATGGATGGGTAGTGCAAATCAGTTACTAATCAGCGTAACTGATCAGTATGAATAAAGGTTATAGTATAGTTGTTACCGGAATTATGATATGTTCCATGCCAGGTGTCAAGGGAGGTGCCAAGATGTCCCAGGTGCCATAAAGTGTCTTGAGGTGGCATGGAATTTACTTGGGGTCTGGGATATTGCATCGCCCCATTGGCCCAAATCATAGGGGAATGGGACATGGCTACAAAACTGTGATTGATGCCTTGACAGAGGAGGACATTAGTAAGGCTGCCCTGCAAATGGCCATGGGGACTCCAGTCTAAGATGTTATAATTGCCTAACTGGAGGCTATGGGCTTGTCCCCTGTGACAGACCTCCCAGCTAAAGTAAAATCCAGTACTTTCCCAGTTTTGTCCTTTAGCACAGGAAGGAATGTTTGGGAAAGTGGCATTGATTGCATTACCTGGTTTGAGGCTACCTGTAGCTAAGGCTGTTAAGGCATTTTCTTTGCCATGATATGGTCATAATTGTGTTTGGGCAGATACACAGTAAGTGTTAGAACCTTTATAACTTACACACAGTGGGAAGATAGTGGAGTGATATGTAGTGTTATCTGGCACCTTAGTCCAATGTATGCCATTACTGAGGGACCCCACTGGGGGTAAATCTATCCCTCCTAGCCAAGCACTTATGTTATTATAGGCTGGGAAGGGGATGTCTGCCCAGGTGACAGGGCGAAAGAAAGGCGGGTCTAAGATAAGAGCCAGTAGAGTGTAGCAGGTACAGTTTGCAGACAAAGCAAGAGCATAAAAAGGATCAATACCCTATGTGAGTTGCAATGTACAACAGAGAGCATAGCAAGGAACAAATTATCTGAAGTAAATGGTGTCTGTGTCTGGAGCAGAATTCATTCAGCCTCCTGAGTTGTCCTCTTCAGCATCCCCCAGGTGACGTCCGGGGCTTGTGTCATCCATGGAAGCCTCATCGTCTGGGGCTGTGGATCCTGTAGGGTCAGTTCCTTCATCTCCGGTACCAGGTTGGATCCTAGCCACACCATGGTATGGTTTAATGCATCATGCTGGAATTCAAAGAGGACCTGAGGGGGTATGGACACAAGCCTACCCTCTTCCCCACATTAACAATTCATTTGGATCACACCATTCATTACTGTTTACATCTTTCCATAAAACTGCAGGCTTTATGTCTTGAGAGGTTTTAGCAAAGTGCTTTTCTACAGCTGATTGAAATTCGTCATCTAAATTTAGAAAATTAAGGGTAAATAAGGCTTGTGCCAATAGTGTTGGAGGGTTTTTACTCATACTCCCCCTCTTCTGGCTGTTTTCTGGGCATATTTTTAAGGGTGGAGTGGGCACGTTCTACTATGGCTTGTCCTTGGGGGTTATATGGGATGCCTGTGGAATGTTGGATATTCCACTTGTGACAAAATTGTTGAAATTGTGAGCTGGCATAAGCTGGACCATTTTCAGTTTTAATTTTTTAATTTTTTAATTTTTGTGGGCTGCCCCATAAATGCAAAAGTTAAAAGATGTTTAATGATATACCAAGTGGACTCTCTAGGAAGGGTGTGTGCACTAATTAGATGAGTGTTGGTATCAACGGATACATGTACATATCTAAGTTTTCCAAATTCAGGGACGTGTGTAACATCTGTTTGCCATAACTGATGAGGTTCTAATCCTCTAGGGTTAACACCTGTGGAAGGAGGCCAGGGAGCTGACAATCTGGGCATTGTGGGATAATTTGTTTAGCCAGCCTCTGAGTAAGTTGAAATTGTTTAGATAAATTTCTCCAATTTTGGTGGAAAGATTGATGCAATTGGGTGGCTTGGTCAAGCAGTGATGTCATAACTTGTAGGTCTTGTTCGTTGCCATAAGCCAATGGGCCAGGCAGAAAGCTGTGGCCTGGAATGTGTGTGATAAAAATAGGATGTGTACATTGATCTAGGAATTGCTGAAATCAAAGAAAAAGAGCACACAGGGTGGGCTCAAGAGCGGACTTAATTAAGGCTGTTTTGAGGGTTCTGCAATAAATAAACAGTGTAAGCCAAGTCATTTACAATATTTATGGGCTGAGTGGAAAAAGTTTCTAAGGCCAGTATCAGGGCCCCAGTCTCAGCTCTCTAAGTGCTAGTAAACCCAGATCGAGTGATTGAATTATGTGGTCTCTACCAGACTGCTGCTTTTCCATGTTTACCAGAACCATCAGTAAACAGTGTTAAAGCATTAGGTATGGGGGAGTGAACTATTTTTGTGGGTAAGATTACCAGGGTATGAGATAAGAAATAAAGGAGTTTATCAGCAGGAAGTATGTGCTCTATTTGTCCTGTGTAATCAGAGAAAGCTATTTGCAGATTAATAGATACTGGCAATACTGCTTTGAATTGCTTTTTACTTAAAGGAATCCTGATGACATCAGGGTCATAACCTAGTGACTGATTGCATTGTTTGTGGCCTGAATAGATGACTTTAGTAAGTAACTGACTATAGGGAGATAGTGTTTTAGTCCCGGTATGTGGCAAAAAACCCATTCTAGGAAGCATAGCCCGGGGGCCATCTGTCCTATTAACCCTGTAGGGGAGTGTTTGGTGAGAAAGATAAAACAATTGGATTGAATAACGTGGATCAATGCGATCTAGCTGCCCCTGAGAGACGGCTTGTTCTATTTCCTCAATTTCCCTTTTTGCTGCAGGGGTTAAATATCTGGGAGAATACCGGTTGCTAGTTGCTAGTCTTTAATTTAACCTTCTGAGGTCTTACTGACTGGAAAGTTAATACGTACCCAAGATATTTCCAAGGAGAGGACATTTTTACTTTTTCAGGTAAATGATTAAATCTCTTAGCTGTGTATTTCTTTACGACAGAGGAATATAAATTTAAAAGTATTGGCTCCGTTGGGGCTGCTAGTAGAATATCATCCATAAAATGAATAATCTTGCAATCAGGAAATTATTTTCTACTAGGGAGCAAGGCTTGATTTACATGATACTGACACATGGCAGGACTATTTAGCATTCCTTGAGGAAGCACTTTCCAATGAATTCGACAAGCTGGCTTTTCTTTATTGATAGCTGATATTGTAAATGAATTTTTCTCTGTCCTGTTCTGCTAGGGGAATCATATAAAAACAATCTTTTAAGTCAATAATGATTATAGGCTAATCTTGAGGAATCGCCGTGGGGGAAGGGAGCTGCTGCTGAAGTGGTCCCATAGGTTGCAAATTGGCATTAATAGCACGTAGGTCATGCAAAAGTCTTCATTTCCCAGACTTTTTGGGAATGACAAAAATGGGTGAATTCCAAGGGCTGTTAGATAATTCGACATGCCCAGCTTTCAATTACTCTTCAACTAATTCATGGGCCCTCTGTAATTTCTCTCCCTTCAGAGGCCACTGTTCTACCCAAATCGGATCTTGAGAGAGCCACATCAGGGGTAGGGGAGGAATAATAACAGTGGCCATTGTTTGAAAGGGGTCTGCAGAGTAACCCCCCATTGGGCTAATAGGTCCCATCCCCAAAGATGAACAGGGATGGCCATGATTAGAGGTTGTATAACTGCCTTTCTTCCTTCTGAATCATAGCATGTTAGGGGGCGTGTGCTCTGCTTGGCTGTGTGTGCTTCCATGATGCTGACAATTTTCTGTTTCTGACTGACCCAAAGCCAAGTTTCTGGCCAGTTTTGATCACTAATGATTGAAATGTCTGCCCCTGTGCCCAGTAAGCCAGTAAAATTCTTATTTCCAATTTCTTCATGGGTCCTTGATCAGTGATTAATTGATTCCAATATACTCCTGTGGCTCCTGTGCTCCCAAAACTTCCCTTCCCCCTTTCCTTTCCATAGAGACTGGGGACCCAGTATGATAAAATCAGTAACTGAGCTATCTTTGATCCAGGGGGAAGAATATGCAGACCTTTACAGTCCATCATAACCAATATCTCTCTGTGATAATCACTATCAATTACCACGGTGAGCACATTAATTCCTTTACTAGATAGGCTAGACCACCCTAGGACTAATCCCACTGTTCCTGGAGGCAGCAGGCCCCAGATCCCGGTTGCAACCCTTTTAGGGTCTTCTCCTTCTTTTAGCATTAATTTGTTGAGGCAGAGTAAGTCCAGTCCTGTGCTCCCTGTGGTGGCTGCTCTGAGAGAGAGGACTGTGGGCTTCCCATCTGATCGAGGAAAGCTGCTGGCATTGCCCCAGTTGCGAGCGGGGCCTGGGGCTTGCTCCTACTGAAGTTGCCTGACTGGTTTTTTATGGGGTTGGCGTTTTTATCAAATTTACACATGCACTGATTTGCCCAATGTTTCCCCTTCCTACATTGGGGACATATAGAAGAGGGTTCTTTCCCTGAATTACCTTGGTCTCTACTATGGGAGCATTCCCTCTTCATATGACCTGGATCTCCGCATAGAAAACAATTTGGGTTTCTCTCCCTTTTCACTTTAGGAGGCCTTAATGCCATAGCCAATATTTTGGCTTTGTTTGTCTCAGTTCCTACCAGCTGACACGCTCATAGAAGCTCCCCAACTGTGGCTGCCTTTCCTTTGATTGCCTGCATTGCCTGCTGCACATTAGCGTTTTCAAAAGACAGTTGCAACGATAAGATATCAGCAGCTTGGGTGTGACTAGTATGTCTCTTAATTGCCTGGGTTAACCGATTGATAAACTCAACAAATGGCTCTTGAGGCCCTTGTCAAACATTTACGAAAGATCCCTGTTGAACTCCACTTTTGGGAATTCCGTCCCAAGCCCTGAGAGCACACAAAGACACTTGAGCATAGGCCTGGGGATCAAAATCTAGTTGTTGTACATTGGCATGAGGACCCCTCCCTTGGAGCATATCAGCTGTTATGTCTTGGCCGGCCACCTGATTCTGGTTGGCTTGTTCGTACAACTCATTGTATTCTGCCTTCCAGAGGAGGTATTGGCTAGGCTACAAAGTTGTTTTAGCTAGCATTGACTAGTCCCATGGGGTCATATGCAAGTGGCCTGCCAAGGCCTTAATCATTCCTTTCGTAAATGGGCTAGCGGCTCCATTTTCTTTAACGCTTTTTCTTGGCTCTTTATAAGGTTAAAAGAAACAAGTTGTGGCCAGGTGCGGTGGCTCATGCCTGTAATCCCAGCACTTTTGGAGGCTGAGGCGGGTGGATCACGAGGTCAGGAGATTGAGACCATCCTGGCTAACATGGTGAAACCCCATCTCTACTAAAAATACAAAAAATTAGCCGGGCGTGGTGGTGGGCGCCTGTAGTCCCAGCTACGCGGGAGGCTGAGGCAGGAGAATGGTTTGAACCCAGGAGGCGGAGCTTGCAGTGAGCCGAGATCGCGCCACTGCACTCCAGTCTGGGCAACAGAGTGAAACTCCGTCTCAAAAAACAAACAGCTGGAGTGTGTTTCTTGTCTTTTTTCTTACTTATTGGAGGAGGGGGCTCAGGCAAAACCTCCATTTCCTCTCTGTTATTTTGGCCCGGTGATGGTGGGGCTGAGGGAAAAGGAGGCAGTAAGGCAGGCGACATTTCCTCCTCCTTCCCCTTTTTAGGCTTTTCTGTGTATAATGGGACCAAAGCTGTCCTTACTAGAGCCCATAGTGTTAAAGATGATGCTGGGACCTGTTGCCCTTGTGCATAATGCTGTTCAAGATTTCTCCCCACTTGTTCCCAGCATTCTACATCTAGCGTGCCTTCTTTCGGGAACCATGTGTTATGGTTTACTACAGTTTGCATTAGGTCTCTTAACTGAGCCTGTGAAACGGGCTCCACTAGCCTTAAGCAGCTGTTTCAACACTTTTATATACTGTTTCTGTTGAGCTAATAACTGTTGTCCCATGATGAAACCTCAGCCTGAACTTGGAGATCCCAAGCGGGCACCAATGACTTACTGATTACTCACTTGACCACATGGTCCTTTTCACTTTCATTTCAAGGGGTCCGTCATGCTTCCTTTGCAGTGTTGGTCACATCGGGGTCACCACCTGTGGGGGACTGTCCTGCAGACCCTGACTTAACGACAGATGAATAACGTACACTGACACAGATATTATGCTTGTCATTCCAGCTTGAAGGTCCAGGCCACTTACAGACTCTAAGAAGAGTGCTGTCAGCCCCGGCCCTGACTCGCTGGCCCTCCCAGTATTTATTCAGTACACATTAAATGACAAAAGTCTCAAGTAAACACCATTAGAGGGTAATCAACCTGGTCGCCTTCCTCCATTCCCCTCCCCACAGAGCGTTATCCTGCCCACAAATGATCAAAGGTTAGTTTTAGAACCACATGAGTAAACAAGCTATTTAGATAAACTACTCTACATTCCTGTTAATTACCCTTGCTATAGCTCAAAGAGGATTAGGCTGCCTTCAGCCATAACTCTATCTTGAAGCTTTTGCAAAAACCTTTTGGCCTTCCAAGAAGGTTTGTGTTTTATTTTATAATTTTCCCCACCATCCTGACTGAACCCCTGCAGATTTCCAGTTTTATTCCACTGTGGTCTGAGAGAGTGCTTCATATAATTTCAATTTTCTTAAATTTATTGAGGCTCGTTTTGTGGCCTATCAATCATATGGTCTATCTTGGAGAAAGTTCCATGCACTGTTGAATAGACTGTTTATTCTGTGGTTGTTGGATGGAATGTTCTGTATGTATCTCTAAGTCCATTTGTTCCAGGGTATAGTTTAAATCCATTGTTTCTTTGTTAACTGTCTTGATGACCTGTCTAGTGCTGTCAGTGGAGTATTGAAGTCCCCCACTATTATTGTGTTGCTGTCTATCTCATTTCTTAGATCTATTAGTAATTATTTTATAAATTTGGGAACTCCAGTGTTAGGTGCATATATGTTTAGGATTGTGATATTTTCCTGTTGGACAAGTCCTTTTATCATTATATAATGTCCCTCTTTGTCCTTTTAAACTGCTGTTGCTTTTTTTTTTTCCTATTAATTCCTGCCACATTATTTTTAATTATGTACAAAGATTTAACACGTCACCCAGGGACCATTTCACCCACTGCTCTGTTTGGCCCCCAGTCTTTTGTCTCTCTCTTCAGCAATAGTGAGGCAGATACCCTTTCCTCGGGGAAGAGAAATCCATGGTTTGTTGCCCTTGCCAATAACAAAAATGTTGGAAAGTCGAGTAGCAAAGCTGTTGCCATTGACATCTTTCATGTGAACCACGTCAAAAGATCCAGGGTGCCTCTCTCTGTTGGTGATCACACCAGTTATTCCCAGGTTAGCACCTCCAGTCACCATACACAGGTTACCAGTGTACCAGTGTTGAACTTGATGAAAACAGTAATCTTGCCAGTCTCCAAATCAGTCTGAATGGTATCATTTACCTTGATGAGGGGATCAAGGTAGCGGATGCTGTGAGCATCATGAGTCACCAGATGAGGGATTCCTTTTGTGCCCACAAAGATTTTTCTCACTTTACCCAATTTGTACTTAGCCTCCTCGGGTGTAATACGATGTACAGCAAAGCGACCCTTGGTGTCATAGATCAGATGGAAATTATCTCCCGTCTTGTCAATGCTGATGACATCCATGAATCCAGCAGGGTAGGTTATATCAGTTCGTACCTTGCCATCAACCTTAATGAACCCCTGCATGCAAATCTTTACTTCATCTCCTGTCAGGGCATACTTAAGTCTGTTCCTTAGGAAAATGATGAGGGGGAGACACTCTCTCAACTTGTGAGGACTGGTGGATGGACAAGGAGCAAACACACTGGTCAATTTATCCAGCATCCAATGCTTTGGAGTTGCTACCTACTTCAGATGCTTCTTGGGACCACCAGCCATGGCTGCATTAGGCAAGGAAAGACGACCTCTCTTCCGGTGTGTGTAAGAATTCTAAACTGCTGTTGCTTTAAAGTTGGTTTTGTCTGATATAAAAATAGCTACTCCTTCTCACTTTTGGTGTCCATTTGCATGAAATGTCTTTTTCCACCCCTTTACCTTAAGTTTATATGAGTCCTTATGTGTTAGGTGAGTCTCTTGAAGGCAGCAGGTGATTGGTTTGTGAATTCTTACCCATTCTGCCATTTTGTATCTTTTTTTTTTTAAAAAAAAAGATATCTTTTTTTAAAGACAGAGTCTCGCTCTGTTGCCCGGGCTGGAGTGCAATGGCATGATCTCAGCTCTCTGCCTCCTGGGTTCAAGCAATTCTCCTGCTTCAGCCTCCTGAGTAGCTGGGATTACAGGCGCTTGCCACCACGCCTGGCTAATTTTTGTATTTTTAGTAGAGACGGGGTTTCATTATGTTGGTCAGGCTGGTCTCACAAACTCCTGACCTCGTGATCTGCCCGACTCGGCCTCCCAAAGTGCTGGGATTACAGGTGTGAGCCACCACACCTGGCCCATTCTGTATCTTTTAAGTGGAGCATTTAGGCCATTTACATTCACTGTTAGTATTGCGATGTGAGATACCATTCCATTCATTGTGTTATTTGTTGCTTGTATGCCTTGGTTTTTTGTTTTTGTTTTTTAAGTTGTATTTTGTTTTATAGGTCCTGTGAGATTTATGCTTTAAAGAGGTTCTGTTTTGATGGGTTTCCTGGATTTGTTTCAAGATTTACAGCTCCTTTTAGCTGTTCTTGTAATGGTGGCTTGGTAGTGGTGAATTCTCTCAGCATTTGTTTGTATGGAAAAGACTATCTTTCCTTCATATATGAAGCTCAGTTTCACTGAATACAGAATTCTTGGCTGCTAATTGTTTTGTTTGAGGAGGCTGAAAATAGGCCCCAATCCTTTCTAGCTTGCAGGATTTCTTCTGAGAAATCTGCTGTTAATCTGATAGGTTTTCCTTTATAGGTTACCTGGTGCTTTTGTCTCACAGCTCTTAAGATTCTTTCCTTCATCTTAAATTTAGATAACCTGATGGCAGGGTGCCTAGGTGATGATCTTTTTGCGATGAATTTCCCAGGTGTTCTTTGTGCTTCTTGTGTTTGAATATCTAGGTCTCTAGAAAGGCCAGGGAAATTTTCCTCGATTATTCCCCCAAATATGTTTTCCAAACTTTTAGATTTATTTTCTTCCTCAGGAATGCTGATTATTCTTAGGTGAATGGTTTCGTTTAACATTAACTGTAGACTTCTTGGAGGCTTTGTTCACATTTCTTATTTTTTCTTTGTCTTTGTTGGATTGGGTTAATTTGAAGACATTGCCTTCGAGCTCTGAATTAATTTCTTCTACTTATTCGATTTTATTGTTGAGACTTTCCAGAGCATTTTGCATTTCTGTGTTTCCATTGTTTCCCTGCAGTTTTGATTATTTTTTATTTATGCTATCTATGTCATTGAATATTTCTCCCTTCACTTCTTGTATCATTTTTTTGGTTTCCTTACATTGGGCTTTGCCTTTCTCAGGTGCCTCCCTGATTGGCTCAATAACTAAACTTCTTAATTCTTTTTCAGGTAAATCAGGGATTCCTTCTTGGTTTGTGCCCATTGCTGGTGAGCTAGTGTGATTTTCTGGGGGTGTTAATGAACCTTGTTATGTCATAGTACCAGAGTTGGTTTTCTGATTCCTTCTCATTTGGGTAGGCTCTGTCAGAGGGAAGGTCTAGGGCTGAAGGCTGTTGTTCAGATTCTTTTGTCCTGCAGGGTGTTCTCTTGATGTAGTACTCTCCCCCTTTTCCTATGGATGTGGCTTCCTGAGAGCCGAGCTGAAGTGATTGTTATCTTTCTTCTGGATCTAGCCACCCAGCAAGTCTGCCAGGCTCCAGGCCGGTACTGGGGGTTGTCTGCACAGAGTCCTGTGATGTGAACTGTCTGTGGGTCTCTCAGCCAGGGATACCAGCACAGTATTTGGGGTGTCTCCTGGGTCCTGCAGGAGTAATCTGCTTCCTTCAGAGAGTCTGTGGGTCCCCTTGGGTTTCCTGATTTAGTTCTGCAGTTGTTCTGGAGCAAAAATTAATAATCCAAGCCTCCACATGCTGCTCTGTCCATCTGATCGGAGCTGCAGTCTAGTGCTACCTCCCATCTGCCACAATCTCACAACTCCACCCTTTGTTTCTTTTTAAAGTTTTTGACTTAATGTCTATTTCATCTAAGTATAGCTACTCCTGCTTTTTTCTTTTTTTTTTTTTTGGGTTTCCACGTACATGGAATTTCTCTTTCCATCCCTTCACTTTCAGTCTGTGTGTCATTATAGGTGAAATAAGTTTCTTATAGGTAACATATAGTTATGTTGTAAAAGTTATTAAGAAATTATTTTAGGCAGATAGAGAGGAAAAGAGGTCCTTGGGAAGTTTTCATTTTTTATTAAGGAGATTATCCTTTCCTAGTGATGTCTTCTTGGTTGAAAATTAGTTGACTGTTATATACTTGGGTTTACATCTGGGCTCTCTGTTTTGTTCCATTGGTCTTTGTGTATGTTTTTATGTCACTATCACATTGTTTTGAATTACTCTGGCTTTATAATGGATCTTGGGATCGGGTAGTGTGATGCCTCCAGCTTTGTTGTTTTGCTTAGATTTGCCTTGGCTATTTGTGGTCTTTTGTGACTCCATATGAAATTTTTGATTTTTTTCTATTTGAAAAATGTCATTGGAATTTTGACAGATTGCATTGAATGTGTAGTCATCCATTTTTGAATGGTATTTTTGCTTGATGTAAAATTTGAGGTTAAGTTTTTATTTCAGTATTTGAAAAATGCTGTTACATTGTCTTCTTGCTCCCATTGTTTCTAACTGGAAAGTCAGCCATTACCTCTGTTATTTCTCTACATTTAATACATTGCATATCACTTTTTTTTTTTTTTTGATACGGAGTTTCACTCTTGTTGCCCAGGCTGGAGTGCAATGGCGCGATCTTGGCTCACTGCAACCTCCGCCTCCCAGGTACAAGTGATTCACCACGCCCTGCTCATTTTTTTGTATTTAGTAGAGACAGGAATTCACCATGTTAGGCTGGTCGCAAACTCCAGACCTCAGGTGATCCACCTGCCTCAGCCTCCCAAAGTGCTGGGATTACAGGCGTGTGCCACTGTGCCCGGCCAATGTCACTTTCTTCTGAGTATTTTGAGTATTTTCTATCTTTGATTTTCAGCAGTTTGACTATGATGTGTGTAGGTTTAAGTTCCTTTTGATGTATTCTTGTGGAAGTTCCCTAAGCTTCTTGGATTTGTAGGTTGATGTTTTTCATGAAATACAGGAAAATTTCAGGCACCATTTCTTAAAAAACTTTTTTTTCTGCCCTATTGTCTTTCCATTCTCCTTAAAACCGCATTTTCAGGCCGGACACAGTGGCTCATACCTGTAATCCCAGCGCTTTGGGAGGCTGAGGTGAGTGGATCACTTGAGGTCAGGAGTTCGAGACCAGCCTGGCCAACATGGTGAAACCCCATCTCTACTAAAAATACAAAAATTAGCCAGGTGTGATGGTACGTGCCTGTAGTCCCAGCTACTCCGGAGGCTGAACAAGGAGAATCACTTGAACTCGGGAGGTGGAGGTTGCAGTGAGCCGAGATCGCACCACTGCACTCCAGCCTGGGTGACAGAGAGAGAGAGAGAGACTCTGTCTCAAAACAAACAGAACCATACATTTTCCTTTAATTCTGTAAACACTTTTGTTTCTTTGTACATATTTAAAATAGCTGCTTTAAAGTCTTTGGGGCATCTCAAGGTTAGTTTTTGTTGACTTTTTTCTCTGGACTCTGGGTCATAGTTTCCTTTCTTTGCATGTCTAGTGGTTATTTATTTATTTATTTACTTATGAGACAGGATCTAGCTCTGTTTTCCAGGCTTGTCTTGAACTCTTAGCCTCGAGTGATCCTCATGAGTAGCTGGGATTACAGGCATGAGCCATCACACCCAGCTTGTAATTTTTTACTGTATTCTTTATATAGTGGGTGAATTGTAACAGATTGTGAATTCTGTTGGCTTGTTCTGAAAAGTTGATAGTTTTTATTCATGTAGGCAGTTCAAAGATAATCATCTTGAATATGTGGTAAGTGCGTGCCAGGTTTATTCTGAGTCTAATTTAGTAGAACATAACCTCCATAATTTCCCCCTGTGCATCGTATGGGTTTAGTTTTATGCTTTGTGGGCCTTACTCTAGGGCACAATTCTTCATTCTCAGGGGGCCTTTCTGGTGTCTAAGCTGGATGTCTGGAGTATCAGGTGTTGGTGCTCCACTCTAGCTGGGCTGGGACTCCAGCATCCTTCAGCACTTCTTAGCTTCTAGTATCTCTGTTCTCTTTCAACTTAGTAGCTACTGCTTTCTGGCAAATTGCATATAGTGTTGCACTGTACATAAGCCCTTGGCAAAGACCTCACAGGGAACTCTCTCACATGGGCTTTTGCAAGATAATGTCAAGCCTGACAAGAAAAAAATGTGTCTCTTTTAATACCCAATTTCAGTGTATCTGCATCTACCATGCTTTGAGTTATTATGAAAAAGTGTTGGAAAAAAACCCCCAAATTATGAGCTAGCCTCTGTACAGCTTTTTCCCTCTTGATCTTGTAGATTCCAGCCATTGTGACTGCCCAGAACTCTGATCTCTCCCCGCTCAGCTCAGTGGGAGCACTGTGGTCTGCCTGGACGCCACTCACTGTGCTAGAGTCAGGGTAATGTCCTTAAGCAGACAGCCAGGCATTCATGTGACTTACATCAGGAACTTTCCCTCTATTGGGGGTGACTGTCTTGTGCTGCATTTTGTCTAATGTCTAAAAGAAATTGCCTTACATATATTTTGTCCAATTTTACGGTTAAGGCAGGTAAGCTAGTCAGGTAGTAGTTACTCTGTTATATCAGCAGAAAGCTGACAATCCTAGGAGGTACCTAGCCTCTAGCTTGAATATCCGCTCATCTTCAAGACACGAAGATCTGCCAGCTTTGCTCAAAGTATCTGAATAGAGAGGAAACATCCAATGAGTGCTTTTTAGATGCAATGTTTATAAAGTATAAATATATATTTAGTAAATATTTGATAAACTAATGATAAGCCATTATAGCTTATACCATTTTCCATTTCTCAACAATTCAAATAATCACCATGTACTATGCTTTATGTCTTGCTTTGCTTTTCTGTAGGAAAACTTTGGACCTTATTGAGAAGAGGAAAACACTTAATTGGGCAGAAGTCCTAGTGGCACCCACCAGAGCTCTACTGCATTCAGACACTGTTCACACACTGACCATTCATGTGTGTTCAGCATCTGAACTTGGCCTTGTGACGTAGAGACCCTGATGAAAGCTAATGTTTCTGTTTTCATGAAAATATTCAATCTAGGGAACACCTTAGAGGAAAAAAGACTTTTAGGTAAGATTGGTTTGGAAATTGGGAATGACCCAGCTTGTGCCTATATATGTGGGCCTGCAATCAACTTCTGTGGTAGGAGTGAGTTGCCTACCTGAAGGGAAACTTTTTACATAGGATTTAAAAAGATGATACTAATTTAAAAACAAACAACATTTTAAATAGGTTCAAAGCTAGTGAAAGTAAAAATAAACTAATTAATATTACCCCAGTATTAAGAATTTAGCACACCTACAACCATCTGATCTTCAACAAACCTGACAAAAACAAGCAATGGGGAAAGGACTCCCTATTTAATCAATGGTGCTGGGAGAACTGGCTAGCCGTATGCAGAAAATTGAAACTGAACCCTTTCCTTACACCTTCATACAAAAATTAGTTCCAGATGGATTAAAGACTTAAATGTAAAACCCAAAACTATAAAATCCCTAGAAGAAAATCTAGGCAATACTATCTGGGACATAGGCACAGGCAAAGATTTTATAATGCAAATACCAAAATCACTTGCAACACAAGCAAAAATTGACGACTGGGATCTAATTGAACTAAAGAGCTTCTGCACAGCAAAAGAAACTATCACCAGAGCAAGTAGACAACTTACAGAATGGGAGAACATTTTTGCAATCTGTCCATCTGACAAAAGTCTAATATCCAGAGTCTACAAATAACTTAAACAAATTTACAAGAAAAAACCCCATTAAAAAGTGGGCAAAGGACATGAACAGACACTTCTCAAAAGAAGACATGCATATGGCCAACAAACCTATGAAAAGAAGCTCAACATCACTGATCATTAGAGAAATCCTAATCAAAACCACAATGAAATACCATCTCACACCAGTCAGAATGGCAATTATTAAAATGTCAAAAAAAAAAAAAATAACAGATGCTTCCGAGGTTGTGGAGGAAAAGGAACACCTTTACACTGTTGCTGGGAGTGTAAATTAGTTTAACCATTGTGGAAGACAGTGTGGCAATTCCCCAAAGATCTAAAAGCAGAAATACCATTTGACCCAGCAATACCATTGCTGGGTATATATCCAAAGGAATATAAATCATTCTATTATAAAGATACATGGATGCGTATGTTCACTGCAGCACTATTCACAATAGCAAATATGTGGAATCCATCCAAATGTCCATCATAGACTGGACAAATAAAATACTGTACACATATATATACACACCATGAAATACTATGCAGCCATAAAAAAGAACAAGATCTTGTCATTTGCATGGATATGCATGGAGCTGGAGGCCGTTATCCTTAGCAAACTAAGGCAGGAACGGAAAACCAAACAGTGCATATTCTCACTTATAAGTGGGAGCTGAATGGTGAGAACACATGGACACATAGGGGGAACAACACGCCACTGGGGCCTGTTGAGGAGGGGAGGGAGAGAATCAGGAAGAATAGCTAATGGATGCTGGGCTTAACATCTAGGTGATGGGATGATCTGTACAGCAAACCACCACACCACACATTTACCTATGTAACAAACCTGCACATCCTGCATATGTACCCCTTAAAAGCTGAAGATAAAAAATTGTTTTTTAGTGGTTTCTACCTGTAATCTCACTTTGGGAGGCTGACGCAGGAGGATCGCTTGAGCCCAGGAGTTTGAGACCAGCTTGGGCAACAAACAAAGGGAGATCCCATCTCTACAAAAAATTAAAAATTGCTGGGCACGGCGGTTTACACCTGTAATCCCAGCACTTTGGGAGGCCAAGGTGGGAGGATCGCTTGAGTCCAGGAGATCAAGATCAGTTTAGGCAATATAGTGAGACCCTGTCTCTACAAAAAAAATTTAAAAATTAGCCAGGTGTGTTGGTGTGTGCCTGTAGTCCCAGCTACTTGGGAGGCTGAGGTGGGAGGATCACTTGAGCCTGAGAGGTCAAGGTTGCAGTGAGCCATGATCATGCCACTTCACCCCAGCCTGGGTAACAGAGCGAGACCCTGTCTCAAAAAAAAAAAAAAAAAAAAAAAAAGACACACACACACACACAAGTTTCTTGATATAGTGTATTCATAAATATTTTTTATTCTGTCTGTCTCTTAAGACCCAAGTGAAAGGATAATAAATTTTAAAAATATATAAATCAATGCAAACAAAGAGAATTGGAAAAGAGACAATTCTAGATGAAAGATTTCAACAAATTTTCAGAAGACAGAAGACAAAAGCAGCAGCAACAGACGTAACAGGGTGGAGAAAGCCATGATATAATTTATGCAAAAGAGGATAGTGATGAAAAGTGAACTTGAGACTCAGAGCTGATAAGCACAAAAAGGGGCATACCAGCTTTTTGAACAGGGGCATGCAGCTGTTCTACATATGCACTAATAAACCATGAGACAACCATGGTTTATTATTCCATATGTAGACTGGCTGCAACTCTTCATCTCTGCAAACTTCTGCAAAGAATTCCTAGCACCTATACCCCAAGCAAGGGTCCAACTTCTCATCTGATTCGCCTTAGAGCAGAGGTCTGCAAAGTGGCTCAATCCCTCTTCTTACAAATAAGGTTTTATTGAAATGCATCCTGTCTATTCATTTACATATTATCTATGGTAGAATTGCAAAGTTGCAACATAGACCTTACGGCCTGCAAAGCCTAAAATATTTTCTGGCCCTTTACAGAAAAAAGTTTGCTGGCTACTGCCCAGAGTAGAGCCTACCAGAGGAGCTTCACCTACACACTCAGCTTCTTCAGTAAATGTTTTAGTATCATCTTTCCCTAAAACTAAATAGACCACTAGGCATCCTAGATGCATGGAGAAAATCATTATGAAAGGGAAAATCCAAATTAAATAGGCAAAATAATAGAGAAAATAACTCAAGAAGAAATAAAAGAAATGGTTTTTAAAACTAATTGGTATGCTCAATGACAAAGGGAACTCTATTCTCACATTTCTATAAGGTTATTATTTCTTTGGAAAAAAGAGAATTTATGTTTCTGATTGGTGAGTGGCAAGAGTTCAACATCGCCAGGTGTGGTGGCTCATGCCTGTAATTCCAGCACTTTGGGAGATTGAGGTGAGTGGATCACTTGAGGTCAGGAGTTTGAGACCAGCCTGGCCAACATGGTGAAACCCTGTCTCTACCAAAAATACAAAAATTAGCCAGGCGTAGTGGCATGTGCCTGTAATCCCAGCTATTCGGGAGGCTAAGGCATGAGAATCACTTGAATCTGGGAGGCGAAGGTTGCGGTGAGCAGAGATTGCACCTGGGTAACAGAGTGAGACCTTGTCTCAAAAAAACAAAAACAAAAGAAAAAAAAAGTTTGACATCAGTTGCTCCCCCCAGCCCAAATTTTCTCTTTTCTTTTCTTTTTTTTTTTTTTGAGACAGGGTCTTGCTCTGTCACCTAGGCTAGAGTGCAGTGGTGTGATCATTGCCCACTGCAGCCTCTACCTCTTGTTCAAGTGATCCTCCTGCCTTGGCCTCCTGAGTAGCTGGGACCACAGGTAAACACCACCATGCCTGGCTAATTTTTGTTTTTTGTTTTTTTTGTAGTGATTGATAGGGGTTTCACTATGTTGCCTCAGCTGGTCTCTAACTCCTTGGCTCAAGCAATCCTCCCATCTCAGCCTCCCAAAGTGCTGGGATTGCAGGTGTGAGCCACCGTGCCCAGCCTGTTTCCATTTCTTAAGTGAGTGCAATACCTGTATTAAAAACCAATTGCATGTGACACTATTCTTTCCCAACACTTGAGGCTTGACAAGTGAGGGGTAAGCAATTTTTCTTTTGGTAGGCTGCCTAAATAGATAAGTAAGTATCTGCCTTGCCAAATACTCGACCCAGCAGATGCATTGCAAGGTCTAGATTCCGGGAAGAAGGCAGCAAGCTTGATTGTGATTGCAGGTCCAGGTTACAATGTGTTCTGTATTCTGGCTCTACTGACAATAAAGCTGTTAATGTTACCTCCATCTATCTGGCTGCAGTTTATAATTTGAATCAGATCTCTAAGGAATATGGCATGTGATTTCTCGGCCTACTTAATCCTGAACACATGCTATGTTGGCTGTGACTTGAGCTCAGGCCCCCAGATGGCAAGTGAGAATTCTACTTTCTTTCTTTCTTTCTTTCTTTTTTGAGATGGAGTCTTGCTCTGTCACCAGGCTGGAGTGCAGTGGTGCAATCTCAGCTCACTGAAACCTCTGCATCCCAGGTTCAAGCAATTCCCCTGCCTCAGCCTCCTGAGTAGCTGGGACTACAGGCGTGCACCACCGCACCCGGCCAATTTTTTGTATTTTAGTAGAGACGGGGTTTCACCATGTTGGCCAGGATGGTCTCGATCTCCTAACCTCATGATCCACCCACCTTGGCCTCCCAAAGTGCTGGGATTACGGGTGTGAGCCACCACACCCAGCTGAAAATTCTACTTTCTAATCTAACAAATAGATGATATGAGAAGGTGGTATATTTATTCATAAAATAAAAGTTGCTATATGAAGGGAGCAATCAGAGAACAAGAAAAAACCTTCAAAATTTAAAATATATAGTTGTAATGAATTATTTAATATTAGAGTTAAAAGATAAGATAATGTAGGAAAACTCCTCTCAAAGAAGACAGAGCCAAAAAGGAAAGGGGGCAGGGAAGAGCAAAAAACATAGCTGAGAAAATTAGTCTAAAAGGAACAGTATCTACAGATTTAAGAGGACAAATAAACTAAAGGGGAGAAAGTTAGTTAGTAAAGAAAATTCTCCAGAGCTAAGGACACAGATTAAATAAGCCTACAACACACCCTGCAAAATGAATTTTATTAATTTTATTAAAACAATAGAGATGGGATCTTGCTTTGTTGTCCAGGCTGGTTTTGAACTCTTGGCTTCAAGCAATCCTCCCACCTCAGCCTCACAAAGGGCTAGGATAACAGGTGTGAGCCATGGTGCCCAGCTGCAAAATGAGTTTTTTAAAAAAGATTCACATTAAGGGACATCGCTATGAAATTTTAGAATACCAGAAATACAAAAAATATCCTAAAGTCTTCTAGAGAGGGGAAACACAGATCGTATACAAAAGAACAAAAATCATAATTGTATCAGTCCACTTAACAGCAACAGCACAGGCTAGGAGACTATGAGAAGCTTTCAAAGGGAAACTTTTCAACTTAGAATTCTAGACCCGGCTATCAATCATGAGACTAAAGACGTTTTCAGACATCCAATAATTCGAAAACTTTGTCCCCATGCACCTATTCTTAGGAAGTTATGGCAGGATATGCTCAAGCAAACCGAGAATTTTAAGCTAAAAGGACAAAAGTATGGATGCCAGAGATGGACTCTGGATCCAGCCAGAAATGGGGAAGGAAAAGTCTGGAACAACTTTGCAGCAGCCCTGGAAAACGAATCCACATTGATACAAAACTAATGGGGAGGAGGGGCTGGGATAGAGGAAGAGGGTGGGGGAAGACTCCAAAGAGCGAATGATATAAAAGAACATTCCAAAGGAATTAAAGTACACAAGAAAACATCATATACAGGAACATGTATTTATAGTACACTAAGTGTTGGCTCTGATTAAACAATATTTACATAGTTGTTTTATATTATATAAATTCTCATTAAATATATCCATATTGGGAGGAGAGGGGAAGGACATGAGAGCCAAGTCCTTACCTATCATAAAAAAGTCAACAGATCATAATATAATTCAATATGTAAGGTCTAGGGTTAACAAATTGTAACAGTATATTCTTTAGAAATATAAATGACCCAAAGAAAGAGCTAAGAATTTAAAGTGGTTGCCTCTACAAAGGACTAGATGGAGAGAGATGGGATAAGGTATTCTTTCTTTAATTAGCAAAATCAAACTATTAAGTAACAAACTTTATTGAGTTAAAACCTTCATTAATTGTCTTGAAATTACTTTGAATTTTATAAATGGCAAAATGTTAAAGATTCAGTTGACTTTTTACAGTTATGCAGGAATCCACCTAGACTACTTTTCTCCTTTCTGGATAATGTAATATATTTAGATTCTTCACTTAAAATGATGGTTGTTCCCTCATGGGCCATTCTCCAGAAGAACGAGGAGTAAGTCATGTTTTCTCCTATGTGGATGCAACCCAGGAAGGCTGGCTTCACTCATCTGATTTTACTAAGGAAGTTCATACTTGTTATCTCCTTATTACAATTTAAATTATAATAACCAAAGATACGTGACTGACTTAACTTTCCAAACAAATGAGGCCACTACCCTCCCTCCACTACTACCACCCCCCAGCCCAAGTTATTGTCATCTCTCACATGGAACACTATGACCCTGCTCCAATCATTCTATAGGTCGTAGTCAGTGATCTTTTAGAAACACAAATTGAATTCTACAAATACAAATCCCTATTCCAGCCCCAGGTATCTTAATCTCTTTAATGGCGCTCTGTTGTTCATAGGACATCCTTAACACGGCCTACAGAAGCATGAATCAGCCCCTATTTCATTGCCTTCATCATTCTCTCATTTGTTCTCCGCCATTCGTAGGAACTGTGAAGCTTCTGAGGGCCACATGCTACTTTATCCAGGGCCTTTGTAAGTGCTTGGTCATCTGTTTGGGACACTCTCCTTGCTTCCCCCTCCCTTCAACTATTTCCCCTTCATACCTTAAAGCTCAACCACCATGTCCCTAAGGAATAAAATGTGGGAGCAATTTTTTTTTTTTTTTTGAGACAGGCTGGAGTGCAGTGGCACATCACAGCTCGCTGCAGACTCAACCTCTCTGGCTCCAGTGATCTTCCTACCTCAGCTTCTTGAGTAGATGGGACCACAGGTGCATATCACCATGCCCAGCTAATTTTTGTATTTTTTTTTGTAGAGAAAGAGATTTGCTATGTTGCTCAGGCTGGTCTTGAACTCCTGAGCTCAAGTGATCTGCCTGCCGTAGCCTCCCAAAGTGTTGGGATTATAGGCATGAGCCACTGCACCCAGCCTGCAATTTAAAACAAAAATCATTTCCTATTTCTCAATAGTTCAGACATTATTTGGTATCTGTTATGTCTGTTGCATGTCCTGCTTTATCTGAGAATGTTTCACTTGGAGAAGGAAGCCTTTCTGATCTCCCTCAACCATCCAGACTATGTCAGTGCTACATACTCTCCTGGCTTCTATTACTTTTCCTTTCAAGCACACATCTCAGTTGTTATTAAATTGTGTACTTTGTGGTCATTTCCTGTCTCCACTACTGGAATGCAAACTTACTGCCAATGGGTGCAGCACAGCTCATAGTAGGCACTCAGCAAATACTTGTCAAATGATGGAATCTGCAAAAACTAAAGATAATAAACCAGTGTCAGTACCAAAGAAAGAATAAGCCATTGTTTTAGCTCAGGAAAGGAGTATAGAATGTACCATGTGATTCCTTGATCTCCACAATGCAACTCTTCACTTTACTAATTAATTCCCAAGGCCACACTCTATACCTTGCACCCAGAACTGCTCTCAGGAATCTCTTACATCCCTTTCTCTGATCATATCATCCAATTATTCCACATCTGCTGCTCACACTCATACTTGCTCTCCCACTTCATGGAGACTTCTGAGCTTGGATTCTTCCATTTTCTCTGAATCTAGCTCTTCAACTAGAGCTATCCCCGCATCCTGGCTTGATGCCATACTCAATTCTTTGTTGGGAGCTGAGTACTACTGGAGAAAAACAATACAATCATGCAGTTTGGCATCACCACAATTTCTCTACATTGTAGCCAATTACTGATCTTTCTGAACTACAGCCCTTAGTATTATCTTACCCCATTTAAAGCTCTTCCAAATTCCTAAATGTGACATTTTAAATGCTTTATTATTTGCTTCCCTCCCCAGCTTCCCTTCTCAGAATTTCAGTACTCTATGTAGTTATAGCTTAGCCGTTGGTAGCCTCCAAGATCCTCCCCTTGCTCTGTGCTGCTCCTACTCTACAGCTTAAATGCTGTTGACTCCAATAGGGTCCCCACCCTGGCTACCCAAGTGTCATGCTTGTGTATATTCCCACCTCTGAACATCACCATCACCTGAATGTCCCACAGGCACTATCAACATATTTAAAATTGAACCTGGTGACTTAAGCCAAAGAAATCTGATAGCTATCCTTGTCCTGATGTTTTTATTTCCTAAATACATTTGCAGATCACTCCAATCTTCATCCCTACTGCCATCATCCTCCTAGTTCAGTCTCTATTTCTGAGACTATTGCATTAGTGTCCTCTTCTTGACATCCTTGTCTTTCCCCTATGTAGCAGAGTGATCGTTCATCAATCCCTTGAGCCCTTCAACTGCCTATACATTAAAATGATCAAATTATATTACTACATTACTAAAGTTATCAAAATTGCATACTTATCTCTCCTTTCTATGGCTTCATCTTTTGACATTGTACTACACGCACGCCAGCTCCTCTACTCACTATGCTGCTCCCACTTTCAGAATTCCATCCCCCATCTCCCCACTTAACCCAGCATTCTGATTCTCTCTCTCTAATGTGTCTACACAAAACCTAAGTATAGATTTCTTTAAATAAGCTTCCACAAAATAAGCTAAGTGATTTTGTTTACATTTCATTTCACACTTGTTTCAGAAACCCATGGCTTTGTCTATGGCTATGACTATGTCTTCTGACTTCAAAGTTAATACTCTTTTTCACTAACCTAAGTTTTAGTCTTCTACATCAAGCCAGGTGATGTAGAAATAATTAAAACACAATAAAATATCACATTTTCCCTTTTCTACCTAATAGGATGGTAGGCATCACAAAATCTGAGAACACAAAACGTGGATCTTTTGAAAAGGTATAGAAAAAAAAATCAGTAAAATTTAGTCATTAAGTAGCCTACATTCAGATCTTAACAGGAGACTGAATAAGAACTTCCCAAGGTTAAATCTTCCTTATGGGAGATAAGAACCCAGTTTTGCTTTTGACTCTAGCAATAAGTAGGTATGCAGCTTGGTGATATCAATTCACCTCTTTGAGCCTTAATTTCACCTTCTTAAACCTGTAGTCATTCCATAGATTCCCAAGATAGGCCAAAGACGGAAATGGGATGGGGATGTCCATGAACCCCTTGAAATTTTATGCACAATTCTGAATATGAACTTATTCTATTTTCTAAGGAGAGAGATTTCTCGGCTTTCATTATATTCTCAAAGGGGTTAGTAAATTCCAAAGTGATTAAAAACTTCAGATTATTTGCCATCTCTCATATGACTGTATAAATATTTTTAAAACTATGGAATTGGAGATCCATTATTGGTTTAAATTTTATAACAAACTTAGACCATAATAACCTTTTTCTGTTCTTTGCTCCAGGATTTAAATCTAGTAAGGTTAAGGCTAAATTACAATTCTAGGCATGTTATAATCAAGAAAAGCTTACTCTGGTATTTCTTAGCAGAAGAAAGGTCAATGTAAAGGGTTTGATAAAGCAACACTAACTTTTCATTTTAAGTTCTATGTGATTGAGATTTAAACAATGACTGAAAAAAGTCACAAAAGGGCAAAATTCCATTCAACAAAAACTGTAACACCCTGAAAGCTGTATCATTAAAAAAATCATAGCCTGCAGTCAACTTATTTCAAGCAGTATGTATTACAAAATTACTGACCAACAAAAGGAACTCTGATTATAGGGCATCCTCTGGCATCTAGTTCAGCTTCCATTTCCTTACTTTAAATCTCTATCTCCAACTGCCTGCTTGGTTATTTGCCAACTCCAAATCAAAGGATTAATCAATGCTTATCACCATCTTCCTGAAAAGTGGACCTATCTCCGTACTTCATTACCTCTGTAGTGGTACTCTGTTCTAGTTATACAGGCTCAAGCTACTTATGAATTTGAAAGAGATCCAATATCTCTCAAGCCTACAATAACTTCAGGTAAGAAAACTGATTAAAAATCAGAAAACAACTAGACTCTCCATTTAGAATCAACTACTTATTTATTTTTTTTTTGAGACGGAGTTTCGCTGTGTCGCCAGGCTGGAATGCAATGGCGAAATCTCGGCTCACTGCAACCTCCGCCTCCTGGGTTCAAGTGATTCTCCTGCCTCAGCCTCCCAAGTAGCTGGGACTACAGGTGCGTGCCACCACGCCCAGCTAATTTTTGTATTTTTAGTAGAGAGAGGGTTTCACCATGTTGGCCAGGCTGGTCTTGAACTCCTGACCTCTTGATCCGCCCGCCTTGGCCTCCCAAAATGCTGGGATTACAGGCATGAGCCACCGCGCCCAGCCCCTAGAATCTACTTAAGAACCCAAGGAAAAATACTTGTGTTTTCAATATAAGAAATTTGCAAGGAATAAAAAGACATGAGAAAGCCTACAGAAAGGACCTAAAAAATATGACATTTATGAGAAAATAAAAAATTTAAACACTTACTGGATATTTGATATCAAGGAAGAATATTTAAAGATAACCTATTTATGGGGCTGGGCACGGTGGCTCACGCCTGTAATCCCAGCACTTTGGGAGGCTGACGTGGGTAGATCGTGAGGTCAGGAGATTGAGACCATCCTGGCTAACATGGTGAAACCCCGTCTCTACTAAAAATACAAAAAATTAGCCGGGCATGGTGGCGGGCGCCTGTAGTCCCAGCTACTCGGGAGGCTGAGGCAGAATGGTGTGAACATGGGAGGCGGAGCTTGCAGTGAGCTGAGATGGGGCCACTGCACTCCAGCCTGGACGACAGAGCAAGACTCCGTCTCAAAAAAAAAAAAAAAAAAAAAAAAAGATAACCTATTTATGGATAAAATAAAATGATGCCTGAGACTTGTTTCAGAAAGAGTGGAAAGGGGTGCATGGAGTACAGCTCAAATAAATTTGGTCAGAAATTCAGAATGACTGAAACAGAGGAATGGGTAAATGGAGATTCTCTTAAAGTAAAAATAATTTACAAAATTCTTATAAGAAAAATAATTGTGTACACCGTACCACTCTCAGCAGTGAAGCCATATACAATTGGGGTCTTAAAAACGAAGGGTGGCTTGGTACTCACATCATCATGCAAAACACACAGGAACTTTATGACCACTTAGTCAACAGAGTACCAAACTGAATTTGTTTGGTCAGTGACTTTCTATTACACTAAATTTGCATGTAATTGTTTCTCGGCTAGCACCAATAGGACAGACTGTATTTCAGAAAAAAATTCAAGTGAAAAATTAGTAAAATCATTTTGTAACAAATGCTGCCTATGACAAACATTAGCTATAGGACTAAACAAACTTTGGTTTTAAAATGAGCAAGGCAAACAGCAAAAGGTTCAAACACGTAGGATTTTTATGGGGCAAAAATTACTATCAAGTGTTTCAAATTACATTATTTCAAGTGGGTAATCTGATGAGTTTTATATTTGCAAAAGTAATCTTATTCCAATTATCCATATCCACAGTTCTGAAGATGCAGACCACCTGGACACAGGTAGTGACAAGGATGAATTTTTCTGTGCAACTAAAAGTGGTGGGTAGGGGAGGGAGAACCACATACTTCCCTGGTTAATTTATTTCTAAATAAAAATACGGTAAATTTGCTTGCTGATCATGAAATCTGTATTGAACAAACATCAGTTTGACTTACCTGTTTTCATGAGACAGACTATGGTCATAAAAATCACCTGTGTGCTTCAGTTACCTGAATAATTCAAATACTCAACCTATCAACAGAGTAAGCTATATATTTCTCTCAAAAAACTCAGCATTTCTTCCATTAGAGATTACTACATCTAGAAAATTCTAGAGATCACTGAATTTTCTGCCATGTGTATTTTGGTATGAACATATTTTTAAAACTAGCCATTCTTTCTTAATAAACAATTTCAATAAGGCTAAAATTTCATATTAATGTACTTAAAAAGTGAAGAGATACTTGAAAATTTTTATATCAAATATAACCTATCTTTTCAAGTCAATATAACAAGATTAATCTATGGTAATTAATCAACACACTATAGAGTAAGACTGAACTTTCTAAATACTTAATAGAACTTTGTGAATCCCCAATATACTTAAAGTTTGATTTTGTATATTTGACTGCCAAAGCTTTAATAGTGTTAAGACCTAACAATTCATCTTGAAGAATCTTCAACTTTCTGAAAATTTTGGTTTGTATATTTAAGAGTTAAGGCTTATATTAACATTTGGCTTCTATTAACAGATAAAATAGGAGCTTAGAATATATACAAAATTTCAAAACTGATTCCTAAAATTCCTAAATTTCTTTTTCTTTTTTGAGATGGAGTTTCGCTCTTGTTGCCCAGGCTGGAGTGCTATGGCGTGATCTCGGCTCACCGCAACCTCCGCCTCCTGGGTTCAAGCGATTCTCCTGCCTCAGCCTCTCGAGTAGCTGGGATTACAGGTATGCACCACCACGCCCGGCTAATTTTGTATTTTTAGTAGAGACGGGGTTTCCCCATGTTGGTCAGGCTGGTCTTGAACTCCTGACTTCAGGTGATCTGCCCGCCTCGGCCTCCCAAAGTGCTGGGATTACAGGTGTGAGCCACCGTGCCCTGCCTAAAATTCCTAAATTTCTAATGAGTGGCAAACACAGAATTCCATCTATGGCCAACTGAGGCAACAGAAGACTTACTACTGTGTACCTACTTCCTAAAAATTACTCTGAACAGGATTCCCAAGTATGTATACTACAAGGATCCTTTAGGAACTGGTTTACTTCAATAAGGATCATCTCTCTTAATGTCTGATGTTCAATTAGCTTAGAGTAGTGAGACACAATTACTTCAATTCCAGATTTAAATCCCTATCATGACATTAGTAAATTACCAAATCCTTCTAAGCCTGCTATCCTCATCTACAAAATGAGGATAAAATATATAACGAGAGTTTTTGTGAGAATTAAATGACAGCATGCATCACTGTCACGTAAATAGAATTCAAAACTGGCTTTTTACTCACATTTACATTCTTAGTACTCTCTCTGGGCTGGATTTTATTCTTATATTTTCTCTAACCAGTACCCTTTTTGATATATTATTCTCAGAAGTGACCTCAAATCCTTTGTTGATATACATAAACTCCAAGAAGAACCAACCAACCAACCAACCAACCCAATCTAGTTTTGTTCCAGAGTTCACAGTATAAGGAAAAGAGAAACATGTAAGTAAGGGGAACAAAACGAAGAGTGAGAAAACATTTCCGTGAAGAAAGCATTTGAAAGAATTCCACATAGGAAATAGATCCTGAAAAGTTATTTTCATAGTGGTTTAATAGGTGTCACAAAAAGGTATTTTGTGGCAATGTCATTCTTCCTCAAAAATTGAATACCTTCATTTATTTGCCAATTTCATAAAACAGCATTCTGGAGGTCAATTTTTTCAAAGTGATTTAAAAATAAGTAAAACATTTTTAAAAAGAATTAAACTTGAAACAGACCTCATCCACTGTAAATTTTAGGCATTACTATTCCTGAGTGTCAACTATACATATCAAATGATTAAACACCTCCCTCCTGATTTAGTCAAGATATCTGCAGTAAGTAATGTGTAAATGACAACTGTTCCCAAGACTTATGATAAAAGCTTTTAGCATAGATTAGAAAATGAATAAACATCTCAACAAGTAAAATTACTCTTTTCAGCATTAAAAAATAATTTGTGAAAAATGTAGTGAGTGTAATTATGAAGTGTCATATTCATCTCAACTCTAGTTCTAAAATAACCGGACATCATTTTAACCAAGAGAAATGCTGGTTTTCCAAATAACAGGTTACCTTTACCCGAGGTTTAAAGAATAAATATCAGCATCATGACATCACTAGAAAGAAATTGAAGCATACAAGGAATAAACTATAGTTTCTTTTTATATCAAAATGTACTCTTGAAAATGTGTTTGGCACAGTGCTAAATCATATATAGTTAATACTAAATATTGCAGGATACAATAAAACCCTGGAGTTAATTGTTTACACCCTCTTATGGGAATGAAAATAATAGATACCAATTATTCAGAAGTCAGCCTATACAAACTGTATAAACAATATTTTATGTTTTGCTTTGAAAACCAGTGATATAATAAATTTTACATAAAAGACTGTAAAATAATATAAATGGATTTAAACAGATTTTTACAATAAGAAATTCAAATGGAAACAGACAAGTAACAAAGAGAAGTAAAAAAATTTATTGCAGTATTCGCTCCACCAGATTACCTGGGGATCCCTTTTCTTGTATTGTTTTCAGGGTGACCTAATACATCAAAATCTACATTTACAAAAACTCCTTCTGCAGATAGGTCATAGATACTGCATGCTTTTTTTTTTTTCAACAGAATAAATTATATATCCAGGAGATTCTGCCATTTTACAGCCTGGAAAAAACAATGCTTCCCTGGAAACTGGGCTAAGCTAAAGAAAGCCATCCGCTGCTAGGTTAAACTCCAAGAACACTTTATTAAGAACATTAACAGACTAATTTCCAACATTCACTTGTTTATTTTTTTTAAACAGAAAGTTTTTTTTCCAAGATATAAACAATTTTTGTTAAACTATAATACAGTGGGAGTAAAAATGAACTGAGAATCTGTTTCTGCTGCACAACAGCGAAGGGAGCTCCCACAAAAATGTTTGCCCAACATTTCCTTCTTTTGTTCCTGCATCCCAGGTTCCACTTACTCTTCATAAAACTGATTTTTTTTTGCCAGAATGTTGGTATTTCAAGTTTTTCTGCCTTTTAAAAAAATTCCTGTAAATTTGGCTGCATGTACAAATTCATTAGCTGGAAGTCCCATCCTTGGCGGCATACAGGGATCGTAAAGTCTGAACAACTTTATTAGTCAGCTTATTAGCACTCGTTAGAGCAATTTTTTTGTAAATAATGTCTGACTCTTTAATAGTGTCTACCCAAGGCACCAGTTTGCGGCCATCACGGCGCTTAGCCTCAGTCCAGGAGCCACTGTAGGAGCCTGCCATCCACTGAACACTGAAGCCACTGCTGGTTTTCTGCACTACTCTTGCAATTTGTGGTCGATCTTTGTACTTTGGACAGCAAATAGCGATGACATCCATGACGTCAACACTTTCATTCATCTGTGCTGCCAACTCCGTAGAGTCTGAATTTCGTTTTGACCTTCTCAATGACTAAAACATTGGGAGGGGGGAAAAAAGACCAAGTGTTACACAAAAGAATTTTAGTGAAATTATTGTTTTTATTGCTTTTAATCCCTTGACGCCGGGAGTTGGGATTTCCCGGCACACTTCCATTGCCGGCAATGAGACGCACCGTGACCGCCAGCGCCAAGGGGTTAACATATACTTGTAAAACCATATAACTCTTAATTTGTACCCGTGTCTTTACTCTTATTGATATATAAAATTATATATACATATGAACCATATAGCTACATAAAACTTAGCAACAATAAAAATAACACACATTAATACAATTCAAAGAAAAATTAACCCTTTATGCTGGATAAATCTCATTTCTGTTTTTTTATTGTCTTTTATGTTAAACTTTCTACAAAAGGATGTATAAACGGGTAAGTAGAGAATCTCTATCTACAAAATGTTTTCTCTTTTAAGTATTACATTACTTGGTGTACATTTAATAGACTGACATATATAAGCACATAAAAATCATTTTACGTAATACGCTGCGAAATACGTTGACTCCTCCTCCGCCTCACCCCTGAAGTGCCTCCTCCTCTATCCTCCCCATCACTTTCATCATCTTCTGTCTCTGCTGCTGTATTATTTTTAGGGCTGCCTCCTCCAAGCAGTGAGGTAATTGCTTTGTTCCGAGCATTTGTGCTAGCTGAAACCTCCCCTTCTTCTTCTTCTTCATCAGGGTCCAGATGTTCCATGAGAAGTTTGAACTACAAAAAACAGATATTATTTCAGAATTTTAAGTAAATATTTCAAGCAAGATTGTCAAATTCCTAAATGTTTTCTATGGCAGTAGTTTGGTGTGGGTGAAACAGACGTTAGCCATCATCTAAATTAGGGGCTAGTAAACATTTTCTGTAAACAGCCAGGTGGTAAATATTTTTCATTTTGAAGGTCAAATAGTCTGTCACAACTACCCAACTCTGCCACTGTAGTATGAAAGCAGCTACAGACAAATAAATGAGTGGGCATGAATGTTTTCAATAAAACTTTGTTTGCAAAAACAGGCAATGGGTTAGATACAAAAACAGCCAGAGTTTTCAGACCCTTGGTCCAAGTCATCAAGCAATCAGGTGATAATTACTGATAGACATTTTCTAGTTATCTCCCCTCTTTGCTCTCTGCTAAGACGATACAAGAGAAAGCAAAGAATGTTGAAAAATTTTAAATAAGAACTAAAATATTTTTAAATTTTAGAGTAAGGTTTGCAGTCAATGAATAATATGAAAAGCCACTGTGTAGATTATATTCTTAGTTCAAAAAACCTTATTTTATGTTCAGCTACTTGCTTTAAAGTAGATTTTTAAAAATTTTTTTAAGAAAAATAGAAATGGGGTTTTGCAATGTTGGCCAAACTGGTGTCAAACCTCTGGCCTCGAGTGATCTGCCCACCTCAGCCTCCCAAAGTGCTTGTGAGCCACTACACCTGAAATTAAGTAGATTAAAATATAAAACTTTATTTTTATTTTTTAGGATAGTCCTCTAATTTCAAAAACATTTTTAAAAACTTTTATATTGTGATAAAATAGAAATATCATAAAATTTGCCAGCTTAACCCTTTTTTTTTTTCTTTTTAAATTGAGACAGGGTCTCACTCTGTCACTCAGGCTGAAGTGCAGTGGCACGATCATGGCTCACTGTAGCCTCCACCTCCCAGGCTTAGGTGGTCCTCCCACCTCAGCCTCCCCAGCAGTTGGGACTACAGGTGCACACCGCCATGTCTGGCTAATGTTTGTATTTTTTGTAGAGACAGGGTCTCACCCTGTTGCTCAGGCTGGCCTGGACTTCCTGGACTCAAGCAAACCTCCTACATAGGCCTCCCAAGGTGCTAAGATTACAGGTATAAGCCAGCATGTCCAGCCTACCAGTTTAACCATTTTAAATGTATAATTCATTGGCATATTGTACAACTATCACCACTGTCCATTTCCAGAGCTGTTTCTTTTTTTTTTTAATCACTGGAAACCACAGCTGTCCTCATTAAACAATAACTCCCCGTTCTTTCCTTCCCCGGTCCTTGGTAACCTCTAGTCTATTATCTGTCTCTATTTTTAAAGCACATTTTATATACATACATTTGCATACTTGATAAGTGAGAAAATCTACATATATATATATTGGCATTACTCATATAAGAACATACGAAAAAGTAATAATATTGGTTATCAGAAAAGAAAGGAACAGAATAGCCAAACACGGTAAGAGAATGACTGCTTGCAGTTTTACCTTTTATGACATATAAGCCATGTATTTTTCTGAATTAAAAACATAGCCCTCTGTATCCCCGGATTCCGCACCTGCGGATTCAACCCACAGTGGATCAAAAACTATTTGGAAAATGCCACAATAAAAAATAACAGCACTGGCCAGGTATGGTGGCTCATGCCTGTAATCCCAGCACTTTGGGAGGCCGGCGGATCACCTGAGGTCAGGAGTTTGAGACCAGCCTGGCCAACATGGTGAAACCCCATCTCTACTAAAAATACAAAAATTAGCCGGGCGTGGTGGCTGGCGCCTGTAATCCCAGCTATGCGGGAGGCTGAGGCAGGAGACTTGCTTGAACCTGGGAGGCAGAAGTTGCGGTGAGCCGAGATCGCGCCATTGCACTCCAGCCTGGGCAACAAGAGTGAAACTCCGTCTCAAAACAAAACAAACAGCATTACAATAAAAAATACAACTTAAAAAAAATGCAGTATAACAACTATGTATATAGCATTTACATTGTATTAGGTATTATAAGTAATCTAGAAATGACTTAAAGCATATGGGAGGATGTATGTAGGTTATATGCAAATACTATGCTTTTTAAATAATTTTTTTGAGACAGGGTTTCACTCCTGTCACCCAGTATGGGGTGTAATGGTGCAATCTCAGGTCACTGTAACCTCTGCCTCTCAGGCTCAAGCACTTCTCCTGCCTCAGCCTCCTGAGTAGCTGGGACTACAGGTGCACACCACTGCCCCCAGGTAATTTTTTGTATTTTTTATAGATACGGGGATTTGCCATGTTGCCCAGGCTGGTCTCAAACTCCTGAGCTCAAGTGATCCACCTGCCATGGCCTCCCAAAGCACTGGAATGACAGGTGTGAGCCACCTCACGCAGCCCACTACGCCATTTTTTTATCAGGCCCTTGAATATCGGAGGATTTGGGTATCCATGGGGGGACTGGAACCAATTTCCCGCAGATACCAGGGGACAACTACAAAACACACACAGGTTTTCCTATAATCTTTCATTTTTGCTAAAATAAAATTATTCGTGGGCTGCTGTTTCCTAAGAAAAAATAATTAGGATGCCATGGGTGCAATGGGAAAGACAAGCTTAAAGTAACTCATTAAAATAAGATAGAGAAAAATTATCTTGATAGTTCATGAAGCTTATATTCAATGTGAAGGAGATAGTTATCTCCCCACCGGCCCCCCACATTTACTTGTCAAAAAAGCCCTTATGAGAAGTAAAAACTTTTGGTTTTACTACTCACATCTAGATACTGTTTTACTATACTCCTTTTCACCTCTTCTGTGATTTTGGAATTAGCCATGTCACTCCGCAGGAAGTCCAGTGTTTGTTTTGGATGAAAATGAACTCCTGTTTTTCGGTTTATCGCTTTATCATATACTTTTGCAGATTCAGATGGAGAGTACTTCTGAATTTTACTGTTTTGGGAAAACAAAACCAAAAACTTTAAAACTATGGAAACAACGTATTTGGAGAAATCCAATTATAGGTAGGAAGCACCATATTAATGAAATTAGTTTCTCATGTCTATTTTTAATACTATTGTGATCCTAGGACAGCTTCAATACAATTACTTAATACCACCTAACTGGTTTACCTCTTTCTACTAGTTGCTCCCCCACCCCCAACCTATCCATCCTCTATATAGTGGCCAGAATGATTGTTTATAAACCTGTTTCAGGTTATTAACAACTCTGCTTAAAAATCTTTCCAACTCCTTAGCATTGCCTCAAAACCTTACAAGGTTTTAAATTATTTTGCATCTTGCCAACATTTAACATCAAGATATTCCTTATAAGGCCAGGAGCAGTGGCTCATGCCTATAATCTCAGAGTTTTGGGAGGCCAGTGTGGGAGGATCACTTGAGGCCAGGAGTTCAAGACTACCATGAGCAACACAACTAGACATCATCTCTACAAGTAAAAAATAAAAAAAATTAGCTGGGTGTGGTGGCATGCATCTGTACTCCCAGCTACTCAGGTGGCTGAAGTAGGAGGATTACTTGAGCCCAGGAGTTTATGATTGCATAACTGCACTCCACCTGGGCATCAGAGCGAGACCCTGTTGCAAATACAGATATTCCTCTTAAAAATCTGGATTTCTAGTGTCTCCTGAAAAAGTGGGAGCTCTAGCCACATTATGCCTACCCTCTCCTTTGGCAACAAGCTTATGGAAACTTGAGACAGGTCCACTTAAATGACCTCTTTACATGCAACACACTCTTTCCAGTTGGCCATTGACCAGGTAGCCTATTAACATTTGATTTTGTGATTCCTAATCTTAGATTTCAATGAATGTAAAAAATGACCAAAATTCCATGGTTACAGGCAGAAAAGAGGTATCTTTAATGACTACTGGTGGGTAAAACTACAGGGTGTTTATAATAGCTGTACCTTTTCTCTCTCTTACTTTATAGAGTACTTTAAATACTATTTGAGTTCTACTGGAGCTCTGTTTAGTTGGTTTACATCTGTTACTTCAGAGCTCTTTAAAAACTTAAACTTGTAATCTATTTTAAGGTTAGCTTGAGTCTTTTTAAGGAAATCAACAAAATAAGTCCTTCAATTTGTAATGCATTATCACCAAGTATAGGAATATGTTTTTTTCCCTTTAATAAAAATAAATTATGGCATATTACACAATAGAATACTATCCAGCAATAGAAGAGAATAAACTCCTTTTTAAAAAAGGAACATTTCTAACATTAAAGTAAGCATGCAAACAAAACTGGGTTTCATATTTATTATTATTTTTTTAGACAGAGTCTTGCTCTGTTGCCCAGGCTGGAGTGCAGTGGCGTAATCTCAGCTCACTGCAATCTCCGCCTCCCAGGTTTAAGCGATTTTCCTGCCTCAGTCTCCTGAGTAGCTGGGGTCACAGGCGTGCACCACCACACTAGGCTAATTTTTGTATTTTTAATAGAGATGGCGTTTCACCATGTTGGCCAGGCTGGTCTCGAACTCCTGACCTCAGGGGATCTGCCCGCCTCAGCCTCCCAAAATGTTGGGATTACAGGCATGAGCCACCACACCCAGCCCAAATATTTATTATTTGAACAGAGTGAAGTTTTTTCTCTCACTGCTTATGTAACCTTACCTATCAGAAAATCCACAAAGATTCTTCAAATGTTGTTTTAACATGAGAAGTAATAAAATACCCTGGGACACATTTGCAAATTCGATTAAAGGAGCTGAATTTTCTGGCAAACATTTCATCACTGAATTTATATCGTCTTCTGAATCTGAATCTGAATCTGAATCTACACGTTTCCGTGACTTCCGAGGCCTGGAAACTTCTTCTTCACTGTCGCTTGACTCATTTTCCTTACTAGGTGATGATTTTCTCTCTTTCCTTTTGTCCTTTACCATAGACTGAAAGAAAAAATCGTTTGATAAACAATAAAAACAAAATGCCACTAGTAAATATAAGTATGCTCCATTCAACAGCTTGAAAAAGCTTCCTTAAACTAATATTTTATAAACCTCTTGACTTTATATCAACAACTGGATATGTAATCTTAGGGGATAGTTTCTAAAACTAAATAAAATTATATATAATATCCACCCCCTCCCCTACAACCACTCCTTCAAAAAAATCCTTCTGAAATATCATTCAAAGGGAAACAATTTTCTTCTAAGGACAGTAATAAAAGATAGTTATAAAAGTATCAATTTGGTGCATAGGTAAGTCATTATGAGGAAAAGCAGTAATTATAATTTAACTGAGGAGAATAAAGTAATCTTGGACATCCCAGCTTCTAGCAAACTCTCCTTTTCAAGAACATTTCGGCAAGATAATAAGCAATTTTCTCTGAAGACTTAAATCCTGTTTCTTTGTACTTTATGAAAATGTTAGCTCTTAGAAACAAAGTCAACTGGACTTAAGCAGTTTGTGTGGTGTGTGTGTGTGGGGCACATTATAACAACATTTCTTCAAAAGTGGAAGAAACATTTACAAAGATAGCCATACCAGTAAGTAGGTAAAATAAGAGAACATGAGGGCTAAAGCTCCTGGGAAATTATTAACTTCTCAAACTTAAATGTGCACATTAACATCTGTGGATTTTGTTGAAGATGCAGATTCTGTTTCAGCAAATCTGGGTGGGGCCTGAGGTTCTACAGCTTTAATAAGCTCTCAGGTGAAACCACTGCTGCTGGTGTGTGGTCTATACTTCAAGTAGTAAGGGTTTAAGACACCTCTGTAATTCCAGCCCTCAGGAGGCATCTAAAATAATCTGTCTGATTTACTAGTCTGACAAGGCTGAGTTGTGAGCAATACAATTTTATAAAATGAGATCTACTTGGATCATTAGATACATGAGAATATTCAATTTGTAAAGAATTTACTGAGTGCTTACTATATGCCTAGTGCTACACCAGGTACTTTTATAATTAAATAAATTACATTCCTCCTAAAAGTCATGACAGAAACAATGGAAGGTTCAACAAGAAATTTAGCAAAGATTTTGGGCACACATATGCAAACTCTATAACGGTGCTGTAGTTGAGGGATAAGAAAGTCAATGGTGTCATAAATTTTCTGTTTAAGTGTAAATAAGCTATATATTTTCATGTGTAATGTTGTGATTACAGCATTACAAGATTTACAGAATAATGTTTTAAAATGGAGTTTAAATGAATGTATGAATGGATGCAAACACTTAAGGTCAGTGCTTAAAGTGAGAGAAATAAATGTGATGGCTTATCAACAGAACAATCCATATATCTATTTTAGATGTTTCTAAATAGAGGTAAAGTGGCAATGTACATCCTCTCCCAAGTCAAGTATTGCCCAGATTTCATTAAGTTCACTTAGAAAGATTTTATATACTCGTGAAGAGGATAAAAAGAATAATGAGAAACAAAACAGTGAAAACAGCATGCCTGCACTTTGACAGATGGATTAAGAATAGTAATGTGTGTAACTTACCTCCTTGAATGACTGCAGTAGGTTACTACCAGAAACTGAGAGTGTAATGTCTATATGATGCATTATAAACAACGGCTCTTCCTGTGTCTGGTATGGAAAACAGGCTAGATTGTCTGCTATATACAAGAGCATAGTCACGTCTGTTTTCTGTAAATTTTAAGAAAAAGCACACATGTTTAGCGGATAATCTAGAAACCCAACCAAAAAACCTTTTTTAGAAAAAATACAGGGCACTTTCACCTCACTTAATGTTAGACAGAGATAAGCAGACACACACGGAGAGAGTGGGGAGAGACACAGAGAGACAGAGGGAGAGGAGGAGGGAGAGAAATATAGAGGGGGGAAAAAGGGAAAGGGAGACAGGTGTAACAAAAAGGGAAAAGGGGGAACAGAAATGGAATTTTATAAAATAATCTTAGGCCCATTTTTTTTAATTTTATAATGACTTACACTATGCTATCTCAAGAGAAGAGGTGAAATTTTTTATTGCATCCATGTGAAATTCCTTGAAGTTTTCTTAGAGTATATGGAATCTTTATGATAAATCCATACCATATCAGAAAGTATACATGAAAGTTCTAGTTATATCATTGTGCTACTAAGAGTTTAACCTATATGGAGATCAGTTACACACAGTTACTATTCTGCCCTCAAAATAACTAGTAATTATAGTACTAATACATAGGTTAAAAGAAAAAACCCAAATCCCATGTACTCATAAACATTTGTCAGTTTCCTGTGTATATGTAATTCAGAATGTCAGAGTTGTTTTGACAATGCTATCAGTTTCACACTGTAAAAACTGTGAGGCAGGCAAAATTTAAGAGAAAAATTATGATTATTTAGTTGCTTGCTTTAAAAAGAAGTAATAGAGAATTCAAGCATTTCATGATCATAAACAGAAAGGCATATTAATATTCAAATTTCTTTTAAATATTTATAGCTCAAGGAAAAAAAAAGCTCACAACTAAAAAACACTCACTCCTACCATCTACCTTCCCCTGCCATGGAAACAACATAAAACCCAACAGCAGCAGCAGCAAGATCCCATAGCACAGATGGAATAACCTTGCTATTAATATTCATAAGAGTATCACTCTCACTCTATTTTTACTTTACAATATGTATCAACACCCACGTTACAGATGAAAAAATGTAGACATAAAACCCTACCTCATCTATTAGTTTTAACACTATAATTCATATATTTTCAAAACTCATATAATATTGAAGAAAATATACATATTTTCTTCAACATCCATAAAAGCCCTGTATTTCTCTTTCCTTTCAAAGTTCTTCAAAGAATAGTTTAGACTGCTCCTCCCATGTCTTCCCCACTATTTTTTTTTAAAGGAGACATGATACCACTCACTGCCACCTTGAACTCCTGGGCTCAAGCAATCCCTTTGCCTTGGTCTCTTCAGTAGCTAGGTAGCTAGGAGTATAGGTGCATACCACCAGGCCTGTCCAGTTTTTATTTTTTAATTTTTGTAGAGATAGGGTCTCACTATGTTGCCCAGGCTGGTATGGAACTCCTGGGCTCAAGCTATCATCTGCCTTGGGTGCTGGGATTACAAGCATGAGTCATCTCACCTGGCCCTCCCTTTTCAATTACAATCTGCTTTTGTCCCTCACTGCTTGACTGTTTTTGTCCACGAAGTTCACCATTCTACTCTATTTTTCACTTCTTACTCTCCTTGACTTCTCAGTAGCATCTGACTATTACCCACACTTTCCTTCATGAAATCTTCTTCCTAAGTTTTCTCTTCCTACCTCTTTGACTACTCCCTTTTTATGTACTCCTCAAGCCAACTCCTTTGCAATCTGACTTTGGCAACAATCCTATTATTGTTTCAGGTGCTCAAGATAAAAATATTCCAGTTGTCCACTAACTATTCTTTTCACACAGTCTCATTTAATTCTTTCCTCAACTTTCTTTTCTTTTCTACTATCCATTCTTTTTTTTTTTTTTTTTTACTGTTGAGATGGAGTCTCGCTCTGTCGCTCAGCTGGAGTGCAGTGGTGCGATCTCAGCTCACTGCCAATCTCTGCTGCCCAGGTTCAAGTGATTCTCATGCCTCAGCCTCCCAAGTAGCTGGGACTACAGGTGCGCGCCATCATGCCTGGCTAATTTTTTTGTATTTTCAGGAGAGAGAGGATTTTGCCATGTTGGCCAGGCTGTTCTCGAACTCCTGACCTCAGGTGATCCATCTGCCTCGGCCTCCCCAAATGCTGGGGTTACAGGCATGAGGCACCACACCCAGCCTCTACTATCCATTCTTTTTCTCCCCTACTGTTATCATAGTAATTTATTATTACCTCCAGTGTGACCACAATGCTAAAAAAATTCATCTTCCTAAACTGCTCTTTGGCAATTGTCCTCATTATTTTATTCACACACTTACAATGTTTTTTTTTTTGCCATCTACAGGATCCTCTATATATTATTCCTCATTATGACCTTTCTGCCCCAGTCAAATAACAAACTATTCATTATTTCCCACACATTCTTATCTTTGTATTTTTAATTAATTTTTTGGCCCTGACTGGAACATCTTCCTTCCCTGGTTTATATAGCAGATCCCTCTCATTCTATCCCTCTGGGCCTTCAGGCATTTGTTCCTTCTCTGACATTCTTTGTTGGAGGTAGTCAGAAGAAAGCATTGCATTGTGAGAGCTGGGTTTCCAGTTTAGCATTTCAAATGCTGAGATGACAAAACATCTAGTCAATGACATAAAGCAGGCAGTGAAATCACATAGAAATGAAGTTCTTTTGGACAGAAACAAGGACTGGAACAATATTATCAACACAAACCATCAGGGCACTCAGGATATACTAACCGTAATCACTATTAATTTTGTATCCTATCCCCACAGCTGGAGGGAAAATCCTTTCAGGGCAAAAGCACTACATTATATCATCTGGCACTCCTCGTATAGTGTCCTATACACAATGCAAACTTAATACTGATAATGATATGATGATAATGTTGATGATAAATTTCATGTAGTACTTGAAGAGGTCTAGTAAGATATCTGCACTATGGTAATTATAATTTTGCTTTATTGCAAAAATCTGCTGTCAGGCTAACAAGTAATTAAAGTATTTCTTTTGTTCTTTTTTTTTTTTTTTTTTTGAGACGGAGTCTCGCTCTGTCGGCCAGGCTGGAATGCAGTGGCGTGATCTCAGCTCACTGCAACCTCTGCCTCCTGGGTTCAAGCAATTCTCCTGCCTCAGCCTCCTGAGTAGCTGGGATTACAGGCGCGTGCCACCACGCCCGGCTAATTTTTATATTTTTAGTAGAGATGGGGTTTCACCATGTTGGTCAGGCTGGTCTCGAACTCCTGACCTTGTGATCCACCTGCCTTGGCCTCCCAAAGCGCTGGGATTACAGGCGTGAGTCACCACTCCTGGCCTCTTTTGTTCTTTTAAAAGTTGCTATACACATAGGTTCATGCGTGCTCTGTGTGGGCAGAAACCATATCTGTTTTTACTATTTTATGCTCGTTAAACTTCTTAGCGCAATGGCTGGTACATAGCAGATGCAGAATAAATACTGTGTGAAATAAATAAATTAAAAGGTAAACTTTAAAGAATATTCAGTTTTCTTGGCCTATGGTCCTGGCCAATGCAACTAGTGCAACAGCCAGAAGTGTCAAAATTGTAATTATGGTAATCTCCCCAATTGCTGTTTTGCTTTCCATAGTTTCAGTTACCCTTGGTCAACCATAGTCCAAAAATAGGTGAGTAAACTACAACAGGGTATTTTGAGAGAGAGAGAAAAGCAAGATCCCATTCACATAACTTTTATTACAGTATATTGTTTTAATTGTTCTATTTTATTATTATGTTAATCTCTTACTGTGACTAATTTATAAATTAAAACTTTAACATAGGTTTGTATGTATTGGAAAAACCAGTACAGTCATGTGCCACATAACATGTTTCAGTCAATTACAAACTATATATATGATGATGGTCCCATAAGATTATCCTATCATATTTTTACTGTACCTTTTCTATGTTTAGATATGTTTAGGTACATGAATACTTACCATTGTGTTATAGTTATCTACAGTATTCAGTACAGTAACATGCTGTACAGGTTTGTAGCCCAGGAACAATATAGCCTAGGTAGGCTACAACATCTAGGTTTGTGTAAGTAAGATGTTCACCCCACAAAGAAATCGCCTAACTATGCATTTCTCCAAATGTATCCCTGTCATTAAGTGATGCATGACTGTATATATAATAATTAGTACTATCCATGGTTTCATGCATCCACTGGGGGTCATGAAATGTATCTTTAATGATAAGGGAGGACTACTATACACAAAAGTGGACTACTATACAGAAAAGTGACTTCCCTTCATTAAGGGAAATCAAGTTGAACAACTAGGGATCTCAATAGCCAAAAACCTAGAACAGTTATTCTCTAACAATATTTGAGGTAATCGGTTCCCAAAGCGATTAGTTTAGTGATGTTGCTTATTTAAAGATACGCTTACAGAAACTGTTATCAAAGTTTATAGGATATTCAGTATGGAGGCAAAATTATACATTATTCCTCATTACACTTATTCTCATACAAAATTTCCCCTTCACTTCTGACTGTGTACTTTGTAAATAACTTAGAAGATTAAGAAAACACTTAATGAAGTTACTATCATATACTAATAAAATGGTAATATTTAAAAAATGACTACTTTATCCATAAAATTTCTAGAGCACTTATTTTCTTAAAATAATAAGTTTTTGTGCTTACTGCTGTGTCATCAAAGAGGTTGAGTAAAGAAATAAGAAAGGCTCGTCTGTGTTGGCGGTTTCCACGGATCATGGAGTAAAGGTGTGAACACAAAGCGCTAGAGGACTCGTCTTGTCTGAAACCCCTTACAGGATCTTTTAGGCATGTGTTGATTGCCTGTTGTACCTGGTAAGACATCTTCATACCAGCCACTGCTTTCATCTGAAATCAATAAAAGTCTCATTTTTGTCAGGGAAATTAAAAGACACAAATTAAAAATATACTTAGAGCATTACATTCTGAGGCTAGCTTCATTGTTTTTTTTTAATTAAAATAATACGAATCACAGAATGAAGTGCTAGAAGGAACATTAGAGATTATCTCTTACAATTCCCTCATTTCAAAGAAGAAAAAAAAAATGAGGCCCAGGAGAGTCACTGCAGCCAAGTTCACATAGTAAGATATAAAATCCAGGTTTCCTGATTTTTAGTCTGGTGTGCTTGGTACTGTCACCTCTAGCCCAACCTTAACTTTAGACTAGAATAAACACCTTGGAAGACTAACTTAGTTGCATGTTTAGAAGATAGGTACTAAGTAAGACATTTTATTCCAATTATGAATGTGGGCAGAGCATTTATCAAAGAAATGCTTTACTCAAGAAAAATGTTTAAATTTAGGTTATAAAATGTTAAAATACATACATGAATGAATCCAGCATATTTTTTGTCTATTTCCACAAGTTGCTGATCAGCCTTGTTCCGCATAGCAGGTTCTGGGTCTGTGCCCATAGCAATTAAATATGGCACACACTGGAAATAAAAAAAAAAATTACGAGATATCATGGTAGTAAAAATTCTCTATTTAGACATATGTCAAAACTTTTCATATATCTGAGATATATGAATTTAACCTTATAGGCCTTCCTATAAAGTCTATGTTTTAGTGTTCTTTTTAAAATGACAGATCTTTTGAGATTCAGCTTAAATCCAGAAAGCACTGGAGCACCAGCAAAAATACTGACGTGATAAAATTTAAACAATTTCATTGTAAATTTTAGGTTCTTTAAACATAAAGCATTCTCACACTAAGAATATCTATTTAAGATTATGATATAGACTACAAATGTATAATCCAGTAGTTTTTAAAGCTTGACTGAATTTGCCTTGTAAAGATAATATAGGGCAAACAGTAATTTGTTTTCCATACTCAAAGCTACGAAAATATAATTGTTTTTCAAAGTTGATTTCAGATGTGGCTTTGAGGAACAGAGAGTTGATAACAGTCATATTCACTGTACTTCTAGAGTCAAAAAACAGTACTACTATGTTAAGTGAGTCTGAATTAAAAAGCAATGTGAAGGCCAGAAAAACAACAACAAACCTAACTTTAAAATACAGACATGGCACTAAATGAAAGAAATGATCATGTTAAATCTCGAATCAGGAAAGAAAAAAGGCTGTAAGGTGGGTGCGGTGGCTCATGCCTGTAATCCCAGCACTTTGGGACACTGAGGCAGGCAGATTACTTGAGCTCAGAAGTTTGAGACCAGCCTGGCCAACATGGTAAAACCCCGTCTCTACAAAAACACAAAAATTAGCCAGGTGGTGGCGCACACCTGTAGTCTCAGCTACTTGGGAGGCAGAGGTGGGAAGAGTGCTTGAATCCAGGAGGCGGAGGCTGCAGGTAAGCTGAGACTGCATCACTGCACTCCAGCCTGGGAAACAGAGCAAGATCTTGCCTCAAAAAAAAAGAAGAGGAAAAAGGCTATAGAGAACGCCCTTGGTTAACTAGCAGAATCTGCAAATGAACTGTATATTAGATAATATTGTATCAGTGTTAAACTTCCCAAATTTAATGATTATATTACGGTTTTGTAAGAGAATGTCCTTGTTCTTAGAAAATATATGCTGAAGTGTTTAGTGGTAAAGAATCATAATTACTTGAAACTTCCTACCAAATGATTCAGAAAAAAGCAGATGTATAAAGGGAGAGAGAGAAAGCAATTGTGGCAAAATGTCAACAAATGGTGAATAGAGGTGAAGAGAATAAAGGAATTCATCGTATCACTTTTGCAATTTCTTTGTGTGAATTTTTTTTTTTTTTTTTTTGAGATGGAGTCTCCCTCTGTTGGCCAGGCTGGAGTGCAATGGCACGGTCTCAGCTCACTGCAACCTCTGCTTCCTGGGTTCTCTGCTTCCTGGGTTCAAGCAATTTTCCTGCCTCAGCCTCCCATGTAGCTGGGACCACAGGCATGTGCCACCACACCTGGCTAATTTTTGTATTTTTAGTAGAGACGGGGTTTTGCCATGTTGGCTATGCTGGTTTTGAACTCCTGACTCAAGTGATCCGCCCACCTCTGCCTCCCAAAGTGCTGGGATTACATGTGTGAGCCACTGCACCTGACTCCTTTGTGTGAAATTAAAAAAAAAAGTTTAAAAGGCATATATAATAAAAAGCACCCAACAAAGAACCCTCGGTAGTTTAAAAAGGTGACAGTCTCAATGTACTACTGTTTCATTATAATGTATGATTCTTTATGATAATAGCCCGGAGTCATGAAGAACAGGATAAATATTTGTTAACATGTTTTGTTTCAGGACACAGGGAAGACCACAGTATGTTTAAATAAATCATATTTTTAAAACGTTCCATGAAAAATACCCAAAATAAAAATCTTGAAGGGTATAGACTCTGCTTACTTAATACATACACTTTTGTAGCCTATGGTGCTCTCTTGACCATCAGATGGTATATACTACTACATCAGCATTGGCTGCCAATCTTCAGTAACACTAATGTCTTTATTACGTCGTTGTGTCCTCATATTAATGCTATGAGGTGTCGAGTAGTTGGTGTTATACCCAACTTAAAGATGAAGGAATTGAGTTTATATAATTTACTTTTCTGTGGACTAAGACTCCACCCTGTTGAACAGATTATACTTTTAAACCCAGTTAACTCTCTTCACATTATAGATTGTTGGATCTTAGGGACAAAAGTAAATATGAATTAAAACAAATATATCACCCATACTTAGAAAAATAATTTGAGTATATGTTCTGCCAATAGAAATTACAAGTTTATAACAGAGACAATATTATGAATATATGGGTATTTTGCAGTAATCATAACCCAAGAGATTATCTAAAACTGCCAGATTCTTAAGAGTTTAGTACAAAGAAGAGTAAGAGGAACGAAGAACTACTTATTCTCTATAATCACAATGTATCAAATTACAACTAATCTTGCTCTTTTAGTAAGTGCTGCTGCCATAAAACATGCTTACCTGAACTGGATGAATAAGACCTTGATTTAGAGTCAATGCAATGACATTTAGGGCAAAGTGGCGTACACTTGACTGGGTGTGAAAAAATGCCTCAAGCACCTGTTTGAGATAAAGCTGCATGATGGAACTACTCATCCCTGAGGAAACATCACCCATTTCTTTTAAGTCTTCCTGTTTTGCAACTTTCTTCCCTACAAAAGCAAGCAAAGGATAAACACACATTAAGAGCACCTATACTAACTTTACTAAATATTTCAAAATTAGGCCATAACCAAAATCACAAAACGTTACAGCTAGTGTTCTGGCTCAATGGTTCTTAATCTGTGTGTGAGTGTGTGTGTGTGTGTGTGTGTGTCTGTGTCAGAGGCCCCTTTGAGAACCCAGTGAGAACTATAATCTCTTTCCTCCCTCAAAATGTTAATGTTTACACACATATACAATTTTAAAACTATTTTAGAGAATTTAAGAATATGCTAAAGCCCAGCTATAGACCTCAGCATAAGGACTGCTATTTAACTGAATTTCTTCATCTAACAAATAAGGAAATTTAGATATTTAGATTAAAGAAGATAAAGCCATTATAATATAAATGTAGCTATGAAATTTAAAAATATATTTTCACTTACAGTCTCTATCTGCCTGCTGCATACGTGTATCTTCTTCTTGTAGGTAGGTCTGGAGGTTTTTTAACACTTGTATTTTTAAATTGACTGAGGAGTTCTTATCAGATAAAATATTATTATATAGATTCTTCACTTCTTGCTCGAACATTAGACTTGGATGCTGAATAAAGGCAAATCCTATGGGAGAGGGGAAAAATCTCATCATATATTCATATTAAAATTAAATAAAACATTTAATAAATATGTTAATAAATTATATAAACGGCTCCTTATTTCAAAAAATTAAAACTTAAAATGACTGGAAGAATATGCTGGTGGCCTTACCTAGAGAAGCATTAGAGCAGGTACTTCTTTCCCCATGAATTAAAAACAAGAAATTGCATTTCAAAGGAGAATTTCACACAAGAGGAAACCTTGAGGAGGGAGCAGGGCCTAGTGGCTAGGGGAGTGGATTAGGAGTCAGGAGTCTTGGGTTCTATTCCTGGCTCCACCACTGACTTGTAGTGTGACCTTGGGTGAGTCACATAATCTCTCTGTGCCTCAATTCTCCATCTGTAAAATGGGGATAATAATATTTACCACCCACCTACCTCACAGGGATGTTTTCAGGATTTAAGAAATAATGTCTGCAAACATTTTTCAGATCCCCAGCAGAAGGTACTACATTGACATTATTTTAAAAAAAAAATTAAAATATATTCATTTGATGAAACAATATAATAAACCAGAGCTAAAAATATCTTCCATTTCTTTTTCATATGGCATTATAATAAGGCCACAATGCTGAATCCTATAACCACGGGTTAATAAGTAGCAATATATCATCCATGTTTATTTGTATATAATGTTTATTTGAGGAAAAAATGAAGATCTCTGATGATAGCAAGTATTATTGGTAACAAACAACAAACTAAACTCAAAGCATAGAGTGATCAGATAACTAGCCCAAGGTCACTCAGGATAACTATGGCCCAGGCAAGATGTCTTTTATTAACTGGTCTAGAGGCAATATTTTCTGAATAGCGCTGCTTAAGTTAAAACTTCATCTTTTTGTACTCTGAAATACTTGTAACACTATTAGTTTTGCCACTCCGTATAAATTATGTCCAGACTGAATATCTGAAGGTACACATTGGCTTGAAGTTAATATTGCATCAATTTAACTCCTTAGTAAATGATGTCTGAATTTTTACTCTATGTGCTATATGTAATTTTCAAAAAGGGATGGAGGAGGAATAAAATGATAAGGTTTCAATTTATTTACAGAAATCATAAACATGATTTAATAAGGTATGGGTAAGTTAGAATCTTTTCTTACTCATTTTTGTTCAAAAGACTAATATAAATAACTACTCATGCAGATTAAAGTATAAACCTTAATCATAACACCAAAATAAAATTTCCAAATAAGTTTTTAATCTCATTGGGTAGCTTTACGTGTACAGTCATTGCTCGGTATCCATGGGGGATTGGCTCCAGAACCTCCCAGGGATACCAAAATCCGTGGATTCTCAAGTCCCTGATATAAAATGGGGTAGTATTTGCATATAATCTACTCATATCCTCTCGTATACTTTAAATCTTCTCTAGATTATTTATATCTAATACAATGTAAATGCTATGTAAATTGCTGTTGTATTGTTTAGAGAATAATAACAAAAAAAGTCTGTACATATTTAGTACAGGTGTAATTTTTTTTTCTCAGTATTTTTGATCCTTGGTGGTTAAATCCACAGATGTGAAACCCATGGATATGGAAGGCCAACTGTATTTGTACCAAAAAAAACAACAACAAAAACCAAAAACCTGGACAGACTGTTCTTGTATTTTTTTGAAGTGCATTCAATTCAGGTACTTTAATGCCATTCACCTCCTATTTCCTCATATTCTAATTCCTTCCTAGATATAAGCCACATAGACCTGCCTAACAATTGCAAAACATGTTTTTATTACATCAATCCTTCCTGGAAAAACATTATAAAACAGGTATATATCCAAATTGTTCCTTCTGGGTTGCTTACTATTTGCTTTTATATAAATAAGTCAGTGTAGACTGATCATTGTTTTAACCAGATGTGGCAGCTTCCTGTAGTGACAAAGCTTTGCAATGAAAAAGAACAATTAAAAAAATGCAAAGAGCACAGAATTCTTCTATATTATTTTTCTTTATCAAAGGGCTTTAATAAATGTTCTTAAGATACCCTATGGAGGAGGGGTAGAAGAAAGTATTGTTATCTCTATTTTACTAATGAAGAAACTGATGAACAGACAAATGGCTTGCTCAAGGTTACCCAGGAAGTCAATGGCCATGACAAGAATGCAACCCAGTTGTTTTAATCCTCAGACCTACATTCTATACACCAAATCCTACTGCTAATAGAAACATATTAAAGTAAATCAACAATTTAGATTCACAATATTTAAAAATATGCTCTATCCCTCTCAAATAGCTACAAATTATAAAGAAATTTAGACTTACCTAGACCAATGATAGCTTTTGTTTGTACTTCTTCATCTGAGTGTTTTGTAAAATACATCAATAGTTCAAGTACTTTATCTTTTATGTTAACCTAAGGGGAGGAAAACACATTAAAGTGTTCATGAACAGTAACTTAGATTAATTTTCAACTATAAAGGAAAAAAATACCTTAAAACAATGAGAATTTGTGTGAACTTTATTAAAAAAATAAGTAACCAATTCCATTTATTTTAGAACAGTGGCATTCAAAGTATCAGTCTGTGACAAAGAAGCTTGTTTCGGAATGTAAATCAGTGCATTGTTTCCTTCATTGAAAAAAATTTTTTTTAAAAAGTCAGCTGTTGATGTCAACAGTGTGCTACTGTTACAAAACTGATATAACTTGTCAGGGAAATTTCATTATCTGGTTACACACCAGTAACAAAAAGTTGATGGATTAGCAGCCAGTCTGAGGACCACGTTTTGAGCAGCACTGTTTTCAGAATTTTCATTAAACCAGACTACTCTAATGTTGCCTTCATCCTGGGTCACTACTGTCATTCTCAGATCACAGTGCCATATAGCTCTATGTTTTATAGCATTTTAAGTATTACTACCTTTACCTTGCTGTTGCCTTTAAAATCTTCCAGATCAAAATCAAAATGCCGACATAGTGCTCCAACGGTGAAAAGGGATCTAAGAAGTGCTGGTTTGTTTGTTAGAAGTGAAGTGTTATTTGGGTCCTCTTGGTGTTGACTTTTTAATTTTGAAATGGCACCTAATAAAGATAAGTAATATTTACTTATAATATTTATCTTTGAATTACTAAGTTCAAGTAATTACTACTAATGAATTACAATTTTTTTTTTGAGATGGAGTCTCACTGTCACCCAGGCTGGAGTGCAGTGACATGATCTTGGCTCACTGCAACCTCCGCCTCCCGTGTTCAAGTGATTCTCCTGCCTCAGCTTCCCAAGTAGCTGGGATTACAGTCGTGTGCCACCACGCCTGGCAAATTTTTGTATTTTTAGTAGAGAGACGGGGTTTCACCATGTTGGCCAGGCTGATCTCGAACTCCCGACCTCAGGTAATCCACCCGCCGTGGCCTCCCAAAGTGCTGGGATTACAGGCATGAGCCACTGTCCCCAGCCAATTAATTTTTACTAATGGTTCTAAATATTAAATATGTCTAGAATTATGAGAGTGCTCTTCAGAGTCTAAACTAATGTAAGAAAATTTAAATTTTACTTTTCACAGTGCGCAAAAAATTTACCAATCTTTACTTATCAGGAGATAAATTTCTGAAGTAATCACAGTGGGTTCTTCAGGAAATACAAAAGACACTAGAAAATATTGTTTCTGAGAGGACCACGGTGGATAATCACACCTCATAATTTCCTCGAGTCTAGCCTTTTATCAAATGTGTTTAAAATGAGCTGACCCCCTGCAGGACCTAGCAGAATAATTTTAAAACCCTGGTATTGAACTTACCATAGTATCTATTGAAACAAGCCCACACAAATTTAAAATTTTGTGTCACTTTATTTACAACAGCTCCAAGACAGCTCACACAATGTTGCACTACCTAAAAGATATAGAAAATGTTTAGATAAAAGTTAAAAATATACTATTTTAAAAACTTAGCTTTTTACAAATATTTGCTTTAAAAATTTTAATAAAATACATTAGAACTTTACACTAATGAATAAAGAAATGGTAAACTGAGTGCTTACAGTCATGCCATATTTGATGATGAGCTTCATTAGATCTTCCTCAATAGTGGCAAGAAAAGTTTCACTTGGATGCTCCATCAGTGGTACAACTAGCTCTAGGATTTTTGCAACATTGCAGATAACCATGAAATCATTTTGCGTCTATAAGAATAAAATTAATGCTTTATGAATATCCAAAACCTGAAAAGAAACTATATACAGCTTTACGTATTTGGGGGCAGAAATAGGGCATTTTGCACGTAAAGGTCCAGTTAAAAAAAAAAGTCTGTTAGAGTTTTTTTTTCAAGGTATGGAAGGAGAAGCACCAGCATGTCAGGAATATGTACCGACAACTAACTTACCAAAATGTGACTTTGGGGTCACTTAATCACAATGTTATATTTTTTCCCTAAAATGTAACACAAGTCAATTCTAAACAAAGGTATTTACATATTGACAGCATTATACAAAGACTGGTACAGTTTTTACGATTAGTATTTTCCAAACTGTGTATGTTAACCCAGTAGTTCTCAATCAGGAATAAGCTTCTTCCCCCGTATCCTGACACAGGAGTATTTGGCAGTATCTGGAGACATTTTTGGTTGTCACAATGGGAGCCACTACTGGCATCTAGTGGATAGAGGCCAGGGATGCTGCTTAACAACCTGCAATGCACAGAACAATCCTTGACAACAAAGAATCATCTAGTCCTGTCAATAGTGCTGAGGTTGAGAAACCCTGTGTTAAAATTTTCTATGACAGATAAACATGTAGAATCCCAGAACCAGGCAGAAGGCTTCTTTACTTCTAAGAAACACAGTCTTGCTCAATTGCCCAGGTTGGAGTGCAGTGGCACAATCACAGCTCAATGCAATCCTGCTCCTGAGCTTGAGCGATTTTCCTGACAGTCTCTCGAGTAGCTAGGACTACAGGCGCATAATACCACACCCGGTTAATTTTTTAATTGTCTTTTTTTTTTTTTGAGACAGAGTCTTGCTCTGTTGCCCAGGCTGGAGTGCAGTGGCATGATCTTGGCTCACTGCAACCTCTGCCTCCCGGGTTCAAGCAACCCCCTGACTCAGCCACCCGAGTAGCTGGGATTACAGGCGCCCACCACCATGCCTGGCTAATTTTTGTATTTTTAGTAGAGACGGGGTTTCACCATCTTGGCCAGGCTGGTCTAGGACTCACGACCTCGTGATCCACCTGCCTCGGCCTCCCAAAGTGCTGGGATTACAGGTGTGAGAAACTGCGTCCGGCCTTAATTTTCATTTTTGTAGAGACAGGGTCTCACTATGTTGCGCAGGCTGGTTTTGAATTCCTGGCCTCAAGTGATCCTCCTGCCTTGGCCACCCAAAGTACTGGGATTACAGGTGTGGGCCACCATGCTCAGCCTAGGACTTCTTTATTTTAAATTTAAATGTGTTATTTCTTTGATTAGAAAAACTAATAAGCATGTTTAAAAAAACAGGTAGAGACTTTTTAAAAAAAACCAAAAGGTAGAAAAGGATTTACAATAAAAAGTCTTGTTTCTATCTATCCTCCAGCCACCCAGTTCATTTCCCCAAAGGCAATCAAAGTTATATGTGTGTGTGTGTGTGTGTGTGTGCGCGCGTGTGTGTAGTAAGGCTTTCAATGCATGTTTTTAATCTAGTTTTTTTTTTTCCTTTCTTTTTTTTTTTTGAGACGGAGTCTCGCTCTGTCATCCAGGCTGGAATGCAGTGGCGCGATCTTGGCTCACTGCAACCTCCGCCTCCTGAGTTCAAGTGATTCTCCTCAGCCTCCAGAGTAGCTGGAGGCATGGAAGGAGAAGCACCAGCATGTCGGGAATATGGATCGACAACTAGCCTGCCACCACGCCTGGCTAATTTTTGTATTTTTAGTAGAGATGGGGTTTCACCATATTGGCCAGGCTGGTCTTAAACTCCACACTTTGTGATCTGCCTGCCTCGGCCTCCCAAAGTGCTGGGATTACAGGTGTGAGCCATCATGTCCAGCCTTAATCTAGTTTTTAAGCTACTAATCCTCATTGTTAGTAATGGATTACCGGCATAGATTTTGGACTTTTTTTTTTGACACAGAGCCTCGTTCTGTCACCCAGGCGGAAGTGCAGTAGCACAGTCTCGGCTCACTGCAACCTCCGCCTCCAAGGTTCAAGCGATTCTCCTGCTTTAGCCTGTCGAGGAGCTGGGACTATAGGTGCGCACCACCATGCTTGGCTAATTTTTGTATTTTTAGTAGAGACAGGGTTTCACCATGCTGGCCAGGCTGGTCTTGAACTCCTGACCTCGTGATCCGCCTGCCTCGGCCTCCCAAAGTGCTGGGATTACAGGCGTGAGCCACCGTGCCCAGCCCATTTTGGACTTTTTGAGTGCATTAACACACTAGTTAAAAACATTCCCACCACTTGGCTTGTAGGAGTATTAATTACAAAAAAAAGAAATTCCCACATCATATTCATCCTTCCTTTTAGGATCCCCACAGGATTAAAAAGAAAAGATAAATTCTTTTTAAGTAGCATAGAAATCCTGTTGTTTCCCATAATGAGTTAAAGTGGGTCTAGGGATAGAAGAATTTTTGTTGGGTAAGATATTCATTTGAGAACCAGTGCTAGCATTTTACTTAAAAAAAAAAAAAATGTAGTGGCTGGGCACAGTGGCTCACGCCTATAATCCCGGCTCTTTGGGAGGCCACAGTAGGCAGATCACTTGAGGCCCGGAGTTCAAGACCAGCCTGGCCAACATGGCAATTCCCTGTCTCTACTAAAAATACAAAAATTAGCCGGGTGTGGTGGTGCACACCTGTAAAATCCCAGCTACTTGGGTGGCTAAGGCATGAGAATCGCTTGAACCTGGGAGGCGAAGGTTGCAGTCAGCCAGAAGTGCAGGACTGTACTCCAGCCTGGGCAACAGAGCAAGACTGTGTCTTAAAAAAAAAAGAAATAGGCCGGGCACAGTGGCTCATGCCTGTAATCCCAGTACTTTGGGAGGCCAAGGCGGGGCAGATCAATAAGGTCTGGAGTTCAAGACCAGTCTGGCCAACATAGTGAAACCCCGTCTCTACTAAAAATACAAAAAATTAGCCAGGTGTGGTGGTGTGCACCTGTAATCTCAGCTACTTGGGAGGCTGAGGAAGGAGAATCGCTTGAAGCCAGGAGGCAGAGGTTGCAGTGAGCCAAGATTGCACCATTGCACTCCAGCCTGGGTGACAGTGTGAGCCTCAGTCTCAAAAAAAAAAAAAAAAAAAAAAAAAAAAACCACCACATAACAACAAAAAAGTAGCATTTTCTGAACCTTCCCTTAACATCCTGGCCTGGAAAATCAAGTAAAAGAAATATCTTAAATTCTAGAAGAAAAATTTAAAGAAAGATGGAAACCATTAAGTAAAAGAGCAACAGAACAGAATAGGAAAAAATATTTGTAATGAATATACTATAAGATGGTTTAATATCTAAAATAAAGAGCTCTCCTAAAAAAAAAAGCCTATTATTCAAAGGTAAAATGAACGAATGATATGAAAATGATATAAATAGTGAATTAACAGAAAAGCAAGCCCCACTGGTCAGTACCAAGAAAAGATGCTCAACCTTCTTTGCAGTCAGGGAAGGAAACTGAAGCAATAATGAATTATTCCTTACCACCTGTTAGACTGGCAAAGAATACTAAATAATGACAATGATTGTCACATACAGCTTTCCAAAAGGTTGTATAAAACACATCCACTGCAAAATGGCAAGATCAATTAAAAATGAACACCAAAATAACCATTGTTTCAACCTAGCAAGTCCACTTCTCAGAAACTGTTCCAACAAAATAAAGTCACCAGTACTTAGGTATTTAAATTGGAATGTTTATTTAAAAATTGTTTGTAGTGGTGATCCAAAGGAAATATGTAAACACCTGCCAAATAGGGAAATGATTAAATAAATCATAGGACATCCATAAAATGGATAATATATAGCCATCTAAAACAAGGAATTAGATATATACCAGGTAATGTGAGATTACCAAATATGCCTAACAAATATCTATATAATATGATTCAATTTTTACAAAACCCGGTCAACCATTTATATATACCTCTGTGTCCACAACTATAAAAGTATGTTAAGGATACTCTAAGATGTTTATTCTGAAGGGAAGATGAATAAAGATGGAGATAGGATATAAAAACAAAAATCAAAACCACAAAACATTAAGAAAAAGTTTACCATGTATGAGATACTCTTATTTATATACAACTTTATATTTGTGTACATACATACATAAAAAATGCACAAGACATTTTAAAAGTGATTTTGTTTTAAAAAAATCACTGGTTCAAAATCATGCAAGGACTATTTATGATATAAATAATATATAACAGGTTTCATTATAGTCCAGACTCTACTGGCAGACATGGGGCTGAATTCTAACTTTGGGACTGCTTAGCTCTGTGACATTGGGCCAGTTATTTATATTCTTTAAGCTTTCATTTCCTTATCTGTAAAACTGAGATCATAATAGTACTTACTTCACAAAGTTAATGAGATAATACATGTAAAATTTTCACAGTGCTTGGTACTGTGCTAAAAAATTATTAGCTATTATTAGCCACAATTATTAAACAATTTATTTCTGGATCTAATACGAACCCTAAAGATAGAATTAGTGTCTCAGAAGTAAATGCATGTTGTTTTTAGGTATTTATTATCCTTTACTACTCTCCTCAGTTCTTAAAGTTTTCTCAGGAAGTCCTGAGGTTTTCACCTAGAGCTTGTAATTTGGATAATCAAAAAAACTGACCACAGCAGCAAAACAAATGCAGCAGAGAAACAGTTAAAATTAGCTCCTTAGGAACATTAGGAACACAGTATGTGAGAAACCTTTATATTTGTTAAGTTTTTAGAGTATTTTAAAATTTCAAATTTTTAGCAGTTACTTATACTCTTTAAGCTTCAGTTTCCTTATCTGTAAAACAGAGATAATAGTACCTACTTCATAAAGCAAATGACATTATACATGTAAACCACGTAACTCACTATGCTGTCATATATACTTTAAAATCTTTATTTGATGGATAATTTTACTTAAGCAATGTCTTACTACTCACACCTTATTTTAGAAAAACATAGTGTATGTTAATATTAACAGCCTAACATCTCTGGTATGATATTATAGATTTTCCATATTTAATATATTGTTCTATTATAAAAATAAAATATATTTATAAAATATAAAAAATTAAAAAAGACTGTATGAAAAATATAAAGCATATCAACAATTTCCTTAGGTGCCATAAATGGACCTCTGTTAGAGGCTACTGGCTCTCAATTTTGGAGAATGACCGAGGTTGACTACTGTTCCTTATTAATGTGCATTAGATGGGAAGTAATGCTAGTCTTTGTGTGCTTCAAGCAATGGGTATCAATTTTTATATTTATTATATTATAAATGACAGACAAATGAAAAGTAAATTCAGGACCCAAAAGATAGTAAATTTCTCAAAGAGAGGAACTCTGCTTCATTCATTTTGAGATCTTAACAATAGCTATAACATTTAGTAAGCATCTACTGAGGGTTTGGCTTGAGGAGTTTACAGCAAAATGGAACCTGAACTTTATTTATGTCAGACTTGATGTTTATAGATCACTTGCTACAAATAGTACATATATCTAAGTAAATGACACAGTTGATCTGTCAGTGAGAATGTGGTTGACGCATGTGAACTCTAAATTTAAAGCACTTAATGTTTTATGTAAGATACAAGAATAAGACAGCTCTATACTTACACTACATTTAGTGGTAAGGTATGGTTGCATAGTCATTGCATGTTTAACCATGAGCTGGGGTCTTATTTTGCTGAATAAGAACAAAGTGGTTATGCAAGCTACCAATCTTCCAGAATTCACACCTTTATTGTCAGAGTCTGGAAAAACAAACAGAGAAATAAGACACTAAAATATGACAAGGTAGTGGAAACTATACAGAATATTATTTAAATTACTTAATATTATCCCCTAAATAGGTCCAGTATAGGCCTCAATATAATGAATTAGTAGTTCTTATGATACTAGACTTTCTCCATCTCATTTTTTCTTTGATATAGAAATAATACTCAAGATAAAGAACAAGAGGCCATGCTCTCTATAGAAGGCAAGTTTTATACTAATGGAAATTGGGAAGCTTAGGAATGGGCTTTTGGGAATAAATGTCGTATTGGTTTTATCTAAAATCAATGGGCTGTGTGTGATGGCTCACACCTGTAATCCCAGCACTTTGGGAGGCCATCACAGGAAGAAGGTTTGAGTCTAGGAATCTGAGATCAGCCTGGACAACACGCAAAAACTGCATCTCTACAGAAAAATAAAAAATTAGCCCGGTGTGGTGATGTGCACTTGTAGTCTCAGTTACTCGGGAGGCCGAGGTGGGAGGATTGCTTCAGCCCAGGAGTTCTAGGCTGCATTGAGCTATGATTGCGCCACTACACCCCAGCCTGGGTGACAGAGTGAGACCCTGTCTTTAAAAAAAAAAAAAAAAAAAAAAGGAAGTGAATATGGGAAAAAAAGCAATTTAGCTGAGGTGAAACTGTGTTTAAGGGTACTGGTACAAAAAGACATGTTGTTGCAGTAGAAGAATGTTAAAAAATGGGAGCAACAAACAGAAATTGGAACAATGCTATAAGACAGCTCTAAACAAAATGCTGTTCAGGTGGGAAGAAAATGTTGCTAATCAGGAAATACACTGGTTCTTAGGAAACAAATTTTTAGAGGAAATTAGCAACTTTTTAACATTAAGGGACATCAGTATCACCCCTAAATTCCAGGATGGGGAAAAATAAAAAAACGGAACAAGGAGATAAAAAGAAAAAAAAGAGGTACACATGGAAAAAAAAAAAAAAGACTGCATAAAAAATATAAAGCATATCAACAACTTCCGTAGGTGCCATAAATGGACGGCTGTTAGAGGCTATTGGCTCCCAATTTTGGAGAACAACTGAGGCTGACGTTGTTCCTCATTAATGTGCATTAGATGGGAAGTAATGCTAGTCTTTGTGCGCTTCAAGCAATGGGTATCTATATCTATCTATGTATCTATATATACATATATATATATATATACATATATATATATATATTTTTTGAGACGGAGTCTCCCTCTGTCACCCAGGCTGGAGTGCAGTGGCGTGATCTTGGCTCACTGCAAGCTCTGCCTCCCGGGCTCATGCCATTCTCCTGCCTCAGCCTCCCAAGTAGCTGGGACTACAGGCGCCCAAAACCATGCCTGGTTAATTTTTTTGTATTTTCAGTAGAGACGGGGTTTCATTGTGTTAGCCAGGATGGTCTCAATCTCCTGACCTCATGATCTGCCCGCCTTGGCCTCCCAAAGTGCTGGGATTACAGGTGTGAGCCACCACGCCTGGCCCAATTTTTATATTTCTTAAGTAATCATTTATTTATAATTGATTAAAAAACTTCAGATTTGTGATTGGTAAATAATGTGAGATAATATAAAATATTAAGTACTTAAATAATTTGTGATTTTAAACATTTTAATAAATTTCTAGCTCAAGATTAAGCAAACTTTATGTAACAATTATAAATAATAAATATTAGGAATGTAATATAAATCTTTAAAAAACATTTTTATAATAGCTAAAACAATTTCATTTTGAGACATAATTTTATATGACTTAGGAGATATCAGTTTTGTGATGAGTATCATTAGCTAGATACATATTAGCCCCTGGATTTTTACTCCTATTCAATATGACATCTAAAATTATAATATGCTATTAAAAGATATGTGAAAGAGGTGAGGCCCATGCTTTTATTACAATGCTCTAGATAATCTTAGTCAATCTTAATATAATCTAGGATGCAACATCAAACAGATACCTATATAACAAAAATGTATTTCATTTAAAAGTGAAGTAATCATTAGACAAGCAGAGCCAGAGGCAAAAATGAGAAATTTACTCAAAATATTTAAAAATATCTTATAAAATCAACTAAAGATCAATATATATATAAAATGTCTTACCAGCTAGAGATTCCTCATATTTAAGAATGTGCTCAACTAGGTTATCAACAAGTTGAGTACAAGCTTTCTTCACAGGTTTATATGAGGAATCCTCTTCGGACTTCAACAACTATATATACATATATATATATATATATATACATATATATATACAAAAAAGAAAAAAAAATCCCGGTATAATTATTCATTAGGCAATAATAATATAAACACATTAAAAGTGTCCATAAGTAACATACTTTTCAATTTGTCATTAACAATTTAATACTCAAAGTGCAAATTAATAAAACAAAAATATATATGTTTAAAAATATCTTATAAACCAGTAATTTACCAATACTTTCAAACAATTTTACTACAAAGTACTTAAATTGCTGTGTAAGACCTAAGGTAATACGTGAAAGATGTAGAAAAGATGACCTTCCCTTTCTCCCTATTCCAATCAAAAACACAGTATCACATAATACTAGTTGAATTATTTTAAATAATTAATAACTGCATCTGAATTGCACCTTAAAAGGCAATTATAAAACATAACGGTAGATTTCTTTTCTGCATTATCCTTTGCAAAATCACAAACAATGCTAGAAAAGTGTTATGAATAATGAGATGAGGATAGAGCTCATTCTAAATATAGCTAAAAAGTAAAACCAATCTAATCTTTCATAATCAAAGGTCAACAGAAAAGTCATAAGGTATATCTGTTTTCCTAAGAAAAGCTAGCTAATCTAATTCTGGGGATATTGAAGGAATCTAAATGTGTATTTGATTTCTGTGAAGAGTTCCACTGCTGTTAAATATAACTTTCTCTGCAATAATGGAAATATTCTATATCTTTGCTGTCCAATATGGTTTCCAAGAGTCACATGCAGTTATTAAGCACTTGCAATGTACCTACTGTGACTGAGAAATTAAAATTAAATAAAATAAAAATTGAAATTAAGTTAACATTTAAAAAAATGCATGTGGCTTACAGTTGGGCACAAGCTTGGGCAGCACAAGCTTAAACTTTCCCCACAAGATGCATAAATGATTAAAACAACTGACAGCAACCAGAGTAACATAACACACACACTGCCCCTTTTCCTCCAATTTGAAGAAATAAATAAAGCAGACAGCTTCAATGTACTAGGTTTCAACTATGAACCGCAAATTCTTCCTGCCCCATTCTCTAATTTCCTTAAAGCAGCTATTAATATCACATTCTAGTTTGGTCTTTTCTGAGACAGGGTCTCATTGTCACTCAGGCTGGAGTGCAGTGGCACAATCAAAGCTCACTGCAGCCTTGCCCTCCCAGGCTCAGCCTCCCACACAGCTGGGACCACAGGCGTGAGCCATCGTGCCCAGCTTATTTTTGTACAGTTTGTAGAGATGGGGTTCTCTATGTTGCCCAAGCTGGTCTCAAACTCTTGGGCTCAAGTGATCCGCCTGCCTTAGCCTCCCATAGTGCTGGGATTATAGGCATGAGCTACCATGCCCGGCCTAGCTTGGTCTTTTATTTAACGGCAGGAGTAGAAAACTATCCTCTCTCATCCTTGGTTTTTCCTTTTTCATTTCCAAGGCTTCAGGTACACACAAAAGAATTAATCATAAATTTTGACTCATGACACACTGTTGCCACTCGTATATGCCCTTCTAATTTACTAATAAATAATGGCATACTTTGAATCCAAATCAAGAACACGAATAATTTTAATATCTTGTAGCTCCCAATGTGCTCCTTCCCTTATCCCATTTTCCTGTTTCACACTTGAGATAACCACTATCAGAAATTTACCATCTCCTTGTTTTTAAAAAAAGTATAAGCTGTATGCTATTTATATTTTTCTTTGATTTTCCACTTTCTAAAAAGGTAGTATACTTGATGTAGTCTTCTGAGATTTGCTTTTTTCACTCATCATTATGCCACTATGATCTAGGTTACTGCATACAGCTGTATTTTACTGATTTTCTCTGCTGTACAACACCCCACTGTGTGCCTATACCTTAATTCATTTATCCACTCTTTTGTAGATAGGTTAATCCCAATTTTAGTACAATAAGCACTCTTGTATATGCCTCCTGATGCAAATATGCAAGATTCTTTTGTGTGTATATATATTTGAAGTCGAATTGCTGGGTCATTGGATACATGCATTGTTCAACTTCACAAGATAATGCTTTTATGAGATAATTTTATGAAATCATTTTTCAAGTGGCTGTAATACTTTCTCAATTATTATCTGTATTAAAAGACACTACCTGATCCCTCTTTTCCATTACTTGTGATTGTCTGACTTCTCCATTTTTGTCAATAAAATGGTGTAGAATGTGGTCTTGATTTGTATTTCTTACTTTACTAATGGGGTTGAACACAGTATAGGTCCTATATGCTATTTTCTCCATGAAATGCCTATTAATTAACTTTACCTATTTTTCTACTGGGACTCTTGACTTACACTGGTTTTGTAGGAGAGAAGTTCTTATGTATTTATTCTCGGTATTAATTGTTGGTTATATATGTGCCAAATATCTTTTCCCATTTTGTGACTTGTATTTTCACTTTCTTCAATCTTTTAAGGTTAATGGTTTTTGTGACTTGTTTAAGGCATCCTTTCCTACTCAGAGATCAAAAATATATTCAGGCTGGGCATGGTGGTGCATGCTTGTAGTCCCAGCTACTCAAGAGGCTGAGGTAGGAGGATCACTTGAGCCTAGGAGTTTGAGTCCAGCCTGGGCAACACAGCAAGACCAAGCCATTAAAAAAAAAAAAAAAAAAAATATATATATATATATATATATATATGTGTGTGTGTGTGTGTGTGTATGTACATATACACACACATATGTAATTAAAAATTTTTTTCTCCTATATTTTCTAAAAGTTTTAAAGTTCTCCTTTAATCTATATGGAGTTGATTTTTGAGCTGAAGTAGGAATCTTTTTTTTTTAATTCTTATGGACAGTCAAATATCCCAACCCCATTTACTAAACAGTCTATCTTTTCTCCATCATCTGCAGTGCCACTTCTGTTTTATAGCAAGCATATTCTATATGTGTAAGCCTGTTTTCTGGGATCTCTATCCTGTTCCATTGTTCTATTTCGTACTAATCTACTTATTACTGCTCTTAATTATGTAATGTATCTTTGAAAATAAGTCCCAATATTTTGTAAGGCAAGTCAGTGCTTCAGCTTTTTTCAGAAATTAGTTATTTTTACCTTTTCTCTGCTTTTCCATATACATTTTACAATCACTTTGATATATTTAAATTTTTTTATTCATGATTTGAAGAAAGCTCACAGTTTCCCATTTTGCATTATTTTCATTTTAGGTTTTGTAGTTTTATCTGTCAGATTAAGGAATTTACATTGTATCCTTGTTTATTATAAGTAATCATTCAAGGATATTGAATTTTATCAAAAGTTTTTCTTGCCCACTCTGAAATGATTTCTTCTACTTTAATGTTAACCTACACACATATATTAGCCATGCACTTATAATATAAATAAGAAGTAATCAAGGTGCATAAAATTTTTTTAAAGTATAATTTAGCTTGCTCACTTAAAAAATATCTTTTAAAGGTACCAACATTCTCAGTGATACAGGTATATTTTTTACACCATCTTAATATTACGAAAAATTTCAGCCAAACAAAAGAGTTGAAAAAAGTTTTATCATGAACACTCTCTAACGACCATCATCTAGATTCTACCATTAAAAACATTTTTGGTGAGTGAGATAGAGTCTCACTCTGTTCCCCAGAAGAAAGGGCAGTGGCACAATCATAGTTCACTGCAGCCTAAAACTCCTGGGCTCAAGTGATCCTCCTGCCTCTGCCTCCCACGTAGCTGAATTTACAGGCACAGGCCACAATGCCCAGTTAATTTTATTTATTTATGTTTTTCAGAGATGGGGTCTCAGTACATTGTCCAGGTTGGTCTAAAACTCCAGGCTTCAAATGATCCTCCTGCCTCAACCTTCTAAGAGGCTGGGATTCTGGGTGCAAGCTACTGAGCCTGGCTCCTGGATCCTACCTTTAAGATTTTTTCTGCTGGGATGAACACACACACTACACACACACACACACACACACACACACACACACACACACACACACACACACGTATACATGTATGCATATGCATACACACACACCTATATCCATTTTACTTTCAATGCATTTCAAGGTAAACTGGAGACTTCAGTATACTCCCCGTTTTTTCCTTGAGATAAAATGTACATGCAATAAAATGCACAAATTTTTAGTGTACATTTGCTCAGTTTTGTCAAATGCATTCACCACTGTAACTCAAGTCCCTACACCAATATACAGAACAGTTGTTCTCAATCGTCAACTTATATCTGAATCATCTGGAGAGAGACTGTTAAAATACAGAATGATGGGCTCTACCCTCAGAGTTACTGATGAATTAAGTCTGGAGTAGGGCCTAAGAATTTGCATTTCTAATAAAACTCCAGGTAATGCTGGTAACCTTTAGAACCACTGATAGGGACCATAACTATCATCCCTGAAAGTTCCCTCATGTCCTTTCCCAGTCAATCCCCAGCTCCCTGCAGCCACTCTTCTGATTTTTTCCAGTATAGATTAGTTTTACCTCTCCTAGAATTTTGTATAAATGGAATTATAATATGTACTCTTCTACGTAAGGCTTCTTTTACTCTGCACAATGTTTTCATTATTTATCTATGTTGCTGTATGTATTAATACCCTGTTCCTTTTTGATGTGGAGTACTATTAAATTGCATGGGATTGTCATAGTTTATTTATCCATTCACTGGTTGATAGAGATAAAATATTTTATTGTAAACTCGGAAAGATCTTGCTCTGGATTACAAAGGACAGGAAGAGATGAAACAGGTTACTCTTAACTGTTTTTCATTGCCTGTATTTTCCTTACAAACTAGAAAATGGTCAGTCTTAGATCTTAAGTAATTAAAATGAATGGCACTGTAAAATCTATTTAATTTTTGTGTACCCATCACATGGCTATCAATGTGTTTTTTGAAGAAGACTGTCATAAAGGGCTACTCAATTTATGGTAGTGGTTTAAACTAACTGGAGTACATTTTAGAAATAAAAAAAATGTGAGGACCTTCAGGACAGAAGTTAATCTTCCACATCCTACTGAAAAATGCCAAAAAACTATGAATTGTTAAAGGTTATAAAGGAATGATAGCACCATACATTTAAAAATGACATACTGGCCAGGCACGGTGGCTTGCGCCTATAATCCCAGCACTTTGGGAGGCCAAGGTGGGCAGATCACCTGAGGTCTGGAGTTCAAGACCAGCCTGGCCAACATGGTGAAACCCCGTCTCTACTAAAGATATAAAAAAATTAGCCAGGCGTGGTGGTGGGTGCCTGTAATTCCAGCTACTCGGGAGGCTGAGGCAAGAGAATCACTTGAACCCAGGAGGCGGAGGTTGCAGTGAGCGGAGATCGTGCCACTGCACTCCACCCTGGGCGACAAGAGTGAAACTCCGCCTCAAAAACAAAAACAAAAGATATACTAAAAGCTTGAGTAATATAGTGACATCCTGTCTCAAAAAAAAAAAAAAAAAAAAAAAAGGCTAAACATGGTGGTGCATGCCTGTGGTTCCAGCTACTTGGGAGGCTGAGGAAAGAGGACTGCTTGAGCCAGGGAGGTTGAGGCCACAGTGGGCCATGATGGTGCCACTGCACTCCAGCCTGCATGACACAGCGAGACCCTGTCTCCAAAAAAAAAAAGATATACTAACATAATTATTTAGACAATGAACAGAGTTTAGTACATGTGGGAATTTGAAGCTATTTTAGTAGTACTTCAAGTTTCCCTAAAAAAAAATTCAATAAATGGGGAGAGTCAATGATCTACAAAAAACAAACAACAACAACAAACCCCAAAAACCCAATCCAAAAATAAAAATTAGAAATATCTGAAATTGGACTGAATGCAATGCATGCATATGTGCTCATGTAAAAACAGTAAGCATGTTAATTATTCTGGACTCAAGAATTTGTAATAACTCCAGCAGTCCATTCTTTATATCCTTCCTAGCTTTTCTTAACATTTATGCATATATGTTATAATTGCTCAGAGTAGTTATGTCTCTGTCATATATATATATATGAGTTTGCTTTCTTTCACTAAACCAAACTCTGCTAGTATAAGGAAATATATCACAAAGTCACAATATCATTGGTAAACTAAGTTGCTGGCAGAAACTAAAGTAGGAAAGCATAGAATAGAGAGCATGAATAGGATGGATAAACTAACTTACTAACTAAATAAATGGGACTAGAGAATAAAGATACAAAGAATGTACAAGTAAAACTATCATTGTTAAGAGAGTATAAATCTGGTCATGTCCCTTCTGCTTCTAATTTGCTAATACAAGATGACATTATTGTAGATTCTTTTTAGTAATCCTAAATAGTGACATTTCTGATAATTACATTGAATTCTTACTTGATCATTTATAATAACTATCAAATGAAATATATGATTTAGAGCCTTTTAGAAATCATGATGTACCTTTTGGGATGGCTGACATAAACTTAACTAAGGTGGTCATAAGGTTCTATGATATAGAGCTAACTATTTGATTTAGGAAAGAAATGATGCCAAATATATCATGTAAAAATATGAAATGAAAGATGATTTAAGAAGACAGTCTAAGATTACACATTGAAAACACCATGAAGGTTTTTTAAAAAAGACATCTTAAGAAAGTAATGTACTACTTTTACCACCACACCAAAATGGCTAAAGTTTTAAAAAAAGTGACAATAATGAGAACTGGTGAGGATGTGGAGCAACCGGAACTTTCATACACTGATGGTGGAAATGAAAAATGGTTTAGCAATTTTGGAAAAACATTTTGGCAGTTTCTCACTCACCATATGACCCTGTAATCACATTCCTGGGAGTTTACCCAAGATAAATGAAAACATACATCTACACAAAACCTTACACACCAATATTCACAGAAGCATTATTCATAACACCCCAAACTGGAAAGAACCCCAAAGTCCACAAAATGGTGAATGATAAAGAAATTATGATATATCCACACTACTGAAACTACTCAGTAATAAAAAGATATATTAATATATTAGCAACAAGAATGAATCAACATTCTAAGTTTAAAAAGTCAAACACAAGATTACATACTGTATGACTCCATTGATAGGAACAATGTACATGAAAAGGTACAACTACAGTGAGAAAAAGTAGATCAATAGTTTTCTAGGGCCAGGAAGAGAGGATCAACTGCAAAAAGGCATTTTAGGGTGAAATCCTGTATGTTCATTGTGTTGGACGTTACATGACTGTATATCATCACTTAAATTCATCAAAGATCAATCACTGAAAATGAGACAACTAGATATGTGCTTCCTGCTGTGATGCAATAATATTCAACACCACCTATGAGGTATTTGTCTCCTAGATTAAAAATTGAACTTTAATCATATTAAGCCTCTAGATTTCACTAAGAGTTTACTTGAAAACTGGTGGATAGAGGAACAACTTAAATGACACCAGAAAAAAAGTGGACTATTAAATCCAGAATGTGGGAGATTCTACAGAAAAACATACAAGTCGCATGAGAAAAGGGAGGTAAGGGGCAAACTAACATAAGAGACTTAAGAGTATATCAACCAAAGCAACTGCAAACCAACTATAAAAATACATTTTTGAGACAGGAAAATATGAACACTGAATAGGTATTAGTTATGGAATAATGCATTATTATTTTGGTATAAATGATAATTTTTTAAAAAAGTCATCTGCTACAGATAGATAGATGCTAAAGTATTTATGAATGAGATAATATAAAGTTTGGCCTTTGTTTTAAAAGTATTACAGGCTGGGCATGGTGGCCCACACCTGTATCTCAGCACTTTGGGAGGCCGAGGTGGGCAGATCACCTGAGGTCAGGAGTTTGAGACCAGCCTGGCCAACATGGCGAAACTTCATCTCTACTAAAAATACAAAAATTAGCTGGGTGTGGTGGCAAGTGCCTGTAACCCCAGCTACTTGGGAGGCTGAGGTAGGAGAAACCCTTGAACCCAGGAGGCGGAGGTTGCAGTGAGCCGGCCAAGATGGCGCCACTGCACTCCAGTTTGGGCAACAGAGTGAGACTCTATCTCAAAAAAAAAAAAAAAAAAAAAGTATTATGGAAAACAAAAGAAGAAAGAAAGAAAAGGAGAAAACCAGATAGGGGAAGGATAGCTATAACAAGACTGGGAAAATGCTGATAATTTTTGAAGCTGGGTGATGGATATTTCTGCCTGTGTGAAATTTTCTAAAATAAAAAATTTAACAATTCATAGGGAGATAAACATTTCTATTTATGAAACTTAAAAAAAACCCACTAGTTGTGGTTTGACTCTGTACTACTAAAGGAAATTCTATGCATAACATACTAAATCATGTAATTATATTTTTAATGCAATATATTGATCCATTTATAAATCTTGTATCTATTAATCACAGAGATTAAAGAAAAAAAATTATCTGGAAAGAAAGTAAGATAGAATTTTAGTTAATGATTCAGAAAACTTACTTGTACAATAGACAACTGAAGGCCAGGCGCAGTGGCTCATGCCTATAATCCCAGCACTTTGGGAGGCCGAGGCACGCAGGTCACCTGAGGTCAGGAGTTTGAGACCAGCCTGGCCAACATAGTAAAACCCCGTCTCTACCAAAAATACAAAAATTAGCCGAGTGTGGTGGTGGACACCTGTAATCCTAGCTACTCTGGAGGCTGAGGCAGGAGAATTGCTTGAACCCAGGAGGCAGAGGTTGAAGTGAACCAAGATTGTGCCACTGCACTCCAGCCTGGGCGACAGAGTGAGAGAGCGAGACTCCACCTCAAAAAAAAAAAAAAAAAAAAAAAAACCACAACCAGGCAACTGAATTAATTATAGAAATTAACAAAATCATCCAGCCTAACATATTGAAATAAATTTTCCCTACCAAAAGAACTAAAAAGGTTCTTTTAAATCATACAGTCCAAAAAAAAAAAAACACCAACAACAAAAAACTAACCTATTAAATTTTAGGTTATCAGGAGTCAAAAGAACACTCACGTTTTGAAGCAGTTGCTCAAACCAGTCATATCCAGTATCTCTGCATGCTGCAACCTAAGGGTGATGAAAAGAATCAAAGTTAGAAGTATATTTATAAATGTGAATAAAATATACTTTTGTTATGCTTTAGCCTGAAACATGTTTCAATTTTCTCAATTCAAAAGTTTATTTTTAAAGTAAACTATTTTTTCAGTAACACAACCATTTACCAACGTTACAGAACTTTATTCTAAAAAATATCTTGGAAAACATTGAAGAAATTAGTTTAATGTATTGAGGTTTAATATGGCACTAAATGTTTAAAGTGGCATAAGTTTAAAATGGCACAATAACTTGAACTACACTCTGTGAGGAAAATCTGTAATATCTTAAACATTAAGAACAAAAATATTTTTCTTATTACGCTTCTAGATGGCACATTTTAAAGACATCAATAGAAATGTAGAAGATGATGTAATTGAATATACAGAATTTTTCTTTCTTTTCTTTTTTTTTTTTTGAGAAGGGATCTTGCTATTATATTGCCCAGGCTGGAGTGTAGTGCCTATTCACAGGCATGATTACAGTATACTGCAGCTTTGAACTCCTGGTTCAAAGATCTCTTGATCCCCCGTCTCAGACTCCTGAGCAGCTGGGATTATAGGCATATGCGCTGTGACTGGCAAAAATTTCTTATATTAAAAACACAAAATGTATAGCTTATGCATAATAAAAAATGTAGCTAATCCATATTCATAATTTCTGAAAAAAGTAGGCATTACTATCTTTGCAGATTATTACCCTTGGGCGATTGTATCTGTTCTTCCATTTCTCCTTTCCCTCCCTGTTTTTAATTGCTGGAGGAATAGGAAAATCTCAGTATCAGTGTTTACATCAATTAATGCCAAGAAGTAGGGCTATATGGAAGCATCAACGACATGTTACTTGCATCCCTTCAGCATCTCCAGAAATATAAAGTAAAGGCAGCAGTACGAAATGTCAAGATTAATGAAATATCTCATTATTGTCTCTTCCTTCATAAGACATGTAGGCCTCAATTAGGTCTGGATCAACAGTGACCACACCCTTGTTCCAGTCCTTCTTACCACATCGGTAATGTTTAAAATTTTCCTTGTCATTGCTTCTTTGTCATTGTGTGGAGTTGGAGTAAACCAGAGTTTCTGGAATGTTTCATTTACTAATTTCTAGAAGGAAGAGAAATTTCAAATTAACTAATTATAACAAATACGGCAATTTCACAATTCCAAATTCTCATTAGGCCCAACACAAAGCTATAAATAACTAATCAAAACACAAACTGCCAGGAATTTCTGGTATTAATTTCCTCAGTTTTTTCTAAAACTACTAATTTCTCAAAACTATAAAAATTTTCAATTTGGTAAAGATTTTAAACAATACGAATGGGTGATACTATCCCTAGCCTAGAACTTCTTCATACTATACACTCAAATGTTTATGATCAAACTAAAAAATATATTTACTGCTTTTGGAGAAGAAGTTGTTACAGTGTTTGCTAAACTTAAAAAAAAGGGACAATTATACATATTATTATATATAAATGTAAATTTACTAATGAATTTAGGACTAAACTTAAAATTTTTTTTTTATGGATACATAATAGCTGTACACATTTATGAAGTATAGTTGAACTTTTGATACAAGCATACAATGTATAATGATCAAATCAGGGTAACTGGGGTATCCATCGCCTCAAGCACTTACCATTTCTTTGTGTTAGGAACATCCTATTTCCATTCTTCTAGTTATTTTTAAATGTACAATAAGTTATTGTTAACTATAGTCACCCTATTGTGCTACTGAACACTAAATTTTATTCCTTCTGGGTGTATTTTTGATAACTGTGAACCAACCCCTCTTTATTCAACCCCTCACAACCCTTCCCTCCCTCTGCTAACCATCTTTCTATTCTCTATCTCTATGAGATAAATTTTTTTTAAGCTTCCACGCATGAGTGAAAATATGTGCTATTTTCTGTGTCTGGCTTATTTCACTTAACATAATGAAACAAAGTATTTATTTAATAATTTAGAAAACTAAAATCATTTGAAAATTAAAATAATCCCATGAGAAACCTTTGAATATAATGCAATCTCTTATAATAACAATCAATAAATCAATCAACACACACATGCACATTTTTTGAGATGGAGTCTCACCCTTGCCCAGGCAGGAGTGCAGTGGCAAGATTACAGCTCACTGCAGCCTTGAATTCCTGGGCTCAAGTAATCTTCCTGTGTCAATCTCTAGAGTAGCTGGAACTATAGGCATGCTCTACTATGTTTGGTGAAATTTTTAAAAATTATTTTCATCATTTTATTTTTTATAGAAATAGGATTCTTACTATGTTGCCCAGGCTGATCTCCAACTCCTGGCCTCAAGCCATTCTCCTGCCTTGGCCTCCCAAAGTGCTGGGATTATAGGCATGAGCTACTATGGCCAGTCTTAAATAAATATTACCACTGAGGAATTGGTTGGTTAAAATCAGATTATAATACTTAATATAAAAATCTAGAAACAAAAAAAATTAAAGTATGTATTTTTCTTAAGTTTATAAACTATAAACGATTCATTGTAAAGTGTTTGGATATATTTAAAATCAACATTTAGGTGCAATAAACATTTAACTTATTTTAAACATTAATGAAAAATAAATTTAAAACAGTCAACACTACCTTAATGCCCTCTTCATCATTGACTCTGCGAATCATTTTTACACACATTTCTGTGATTTTTGGAAATGTTGGTTGTTCAATACAAATGTCTCTGAGAATCTTTATTACTCTTTTCCTGACACTGATACCAGTATCCTAAAAACAGAAAGGTATTTTTAAGAGTCAGAAAAATTGAGATGCCTAGTGTATGAAATTAGAAAATAAGTATCCATACGCAGTATATTCACTATTTGTTAACATGATAAACACACTTGACATATTTGCTTTTTACATGCTTTCTGCTACTATAAATGTGTTATTTTTTTATGTTGTCTTTACTTTTAAAGTATGATATCTAAGACATAGAAACATATTTTATAGTTAAGCCCTGGACACAAGACTAGAAGTATACGCTTGTCAAAATTAAATGAGAAAACAAACATAAGCTTTAGAATAGTGTCTGGCACTTAAACAGCACATGAAGTATCACTTAAAAGTAGACTTCATAAAAATGTTTAACCTGAATCTAATCAAACCTTTGGCACTATCTTATGGTTACTTCTTTTTTTTTTTTGGGATGGAGTTTTGCTCTTCTCGCCCAGGCTGGGGTAACAATGGTGCGATCTCAGCTCACTGCAACCTCTGCCTCCCAGGCTCAAGCGATTCTCCTGTCTCAGCCTCCCGAGTAGCTGGGATTACAGGTGCATACCACCACGCCTGGCTAATTTTTGTATTTTTAGTAGAAACAGTGTTTCACCATGTTGTCAGGCTGGTCTTGAACTCCTGACCTTGGGTGATTCACCCGCCTCAGCCTCCCAAAGTGCTGCAATTACAGGCATGAGGCACTGCGCCTGGCCTATCTTATGGTTTATAAGAGATACAAAACACAAGTTAAATTAAACGAAGTGTGGGAAGATAACAAAACCGATCAGGCCTTTTTAATCCGTCAATGTCATATGGGATGTAAAAAAAAAAAAAAAAAAAAAAAAAGAATAAGAAAATAGTCTTCAATTTTAAGACATGACCCCCAAATGCAATGTATTACCTTTGACTGAATTCTGATTCTTAAAAAAGAAGAATGAAAAAACATTTTTAGGACAATGGAGGATCTAAGAACTAGTATTCAGATGATACTAGAGTGCTAATTTGGGTGAGATAATGGTTTTGTTTATATAGCACAGTATCTTTTTTTGGTGTTACAAACTGAAGTGTTCACAAGAAAAGAAGTAAAAAATGTTTGACTTAAAATAATTTAGCAGAAAGTACAGATGAAGTATGGAGGTAGGTACAAGGGTGTTCACTGTACTATTTTTCTTTAACAAACTTTCATATTAAAGAGTTTTAAAAATAAAAAGCATCATACATGAAGTGTGCAAAATTATTAATCTCCATTATGTGATTTTAGCAATCCCCAAAATATTTTAGGATATTTTACTAGGGTTACAAATATCAGAGTTTATCAGATACGTGGGAATCCTGTTGATTTTACCCTTCAAAAGATGGAAGCCCTAAGAAGGAAAAAAATTTTTCCAGCTTTTCTTTAAATTATTTGTTTCTCAACCAAGATTTATGCCTAGTTGAAGCTAAAAATGACTCTATACTTCTGTCACACAATGTTCTGATATTAGGCCAAGGGTGACAAAATAAACTCTTGTCATTGAGGTAATACTTAATTTTGTGCACTAGTGCATCTATGTTGAGTTCTACAATAAGTCAATATGCCTGCAATGGGTAGTGTGGAGATTCCACAGATATTTCCTAATGCCAATGTTTCCTTTCATTTTTCAGAAAAATGCTTCAGAGCCAGAGAATTCCATGATGTATGTAGAACCTCTTTAGTTTGCTCTTAAACCTCAATGGACTTTTGGGCTTAACTTGTAGGTATCTGAGCTATCATTAATCAGCTTTAAGGAAACAAGAAGATGCACCTAAGGGATCCAAAAATATTGTCAGGTACCAACGTTCTGTACGTGTCTCTCACTGAAATAATTCTTCCTGTTTATATATATACATACATAAATATATACATAAAATCACTCTAGATTCTTGTTCAAAAACATTTAACTACCCCATGTGGTTCCTATCATCTACTCATTGTAAACTGGTATAATTAAAAAGAAACAGCAACTGAAAAAAGGAATCCAATTATTACCAATGATTTGTTTTATGATATTGCAAGGGCTATTCTTGAAAATATGTACTTGTTTAGAAAGTGGCAATAGTTCATAAATTTGACAATATAAATATATAATTGGTACATTTATTTTTCTAACTTAACACTTTAAAACAAAACATGATGCTTGAAAGGCAAAATTATATTCACGAATCATTATAAAAATGACAAACATACCAATATTCTTTCAATCAGCATATCATAATACTGTTCAGCAAGCTGAGGTCGACAAAGGACAAATCGACCTAGTAATTCTACTGCTGCTTCTCGGACACTAGTCGAATTATCCATCAATCGTCCATGAACACCTCGTTGCATATCAAGCTAAAGAAAAATGAAGAGAAAAAAACAATTTATACCTAAATAGAGTGAATATTCCAATTCGAGTAGAAAAGAAAGAATCATTTTTGCTCTTTACCCTTGCTAGAATACTGGGGTCTACAGCAACAACCTCAGACAAACACTTCATGGCTTTTGTTCGAACAGCAATTGCATTTTCACCAAGAACTCGTAGGATCTGCCAAGCAAACATTGACATTTTTGTAAATTTTAGAATACATAAAATTTAATTAAAAATAGCATGAAAACATGCAAAAGAAAACAAATCTATTATTTACCTCTCTTTAATCTGTATATAAATGAGTAAAGGATCTTTCCTAATGATTCAAAGTTTAACTTAAAAATCAGTACAGGTGTTAAGTGTATAGTCCATACTTTGGAGCCTTTCGTTTATCCAATTAAACCTGTTTTTTAATTGTTTTGCTTCATTTGCAGAACCTGTAGCCCCATTAAAACCTTGCTATGTGTAACTTGAATCAAAGATATTTAGTATCATTCAAATCATAATTTGGTAGTTGAATGTTTTGTATTTTATTACTTTATTTTTTGGGATGGAGTCTCGCTCTGTCGCCCAGGCTGGAGTGCAGTGGCGCAATCTCGGCTCCCTGCAACCTCCATCTCCCGGGTTCAAGCGATTCTCCTGCCTCAGCCTCCTGAGTAGCTGGGACTACAGGCACATGCCACCATGGCAGCTAATTTTTTGTATTTTTAGTAGAGATGGGGTTTCACTGTGTTAGCCAGGACGGTCTTGATCTCCTGACCTCGTAATCTGCCCGCCTTGGCTTCCCAAAGTGCTGGGATTTAGTTGGATGTTTTTATAATGTCACTTACTCTACTGATACTGTATGTGTGTGCATTCATACAAATATATATTTGTAAAACAAGAATATGTAAAAGGGATGTAGAACAAGGACTTTCTTTTTTTGTTTGAGATGGAGTTTCCCTCTTGTTGCCCAGGCTGGAGTGCAATGGCACGATCTCGGCTCACTGCAACTTCCACCTCCCAGGTTCAAGCAATTCTCCGGCCTCAGCCTCCCGAGTAGCTGGGATTACAGGCATGTGCCACCACGCCCCGCTAATTTTTGTATTTTTAGTAGAGACGGGGTTTCACCATGTTGGTCAGGTTGGTCTCGAACTCTTGACCTCAGGTGATCCACTTGCCTTGGCTTCCCAAAGTGTTGGGATTACAGGCGTGAGCCACTACACCCGGCCGGAGAACCTAAAAACAAATACTACATCTATGATCTTTTAAGTATCTGTACTCAACAATGAATGATATTATATACTGCTCACAAGCATCCAGAATCAGAAAAATCAATATCACTGTATAAGGAATTCTTATCCAGTTTACCTGTGTCAAATAAATATCAAAGCTCTGGGCAAACGGCCTCATGGAGGCCAAGTATCGAACAATCAAGCAAGCATCATCATAGTCCACAGTATCAGAGTTCATCCTGCAACAAAAAGTCATTAAAAATTTATTTTTCTTTTTTTGTAACTTAGGGAAATAGATATCAAGGAGATAAATGTAAACTGTTTTCTCCTTGGATCTTACTTTAATGTGCTAAACTGAGAAGGTGTGGTTTTGATAATGCTTCTAAGAAACTTTTTTCGGTTTTCAGCTCGATGCATAATTTGGCCAGTTGTCTCAATTTCCTTTGCATGATGTGTTCCTTCAGATGATTCTTCATCTTTTTGTGATTTCATTGCTTTTTCTGTTTCCAGAGTTGTGTCTCGAAACCACTGGGCTATATAGAATTTACGAGAAAACTGGAAAGAAATTAGACAGACTTGAGCTTGATGAAATTAGCAACAAGATTTCCAAGTTAATAAAGTTAGAGTGCTCACATTACAGGAATACAAATATTAAAGTTTACTTTAAAACAACTTCCATGTGATAAAAACAGATTTTAAGAAAGCCAGAAAATATAGAATATCCTAAATGTTAGAAAACTTATTATTTTACTATGTTCCAATACTTATATTAATGAAGTCAAGATAATTTGATAAACACAACTGTATTAAATATAGAATACTATTATCAACTACTTAATCAAGGACAACATCATGACAAAGTTAAACAGATGATGGGTCAACTAGGAAAGTTTAAAACAAATTGATAAAATGCTGAAGGTAGAAGACTTCATCTGTTTTCAAATTTTGCCTTAGTTCTCCAAGAAACACACAAGACAATTGTCACTGAAATAGTTTAACACTGAGACACACCTGTAAATCTGTTCCTTTGAATACAAACTGAAAACCTACAGTATTTGGCTGAAGAGCTTAGTAGTATCCCATTTCTTTCAATTGCATATCCCACCAGTTAAAAAATAAAATAAAATATCTCTATGTATAATGTTCTCAAATAATAGTTTATAAATTTTGTACATGAACCTCTTATACTAATATTTTGGTTACATTGTGTAACATACATGAAATAGAAGTAAAATTATATTTAAAAATATACATATAAAAATCCAATAGTTTATTTTTACAGGCTTATAGATCATCTCATGTACCACTCGGCCCATACTCACTCTGAGAACCAATGACCTAGCCTAGCCTCAAAGATCACTTACGGAGAGACTTCCAAATATTTCTCTTGTCACACAATTTTAGTACAGTACAGTATCTGTAACCAGAATTCCATATAAGACAAATCAACCCAAAGCATTCTTTTCTGTTTAGATTATCAAGTATCCCTTTGTTTTGAAAATCAATATTCCAAACAACTTAAGTTTTCCTCTTCATCATGCTACCTCCCAATTTTCTTAAACCCAATTTAAATAAACATGTAGTATCTCCAAAACAGGGGAAAAGAATCCTACCACTAGTGAAGGATCAGTCTCAGTGTTTTCATCCAAGTAATCAAGCAATGCTTTTTGTAATTGTTGGATTTCATCTTCCCCTCCTGAAACCTATAGAATAAACCAAATAAGAACAAAAAAGATATTACTGGTGTGCTTTAATAAATCACCTAATTGTAAACACAAATCTGAAGGAAAAACTGATATTAAAAATGAAAATACAACCACAGTAACTAAAAGGAAAAAACAGAAAAATATTATTTCCGAAAAATATTATATATTGATAGCTGAAGTTTGCCTTTTTTGTTTTACTTTTTTTGAGATGGAGTTTCACTCTGTCGCCCAGGCTGGAGTCCAGTGGCACTATCTCGGCTCACTGCAATCTTTGCCTCCTGGGTTCAAGCAATTCTCCTACCTCAGCCTCCCTAGTAGCTGGGACTACAGGCATGGTCCACCATGCCTGGCTAATTTTTGTATTTTTAGTAGAGACAGGGTTTCACCATGTTGGCTAAGCTGATCTCGAACTCCTGACCTCAAATAATCCACCCTTCTGAGATTACAGGTGTAAGCCACTGCGCCCGGCCATTATTTTTATGAACCATATGTCATTTTTTAAAAAAAGAGCTCATAGGTAGTTGACATAAAAATGATCAGAAAAATGTGTTAAATCTTCAGAGGTAGGAAGAATTTCCTTTTGGAAATATGTGTTGAGAGCCATAAAAATTTACAAATGATCCTTCCCCTTGAGCTGCACAATGTATAATCAACATAGCCATACATGGCAATAAGAGGTTCCAGGCCCACTTTAAGAAATACAGAAAGTCATCCAGTAACTAGATCTTGGTTTCTACATTACAATTCACCAACAAAAGGAACCAAGATTCCTAGGAGAAACAACTGATCCCAGGGCAGGGGTAGGGAAGGTAAAAGATCTGCCTGAAATACCTTTTTGTTCTAGAAAGCCCTCAAATTATGATGGGAATATATCAAAATGATATAAAAGCCAGCTTCAAAGGGTTCTCATTGATCAAATCTAGGACGATTTGAGCATTAAAATAATGATGGCAACAAATTATAATTTACCAGAGTAGGTATTGTATTACATCAGATGTTAATATTGTATTAATGATAATTTTTTGCTTTTGATAATTGTACTATAGATATTTAAGTGAGAGCTCTTGTTTGCAGAAATATACACTAAGCAGTGGTTCCCAAGTTTCAGCATTCATTCATTCATTAGAATCACCTGGAGGGCTTGTTAAACCAAGAGTTTTTGATTCAGTAGGTCCAGGGAGGGTCCTAAGAATTTGTACTTTTGTTAGAAATGTACTTGTTAGTTCCCAGATGATTTCAATGTTGGTGTTACTTGTCAAGGGGATCATACTTGGAAAATCACTGCATTAGAGAATTCAGGGGTAATGAGGGAATCATGTCTGCAACTTAACTTCAAGTGGTTCGAAACAAAATTTAAAAAAAAATGCATATACAGACACACATACATCTATATTTTGAAAGATGAGAAAGGAAATTTTGTAAATTGTCAATAATTGAGGAATTTGCAAGAAGCTTTTATGGGAGTTCTTTGTACTATTCCTACAATTTTTCTCTAAGGTTGAGATTATTTCAAAACACGAACTATAGCTAAAAAAAAATTAGAGGCATTTCTACCAACATGGATATGATTACGAGCATAAAAAAAGACTAGAAAAAAATGAAAACAGAAGTTGTATATAGTAGGATTAGAAATCATTTCTTCACCAGTTTTCTCAAGTAACTTTATTACTACCACTTCATCCACATTAAAAAAAAAAAAGCAATAAAACACTTTTTCCCCCAAGATGAAAACTCTCTAATGTAATAAAGTATAAAAAAGCTCTCCTCACACCTCCTTGGTATGAGAAGATACAAAACATTCAAAAGTACAAAACAATCTTATTGTGTATGCTAAATCACCATTCAGTAAATTAAAAACTTAAATAAAATTTATGTTAAATCAAATATAAAACAGCATTATACATTATTAAGAGTACTTCACAAAAAGAAAGTAAATGATTTATATGAACCATTCAGAAGTCCCTGTTAGACTAAATAATTCATTCTCAGGTCTTAAAATTTCTCACTGGGGCTTTGAAAAGCCCACTTTTAGAAGTAAAAATCTTATTTTGAATCCACACAAAATGAAATGCAAAACTAATGTAAGGACATGCAAAGAAAATAACTATTATTCATTCCCATAATTTTAATCTTTTATCTTAGTACCTGTTTTAAAATGCGTTCTATAGATCCTTGATCCATTTTGCTTGTAACAGCATCTTTTCTTAGCCGTGCAGCAACAGTTCCAAGGTAATCAAGAGATGCCACTCTTAAAGCCATCTCTGTTGACTTGTTACTGAACTGATGAACCTAAATATCAAAATAGTTTTTGATTGAATAGATTTATAACAATATATTTTAAATAGCAATTTATCATATAAATTCCCAATCTAAATTGTATAATTTAAAATTTAAACTTTTTTTTTTCCTGTGATATTGTCCCATAAAGTCATTTTTGCCTTTTGATTTTCTGGAATCTGAACATTTTCATGTGACTAAAAAAATTACAGATTAAACTTCCTTAAGAACAACACAACTCATTAAATATGCAGGCTCAACTGTATTATTTGCACAAAATGTGGTATTACTGAGTAAGAATTTCTTAGGGTGGAATTCTGATGCCTATGAAAAGTTATTATAGTTTCCGAATAATATTAACATATTTTCCCATTCACAAAAAGGTCCCAGAAGCTTTGTAACAATGTGTATTGTGCAAGTTCAAATGTAGTTTAAAAATAGAGTCACAACATTTCTTTGCATTTACCTACTGTGTTACATGACGACTACAAAATGCCATACATTTGTAGAAATACTCTTAAAGATGATAAGGAGTCTATATTAATCATTTTCTTGCTTTGAAATGAGTAACTTATGACTCAGTGTTGAGATGCTTTTAACAATATAACATTTCCAAAAAAAAAAAAATTGTTAAAGCACTGTTATCTTATGTAATGAAATGAAAGCACCAAACTTCACAACATTTGAAAATTTTCTACAAGGTACTGACAATATTGTGTACAGTTATGCACATGCAAAAAGAGATGCAATGTTCATATTTCCTTACACATTTTTAAAGAATTCATCATCTGTGAATCAGAGTACATCCTCATTATGTTGTCTTCTAGTAATCTAATAATCTTTAAATGCTATACTCTTACCAACAGTCTCCCTAACAAACTAAGGAGTAGTTCAGCAGCTGGCCATTCAGGCTTATTGACTGTTGAAAGAAGGTCTTGAACAAAATTTTCAAACAGTGGTCTGTAATCTTCTTCACCTTGCTTACTACCACATCTGTTCAAAGGCAAATAATGAAAAGGATGTCAATTTAGGTGACACATGTCAGTCATCTGTCTACCAACATGATTGAAATTGTTAGCTAAGTTTTCTTTTTTCTATGTTTAGTAACAAAATATATAAATGTACATTAAATAAAATATGGTTTAAAATGAGTCTATTTCACAAACTCCACTTTCTCCTTAATTATAGGGAATTCATTTATTAAGCAATACTAATACTACTTTCTCGCAAGTGAAACACATTTAAAAAAATGATCACTGTTTTTCTACCTAAAAGATCACCATAAATTCTTTATTTTTTTGAGATGGAGTCTCACCCTGTCACCCAGGCTGGAGTGCAGTGGCATGATCTTGGCTTACGGCAACCCTCCACCTCCCGGGTTCCAGCGATTCTCCTGCCTCAGCCTCTCAAGTAGCTGGGACTACAGGCGTGCACCACCATGCCTGGCTAATTTTTGTATTTTTAGTAGAGACAGGGTTTCACCACGCTGGTCAGGCTGGTCTCGAACTGACCTTGTAATCCACCTGCCTTGGTCTTCCAAAGTGCTGGGATTACAGGTGTGAGCCACCACACCTGGCCAAGGTCATCATAAATTCTTATGGAGGCTGGGCTGGGCGCAGTGGCTCACGCCTGTAATCCCAGCACTTTGGGAGGTCAGGGCAGGCAGATCACCGGAGGTTGGGAGTTCGAGACCAGCCTAACCAACACGGGGAAACCCCGTCTCTACTGAAAATACAAAAATTAGCTGGCCATGGTGGTGCATGCCTGTAATCCCGGCTACTTGGGAGGCTGAGGCAGGAGAATCGCTTGAAGCTGGGAGGCGGAGGTTGCAGTTAGCTGAGATCGTGCCATTGCACTCCAGCCTGGGCAACAAGAGCGAAACTCTGTCTCATTAAAAAAAAAAAAAAATTCATATGGAGGCTAAATAACATCTCTTCACAAACTTTCCTATTCAGGTACACTAGGAAAATTCTCCAAAATTTACTGAAGACAAATTACAGAATTTCAATCTAGTACTTTAATTTCTGGAGTCTAACATATAAGCAAATTCACAAAATTTTAGATTTTTTTCCCCCGTGTAGTCCCATCCCAATTTTAGATTTTTAATACTCCAATTGCCTCATTTTAAAGATCAAGAAACCAAGTGTCAGGAAGATGTATTCAAGGTTCAGATTATGGCAGGAAATTGGATTCATCTTTTTAAAAAAATGAACTATTCTCTATACTGTGGAAAAGAAAAACCAGATTTATATTAATTTTACTCACTTTTTAAGGAAGATGGAGAGGAAGTTTTGGGCTGTTCGCATAGCTGTTTCATAAGAGTTAGTAATGACAACATCCTGGTCAATCTAGAATGAAAAAAAGTGAGTTTATAAAGATACAAGAAATAATAAGTTAGCCCTGTTGCTATTGTCATGTTATTACTGAAGAGGGGTAATATATTTAAATACTAAAATGCTTAAACTATTACATTATATATAATAAGAGAAGCCAAAATTAGCACACTAAGCATATTTTAAAACTTTATAGAAACAAATAAAAATACAGATAGAGTGTTATTAAAATAATGTAAGAGTAACATATGTGGTTAACAAATTTAATATCAATAGTTGTTTATCATAATCCTGGTCAGAACAGAAAGAAATGGATTGAAAATAAAAAAAGAATTTAGAAAAAATATGTCAACCTCAAAGTTTAAGAAACATATAATCCATACAATCAAAAAAAAAAATTCAAAGCCTTCATCAGAAATTTAAAGATTAAGCTCTCCCTCCCTCTCCCTCTCCTTCTCCCTCTCCCTCTCCCTCTCCACGGTCTCCCTCTCCCTCTCTTTCCACGGTCTCCCTCTGATGCCGAGCCGAAGCTGGACGGTACTGCTGCCATCTCGGCTCACTGCAACCTCCCTGCCTGATTCTCCTGCCTCAGCTTGCCGAGAGCTGCGATTGCAGGAGCGCACCGCCACGCCTGACTGGTTTTCGTATTTTTTTGGTGGAGACGGGGTTTCGCTGTGTTGGCTGGGCTGGTCTCCAGCTCCTAACCGCGAGTGATCCGCCAGCCTCGGCCTCCCGAGGTGCTGGGATTGCAGACGGAGTCTCGTTCACTCAGTGCTCAATGGTGCCCAGGCTGGAGTGCAGTGGCGTGATCTCGGCTGGCTACAACCTCCACCTCCCAGCAGCCTGCCTTGGCCTCTCAAAGTGCCGAGATTGCAGCCTCTGCCCGGCCGCCAACCCGTCTGGGAAGTGAGGAGCATCTCCGCCTGGCCGCCCATCGTCTGGGATGTGAGGAGCCTCTCTGCCTGGCTGCCCAGTCTGGAAAGTGAGGAGCATCTCTGCCCGGCCGCCATCCCATCTAGGAAGTGAGGAGCGCCTCTTCCCGGCCACCATCACATCTGGGAAGTGAGGAGCGTCTCTGCCCGGCCACCCATCGTCTGAGATGTGGGGAGCACCTCTGCCCTGCCACCCCGTCCGGTATGTGAGGAGCGTCTCTGCCCGACCGCCCCGTCTGAGAAGTGAGGAGACCCTCTGCCTGGCAACCGCCCCGTCTGAGAAGTGAGGAGCCCCTCCGCCCGGCAGCCGCCCCGTCTGAGAAGTGAGGAGCCCCTCCGCCCAGCAGCCACCCTGTCTGGGAAGTGAGGAGCGTCTCCGCCCAGCAGCCACCTCGTCCGGAAGGGAGGTGGGGGGGTCAGCCCCCCGCCCGGCCAGCCGCCCCGTCCGGGAGGGAGGTGGGGGGGTCAGCCCCCCGCCTGGCCAGCCGCCCCATCCGCGAGGTGAGGGGCGCCTCTGCCCGGCCGCGCCTACTGGGAAGTGAGGAGCCCCTCTGCCCGGCCAGCCGCCCCGTCCGGGAGGGAGGTGGGGGGGTCAGCCCCCCGCCTGGCCAGCCGCCCCGTCCGGGAGGTGAGGGGCGCCTCTGCCCAGCCGCCCCTACTGGGAAGTGAGGAGCCCCTCTGCCCGGCCAGCTGCCCCGTCCAGGAGGGAGGTGGGGGGGGGTCAGCCCCCCGTCCGGGAGGTGAGGGGCGCCTCTGCCCGGCCACCACCCCGTCTGGGAAGTGTACCCAACAGCTCATTGAGAACGGGCCATGATGACAATGGCGGTTTTGTGGAATAGAAAAGGGGGAAAGGTGGGGAAAAGATTGAGAAATCGGATGGTTGCCGTGTCTGTGTAGAAAGAGGTAGACATGGGAGACTTTTTATTTTGTTCTGTACTAAGAAAAATTCTTCTGCCTTGGGATCCTGTTGATCTGTGACCTTACCCCCAACCCTGTGCTCTCTGAAACGTGCTGTATCCACTCAGGGTTGAATGAATTAAGGGCGGTGCAAGATGTGCTTTGTTAAACAGATGCTTGAAGGCAGCATGCTCCTTAAGAGTCATCACCACTCCCTAATCTCAAGTACCCAGGGACACAAACACTGCGGAAGGCCGGAAGGCCGCAGGGTCCTCTGCCTAGGAAAACCAGAGACCTTTGTTCACTTGTTTATCTGCTGACCTTCCCTCCACTATTGTCCTGTGACCCTGCCAAATCCCCCTCTGCGAGAAACACCCAAGAATGAATAAAAAAAAAAAAAAAAAAAAAAAAATTGGAGAAAGAATCTAATATTCAATATATGAAAACTCTCTCCACCTAAGGAAATACTGATTCAGGATATCAAAGCAGATTACTGAATAAAGACAAAATAAATAAAAAGAGAATATCACCAAGATAAAAAAAAAAAAAAAATTAGCCCGGCATGGTGGCGCGTGCCTGTAGTTCCAGCTACTCGGAAGGCTGAGGTGGGAGGATCACTTGAGCCTAGGCGGTTGAGGCTGTGGTGAGCTGTGATCACGCTGCTGCAACCAGCCTGGGCAACAGAGTGAGACCCTGTCTCAAAGAAAACAAAAAGAAAAAAAAAAAAAAGAAATTTAAAGATTAAGATATAAACAGTCAATTCACAGTTATAAAAATACAACAGACAAATAACTATAGGAAAAGGGGCTCAAGCTCACTAATAACCAGGAAAATGCAAAATAAGATGGGTATTTCTCAATGACCATAATTTTAAGTAAGAAGTAGGGCTATAAACTGAAACACCACTTTAGTAAGCAAATTGACAACTTCCAGTAAATTTAATGCATGTATACTATCTTAATTTTACTTCTAAGTGTATCTACAGAAACTTTTGCTTTAAGTTGTGATTCTATGATATGGTGTTTTTAACTCAAGTAAAAAACAATCTAGTATGAGTTGTATGTATTAAAAGCGATGTTGAGTGAAAAAATTAGCTGTAAATATGTCACTGTCCTTTACGTAAAAATGAAATAATTGTATATCAAATTTACATAAAAATAATTAAAAGAAAGAAAGAAACATATTCATGATACTTGTCACCAATGGTTAGGAAAGGAAGACTAGAGACAAACAATGGGATTGGGATGGGAGAAATAAAGAGGATCTGAACTTTTCAGAGAGTATTTGACTTTCTTTCTTTCATTCATTCATTTTTAGACAGGTTCTCATTCTGTCATCCAGGCCAGGGTGCAGTGGCACAATCTCGGCTCACTGAGTCTCGATCTCTCAAGGCTCAATCGACCCTCCTGTTTCAGCCTCCTGAGTAGCTGGGATGACAGGTGCACAACAACATGACCAGCTAATTTGTGTATTTTTTGTAGAGACAGAGTTTTGTCATGTTGCCCAACTGGTCTTGAACTCCTGGCCTCAAGCAATCTGCCCACCTTGACCTCGCAAAGTGCTGGGATTATGGGCATGAGCCAAAGTGCCTGTCCAGTTATTAATAATTATTACATATTTATTATTATTCCCAAAAAGATACACACATATGCTTGGCTCTAACAGTAGATAAACAAAATTATTTGTTTCTCTTAAACTTTTGTTGAGATAAAAGTATACACTTGGAAAAATTCTAAACATCTCCAAAAGCTGTAAAACCAAACGCAAATCGTCGGCATGAGCTACCTATTAGGGAGGGAATAAACTCATTTTCCACATGAATTTAATGTTAATTATAATCCTATGTTATGTATTTATATATGGGTTTAGTACCCCTAATCTGAAAATATGAAATGCAAAATGCCCTAATGAATATTTCCTTTGAATATCATTTTGGTACTCAAAAAGTTTCAGATTTTAGAGCATTTCCGATTTTAGATTTTTGGATCAGGGATACTCAACATGCATATATATTACATATTGTATTATTCACTTTCACATTTAATATCTCACTGACCCTTACAACCTGGTATAGCAGTTTTGATAAGTATTATCACCTCCATTTTACAGCTGAAGAATAAACTCAGAAAGATTAAAATGATTTATATGTTTTATGACTGATAGATACAACAGAACCAGAACTCAACTCTTCCAACACCATGTCTAGTGCTCTAAAAGGACCTTAAAGCCCAGCCATGAACCTCTAATTAAGAACATCAGCTTTGGCCAGGCGCAGTGGCTCCCACCTGTAACCCCAGCACTTTGGGAGGCTGAGGAGGGTGGATCATGAGTTCGAGACCAGCCTGACCAACATGGCGAAAACCCGTCTCTACTAAAAATACATAAATTAGCCGGGCGTGGTGGTGCGTGCCTGTAATCCCAGCTACTCAGCAGGCTGAGGCAGGAGAATCACTTGAACCCGGGAGGCAGAGGTTGCAGTGAGCCGAGATCGCGCCACTGCACTCCAGCCTGGGTGACAGAGCGAGACTCCGTCTCAAAAAAAAGAAAGAAAAAAAAAGAACTTCAGTTTTATAAGAATGACAGAGAATATAGGTATTTCCTTCAATAAAAGTACAGTTGTAAAACCTTTAATAGATTCCTTACTTTTTTATTTGAATCTTCTTCTGCATTAGAGTCCTTCTCTGATGATGGTAAGTGTACCACACACTGAATAAGTTGTAAAACCAGTGCTGTAACCATCTGAATATACATAGGTTCTCCATCCATATCACTACTGTTTAACCTTTAATGAAGAAAAAAAATTTGTATGGAGTATCAAGATAATCTCATTTAAATGTCATCTATTGTCTGAAAGTTTCACGATACTGTGTTTGCCAATATTTCTAGGCATGATCTTAGTGCTTATTGTGTTCTTATGTGTAATTATTTGTTGTAAGTTAGCAAAAACATCAAGTAAATGCCTATGCATGCTGAGATAATTAAAATAGTCAAAGGAAAAATACAGTATTTAATACAAATTTGTATGCTTTACATACATTGCAGATAAAAATTCATACTACTACTAAACATTTCTCAAAATGATTTTGAAAATGATAAAAGTCTTCAAAGTTTCCAAATGCCCATATATTTTGCTATTCATCTGCTGAATCTGTTATTCATTTGGTATTAAAATCTGCTACACAGCTCTTGATCATCTATGCTAGTGTTGGTAGCACAGATTATAAAAAATCAATTTCCACATCTTTTGTTCTATAGATATTGTAAAAAATCTAAGGATTCTTTTATGTGTTGATAGTTTTTCTTCATAGTTTTTCTTCAGGTTTAACAGACAATAAATGTTTATCAGTATACAATTAGTCCAAAAAATGATTAAGATAAAATAATTATTTTAGAGAAGAAAGAAGCCTTCAAAGCAATCTTAAAAACAATCCTATATGCCACGTCAACACTTTTAATCACTCAGGAATATTAAGATAATTCCGGTGATTATCTATGATGGCAAAGACAATAATGCTGACCATAGCAGTGGGTAACACTCCTTATTAACAGTGTGCTTAGTGATTAAAGAGCATTTAATCCCCATGTTTATTCTCCATACTGCCATTAATCTTTCTGTTTTTTATTTTTTTTTTTGAGACACAAAAATCTTATAAAATCCTCTTTGAACTGATCTGATTATTTTGAGCCATATTTCCAACAGGATGAACAAGATCTTCTCACTGACTAGTGGTTCATATTAAGGAATGATTTTGCTCTCCAGTGCCTGGAAATAATTTTGGTTGTCACAACTGGAAGGAGGAAGGGTGTCTATTGGTACCTAATGGGTAGAGGTCAGGGATGCCGCTGAGCATGCTGTATTCCACTAGACAGCTATGCATAACAAAGTGTTATATGGCCTAAAATGTCAACAGTGCCAACACTGAAAAACCCTGCCACAGATCTTTACCCTTGAGAATCAGTGAAGTTTTCTAAGCCCCCTAAATATGCCATGTTATTTCACACATCTATTTTTCATGCTGTTCTGATGTAACTGCCTAGTTTTTAATTATTAAAATATAAATCAGACAGAAATGAAGAATAAATGTATGACGGTTCAATATAATGGTGGTTCTTCATTAAACTTGACCTCTGTTATAATTAATTACCTGAAGTTCCTTAAACTCCTCTTGCTGGTTGGTAATCTTGCAAGTGAAGTAAAAATTTCTTCCAAAATTAACTGCCTATGTTTTTCATATCTTGAGAATACCTGTTTAGTAATTATAAGATTCCAAGTTAAACTTATAATAGAAAACAAACCAAAAAATAATATCATGTGATTTAAAAAATTACCTGCCATTTAGAATGAAAATGTTTTCAGTATCTAAGGTAAGCTGCTCTATTTTCCTATCATTAATTATAACATTCTTATAGAAGTCAAAGAGTACACTAGTTTCATTTAAAGGACTATGAAATCTTGGCTATAGGCAGTCAGACAAGAATTTAAATGATTTTAAACCATTCTAACTTTATTATAAATATCAAGGAATTATTAGCTGAAATATTTGCAAATATTTGGAAGTGTTTTAAATGTGACAAAAACAGAATAACCCAACAAATTAACCAAACAGAAAAATAAATCCTCAATTAATAAAGTCTAATAAGACTTAGTAAAATAGTCCTTAGATTGAAATGAATGTACTGAAAACCAGGTATCTTCATTATTTTTTGGAAATTTGGATTAAATGACATCAATATTGTTTTATTTGTGGGGTAACTAAAAATACAAATTGATTATACTTACTGCAGTGACTAACTTAATGGCACACAACTGTAGTTCACTGACATTTTCCACAAAAAATGGTGTTATTCCCATAGATGAAACCTGTTTAAAAAAGAAGAGTAAGTAGTATACACCTTTAGTTGATTTCAGTAACATTCTATCTTACTAAATTCCAATACATTCATAAGCTTACTGGAAAACACTAAGAAAGCATTTTTTCTTTTCCCCACCTAATCAGCATCTATTCTTTTCTCTGTTTCCCTTCATCCTCAAAGCACGTTAGCATATACAACAGGTACATTGTATCATAGCTATCAGTCCTCTAATCTCTACTTTTTGAGTTTACAAATGTCACAGGAATATAAAGAAATAACAAACATTTAATATCTGCATGAAAATATAACCCATCTTTCAAAGAATTTAGAGTTTGGAATTTACACTACATTTGTTTGTCTCCTGATAAAATGTCTTTTTAAAACTCCTGAAGTTTTATTTCTTCGATTTAGATATAACATACTCTTAACAGGAAAAATTCTTGATAATATAGTGCTGGTCTTATTATTGAGTGAGCTAGGTTATACTAGACTTAATCATTTAGTTTAGAAATATACAAAATGCTTACCAAAAAATCTTACCTGAAGAATTGTTGTGTCTGTAAGAAGTTGTATCTCTAGCAATTCTGATAAGCTGCTAACAATGTCACAAACTTTGTTATAAAGCATTACTATTACTCTCTGCTTATGGGTAGAACATTTAGCCCGTTTTGCTTTTGAACTTAATAAGCCTCCTAAAATGAAACAAATTCAAGATAAGGAAAACATCAACTTTTAATAATTTTTAATAAACAGTACTCAAACTGTTTTTTGAATTAAGAGAACACAATTTTCTAGCTACAGAACCTGGAAGATAAAGCTTTTTATTTATTAAAATAGAAAATTACTCTCTAGAGATATTCTATTAGAAACATTCTTGCATCAGATAATCTTCAGCAGCTATTAAATCCCTGTATCTAAAATATTATTTTATCTTGATTTCTACTTTTCTCCATTGGAGCAGGATAGTAAGATTATATTTCCCTTTAAATTAATTTGCAGTTATACAATAGATCGTCAAGTTCATTATTCAGGAACTATACTTAGGTATGACCTTACTCCCTTCAAATGTATACATTTCATTGCTCATTTATAAAGGTTAAGAACAAGAAAAGGAGTATTTATCTTGAATCAATCCATTTTGTAGACAACTGCTATTTTGGGTAAAATTAGGGCGAAGTGATAAATGAAACCAGAAGGTAGTATTTTCTGAGATTTTCCCTGACAAGTAGAAATAACTTCTATTATATATAAATGTTCCTAAAGAAATTATAATTGAACAAGTACTATATTCTAGTCAAATCCATAATCAAAATCAGTGTTTATTACAAGTTATATGATTCAAAAATTTTGGTGCCATTTTAAGTCCTATTTTGACTCATCTAACATGGCAAAAATTTACAATAATTTTGATATTATACGAACTAACCTCCATGAGGATCTAATCTGTAAACAGGATCATACTGAGGATAAAGTGTATTCTGCAAATGAAATTTAGTGTACTGTATAACTCTTTCAATTACATCCTCAATGTACACAGCTTTTGGCATGTTAGGGGATGTCATAATGTTGATAGTTGTAAGACAAGCATCCGCTGATTTTGTAACTCTCTCCATAATAAGGTCTCTCCATAACCTTTCTTCTTCTTCAGTATCGTTATTCTGTAAAACAGTATTGTTAATGAAATGGAAATAAACACATTTATAGGTTTAAAATATACATTAAAATTATGATTTGATTTTCACTGGTGGAAAAGTGTTATGATGTGTGTTAATTCTTTTAAGAATATCCAGAATGAGGTACAAATACTGATACTACTTTGAGCACGATTTGTGTTTCAATGTTTTCAAACGTGATATACTCTACCTCATTTCACCACTAGATGACACCCTACTGACAAAGTTATAATTATCTTTATATCCTTTGTGTGCTTTATCCGAATTTAAGATTTAGCTTATGACTTTAACTGCATATAAATTAATTTTGTGTTTTGGGTATAAACATTATGATAGTTTAAAGACTTTATAAATTCTGCTTGCTGCTGTGATAACAAAGCAAAAATTAATGACAAAGGGTAAAATCTTACTTAGTACTAAAATTGACAATCATTCCTAACACCTGCTTTTCGACAACACAGTTTCTGAAACTGAGATTAAAAAGTAGTAATATGCAGACTAATGAAGACTTTTTTTAAATGGATAATTTAAGAACTGACAGAAGACTTTATTTTAATTTACACATCAGCAACTTGACATTGCAAATTAGGAGTAATCTCACTGTTAAAGTAAAAATCCTTCTATCACATCTTTAGTTATGAAATATAAACTATATTACAGGACTACTTCCAATTCAAAGCTTATACCCTAGGAAAACGAACAAAAACACGATATATAATATGTAAAGCAGACAGGGCTTTCTGTTCAGTAATGCCTAAAACCTCACAAAGGAAAGATAAAGTAGCTTGTCTTTGATGCGAACATTGCTGTTTGTTTGGAAGAGTCAGTTAAGGAGGCTCATGATTCATGCCAAACGTTAAGGCTATCCACAACATATTAAATACTGTTACGGTTTTTAGGGATGAAAGTAATTTCCTTAAGACTGAGTCAGCCAGCTCTCCAGAACTCTAGATTTCTGATGATGATTATCACAATTTCTTGGCGAAGTATTTAAGTAACTTGTAGACTAACAATGGAGTAGATTGTTACTTTAGGTTTCTCTAAGCCTTTGTTTCTGTGATGCAAAAAGTAAAGAGAGGGCACTTAAAAATATAAATATATTTAATAATCCAGAAAACAACCACCTGAGATTATTTTTCTACATATTTTATTCCAGAAGTGTCCAATCTTTTGGCTTCCCTGGGCCACAGTGGAAGAAGAATTGTCTTGGACTACATATAAAATACACTAACAATTACGATAGCTGATGAGCGTAAAAAGAAATTGCAAAAAATCCTCATGTTTCAAGAAAGTTTACGAATTTGTGTTGGGCTGCATTCAAATCTGTCCTGGGCCACACGGGCCAGTGGGCCACAGGTTGGACAAGCTTGTTTTATTCCATGTAGATCCCCTAGCAATCCTGTGGCTTTTGTAAACACCAAGAGCATTTCCCTCATAAGATAAAATAAAATCTAGTGCTTGTATATTAAATATATATACTACATACGTATACATGAGAAGTATATATATCAAAAGTGTTCAAAATGGTCATTGCTGGATTAGAATATAGCTTTTTTGGTGCTTTCTGTGTTTTGGAAATTTTCTACAATAAATATGTTACTTTTATAATCAGGCTTTTAAAAATAAAGAAAATTTGGCCAGGTGTAGTGCCTCACATCTGTGGTCCCAGAGCTTTGGGAGGACAAGGCAGGAGGATTGTTTGTTGCCAGCAGTTTGAGATCAGTCTGAGCAACAGAGTGAGCGCTTGGCTCTACAAAACATTTTAAATAATTGGCCAGGCATTGTGGTGCATGCCTGTAGTTCCAGCAGCTTGGGAGGCTGAGGTGGGAGGATCACCTGAGCCCAGTAGTTCCAGACTACAATGAGCTATGACTGTAGCACTGCACTCCAGCCCAGGGGACAGAGCAAGACCCTGGCTCTATCAGGGGAGAAAAAAAAAAAAGGGAGAGAAAGAAAATTTATCAACTCAGAACTTACTAAATGCCTATAAGCATTAGTGTTTGCATTCATTAATGTCAGAGATATCAAGATCAATTTGAATGCACATATAATTCATAGTCCACTACAATGCTAGGAAGGCAAATCCCAGGAAATTTGCTTCACTCAATTAATAAACCATTGCAAGCATGTTGCTACTGCTTTTGATATAAGCATATTAAAATATAGTAACAGCTGGAGTTAACATTTACTGAGAAGTTAAAGTGTGCCAGACACTAAGTGCTTTACATGAATTAATTCTTTAATCCTTTGAACAACCCTTTGAGGTAGGTATAAAAACGGTATATAAGGAGTAATGTATATTAATTAGTATATATTAGGAAATCATAAGGTTTCTAACTATGTTATTTCTTCAGGGAAGCTCAACAAAAAGAATTACTACCTACTATCATCTCATAACTCAAAAACAAAATTTAAACATTCATATACTTACATAAGGAAGAGCATAAACTAAAGAACTGCCCCTTAAATTGACAAACATTTTCATGTCTTTATTATTCTTACTTTATGGCAAAGCTGTGAATTGACAATGTGTAACATTAATTCTGAATTACTAAAAGTGAAGTTCTACTAGCAATGCTAATGAATGTAACTAGTAATTCATGGTAACATGCTCAAATTAACGAAATGTGAAATTTCCCCCACATGAGAGTCATTTGTGAAAAAATTCACATTAGTCCCTCCCTAATGGACAGATGATAGATTCCAAGACCTCGAGTGCATGCCATGGATACTATCAAACCCGATATACACTATGTTTTTTCCTATACATACATACCTAAGATAAAACTTAATTTATAAATTAGGCATGGGAAGAGATTAATGACAATAAAAAACAGAACAATAGACTGTAATAAAAATTATTCACCTACTTTCAGATCACAGTTGACTGTAGGTAACTGAGAAAATGGAAAATGAAACAATAGAGAAGTGGGGGACTACTATAGATCTTAATAACATTAAGGGTAAAATTAACAGTATGGATCTTAAACTTACATGATTTAACAAAGTGGAAAGCTTTGACCCATCCTGAATATTCTTCTCCAAGATATTTAAGACTTTCACAGTTTTGTCAGTTGAAAGCTAAAATAGCAATATAAATTCTTTATCAATCGTTGGTAAAAGTTATATATTATTCAAGAAACAATCTGTACAATTATTCCCTTTGAGCTATGGAGGAAATAGCATTGTCACCCTCTTAAAGAGTAAGAAAACTTTCCCACTTAGAACTTCTACTCAACGACCCTAAATGACTAAAGCAAATGTCAAAGAAAAATTTAATATATTTCTGCATTTAAATAATCTAAATATTTGAGAAAATGAAAAAAAAAAACTCTGGAAAAAATTAAAGTCCATGCCTCTTTCAATGCAGTAATATGATTCTCTTTAGAATAATCTGCAGAATACTTTTTTCTTTTGTAAAAAAACAAAAAAACTCATTTAGACTCTCAGAAGTCAACAATGAGTTTTCTTTTTACTATTTACTTTACATAAATTTTATAATTTACCCTGAAAACCTTAAATTAATTTCAAATGTTTCTATGAAGTAAATTTATAAATTTTACTTTGGTGAGATACCTTATCCATTATACCCATTGCTTTTATTTTAGCAGATTCACTGCCAAGTTCATTAAGCTGATGTTTTCCTAAGAGCAGTTCCTGAGGAATTTCATCATCATCACCTGCAAAATCAAGCCAAACAAACACAAACAAAGTTTAGGTAAATAAAATAGTTCAAAATGTCAAGCTTAACTTTCTAATAAAATTTTTAGACATGCAAACTAAACAAATAACCTAAGACGCCTCTATATATAAACCTCAAGTAAACCCTGAATGAAAAAGGACAGAAATTGAAGTCAGATTTATGACTGAAATGGGAAGATGAGATAGATATCTTATCTTTACTACTTTAGATATACTCTTGACTCTTTCTCAACCACATTCTCTGCCTCAGGAGGCTGACCTGAATGGACTACATCAAGAGTCTCCCATGCCCTCTGGCTTTTGTTTGGGTTTGGCCAGTAGGGTGCCCTGTTAGAAGATCAAAGAGGAGTGTAAGGTCAAAGTATTTATATCTCTTACTCTTTGCTTACAAGGTCTCCTCAGGCTGGCTCTGTCCCCTGACCAAAAGGTATTGCTTCTTTCAAGGCAGCCTACTCTACAACTTTTTTTCCTGCAGAATGAGTTCTGGTGACTTTTCTGTATCCTCACTCTTTTGGTTTAAGGCTGTTAACCCTGGGTTCTGGTATTATTTTGCCTCCATCTTTTTAACTGGTCTCTTTGTAAATAACTCCTCCTCATATTATCCTATTTTGAGAGTGCCCTTTGTACTTTTGGACCCTAAATGATACAGAAGACAATTTCTCAGCACAGAACTGTAAAGTTTTAAAAAAGATGAAACTGACATTCTAAATAATCAGCAAACACAATGATACTCAGGCAAGTAATTCTCACAAAACAAATACTTACTTTACCAGCTGAAGGTGGCATAAGATTGTTAAGAATAGCTCTATACATTGCAAGCAGTGTTTTTATAAACATTTTAATATTTATAGATGTAATCTTTATGTCATTGTAAAAGTAATACATGAATATAACATTAATCCTACTGTATTCTAACTGGTTTACTATTTTGTTTTCCATATTAGAATCTGTATTCCCTAAAGCCAGGTGTTTGGGTTTTAGTTATTTTTACATCTCCAGCACTTAACATACTACTGGCATACAGTAAGTATTCAATAAATATTGGTCATTAGAATAAATGAACAGAAGAATAGATGCTTATTTCTGCATATATGCTCCTATCAGTACCTTCATTATACAGGGCCTTTTCAAGCCTCCTCACCTGCATAAAGACTTTTTAAATTACTCTCACTTACTCATGATTCTTTAGATACTATCCAGACTTGATTAATATATACTTGAGTTTTGTACTAAAGTTTTTAATTTCTTGGTAACAGACTAGATTTGACTTTACAACTAGATTTCAAGTTTCTTGATAGCACAGAGTATGCCTCTGTATCCTCTAGAGTAACTGAGTTAAGCCTTAAGTATTTGTGTATTTATCATAGTTAGGGATTCAGAAAAGAGCAGTTGCTAGTCAAATAACAGACTAGAAAGTTTATCATTGTCAGCAACAAGTGATCACAACAACAACCAGTATATGATTTCAAGGTAGGACACATCACTAGAGTAACTGAGTTACTCTAGAGGATACAGTTAAGACACTTAGAGTATGTGTAAATGTATTTTAAGTTGATTTTACCAAACGCAGTAAAATCCATATCTTCCAAATTATCCAAAATATTCTCTATTGAGGCTGTGAATCTCTTAAAAGTTGAAGAGTCCATCATTTCTGCAAGAGAGAAAAATATATTCATTATTCTCACATTACAAGTAGACATGTGAAGCTGAAGAATATGAATAAAGACAAATTAAATAAACTAACGTGTTACCTTCAGGTGTTAGTTTTGGTTCATATGCTTTCCTTTTCTTCTGTTTTTCTTTTTTCTTCATTTTCCTAGCAACTAAAACGAACAAAAAGAAGTACTGAAATGCAGGACTGACAACTTAAAATAATTCCATTTTTGTTTCTAGTTTTTTTCCTGAACGTTAAAGACTTAAACGATAATCACTGCACATAGAAACTAAGTATTTTTGTCTTAATTGAAAATTAGTTATTAACTCATAAAAAGATATAAAATATTCTTCAAAGTTAAAGCCCTAAATTTAAATTGGTTTATGTAAGAAATCCGTTGACACTGATGAATTACCCTCACTAAGGCTGGGAGGAGGAGAATAATCTTCCATGTCAGAATCTGACGGACTTCGGTTTCGATAACGACCACCACCTGAACTCCTTCTTCCTTCATGAGAGTGGCCACTTCTCCTATGATCCCCAGAGCTTCTTCTGTCACGCTCTTCATATTCCCAAGCTTTATCATCATCTTTTTTATGTCGTTTCCTAGAGGCTAGAAGCAAATCCCCATGACAAATAATTTACCTCATTTAAAAAGATGATTAAAACTTGTACTTTACAAATGAATCACATGGGGAAAAAAATCTTCATTCCATAGGGTCTAGGAAATTCAGTGATTTTGTCTATCCAGAAGTTTAAGTTATGATATAGAAAAAGTATCACTAATTTTAGCACAATCTACCCAGATTTAAAGATCTTTACATGAACTCAGTGTTTACTGCTAATAAATACAGAGAGGAAGGTTCTTGAAATTAAACTACAGTGTTCACTTCAAGGACAGTTATTCAGTAAGTCAGTAAGGGTTATACCTAAACTTCAAGATTAATTGAGGCTGTAAAACAAACTATATTTAGGAATTAGATGAAAAACAGAACCACCTTAAAGCACTTAGATTACTGATGGGGAGCAGGGTTTGGAGGAAAAGTCAACTTTTGAGAAAGTGTTACAGAATATGGGTAACCATGTACATCATCAATTAATAGCTAAGTTAAACCCACAACTCAGCGATAAATTCCATAAGCCCTGGTGACCTAACATGACAAGCCTACTGAGACAGAAAAAACCTGTACAGTTGTAAATACTCACATAATGAATTCAGTTCTTCAACAAAAGTCTTGCTTAAACCCAAGAAAAGTTTCTAAGCTTATGCACGCTTCATAAGCATGATTATGTATGTTACCTTCAATCTTTTCCCCATCATTTTAGCATTCTGCTAAAATCACCCGTACTGACAGGAGCCTTTAGGCAGACCTGGCAAACAGATTTCATCTAACACATCAACTCTCATCAACTGGCAATAGCTGCCTAGAACATTATGCTGAAAATAACCCCAAGCCCTGAGAAAGCATCATAGTTCAGCAAGAAAGACTGATTAGAAATGTCTGCAGTAAGAGCTGGGGGGCACTATAAGTGACAAATATTTACCATGTCTGTTCTAGGATGCAGTAGGTACCACCAAGTTAAAACCAGGGCAGAGAAGTGATGTGTCCTACCTTGAAATCATATACTGGTTGTTGTTGTGATCACTTGTTGCTGACAATGATAAACTTTCTAGTCTGTTATTTGACTAGCAACTGCTCTTTTCTGAATCCCTAACTATGATAAATACACAAATACTTAAGACAAATGTTTTGCTTAAGTCCCCTACTTGGCTTAGATGTAAGGATGCCAACCTCTGGCCCAGGCACTCTATGCTTGTGCCAGTGTCTTCATGTGTGGGTAATAAATGTCTATACTCTGTCTAATCTTATTCTTAAATGCTACCCTAACTACTCCTGTTCAAGAATCTAGGTTGGTTTCTGGTTCTGGACTCTTCTAGCTAATCTATGGACAACATGGCAGGAAAAGGTCATTTTGTTTCCTCTTCTTTACAGTCACAGGCTTGGATAGCAAAAAGGTTCATGTAAAGCACAAATGTAAATGGATATAAATATCTGAGATTTTCTTCATAATTAGGTATGAATTTGGTTATGACGTATGTGAAGAGTGATAGGACTGTTCCTCTTTTATGATTACAGTATGCTCTAGTACATTCCTTTAGTGACAACTTGTTTCATACACTAATATAAGTAGGGTGTGTGTATGTGTGACAGAGAAACAGGTCATTTCTATATATAATTCCTTAGATGTTTTTTTCACAAGTACTGAAATGCCTACATTACAAGGGATGACAACTAATAAGCAAACTTCTTCAGAAAGCACTATTTTCTTATGTGGGCAGAGAAGGGGTCTTGCTATGTTGCTCAGGCTGGTCTCAAACTCCTGGGCTCAAACAATCCTCCCACCTCGGCCTCCCAAAGTGTTGGTATTACAGGCATGAGCTACTGCGCCAGAAATTAGTATTTTACAACCTTGAATATGACCTGCTTTAGTCTTTGTACATTTTAATTAATTTCATAACAAATCTGTTTCAAGCATTCAATCCTATGAGTAGAAAATGCTTGAAGAATCTTATAGTGGTTTGTAATTACATAGAATATGCTGTATTGGTGGTAACTATCCACAGATCTTGTAAATCTTTATTTCACATTCATCAAATTTTAGACAATTTAGATAAAAATGGGGTGACAAATTAAAAAAAAAACAACTTCCATAACACATTGTGTTATAATGAGGTTATTAGGATACCAACTCATTGTGGTTAGCTTATTCTTTCTCCATTTCTCTCATTACCCTGGAATAAGCAGGGGAGGGGAAAGGACTCAAAAGAGAGGTACGTAAAACATGACTTGGGTGTTCTCTATCTTCTCTTTCCAAATTTCACCTATGTATCTCTTGAGCTTCTTACATCACCCCTCTCTCCATTTTCCCCAGGCACCCAGTGACCTTATATTTGTGCTATGGCCATCCAAATCTGTGTACCCCAACTTTCAAAATTATCCTTCAACATTTTCCCCTAACCTTCAACAAAACTATTTCCTTGGTTTTAGATTTTGAGAAACCAATTTGATTAAACTGCTAAGTTTCAAAAATTTTTTTTTCTCTCTCTCAGCAGCATAATGCTTGCAACTTAACGTTCTCATAATAGTTTCACATTTTGTATTGTGCTATATTTTCAATACACTGTTTCTGTTGTGGTGTGACCATTTGGTTGTTTATGTGAACAATCATTTGGACTTCTTTCACCATTCAAATCGGTGCCTCCAGTGTCCACTTTTCTATAGTTACTTGTATAGAAATAAGTGAAGAAAAACAGGAAGCTACTCCTGACATCTCTTTAAAAATCCAGAGAAACTTTCCTTTCTTCTAGCAGTGTGTGAAGCTTAGGTTCTTTAAAATAAATATTACCTTTCGATATAGTTGGGCATAGATATAACAGGGTCCATGGCTTTATAACGAAGCTATGTGCCTCCATAAGATGAGACAATAGCTTTCATGATAGAAAGCAAGGGGAAAAGAATGGTGGCTGCATTGGTGACAAACATGAGGGATGTGTGGCTCTACTCTCCACTATTTTACACTTGGTGGAAATTTTTGATTATGTTATCCTTTCCACTTAACTGTGAGACAGCTTCAGAAATCTTTGCAATTTAGTAATGGAGGCAGTCACTTTCAGTCAACTGGATTTGAAATGTCATTTGAAATCAAACTGGAATTCAGGGACTCCTCCTTCTCGGCTGTTCTAGATATGGGTGATATGTTTATTAGAGGGAAAGAGGCAGAGTGGTAAGGCATGTATATTAAAGGGAATGAGTTCCTGGGCCCCATGTTTCTTTTATCTTCTCATCTTCCAGAGCTAACCACGTCCCCATATGACCAAAATATCTGATTGTAATAAAAAAAATTAACTTTAGCCATTTTAATATACTGTGTGTCAATACATTTCATAATACAATTATAACAATTATACATGATTAAATGTTAAGTTTGCTGTATATTTTATTTCAATTTTAAAACTTTTTTCAGATTTGTTCAGTATTCATAGTCTACTGCTCATAGCTCAAGAGCTCACAATTAAAAAAAAATCAGTAAATTAACATTAAAAACTTTGGAGGAGGTGAAGGGCTTCCATCAGCAATATACATTTAAAAATGGCAGCATGCATCTGTCCTTCCTGCCCTTGCTTGTCACACCTCAATCTATGGACACTAGGTGGAAAAAGTAGAACACTGGTGGTCTTCCCACTTCTTTTGGTCATTATGACTAAGTCAGTTGGCACACAAGTGAAGATCTCCCATAGTCTGTTTCCACTGAATGCCGTTTAAGTCAAACAAGGTTGCTGACCCCTCTTGGCTAGGCTCAATTCTCTTGCTCCAGAAGAAGGAAGATAGGGATAAAAGAGAAGAACTTTTTCAGTGGACCAGTAGGAAGACAGGCGAGGTATAGCAAGTCTAGTGCAAAGACAGGTGATCACAGTGTTGTAGAGAGGTAGCTGTGTAGTGAAGAAGCCAGCTCTGGAAAACAGTGAAACAAGGGAGGAATTCCAGGACACAGCTGGGCAAAAAGGAGAAGCCAGGTCCAAACCACACAGATAATCTGCAATGTGGCTAATCCATTCATAATTTAGTGATAGTATGGTTTTAAATATTTCTTCATCTGGCTATCTCCTACGTGTCCTTCAAGACTCAACTCAAGTGTCACCTCTTCCAGTAAGCATTCCCTGAGCCCCCACTCTGATTTTGATGCCAATCCAATGTGTTCCCATAGCACCCTGGATTTACTGTTATCATTGTACTTTTATCAGCATACTGCAATTATTTATTTACATATTTCCCCCATTAGACTGAAGGCTCTTTGAAGACAGGGGCCATATCTTATTTGCATTTTTACTCTCAGTGTCTAGCATATAATAGGAGCTCAATAAATGTTTGCTGAATGCATACAGACACATACCTACCTGTGTTTTAAAATTAATTGTAGCTTATTTAATATTTTTTTCTTGGTGCCAACTGATCTCATCTTTCACGCATTTTTAAAGTATAGAGAAAAAAACTTACTATACTGTGTTATTAAGAATTAAGGTGACTGTGCTTTTGCTAAACCCCCAAATTATAAATGAGAAAAACACATCAACCTGCTTTTAAACTCTAAAATAATAACAAAGAGTTCTGTGATACTTACATTCAAAAGCTTCATCACTATCATTATCTTCATCTGAACTGATTTCAGCATATTTTGGCTTTTCATTAACTGTGCTACGCTTGCGTTTGTTCATTTTCACACGTTCACAAAGTGGCATGGTGGACTCAATTTCTGCCAGGAGTTCAGGGGGTAATTCTTTTAACACTGATTGATCTATACTACCTATTAATGAAAGGTAAATTTAAAAAAAAAATGTAAATCTGAAGATAAAAGGAAAATTTTAACTAAGTTAGCATAATAAAAATATTAGTATTTGTTTTCTAAATCAACTGTTTATTTTAATAAAACACAACTATAATACTCTTAACCCTAAAGTGACAATATAGTTAATATATATGTATGTGTACATATATACATATAATTATGTAATGACTTTAAAAACATGACACCACCATAAAAATGAAGGGTAATTATATAATACATTTTTGATATAATGCCTTCAATTTGCACTGACTAAAAACTTTCTGAAACTAGAGATTCACTGACATTAGCAAGTGGATTTGTGGTAAGAGGTACACTTGACATTCTTGGTAGTACATAAATTTTGTTTTGTGTAGGTCTGAAGTAGTTTGAATCTAATGTTACCCCTCAATACAAGTGAGAAGTGTTGGAAGACACTTACCACTCCTCCTCCTTCTCTATGATCTTGGCAGTTGTGTATGGTGGCTGAGACAAGAGCTATACATATGCTTTTACCTATTACTGTCTATTTGAGGGCATGGTAATGCCTTTAGCATTACGGAGAACTTCTTCAAACAGACAAATCAATATATACAATTTAACTGAAGACGAGAGAAACATGTAACACAGGATAAATAGATGACAAATCTTTTAAAATATAAATGTCTGTAACTGAAAAGTACATTTCAAGTTAGAAATTCAAGTTCATATCTTCCCACAAGAGTCAAGGCAATAAAAAAGAAGACAAGACAATAAGAGCCATTATACTACTTAATCCTACACACATACACACAAACACATACACAAATAGTTCTTATGAAGAAATAAACTGGGACTATCTTCCTGATAGTTTAAAAAATAAAGTAGAAGTAGCAAAAGCTACTTATTCGGATAATTTGTCCTTAATGATTACTAAAGATGGCAATTTTAGCTTCCTTTACTTACTTTGAGTGGAAGTATAAAAAGAAAAATCTTACCTGATAAATTTTATGAATTGGAAGCAAAGAGTACCTTTGTGGTTTATAGCAGGAAATATTAGTAACTTACAATCAACATTAACACTATCCTTTATAACATGCAAATGATAATAGTGCTTACGTAAAGAATAAAAATCATGACAGAAAAGTAAATAGCTATCAAGAATATTAAGACGATACAATCAAATAACTCAAGATGGAGATATAAAATATTAATCTTAATGAAAGAATAACCCTTTTTTTATTCTTCTGAAACTTTTATTCAGTATCACAAAGGAGTTATTTCAGTAACTTTTAGGCTTCTGTTCTTCTAAGGACATGCATAGGAACAATTTTACCCAACAAACATGAAATACTCATGACTGGTAATATCCCAAAGACTTCATTGCTAAGAATTCTAACTAACGTTGAGTTTAACTTCTGTGTCATTTTGAAATCAGGTAATATTTCTCTGTATTGGCTTTCTTAATTTAACTAGTTAAGTTTTATCAGTGAGGGCCCTCTTTTTTAGAATACTGGTAGAAGTAAAAGAAGTCAACTTTAGCTTTGCATTGCATATTTTCAGCCCCAAACTGAACACGTTCTGCACCTCACTATAAAGTCTTTGAATATCTCTACTTTAATATGTGTCTTTTTGATGGAAAATCATGTTTTAGAGTATACATCTTCCCTTTTCCACATGACCTACATAATATTGAGTACATATATATGGATAGTCAATAGATGCTTCTTGATTGCCTAACTCTGGTTCACAATTTCTCATGTCCACTTACAGATGTACTTCCTGGATAGTTCCTGAGTTGCTGTATTTGATAGACAAATGAGTACATTTCCAAAATTTCTAAGAATACAAATTTTTTTTTTTGCAGTATATTGGAAACATTATAATCTTCATAGGTTTATAAATACAGATAACCCAAAGTATTTGGCCTTTCATCCATCACGGGATTTTTTTTTTTAAAGCAAATGTACCTAAGTGTTTTGCTTAGATTAAGTTCACATCACAGACACACTGACTCAACACTAATATCCCAGAATTAATATTTTCCTTGTTAATTAACACAATAATCAAAGGTTAAAATATGTACTAGTTCTTGTGCTCTCTCTGCAATGGATTATGTTCCCAGAGCAAGGACTCTGCTCCTTCTTTTTAAAAAAATTACTCACAATAGCCAAACACAGATAACCTATGCCTTATATCCAATAAAGCAGGTATCAACATTTATCAACAGTAGTTTACCCTTTCTTATTCCCTACATTAACAAGAATACTATCAATTAAGACCTCTCTAGTATCCTCTAGATCATTTTAACTTCTGTAAAACTTTGAAAGTTTAAACAATGTAATTCAAAGGCCAAATGTTTTATTTCTGAAGGTGCTCCAACTTTAAAGAAAAAAAATCCAGGAATCAATGTCTCTACATGTATCATCCTCCAAAAGTGAACGCTGTTTCATTTTGAACAGAATTGTCTATTCCACAGGTTTCACACATTTTCTGAATTAACCACATCCTTTCTTCCATTTCATGAAGCTCTTTATAAATGGACTCCGCCAGGTTGCTTGATTACAAAGATAAGAAATAAAGGGGCCAGGCGTAGTGGCTCACACCTGTAATCCCAGCACTTTGGGAGGCCGAGGTGGGTGGATCACGAGGTCAGGAGATCGAGACCATCCTGGCTAACACAGTGAAACCCCGTCTCTACTAAAAATACAAAAATTAGCCAGGCATGGTGGCGGGTGCCTGTAGTCCCAGCTACTCGGGAGGCTGAGGCAGGAGAATGGCATGAGCCCGGAAGGCGGAGTCTGCAGTGAGCCAAGATCACGCCACTGCACTCCAGCCTGGGCAACACAGCGAGACTCCATCTCAATAAATAAATAAATAAATAAATAAATAAATAAATAAATAAATAAATAAAATGCATGACTTTCCCATATTCAGGCCTGAGATCTTCAATATGACATCAAGGATCTGGATAACTCAGCCATTTGGAGGCTGAGATGGGAGGATCATTTCAGCTCAGGAGTTCCAGGTTGCAGTGAGCTATATTAGCACCACCGTACTTCAGCCTGGGTAAGAGAATGAGACCCTGTCTTTAAAAAAACAAAAGGATCCTGATCTGGATAACTAACTCAGTTTAACAGAAATGAATAAACAGCAAGTACTTAAAATTATCTGTATGACATAATTGGTTATGTTATTTCCCCTGAATTAGTTAATAATCCATTAAATGCAAACATAAAGTCTTGCTATCTCTTAGTATATGATGATGTATTTTAGGGATTGATGATTTTAGGGATTATTGTTGCTTGCCAAGTTATTTGTTCCTAAAACTTCAGATTACTAGTGCTTTATGATTATCTCTCACCTAATTTCTTTTGTCCTAACTACTTTATTCTTTAAATCAGCATGTCTGAATTCCCATAAAACTTTATGTTACTGGCTTGATGAATAATGTCATTTAGTCACAATTTTGTGAGATATCAAATTTTCAGCTTCTGTACATATATTCCATTAGATACAGTGCACTCTATACTCTGGCTTTAATATGGCTAAAGAATACATTTACTCCTAGATATGCTACATTTAAGCAATCTTTGATTTCCATTATAAATCACTCAAATTAGCACTTGCCAGATTATTAAAACCAGAAATCATCAAAAAACTTAAAAGAATCATTGATTTGATAACTAACAATGTGTTCTGTTTTCTTTTTAAAACAGGAAAACAACTCTGAGATAGAAATAAATCACGTAAACTAATAAAATCTTTGGGACTGAAGTGAAGCTTTGGTCAATGGAAACAAGTCACGTTCAGAAACAAAACTAAGAGCCTCACATAAACCTCCAAATTTTATAAATCCTAAAAAAAAAAAAAAAAAAACTTGGGCAGGCATAATGGAATAGTTCAGTGACAATTCTTCCACTAACCTACCCATATAACACAGAAGCACCAAATGGATCTTCAACTTCAATTAGAGGTAAGTGGGGGCAAAAAAAAATTTTCAATACTGCATGTAAATGACAATTTACTACTCATTATGTAAGTAACAACTTACTACTCATTACAGAAAAGTAGGGGGCAGGGATCAAATGATTCTTTCCTTGATATGTATACACGGTGAGAAAAATAAATTGTGGCAGTAATATCTTTAAATCTACACTGAATATAAAGTACAGATACATAAAAAGATTTATTTTAAAAAATTACTTTCTTCATTAGATAAATTCAATTCAATTAGAAATTGAATGACTGTACTTTCCTTTATATAAAAAAATCAGACATACTTTAGCTTTTACTATAACAACATTCATTTTTGTCTTTATAACTGTATAAAGTAGGAGGGAAATTGGTTTCTTTATTTTAAAAGCGAATGAACCAAGCTTTGAAAGGTTAAGGCTTATTCAGGGTTTTGATATTAGTTCTCTTTGTACTATAATTTGTAATAAGTTTAAAAGAGAATTTTTAAAAATTGATACATTACAGCCAGAAAACGCTAATATTTTTATAGGCAAGACAGAGAGATCCATATTAAAAAACCCATTTTATTGGTGGTGTAATACTAGTAGGTATTCATACTCTTAATTTCACATCAGGCCCTTGTAAAGAAGGGTTTCATTAAATTTTTTTTTTTTAGAATATAAAAGGGAATTTAGCATGTCAAAGATTATTTCTTCATAAATAGGCACAGGGTCTTACAGAATTAATATTTGCTAGCTCCTTAGCTGTTAAATCATATACCTATTTCTACAGACACAAGAACCCTATAGAAACTATGTCTTTGGGCTGGCTTAAGAGACAGAATGGAAAGGAGAGAGAATACCTCCAGCAAACTTTAGTTTTTATAAAAAGGTTTCTACTTAATGCATTTCTTTTAAGCAATATTTGTATGAACAATCTATTAAGCATACTTTGGAAAATTTCTACAAATGGAAATCATGAGTACAAATTTTCAAAATACTGCTCTAAAGTCACAAGAGCTAGATACAGATTATGCCAACTTCTGTAATAAACTTTCTCCAAACATTTCCTAAAGATATCACTGATATCAATCTTTACAGAAACTGAAAATTTGAGTTTTTAAGAAAGGTATTTTATAAAACTGTACAAATGAAACAAAATAAATTTCCACTGCATCATTAAATATTATTCAATATTACAATCTACTTTAAAGAAAACACCGAAAATTCCTCATTTAGGAATTAATAAACTGTGCTATAAATTCACTCTCAGAAACAATACTTTCAGACTTGCAGAAGCTGAGGATCCTAAACACCATCTAACTAGACTGGTTCAGTGCTAAGTAAAAGGCAACCAGCTGATGATAGTTATCAGCATTTAGTAGTGTAACTGTAACAGTAGATAACTGAAGTGCGATCACTGTCGCTAGTAAGGCCTGCAATCATTAGCTCATCAAGTGAGCAATATAGGCTAATCGCTATTGACTATTAAAGCTGCTAGATACATTCCCAGTGAAGACTACTTTCAGAAACTGCTTTACTCTTCAGTTTAAAGGATGATGTCAAATAACAAATAATACGGATATTTCTTGAAAGCACTGAGTCCACACAATGGAGAATGATATACTAGTTGGAAAGAAGTAGGGGGAGAGAGAAGAAAAAATGGTTTCCTTAGACATAAAGCAAAGATATTTTGAGACACTCTGGAGTTAAAAAAAAAAACAACAAAATCAAATATGTTTGTAATTACTGATAATAAGCTGTTAATAACACTGAAGGCATGTGTTAGTTGATGATTATGCCAATTTTTTTTTTTTTTTTTTTTTTTTGGAGACAGAGTCTCGCTCTGTCACCCAGGCTGGAGTGCAGTGGCACAATCTCAGCTCACTGTAATCTCCTCCTCCTGGGTTCAAGCGATTCTCCTGCTTCAGCCTCCTGAGTAGCTGGGGCTACCAAGTGCCTGCCACAGTGCCTAACTAATTTTTGTATTTTTAGTAGAGGTGGGGTTTCACCATGTTGGCCAGGCTGGTCTCTAACTCTTGACCTCAAATGATCCACCCACCTTGGCCTCCCAAAATGCTGGGAGATTATGCCAATCTTAAAGGATCTCATAACTTTATTATTTTAATTTAGAGACACTATACATTAGGGTAATAGTCTAATAAAATTTTTAACAACATATTTTTTGGCATGTAACATACTGATTGAAGTATATTTTAGTAGAAGATATTTGAAGAACTTAAAAAGAATTCTACAAACAGTTACACTGCCTGACTGCCCCCTCCACCCCTCCCAGGCAAGGAATAAACATGGTGATGGAAAGATAGGGAAGTTAACAATGCAGGATAAGAATGGGAATAATATTAATCCCAGTATAGATCAAAATAAGTGTGACAGAAAAATTAAACACATATTACTATAAGCAGGTTTTCTTTGGATCTTAACAAAAAAACTAGGTAGTTGACAGGGTGAAGAGTTATTAACAATGTTTAGGAAGCAGGATTTGAAAAATAAGTAGCTCTTGAGCTAGGGTGTATTGATGGGAACATAAAAGACGATTATCTAATTTTAATCTGTACACAAAAGCTTTTCCTGAAAATGGTGGCAACATCATCTCCATTCAATAGGCATTAAATATGATTTATTATGTATGAAGTATTTTGTTAGGTACTAGGGATACAGATATAGTGCCACAGAAATCAAATCAAATGTAACAATGCCACTTTACATTTATCATGCTCATACAAAAGACAAAAATAAGTAATCTAAATTAGGAGTAATAAATCTATACCTCTATCACACAATCAAAATTTATCAGCTTAAAATATATCCTAAAGAATGAATATTTTCTATATGAACATCAGGTAAAATATTTAAAAGATGGAAATTTATGGCTCTTCAATTTTGGCCCTAGGAACCAACCATACAAGTATCCCAGCAGTATTCAGACTAACTCCTTTACTCAGAAAATCATCAACACATCAAAATGTGATTTTCTGTGAATCTCCAAAGAAAATCCCAGTATATACTACAAAGGGTCAGTAATCTACAACTGTGCTTCATATACATGCAATTTTAAAAAATCCACAATTACCCAACTCTGCTATTTAAACTGAGTAGCAAAAATCTAAAACAAAACCAAAATTGGATCATTACTAAAAAAAAAAGATATGGATCCTAAGACATAAATAAATTAATCCAAAAGATAGCTACACGGCATCCTGAAATGCATCTAAGCACTGACATAGTATTTTTTGATGAAAAGGACTGTTACTGTAATTGCAGTTACATTAATATATGTGTATATATACACAAACATGCACATGTACACATACACACACATCACTCTAATAGGCAGACACCCAGATAGCTTACTTACATACTAACATGACCATATCAGGTATATACATCTGCATTAAAAGTATACTATCAGAAACGCATTTTGGTGCTAAAAACATATTCATAGGCAATATTATTGCATGTGAAAAACCCAGGTGAAATAATATACCAATTACTAACTAAAAGCTATATTCACTTCTGGATGTTCTTTAAGGAGTTTTAAAAGACTCTTTGTTAGAACAGAGTTTAGAAAGCAAGGCTAGGGTAAGCTGAGAGGGGAGGGAGAGAAAGATGGTCCAGATCAAAGGAACAAGAGGGTACCACTTTCCATCTTTCACCTGACTCTTCTAAAATTGTATAGCCATACTCTTTAGTTTATAAATATAAGCTACTCCCAAACTTTCACTAAAAAATTTTAAAGAAAATTTTTACCTAAAAGAAAACAATTGTGGTGTTAACCCCCACATTCTACAACCTCTTTTATATTAACAAGTAACTCTGAAAAGATGCATTCAAGTTAAATAAAAAAGCCTACTTATTAATTAAGGCTGATGTCTTAACTGACTTTTGGTAAGTCTAATTGCCATAATTTAAAATTTAAAAGCTTCACTCAAAGAACACAAATATTAGCGACTCAGAAGGCAATCTTTTTTCATTATTGTAAGACAAAAGGAAATAAATTAACAGTGAAAAAATGAATGTTGACGAAGACCAAGCAAGAATAACAACAGATTAGCCACAAGTCATTCTTTGAATAAAGAGTTCTTTATAATATGTTTTCAAAGAGCTTTCTTGGTAGACAAGCTACAACAGCATGTTATGAAAAACAATAACCACACACTTTTTGTATCTCCTAATACACTGCAGTGCTATACAACTTTGTGATGATGCAAATGTTCTGTTTTGTCCAATATGGTAGCCAACAGCCACATGTGACTACTAATGAAATGAACTTCCAATTTTAGTTAACTTAAATTTAAATAGCCAAAAAAGGCAATGGTTACCCTCTTGGCCAATGCAATTCCAGATTTCATATACTTGGTTATATATAAGTATAAATCTAAATTCTTAATAATTCTCTTTCACAGAAGGAAAACTTAAATAAACTCTCAGTTCTATTGCCTTCACTACACCTCAGTATATTTAGACTGTATGGACACGGTGGCTCACGCCTGTAATCCCAGCACTTTGGGAGGCTGAGAGGAGAGGATCACTTGAGGCCAGGAGTTCGAAACCAGCCTGGTCAACAAAGCAAGACCCCATCTCTATTTAAAAATAAAAAAAGTTATTTTAAATACTTGTGTACAAAGGGATACAGAAGTATATCTTCTGCACAAATGGCCATTATCTTTTGGCACTTAAGACATTCTTCTCCCTTTGGAAATAATTTTACTCAAGTAACCAGAGAATTCAGAAACCATGCAAAAATAACACCAGTCCCCCGCCTCCCACAAACTTACAATTTAACCAAATTTAAAAAGTAAGTACCATTCCCTATTACCTTTGCATAAACAAGGACAAAAAGATATGTTTTAAAAATATAAAACATATTTAACTAACCATCTCCCCAACAAAATGAAAAATAACCTTTTATATAACTTTCTAAACTATACAAATTATTCATCAATAATTGGCTCAGACACAGGTCTGTAAGAATGTAGTATTGTAAGACATTTTTAAATAGAGAGTTTTTAAAGACAGCTATTTTAATACAACATTCACTTAAGCATATTTCAGAAATATAAGAAATAACTAAACAGCAAAATAACTTATCTCTGTGTAACCAAATAGCAGTAACATTCATAACTACCTTGAGTAGTGGGTGGGAAGAAAAAAACTGTGGGGAAAAAAAAATTCACTGGAAACTTTTTATCTATACTCCTGAAAAAAATTTCCTGTTGTTTGACATAAATGTTATATTTTCATGTAGTAGCTTTCTAATTTTTGTAAATTTCCTTTTTAAAACTTAGTAATCTTAACACTTAAAATCGATTATATTATAAATGACATCAGTAGAAGTATTCTTACCTTTATTTGACTTTGATGGTTTATTCTTGATAGGTTTAAGGGAACTTCTTGATTTGTCCTCTCTATCTTTAATAAGTTTCTGAACATCATCCAAAGACAGTTTTTGTAGCACAACTACAGGCTTAGCTCCTTTATTTAGATCTTCAACTAATCCTATTTTTTCTACTTTGTCTTTCGGCTCTCCTTTCATTTCCATTTTCTTTGTCTCCTGAGTAACATTGCCATCTTTATCCCTCTTGATTTTCGGAATGACAAAATTTTTCAACGCACCAGACCTGCCCCCCAACAAATAACTTGGAAATTCTGCCTTATTGTCAGGGTGTGCTTTATTAGTGTCTACTTTACTCTTGTTACCCTCTGTCCTTTTGTCATCTTTACTAGTTGGTGATTTAAAACCAAGTTTATCAGATCTTGATTTATTAGAATCTCCTTGTTTAACACGAGGACTGTCAGGTCTTGATTTTTGTTCCCCAGAAGATGGTCTTTCCCTTGAGTCCCCTGATTCATGCCTGTGTTTTCGTTCTAGTTTATCAGTTTTTGAACTATCAGATTTAATGCCATGTTCATTTCTACTAGAGGATCTCAATGTTTCTGGTCTTCGAACCCTAGACTGATCCCCTCGATGTCGCTCTGATTCACCCCTGTCATCTGATTTTTGTTTATTATCATGGTCACGTCTTAGTGACTCAGAAACAGATCGCCCATCAGGTCTCTGCTTTAAGGCTTCAGCTCGTTCTGATTTTAACCGAGGTGAGTCAGATTTAGTATCTTGTTTATGTTTAGACACTTCAGGTTTTTTCTCTGTAGATGGCTTTCCAGAATCCCTCCTATTGTCATGCCTGTGTTTTGGTGTTTCAGGTCGCCCTTCATTTTTTTGCTTTGGAGTTTCAGGGCGGCTCTCACCTTTTTGCTTTGGAGTTTCAGGCCTTCCATCACCCTTCTGTTTTGGGGTTTCAGGATGCCCATCACTCTTTTGTTTTGGAGTCTCAGGCCGGCTTTCACCCTTTTGCTTTGGGGTTTCAGGCCTTGATTTTGTTGTTTCTGATCTGCCATTATTTTGTTTGTTGTCATTTGGTTTTGTGTCAGACAGTCTATTTTCATTTTGTTTAGGCTCAACTATGGTGCTCTCGTTTTGTTTGCATTCAGTTGTTCTGCTCTCATTCTGTTTAAGTTCTTCTGTTTGGGTCTCAACTTTAGTTTCTAACTTATTTTCACTTGATTTTGTCTCCACCAATCGGTTTTCATTTGGTTTAGATTCTGCTAATCTACTTTCACTTTGTTTCATTTCACTCTTTGAAAGCTCAGGATCAGACTTTTTTTTAGGTGTCTCAGGATGGTTTTCTGGTGTAGATTTAAGACTTCCAACAATATCTTCCTGAAGAACAGAAACAGGTGCATCATTACATTGTTTGATTTCTTCAGGCTTTTTTATGGAGTCTGAATCCTGAGTTATAGAAGCCTGAGAGTCCACTCTTCCTGCCTGATGAAGATCAATGCTAACCATTAATGCTGGCCTTGACCCATTTCCCGTAGAACCCGTCTCCTGAGAAGCTGGTCTATTACCTCCTGTAGCACCCCCAGCCTCCTGTGGGTAAGAATCTTGTTTTCTTTTTTTCAAAGGCTTATCTGAAATTTAAAGATAAATATCAATATCAGTAATAGACATGTATTCTTATCTTATTAAAAACCCTATGGACGTTGTTTATCTTTTTAAGGTTATGTTTTTAAAATGGAGTAAAATGCAAATGCAAATATGTACACATAAAATAGTAAGCATGAATGACACAATACTTTGAAAGGTAAGGTTTGAAGAAATATGCTTGAGAGATCTCAATAAATATAGTAAAAAGAATTTAACTGCATACTCTTTAAGGATATAAATAAGTGTAAGAATATAAAATGAATAGAACTTATAATGTACCAAATACAAACATATATTTATGTTCATAGATGTCACGGATAAATCAGATTCTTTTCCTAATAATAAAGCAACCAGTTACAAATCATAAAGTCTCACTCAGGTTACTTTTAACTGTTAGCCAAAAACCATAAAGAGCTCCAAATCTGCCAATATACCAAACAGGAAATATAAGTTTTTACTGTATCTAAGATAAGTATGGAAAAAAAAGAAAGAAAATATATACCATGCCATTGGGAAAAAATGAATTTAAAAAAAGAATTTAATAATTTGTCATTTAACTTTAATCAATAATTCAAATTCTTTGAAGTGTTAAAAGTGTGAAAGGAGTTTAAAAGTTAACCACAATGTTAGATAGAAGTAAATTTAAAATAAGGAAGCAACAGATTTCATAGGTATAGAAAATTTAAAATCAGGGAGCAATAGGTATAAATTAGAATCCTGTCTTAAGCAACTTCCACTGAAGGAAACAGTTCCTACTCTTCGATATAAAGTTATAATGTTCTGGGATCCATTCTGGTCTCAGAAAGAAATAATTTACAGTATTATGAAATGTAAAGACAAACACACACACAAACACAAATTCACCATTACAATAAAATGTGAAGGTATTTTTAACATCTATATATTTCTGTGTATGATTCCATTTCTGACTTAAGAGGGAGCTAGTCATTTTCTATAAATTAAATCTCCAGTTAGGTCTTGGGAATGGTTACATTATAGCACCTTGAGGTTTGGCTTCCTTTTGTTTATTTGCTGAATTGCTTGAGTATGTTTTAAAAGTCACTGTTATTTATTTTAACAAGGCAATCTCTAGATTCTCTTGCAATATTCACTAATGTGATATATCATATAAGGAAGATGGTATCACAAGGTTAAAAGTCAAACTGACAACTGAAAAATGGCTCCTTATTGTTAGAGAACCAAGTTGTGATTTTTTTTTCCTAATGGTAATGCTTCTTCTATATAGCAAAGTTCCACTGTTTTCTTTTTAAAGTGGGAAGTAGCAGTTCTTGCCAGTTTAAAATCTAATCAAATATAACCGCAATTTACTTAAGATATTTGTTAGTTATATTTTGTAAAACTAAGTCCTTCTGCTCCTTCAGTTGTCCAGTCAAATCTATCACCACACATGCTCCATTTGCAAAACACTACCATTTTAATTCTAAAGTATAATATATTATCATTAGATTGTTTCCACCAGTTAAAACTAACATGGTAAGAATTTATAGGAAGTTTTCTACATCAATACCTTAAAAAAGAAATCAGAATACTAAATTTATGTTTATAGAATCCTCTTTTAGAATGTTCTGCCATTCAAAAATCATCTTTATGTTCTGCCACAGGGCAAACCAATTGATATCTCATGAATAAGATGCTTTATCAATTTATGCTTATCCCTTAAACTTTTATAAGACTCTAGAAATTCAAAAAATATAACCTAAGATTTCTATATTTTTGAGGAAATATGCTTTGTAAAAATAATTAAAATGGTAGACTAATCAATCATACTTAAGATACACAACGACATAGGTCTCAGGCATCTGAAGATTTAAGATATCTATGGCTGACTCTTTTATGCACAGTCTTCAGAAAAACATTAACATAGCTTAGAGGGCTGATTTTTAAAGGATTACAAAATACTCAAGAGTTTATATATTATTAACCTCAATCCAATTTACGTAAAGACATTAAAATGAAAATTTAGCAAATACAGTAAGTTAATTTCAAAGAAATGATATATTTTATTTAAACTATGAATCCTATGATTATTTATAATAAAAAATGTATGAAAGTATTTGCACACAAGTAATTAAGATTGGGAAACATCTTACCATTGTTTTTCAGTATATACAAAATGCTGTTAAATACAAAATTTTAATCGTTCAACTACTGAAAAGTACTTTACTCCTGTAAAACCTGGAAAATTTTCATTACTGTGACAAGGATTCTTAGGTATGTCAAGAGCATGTATGTTCTGATTCACTTGGTCTGATTCAATTCCACCATGAACTTACTCCTTATAAAGCAGCTCTGAATCTGTACAGGTCACTTTTGTCCACCCACTTTTGTTATGAGTCTTCATTACATCATAACCACCTAATAATCATGGAAAGCCATCTCTATGAAGAATCATTTTGGTATTTAGGACAGTGATTACCTGTAAGCCCTCTTCAGCACTGGGAACCATAAGATTAGCTATCAGAATACATATATTCCTAAAGAAAATGCATACAAAAGGATTATCATAATCTCAAAACCAACACTTGTCATCCAGATGCTGATATTCTCAAAATAAGATGCAGCCCTTACAGAAATTCTAAACTCAATTACGCTTACAAGAAAAACAAACTATACCACTTACTTAAATCTACAAGTGATAAATGAAAACACTTAAAGCAGAAAGCACAATAATTGTGTATACATGGTAGCCAATTATGTAAAATGAAAACACACCACCCCTCAACCACAATACAGGCTGAGTGGCTAATTGTCCTATTCCTTGTACCAAAATCCCGGTCTCTTATTCCAAATGACAGTAGGTAATCATTGACTTTTAACAAGGGCTATAGTGCAAGAATATTGTAACATTATAAAAACATTAGTGAAGCTGAGCCATTCCTTATACTTGCTAACATGGAAAGTGGACCTTGGGAAAAGATGAAATAGGCAAAGATGAACAAAGGAACCCCCTCTTTGACAAAAGAAAGCAGAAATTTTCAGCACATGAAAAAGGTATTAATATCTAATGACAGGTCATCCCAGAAGCAAAGAAAGATGAATAGCCTTTTAAAATTAATTTATGTAATTAGAGACACTAAAAGTATGAGCAAAAAGATTGAGAAAAGGGTCCTTTTGGAATATTATAAAATATTAGGTTACAAAGTTGCCTTATCAACGTATATACAGAACTGCTCAAAGAAGAGAGAACAGGACAAAGGGACATAAATACCTAGCGGCTAGAAAAATGTCTTTCTTCTGCGGAACAAGGGTACAATAGGGTCTACCACAGCCTAGGTAAAACATTTCTTAAGATTATTCTATCCCTTTACTTGAATTCCACAAATATTCTACATTTGTTGAACTTTCTAATCTTACTTATAAGGTACAGTGTTTTTGATTTCTGGTTATTGAGTGGAATATTTCTCTCACAGTAAACGAATATATTGGCAAACAAACTCATATCCTAAAGTGCAACTAGTAGGCCAGACAAATAGTCCTGCCTGCTCCATATCACCAGTAGTAATACAACAGTTGTAAAAAAGTCCTCAGTGCCAAATGTTTGAATATATTAAATGTCCACTTTAACATTTAGTCTTTAATAAGTAAAAATAATGGTAACTGGGACAAATTAATTTCAAGGAAGTATTTCATCTCTTAAGGGCTCTAAAACCACCACTTCAGAAGAATTTTGCTTTTATTTATGACCTCACCTACACCCTTGGACCAATATACACACCTTTAATCATCTCAAAATCTCAAGGTAACTTCTTATATAACAAATACCATCCCATCACACAATGCAGAAACTGAATGCAATATGCCAAGTTCAAATCAAAAGGGTTAGGTGGCATCTAAGTTCCAAAAGTTTTCAAATGCGGTCATGTATTTCATGTATTGCTTAACAACAGGATACATTCTGCGAAATGCATTGTTAGGAGGTGTCTCTGTTACGTGAACATCATATAGTATATTCACATAAACCTAGATGATATAGCCTACTATGTACCTAGGCTATATGGTATAGCTTATTGCTCCCAGGCTATAAACCTGTACAGCATGTTACTATACTGAATACTGTAGGCAACTGTAACACAATGGTAAGCATCTGTGTATCTAAAACATATCTAAACATAAAAAAGGTAGAGTAAATATACAATATTATATTTTTATGGGACCACCATTGTATATAAAGTCTGGTGTGAAATGAAACATCATTATGTGATACGTGACTATAAATCCACGAAATAAGAGGAAAGTGGCTTTCAGGAAACAAGTTAGAAATGACAACAATAATATGAAATCAGCAAAACCTACTTTAATCCTCAGGTTATCACCGCATACCTGTATTTTCACCAAAATTGAATGTCAACTCTGCTCATTCAACTTTTCAGTTATCTGTTAACTATGCCATCACAGATTACAGAAAAAACTATTTAGATAATTGAAAATAAAATATACAAGTTTCTACAAGAACAGTATGTTGTATCTGTTGACTTTGTTCTATTTTTCCAAAGGAAAGTTCGCAGTATAAAATAAGTTTGCTAATATGCAATTAGAACTATATATGACCCTTATTTTAATTCCATTTTTATAAGTAGAAACTTTGGATTCAACAAACATGATACATAAAAAAAAGGTCACCATTCCTCCTCTGTTTTTGTTACTATCAACATCTATTAAAATTCACTTAAAAAGTACATTCTTTTTCAAGAACACATTTTTCCATAATACAGATTTAACGTCATGCAAAAAATTCAGTTATCAGGGCAACTAATATTTCTTGGTCAGGGAATTGTGATATTGTATGTTTCCTGCAAAACTGGCTATCCTAAGATTCAGGAATTTTGAACAGGTTAATAAGAAAAGCTGAGTAATATTACTTTTTTCATTTGATATGCGTATACTTTTATAACAGGTTAGAGGAAGAGATATAATTTGGAACCTATATATTTATTTCCTGAACCTCATACTGCAAACTAAAGAGAAGAGGTACAAGCAACATTTCACCCTTAATATCAAAACTTTACCAGTTTAAAAAAAAATTCCAGAAGTCCTACCCAGAGCAATCAGGCAGGACAAAGGAATATTAGGCATCCAAATAGGAAAAGAGGAAGTCAAATTATCTCTGTTCACTGATGACATGATCCCATACTTAGAAAACCCTAAAAATTCCTCCAAAAGATTCATAGACCTGATAACTTCAATAAAGCTTTAGGATACAAAATAATTGTACCAAAATCAGTAGCATGTCTATACACCAATAACGTTCGAGCTGAGAACCAAATCAAGAACTCAATCTCATTTACAATAGCCACACACACAAAATAAAATACCTAGGAATACATTTAAACAAGGAGTTGCAAGAGCTTTACAAGGACAACTACAAAACACTGATAAAATAAATCATAGATAACACAAACAAATCAAAAACATTCCATGGTCATGGATAGGAAGAATCAATATTGTTAAAACTGACTATACTGCCCAAAGTAATCTACAGATTCAACACTATTCCTATCAAACTACCAACGTAATTTTTCAAAGAACTGGAAAAACTATCCTAAAATTTATATAAAACCAACAAAGAACCTGAATAGCCAAAGCAATCCTCAGCAAAAAGAATAAAGCTGGTGGCATCATATTAGGAAACTTCAAACTACACTGCAAGACTAGAGTAAGCAAAACAGCATGGTACTGGTATAAAAATAGGCACACAGATCAATGGAACAGGATAGAGAACCCAGAAATAAAGCCACATACCTAAAAACAACTGATCTCCAACAAAGTTGACAAAAATAAACAATGGAAAAAGTACACGCTATTCAATAAATGGTGCTGGGAAAACTGGCTAGCCATAAGCAGAAGAACGAGACGGGACTCCTGCCTCTCACCTATACAAAAATTAACTCAAGATGAATTAAATATGTAACTGTAAGACCTCAAACAATAAAAATCCTAGAAGAAAACCTGCAAAAAACTCTTTTGGGACATTGTCCTAATTAAAGAATTTATGACTAAGACCTAAAAAGCAAAAACAACACAAAGAAAAATTGACAAATGGGACTTAATTAAACTAAAGAGTTTCTGTACAGCAAAAGAAACCATAGCAGAGTAAACAGACAACCTAGAGAATGAGAGAAAGTATTTACAAACTATGCATCCAACAAAGGTCTAATACTGAGAATCTATAAAGAACTCAAATCAACAAGAAAAAAACAACCCACTAAAAAGTGGGCAAAAGACATGAACAGACACTTCTCAAAAGAAGATGTACACACAGCCAACAAACATTTTAAAAAATGCTCAATATCATTAATCATCAGAGAAATGCAAATTAAACCACAATGAGATACAATCTTACACCAGTCAGAATGGCTATTACTAAAAAGTCAAAAAATAACAGAGGCTGCAGAGAAAAGGGAACACTTACACACTGTTGGTGGGAATGTAAATTAGTTCAACCCTTATGAAAAACAGTATGGAGATTTCTCAAAGAACAAAAAATAGAACTACCATTTGACCTAGTAATCCCACTACTGGGTTTCTATCCATAGGGAAAAAAATTACTTTATAAAAAAGACACCTGCACTCATATGTTTATCACAGCACTATTTACAATAGCAAAGTTACAGAATCAACCTAAGCGTCCATCAGGAGTGGACTGGATAAACAAAATGTGGTATATATACACCGTGGTACACAATCATAAAGAAGAATGAAATCATGTCCTCTGCAGCAACATGGATGCAGTTTGAGGCCATTATCTACCCTAAGTGAAATAATGCAGAAACAGAAAATGAAACACTACAGGTTCTCACTTATAAGTGGGAATTCAACAATGGGTACACACGGACATAAAGTTAGAAACAACAGACACAGGGGACTCAAAAAGGGGGAAAAAGGGACGAAGCCAAGGTTGAAAAACTATCTAATGGGTACTATGATCACTATTTGGGTGACGGGTTCACTACAAGCCCAAATCTCACCACCACACAATATACCCACGTAACAAACCCCTGTACATATATCCCCTGAATCTATATTAAAAAAAAAAAAAGACAAAGAAAAAAAAACCCAGCTCCCTAGCCAGTAAAATGAAGACTTCTAGCAATCTCTTTATTTGCATCTATTTCTGATTTACATATGTTGCAAACATTGTAGTACAACAATTACTAAATACAGTCCATTTTTTTTCAATAACATTAAAATGAGCCATCATGACAGACAGGAAATATAATACTAATCTTCAGCATGTTTCTTAGCATAGAAACACAATTATCTTGTCATGATCCTGTCAAACACTGAACACATCATATATAAAAATCAGCTCTACCCAATATCAAGAAGTTTTATCATTACCAAGAAATAAAATATAAGAACTGAAAATCAACCTAAAATATTTTAATCATAAAATTAAATCATAAAGCATGCTTTTGGTCTGATCAAATGTGTATATGCATTTATATAGCAATCAAATTCATCAATTATATTGCTAATTTGAATCACTGATTCATCAGTCTCTTAAAACATGAAAGAAATTTTGTATACAGTGTATACCAAATTACTAAGAACTTACTATGAATTTATTTTTGTTTGATTATGAAGCGCAAGGAAAGCTCATAAACTCATAGACCAGGTATGTCTTGAAACTCCATCCTAACATACTAGTCAGACAAAAGGGAACACTTCACTGTAATTACCACCAAAAGACTCTTAATTTCTAAGGTTTGCTATTTAATATTAACTCTTTCCATGATTTGTTTACTAAAAAAATTTGACATTATTAAGCCAGTAGGATCATAAACCAAGTGAAATATCTAACTGCCTAATAAGCATACACATGAGCTTTTCTTAAGTGTACCTGTTCAAAATAATTCTACAGTGGTTAACCTTGTTTTAGCAGAAAAAAATTTGAAGGTGCACAACAATATTAATGTAACTTGTGAAATATACATGTTATATAGAAATGCTAATGTTCATTTTAGCAGAAAAGCACAAATAAGTAAAATCATATAGTACATAATGAGTAACAGACCTGTAGTAGAGAATTACCAAATCTCATATAGTTGTTTCAGACAATAAATGAAATTGTTACGAATTTAACTTCTGCATTATGAGTATTAGTAATAAAAATATGTACTTGAGTAGACATAAATTATACAAAATATTCGGGAAAAAAGTAATGTGAAAAAAATTTTTGACACTATAATTACATATTTGCCCAGATGATGAAGTGGTAATAATGAGATTATTTTACCTTTATCTTGAACTTCTTTTGAGAAGCGCTCCCTTTCAATAGCTGATTCTCTCTCTATTCGCTCAATTTCAGCCAATGCATCCAATTCCACTTCATCATATATAGGTCCCTGTTGTGATATCTGTTGTTGATTCTGTACCACAGAAGTCTGGGGTTGTTTTGCAGCAACTGAAGTGTTCTGTTGTAAAACAGGCACTTGATTTGCTGGAAGGAATGCTGTTTGTTCTTGCTGCGACAAACATTGAGCAGCATTTAGTGGGCGGTTTATATCTTGTGGAGTAATGGGTGTTTTTGAAGTCTGTCCTGGGTACTGCACATTAAAAGGAATATCATTTTCTGAAACATTGCTATTTTCCACACCAGAAATCATATCCTCTTGCTGGTCCATGTCTGAAGACCTTACACGAGAAAGTCTTAATGTAAGTTTAGTAGAGTCCTTGGATGGAGAACTAATTATATCATACATTGCCGCTTTCTCACTCTGCTCTTTTTCATCCTTGCCTAATTTCATTTTCTTCTGCTTCTTTTGTTTTCTTTCTGGAGAATCTAGCAAGATATCTGGTGGAACATCTCGAGGTGATGAACAAGGTAGAGACTGAGATTGTAGGATTAAAGGTGGTCTTGAGCCTAGAAAAATAATTCGATAGAAGTAACAGTTGTGGTGGTTTCACATTTTCTTACAATGTGATAGAAATATTAATAAGTGACAATATAGTAATACTAGAAAAAAATAAGAAATTATATAATCCAAGCTACTTATTTACGAAAGATGAAAAGAAAGCTTAAAAACTTGTCCCACACAGTTGTTTAGCTTGCTAGTAGTTAATCTAAAATCTAGGTTTGAATCTAAGTATGAGTATTCAATTTTTCAGACCAGTATTATTTCTATATTTTTGTGCCTATAAAGTATACATATTTAGCTTTATAGGGGTAAAAAGTTCATTGCTTCTAAAGATGATACAACACAAATATTTTGGGTATGACCATCTCTGTTCTTTCATGGACTATCTGGGAAAACAGATATATCCTGATTAAAGTAAGAATAAGTACGCTTTTGTTAAATTACACAAAAATAACAATTTAATCCTAGAGACTATCTTACATGAATACTACTGGGATGATAACAAAAAGCAAGTGGTCAATTTACAATTACTAGAGCCTTTACTTACTTCAAAAACTGGTGGTAAAATATTGATTTATACTTTTATGTGGTCTTCTCTTTCTCCCTTAACATCATTCACATACTCTCTTCAGCTTGCTAATCCTCTTTTTATTAGAAAAATAAATAAGTTCAGTAAATTTCAAGGCCCAATAAAATATATTGAGCCCAGAGTCCATTAAATCAACCAATGTTATATGAAACAGGAAAGTGTTAAAAATAATCAGATGGAAAAATTATCCTAGTTAATAAGCCTTCAGACAAAAATTCTCCTTCAGACATGAAGGAAAAAGTGCATTGATATGCTTCAGAAATAATAGTATAACTGCATCTGAATAATGTATACATTTCTTATCACTAAACTATAAAATATTTAAAAACTTGTAAGAAATTGTAAAAATTGGTCAAGATAAAAGTTTTTTTACAGACAGAACTTAAACCTAGAACTGCCTTCAATTAAGCTTTCAGTCTTTTTCCATGATACATAAATCTGGACTTTCAGTTAGCAAGGTTAATGTATTTTAAATGTTATATATAAACATACAACTTTATTTATTGACTCTAGTGTGATAAAGATGATATGGGAGCAATTAACTATAAATGTTAGTCTAACATTTTGTGTCAGAGTTGTGAAAGGTGCTTTACATATCAATTCACTTGATTTTTACAACATTCTTGAGTATTATCTTTAAAATTTTTCAGAAATGGAACATGAAGCCTACAGAGGTTAAGAAATTTGCCCAAGGTTATGTAGTTAACAAACCTGAAGATTTAAAACAAGATTTGTCTAAGTCTGAATTGTAATATACCATTATGCCTTTGTATTTAAATTCTATGTGGCAAATTATATACACTTTAGAACAAACTTCAAATTCTAATAATTAATCTAAAAATCAAGATAGACTGACAATGCACTTACCCTTCAAAACTAGTTAGAAAACAACTTCATGACAGAAGTTCAAGCTTTTGGTGAATAATATATTAGTGAGGTTATTTGTTTTAAAGTTTTCCATTTCTATCTAAAGTTCATCTACTATTTATCTATCTAATCTCAAGAGTCAGAAGAAAAAAAGCTAGTTATCTAGATCAATCACCTATCTCCCTGTTCTCTTTCCCCGGCAATCTAAATAACTTCTCACCTTGACAACACTTGTGGGATATGTATCTAACCTACAAATAGTTACTCTGGAAGTTTTTCTCTCTTTCAGAAGCCGGGTTTTTATCCCTGAAAATTCATACAATTTACAGAATTGAAATGGCTCATAACAGCTCAACTTTCACTCTATGAAAAATGTCCTTGATAGAAAACCAAACACCGCAGGTTCTCACTCTTAAGTGGGAGCTGAACAATGAAAACACATGGACCCAGGGAGGGGAATATCACACACCAGGGCCTGTTGGAGGGTAGGGGGCAAGAAGTGGGAGAGCATTAGGACAAATACATAATGCAGGCGGGGCTTAAAACCTAGACGACAAGCCTGGTGTGGTGGCTCACGCCTGTAATCCCAGCACTTTGGGAGGCCGAGGCGGGCAGATCACGAGGTCAGGAGTTCGAGACCAGCCTGACCAACATGGTGAAACCCTGTCTCTACTAAAAATACAAAAAAAATCACCCGGGCGTGGTGGCATGTGCCTGTAATCCCAGCTACTCAGGAGGCTGAGGCAGGAGAATCGTTTGAACCCGGGAGGTGGAGATTGCAGTGAGCCGAGATCATGCCACTGCACTCCAGCCTGGGTGACAGTGCGAGACTCTGTCTCAAAAGAAAGAAAGAAAAAAAACCTAGATGACGGGTTGATAGGTGCAGCAAATCACTATGGCACATGTATACCTATGTAACAAACCTGCACATTCTGCACATGTATCCCAGAACTTAAAGTAAAATAAAATAAAATTTTTAAAAAATTTTTGAAAAAAAAAAAGAAAAATGTCCTTGATAAATAGTACGAACACAATCAGTGAAAAAAAGATCTTTACCATATGAAGCAGATACGAGGTAAAATATCTTTATGTTTCAGATGGCTATAATTAGAAATTCTCATTACTTGAGAGAATATATTACCAGCTATGTTAAAATTAATTATAAGCTAATTTTAAAAAGTAGAAGACAGTTTTCTCTTCCAACAAACTGATAATTAAAGCTATTTGACTACAATTTTAAGTATTTTAAAAACTGGCTCAAACCTGGACTTAAATTCACAATTTTGTGAATCTGTTACAGATAGAAGACCATGCAAGGTTCTTTGAAAATTCAAAGATAAACTGAAATTCGTGTGCATAAAGTAGTAAAAGTTCTTACAAAAAATATAAACTAATAGCTTGAGGAGATTAGGGGAGGGCCCATGGAAGATCACCCATTTAACTTAGATCTGGAATAAAAGAATTTTAAAAGGCAGAGATAAAAGTAGACGTGAGAGATTTAAAAATTAACAGAACAGGTTAGATTTGATAAATGACTAAATAGTTGAAAAGAGGCTTTATGATAACTTAAAATTTTTAAGTTACAATGATTCAGGACTGGAATAGCATTAAGACAGATGGGATGGTAGAAAGAACAGTGAAAACCATTTTGAAGATGAATTGGAAATATCCGCTAGGTATGAAGGAAGTTTTGTCTGGAAATGAAGAATTAGAACTTGGGAGACAAGACTGGAGCCAAAGATTGATTTAGGAGTCTTATGCATGAAAATAATCAATGCTGTTAATGAAACTTAATAAAACGGCCAGGGAAAAAAGTACAATGAGTGATAAAAGGTCTAATAATAGAAATCTTGAGAAGAATAAGAATAAGGAGAGGAGCTAATGAAGAAAAAAAGTATCAATGAAAGAAGTGGGAGAAAAACAGATGGGCTCATATGAAATAAGTCTTTTTGGAGGAAAGAGGAAAGCTGATCAAAATTTTCAAATGTTTAAGAGAAGAACGTTGTGGTTTGAAAAGACCACTGGATTTATTAAAGAGAATGGATACTGGATGTATCCGAGAATACTATCAACAGATTACTGGGTAAGTGGAAGATAAATGAATCAATGAATAGGGACAGATTTAAATCCCATGATCCAGACCTGCTTGTACAGGTTTATTTTTTTTTCTACAATGAAAAAAAAATACAGAATAACTTTTTAATATCTGCTTTAGGAAGTCTGAGTTCTTTATTCAACTTCAAATATAAAATATACAGAAGGAAATTTTAGTTACAGTAGTACCTTTAGGAGTTCCTTCACTTCCAGCAGGGGAGCATACTGGCTGTGGAGATCTCAAGGGAAAAGATGCAGCATTCCTCATTGTTGAAGAATCTCCATCCTAAAAATAGAGTATACAATTTATCTTTTGAATGACAGGAGAGGCTTTATAGAAATCTTAAAAGAGAACCAATAAGAGACATAAATTACTGACAGGTAAAGTGTTGGAATTCAAAAGCATAATTCTTCTGCACTTTCCTGTTTTCTTCTTGGTATATCTTAGAAGAATTGAAATTGTATCCAAAAGAATCAACAGCCTAAGCATGGCAATGAATAAGAAAATTTGTATTACTAGTATGCTCCATTTTTGTTTGCTTTTTTCTACAAAAGGAGCTATGAATACTCTACCAGGTGGTAAATGACTTGAGGGCAGAGTTTATTGTCATCTGTGTTATCCTTAGACACATGCAGCTTACATAAATTACAATCAAATCAATAACAAGGCAAATTTCCAGAATGTGGAATATTTTAATAACATCAAGGCAATATTAAATTTCAGACACAAAACTTTGTACAAGTATCAGAGGGAAAAAGAGTCAAGTACTAATAAATACAGGCTCATTATCTAAAAAAAAAAAAATTTTAGTGTGAGCAGTATTAACCTAAAACTGAAATATTTCATTAAGAACCTAAACCTCAAGGTCAGGGGTCAGCCAACTTTTCATTATAAAGGAACAGAGAATAAATATTTTAGGCTCTGTGGGCCACATACAGTCTCTATCACATTTTTTTTTTTTTAAATAACTCTTTATAAATGTAAAAACCATTCTCACTTTGTGGTTCAGGCTACTGGTCACACTTGACCAATCCTGCTCTAGACTAAGCTCTGTATGTGCAGGAGCCATGTTGTACTCAGTACCCAGTATAATGATATACGGTAGGTATCATTCAAATTTTGAAATGGAAATACTAGGTTATATGACAAATATTAGAACTATTTTATCACCTTAATGATAATATATTACATACGTCACTACTTAGCCTGTGCACCATGTGTAGGTAGTCCTCACTTGAACCATGTCTAGGATTATCAGCATGATGATTAGCTGAATTGCCAGACAACGGACCAGAAACTTTATTATCATGTATGTTTCTCAAACCACCTGCAACAATGGGACTTGATACCGATGCTGAAATTAATAAGAATAAAAAAAGGTTTAATAAAAGATTCTTAACATTCTTGGAGAATAGTAATTATTCACAAATATTTTAAGCATATAGAAATTACAGAGAATAATATAACAGATACTCATGTACTGACTAGTTTCATCAAATCTTAACACTCTGCCAGATTCCAATCTATTTTTGAAAAGAACTAAAACATTACAAATATAGTTGAAGATCTCCATTTATCTGTTATTTCTCTCCTCTATTCCTTTCCTTTTACTCCCTAGAGGTAACCACTATTTTGATCTGAGTTTATTCTGCCTATGTGTTATCTTTATACCTTTGCTATGCATGAATATATTCCTAAGTAATTCATTGTGTTGTTTTTACATTATAATTTTATATAGATGATATATGTATCTATCCTTATATAACTTGTTTTTCCATTTAATATTATACTGAGATTTTATATATATATATATATATAGTTTTAAATTCTTTTATTTATTTATTTTTTTTACAGACAGCTCTGTTACCTAGACTGGAGTTCACTGGCATGATCATAGCTCACTGTAACCTCAAACTCCTGGGTTCAAGTGATCCTCTTGCCTTAGCCTTCTGAGTAGCTAGGACTACAGGAAACTGCCACCACATCTGGCTTTTTCTTTTTTTGGTAGAGATGGGGTCTTGCTATGTTGCCCAGGCTGCTCTCAAACTCCTGGCTTCAAATGATCCTTCTGCCTTAGCCTCCCAAAGCACTGGGATTACAGGTAGATGTGAGCCACTGTGCCTGGTGTAAATTCATTTATTTTAAATAATTACACATACTCTGCTGTATGATGTACACTATTTATTTGTTCATTCTTATGTGGATGTTCAAATCGCTTAAAATGCTTGCTGCCATAAACAATGCTGCAATGTATGTTCTTGTACATAAGGACTGTTTTTATAAATGTGTAAGAGCTCTAGGTGCCAATACCTAGGAGTGAAATTGCCAGATATGCATATTTTAACCTTACTAAATAACAGATTACTTATGACCATTTGTATTCATTGGTAGCGTATGAGAGTTCCCACTGTTCTATATCCTTGCCAATAATTTTTATCATTCTAAGGGTAGGAAATGTTTCTGACAGTCACTTTACTTTGGATTTCCTTGATTACTAGTGAAGCCAAGCATCTTCTCTTGTGTACTGGCCATTCAGATCCCCTCCTTTACACAAAGTCATAAAAAGACAGCCTCCTGTATCTTCTAAAAGCCTTACAGTTTTGGTTTTTCAGTTAGGTCTTTAACCCATGTAAAACTTATTTTTAAGTGTGAGATAGGGATCCAATGTTACTTGTTTCCATATGAACAACTGCATCATTAATTAAAGAAATCATTCTTTCCCCCATTAAGATATAATGCCATATGGACCAAGTTTACATTTGTCCATGGGTATGTTCCTAAGCTCTTCATCATGTTCTACTTCACTATATGTTATTTTTCCATGTCTGCACCAATATTACAATAAATCTTGACTGTTGTTAGACTGAGCTGCTACACTTCATTCCTTATTATTTTGTCTATTCTTGAACAACTTCTATATGAATTTTTAGAAGCAGGTTAAATTCCACAAAAACCTTCCTTGAGATTTTTTATCAGTGTTATACTGAATTTATAGATACGGGTGTAATAATAATCTTTACCCTATTGAGTCTTCCTATCCATGAAGATGGCATAACTCTTCATTTTCTTTTCTTCTATCTCTTTCAAAAGTTTTGTAATTTGCTCCACAAAAGTCTTTTACATCTTTCATTAAATTTATTCCTAGGTATCTTGTGGTGCTCTTTTAAACTGTTAATGCTATCAAAAAAGATTATAACTGCTTATTTCTGTATATAAAAATGCAATTGATTTCATTATAATGATGCTGTGTCCAGTAACTAAGTGGAATGCTTTTATTAATTCTAGTATCTTGTCTGTAGCTTATCTTGGATTTTCTATGAAGACAATTATGTCACCTGAAAATGACACTTTTTTCTTCCTTACCAATAATTATACATAGTTTAACGCTTCTTATCTTCCTGTATTGGCTGGGACACCCACTAAATAAATGTCATTATAGGCATTCATGGCCTGTTCCTGAATTGAAACAAAATGTTTCTAATTTTTTCTACCACTAGGTAACATTAAATCAACCTCTTCTCCTTTTTTTTCCATACAGATGGGGTCTTGCTGTATTGCACAGGCTAGACTTAAACTCCTGGGCTTAAGTGATCCTCCTGCCTTGGCCACTTGAGTAGCTGGGACTACAGATGTGCACCATCACACCCAGCTTAATGTATTTTTCTTCTTTTTTTTTTGAGACGGAGTCTTGCTCAGTTGCCCAGGCGATCTCGGCTCACTGCAAGCTCCGCCTCCCAGGCTAACCCCATTCTCCTGCCTCAGCCTTCGGAGTAGCTGGGACTACAGGCGCCTGCCACTACGCCTAGCTAATTTTTTTGTATTTTTAGTACACACGGGTTTCACTGTGTTAGCGAGGATGGTCTCAATCTGCTGACCTCGTGATCCACCAGTCTCAGCCTCCCAAAGTGCTTAATGTATTTTTATTCAGTGAAAAGTTTTAAATGTCATGAATGGAAGTTGAATCTTTCTGAATGCTCTTTTGAGACCTATTAAAAGGCTCACAGGACCCCAGGCCCATAATCTGAATTATATTAATTGTCTTCTACTAATCAATTCATATATATATCCAATTTTGTCATATAGGTTGATAACACTGCTTATTCGTTTTTTGTTTTTTGTTTTTTTTTTTTTTTTGAGACAGAGTCTCACTCTGTTGTCCAGGCTAGAGTGCAGTGGCGTGATCTCAGCTCACTGCAACCTCTGCCTCCCAGGCTCAAGCCATCCTCCCACCTCAGCCTCCAAATAGCTGGGACTACAGGCACACACCACCTTGCCTGGCTAATTTTTTGTGGAGAGAGATGGAGTTTCACCATGTTGCCCAGGCTGGTCTTGAGTTCCTAAGCTTCAAGCAATCTGCCCGTTCTGGCCTCCCAAAGTGATAGGATTACAAGAGTGAGCAATCATGCCTGGCCTGGTTTCTTAATATTTGTTTAAAAAATTTGTTTCACCTTAAGGCTTAAGGATCACTTAAGCCCAGGAGTTTGAGTCTAGCCTGTGCAATACAGCAAGACCCCATCTGTATGGAAAAAAGAAAAAGAGATTGATTTAATCTTACCTAGTGGTAGAAAAAATTAGAAACATTTTGTTTCAATTCGGGAACAGGACATGAATGTTCATATGTGATGACTGATTTATAATTTTCCTTTCTCATACTCCCCTCACTTCACCTGATTTTGGTATCCAGATTGTAATTTAACTTTATAAAAAGAGTTAAGAAAGTGTTGCTGTTTTTCTTTTTTCTGGAATGGATTAAGATTAGCATATCTCTTCATTTAATGTTTGGTAGAACTTGTTAGAACAGTCTGAGTATGTTTTTATCCCTTTCCCCTTCTTTTAAGGGAGGTAGATTTTGGACTACTGAGTGAGGTATATGAATTTTAAATTATATGATAGATACTGTCAAACACACGGTTCTCTAAAAAAGTTGCACCAATTTATATCACTATGAAGACTGAAATGTTTATCAATCTGATATAAAATTTTATTTCATCTTAATTTTGAATGCATCTCTATGAGCTAAGGTGACCACAATTTCATATATTTATTAAATCTTTCTGTATCGACTTGGCTATTCTTTTCCAGTAAATTGCCTGTTTACTTCTTTAGTTCATTTTTGTCTTGTTCTTATCGATCTGTATGAGATTTCGGTATATTAAATCAATACTTTGTGTTTATAATAAATGTTGCATATATCCCCCATATTTGTTTTATATTTATGTAATTTATATATTTATGTTCTCTTATATACAAATTTATAATTAATCTTTTTTTCTCATTTCTACAATCGAGGTTTTCGGTCTGCTTAGAAATAATGCCTTCTCAACTCTTAGAATACCAAAAATTCGCCCACGTTTTTCTTATAATTTTATGACTTAAAAAATACAAACAGCTTATTAATCTAGAACACTTTTGCTTTCAGTGATCCAGGAATCCAGCTAAAATTGCAAAATACCTAGACAATCACCAACATCATTTATTAAACAATCCATTCTTATATGCTGATTTTAAAATGTAATCTTTAGAATGATAAAATTTTAAAAAATCATCGTTTTTCCAATGACTTTGTAAAAACTGATAAAATGAGATTCACTGAATGCTACCCCCTTTAAGTAAAAGATTAATGGGAAATTGTATATTTACATGATCTCAAAGTATCATCCCACAGATTATTTACTAATTGCAAAGGGAAAAATATGTACTTTTACAATAAAGAGAGGTTCACCACCTAAACACCACTGATACTGAGACCATTTTATGATAATGATAAGATACAATGTAAAGTGCACAACACTGCTTACCAAGTACTCTTGCCAAAAATGTGTAACTGGAAACTAGTAAAACCTTAAAGCTAATTTCTACTTGATAGGAAATACAGAAAACAAATTAAACAACACCAGCAGAAAAGAGTGGAGTTTAGAATATGAAATATTCTACAACAAAAGTAGCCAAACTCTTCAAAAACCAAAAATTAGTGTCATGGGGTGAAAAAGGTGTAAGATTGCTTTAGATTAAAAGAGCCTCCATAAGAGATGTAAAAATCAAATGCAATGTGTGAAAAGCTAGATTTGAACATGCTTTGAAAAGATATTAAAAATATATTTAGGACAACTGGATTGGTAAAAGTCAAATGTATTCTGGATATTAGATGATACCACAGAACTGACCTTAATTTTTTATATAGGAGAATATTCTTAGCAGATGTACTTAAGGACAAAGTGGCAGGATACCTGTTGGTGAAGGGGTTCATTGTGCTAATCTTAGAACTTTTCTGCATGGTTAAATTTTTGTAATATAAAGTTGAAAAAAAATGCAACCTTTCTCAATAGTCTAAACTGTCTCACGTCTGCATTCTCTCTGTCCTACTGACCTATCCACTTTTTCCCTGCCAGACTTTTTTCTTTTTCAAATAAAATTATGTTTTATTATTGACAGATAATAGAGGCACGTATTTCTGGGATACATGTGATAAATACATTCATATAATTTGTAAAGATTGCATCAGTGTAATTCAGATATCCACCACCTTAATATTTGTCTTTTCTGTATGGTAAAAACATTCAAATTATCTTCTTCCAGCTATTTTGAAATATAAAATAGATTGCTGTCAACTACAGTCACCCTACTGAGCTATTAAACACTGTGTGTTATTTCTCCTATCAGACAGTATATTTGTCCCCATTAATCAAGCTCTCTTCAACACCTCCCTCCTCTACCCTTCCCAGCCTCTGGTAACCACCAATCTATTCTCTATCTTCTTAAAATCCACTTTAATTGCCACATATGAGTGAGAACATATAATATTTGTCTGTGTTTTGCTTATTTCACTTAACATAATGACCTCTAGTTCCCTCTATGTTGCTGAAAATGACAGGACTTTATTCTTTTTTATGGCTGAGTAATATTCCATTGTGTATACATACACCTTTTCTCTATTCATCCACTGATGGGGGACTTAGGTTGATTCCATATTTTGGCTATTTTGTGAATAGTACTGCAATAAACATGGGCGTGCATCTCTTCAGTATACTGATTCCCTTTCTTTTGGATACATACCTACTAGTGGAATTGCTGGATCATACAGCAGCTCTATTTTTAGTATTCTGAGAAACCACCATACAGTGTTCCATAAAGGCTGTACTAATTTACATTCCCACCAACAGTATATGAGGATTCCCTTTTCTTCACATCCTCACCAGTATTCACTATTACCTGTCTTTTTGAAAAAGGCCATTTTAATTAAGGCAAGATAATATTTCACTGTGCTTTTTGTTTGTATTTCTCTGATGATGAGTGATGTTCGGCATTTTTTGCTGTATCTGCTGGCCATTGATGTCTTCATTTGAGAATGTCTACTCACATCTTTTGGCTTTTAATCAGTTTCTGTTGTTATTGTTTTGCTATTGAGTTCCTTATATATTCCTGATATTCTAGTTATTAATCACTTGTCAAACAGATAGTTTGCAAATATTTTCTCCCATTCTGTAGGTTGTCTCTTCATTTTGTTGATTGTTTCTTTTGCTGTACAGAAGCTTTTTAGCTTGACGTAATCCCATTTGTCTATTTCTTCCTTTGGTTGCCTATATTTTGAAATCTTAAACAGAAAGTATTTTGCACAGACCAACATCCTGGAGTGTTTCTTCAATGTTTTCTTCTAGTAGTTTCATGTCTCAGATTTAAGTATTTAATCCATTTTGAGTTTATTTTTCACAGCATTATTTATTGAAGAGACTGTCCTTTCCTCATTTTATGTTCTTGGTGCCTTTGTCAAAAGTAAGTTGCCTGTAAATATCTGTATTTATATCTGGATTCTCTATTCTGGGATTGGTCTATGTGTTTTTATGCTAGTATCAAGCTGATTTGGTTACTACAGCTTTGTAATGTATTTTTAAGTCAGGTAGTGTGATGCCTCCAGCTTTTTTCTTTTTCCTCAGGATTGCTTTGGAAATTTGGGGTCTTTTTTGGTTCCATATAAATTTTTTCTGTTTATGTGAAGAATGTCATTGGTATTTTGATAGGGATTACGTTGAATATAGAAACTGTTTTGGGTAGTACTGACTAAATTTTTTTATTTAGAATAACTTTAATATCTGGGTGAGGCTAATCCCTGAGTATGGTTTTTAGTTCTTTATCTGAGCATTTCTAAGAAATGACACAATACTGAATAGGTCCTCAAACTACATTAAAAACCTAAGTTAATTTTGTGAAAACACATCACATTTCTTAGAGATAAAATTTACATTCTGTTTTACACACATTCATGTGTATATGGATGTGCTCTTTTGACATTTTTCCTCCATTACATGTAAAATGTCCCTCAGACTTTTGTGTACTTGAGTATAATAGTATTTTACATATATTAAGAATCTACATATACACATAGATATGTATGTTTGGCACTCACACTCAATTCAGTAATTTTCTAAGTGTCTATTTCTTTTCTTTGAGATAGGTCTCAATCTGTCACCCAGGCTGGACTGCAATGGTGTGATCATGACTCACTGCAGTCTTGACCTTCTGGGTTCAAGCCATCCTCCTGAGTAGCTGGGACTACAAGTAAATGCCACCATGCCTGGCTAATTTTTTTTTTTTTTGTAGAGACAGGGTCCCACTATGTTGCGCAGGCTGGTCTTGAGCTCCTGGGCTCAAATGATTCCTCTGCCCCAGCCTCCTACAGTGCTGGGATTACAAGTGCATACCACCACACCTGGCTGTGTCTATTTCAAATGTGTCAAATTTGCTTCCCAGTTTCTCCTTGAGTTCGTGTGTAAAAAAGCTCAACCTAATATTTCATAATCTGGTTTTGGGAAACCAGAGTTAGCTGTTTTGATGGATGACAAAGTTAAAAGTTTATACATTAATAAGTTTATTAATGAATAAAGTTTCAACTTCATGCATAATAAACAAGAATACACATGTAGAAACTAGTGACTGAAAGCAAGTTTTTAAAATTTGCTGTTAATTAAGGAGGACAAAAATAAAGATGTTTTTTATATTATCCTTTGCACTTTTCTGCTTTAAAAAATTTCTTTAAAACATACAATTTATACTAATAATAAATCAATTATTTAGTAACCATGAAATATATCTCCAGGCAATATAACCTTAAAAAGACATCATAATATCAACATTATGACATTAAGAACTAGTAATCAAGTAAGAACTGGTAATTTAATCTCAAATTTTTGCATCTAAGATTAATTTTCCTTTACTGTACTACAGTAAATTTTTACTACAAATTATTACAGTATAGTAAATTTTTCATAGTAGTCATCCCTCAGTATCCATGAGGGATTGGTTCCAATACCTTCTGTGGATACCAAAATCTGCAAATGCTTAAAAGTCCCTGATATAAAATGCATAGTACTTGCATATAGCCCTATGCACTATACAGTACTTTAAATCATCTCTAGATTACTTACAATGCCTATACAATGTAAGTGCTATGTAAACAGTTGCTATACTATATTGTTTATGTAATAACGACAAGAAAACATGTCTGTACGTGTTCACTACAGACTCAATTTTTTTTCCAAATATTTTCACTCCGTGTTTGGTTGAATCCATGATGCAGAAACCATGTATGTGAAAGGCTGACTGTATCTACTTTACCAATTAAAATGTAATTGTCCCTTGGCTTAGTGCTAATGTAAGAAGAAGGAGCAATTTTTAAAAACGCAGTTCTTCTTAATTTCACACCTAAATATACTTAGTTATATAATAACTGAATCCAAAAAGCCAAAATGACACTGCTCCTTTCACCTCCTAAAATGACAAATTTTCAAATGGTAAGTGTAACATTGTTTTAATGATTTAAGCCATATCTTTAAAAAGGTTTACTGACAAGTATACAGTATAGTATTTTAGTTTGTGTTTAATAATTATATTTTAAAAAACAAATTTGCTTGGAATTAAAGCACTTAGACATTCCCAGTGAAGTTACAAACAACTTTCTTACCTTGTTGCATCTGTGGATGTGTTGTGTAACTTGAAGGATGGGAATATGGCATGTATCCTGCAGGGCTTTGTGGGGCGTATGGACTAGGCACTGGGCTATTTTGCTGTGGCATAAATCTGTTCCCAGAGCTTGTCTGTGGTGGCACAAACCGGCTAAAACCCAAAACCCAAATAAAAAAATATAAGGAAATAAAATAAACACGCTATTCCTTGAAATCTGACTGTCACAAAGTCCTCTGATCTCTTAGTTTATATATGTAAAATCTATGCAAACAGAAGAATCTTGCAAAATAGTCAAATAACATACAAAAATTGTTCACAATTCATAATCAAAGAGTTACAATAAAAAAGTTTTTAAAAACAGGTAATTTGTTTACTTATATAAAAGTACCAATCTGTTTAAGGTACTTAAAGCCATGCTCCGTAAATCTTCTTATCTCAAACACATTAGTTATTTTAACATTTTTTGTCTGTATGAAATTACATTACTAAGATGGTAGCTACTTCAATTAGCATATCAGACTATTTCCATATACAACATTTTAAGGCAAATGCAAAGTGGATTACTATTTAAGTATTTCAACTATTTAAACTCTAAATAATCCACCATTACCTAAATGTATGAACCATATATTCACCAGCATATTCACCATACAAGACAATATTTAATAAACGATATATACATATATTACCTGGAGGGGCTATGTGAGATAGTGGTTTGTTGATAATTGGAAGATGCAGGACTACTGTGCATGGAATTCTGAGAAAGTTTATACTGAGACATCATCATTCCTATGCAAAACACAAAAATACAGAACGTTATTTTCTTCTAACAGTAAAGTGTCCTTTAAATAACTGAAATCAGTTATTCTTTCAAACATTCCAGAGATTTTTTTGATCAATGTTTTCATTTCAAAGAGCAAAATATAGACGCTGTAAAACTGTAAATTTCAAGAACAATTTTATTACAACACCATTTTCCATAAAACTAATCCAGGACTAGAAACAGAGATTATAATATTTTAAAAAAATTTACTTGCTTACTCAATATTCTATTATTTAGCCTTAGAATTGAAAAGATTTTTTTAAAAGTTGTCTTATCTAACCTCGCACCTAACACAATACACTTCCTTCTACAACGGGACTCAGGGTAGTTTTTATTACATGAATATTTTATCATATACATCTCTCATGCTTGGGAACTTAATTTCACAAAGCTATTTGTATTATCATGGTTCAGACACAGGTTTTGAAAAGTACTTTATTTATGGGCCGAAAGTTTGAATTCCTGCAATTTCCACCTGAATGTCTTCTGAAGCAAAACAGAATGTACCTATTCCTTCTTTCACAATAACTCTTTGTCACATAGTAGGGATTAACGGAATATTTTATTAAAAAATAAAAACCTGTGAAGAGCATTCTGGTTCTTACATTTATTTCCAAGCTAGACATTATTTCTCAATTATTCACATGACATTTCATTATATGGGAGACACAGAAAAATTCACTTATTTAGACATTTCAAAATCAGATAAAAATCTACAAATAACACCCTGAATTTTCTTATGATTTCTATAGCCAATCTCTTTTTTGGCAGCTGCAAGCATCAAATTGTATTTCCAAATTTCATTTCCTGCTGTTGTTATAAAAAGTGGCTTTCACTAGAAATATTCAAACAGAAGTTGATTTGCTAAGAGTACTACAAAAGAGATTGTAGCTGAATGAAATTAGGTTTCAAAATCGCCTCTAAGTCTACCATTGAAGGGTGTTTTCTTAAGTATGTAGTCTAAATTTCAACTTCTGACTTTTCTTTTCCAACTCAAACTCAGCACAGAATTGTTTTGCTCCATAGCTTTAATAGCTTAATTACTATAATTATTGTTGCTGGAGGTTTTTTTTTTTTTCTTTTTCTTTTGGAGGGAGATGAACACTCAATGAGACAGGAGTTAAAAAGCTTTTCCCCCCTGAATTAACAGCCATCACTGGGACAAACTGGAATTACTAGTTTGAAAGCAATGGCTTTCTAAATAAAACGGGTAAATGAAATTCTAACAGTCCTTTTCAATTAATTCTAAGTTCCAAAGAACTATGATTAAAGTGATTTGCATTTTATTACAATTTTCTCCACATGCATGACTCATATTTAAACTTACCAACCCCAAAATCAACTTTTTAAATTTCTATTTTATTTTTATTTTTTATTTTTCAATGAGACAGGGTCTCTCTGCATTGCCCAGGCTGGTCTTGAACTCCTGGGCTCAAGCAATCCTCCTACCTTGGCCTCCCAAGTGCCAGGATTACAGGCGTGAGCCACCACGCCCAGCCAACTTTTAAAATTTCAAAGCCATATATCACCAGGAAAATGCTTTAAAAAAAAAAATAACATGCAATTAATTGATTAATTTTAAATGCTAGTTTATGCTTTTACAAAGTAGGGTATACAGAAATCAAACAATATTTTGGACTAAAAAACAAGTATATGTAGTATAAAACACAAAATATGTGACTGAGAGGTGAACACTCTAAAAGTTTTTATCAGAGTGATTTACTACCCAAATACTCAAAAATGTAAGTTGCAAAAATGTAGTATTAGTAGCCTTAGATTCATTTATCCAATATTAGATTTACTCACATTCTCATAAAACTAATACTCCTACTCTATTAGTCTTTCTTCCACTCAACTCTCTTTCCACATTTTCTTTCAATTCCAACATTTTTCCAGAAAGCCGTCATAACTCTAGCTTCCTTCATTATTTATATCTGTCTCCTACTATTGCAATCTAACTTATTAGTTCTGGTGAAGTCAGAGCCCTGTCGTGCATACCTACCTTCAACTTGCTAAAAGGCAAGTCGGTCAGAAGCATCCCCATTATGCATTTTGAGGAATCAATAGTAACTATGCAATTGCTTTCAAAATACCATTCAAACAACACAAGTACACAGAATCAGCAAAGCAATATTATTTAAAGGAAACAGAATGGGAAGCATCATGGAAGTGCTGCCAACAAAGTAAACCAAAACCAAAATGAATTTGGCAAAATTATTTTATTTATTTTTTCTTTTTGTTTGGAGACAGGGTCTCGCTCTGTCGCCCAGGCTGGAAGGCAGTGGTGCAATCTCAGCTCACTGCAGCCTTGACCTCCTGAGCTCAAGCGATCTTCCCACTTCAACCTCCCAAGTAGCTGGGACTACAGGCGCACACCATAATGCCTGGCTAGTTGTTGTATTTTTTTGTAGAGACAGGTTTTCACCATGTTGCCCAGGCTGGTCTTAACTCCTGGCCTGAGGCAATCCACCTGCCTCAGCTTCCAAAAGTGCTGGGATTACAGGCGTGAGTCACCATGCCCGGCTGATAAAATTCTTAAATACAATTATTTAATTAACAAAGTTGAACTTTCTGAAGTTGTCCAAGCTATTCCTGCCCTATTTTAATCTTGAGAGCCAAACAGGCACTTGGGCTTGTCAAATTCAGTAAGCTTGAACAGAACAATGCTCTTAACCCAAAGGTACTCCATGACTACATAAAAATTATATCTGTGTTGGATGTAATATTTTTATTATTTTATAATACCATGAATCAATTTTTCTTTAATAATAATACTTAACCAATTTTTCTGTTGCTAAGGCAACAGGAGTATTAAATCAATTACTAGAAAACCATGAATATAATCACAATCAGTATTAAAACTCTATATACCTGCTACAATGTACATGTTCAAAAGCTTTGCAAATATTTATTTAATTAATGAAAGACTTATTTCAAATTAATTCTGATTTTCTAAAACAAAAAAATTTTTAAGCTGAGTAAACTGATATATTCCAACATATTTAACAAAATACACTTAAAGCTTTGTCTAATTCTCAAGGAATTTAGTTACATATTAAACTACAAGAATCTTATCAGTTTAGTTTCCTTCTTGTTCTTGGCTTGACTGAAGGCATAAACATCGCATTCCTGATAGGCCAGCTTGTTAAAGAAGACACCTGGATTTAAATATGTATAAAACAAGTTTGATATGGGAATTCAGTTATTAAGAAACTCACCACTTTGTACATATCTGTTCTGCATGCTTTTCTCCCTGAAAACATTAGGACTCCTTGCCAGGACGGCCTGCAACAAGACTGGTATGTCACCTTCTGGGTCATCACTGCCAAGGTTATCTTTCAACTCTCTGGCATTGAGAAAATAAGTATCAAAAATTAAAATGGTGACTGATTCTTAAGAAGACTTATCATATAAAAGTAAATCACACTGGTATGGCCAACAATATGAATTTTTTTTTTTTTTTTTTGAGACGAAGTCTCACTCTTGTCCCCCAGGCTGGAGTGCAATGGTACAATCTCAGCTCACTGCAACCTCCGTCTCCCAGGTTCAAGTGATTCTCTTGCCTCAGCCTCCCGAGTAGCTGGGATTACAGGTGCCTGCCACCACGCCCAGCTAATTTTTGTATTTTTAGTAGAGACAGGGTTTCACCATGTTGGCCAGGCTGGTCTCTAACTCCTGACCTCAGATGGTCTGCCCGCCTCGGCCTCCCAAAGTGCTGGGATTACAGGTGTGAGCCACTGTGGCTGACCCAACAGTTATGAATTTTCAAATATGCTATCCCTGGGAGAAATATAATTATCAAAAATAACAGAGAGGGATTCTTCTAAGGACAATCTTTTTCTTCATTTTACTTTACACAGTCAAGAGAAAAAAAGCCCAAAACACTATTTTATTGAACTATGAGTTTAATAATTTCCAAGTAGTTCTAAAATAGAAAAGAAATACATTCTATTCTAAACTATTCAAAATAATGGAAGGGTAGACAAGTGAAAGTTACACAAAAAGTTGATATTTGGTATTGGAATATATTTTCTTACACCTGAATATGAGTGAGTCTGACTTTCTGGGAATGTCTTACAAATAAGATACTGTTGCCACACTGATTAAGACAAGACCCAGAGGTTATGTAATTTTTCCATCTTACATTGCTTTCTCAAATAATGTCATGGTGCGGGAAAAGCGGAAACCAAACAGCAAATTTCAATACACTTCACAGCAGCAATTTTCAATAAACTTCAATATAAGTAGCAAATTAAATTCATAACCATGGGAGATGATGATAAAATTAAGTATAGGCAGTGTTTTAACTTTATATTATACATGTCAATGTTCTACTCATTGGATCTAACCATGAAGACCTATAAAGATGGTGTCCAATGATAAGACTCACTACATTTCCAGGGCAATCTTACAGGAGCTCTCCATAAAATAAGTCCTTATTTTACGTGTGCTATTTCCTTTACATCTTTAAATATTTGGTGAAAACTACTGAATAAGTATGTACAAGCATAAGAAGTGATTTAGAGGCTGGGCACAGTGGCTCACACCTATAATCCTAGCACTTTGGGAGGCCGAGGTGGGTGGATCACCTGAAGTCGGGAATTTGAGACCAGCCTGGCCAATATGGTGAAAACCTGTCTCTACTAAAAATACAAAAATTAGCCAGGCATGGTGGTGGGGGCCTGTAATCCCAGCTACTCAGGAGGTTGAGACAGAACAATCACTTGAACCCAGGAGGTGGAGGTTGCAGTGAGCCGAGATCGCACCACTGCACTCCAGCCTGGGCAACAGAGCAAGACTCCATCTCAAAAAAAAAAAAAAAAAAAAAAAAAAGAAGTGATTTAGATATTGCTGAATTTTTGGAGTGACAAAATATTAGTAGTATTATACTTCTTTCTGATTTTAACCAATCATTTCTTAGCTTCTCCATTAGAAAATCCATTTAGTAAGTATCTCACCTTAGAGTCATCAGCTTTAAAAATGCCCCAAAAATATGTACCGCATCTAATGTAGATATCTCTCCATTATAATGTGTTTATCCTCATTCCCCTACATGATGAATTTTTAAATTAAAAAAATAAAGAATGCGAGGTTACATGAGTAACATTGTGTGGTGGAATATGAAGGGATAAGAATGAGAGATTTTACTTTTTACACATTTTTGTGTTGTTTGTATAAATATGTATTGGTTTTGCAGTGAAAAATAATTTTTTTTTTCCCCAGACGGAGTCTTACTCTGTTGCCAGGCTGGAGTGCAGTGGCGTGATCTCGGCTCACTGCAACCTCTGCCTCCCGGGTTCAAGTGATTCTCCTGCCTCAGCCTCCCGAGTAGCTGGGACTACAGGCGCCCGCCACCACGCCTGGCTAATTTTTTTTTTTTTTTTGTATTTTTAGTAGAGATGGGGTTTCACCATGTTGGCCAGGATGGTCTCAATCTCTTGATCTCGTGATCCACCTGCCTCGGCCTCCCAAAGTGCTGGGATTACAGGTGTAAGCCACCGCGCCCAGACAGGGATATAGTTTCATGACCAGATCTCTGCACAAATGATGGATCCCCCAAGATAAGTTCAAAAGAGCTGAAAAAATATCCATAGAGCTACATGGGTCAGAATTATTATCTAAAAATAAATATTGCCTACTTAAATCTCATTAATCTATTATTGCAATAAGACTATATTCTCCCTCGGATATGGATATTTTTAAAAAATAAACTATGTATCTAAAAATTTCTGAAATAAAACCAGGAATACGGATTCTCTTAGTAAGGCCAAAACTTTTCACTTATAGTAGATATAAAATTGATCATACTTACATGTGATCTGTTGATACCTGGTTGAGGCTATGGACAAGCTGTGAAACCAAATTGTCATCCCTACAAGCCAAAAGGCAGTTCACCTCTTCTGCTATTCGTGCATTAAAGAGAAGGCTCTTTGTAGTTGTAGCAGGTAAAGGAGATGGAAGAGGCAGCTGGTTCAGGACTATTTGGAATAAAATCAGATTATTAGAAATTGAGTGACTATAGAAGTCTCTTTAGTGCTTATCTGTATTTTGGGATTAAAAGTAAGTTATAAATATCAATGTGACAAATTATTAAAAGGCATTCCTCCTCTTCCTAACAAACCTCAATCAACCCTACAAAACTTCCAAAACATCACTTGGACCATAATAGATTATACTAGTCTCTAGGAATAAAATTCAGCTCCCTTATATTCATCCTTGCTTTTCATTTCTTAAATTTTATTAACAAATGACTAGCGAAAAAGGCATGGTTACAAACTAACTTCCAATGTAGCAATTCATTAATCTCATTTGTTCTTGTTTATAAGATTTTTCAGAATCAATAGTACGCTCATACAAACAAATAACAATATCTGACTCTTCATAAAGTAGACAAGTAACGTTTTTTAAAAGCTTAAGAATATACAAATAAATACCTCACTTTAGCAAGAAAGCATTCATAGCATAGAATTCTGTAAGAATATTAAAATATTCTTCTAAATTCCAAATTCCTAGTTGTCTCCTACTTATTCTCTTCTAATAGCAAACAAAAGAACATAAATGTTTTATAGTAGCTTAAATTCAGCCGTTTAATCTCTGTTCACCTAACAAATTTGTTCATTTGTCTAAAGGTTAAGAAAGCTCACTAAAATATCAGGTGTCTTTGTTTTTGGCTTAATTTCTAATCACCTATACAGTATAATTATCATGGTGCTCAGCCTCAATAGGTACCAACAGGATTCTCATTAATAAAAACACAGAAAATAAATTATTACTTAATGAACAGGGCTTCCTGGAAAGACAAAATATTTAGGTATAGCAAAGATCATGGGGAGAAAAACCAAAAAGAAATTCCTGACAGTATATCTGATTTTGAACTCCTATTTATGCCTTACCTACAACAAAGTGATAATAAAAACTAATGCCAGTTTCAAAAAGTTTTCTTACCTGAGTAATGCTGACCCAATCACCTACAGCACTCTCCTGTTAATTTAGACCTCATAAACTAGTTACGCTTATTTCCTAAGCTCAAAGCTAACAGGCTGTTATCTATTTTACCCCACTAAAACCAACTGGAAATTCACAAAACAAAACAAAAGCCAGAAAAGTTGTATTTGGAGGATACTGAACATGGACAAAAACATTTCTTGAAGATACTTTCTCCTAGCTCCCTTATTATGAAGTCCCAAATCTTGCATAATGCTATCCAAAGAAAAGTATGCCATCCTCTCACTTTCTACCCTTCCCTCTCATATCTTTTTCCTTTTATTTATTCAGGTAGGATGACACAGTAACTAAAATTGTAGGTAGCTTTTTGTATCATTATTCAAGGACTAAGAATTATAGTTACAAATGCCTAACAAAAGAATAAATCTCTGAAAAATTGAGTTACATTAAATAAATCTCAAAAGACTGGCAATGTTCTTTAAAATTCTTAAGTCCTTAGAGTAAAATAGGCTGCTGATACCTCCAACAAGCTCCAACAGATTACTGAACATGACAACCAAAATAAACATCACTAAGAAGTTAGATAAATTAGGCTATCAATTTTTTTTTTCTTTAAAGGGCAGTTTCAGTTGCTATTTCTGTAAATGTGTTTTAAAGAACCTATAATAATTTTTAGAACAGTCACTGTAAAAATTATTGTTAACACACAGTAGAACTTAAATTAGATAAATTAACCAAACTTACGGTCTGTGAGACTAGCAATCCCCGCAAGAGTAGTAATGGGGACATGGGGCATATCCCCATTCATCCTGAATTTCTGGAATGGTGTTGCCTATAAAAGTACTTAGTTCAGGTGCCAGCTGTCATTACTTCCCATTTCCCAAACACTGCAACACACAAAACAGACAATTATTTGTAGAGATATGTCAGATATATTACTATCAGGAAAATGCTTAATCACTATAAAAAAAAGTTACTGCTTTGGTTTGTTCAACCTATATAATAATCATTTTCACATACCACTTATTACATGTTAAGCAATTGCAAAGTGCTTTGCACACATTAATTCAGTTCTCACAACAACCCAGTACAGTAGCTACTATTGTTTTTTGCATTTTACTAAGAGGAAATTAATTTACAGTGAGTTTAAAGTAACTAGTGGAGCAAGAATTAGAACCAAAGCAATCTGGTTCCAGAGTTTGTTTCTTAACTGCTAGGCTGGATTGCTAGAAAGGAATACTTGATCAACCTCGACAAGCACTGCAATTCATTTCCACATTATAAGCACGTTAAACATTTAACCTCATAATCTAGCTTCAACTTGCCTTTCTAGCTGTGTCTTTTATCATTATCCTATATAAACCACCCTCTCCAACCAACCTGATCTAATCAGATTCTCCCAAATCTCCCTTGTGTATTCCCATCTTTATACATTTCCTTAAGACATTCTTCCTACCTAGGAAGCCCATTCCTACTTTGGTCCAAACAAATCCTATAATTCTTCAAGATCCAAAGCACGTTCCCACGATTTCATGAAACCTCAAATTCATCCAAATGAGTATCTTAATCTACTCTGAACTTATGACATTTATTGCCCAATATTATTTTGGTAAATAATTATATATTCCTTTGTGACATCTTTTGAAACTTGTCTTGTTTCAATCTTGCACGATTACTTAATGTTCATGTACTTAGCTTGTCTTTCCAACTATCACTACATGTTTCTTACAAGTCACATAATCAATATGCAACCACATAAAGGACAAAGACGTGTTAACATTTTTAATGTTCCCCATACAAATGACTTAATTGACTTTAATGTTCAGTATTTATCATGATGGAATTCTCTCTCTCTTCACACACAGAAAAATATATGAAGACATTCTGTAAAACTGAACACTTTGTTATTCTGTTCCAAGCCCCCAAATTTTTCTCTTATTTTCAACATATGGCTTGTAAAACATTTATCTTTCCTTTAACAGTACTTGGTAAGTCCTTTTTTGTAAGTAGATAATATTTTAACAATGTACGCATTAATCAAAGATATGCTCTCATTAAGTGACTTTTACTTTATAAATTAATCAGCAAATGGAAGTCTACATCAACTAAACCATAGAGCTAAGATTAAAAACGGAATTGTAATTTCCAGTTTAAAAAACTTAAATATTTATCTTTTTAAGGTTGTATTTGCTAGTCAGTCACTTTTAAGAGAACCTCTTAAGTTTTTGAGTTGTAAACGTCAAACATTCAAATGACATAATACTGATAATTTCCCTTACTCATTATGTCTGAATGCAACATTGCAAATAGAATTATTTAACGTATAATTATACGGGTAGTTAAAACTAAGAATTTCCTTCACCCCAAACATTATTATTATAAATATAAGACCTATTGCACAAAGGTACATTAAACTGCTACACACACACATGCGCGCGCGCGCGCGCGCGCACACACACACACACACACACACACACACACACACAGTTTAACAGAGTTATAAAGTAAGCATCCATAGAATCATCATCCAAAAGGCTAGCATTCTGGTTCCTTCTAGGGGTATTAACTATCTTGTCTTTGTGGTAATCATTTCCTCTTTTTTCTTTACAGTTTAAAGACCTTTATATGTACATTCTTTACTAATTGCCAGCTAAGGGAAAAAACATTACTTTCCTTTGGTGAATGACTGACAAAATTTCTAGCAGAAGCCCACTGAAAGGAAAAGGCACAGGAAATAATATAGGAAAGCTATAATCACTACTAGCTATTCTATATTTGTCCATTTGCTACACTGTGAAATTACTAATTTCTACTCTTTGAAATTATTAATTTGATTATTTAACAATTACTAAAGAAATTTAATGCAACACTGCATAGTTAGTAGTCACATCAAGCACTTTAAAAAGTTGGTTGGAATTTAAAATCTGATAAAGGTCACCAAAACACAATGAATTTTTCCTAAATTTATGCTAATAAGAAAGTTCCAACTTATGCTCAGTAATTAATGGAAAGAAACCATTGAATGAAAATTACAGATCACAAAAATATCTTGTTATTCATATACAACTCACTGTTGTACACGTACACTGCCATATTCAAGCAGATTAAGTAACAAATGACTGTATTTAATTATTTAACTCAGAGAATAGGAACCTAAAGAGAGTAATATGCTAGAGGATTCTACTGTGGGCTACCTGACTGTTTTCTTAAGTCCCAGGTGAGTAACAAATAGAGCAGATCCAACCCCAGGCTAGGATTTTTAGCCTAAAAATGACTATGTATTTAGTTACCCATGTATGAACTAGAAGATTAATAAACCTAACCACAAGATTGTGCTTTTCACAGTGACATAAAAATGCACTGAAATGATGTCAAGTAAACACTGGGAGTAAAGGGGAAAGGGCGGGAGAGCAACAATACTTACTTGGTTTAAAGTGCTTTAATTACACGTTGATGATTACTGACAAAAATATTTGATCTTCACTGCTGAACTATGGCTAATTCCACTGGAATCCAAGATTTTGAAGAACAGCAGAGGAATTTGGTAGAAATGAGGTTACAATTTTAGCTAAAGTCACAGCTTTTAATAAATGTAAGTAATCTGTGGAAATGTTGCTACTTTATGTTGGAAGGTGACCAGGGTCCATCAAGAAATAGCGTTCCTAGGATTCTAAACATGAACAAACACAACCCTAACTAACTAGCTATGACATTTTTGGCTCTGGATTGAATAATGTTTTGGACTGCTTGGCTCTGTGAAAGTATATTGTTTTTCGTAAAACTGAAGCTGACATGTGTCTAGAATGAAACTGCAACCAAACTGTAAAGAAGATTTTAATGAGGGCTTTAAAACTGTCACTTAAGGTAGTGCTTTACAATCTGTGATTGGTGACTGATTAGTAGATTATAAAATAAATTTAGTGGGTTGAACACTGAAAGGGATGGAGGGAATAGAACTATAAGAGTATACTGCACAGTGCTTTGTGAGTTCAGGTAAAATGTCTTTAAAATTGTGGGTAAATTTTAAACCAGGCAAAGCCATCTGAGAGTTGCTGATTTGAAAAAATGGAAGAGTGAGGAAAGTAGCCCACCTCTAAGTGGTGATGAGAATAAAATAAAATAATGCACATATATCATTTGACATACCACCTGGCACATAGTAAGTGATCCAGAAAGTTAACAGCATTACTAAACAGATTCGGGAGAACAGATGAAGAACAGGAGTCTTTTCAAAACAAATAGAGGGAAAGGCATCTTTTCAATACAAATAATTCCTACTTCTAAAAGATCTATTATAAATAATTATTTGGCATTCCAGTATATATTTCACCACAGTATTAAAAGTCATAGTCTTGGGCCTGCTCACCTACAATTATTTAAATCATAAGGTAGGAGAAATAAATACTGGCGACAGAAAGCAGAAAAAAATTTAACTGTTGTAATACTAAGAACTAAATCGAACAAAATACATTGAGAAATCATTTATAAACTAAATTTAAGAATGGCTTGAGGTTTAATTAAAAGAATGCTTAATTAGGGGAAGATATTATAGTAAATTATCAATTTAGTCCATTCTAATGAGTCTGAAGGGAACTTTTAAGCATTTGCCAAGATTTTTAAAGACTCCACTTCTTCATTTAATTTCACAACAAAATTTACAACTTCCTCAAGCAAACAAAAGAAGTGCAAATAAAACAGTATCAGTAGGGATTATAATACTACTAAAATTGGGACAGATTTGGAATAAAAGGCATTCTTATTATCTGATGGTAGATAAACTTTCTGGCGGGCCACTTTGCACCCTATAACCAAAGCCTTAAAAAAATGCATCATTTTTTCTCAACAATTTCACTTTTAGAAATATATCCTAAAGAAATAATCATATACATGTTAACATACACATGTAGATATTCCCACAATATTTTTACTTTTAGTGATTAAAAAATAGAAATGGTAACTCATGTTTGCTCAGCACTTACTATGTAATAAATTTAATCCTCATTTAATCCTCATATGAACCTGAGGTGCTAATATTACAGTTCTATTTGATGAAGAATGTGATGTACAGAGAAGATAAATAATTTGCCTAAGGCCATACAGCTGGAGTCAAGATCAGGCTATCTGGCACATGGACACTTAAACTAACAGCTAAAATGTATAACAATATTATTAGTATAACAAATGATGGTACATCCATGAGAGATTACTATGCATACACAATCAATGTACTCAAAATATATAGCCAAGAAGAAAAATATTAATTAGGCTGTGTGTTTGAATCCAAGCTCCCCCACTTACTACATAACCTTGGACAACTTATTTAATCTCTGCACCTCAGTTTCCTCATCTCTGATATATGAGGTAGGTAATTATTATTAAATTTTGTTGTGAGGATGAAATAATATGTGTAAAGTTCTTAGAACTGTGCTGGGCATGTACTAAGTGTTCGTTAAATGCAACAAATGTTATTTGTTATATATTCTTCTGCATCTTACTTTTGCCATGTATATTATCTTAGAAATCTTTCATTTATACAGATGTCTCATTCTTTTTTAAATATTATTTTACGGGTTGATTGAAACATCCAGTTTAAAAGACTGTTAGTCAGTATACTACACCATGTGACAGTGAAGTATGGTGACTCTGGCTTTATGGAGTTAGGATCCTTACTTTATAACCACATTTAGTATGTGATTCACATTTCTATGGCACTTCAATTACTCTTACTTTCTTCTTGATCTGAACTATTGAGCAGAAAGCAAAATTCACTTTGAGGAAAAACAGTTTTGGATACAAGATTACAATGAGTAAGTAAACACCATGGTATTTTTTATGTTAAGTTCATAACCTTTCTTTTCAAAATTTGTACAATGACATTTTAGCAAATGAATCTTACCAAGCACAAACCCCTTATTTTCTCCATCTTTGAATACACTAAAAATGAGCTAAATACATGATGGATGTAAGATACGATTCTGGTAACTTTTCTCATAATAACTATTCAATCTGTCTTAGCAATTTAATAAATTGCTTTAAACTCTACTTTGTGTTGTTTTCCAGAAAAATCTGCTTCATCTTGTCTTCAACATAACTAAAGCATTTTCCTTTTACTATGCTTAATAGTTAACAGTTTAAAATGCTGTATCAGGTTACATAACAGTTCATTCAAACCTGTAAGTACCTCCTGAGTTATAAGTGGCACCCAACACAACATACTATTTCTAAAATATTTAGTCCTTCATGAGGCATCCAATTAATATTTATCTTATGTTACTGTGTCAGACACTATGTATGCTAGGCAAGCAAAGTACAATGGTTAACAAGATGGAACATCCTCTGCCCTTTAAAATTTGAGTTTGGCCACAAGAATGTGGTAAAGGGGGGTACATATTTCAGAGGGAGAAAAGAGAAAGAATCATTGAATTAAAGCCTGAACCAACTTTACAGTGATGATTCTATATTTTAATCTCTCAGCAAATTGGCACTAAAATAAAGAAGAATGGCAAAGATTCTTAAAATTCATGAAAAGATATTAAAGATATATTGCTAACTGAAAATATCAGTGTGCACATCATAAGCTCATCAACCAAGCTAAATACTTTTGCTTAAAACACATTTTCATAAAAATGATGGTCTAGGCATGAAAAAAAAGAACATTATTAAACCTTTAACAATGATTAGGGGTCGGGTATATGCTGAGATGCTGGGGAATTCTTATTTTGGTGGTATTTCTATCTGTACTCCTTGGACTTTTATTATGATTAGAATATTACTTTATGATTCAGGAAAATACTAATATAAACTATGATAAAATAAAAAAATTAGTAAGTCTCCTGTTGCTGCTATATGTACATAGATTTCTCTGAATATTTAAATAATTACCTATGTTAAGCATCTTCTATGAAGTATACTGAGCTAGGTGCTAAAGACTAATATAATATGCAAGGTATATTCATAAACACTTTAGACAGAGCATATGGCCAGAAAAGTCAATTGGAGCCTGCAAGGGAGTTTCTTACATAATGTTGATATCTTTTTCCACATCCTTAAGCTTTCAGTTAAGACTAATTTAATAGTGATAAGGAAGATAGGGTGGGGGAGAAAGAGACAGAGGATGGAAGCAGAAAGTTCTGTTAGAATACTGCAGTACTTACATGTAACCATGGTGTGATTTTGGACTTGTTCAGATTAAAATGCCAGTGTAATATCTAGTTGGAGATGTCTAAAGCAGGAAGTTGGAAATTCACAATCTGACAAAAGTAGTCTGAACTATAGCTATAGTTATGGAAGCCACTTATTGAGGGTTGATAACAGTTACATTATAATAGATCAGATAGGCAAGAAATAAAGTAATGCTGTAGGGGAAATTTTTTTTGGCACTTCTTATGTGTCAGATATTTATATATTCCTTTCCTTAATCATTCCAATATCAAAGGATTGTAAAGATTATCACTATTTCACAGATGCAAAAATTAAGTTTCAGGGCGTAAATACTCTCTCTACAGCTAAACAGGCAGCATGCAGCAGAAATAGGATTTGAACTCAGGTGTTTCTAATCAAATCTTATATTCTTATGTTTGCCTAAAGGACATAAAACTGAGAAACATCTACACTGCTATGGAAAAAAGATAAACCTACAGCAAACAGTAAAAGTTCTTCAAAGAACATAAGTGTCTGTTCAAGGTCTCTGAGCTAGTAATTCACTAGCCAAGACTAGAATATAAGTGTTTGATCTCTAGGTCAGTATTCTTTAAACTATATTGTCACCTTGTGTGATTATAACATTATTTTGAATAAACTGAAATTTCATATATGTGGAATATTTAGCTAATTAACACCTTTGCTAATGTTAATTTTTTTGGTGGTGGGGGAAAGGCTTAAAACTAAGTACATATATGTGTGTGTATATATATACATATACACACACACAGACACATGCATATATATACACACACACACACTGTTTTTGAGCAAGAAAAATTTAATATATAGAATTATTAAGTAGTAAAAAAATGGTTAACTAGAAGGTATAAAAAGGATTCTACAAAATACAGGAATGGCAAATACAGGAAACAGCTACCATCCACATGTTTAAGGGAGGAAAATATCTGAGGAAAATAAGAATTTGGAAAAGCATACTCATCTCACAAGGCTGAGATTCAGACCTTGTTATAGTGTGGCTGCAGCCCAGCCTGTTGGGCAACAGAAAGTCTGCTGGAGTCTTGGTGGGCCAGAAAACTAAGGGTAAATCTGTTAACATACTATGCTAAGAACTAAGGTCAGACCTTAGAATTGCCCTGCCACCACTTGGAGAGATGATTGAAAGCTTTAGTAAAAGAGGAGCAAGATTTCTGGGGGGAGAATGAAAAGGTTCTCCTTGCCCTTTGCTCAGCCTTCTCACATTAAAGAATTTTTTAAAAAGTTTAAACTAGTATATTTTTATTGTCCTGGTTTATATTACATTTAACATTATAAAACACCTAAAATCCTTTTAGGAAATAGGTGGGATATAAATGCTAAATAGCTACACAGGTTAAGTAAATAAATAAATAAATCTATGTGGTACTACTTACTATTTTAAATAGGTCAGTGAGTCCCTAGAGAGTGGCACCTCTCCAGCAGAATCCTTTCACTTCAGTCAAGCCACCTTCAGATTCCTTTTCCCTGCCTGCTATTCAAGAACAGATTTTTCACATGCTATTTAAGATACTTCTGAAAGGATCTTCCTCAAATCCTACCTCAAAAACAAAAAGTTCCCAATAAGCTGCACTGTAAAAATTCTCACTTTCTTTAAAACATTTCTGCTTTTCTAAAGTTTCAAATTACTTCCAATAAATTTTTAAAATGCAAAATAAAGCAAAGTTCTAAAACTCTCTTCAGACACTTGCTTTGCTTCTGGAACCCTGAGCTCTCTGCAGCCACCGCTGGATACCAATAATGTATATGCGTGTCCCAATAGTGTAGCTATATCACATATTTATAACGTGTATTAGAAGGATATATTTACACTACTGAGTACTATTATGCAGAGAAAGAAAAGTTACCACTAAGTAAATAAAGTTGAGATTTAGGGTTTCTCAAAAGCAGTTTATAAAATATGTGTATGTTTGCTGAGAAATAAAACAATAAGCAAAACTATACACATCTATGAACTGACTTTAATAAAACTTCACATAACTTTAAATAGTCCCAGTTTGTTATACAGTTAAATGGATTTGCAGAGGCCTGTAGTTAGTTATGCAAAGTTTAATTGTACCAAACTACACAAAACTACAAACTACCTCAGGAAAAAAATAGTCCTGTGTCCTGGAATTTGATTATTAAAAATTTATTTTTACATAGAGGCTACGGAGGAAATTTCCAAGCGCGTCTATGAATTGTTTGGATTCCTAGTCCACTCCCAACACACCAAAACAAAATTTATTTCTCATCTTCTTTTATATTGCAAAAGAAATAGCCTGTCTCCAAGTCCCTTATATAGGTTGAAACTGTTAAAAGACTGTTTCATACACAATTGTATTAGAAATGCAAAATCAAACAATGACTGTTTATTTCCAAATGAGGTTTAGGTTTTAAAGAACTTAACATTAAGATCTAGATCTCAACGTTTGACCAAAACATATGTGATGATATACAATTAATTTAGTCTGCAATATACAAGGAAAAGGCTTTTATGTGAAAATTACTGAATAGTCCACAAGAGGGCACACTTTCAACTTATGTAAATAAGTGAGAAAATTAAAAATTCAGCTTTGGTTTTTTTTTTACTAGCACATCAAAGATTGGCCAGATTCTTCTGAATTGATTATTCAACAATATTAGAAAGCAAAAGATCCTGAAGTGTGTGGTTTTTTGTTTAAATACTGAAATGGAAACTTTTTGAGATGTACATGTGAAATATAAGAAAAATTTGTGAACAAGACTTCTATATTAATATTAAATTATAAAAGTATGTAATAGTCTTTGCCATTTTGGTTCTGTTAGCCATTTGGAATCTGGCTGCCTTAAGAATCTTTTCAAGAAACTCTGGCTACTTTGATTTTTGATCTTCAGTTCTTCAAGACAATCTAGTACGAAAACATGGAATATGCTTCAGATACTTTAGGAAACTCTCCCAATAGGTAAGATCATTAATAAAGCACATGAAAGAGCAATCAAGAAAAGGTATACGTGGAAGAGATGCAAAAAATCATGGATCACTTATGTGTCATCTGCATACTGATCTCTATCCTGCTCTAACTCATTCAAAAATACCGTTTCAGCAATTCTCCTCTCTCCTGCATCATCAATTTTTCCACATATTGAATAATTCCAATCAGCATAAAACATATATATGCAAATAATTGTCCCTACTTCCAATAAAAACAAAACACAAAAAAACCCCACCATTTATCTTGACCCCTATGATCTCTCTCCAACAATGGCTTAATTTTTCTGTTCCCTTTCACAGCAAAATTCCCTCAGTTGTTTATATTCATCCCTAATTCTTCTCCTACTTTCTCTTGGAACCCACAACCATATGTGTTTTTATTCTCCATTCCACCAAATATCTTGCCACAGTTAGCAATTACATTAAAATTGCTAGATTCAGTGGGCAAGCCTCTCACCTCATATGATTTGACCTAGAAATCAACAAAGTTGATCATTCTCTCCTCCTTGAATAATTCTTTGTCTTCCAGAACAACACATTCTCCTAGTTTTTCTGCTGACTAAACTGGCCACTCCAGGATCCTCTTCTGGTTCTTTTTATCTTCCTCTCCGTACTCTACTGTTGAACTCATTCAGTGGCATGATTTTAAAATAGTGCTTCTGTGCTTCTGGCTCCCAAATTTGTATCTCTAAATCTGACTTTTCTCCCATATACTAGACTCATATCCAATTATCTAATCAATATCTCTGCTTTAGTACAAATTTATTCCCTCTTCCCAAACTGTTCTGATGCTAGGGTTTTTTTTTTATAGTTACATATGGATTTTAGAATCATCTTGTCAGTTTCTACAAAGCTGCTTGGAATATGATAGATATAGCATTCAATCTATGTAACAATTTGAGAACTGATAACCATATTGAGCATTATGATCTACAAACAATTTATATGTCTCCACTAATTTAGATATTCTTTAATTTCACTCAGCAATGTTTACTAGTTTTTGGTCTACGGTGCTTTCACATACTTTTTCAGATTCATTCCTAAGTAGTTCACATTTTTGATGTTATTATAATTGACAAATTTTTGATTTCCAATTGTTAATTGTTAGGATGCAGAAATACAATAGAATATTGTATATTAATTCTGTATCCCGAAAGCTTACTAAACCTTACTTATTAATTCTGGGATCTTTTTTGTACAGTTGGCCTTCCGTATTCACAGGTTCCACATCCATGGATTCAACAAATTGTGGACTGAAAATATTTGAGAAAAAACAATATGACAATAAAAAATACAACAAAAATTTGAAGTTACAATATAACAACTATATAGTTTTCTGTAATAGAAGGGTTTTTTTTTAACTAAAGATTACTGCGGAAAATTTTTTGTTAGGTACAAAATACTACAGTCTCACAGTGAGGTTAGCAAGAATTAAAACTTTTTTTCAGTCCTACTACTGCTAAACCATGTTTCCCTTGCGCTGTATTTGTGCAATTGGTTTCAAAAACTCAGAAAACAGTTCAAGAGAACCAAATATAACCACTAAATAATATAACTAATGAATGTGAAAAAAGATACTGGAATAGCTTTTTAGGGAGGATAATTTTTTTTTTTTTTTTTGAGACAGAGTCTGTCACCCAGGCTGAAGTGCAGTGGTGCGATCTCGGCTCATTACAGCCTCTGCCTCCAAGGTTCATGTGATTCTCGTGCCTCAGCCCCCCAAGTAGCTGGGGCTACAGGTGTGCACCACCACCCCCCAGCTAATTTTTTTATTTTTAGTAGAGATGGGGTTTCACCATCTTGGCCAGACTGGTCTCGAACTCCTGACCTCAAGTGATCTGCCTGCTTTGGCCTCCCAAAGTGCTGGATTTCAAGGCGTTAGCCACCGCACCTGGCCTTTTTTTTTTTTTTTTTTTTTTTTTAAAGACAGAGTCTCACTCTGTCACCCAGGCTGGCATGCAGTGGCACGATCTTAGCTCACTGCAACCTCCGACTCCTGGGTTCAAGCCATTCTTGTGCCTCAGTCTCCTGAGTAGCTCGGATTACAGGCATTCACCACCCCACCTGGCTAATTTTTGTATTTTTAGTAGAGACGGGCTTTACCATGTTGGCCAGGCTGGTCTCAAACTCCTGACCTGAGGTGATCCGCCCCACTCCGCCTCCCAAAGAGCTGGGATTATAGGCATGAGCCACTGCACCTGGCCAGGGAAAATAAATTTTTAAAAAGTCAACTTAGACCAATAAAAAACAGCTTTTTACTAAGGATCTAAGTTTTTAAATTATTTTAAATAGTTCGATTTACAGAAAAAGAAGCTATCAATGGAGAAAAGTGACTTGTGACTCATTACCTACAGCAACCTTTCTATGATTTCCACTGGACCCCTGCACTACATGACAAGTATACAAATTAAGGATGATGTAAATTAGGGATGTATTTTTTTCTAAATTAATATACTCATGGTCAATGAACTAATCATAACATGTAAGTTTTGATAACATCAAATACTATATCCTTTCTGTACATAAACTTTTAAAAATTTAGTTCTGTAATATCAATTTTTCATTAGAAAAATAATTTTTTAAATTTTAAGTGAGATTTCTGATTTATTTAATAATAGAGTTCCACAAAAGTAAACTTACTGTGAAACACAGATTATTAAAAAGAAAATGTAGTAGCCATATATCCCAGAGTAGAAGGCTAATGGAAACAGAATCAAATGACCATGTGTTATAGCATAATTTCTCAGATAATGATTCCAAACAGCAAAAACACCTGAACAAACTCTTTAATTAAACCTGAAACTCTCCAAACAGCATTTTTGGTGGTTTTTTTTTTTTTTTTGGTTCTGGGTTTTGAACGTCTTAGGATATTAACTCAATAGTGATTCCCCTTGTCCATAACATGTGATAGCTGATTGATTTTTTTTAAAGTACCTAAAGAAGATAATTAGGAAGAAAAGCTTTCTTATGTTACAGGAGACTTTTATTGTTGTTTAAGAAAGTGAAGTAAAATTGGGGGGTATAGAAAAGAGGGATATAGAAAGATCGGTTTCTAAAATTATGTTTTAACACAATTAATTATGACATATAAACACAAAAGCAAAACTAGACTTAAAAAGGAAACACAACACTTTCAATTAGAATACTGAATTGCCTGAACTTGAAGGAGTAGTTTAATCTCTCTTTACCTATGTTTTCTTATCCCTGGGAGATGAAACTTATTAAGTGATTAATTTCTTTCTTTTTGATTATCTGGTTTCCTGAATTTTTTTAAAAAAGTAAACCTTTATGTATTCACTATCATGCACTTAATACCTAACACCTACAATAGGGACAACCAGCAGTTGTTGAGGATACAGTGGTAAACCAAATAGACATATCCTCACAGACCTTAGAGTCCAGTAGGGGTGATGAATAATCACTACGAAACATATAATTACATATTTGTGATAAATTCCATAACAGTAACAACAACATTTGATGATACTAACATAGTGCTTAACATATGCCTAGCATTGTTATCTAAGGGATTTATATATTTTAATTCATTTAATCCTTATCTTATGAATTAGGTACTACTTTTATGTTCATTTTAAGACAATAATTACAGAGGCACATAAAGATTAAGTAACTTGCCCAAGTCTGATTCCAGAATCCCCACTCTTAACATTCCAGAGTCCTAGCTGTTTTTTATATGAAAAACAAAACAAAACAAAGTGCTGCAAGAGAAAAAAAGAAGGTAACTAAACTTACGTTTGGGGAGGGAGGAAATGTCTCATTAAGGAAATCTCATAAGTAAGAGTTAAACAGGCAAAGGCGGAAGAAGAAATGAGGATCCATAATGATTAACATGCTCAAGTCCCTGAAGAAGGACAGAGCCTAGCTAAGGAAAGAAGATTATGTAACTGGTACATAGTGAAGGACTGACACAAGATGAGGGAGAAAAGGTACGTACAAATTAGTTCATTCCTGACCTGACAGACAAGCTGAAGGGGCTCTCAATTTGATTTATTTTGACTCATGCTACTTCAAAAAATAATCTACTGGTTATTTACATACATATCTTAGTTAATAAACATGGCACACTTAAAAATTGCTTAGTTTTGAATCCATTTCTCTCTTTTCACACAAGGCTGTATATACTCCTTAAAAATATTAACCTGAAATTACAATAACTGTGTTTACAGAATTAGTCATAGCTTTAAGGCCTTGGAAAGAACAATAGTTTCTCACAAACAGAGTATGAAAACAATTGCCTCAGAATAAACTTTAAAGGAAAAATCTAAATGCTAAGTAAAAGGGCAATTGTACATTCTTGGGTATTTATGAAATGAAAACTGTGTTCATGCAAAAACCTGCAAATGAATGTTCATAGCTGCTTTATTCGTGCTATGGTTTGACCGTGTCCCCCAAAGTTCATTTGTTGGAAACTTAATCCCCAATACAACAGTGTTGAGAGATGGGACCTTTAAGAGGTGATTAGTTCACAAGGACTCTGCCCTCATAAATGGATTAATGTTGTTGTCTCAGGAGTGGGTTCCTGATAAAAAGAAGAGTTCTGTCCCCTTCTATTTCTCCCCACTAATGTCTTGTGCTCTCTTGCTCCTCCACTTTCCATGATGGGATGACACAGCAAGAAGGTCCTCGTCAGATGTGGGCCCCTCAATCTTGAACTTTCCAGACTCCAGAACTATAAGAAATAAATCTCTGTTTTTTATAAATTACCCAGTCTCAGATATTCTGTTATAGCAGCACAAAATGGACTAAGACAATTTCATAATAGCGAAAAGCTGGAAACAAATGTCCTTCAATGCAGAATGGTTAAACCAACGATGGTAGAGCCATACTACAGACTGCCAGAACAATAAAAGGGAAAAACTATTGGTAAAAACATCAACTTGGATGATATAAAGGAAATTACACTAAGTAGAAAAAATACCAATTTCAAAAGCCTACAAACTACATGATTCCATTTTTGTAACATTCTTGAAATAATAACATTGTAGAGATGGTGAAAAGATTAGTGGTTGCCAGGGGCTGAAAACTCCCAAGTGGGCCAGACGCAGTGGCTCAAGCCTGTAATACCAACTTCAGGAGGCCGAGGCAGATGGATAGTTTGAGCCCAAGAGTTCAAGAATAGTCTGGGCAATATGGCAAAAGCCCATCTCTACAAAAAATACAAAAATTAGTCAAGTGTGGTGGTATGCACCTGTAGTCCCAGCTATTTGGGAGGCTGAGGTGTAAGGATCACTTGAGCCAGGGAGGTTGAGGGTGCAATAAGCTATGACTACACTACTGTATTCCAGCCTGGGTGACAGAGCAAGACCCTGTGAAAAAAACAAACAACAAGAGCGCAGGTGTGGTTATGAAGAGATACCACCTGAAGTAGTGTTTACAGTGATAGAATAGTAAGTTGAGTGTGGTACTGTTACACATAACTATATGTACACACAACTGTACACACACACACCTGCTGTACACGCACACAACAGTACATATCCAGCTGGTTAAATATGAACAAGCTCCCGGATTGTATCAACGTCAGTTTCCTGGTTTTGAAGCTGTAATACAGTTATGTAAAATTGTATTATTGTGAGAAGCTGGGTGACGACCTCCTTGTATACTTTTTCCCAACTTCCTATGGATTTACATTATTTCAAAATTAAAAATTTTAAAAAACAGTAATAGTCTGTGTATTCTGGACAGTACCTAGTTCATTAGTATAGATTTTTATCACTGAACAAAGTTTAATGTTCAAACTAGCTGATTTAGAAACTTTGCAGAACAATTTTCTTAAGGTTTTAAATGTTTTTACATTTTTAGGTGGAAGAGATAACATTTACTTTTGATATAATTTCAAACTCAAAAAATTACATAATTAGTCAAGAAACTACCATAATCTTTAACCAGATTCACCAGTTGCTTACATTTTGCTCCATCTGCTTAAATAATCACACTCTTTCCTCGTCTTTCCCTTTCTCACTCGTGGTGTGGTGGTGGTGGTCGGGGGTGTGTGTGTGTGTGTGGTGTGTGCCTCCCTGAACCATTTAAGAGGTGACAACATCAAAGTTCATTCCCCTAAATACTTCAATACGTACTGGCCTAAAACTACAGTCTCTCAACCCTTCTCCCGGAACCAGTGGGCCAGGCTGGACATGGTCTTTTGGAGACAATAGAGGCACAAAAGTACAAGCCTAATCCTGCCAGTGCTATTCAAGCCTTTGGTCATGTCACGCCCACTAAAACCAAAGTAAGTCCTATGAGCAAATCCAAAGTCAGGGGGCAAGGAAATATAATCTGCCCCTTTAGGAGCAGGGGGTAAATGGTGTGGTCACATGGCAAACAACCGGTGCTATTAATGCAATCTATTATACCCGCTGAACCCAAGGTTTTCAGGGATGGGAGCTGGTATTTAATAAGTGCTTCAGATAATTCTGATGCATACATATGACTAAAAATAAACAGGGGAAAGATTCAGGGCAAACAATACATTTTGATATCGAAAATAAAAATGGCACACAGAAACACACATTGTTCTCCAAACTCCAAGAGTTGGTCCTAAAATAAGGCTTAAGTCTCCTTGTTAGTAAGGCAAAGAAGAAAATATGTGTATAAAATAAAAGTGAATTAGTAGTTGTTCAGAAGTACAGCATTTCCAAGATGCAGAAATCTGAGAGTAATTTCACTAGTAAGTCCTCAGAAAGACGTTGGATGACATAATGGAGAAGGTCCTTAATAGCATTCCTAAAAAAACTAAAGATCTGTTTTAGGCAACTTCTCCTTTTCTTCTCTTTTCTTGGGAAAAAAAAAAATCACATCCTGAAAGTACAATCCAGCAAATGCAAAGTTAACAAGAGGTCAAAATCATGCAATCCATGCACACAGATCTCCAACGGTATGGTTTAACCTAAAAGTAAAATTTGAAATATTCAGAGGAATGCAGAGAATGCCAACCTTTAGTCAGTCCTCTATTAATACATTTTCTCAAAATTGGGTGTTAGAAAAATTTAGAATGTCAAGAGTATATGGCTGAAGGTCATTAAGAGCAGAAGTACATGTTTTATTAATTAAGGCAAGGAATAAATGAGAAGGTGATTTTATGAAGTTTAAGAAGCTTACCCAAAATACATTCCACTTCTAGACAGAAGCCTCAGGCAGGTTAGAATTGTTTTTAAAATAAGTCTGACTCTGCTGTAATACATAAATGAATGAGAGGACCAAGATTCCAAATTTTAAAACTAGTGCTACTAACTATAGATAAATGCTATCTATAGTTTCAGGAGCTGAAAGCCAAAAAATTGATAAAACTTCTGGGTAATATTTTATAATGCCTGTTTAATATATCACAAATTCTCCTTTATAGAAAGAAAAGGCTATATGTGAACAAACTGATTAGCCTCCCTAATTGTAGGCAATACATAGCCTATATTATGAGGTACAGAAGGGAAAAAAGGAAATTATATCTACTATGTGCCAGGCACTGTGCTAGTTGTTTTACTTTTTTTTTTTTCCATTTAATCTTCAATATAATCCAATGAGTTAAGTCTCGTTATCACCATTTTAAATATGGAACTTTGAGGAGTCTGCTTGTTTTTGTCCCATGATTAAGATGAGGTTAATCAATCAGACTTACTTGTTAGGTCAAGATAAACTTGAAAGTAGTCATGAAATGGTTATCCACAAGGAAGGTAAAATGGGATGGTAGTGAGAATTCTGGGCATATCCTCCTAATATAACTTTGACCTCTGAGCTACACACAGTTATGGGTCACATAATGACAGGGACAAACGTTCTGAGAAATGTACCATTAGGCAATTTCATCACTGTGCAAATATAACAGAATGTACCTACACAAACCTAGATGTTATAGCCTACTACGCACCTATTGCTACTGGTATAGCCTATTGCTCCTAGGCTACAAACCTATACAGCATGTTATTGTACTGTATACGTAGCCAACTGTAACACAACAGTATTTGTGTATCTAAACATAGAAAAGGTACAGTAAAAATATGGTATTAAAATCCTGTAGGACCTGTAGGTCATTATGGTCTGTTGTTGACCAAATGTCATCATATGGTGCATGACTGTGTATGTTATATATACTCAAAAATCAGTATTATGATTATTGGATGAAAAAGCAAATCCTAAAACTGAACACAAACAGCAACAAACAAACCCAACTATATATCAAATAATACCATAATCACACAGAAAAATTTAATTCAAGTAACTTTGATGACAGGACTATAACTATGCAATTACTGAATAGTTTATTGAAATGTGAAACCCTCAACCCCCTGCAAATAAGTCCACTGGGAGCCCATAAATGTCACCTTATTTGGAAAAAGCGTCTTTGCCAATGTAATAAAGGATCTCAAGATGAGATCATTTTGGATGGTCCCTAAATCTAATGACACACATCCTTATATAAGATAGAAGAAAGAGACAGACACACAAAGGGAGCCATGTAGGGATAGAGTCAGAGACTGGGGTTTTAGGTAGCCACAAGTTAAGGAATCCCTGGAGCCACTACCATAGCTGGAAGAGGCAAGGAAAGACTCTTTCCTAGAGCCTTTGGAAGGTGAATAGGCATGCTGACATTTTGGTTTGGACTTCTGGCCCCTTGAACTGTGAGAGAATAAATCTCTGTTGTTTTAAGTCACCAGCTTTATGGTATTATAAGTTGTTATAGCAGTCCTAGGAAACTAATATACTGGAATATATTCTAAGAACAAAAAGAACTGAAAAGAAACCTTGGATATTGTGTGTTCTGTGTTGGCACTGGTATTGATACAGCAATTCTAATACAATATGGTACCTTAGAAGCACAACGAAGAGAGCCCTCAATACCAAAGGAGTCATCAACTGGTCACTGAATCTTGAAGTCTGAGAACTGATCACTAGACTTGATGCAAGTTACTGGTGACTTAGAGAAGACCCATTTTGAAAACGGTGGGACAGAAGAGCAGAAACCTGTTTAGAGTAGGTTTAACAAAGAATAGGAGGACAAATGTGATGTCAGGTACTTGTGAAAACTTTTCTGATTGCCTTGATGAAGAAGAGATGTTGGAGGTTTTCAGGAGAGGAAAAAGAATGAAACAATCATCTAGGAGAGTGAATGGATCAAAGAAGTGTGGTACAATTGCTGGGTAACATTAAGAGCCCACTGCCTTTAAAGTGAGACCAGTCATTATGTTTTTTGAATTATTTTCCAGTCCCACTTAGCTGCAAGGGTGAGATTTAACCAAAGCTGTGGTTTTGCCAAAACAGAGAGGAGCGAAGGAACTGAAGGTATTTGTATGCAAGGAAATGATTAAATGACCTTTGAATTTAAGCTACAAGGAGGAAAAGAGGGACACTGAAGAGAAGAGAAACAGTATTGCAACATTCAACGCGCATGGTGAGTGTGAGTCCTTCTATCTGGTAACTCATTCTTTGGTTTCTGTGACTCAATCTTCTTTCTTGTACCTTAGATTGACTCTACTGACTCCACTTTCTCCAGTGGTTCATTATCTTTGATAATTTCTTAACTCTAGCTACTTAGGTCTACCTATAGCTCTTCAAAAATTCATTTATTTCCATGGCCTCTGAAAGTTCTTCATAGCTTCATTATGTGGGAATTCATTCATGATTCTTTTTTGGCACTACAAATTCTTACAGTACCAATGTATGAATGTGTCAATGTGACAATCATTTCCCCTTAAAATGTTAGTGCTCAAATATTTCTAAAATGAAAAGCCACTATCTGTAATCTTATAATTTCTACCATTGCTCCCATTCATTAGTAATCTAAACTGTAAAGTTGACCCACTGTAAATCAAGGACTGTCTATGTTACTATTTTATCATGACACCTAGACAAAAATCTATCTATCCTCTATTCCTCTATCATTTCACTTACCATCCTTCAAGTTCCAACTCTTCCTGGAAACCATCCTCTACCTACCATTTTACTTTACAATCTTTTCCTTTAATGAATTTCTGTATTAGATGCACACAAAGTCAGCATCCAGTCATGCATAATTACATTCTATCAAATCATTTCACTGGCACCTTAGGTACAGAATCTTGTCTCATTAATTTTTAAAAATTAATTTTTGAAATCTTTCCATAATACCTAGCACAATGCTGGTCATATGGTTACCAGGTTGAAATAAAATATAACACTGCTAGAGAATGTATTAGATAAAAAACACAACGTCTTACACAATCAAACACTAAGTTAAAGAGTGTGAAATCTGGATGCTGAGCAAGTTCATGTAGTTAAAATGATGACACCAGGTGGTCATATACAAACATAAATCAAGTGATCTTAATACCATGATCTTTACATGTTAAACTTACATTAGCCACGTCACATTTGTTTTTTATTAGAAAGAGAACCTCATTTTAACAGAGACCTATCAGTTAATTATAGAAACTGCCCACCCCCCCATACTCTTATTAAGAAAAATAAGAGTTGAAGTTTTACATGGACTGAAAATGTAAAAATCCTTGGGAAAATTGAGAATAAAATCCAAAACAGATCCACAAAAAGCTAGCAATATGAGTAACTTTTTACTTATAAAATATAAATATGGTATAGTTGATGAAGGAGCAAGGAAGATTAATCAATAAAAGCCAACTGGTATCTTACTGCTACCGAATTAAATGGAATTGGGTAATTTTCACTACTGGTGTCTGAAACCATACAGAAAAATCTGCTCAGCCTTAGATTTAATTAAATTAAAAAATTAAATGATCAAAAATTACCATTAGATTGACATTAAAAACAAACTTCTTTTACCATGTTATGGATTCTAATTTATAATCCTTTTCTTTCCTGAAATCGGATCAAATTTTCATCCATCCAAGACTAAAGTCCAGAAATAAAAAATGTCTCTAGAACTATATCTCATCAGATGTCAGCAAATAATATATGAGTAAGTTTTGAATAACCACTATATAAACATATCAAGTATTATTTCCACAGACCCTTTTGACCAAACAGAATCACAGAATTTTAAAGGTAGAAGAAAATTTAAAATTAAGAGTTCAAATTGGAAAAATACCATTCTACTATGTAATGAGGAAACTGGTTATTATAAGTAACCATGAAACTCGTAACAGAATTCAATATGACACTGCTAAAAATAACTAAGTATAAAAATTAGGATTTTAAAAACAGTACATTTTTAAAAAACAGTATGTTTTTAAAAACTTATCTACTTTAAACTTTATTAAAGGAAGAGTTTTTCTACTACTATACTGGAATAAAAATTTAACTATACAAGTAGATTGTGATAAATTAAGAAGCATATTGTAATCCCTACAGTAACCTCCAAGGAAATAACTCTAAAAAGTTGTTTTAAAAAAAATCAAGAGAGCTGCATGCAGTAGCGTACACCTGTACTCCAATGTACTCCTATATGCCTGTACTCCCAGCTACTCACAAGGCTGAAGTGAAAGGATCACTTGAGCAGAGAGTGTGAGTCTGTAGTATGCTATGATGGCAGTTGTGAATAGCCAATACACTTCAGCCTGGGCAACAGAATGAGATCCTGTTCTTTAAAAAAAAAAAAAAAAAAAAAAAAACAGCAGAGGAATTTAAATAGTACACTAAAAGAATATTTAACACAAAAGAAGGCAGTAAAGGAAGAATGGCATAAGTAAATTCACCCATATCAAAAATCACATTAAATGGGAATAGGCTAAATATGACAATCAAAAGCCAAAAACTATCATATTGGTTCAAATAACAAGACCCAATTATATACTTCTACAAAAGACACTCTTTGATTCAAAGATACAAATAGGTTGAAAGTAAAATAATAGAAAATATACTCCATACAAACAGAAACAATAAAAAAGCTGGAATGGCTATTAACAGCAGATGAAACAGACTTGAAGATAAATAGTAATAAAGAAAAAGAGGGATATTTCATAATGATAGAGTCAGTACATAAGGAAGATATAACGTTTATACATGTATTCATACCTAACAACGAAGTTGCCACATATATGAAGCACAAACCGACAGAACTGAATGATAAATATAACTAGAGAGAAAATTAACAATGATGTAAAAAACTTCAGCAACACTATCAGCCAAAATGACCTAACTTAAGTTTACAGAACACTCCACCCAAAGACCACAGAATACTCAATGCCTTTTAAGCATACAAGAACATTCTCCAAAATTGATCACATGCTGGACCATGAAATAAATCTCATTAAATTTACAACAAATCATATAAAGGGTGTTCCCTGACAACAAAAGAATAAAATTAAAACCCATAACCGAAAGAAATCTGAGAAAATCAATGGGTCAAAGAAGAAATCATGAGAGAAATTAAATACTTAAAACTGCATGAAAATGAAATCACAACATATTAAACTTCATGGGATACAGCTAAAGCAGTTTTATAGGAATATTTATAGCTTTAAATGCCCATATTAGAAAGAACAGCCTCGAATCAGTATTTATGCTTCCATACCTTAAGAAACTAGAAAAAGTGTAAACAAAATCAAAAACAGGAAGAAGAAAAAAATAAAGATAAAAGTAAAAATAAACAAAAAAAAAAAAAACCAGAGACATACGAATGAATTCAAAAATTAGTTCTTAAAAAATAATCAACAAAATTGACAATGTCTTAAATAGAATGATCAGGAAAGTAAGAGAGAACAGACACAAATTACCAAAATCAGAAATGAAGGAGAGGAAATCACTACCAATACTTTAGAAATTAAAAGGGAAGGCCCGGTGTGATGGCTCATGCCTATAATCCCAGCACTTTCCAGGCCAAGGTGGGCAGATCATTTGAGTCCAGGAGTTCGAGAGCAACCTGGGCAACAAGGAAAAACCTCGTCTCTATAGAAAATACAAAAATTAGCCAGGCATGGTGGCATGCACCTGTGGTCTTAGTTTCTCAGGAGGGTTAGGTGGGAAGATCACTTGAGCCTAGGAGGCAGAGGCTGCAGTGAGCCGAGATCACACCACTGCACTCCAGCCTGGGTGACAGAGTGAGACTCCTTTTCAAAAAAATAAAAAAAGAAAGAATTAAAAGGGAATATTAACTTTAAGCCAACAAATTACACAACTTATATTAAAAAAAAAGGAAATTCTTCAAAAGACAAATTACCAGAACAGACTCAACAAGAAATAGAAACTCTGAATAGATCCCTAACAAATAAGAAAACTGAACTACTTATTAAAAATCTTCACACTAAGAAAGCCTAGGCACAGACGATCTCACCAATGATTTTTATGAAATATATAAGAAAGAATAGCAAACTTTTATAAACTGTTTTATAAACTAGAGAATATTTCCCAGCTGAGTCTGGTATCACCAAAGCCAGACAGAGACAATGCAAGAAAACTACAGACCAATATCCCTCATGAACACACATACAAAAATTATTTTTTAAAAACTGGCAAACCAAATTCATCAACATATAAAAATGACTACACATTATGACCAAATGGGATTTATCCTGTGAATGCAAGGGTGGTTAACCATCTAAAAATAAATTAATGTAAAACATCTTATTAATAGAAATAGCAACTAAAGCTACATGACCATTTTGAAAGACACAGAAAAACACTTGACAAAATCCAACAACCACTATTTTTTAAAACTCTCAAAAATTAGAAATAAAAAGGCTCTTCTTCAACCTAATAAAGAGCATCTATGAAAATTCTACAGCTAACTTCCCTATCAGGAGAAAAACAAAAATGCCTGTTCTTATTCCTTCCACTGAATATTGTCCTGTAGGTTTTAGTTAGTACAGCAAAACACCAAAAAGTAACACATTTTAAGAAAAAAACTTAAAAAGATATTAAATGCATTCAGATTAGACAGGAAGAAATGAAACTGCATTATCAGATGACACTGTCCAGTATGTAGAAAATCCTAAGAAACCACCAACGAACAACTAGAATCAAAAAAAAGCTCAGCTAGATCACAAGATAGAAAATCAACATACAAAAATCAGTTGTATTTCTATATTCTAGCAAAAATGCAAAAATGAAATTAAGAAAACAATTCCATTCAAACTAGGACCATGAAGAATATTTGGGAATAAATTTTTAAAAATCAGTATAAGATTTGTATTTGCACACTGTTATAAGACACTGCTGAGCCAAAAAGATCTAAAACATTCCATGCTCATAAATTAGAAGACTCAAAATTGTTAATATGGTAATTCTCTTCAAATTGATCTATAGATTCAACATAATCTTTTTCAAAATCCCAGCTGTTTTTTTTCCATAGAAATAAGCTGATCCTAACTTTATAGGAAAATACAAAGGATCTAGAATAGCCAAAATAATTTAGTGAAGAAAAAAGTTGGAGAACTTATACTACCCAATTTCAAAACTTACTATGAAGCTACAGTAATCAAGATTGTGTGCTATTAATATAAGGACAGGTATACGGATTGATCAATGAAGAGAATCTAGAGTCCAGAAATAAATCTTTGTATTTATGTTAGATTTTTCACAAAGATGCCCACAAAATTCAATGGAATAAAAGACAGTCTTGTCAACAAATGATTTTTAGATAACTGGACATTTACATGCAAAAATAAATTTAAAAACAGACCATTAACTTATACCATACACAAAAATTAATTCAAATGGATCAAATACCTAAATGTATGAGCTTAAACTATAAACCATCTAAAGGAAAATATAGGAGAAAACATCTGTGACCTTAGGTCAGGCAGAGTTCTTAGATGACAAAAACAAGGCAGAGTTCTTAGATAACAAAAACATGAGCCATAAAAGATAAAACTGATAAACTGGATTTCATTAAAGTTAACAATTTTCATAGTTCAAATGATATCAATAAGAAAATGAAAAGACAAGCCATAGACTGGGAGAAAATATTGCCAAATCACAAATCTGATGAAGCTCTTGTATTCAGAATTTAAATGAACTCTCACTAGTGAACAAGAAGATAACACAACTTTGAAAATGGGCAAAGAACTTACTTAAGACACTTCACCAAAGAACACATATGAATGGCTTATAAATATACAAAAAAAAGTGCTCAATATCACTTCACCAAAGAACACATGTGAATGGCTTATAAACATATAAAAAAAAGTGCTCAGTATCATTAGTCATTAGGTATATTCTCACTGAAACCACAATGATACCATGACACATCCATTAAACTGTCATAATGTTATAAAAAAAGACACTATTAACTGTTGGTGAAGATGTAGAGAAACTTGAACCCTTACACACTGCTGGTAGAAATGTAAAATGATACAGCCACACTGGAATACAGTTTGGCTGTTTCTTAAAAAGTTAATTATCATATGACCCAGCAATTCCATTCTTAGGAATGTATCCAAGATAAATAAAAACGTATGTCTACACAAAGATTTCTCCATGAATGCTCAAAAAAGTATTACTCATAAAAGTAAAAAACTGGAAATTATATAAGTATCTACCAACTAGTGTATAGACAAACAAAATATCATAATACAATGAACTACCATTCAGCAATAAAAAAGAACAAAATACTGATACGTTATGTCATAAATGAACCTCAAAACATGCAAAGTGAAAGAAGCCAGATGCAAAATACTACATATAATTCTTTTTAGATGAAATGTCCAGAAAAATTTATAGAAACAAAGAGCAGATCAGTAGTTGCCAGGACTGGAGAGGGCTGTGGGAGTTGGGAACTCACTGCAAATAGGCTTGAGGAAAATTTGGGGACTGATGAAAAGGTTCTAAAACTAGAAACCATTAAATTGTATACTTAAACAGGTGAACTTTATATTAAGCGGATCATACCTCAATAACGTTGTAAAGTAAAATTGCATCTAGAGATATTAATCTCCTTTATCTAGCTCTAAACATTTCTCCTTAGGTCAATATATTTTTCCTTAAGAAATTTTTTTAGTTAGTAAAAACATTTATTGTACATACTGATCATATACAGTACTAACAATTTCTGGGAATGCAAAAACAAACACTGTGATTTGGTTGTATTAATTAGCTCTAACTTGCACTTGACTAAAATTTCTTGAGAAGAATAGGCAAAGCAATCATGTTTTTAAGCAAGCTTACAAACTGTCACCTGCATGTAGTTAAAGACTACTTCACTTACCCTAGGATGACAGTTACATTCAATATAATTACCCTGTTTTGAAAAGATTCACTGATATATTAAAGTAGGAAGGCATCTTACAAATAATCTAGTCCAATCTCTTCGTTTTACAGATAAGAAAAAGATGAAATTACGTGTTCAAGACCACACATTCAAAGTTAGTTGCAAAGCTTCCCAGTCTCCTGACTTTCCTGCTCTTTTTGTGCATCGAGTATGGTTTTATTGAAAGAAAGTGGTAGAAAATTTAAAAAAAAAAAATCACTGCAGCCGGGCATGGTGGCTCATGGCTGTAATCTACTTCGGGAGGCTGAGGCAGGTGGATCACCTGAGGCCAGGATTTTGAGACTAGCCTGGCCAACATGGCGAAACCCGTCTCCTTTACCACTTTATTCTCCCTTGGTGATTTCCATGTCTCAAGGATTTTAAACACTATATATATTAAAGACTCCAGCCTGGACCTCTCTCCTGAACTCCAGACTGGTATATCCAACTGCCTATTTGATATCTCCATTTGGATGTCTAACAACCATCTCAAACTTACTTCCAAAATAAATTCCTTATACTGTTCTTCGTGCTTCTTCTACAATACTCCTAATTTTGATTAAAGACAACTCATTTGTCCAGTTCCTTTGGCCAAAAATCTTATTATCCTTGACTCCTATCTTTTTTACACAACTTTTGGATCGTGAGTCTCTACCTTCAAAATATATCCAAAATTCGACCATTTCCAAGCCACCATGCTCCCTTCCCAGACTCTTAATTGGTCTTTTTCACTCTTGCACTCCTTGGCAGTTAAACATAGCAATCAGAGATTCTATTAAAATACAGGTTGGATCATGTCACTCTTTTTGAAATCCTTCAATGACTTTTTCAGAGCAAAGGCAAAATCCTTATAATGATCTACAAGTTTAGAATATGAATAACATTTTAAACCAAAAATCCGCCTTGATATTCTTTTCTCCTCTCAGTAAAATATGCCTGTATCCTCCTTGAGAAAACAATACTTATAATATGTAAGTGTTATATAAATTGGTGAGAATATAACATTAAATGAAATGGAGTGGAGGATTCTTTCTTTTCTCAGATCTCATACACCTACAACTCTTGAACTCAAGTCGTGATACAAAAGCAGATGATAGTACACTGTTAATCATAAAGCAAATATTAGAGGGAGAATATACATATTTATAGGAAAAAGTGTTTATAGTTCTAACGTCAACAAAACCAACTTCTCCTTTCAAATCAAACCAATAAACATTTTGGTTCAGCTTCAGGAAAAATTGACTCCCATTATAGGTGCTCTGATTCTAATAACTGTTTAAATTTGTTCCCGGTAAAAAAATACATGAAACCATTTGCCCTATTACCAATTTTTTTCAACTTGAATTTACACAATCTAAAATAATTGGTTTAATTCAATGTGGCAGATTAAAAACCACATGATTAGTACTCATGGCATGCCTATACCAAAATATCTCACATACCCCATAAATATATATACTTACTATGTACCCACAAAAATAAAAAATAAAAACCACAAATTATTTGCTAGTCCTCATATTGAGGTAATGGCTAATTCCTCTCCTTTGAATCTGGGCTGACCTTTGTGACATGCATGGTGAATAAAATGCAGCAGAAAGGGGCTAGGTGATAAGAAATCTTACAGCTTTCAAATAAGCATGTTGACAATACTTTTTGGAAACCCTGATCCACTATGTTAAATATCACATGACCATGAAAAAGCCATGCTGATGATGCTGTATGCAGATGCTACACATGATGTCTCCGCTGAATCGAGCCTTTTGGCTGTCTCTACCAAGGCGGCACTTATATGGGTAAAGCCATCTGGAACTATTCTGGCCAGCCCATCTACCAGCTGAATACCTCCAAGTAACCTCCATCACCACCACATGAACAAAGCCAAGCCCTGCCTAAATTCCTGACCCACAAAATCGTGAGACATAGGAAAATGGCTGTTATTTTAAAACCACACTAAGTATGGGGAGTAGTTTGTTACACAGCAACAGATAACTGGAACAGTCAGTAACATTTTTTTGTTTTGTTTTTAAATCAAACTGGCAACAAAGAAGTTCTCAAAGGTACATTTACAGTGTTCAAAAGTGGTAAAGAATTCACAGAGTGAGCCAAAGGAATTAAGTCAGGATATATGTTTATTCTCATATTCAGGAAGGTATTGCCATGGTAATGGAGAAACTACTGACGTGACTGAGTCATCAATGAATTAGACTTGAGAATGGGTACGAAAATGAGAAGAAAATATTCATAAATGATACCTAGCTAAATGAGCATAGCAGGAGGTTAAAACAAATCCATGACTTAGAAGTTTGGGAGACAGGGTATAGAATATTATGTTCTTGGTCTAGTTGGACAGAAATAAGTAAGAATGGAAAGCAGGAAATGTGAGTAGAATATAGGCAAATGAACAGACAATGGGAACTGTAAGTTACGTAGGATGGATATATGTTCTCTTAGCTCAGCCTCAAGAAGAAACAGCCTTCTAACAATATGCAATAGTGGCAAAAACAGGTTTTTAATTATAATTCTGCCACGTACTAGTTGAAAGACTTTAAGTTATTTACTTAGTCTCTTTGAGGGTTTCCTCAAATATAAAGTGAGGATAATAGTGCCTACCTCAGAGTTATTTTAAAAATTAATGAACTGGCTGGGCGCGGTGGCTCATGCCTTTAATACCAGAACTTTGGGAGGCCGAGGTGGATGGATCACCTGAGGTCGGGAGTTCGAGACCAACCTGGCAAACATGGTGAAACCCCGTCTCTACTAAAATACAAAATTAGCCGGTGTGGTGGTACATGCCTGTAATCCCAGCTACTCAGGAGGCAAAAGCAGGAGAATCACTTGAACCCAGGAGGCGGAGGTTGCAGTGCGCCGAGATCACGCCATTGCACACCAGCCTGGGCAACAAGAGTGAAAATCCATCTCAAAAAAAAAAAAAGTAATGAATTAATGTATGTAAAATAAGTGTAAAAGACAATAAATATTAAATTTGGAGATATGATATACTAGAAAAGAGTGTTTTAAAGTATTACTATCAATGCTATTAATAGATAGCATCACTTATTTGAGTACCTTCTATATGCCAAGCATTCTGCTAGATAACATTAATCTTCAGCAGATTCCTGTCAGACAGATATTGACCTCCCTACTTCATACTTATGAAATACCTGCATAAGTGGACAAAGTAACTGCTTAGTAGCATCGTAAAATATTTTCCTTTAAAAATACAATTATTGTTTCTTAACCTGATGACAGAATAAAAGATATATAAAATTTTACTGACAAAGATACTGGTATAATGGATGTAAGTAGTCAAAGAAAAAGGCCTTTAATAGAGGCCCCCAGGAATTATTATAGAAAATAAAAGCAAAATGGAAACGTCTGGGGTGGGGATAGGACAAGGAAATCTTAAAAGGGAATGTGAGATGAGAGTCTGAGGAAAAATCTATTTCTTGTATTAGCTAGACTGGAGATTTTCTGTCACTGTTGATAATAACAGCAGTTAGTGTCAGCTATGTACATTACTAGCTGCTTTACATTCATATCATCATTTAATTTTCATGGCAATCATCCAAAGCAGTTATCATTCATTTCATTAAAAATTTAGTGAGTACCTACAAGGTACCAGACATTGTGGATACACCTATACACAAGACAATACAGTGTTCCTGACCAAACCAGCTGGCAAACTATTATAGAAATGGAAGCCTTTTCAAAGAGGTTACAGTAATTTGCCTAAGTTCACACAGCTAATAAAGACCACAATCAGAATATGAATTCAAATCTTACTCCAGGCCTATGTTCTTAACCACTACACTTAATGACACAATAAAAAAATAAAAAATTCTGTAATGCTGACAAGCTACAAAACTATTTAAACTGATATAAAATTTTCTCAAGAAACATTCAGTAACACACTAAACATTTTATTAATCATCCATAATTAATAATTTATTAAACAGTTATATTTAAATTTATTTCAATAATATTCCATGCTTACTGCAGTTGTAACATTTAAAGATCAAAAATTTGGATATTAGTTCAAGAGGAAAATAGCTGTTATCCAAAGTTAAGAGCTATATTCATTGAGTTCTATGTTATCTGATTTAGTTTGATTAATCACTTAAGCAATCATGTTAACAAATAAGAAAATCCTAAAGATAATAATAACAGATCTTAGTGGAAAGCAACAATGTGAGTGAACAAATTATAACAATGTCATCTATAGGACAATTAGTAGAATACAGATAACTTGGAACTTGCAAATATAATCCTTAACCACTTTAAAACAGGAATTCATTCACTCAAAAGTGCATCTTGCTCTATCCATTTATAAGACTAGATATTGCCAGGACTCAATTTGCAATTTTTATATCATATTATATATGAACTTTCTACAAATAGTAGTGAACATTTTCACAGCCTCAGGGTGTTGATTGGGCCTTAACACTTATTATTATCCCCTTAGAGTCTCATTTATATCAATCAGTTGGTATCTAATACAGACATTACACAGAAAGCCAAAACAGGTCAACCAAGACTACTTCTGTGACTGCAGAAAAAGATTCTTCTGGATATAAAATTTTTAAAGTAAGAGTATTTATCAGAATAACTAAATTGTAAAGTAAATAACCAAAGACCACATAATGTTTCAGGCCACAGAAAGAAGAATGTATATAAAAGCAGGAAACTGGTCACTTTCCATAAAGGACCTTAATAAGTGTTTTTAATAATAACTAACAACAATATTCAAAGATTACTCTAGTTATCAGATCAAGAGATATCAAGATAATGTCCTCAACTTATCCATGAAAGGAAAAAATATATATATATCTCAGAGAATAACATCATTGGCCCTGAGAAGTCAGCATTTTTTTGTTGTTGTTTGTTTTTGTTTTTTGTTTTGAGATGGAGTCTCGCTCTGTCATCTACGCTGGAGTGCAGTGGTGTGATCTCGGCTCACTGCAACCTCCACCTCCTGGGTTCAAGCGATTCTCCTGCCTCAGCCTCCCAAGTAGCTGGGACTACAGGTGCACGCCACCACACCCAGCTAATTTTTGTATTTTGTATTTTTAGTACAAAATTACAAAAATTTTGTAATTTTGTATGTTGGCCAGGATGGTTTTGATCTCTTGACCTCGTGATCCGCCCGCCTCGGCCTCCCAAAGTTCTGGGATTACAGGTGTGAGCCACCAGCCCTGGCCTAGAAGCCAGCTTTAATTGGTTTAGTTACAACAAATCTTTTCTTTCAAATGTATTTTTCTTTAACTTTGTTTACAGAGATAATACTGGAAAGGACCTTAAAGGTGGTAGAAAAGAAATCTGTAGTTCAAATCAGTTACCCTTTAACATTCCCTTTATCAAAGGTAAGGTAAAGAAAGGTAAACTAATTTTCCAAGGGTTTGCTTTTTGGCATTTATCTTCTCAACAAAATTGCGATGGTACATAAAATCATCAAGTTTAGGCATAACAACCCTAACAATTTAAATGTTTTATAAGTAATATAAGTACATGAACCTCAGAGTTCATCACTGCACAACTTCATAAAATGAGTAAGATAGTCAAATCCAGGACTTTCTAAAACAAAACCTGTGCTTTCTGCAGTAATACCAAATACCACCATTAGACAGCCAGAGTGATTCCAGAGAAATAAGTATCCAGTATGCTGGACATTTCCTACATTTCATACTAAGTTAAAAGTATAATACTCGACAATGGCCAAAAGAAAACTGACCCCTCAGTTTTGTTTTCTTCATGGCTCTTAAGGACTCAAAATACTTTTTCTATGAATATACTACTCAAGTGGGTAACCTCAGATGAGATTTCACCTATACTATGAATAGCATGATTTTTCTTATTGAAAAATCAAACTAATAGGTTTAGGGTAAGAGTATAAAAATTATGATAAAAATCCAATTTTTAAGAAATGGGTCAAAATTCAAGGTCATTATACAAAAAATAAGGAGGTGGAAAATGGGCAGTGATAGAAACTGGTAACATATTTTTAAGAAAAACATTGAAGGGGCCAGGTGCTGTCGCTCATGCCTGTAATCTCAACACTTTGGGAGGCTGAGGCGGGCAGATCGCCTGAGGTCAGGAGTTCAAGACCAGCCTGGCCAACATGGTGAAACCCCGCCTCTACTAAAAATAACAAAAACTAACCAGGCGTGGTGGTGGGAGCCTGTAATCCCAGCTACTCGGGAGGCTGGGGCAGGAGAACCACTTGAACCCGGGAGGCAGAGGTTGCAGTGAGCTGAGATCACGCCACTGAACTCCAGCCTGGGTGACAGAGCAAGACTTCGTTTCAAAAAAAAAAAACAAAAAAAACCCAAAACCAAAAAAACACTTTGAGGAAAATGTATTTCAACAATAAAAAGTTAATAATTTCTTGTCCCCCTGCATTTTATTTTTGAATTATGATTTACCAAAACTCAATACAGTTAAAGTTTTTAAGCAACAATCAATTCTGTGTTTGTCCCATTCATTTTGGAAAGCTGGTATTTTCATTAAAATAGCTTTATAAAACGTAGGATTTTACTCCTGTGGCAAATGAATTCTCCTTTCCCTAACTGAAGGCAAACTAAAATCCTGCCTATTTTTTTTGTAAGCTTCAAAATTGGGAAAGTGGTGACAATATGAACTTATCTCGACAAATGCCCAAGTCCTAAATCATCACTTTTGATTTTGACCTGGCAAGAACATAAATTAAAGAAAAAGTAAGCCAAGAAGAACAATTAATATTTTCATGAAATGGTGAAGACAGGCACAGAATTGTAAGACAACAGTTCCAAGTGAAGACAGTACTTTTTATTTTGCTTTAGTGTGAGTAGTATAACAGACTATGCTACCAGACTAATAGTTCCATGTATAATACTAGTTCTAATGATAATTTTACTAGTTTTAAGATTTCATCATAGATTTTTACATCCACTCTATTTCAAAATAGTAGTCAAACCAGAATCAATATGTACTCATGGAAATATCAGTAATTTTTTTTTTTTCAGGAGATGAAATTTTCCTGTTCAAGAACATATAATACACTTTAGGTCCAGGGGTAAAAATGTGGTGTAGGATGAATTTTTCTTGGTGGATCTGGAGGAATGGGGAGACGCTTAAAAATTAGCTAAGAAAACTAGAGTATATTATTTGGTATTGAGGAGAGAATAAGGTAATCTGAAGTTTTTTGAAGATAGGTAAACCTAACCCATGGTAAAATGTAATTTATAGTACAGTCCTGAATGACAAGATCAAAATAGTAAAAGCAAAAGATAATTACAGCAGCCAAAGCAGAGAATGGGAATGTAGAAGAAAGTGACAACTATAGCAGCAATACAGAGGAGAGAATGAGAGAGTAGGTCCAGGCAGTCTTTGAAAAAAAAAAAAAATTAAGGAACAAAGAAGAAGATATGTAAGGTGACAGATACAGGTTAAAGATGCCACATAAAGTATATAAGGTGGTCAAGCTACTGAGAGGAGGAGCACAGTACTTAGTGGCGGGTGATCACAGCAGCAGACAACATTTTTCTTTGCTGAAAGACATTTATAAAATGATTCCATTTTAATAGCCACTAAGTAGCAAAGAACATAATATGCCACGTACATTTTTTGAAATAGATATGAACAGAAAGTGGAAGTCTGATAATTTTCATTTCAGAACACTGTTTCTTGTTCTATATTAGTGCTTTCTTATCAAAAATACTATCAGTCATTAGATTCCCAAGTTTGACCTATTAAAAAATTAAAGCATCAACTTTAAACTCACACAGTCAAATATCAAAAGTTGAGAGTCACATCTGTCCTAAAGCAATGTGCTCATTATTCATTCAAGGTCTACCTGTATGATTTCACCATATCTGAATATCATCAGTGTACTATTATTTACTTTATGTTTTTCTTTAAAATGGCTATTTGTTGAAATACACAAATTGACAACATGCTTGTAACAAGTGTTTTTCAAGTGACACAAATCTAAATGCGTTACAAGTTCTGTCATCATCAATTTATGCTTTCTTAGTCTCTGAAAACATATGCATTTGTGTCACTTGAGAAGCCTTTTCTTTTTTTAATCCCATGAAATCAGAAGTATAACATGTAGTTATATTTCTCTGATATTCATATCACCTTACAAAAAAGCTGCCTACTGTAATAGCTTCAAAAATGAGTATTTCTATCCTGAAAATGGCAAAATACTATTGCCATAAAAAATACAAAAGAAACTTCAGTGAATCTCAAATGTTACAACCCATTTTAGAAATCAAAAGATAAAACAGAATACCTGACAACAAGTTTAAAAGATATTTTAAAAGGCATCCAAGATAGTTCTATTAAAGTCTGTATTTAGCTTACTGAGTCATCTGGTATTGATAGCTGCAGACACCTATTTGTGTATTTAAATTCTAATCCTGTGAACACTGCAATTAATAAGAATCTCTATGTTCAATATCAGAGGTTTTTCATTATGCATATGGATCAATTTGCTGTGTTAGAAAAAAAGTAGAGGATTATTTGCTTACTTTTAAATGAAAATATCTTCTTTCTCAGTCAGGGATCTGGCACACAAAAACTTTGCCTACAAAATTGAAAGCTCCTTTTCTATTGCAATATTGCAATAAGCATTGTAACCTTCATCACAGGGTGTGTTCAAAATCATGCTTTTCAAGTAAGGATTAAAATAAAGTTCACAGAAGCACATGGTAAAGAGAAAAAAAGTAATACTCGGTGCAGTGGTACATGCCGGTAGTCCCAGCCACTAGGGAGGATGAGGTGGAAGGATCACTCAAGCCCAGGTGTTCAAGGCCAGCCTGGGCAGTTTCATGAGACCCTATCTCTTAAAAAAAAAAAGAGAGGTAGGAGAGAAATAAAGATAATGGGAGACATACTATATCAGCATAAAAATGTCAACTGAAATATATGGAAGGGCAGTCTTTTATTCTGAAGATACACCTTTCCTACTTTACCTTTTGGTAGTAAAATGCCCTCTCTTTTATTAAACTAATTTTTTGGGGGAATAATTTTTACAAAAATGTCCTTAGCAGCATAAAAACCTGGTAATCCTATATTAAAATGTAAATGGATTCGAATTCTACCAGAGGTACAAGGAGGAGCTGGTACCATTCCTTCTGAAACTATTCCAATCAAGAGAAAAAGAGGGACTCCTCCCTAATTTATTTTAGGAGGCCAGCATCATCCTGATACCAAAGCCTGGCAGAGACACAACAAAAAAAGAGAATTTTACACCAATACCCCTGATGGACATTGATGCAAAAATCCTCAATAAAATATTGGCAAAGCGAATCCAGCAGCACATCAAAAAGCTTATCCACCGTGATCAAGTGGGTTTCATCCTTGGGATGCAAGACTGGTTCAACATACAAAAATCAATAAACGTAATCCATCATATAAACAGAACCAAAGACAAAAACCACATGATTATCTCAGTAGATGCAGAAAAGGCCTTTGACAAAATTCAACAGCCCTTCATGCTAAAAACTCTCAATAAATTAGGTATTGATGGAACGTATCTCAAAGTAACAAGAGCTATCTATGACAAACCCACAGCCAATATCATACTGAATGGGCAAAAACTGGAAGCATTCCTTTTGAAAACTGGCACAAGACAGGGACGCCCTCTCTCACCACTCCTATTCAACATAGTGTTGGAAGTTCTGGCCAGGGCAATCAGGCAGGAGAAAAAAATAAAGGGTATTCAATTAGGAAAAGAGGAAGTCAAATTGTCCCTGTTTGCAGATGACATGACTGTATATTTAGAAAACCCCATCATCTCAGACCAAAATCTCCTTAGGCTGATAAACAACTTCAGCAAAGTCTCAGGATACAAAATCAATGTGCAAAAATCACAAGCATTCTTAAACACCAATAACAGACAAACAGAGAGCCAAATCATGAGTGAACTCCCACTCACAGTTGCTTCAAAGAGAATAAAATACCTAGGAATCCAACTTAAAAGGGATGTGAAGGACCTCTTCAAGGAGAACTACATACCACTGCTCAACGAAATAAAAGAGGATACAAACAAATGGAAGAACATTCCATGCTCATGGGTAGGAAGAATCAATATCGTGAAAATGGCCATACTGCCCAAGGTAATTTATAGATTCAATGCCATCTCCATCAAGCTACCAATGACTTTCTTCACAGAATTGGAAAAAACTACTTTAAAGTTCACATGGAACCAAAAAAGAGCCCACATTGCCAAGACAATCCTAAGCCAAAAGAACAAAGCTGGAGGCATCATGCTACCTGACTTCAAACTATACTACAAGGCTACAGTAACCCAAACAGCATGGTACTGGTACCAAAACAGAGATATAGACCAATGGAACAGAACAGAGCCCTCAGAAATAATACCACACATCTACAACCATCTGATTTTTGACAAACCTGACAAAAACAAGAAATGGGGAAAGGATTCCCTATTTAATAAATGGTGCTGGGAAAACTGGCTAGCCATATGTAGAAAGTTGAAACTGAATCCCTTCCTTACACCTTATACAAAAATTAATTCAAGAAGGATTAAAGACTTAAATGTTAGACCTAAAACCATAAAAACCCTAGAAGAAAACCTAGGCAATACCATTCAGGACATAGGCATGGGCAAGGACTTCATGTCATTACTAAATGACATGTCATTTACCGAATGTAAATGATGAGTAATGCCATTTAGCAATGGCAACAAAAGCCAAAATTGACAAATGGGATCTAATTAAAGAGCTTCTGCACAGCAAAAGAAACTACCATCAGAGTGAAGAGGCAACCTACAGAATGGGAGAAAATTTTTGCAATCCACTCATCTGACAAAGGGCTAATATCCAGAATCTACAAAGAACTCAAACAAACTTACAAGAAAAAAACAACCCCATCAAAAAGGGGGCGAAGGATATGAACAGACACTTCTCAAAAGAAGACATTTATGCAGCCAACAGACACATGAAAAAATGCTCATCATCACTGGTCATCAGAGAAATGCAAATCAAAACCACAATGAGATACCAATTAGAATGGCGATCCACTAAAAAGTCAGGAGACAACAGGTGCTAGAGAGGATGTGGAGAAATAGGAACACTTTCACACTGTTGGTGGGACTGTAAACTAGTTCAGTCATTGTGGAAGACAGTGTGGCAATTCTTCAAGGATCTAGAATTAGAAATACCAGTGGATCCAGCCATCCCATTACTGGGTATATACCCAAAGGACTATAAATCATGCTGCTATAAAGACACATGCACACGTATGTTTATTGCGGCACTATTCACAATAGCAAAGACTTGGAACCAACCCAAGTGTCCAACAATGATAGACTGGATTAAGAAAATGTGGCACATATACACCATGGAATACTATGCAGCCATAAAAAAGGATGAGTTCATGTCCTTTGTAGGGACATGGATGAAGCTGGAAACCATCATTCTCAGCAAACTACTGCAACGACAAAAAACCAAACACTGCATGTTCTCACTCATAAGTGGGAATTGAACAATGGGAACCCTTGGACACGGGAAGGGGAACATCACACACTGGGGCCTGTTGTGGGGTGGGGGGAGTGGGGAGGGATAGCATTAGGAGATATACCTAATGTAAATGACGAGTTAATGGGTGCAGCACACCAACATGGCACATGTATACATATGTAACAAAACTGCACGTTGTGCACATGTACCCTAGAACTTAAAGTATAATTTAAAAAAAATGTAAATGGTTGGTAAAATTCACTCAAAAAACAAAATGCTGTAAAAATTGAGGGCACTTCCGTGGTTTTAGTAAAACAACTGATACTAAACAACCTGACATGTCCAATTTAAAAACCCAAAGAGATACTTTTAGTCAGATGCTAATTAATTGTATTGTTAAAAAGTTTCAGAAGAAACATTGTCAGTTTCTTTCAAACTAAAGCAGTAAGTTAGTAAGTAACTGTGAAAATAGGTATCATCTTCTGCCTCTTATAAATAAGAAAAACAAACTCAAACACCTACATGAACTTGTAATAAAGAGGAAACTTGCCAAAAGGCAATTATCTACTTTTATTAGGAAACTTCAAATTTGGATAAAGTATAATGAGAAAACAAATTTCACTAACTTTCCTTTTCTTCAAGAAATAGCTTTTTGAAGAAAGGACAACTACCACAAATGAAATGACAAAGACAGTTCATTTCCAATGAGTGATGTTGTTCCTCATATCTTTTTCCACTGAAGATAATGATGAATTAAAGAAATGGACTTCAGATGTATTTCCTTTTAGTCTGTGTTCTATCAATGATAATAAATGATAAAATATAATTTCACTGACTTATAAGCTAACAGCTGGGTTCTTAGGCAGTTTGATACAAATGCCTAAGACTTCCTGGTATGTTCAGTTGGCATCACTTTCACAAAAGATGAAGTCAGTTTTGGAGATACTTGGGCATGTGTTACAATGTATCACTATGATAAAATTTATCATTTTTACATGTCAAACCAAAGGTCAGAGATTAAACATGAAAGCTATTTTTTGATTATAATTGAACAAAAGTTAAAACTACTAAGCTAATAAACCTGCTTCAAACATGTAAAGCTTTAAACATTTTAAATATTAAAATGTAACTCTCTCCCCTTCATTCCATAGTTATGATATAGCTTTGGCGTTTGTTCATAAGAGTATGATTTTGAGAACAAAACTCCAATCAGGAATTACAGGGGTATAACAGACTGTTGAATCTGTACTGACCTGAGAACTTCATCTAGTAAGAGCTTTTGGTTTACAATTTACCTAATTCAATAAAAAGAAGTGTGCAGGAAAGGGTGGTACAGGGATCAAGTCCATTGAAGAATCTGGTTAACTGACTTTGTTTATAACTAGATTTAAAATAAACATCCTAAAATTAAATACAATTTAAAATGTTTTCTATTGTTTGTGGTTCTATTAAAATTTTTAATATTAGAAATTAATTGTAGTGCCATATCTTAGAGACATGTTACTAAAGTTTATATAGATTTCATCAATCTATTATATGTAGACATTTCAAATGTGTTTAAGATAAACTATAATATAGGACATTTTGGATATTTTTTAAGAACTACATTAGAATTTATACCTTTGAGAAATGTCTAACTAATTAAGTGCCCAAGAAAAAAGGATGATTATATACAGGGCTGATAGACTTCATTCTGAAAACACTATCTAATGCTATTTTTTAAATGTAAATAATATAAATTTTAAGAAGAAAAATAAAAATCTGAGGAAAAAACTCCTTTTTAAAAATATTTTAAAAAGTTTCAGGTTAAAATAGTATTTAAATGTAGCTATCATTAAATTTAAATGGCAAAGCAAAATCTCAAAACTCTACAAGCTCTCCAAGTGACAGACTCTGTAACTCTGGGCAAATCACTAAACTCTCAAAATCAGTTTACATTTATTATATAGTTTTGAAAGTAATAAATAAAAATGGATTATGTGAGAAATAGTCAATATATAAGAGGAAAGCCACTGTTTGTCACTGAAAGTGATTCAGGTTGAGTGTCAATTCTTGGAACCAGAAGTGTTTCAAATTTCGGATTTTCAAATTTTGGCACATGTGCATATACGTAATGAGATATCTTGTAGATGGGACCCAAGTCTAAACACAAAATTCATTTATGTTTCATATACACCCCATACACATAGCCCAGAGGTAATTTTATACAATATCTCTAATACTTTTGCGCATTAAAGTTTTGACTGCAACCTGTCATGAGGTCAGGTGTGGAATTTTCTACTTGTGGCACCACGTAGGCACTCAAAAAGTTTTGGATTTTGGATCATTTTGGATTTCAGATTTTTGGATTAGAGATACTCGGCCTGTAACACTTTTTTAGTACAATTTAATAGGCAGAATTATGGCAACAATGGCCATTATCCATAGGTTTAAAGGCTACGCATATTTCTTGAGATGAAGTACAATATGTGACAGACACATTTACAGTTCACCAAACAACCTGTGCTTCCCACATGTCCCAGACACTTACCAGTAGGGTAAGGTAACTAGTTCTGGTTACTAGGTTGTGAGTGCCTGAATGACCTGGGTGTCATTTCATGGCTGAAATATTTAACGGCCAACAGAAGACCTTCTAGCTCTTTATTTCCATGTGGTGGTCACCGTGGAGGACTAATGTTCCAGGTGTACAGATATACACTGTCAGAAATTCCATCAGTGTGGTTTCTGGAGCTACTGTATGGAGTAGATCTATTTCCTGACAAACTGTTGGATAAGTAATGTGAGCAAGAATAAACCCTAGTTGTATTAAATAACTGAGATTATATCCCATTCTGACTAATACAGGGTTTAATAATAATAGATTATGAAAATAATTTATTCTGGTCCATTTACTTAGTAAGTTTGCCTGCAAAGAGAAGAACCACAGGATAAACCAGCTGCTATACAGTGAATGCGATTTTTGTCTTAACAATTTCCCATAATCAATAGAGAAAAGCACAAACATGTAATAAATACAATTGTATTCAACCTCTAATATGCTACCACATGCAAAAATATATTAAGAAAACTAAGCTGGGCACAGTGGCTCACACCTGAAATTCCAGCACTTTGGGAGGCTGAGGCAGAAGGACTGCTTGAGCCCAGGAGTTCAAGACCAGAAAAATTGGGAGTTTCTCTACAGAAAAATTAGCCAGCTGTGGTGGCACACATCTGTAGTCCCAAGTATTTAGGAGGCTGAGACAGGTGGATGGCTTGAGCCCAGGAAGTAGAAGATGCAGTAGCTGTAATCATGCCACTGCACTCCAGCCTGGGAGACGGAGCAAGACAGTCTGTCTTTTTAAAAAAAAAAAAAAAAAAGAAGGAAATAAGAAAACTAGGCACTTTTATAAAAATACATTTTTACATAAGAAGCACTTACAATGCAAACTACATTTGCTTTATCACTTTACACATACTTTTTTGTGTGTGCTGAACCACTGCAGTTGTTGCATTATGGCACTTTACCCTACGTAAAAGGACATTCTCCTATACAACAATAAATTATCACATTTTAACATTGTTACTATTATCTAAAATACAATCCATATTCAAATTTCTCCAATTATTCCAATAATGTCCTCTAAAAAGATTATCTGGAATCAATCAATCAAATCAGGTTGCATTTGGTTATCACGTCTCTTTTAGTCTCCTTTAACGTTGAACAATTCCACAACCTATATTTTTAATATTTCAAGACACACATTGTTGAAAACTTAACGCCAATTGTTTTTCACAGTGTTCCTCAACTAGGATTGCTTTGATTTTTTTCCCCTCATGATTAAATTCAGGTTGAAAGACACTGTTTCTATAATAAAAACAATAATAGAAAGTAAACCGTAACAAATACTTGCTAATGGAAACACCAGAGAAAACAGTGAAAAAAAGGTTCTAAAAATCAACAACACACCGGGCGCGGTGGCTCACATCTGTAATCCCAGCACTCTGGGAGGCCGAGGCGGGTGGATCACCTGAGGTCAGGAGTTTGAGACCAGCCCGACAAAATGGAGAAACCCCATCTCTACTAAAAATACAAAACTAGCCAGGAGTGGTGGCACATGCCTGTAATCCCAGCTACTCAGGAGGCTGAGGCAGGAGAATCGCTTGAATCCGGGAGGCGGAGCTTGCAGTGAGCCAAGATTGCTGCCACTGCACTCCAGCCTGGGCGACAGTGAGATTCCATCCCCAAAAAAAAAAAAAAAAAATCAGTAATACATGTTCTCTAGGACAAACTCTAGCCACTCTTACTCTGAATCTATATGCTGATGATTCTCAGACTGACCGCTCCATAAACCTGAGTCTTATATAACCAACTGACTGCTGGACATCTTCAACTGGCTCTCTTACAGACAATCCAATATCGCCACATTCAAAACTCATCTCAGCCACTAAAGTTACTGCTATTCTCCCTCCTCCCTATATTCCTTCTCTAACTTAGGTGTCAGCACTTCAATCTCTAAAGCCTCATCAAGATGCTTCCATCTGCCTTACTTCACATCAAATAAGGCACCAAGCCTATCAATTTTATCTGTATTTCTTAAATCTATTCTCTTTTATCCTACTATACTGCCTCTGCTCTAAGATTTTAGGATTTATTCTTTCCTAGATTCTTGCAATAACCTAATTGGGTTCCCATCTTCTGGTGTTACTATCTGTACAGTTAGCTTCCTCATTGTATCACACTAATTTATTTAAAACACGAATTTGATCAAATGACTCCCCTCTTAAAAGTCTTCAAATGGCTCTCTTCAAGTACGGAAAAAGGTCAAACTCTTTGCATTACCCACAAGGTTTTATAAAATTCACTGCTTATCTACATCTCTACTCACTTCTAGATTTACACTAGCTCCTTCTTCAATACATTGCTTTCCTAATTTCAGTTATTGGATATCAGCTTTATAATTTTTGCTAATTTTTCTCTGTGGTAAAAGACATTTTAAAGGGGTAGAAGAGCAATGACATTTGAAGTTCATTAACTTTTGCCTAGCAAACTTCACAATTAATAATATGATCAGGAAATATTTGCTGAGCCTCTATATTATGTGCAAGATGTTCTATTAAGTACTGTGAGAATACAAGAGGCGTTAGACATGTACTCTGCTCTAGGAAGAGTTTCTAGTATAGAATATAGATTTTTTAATAAGCACACACATAATTTATAGTACAATGTAGAAAATAACAAGGGTCATAAAAAAGATTCAAGTAAGATCAGAAGAGGGACAAATTAAATAGGAAAGGCCAGAAGGAAAGCAGGGAATATTTCCTACAGGAAGTGGCAGTTTTCAGCCTTAAAGAGTATGAAAGATTTGGGCATGGGAGTGAAGGAAATAATCACTGTTACTGCCAACTCACTTTCTTTAAGGTAACTGTTCCAAATTAATTTTCTGCCCCTGCACATGAGAAATAAAACACATTCCCTTAGTAATAATGACTCATTAAAACTGATTCTCAAAGGGAGAAAGGTGATAAGTGGGATGCCATCTCAGAATGTGATGACTGTCACTTAGGAAAAAGCTCTCCAGATGCTATGACCTCCCTACTACATCCTCCATATGAGAAATTGCTATCAAGGGGATACACCTTACTAACTGACCAATTTCTAGCGGGTTTCTACAGATTTCTGCAGTCTTCATTCATACAATGCTAGTCTAGATATTTTTTTAAATGATCTTTTTTCCTCTTAATTCAACTGAGGGATTTCTAAAAGGGAAGATAAAAGACATGGAATAAAATAGCCCCAAACTTAACAGATATTAGAAAAAGAGCAGACATGCTTACTCATTCAGAATTCCTACCCTAAAACACAATTCACTAAGCAGGCTTCTCCCATAAATATATCCATTTTAAACCTTGGCTACAATCTCTCTCCTAGTTTTGTTAACACTCTCCCTTCTAGAAGAGTTGGGTCAGTATGCAAGCTTATATAATTATTTAGCAATAGATCACCAGTACTGAAACACAATAGTATCAGCTCCTATATCTCCCTTTACCTTTACCTTCTTACTCCACCACTAAAAAAAGGTAAGATAAAAAATAAATTATAGAGTAAAGAGGTACAAATTGCTACAGCAATATTTTCATTGAGGTATACTCTCCACGGCTGGAAATACTTAAGCCGAAAAGAGACCAGCTTCACAGGCTACTATAATAATCTAGGTATGAAGTGAACTAGGATAAAGACAGGAAGAACAATAAAGGTATATGGAAAAGATGTGCAAGTTGGACCCAACAACTGAAGATGACATGGGAGCAAAGACAGAGAAACAGTTAAAACATGACAAATTCTGAGCCTAAGGTGCCCATGATGATAGTGCTGCTTATTGCCCCATTAGTTACTAGATCCTTTTCAAAATATCTTTGGGTAGGGATTCAAGAGGAAGGGTTTACTGCAAGTGCAACTGTGCAGTCTAAAGGAAGAAATGAAGGAAAATGATGGGAGGACCAATCATGTTCTAGAAAAACAAAGGAAGTATTATTCCCTTTCTCAACCTTTGAAAGCCTTGGTTCTACTTTTTTATTTATTTGTTTCAACAATATAAGAAGTCACCTTCCAGGCCTTACTTATCCATACACACACATTTTTATTTCAAAACTGAAGATCATACTAATCATAACATTCTTTTTTTTTTTTTTAGACTGAGTCTCACTCTGTCACCAGGCTGGAATGCAGTGGCGTGATCTCCGCTCACTGCACCCTCTGCCTCCCAGGTTCAAGTGATTCTCCTGCCTCAGCCTCCCGAGTAGCTGGGACTACAGGTGTGCACCACCATGCCCAACTAATTTTTGTATTTTGAGTAAAGGCGGGGTTTCACCACGTTGGCCAGGATAGTCTCGATCTCTTGACCTTGTGATCTGCCCACCTTGGCCTCCCAAAGTGCTGGGATCACTGGTGTGAGCCACTGTGCATGGCCCATACTGTTCTTTTTTTCCTTTAATAATACATTGTTAAAAATTTATTCAGGATATAGAGTCCTGGTTCCTTTTAAATAATAAACGTATAGCATGTACTATATGCCCATTTAACCTTTTCTCTATTTATAATACTCATTCAGGTAGGTGGGGTTATATTGTTGTTGGTTATTTCGTTCTTTTTTTTAGTTTTTACTATTTTTGTGATTACCAATAATACTGCAAATGAACATCCTGGCAAATAATTTTTTATGCCCTCCAAGATTCCTACAGGCTAGATTCCTAGAAGTGGAGTTAATGACAAATGCGTAATTTAAAATTTTGATTCAAACAGTAGTGCAAAATTACCCTCCAAAAACACTGTAGCAAGTCCTCTCCTGAATTTCATCAATCTTGGAACAAAATAAGAAGATTCAAAGATCTTATATTAGTTTCCTGAATACACTGAACTCTAATCCTTTTTATTCATGTCCAATGTGAAGCTTTTACCTAAACACTATGACATGAAATTAACCTATTTTAGAAAGAGCTACCTAGCATTCTTCAAAGGACTAGACCAATTCTCAACAGAAGGTACTTGCTCACCAACCCCATGAAAACTGTGAGGGTGTTTCTAGTACTCAATTCCTGAGGGTTGCAACTGGTAGTAATGAGTGGGACACAAAATCACAGGGCAGTCCAGCACAAGAAGTGTCTTGTCCAAAATGCCAACAGCTCTCACCCAACATATGGCTGGGAAATACTCAACTAGATAATTAGGGTATGCTATTTGGTTTCAGTTTTAAGAAGTCTAGAAAAACAGTCAACAAGGTTCAAGTGGAGACAAATCATTTCAGACAAGGATATACATAAAATAATAGCTCTGTAAAGTATTTGCAATATTAAATGTTATGTTCATGTAACATGGTATATGTTATACATTCCTTTACCTTGTTCCTTAGGTAAGACTTCAAGTTTCTACAGAACCTGCACCTGACCGATTACTTCTGAAAGTCTCTGCTTAAACTTTTTAATACTGTGGCTTACTGGTACAGACCATTTCTCTTTTTGCTTTCCAAGATTTAATGCACATGTTTGGCAGTGGCTGTGCTATTTTGGATGCAATTTTGGACACTGAAGAGAAGAAACTGAAACCAGAACTTACAGATTTTTTTTTAATGCCTAAAGTTCTCCAGTCATTTCTGAAATAATACCTTTAAATCTTTCTATTTCTTAAAATCATTATTTCCTTGTGGTACCAATTCTACGTTCCCTGTATGATAACTAGATAATAATTGTACCACATACAGGTGAATTCAATAAATTTGGAATAAGTGGTTGACTTTAGTACTAGGAAAGTTAAAAACAAATCTCAAGACTTGTTTCTAATTTAGGAAAATTCTATAGGAATTTGTCTAAAGAGGGCTAAAAACAAACAAAAAAGCATAAACATCCATAATATGCAAAATGTGGTTTACTTACTTGATAGAGGGCTATCATATGTAAAGTTAACTTTGGTTATTTGCTTTTTTTAAGTTAAGAAGACTTAAAGAATGTTTAAGCAAACACTAAAGCACTCGGTAATCTCATCTCTTTATCCTCAAAAAAGAGTTTTTTCCCCAAAAGATTGTCTTTCAGCATGTAAACATGTTACATAGTGACAGATGGAGTGTGTATAGTATTTTTGTATTCTATTGCCATTAAATATTTATGAATCTTTGTGTTAATCACATTACCTTTCAAAAGGATGCATACTACTACCAGAAATGAACAAATATATTGGTTTTGCTGTGCCTTGTCAGCATTGGTTGTTAGCTCTAAAATACTTCCTTTTGGAAAAGATAGATACCTGCTTAGCTGCATGTTTTTTTACTATTGTGTAAAGCTGTTTACTATTTTACCAAAGCTGTATTTGATTTATTCTTTTCAGTTGTTCATTTACCATTTTTCACTTGTGTGAATTATTCTTTGTCCATCTTGATGATTTTCATTTAAATTGTAAAGTATTTATTTAGTTTAGTTATTATTAACTTTCAGACCTTTTCCTCAGTGGCATTTCTGAGAAGACTAAGGTTTTTAAATTTTTATTGTAAAGGTAACATATGCACATTATAAATATTGTGGACTGCAGATAAAAGGAAAAAGTGCCTGTTATAATCCTGTCACCCTAATGCAACTACTGTATGCTCTGACATTTTCTTCTGGTCTTTTCTAAGTAAATACATTTTAGTTTCAGTCATATTACTCCCACAATGTTTTGTTTTCTTTACTTAAGGTGGGAAAATGCATATAATACTCCCGAAGCTATAACTTTAGTTCCTTTTAGAACTTTAATCTTCACTTGGAGTCTTAAACTTATAAATAAATATTATTTTAATTTCTGGTATCTACGTAACTTTTATTTTTCTTCTTTTTGCTTATCTGAATTTTCCATAATGAACATGTATTACAGTCTTGCAGGGGTGTTGTGAAGATTAAGTGAGAAAAAATATATGGGACTCACCTAACAAAATATCTTACAATTATAAGACCAAGAACAAAGCAGTTCTTTTTGAATAAAGACATCGCAACAACTAAGTCTATATAGGAAATTTAGCAGTCTAGAACCTTGCTGAGAGCATAACATCACCTTTGGGTTTGTTAGAAATGCAGACTCTCAAACCCTACTCCAGATCTACTGGTTCACAATCGCCATTTAACAAGATGTGGAGTAAGAATCTCAGAGCATTGCTTTTAAAACTTGGCTATATATTCACCCGGAAAAACTAAACAAGTATGATGGGATGAGAAGCGGAATCCACATTCTACTAGTCACCATCTGTGCAAAGACATACACCTATGCAAAGACAGCACTACATTGAAAAATTCAGTCAAGTCTAAAGTTACAATGTAGTGTATCTTTAGGGGCTGGGAAGAAGAAACTCCTGTTTCTTGTGGATCTATTTTCCCACATCAAGACAGTGCTTAACAATAATTCCCCTTGAGGAACATATAGATTAAAGTTCTAGAAAATATTTAAAATCTAGCATTCTTCAATTTGGTGCCCTTTTCTCCAATATTCAGATTTAGAAATCACCAAGTATTAATTATATCTTCTACTGAAGACTTAATAAGATAACTAGACTTTGACAAAATAAAAGCTCAGATTGCAACAAAGTCAAGTAAATTCTTTTACTTGATTAAGGTAGTTAGGACAGTCTACACAGTTGATTAAATTTTCACTTCACTTCGTTTTGCAAGTTAACAATCTTAAGCAATAAGTAAAACAAAATCTGTCCTGGTAGCAGAAATAATTTCTAAAAGACATTAGTAGTTTGATAGAAAAAAGGACATATCACTCTTAATGAAAAGACTAATAGAGACAACAAAATGATTTTAACAGGATGATAAATTATGTAACCCCAGCAACCAAGATTATACTTAACACAAAATACATTCTTGTTAAAATTAATGTTAAAAGAGTCCCAAAATAATCATAATATTATTCGTATCACTGTCACTATTTAAAATTGTTGTGGGAGGTCTAAAAATGCAGAATTCCTTTACACATCTTATGTATATTCATTACATGTTATATACTACATATTACATATTAGCTATATTAGATAATGATTATATACTTCATTCGCAGAAATGGTAGGGTTTTATTTTCGGGTTGTTCTCATCCACTGATTTATCATGATGTATTGATGTTTTAGCTACTACTGCTTGAAATGACATTTTAATATGTAGTAAGGCATGTCTGTTTTTCCTTCCCCATTAATATACTTTTCAGGGTCAGGTGCAGTGGCTCACGCCTGTAATCCCAGCACTTTGGGAGGCCAAGGTGGGCGGATCACGAGGTCAGGAGATCGAGACCATCCTGGCTAACACGGTGAAACCCCATCTCTACTAAAAATACAAAAAAAATTAGCTGGGTGTGGTGGCGGGTGCCTGTAGTCCAGCTACTTGGGAGGCTGAGGCAGGAGAATGGCGTGAACCCGGGAGGCGGAGCTTGCAGTGAGCCAAGATCGCACCACTGCACTCCAGCCTGGGTGACAGAGTGAGACTTCATCTCAAAAAAAAAACACAAAAACAAAAACATAGTTTTCAGAATTTTCTTTGACTTTCTTATTTTTTAGATAAATTTCAGAAATATTGCGCCTACCTAACATCTCACTGAAATTTTTATTGAAAATAAATTAAACCAATAAATAATTTATGAATAGGCATCTTCAAAATATTTTCTCTATCTTAAAGTTTTGAAGTTTTTGGTACATGTCACACACATTCCTCATTAAGATTGGTTCAGGAAGGAGAAGTGCAAGGAAAAACTGCACAGGGGAAACCGCCTCACTCACACATGTAAAACTAAATTTAAGAAGGTAGTATATTCCATATTCAAAACACCGATTATGATCTTACAAGCCAACAGTAGTGTTTTCTGCTCAATCCCAAGTCCTAAGCATCAAATAACAATCCTCCATTAGTGGATCTCACTCAAACAGGAAAAAACTCCTGCGTCAGAACCAACACAGAAATGAGAAATACATAGGAAGAGATGAACTGATCCCATGAACACACACATTACAGTAATATTATCTCTTAGTAAATTATTCAAATTCATTGCTTATTACCCCTTTCCAACTAACTGCTGACAAGCTACATATTTCTGTTCTTGACTAATTTTTTTTGGCCAATTTACCCTCTATGCATTAAAAGTTGTAAAACCAACCAACCAACCAACCAACCAACCTCAACTTGCTTCCTGTACTTGTTTTTGTCGAATTTTTCACTTTTGCATCACTGGAATTCTCATACTAATGCCATACTAATTGCACTGTGATAGGCAGCCTTTAAGACAGCCTTCAATTACGCCATCCACCTTGTGTAATTCCCTCCTATTGTGTGTTTACTTCTAACAAATATAGAATATGGCAAAAGGGATGGCATGTCACTTCTGAGATTAGGTTACAAAAAGACTGGCTTCTGTTGTGGTACCCTCTCTTAGTCACTTTAAGGGAAGTCAGCTGCCATGTTGTGAGCTGCTTTAAGGTGAGACACAGGTGGCAAGAAACTGAGGTATCCAGCCAACAGCTATAGGCAACCTATGGCTCACCAAGAGCCAAGTGATTAAGCTTGGAACAGATTCTCTGCCAGTCAAACCTTGTGATGACTGCAGCTTCAACTGACCCTAACTATAGGAAGACTATAGCCTCCTGAGATACCATGAGTAAAAGGGCATTCAACTAAGCTGTAGCCATATTCCTGGCCCATAGGAATACTAAGATAATAAATATTTATTGCTCTAAACTGCTAAATTTTGGTGTAATTTGTTACATGGCAATACATAACTGCTTGTTTGTTTTTGAGAGGAAATCTTGCTCTTGTCACACAGGCTGGAGTGCAATGGCACAATCTTGACTCACTGCAACCTCCGCCTCCCGGGTTCAAGTGATTCTCCTGCCTCAGCCTCCCAAGTAGTGGGATTACAGGCACACGCCACCATGCCCGGCTAATTTTTTGAATTTTTAGCAGAGATAGGGTTTCACCACGTTGGCCAGGCTGGGCTCAAACTCCTGACCTTGTGATCAGCCCAACTCGGCCTCCCAAAGTGCTGGGATTAGAGGCGCGAGCCACCGCACCCGGCCCAGTTTTTAAAAATTCTTAAGAATCACTTTATCTACAGTACACTAAATATTTAATAAAATTCATTTTGCAGAAACAAACATCCTACTTACGAGCACTTCTATTTATATTATCTCAACTGAACCTCATAAACAATCCTATACAGTATGTGGTATGTGTAAGAGCACATATAATTCTGGCTTACACTCTACTTTAGGACTCTATAATTTAATCTAATATATTCCTTTCTATATTTCTATATTCAAATTCTTAACCTGTTTATTCCTATAAATCTGTCTGCTTATTTATGATCACATCTTTCACTGATTAGGTTCTTCCCTCCATTCTTAAATTTTTTCCCTAAAAAACATCTTAGAAAATACTAGCGGCAATCTTTGGATGGTGTAGTATCTCCTCAAATATTAATATTTCTTAAAGAATGCAGCCTTGAGAAATGGTGCTCATAAACTAAGAAGTAGCCTAAAATCACAAAGCAAATGACAGTAATTCAGAGAAGACAAAGTTTAAATAAAGTTCTCCATCATTTATCTACAAGTCTATTTTTAGCTTGTTTATATGAATTCATTCAGCCCAAACATTTAGTGAGCACCCACCAAGTGCCAGAAATCATACTTGAGACTGACAATAACTAAGATGAGTTAGATAAAGCCTACCACTGTCCCCTCCCCGACCTATAAAGAATTCCCAGGCTAGAGGAAGTAGATAATTACAATATGAAAATAATAGGTATTACTAATATATTAAAGTTTAAAAAGAGGGGCAAAATAGTAAGAGCCATCTATAGCAAACCCACAGCCAACATCATATTGAATGAGCAAAAGCTGGGAGCATTCCCCTTAAGAACTGGAACAAGACAAGGATGCCCTCTCTCACTATTCCTACTCAACATAGTACTAGAAGCCCTAGCCAGAGCAATCAGGCAAGAGAAAGAAATAAAAGGCATCTGAATAGGAAGAGAGAAAGTCAAACTATCTTTCCTCATAGATGATAATGATCCTATTCCTAGAAAACCCCACAGTCTCTATTCAAGAACTCCTAGATCTGATAAACCACGTCAGCACAGTTTCAGGATACAAAACGAAGTGCAAAAATCAGTAGCATTTCTATAAACCAATGACGTCCAAGCTGAGAGTCAAATCAAGAATGTAATCCCATTTACAATAGCCACAAAGGAATAAGATACCTAGGAATACAGCTAACCAGGGATGTGAAAGATCTCTACAATGAGAATTAGAAAACACTGCTAAAAAAAAATCAGAGTTTACAAAAACAGGTGGAAAAACATTCCATGATCATGGATAGAAAGAATCAATATTGTTAAAATGGTCATACTGCCCAAAGTAATTTACAGATTCATTGCTGTTCCTATCAAACTACCAGTGACAGTTTTCACAGAATTAGGAAAAAAAACCAAAAAACAAACAAACAAAAAACTTCTAAAATTCACATGGAACCAAAAAAGAGCCCGAATAGCCAAAGAAATCCTAAGCAAAAAGAACAAAGCCAGAGGCATCACACCATCCAACTTCAAACTATACTAAAAGGCTACAGTAACCAAAACAGCACAGTACTGGTACAAAAACAGATACACAGACAAATGGAACAGGTGAGAGCCCAGAAATAAAGCCACACACCTAAAACATCTAATCTCTGACAAAGCTGAAAATAACAAGCAATGGGGAAAGGACTCTCTATTCAATAATAACTGGCTAACCATATGCACAAGACTGAAACTGGACCTCTTCCTTTCACCACATGCAAAAATCAACCCAAGATGGATTAAAGACTGAAATGTAAAATTTAAACTATAAAAACCCTAGAAGAAAACCTAGGAAAAACTCTTCTGGACATCAGCCCTGGCAAAGATTTCATGATGAAGACTTCAAAAGCAACTGCAACAAAAACAAAAATTGGCAAGCTGGATCTAATTAAACTAAAGAGGTTCTGTACAGCCAAAGAAACTATCAACAGAGTGAACAGACAACCTACAGAATGGAAGAACATGTTTGCAAACGATACATCCAACAAAGGTCTAGTATCCAGAATCTGTAAGGAATCTAAACAAAGTAACAAGCAGAAAACAACTCTATTAAAAAAAAAACGGGCAAAGGACATGAACAGACACTTCTCAAAAGAAAACATACATACCGCCAATAAGCATATCAAAAAAATGTTCAACATCACTAATCATTAGAGAAATGCAAATCAAAACCACAATGAGACACCATTGCACACCAGTCAGAATGGCTATTCTAAAAAGTCAAAAAATAACAGATGCTAGTGAGGCAATGGAGAAAAGGGAATGCTTATACACTGCTGGTGGGAATGTAAACTAGTTCAGCCACTGTGGAAAACAGTTCAGCAATTTCTCAAAGAACTTAGGGCTGGGTGCAGTGGCTCACCCCTGTAATCCTAGCACTTTGGGAGGCAGAGGGGGGTGGATCACTTGAGGTCAGGAGTTCGAGACCAGCCTGACCAACATGGGGAAACCCCCTCTCTACTAAAAATACAAAATTAGTTGGGTGTGGTGGTGCACGCCTGTAATCCCCGCTACTTGGGAGATTGAGGCAGGACAATCACTTGAACCTGGGAGGTAGAGGTTGCAGTGAGCCAAGATCGTGCCATTGCACTCCAGCTTGGGCAACAAGAGCAAATCTCCGACTCAAAAAAAAAAAAAAAAAAAAAAAAAAGGACTTAGAAGGACCATGCAACCCAGCAATCCTACTGCTGAGTATATACTCAAAGCAATATACATCATTCTACCATAAAGACACATGGATGTGTATGTTCACTACAGCACTATTCACAATAGCAAAGACATGGAATCAACCTAGATGCCCACCAACAGTGGACTGGATAAAGAAAATATGGTACATATACACCATGGAATACTATGTAGCCATAAAAAAGGATGAAATCATGTCCTTTGCAGCAACATGGAGGCAGCTGGAGGCCATTATCTTAAGCAAATTAATACAGAAACAAAAAAATCAAATACTGCATGTTATCTCTTGTAAGTGGGAGCTAAACATAGACCACAGATGGACACAAAGAAGGAAACAAGAGACACCAAAGCCTACTTGAGGGTGGGAGAAGGGTGGAGATCAAAAACTACCTGTCAGGTACTATGCTCATTACCTGGGTCACAAAATAATCTATACAACAAACCCCCTGCGACTCGCAATTTACCCATGTAACAAACCTGCACATGTACCCCCTGGAATCTAAAATAAAGGCTGGGGAAAAAAAGGGAGTGGATAGAAAAGGGAACAATTAATTCTGCCTAAAAGAGACAAGGAAGGCATCAAAGAAAAGATGGAATTACGCTGGAACTTGAAGAATGAACAGGAACTTACTAGGTCCCCTGCCAAGCGGTATTCCAAGGCAAAGGAAAAAAAATCATGCAATGTAAATGAAATTGGTATGGATTCCCTCCAGAAGACTTACAGCTAAAGCTAATGAATCAGCCTCTCGCAACTTCATTTCTTTATTAAAAAAACAAAACAAAACAAAACAAAAAAAACCCGAGCATATGCCATATGCTGGGTGCTGTGCTTGGTACTAGAATTAAAGAAATAAACATATTAAGTCCCTGACCTCAAGGAGGTCAGGAGTCTAACTAAACTTAAGGAGAGCATACATTCATTGTAATTATGTTGACTGAATTGCTCATGGGACTTCCTTCTCTCATCTCTTGAGCAAGTCACATTCTTTGTAAGCATCAGTTTCCTAATTTGGAAAGTGGAGATATTATAGCTAGACAGTCCCCTTTGGCCCTGAGGGGACTGGTTCCAGGATCCCTGTAGATATGAAATTCATGGACGCTAAAGTCTCTAATTTAAAATGGTGTAGTATTTGCATATAAAATGCACACCTTCCTGTATACTTTACATCATTAATAGAATACTTATAATACCAAATACAATGTAAATGCTACATAGTTTTTATACTGCACTTTAAATGTTTTTGTATTTTTTTTATTGGTTTCTTTTCCTGAATATTTCCAATCTGTGCTTGGCTGAATCTGCAAATGTGTGACTCTCAAATATGAAGGGCTGATTATACCTCAAGAACTGTAGTGAAGATTAAATAATGCCAGTCAAATATTCAAAACAGTGAGCTCATGACAAATACTGGCCATCATTGCTATTAATATAATCATCATCATCACTAAGAATAAGGCTATTAAAGGCTTTAGCGAAGACTTTTTCTATTTTCTAAATCATAAGGAAGGAACAGAAAAATACTTTTCTGTTTAACTCCTTCTAGATTCTATAAACAAAGTGTAAGAAGTAATAATGTGATTATCAACTCAGGCATTAAGTACCCCTAGTCTGTCATAAAGTCCAAGAACAGTATACTGAAAACAACACCTGATCCATCAGCAGGCAAATCTCTATACAATACAGGACTGATTTTTGAGTACTAGCAGGTTTTTAACTCTGTGTATATACATGTACTTAAGTAATATTCACCAACTCAAGCAGGAAAGCTTAATTCACTTTGGGGCTAAAATACAAAATCAGGAGGCAAGCATGTCTCTAACACAAAATTTAGAAAGCAATCCTTTGGAGGCAGTCATTTATTTTAAACCTATTTAAAAATTCACTTTTGAAAGGGCACAACAGCCAAAGTTCTGAATGCTTTAAGCTGAATTTCCTTTTACAAAATCCTACTGCTCACCAGGTCAACAAACCAAACTCATTACAACAGTCTGCACTGAATATGAGATTCCCAAAGAAAGGTATAAAACAAAGAAAGCAAATGATATAAAAATTCCACAGAGATGCAATTAAAGATACAATACATATTAATTTGTAAGTACATAAGACAATCACATTACACTTTTTTTTTAATGCAGGCAAGACTTAATGCAAAACCAAAAGTCTTCAACATAGAGAAAACAAGAGGTATTAAGTTTTCTTCAACATTTACCCATCCTTCTCTTTAAACTGTAACTTTTTGTCCTAAAACTATTTAAGGGGTTCTCCCATGACTGTCTCTTTCACTGAGTCTATTTGCTTCTGGACCCAAAACTGGATTTCATGAATTTCAAGACCCCATTTCCCAAAGTGAGAATCAAAGAAATTTTGGAAATCACAATTGGGAAATACAGCAGCATTACAACAATGGGCAAATGTTTTCTTCGATTTCCCAAAGCAAACACTTGAGAGTTTTCTGAAGTAAAATCAAAATCCAATTTTAAAATTCTACTTTAAATCTTATTTAATACAATTTAAAACTCCAAGGAATATTATTTATTATATAATCCACCTAGGAATAAGTTCAAAGGTAGTGGAGAAGCAATATAGTATGCCAATTAAAAGTTAAAGACTAAATTTTAAAAAAAGTTTAAAACTAAGTTTTAGAATCAGAAAAACATGCCAGGTGTGGTGGTTCACACCTATACCCAGCACTTTGGGAGGGTGAGGTGGGTGGATCGCCTGAGGTCGGGAGTTCGAGACCAGCCTGACCAACATGGAGAAACCCCATCTCTGCTAAAAATACAAAATTGGGTGGGCGTGATGGCGCATGCCTGTAATCCCAGCTATTCGGGAGGCTGAGACAGGAGAATCACTTGAACCTGGGAGGCGGAGGTTGTGGTGAGCTGAGATCGTGCCACTGCACTCCAGCCTGGGCAATGACAGCGAAACTCCGTCTCAAAAAAAAAAAAAAAAAGGAATCAGAAAAACATAGGTTTGATTTCTTCTTCCTCTTGTTTCAAGCTGTGTAAGCTTGGGCAAATTATTTAACTTCCTACGCCTCAATTGTCTCAAAAATATCTATCTCATGGGTTTCTTCAACAGTATTAAATATGACCATGAATAAGACATAAAGCATTTGATGAATTTTTTTTTAAAGGCAGGATTACACTACCCTTCTCTACATCTATTTTAAGACCTAAAGGTCACTGATAAGAACAACAATATTAATGATAATAGAGGATACAACTTATTAAACAAGCATACTTTATAGTATATGAAGCATACTTTCAACACTTTATCCTTACTGATCAACAAAATACATAATAAGCTAGCTAGATTTTTACTCTTTATTTCTCTAACTGCTAGTAAGTTTGGGCATCTTTTTATATGTGTGTTTGACATTTTAGGTTTGATTCTGGCATTAAGAAACACAGAAGTTTGAACTTGAGGAATAATACTGTAATCTGTTATTTTTTCCTCTTTTGTTCCTAATCAATAGATTTATTTAAATCACAATATTATCTGTATTAACAAAATTCAAATTATTAATCTTACTTCCTTTTGTTTCTTCCCTCCTTGCTTTTTTTTTTTTTTTTTCCCTGTATGACTCAAGCTTTCCAGATGCACTACTGAAAATCACTTACTGACTAGTGGAGTAAAGACTTCAGAAATTACTGACCAATAGAATTTATTTTGCATCCCTATATACACATTGTTAGCAGGCATTTATTTATTTCCGCAACAAATACTCAAGATGCCTCACTATTGGCAAAGCTTACTGCTTTAACTACTGAACCACAATCCTCAAATTTTTAATCCTATGTTACAGCCAGAGCACTAAATGAAAATGTTGACATAGTTTTTAGTGGATATCGTTTTTCTTCTGAGTTGTCTGATCTTACTTTTCATATGTGCGTAAGTTTGTTTAAGTCACAAAGCAGGATTGAGAAAATAAGAAATTTCTTTCTTATAACACTGTTGACATGTATTATTTGGAAAACTGGAGGAGGGCACAATGAACCAAACTAAAGAACATAAACTGTCCCTAGAAAGAAGAGCATGAGTTACAATTAATAAACAAGTTCAGCAAGGTTGCAGGATACAAGATCAATATATAAAAATCAACTGCACTTCCATACCCTAGCAGTGAACAATCTGGAAGTAAAATTAAGAAAGCAATTCCAGGCCGGATGCGGTGGCTCATGCTTGTAATCCCAGCACTTTGGGAGGCTAAAGCAGGTGGATCACGAGGTCAGGAGTTCAAGACTAGTCTGGCCAACATAGTGAAACCCCATCTCTACTAAAAAAACAAAAAATTAGCCAGGTGTGCTGGTGTGCACCTGTAATCCCAGCTACTCGGGAGGCTGAGGCAGGAGAATCGCCTGAACCTGGGAAGTGGAGGTTGCAGTGAGCCAAGATCGTGCCATTGCACTGCAGCCCGGGTGACAGTGCAAGACTCCTTCTCAAAAAAAAAAAAATATATAAAAGTCTATTCCATTTACAATAGCATTAAAAAGAACACAATGCACAGGAACAAATTTAACAAAAGAAATGCAATATTTGTACATTTAAATCTACAAAACACTGGCCAGGTGTGGTGGGTCAAGCCTGTAATCCCAGCACTTTGGGAGGCTAAGGCAGGCAGATCACTTGAGGCCAGGAGTTCGAGACAAGCCTGGCCAACATGGCGAAACCGCACCTTCTCTTAAAAATACAAAAATTAGCCAGGCATGGTGGCAAAGGACTGTAATCCCAGCTACTCGGAGGCTAAGGAACAATAATCACTTGAACCAGGGAGGCGGACTTTACAGTGAGCCAAGATCATGCCACTGCTCTCCAGCCTGGGCCATATAGCGAGAGTTTGTCTCAAAACAAACAAACAAAACACTAAAGGAAATTAGGGCTTTAAAAAAATGGAACGTCTTCCCATGCCCTTGGATTGTTAAGATTTAATATTATTGTAAAGGCAATACTCCCCAAACTCATCTACAGATTTAATACGACCCCTATCAAAATTGCAGCTGCCTATTTTGCAGAAAATGACAAACATCCTAAACTTCATATGAAAATGAGAGATCCAGAAGAGTCAAAACAATCTTGAAAAAGAACAAAGTTGGAGGACTCACACATTTCACTTTCAAACCTTACTACAAAGCCACAGTAATCAAGACAGTGTAGTACTGGCGTAAGGACAGACATATGGACTGATGGAATAAAATTGAGAGCCAAAAATAAACTCTTAAATTTACATTCAACTGATTTTTGACAGGGATGCCAAGACCATTCAATGGGAAAGAATAGTCTTTTCAACAAATGGTAATGGAAAATTGGATAAACACGTACATAATAATGAAGTTGGATCCCTACCTCATACCTTATGAAAAAGATTAACTCAAAATGGATCAGAGTATTAAATGTAAGTGCTAAAACTAAACACGGGTGTAACTTTTCCTGTCCTTGGATTAGGCAATAGTTTCTTATGACACCCAAAGCATAAGCAACCAAAGGAAAACAATAGAGATCTTTAAAATTAAAAATGTATGTGCTTCAAAGGACACTATCAAGAAAGTGAAAAGACAATCCACAGAATGGGAGCAAATATTGCAAATCACGTATCTGATAAGGAACTTGTATCTAGAATATGTCTAACAACTTATAATTCAACAATAAAAAGGCAGATAACCCAATTTAAAAATGGGCAAAAGATTTGGATGAATGTTGCTCCAAAGAAGATACACAAATGACCAATAAGCACATAAAAAGGTGTTTAATATCATCAGTCATTAGGAAAATGCAAATCAAAGCCACACAGAGATACCACTTCACACCCTCTAGGACCAATACAATCAGACAGACAATAACAAGTGTTGGTGAGGATGTAAAGACAGTCTAACCTTCATACATTGCTACTACAAATGTAAAATCATGCACCTCTTTGGAAAACAGTCTGACAGTTCCTCAGAGTTAAACATAGTTACCACATGACCTAAAAATTTTGCCCCTTTGTACCTACTCAGGAGAAGTAAAAACATATCCACACAGAAACTTACAAATGAATGCTTATAACAGCATTATTCATAATAGTCAAAAGTTGAAAACAATCCATGCGTCCATCAAGCGACAAAGCAAAAGTAAAATGTGGTATATCCATACAATGGAGTATATTCAGTCCTAAAAAGAAATGAAGTACTGATCCATGCTGCAATATAGATGAGCAATTAAAAGAAGCCAGACACAAAAGGGCACATTATTTGATTCCACTTATATGAATACAGAAATCCACAGCAACAGAAGGTAAATTAATGGTTGCCAAGGACTGACTGGAGACAACAGGGTGTGACCACTAATGGAAACGTGGTTTTTTGGGGGGTGATGAAAATGCTCTGGAACTAGAAAGTAATGATGAATGCATAACTTTGTGAATATACTAAAAATCACTGAGTTTTACACTTTAAAAGGGTGAATTTTACAGTTTATAAGAGTGTGAGATATTTTCCAAACCTCTTCAAACCAGTCCAGATGAGCTACACCAGTTATCAGCAAACACTTGCTACAAGCCTGTTGCAGGTAAGACACCAAGCACCACAGGCAGACTGTGTCCTCTAAGAGTTTATAATCTGACTGAGAAGACAAATAAGGTAAAAATAAAACAAAATAAACTTTAGCTTGATATACAGTAAGAAAATGTGACAAGCTAACATATAATTTCTATAACTCCTACACATAGGTACTGCTAGAAAAGATCAAGTGAACTGGGGCAGGAGAAAAGGTGGAAAGGATTTTAAGCTTGAAAATAATCCACAGAGGATTCTGACATGCCACCTCCCCGCAGTGGGGGGAAAAAAACATAAGATCATGATAGAAAGAAAGTATGATTTGGATAGATGGATAAAAAAGGAGGTAAATGTTTTGATCAAAAGGTGTGAGGTAGGAAAATACAAAACAAGTTATCAAAATAGAGCTATCAAAGTGCATAGGATATATTTGTATATACGAATATATTATATGTATATATGTATTTTTATATACATGTATTTTTGAAAGTACATACATGACAGTATAGTATAGTACAATACCTTTGGACACATAATTAACTTTAGATATTAGACAAAGGTTAAATCAAACTTCTCATATAAATAGAGTTTTTTTTTGGATACTTCACTTTATCTGCGGTTTCTAGCTAAGCTGTGTTACTAAGGAGTACTTATCATATTTCAATATCAGATGAACTTGAGCTAATTTGATTACTTTTTCTTTGCTTCTTATCAAATACCTTCCTTCCTAATAATCCATTAGAAATGTCACAAATTAGCAGATTTTCATTTGGAAATATATTTGAGAAGGATATATTTTCCATCAAATCAGTAGAAAGGCAACTATGAACTAATAAAGAAGAAGTATTTGCTGAGGACTTAGTGTGAACACATAGGCATGGTTTATATTTTTAAGTAGTGTGTTTCTAACAAGATTCAATTTGACTTTTGAGCAAACTTTTAAAATATAAGACACCTTTAGGAACAGATAGGTCAGTTCACAATTTCTAATTTTACTTGAAGTACTGCTGGTAGGCTGTACTGAATTTTTTCTACCAAATTCATTTACACTATCTCCTACCCTAACTTCTTTCCTCAATTCTACGTCCTCGCTAGTATCCAGCAACTCCTCCTCCATTCTTCAGAACTAAACACATCTCACCATTCTCATTTTTTTAAAAATCTAATTCGCTAACTCTGCTCACATGATTCCTTGCTCCTTTATGCCTCACAGATGATGTTTTTATAGAATACAAAAAAGAGAGAGATCTTTTAGGTAGCCATGTAAAATTCAGGAGGAAGACTCAAAAAAAGTCCATATCAAATATCTAGTATTCATTGCTGAACACACTGCAGTTATTCAATTCTTACTGAATGATTGAGAAGTCTAAGGGAACACAGCTAAAAGAGAAACTTAAAAACTTACATCTCCAAAAAAGGATTAAAGTTTGAAAAAAAAAAATCCCTAGGTGATTCTGATATGCTACCTCTCAAGCCAAAAAACAAAATGAAGTACATTTGTTTAAGTATACTTAGAACCTTGGAAAGTACTAATTTTCATTTTGGCAGTATGTCACCTGGTCAGTTATTTTGGATACATCAGTTTGACTGCTTTATAACTGTTCCTACATGTAACAATTCTAAAAAGCTACTGCCATTTTAAAATTTATTTTAAAAGCATCCCTTTAATTATATTTGTAAAGATAATCCCTTCATGAACAAAGTAACATAGTTCTCACTACAAGATTTCATTATAGTGTATGTATGGATTTAGTATAAAACTAACTGAAGAGGCAGTCTTCAGATGAGGCTGGATAAACAAATACACCAGAAAGGCCCTAAGAGAACTTTGCACAATAGAAAATAGTTATTAAAGAACATTCATTATGTTATTCTAAGCTCACAAGAATATAGTCAATATACTAGAAAACAAAGCATTAAAAAGAAATAGTATTATCTTCTAGTAATTTAATCAAGTAAGATTATAATCCACCATGCTACTTTTTTATTATTATTATACTTTAAAGTTCTAGGGTACACGTGCACAACGTGCAGGTTTGTTACATATGTATACATGTGCCATGTTGGTGTGCTGCACCCATTAACTTGTCATTTAGCATTAGGTATATCTCCTAATGCTATCCCTCCCCACTCCCCCCACCCCACAACAGTCCCTGGTGTGTGATGTTCCCCCTCCTGTGTCCAAGGGTTCTCACTGTTCAATTCCCACCTATGAGTGAGAACATGTGGTGTTTGGTTTTTTGTCCTTGCAATAGTTCCCTGAGAATGATGGTTTCCAGCTTCATCCACGTCCCTACAAAGGACATGAACTCATCCTTTTTTATGGCTGCATAGTATTCCATGGTGTATATGTGCCACATTTTCTTAATCCAGTCTATCGTTGTTGGATATTTGGGTTGGTTCCAAGTCTTTGCTATTGTGAATAGTGCCGCAATAAACATACGTGTGCATGTGTCTTTATAGCAGCATGATTTATAATCCTTTGGGTATATAGCCAGTAATGGGATGGCTGGGTCAAATGGTATTTCTAGTTCTAGATCCCTGAGGAATCGCCACACTGACTTCCACAATGGTTGAACTAGTTTACAGTCCCAACAACAATGTAAAAGTGTTCCTATTTCTCCACATCCTCTCCAGCACCTGTTGTTTCCTGACTTTTTAATGATCGCCATTCTAACTGGTGTGAGATGGTATCTTATTGCAGTTTTGATTTGCATTTCTCTGATGGCCAGTGATGAGCATTTTTTCATCCACTGTACTACTTTTAACCCTGATTTAACACTGGAGAGATCTTCTAGGTCAGCTGTAAAAGTCATTTCCAAATAATCATTAGTACAATTTGACCAAGCCACTAAATTTTTCAATATCCATTCCTTTTAAAATGTGAAAGGTGATACAGGTTTTGGTACACTATATTTTTACTCACAGGCAGCCAAAACTGATTTAACTTATATTCTACTCTCATATGCCCACATGAAACTTGGGAATCAAGGATATATCCTTGACTGTTTTCATTCTCTCTTACCCAATCTACCTACATAGAATCACTAAACTATAACTAGATTAACTCTTTAATATTTGTTATGGGTTTCCTTCGCTACAATCCCCCATCTTAATTGAGGACCTCAACACCTACTGGCCTCCTGAGCCTCCCTTTTCCTGCCTACTATCCAAAAATTTTTTTACATATGCATAAAACATACTCCATTACTAAATAACTTCCTGGCTTCTCGTCTTTAAAATAAAACACAGAATTCTTAGTAAGGCATATCCACTCCTTCATAATCTGTAGCCTGCCCCTCTCTGTAGCTTCAGACCTTTTTGGCATGCCCCTTTTCCAGCCTATGTTCTAATAATCTAAGCCATCATCAGTTTCCAAAAATCAAATTGTTGGCCCAGACTCCACAGTATGACTAACAGCCTTCAAAACTTAGTTTGCATATCTACTAACCATCACACCTAGGAGGGCTCCTGACTTACTGCGCCTCACCACACTAGTCTAAATTAGGTGACCACCCCTACCACCAGTGCTCCAACTGCACCTTGTTTATCTTGATCATAGCACTTAGATATTGTAACATAATCTCTGTTTACCTGTCTATAAACTGTATTAGACTATAATATGGGTGGGCTGAAGTCTTTTATTTCTTTTTCTTTTTTTGTTTTTTGAGATGGAGTCTCGCTCTTTGCCCAGGCCAGAGTGCAGTGGTGCTATCTTGGCTCACTGCAAGCTCTGCCTCCCGGGTTCATGCCGTTCTCCTGCCTCAGCCTCCCAAGCAGCTGGAACTACAGGCGCCCGCCACTGTGCCTGGCTAATTTTTTGTATTTTTAGTAGAGACGAGGTTTCACTGTGTTAGCTAGGATGGTCTCCATCTCCTGACTTCGTGATCCGCCCGCCTCGGCCTCCCAAAGTGCTGGGATTACAAGCGTGAGCCACCGTGCCCGGCCTGAAGTCTTTTATTTCACCATCTGCAATGCCTTAATAGCTCCTGAGAAAAGACATAGGAATCACTCAGTGTTTGATGTACAAGAGAATGAATATGAGATCATGACCATGTTCACATCACACTGGGTATTTCACATTTCAAATATTAAGACTAAGTAATGGGTCTTACCTAGACATTACTTTTCTTTTTACATTCCAATCTACAATATCCTTACCACTTTATTTCTGCAGAAAAGCACTTTCTTGCTTTGTTCTGACTAGTCCATGAAATCTCAAAAGCTGAGAACCTCTTCAGTTTACAGTTGAAGACATGGGCTTGGGTTAAGAATTGGCCTAAATGCCACTTGGCTAATAGCAGTTTAGATCCCATGCTAATTTTACTATATAATACCTCGAAATGATATACACCGTTTGAAAAGCCACAACTGTTTATCATCAAGAGGTTAAAAATATATAGTAAAAAGAGACCACAGGCACAATAGTGGGAAACGGGAGCATTTAAATGACCTAATAATATTCATAGGAAGTGTGTATTCTATATGAAAAACACAATGAATCTACTGAATGAATTAAGATGTGAATGAAAATAAAGATTATAGCAGAATAAAATTAGTTTTGGAAATATATATTAAAGGCCATAAAAATGTTCAAACCTTTTGACCCAACTTCCACTTACAGGATTACTTCCACTTAAGAGATTCTACTCTAAGCGAATAAAGCCCCTAAAGGGGGAAAAAACTACATATAAAGATGTTCACTGCCTCATTATTTATATAGAAAAAAAGTAAAAGCAAAAAGTATGCAAGAATAGAATGAATAAATTATGGTTCATCCACTGACAAAATACTGGGCAACATTTTAAAGAATTATGAACATTATATAGAAAACTAGGAAAATCTTTATGATCCAACGTTAAAAGAGGAATAAATTTATAGCATTAATATATGTATTTAACCATAATTACATTCATCATAAATATTTTTATGTAAAAATTTAATAGGAAACTTAGTAGGAAAAACATAAAATTTGATATTTTTCCCATTTCCCAAACAGCATGTAGTTTTTTTTTTCACATTGGTTCTACAATTGAAAAAAAATTAAGAAAAGTCTTCAACTTTGAAGCTCTTGAAAATTTTTAAGTTCTAAATTCCACAGTTTAAGCTTAACATATCAGGAAACTATATGTAGTTTTGGCTTCCAAGAAAATAAAGGAATGGATTGTTACTGAATTATAAAATTTTTATAAAACACACTAAAACTGTGGTGTTTATCTTCCAGTTTAAAATATCAGAATCATAAGAAACATATGATAATCAGAGTAGATGGCAATGTGGCTCAACAGCTAGGTAACTAATTATTAGAGATTCAGATACTGAACTTCATACTAGGACAGTTACAAGCTTATTGTAAATTATATGTGATTTTAAATTCTAGTTTTTAGACATCCTCATATGAATACGGAGGACAGTGCAGTGGCACCCTGACATATACTAAGAAACATGAGTAATTGGAAAGATTGAAGAACTGTAAGAAATACCTCTTTCCCAACACCTCCTCCCAGTTCTTAATATGAGTATCTGGATTATGCAGATCATTTTAGCCCCAAGCCTACAATTAGTTCTTTAGCAGTGAACATGGGGGTTCAGAAGTAGAGCCAGAGTGGAAATAAGAGTAGAAAGAACTCAAAACACTTCTGTATATAGATCTTTCTCTTATCCAACTAAACAAACCTTATTGTCCAGATAAAAATAGTTAACTAAATTACACCAATTCTTTGCTGTCAATGTTGTCCACCATTTCTGGGTTTCATGTTTTCTTTCCTCTATAAAACTTGCTCAGTATTTAGCAAGCCCCACCCATCTTCTGTCACTCTAATTAGTCCTATGTCCCCAAACTGAAAATATATTCAAATTCATTTATTCAACAATTGTTTGTTGAGTGCTTACTATGTGCAAGCCACCAAAGGGATCCAATGACTACCAAACTGGGTCTCCCTTCAGCCTTTGTAAACTGCCTTTAGATTGATTCTATTCATTCCAAAATATGGTACTTGGCACTAGAGCAAAATATAGCACATATTACTTCTTTAGTTATAAACTCTAGATATAACGAAGAAAATGCTTGCTTTGTTTTTCAAGGCAGCATTACATTTTAAAATGCCCTTTACAAAAGATGCGCTCAGGATTATTTAAACTAATAATTTCAAGCAGACCCTTTGGCTCAAACTGTGGGCTGGAGGGGTAATTTCTTATTTTAAGGAAGAAATATCATAAAGTTATACAAAACCATGAACATTAATTTCCAAACTCACAAACAAGCAATACTGTTACAACACATCTAACTCCTGTCATTAAAAATATGTGCATGCTTAGCACCTGAATGGTATCATATCCCACAGCATTTCTTTAGTTTTCTGTTGTTTGCAATAAAAGTGAAAATGTTATTTAAGTAAACTTGTTTCCACAGTATAGGAAAGTCAATTCAAAAGTCCTTCCTTTAACTTTCCTTATACATTCCCATTTTCTCCTCTACCCTGCTCCAAAACACATAAACACAAAGTATTGAAATGAATATACAACTCCATGAAATGCAGTATTCTAAAAGCAAGAATGAAAAGATAAAAAATGAGTTAAAAAATGAGTTCAAGTCTTCCAGCTGATAAACTGGGCTGTAAGTCAAAAGTCCTAAATTTTAGATATAACAGAACACAGTCACATTTAGGCTATATAGTATCACTGTTACTAAAGATTACACCTTAATTTTAAATACCAGAGCCCAAGCATAGAAGCAAAAAGTATCCAATACTAAATACATATTACTTTCACAATTACTGCTAAATCTTTCTTAAAATACTAGAAGTTATTAAATCTGAGAAAACTGTATGTTCAGGACCTCTCACAGAATCAAAACATTGGGGAAGGGGTAGATTCAAGTGATAATTCAGGGAAGTGTTACAAATGTCAGAACTGGGTGAATAACTGAACTGGAAGTATGGTAAAGAAGTGTCAAGGATTATCCCAAATTTCTAGTTTAGGTAAATGAGTTGATAGTGAAAACATTAACCTACTTCATGTATTTTTTAATAGTTTTCTTTCTTTGGGTGACAGGTCAGAGTAAGGAAGAATTAAGGGATGAGTTCAGACTTACATACTATGGAATTTCTGTTATTCATGGGACATCAGGAGGTACCTGATAGACAGCTGGATCTGGCTCAGAAGAGAAATATATTCTGGAGATAGATTTGTGAGTCATCAGCACACAGGTAGCATGTAACAAGTCATGTGAATAAATGAGATCAACAGGAAGAACAGAAATAAGTTTGAAGCACCTCCTGGAGAATACAAATATTTAAAGGGGTAGGTAGAGGAGCAAGACCTAGCAAAAGACTTAAAAAATGGGAGGTCAAAGACATAAGCAAACAACAAGAGAATATCCCAGAGATGAAGCTGTTTCAAAAAGGAAAGGGTCGGGGGAGAGGTGGTCGAATAAAATGTCCAGAAAATTACTCTTTTCTCATTATCTGCCCCCAATTTTCAGTAAAGGGCACTGCTTTTCTAACTTTAATCATTGGAAGAGAGGCTGTGACTGTTATTCACTATAATCTATGCTCTTTTTTTAGCACCAACTTACAAACACTAAACCTAAAGCAAATGTAAACTCAAGTTTTTGGTGTTACTGCACCATCCTTCATTTTTTATTCTAGTTTCTATGTGCTGTATGTTCAAAATGCAAGATGCTACCTATTTTAATTATGAAAAAGAGAGTAGGTCTATTTCACATGCTTGGTAGAGAATTAAACAGCATTTACTAATATAAATAAATGCCATATAATAATGTCTATTAGACTAGATTTGGGGGTTGAGGGTTAAACAGGTAAGTAAAATTTGGGGGTCGAGGGGTAAAAATGAGCAAGTAAAATGTTCAATAATAAGGCAGCTGCCAAAATCTGAGAGAAATATCTACCACTGTTCAAAGTACTATTTTTTGATAATACTCTTTCGTAAGAGCTTCACCAAAGTTAACAATTTTAAACTTCAGTCATTGACAAACTACTGATACATAGAACATGAATGAATCTCAGAAGCTTTCTGCTAAATTTAAAAAAAAGACATAAAAGGCTATATATGATTCCATTTTTATGTTCTAGAAAAGGAAAAACTATAGAGACAGAAACCAGATCTAGTTGCCTCGGGCTGCAGTAGGAGCAGGAAACTGATTACAAAGGGATACATGGGAACTTTTGGGGGTAATGGAAATATTCTGATTGTGGTGGTGGTTTTAAGACTGTGTATGTTTGTCAAAACTCATCAAACTGCACACCCAAAAGACTGAGTTTTACTGTATAAATTATACCTCAATACACCTGACATATTAAAAAAATTTCAGTCATCAGATAACTATTTTAACTGAATAGCCTATTTTCCCCCAATGACCTCTGAACATTTTATGGGCCTCCTGCTCCCCAAAGGGTACCCTGCTTCTGCTGACTTAATGTCTCAGAACTTTGGTGTCACTGGTCTCAGACACCACTCTGCCATCCACTATCCAGCGGGTGGTGGTCTTTTGGATAGTTTGCATGGAGTTGCTGCTGTCCAGGGCATCATCAAGACTGAAGTTCTTGCCATCTTCAAGCAGGCGGTGGCAGGTGGCGCTCTCAGCCTCCAGCTTGACCTTGATGTTCAGCATGGTCTCGTACTCCTGGGCCTGGTGCTGCCCCTCTGCCTGGGTCTGTGCCAGCTCTGACTCCAGGTGCAGCAGGATTCTGTTGAGCTGCTCTACCTGCAGGGCATAGCAGGTCTCCACCTCCCTCAGGCTGTTCTCCAGAAGCTGGCCTTCAGATTTCTTATCAAGTCCAGATGGATCTCCAAGGACTGGACCGTATGTCTCAGCTCCGTGAGTGTCATCTCAGCAGCTCCGACCTGCGCGGACTGAGTGGTGACCACTGTGGTGCTCTCCTCAATCTGCTGAGACCAGTACTTGTCTAGCTCCTCTTGGTTCTTCTGAGCTAGCTCGTCGTATTGGGCCTGTATGTCTGCCATGATCTTGGCGAGGTCCTGAGATTTGGGAGCATCTACCTTCACGGTCAACCCAGAGCTGGTGAGCTGGGCTTGTAGGCCTTTTACTTCCTCTTCGTGGTTCTCCTTCATTAAGAGCAGCTCCTCCCTGAGAGCCTCGATGTCTGTCTCTAGCTACAGCCAAGTGACACTGGTGTCATCAATGACCTTGCAGAGCCCACGGATGTCGTTCTCTACAGACTGGCACATGGCCAGCTCTGTCTCACACTTGACTCTAAAGCCATCAGCAGCAAGGTAGGCATTGTCAATCTGCAGAACAATGCAGGCATTGTCCACAGTATTTGCAAAGATCTGAGCCCTCAGATCCTCGATGGTCTTGAAGTAATGGCCCCAGTCTCTGACCTGGGGTCCCTTCTTCTCCAGGTGCTCCCGGGTGTTGCTCTCCAGTCTCTGGTTCTTGGTCTCTAGGCTCCTCACTCTGTCCAGGTAGGAGGCCAGGTGGTTGTTCAGGCTTTGGAGGGTCTCCTTGTTCTGGATGCCTCCCATTCCTGCCAGACCCTGGGCCATCCACTTGGCCAGGCCCCTGGACCCCAAGCCGCCGCGGAAGCTGGTGGAACAGGACACGGAGATCCGCGAACCAGAGCCCCTGGCGCCTGCATAGACGCTGGCTGCACTGCTGACCAGTCAGGCACCATAGCTGGGTGGCTGGACAGAGCCCAGGAACCAGTAGTTGGTGGAGAAGGTGGAGCAAGTGGTGAAGCTCATGCTGTCCAGGGAGGAGAGCGAGAGGACAGGACTCAGGCTTTGCTGACCCTGAATAGCATTTTTTATGTGCTGTAACGTATTTCTCATTATTTAACTTATCTGATTATATATAATACTTAAATTGGCAAAAAAAAAATTAAAACTGCAATAAATCCAAAGATTAAAACAAGAAAGTATTTAGATATTTCACTTCTTGCAATACTCCAGTATCTTACTCCAATTATACTGCCTAAGGAATCAGAACAAAAAACCCTTCCTGTACTTCACGATCCTCATTAACAGCTTAAAAAGGAACTTTAAATTTTTCTTTATCTTTATAAAGTTATGTATGTATTGTTAGGGATATATGTAAATAAAATATTCCTACCCCCAAAGCAAGAAGCCCTCAAGGACACAGCTCTACCTAAGAAAATTATATTTTGAAATTAAGAGAAATGTACTTGCCATTCACTAATCTTAGATTTAAAAACATACCTTTAAGAAATACCACATGGCTCAATTCTAACTAAACAACAAATATATATTGAATACCTAAAACAGGAGCAGCACTGTGATGATGTTATAGACATACAGATGAAGATAATACAAAATCTCTTTGCTTTCACAGAGCTGATGGTTGAGTATGGCTGACGAATATAGGAACAAATTATTTTATCAAGAGATACAAGTAAAAAACTGTACAAATGCTATGAAATGGAATGATCAGGGAAACTTTTGTAAAGGCAATGCTTTCTCTTTCTCCTCAGAAAAAATTTCTGGTCCTTGAGCTGACATTTTGAAAAGTAATATATGTCTATAGAAGTGGGAACAATACACAAATATATATTTTCATGGTTAATGTCAATGCTTTTCTACCAGCAATCTATTTTGAACTTAGGAAGATCTCAGAATTTGAGGCCTCTGAAACTGCTCTGGGTTTCATCAGGGAAAGTAACACATTACAAGATCAACCACATTAACAACAAATACCTATATTAGCCACAGTATGTAAAAATTTGCTTTGGGGGAGATGAAATGGACATTGATAGTGAAAGGAAGAGATACATAAAAAAAGGGAAAGAGAAAATAGTAAAAAGATTAGTAGAGTTAAATAAAAGCGTATGTCATGTGTGTCTTTCAGGATAACTTGAAGGTAACGTTATGGAATAAACACTAGTTTCCAAATTCTTTTCTTAAAGGGGAAAGAATCAGTAGTTTTCAGGTCATGACATTTCAGCTTTCAATCTTAGAGCTTTCTGAGGTATACGCAGAACCCTAGGAAGAAATTTTTTCATGTGCATCAATTTTAAAGAATAGTATTAATAAAAAATAAATAAATAATAAATGGAGTTATGCCCAACTTAAAACCATGTAAAACTTCAACTTGGTCATTACCAAAAAAAAAAACTGAATTACATAGAGCATACACTCAGACGATCGATGTCTTTGGCTCAAAACTGGCAACCCACAATCTGATTCAAATAAAGACAACTAAAGGCAGGTTTTAAAATACTGAAAGGGTTGACAAGTAGCAGTGTTGAGAAAACTCTGTAATGTATTTCCTCACCAGGATTAAAGGACATTTTTGCTTTACAAATACCAAATTAAATATCATAAATATCAATCATAAAGACTAATATTTTAAAAGTATAGTCAGAATTTAATAATTAGTGTTTTAGACATTTGTTAGTTTTAATGTATCTAGAATAGTATTTTTTCAATAGTGCTCATATAAAAATAACTGTGCATTTCACCTGCATAAGTGACCCAAATATGTTAATTCTAACAAAAGGAAATCCAGCATTTTAAAATTATGTCACAGCTTCTGCATTTCTCAGGAGAGGCAAAAGTATATATATAATTATTTTAATAAATTAATATTGCTAATTTCTGAAAAAGTTTTTCTTTTCTGTCAAAGGAGAAATATGTACAAAAGAGAACTCAAAGGAAATTGGTATATGCATGTTAAGAGATATGTCACACATGTAAGATGGCAAAGCAATTTACCTACATGAATTATTTTGAAAATTCAATGCATTCTTGGGAATTTTTTTAATGCTTAACATTATTAAAAGTAACAAGAGTCACAATAAAATCATAAAAATACAGTTAATCTATGAATTAGCATGACTGATCATTTTTTTAAAATTTCAGTATTGTTATAGCCTGAGAATAGCTTTTGCCAAATTTTCTAAAGCTACTTATTCCACAGATACCTACATTTAATATATTCCACAGTACCTGCATTTAAAAATCAATATCCTATTTATATGCATATTTGAATATACAAACATTTTGTGTACTATACACGAAGTAAAGTAACAAGGTGGGTTTTTTTTTTAAAAAAAAAGACTATAATCAAATAATGAATCAGCTATAACTGATCAAAACATTTTAGAATTACTCTTGTAAGCTCCACAAGAAAAACAGTGTCACTAACTTCATAATCAAGGCTACCCTTTCACCAAAAATTGTATTATAAATTTTGAAGAGCCAGGGTGGTAGAATGTAAAGAATAGAGGTTTTAGAATTAGATACATTTTAGCTGGAATCCTACTTCTAACACTTGCTAGGTTTGCTACCCTGAATAAGTTTCTTAAGCATGATGAACCTCAATTTCCTCTGTAAAAAGAGAACAGTATCACTAACTTCACTGAGTAGTTGGGTGGTTCAAATCATGATACACAGTATCGTGGTTAAGGCTTATGGGTAAAGTATCAACTCTGAAATCCTTTCTCCACTGTCTTGAACTTATTAGTTGTGTGACCTTGGGCTAGTCACGTAATCATTCTATATCTCAGTTTTCTCATACAACTAACTTCAATTTCATATTCAACTTTTCAATACCTTGAGGAACTGAAAAACCTTTTCCCTCGCACAGTTTCTGTCACATGGAAACATTCAATAATACTACATATTACAAACATAAAGCACTCAACATAGTGCCAGACACAAAAAAAATCCCTAAACTAAGTTTCAAGTGACGTTGTACAGTATCTAAAACTCAAATTCACCCCAGAAAATAAAGATTTGTCATAAAGATGAGAAAAAGACTATTTCAAATGTGTTAAAGGTATTCACAAAAGGAATTCCTATAAGGTTGTATGTACTGGCAACAGTTCTGGAATAAGCGCACAACCTCCCAAGTTGATGACTATAATGATCAACATTCTCTGGCTATAAAAATACTGAAACTTTACAAAATGATCAGTCATACTAATTTATAGATCTAGCTACTATCCTACAATTGGTCATATACATTTCTATGAATGAAATGACTCTCTAAAGCTGAACTTTGTCTTTCTAACAACAGATGCTTTGACAAACATCTTCAACTCAATATAAAATACTTCAAAGAACTAAAAGCTTCACAGACTGCTTAACAAAAATTGTTTTAAACACAAGATGGTAAAGAGTTATTGATTTTTAAAAGTATTATAAATACAGAATATATAGCCTGAATTCTATTTCAGCTTCTTTGCCTGAAGTACACAATTTTCTTGACTAAGTGACTGGGCAAGTATCACATCAACTAACACCCAAAAGATAATATTAAAATTTCATTGAAACTAGATACATAGAATCCTGAATCCATAAGAACAAATGTAAATCAGACTGATCATTTACTAATTGTAGGACCATGGGCAGTTTTCTAAACCTTTCCAGCCTCAGGTTCCTCATCTGTACATTGTAGATAATTATTGTTTCTACTTTTGGGCATGTTAAAAGATTAAATGAGATATTATGGGGACAGACTTAACTCCTGGCAAATAAGTCCTCAAAATCTTAGCTGGCAATGCTACATCAAGCAATGATCTCTCCTAATGATATAACTTTGGGAATAGAAAAAAATATGCCTTAAAACATAATGCAACTTGACAAAACTCAATTCAACAAAACTGACTCCAGATTTACACCAAAAAAAAAAAATTACACACAAGACAAATACCTAAAATTACTTTTATTACTTAATTTATTTGGGCAAAATATTCTAAGCACATAAAATACCCTTTAAAATTACAATGATGGCCTTAAGAGACATGGAGTTTAAAATTCCTTTTAAATCAACCAGAAACACTAAAATCCCACTCTATTTTCATACCAGGAAAATACAACCAAGAAACAGGTATCCTCTCTCTCAAAGACAAGAAAAATGCACTTTGAACTTAGATAATTGAAAAAGTAACAAATGGTGTCAGTGTCAGCACTGAGCAATACCTAGCTTCAAGACCAGAGCTCACACATTTCTTAAAGCAACATAATCTAAGAAAATACTAGTGTCAGGGAATCCCTTATCCTCCGGCTGACTTACTACATGAATCTACACAAATCATATGGTCTCTTAAGTGTCAAGTATTTCATCATTAAACGGAAAGCTGGTCACTTCTCTCACAGGGATATCAGAATATTTTTAAATGAACTCAGGTCACCTTGAAAAAGGACTAGTTTTAAAATACGAAGAATTATTATAAATGACAACTGCTGAAAAAACGAAAAACTTTGCTTAAAAAGTCCATCTTAAAACAATTTTTAAAGGCTATATAAGACCATAAATTACCACCAAACCTAACCTAGTACGCTCAGGATATTAAAATAAGCATGTTCAACTGAACAGTTAGTTGTCAGCCTTCTATAAAGGTTCCTAGTCAATTATTTCCCATTCATTTTTATGGCAAGTAAATGTGATAAACAGAATTAAAGTTACATTTCTCTAAAAGGAATTACTGTTTACCTCACACTCCCTAATCACTTCACATAAAACTGAAATCTTAATTTAAAATTTTAGAATTTCTTCCAAATTATGCTTTTCCTAATAAGCACCAGAAAGGAGGATTAAATGAAATTAAATAAAACTCAAACTCCTGGTTTTTATTTACTCTTATATTATTAATTACTACATCTTATTTTGAGAAAGTAAAAATACCACAATGGGGTATTTCAAACATGTAACACAGATATGTTCAAATATTTCTATGACAGTTTGATGATGGATTGGTACCAAAAAATTAAATATGAAATTAGTTGAAGAAGCCTTAGAAAATACATTTTTCGGCTGCAAGTAAAGAAAATTTTGTATTGGTATAGCTTGCTCATATTTTTGAAATTTAATAATGATTACTATGAAGAACCAAGTTTACTGCCATAGTAAAAACTTTCACTTTACATCCCTAAAAAGAATCTCAAGTAGACTGTTTTTCTTTTTTCAAGTAATGTATAACTTTTCCTTAAAAGCAGAAAATATTATAATGATCTCTAGAACAGGTTCAAAAATGTTCTCAGATAACTTTAGTAAACAAATTGTTGAATAACTTTAAAAAGGAAGCATCCTATATACACTTCTCAAACATTGAAAATTATCTATTTAATGTTCAACTCTGATTTACTTTCATTATTTACTTGAAATCTCTTTTCAAGTAACAAAAGTTATTGACAACTCTTCAGAGTTAAGAGAAACAATAAGCGACATTGTTGAAATTTCCTTTAGGTGTATGAGAAAATATTTCTCCAAATAATATAACTAGGATTATAAGGTTACTGGAACACTTCTGATTTCTCCTTTCACTGAATTTTAATTTTTAATGGAAATAGATGATTAGCCACTAGTGAATATTCCAACCAACAGAGGGGAAGCAGAACACTCTACACTCTTTAGGGAAACAAACTATTCTCTCCAACTAGGTTATCAGAGATTTAAAGTTCAAGTTTAAATTTTACAATTTGAATTTTACACAATGTTTTCTCCTTTAAAAATGACGTATTTAATTGGTTTGGACCAAACAAAACATATTTTTAAATTTAAAGAAATGTTTATGCTATCATAATGAAAGCTATCACACAACCTATATTACTCACAAATTACTAAATATGTAGAATTGGGAAAATAAGTTGGGAAGAACTAATTCACTATAACAATTCCAAAGTCTCAGGAAAAAAAAGAATCAATCACATAAACCCATCTCTAACACACTTATTCAAACATCTGCATAAGACAACCTCTAAAAATAAGTTGCTTCAGTTCGTGAAAATTAAGCAAGCACAACTCCTCTATTATCTTTAGTAAAAATATGTTTATCCCTTGAAATAAAAGTTGTAGAGACAATCACAGGAATATATGAAGGCCTTTTAAACATTTATAATGAAGCCCTTACCACCTCCATCCCCAAAAAAACAAACCCTCTGCTTTCTTAAGATGTGAAGTATTCCTCCCGTCTGCATTCCCTCCCTGGCATGCCCCCCACTCGCACACCCCCCCACCCGCAGTAGGCCTGAGGCCCCGTAGCAAACAGTGTCTAACAGGAGCAGGCAGCACAAAGACAGGAATGGGAGATTAGTGGGAGGGAGGGAGGCCGGGATTGGGGCTCAGCAGGAGCTTCAGGCTTTTTAAAATTCAAACTGCTCCCTGACCAATACAAATCACGGACACGCTACTGACTACTACACGGATTTATAGCATTAAAAACATGCCTAGTACGTGACAGCTATATTAACTTCATTCTTTTAAACATTTATCCGTACGTTTGCAGGAAATGTGAAACAATTTATTGTAATCAGGACGCTAAACTCAAAAATAACCTCCACAAAATAACTTATTCTACAGTGACAATAATTTAATGACACAAAAAATATGAACCAATGTAACAAACACTAGTAAAACAAGGGATTTCGCTGAGCAGTGCTGCTTCATTTTAACCAATGAAAGTTTTCCTTCAGCGAATATGAAACAAAATATCAAAACGTGTAACCCAGGTACACTTTTCTAGCAATTTGCCTGACTGAGGAATTTTAAATTGGTGTTTCCCCCTTATACCAACCTACATTATGAACGCCTCCATAAACAAGCTCGAAACACTTAACTTACTCATGAACTAGAACTTGTCAAGTTAGAACTGATATTTTTCTCCAGCATTTACAGATACATTTAACCTATTAAAATGACACCTCTCTCATTACACAGTCAAACATCATGGCACAAACAGCCAATGACAATCCTGGGACCTCAAGAAGAACTGCCCTGACATAAAAGGATGGCACCTTCTACAATTTTTTAACCTCCCAAGGATTTTAAGTATAACTTAATTTCTTTTTTGGAAAAAGAAAAGAAAAGTGGTTTTACCCGTATCTCAGCACAATTCTCAGAACACTTAAAATTCTTTGTATGCTCCTACACGTTTTGGTCAGGAAGTACCTGAGTGTTTTACGTATAGTCGCTTAAAACTGCCCTTACATAACGCATACAAATAGAAAGTGGCAGAGTAAACCTGTCAAGTACTTTATACTTGTCTTTGAATAAAAAGTCCATGTGCAACAACACACTGTCAAAACAACAAGATAAAAGCTCTTGGGGAGGGGGAGATGTGCAGTGTCTACCACAGTATGTTTTTCTGTATTAAATATTCATGTGGACGATTTAATTCTTTAAAAAAGAAAATGAGTCTTTATGAACTTTCCAACGTCCAAACAAGTTTTAGAAAGAGAAAGAATTACCACTGGATCCGCGTCTGAGTATTTACGTTTGTCTCACTAACTGAAACTACTTCCTCCCTTCATGGGGTCACAGGGGGAAGAAGGGAGGTTGTTTGTTTCACTGGGACGTTCCCCACTCCCGGACCGGGAAAGTTGTAAATATGGGGACGATCAGGGCACATTTGCTGTTAGTTGTATTGTTTCCGCCTCCCCACTAGCTACGGCTCCACTCCCGGGCGAGGCCTGTCACCGACCAGCAGTCGCTCCGCTCAGCCCGGAGCTCTCCTAATCCCCGAGCTCAAGTAGATTCCGCTGGCCCGCGGCCTGCACTCTCCGCCGGGCCTACGCCTCCCCGGCCGCCCAGCAGGAGCCCAGTCCCCGCCACCGGAGCCGGCCGGGAGAGGGTACAAAACCACCGCTACCCAAGGCGGCTGCCACCAGAGAGGAGCGAACTCTAGACTCGCCTGTGGAAGAGACCTGGGGCCGCTAAGGAAACGGCGGGGAGGGGAGCGAGGAGGAGAGACGCTGAGGACCTGGCGCCGGCGCCGCCGCCGCCGCCGCCGAAATAAAGAGCAGGAATTTACCTGGGCGAATCGGCGTCTGAATCCAAGGGGAGGCCGAGGCCGCTGTGGCGAGAGACTATAATCCGGGCCGGGAGGGGGGGTGGCTACGGCTCCTCTTCCGTCTCCTCAGTGCGGGGAACATGTAGAGCCGGGGGGAGACCAGCCGAGAAGACAAATCGTTGCTTCTTCTTCCTCCTCCTCCTCCTTCTCCCACATAGAAACACTCACAAACACCCGACCACGGGCCCGAGCTACCGGGGGGGCATCGCCGCGGGCCCGGGAACCAATTCTCCTGTCGGCGGGGGCGTCCCTCCCTGCGGCTTGGTGGTGTCGGGTGAGTCGGTACCGACGGAGGGAGGGGGGGGAGGGCGGGGGGAAGGAGCCCTGTGTGTGTCTCTCTCTCGTTCCGTCTCTCCCTCTCAGAACAAAATGCCGACCGGAAGTGCAGCTGCAGGAATGACTCCCTCCGCCGGCGCCAAACACTAACAACCACCCCCTCTTCCCCACTCCACTTCCGCCACCGCCGCAGCCGCCGCTGCCGCCACTTGGGCTCGCGTCCTCGGCCGCGCCGCGCGGCACCCGGGCCCAGCAGCCGGGAGGCGGCAGCTCTCCTCTACGCCCGTCCCCTCAGGGCGGCTGTGGATGTTGCCAGTATTGTCGATGCTTCAGAGCGACGTTTGCCCTGCGACACAGGCGGGCCGGCTCTCCTCTGTCTTTATTTTCCTGGAGGCCGACAGGAGCGGGGCCCGAGTTCGGTGGTGGTCGTGAGCGTGGGGGGCACTCAGGCCCGGACGGGCTCTCAGGTCGCCGACGGCGGCGGCTGGAGGCCGCGCTGGCTGTCCCAGGTCGTCGTTAGCTTTAGGGAGCCGATCTCCGGGCGGCCCCACAGAGGACGCCCGCGATTCGATGGCGATGATGCCCGTTTTAAATGGTGTCCCTGCAGCCGGGTGGATGGATGGATCGTACACCTTGCCTTTTGAGAGCCGGGACCTTACGCCCGACTGCGTGTTATTTCTGCGAATAAGAACGCAACCTTTGGAGGTGAAGACGACTGTCGGCTGGATTGAATTGGAATCGTGTTTGTGATGATGCGTTTATTTCTGGAAATACGCGGTCTCCGCTGCTTTTGCTTTTTGTCGGCAGAGGTTTGGGTTCTTCTCTAACGGTCAGGATAAAGGCCTGTAGGCGACGCTGCGCGAGCGAGAAGCTCGCCCGCGGCTGCCCGGGCGCCCCCCTCTAGGTGTGGGTGGAGCCGAGCGCGCGGGGAGAACCGCCGGCCCCGACTCAGCCACCGGTGACTGCGGGCGACCCGCGGGCCTGCGGCCAGCTGATTTCAAACATCGTTTTCCTCTTTAGGTTCGGAAAACTGAGGCGCTGGACAAGGCTGGAATACAATATGTGATTATACGTACAGTACTATGGTTGTTGTAGTTTTTAAATTGTAAAACAAGAAGTAACCATTGTTCCACCGTTCTCTATTAAGTTTGTGTAAATTAAAAAGGGGCTATTTTCGGTAAAAAGTGCAGTAGGTAAGCGGAATTTTACTCAACCGGGACGAAATTCGTGTTATATGAATTGTATTGTGTATTTGTGTGTGTACCAGTGCGCTAAAAGTAAGTAGGAAAACTTGCTTAGATTATTCCTTTTGCCTCAGGCCACTCAGGGGGCCAAGATCCTGTCACTCCTTTTCTCTAGGCCCTGCGAATGGCTTCCCGTCTTGAGGGGAGTGAGCCAAAGCCTTGACTGCGGCAGAAGTCCCCGCGCGCCGTTGAGGGTGGGGGCGGGCCTGCCCTGGCATCCTTGCGAGTAGGACTCTTCCCTGAGCGTCGTCCACAGGGCTTGCTCCTTCACCTTCAGGATTTTGCTCGTGTCACTCGGTGCTTCCGCGGCTACTTTTAAACTGAAAGTTCCCTAGCCCCCTTCTCATTTTATCCTTTGGACAGTCTACATATCCATACTTGTTTATCTTCTTATCTCTCCTTCCCCAGTGCAATGTAAGCTCTAAGAGGACAAGAGGTTGTGTTTTTCTGCACTGGTGTTACGGCCCCCGCCTAGAATGCCACACAGTAGATGCGTAGTATGTGGTTAAGGAATGAATGCGATTATAAGGGCCTTGATGCTCCCCCATTTCTGTCTTTAATATGTACTTATATGCTACAGAGAGCTTTATAAAAGATTTAAAACACGTTTATTACAGAATTCTATAAAAATATATTGCTTCTAAACATTGGAAAGCCCTCCACAACACCAGAAACCCACAAATGAGGGATAAAATTTGTTTTTAGGCTTCTGTAAATGAGCATGCCCGAGGACAGTGCATCAAATGATCATATCCATACTGGGCCGATTATGTTTGCTCTTCTGAGTCTCAAACTGCATTCTTCATCTTGTCGTCCTCTGTCTTTCAAAATACATTAAAAGTGAGAATTTGGTTGGCTCAGAGCAAATCCAGCACTATTGGAAAAGTTCATTCAGCAAGTATTTATTGGGCACAAATGGGTACCAGGCACGCTAATTCAAAAGGTGTGTGTTTCTGAGGCTAGAAGGCCTTACATAAAGGACCACATGTGGCTACTTTGGTTGCTACTCAATTATGCTGTCAAGCAAAGCAAATGCTAGTGAAATTTATTTTTAGTTTTCTTCTGAAGAAAAGGTTCAATGAAAGCTGAGGTCAGGCTTGGTGTGGATATTTTAATTCACCATTTAGTTTGCTGTTTGCTTACACTTAGGTTAGCATTAGATATACTTAATCATGATTTTTGAGTACTATAAAACGTGAGAAATCTTATTTCCTAGTGGCTGGAAAAACAGGCTTTTTAAATTAAAATAAGTAAATATATCAGTAAGCTAGAAGCTATGCAATAAGGCTTTGGCTATGGTATTACAAATTTTCATATTTCATGTATTGAATTTTTGGACAAGAAAAGACAGCCTTGATAGGTATTTTATAACCATTAATACAATTAATCAAACATTGTTTAGTAAATCCAATCGTCTATTCATTATTATTTTTCCCATTAATCTTCAGAACAGCTTTAAGTTAATACAGATGACTCAGAATGTGTTTTTCACTCAGTTTCAAAATACCATTATTTCAATTCGCTAATAGAAGCACAATTATCTTCTTGTCTGCTTTCTTAAATGTTACTGGTAAACTAGTAATTTTGCATGTCCAGGTAACTGCAGCTGCTACAGTCAATCTGCTTTGGAAAGTCTTGGCATTATTGTGTCATTTAATTTAAAATTTTTAAGTTTTTTTAGTTTCTTCCCTTATTGAGGACTTATTAGGCGCTAATTAGCTTTATGCTAGACATCTCATGCATGGCAGTGAATGAAAACAACACTGCCTTTGAGGGTTTTAACTTGTATATAGTTTATACCATTTTTTTTCCAGGTTATAGAATCAAAGAAATTGTTTCAATTCATATCACAGTATTTCTCTATTAAATCAAATGGTATTTTGCTTGCATAAATTTAAGTATCCAAGTTGAGATCTTACATAGAATCTGTTAATCTAATATTAGTGTTTTCTTCATTTCATTGTCTTGGGTTTTTTTTTCTTAATAATTATTTTTCCCAATACCATCCATTTGTTTTGCTCTTACATTTTTAAGTCTTTTATGTTCCAAATCAGGTGACTTACATCCTCCACTTGTCCATTGAGGATAGCCCAGTAAACCTTTATTCTGACTTTAAATTGCCTCCTTGCTTCAAGAACTGAGTTGCATGACTCAGTTTTCTTTGCTAGAAATATCCCTGGATAGTCTCGTATGTATTCTTGATCAATGAATTGCAGAAGATTTGATTAAAAATTTTAAATGGATTTCAGGGATAAACTATTTGTATCAAATGTCATCACCAGGAATTTCTACAACTGAAAAATTTGAATTGTTATTTTTATTGAAGAATATTTATCTTTAAGATAAATGCAACTTGCTATAAAATGATAGAAATGAAAAATTTTAGAAAATCATTTTCTACTCACTATTTTATGCCTGCCAGTTATCCTTTGTTAGTGATAAAATTGTCTTTTATGGGAACGAATTTGTTAAAGGTAGAAAAAAAACTGGTAGTGTATGTATGTTTTATAGATTAGACACTACCAAAATTATTTAACATTTAGAATAATTAACTTGCTTTCAGGATGACAGATGACTTAAGAAACTGATGAAGGGTTAATTAAGGATATTGATTTTTAGGGCAGAACTACAAAATTATCAAATCACTTAACACTGTAAATATGTTCCTGTTTCAGGTTTTCAAAGTAAATACCTTAATCAAATTTGGAAATAGTATTTATGGATTTTATTCAACATAGATTATCTATTTTGTTAAAATTATAGAAATGAACAGTTCTTTTCCCATGGATGCCTTTTTTCATCTTGGCCTATTCTGATCCTTTAAGAACAAGCTTTGTCCTTTCATTAATACTTCTCACCTATAATTACGAATTTTCTCTAAACTTGTAGATTTTATTATCCATGCCATCTATTTATAATCCTATGACACTCCTATATTGTTTATGGTTTTTTTGTTTTTTTTTGTTTTTTTTTTTAGACGAAGTCTTGCTCTGTCACCCAGGCTGGAGTGCAGTGGTGCAATCTCGGCTCACTGCAAGCTCCGCCTCCCGGTTCACGCCATGCTTCTGCCTCAGCCTCCCCAGTACCTGGGACTACAGGCGCCCACCACCACGCCCGGCTAATTTTTTGTACTTTTAGTAGAGATGGGGTTTCACCGTGTTAGCCAGGATGGTCTCCATCTCCTGACCTCGTGATCCCCCGGCCTCGGCCTCCCAAAGTGTTGGGATTACAGGCGTGAGCCACTGTGCCTGGCCTTACTGTTTATGTTTTCATGCATCTATACCTTATGTTACTAAATCAAAGTGACCAGTTCCACATTATACTACAAGTTTCACTGTGTAATGCATAAGAATTACACAGAGGGAAGGGCCTCAAAAAATGCACTTCTGAAGTATTTTAATGTAAAATTATTTAAGACCATAAAGTTTCATGAAAGCCTAATCTTTCTGGAACCTACACATACTCTGCATGTGAACCAGAGTTAAACTAGTCAAGTATTTTAATACTGAACTAATCTGGAAAAACATCATTTAAAAAATTACTGTATTTATGAAGGAAGAATATAAAATCTGTTAAAAACTTAAAACATCTAAAATAGGTATGAAGAGAGGCTTATGGTGCTCATTTTAACAGCATTCTTGAGTAGGTTACCTTGCAGTCAAAGCATCTGCTCCAGACCAGTGTTTTAAACTGTGGATTATGGTACCACTATGGGTCATGAAATTAATTTATTGCATTATGACTAGCATTTTTTATTTAAAATAGAGAAAAGAATAGAAAATAAAAGCGTACATCACAGATGGTAAGGGTATGTGTTTTTAAGTAAACATTTGTTCATGTGTATATGTGTTAGATTACCTTGTAAAACATATTCCTTATTGTGGGTTACAGGCCAAAAAAAGTGTTTGTTTTTGTTTTTAAAAATCTACAGTTCAGATTTTCCTTAGAAAATGGGGAAAAAAGGAATGTTAGAAAGATCTGACTGCCTATGAACTAGTGAAGGATTTTAGAGGAAGTACCAGGCTATTTTAGAGATCTGATACTGGTTTCAGAAAGGTAATCTTAAGGCAAAGGGTAGGAAATAAAGTTATGTTGTTAGTAGAAATGTCAAATACGGTTAAAGTTGTGAGGAGGAATTATTTTCCTAGTGGACCTACATTTGTTGTGTGTAGATCTGTGACTATTACTGATCTGTTGTAGCACATTTTCCAATCTAAAATGTCCGATACAGCACAATAATAAACATGGGGCAGAATATATGTTTGTTTCTATTTCTTCCCACCTTCCCTTCAATCTTAAAACAAGTGTTTATTAATAAGTCAGACCAAAGCAAATTTCTATCTTTCACAGAGTAATTATCATAGGAACAAATTACTCCCTGAAAATGGTGGAAACTTCTTTCTCCCTCCGAAAAATAAACTTTCAATAAGTGTTTTCTCTCTAGCCAAAGTAAATAAGTTCTTAAATAGGTAACTCTCATTTGCCATCCAACTCATTCTATATATTTAAATAAATGTACTTACACTTGTGTATAGGATTTAAAAGGGGGAAACTTAAGAAGGAAGAAATTGTGTATAGAATTTAAAAAGGAGGCATTATATTGCATGAGTAGAATGAAAAGTATCTAACCAGAAAGCAAATAAGTTAAGGATTATATTATACTGAAATATTTTAATACAATTTAAATATTTCATTACTCTTTCACTTTATTTGCTATTTGTAGATTTCAGTATTGTAATGTTGGCAAGTCTATTTAAGACGGCATTAATAAAAATTTTGTTTTTCAGGCATGTGATACCAAGTCCCTTTCCATTATAGATAAGTAAGGCCTAGGTTGGTTAAAACCTTAGCTAAACACAAAATTTGCTAGAGAATCAACATATAAGAAGCTCTAACTCCAAGCTTATTCACCCCAGATATTTCACCAATGTTAACACATACCCTATTGAACTAAGAAAGGAATTATATTACTAACCAGCAGAGGGAGCCAAGTCAATCATGAAAGGTAGGAGTATAAAGGAACATCATATGACTTCCTGTTTTGAATTTAACTGTATGGCCCCTGCTCACTTTTTGAGTTTACCAAAAAGACAGTCATAAGGAGAGAAAGGCGACCAATGTATCAAATAAGGATACAGTGACAATTATAACTTAGAATTACCTTGCAGGAAATAAATTGGAAGAAAAATTGAATGCAGAACTATACAAGTGAAATGTCTCAGTATTATAACCCAAGATGGAAAAACCATGGAAAACAGTACCTTAATGCCATGATGAATTGCTAGCCAAATGTAACAGTGAATATTTCTTAATAATTCCATTTTCACTTAAAGTTGAAATTAGGCCATAAATAGACACATTTTAAAACTATAAAGTTGTACATCAAATTTATGTGCATTTAATCTAAGAAATAAGGGATAAAATTTAATAAAAAATTATTACAGTGAATTAATAAGGACATGATTTTTCAGCTTAAAATTAGAGAACAGAATTGTTTCCACTACTGTTTATAAACACAACAAATAAAGTAATATCTGTTTTGTGAGAGATGTTTGGAGGAATCTAGTAGCTAAGTGATTATGTCAGTTTATTTAATTTTGTCTAAGAACTTCAAAATGCCTGATAGAATGGGTGCATATTGAATGAATAGATGTGATCTATATATTATTTGAAGTAAAAGTATAAGAGCTGAGCGTTAGCTAACTGCATCAAAATAAATGTAAAGACCCAAACATTTTTAGTTGAATAACCAAATGAATTAGCTAGTCTAGCCCCTTACTCGTTTCAAGGTTTGTGGAAACATACCATATATACTTTTACTCATGTGTTTATTCCTTTCAAAAATATACTTCTTAAGCACTATCTCCATAGGACGTGGAGCATATCTTCATTATGAAGTAGACAAACTTCTTAAATTTTATTGAAAGATTTAATTTCATTGATATATGAACAATCATACAAATTCAGTATGCCACCAGTGATTTCAAGAAAGTGATACTTAGAAGCAAATCATTTATGGGACTAGACTGCCTTTGTAGGACTAACAAATTAGGCACAAGATTAGAAATTATAGTTTAATAGTCATGCAGCTGGAGGCTACACGATTCTGACCCTCCCTAACCTGCTCCTAAGATCAGTGCTTGAGATATTCTGCAGACCCTGCACTTGATGGATCAGCTGGCACCACCCAGATCAATAAACTGGCTCATCTGATCTTGTGGCCACCACCCAGGAACTGATTCAGAGCAAGAGGACTGCTTCAATTCCCTATGATTTCATCTCCAACCCAACCAATCAGCACACTCTATTCACTTGCCTTCCCCCACCCACCAAATTATCCTTAAAAACTGATCCCCAAATGCTCCAGGAGACTGATTTGAGTTATAATAAAACTCCGATCTCCAGCCAAAAAATAAAAAATAAAAAGCAAATTATTTGATTTTGAGTACTAGAAAGTAGACTTTAAACTTTTTGAAGGGTATATTCTTTTATAATGCTATATTATACTGGCATTATTTTATAAATTGGCATTTGGTGTCAAGTCAGTTAATCACAGCGATAATATCCAAGATGTACAGCTCATCAGTCCTAGAGACATTTTTTTTTGTTTGTTTAAGACAGAGTCTCTGTCACCCAGGCTGGAGTGCTGCAGTGGTGCGATCTCGCCTGCCTCGGCCTCCCAAAGTGCTGAGATTACAGGCGTGAGCCACTGCGCCCAGCCTAGAGACATTTTAATGCCAAAAAACCCTCAATGCCACCAGTATTACTACTTCTAATTATTTGTTTCCTTTACACACGAGTTGTGATGAATATGGGCTATTAGAATTGCATAAACAGCCTAAGCTTTTAAATGTTTCCACTCATGAAAAATAGCTATTATGAACTTTTAAACATTAAATTAATAAAGTGCAATAGCTTTACCATGAACTATTCCTTATTGATAAACATAGTAATGGGTTAACTCATGTCAAAGTCCAATAAAAACTAGTAACTTTGTCACCAAAGTCAACATTTCAGCATCTATGATATGTAGTATAGGTATTTCTGTTTTATCTAGTTTTCATTTAATAATCTAAAAGATTCTGGCCGGGCACGGTAGCTCACGCCTGTAATCCCAGCACTTTGAGAGGCCGAGGGAGGCAGATCACGAAGTCAGGAGATAGAGACCATCCTGGCTAACATGGTGAAACCCCGTCTCTACTAAAAATACAAAAAATTAGCCGGGCGTGGTGGTGGGCGCCTGTAGTCCCAGCTACTAGGGAGGCTGAGGCAGGAGAATGGCGTGAACCCGAAAGGTGGAGCTTGCAGTGAGCCGAGATTGCACCACTGCACTCCAGCCTGGGCGACAGAGTGAAACTCCGTCTCAAAAAAATAAATAAATAATAAATAAATAAACTCAAAAACCAAACAAAGGCTGGTGAGAAAATAGCTCATTTCTTGTCTTATTCCAGAGTAAGGAGTGGTGACAGATTAGGAAAAGCATCAAAAAAGTGGCTTCCAGTGAACAAAATCAGGAAGTTTGAGTAAAGAATTTCTCTTTTGCTAAAAACTTAAATATAAAAGTTTAGTCAGGAATTTGTACCCACACATGTATACTGCTTTTAACATTTTTCTCTAGACATTTGAAATATTTTATTTTCTCTTTAAAAAAGCAGCACCAAAACCTAAATTTAATAGTAATGTTTCTGATTTATCAGCTTCTTTCCATCTTACACTGTTGAATTCTGTACTGCTTCTAAAGCACCTACAATTAACTCTACAAGAACTGCACAATTAACACTCGGCATTGCCTTCTTCCTAATTCTAACATCGACATTCATCAGCTTTCTCCAATACAGTCAGATGATTCCTTATAATCATATCTAGCCAAATGATGTAACTTTTGCTTGATGTATGGGAAAATAGCTTACATTATGAATTTAGAAGAGCTATAGTAGTATTTGACAATATAGATGGAAAAGTATTTTTAATTTAAAGAACATATTGCACATCTTTCAGAATTTCTGTAAAAACTTTTGAATGTCCATTTTGGCTAGGAGCTTAGAAATGATCATGCTTAAGTTTAATTTTGTGTTTACATTAAATCTTTTGGATTTTCATTCTGTATACAATATTGCTGTAAAACATCATAGTTGTGAAATCTGGCTCTTTAGGAGATGCTTACCATAAAACTGGTTTGAAAACTATTCTGACTACAGTGTAGCTATTACATTCACTAATAAGAATTTAGTATGCCTCTGAATATAAGTAAGTCTCTAATTCCCTATTTTTTTGGAATATTACTGTATTCTAAGAATATCAGAATATGAGCTTCTTAAAGATTTTGAATTAGCATATCCAAATTGACAGATAACATTCTTAGGTGGGGCGTGGTGGCTCATGCCTATAATTTCAGCACGTTGGGAGGCTGAGGTGGGCGGATCACTTGAGGTCACGAGTTTGAGACCGGGCTACAAGGTGAAACCCCATCTCTACTAACAATACAATAATTAGCCAGGTGTGGTGGTGCATGCCTGTAATCCCAGCTACTTGGGAGGCTGAGGAACAAGAATTGCTTGAACCTGGGAGGCAGATATTACCCCACACTCAACAAATAAATATGAAAGAACTTTACTTACAGGATAACATCATGATAAAATTTGCATTTTAGAATAACTCTACAATTAACAATAAAAAGAAGTACCTATAACATTACCCCACAAAAGGGATAAGGTGTGGTGAACTTGGAAATTTCATACAATTTAGAAATATGTATTGAGCTGTAAAAATGTTCATATTCATTGACATAAAACTTTCACATCTGAACTCTTGAGGTGGCTATATATTGCTTTTGTAATTTCAATGAAAACAGAAGCTTGGGCAACTGAATGAAGGAAGGATGGAATGTAAGAGAGGGTGGAGAAAGGTGAATCAATGAGAAAGTTAATGTAACCAGTCAAATGATTTAATAATTTATTTTTTAGCAGCAAATCTCCTTAACAATAATACTTTCAACTTAATAATACTTTCATCCCACATCTAGAAAGCTTACAGCAAACTTTCCAAGTAGTTTGTCTGTTCTCACCCCAAGGTGCAACTCCAATGCAACCCACGCTTGCTGACCATTCTTGCTGCTTCACTTTCATCACTCCTCCATAACACGTTTATCTGACTACCAACCTTCTCATAATATCTATCCACTCACCATTGGTTCCCACCATCCCCACACATTTTGGTTCCTTTAAATCAAGGGTAAATATAGTCTTGATTGTTCATGTCACCTAGTGGTAAGACAAAAACTAGCATGACAGGGTGGAAGTGAAGATTATGCCATATTTCAGAGGTTTACATGTTTTCCAGTAGTGAATCACAACTATCAGAAATCCATATGTATGTGGGCCACATACATTTTAAATTATAACAATAGTAGAATTATAACCTATTAGCTATTCAAAAGTATTTAGTTTTTGGCTGAGGACAGTGGCTCATGCCTGTAATCCCAGCAGTTTGGGAGGCTGAGGTGGGAGGATTGCTTGAGTCTGGCAGTTCAAGACCAGACTGGGCAACATAGTGAGACCCCCATCTCTAAAAACAATTTTTTTTTTATTGGCCAGGTGTGGTGGTGTCGACCTGTCATCCCAGCTACTTGAGAGGCTGAAGGGGGAGGATCGCTTGAGCCCAGGAGGTAGAGGCTGCAGTGAGTCATGATGGCACCACTGCACTCCAGCCTGGGTGACAGAGTGAGAGCCTGTCTCAACAACCAGAAAAAAAGTATTTAGTTTTACAGTATTACAAAGTAGTGTCACATTAGTTTAATGAGGTTTATTTATACAAAGGTGTAAAATTATGGGCCAAGTACTAGCCTTCAAGTAATTTCGAAGTCAGCGAGAATACTGGTATATAACGGATCAAACTTTGTTCAAGAACCAAAGGCTATTGTTCAACGAATGGTGCTGAGACAACTGCAAAAGACTAGGACCCTTACCTCACATGCAAAAGACTGGGACCCTTACCTCACACCATTTTGCAAAAATTAGCTCAAAATGGATCAATGACCTAAATGTAAGAGAAAACCTATAAAATTCTCAGAAAAAAACAGAAGGATAAATTTGTATAACCTTGGATTTGACAGGATTCTTAGCTATGACAACAAAAACACAAGCCTCCAGAAGCAAGCAAACAAAAACACCATAAACTGGACTTCATCAAAATTGAAAACTTTAGTGGTTCAAAAGACACCATCAAGAAAGTGAAAAAATCCACAGAATAGGAAAGATATTTGCAAATCATGTATCTGATAAGGGATCTATGTCTATAATATGTAACGAACTCTTAATAAAAAATAACCCCACTTAAAATGGGCAATGAATCTAAATAGACATTTCTCCAAAGAAGAAATGCAAATGGCCAATAAGTACATGAAAAGATGCTTGACATCACCAGAGAAAAGCAAATAAAGAAACTGCAAGGTTTTCATTCTTCTTCACTTACAAGGCTTCATTCTCACTATGATAGCCAGAATAAAAAAGTCAGATAACAACAATTATTGGCAAAGATATAGAGGAAAACTGCAAACCTTATACATTCTGATAGGAGTGTAAAATGGTGCAGCCACTTTGGAAAACAGTCTGGCAGTTCCTCAAGTGATTAAACATCTAGTTACTATATGACCCAGCAATTCTACTACTAGGTATATACCCAAGAGAAATGAAACCATATGTCCACACAGAAACTTGTACACATTTGTTTACAGAAGCATTATTCAGAATCACCAAAAGGTGGAAACAACCCAAATGTCCATCAACTGACACATGCAAAAGTAAAATATGGTATCCATATAATGGTATATTATGGTATATAAAAGAATGAAGTACTGATACATGCTGCAACATGAATGGATCCTGAAATCATTATGTTAAGTGAAGGAAGCTAGTCACAAAAGACCATATGTTATATGATTGCATTCAAATGAATGGAATATGGAAATCTATGCAGACAGAAAGTAGATTACTGGCTGTTTAAAGCTGAGGGTGGGAGCATGGGTGGGCAGGGGAATAGCTAAAGGGTACAGAGTTTCTTTCCGAGGTAATGAAAATGCTCTAAAATTGACTGTAGTGATGATTGCACATATCTGTGAATATACTAAAAACCACTGAATTGTACACTTTAAATGGGTGAATTGTATGGTATGTGAATTCTATTTCAATGAAACTGTTAAAAAAAAAAAAAAGCGGGGGGGGGGAACTGAATATAGACAGGGCCCATCTCAATTCCCAGTCCAGGTTTACATTATTGAAAGTGGCCCTTAGATTTTATTTCCATAGTTTCAGGAAAGAAAATATACATTAAAAGAGTTGGAAGACTCTAATGTTGCAAGAATTTGACTACAGAGCCAGAAATTTCAGAATGGTAATATATGATGTATATGTTCATTAAAAAAAATCCTAGAGATTATATGAGTTTGCTTTCAGCTCAATCAATTCCTCTTGAAGTAGAGCCATGTTGACAAGGCAGATGCTTACAAAATTCAAACACATCTCTCTAGTCAGCTGCAGAAACTTAAAGCATAATTCATGCTAATGAAAACTAGTGAATTTCTTCTGAAATTCAGATTTTATTTCTACCAAATAGCTCAGCCGTTCTTCAAATTCTGTGATTCCATTTAGCACAGGACAGTTCTGATATGGGACATGAATGCACGCTCCAAGTAACATCTACCCAACTCCCCAGGTACTGGTATTAATATTAATAACTATAGTTCCTTCACAGACTCATCTATTTTCTTACTTTTTTCTCTACAGTCTCAAGTTCAGTGTATTCAGATATCTTGCTTGCAACATCAAACAGAAAATATAATCATGTTAGGTATTTGAGTTCGGACAAAGAGGGATCCCTTTAATTACCAAAAGTTTTACACCTGAGATAGCATCATTGTGGCTTTCTTCAACAAGCTTCCATAATCTTATCACCTTATTGCATTAAAATAAACTAAATCCATTGCATTTACAATAACAATACTAATAACAAAATACTTAGAATAATTCTTACAAGAGCCCTGGCATGGTGGTTCACGCCTGTAATCCCAGCACTTTGGGAGGCCCAGGCAGGCAGATTGAGGTCAGCGTTCTAGACCAGCCTGGCCAACATGGTGAAACCCTGTCTCTACTAAAAATACAAAAATTAGCTGGGTGTGGTGGCACACGCCTGTAATCCCAGCTACTCAGGAGGCTGAGGCATGAGAATTGCTTGAATTCGGGAGGCAGTGAGCTGAGATTGCTCCATCTTAAAAAAAAAAAAGAATAATTCTAACAAGAAATATGTGAAATCTATACAAAGAAATGAATAAAACTTCATACTGAGCTATAAAAATTAAAAGAGAACTTCTCAATTTCTAGGGTTTTTTCTTAGCAATTGAAAAAAGATTCTAAACTTCATATGGAATAATAGGTGGAAACAGACAAATATTTTGTTTGTTTGTTTTAGAGACATGGTCTTGCTCTGTTGCCCATGCTGAAGTGCAGTGGCATGATCATAGCTCACTGTAGCCTTGAAATCTTGGGCTCAAGCAATCTTCCTGCCTCCACCTCCTGAATAGCTAGGACTACAGGCACATAACACCACCCCTGGATAACTTTTTTTGGTAGATATGGGTCTTGCTATGTTGCCCAAGCTTGTCTTGAACTCCTGGCCTCAAGTAGTTCTCCTGACTCAGCCTCCCAAAGTGCTAGGATTACAGGCATGAGCCACAATGCCCAGCCAACAAAGATATTTTTAAAAAGAAGAGTTTTGGTGGAGTGTATTCGTCTCTCTAAATATTGAAATACATTGTAAAACTAAAATGGTTGCAACATATTTGCCATAGAAATGTACAGATAGTTGGAAGAAACTCCAATATGTCATAACCCAAGAAGGAATGATAGCCTATTTAACAAATGATATTGGGAAACGGCTTTTTGTGAATCCAGTTTTGTTCAAGCCAGAAATCTAGAGGTCTTCCTTAATACCTCTCTCCCTTATCCCCTGACCAGTACCCCACCCATTCAATCAATCACCAAATCTTACTCATTTTGTTTTCTAAATATCCATCAAATCTGTCTACTTCTCCCTGTCTCCAGCAACACCAACTTAGTCATCAATTATTATTCGTAGCCAGAAATGGCTACCATCATTTCTTGCCTGTGTTACTATAATAGCTTACGGGCTTCTGCCATCCACAAAGACACTCATCCCCTCAACTCTTTCTTCTGCTTCCATAGTGATAAATTTGATCATGTTAACCTGCTGTTAAAATCTTTAAATAGTTCTCACTACTCTTAAGATAAAGATTAAAATTCTTAATAAGTCACAAGGCTCTACATGGCATATCCTTGCCTGCTTCTCCAGTCTCGTCTCTTAGTTATCTCCACCTTGCAGCCCAACACCAGCCACTCTGGTCCTCTTTCTAATACTTTAAATGATATCATGCTCCCTGCTGCCAAGGAACCCATATTTCCTTTCATTTTGGGCACTTATCTCAGTTTATATTTGTATGTTATTGGTGTGATTATTTGATTTATGTCTGCCTTCACTCCCTAAACTGTAAATTCCACTAGAGCTAGGACTATGTTTGGTTTATCAGCACCTAATAGAATATGTACTTGATAAATATCCACTGAATGACTCACTGGATAAATAAATGAATGCAAAACTGCAATCTCACATTACATCCACTAAAGCAAAGTGCAGATGAAATTCTAAATTTTAAATGTAAATCAAAATTAATCCATCATTAAAAATTATAGGTTATTCAGGTAAGTTAATAGAACTCAGGATGTGAACAGACTTTTAAAATATTTTAGAGTGACTCATAGAAAAATGATGTACTACTTATAATTGCAAAGAAATAAAAACTTAAATGTCTACCAATTGAATGCTTGTTTTTAAATATATATGTTTTAAAGGATATTAGACTATAGGAGAAAAAGCACATATGGTATAGAAAATCAGAAAAAAATACATCATAATGCCAATTTTGTTATTTAAAAATTGGTTAGAAAGAAATACACCAAAATGTTATCTCTGAAAGATGGGCTTGAAAGTAATTAATTTCTCTTCCTCATACTTTCTTTTATCCAAACTTTTTATAGTTGATCAAGAACAACCAACTAAAAGATACATACTTTTAATATTATTAAAGAATTACTCTGAAATATTGCTAAGTCCAGACAGATCATTTCATCAAACTTTTATGGAATGGCATTTTCCCCTGCTTTATAAGCTATTCAGAAGTTAAACATGGTTAAAAATTATCCAATTCATTTTATTAGCCTAATAGAATTCTGAGACTAAAATGTAACCAAAAAATTATTAAAATGAAAACTAAAGAAAATCTTCAATTAAATACTAAAAATCTTAATTCAACAGTAACTTAAGGATTATACCATAATAATTAAGTTCATAACATAATTGCAAACATGTGAACCCATTACTATAATACAAATACATCATATCAGCCAGTGAAATCAGAAAACACATATGATCATTTCGACAGATGCCCAAAAGGTGTGCAACATTCATCTCATATAAAATCTCTCAGAAAGAAAGATGGTGGGATGGAAAATTATTCAATAAATGGTGCTGTGAAAACTAACTGAACATTTGAGAAAATCTATTTAGTGTCTCACTCATCATCTACCAAATCCCAAACACTTTAGAGTTAGAGTTAAAAATCAGCAGTACACATCTAGAAGAAAATATAAGGGATTTATATCAAATTGTTGAATGACTAAGGATTTCAAAGCTTTAAAAAATATGAAAAGTTTTATAAAGAGAAAATATAAATTAAGTTATAATCACAATTATAGACCAAAGAATCCAGCATTTCTTCAACTATCAAATATAATCTAAATTCTAACTGGAAAATTGATCCTAGTGGGATAAAATATGCAGACTTTTATAAGAAGTAATAACTGGAGACTTTCTTCACTTGTTCCTTAGTTTGTGTAGGAATTAATATGTACTGTATATTTACAGTACATATTAAATATATTAATATATTTTACACTTAAAAAAATCCATTCCCCTAACTATTCTTGTAGTTTCAGCAGCAACACAGTGCTTGGCTAGGCACTCTATAAATGTGTGTTGAATGACTGACACTCTCCTCCCCACAAAATGTTCATATTTCATTAAAAATGTAAGGTTTCTGGTTTTTATTTTCCTCTCATATACTATCAGGGCAAGAAATATCCTATAGATTGGAATAAAACTTAGGGATAAACCCGTGGACTGTAAAATGAGATAGGACTTACCGACATTACACTTTTTGGCAAATCACTAACTTTTGTACAAACAAATTGACAACACGATATTGTGTGTACCAAATCTACTTTAAGATGATTTAACTAGACTGAGTCACTATACCACTATTTCCCAAATTATCTCACAGAACATTAGTCTTGCAAAATGATCCAGAAATAAAGAATTCTTTGGCCATATTCTTCCACTTGAAGATTTATCACGCATATCAACATATTAAAGGCTCTGAACGTTCCTTAATGAAAAAATCTGTTAAATTTTGTTTAGCCCATTTTTTATCATGAAATCCTGTTATCACATAACCTCTATTAATATCCTATGGAAATGCCTTTCTGTGGAAAATCACATTACCTAATTTCAAATTGAACTGATAATTAATTGTTCAAATGTTTTGGTTATGGAATGAATAGACGTTGTTCAAAATTTGTTTTCTAACTAAACCCAAACAGGCCCACATTCTCTACATATTCTCTGAGTTTACATTCTTTGAGTTTTTGTTATGCGAAGAAGTTCCTATTTTATAAGTCAACATATTTAACAATTACCTTTATCTTTTCAATACTTTTAACAATTTAAACCTTTAAGTTTTAAAAGTAACGTTCGCAGTAAGTCATTTATTTGGGTAAAATCAACAAGATTTTTAAAAACCATGAAGTGGCAGGATTTATATGGAAGAAGAAATACAATATTGCAGGAATAGGCCAAACAGAAGCAAATTTTACACCTAAAATATTACATTATTTTTATGTGTAGCCTTTGCTATTGTTAATTTGAAATTTCATTTCTATATAAAATAGAGAATTTCACAAAAAACAAATATTGAAAATGTAGATTTAAATAAGTAATTGATATGACTTGGGATGGTAATCAGGAATATTAGCACTTAATCAGAAAACTACTTGTACTAGAAGAGTAGACACCCTACTGTAAAATGAGTTATCTCTGAGTAATTTTAAGTTATTATGTTAATTTTAATGTTGTCATAATGAGTATTTTATTTTTATTTTTCTCTTTTTTGACTATTTGTATTTTCTAACTTCTCTGTAATAAATATAAATCACATTGACAATAAGGAAAAAATTACAAGTTTTCATTTAAAAAATCCTTTATGTAGAAAGTTAAAACAGAAAGGTTGCAAACATTTCAGGCAAAAAGAGCAAGGCTGGCTATAGACCAAATTGTGAGAAAGGCAGTTTACCTCCAGCACTCTCTCTTTCTCCATCCTGTTCCTTCCTTCTTCCTCCAGTTACTGTGTGCCTTCATGACTAACCTAACTACTAACCAGCCCCACTCCTTCTTGCCACCACCATCTCAATTTGGCCCCTCAGGCATAAAACATTCAGTGCTGTCTTCCCCAATCTGACACTACCTCTTCTGCTAATTGCCAATTGATAAATGAACTTAGAACAATTGTAAGCAGAATTAAAATTCCTTCCTATTAGTTTGTTATTCTTGACATAAGAAACCAATATAAACTAGCATCAAATACAGATTGACATGAATCACACACACCCACATATACACACACACACACACACACACACACTATCAATAGACCTTACAGAATCATCTGGATGAAAAGAAAGAAAGATCTGGACAGTATTAGAACAGTATTATTGCTCTTAATCATCTTTGATGAAGGCTTCACCAGTTCCCCAGTGAGAAGTAATTGAGATTAACATGAAAACCACACTCTGTATTATTTGTACTTTGCATATTTATATATACACATATTAACTATTTTTTTAATCATAGAGTTTACTATGGAGTTCACTCATTCCCAATTACATCATTGTATTTTATTACAAAGGTTGAAGTTAAAAGAACCCCTTCAGGCACTATTAAAGATAGGGTAAATCCAAAGATTGTGATAGCCTGGGATGGCACCTCACATGGATATTTGCCTCTTTGTATATGTTGCCTACTCCAAAACCAGTACTTCTGGATTAGACATGTCACTTTTACTGGGTGTTGGGCTGCTTGAAAGTATCAGATAAGAGTACTGAGAGGAGGAAATTTTACTTTTTCACTTACTCAGAGATACCTGGGAGACAATGCACATAATGGTTAAGAACCTGGATGTCACTTAACTTTCTAAATCCCAGTTCCCTCATCTATAAATTAGAAATTATAGTTGTGGATCAGGAGTGGTGGCCTCATGCCTATAATCCCAGCACTTTGTGGGGACCAAGGTGGGAAGATTGCTTGAGGCCAGGAGTTCAAGATGAGCCTGGGCAATATAGCCAGATCCTGTCTCTAAAAATAAAAATAAAAAAAACTAGCTGGGCATGGTGGCACATACCTGTAGTCTTAGCTACTTGGGAGGCTGAGGTGGGAGGACTGCTTGAGTCCAGGAGTTCAAGGATATGATCTTGCCACTGCATTCCACCCTGGGCAACTGAAAGACCCCATCTCTAAAAAGATAAATGAATAAAATAAACATTTTCAAAAGGAAATTATAGTTGTGGCTAACTCATATGACTAAGGGTAAGAATTAAAGGAGATAATACTTGTAAAGTTTTACCACAGTGCCTGGCACATAATTAATTCTAAATAAATATTTGTTATTATTGGGAAATTTTAATTCTGACTCTGATGGTAGGCACATTACCCAAAATAATCCAGTGTGCACAGTTTTAAAACACTACCTCATAGGACTGTTGTAAATATTTTACAATGGTAGACAATAGTTTTATTTTATTTTATTTTTTTAAAAGACAGGGTCTCGCTCTTTTGCTCAGGCTGGAGTGCAGTAGTGCAATCATGGCTCACTGCAGCCTCAACCTCCTGGGTTCAAGGAATCCCCCTGCCTCAGCCTCCGAAGTAGCTGGGACCACAGGCATGTGCCACCACACCCGGCTAATTTTTAAAAAATTGTTTTTGTAGAGATAGGATCTCACTGTGTTACCAACAGTATTTTTAAAAATGCTTAGGTACCAATTGAACATGTAATAAAAGTTTTCCCTCTTTAATTTGTGCCTTCCTCCAAAACATAAAGATTACTAGTTAACTTTTCACAAAATTTTCTGAAACTTTCCATGTTACCCAAATTAGAATCTAAGAAACATCCTTGGCTTTACTAAGAAATGAATATTTTGTGACTAAGGCATTATAACATTGTACCTATTTCACTGATGAATAAACTATTTGAAAATAATTGGTCTAAGTCACAGAGAATTTGTGAGAAAAGCAAAAATAGGCTGTGCAAGACCTAATTCACCATCACGTGAAACAAAAAGCCCAGGCTCTGTATGGTGATTTACACCCAAGTTATCGCAGAAATAGTACATATGCTATAGCATTATAGGCTATTGCTTATTATATGTGCTATCAAAAACAAGGACTAATATTCTTAAGCCCTTAGCTGCTTTAAGAAAAATAATTTTAAAAATATTTTTCTCATCTTTAATTCTACATTGGTTAAAAGCCAAAGACAAAATGGCATAATCACTACAGTGAGAAAGCAGCTGAATCCCAAAGTCTACCTTTTCATTTTGGTTCTACCACAAACCAGTAAGGTGACCATTTTAAGTGTTATCTTTCTGGTTAAATGGTTTCAACTGAAAGTGAGGGAGATGACCTAAGTAACTAGCAAAGTCCTTTACTTTAGAAGCAGCATGGGACTGCAGAAAAAGCATGGATTTACGAGTCCCATCTGGGCTCACATCCTCTAATTTCGACTAGTTCTATTATCTTTGAGCAAATTGATTTCCCGAAATAAAATGTCCTTCGGTTTTCCAGTGAAAAGTAAATGGGTAAAAAAGTAAATCAAGCCTGTAATCCCAGCACTTTGGGAGGCTGAGGCGTGCGGATGACCTGAGAGGTCAGGAGTTCGAGACTAGCCTGACCAACATGGTGAAACCCCATCTGTACTAAAAATACAAAAATTAGGCGGGCATGGTGGTGCGCGCCTGTAATCCCAGCTACTCGGGAGGCTGAGGCAGGAGAATCGCTTGATCCTAGGGGGCCGAGGTTGCAGTCAGCCGAGATCACGCCACTGCACTCCAACCTGGGTGACAGAGTGCGACTCCGTCTCAAAAAACAAAAAGTAAATGAGATAAGGCATGTAAAGTCCCAGCTCAACTAGTGGCTCTGCAGGTGGCTCCCCGGCGGCACCAGGGCTGCCTGTGCCGTGCGTTAGGGAAGAAGGGCGAGGGGCTGTAGATTACAGTCAAGCGAAGACAATCTCGTTATTTAAAGACCTGGCTCGCCCTAATAGAGACTTTTTCTTTTAATGTAAGTAATGAAAAAGGAGGGAAAATATTTGAAAAGAAATCGTATTCGTATTGAGATACTCAAACTACAACGGATCCGTTTTACTTTTTACATAATTGATACAAATTAAGTGGAGTTCAACCATTACTTTTCTAAATATAAAGATTGTGAGAAATAATACGTGTTCATTTCTCCCTCGCAAACCTGCATTTCTCCTGTGTTCCTTGTAAAAAGCTCAGCTTTCCATCTGAGCTGGCTTCAACTATAATGACCCGAAAATCTGGGCACGTCGATTCTTTTTTTCTGTTTACGTTAAACATTGAACATTATAAAAAATTAAGTTACATTTAGCTGAATTTAATTACACTTAATGAGTGACCCTCATTGAAAACAATACATTGGCCGGGCGCGGTGGCTCACGCCTGTAATCCAACACTTTGGGAGGCCGAGGCAGGCAGACGGCCTGAGATCCGGAGTTCGAGACCAGCATGGCCAACATGGTGAAATCCCGTCTCTACTAAAAACACAAACATTAGCCGGGCATGGTGGCATGCACCCGTATCCCACCTACTCGGGAGGCTGAGACAGAATCGCTTGAACCTGGGAGGCGGAGGTTGGAGTGAGCCGAGATCACGCCATTTCACTTCAGCCTGGGCGACAGAGTGAGACTCTGTCTCAAAACAAAACAAAACAAACCCAAAAAACAAACAAAAAAACCCAAACAATACATTGACATGAAATTAGGACTGTACTGGTAAATCCAAGGGCGTGTGGTTTCCCTCCCACTACTGGCCAAGGCCACCCTGTCAGGCGTCTGAAATATTCCGCGTATGAAGCTTAAATGCAGATTCTATTTATAGGATTCGGCCAAGTCCCACGTGCTCTCTCAGCCCTGACCTTCTGTACCCCGGAGGAACCAGACCCAGAATTCAAATTTTTGATTAATCGCTGTAGTTCAGGGGAATTCATGAAAAGGGACAAAATGAGTGCTTATATTTCTGGAAGGAGACACACTAATAAGGACTTGGTGCTGTTACAGAATTACCTAATTATTAAGGAGTGTAAAACAAACAAACAGTGAGCTTCTTACCTGCGCGGGATACCTCGGATTAAGAGAAGCTTGTCCAGCCCACGGCCCACAGGCCCATGCAGCCCAGGACGGCTTTGGATGTGGCCCAACACAAGTTCGTGAACTTTCTTAAAACATTATGAGAACTGTTTTTTTTTTTTTTGCTTTTTTTCTTTTAACCTCATCCGCTATCCTTAGTGTATTTCATGTGTTGCCCGAGACAATTCTTTTTCTAATGTGGCCCAGGGAAGCCAAAAGATTGGACACTCCTGGATTAAACCATTCTCCCTAGTGAGTTCCTATTGGAGAGACAAAGAGAAGCTCAGGTTCAAAATTCTACCTCAGATTAACTTATATTATTACACATGTTTGTTTATTGTGATTTGTTCTGTTGATTGGATTGGGAAGATTGAGGTTCTTTTATTGAATTGGGGCCTAAATAAGTTATATTTCTAAGAAAATCCCCCCCTACTCCTGGAAAGTGGAACAGTCCACTGGCGATGCTTGGGGTCTCGGATGTGTTCAACTGGTGGCTAGGCAGGTGGCTCCGCACGTAGCTTCCTGGCTGCACCCGGCGCTGCATGTGCCTATGCCTGTGCTTTAGGGAGGAAGGGCGAGGGGCCATAAGTTACAGTACAGCGAAGGCAATCCTCTTATTAAAGAGATGGCTCACCCTAACAGAGATTTTTTTTAATTGAAATAATGAAAAAAGGAGAGACAATATTTTTAAAAAATTGTATTCGTATTGAGGTAAACTACAACGAATCCATTTTATTATTACTTTTTACATAATTGATGTAAATTGGAGTGCAATGATTACTTTTCTAAATATAAAGATTGTGAAAAATAAAATGTGAAGTTTATTTTTTCTAATGAAGATAGCTTTGTATTTTTCTAATTTTAATTATAGTACATGATAATTGTTTAAAAAATCAAAACAGTATACAAAGGTATAAAAGGAGAAAATAAAATCAGCTGAAATCTCACCACTTTGAGATAATCACTGCTAAAATTTTGCTGAGCAATTTTCTAATCATCTTATAATGCATATACACACACATATACATATAATTTTACATAGCTGGATACTTCTGTAGACATAGTGTTTTGTATGCTGCTTTCTAATGAAATAGTATGTGGTATATATTTTCTTATGTCATTAAATATAGGTCGACATTATTTTTTCTATGACTGGGTAGTATGATTGAACATAAAGTTATTTAATCCCTGTTAAAGGATAATTCTATTGTTTCCCATTTATTTAATAGCAAGTAAGTGGTACTGTAGAGAATATTCTTGTATATACAAATCTGAGTACTTGCAGGGTTATCTTCTAAGGATAAATTTCTAGAAGTAGAATTGCTGGATCAAAAAAATATATCTACTGTATTGAAAATTTTGGTACATATTTTCGAATTGTCCTCCAGAAACATGATATCAATGTACAATCCTAGGTACCAGAGAATGTCCATTTCTTTTTTTAATCTACATTATTTTATTGTGAAAAACTCAGAATATAATAATTTTATGAGAATATTTTAAAACTACAAGGCACCCTATAAACATCTGATGAAACAGGGATTGACAGCTGTATTTCTGAAGCATTATATTTCTCATGGGGTATATTAGCTAGGCCTCTTTTTTTAATTATTATACTTAAAGTTCTAGGGTACATGTGCACAACGTGCAGATTTGATGCATAGGTATACATGTGCCATGTTGGTTTCCTGCACCCATCAACTCATTTACATTAGGTATTTCTCCTAATGCTATTCCTCCTCTAGCCCCCCACCCCCCGACAGGCCCAGGTGTGATGTTCCCCGCCCTGTGTCCAAGTGATCTCATTGTTCAATTCCCACCTATGAGTGAGAACATGTGGTGTTTGGTTCTCTGTCCTTGTGATAGTTAGTTCAGAATGATGGTTTCCAGCTTCATCCATGTCCCTGCAAAGGACATGAACTCATCCTTTTTACGGCTGCATAGTATTCCATGGTGTATACGTGCCACATTTTCTTAATCCAGTCTATCATTGATGGACATTTGGGTTGGTTCCAAGTCTTAGCTATTGTGAATAGTGCCGCAATAAACATACGTGTGCATGATTTATAATCCTTTGGGTATATACCCAGTAATGGGAATGCTGTGTCAAATGGTAATTCTAGTTCTAGATCCTTGAGGAATTGCCACACTGTCTTCCACAATCGTTGAACTAATTTACACTCCCACCAACAGTGTAAAAGCATTCTTATTTCTCCACATCCTCTCCAGCACCTGTTGTTTCCTGACTTTGTAATGATCGCCATTCTAACTGGTGTGAGATGGTATCTCATTGTGGTTTTGATTTGCATTTCTCTGATGACTAGCGATGATGAGCATTTTTCCATGTTTTTGGCTGCATAGATGTCTTCTTTTGAGAAGTGTCTGTTCATATCCTTTGCCCACTTTTTGATGGGGTTGTTTGTTTTTTCCTTGTAAATTTGTTTGAGTTCTTTGTAGATTCTGGATATTAGCCCTTTGTCAGATGAGTAGATTGCAAAAATTTTCTCCCATTCTGTAGGTTGCCTGTTCACTCTGATGGTAGTTTCTTTTGCCATGCAGAAGCTCTTTAGCTTAATTAGATCCCATTTGTCTATTTTGGCTTTTGTTGCCATTGCTTTTGGTGTTTTACTCATGAAGTCCTTGCCCATGCCTATGTCCTGAATGGTATTGCCTATGTTTTCTTCTAGAGTTTTTATGGTTTTAGGTCTAACGTTTAAGTCTTTAATCCATCTTGAATTAATTTTTGTATAAGGTGTAAGGAAGGGATCCAGTTTCAGCTTTCTACATATGGCTAGCCAGTTTTCCCAGCACCATTTATTAAATAGGGAATCCTTTCCCTATTTCTTGTTTTTCTCAGGTTTGTCAAAGATCAGATGGTTGTAGATGTGTGGTGTTATTTCTGAGGGCTCTGTTCTGTTCCATTGGTCTATATATCAGTTTTGGTACCAGTACCATGCTGTTTGGGTTACTGTAGCCTTGTAGTATAGTTTGAAGTCAGGTAGCGTGATGCCTCCAGCTTTGTTCTTTTGGCTTAGGATTGTCTTGGCGATGCGGGCTTTTTTTTGGTTCCATATGAACTTTAAAGTAGTTTTTTCCAATTCTGTGAAGAACGTCATTGGTAGCTTGTTGGGGATCACATTGAATCTATGAATTACTTTGGGCAATATGGCCATTTTCATGATCTTGATTCTTCCTATCCATGAGCATGGAATATTCTTCCATTTATTTGTGTCCTCTTTTATTTCGTTGACCAGTGGTTTGCAGTTCTCCTTGAAGAGGCCCTTCACATCCCTTGTAAGTTGGATTCCTAGGTATTTTATTCTCTTTGAAGCAATTGTGAATGGGAGTTCACTCATGATTTGGCTCTCTGATTGTCTGTTAACGGTGTATAGGAATGCTTGTGATTTTTGCACGTTGATTTTGTATCCTGAGACTTTGCTGAAGTTGTTTATCAGCTTAAGGAGATTTTGGGCTGAGATGATGGGGTTTTCTAAATATACAATCATGTCATCTGCAAACAGGGACAATTTGACTTCCTCTTTTCCTAATTGAATACCCTTTATTTTTTTCTCTTGCCTGATTGCCCTGGCCAGAACTTCCAACACTATGTTGAATAGGAGTGGTGAGAGAGGGCATCCCTGTCTTGTGCCAGTTTTCAAAAGGAATGCTTCCAGTTTTTGCCCATTCAGTATGATATTGGCTGTGGGTTTGTAATAAATAGCTCTTATTATTTTGAAATAGATTCCATCAATACCTAGTTTATTGAGAGTTTTTAGCATGAAGGACTGCTGAATTTTGTCAAAGGCCTTTTCTGCATCTATTGAGATAATCATGTGGTTTTTGTCTTTGGTTATGTTTATGTGATGGATTACGTTTATTGATTTGCATATGTTGAACCAGCCTTGCATCCCAGGGATGAAGCTGATTTGATCATGGTGGATAAGCTTTGCGATGTGCTGCTGGATTTGGTTTGCCAGTATTTTATTGAGTATTTTCACATCCATGTTCATCAGGGATGTTGGTATAAAATTCTTTTTCGGTTGTATCTCTGCCAGGCTTTGGTATCAGGATGATTTTGGACTCATAAAATGAGTTAGGGAGGATTCCCTCTTTTTCTATTGATTGGAATAGTTTCAGAAGGAATGGTACCAGCTCCTCTTCGTACCTCTGGTAAAATTCGGCTGTGAATCCGTTTGGTCCTGGACTTTTTTGGTTGGTAGGCTATTAATTATTGCTTCAATTTCAGAGCCTGTTATTGGTCTATTCAGACACTCAACTTCTTCCTGGTTTAGTCTTGGGAGGGTGTTTGTGTCCAGGAATTTATCCATTCCTTCCAGATTTTGTAGTTTGTTTGTGTAGATGTGGTTGTATTATTCTCTGTTGGTAGTTTGTGTTTCTGTGGGATCGGTGGTGATATCCCCTTTATCATTTTTTACTGCGTCTATTTGATTCTTCTCTCTTTTCTTCTTTATTAGTCTTGCTAGTGGTCTATCAATTTTGTTGATCTTTTCAAAAAACCAGCTCCTAGATTCATTGATTTTTTGAAGGGTTTTTGTGCCTCTATCTCTTTCAGTTCTGCTATGATCTTAGTTATTTCTTGCCTTCTGCTAGCTTTTGAATTTGTTTGCTCTTGCTTCTGTAGTTCTTTTAATTGTGATGTTAGGATGTCAATTTTAGATCTTTCCTGCTTTCTATTATGGGCATGTAGTGCTATAAATTTCCCTCTACACACTGCTTTAAATGTGTCCCAGAGATTCTGGTACGTTGTGTCTTTGTTCTCATTGATTTCAAGGAACATCTTTATTTCTGCCTTCATTTTGTTATTTATCCAGTAGTCATTCAGGAGCAAGTTGTTCAGTTTCCTTGTAGTTGTGCGGTTTTGAGTGAGTTTCTTAATCTTGCGTTCTAATTTGATTGCAGTGTGGTCTGAGAGACAGTTTCTTGTGATTTTTGTTCTTTTACATTTGCTGAAGAGTGCTTTACTTCCAATTATGTGGTCAATATTAGAATAAGTGCGATGTGGTGCTGAGAAGAATGTACATTCTTTTGATTTGGGGTGGAGAGTTCTATAGATGTCTATTAGGTCTGCTTGTTGCAGAGCTGGGTTCACGTCCTGGATATCCTTGTTAACCTGTCTGGTTGATCTGTCTAATATTGACAGAGGGGTATTAAAGTCTCCCATTATTATTGTGTGGGAGTCTAAGTCTCTTTGTAGATATCTAAAGACTTGCTTTATGAATCTGGGTGCTCCTGTATTGGGTGCATCTATATTTAGGATAGTTAACTCTTCTTGTGGAATTGATCTCATTACCATTATGTAATGGCCTACTTTGTCTCTTTTGGTCTTTGTTGGTTTAAAGTCTGGTTTATCAGAGACTAGGATTGCAACCCCTGCTTTTGTTTGCTTTCCATTTGCTTGGTAGTTCTTCCTCCATCCCTTTATTTTAGCCTATGGGCATCTTTGCACATGAGATGGGTCTCCTGAATACAGCACACTGATGGGTCTTGACTCTTTATCCAATTTGCCAGTCTGTGTCTTTTAATTGGGGCATTTAGCCCATTTACATTTAAGGATAATATTGTTATGTGTGAATTTGATCCTGTCATTATGATGTTCACTGGTTAGTTTGCCCGTTAATTGGTGCAGTTTCTTCATAGCATCGATGGTCTTTACAATTTGGCCTGTTTTTGCAGTGTCTGGTACCACTTGTTTCTTTCCACGTTTAGTGCTTCCTTCAGGAACTGTTGTAAGGCAGGCCTGGTGGTGACAAAATCTCTCAGCATTTGCTTGTCTGTAAAGGATTTTATTTCTCTTTTACTTATGAAGCTAAGTTTGCCTGGATATGAAATTCTGGGTTGAAAATTCTTTTCTTTAAGAATGTTGAATATTGGCCCCCACTGTCTTCTGGCTTGTAGGTTTTCTGCTGAGAGATCTGCTGTTAGTCTGATGGGCTTCCCTTTGTGGGTAACCTTACCTTTCTCTCTGGCTGCCCTTAACACTTTTTCCTTCATTTCAACCTTGGTGAATCTGACAATTATGTGTCTTGGGGTTGCTCTTCTCGAGGAGTATCTTTGTGGTGTTCTCTGTATTTCCTAAATTTGAATGCTGGCCTGCCTTGCTATGTTGGGGAAGTTCTCCTGGATAATATTCTGAAGAGTGTTTTCCAACCTGGTTCCATTCTCCCCATCACTTTCAGGTACACCAATCAAACTTAGATTTGGTCTTTTCACGTAGTCCCATATTTCTTGGAGGCTTTAATCATTTCTTTTTACTCTTTTTTCTCTAACCTTGTTTTCTTGCTTTATTTCGTTACTTTGATCTTCAATCACTGATACCCTTTCTTCCACTTGATCGAATCAGCTATTGAAGCTTGTGCATGCATCATGAAGTTCTCATGCCATGGTTTTCAGCTCCATCAGGTCATTTAAGATCTTCTCTACACTGTTTATTCTAGTTAGCCATTTGTCTAATCTTTTTTCAAGGTTTTTAGATTCCTTGCAATGGGTTCGAACAGGGGAATGCCCCCGAGAATGTCCATTTCTAACACACACAATGTCATTGTTGCCAATCCTTTCCAGCTTTGACAAGCCAAAACATTTTTCTTTTCTTTATTATTAAGTTGAATATCTTTTCTTACACTTACTGTCCATTTGCATTTCATCTTCTGACTTTGTTCATGTCATTTACATTTTTTTCTATTGTGGCAGCCATCTATTAATTATTTATAAGAACAATTTGTATGTTAAGAATATTAACCTTTTGTTTATAACAAACATATTAATAATTAACATTATTAATAAACATATTTTCCCAATTTATTATCTGCCTTTTAATTTTCCTTATTGTGTATTTTATACATGTATTCATTTAAAGTGAACAAATCTATCTTTTTTATAAACCTTACTACTTAAGTATGGAATTTTATTTTAAAGTATAGGAATACAAAGAATTATAAAGTAGGTGCCTTTTCTCAGGTTGTCAGCTCCACTATTTTCTGAGGTATGTCAGTAATACGTTTGATTAACTTGTCACTTGCCCTTCCAAAAGCAGTTTTACAAAAGTAAAATGTCACAGACTAGCAATACTGTAACCAGAAAGTAACCCTAATTCAAACCTAATCTAAGAGTTTGCAGGCATACAATAAGAGACAATTCAATTTCCCATTATTCTAGTTTTTTCAGATACCAAGAACTTTCACACAGATTCTAGACTGCCCAAGGAAGGCATCTCACCTTGAAGCCTAGAATACCAGAAAAGAATACATCAGGCTCTAGAACCTTTCCTGACAAACATTAATTTCTAATAACTATTACCAAGTATGTGACTTATTGCCTTAGGATGATAATAGTCACTATCAACTACCACTGTTTTAGATAAAACCCCCATGAACATTGTTTTATGAAAAGTTTTGTATTCTTTTAAATTGTCTTTGAAAATTTTTCAAAAGTGGGATTATTGGATCAAAGGATATAAACATTTATATAACTCTTGTTACCTAGCACCATATTGTTCTCCAAATGAGCAATACCACTAACACTATTTCTATATTTATTCCATCTCAGCTTTACTAATTCTGAGTGTTATTAATAATTATTTTTGGCCAGGTGTGGTGGCTCATGCCTGTGATCCCAACACTTTGGGAGGCCGAGTTGGGCAGATTGCTTGAGCCCAGGAGTTTGAGATCAACCTGGGCAACATGGCGAAACCCCATCTCTACAAAAAAAATACCATCATTAGCCAGGTGTGGTGGTATGCACCTGTATTCCCAGCTACTGGGAGGCTAAGGTGGGAGGGTTGCTTGAGTCCAGGAGGTGGAGGCTGCAGTGAGCCATGATCTCGACACTGCACTCCTGCCCAGAGACAGAGTGAGATCCTGTCTCAATTAAAATAATAATAATAATAAATAATTATTATTGTTGTTATGAGCTTGCTAAACATAGAAGGGACATTTATTGTACTTTTAATACTTTAAAAAAATTTTCCACATGCGTTAGGTTGCCTGGGTTTTGGGATATATTTTGTATTAATTAAAAAATTAATCATGATAAAATTTGCTCCATATTTCTAGATATTTTTAAAGGTAGGAACAACTAGAACAATCCCACTTTTTAAAATAAGGAAAATATATCTTTTTTAGCAGAAAAATAAGTAAGAATGTAAAATAATACATTGTGTCCTAGATCTGTAGATTCACTTTCCCTTAATCTCTGAAGGCATTTCACATGTAATCAAATTTATAATTGGGCCAAAAGTATACTTTCTTTCCACATTGCAGTTAGAATGATCTTTTTAAAATACAATCTTAAAACAGTTTTCATAAAAGTCCCAAATTCTTAACATTACTGTTCAGCCCTTCCATGATCTGACATCTGTCTCCTCCTTCAGTGAGGATCCAGCATGTAGCCCGCACTCTTAATGCTGGTCTTCTCTTACTTCAGAGAATCTCTTGTCTTTAGTACCCAGTATGGTGTTTCCTTTGACTTAAGGGTTTTTCTGCACCCACCTCACCCAACAGGTCTTCATTTATCAGGGGTCTCTTGGAACATCATGTATTTTCAACTAGATGGCCAGGAAAGAATTTCTAAAACATGGCAATCACACAAAGATCATGTTAGGAAGAATAATACAGCAACACATGACTAGGTCTCACCCAGGAGTCTCAGGTAAATCAGGGGTCTTGAAACTTAGCTCCACAATGTCTACTTCTTGCTATAATAATACCTGCTTAACCTGCATCATAGGTCATGAGGATCAAAAGAGATAATATATCTGGAAACAAGTTGAAATTTAAAGTAGTACCCAGTTACCATTTTTTATTGATGTTTTGCTTGTTGTGAGAACAATAATAAATGTTTGACTTCAATTAACTGACAAATATTACCTAAGTTGAACAAACAAATCTAATCAATTGTTCATTTAATTTACGGACTATTCTACTCTTTTGAGGCTGTTAGCTTATCTGTACTATGCATTAAATTGGCCAGAAAAATACATTTTCTTGAATTAATACAATTTTCCTCAAGGCTAGTAATTGTATTTAAAAACATCTTTTAATGGGAACATGACATCCTTCAATAAAAGCAGTTAAATGAGTATATGTGAGAAGAAGGATCATTAAGACTAATTTTCTGGTTATTAATAGATAACCAGAAAATAGATAATTAGATACTCACTACCACATATACTTGTTAAAAAGATTCAATTGATCAGTGACAGAGAAGAGACATAAAGGAAGTGGGGTGAGCCAAAGGCAGGAAGATAGGTTTTTGCAGAGGAGATGGAAGAAAGATGACAAATTTCATTTACTTTGCAGTTTGTCTCTGGGCTATTCTGGGACCAAAGGTCATAATGATGAACATCATTTTTCTATACTCTTATGGAATATTTTTCTTATTTTACTTTTCAATTGCTTTAATTGTATGCAAGTGGAGAGTTATTCTAACTTTTTTGTAGTTCAAAGTAAAACAAAGCTCTAATGGGCATTCATCTTGAGAATCTATAAAATCTTGTGATAACTATGTATTATACCTATGACTCCAAAAATTTCAAAGTATTTCTTGTATTCATTTATTTATTTGACAAACGTTTATTGAACACCTGACAAATATTTTTTGGGGAACCATTTTAAATGCTAAGGATGCAGTGGTGAACAAGAGTCTATATTTTAGTGGGTGGAAACAGCCAATACATAAAAGAATAAATATCGAATATAGAAGTGCAATAAGTGCTGTTGAGAAAAATAAAAAGGATGGTTAATGATGGCGGTTGGTCAGGGGAAGGCCTGTTTGTGGAGATAGCATTTGAGGTGAGACATGAATGAAATGAAGGGTGAGCCATGTGAATGTCTGAGCAAAAGTTTCCAAACAGAGGAAAAACAAGGATTAGGCCAAGGTGGGTTGGAGCTTTGCATGTTGTAGAATAGCAAGAAGGCTCTTTTGTTTCTGGAAGAATAAAGTTTCTTGAAGAGCAAATCAAACAGCAAATCCCTGTTCTTTGGAACTTACATTATACTAGGGGGAGGGAGACAAATAAAATGAATCAACCATCACATAAATACATGTCTGGTGGTGATAAGGTCTGTCTATGAAAGAAAGAGCAGATCAGGAGAAAGGGTAGGGGAAAAAAAGGAGCACTATTTTAGGTAGACTAGTGAGAGAAGGCTCCTTAGAGGAGATAACATTGAGCAGAATTCTCAATGAAAAGATGAGGGGCAGTGAACCATGCAGACATGTAGGAAATAGTGTCATGGGCAGTGAGTGCAAAGGCTCTGAGATGCTTAGAGAGATGCAAGGTGTCTGGGGAATTAGCTAGGAGAAAAGTGGTAAAAGATGAGGTCAGATTTGTAGCCAAGGGCAGAACTGCTTGGGGCTTGTATGTCTTTAAATTTATTCTCAGTGAGATGGGATGCCAGTAGAGAGTTCTGAGCTTTGATATGACAACGTTTTAGAAAGATCACTCTTTCTGCTGTGTTTAGGGGACGAGGGTGGAAGCTGGGAGGCCAGTCAGGAAGTTAACTGTGGTAGCCCAGGTGAGAGGCAAAGCCCTTTGAAGTAGCGGAGGTGTAGTAGAAAGGGGTAGGCGTTTGGATATCTTTTGAATGTAGAACTGACAGAATTTAAAAAATTGATTAGCTGTGGGATATAAGAAAATAAGTACCAATTGGAACGCATTTGCAAAACTTCAGACAGGATTGTGTAGTATTTATAGATGTAATTATTTGAAATGCTTACATCTTAATTATTCAAAGATGTTATTAATAACACGAATATAGATATGATGAATTCACTTAAGTAAGTTCTTTTAAATGTGAAGATCTAATTGAAAGGAAAATGCAAAAAATAATTGTCTTGTTTTGGCTTTTATTTAGCATCTGGCCATATGAGTAACACTTATAATTAAACCATTTGGCAACAAATTCACCAATTACTTGTTGTGCTGGGCACTTGAGTTTATCATAACAATTAGCTAAGTGGCACTAACAGGTGTTCACTGAGGTATCATACAATTCTTTTTGTTTGTTTGCTTGGTTGGTGTTTTTTTTGTTTTTTGTTTTTTGTTTTTTGTTTTGAGACGGAGTTTAGCTTTTGCTGCCCAGGACACAGATCAATAAAGTTCAATCTGGAGTAATGTTTAATTATTTTTTGGTAGGTACTCTTACAATAATATCCATGCTAGTGTCAGAAACATAGAATTACATAATATTATAGTATTTTTCCTTTTTTAGATACAGGAGAAGGGATGAGGAGGGCGGGTCTCACTATGTTCCCCAGGCTGGAGAATAGTGGCTATTCACAGGCAGGCTCATCGTCCACTATGGCCTTGGATCTCCTGGGCTCAAATGATCCTCCAGCCTCAGCCTCCCAAGCAGCTGGGACTACAGGCATGCACCACTGTGCCTGACTACACAGTATATATTTTTAGAAATAAAAACATTCCCTATTGTAATGCTGTTGTGGGGAAATAGGAAATAGGGCTTCCTTACAGGGTGACTTAGTTGTTACAACCTTTATTTATAAGTTATTTTAATTTTCATGTGACAGAGTTTGACTCCTTGAATTACTATAAAATCTATGTTAGGTAATAATGAGCTATGATAAAAGAGTTTTGGTGTACATTTGATTCAAGTTAATGATGCTTGATTTAGGTGTTTTCTTCAGTGACCAAATATGTATACTATTCTAAAGAATCCATTACTAGGCGGGGGCAGTGGTACACCTGTAATCCCAGCACTTTGGGAGGCCAAGGCGGGTGGATCACCTGAGGTCAGGAATTCGAGACCAGCCTGGCCAACATGATGAAACCCCGTCTCTACTAAAAATACAAAAAATTAGCTGGGCATGGTGGCTCACGCCTATAATCTCAGCCACTTGGGAGGCTGAGGCAGGAGAATTGCTTGAACCTGGGAGGTGGAGGTTGCAGTGAGCCGAGATCATGCCTTTGCACTCCATCCTGGGCAGCAAAAGCTAAACTCCGTCTCAAAACAAAAAACAAAAAACAAAAAAAACACCAACCAAGCAAACAAACAAAAAGAATTGTATGATACCTCAGTGAATACCTGTTAGTGCCACTTAGCTAATTGTTATGATAAACTCAAGTCTAATTTTAGTTTATTTTACCAAATTACAGATGAAGGTTAACATATTTTTAATGAATTGATTTTTAAAACATTAAACTGTCCTTTATTCTTGTTGTTGGCCTGTACTAATCAATGAACAATTGTTTTTTTTAATGCTGATTCAGGGATCAAAAGATAGAGTTACACTTATAATGTATGCCTGTTATGCTTCTAAATCATATTTTGTGCATTATTTTTACATATATTTTTAAACAAATTAATATTGGGGGAGTGACCATTGACTTGTTCATAGGACTCGTGCAATTCTTTTTTTTAAGCAGATCTGGAATTATTTTATTTATTCTGATAGAATTACTGTAAATTCTTGCCTACCCAGCATCCATTTTTAACAACTCTGAATCTTCAAGAACAAGTCTGGAATCATAATTAAATGAAATAAATATTGCAGAGAAAGGCTTCAGACACTTCAGTTTGAGGTTAAGAAAGGCAGAGGCTTATGATGGTTGTGTTAACCAAAACAAAACAGTGCCTTAATTGGTGAATACTATTCATAAAAATCATCTTGCTAACTTTTGTTTGTTAAATCCATGAAGCAGGGAATAAGTGAAAGGAACTAGAAAACAGAAGAAGAAAGAGGAGTGGTTAGTAAAGGAAGTGGTATAATTGCAGAAGTAGCAGAGGTTAGAAATGGTAGAAATGATGAGAAGCTGCAGGGATGAGTGGCAGCAGAGACCCCTTGAGGAGTAGATGGGAAAGTGGTCAGCTCTGCAGCCCACCTGCTCTGGAGCTCGTGAAAGCATAGGACAACCCCCTGGTGAGTCTATTAGCAAAAGAAAATTGCCACCCAGGTAGACCCTTTCTAAAAGCATATGTTATATATCTATAAAACACGTGTAGTAAGTTTCTTTTAAGCTAACATGAAAGAGAGCCATACCTTCTTCTGTTGTTCTGTTGCTGAGAAATGCTACATAATAAACAGTTTAATATTTCATGAATAATTATTTATGCCACACCTTTTGGTGAAAGAAAACATCTGTAAATGCCTTTCTTATCTGTTGAAATGCTATTTCAAGAAGTAAAAGGCATCCAGATTGGAAAAGAGGAAGTCAAATTGTCCCTCTTTGCAGATGACATGATCTTATATTTAAAAAAATCTAAAAACTCCACCAAGTAACTCTTAGATCTGATAAACAAATTCACTAAAGTTGCAGGATACAAAATCAACATACAAAAATCAGTGACATTTCTATACATTTATATTAAACTGGGTGAAAAATAAATCAAGAAGGCAATCCCATTTACAATAGCTACAAAAAAATTCTAGAAATAAGTTTTACCAAGGAGGTGAATGACCTGTATAAGGAAAGCTACAAAACACTGATGAAAGAAATTGAAGAAGACACAAACAAATGGAAAAACATCCCATGCTCATGGATCGAAAGGATTAACATTGTTAAAATGACCATACTACCCAAAGCAATCTATAGATTCAATACAATCCCTATGGAGATACCAACAACATTCTTCACAGAAATAGAAAAAAACAATCCTAAAGTTTGCACTGAACCAAAAAAGAGCCCAAATAGCCAAAGCAATCCTGAGCAAAAAGAACAAAGCTGGAGGCATCACACTACCTGTCTTCAAAATATATTACAAGGTTATAATAACCAAAACAGCATGGTATTGGTATAAACGGACACATAGACCAATGGAAGAGAATAGAAAACCCAGAAATAAATCGACGTATTTACTGCCAGCTTATTTTTTTTTAATTTGATTTTTTTTTTTTTGTAGCGATGGGGTCTTTCTCTGTCACTCAGGTTGAATTGCAGTGGCATGGTCATAGCTCACTGCAGGCTTGAACTCCTGGGCTCAAGTAATCCTCCCACTTCAGCCTTCCACATAACTGGGATTACAGGTCTGAGCTACCAAGCCTGGTTTACAGCCAACTAACTTTTGACAAAGGCACCTAGAACATCCATTCAAGTCTTTTTAATAAATGTGCTGGGAAAACTCTATATCCATATGCATAACAATGAAACTAGACCCCTTTCACTATATATAAAAATCAACTCAAAATAGATCAAAGACTTTAATATAGAACCTGAAACTATAAAATGACTGGAAGAAAACATAGGAGAAACACTCCAAGACATTGGTCTAGGTAAAGATTTTATGGCAAAGACCTCAAAAGCAGAGGCAACAAAAGCAAAGATAGACAAATGCAACTGATATGGTTTGGGTCTGTGCCTCCACCCAAATCTCATGTCAAATTGTAATCCCCTACGTTGGAGGTGGAGCCTGGTGGGAGGCGATTGGATTATGGTGGCGATTTCCCTTTTGGTGCTGTTCTCATGATAGTGAGTTGTCACAAGATCTGCTGGTTTAAAAGTGTGTAGCTCTTACTACCTCTCCCTCTTCCTCCTGCTCCGGCCATGTAAGAGATTACTCCTGCTTTGCCTTCTGCCGTGAGTAAAAGTTTCCTGAGGCCTCTCCAGGAGCCACTATGCATCCTGTATATCCTGCAGAACCATGAGCCAATTAAACCTCCTTTCTTTATAAATTACCCAGCCTCAGGTATTTCTTTATTGCAATGTGAGAATGAACTAATGTGGTGACTGTATTAAACCAAAAAGCTTTTGCACAGCAAATAAAACAATCAACACAGTGAAGAGACAACCTGTTGAATAGGAGAAAATATTTGCAAGCTGCTCATTTGACAAGGGAATAATATCCAGTATGTACAAGGAACTTAACCGCAAAAAAACCCCCCAAATAACCCCATTAAAAATTGGGCAAGGATATTAATAGATATTTCTCAAAAGAAGACAAATGACCAACAGCTATATGAAAAAATGTTCAACATTACTAATCATCGGGGAAATGTAAATCAACAAAACCACAAAGAGATATTATCGTATCCCAGTTAGAATGCTAATTACAAAAAGACAGATGCTGGTGAGGATATGGAGAAAAAGGAACTCATACAGCGTTGGTAATAATGTAAATTAGTATAGCCATTATGGAAAATAGCATGAAGATTTCTCAAAAAACTAAAAATAGAATTACCATATGATCCAGCAATCCCACTACTGGGTATTTATCCAAAGAAAAGTAGATCAGTATATCAAAGGGATACCTACACCCCCATGTTCATTTCAGCATTAAGGAAATGAAGCCTCAGAGAGGTTAAGTGCCTGGCCTCAGTGTCACCCAGCCAGGAAAAAACAGAACTGAGAATTTACTTGTGATTGCTCTATTCCAAAGACTAAGCTTTTGACCAATTTATTACACAATGTTAGGTCAGCAGAGATTGAAAGTTGCTAATCAGTGTGTTCCTCATTCTCTCATTCCCATCCCAGGATTTGGGCAAATATTAATAAATGTGATGACTGAGCAAGGCCTGTGAAGTCTGAATCCCAGGAATCCCTAAAATATATCTCCCACTTTCCTGCTAGCGTCTGACCAGATTTTGGGGTCCTAATTAATGTCTGGTTTGATAAGCTTCTTTAAAACATCTGAACTTAGCCAGGCAAGTTCAAGTGCAACAGGATTTTTCCAAGCAGCATCAGTCTAGAAACTGAGCAGTTGTGGTCTCAGTTCTGAACCACCAATCTTCTCTTACTTGAGTCTTGCAGGGAATTATTGTGAAGTTTGAATCTTGTCTCTGCCACCTACTAGCTGTGAGAATGAATGTAATTATTTACATTTCTGAGAATGCTCTTTGCCCCATCTGAAAACTAGTGTATAAATACCTTCCACAAAGTGATAAAAGGATTAACGTGAGATCATGAATTTGAAAGTGGCTGGTATGATAAATGCTAAGTAAAAAAATTTAAATGAAATAAAATGGATTAAGTGAAATAAAATGGTCTCCTTGTTTCCAGCTTCCAACTGTCTCTTCAACCTCTCTCTGCCAACGTCTGCTCCGACTTACCATGATTGCTCCTGGTTCTAGACTTCTGGCACCACCTGCCAATTCTCTTTCCCTCTGGCAAGCTCTGGCACTACCTTCCTAGGCAACATGAGGGAGGGCCTGGACTCGAGAACAGAGTCCCCCAAGTCCTGAGCAGAATTTATGTCTTCAAAACCTATTTACGGCATATGTAATTGTTGTACTGTCTTCAAAAACACAATGTATTTCCATTATTTTTCCAATTAAAATTTTAATAAAAACTCAGTGAGAAAAATTAGAAAATGTCAGAAACTTTAGAAGGAAAAAACCCACCATAATCTAATAACCTCTCAATAAACAATGTTAACAGCTGGATATATACTTTCAAGTGTTTTTCACTGATGTATCTTGAGAAAGGGAGCCTGGTTCCTTTTAAAGATTTCATTCTGAATCAGAAATTCAGTTACTAAAAAAAGCGAATCATCTCAAATTAGCATTTGATATTGAGGACCTATTATAGGCTGGACAGTTGACAGTTGCCTAGAGAATTGAAAGTAGAAATATCAGTCTGTCTCCTCAACAACATATAGTAGAAGCGCAGGCAGGGGCACACTATAAAAAGTTAGATGTAAATTTAAGTGCTAGATGGGAATAAATACAAAAGTAGGAGAAATTTCATATGTCAACTCATAAAAAAATTCCCAAATGAATGATATCTGTAATGAGTACTATGAGTTCAAACCTGCCAAGATCTTGTGGCTCTTAGCAAGGAGAACAATTATAAAGAGATTAAATTTTCGGTAAGAAAATGAAAAGCATATGTGTCTTGGGTTAGGTTGGGAGTAATATCTGAAGGGCAGGGTTTTCCAAACGAGAATAAACAGGGTCAAATGTAACATAGATGCCAGAGAATTTGTTGCTTTGAAAAAGACTTGAAAAGAATTTTACCTATACTAGAACCTATTTTTTTTCTATATCAATATTTCAATCTTATCCTCTTGGGTCACAAATGAACAAAAGGAGCTGAAGAAAACTGGGGAAACTTGAAGGACAAAGGCAGCTTTTCATTCACTTACTGGATTTTTATTGAGCACCTATATGTGGCAGGCACCTAGAGAGCAGGCCACCATGTATGTATACACATAGACTATGATACAATTGTGCAGTGCATAATCAATGCAACTGTCTGTGATGACCCTGCAATAAAGACACAACAGTGAATAGGTTCCTCACATTTGGAAAAGCGGGGGTGGGGGAGACTAGTAATAAATAAGGAAAAAATAAGGCAATTTCAGGCAGCAGTAATTGCTATGAAGAAAATAAAATAGCACAATGAGATAGAAAGAGATGTTGGGGGCAGGATCACAAAGAATGACTAGGGAAAGCCTCTTTAAATAAGGAGGAAACCACACAAAGATTTGGCAAATGCGTAGTTCAGGTAGAGGAAAAAGGAAGGGCAAAGTTCCTGCATGGGAATGATTATGCATTCATTCCAGTGTGTCAGTGGTCTAATGTGCAAGTGGCGAACATCGAGGCGGTAGAGCTAGACAGGGGCTAGATTATGTAAACTATGGTGAAAATGTCTGGATTTTATTCTAAAGGAAATATTGAATCTTTAATAGCATACAGTAGGAAAGAGGTGCTTCTTGTTGGCATGAAGATCTGGTTGAACAAAAATCCTAGCTGAAGGCTGGCTACAACAGTTTTTTTTTAACTTTGAACAAGCATGGTTAGAAATCTTGAAGTCAGGAATAAGCTGGGAACAAACAAAGTATGGAAGCCTTGGCATTAGTTAGTTCTAATAATGATTTGGTAGTGTACAAGACTGGTGAAACAGGTATCTGATTATACTTATGTGTTTACATTTCTTTTCATCTTGCTTTAGTTAAAACAATTTTTAAAAAACATCTTTATTATCTTAGCTCTCTTACCATTTTAGTAAACATCAGCAGGTCTAGTTATTTCCAGAGTTCTCTATTTCTCTAACTTCCTTTTTCGTGTGTGCAGACCTAAAGCTGCCCTACCACATCCCATTCCCCATCTCCTCACTTCATCAGGAAGTGCAGAAGAATGTGAACTGCATGCTTTGCCATCAGGATGTTCCTGGGGTCCTGATTTTCCTCTTAGCTTAATAGTTTATGTCCTGGACCAGTGGAAATATAATATGAGATACATTTGCTCTTTTAAGTTTTCTAGTAGCCACATTAAAAAAGTAAAAAGAATTAGGTGCAATAAATTTTAGGAATATATTATATTTAACCCAATATATCTAAAATACTATCGTTTCAACATGTAATCAAAATTTAAAATTTTAATGAGACATTTTATGTCCTTTTAAAATAATGTCTTCTAAATCCATTGTAGGTTTTACACTTACAATACATCTCAATTCAAACAAGACACATTTCAAGTTCTCACTAGCCACATATGGCTGGAGACTACCATATTGAACTGGGAAGTTCTAGATCTTACCCCCATTGACTTTTGAGACCTGGCAATCCCAATCTACCTTGTTCTGTAGTGACTGTGCTGCAAGTACCTTGTCTAGACTCTGACATGACTTCCCATTTCTAGACCACCGTTCACTTTGAACTTTTAACTCCTGAATTGCTGATTCCAGAAAAGGACATTTTGCTTGGCTCTCTCCATACCTACTCCCTGTCTGACTAACATTGTCCTGCTGTTACATATTTGGCATGACATCAAGTAATTATTCAGGCTTTTCTGCATTAGAAGAGAGTTCTATTTTATAGAAAAATTATCATTGAGTGGAAGAACATGCTGAATTCTCTGTGGATCCTTTAAATTTACCTATGGGAAACTAAACTATTTGGAAAATAGTACTATTATCTGGTTTCCAGATCCACTTATGGCTACTTACTGCTTGCTGACATAGTACACAGAAGAAAATAACTTTTAAACATCAGAAGCTAAATATTATCTTAGTCTTTCTCTTTAATTTTTTCAGTGAAAAATTCCTAATTTGTTTTTCCAAAGCCAATGGATGTTTCAATGTTTCAGGTAGAATGGGGCCAATGTCATGCACTCAGAAAGGCAGAGAAAAAAAAATTAATAATTTTCAAAATATACCTAACCCTGTCCTCCCCAGTTAGCTTGGAAACCTTAATAGTCTTTTAACTTTTCTATTTTACCTTTGAGAGCAAACCTCTGTGGTTGCAAGTGTATGCTTGCAGGCCAAATTCAACCTTGAAGATGTGTTTTATTGGCTCACACAGTGTTTAAAATTTTTCTGAACCAACATTTAGAAATTGGGAGCTTTCATGTAAACATTCAGCTTTCTAGCTTCTTTTAAAAAATTGGAAGACTTGTCCACACTGGGCAATCTTCCTACATAGTACTTTTTGGCTGAGCTGGACTTGAGAAGGGCCATGCTCTTGCTATTTTGATATAGTCAATTACCCCGGCCCGTTTCTTTCATGTAATAGATAAGTCTGTTCTCATCTGGGCACTTGCATCTGCAATATCTAGAACTCATCATACCTGTCTGCCCTTTGTCTTCCACCAATCTCTGGGGGACAGGTGTCTCTTATTTTTGAGAGGCCTTCTTTTTAGCTCCTGAATCTTCTAAAGATTTTAGCTCCTGAATCTTCTAAAGATTCAGGTGGGGCAGAACAGTGGAGGTAAGCTGATTAAGTATTCAAGTACCTCTTAAGTCTCAGGTGAAACACAACCAAATTCATTGACGGTCATCAGTTTTAGGGGAATTCTTGGCTAGTAATCTCGGAAACTCCCTTTCCTTGCGAGCTCCTGGAAATAATAGGTCATTTTATAAGCCGGTGAATGAAAAGTTCAGATGTCAGTGAGAAATACTTTTCAGCAAAGTCTCTTTATTCTCTACTCAAAATAATATTGGTAAATAATGAAATGTTACTTATACTAATTACTCAAACCACTGGTAGTGTAGTGTCTTTCCTAAATAGTTGAATGATTTCAAAGGTCCAAACAGGAATTAGAGATCCCCTGCCCTCTATTCCACTCCAGCTATCTTTCTTAAGGAAGGCAGAATAAAAAGGGATTTGTCTGGGTGGAATGCAATATCCAGAAACTGGTCATTGCTTCCATCCCTTAATGGGTCTGATCTCCTTTAATACTCAAGGTGATGGACAGTGATGATCTCTGATTAATACTTTTACTTTCTCACATGCGGGTATTAAAAACCAATTTTTAGCAGAGATTTTCTATCAGAGATAACTCAGTGTAAGCCAAAAAAATTAGTAGTCCATGGACTTTGTTATTGCTATCAATTACATAAATGATTTCATTAGAAGGGGAAGCCTCACTGTGCCTGATCAAAGTTTAGAAGTTTGTATGTTCACTGACAAGGAAGCATTGTAACATGGCAAATGGCCAAGAGAGTCCCCAGCTGTCCCACTTCTTCAGGATGATTTAACGGTCTGACTTACCCTACCTCAAAGTCTCCTTTACCTCCAACCAACTCTACAAAATATAAGTCACCTTAAGCCTGTGGCTCTCAATCCTTAATGAGGGAGCTTATACAATGCAGATTCCTGGGTCCTACCTTTAGAGACTCCAGTTTCACCAGTTCTGGGATGGGGCTGAGGATTCTGCATTTTTAAGAAACCCTTGCAGGTAACTCTGATGCAGGTGATATGTATATATACATTGAAAAATCACTGCCTAAGGGCATTCTAGCATCTTGATGTTAAAATCATACTAAGGATATAACTCTCTAACATCCTCTCCTGAAAACACATTCTAATGTTGATGGTGGGATTTGGGAGGAGATCATATACGTTAAAAGTTGACACATCATAAAGATGGGACCAAGGTACATAAAATTGGGACTTTTTGCAAACCTAATTCGTCATAATTTCATGAAGCTTCTTGTGTAGTAATAAAATTTTAGAATAGGCATACAGCACAAGACAGAATAAATGATGGAAGAGAAAAACATTTATCTTCTAAAGAGGTATCTTTTTTTTTTTTTTTTTGACAGGTCTCACTCTGCCATCCAGACTGGAGTGCAGTGGCACAATATTGGCTCACTGCAACCTCTGCCTCCCAGGTTCAAGTGATTCTCCTGCTTCGCCTCCTGAGTAGCTGGGATTACAGGATGCGCCACTACCGCCTGGCTAATTTTTTTTTTTTTTTTTTTTTTGTATTTTTAGTAGAGACGGGGTTTCACCATGTTGGCCAGGCTGGTCTCAAACTCCTGGCCTCAAATGATCTACCCACCTCAGCCTCCCAAAGTGCTGGGATTACAGACATGAGCCACTGCACCCGGCCTTGTTTTTTTTTTTTTTTTTTTTTTTTGGTAGAGACAGGTCTTGCCATGTTGGCCAGGCTGATCTCGAACTCCTGAGCTCAAGCGATGAGGCTCCCCTCGGCTTCCCAAAGTGCTGGGATTACAGGTGTGAGCCTCTATGCTCCTCCCAAAAGGGGCATCATTAAAAGGCTTTAGATAGTGCTTGAAGTTGAATGGAATGGGGAAACTATCAACTTTTACTTTTCTGAAAATTAGTTAAGAAGATTTTCTATTACAAGTAACAGATTATCCAATCATTAATTACATAATCCACAAAGACATCCAAATATCTCAGCAAACAAGTAGTCTGCAAGTAGGGGGTTCCAGATGACCCAGGTACCCTCTTCTCTGCCTTCCTCAGACTGCTGGCCTATTGTTCTAGACTTAACCACCTCACAGTGACAAGATTGTTGCATCCTTATATATTTAAAGCAGAAAGAAAGGATTATTTTACTTTGAGTAAGACCCTCCTAGAAGTCTAGTCAGCAGACTTCCCCTTATATCTCATTGGTCAAAATTAGGCAAAACTAAGTCACATTAACCATTAACAAAGCAGGATGAGATTACACTCTTCATTTAGACCAATTATGGTTCATTTCCTCTTCTGGAGGGAAAACCCACCTTCTCTGAAATGCTACTGCTAGAAATAATTCAAGGTTCCTTAAATTGCTATATAAACAATGAAAAATTAGGGAATGTTAGGCAACCAACCATATCTACCTCAGTTTTGAAATTATCCTTTGGATTTTAGTGGTTGCAGAATCCTAGGAATGCATTGAGAATGGGGTGGTAGGTTGAGTAAGTGAAAGGTTATGGTCAGAATTACTTCTGGGAATGGTGGTAGGGTAGGGTAGAGTGGGAATGGGTATATGGGAGAGATAACTTGGAGGAAGAGTTGGCCTGTTTTGGTCCTTGGTAAGAACTTAAAGGGTTTGTAAAGCTCATATTATCACAAGGAATAATAAATACAAGTGACAGAAAGCTTGTTACATCTTCTAATGTTCTTTTGGTTATTTCTGGAACCTATCTGTAAGATTGCTTATGGCAATAACTCAGTATCTTACTGCTTCTATTTGAATATAAAACAAAGTATAATTTCACCTTCTTACAACTCACTTACATAAAAGACGACAGTAAATAGTACTGTATAGTGTTTGATTTTTATCATCAATCCTGGAGATCACATAGATATTCAGATATGCTAGAAAAAGAAATGTCAACAAACATAATGCATTTGTTTATTTTGTGTGTTGCTTTGTTCCAAAAATACTTGAAGTAGCTTAAAAGAATGTGTCTAATATAAACAGAGTCAGAAGTGGAAATGTCAGCCTAACACCTAAGGAGTACAAATTTGCTTTTGTTTAATTATACATAACACAAAATGGTGAAAAATAAATTTAACCCTTTCTGTGACTAATGTTAGACTTTTAAAGATTATTATTTCGAAATTAAAATCCAAATTATTGCAATTGAGAAGTTTTTGTTTTCAACTATGTCCTCATTAAAATTGTTTAAAACAAAGGAATTTGTTCTTTTGTAAAAGTTTCAAAACACTAAACTTGAACATTGATTTACATGTCAACACACTTAATGATTACTTAAATTTTTACTTCACGAAAATTTAATTTCTATTTCAGAAGTAGAGTTTATATTTAATAGTTATTGACATTTTAAACATTTAAAGACAATTGATATGAACAATATTGAAGAAATGGGTGTCCACTGACATTTTATGAGGAAGTTAAATTTTACTGAAGTGAATTGGAAATTGCTGTTGTTTCAAAATAATTAATGCAATGCAATGCTCTTCAACTTTAATAAAGGATCATCCTTTCTTGAAATATGAAGGGAATTGACAACAACATGTAATATTGTCTTTTTAAATTAAAACCTTAAACTTTGGAAAATAAATCCTGCAGAGTGGCTTAATAATAGGGATCCTCTTGATTGTTTTTTTCAGTTAAGCAATTAGAAAACAGCAAAGATTTTAATCTCCTTTTCCCTCAAAAATGAAAAACATTCCATCTGTGTTAATGGCATAAAAAATTTAACCTTAAACATTTGTAATAGAATATAAAATTCTTCATACCAGACTTTATAATAGAAAATAAGCTTAATCTAAATTATATTTTTTTGTTTTGCCAATTATGTATGTACGTGTATACATATATGTCTATGTGTGTGTATCTGTGTATGATCTGAGAAACTTTTCACAATCACTTAAAATATAATATTTTTTTTTTTGAGATGGAGTCTCCCTCTGTTGTCCAGGCTGGAGTGCAGTGGCGAGATCTTGGCTCACTGCAACCTCTGCCTCCCGGGTTCAAGTGATTTTCCTGCTTCAGCCTCCTGAGTAGCTGGGATTACAGGCACGTGCCACCACACCCGGCTAATTTTTGTATTTTTAGTGGAGACGGGGTTTCTCCATGTTGGTCAGGCTGGTCTCAAACTCCTGACCTCGTGATCCACCCGCCTCGGCCTCCCCAAGTGCTGGGAATACAGGCGTGAGCCACCACACCCGGCCAAAATATAATTTTTAAGAACTGAAAAGTGAGTTAATTGAAATAGTTATCTGACTTAGTCCTCATTTATTCAAGACTTTTCGAATTACTTAGGTTAATGATGGCAAAACCAAAAGCACATAAATCAAATAGTATAAAAAGTTAACATAGAGGGATTGAGTTAAAAAGGAGCATTCTAATCCAGTCTGGGCAAATGAAGGTCAGATTAAGCAGTGATTGTTGAGAGTTAAATGTTAGTGAGAAATGCACTAAAGTGTACCATCTGCTTTTTTTTCCTTCAAAATTGGCTTTATGTGTATCACATTTATCATTACACTGTAGTGTTATTGAAATACAACTGTTTCATAAGAAGTTTTATATATATATATATATTTATTTATTTATTTTTATTTTTATTTTTATTTTGAGGCAGAGTCTCACGCTGTTGCCCAGGCTGGAGTGCAGTGGTACGATCTCAGCTCACTGCAACCTTTGCCTCCTGGGTTCAAGCGATTCGCCTGCCTCAGCTTCCTAAGCAGCTGGGACTACAGGCACCTGCCACCACACCCAGCTAACTTTTGTATTTTTAGTGTAGACAGAGTTTTACTATGTTGGCCAGGCTGGTCTCGAACTCCTGACCTCAAGTGATCCACCTGCCTCGGCCTCCCAAAGTGCTGGGATTACAAGCGTGAGCCACCATGCCCAGCCCAGAAGTTATATTTTTGAAAAGAGAAAAAAACCTGAAAACTTCATGATCTAACGTGAGTCTCAGGCAAATATACTTAGGGTAAAAATACCACTGTGGTTGGCACAATATAGTAGGCAGTGAATAAAAACTTACTGAAAATGAGGCCAGGTGCAGTGGCTTATACCTGTAATCCCAGCACTTTGGGAGGCCAAGGCAGGCAGATTGCCTGAGGCCAGGAGTTTGAGACTAGCATGGGCAACATGGCAAAACCCCGTCTCTACTAAAAAAAAATTAGCAGGGTGTGGTGGCACATGCCTGCAGTCCCAGGTACTCGGGAGGCTAAGGCACGAGAATCGCTTGATCTTGGGAGGCAGAGGATGCAGTGGGCCGAGCTCATGCCACTGCACTCCAGCCTGGGTGACAGACTGAGACTCTGTCTCAAAATAAATAAATAAATAAATACATACATAAGTACTTATTGGAAATGAGTTAATAAGGTGATTTAGTTGGGGCAGCAGAGCAGAGCCATATGCAGATTCAGTTCTTCTGGGTTATGGATACACATGTTGAACATTGTTGATGATAGCAATATTTCTATTACCAAAGAACAGCTATTTTTTATTAGTTATTTGACAGTGCTATACTTTAAGGAAATGAGAAAAAACACTTGGAAAACAGAGTGTATTAGTCCATTTTCACACTGCTACTAAGAACTACCTGAGACTGGGTAATTCATGAAGAAAAGAGGTTGAATTGATTCACCGTTCCATATGGCTGGGGAGGCCTCAGGAAACTTACAATCATGGTGGAAGGTGAAGGGGAAGCAAGGTATGTCTTCCCATGGTGAAGCAAGAGAGAGAGAGAGAAGAGGAAAGCATCACACACTTAACAAACAATGAGATTTTGTGAGAACTCACTATCATGAGAACAGCAAGGGGAAAGTCCGCCCCCATGATTCAATCACCTCCCACCCGGCCCCTCCTCTGACATGTGGGGATTATAATTCGAGATGAAATTTGGGTGAAGAGACAGAGCCAAACTATATCATGAGCTTGTTGAAGAGGGGTTTGCCCAGCATGCCAGAAGTAACAGTTTTATTATTATTCTATCTAATGTTTGACATGATTAAATCAGTCATATAGCAAAGGCTAGTTATACATGAAGTTTAATATTATAATCACACTAATTTTATGACAAAGCCTATCTGATATACATGTAATAGTAAGCATAATTGTACTATGCCACTTGGTCTTTAGGCAACAGGAATAACATGATCAGAAAAATAGAGGTATGAATTAGTATTCATTTTATATGACTGGGTAAGGGTTAATGGAGATAAATGGGGAAGGCTATAGGAGATTAACGGACAGGAAAGCAGTTGGGGTCAGTGAGGAAAGATTGAACAGTTCAGAGTACCAGGAAGGCTTCTCAGAGCATCTGGAGTGCTACATTCACTGCCTTCTGCTACAGGCATTGCCTGTGGCCTGGTGTTCTACAAAATTCTGGCTAATGGGCTTCATAAATAGCTTCATAAACCCAGGAACTCAGACAGCAAAGACACGGGATGCAATATAAGTTATGTATCTTCCCTGGTGAGAAAAAACTTGATGGACAGCTTGGTTCTTAAGTTCCTGACTGAGGATAGTGATGAACAAATAAAGCAGGAAGAGCAGTGACTACTACCCAACTTTCTCATGAAAAAGGACTAGGAAATCTCAAAAATCTCCTTTCCTCTCCTCTCAGAGTTACGTTACACTTAAAGGAGAGATTTGTTTGGTAAAATGAAGGGCTGTCCATCTGCTCACAAATCTCTGAATCCTCCAGGGAGAGAGAAAGAGACTCCAAGGATGGTAAGGACAGAGGAGTGGCTTTTGGGAAAGCACTGAAATATCTGATGGTGTAAATATGCTAACACTCCTGGGAGGTTGAAATGAAGGCTATCATTCATGTTTCACTTATTCATTCAGACAGCATTTATTGAGCACCTAGTATTTTCTTCAAGCCATTCTATAAATACAATGCAATTCTAATCAAAAGCTCATTGGGTTTTTTTCATGGAACTTGACTCCAGGGCTAATTCTGGACATACGCCCTAATGCAGAGACCTACTTCCAGCCTCTTTAGGCCTTTTCAACTCCATCAACAGGGGCTAGAAAGAAGCTGTTACATAGTCGGAGGAAGATCTGGCCTCCCCTGATCAGCTTGCCTTCATCAGCCAAGGGTCAAGTGAGAGCCCCATATACTTGTAGAAAGACTTTTCTCCTGGCAGGAGTCAAGAATCATCCGAGGACATTGGATCTAATTGCTGTTGTCAGGACCAAGAGGGGACTCCTTGAGCCTGAGGAAGACTCTGCCTTCCTAGATGTCTTTGCCTCCTTCTGTAGGATCAAGAGGAATTCCTGGAAAACCACTATTCCTTGTTCCTCAACGCTTACAACCTTACCACTAGTCTCTGCCTCCAGCCCACTAAAATTAGTCTGAGATTAAATCTGCAAATAGCACAATACTCTCTTTCCTATTCATTTCCCATTCTAATTTCTACTCTGTGCATATCTCCTATTTTATTCGTTTTTCCCACCACTCCCTAATTTCCGAAACCTTTAACACTGTGTCCTTTGCAACTCATGATCCAGCATCAACAAACAGTTCTATATCTTCAACCCTCTCTAAAGGTTCCCCTCACTTGCTCTAATTGAAACCTAGCTCTCTCCTGAGCCTACTCCTACACTGTCAAGTGGTAAGATATTTCTTCTTCCATACAACTGGGGCCAGGTGGGAGTATGTGTCCTCTTTGCTCCTTGTCACCAGTTTCAGAGCATTCTCACTTCTTTCTCCCTAAAAAAAATACTCAGATGTGAGGCTCAGGTCATCAGACTATATCATCCACTGTCTCCATTATTGCTTCTGTCTCCTAGCCACCTGGGTTACGGTTCTTCATTTCTTTTATTTTCATTTTCTTCTTGGTAGGATCTGGGAATTTTGCTTTTTTTTTTTTAATTCAGCCTTATTGAGGTATAATTGGCAAATGAAAATATATATTCAAAGTGTGCAATATGATGTTTTGAGACACATACACATTATAAAATTATTACCACAATCAAGCTAATTAACATATCCATCACTTCACATATTTATAGTCTTGTAAGTTAAGAATACTCAATATCTACTCTCTTAGCAAATTTCAAGTATACAATACATTATTACTAACTATAGTCACAGTGTTGTACATTAGGTCTCCAGAAATTACTAATCTTATAACTTCAAGTTTGTACCCTTTTGACCAACATCTCCTCATTTTCCCCTCCATTGTCCTTCATTTCTTGCTTTTATTTCCTGACCCACTGTTTACTACTCCTGTCTTAATTCTTGGTAATGTTAATAAACACATGGGAGAAACTTCCAAAAACCTGGCCATTTAGTTCCTTGGATATCTCTTCTCCAATAATCTTGTCTTCCACCATACCTCAGCTCATCATTCTCGTAATTATATCCTAGATCTTCTCGTTGCCAATAATTGCAATAGCTTCATAATCTCAATTTGCTGCATACTATTCTCTGACAACCACTTTTCTTTCTTTCTCTTCTTCCTTCCTTCCTTTCCTCCTTCTTTCCCTCTTTTCCTTCCCTCCCTCCCTTCCTCCCTTTCTTTCTTCCTTCCTTCCTCTCTTCCTTCCTTCCTTCTTTCCTCCCTTCTTTCCTTCCTTCCTTCCCTCCTTCTTTCCCTCCTTCTTTCCTTCCCCCTCTCCCTTCCTCCCTCCCTCCATTCCTTCCTTCCTTCCTTCCTCCCTTCCTCTCTCTCCCTTTCTTTCTTTCTTTTCTTTATTTTCTTTCTTTCTTTCCTTCTTTCTCTTTCTCTTTTTTTTCTCTCTCTCCTTTCTCCTCTCTTTCCCTCTTTCTTTCTTTTTTTCCTTCTGACAGAGTCTTTCTCTGCTGCCCAGGCTGGAGTGCAGTGTCCTGATCACGGCTCACTGCAGACTCAACCTCCTGGGCTCATTGGATCCTCTCGCCTCAGCCTCCCAAGTAGCTGGAATTATCACCATGCCCAGCTAATTTTTGTATTTTTTGTGGACACAGAGCTTTGCCATGTTGCCTAGGCTGGTCTCAAACTTCTGGGCTCAAGCAGTCCACCTGTCTCAGCCTCCCAAAGTGCTGGGATTACAGGCATAAGCCATGGGTTTCTAACTCGTCTGTCTATATTGTAACTCTAACAAGCCTTGGATCCAACTAGAACCTACAGTCTACTGATCCTACCATTTTTTTTAGCTATCTCACCTCTTCCTGTGGGCCACTTTTCCCTCCTTCCTCAGTTTAAATTCCATAGTCAAACACTATAATCATTCACTTTATTTCATCCTCAAATCCTTTGCCTTTCTCTCTTACCTCATCATATTGCCTTGGCAAAACCACAACCCTGATTAATTCAGCTATTGCCTGGTGGGTGTCTACATCTGCATAACCAAACCTAGCTTGGAAAGAACACATAGTTGTGCTTATTGGTATCAATGTAAATTAATGTTCATTATCCTCATGTGGGGCCTTAATGACTTTTGAGAATTGTTCTGTATTCTTCTAGTCCATTTACTTTCCCACTCTCTTAAATGACAGTTTCATACCTTCTCTTATCTCCTCAAACCTCCAACATCTCCTTTGAAGTGATCTCACTCAAGGGAGTGTTATTTTTAGATGAACAATCTGGGTGCCTGTTACAGGCCAATCTCAGTCTTTCTTGTTTACTAAAGTACATCTCTATCAATTATTCCCTCTTTTTCCTACTGCTATGGTTTGAAGGTTTGTCTCCTCAAAAACTCATATTGAAATCTAAATGCCGTTGTAACCGTACATACAGGTGGAACATTTAAAAGGTGATTAGGCCACAAGGGCTCTGCTCTCACAGGTGGGCGTGGTGCTGTTATAAAAGGACAAGTTTGACAATAATAGTGGGAGACTTCAATACTCCACTGACAGCACTAGACAGGTCTTCAAGACAGAAAGTCAACAAAGAAACAGTGGACTTAAACTATACACTAGAACAAATGGACTTAACAGATATTTATAGAATATTCTGCCCAATAACTGCAGAATATACATTCTTCTCATCAGTACATGGAACATTCTCCAAGATAGACTATATGATAGGCCACAAAACAAGTCTCAATAAATTTAAGAAAGTGAAAATCATATCAAGTATTTTCTCAGACCACAATGAACTAAAACTAGAAATTAACTCCAAAATGAACCCTCAAAACTACACAAGTACATGGAAATTAAATAATCTGCTCTTGAATGGTCTTTGGGTTGACAATGAAATCAAGATGGAAATTAAAAAATTCTGTGAAATGAATGATAATAGTGATACACTTATCAAAAACCTCTGGAATACAGCAAAAGCAGTGCTAAGAGGGGAGTTATAGCATTAAATGCCTACATCGAAAAGTCTGAAAGAGCACAAATAGACAACCTAATGTCAACCTAAATTACCCAGTTCTCAAGGAACTAGAGAAACATGAACTAATCCCAAATCCAGCAGAAAAAAGAAATAACAAAAATCAGAACAGAACTAAATGAAATTAAAACAAAAAATTCAAAAGATAAATGAAACAAAAGCTGATTCTTTGAAAAGATAAACAAAATTGGTAGACTTTTAGTGAGATTAACCAAGGAAAGAAGAGAAAGAAGAGAGAAGATCCAAATAAGCTCAATTAGAAATGAAATGGGAGATCTTACAACTGATACCACAGAAATACAAAAGATCATTCAAGGATACTATAAACACCTTTAGGCATATAAACTAGAAAATATACAGAAGATAACTAAATTCCTGGAAATATACAATCCTTCTAGATTAAATGAGGAAGAAATAGAAACTCTGAACACACCAATAACAAGCAGTGAGATTAAATCAGTAATAAAAAAAATTGCCCACAAAAAAAGTCCAGGACCAAATGGGTTTGCAGCTGAATTCTATCAGACGTTCAAAGAATTGGTACCAATCCTAATGAAACTATTTCAAAAGATAGTGAAAGAGGGAATACTTCCTAAATCATTCTATGAAGCCAGTATTACCCTAATACCAAAACCAGGAAAAGACATAACAAAAAAGGAGAATGACAGACCGATATCCCTGATGAACATAGATGCAAAAATCCTCAACAAAATACCAGCTAACTGAATCCAACAGCATATAAAAAAAATACATCATGATCAAGTGGGTTACATACCAGGGATGCAGGGATGGTTTAACATATGAAAATCAGTAAGTATGATACATTACATAAGCAGAATTAAAAACAAAAATCACATAATCATCTCGATAGATGCAGAAAAGGCATTTGACAAAATCCAGCATTGCTTTGTGATAGAAACCCTCAACAAAATTGGCATAAATGTTCATACCTCAAAGTAATAAAAGCCACCTATGGCAAACCCACAGCCAACATCATACTGAATGGGGAAAAGTTGAAAGCATTCCCCTGAGAGCTGGAAGAAGACAAGGATGACCACTTTCACCACTTCTATTCAACACAGTACTGGGAATCCTAGCCGGAGCAATTAGACAGGTGGAAGAAATTAAGGGCATCCAAATTGGAAAAGAAGAAGTCAAACTGTCGTTGTTCACCAATGATATGATCGTAAACTTAGAAAACCCTAAAGACTATCCAAAAAGCTCCCAGATCTGATAAATGAAATCAGCAAAGTTTCAGGATAGAAAATCAATGTGCATAAATCAGTAGCTCTGCTCTACACCAAGAATGACCAAACTGAGAATCAAATCAAGAACTCAATCCCTTTTATAATAGCTGCAAAAAACAAAACAAAACAAAAAAACCTTAGGAATATACTTAACTGGTGAGGTGAAAGATCTCTACAAGGAAAACTACAAAACTGCTGAAAGAAATCATAGATGACCCAAACAAATAGAAACACATCCCATGTTCATGGATGAGTAGAATCAATATTGTAAATATGACCATACTGCCAAAAGCAATCTACAAATTCAATACAATTCCCATCAAAATACCACCACCATTCTTCACAGAAAAAGAAAAAACAATCCTACAATTCATGTGGAACAAAAAAAGAACCCACATAACCAAAGCAAGACTAAGCAAAAAGAACAAATCTGGGAGCATGTCATTACCAAAACAACATGGTACCGGTATAGAAATAGGCACATAGACCAATGGAACAGAATAGAGAACCCAGAAATAAAGCCAAATACTTACATCCAATTGATCTTTCACAAAGCATACAAAAACATAAAGTCAGGGAAATGATACCCTGTTTTAACAAATGGTACTGGAATAACTGGAAATCCACATGCAGAAGAATGAAACTGGATCCTCATCTCCTACCGTATACAAAAATTAACTCAAGATGGACCAAAGACTTAAATCTAAGATCTGAAACCATAAAAATTCTAGAAGATAACATCAGAAAAATTCTTCTAGACATTGGCTTAGGCAAAGAATTCATGACTAAGAACCCCAAAGCAAATGCAACAACAACAAAAATAAACAGATGGAATGTAATGAAATTAAAAACTTCTGCACAACAAAATAAATTATCAGCAGAATAAACAGACAACCCATAGAATGGGAGAAAATATTCTCAAACTATGCATCTGACAAAGGACTAATATCCAAAATATACAAGAAACTCAAAGAAATCAGCAAGAAAAAACAAATAGTCTCATCACAAAGTGCACAAAGGACATGAACAGACAATTCTCAAAAGAAGATATACAGCCAACAAACATGAAAAAATGCTCAACATCACTAGTTATCAGGGAAATACAAATCAAAACTACAATGAGATAGCACCTTACTCCTGCAAGAGTGGCCATAATTTAAAAGATCAAAAAATAAAAGATGTTGACATGGATATGGTGAAAAGGAACACTTTTACACTGCTGGTGGGAATGTAAACAAGTACAACCACTATGGAAAGCAGTATGGAGATTCCTTAAAGAACTAAAAGTAGAACTACCATTTGATCCAGGAATCCCACTGCTGAGTATCTACCCGGAGGAAAAGAAGTTATTATATGAAAAAGACACATGCACACCCATGTTGATAGCAGCACAATTTGCAATTGCAAAAATATGGAACCAACCTAAATATCCATCAACCAATGAGTAGATAAAGAAAATGTGGTATGTATACACCATGGAATACTAATCAGCCATAAAATGGAATAAAATGATGGCATTTGCAGCAACTTGGATGGAGTTGGAGGCCATTATTCTAAGTGAAGTAAGTCAGGAATGGAAAACCAATTATCGTTTGTTCTCATTTATAAGTGGGAACTCACTTATAAGCTTAGCTTATAACCTAAGCTGTGAGGATACAGAGGTATAAGAATGATAGAATGGACTTTGGGGACTTGGAGGGGAGGGTGAAAGGGGGTGAGAAAAAAAGGCTACATATCGGGCACAGTGTACACTGCTCAGGTGATGGGTGAACCAAAATCTCAGAAATCACCACTAAAGAACTTATCCATGTAACCAAAAACCACCTGTACCCCCAAAACTTCTGAAGTAAAATAAAATATTTAAAAGGTGTGTTTGGACCCCTCTTGTTCTTTCTCACCCTCTTTCCATCTTCCAACATGGAATGATGCTGCAAGAAGGCCCTTGCCAGATGCTGGTACTTTGATATTGGACTTCCAAGCCTCCAGAACTGTGAGCCAATGAATTCTGTTTATTATAAATTACCCATTCTTAGGTATTATGATAGCAGCACAAAAATGCTAGAGGCATAAAAAGGAAAAAGAATCATTGCATACTACCTCTATAGGATACAGGAAAACTTCTCTAACATAGATTCTCTAAGGACTAAAGACTTTAGGTATAATGAGTTATAATACTTTAATATTATCTGTGAATTTCCATAATACTAGCCTTTGATTGACCAGGTTACATCTATAATAGAGGTTATTTTGCTCAGAGTAGAACATTTTTAAGGCTTTTCACACTTTCACAAGAAATGACAAATTTGATCTTAATTATATATTCTTACATATAGTACCTGGCTATTTTCCTCACAAAAAAAACAAATAAGAATCTTCTTCTTAAATTAAGGTTAGGGTAATAATAATTGCTACAATTTATTGAATATCAATAAATTTATTGAATGCCGGATTCTGGGCTTAATGTTTTCATACATTTGTTCACTTAATCCTGACAGCAATCCTGTGAGGCAGGTAGTGTTCTCTTAAATTATAGGTAGAAAACTGAGAAACAGAGAATTTTTTTATTTTAAATAAAGTCCCTCTCCATGAGCTTTATATAATTTTTATTTTAATTAGAATAACATACAAATTCTGGTTTGAATACTCAAAGACAAAAAAAGCATGCATGCAGATGGTCTGAACTAAGTAAGTCATGTGCACTTGAGAATGCACGCCATCTTATGACAGTGAATGTGTCAACGGTTACAGTAGATTTACCGTGTGAGTGGTTTCTGCGTGACACTGCAGACCAAGAGCAATGACAGGGCAATTTCGCCCCTCTAGAGTGCATATGGGTAGAGGGCATGGGTGAGAAAGCAGGAAGGAACGCTCACTTATTGTTAGATACAGTATACTTTAAAAATTATGTAGTTTAGATTTCTTTCTCTCAATTTTATATTTTTAAACTTACAGAATGGTTGAAAGGATAGTACAATGAACAACCACGTATTACTCACATAGATTCAAAAATTGTTACCATTTTGACGTAATTGCTTCTTTCTGTATATTTATAGTTTTTTCTTTGGCTGGTCTTTGTTTTTTTTTTTTTTTTTTTTTTTTTTTTGAGACGGAGTCTCACTCTGTCGCCCAGGCTGAAGTGCAGTGGGGCAATCTTAGCTCACCGCAACTTCTGCCTCCCGGGTTCAAGTGACTCTCCTGCCTCAGCCTCTTGCATAGCTGGGATTACAGGTGTGTGCCACCATACCAAACTAATTTTTTGTATTTTTAGTAGAGACGGGGTGTCACCGTGTTGGCCAGGCTGGTCTCGAACTCCTGACCTCAGGTGATCTGCCCACCTCGGCCTCTCAAAGTGCTGGGATTACAAGTGTGAGCCACCACGCCCAGCTGGCTGGTCCATTTTTAAAGTAGTTAGAGACATATTAATGCTTCTGTGTGTATCTGTCAAGAACAAGGACATTCTAGATAATAAACAATCAAATTTTCCACTTAAATTTAACACGAATCCATTATTATTGTCTAATATACAGTCAATTTTCAAATTCTCCCAATTGTCCCAGTAATATCTTATATATATGGTTCATTTTCCTCTATGATTCAGGATCCAATCACAGATCTTCTCTTGCATTTAGTTATCAAGTCTCTTTAGTCTTCTCTAATCTGGAACATTTGCTCATCCATTTTTGTCTGTCATGACATAAAAGAGTCTAGGCCAATTATTTTCTAGGCTGTCCTTCAATTTCAATTAACTTTTTTTTCTCTTATGGTTAGATTCACATTAAACATTTTTGGCAGGAGTACTATATAGATGATGTTGAGATTAGTTTTAACAGATATTAGTTTTTCTTGATAATGTATTAATATAATTTTTTTATTTCAGTAAATCACATGTACATTTCAAATATTTATTTTCTTTGCTTATAATGTAATTTTACACAAAACTGTTAAATATGAGATGAAATGTTATACTGTACTAATTGTCATGAGTAAGAAATTTTTTGATTAGATTACATATTTTTATAGACAAATTTTAAAATTAAGAATGATGTAAACTAAAATGTGTGAAAGTAATTGGTTTAAAATATTTGTGTATTTTCTGTTTACAGGGCTAATAAATGTACTATATTATTTTTGTCTAGGTGATATTGAAGTTCTAGTAATATGAACCATTTTCAGTAAGTCTTAATAAGGTTTTGCTAGAAAGTGGAATAAAACTACAAGGTGTTTTGTGATAATTGCCAATATTGTTAGTTATTAAAACAGGAATTAGAGAAAATCTCCTGAAATAGGCCATTTGTTTACAATCTTTATTCATAATTTTTAAATGCATGCTTTAAAATAATAATGGCTGCTGTTTATTATGTGCCAGATCCTTCACAAGTATCTCCTGTAATTAACACAACAACTTTAGGAGGCAGGTATAATTATTAACATTTATAAACCAGAAACAAAGGAGCTTTTAACCATTTATTAAAACCTCCTGGCTTTATAAGTCTACAAAAATGCTATATTTTATTGCCATGTTTGATTCTGTAGTATATTGTAAACTCCAGGTGAGTGTGAGTGTGTGTGCGCGTGCACTTCGTGCACTTTTCTTATGAGAAAAGAGAATAAACTTAAATTTACATCTTCGTACAACTAGTTTGTGCTGTTTTCACCTGGCAGAGTATTTTATGTTCTGGACAGAACTCTGAGGATAGTCTTATTTTTCCTATTTTTTTTAAATAAAAAGTATTAATTTGGTGTAATATAAACAATTATACCAACAGCCAAGATGCCTAAGAAAGGAAACTGCTTTTTATATTTTCTTCCTTAATTAGCGTTATGTTTGCTTTGGCTAAATAGCTACTTTGGCAGATTATCATGTTTTTAATGTTACATTTTTCCATGTAAAAAGTGATGTATATGTAAATTTAAAGAAGTGAAAATTTCATTTTAACTTCCCCTAAATTTTAAGTCCACTTCTGAAATGAACATTCAACTGTATTTCTTTAGTTTAGTATATAAATACCTTCAAAATAACCTATGGTTAAATTAATAATATTAAAGTAGACATTTAGAGTAGGAAATCCAAACAGTAAACTCTCTTATCATTAGTGCTTAATTGTCAAAAGGCTCTCAGAAGGAAGCCTTTATAATAGAAATAATTTTTAGTTCAAATCATTACCCAGTATCTGATTTTAATTTCTGCATGTTCCTAGGTCTAACTTTTCTATGCCTGATGTGTTAGAGCAACCAGGCTTGTAGAATGAAAACAAAAATGGAGTATGTGAATAAGGTTTTCTTGAATATCGTCACTAGAGAGGATTTCCCCAAATGTCTGGCTAAGCAGTCTGACAGATGTAGGTCTGAAGAGAAAAGGACTTCTGGACATACACACATGCTCAAGAGATCACAGAGGAAACCAGAGTCAAACATGTAATGTAAGTGCTATGATTTGACTCACTTATTTAATGTGATGATTTAAAACTGTGATAAGAGGCAGGCAAAATGTGGTGTTAAATTCAAAACAAAGTGTGGTGATCTGCCTTGTTTTCAACTTGTTGCTATCTGATGAAAACACTTTTCTACAAGCAAGACTGATGAGCAGATGGTGCTAATAAGGCCAATTAAGTGCTAAGCTTCTGGAAATGTTTTTGTTGAGTGACATCTTAAGACTGGTTTCTGCTAACACGCATCTTAAGCCATGTGTTTGTAAAGTGCAATGGCATTAATACTTATGGTCACTAGATTTTCATTTTCAAGAATACAGAGTCAGACAAGACAAATAAAAATCCTTTGCACCAATTCCAAAGACAATATATAAAGTCGAATGATAAGATTTGAACCCTTTGACTACTTGGTGAGGCTCAGTGTAGGTCGCTGGTGTCCAGTAACTAGTGCATGAAGAAAATTTCTCTAATCTGCAATGAAAAGAGAAATATACCAGAAAAAAACAAAGGAATAGATTTTTGCGGTGCCTTTTCCCTCTTAACTTTTACTTTTTCCCGGTAGTTTGGAAGCTATTCCTATATTGCTTTTTATCTACATATTATATTATGTTTACATCACAGGTAAACAAAATTGAATTGATCATAATACATTGTTAACATTTGTTCATGGGTAATCTGTATTATTTATTTTCACTTCTATTTTATTTTGAAAATTTATATTCACTTACTCCCCGACAAAAGTTATGATGAATACCCACCCAAGCCAAGAATCAAAAAGTACCAATAATTTATATCTACCTATAGATTCTTCCTTTATTCCATCTCTGATATGGTTTGGCTGTGTCCCCCCTCAAATCTCATCCTGAATTGTACTCCCATAATTCCCATGTGTTTTGGGAGGGACCCAGTGGGAGATAATTGAATGATTGGGGGCAGTTTCACCCATACTGTTTCATGATAGTGAATAAGTCTCATGAGATCTGATGATTTTATGAGAGGTTTCCCCTTTCCTTTGGCTCTTATTCTCTCTTGCCTGCCGCCACATGAGACGTGGCTTTCACCTTCTCCCATGATCGTGAGGTCTCCCCAGCCACGTGGAACTGTGAATCCACTAAACCTTTTTCTTATAAATTACCCAGTCTTGGGTATGTCTTTATTAGCAGCATGAAAAAGAACTAATACAATCTCCCTCTCTGCCTCTCCTCCACCAAGCCCCATAGGTAACCATTATCTCGAAGTCTGTATTTATCATTCCTTACTTTTAAAAAACATACAAATATATTTTATAATTATATTTTAAAACATTGAAAATAATTTTATCACAAACATATGCATAATTAAATGTTACATATTTTAGTTTCGCATTTTCTTGGATTTTATACAGAAAGAGAGCTTTATAGAAAGGAGATCATATAAAAGGAGCAACATATTTTATAAAGAGGGCATTAAAAGGGACTTACTTTTTTCTGTTCAACATTATGTTACTAATATTAATCCATGTTGTACAGGGAGCTGAGGTTCAATCATTTCCATTGCTATAAGAATAAACTATAACGTATTTACCCACGGACTTCTAAGTTGTTTCTAGTGTTTTGCTATTACAGACATTGCTTCTATGAACATTCTAACACGTATTTCTTGCAGCACAGATAGAATACCTGAAATATACTCAGGAGTAAAAGTACTGCATTGTAAGATAAGCATGTTTAACTCTACAAGATTATACCAAATTGTTTTCTAGAGTGGTTCTGCAGTTTCATAAAATAATGCCAGATTGTTTTTCAAATAGTTGTATTGAGTTACATTCCCACCAGCATTGAATAAGAGATCTTACTGACTCACATATTCTCCTATACACTTAACTTTGTATTTTCTAGAACTATTTAATAAAATAAGAACCTTAGCACTCTAACCATCCACAATGTATCTTTTACATTGCCTTCATTATAGTTTTCTATTTTTGTTTCTCAACATAAACAGATGGCATTAAATTTTTTGGTCAATAGTTAATTAGCTTTACCAGAAAATGATACCAACTTCTTTGCTTATCATTTCTCCTTGCATCCCCTCCTTTCTTCTTGATTGCTTTTTCTTTCTCAATGTGTCCTTTAATAGTTTTCTCAGTGAAGGTTTGCGGGTAGTAAATTATCTGTGTTGCATGTGTTCCAGTTATCTATTGCTGCATAACAAACCACTCAACATTTAGTGGCTTGAAACAACAATGTTTTGCTCACGAATCTGTAGTTTGGACTTGGTGGTGAGGGTTTATCTCTGCTGCATATAGTGTTAGCTAGGGTAGCTTAACTGAGTGATGAGGGGACTGAGTCCAGAATGGTTCACTCATGTGGCTGGCCAGTTGGTGCTGGCAGTCAGCTGGGAGCTCAGATGGGGCTTAAGTCTGGGGGCCTGGGTTCCACTTCATATTGGTCTCTCCATGGTCAACTCACAGCGTGATGTCTGTATTTCATGGGCAAACATCTCAAGAGAGAATTAGGTGGCAAATGATTGCCTTTTATGACCTGGTCTCAGAAGTCACATAGCACTATTTCTACTGCACTCTTCTAACCAAGGAAGAGTCACAAAGGCCCACCCAGTTTTAAGGGGAGGGACCATAGATTCCACCTACTAATGGGATTGGAAACAGTTACAGGGCAAGAAACTTTATTGCAGCTATTAAAAATGCACTATGAGGATTCATGCTTTGTATTTATTTATTTTAATTCTGAGAAATTCTCAGTTACTTTCTTTAGTCTATATTTCTAGAGCTTCTATTAATGTGTAAAGGAAATTCTCAATCCATCCACTCACGTATCTTAATTTCTCTTATATTTTCATCCCTTTATTTACCTGTGCTGTGTTCTGAGTTGATTCTCCAATATTTTTCCATTTAAAAGAAAATATAGGGGCTATGATTTTTTTTTAACTTCTGGGATTTCTAATTGGTACTTTTAAATTATCCATCTATTTATGTTTGACTTCTTTCTATTTTTGTTTCATTTTTTCTTTTATTGGTGCTATTCCTTCCATTATCACTTTGAAGATATCAAACACTGATTGTGCTATTATTTCAGTTTCTTTGGAAGTGAATTATTCAATTTGTTGAGTTTGTGGTTGTTCTTTCTCAGTAACAGTTTTCCTTGCAGTTTTGATTTTTTTCATCATTACAAGTTTATCTTCATTGGGAATCTTATTTTCCCTCTTTTGCTGAGTTAATCTTTCTCTAACAGTTTTGGCATTGACACCACCTCTCACCTATCATAGGTTTTCTAGTTCAGAGCGTGGTTTTGTGTTGGTAAACGAGGGCTCTCTTTCCTCAAAAAAAATCTACCCCTGAGCAGGCCTTGGCCTGGTCCCTAAATTTTTGGCTCCAGCTGTTATAACTTCTGGCTATAGTTCTGAAGTGTTATGTTTCATAAAGTGTGTCTGGCTAACATTTTCAGAAATAAGTAGGGCACTTTTAATTCTCATCCACTTATACCATTTGAATTCCCTGAAGTCACTTCTTGTTTCCAGTGCTAGAACCCAGCAGTCCCAAAGTTTCAGAACCTGCTATTTTCATTCCAGTTTGAAAATTTTACATAATATTTCATTTGTTTAACCCTTGCTTAAACTAAAGATAGTGTACTATTACCACTTGAAGACATCGCATCAGCTTCTGTAGTGAGTTTTTTGTTAAATGAAATTATATGCATTTAAGTTTAAAGGATTGTCATTTATTCTGGGATACATATCCTTTATATTACTTTTGTGTGAAAACATCTTTCAAAGATAATGGTAGTCATATTTCTTAACATTTTTTCTTGCCAGTTAAGAAGTTGACAATATTGTGATTGACCCAAAAATAGTTCTCAAATTTTACCAGTCTGTGATATCCAAAATTTGGAAACCATTGATTGAGCATTCACAGTTTCTTTGGAGCAAAGGTATATTGTGTGGCTATCATTCATTTATGAAAGTGCTTTAATACTGTCCATAAATTGTACATAGTCCTGTTCTAGATGATGAGAATGATACAATAAAACAGACACATTCCTTCTCCTTCTGGAATTGAAAGTCTACTTATGTGCTTTCCATTTGCTGCATACCCCAGAGTATGTCCACAGGCTCTGGTACTGAAGATCAAGTACCATGTCTAATTCATACCCTAAATGTCATATTGAATAATGTGCTGTGGCTATATTTACTTCATCATACTTTTTCTTCCTTATCATCATAAAACTAAAAAGCACCATAAAACAGTTATAACGAAGACTAAGAATTAGTCCCTGCCCTCAAGGAACTCATAATCCAATGAGCTCTTCTCCAGCTCAGACCCCACTCAGTAATGCAAAGGCTCAGCACTTGGATCCATCTTCCTTTGGAGTTTGGAAAGTTTCTGTTCTTCTAAGAGAATAATGCTTATTCTAAGCTGTTTATCAAAATACTTCTTCCCAACATAGTATTCTACCAGAGATAATTTTAGTGCCTCTATGGTGTTTTAGCATGCCTTATAGATTGGCAATACTACAAACGTGCTCTAATGAAAGGAGAATAGGATTTTAATAAGTAGAAGAACAGTGGAAGCATTTCAGGAAGGGGGAATCACATAAGTAAATGTGTAGATAAAAAATATCTTAAGAGTATACTAGTATTTATAATTAATCATTAATTTTTTTATTATTATTATACTTTAAGTTTAGGATACATGTGCACAATGTGCAGGTTTGTTACATATGTATACATGTGCCAAGTTGGTGTGCTGCACCCATTAACCCATCATTTACATTAGGTATATCTCCTAATGCTATCCCTCCCCCCTCCCCCCACCCCACAACAGTCCCCAGTGTGTGATGTTCCCCTTCCTGTGTCCATGTGTTCTCATTGTTCAATTCCCACCTATGAGTGAGAACATGCGATGTTTGGTTTTTGGTCCTTGTGATAGTTTGCTGAGAATGATGGTTTCCAGCTTCATCCGTGTCCCTACAAAGGACATGAACTCATCCTTTTTTATGGCTGCATAGTATTCCATGGTGTATATGTGCCACATTTTCTTAACCAGTCTTATCATTGTTGGACATTTGGGCTGGTTCCAAGTCTTTGCTATTGTGAATAGTGCCGCAATAAACATACGTGTGCATGTGTCTTTATAGCACATGATTTATAATTCTTTGGGTATATACCCAGTAATGGGATGGCTGGGTCAAATGGTATTTCTAGTTCTAATCCCTGAGGAATCACCACACCAATTTCCACAATGGTTGAACTAGTTTACAGTCCCACCAATAGTGTAAAAGTGTTCCTATTTCTCCACATCCTCTCCAGCACCTGTTGTTTCCTGACTTTTTAATGATTGCCATCCTAACTGGTGTGAGATGGTATCTCATTGTGGTTTTGATTTGCATTTCTCTGATGGCCAGTGATGATGAGCATTTTTTCATGTGTTTTTTGGCTGCATAAATGTCTTCTTTTGAGAAGTGTCTGTTCATATCCTTCACCCACTTTTTGATGGGGTTGTTTTTTTTTTTGTAAATTTGTTTGAGTTCATTGTAGATTCTGGATATTAGCCCTTTGTCAGATGAGTAGGTTGCAAAAATTTTCTCCCATTCTGTAGGTTGCCTGTTCACTCTGATGGTGGTTTCTTTTGCTGTGCAGAAGCTCTTTAGTTTAATTAGATCCCATTTGTCAATTTTGGCTTTTGTTGCCATTGCTTTTAGTGTTTTAGACATGAAGTCCTTGCCCATGCCTATGTCCTGAATGGTATTGCCTAGGTTTTCTTCTAGGGTTTTTATGGTTTTAGGTCTAACGTTTAAGTCTTTAATCCATCATGAATTAATTTTTGTGTAAGGTATAAGGAAGGGATCCAGTTTCAGCTTTCTACATATGGCTAGCCAGTTTTCCAAGCACTATTTATTAAATAGGGAATCCTTTCCCCATTTCTTGTTTTTGTCAGGTTTGTCAAAGATCTGATAGTTGTAGATATGCGGCATTATTTCTGAGGGCTCTGTTTTGGTACCAGTACCATGCTGTTTTGGTTACTGTAGCCTTGTAATATAGTTTGAAGTCAGGTAGCGTGATGCCTCCAGCTTTGTTCTTTTGGCTTAGGATTGACTTGGCAATGAGGGCTCTTTTTTGGTTCCGTATGAACTTTAAAGTAGTTTTTTCCAATTCTGTGAAGAAAGTCATTGGTAGCTTGATGGGGATGGTATTGAATCTATAAATTACCTTGGGCAGTATGGCCATTTTCACGATATTGATTCCTCCTACCCATGAACATGGAATGTTCTTCCATTTGTTTGTATCCTCTTTTATTTAATTGAGCAGTGGTTTGTAGTTCTCCTTGAAGAGGTCCTTCACATCCCTTTTAAGTTGGATTCCTAGGTATTTTATTCTCTTTGAAGCAATTGTGAATGGGAGTTCACTCATGATTTGGCTCTCTGTTTGTCTGTTATTGATGTATAAGAATGCTTGTGATTTTTGCATATTGATTTTGTATCCTGAGAGTTTGCTGAAGTTGCTTAACACCTTAAGGAGATTTTGGGCTGAGACGATGGGGTTTTCTAAATATACAATCATGTCATCTGCAAACAGGGACAATATGACTTCCTCTTTTCCTAATTGAATACCCTTTATTTCCTTCTCCTGCCTGATTGCCCTGGCCAGAACTTCCAACACTATGTTGAATAGGAGTGGTGAGAGAGGGCATCCCTGTCTTGTGCCACTTTTCAAAGGGGATGCTTCCAGTTTTTGTCCATTCAGTATGATATTGACTGTGGGTTTGTCATAAATAGCTCTTATTATTTTGAGATACATCCCATCAATACCTAGTTTATTGAGAGTTTTTAGCATGAAGGACTGTTGAATTTTGTCAAAGGCCTTTTCTCCATCTATTGAGATAATCATGTGGTTTTTGTCTTTGGTTCTGTTTATATGCTAGATTATGTTTATTGATTTTTGTATGTTGAACCAGCCTTGCATCCCAGGGATGAAGCCCACTTGATCATGGTGGATAAGCTTTTTGATGTGTTGCTGGTTTCGGTTTGCCAATATTTTATTGAGGATTTTTGCATCAATGTTCATCAAGGATATTGGTGTAAAATTATCTTTTTTTGTTGTGCTTCTGCCAGGCTTTGGTATCAGGATGATGCTGGCCTCATAAAAATCATTAATTTTTTCATCTAAAAAGGTTTTGTGGGCAAATGTTAAGAACATTGGGTTCAGTCAGAAAGCTAGTTATTAATTTTAGTCTATTACTACAACTTTATCATATTGAGCTATACTTCCGAAGTTTTTGTTAGATGTATTAGTTTGCTAGGGCTGTTGTGACAGAGTACTACAAACTGGTGGCTTAAACAACAGTAATATATTGTCTCATAGTGCTGGAGGTTAGAAGTCCAAAATCAAGGTGCTAGCAAGGGTTAGGGTCAGGTTCCTTCTGAGGGCTGTGAAGGAACGATCTCTTCCAGGCCTTTTTCATTGGCTTGTAGATAACCCTCTTCACATACAGTCCCGTGTCACATAACAACATTTTGGTCAGTGACGGACCGACCACATATATGACAGTGGCTCCATAACATTATCATACCATACTTTTACTGTACCTTTTCTATGTTTAGATATACAAATACATAGTATTGCCTACAATATTCAGTACAGTAATATGCTGTTCAGGTTTGTAGCCAGGAGCAATAGGCTATACCATATAGCCTAGATGTGTAGTAGGCTATACTATCAGGTTCGTGCAAATACACTCTGTTATGTTTGCACAATGATGAAATTGTCTAATGACACATTTTTTAGAATGTGTCCCTGTTGTTAAGTGACACATGACTGTATACGTGGCATTCTCCCCATATGTATGTGTGCATCTCCAAATTTCCTTTTTTAATGAAGACATCAGTCACATTTGATTAGGGCCCACCCTAATAGTTTCATCACCTCTGTAAAGACCTATCTCCTTACAAGGTCATTCTGATGTACTAGGACTTCAACATACAAATTCTGGGGAGACAAAATTCAACCCATAACAACAGAGAACTTACTTTTTTGCTTAGTAGTATCAAGGTTAACAGTGAGCCACTCAGAAATGTTCAAAGAGTACTTGGCTCAAATCCTTTCCTAGAAAGGAAACTTAGGGAAGGTGGGGAAAGGAGTAATTGGAAAAAAGAAGTTAAATGGTGAACATCTACATTTTTTGCCCACCCAGAGTGTTGTCTCCTTTTTTGGAAATATCACCTTGATTGTGCTCATATGTGTTAGTTTGCTAGGACTGTTGTAAATCGCCTTGATTTTGTCATATTGAATGATGTGCTGTGGCTGTATTTACTTCATCATACCTTTTCTTCCTTATCATCATAAAACTACAAAGCTTGTGCTCCTTGTGGTTTAAATAGGGTCTGAAACAGAATATTCCAGGCTCCTATGCTGAGTTATTAGAGCAGAGATTACTATATGACCTTAGATGGGCCAATGTTAACATCTGGAAACGTTATATGGGACTTTTGTTGGAGCTCTTGAGAGAATTGTATGCTCTGTCTCCTGGACTTGCTGATGGTTAACTCTGCCACATCTTGAAGAGAGCCTAAGTCAACATGGGGTCAAGTAGAACTGAAAGATGGAGAGAGGCAGAAGTATAACAACATCATTTTGAGTTCTTACATTCATGCCTACAATTCACCCTTTGAACTTCCAACTTACATGAGCTGATAGATTTCCTTTTGGGGTTAGGTCAGACTCCTGTTACTTGTAATGAAATTGATCATTCAGATTTTGAAAAAAGATAATAGGAAATAGGCAGTTACAGAAGTGAAATAATTTGTTACATGCTTCAAGCAAGTGCACAAATAAAAAGAGGGTTCTAAGTCTTCCTAAGATGAACTAATGTATTGTCTCTTTTCATTTTCTCTTTCATTGATTGCTTAAGAACCTTGCTTTTGGCTGGGCATGGTGGCTTACGCCTGTAATCCCAGCACTCTGAGACGCGGAGGTGGGCGGATCACTTGAGGTTGGGAGTTGGAGACCAGCCTGACCAACATGGAGAGACCCCGTCTCTACTAAAAACACAAAATTAGCTGGGCAAGGTGGTGCATGCCTGTAATCCCAGCTACTTGGGAGGCCGAGGCAGGAGAATCGCTTGAACCTGGGAGGCGGAGGTTGCGGTGAGCCGAGATCACACCATTGCACTCCAGCCTGGGCAACAAGTGCGAGACTCTGTCTCAAAAAAACCAAAAACCAAAAAACAAAAACAAAAAAAACTTGCTTTTTAAATCTTTTTTGATTAGAGAGGTTTGTATTTTGTTACTCTTTAAGTGTGCTTTCATGTACAGTTGGCCCTCTGTATCCTTGGGTTCTGCATCCGTGAATTCAACCAACCAGGGATTGAAATTATTTGAAGAAAAAAACGGATGGCTGTGTCTGTTCTGCATGTGTACAAATTTTTTTTCTCGTCATTATTTCCTAAATAATGCAATATAACAACTATTTGCATAGCATTTACATTGTCTTAGGTATAAATAATCTAGAGGTGATTTAAAGTATACAGGAGGATGTGTATAGGTTCTATGCAAATACTATGCCATATTATATAAGAGCCTTGAATGTCCATGAATTTTGGTATCCACAATGGGTTCTGAAACCAATCCCCAATGGATAATAAGGGATAGCTGTACTTATCCCTTCTTCCTTTTCCAAAGTAATCAAATGAGAAGAAAAACATGCGTATTGTCTGTAAGTGACTGGGTCTAAGCATCATTGATGAGCATTAACTCATGTGTAGCTATTAAATATTTTATAATTGAAACATATTTCTAATAAAGCTATTATTTTATTATTGGTAGCCCCTGTGCATATATGCTCAGAAATTTCTTATTTACTGGTGAAAGTGTACTAATGTGTGAGTATTTATCAACTTATGTACAGGATATATTATAAGGCAGCTAAACATCTATGGAGAAAGGCAGTATAATGTGTCTGGATAAGAACTTGGCTCCTGGACCCAGACTGTCAGGGTTTAAATCTGAGCTCTGCCACTTATAAGTTTGTCCTTGTGCAAGTTACTTGACTTCTTCGTATATGAATAACACAATGATATCTGGAAAATCTCCAACATTTGCAAACGAAATAACAAACTTCTAAATAGTCCAGAGCTTAATGTTAGGGCTGATGGAGGCTTTGGCCATTTGAAGTATCAGATAAAGGAAGTAGCATTTATATGTGTGGGAGATTTTAAAGTCATGCTTTAAATGTTAGTATATAAATCTTTGCACGTATGATAAATTTAAACAAAAAATTTTGTTTTACATATTTATATTTTAAATTTTCATATGTTTGATGCTATTGTAGATGGCATTTTTATTTGAATTTCTAATAGCTTATTAAAACTATATAATGAAATTATGTTTCTTTATACTTACATTCAGGTAAAAACTGTTATCTAAGGATGTTTTTCCCAGGAGAAAGTGCACTGGAAGAAATTACCTCTGCAATTTCTCAATGTATGTAAAATTTAACTACAAAAATCTTTGTCATTCGTAGATTAGAGAAGTTTAGAAATGATCTAATCCTGATTTTATAGATGAGGAAAACTAGACTCACAGCCAAGTTGCACCAAAGCTGAAACCAGGACCTAAATACCCAGACTCCTATACCCACTCCAAATACACAAACTTTATATTATATAAATAATTTGGCCTTAAGGAGTCTTTTAAAGGGATCTGTTCATCAAGAGGACTTAACAATCCTAATTGCACATGCATATAACGGAGCTTGAAAATACATGAAGCAAAAAGTAACAGAACTGAAAAGAGAAATAGATGAATTCATAATTATAGTCAGTGATTTCCACACTCTTTCAATAATCGACAGAACAGGTAGTTATAAAACTAGTAAGGATATAGAAGATTTGATCCATCCTGACCTAAGTGACATATATAATATAGAAAACAGAAAATAATAGGGAAAAAAATCAATAAAAGCAAAAACTAGATCTATGAGAAGATCAATAAAACCATAAATCTTTAGACTCGTAAGAAAAAAAAGAAAAAATGAATTATTAGGAATAAAAGAGGAGACGTTACTACAGACATTAATAGAATAATAATAGAATATTATGAAGAACTTTATACAAATAAATTTGATAATCAAGATAAAGTGGACACATTTTTAAAAATATATAAATACCAAATGTCACTCAAGAAGAAATAGATCATCTGAATAATCATATATTAATTATTAAATTTGTAGATAAAGACCTGTCTACAGAGAAGATTCCAGGTACAGATGACTTCATTAGTTAATTTTATCAAACATTTAAAAAATAAAAAAAACAATTCTACATATACTCTTCCAGAAAACAGAAGAGAAAAAACAATTTAAAATTTATTTTATAAGGCTGGTATTACACTGCCACCACAGCTAAAAAAATGTTGCAAGAAAAAAAAAAAACTGCAGACCAGTATCCCTCAGGAACATAGGCACAAAAATTCTTAACAAAATGTTACTAAATGATAAATAAAAAGATTGATATATTATAACCAAGTGAAATTTATCCCAGGAATAAAAAGTTGGGTCAGCATTTGAAAAAAATCAATGTAACTTACCATAGTAACAAATCAAGAAAGAAAATCATATGATTGTCTCAATAGAGGCAAAAAACCATTCGATAAACTTCAACATCCAATTATGGTAAAACAAAACAAAGTAAAGTCTCATAAAACTAAGAATAGAAGAAAATTTTCTCACCTTGATAAAGGGCATCTACAAAAAATCCTACAGCTAACATCATACTTTGTGAAAAAGTGAATGCATTCCCTCTAAACTAGGAACAAAGCTAGAACGTCTATGCTCATTACTTGTATTTAACATTGTTCTGGATGATTTTATCAGTACAATAAGGCAAGAAAAGAAATAAAAGGCATACAGTTTGAAGAGGAAAACTGAAAACTCTTTATTCTCAGATGATTTGATTTTCTATGAAGAAAATCCTAAGTAATCTCAAAAAAGCAACTAGAACTAATAAATGAATTTGGCAGGGTTGGGAATACAAAGCCAATATTAAAAAATCAATTATATTTCTTTATACTTTAACAAACTATTAGAAATTCAAATAAAAATGCCATTTACAGTAGCATCAAAAACTATGAAAATTTAAAATATAAAATATAAAAATTTAATTTTTATATTTAATATTAAAAAGATGTGCAAGTCCTGTAGACTGAAAACTACAAAATATTGCTGAGAAGCCAAGTGCAGTGCCACATACCTATAATCCTAGCACTTTGCAGGGCTGACGTGGAAGGATTATTTGAGCTCAGGAGCTCAAGACCAGCCTGGGACAAGAGATGGCCATGACCCATCTCTACAAAAAAATTAAAAATTAGCCAGGTGTGGTGCACATGCCTGTAGTCCCAGCTACTCCGGAGGCTGAGGTGGGAAGATCGCTTGAGCCCAGAAAGTCAAGGCTGCAGTGAGCTGTGGTCACACCAAATTCATGCAATTCCAATAAAAATATCAATAGACTTTTTTTTGGTAGAAATTAGCAGGCTGATTTTACAATTTACATGGAAATATGAAGGCTCTAGGATACCCAAAACAACTTTGAAAAATAACAAAATTGCCAACCTTACAAAACTGGATGTCAAGAATGATTACAAAGTGCGAGTTATCAAGTCAGTATGCTATTGATATAAAGGTAGACATATACATCAATGGAATGGAATAGAGAATTTGGAAATTGACTCAGATATACATGATCAATTGATTTTCACAAAGTTGCTAAGGCAATGCAATGGGGAAAGGACAATCTTTTCATTAACAATGATAAAACAAATGGACAGCAATATAAAGCAAAAAAAAAAAAGAATCTTACCTCTTACCTCATACATACAAAAATTTACTTTAGATGGATTACAGTCTTAAATCCAAGAGCTAAAACTATAAAACTTCTAGAAGAAACATTATATGAAATCTTAGAAACATTAGATTTGGCAAATATTTATTTAAAAGGACACAAAACAACAAATGTAAAAGAAAAAATCTAACACATTGGACTTTATCAAAATTAGTAAACTTCCCTATTTAAAAGACACTGTAATAAAAATGAAAATGCAAGCCACAACCTGGAAGAAAATATTTGCAAAACATATATCTGACAAAGAACTTTTATTTAGTATATATGAACTCTTACATCTTAATAAGACTAACAATCCAATAAAAAATGGGCAAAAGACTTGAAGAAAATACATTGATAACAAATAAGCACAGGGAAAGATGCTCAACATCATTGGTAACTGGGAAATGCAAATTAACCTGACAATGAAATACACCAACTAGAATACACCTGCTTTTTTTTTTTTTTTTTTTTTTTTGAGACGGAGTTTCTCTCTTGTTGCCCAGGCTGGAGTGCAATGGCACAATCTCGGCTCATTGCAACCTCCACTTCCCGGGTTCAAGCAATTCTCCTGCCTCAGCCTCCTGAGTAGCTGGGATTACAGGCATGCGCCACCACGTCCAGCTAATTTTGTATTTTTAGTAGAGACGGGGTCTCTCCATGTTGGTCAGGCTGGTCTAGAACTCCCAGCCTCAGGTGATCTGCCTACCTCAGCCTCCCAAAGTGCTGGGATTACAGGCATGAGCCACCGTGCCCGGCCCACCTGCTTTAATTTAAAAGACTGACTTAGTCTGTATTCTATTGCTATAACTGAATACTTGAGACTGGGCAATTTGTACAGAAAATGAATTTATTTCTTACACTTCTGGAGAATGAGAAGTCCAAGGTTAAGGAGGCATGTCTGGTGAGGTCCTTCTTGCTGGTAGGGACTCGGGGGAGTCCCAGGGCAAGGTGCTACAGGGCATTGCATGGCAAGGGGGCTGAGCATCTTAGCTTAGGTCTCTCCTTCTCCTCTTATAAAGCCACTAATGTCCCATTCTCATGACCTCATCTAATCCTAATTACTCCCTAAAAGTCCCACCTCTCAAATAGCATAGTCAGATTTTCCACCCTCTTAATACTTTTACAATGAGAATTAAGTTTTAACATGAGCTTCAGAGGAGACAAACATTCAAACCACAGAACTGATCATACCAACTGTTAGCAAGGAGGTGGACCAATACAAACTCTGATGTACTGATGGTGGAAATGTAAAATGTATAACCACTTTGGAAACGTGCTAGTTTCTTGGTGTATTCATATGTCAAAACATATCAAATGATACACTTTAATAGGTTCTGTTTGTTATATATCAATTATACCTCAATAAAGCTGTAAAATGTGTTTTTGAAAGATTATTTTGCTGGTATTTATATTCTCTAACTCCTGAAAAGCCTGAAAAACAAAAGTGTTACCTTTGCATTCCCCTTCTCCATCTTTTATTAAAACAACAATAACAACAACCCTCAAATTTGAATAAAACAGATAAGAAGACAAAAACCCAATTTATTCTATTTCAAAAATTTATAAATCACGTCTGCTTACGCCAATATTATTTTAGATGCAACAAATTAAGTTATTAGGCATTGTTGTTTTGTACTTAACCATGCTACAAAATCACTTAAATCTTGTTCTATTAAAATTTTCAGGTTTTTATGACATATTAGAATATTTAGACAGGCCCTTCTAGACTATAATCTAATACCGGGAACACTCTTTGCTGACACGTTAGCTGCTGGTGGTTAGTTAGTCAAAAAAGTGGTTAAAGGGGGAAAAACAATACAAAAATTACGTGTTTTAAAATTAAAGCTTATATTTTATGCATTCATTCACCAAATGTTCAGGGGAGTCTATTTCTTTCATTTGAGTTTTAGCCCCTGATCAGAGTTTTACGCTTTGTTTTAATAAGGCACAATCTCATTTGCATTATCTTCAATTTCATGGTTTCCATTTTATTAACATGGAGATAGAATATAAGACATTGCAGAGCAGTCCGAATGCAGAATCTTTCTGGATTTTTGCAATTCAATTTTTTTTTTTACAATTGCTTCACCTCCATGTAATTTACAAATATTTTTAAGCAACTCACTTTTTAAGCATTTTGAAGCCTTTGACTTAGTTTCCATCAAATTAAAGCTTAACGTTTCTGCATTCATATTTCTCATTTTATGTAGTATTTAATTAAATTCTGCAGTTGTAACAACTACTATAACTGGCATCAACAGATCTGGGGATAAACAATTGACCCTTGGTTAGCTTAAAACTCAAATACAGGAGCAGAAGCTCCCAGGTCTATCCTGGAGCATTCAGAGTCTTGTGATTAAACTATTGTTTACAGAACTCATTTGAAACACATTAATTTTATACTCTATGTATTTTATATAAAAAGTAAAGTAAAAAAGGTAGTACAATCACAGAAAAAACAAAGGATGGCAGTAATTCTGAAGTAAAATTGCACAGAATAATAAGACAAAGCAACGTGCTAAAAAGAGTGATTTATTTGAGTTATAATTGTGTAAGAAATAAGTATTAACTTTGGTGAAATATTAACCACATCAGCATATTAAAATGATTTATACTATCCCAAGGGAAATAATAATCAATATTGCAGAACTTATAGTGCTAGTTCTAAATTAATACAGAAATAATAATTTTCATGCATTGCAAAAACAATGATAGCATCACTGTGAATATTTCAGTTAAGTAATAACAAAGATATGCTTTTTATATTCTTTATCAATTCTTCCAGTTTATCCAACTATAGATCCTCTGCACCAAATTATGAGTGCATTTGGATATTTTCTACTATTATAGATTATATGGCAGTTTTATCTTTGAAATGTCTGTGAAATTATAGAAAAGAAAAATAACATCTTGCAACAACAGCTAATTTATAATTTTTATCAATCACTGAGGAAATATAATGATGCAGTTAGACTAAGAGCTTACAGTATTGCATATGAATGCAGAAGGGAACTAACCACTCACGGAAATGTCTTGGTAGACTGCCTATCCCCTTAAACATGCAAAACTGGTAAAATATGTATTTATCTGGCATTCTAATTTCCATAGCTAGATTAGTGAGCCATAAAATCCACACTGACTCTGTGAATATTGTTATCACTCTGAAACTTTATTGCACTGTTACTAATTCTAATAGCATGGAGTGCGTTCACATAAAGAGATAAAGCAAGGTAAGTGAAATCCTTTTGCACATATACTAACTGGTATTCTAGGAGCCGCCAAATAAATGCTACTCAAACATGGAAGGAAAGGCTGGGTGTGGTGGCTCACGCCTGTAATACCAGCACTTGGGGAGGCCCAGATGGGCAGATCATGATATCAAGAGTTCGAGACTAGCCTGGCCAACATAGTGAAACCCTGTCTCTATTTAAAAAAAAAATTACAAAAATTAGCAGGGTGTGGTGACATGCACCTCCAGTCCCAGCTACTTGGGAGGCTGAGGCAGGATAATTTCTTGAATCCGGAAGGCAGAGGTTGCAGTGAGCAGAGACTGCGCCATTGCACTCCAGCCTGGGTGACAGAGTGAGACTCTGTCTCAAAAAAAAGGAAGGAAAATGGAAAACTTCAGCAAATTGTCTTTATATATATTTTTTAATTTTCTACCTATCTGTATCCTTAATACCAAGTAGATAAAGCATTAGTACAGTGGAATTTTATACTCCAGATTAATTCCTTTTTAAAAACACTTGTACATTTTTTATTGTGGTAGAATATACATAACAGAAGTCACCATTGTAACCATCTTTAAGTGTAAAATTCAGTGGCATTCAGTGCCTTTACAATGTTGTGCAATCATCACTATCCATTTCCAGAGCTTTTTCATCATCCCAAACAGAAACTCTGTACTCATCAAAACAATAACTTCCCATTCCCTCCTGTATCCTGTCTGTGGTAACCTCTATTATACTGCCTTTATAAATTTGCTTATTTTAGGTACTTCATATGAGTTGGAGGGTTACCTGAACCTGTAAAAGGTCACTTAACCATCTGGTAAGCTAGATGCTTTGGGATAAAGAGGTATGTGATAAAACCGCTATGTCTTGTGGTCCTGTACCCACTGACTTACTACTTTTGCCATAAAATGAGACCCTCAGAGGTAATGTTGTGTCCATTGCTATGCTGATAGACATTCTGTAAGCCTCTGAAACTGTCCCCCAACCCCTTGGCCAAGATAGTGAATCACAAATAATACCACAGCTCAGAGGAAATGGTAGCCCCATCAACACTTAAAGAATTCAGTGGTTGAGATCCCCATCATATCTGCGCTCAATACACCTGTTTAGTCACTGCAAAAACCTTTTAGATCAAAAGCATTTCAGGCCACCACTACAATCATAATGAACATTAACCCTGTTAAGTACCTTAGCTACTGCATAACCCAGTACTTCACTTTTGACATGCACCTCATCTCAATCTTGGACAATTGAGAGCTCAGGAATTGCAGAGGAGTTTTACTGCAGTTTGTGAGTGATCCAGCCCCAAAATCTCATCCCAAAGGCCTGTTTTCTAGGGCCACTACTGATACCAATTGTCTTAGTTTAGCGTCTGAGATCTTGTTTCCTAGGAAACAGGCTCTGAGGTGGATATTTACATGCAGGAGGTTTATGGGGGAGTGTTCTCAAGAACAACACCTGTATGGGAGTGAGGAAAGCAAGACTGAGCAGAGGGAGAAGTTGAACTGTGATGTAGTTGCCATTTATTGGGCTTGGTGCATCCCATGTGTGTTAGTCCATTTGCATTGCTATTAAGAAACATCTGGGACTGGGTAATTTATAATGATGAAGTTTATTTGGCTCATGGTTCTGCAGGCTGCACATGAACCATGGTGCTAACATCTGCTTCTGGTGAGGGCCTCAGGAAGCTCACAGTCATGGCAGAAGGCAAAGGAGAGCCGGCGTGTCACATGGTGAGAGAAGGAGCAAGAGAAATGCCGGGCTCTTTTAAATAACCAGCTCTTGTGTGAACTCACTGAGTGAGAACTCACTCATTACCACGAGGACAGCACCAAGCCATTCATGAGGAATCCACCTCCATAACCCAAACACCTGCTACCAGACCTGACCTCCAACATTGGGGATCACATTTCAACATGAGATTTGGAGAGGACAAAACATCCAAACCATATCACCATGGAACTATCTGGAGTTGAGCTTGTTCTTCAAAGAGATCTTAAACAGAGACACGGTAGTTAGGATCCTTTACCCCTAAACCTACCAGTCACTGGGTTAGGCTGTGGGGAGAGTGGAGCAGCTCCCTTTGGCTAGGGTAGTGCTCCAAAAGGGACTCAGCAGGCCACATTCCCAGTGGCCAAGGGAAAGAGTACCGTGGGCTTGAAGAAGGGATCTGGTTGGTGCACCATGCATTTACTACATTTAGATTCCTCTGAAATCAGAGTTGAGACAAATGCTTTGCTGCAGATACTTTATTTAAGAAGTCATTGCAGGGAACAAGAGTGAGAGACAGGGAAGTGAAAGAGGATGAAAGAAACCTAGTGCAAAGATTCAGTATGTTGCTGCTTTGGAAAACTAATGCTCAATTCTGTGAGATCTTCTGAAGAGCCTTAGGAAATATATCATAGAAGTTTCCAGCTGGGAGAGAAGCATTTATTGATTGGCTTCCATTGGTCAAGGGGGCTACATGGGCATTAGACGTCCCTGTGCTTCCAGTTCTCTGATGTGTGAGTGTTGAGAATGCCAAGAAAAGGTGCTGTCAAATTACATCTGCGTGAAGATTGTAGATACCTGCATGGAATAGGTTGCCTAAGAGCAGAGTGGATTTGAAAGTGTCCACAAAAGGTGTCTAGTGCTTCTGAAAATATCTGACAGAATTTAAAACGTAAACTCTTTGTGATCCACAAATTCACTTACAGGAATTTATATGGTGGAAATTTGTGCATATAGGTGCAAATATCTATGTGAATTAGATAGGCTATGGGACCAGTTGCCTAGGTTTAAGGCCAGGCTCTGCTGCTATAAATAATATACCTGTAAATTATGTCACCTGTCACATAGAGTTGCCAACAGCATTAGACTTAAAATATACCACATGATCTGAATAGTGCCTTGCACACATTATGGTCTCAATACATGTCAGTATTACTCTTACAATAATATTTATTATAGCTACTGTTTATAGTAACAAAATACTAGAAATGGCCTACATATCCACCAATCAAACAGTAGGTAAATAAATTATAGTGTGATCACATGTAGGAAATTATCATATGCATCATATCTTCCAAAGTGAATAAAGCAAAGCAAAGTGGAGAAACTATGTCTAGTATGCTCCCATTTATGCAAAATGAACAGATAAGTGTATTTATGATAGAGATTATTAGTGCTTACTGATATCTGGCTCTCCCCTCCCACCTGGGCACACAGAAGATGACTCTACAGTTAAGTGGACCATGTGATTAAGCCCCTGTGCAACCTTCCAGCTCTTTCTTCACCCAAAACTGTATGTTGAGATGACAGCCTCACAAAGTGATGCAGCTTAAGCATGCAGTTTGATGCAGAAACAAACCTTTGTTGTATTCAGCCACTGAGATTTTGGGTTAAATTTGCTGCTACAGTATAACCTAGCCTATCTTGACTAATATAATATACTTCTGGGAAGATGATACAGAAAAATTAAAACACCAGTTGCTGCAGAGAGGAGAACCAGAGACTATCAGGGGGTTGGAGGGAGACTGATGCTGACCTCTACATCCTTTCATGTTACTTGAATTTTTAAACTACAACTTTTTTTAAAAAATTAAATATAATTTGGGTCTGACAGGAACCATCAATTTTCCTTAAAACATAAGAAAAGCTGCAACCCTCATCTCCTTCAAAACAAAAACAAAAGCTAAAACATCCTTCCCCTACCTGAAAAAGACTAAACCTCAGAAATCATTCAGCCTGGTCCTGTTATTTCCTCCAAGAATGTTCACTAACTTAAATAGACATGCAGAAAAACAACATTTTAGGAAAGGAAGAAAGTTAAACTGGTGAGGGGTGGAGTGGGATGTGTAACAGTGGATGGGGAGAAAGTGACAGGGGCATTGCACTGGAGGTCTCAAAGCAGTTGAAGAGTTTTTGCAGTGGTGCCCATGAAAGTAATCTGGAAAAATAATTGCTGGTGATCAGGGAATGGGATACTTGAAGAAAAGAATTACTAGTTATGACAGGGTCCAGAAGCTGGCAGCTGAGTTAGGGTAAAAGTAAAAGACAGTATGATTCTGATATTTTAATACAAGTTCTATGAAATCTGGTTTTGTTTTATATCTCATTGTGCTAATAACATTCTGAGTGATTGCAATATATATGCCATATTTCCTAACATAGATGGTCATGATGAAATAAATCTTTATCATTTTACCTGAAAGAGCTTTTGCAAAGGAATTTCTGATTTTTCTATGAATTTCATCTGCAAAGGATGGTATGACATATTGCCAATCAATAGTGACCTAGCCGGATATTCGCAGGGCAGCTATGACAAAGGTGGATGGCAGTTTCACAATAAGGATGAATAATGCGGAAGATGAAAGATAACCTTGACACATAACTCAGTTAAGAGGGAAATTGGAAAGTATTTAAAGATTCTGATTCGTACCAATAGGCCATTCTATGGGATTATATCTAAAATAATAAAAAGACATTTATATAGATGATTTCCTTGAGCCACAGACAAATTTTCTTGATGACTGGAGAACTATGGCATTTTGGAAAATAGATGAAGGGTTTTATTAACAAGAAAAAATACAACCATTCTCAATAACACTAGGAAATGTTGTGGGAGAAATTAATCAATCAAAGCAGTCATTTGGCACCTACTGTATGCCTCGACAATGGGATGGATGCTATTTGGGGGCTACATGATATTTGTTTTGTTTTGTTTTAAGACGGAGTCTTGCTCTGTCGCCCAGGCTGGAGTCAACTGGTGAAATCTTGGTTCACTGTAACCTCCGCCTCCTGGGTTCAAGCAATTCTCCTGCCTCAGCCTCCCGAGTAGCTGGGACTACAGATGTATGCCACCATGCCCGGCTAATTTTTGTATTTTTAGTACAGATGGGGTTTCACCATGTTGGCCAGGCTGGTCTCGAACCCTTGACTTCAAGTGATCTGCCTGCCTCGGCCTCCCAAAGTGCTGGGATTATAGGCGTGAGCCACCGCGCCTGGCGGAGAGGCTACATGATATTTGATCTTAAGGTACTTTTTGTTCATTTGGCCAGGTGTGGAATGAGAAAATATTCCTCAAAAGAATGATGAAAATAAGATGGTAATCAGTGATGAATTGCAAGGTAAAGAATAAAAGTAGTATAGAAATTCGGAGAAAGGTGAGCCCAGGAAAGTTGAAATACATGGTGAAGGCTCAGTGGAAGTCATTGTCAGCTGGGTTTGGAATGAGAAGACCTGGAATAAAATCTGTTGCTGCCATCTACAGCCTTTGTGACCTTGAATAAGTTTATTTAAATTGCCTTCATTTCCTAATTTGTAAAGTAAGAATGATAATAGCTTCCTTGCAGTGTTGTGAAGAGCATGCCAGTCCTTGTCCTGTTTGCGATGACAGATGCATTTCTTGCATTTTCTATGTCCCAGTGGTATGGGGGTGGTGAGCAGCTGTGTTTCCCAGGTGCTAGGGACTGAATTGTGCCCCCTCCAAATTCACATGTTGAAACCCTACTCTCCAGTGTGATTGTTTCTAGAGATGGGGTCTTCAGGAGATAATTAAGGTTAAATCAGGTCATAAGCGTAGGGCCGTAGCCTTATAAGATGAGGAAGAGAAAGAGATGTCTCTCTCTCTCTCTCTCTCTCCAACATGTGAGGACACAGCAAGAAGGTGGCCATCTACAAGCCAGGAAGAAACCTACCTTTGCCAGAAACCTACCATACTGACCTCTTGATTTTGAACTTCCCAGTCTCCAGAACTGTGAGAAATAAATGCCTATTTTTTAAGCCACCCAGTCTGTGATATTTTGTTATTGCAGCATGAACTGGCTGAGACACCAGGTTCCTGTGTCATGCCAATGGCAAGTACAGAGAAGACTGGAAAGTGAGAAGAAGAGAAAAGCCAGAGTATTTATTTTCTTCTCTTTCCCTGCAGCATCTTCAGGAACAGTTGTGCCTCTTTTATGACCTCAGTTCCCTCGTCTCTAGGCTGACTGTGGTTCTGGCCCTGAATTCCAGTAACACCACCCGCTATTTTTGTCCTTCCAGCTTAGGGGAGCCAGAAACATCCTGCTGTTGCTAATGTCTACGTTGTTTACAGTTTCACTTTCAGCCTTTCCATCTCCTATGTTACCAATTTCCAGTATTAAATTCCCTCTATTGTAAATAAGTAAATATATTTTCTGTTTTCTAGTTGAATTTTCACTAAGACAGAGTAAATTTTAAAATGTAGTATTGTGAAGCTATAATGTGCCATATAAATAACAACTATCCATACACTCAGTGGTCATACTGGACATTTCTATCTTTGCTTGTCCTGCCCACAAGGTCTGTTTGGCCATTTTTGTGATCTGTCTTCTCTGATCTAATTGATTATTCCAGAAGACCCACAAAGGGCCAATCACAGGTCACATTGCTGACTCTATCTAAGTCCCTCTCTCAGAAACTTGAATTAGGAAACACAAAGGGACATTAAAAATTTTTTTCTAGAGAGGGGTCTCACTTTGTTGCCCTGGCTGGAGTGCAGTGGCACGATCATAGTTCATTGATGCCTGGGTACAAGTGATTCTTTTGCCTTAGCCTCTGGAGTAGCTAGGACTACATGTGTGCACCACCACACATGACTAATTTTTAAAACATTTTTTGTAGAGACAGGGTCTCGCTTTGTAGTCCAGGCTGGTCTTGAACTCCTGGCCTCAAGAAATCCTTCTGCCTTGGTCTCCCAAAGTGTTGGGATTACAGGCGTGAGCCACTTTGCATGTCCACAAAAGACCATTTTAGTTGGTGGTGCTCACTGGAGCTGAGAAGCCAAGCTATGAAGTCATACCAGATGACCATGTTCTGATAAGTAGAAGAATCCAATCACGAGAGAGAGGACTAAGGACAAAGTCACATGGTTCCTGAGAAGTAGAGAATGTAGCCTTGGTTTCAAGTAACTCAGGAATGGAAAACCAAGCATTGTATGTTCTCACTGATATGTGGGAGCTAAGCTATGAGGACGCAAAGGCATAAGAATGATACAATGGACTTTTGGGACTTGGGGGGAAGAGTGGAAGGGGGACAAGGATAGAAGACTACAAATATGGTGCAGTGTACACTGCTCAGGTGATGGGTGCACCAACATCTCACAAATCACCACTAAAGAACTTACTCATGTAACCAAATACTACCTGTACCCTAATAACTTATGGAAAAATTTTAAAAAGAAACAAAAACAAATAGCTTTCTAATCCTCAGTACCACTTTTGCACAAGGCTTGCTATTCCTAACCTCATATTTCATGAGATTCTTTATATGTCTTACATATCTGTCTCTTTGTTGGAGCTAGCTTGGGTATCTGTGATTTTGAACCCTGACTAGAACACTATGTGTGTCCGTGTACACACACACACACACACACACCCCTTTTCTGAGTTTGAGCTGCTGTTAAAAATATTCAGCTTGTGACTGGGCAAAGAAAGTTACGTGGAATTGTGTTTGGGATAAACAACAGGAACAAAAGTCCATGAATGAGAGATGAAACTCTAAAACATCTTTGACTGCTCTGCTTATTTTAACTAACCTAAAGTTTATCAAGATGCCTTAAAGGTTTAAGCAAAATTATTTTTAAGTTAAATATAGTTGGAGTTTTATAGCCCTCACCCTATACAGTTAGCTAATAATGTTGGTGTTCACTGAAGCTGGCTTTAAAATAATTACAACACTAAAAACAGAGCAGCAGTGATCATTACATTAAAATGTATTAAAAACCATCAAGATCAAGGTAATGGTAGATTGAAGAAAAGAAAAAAAATACATTAAAAACTGGATTTATAAGTGGTAACTTTCTCCATGGCCTCAAGGTAATGCCACCAGGTCTCAACAAAAATCGGGCCAGGAAGAAAATACAGTAGGTAAGGGCTCTCTCTGGAAACTCTTCTATTTGTAATTTCCTGAAGACAAATTTTTGAAACTCACTTAGAGCACCTAATAGATCACAATTACCATACACAACAGGTTTTTTTGTTCCATTTTGTCTTGCTATTAGGTATTCATTCTCTGCCCAACGAAGAGTCCTGCTACTGAGATAACACCATTCCTGTGTTGATTCACTGGCTACATTCTAAAGCAGGTTGTGTATCATTTTGTTATCGTAATGTAAAATATAACAGAGAAAGGACTTGGATGGAAAAGAGAAATGTGCTGTCTGAGGAAAGTCCAGCTTGCAAAGTTTTCATAGATACTGGTCAGCTTCACCAGTATCTGGAATTTGTCTGGAAGTTGTTGTTGCTTTATTAAAAAGAAAAATTTCCAGACACCATATTTGTATACTCCAGTGGGTTTTAGCTGATTATACAAATCTATTTGTTGTCAAAAGGCCACAAATATCTTAATGAACTTTTTGATCACACACAGTCAGGTATTTTTTAACATCTGTAACTATGTAATTTGAGCTGTCATTGACTTTAGGGATAATACAATCCATGTGAAAAAGCACAAAAGTTTCTTCCCATTCCAAATATTAGATTATATTAATGATACTTAATAATTGTTTATATTTTATGCATATTTAACTGCTATTGTGAAATGGTCGAGTATTCTTTTTTAAAATTTTTATTTTAAAAATGTTTTTTCGAGACAAGGTCTTGCTCTGTCACCCACGCTGGAGTGCAGTGATGTGATCACGGTTCACTACATATCTCAAACTCCTGGGCTTGAGCAATCCCCTCCCTCAGCCTCCCGAGTAGGTAGGACTGCAGGTGTGTGCCACTACACCTGGCTAATTTTTTAAACTTTATTTGTAGAGGCAGGAGTCTTCCTATGTTGCCCAGGCTAGTCTCAAACTCCTAGGCTCAAGTGATCCTCTTGCTTTGGCCTCCCATGGTGCTGGGATTACAGAAGTGAGCTATTGCACCTGGCCTGAATATTCATATTGGGGCAGAGAATGTTATCTTTTATGTGTTATCAGAAATGATCAGTAGTCATTATTAGAGACCAGACTCATTCCAGATTTCTAGACCTGTTTCTTTGTCTTTTTACAGAATCGTACTTCTATAAAATGTCATTTATAGAAGCAACTTTTATGAAACCCGATTTTGATTAATTTATTAATATTTTAGCTTTCTATTGAATGTTTAAATAATAAAGTATAAAATTATTACCAGAAGAGTTTTCTTAAAATGCAGATGTTTTATGTATCTTATAGATAAATGTTTTAAAAATAAAACAAAATAATTTTTAAAAATTTGTCCTCTTGAACCCTGTGACTGTGAGAAGAGTGGTACTAACATTTATTACTTTGCTATTTATTGTAGTCAAGGTCTGTCTTTTAAATTCTGTCGCTCTAGCAAGGTTATTTTCATTGCACTGGATCCCCTGAGCATTCTGTATTTTGGGATCTGGCTCCTCTTTCAAATAGAAGTATGTAAGTCTTTGTAGCAGCTGCTGGACTGTGAAGAACTGCTGGTCAACTGTGTTTTATTTCTCTATTTGGCTGCCTGGCATCTCTGGCCTGCCTTGACCTGCAGCACCCATGTCTCCACTAGTTCCTGCCAAACTCTATACTGCATCCCAAGGCCAATCTCTTTAAATTGGTTGAGGCAAAAGCAGCGAGGCAGTCTGCCCATGCCTTGGTGTTCTTCTCCACCCTCATCCCTAGGCGGCTCTATTTTGTTGTGCGTTCTGTTTTGCTGATACTCTAGTTCTTTGCATTGTTGGGACCCATTACTGTCCTCTAACCCCCAGCATTTTGATTCCCTGCTTTTGCTAAAGTCAGTTTGGGTCATACTCAATTTGAGTCTTCTGAATGTCAGTCTTGACTTACCAACTTGGACATGAGGTTTTGATACAAGCCCTGACTTCGTTTCGTGCATGAGTAACAGACCAGTGAACTGATTCTAGTTTCTCCTGCTGACCATGGAATTGGCTTTTTCTCCAGGGCAAAGCCTTTCCTGACTCGTTGTATTCTCTCTTCTTAATTTACTCTCTGCTGCTCTTGAATCAGGAGTGTGGCATATCCAAGATTCCTCAATGTCCACTGTGCCTGCTGGCTTCCTGCTCTCCTTTGCTAACCAACATTGCCTCCTGGCCCTTGGTCTTCTCCAGCTACTCTTTGAGCCCCTGAAGTACCAAAAATAACAATAGGAGTTTGACAGCTTTTGACTACATTTGAATTACTTCTTTCTCCAGATCTTCAGGTTCTATAATCCATCAATGCCTAAACTTCTAGCATGGCAGGCTATAACAAGCCAGCAATAGTAGGAAATAGTGCCATCAACACTCATCAAAGACTTCAGCGATAAATATAGTGACACCTGTACATCAATTCCTAAATTATTTTTTAAGACTCAACAATGTTTCAGGAAACCTGCAACAAAAAGTCTAAATTAATAAATGATGTGTTTTATTTTATCTTAAACCTTACGTAAGTATAAAATGCAAAAATTATCTGCTTCTGGGAAAAATCTTTTTCTAGGATTAGTTTTATATTGTAACATTTCAAATTCAAATGAAAACTAAGATTTTAGAGGGTGAATTTCTCAAGTTCATGTTTAATAAAGATCACATCTGTAAATGATCCTCCTGTATTACGAGCATGATATAATGGTGATATTGCCTCAGGGTGACTCTTCAGATCTTGCTCTAAGAGGTCCTGGTAGCCATATACTAGAACCCCTAGGAGTAAGGAGCTCGAGGGACTGCGGTAGCTTGCAGGTACTATTAGAGTCACTAAGATGCAGTGAAGCTGAATATCCAAGTGATTCAGGAGACCATATGTTATGAGTGTCTAGCCAGGTATGTTGGATGTGACCAATTAGCACTTGGCCTTAATTTCTGCTTCCTAGTGTGATGTCTTGGGTTCCAGAGGCTCAAAAGTTTTTTTAAAAAAACCATTTCTCAGACTCATTTGCAGCTAGCACTCTCAATACTTGTTAAGGGCTTCTAAAAAGATGCATTTGTGTGAGTTTTGGAAATGAAATGTGAGGTGGAATTTACTTTCTATTGTGTTTGGCTATTTTCTGCTGGCAAGAATAGTTATGGAGTTTTTCTGCAGCCGTGTTCCAGGATCCACTCTCCAGTTTCATGGATGTGAGAGACACTTGTAGGGCAAACAGTGACAGCCACATGTTCCAATGTCTTGACACCTGCTTGAGGGCATTGAGTGGGAGTGGCAGGGGTTTCTTGATTCCAATCTTCTTACTTCCCTGTATTCCTATTATTTTCCATGTCACTAAATGAGAGAAATACAACCAAAAGTAGAAGGTGGAAGTGTTGGCATACCAGTTCTGAGCCTAGCCCTTAAGAGGACTTGTGGGTTTCCACTCACCCTTATGACATCACCATGAGATGACTACACTGTACTCCAGTAAACATGCTGGTCCCAGCAGGTAGATGAGAAACACATGGAGCAGAGCTTCCTGCCTCAGTCCAGCTGCTCCCAGAAAGTCTAGCCTAGATTAGCCAACTGCAGGCACAAAGCTAAATATATATTTATTGTTGTAGGCCAGTGAAGTTTTGTCGTTATTTGTTAAGCATCATTATTGTAGTCAGAGTTGATACAACAGTAATAGTGGTTTACTATTGAACTCAGTCGTTCTAATAACAACTTTTTGTTTCCCCTCATTTGTGATTGTGACAAACGTAATTGCTCCCCTGGCAGATGGTTTTATAGTGTTCTGGCAATCATTCTGGAAGTCCAGTCTAGAGCTTGTTGCTCCAGTGCATCAGATAGTTTCTAAGTGTCTAATTTCATTTCTGCTTAAAATAACTAGATTCACCTTAGACTCATTAGGGTGGCTGCTGTTAAAAAAAAAACAGAAAATAAGTGTTGGTGAGGATGTGGAGAAATAGGAAACTTTGTTCACTGTCATGGAAATATAAAATGGTGCAGCTGCTGTGAAAAACAGTATATGTGGCAATTCCTCAAAAAATTAAAAACAGAATTACCATATGATCCAGCAATTTCACTTCTGTGTTTATAGCCAATAGCATTGAAAGCAGAGAAGTCCATCAATAGATGGACTGCTAAACAAAGTGTGGTATCTACATACAATGGAGTATTATACAGCCTTAAAAAGGAAGGAAATTCCTACACATACTACAACATGAATGAACCTTGAGGGCATTATATTAGGTGAAATAAGCCAGTCACAAAAGGGCAAGTGTTGTATTGTTCCACTTATATGAGGTATCTAGAGTCGTCAAATTCATAGACAGAAAGTAGAATGATGGTTGCCAGTGGCTGGGGGAAGGGAGGATGGGGAAATATTGTTAACAGAAACAGAGTTTTCATTTTGCAAAATGAAAACAGTTCTGGAGATGGTTGGTGATGGTGTCTATATGGCAATGTGAATGTGCTTAATGTCACGGAACTATACACTTAAAAATTGTTATGATGATAAATTTTGTTATGTGTATTTTACACAATTAAAAATAATTTTTAAAAAGAATCTAGAGTGTTTTTGTTTTCTGCATTAAAACCTGAATTACCATCAAGGACCATGGGAAGGACCATACCAATCATTCAGAATGAGTCCCCTCAGTGGGCCTCTGCATTTGATCTCATGAGTGACATTCCACTTCTCACCCAGTACAGGATGCCTAATTAAGGTTGCAGTGGGGCCCTTCTTTTTGAATATGAAGGGGCTTTTCCCCTAATCTGAGTGAGGAATAGAAATCAGAGAAGACAGTCTTAACGTCTCTCCTATCCACAGAGTTGTTTTCCTTGGTAGGTCCTTCTTGGGTGAGTGATACTTACTGGGAACTCCACCTAGTAATTCTCAGGGATGACTGGTACCCCTCCCCACCTCTGCCAAATCTCCCTGTGTGATGGCTGTGTGATGTCTGAGATTAACTAAGTTAAACTGCATTTTCCAGAATTCCGTTTGTAGTGCAGTACCAGATAGAGTGGGCTATAAGAGACACACTCCTGTGAGAGCTGGAAAATGAAGGGAAGCAGTAGCCATTTGTTAGCATATACAATCCTCCCAGTTATCCAATCAAACACCAGTCTAGGTGCTGCTGTGAAGGACTTTTGCAAATGTAATTAAAGTTCTTCATCAGTTGACTTTAAGTTATCCTGCGTGGGTCTGACCTTACCAGTTGGAAGGCCTTAAAAGAGGGCATAGGGCTTCTTTGGGGACAGAGAGAAAAAAAAGGAGGGAGGAGAGAAGATGGGGGAGAGTGTGTATGTCTGTGCCCATGGGTTCTGGCCTGCTTATAATCTTCTCTTCTGACCTCCTGTGAACAAGCTCCTGGCTGTGCCCTTGGGGTTTCTGCTTGTTTGTGATCTTCTTTTCATGACTGCTTGCCCCACAGACTTTGGACTTACTTGGCCAGCTGCACAATTGCACGCGCGCGCGCACACACACACACACACACACACACGAGGAGATATATTTATCTTCTACTACTCTGCTTCACTGGTTGAACTCGGACTGATACATCCTGCAAAATGATCAGGAAACAGCAGCCCTTTCTGAGCAGCTTCTGCCTTGCTCGTCTTCCCCAGATGCACACAGGCTGTATGATGTTGAAGATAAAGGCAGCCCTCCAAGAATATAATGGTGAGGGAGAACCAGGGGCTGTGACTTTAAAACTTTCCTTTTCCTTTGTACACAAGGGGCTGGAGGCATCACAGGCTTGGCCTTCAGATGGAAGGTACTACACACAAATACTCCCTGTGTGCCAAGCCCTCCTTCATTCTCACTCTCTCGTCTTATTCAAATCCTTGGTCCTGTTTCACAACCCCCTCTTTGAAGACTCTAAGCTGATGTTCGTTATTCCCTGCCCCCCACACAGGAGGGAGCAGTTCAGATACTTCCATTGCTTACTCTGCTGTACAAATTCCAGGCCTCAGGTTTCAGAGGGATGCTGACAGATGCTCTACCATCTACCCAGGCTTGAACAGTGAAGAGGATGAAACAGTATCTGCTCATCTCAATAGAGAAGACAGAAGTTCCCTGATTCCATTTGAGGCTCCTCACCTGTGAGAACAGTAGGTGATGTCTTCACTAGTTACCTAAGAAGCAAACAGATCTCACCTAGAAAGCACATGCAACATGGCCTGGGCTTACAGGACCACAACACATTTCTCCTGTTCATAGACTCCTCTTGACCCTGTTTACATTACAAATCTCGCCCTAAAGGGTGGCTCTAAGATTTTTTAAAAGGTTGGCACAGATTCCATTTAGTTTCTTTCTGATGCCCAGATTACTCCCTGAGTTGAAATGTGGATGAAAATAGTTCCTTTTACCTTATTGCTTCTACCCAGAGTGAGGTAGATTTGAACTGCATCTTGGTTCAGGAAGTTCCCCGAGCCCCTGGACTTGTCATTTATGTGAATCTGTAGGCAGATTCTGGCTACGCTCCACCCTCTGGCTCATTTGGGGATCAGGATACTAGGATGTAGGGCCAAGCCTGTTTTTCTCCATTGTCATCTATGTAATAGCCTGAGTAAGGCACCAGCACAAAAGGGTACACCCTCTCACTATGCAAAAAGGGGTGTTAGTGTAGCCTGCATTTACAAAAAATGCACTCTCCAGTGCCAACTCCCACTTCGTGTCCATGCATACTCCTTATCCAGGCTTGCCTCAGAAGTATCCAATGTAAGGACTTAGGCCAGATTAGCAGACAGACAACATGTAGTACAGGCTGGTAGTGGCTAACCCTAGTCCTCGGAGTTTTCAGTCTCTAGACTTCCACTTGCCAATATCTGCATATCTGCTGCAGGGATCTTCCCTCCACCCCCCAACTACAACTGTGGAAAACCATGTTGCCCAATTAAGAGTTAACTTCTGCCCTCTCACTCCAGTAAGCCCTCAATTATTGACTTTTTTTTTTTTTTGAGATAGGATCTCCCTCTGTCACCCAAGCTGGACTGCAGTGGCGCAATCTCAGCTCACTATAACCTCGGCTTCCTGAGCTCAAGCGATTCTCCCACCTCAGCCTCCTGAGTAGCTGAGATTACAAGTGCGTGCCACAACACTGGGCTAATTTTTGTATTTTTCATAAAGATGGAGTTTCACCATGTTGGCCAGACTGGTCTTGAACTCCTGGGCTCAAGTGATCCACCTGCCTTGGCTATCCAAAGTGCTGGGATTACAGGCATCAGCCACCACACCTGGCCAATTGTTGACTCTTGTAGAAATGTACAAAATGTATACATTTTATGTATAAATATCCCAACTCCCTCACCTCACAGCTTGGGTAATTCTGAGACATACGTTTTGCACTATTTGTAAGGATTTCTACATGGGAAATAGAGCACCAGCTTCCACTGTGGCAGCTCACCTAATAGCACTCCTACTGGTTGCTTTCTCTTTCTGTCTTTATATATCATGTTCTCACTTCTTTACCTGTGTTATTTTTGTTTCTCTAATAAAACTACTTGCACTAATATCCTTGTCTTGAGTCTGCTTTTGGGAAAACTCCAACAAAGCCACAAATATGTTCTTTGTTTCTTAGGTCTTCTTTTGAGTTCCTGGAACTGCAGCCATAGTACCTACCTCTCCAACTGAATGGCTGAAAGGCTGTATCTGCTCAGGTGAGGGTATTATACACAACACATAACAAGACCAGGAAGTTCATAGAGCCTTCCTGGCAGGGCTCCATGCTGCATGTGAGGCCATGTATCTTTGCCTCTCTTCTTCTGCAGGAGAAAAGCAATACTACCTCTTCTGTTTTCCTCCAAGTCACTGGGATCTGGGATTTGAGTTTCAGAGCTGCACTATGAAGTCTGAAAATGGACCTGGATTTCCATCCAGTGGTTCCCAGCAGAAAAAGTCAAGTTGTCCTAGTGTGATAAACTGAGATGGGTGTGGGGTAGTTAGTGGGAGCAAAGAGCAAATGTGGGGAAAAGCAAAGCAAATGAATGAGAGATAATTGCCAGATAGGAAATATAAGACTTTACGTTTACTTTTATTCAGTGCTTGTGCTGGTTACACAATGTGTGGTGGGTCAGCCTGGGTTAAAGGCACAGTTGGAGATAAACCTTAAATTACCTTGATTTTCCTACAGAAAAATTATCTCACTAAAGTTGGTAAAATTATTTTTGGTCCTGAACCCTACTTCTTTCCTCTTCTCATATTAAAACCGAATACATTAAAAGGAAAAAGTTGATGCAGTGAAGGTTGGCTTGAGGAATCACTTCAGGCTCTACCTTTTGCTCTTCCCATCAACCTTTGCTCTCTTCGGTTTCTGTCTTTGTTTCTGTACCTACATTATCCCTGCATCCCTGAGAGAACTGAAAACTCACCCTAGCCTTGAAGAACTCGTAATCTAGTTGAGTAAGCAGCCATATAAACAGATTCAAATGGTAGATAGTAAGTGCTAAATAAGGCCATAACTTAAGTGCTATGGAAACACAAGACAAAGCAGCTAATTCTACTGGGGGCATGGAAGATGGATGAATGAAAAGGCACTGAAAAATGAAGAGATTTTCAAGCTGAGAGGTGCAGCAAGGACATTTCAGGCAGAAGGGCCACCATATCTACTCTATTTGTGATTCTTGTGATCTTATTTTTAGGTAAATAAATCTTGTAAGGCTGGTTGTGAACTTGAAAAAACTTCAAATGAGTTCCTTGAGAGCTCTTGGGGAAAGAGAATCGATATGGGAAGTTAGTATTTTGGCAAAAAAATATTTTTTTTTCAGAACCATCTCTGATGTGTAGCTTCTGAAATTTTGACATTTGTTTCTTATGAATTAAGAACTTTAATGGATAAGCTAAATAATTTGAAAGTACTACCCACAGGAAACATTAATGAAGGTCAAGCACACATATAAAGTCGCTTGATGTGTATATTGCTTTTTGATTAAAGGGAAAGAATGCCTAGAGTTCAGATTTCAAAAGCAATTTCCAAATACATTTGGGCAAGGTATGAATTCAGATCCTGACTTTTCATCTTAAAAAAAAAAAAAGATTTCCTATGAAGTCTTTGACTCTCTGAAAGCATTGCTATAGTATTAAGATTCTGAAGAGTTTTGACTAGGGAGTAACGAGTTTACTTTTGCTAAACATAGATTGGAGATCCTTTTCTTTATTGATGGAAAAGTTTTTTAAATTTAGTGATATGGTTTGGCTGTGTCCCCACGCAAATCTCATCTTGAATTTTCATGTATTGTTAGAGGGACCTGGTAGGAGGTAATTGAATCATGGGGCAGGTCTTTCCTCTGCTGTTCTTATGACTGTAAGTCTCACCAGAGCTGATGGTTTTAAAAAGGGGAGTTTCTCTGCACAAGCTCTCTTCTCTTGTCTGCCACCAAGTGAGATGTGCCTTTTACCTTCCACCATGATTGTGAGGCCTCCCCAGCCACAGGGAATTTTAAGTCCATTAAAACCTCTTTTTCTTCCCAGTCTTGGATATGTCTTTATCAGCAGTGGGAAAACAGACTAACACATTTAGGGATACTTTTCATTGCACTTATTGTTGATATGAAACAATTTTCACTTGGACGTTTGTACGCAGGAGATTCGATACTGTGAAGGAAAATACTCATGAATATGCAACTTTCTCCAGTTCTACCATTTATTAGGAGTCTGTGGGTTGTGTTAGATTCTGAGCTATTGTCGTTGGTAAGGTCTAGTAACAGCATTGCTTCTCCATGATGTTAGAAGTCCTTTCTTGTTACTGTATTATTACCAGCACTTGGGTTCTATCTCTTGGTTGATAATGGCTGCTTCAGCTACAACCAGTGATCAATTTAATTTAAAACAAATGAAGCTTCAGCTTCACTTGCATGAGGTCTTTTCACGTGATGTGAACGCTGGAGGAGCTGCAGGCTTTTCTGGGATTTGACTGCAGGGGTTCTTAACCACTTTTTTGTTCCATGGATGGTTTTGGCACTCTGGTGAAGTCTACAGACTCCTTCTCAGAATAATGTTCTTACAAATTTAAAGTAAAATGCATACAATTACAGAAAAAATCAATCATATTAAGAACGAATTATCAAAATATTTTGAAAATTTGTGATATAGAAATATATCTGCTCCTTTATTAATGCATTAAATAATAAAATTTAATGATTACAAGGCTCTTGCATTGGTTCGAACCGGGAGAGTGCGCCAACAGACAACACGAGGTGGTATGGAGCAAGAGGCTCTTTTAATGAGCACCTGGGTGCAGACTGGCTGAGGCCTAAAATGGCGTCAGCCCCAAATGAGGACTGGGCAGGGGTTTTATAGTCCTCTGTAAACAGGAAGTGTCCCAGTCTGACATGACTGCTACGTAGTACCCGGACGGCCTCCCTCTCCATCTTCAGGGGTTATGTGTCTTCCGGCCAGCTCTGTTCCTGCTTCTGCTATCTTGCTGACTGCACGCTACTGGCGCAGGTGGCCTTGCGCCTTGGGACTGGGCCTGAGGAGGGAGGAGTTATTCATTCCCTTAAGCTTTCAGGCCCTGGGGAGAATCTTTCAAGGATGAGCTTAATAACTACTGTGTCCAGAATTGGTGGGTTCTTGGCCTCACTGACTTCAAGAATGAAGCCGCCGACCCTCCAGGTGAGTGTTACAGCTCTTAAGGTGGCGTGTCTGGAGTTTGTTCCTTCTGATGTTTGGATGTGTTCGGAGTTTCTTTCTTCTGGTGGGTTCGTGCTCTCGCTGGCTCAGGAGTGAAGCTGCAGACCTTCGTGGTGAGTGTTACAGCTCTTTAAGGTGGCGCGTCTGGAGTTTGTTCCTTCTGATGTTCAGATGTGTTCGGAGTTTCTTCCTTCTGGTGGGTTCCTGGTCTTGCTGGCTCAGGAGTGAAGCTGCAGACCTTCGCGGTGATTGTTACAGCTCTTAAGGCGGCGCGTCTGGAGTTGTTCGTTCCTCCCGGTGGGCTCGTGGTGTGGTCTCGCTGGCTTCAGGAGTGAAGCTGCAGACTTTCGCGGTGAGTGTTACAGCTCATAAAAGCAGTCCGTGGACCCAAAGAGTGAGCAGTAGCAAGATTTATTGCAAAGAGCGAAAGAACAAAGCTTCCGCCGTGTGGAATGGGACTCCAGCGGGCTGTCACTGCTGGCTCGGGCAGCCTGCTTTCATTCTCTTATCCGGCCCCACCCACCTCCTGCTGATTGGTAGAGCGGAGTGGTCTGTTTTGACAGCGCGCTGATTGGTGCCTTTACAATCCCTGAGCTAGACACAAAGGTTCTCCACATCCCCACCAGATTAGCTAGATACAGAGTGCCCACACAAAGGTTCTCCAAGGCCCCACCAGAGTAGCTAGATACAGAGTGTCGATTGGTGCATGCACAAACCCTGAGCTAGACACAGGGTGCTGATTGGTGTGTTTACAAACCTTGAGCTGGATACACAGTGCCGATTGGTGTATTTACAATCCCTGAGCTAGACATAAAGGTTTTCCACGTCCCCACCAGACTCAGGAGCCCAGCTGGCTTCACCCAGTGGATCCCACACCGGGGCTGCAGGTGGAGCTGCCTGCCAGTCCCGCGCGGTGCGCCCGCACTCCTCAGCCCTTGGGTGGTGGATGGGACTGGGCACTGTGGAGCAGGGGGCGGCTCTCATCGGGGAGGCTCTGGCCGCACAGGAGCCCATGGAGGGGGTGGGAGGCTCAGGCATGGCGGGCTGTAGGTCCCGAGCCCTGCCCCGCGGGAAGACAGCTAAGACCCTGTGAGAAATTGAGAGCAGCGCCGGTGGGCTAGCACTGCTGGGGTACCCAGTACACCCTCTGCAGCTGCTGGCCCCGGTGCTAAGCCCCTCATTGCCCGGGCTGGCAGGGCCGGCGGGCTGCTCCAAGTGCGGGGACCGCCAAGGTCACGCCCACGGGGAACTCCAGCTGGCCCGCAAGCGCCACGCGCAGCCCCGGTTCCCACTCGCGCCTCTCCCTCCACACCTCCCTGCAAGCTGAGGGAGTTGGCTCTGGCCTTGGCCAGCCCAGAAAGGGGCTCCCACAGTGCAGCGGTGGGCTGAAGGGCTCCTCAAGTGCCGCCAAAGTGGGAGCCCACGCAGAAGAGGCACCAAGAGTGAGCGAGGGCTGTGAGGACTGCCAGCACTCTGTCACCTCTCAATACCATAATTTTGAAGTAGAAGTGAACATTAATGATATCTGGCATATTTACATTAATTATAACATCATAGTTTCTATTGGTGAAAAGTCATGGGTAAAGCAAATACTAGTGGTTAAGTAGATTTTTTTATGTGATCTCCTACTTTCTTTAATTTATGTTCTTCTTTTTTTAAATACAACAGTGAAAGTTGGGAGAACTTCCTTCTGTTTCTTGGATTAGCTTTTCTTCTGGTTGAGCTTTTTGTGTCTGATTCTTCAATGTTTTCTTCCTTCCTCCCCTCCACCCTCTCTTTGGTTTTCATTCTTCCTTTTCTTAAATGTGCCACATTAAGTTTTCCTGATTGTTCATGCTGTTCTTTTTCATGCTTGGCTATCTAGGCATACATTGTGCCACTGCACTCCAGCCTGGACGACAGAGTGAGACCCTGCCTCAAATAATAATAATAATAATAATAAAGTAAGATAAAATGGACCTAAGTATACCTAACTCAAGAGTTGTTGTTATAATAAAATGGATTAATATTTGTGAGGTACCTAGCACAGTATTTGGTGCAAAGAAGGTTGATGAAATTCATTTAATTTAAAGAAAACGAATGCAGTAGCAGATTTATATATACTATAAAATATGAAAAATATGCATCATTTTCAACCCTCTCCCTTAAGATATATTCATATTTCTAACACTTAGAAATATTAAAACTTTTATTGCAAATGAAGGGCACATGATCAAACATCTAGAGCAAGTATTATGCTTATACCATTAATTTAAAATTGACTCCTAATATATGATCTTTTTAGGTGGGTTGGGAGAATCGGGGGAAAAAACAGTAATCTGTGAGAAACATATCAATACATTTGCAGTTCATTCTTGACTATTCTCCTGGGGATTTTCTCAATATTTGATTATTAGCACCTTCCAGATGATGTCCAGAAAGCAGGAAAAGAGTCTGCTACTTGGTATTGTCCAGACTAATGTTGTTTTTTTATTAGTGAAATCCAGACTAGATGCTGATTCCCAAGAAAATCCTCCAATTTAGGAGATTCCATAAACAGACCATCTATTCCATACCAATCCATGAGTAGAAATCTGTGCTGCCTCTTCCATGAGCCTTCTGGAAGAATGACACATTTGCCTTCATTAAATGGAGAATGAAAGGAGATTGGGAAAAATTTGTAAAACTACTTGTTCAAAGAATCAAATATATGTGTTTGTATATGTTTGATAAAAATAAAAAAAAATTTAAAGAGAGACACAGAGGACAATGTGAACTTTTCCTCCCATGCTTTCTTTCTCCCTTGTTTGTTTCCCTTGTATAATTGTACATTTCTTAGGAGGAATGAATTCCATTTGATCCATCTTTCTACTCTCCTTTCCACCCCCATCCCTAGCACAGTGACTGGAACATAGTAGGTGTGTAAGTATTTTTTAAAGAAATATGTGCATTTAATGTGTGGGCTGAATAAACAACTCTGATTTACAGCCCTCGTATATTGAGTTTGTCAGATTTAAAATCATGTTTTTCATTTTTCTGAGGAACTATGCATGTAATCAGAGGACTTTACTAGTTGTTACCTAATGCTACCAGAGAAATTACTGTCACAACTGTTCCAAGCTTCCTTATAGTTAGGGTCCAGTGTCTTCTTTTGCCATATGCTATCGGGTAGACTAGATTCTGGAAGCCATTTGGAGAGAATATTATGGATGTAGGCGACATTTTTCCCCCCAGGTATTGACAGTATTCATAGTATGCTTATTAGAGATTCCTCAGATTTTTATATCTTTGTCCTGATAATCACCTTCAATCAAAAAGCAAATGACTCTTTTTTATTGGGGGTCTGTATGTTAACACAGTTGACCAATAACATTATAGCTAAACAGTCAAGAAAAAGTCATGACTCATATCCTTTTGGGTGTTCACCTTTTTGGTTGATGGGTGGCTTACGTCAGTAAGGCAATTGCATTCTCCAAAATTAACAGGTGTGTGCCTACATATTGTGTTTTAATATACCTCCTTTCACAATTAGGGGAGTTACTTAGGATTAAAAGATATCTAGGTGCTGAACGTGTTTTGCACTTTCCATTCTCCATAACCTTGCTTACGATCCTTCTATAGTGCATGCCATCGGTTGTTCCCATGTATCTATGGAGGCCACTTCTAAAGCCAATGTCAAATACACTCATTTCTCATACATTACTTTTCATTATAGTACCATTTATCTTACACAGGGTTTACAATGAAAAACATGCAAACATATTTAGAGTAAAGAAGGGTCGAGACAAGTGGGTAGGAAGCCAACCATGTAAAGGTAGACCAGCATGTAGTACTTTGAAAAAAACAAATCAATCATAAGAATTCTGATGACATGGTATAGGAATGTATCTTCAGAATTCAGCAAATGCCTCACTTGCGATTATCTTTCATGCTTTAGTATTCTCCATTTATTAGGCAGGTTGAGGATGGGGATGTGGGCTGTATTTTCTGGCATCTTGCATATTAGTCCTGAAAATTGTTATGGGCTCACACATCTATGGCACAAAAGACAACTAGTAAGGCGAACAAAATGACAGATTTTAAATTAACTTGGAAATGGTTGCCAGCCAGGTGGATGCCACTCTTCTTCAAGTGACCAGACCTCACTCTCATTAGCTACATTAATCCATTAATTAATACAAGAAATTTTGTTGGGCACTTAATTTGCTACAATAACTATGCTAGTTGTTGGACACGGTCCTAACATTATCCTGATAATGGGCATCTGTGAAAAGGGTTAATGGGAAAGACATAGCATATAAAAATTTAAAAATTGTGTCTTAGAATATTAAAACAAATATGAGCAATTAATGCAATCTCTCCAGTTTTATAATATAACTAGTTTGATTAGAAACATTTTTGAATTGTCAAAATGGTTCTGAAATATCTTTAATTATCTGAAATATCTTGCTATTATTACTATATAAGGGTAGTCATCTGGGAACCCTTTGAAAATAATTTAACTGCTTTTAAAATCACGTAAGGAATTGAAATTATTCTTAAATGATCTGATTCACTTATTCAATAAATTTAGTAAGATAATTCAAGCCCTTCCACTCCCTTATCCTGACACTTTTAAAATGACTCACTTATATTTTAATTACTCTTGGGGTCTCCTACTATGAAACAATGGTAGAATTTCATTTTTTGCTCATAAGAAAGATAGGTCTGTGGTTATTAATAATTATTCAGTATGGAAAACCATGACATTCATAGTAAATACAGAGACAAATCTCATCTTTACATTAGCAGGAGTAAGAGGCAAATTAACCTTCATGAAATACTGCCTTTGAAGAAGAAAAATTAGGATAATAGAAGAAAGACTGATGAAATTTGACCAGTTTCCAGGACAGAAGAGATGACCTATTTGGGGTTGGAATTATTAGTAATTATGGAGAGATGTTTAGATGTATGCAGACTACATAGAAAATATGCAAAATAATATACTTTCACATCTGTATAGAATTATGTGGTGGTTTAAAATACGTCCACAAGTTCTTTGGCACTGCTCCCTTCAAGGAATGGAAACCAAATTCCCACTCCTTGACTGTAAGCTGAACTTAGTGATTTGCTTCTAATGAACAGAATAAAGTAGAAGTAATGGCATGCAACTTAGGAGACAAGGTCATAAAAGGTACTGCAGCATTATCTTCATTTTCTTCCTTAGATTGCTTGTTCTGGTGAGGGGGCAGGGTGGTGTGTGTGGGGGAAACCAGCTGCCATGTTGTTAGGACATGCAGGCAACCCTGTGGAGAAATACATGCAGTGAGGAACTGAGGCCTCCTGCCAAATACAAGTGAGGAACTGAGTCATTCTGACAACATTTTTATTGGTGAGCCATCTTGGAAGTGGATCCTCCAGCCCCACTCAAGCCTTCAGATGACTGTAGCCCTGGCTAATATCTTGATTGCAACCACACAAGACACTCTGAACCAGAATCATCAAGCTAATCTGATTTCAAATTCCTAGCCCACAGAAATCATAAGATAATAAATGTTTATTGTTTTAAGCCACTAAGTTTTTTGGGGTTGGGGGGTAATTTGTTACATAGAAGCAGCTAAATAATACAAACTCTATAATAGAATTTGTTTTTAAGAAACAAATAATTTCAGCTGTTTTAATCTAAAAGAGGTATAATATAAGGAGTTGGAAGGACTAGAGGAATGTTATTTAGGCTACATTTGCAGAATAATACCACTATACTGTCCTGCAAGAGGAGCTGCTACATCTGCCATTATTAGGAAGATGAAAAATTGGAAAGTTGTGCTGGAATTTCTGACTTCAATGAACTCTGCCAAATCAATCAGCCACTATTGCTGCTGCGATAATACCCACAGAGTTCCTACCTGGATACAGGAATGTGGCTGCAGAACAAAGCATCAGGAAAAATTCCTCTGCCTTACTTCTACCTTCCAAGTCACATGAAAATATATCTGGTTGGCAAAATACTGGCCCCCTCCGCAAAAAAAAAAAAAAAAAAAAATATTTGCTTCCAGGACCCTAGCTGTGAGGGAACCTGGGAAATGTTGTTTGTAGCTTTCTAGCCTCTGCAGTACAGGAAGGCATACCCTGTTAGATCTTGTATAGTTTTGTATTTCTGTGAATATTCTTGAGCTTTATTCTTCAACACAAGTAAGTTTCTGGGACACAGTTTGATTCTTTTGGGTCTTGCTTTTAGGATTTGCTAAGTTTAGTCTAGGATTCATTATTTTCCACTCCTGAGGCAAGAGCATTCCAAGTATTCTACCCAATGCCCTGTAGCCTATGAGGTTTTCTAGTCTGGTTGGTGGGTACTATTTCAATCCGTGTGTGGGTGCCAGGCACTGTTCCCTCTAATCCTTTCACATGGTTCTTTCTTTGGCCTAAGGTATTTTCCTTACACACATGGGATGATCATTACTCTGCTGAATGTGTAGTTGGGAGCCTCTGCAGATGTCTGGGGTTCTTTCTGTGTGCAGCTCTGTCCTCTCTGGTATACTTTAATGTGATTTCTGGCAACTTAGTCTCCCTGAGATGAACTCTTAGTTCTGTCTCCTTAATTCAGGAAATCCATCTGGCTCCACCTAAGGTTTCCTTCCCTGTACTGCAGCCTGGAAACTCAAGCCAGTAAGCGGGGGCAATCGTAGGGCTTACCTCATTTGTTTCCTGTTTCTCAGGATCACCGTCCTTCATTGCTTGATGTCTAGTGTCTTCCAAACTGTTTGTTCAAATACGTTGTGTCCTTTTTTTGGTTGTTACAGATGAGAGCATAAATCTGGCCCTTATTACTCCATTTCAGCCCCTTATCGGTTTTTTTTTTTTTTAATCAGAGCTTATATCACATCTTGTAGGAAAGCATTTCAACCTAACATGGTAATATTTCCTTGGTGACACCATAACTGAGTCTTTAGTAAGCCATTTTTTTGTTGGGGGGGGACGGGGTCTTGCTCTTGTCACCCAGGCTGCAGTGCAGTGGCACGATCTTGGCTCACTGCAACCTCTGCCTCCTGGGATCAAGCTATTCTTCTGCCTCAGTCTCCCGAGGAGCTGGGATTACAGGTGCCTACCACCACGCCCAGCTAATTTTTGTATTTTTAGTAGAGATGGGGTTTCACCATGTTGTCCAGGCTGGTTTCAAACTCCTGACCTCAGGTAATCTGCCCACCTCAGCTTCCCAAAGTGCTGGGATTACAGGTGTGAGCCACCACACCCGGCCTAGTAAGCCATTTTTACTGCTTTGGAAGGCTGAGTAATTCTGGGTGATGGTATACATAATGATGTAATGATTACCATATTTATAATATGCTTAATTTTTCTTTACATTTTGTTCCTTGGTCAGTAGTTGAATGAACAAGACATTTAGTAAGTCTGTGGATGGCAGTACTGGCAGAAATATGACAGATAGGAAAGATAACTCAAACTCAGAATACATCTCTACTCCTTTGGGACAATCTCTGCCTTACTACAAGGGAGGATTTTCTATAGAGTCAGCTGCCCACCAGGTACTACTTTATGGTACTATGTTGTGGACTCATTACTGGCTTCTGCTGTTGGCCGATTGAGCACTCAGCAACAGAAGTAGCCAGATCAGCCTCGGTGAGGGAAAGTTCATCCCTTCCACCATGGTAACTTGTTCACGTGCCCATTGAGTAAGTACTGGGGTGGCTGGGGAAAGAGTCTGACATCTCCAGAACACTTTTACTTGTTTACCAGGTTTTGGAGAGTTTCATCTGCAGTGGTTGACTTTTGGTTAGCAGTCACAACAGACACAACTAATTTTGCACTTTGAGCCAATTCTGAGAGGTTTTCTGTCTGTACATATTGCTGTATAGCAAATCATCCCAAACTTAATGGCTTAAGATAACATTCATTTTGCTCATGAATCTGCTATTTAGGCTGGTCTCACGGAGCTGGTCTCTGCTCTGCTTAGTGTCACTTAGGATGACTTGAAGGTCAGGGGCTGGATTATTCTGAAGATTTGCTCACTCACATATCTGGAGGTTGATGCTGATATAGGCTTGGTCTTCAGTTGGTGCTGGGGCTAGAACATCTACATGTGGCTTTTCTTTGTGGCTGCTTGGCTTCCTTGCAGCATGGTTACTAGGTTCCAAAGTGAGCATCCCAAGAGGATCAGAACAAAGCTGTATGACTTTCCATGACTTAGTTTTTAAAGTCACATTGTTATGGCTTGAGGGTAGTTGTCCAGGTTCTTGGAGTTCTGAACAAAGAATTGGACAAAACGCACAAGGAAGGCAGCCAAAGTAGAGATTTATTTTAAACTAAAGTACACTCCACAGGGTGGGAACAGGCTCCAGCAAGCAGCTTGGCACTAGTTACAGAATTTTCTGGGGTTTACATACCCTCTGGAGGTTTCCCATTGGTTCACTCTAGTGACCCATGACAAGTCCAGTTGGTTGAAGAGTAGGCCTGCAACCAGTCTGATTGGTTGTGGGAGAGGACCAATCAGAGGTATCTTCATTTTCCAACTGCCCTGCAGCAACTGCCACACAGCAAAAGGAGGGGTTGAAAAGGGAGTAGCCTCAGCATGAAGTAGGCCTTATGTTCCCTGCCTCCAGACCCTATTCTGCCTCAACATGACATGACTTCAGGAATGTCATATACCTGCCCAGTCATATACCTGCCCACAATCAAAGAGAGGAACATAGACCTCACCTCTCAAGAGAGGAGTATCAGTGTCACACTGCAAGGAGCACATGTGGCATGGGATATGCTGGTGTGACAATCTTTGAAAAATGCAATCTGCCCCACCATTACATAGCTCTTCCCCAAGTGCCCTCATTATGAATTTTCCACTCTTGTGTCTTCTAAGACCTTGACCAACTAACCAAATTAGTAGCCCCTGCCCATGAATGGATGCTAATCTATACTTTTGGGCATTTCTGTTTCCAAGCAAAGAGGATAAGCACATGTATTGCTAAAAGTTCTGCTCACTGAGAGAATTTATCTGCCTCATCGTCCTTCATAGCCCATGTAAGTGGCACTGTAATGTGAAGCAGCCCACTTACAGAAGGTGTCAACATATTATGCAGAATAATCTGAGAACCTTTCATAAATTCTTTTAAAATTCCCATGCAATTGTCAGGTCATTACGTGTAAGGTGAGGAGGATGTGGCACTGCATCAGGAGTAGGAACCCTCAGAGTGTAAGCCACATGTTTATGAAAAATGCTGGTGTCTTCAGAACCTGCTTGAGCCTACACTTTTTTTTCCTTGAGGGTGGAATGCAGCTGCACACAATGCTAGGGTTTTCTGGATCAGATAACAACTCAGCTCATGATGGGAAGAGCAGGTTGCATAGTCATTTGAAATTCCATGGTTTGGCCAGGCACAGTGGCTCACACCTGTAATCCCAGCACTTTGGGAGGCTGAGACGGGCAGATCACCTGAGGTCATGAGTTCAAGACCAGCCTGGCCAACATGGCAAAACCCCTTCTCTATTAAATACAAAAAAATTAGCTGGATGTGGTGGTGCACACCTGTAATCCCAGCTACTCAGGAGATTGGGGCACGAGAATTGCTTGAACCCAAGAGGTGGAGGTTGTAGCGAGCTGAGATCGTGCCACCGCACTCCAGCCTGGAGGACAGAGTGAATGAGACTTCGTCTCACAACAAAGCAAAAAACAAAAAACAAACAAACCAAAAAAACAAAGAAATCCGATGGTTAGATATCATGGTAGGCTGGATAATGGCCCCCAAGTATATCTATACCTGAATTTCTAGGATCTGTGGGTGTCACTTTTATGACAAAAAGGACATTGCGTATATGACAAATTTAAGGATCTTGAGATGTGGTTATTAACCTATATTATTTGGATGGACCCAATGTAACTACAGCATTACTTATAGGAAGGTTACAAGAAGAGTTGGAGTCAGAGGAAGAAGTGATGTGATGATGGCAGCAGTGATTAGACGGATGCATTTTGAAGAAAGGGGAAGGGCCTAGAAGTTAAGGGCCACAGCCACTAGAAGCTGAAAAAGGCAAGGGAATGGATTCTCTCCTCAGAGCTCTCAGAAGGAACCAGTCCTCCTGCTGTCACCTGACTTTGGCTCAGTGAAACTGATTTCAGACTTCTGATTTCCAGGATAGTAAGGGAGTAACTTTGCATTGTTTTAAGCCACTTCATTAGTTTCCAGTGGCTGCTATAATAAATTATCACAAATGTGGTGGCTTAAGATAACAGAAATGTATCCCTCATAGTTCTGGAGCCTGGAAGACTGAAATCAGTGTCACTGGACTAAAATCAAGGTGTAGGCAGGGCTGCCCTCCCTCTGGGGGGATCTCAAAGGGAGAACCCACTCCTCCCCTCTTCCAGCCTCTGGGGGCTGCTACCATTCCTTAAGATTGTGGCCACATCACTCCAACCTCTGCCCTTCCTTACATTATCCTCCCCATGTGTACTTCTCTTCTATCAAATCTCCATCTGCCTCTCTCTTATGAGGACATGTGTGATTGAATTCAGGGCCCACCAAGATAATCCAAGATAATCTTCTCATCTCAAGATCTTGAACTTAATCACATCTGTACAGACCTTTTTCCTTATAGGGTAACATTTACAGCTTCTAGGATTAGGACTTAATATCTTTGGGTGGCCATTATTTAGTCTACTACAGCCACTAAGTGCGTGGTAATTTGTTACAGCAGCAATGAATTCAGGTAGATATTATGTCTCTACTAGGGCACAGTAGCAAGCCCAAAGCTGTGGCTCAGAAAAGAAAAATAATTTTTTTTTTTTAAGGACAGCAGGGCTTTCCTGTGAAATTCTAGGAGGCTGAGCAGTGAATCTTTGAATGTAGTTTTTCAGATTGGCCACAGACATTTCAAACTTTATTGGACATGCTAAGTCATAAGGGACACTTGTAATCTGAGTTCAGCTGGAGAGCTTCTTTTCCTCTTGGCTCCATTCAGAGCAGGATGCCTTAAGAATCACTTAGTAAATGGACGGGAACTGCACACTTAAATGTGGTATATGTTGTCTCTAAATCCCAAGGGGTCCATTAAGCACTGTGCCTCTTTCTTGGTGGAAAGGGATGCAAAGTGCAGCAGCTGTTCAAGGAGATATTCTGACATGTTCCAGTCTACTAGACTCTCAGAAACCTCACTGAAATAGCAGGTCCCTGAATTTATGTGCTTATGTGCACCTTACAAAGCCATCGCAGTCCTATTAACCATTTGTTATATATTCCTTCAAGCCCCTTTATTTTCATTTACATATACACAGATATTCTGCATTTACTTACTTCTCACCCAGCTGCTCTTCATTTTTTTTTCATTGTAATATATACAGTGATGGGTTAATCAATTCAGACATCCACATTCTCAGCCCCTACCCACAGAATCCCCTGAGAATTTAATGAAAGAGAAATATTCTGGAATGAGAATACGCAATATGCTGATAACAGGCATCCCTTTTCAAGCTCAGTTAAACCAGATGCAAAATGAATTTATTATTAAATGTGATGGGTGTGGCTTGCCTTTTTTGTGTTGATGGGGACATTGCAGGTGGGTCTGACTATTAGATTCCTCTATTTTGGCACCAGATGTGTTCAGAAGTACAAGTGGCACACATTTACTGTGTGCATGTTTCCATGAATAAATTCCTCCCTCATTAAAATCCAAGGATTGGAATACTCAAAGCAGTATCCTCTTTCTTCATTTTAGAGGCATGACTAGGTGATGTGAGTATTAACTCTTCAAAGTATAATTTCTAGGAGAACTATATATTTTCTCACCTATTCTGGTTTTATTATTTGCCTCCAAGCCTTGTTATTTACAAACCTATCCACATAGATGAATTTTGATCCCTCTGCAATCTTAGTTCTTTGAAAACAATGGAAAAATAAAAGAACATTCAATAAAATTTCTACATTTTGTAGGAAAAATATCCAGTTTAGACAAAATTGATGTACATTTGTGCACAAATCTTAGGGCTCAATGGAATCCCTTAGAAGCAGGGAACTTAAAGAATACAGGGAAAAATATTTCATTTTGTAGATAGCACACTTGAAGTTCATAAGGACTCTGGAGAGCTGAGACTAGAATTCCAAGATGGTTTTCTTTGTCTCTCCAGGGAATCAGAGAATTAATCAAAGAATTAATACAAAATCCTTGATAGTAATCATGTTCATTTCATTAATATTATAGATAATCTAACAAAAATAAAATGAAAAATATCACTAACAAAATCAAGGATTTGTCCTTAATTCACATAATGATCAAGAGAAATAAAAATCTTCTGACACTAAAAGTTAGGGGGACACAATTGGCCCTGCTTAATTACAAATGGAATTACAATGGCAAATATTAGGAATAGTGGTCCTCAAGCAAATTTTCCTTTATTTGTGATCATTGCTATTCCACATAGTGGACAACTTCTAGCATTTTCCAGAACATTCCTAATGTTGCTCATGGCAGTGGGCGAATTCTTTTATTATATATATGAAAAATTAAACACCTTAAGTAAATAAGCAGGCCTTTTGTTATAGCTAGGTAGTCCTTATCATGCATCTTGTTTATAAGTATCTAAACTGGATTGTGTATAATTTTCAAGCTGTCTGTTTAAAGGAAATCAAGCAATATAGTAAGTTTGGCAGACATTGCAGTGTCTACCCTATATCAATGTCCTCCTTCTTTCTCACCAGCAGATCCATGATTATGCTCGGAAGGGTGTTATGGGCTGAGTTGTGTCCCTGTACTATTCTTATGTTGAAGTCCTCACCCCCAGTACCTCAGATTGTGACTGTATTTGGAGACAGGGTGATTTGGTTTGGTTGTGTCCCTACCCAAATCTCATCTTGAATTGTAACTCCCACAATTCCCATGTGTTGTGGGGAGGGATCCAGTGGGAGGAAACCGAATCATGGGGGCAGGTCTTTCCTGTGCTATTCTTGTGATAGTGAATAAGTCTCCTGAGATCTGATGATTTTATAAAAAGAGTTTCCCTGCACAAGCTCTCTTCTCTTGTCTGCCACCAAGTGAGATGTGCCTTTCACCTTCCTCCACGATTGTGAGGCCTCCCCAGCCACATGGAACTGTAAGTCCATTAAACCTCCTTCTTTTCTATGTTGTCCATTCTCGGGTATGTCTTTATCAGCAGCATGAAAACAGACTAATACGCAGGGTCTTTAAAGTGGTAATTTTGGGTAAATGAGGTCACTCGTGTGGGCTCCCATCCATTATCACTGGTGTCCTTTTAAGAAAAGGTGATTAGGACACTGATACACACAGAGGAGAGGCCAAGTGAAGGCACAGAGAGAAAATGGCCATCTACAAGTCAAAGAGAGAGGCCTGAGAAGAAACCAACCCCAGGTGCCCTTTGATCTCAGACTTCTAGCCTCCAGAATTGTGAGAAAACAAATGTCTGTTGCTTAAGCCGCCCAGCCTGCGGTACTTTGTTATGGCAGCCCTAGTAAACTAATGCAAGGGATAAACAAAAAACTTTTTTATTTTTCAGTTTCCTCATTATGGGGGGTGGCCGTGTCTCAACATTGTGGCCAAGGAGATATGAAAGTGGAACCTCCTCAGTGGACCATTTAATAACATGCTCTAAATGACGTCAGATTTAGCTACCATGTGTGTTTTTTGCCCTTTGTCCTTTCCTTTCTTCTGGCCTGGAAGATGACTATGATGCTGGCAGTAAGGCAGCTAACTTGAGACCACAGAGCAACAGCCAAGGATGGCCAAGCAGAAAAACAAAAGGCCTGGGACCTGATGGCCTCATGGAGCCACTGTGCTAACCTGGAACCATCTAACTCCAGAAATCTTTCATGTGAGAAAAACAAAATGCTTCATTTGTTTAGCCACTGTTATTTTTTTTCTTTTTTTCCTCTTCAGCTTTCTATTACTGAATAGAATACAGTTCCTAAAGAAACCTTAGATAGATATTTAGTAATTTTTTTTAACCTCCTGAAAGAGAACTGTGCTATATTGGGTATAGATGAAAAATCTAATCGGAAGCCACATGGAACAGAAAATTTCCTTACTTACAGCCATCTGCTTGGCTAGACAGTTACCACTTTCTCATTTGTGAACAAATTTCAAATTAGTTAAATAGTTAAATTAGACATAGACTTTAAAAAAATGTGGGGAATGATATCTACAAATACACTGATTCAATATTATTCAACAAAATTTCATAATTTGGTAGCCAGCACATTTAAATGAAAAGAAGTCCTTTGCTGTGAATCACTGGAGTGGGTTTCAGAGTAGAATCATGGGATTTCTTTCCTTGTAAATTATCGTATGTAGTCTAGCCTGTTGCCTGACCTTTATAACCCATTAATTAGCCTGTGTGGTTTGTAGAACAACTATAGGTCCGCAAACTGTTTGTTACCAGTTAGCAAAGAGAGAGGAGATAAGGAACTTGTGCCTGAGTGTAATTCAACTGTATCACTAAGCATGCTGTTTAGTTCAGCTTACTTTTTTTTTTTTTTTTTTTTTTTTGGCAAGACTTCTCAATGAAGGAAGCAGTGTGTTGGTTTACATTCTGGTGCAATCTTCTTATTTCATTGCAGATTGGCACTTTGAGTGGCACTAAGACAACTTGATTAGGTATAATCAGCTAGTCATTGTAGGAGATCTGACTGTCAATGTCTGCCCTCTGCAACTCACCAGCCTGTGAGTCCAATTAAAATCATATTTATATTAGATCCAGATTGTGATGACTTTGAGTCTCAACTATCTGTACAAGAACTTGGCCATGCTTCTGAGAGTCCCTAGAAAACTGTCTCATATTTGTTCAGGAGAAATTCACTCAAATTCTCTCACTCTGATCTGTTAGCTAAGTCATCCTAGCACAGCCTTCCTGCTGAAATTTGGTGATGAAAGTGAAGTACTTTATTATTTAGGATCCATTTGGCTGCAAGTAACAAAACACCCACCCAACAGTATCTTTAGCAATGAGTACTCTTAATTCTGTTATGTAACAGAAAGTCTGGAGAAAGCAGTTGTAAGTTTGAAACTGGCTCAGTAATTTTCTGTAGCTCAGGCTCTTTATAGCCTAAGGATATCCAATACTATTAACTCATTGGCTTTGGTCTGGTGGGTGGCCACAAATTCTTTGACACTCTTCCCATTGAGAAACATGGTTTTCCACCTCTCCTCTTGAATCTGGGCTGCTTCTGTAACTTGTTTTGACAAATAGAATGTGGTGGAGGTGACACTGTAACTGCAGAGGCTGGGCCTTAAGAGATCTGCAGCTTCTCATATTACACACTTGGAATGCTTTCTCCTGAGCCTGACTGCCATGCTGTGAGGAAGCCCAGACCGCTATATATATAGGACCACATAGAGAACTGAAGCCCCCGACCAACTTCTAAGCTCCCAGCTAGCAGCCTGTATCAAATGCCAGCCATCTGAGTGATATTGTTTTTTATCTCCCAGCTATCCCAACACTGTGGTTGACACCACACAGAGCAGAAAAACCACCCAGTCTACCCACAGAATCATGAGAAATAATAAATTAGTATTGTTTTAAGCCATTATGTGGTTTGTTATGCAGCAATAGATAACAAAAAACACTTTGGAATAGAAAATTGCCTATTCTTCCAATATAAGTGGCAATTTATAGAAGTCAAAGAATAATTTTGATCTAATTAATTTTGCTGAATTATGCCTTCATAAAGGTAGATGGGACAGTAATTGAAAAATATGTAAACATTGTACATCAGGGTTTTCTATTTCTGAGATGAGAAATGTGTGTGTGTGTACACATTTGATCTAAATATAGTTCTCCATAATTGTCTTGGGTTTTGTGGTTCCCAAACTTTTTCCCTCGACGCATTACATGAAGCTGGCTGGAATAGTCCTGAAGCCCCTCTATGTAACTGTGAAGCAACTTTTTAGTAGAAAAGCGTAGTTCTTAGGCCAGAACCTGGAGCCTAAGACTTTGAATTCTCAGCCTCATTTCACCGCACAACTTTGCTTCTCAAAGAGCTTTTCTGTTTTCTGATGATGGTTTTTATTGTGGTTACTGCAGTAGGCTTCTCAGGAGTAACTCTGGCTACACGTATACAACCATCTCTTTTCCTCTGTCCAGTATCTATATGTAGTCTTGACCTTGATCTAGCTGCTTCCAAAATAATGCATTCTGAAGTCAAATGAATCTAATTCATAAATTTTGCAAGATCTGTATTCAATCACATTATTATTCATACCAGTAAAAGAAAATTAGGGCTATAACCTAAACTTTTTCTAACTGGAATACTGCTTCTATTAATCTGGAGATTTTAGCACCTTTTGATTTTCTCCATGCACGTATTCTGAATAGAATCTTCCAGATGTAGTATTACTATTGTTTTACTTGTTCAGCACCAGTTCTTATGCATCTATTCCTTTTAATAGAGAGAGAAACAAAAAATGGGTTGATTATCATATGAACGAGAGTCAGTTTTCTACCTTTCCATTTCCTTTTTGAGAAAATTTGACAATATGCATAGAGACATACAATTCTTGTGTTTTGATGAAAGGCAGTTTCTGGCTTCTACTGGCTGATTTTAATCTTATTACAAAAATTGGACATTTGGATTTCATGTGTTAGCAAAACTAATTGTTCCTGAAAGCATTTGAAAAACTAGTTAGGGTGGGGTGGGGGTGGTGGAATCAGACAAATGGGTTACAGTATATGGATCCTGAAACAGGGCTTGAGAAATCCTCTTTCTTCACACGAGACCAAATGTGTATTTACTGAAAACAACACATGGAGAGGATGGGGAGCTAGAACTTGCTTTGTTAAGCTAAAGCTTGGGAAATATTGTAATTTAAGATCCACCTGGTGTGTTCAAAGCAGATTATAAAGCCTGTTGAGTAGCAACTGATTTCTCTTCTCTGGAGATTGGTCTGTACCTAGGAACATGGCTGTGTTGGCTCAATGGCACCCAAATCAAAACACAGTTTTGGTGTCACCCATGAAATTTCTCTCTCACTCATTCTCTCTCCCTCCTTCCTTTCCTACCATCTCCCCACCCCCAATGCACATGAAAAATTTTAATGGATATTTTGGTATGTTAAAGAATGGCCCCAAATATGTTCCTATTCTAATTCCCAAAATGTTTACTGTTACCTTACATGGCAAAGGGTATTTTGCAGATGTGAATAAGTTAAAGATCTTGACATGGGGGGATTATCCTGGATTATCTGGGTGGGTCCTAAATATAATTGGAAGTGTCCTTATAAGAGAGAGTCAGAGGGAGATTTGATACAGACAAAAGGAGAGAAAGCAATGTTGCCACAGAGGCAGAGATTAGGGGGATGCAGCTACAAGCCAAGGAATGCTGGCAGCCACCAAAAACTGGAAGAATCAAGGAATTGATTATTCCTAGGAGTCACCAGAGGATGTGCTACCCCACTGATACCTTGATTTTGGCCCAGTGAAACTAATGTTGGACTTCTGGCCTCCCGAACTGTGAGAGAATACATTTGTGTTGTTTTAAGCCCCCAAGTTTGTGCTAATTTATTACTGCGACAATAGGGAATGAATACAGATATACTGCGACAATAGGAAATGAATACAGATATACTGCAACAATAGGGAATGAATACAGATATATGGTAGAATGACACCTTAGATATCAGAATTTAAAGCAAAATTACATATAGATACCTTGACTCTTGAAAATCTCTTAAGAATGTCCCACATTGGAGAACAATATGGCACTGTCTTCCCTATCACTGGAATGGAGCGTTGTTTCTTCAGCTGAGATGCCAGATGAAGTAGTTGGCTTGTGTTTAGAGGCCATGTTGTAGAAAAAATTCTTATCTTTAAACATGAGATTCCCCCACAGAAGTAGCTGGGAACAGTCCTACTGGAGGAACTGCAGATTTGTATCTCCTATTTCACATTCATTCAAGGCATATGCTCATTGAGTTGGAAGGATGGGCAGAATTGCTCACATGATTTGGATTGTCCTTTTATGCTATCTCCCAAGTCAGTAAGGATATATTTGCTTAACGTAAATAATAGTTCCTAACTGATATATTCTAATTGCTTGTGTTAACTCATTTAATGCCCTGTAGGCTGAGGTGCAGAGTGGTGAAGTAGCTTGGCTAAGATCACAGAATGGTAGAGCTGGGATTTGAATCCAGGCGGGCTGACACCAGAATCTTTGCTCTTAACCACTACTCTCTACTCTCTTAGTAAGTTAGCTAAAGAGATGATATTATTTTGCCATGTACAAAAATGTTAGCAGTGTTTATCTTCGGATGTTTGGATTACTAGTGATCTTTTTTTTTTTAAAACATGTTTGTATTTTCTATTATTTTACTTTATTCAGTTGATCCAGTCTATTCCATTACTATTTCTTCAACACAGAGCATACATTGCTTTTATAATCCAAAAACAAAACCCAACAAAGTTAATATACTTTCATTTTGGAAAAAAATAGGATTCAAAATTGAAGCCGGGCTCAGTGGCTCACACGTGTAATCCCAGCACTTTGGGAGGCCAAGGAGGGCTGATCGTCTGAGGTCAGGAGTTCGAGACCAGCCTGGCCAATGTGGCAAAACTCCATATCTACTGAAAATACCAAAAAACAAAAACAAAAAATACCAAAAACAAAACCATAGCCAGGTGTGATGGCGCATACCTATAGTCCCAGCTACTGGGGAGGCTGAGGCTGGAGAATCACTTGAACTTGTGAGGCGGAGGTTGCAGTGAGCCAAGATCGTGCCACTGCACTCCAGGCTGGGACACAGAGCAAGACTCTGTCTAAAAAATATATATATATTGTATCTTTATTGGGTACATCTATCTATCTATCTATCTATCTATCTATCTATCTATCTATGTATAGGTATGATAGCTCAAACTAAAAGAGACTATTTAAAAGAGCTTCACTTATTGTATTATTGAGTTTGGTAATAAGTACAATACACTTATTGTATTATTGAGTAGGAGTTTCTAGAACATGGACAGATTATTGCAAGACACAGATCAATACAGAGATGTAACTGTTGTTTTCTACACTTGTCCCATCTGGCGTTGGTATCAAAATATAGCAGCCTTTTTTGGCTCTAGCTTTTGATACCAGTGTGGGAACTCTGGATTTTCTTGATAACACTCTTTGTCATTTAGCATCGTAAGTTATCAGACGTATAAACAAAGCTCACTTATGTAAATGAAAAAGACCAATCCCTTTATATATTGAAAAAGTTTATGATATGGTGTTAAGTGAGAAAATTGGGACACAGGTGGTTAAAAACAACACAATCTCTATTATAATGAAGAAAAAATTGTATATTCCATGGTTTTGTTTCCATGAAGGGGTGATGAATACAAGTTATTTTCTTCTTCATGCTTTTAGGAGTACTACTACTACTAGTACAAACTTCCAAAAGTATAAATACTCTGTATTTTCTAAAATTTCTACAGTGAGAATGCATTTTTCTTTTAAATATTTTTGTAGAGACAGGGTCTTGTGATGTTGCCCAGGCTGGCCTTGAACTCCTGGCCTCAGGTGATCCTCCTGCCTCGACCTCCCAAAGTGTTGGGGTTACAGACATGAGCCACCACACCCAGCCTATTTTTCTTTATGTAAAGAATAAAAGGTAAAATAGCCTTCCAATGCAAGATTATAAACATTAGAAAATCCCAACTTTTAAAGCCTTTTTTCCCATAAGGCTTCCTTGGGTGGCTGCCTAATAAAGATGTGACTCCCAATTTCAAAATCTGTGAATCTCTTAAGGATATGCTTCCCCAAGGGGAAGCTTCCTTGTTTCATATGGGCTTTTCCATCTGCTTTCCATTCAGCTTGAAATGTAGTTCTTTGAAATCCTTTCTCTTCTTTGCTTTTAACGTGAAGACATTCTGCTACTTTCTAAACATTTAGTTTCATAATTTAGTCTGATGCTATTAAATTAATTCATATTTATTCCCAGATTCTTTTTCAAGCAACCTCTGTGGATATCAAGGATAATCCATTTTGTGCTCCCTTTACTTAGTGTTACCCCTTTCTTTAAATTGTCTATTTTAATTTGTCTTTTATATAATGCATTTGAAATATCTTTTCCCCTTCTAACCACAGAACATTTTCTCGGCTTCAGTAAAATTGGTGCAATTTTATACAATCTTCGATAACTCTCTTACTAGAAGGGCCATATAGTTAAGCTTCAGCCGCAGCTTAAAGCTGCCATAAAGCTTTGTCTCTACCAGTTAAATAAACAGACTGTAGCACACTTGATGGGATTCTTCAGGCCCTCTAGATGACTGAGTGGTGTGGCTGCATAGTTGTTAGCCACTCAATGACTCCTAGAGTTGGAAAAAAAGGAATGAATTGGCGTTGGTAGCCAATTTGGTCACGAGGCACACAGGGGAGATCCAAGAAAGATTCTGTAGTTTTAAAATCACCTGCATTATTCCTGTACACCCCACGTGTCTCACCGATTGTTTGAAAAATAGAAACTCCTTTTTCTGGCTTTTTTATCCAGACAACCTGGCAGTCTACACTGGTATCATCCCTCTTTTCACAACCTCTTTTTGTAGGAGTTGATCTCCTCTTTGCTGTAACAAAAATCTGGCTCTGTCCTAAGGACACCAATTCCCTTGCAGCCATTCTGGGTTTATTTTCCCACTCCCCACTTACCTCAACTTTGTGAAGAAGAATAGTGTAGTTACTACACTGTTGCTGCTCTGCCCGGGTTCCCTTTACCCTCCAGTGCACCCACCCCAGCCCCTCACTGCTCTAAGTGTTGGCCACTGGCTACTCACAACTGCCCCTTTAAGAATTTTTGCCCTGCATCAGTGGTTCTCAAAGTGTGGTCCTGGGACCAGCAGCAGAGCATCATCTGGGAATTTGTTATAAATGCAAATTCTCAGGCCCTACCTACTGACTCAGAAACTTGGGATTGGGATCCAGCCATCTGTGTTCCTGATGCACAGTAACGTTAGACAACAACTGCCCTCAGGTGAATGGAAACCCTAACCAGAAACACCTGGGTTGATAGATTTTCCTGTCAGGGACTACCTGCAGCCAATGGTTGGCCAATTCAGGGGTTGCAAAAGGATGCTCTCTCCATCCCTTTTAAGGGAATGACTTTGTGATGCCATTCAGACTTTGGAGCTCCTGGTGGGATCAGGATGGGGCTAGAACTGAGCTAAACTCATATCTTGTTCAGATTCCTCCCCTGCCCTATGCTGCACCCCCATTCCCTTAAGGGGTATTATGGGTTGAATTGTGTTTCCCAAAAAAGATATGTTGAAGTCCTAATCCCCAGTACCCCAGAATGTGACCTCATTTGAAAATAGGGTCCTTGCAGATATAATTAATTAAAATGAGGTCATACTGGAGCAGGGTGGGTTCCTAATACAATATGACTGGTGTCTATATAAGGTAAAGACACAGGGGCACAGAGAGAGTGCCACGTGAAAATGGAGGCAGAGATTGGAGTGATGCAGCTACAAGTCATGGAACACCAAGGATTGTTGGCCGTCACTGGAAGCTAGGAAAGGGGCACGGAACAGATTCTCCCTCAGAGCCTGCAGAAGGAACCAGTCCTGTAGACATCTTGATTTTAGACTTCTAGCCTCCAGAACTGTGGGACAATGAAGTTATCTTGTTTCAAGCCACCCAGTTGATGGTACTTTGTCATGGCAGCGCTGGTAAATGAATAGAAGGGATTTCACCTGGTCTCACTCTCTCACCGACCCTTTTGCACAAGAATCCCTGATTAAGGCTCTACTTCTAGGGAACCTGACCTAAGACAATGGACATTTTTCTTGTTCCTCACTGATACTTCTCTTTTCCTGTAACATTCTGTTTCTTTGAGTGTGGACCTATTCAGTTACACTATAGCCTCTGTGGATCTGTGACTATTGTCACACCATAATAGCTGAACCCAGCGGGCAGCACTGGGGAAATTTCTACCAACTGCTTTTAAACACACTCAGTTGTATTTCCCTGACTCTGTCCTGATGCCATCTTGGACTTCCGTAGCTTTGCTACAGCAAAGTCTCATTTTGGGGTACTGAAAAGTCCCATCAATATAGGCACATCTTGTTTTATTGTGCTTTGTTTTATTGTGCCTCTCAGAGATTGTGTTTTTTACAAATTGAAGGTTCAAGGCAAACTTGCATCAAGCAAGCACATCCACAGGTGTTATCTTTCCAGCAGCCTGTGTTCACTTTGCGTCTCTGTGTTACATTTTGGTAATTCTTGCCCTATTTCATACTTTTTCATTATTATTATATCTGTTATCATGGTCTGTGATCAGTGATCTTTGATGTTACCACTATAATTGTTTTGAGGTGCCATGAATGGCACCACGAACCATACCTGTATAAGATGGTATGGTGAACTTAATCGATAAATGTGTGTGTTTTGACTACTCCACTAACCAATTGTTTCCCCATCTCTCTCCCTCTCCTCCAGCTTTCCTATTCCCTGAGACACAACAATATTGAAATTAGGCCAATTAATAACCCTATAATGGCCTCTAAGTGTTCAAATGGAAAGAAGTGTCACACATCTCTCACTTTAAATCATAAGCTGGAAATGATTAAGCTTAGTGATGAAGGCATATTGAAAGCTGAGGTAGGCAAAAAGCTAGGCCTCTTGCTCCAAAGTAACTAACTTGTGAATGCAAAGGAAAAGTTCTTGAGGGAAATTAAAAGTGCTACTCCAGTGGAGACAGGAATGATGAGAAAATGAAACAGCTTTTTTGTTGATATGGAGAAAGTTTGAGTGGTCTGGAAAGAAGATCAAACCAGCCACAACCTTCCCTTAAACTAAAGCCTAATCCAGAGCAAGGCCCTAACTCTCTTCAATTCTATAATGGCTGAGAAACGTGAGAAAGCTGCAGAAGAAGACTTTGAAGCTAGCAGAATTTGGCTCATGAGGTTCAAGGAAAGAAGCCATCTTCATAACCTAAAAGTGCAGGGTGAAGCAGCAAATGCTGATCTAAAAGCTACAGCAAGTTATCCAGAAGATCTAGCTAAGATTGTTGATGAAGGTGGCTACACTAAATAACAGATTTTTAACAGCTTCTATTGGAAGAAGATGCCATCTAGGACCTACATAGCTAGAGAGGAGAAGTCAGTGCCTGGCTTTAAATCTTCAAAGGACAGGCTGACTCTTCTGTTAGAGGTTAATGCAGCTGGTTACTTTAAGTTGCAGCTAATGCTCATTTACCATTCTGAAAATCCTAGGACCCCTAAGAATTATGCTTAATCTACACTGCTTGTGCTCTGTAAATGGAACAACAAAGCCTGGATGACAGCACGTCTATTTACAGAATGATTTACTAAATATTTTAAGCCCACTGTTGAGACTTACTGCTCAGACAAAAAGATTCCTTTTAAAATATTACTGCTCATTAACAATGCACCTAGTCACCCAAAAGCTCTGATGGAGATGTACAAGGAGATTTATGTTGTTTTCATGACTGCTAACATATCCATTCTGCAGCCCATGGATCAAGCAGTAATTTCAACTTTCAAGTTTTATTTTTAAGAAATACGTCTTGTAAGGCTATAGTTGCCAGTGATAATGGTTCCTCTGATGGATCTGAGCAAAGTAAATTGAAAACCTTATGGAAAGAATTCACCATTCTAGATGCCATTAAAAATTTGATTCATGGGAGGAGGTCAAAATATCAACATTAACAGGAGTTTGGAAGAAGTTGATTCCAATTCTCATGGATGACTTTGAGGGGTCAAGACTTTAGTGGAGGAAGTAACTGCAGATGTGGTGAAAATAGCAGGAGAACTAGAATTAGAAGTGGAAACTATGTGACTGACTTGTTGCAATCTCATGATAAAACTTCAACAGATGAGGAGCTGCTTCTTGTGGATGAGCAAAGACCATTGTTTCTTGAGATGGAATCTACTCCTGGTGAAGGTGCTGTGAACACTGTTGAAATGACAGTGAAAGATTTGGGGTATTACATAAACTGAGTTGATAAAGCAGTGGCAGGATTTGGGAAGACTAACTCCAATTTTGAAAGAAGTTATACTCTGGGGAAAATGCTATCAAACAGCATTACATGCTATAGAGAAATCTTCTGTGAAAGAAAGAGATGATCAATGTGGCAGACTTCATTGTTGTCATGTTTTAAGAAATTGCCACAGTCACTCCAACCTTCAGCAACCACCACCCTGATCAGTCAGCCATCATCAACATCAAGGCAAGACCTTCCACCAGCAAAAAGATTATAACTTACTGCAGGCTCAGATTATCGTAGCATTTTTTTTAGCAATAGAGAATTTTAAAGTTAAGATATGTACAATTTTAAACATAATGCTATTGCACACATAGTAGGCTAAAGTATAGTGTAAACATAACTTTTATATGCACTGGAAAACCAAAAAATTCATGTGACTTGCTTTATTGTGGCGCTCTGGAACTGAACCTACAGTATCACTGAGGTATGCCTGCATTTGTGTCTCTCATTCAGTTCAAAGCTGCCCCCCTCTCTCTTCATGGGATGGCACTGAAATTCTGCAGGATGGCACTACAGAAGTGAGGTGAAGTCTTTTCTTGTCCTCTACCTATCTCTTCCCTCACTCTCTTTGCTGCCTTGGGCTTATTCAAGGCAGGGGAGGAAGGGATTTGAGATTTTACCAACCTCAGCACTTTTTGCATTTTGGACTTTATTGTCGGGGGTTGTCCTACACATTATAGGATGTTTAGCAACCTGGGTTTTACTCCTAGATGCTAGTAGCAGGCCCCACCCCCACCTTATTTCCCACTGTAACAACCAAAAGTGTTATTGTTGCAAATGTCCTTGGGGATGGGCACTTTCTTACTTGACTGGTGCTGAAATTACATGGCCGTCAGTGTCCTCTGTCAAGGCAGATGTCTTTTTAAAAATAATTTACACATAATAATTATACATATTTATGGAGAACATTATGTTTCAATACATGTATAAATTGTGCAATGATCAAATCTGGGTCATTAACATAGCACCTTAATCATTAATCATTTATCATTTCTTTGTGGTGAAAATATTTAAAAATGTCTCTTTTAGCTATTTTGTAATACACAATACATTATTGTGAACTCTAGTCACTCTCCTAATAGAATCCAGAACTTATTCTTCCTGTCTAACTGTAGCTTTGAATTCATTGACCAATCGCTCACCATTCTCTCCTCCCCCCACCCTTCCTATCTTCTGGTATTTGCCATTCTACTCTGTACTTCTTTGAGAACCACTTTTTATAGATCCCACATATGAGTGAGATCATGCAGTACTTGTCTTCCTGTGCAAGTCATATGTCTTATTGCTGGTTGTTTCTCTTGTGGAGAGTTTCTGTGTGTTCTTCAGAGATGCTCCCACCACTCAGCAGACCTCCTACCTCACTTTGCTCGCCAGGGAAGGCCCTCTCCAGCTGATCTCTTACACTACTCCTCTGATGGACACCTTCAACCCTGTTCTGCTGGGAGCGCCTTTCCCCAGCAGGCAGTTCTACCAGGAGTCTTTTTGAGAAATCTCATTCCTTGCTACTTCAGCAGGGACAACTTGGCTCAGAATAAATACATACCCTGCTGGCTTCAGAATAAATACATACCCTGCTGCCTTCTCTTCTTCCCATGCCATTGCAGATAACAGTTTCAGGCAACCAGTCACCCTCAGACTTTTCCAGGTGAGTATGAGGCATTAGCCTTTGTCATTCTCCAACCCTAAGGGACAGGCATGAATATTTCCCAAGAATTTTCACCACATTTTCCTTAGGCGCCATTTTCATTTTCCATTGCTGAGTAAAAAATTACCACAAGCTTAGCAGCTTAAAACAACACAAATATATCATCTCACAGTTTTTATGGGTCAGAAGGCCTGGTAGCAGTTAGCTGAGTCCTCTGCTAAGGGTCTCACCATGTTGAAATCAAGCTGTTAGCTGGAACTGTGATTTGCACCTAAGACTTTGGGTCCTTTTTCAAGCTCATTGCTTGTTGGTAGAATTCATTTCCTTGCAGCTGTAGGACTAAGGTCCTTGTTTTCTTGCTAGCTGTCAACTGGGGATTGCTGTCAGCTTCTAGAGGTCACTCACTATTTCTTGTCACTTGGACCCCATAGACAGTTTACAGCATGGCTGTCTGTTTTCTTGTAGAGCAGGAAGAGAACATCTGAGACCATTAGACACCCTTTTAAGAGCTTACCTCACTAGGTCAGGCCCACTCATGATAAGCTTCCCTTTGATGAACTTGACTAGGACTTTAATTATATCTGCAAATATCTCTTTCATCACTTAATGTAATATAATCATGGGAGTGATGGCCCTCATAGCTATAGGTCTCATCTGCACTCAAGGGAAGGAGATTATACAAGGGCATGGGGTCTTGGAGTGGGGCAGGCATCATCTTAGAATTCTGCCAATCACAGGCCTCATGAGACTACTGGGCCAAGAGAGCCCTCTCGTTTGGGTTGAGGGTAGTGGAAAGGTGAGAGGAAGTGCCATAATGCTTTTTTCCAGAATGACAATTTTCTTTAAAGAATTTTTCTCTGAAAAAATATTTTATCTTTTCTTTTATAGCCTAGAGATGGGCAATAGGCTAAAGGGTGCAGGACTGATTTTTGCCCACCTCTTGGTAAGTCCTGAATATAACTGACACTACTTCTCTTTTGAATTTGCAAACATTTATACCCATTATCCATAGATTGGGGTCTCAGCCGAAACTATGAGACAGCAGGAAATACCATTTAATATCCTGTTAAATTATTATTTCCTGACCTCCTGGTCACAGCACTCATCAAAATCTGCAACATGTGGTTCAAACTTGCCCTCTCCTCTCCAGTTAGGTGTTAGTGGAGAAAGTCACACAGGTGAATAGATAATTTCCATCATGACCTCACAGCCGCCAGCCACAGGTGCGCCCTCAGCACTGCCTGTACAGTCTTCCTGATTCTCTGGACTCTGGACTGCTCCCTCTTCCACTTCCCACAATGACTGTTTCAGGCCTCCACTCCTCCAACACTTCCAACTTCCCCTTCCTTACACTGTATGCCTTCAGTACCTAATACATGCTAAGGTATACAACACTATGCTGGGGATTCAAAGACCTGTGACAGCAGTTCCCTCCCTTAAGAATCTCACATTCTTTTGGGGGAAGACTGACATATTAGCAAATAATTATAACATAAGATGAAAAGGGTAATGGCAGAGATCTATGCATAGGACGTTATCAGAACATAGAGGGAGGTCCCTAACCCAACGGCAGGAGTAAGGGAGAGAATTAGGGAAGACTTTCCAGAGGGATGTGATACATGAGCTGCTTTTTACAGGTGAATTGTATTGAGTTGGATCATGTATATTATCACTGTATGAGACGAATTCAGGTTAGTGTGAGTATATATACTCCTATACACTCTAAATGCTGTGGTAGAGGTGGCATAATTCTTTCAGAAGCAATCCATGATCTCCAAGTTGTAGATGGCTCTATGGCTTTCATGTGAATGATTTCTGACTTTCTGCTCCATTTGGAAATCCAATGTCATGGTAGAGTATATGTGCATGAGACCTCTCTTATGAACCACTTTAGACCCTCTCTCACTGCATGGATTCTGCCTCATTTCAGGTGCAAGCTGACAGCCCATCACCTGCTGCCTATGCACACATCTCTCATCTCCAGCCCTGTAATTCCTTGTTGATTCCTCCAGGGCACTCAACTCTGGGTTCATGCTCACTTAAGGGCAACTTGGAGGTGTGGAAGAGTCTATACCCTAAGAGACTAACAGAGGCTAGGAGCCAGTGAATAAATTCTGCCCTTTTTTCCTCATAATGAGAAGCAGCTGATATAACTTCTTGGGGACAAAGTCCTGCTGACGGGGCCATCAACATCAGTCAGCAGTGGTGAGTTCCATCATGCTTCCTGGCATCACCTCCCCTTACCTCCCTGTCCTGCTCTCCTTTCCTTCACTCCTGCCCACTGGGGCTCACTTCCTAGCAAAATAGCATCACATAACCTTCTACCTTAGGCTCTGTTTTCTGAGGAATCCAAACTAAGACAATAAATATTTTTAATTAAGATATGGTTAAATGAGTGGGCTTTAAGGTCAGATAAACGAGACTTTGATTTTAGCAAGTTAGTTACTTAACCTCTTCATGCTTCAGTTTTACAGTCCGTAAGCCTGTGTTACAGACTGACAGACATATATGGGTCTGTATTAAGTGAGATTTATATAGTGCCACACATATTACACATTCAACTGTTGTTATTATTTGTGTCCATGTCAAGCTGAAGCAGAGCAAACAGCCCTGATGGTTAAGATAGTGATGGTGGTAGCTTAATTTAAGCAGCACTTTTTCCTTTTCTGAGGGCCTCATATTATCACATTCAGTCTTTACTAACCCTACGAACTAGAGAGATGGACCTTGAACCTTGATTTAGTACCTGCTTCTAGAAACCTTTGTTCGTAGAGTGTGGACAGCTTAGTGAGAAGAAAGGCAGGGTTAAGTGTCTGGTAACTGGCTGCGCATGCAGCAGCTCCTTTGGGTGCTACTGTGGAAAGAGGATGGATCCAGCTGCCTTTGACTTGTTCCTGGCCCCTTGCTCTTGTTGATTTCTATGCTCACCACTCCTGGGTGTTTGTTCCCCTTTCCAAGCTCTTTCATGGTGTCCCCAGATGGTGCCCAATATACTGGGCTGCCCACAGAAGGTAACTGATGAGGACACAGTGGCATTGCTCTTAGGGCTCCTCCAGAGGGAAGAATTTCTGGTTATACCTCTCTGCACAAACTTGGAGTATTTGAATTAGGAAAAGAAATCACCTTAAAAAAGGATCGTGGAATGCTTTCGACTTTCATTCTTAAGTGAAACTAAATAACAAGGACTGATGGAAGGCATTAAAGGGAATTCCCTGTGGTGTTGATTTGTTGGGCTTTGAAATTTCCCTGCTTTTGGAATTACCCCAATGTAAACCTTTAAGTAATTTTTGATTTGTGGAATTCTGTCACAGCTCACGTTTGGCTTCTCAAACTGAAACTTTCCTCAGATGAAACATTCAGGGAGATATAACTAAAGAAAATAAACAGTTGACTGGAATTACTGTAGTGTGCTTGTAATGAAAAGGACAAGTTTTTAAAATAGTGTGTATTAAATCTTAGGTTTCCTAAAACAGCTTTTCCAAGATAATGAAACATTCACTTGCAAAGTAGTGACTGAAGATACACGGGCATACTTGAGTTCTTTTTTTGTTTCATGCTGAATAATTCTATAAACTTTAAGGCCAAATTTTCTTCACTTAGCTTAATTGTCAGTTAGATGAATGGAAAATAGCATATTACTAATTCTAAACTGTTTTGCTTTGATATAGTCAAAATTCATGCAGTGGGTAAAAAAGAAGGTCAGGCTATGATCTGACAATTTTTTCTTTTTTATTATTCATATTTTGCTATAATTGCTAACGTTTAGCAAACAGTCCAACTAAATTACAAAGAAAATACACAGATGACATTTTTTCTCCATAAAAAGAAAACATTAAGTCCACTGTAATTACAGAGAAGAAGAAAAGCACACATGTGTAGTTAATTTTTGGGTTTTCTGTGAAGAAATACCATATATGATGAAGACCTTTGTAAATAAATTGAAGTTGTTTCTGCCTCGGTCTAAACTATCTTCTTAAATCTGATGGCCCAGTTTTGAATTACTCTTCTCAAAGACCAATCAGCTCCTATTATTCTCAACGAGACTGATTTTCCTAAAGCCATCAAGGAATCTGGTAGTTTTATTTGTGTGTTTGGTTTCACATGTAGCAAGTACCATCTTGCTATTCAAAATGTTCCTTATAGTTGTCTTAGGGGATTGGTGGTCCACGGATCTGCTATAATAAAATAAGTTCAGAGCTGTTTCATGGTATGAACACACTTTGCAAAAACCCACTCTACTATGTGGCACAGATGCTTGGGAATTTCCTTCCGTTTGAAAGGAAATTGTTTTAGAAGTGAGTGTTGTCTGCCTAGGCAGCTTCAGTATTGTTGGGCCCTGGGACCATGGTTGAGTTAGACCTTACAAGAAGACAAAATAGGCAACTGCCTTTCTAATATGAAGTGTGTGTGTGTCTGTGTGTGTGTTGTGTGAACCTCAATTTTTCACTGGCCAAATGGAGGCAATTGCACATACTATGTTGGGTTTTTGAGGAGAGTTAAAATGAGACAATTTACAAGAGATGCTTTTACATATTTTAAAGATGAGAATGGTAGATATATGGATAGTGATCATAAGAATTATGTTAGTGGTCTTCACTATCTGTATGTATTTATTCACTGCCTTGCTTTCCTTTAAAATTGGGATAATGATATTGACCTACTTCACAAGGTTGATGAGAAAAACATCTAATTACTGTTGGTAAAGCACTTTGAAAACAGTGACTGCTTTCTATGAAAATGCTAAATAATAGCTTCCTGATGCTGTTGAAAGGATTAATTAGGGAATGTTTGCTTGGAACCTTGATCTTCAAATAAAAGGTGTTTCTCCTGTTGCTATTTTTAACTATTATTTTATGCTATAATTTATTGGTTAATAAGTGTCATGTTTGACTGTTTTTTTTTTTACTATTTCCAGATGAAAGTTTGATAATTTTTCTTTGAGAGATCATATGAATCTTATACTGTAAAGTACTTCATTCAATGTCATCCAACTAAATCGACCTTTGCTTGTTTCATGCTGTTACTCACAGCTTCCTAGATGTTCTCAATCAAGCTTCTCTTTTATGGTCTGCTTGAAATACTACCCTTAGTGATGGATTTAGAATTCCCTAACTTCTCTTCTAGTTCCCTGACCATTTTTCATTCCAATTACAAAAAAAAAATTTATTAAAAAGCTTTGGAAAAAATTAGGACTTGCTTACAAATGAAAGTTGTCACTTCCATTTTCCATACTTAAGTTTGTAGATACACAAACTTATTCCCTTATGTCTCTTGGTGGAAAAAGGGACCGTCTTTGGAAGATTCTTATCCCCAAGAGGATTTGATGAAGTTTCATTTTCATTTCTTTTAATGGATATAATTGCCCCAAATCATTTTGCAGTTTCCAATACATGTTGAGTAATAATTGTGTCAGTCAAAGAAACCTAGGTGATTTCAGAAGCTGAAGAATTCATTTAAAGGCAGCTCAGAGTACCTGTGGGGGAAGGTGTAGGTTGAGAACAATACCCAGATCATGCTGCAGAAATGTCTTCTCTGGACACCAATGCTAGACCTTGTGCTGCTGATATTCCTGACATTGGTGTGCCAGGGTGTATTAGTCAGGATTCTCTAGAGGGACAGAACTAATAGGAGATATATATATATATATATATATATATATATATATATATATAAAGGGGAGTTTATTAAGTATTAAATTACACAATCACAAAGTCCCACAGTAGGCTGTCTGCAAGCTGAGGAGCAAGGAGAGCCAGTGCAAGTCCCAAAACTGAAGAACTTGGAGTCCAATGTTCAAGGACAGGAAGCATCCAGGAGAAAGATGTAGGCTTGGAGGCCAGGCCAGTCTCTCCTTTTCACGTTTTTTTTGCCTGCTTTATATTCGCAGGCAGCTGATTAGATTGTGCCCACCAGGTGAAGGTTGGATCTACCTTCCCCAGTCCACTGACTCAAATGTTAATCTCTTTTGGCAACACCCTCACAGACACACCCAGGATCAATACTTTGTATCCTTCAATCCAATCAAGTTGACAGTATTAATTATCATTTATGTGGCCACTATAAATGCTGTCACTGCTGCCTCTGAAAATCAAGCGATGTTCCTGCTGCCACCACTAACATGTATCTCCACAATAAATGTGGGCAGTCCCCCCTCTTTTAAAGGCTGAGGGGTTGCATCTGATGAATGAAGCCTGCTGAAGTGCCTGTGCCCAGCCACAAGGAGGCTGAGTGATCCAGAGCCTAGCATGTTCATCTTTATAGTGGGAAATGGGCTGTGCCCCAGGAGTGTGGATGAGACTCAAGAGGGATGTTCTTCAAGCACCCCTCAAGCACCACCAAGTTTCAGATGCTGAGTGGCCAGAAAGAATGGCAAATGTCCATCTGTGACAATGACAGAACCAGAGTCTATAAATATGTGCATAAGATCCCCTATATTTCCTCCTGGAATAAATATTTAGGTGTTTTTAATGTTAAAGTCAAGTGTCTTCTTGACTTTTTCTGCTTAGAAAAATTAAATTCTGCCAGGTGCGGTGGCTCACTGCCATAATCCCAGCACTTTGGGAGGCTGAGGCGGGTGGATCAACTGAGGTCAGGAGTTCGAGACCACCCTGGCCAACAAGGTGAAACCCCATTTCTACTAAAAATATAAAAATTGGCCTGGTGTGGTGGCACGTGCCTGTAATCCCAGCTACTTGGGAGGCTGAGGCAGGAGACTTGCTTGAACCCAGGAGACAGAGGTTGCAGTGAGCCGAGATCATGCCATTGCACTCCAGCCTAGGTGACAGAGTGAGACTGCATCAAAAAAAAAAGAAAAAAAAAATTAAATTCTGTGTGGATTAAAAAATTCTGTTATTAATCTCAATGCTCTTTAATGAGTATCTTCACAGATTTTTTTCTACATATTTTCTATAAAATATCTCCTTTTAATACAGCATTAAAAATCCCCTTCATTGCATATTTGGAAAATCATTATGGGAAAAGACAGTAGGGAAGAACAATGGATAGCTTTATTATTTTCTACAGTCATTTGTGCTTGCTTTTTATTCCTTCAGTTCATATCAGCAAAAGATAGCAATTGGTGCCTAGGTTACACCAGAATTTTAACCAGCTTCAGATTAACTGATTGCATCACTAGTTTTCATTCCCACAGGCTTTTTCTCTAAATCTAATTGCTGATTTTATGGTTTTTGACATTGCTGATGATGAAAGCTTTTTTTTTCCTTTTCTTTTTTTTCCGGGTACAGTGCCTGGCTCTACCAAAACCATGACAATATGTTGGTGACTTTTGCAGATCAATAATGTTATTTGTAAAGTTTATCAACACCAGTCCCTGAGGAAATTTCTTCAAATTTCAGTTTCCAGAGTTCTCATTTAAAACAGATTTTGAATTCTTTCAATGTCAAGATTCCCAATATTTTAAAATAAATGTACTAGACAAAGTAACCATATGAGCTGCCATCAAAAATGGATTACTCTCTTCTAGGTTGCTTTCTTTCTTTCTTTTTTTTGGAGATGGAGTCTCCCTCTGTTGCCCAGGCTGGAGTGCAGTGTCTCAATCTCTGCTCACTGCAAACTCTGCCTCCCAGGTTCAAGCCATTCTCCTGCCTCAGCCTCCCGAGTAGCTGGGATTACAGGTGCGCGCCACCACAACCAGCCAATTTTTTTTTGTATTTTCAGTAGAGAAGGGGTTTCAGCATGTTGGTCAGGCTGCTTGAACTCCTGACCTTGTGATCCACCTGCCTTGGCCTCCCAAAGTGCTGAGATTACAGGCGTGAGCCACAGCGCCCAGCCGCTTTTTTTTTTTTTTAAAGAGTTCGGATCTTGTTCTGTTGCCCAGGCTAGAGTGCAGTGGTGACATCACGGCTTACTGCAGCATCCACTTCCTGGGCTCAAGTGATCCTCTGCCTCAGCCTCCTGAGTAGCTGGAACTATAGGCGTTGCCACCATACCCAGCTTATTTTTTAATTTTTTGTAGAGACAATGTCTCATTATGTTGCCCAGGCTAGTCTTGAATTCCTGGCCTCAAGCAATCCTCTTGCCTTAGCCTCCCAAAGTGCTAGGATTATAGGCATGAGCTACTGCACCCAGTCCCAGTTTGCTTATTTGCTGTTCACCTCTCCTAGAAGATTTGTTTTAATCTAATGGTGGGGATAAAGGAAGCTTTCAAATGCTTCCTAACGATTTTTCATTCACATTTGACAGTTCATCTTTACTCCATAGTATTTGTTAGATAGTATATCCAGACAGGCTCTGCTGAATTCTCCTTACAAAACAAGTATAACTTGCAAATCTGAAAAGCCTAATTTGGTTGGGGTGTAAATATTAAAGATAGTTTTTCTCCAATTGCTGCCCTTGTTGTGCTGGGTAGAATATTCCTTTTCCTTTTCTTAACTATATCTCAAGATTTCATAGGTTTTCGATCACTCTAAGTTAAAAAAGCAAAACAAAATAAAACAATCTAGTCCTCTACAAAGTTTGAACGTCTCATCCAATTTAACACTCACCTCTTCTACTCATTTTAACCCAAAGGACATGAAGTTGCAGGAGTGGCAGGTCTACTCTCACATTCTCTGTTCCCATTATCTTCTCCCCCTTCACTTCAAGCTCTTCTGTTGCTAGTGAGGGGGAAATAGGGGCAGACATCACTTTGTTCGGCTGGGCACATGACTGATGCTCTGTTGGAAGTTGAAGGCTTCTATGTGGCCAGTGCCCAGAGGCTGGTTCTCTTGGTCCAGGAGGAAGGGTGCATGTATGTTTCTTGGTGGGCTCTGTAGAAGCCTCTGTATATTCTGTGACTCAAATGTCCACTTTTTGTGCAATTTCACTTGTCTTGGGTACCAGAAGCTCCCATGGGGAGAGGAAGGAAAAGCCACAGAACTCCTCATTGGAGGATCTCAACCATTTCTTTAAATTATCCTTTCCTAGTTGTCTGCTTATATGGATTGGGGGAAAGGAGAGAAATGGGGTAGAGATAATGTGTTTGCAGAACTCTTTCATCCTTCTCTTAAGACACCAAGCAGATGTCTTGCCTCTAGTTGTATTCAGCTGTCTTTAGTATGTCGGGTGCTTAACATCCTTAGTTTGGGGTCCTAATTGCTAAATCCATTGCAATGGGAAAAGTCCTACTCAATATCATGTTATTTAAGTGTTTTGAGTTGGTTTCCTCAAAAGTAGATCCTGAGACAAGGAGTTTGAAAAGTGATTCCAGGAAACATAGTGGGTAAATGAGGCAAGGAGGGGAGGAGAACCAGTAAAGGGTGTATGGGGGAGAGCAATAGCACAGAGGACAATTGGGACCCAGTCCCTCTGGGAGCCCGCTGAAAGACTGTATAATGCAAGTCAGAATTATCCTATTACAGTGTCACAAGGGGAGAGAAAAGTCGACGATTTACTGACTCCCATTTTTCACTGGCTTTGGGTCTGGGGCATTTGCTCCCTGGCATTTCTGGCCTAACTCTCCTGTGGAGACAAGCAGAGGGTCTTCACATAGGGGGGCCATCAGTGAGCGTAGAAGGAACCACTGAAGCTCAGTGATTTCGAGGGTAAGCTGAGGGCCTGTGCCAGTGGACTGAGAGCATGTGCTACAGAAGGACAAAAGACAGGACGGCAGGGTCTTCTGTCAGGTTGTTTTCTCTTTCAAATTCACTTGGTGTTTCTTACTCTCAGCCCACTGGTTACAAGCATGGGCTTGTAACCCAGGTCTCTAAATCCTGGCCCTGTACTTGAGCCCATTAGCTCTGCGTGATCATGGGAAAATGACCGAACTTCTGTCATTTGTTCCTCATCTGTATCATGGGGGTAGTGACAGCACCTCCCTCTAAGGGTTAGTGTAAAGACTAGTCAGTAGGATTGTGCCTGGCATGTAGTGAGTACTCAATAAATATTAGCTGTGGTTATTATAGTGGACGGGGAAGCGTTATTGAACTAGAAGTTCTTGCCTTTTAGAAACTTTCATTTTATTTTATTTATTTTTTTAATTTTATTATTATTATACTTTAAGTTTTAGGGTACATGTGCACAATGTGCAGACTTGTTACATATGTATACACGTGCCATGTTGGTGTGCTGCACCCATCGACTCGTCATTTAGCATTAGGTATATCTCCTCCCCACTCCCCGCACCCCACAACAGTCCCCGGTGTGTGATGTTCCCCTTCCTGTGTCCATGTGTTCTTATTGTTCAATTCCTACCTATGAGTGAGAACATGCGGTGTTTGGTTTTTTGTCCTTGTGATAGTTTGCTGAGAATGATGGTTTCCAGTTTCATCCATGTCCCTACAAAGTACATGAACTCATCATTTTTTATGGCTGCATAGTATTCCATGGTGTATATGTGCTACATTTTCTTAATCCAGTCTATCATTGTTGGACATTTGGGTTGGTTCCAAGTCTTTGCTATTGTGAATAGTGCTGCAATAAACATACGTGTGCATGTGTCTTTATAGCAGCATGATTTATAATCCTTTGGGTATATAGCCAGTAATGGGATGGCTGGGTCAAATGGTATTTCTAGTTCTAGATCCCTGAGGAATCACCACACTGACTTCCACAATGGTTGAACTAGTTTACAATCCCACCAACAGTGCAAAAGTGTTCCTATTTCTCCACATCCTCTCCAGCACCTGTTGTTTCCTGACTTTTTAATGATCACCATTCTAACTGGTGTGAGATGGTATCTCATTGTGGTTTTGATTTGCATTTCTCTGATGGCCAGTGATGATGAGCATTTTTTCATGTGTTTTTTGGCTGCATAAATGTCTTCTTTTGAGAAGTGTCTGTTCATATCCTTCACCCACTTTTTGATGGGGTTGTTTGTTTTTTTCTTATAAATTTGTTTGAGTTCATTGTAGGTTCTGGGTATTAGCCCTTTGTCAGATGAGTAGGTTGCAAAAATTTTCTCCCATTCTGTAGGTTGCCTGTTCACTCTGATGGTGAAACTTTTATTTTAAAAATAGCAATTATATTCTAGATTGGGTTCTCAACCTTTTGTTCTGCTTTTTTACTGTTCACATTCAAAAGTGACAGTTCTCATTCACTAAACATTGTTAAACGCATGTCCTTCCCCACTCCCTCCTGCAACCCTTTCCCTCTAGAATCCTTGTTTGCCTTCCATTGTCTTACCAGACCTGATTGTCTCCAGCAAGGATAAAGCATGAGGGAACACTTCAAATTGTGTGTTAAATATTGTTGGAAATAGCATGTACAGGTAGTAATGTCATAGTGTGACAGAGTGATAATCTCTTCTTGGTTATGTCCTCAAGCACCAATTCAATTTGGCTCAACTCAAAATATTCATTGAGCACCTGCTGTTCTCCATGATCTGTCTTAGGCATTTGGGACATAACAGAGACAAAGAACAGAAAAAAATGCCTGCAATGTTTTGTTAACCTTAGCCCCTTTAGATGGAACAAATGAATTTTAAAAATTGTAATCATCCTTCTGATAGGGTGAGATGAGGGATGCTCCACCTTGCTTTTCACTGGTACTCACTATGTACAACTCACATGATTAAGTGCCTAGGTAAGGAACCTTGAGTACTTGACAGAATAAATTGAAGTGACTCCAGGCCATTGAGTGAAAGCTCAGTTTGAAAATGTTTAGCTTGCAGATCAATAACTCATGAGAAAGAAACAGCTTTGAAAAAGTTACAGTCTGTGATCTATGAGGGCATTGTGCCCTGGGAGGACTTAATGGACATGTAGGAGGTATGTTGGGTTATTCTGACTGGGAAGACTTCACAGGATTCTTTAAGTAGCTCTGCTGGGCCTCTCTGGGCTTCTAGAACCATCATGTTCAAATGGGAGCCATGTACCTATGATGAATACATACGTAATGTTTTAAAAGACATGTGAAATGGACTCTTGGTTATTGGTAATACATTTTAATTTTGGAACAGATATATGCTGGTTTGGTCTAAAACACAAAATTCTTTCCAGGAGAATGCGTTGTAATGGGCTGTAGCTATTGATTCAATAAATATTGATCCCTACTGTGTCAGAATATATATTCTGTCTCTATATACTTATAGACATATATGTATATGTATGAATCTGTATAGAGAGAGAATACATAAAAAATTGGTAGTAGATACTTAATACAGTGAATTTACTAAACATGCAGCACATACTGTTTACGTTGCTTCTATGATAGTCATTTCTGCCTTGTATATTCTTACCTTGTAGAGTTACATCATTCTTCTTGTTTGGATTTGGGTTCCCCATCTAGTCTCTGAGCTTTCCTGGGTTGGACTGTATAGTCCTGCTGGCTGTGCCTCTCCCCACTCTACCCCTTAGCAGTAATTAGCAGAGAGCTACTACTAAGCATCAAACGGGGCAGACATTTAGCTGAGAGCAGTTACAGTTCTCTAAAAGCCACTGCCTGTTCTGCAATTTTCTAAGGTAGTGTGTTGACACGATGGGAAATTGATAGAAAGACGTTAGAAGAAAGTATAATATGTCATAAGGCAGTCAGTGCTTCCTAAACTTTAACGTGTCTGCAGATCACCTGAGGATCTTGTTAAAGGGCAGATTCTGCCTCACTGGGTCTCCGGCAGGGCCCGTGAATCTCCATGTAACAAGTTCCCCAGTGAAGCCACGGACTAAACTCGGCAGGAGCAAGGGTATGTGTAAGGGCAGCATTGGAAATCAGACCTTTCAAAGGTAAAGAACTCAGGACGCACCCCTGCCCCAACCCTGGCTGCCCACCCCAAGCTGGGCCACCTGGGATGGCACCTGGCTGGCCCCTGAGTACTGTGTGCGTGCGGGACCCACAAGGGCCCGGCCCCTCTCCCTTCCCCCATTGCCCCAGAACCTGCCGGCTGAGCCTGAGTCGGAGCGCAGCCAGGTGAGGTGGGACGTCTCCACCCGCTCCCCCTGAGACCTGGCAGACCGGTTTTACCTGTCCTGGTCCGGAGGAGGCTCCCGACTCCACTGCAGACAATCCCTCCTCCTCCTCCCCGCCACCGTTCTAGTCGACTACTCTCTTCGTTTTGCTACCTGACACTCCCAAAGCCGCAGAAAGCAAATCCCCAGCACAGCAGCTGGTCGAGCACGGGCTCCAGCGACGTGTGTGAAACTGTTCAACCCAAAACACAAACACCAGCCACTGACATGTTTTAAGAAACGCTACAGTTGGATGACTGCGGAACCAAAACAGACCAAATGGGAGGCAAGAAGGGAAAGCAATTGGCCCAGTTCGGTTGTAGCAGCGGCTCGTGTTACACTCCCTTTGCCAGTTAGCGTCGTGGGCGTTTGTTGCTGTGTTAATTACAGTTCCTCCCGGAGTCGGAGGCGAGAACAGCCCTTGTGGAACAGTTTCAAGTGGAACGTTCCACCAGGAAGAAAACAACTGCCTTCCTCCCCAGCTGGGGAGGGATTCCGCCAGCCGCACTCGGGCAGCCCTGCGGTGCGCGCGGACACCTGCGAGCCGGGCACCCTCGCGCCCCTGCAGCGCGGCTGGAACTGGGACGCCGGGCTGGGGGCCGTGCCCAGGGGCCAGCTGCCGGGACGAAATAAAGCCTTGTTGGCTCCCCCTGAGGGACATGCCTGGCACAGCAGGCAGAGCGCACTTTTCAGTTTTCCTGTTTTCTCTAGAGTTCCTGGGAGCTCCCGGGAAGCAGCGGGGCGCGGGAGGAAGATTGTTTTATCTTCGGATGGGCGGGATGAGAATGGGCGCCAGGGATTCAGAACCAATCAGGGACAAACTTGAGACGGCGCAGCAGGGTGGAAAGTCCACGGTTGGACTTGATCCGGTTCCATATCCTACCTCTGCCTCTGATCAAGTGTGTGACTTTGGGCAAGTTGTTCCCAAGTTGCCCAAAGTCGTTCCACTTTTCTGAGCACCGTAGTCTCACACCTACCTCAAAAGATAGGGAAGAGGTCATACACCTATGTGGCATTGGCTACGTTACCGGGACCCTTCTAAACATATGATCCTCGCAGCAACTTTATAAAGAAGTACTTTTTAAATTGCCATTTCACTGGATCTGTTCTGGGTGATAGTTAGTCGTCATCAGAAATGTGATACTGTGGACGGAAGCATAAGGTTGTCCTCCCCTAGTAACAGTGATCTGTATCTCAGGAGGCTCCCTGTGGTGGGGAGTCTGGTGTCCAGAGCAGGGCTTGTGGGAGAGGGAGATGGAAGGGCTGAGTCCTAGAGATGTTAATGAATGTGCCCACGGTCACACAAGCTGATGAGTGGTAGGGCCAGGATTGGAAACAAAGTGGTCTAGTTCCAAAGTCCATGCTGTAAGCACAGCACTAAACTGCACGTTAAATGATAATGTGTATGTAAAGCACCTGAAGAATAGCAGGGAGGTTGGTGGTTTTTATTGTTTCCATTATTACAGACACATAAACATCAAACTAATCCGAACTAGCAAGGAAAGTGGCAGAGCTGTGAGGGTCCAGGTGATTAAGGAAAATCCATCAAAGGCAGCTGGACAGGAAATGAGAAATAGGAATGTGGATCTCAGCTCTAACTCCATCAATGTAGTCATGCCACCATGCAAGGTGTATCCGCAGCCTAGACGTGGTTAAAGATCCTAGAAAATCAATTAGGCCAAGCCACAGGGTGAGGATGGCTCAGCAAGAAGGGTATGAGTCTATGAGTCTACACCAGTCTCCTGTTACCAACCTGTTCTCTATCAGCTACTTAGTCCAAAAATTCTGAACTGTTAGTTTTTCTACTATTTCAAAAAATACATTTGTCTGCAGTGCTATTTGGGCTTCTTAAGAGTAAAATTCTTGGAATCAACTCAAAAACTGCAATCTAAAAACCACGGTGTGCACTAGAAACTGCCATTTATGCACACTTATGGGCTGGCACAGACACCTAAAATAATATATGGGAAGTGCTTCAGAATGAAAGCTCTGGGTAATGATATTTTAAAAGGATACCATACATGTTTTGATTGGAATGATAATCTTCCTGGGAGAATTTTGTCATGAATGTGTGACTTTTGCTCACAGTTTCATGTCCTTCTTGGTAAAGCTATTTTCAGAATAGCACAGGGACAGGGTAGAAAAGGATCAGCCCAGGAAACAGGTGAGAGTGGTACAGTTTCTGCCTATGAAGAATTGCCATGGAGGTGGAAGGCAGGTTTTTGGGTTCTACAGAGAGCTGCCTACTGATTTTTCACCAGGGCAATGCCCATTCATCAGGATAATCCAGGGCTAGCTGTGAATTTTTGCACATGGAATTAGCTTCCTATTGCTGCTGTAACAGATGACCACAAATCTGGTGGCTTAAAACAACCAAATTTATCATCTTACACTTCAGTATGGTAGAAATCTGACAAAAATATGTCTCGCTGGGTGGTAATGAATGTGTCAGGCTGCAGGACTGTGCCCCTTTCTGCAGGATCCAGGGGCAAATCCATTTCCTTTCTTCTCCAGCTTCCAGAGGCTTCCAGATTCTTCGGCTTATGGGCCCTTCCTCCATCTTTGAAGTCAGCAAGGCAGAGGCAGGCATTGCATCACTCCTGAGTCTCTCTTATGCTTCCCTCATCTTCTTTTAAGGACCCTTATGATTATGTTGGGCCCTCCCAGAGACTGCAGTATAACCTCCCTATTTTAAGGTCCTCTGATTAGCAAACTTAATTCCATCTGCAACCTAAATCCCCCTTTGCAATGTAATGTAATAGATTCACAGGCTCTGAGAATCAGGATGTGGACATCTTTGGGGGCCATTGTTCTGCCTGCCACACACCCCAAATGCTCTGGTAACAGGGATAGCCTTAATTCACAAACATATGCTCAGCACTTATTCTCTGAAAGGCACTTACTCTGTGAAAGGTACTATTAGAAGGGGCTTCTGGGTCATGCAGACCTGTGTGTGAATCCTAGCTCTGTCATTTACTAGTTATGTCATTTTAGGAGAGTTATTTAGCCTTTCCAACCTACAATCTCCTCATCTGTATAATGGAGATAATAATAGTACCTACCTTATTGAATTGTTGTTTGCATTAAATGAAATAATGCTGGAAAACACTTAACACAGTGCCTGGCATGTGATCAATATTCAATGAGTGTTTTGGTTATTATTAAGTATCACGGGTTTTGCATTGTGTCTGCCCTTGAGGAGCCTGGGGAGGAAGGCGTACTCACACACGTAGTTGCGGGGTAAGATGACACACAGAAATAGATATGAAAAAAATATAAGAAAAATATCACACTGAAGTGCTAAATGGGTAAGTGCTGTTGAGAGAAGTAGGAAAAGATATTTTTAACAATCAAGAAAGGTCAGGAATGGAGGAGGCACTATTGATGGGATGGGAACTAGAAGACAGGTTGAATTTAGAAAGGCAGAGGAGAAAATGTTGGGCACATGAGCATCTACGTGGCATATTACAAGGAGGCCGTAAATAAGAAGATTGACTTATTCTTTTGTGGAATGGAAGGTTTGTGTAGGGGTTTTGTTCATTCGTTTCCACTTTTCCCCAGAATGTTTAGGGGAAGAGTAGGCTGTCAGACTAGAAGGGACCAGACTGATAGAGGCCTAGAATACTAGGTTGTATTGTTAAAAGTTTTTCCAGTAATAATGGGGAGACATGGAAGGTTTTAGAGCAGAGGTAGTTTTAATAGCAGTGTTTAGAAAGATTACTCCAGGAGTAGTAGATGTAGATGAATTGGTGGTGAAAGAGCCTGGAGGCATGAGGCCTGTTAGGAGATATTTTCAGTGGTCTGGATAATAATGACCAGAGGAGATGTAGTAACCATCAGCCTGGGGAAAGGAGATGGATCAAGAGACACAAGAAAGCAAGAGCAAAGGGCCTTGGTGATATTTTAGATTTGCAGGGAGAGGGAAGGAATGAAAAATTCCTGGAAGGTTAGTGATGACAATAATAGAAATCAGAAATGAGTTCTATTTGCATTTTCCTGTATTTGTTTAAAATGTTGGCAGGACATACCGGTGGCGCGTGTCCAGTAGCCCATTGGAAACGTGGAACTGGAATACAAGGGAGCGGTCATAGTTGAATAATTAGGTTTGAAAGTCATCAGTGGAGAGGTGGCAGCTGTGACCCTTCATCTCTGCCCTGAAGCCTTCCATATGGTCAAACTCGTGTGAGTGCCTGCACTGGTGGCTTTCCAGCAGCGTCCCTCCTTTTTCATCCCATGTTTCCTGTCCCACTCCTTCTTATGGGCTGACTTGTGTCCCAAGTTGAAATTCTATCTCTCAGTATCTCAGAATATGACTGTATTTGGAGATGGGGCCTTTAAAGAGGTGTTAATAATTAAGGTTAAATAATTAAGCCCTAATCCAATATCACTGGTGTCCTTATAAGAAGAAGAAATTAGGACGAAGACACACACAGAGGAAAGGCCATATGAAGACACAGGGAGAACCTGGCCACCTGCAAGCCAAGGAGAGGGGCCTCAGAAGAGACCAACCCCATCTCAGGCTTCTAGCCTCTAGAATTGTGAGAGAGTAAGTTTCTGTTGTTTACACCGCCCAGTCTATGGTATTTGTTAGGCAGCCCTAGCGAGCTAACACACTTCTCCAGGGACCTGTGCCCTTGGATCACCACCCCGTTTGAGCTGAGGGCACTCCCTGCTGCCAGCTTATTCCATTGCTTACATTTTACCAGGTCTGTCTCCCAGCCCCTCATTATCTGGATCTGTTCTGGGTGGTAGTTAGTCGTCATCAGAAATGTGATACTGTGGACGGAAGCATAAGTTTATCCTCCCCCAGTAACAGTGCTCTGTATCTCAGGAGGCTCCCTGTGGTAGGGACTCTGGTGTCCAGAGCAGGGCTTGTGCGACAGGGAGGTGGTCAAAGATGCCTTTCTGAGCACCCGGCTCACAGCTGTTCGAGGACTGTTCTGCCACCTGTTCTTAAGACTGTCTCTGGCAGTGGATTCCTCCATGTGCCTCCCTCTGAAAGCATGCTCAGAACAGAAAGAAATGTGTTCCTCCTCATTAGCAACACAGAAAAAAAAATGAGATTTTATTGCACTTATAATTCATGCTTCTCTCTCTCTCTTTGCATTTAGTAATGATTCTGAATTTCAGTTGGGTCCTGTTTTTCAGGACATAAAATAAAGTGCCATGAAGACCAAGTCAGTGCTCAAAGTAGCCCTCACAAGAAACAAATAGAATGATGTGTTCTCACCACCACCCACAAAGAGCTTATCTATGAAAGGGTGGAATAGCTAGTGCTTGGAAATCCCCCATTAGCTCAACCGGTCAGATTCCAAGTCTTATCTTTTATAGACTTCTGTGACAGTGAGATATTCAGACAGGGTCCGTGAACTTGGTGACTTCTGTGTTCCTTAGGGCTGGCCTTTATGATGGATTGAGGCAGTTATTATCAGGAAGATGCTGATGAACTGTTCTCCATCTTCACAGGAGACAGAATGAGAGCAAGGGGGTGGAAGATGTGGCAAAAAGTCTTGTTAGAGCCTACTGGTAGGGGCCATTTTAGGATCTGACTAGGTTGTTCTCTAGCTCCCTCCTCTGGGAGCCTGCGGTACTACCCAGCGTTCCATTGTCAGTCCATTTACTATGCAGATTATTTTTTTACGTGCCTGTTCCTTCCAATAGACTGGGAACTCCCAAAGGAAGTTCTCTATTTTTGTCTCTATCTTGTCTCTATCTTAGTCTTTCTGCCTCAGCATCTAGCTCGCATCAGGTGAGTCCGCAGTGGATGGGGAATGAATTCATCTATGGGATAACTCACTGTCCCTTGAAAACTTTCTAGTATCCTGGAGATTGTGTGTATCAGAGAGAGAGAGAGAGAGGCTCATGAATAAACGACTCTTGGAAATGACTCTCTGATGGTTCTGTGCAAGATTTTCTTATTCTGGATATCGAAGAACTCTGTAAATACTGTAGTTGAATATCTATCATACGTCGATGATTTTGACATAATTATTGGCTGATTGACTAACAAAGGACTCGGAAACACAGGTAGTCACCAGAGGGAGAAGTGTGGCATCTTCTCTAGAGATTTTTAGGGCAAGAGTTATATTTCTGAGATGGGATGTGGACAAAATGCTAAATGCAAATTTTCCCTAGGACTTAAAGGGTGATTGGAACCATGCATGTAGGCTGAATGGATGAACGGACGGTAGAGCTGCCATTTATTGACTTCTGCTACGTCTCAGGGGCTTTGTACATGCTCATTTAATTCTCACATACGTACTTCTCGAGATGAATATTGTTTTACACCATTTTACAGATGGGGAAACTGAGGTGTAGAGAGGTTTATTTATTCTTTTAGTCAACCATATTCATTAAGTTTGTGCTATATGCTAGCCCAGCCTATATGCTAGGCTCTGGGGATACAAAAGTGGCAAGACACATGTAGTCTTTGGCCACGTGGAGCTTACAATCTAGCAGGAAAGAGAAACATAAAAGAGGTAAGAGCGATAGTTTAATAGGGTGCTGTTAAAAGTTGTCCTCTTCCCATTAGGAGCACACAGTATAGTGATACACTGAGCAGCAGACAGGCTATTACAATGCGCTTGTTTATAAGTGCACATCACAGCTACATTGCAATGTAGCTTTACAATGTAGGGTTATAAATGTTCCCTAAGAGTAAGTATTTGGTGCTATAAGAGCACAGAGGAGACAGGCAGGGAGGCTCCTTGGAGGAAGTGACATTCACTGAGACCTGAAAGGTGAGTAGGTTGGATCAGTTTAAAAAAAAAAAAAAAGGGGCAGGAAGTGTTCCAGGCAGAAGGAACAGAATGAGCAAGGTCCAGAGGTGAGAACTAGAATGGTCCCTGGAATATAGATATGGGACGAGAAATGAGGCTGAAGAGGTAAGCAGGTGCCTGAACCTATGGATTATAAAAAGCTTAGTTCAGAGGATGTTTAGACTGGGTGCAGTGACTCATGCCTGTAATCACAGCACTTTGGGAGGCTGAGGCACAAGGATCACTTGAGCCCAGGAGTTTGAGACTAGCCTGGACAACATGGTGAAACGCCATCTCTCCAAAAAAAAAAAAAAAGAAAGAAAGAAAGAAAAAATTAGCTGGGTGCGGTGGCACATGCCTGTGGTCCCAGCTACTTGGGAGGATGAAGTTGGCAGGATGGCTTGAACCCAGGGGATTGAGGCTGCAGTGAGCTGTGTTTGTGTGACTGTACTCCAGCCTGGGTGACAGAGTGAGACCCTGTCTCAAAAAAATAAATAAGATAAAATAAAATAAAATAAAAAGCGTAGACTTGATCTCAAGGCAACCAGGAAGAGGATGAAGGTAGTGGTGAACAAAGTAGAAGGAGGTTAAATGACTTTTGCAAGGTCTCATAGCCAGAAAGTGGCACACCTGGCATTTGATCCGAGGTTCAGTCTAACACTAAAGCTCATCCCATGGCCACTGGCCTATGCTACCAGGAACCATCCTAAGATGTGGAGAAGGAGAGGTGGAGGCTTACTGGCCTACTCACTTTTTCTGCCAATTCCTCCTGGACTTACTGTTTTCTATTGCCCTGGGCCTCCAGCAGCACTAGAAGAGAGCGTGTCCGCAGCCTCTTCTTCCTGGGTGGGAGATGCTGATGCCAAAGAGCAGTTTGTGACAGCACTCCTGCCTCCCGGCCACTCCCGCACCCTTTACCTGGGACTGACATTTCTGTTCACTGTAGATCTGTGCCAAGAAACTGCCTGGCTGCCTCCAAGTGGTGGGGGAGCTGCTGGCTCCACCTGGATCTGGGGGCCTTCTATCGCCTTCCGGGAACAGGAAGCAGGTTCCCATCTGGTAAGAGGAACAGGTGTTGGGTAGGGAAGAGAAGAGGCTCGCGTTCTCTTCCCTGCCATTTGTGTTCTTGCCGGGTGGATTCGAGGTGCATATGCTTGTGTTTTGTTTTGCATTGTTTTCCCGTATACCTCCTCAGCGCAGGGCTGCCATCGTGCCAATGTTTAACTCAATCTATATGCCGTTATTTCATAGTTTGGAACCCCAAAATGTTAAAACTCTTTCATAGTAAACAAAACATTTTCAATAATTGCTCAAGAGAATTTGGAAAAATAAGCTTGTTCGTTCCATCTTTCTATTTTCAGTAGGATGGTTGTCTTTGTTCATATTTTTCTTTTCATATAATATAGTGGCTAAGGGTGCAGTCTCTCCCAGACTTCTGGAGTTCATATGCTGACTGTAGCACTTTCTAGCTGGGTGACACTGGGCATATTACTTAACATTTCTGTGCCTCTGTCTCCTTAATTGTGAGAAAGAGATGATAACAGTATCTATTTAATAATCATAGGATAAGTATAAGGATTAAATGAGTTGATAGAGGTAATGCCTGTAGAATGACGGCTGGCACTTAGTAGGTGCTTCATAAGTGGCAGGCTACTGCTAGTATTCATGATTTAGCATGGGTAATTTTTAATTTTTATTTTTTGAATTCTAGCTGTCAGTCCAAGTGGACTTTTAGAAAATGTTTTGAAGTGAGCAGCGGTGCTGCCCTTCAGCCTCAGCACTCCGTCCATGTGAAGTCCATCTCCATACAAGGAGATGAGTATGGTGGAGAGGGCTCCCCTGAGGATCAACGGAGGAAGATCCAATTCTGCTTTGTTCAAGTTTTTGGGGGTGTTCAGAAATATTTGCAAAGGACAGAATAATATCCTGTATGTTAGCATGTGTTATATCAATCATCTCCAACAACCTTTTGGGGCAGCGTAGTAGCCCACAGCCGCCTCATAAATTATTTTTTTAAATGCAGATAATGTATATCACATGAGCAAAAGTTCCAATTTTTGCCAAGTCACAGGTTAGTGTACCTTTGGTGAGTGCTTCTACTGCTATGTGGCTGGCTTTCTTCTGCAACCAAGTGAACGCCTATTGTTTTGAAGTAAGTTTTCTTTTCATGGTCAGTTCATTCTATAGCTCTGAACATGTAGGTGACTTTTATTTTCTTCTGAAACAGCTTTAACCAGAAGGTGCATGCACCAGTGTAAGGAGAAGGCTGCTTTTTGATTCTCCTAGACAGAGGCTGTGATAGCAAGGTCTGGACAGTCTGCGCTGCCTGGGAATGTGCAGGTGACTATGGAGACAGCGTGGAGGGACAAGAATGGGCATATGGTCCTCATTGGCACAGCATAACAAAGTAATTAAAAATGTCTTAAAATGCAGAAACCCCCCAAACTGTAAAGTATATCATGGTAGATGTCAAATTAGCATTTTCTGTCTCTTTTTAACAATGCCATAATCTCATTAATCTACAGAAGGAACTAAATGCATGGACTCCAACCAGTTGGCTGGACATATGTTGCACATTGGACTGGCCATTTGGCTGGATCAGATTAAAGTGGAGAAATTGCATATTTTTTGGGCACTGAACATAAATCTGGGCCTGCTTATTACTTTTTGAGCTTCCTTTTTGGAGTGATAGATCTGTAAGTGCCAAAAATTCAGCACCAACTTGAGTTAAAAAAAAAAAAAAAGCTTATAAAGAAGCTCCATGGAGAAAAGGGACAAAGGATTGGAGATGGAGACCACATGTAAGGCTGGCTTCAGACCGCTGAGCTATATTTACTAGCAGCATTCACAAGGTCACATGTTTGAATTGTCAAATCTGCAGGATTGGCTCACTTACGGGCAAGGTGGATCCATTGATTAAATATTTTATTTTGAATGATATCATATACTATTAAACCTTTTAGCACAGTGCTATCTCTTAAAATTCTTTTCTTTGCAAATGTAAAAATTAAAAATCTTTCCAATTTTTTGAAAGCAAAATGAAGGTATATTGTTTGAATGAATGCACACACTAATGTTTCCTGATTATTTGGTATGTGCTTAGAGCATTGTCCTAAACATTGGAGGAAAGCGAATTTGAATGTGACCCTGTAAGGTGCTTGTGGTTAGGGCAAGTTCACTACCAGCTCTAATACTGGCTAGAGGATGACATCTTTAGAAATGTGCAGAGTGCAAAGGGGGTTCAGAGAGGACCAGGTCATCTTTGTGTGTGTGTTTGGTGAGAGGAATGGGTGAAGTGAGGTGAGGAAAACCTTCATGAAGAAGGTAGCATTTGAAAAGATGAGGGTAGAATACTCACAGGCAGAGATGGAAACAGGAGGGTGATTTGACATCTCTGGACTCAAGGGGGAAAGATAGGAAGTCACAGGGAGACATGTGAAGGAGACACTGGAGGATGAGTTTGCAAAGGCGGAGGTTGGGTACCATTTGGTGGACAGGAGTCAATGGCAGATCAAGGAGTATGAAGGGCTGTAGGAGCTACTGAAGGCTTCTAAGCAGAGGAATGACAAAAACCGGACCTGTGCTTTCAGGCAGATGATAAGGCATGGTGTAATGTATGAAATGGGCTGGCGAGAACATCAGTTAGGAGACGATGATGGTAGACCTGGCAAGAGAGGATGAAGTCCTCATCTAAGGACAGGCTGTGAAAAACAGGGGTTGTACAGCCAGAGGGACTTTGGAAACAGAAGCCACAGGACCTGGTCACTGAGGATCAGGATCAGAGGAGCTAAAAAATGATAATTGTAAATAATAATAATCATTACGCATTTGTAGACAGGCCAGTTACCATAAAGTTATCTGATTGATAGAATGCTCAATAAACAAATTTTGCTCTATCAAAGATGCCTTTTTAAAGGCAAAGTCTTTTAGTCCTTTGAACTAAGGTAAACTATGTCAGGAGCAGAATGGGTATGGGCGAGATGGGGACCAGGGCTAATGTTCTGTTTTAAGTTGTCCAACACTGCACCCCAGAGGTTAGTCACTCCTGTTAGCTCGTTAGATGTGGAAACCTGACATGAGGACCAGAAGCTGGAACTATCTCTCGGACTTAATAACGCTGCACCCATTTTTCCATGACAAGCCTTAATGTGCTCACAAGGTCTTAGCACCAATTTACATCATCAGTTTTCCAAGAACTTCTGCCAAGGTGGTAGATGGGATGAAGAAATGTGTTTGTAAGAATTCTAAGTACTGCAGTTCCAATAGCCCAGCAATATCTCTATATAGAATTGAAAAATTAAAGGATGCTGCTGGTGGGTGTGTGCTCAAGGTGGTGGAGGAAGGGGGGCTTCCCGGTAGATAGGGTGCTCTTTTGATCTATGCCCTAAATCCAGGGTTCAAGTACCAGCAAGTCTGTCTTAGGGAAGATAGCCATTTGATTTCATCAATTCTTCTTTTCGTGGCAGTAGCATTTTCTAAATGGAAATGAGACCTCAGAGACTCTTGGCCTAGAAATGATGAATTAGAAATCTTTCTATGAAGACTTCTCTGCATTTAACTAAATAGCAATCTTTGGGGATTTAGCAGTATTTGGAGTAATAAACCCATTGCACAGAACAGTTAAATATTAATATGTGGACCTTAGCTTACATTTGTTATAATCATAATGAGATTCTAGTGATATAAGAAAACATTCAGAAATAATTAATTTGGAAGTAATATTTGCTAGCATTTTCTTTTCTTGACATTGTGACTCTGAGGCAGGCAAATATGAATTAAAATGTGTTTCCTGAGTTCAAGTGAAGGTATTAAATTAACACAAACCTTTTGGTTCTTTCTATTGGGGGAGAGACTGCTGAGGAGAAAGAGCCCTTTTTTTTTTGAGACAGAGTCTCGTTGTCTTGCCCAGGCTGGAGTGCAGTGGCATGAACACGACTCACTACAGCCTCCAACTCCTGGGCTCAAGTGATCCTCCCAACCCAGCCTTCCAAATAGCTGGGACTACATGCATGTGCCACCACACCAGGCTAATTTAAAAATGGTTTTTGTAGAGATGAGGTCTCAGTATGTTGCCCAGGCTGGTCTTGAACTCCTGGCCTCAAGCCACCCTCCCATCTTGGCTTCCCAAAGCACTGGGATTACAGGCATGAACCACCGCGCCCAGCCTGAAACAACTTTTAAATTGTGCTCTATATAGAAGAAGTTACGTTGTTAGCAGAGTATGCTTCTGGTGCCCTGTCACTGCCTGCCTTGTTCATCCAGGTGTGGCTACCTGCTGGGTCCTTGACTCATGACTAATGACTATGTTGGAAGTACTCAACAAAGCAGTGAGATTTGTTCCCAGTCCTGTTGAGTCTTTTAGAGATTTCCCCAGGAACTCCCTGATTCTTTGGGGACAAAAACAGCGTATGGAGAGTAGAGGAATTACAACACATTATACATACCTTGGAACTTAACTTCACACTACCCGGTTCACACAGATCTGACCACTTCCTTGCAGGGAGAAATCTCCATTAATTATAGGGTAGTGAAGGGGTGTGTGTGTGTGTGTGTGTGTGTGTGTGTGTGTGTGTGGTGTGTAACTAGTATATTTTCATGAAAAGTGATACAATTCCATTTCATGTTTTTTGGGTTTAATTGATTACAATAAACAATGGAGAGGCCTGGTGCAGTGGCTCATGCCTGTAATCCCAGCACTTTGGGAGGCCGAGGTGGGAGGATCACCTGAGGTCAGGAGTTTGAGATCAGCATGGCCAAAATGGCAAAACCCCGTCTCTACTAAAAATACAAAAAAATTAGCCAGACATGGTGGTGTGCACCTGTAATCCCAGCTACTCGGGAAGCTGAGGCAGGAGAATCACTTGAATCCAGGAGGTGGAGGTTGCAGTGAGCTGAGATCGAGCCACTGCACTCCAGCCAGTGACAGTGTGAGACTCTGTTTTAAAAATAAACAAACAATGGAAATGTATCTTTTTTGATGCTGTGTTGAAGCTGTGGCTGTCTTCTTTAAAGGTCCTGCCTCTTTCCTGTAACAGGAGTATCATTTATTTAGTGACAGCTTGGAAAACTTTAATACCTGTGGGATATATATATATATTTTTAAAGAACTGCCTTCATACATTCCCTCCCTATTAAAAGAAGAGAAACTTATGAACTCCTTTTGTAGATGAAGAAGTCTAATTAACTGAGGCATTATATTAGCTCATGACCATGGGGTCATGGTGACATAAGTGGCAGAAAGAACCCAGCCTGGGTGCTCTAGAGTGAGATTCAGATCTGGGTGCTGGCTTTGTGCCTTTCCTGCTGGAGTCACCTTTGGGCAGGTCTTCCAGGCCCCTGAGCCTCAGTTGGCTTGTATGTAAAATAGAGATACAATAGATAAGAAAGGCATGTAGAGACTTAGAACAGTGTCTGGTACCTAGTTAATGCTCAGTAAATATTAGTAGTCATTAACATCGTTATTATCAGTAACTGAAGTCTGCTCCAAGTGCCCATGCTTGGATGGAATCTCGCTGCCTCTGTTCAGGATGGGGGTGCTTGGTTGCTGATTTGAGTGACCTGCTTTAACTTCTAGCCTCATCCTTCCCTTCTTATTCCAGTCTCCTTCTACCTCCATGTGCCTTCAGTCTTTCGAAAGCTTGTTTTAACTGCCCATAGGTCAGAGCAACCTGTGCCGATATGCTTGGACTTAAAGAACAATTGCTGCCCTTCAGACAAAAGCTTCATTTGGAGAATTGTATAATGTTGAGCCAGAAGGATTACAGGCTTTGAAGCCACACAGACTGGGTTTGAATCTTAGTTTCACTCCTTATGCTCTAATGAAATTCCAGCCCAGGGAGCCCCATAGTATAGTGATTTCAGGCTAGAGTGCTAGGGTAAGACTGTGTCAAAATCTTTAATCCCTAGAAAAATTACTTAATCTTCCTAAGCCTCAGTTTCCTCATCTGTAAAATAAGGATACCGATTCCCACCTCACAAGGTTGTTGTGAAGACTGAAATGACAAAAGCCATGGCGCATTGTACCTGCCTTAAATGTTAGCTATTATTATCATCATAGGAACCTTGGCTCTGCCATATCATAGCTGTTTGTGACCTTGGACAAGTTACTCAACCACCCCCCCAAGCCTCAGTTTCCTCATCTGGAAAATGGAGTTAATAATAATCCTTACCTCATAGGATTCCTATGAGTACTAAATGGTATTATATGAAGTTCTCAGCTCAGAATTATTGCAAACACCCTGAAAATATTTGTTACTGTTACTACCATTACAGTCTGACCTTGGGAAAGTTATTTAACCTGGTCCTTGCTTAAGAAACTCAATTTTTTTTTACCTGTAAAATTGCAATAATTATATCTGTCTCACAAAGATGGGATAAATAAATGTAATCATGTACATAAAGGACCTGATACATAGTAGGTATTTGGTGAAGGGGGCTGTTATTATTTCCACAAATTAGTCTTCCTGCAGGAGAGCCGTCACTGGCTAAGAGGCTTCATGGACAGCTTCATGCCTTTCATTTTCTGCCCAGGTTGAACCACATTCCCCACAGAACTGACATCTTTCCAGAGTGGATAATGTTCCAGGTATCACCATGCAACCCAACCCCTGCCTGGTTGCAGGCCTGTGTAATTGCTCTGCACACAGACCTCGCTCCCAGGGCGCCAGTGGTGGCCTGGCCCGTGAGGCCTCTATATTTGATTTCTGGAGGTCAACAAACAAACACTTGAATTAAATAAGCATGTTAGTCATGGTAAGTTCAGGTTGCTGTAATTAGCTTCTGTCTGGCCTGCTGTAAGCAGCAGCAGGCCTGTGCTTCTTACTGCCTGTGTAGCCAGAAAACACTGGTCTCAGAGCTCTGAGGGTGCTGGAGCCGAAAGCACTTGACATTGATGCTTTAGGACAGATGCTGGTAAGGCCTCCTTCTGGGGTGGTGGTGGAGAGCGTGGGGCCCTTCATTTTTCAGGCTGTAGAGAGTTACTGAGCAAGCTATTAGGCTTGGCATTGGGGATACTAAGACAGGCTAGACACAGTCCCTGATAGCAAGGAACTATGATGGGGACAGGAACAGGGATGGATGCAGAGGCCAGGAAACCAACAATGATTACATCTCCCTGCTGGCTCCAGGACTGAAGCCACGTCAAGTTCAGACTGTTCTTTGGGGCTGGCTGGGGAAAGATATTCCCCTATAGATATGCCACACTGTTAGCAGAATATGCTTCTGGTGCCCTATTACTGCATGCCCTTCTTCATCCAGGTGTGGCTACCTGTTGGACCCTCGACCAGTTCACCTGCGAGGTGCCCAGTGCCCCCTTTGGTCCTTCTCCCTGCACAGGCCCAGCTCCTCTCTTGCCTCAGAAATTCTGAGCTCCCTGGGCCTCATCTCAGCTCCCCTTTCTTTCCCTTTCCTGGGAAGGTATCACCTTTTAGGCTAAATGACACTCTCTGCATATCATTATCCTGCAATCTGCCAAACTGGTGATGCATTTAATCATTGTGATAATGATAATAATAATGATGATAACAATACTGTGCTTTGGTAAAGCTCTTTTGATCTTTCAGAGCAATTGTATCTACTCCCTCCCTTTTTTTTTTTTTTTTTTTTTTTTTCAGAATCTGACACATATGCATATTCATCATCTTCACCGTGCATTCATTGAAAACCTATCATGTGTGTCATCCCTGCAGGTGCAAAGAAGCTTAACATACAATGTCCGCCCACCCATCATCTACCCTTCGAGGGCAAGCAGTGTGGAAAGTCAAAGTAACATGAGCTTTGTAACTCTCCCTGCTCACTACTAGTTCTGTGACCATTGGGATATTACTTAACCTCAGTTTCCGTGTCTGTCATGCAGGAATAATAATAGTACTTCTTTCTTAGCATCTTCATGTACAGGAATCCCACATATAATCCCACGAAATGTCAGCATTGAATTAGGCACCCAGAATGTTCTAGGGACTTTGTAACCATAATCTCTTACACCTTACCACAGCTCTGCCAGCTCTAACTGCTTCCATTGTACAGGTGGGGAAACTGAGGCACAGAGACCTTCTCCAGGTCACAAAACTATTATGTGGAAAAGCTGGGATTCAAATCCAAATCTGGTCTAGCTACTCTGTTCTTTGCAGTACAGCCTCATTGGAGCTTATTAAATGCAAAACCCAAAGGAGTGGTACAGACAGTGAGAACTAGAGAACTCAGAGAAACAAGTCCAAGAGATGAGGGCATGGTTATTCTGAAGATGTTCTCAGTTCACCCTATTTTTAATTTTATAAACTGCTACTTTTAAAAAGAAAACAACTTATGTATAGTATTCCCGAATAATATGCTTTTATATTAATGATTGCATGTGGTCAGACATTTTGCTTTCAGTCAGTGCTAATGTGAGGCATTTGTATTCAAAGTTTTGCTTAAATAAAAGGGGAGCATTTTATTTAAAAAGAAGCATTTCGGTGACAGCGAGGCCAAATACACTGTATGCGACTCTGTGACTCAGTTTTGCATTAGTGCCCTCTGGTGGTAAATCCTAGAAATCATTCATGTCTTTCAGAGTGTTAAGAAGAACTGAAGAGGAAAAAAACCTGAATTTACTCAAGATCTTTCTGACATTTCTTGCCAAAATATTAACCAGTAAATGTTGGAATCCTTTTTTCCACATAAAATATCTTTATAAAGGTCTAAAACTGTAAGAAATAGGTGACTTTTAAACAAACATTGGCTAAAGGTGCCTTTAATCGTTTTGGGTGGGGAATATTTTGAAATCAAGTATTTTATGTTATGTGAATTAATGTCAAGGAAAGAAATATTACCTAAAGATTTTTCCTTGCTATCTTTTCCAAAGGGTCATTTTAGAGAATGGTGTATCTGAATAAACTTTTAATTTATTTGTGTCTTTTTCTCCATAAAATATGCTCAGCAAAAGAAAGGACGTCTAAATTGGGGTTTGCTTGGAATTGTATGGAGACATTCTTGCAAAGTCTTTGGTTGAGGGCTGAATATCCCACTTTCCCTTGGATGTTCAGGAGTCTAAGAGTGGAGTTGAAAGTAAATCATATGTTTCTGAGGAGATTATCATTGACATTTCCATATTTTCCCTCAGTTTCTCAAATGTGCCATCTAATTCTGCAGCCCACAGATTATTCTGAATGATGTTCTTCCAAAAGGGCTTATCTGAGTAGGTGCTATGGGCCAGCCTGTTTCATCTTCATGACAATCCTTCGAGGTATGATTTTAGCCACATTTTTCTACAAGAAGGGGACTCTGAGAATTTAAGGTAACTTGCCATCCAGCTGCTCCGTGGCAGAACTGGGATTCAACCTCGAGTCTCTGACCTCACGGTTAAAGACCTTGACTTCTTGCTGTGGACGACTGCAAATGCTGGGTCACGTTCACGTTCAGCTTGAATCTCAAACAGAAACGATGAGATGGGCTGTGTTACGTTCCCTCAAGTGAGAGTCGCAGTGGGGCTAATGTGTTTGTGTGAATAAGGATTCTTCACTGACGTGTGGCAATATCACTCTACAAAGCCATGGGAAACAAAGCTCTGCTTTCCCCCTACGTTGGCACTGGTGGCCTGTACTTACGGCAGTGAGATTTGCATACAGCCACATCTGTCCAGCCTGGTACAGAGCCCTTAAACAACAGGAGCCCGTCCTCTGGCACAAGTTCAGATTCCCAAGGAGACTGCCCTCATACCACTAGACCCAACCCAAACTTGCGCCTCACTAGGTATTGCCCTTGGCCCCTGACTTTTTTTTTTTTTGAGACAGAGTCTCACTCTGTCGCCCAGGCTGGATTGCAGTGGCGCGATTTCGGCTCACTGCAAGCTCCGCCTCGCGGGTTCACGCCATTCTCCTGCCTCAGCCTCTCCGAATAGCTGGGACTACAGGTGCCCTCCATCACTCCCGGCTAATTTTTTTTTGGTATTTTTAATAGAGACGGGGTTTCACCGTGTTAGCCAGAATGGTCTCGATCTCCTGACCTCGTGATCCGCCCGCCTCATCCTCCCAAAGTGCTGGGATTACAGGTGTGAGCCACCGCCCCCGGCCAAGGCCCCTGATTTCTTACTCATTTGCTCATTATGTGCTAGCCTGTCCCTAAGATTTGGTACATTTTGCTACTGTTCTGACTAGTGACGTTAGCTCTCAGTGGAAATTCAGCCTCCCTTACTTGGATAAAGTACTTTGTAAAAAAATTTTGCGAAACCAATTTTTTCACTCACTGATACGCTGTTCTTAGGAGGGTAAGTAGACTCTGGAGGGCACTTTCTCAGGGAAGGAATGAGGGTCTCAGGCTCTGTGGGGAAGAAAGGCATGCAGAGGTGGCAGCTGCAGATGGCCTGACGGGTGGGAAATTTTGCCTCTTCTGGTTTCTGGTCACCCCAGCTTCTTGAAAGACTGAATTGAGGAGTGTGGGTGTTGGAGTGGGGTGAATGGGATAGGAATAGCTCTATGAGCAGCTGAAGCTACTCCGTTGGTACCATCGGGACCATACTGTTCTTTTCATTTGGAATCCTGAAAATGGTGCATATATAAAGACCTTGAGGGCTTAGCAGGTGTTGGGGAAACCACCACATTACTGATCCTTCAAGAGACCAAGACATAAAAATAGTGCCTCTTATTTCTGGCCTTTTGGCTACTGTTACTTCTGTGTCATTGTCTCTTATTACCCTCACTTCTAGCCACACCAGTCTTATCACTGTTCCTTGGATGGGCCTCAGGGCCTTTGCACTGGCTGTTCTCTCTGCTTGGACCACTCTTCCTCAAGATAGCCACATGCCTCACTCCCTCACCTCCTGCACTCTGCTCAAAAGTCAACTTCGTAGGGAGTCCTGACTTGACCACCCTAATTTAAATTGCACTTCTGATTTCACTTACTTTGCTTTTTCTCTCCATAGTGATCACCTCTTAACATATTACAAAATTTTCTTAATTTTTTAATGTTTATTGCCTATCTCCTGTTTCACGCTCCTTCTTGCATCCCTGAATGTAAACTCTGAGAATAGTGAGGTATTTTTTGTCCTTTTTGTTCAATAACAAACACTCAGTGCCTAGAATAATGCCTTACAGGAGTGCTTTATAAGCATTTGTTGAATGAATGAATGAACTAATGAATGAAGTGTAATACAAGGGGCAAAGGATTTGGCATCCTTTGGTCATGGAGTGCTGCTCAGATATGTACTATAGAAACCATTCTGAAGCATTTCAAAAGACATCCAGTTTCTCCTCTGTATACTGCAAAATCTTGGGCTTAGGTTCTGGCATTTAGTCTATGACAAATGATTGCTGGCAAAAGTTGAATGAAGCAGTTAAGAGTATGGGTTTGCAGTAAGATCCAGGTTCAAATTTACACCTTTCCATGTACTACCTGTGTGACTTTGGTGAAATTATCTTCTCCAGGCCTTAGGGTGAAATGTATGTGAGAATGCATGAAGCCTGCCACGTGGTTAATATTAAGAGTGATAACTCATATTATCATTGATGGAGGTGAATGAAAGAAATGGAGTAACACGCTTTTAAAACACAGTTTCCCCTCCATTATCATTTCAACCACTTTAGATGAAAATATTGAGGGATACATCCACAATTTCTAGTTAATTAAAAAATATCAGGAGGTCTTAGTAGATTCTAGATTTTTCCTTCAATGAAATGAGTTGTTAAATAAAAGGCCTCCATAAGTACAGGGTCTTGTCGTTGGGCTCTATCTTATGAGCGGTGGATCTGCCTCCCAGGAAGGTAGGCAGACACCAGTGAGGCATCTGGTGCTTGGGATGCAGCGAGTGGAGCCAAGCAGAGAATGATCAGATCCGTTTGCCTGGAATTTCTGCATTTGCTGCCCCAAACATCTGGAGCCAGGCTACCCAGTGCAGATGGAAAATAGCAAAATGCAAATTCCCTGGGTTCAGCTGAGGGAAGCCAAGGCAGACAGAGTCTGAGAAGGCGGATGAAAGGTGAGCCAAAACAAAAGCCCTGGCGGGTGGTGGGGCAGCGTTTTATCTAGAGCCTACGGCCCCCGGTAAGGACAGGAGATGAGAGAAGGGACCTTAGAGCTACTTGGGCCACCTTCATGTTCGTACTCATCCCCCTCCTTAACAGCCTGAAAGGGAGCCTGCTGGGCTTACGGCAGCCTCCCTGTCCTCTTCCTGATGCCATGCCTGCTCCATTGCTTTGCTTCTTCTGGATCCTGTTTCGCCCTCTCCCTCAAGAAGGAGATCCTGAAATAGATCCTGAGTCAATGACTCAGGTGCAAGTGCTTTATTAAAGAAAGGCTCCCAGAAGAAATCTACTTGCACCCGAATCATTGACTCAGGATCTCCTTCTGGGAGAATCCAAGCCAAGACAAGACAGACAACCCAACCAACTGAGCTGCTCACAGCTTCAACTGCTACAACCCTGGAAAGGATTCTGATTGGCTAGCTAAGGGTCACATGCCCAAATGGGCCTTTGATTGGCAGCTGTTGCTTCCTTCCTACTCCCTCCCACACACCCAGGAGCTCCAGCCTGTTATGGGATGGGCATCCTACCAGGAACCAAGGATGCTAAGGTAAGCAGTCCTTGCCCTCATAGGTTTACTTATACTTAAGGGGAGAGAACCGTTAGTCAAATCACCCCACATACAGATCTTTACACACTATGAAGGACAAGCACAGGGTGCAGTCAGTGGGAGGGGCCCAGAACGGGAAGTGCCATGCTGGCTGCTGCTGTGTGGAATGGGCTGTAAAGAGAGCAAGAGTGAAAGCCACAGCAGGGGAGCTGGTCAGAGATGGCAGTGGCTTTATTAGAGTGGTGGCCCTGGAGTTGGAGACAGGTGGGAAAAACTCAAGAGCCCTCTAAGGAACCGACCCATGGCAGTCCATCGCCACCAAGTCCCTCTTACCACTCTAGGTTTAAAGAAACCCAAAAAACAAAACTACGTTGCAACTGCACTGCTACACCAGGAAACCTAAGGGGGAACAAAAGAAAACTTAGTAGTGCCCTCTAGGCTGAAGATTTGACCTATTATTTACTAACCTTTCCCTCCCTCTTCCTTATTTTCAACAAATCTCCTGCCATCCATTTTGAATTCTTCTCTAAATAGAGAAAGCTTTCTTTCTCAGCTTCATTTAAATGTCCACCATGGTATTTACCCATGTTTTCTTGATTTTTATTTCTTTTTGGGGCGGGTATCTAAAAGATAATCTGATCCCTGTTCCTGATTCTGTAGGTGACAGAGAGAAGTGGTTTTCTCATTTTTTTGTGTGTGAAATTATTCGCATATGAGGAAAAGATAGCTCAAAAATAGAAGCTCTTTCATTATCTCTCCACAATGTAGTGTGGCCCCAAGTGACTATTTTGTGGAGACACGGTAATTTGGGGTGGCTAAATCATTACCCCGAGGTGTGTCAGATGCTGCCAAGACCTCCTTCATTCATGTGGCCAAGACTGTGGGCTTCCTGGCTGGGGAGGCAGAGGCCCTGCTCTTCTGCTGCTAACCTTGGGGTCAGCGAGCCCTGATCCACACTTCCTCTGGGCAACATCAATGGGGCTGCTGAACATATTGAGCCAGACTTGTTTCCAAGAGATAGAAGGAACTAGAGCATTGGGGAAAGTCCCAAGTAACTCTAGCCCTCAGCCACCTGCTGTGGCTGAAGATGAAGTCTCTGCAGCTTCAAGAATCCAACTGGCTGGTGCACATTGTTCTCATTGGCTAGATCATTCCTCCATGTAGCACTTCACTAAACTCATTAACAAATATTTACAAATGACATTGCTTTTTGGGGTCATGTATATTTCAGTCTTCAGAATCCATCAGGCACTCAAATCCCTTGGCAGTTCTAGTTCTCTCCCCTAGACATGCCTCTGCCCCCTACTACTCAGTTCCTTTTATTTCTACCATTCGTTTTTATTTTCTATTTCATTTCTTTACTTTTTAGAGACAAGGTCTCTGTCACCCAGGTTGGAGTGCAGTGGCATGATCATAGCTCACTGCAGCCTCAAACCCTTGGACTCAAGTGATCCTCCTGCCTCGGCCTCCTGAGTAGCTGAGACTACAGGTGTGTTCCACCACATCTGGCTAACTTTTGTATTTTTTGTCAAGATGGGGGTCTTGCTATGTTGCCCAGGCTGATTTCAAACTCCTGACCTCAAGCTGTCCTCCAGCCATGGCCTCCCAAAGTGCTGCCTACCATTATAGGCTGCCATGCCTGGCCCTTATTTTTTTTAAAAAATGATCTTCTCCCTTCTATGTAATTCCTATTCTACCTGTATTATTCTTCTTTCCCTGTATTATGCTCGTCCCTTGCTCTTCTTCTCCTCTCCCTTTCATTTTAACCACTCTTCCATCTCCTGCTACTGCATGTGAATCAGATTTGCCCTCCAAATACCGTGTGTATCACCATCAGTTCAGTGGCAGAGGCTGTTCTTGCGCTGGCTTGGAAGATGACAGTTCCCAAAGTATTCCCCATAGAGGCTGATCGGTCTGACCCAGCTAATGCTACCAGTTAAAATAATCCTGGCTCAGGGCCCATGAGACTCACCAGTCCTTATGTGGTATTGGAAAGTGAAACTGATTTGGCAGCCTCATTAGATTATAATCAGCTCGAATCTTCCCTTCTGCCTTCTCAGAGCATCACATGTGTCCCCAGGAACAGCAGAGGGGAAAAACCACCTCTCCTCGCCCGCTTTCTGTATTTCTTCTAAGGTTCTTAGTTCAAATTAAATCTTTACTCTGTGAGAGCAGAGAATGACTCATTGGCCACCATGACTATCACCTTAAGTGGGCTTCTAATTTGTTTTAGAAGCTACTAGCGACCCCTAGGATAGCATCTACAATTTCAAGAGTGTAGTTTCAGAGTACTGACTGTATGCACCAATAGATGCCGGGCTGAGAAGTTGGGACCACATTCGGTAACAAGAGTGATAATAGCTACCAGTTCCTGGTTGCTTAGACACTTCTGTATTAACTTGTTTAATCCTCGGATCAATCCTATGGGGTATTTACTATCTTATCTTATTTTAGGAGGTGGACGCTGAAGCACAGAGAGGTTAAGTAACTTGCCTAAAGTAACAGAGTTAATAAGTGGCAGAACCAGGATTGGAGCTCCAGGAGACTGGCTCCAGAATCTGTGCTATTAATAGTTCCTTGCATCATAATCTGTAGGTTATGAGAACTACAGAAGGTTGGTACCTAAGCTTGGCACAAAGACAATGATACTTAGGGATAGTCATTTGGAAGGAGAGAGATAGAATAATTGATGGGAAAGTCAAGGAATCCAGTAACAGAGTCTCTGGTAATAATCTTGGTATGTGAATTAGGGTGGAATCTGCGAATGTGGAAAGCTATAGACATGAGAGATGACGTGAAGGAAACATTTGGACTAATGTGGGACATAGAGGGGGAGAGCATGGTGGGAGCGTTCCACCTGAGAGAATGGTGGGACCAGGGTCAGAAGGAGGGGTGACAGAAAGTGCCTCTGACTTGTGTGTAACCCTGAGATTTTAGGCTGATAAGGTTTCAAAGACTCTGGCTCCCCTACACTTCCTTACCCAACACTGTGTCCCCAGAAGGAGGGATGCTGCTGTGGATTAGTTACACTCCATGAGGCCAGCAGGCTTGAGGGCTAGAGGGTGGGGCTTTTGCTGGAAGAAGCAGAGAGATTGGAAAGAAACACCCTGTATCCCTCGTCTTCTCCATGTGTACTTTCTTAGCGTCTTCCTTTGCGTATGCTAGATCATGGGACGTCTGGTCCAGGGCACCTCTGGGCCTGATTATCCCCCAACTTCCTTGGATGACCTTTTGGCTGGGGCAAGGGGAAAGAAGCGTGGAAAGGTATCTTAGGGGACACACATGCTCACATTTTCACACAACCTCATACTTCCTCTTCTGGAGAGAAAATAGCAAGATGAGCCCATCAGGAACATGGTGGGGCCTGGGAGTAATTAGCCAGGTAACAGGATATTCCACCTGCCTTCACTCTAGCTCTGGTGCTCAGAGGAAAAGGGGGCCTCCCAAGCTCCCCAGGGTGGGGCTACAAGTTTGGGACTGAAACTCCAGCCTGTGCTGACCATGCATTTTCCCTTAAGTCATGTCCTCCTCTGTGCCTGGAGCAGAGGTCATCAATGGGGTGAGATTTAGGGACCCAGAATCCACCTTTCTCAACCATGATAATATTTCTTTTGTCTACCCAAACTTAAATTCCCTTCTCTAGTTCTTTAGTGTCCTAATCTGCTTATGTTTTCTTATTTCAAAAAGATACTCAGCAGTGATAAATATCCTTGAAGTATTTGGTGCACAAAGCTAAAAGGAGCTATAAAAATAAAGACACCTCCTCCCTCAGGTATTTTGGTGCCGATAAAATGATGATATCTGAAGCCCTGGTTATGAAGAGCTCTTATTTCCGATAAACAAATAAAAACCAAGGGCTATATGAATATTAATAATTTGGAGATGCAGGTGGAGGTATTGCTATTCTTGAACAACATATGTTCATACTTCATCACTTTAATTAACAAAGTCCCTTTTCTTGTAATTTTAGCAGGAGGTATCCCAGGGTAAGAGAACAAGACCTGGATTTATGTGAATAGGATTTTTTATTTCATCACTGAATCCAAATAGCATTTTCCTAGTGTGAAAACAGATGGCAGAGACTTTATTTGTGGTCAAAAGCATTATGTCTGAGAGTGAACCTTTCTTTGGCAGGCGGATTTGCATAAATTCAGGAAGTGATTTAAGACATGATATGTCTCCTAGAACCAAATCCATAGCAGGTACTTTTATTAACAAAATTTATACACTCAAACACAGTGACTCAGAGAAGCTAATTTTCATTTTGGCAAATCATGATTTTTTTTTTTTTTTTTTGCTGTCAACTATATATGTGAAGATTAGAAGTATCTCACGAAACTGTCTGTGAGTCAGCATTTGCATGTTTCTCACGCCCTCGCTGAAGAATTTCTTCTGATTTGGTTTTTAAGACCTCTGTGTGTTTGACAGAAATTACTTGGGGGAAGTAATCAAATCTTGGCTTGCTGTTTACCTTAGTAGATACCAAATTATAATTTTGGTATCTTCAACAATGAAAAGTTTAAATAAGACACTGTCCTTAAATGATGTTTGAAACCATAAATTACTTTGCAAACATAAGGAGTTATTATTATTTATACAACATACAGCTTTTATACGAAGCCAAATTTCTCCTACATTCTCAATGGAAATTAGAAAATTAGGTTAACTCTTCCTTGCTTCCAGAGTAAAATTGGATAACCGTGGTTTTGGAACCAAAATGGGGTACCTGCTGGGAAGTTTCTGAGAGCCAAACACAGATGTGGAAAATAGCTGGAAGGCATGATGTGTTTACAGTGACTTACTGTCATAGTCTATTTTTGGGTCAATTTCCTTCTCATAGTCCATCAGTGAACTTTTTGGATTGTGATTTCTTGAATATTTCTTCTTCATTTCTTTTCACCTCCACCAATACATTGACAAATTCATATAATGAAGAAGGATTAGCTGACACAGTGCCAGAGCTGGGTGAGAGTTCCGAAGTGGACAAGGTAGAGGCGATGTGCACCAATGAAATCTGTGCTTGGCCACATAGGGCCTTGCAGGTCTCCATAGACCTAGGGAGTCTCAAGCTTTACTGTGACAAGAATCTCTTGGTTAGCAGTCAATTGGCTTGTAAACAACAAAACCGAACAAAATTCTGAACTAATAATCAGGGATGGAGGCTAGGAATCTGTATTTTTCACAACATTCCAGGAAATTCAGATGCAGCTGGTTGAAGGGCCGCAGTTTAGGAAACGTTGCTTAGAGTCCCAACTCCATGGCAACCTAGTGCTCAATAAAATTGATATCAGTTATTAAAGTCCCTACTTTTCATTGCATACAAATCAGGTAGTTCTATCTCAGCAAATGTAAATGAACACATGGATGTGGCATGTCCACTGCAGAAGGCTTAAATATTTCTGATTCTTTCTTCTCCAAGGTTGGGAGATGCAAAGTGAGGGTAGATGGTCTCAGAGATGTGACATGGTCACTGTGACCAAAGAAAACAGTGTGAGAATGTATATCTAGGCTTTCAATACCCTGCACTTGAATTGTTTTTTCTGTGTTGACTTGTAAGTCAATAAGAAACAACTGGAATCAGCCAATTTGTAAATAAACACAGAATCAGGAAAAGTACAGAGGATGATGACATGAGGCAGCAGGGATCCAGCTCGTTGTGCAAGAGCAAGATAGAGTGACAACTCAAAAAGCTGTGAGTTATAATGCTCCAGGAGCTATGTGAGCACAAGAGGATTCTCAGACTCAAGATGCTATTGTGTGGCTTTAATAAATGTATTTAGGTCCTTACTATTCTGGGGGTCCACATGTAAAAGGTATGAATGGCGCACAGCATAGACAGCATAGAAATGTGTTTTGTGAGCTACAACACAAAGAAAATGGAGCTGTGGCTCTCAGAGCTTTTAGATAATTTGGCAAATGTTTCTTGTGCACTTACTGTGTGCTCAGCATTGAGCCCAGCGCTATGATAGGCATGACACAAGTTCTGTGTTATACACCAGCTAGACAGCTGCCCTGTATTTCTCAGAGCAAAGCTGAAGCTGGCTTTCAGTTTCTCGGTGTAGCAGGCAGATATAAGCAGCTTTCTAGCGTTCTGGTCGTTCACGCTCTTTTAAGGGGCCAACTCTATCCCTCAACCTGGAGAGATTAAAATGCCAACTAATTGCTGCAGATCACTGATTTCTAGTTCAACACTTGAAAAAAATTACTGAAGACCATTGACACACTTGAGAGATGTGCCTAACCCCGCGAATGAATAGTGTGTGGGAGACAGCATCAGGGAAATGAGCCAGATGTGGGCTCTGGAGTCCCTAGACCTGATTTCAGCGTGTAATTTTTGTCACTTCTTGCCCCCTCTGAGCCATAGTTTTCTCCTCTCCAAAAGAGAGATCATTCTACTTACCTAATTAGGTTTACATAATCATTAATAAAATACAAATACATATGGCACAGTACTGGCCCATCATAGGGACTTAGGAAATAGAAAATGCTCCTTTCTGCTCCTTGTCCTCATATCCTGAGCCTTCCTAAAATATAATCTCATTTCTGGTTAAACCTCTAAGTCAAGCATATAGTACATTTTGGTTTACACGTTCCTAGAGGGCAAACTGCTTGGGGAGAAGCCCTGTGTCAGAGTTCACTGCAAACTGAGAAAATATTCGAGTTCTCAAAAACAGAACTCATCATCTTCCCAGGGGCTTGTCATAGCCCCTGAAGTCCTTCCAGGAAGCAGAGCCTGACACAAGGGTTTGTGTGCAAGTAGCTTATTTTCAGAAGTGATTTCAGGGAACTGGAGTAGGGGACTGGGAAGGGGGAAAGAAAGAAAGAAGGCAAATCAGTACCTACAAAGTTGTATGATCAAATTTGGTGGCAGTTGTGGGAAACTGGAGCCTGATCCTCCTGGGACTCTCTGACAGCCATGAAGAATGAATCTCATGATTGCCTACTCAAGGGACACGATGGGGACAGGCATCCACAAGCTCCCATCCTTGGCTGGTCAAGGATCAACTCCAGGTGTTAACTCCCTCACACTGCCAGATTCGCACAAGTGCTGGGTGATTCTCATAGATGTCCCAGGCCAGGCGTCTGAGAAGCCCCTGTCAATCATGCAGCAGAAGTGAGGTGTACTCAGGAAAACTGGAGTAAAATGTGAGGTCCAGAGAACATGAAATGGACATAAGCGACATCCAGCACAGGGCTCTGTCAGCAGAAAAGTGAGCAAGTCTGCTTCTCCTTTCAAACCTTTTACAAAAGTAGCCACTGGAATATTCTTCAATTGCTTCCATGTGGCTTTGGGAAGCCTCACTGTTCTCTTGGTTTTCTGAACTCTAATTGCATGTACAGGCTCAGTAACTTGGCACTTCGTGACATATCTCTTCCTTGTCCTTCAATGTGTTTCTGTGTTTTAATTGTGTCCCGCTTCCCCATGAAAGACATCAGTTTCTTTGGGTAGCTGGGGATGGAGTCTTTAAATTCCGTTTTATCCTATCAACCCCTAACAGTGCTCTGCAAAAACCTGTTGACTTGCGCTCACTTGGTAGATGATAAATCCTTTCTCTCTATGCACAATTATCTTTTCAAAGGCCTGTGGAGTCTTCCTACTCCCTAACTATATTGAGACCCTCCCAATTAATGGGGCTTGGAAAGCAGTATTTTTAATGAGAGGCAGGGAGCAGGGAGCACAATGCCAGTGCCTCAGGGTGTTGTAAGATTTTCAGCAGCGATTCATTCTGCACTCTTTGTATTTGGTTTCATTCCGATTGCTTCACAGCCAGTAGCACTCAGAAGGGACATATATTTAGACTAAACTCTAAGCCTCTTATTGAAACTTTCTGTATATAATGAAATACAAATGTGCTGGTCCTTTCTCTGCCTAACCTTTTCCCTTTCTACTGAAGTCCTTGCCAGCTGTAGATACTGTATGGTTATGAGTGGTGACTAGGGCCTGCAATGGGTCAGCAGGGGACTAGTATTCACCAAATTCTTTTATTATTTATTTATTTATTTTATTTTTTTGAGACAAGGTCTCACTCTGTCGTCCAGGCTGGAATGCAATGACATGATCTTGGCTCACTGCAACCTCCGCCTCCAGGATTCAAGCGATTCTTGTGCCTCAGCCTCCCAAGCAGCTGGGACTACAGGCGCCTGCCACCACGCCCAGCTAAATTTTTGTATTTTTAGTAGAGACGAGGTTTCACCGTGTTGGCTAGGCTGGTCTCGAATTCCTGACCTCAAGTGATCTGCCTGCCTTGGCCTCTCAAAGTGCTGGGATTACAGGCATGAGCCACCATGCCTGACCCCGAATTCTTTTAGATGACAAGGTATCCAGGTTACCTTCACTCTTTCTTACTGTGAGACTGGAGCCACTTATATGAGTTACTCCTGGCTGCCACATTCAGTGGGGCAGCTTGTGTACTGCACGACTCCCAGGAGGCATTCACATCACAGTCAGTATGAATGTGCTTCCTGGAGGAACGCAGTGAGTAAGTTGTGTAGCCACAAATAGTGACCCTATCTGAGGCCCCATCCCAGTTCTCCTGAATCAGAATCTCTAGTGGGAGCACCCAGGAATCTACATCTTCACAAATCTCACAGGTTCCTATTAACACTAAAGTTTGAAAATCACTGCTTAGGGATAGGTTTTGAGAAAAAGATACATCAGAAGGAAAGAAATGTGGGAAATTATCTCAGCATCTATGCTGTCCCTGGATCCTTTGCTTTCCAGGCTTAAATGTACACAGTGGGTTTCATGGATAACTCAGTGAATCATTGCCGTTCAGAGTATGATGGCCCTGCTAGTGATCTGGTCATCTTTTCATCTCTTTCCAAGCAGGCCTCTCTTGTTTTATTTTCTGAGAGCTTTTATATTCAAAAATTTTAAGAGAGAAGTTCTATCAGGGCACTCCATATTGAATGGTGGCCCCCATTGGGTAGCATCTGAAGCAGAGTTTTCTCCTTGGCAACTGGCCTTACTGATTTTCTGTTTACTTGTATGTGGCTCCCTTTGGCTTGGGTCCTCACCTTTAATTCAGTGAACATTAGCTATGGCATCTTAAGAAAGGTCTACCTGTGATCGCTTTTCTCTGAAGGGAGCTATGGGCATGGTCAGCACACACCATCGCAGACACCATGTCCCATAATAATAAGAGCTAGTATGTGTTGCACCAGGCATTTTTTCTAGTACCTCAAAAACAACTCTTTGTAATAGATGTTTTGTTATCCTCATTTTAGAGATTAAAAAATTGAGGCATGGCCGGGCGCGGTGGCTCATGCCTGTAATCCCAGCACTTTGCGAGGCTGAGATGGGCAGATCATGAGGTCAGGAGATCGAGACCATCCTGGCTAACATGGTGAAACCCCATCTCTACTAAAAATACAAAAAAATTAGCTGGGCGTGGTGGCGGGTGCCTGTAGTCCCAGCTACTCAGGAGGCTGAGGCAGGAGAATGGCGTGAACCTGGGAGGTGGAGGTTGCAGTGAGCTGAGATAGCGCCATTGCACTCCAGCCTGGGCGACAGAGCGAGACTCCGTCTCAAAAAAAAAAAAAAAAAAAAAAATTGAGGCATAGAGCTTGACCAATAGTTCAGAAATGGTCCCACAACTGGAACCCATATAAGCTCCAAGCTGCTGTTATTTATGACCACTGGGGTCATGGCAAAAGATCAGTGTGTGGGGTGTGTGCGTGGGGGTGGGGGCAAAAGATTGTGTGCGTATGCATGCATGTGTGTGCATGTGTGTATGTGTGCTGGGGTAGGACAGGGATAAGAGGGAGAGTGCAAGGCACAACTTAGGTCAGAAAGGCAAGAACATGCGGAAGCCTTCATTGGTGCATGTTGGGGGAAGGAGTTGGGAGACAATGACGGGTGCCACAAAGCCTCAAGACAGAGCTGAGATTGCCTTGAGGGCCAGACAGGATTCTAGCAAGAGATTCTGGGGAGTTGTTCTTACTCCTTTGCTGACTTCTTATAAAGGATTAAAAATGGCATCTGACTGTCCATGGTTCCATTGAAAAATAATGCCACATTAAACACCTTCCTATGGAGCCATAACCTCTGTTCTAGCCAATACCCTCCATGGCCTGGTTCTACTTGATGGACAAGCCCTGAGAATTTAGGGTTAAACAGGAGGGGATATGAGTGTGTTTAAGGAATGAAAATGGGGAGGGTTGTACTCACATTGCCAAGGAGCATAAAGTTTGCAGTAGCAGTGGAGGACTGGAAGACTACCCTACCCTGAAGACCACGGTTAGGATCCAGGCCTAGAGCCGCTACTAAGCATACAATCCAATCTCCACTAAAGATAGGGCAATTATTCCAGTAATTCAGGAGGGGAGCTGTTGAATTACTAAAATAATTACCTCCACTTTATTTCTTTTCTCTTTTGTATTTAGAGAGAGATTTGGTCGCTTCCTTCAATGTGTGCCACATCACCAGCCTTGTGCTGCCTCCTAAGTCCTTAGATTTTTTTGAGCAAGACACAATAGTCAGTGAAATATCCTTTACCTGGGCCTGTGTGGGCCTTGGCAAGATCTCCTTGGGGATTCTGAAACTAAACTTTTTCACCTTCCTTAGCTAGTTTTCTTCAATCAATGGTTTAGAAACTAACAAGGGGCCAGGTGTGGTGGCTCACGTATTTAATCCCAGCACTTTGGTAGGCCAAGGCAGGCAGATCACCTGAGGTCAGGAATTCAAGACCAGCCTGGGCAACATGGTGGAACCCCATCTCTACTAAAAATACAAAAATTAGCCGGGCGTGGTGGCACATACCTGTAATCCCAGCTCCTGGGGAGGCCGAGGCAGGAGAACTGCTTAAACCTCAGGGGGTGGAGGTTGCAGTGAGCCAAGATTGCACCACTGCACTCCAGCCTGGGTGACAGAGTGAGACTCTGTCTCAAAAAAAAAAAAAAAAAAAAAAAGGAAAGAAAAGAAAAGAAAGAAACTAACAAGGGATACTTGGTTTAAGGAGAAGAAAATGGCTATTTAGTGTCTCATGTTATTCCCAAGTCACAATTGGTTTCTTGTTGGCTAGAAATGATTTGGCATAGTCCTGACTGAAGGCAGGGGGATGAACAGGATGACCTTTGATCTCCCAAATTCTGAGCAGGCAGCTGGGCTGTGCAAGGTGTAGATTCTGCCCAATACTTGGCACACTGTGTGAATTGGATACTTAAATAATCCAAATAGATTTTGGTGCTCAGAGCAGACTTTGAAGGAGGGGGCCATAGTTCTCTGGGTCATTTTTTCCTCTGGGAAATACTCACAAAGATGTACTCTGTCTTAGGCAGAATGATTACTCCAGAGACTTAGGAGTTTCAAGACAGCCGAATGCAAGATAAGAAAGGGTATCTTGGAGAAGATAGACTGTTCGTCCCCACTGGGACTCTTGGGTATAGCACATTATTGACTTCAAGGCAAGAGGCCATGAAAGTGCCTTTCCTTAAGACAGTAAACTCTCTGTTTTCTGAAGTGAATGGAAAAAAGGGATGTTTTTGTTCCCTATATCAGTTTCCAGAAATGAGTATATTGCACAGTGTACTTCAAACTGTGATGCTACCAAATATAATTTACTGTTACTTAGATGATTCGGAAGCCCCTCTGGGATCCTGTCAATAGTCAGAAAAAAAAAGGCTTTCTTGTTATAACATATTCTAAACCAATCATGCAATCAATTGGAACTTACAATTTACATGTAACTGTCAAGGGATTATACCAGTTATGTGGGGAATATAAAGAGATATAAGCTGTGGACACATTGATTGCAAACAGAGTTACATCTACGTGGGTTCTTTGTCGGAGCTTAAGACTAGAACTCAGTATTTGGCGCTTGTGATGGGTTTAGTAGATCTGCCCCCAGTGTCCACTTCACTTGCCTTCTAATATGCCTTCCTGCACTGCCGAGGCTGGAGAACCAAACACCACATTTCCTGCACACCCCCGCCCTCAGGATTCTGGATGTGATTTAAATCCAGCCATTATGTTGCACTGGTGCAAGGTGAGGAAGGCAGAAATGAGGCAGAAGCCATGCTTTTTCTGTGTCTGCTTTTTCTTTTGGAATTGCTTGTGGAGGCATTTGCATTTTCTATGGCAGTGTTAGCAGAAGTTTGTTCATGTCAAGAGGTGAGTCACAGAGATCTCCTTCTGCAGGTGAGGATTAAAGCATGTCTGCTATGACGTGGAGGCAGTTTCTATCCATGAAAACTTCCACACTATGGTGGCTTCCTGACTTTGGCAGTCTATGGTTTAGGACGTGGTGGTTTCCTAATCTTGGGTGACCCAAGAGCTTCCTTGTGACCCAATTCTACAACGTGACATTGGGAGTCATTTCTGAAATCTCAAGCTTAGTCTGTTTTCTTGGCTCTCCCAATAATTCAGTGAGCTTTTTAATGCTCTATAATCCCTTCATGCTTAAACTTGCTAGAATGGCTTAAGTTCTCTGCAATAGGACCCTGACTATGACTGTTACTGGTGCCAGGAGGGTTACAGACAACATACTCTAAAGAAACTGGAAACCTGGATTTGTGTTTTCTGACCTGATTGGGTTTGAAAGGAACAATGATGAGGTTAGCATTAGAATATGGAATGCTTGCAGTGCTTGACAGTGGCAAAATAGTTACTTAAAATATCACCCACTGGTCACTTGGAATGAAGTGCCCAGTGAAGACAAGGCTTTAGTGGACTGAGTGCCTGCTAATCATTATGGAGAAAATGAGGAAAACATGGACTGTGGATTTGGATGGCTGTCTCTGCCTGCACTGGAGAGCTTTAAGAAGAAAACTATATGCTAAGAATTTTAAAGTTTTTAGTATGAGGCATGATCTGAGGACCAGGGAGCTTCTATGACTTTCTAGAAGAATCATTTATTTCATGTAGCCACAGGGCTGATGCATTCTATCGTCACATGCAGTTTGATCCTGTGGGCTGATGATGAAAGATGGTCTGAACTCACAGCATCACTAGGTCACTTACATGAAAGTTTGGGTATTGATTGGGAAGGGGTGAGACCCTAAGGAGTGAAATGGAGCCATTTGGGCGAGTTCAACTGAACCTGAGTATACAAGTCCTCCGAATTCCATCAAACTTCCCTTGTCAGTAGACACATCTTCTCCTCCTCTGCGTGATGAGGCTGGTCTGTCCTTCCTTAGAGACTCTGGAATGGTCTTGCTGAAGTGGTTTCCATGCAAGGGGCTGCAAGATTTCTTCCTGTTCTCATCTCCCACCATTCATTGCTCTAGACCTATAATTAGAGTCAAACCCCAGCACACTCCGAAAGGACAATGCCTATCTTAAGAAGCAAAAGTTTACACACTCAAAGAACTGCAAGATTTTGCCCATTTTATATCAGCAAAAACCTGGGGAATAGGTGTGGGAGTGGATTAGAAGAATCTAGGCCACAGAGGAAGACGCAAACTTTCAAATCTGGCTTGATTTATTGGTATAAGTTCATTGTTCTCGTTGATAAAGATGGGAATGGTTGTAACTTGGTCTGTCTGATTGACTGGAAACAGGACCCCAAGGTGGCATACTTGCAAGGAAATTGAGGTGTCAGAAATTCATGATATAGCATAGGGGAAGAGATCCAAACATTTAGGAGGAAGAACTATTGGAATGGATATTTTGTGTATGACCCAGTCACTTGCCAAGGATGCTCTTTTCACCAAGGCATTGAGAACACAATTGTGAGAAACAAATTCTTGAAAAGTATTGCAGTGAAGTCCTCTGTAGGCCAGGAGTGAAGGTAGAAAATGCTGCTATTGAAATGGGCATTTTGATATTAAAGGGTGTGTTGAGATGCTGGAGTGGCAGAGGCCAAGTAGAAATTCTTGAATGCCAGAAGCAGGGTGGAAACAGCTACTGGCAACAGGATGGGAGTGGCAAGCTGACCTTTGTTATAAGTTAATTGGTCATTGAGTTTCTAGGAATGAGTAGATGGCCAGTCTATCAGGATCAATTTAATAAAAAATACTGTAGATCTGGAAAACATAGGCCCAACTTCACCCAATTTCTAGACTAAGGAGTTTATAAACCTAGGGCCATTGAATGAAGAGGAAGCCAGGATCCTGAGATCCTACTAAGAGAATGTACTGTAAATCTTCCTCCTAACCTTTCTCAAAGAAACTTGTAGCAATTTAACAACTCAACTGTGCATTGGGAAAAGGGAAAAACCGAGACTTTTGAGGGCTTATTGAATTCTAATTTTTATTAACATTAATCCCCTGAGACCAAACATATCACTGTGGTTCTCTAGAGGTTACGAGTAGAATTCTTGTCTGATTTTATCTCTCAGTGATGTGATCCTAGAGGGTTTGTGAAGTCATCTTGTGATTATTTTCTCAACTCCTGAATGCACAGTTGGAGTACACATTTCAGCACCTGGAGAATGGTTTTGGGGAGTAAAGGTTACTAACTGTCAAGGGTCCAGTGGAAGCTGCAACTACCTCACCTATCAAAATGGTAACACCACCCCTTCCTAGAAAAAATACAACAACCTCAAGGAAATAACAGAAAGGCAGGGATGACGATTCTTCTCGTATCTGTATTAAACTCACGTATTTGGTCCTTACAGAAAAACTATGGGTCTTGGAGATTGACAGTAGATTACTGTAAACTTTCTCAGACAGTGACTCCAATTTTGCTGTTTCACATGTCAGATTAATATATAGTTTCTGGAACCTGGTATGGAGCCATAAATTTGGCAAATACTATTTTTCCTGTTCTAGTTAGTACAGATACGAGAATCAGTTGTCTTTTACTTCACAGAGATGTAGTGCATTATCCCTATCTTATCTCTGAGCTGTGTCAGCTGTCAGGTTCTCAGTCACATTTTTAGTTTGCAGGGACATTGACCATCACGCCATGCTATAGAACATCATGCTGGTTCACTACATTAATGACATCATTCTATTTGGCCTGGTGAAAGAAGCAGCATGTGCTCTTGGTAAGATGCATACATGACAGAGGATATTTAAAAAATCATAGGAACATAAGGACCCATCACCTCAGTAAAGCTGATAGAGGGCCAGTGGCCTGGAGCATTTTGGGATACCCCATCCAAAGTGAAAGACTAGGGTGAAACCCCGTCTCTACTAAAAATACAAAAATTAGCTGGGCATGGTGGTGCGCACGTGTAGTCCCAGCTACTTGGGAGTCTGAGGCAGAAGAATTGCAGTAAACCGAGATTGCACCACTGCACTCCAGCCTGGTGACAGAGCGAGACTCCCCCACCCGCCAAAAAAAAAAAAAAAAAAAACTAGTTCCTGCACCTTCCACTGTGAAAGAGGCACAAGCTTGGCAGATCTCTTTTGGCTTTTGGAGACATACCACATTTGGATGTGCTGCTTGGACCCATTTACTGAGCTACCTGTATGGCTACCAACTTGGAGTAGGGCCCAGAGTATTAAAAGGCTTTTCAGATGGTCCAGACTGCAGAGCAAGCAGTGCTACCACTTGGCCCTAATAACCCAGCTGATCTAATAGTGGCTGAAGTGTCTGTATCAGATGAGGATGGTGCATGGAACCTGTGGCAAGCCCCTCTAGGAGAATTACAGTGTGGTTCCTTGGGGTTGTGGAGCAAAGCTATGCCCTATTTGTCAGTTGACTATTCTCCCTTTGAGAAACAGTCCTGGTTTCCTTTTCATGAGCTGGGTGTTAGTTGATTAACTATGCTATAAGAATAGTCTTCTCATTCTTCATTTTTCACTGTTACATGGTCTTGAAGACACAGTGTATTGTCTGAGCCGGGAGGGGAGGCTCACGCTGTTAGGGCATCACCTGCTGCATCACCCTCTCCCTTAATCAACAACTATAGATTCCTCGGAGGGCCCAATGAATAAGTTATCTGAAAAAGAAAAAAAAATCGATCCTGGTTTGTGGATGCACCTGCGTGACATTCTTGTGTCAGTTGGAAGTCAACTGATGTAGCATTATAGCACCACTCAGTGGTGATCTTGAAGTGGGGGAAAGAAAACCTCTCAATGGGTAGAACTTGTCAATGTTGCTTGAACATAAAGATGTTCAGAGGTCCAGGTCAACACAGATTCATTGGTAATGGCTAATGGGCACTGGATTAGCTGGTAATCAGAAATTTGGAAGGCAAAAGATTGGAATATTGGTGTCAAGAAAGAGTGCAGAAGTCGTATGTGACTAGAACTTACAGGATGGGCACAGAATATAAGGATATGCATGACCTATATGTTTGTTCACAATAACCATGTATTGATGAGAAATTGCTGAAAAGTAAATTGGACACATTGACCCGTTTTGTGAATGTCTGTAAGCCTCTTTCCCCAGTCTGATGGGTTGTTTCCTCACAATTAGATTCAGGGGATGCACTTTTGGCAGGAATACCACCCAACCAATGTTGTGTTTTTCTCAATGGAAAACATCAGGATGCACATGATGCCAGTTTGTCTCATTGGATTGGAATTTGAGATTGCCATTGAACATTTTGGAGAAATTGTGTTGATGAACCAACAGGCAAAAGAGGGGTCACTACTCTGTCAGCAGGGTGATTAATCCCAATTATCAAGGGGAAATAGGATTGCTGTTATATAACAGGACTAAGAAAGAGTATTTTTGGAACCCAAGGGATCTTGTGGGGCACCTCAAAGTAATGTCATGCCCACTGGTAAAAGTTACCTTATATTAGCATTATATATTTAATTTACATATTTAATATTAACTTTTAATGGAAGACTACTGAAATCTGGTATAATCAGGATTACCAGGGGCTCAGAGCCACTAGGAATCAAGATTTGGGTGACTCCACCAGATAAGTAGCCTGGCCCAGCTATGGGGCTGACTGAGACAAAAGTAACTTATAACGGGTTGTGGAGGAAAAAAATTATAAGTGCCAACTACAGCCTTGTGACAGTAACTAGAACTATCATAAACATCAATATTTTCTTCCTTTCTCTGTTATGTATATTTTTAGTATATTGACCATTTTCCTCTTCTCCTTTCCCTCATCCTCACAATTTTATAAATGGCCTACTGATGTTGGTTAACTTTATGAGATTATATCTTACAGAATATCATATAAATGGGATTTATGGTGGGGTTGTGACTGAGCTAGAGAAGAAATGAGTATCACCCAAAGATAGATGCAGAGACTTAGAGGACTTTGGGTCTCTCCTTTTGAAGGGAAGTGAGTGCTTTTTTTTTTTTTTTTTTGGTACAAGGGACAGTTAGGAACTTTGAATACAGGCAGAAAGTAAGCATGTATGTTGAAAAGCCAGAGGAACAGTCTATGGAATTTATTGTGGATTGGTGCTCAATATCCACTCAAGCTTTCTTCTAGAGAATTTTCTTCAACTACAAAAGTTAGAGAGTAAAAAAAAATTATTTTTCCCAGACTCTCTTGCAGCTAAGGTTTTGAATGCCATTTAAGTTGAGCCAGTTAAACATATTTTTACAAGATCTGGACAGCAGAAGTGAGGTGGAAGCTGTACTTTTGCTGCTCTGGCTTTTTTTTTCTGGAAAGCACAGTCATGGAGGGATTTTTTTTTCAGCATTAACGTAGATACCAGTGTCTGATAACTGAGTTGATGAGCGCTAAGAAGCTCGCCATGGGCATTCCTTCTGCTAGTGTGTGTCACGGCAGGCAGGTGTGACTTTCTGACATGGCAGCTTTTGCATTGTTGCAGCTTCCCCATCGTAGTGGGGGTAGTATGATTCCAGAGCCAGCTGCTTCCTGATCACACCACACAAGAGGTAGAAGCTCCAAGGTAACCATTTATACCTTGTGGCTTTTGTTCCTGAAAGCATGGCTTGGAGGCTATTTCTTTAACTCTCTCAATGATTCAGTAAGCCATTTAGTATCCTATAATAAATATTTTTCTTGCTTAAACAAGCTACAGTGGATTCAGTTCTTTGCAAGTAAACTCTGATCAATGTAGAGCTTTAGGGACCCAATGTCCTGTGCCAACATTTTATATGAGAAACAAACAAGATTCAAGTACGGTTTCTCCACTGTCGATCATGGTTATGCCCTCATTGTTATGGAAAGAAATCTGTCAACAATTATATGTCAGTTTATATCTTTTATTGTTCTTTCATCAGCCTTTGATAGGAAACAGTTATGGCCTGAAGAGCATGAGACTAAAAACTGTCGAGACACTGAGGAGTTAATGACAGTGCTCAAACTCACCTGCACGTTACAATTGTCAGGGGAGCTTTTAAAATTCCGAATTTTGGGGCAGTCTCCAGAACAATTAAGCCAGACTTTCTGGATCTGGGCCCCAGGATTCAGTGTTTTGAAAGATTCCCAAGGAATTCCAATGTGCAGCCAAGGTTGGAGAACCACTGCCATCTGGGAAGAGAGAGGTGAACTCTCCGGTTATGTATGAGTTGCAGTTTGGGAGAAATAGCATACTAGTAAGGTAGTAATTTACTATTTTACAGTGAGAAATTAGAAATTGAGCTAAAATCAGCACTGTGTTGGCAGAGCTGAGTTCCTTTCTGGAGACTCTACGGGAGAATCTGTTTTCTTGCCTTTTCTGATTTCTAGAGGCTCCCTGCCATCATCAAAGCCAGCAAAGGCTAGTTGAGTCTTTCTGGCAATGCCATCTCTCTGGTTCTGACTTTCCTGCCTCCTTCTTCCACTTTTAAGGACCCTGTCATTACATTAGGCCCACTGAGAAAACCCCAGATAATGTCCCATTTCAAAATCAGTTGATTAACGACTTAATTTCACTTGCACCTTGAATTCCCTCTGGCCATGTAACCTAACATACGCATATGTTCCAGGGGTTAGGATGTGGATATGTTTGGGGGGCCATTATTCTACTTATCCTGAGATAATGAAGGACAAGGACACTGGGGAAGAGGTACCCTAGTGGATTCCTCCCACACAGTTTTTTAATCAGAAGAGGCAATTGGAAGGTTCATAGCACTCAAAAATCATTATGCTATTAATTCAGATGTGATAGGAATCCTGGTAAATTCATAGTTCTGTAAGAAGTAGGGTTATCCAAGCCAGAATAGATTGCTAAGAAATTGGATAAATTTGTGATTTGTGCCTTGCCACGGTCACCTATTTGCAAAGTCATATTTTAATGATTAGAAACTTCTTTGCAGTCACCCGGATGCCTGGTTACAGATGATGGGAGAATGCAAACCTGCAAACCTTCCAGTTTGCTGATCTGTAGCCTCATGGCAGGGACCAGGAGGGGCCTACAGCACATAGGTGGTCCTGCTAGCTAATTGTTTTTCTTTTTTAAAGAGTGATTCAATATTAACCATCTTAAATTGAAAATTATTCTTTTGGCAGATGTCCTCCAAAATGGATTGCCTCATATCTAGTACCCGCCTGCTGCAGGCTTCTTCATCTAGTTCCTCTGGGGACACACTGTGCAGCTAATTCATCCAGGCAGATTCACTGGGAAGCTGTTGCTCATGAGGGTATTTCTGAGACTTTTTTTTGTGACCTTGCTGTATGACTGGTAAGACGCGACTTAGTATTTTCCATGCCAAGAATATCAGAGCCATGACCCATGGTATAGAATGCTGCAAGCTTAGCCTTCATTTGTTGCCATGCTAGAGCAGACTCTGTTTCTCCAGGAAATTCCTGGTTTTGCTCATGGGAGACCCTGCAGATGCTCACTTTGCCACTCGCTGATCTGATCTCAAGAGCATCTGGATCTGCCTTAACCAGCATCTCAGGCTCCCTACGCACTGAGTTCTTGACTGGAAACTAGTAATCTGTATTTCCCTGGGGCCACACTAAAGGGGGATGAGGGGCGGAGTTAAGTTGCAATAACAAGACCAAAGTTGGGTATCTCTGGCTCACTGGCTGTCTCTGTCTAGACTCTCAGGCTTTTCGACCTCCCCTCTGTGTGCTCCACCCTGCAGTCTTCCTGATGATTCCAGAGGCTCCTGCTGTTTCCTTCTCTCCAATCCCCAGGTTGGCCTCCTGGGCCCTGGCTCCCAGGTTGCTGCTCAGGCTGCCTGGATACTTCTCTCTCCTGCTAAATTTCAGTCACAGTGGGCTTTTCTCAGTCTCAACTTTCTATTTTTATTTATTTTGCCCCTGTTGCTGCTGATTCTTTATTCTAACTTACAATAGTATTGCATGTGTTCTTGTTGAAAAGCTCTTCAAATTCTCCATGGACCAATACAGGACACAAATAAGCAAACAAGAATATTAATGTTGATGTCCCTCTCTCCAGCAAAAGATTGGTGATGAGCGTCATCAATTTATTTTAATACAGCACATTGAAAGGGCAGGCGTGGTGGTGCAGATTTCACTCATTTCACTATGGCAATCGAGGGAGGTCTTGGTTGCTGACCAGGAAAGGAAAGCTATACCCAATCAGGCACACTTTCCAGATATTCCAGATAGGTAAATGGTCCATGAAACCATAAAACCAGAAATGAATCTCAGGGATGAAGAGTGGAAAAAAATCATCACCTGGGTCTTTCCTTTTTGTAAAGAAAAGAAAATCAATAGAGCTAACTGCATTTCCGCAGTTGGAAAATGTTTTCTGACATAAATAAAAAGTATAACAATTTTAGGTCAATTGGAGGCATTAACAATCAGATAAAATGGTCATTTTGGATTATGCATCCAGGGTAGAAGTGATCCTGCTGGAAACTTGTGACACTTGTCTGTCTGATTGTTGGTCTCTCTTTTTCTTCTTCTCTTTCTCTCCCTCCTCACCTCTTACTGTGCATTCTTTCCCATATCTTTTCCTCCCTTTGCCTACTACTGGGTGGAGTTTCCATGTGGGCCCCACTGTTGTGCTAAGAATAGCACTAGCTGCTATTTATCAAGGCTTTACCACTTGCCAGGCACTGTGCAGAGCACCCTAGATACATTACCTCACTTATTCTGCCCAACAGCCCTCCAGGAGGATGGGCATATTTGTGTAATGAACCCGGTCTGACATGGTGTTTAATTGCTTTATTATGTTCTTTGTCAGCACTCCAAATAATAAAGTTTGTTGGTATTCTCAACTTTTTCATGCTTGACTTAAAATATATTGTAAATATTATGTTGGCCACTTGAACTAGCAGGCAGATTATGGGGAATTGGAGTTATGCTTTATTATTATTATTATTATTATTATTTATCCTTTCCCTGAGCAGTAATTACTGGCGGTAATGAAAGTTCTGGGAGCTGTTGTTTCATATTGAAATTTAACTGCTTCCTTCCCCAAAGTAAAATAGATACTGGTGAGATGGAGCCAGGATGAGTAAGGGCATAAGATGTAGGAAGGTGTTAAGTTTTGAACTCAACTTCTCCTTATTGGCTCAATATTAAGCTTCATTTTCAATGCATAATTACATGAGAAAATGAAAGTGCCAAGTCTCTACACTGTACATTCCCCAGGCAAGAACTTCCAGGTTGTCTGTGGAAAATCCAGCCTTTTCAGTGGGAAATCAGGAGAGGAAGGTTGGTCAGTGGAGGCTGGGGTTTCTGTTTTGGTTTTTTCTTCCTCCTGGAGTGTACATTACCTCTACTTTGCTCACCGTCCTAGTGAACTCACCTGTGTACAGAGTTCTCCAGAGTTCTTCTGCTTCCCAGGTAAAGCCCTGAAGATTGCTTTCAAAGTCAGAATCTTTGGGGCTCCTGGGACTGGCACATGGTCCACCGCCAGGCAGCCCAGTTTCCACATGGGGGCACGGAGCCAACTGGAGCGCACTGAGGGAGCACAGCCTTGCATCAGATGCTAATGATCTTTCATCACGTGCTCTGACAATGAGGCTAGAACAACCATAGTTGAAACTGATGCAACAGGATGGAAGGGGCTGGGAGCACTGGGAGTTAAGTTACCCTTGTGAAAGGGAAGACAGAAAGGAAGGTTAAAAACAATATCTTGAGGCACTGAATTTAAATTACCAGCTGCATATTTACCTGAGAACATCCCACTTTTTTCAGATGACCTTAAAGGGAGTATAATTAAGTAGAGGAAAGTGGTGAGGGATGTTAGAGATTCATCAGAATATTAACTTTTCCCAGTTGTAGTAACATGAACATGATCTCGACAGCAGTTTTGTTATTATTATTGTCATTAATTTTTGAAGGAAGGCTTCACTGTTTTTTCAAAAAACAAAACAAATTACTGGAGTGGGCTGAATAATAGCCCCTGAAGATACCAGATTCAAATCTCTGGAACCTGTAAATGTTATGACATACTGAAAAAGTGTCATTGCAGGTGTAATGAAGAATCTCCAGGTGGAGAAATGATCCTGAATTATCCAGTGGGCCCTACATGTCACCACATTGCGATCCTTCTAAGTAGGAAGCAGAAGATCTGACACATGCAGGAGAGGGGAAGGCAATGTGACCATGGAGGCAGAGAGGGGAGTGATGTGGCCACAAACCAAGGATTGTTGGCAGCTGCCAGTGGCCGAAGGGGCAATGAATGGATTCTCCTTTGGAGCCTCTGGAGGGAGAATGGCCCTGCTAACACCTTGATTTTGGCCCAGTGATACTGATTTTGGACTTCTGCCCTCTAGAACTGTGAGGGAATACTTTTCTGTTGCTTTAAGCCATTGAATTTATGATGATTTGTTACAGCACCCACAGGAAACAAATGCATGGATCTAACTTGAACCTAGTGAGTTAGATTACTTCAGGGAAACACAATAAATAGTTAACAGGGCTTGTCAGGGGGGTGGGAGTGAGATGAAAGTGTGAAGGCAACTTCTATGGTTTACTTTTATATTTCCCTATTTTTCAAATCTTTTGCAAGAAAATGAATTCATATACTATTTTAAAAAACATATAAAATATGAGCAAAAAGATTTATTGTATCTCTTTAAAATAATTTAGAACAAGTAATGGCTGCAGAACCTTAAAGGGTTTTTCTAGCATGTTTCCAAGATACAGTCTTGATTATTTGAGATTGACATGAAGATGGCCCAGACTGTGCCACAACACAGCACTTGACACCAAATGTTAGACTGTAATGGGCCGTGTGAGTATTACTCAGTGTGGCCATTTCATTATCAAATATCTATTTATTTCAGATTTCAAACACGAATACAAGCTTCTCCTTTCTTTCCTTCCTTTCTCTTTTTCTCCTTTCTACAGCAAGTTCAGGAATGTGCTAGGTATGACCTGGGATAGAAAGAGCATATACTCAGCTTTTGCCTTCAAGAAAATTGGATATTGGCTTGGGAGATAAGATAAATGAAAAGGAAGCAGATGATCTGTTATAGAAGAGATAACACTGTAAGCCCAAATGTATGTGATTAAGTTCTAAAAGTGTAAACCAATAGGGAGTGCTGTGAGGTGTCACCACGGGCGCAGATTGCAGCAGATCTGACCATACAAGTGTAAATAAAACCCTATTGAATGCCCCCTCTCCCTCCCCAATTGTTCTGAGTGGTTGCTTCAAGATTTCTTCTCATCGTTCTCAAATTGTTACTGTGAGATTAACTGGCAAACATTTCTCCTTAACATAAGAAGTGTGAATGGAATCCTACCAAGTGATTTTGCCAATAGTTCCTATTCCTGCTGCAAACAGTGGTGTGCTCAGGCTTAAGCTGTAACATGTCCACACTCACCTGTCACTTGGGAATGCCTCTGTTGGAATGCAACATGCCCACTTATCACACAGCCGGCATGAGAGGCAGAGTGGAGTTTAACCAAGCATTCTGCCCCCAAAGTCTGCAGATGTAGCCAGTGCCTTCAGAAAAGGGAAGGGAAACTAACCCTGTTGAGTATCTACTATGTGCTAGGCATTCTGTTAAGCACTTTTACACACATCATTTAATCCTCGTGACAGTATTTAGAAATAGCTATCATTTCCCAGTTCTGTAGATGAGGAAGAAAAGGTAGGCTCAGAGAGGGTAGGTAAGTTGTCTAAGGTCACATAGCTGGTACATAGTAGTAGAGCTAGGGTGCAAACCCAAGATTTTCTGAGTCCAAAGCACATGCCTATTCCATCATTTCGGTAATAAGAATAAATGTCTTTCAAATGTAGTGGTGAGAGATGAATAAAAAGCCGTCCTTGGTGATCCTGGGGAGTCTACACCCTCTGCCTGCCTGGCTCCACATCAAGCTTGTGTTTGCCAGCACTTACACCCCTGCATTTCCCTCCAATCCCTGTCATCTCCCTTGTGGAGTCCTCTCCTCCTCTCCTACCCGTTGGTCCCCTTTTTCACCCATCCTTCAGCCATTTAATGATCTCATCTTTAATTCCTGTTTATAACTCCATGAGCTCCTCGATCACTGTCTCCTGAGATGTCCTTTTTGTCACTGGAACTTGTATTAAAGTGGTTTTGTAATGGGTATTTCTGTTTCTTTTGTCCTACTCTGAATTTCCTGAGGGCAGGGACTACATCTCTTTTATTCTTCTATGTTTCCCTCAGGTTCTGTGGTTATGCATTGGCAATTAGCAATTCTTTCTTTTTTTTTTTTTTTATATGGGATCTCACTGTATTGCCCAGGCTGGTGTGCCTTGGCACAATCTTGGCTCACTGCAGCCTCCACCTCTTGGGTTCAAGTGATCCTCACCACTCAGTCTCTTGAGTAGCTGCTGGGACTACAGGCACGTGCTACCATGCCTGGCTAATTTTTTGTATTTTTTGGTAGAGACAGGGTTTCATCATGTTGGCCAGGCTATTCAAACTCCTGGGCTCCAGTGATCGGCCTGCCTCGGCTCCCAAAATGCTGGGATTACAGGCATGAACCACCATGCCTGGGCTAGCAATTATTTCTTGACTTGAATTGCTTCCTGGTTGCTCACAGAAGTCTGCTGCAACCTCTTCTCCCCAGCTTATTCCTTTTGTGCCACTTCACTCCCAATTCCCACCCTTCACTATCCATGACTCTGTCCTGAGCTCAGAGATAACTCAGTGAATAAAACCTTCCACCATGATGGCAATGTTCTGTATTCACGCTGTCCAACGTGGTAGCCACTAGCCACATGTGGATTTTGAGCCCTTGAAACATGGCTAGTGTGACTGAAGAACCGACTTTTTAGTTGCATGTTAAATATAATCAACCAATTAATTTAAGTAATTTATTTAAATAATATAGGTAAATTAATTTACATTTTAATAGCTCCTGCCATATTGGATCACATAGCTGTCCAAACATGGAAAAAACAAGCTCCTCCATCTGAAGCCCAAACTTGAGTACAGGCTTTTGCAAAATTCTGCAGAAGTATATTCTTAAGTTTACAGAAATGAAGTCTGATGGAAAGCTGTACAATTCATTTCCAAGCGTGTCGTGGCTCCCGTTTGTTCTCAAGTTCTCTTGAGCAAGTCATCATGCAGTCAGTCTGTGGACTCACGTGTAGACACCACCTGTTGTCTATAGGGTGGCAGCTCCATTAAAATAACATTCACATCTATAGGGGAACATGGGGGAGATGCCTAAGTGGTCTGTTATGGAATTGCCCTAAAATCCCTCCAAAGACATTGAGATGCTAACTAGAAAAAATTGCTTCTTTTTTCCCCCTCTTCATTTCTGTCAAATTTAATTTTCTTGTTTTCTTTTCCTGAAACTCTAGTAGCTGTCAAGAATGTATTGCTGGAAGCCAAATCTGTCATTTTGTCTTCGGCAGTTGAAGAACTTTCATTTTTCTTTCTAGGAGTAATGCATTTCTACTTAGAGAACAGCTAAGTGAAAATGTACTCCTGAAACAAGATTTTTTCTGCAGGCTTCCTTGAATTTGTCAAAAAGACAAAAATCTTACCAGCTTCACTTTGTAATAATGCCCCAAAGTTACTTGGAATCATCTTCCACCTACTTTTCTTGTCTCTATTATTTAATATGTGTAGTAGGGAAGAAGAAAATGAACACATTTACAATTTAAGGTTCTGCTTATACATGTATTGTCAAAGCTAATTGTTTTAAACAAGGTGTTTTATCTTTGATTAAAGTGATCAATGCCTATAAGTATAAAAGAAATGATAGTAGAGTTTCATGGTCTCTTTCATAACACAGTCCCATACTTAACACTTTGATGTGCTGACACTGATAATGAAGATACAAGGCCTGACTTAAGCAATAGTTAGCCTTCAAAATAGAAAGGTGAATGGTACATTCATTTCTGAAATTCCTGAGGTTTTTCCTTGCTCTACTCAGTTAGACAGAGAAGCATTAAAAAAAAAAAAAATCCCCATTGCAGAGAAGGAAACTGAGACCACCAGTCAATCAAAGGGAGGATTTTTACTTTCCCAAAACAACTGGGTATCAGCAATGTCAAATATTCAACATAACTTGTAAGCCCTCCTAGCACTACCTTCAAAGCACATAAGGCATCTCTTCAGGTCAGCCATTTGCTCCTGACACAGACCTGATGTCTACTGCTTGTGTAATTGATGTTAACAATGGATACTGAGAATTCCCCAAGAGAATTTTACTGTTTTCATTAAGTTGGTCAAGTAGAAAAGGTGAATACTATTGTCATCCCTGCCCTAACAATGTGATTAACATTTTATCTCTCTGAGTTCCTCTCCCCTCCTTACCCTTTATCCCTATCAGGGGCAGACTCATATCATGATAATGTCATTGCTACACAGCTCAAGTTCACTGTCACCCAAGAGGGTCTCCTGGAGCTTACACATGACAGGCAATGGTATTAGAGGTGAAATATACAGAAGCAATGGCATTAGAAATATACAGAATGTATAAATAAATATGCAGAAGCATTGGCATTAGAGATGAAATGTAAACTTTCCATAAACATTGTGAATGCCCGATTCAAGGAAAGTATGTTCTGTCCGAATCGGAAACACCTTTTAGCTACAGTGGTTCTGAGGAAGGTACCTCTGCGAGGATGTTAAAAAAATATGTAAAGGTGTATTTTTCATTGTCACAGCAACAAGGATGAAAAGGTGGAAAATGGGAAAGGGTGATGGGGATGGTAGAGGGGTGGGGACCTACCAGCATCTGGTGTCCAGGACTCAGGGATGTCAAATGCCTGCAATTCTCAGGGCATTCCCACCTTATGAATTGTCTCACCAAAAATGTCAGTAACACCTGTACTGGGAAAGAATGGAAGGGGAAGTGCGCAGCACTCAAATAGTTGCTAACAATGGTCATTTGAAATTCACCATTTTACATACATATATATATACAATTTAAATTTATATATATATATACTTAAATTTATTTTTTTACTCTGTGCCAGGCACTGGGGTACAATGGTTTTTTAAAAAACCCACTTTTTGCCCTAAAGAAGCATATAGTTGGTGGGAGACAGACCACATTCTGCCATGATATCAGTAACCTGGGAGGCCAAGGGGAACAAAGAGGGGTCTGGAAAGGCTTCCTGAAACACCTGCTGCCTCCACTGAAGTAGGAGTTGGAGTCAACAAGGAGGTGGGCCGAGTGGTTTGGGGTGCGAGGGGACAGTTGGGGTAGGGAGGTGATGTTTCCAGATGAGGACCAGCATGTGTAACTAAGGCCTGGAGTTATGAGAGCACAGTGCCATGGGGGGCAAGTTTGTTCTGTGGCTATTTCCTTCCAACAGAGGCGAGGACTGCAAATCAGGATGGAGAGGGAAGCAGGGGTTCAGTAATCAGAGACCCTGACACTCCGTGCAGGAATTTATACTTTATCCTGGAGCCATGAGAAGCCACTGCAGAGTTTAAATTAAGGGAATGACAAGAACCCATGTCAGGGATGGCACATTGAATTGAGAGCTCTCTTAGTGTCAGTATTATTGTCCCTTGCCTTTAGACACTGGGCAGGAAATCTGCTGAGAGTCACCTGAGAGTCATTGAGGCCTTTCTATTGACCTCTCCTTGAAGCTGCGCTACTGTGCAGCCACAAAGGCAGGACTGGCCTCACCAGCGTAGCCAGATCACTATCACTGTCATCAACCATCTGGCAAGGAAGTGCCTTCTACCAGCAGAGACTGCTCTGCCTTCGAGATCACAGGCTCATTGGGAGGCTGGAACTACATAACTCCAGCATCCCCTCCAGGAGAAGGATGGTTAAGGCCAAAGACTACAGAATCCAACTATCCAAGTTGGAATTCCAATTTCACCATTTGTTGACTTCGTGACCTCGGGCGGATCATTTAACCTCAGTTTTTTTCATCTGTAGAATGAAGATAATGATAATAATGATCTCATAGGTTTTTGTAAAGATTAGATGAGATAATATATATAAGAACCCAGCACTTAATAATCACTCAATAAGCATTAGCTATTATTACAACAGAAGGCAAAGAGTCAAATTCAGCTCAAAAGTTAAGAGTGTGCCTTCTGGAGCTACAGTGTTGGGTTTAAAAATTTAGTCCCAAGACTTGTGGCCTTGGGCAACCTGCTTAAACTCACCCCACCTCATTTTCTTCATCAGTGAAACAGAGGGAAGATGATAGTCTTGACTTCAGAGGGCTGACATAGCTCGATTTTAACAGTGTACATCTCAGAACAACACCTGGCTCATAGTAGGCACTCCATAAATATTAGCTATTATTTCAATGGAGTAAGCCAGACAAAAAATGATAGAAAGGAAGTGGGACTCAAGACTTTGAAGGAATAGAGCGTGCCTTAAATAAAATGACAGAAGGAAGAAGGGAATCAACATTTGGATGCTTAATAGGTATGTGGAACTTAACATCAAAGAAGTTGTTTTGAGAGTTAAATAAGATACCCCAATGCCCAATGTAGATTGTTTTCTTATCCCAATTTTGCAGCTGAGTCTTACAGAGTTTAGATAGTTTACCTGGGATCACGTGTTAGGCTGTGGACCCTGGCTGCATCCGACTCTAAATCCTTGATCTTTCTCTCCAGCTTGCTGAGTCCAGCTGCATGGAGAAGGTAGGTGGTCCAGGAGAGGAGGGGGACGAGGAATCAATTCTGCTGGAGTCGTCGGGGTTGGTGCCTGGTTCCCAGGTGCATACTTTTAAGTTCAAGATGCTGGGGTGCTGGCCTCTCAGTGACCACCAGATGTCAGTGCTAACAAGAGATTCCTCTACTTGGTTGTTTCCAGAGCTAGGTGCCAGGGCACGCTTATTCATTTGGCAAGCAGCACCAGCAGGTACTGTCTAAGAGAAGCTTAACTTGGTCTTGGTGCCCATCTTCACATTCATCAGTGTGGGGTGATTTTGGAAGGCTAGGTCAGAAGAACATATATTACAGAACCCAGAACTGAATTTGGAAATGTGTGGTGGTAGAACACTTGGCTCTTTAATATGAAAGTCCACAGCATCACTTCCTAAGAAACAGTTTGTATTTGGAAGATAAAAGCTCCTTGAAGGTGATCAGTTCTGGAAACAGCAAGCCAGTCAAACTCTTGAATTCAAGGGGTGGAAAAATTATTGATTGGTGATGGATTATTGATCAGAAAAAGCTTGGAACTGTGGCTTTACACTTATTAATCATGAAATGGAAGTTACTCAAGTTACAAGCCTATACACACATGCGCACAATTATAATAAAAATTTCCTGAAACAATACTTTAATACATGTGATATTTTCTGTTCTATTCTGCTCTATTCTTTCACTAAAAAATACTAATTGGGACCCTCTAAACTGACAACCTACAGTTTGAAAAACACTGGCCTAGGCCGGGTGCAGTGGCTCACGCCTCTAATCCTAGCACTTTGGGAGGCCGAGGCGGGTGGATCACGAGGTCAGGAGATCGAGACCATCCTGGCTAACACGGTGAAACCCCGTCTCTACTAAAAATACAAAAAAATTAGCCGGGCGCGGTGGCGGGCGCCTGTAGTCCCAGCTACTCGGGAGGCTGAGGCAGGAGAATGGCGTGAACCCGGGAGGCAGAGGTTGCAGTGAGCCAAGATAGTGCCACTGCACTCCAGCCTGGGCGACAGAGCAGTACTCCGTCTCAAAGAAAAAAAAAAAAAGAGAAACACTGGCCTAGGAGATATTACCACAGTATGTTTCAGATGAAGTTCTTGGTTTGCAGTGCTTGACCAGACATAATTTCCATGGTTAAAACAGTCTAAGGGGAAAAACACCTGCTTTGGATTTGGAGAGAGACTCAAATTGCGATTTTTACCTGGAGTAAGCTGCTTATTTTCTGAACCTCAACATTTTCATGTGTGAAATGAGGAGAATTCTGTCTATTCACAGGATCACTGTGAGGCACCTGCTACACAACAGCCTTCCTCCCTCCCTCCTTCCCTCCCTCCCTTTTTTCATTCCTTCCTTCCTGTCTCTCACTCTCTTTTTTAGAGACAAGGTCTCGCTTTGTGGCCCAGGTTGGAGTACAATGTCACGATCATAGCTCACTGCGGCTTCAAACTCCTTGGCTCAGGCAGTCCTCCTGCCTTGGCCTCCCGAGTTGCTGGGATTATAGGTGTGAGCCACCGTGCCCAGCCCAGGCTATATATGCCTTTCCCTTCTGTACTTGAAGGTTTTTATACTATATGTGGTAAGAGAACTTTACAATTTCACTAAAGGAGGGCATTTCTAATGTGGAAGGGGGATTAAGTTCTAAAACCAGCAACTGGGAATCTTTAAGAATAGAGTAATCCTGCTTGTGTAGTCCAGCCACATCGATGCTCAAAAGCAGCGTGCTGGATGAACTGCCTCGCAGAGGTGTGGGGAGAGGAAGATACGTCAGTTTACGGTGTTGCTTTCACTGGAATGCCTCTGTCTGACCCTCTGACCCTCTAAGCATGACTTATTTCTGGTAGGGCCCTCTTCTTGGCTTGCAGACAGCTGCCTTCTCACTGTGTCCTCACATGGCCTTTGCTTGGTGTGTGCTTGTGGAAAGAGATCTCTCTCTCTCTCCTTGTACTTGGAAAGCCACCAATCCTATTGGATTTGGACCCCATCTTTGTGACCTCATTTAACCCTAATTACCTCCTATAAGCCTCATCTCCAAATATAGTCACATTGGGGGTTAGGGCTTTGACATATGAATGTTGGTGAAGGGTGGGAGAACACAATTCAGTCCATAGCACCCTATATTACACAGATATTAAAATGTACCTCCCTGGAGGGAGGGGCTTTATCAACATTGCCCATTACAGTAGGCATCCCATAAATACCTGCTAAATAAATGAAAAGAGGAATTGTGTTTTCTCTGTACATTCTAGTGTTAATGCGGGCACATTTATGACCCCATTATAATAACACCGGAAGCAAGCACCTTTTATCAAGCACGAATATATGTCAGTGACTTCACCTTTCTTTCTGATCTAATCCTCAACAATCCTGGAAATTAGGAATGATTTTCATCATGATAGGAATCAGAGGAGGCAAGGAGAGGTTAAGAAACTTGCCCAAGGTCACACAGCTCATAGGCAAAGCCAGGATTAGCATCCTGCTCTGTCACCTCTGAGGTCTGTTTCTTTTTAGAGTCTAGACCAGTGGTTCTCAAACTTGGGTGTGCATCAGAATCCCCTGGTCAGCTTCTTAAGACAGATGGCTGGGCAGGGCAAGGTGGCATGCACCTGTAGTCCCAGCTACTTGGGAGGCTTTAGCAGGACGATCACTTGAGCCCCAGGACTTCCAGGCTGCAGTGCGCTATGATTGTGCCCGCGAATAACTACTGCACTTCAGCCAGGGCAGCACAGCAAGATCCATCTCTAAAAAACTCCCCCAAACCAAAAAACAGATTGCTGGGGTCTACCCTCTGAGTTTATGATTCAGTAGGTCTAGGGTGGTGTCTGAGAATTTGTATTTCTAAGTTCCCAGGGAATGCTGATACTGGTTGTGGGACCACACTTTGAGAATCAGTGCTGTGGCCACAGAGCATGAGTTCCTTTTTCCTTCAGCCATCGGAACTGTTTCCTGGCTCTCCAGCCTTCCTTGAGCCCCTCAGGGAGGAGTTTGCTGTAAGCGCTCCTCTTTGCACGTTGTCTGGTCCGGGCTGCTCTGGGTCATCGGGGCCTAGAGAAAGGTCTTGGCCGCAGGGTGGCAGCAGCGGCCCAGGTACAGAAAGTTTGTCCCCGCGCTCAGGACAGCTAATAAGCGCACCATCAACTGGGTTCCCACCGGGCCAGGGCCGGCTGGCTCTCCGTCCCCGCTTGGCAGGGCAGGGAGGAGGCCAGTGGGAGGGGGTCTGGCAGAAGGGGAGGTCGCTGGCACACGAAGGGGCGGTTTTGTTCTCTGGTAGACTCTGGGAGAGGAAGCTGGGTGGTCTCCTCAGAACATCGGATTGTGCCCTTCACAAAACGGCCACGCAGCGCGGGGCCGCTGGGAGAGCCCGCGGGACAAAAGGCCTCTGCGGAGGCGAGCAGGGGTTGCTGGGCCGCCCCGGGCGCAGAGGCCCGGGCCCCTCCGTGAAGAAGCCTGGCAGTGTCTCATGATGCCGGTTTCCAGGGGTGACGACCTCCGCAAAGCGTCCCCCCCGGGCAATGTAGGTCTGTGGCCTCCTCGGGGAGTTCCTTCCAGCTCACAGCAGGTCCAGATGGCACCGGGAGCCACTCTCCCTTCCTCCAGCGTCACCCCGTGCCTCTTCCTCCCTACTGAGCCAGTGTTGTTCTGAACATCTTAAGAATCTCCCTGAGTGCCAGGAACTGTGCTGAGAATCTTATATCTAGTTATTATCTATTTAATTCTCATTACACCATAATAAAGAAGGTATTATGATACCCATTTACGATAGGGAAGTTGAAGTTTAACCTATCATATGCTAAGGGCAGTTGACCATTTAACTAAGCGTTTTAACTCTAGCATCCCCTCCAATACACAGACACTTGATATGAAAGTTGATTTGGAGACGGTAGGTTTCATGCAATCCCCACATCTACAGATGAGGATGCTGAGGTGCAGGGAATGGACCAGCCAGGGTCTCTGAACTGCTTAAGAATTCAGGTATAACAAGTGTGGATTCAACCCATCCCCGTGTAGAAGTTTGAGTTCAACCACCACTCTGAAGCGGAAGGCCTTTAAGTTTTAGGAAGCGTAAAGCTATTTTTAGTCTAGCCATGTGAGTTTTCTAACATGCCTGCTGACTTTCTCATGTTTGTTTTCCACTTCTTTAGCTAACAGCTCCTCATGGGCTTAAATGAAAGAAGGCCTCACTGAGGCACTGGAGTGCCAAGGGCAGGGGAATTTGGTTATAGCATTCAGAGGTTTGTGTTGCCGACAAAAATCTTTGCGTGCTGAGTTCTCCCCAGGGCAGGCCAGTCATCAGTTCATTGTGCAGGGCTGAGCTGACTTCCAAATGGTCTTTATTTTCCCCTGTGACAGCTATGTCTGGAAGCTCCTGGCTGGCTGCTTCCAGGACTTATGATCCTCTGAAGCTAAGAGTTGGAAAAGAAATAAAAAAGTTGTCATCTGACACCATCTTCTAGGACACTCACTACCATCTTTACATGATTTTGCATATGTCATTATTGGAAAGAGTTTATGATTTGATTTTGTTCCCCTTGTGCGGTGTCAGTTGGGTCCTGTTTTTTCATATCCTTCAGACTTGGCTTAAAAAGGGGTTTTTTTTGGGAATGATTCCCATTCATGGAGGCTGGAGTTCCCTGAAGAGACTGAAAAATGCCTCATTCTCAACTTTACAGAGACTGGAAAATAATCAACTTTGAATAGCACAATATGAAAAAAAATGGGTGCTTTTCTAATAGGTGCTCCCCAAATGAAAAAAATGTGTCCGTCTTTGGAGAACAATATGTGAATGCCAAAATTTTCAGCCCTGTAATGGATTACAGAAAATATTTTATGTTGGGGCAGTGGGGAGGGTAGAAGTAAGGAGTGAGAGAAGGAAAGAAGAAAATAGGAGAGGGAAGAAAACAAAAGCAGATGTCAGTCTTAAATATCTCAACTATGGATAACTGAGGTATTGCTTAATTTATTCAAGACAGTTTTGTGAAATCCTAAAGGTGATTCATCAAGCTTTTTAACTATGGCCACAAGATTTACAAGCACATAATAAGTGATAATGTCACCAGAACAATTAATAGTAGGAGATGTTAGATCTAAATTGCTTTTTAAAGCATGTTTTTGCTTTCAGAGAAAAATTCAAAATGGGGGTGATTATTTTATAATGAAGATCCCCCCACTCCAAGCAACCTCTTTCACCTATAATATCAGCTTCATTGAAGCAAATACAAATTGTTCTGAGTTCCACATTTCAAGTGTCTAGAGGGTTGCCAGATTAACACATAAAATTACAGGATGCCCCATGCAGTATTTTGCATACTTACACCACCACATTGTTATTTAATACTCATACTAAAACATTGTTATTTACCCGAAATTCAAATTTAACTGTGTGTCTTGTATTTTATCTGACAACCCTACTTATATGTGGAATTCAGCATGCTGTGAATGTTTCAAAATTGAAGGTTGAGACAGCAGTTTTGTGGGCACGATGAGACATGACCTGCAGGAAACCGTTACCATGCCACCTTCTGAGTACCTGTCTGTAGCTGCAAAACATGTAAGTGACAGAAGAGGGAGATGAGAATCCGGAAGAGGAGATGGGAGAGAAGGGAGATGAGGCACAAGGGAGACAAAACAGGATACCCAGAAAGGAAGGGGGTCCTCTGGGGAGGCTATTGAAGAAGCAGGGTGAACAGAGGGAAAAGTGACATGGGGGCACTGAGGAATTTTAAACCTGACTTGATGGCTTTCACAGATTGCTCCCTCTCGGCACTGCAGACTTGGAATTCGATGTTACCCAAGTGAGATCTCTAAGAGGAAGTGCCCCAGCTCCCTTTAGAGCTCCCCGCGGAAGCGGCCCAAGGTGAGCTCCGCATTCCCCCTGGTGGCCACTATGAGGCTCGCTCCCCGGACGCCGCCTCGCGGATCTCGTAGATTTCTCATCTCCCGCTTTCCCTCTAGGACGCTGCCCATCACCTCCCTCGCTCTCCCTTCCTTCTTATTGTCAGCGTATTCATTCGGAGCCCTCCCTCGGCGTGACACGTCCCGACTGCTTTGGCCCCAGGACGCGGCCACACAGAGCCGGCCATTGTTGCTCCAGTTCTGGGACCACCCGGGTGGGAGAAGGGGAAGCGCGGCCGCTGCGGAGGCCGCTCGACTGACGGCAGCCTGGGGTCGGGGCCCGCGGCCACCCGGAAGGAGGGCGTGCGCCCGGCCCTGCCCAGCCCGCAGGCAGCCACAGCCCCGCAGCCCCTGCGGCGGGGATCCAGCCTTCCCGCCACGCTTCCTCCAGGCCCGTTCAGCTAACAGAACTCACACTTCTGTTTTCAACACTGTGTAGATGAGTCAAGGATTTTACTTTTTTTTCTATGCCTTTACTTATAGGTATAGTGAGGTAAAGTGAGATTTTTTCTCTTGAAAAGGAGAATTTTGCTTGGGTGGGAAGGGACAGTGGTGGTACCAGGATGAATGTGGATACAGGAGGACATAGACTCCTAACTTCTGAGGGTAGGATTTAAATATTTTGTTAAATGTAATAACTTATAAGAAACATTTTAAAAAATGTCAGCCAGAGGCTGGGTGCAGCGGCTCACTCCTGTAATCCCAGCACTTTGGGAGGCTGAGGCAGAAGGATGGCTTGAGGCCAGGAGTTTGAGACCAGCCTGAGCAACATAGCGAGATCCTGTCTCTACAAAAAATAAAAATAAAAATTAGCCTGGGCGTGGTGGTGTGAGCCTATGGTCCTAGATACTCGGGAGGCTGAGGATCGCTTGAGCCCAGGAGTTCGAGGCTGCAGTGAGCCATAATCACAGAGTGAGACCCTGTATCTTAAAAAAAAAAAAAAAAGCTGTGAACCTGCATATTTTTCATAGTTCCATTTGTGAGCACATGTGTGACTACCACATGTTGGGATCTAAGGCCTGCTTCTCCACCCTCTTTGTCATACTCTGGCTGAGAGGCACTTCCCTTAACCATAAGGGGCTTTCCACAGACCTCCCACAGGCAGATGACCTGCTTCTTATGTCTGCATTGTGGAGGTGGCCAAAACCCAGCGTGGGCTGCAGAAGGGAAGAAAATGGTCCCGGCAGAAGGGAGCACTTCCTAGCAGTGGATTGATTTTATGCGGCACTTCCCAGAACGTTTCACAGGGGGCAAATATTGATCTGCTCAGGGTGGCCAGGCTTGGTTCCCTCAGTTTGTGAGCAGCCTTTCTTTTCCCAAACTGGTCATGTAAATACCACATATGCCTTCACAAAAGTTAGGGTGTATGGTTCAAACATAGCGATTTGTAAATTTTTTTTTTTTTTTAGTCGTAAGATCTGTTAGAGAAACCGATTGAAATTAAGAATTTTACCCCCAGAAAAAGGCAAATGCACAAAACTTTCCCCACAACTTCAAGGGCGATGAACCTATTGAACTCTCATGTGGATGACCTAGGGGTCCATGGATCCAACTTAAGAGCCTTTCCTCTAGGTGGCTGCCACCTGCTGGTAGAGAGGGTCAGATTATAGGCTCCAGACACTACTTCAATCTGGAGATTTCATGATATTGCCTGCGAATTCTTTACTAAAAAGCATGATGAAAAGTAGTCATCCGTAAGCTGTTCTTAATGAATAGAGCACCAGCACAATGGCTGTTTCTGGAAATCCCTTGAGATCTTAGTTAGCTCTTTTCACAAATGGTGGTAATAATCACAGAGATAAATCTACCTAATTTGGAGGTCAGACAGGAAGTTACTTTTTCGGAAGGGCCCATGGTGGTATCACACTTTTCTAATCCCGACATGGAAATGATTCAATTCATCTGAGAAATTTGAATCTGACATGGACAAGGAAGTATGGCCTGCTACAGCAAAGTGCTCCGCTCACCTCCTCCTGTTTCCAGCTCCAGTTCTTGGAGTTGAGCAGGAGAGCATGTCCTTACTTATTTTCTTGTGGCTGGCTCTGCCAAGATTTTACCTTGCTGCATGGGATCCTTCCAGAGACTGCCCTGAGCTTATTGTAATATTTCCATGAATGGAAAATGTATTTTTCTTTGAGGAGAAGAATAACAACAACGTGCAAAGATGTTAATGTAAAACTATTTTTTTCTTTATTGAAAATACATCTACAAAGTAATGCTTCCCAGTCCACACTGAGTGCATGTGTATGCAGAGCCTGTGATGGCTTGGCGAGAGGATGGGCTCCCCACAGGACCTTTCCATAAGAAATGGTTAGTATATTAAAAAACACATATTGTGTAACAGAATTAAGTTGATATGATTAAGTCTTTGCTCTACTAGTGTCTTAAGAGGACAGCCACGTACTTTAACATTTGTAGTGTATTTCCGAAATAGAGCCTCGACATTAAATGGTTACTGCACCACAGCCTAATGTTAACTTTTATGCACAGAATGCTTGGGGTCTATATAAAAATATCTCTAATTGTATATCAGAGGATCTATGTCTAGATTTTTCAGTTTGTTAGCATAATTAAGTCCATTCTTCACCATTTTCAGCCAGAAACTCAAACACAGCTGCTACTGCCTGACAGCTCCCACTCAGCGTCTTTGACTGGATATTCCTTAGGGGGTAAAAATTAATCTCTAAACCTGGGAGCTGCCTTGCCTGAAACTAATGCCCCTGCTGTTTTTTTCTCATAACCTCATTGACAGTGTCTTCATACTGATTCATCTTCTACCATTTCTCTTATGGACACAAACAAAACAAAAGCAAACCCCACTCCAGCTGAAAGTTTTGAATGATTTGATAAGTGGGATTCCAAAACAAATAAATATTTTGTTTCCCTCATTCTAAGGACTTTTGATTAAAGAAAAACACTTTCAAATAAGAAATACCCACTCAACTCATGGACTTCTATTAGAGAGCTCATTCATTTGACTTCTTTCAAATATATAAGTCGTCTTATGTTTTGGTAAGCAGACTTCACGGGGGGAATGATTTTGGACTCGAGAAAAAGTGTTTCAGGTGAAAAAAAAAGCCAGAAAAATGAACCTCTTCTTTTTTATTCTTCCTTAAAGAAGACCTGTACTCTTGGTGTTTTCAAATCCTTTGTTTGTAATGTTGCCTGTGCTCAACTCTTTCCTAGCTCTTTAGTGTTCCACAGTGTGACCACAAGCACCCTTGCTAGCTGCTAGTCTTCTCATCTGTTTTCGAAGTCTATCATCAGTTGAGGAGTGGCAGGAGACATTCTTCCCAGAGTAGGAAAGAAGGGAATACTTCCCCCATTGGGATGAACTGGGCAAAGAGTTTGATGAATAATCCCACTCCTGGAATGGCCTCCTGCCTGGCGACTTGCATAACCTGCACTTTGCTCACAGGACCTGGTGACCACCACACACAGCCATCCTGTCCTTAGTTAGAAATGTTCACTCCCATTGAAGTGTCTTTTCTGAAGGCCTCGTGCTCCATGGATGGTACAGGGTGTTCTGAGGGGAAACAGAGGGCAGGTGCTTTCATGACATCACAGGATGTCTGGGCTGGAAGAGACCATGAAGACTTCTAGGGAAGTCCCTCATTTTATAGATGAGGACACTGAGGCCTAGAGGTGAGATGGGACTTGCTCAAGGCCACATGGAAACTTTGCCTTCTGTCTGTCCTCACAGCTGTGCTAGATGTATATGTGCACCTAGCTACTAATGAAATAGGTATACCAGTCAGAAGAGAAAGGGATAAAATCTTACTGTCCAACTGATAACCGGTTGTAATTCAAGTTGTTAACATTTTGAAACTAAAACTGAATTGTATTCTGAAAGATTTTTAAATTTCAAAAGTTGATTTTAAAATGTTTTTAGCCTACTATTTGTCTCTTTAACTTATATAAAAAAATCACATTTATAGGATTGTGTGCCACATAAACTTGTAAGATCTGATCAACACTATTTGTGATCTTGGTACCTTATTCGGTAAGACTAACATGAAATGATTTAAAAATTTCAATTGTGGGATGAAAATTGTACACTTTGGCCACCCAAAATCCTCCCTTGTGTTTTGGAGGACTATTTTCCAGTCTTATCAGAAGGGAGGAAAGGGAAGATGACGGGCTTGCTGGAGCGAATGAGCTGTAATGAGATGGAAAGATTTTATAATGGTTTTTAACACCTGGTGCTCAAGAAAGTGTTTCTTTATGTTAGTCTACATCTTGGTTTCACTGTCGATGGGTTTCTCAGTTTCATTGTCCTGTGCAATCAGTTGATATGGTTTCTTCATTTCATTCTCTTCAATCACTGAGTTACCCATTTCAACATCTCTGTTCTTCAGTTCATGTCGTGACAAGTGCTCCACAATCCCAGCTCCCAGGGAGTCTCCCAGTACGTTGGTGGTGGTCCGGAGGCGATCCCTGCAGGCAGGGTGGGGAGGAGGGAAAAACGAGGCTCCCGTGAGCATCACAAGTTTTCAACTTACGTTAGGAACTGGCCAGCGAAGCACCTCTTAACATTCAGTTCGCCGTATCTACCAACTGCAAGATTACGTAATAGACACATAATATTCATAATAGTAGCTATTAAAGGTTATAAGGCCATATAGATGATGAATGTTCAGTTATTAGTTTGACTGAAGTGAGAGTCCCAACAGTGGGGAACGAGCCTTCTCTTTAAGCCATTCTCATAATAATACTAAGATGTCATTTGTCCCTCTCAGTCTCATTTTCTCATGAATGTATAGTGGAGTTTTGCAAAGACTACATGATGTGTGATGTCACAACTCACTGAAGCAGTTGTGAAACTGCAGAAACAGGAAACTCCAACTGTCTTGTATTAAGCCAGACATTAAGAAAACTTGCAAAACATAAAATAGTACCATTCTTTTCACTAAATATTGGGGTCGAGGCCGGGCACCGTGGCTCACACCTGTAATCTCAGCACTTTGGGAGGCCAAGGCAGGTGGTTCACCTGAGGTCAGGAGTTCGAGACCAGCCTGGCCAACATGGTGAAACCCGTCTCTACTAAAAATACAAAAATTAGCCAGGCGTGGTGGCGGGCGCCTCTAATCCCAGCTACTCAGGAGGCTGAGGCAGGAGAATCACTTGAACCCAGGAGGCGGAGGTTGCAGTGAGCCAAGACTGTGCCATTGCACTCTAGCCTGGGCAACAGGAATGGAACTCCATCTCAAAACAAGTAAATAAATAAAATAAATTTTGGGGTCGAAATGGTTGTTTTTTGCAAAAAAATGCTATTTATGTTAGCATATATAACCTTTTTGTTTAAAGATGATAATAAATTCATTCCATTATTTTATTTTATGAATTATTATCACCTTTAAATAAAACATGTAATAAATTAACAAGTGGAAATTTATAAGTGTGTCTAATATGATAAATATGAATAGATACAACCCATATAGATCAAATGCTGTTTCAGTTCTCAATAATTTTGAAGTGTAAAGATCAAAGACTGTGGAGAACTGTAGCTTTATATGAGAGTGCTCATGTTAACTGATGCTGACTGTGGGCCAGACAGTAGGCTGCATGCTTTCTAGGCATCATTGCACTGAATCTTGCAGTACCCCTAGGAGGTAGAGGACACGGGCACCCTCATTTTACAGAGGTAGAAACTAGGGTGGTTGGGTAATCTGCCCGGTCTCACACAAGGTCAGGACACAAACACAGGTCCAAGTAACTGGGGAGTGAATCCTCTCGCCCAGTCTGGGGTTTCACGCACACTGTCAAGCTCTTTTCATGTTGCAGTTCTAGTGAACATATGTTGTGTTAACTCCAACACGTACTCTGTTCTAGGCTTTGCTTTGGGCATCCTGGGGAAAGATTTTCAAAAGTGGAAGGAAATTTTTAAGAGAAAAGGCACAGAGAATGCCAGCTGGAAGAGCGAGGGAAGGGGGCGAAGGGATGGGCCTGTAGAGGTTAGAGTTTGAGAATGTGGAGGGCACATTTCTTGTAACTTTCCCTAGATCCGAAACTCAATTCCACTTAATGACACTAGCTCTCTTCCCAGTGTCGGCATAGCTCAGCCTCACCCTATTGGGCTAGGATGGGAAAATCATTCCCACTGGAATGGGAAGCACACAGAGGCAGGGCCTAAGCTGGCATGTGGGGCCTGCAGCTTTGTTCCAGCTGCTGTGGTGTCATGTTGTGCAACTCAGAAACAGCCTTGCTGATTTATGTTGCCTTTGCAGACAGCGGGTTTCCCAATTCCTGAATGGCTTTATGGAGTGAGATGTGTGGCAGCCAGATGTGCCCCTTAGGCTGACAGGGGAGTGAGTGCACATGGCATCTGGGGCTCGGTCTCCAGATAAGGACCAGGGGTCAGACAATAAGGACAATTTAACTATGGGCCGAGAGGCCCCTCTCCTCAGAGTTCTTTCTGTAGATGTGCCAGGCTGCCTGGTGCCCTAGAGTGACAGAGGGGGACCCTGTGACAGTGAGCTGGAATGCAGGCCAAGCATACTCACAGGAACCAGTCCACCGCGATGATGAGCGTGATGTCGTCAGTGGGCAGGCCGACAGATGTCAGCACAATGACCATAGTGACCAGGCCCGCCTGAGGAATTCCAGCTGCCCCAATACTGGCAGCTGTGGCTGTGATGCTGTTAACAGAAGTACCAGAACAGAAAACACTTTTACAAAGCTCCCCACGTAGAGCATATACGCTGCAAAATACGCACGGTGCCGATGCCTGACTTGCCATGTAACACAAGAGGACGCGCTTCAGAAAAAACGTAAATGAGATTTTTTTTTTTTTTGAAACAGTATCTCACTCTGTTGCCCAGGCTGGAGTGCAGTGGTGCAAACTAGGCTCACTGAAACCTCTTCCTCCTGGGTTCAAGTGATTCTCGTGCCTCAGTCCCCTGAGTAGCTGGGAATACAGCTTCATGCCCCCACACTCGACTAATATTCGTGTTTTTAGTAGAGCAGGATTTCACCATGTTAGCCAGGTTAGTCTCGAACTCTTGACCTCAAGTGATCCACCCACCTTGGCCTCCCAAAGTGCTGGGATTACCGGCATGAGCCATCATGCCTGGCCCGTAAATGAGATTAAAAAAAAAAAAATTGAACTAATCATCATGCTAACTAATATTTATCATGTGCTTACTATGTGTCTTCTGATATACTAAGCATGGTTTATCTAATTTGGTCCTCGTACAATGACCCTTGTGAAGTTGGACCTATTATTCTAGTCGTTTTTAAATAAACTGGCAGCTATACACTTTTAAACATCCCTGAAAGTATTTTGTAAGGCAAAGTCTAAAATGCTGTAGAGTTACAATAATAATTTGTTTCTAGTAATTCCCCTATCCAAGTGGAGGGTTGTAAAGTTACTGAACATTCATGATTAATGTTGTCAAAAGAATCAAATTTGGTTTCTTAGTTTGGTTTGCTTAGTTAATTCAAAAGCAAAATGATTTATGAACAAAGTTTTATAGTATTAGAAATACTTTTTATGAAGGCAGTGTAGACCTGGCTTGCAAAGCAAATGTTTTATAAATAGTAAAGTATTATCTGGTTATAAGTGGTATTAATAAAGTATTAAGTCTGTCACAGAAAGTATTCATGGTCCCCATACTGGTCCCCTTCTAAGATACTGGGACTTTTAGCTGGTATATGGCTCCCCAGAATGAAGACTACACTTCCCAACCTCCCTTGAAGCTTAGATTAAGTTCTGGCCAGTCAGACATGCATGGAGGTACTGAGCAACTTGCAGGGTATACCATCTCCCCACTTCCGACTGACTAAAATCTGGGGGTGGTGAGTCATCCCGGACCACCTGGATAATGATAATACCCTAGAGACTTAGTCTCTTATACCACAGAGCACCTATCAATCAGCCTTGAAGGCTTTGTGGAGCAGAGCTGTGCTGCATGAAAGAGAAATATATTTCTATCTTGCTTGTCACTGTTACTGTTATTTTTAACTCTGTCACCTTTTTTTTTTAATAACCCAGAGCCTTTCAATCAATATGCCAAAGTATAGGTTACAGGTGAGCTGAGATAATGATCTCCTAAGTCCCATTATAACTACTTTGGGCCTGAGGTTCCCAGAACCCCCAGGTCAGTCATTGACCTCTGGCCCTGATCAGCCTTTTCCTTTTTACTCCGATGCATCCTACTACAACTATTATCATTTTCTACTAACACAAAACATATACACAGAGTCTAACAACTTATTTCTAAATAAACATAACAACAAATGTGTGGTGACTGATTAGATGAAAAGAAACTAAGACACCAAATGTAGGCCATAAATGTGGATTTGAACTTGGTCTGGAAGTAAAATCTGTAAAAGACATGTTTTGGGGGACAACTGTGGAAATTTGAATATAGATTGGATATTCTGGAAGTATGTTTAAGATTCTTACTATTGTGGTTATGTAGAAAAATATCCTTATTCTTAGGAGATGCATGCTGAATTTTGTACAGGTGAAATGTCATAATGGCAGAGAAAGAGAAAGAAGAAGCAAAAATGGCAAAACGTTTGCAATTTTTCCATCTGGTAGAGGATGGTTGGTATAATATTGTTTCAACTTCCCTATATGTAGGGCATTTCACAACAAAATGTTGAGTGATAAAAATCCCCCCAAATCTGACTTAGTTTGCTCTCCAAAATGTACTTTTAATAACAATTTAAAAAAAACCCCACAACAATGAAGAGCAGAGGCTGATCTGGATAGTGAGGCTTAAAGTGTCCCATTGCCATTAGACTCATGGGTCCCTTGTGCAAAATAACTTTTAATAAGCAAAAAGGAGGGATTATATTTGCACATGCACATGCGTATGCCTGGCGTATCTCTGGAAGGATGCAGAAGAAACTTGCAGGTAACACTGGTTGCCTCTGCAGAAGGAAACTAAGAGATGGGGGGAAGGTATGGAAAGGAAAATAACTTTTCACTGAACACCTCAAATATAATAGTTAAAAAAAATTCTCCACAAAAATCAGATTCTTGAACTACTTGTCAGTGTGGTCTGTCATCTATCTTACACTGTCTAAAAATTCACCCAAGAGAAAAAGTTCATCTAACTTTTTATTTTCTAGTAGTATCTATACAAGCTAACATATTTTAATGCTTTTAAAAATTGAAGTATAATCTAACACTTTTAAAAAGGAGAAATATCCATACTATGTATTTTACAGACATTAAAAAGAATGATGAAGTAGACATATTTATTGGTCTATTAATAAGCAAACCAATCAAAGGCAAACATGTATGTATAGTATGATTTCACTAACTACAAAAAAGAAGTGTGTGCATGTCTATGCATAGGAAAAGTCTTTCCAAACCAAACATGAACAATGGTCACTTACAGAAGGATGTGGAGCGATGTGATGGCAGGCAAGTTTCCCTTTTTACTTTATACATATTTATATTTTTTGAACCTTGTTATTAATGAGTGTATACATCTATAATCTAAAAAAACCAATTAAAATACCTAAATATAGAATGATTACCCCAAATCCCCACCTCTTGATTATGTGGGATCCCCTTCCCAACCCTGGTCATCCTCTTGTCTTTTAAAGGCATTCTTTTTTTTTTTTTTTTGAGATGGAGTCTTGCTGTGTCCCCCAGGCTGGAGTGCAGTGGCATGATCTCAGCTCCCTGCAATCTCTGCCTCCGGGTTCAAGCAATTCTCCTGCTTCAGCCTCCCAAGTAGCTGGGACCACAGGCCCGTGCCACCAGGCCTGGCTAATTTTTGTATTTTTAGTGGAGACAGGGTTTCACTATGTTGCCAGGCTAGTCTTGAACTCCTGGCCTCAGGAGATCCACCCGCCTTGGCCTCCCAAAGTGTTAGGATTACAGGCGTGAGCCACCACGCCCAGCCTTAAAGGCATTCTTAAGAAAGGGTGTATAGAACTCTTTCCTTGTACCTGATTGTAATAATTTGTCCGAAGTTCAGTTCAAAGTTGTTAACTTGAGCAATGAAAATGGCAGCCAAAGCCTCATAGAGGGCAGTCCCATCCATGTTAATGGTGGCTCCTACGGGGAGCACGAATCTGGTGACGCGCTTGTCCACGCCATTGTTCTCTTCCAGGCACTTGAAGGTGATGGGTAGGGTGGCAGAACTGAGAACAGTGAAATAGGGCACATCAGCTGAGTGTCCTGGTAGTTCTGACTGTCTGTGCGTTTGGTCTTTGGGACAGACAGTTCCTTCCTCTCCCATGTTCTAACTTAAAGGGAACTAAGTCAGCAATTGTATAAATAGGGGAGCAGGTTAAGAACAGTGTGGTCCCCTCACGGGGTCATTTGGCAGCTCTCCTGCTTCTGGGTTCCTCTGTGAGGCATCACTTGTGATCATGCCCTCATCACGACAGCCTGTGCCAAGTCACTCTGCCTCTTCTCCCTCAGGCAAATGTCAACTAAAGAGAGATGAAGTGGACGGGAAAGGATAGTTGATTTCCAATTTGTCCCCACAAAAGATATGTAGCCAGGCATTTCCTGAATCCCAAACAGGTGTGATTGACATCAGAAATGAGAAAGCTAACTCATCATTCTTGGAAGTTTAAAACTCAGAATAAAATGGCTTCTCCTACACCCTACTTGAGGGGCCCTGGTTCAAGGTAACATTTCAGACTCATTTTCCACACATACATACATACCTTGAAGAGGTCCCCAGAGCGGTGATGAGTGCTTGCAGCAACCCTCCAATAAAAACCCAAGGGTTTTTCCGTGTTACCAAGAAGTAGAGGAGTGGCAAGACGATGACTGCGTGAATGAGTAAGCCAACAATGACAGTCACGGTGTACATGGCAAGCTGCCCCCCAATCACACCCATGTCTTCCATCTCCACAATCTTCCCAGCAATCAGGAAGAGAATACCCACGGGGGCATACCTGGGGAGAAGCAACACCAGCACGGTTGGAGTCTGGTTTCCACCAAGCTAGTCCACAGAAATTTCCAAGTGATAAGAAAAAGGGAAAAGAGAGTTGACTGCCAAACTTTCCTGCCCAGGATACCATTAGGACTTACAGAAACTGTGGACTTCTTTTCTTACAGAAACTGTGGACTTCTTTTTTTTCTTTTGTAAATATAAATTTCCCCTGATTCTTGCAGAATCGGGCTTTCCCCTCACTGAGAATTGCTCTAGGACACAATGTTTTTCTCTTAGACCTGGGGGAAAAGGCAGATACAGAGCTTTTGATACCCACCTCTGTCTTCCTAGCCAGCCCTCCTTTCACTACATGGGGGTCACTTTTCTGGTCCTCAGATGCCACTCACTCCCTCTGCCTCCTGCTCCCTTGCTAAGTGTCCTGAACAGCCGGAATCCACTGTACCAATATCCAGACTTTTGGAAGCATTTTCCACATCAGAGCCTGATTCCCAAGTTAAAGCAAGAGGCACACGATGCTACACCAGTGTCTCAGGTTTGCAGTCAGTTCTCTTATTCAAGGGCCACTTTTATTATTGCCTTTCCATATCTTCATACCACTTACAAGATTACTTAGTATTATTCTTCAGATCACCTTTTTTACTTAAGTAAATTTACTTTAAGAGAAAATTCTATGTTATAGTACAAATGGAAATCTAGTACCACTTGCCATAATTAGAAGATGTCCATAAAATAAATTCATTATTAAACTTAATAATGTGCATGTATGTACTACTGCAATCAGGTTATAGGTGTTCTAATGAAGTCATTATTCCCCACAGGCTGCTACTGCCATTTATGAGCTTTCCTTCTGCAGACAATAAACTGAGACTCAAAATGATTTCTACATGTTGAAATAACCTAGAGTTTGCTTAAAGGCCTCGCTGCCTGGATTTCCCTTCTGTTTGTTTCATATGTGCAGCAAACTACAACCAAACTCACATTACCAAACACAGAGAAGCCAATCACACTTAAGAAGAAGGGTCTCCTGGGAACTATGGAGGACTTGTTTCAAATCGAAAAATACAATGCTTCTTTCAAAAGTCCTTTAAGAACCCAGGCCAGGAAATCATAGGAATACCTGTTTTCAGAAATATAATAACTCAGCGTTGAATGTGCAGGCGAATGTACAGCTAGACAAGCTGCATGTGAGATTCATTCAGTGGCCTTGAATGGGCTTCTTTCATAAAAGAGGTGAAAGGTGGAGGCATTTAATAATATGAAGATAAATGTCCACTTTCATTCCTGCCAGGGTTTCAAAGGAGCCTTCCAAGTGGGGGCTCCTGTGGAGACCACATTCTGATCTGTCTTTGTGCCCAAGTTCATATCCATCTTGTACAAATTCCTGAAAAATGGATTTCTCTGGGCTTTGTTGGCATTAAAGACAAGGGCATTTTTAATCATGTTGGTGACTGAGTACTTTTCTTAGCAATGGATGCTTTCCTGCCTCAGGTACCACAGAGGAGACTGGATTAAAAATAAAGAATGAAAGAGAAGCAACCTCCACACAAAGCCTAGGTCAATCAAAGCGTTCTCTCCCCGTTGGGTAAAGTTTACTTTCCAAGGTCAATGTTCCTCTTGCATTTATAGTCTCTTCCTTTGTCTCCTGCTGTCAACTTTATTAAAGCAAATTTTGTTATAAATTGTGGCTTGGCATTTTGTAATACTTCCTGTGAATCTTTTAGATATTGCAGCAGAACTGCCATTTACATTTCTTTCTTAGGGCTGAAACAGATGAGGAGCCCTCAGTTTTCCTGATGGCCTAGGGGGCCTCTCCGTTTGCTTTTCCCTTTACTGGAAACACCCTTCTTCTGGCACTTTGGTATGACTGCTTCCTCTGTTCATTCAGGTCTTAACAAAGTACGTCACCTCCTCAGAGGCCTTTCTGCACCATCCAAGGCAAACTTTGTGCCTTCTCCTAGTTACCTGCAATTTTATTTTATTTTTCCACAGCACCTGTGACTAAAGCATATGGTTGATTGATTTGTTTGTTTATTGTCTGTCTCCCTTAAAAGAGTGTAAGATCTGGAATATCCTTGTATGTTTTCTTTATTGCTATATCCACAGTGCCTGGCACTATATGCTTAGCATATAGTAGACACTCAATAATTATGTCTTGAATGAAAAACTAGATAAAAAATGGAGAAATGAGGAATGAGATTCCATCAGCACTGGGGTAAAAGGAGGTGACAGCTTTTGAAAACAAGGAAGCAAACTTATTAGAAGAGGCTTGCAGATAGGTTCAAGGCCTCTAGAGGCCCAGAGATTCATTGATTTTCCTGGGCTTACCAGAGTGAGATAACTGCAATTGGCCATCCTGCCTCGTGGCACCTTCCTCAGTACAGAACACATGTTGATGGCAATAACCATCTCGTATATAACATATATAGAAAATGGAAATACATACCACATTATTACTGCTACCAGTCTCATGATGGCTTCGTTAAGAGAATCAAAGAACTCTCTCAGGGCCTGCCCCTGTTCCTTCATGTTTCCAATCACAAAACCGAAGCACATGGAGAAGACAACTAGACCCAGGGCATTGACTCCATTCACAGATCCTGGAACTGGGACCAGCTCCTCTGTGATTCGGGTAAGAGTCTCCATGGCCTCAGACACATTGTTTATCACAGCACCCACAAGCGTTTCGTTGGCCTGGATGGGCACTTTAAAGCTTCTCTTCTCATAGTTGGTTTTAAACTTAAAAATAAAAAGCACAACGAGGATTAAAGGTGATTTTTATTTTTTTCTTTATATTTTCCTATTGTCAAATTTTCTAAAATGATTACTGTTACTCTGTTACTTTGTATTCAGAGATGAGTGTTATAGAAAGTCTCTCTCTCTCTTTAATCTGTGGCAAACCCCTACTAGTTTCTCAACACAGACAGACAGAAACACATACTGAAATACATACAAATCATGACACACACACACACACACACATACACACACTCAAATACATAACAAATGATAACAGGAAAGAGATATCCAGCTAAAGATGCTGGACTAAACACATGCATGTGCTTTTGCTTTCTTCTGAAACCCTAATAAAATGACTATAATGGGATTTTTTTAAAACCATAAACCCAAATATTCACAATAGTCCTTTTCTTTTCTGTGGGGATCATGCTATGGTATAATAGATAAATCACCTGGTATCCTTTCTCTCATATTCTACAGCTGTGAAACAAGAACAGTTGTGCTGGTTCTACCTCACAGTGTTGTTGTGATAATCAAATTAAACAGAATATAGGAGAACATCTTGCAAATTTTAAAGTATTGTACTAATTTCTGCTAATGGTGCTCAATGAAAAAGCCCTTCAGGGATTAGACCTGTTTAGAGATTTCAGTGGGTATTACAAATTAAAAATCCCTAAACAAGCTGTTTCCAAGCCATTCTTGATGTTATTAGTTCTTAAGAATAGGTGCCTGATTAATAGTTGGTGATGACAGCTCATCTTCTCCAAGTCTATAGTGGGGTTTCTCTTCTAACTCAAGAGATGGTCTTTTTCCCATCATCTATTCAGTTTCTACATAGATGCCCCAGTCAGGAGATGCTGGCCACATGAAACAAGTAAACTCATCCCTCTGTGATTTTAATGAGAATAGAATTCCTGATCTTGATGGTGATTGTAGGGAAAGCACCAGTGAGAGTAATAATGGTGAGTGATGGTGAGTGAATCTAGAGTCTAGGGGAAGAAAGTGCTGCTGTATATGAAGTGCTTGGTCATTTCTTTACCAAGGGTTAATGGAAAAGTTTCTTATCCACTGGGAAACAACTACTCCCAAACAAAGCCATGGCCAGCTGTCAATACTATGGACACATTCATGAACAGTTAGTAGCACTGGTAATTTCAAGCAACAAAAAAATTGGCCCCATTCATCTATTCCAACCAACTCTCAAATTTCTTTATTCCGTTGGGTCCTTATGCATTTTATGGATTGTCCAGGGCAGATTTTCAATCCTGATCAGGCTTTCTTATGCCTCTAACTCATTCCCCTTAGACTCTGTTTGCAGCATGCACAGAAACTGCAACCTTGTTTGCATCCTGGTCTAAGCCAACTAGACCTGGGGAGAAACATTTTCTTTCCCTTCAAAATCCTGTGAATGCAAATCCAAATCAAACACAATCAATCTGTACAAGTCAGCACTTTTTCCATCTGAAGGATCTGGAAATCAGCATTTTTGATATCACACAGGGCCAGCTGACTTACTGGAATCGTCAGCCCCATGGTGCTAGAGTTGGCTGGTTGGATTGAAAGGCGCTTATTATTTATAGTTATAGTTGTTTTTGAACAAAGAAAGTTAGATTTTGGCCTCAGGCTTATTTTTTTTTTTAAAGAAAGAATTTGGTTTGAATGTTTCAATGTGTGCATGCATTACATATTAAAAATAGTCTTAAAAATTATTACAAGGGGAAAAAAAACAAAGGGAGACTTATATGTGTAAAATCCAGTCTTCTACTAGGTTGGGGTTTTGTTTGGTTTGTTTTACAGATCCTAAGCAGAAGCGTTAGGGAATTACAACAGGAGTGAATTGACACCATCTGGAGAAATGTTTGGGAAATATTATTTAACCAAGAGTGTCTGTTTCCCTTTTAATATTTTAGGCAACAAAGCTCTTATATTCAAGTGAGGTTAAAGTGAGCTTTTATCTTCTAATGGTAAAAGGTATTTGTATCTGCAACACAGAGCCAAGAGTTGCTTGTATATGAGCTAAAAGGAGCTGGACCTCAGTATAGCCTCCAGGTCGGTGTCTCATCGCCCTGAATATTCCTTTCATGGAAGCAGAATGGAGTAGCAGAAAGCAGATAGAATTTGGAGTCAACACAATGAATTTGAATTCCGAGTCTTCCCACTTACTACTTGTGAGAATTTGTGCACGATACATAATTGCTTTGAGTCTTATAGATGAGCTGCCCCATCAGTGAAATGAAGACAATGATATTTATAGTATTTATGTGAGGACTAAAAATAATGTTAGTGCTTGGCATATAGCAGGATTTCCATGAATGATGATGCCATTCCTTTCTGCTTTGGCTCTCCTTTAGAGTCCATTAGGTGCTTGGTAGACTTGAAAAAAAAAAACAGTCCATTGATATTTAAATCAAACCCAGAAATCTAAATAATCTCTCTAATCTTCTTTAAGGCAAGTTATAAATATATTTTATATTGGTGTTTGTTTGGTTGGTGGGCTTTTGCCAGTGGGGAGTTGGGTGATAGGAAGGGGGGGTCTTGTGATTAGCCTTCTTAACAATAGCAGACTCAATGAGATATTTGTATGCAAGACACACTGTGTCTGACAACTACTAAGCTTTCAATACAAGGTAAGAACCATCCTTTCCCCCCAAAATTCCTAGAAAACGCTAGTGTTTTTAATCTGGTTGACAAGAGAAGTGTTTCTTATAGCAGAGAAATGAGCAGGGAAAAGAGGGTCCCACTTGGTTTGGTATAGAAAAGAGGAATTTAAAAGGCAAGTTAATGTCTGTAGAGTGTTTACCTGTTTAAAGCAGGCTTCTACCAGATTTGGAGGGAACATGTTCCTGCAAAGAAAGTAATAGTCACTTGCAAAATTTTCCAAGTAATAAGTTTGCTCCTTAAATTCTGTTTCATTGTGTGTAAGGTAAAGATTGCATTGAACCAAGCAACAAATGGAAAAACAAAAATGTTAGTGGATTTTACAGCTTGAAAAGAATATATGGTCCTCCCTAAGTGTGGCCCATGTAGTTCATATTTTCAGGGGAGTCCAAACTTGACTCATTTATCCTCTTGTCAGCCAATGGGGTTCTTCACTCAGCCATTATATTATTAAAAACCCTGCTACTAGGAATAATCAAAGTAAGACTGGAAATGACTTTTATCATTAGCTTTCTGGCTAACTAAGGTATTGTTTAGCAGTGGTCATTTTGGTTATTGTGCCATGTGTCTAGGAACCAAATGTTCTGAATCAAAAGCCATGGTCAGCCTATGGAATTTTGTTCTCCAGAAAAGCCTCCCAAAGGCGTTCTGGGGAATGGGGTTTTGGCACTGAATTGCTAAAGCTTCTGCAACTCTTTGGTAGCCAATGGAGAGATGACCTGCAAAATTTGAACTTGAAGCCCATGTGGCAGGACTTGTTACTTCTTCAGAGACTTTGTCAAAGCACTGTTTGTGTTTGTAGGGGGTAGAGTGAGGGACAACACTCTGGCTGGGAAGTCTGTCATCAGCTGTGTGACACTGGCCAAGTCATGGCACCCATTTATGTCTCATTTGACTCATCTCTTAAAGAGGAGATTGGATTAAACTATCATTAGAGCTCCAAGATGAAAGACTATGGGAGAAGGAGAAATGATCCAGCAGTTATCACAGGCTCAAGAATCCAGCAGTTGCACGTTATCAAAGTTATATTTTAGTATTATAAATGCTTGTCCCTTTCTTCCTACTAGATCATCCTGTTTTCTTTTCCTTCCTATCTACACTCTATGAGGTTGTTGCTATCAACCTTGATAGAAATATGCATTCAGGAGATTCCAGGATAAATGTTCAAACCAAGTGATTGGTTGTAGGCAGGATACATTTTTCACTGCAGCAAGGCAGGGCAGAAACACAGTCTTCTGATGGATCAACCAGACTGGGGATGACAAGATTCCAATTCTTCAAACAAGGAATAAAAATTACAGGGAAAGAAAATGTAATATAATAAAATACTTCTAATCTAAACTATCTGAGGGTAAAGTTCATGCAGAAATGGTGAAAAGCCTTAATTAATTGTATGAACTAAATAAAAACATAGCTATTGAATGTCAACTTGGTATGAAATAATGTTATAGGGTGGCTTGATACCTGCAGATCATTGTGATTAACTCCCTGAAAAAGGACTTTCAAGAAGAGGCCCCTTGGGTAGTGTTTACATACATAGAGATGGTGCAAAGTCACCCATGGTGGGAATTGAGAGGTGCTGCTGAAGGTACCCTCTGCTCCCCAAATCTCTCTTGGCTTTACCTGCCACAGCCCCATTCCTTGAGATGGCATAGAGGAATTTCCTTCAGAAGATCAATGGGGAATGGGCCCTTTAGACAGGTATCTATAATTGGCAGCCCAATCACTCTGCAGGTAAGTTAGCTGAAAAGCTGGGAGGAAAGAGCTAGTCTTTGGGAAGACAGGCTGGGAGGGACTAAACAGTGGGGGAATGCTGAGCAGATGGGGCATCTAGAGCCTATGCTGAGATATCTTTCCTTTGTCATTCTAGATTCACTCTCCACTCTGTCTATGCCCTGGGATCCAGGCCTCTATGGACCACAACACATGGGTTCTCTTGCCCTCTGGCTTCCTACTCCTATTAGGTTTGTCTAGTGACATGCACTGACAGATCACAGGGCAGAGGGAGTCTATATTCTCCCAGAGCTCTCTTTGACAGATTTTGTGGCAGCTCCCTTCCTCCATTTAGGGCTCCTGAGGCCCTTCCCTCCCAAGGCTATAGCTCTTTCTGGGTTCCCTTTGCTCCTTCATAGCTAAGGGTGTTAACAAAATAGTTTCTTACTGTTAGGGCTTTGAGGCCTTACCATCGTTTGTAGGTTCCTTTAAGGCTGCCCGCACCTTGGCAAACCTTCTTCAAGGTTCCTTTAGAGTATGTGGTATGCTTCCTGCCAGGACCTGACTGAGCAAGGGCAGGTGTGTAGGGGAGAGGAAGCAGGAAGGTGCTGGGATTGGATTTTGGCTTACTTCACAGTTCTACATAAGGCTGACTCTATTACCAAGTCTGCTTCAAGTAGTAGATAAAACTCATTTGTAATCAACGTATGGTTTGTATGTAAAACAATGCTAAAGAAGCCATCCTTTATTCTTTTATTACAGACCTGCCAAATTCTTTCTCCATAAACATTATGAAAGGAAAACCTTGGGACAGGTTTGACAAGATGATCTCTAAAGTCCCTCTGGAACCAAACTGTGTATAATGCGTTGTGCATAGTGGGCAATGATACTGATCACAAGTTCAAAATCAGAAGGGTCCAAAGAATAGGGCATACTTGAATAAAAATTAGCCTTAAAGAACAGCAGTTAAGAAAAATAGGTTAAGAATTATTAAAATTCCAAGGTGAGCTGCATAGTTGAGAGAGGTCAGTGACCAGATTCTGAATCCGAAAAGCAAGGCTCTCAAAATCCATATCCTCTCCTTGCTCTTTTCGCCTCTCTCATACAAGATCAGAAAATGGATCCTTTCTTCAATTTCTATAAGAAAGAGGTAAAGATATATGACCTTCATTTCAAGCCTGGCAAGGCTGGTTCAGTCACACACCCCTTCCAGGGTTTGAATAGTAACCAGTAAGAGGGTCTGGATGGCGAAAATACACCCCAAAGGACGGGCTTGCAAGGACATACCTGATCAAGTCCAGGAAGGCATCTGCAGCTGTCACTCGTACAATTTTGCCTTCTCTGTGCATGTTTTCCTTTGTGCCCTTCCCAGGATGGATGATGATGACAATGATTATGCCAATCACCACAGCAATGATGGTGGTAGTCATATAATAGACTACAGCTCGCATTCCCATCTTCCCTGATGCCTTACTATCTAGCGCCGCCATTCCTGGTGGAGGCAAACAGAAGATTTTCAGGAAGTCAGTCCAGGGAATTCTCCAGTGGAAAACAATGGGAACAGCATTTCCTTTATACTCCCCTACCCTTATCCCACCCAGCCATGGGATTTCGTACATGTTGTGAGAACCTGGCCCCAAATCTCACAAGGTGAAGGGAAAAGGCCGAGGCTAGAATGGTGAGGCATCAGCAGTGTCAGTGAACATGCAGTCACTCATTTTCTGCCCCAAGAGTTGATTTCACATGGCCAAATCAATACTGTTCTCTAATGGTCCAAAAGTGCAATCAGATTGTTTCCTAGGTTACTGTTAGTTGGGGAAGCTATGAGTGTGAGTAGTGCGTGTGTGAGTGTGCCTGTGTGCATGTGTGTGTAAATAAATACTTAAAACATTTTTCTGGCAGGATAATCTAAGTTTACCTCAAGTTCAAGCACTCTGGTGATTCACACACAGATTAACTGCCATTAAATTCTTTCAAAAGAATTATTTTATATATGTATTTGGGATTCTTTTTTGATGTTTTAATGTACAATTTAAGCTATTATTCTGATCACCTGGTGATCTATCTTCAATTTGCATTTAAAGTAGACATTGGCTTATAAGGTTCTCAAATAGTTTCTCTGCTATTATTTCATCTCATCCAATCAAAGAATTTTTAAAAATTATCATGGCACAGTTCTCATTCTTGTACCCTGTCTTCCTCTACTTTGTCCCACAGGTCTGAGATGCCTCATCTCATGCTAAATATCCCTCTTTCCCTCATTTTCAGAACATCTTCAAAGTCTGCCTCAGGCAAGGTGTCATCCTAGAGAAAAAAGGAGGCATGACTTTTAAGGTTTTCCTAAAGGCTGTAGCTAATGGAACACAGTTCCATGCTTTTTGGGCTGAAAAACTATTGGAAAAGACAAAAAACTCTCAAAAGATTAAATTATCTATATTAATATGAGCTCTTCTGTTTTATTAGCTGTATCTTCACTTTTCTTCATTCTTTATCCTCCCCAATCCCACTAAAATCCAATTATAGTGTAATCCAATTACAGTTAATTGAGTTTTTTTTTTTTTTAACAATTTAAAATGGTGTTTCCACAAATGTATTAAAAGGTTATGCTGTATTTCAATGACGAGTATCAGATTCTAATGGTGGTTTAATATTCAGGTAGTGGCCCTGTTCACATGAACATATTTAGAGTTTGTGTGAACTCTAAATATTTGCATATTTAGAAGGTAAAGTACTGATTAAAATGGTGTCTACGATTGCCAGATAACTGGTTGGGTTTGCTCAAAAATCTTAATACAAAGGTAATTAGCTTAAGTGGAAATTGAAGCCATGACCTTCAATTTATAATTTCATTCGTATTTGAATCGTATCACTTATAATTTTCATTATAAGCCCTTAGTATTTCATATGTTCTTATTTTTAACAACCTATAATGCAGATTATAAAGCAGTTAAGTAACAGTTTAAAGGACTTAACACCAAGTGGAATGGAGTGGGAACTTGAACTCGGGTCTTATGTAACTAGGTTCAGTGTACTTTCTGCCTCTGAGAAAACCAACTGCAGCTCCCACAGATAAGGAGGCCAGCTTTGGCTTTGATGCCATGCACTTAGCCTCTTTTATCCTTGGCCACTTTCTCGAAACCCGGGGCTAAGTATTCATTTGTTAGGATGGCACCACTTCAACATTTCAACTATGTTAAAAATGGGCTAATCTGTTCCCAACCGAAGTATCCCATCCCCCCGCAGTTTCATTCTCAGGTCTGAATCACATCTCAAAATATCTTGGCTTGGCTGTGCTCAAAATGATTTCTCTCAGAAAGGGGCCCACTCTCTTTCCCATGAGTGCCTGAACTTGTCACCACCAAAGCCTGCAATTCTTCCGGCTCTCTCCCTGTGGAACCGGCGAGTAGTGTAAGCACAATACGCCGGATATCTCTGGGTACCAGGGAGTACCAGGCGGCAGTATTTTCTTCCTCCGAGATGCTTTTTTCCCTCTCGCCTTCTATTTTGTGGTGCTGTTCCGTTCTCACGCCAACTCTTCTCTGATGCTCCTGCCCACTATTCTCGACCTACAGCTATTCGGAGAGAGTGCTAAGTGGTCAAGGCAGAGCACTGGAAACCAAAGTGGCAAACAAAGGATGAGGTTTAATGTCCCTTCTCACACCATAGGGAGAGGGATAGGGAAAGTTATCCCAATACCCACGGCTACAGGGCTGTCGACTCTAGAAAATAAAGTTCATAGGTTTTTAAAAAATGTTTAAAGTAAAAACCAATATGAAAACATTTTCTTCATACTTTCTAATTCTAAATAGCTGAAGACAACCATCAAGGCATTTTTTCCCAAAAAGCACAGAAGGAGATTCAATCATCAAATGAGAGGCCTCACTCACCTCTGCATATTGGCCCTTATCCTTTGAAAGAGAATAAAGTAACAGCTGCTATTCTTTCAGCCAAGAAAGGTAAGGGAGGTATATTCATTAATCACATCTCCATGTAGGTCCTTCCCTTAAAGGAGGATCGAAGTCCCACACAGAGTTACTTGACCACCTCTGTTCCAGGTACCCTAGCTTGTAAAACAAATGAGACCACCAGGAACAAGGCAGTACACTGTCATCAGGGCAACAGCAGGACAGATGTGTGCAATCTGTTCACACACAATGGCCTTAATACTGGTGGCATCAGGAAAATGGAGGAAGAACTCTGGAAGACAAAACCCCAAATGAGCAGGGCATCACTTTCCCACCCTCACCTAAACTCTGTGACCATTTCCTTTCCCCAACCTCAAGAAATATGAGAGACGAACCTTTTTACACCAGAGACTAAACAGAGATGTCAGAGTGTCTGGAGCAAGGTTAAAGTACTAAATCACTTTGTAGAATGGGGCACTTTGGCAGGAACTGCCCTAAACGTTTGGGAAGGAGGAAGTTTACATTGAGCCTTATCACTTTAAAATATATGGGAGAAAAGGGCACTGGGGTGATGGGGAGACGGGAAGTTACTTTGGTATGTAGGTAATTGTGGGAGTGTGTTACGACAGCCATGCATTCATCTAAATACATATTTGAGAAACACATTCCAGAGCAAGTGGTAAAGATAATGATCTTGACTAGTTTCTTTTTCTTCATTTGATCTGGGCTTAGCTAAACTAGCCCAATTCAAGACATCATGACATCTTTATTATGAAAACAACCTGCCTTCAGAATCAAGACCCCCCTGAAATCCAAAGAAATACTGTATTGTACTATTGTTATAAGTACCATGATGGCTCTTTCACTTACAATGACACATTTGTGTGTGTGTTTTGTACATTTTGAGTTAACTTTTATGTGGTCCAAAGACTCACTCGCTAAGTCCTATCTTTGATTGATGGTAATGGTCATTTAATTCCATGACAATTGTATAATGCAGATATTGTTGATACTATATTATAGGTGAAGAAACAAGAGACCAGAGAAGTTAAATAACTTGCCCGGCATTGCACAGCTAATAAATGACAGTGGCAGGATTTGAACCCACATTTCCAAGAGAGTATTCTTACTGCTATACCTCTCTTTTTATGGACAAGCCAGGAGTCACCCATGTTTCATTTGCTTGTTATCCATGCTGACTTTCTCTAACTTTCTTGCATTTGAGTTAATTGCTAAGATGAGCCACTTGGCTTGAAGATAATTCTGTGGAGGAATATAATTGTGAAAAATCTCTGTCCCATTACTCAGTATTCCCTAAACCTACTTTAAGATCAAGCTGATTAACACTGGTCACCAGAAGGACTAGCTAGAGAGCTGATAATATCAGTGCAAATTCTTCACCATTCCTAGAAAAACAGCCCAGAGCATGTTTAATGGAGGGTGGAGAGCCGTGGATATTTGCTGGCTGCTGTGAGCACTTGAGTCTTATTTTCTTTTCTACAAGTCTACCCATAAATAACCACTTATCAAGCAAGCAATCATTTCTCCAAACCTATTTCTGTTCAACAATGAGTTAAGCATCAGAAGGAGACTGAATAAGATGCTTTCTAGAAAGTAAAAGATTAAAACTTTGCTTCAAACACCTGAGTATTTTAGGCAGTAATCACATGGAAGAGAGAGGAAAGGAAGGGAGTTTCTTGAGCAAATAGGTAATTATAAAGACAGTCTTTTGGCAATTGATTTGTCACAACAAATATGCACCAAATTCATGGGATTTTAGGGGGCAGAGAGGGAATGTTTTGGAAATGTGTATGTGGTACTCTGTAAGTCTATATGGTAAATTAGATCTCTTATGGTATAATAATTAATATGACTTCTTGGATAAATAAAATATACATTCAGTCAAGTATTAAAGGACAACATAAAATGTGCCAAGTTCCCAAGTTTCCATCATTGGCATGGATTTTATTCTCCTGTCTGCTGAAAATCTGTGACTTGGACATTAACATGTATCAGTGTACTCCCCTCAACAATTCCCATCTCTGGTTTTGAAACACAAAATCTAGAGAAGTAGTCTTCTGTTTTGAATTGTCTTCCCACTTATCCCCATGATGTTTCATTGTTCTTCCAGGGCCACTGGAACAGGTCCAGAAGGAAAGAAAAGAGTGATGGCAACTGCTGATTCAAGAAGATTGTTCTGTTTCAGTTTTTATTTTATTTTAGATGTACCCCTTCTCCACAATGAGTTTCTCATACACGCATCTAATGAAAGACGCCTGTTCTCAACCCTCCTAGAATTTCAAGATGGGCAAACTTACAAGGAAAGCAAGGATGAGTGCTAATATGTACCATATTCATGTGAATATAAGTTTTTTTAATAAGAAAATCAAACTCTAAAAATACAATATACTTCATAATTACAGATTGAAAAATGGGGCCGTGTGTCCTAGGCAGCTGCCCACTGCTGAGTCCAGGGTACACTGCCATCCTAGGAAGAGAGTGAGGAGGAGGGTGAAAAAACTCACCCAGGAAAGGCAGTGAGGGGTGGGGAGGGAGCACAAAGAAAGTCACTTCAAATCTCTCTCTAGAACTATATTGTTTTTCTGTGCAAAAATATTTTCTTCTGGCCCCTTTATAGACTAGCTTGTAAAAACACTGCAAAGTGCTATGATTCTAAGGGTTCTGGAACCGAAGACAAATCATTAAAAGTTAGATTCCAAATTGTTGGTAAAGAATGATTATGTCACAATTTTGCATCACAGTTAGTAAGCCAGTGATAGCCTCGGAATGTAATCTAAGAGACAGTGGCACAGTGGTTAAGAGTTCAGACTCTGACGTTAGAATACCTGGATTCTACTTTTGGCTCTGGTACCATGTGGCTTCTCCAAGCCTCAGTTTCCTCCTCTGTGGAATGTGAAAAATAGAAGCTCCCTCATAGGGTTTTCACTGGCATTAAAGGGGCTTCCATATAGAAAGCACTTAAAGTAGTGTTCAGCACGTGGTAAGCATTCAACAAATGTTAGGTGTTATTATTACTTATTAAACAGGTACATAATAAACAAGCTGTTCACAAAGCATTATTTCACCTCTAAGCCTTACTTCTGATGTAGAAAATACACTAACAATATCTACATTGCAAGATTAGAGAAAACATATTTACAGGGTACAAAGTAGGTCCTTGATAAAGGACAGTTTTGTTCATTCTGTGTCTCCTGCTACCAGAATTTTAGTGCCAAGAGAGCGGGACCATCTGTTTTATTCATTGCAGTGGCCTCAGTGCCTAGCATAGTGTCTGCACATAGAGGGGCTCAATAATCATTTTTTTGAATAACCAGCCATTCTTATTAGTGTTTTTGTTGCTATGCTGGATAGAGGCCACATGCTTTTTTTTTTTTTCTAACACTTAGATTGGGTTACTATATGAATTACAAATTCTAAAGTTGCTTTTGTTTAAAACACTCTTTAATTCTGACTCACTAATTTTGGTTGATCTTCCCCCAATTAATCCAAAATAATGAGGTTCATTCTGTCTGGAACAACAAGAGACAAACCTTGTGGGGAAAGAGTGTCAATGCAAACCCAGCGGCACCCGGAGTTTCATTTCCAGAGCTGGGAATGAGTTCCCGGCAAGGTGGCCCTAAGCTGCTCAGGAAGGCCAGGAGGCTGGAAAACTTCCACTTATTACTCACCACCATGGAATGGGCACCCTATTGCTTTCCCTTCCTTTGCCTTCTCTCTGGCACACCTGTATTATTTTCCCTGTTTTGCTAACATATTTCCCTCTTGCAGATGAGCCTATAGAAGTAACTGCTATAGCTCTATCTGTCCATATGTTAACAGGTGAATGAATGAGTAAATTAAAATAGAAATGCAGAGAAGGGAATGAAAGAGAGGCCTGTGGTCTAAATGTGTGCCTTCATGAAGTCAATTTAGTAGGTCATAACTAGTATTTTCATCAATTAATCAAAGTGAATAGAAAATATCACAGTGTGTCACATGTGGTAAAGGTAAGTATTGTTTTGTGAGAATTTTTTTTCAGCTCTCTGTGTGTATGTGTGTGAGTGCCAGGTTGCAATACAAAATATATTTATTATTGTAGTTTCTGGTAAAAAAAAAAATGTTTGTAAACACTGGCATAAACCCCCATTTGGTTAATAGTAGAGGCTTTAAAAAGGAGCCAATGGGCCGGGCATGGTGGCTCAAACCTGTAATTCCAGCACTTTGGGAGGCCGAGGAGGGTGGATCACTGGAGGTCAGGAGTTCGAGACCAGCCTGGCCAACATAGTGAAACCCTGTCTCTACTAAAAATACAAAATTAGCTAGGTGTGGTGGTGCACGCCTGTAATCCCAGCTAGTTGGGAGGCTGAGGCAGGAGAATCCCTCGAACCTGGGAGGCAGAGGTTGCAGTGAGCTGAGATCATGCCATTGCACTCCAGCCTGGGCAAAAAAGAGCGAAACTCTGTCTAAAAACAACAACAACAGCAACAAAAAGGAACCATGAACTATTTATTGTCTTCCCTTCCTACCATCTTTGTTTCCTATGATCTTGGGCTGTCCACCATACCCAAGAACTTGCTTCATCTCACTAGTGGAGACCACAGAATGAGGATAGTGACCTTGGGTATTGGGTCATTTCACTTGAACAGAAATTTTATGGACATTGTAACAAGGGAATACATTTTAGAAAGGTTCACTTCACGGAATTTTGAGCAAAGAAGGCAATTTACTTTTATCAGTGATTCTTGGTGAAGAGAATGAAACCATCTCCATGAAGAGCGGAGAACGATTTTGCAGAATTCACAGTCACAAGCATTTTCACACGGGTTTTCACCCTGGTCAAAGGTTCCTTCTCATTATGGCTGTTTATAATATCACAAATGACATTTTATTAGCCTATAACACAGCTTAGCCTTATAAGATTACATTACATGAAAACACCAAGTGTTCCTTACAGATTTGCCACGTGTGATGGCACATACTTTATCAGGGAAACTGATTTTTAAATTTGACCCTTAAAACTTGTCAACACGTCTTTTTCTTCAAGCTCTAGTGTTCCTTAAGAAAACTAAGTGCAGGGCCGGGCGCGGTGGCTCACGCCTATAATCCCAGTACTTTGGGAGGCTGAGGCAGGTGGATCACCTGAGGTCAGGAGTTCGGGACCAGCCTGGCCAACATGGGGACCCCGTCTCTACTAAAAATACAAAAAATACAAAAAAAAAAAAAAAAAAAAAAAAATGCCGGGCGTGGTGGAGCATGCCTGTAATCCCAGCTACCCGAGAGGCTGAGGCAGGAGAATTGCTCGAACCTGGGAAGCGGAGGTTGCAGGGAGCAGAGATCACGCTACTGCACTCCAGCCTGGGGGACAGAGCGAGACTCCGTCTCTAAAAACAAAAACAAACAAACAAGAAAAGAAAATGAAGTGTAGAAAAGCAAAAGAGAAACATTCTCTTTTGAAAGATTGTTAAGTAGAAAAAAATCAGTGGCGAAGACAGTATTATTAGTGGCAGAAAAAGTCAACTAAATCACTGTATCCTCGGTCTGATAGGACTAAGCAGACAATCCCTTTTCTCTGGCTACAGTCGTCCTTTGAGGATGAACTTTAATTCGGAAGCAATGAGAGGAAACTGAGGCACAACTTCCACCACTGCTACTTCTAACATCAAAGAACTTCTAGCGCCCTTTGGCTTAACCTTTGGGGTGGAGACTGCCTCTCCCGGGTAAGCAGCCCATGGCGGCCTCTGAGTGGTCAAGCTTTATTTCTGTCTACGCTGGTCTTGACCATTCAATTGACTCTCATGACAGCTTAACACAGTCCCGCGATCTTCCCAGTATGTGGTTTGCCAGAGGGCCCACCGCAGGGACTTCCTCTCACTCTCAGCGAGGTCGCCGGAAACTCTCAGAAGGGGCAGCTCCGAAATTCACTTCTCAGAGGCCCACAGCTGCCGGCGCGAGCCCCGCTGCGAGGTGATTTGGATACCCATTTACCCTTCACATGAGCCCATCCTTCGCTCACTGTATTGGAATGTGCCGCACAATATGCTTTTTTGAAGAGGAACCAGAGAGTAATTCATCTTCTTTATGTGTGCTAAGCAGAGCAAGAGGGAGAGGCGAGCGGGACCCACCATGGGCCGGGGAGTCGTGATTAGTAACAGCTGACAGCCTCAGACCAAGACCCTTTCTCTGGCTACCTCATTGTAACAGCCGAGCACAAAGGAATGACTGTCCTCTTGCCAAGATTTAGAAACCCAGGACCGCAGAAAATAGCAGCAAAAAGCAAAGTGTGTGTTGGGCAGTGGGGGCAACAGGCTGACGAAAGCCACCCTTGGATCTACCTGTAAAGCCTGGGTTTGGAAAGAAACCTCTATCACGTGGAAAGCCCTGTCTCCCCATGATGCCCATTCACCAGCAGCACCAGGACCACTGATGGTGGCGGGAAAAGTAGGTGAATTTACGCACAGAAAGAGCCTGGGGAGAGCAGCAAATTGCTTTGGTTTAATGAGAGGAAGTTCTTTGAGGGCCAGAGCCCCAGCCTGTCTCCCTTTCTTTCCAAAAGAATCATGATTTACAACTGACCACTGGATGAGTAGTTTGCAATTTCCACAAAAGCTGTCTTTACTTTGGATTGTGTTTCTTGTTAGCGAAAAGACCTTCCCGCATGACTGTCTTGGGAAGATGATCGAGATAGCACGCTTCCTAGCTGGCAGAATGCTAAATGGGACCGAATTCCACCACCAGGCTTGACTTGTCCAAAATTAACCAAAAGGCTTCTCAAATTGACTGCAGAGCATGTCAGACTCAAGGGGTGACCTTTCTTCCCAAGGAAGGCCTGTCCCTCACAGAAGAAAAGGAATTGAAATGAAAGCCTCATAGAAGTTGAAAGCAATATATGAATGTTAAAGACCAGTTCATTCTGGCCCTGCTTTGCCAAAGAACAGCTGAAGCAGGAGTGTGACTCCAGGCCCAGTCATGAGGCTGGGAAGCAGCAGATTCTTATGGCCAAAGGAGCCACATGCACCTGTGCCCACCCACACTCTGCAAAGATTCTGGAACCAGATTCCAACGTTAGCACTCTGAAATGGACTGAAGTTGTTTGTTGCTTGAAACTGAAATTAAGATTTTTCAAACAGATGTATTTCTTTAAAGAAAAAAAAGCAACTAGTGAATAAAACATGTTCACCTTGTTTCTTTTCTTTTCTTTTTCTTTGAGACGGAGTCTCGCTCTGTTGCCCAGGCTGGAGTGCAGTGGCATGATCTCAGCTTACTGCAACCTCTGCCTCCCAGGTTCAAGTGATTCTCCTGCCTCAGCCTCCCAAGTAGCTGGGATTACAGGTGCCCACCACCACGCTTGGCTAATTTTTGTATTTTTAGTAGAGACGGGGTTTCGCCACGTTGGCCTGTCTGGTCTCGCACTCCTGACCTCAGGTGATCCGCCCGCCTGGACCTCCCAAAGTGCTGAGATTACAGGCATGAGCCACCACTTTGTCTATTTTTTAAATTAAATCCAGAGATGTGAATCTTATCTACTATATAAGAAAATACATTTAAAAAATTCAGGTCCACACTTTGGCCAGTAAAAAGAGTGTGCAAAATGAAATCTTTGGTGATAGAGCTGGGGCTGAGGAGAGGAGAAAGGGAAGATTGTGGAGATAGAGCTGAGAGAATGACAAGAGGAGAAAGAGAAAAGAGAAAACGTAGAGAAAAGGAAGGGAGATGAGAAAGCAAAGGAAGATGGGATGGAGAAAAATTCAGAAGGGGCTTTTATCTTAGTCAGCATATTTCTTGAGCTGTGGCCAACGGCACCCCCTTTCAGTTCTGATTAGTTTTCTCAGCATTTAAAAGCTCATTGGTTGTTTTATCTAAAAGAATAGTTCCTATAAAAGAATAGTCTCACCTAGGGAGTGGGAGATTGTTCTCTCAGCTACCAGAGCCAAACAATAAAGCAGTGTTACTGCATAGAGTGAAAACACTGTCGGAGTAAACTCTAGAATTGGTCGGCTTCCCTGTTTCTGGTTACCATTGTAACAGAACATTCTTCCCTTGGAACAGGAAAAGCTACATTTTTGCCCCCAGGTCCAAGGGCAGCAATGGAATTGAATAATTGCTGATATATTCCACAAGTAGTGGCATAACACTTTTGTAGCTTTCTTCCTTCTCTAGGAGGGAGTTGTTTCTGCACATTCTACTTTAGTTTTGTAATACTTACGTGCATAGTTTCTTCTCAGCTTCATATTCCAATGTTTTTTTTCAAGGAGTATTTAGGAATCCCAAAAATTATACAAGAAAATTGTGGACAGTCCCTTATAGCAAACTTCACTTATCCTGAATAGATTTCAGGGGTCTAGGAAGGCGTATAGAGAAAGGATGTGGAAGTAACATTTGGTTGACTTGAGTTGCATGAGACGGGTTGGTAAAATAATTCTTTAATCTGGAATTTAGGAATAGAGTGAGTGATGAAGATACAGTCACCAGGGTTTGGAACAAACACAATTGGTAGATGGATATATTTGAGTAAAATATAGTCACACTAAATGATTTAAAAAGACAGCGAGTGATAGAACTGGGGACATTGTTGTTAAAGAGAAGTATGGAATAGAAGAACTATACATAAGGTAAAGAGAAGCCAGGTACAAAACAATGATTTTTAAATGAAGGATTCAAAGGACTATGGCTCATCACAAATAATGGAATGAATTGGTAAGGTAGTGAAGTTACATTCAGGATAACATGCTTCTTCTAAAAGTGACTATAAATTACTCCTACAATTAAAATTTTTCACTTATTCGTGCACTCTTTCAACATTTATTAAGGACCTTCTTGATACTCTGGCAAAGGACATAAACATTAAGCCTTTGATGTATTTATTACAGTCAACAGGACTTAAAAAAATATTGTGAAACTGGCCTAAACAAATAAAACACATCAAATTATCTAGCGGGGTGATTTGGAATGGAATTGGAGGAAAACAGAAACGTGTTGGTACGAACTGGAAGGAAATGGTTGTCATCAACATGAACTCCAGGGCTGCTTGGCTTGAATCCTGGCTCCCCCCACTTATCAGCTTGTGACTGGTCAAGGTATGTAATCCCTCACTCTCTTGGCAAATGGATGTTTTTGAGAATTCAATAAATTAACATACGTGATGCCTTAATAATATGTGGCATGATGACAGTGATGTTTTTATTTTTGCTTTTAAAAAAGGATTTTTAGCTCTGAAGGGCTCCTTGGAACACCATTGTAAACCATAAGAACTCAGTCAAATTAGAGCCTACTGCCAGGCACTGTGCTGAGTGCTTCACCTCCTTTATCCTCCTAACAACCCTTCAAGGTGGAGGCTAACAATGGTCACTCTGCATTTATGGATTAGGAAACAGGGAGGTTAAGTCCCTCACTCAGGATCACACAGCTAATAAGTGGCATTGCTGGCATCTGAAGTCTCTCCAACTCCAGTGCCCACTGTTTGATCATTATGCCTACTGTCTTGGAGATTTTCTGTAAAATAAATTCTTCTTCACACTAGACTGGTATCAATCATTGATGTGCATTTGATCTATCCAATGTGGAATTGTGATAGTAATCTGCTTAAAGTCATGTTTGAAAGGAAGCCATATATCACAGTAAAAAAAAAAATGGGTAGGTTGTAAAGTGCCACAGTCATGGTGAGTGGCTACTGTCACAGCCCTGGGACCTGCACTGGAGTTAGTTTGACATCTCTCATTGAACTGGAGAGTCATAACATAGTGGCTTTATTCAGAAAATGACATACTAATGGATGTCTTAAGTCAAAGAAGAAAGAAAAAAACCTCAACCATGGATAATTACACATTGCAAAGGCCATGGGTAATCCCTAGAATGCCCAGGCCAGTTGGTGAAGCTGCAGCATTTCTCCCCCAACTCTGTTTAGAGTGTCAGTTACCAAACTTTCTCTGAGTCCCACCACAATGGTGCTCACAATCTTCTAAGGTAAGTCTTCACCATGGGCAGCTTTGATTAAACAAACAAACAAAAAAAACTGCTTAGAAATCTAAAATCTCATTCCTTTTAACCCTTTCCCTTTGAGATAAATTTTTGCTTCTGGAGGAACCCAAAGCAAGTCTGAGATACGTTTACCAGGGGACTTCGGTCTTCTTTTCTATAGACTCAATATGCATCATTTCTCCAACAGATCCTCATATATCATTATTTTTTTTCAGATGCTCACCAACCTGTAATGCCTCCCACTGCCTACCAGTCAATGTCCTCACGCTCTGGCCCAAACCTTCTTTTTTCAGCTTCATTTCCTACGCAGGCCTACCCTATTCTGCCAGGCAACCCAGACTTCTCAGCATTCCCTAGACATGCCTTGGGTTTTCCTGTCTCTGTCTCTTTGCTCTTAAGGCTTCTTCTGCTCTCGTCCTCATTTCCTGTGGAAATCTGACCACTAGCCCAGCCCCTGAATTCCCACAACCCTTTCTTTGTGCTTCTTGGTTTCGTGGGGCGCTTTGTTTTATAGTCATGCGTGTACCTGTCTGACTCTCTATTTAAATTTTCAACTCCTTGAGCCTAGAGACTGGCAAAGTCTCTTTGTGTCTTTATTGCCTGCCCTGGTTAGCACATTGCCTGCCCAAAACAGGAGTCTAATAAATGTGTCTTGGATTGGATTCAACACCCTCTTAGTAGCTACTCTGCTTTGTCAAAGCCTCTCCTGAATGTGCTCAGAACCAAACAAATTATTCCCAATGCAGTGCGGTCAGCGCAGAGTACAGTGACTATTAATATTTCTACTGAGGAAGCACACGGCTACATTCATTCTTTTTTAGCCACCACTTCCTACTGTTGGTTCACATTAAGCCTTTAGTCACATGAACTGCTGCCAAGCTCAGTTGTTCCCCATCCTGTAATTGCGCAATTGCCTTTTGAATCTAAAAGCAGAAATGTACACTTATTCCTTGCTCAACTTCATCATGTTGGTTTCCATCCAGCATTGCAGCCTATTGAAATCATTATGAATCATGATCACAGGCATATGCAGTGGAAGCCATCCTTTTTGGGCTTATGTCGTATGAAAACACTATGTAGATGACTTCTATGTTGTTGAGTCGTTGATTAAAGTATGGAACAGGGCAGGGTTTTTTTAGAAAAGTACATAAGGGTGCTTCACCAGGTATCTTTGCAGGTTGACATGGAGCCTTAAACACTCATTAAGTCTAGATATTCAGCCAGATTCAAAGACACTTCGTGATTTTTATCAGGTCCTATTTTATTACTAAAGGTATTAGGGAAGATTCAGAATTTTTCAGAATAACCAAAACAAATTGTTTCAGGAATTCCACAACCAAAAAGTGATTATAGAAAGGGAGCACTTTTTAAACAAAAAAATTCCCTATAGCACATGAAGCTATTACAAGATGTTTTGTGGGAATACTGTTAGCCTGACTTTGTAACTTCAGGAATTACTGTTTTCCTAAAAGAATCAGTAGTATCAATCTAGAGAAGTATAAGCTAATAAATATCCTTCCCCTCTAGATAGGAATGTCATATCATTTGGGCAGAGATGTAAATGCATCAAGGATCAATACAAACAGAAGTTATTCATATGCAAAAGAAATAACAGCATAATTATTTTAGGCTTCAGAAAAGTTAATTGGATAATTCATTAGCAAAAATTTCTGGTTGTGCTACAATGATTATTAAAAAGTCCATTCTTTTAAAGTATATGCCTTAAGTTCAACTTCACTTTTATTCATTCTGGAATAACATATCAGTGATTTTCCAGGTCACAGCCCTTGAAGTATAGTAATACACGATGGTTTACATTGATTACTATATGCCCAGTGACTAACACTGCAGGAACTCAGTATAGCTTTGTTGAATGAATGATGAATGACAAATTCTGCAAATTCAGCAGGTGAGAATAATTAAGCAACTATACTCAATCTACAAATCAATGACATAATTTTGTAACATACTATAGCAAGAGTTCATCACTGCAACCAGGGCTGCAATGCAAATGTACAAATAGTAGCTCCTCTTCTCAAGGAGTTCTTTTGTTGCTAGACAAGTCAGATTCTCACTGACCAATTAGACAGTCATAGTCTCACCAAATAATAGAATGTTCAACCACACATGATGTAAAGGGCTAAGTACACGAGTACAGAAAAATTATGAAAAATATTTAGCTCATGTGGAGAAAAGACTTAAGGGAACAAATGCACTTTAAAATTATAAACTGATCCAGTACTAATCTAGAGGCCACATACCACATCAGGGGTTACATGGCTCTAGAGAGAGGGGGCTTTAGTGACACGTAGATTTGAGTTTGAATTCAAGCTCAGCCCCTTGCTAGCAGGGAGACCCTGAGACATTATGCAACCTCTCTGAGACCTAGTTTCTTGATCTATAAAATGGGAATAATAACAATGACCTTTCAGAAGGAATAACAAGTACATATGTTTAATAACCAGCATATTTTTTTTACCCAGTAGTTGCTAGCAATTATTATGGCAGGTAAAATTAAAAAGTCACTGACCAATTATAGAATTAACCTTTAATCAAGATTAGGATTTTAGTACTTTAAGGTAGAATAAGTATAATCTTTACTGCAACACCAATGTTCTCAGTCATTTACAGCTTCTGATGTAAATCACATCTTATTTATCTGATTACTGAGGAGCAATCATGCGTCCAGCTCTGTTCCAGGCTAAGTAAACCCTGTGATGTGTTTCCTCTAACTTGCACTCATCTTAATGCAATGGAAACTTGATTGTAGTGAACATAATTCCACAGGGAATCTCAAACACCCTTGGAAACCATTCTGTCATCAAAAAGTCAAAATTAAATGCCTAAAACTGGCCGGGGCCCTCCAGGTCTGGTGAGTGAGGTCAAGGAACCCAAAAGGCTTGATGATGTATAAAATGACACCACTAGTTAGTGGTGAGGCTAGGACAGAATGAAAGTTTCATGGCCTTTTGATAAGGCAAAGTGGCTTAAAGCTTTGCTTTAGTGCATGAGTTGGAAACTGGTTAAGTTTATGACAAGTGGAGTTTTCCCAATCTTTACAAGGTCACAAGCTTTCTTGGCAAGGTAGATTTTTTAATTCTAACATAGAAAATACAGTGACTTTTAATTGTTTACTCAGGGTCACCCATAAGCAGTTTTCAGAAACATCTATGAACTGCAGTAAGCAGCACTCAGGAGGCAGCCAGTCAGCAGAAACGGGGTGAAGTAACATGCAACACGATCTCTGAAACTGCCTAACAATTAGTGACAAAGCCAGGGCACAGCCAGTGAGAATGCCATCATTTGACCAAGCCGAGGCTGAGGAAATGATCCTCTCTAGGCAGACACTAGATGCAAGTGCAAAGAGAGACCTTACACCTGATACTCTCCGGCAAAGAAGCCAAAAGGGCTTTTGAAGTTGGTGTTTATAATATTAAAGCAGAATCTCAGAGTGTAGTAGTCACTGACATTAGCCAATGCCTATAGATTCACATAGACCACACTCACAGCCATGATTCCCCGTGAGCTCACCTCCAGGTCCCCCAGGAGGCACATACAACAAACATGTTTATTACTGTCACTACTATTATTTCCACTCCATAAACAAGCCCTGAATGCCAAAGTGACTTCTCCCACAGCTAGTCAATGCTGCAACTGGTAGCTCCAGAAGTTTGTGTTCTTAAGAACCAAACAGGAATTACTACAAATAAATGCAGCCAGAGCGAATGTCCCCTGCACCACTCAGCTGGCCCCTGTTTACCTTTTCAGATGCAAACATCTCCTCACTCTGCAGAGGAAGGAGATGTAGGACCTGGAGTCTATGGTTAACAGTGCTGTGACTTCCTTCTTAGGCACCTAGCACAGCTAACTGGAGGGCCTCAATACTGAATGAATTAACAACCTCAGCTAGACAATAGCAGCCCTGCATGACGCAGAGCACACATGCAATGGGGACAAGGAAGGGAAGGTAGCATGAAGACATATGGCAGATGCTCGGTCAAGACTGTTTTCTGTGTATCCAGTGAGGGGACAGAGCTATACAAGGCTTGCTAGGGGAAAGGAAATGGTGCCTCTTGAGAAGTGTATCGGCATCCACAGTCTTATGGAGTCTGTGCCCCTTTAGAAGTGTTATCAGCATCCAGTCTTAGGGAGGCTGCAGCATTTGTAAAATGCTTCATGAATGTGTGTGGAATAACTTTCGAATGGGGGGAAAGGTAAAACATTTCAAGTAGGGAGATAAACTGTGTTAAGAAGTCAAGTGATTGGGATATCGATGAGCAGGGACTCAGTCATTAAGATACACAAACCACCCTTCATCTACCACTGAGTGTTCTGCAGCACGAGAACATTTCCATTGGCTCATCCCACTCACAGAGTGTTTTCTGTATGCCCAAACCATTTTCACTGTGTTTCCTAACAGCCCCTGGAGGGGTGTAAGAACCCCTCAGATGTGGATTTTGAGTCTTCTGACATTAAAGCTGATTAGGAAGAAAACATTAGGCTGGGCGTGGTGGCTCACACCTGTAATCCCAGCACTTTTGGAGGCTGAGGAGGGTGGATCACGAGGTCAGGAGTTCGAGACCAGCCTGACCAACATGGCAAAACCCTGTCTCTACGAAAAATACAAAAATTAGCTGGATGTGGTGGCACATGCCTGTAATCCCAACTACTCAGGAGGCTGAGGCAGGAGAATCACTTGAACTCAGGAGGCGAAGGTTGCAGTGAGCCAAGATCGCACCACTGCACTCCAGTCTGGGCGACAGAGCGAGGCTCTCTCAAAAACAAAACAAACAAACAAAAGCATCAATATTTTCCTTATTTTTAGCTAATTATCCTCAGCTCATGTGGGATGCATTTATTGAGCACTTATTGTATGCCACTCTCAGGAGCTCTAGAAAGACCTAGTGTTTGCTCTCAAAGCTCACAAGTCCAGGGCATCACAGCATTCCATGAGACAGAACAGTGCATCAGGTTGAGAAAGAAGAGATCTGTGTGTGTCAGAAGTGAGGGGCCCAGGAGAGAGGCACTTGGGAAACTCTACTAAACTATACATTGGAGTTCTGGCAACACTTGACTGCTGTCAGGAACAACTGTAAAAGCTCATCTAGAAAGAAGGAGCAATTTTAGTGCCAAGTCAGATCTGCCCATGCGTGTTTACCAGATTCGACTTTGAGAGCCAAGAATTTAGTAGTGGTGTTGTCAGAACCAATAAATAAGTTAGGGGAACTTGGGAGGGGTAAATGTGGAGTCAGAGGTTAAGTATTTATGTGAACACCGCCACACATTAAAGGCCTAAAAGCTGTTGAAATTGTAATTATCTGACATGAAATAACCTAAATTTTGAAAACCAGTGTCGCTCACAATGCTGCCAAACACCTAGCATCTGTTCAATTCTGTTATGAACCATTTCCTTGGGGAGGGAACGTGAAAGAATTGTAAGCAGCTGCTGAGAAGTGTGATGGCAGGGGATGCAGTTTCCACATTGCAAATTTACATGCTAACTTATTCATTAAGTAATACCATTAATGATCACAGATGTGCAGCAAGATGGGCAAAGCATTCAATCTCAAGGCAAATATGAGGTCAGTGCTTCTAAGAGGTCATAAAACAAGAAGAAACATCTTAGAAAATGCATAAAAAGCAAACTAGCAAATCAATCTGACTTCTCACACTGGGTTTATGAAGCTAGACCTGCATTATCCAGTGGAAGCATTTGAATGTTCAGTATTGTACCCTCACCCAAAGCATTTCCAAGTTTGCTATTCACAGCAGTCACGCCAATTTCTGTAGTTCAATTTTTAGAGGTATTAACTTTATTTTGTTTTGGGGAAAGTGTGGGTATGTAATGTCGCTAAGAATTGTTCTTGGTAAAATTTTCTTCCGCTGTGCATTTACATCTGGGGATCACTATGGGAGGAGAAGAATAAAGCCATGTGAGACAGCAGTGTTAGTAATACATAGATATATTGGGTTACTTTCTTTTTACTAAATATTTTAGGCCCAGTTCTTGCTCCATGGGTAACTCTGGGAATTCTCTGGAGGCTTCAGAAGACGTGAATCTAGCTCTTTGTGTCTGTAACTGTACACCTGTTATTGATGCAGAGGATGAAAAGAACACACCAAACACACATTGTTCTATTTTTAAGCTGTTGTACTCAGCTGCAGGGGAGGGAGAGATGCCCTTTCTCCCCTTGAAAGTTACCAACAGCCAGCTATTCTGCTGTAGCGCAAACTCAATTTACCAACTTTGAAGGCAGAGGATGATGATCCTAAGCACTGAAGGAGAGTGAATGTTGTGTGTGTGTGTGTGTGTGTATGTGTGTGTGCGCTCACGCCACTTGGAGCTGGGAGTGCCAAAATAAATCTTTCCTCACATCTGGAAATGCCTGTCAGGGAAGCAAACTAGCTGGCAATCAGAAAACTCTCATGTAACACTCACTGCTTTCAACAGCAGGCACACACGACTTCATGTCCTACGGCAGAATTGCATGCCATGGCTTTAGTAGGCATTCCACCAAATATTAGCTGAAGGATTGAATCAGTGAATCTTTCCAGGAAAAGCATGGCAAAGCTCTCTTTGCCTGTTTAAAAAGATAAAAAAGCCAACCACATAAATTGGCAGTAGGGTGCAATATTTCCCTGAGTCAAGAGTCCGGTGTTGGTTTTTCTGGTCTGACACTGCTCAGGGAAGCAGTGTAATACTTTCAGGACCTTGGAACTTTGACCCTCGGCCCTTCCATAATAACCCTTTCTGAAAAATGTTATGCAGCATATAGTACTTTTTAACATGAAAGTGGAGACTTTCACAACACTTTATAAAATAACTTAAGACTCTCTGGAATCTCGAAAGATGATTTCTGTCTGTCCCCAGGGATGGAGAGCTGAACAAAATGGTCCCTGTTTTCATGACACAGTTGGCTGGAGGAGGTGGAGACTGGCAATGGGGCTGCCTAACTGTACTGTGTGTGTAGGAGATGTTTCCTGGAGAAAGTGACATGCAAGGTAAGACCTGAGGGTAAGGAGGGGTTTCAGGTGAAGAAGCTGGGGAAAAGAGTCCAGGCAGACACTAGGGTGGGAGTGGGGTTGGGCTGGGGGTGGGAGGGTGGGGAGGAGGAGTGAGAAATAAGACAGAAAGGCACAAGCTGGAGCCATGTGAGAAGTTTGATCTTTATTCCAAAAGCAATGTGGGGAATGAGCCCAGAGTTGAGTTTTAGGAAGAACATGCTACCTTTGTGCAAAAAAAGTAGGTAAGAAAAGAGCAAGACCCTGGATTGTGGGGTAGGCGGATGGCAGGGAGACTAGAAAGGAAGTTAGTGTAGATTAGGATCAATATGGTGTTGCCCAGACTAGGGTGCAGATGGTGGCCATAGTAGAGGGCAGTGGAGTTAGGGAGGAAGAGTCAGCAAGCCTGGTGTGGGGAAGGAACCCAAGGAGGGGCCAAGTTACTAGTTTAGCCCCTAGTTTCTATATTTCCTTTTTTTTTTTTTTTTTTTTTTTTTAAAAAAAACTTAGTTTCCCTACTCTTATATATCACATCTAGAATAGCTGCATTCCCCATCATGTTAATGTTCTTTTACCAGGAATACATTTGTTCTGCATGCACTCACCATCTTCATAATAATGAAGTAACTCTGCAAATCTTGGTAACTTGAAAGGGAACCTGGGACACAGGCTTAGAATCATGAGGCCTTTACCATGTGTATAAGCTTATTTTGCAGACAATTCTAGTTATGCTTATGCCTTATGACTTATCCTGTAGCTTTTTCCCATTTTCAAAGAAAACAAATAATTTTTGTTGAGTCTGAGGAAGCAGCAATTGCATTGCCAAAGGCTGGCCCTGCCTAACTCAATATCCTTTGGCCAATTGACTTGTACCAGCTTTTAAAAGCTATGGGTTACAAAGGATCTTCAAGGCCATTTCAGCTATAGAGTTTTAATGCTTATATCTATCTCTCATGACTGAAAACCAATGGTTTGGGGGAAAGAGAAAGATGTTAAACAATACCATGGTGACATAATCATCAAAATCCAGATTGTGGAAGACTAATTTTACCTGACAACCTGATCTCTTTAACAAACAAATTACAAATAAGAAGGGTGGGAAAGGAAGACAGAGATAAAGCTGGTGATAGAGAATGTGAGAGCTAGCCTTCAAACTTAACAGATTCAGAGACTCTGTCAAACAAATTCAATGTATGAATATGGCTTGATTCAAACAAACTGTGAAAAGAGAAAGAAAAGAAATGGGGATTTTTGAAAACTGACTAATGGCATTATTAAAGGATTATTATTTATGTTTTAACAAGTGATAATGGGTATTATGATTATATTTAAGGGGAGAAAAATCCTCTTTTACAGATGGATAAATGACCCCAGTGGAAAGCAGCCTTTCCCTCAGACTATAGACAATCCCTATCCTGTATTCAGGAGAGAGGACTTCCACCCTCACCTGAGAGTTAGAGGTCAAGGTAGAAACAGTAGACAAGTTCACTCAACATTTAATCTAGTTTCCCCACCCGCCTCTACACTAAGACTTGGATGTCCCCAAAACAGTAAGGTAGACTGATATTCCCATAGGAAAATTTCACATCTGCCCACAAACGTATTTCTGAAAGTAAAATCAATGCTTGTAAAATTTTGAGTCAAATTTTAAGTGCACTAAAGTAATCCATGATGGAACGTATTATAATTAATTGTTTTTGGAAAACTCACACAGTGATTTTCAATGGGGAAGGCCCATCTCACTCAAGGGTTGAGGACTGGGGGAAATGAATATTGGGATATCAGAATAATCTTTAGTTTTTAAAAGCCATACAAATTAACATAGCTCCTTCTGCTCTCTCTACACCAACAATAAACACAAAAGCAAAGGGTTATATTAGCTACTATTAATTACTGAGAAGAATGACTTTTTATCCCATAAGTATATTGAGACCGGAAAAATTTTGAGAATCATTGATCAGGACTTTTCTTTAGGGTATTTTCTCAAAGTGAACTGTACCTCATTATTTCAACACAGTCAGGAATTGTTTTAGAATAAATCTGTTGGAGTGAAGTTCCTAAAAGAAATACAAATATCTTCCTTTTCAGGAGACAAATAATAAACTATAGAAAGGCTGCAGTCCTACGCTTTATGTCACTTTTTAATCTTAGTCTTGTCAGCCAACAGAACATAGGATTGTGTTTTTCTTTGGGAAGCCTAAAAATAGGAATTTATGCCAATTGTCCCTTTTTGTGTGTGTGGATAGAGATACGGAATAGAGATAGAGAATCTTTTTTTTTTTTTTTTTTTGAGATGGAGTTTTGCTTTTGTTGCCCAGGCTGGAGTGCAATGGCACAATCTCAGTTCACTGCAACCTCCACCTCCCAGGTTCAAGTGATTCTCCTGCCTCAGCCTCTGGAGTAGCTGGGATTACAAGCATGGGCCACCAAACCTGGCTAATTTTGTATTTTTTTTTTAGTAGAGATGGGGTTTCTCCATGTTGGTCCAGCTGGTCTCGAACTCCCAATCTCAGGTGATCCACCCACCTTGGCCTCCCAAAGTACTGGGATTACAGGCATGAGCCACCAGGCCTCGTCAAGATAAATAATCTTTTACCAATGAGTCAATCAGATACATTCATTCAAGTAGGGTAGATGTGTGACTTTTACAATTAAACATACATAAGGACTATAATTATAGCACTGTACAGTCGGGAATGTTCATTATGTGCAGTATAAAAGTATGTATTTGTGGTAGTTTCTTGGGAAATTTTTTTGCTTTTATATTTTTTTTCTTCTATTGCAATCTTAGTAACCCTTGAACCACAGGCCATTAACACAGGATCATGAGAGATCAAAATCTTACACCTTCCCCCATTAAGTCTTCACAATGTATGTAGTTGAAGGGAAAAATGGTGAGATGTGCTATCTTTAATGACCTGTTGATGCCTAAAAAAGCCTTTTCAAGTCTGTCTTGATGACGCTGCACTTTTTGAATGTGGATTTGGATTATCTGTACACGTGAGAAGTTGTTATCAGTAGCTCAGTGTCACAAGAAGGCCAGGGGGGTTATCCTACAAGAACACAGTGATTATGAACAAAGCCCATCCAAGCCATAAATACCTTCCAAGGGCAACCAAAGGTTATAAAAGCTGAACTCCCAGACTATTCTGAGGAAGGGACAGCATGAAACGTGGGACAGAATGCATTTTTAAGTTGTACAAGGTCTGACTTATTATGGAGGCAAAAATGGTAGATTTTGCAGGTTCACATTAACTTAAGAACCGTATTCCAAATTTTACATTAATCGTTAATAAAAAGGTTTCTTGACACAAATCTCAAATTTCCTTGAAAAGTTCCTAAGTTAAATTTCTGAAACTTAAGTTTGTTGCCCAGAGTGGTACAGTCTTGCCTATAGGTAAAAAAATTGAAATGCAAATCTTTAAAAATTTTTCTTTCAACATTGAGACAGTATAATCATAAAAAAACTCTTAATAATGGCAAGGTATTTAGAATAATAAAACACTATTCCTCGCATATTTATATGCTTGGTCCTCAAAAAAAGAGATAAGCAGACACCAAATAGTAAGCTTCATGATAATTAATGCGTTAATTAAATAAAAATCTCAGTGATGAAAGAAATGCAGAATGGCTTACACATTAACCCTAACTCCAAAATGTTCACCATACACTTACAGCTGATTTTAGTCTCCTCCCAATAAATATTGGAATAAATTAAAAACAATAAACAAACAAACAAACAAGAAGCCACGAAGTTAGTGTGGCAAATTGTGATAAAAGAAACTGCTGTCTTTTAAAGCCTAATAATTTTGACTTTTGCCTTTTCTCAAAAACAGTTTTCAATGGCAAAAATAAAACAAAATGGATCCCTGGAGTCTGGATGTTTGCTAAGGAAATGGCCCTTCAGTCAAAATTTGACCCAAATCTCCCTTTTTCCAATGCTGACAAAAAGCTCCTTCCATGAAAGATTAAAATTCTATCTTAATGTTTATAAGTGCTCTTCGGTTGTGAGAAGACTGATAGGTGGAATGGCAAAACAAAATGTGCCAAAGTAAAATTGGTTAAATGTGCTTTAATACATGTGGTCTCTCTCCCCACTTCTCTCTTCCAAGCAATGTTTGGGATCATTTTGAATGCCAAAGGAAATATTCTTCTTAACAAAAAATACAGTTGAATTTGAATGTTTCTTGATTGAACATCAAAAATGGAAACATTTACTTGGATGGACTGAGGATGCTTTACTCCAGAGAAATTCATGGCAGATAATTTTGCCTCTTGTACATTGAAAATAATTAAATTATTTCATTCAAATCCTCTAAGTAGGTTTCATTATGAACAGTATGTGGCTGGAAATAGAAATTGGTCAACAGTGAGTGTTTGTTGAGTACTCACAGGACTTGAAGAGTATTTTAAGAGGCAAATGACCAAATTAGACTCTTAACTGAAACTACAAAAGAACCACACATTTCCAATAGACTAGATAAACAAAAACAAATGAAAATTTGTATTTTGTAATGTGGTGTCATATGAGACCTATATTTTATTAGAATAGATACATCTTGGCTAGTGACACCAAGGCTTTGGAATAGAGGTGGTTTCGATGAGAAACATCCCACAGGACCAGTTCTATCCCTGACCTTTATACCCCAGAAGCACAGTTAATGTGGGACAAATATAGTATACTTTTAAAATTCCTGCCAGCAGCTCTGCTTCCCTCACATCACTCTTTGTACTCCACTGAGGCAGGAATGACTTACACCTGCAAAAATGTGAGGAATCCTTTCCTCAAAAATAGCTCTTTGAACATTATTTGTGGGTACTATTGTAAAAGAGAATTTTCCAAGGCTTAGGAACCACTTACGGAATTGTCTCTCTAGAGAGACCACAAATATGACACCGCAAACTATTTTCCTTGGGAAAATCCTGTCTTTCCACTAGGGAGGTCAATTATTGTTATAGACATGAACTTACCCTTGCAGAGCTCTATGCCTCTCTAACACACACTGAGGACCTTGACTGCAAGCCTTCATCAAAATGGAGACGCACTGTCTGCCTTCATGGAGCTTGCCCTTGGAGAGCTGGCCCTGAGCCACCAAAAGCAAATCACAGGGCTGAGGGACAAAGCTGACACATAGACCTGAATGTGGTTTTGTCCAACTACAGTGGGCAGACATTACTGAATAATACTTAACATTTAAATTTCCAAAAGGTTTGGATATTGTGTTTATATTTTTTTGAGGGTTATTTTATGTCCCTTGTGTGGATTTCAACACAGAAAAGATAAATCTGAAAAAGCAAAACACACAGAGGAAACCAAGTGTTAGTGAAAAATACCAGCCCTTGTTATCTAAACTTGTCCATGCAATATTCTATCAGCGTTCTTTACAATTCCAGATTGTCCTTCGTCAGACCAATAATCTGTCCTGTCTTTGGCAGTTGCACCAGCCAAGCAATGCTGCCCTCCTTGATGTCAACTTCAAAAAACTTACGTATCTTTAGCTTTCCCTTAATGATATAGGTTTGCTTCTTTAAAGAGTATTCAGTGGGTTACCCATAGCTTACTCCAAAGAGTCTCCTGGGGGTTTTCTTTAATGAACAAAAGGAATGTCTTGTAATCACTACATATATTACTTACATATGTGAAAGAAGACATCAATATCAATGCAAGAAGTTGCTTGGCCTGTAGCTCTATTCAAGAATAAAAATGAGCAATAATCTGTACCATGATAAACTGGTATATGAAGTAGAAGTAAATTTTGTGTAGCCTCTGCTGGGAATTCAAGACATGAGATAGAAGAAAACATTAACCCTAACTCTCCAATTATATAGGAAATAATGGATAATTCAAATAACAGGACTCCAAAATGCTCAGTACAAATGTGCAACTGATTTTAACCTCGTCCAAATAAAGACGAATGAAACAACCCCAAAATTACTGAGAATGGTTGGCTTACAAAGCCTTTCCAGCAAGCTTCACTTTGGCCTTTTTTGTTGATGGTCAAAAGGCAATGGAGGGCCGGGCGCGGTGGCTCACATCTGTAATCCCAGCACTTTGGGAGGCCGAGGTGGGGGTAGATCACAAGGTCAGGAGTTCAAGACCAGCCTGGCCAAGATGGTGAAACCTGTCTATACTAAAAATGTAAAAATTAACTGGGCGTGGTGGTAGGCACCTGTAATTCCAGCTACTTGGGCAGCTGGGGAAGAGAATTGCTTGAACCTGGGAGGCGGAGGTTACAGTGAGCCGAGAACACGCCACTGCACTCTGGCCTGGGTGAGAGTGAGACTCTATCAAAAAAAAAAAAAAAAAAAAAAAAAAAAAGGCAGCGGAAGTCAGTCCTCAAAGATAAAATCTGGTTTTGAGGTCCGATTAGTGTTTTCAAAAGGGGAGGATCCCCAAAAACAGAACTTGAGGGGCTCTCCTTGCAGATACTCAAGTGCAGTTACCTCCAGAAAGCAAATATTTACTTTCTTTCTGAATTAAAAATAACTAACTTGGAATTAGAGCTCATAATAAAAAGCATTATAATGAATGTAAAATTCAATACTATGGTAAAAGACCTACACAGAACTTTCAGCAATGACGCCGCCCCATAAATTGAGATATAGCCTGAGACTGAAGCAGCTTGTAAAATCTACTTCATACCAGTGAGATTTGTTATCAGCACTTCACTTTTAGCATCCACATTCCTGAGAGGGAACTTGGGTATGTAATCCAGAGGTCCTCCTGTTGCAGTTGTCTCCCCCCAGGCCCACCCTCACCACCAACCACCTCACAGGACAACCACAGGGGCGGCTGAGGAATGTCTTGACTTGGAGATACCTGATCACTGACCCACAGACTAACATCCTGGTTAACTTGAGTATCTGTATTACTCATCTTAGAAAGTAAAATTTAGGATAGGGAGCAGCTATCTAACTCAAAGCAGTGTAAAAGTGATTAACTGTGCTTAAGTTAGACTGATAAGCAAATAATCATTTAGAATAGTCCACTCAAAAGAATTGACATTAAAATATTTATATCTGCCTTATTTTTGAAAATTTTAATTATGGTATAAAACACATAATAAAATGTGCCATCTTAACTATTTTTAGAGGTACAGTTCAATAGTGTTAAGCATATTCAAATAGTTGTGTTACCTGCTTTACTTTTGTAATTAACTTTATTTTTATTCACTACAACTAAAGAAATAAACTCATATTTTAGTGCAACAAAAAGTTATAACTGATGAGTTTACCATCTACATTTTAAGGGATTTCAACAATTATTTTAGTGTAGCCAAAGACTTAACATTTGAATTTTACAATTTTTGAAATATGAAATGCACAATTACAATACCTAGACTACATATCTTATGACTTCAAAGCTTTAGCCAAAACATGTATCACACGGATAAGAGCAAGAATCCTCTCACACCTAAGACAAACAAAAGGTATTACTAACGACATCCCACTGTATTTCCTTTTTGGTTTTGGCTATTATATCTCTTTGCTATGGGGGGTGGGGGGAGACGTTTTACTTCAAAAGTACATAATAATATAAAACTACTTATTTTCACTGATGTTTCATTATTCACATTGCAATTTATTTATTTATTTATTTATTTATTTATTTATTTATTTATTTTTTGAGACGGAGTCTTGCCCTGTTGCCCAGGCTGGAGTGCAATGGCTTAACAGAATGCAATGGCCCAATCTTGGCTCACTGCAACCTCCACCTCCCAGGTTCAAGCAATTCTCCTGCCTCAGCCTCTCGAGTAGCTGGGATTACAGGCTCATGCCACCACGCCTGGCTATTTTTTGGTATCTTTAGTAGAGACTTGGTTTTACCATGTTGGCCAGGCTGGTCTCGAACTCTTGACCTCATGATCCACCCGCCTCGGCCACCCAAAGTGGTGGGATTACAGGTGTGAGCCACCGTGCCTGGCCCACGTTACCCTTTGTAAGAAGCACTTCAGAGTGCTTATTTAGAGCAGGTGTTAACTACAGTAAGGAATTCTTCTCAAGGAGGACCATAGCTATGATTTATGACAAGTGGTACAGTAATCCCTGTATAGTCTAGTGCCCAGCGTTTTTACAAGGTGTAAGTTTAATATATAAAGAACGATTACAATTCAATAACAAAAAGCCACCCCCATTAAAAAATGGGCAAAGGATCTGAATAGACATTTCTCTAAAGAAGATGTATGAATGACTAATAGGCACATAAAAATATACTTGACATTATTAGCCTTCAGAGAAGTGCAAATCAAACCACAGTGAGACAGCATTTAATACCCACCCTGATAAAAAGATGAATAATAACTAAAAGACAGATAATAAGAAGTGTTGGTAAGAAAGTGGAGAAATTAGAACACTCATACACTGCTGCTGGGGATGTAAAATAGTGCAGCCACTTTGGAAAATGGCATGGTAATTCTTCAAAAGGCTAAGAAGAGTTATCATATGACCCAGCAATTCTATTCCTAAGTAAATACACAAGAGAAATGAAAATGTATGTCCATGAATGTTCAAAGCAGCCTTATTTATAATAGCAAAAACCAAACCAAACCAAAAAATAGGAAAAACCCAAATATCTAACTAATGAATGGATAATATTCCATTATATGGACATGTCATATATGGAATATGGACATGTGATATGTTCATTATATGAATGGGTAGTATTCCATTATATGGACATATCACATGTCCATGTATATGCAATATGTATGTATCATATTATTATTCAGCTATAAAAAGGAACGAAGTACTGATATATACAACACCATGGATGAATCTTGAAAACATTGTGCTGAGTGAAAAAAGCCAGTCACAAAGGACCATATATTGAATGATATCACTTACATGACATGTTCATAATAGGTAGATCTATAGAGAAAGAAAGTAGACTAGAGTTTGCCTGGGGCTGAGGGCTTGGGGGAATCGGGGGGTGATGGCCAACGAATGCAGGCTTTATTTCTGGGGTGATAAAAATGTCCTAAAATTGATTGTGATGATGGATGCACAACTCTGTAAATATACTAGAAGCCATTAAATTGTACACTTTAAATGGGTAAATTGCATGTATGTGAGTTATATCTCAATAAACCTCTTAAAAAATAAGGCAAACTTGAAATAAGATAAACCTAGGTCTATCAATACCAAGAAATAATTTTAGGGACATCATACAAATAAAATAATCTCTTTTTCTATTGTAAAATAAGTTTCTACCTTCTAAGGATCAAATGGAGGTTAGTGGTGGGTGGCAAAGTTTGGCAGCAAGTATGTTTTGAGTACTTGAAAGTCTGATACACATTGCTAGAAATGCATCCTTCACATAAGGAAAACGTGCTTATGTGGTGTACACAGCACTTTCAGACACTTGACCTCACTTGGTAGCTGTCAAGTTACAGTTCAGATGTTTATTTAGCGGGAAGTTATATGGTGACTTCAAGTCACGTTCCCACAGGACATCTGCCTTCCATAAGCTAAACCCAAATGTTTGCTGCTAAAATCAAATAATGATGCCAATGTACCCAGTTCGGAGAAAAAAGGTTTATAGATTAAAGTTAATAGATTGAATTCTCTCAATTTTAAGATTTTTTCACTGTAAGCTTTTCTTCATCCTTTCTTGTCCTCTACTTTTCTGAATGCTAGCAGAAAAAGGGCTTGAAATCTTTGAAGTATTATGCCTAAATGATATTGGAACATTTGAAATTGTCAATCATGCTTAGATTTAATAGCTTTTACTGTTTATGGAAATATGCTTATAATTTTACTTTTATATTGCATAGGAGTTATATTTCACATAGTAAGTGTGCTCCTACTTTATATTATAGAATTCATAGAATTCAATATGTAAACATTTTTTATTATACCCATAAGAATGTTATGAATTTTCAGTATCTTGAGAACTACTACACTGATGTCTGGCTCTAAAACTATCTTCCAGATCCATGCCAAAAGAATGCTTTCAGATATGTCATGAAGCACAGAGTACCAAGATAAGACAACCAAATTCTATTCTAAATTGAAAAAGAAATGGCAAGATTCCAGTATAAAAGCTACTAATGTTTCCACTTTTTTTTTCTTAAATATTTAGTGTGTAGTTTAGGTATGCTGATAATAGGGATTTTTTTGTGTGTGAATCACTATATTACAATTGTAGAACATTTGTAATATACTTTCAGGGAGGTAGCTTTAAAATAATGAAACTTCAGCACTTAGCACAAACACTCTGGAGAACTATACACTGAAATTACAGCTCAACTAGAAATAACCTAGTTAAGAAACCTTAAAGTGCAGAAACAAACTCGGGAAAAGTTATAAACTTAAAAAGAATTACCAATATTAGAGGCACTGTCAGACTACAATACATTTTAGAATTGGAAGGACTTCTGAAAAAAGAATAAACAAACAAAGCTATGTGTGCCCATACATGCACATTATGCCATGATGAAAAATTTTGTCCCCAAATTTCACAGCATAAACATTTTATTGCATCATCCTATACTAAAGATGTATCATGCTCTGTCTGCAGGAGGGTTTTGGTAATTAATATAAAGCACTGGTACAGAAGCTTATACCAGAAATGGGAAGCAAGTCAATTGGTTAATGATTTGTTCAAGTGATCAGCTCTTGGTGTGTGTGTATGTGTGTGTGTGTGTGTATGTGTGTGTGTGTTGGGGCATTAAAGAAACATGAAATATGTTAATATAATCTTAAAATAGTACACCTGTCTTATGTTTCCTTTGCTTTCAAAAATGTAATAAAATATCTGCTATAAAATGATCAAGTGGTGGGTGTAGGTGGGGGTGGCAGTGTAGATGAAGGAGGGGGACCAGGGGTATTATAGATGAAACAAGATTGTGGTTTTATATATAGGGGTTCCCCTCTTTTTTCCCTTAACAGTACTGACAAGTCTTGGTAATATGGAGGTCATTTTAACAGCCTGGATCTAGGAAGCTTACGATCATCTTACTCTTCTTTTAGTATCCTTCTAAAGGATTAGCCAACAGCTCTTTTTGACTTATTACTTATCCTCAGAATCACAAAACTCAGCTACTGGCCACTCTTAATCCAATGCCTTATGAGAGGAAACTGGCTTGGTAATTTAGGGGAAATTTCTTCCCTTTGAAGAAAACCTGGATGGAAACTCAAACAATTGTTTTAAAAAATAAACACAAAGATGGCAAGCCTATATCCCCATATGAGGCAGTCCGGTTGAGAAGAGTGTTACACTGGTAGTATAGAAGTTGATGGGTTAGTGAAAGAAGTACATCATGGGGTAATGCACCGGCTTCCAGCCTGAGGATCTGAGATTATTGCAAGGATCTTCACCATGAAGAAGCAAAAAGAAGTCTATCTTGCCTGGTAAAATGAATTTGCAGACACTTAAGACTTAGGACCCTAGATTCTACCCAGACTCAAAATTGGAAGATCATTCAGGTAAATCCGTCCTTCAGCAGAGAATAGCACTATCCCAAAGTTTTCTTTCTGCTTATCATGAAATGACCACCAAATACCAAACAGAGGGAAAAAACAGAACTGTCCTCTGGAGGCATACAATTCATGACATGGCCACAGAAATCCTTATCTGGATATAGACCCTTCCCCCAGCCGCCCCCACCTCTTCCTCTCTCTCTCTGTCTATTTCTGCTAGCAGAAACTCCAGCATCTTTTTACTTGGCTTTATGGTGCACAGAGTCTTTTTATAACGGAATGCGGGTTCCCAGTCATTTCCAGGGTAATCAGTTTAGAAGTCTATTCAAATTAGAGTGAATGTAGTGGGGGTCTTCATGTTTGTGAGTGTGTGTGCGTGCGTGCATGCGCAGCGTACTTTCATGTTTTCCCTTATATATAGCATTTTCTATTTTACTTACACAAATAGTAAGCATTCATGCACCACCCGAGTAATAAAAATGACTTTAAATAAAACTGTATGGAATTTATAGTGGAGAATATCTTCTGAAGGAGTAGGAGAAAACAGCATCCTTTTGGGAGAATAATTTTGGGAGGTAATTTAGCAACATCTCTCTGGATTTTACATGCACATGCTTGGTGCTCTAACAGCTCTGCTTTTAGTCATCAATCATTCAGAAATAGACTACAAAGATACATACATGCTGAAGTTTACTGCAGAATTATTTGAAAGAGCAGAATATTAGAGATACCCTAATCATTCAGTGATAAGACATATCTGCATAGGAGAATACTATCCAAATAAAGCATATTACAGAACAATACATATGATTCCGTTTTCATAAAAACAATGGTATATTTGTGTGTAAGCTTTTAACAAAGCGTGTGAAAGATTAATAGTGCCGATGTTTTAGCAGCGATTGTGTGTCAGGCAGTATGTTTAATGTGTATTAACTTGCATATTCACAACAATCCAATGAGGTAGATACTACTATTATCCCCATCGTGTAGATAAAGAAACTGAGGCAGAGAGAGATAAAGTAGCCCATCGAAGGTCACTGAGCTGGGAAGTGGCCACGCTGGGCTTCCAACTCAGTCCTTCTAGCCTGAACACTTATTCCCTACCACACACTGCTTCTCCAGCAACAGGTCTAGCACTGTTAACGGTTGTTACCTTTGCAGAGTAGCATTTCACTTTTTACTTTATGCTCATCAATATTTGTATGTGTCATTTCTAATAGAGAATGCATTGCTTTTGTGATTAAAAATAACTAGCCAGGCGCGGTGACTCATGCCTATAATCCCAGCACTTTGGGAGGCCGAGACGGGTGGATCACAAGGTCAGGAGTTCGAGACCAGCCTGGCCAATATGGTGAAACCCCGTCTCTACTAAAAATACAAAAATTAGCTGGGCGTGGTGGCGGGCCCCTGTAGTCCCAGCTACTCAGGAGGTTGAGGCAGGAGAATCCCTTGAACACGGGATGCAGAGGTTGCAGTGAGCTGAGGTCGCGTCACTGCACTCCAGCCTGGGCGACAGAGCGAGACTCCATCTCAAAAACAAACAAACAAAAAACCATTAAAAATGGTACACTTCTCAGGCAGGATGAACTTTGCTCCAGATGCCACAAAAATACATCAAACATGGTCCTAGTGGAACCCTCCAGTTTAGTTTGGAGCATGACAGCATGTGCTGGTAATGTATGAGTGACAGTGACAGGTACTCCAGGGAGGGATCAATAGGGCTAACTTTACGGAAAGATTGAAAGCTAAGCTTTCAATTTACTTTGAAGTAGGTAAAGAATTCTGATGGAGCTAGGGAAGAGGGAAGCATACTAAGGATGAAGTGCTGAGGGCATTAGGACGTTGAGAGAGGGACAGGGTTTCTGCCAGGAGAGCAGCAGGCAATAAAGCTGGTAGAGGGGCTTGCGAAGGCTGCTAAGGCTCTTATTTGTCCTGCCAAGAATGCAGACTCTGTCCTCTAGGCAATGCAAAGAATGTGCCAGATAAAGACACAGTACCTTCAAGAAGCCTCTATGAGGAAGATAGACATGTTAACAGTGCATTCCATTGTGATGCAGTAACTGTGATAAGGTGGAAACGTATCTACACCTCTGCGACCCTGTATTAGCAGGGGAAAGCCAGGGAAGGCTTCCTAGAAGAGGGGGTATCTGAACTAATAAAGGTATCAACTAAAGTAGTAACAGTGGGGGACTGTGGCGCCAGAAAACAACAATTCTAGAAAAACTGTAAAGTGGTAGTTTTCAACCATGGGTGCACAATAGAATCATCTAGAGAACTACAAATAAATGTCAACTCCCAAGCTCCATTTCAGATCAATTAATTAAAGAACTCTGGGGTGGGGGGCAGGGATTGGAAGCTGGGCACTACCTCTATGTAGTGCAATTAATCTGATGGGACAGTGCATCCTCTCAGAATGTGAGCTCTAGAAATTAGAAGAGCCTAAGACAGTGTCTCACTTCGGAAGTATTCCCCACCTCCAACCCCAACCTGCCACCTCCAATCCTTAGGCACAAACCTCCAAGTCAGAATTAACCAGGTAACTCACTCTCTTGGAAACCATGATATCAGCAGAAGAAACCTGCAGTTCCACAGCATTCTGAAGGAGATTTATTAAGTTGATAATTTAAGGGTGGAAAATCTTATTTTTCCTAGAGATAAAGGAAGCTTTAAATTTTCCTTTCTTATTTACCTTTTCTTTAAATTTTTCAAAAATTTCTTCCAAACGAGAACTGATCAAAATCTCTGGCTCACTTGAAGCTGCTGAAATTAGCAAATAAGAATTTCTAACTCACACAGGCTCAAGCCTTCTGGAAAGCAGCATCTCACAACAAAGCCGTATGCCTTTTATTACTGATCTTTTAATTGAAGAACAATTCCATTTTTGCCACAAAAATCTTTCCACACTCAGTTCTGCAGGATTTAGTTGACCACAAGCTTAACTCCTCTAAGCCAATGGTTTGTCGTGGCTGGTAAAGCAGCGGACCCAACCTTGGCCTGCATTAATAGAGGATTGGATCTAGACCACTGTCCCTACCCAGTCACATGACATCTGGAGCACCAGGATCAGCTCTGGGAGCACAGTGGATGGTGGAGAGGCAATCAAGATGGTGGAAGTCCTGGAGAACAGGCACAGAAGAAGCACTGGGACACTTTGCTTATGCTTAGGTGCCCAAGAGACTGCTAGGTGCTCCCCTGAGACCATCTGAAAGACTGCCATCCTAATTGTGCCAAATAACACAATTAGGACCAATAGGTGGACCTCACAGAAGACAGACTTCGTAGTTGAGACCACCTAAGAATGGACCATTTAGGGGAGCTCCATGGCCACTTTCCAGGGGCTGGAGAGGGGATTCCTGCTCTGGTAGCAAGGTTGCATGAGCCCAGAGATCCTCAGGTCTCCTGGCTCCCTTCCTGCAAGCTCCCTTCGAAAGGGAAGGTTTCTGTCGTTGAAAGCCTGTCAAGCACCTTTTCTCCTTTACTTCCCATTTGTGAGGCCATGTTCCTCAGGTTGACTTTTCTTGGGAATTTCACAGGGCCCCACCTCTGGTTCTTTCTGCATTTAATGGTGAAAGACTCAGGTGAGAGGAAAACAATTCAGGGCAAAAAAAAAAAAAAAAGAAAGAAGAAAGGAAGAAAAAGAAAGGAAGGAAGGGGAGAAAGAAAGAAAGGAAAGAGAGAGAGAAAAGGAAAGAGAGAGAAAGAAAGAAAGAAAAAGAAAGAAAGAAAGAAAGAAAGAAAGAAAGAAAGAAAGAAAAGAAAGAAAGAAAGAAAAAGAAAAGACCCCCTTCTTCTCTGCTAATAGAGTTATTTCCCAGCAAGGAAGCCCGAATACTGGAGAGGCAGGGCAAGAGACGGGTGCATCGTTCCTTCCCTAAGTTGTTCCTTCATTGAGATGATACTACCCATGTCACTGATACCATGAATACTGCAATCATGAGTCCATCTCCCAACCAGACGTTGAACGCCTTGAGGGCAGAAATCTTGTCTTCTCCATTTTGGTATCCTCAGCTCCTAGAGAAGCACCTGGCATATAAAGATCCTCAACAAATGCTTACTGAATGAATCATCTGTAATGGAAAGGTAAATTCTTTTTGGTATAGCTAGACTTAAATGGCTTTATACCTCACCAAAACCTAAATACACACACACACACACACACACACACACACACAAACATTTAATTACCCAGATTTGCTTTCTACATGATGCAAAAAAAGTTTACCCCACAGATAGGTTCTTCCCACTACATTATACAACCTCCCTTTCTAGACAGGCATTCCTTAGCTTCCCTTCCCACATGTTTGTGATTAGCCCCTAGAGAGACAATGAAGCAGGCCCAATACGTTGGTTTCAGAAGAACTGGGCTGAAGCTTCATAATGATTGCCTTGTTTCCAGGCCGCCATGAAGTGTGTTTGAGTGTTAAGATGGAGACTCAGTTCGCCTCAAGTTTTGGTCAGCCCGAAAATCTCCGCTCACAACATGGGTGCAGTGTGTGGAATTTGCTGCCCCGTGGAATCCAGGGTGTTACACATTGGGGCTGAGTTTCTCAGAAAAGACACAGCAGTTGTATAACCAATGAAAATATTTACAATTATGCAGCTGTGATAAGGTAATCGAATTCCATGCCGCAGGGCAGAAACCTATCCCTTCCAGTAATGAGGTAGGAATTCTCGCTGGCTCCCATGTTGTTACCGGATTAATTTTATGGTTTCTTCAATTTACCTTAATAGGAAAGTGGTTGCTTCAGGGATCACAGACAAATGAGACTTGTGAAATCTGGAGCCTTAGTTCCGTGTCCCTGACTTGAAGCTCTGTCTTCTTGCTCTAGAATTTTCATTTATACAATGGGAACCGCCAGAAGACAGCTCTTGCTGCTACTCTTACCGCCAACAGCTACCATTAATTGAGCACACACTATGTGCCAGGCATAAATCCTCACAACAACCTTGTGACACAGGTATCTTATCACTTACATTTTATAGAGAATGAAAGGGAAGCCTAAAGAAATTCCTCCCTGCGTTAGATACTGTTTTTTTTTTTTTTCAATACAACGTACGGGTAGGTGTTGAGGGGGGCAGGTGGTGAAATCTACAGCTCCTTTTCTTGTCCATAAATGCTCAGAGTATTCAAACAGGCCTCAGACATACACCAGAGCCATGGCAATGCATAGTTTAAGATATTAAATTTCTCTTAAGTGATTTCGACTCATTTTGCAAGCCCTTGACAAACCCTTCAGATGCGAAGATTTAAGAATTGTCTAGCCCTTTTGTGTTACACGAAATGACAAAACTTTAGTTCACTCTTACTGTAACTGTCATCTCTCTGAAGCCAAAGGACCGTACTTTGAGGTACAACATTTATTATTTTTAATTAAGAAAGCCCTTTGCTGGTGATTCTAGCTCACTGCCTTCAACAGTCATTGAGTCCCACATTTGACTGAAGTTGTTGGTCTATAGATTTGAAAAGAAGCTGCCCAAATAATATGTGACACATCATAGAGCTTGTCACATGGAGAGGAGAGGACCAGAGAGGCAGGTGTTGTGTTTTGTTTTTCTGGTTTTTAAATTTATTTGTTTTATTTTGGATAAAAAAAAAAGTATTGTTAGAGTTTTCTAAGGACAAATGGGTTCCAAAGAGCTCTTGTCTTTAGATATGTTCAGGAAGAAGCTGGACAGTCATTTGGAAGGGACACTGCAGGAATGTCTGGACCACCAGATCAGTGCTTTCCAAAGTGGGATAGGTGTTCTGGTGGTGTGGAAATCCTACCTTAATTAATATTAAATCACAGTGAGAAAGTCATTCTTTTCAATTCTCTTTTGATTCTTTGGATTACAGGAAAGGCAAAGTCTTATTTTGGTACTAATGTGTGTTTAACACCTTGTTAACATTTGCTAATCCCCTCTATTTATTTATTTATTTATTTATTTATATTTCTTTTTTTGAGACAGAGCCTCACTCCGTTACCCAGGCTGGACTACAGTGGCGCGATCTTGGCTCACTGTAACCTCAGCCTCCTGGGTTCAAGTGATTCTCCTGCCTCAGACTCCCGAGTAGCTGGGATTACAGGCACACGCCACCACTCCTGGCTAATTTTTGTATTTTTAGTAGAGATGGGGTTTCACCATGTTGGCCAGGCTGGTCTCGAACATGTGACCTCAAGTGATCTGCCAGCTTTAGTCTCCCAAAGTGCTGGGATTACAGGCATGAGCCACGACGCCCAGCCATTTAAAAATACTACAAGAGCGGGGGAGTCGGGTCTCAGGCTCCCAGAGCCTTTGTTAGGCAATTGCATCAATTTACAATTTCATAACATTGTTACTTATCTCCTTCACATGACAAGTAATAGGAGGTTTCCATTTTGGGTAATGATTGTAGGCTGTGGAAGAAGAGTATGTTGGTTTAAAGAAAATATTAAGTAAATGAGACTGAGATGGTACCTATGATGGAAAATTCTGGGCTAGTTGACTTTAGGATGGAGATGCTGTGTCATGAAAATCAGATTTGAAATCATGTTCTTAAAAATCAGCTTGTCACTTTCTTGTTGGGAGTACAGAGAACGAGTCTTATCTCCTTTTAGTTGGAACTGGAATATTATGTGAATTAAGGGATGCAGGGAAGCTCTCTCCTCAGCACCCAACATACATCTTCTTGGGGACTGTATCTTTGTGTTCATGTATCCCCAGTGTCTGACATAGTAGAAGCGCAATAAACAGCTGTTAAAGAATGAATGAATGTTAAATGAGAAATTTCATCTACTTGATAATCCTGCCTCGAGGGTGCCCTACCATACGTCCCAGACACTGTTGCTTTTACTCGTGTTGACACTCCTCTCTCACCTCTTTTACTTACATCATGCCCAACACCACAGAGATTGCATGTCAAAAGTTGTGCTCCCCACTTCCAGAAAACTGGGGTGACACCAAAGATTTCTTCTGAGGTAAGTGATTGAGGGGGAATGCACACTTAGAATGAGAAAAGAAGAAAGCACTAGTTTCTGAAAAGATTCAGAAGTGAGGAGGTAATAGTTATGTCTACCCTGCACAACCAGATGTGACATTTAATTATTATCCAGTGAATTTAATCAGGCTAAGTCAGCCAAACCAACTCATATTTCTGGCATGAAATTTCTAGTTTGGCTGCCCATCCTGACCAAATCGATAGAAACTGGCACCAAACCCCTATTTTATTGTGTGGTGTGTTGGCACAGACATAGTCTTCTTGTCCAAAAAATAGGTACTTGAGTACAAATCTAGCCATTAGGCTTCCTCCCAGCTTCTTTCTGGCAGCCTCTGGAATGCTAATACACACCAGGGATGTTTGGAAAGATTGGAGTTTCAAATTCAGGGAAAAGGGAACATGGCTTACAAGGGCTATAGAGCCACAACTCATAAACACGGATGTTTCAAGTAAAAAATATAACTTAGATGTCTCAGAATTTAAATGTGGCTTTAGTACAATTAAACTTATAGCATGTTTTCTAGAATCTTCCACAATAAAAAGCTTAGTCCAAGAAACACAATAATAGTTTTATGCATTTCAGTTTCTGTCTACAGACCCTGGGACAACTGAACTTAGGAGAAACAAGTCTATAAAGTATTTCCCCACTGGGAAATATTTCCTATGGGAGCATGACCTCTGAGTTCTTACTCCAGTGTTCCTTCTGGTGCAGAAAAGACCAGAATGGCTACTACACAATGCAGTTATACCCAGAAGATGGAGAGAAGAGGCTTTCCAATAGCAATTTGTTTAGTCAGCAGTAAACATGATGTTCAGTAGTGAATTCCACATTATCAGTTAAGCTTTGGCACAGGACTGCCAATGATTGGATTCTGACATTCAAACCTGAGTTCAAATATTGGTAGTCTGAGGGTTGGAATGGGCCTGCCATTGGAATTACATTGGAATGGGTGTACTGCGTTTGCTTTGCACTGGTTTGTTTCGTGAATTGTATCAAAGAATCTGCAGGTTCTTAAAAAATTTGAGATTTCTGGATACTCTTGAAAAACAGGAAGATCTGGCCCTTGTCTCAATAGTCTCTTTGCCTGCCTTTTGCCATATTATTCTGTAGTTGGGTCCCTCTCCGTTTATCATCATACTTGTCCCTCTTAGTTCTCTTGTTGAAGAGAAATATTTCTCTGTATCCATGACTCTATCAAAATAGGAAAACAAAAAATAGCCTGAAAGGGCAGCTTCATGTACATGCATCACCCACGTGGCCACTGGAGGCATTTGAGGTTGCCTTTCCACTCTAAAGCAATGGAGCCTGCCTTTGTTTCTTCCCTAGGCAACACATTCTCCAGTAACATTTCCCAGTATACACAGGGATCCTCCAGGGGTCTGTGTAATTTGTAGAAGTTCCTCCCTTCCCATTATAGCTGGGTCATACCCTCATTTGGGTTAGAATTATTGTATTCAAAACCATAAAGGACATTCTTACTGAATCCATCATTCATTCCATTTGATCATAAATATCTAAATTACTGTGTAGTTTGGAAATTACTCACTTCAGACTAACACCTTAAAAAGATCTTTGGCGAACTAAATTCTGCCCCTCAGACTCCTTGCCTTAGCACAGTCCTGGACAAGAGCTAAAACTCTCTTAATGGTCCAATTTGGCAACACTCCCAACTTGCAATTAGGTTACAGTTTTAAAAGTTCATTTTATATTAGTTGTTTGCAGCTTATAATTCTTTTCTCTTTAACAATATTATAAATGTTAACAATTTTTCCAAGTTTTGACCAAAAATTTCTCTTTAGCCATGCAAAGGGATTGCATCATAGTATTTTTTTTTCTGAAAAATTACACAACCAAAGTTCTTATTTCTTCAATAAAGTTGTTTGTTATTAGGTATTAAGAAAAATCAGGAAATTCCACTTCAAGGTGGTGATCAACTGGGACTGCTGCTAAGGGGAAGTAACACTTCTCTAATTGTATCATATAAGGGCTTTTCTCTTTTAAAGAGTAACACATTGGATTTTCAGCACAGTTAAGAGAAAGCAGATACCTCTAAACATTGGTTCCACCCTTGAAGAGAAAGTATAAAAGATCCAGAACCCCTCGGTTTGTGTATAGGAAAACTGCAGGCACTTAATCCAGATGCCCTGCCAGCAGGGATGGTGAGGAGAGACTCTGCTCTACCACAGAAAATGTCAGATGTGGGTTCTGTCTTACAAGTGCTTTCTGTGAATAATTTGTTTCCCAGAAAAATATCAGCATATGGATAATAAAATAAGCATGTGCCCTCATGTCAGCATGAATATAGCTTTTGTGGTAAGAACTGTAGCTGCTGTGATTACCCCTGGTCAGCAATGGACCATCCCAGCTTCACAAACAAGTACATCAAATCAACTCCAGGACTGTTTTATGGGCAATTCATTCTCCAGTGAAAGCATATGTACATGCAATCACTTGTTTAAGGCCCTGGACAAGTGGAAACCAGCAGAGATCTGCAAGGCATTGAGGGAAAATCTGACATAGTTCCTGTCTAAGTAATAGCCAGCCCTCCAAGGCATGTAATAGAATGTTCCTCCATGACTTTTGAGTTGTACTATGAAGTTCTCATTACACAGAGATCTTGAAGGATAGTATAAATATCCTTGAGAACTCCCTGGGATGGGAAGGATTCTCAGTGCCAGCTCACATAGAGGTAGAGTGGTATATGCCCAACAGGGGAACAGTGAGCCAAGGGTGGAAAAGAGAATAGGGTCAGTAATACCTGAGTTCTGAGCTTTACCTACAAACCCAGAAATCATCCTGCTCGGGCAGTGTCTATGGAAATTCCTTCTCCAAGTCAGAGATGTGCTGTGGGGAAAGAGAAGAGTGGGCAGGAAGGAATGTACAGTAACATTTTTCTGCAACTTCTTGGCTCCATCTGATTCACCAATCACATAGACAAATGACTCTTTCACCTTTTCCCATGCAGGAATAAATGGTTATCTCATTGTCATAGAACATAGAATCCTATCCTGCAAAGCTTCCACTTGTTAAAAATCCAAGTGTCCACTGATAAAATATTCAGATGGGAAAATCTCCCGCCCCCTCCCCCTTCTCCCACTAGCATAAAAGGTAACGGGGGTGGGAGGCAACTGGAGAAGGAAATGAAATCATGCGGGTACACCAGGAAAAGATAAGTGTTGGTGGCAGCAGAGTTGGTGAGTGTTGTGGGCATTACCTCTTGATGAGGCTTCCAAGAAGGCTCCCGCTCAAGTCCTGGTGGTTCTGAGAACAAGCATTCTTGCATCAATAGCTAATAGGCTGTCCAACCAGATGTTATCTGGGTGGGATAAGAGGGTGAGAAAACAGACCTGTTGTACGCTGTTGTCAACTACATCACTGTGGTCAGAGAAGGCTGATGGTGTGGTGTTTAGCAGGGCACCTCGTTCACTGTGAGGCGAACCAGATTACGTGGCTGTTTAAATTCGTTTCCTCTTGTGATTGGTAAAATACGAGAGTTATAATCATTCATGCATTACTAAAGCCTCCTTTCCATCATTTTGAAGGGACTTTTTTTTTTTTTCTAGAACAGAGCATGCATCCAGCAGAAACCTAAAGCACTGGCTTTTCTAAGCAATCTTTTGCAATAAACACACTTAAAAAAAACCAAACAAACCAACAACTGCTTATGGTACCTGTGACAAGACTGGAGATGATAAGTGGTAAGACCAGCATCTGTAACATCCTCATCAGAAGTTCCCCAGGAAAGGAGAAGTACTTGACTTCCCGGTAGCTCATTCTGTATGGTCGGAGGGTAAATCCAAGGATTGTACCTGAAGGAAAAAAAAAAAAAAAGAAAAAGAAAAATTGAGTCTTTTTTGAAACAGAAGGAACAGCCCTAGCAAAATGAGTAAGTATTTGGCTGGTGGTTGTATTTATTTAAGCAGCAAATATCTGTGCTGCTTTGGGAGCAAGAGATGTATCTATCTTTGCAGTCATTATCTGTGAGGGTCTGGCTGAATCCGTGGTTCAATAGAACTTATAGAAAAAAACTCTTTCTAGTTTCAACAAGTAAAAAAATCCCTTTGTCTAACTTGAATGCAGTGGAACTCATTCTGACCTGGCTCAATACAGAGTTACAAAGATTGGGGCATAATTAGGAAACAAATAAGCATTCACGAACAGGTGATATAGAAAAAAAAGGCTTTATTTTAATTAAGTTCCTTTATAACAACAGATGTTAGAATTGCTAACATAACCACTTTTAAAGGATAGTGTGATTTTATTTTTTTTTCCAGTTAGAAAAACCCCTCATGTTCACATTGTTAATCCATTTTCATCATCTCCCTGTCTTCACACCACATTTTCTCCCTCTGTCTACATGGTCTTGACATTGCCTTGGTAACTGTATTGTACAGACTTGTTAGTTGCTGGCAAGAGAAGACTCCAAAATGAGCAGAGATTTTCTCCCCAAAATTTTCCCTGAAAACGTGGGAGAATATAGGGGAAAGAGAACGCAATTTTCCCCTTAATTTTCCCTCTACAACTGAAACTTTAAAATCTTTTTAGAATGAGAAATTTGCATTTAAATCAAATTATGCATGATAACTACTGAAATGTTCAGAAATTAATAAAGGTATTGGTGTCAATAAAAGTGTAAATTTACTCCCTCTCCCCTTTACCTAATTTACTTTCCTTGCCAAAGAAAATTTACTTATGCCAGTGTTGTAAATGTTTTTAAAGTTTTTGCCTTGCTATTATTACTGAAACATGTGATTCCATTTTTTAAAAAAGTCCATGTAAGTTATAGAGAAAGCAGCATGCCCAGCACTGAGTTAACTAGGAGCTAAAGGCTGGGGGTGGTGGGTTGGTGGGGAGAAGCGGGAATGATACCGGGTTGGCACAAGCTTTTCTAGAGGAGGCAAGCAGTCTTTTACGGAAACTGAACTGTCTTAACTTCTTATGAAATGGGACACAAAGTTCATTTGAATTGTCACTGCAACTCCAATTTCAATTCTTGGGTCTTAGCAACCATAAAGTATCCATTCTTTGTCTCTAAACTGTGATATTCTAATAAGAATCTTAATCTACGTGGCTAAAAAAAATCCAGCTGACCCAGCTCTCAGGGCCTTCAGGTAAATATTTATTGCTTTTTTCCAATGTAACAGTAATATGGTCAAGGAGAAAAGTTGAATTGGAAAACGCAGAAAGGTGGGGCAAAATCCTGCCCATATTGTTTGTATCACTGAAATAAATAGTAAATAACTAATGCTTACTGAGCTCTTGCTATATGCTGGGTGTTGCCTAGGTTAGCAGCAAATTTAATCCTTGCAACAACCCCAGGAGGAGGGTACTATTTTACCACTAACTTACTGAGGGAGAAACCTAATCACGATGAACTTAAAACTTGCTTAAAGTCAAATATACTCAAGTGGCAGAGCTAGGATTTAAAAACAGACAATTTGGACTCAGATCCCAGGTTCTTAACCCCTTTATGTGTTTCCTCTTCTCCTGTAGAGCAAAGGCAACCACTTTGTGTGTCTCTTTTGCAGAATGTTCCAATACATAGTTAAACACATGGAAATCATACAGAATATACTTTTCCATATACGGTCCCCATAAACATCACTTTTAGGTCTCCTGATATCAGATTCGTTCACTGTATCAGGCTTTACTTTGTCCTCACTCTATTGTTGAACATTTAGGTTGTTTGGCATTTTTCACTTTTATGAAGCATATCATGATGAATATATGAAGGCTATTTTACATCTGGGATTTTTTTTTTTTAGTGTAGTTTTAGAGAAAGGGAACTGCTACCTCAGAGGATACGACTACCTGAATCCATGTTACGAAATTGCTTTCTGCGTGGGTTGGCTGGGTAGCTTAATGCTCTATTAGTGAATGAGGCTTTATTTCCTCTACCCCCAGGAGCAGAGTATTATCATAAAAAGATTGTTAAAACAAGCAAAATTTGATAATGTGATGAGTAAATATTATATACTTTGTTTTATTTTGTATTTACTTAACATCTAATGATGTTGACTATTTTTCCTAATTGTATTTTCTCCAAGCATCTATTCAATCCTAATCGTTTAAGAGTCTAGGTACGTACGTGTGTGTGTGTGTATATGTTGGGTAGATTATTTTTATATAATAAAGATAATTACCCTTTGCCTATGTATAAAATACTTGCTATAACTGTTTTTCTGGTTTGTTTGCCTTACATTATATTAAACATGTACAGGTGTTTTGCATTTTTATAACAATGTCTGCACACCTTTTTTATTAGGTGATTTCTTCTTGAGTTTATACATTTTAATTTCCCTCCCCCCTCACAAGTTTGATAGATCTTAAATTCATGTTTCTTTCTTTGTTTACTTGTTTTGTTTTAAAATATTTAACTTTCAATCTTCCTGGAACCCAATCTGGTGTAAGGCATTTAATTCTGATTTACAATGTGCATTATTTAACACAGCAGTATCCATAACTTATAGGAATTAATAAAATACTTTGGTTATATCTGTCTTTTTCCTGCTTGCTCACATAAAAGCCAAGTCACACAAAGATAAGTGCTTTATCACATATAAATAAACAAACATTTTGCTTTACTTCCAATCAAATTAATTTTACTGGAATTGATGATGTGTCTTTCTGATCTTCATTTAAATGGATTTAAACACTTGACATTCAATTATAACAAAACATGTGCATGATAAACACAAGGGGCTCATTTTGGTCATCTGGAATTTGAACGTATCAAGCTGTCACGAGTTTTAGATATTCTGCAAACAACAGTTGAAGACCAGACTTGGTTTTACAAATTCATATCCAAGTTGGCTGTTTGTTATTAGAAATACACTTACTTACATACAGTAATATTTCCAAGGGTAGGCAGGATACTATCTAGTCCATAAAATTTATCTTATTTATAAGTAATTGATAGAATAGCTGTTCTGCTAATGATATAGGTTCTAGAAGCAAAAGTCAAACAAGGGCTGATGAAGGAAGCGATTATTCTAAATACTAGGTGCACTTGATCTCATCTTCCAGAGTCTCATCTGAGCCTACACTAACTCTACTCCCATTGATACAACAACACTGGTTGTGTATACAGCCTCTTCCTCTCCTTGGGTGTTCTACTACCTTCTCTCCTCTTCCCCACTCAAGCCCTGCACTTACTCAGTGCAACCAATTTTTATTTAGGTATTAGGAGGGAAAGTAAGCCAGCTCCATGAATGAATTCTGGGTAATGTGTGAATGACACAGTCTCTTACCTGCCAAACAGATATCTAACAGAACAATGCAAGACAGTAAGGGAAGCAAAGTCTCAAGAGGTGGTGATATTTTGTGTGTGTCTCTCCTTATAGTCAGCAAGCTGGTCTTGCTGGGAAGTGCAGTCCTACTCTAGGATGTGTCTCTATTTCTTTACATTCCTTAAGACAACACCTACATTGTCTAAAAGTTCTTCTCTATAGTAGGAGGACGTCATTTCTCTAAAGTAGGACATCTCTTCTCTATAGAGAGGAGACATCATTTATTTATAAGGGATAGTTTTAGGTCAAAAGTTTTGAAGAGAGGTGTTGTTTAGAGTGATAGTAGATTCAGACACATTTTGAATCATTTTTATCCCTGACTATGCTTTGGTTGGTTTACTATTTCTGGGTTTACCAGGTGAGCTATTTCTACTCTTGAAAAAGATGAGATTACACTGGGAAAGGGGAAAATTTATTGAGCCCTTACTATGTGTTAACGATGGTGTTTAACACTCATCACAACTTTATGAGGTAGATATTATTGTATCTATTTTATTTTCTTTTTATTTTTTTGAGATAGAGTCTTACTCCGTCACCCAAGCTGGAGTGCAGTGGCACAATCTCGGCTCACTGCAACCTCCGCCTCCTGGTTCAAGCAATTCTCATGCCTCAGCCTCCTGAGTAGCTGTGATTACAGGCATGAACCAACAGGCCCAGCTAATTTTTGTATTTTTAGTAGAGATGGGGTTCTGCCATGTTGGCCAGGCTGGTCTCAAACTCCTGACGTCACGTGATCCGCCTGCCTCGGCTTCCCGAAGTGCTAGGATTACAGGCGTGAGCCACTGTACCAGGCCTTGTGTCTATTTTAAATATTAATAAACTGATGCTCAGAAGTCAGTTAACTTGCTCAGGCTTATAGATCTCATAAGTGGTTGAGTGGAGGGATTCTACACAAAGCCCAGTGCTCTTTCCGTTACTCTTTTAATGCCTCTCAAACACAAACATGCTCTTGTAGCCTAGGCCTGAGTATAGGTCTCAAAAGAGCCTGGTTCCTGGGTCTTTAGCATCTTGAACTCCTACATGGTGAACGCCCTGGAGAAATAACCTTGGATCTCCTACACATGTCCTGTAAGCACCAGCACATCTTGGAACCCTTTACAGGTCTTCTTACTTGCTGAAGATCTCAAAGGTGGTATAGCCACTTTCAAAAATGGCTATACCAAATCCTTTTTCATGATTTAATAAAACTTATATAAAGCTTATTAATTAAAATAGTCTGCCTTTCCCTCCACTGCACACATTTTCAGTCACTAGAAACCATCGGTAGTAACGTGAGAAGGACATTTAATTAAGAATTTAATGAAGACGTGTGTCAACGTTTGCATCCTTAACAGCAACAGCTCCTAGTCATTGACCACGTGGCAGATACCAAGTCCTCACAAGCACATTGCCTCACGCATTGTATCGAGGCCAGGACTATTATTGTTATCCACATCTCACAGATGAGGAATCAGAGTCATTGAGAGGGCAGGTAAATTGCCAAAACCACACAGCTGGCAGGCTGGCGCCACAGTAGGCTTAAAGAGGGGTTACGTGCTCACCTAAGTCCATGGAGTGGCTGAGGTGGACCTGATACCCACACTGTCCAGCTCCAGGGTCCAGACTCACCCACTCTACTGTCCTCGCAGCCTCTCAACAGCCATGGTACTGACTGAAGGAGTCTAAATGGGTACACAATATTTTGCCTACTTTTTCATCTATTTTGAATGACATTAACTAAATCTAGAGCTTAAGCTGAGGAAAAGTTTTGTTGATTTTACTTAACGAAGTCAACAGCTAGCTTTTCTCAACTCACTGCTGAATGAATCAACAAAAGTCATTTTTCATCAGCTTTCTGCTCCTACAAGCCACGTTAGAGCTGAAGCCAGAGGTAGGGTCGGCCAGCTATCAGCATCAAATCAAGAGGAAATGCGGTGAATACGAAGGCTGCTTATCTTGGTAGGCAGTTCTAGTTTCCTATTACATTCTACCCCAGCAATGAAAAAAGCCTTCATGGAAACACAGCCTGATACACAGACTTCTCAGAGCCCTCTTTGCTCTGTCTTTCCGACCAAGGAGACGTAGCATGACCAGTCTTTCTTTTTCTTTTCTTTTTTTTTTTTTTTTTGAGACGGTGTCTTGCTCTGTCGCCCAGGCTGGAGTGCAGTGGCGCAATCTCGGCTCACTGCAACCTCTGCCTCTGGGTTCAAGCGATTCTCCTGCCTCAGCCTCACAAGTAGCTGGGATTACAGGCATGCGCCACCATGCATGGCTAATTTTTTTTTTTTTTTGTATTTTTAGTAGAGACGGTATTTCACATTGTTGGTCACGGTAGTCTCAATCTTCTGACCTTGTGATCCACCCACCTCAGCCTCCCAAAGTTTTGGGATTACAGGCGTGAACCACCTCTCCCGGCCACAACCAGTCTTTCTCTGTGGTAAAGCAGCTCACCCTTTGCAAAACTGAGCTTCATTAGTGGTCACTTATTTGAAACACATTGATTGATAGTCCCAAAGCTGACAAAAAGCTTTATGGCCACCAGATCCTCAGTGCAAAAGAACGAATCCTTTATTATAGATTACTCTGCAAAAATAGCAATGAAAATCAAAATAACTTCCTAGCAGAATTTGTTAGAGCTGAAACAAATTTTGCAAAGTTTGCATCTAGGTGATGTTATACAATATATGGATGTCATGAGCAATATTCAGATCATGCACCCTTGGTTATCAATATTAGTTAAGATTTCTGTTTTACTCCAGTGTTAGTATTTTAACAAGATTTCTAGAATCTAGAAAATATATTGACTAGAATGTTTAAAGTGATCAAAATAACTGTGCTGGATGAATGCTATAAACAAAGTTGCATTTTTGCTTAAATAGTTTCTCTTTGCTAATGCAGAAAGTTCAAGAAAGGAGTCCTTCAGAGGTTCCTTGTTTTCCTAACAACAAACACTTCTTTTTTTTTTTTTTTTTTTTTGAGATGATGGAGTCTCCCTCTGTAGCCCAGGCTGCAGTGCAGTGGTGCGATCTCGGCTCACTGCAAGCTCCGCCTCCCAGGTTCAAGCCATTCTCCTGCCTCAGCCTCCCGAGTAGCTGGGACTACATGCGCCTGCCACCACACCCGGCTAATTTTTTGTATTTTTTTTTAGTGACGGGGTTTCACAGTGTTAGACAAGATGGTCTCGATCTCCTGACCTCGTGATCTGCCCACCTCGGCCTCCCAAAGTGTTGGGATTACAGGCGTGAGCCAATGCGCCCGGCCAACAACAAATACTTCTTTGGAAAATTAAATATCGTCTCATTTTCTAAACTAAGACACAACGTGCACACTGGAGCCTCAGAAAGAAGATATCATAGGTTTACTCTTTAAGGCCAAACACACACAATAAGTTACAAGCTAAAGACCAACTTTAAGAATTTGGTCCACATTTAATATGATAAAACTATTGAAAATATTAAGATGCCAGAAAATATTTAAGAGTAAAAGAATGAGGCATGATTTGAAGTAAACTTCAGACCAAATCATACTACTTAACTTTTGGTAAATGTTGGAGTTTGAAATAGTAAAATTTTACTAAAGTACCTCCTCTATCTGCGAACTTTGTCATGAACAATTTGGCAGACCAAAGTCTTCTAAGAGTTATTACTACGCCAAATCTTCCAGAAAACGAGGTAGTGCCCCAAAGGAGCTCAGATGTCAAAAGGAAATCTCAAAGCAATAGAGACAATGATCTTGACAGAAAGACCTCGCATTCTGAGGCCAACCACGAGAAAACTAAGTGCCTGACCAAGATGAGCCAGCCAGCTGTTTGAGCATTAGTGCTACAGGAATGCCAGGAGGCATTCATACCCATTGCCCAGAAAAACCTCAGCCTGCATATCTAGCCAGAAAGGGGACCAGGATGTCCATTTTCGTGGCTCAAGGAAAATCACAGTGTTGATAGCACACCACTCACTGGTTTTACGTGACACAAATGCTGCCATTTCACAGTTAGGATATTTCCATTTAGGTAGCAAAACCAAAACCAAACTAGCACTAATTTGTCTCAAGGTTACAAGAATTTGCCGTATAATTGTAATATAATCACAGGAGTGTCATCCCATCACCTCTGCCATATTCTGTTGGTTAGAAGTCACAAGTCCCACCCACACTTGACAATTGAGCTATACACGGCAGTTAGAGGTCAATCTAACATGCAGAGGTCTCTGGGCCTCCTTACCAGGCTGCTTCTATCTTCATAGAGAAGATGCTCTACAAATGTTTAAGGAATTAATGATGTCGAGATTCTAGTCCTAGCCCTTAACTCCCCGTGTGATCCTGGATAACTCTATTGCCTTCTATGCTTCAAATTTTTTTTCTAATTTGTAAATGAAGAAGGCTCCAAGATTAAAAAGTCACCCTCCTTATTGGCTGGACTATTGCAGTAGTCTTCTAACTGGTTTCTCTGCCTCTACTTCACCTCTCTCCAGCCTATTCCCAAAAGAACACTGAGACCTAGGTCAGGATCTCTCTCCCCTACTCCCTCCACTGACTCCTCCTCTCATGTAGTCAAAGCCCAAGACCATGCAATCAATGGGTGCTCCTGGCAAGCCCCCCTAGATCCACCTTGCCTCAGAACCCATCTCCTACTCTGCTCCCTCTCACCTGTTTCCACACTTCCCTCCTTGTCATTTCTCCATCATCTTAGACAGGATCCCCCTTTATGGTCCTTGCACTGGCTCTTCCTTCTGCCTAAAACATCATTCCCACATATCCACAACACTTACCTCCTTTAAGATTTAGTTCGGCCAGGCGTGGTGGCTCACGCCTGTAACTCCAGCACTTTGGGAGGCCGAGGTGGGTGGATCACCTGAGGTCAGGAGTTGGAGACCTGCCAGGCCAAGATGGTGAAACCCCCTCTCTACTAAAAATACAAAAATTAGCCAGGTGTGGTGGTGCACACCTGTTGTCCCAGCTACTCAGGAGGCTGAGGCAGGAGAATCGCTTGAACCTGGGAGGTGGAGGTTGTAGTGAGCCGAGATTGCACCACTGCACTCCAGCCTAGGTGACAGAGAGAGACCCTGCCTAAAAAAAAAAAAAGACCTAGCTCAAATGTCACTTTCTGAATGAGGTCTACCTTGAACTTTCCTATCCCTTAGCTGGTTTTATTTGTTTTAATAGTTCCTATCACCTTCCAAAATACAATATAATTTTCTATTTATTATGCTTGTTGTTTATTATTTTCTCTGCCTGCTAAATGTAAGCTCCACAAGGTTAGAACTTTTTTTGGTTTTTTTGGACAGTTTTGTTCACTGACCTATATCAAGCCCCTCAAACAGTTCCTGGCACACAGTAGGTGCTTAATATATTGTTGAACGAATGAACAAACATGTCTTATTTTCTTTCAGATGAGCAGGATCCAACAGTGCCTGGGCCCCAGCTGGTGCTGAGCACACTTTCTGAATGCAGGAATCTCTCTGTTCTGTGCTCCCCAGTAAATCTGATTCCCTACTGCAATCCCTGAACATAGTAGCCTACCCTAAGGAATGTCCCCTCTGTACAAAACCATGTGATTTTGCTCTCATGGTCTGTGGGACTGGATCTTGACTGAATTATGATTTCTCATAGGCTTAGCTTTCTAAATTCACAAATGAGGAATGACAGCTATGGATCCCGAATTTGCTCCTAAGGTAGGTTTTTTTGAGTAGAAGGGAGAGCAAGTGTGATGCTGTAGAAAGACAGTTCTGGGCCTGATCCTGTCAGTAACTTAGGGTAGGCGATGCTTTATCTAAATGATTTAATTTTCACATCAAACCTGTAGCGTTTAATATCAGTATCTCATTAATGAAAAGATTGAGGCCTAGAAAGAATAAGCCACTTGCCCAAGGCACATTGCGGTAAGTGATATGAGAGGATGGGATGGCAAACTTAGGTCTGCCTGTTTCCATATCTTCAAATCACACAATCTCTTCAGGCCTCTTTTTTCTTTTTTAAAAAAATCTGCAAAATGAGAGAGATCAATTGGAATGGGTGGTGTCTAAGATCCTCCTGAACTTTAAGTTCTGAGTTTAAAAGAACCATGTTCATCAAAAGCATTATAAATCTTAGCTGCTTTATACTAATTCATCTTGTTTCTGTTAATGAATTCTAAACTCCTTGATAATGCATATGAGAGCATTTAATGAGTCAAAAAATGTTTTAGCAATTTAGCCATTACAATTATTATGGCAGGCATGCAATAATTATATGAGAAATCAAATAAAAATTTCTATTTCAGGAATTGGCCCAATTTGGAGAAATCATAAGCCTGTCTCACACTTATGATTTTTATGTTTGCTTACAAACTACAGTTTGATGAAGCTGTTGGACATAAATTTCCATTCGCTTATTTTCATTATTTTTAGAGCTAGGGTCTTACTCTGTTGCCCAGGCTGGTCTCGAACTTCTGGCCTCAAGTGATCCTCCCGCCTCAGCCTTCTGAGTAGCAAGGACTACAGGTGCGCACCACAACGCCTGGCTAATTTTAGAAATTTTTTTAGAGACAGGGTCTCACTATGTTGCCCAGGCTGGTCTCAAACTCCTGGTCTCAAGGGATCCTCCTGCCTTAACCCCCTGAGTTGCTGGTATTACAGCAGTGAGTCACTGTGCCAGGCTGTATTGGCTTATTTTTACAAAGAAAGCAAAGCCATAATGGTGAATCTACCTGGGTAAGAGTTCTGCTGGTCCCTGGTCTTTTGTTTCTGTCAAACTTTCAGGCGTTTCCTGGTGAGAAGCTACTCAGTGTTGGAGGCAACCTCTTAACCCTCCCCCACTCCTCTGTTTCCACATCCTTGGGAGATTTGGGCCTTGGCCTGGCTCATTCTTTTGTCCTTTGGTATTTCCTGTTGAAGGTGGGAAATACCTGCCCCAGCCTTGTTCCACCAGGGGTGCCCAAATGAGAGAGCCCTGGGTGACTGATGACCAAGTAGAGTGGAGACACGGACTTATGTGCACACGGTGTGTGACTCTTAGAGACAACTGCATCAGAAGAACCTTGGAGTTTTAAGAAAGGCCTGGTGCTTTCTTCCAAAAACTGCACCAAAAAAGGCTATGTGAAGTGGTAATTTAATTTACAAATAATCCTACAGGTATTCTAAATGTCCAATCCATTGTTATTTTTAAAAATCTTCTATTCCAGAAATAGCAATTAAAAGCAGGACTTGTTGCCTTCCTTTCTGGAAAAAGGAAATTATTATGAACAAGTAGAAACTGGGAATGAAATATGTTTAAAATTTCCCAAGTTCCCCTGGTGCCTTTTGTGTGTTATATGCTGGTGCACAGCAAAGGTGTTCCCATTTCCATCTATTCCCTTTTCTGTTCTTTCAGAGCCTCTGTTCTACTAACTGATATGTCTCTGTGCAGTATGAAGAGTAAAGTTTGCTCTAGTTTCCTGATTTTATGTTCTGCTCTAGAGCCCAGCCGAGACCCATCTGTGCTCAGACTGTTAGCACCAGTATTCTGGGGAATTATTTGTGGACAGGTTGCATCCCCTAAGACTGTAACTAAAGCAGCCAGGGCTGGCCTGGGAGCGGGGTGATCCTAGCTTCTATAGACTTATTTCTGGCAGTCTCTTATTTCTAAGCGCCTTTGACACATCACTCAATGTTTCACTTTCTAAACTTCTGCTAAATTGGTGGTAGGGGGTGAAGGCTTAGAGGGAGGGATAAAAACTGAAACCCTGGTTCATCTCTTTCACAGTTTATTGTGAAGATGATAGATGGTAAGAGATGTGAAAGGGCTTCAAAAGTTGAATGTAACATACAAATTAAAGCTTTGGGTGTTGTATATGGATTAAATTTGGGCTTTAGAAGCAGGGAGATACCTGCATCTACCTGATTCTATCCTGAAATTGCAGTTTTCCAATGCACTGATTTCCTTAGTTTCCTCAGTCTGTCTGCGGAACCCGCACAAACTGCAAAGTCCACTCATGCTTACCTTTGGCAGAGGCAGTACAGTACCGAGGCTAACTCTTTTTTAAATCCCACATTTGTAGCAAATGACTACAAATTCTATGGAGTACAAATTAGCAATACTTATCAACATTATGAATGAGTATACCTTTAGACCCAGCAATTTCACTTCTAGGTATATCCAGATACATGGGTGAAAGATCATTCATTACAACGTTTTTAAATAAAAATGTCTAAAGACTGGAAACAACCGAAGTGTCCATCAATTGGTAATTGCTTAAATAAGTTATATTATGCCCATACAATGTAGCCCTAAGAATGAGGGGCCTTTCTACGTGCTAAGGAATAATATCCCAGGTATATTGTAAAGTGAAAAAAGCAAGGTGAAAAGTGGGCTATGTATACTATGCTATTATTTGTATACAAAGAGTCAAAAAAGGAATAAATACATATTTATTTTTATAGTCATAACATTTCTCCAAAGGCATACGAGAAATGAATAACAAGATAAACGGGAACCTTGGGGGACAGGGGTCAATAAGATACTTTCTTTTTATAAGCTTTTCTATTTTTTTATTTTGGACTATGTTAATTTATTTACTACATAAGTAAAATAAAATAGGCCAAAAAAAAAAAAAAAAAAAAAAGCCCGCAACCTTTTCTCCCTCTTTCTTTTTTAATCTTATTGGATTCTTTTCTGCAATATTTTTGCTGGATGCCTGCATCTTTCTAAAATGTCGCTTTGAGTCTGGGTTGATTTCTCCTCAATCCTGCTTTAATTTGCTTTAACGAGGAGTTTACTTAGTTTAGGCCATGGAGAGGAAAGTCACTAATTGTGTTCAGATTTATAGTGAGTAGATCACTTTCTGACCAAACCGCTTTCTTTTTTTTTGGAGACAAGGAAGCGAATCTGAAAAAACTTTGAACTCAATCATTATAGGCTCATGTGCAACTTCAATCAATTAGCCCTTGGAGTTACAAGTATGAGAAAACTGAAACCGCTCTGCAAAGATGACAAGCTCCTCGTCACCCATCGTCTCGTGGAAAGCACTGCAAAGTCAGAACTTACAAGGCCCTGAAAAGTTTGTTGAATCTCAGGTTTGCTTACAAACTACTTCATTTGCCCTAAAAGGGCAAATCTAAGAAAACAAAAATAAATAAATAACTAAATAAAAGCATGACTACTTTTTTCACAGGGAGTTTCTCCATAGACTCATAATTTCCTTCTTGATGTTTCTCTTCACATTCATCAAGTAGCTGAAGATACCAGCAAGCTTCTAGACAAGCACAAGAAACCCGGGCTTTTGTTTTATTTGCTTGAAAGATGATATTTCAAGTAATGCGATGTGTATAAAAGAAGGGACCATCTTTGCAGGGTATATTTTTCTCCCTACTCTCATTAGGGATAAACGAGCCTCATCATACAAGGTTCTGAATAAGAAGTCTCTCGCTAACAGCCGGCTGTCTTCTCTGTGTGAAGCAGCAGCAGTTTGTAGCCTGGAAACATTGTTGGAGAACTGGAGAAGTCTGAGGACAAGAAGAATGGAGTTGCCCTCTCTGGAGACAGAAACCCCGTCTTGAAATTCAAACCTTGGTTGTGCCTTTCAATTTGCTGCGCCTAAATTTACCTGCCAATCTTTGATAAGTTATACAAAGGGAAAAAGGGAGCGCCCTCCCTTAACTTATCCAGGGTATATCTTCCTTTATCTAAACCTTTTTGGGCCTTTTATCTTTCTCTTTTTGGTTTCAAACTCTCTTGAGCATATCTCTTGATAGGGCATAGTGATGTGAATATTCTTGGCCTAGGGAATAAGCTCTAGGCAATCTTGATAGCACTGAAGCTTGACATAAAACTCATCTTTTTTTTTTAGATGGAGTCTCTATCTGTCACCTAGGCTGGAGTGCAGTGGCACGATCTCAGTTCACTGCAACCTCCTCCTTCCCGGTTCAAGCAATTCTCTGCCTCAGCCTCCCGAGTAGCTGGGATTACAGGCAGCCGCCACCGCGCCTGGCTAATTTTTGTATTTTTAGTAGAGACCGGGTTTCACCATCTTGGCCAGGCTGGTCTTGAACTCCTGACGTAGTAATCCACCCGCCTCGGCCTCCCAAAGTGCTGGGATTACAGGCGTGAGCCACTGCACGCAGACAAAATTCATCATTTTTATACTCAGTGAGTATAGTCGCTAAACTCTGTGCACTGAAGTGCTCTGTGTGTTTTCTCAGCTCCCAGCAATGATGCAGCTCACCTAGCTGCCAGCAAATACTTGATGAATGATAGTATCCTAGTGTTCCATAAATATCAAGTACCTGGAATGTACAGCTTGGAAAAGACAGTGCTCAAACTCTGGTTGCCTCCTCTAAACAGGTTAGGCTCTTCACAATCTTATTTATTCCATAGCAAAAACAAAAGCCTGTGGTTTTCTTCCCCTAATTTATGAGAGATGGGCAGAGACTGAAGGGCAGAAGGGGCTTCTGCAAAGTGTGTCCTCACTGTGTTCTCAAACACTGGCTAGGAAACACTGATTATCAGACCCAGAGCCAGGGGCCCTCAAGAGGTCAAAGGGAGAGAAGGGGGCTATTTGTTAGACTGGAGAGACCAGCCAGAATGGGTTATCTAGGAAAAAGATTCTAGCAATGGTACAGTGTCATGCCCTGGAAACAAAACAAAGCAAAACAAAATAAAACAAAGCAAAACACCTCTGTTTATTATTCTATATATTCAGATATTTTAGAGGAAGATAAACTAGACTTAAAATGATAGAATTTTGGAGTTGGAAGCAGACATTAGTCCAAACTTACTTTGCTGATGAGAAAATGAGACCCAGAGATTTGTCTTACACCATAAAAATCGAGTTAGTTGATGGAGCCGGGCCTGTACCCAGGATCTTTAGACTCTCAATGCTTTCTTAGCTGCGTCCCAGACATTTGCAGATACAAATCAGAAGGAGGGTGGCCTGGTCATAGCTTACGTGCTACAGAGAGTGCAACAGAAAGTGCTTTGTAAACTGTACCACCACAAAAATGAAAGGTATTATTACTGAAGGTTAATTGTTCTGAACACACTTGCTTATTTGATTACCTACTTGAAAGAGAAATTTGAAATTGCCTGCTCTGTTTCCTCAATATCTGAAATGACAAGAAGAAAAAGAGCAAAATAGAATCCAGAGATACACTTAGAACAACATTAAGACTTCTACCCACTGCTTCAAAACAACCTTTCCCAACTCTCTTGGAAACCAGCCACATTTCTCTCAGGGTTCCAGCCAGCCCCCACTCTGACCAGAGTGGCAGTTAATGGGCAGTAGGCACCAAAGGGCTGGAGGAAAGAAGAAACCAGGGAGGTGGTGAACACTCAGATTGGCCCTGAGAGGTATGAACAAAAAATTCACTATTGAGTGTATTACAACACTTACTAAAACATTTCTTAGCACCTCCCTGTTTTCCTGAGAGAGGCGTCTACTGTCAGGCGCCCCCTCCACTAAGTAGTCTGCTGTGATAACGGCTGCCTGGGGATTACTTTCTGGTTCTGCTCAGGAGGCCAGATCGGTAAGGGACAGATAATGATGGTATCACTTACTCTGAGGCTTTCATTTCTGCATCTAAAAGCCCGTTACAACTATTAAGGCTCTTCCTACAACTCTCTTGGCTCTCTTCTCTAGCTAAGGAAATAGAAGCCACTTCTAAACCAAAACCAGGTGAGTATCTTCTGCCCCCCAGCCTCCCCAAATGCCAGGGTCTTATAGCTCTCTGGAAGATCAGCATCATCAAATCAGTGCATATGACAGCTTGAAGCCATATCAGAGATGTAAATAAAAGATGTGGGGTTTACAATGTCTATGGACACTTTACCTGGCAAGCACTTAGGGAAATCATTTAAGGTGATATGGCTTGTGCATAGCAGAACTGGGATATAAATCTTGGCAGACAGTTTTTATAATTATTCTGTTTTATACATGAAGAAACAGAGGCTCAGTTCCAGAACTGGACATAAACCTAGGCTGTCTGACTCCAGAGCACATAGCTCTGATCTCCACTATACCTTACTGGGCTACACCGTCACAGTAGGAGGCAGCGCCTGGAGTGCTTTTGGAGAAGGTGGGAGAGGGCTGGGAGGCATGTGTGCTGTGGGTACATGTGTTATCACTAGCCCTGACAATTTTTCTGTATTTTTTTTCCCCCAGGGGAGAAGATAAAGCACAGAGAAATCAGACCCTAGTTCTTATAACCTAACCCAGTGTGGCTTCTCCAGAGAAAAACTCTGCAAATCCATAGCTTCCTCCTCCTCCTCTCCCAGCCTCTGCTGAGTGAAAGCACAGCTGAGCTCTGGTAACACCAGGGGACTCAGGATCCCCCTACCCCCAGCTTCTTGAAGCTCCTCTCTCCCTGCTCATTTCCAAGAAGTGTTGAAGAAACCGTAAGTCTGAACCCAGTTATCTGTCCATCGTTGTTTGGATTGCTGTTGTTCAATCAGTGTGAAAATGCCCCGCTATCAGGGGTTCAGGAAGTTGAGAGGTGTGGGCGCCCGACTGTGCCTGCTCCACGAACTCAAGCAGTTGGCTATTGTGGTCCCACTACCAGGTCAGTTCAGTCCAGCAGCTGATAGCAAACCACATTGATTAACCTGCTTGGCTGACCTAACTGGCTTGGTCAGTTACGTCCAGGCACAGAACACCACTACAGCATTTCTGAAAGATTAGTGCTTTTAAGCATGAAGGAGAGGGCCCTAGAGTTACGGAAACTGTTCTGAGAATAGACTCACTTACAGAGTAGACTCATTTATGCAGTAGGATAGCCCGATTCACTGATCCTTATTCACTTGAAATCCAAAGACAGAACTGTCTTCGTTCAGTTTGGAGGTTGTAGGAATACCTTCTAAATCTTGATTTGCAGCAAGCTTCTTCCATTGTATATGCACCTCGGTGGCATCCCGCCCCACAAACTCAACAGGTCCAAACTGAACTTACCCTCGTGCACCCCCAAGGCCCCAGTCTTTCTCCTGTATCCTACCTTCAAATGTGGCATCATCAGCCACTCTGCCACCTAAACCAGAAAGCGGGCCATTGGTCTGCAGTCCACCTTCTCTCATTGAATCAATTGCCAAGTCTCACCAGTGGGCTTTCAGTTCGACCTCTCTTTTCCATCTCTTCCGTTGCTACCTCAGGCAGACCCTCAGCAAATTGCTGGAGTAAAGCCAGAATGGGTGTTATAGCACCCAGAACAGTGTGGTGAATGAGCACCTGGAGCCGGAATGGTGGATTTGAATCCCACTCAGTATTCATCAGCTGTGTGGTAAGGATTTGGGCTTCAGTTTTTTCATCTGTACAATGAGAGTAATAAAATTACCTCCCTCTCTGGGTTGTTGTGAGAATTAAATAAAGTTAATACACTTAAACACAATAGTGCTTTCCATACATTGTGAGTGTTAGCTATTACCATTATTATTATTATTATTATTATTTTTTTTTTCTTATTTGGAGACAGGGTCTCGCTCTGTCATCCAGGCTGGAGTGCAATGGCATGAACATGGCTCACTGCAGCCTCAACCTCCTGGGCTTAAGTGATCCTCCTCCCACTTCAGCCCCCCCAAGTAGCTGGGACTACAGACATGTACCACTACACCCGGATACTTTTTTAAAAAATGTTTTTGGAGAGATGAGAACTTACTATGTTACCCAGATTGATCTTGAACTCCTGGCTCAAGTGATCCTCCCTCCACTGAATTTTAGTGCAATTTAAATTCATTGCCAGAGTATTAGAGAACAGAGGGAAATGCTTTATAAAAATTTAGCCAGGATGATTCACCGATTTCTTTCAAATCCATATAAAGGAGAACTCAAATGTAAACTCTGTGAGTGTGTGTGTATGTGTGTGTGTGTGAGAGATCAATATCAGAGAAAGGAGAACTCAAATGTGAACTGTGCAAGGAGACCATCAGAAAAAGGAGAACTCAAATGCAAACTCTGTGTGTGTGTGTGTGCGTGTGTGTGTGTGTGCGCGTGCGCCAAGACCAACATCAGAGAAAGCTGCTAGTTTACTGTGTTTGTGAATGCCTTCAGGTAAAACTACCACTCAATTCTATGCATTCCTATTTATACATATCCCCCAACCTTGCAGCTGATCTTATGACCCATTTCTTTATATTGTTTGGCCTGAGATTTCATTTTTATTGTGCAATTCATTCCCTAGCCATGGAAAGAGTCAGTGTTCTGTGACTTGAACATGACAAAGACTTTTCCTTTCTTTCAGCTAGATGTCTGAGGTCACTCTAACACAACTTACCACAGTCCAAAGGGAGAAATTTCTTTCTGGAGGAAGAAAGACAATAACCACTCTTCCCAGTGTGGTTTTTGTCAGACGGATGTCCACAACAGCCCTGGCAGACCATTATCTAATGCTTTCATGACGGGCCCTCTAAGGGATGTGGAGCTTGGCACTGTGTTCTCTCGGATTGCTAACCGCTCTTGTTACATGAGCTTTTGTCATGGCATGGCACATTCAGACTTTGACATTGCTTAGAAATGACAGTAGAAATGACATAAAATTGTACAAATGGTTCTATGCTTATGCTTGTAGATGAATTTATATCAAAATATTTATAATTTTCTGCTTTATTTTGAATATATGGATTCACATGTCTTTATCATAATATTTTTCTAGTTTCCACTTCTACACATTAAATCATATACATTTTATTTCAAAAAGGCAAAAAAAAAAAACAGTCTAAACAAAAGATTCAACCCAGTACATAGGTTTTCCCAGTGATTTTTTTTTTTTTTTTTTTTACTAAAAGCAATAAAAACCTAGGAATTTGAAAACTAGGTAATAACTATAGCTCTTCTCATCTCTCATCTTGGGGGAAAATAATTATCTCCTTCTTCCTTGCTAGCATCTTTCTTGTTTTTTCTTATGCTACAGCAAATAAATTAAGAGTTGGTGTACAGACACATTCTTTTCCTATCTCTTAGGACTGGTAGACATGGAACCCAGTGACAAGCTAAATAGAGCCTTTATATTCACTGGGTTCTTGATGGAAGACACACTAACAGATAACTGAAGGGTTCTTCCTTCTCTCCTAAATCTGTTTGCTCCTAAGTTGTCTATTTGCTATTCCAAGTCTTTGATGTAGACTCAGTGGTCTCTTTGACTGTCAATGAGCTCTTTTTATGTGTTTCTTTGTTAGTGCCTTCTTCTTGCTGCTTCTGCCTCCTCAGTTTCCATTAGTAAAGCCAACCATGAGGGCACCCGGCCAACTTATCTACCCTAGCTCAGCCAACTCTTATTGCAATTCTCACAAATCTTAGGAAAGCCCTCACTGGGTGAGGAATGATCCCAGAACTCCTAGAGAAAAATAGACTAGGGATGATCCCAGAACTCCTAGAGAAAAACAGACTTTTAAATCCTGGCATTATCTTCTTTTTATTAGAGATGTTATTGCTTTGTACTAATGACTTAGGAACTTCCTTCTCCATCAATCTGTCTTCCATGTTCAAGTTTTATGAATTTCCATTCCTGTATTCTTGAATGGAAACATTTCTGTCTTAGAAATTCCACTCTTCTGGTGTTTACAACACCATTTTGAATGGTGTTTCTCCATCTTTTTCAAATATACTCCAGTATTACTGAGCTCTATTTATTATACGTATAGGATCATGAATTATAAATGAGTATGTGTTAAATGAATGAGAAGGAAGTGGCTTAATGGTCTATAGGAGAACTGTAAGTTTTCTTTTGAGGTAACCGGGTAAATCATGCAGTTAAATGACAATGCTGTGTGAATGCACTGCTAGCTAACTGGCCTTCATCAACTCATGAGGGTATTTCTCTTCCTGGCATCTCTTAAAAGATGTCAACTAGCAGCAGAGCAGAGGAAGAATAGAGTGGTTAAGAGAATGGCCTCCGGTGCTAGACTGAATTTGACTTCCAGCTCTAGAGTTTACTAGTGTTGTCACTTTGGGCAAATTGCTTGATCTCTCCACAGTCAGTTTCATCTACAAAATGAGGAAGATCATAGTAATCATACCTTCTCACTCGCTTCATAGGCTTGTTTGAGGATTAAGTGAGCTAATATAAACAAAACTCCTACAGAGTAGCTGGAATAGTACTATATAAATGTTTGCAATTATTATTATGCAGCTATTGCTTGGCTTGGCAATGACTTTGATTCAGAGTGACAAATGAGGCAAGCAGACTGTATTTTGCATTGACTTCCAGGACAATGATGTGGGACTGAAATATTTCACCCAGGAATATATTCAAGCCTGGAAACCTACTGTGGAAAGCCATTACTTCTCTGGGTCAGTTAGGACATGTTCTCTTTGAATATCTCTAAATTAATTGAACCATCATTAATCACCAGTGATTACTAATGGAAGACAATGATGTTAAAATGGGATGTATCTAAAATCTTGTGACAAACTCTCCTGCTATACTTCATTTGTCTACAATTTAAGAATTCAATTTTCTTGAAAAAAGTTATATTTACACACTACAGAATTTTCTTAATCTTTATTAAATCATTACCTCTTTAAAGTTGATGGAAATCTTGGCAAACTCCAAAGTAGAGATTAAAACGGTACTGAATGCCTCTTTTTTGGTGGCAAATTGGTAGGTTAAGTTGGAATATTTTTACAACCTGGCATTGGCGTATATGTTTGTCAATCTAAGGATTTCTGTATTGGTTTGGTCAAAAATTCCAAATAAGTAGGTTTTTTCAGCTATATTTTAAAGTAGGATCAATGCCACCCATAAGTAATAAACTATAACTTTTAAGATCAATAAACAAAACAAAACAATAATATTTTATTAGTACAGATTGCTGTCAACCCTGCTAAATTAGTAAGAGATGGAAATGATTCAAAAAAAGGTATAGCTGGTTATGGCAGGCTCTGCAAAGCAATGAATGAAAGAGATCTGTGTTAACATTTTCCCCAATCTACCTTTCCCAGTTGCTGGGTGAGAGAGTGCAAACACATAAAATATTCGGTCTCTGTGCCTAAGCGTTGATACTCAGCTTCAAGTCAGCACCAGTTAGAATATAATTACTATTTGGAACCAACATGTCATTTTAGGTGTACTAATTGTATAAATTAGTTTTAAGTGCAACTGACATTGTATATAATTACATTTTGGCCAAATCTAGCATGCTTGCTTTGTCATGCCTAATGATTAAATGATCACTTCCTTATCCTTACATGAAATGGGAAAATATTTTATTTATTTTTCTTCCTCACACAATTGATTTGCATAATGCCTAATGATGCCTAATGATGTGTTTACTATATATTGCTCCAAACAAGCCAAAACAGTCATTTTTATGGAGAAAAATCATCAAGTTCAGAGGAAAGCCTAGGCTACCATTTTGATACCTACAACTAGTTCATCTGATAATATTCCCCGGGCAGCCAGATGCCCCAGAGAAACAAGATACAGGTTTTTTTGTTTTTAATCAAATGACTCACCCACAATGACAGCGGTGACTGTGAGCAGCACAAAAGCATTCCGAAACAGGTAACTTTTAACATCCTCCTTTGTAATGTTCTGCACTTTCTTCTTGGCCAAAAGTGTGCGTTTACGGACTCCCTGCTGGAATCTCTCCATCCTGCCCCCCATCTTGGGCTCTTCTCCATTGCTTTTAGTCATATTTTACTTTTCTAGGAGGGTCTCTTCTTTGCACTTCAGTGTCTGGGAATCACCCACAGAAAGCCAAACCTCCTCTTTGGTATTAGAAAACACAACTAGAATGGGAGAAAAAGAGACATGAGTTATAGCCTCCAGGGGTGAGAAATCAGTGCTGCTCCACACCAGGCAAGCTCTTGGCAAATTGCATAATCTCAGCAGGAATCAAGGACTGGAGAGCCACAATACCAGACCTCAAGGTTGCAGTGTGCATATTTTAGTGGACCACGTGTGAGAAATGTGCATAAATTCGGAATATATTCTATTTTCTTTTTAAAAATCCGTCCTTCCCCTTCCAATGAGGCTATAAAAGGGTTCTTCAGAGCTAGATCTGACTGAGAACCCCTATTCCCACCCTCCCCCGCAGAACCCAGCTGATGCCTTGCACAACGTACACAATCAGTAAATGTCCAATTGAACTGAATGCACAGAAAGTATTCAATCATTACTTGACAAATTATGCTGTATACATGGTTGAAAGCATAACCAGGTCAATAAAAATAATTAAGATACTGATAGGTGGGAGTTGTCTCTGTTACATGCAGTAAAGTAACCAGCTATTTTCTTCATTAAGAAAAAAATATAATAATATCTACTAGTAAATATGGTCATAAAAAGAACACAAGTGCCCACAGTACATGGGAAATACATGTGACTATTTTACAGGGTAATTTTTTCATTTTTTTTCCATGAAATAAGCAAAGTGCTCTGGGCACATCTATAAATCATCTGAAATCACAATTCAGCTTCGTTTATCACAAGTAGAAGTATGAAGTAGTGTTTTTCTTTGTGACACACATGCTGGAATCTTCCGAGGAAACTATCGCTGACTTTTTAGCGTTTTAAAATTTAGGATTTCTAGAACAGATGAGATGAAACCAATTTTCATTCCAAACATTACAGCTTGTGGTTTCTGGTTTCTTTAAAGCACTCACGCTATTTAACTACATTTCAGTAAATCTCTTTCCTGGTGGAAATCAGCTGTTCTGAAAAATCAAGGGATTCCTCCTGGTGCTTTACAGGAGCTCTAATCCATAGCCCTTCCCATAATCAATCCGAGTGAAAACCAGCCGTACCATGGATGTGTGTCGCTGCCAACGCAAGCAGCCAGCGTGTGCGCCTGTGGGGGAGGTAACTGGAAACCAAAGGACTCCTCGCAAATGACTTCTCGCAATCCCAGTGCAGGAAAAAAAAAGACTTGTCTTAACAGTTTGCCTTTTAAATAAAATTGCAAGTTGGGGTCAGTGATACTAAGACTTCTAATTTGTTTAAGACTTCACACTGGATTAAATGCTTAGGGAGAAGTGAAGACCGGGAAATAGGAGAGACCAGATTTTTTTTTTTTTTAAACTAATAGCTCTGATTCCTCTTACCAGTCACTTTTAAGCAGATCCGCTCAACCTTGATCCTTTTCTAGATCTCGCGCCACAATCTGCCCCCAATCCACCCCGAATGACTCAACTCCGAATTAACAGCGGACCCGGCATAAACAGACACCACACTCTCACGACGTGAGATGACTAACAAGGACTTTATCTACCAAAATGGCTAGCCTTGATTCAGGCTACTCCTCTGCTTGGAAGGCAAAATACATCGGCAGAGAAGTGAAAGGAGAAATTAAACCCAGCAGGAACACAGAATGTGACACTTACCTTTTCTGATTTTGTAAGGGGTGGAAGATATCAAGCAGTAACGAGGTGAATTCCCCAGCAGGTACAACGGAGCAACAATCCGCAGCGCGCGTAAGCAGGCAGGCTAGCCCTGACAGTGTGCATGTGCTCTGAAACTGCAAGTTACTATCAGGGCAACTTAAGAAAAGGGGAGGAGTCTGTGCCCGGGAAAGGAGGAGTGGGGAATGGAAACCGCACAGGGAGGAGGGGGAAACCCCGAGGTTTCTGGAATATTGATTAATCTTGGCACACCAGAAGCAGGCTTGCTGGCTTTGTTTTGCTCCTTAGACCACTTTCACGCTTTGTCAGTTCACTGTCATTAGAAATGCAAAACCGGGACTAGGAAGAATTGAAAAATAAAGCGCACACAATCGGAAAGCTGAAAGTCTTGATTAGAACGTTTCAAAGACTTTTCTAAGGCTAAATTTAATTACCTCACATTATTGCATGTTTCCTCCCTTTCAGGGAAGACGAGGGTGTGCTCTTTAGCCTGGTTGTACAACTGTTACGAGAAAGTTCCTTTTTCGAATCGGGGAATTAACTGACGTTTCTTGGGAAGACACTGAATGCAGACAAGTATGTAGAAAAAAAATAATGCTTACTACGATTCTCTAAATTTGTCTAAAGTTAGGGACATGCCTCTATTTCAGCAGTTGAAACTTCAAAACTTCATTTTAACAAACCTAATTTAGCTCACACTGCCTGTGTTGCAAAGACGGAAAAGGTAGCAAATGTAAAGAGACTGGAATTTTTGCCAAACTAGAAAATGAAAAGCATTTTAAGACCAAGAGTGCAAAGTACACTTGAGATTTGGTGATTCAAAAGATAGGTTGCTGTTCAGATGTCTCCATTTTAAAGGATGCTAAATGTTCTCCCTACCACACACAACTTTTTTAGAGCTAAAAAATTCTCATTGCCTTGAGAAGGTAACTTGAGCTTCTAGTCCACTTTTCTTAAAAGAAAAATAAATTGTGAAAATAGATATTAGAAAATAAAAAAAAATTTTTTTGAGGTGACTTATTCCCAAAACTTAAATCTTCTTTAGAAGGAAGAAAATGGTTCATTAGAAACAAAAATTTATACCAGAATCACAGCCTGAGGTTTGGATTCTTGTTCACTGAATTTAATATTCCCCATGCAAAATATGCTCAATTCTTGGTCTATTATTCAACAAGAAAGTATGTCTTTTTTCCCCTCAATACAAATCTCTGGAGATCATAAAGAAATATCTCCTTTCACCCTCAACTGTATGTCCTTTTAAACAGCTACTGGTTGGAAAGCAATGGTGAATCATGTCAATGCTTTAAAATTACAAATCAGCAGCAATTATAACAGCTTTCTAACATGCTATCATTTTAAGAACTTACTGAAAGTACATGCTTTTGACATTCCCAGCCCTCAGTGACCCTTCCCTTCCTCTGATCTCCTAGGTCACTGAGCATCTATACTACATTGTTTAGCACTTAATTATACCATGTTTTGTACTGCATCCTTCTTTTTAAGCTCATGTTAAGTTTTGGTTTCTCAACTAAATTATAAGTTCTTTGAGGGCAAGAACTTGTCTTATACCTAATACAGAGTCAATATTAAGTAACTCTTTTTAAGTGGGTGGAATAATATTAGGATGTGAAACAAAACGCTTTTCAATCTTTTGTGTTAAAACACAATTACTAGTTTTTACATTGGTGCCTCTGGTTTAGGTGCATGGAGCCATTTCTCAATGCCATGACTACTTTTAAAAGCATTTATTTACTATACCAGGTCCTATCTGAGCCATGAGTTTAGGATTAATTTGCACACCCCCCCCCCCCACCGCTTTTTTTTTTTGGTGGAAATGACTTTGACTTGTATTGCAAGGGAACTCGAAAGAGAAATCTGATTTTAAATGGGGTTTCAAGCCCAGTGGCATTTCCATTTTTTGTTTTTATTTTTGTTAATAGGCAAGAAAAAGGGCTGGAAAACCACACTTTGGTTAGCATAGAGATGGGAAGACCCTGGTGCCCTTTCTTTTTCACTTTTTTTTTCCTCTCTAATCCCTAAAGCTTGGTTAAAAACCATTTCATTATTTCAGTTTGTGTAGACATTATGGGAGTCTGGTATTCTGTTGAGAAGGGAAGTAATTCACCACTGAAAGTTTTGTTGGCTGTAATAAAACCTAATGAGAAAATGAGATGCAAAGAGTCTCAGTTCAGAGTTCATCCAATTTTAGTCTGGAGGGAAACATTGGGAATTACTTCTTTAAGCACCACTTTCTCTTTCTGGAAAGCTATAGCAAAAGTCATGCCTGGGGGCCTCCTGGGTTTCCTCAACGCGTATTTCTACCTTTTCCCCTCTACTTTATAGTTAAGTCCCTTGAGCTTTAAAACATCTTTTTTTTTCCTTCTAGAAACACTAAATAAATGAAAGATCAAGAAATTATGAACAAGTCTCTGTATGCTGTATTTCATTTAAAGCTACTCAGGGTGGGAGACACAGAAGCTGGGGGATCATATTAATGTTAGTATTATCAAATGAAAAAAACACAAACACCAGCAGCAAATGCTGTTCCTGCTGAAAAAATCTGTCAAGATCTTTCTGTGAACATTGTGTGATGAAGTATGTTATCAGTAAATTCTTTCTTTGGGAAAAAATGTCAGTATAACAAGAAATAACCAAATCCAACCTGTCCTTAAAGGGAGCATTTATTGGTTTGAAGAACAAGAGATTACGGTAATAAGCACGTGCTGATCTTAGCATGGTACAGGCCAGTCAAACTTCACCATTCAAAATTAGGAAATTTTGGTTAATTGGATTTTTTTTTGAGCAACAAAATGGATTAGAAAACCTTTTAATCTTTTTTCAATATTTTCCAAGTTGATTTTTAATTTAATGATGGTTTTAAAATCATTCCTTGTTTAAATAGCTTGCATTTTAGGATCATCATGAATGTCAATTCTCCTCCTAGAATTTGGAAATTGTAGAATGCTAAGACAATGAACAGGACCTGACTTAACCCCAGAGTGTAACAGTGGATGTGTTAGAGGCAGTAGGTGTAGAAGAACTTGTGGTAGTTGTCTTCCATTTTGTTTTGATTTTTTTTTCTTCTTAAATATGAATGTAAAAAGCAGAACAACAAAAAAACCTGTGGTGAAGTCTGGTTAGTTGAATTTTTAAATAACTAGGTTTTATTTTAAAGTTATAGTCATATGAAACCTAAAAACATCCAACTACAGAGAGGTGAACTAAAATTAACTTTATCACATTCATTTATTCTTTCAACAAACATTGAGCAACCACTGTGTTCCAAATACCAGTTTCTTTCCTCAAGGAGTCCATAAACGCATCGTAATTATTAAGCAGTGGGCCAGGACAGGGCCCAACAGAAGGTTATGAGATCGCTGTGTGCTGAGGCCTATTTACCAGTTAGTATGTCAAAAAGACTGGTAGCAACTTAAGAGAAGGGGCTGTGCCTGGATCCACATTGTGTACACTGTTTCTAGCAGGTGCCTGCCCATAGCAGCCATCGTGTGGCATGGCAGGGAGCCAGTAGTGGTTCCTGCTGGAGAACAGGCCAGTAGGGGCCGAATTTACAACTTGAACTCCACTCCTAGTCAATGGGGAGCCAGCCACAGGATTTAAGCAGGGAAGTAATTTTCGTTTTAGGTAAAATGCAAAGCCTTGAAGTGACTAAGACTTGGGTTAGGAAGTCAAGGGGCAGGAGGAGCATTTACAAACTAGGTGAGTTCACATTCACACTGAAAAATACTGACCATTTGAGAATATCAAGGCCCTTGAAGGGGTCGGCTGACACTGAGCCAAGGCTGCCTCCTGTAGGTGGAGTGTGCACTCTCCAGCCCACTTGTCCTGCTCACTTCACTCAAGTTAGTTATCAGCATGTGGCTCTAGCAAGTTCTTCTGTTTTGACCTCTGATGGGGTTTCAGAAGAGGACTGAGCAAGGGCAGAAGCCTAGGGAACACCAACACAAAGGTGAAGACCAGCAAGAGGAACCCCCCCAAATAGATTCCCACGTGGCAAGAAATTACACCAACTGTTATTTTTCTCACAAGTGATCCAACAGGTGGACATAATGATGCCTTAAAAAACAACATGTTTTCTCCATTCTAAAGCTAAAGAGGGTCTGCTTTTTAATGAAGGCTTCACACATGTTATTGTTATCAATTATTATTTATATTGAAAAGTGACATTTTCCCCAGTTGCTCAACATGAGTCAAGACTTTGTAGAACCAAGAATATCCGTTTAGCTGGAAAAGATTATGTAGGTTGATTGGAATTGAAGCCTTCAGCAGACATGTTTACAGGGCTTTATAGTTTTTTAAGTACTTCTACACACATTATCTAATTTAATCTTCGTGATAATACTTTGAGGTCTATTCTACTCTATTATTACTGGTCCTGTAGACCCAGATGTTGGAGATCAGTAGGGATTGAGTAATATGCTGGGGATCATAGTCAGCGCTAAGACAAGAGTTCTTCATGTTGATTTCTCATCTTTTCCCAAAAGAAGCCCCCAGGAGTTTTTTTAAAGACAGATAGAAAAGAAAGGAAAGAACATTAAAAGGAAGGCCTACAATCTGTTATTTCTTCTGGGGAGTCAACTCTAATCTCCTCCCACTCCCCAAATCCAACGGGCTTGGTTGCCTTTCCTATGTGCTCCCAAGGCCCCCTGGGTTTAAATCTCCAGAGTCATTACCACTTTGTGCTGCAATTCTCCCTGTCTAGACTGCAGGGTCTTTGAGGGCAGGGCCTGTATGGATAACTACTGCATACTTAGGAACCAGAACGGAAGGTGCTCAGAAAAGAGTTGCTGCACCAATAAACAGATGCAACACAGTCACAAACACAAGAGGGTTCATCAGTCCATTTCCAATTCTAAGACTTGGAGAAAGGAAGTCAGTAAACATCAAACTTAAAAGGAAAAAAAAAAGCCAATGAGTTCCTTCTTCAATCATTACAATGTAAAATAAATCCAAGTGTGGCTGCTCTAATTGAATGGGGGGTGGGTGGGATTCAGAGCCTACCTCAGTGTCCCCCTTTTCTTGCCCCCAGGTAGCTCCCTGGGTGAGGCACCTCCTTAATGTGTGGATTCTACACATCACAGTTGGGAAGCGAGGATGAATGAGGAAGTCAAGTCAGTTTGTGCCATAATTCCTTAGTGCCAAGTTCAGGTTTCAAACCTGGATCTCTGGGCTCCTGGTCCCATTATGTGTGCAGTCACTAAGCCACATGCTCTCCTTTCCCAGTTCTGAATGTCATCCGTAAAACTAGGTTAGACTAGATTGTTTTTCTCAAATCGCTTTCCTGATTCTAAATCATGTCATGCCAATAACGGGCTTGCCATATCCACTTTGGTCTGTTTAGTTAAGGACACAAATTTTTATATACACTCAGTGATTAATGGCTTCTCATTAGGATTTCCCTGCCACAAATTAAACACAAACATAATACAGTACCAAAGGAAGCTTATTGAGGGGCATGGGTTTTATGAAGCACAGTGATGACATGAATCTTTTATAACTGTTTGCTGGTATAGAATCATAATTACAGCAATCAAGACAGATACACATCTTTTGTAAGGAAAAAAGTAATTATAATTTAAAAGCACACAGCTCAAAGTTGCCATCACAGAAACGACTATTATAGCAACTATTTCGCATTTGGACATTTTTTTGGCAGGAGGTCTGGGTATTGTTTATTGTAAGTCAGAAACAGGCACTGAGAAAATATGCAAATTTTTAAAGCAACAGAAAATGCAGTTTTGGGTTGAGAAAACAGGGTGAACGGTGGAAACTGGGCCTTGAGCACAAATCAACCTTAGTGGCTGAAATAACTTTTGGACATTGGATGCAATCATAGTAATCTGGGGGTAAGGTTAGAATAAAGTTAGTTTAAGCGTTAAAACATACATTCAAGATTTGGGCTGTGCTCCTGAGTCAAATTCTATCTTCTGTGAATGTCGTGCCTATGGATTGATTCTAAGCTGAAAGACCAGGGAAGAAAGCCTTCAGAATGCTTAACAATCCCCTTTTCCTTGGCCAGGCAGGGAATTCCCATTGCCTTATGAGGCAGTTCATTTTTGAGTCATAGAAGAAGCAAATGCAAGCCTCCTTCCTCATCCCACTGCCTCCCCAGGAAGGATGGATCACACTTGCTTGAAATAGAATTAACGCAGGATGACTAGTTGACTCGTACCCCAGGCCTCAGTTGTTTGCTGACATGCAGTAGATTTTTCAAAATCGCTTAATAATCAACAGGTGAAATCAGGATAGGTCATGTGACATTAGAGAAAAATGCATGGAGACTGGGGGTCAGGAGACCTGAGTGGTGCAAGGTTGGGCAAATACAGTATTGTAGGAGGTCCTCTCCTCCAAACTGAAGAGTGAGGTGAGGTCTGGGTTTCAATTTTTTTTAACCCTTTGTTCCAATCAAATCTCATGATGAAACAAGCAACATGACACATCAGCTCTAAACCTGAAGAGTCGGGAGGCAGAGCCACTGATTCACCCTTCCTCTAGCTTCCCCTCCTCCTCTCTCTTCCCTAACCCCAACCACCAGCATCTGGACCCTGAGTGTATTCCAAGTTGTTGGGGCAAGATTTGGAAATGACTGGATTGGGTAACTCAAAGTACTCAAATTCTAAGAATGAAATTCCCATAAACTGGAATAACCTCTGGGGGAAAAACGAAAAGCATGAGTTAAACTCCAAGAACTCCACAGTATTCATGATACCTCAATTAATAAATAGTGGTGCATGCCTGTAATCCTAGCTACTCGGGAGGCTGAAGCAGGAGAATTGCTTCAACCCAGGAGTCGGAGGTTGCGGTGAGCCTAGATAGCGCCACTGCACTCCATCCAGCCTGGGTGACGAGAGCGAAACTCCGTCTCAAATAAATAAATAAATAAATCTTCTTCAAAACATGGCTTGTTTTAAAAGTTCAACCACAGCAGCACTTTGAGAGGCCTAAGCGGGTGGATCACAAGGTCAGGAGTACGAGACCAGCCTGACCAACATGGCGAACTCCGTCTCTACTAAAAATACAAAAATTAGCAGGCGTGGTGGCGCACACCTGTAGTCCCAGCTACTCAGGAGGCTGAGGCAGGAGAATCGCTTGAACCCTGGAGGCGGAGCTTGCAGTGAGCCAAAATAGCACCATTGCACTCCAGCCTGGGTGACAGAGTGAGACTCCGTCTCAAAAAAAAAAAAAAAAAAAGTTCAACCGTAGCTACGATGTGTAGGGGTTTCTGTCTCAGGTCTTAGGCCTATTCCTAGGGACGTAGGTGGCAATGAGACAGACTGAGTTGAAGAGAGCAGTCCTATTTTTTGTGCCTTGTGACCTAGCTAAGCCCCAGGACAAATGCGGGAAATAAAACTGCCAAATTTAATGGTTTACCCAAAGTTATCCAAGTAAATGGCAGAGTCCAGACCAGAGTCTAGAGTTGGCACTCCCAGTCCTAACCATTTTCAGAGAAACACATTGTCTTGTAGTACCAACTACATTCTGTGAAAGCCGGGAATGATAGTATTCATTTATGAGGGAGAGGTTTTCAAATTCTGTGTTATAGATCTGTGCTGCCCAATATGGTAATCACTAGCCACATGTAACCATTGAGCACTTGAATAGAGTTAGTAGGATTTGAGATGCGCTGTTTTATGTGTTATGTATACATTAGATTTTGAAAACTTAGTACCCCCAAAATGTAAAATATCTCATTAATACTTATATTGACTTCATGTTGTAATGGTAATATTTTGGATATATTGAGTTAAATAATATATATTGAAATTAATTTTGGTTGGGCACCATGGCTCACTCTTGTAATCCCAGCACTTTGGAAGGCCAAGGTTGGCGGACTGCTTGAGTGCAGGAGTTTGAGATCAGCCAGGGCAACAAGGCAAAACCCAGTCCCAGTCTCTATAAAAAATACAAAAATTAGCTGGGCATGATGGCGGACACCTATAGTCCCAACTACTTGGAAGCCTGAGATGGGAAGATCACTTGAGCCCGGGAGGTCAAGGCTGCAGAGAGCTGTGTTCGTGCCACTACACTCCAGCCAGGGTGACAAAGAAAAAAATTAATTTCACTTGCTTATTTTTGCTTATTTTAATGTAACTAGTAGAAAATTCTAAATATGTATATAACACATTATATTTCTATTGGTCAGCACTGTTAGAAAGTGATTGCTCTTTATAGAAGAGTCTTTGGAAAAAGATAGAATTGGTAGGGCTCATGAATTCCTCTCTCCAGAGCAATCACTCTTAATTTATTTAAATAGATTAACATGTGGTAAGAATATTTTGGTTTCTGCACAGAAGTTTATGGCTAATGGTAATAGTAATAATAATAAAAGAGCCACCACTTATTAAGTCTTTTTGAAAAGACTTATGTGTCAGGCACCATGCCAAGTGTTTTATATTTGCCTCATTTACTTGTCACAACAATCCCACTGTTACTAAGTTTTATTATTCCCACTTTCCCAATGAAGGAATTGAGATTCTCAGAGAATTAGCAACTGCCAAGGTCAGGAGCTGGTTAAGTGGTTGGACCAAGATTCTACCCTAGTCCGCTTGCACTTAAAGCCTGGGAACTTAAGCGCTACACAATTCTGCTCTGCTGGGACTAACAGTCCGGATGAAAATACTACTCTCAGAATTCTACAGATTCCCACTATGTTTGAAGGCACTGGAGGGAAGGTGGGATACAGAAGGTGGGGCAAAATCGTGGCAGTCCTCGAGGATCTTACATTATGGTAGGGAAAACATGAGCAATGAAATACGTGTCAGAGGAAGACCTCATGAGAGAGATGAAAACATAAAATCCCTCAGCGGACAGGACAGACATGAATTCATTCCAGTTGTGGGGGAAAAGGGAGGGTTTCATGGAAGAGGCAGCATTTCAGAAAGAACTCTAAAGATGAGGAAGGTTTTTCTGCAGTTAGGAGTAGCTAGGGAGAGGCGTGCCAGGCGGAAGAAATGGCGGGAGCAAGACAAGTCCTGTGAGGGGACCAGCAAGGGGGCCCAGATTGCTGTTTACCCACGGCAAGAGGTCAGAAAAAAGACTGAGGAGAGAGTTCCAAGTCAGGACAAGTTGAGGAGTGGGAACAAAGCTGAAACAAGATGTATCCCTTGCTTTCTTGACAAGGCAGTGACAGCATTTCTTGGGTTGAAGAGAAGTTTTTGGGCCGGGCGCGGTGGCTCACGCCTGTAATCCCAGCACTTTGGGAGGCCGAGGCTGGCAGATCACGAGGTCAGGAGATCGAGACCGTCCTGGCTAATATGGTGAAACCCCGTCTCTACTAAAAATACAAAAACTAGCCGGGCGTGGCGGCGTGCCCCTGTCCCAGCTGCTGGGGAGGCTGAGGCAGGAGAATGGCGTGAACCCGGGAGGCGGAGCTTGCAGTGAGCCGAGATCGCACCACTGCACTCTAGCCTGGGCGACAGAGCAAGACTCCGTCTCAAAAAAAAAAAAAAAAAAAAAAAAAAAAAAAGAAAGGAAGAAGAAGTTTTCGGTGTGACTTTCAAAATCAAAAATAGGTTTATATTAATGCACTTTGGAGAATGCTAGTCTTTTTTCTAGTACCTGGCAGAACGAGCAGTAACACCAACCACAGCAAAATCAGCCTGAAGACCTTCCAAGAATTACCCAATCTCCATGAGCCAAAAACAAAGCAAAGCAAAACAAAACAAAACAACCAACCAAACAAACCAAAAAACCCAAACATCCAAATGTGACACAGATACCACGGGAGCAACCCCCAGGCGGCAACATTCTTCCGTATTCCAAGATATCTATCAGCAGAAACAGGCCCCCATCCGTGCTCTGATTAAAACCCTGGTTTTTCTTCTCTTCCATTAGAGGAAGACCTGTCTTAAAGGGCAATAGATTCACCAAATCGTCACAATTGCTAACATTCACAAGGCAGAGAGACAAGACTAGAAGAAGCACCTTTCACCAGATGTAGAAGAGAGTGAATAATTTTATTAGGGAAACTCTTTTTAGATGTTTGCTGTTTTTCAAATGTAATATTTAAGATGGAACTCACCCCTCAAGCCCTGCACAGGGTAGCTGGAGTCTCCCCTTTCTAGAGAGCTACTTGGACTTGCACCTTTACTCCATTAAATCCCAAAGGATTCAGAGATTTTTTTCCCCCTAGTTCTGCTTTCAAAATCTTCCAGGAAGTTAGGACCATTAAGTGAGGCCTATTGTTATGAAGAAGTTTAGTGATTAAAATGTAGTCCCTGTCTAATCCCAGCCTGGGGGTTTGCCTCTTGATTAAAATATGTGGGGGCGGAGTTAAGGAAAGGAGGCCTGCTGAGGGGTAAATTTACTTCAGGTTAACCCTGCTTTGCATCAGTCATTTCCTGCAAACCCATTACCATAGCCAGGCACTAGCAAATCCTACCTTTCCAAAACTGGCCCTTTTCAAGAGGCACTTACTGGTAATCCTGGAGCTTCCTCTCTGGCATTTCCTTTACCCACCATGAATGTCTGGTCTTCCCAATTCCTCATCACAGACAGAAAAAAATCATCACAAATCCACGAGTCCTCAAAGTCTGGAGCTTCTAGCTAGGCAGAATTCATTGGTTGCTGGTTGTCCATTTTGAAGTATTCTCTTGGGTCTTTTTGATGAGATTGCAATCTTTATTTGGAGATGTTGGGGCTTTATGGAAGAAAACCCTTCCTTCAGGTGTATCTTAACTCAAAAGGAGCTGCCTGGACATTTTAAAATGCCCATTGGGCTGTATGAGTTGAAATCGATGTTGTGAGGATGAGAAAATGGAAAAGAACAAATAGGAGTGGGCAAGGGCACAGATGTTCTTCAGGGATACAGTGTCCGGCCAAAACTGGGATTTGAACCTCATTACAAAGTCGATACAGACTAGAGCATGGCTTCTATCTGTTCTTCCTCTTATTTTTTAATTTTTTATTTGTTTATTTTTGTAGAGATGGGGGTCTTGCTTGTTGCCCAGGCTGGTCTCGAACTCCTGGACTCAAGTGATTCTCCCACCTTGGCCTCCCGAAGTGCTGAGCTTACAGGCAAGAGCCGCCACACGGAGCCCTGGTCTTCCTCTTTTTTTTTGAGACCAAGTTTCACTCTTGTTGCCCAGGCTGGAGTGCAATGGCATGATCTCGGCTCACTGCAACCTCTGTCTCCTGGGTTCAAGAGATTCTCCTGCCTCAGTCTCCCAAGTAGCTGGGATTACAGGCGCACACCACCACACCCGGCTAATTTTGTATTTTTAGTAGGGAAGGGTTTCACCATGTTGGTCAGGCTGGTCTTCAAACACCCAACATCCGGTGATCTGCCCGCCTCGGCCTCCCAAAGTGCTGGGATTACAGGTGTGAGCCACCGCGCCCGGCCTCTTCCTCTTAAAGTTGATTTAACATTTCCAGATTCCTCAGCTCTACCCACATTGGACCCACAGATTTTGCTATCTTATTCTATTGCCCTTTCAGTCATTATATAGAGCTTGGACTTGTTAACAAGTTTAAATAAATTTTCTTTTCCTTTTAGATTTTTGAAGACTGAGGTCTTCAAAACATCTCTTTGCAAAAGTGTACAAAATATAGACTAAAATGTTAGTGTTGCCCTCCTTCCTCCACTGCTTTATACTCCCAGCCTTCACTCCACATTCAGCAGTTTATTCTCTTTTTGTGCTACAAGTATTTCTTGATCCCCACTCTGCCTGGCACTGTTTAAGGTGCTGTGGTTAAAGCAGTGAACAAAGGAGAAGATGTCTTGACCCTCATGGAACTTACATTCTAGTGGAGGGAGACAGACCCCAAACAAATAAATGCATACTGCTTTAGGAAACGACTTTGGATCTCACTCGGAGTGAAATAGGAAGCCACTGTAGGACATCATGAAGAAGAATGAAATGGCTTTTTTTTTTTAAAAGGCTAACTGGCTGCTTTGTGGAAAATGGTTAGCAGGGTGAGAGACTACCTGGGAGGCCATTGGAAAAGGCCCAGTGAGAGTTGTTGGTGGCTTGGATTAAGGTGACTAACCATAAATGTGGGGAGAAGTGCTACAACTTAGGGATATGGTTTGGAAGAAGAATTGTCAGGATTTGATGAAAAATTGGACAAAATAAGAAAAGAGAGCTGTGAAAGATAAAGCTGAAGTTTTAGGCTTGAGCAACGAGGTAAATAGACTAAAATGAGGTGGAGGACTGAAGGTTCAAGTTAGGTGCAGGGGAATGAAGAGCTCTGAATGCTCGTAGATCTCCAGTGGAAATCTCTAGGTGGCAACAGCATTCTCGAGAGAGGTGAAGCTGGAGCTCTATATTTGGGACCTGTGGCACACACAGAATTTAAAACTCTGTGTAATCATGCCAAGGGAGCGTGACAATGAATGAAGATGGAGGAGAAGATTCAAAACCAAAATGGGGTGGAATAACTAAAAATTAAATGGCCGAAGTTGTTTTATTTAACATTATACATGCTAGTACAACAAACACGATTACAAAAGCTGGTATTATACCTAATCCAATTTCTATTCTATTATTCTGCCTCATTTTGTTAGCCAAATTTTTATGTAAGATTTAATGACTCTAAAACCAAGGTTTTTGGCCTGAGTAGCTGTAGGAATGTAGTTGTAATTTACTGATTTGGGGAAGTCTGAGAACAGACTTGTGGGGTGTGGTCAGGGCAGGAAGTCAAAATTTGAGACAATCGAGGGGAGATGTTGAATAGACTGTTAGATATGAGAGAATGAATTCATGGGAGAGGTCTGGTTTGAGACTAGATTTGGTTTTATCCGCTATAGATAGTGTTCCTATGGGGTGTGAGTGTAGCTAGAGAACAGATAAAGGCCCTGGGCTCTCCAATGTCTAGAGGTGGAGAATATATCGAGGAATTGGAAGGAAGATAATGAGATAAGGGAGGAAAAAGCAGAAGTCCTATCTAACATGCCAAATTATCTTAAAATTACAAGAACTGAAAACATCAAATAGTCTCAGAGTCTCCCCTAATTCGGCATAAGCAAAGAATACTATGTCTTTTATTTATTTCACCTCTGCATTTAATTCTAAATCTCCCTAGGATTATAGATACATACCTGCTAAGAAAATAATTATGTCATCCAAACAATTTTCAGATGCTTTCCTAGGGGAATTTTTTGGAATTCTGTTTTCAGCTAGTCATGTTGCCCATTGCCTAGAGATTTTGGCTGGGTGTGACATATGAAGCTGGGCACACACGGCACTGCTTCTCACCTCCATGCTGCCATATGAAGGAAGGTGTTCTTTTCTTTCTCTCTGTTATGAATTTGAAGGCTTGAGGGCACGTAATTTAAGCAACCCCAGGGGGGCTATACTGCTTGATTGGACTTTCACATTTTACCCTTTGCATTTCTTTGTCTTTTGAGGTTATGCCAAGATCTTTCCCTGGAACACTGCCCATGGGGTTGGAGACACCCTACAAAGGTTCTGTGGATAGGCTCCAGGGGTCTGTGAACTTGAATGGGAAAAATATTTAGGTTATTTTCATTAACCTTTAGTTGAAATTCAGCAATTCCTTCAACTAATGGATGTAGGCAGAAAATTACATGAGTTTTAGCAGTACTCGGACTTTGTCACCCATAGAAATCACAGATATTTTCATATCACCTTACAATTGTTTCAGATATCTCCAGATGTCATCTGAGAAGGTGCTTCAGTAGACTGTGATAGGGGCCTGTGGTGCAGAATAGTGGAGGACCGTGCTATCTCTAAAGATATATTCCACTGGATATATATTCTACTGGATATATATTCTACTGGAGTTTATATATATGTATATATATATATATATATATATATATATTTTTTTTTTTTTTTTTTTTAAACAGGGTTTCATCATGTTGCCCAGGCTGGTCTTGAACTCCTGGTCTCAAGCAATCCACCCACCTCATCCTCCCGAAGTGCTGGGATTACAGGCATGAGCCACCGTGCCCGGCCTCTACTGGATATCTTGATGCCTTGTTCAATGACATTAACTTCATTCATGGTGTCTTTCTTGTCAGAGGCTTTACATTTTGGGTGGTGAAGTCTGCTATTATTACTTTTTCTCCATGGCTTCTAGGCTTTGTGTATTTCTTGGAAAGGCCTTCCCCACTCAAAAGTAATAAACGTACATTGTAACTCTCCAATATTTTCTTTCAAAATTTTTATAGGGCTTTTGCTTTGTTTTGTTTTCCTTTTTATTTTATTTGTTTATTTTGTTTAGAAATGGGGTCTTGCTCTTTTGCTCAGGCTGGCCTGGAACTCCTGGGCTCAAATGATTCTCCCATCTCAGCCTCCTGAATAACTGAGACTACATGTGCCTGCCACTGTGCCCAGCTTGTTTTGTTTTTCATGTAGCACTTTAATCCAATTGGAATATGTTTTTGTGTCTGCTGTAATGTAAGCATCTAACTTTTCTATTTCACTTTCTAAAATGGCAGCCAAATATCCTAATAGTATTTATTGGATAGTGAATAAATTTGTCATATATCATATTTTTAGTAGCTTTACTGTGATATAATATTATACATATTTAAAGTGTACAATTTGATAAGTTTTGACATAGCTATATACCTGTGAAACCATTACTACCATCAGGAGAGTGAATAATTCATATTTTTAAATAATTTCCATTTTATTTATCTTTTGAATAGTTAACATATTCACATGGTTCAAAATTCAAAAATTTTGCAGACTCTGCACTTGATGGATCAGCTGGCACCACCCAGATCGATAAACTAGCTCATCTCATCTAGTGGCCCCCACCCAGGAAATGACCAGCTTCGACTCCCTACGATTTCATCCGTGACCAATCAGCACTCCTGGCTAACTGGCTTTCCCCGACCCACCAAATTATCCTTAAAAACTCTGATCCTCGAATGCTCAGGTGGACTGATTTGAGTAATAATACAACTCCAGTCTCCTGTACAGCCGACTCTGCGCGAATTACTCTTTCTCTTGCAATTCCCCTGTCTGGATGAATCGGCTCTGTCTAGGCAGCGGGCAAGGTGAAACCGTTGGGCGGTTACACTCGATGGCATCCATGGGATTGCTGCCGCGAACCGTGATTCTGATTTGCTGAATTGAAACTAGAATTAGCCAGGGCTGATGACCCACTCTCCGCCCATTCTGCCCCTGTTCCATGAGATTTGGCCTCATTAAAACTGAACAGCAGTGGGTCAAGCAAGTCTCTTCAATGTTTGTCTAGCTCTTCCTAATCTAAATGTCCTCTAGGTAGTAGGATCATCTTAGCCCTCCTACCCATGTAACTTCTTCCTGGGACACATGACTTCATGAAATTCTAGGGCATGGGCATTCTTACCAAACATATGTTCTAACATGAAATAATGCTTAGTTTTAAACTGATATGTTAATATCAGTATGGTAGGTACACATAGGAGGAAGAATCATCTTAAATGTATATCTGTATTGGAAGTGAAAGAGAAGAATGAATTTATTTTGAATGTACTGATGAAAAAGAATTCAGCTTTACTGCATAACCTCCCATAGAGTTAGTGCAAGCCATGATTATAATAAGCTTTTATGGTCTCTCTCTCTCTCTCTCTGTTTTGTTTTTGTTTTAAATTTTTAGTTTCAAAAATCATTCTCTAAGTGTCACTGAGTTCAAGCGCACTTCACTGAAGAGCGTGTTAGTGTTCGTCACAGCATCTGTGTTTTATTTTGGGAGGTCCATGAGACTTAATTGGAAAGAGAATTGGCTGTGATTTCTTCTTTTTGTCCCCTTAATTGAAAAAAACAAAGCCTGGCTGTTACTGTTTGAAGACCCTTTTTAAAAATCATTCTTTAGCTTCCCCTTGATTTGTGTTTCTTGCTAAAAGTTTTCCCAGAGGAGGGCTGAAGACAACCCTAGAACAGTTCAGACGTTCTGTTCTATTCCCTTTCTGTCGAAGCACTCCAGATAAGAGCCCTGAAGGAGGGAACACATTCAGCCCTCACAGTAGGATGCCGGTACTTTATAATAACCTCTCCCACAGCCCCAAGCTCTCAGCACTATTCACTTTCTACCAGGACCCTTAACATAGCACAAAGAAAGACTTTGAAAGTCCCTGGACCCCACATCCCTGCTGAGAGCCCAGGATGCAGGATACCACACAGCAGTCTTCAAAAAGCCCCTAATTTTATTTCCATCTCTGATTTCTGAACCACGGTCTTCTGCTTGAACAAGGGGAAGAACAGCTGTGTAAATAAATGTAGATGACTGAAACAGGCTAAACGTTTTTTCCCAATAATTCACATAGACTCCCTGTTGATTGTAAGATGAATAATGATATGGGCAAAAAGTGCTCCAATACATGGTATTCTCTGGGAAGAGATTTGTTGGTATTAAGCACCCGGAATAGTGGTCTCTATAAAATAGGGATGCGGCCTACTGGTCACCGGAAACAGTTAACTGTATCACATTATTATTATTATTATTATTATTTTGAGACGGAGTTTCACTCTTGTTGCCCAGGTTGGAGTACAATGGCATGATCTTGGCTCACTGCAACCTCTGACTCCAGGGTTCAAGCGATTCTCCTGCCTCAGCCTCCTGAGTAGCTGGGATTACAGGCATGTGGCACCACGCCTGGCTAATGTTTTGTATTTTTAGTAGAGATGGGGTTTCTCTATGTTGGTTAGGCTGGTCTCGAACTCCCGACCTCAGGTGATCCACCCACCTCGGCCTCCCAAAGTGCTGGGATTACAAGCGTGAGCCACTATGCCCAGCTGTGTATCACATTATTTTAGTTAGAAACTTTCACAAAGTTTTCCTAAGATCAATCATTCATTCAACAAACATTTATTGAGCATCTACTATATACAAGAATTTTTTCCTAGGTGCTTTTGGGGACACTTGGCAAGCCTGAATGAGATCTATCTATGCCTTTAAGGCTGTGGAACAGAGCAAAGGGATAAATAGTGATTAAGAGTATAGTTTCTGAAATCATCTGGCCTAGGTTTGAGTTCTAACTTGATTACCTGCTAGCTGTGTGGCCTTGGGCAAGTTGCAAAGCTTTTCTGAGCTTCAATTTCTTCATCTTCAATATTATCTTCTTCACAATGACATTTATGAAAATTAAATAACATGATGAAGAGTATCTGCCACATAATAAAAATGTCAATATAACGATTAACTATTATATTAGTTGGGGTATGGACTAAGCTACTATAGCAAAAAGACTCCAAATTCCAGTAGCAGAGCATAATAGAGGTTTATTCTTCTCTCTGTCCAGAGGTAGGAATTCTGTGGCTATAAGGGGGCCTCCACATTTTAACATGGCTTCCAGCTCTAAGACCAAGATGGTTGCTCTGGCTCTTACCACATCCCAGCAAGCAAGAAAGGTAAAAGGCCAGGTGAAGACATGCTTCATCTTTTTAAGGACATCACCCAGAAGTGGCTCATTTCACTTCTGATTACATTCCATGTTCCAGAACTTAGTCACCTGATTGTGCCAAGTTGCATTAGAAGGGTGGGAACTGTAGTCTCTAGCTGACCGCACGCTCAGTTAAAACTCCTAACTTCCATTGTGCAAGATGTTCGGTCATAAGCCATCTCAGTCACAGCTATCATTATTAGCTGGCCTTAGGACTGATGACAATCGCTGCTATAAGAGCCTTGAAAGTCATAGGAGGTAGACTCCTGGACACATGGGGAAGGAAGAAAACATCCAGATGGGGGGATAGAGAGCTCAGAGGCATCAAAGAGAAGAGGCATTCAGAGTGTGTGGAGAAGTCCAGATTATCGGAGTGTAGCAGGCAGTAGCAGAACTGTATGGAAAATAAAGCCAGATCAGAGGTGAACCGCAGACCAGGAAAGGTCTAAGGCATTTGGCCTGCATTTGTTAGGCCATGAAGAGATAGTAAAGTTTTGGTTTTTTTTTTAAACAGAAGGTCTCACATATTTATTACTCAACTCAATCAACCAGTGGGTTTGTAACAGGTACAGAGAGGAAAAATATCTTCCCAATAAAACATGTCCAGCTCTCCAGATAGTGGTGACATTTTCAGTTTGATATGATAACATGATTGTGACCTTCAGACAGCATAAATATGTGTGCCATCTCATGTGGCACACTATAGACCCAACTTGGTTCTTCTCCAATGTCTCCTTTTGGAGTTGTGCCTGATTTTATTACCAATTTTCATCCGAATCCACTGGGGAATAGGACGATTTTGCTTTTGTTTCTTGGCCGGGAATCACTTAATCCCAAAAGTCTTGTGAGAAGCTAAGTCAAGCACACAACATTATGGTGGAGAAAGGAAGAGGGCGGGAAGTGAGAAGAGATAGTAAAGTTTTGTGAGCAGGGGAGGGAAAAATTGGGGATGACCTGGTATAGGAACATATGTCTGAAAGCAGAGAATAGAATGGATTGACAAGGAAGAGAATGGAGGCTGTGAGACTGACTGGAGAGGGCATTCCAATAAGCCAGGGATGAGATTCTCAGGGCCCAGTGTGGTCCCAGGTGGTGGTAGGATTGGAAAGAAAGAGCCAGATGGGAGGTACCTCTGGAAGTAGAATCAGCAGGATATGATTACCAATTAGGTATGAGTCTGAAAAAAATAGTGCAGAATGACACAAATTCTGCAGTTTTAGTTTTTGTCAGGACAGAGATGCCATTAACAAGGAGAGAGAAGCTGGGAGGGCATAGCGACGAACTGGGATGCAGTTCTGGTTTGTGAGCCAGGAAAGGGAAGAATCTCACGGTACTCTTATAATGTAATTTCTTTTTTTGGATAATTATTTAATGTCTGCTTTCCCCTGCTACACCGTAAACTCATCTATTGCTGCCTAAAAAAAAATCTCAAACTTTGTGGTGTAAAACAAATAAACATTATTTATTATTATTACCTCTCACAGTTTGAAAGATTGCCTTTGCTCAGGTTGGCAGGTTTCACTCAGGGTCTCTCATTTACTTGCCAGATGAGGGCTGGAGTTGGAATCATCTCAAAACCTTCTTCATTCATGTATCTGGTAGTTGATAGTGGCCATCAACTGAGCCCTCAGTCGAGACCCTCAGCCAGAACTCTTATATGAGGCTTCTGCCTGTGGTCTGCGTTTCTTTGCAGCATAGTGGCTGGGTTCCAAGAGCACTGCAGAGAAAGCTAAGGAGAAGTTTCATTGCTGTTTACTACCAAGTGACATGGTGACACTTCTGCTGCATTTTATTAAGGAGTAACAAGTCACCAAGGCCAGGCCATATTCCAGGGCTTGAGGGGAGGAATGCTAAGAGTTTATAGACACATTCTGTGAGGACAGGGGGCTGGTCTGTATTTTTTTAACCTCTGTATTGTCAATGCTTGGGAAAAAGTCATATACTGTGTGATCAATGAAAGTTTGTTGAACAAATGAACGTAGACAAACATAAGCAGGTTCCAGTGCCACAGAGAGATTGTTCAGTGTGAAGACTGGGGAATGTTGGCTCTCACTAACTGTTCATTACTAGTATGGCCATCATTTCTATGTGGGGGACCCAATTTTCAGCAACTTTCACTAATTTGAAATTTGGGAAATGTTCAAGTGGGAGAAAAAAGACATCGCGATTCCTTTATATTGGGTCATTGGCTCTTGAGTTTGGCACAAGTGGATCTGAGAGGCAAAATCTGAACCATATATCTATATCTCACCGATGGTTGGTACTGCAAGACAAGCAGCTCCTGTCTTGCTACTCTGGGTCCTGAGTTGGGAATGTTCTTACTGGTGAAGGGGAAGAGGCTTGGAGGAGGAGGGAGTAGGGTGCCAGCAGCCAGATGGCTCAACTTCTCTCATTTTCCTATGGACTTTTTCTAAGGTATCCCCTCTTTTCCTCTTTTTCAAATTCTGATGATGTAGCTGCCATTTCCCCAGGAGACATTACTTTTTTAAAAAGCTTTCGCTGTGAATTAAATAAACAAAACAAATAAATAAAGTAAGAGAAATATTTATTCATTATAGAACATTTGAAAAATATTGCACATTATAGAAAACAAAAGCTGTACGTATTTCTACTAGCCAGGAACAACTACATTGATGATATTTTCTTTGAATAAAATAACTAGATAGTTGGAATAATATAATACAGAAAGTTGTACATCAGATTTTTAAAACATAACTTTATAATAAAGACATTTTTCTGAAGTTTCTAACTCTGTCCTTACTTGTTGTTTTAGCTTGGGCAAATTACTTAACCTCTCTAAACCTCAGTATCCTCTTCTGCAAAATGGAGGTAATAATAGTACCTTCTTCACAACTTGCTGTCAGGACTAAATAAGATGACATGTAAAATTCTTAGCTTGCACCTGGCATATGGTAAACATTAATTGTTAGCTAATATTAATATTTTTATGTCATGCATGAATTCATTGTATTAACAAAATGCGATTTTTCAGTTAGTGCGTAATAGTCATTGTATAGCTGTACCATGATTTATTTAACTATTTTCCTGGTTTTGGACACTTATATTGTGCAAAATGCTTACTATTATAAATAACTTTGTGATAAAAGTCCTTCAATATAAAACTTTGTCCACCTTACAGATGAAGGTAAATTCTTAGAAGTGAAAGCAATTTTTGAGGGAAGGGGAGAGAACATCAGGGGAGTTCTGGCTTTCCTTAGCCACCCCAGCTCAAATTCTTCATGATCTCCCACAGCTGCCTTGGATATAAGGCCCCTAAAAAGGGATAACAGTTTTGGGCTGGCTTCTAAAGGAACTTGGGTTGAAGGAGAAATGGGGACACTTTGGGAGATTTCTAAGTCTTCCCTCCTCTTTGTTACAAATTCTCAAAAGGACAGGAGTCACTAAACTGGAAACCAGAAGACCTGAGGTCTAGTTCCAGCTCAGTGGCTAATTGTGCAACTTTGGGCAAGTTGCTAAACTTCTTTGGGCTTCCCTCTTGGTAAGATGAAGGAATTTGGCTTCACTTCTAAAGTGCCTTTGAACGCTAGCATTCAATAGATCAAAGAGTCTGACAACTTCATAGACAATGTCAACCTTCCCCACCTCCTATTTCAAGCAGAGATTCTGGTTCATTTAATCTTCATTCATTCATTCAAAAAGCATTTACCTACCACCTACTATTCATCTATCACAGAAATGAATTACAGGGTGTCTTATCCTTGATAAACTCCCAGCCTGGTGGAGAGATAGAATGAGAAAGAAGTTATATTGACACACCGTAATAAATGCTATAAAGGTTATTACTAACTCCCATGGATAGACAGAAGAAGGAAATGTATGTTGTGTTTTTAATGGCGCTGGGTGGGAGGGTCAGATTAGGAGCAGATTCACCTAGGAAAAAATGTCAGTGTCTCCAATCGCCTTTGTGTATGAGGTTGATCCTAAGTATTAATAAAAGCTTTCCCTCTATGAGACCTTTGTCTGTCTTAAAGTATCTCCATAAAGCATATATTGTTGAGCATCTCCAGTGTGGGAGACAGAGAGTTGATGTCAAGGTGAACAAAATGGCAGCCTTACCCTCCAGGATGGTAAAGGTAGCTATGAAGGTAATGAGGCTGTGGGAGGAGGTGGGAGCCTTCGGGAGGGAGCCATTTTATTCCTGAGATATCTGGGGAAAAGTGTTCTTTCTCAAATTCTAGAAGGAATGCTGGGTTTGGAGTTGGAGGAGTTAGGTTCAGCTCCAGTGTCGGGTGAGTTGCCTAATGACTGTGAGCATCAGTAACCAGCCCCAGGAACATTTACCTGGAGGTGGTGTGTGTAAAGCTGGAGTCTGTTACACACTGAAGAAATAGTCTTGTCTCCTTCCTTCCAGTTACTAATCTTTCAGAGTCTCGGTTTACACACCCTGAAAGTGTGAATAGCGTCTCTCCCTGTGTGTAGAAGTAACATGTAACGGAGGCATCTGGCGAGGCCAGAGCATTATTGTGGTTCTGGAGGAGGGAGATTAAGAGCTGAGATATTAAAGAACTAGCTTCTCCATTAGACTTTTTAAGGATGATTCTGGCATTCACGAGGGAGTTGTTGCTCTTTAGCAGAAGGGCACTGGCCAGCAGCAGTGGCTGAACCAGGGCCTGATGGTGGCGAAAGCGCTCGGAGGAAAGGGAAATGGAGCAAAGTGGAAGGTGGACAGGGCCAGCGGACCGCACTGCAGTCAGACCTAGCCCCAATGCCAGCAGGAAAGGGGCACTTCAGCAGGGTGGAGTCTGGGGATGGGGTGGCTGCCCAGGCAGTGCAGGCCACCTAGTAATGTGGAGAATGTGACAAGGAGCGGCCATCACTCCTTCACCTCTGTCCCTTCTTGTTATGTTCCAAAGGGAAAAGCTGTGATGAAAGGGCTTTTAAAAAAGTAGGACAAGGGAAAGATCAACCACGCCGGGTTGCCAGGACAATAGTGAATGGAACAGCTGGGTTGGGTGCCTTGGCTGTGCAGTGGGGAGAAATGCCCTGAGAAGCTCTGTGCTTTGCTAAACATTCAAAGATTATGTAAAAGATCCAGTGTAACCCTCCCCACCACCCCTCTTTCTTGACACTCCCAAAGTCCAAGAGAGAAAAGGAGGGAGAGAGAGAGAGAGAAAATTTGTTTTTGTGTAGGAGGGGAGATAAGTGGACTGAGAGAGAGAGAGAATGTAGGATATCCTAGGGCAAGTTCATGTGGGCACCAGGAGAGAAGAGGGAATCCATACAGCAGTGCTGGGAATGCTATCTCCATGTGTACAGAGTGCTTGCTCTGTGTGTGGCTCTGAAATAGGTGACTTTTTTCTTCGGATGGAATAGGATTTGTGCAGCCCTTGGGATGAGCTGCCTTGCAATGTGTTTTGTGTGCGTGCTCTCCCAGGCAGCAGACTTCTGTCCCAGTGTGCTCCCTCTGGGTAGTGTAGGTGTCTGGTTAAGTCTGTTCAGGAACTTACTTTCTGAGGTGGATACACTGACATGGATATATTCAAAGAGCTGAAGAATAAAATATGAATAAGGCACAAAACATTTGCGAAAAAAGAAAGATCTGAGTGTAAGAAGTCAATCAAAATTTATGTTGACTATCTTAGTACAGTAATATCATTCTTGCTGCTAAAGTTTTAAAATTGACAGATGGATTTGTAGCTATTAAAATTGTCATATGCCTACTAGAAGGAAGTCTCTATTAGAATATAGTTTTTTAAAATTATTTTTATTATTATTATCCTGGTGATTATTTTTATCCTGGCGAATAATTTTTCATAACAATATTTTATTAATATTATATAAATAGTAATATTTGACATGTTGCATTTAAAATCTAATATTATGTTATATATAATAAATATCATTTATAAAATATTTTATTCATATACTATATTGACAGGTATCAACTATTATACCATTTAATCACCCCAAGAATCCTGTGATGTGAAATATTTATTAGTATTGTCATTTGACAGATGAGAAAATGGATTGAAATTGCCCAATTCTATAGAATTAATGAAGAGTGGAGCTGGTATTGAGGCCTAGAATTATTTGAATACAACCCAACCCTATGTTCTTTTTTTTTTTTTTTGAGACGGAGTCTTGCTCTGTCACCCAGGCTGGAGTGCAGTGGCGTGATCTGGGCTCACTGCAAGCTCTGCCTCCCTAGTTCACGCCATTCTGCTGCCTCAGCCTCCCGAGTAGCTGGGACTATAGGCGTCCGCCACCACGCCTGGCTAATTTTTTGCATTTTTAGTAGAGACGGGGTTTCACCGTTTTAGCCAGCCTCAGCCTCCCAAAGTGCTGGGATTACAGGCGTGAGCCACCGCGCCCGGCCTGTTTGTTTGTTTTCTGAGATGGAGTTTCGATCTTGTTGCCCAGGCTGGAGTGCAATGGCACAATTTCGGCTCACTGCAACCTCCGCCTCCTGAGTTCAAGCGATTCTCCTGGGTCAGCCTCCTGAGGAACTGGAATTACAGGCGCCCGCCATAACGCCCAGCTTATTTTATTTATTTATGTATTTTTTGTTGTTGTTGCATTTTTGGTAGAGATGGGGTTTCACCATGTTGGCCAGGCTGGTCTCAAACTCCTGACCTCAGGTGATCCACCCACCTCAGCCTCCCAGAGTGTTGGGATTACAGGCGTGAGCCACCTTATCCGGCCCAAACCTATGCTCTTAATGACAAATAATCCAAAGCTAATAACTTGGATGATCAAAAAGATCTCATAAGAAATAGAGCTATGAATGGAAACTAACAAGATTACATAAAAAGGGTTGGATGGAAAATTCTAAGTGTACTTTCATAAAACCAGCTATTTGAGTTTGAAGTGGGAAACTATGGCTTAGTAATGGTTTAGATGAAATATACTTGGGTGTACATTTTTTTAAAAAAATCTTAAGTTTAATATAAGCCAACAAATACGTAACATGACTGCCCATAAAAGCTAATTGCTGAGGTTGTAGCAGTAGAATTATTATTTACAGAAATACAACTATAAAGTGGCAGGAATTGGCAAATGGAACACGAAGAAAGCATTCATGACAGTGAAGAGTCTGAAAAACAACTTGGTTTCTAACAATTTCAACAATGAGGAATTGTTGAAAGTATTATAGTATTTGTTTTTTTCTAGAAAGCAGTAATAATTATTATAATAATACCTAATTCTTATATATTTCCTTAACCCAATCATATTTGTATTGTTAACTCTTTTATTTGTTACAAAAACCCCACAAGTAGACCCATTGCTATGCCCATTTTATAGATGAGGGAAATTTGTTATGTAGCACAGAAAATGGATACGGTAGCCCTCTATCTTGTACTTTTGGTTCTGCCACGGTCACATGTAAGATGCATGTGCAGTAAACAGAGTTTTTACCCTAACATGTGGTTAAATTGGAAAGAGGACCAATGATAACTCATATTCTTTTCTCCACCTCTTTTCAGATGCAATGAAATTAACCTCTCCTTCCAAGAACAGCATGCAGGCAGCTAGCTGGAAAGACTCACACTTGAGTGAATAGCGACAGCTCGCCCCTTCTGCGCTTTGACGCTGCTGTCTCTACTGGCCACTTGGTCTACCAGTCAGTTGTGCCCTGTATGTACCCAGCCATGGCTGGGAAGACTCACAACCACAAGATTGTCTATCAGTAGGAAATACAGGAAATTACAGGATGGGTATATGAGACATATGTGGTGGATATAAAGCTCAATAGTAGTGATACAAGTGTCATATTCAGAAAATAATATAAACTTTCTTGCTATAATGGTTTGGTCATTACTATTTTGTAACTCTATTTAAAAATTTTGTAAAAAGTACTTTCAGCAGCAATGAGCTAAAAAACAAAAGGAAAATCAACAACAATGATGATAACAAACACAAAACAAAACCAACAACCCGAAAGAGCATATTTAATGAAAAATTAGGTCTTAAATGTTCATTTTTCAAGATAGCTGATGATGAATATAGAACTTGCACAAAAATGTTGACATTTACTATCCATCAAAGGGTTTTAGTGATATCACTAAACCTATAAAAAGCAGATGACACGCATCTGCCGAAAAAGCAACAGCACCTACTTCAAAGTTGGAAGTTATCTTAAGAGGATTGTGGTCAGAGAAAACAATTTAATATGTGCAGCTGTGGAAAGGTTTATTTCTACATCATTCTTTGAAGTGACTTTTCATTTAGATTAAATGTCTGTTCTTCTAAGTTAATTTCAATCATTTTCAGTACCAACATTTCTTGTGCATGTGCAAAGCCATGCTGAACTGTTGGCTCCATTAACAATAGAAGAACTTTGCAAACAGTTAAATAATTCCAATTGTATATCAAAGTCATCAGATGTTTCAAATAGAAAATTGATCAAGCTCATTCCAGTTAATGACTTAACTTTCTTTTCACCTGACAATTCATGAAATCAAGTTATGCTTTTGGAAGTTTGTTTGTTGAAAGCAAAACATCTGACACCATTATGCATACTGAGATGAATTCAAGGAAAAGTTCAACATTGAAAATGAAATTATTTGTGTCTGTGGTGACATGAATATAAATTTTGGCAGAGCATAGCACCATGGTAAAAACTATGTTCTAATCATGATATCTATAAAACAGAAGTGTACTTGGATTGACAGTGGTGCACACACAATTCCTAATTGCCTCCAAGCAGATTTTGGTGTTTTACCAATTTAAATAGGAATTGCTAGTGGTTAAATTTTACACATATTTTTATGTGTATATAGAGTAACTGATTTTTTTATGATAAAGCTGATGTTAAAAAACAAACAAAAAACTTCAGATGGCAGTATATACTTTCTCTTTGCCATGCATCATCAATCAGACCTTAAAAATGTTTGGGCTTTTTTCAACATCACTGATCACTACAGAAATGCAAATCAAAACCACAGTGAGATACCACCTCACATCACTCAGAATGGCGATTATTAAAAAGTCAAGAAACAACAGATGCTGGCAAGGGTGTGGAGAAATAGGAATGCTTTTACATTGTTGGTGGGAATGTAAATTAGTTCAACCATTGTGGAAGACAGTGTGGCGATTCCTCAAGGATCTAGAACTAGAATATCATTTGACCCAGCAATCCCATTACTGGGTATATACCTAAAGGAATATAAATTATTCTATTATAAAGATACATGCACACATATGTTTACTGCAGCACTATTCACAGTAGCAAAGATTTGGAACTAACACAAATGCCCATCAATTATAGACTGGACAAAGAAAATGTGGTACATATACACTGTGGAATACTATGCAGCCATAAAAAGGAATGAGAGATCATGTCCTTTGCAGGGACATGGATGAAGCTGGAAGCCATCATCCTCAGCAAACTAACACAGGAACAGAAAACCAAACACCACATCTTCTCATTCATAAGTGGGAGTTGAGCAATGAGAACACATGGACACAGGAAGGGGAACAACACACACTGAGGTCTGTGGGGTGGGGGTGGGGTGAAGGGAGAGAGAACATCAGGACAAATAGCCAATGCATGTGGGGCTTAAAACCAGGGTGACGGGTTGGTAGGTGCAGCAAACTACCATGGCGCATGTATATCTGTATAACAAACCAGCACGTTCTGCACAAGTATCCCGGAACTTAAAAAAAAAAAAGAAAAAAAAGGTTTGAGCTTTTTGAAGAATTACTTGGGAAATCAACCTAAACATCAACCATAATGATGAAGAAAGTTCTCTTCATTTTGGTTGCATCTTGTTCAAAATCAGTTGAAAATATTTAATGAAATTATTCAGTGACAGAAACAACTAAAAACTTATTTTTAAGTGCATAGCAAATTGTAGTTATTAAAAACAAAGCTTTCAAATACATAGAAGCAAGAGAAGAAGCAAAAAAAATAATCGATGAGAGCTCAAGTGGTGAAATAGGTTAACATATGGGAAAAATCTTTTGATGAAGATTTTCGTTTTAATTTTATAAGTTTATGTTACAGTCTAGAATGGATGGAAATTGAGAAGACCTATTATTTTGCAGAATCTAAATTTGATTACATATTTAGAAGAATCATAAAAAGGGACACTTTAAAATAAATTTCATCTTGTAAAAATATTTGTTGCAAAAAGTAGTCTAAAGGAAAAAAACAGTACCTGTAAAAATATTTGGGCTAAAATATTTAAGATCTCAATTTAAAAAGTCAAGATTTGGCTGGGTGCGGTGGCTCATGCCTGTAATCCCAGCACTTTGGGAAGCTGAGGCGGGTGGATCACCTGAGGTCAGGAGTTTGAGACCAGCCTGACCAACATGGAGAAACCTCACCTCTACTAAAAATACAAAATTAGCTGGTCGTGGTGGCACATGCCTGTAATCCCAGCTACTCGGGAGGCTGAGGCAGGAGAATCGCTTGAACCTGGGAGGTGGAGGTTGCGATGAGCCGAGATGGTGCCATTGCATTCCAGCCTGGGCAACAAGAGCGAAACTCCGTCTCAAAAAAAAAAAAAAAAGTCGAAATTTGAGAATAGCCTCTATTTAGTAGACTTTGATCAGAGCTGCCTGTGCAGTGGCCAGCATCTGTGAAGACAAGTAGTTTTTCACATAAAAATATTATGGCCAAAAGAGAAGAGTCAATTGAAGCTGTCATGGATTTCAAATTTATTAATAAAATATTCACCTATAAAGAATGTTGCAGGCTATTTTATGAGAAAATTAAAAATAATAATTTCATATTAAAAATTATGTTGAAAATATTTAATGAAATTATTCAGTGACAGAAACAACTAAAAACTTTTATTTTGAAGTGTATAGCAAATTGTAATTATTAAAAACAAAGCTTTCAAATACATAGAAGCAAGGGAAGAACACAAGTGACATAGTATTATAGACAGAATTACAAAACTGATTAAGTATATGAATATATACCAAGAATAATTATTTTACTTTTATTCTTTTTAATGTTCAGCTATTAATATAATTTTTTTAAAAAATATGCTAACGAACTCAGATGCATTATTTTAACTTCTAAAGAAAATTTCAGCTTAAAAAATTATTTTTAATAAGAATAATTCACAAATTCTCCAAGAAAATAACACCAATTTGTTGATCACTGAATATTTTTATAAATACTATATAATTTTAATTATATGTTTTAAGTTTTTATTTTGATGCAATTTCAAATTCATAGAAAATTTGCAAGAAACCGAGTGCGGTGGCTCATGCCTGTAATCCCAGCATTTTGGGAGGCCGAGGCAGGTGGATCATGAGGTCAGGAGTTCGAGACCAGCCTGACCAACACAGTGAAACCTCGTCTCTATTAGAAATACAAAAATTAGCCGGGCTTGGTGGCGGGCACCTGTAATCCCAGCTATTCAGGAGGCTGAGGCAAGAGAATCACTTGAACCCAGGAGGCGGAGGTTGCAGTGAGCTGGGATCATGCCACTGCACTCCAGCCTGGGCGACAGAGTGAGACTCTGTCTCAAAAGAAAAAAAAAAAAAAAAGAAGAAGAAGAAAAGTTGCAAGAGTTTTACAAGGAGCTCCAGTATGCCCTTACCAGCTCCCATTTTGCTTCCATGTGCTTTAGTATTCTCCTCTCTGTCTCTGTCTCCACTCATCCCCCATTCCCTGTCTGTCTGCCTCTGTCTCTTTCTGTCTCATATCCATGTGTGTATTTATTTAAAATATTATTTTTCTGAACCATCTGAATGTAGGTTCAAGACATCATTCCCCCTTTCTGCTAAATCATTTGGTGTGGATTTTCTGAAAATAAGGATATTAAATTCAGGAAACTTAACATTGTTAAGTTCCTATAACACTGTTTTCTAATCCATAGTCCCTATGTAAATTTCATTTCTTGTCCTAATAATGTCCCTTATAGCTATTTTTTTTTCTGGTTCATGATCCAATCCAGTATCACATGTAGCAATAGTTGTCAGGTCTCTTGGGCTTCCTTTAATCTGAAACAGTTCCTTAACTTTTCCTTGTCTTATTTAACCTTGACATTTTTTTTTTAAGAGAACAAGGCTGTTTGTTTTGTAGAATGTCCCTCAATTTGGGTATGATTAGTTTCGGGCTATGTATTTTTGGCAGGAATAAAGCGATATATCCTTCTCAGTATATCATATCTGGAGGCATACCATGTTGATTTGTCTCAATATTAGTGATATTGACTTAGATCATATGGATAAGATGGTGTCCACCAGAACTCTCCCTTATAAGGTGGAGATATTTTAGTGAAAATTACTCAAAGATCATGTGAATCAAATTTTTACCCACTATAGTTAACATTAGTTGATTTTATCAGTTGTCCTAGATTTGGCCAGAGGGAGCTCCTTCAAGTTGCCTTTTTGTCCTTTTGATATGCTTTCTTATTCTTTAAGCACTTTCTTGCTTTTCAGCATGAGATACCACAGGATCATCTTGTATTCCTTCTCTCCATGGAAACCTGGCTTTTGGCTAACAATGGTGTTTATAAACCACAAACGGATACTAGATATGCTTATTGTTACATGTGTGTCATTGCTTAAGGCTTTCTCAGTGCTATGTGTGTTTGGACATGTGTGGATGTCTCTACAAAAAATTTTTAAAAAAATCAGCTGGGCATGGTGGTGTGTGCCTGTAGCCCCAGCTGCTCAAGAGGTTGAGGCAGAAGGATCGCCTGACCCCAGGAGTTCAAGGCTGCAGTGAGCTATGCATTCACTCCTTGACATTGTCTTACAGGTTCCTAAAGTTTTGTACATCTTATTTCAATGTTTTCCTCTTTCTTTTTATATTGGATAATTTCAATGGGTCCATTATTAAATTTATTGACATTTTCTTCAAATTCCATATCTGATTCCTCAAACTGGCACTTTCTGCTTGAGTTTTAGTTATCTTAGACTTGTGTCAACTGGGGCAAACTCTCAGACAAAAAGCTATATAAACATGATTTTTTTTTTTGAGACAGAATCTTGCTATGTTGCCCAGGCTGGAGTGCAATGGTATGATCTCAGCTTACTGCAACCTCTGCCTCCCAGCTTCAAGCAATTCTCCTGCCTCAGCCTCCTGAGTAGCTGAGATTACAGACATGTGCCACCACATCTGGCTAATTTTTGTATTTTTTGTAGAGACGGGGTTTTGCCACGTTGGCCAGGCTGGTCTTGAACTCCTGACCTCATGATCCATCCGCCTCAGCCTCCCAAAGTTCTGGGATTACAGGCGTAAGCCATCGTGCCCGACCTACAAATTTTATCCAGTGCAGTTCCCTGATTTGAAACACTGACTCTCCTCCAGTTTCTGCTTCTTTTATTGCTCTCCAGAACCTTCAGATGATGATTTAAAAAAAAAAAATTTTCAGCACGATCTACAGAAAAGTTAGTCAATACAAGCTACTTTGCCAATACCAGACATGGAAGTGTCAATACAAATATTAGTCCTTAATTTTTCTAATAAGAAAAAATGTGTAATTTATATCTAAATAAAAATAGGCTTGGTTAATAACTGAAGTGATAGAATAGTAAGTTGTAAAAATAAATAAATTCTCACAATTTAAAATATTTTTATAAATATTTGAGTTATAGTTGACAAACTTGCCTTAAAATATCTCATGTGTTATCATGAGCCTATTTGTACACCACTAGAATATAGCTCATGCCATGAACAATATTCCTCAAGGAAACAATAGCTACTGAACTGTTCTACTTCCTGTTTAATGAAACAATCACATACTTGAATGCTGACTGTGCTAAGTTGCTATTAAGGTTTCTAAATGTACATTCTGTATTTCTGTATTTAGCTCATGGCAATTCAGCCGCAAATACCTCACAGACTGGCACCAGTTTGTGAAACGCACTGTGAATAGTGTTAATATATGGGGCATTTCCCCTCTGGCTTTCTATGCTAAGTCTCACCCTTCCCCATCCAGTTGTATTCTTCATTTTTTTCTACCCTGCTCTGTACTCAAGACGCTGACATGCACTGACCGTGATCCCCTGCCTTCTGGCATCCTGTTGCATTTGGCCAACAGAAATAATCAGCAGGAGATAGAAAGGCAGAAGAGTGAGGTTGGAATGTTTATTCCTACAGCTTTTCTTAACAGGTCATGGAGGGTGAGTTGTGTCCCTGCTCCTCTACTATAAGTCACAGCTCCTGTCAGGTAGCCCTCTCCTTATGCCTACCCTCTTTAGGTACTGATCTACTTTGTCCCCTTGCCCTTCAGTCCCATAGAGGGTGATGGCCCTCCTTTGTTACTAGTATGGTATTGCATTTCCCTCCCCACCCCCTGCCACATCTTTAAATTGTGCTTTTATTAACTATCTTCAGTATATACATGTGCCATCTCTTTACTGTCAGGACTCTGACTGAGACATTCTCCTTGGCTAGGATTTGGGTCTGGGTTGTAAGAGTGAACAATTTGCACAAAACCAAAGAGCTTTCTAGAAGAAATAGAATGGAGACACCAATACCCTCTGTTTTGCAGATTAACATGAAGAGATTATATCTGATGAATTGAGGTGGCTCAGATTGAGGGTCAACTGGTAGATGTGTACATTCACTATGAGAGAAAGGAACCAAGGCCAGATCATCAAGGAAAGAGCTGGCTGGGAGCTCAGGATGTGGCCGAGGCTGTAAGGTTCCTCCTGATGGACCCTTCCTGGCACTGTGGACATACATCTGGAAAACATCTGTGTGTGATTGTTCAGAATGAGCCAGGTAACTAGAAAATGTGCCTTTGTTGTGTAGTGACTGTTGTTGACTTTTACATGTCTTTTTTTTTTTTTTTAATTCACCTTAAGAAACTCCTGCCAAACCAGTAGCATTGATGTGAATTGGTGCCCAGGTCCCTTTCTTTAGTGACGGGTGGCCAGCACAAGTATGATAAATCACCACTGTTCTTGCAGCAGTGACCAAAGATTGAATCTCACTATCAAACTACCTGCTTTCCACAAGCACTTTACCAGCAGCAACTGCACTAGAGCCTGGCATTCTTCAGTGAATGAACTCCTCATATTTCCCAGTTTTCTTCCATCATGGGGTAATAACCAGGACTGCTGCCTTCAGCAAAGCAAGCCTCTTTGCATTCTTTCTTTTAGTATGGGAGGTGAGATACCCCAAAGAGGGAGGCAATACATTTTCACAATAGAAGAGTAGAGCTCAGAGTTATTTAATGTAAATATTTTAAAAAGACTCAGCATTATTTTATACCCCATGTTGGCAAATCACAAAAACAGCTATAAGGTATATCTAAAGTGGTAGGTAACTGAGTCAATGATAACACTAGAATTATAGTCTGTATTATGTTCTTTATAGATATTGGTGCTTTTAGGGCAGAAAGTTTGGTTGAGAAAAGTACATTTACTAAGTAGATAAAATTCCTACCTCATGTGTATAAGACTGATTCCTAAGAAGATGGAATTTTAGAATATCCTATTTCTTACTATATAAACTTGGGCTTGGTTAGATGTTAAGACCAATAGTAGCATGTTTGTGTGGAGAGAGGTCAACAAAGAACTAATCTAACTGGTTAAATTTACCAAGAGTTATTGTTTTTGTGATCTCTTTTTACTATGTTTGGGCCAGTGTGTGTGTGTGTGAGCATGTGTGTTTTCTTCAGCATGTTGTTTTTGAAATGTATATCTGCCCTTAGAGAGTTCTGTGATGAGAATATTTGAAAACCTCTTTAAAAACCTCTGAAGTCCTTTAAGTGCAGTCACCTGTTGATATGTGGTCAAAACATAATTCACAACGAAACATTCATTCTTTGGGATTAGTCCACATCCATCAGGCAAAAGCTTGTCTAGTCAGATGCCTTTTTCAGAGGCCATGGTGGGTAGTCTTGCTGTCTGTATTGTTTTAAGATGACTCATATCAAGGGTTAAATTCCTTGGTTTTTGCTGGTGTCACGTGGCCAAACATTTGCTGGGTATGGAGTTTTTCTCTCTTCATCCACCAACAAAAGCCTCAAGGTCTATTCTTTTCTTCCTCCCACGTTGGGACTCACCTCTTCTTTACTCCTCCATTCCCATCATTGTTCTCTTCCACTTCCTCTCACTTCACTCATGTGCTGCCTGCCTTGAAGAGGAGGCAATGGAAGAATTTCAGTTAATATCTTCCTGTAAAAATCTTAGTTGAATAAGCAAAAAGTGTACAGTCTGGTGGAGAAGATACCTAATTAGAGATGACAATGTTTGAGACATATGCTCTAATTAAAGTGAGCCCACAATGCTATAGGATGTATGGGAGAAAGCTCACCTTGGGAAGGTCCAAGAAGGTTTTCTATGTTAGAAGATACTTTTCTGAATTAGAAGATACTTTTAGAAGATACTTTTCCATATTAGAAAATACTCTTAAAAGTATAACTTGAAAGAAAGGTAAGCAGAGGTGAAATCATGAAAGAATTTGAATGACATGCTAAGGAGTTTTGGGGAGTCCTAGAATACTTTAAAGTGGCCTGTTAAGCTTCGTGTCTTTGGAAGCTCTCTCTAGTGGCATTTGGGAGGATGAACTGTAGACAGAAGATCTAATTGGACACAAATGAATCAGAACAGGTGAGAAATTGTGAGCACCTAAAAGTGGGTCAATGAGTTTGTATAAGAGGAGAGAGAATCAAGAGGCATTTTAGCATTTAGACTCCATGGTACTTGGTGACCAATTGGATGGGCAGGTGGAATAGGGATGGTGAGGAGTCAGCGGTAGGTCCTCCAGGTTTGAGGGACTGATGGATAGTAGAGGCACTGGCCAAAAGAAGGAATGTAGGTATAGAAGCAAGTGTGTTTGGGGGAGGGTGAGTGGATAAGAGATAATGAGTTTATTTTTGAACATATTGGATTTGAGGTGTCTATGGAGAGATAATAATCAGATGTCTTAAGGATGTAAAAAAAAAAAGGTTTTCATTTCTCATTCTTAAAACTGGTAATATTCAGTAACTTTCAAGTTAATATTCAGTAACTTTTTATATTTTTTCCATCATACTAACATTGTTATAATTTTTTTTTCTTAATCTATTCGGCCACACAAAAACATAGTTCCAACTCCTTTGCATGCCAAGTTTGTGAGTTGTTTTTGCATCATCACTATTATTGGATTAGAAATATATTTTACCTTAAAATATAAACTTAAGTTTGGTTGCATTATTGTTCGACATTTCAGAACAAAACACTTTTTATATACACATCTCATTTTTCTCTATACAACAGTGCTAACAGTAGGTTATCAGATGAGGAAACTGAGGCTCAAGTATAATAGGCAAGTACTTAGGCTTGTGCAGAGAGGGGTCAAAAGACTAACATTTGAGAAGCTGGCCTGCAATGGGTCTGCAGAATAAGCAGAACCAGAAGTGGGTGTCAGAGCTGGGATAAGAAGGAAGAAACTGTGTGTTGACATGGGAGAGTCAATAGGGCCTCCAGCAAGCAGCAGAAGCAGCAGAATATTGCCCGAGGCTAGACCTCTTCTACCTGTGTGGAAAAGAGTGGCACCCGGCCCATTTCAAGATCCTCTGGGCACTTCGCATTCAATTCCATACATTAAGAACATCTACTATGTGCTTGGCACAAGGCCAGGAACTGGGGGTATAAAGAATAAGTTAGTTCTTCCTCTCCAGGGGCTGGGAATGGCAGATATATAAACAATTGACTATACACAATTGATGAGTTCTAAAACAGAGTAAAGAATAAGATACCTTGGAGATAGGGAAGAGGGAGTAGTTAATATTATGTAAGAGTGAAGTAAAGAGAAGATGAAGAAAGAAGTTACATTTGAGCTGAACCTTGGAAAGACTGGTGAGACATTTCCCAGGAGGAGAGGAGGACAAAGATGTTCCAAGTACAGTGAAAAAACGGCAAAAACTTGGAAGTATACCAGCTTCTGGGGTGGATATAGGTTGATGTAAAACATACTGCAAAGGATAGAATAGCTCATGGAAAAAGACCCAGATAGAAAGGTGGACATTTTACTACCAACTCAAGGCAAACTATTCAAAAGCAAGTCAGGGAGGATGGGAGAAGGAAGGAAACCCACAGACCACCTCTCTCTATGGTATAATCAGCTTGATGGCTGACACTTGTATGGCCCTAGAGACTTTAATAATCTTTATGTCCCAAAGATTCTGGGAGGGTCGGGAGATTGGACATGCATGGGAAAGTTTGGTTGTGAATACCCTGTCTTTCTTATGCTGGAGTCTGTACAAGGTTTTGGGCAACTAGTTTTCTGCACATGTTTACTTTAAGTCACAGACACCACGATCTTGGGGTTACGTGGATCTCAGAGGCTCCTCGCTCCCTGATGTGAAGATACCTGTGAAAAATTGGGTAGAAATCAAGTGTTTGTCAATGATGGGAGAAAGGGTTGCATGAAAAAGTCAGGACTTATGTTCCTCTTGAGGCCTAAATGGAGATGAGCAGGTGCACCTAGCAGAGAAGGGTAGTCTGTGCTCAGGCACAGGTATGGACGTCAACAAGATACATGGGAGAATGTGGAAACCTTCCTCAAATGAACAGAGTACTTGTGTCCCCAGGAGCAAGCTTACGTCAGCAAGGCTGTTTATAAAGCATTTATATCGGACTTGAGAGGACTGTGCAGGCTTCTGAGCAATGGGTAGTGAAAGGGACTTTTTAGGAAGATTATTCTGGATGAGTGGAGAGCCTGGAGTCCCTGATTAAATTTGCATTTTTAATTCCTGGGTTCTTATGAAGTAGAAGGAAGCTTTCATGTAATTTTCATGATAAGCAGATTGAATGGACACCCATCAGCCTCTTACTCTTCACAACTGAGAGTTCTGGAGTTTAGGGTAAACATAGGACTGAGTTAAGGAAAAATGGCCTGAAGCCTGCATTGAGTAGCTGAAATCAGCAGGCGTTTTATCATCCCTGTGCCATGCCAGTGGCTTTTCCCGAGTGTTTTTTATCTGTGTTTGCTTCAACCTCAGGGGACAATCTGTTCAGTTACCATAAGGGATACCTTCAAAGAGTTTTCTTGGACAAGATCCACTCATGTGGTCAGCTGTGACCTCATCTCCCTGCTCCGGGGGCCCTGTTTTGGGGCTTGATATCTTGAATTTCTGCTTGAATAGGAAGCAGAAAGGCCCTTCTTTTGAATGCCTCTCATTTTGGAACACAACAAAAACCACCAGTTAGCTTGTTAAATATTTTTCCAGGTTTTTTCTTATTTTTAAATAATTTAGCCCATTGCCCTGCTTACTGTCAGGAACCATTAGGAAAGCCCACTGCTTATCATCTTTTCAAAAACATACAAAAAGTGGGAGGTTTGGGGAGATGCACAGGAGAGTAAGTCTTTTCAATTTCTGGCACAAAATTTGGAACTGTAAGGAAAGAATAGAAATACTGGTTCAGATTTTCCTAAACTAAATTGTGAACTCGATGCTTCTACCAGCGACCAAAATACTCATCTCATGGAAATTTTCACACTTCTCTTTCTTAGCTGTCTCTTCAAATTTGAAACTGTCCAGAGAGGAGTCTATATTCCTCCATTTTATTTATTCTTGAAAGTGAGGACCCCTTGGCTGACTCCTGCAACCCTCTGGGGAAGTCATGTATCATGGTACCTTTCTCCTGCCTGGCTCAACCAGCTATGGGTACAAATTCAAGTCCCCCAACGACTATATTCATATCTTCCTCCAGTAGCAAACGGGCTTGTGTAGATTCAGTGTGAAGAGAAGCTGCAGGGGTGGGTGGGTGTGTGTGAGAGGACCGGTCTCTTGCTGCAGCCCTGGAGCGTGAAGCTGTGCACGGGACTGGACCTGCTTTCAGAACCAACCTCCTCTGCCAGAAACAACTTATTCCCTGAAGAGCTTCTGACTCATGCCTCTAATAGGACTATTATGGTTTCCTGGCAGCAAATTTGTCCTTTTGAAATGTAGGACTTTTTTTTTCTTTTTGTAATTTGAATTATCAGTTGACCTATGTAGACAAGTTCTCCTGTTCCATGCTTTCATGGTACTCTTGGAAGCTCAATTCACAATATCCATTTGTAGGACTAGATTTTAAATTTCTTGCATGCAAAGACTAGTCGTCTGTCCTAGTTACTAGTGTATGTCCAGTATCTGGCATAGTGAATGGATTTTTCATTGAACGAACAAAGGAATGAATGAATGAATGGTGTGTTATTCCTATACGGTCCTACCAAGGAAGAAAGATTTTAGGAGACATTAGACCTCCCAAAGCCGTAGCAGGGGACAGCTAAGGAACATGTCCCAGAATTTTCTTAGGTTTTCATTGGGACTCAATTCAGCAATTGTGTGTTCATCTGGTTTCTAGGCCATGATAGAGTAGAAGTAAATTAAGGAGGTGGGATGCTGCTAGAAAGAGATGACTCTGATAGGAAAAAAGGGAACAACTTAGAGTCTGGCAAAAGGCAGGCCTAATTTTAATAAAGTGTAGGGGTTTGAGGCTATTGAATGCAGGGGCAGATGACCCTAAACTTTACAAGCAGTGAGATCATCACTATACTATACCGAAATACAATAGTTGGACTGGCAGTGAGAATCTTCAGTTATCTGGAAAGTTTACTTCCATTAACTAGTTTATGTTCAAATGATGCTAGGCCACTGAGGTATTCTATTAACACTCTTTGACATATCAATTTTATCTATCCTGAGCACTTTAGAAAATCCACCACTCTCTTTGACACAGATAATAATAATTGTATCCCATTCTGCTTCTACTTCACCCAACGTAGGATAAGATGTTCCTCAATGGCAATAGCATGGCAGCCTTTTTGCAAAGGAAGAGAATCCTCTCCTAATTCTGCTTGGAACACAGGGATCTTTATGCACATCTGTATTGGAAATTGCTTTCAACAAAAAAAGGGAAGACTGAGAGAAGAAAGCAATGACACGAAGTAATCCTGAGGGTGACAGGGATGCTAAGACATGGAGTTCAACTAACAAAGAAATAGAAATTTCTAAAAATGTCATGGGAGAGACAAATAGAGAGACGCAGCCTGAAAGAGGATGGGGAAGTTTTATTCAGGCCATGGAGTGGCAGGTGTTTGCCAACAGGAGCTGTGATTCTTCCAAAACCTTTTAATGTTCATGGCACACAGAACAATATTTGTTTCAAATTTTTAGGCAAGGAGAAAAACACTGCATGACTTAAGCCAAACAGAAGTCCCTATTCCAGAATTTAATATTTGAGGGCATACATGGGTTTCTCTTTTTTCGTCTCTTATTTTAAGCAGGCACCAGGTTGTCTAGCTTGGGAAATGCCACTCAATTAACACCTGAAAGCACTAGGTACATAATGTGAAATACAAGAAACTGTTACATTCAAAAGGATGCTGAGGAAAAATGAACTCTTCAATATCCAGTTTATATTAATTGTGAAAACAAGATTATAAAGAAAACCAATTTAAATAGAAAAATTTAAACATAAAAAATTCACTCTTACAAAACTGCTTTCCAGTTTTATATATTATTTTCTAATCTTTGGCAATATGCTTGTATATTTTTACATAATTACAATCACAGTGTATACATACTTTTTTTTTTTTTTTTTGAGACGGAATCTTGCTCTGTCATGCAGGCTGGAGTGCAATGGCGTGATCTTGGCTCATGGCAACCTCTTGTCTCCCCAGTTCAAGTGATTCTCCTGCCTCAGCCTCCCGAGTAGTTGGGATTACAGGCAGCTGCCATCATGCCCAGCTAATTATTGTATTTTTGTAGAGATGGGGTTTCACCATGTTGGCCAGGCTGGTCTTGAACTCCTGACCTCAGGTGATTCGCCTGCTGCGGCCTCTCAAAGTGCTGGGATTACAGGCCTTGAGCCACCACTCCTGGCTTGTTATGTACTTTTGTATTAACTTTTTTTGGTGACTAAATATTCCATGGAGGCTGCTATTTGGAAAAAAGCTCATCGATTCAGGGAAGAGAGGAGTTAGTTCTTTATCTCACTCTGTAAGCCAATTTAAGTTACAGATTGGATGATAAGACATAAAGATAAAACCTTTGTTAGAAAATAAAATAGAAAAAAATCATATAGCTGTCAAAAGCAACAAAAAATACAAAGTAACTAGGAATAAACTTAAAATGTGTAAGACCTGCCTGAAAGAAACTAAAAACTTTCCTGAGAGAACAAAAAGACCATTAAATACAGAGACACGTTATGTTCCTGGACAGAAGACTTTCTATAGTAAAGATGTAAATTCTCCCCTAATATCTATAGCTGTAACATTTTCAATCAAAATGCCAATAGAATTTCTCTTAGAATTTGACAAAATGCTTCTGAAGTTCACATGGAAGAATTAACAAAAGAGAAAACAAAAGAAAATGTTGAACAGGAAGGGAATGATAAGGCTCTGCTGTATCAGAGATTAAGATACATTGTAGTGCTACAGCAAATAAAATTGTATGAAACTGGCCCAGAAACAGATAAACAGATAATTGAAAAGACAACAGAAACTACAGAAAGGGACTCAAGTATATATATTTAAGATATGATAAGGGAAGCTAGTTACCCATTTGGAAAAATAAAGTTAGTACACTAGGGCATACCTTATAATAAAATATATTCCTGTAAGATTAAAGTATTTAATGTAAAGGGAGACATTAATTAAATACAAAAATAGATAAATATTTAATCTTGGGATTAAAATCATAACACGCAATCATGAAGGAAAGACTTGAAATTAAAATGGTCTATTTGGGGAAAAAACACATAGTTAACAAGTAAATGACAAAATATGAAGAAATGAGGCCTGGTGTGGTGGCTCATGCCTGTAACCCCAGCTCTTTGGGAGGCCAAGCTGGGTGGATCACCTGAGGTCAGGAGTTCAAGACCAGCCTGGCCAACCTGGTGAAATCCTGTCTCTACTAAAAGTACAAAAATTAGCTGGGCGTGATGGCAGGCACCTGCAGTCCCAGCTACTTGAGAGGCTGAGGCAGAAGAATCACTTGAACCTGGGATGCGGAGGTTGCAGTGAGCCAAGATCGTGCCATTGCACTCCAGCCTGGGCAACAGAGCGAGCAAGACTCTATCTCAAAAAAAAAAAAAAAAAAAAAAAAAAAAATAGAAGAAACGGCAATATGTGTGACAGAATGACAGACACAGAATTATTTTTCTTAATATATAAAGAGACCTTAATCATCACTTTAAAAATCAGACTACCATAAAAAAAGAACAAAGAACATGAACAGGAAATTCATAGAATTACTGTAAATGACATTTAAATTATGAATATTACATACTAAATAAATGACAACACAAAATTCAGGACAGGTTTTGTTTATCAAAGTTTTTTTGATAGTAAGTACTCTGTGATGATGAGGATATGGAGAAATATACTTTCTTGTATGCAAATTTTTTATCATTAGGAGTGCAAATACTAAAATCTTTCTGAAAGGTAATTTAATAAAATATTGCATCAAAAGGCTTAAATTAATATAGACTAATTGATCCAGAAACTCACTTTGAGCAATCTATCTTAAGAAAATTATGTAAAGGTACAAAGAGTGTAACTATGATATTTTTCATTGTCTTTTTTGCCTCAGATTTTAACCCTCCAGAAAATTCTATGAAATATTTGATATTCTTAAAGAAAACTTTGTATTATGAAAAAAGTCAAACAAATAGGACAGTAGAAAGAATATTTTAGTGAGCACTCACGTATCCACCACCTGCCCAGATTTCATGCTTGCTAATATTTTGTCATATTTGCTTCATCTATTTCTCTTTCTCTCATCTGCTTATCATCTGTTCATCTTTCATTTTTGCTAAACATTTACAACTAATTTTCAGAAAGTGTGACACTTCAACTCTAAGTATGTGTGTGTTAAACTCTAAAAAAGAACATTTTTCACAGCTACAATACCATAAATTATAGTAACAAAATGAGCTATAATTTCCTAACATATCCATTTCATAATCTAATTTCTCCACTTGTCCCTCAAATACCTTTATAACTACATTTCTGAATAATGACCAATCAAAGATCATTTATTGCATTGTTATTATGTCCATTTAAATAGTAATATTGGAAATGAGAAATAACGTAAAAATTAATAGTAAGGTATCAATTCAATAAATTATGTTATAGCAAGTGAAGACTTCAGTGCCATTAACAATCTAGTAATATTTGATGATATGAAAAAGCTTTTTTTTTTTTTTTGAGAAGATCTCACTCTGTCACCAGGCTGGAGTGCAGTGGAGTGATCTCAGCTCACTGCAACCTCTGCTTCCTGGGTTCAAGAGATTCTCCTGCTTCAGCCTCCCAAGTAACTGGGATTACAGGCACGCACCACCACGCCCAGCTAATTTTTGTATTTTTAGTAGAGACGGGGTTTCACCATGTTGGCCAGGATGGTCTCGAACTCTTGACCTTGTGATCTGCCTGCCTCGGCCTCCCAAAGTGGTGGGATTACAGGCATGAGCCGCCGCGCCTGGCAGCTTTTTTTGTTTTGTTTTGGAAATAGAGTTTCATTCTGTCACCCAGGTTAGAGCACAGTGGCGTGATCTTGGCTCACTGCAATCTCTGCCTCCCGGGCTCAAGAGATATAGCCGGGACTACAGGCACATGACACCACGCCTGACTAATTTTTGTATTTTTTGTAGAGATGGGACTTCTCCATGTTGCACAGGCTGGTCTTAAACTCCTGAGCTCAAGCGATCCACCCACCTCCACCTTCCAAAGTGTTGGGAGTACAGGTGTGAGCCACCGTGCCCTGTCAAATAAGCATTTTTAATACATTGTTGATTGACAAAGAAACTCTCCAAATGTGGTAAAAGCCCATCTTTATATACGGGTATATAAATAAATGTGTCTGTGCATGCAAACATATAACCTCACATATGCATACACGTACAAATTTGCATGTGTATGCCCCAAACTGTTGACAGTAGCCCTCCCTGGTTAGTAATATTACAGGTGACTCATTTTTTTCTCAATTTCCGCTTACCTGTACTCTCCCATTTTTCTTTATTTCTGTATTTAAATTCTTATAAAAATATAAGCAGTGAATAGTATTTTAAAAACCAATGTAGTCCGAGGGCGGTGGCTCACGCCTGTAATCCCAGCACTTTGGGAGGCTGAGGCAGGCAGATCACCTGAGATCAGGAATTCGAGACCAGCCTGGCCAACATGGCGTAACAGCGTCTCTACTAAAAATACAAAAAAATTAGCTGGACGTGGTGGCACACGCCTGTAATCCCAGTTACTTGGGAGGCTGAGGCAGGAGAATCACTTGAACTCGGGAGACGGAGGTTGCAGTGAACCGAGATCGCGCCATTGCACTCCAGCCTGGGCGACAGAACAAGACTCGTCTCAAAACCAAACCAAAACAAAAACCAGTGTAATAGTACCGTATCACTCCTCTTCCCTTTCCCATACCCATCCACCTCTTCATTACTCTTTTGGTCCCACTTCTAGCAAGTAACCACTGTGAAAGAGTTTAGTGTATGCATGAGAATTTTTGGGTTGCAATCCAACGATACACCTTCTTGCTAACGTAAGCAAAAAGGAACATACTGGAAGGACAGTTGGGACTCACAGATGCTAAAAAAATGTGGAGAATCAGCCGTGAAGATGGGCAAGAACCACTGCAGCAGTGGGGGCCCAGAATCACAAAGCAAAGGAATGCCCTTCATAGCAGGGCCAGCTTGGGCCAAGGGTCACTGAGCGATGAGTAAACTCCAACTCTTTCTTCTATCCTAACGGTTAAGATCTAAAGTCTCAGAAAAAGACATTTTCTTGGGGAACTGTAGGTCACATGCTCGCAGTCTGTGACTATACCGAGGCGGAGAAGGGACAGCACACCCCTCAGGCGGGCCACGGGGTTAACAGTTCACCAAATCTACCTGTGCACATTTTGATAGACATTTCTAAATTACTTCCCAAGAGCCGGGTGCGGTGGCTTACGCCTGTAATCCCAGCACTTTGGGAGGCCGAGGTGGGTGGTTCAAGAGGTCAGAAGTTCGAGACCAGCCAGGCCAACATGGTGAAACCCCATCTCTACTAAAAATACAAAAATTAGCTGGGCGTGATGGTGGGCACTGGTAATCCCAGCTACTTGGGAGGCTGAGGCAGGAGAATTGTTTGAAATTGGGAGGCGGAGGTTGTGGTGAGCCAAGATCATGCCACTGCACTCTAGCCTGGGCGAAAGAGCAAGACTCCATCTCAAAAAAAAAAAAAAAAATTACTCCCCAAGAAGTTTTTTCAAGTTTCTACTCACACCAGCAATAAATATTAATAATCTGGCTTTTTATAGTTTGTATTTGTCAAATTATCATTGCAGTTGGAAAATGCTTTTGTTAATTGGCTATTTTTATTTTTTTGTAGACTGTCTATTCTTTTTCTTTGCCTACATGTTTCAATGGGCTATTTGTCTTTTTCTTATTGATTTATAAGAACTCCGTATATGGTATGAAAATTAGACCCTTTAGATTGTGCACTGCACATTTTTCTTCTCCATTTGCTGTCTCTTATTTTTATTGTGACTTTCTGTTTTTGTCTTTAATTTGTTTTTCTTTTTGTGCCGTTCGGAAGTCATCAATATCTATGTTGTCAAATGTGTTTATAAATTCCACAAGGACAGAGTTTCATCACCACTGTATTCCCAGGGCTTGTCGCCATACCTGACACGCTATTAGCATTCAAATGTATTAAGTGAATTTGTGAATGGATGCATCAGTCTTCTCTTCCATGACCTTCCCTACTCCAAAATTACAAAAATATTCTCCAGGTTTCTTTTAGATGTATCTGGGCCATTTTTAAGGAGTGGGGTTATTCTATGCACAGCATCCAGAGAAAACATTTAGAAAGTAAATTTGATCTGGCCGGGCACAGTGGCTCAGGTCTGTAATCCCAGCACTTTGGGAGGCTGAGGTGGGTGGGTCACCTGAGGTTGGGAGTTTGAGACCAGCCTGACCAACATGGAGAAACCCCCTCTCTACTAAAAATACAAAATTAGCTGGGGGTGGTGGTACATGCCTGTAATCCCAGCTACTCAGGAGGCTGAGGCAGGAGAATCGCTTGAACCCAGGAGGCGGAGGTTGCAGTGAGCCAAGATCCTGCCATTGTACTCCAGCCTGGGCAACAAGAGCGAAACTCGGTCTCAAATAAATAAATAAATAAATAAATAAACAAACAAACAAACAAACAAATAAAATAAAAGATAGTATTGTGGCATTTTTTCCCCTTATTTTTCCTGTTTAGAATTACTTGGCATGTTAAATGCAAGCTCAAGTGAGGTCCTAAAAAGAAGATACTGCAGGCTTAGTTCTGCTCAGCTACACAAAGATAATGTGCCTGTAACAGACATGGAGCAGGCATATGCAGGCAAAGGACCAAAAATGTTAAGCATATTATCAAACTCTTTGGCATTTCTAAAGAGTTTAAGATCATTCTTTGTTTTCCCCACATTCTCTGCTGTTTTGATAGCCCAAAGCTACCCAATAGGAATTCTGGCGTATTGCACTATAGTCATTTCTAAAGGGGCAAAAGGAAACGATGCACAACCACCACTACTTTGGCAGATCCACATCGGAGGCTGGCTCTGGAGGTTCTGAGTCCCTGAGATGCTCAGCTAGAAAGTCCAGTCAGTCATACAGCAAACAGCCTTCCTCAGGCAAAACTCTAGGGGATTGCAGTGGGTGGGCAGCTAGTGTACTACATGAGGTAAACTCGCTTTCTGTTTCTCTGCTTCCCCTTTTTTGCATTTGGACACCACTGGAGAACATGTCATAACTATGTATATCAACTCAAAGGAAATTCAGGACATCTAGTTTTTTACTGGCTCTTAATATTGCTTGTACCTGTTTGCATTGTAGTCAGAGCCAGCCTTCTTAAACTGGCTGAATTATGTGTGCATTGAAACTTACGATGGCTCCCACTGCCTTCTAGCTTTGCTCCTCAAAGTGTGATCATTGGAGCAATAGCATTGGCCTCACGTTGGAACTTGATGAAAATGTAGAATCTCACACCAAACCTACTGAATCACAATCTGCATTTTCACAGATTCATATGCACATTAAAGTCTGAGAAGCACAGGTCTATAGAATAAAGTCTAAGCTCTTTAGCATGGCTATTAAGGCACTTTGTGATCTGATTTCAAATTACTTCTTAAGGCCCGGCGTGGTGGCTCACGCCTGTAATCCCAGCACTTTGGGAGGCTGAGGGGGGGCGGATCATCTGAGGTAAGGAGTTCAAGACCAGCCTGGCCAACATGGCAAAACCCCCTCTGTACCAAAAATAAAAAATTAGCCGGGCATGGTGGTGCATGTCCGTAGTGCCAGCACTAAGGCAGCTGAAGCAGGAGAATTGCTTGAACCTGGAAGGTGGAGGTTGCAGTGAGCCGAGTTCGTGCCATTGCACTCCAGCCTGGATGACAGAGTGAGACTCCATCTCAAAAAAAAAAAAAAGTGAATTAATGAGCTGTTCGTGTGTTATACTATTTGTGGTTTACCTGAAACACACTTTTATGTTTCAGTATCCTTTGCCACTTCCATGCAAGCATGTCTATACTATGTCATTCTCTAATTGCTCCTTATCACATATTTTAAAGTATTATTTTTTTCCCCTTTTCTTCTATTTCTTTTCTTTTTTCTTTTTTGGAGACAAGTTCTCGCTCTGTTGCCCAGGCTGGAGTTTAGCGGTGTGATCTCGGCTCACTACAACCTCCTCCTCCTAGGTTCAAGTGATTCTCGTGCCTCAGCCACCGAGTAGTTGGGATCACAGGCATGCAATACCATGCTTGGCTAATTTTTTGTATTTTTAGTAGAGACTGGGTTTCGCCATGATGCCCAGACTGGTCTCAAACTCCGGGCCTCCAGTCATCTGCCCACCTTGGCCTCTCAAAGTGCTGGGATTACAGGTGTGAGCCACCATGCTAGGCCTCCATTTTCTTAAAGAAACTTTTTTTTTCTGTTAAAAATAGCAGAATAATCTTAAGAAATCCATTAAAAAAATTAGAACTAATAATTTCAGCAAGGTTCAAGGTAGAAAATTAGTATGCAACTATTCACAATAGCAAAGATTTGGAACCAACCTAAATGTCCAACAACGATAGACTGGATTAAGAAAATGTGGCACATATACACCATGGAATACTATGCAGTCATAAAAAATGATGAGTTTATGTCCTTTGTAGGGACATGGATGAAACTGGAAACCATCATTCTTAGCAAACTATCGCAAGGACAAAAAACCAAATACCACATGTTCTCACTCATAGGTGGGAATTGAACAATGAGAACACATGGACACTGGAAGGGGAACATCACACACCGGGGACTGTTGTGGGGTGGGGGGAGGGGAGAGGGATAGCATTAGCAGATATACCTAATGCTAAATGACGAGTTAATTAGCACACCAACTAATGACGAGGTGCAGCACACCAACATGGCACATGTATACATATGTAACAAACCTGCACGTTGTGCACATGTACCCTAAAACTTAAAGTATGATAATAAAATTAAAAAAAAGAAAATTAGTATGCAAATATCTATTACATTTCCATAGAGTAACTGAACAAATCAAAAATTAAATTGAGAAAGTTATCCCATTTATAATAGCATAAAAAGAATAAAATACTTAGACATAAATTTTAAAAGAAATGCAAAACTTATACTCTGAAAACAACATATTATTGAGGGAAATTAAAGAAGATCCAAATGAATGGAAAGATATCCTATGTTCATGATTGTAAAATTTAATAATATTTAGTTAAATCTTGCATTTAATATGCATACGTCACAGTTCTACCAGAGAAATAGAACCAATAGGGAATATTACACACACATACATACAATAAGAGAGAGAGAGAAAGAGATTTGCTTATTGCAAGAAATCATGGCAGCTGGCCAAGCAAGTCCAAAATCCATAAGACAGATTTTAGAAAGCACAGGCTAGAACTCGGCCATGAGCTGAAACTTCAATCCATAGGCAAAATTTCTTCCTCTTCAGGGATGTTTTACTTCTGTGCCTGAGGCCTTTCGACTGACTGAATCAGACCCACCCAGATTATATAGCACCATCTCCCTGATTTAGTGTCAAAATACCTTTACAAAACACCTATATTAGTTTTTGATTGAATAAGTGGGAACCATAGCTCAGCCAAACTGACATAAAACTCACCATCACATGGTAATGCTCCCCAAATTGATCTACAGATTAAGTGCCATCCCTATTGAAACCCAAGCTGGACTTTTGGCAGAAATTGACAAATGGATCCTAAAATTCATATAAAGATTCAAGGAATCCAGAATAGATAAAACAATTTTTTCAATTTTTATGAAAAAAGATTAAAGATAAATTACTTCTTGATTTTAAAACTTAATACAATGCTGCAGTAATTCAGATTGTGTGGTACTGGCATATAGATCATCAGAATAGAATTGAGAATTCAGAAATAAACCCTCACATTTCCAGTCAATTGATCTTTTTATTGTACTAAAAAACACATAATATAAAATTTACCATCTTAACCATTTAAGTGTAAAGTGTAGAAGTGTTAACTATGTTCCAGTTGTTGTGAACAGATACCTAGGACGGTTTCATCTTGCAAAACTAAAACTCTATACCCGCTGAACAACAACTACTCATGTCCTTATTTTTCAAGCCCTGGTCATCACATTCTGTTTCTGTTTCCATGAGTTTAACTTTCTCTTCATTTTACTTCCTGTTTCTATGAGTTTGACCACTTCAGATACCTCATATAAGTGGAATGACACAGTATTTGTCTTTTTGTAACTGGCTTATTTCACTTAGCTTAATGTCCTCAAGCTTCATTTATGTTGTAGCTTATGACAAGATTTCCTTTTTTTAAAGGTGGAATGACATTCCATTGTATGTGTATACCAAAATACCAAATTTTCTTTATCCATTTGTCTGTTGATGGACATTTGGATTGCTTCTACATCTTGGCTATTACAAATAATGCTGCAATGAACATGGGTATGTCCATTCAACTGATTTTTTATGAGAAAGCCATGACAATTCAATGGGGGAAAGAATGATCTTTTCAACAAATGATGCTGGGACAACTGGATATCCACATGCAAAAGAATAAAGTTGAATCCTTACCTCACACTATACACAAAAAGTAACTAAAATGTATCAAATAACTAAAGGTAAAAGCTGAAACTACAAAACTCTGAGAAGAAAACAGAGGCATAAATCTTGGCAACCTTTGATTGGGCAATGGCTGGTTTCTTAGAAACGAAATCAAAAGCAAAAAGAACAAAAGAAAATATAAATTAGATATAATCAAAATTAAAACTTTTGTGCTTCAAAGGACACCATCAAGAAAGTGAAAACACAACGTGCAGAATGCAAGAAAAAATTTGCAGATCACATGTTTGGTAAGGGACTTATATTTGGGAAACATAAAGAAATTACACAACTCAATAATAAAAACACAAATAACACCAATAAAAAATGGGTGAAGTATCTGAATGGGCATTTCTTCAGAAAAGATATCCAGATGGCCAGTAAGCACATGAAAAGATGCTCAGCATCATTAGCCATCAAGGAAATGCAAATCAAAGCCACAATGAGATACCATTCCATATTCATTAGGATGGCTATAATTAAGACAGATAATACATGTTAGTGAGGATGTAGAGAAATTTGAGTTCTCATACACTGCTGGTGGAAATGTAAAATGGTACAGTTGCTTTGGAAAAGAGTGTGGCCATTTTTTAAAAGGTTATAAGCATAGAGTTCTTATAAGATCAGTAATTCCACCCTTCGTATATACTTAAGAAAAATGAAAACATGGCTGGGTATGGTGGCTCACGCCTGTAATCCCAGCACTCTGGGAGGCAGAGGCAGGTGGATCACCTGAGGTCAGGAGTTCACCTGGCCAACATGGGGAAACTCTATCTCTACTAAAAATATAAAAAATTAGCTGGGTGTGGTGGCGGGCACCTGTAATCCCAGCCACTTGAGAAGCTGAGGCAGGATAATTGCTTGAACCCAGGAGGTGGAGGTTGCACTGAGCCAAGATCATGCCATTGCACTTCAGCCTGGGCAACAAGAGCGAAACTCTGTCTCAAAAAAAAAAAAAAAAAGAAAAGAAAAAGAAAAATGAAAACATATATTTAAGAACATTCATAATGGTTGTAGGTATGTGGCCTTATTTCTGTGCTCTCTATGTTATTCCACTAGTCCACTAGTCTATGTGTCTATTTTTGCACCAGTACCATGCTGTTTTGGTTACTGTCACCTTGTAGTATAGTTTGAAGTTGGGTAATGTGATGCCTCCAAATTTGTTCTTTTTGCTTAGGAATGCCTTCCCTATTTGAGCTCTTTTCTGATTCTGTATGAATTTTAAAATAGTTTTTTCTAATTCTGTGAAAATGTCATTGGTAGTTTGATAGAAATAGCATTGATTCTGTAGATTGCTTTAGGCAGTATGGCTGTTTTAGCAATATTGATTCTTCCTATCATGAGCATGGAATGTTTTTCCACTTGTTTGTGTCATCTCTGATTTCTTTGAGCAGTGCTTTGTAATTCTTGTTATAGAGATCTTTCACCTCCCTGGTTAGCTGTATTCCTATGTATTTTATTCTTGTGTGAATCCTGTTGTGAATGGGATTGCATTCTTGATTTGGCTCTTAACTTGGACATTATTGGTGTATAGAAATGTCACTAATTTTTGTACATTGATTTTGTATCCTGAAACTTCACTGAAGTTGTTTATCAGATCTAGGAGCTGTTGGGTGGAGACTATGGGGTTTCTAGATATAGAATATAGTCTGCAAACAGAGATCGTTTGACCTCCTTTCTTCCTATTTGGATGCCTTGTATTTCTTTCTCTTGCCTGATTGCTCTGGCTAGGACTTTTAGTACTATGTTGAATAGGAGTGGTGAGAGAGGGCATCCTTGTCTTATTCCAGTTCTCAAGGGGAATGCTCCCAGCTTTTGACAATTCAGTATGATGTTGGCTGTGTGTTTGTCAGAGATGGCTCTTATTATTTTGAGGTATGTTCCTCCAGTGCCTAGTTTGTTGAGAATTTTTAACATAAAGGAAGGTTGAATTTTATCAAAAGCATTTTCTGCAGCTATTGAGGTGGTTATGTGGTTTTGTTTTTAGTTCTGTTTATGTGGTGAATCATGTTTATTGATTTGTTTATGTTGAACTAAATTTGCATCCCAGGGATGAGGTTTGCATCTCAGGGATGAGGCCTACTTGATGATGGTGGATTAGCTTTTTGATGTGCTGCTGGATTTGACTTGCTAGAGCCCAGAAATAAAGCTGCACACCTTCAATTATCTGATCTTTAGCAATGCTGACAAAAACAAGCATTGAGGAAAGGACTCCCTATTCCATAAATGGTGGTAGCCATATGAATAAGATTGAAGCTGGACTTCTTATACCATATACAAAAATAAACTCAAAATGGAGTAAAGACTTAAATGTAAAATGCAAAGCTATAAAAACCTTGGAAGATAACCTAGGATATACCATTCTGGACATAGGCCCTGGCAAAGATTTCATGATGAAGATGCCAAAAGCAATTGAAACAAAAATAAAAATTGACAAATGGGACCTAATTAAACTAAAGAGCTTCTGCATGGCAAAAGAAACTATCATCAGAGTAAACAGACAACAGAATGGGAAAAAATATTTGCAAACTATGCATCCAACAAAGGTCTAATATCCAGAATATATAAGAGACTTAAATTAAGAAGCAAAAACCAAACAACTCCACTAAAAAGTGGGCAAAGAACATGAATAGACACTTCTCAAAAAAAGACACACAGGCAGTCAACAAGCATATGAAAAAATGCTCAACATTCACTAATCATTAGAGAAATGGAAATCAAAACCAAAATGAGATAACACCTCACACTAGTTAGAATGCCTATTATTAAAAAGTCAAAAAAAAAAAAAAAAACAAAGCAGAAGCTGGCAAAACTATGGAGAAAAAGGGAATGCTTATACATATGCTCATTGGAATGTAAATTAGTTCAGCCACTGTGGAAAGCAGTTTGGCAATTTCTCAAAGAACTTAGAAAAAAACTACCATTTTACCCAGAAATCCCATTATTGGGCATATACCCAAAGGAATATAAATTGTTCTACCATAAAGACACCCACACATATGTGCAATTGGAGCAATATTCCCAATAGCAAAGTCATGGAATCAATCTAAATGCCCATCAACAGTAGACTGGATAAAGAAAATGTGATACATATACACGATGGAATACTATGCAGCCATAAAAAAGAATGAGGTCATGTTCCTTGCAGTAACATAGATGGAACTGGAGACCATACTCCTACACAAACTAACACAGAAACAGAAAACTAAATACCATATGTTCTCACTTATTAGTGGGAGCAAAACATTGAGTAGCCATGGACACAAAGAAGGGAACAACAGACACTGGGATCTACTTGAGGGTGTTGGGTGGGAGGAGAGAGAAGACTGAAAAAATGTCTACTGGTACTATGCTTATTACCTGGGTGATGAAATAATATGTACACAAAACTCCCGTGACACATAATTTGCCTATTAACAAACCTGGACATGTACTTCTGAACCTAAAATAAAAGTTAAAAAAGAATGTCCATATGGCATTATTCATAAGATCCAAAAAGTAGAAACAGCTCAAATGTTCATCAGCTGATGAATGGATATATAAAATGTGATATGTTTATAAAATGGAATATTATTTGGCAATTAAATGTAGTATTGATACAGGCTACATTCTGAATAAATCTTGCAAATATGCTGAGTGAAAGAAGCTGGTCACAAAGGGCCACATATTATATTATTGTATTTATATGAAGTGCCCAGAATAGGCAAATGTTTATAGAGACATAAGATAGATTGGTGGTTGCCTAGGGCTTGGAGTTTGGAGGGAAATTGGAAGTGACTGCTAATGAGTATGAGGTTTCTTCCCCGGGTGATGAAAATTTTCTAAAATTGGTGGTGGTGATAGTTGTACAACTCTGTGAATATACTAAAAACCATTGAGCTTACACTTTAATTGAATGAGTTGGATGGTGTGTGAATTATATCCTTATAAAGCTGTTGATTTAGTTTTGCTTCTTCTTTAAATTCTACTAAAATGCCAGTAAATTGATTTTTCTTTTAAAAAGGCATAGACGAACACAACACCAACATTTTAGAACTTAGGAAATAGATGGATAAAGTCCCCAGAACATTAACTTTAAATTGACTTTAGGGAATGCTAAGAAGCAGCATGATTTTTGACGCTGGATCCTCAAAAGTCTCTGGAATAGGGAATACGTTGCTCACTCCCACCTCTAGAAGTGGGAAAACAGATTGGTTGAAGATCTAGAGATTGAGAGATCCATTCTTCCTTATCTGCATAGCTGGGCAAATGCTCGTTCTGCTTCCAGGAGAAGATAGGAGGTTTATTCTCTGGAGAGGGAGAGCAGAGGAGGCTGATGGATATCAAACATGGTTGAGGGTAGAGGTGCCATGCTAAAAACAGGGAGATAAGTGAAATTGGGCATTTTGAATGGTGAGACCACCCTGAGTCTGCCTCTCCTTTGTTCCCAGAGTTCTGGCATCCACAAATACACCCTGCAGGCAGGGATTTGAGAGGATCTTCTCTGGGAACTCTGACCAGTCCAAGAAAAGAGATTTAAAGTTAGCATATTGCTATTTCCCCTAAGTAAGGGCATCTCACCCACGTGCCAGAGCCTTTAATGTAAAAGCTCTTAGTGCCCTATTTTTAAAAAATATTATACTGTGGATTATTTTAAACAGACGGAAGTAGACAAAAGGGTATAACAAATTTCATATGATAAGCGTATAGCTTTAATCATTATCAACACATGGCCAACTTTGGGTTATCTTTACCTCCCTCTCTGCCCAATGGATTATTTAGAAGCAAATCCTGGACATCATAATACTTCATCCACAAATTCTTCAGCATATATCTGTAAATGATAAGTATTTAAAATAAACATAGTACTGTTACTATAACCCAAATATTAATTATTTAATACAAAGTATCCAGTCATTTTTCAATTTTTCAATTTCTTCCAATTATATCATAGACGTTTTTCTACAACTTGTTTGAATAAACATCCAACCAAGGTCCTCACTTTGTGTTTGGTTAATATGTCTCCTAAGTCTATGTATCAAGCCCCTCTTAGGTGCACCACTTCAGATCCTCTCAGCTCACCTTTCCCCAGGCCCTTGGCCACTTGTTTTATTCCAGTTGCCTTAGTGACAGCCTTCACATAAACAAAACCCAACAGTGGTGAGGCATCATGCCCATGGCATGGGGCTCCTGCATTCCTTCTTGGGAATTCCTTTTCCACGAGACGTGAGTTATTTTGGGACCCATGAATGTGCACAGGGAAGTTTTGGGTTGTTAACACTCAAAGGTAAATCTTTGATCAATGGGTGATGGGAGCTAGTGCATAAATTCCTCCATCGTCCTCTTCCTATGTAGGCTGTCCTGAAATGCAGTAGCTCAAATTGTGTCTCAGAAGACGGTCCCTCAAGACTGCACACTTGGCACCAAGTGGGGCAGGTCAGAAATGTACACTCTTTTATTAACCTATTTCCTCTTCTATTTCCCTTTCTCCTCATTTCCTGAGATAAGCTTTGCCTCAGGCTCTCTTTACTAGTGGATTCACGGTAAGGCAATTTTTTTTATAGACTTCCTCACTGTTTTAATTTCCTTTGTAATCTAGTTGTTGAAAAAAACATGTCATTCATTTATCGTCTAGAGTTTCCTATGTTCTGGTTTCTGCTGATTGTACACCTCATAGTAGTTTAACACGTTTTTCTGTCTCTTTTCTTTAAACTCGTATTTGGAACTAGAGACTTTATCAGATTCAGGGTTGATTTTCTGGCAAGAACATTATGTAAATGACATTTAAAATATCCTATTGTGGCTGGGCACGGTGACTCACACCTGTAATCCCAGCACTTTGGGAGGCTGAGGCGGGTGGATCACCTGAGGTCAGGAGTTCCAGACCAGCCTGGTCAACATGGTGCAACCCTGTCTCTACTAAAAATACAAAAAATTAGCTGGGCATGAAGGCGGGCGCCTGTAATCCCAGCTACTCAGGAGGCTGAGGCAGGAGAATCACTTCAACCCGGGAGGCGGAGGTTGCAGTGAGCCGAGGTCACTCCGTTGCACTCCAGCCTGGGCAAGAAGAGCAAAACTCCATCTCAAAAAAAAAAAAAAAAAAAAGGCCGGTTGCAACATCAGGAGAAAAACATATTTGATTACCGGAATATTTATCTTTTTGTGATGTTAAGATAAATCAGTAGGTTCAGACATTGTCAGCCTGATCTTTCCATTAAAAAGTCTGATATTTGCTTATTTTTAAAAGCAAATTTATAAAGGTATAATTTACATACAATAAAATACATCCACTTTTTACACCTGTGTAACCACCTCCACAGTCAAGATATGTTTTTTAGATTCATCTATGTTGTTGTGTGTATCAGTGTTAAAATTTGAATTTGCTGAGTAGAATTCCATTGTATGAATATAGCATGACTTATTTACCCATTCACCTGTTGATAAACACTTGTGTTGTTCTAGCTTTTGCCTGTTATGAATAAGCTTCTATTATGTTCAAGTCCTTTCATTCAACTGTTTTTCCTATTGAAAAAATACTTAGAATTTCTGAGTCACATGGTAAGGCTATATCTAACCTTAGAAGAAACAGACAAATTATTTTCCAAAGCAGTGGTATTTTTTATATCTTTGCCAGCAATGCATAAGAGTTTCAGTTGCTTCTTGGCATTGACAGTCTTTTTTTTTTTTTTTTTTTTTTTTTTTGAGATGGAGTCTCGCTCTGTCACCCAGGCTGAAGTACAATGGCGTGATCTCGGCTCACCACAACCTCTGCCTTCCAGGTTCAAGAGATTCTCCTGCCTCAGTCTCCTGAGTAGTGGGATTACAGGCATGTGCCACCACGCCCAGCTGATTTTGGCAGTCGTTTTAATAGCATTATACTAATGGATATGAATTGATATCACATTGTGGTTTTAATTTAATTTTTCTGAAGATTGCTAGTATTGAGCATCTTTCCATATGTGTATTGGCCATTTGTGTATCCAGTTTTGCAAAGTATCTGTTCAAATATTTTGCCCATTTTTAAATTTTGTTGTAAACTTCTTACTGAGTTGTAAACTCTTTATATATTCTGGTTACAAGTTATATAATATATAACAGATACATTAAAGTTTCTCCCAGTCTATGGCTTCTCCTTTTGTTCTCTTTCTTTTTTTTTTTTTTTTGAGACAGAGTCTCGCTCTGCTGCCCAGGCTGGAGTGAAGTGGCATGACCTTGGCTCACCGCAACCTCTGCCTCCTGGGTTCAAGCTATTCTGCCTCAACCTCCCGAGTAGCTGGGACGAGTGTGCCACCATGCCCAGCTAATTTTTGTATTTTTGGTTGAGACAGGGTTTCACTATGTTGGCCAGATGGGTCTCAAACTCCTGACCTTGAGATCCACCCTCCTCGGCCTCCCATAGTGCTGGGATTACAGGCATGAGCCACCGCTCCTGGACTTCTCCTTTCGTTTTCTTAGCAGTGTCTATTTAAAAAAAGATAGGTGTTACCCCCAAAAGTATGGGCCTATTTCTGGACTGTCTATTCTGTTCCACTGATGTATCTTTTTATCCATATGTCAGTAGTACATCTTGATTGTTATCGTTTTACAGCAAGTCTTGAAATCAAATGATATAAATCATCTCATTTAGTTTTTCTTTTGTAAAGTTGTTTTAACTATTCTAGGTCCTTTGCAATTTTCATATAAATATTTGAATCGGCTTGTCAATTTCTATAAAAATACCTGCTTGGGTTTTGATTAGGACTGCATTGAATCTATAAATCAATTTGGAAAGAAATGACATCTTAACAATGTTGAGTCTTCCAATTTATAAACATAGTATATCTCTTTTATTTGGGTCTTTAAAATATTTTTCACTATTGTTTTGTAGCTTTCAGAATGCAAGTCTTATATATTTTTTGCAAAATTGATCCTGTAGATTGCTTGTGACATTTAAGTGGTGTTTTTAAACTTTCAATTTTTAATATTTCATTGTTAGTATACAGAAATATAAATTAATTTTTATATATTGACCTTTATTAAACTGTCCATTATTCGTTTTAGTATTCTTTTTGTAGATTTCTTAGGACTTTCTACATATATAATCATATCATTGCAGAACAAGGACTGCTTTGTTTCTTTCTTTTCAGTAGTTATGTCTTCTATTCCTTTTTCTTGCTTGATCACACTGGCTAAGAAGTCTAGTATAATACTGAATGAACATGGTTAGAAAGGGTATCCTTGCCTTCTTCCTGATGTAAGGACGAAAGTCTGCTTTTAGGGATGATGTCAGCTGTAGGTTTTTCAATGTTCTTTATTAGATGAAAACACTTCCATTGTTTCCTAGATTCCTGAAAATTTTTATAATAAATGGATGTTGGATTTTTATTAAATGCTTTTCCTGCATTTATTAGAATCAATAGTTTTTCCTTTGTTCTAAGCAATATCACATTGATTGACAATATTATAATAATGTTAAGCAAACCTTGCATTCCTGAGATGAAAATCATTTGGTTATCATATATTCTCCTTATTATATATTGTTGTATTATTTTGCTAAACTTTTATTCAGGGTTTTTGAGTATATATTAGTGTGAAACATTGATATGTAGGCTTTTTCCCCCTTATAATGTCTGTCTAATTTTGGTATCCAAGAAATCCTAGCATTATGGAATGAGTTGAGTAAGAAATATTTCCACTTCTTTAATTTATTTGAAAGACTTTGTGTAGAATTGATATTATTTTTTCCTTAAGTGTTTGATAGAATTTGTCTATGAAACCAGCTGGGCCTGAAATTTTCTTTGTAGGAAGCTTTTAAATTATAAATTTAATTTTTAATAGAGGATTATTTGATTTTTACTTTTTCTTGACTAGGTTTTAGTAGTTTGTTTTTTTCAAAGAATTTTTAAAAATCTCATCTCTTTTGTCAAATTTATGGGATCAAATTGTTTGTAATATGCCTTTATTGTCACTTTTTTTTAAGACAGTGTCTTGCTCTGTCACTCAGGTTGCAGTGTAGTGATGTGAGGCTCACGGCAGCCTTAACCTCCCAGGCTCAAGTGATTCTCCCACCTCAGCCTGCCAAATAGCTGGGACTACAGGCATGCACCTCCACAACTGGGTAATTTTTAAATTTTTTGTAGAGATGGCGTCTCACTAGGTTGCTCACGTTGGTCTCAAACTCCTGGGCTCAAGTGATCCTCCCATCTTGGCTTCCCAAACTGCTGGGATTATAGGCATGAGGCACCGCTTCTGGCCCTTTATTATCTTTTTAATGGATGTAATATCTCTAGCTAGAAGGTTATCAATTTTACTTTTTCAAATAAACAGGTTTTGTTTTTAATTGATTTTTATGTACAGTTTTTCTGTTTTCAACTTTACTGACTTTAGCTCCTAACTTTAATATTTTCTTTCTTCTACTTTGGGTTTAATTTGCTCTTCTTTTTCTTAGCTTCAAGTCAAAGCTTTGTTCATTGACTTTAGAGCTTCTTTTATGATTGTTTAAACAATTAAAATTCCATAAATTTCTTCCTATACGCTGTTTTAGCTTCATCTCACAAAATTTGCTTTGTTGTTCTTTCATTTTCATTGAGTTCAAAATATTTTCTAATTTCTATTGTGACATATTCTTTTACCTATGGGTTATTTAGAAGTATATTGTTAGTTCCAAACATTTGCATATTTTTAGATATTTTCCTGTTGTTGGTTTCTAATTATTGCCTTGTGGTCACATATGCAACAAAATTATATTACTCTATAATTTCAATACATTTCATTTTCTTGAGATTTATTTTATACCCTAGTGTGTGGTCTTCATAAACATTCCATATGCACTGAAAAGAGTGTGTATTCTGTAGTTGTTGGATATAGTGTTCTATAAATATTAGTTATGTCAGATTGATTTATAGTGTTTTTCAGCCCCATTATACCCTTACTGGTTTTTTTGTTTGATTGTTCAGTCTATACTTATGTTTTGCTTGAGATGAAATTATTTCTCTGGCTGCTTAGAGCTACTTTCAATAGATTCAGTCTTTTACATTGATTTTACCATTTTAGATTCCTACACTCTTTTGTTTTGATTCCTTGCTTGTGTGACTGGATTTCATCGTTAAATAGTTTTTTCAAAATGTGTTTTAAGAAAGTATGATTTTTGTTTAAAAATGTTTACCTGTGGTTTTTATACCAGACAACATGTATGGGTAGATCTTTTCTTTTTCTCAGAATCTGGTATATGTTATTCCAATGTCTTCTGGAATTAAATTTTCTGTGGATAAGTCATCCTGCATTTTTACCCTATTTATGACTTTTAAATTTCTGCCTGGATTTCTTCCTTTATTTTTAAATTTATATATTTTATTATGAAATATAGTACACATACAGATTCCTTTATTTCTAAAGTTTAACAGTTTAATCAGACTACGTCGTGGTATTTAGTACATTATATCATTTTTACTTGATACTTAGTGTGCTCTTTCAAGTTTTTAGATTCTGTTCTTTATTCATTTCAGGGTAATTTTATATCTCTAAATACATTTTCCCCCTCTAAATCCATTTTATTTTTTACTTCAAGGACACCACCTACATTTAAGTTGAACTGTCTTTGTTCTCTATTATTTTACCTTCATTCATTTCATTTCTTTTATTTTTATTATGTATTCACTCTTTTTATCTTAAGATATTCCTCCACATCATTGATTTAATATTTAGCCTTATCTGTTTTATTCCTTGCCGTATCTAGGTTACTTATGGGATATATAATGGTGAGAGGTTTTTGGTATTCTCAATATGCTTTTTTTCATTCTCCATCTCCTTTCCCATCTCCATGTTGTTATATGTTCTTGCCTTTGCATTCTTTTTATATTGAATTAATTTTTTTTTTTGAGACAAAGTTTCACTCTGTGGCCAGGCTGGAGTGCAGTGGCGCAGTCTCGGCTCACTGCAACCTCTGCCTCCCGGGTTCAAGTGATTCTCCTGCCTCAGCCTCCCGAGTAGCTGGGACTACAGGCATGTGCCACCACGCCCAGCTAATTTTTGTATTTTTAGTAGAGATGGGGTTTCACCGTGTTGGCCAGGATGGTCTGGATCTCTTGACCTTGTGATCCGCCTGCCTTAGCCTCCCAAAGTGCTGGGATTACAGGTGTGAGCCACTGTTCCTGGTCAAATTAATATTCTTAATAAAGTTATTCTATAGAGACATTGTAAAATAATATTCTCCTGTTTCTTGAGCCCTATTCCAATTTTAGTCTTTCGTTTGTCTTTTGCATGCTACATTCCTTTATCTTCTTCTTCTTGTTTCTATTCATAGATTCTATTTAATTTCTTTTAACCTTGCCTATGCTTGGGAAGCTTTGTCCAAACTTTTATTTTCTCTATTATAGCATAGGCTTATGACATTTCTTATTTATAGCTGATGCTTCTACTATCTCACCGCATATTGCCTTCACTTAACGTGAGCATACCTATAGCTGCAGACAGTTCCTGGCATGCTGACAGCTTCCTTCCACAAGGACCTGCATTTCTCACTTTACTGCCTGTAGGCCTTCTTCAACACCACGGAAATTTTCTTGATTGTGTGTAAACATGACCCAGAAGTGTGGGAAGAATTATGCTCTTGGGGAAACCCCTAAACAAGGGGAGATAGAAGTCAGTGAATAAAGAGGGTATCAACCACAGAGAATGCATTGAACAAGTGGACATGATAACTCAGCCATTAGAGACCAGCCAGTCTCTGTCCTCAACCACCATAGTGCTTGCACAAAGAGTCCATGAACAGTATAGCCTTGGTGGCAAGCCTGGAGACTCTGTATAGGTCTAACAACTACACAAAAGACATTTGAGATAATCATGTAAATTTCAACATAGGATAGACAACACAGTCATGTGCTGCCTAACAATATTTTGATCAACAGGACCACATATGCAGTGGTTGTCTCATAAGATTATAATGAAGTTGAAAAATTCCTATTGCCTAGTGATGTCCTGACATTGTAATACAATACATTATTTATGTGTTTGTGGTGACACTATTACAAACAAACCTACCGCACTGCCAGTCATATAGGTAATGTGTGTGTGTCTTAGTTTTTAATAAAAAGTTTAAGAAGTAAAAGAATAAAAATTAAAAATAGAAAAAAGCTTATAGAACAAGCATATAAAGAAAAAATTATTTTGTGCAGGTGTACAATGTGTGTTTAACTTAAGTGTTATTACAAAGGAATCTTAAAAGTTAAAAAAAATTAAAAGTAAGTAAATTATAAGTAAAAAAGTTACCATAAGTTAAGGTTAATTTGTTATTGAAGAAAGAAAGCATTTATTTATTTATTTATTTATTATTTTAATAGCTTTAGGGATACAAGTGGTTTTTGTTATTTGAATGAACTGTATAGTGATGAAGTCTGGGCTTTTATTGCACCTGTTACTTAAGTAGTATACATTGTACTCAATAGGTGACCTTTTTTTGTCCCTCACCTCCTTCCCACCCTCCTTACTTCTGAGTCTCCAATGTCCATTTTTACCACTCTGTATGCCTTTGTGTAATCCATGGCTTAGCTCCCACTTATAAGTGAGAACAGGAGGTATTTGCTTTTTTGTTCCTGAGTTACTACTTAGGATAATGGCCTCCAGTTCCATCCAAGTTGTTGCAAAAGACATCCATTTCTTCTATATTTTCTAGTTTGTGTGTATGAAGGTGTTCATAATGGCCTCTGAGGGTCTTTTGTATTTCTGTGGAATTGGTTGTAATGTCACCGTTGTTGTTTGTGATTGTTCTTATTTGAATTTTCTTTTTCTTTGTTACTCTGGCCAGTGGTCTATTGATCTTGTTTATTCTTTTGAAAAACAATTTTTTTGTTTTATTGATTTTTGTATGAATTTCTGGGTCTCAATTTTATTCATTTCTTCCCTGATGTTAGTTATTTCTTTTCTTCTGCTAGCTTTGGGGTTAGTTTGTTTTTGTTTTTCTAGTTCCTTTAGGTGCGATGTAAGATTGTTAATTTGAGATCTTTTTAACCATTTGAGGTAGGTGTTTACTGCCATAAATATTCTCTTAACACTGCTTTTACTGCATCCCAGAGATTTGGGTATGTTTTGTTTGTATTTTCCTTTATTTCAAAACATTTTTTTATTTCTGCCTTAATTTCATTCTTTACCCAAAAGTCATTCAAGAGCAAGTTGTTTAATTTCCATGTAATTGTGTGGTTTTGGGAGATCTCAGTATTGATTTCTATTTTTATTCCACTGTGGTCTCAGGGTATGGTTGGTATGATTTCAATATTTTTAAATTTATTGATACTAGCTTTATGGTCTAGCACGTGGTCAATCTTGGAGTATATTCCATGTACAGATGAGAAGAATGTATATTCTACAATTTATGGGTGGAGTGTTCTGTAGATGTCTATTATATCCAGTTGGTTAAGTGTCGAATTTAAGTCCAGAGTTACTTTGTTAGTTTTCTGCCTTGATGTTCTGTCTAATTCTTCAGTGTGGTTTTGAAGTCCCCCTGCTATTATTGTGTGACTGTCTAAGTCTTTTTGTAGATCTAGAAGTAGCTGTTTTATGAACCTGGGTGCTCCAATGTTGGGTGCATATATAATATATTTAGGATAAGATTCTATAGATGTGATTAAAGTAGGATTAAAGTCTTACTTGGGAGGTGAAAGATCTCTACAATGAGAATTAAATTACGCTGCTGAAAAAAATCAGAGACAACACAAACAAATGAAAACTATTCCATTCTCACAGACAAGAAGAATCAATATTGTTAAAATGGTCATACTGCCCAAAGCAATCTACAGTTTCAATACTATTCTTATCAAACTACCAACGACATTTTTTCATAGAATTAGAAAAACTATTCTGAAATTCATATGGAACCCAAAAAGAGCCTGAATAGCCAAAGCAATCCTAAGAAAAGGAACAAAGCTGGAGGCATCACATTACCTGACTTCAAACTATACTACAAGGCTATAGTAACCAAAACAGCATGGCACTGGTACACAAACAGTCACATAGACCAATGGAACAGCCCAGAAATAAAGAAAAAACCTAGGAAATGCCATTCTTGACATAGGTCCTGGCAAAGATTTCATGAAGTAGGCACTAAAAGCAATTGCAACAAAAACAAAAATTGACAAATGGGACCTAATTAAACTAAGAGATTCTACACAGCAAAATAAACTATCTTTAGAGTAAACAGACAACCTACAGAATGGGAGAAAATATTTGCAAACTATGCATCCAACAAAGATCTAATATCCAGAATATATAAGGAACTTAACAGGAAAAAAACAAACAATCCCATTAAAAAGTGGGCAAAGGACATGAACAGACACTTCTCAAAAGAAGACATATACACAGCCAGGAAGCATATGAAAAATGCTCAACATCACTAATAGTTAGAGAAATGCAAATCAAAACCGAAATGAGATACTATCTCACACCAGTCAGAAAGGCTATTATTAAAAAGTCAAAAAATAACATGCTGGTGAGGCTGCAGAGAAAAGGGAATGTTTATACACTGCTGGTGGGAATGTAAACTAGTTTAGCCACTGTGGACTGCAGTTTGGCAATTTCTCAAAGAACTTAAAACAGAACTACCATTTGGCCCAGCAATCCCATTATTGGGTACATATCCAAAGGAATAGAAATTGTTCTACCAAAAAGACACATGCATGCATGTGTTCATTTCAGCACTATTCACAATAGCAAGGACATGGAATCAACCTAAATGCCCATCAATGGTAGGCCGGATAAAGCAAATGTGATATATATATACCATAGGATAGTACACAGCCATAAAAAGAACAAAATCATGTCCTTTGCAGCAACATGAATGGAGCTAGAGGCCATTATCCTAAGCAAGCTAAGGCAGGAACAGAAAACCAAATACTGCATTTTCTTACTGGTAAGTGACAGCTAAACATTGAGTACACATGGACACAAAGAAGAGAACAATAGACACTGGGGTCTTCTTGAGGGTGGAGAATGGGAGGAGGGCAAGGATTGAAAAACTACCTATTGGGTGTTATGCTTATTACCTGGAAGATGAAATAATCTGTACGCCAAACCCTTGTGACACACTTTTTATCTATATAACAAACCTGCACATGTAACTTTGAACCTAAAATAAAACCTTTTTTTTTTTTTTTGGAGACAGAGTCTCAGTCTGTCACCCAGTCTGGAGTGCAGTGGCACGATCTCGGCTCACTGCAACCTCCGCCTCCCAGGTTCAAGCAATTCTCTGCCTCAGCCTCCTGAGTAGCTGGGATTACAGGCATGTGCCACCACGCCTGGCTAATTTTTGTATTTTTAGTAGAGATGGGGTTTCACCATCTTGGCCAGGCTGGTCTTGAACTCCTGACCTTGTGATTCACCCGCCTCGGCCTCCCAAAGTGCTGGGATTACAGGAGCGAGCCACCAGGCCCAGCCAAATAAAACCTTTTTATAAAAACGAAGTCTTACTTTACTAAGTAAGGGAGATTATGCCCCATACTCTGTGTAGGCCTGCCTGAATCAGTTGAAAGGCATTAAGAACAAAACTGAGGCTTCCCTGAAGAAAAACTTCCATCCGTGGATTGCAGCTTCCTTTCTGTACCTTCCTTTCCTGATGACCTGCCTACAGATTTTGCACTTGTAACCAGCTCCCAGAATTACAAAAATCAATTTATTGCAATAAATCTTTTTTTTTTTTTAATTTTTCTTTTTTGAGGTGGAGCCTCGCTCTGTCTCACAGGCTGGAGTGCAGTGGTGAGATCTCGGCCCACTGCAACCTCTGCCTCCCAGATTCAAGCGATTCTCCTGCCTCAGCCTCCCAAGTAGCTGGGATTACATGCATGGGCCACCATGTCTGGCCAATTTTTGTATTTTTAGTACAGATGGGGTTTCACCATGTTGGCCAGGCTGATCTCAAACTCCTGACCTCAGGTGATCGGCCCTCCTTGGCATCCCAAAGTGTTGGGATTACAGGCATGAGCCACTGGCCTGGCCTTGTTGCAATAAATCTCTTAATACATATCTCCTACTGGTTCTGTTTTTCTGTGGAACTCTTACTGATACAAATATTATGTTGGCTTCATTTCCATTCTACTTATTAGTGGAAGGTGTTGTAACCTCTCTATGCTTCACTTATCATTTATAAGTCAGAAACAATAATATTGTCCACCATTAGTGTATTGGTGAGGATTAAATAGTTATTTATACTTGTAACTGTTTGCTATGTTAAAGCAGGCTTTCTTCTGATTTACCAAAGTTATTATCAGGAATGGTTACAGAATATTATCAAATGCATTTCTAGCATCTATTAGCATGATCATGAAGTTTTCTATTTTGATTTACAGATGCCATAATAAGAGATTGGCAATAAATCTGCTTTATATTCTTGAGATAAAGCCAATTGTTTGCAGTGCATTCTTTCTTTTAGTGTGCTCCTAAATTCCACTTTCCTTATATTATATTTAGAATTTTCCATCTATATTTTAAGTGAATTCATGTCATACATTTGTCAAGGATTGCCATCAAATTATGCTGGCTTAATAAAATAAATTGGGAAACTAGCCATATTTTTTGTTTTGTTTTGTTTTGTTCTAATAACAGAATGTTACCTCTGCAGTATCTACAGTTGGAATTTATTGACAATTTTTATGGCATAATATACATGATCAATCTTTATAAATGTTTAATGGGCTCTAGAAAGGATAATGTATTTCCTGTAGGGAATAAAATTTGGCTGCAACTGTAGCTATAGCTATTCAACTTTCCTATATTATTCAGATCTTTGTTTTAAGTAATTAATTATTATTATTATTATTTTGAGATGGAGTTTTGCTCTTATTGCCCAGGCTGGAGTGCAGTGGTGTGATCTCCGTTCACTGCAACCTCTGCCTCCCAGGTTCAAGCGATTCTACTGCCTCAGCCTCCCGAGTAGCTGGAATTACAGGCGCCTGCCACCACACCCGGCTAATTTTGTGTTTTTAGTAGAGACGGGATTTCTCCATGTTGGTCAGGCTGGTCTTTAACTCCTGACCTCAGGTGATCCACCCGCCTCAGCCTCCCAACGTGCTGGGATTACAGGCGTGAGCCACCACGCCCGGCCTGTTTTAATTTATTTACTTTTACTATTTGACTTGTCAAACAGCAAAACAGGTGCTCTTATTTTCTTCATGATGCACCACACTTATTTTTTTTGCCTTCTCTAACTGAGTGCTATTCTGTTCATAAAGGTTCATGATTAAAATTCTTTTGTTTCCTTTTTTAACTGGCTTTTGTGAGCACTATCATGATTAAGATTCTTATAAAATTACCTTCTTTAAATGGGAAAACATATTCGCAAACTATATATCTGAAAAGGGGTTAATATCCAAAATACATAAGGAACAGAATTCAACAACAACAACAACAACAACAAAAACCCTGATTTTAAAATGGGCAAAAGATCTGAGTAGGCATTTCTCAGAAGAAGATATACAAATGGGCAACGGGTATGTTTTTTAAATGTTCACCATTTTTAATCATCAGGGAAATGTAAATCAAAACCGCAATGAGATATCACCTCACCCCAGTGAGAATGGCCATTATCAAAAAGACAAAAGATAAGTGTTGGCAAGAATGTGGAGAAAAGGGAGCCCTTATACATTGGTGGGAATGTAAATTAGTACAACCATTATGGAAAACAGTATGAAGCTTCCTCAAAATATTAAAAATAGAACTGCCATATGGTTCAGCAATCCCACTACGGGGTATATATCGAAAGGAAATGAAATTACTATGTCAAAGAGTGATCTGTACTCCTGTGATTATCACAGCACCATCCACAATAGCCAAGATATGGAATCAGTCTAAGTGTTTATCAGTGGTTGAATGGATAAAGAAAATGTGGTATATACACATTTACTGTACTTACCTATTTTCACACCACAGTTGACTGTGGGTAGCTGAAACACTGGAAAGCAAAACTGTGCATATGGAGGGACTACTGTGCTGCATGATCTCACTCATGTGAAATCTGAAAAGGCTGATCTAATGGGAGTAGAGAGTAAAATGGTGGTTAGCAGAGGCTTGGACGGTTAGACAGGAGGGAGATTTGGTCAGTCATAATAATTAGATAGACAGAAGTTAGATAGAAGCAATAAATTTCAAGAGCTTTACAGTACAGCAAGGTGACGATAGTTAATGATGACACATTGTATGCTTATTTGTTTCCTTAAAAAATATAAAGTGGATGTTATGTGCTTTCGCCACAATTACTATGTGAGGTAAGGCATTTGTTAATTACTGAAATTTAACCATTCTACAATGTTTATATACTCTGAAATGTCATGTTGTACATGATAAAAACATACAATGTTATCTGTTAATTTAAAATAAATAAATAATTAGAAAAGAAATTACCCTCCGTCTTGTTCATTTTTAGGGGGAGGAGTAAATTCGACTATGACATATGGATACTGAGTAACTATGTTTGTTTGCATTTAGTTATCATATCTTTGCCTATCCTATTACTCCTAAACTTTCTGTGATTTAGATAAATGTTTTATAAATAAAATATAGTTAGAATTTGTAAATATTCTGAAAATCTCAAGCTCTAATAGTGGAGATTAAGCTATTTATTTTTATTGTGAGTATGATATAGTTGGTATATATGTCCTCTTTTTAAAACATGTTTTTTCTTTTTCTTTCATTACTATGTATACTGTCTTTTCCTATATGGGCTGTGCTTCCCTTATTTCAATATTTTCCAGTGTTTTTGAAAGTATTTATCTTATATTAACATTTTTCTACTGGTTTTCTGTTTTTCTTTTCTTCTTTTCTTTTCTTTTCTTCTTTTTTGACAGAGTTTCACTCTTGTTGCCCAGGCTGGAGTGCAGTGGTGCAATCTTGGCTCACTGCAACCTCCACCTCCAGGGTTCAAGCAATTTTTCTGCCTCATCCTCCCGAGTAGCTGGGATTACAGGCATGTGCCACTATGCCTGGCTAATTTTGTATTTTTAGTAGACATGAAATTTCCCCATGGTGGCCAGGCTGGTCTTGAACTCCTGACCTCAGGTTATCCAACCGCCTTGGCCTCCTGAAGTGCTAGGATTACAGGCGTGAGCCACTGCGCCCGGCCTGGTTATCTGTTTTTCAAAAGCATTCTTGAAACCACATTATTTGCTTGTCAAAGTGAAGAGTAAATGTAAAATAAATACTGTTATTTTACATTTATGTTTGCCACTCCCCCACCCATATAAACACTTCTTTTATCGTTAACTGTATATAATAAAATCAATCGACCAGGGAATGTTATATGACTAGCTTTAAGATAACTGTCGTTGGTTATAATGCATTCAAGCTCGGAAACTAGTACAAAGAATGGGAAAAAAATCTGTCAGGAGCAACACAGCAGCTTTTTCAAAAATTTTTTCATCACCCAATGTGGTGATAATTTATTTACTCCTAGTCAGTTGTGCAAAGAAAATATTGGTTCTTTGTTTTTCTGCAACACAATTAATCTGCATGAGCCTTACCTGACAGGTTGCAGGGAATAACAAACATTTCATTAATGGTTTCTAGGTTTCTTTAGTAATACACTTGCCTTCAGGTAAATGCTCAGTATTTGGAATGTTCCCTTCCTCAGTGAGAGAGGTTCCATGTCTCTTTCTCTTTTAATAAGGGCACTAATTTCATCATGAGACACTACCCTCATGGCCTCATCTAAGTCCAATTACTTTCCAAAGGCCCCATCTCCAAATACTATCACATTGGAGGTCAGGGGCTTCTTCAATATATGCATTTTGGGGAGATGCAACCATCCAGCCTACAGCAGCTACTTATGCACTTGGTATTTTCCACAAACTGTTGTAAACATAAGACACTGTTTTCAGTTTCTGTTGAATCATGCCTACAACCTGAACAAACTTTGCCCAATTCCATAGGTAAAATTCTGGACCACTTTTCCAGCAGGGCAGTAGGGACAAATAGCAGCTAAAATGACTTAAGTTTTGCCACTGAACTGATCAGGATGAAGTTCCAACTCAACCATTGATAGCTGGACCTGAGTTTTCTCATCTGCAAAAAGGGACTGATAAGAAAAATAGCTAGCTATGTAAGTGCTAGATAAGCCCTGTGCCAAGCATCTTTTGTAAACATCGAGGTAAATACTATTATTACACGTATTTTGTTCATGAGGGAATTAAGGCCTAGTGAGGTTAAGTAAAAACGCTGAAAGTTAATCCAAGTCAAGGAGCTTGGATTCCAACCCAGCTCTGATTCTGAAACCTAAGCTGTACAATGGTTGTACATTTTACATAAGAAGGTGCATACAGAGTAGTTATTGGTAGTTATTGTTACATTTATCATTGTTGAAGATGAACTTGCTATGTTCAATTCTTTCATTCATTTGTTCATTCATTCCATATTTATGGAGTCCCTGTTATACGCTGAGCTAAGCACTCTGGCACAGTGAGCTGAGACTGCCCTTTCTTCTCTCTTTCATCCTCTGTTCACTCCCCTGGTACATGATGCAGGCAAAGCTCTGTGATGGAATTCCAAGTTGACAGATTCAGTTCATGAGCCAGGCTGTCTCAGTGTGCGTTCTCCCTGAGGCGGAGCCTGAGACAAGGACTTGAGTAGTCTTTCGGGATGCCTCTTTACTGAGGAAATGTTCTTAGGAAGCAGGAGTGAGGGATGGTGACAGTGAGGCAAGGAAGGAGGAAAAGCTAGTGTAAGGATGCATGATCAAAGCTGCTACTATGGACAGCAGTGCTGGATTCTGCCAGGGTCTCTTAAGAAGTGTACAGAATGCCTGTCAGACAGTTTCCCTGAAGATGAGAGGGGCTAGAGCATTTACCTGCCCACTCTACTCTGTACTAAATTCATTGAGGGTTGCCCCAGAAGACGTAAATTTCAGCCTGCACTTGTCTATCCTACAGAGGCTGGAGGCAGAATGCAGAGACTCCACATATACACGAGGTGGGTCACCAGTGTAAAGTGAGTCTGAGCCCTCTAGTACCAGCTTCCGGGGCTACAGCTGAAAGCTTATGCCTGATACACACGCTTCCTGCCTCCCCACTGCGTGGCTCCAGTTCCAGTCTCTCTGTACTTCATATCACAACACATTTTATTCAGAGCAATAGCCCTCGGCCCCAGGAAAAGGTTAACTGATGTTCCACTAACTTGGTTTACCTAGGTAGCAGCAATAGGAGAAGTTTGGTGGTATAATTTGAACAATGTCTCTGGCTACCAGGCCACAGGTGAAAAATCCCTGGCCCACCATCATATCCTCAAAGAAAGCCATTCCTCTTCAGCTTAAACATCTAGAGTTGCTTCTGCCATGTGCAACTGAAAACATTGACCAATATAACCCCCATGACACTGGATAAATGATGTTTTGTTTTATGATATTTGGCCTATGTTATTATGAAGAATTAAGACCAGATTAGTCCTAGAAATAACAATAAACTTTAAGACTATCTGTGTAGGGCAAAGTACCAAGAAACATGAAACATTCAAAATTGGAATTTGTTTTTTTTTCTACCAAGAGTCTGAAAACTCAAAGGCAGCCTGATCACTGTACATAGAAAGCAGGTTTTTTGGCACATGGTCAAAGAAATTTTTCTTATGAAATCATTTCTGCCCTTACAATTGCTGCTCCTTGTAGCTTAGATTGATTGTTTCTTTTGTCATTATGTGCCAAATATTTTACACAAAAGATAAAATGCAGCAAAAATAAATCAAAGTAGAATGGCTGTCCTTCATGGCCAACTTTTATTTTCTGCTGGATTCTGGCTGATTTCTGAAGAGTTCAGAGTTCCAGAGAGCAATCAGAGGTGGATTTTATTAAATCATGGGTTATAGAACTTTACAGCTTGAAAACTAGAGTCCACTCTTCTTGTTTTGAGGTTTCACAACTAATCAGAGTCAGATATAGATTAGAAAAACCCTGGTGTATTGTTCCTTCTCTGCAAACACATCTGTTCTAAGAGAAGCAAGTGCTATCCTGTTCTGCACAGACCTTTACTTATAGCAATTCTTTCTGTCCATGACTCTCAAATCAGGGATTTTGCTGATGAAACAGATGAACAAAGAGATGAAAGTTAAAATGGCCTTGGCATTTGGGAGGGAGGAAAATGTATGTGCTGGGCTTCAGGGTTTTTTCCTAAAAGTGGTCCCCATGTGGCAGGAAGTTCCTTCCCTTTCCTGGGTTCTCCCCTGAACTCCAGATTTAGCCAAATTTATTTCTCCTCAGGGTCCTTTTAGTTTCTGCTTAATGAGACCGGGGGTTGCTGAGTGTTTGACTGATGCTTGGTTTATGTACAGCCTGTATTCATCTTCCTGAGAAAGGACATTGCACAAGAAAGGATTGCCAATGGCAACCGTGGTGGCATTTCTGAGAGCAGCAGCAGCATTCTCAGCAGCTCTGTTCCCCACCCCAGTGGAAGGAAACCCCACACTGACCAGCGGATGGAGGGATGGAGGGAGGCCTGACTCCTAGAGCAATTATAACATCCCTATGCACAGAGACCTTGCGTTCTTTTCAGTAAACATTAGACCTGCTCACTTTTTACCCACATACAGTTCTGATTTCTAGGACACCTGAGCCAAGTCTAGGCTGGAGGAAAATACTTCTAGAGTAAAATCAGATCGGTGCAAAGGAGTTGCAACATCTCAACTGGCTTCATGGATCAAATATTACATTTCCATGTCAGATTCAGGTGCCCGAACTGATCTCTTTGCTGGAATCCCCCAGCTAAGAAATGCAAATCTCTGGCCTGCCTATAGCAAGGTCCCAAGCAATGCCCTTGGCGGCTTAGCCAGGACACAGTGACTTGGAATACAGCTTGCTAAGCGTGTGGCCTGGCCAGGATGGTGTAACTGGCAAGCTAGCTGGAACAAGTTCTTCTGCTTCAGGCCAGTGAATATTTATGTCGGGCCAGGAGTAAAGAAAATGGATTTCACTTACTTTGTATCCTGTGTATTGCCTGGGGAGAGGGTGGCAAGTGAAAGTTTTTTGTGTCTGTAGCACTTTTGGTAGCTCCGCTAAGCTTGCTGCCTGTGCCCTCCCTTTCTGTCCACCTCTCCTTTCCTCTTCAGGACAGAACTCAGCATACTGCACATAAATATGCATATGACCGTTCACATCCCCTGGTTTCAAGGGGATTTTTTTTTTTTTTTTGAGACAGAGTTTCGCTCTTGTTGCCCAGGCTGGAGTGCAATGGCGTGATCTCGGCTCACTGCAACCTCCACCTCCCGGGTTCAAGTGATTCTCCTGTCTCAGCCTCCTGAGTAGCTGGAATTGCAGGTGCCTGCCACTATACCTGGCTAATTTTTGGTATTTTTAGTAGAGACGGAATTTCACCATGTTGGCCAGGGTGGTCTCAAACTCCTGACCTCAGGTGATCTGCCCGCCTTGGCCTCTCAAAATGCTGGGATTTTAATAAAGCTGGATGGTCCTTGGAATTCAAACTTTAAAAACAGGTAGATTGAGTAGTGATTTATCGAACAGCCCTCGAATTGAAAAGAAAAAAACCCACACTTTCATGAAGGTATAATCGACACAAAATAAACCACATGTGATTAAGTGTACAATTTGATAAGATTTTTCCTTTTATTTTTAGTTGACACATAATTATACATATTTATAGGATATAGAGTGATATCTTAATACATGTATACAATGTGCAATGATCAAATCAGGGTAATTAGCATATTCATAACCTCAAATATTGATCATTTCTTGGTGAACATTCAAAACTCTCTCTTCTAGCTTTTTGAAAATACACAATGAATTATTATTTGTAGTCACCCTATAGTGCTATAGAACACTAACTTATTCCTCTTATCTGCCTGTAATTTCCTGTCTGCTAAACACCCTCCATATCCTTCTCTCCCTCCTATTCTTCTCAGCCTCTAATAACCACAGTTCTGCTCTCTACTTCTATGAGCTCAACTTTTTTTTTAGCTCCCACATAGGAGTGAGAACGTGTGGTATTTATCTTTCTGTGCTTGACTTATTTCACTTAATATAATGTCCTCTAGGCTCATCCATGTAGCTGCAAATGACAGGATTTCATTCTTTTTTATGGTTGAATCGTATTCCATTGTGTATATCTACCACATTTTCTTTTCTTTTCTTTTTTTTTTTTTTTGAGGTGGAGTCTCACTGTGTTGCCCAGGCTGGAGTGCAGTGGCACAATCTCTGCTCACTGCAACCTCCACCTCCCAGGTTCAAGCGATTCTCCTGTCTCAGCCTCCTCAGTAGCTGGGATTACAGGCATGCGCCACCACATCCAGCTAATTTTTTTTTTAATTTTTAGTAGAGACAAGGTTTCTCCATGTTGGCCAGGCTGGTCTTGAACTCCTGACCTCAGGTCATCTGCCTGCCTTGGCCTCCCAAAGTACTGGGAGTACAGGTGTGAGCCACTGCGCCTGGCCCCACATTTTCTTTATCCATTCATCTGCTGATGAGCATTTAGGCTGATTCCATATCTTGACTATTATGAATAGTGCTGCAATAAACATAGGGGTGCAGATACCTCTTTGACATACTGATTTCATTTCCTCTGGATACTTACTCAGAGGTGAGATTGCTGATCATATATGGTAGTTCTACTTTTAGTTGTTTGAGGAACCTCTTACTGTTTTCTATTAGGTTAGTGCAAAAGTAATTGCAATTTTTGCCGTTACTTTTGATTGCAGTTTTTGCCATTAACAAGTAATGGCATGTATGAGTTCCCCTTCTCCCAGTTGTCACCAGCATTTGTTATTTTTTGTCTTTTTGATAATTGCCATTCTAACTGGGGTGAGATTATCTCTCACTGTGGTTGTTTTTTGCCTTTCTCAAGTGATTAGTGATGTTGTGCATTTTCTCACATACTTGTTGGCCATTTGTATGTTTTCTTTTGAGAAATGCCTTTGCCGATTTTTTGATGGGATTTTTTTTTTTTTCCGGCTGTTCAGTTGTTTGAATTTCTTGTAGATTTCAGATATTAGTCCCTCATTGGATGAATAGTGTGCAAATGTTTTCTCCCATTCTACAGGTTGTCTCTTCATTCTGTTAATTGTTTCTTTTCTGTGCAGAAGCTTTCTAGTTTGATACAGTCCCATTTGTCTATTTTTGCTTCAGTTGCCTGTGCTGTTGAAGTCTTACCCATAAAATCTTTGCCTAGACCAATGTCTTGAAGTGTTACCCTTAGGTTTTCCAATTTGATAAGTCCTGGCAGACGTATATGTCACTTGATTGTGGTAAAGCTGTCATCATAACCAAGAAAATGAACATACTCATCACCCCCTAAATTTTCCTCTTGCCCCTTTGTCATCCATTTCTCTCCTCCATTCCTGCTCCCTGACCTTCCAAAGCTCCACCCGAAATCCCCAGGCAACCACTGATCTGCTTCCTCTCAGATTAGTTTTCATTTTCTAGAAGTTTATATGAATGGAATTATACAATATATACTGTTTTTTGTCTGGCTTCTTTCACTCAGCATAATTATTTTGAAATTAATCTATTTTGCATGAGCTTTATTAGTTTGTATTTTTCAAAGACTTGGTCCATTTTATCTAAGTTGTTGCATTTATTGGAATAAAATTGCTCATGATATTTCCTTATTATTTTAAAAATATCTGTAGAATTTGAGGTGCAGTCACCTCTTTCATTTCTAATATGAATGATTTTTTTTCTCTACTTTCTTACCTGACCTTTCTAGGTAGAGATTCATCAGTTTTATTATTTATCCATCAATGTTTATTAATCTTCTCAAGCAAGCAGCTTTTGGTTTCATTGCTTTCCTCTATTGTTTTTCTGTTGTGTATTTGTTGATTTTGGCTTTGATATTTATCATTACTTCCTTCTGCTTTACTTCCTCAGTTTAATTTGCTGCTTTTAGAATTTCTTAAGGTGCAAGTTGAAATCATTGATTCAATAGCGGTCTTCCTTCTAATATAGGTGGCTACTGCTATACTTGCATCTCCAAGTACCATTTTGGCTGCATCCTACAATGAAATTAAATTAGAAGTCAGTATAATATAAATCCTTTGTATAATATAATCCTCTTAAATGTATACAGTTTTGTTTCATTGCTCAGAATGTGGTCTACTTTGATAAGTGTTCCGTGTGCACTTGGAAATATTGTATATTCTGTTGTTATTGTGTGGAGTGTTTTATAAATACCAATTAGGACAAGTTAACAGATAGTGTTGTTCAAGATGTCTATATCTTTTTTGATTTACATTCTATATTTCCTATTAATTATTGAGAGACCGACATTGAAATCTGACAATTACAGATTTAAAAATTTTCTCCTTGAAGTTACGTCAGTTTCTGTTTCATGTATTTTTGAAGCTCTGTTATTAGATGTACACATTTTTGGAATTTTTATGTTCTCTTGACCCATTTATCATTATGTAATTACCTTTTCTATCCATGACAGTGTTCTTTACTCTAAAATTTACCTATCTAATATTAAAATAGCACACTAGCTTTATTTTGATTAATGTTAACATGATATATCTTTTCTCATCTATTTAAATTTCCCATTGTTGCTATAACAAATTATCAAAAACTTAGAGACTTAAAACAACATAATTATTACCTTACAGTTCTGGAGGTCAGAAGTCCAAAATCAGTCTCACTGGGCTAAAGTCAAAATGCCATCAGGGTTGGTTCCTTGTGGAGGCTCTGGGGAAAATGCTTTTCTCTGCTTCTGGAGGCCTCAGCTCATGGGCCTCTTCCTCCATATTTAAAGCCAGCAGCATAGCCTCATTACAGGGAGGTACGGGAGGGCTCAGAGTGAGTGGTAACTGTGGCATGACTATGCTCTGTGTTTCATAAGAAATTAAAGCATTGTGCAAAAACTAGGTGGTGTTACTGTATTCTACTCATACTCATGAAGGCATCTGGGAACATTCAGCCTAGAGAAGCAAAGACTCAACAGGACAGGGTGGTTATAGTGAACTATTAGAAGAGCTTTGAAATAAACAGTAGAAGTATGTGTGTTGGATGACTAGCAAGACCTAACTCTCTTTCTTGTCCCATGTGGGTGCTGCATGTACAATCACATGTGATCCACAGTTCCTTGGAGAGGATAAATCCCATGTGCATGTCACCATCAGTCATTCTGTTTTGGGAGAAGAAAGACAGAAACACACGGATACAAAGAACAGAATCCCCCATTCTTGGGCATGAGGCTGAGGAGGGTATCTAGGGGTTGCTTTTGGTGTCCTGCCCATATCCTCTCTGGCCTTACTATTGTAGTTCCAGACTTCTCACACCCTAGGGCTTGCTTTCAGCAGGTGAGAAGTGTGTAAAGATGAGTTCCATCTCTCCTACCCAGCTGTCCTCAACCAGGGACTGATGAAAGTTGGTGTACAGATCCTTCGGCTCCCTTGCCCCGGGACTTGATAACTCTCAGGCACTCATTCTGACTCCTGTGTTCCCCAAATGGATTCATGCTCCAGTCACAGCAGAAATTGGCTGTACACCATTTATTCATGGATCATACACCATTTATTCATTGTCTTCTCTTTGCTTACTTCCTCTTTTTGCCTCCAGTGTTTCTTGGGATCACCTGCTTCCAAAACTTCTCATACTTGAGTCCTAATATCAGGATCTGCAACAGAACTAAACAGGTACGGCAAAGGGGATAGAGCTACAATAAAAACTCACATTTGATATACTGTCCCATTAAAACCAGAACATCAAAAAGATAGTTGAAAATCCCCCCAGTAAAGCTCTGGAACTAAACTTTAATGGGGTTACTGGCAAGAAGAATGGCTTTTTAAATGTCCCTTAGGAGAGGGATATGAGACATTTAAAGGAAAAAAAAAATGCCCTGCAAATCATGGTGAAACGCTTGCTCAGGAACATAAAACAGATGCTTTAAAAACCCTATCCGTAAGGCTGAGACTCCAGAGGGCTTTGGTGATTCCAGCCTTGTGCTTTATTTGCTGGCAATAGATTTGCCAGAGCTCCTGGGGTTGCCATAGTATTTGTAAACAAACTTTGTGGTCAACAGACTCTGGGGTGGTACAATAATGCTAAGGGGAGTTTGAAAGAGGCAGAGTGCTCTTGCTGAGAAGAAGTCTTGAAAAATGACATCCTCAAAAGGTCACAGAACACAAAACAATGAACTGGCTGCCTTGCTGATCAGGATCCACCACATTTGGATCAATTCCCTCTCTCCATCCTTCTTCCAGCATCCCTCCTCTCTAGAGGCATTTCACCACTCCTCCCTGAGGAGAAACAAGTTATAATCAAATGGGAAAATCTCCCCGGTGACACAGATGATGTGGCCAGAGTCCCTGACAGTTAAGGTGCAGTTGAGGAAGGAAAGATAACAAGAATTATTTCACATTTCTTTGGTTGCCTGATCAAACCTGCTGAGTAGTTCAGAACTGCCTGCCATTCCCTCTCCTCTGAAAGGTATTTATTCCACAAACATTTATTGCACATCTACAAAATGCTGAGCTCTGTGCCAGATATTGGGGAATGTAGAGAGGATTAAGATACAGCACCTGTCCTCAGGAGGCCACTGTCCAGCTGGGGGAGGCTGCAGGGTGATAAATGCAACAACAGCCACACATATTAGGCACAGTGCTCAACAGAGGGGAGTGGGTAACTTGGGGGTCATGTGGGTTTTCCTTGAAGGACAGGAGGATCTCATGATAATAGTATTTATTGAGCATTTACTCTACGCCAGGTACCATTCAGAGCACATACCCAGATTAACTAGTATAAAAACCCATGAGACAAATACTATTGTTATTCCCGGATGAATAAACTGAGAAGTTAAGTTAACTTCTTAAGGTCACACAACTGAGTCAGGATTCCATACCCCAGAGCACACAGTCTTAATGACTGTCCAGTTCTTCAGGAAATCATTTCCAGTAAGCTGCTCTGGGGCTAAGAGTATGAAAAATAGGTGAGGATTAGTAATGTTTTACATTAGTGATGTCTACCCATAGAAGGTAGACTACTGTCCCAGTAGTCTACATAGGATAGGATATCTCCTTAGGATATCCTAAGGAGAAGCACCCAGAGACACTAGAGTCTCCATAAATGAAATGACCACAAAGTTCCTCTTTCTAGCAAGTGTGCTTTTATAACTTCCTCTCCCAAAGATGGCGACAAGGGTTCAGGCAAGCCACTAGAGGTATATGCATTAAAATGCAAATTAGACAGAATCCTAAGAGTTTAAAGAGCTGCAATTTAAGTGCACTGGGCTTCCCAGAGCCACATCATTGTCTTGTCCTTGAAAATGGAGATTTCAGAGTTTTGGAGCAAAAGAGTCCCAAATGGGACCTGGCATGGTAAGGCTGGCCTGAGGCAGAGCTGGGAGGAAGCCACTTTGCAGAGGAGAAAATGCCAAGAAAGGATGAGTGTGTATCTAACCCAGAATGGGCTTTCTGAAAATGGAGAGACTGGGTGGACTCTCAGCAAGAAGAACCTTGATGAGCACAACAGGAGTGATTTAGAAAATATGGGCTTCTAGCACGTAGGTGGTGAGGAATGTGACTTGACAGGCTTCCATTCCAACGAGGAACCCTGGCCAGCATGGGAGAAGGCCTTCTCCAGGATCAAAGTGCAGCTAACAGGATGATCTCAGCTTTGGCCAGGGTCATGGAAGTCAGCTGTGCTGGCCAGAAGGACAGTAGCCTTGAGGGTCAGGGCCTCTAGTAGGGCCCGTGCCCTGGCAGAAGGGGAGAGCCTGGATGGGCCTAATTACATGCTTTAGACAAAAGTCAAGCTCCTGAGTAATGTGCTACCACACCCAACTGTTCTCACGATGAAATTTCCTCACACCGCGGCATTGCTCCTTTCAGATCTTCAACTGACAGTGTGTGTTGGACTTAAAAAGGCCAGATCCAGAGTGAAGAGGAAGACGGGAAATTGGCCTTCAACATACGCATCAGTGGAGAATCCCTTCTTCTCACCTTCCCTTTCTCCTTATATAAACAAATTTTTTTAAAGGCAGTAAATGCACATAGTTTAAAGTATCACAAGGCCAGGGGCAGTGGCTCATACCTGTAATCCCAGCACTTTGGGAGGCCGAGGCTGGTGGATCATGAGGTCAGGAGACCGAGGCCATCCTGGCCAACATGGTGAAACCCCGTCTCTACTAAAAATACAAAAAATTAGCTGGGCGCAGTGGTGTGCACCTGTAATCCCAGAGACTCGGGAGGCTGAGGCAGGAGAATCACTTGAACCCGGGAGTTGGAGGTTGCAGTGAGCCGAGATCGTGCCACTGCACTCCAGCCTGGCGAGAGTGAGACTCTGTCAATAAATAAATAAATAAATAAATAAATAACTAAATTAGAATCACAGAAGTCTCTGAGATTTGTTAGGAGAAAAGCCACAGATTGCATAACATGACTGCCCTGGGAGGGGCTTAGAGGGTTCGACTCTAAAATATAGACTTTCAGCCACTCCTATTTATTTCAGCTACTCCTTTCAGCCCCTACTAGTGGCTGCTAATTTTTAAGCTTTGGAGGATCTCTTGTTGCAAATCAAATTGCTTCTTAGCTTTCTGGTTGACAGATTGCATTTGTGCATTTTCTGCCTTCAAAATTTTGCTCTTCATGCCCCCTCTCATGGACTATCAGCCTTTTAGATTTGTGGCTTAAGAAAAAAAAATCTCTTTATTAGCATTTTTAGTGGTGTTTTAGGAGGGGAAGAAAGTGGATGGTCGTGTTTACTCTACAAACTTTACTAGAAGTCACCTGCCTTAATTTTTTTAAAATTCTTTAGTTGGTGACCATGAAAAATTAACTCTAAGAGTAAACATAGATAGATGGGCTGTGGATTCAATTGGGAGTCTCTGTAGTTGGTTAGCCAGTCAGTCTGCCCGTCAGCACCCCATGCTCAGGGACTCATGCTCTGTGTTCGTCCCGCACTCTTATATGATAGTGGTTTCAAAAGAGAGATTAAAACAGATGGGTGATGGAAGGGTAGAAATAAGTTTACCCCTTCATCTTTTAAAGACAAATAGTGAATCCCCAGGTCCTCTTATACTTTGAAGCAAGCTTTTCTTTACTGTATTTCTGAATCCATACCTTAACATTCATATTGCCAAAGGGACAAGCCACAGGATCTCCAGAGTACACAGTAACAGGGGGGCACAAGCTGTCCCTTGGATAAATTCCTGCAGCTGAGGGCAGAGACCCAGCAAGAACAACCTTCCTACACTGCTAGACTGACCCCCTGTTATCACTTAGGGAGAAACCAATGAGAGGTGGCTGGGAAGTAGCAGCTTTTGCTTCAGTACATTGGAGAGGACAGAAATTCTTGTTTGCATGCTGACAGGAACTTTAGGGAAGGAAGAAAATGCCCCCCTTCCTCACATTTTCCATAATTAATGGCTCCTTGCTTGGAGACAGAAATATACTCGAGAGGAGACTACATCATGTGCCCAGAGAGGTTCTGTCCTTAGTGATGAGTCTGCAGACCCCGTGGGGATGGGATCCAAGATGGCGGCAGGAGCCCCGAGAATGGATGCCAAAGGGAGATTCGCCAGGTCTGTCACTAGTGGCCAGACCCTTGTACACGTCTACAGCACCAGGGTGAAGGAGCACTTCCTTGGGGGCAGCGGCGCATATGAGTTGTTTCACAGCTTAAAGGGGGTGGAGCCCCGGAAAGCAGCCCTAGGAATGCAACTTCTCTGGACACTGGCTTGCCTGCCCAGGCTTGTCTCAGCACCTCAGGCCACCTACCTTACTTTACAGCTTTCACTCCCCAGGCTTGAAATGGCTCAGGGCTGTCCCTTTGTATAATTAGTCAACCCTTTTTAATAGCCACAAGGAAGTTCAAGCAAGTGTCTGGTTCAGGCATAGGAGGTGTGAGCTGGCAGTACTTAGGAATCATCCTCCATTCTCTGGTGCCATTCCAGAGGTTTGGAGCAGCATTTCTTATGGAGTAGCAGACTTGGGGGTCAACCGAGGGTGCTAGGTCGAAGTGAAAATTCCAGGTCTCACTCCAGGGTTCTCAAATTAAAATTCTTTGAGTGCTAGGTAGAAGTGAAAATTCCAAGTCTCACTCCAGGGTTCTCAAAATTCTTTGAGTTAGGGTGGATCTGCCTGGCAATCTTTACTTCTTAAAAACAAGGTTTTCAGGTAACTGAGGAAAAGCAAGGTTTTCAGGTAACATTTGAGGAACTGTGGGCGGTGTTTCCCAACTCCCAGATGATATCATTCACCTACTTTCTAGGCCTCTTCCCCTAAGACTTGATTCAGAGAAACGGATGGATTTGGGAATTTGTATCTTTAGCAGGTATCCCAGGTGAATCTTACCAAGAAAGTTGGAGAAACTCTGCCCCAGGTTAAGGAATGTGGGGATATTGAGGGGCTGGCCCAGGGTTTCTCTACCAGGCCAACCCTTGAAATTACCTGAGGAGTTAAAAAAAAGTATATATGCTTTTCCCACCCTTGATGCTTTCAGTGCATATCCAGATAATTATAATTAATATGCACACATCCAGCCTACAAGCACAACTTGTCCCTTTTTCAAGCTGGCTTGATTCCCATGAATTGTAGAGGATAGTTTTTTTAAAAATTTTTTTAAATTTTTAATTTTTGTGGGTACGTATATATATTTATTGGGTACATGAGATGTTTTGATACAGGCATGCATTGCATAACAGTCACATGCTGGAAATGGGGTATCCATCCCCTCAAGCATTTATCCTTTGTGTTACAAACAATCCAATTATACTCTTTTAGTTATTTTAAAATGTTCAATTAAATTATTATTGACTACAGTCACCCTGTTGTGCTGTGGAATACTAGGTCTTATTCATTCATTCTGTTTGTTTTGTATCCCTTAACCATTGCCACCTTTCCCCTACCTCCCCACTACCCTTCTCAGTCTCTGGTAGACTTCCTTCCATTCTCTTTTGGTGAGGATAGTTTTGATTACCAAGTAGAAAGCATTTGAAAGGCATTTTTAGTGGTGTTTTAGGAGGGGAAGAAAGTGGATGGTCGTGTTTAATCTGCAAACTTTACTAGAAGTCACCTGCCTTAATTTTTTTAAAATTCTTTAGTTGGTGACCATGAAAAATTAACTCTAAGAGTAAATATAGATAGATGGGCTGTGGATTCAATTGGGAGTCTCTGTAGTTGTAGAAAAGCAATTCTTTTCTCTTCTGGAGCAGAAATCTGCTTGAGAAAAAATGATGGCATTTTCATGTCAATTTACAAATGACTTAGGCACTTTTGCCTGCTTTATCTGACTTAATTGTCCCAATGGAGGATTGTGATGTGGATTTTTTATTCTGTCACTTGATGAATGAGAAACCTGGCTCTGAAAGAAGTTAAGTAACCTACCCAACATCTCACAGCCTGTGTGTGGGTATGTGTGGGGGCAGCTCTTTGTCCCTGGTCCCAGTAAAGCAAGTAGACGTATGCCAGAAAATCAATAAAGGAACATTTGCCCAAGAGACAGGGGTGGCATTGACATGGGCCTCGTCTATGGGTGAAAAGCCAGCTAGGATTTGGACAGAGAAGAGGAGGAAACAGTTATGACGTGAATGTGCTTTCTTTTATTTATTTCCTGCTGCTGCCAGTAGCCCTCAGTGAGATGTTTCCTTGGAAGTCTCCCACCTCCCTGTCTCCCAGATGAACATGACCTAAACCAGCCTACGCTCTGTCGAGGCTAGAGCAAGGCCACTCTCCATAGTCCATGACTGAGGGCAGGGGAATTCAGGGCCACACAGCACATTTTCTTTTACACAAAGCCTGCTGGCCTTTTGGGAACCGATCCTTGATGTCATTAGCACCAATAAGCGCAGCCACATGGACCTACCCACCCAGACCATAACGACAAAAACATAATCACCACTGCCATCTTGCAACTTCTCAGATGCTCCAGGAAGTTGGCAAGCTTTAGGAGAGGTGACTTCTTTTTCCCATGGCTCATTTTTGGAGCCTGCATGAAGCAGTTGACAGACACATGCTGTATTTATTGAACGGGGACTCTAAGCAAGGCCCTGTGCTAATGCCTAAGTGACCTACACCGAGGGACAAGTAGAGCCTTGAATCCTAACATGATTAGGACTGGATCACTTCAGCCTCTGCCTTGTACTCTTATTCACATGAGAACAACCACATCCATCCCAGCCAGGGAGGTCCTGGGGAGCAGCAATAGGTTCAGAGAAGAAAGAGCAACAGAAGCCGCAACACCCTTCACCAGGCCTGTGCTTTGAATTCGTGTATAATTTGTTTGCTGTTGTAGGGAAGAAGAAAACAAAAGTAGGGGGTGAAGTGTGAGTCGGAGCCACAGAGTCATCCAAGAATGGCTGGCTCCCTGGAAGGTTTCATTGCGTTGGCCTGCATTTCTTTGGCTGCCAACTTATTAGGATCCAGAGACGGCATGGAATTGCTGGCACTGGGATTCTCCTCCTTACCACACACTGGGAAATAATCCCAAACACTTGGAGCAATATGTGCAGCTGAGGTCTGGCTAGGTACGAGGGTGGAAGGAGCAGGAGGGTGCAGAGCAATGAAAGAATCAGTAGGAGGGAAAACACATTCTCTAATCTCTTCCACCAGCTGATCAAGGGCACAGGCAAGGGAAACATGAAGATGAAGGGTAGGAAGGGAGAGTGAGAGAGGAAAAAATCCATGACAAGGAAACAAACCATAAGGAGAGAGGGAGGGATGGATGTGGCTCAGCTTTCATGCTTCTGGGGTGCTTGCACAGTGGTGCCAACACACATACACATGCACACACACACATACAATGCACACATACACATGCGCACACACATATGTGCTCACACACGCAAGTACACGTGCACACACATGCACACACACATGCACATGTACATATACACATGCACGCACATGCATACACGCATCTCTGCCAGCTACCAGCCTACAAGTTAGCCAATAATTAATTTTTGGATTGTTCATCTTAACCATTCTCTTTTGAAGTATAATCACAATTAAAATACACTCTTTGCCTTTATGAGTCCCTTTCTTTAAAATACATTTACTGTGCTTGTACCACACTAATAATTTTATGATTACTTATTATTTTCCTCATAGCCACACTTTTGACCTCTAATTGAACATAAACATCTTTCATGGCAGAGGCACTATTGTTTCATTTCTTTCCAATTCTATGCTGAAGAACCATGCATGCTTTTCTTTTTCTTTTTTTTTTATTTGAGACGGAGTTTCACTCTTGTCACCCAGGCTGGAGTGCAGTGTCATGATCTCGGCTCACTGCAACCTCCGCCTCCCAGGTTCAAGTGATTCTTCCACCTCAGCCTCCTGAGCAGCTGGGATTACAGGCATGTGCCACCATGCCCAACAAATTTTTTTGTGTTTTTTTTAGTTGAGATGGGGCTTCACCATGTTGGCCAGGCTGGTCTCGAGCTCCTACCTCAGGTAATCCACCCGCCTCGGTCTCCCAAAGTACTGGGATTACAGATGTGAGCCACTGCGCCCAGCCCATGCATGCTTTTCTGCATATGCTAGGTGCTTCATAAATGCATAATTGACTATGTCCTTATAGGAAAGAAGGATTCCATGGCTTTCCTGGGCAGTGTCAGAGTGGCCGGACTTGGCAATGGGCCCAGCAACAGTTCTGCCTGCATGAGCCTTGCTTGGGTTCTGGAATGTTCAGCCTGCATTACAGTCACCTGGTCCCGTGAGGATCAGCTTCTTCTCTCATCAGGAACTTCCCTGGCCTGCTGTGGTTTGAAATCCTGCAGTATGGTTGCCCTTGAGATCTTTTTTTCCAGGACCACATTCTCAATGACACTATGTTCTCATCCAGTACTTCTGGTACTTCTGCTAATCTAACTTCCTTGGCTGGGTCCCAGTGAGGTCTTCTGTAACCCCATACTCTGAGCCAAGGAAAGTCATGTTACAGCAAAGTTCCTGCTAAACAAGAGTACTCAACTGCATGCTTTGAAGAGAATTTAAGAAAATTCTGTGGGCCTTTCAAGCTTGCCATATACTAAAACTTTTTTTTTCCACCAGCCCTACCCACATTGATTAATGAGATTCCCCATCTACTCAGAACCACATTCCAATCTCCTCCTGAACTCCTAAGGGAGAGGGAGCATACACCCAGTTGTAGTCATGCCTACCGGGAGTTACACACCAACGAATTTCTAAAGAAAGCCTAACAAAAAGGCAAATAAAGCAAGAGGATTCTCACAGACTCACTGCTGCAGGGCTTTAAAATCTCAGCCTCATCTATTGAACACTAGCCCAGGTAGGGAAAAGGCCCCGTCTTGGTACGTCTACAGAGGGCATGGAGAGACTTAAGGCTTTTTGGTTCCGGGAAATGGTAAATTGCAATGCTGAGGGGAGAAAGCCAAGTCAGCTGGCCTGGGACATGGCCTGGAGCTGAGCTTGGCATGTGTTAGTGTAGACACTGGATAGTGGCTGTAATAGGAACTTGGTCTTTCCCCCCAATAAGCCTTGTGAGGCTCTGTGCCTCTCTCAGAGGAGACACGCTGTGTGCCTGGCTTCTAGGAATCCTGCTGCGTTGTAGTGGCCGGAGGCCCTCCCACCTGGAGTCTGTGCTTCCTGGAGCCAAACAGCCAAGGACTAGCGCTTACTGAAGAGGACTGTGATAGGAACACCCGGGAATATTCAGAGTTCATTGTAAGCCTCCTGGAGAGTTAGAGTTTCTTGCTTCTTATGTGTGAATGTTTAATATGCTACCACAGCTTTAATCTATCACAATTCTTCCAAACTTTGGGGCACTTAATAATTTCCCAAAGAGCTTGTGGAAAGAAGAGATTCCCTCCCAGAGATTCTGGCTCAGTAGGGCTGAAACACACCTGGGACTCTAATGCACAGAATCTAAAGACTGCACAGTGAGAAACCCAACATTTATCAATCCCAAGGGCAGAACCTGGTCTTCAGTGCTTTCAATCATCCTCACCACCACCACCATCACTATCACAACCACCACTATCATCACCACCACCATCACCATTGCCAGCATCATCACCATCACTACCACCACTACCACCACCGTCACTATCATCACCACCACCATCACTATCACAACTACCATCACATTATCAGTATCACCATCACCACCATCACCACAACCACCACCATCTCCATCACTACCACCACCACCTCCACTACCACCTCTTCCACCACTACCACTACTGCCACCACCACCATCACTATCATCACCACCATCACCACCTCCACCACCACCATCACTACCAGCACTAACCACCACCATCACCTCACCACCACCACCAACACCACCACAACAACAACAACTATCTGGGTATTTTTATTGTCCAGTGGCCCCAGGTTCAACTGACTGCAAAGCCAGAACATTTCTCACTAGACTGCAAGGGTTTCCAAAGACCCCAGTACCTGCAAGAAACATGTACAGGGCATGATTTCTGAGTACCTGAAATATGGTAGTAAGACTGGGGAACTGAAATTTTCATTTTATTTTACTTAACTAATTTGAATGTAAATTCAAATAGCTACATGAGTCCAGTGTCTACTGTATTGGACAGGGCAGAACTAGAAGGTGAGAGGAAGAGCCTGTACTCAACATCTGCTTGCAGATTGGGTCACTGCTTCAGTCAACCCCACTGGAAAATATCAAGTCTTAGTGTGGAGTCTGAGGGTTGAGAGAATCCGGACATATACTTAGAAAAGCATGGACAATAGGTGAGAATTGACTGCTTCTCCCACTCCTCCCCCGTCTACCAGAGTACTGACTCCCACAGTCACCAACCTACGTTCATTCATGGAGGCTCTATCCTGGGAAAGGTCATGCTGCCTTTTTCTGTAATTGTGCCACTAAGAATGGGAAAAATTGGGGGTGATGATAAAGCCCACTCTAGGGGCTGCTACAGCTAAATTGTCTGACTAGACTCCAGAAGGATGTTGCAGTATTTAAGAATCTGGGCCCAGTAGCCAGGGATCCTGAGTTAAAGCTTGCCTTTGCTACTTGTCATCTCCTGCATAACCCTGGAAAATTACTTCGCAAAATATTAGTTACTTCATCTGTAGAATGAGGATAACAAAACTTCCAACTTCATCAGGTTGCAAAAAGTCAGCAGTTCTCAAACTCTTTGGTCTTCTGATCTTTTTATATTCTTAAAAATGAGGACTGCCCCCAAAACCTGTTTTGGGGGGTAAATCTGTAAATGTATACTGTTTTAGAAATAAAAACATTAACTTAACAATAATAAAAACATTAACAACAATAATAAACCCATCCTACATTAACATAACATATTTTTGTGAAAAATTACCATATTTCCCAAAACAAAAAGTAATTAGTGATAAGTGTGACATCATGTTACATTTTTGTAGCTCTCGTCAATGTCTGGCATAATAGCAGACAGCTAGGTTCCCATCTCTGCTTCAGCGTTCCATCTGTTGCAATATGTTGTTTTGGTTGAAGTATATGTTGAAAATCTGGCTTCATGCAGGTATGTAATTGAAAAAAAAAAAGAGTACTTTCATAGCCTTTGCAGATAATTTTGGGTAATCAGGGCACAGGAGACAGGGAGTTTGAGTGAGATACTTCATAAAACTTGAAAAGTGGGCATAATTAAAGGTTAGTTACAATGTAGAATCTGAAGCCATATCAGTAAACTTTTCATACTTCATTACACTAAAATCTATTGGTCTATCATGCACTATGAGTGTATATTTACCTAGGCATAATTTTGTAATACCATGCATCAGTCATTTCGAAAATACTGGTTCATTGAGTTATGCTTGATTTTCCAAATGTTATCATATTTTTATTATGATACACATCACATTTGTTAATATCACCACTAACATCATCAAAATAAGTTTTTTTAAATTGTATTTTATTTTTTAACTTTTATTTTAGATTCAGGGGTATATGTGCAAAGTTTGTTATATAGGTAACTTGTGTGTCAAAGGGGTTTGGTACAGATTATTTCATCACCCAGGTAATAAGCATAGTGTCTGACAGGTATTTTTCAATCCTCACCCTCCTCCCATCCTCCACCCTCATGTAGGCCCCAGTATCTGTCGTTTCCCTCTTTGTATTCATGTGCATTTGGTGTTTGGCTCCCCCTTATAAGTAAGAACATGTGGTATTTGGTTTTCTATTCCTACATTAGCTCACTTAGGATAATGACCTCCAGCTCCATCCATGTTGCTGCAAAAGACATGATTTTGTTCTCTTTTATGGCTGTGTGGTGTTCCATGGTGTATGTATACCACGTTTTCTTTATCCAGTCAACTGTTGATGGGCATTTTGGTTAATTCCATGTCCTAGCTATTGTGAATAGTGCTGTAATGAACATACACATGCATATGTCTTTGTGGTAGAACAATTTATATTCCTTTGGGTATATACCCAATAATGGGTTGCTGGGTTGAATGGTAGTTCTTAGTTCTTTGAGAAATCACCAGACTGCTTTTCACAGTGGCTGAACTAATTTACAGTCAGACCAGCAGTGTATAAGCACTCCCTTTTCTCCACAACCTTGCTATCATCTGTAATTTTTTGACTTTTTAGTAATAGCCATTCTGGCTGGTGTGTGATGGTATCTCATTGTGGTTTTGATTTGCATTTCTGTAGTGATCAGTGATGTTGAGGTTTCTTTCATGTACTTGTTAGACATGTGCATCTCCTTTTGAAAAGTGTCTGTTCATGTCCTTTGCCCAATTTTTAATAGGGTTGTTTTTCTCTTGTAAATTTGTTTGTTTCTTATAGATGCTGGGTACTAGACCTTTGTGAGATGCATAGTTTACAAAATTTTCTCTCATTCTATAGGTTGTCTGTTACTCTGTTGATAGTTTCTTTTGTTATGCAGGAACTATTTAGTTTAAGTAGATCCCATTAGTCAATTTTCACTTTTGTTGAAATTGCTTTTGACATATTTGTCATGAAATCTTTGCCCATTTCTATGTCCAGAATGATATTGCCTAGGTTATTGTTCAGAGTTTTTAGAGTTTAGTTTTGGTTTTTACATTTAAGTCTTTATCCGTTTTGAGTTTATTTTTGTATATGGTGTAAGGAAGGGGTTCAGTTTTGATCTTCTGCATATGGCTAGCCAGTTATCTTAGTGCCATTTATTGTATAGGGAGTTCTTTCCTCATTGCTTGTCTTTGTCTGCTTTGTCAAAGATCAGATGGTTGTAGGTGTGTGGCCTTATTTCTGGGCTGTTTATTCTTTTCTACTGGTCTATGCATCTGTTTTTATACCAGTACCATGCTGTTTTGGTTTCTGTAGCCCTATAGTTTGAAGTCAGATAGTGTGATGCCTTCTGCTTTTATCTTTCTGCTTAGGATTACTATGGCTATAAGGGCTAATTTTGGTTCCATATTAATTTTAAAATAGTTCTTTTCTAGTCCTGTGAGCAATGTCATTGGTAGTTTGACAGGAATAGCATTCAATCCGTAGATTGCTTTGGGTAGTATGGCCATTTTAACAATATTGATTCTTCCAATCCATGAACATGGAAAGTTTTTTCTATTTGTTTGTGTCATCTCTGATTTCTTTCAGCAGTGTTTCATAATTCTAATGCTAGAGATCTTTCACCTCCCTGGTTAGCTGTATTCCTAGGTATTTTAATATTTTTGTGACTCTTGTGAGTGAGATCACATTCTTGATTTGGTTTCAGCTTGGATGTTATTAGTGTATAGAAATGCTACTGATTTTTGTACATTGGTTTCATATCCTGAATCTTTGCTGAAGTTGTTTATCAGATCTAGGAGCTTTTGGGCAGAGACTATGGGATTTTCTAGGTATAGAATCATATTATCTGCAATGATATGGAAGAGAGGAGATAGTTTGACCTCCTCTCTTCCTATTTCAGTGCTTCAGAAAAAGTTTTTAAGAGTCAGACATCTTCTAGGACAATAGTGTTTGCAATTCTCTTGTAACCCAAAGAATTTCAAGTTTATCCAAAGCACAAAACAAAGTGGAAGATGACAAGGAATGGCATCAGTTTTTTTGTTTCTGTTGTCTTTCTAGTAGTTAGTTTTAGCATATGTTTACATTTTGAAAAACCAGATGAAAAAATGTCTATTCTTTATTCAATAATCCAGGGCATTGAATTACCTTCTTCTGTAATTTTTATACATTGCAGACCTCAAGAATTTATGAAGAATAATCAGATTTGTTATAGAGGATATCTTAGCTTGTAGTTAGAATGCTTTTGATTTTCATGTAGAAAAAGAAGTAAGATGGTTTGTTTGGGAGCCAGGAGGGTACCAATGTCCCAAAACTTTAGACTTATTTCAGGATTATTTCACTTATGTAGTACTGCATAACAAACTGTCTCAAAACTAAGTTGCTTGAAACAAACCAATCATTTATCATCCCTTGTGACTTCTGTAGGTCAGGGATTTGAGAGTTGCTCAGCTGGGCAGTTCTGGCTAAGGGACTGCTTGAGACTGCAGTCAGATGCTGGCTGGTGGCAGGAGGCCTCAGCTCCTCACCATGTGGACTTCTCCATAAGACTCATTGAGTTTTTTGTTTTTTTTTTTTAAACGAAGTTTCGCTCTTGTTGCTCAGGCTGGAGTGCAATGGTGTGATCTCGGCTCACTGCAACCTCTGCCTCCCAGGTTTAAGCGATTCTCCTGCCTCAGCCTCCCAAGTAGCTGGGGTTACAGGCACCTGCCACCATGCCTGGCTAATTTTTGTATATTTAGTGGAGACGGGGTTTCACCATGTTGACCAGGCTGGTCTTGAACTTCTGACCTCAGGTGATCCACCCACCTTGACCTCCCAAAGTGCTAGGATTACGGGTGTAGGCCACCGTGCCCAGCCCCCGAGTGTCTTAATATGTGGTGGCTGGCTTCCTCCAGAGCAAGTGATCCAATATAGGGAAATGTGGAAGTCACAATGTCTTCTGTGGCATAGCCTCAGAAGTACACAGCATCATGTCTGCAATATCCTAGTGGTTATAAAGGTCGGACCTTTCAATGCAGGGGAGAGTTCACAAAAATATTGAAAATGAGTAGAAGAGAATCACAGGGAGCCATCTTGGAGGCTGACTACCTTCGAGACTTGTTTTTGGTTTAGGTTTGCTTTTCTCCCTGCAGAGTTTTTATCTAGGCTCCATTATTTAGAAACTTACAGAATACCTGATCCACAAGCATGGACAATTTAGTAACTGACTATAGTGAAGGCAATGTTGGAGTGGGATCATGACAATGGGATCCACTTTTGTATTACATGCTACACCATCCTGAAGCAGCTGGTATCTTGGAAAGGTAGAAGCATCTTCTAAAATAGCAGCTGATGCTCCTGCTCAGAAGAAATACTCTAATGGTAGGGTGCCATCCTTTAGTCTGCGGTGTATGTATTAGATAATAGACCTCTATATAATACTGTGTCTTCAGTAGAAAAACAAACAGGTTTCGGAACCAAGGGGTGGAAGCAGGAGTAGCCCCTCTGGTGGATTTTGTGCTTTCTACCCCTGTAAGTCTGATCTCTGCAGGGTTGAATGCCCTGGTCCCCAAAGAGAGATAGTACTTTTGCCAGGGGGACACAGCAAGGTTTCCACCGAACTACAAATTACAGTTATGGCCAGATTCCAGTAGGCAAGAAGAAAGCTGTTGTACTGACAGGTGTAATTGACCATGGGTGTAGGTCCTCTGAGAAGCAGACCCCAAGATGGGATTAAACATGTGTGGATTTTACTGGAGCAAAGACCTGTGAAAGAAAATGTGTGGTAGACTTGTTAGAATGGGAGAATGGCCAGACTGTGTTGTAAGTCTGACGCTGAGAGAGGTGGAGAGGGAAGAGAGGTTGGGTGGGAGGGCCCTAGATTGCAATGCAGCACAAGGAAGTTTCAAGAAGGGCCTTGGGGAGTCCTAAACCCAAAGCAAACCATTAGGGGAGTCCCATGTCTCCCAGAAAGACCCACCATCCTATCCCTGCTGTGCCCAGACACCGACCTAGAGCTGCCTGTGGGAAGTGCAGCCTCAGATTTCAGAGCCAGTAGCTAGGATCCTTGGTCAGTTACACTCCCTGTACTTGGAGTTCTGCTGGATGCTTCCTCACTGCTGCAACACTGATCCTGATCATTAGGAGGAGGCAGGACTGCTTTTATACAAGGAGGCATTGAGACTGCATGTGTATCCTTCTGGTCTTATACTTCCTCGCCCCATCAGAGAAACAGAACCAATAGGATATAATATGTAGATATATGACAGGGGGTTTATTACAGGAATTGGCTCACACAATTATGGAGGCTGAGAAGTTCCATGATACTTGGTCTGCAAACTGGAGGCACAGGGAAGCCAGCGGTGTTGTCCAGTCACCTGAAGGCCTAAGAACCAGGGAAGCTGATGATATAGCTCTCAGTCAGAAGTTGAAGGCTGGAGTACCTGGAGTTCTGATGTCCAAGGGCGGAAGAAGATGGGAATCATAGTTCAGGGAGAGAGAGAAAGAAAGCAAGTGAGAAAATGTTCCTTTCCTCTGCCCTTTTTTATTCCTATCTGGGCTCTCAACTGCCCACACTGAGTGAGGGCAGATCAGTGGACTAAGGTCCACTGATTCCAATGCCATTCTCCTCTGGAAGCACCCTCACATGTCTACCCAGAAATATGCTCTACCAGCTATCTGAGTATCCTTAAACCAGTCAAGTCAACACCTAAAATGAACCATCACAACGTGCGATGGTTCAGTACAGTCCTTTGTATGTCTGTATAGGATCATAGGAACGTGAAGAAAAACACAGGAGGATACAAATTAACTTGGAAATGGTGCGGCAGATAATGTTGATTTGTTGACCCAACCCCATTCCCATTCCTCTTTCCCCTTGCCATTTTGCAGCCAGAGATGGCCATGTGACTCTGTCCTGGTTTATAAAACCTAAGTAGAATTCTGCTGGTTGCCCTGTCTCTGTTCCTCCTGCTTCCTATTGGGATGTAGGCTTGATGCAGCAGCCATCTTGGGACCATGAAGGAGAGGCCAAAAGAATTGCCAGCAGCAAAGTAACTCCACTGCTTCTTATGAGGAGAAAACTAAATCCCTCCGGTTTCACTCACAGTCAAAGCGTGTCCTGTGATACACACAGGGTGTCGTGGGGTATGCATGTGCCTGTAGGGGGAGGGGTCAATTGAGACATAGAAAAGCAAATATAAGACCACTTAAAAATCATGTATATCATTACATGTAAGCATTTACACACATAGTTCTGTAAATGTTTTGATATGTATATTAACAAACAATAAATATTTAAATTATAAGACTATCAATTTTATCTGTATTACACTTTATTGGCATAATATTGCATATATATTTTAAAAATCATTTCTTTAATTATGCCCCTTTTCTTATTATACCTTAAGTTCTAGGGTACAAGTGCACAACGTGCAGGTTTGATACATAGGTATACATGTGCCATGGTGGTTTGCAGCACCCATCAACTCATCATTTACGTTAGGTATTTCTCCTAATGCTATCCTTCCCCCAGCCGCCCACCTCCTGACAGGCCCTGGTGTGTGATGTTCCCCGCCCTGTGTCCAAGTGATCTCATTGTTCAATTCCCATCTATGAGTGAGAACATGAGGTGTCTGGTTTTCTGTCCTTGTGATAGTTTGCTCATAATAATGGTTTCCAGCTTCATGTATGTCCTTGCAAAGGACATGAACTCATCCTTTTTTATGGCTGCATAGTATTCCATGGTGTATATGTGCCACAGTTTCTTAATCCAGTCTATTATTGATGGACATTTGGGTTGGTTCCAAGCCTTTGCTATTGTGAATAGTGCCACAATAAACATACGTGTGCATGTGTCTTTATAGTAGCATGATATAATCCTTTGGGTATATACCCAGTAATGGGATTGCTGGGTCAAATAGTATTTCTAGTTCTAGATCCTTGAGGAGTCGCCACACTGTCTTCCACAATGGTTGAACTAATTTACACTCCCACCAACAGTGTAAAAGTGTTCCTATTTCTCCACATCCTCTGCATAGTCTGTTGTTTCCTGACTTTTTAATGATGGCCATTGTAACTGGCATGAGACTATCTCACTGTGGTTTTGATTTGCATTTCTCTGTGATGATGAGCATTTTTTCATGTGTCTGTTGGCTGCATACATGTCTTCTTTTGAGAAGTGTCTGATCATATCCTCTGCCAACTTTTTGATGGGGTTGTTTTTTTCTTGTAACTTTGTTTGAGTTCTTTGTAGATTCTGGATATTAGCCCTTTGTTAGAAGGGTAGATTGCAAAAATTTTCTCCCATTCTATAGGTTACCTGTTCACTCTGATGGTAGTTTCTTTTGCCGTGCAAAAGCTCTTTAGTTTAATTAGATCTCATTTGTCTGTTTTGACTTTTGTTGCCATTGCTTTTGGTGTTTTAGTCATGAAGTCCTTGCCCACGCCTATGTCCTGAATGGTATTGCCTAGGTTTTCTTCTAAGGTTATTATGGTTTTAGGTCTAACATTTAAGTCTTTAATCCATCTTGAATTAATTTGTGTATAAGGTGTAAGGAAGGGATCCAGTTTCAGCTTTCTACATACAGCTAGCCAGTTTTCCTAGCACCATTTATTAAATAGGGAATCCTTTCCCCATTTCTTGTTTTTGTCAGGTTTGTCAAAGATCAGATGGTTGTAGATGTGTGGTGCTATTTCTGAGGCCTCTGTTCTTTTCCACTGGTCTATATCTCTGTTTTGGTACCAGTATCATGCTGTTTTGGTTACTGTAGTCTTGTAGTATAGTTTGAAGCCAGGTAGCGTGATGCCTCCAGCTTTGTTCTTTTTGCTTAGGATTGTCTTGGCAATGAGGGCTCTTTTTTGGTTCCATATGAACTTTAAAGTAGTTTTTTTCCAATTCTGTGAAGAAAGTCATTGGTAGCTTGATGGGGATGGCATTGAATCTATGAATTACTTTGGGCAGTATGGCCATTTTCACAATATTGATTCTTCCTATCCATGAGAATGGAATATTCTTCCATTTGTTTGTGTCCTCTCTTATTTCCTCGAGCAGTGGTTTGTAGTTCTCCTTGAAGAGGTCCTTCACATCCCTTGTAAGTTGGATTTCTAGGTATTTTATTCTCTTTGTAGCAATTATGAATGGGAGTTCACTCATGATTTGGCTCTCTGATTGTCTGTTAATGGAGTATAGGAATGCTTGTGATTTTTGCACATTGATTTTGTATCCTGAGACTTTGCTGAAGTTGCTACAGCTTGCAGAGATTTTGGGCTAAGATGATGGGGTTTTCTAAATATACAATCATGTCATCTGCAAACAGGGACAATTTGACTTCCTGTTTTCCTAATTGAATACCCTTTATTTCTTTCTCTTTCCTGATTGCCCTGGCCAGAACTTCCAACACTATGTTGAATAAGAGTGGTGAGGGAGGGCATCCTTGTCTTGTGCCGGTTTTCAAAGGGAATGCTTCCAGTTTTTGCCTATTCAGTATGATATTGGCTGTGGGTTTGTCATAAGTAGCTGTTACTATTTTGAGATACGTTACATCAGTACCTAGTTTATTGAGAGTTTTTAGCATGAAGGACTGTTGAGTTTTGTCGAAGGCCTTTTCTGCATCTATTGAGATAATTATGTGGTTTTTCTCGTTAGTTCTGTTTATGTGATGGATTACATTTATTGATTTGCGTATGTTGAACCAGCCTTGCATCCCAGGGATGAAGCCGACTTGATCGTGGTGGTTAAGCTTTTTGATGTGCTGCTGGATTCGGTTTGCCAGTATTTTGTTGAGGATTTTTGCATCGATGTTCATCAGGGATATTGGTATAAAATTCTCTTTTTTGTTGTGTCTCTGCCAGGCTTTGGTATCAGGATGATGCTGGTCTCATAAAATGAGTTAGGGAGGATTCCCTCCTTTTCTATTAATTGGAATAGTTTCAGAAGGAATGGTGCCAGCTCCTCTTTGTACCTCTAGTAAAATTTGGCTGTGAATCCTTCTGGTCCTGGACTTTTTTTGGTTGGTAGACTATTAATTATTGCCTCAATTTCAGAGCCTGTTATTGGTCTATTCAGAGATTCCACGTCTTCTGGTTTCGTCTTGGGAGGGTGTATCTGTCCAGGAATTTATTGATTTCTTCTAGATTTTCTGGTTTGTGTAGAGGTGATTATAGTATTCTCTGATGGTAGTTTGTATTTCTGTGGGATCAGTGGTGATATCCCCTTTATCATTTTTTATTGCATCTATTTGATTCTTCTCTCTTTTCTTCTTTATTAGTCTTGCTAGTGGTCTATCAATTTTGTTGATCTTTTCAAAAAACCAGCTGCTGGATTCATTGATTTTTTGAAGGGTTTTTTTGTATCTTTGTCTCTTTCAGTTCTGCTCTGGTCTTAGTTATTTCTTGCCTTCTGCTAGCTTTTGAATTTGTTTGCTCTTGCTTCTATAGTTCTTTTAATTGTGATGTTAGGGTGTCGATTTTAGATCTTTCCTGCTTTCTCTTGTGGGCATTTAGTGCTATAAATTTCCCTCTACACACTGCTTTAAATGTGTCCCAGAGATTCTGGTATGTTGTGTCTTTTTCTCATTCGTTTCAAAGAACATCTTTAGTTCTGTCTTCATTTCATTATTTAACCCAGTATTCATTCAGAAGCAAGTTGTCCAGTTTCCATGTAGTTGTGAGGTTTTGAGTGAGTTTCTTAATCCTGAGTTCTAATTTGATTGCACCATGGTCTGAGAGATAGTTTGTTGTGATTTCTGTTCTTTTACATTTGCTGAGGAGTGCTTTACTTCCAATTATGTGCTCAATTTTAGAATAAGTGTGATGTGGTGCTGAGAAGAATGTACACTCTGTTGATTTGGGGTGGAGAGTTCTGTAGAGGTCTATTAGGTCTGCTAGTTGCAGAGCTGAGTTCAGGTCCTGGATATCCTTGTTAACCTTCTATCTCATTGATCTGTCTAATATTGAGAGTGGGATGTTAAAATCTCCCATTATTATTGTGTGGGAGCCTAAGTCTCTTTTGTAGGTCTCTAAAGACTTGCTTTATGAATCTGGGTGCTCCTGTATTAGGTGTATATATATTTAGGATAGTTAGCTCTTCTTGTTGTATTGAACCCTTTACCATTATGTAATGGCCTTCTTTGTCACTTTTGATCTTTGTTAGTTTAAAGTCTGTTTTATCAGACTAGGATTGCAACCCCTGTTTTTTTTTGCTTTCTATTTGCTTGGTAGATCTTCCTCCATCCCTTTATTTTGAGCCTATGTGTGTCTTTGCATGTGAGATGGGTCTCCTGAATACAGCACACTGATGGGTCTTGACTGTTTATCCAATTTGCCAGTCTGTGTCTTTTAATTGGAGCATTTAACCCATTTACATTTAAGGTTAAGATTGTTATGTGTGAATTTGATCCTGTCGTTATGATGTTTGCTAGTTATTTTGCCTGTTAATTGATGCAGTTTCTTCATAGCATTGATGGTCTTTACAATTTGGCATGTTTTTGCAGTGGTTGTTACTGGTTGTTTCTTTCCATGTTTAGTGCTTTCTTGGGGAGCTCTTGTAAGGCAGGCCTGGTGGTGACAAAATCTCTCAGCATTTGCTTGTCTATAAAGGATTTTATTTCTTCTTCAATTATGAAGCTTAGTTTGGCTGGATATGAAATTCTGGGTTGAAAATTCTTTTCTTTAAGAATGTTAAATATTAGCACCTACTCTCTTCTGGCTTGTAGGGTTTCTGCCTAGAGATCTGCTGTTTGTCTGATGGGCTTCCCTTTGTGGGTAACCTGACCTTTCTCTCTGGCTGCCCTTAACACTTTTTCCTTCATTTCAACCTTGGTGAATCTGACAAATATGTGTCTTGGGGTTGCACTTCTTGAGGAGTATCTTCGTGGTGTTCTCTGTATTTCCTGAATTTGAATGCTGGCCTGCCTTGCTAAGTTGGGGAAGTTCTCCTGGATAATATCCTGAAGAGTGTTTTCCAACTTGATTCCATTCTCCCCATCACTTTCAGGTACACCAATCAAATGTAGATTTGGTCTTCTCACATAGTCCCATATTTCTTGGAGGCTTTGTTCATTTGTTTTTACTCTTTTTTTTCTAAATTTCTCTTCTCCCTTTATTTCATTAATTTGATCTTCAATCACTGATACCCTTTCTTCCACTTGACTGAATTGGCTATTGAAGCTTGTGCATAAGTCATGAAGTTCTCGTGCCATGGTTTTCAGCTCCATCAGGTCATTTAAGGTCTTCTTTACACTGTTTATTCTCGTTAGCCATTCGTCTAATCTTTTTTCCAGGTTTTTAGCTTCCTTGCAATAAGTTCGAACATCCTCCTTTAGCTCAGAGAAGTTTGTTATTACTGACCTTCTGAAGCCTACTTCTGCCAACTCATCAAAGTCATTCTCTGTCCAGCTTTGTTCCGTTGCTGGCGAGGAGCTGCAATCCTTTGGAGGAGAAGAGGTGCTCTGATTTTTAGAATGTTCAGCTTTTCTGCTCTGGTTTCTCCCCAACTTTGTGGTTTTCTCTGCCTTTGGTCTTTGATGTTGGTGATCTACAGATGGGGTTTTGGTGTAGATGACCTTTTTGTTTATGTTGATGCTATTCCTTTCTGTTTTGTTAGTTTTCCTTCTAATAGTCAGGTCCCTCAGGTGCAGGTGTGTTGGAGTTTGCTGGAGGTTCACTCCAGACCCTGTTTGCCTGGGTATCACCAGCGGAAGCTGCAGAACGGCAAATATTGCTGCCTGATCCTTCCTCTGGAAGCTTCATCCCAGAGGGGCAGCCACCTATATGAAGTGTCTGTCAGCTGCTACTGGGAGGTATCTCCCAGTTAGGCCACATGGGGGTCAGGACCCACTTGAGGAGGCAGTCTGTCCGTTGTCAGAGCTCAAATGCCGTGCTGGGAGAACCACTGCTCTCTTCAGAGCTGTCAGACAGGGATGTTAAAGTTAGCAGAAGTTGTCTGCTGCCTTTTGTTCAGCTATGCTCTGCCCACAGAGGTGGAGTCTAGAGGCAGTGGGCCTTGTTGAACTGCAGTGGGCTCCACCCATTTCGAGTTTCCTGGCTGCTTTGTTTACCTACTCAAGTCTCTGCAATGGCGGATGCCCCTTCCCCAGCCAGGCTGCTGCCTTGCAGTTTGATCTCAGACTGCTGTGCTAGCAGTGAGCAAGGCTCTGTGGGTGTGGGACCCATGGAGCCAGGCACGGGAGAGAACCTCCTTGTCTGCCAGTTGCTAAGACCTTGGGAAAAGTGCAGTATTTTGGCAGGAGTGTCCTGTTTTTCCAGGTCCTGTTTTCTTGGCTTTTCCTAGCCAAGGGAAATCTGTCACGGCTTCCCTTGGCTTGGAAAGGGAAATCCCCCGACCCCTTGCACTTCCTGGGTGAGGCTATGCCCCACCCTGCTTCAGCTTGCCCTCTGTGGGCTGCACCCACTGTCCAACCAGTTCCAATGAGATGAACCAGGTACCTCAGTTGGAAATGCAGAAATCACCCGTCTTCTGCATTGATCATGCTGGGAACTGCAGACCGGAGCTGTTCCTTTTTGGCCATCTTGGAACATCCCCAATTATGCTCCGTTTTAACATTTTTAATTGTGTATACTTTTTTCTGTGCCAGGTGTTAATTTAGTTACCTTTTAAGAAAAACTTAGATTTTCTTGACATCTGTTGTTTATTTTCTAACTCATTGAATCCTTACTTACCTTTGTCATTTCTTTCATTCTGCTTTCCTTGGGTTACCCTGTTCATTTTTTTTTAACTCCTGGAGTTGAATATTCAATCATAAATTTTGAGCTTTTATTATTTCTTTGAATGTCATAACTCCTGGTCAAAACACAAATTTTGGTCTAACGCAGTCGGTGATGAGCTCCCACGGTCTGCCCAGCCCTTGTTCTTAATCAGGAGGTGAATTAAAGTCTTCATCTTCTACGTATGTGGAAGAGGACTAGGCAGAGGAGAAATGGCAGGCAGTGGAGGCAGAGAGTGGGTCCCCAGCCAGTTCCTGGACTCAGAAACCACCCATCAATATTCAAGCCAGAGTAGATGATCACCACCAGGTGGCGCCCAACCTCAACAGGGGCTGGGATGAGTTTTGAATTTGAACCAGAAACTAGACCTCCAAGAACTCTGTCCATGTGCTTTTATTTTTCCTCTTCATCTTCCTTTTTTCTTTTATTATTTTGTTTGTTTTCATTACAACACTCCTTCATCTCCTTCTATTGGCTTGAACGTATTCCTTCTATTTCAAATATTTTATTAGTTACAGTAAAAATTCTATCATGCATACTTTACTGGTCAATATTTCTTTGTTTCCCCTCCCCAATATACAAAGATTTAAAACTGCCCCTTCAATCTTCCATGTTATGTTTCCTTAGTATTTTAGTTTTGCTTGCTTTTGGCTCTTCTGGATTAGATGATCTTGCTGTTTTAAATCAATGCTTTTGATTAACCTGTCTGCTCATTATTTCTTCTTGCTTCACACCCTGTTTTGAGTTCAATTATATTTTTTCTGAAGTACATCAGATTAGTAGTTTTTTCAGCAATAGATGTCAATGGTAAACTTTTTTTAGCTTTAGTTTTTGAAAATATTTTTAGTTTAGTTGGGTATAAGAGAAACTCTTCTATTGTTGCTAATAATAATTCTCTGGTCAGCCTAATTGTCATTTCTTTTTAGGTGTCATATCTTTTTTCAGGTGCTTTTTTATTTTTAATTTTTGTAGATACATAGTAAGTGCATATATTTATGGGATACATGACATGTTTTGATACAGGCATGCAACGTGAAATAAGCACATCAGGAAGAATGGGGTATCCATCCCCTCAAGCTTTTATCCATTGAATTGCAAGCTATCCAATTACTAAGTTATTTTAAAATGTCCAATTACATTATTGCTGACTATAGTCACCCAGTTGTGCTATGAAATAGTAGGTCTTATTTATTCTTTCTAATTTATTTTGTACACATTAACCATCCCCACCTCCCCGACAGCCCCCAATACCCTTCTTAGCTTCTGGTAACCATCCTTCTATTCTCTATGTCCATGAGTTCAGTTGCTTTGATTTTTAGATCACACAAATAAGTGAGAACATGTGATGTTTGTCTTTCTGTGCCTGTCTTATTTCAGGTGCTTTTAAGAGTTTATTTCTTGTTTAAAAATTTGGCTCCAACGTATGTAGTTTTGTGAGCTTTTTGTTGGTTTTGTTTTGTTTTGTTTTATCCTACTTGGAATTCAGGGGCTTTCTTCAATTCTGAAAAATTCCCAGCCATTATTTCTTTGAGTTGTTTCTAACCCCCTTCCCTCCATTCTCTTCTAGAATTTATAGTTCAATCAGGTTGGAATTTGTCAGTCGACCCTCCATGGCTCTCAAACTCTCTTTAAGATTTTCTATGTTATTATCTTTCTGTGTTTCATACTGGATGATTTTCTCAAATCAATCTACCAGCTCACTAGTTCTTTTTAAGTGCATTTAATCTGCTATTTAATTTGAGTTTAAAATTTGAATGATTACATTTTTCTGTTAAAAAAGTTCAATTTGATTATCTTTAAGTCCTTTGCTTGCTTTTTAAGAATCCTATCATTTTGATGTGTTTATTATGTCTTCTTGAAACATACTTATTTTCAGCATCTTTGAGATTATTTCATTATTTCTAGCTTTCAGCCTCATTATTTTTCCATGTGTTGTATCAGCTGATGCTCCTTGCTGATACTTTTTAATCATATGGTTAGTAATTATTTACTATAAGCTTTTTCTCCTTCTAGTGAGAGTCCTGTATACTCTGGGTTACAGATAACTCCTTACGGAGCAGTTTGATATCACTTCTCTCTAGATTCCTGTGGCTCCACTGGTTATGGGCCAGTAATGATGTTAATATCTTGCTTGAGATTCTTATAACATGTAGATAGCTTAAATTCATACTCCATACCCAGGTTAGGTTTGGGGCTTTTCACAGGATGTATATATTTTTTCCCACCCACAGTCCAGAAAAGATAGCTTGCTTCCTGTCATCCCCAGGCAGTAAACAAAGTTCTAGTTACCCTCTCAAGTCCTGGAAGTATTTTTGAGAGTCCCAGTTTTAAACAGAGGTATAAGTTCCAGCCCGAGCAGCCTCCAGGCCAAATTTACTGTAGGGCCCGTATCCAGGCCTGATTCTTTCCTGGTCCTTCTTGTGTTAGTTGAAGCTTATGTCTCTGAGTTTAAATTTTCTTTTTGTGTCTGGCACCTGGGAATTATCTTGGGTTTCTTTCAAGCTAGGTATTTTAGCTTTTTAAAATATTTATCCAGTATTTACATGTGTTTGAGTGGGAGGAAGTCTTTGTTGAGTCAGGCTGCCATGCCTGCAGCTTTGGAGGCCTTTTGCATGCAGAAATTGGTCATGCATCTCTCTCTTAAATGAGTCTGGCCATGTTCCCTTTACCCCCACTGACCTCATACCTCAAGGAAATTTGACAAGCCAGAAGCATAAATTGCATACCTGAGCTGAGCTTCCCCTTCTATTTTATTTACATCATTTCTCAAAAATAATCACAGAAGGATGGAGCTGGGTGAGGCCTTATAATCCTCTAGTCTGATACCCTCTTTAATCAGCTGAGGGACCAGGGACTAGCTGGGCCCCTGGATTTTGGATTCTCCATCTGAAACACTTTCAAATTCATTATCTTGAGTAGAGTATAGGAAAAGGAACACTGGATTTTTAATCAGAAAACCAAGAATTGCATCCCAAGTTTGCCTTTTACCTGCTGTTTGATCTTGGGCAACCCTTTTGAGATCTAGTGAGTTATCTGTTAAATGGAGGCAGGCTGCATGGAATTTTTGATTCAGGAGATGTGACAGTTTCTGATATGCAATAGGCATTAATATTTTCTTTCTTATGATTAAGATCTCTCATACCCACTCTTGGAAACATCTTTGAAGCTGTTCATTCTCACAGAATCTGCCTGGAAAGAACTCACAAAGTACCTGGAGACTTACTAAATCAGAAGGTGTAAAGTTGGGAAACAGAAGGTTATTTTCCATTTCCCTTCTTTCCAACCAAATACTGAAACTTTGTTCCCAAAGAGTAAGGTATGTCTGCTTTAAAGAGTTACACAAAGGCCATAAAATTGCAAGTGGAGCCATTGCAAACTCACAATGTTTTTTATTCTAGCTTCATGTTCATTGACCTATGGCTTTCTTATGGGAGTCATGGGTGAATTCTAGACCAGACTGTTGGCAAACTTACTCTGTAAAGGGCCAGATAGCAAATATTTTAGGCTTTGAGGTCCACAAATAGTCCCTATCATAGTCTTTGTTTTGTTTACAGCCTTGCAAATATATAAGAGACATTCTCGTTCATGACTATACAAAAGGAAAGCTGTGGGCTGGATTTGGCTCACAGGTCTGGCTGTAGCTGTAGTTTTCTGAGCCCATTCTAGACAGACACAGCCTTCTGACTACGTCCATGAAGACTTTCCTGACTTCAGCAATGTCATTCAGTGCTTAGGGGCACTCAGCCTAATTATCCTACCATATTTGTTCAGGAATGACAGCCTCCCTGATCTGCTGCCCCTGCCCCCAGCTCCTGACCTTTCAGCCTAGTCCTAAAAGAAAAAAGGTCGCCCTCAGCACATGGTTACTTATGGGGTTTCCACCCACCCAGTGCTTTTACCTTTTAATCAGAAAGTGACTTCCTAGGGGGCTAAATCAATGCTTCACAACATTTACTATGTCCGGCATATTTGGAAAATGGTGGTAGTTTGTACAGCTCAGGGTTATGTGGGGAGGTGAGCAGAAGAGGGTTGAACAGATGCAAATGCTCATGACCAGAGGCTACTGGGTTTAGGGACTCCATCTTCCCCTGGAGGGTGGATGGGATCAATGTCTCAGCAAACCTCTTAGGAACAGAGCATAGTAGCTGTATGTGTAATAAACATTGGAGTCAGTGCCAACTTTGCTTTTTGTTAACAATATGACCTTTGTCAAGATTTTTAACCTCCTATGTCTTAAGTTCCTCCTCTATAAAGTGGGAATACTAATAAAAGTAGCCATCTTACAATGTTTATTTCACATATCAAAATGTACATGTAATATACATACATATATATAATATGCATGAGAGCATCCTAAGCAAGGTGCTTAGTTGTGAATACTAAGACATAGAATGTATTCTCTTCCTCTTTTTAGTTAAACAGTTATTTTGCATTAAGTGAATCTTCTTTATTGAAGAAAGTCCCAGGAATGAATAATTTCTAACATCAAATTGAGACAAATTTTTTTGTCAGAAAGATTTGTTAAAAAAAATTTCCTTACAGGTTTAAGCTTACATTTTGTGTGTCTATTTTTGTAGCTGAAACACACAATGCCAAGGAGCACCTGCCTTCTCTACCCAGAGGACACTGAGATGAGTTAGGAATCTGCAGTTCTTTCAGGCCAGAGTCCCTGCTCTCTAGACAATGTACTACAGGAATTTCTAGGTCCCAGCAGTTCCTCAAGAGTTAACATAGGGTAAGAAGCAGAAAGCATGAGATAATCTTCCAAAGTTTGGCATGTGGTATGAGTTTGGTACAAATTTGATAAAAGTTTTGAATTAAATAAAACATTGGGTTGAGCAGAGTGTCCTTAGTGGCAGTGATCACGTCATTGATAACCACAGTTTGCTGACGGAGCTGTGGTTAAACCTTCTGTGGATAATCAATATTTGGCTATGCCTGGGAGTGCATCCTCTCTCTATCCCCATGGCAGCTGACCCTTCCAGGAGTCCCGTGATACAATGCAGGGAATGGCAGTAAGAGAGCAATAATGTCAGGAAATGAGAGATCACTTTACCAGTGGAAACCACAGGAATCCTGGGCAGGCAGAAAGTAATCATGAAAACTGCTTTTTGGCAACGTGACATGGGTCAGCTCTCTTGGCCTCATGAAGAGCGTCTGCGATTTATTGTGGCTTTAATCACATTAAGCCTTTGTGGTTATGGGATAGCTGCATCACAAGGAGTTTGAAGTACAATTTTGCTTTACTGTAGTAATCAGTTTATACCTAGCATTTTATGAGGGTGAAGGAAAGTGGACAATAAGGTTTCTTCATGTAAGATCCTAAAATTGGCTGGTAGGTCAGAGTTTGCACACATATAACACTTAAAGACAAAAGTGAAACATCTCAGAAGCCAGGAAGCCCAGGCTACAGGTCCTCCAAATCGCTTTAATAAAACAACAACCAAAAGGATCTGTGATAGAGATGGCTTAGGAAACTCCAAATATGATATTCTCATTTGGAAAGTCACAAAGACATGGCCATGAAAAAGAGTCTGAAAAAGCCTGCAGTAAAGAATATGGTGTAGCTTTGTTTAGCCTTGAGTTCCACAAACATAATTGACCTTGGCACCCTGACTCTACCCACTGCCTAGTGATCTGGAGTTCCCTGAGTTTTCGGTTGAAAGCATCAGCAACCAGCTCTAGCTAAAAAGAGCAAAAGCAAATTTTCTGGAAGAATATTGGGAGCTTATAGAACTGTTAGGAATACTGGAGAACCAAGCTGCCTCCCATGAGGTTGACCTCATAGCTGACTTGACTTCACCTCATTACTTACAACTAGATCATTGTGAGGGCCAGAGGGGGCCTCAGATATCAGCCAGGGGGACCTTGTGAGTTCACGATGAGGAAGCTGAAACGGACAGAGAAGCAATGGCTTAACCCAATCAGCTGGCCGGTCATGGGAACAGGTGATCGCTATTATTTCCTCTACGCTACCTCCTCTCTTTTATTCTGATCTTTTCTTTGAGGGGGCAGGGGGTGATCCTTAAAAGCACAGCATTCCTATTATTCATGAAGAGATGGAACCCACATCCTGAGTGACTGCTTGGCAATCATGAGCTTTTCTTTTTTTTTAAACTTTTATTTTAGGCTCAGGGGTACCTAAACCTAAAGGTACCCCTTTAGGTTTGTTACATAGGTGAAGGTTTGTTACATAGGTGAACTTGTGTCATGAGGGTTTGTTGTACAGATTATTTCATCACTGAGGTATTAAGCCCAGTACCCAATAGCTATCTTTTCTGCTCCTCTCCCTCCTCCCACCCTCCACCCTCAAGTAGACCTCAGTGCCTGTTGTTTCCTTCTTTGTGTTTATGAGTTCTCATCGTTTAGCTCCCACTTATAAGTGAGAATGATCATGAGCTTTTTGCAGACGTAGTTATTTCTACCTCAACTGAACTCGATAGGCAATCTTATATTTACAAAGTGACAAAATATATGAGCTAATGTCTTTTCTACTTATTTCTAAAAATGAAATGATTTTGAGGTGGCTTGACACATCCCTATTAAAGCAAATACTTTTGTCATAGTACTTGTAACACTTTACCACTTTATTTATTTATTTATTTTTAGACAGAGCCTCGCTCTGTCACCCAGGCTGGAATGCCAGTGGTGTGATCTCAGTTCACTGCAACTTCCACCGCCCAGGTTCAAGCAATTCTTGTGTCTCAGCCTCCCGAGTAGCTGGGATTACAGGTGCGTGTAAATTAGCATGCCTGGCTAATTTTTTTTTGTATTTTTAGTAGAGACAGGGGTTCTCCATGTTGGCCAGGCTGGTCTTGAACTACTGGCCTCAAGTGATCCACCCACCTCAGCCTCCCAAAGTGCTGAGATTACAGGCATGAACCACCGCACCCGGACCACTTTACCACTTTATTGCCCTTATTTGGTTCATCTTTGCCTTCTCCATCAGTCTGTAAATCTAATGACAGGAGGAGTCATGTCTATATCTTAACCACTGGACATAGTTGGTACTTAGTAAATGTGGAACAAAAAAAAAGAAAGACACTTGAATAATAGCTAGTTAGTAAAAGAAGTAATCCAAAGAGAATATTGGTGCTATATATAAAATGAATCCTATTTTTCAGTGGATGTGGACAACTGGCAGTCTTGAGTTTAAAAATCCCAGGTCTGGCTGGGTGCAGTGGCTCACGCCTGTAATCCCAGCACTTTGGGAGGGCGAGGCAGGTGGATCACCTGAGGTCGGGAGTTTGAGACCAACCTGACCAACATGGAGAAACCCCGTCTCTACTAAAAATACCAAATTAGCTGGGCATGGTATGCATGCCTGTAATCCCAGCTACTCAGGAGGCTGAGGCAGGAGAATTGCTTGAACCTGGGAGGCGGAGGTTGCGGTGAGCCGAGATTGCGCCATTGCACTCCAGCCCAGGCAACAAGAGCGAAACTCCGTCTCAAAAAAAAAAAAAAAAAAAATCCCAGGTCTGCTGGGCATGGTGGCTCACACCTGGAATCCCAGCACTTTGGGAGGCCAAAGTGGACAGATTACTTGAGCTCAGGAGTTTGAGATTAGCATGGGTAACATAGGGAAACCCTGCCTCTACAAAAAACAAAAACATTAGCTGCGCATGGTGGTGTGCGCCTGTAGTCCCAGTTACTTGAGAGGCTGAGGTGAAAGGGTCACTTGAGCCCGGGAAGTTGAGGCTGCAGTGAGCCAAGATCATGCCACTGAACTCCAGCCTGGGCCACAGAGTGAGACTCTGTCTCAAAAAAGGATAAAAAGTCAGCTCCATCATTCAATTTAATACCAGTATGATCATGGACAAGTTGGTTGTCATCATCAAGATTCTATTTCCTTACATGTGAAATGGGGTGATATGGTTTGGCTGTGTCCCCACCCAAATCTCATCTTGAATTGTAGCTCCCATAGTCCTCATGTGTCATGGTTTTATAGAGGGGAGTTCCCCCGCATACACTCTTGCCTGCCACCTTGTAAGATATGCCTTTGCTCCTCCTTTGCCTTCTGCCATGATTGTAAGGCCTCCCCAGGCATGTGGAACGGTGAATCCATTAAAGCTCTTTTTTTTGTAAATTACCCAGCTTCAGATGTGTCTTTATTATCAGCATGAGAACAGATTAATACATGGGGATAATGCATTTTTCTAGCACTGTGAGATAGAAATGTTTCCTGTCTAGGCCGGATAGAGAAGGATCACAGTCCTGGGGGCCTTGGCAATTTTCAGGGGGCTTCCACATGTGCAGTATCCCACCTGCCTACCGCCCCCTCAACACACCGATGCAGTGGGGGATGGGAGCAGAATGAGTCTTAGACAGAAAATAGAACCTACCTTTTAAAGCACCCTCATTTTCCCCTTTATCCATTTTAGGAGAAATCTGCATGGATCACATGTTTTTCTTCCTCCTTTCTTTTCCTCTTTCTCTTCCTTCTTCTCACACTTGCATTTCTTCTTTTTTCCCTTTTGTGAGCACCGACAAGCCTTAAGTTCCAGAGCCTCCTTTTTGGCACCAAGAAGTATTTATTTATTCTTTCTCCCTCCTGTGTGAGAAAGGAAAGACCAGAGGGCTGGAGTTTGTCTGTCTTCCTCATCTGTAGGGGAGTCCTCTCTCAGTATGTGGGTTTACTATTGGGGTATATTTCCTGCCTTCTGGAACATTTTAGGCAGAATCTAAACTTTTTTTAATGATTCAGAATTATCACTATAGGATGTAGCGTTGGAAAGACATAGGACTCTGAGATTTTGACTAAAAAATCAATTCATAACAGGAGGAGAAAGAAAACTTCCCTGGTTAAGTAAGCAATTAAAGACTTTTAGGTCCTTTCACCTCCTGGGAAGAATGTTGCATTGGAGCTAAGGTGGTCAGCAGGTAATGCGGTCCCTACACTCGAAGAGACAGAGTCTGTCAGAATCTGGTTAGCATCATCCAGTAATTTCCCCAGTTTGTGAAGAAATGACTGTGTTCTGGGTTTTGTACTTAACCTTGATCTCCCACCAATGCAGAAAGTTAAGTGCAAAGGGAAATTGTTAAAAGCTGTGGATTCACAAGTCCAGCTCTCTCACTCCAAATCCCAGCTTTGCCTCTCAGTAGCTGAAAAAATCTCAGGAAAGATGCTTAACTCCATCTTTAACTCCATCCAAGACTGGAACAATAATACCTACTGCATAGGGTAATAATAATACCTACTGCATAGGGTAGTTTTGAGTTAAATGAGATGGTGCACAGAAGCATCTAATAAATACTAACTCTCATGATGTGCATTTATGGGTGAAGAAAAATTAGGCAGGAGTGGAGCCAAGGTTTGACTCCAAATTCTACTTTTTTCATTTCTTCATGAAGCCATTGCCACAGGACAGAGAGAAAGTGGAGTTTGAGGCATAATCATTGGGATATTTCAAGTCACATTCCTACTTAGAAGTAATAAAATTTCACTAGTTTATTAGTTAGGATGTAGGTTCTGTTGTTAAAAACAAAAATATTAGTGGCTTAAACAAGATAAGGTTATATTCTTATCAAGGAATAGATCAAGCATAAGCAGTATAAGGTGACATGGTGCTCCACTGTGGCAGCAACCCAGGCTCTTTCTTGTTGGTCTGTCACCCTCAATGTGTGGCTGGTTGTCCCCGCTCCATCACCATGTGCACATCCCAGCCAGCAGGTGAGGAGACTGGAAAGGCTGAGGGTTCCCTTAAAGAAAAGCATGACTTGAAAGCTGTCCACATGACCTGCAATCGCATTCCACTGGCCGTACCCAGCTGCAAGGGAGGATGGGAAACACATCTGGCCCTATGTATCTGTGGGTTCTGCATCCGTGGATCCACCCAACTGAAGATCAAAAGTGTTCAGCAAAAATTGCATCCATGCTGAACATGTACAGTCACTTTCCTTGTTGTTATTCCCTAAACAATACAGTGTAATGATTTACATAGCATTTACATAGTATTAGATATTATCAGTAGTCTAGAGACGATTTAAGGTGTATGGGAGGAGATGTGTAGGTTATATGCAAATACTATGTCATTTTATATAAAGGACTTCAGTATCCATGGACTTTAGTATCTGAGAGAGATCCAGGAACTAATTCTTCACCAATACCAAGGGACAAATATATAGACTTTATTCTGAACAGTTATGTGCTCAACTATTATTAAAATAAAAAAGGAATAGTGACTATTGGGAGCTTAGGTGAAATAGTTCCTCTCCATCAGCTGATCACCTTTGTCCTGTTGCCAAGCTAAATCGATAATTCATTGTAAGCCCATTCTAGATACGCTATAATCCAGATTACTTACCACTGCAGTTAATGGGTCTATGTATCTCACCGTTAAGTATTCCAGAATGCAAAGGTTCTTTGATTTCCCTGTTACCCTTTCTTTATTGCCTTTTATTTCCTTTATCACTGCCAGGCTGCCCATTGGCATCTTGCTTTGCTGGCATCTAGCCCTCAGAGCCCTCTCTCCTTCCATCCCTGCCTGGCCCTTCCCCTTTTCCACCCACATATACATTTGACACTTGCTTTTTTTTGTAGATAGAATTATGTGCAATGCAAAAGCAAACTGGTTTGAGTGAAGGCTAACTTATCACAAATCTTGTGATTAATCCATGTTGGCTATTTGATCCAGCTCCTTGCTCGTTTCCTGATTCTCAATAATGTAAGAATAGTTGAGGTTGCTAGGTAAGAAGGTCTTTGTATTAGAAGAAAAGAGGAGGTGTAAGAGCAGTGATGGGGAGAACAAAGCCATTAGAAAGTGCAGTCTTACAGGGAATTTTTTGAGGGAAAAACACCACCACCACTCAGGACTTAAGAATAAAAAGATGAAGCAGATAAGGATTATAGCAGAAATGAGTATGGAAGAGACCAACAAAAATCCAGAGATTAAAAGTAGCTTTAAGTCTTTAAGGATAATTGTGGCTTCCTAGTGTGGATGTCTGGAGCACCAGGTTTGTTCTAATTGAAAGCACAATTTGGTGGTGGGGAAGAGTCTCCAGTTTGTTAAGGTTGTGGTTAGATTAAAGTTGGGGAACACAGGATCTGGAGTTAGTATGCAGTTCATCCTCTCACAAACTGAAAAGAAGGCCATTAAGATGCTGGTCACCCAGGATGCTCTGGCTAGGAATAAACAGGGAGCTGAATGTTGGTCTTCACGCAGACCATTCTAATAACTAATCCTCTTTGTAACGGTCAATTTACATGTTAGAAGATCTAAAAGGCAGGAAGCGTTGAAATGGGCTTTGAATTTTCTTCCTTAGATTTCGTTTCCAATTAATCTTTCTGAGACAAGAATTGCAATCCACCACAAACTGTTTTGAAGCTTTTAAGAGCAGGTTTTGCTCCTTTGGACAAGATGCTAACATATTAAAAGGAAAGAAAACAACTTAGTGTTTGGTTGGATATTTTTTCTCCTCGAATATGAAAACAACCTCAGTACCAATAAAAGGGCAGTAGAGAAATTTTATTTCACATAGACTTTTGGCAGTGTCTTAGAATCATAGGACTGGTGAGGACTGCCCAGATTTTTTAGAGATGAGGAAACTGAGGCCCAGAGAGGCTGAGCCAAGCTTGGAAAGATGCTCTGCAAATTAGCGGGAGAGCTGGAACTAAAACCTTGTCTCCTGTTCCCTCGTCATGCCCTGCTGCCACTCCGTTGCAGAAATGATCTGTAACGAAGAACATAAATGGCATCCTAAGCCTGATTTGTTTCTTTGAAATTTCTAAAGAAAGCCTACATTTTACGTGAGTGGAAAGGTTTTGTGTTCAAAGAGAAACACATGCTACTAAGAAGAGAAGATGAAGATGCCCTTGCTCCTAAATGGGGGTGTTTGGACATGATCTCAAAAGCAAACAAGAAGCCCTGTTTCCTGCCCCAGTCTTTCCTATCTTTCTTGCCTCTGGACTGAAAACTCTCCCATTATTTTTTCCTGAGGCAAAAATATGTAACAGATGGTAGTTTCTCCATTGCGCTGTGGTTAAAATGCAAACATCACATCAGAAGAAACCCCCCTGCTGTTACTAGCTCTCAGTATTAGCCCACAGTGACTTGAACTTTTTTGGGGGGTCAAGGGTTTAGAATGTGTTTAGTTTAGAATCTGATGAAATCTATGACTCTTTCCCCTAGAAAATGGGCACACAAAATTGTAATGCCTTAGGATCTTCACCTCCCTCTAAGCCCACGTTTGGACCAGGTGAAGGACTCATGCTTTTAAGTAAATTAGCTTGTCCCATTAACTGGCTGGTCTTAACTAGCAGAGCCTAATGGGAATGAAACCAAGTTTCCATGGGAGAAAAAGAGCCAAATAGAAGCTTCCCTGAGGAGTAAGAAGCCAAGATAGAGAGTTCTGGACAAGCTAGAGAGACAGGGACAAAGGAGACACATCAGAGAAAAAGATTCCCAGGGGAGTTTGGAGGGAAGCCTGAGACAAACTTCTCAACTTCAGCACCTTGTCTATGGTTGGCCGTAATTACGATTTCCAGGCTTTCCTAACTTGCTTTGCCGACCTCTGTAATTATTCCAAAGTCACACACCTCCTTGGAATCCTTCCCTAGTACACACTGCTCTCAAAGGCAGCCCTGGGCTGGTGAATAAGATGTCTCCATGAGAGCTGAGTCCTTTTTCCCTGGCATCTTGCCACGTTGTGCTGCTCCTGGACCTGTCGGACCCTTAAAGGGGGTGGGATGCATCTTAGAATATGCTGTGGGGTGATGATAGATCACCACAGCCTAGACATGATCTTGGCAAGCATGCTGGGTAGTGATGTATTGATAAACATCAAAAGAAGTGTGGAATTCCAAACAAGAAAGTGAACTGGAGTAACTCCAGTGAGTCAGATTTTTATTTTATTTTATTTTAAACAGAAGGTGATTTGTAATGCTCAGCCGGACATGGTTGAGAAGTGGGTATGGGACTCCTATGAGCAGTGGGAAGAGCTGCCACAGAGCAGGACATGAGCTGCCAGGACTCAAATGTACCCTGGACTCCCTAGCAGTTCCAAAGAAGTGACTCTGAGATGGAAAGTGAATGCTGAGCAGCCATTTTATGAGATGTTGAAAGTTGTTGCAAGTCATGTGCTGCTATTCAGGACTCCACTGATTCCATGTTTTTAAACAGCCAGGTTCTCATCCTATAGCAAGAAAGAGAGAATGGTGGAATCTGAGTTAAAAGCAACTGGGATATAGGGCTGGACACTGGAAAGCCAGGTGCGTAGCTGTATCTAATCAGAACTGGCCAAAAGAATTTGTGCAAAATGTTCTGTAATCTGTACCACTGGGTAGACAGTAGCCCAATGTAGCTATTGAGCACTTGAAATATAGTGCAACAAAGGAAATGAATTTTAAATTTCATTTATTTAATTTAGTTTAAGTAGCTACACATAGCTAGTGGCTACCACATTGGACAGTGCAGATCTGAACCTATGGCTCAAACAAGTCAGCACTGGCTCATGGTATTGACTCTCTGCTGGAGTTAATGCCCTCCTTTGTTCATTTCTCCATTTCTTCATTCAGCAGGCATGCCTGGACCTACAGAGGGTCTAGTAGCCTGATCAGCTCTGCAGCCTAGGCCCCTAGGCATTCTCCAGTGAGGTCACACATCTCATATCCAACTCACCTGATACACTCCCCCACAGACTAACAGGAAGAGTGGCAGTTCCTCTTTCCTCACCTTGACCACGATGCTCATCTTCCATTTCACCATTCTACCTTTGTCTTACCATTCTGGGGACATGTTGGCTTTGTTCTCTTCCCCATGCATGTGAAGCTGCCAGTCTTTGTCAGTTGGCATCAAGTGATTGGCTTTCCTTTCTGCTTCTGTCTGTAAAATGGGCATTTTTGGTATTCCCTAAGAGGACAAGTGGCTAGCTTGAAAACTGTAACTCATTATGAGGTTTATGGTGAGAAGGACAAAATTTAGAGTTGGAAATGATGTCAGAGTTGATGAAGCTCCATTTCCCTGTTGGTCTGAAAACTACAGAACCAATGCCTTGAGTCAAAAGACAGTGTTCATTCATCCACTTATTTGACAATATTTGTGTACCAGGCACTGGGCACTGGTACAACTATGAGTACATTAGCACACAAAAACAAAAACAAAAAACAGAAAACACTTTCCTCCCAGCCCCACCAAAAAAACAAAAACAAAAACCCAAGAAGAGTCTTTGCCCTCATGTAGAGGTAAGTGCTACAAAAATAAAGAGGAAGGGTATAGCTGCTGAGTGGTGCTGTTCCAGATAGAATGGCCAGGAAAATCCTCTCTGTGGGGTGGTATTGGAGTTGAGACATGGATGAAGTTAGGCCCTGAGTCATATAACTATTTGGGGGAAAATCAATAGGCAGAGGAAATAGCCCAGGCCTGAAGCTGGGTATGTTTGGCTTGCTTGAGGGACAGTAAGCAGGCAGCAGAGTGAGTCAGGGGGAGAATGGGAAGAAATGAGTCAGAGAGGGAGCCAGGGGCCAGAGCGTGTTGGGTCTTTTAGGTTATGGTATGGACTTGGATTTATTCTAAGTGCAATAAGATGCCCTTGTGAAGCCTTCCCTAATGTCACCTATGACCCATCCATCAGACAAAGAGATGCAACCTTGTATGCCTACAGGCAGGTAATGAGAGGGCTGTCCTGTTGGAAGAGGTTGGCCACTTCTCTGCTCCAGACCATCATGGCTGTGCAGGAACCCAAGACCTGGGCCACCAGAGGTCACTCTCCATAAATGAAAATGTAGAAATTTTAAAATGTGAAAGCTTCCAGTTTTTAAATACTGGCAAAAATTCGAGTTAAGCCCATACACACAGAGTACAGGTCAAAGAAAAGATATCTGCAGATAGTATCCACCAGTCTGCACCTTCTGCATTGTACAGTCATTTCCAGGGAGTTTGGATTTTTAACTAAAGCACCTGAGAGAAAGAAAATTCCAAATGACACCCAAACAAAATCATTAGAGGATTTGGCATAACTATCACTGTCATTGCCATTGTATAAGCCCAACCATGTAAGACAAAATCTACTACAGTGACACCTTCCCATTAGGATGTAGATGATTGGGACAGACCATTGCTCCCACAGTGACATGGAGATAAAAATGAATAAGCTTTAAAAAAAATCATATAGGCTGGGTGCAGTGGCTCACGCCTGTAATCCCAGCACTTTGTGCTAAGGCAAGTGGATCATGAGGTCAGGAGTTCGAGACCAGCCTGGTCAACATGGTGAAATGCTGTCCCTATTAAAAATACAAAAATTAGCTGGGCGTGGTGGCACACACCTGTAATCCCAGCTGCTTGGGAGGCTGAGGCAGGAGAATCACTTGAACCTGGAAGGTGGAGGTTGCAGTGAGCCGAGATTGTGCCACTGCACTCCAGCCTGGGCAAAAGAGTGAGACTCCATCTCAAAAAAACAAAAACAACAGCAACAGCAACAACAACAACAAAAAACATATTTAAAAAAAGGCACTGGAGAGCTGGAGACACAAACATGTCCAAAGGAACCCAATTCTATAGAGAGATGAATTTCCATGGAATGAAGAAATGGAGGGCTTCTAGGGACATTTGGAAAGTCTGGGTGTGTGGCAGGAGGAAAAGAGGGCTGTCACACAAAGAGGGGCCCTGCTGGGTGAGGAAAAGCTAGTCAATCTTTTAGCAGTTACATGGGCTAGTGTGACAGACTGGGATTAGCAGGAGCCACCACTGCCGGGCTAGTTTTCCTGTTTGCTAATTCCGCTCCCTGAGATCTTGCTGAACGTGTGCCAGGGCAAGAGGCTGATGGCTGGGCCTGCAAGGGCAGAGAGAGCACCACATGCTCATGGTGCTGAGTTCCAAAGTTTGCAGACAGCTCTGTAATACTCGAAAAGCATATTTCACTCTGGAGACATTTGCGCAAGTTGCAGTCATTATTAAAGAGCTGCGTTCTTTCTCAGGAACATAAAATGGGGTGTGTCTTACAATGGGTGACATTTTAGAGTCAACGAGACCTGGTAGCAGTCATGGCTTTTTTTTTTTTTTCATGCAAGAAAGAAATCAGGAGTTGAGAGCAAGTTATTTGAAAAATCCAACTAAACTTTTTTCTTATCCTTGAAAAAAACTTTAAAAGAGTGGTTTAAGAATTTTTTGGAGGCACAAACACAACAGAATATAGTCACTAAAATTCTCATTACAGCCTATGTAGAAACGTGAAATATTTGTTAAATGAAAAAAAAGCACAAAATAGAAATATTTCTTGAGTAATTTATGTTTAAAAAAAGTTACACATGGAAGACAAACTGGAAAAATCTACCAAACATAATTAGAAGGGCAATTATGATCTCAGTATTTTATTATATCTGTAAGTACGTTATACCTGAATAAATGTTTCTTTAAAAAATTTAAAAATTACAGCTATGCATGGAAGGAGTGAAGAGGATGCTGCTGGCAGAGAACTCATCGGCAGCAGCCCCCAGAGGATAATGTACAAGGCACGTTCTGTACAGGGAGTCTGCCAGCCTGGCCAAGAGCACCCCCAAAAGCACTTGGAATGAGCCCAGCTACACCAAGGGTAGGAGATCTGCCAATATCATGGAGGGAGAAATACACATCTAGTCTATGACCCAGCATCCCAAAGGCCTGCAGGCTAACCCGCCTCCCTGGAAGAAAACAGAAAGTAGAGGGCCTGTCACTTTTGGAGATACCCACGATGGAGACAATGCTTCAGCAGTGAGCCCAGGTGTCGCCATGCAATAGCATGAGAGCTCTGCCTTTGTCCATCGACATGGAAGTGAAATAAAAGAAAACCACCGAGTTAGAGAAAGCAACCATTAAACCACCATCATCAATAGCAAGTACTTAGTGAGCATCTACTTTGTGTCAAGTGCTTCCTGGGCACTGGATCATCCCATAACTAGTAGGTGTCCTGTGGCCCTCTTCTTCCAGAATCAGAATAACCCATCTGTTGTAATTCCTAGTTCTATTTCTTCTTCTTCTTCTCTTTCTCCTTCTTTTTTTTTTTTTTTGAAATGGAGTCTTGCTCTTGTCACCCAGGCTGGAGTGCAATGGAGTGATCTCGGCTCACTGCAACCGCTGCCTCCTGAATTCAAGCAATTCTCCAGCCTCAGCCCTGCGGAGTGGCTAGGATTACAGGCATGCGCCACCATGCCCAGTTAATTTTGTATTTTTGTAGAGAAGGGGTTTCACCATGTTGGCCAGGCTGGTCTCGATCTCCTGATCTCAGGGGATCTGCCCGCCTCGGCCTCCCAAAGTGCTGGGATTACAGGCATGAGCCACCGCACCTGGCCTCCTAGTTCTATTTCTGTCACACTATTACAGTGCTTACCACATTGGAGTCATTCAAAAGATATTTTTGAACAACTGACTAAGTAAGTACATTAGTCATTTATTAATCGGGCTTAGTTAGGTAGAACTCTCAACATCGAAAGAGAACGCACCATTCCCTCACTCCCGGGATGCTGCCCCTCCTTCTACAGACATCCAGGCTCTGTCTGGGTTTGGCTCTTAGGAGATGGAAGCTTCTGGCTGGGCCAGAGCCCTCATACCATCGTTATCAGGAACACCTTCTGTGTTGAAGGGGAACCTTCCCTCATCCACTCTGTATCCTTCCCCAGATATTTAGCACAGAAATTTTTGTTTTGATATTGGCATTATATTGTTTCAAACACAAGGAATCGAAGAAGCAAGCAAGTCTCCTAAACTTTTCTTTGGCCGTGATTAGGGCTGTTCAGAGATATGCCTGTTTTTTTCTTTTGAGATTTTAGGTTTGCTTATTATTATAGCATAATCTAACCCATACATTGATACTTTTTGCCCTCACTATCAATTGACTTTAAACTATCCCTTCAGCCTAATCATTAATTACTTTTAATTAGATACAAATGTTGCCATAAGAATCAGATTCTCTTTCTAACTGGCAAGAGCAATAATGTGTGCCGTCACAGGTTTTTCATCAAATGATATGTGACACAGCTCATCTTAGGGCTCATCTGTAACCTTCTAGACTTCAAAGGCAGTTACAGCTTTATGTGCTGGTTTGCAGTTTCTTTTGCAGCCTCTGCATAACACACTTCTTTTTTTTTTTTTTTTTTTTTTTTTTTTTTGTAGACAGGGTCTTGCTTGTTGCCCAGGCTGGAGTGCAGCGGCACGATCATGGCTTACTGCAACCTCTGCTTCCCTGAGTCAAACCATCCTCCCACTTCAGCCTCCCGAGTCGCTAGGACTACACAGGCTAGGCTAATTTTTAAATTTTTTTTTTTGTAGTGATGAATTCTCACCATATTGCTCGAACTCCTAGACTCAAGTGATTCTCTTGCCTTGGCCTCCCAAAGTGTTAGGATTACAGGCATGAGCCACTGTGCCCAGCCAATACACTCTTGAGATTCATGTGAATTCTATTCCCCTCTTTCCTACCTGGCCTAAGATATTAGGAGAGCAGTAGATCAGTACCTCCCAATTTATTTGTGTGGCTGATTCTTGATTATTTCCTAAGGCAGAGCATAAGAGGAGGTTATGGGCTACCCCACATCAAACAAAAGTAAAAGAAACTCTCTTGTGACTAACTATAGTCAAAATTCTTTGGAGACCTCACTTTGACAAGACTGCACATTATGGCCAGGCCCAACCCCAACCACACTGGAGATTTGTCAAGTGGGGAAGGGGTTGGAGAAGCCAACGGAGGGTCCCCATCTGTTTCAACCAGAGCAGTTCAGTTGATGATTTGGTTTCTTTCTTCTCCCCTGAATCAGCCGTTGACTGATTTTTAGTCCCACTAGAGAAGTGAATTTATTCCACTTCTCTGCTGTGTCTTGGGTCCAAGAGAAAATATTAGATATGCAGAGCAATGGGAAAATTCAAGATAGTGATGTTCAGAAATGCAGGCAGACCAGCCAGGTGCGGTGGCTTATGCCTGTAATCCCAGCACTTTGGGAGGCCAAGGTGGGTGGATCACCTGAGGTCAGGAGTTCGAGACCAGTCCGGCCACCATGGTGAAACCCCATCTCTACTAAAAATACAAACATTAGCTGGGCGTGTTGGCGCACACCTGTAATACCAGCTACCCTGGAGGCTGAGGAAGGAGAATCGCTTGAACCCAGGAGGCGGAAGTTGCAGAGAGCCGAGATCGTGCCATTGCACTGCCTGGGCAACAAGAGTGAAAAAAAAAGAAAGAAAGAAAGAAAGAAAGAAAGAAAGAAAGAAAGAAAGAGAGAGAGAGAGAGAGAGAGAAAGAAAGAAAGAAAGAAAAAGAAAGAAAGAAAGAAAGAAAGAAAGAAAGAAAGAAAGAAAGGAAGGAAGGAAGGAAGGAAGGAAGGAAGGAAGAGAGAAAGAGAAAGGAAAGAAGGAAGGAAAGAAGGAAGAAAGAAAGAAAGGAAGAAAAATGCAAGCAGACAGTGTGTTCTGTCCACTGGACTCCAGTCCCTGGGCGAGGGATATGTATGAACAAGGCAGGACCCCAGTCTTGAAGAAACTGGTATACAGAGCAGGCTATCAGAGCAGCGATTAAGGACCAGAAACTAAGAAAGATACCAGGATTCCCACCACAACTCCAGGAATCATATAGGTCGGGTGTGAGAGAGACTCCTAGATCTCCTTCAGTATCCCTCTCCCCTTTTCAAATGGCATAGGATACCTAGCCAAGTGCAGGGCCACTCAGCTAAACACTTCATTTCCCAGCCTTCCTTGCAGCAATATTTGGCCACCTGACTGAGTTCCGGCCTATGGTATGAGAATGTAGGCATGACATGTGCACCTTTCTGGAAGGGGCGGGTATTAGTCGGCTCAGACTACCACAACAAAATACAATAGACTGAGAGGCTTATAAACAACAGGAATTTATTTCTTACAGTTCTGGAGCCTGGGGAGTCTAAGAGCAAGGTGCTGGCTTGGTGGGGTTCTGGTAGAGGCCTTCTCCTGGCTTGCACACTGCTGCCTTCTTGCTGTGTGTTCACTTGGTAGAGAGAGAGCAAGCTCTCTAGTCTCTTCTTATCAGAGCACTAATCCCATCATGAGACTCCTACCCTCAGGACCTCATCTAAACATAATTACCTCCCAAAGGCCCCAACTCCAAATACTATCACCTTGGGGGTTAGGGCTTCAATACATGAATTTTGGAGGGACACAAATGTTCGGTCTATAACAGACTATGTCCTCCTTACCTTTTCCTCTCCTTTCCCCAGCTGGAATGGGGACATGCCAGTGGACCATCATGGATCATGTAGATCAGTGTAACATCCTAGGGACTGGCAAAGCAACAAGATATAAGGAGTATGTGGCCCTGACCAGTTGGGGGGGAGCCGCCATGCCAGCTCCAGTTTCTATGTGACAGAGAAATAAACTTTTGTCTGCTGTAAGCATTGTTACTTTTGGTCTCCTTTATAAGCAACCGATCCTATCCTAACTTGGTGACCTTGAAAGTGAGGTATAAGTTTCCCTGGGGGATAAATATCCTCCACTGGATATGAAAACCCTTATAATTTTAAGGGAATCAATTGCCAGATGTTTAAACTTCCACATAATGATAAATGTTGTGATGGTAATAATAACAATACTGAAATTGAAAAATTAACTATGTTTCATGCACTTCACTGACACTAATTCACTGAACAAATCTTAAACAGATTCCTTCCTAAAATTAGTCTACCTTAGAACATGCCTGTGGTTGAAACAATTTCCATTTCTCACTCCACAAATGCCCTTTTTCTCCCACTTCAAAGAAAAGGTGTAACTCTAACTCATTCCAAATCTTAAAATGAGGACTTGCCCTTGAGGCAGTGTTTCTCAGACTTAATTCTTATCACCTTCTAAGGAGCCTTTTGGACATTTTTTGGTAATCATTCCTATTATGAAATTTTAATACAGTACATATGCCGCTGGCCCATGATAGTTCAATTTATGATGGGTTTATATGGACTTAATCTAATTGTAAATCAAGGAACATCTGACATGGTTCAACTTTTATTGATTTATCAAAATGTAACCCCATTGTAAGTTGAGGAACATCTGTACCCTGTATATCTATTTATGTACTGTGCATATCTGTGCTTTATACATATAGGAGTAAGATATTTTTCATCTTTTAAGAAGCAATTTTTGTCCCCATCAAGAAAGCATGCTCCAGAATGTAAAAACCTATGGGGCACTGTATTAGTCTGTTTTCATACTGCTATTAAGAACTGCCTGAGACTGGGTAATTTATAAAGGAAAGAGGTTTAATTGATTCACGGTTCAGCATGGCTGGGGAGGCCTCAGGAAACTTACAATCATGGCGGAAGGCGAAGGGGAAGCAAGGCACCTTCTTCATAAGTCAGCAGGAAGGAGAAATGCTGAGCGCAGGGGGAAAAGCCCCTTATAAAACCATCAGATCTCAAGAGAACTCACTAATTATCATGAGAACAGCACGGGGGAACTTCACCCCATGATTCAATTACCTCCACCTGGTCTCTCCCACATGGGGATTACAGGGATTATGAGGATTACAATTCAAGATGAGATTTGGGTGGGGACACAAAGCCTAACCATATCAGGCACCAAAGGACTATTTGAAATACTGGTGTTGGTGTGAGAAATTACGTGAGTCTATAATTGCATAAGAAATCTTTTGCAACCCATATGATTTCTGATATTTTGTTTTATAAAAATTCAAGGAGGAATTGTCAGCTGATAAATCATTAAAATTAGCTTAGAAGGAGTTCAAAAAATTAAATAACATTGCTATAATAAAACTATTTCCATTTTCATATAAGTATTTGAATAAATAAGGTTTCTCAGGACTTTCATATGTAAAAATGAAAAATATTAGTATAATTAATGCTGAACACTGAATCACTCTAACATTAAGTATTATGTATTCATAGAAATAATTAAAATCAGTCCCATTCATTTAGATATGCATTTCCAATAAAATTTCCTTTTTTATATTTAATTATTTATAACATACTTACGTTGATTTTACCAAAATTATAGTGATAACTAAACTCAGGAGATATTTTCCAACTCTTTTAGTGATAGGAAATTTTAAAAAAACATTAAATTTTTAAAAATTAGGCCAGGTACAGTAGCTTATGACTGTAATCCCAGCATTTTGGGAGGCCGAGGCAGGAGGATTGCTTAAGGCCAGGAGTTCAAAACCAGCCTGGGCAGCATAGTGAGACCTTGTCTCTACAAAAAATATTTTTTAAAAAAGCTAGCTTGGTGTGGTGGTGTGTGCCTGTAGTTCTAGCTTCTTGGGAGGTTGAGGTGGGAGGATTGCTTGAGGCCAGGAATTCAAAGTTACAGTGAGCTATGATCACACCACTGTACTCCAGCTTTGGCAACAGAGTAAGACTCTGTCTCTAATAAATAAATAAAAATTAAGTGTCAGACTATATATCTGAATATCTATCTCTATAGATAGATGAATATGTATATGTATTTACACATGTATATATATATCTCCCATCCAAGTGCTAACCAAGCCCAAACCTGCTTAGCTTCTGAGATCAGACGAGATCAGGCTCATTAAGGGTGGTATGGCTATAGGTAATCTTTACATACCATACATATGATTATCTATATCTATAAATAAACATATATATTTTGAAGAGAAAATGGGATGAAAGAGTTAAAAGACTATAAGAATAAAAAATATTATATTGGATGAAATTATATGGGGGAAGTCAGATGGAAATACAAGTTTAAGAGGAAAATGCATTGCTATAAAATTTCTAACTACTAAAAAAGGACTTGTTTATGAACATTTTGAATAGATGAATGAATGATGGTGGGTGCCAAATCATAATTTTTAGATTCTGTTTACTACGTTTAAAAGAGTCCTGTAGACCAGGCGCGGTGGCTCACGCCTGTAATCCCAGCACTTTGGGAGGTCGAGGTGGGTGGATCACAAGGTCAGGAGTTTGAGACCAGCCTGGCCAATATGGTGAAACCCTGTCTCTACTAAAAATACAAAAAAATTAGCCAGGCATGGTGGCACATGCCTGTAATCCCAGCTACTCGGGAGGCTGAGGCAGGAGAATTGCTTGAATCTGGGAGGTGGAGGTTGCAGTGAGCCGAGATCACGCCACTGCACTTCAGCCTGGGTGCCAGAGCAAGATTCCATCTCAAAAAAAAAAGAGTCTCATAACATTTTAATTTTAAAATGCCAAAATATACAACATGCCAGAAAAATATCAATATCCTTTGCAACTATTTAAACTAATAATATATAATGTTAGATATCAACTTAGAAATGAGTGAGATTATTGTAAAAGTATTTCGAGGGCTGTGAAGTGAAAAAGATTAAGGATGCCTGTCCTAACTAATGCATGAGGTCAGAGTCTAACTGGCAGCTCTACTGATGATGCCAAGTGACCAGAGTCGGGTGGAAGTTGCCTGCATTCCACTTCCAGTCACCACTTATGGCAACTGGGAGTGAGACCAAGCCCATAGGTGGCCATGAAACAGCCCTTAGGGTGATGAGCGAGAGAGGGCAGAGTCTGGGAAACTGGGATACGCCTGCTGTTTGGCACAACCACTGCTTCTTCACCCTTCCCTTCTGCATGGGGTCAAGTGGTGAGTAGCAGTTCATGAGGGAATGGCACACCTCGGATATCTCCCCACCAAGGGCCTCCACCAAAGGCCACCTGCAACCTTGGCTTCCACCAAGTTTCCTGGGACCTTTTTCCCCCTCCAGCTGTTTTCAGCTCTTATTATTATTATTATTATTATTATTATTATTTTTTTTTTTTTATTATTATTAACAATTAGAGACAGGGTCTCAATATGTTTCCCAGGCTGGTCTTGAACTTCTGGCCTCAAGCAATTCTCCCACCTTGGCCTCCCAAAGTGCTGGGATTACAGGTGTGAGCCTCCATGTCCAGTCAGCTCTTGCTGTTCTGGCCTTCTCTTTTCTCAAAAATGTGGTCCATGTCCACTTGTGTATTACAGAATAATCAGAAGCACTTGTTAACGTGTCACTTTTTTGTTTCACTACAGACCTACTATATTGGCATCTCTGGGAGTAAGACTCAGAGTTTTGCATGGTTAACTGTTCAGCATAAGAATTACTTCTTTATGCGTCCATAACTTGTAGTAAGCAATGATGATGAGTTTCTTTGCTTACCATAGAATTTAAGCCTGGGTGTTTGGATTAAAAATACCAGGAAATGGAGATGCAAATCAAAATGGATGTCAACTTGTTTTACTCTTGGATGACTAGCAGATACTTACTGGGGCCTTCTTGGCTTTATCTGGAGAAGCAGGAAGAAATAAATAACGTTCAGAGCAAGATTAAATGAATTTCCAAAAAAGGGGAAAGTCACAAAGCAAGGCCTCTTCCAGACTGACACTTAGGACCATGGCATTGGACAAATGTTTACAAATGTTCAACATTGACAAAACAGTGGATGGTTTCAAGCACTGTACTGTACTGGTTGGATATCATTCCAGCCCTGAGAGTTGGATCAAAGTTTGAACTAGTCCAACACAATAATAATCAGAAGCCAGGAATAGGTATTCCATTCAGGAGAGGCTCAGAAAGAGATTGGGTTATAATAGAGTCTGTATTTGGTAGAGTCAGATTCAAGACCTGCTGATTCTTTGCGAGTAACTGAAGGAAGGGCTTCATGAAGATGTAGCTAGCAGATGGATCCTCTTGATATCACAGAAAAGGGTTTACTTAAAGAGGTGGGTAAAAATGGAATAGACACACAGGACCTCTATTTAATTTTCTGCTTTTAAATACCAGCAATTGTCTCTCTTGATCAGCTACTTAGGCCATGTTTGAAGTTCAGATCACCCCCCTTGATTTTCTCTGAGTTCACTGCATAGTTTCTTGTGGCATTGGTTATTAGAGTGATGTTTTCAATTGTTGAAAGTAATTCAAGCAAGGCAAAAATGTTTGCTTTGTGCCAGGCCTAACAAACTTGGCTTCCCTCATCTAGCAAGACTTACTTTTTTGTGCTTTGGAGAAGGGAAGACTCACTCCCCAGTAGAAGTTCTGCAAGAATAAGTCAAAAAATCTTAGGGATTATTTTTACCTGTCTGCTGGTTATTTCTAAGTTTGGGGAGTGTGGCATTTTCAGAAACAACTGTTTGGATGAGAGAAGAGTTTTGAACTTTTCTGGAGAATTATAATTGCTTCTTTGATTTCACAACACCTCCATCTTGTCCATTACCACCTTGTTTTTACAATAATTTGGGGAATTAAAATAGTTTGTTTTGAGAAGTTAGGGCAAAATTTCATGATGCTTCTGGGGGTGAAATGAAAACCATTGTGGTTGACAAAACCAGGAATGAGGATTGCTCCTATTAGACTAGAAATATCAGAGAGTGGTCTCACAGGGTATTAATAGTCCTCAGTCTTGGATGTTTGTAATGCAACACTTTGGTTTCTAGCACAAATGAACAATTTGTTTCTAGTCATTTTTTTTGTATCTCACTTACATAGGCCACATTTTTTCCATTTATTATATTTACTTAAAAATAGTTTTAACTCACCAAAACAAAATGGGTAGATATAGATATCTGCCACGTGTTTTATTTTCCCTGTTTGCCACTCAAATCACTTGTTCATTCAGATTAAGGGAAAATACATCATGGTTTTCTTACCTATCCTTTCCTTTCCAGTCTGAATCACTTATGCTTTGTTTGACTGATCATTCACTTATCTATTTACTCAGTTGACAAATATGTATTGAGCACCTATCATAGTCTCAGAACTGGACTAGGCATTGGGATACAGGAAGATGCATTTCCTGCCCTCAGGAAGCTTCCACTCTATTGGAATTCTCCATGTGTTCCTCTCAGGATCTTTATGCAGACCTCCTGGGAGGTAATCAGTCTCTTCACTATATGCCATCAAGACCTGGTGGGGCACTTCCTGGACTGTACGTTTATTCAAGGACCAGGTGCAATGTACTTCAGCTGTTTGCATTCTCTCTCATGGGACAAGGCTTGTGTGAGCTTCACAGCCCCCTTGACCTGGCTCTCAGGGAGGCCACGCAGAGGAGTTCTCCTGAAATGCTTGGAAGTTGATGACACACCTTGAGCAAATGGAAGAAATTATAGTTACATATGAGCTGGGGCCTTGACTATAGCAAAGTAGATAAATACGTCCTTGGGGGTTTAGCTACAATCCAGGGGATTATGGAACAAATCTACCATTGTATGAGAAGCTGTAAATCAAATAACATGAGGCCTTCATTACATAAGGGAGATAATTCCCATCACCAAATGGATTTGAAAGCATCCAGACACGACTTGCACTGTGAACAGCCCTAGGTTGTCAGCCTGCTGCTGCATGTTTGTGGGTCTGCTGGGTTCAACTCCTCACGCTCACATAGCTCTGCCTGCCCTCCCAGCTATGAGGGAAGGGACTCACTTGCCAGCTTCAAGGCTTGAAGAATGCCTTTTTTTTTCTTGTTTCAGGAGCAGAGGGTTGAGTCAATTGTAATCCTCATCTCTTCATCCACGCATGGCTCCTCCACTGGTTTGTTTTCCTCTTCTGTCCTCATTCCCAGCTCCCATTCCTCTTCCTTAGGTATTTGTTTTTAAAATGTATGTTGTTTGGTCTGCATATATATTTTTCCATCTTTTAATTATAACCATATTCAGACATAGTGGAAAGTTGAATGAATGGTACAGTGTACACTCTTATACATACTACCTGGAATCAAACATTTCCTAACATTTTGTCATACTTGCCTAATTTTATATAGGTTTTGGAAAGTAGGTGGTAGACATCATCATAAATCATCCCAAAATATTTCAGCATGCTTCTCCTAAAAAGAAAGACATTTTCCTACATAAAGACAGTGCCATTATCACACCTAAGAATGTTCACAGTAATGATGTAATTTTATCTAATGTTCAGTTCATATTCAAATTTTCCTAATTACTTAAACTGTTTCTGTAGCCTTAATTAAAAAATTAGAATTCAAATAAAAATATATACATTGTGTTTAGCTAAATATTTTAAATCTCTTTATTCTAGAACAACCCTCCTCTTTTTTAAAAAAAAATGGCATTGACCTCTTGAAGAGATGAGTCCAGCTGTCTTATAGAATGTCCCTGCTTGTGGATTTGTCTGAATGCTTTCTCATGAATATGTTATATTTGTTCCTTATGTCTTATATTTCCTGTAAATTGGAAGTTAGATCTAAATACTTGATTAAATTCAGATTTAAGTTTTGGCAAGAAACACTGCAGAGGTGATTTTATGTGCTTTATAATATTGCATCCTGTTAGGGGGCTTATAATTTCAAAATAGCTGTCTGACTATTTGCGATGTTAAATTTGATCACTCGGTTAAAGTGATAACCACCAGATCTTTGCATTGAAAAAGTACATGCCTTTGCAAATTAGCAAGCATCTGTGGGGGTGATACTTTCATATACTGTGAACATCCTGTTCTCTGACAACCTTTGCCTTAATAACTATAGTATCCATCAATGATTCTTGTCTGAATCAAGGATCTTATTAATAGTTGTAAAAATGTGATATTCTCATGCTAACATCCTTTCTGCATTTAGTAGCTGAAATTGTTCTGCAAAATAGAGCTTTTGTTCATTTGTTATGGATAAATGGATGAACTACTTTATTAAAAGGGAAAAACAATCAGCTCTTGGAATAATGAATTAGTGAAATCGTCACCGTCAAAGATAGCATATGAGGTTTGTTTTTTTTTCTCTTTTAATTTTATTCCACTTTTGAATGTCAGTATGAACCTGTGGATATCATTTATTCAAGATTTTACAATCAGTTATGGTCAGTTTTCTTTTCACTCCTCCAATTTCCCCAACATGGCCAATGGGAGCCCTGTACACATGGGAGCTGTCCCAGATCTGAATTTCTCTCTTTCTCTAAGGAGTCTTGGTTCCTTTGAGTGGAGGATGCTATTTAGATTGAGGCACTGGATGTGCCTATAGCTACTTGTTTAGCATGATTTCTATGCCCTATAGAAACTATGTTTCTATGCCCTGGCCTATAGTGTCTATGTTTCAGTAGACAGAGGTCAGAATTAAATAAACAAAATATTAGTTTATATTATTTCCAATTAAGTTTAATATTACTTGGTTTACTTAGCTTTGATTTTATATTTGTATCTCTTCTCTCTTACTATAAACTTCTTGATTTCCAGTTATACTGTATTTACTTAGTTTCTTTATTCTACACAAAATAATTTCAAAATGCCAATAGCATTTTTACCACTGACAATGAACCTAGTGAGTGAAGTTTAAGATTTATTTGCCTTTCTTTTTGCCTTGGAATATATCCCACTAGTGTATACAGTCAAAGTACTATGTTCAAAAGCCACTTGGAATAATTATTTCCTCTCATTACATTACAAATCTGATATAGAGTCATATGAATTTGTTTATTTTGAATATGAGTTTGTTTATTGTTATTTTATCTTATTTAATTATTTGAAGACGTAAAACATTTTCATCATGCGCTTTGTTTGTTTGTTTCCACAAATGGGTGTAAAAAGGGGGTTGGGGGACAGTAAAGGACCTGAGTTGCAGATCTCTAAAAAGTTGCTGTTGCTTTTTGGAAAATTAACACTTGAAATTTCCTTTAAATGCAGTCCAAACTTTCCAATCAGTTGGCTATCCAGTCCTAACGGTAATGTCAGGATTTGGGTTAAACTTGTTGAATTGCAGAGAATGTCTCAAGACAGTCATTTTTGTGGTGTGTGGAACAGTGTACTGATCTCTAACCCTGGAAGCCCAGGCACAGAATTAATGAGAGGTTTCATGTGTACCTAAAAGCATCTTTCCAAGAATTTATTACCCTTGTTTTGGCACATGTTCATGAAGGCCTTCAAGTTTGTGGTCAGCTTAGAAACTTCAAAATTTCCTTTAAAAACTCAGTTTGGGGATTGTGCACTTTTCTGGATGTGTGTTATATGTCAATAAAAAGTTTAGAAAGAAGGAAAAGGAAGGAAAAAAACTACAATTCTGCCTAAACCTCACTTCCTCTAGGCTAAACCTAGCATGCATACTCATCACCATTCCCCTTAAGCATTTCCCCAAACACTTGGGACGTAAGACTTATCTCTTGAATTGGCAAACTGGAGTATAGTGAAAAGAGCTCTCAATTTGGGGTGGAGCTCCTGACTCCAGAACCGGTTCTTTCACATAGGAGTTGCCTCTTGTGGTGCGAGACCCTTGACCTTGTTATTCCTTAATTTTCTCATCGGTGAGACAGGTGTAATGTATGCTGTCACAAAACGTGTCGTCATGGGGATCAGGTAAGGTAATGGATCTAAAAAGTGCTTCATTGAGTACAGAAAATGTAAAAACTTTACAATTATGGCTTGTACATGTCTCTATTATTTTTCTGGTCTGTTATGTGATTGTTATTTGGCTTCCCAGGTTCTGCCCTTGGCCCACTGCAGACCATTTTCCACCCAGTTGCCAGGAGGATACTGTCAGAGCATCAGGCCAGATCATGTCTCTCCTGGCCTCCATCTCTCCTGCTGCCTCTCAGCTCCTCACTACCACTCTGCCTTCAATTCCTCCTCTTCACCCCCTTTCTCATTCTATCCCAGATGCTGGATTTCCTGCAAGTCTTCAAACCTCCAGGTTCAATTCTGCCTCAGAGCTTTTGCTGTTTACCCTGCGGGGAGTGCTTTTCCCCAGACATCCTTGTGGTTCACTTTTTCACTTTCTTCAAGTCTTTGCTTTTCAATTAGGTCTCCTTTAGCCATTCTGTTAAAGTCGTACCCCTGACACTCCATAGCCCTCTTTCCTGCTTTATATTTTGACATAGTACTTATCACTTCCTAATATATAGATGAATGGCTTATTTATTTCAGCTATTATTTGCCTTTCCCCACCATATTATAAATTCCATGACAGCGGGGATTTTGTCTGTTTTGTTAACTAACATGTCCCCAGCACCTACAACAAGGCCTGACAATAAAAATTTTTAGTGTCAATGAATGACTGTTTGAAAGTCTTATAATCAGACAGAGAAAGAATAAGAACTCACATTTCTGGACACTTTTCAGTATGTAACTAGTAAAAATGAACCCTATTGTAAACTCTAATATGGATTCTCTACTTTCCCCCAGGATCTTGACCACCTGGAAGATATTTGTATAATCTCTTTGTACATTTTAATAATCCAGGAATGCTGCTTCTATTCCTGGATTATTAAAACATGTGTGGAGAAGCAGTAAATGCAAGAGAGATGTTCTCTGGAAAGTGGAGAGAAGCTGGACCATACCAGGCACATTTGAGCTAAAGCACTAATGAATTGTATGCTGTTGTGTTTTTGCACAGGCTTGTAGTATTTTCTTCAGCACCGTATAATTTGGTCTTGCAGTGTTTTAAAAGGCAGAATGATGTATTATACCATGGCATTTCCCAAACTGTGTGCCAGGGAACACTAGTTCCAGGAAATACTAATCGGTGCTCAAAGAAGAATAATGGTTCTGTGATTCTGACTCACAGTATTTATTCACTTAAGGCTCTGAGGAACCACACAGCTTAAAAATAAGTAAAGGACGGGTGGCCTTTATTTATTGACCCTACATATTGGAATAGAGAGACTTACTTTTTCACTGTTTATCTATTAACAGCCTACCTGTTCCCAGAGAATAAAATATAAATGAGTTCTAACATTTATGAAGATTTACTTTTCTAATTTTAAATTTTATTTATTTATTATATATATATTTTATTATACTTTAAGTTCTATGGTACATGTACACAACGTGCAGGTTTGTTACATAAGTATACATGTGCCATGTTGGTGTGCTGCACCCATTAACTCGTCATTTACATTAGGTATATCTCCTAATGCTATCCGTCCCCCCTCCCCCACCCCACAACAGGCCTCGGTGTGTGATGTTCCCCTTCCTGTGTCCAAGTGTTCTCACTGTTCAATTCCCACCTTGCGATAGTTTGCTGAGAGTGATGGTTTCCAGCTTCATCCATGTCCCTACAAAGACATGAACTCATCATTTTTTATGGCTGCATAGTATTCCATGGTGTATATGTGCCACATTTTCTTATTCCAGTCTATCATTGTTGGACATTTGGGTTGGTTCCAAGTCTTTGCTATTGTGAGTAGTGCTGCAATAAACATATGTGTGCATGTGTCTTTACAGCAGCATGATTTATATTCCTTTGGGTATATACCCAGTAATGGGATGGCTGGGTCAAATGGTATTTCTAGTTCTAGATCCCTGAGGAATCACCACACTGTCTTCCACAATGGTTGAACTAGTTTACAGTCCCACCAACAGTGTAAAAATGTTCCTATTTCTCCACATCCTCTCCAGCACCTGTTGTTTCCTGACTTTTTAATGATCGTCATTCTAACTGGTGTGAGATGATAGAAGATTTACTTAGTTAAAAGTTTCAGCACTTAAATAAAATATGTACACCAGGTCCATGACACCATGCCAGATTATTATTTTTTATTATTGTACTTAAAGTTCTAGGGTACATGTGCACGACGTGCAGGTATGTTACATAGGTATACATGTGCCATGCTGGCTTCCTGCACCCATCAAGTCATCATTTACATTAGGTATTTCTCCTAATGCTATCCCTCCCCTAACCCGCCACCCCCTGACAGGCCCCAGTGTATGATGCTCCCCACCCTGTGTCCATGTGATCTCATTGTTCAATTCCCACCTATGAGTGAGAACATGTGGTGTTTGCTTTTCTGTCCTTGTGATAGTTTGCTGAGAATGATGGTTTCCAGTTTCATCCATGTCCCTGTAAAGGACATTAACTCATCCTTTTTTATGGCTGCATAGTATTCCATGGTGTATATGTGCCACATTTTCTTAATCCAGTCTATCATTGATGGACATTTGGGTTGGTTCCAAGTCTTTGCTATGGTGAATGTGAATAGTACCACAATAAACATACATGTGCATGTGTCTTTATAGTAGCATGATTTATAATCCTTTGAGTAATACCGAGTAATGGGATCACTGGGTCAAATGGTATTTATAGTTCTAGATCCTTGAAGAATCACCATACTGTCTTCCACAATGGTTGAACTAATTTACACTCCCACCAACAGTGTAAAAGTGTTCCTATTTCTCCACATCCTCTCCAGCATCTGTTGTTTCCTGACTTTTTGATGATCGCCATTCTAAGTGGCATGAGATGGTATCTCATTGTGGTTTTGATTTACATATATCTGATGACCAGTGATGATGAGCATTTTTTCATGTGTCTGTTGGTTGCATAAATGTCTTCTTTTGAGAAGTGTCTGTTCATTTCCTTTGCCCACTTTTTGATGGGGTTGTTTGTTTTTTTCTTGTAAATTTGTTAAGTTCTTTGTAGATTCTGGATATTAGCCCTTTGTCACATGGGTAGATTGCAAAAATTTTCTCCCACTCTGTAGGTTGCCTTTTCACTCTGAAGATAGTTTCTTTTGCTGTGCAGAAGTTCCTTAGTTTAATTAGATCCAATTTGTCTATTTTGGCTTTTGTTGCCATTGCTTTTGGTGTTTTAGTCATGAAGTCTTTGCCCATGCCTATGTCCGGAATGGCATTGCCTAGGTTTTCTTCTAGGGTCTTTTATGGTTTTGGGTCTTACATTTAAGTCTTTAATTCATCTTAAGTTAATTTTTGTATAAGGTGTAAGGAAAGGATCCAGTTTCAGCTTTCTACATATGGCTAGCCAGTTTTCCCAGCACCATTTATTAAATAGGGAATCCTTTCCCCATTTCTCATTTTTGTCAGGTTTGTCAAAGATTAGATGGTTATAGATGTGTGGTGTTATTTCTGAGGCTTCTGTTCTGTTCCATTGGTCTATATATCTGTTTTGGTAACAGTACCATGCTGTTTTGGTTACTGTAGCCTTGTAGTATAGTTTGAAGTCAGGTAGCGTGATGCCTCCAACTTTGTTCTTTTTGCTTAGAATTGTCTTGGCTATGTGGGCTCTTTTTTGGTTCCATATGAACTTTAAAGTAGTTTTTTTCAATTCTGTGAAGAAAGTCGTTGGTAGCTTGATGGGGATGGCATTGAATCTATAAATTGCCTTGGACGGTATGGCCATTTTCACAATATTGATTCTTCCTATCCATGAGCATGGAATGTTCTTCCGTTAAGCAGAGGTTTGTAGTTCTCCTTGAAGAGGTCCTTCACATCCCTTGTAAGTTGGATTTCTAGGTATTTTATTCTCTTTGAAGCAATTGTGAATGGGAGTTCACTCATGATTTGGCTCTCTGTCAGTTATTGGTGTATAAGAATGCTTGTGATTTTTGCGCATTGATTTTGTATCCTGAGACTTTGCTGAAGTTGCTTATCAGCTTAAGGAGATTTTGGGCTGAGACGACGGGGTTTTCTAAATATACAGTCATGTCATCTGCAAACAGGGACAATTTGACTTCTTCTTTTCCTAATTGAATACCCTTTATTTCTTTCTCTTGCCTGATTGCCCTGGCCAGAACTTCCAACACCATGTTGAATAGGTGTGGTAAGAGAGGGCATCCTTGTCTTGTGCCAGTTTTCAAAGGGAGTGCTTCCAGTTTTTGCCCATTCATTATGATATTGGCTGTGGGTTTGTCATAAGTAGCTCTTATTATTTTGAGATCCATTCCATCAATACCTAGTTTATTGAGAGTTTTTAGCATGAAGGACTGTTGAATTTTGTTGAAGGCCTTTTCTGCATCTATTGAGATAATCATGTGGTTTTTGTTGTTGGTTCTGTTTATGCGAAGGATAAAGTTTATTGATTTTTGCATATGTTGAACCAGCCTTGCATCCCAGGGATGAAGCCAACTTGATTGTGGTGGATAAGCTTTTTGATGTGCTGCTGGATTTGGTTTGCCAGTAGTTTACTGAGGATTTTTGCATCGATGTTCATCAGGGATATTGGTCTAAAATTCTCTTTTTTTGTTGTGTCTCTGCAGCCTTTGGTATCAGGATGATGCTGGCCTCATAAAATGAGTGAGAGAGGATTCTCTTTTTCTATTGATTGGAATAGTTTCAGAAGGAATGCTACCAGCTCCTCTTTGTACCTCTGGTAGAATTCGGCTGTGAATCCATCTGGTCCTGGACTTTTTTTGGTTGGTGGGCTATTAATTATTGCCTCAATTTCAAAGCCTGTTATTGGTCTATTCAGGGATTCAACGTCTTCCTTGTTTAGTTTTGGGAGGGTGTTATGTGTCATGCCAGATTATTTTTAAGACTCCAGGCAATATTGAATTCTGCTCCAGTATATTCATGTATTTGAAATGACACACTGATATTAAAAGACACTACCTATTTTGTGGCCACAATCCATACCTATCAAACTATTATTTCCCATAGATCTCATGGTGACATACATTTTATTTGCCATTGAGTCCTGTTTGGTACTCTGCAAACCTACCTGAGGAAGGAACAGCATTCACAGAGTATCCGTTATATCAGGAATATATCCTCCAAGGAACTGCAGTTCTTTTGCGACTTTTTATTAGTGGAGTATTTACTTTCTGCCAGGGACTTCATTAGATACAATGAAGGTACCTGGGAGAACAAGACAGAACAAGATCATGGAGTTCATATTCTAGTTTAGCCAGGCAAAAATGACAGTGTGCATAGCAGATAATCAAATGTTCAGGCAAAGATTGTAAAGTCAAGAAAGAAAGGAAGAGCTGAGACAGAGGATAAGGTGTATGTGAAGTTGTTTCCTACTTGAGGTGAGGTGGCCAGGAAGGAAGGCTGCTGCAAGGTGTAAGGATATGTGAACTGAGGTGAAAGGATGACAAGGAGCTGGCCATGCCAGGACAGGTAGGAAGAACACTTATTTCAGGCAGAATGTTTATGTTTCCAATGTATTGGAAAGACCAATGGCTTAGTGGCAGGAAACTGCTTGCTAAAGAATTAAAAGCACATGGCTGATCTGTAGTCTTCATAAGGGCCACAAGATGAGGGAAGGGTGGCAGTCAGTGTGGGCGCAAAGCAAATCATTCAGGGGTTTTGAGGCCATGTATGGACTTTAATTGAGAGAGTGACGTGATCAAACTTCTGTTGCAAGGCACCTCTTCCAAAGCAAAATACACCCCCAAAACACTAACAATTTTGTTAAGTGAACAATGGGTATTAAAAAACACTTTTAACTACCTGAAAAATACAGATGACCTATTTATCCATCTCCCTATCCCAAATGCACAGTAGCCTCCAATGTGAACCACTGGGCCTTGATGAAGTGTTATTCTATTTTATATTTCATACAGCAGTCTCCACAGCTAGGGCCTCTATAGTTCTATGTTGGGGAGAACACTTATAGCCTGGGGCACATGTGAAGATTTTTAGGGCAGAGTTTACCCCCAACAGTCCTGAAGCTTCTTTTGAGGGCCTCCCCCATATCCTCCACCATGACCTCTGTTCTTCCAGGTCTCCAAAGCTTCCTCTCATCCATTCTACCCATTCTTTCATTTTTACCTTTTTAATTTTAATTTTTTAATTGATACATAATAGTTGTGCATATTTTCATGATAAATTTTGTGATAATACATTCACATAATTTGTAAAGATCAAATTATTGTAATTTGGATACCTATCATCTTAAATGTTTGTCTTTTCCTTATGCTAGAAACATTTGAATTATCCTCTTCTGGCTATTTTGAAATATGCAATAGATTATTATAAGTGGTAGTTAACCTACCGATTTATCAAATCCATTCTACCCATTCTTGAGCCTGGTTGCTCACACAGAATCCCTGTTCAAATGTTATAGATAATTATGGTGTGAAATGATCCCCTGAAGTGTGATCCCCACCAAAAGCATTCATACTTGAAAGATAATTTTTTAGGGCAATCCTGGCATTGGAGGTATAGTGAGAAGAACCGGAGGGTAAGTAGGTGAGATACACCCTCTCAGTGAGGCAAGAGGGGCTTCTGCCCTGAGTGCTTTTTGAGGGTTCTACATATTAGAAGCTATTACACTCAGAAAAGAGTGATTAAATCATAAGTGAGTGTCTTCATCACTTGGGATCCTGTGCTTGGTGCTGGCACCTTGCAATTCATAATCCTAAATACTGACTCTCATGACTGACACTGCTAAGGCCCCAGGGAAATGCTTGTCCACATTTCTTGGCCTGGGTGCCTGAAACAAAGGCAACTGGGTCTAAAGGTCTGTGGGTTGTTCTGCTGAAGTTAGAGATGGACACTACTTTGAAGTGCAGGGAGGAGTAAGCGACGGAAGATTTGAAGTAAGACAAACCAACATTTCAAATTTCTCCCTTTGGAAAACATGAATTCAGAAGATTGTTTCCCAGTAGTGCTGAATATTCATTTTCTTGCTCTTTTGTGTGCTTTAATTAGTGGCTCTGGGGGTACTCATGAATTAGCTTACAAACCGCAGTTGAGAGTATTTATAACATCAAACAATTCATATAACTCTGGAAGATGTATTTATGTTGGTATGGACACAACATACTTGAAGAGTGATAGTGATTCTCTTTTTTTTTTTTTTTTTATTTTACTTTAAGTTCTGGGATACACGTGCAGAACATGCAGGTTTGTTACATAGGTATACATGTGCCATGGCAGTTTGCTGCACCTATCAACCCATCATCTAGGTTTTAAGCCCAGCATGCATTATGTATTTGTCCTAATGCTTTTCCTCCCCTTCCACCCCACCCCTTGACAGGCCCCAGTGTGTGACGTTCCCCTCCCTGTGTCCATATGTTCTCATTGTTCAACTTCCACTCATAAGTGAGAACATGTGGTATTCAGTTTTCTGTTCCTGTGTTAGTTTGTGAAGAATGATGACTTCCAGCTTCATCCATGTCCCTGCAAAGGACATGAACCCATTCTTTTTTATGGCTGCATAGTATTTCATGGTGTGTATGTGCCACATTTTCTTTATCCAGTCTATCATTGATGAACATTTGGGTTGGTTCCAAGTCTTTGCTATTGTTAAGTAGTGCTGCAATAAACATACGTGTGCATGTGTCTTTATAGTAGAATGATTTATAATCCTTTGGGTATATACCCAGTAATGAGATTGCTGGGTCAAATGGTATTTCTGATTCTAGATCCTTGAGGAATTGCCACACTGTCTTCCACAATGGTTGAACTAATTTATGCTCCCACCAACAGTGTAAAAGTGTTCCTATTTCTCCACATCCTCTCCAGCATCTGTCGTTTACTGACTTTTTAATGATGGCCATTCTAACTGGCATGAGATGGTATCTCATTGTGGTTTTGATATGCATTTCTCTAACGACCAGTGATGATGAGCTTTTCTTCATGTTTTTTGGCCGCATAAATGTCTTCTTTTGAGAAGTGTCTGTTCGTATTCTTTGCCCACTTTTTGATGGAGTTGTTTGTATTTTTCTTGTAGATTTAAGTTCCTTGTAGATTCTGGATATTAGACCTTGTTACATGGGTAGCTTGCAAAATTTTTCTCCCATTCTGTAGGTTGCCTGTTCAGTCTGAAGATAGTTTCTTTTGCTGTGCAGAAGCTCTTTAGTTTGATTAGATCCCATTTGTCAATTTCAGCTTTTGTTGCAATTGCTTTTGGTGTTTTAGTCATGAAGTCTTTGCCCATGCCTGTGTCCTGAAGGCATTGCCTAGGTTTTCTTCTAGGGTTTTTATGGTGTTGGGTTTTACATTTAAGTTTTTAATCCATCTTGAGTTAATTTTTGTATAATAGGTAAGGAAGGGGTCCAGTTTCAGTTTTCTACATACGGCTAGCCAGTTTTCCTACCACCATTTATTTAATAGGGAATCCTTTTCCATTGCTTGTTTTTGTCATGTTTGTCGAAGATCAGATGGTTGTAGATGTTTGGTGTTATTTCTGAGGTCTCTGTTCTGTTCCATTGGTCTATCAGTTTTGGTACCAGTACCATGCTGTTTTGGTTACTGTATATTTGTAACCAAATAGTATATTTGAAGTCAGAATGATGCCTCCAGCTTTGTTCTTTTTAGTTAGAATTGTCTTGGCTATACGGGCTCTTTTTTGGTTCCATATTTAAAGTAGTATTTTCTAATTCTGCAAAGAATGTCACTGGTAGCCTGATGGGAATAGCATTGAATTTATAAATTACCTTGGGCAGTATGGCCATTTTCACGATACTGATTCTTCCTATTCAGGAGCATGGAATGTTTTTCCATTTGTTTGTGTCCTCTTTTATTTCCTTGAACAGTGGTTTGTAGTTCTCTTTGAAGAGGTCCTTCACATCCTTTATAAGTTGTACTCCTAGGTATTTTATTCTCTTTGTAGCAATTGTGAATGGGAGTTCACTCATGATTTGGCTCTCTGCTTGTCTATTGTTGGTGTATAGGAATGCCTGTGAATTTTGCACATTGATTTTGTATCCTGAGACTTTGCTGAAGTGCTTATCAGCTTAAAGAGTTTTTGGGCTGAGACAATGGGGTTTTCTAAATATACAATCATGTCATCTGCAGACAGAGACAAATTGACTTTCTGTCTTCCTGTTTGAATACCCTTTATTTCTTTCTCTTTCCTGATTGCCCTGGCCAAAAGTTCCTAACTATGCCGAATAGGAGTGGTGAAAGAGGACGTCCTTGTCTTGTGCTGGTTTGCAAAGGGAATGCTTCCAGCTTTTGCCCATTCAGTATGATATTTGCTATGGGTTTGTTATAAATGGCTCTTATTAAGATATGTTTCATCAATACCTACTTTATTGTGAGTTTTTAGCATGAAGTGATGTTGAATTTCATTGAAGGCCTTTCCTGCATCTACTGAGATAATCATGTGGTTTTGTCATTGATTATGTGTATGTGATGGATTATGTTTATTGATTTATGTATGTTGAACAAGCCTTGCATCCCAGGGATGAAGCTGACTTGATCGTGATAGATAAGCTTTTTGATGTACAGCTGGATTCAGTTTGCCAGTATTTTACTGAGGATTTTTGCATCAATGTTCATCAGGCATATTGGCCTGAAATTTTCTTTTTTTGTTGTGTCTCTGCCAGGTTTGGTATCAGGATGATGCTGGCCTCATAAAATGAGTTAGGGAGGAGTCCCTTTTATTCTGTTCTTTGGAATAATTTCAGAAGGAATGGTACCAGTTCCTCTTTGTACCTCTGGTAGAATTCAGCTGTGAATCAGTCTGGTCCTGGGCTTTTTTTGCTCGGTAGGCTATTAATTACCGCCTCGATTTCAGAACTTGTTATTCATCCATTCAGGGATTTGGCTTCTTCCTGATTTAGCCTTGGGAGGGTGTATGTGTCCAGGAATTTATCCATTTCTTCTAGATTTTCAAGTTTATTTGCATAGAGGTGTTTATAGTAGTATTCTCTGATGGTAGTTTGTATTTCTGTGGGATCAGTGGTGATATTCCCTTTATCATTTTTTATTGTGTCTATTTAGTTCTTCTCTCTTTTCTTCTTTATTAGTCTAGCTAGTGGTCCATCTATTTTGTTAATCTTTTCAAAAAACCAGCTCCTGGGTTCACTGACATTTTTGAAGGGTTTTTCTTGTCCCTATCTCCTTCAGTTCTGCTCTGATTTTACTTATTTCTTGTCTTCTGATGGCTTTTGAATGTGTTTGCTCTTGCTTCTCTAGTTCTTTTAATTGTGATGTTAGGGTGTCGATTTTAGATCTTTCCAGCTTTCTATTGTGGGTATTTAGTGCTATAAATTTCTCTCTTAACACTGCTTTAAATGTGTCCCAGAGATTCTGGTATGTTGTGTCTTTGTTCTCATTGGTTTCAAAGAGCTTATTTATTTCTGCCTTCATTTCATTATTTACCCAGTAGTCATTCAGGAGCAGGTTGTTCAATTTTCATGTAGTTGTGCGGTTTTGAGTGAGTTTCTTAATCCTGAGTTCTAATTTGATTGCACTGTGGTCTGAGAGAATGTTTGTTATGATTTCCATTCTTTTGCATTTGCTGAGGAGTGTTTTACTTCCAATTATGTGGTTGATTTTAGAATACATGCAATGTGGCACTGAGAAGAATGTATATTCTGTTGATTTAGGGTGGAGAGTTCTGTAGCTGTCTATTAGGTCTGCTTGGTCCGGAGCTGAGTTAAAGTCCTGAATATCCTTGTTAATTTTCTGTCTCATTGATCTGTCTAATATTGACAGTGGGGTGTTAAAGTCTCCCACTATTATTGTGTGGGAGTCTAAGTATCTTTATAGGTCTCTAAGAACTTGTTTTATGAACCTGAGTGCTTCTGTATTGGGTGCATGTATATTTAGTACAGTTAGCTCTTCTTGTTGCATTGATCCCTTTACCATTATGTAATGCCCTTCTTTGTCTTTTTTGATCTTTGTTGGTTTAAAGTCTTTTTTATCAGAGACTAGGATTGCAACTCCTGCTTTTTTTTGCTCTCCATTTGCTTGGTAAATATTCCTCCATCCCTTTATTTTGAGCTATGTGTGTCTTTGCATGTGAGATGGGTCTCCTGAATACAGCACACTGATGGGTCTTGACTCTTCATCCAATTTGCCAGTCTGTGTCTTTTAATTGGGGCATTTGGCCTGTTTACATTTAAGGTTAATATTGTTATGTGTGAATATGATCCTGTTATCATTGTGCTAGCTGGTTATTTTGCAAATTAGTTGATGCAGTTTATTCATAGTGTCATTGGTCTTTATATTTTGGTGTGTTTTTGCAGTGGCTGTTTTTCCTTTCCATATTTAGTGCTTCCTTCAGGAGCTCTTGTAAGGCAGGCCTGGTGGTGACAAAGTCCCTCAGCATTTGCTTGTCTGGAAAGGATTTTATTTCTCCTTTGCTTATGAAACTTAGTTTGGCTGAATATTAAATTCTGGGTTGAAAATTCTTTTCTTTAAGAATGTTGAATATTGGCCCCCACTCTCTTCTGGTTTGTAGGATTTCTGCAGAGAGATCAGCTGTTAATCTGATGGGCTTTCCTTTGTAGGTAACCTGACCTTTCTCTCTGGCTGTCCTTAACATTTTTTCATTTGTTTCAACTTGGGAGAATCTGACAATTATGTGTCTCGGGGTTGCTCTTCTCGAGGAGTATCTTAGTGGTGTTCTCTGTATTTCCTGAATTTGAACGTTGGCCTGCCTTGCTAGGTTGGGAAAGTTCTCCTGGATATTATCCTGAAGTGTGTTTTCCAACTTGGTTCCATTCTCCTCATCACTTTCAGGTACACCAGTCAATTGTAGGTTTGGTCTTTTCACATGGTCCCACATTTCTTGGAGGCTTTGTTTGTTCCTTTTCACTCTTTTTTCTCTAATCTTGTTTTATTTTAATAAATAATTTTGACTACTTCAGAAGAAAATAACATCTTTCAAAAACTTATGAAAAACATTTTTACCTTATTTCAGTAAGTTGATCTTCAATCTCTGATATCCTTTCTTCCACTTGATTGATTCAGCTATTGATACTTGTGTATGCTTCACGAAGTTCTTGTGCTGTGTTTTTCAGCTCCATCAGGTCATTTAAGCTCTTCTCTAAACTGATTATTCTAGTTAGCAGTTCCTGTAACCTTTTATCAAGATCCTTAGCTTCCTTGCATTGAGTTAGAACATTCTCCTTTAGCTCAGAGGAGTTTGTTATTACCCACCTTCTGAAGCCTACTTCTGTCAATTCGTGAGTCTCATTCTCTGTCCAGTTTTGTGCCCTTCCTGGAGAGGAGTTGTGATTATTTGGAGAAGAAGAGGCATTCTGGTTTTTGGAATTTTCAGCGTTTTTGCACTGGTTTTTCTTCATCTTTGTGGATTTATCTACCTTTGATTTTTGAGGCTGATGACCTCTGGATGGGGTCTTTATGTGAGGGTCCTTTATGTTGATGTTGATGTTGTTGCTTGCTCTTTGTTAGTTTTTCTCCTAACAGTTAGGCCCCTCTTCTGCAGGTCTGCTGCAGTTTGCTGGAGGTCCACTCCAGACCCTGTTCACCTAGGTATCAGCAATGGAGGCTGCAGAACAGCAAAGATTGCTGCCTTGCCTTCCTCTGGAAGCTTCATCCCAGAGGGGCACCAGCCTGATGCCAGCTGGAGCTCTCCTGTATGAGGTGTCTGTCGACCCCTGTTGGGAGGTTTCTCCCAGTCAGGAAGCATGGGAGCCAGGGACCCACTTGAGGAGGCAGTCTGTCCCTTAGCAGAGCTAGTGCGGTGTGCTGGGAGAATCGCTCTTGTCAGGATCAGCTGCTCTCTTCAGAGTTGGCAGACAGGAATGATTAAATCCGCTGAAGCTGTGCCCATAGCCGCCCCTTCCCTCAGGTGCTGTGTTCTAGGGAGATGGGGGTTTTGTCTGAAAGCCCCTGACTGGGGCTGTTACCTTTCCTTCAGAGATGCCCTGCCCAGTGAGGAGGAATCTAGAGAAGCAGTCTGGCCACTGCCACTTTGCCACACCCAACCCAGGCTTCCCAGCCTCCTTAGCACTGTCGGGGGGAAAACCGCCTACTAAAGCCTCAGTAATGGCAGACGCCCCTCCCCCGCCAAGTTCAATCATCCCAGGTCAACTTCAGACTGCTGTGCTGGCAGCGGGAATTTCAAGCCAGTGGATTTTAGTTTGTTGGGCTCCATGGGAATGGGACCCACTGAGCAAGACCACATGGCTCCCTGGCTTCACCCCTCTTTCCAGGGGAGCGAACAGTTCTGTATTGCTGGGTTTCCAGGTGACACTGGGGTACGAAAAAGACTCCTGCTGCTAGCTCAGTGTGTGCCCAAACAGCCGCCCAGTTTTATGCTTGAAACCCAGGGCCCTGGTGGTGTAGGCACATGAGGAAATCTCCTGATCTTCAGATTGTGAAAAGCAAAGTAACCCAGCTGGGTAGTACAGTCCCTCACGGCTTCCCTTGGCTGTGGGGAGGGAGACCTCTGGCACCTTGCATTTCCCAGGTGAGGCGATGTCCCACCCTGCTTCTGCTCATCCTCAGTGGGCTGTACCCACTGCCTAACCAGTCCCAATGAGATAAACTGGGTACCTCAGTTGGAAATGCAGAAATCACCTGCCTTCTGCATTGGTCTCGCTGGGAGCTGCAGACTCGAGCTGTTCCGATTCGACCATCTTCAAAAATTCCCAATAGTGATTATTTTCATTGGCTACTGGACAGATAGCAAACGGCAAACTCAAGAATAGCAAAAGTTTTGTTTTTATTATAATAGTTTATAAGATTTATTTAAATTATCACAAATGAAGAATTTTACTTTTATTTAAATAATTTTAATTTTAAATGTTGATAATTGTAATTTGTATTTTTATTTTAATAAATAATTTTGACTACTTCAGAAGAAAATAACATCTTCCAAAAACTTACAAAAAACATTTTTACTTTTCCAATTTTTGCATTTAATTTACAGATTTTGATGAAGGTCTGTTTAAATTTGTAAACTTTTGAATATTATTTGCTTTATTTGTAATCCTTTAGATCAGAAGTCCGCAGCCCTCAGGCCTGGACCAGTACTGGTATGTGACCTGTTAGGAACCAGGCCACACAGCAGGAGATGAGCAGCGGGCAAGCATGCATTACCACCTGCGCCCCACTACTGTCAGATCAGTGGGGGCATTAGATTATCATAGGAGTACAACCACTATTGTGAACTGCACATGCGAGGGATCTAGGTTGTGCTCCTTATGAGAATCTAATGCCTGATGATCTGAGGTGGAACAGTTTCATCCCAAAACCGTACCCCTCCCTGTCCCCTGGAAAAATTGTCTTCCACGAAACTAGTCCCTGGTGCCAAAAAGGTTGGAGACTGCTGCTTTAGATCATTGGGAATGAGTACAATTTGCAATTGTGACAAATTGAAAATACAAATGCAGAGTTCAGAAAAGAGGAAAAGCTGTAAAGGAAAAACAGTAAATCTTCAAAGAAGCAGTCTGCTTAAATTTTTAAAAATGACTAAAAAGGAAAGTGAGCAGGCTTTTATCAGGTATGACCCACATAAAATTTGCAAATACAACATTAACAATTCTTTTTACTAAAGTCAGTTTTTTTAGGCATCATTTACAGATAGCAAAAGTCACCCATTTTAGGTGTTCAGTTTTACATGTTTGACAAAATGTATACTATTACATAACCATGGCCACAGTCAAGCTATGGAATATTTCATCCAACCCAGAAAGCTCTTCTGTGCCCCATTATAGTCTATCCACACCCTCACTCCCCAGCCCCCAAGTCCTGGCAAACTTTTGTCTGACTTCTGTCTCTATAGTTTTGTCTTTTCCAGAATGTCATGTAAATGGAATTCATACAGTATATGCTGTGGTCTTTTGTGTCTGACATCTTGTGCTTAGCACAATCCTGTTGAGAGTCATTCATGTCGTTGCAAGTATCACCTGATCATTTCCTTTCATTGCTGATGTATTCAATTCCATTCCATATTGCCATATACTCTATTTTATAAAGGTATCCATTCACTGGTTGCTGGGCATTTGGGTCATTTCCAGTTTTGGATGATTATGAATAAAGTTGCTATAAACCTTCCTGTACAGGTCTCTGTGTGCACATATGTTTTTATTTCTTTCAGGTTAATACCTAGGCATGCATTGCTGGATCATATGGTAAGTATATGTTTCACTTTGGAAGAAACTACCAAAGTATGCTCCAAAGTGGCTGCACCATTTTGCACCTCTGTCAGCAGTGTATGAGGGTCTCCCTCTGTCTACATCTTTGCTAGACCTTGGTATTGTGAGTTTAAAAATTTTTTTTTCAATTTAGTGATTTTAAAAGATAGAAAATTATCTAATTACTGATCAAAACAATTAAATTGAGCAACAAAATTATTCTCATCAACAACACAACTCAAATAGGTCAGATACAATCCGGCAGCTTCATATTACTGGTTAAAATTATAAGAAATGTGTGGACCTCAATTAACATTCTTGCCCAGGGTCTACTATACCCTTTCCCCCTGCTCTGCAGTTTCCTCTTAGGGGAAGTGTGTTTACTCTTTGGTGTCTGTCTGAGACTCTGCCTTGTGAAGGACAGCTGGTACCTCACTCTGCAGCTCCTGCTAGAAGGGAAACTTCAGGATTCAACCTTTCCTCTCGTGCTACCCTGTCTCCTCCACACTAGGGATGAAAGAATAGTCAACACACCACTCTGAGAGGCTGCCAGCCACTAGTCTAGCAAATAGGACCTATGTTTAAGTCGCTTTTTGTGTAATGACCTTCCATGCCTCCAATGCTGCATGATGTAATAGTGACACTGAGAAGAGGCTGTGAGCAGTGGAGCCTTCATTCTGAAAGCTGTCAGTATGAGGAGTCTCATGGGGTGTAGCAAATGGTAGCATGCTGTATTCATCCCATCACTGCTGAGACCCTGAGTAGGGCTTCCAGTCTGTGATGAGTTCAGCTTCCGGATTCTTAAATCCTGGGGTGTGGGATTGGAGAAGATTGGTCTATGACTGGCATTGGTGGCCTTTCCTAGTAGGAGAGTGAGTAAGAGTCAGAAACTATCTAATTAACCTTGAATGACTCTATTAATCTTTTCAGTAGATTATAAAGAATACCTCTAGGGGAAAGTGTATTTCCTCAACTTCAGATTCAGCAAAAACGGCATTCAGTAGATCAAGATACTGCCTGTTCCTGACCACAAGAATGTGTCCTCACAGGAGCTGTGGTGTTTTGTGATCTACCAGCTGCAGGCTGGGGTGTAATATTTTCTGATCTGACATTTGGAGAACCTTCAAATATTTAAGGGCACTCATCTTTCCTCTCAGTTATCTCTTCTTTCGAGGATCATAAAAACCTTGAGAAATGTCAAGCTTCTTTTTCAGATTTTCTTCATTTAATGCAATATCTCATTTTGGTTTTTTAGCCCTTCTAATGAATTTGGGCTATCATCTTATATCCATTAGACTGGGAAGTCAACTTTTCCAGAAGGCTGACTATATGTAAAATATTCACAGGCAACTATATATTTTGTATTCATGTAATATACCTTAGGGATTGATCATGCAGGAGGTGGAGTTGGACAACCTGGGTTCAAAGACTTAGGCTATCATGCTGTCTTTGAACCCAGGTTGTCCTATCATACTGTCTCTTAAAATGTGAATGTCCTACAAATTTCCTTATTTATTTATTTTGGAAATTTCTTGACTGTTGATGTTATTACTTTCATGTACACAAATAGTTAAAAAGATAAGTACTTTAAAAAGTAAGTACATTTTAATAATTAGTCAAACAGTAATTTTTGTTGCATTTTCTTGCAATAAAATGCTGTATAATCTTGGGCAAGAAATTTATCTTCAGGGATGTTTTCTTTTTTTCTTTAAAAAAACTTTTAAATTGAGGTTCAGCAAGTATAAAGTATATTAATCATCAGTGTATAGCTTGGTGAATTGTTTTATGCATTCATGTAATCACATTAATTATTGTTACATTTTAGTGTCAGAAAAATACATGTACATTAAAACCCTAACTGGCTGGTAGAATTTCAATATGTAAAGCACACAAGGAGTGTTTTACTCAGTTACAGCTAGAATACTTAATTATATTTGAAAGTAAATATTCACATAATGCCAAAAATCCTCATGACAAACTTTGTATGACACACATTGTTACATTGATTCTATATGATGTTAACATAACATCATATGTTATGATGTTAATCTTGGTCTCTTGATTAAGTATACTACAAACTCTGACCAAATATTTCTTTTCTTATTTGTGTGTTCCACTGTTCAAATATATGATCTACAAAGTCTTAAATGCTACTACAAAGCCATTATCATATCAAATGTCTGTAAATTATTGAATCATGTGGCAGCCCCAAAGTAGTTCAGAACATATTCTGGTTCTGCCCGATTAACAGATTGTTGTTTGCTCAATTAAACTGTTAAATTTAATTGGCTTAAAGTTTTTTTTTTTTTTTTTTTTTTTTGAGATGGAGTTTCACTTTTGGTGCCTAGGCTGGAGTGCAATGGCACAATCTCAGCTCAAGGCAATCTCTGCCTCCCCCGTTCAAGTGATTCTCCTATCTCAGCCTCCCAAGTAGCTGGGATTATAGGCACGCACCACCATGCCCAGCTAATTTTGTATTTTTAGTAGAGATGGGTCTTCACCATGTTGGCCAGGCTGGTCTCAAACTCCTCATCTCAGGTGATCCACCCGCCTTGGCCTCCCAAAGTGCTGGGATATAAGGCCTGAGCCACCGTGCCCGGCTTTTTTTTTTTTTTTTTTTTTTTTGGTAGTAGGAATAAAATATCTCACTCTTGCTTGGAGGATTCAAGTCACTTTGGCACAGGGCAGTGGCCTTTATTGTCTACTCAGATGTTTGGCAGATAAAATGTTTGAATGCAGCATTTCACATTCATCTTAACTTTGTAGTTTCTTAGCAAACAGAACCCTTGGTTTTCTTTGCAGTCCAGACTTGATGTTGACTTCTTTGAGTTTATCAAAATATTACTCAGATAAATTTTACTTAACTCTACCCTTCCCCAAAACCCTGTTTAAAAATCTATCTTTTTTTCTCATTTGATGAGACGTCTTTCTGCTGTGTGGTCTTTGCAAAGATCGATGAATCTGCTCTGTTGGATTACATGTCTTAAGCTAATTATGGTAGGACATTAGGTTTTGTTAGTTATGTTTTTAAAGATAAGAAAACTGAGGATCAAGAAGATTAAATGAAGTATTCAAGATGTTATGGTAATACGTGGCCACAGAATTCAAACCGAGATCTGAAGCATAATGAAGCCCAATCCTTTTCCACAGCGCCACTCTGACCTTCCCCCTTTTGCCTTGTCTAGCTGATTATTGCATTACCTTTGTTTAACAACCACACTTGCTGTGAAGCCACAAAATCCACTCCAACCACTTTGCTCTTTCTCATCACAGTTAGTGTCCAGTTTGGATATAAGCCTCTGTTTCTCAAAGTATGGTTTCAGTTTCACAATGCTGCTCTCTGCCAGGATCCCTAATGAACCATACAACCATCTAACACTTAGTTCTGAGTTCCTTTCTTCCTCAGCCACACCAATCAGCAAATATCTCTACACACTCTGGATCTTCACACATTCATACCTGTCCTCGTGCTGTTTCCTGACCTTGCAATTCCTTTCCCCAAATTCTCTGCTTATACAAATCTTTTTTTTCCTTTTTAAATATCATCAAGCTTCCTTGCTGCAAACACCACATGCTAGTCTGTTTCATTAGATAAGTAATTTATAAAGGATATTAGGTATTTCACAGAAACTTTTTTTTTTTTTAACTTAAAGGCTACTTTGCAGGACTGGTCCAGTGTAGATAGCACTCCTGGTGCCTGGACGCAAATAACACAGTTTTCACCTCTGACACTAGGAGGTGCTAGACCATTTCCAGCTGCTGTATTGGAAGCTTGGTATCTCTGCTACCACCCTCATCAGGACTAACCAGATCGGTGCTTCATCTACATTATGAGCCTCTGAGGGAAGTCTTGCATGGGTACATCTGACTGGCAGAGCCTAGGTCACATGCCTACTCTGCAGCTACAAGGGAAGCTGGGAAAAGAGGTTTTTGTTTCTGTCTTAAGGAGACACATAACTCTAAAGTGGGAAAGTCCCTCTAAACAGGAAAGGCATTCAAATAGCAGAGATGCCAGGTAAGAATGATAAATGTTCATTACACTGGGGTCGAGTCAAAAAAATTTCCTGAATTGTAAAGTCTCTATAACAGCAAGACTTAAGAGCTCTTTGTGTTGTCCCTCAGGTATTCACCTTTCTGCCGAGTTACAATTGTAACAGATGTGATTCATACCTCTCCCATATCTCCTCATCCTTATTTCAGTTCATGATTTCCAACTGCCATGGCAGTACTTTTTTTTCTTGCCTGAGGGCTTTTTCTGGCCATTTAGCTTCATTACATTTGCCAGTGCTGTAGGCTGAAAGTATGGGGGAATTGACACAAGCCAGGAGCTGCCCTCAACCAATGACTAGGAGATGCTGGATAAATACCTCAGCTACGTTGCACTAGGGTGGGATAGCCCTGAAGCATGTGTTCAGTAATACCCCCCAGCATTTCCCTAGTGGGAATAAGCTCAGACACCTACACTGGCAACTGGCTTGATAACTCCTTTATTGGCTCTCTTCCCTTCCTGTCTCAGTCCTCTGTCAATGTCTCCTTCCTGTCCCAACTACTTGCACTTGAACTTTTGTTCCAGAGTCAGCATCTGGCTGAATCCTGAGTAGACAACTCTCTTCCTCTCTCTCTTTCTTTTTTTTTTTTTTTTTTTTGAAACGGAGTCTGTCTGTTTCACCCAGGTTGGAGTGCAGTGGCATTATCTCGGCTCACTGCAACCTCCACCTCCTGGGTTCACGTGATTCTCCTGCCTCAGCCTCCTGAGTAGCTGGGACTACAAGTGCACACTGCCATGCCTGGCTAATTTTTGCACTTTTAGTAGACACAGGGTTTGACCATGTTGGCCAGGCTAGTCTCGAACTCCTGACCTCAAGCGATCCGCCCACCTCAGCCTCCCAAAGTGCTGGGATTACAGGCATGAGCCACTGCACCCAGCCTTTTCCTTGTAATATAGATAACTCACTACTCATTCATCTCTCTTGTAAGATTCTTGATGGAAAAAAAAAGCATTGCCATTTTTTCCTGTCTCACACAATACGTAGTACAGGCCCTTGTATATAATAAGCACTAAAGAAATATTTGTTTGCATTTGTTGAGTTGAATTAAAATAGGGGTGATGGTCAGATTTTAAGTTTACATCACTGTATAGCCAAAAATTTTACTCTTTCCAGAAGAAGTCACACGTATGATTAATAGTGGTTATTTTTGATGATAGTGATTAGAGTTATGTTGTTGAACTTTCTAGAGTTATGTTGTTGAACTTTCTAACCTTTGTCCAGGTATTTTTATTGCTCTTGAAAATGTCAGCTATCCAGGAGGGTTGTGGCACCTTGTAACCACATACTACTGAATTATCCTATTACTCTGAGCCCTTCAGGGGTGAGTGGCCTGCCAAGACCACAGTCTTTGTGCAAAACGCCTCATGAGAAATGTTGGAAACAGCCAAAGGGATTTGACTGACTCTGTAGTGGCTCCTTAACCCTGGAGCCTCAGCCTGAATCCATGCCTGAGTAGAGTAATTCCTTTTCCCAGCTGCTTTCCTTGTTCCACAGGATGCACTCCCTACCCTAAGGAATAGCTCCCAGATCAGTGGTCTTCCAGTTATTTCATTCTTGAGTTTTTTGGTTTTGAATATGGGCCCAAGGGTCTTTGGCCAGTGGGTATCATTCCAATGGTTCTGATGGGTAATGACAAATAAAACAAATGGTGAATATTATGTAACAGCTGGCTGGCTCTGAATGGTTTTGGCCAAGGTTCTGGAAAAGAATGCAGGAGGGAAGTGGTCAATATACAGGAATGAAATTGGAACGAAGCCATTTTACATTCCTTTGGATGTCAGTCTTTCAGTAGGAGGTTAGAGTAGGATAGCACAGGGACCAATTGAGTGCCCCTCCCCCAGTCTTCCTGCCTCCATTGCAATGCTGAAGAAACTCCCAGACTTTCTTGCTTCTTTCTTGCAGGACCGCTGCTCATCCCTATCCATTAATGCCCACAGTCTCCATGGCATTATTTTCCTTGAGATCCTCTGGACTAATCTCATTACAGCCTTCAGCTCTGTGTAAGCCAATTACCACTTGAAGCCCTGGACTCCCTGGTCATTCCTCACCCCCGAGATGCTCCTTTCTAATAGATATGTATATCTGCTTTATTGACGCCATATCTCATCCCTCTGCAGCCTTCAAAACTCTTCCCTTGTACCTCTGGAATTCAATGTATAGACATGAAACCATCTCCATTCTTTTTTTCTTTCTTTTTTTTTTTTGGAGATGGAGTCTCCTCTGTCTCCTAGGCTGGGGTGCAGTGGCACAATCTAGGCTCACTGCAACCTCTGCCTGCCTCCCGGGTTCAAGCGATTCTCCTGCCTCAGCCTCCTGAGTAGCCGGGACTACAGGCACCCGCCATCATGCCCAGCTAATTTTTGTATTTTTGTAGAGATGGGGTTTCACCATGTTGGCCAGGCTGGTCTTGAACTCCTGACCTCAGGTGATCTGCCTGCCTCGGCCTCCCAAAGTGTTGGGATTACAGGCATGAGCCACCATGACCGGCCTCTCATTTCTAAAATACCTATTTCATGTCCTTGTTCTAACTGGCTCCTCCCTCAAGACACTGCTCCCCTGCAGCCCTCTATACAGGTCACTGGTTTTTCAGCCACGTGCCTGGCGCCACAGGGCCTGGAATAGGATGAGTGTCTTCCTTGCATCTCAGTGCTGCTCCCAAGCCATTGTCCCATATCCTCCATAAAAACACCCAGTTTCAACATGGGACTATGTTGTCTGCCACCTTCCTTCCTTTTGGCAACCATCTGCTGGCTCTAACATCACTTCCCTTCCCTCCTGGATCACCGTCATTTTTCTATCACTACACCCATTGTATTTTTGGTGATTTCAATATCCACACAAATAAGTCTTCCCATACACTGAGCTTTCAGTTTCTCAGCCTCCCCTCCTCCAACATCTCATCCTCCATTCTACCTCAGTCACTCACTCCTATGTTCATGCCTCCTGGGCCCTGTTTTTATCAGTAATCTTACCCACTCCAGAATCTCAACTTCAAGAATCCCAATATTTGACCACCATTTCTTATATTATTTGTTTTATTTACATCTACTTGTTTTCCTTTACCACATCATTTCCTTATCCCCTCTGCATGAAGAATTACTATCCCAAATTTTATGCTTTTAATTCTCTTGATTTTTAAAATGAATTTATCATATATGTATGTATTCCTAGGCAGTAGAGTGCTTAGTTATTTTGAACATCATAAAAATGATATTGCATGTAGTCTGTTGTAGTGCGTATTGTCTACTATATGCATGTGGTCTATTGTAACTTGCATGTTTTACGTATCATTATGTATGATACGTAAAAACCATACACACATTACGTATACTATATATTGTATTCATGCATACCATACATACAACATCTCCATGCTGTTGTGCATAGCTGAAGTTTGTTTTTACTGCTGTATAACATTCTATGGTGTGAATTTACCAAAATATATTCACTCATTTTTTTTTTCTGTGTACCATTTCCACATTTTTGGTATCATTAACTCTTCTTCTGTAAGTAACTTGTACTTGTCTCTGGTGCATATTTGCAAAAGTTTTTCTAGAAGCACAGTTAATGAACCAAAGAGCATAAGCATGTTCAATTTTGCACAATGATGTTACATTATTTTCTAAAATAATTGTACATCATTTTTCATTATTCCAGGTCACTTCCACTAAATTCTGATTTTTTTTTTTTTTTTTTTTTTTTGAGATGGACTTTCACTCTTGTTGCCCAGGCTGGAGTGCAATGGCACGATCTTGGCTCACCGCAACCTCCGCCTCCCGGGTTCAAGTGATTCTCCTGCCTCAGCCTCCCGAGTAGCTGGGATTACAGGCATGTGCCACCACACCCGGCTAATTTTTTTGTATTTTTAGTAGAGACGGGGTTTCACCATGTTAGCCAGGATGGTCTTGATCTCCTGACCTCGTGATCCACCCGCCTTGGCCTCCCAAAGTGCTGGGATTACAGGCGTGAGCCACCGCGCCCGGCTAAATTCTGATTTTTAAAAGCCTAGCCAAGTCTAGGACCTATAATGATTGATTGCACTGTCTTTTTACACTCTTCATTTTCAGTGTACCAAGGCTATATTCCATGGTATGTCATAATATTTATTCTTTTGCATACACCTTCAATTTCCTTGCCTCTTCTTCCTTTATCGTGCTCACCTGGCAAAACGCTAGTTCCAGCGACAGCCAAATCTCTGCTGGCTCTGTGCCTGCACTCACGCAGGGGAATATGGCTGCAGGTAACTACGCAGCTATGCTGACTGTTCTCACATTACATTTATGGCCACAAGTATCATTAGCCTCTAAGATACTTGTCAATCAGACTATACTTTCCTGGTCCATTAACTCTCCCATGCATCTATTTGGTATCTTCTTATTTCTCCTTAACCTCTATTACATCTTGCTGCACCTTCACTGTCAGCTGATGACCTTGTCACTGAGAAAATGAAAGCAATCAGAAAAGAACTACCATTGGCTTTGTTATAAATAAAGTTTCGGTGCTGCAAAAGAAATAGCACTTGAATATAAAATTTTCTTTTTAATTCTCAGCAAGGCAAGTTACTTCTATAGAAGGGTGCGCCCTTACAGATGGAGCAATGGTGAGTGCACACTTGGACAAGGGAGGGGAAGGGGTTCTTATCCCTGACGCACATGGCCCCTGCTGCTGTGTCGTTCCCCTATTGGCTAGGGTTAGACCGCACAGGCTAAACTAATTCCGATTAGCTAATTTAAAGAGAGTGATGGGGTGAGTGATTTGGGGGGATAAATGGTTATGACAGAGCAGGTAATGAGTCAGGGTTGAGCAGGTAATCAGAATGCGTCAGGGTGGAGCAGATAATTGAAAAAGGTTGCTTTATAAGGAAGTTAAGTTTAAAAGTAGAAGGCAAAGTATTGAACATACTGACATATTGATTTTTTGAAAAGAAATTTAGACCCCATATCTAACAGCTTCCACTTCTATATGGACTTCTCTACCTTCATCTGTGCCCATTGTGTTTTCTATTGCTGTGTAACAAATTATCCCAAAACTTAGTGGCTTAAAACAACACCAATTATTATCTCATAGTTTCTGTGTGTCAGGATCCAAGGCACAGCTTAGCTGGGTCCTCTGATTCTGCATCTCCTGGTATCTTTCTTTTGCAGCTGAGTGCCAGTATGCTTTGACCATTAAATAGGCAAGTTACGCCCTGGCCATTAAGGAAGGACTTACTACTAAAATGGACTGGATGGGAAAAGACACACATCTTCTCATCTTCCTATAGAATACACACTGGGTAAAAGAAATATAGTACTTTTAATAAATTATAAAACTCTTTGAAGTTAAACTATTTTTTCTTAAATTGTCTTTGCAGTATTGGGAAAATCTAAAAGACATCTGGAAAAAAGAAAATGGAATTCTTGCCTCAAGTAAGGCCAAAATTATTTGAAGATGGATCAATGATTTAACTAGAAAAAAAGAAAGTATAAAATTCCAGAAAAAAAAATTTTTCTAAATTATCTCACAATAAGAAAATTTTTCTTCCAAGTAGGACAAAAAACCTAGGAGTCATATAAAAAGGATTGATAAATTTGATTGTATAATAATAAAAATATCTACATGGTGAGAAAAAAATAAACAAAATGAAATGAGAAATTAAAACCAGGATAATATTTTCAATGCATATCAAAAACAAAGGGCATACACATAATTCTAAAAGAAGTGACAAATCAGTAAGTCAAAGATCATTAAACTAATAGCAAAACAGACAATTGAGAAGATGCTCAAATTCATGTATAATTAGGGAAATGAAAATTACAACTACAGTGAATATACTTACTTTGTGTTAGATATAATTTGCAGAAGGATAGCAGAAGTGCAAGAAATGACATAAGTACAAGGATATTCACTGGAGAGCCTGGCACAAAGTGAGTACGGGTAAGTATTGGCTAAATAGATGCTGTTTGTAATAGCAAGATTAGAAACAAACTCCATGATCTCCATGTTCCCAAAGAGGATACTGACAACACATGGTACAGTTCAAAGAATGAGGCACTGAAAGTACTGATATAGAATGATTTCCAAGGTTGAAAATTGAAAAAAGCCAGCCTGGACAACATGGTGAAACCCTGTCTCTACTAAAAATACAAAAATTAGCCGGGCATGGTGGCGCACATCTGTAATCCCAGGTATTCTGGAGGCTTAGGCACAAGACTCACTTGAACCCGGGAGGCAGAGCTTGCAGTGAGCCGAGATTGCGCCACTGCACTCAAGCCTGGGCAAGACTGTCTCAAAAAAAAAAAAAAAAAAAAAAGAAAGAGAAAAATAAATTGAAATTGAAAAAAGCAAGATGCAGAAACATATGTATAGCATGCATATTAATTACATAATAGAAAAGATATAGGCATACTTGTAAATGCATGGTCTATCTCTGGAAATATTCACTAGAAATAAGGAGGACTGCCTCCAGGGAGAACTAAGTGGCTGAATGACCGTGAAGGAATGTAGAATACTTTTCATTGCATACACAGCCCCGCTTTTGTCTTTCATGTGCATCTGTTATTTAAATGAATGAAAACACTTAAAAGTCAAATAGTTATCATTTTAAAAGAACTGAAGAAAAATAGTCTATAAGCAACAGCGTAGGAAAATATAGTATTGCTGAATGAGTTGCTACTTAATTTATGTGTTTAAGAGGACAGGGAGGAGTGGTTTTATATGGAAAAACACAGACATTGCCTAGGGTTATACAGGATGGAAGCCAGATATTCTGAATCCACCTCTTGCTTTTGACTTGGCTGCTGGAGCCTGAGGCAAGTGAATTAAGCCAGTCAAATCTGGATAATAGTACTTAATGATCAAGCTCTCCACTACATTGTGAAAATCAATTACTTGATGTTGGTAAAACGCTTTGAAGGTGTCATGCTCCAAGGTGCAAGACAGAGCCTGTTCAGACCTGTATGCTGTCATGGGAACTGAGGCTCTGGAGTCAAGACTTTGAGGAAACTTCCAATCACTGTTCAGTGAAACCAATGTTTTTAAAGTGCCAGTGCTCCCAAATGTGTCTTCCATGTGCGTGCCCAGAGAATCAGCCTATTTTATGTGTTTTTTTTTTCATTCCTGTCTTACTTTTCTACACAGTGCCAAAGGTCCATTAAGGAAATTGTAATCCAATGATTTCCAAAAAATGAGTTATTTTCAAAGAAGAGAAGCAAGGGTTAAGACCAGGCTGTGCAATTCAGTAAGAAAATTACAAACCCTTCCAGAAATTACAGCGAGTTAGGGATTAATGTCGGCTTTTGAACAATACGTATTAAATTAGTCTGTAGAAATACAACATTCTCAGAGAAATGCACAGTCTAAGAAAAGCAGACCTGTGGAAATGAGAATGTTAGTAGATAATTCTCCATCAGTCTCTCACATTTCTGTACATCTTGCAAGGAATGCGCTGATTATCCTCTTTCCTGGATTATCTTTTCAAATACATTTTTATAGTTAACAGCCTTAGAAAATAGAGTTAGTGTCTTTCTCCAGAGCAAATAGTAGGTTTGCTTACTGCACTTCATAAAAGATTTGAGTTCTCTACATTCAAAGTTTTTCTCCTGTAATGCAATACGCTACATGTATAGGTGTCATCTGGCCCTGTGGAAATTGGGGCTTGGTGAGGTGGTACAAATATGCTGATACTCTGGCTACCGCTATTGCTGTCAGTTATAAACTATCCTTTGTCTTTGACACAGGAGTCTGGTGTCTTCTACCGGCATCCATGAAACTGTAGATGGGTGACTTCTTAGCTTGCAAGTGGGATAAAATCTCAAACTCTTCACAGTTCTTAAGAAATAATTGTTCTCTAGACGACTGCTATGTGAAAGAAATACAATGCAGGCCACTCATGTGAACCAAAACATAATTTTAAACTTTACAGTAGCCACATTAAAAAGCTAAAAGAGGCTGGGTGCGGTGGCTCACGCCTGTAATACGAGCACTTTGGGAGGCCAAGGCGGGTGGATCACCTGAGGTCAGGAGTTACAGACCAGCCTGGTCAACATGGCAAAACCCCATCTCTACTAAAAATACAAAAATTAGCCAGATGTGGTGGCACACACCTATAATCCCAGCTACTTGGAAGGCTGAGGCAGGAGAATCTGGGAGGTGGAGGTTGCAGTGAGCCAAGATTGCACCACTGCACTCCAGCCTGGGCAACAGAGTGAGACTCCGTCTCAAAAAAGAAAACTAAAAGAAACAGGTAAAATTAACTATAATAATATATTTTGTTTAACACGATACATCAAAAATATTGCCATGTAACCCATATGAAATTATTAATGAGCAATTTTACTTCCTTGCCTAGCATGAAGTCTTCAATATCTGGGGCATTTTTTATACTTACAGCTCATCTCCACTGGGACTAGCCACATGTCCAGTGCTCAAAAACCATGAATGGCCAGTGGCTTCCATTAAGAACAGTGCAGCTCGAGTTTACAACATACAGTAAAATGAAAACAAAAGTTTGAAGGCCTAAAATAGGTTTTCCTTAAAAAAAAAAAAATCAAAGCCAGAATGTCAATGATATTGTTCACTGGGCCCATTGCTCCTGAGACTCTGAGGCATGTTCTGCATGTTCCAAAGTTTAAGCCTGACAGACTTGTCAGGACATTCTTCATCCATTACTTAATCCTCCTGTGCCCTTTAAGGTACATTCAGGATTGTTGTTTCTTTTGCAGCTGACTGTAATAAGATAGGAATGTAGGATAAGAGTCATTAAAGACAAATTTAATACCAATCTATCAAGCCAGAGATTGAAATTTAAATGTACCTTATTTCCCTTCCAGTTTTCTCCTTTGAGAGGTTTATCTACCCAGACAATGCGTGGGAGTGGGGGCTGGATAATCCTAACCTTAGCTCAAATTATATTAATGTTTGAATAGGAAATTGGGTATTCACCCAATTTTGACAAAGGAAAAATTTCAGTCTCAGAAAGCTTAGTCTCAGCTTGCTCATCTAACCTGCCTTGTTCACAGGATGACCACGTGATCATATGAGTGAGTAGCAGTGATGGGCATTGACAAGGGAAGACAGCACTTGACATCTAAGGTGCCATGATGCTGAATATAATGATCTGTCCTTACTAGAATTTTTTCTAAACAGCATTCTTCAGGACTCAGAATCTTGCATGGATTTGATTATGGTAAAATAAACAGCTGCCAAAACTTTTCATCATTTGGGCTGAGGAGATGTCAGCCCAAATAATGCCAGCGTTTAAAAATAAGAAATATGAGTTTATAGGAATCACATGCATTGCTCCTCACATGCTTATATCCTCCAAAGATGGCAAAATGGTAGAAGTTAAAGGAATTTTTTTTAATCCTCAAATCTCACAAAAATCCAATGTTTGGAAAAGACTTGGATAAAAATATTGCAATATTATAAGATTAAGTTCTAAAATATATACGACAGAATCCTTTTTGAGACAAAATTCACATAGGGAAGAGACGCTTCAGTTTCTTAAATAAATAAGCAAATCAATCAGTCAATCAATCTCTTTTTAAGGGTCCCATAACATTGGTAGTGGTTGAGTTAAATAATGATATAAAATGGCCAGGTGTGGTCAGGCACCTTGGAGAATAAATATCACCCTTTAGATCCTGGGCCCCAGACACTGCAGGGCCTCCCCATGGGTAGGTGGAAGAAGGAATCCTGAGTCCCAATCTGAGCACTTGGGAGGATTCACCTCCACGTATGTCTTCTACCTACCCATGATCTATCATTACCCACGTCATCCTGTCCCATTCATGAAGCCAGCATTTGGCCTAAGACCCTCACAGAGGTCCTGCCTCTCCCTCATACTTCTACTCAAGAATTATTATCAAGTCCCCTATGTCACATTTTGTGCCCTTCTTTTTTATCCAGTACCCTGACCAGCCATCGCTTGCCTCAAGTTTCTTACCATGTCTTCTACTGCCCTGTGTCCCAGTAGCACCAGTTTGTGTTTCACGCGTGGGCTTTGGCCAAATATGTCCCGTGTTCTGGACCACTCATCTTAGCACCTGGCCTCTTCCAGACTCAGCTTGCCCTACTTACAATTTGCCTTTAGTTACTGTGTGTCTGGGTAAGAGGCACCTCATCCTGAATCACCATCTAGTTGGGTATTATGGTAGGTAGCTATTGACTTTGCTGGTAGTCATTTGTTCCTAGTATGAGACAATGTTTCTCCCTCTCTTCTCCTCTCCTTTTCCTCCATCCAAATGACAGTGAGATCGAGTAAAAAGTCTATGGAATTTGGAGTTAACAAAAATGGTGTTGAATTGTAAAATGCCACCTTGGCAATTATCTCTAAGCTTGGTTTTTCACCTATAAATTGGGGATGATAACAATTAGTGCTCAGATACAGGTTTTTTTATGAGAATAAAAACATGTGAGGACAAGTGTGCAAGAGCCAGGCATAAAGTGATAAATGAACATGGCACGTTTGAGTGGCAATAAGCTTGGAGTCCTAAACTCCTTTGGCTTTTTGTCTGTCTAGCTCTGTTTGCCTGGTCTGTATGGTTTGTTTATTTTTATTTTTTAAAACATAGATATATACCTTGTAATAGATATATACCGTGTAATAGATATAAACATAGATATATATCTTCTGCTATATTGCATTAAGAAATCTTTGAGGCGATATACTTTATCATTCATATTCCTATCTTGACCATTATAGTCATGTATTTCTTGGCTTGGGTGGAACAGAGAGTTCCTGTTTGAGTTCTACACAGAAACTTCCCAAAGGAGAGCTTCAAATTTTGGGAACCCTGTTAGATTTTCTGGGAAATCCATCACATGAAAGTGGATTGTAGGAAAGTGGGTTGCATTTAGATACCACCTGGAATAGAACCACCTGGAGGCAGAGGGCTAGCGGTTGGAACGTTTGGCATGTGTGGCTCTTCCTCCTGTTGGTGGTGAGGTTTTCGACAAATTGTTTAGCTTGTCGGCTTCAATTTCAGTCAGCTTACTAGAGATTATAATGATATCGACCCCAAAGTGTTGATAGGAGAGGGCATGAGAGAATTCAGGATACTTGATTCTCAGTGTCTGGCACTCAGGGCTTGCTCAATACACATTAACGATGATGGTTTTAATATTTCTTGCAAACATCTTCTGAAGCGCTTCTCAATCTAGAGTGATCCTACTAAAATATCAATCAGGTTATGTCACTCTGCTGCTCAGAACTCTCTGACAGCCTATTCCACTCAGAGGAAAGGTCAAGATCCCTGCTCTATTTCCTTTTTCCCCTTAGCATTTAAAACCTCTTTAACAAACAAACAAACAAACAAAAACCTCTTTAACAAACATTTAATTGACTTACTTGATTTGCTTATTGTTTATACAGCCTGTCTCTCCCTGCTAGCTTGTGAGCTCCATGAGGGCGGGTCTGTTTAGTTCACTTTGCAGTTCAATGTCTTACACATTGAACTGGCCATACTAGGTACTGTTTATTGAATGAATGAATCACCCACAACCAAGATGATCTCTACCTCTCCTGAATTCCCACATTGCTTTGATGGCTATTCTTTTATGACACTTATTATAGTCCTAATACTGTACTTTTTTTTTTTTTGTTAGAGGGAGTCTCACTGTCACCCAGGCTGGAGTGCAGTGGCCCGATCTCAGCTCACTACAACCTCTGCCTTCCAGGTTCAAGCGATTCTTGTGCCTCAGCCTCCCAAGTAGCTGGGATTACAGGCACACACCACCATGTCTGGCTAATTTTTGTATTTTTAGTGGAGATGGGGTTTCACCATGTTGGCCAGGCTGGTCTCAAACTCCTGACCTCAGATGATCCACCAACCTTGGCCTCCCAAAGTGCTGGGATTACAGGCGTGAGCCACTGCGCCCAGCTATGTGTTTTTTCTTTTCTTTTCTTTTTTTTTTTGAGATGGAGTCCTGCTCTGTCACCCAGGCTGGAGTGCAGTGGTGCAATCTTGGCTCAGTGCAACCTCTGCCTGCTGGGTTCAAGCGATTCTCCTGCCTCAGCCTCCTGAGTAGCTGGGATTACAGGAGTGCACCACCATTCTCGGCTAATTTTTTATTTATTTATTTTTTATTTTATTTTATTTATTATTTTTTCTTTATTTTTGTAGAGATGAGGTTTCACTACGTTGGCCAGGCTGGTTTAGAACTCCTGACCTCCAGTGATCAGTGCCTGCCTTGGCCTCCCAAAGTGCTAGGATTACAGGTTTGAGCCATCGCACCCAGCCATATACTGTACTATTTTGATATTTGCCTTAGTCTCTTTACCTCCCTGAGTTGTAAGCTTTCTGAGTTGGAAGAATGTCTTATTTCATTTTGTTTTACCTGAAAATCATGGCACACAGTCAGCATTCATGCTCCTACTGGGAGAAATACAACTGGAATTCTGAGCTGTATTTCCTGTTTTCACCCACTCCTCTTGTACCATCTTTTCATTAACATGAAACTTTATTACCCATCAAATATTTGTTAAATATTTGATCTTTAATTTCTAAAATAAAATGCATTGAATAGACCGGGCGTGGTGGCTCACGCCTGTAATCCCAGCACTTTGGGAGGCTGAGGCGGGCGGATCACAACGTCAGGAGTTTGAGACCAGCCTGGCCAATATGGTGAAACCCCGTCTCCACTAAAAAAAAATACAAAATACAAAAATTAGCCAGGTGTGGTGGCGTGCGCCTGTAGTCCCAGCTACTTGGGAGGCTGAGACAGAAGAATCCGTCCCAGGAGGCGGAGGTTGCAGTGAGCCGAGATCACGCCACTGCACTCCAGTCTGGGCGACAGAGTGAGACTCCATCTCAAAAAAAAAAAACAAAAAAACAAAAAAAACAAAGAAACAAAAAAGAAGCATTGAATAAATGTCACTTAATCTATTAGTAAGTGTTCACACTTAATTTCTGAACATAATACAATATTTCCATTTTCTCATCAAGAGAAATACAGATTCCTGCTAGGATCATCTCGTCTTTAATGTGGCAGTCAGCAGTAGAATGACAACTCCCAGGTCTGTGGTGCAATGGAGTTGGTGACAGAAGAGGCTCAGCCGTGAATCCCACTCTCTCTGCTCCAGGCCTTCTTGGTGCGGCCAATCACAAGACAATCTGGCTTTAGGGCAAACTTAAAAGAAGTAGGTTAGAGCCACTTAAGAAAAGAAGCAGATGGAAAGACAATTTGTTCTTTTTCAAATTACTTATTGAGACATCCAAGTATAAAAGGTTCTCTGGAGAATCTCCGACAGGCCTGCGCACTGGGAGAAGACGGGGTGGAACCACAGAAGTTTGCGCCTTGCGGCGGGGAGGAGCCTGGCCCCTAGTGTTCCTGCGTGGGAACCTGGGAATTAGTCTGTGAGATGAGGGCCTGTTAACAGGAACTCCTCTCTCGCTTTGCTGTGTTGTTTCTCGTTTTCACCCGATAAATTCTGGCCCCCTCACCCTTCAAAGTATCTGCATAATCTTTCCTGCTAGTTTGACAATAACCCGGGTTTTCCTACAACAATATTATGTTGGTAATTTTAAAAATGTGCTTCAATGGACACTTGTTATTTGATCTGAATACTAAATTTCATCAGCTTTTAGCCCAATTCATGATCCCAGTTACTGATGTCTATTGAAATTGAGGGTAGAGAATGTCATTTTGGCTTGCGTAAATCTAAGAAGAAATTCCAGAACGGGGTTGGAACAAGCACCCCACACAAACAGTGCAGACATGTCCCCAGTCAGCTTCCTCTGCGGCACGGAGAAAGGGAAGAAGGCCCTCTCTGGCGCCTTGGACACAGCCATGGGAGGAATCCCTGAGGCCAGACCTCATCCGCCACAACCCTGGGGGCCTCCTGGGAGGTGACGGGACAGGCTGGTGAATATGTGGACACCATTTATTCAGCTGCTTGAGTCCTCAGGTTCTTGACTCTGAAGCCCTGTCACTTTTATGTGATGTTTCTCTTTAAAACTCATGGGTTCTCCTTGAGACCCTAAAGGGCACAGTGAGGTCTGCACACTTCCTTTTGCCCCTCCGGGGTACAGTGCTGTCTGTGACATGCAGGGGCGCACTCTTGGAGCAACATCCATTTCCCAGGCTGCTGGGCAGGATTCATGGCCAGAAAGGCTGCTGGCTTCAAAGGCCCAGAGGAGCCCCTGGAGCAGGTCAGACCCTGCAAGCGCCTCTGATGTGAACAGGCACCTGGACAAACAAAGAATGCAGGGTGGTTCTTTATTCCTGCTACACATTTTCCTGAGCAAAATGTGCCAGGACTGCCTTTTCATGCCTCACATCTTAAAGAGGTGTTTGTGTATCGGGGGCTGGGGAGGATGGTGGGTGTTGAATTAGACTCTCAGGGCTAGGTCTTTCATCTTCAGATACTCAGCAGGCCAGTACATCACGGTAGTCCCATAATCCTTTCCCTCGTCTCAGCTAACTCTGCCTGTCATGGGACATTCTCAGCCAAGGACCCATCTACTGATCTTTCACAGAACGCGTGTGTGTAGCTTTTCAGTGCTTGATTCAGTGCCTGCTCTTGTAGGAGCAAAACAAATATTTGTTGAATGAATAAATGAGCTACTTGGATCAACTGTAGAACAAAGCTATATCTTTAGAAGCGGAACCATTTCTCTCATTTTGGATCCCCACCAGAAGCAAGCTCTGAAACACGGATTTGAGTCAAAATAGTTTATTTGGGAAGTGATCCCAGGAAACACCAGTAAGAGAATGAGGAAGTGGGACGGGCAAGGGAAAGCAGCCAACAAAGAATGCCTCATTCAGCAAATCACCACTTTGGGCAACTGGGGCGTGAGCTGCAGGGCAACTCCAGGAGCCAGTGAAGAATACCTACCCCAGCACTACCCCATCCAAAGCGTTAAGGAGCCAGAGTGTGGCAACAGACTGCTTCTGGGGGGTTATCAATTCCAGCTGCTGTGTGCCCAGGCAGAGTAGGCACTGGGCACAGTGAAAACCTTCAGGCAAAGGTGTGCATTGGCAGTTGGAAGTCAGACTGGAGGTGCATAAATGATGGAGGGTGTTTGCCATGTCTCCAACACGATTCCACCAACTTTGGTTTCCATTCCCTCCATTTCTTATGTCAGTAGGAGACTGACAGAAGCTGTCAGGAGGAGACTGGGGGTTGCTGGTTCCTTCTGCCCTAGGGACAATAGTTAGTACTAGAGACTAGCTTAGCTCATAATCTCCATTATCTTGTTACTTGTTAGCTGTGGGCCCACGTGGACATGGGTTTCAGCAAATCACACACACTAATCTTGCAGTACATTCTGGTTGCCTGTGATTCTCTTGGCCTTTGTTTCCAAATCGCATTTTTGGTGTCTTAGTATGCATAGGATAGAGCCAACAATGACTGTGTTTGAGACTGAAGGGGTTGAGAAGTTTAAAGAACAATAGTGTCATAATTCAGAGTGGTTAAACTTAGTTAATGATATTGTTGTAAAACTTGTCACAAAACCTGGTGCGTTAGACCCATGAAGGACCTTAGATACCACCTCATTCAATGAGCTCATTTTACAGATGGTGAGACAGAGCAGCAGAGAGGTGAAAGGAATCGTCCAAGGTCGCACAACTGGTTAGAGTCTCCAACCCCAGGGCTGATTGCCCTCCCATGCTGCTGCTCACACTGCCCATTCGCAGGGGCTCTGGAGAACGCTCTCCGGAATGTATTGTGCAAAGTGTTAAAGAACATGGGACAAGTGCAAGATGGGAGCAAAGGATTTAAGGGGTGGAGAGGGAAATGGGGCAAGAAAACAGGAGTGTGGGAATCAGCAGCTGTTGAGCTCCTACTCTGTCAAACACCATGCTCTGTGTCTTACAGGCATTATCTTATTACTGGTCATGAAATCACTGGGAAGCAGGTGTCATCATTTTTAAAACTGTGTTTTAAAAGCTTTTCAAACTTTTTTTAAAAAAGTAATTTCTTGGCCAGGCACAGTGGCTCACACCTGTAATCCCAGCACTTTGGGATGCCAAGGCGGGTGGATCACCTGACCTCGGGAGCTCGAGACCAGCCTGGCCAACATGGTCAAACCCTGTCTCTACTAAAAATACAAAAAATTAGCCAAGCATGGTGGCAGGTACCTGTAATTCCAGCTACTTGGGAGACTGAGGCAGGAGAATCGCTTGAACCCAGGAGGCAGAGGTTGCAGTGAGCCGAGATCACACCATTGCACTCCAGCCTGGATGACAGAGTGAGACTCTGTCTCAAAAAAAAAAAAAGTAATTTCTTTAATTTTTTAGAGAAATGATCTCACCTCATTCTGAAGCTTCATTCCTACACAGAAGCAGGAAATAAAAAAACAAACAAAAACAAAGATGGAAACAACAACAACAGCAAAACCCAAAACCTGAACTTGTGAATGTAAAGTAGCTGGGTTGCCCATGGATTGACTCATGAGGCCGATAGTTTTACTTTGGCAGCAGCCCAAGACAACTTATTCACATTTCCTCTGTGCATGGATAAACACCTTCACTGGCCTCTAGTACACCAAGGCAACTCTGAAAATCTCTAGTCAGCAACATCTACTTTGAGCATCTTCTACCTCCCTGGATAGTTCAGGTCTCTAGTGACAACATTGGAGATCTGTTTAACATGAAAATACAGTTTTTGAGATAAGCATCTTTTTGAATAATTGTCATCCCAAAACACCACTAAAAGAATGAATTTATAAGATTGGGCCAAGCAGAGAGCTGGCTCTCTGCAAAACACAGGACCCGGGGAAGAGCAAGGGGGTTGGAAGCAGGGTGAGAGTGAGAGAGGGGAAAGAAAGAAACCAGTCAGCAGGCAGTTAGGGTGAGTCCTCGGTTAAATTCTTTCAAACAAACACCCTGCAGGCACAGATAAGGGAACTTGCACAGTGGGGCTTACCTAAGACATGCCCACAGACATACAGATAAGAAAGGCTACACAGGTGACTTGCCCAGACATGCCCGCAATGGAAAATTCCATCTCCTGACACATGCACAGTAAGGCGAACAAAGCAATATGGAGTAACTCAAACTAAGGGCCTGCACGTGCACTAGGAGAGAGGGGTATAGCTACCCGAAATTCGCACCTTATATAAATAAGATGCCCAGCTCTCATCAGTGTTTTATTAAAACCTTTGCATTCAATTGTAAAACAACAACCCTCTTTCAGGTCCCCTCTCGGCAGTGGAGAGCTTTCTTCTTTCACTTATTAAACTTTCGCTCCAACCTTGGTGTCTGCACTCCTTAACTTTCTTGGTCATGAGACAAAGGACTCTGGGTACTACCTCAGGCAATGAGAGACTGCAACAAGAGGGGGAAAGAAGAGGTGTGTGGTGGTTGTTCAAAACATGAGGGATTTCCAAGAAGGGCAAGCATAGCTGGGGCTGTAGCAGAATGTAGCATGAGGGCTCTGGGTACCTGAGAAGGAGCTAGGATTAGGATTGGAATCCAAAGGCACATAATATAGCCACTTCCTTTCCTAGTCTAGTGGCCTTTGGGGAGGGTATTCGCCAAGTGGGGAGAACAAATGTTGAGGCTGGTGCTGACTATCTTCAGAGCCAAAAGGTGACCTTCTTGTCCCCTCTGCACTCACTGAATCATGGGGACCACATCCCCATCTTCTGATCCCCATCCAAAGCTGGTTGTGCCAGTCACAGATCGCAGAGCCCATCAGTGCCCCAAGGGCCGAGGGGTACATTTCAGGCCTTGTGCAGCCTTCTCTGAGCTGTACTTTCCTTTGATTCTGTTGTTCTTGTTCCATCCGAGTGGGACCTCTGTTCCTATTCTGAAGGCCACTGTTAAGTCCTATTCACTCTGAATGGCTCATTTAGTTCAGTGGGGGTTTGGGTTTTTAGAAGGTTTTCTCTTTTAAATTCCTTTTTTTCCTTTTTTTTTTTTTTTTTTTTTAAGAAAAAGGGTCATAAAGAACTTTAAGATGCCATGCATGAAAAGCTCTGGATAAATGCAGCTTGTACTGGATTGTAAAATACTGTATTGTTCCAACCTTAATTCCTTGTGTGAGACTGGAATTGGTAATTTCCTGGTCCAGGGCAGAGGCTGAATACCAACAGACTGCAGACTGGAAGCAGGGGCGCTGTGGCCTGGGAGCACTTGGGGAGAATTTATGGGGAAACCAGAGGTCTCTACAAGAAATTCTCCTTTTGGCCCAGATTAATTTTCCTGACTTTTGCATTAAAGTAAAATAACATTTTTATGAAAAAGCACATCTCTGCTCTCTGCAGTGGCATTTGGGGGCTGGGGTGTGCCGCTGTCTGGGGTCACAGACCGTTATAAATCACATAAAAAGCTTCCTCAGCTCTTCTGCTCTGAAAACTCACTCTATCTGGGGTGTGAGCATGTTTGCTTAGCGGGCAGTCCTCCTTCTCTGAGCTATGGAGACTGTTTTGACCTTGAATCTCCCTCTCACCTCTCTTGATGCTTAGGTCCCAGAATCACCCAGTTTCATGCCAGCAAGACCGAGAGCCCCTCACATTCGCCACACGTGTCCCTGACTCCTCGTACCTGCCTCTATGCTTCCCTGGAATCCTCCGCTTCCCATCTGTTTCTCTGTAAAGACTGATCATACTTCCCTGCTTCCAAGCCATCTCCTCCTTAAACTATGACTACTTGCAACTTTGTTGGTCTCCCTGAGTCTCTGATCTCTATGGTACTCATAGTCATGAACACACATTTTAAACCCCTTTTTTGGTTTGAGTTTGGTGCCCAGGTTTGATTGTAAACTTCTTGAATGCCGTTCATTTCCTGTAATTTGTATCTGCCATATGTGCTTTCATATGAGCCCAGCATAAAGCCAGAGCCTCATAAATTCCCATTGGTTGGATTTCTGATTGATTGGTTGGTTGATTGATAGATACCCAGGCCCCATATGCCCAGATGTCTGAGGTAGTGCTTTGCTCATGGGGCTCCAGGAGTCAGCAGAGCTGTCCCTGACTCCTGTATTCACATGAGCTGATAATTTCACTCCCCCACCCCCACTTCATCTTAGGAGCAAGATACAGCCTCTGTTCTGGTCCCAGAAAAAAAGTTTACTCGCGCCACAGTTTTGTGAGGTTTCATAGACTTTTACTAAACATTTGCGTAGATGGTCGGGGAGCTACTTTGGCAGGGTGTAGCATCTCACCATCTTCCTTCTGTGTAACGATACACAGTCCTTGTGCATGAGGCTATGTGCTAGCAACCACCTTAAATGACTTATTAAAGTGTTTCTTCTGAACAAATACCATGCTTAGTCAAAGAATAATTGCAATAAATTCTCATTATTCTCCTGGTTTTTACAGCAGCAGTACCCAGAAGCGTTGAGTTTGCCCTCTGTGGATTCAACTACTAAAAGTGTTCATCAGAGAATGCAGCCACTAAGGGAACCTGGGGTTAAAGAGATTTCAGATATTTCCAAGCCTCCTAGTCAGTAGACGGTCACCCTGAGCCTTTTGCCCCTGTCTTAGCACTGTGGGAGACCAAGAGTGAGGTCTGGGTCCCCAGTAAACATTGCCAAAAGTGCCCCTCAAGATCTGGGCATGAAAAAGTAAACAGATCTCCCAGGCAGAGCTTGGCAGCTCAGACCCCCACCCCTCCCTGTCAGGAGCTGTTCACATGGGTGTCTGTGCATCTCTGGCCCCAGGCTGCCACTCTGCCCCAGCTTCCAGCCTCCTGCCTCATGGATATAGCAGGTTTTTAGTCATATACTTTCAGAACAGCATAGATTTCACTTTAAGGAAAAACAGACTTGGTGCTTGGGTCATTGCTGTATCCTTGCTATTACACTTGCCTGAAAGAGTCCCCCTCTCAACTTCTGCTCCCAGGCTTCCCCCTCTGGCTTGGCCTTTTGTGCCACTCTTCTGTTTTTTTTGCTCCTCAGATGTGCACACATTTTAAATAACATTCCTTCCTGAATTTGTCCCTTCATTTCCCCAGCTTCTGTGCTTGGGGACTCTCCAGCTCCCATTCTTTTTCGCGCTAATGTTCTCTTCTCCATCCTTTGTTGACATGCCAATTTATTCAGCGCTTGGCTTCCCCTTCCTCTCCTCACTCTTTTCCATTCCTTACACTTCTCCTAACTGACAAACACTCCCCAACAGTGTGTCTGTGTGTGTTTGGGGTCTAGACGAATAAACCTATTTTGGCCCTCATATCCTTGATGAGGTGGGGAGACAGGTTTCTTGTTCCCCCATATATTCTCCTAAATGTCAGTGCGGTCAATCTGGGCACAGAGCCAAGTTTATGCACAGGCCAATGACTGTGTGCTGTGCAGGGTGCTGGGAAGGCCATGGTAGCAGTCACTCTTGGTTCTTTGCCCACCAGCCATTTTGCCTTTCTTCTTCCTAACTGAACCCTGATTTTGTTTGGGCATATAGCCACCTGTGCAGTCATATGTTTCAGGGGAGGTGAGCTTCATGCCTATTCCTCAGCTGTGACTCTTGATTGTTCTAAGTAATCTTGATTGGTTTAGGCATAAGTATGAGAAACAGTCTAGCCAATGAGAAGGAGAAAGAAGCCTTCAGGGTGGGTTGAAGGAGGGGCATCTGCAAAAGGCTGTCCTCTATCTTTAAATGCTACACTGGGGAGTTAAAGTCCTTCCAATGCCCTGTATGTTGTCTCAAGGCTGGGATGGTGAAATCTACTACAGCCCTCTTGCAAACATGAGAGGTCAAGCCTCAGAAAACAAAAACAAAAACAAAAACGGAAACAAAATATTCTGCAGAGAATGGTAGAAAAGAAATATGAAAAGGAGCTGTGTCCTTGATGGCATCTTTGATCTGCTGAAGCTGCCTTACTCTGAACTTGTTGTGTTTAAGATAATAAATTTCCCTTTCAAGCCATTTGTCCTAGGGCTTATTGTTTCTTGCAACCTAAAGTATCTTAACAAGTAGCTCTTCTGACTGAAAAGATTCCATCAAAACATACTTCTCTGTTCACGTGGGTGTCTGTGCATCTCTCTGTTGCTTAGCTTGTCATACACAGATCATCATCAGCAAGTAGGTACACATTTCATATCACTTTTTATGTGCCAGACACTGTTCTAAATGCATTGCATAAGGTAAATAATCCAACCCTTTCAAAACATTATGAGGTAAATACTCTAATTATCCCCATTACACAGATGAAGAAACTGAAGCATAGAAAGGTTGAGAAAATTGCAGGGTCCCCAAGCAAGTAAGAAGCAGTGGTGGGATTTCAATCTGGACAGTCTAGCACCAGGGCTTATAATCTTAAAATCAATGTTAAACCATCAACTTTGAGTAATTCTAGACCCTGCTAATCCTAGGAGGGGGCACATCTTTCCTGTCCCCATGCAGGTTCGAGTTAGCCGCCTTGCCTTGAGTGTAGGGCACTGTCCACACTTCCTCCTGTGTGTCTCTTCTCCAATGGAAAGAAACTAATGCCAATTTTGTTGGACCCAGAATTGGTGGCTACCTCATCTTTCCACAGCTGAAGATGCCAGGAAAATGCCCCTAAGGTGTCAGGGAAATGTGTCCCAGGGGTCACCATTCTCATGCATGCTTTATTGCTGGTGCAACCAAGGGCTAACTTGATTAAGCCCCCCAAACTTAGGTTAACCTGTCTTGCTTGCTTTTAATCATCTGCTTCTAGTTGAGCTGAAAACCTGTATATACGGTTTGGCTAAAAGTCATGTAGCCACACAATACATAACAAACACCGCCACTAGATTCCATATAGGTAACAGCTCTGATGTATATGGCACTACACTAATGGCTGCTTGAAGTTGTTTCTTAGGACCTAGTTGTTTCTTAGGACCTAGCTGTTTCTTGTCCAGTTTGAACCAGTTGAGACCACCAACCCTTCAACTGGGCCTGTGCAAATGCCTAAGAGGTGACCTTTTGATGTCAAAGGGCCTAAAACTCTTCCCTCCAATCATGCTAACATCACCATTTTCTGAACATAAGTCCTGTGAAGAGCCATGAACATCAACTATGCTTGTGCAAACCACTAATTACCTAATTTTTCCCCACTACCAATCACATTTCCCCACACCTTAGACCACCCTGCTTCTTTACCCTACAAATAGCCTTAAGCCCTGTCTTCAAGGAGGTAGATTTTAGACCTGTTCTCCCACCTCCTTGCTTGGCTCCTTGTAAATAAACTCTTTCTCTGCTGCAAAACTCGTCTTCTCAGTGATTTGCATGCTGTGTGATGGGTAGAATGGGTCTGGTTTGGTATCACTGGCAGGATTGCACCAGGATGAGTAGAACTGGACACTGGGCAGCTTGAAGGCTTGCCAAGGGAAGGCAGAGACTGGGAACCTCCCCACCTTCCCCTGGGCCTCACACTGGCCCAAGTTCAGGTTATCTCAAGTCCCTTCTGCAACTTAGGGATTCCTGGCTTGGGAGAAAATTGCCAAGGTTCCCACAGCTAGGAAGAAGCAACTGTGGGATTTGAATCTTGTAGACTGGATTCCCAGTGACTGGATTTCCAGTGAATCCAGTGTACAAGAACATGGACATTTGTTGTCGAAAGGATTTTAATAATCTCCTGGTCCTACCCTCTTCCACCTCCTTGATAGCACTCAGTGTCAGAAACCACACTAATTATTTTGACAAAGAACATTTAATATGAATGATTATATTCTTCAACTAGGGTTGAAGAATTGAAAAGGCAAAAAGATGTATCACAGAGGAGGGACTGCAGGAAGCAGCTACCATCCTTAGGGCTGTGGAACAAAAGAAGAGATTGGAATTTCTAGAACTTAGAAACCTAGAGAAAAAGACATCTGAGATTGGAGTGCCTGTCTGCTGGTGTTGATGGGGAAAAGAAGTGTTGTTAGGGTTGTGCTGGCAGGACCATGAAGCCCATGGAAACCCAACAAGAAGCCATAGGGAGAAGCAAGTCAGTTCTTCCTCTGCCAACTTTGCAGTCATCCTCTAGTGCTAGCTACTGTAGAGTGTAACATGGTGTCAGATGACACAGCAGCATCACAGAACATAGAAGGGAGGGTTTGAATCTAGAAAACAATAGCTAATTCTCTCTCTGTCTCTCCCACAAGAGAGAATAGCCAAGACGATTGCAAGGGAGATGTTTATCAATGGGAATTCAATAAAGTAAGAAAGCTCTTATTTAACTTCCATCTCATTTGCACTGGAGGCATAAGAGGAGCAACCACGTGAGAATAATGCTCTAGAAAAGTCGGTGTGCATGAGGCTTAAAAGCCACATGGTAGGAGCAACTTGTATATGGTTTGTTGCAGGAAAGTTTAGTGTTTGCTGAGGGGATTGTCATTAGATCTTTTCTGAATTTTAGGTAAAATAAAGAAAGGAATTGGATAACATTTGATTATCTTCTTATTTCTTCCTTTGATGCCTATTATTCCCATAATATTAGCATTGTCCTTTAAAGGATCTTCTCTTCTCTCTGAAAAAATGCTGCCCTCATCTCTTGAGAAACTGGGGAGACTTCATCTCCACTTCTGGGGCAAAGAGTGATGTGTTCCTGGATGAATGAACACTTACTAAGGACTTTCTATGTGCCAAGCACTTAGAAGTACTCTTACCACTTACTACCAGTGTAACCTTGGTCAAATTACTTTTCACACTTATGAAATGGAGATACTGCCTATTTCATGGAGATAGGAAGAATAATGGAGACACTGGAAAGCTCCTAGCCCAGTGTTTCTCATGCCTTGTATCTCATTGTTTGCTTATGTGCTTAAACTCCTTTGATCTCAGCAGTCTTCATAACAACTTGGTGAGAAAAAGCATATCTACCTTCATCTCGCAAGTAAAGAGCCTGAAGCTCCAGGTAGTTAAGTGACTTGCTCAAGACCGCACAGCTGAGCCAACAAAGTGCAACTCGAATCCAAATCTTACTCTTCTAAAATCTGAGTTACGCTGAGGCCAGCATACCACCTTCTAATGACCAAATTGGAACTCAGATTACTGCTACCTATAGAATTGATCTAGAAGTAAATACAATTAGCCCAGAATAAAATGTTCATCTTCCTTAGTAGTCAAGGCAATGCAAATTAAAAGAGAAGCCATTTTTTTAGCCTTTTAAATTGGTAAAGATTTGAGGAAAAGTAGAGCTGGTTAAAATGCTCTGCTTCTGGTGTTAGTTGGCCTGGGTTGAAGTTTCACCTCTAGTACTCACTGGCTGTGTAGCCTTGGCCAAGTCCTGTAATCTGTTGAAGACTCAATTTTCTTATGTGTTAAAGGAAGATTATGGTTGTACTTATCTGATAGAATTGTAGAATTTAAATGAGATTATCTGTGTAAAGAGCTTAGCCTGGGGCCTAGCATATAAATATTTAAAGAATGTCAAAGAAAGGAGAAAGATATTTGATACTAGCGTTGGTAAATGTATAGTGGGACCTGTATTCTCATTTACTGGTAAATGCTCAAACAAGGGCAAGTTGGTCTAACTATTCTGGAGAATAATTTGCACTTTGTATAAGAACTTTAGATGTTCATATTCTTTGACCAAGCAGTTTTACTTCTAAGAATATGTTTTAAGTAAACAATTGAATACGAATGACGTTTCATTTATATAGATGTTCCTTTTAGTGTTAGACAAACAAAAATGGAAACAGTCAAATATCTAATTATTGAAAAAGTATTAAATAAATGTTGGCATTGTCACAGGTTGAAATACTACACAACAATAAAATGATGTTTATGGGACATTTTTAATGATGAAAGAAATACACATATTGTGAGAAAAAGTAAGATGAAGAGAAAGAGCATATGTTAGAATTGTCTTTTCAAATTAGAAGAAAAGGAAAAATTCGATAAGCATTATTAAAATAGTTTTTATCTTACACGTACAAAAATGTTTTATCCTATACCTTATCACTAAATTAAATGTACAAAATTAAAATGTACAAAAGATCTAAATAATGAACAACTGCTCAAGAATATTAGAAGGAAATATCAGCAATTTTTTATGACTTTGGTGTTTATAAATTATTCTTAAGACACACAAGAGCAAAAATCATTAGGGAAAAGGTTACTAAGTTTGATTACATCAAAAATTTAAAAATTCTCTTTAAAACAGAAGCATTCCCTTAGTCAACAAATATTTACTGGGCATCTATTATAATGCCAAGGACTGTTGAATATTCTGGGATATAGCAGATAATGTCTCTGCTCTCTTAAAGCTAATATCTAAGAAGAAGAGGTAGAAAAAGAACAAGTGATAATATAAATATTGAATTTGTTGAGTGGGAGCAAGAACTACTAAAAAAAACACATTAGAGTAAGAAACATAGCAGAAGTGACAGAAGTGAAGATTACTATTTTATTGAGTGAGCAGGAAAACCTTCTCTGAGAATACGACATTTGAGCTGAGGCTTGATGAAATGAAGGAATGAAACATATGGGTATCTTGAGGAAGAAAATTCCAGGCAGAGGGAAGAGCTAACGAAAGCCCTGTGTCAGGAGTATCCTTTATATATTTGAGTTTAGTAAAGAGACCAGCGTAGCTTGAGCAGAGTAAGCATGGGAAAAAGTAGGAGAAGATAAGGTGGGAGAGGTAGAAAGGTGGCAAGTGACACTGGATATCTGGTCCTTTGTATGAATGTTAGGTTTTATTCTGAGTGAGGTGGGAGATTACTGAAGAGAGAAACAGAATTTGGCTTAGGTACAATGAGAGTCACTCTGCCTGTAAGACTAATCTATAAGGTGGCAAGGGTGGTCATAGAGAGACTAGTTGGAGGAGACTGGAAATAATCCACATGACAGGTGATGATGACTTGGCCTAGGCTGACCATGGTGAATATGTTTTAGCTATTCTAGCTCATTTGCTCTTCCATATAAATTTTAGAAACAGCTTGTCTATACAGAATCTACAAAAAATCCTGCTGGTTTAATCTTTAAAGATCAATTAATGGTCTAACACTTTTTCATGATTTAAAAAACTCAAGAGAATAAAAACAGATGGGAACCTTTTCTACCTAATAAAGGGCATCTATGAGAAACCCACAGCTAGTATCACATGTAATGGTGAAAGACTGAGTGCTTTTCCTCTAAGATCAGAAACAAGACAAGGGTATCTGCTCTCACTGCTTCTATTCAACACTGTACCAGAGAATCTAAGCAGGGCAATTAGGCAAGAAAATGGGATAACAGTTATCCAGATCAGAAAGGAAGAGGTAAAATTGCCTCTATTCACAGATGGTACAATCTTGTATATAGAAAATCCTAAAAAATACACACACACACACACACACACACACACATTATTGGAGGTCATAAGAAATTTCCACAAGGTTGCAGGATACAAGACCAATTACAGAACCAGTTGTATTTTTATATTTTTATATATTTTTATACAATAGAATAAAAAGAATAAAACACTTAGGAGTAAATTTAACAACAGAAATGCAAGGTTTGTGCACTGAAAACTGCAAAACATTTTTGAAATAAGGAGTAAATGAACGAAAATGTGTTACATGTTCATAGGTGAGAAGACAATATTGTTAAAATGACAATACTTCCCAAATTTACCCACAGATTCAATGCAATGCTGTCAAAATCCCAGTTGACTTCTTTATAGAAATTGACAAGCAGATCCAAAAATTCATATGGAAATGCAAAGAACCACCCAGAACAGCTAAAACAACTTTGAGAAAGAACAGATGTGGAGACTATCACTACCTGATATCAAGATGCCCATCTCTCTAGGCTCGACTTATTCCTATAAGATATTTTAGCTTTGGGGGAATTGTTGGACCTGAACTCTGCAGGGAGGTTTTGCCCATGAGACGGGGCCATTTTGACCTGAGCACCCCTTGGTCTGCTGGCCTCTTCTGGGACCCAGCCTGGATGTGCCTGCTTGCAAGGCAGCCTCTGGTGCCTTGGGGGCCTGCATCATAGCTCCTGTGCTGATGGACCACCTGACCGGCAGAGTGCTCCAGCAGAGTGGGCCCCATGAACATGCACCAGCTCACCTGTGCTGCCCCCGATGCAGCCTCCCCCTGTGCCACTTTGCCTGCATGCACTTGCCCATGACCTCCCTGCACCATCCTTTTGCTGGTATGCGTACACCTGGGGCGACCTTGTCTTCCCTTCCCAACCAGTGTGCATGTGCACGTGCATCCTGCTGGTGTGACCATACCTTTCTTCCTCCCCCCTCCCCTCCCCCCATCCACCTCCCACTATCCCAATCCTCTGGCCACACCACCACTGTCATCAGAACTTTGGTGGGCATGGAGCCCACCAGCCCCATGCCTGCCAGCACCTGTCCCTGAGCCAACACTGCCACTGGTGCAAAACGAGTCATGGAGAACAGTGGACCCAGCCACTGCTGCCTGTGGGAATGCTCACAGAGGGTGCACACAGTCTTGTGCCCACCAGCACCCCACCCCTATGCTAACACCACCACAACTGTGAACACGTGCACAGTTGCTAATGGCATCCCCACCCAGCCGTGCTGCCCTGCAGCTGCTGTGAACACCCTCATGGAAGCCAGCAACCCAGCACCCACTAGCACCCAGCCACAGCTGATGAGCATGCATCTTACCACTTTTCTGCTGCCACTGCTGCTGGCACATGTGAACAAGGACAGATCCTGATGCCATCACCCTATGAAGTGCTTTGCTTGTCACCATCCATTGGCATGGATGTTGCGAATAGCCATTCAGTTTGGAAGCACTTTGACCCCTCCAGTGCAGCATGTTCCTAACCTTGAGGAGCCAGAGATAAAAGCCAGGCCCTGATACCAGTCCCCCAGAGTAACGGCATGCAGTCCAGGAATCCTATGCTGAGCCTGGGCCCCTTAAAATCTTCCAGAAATGAGACCAGTTGACTGAACTCACCTTATATCACAATCAAGCCTCCAATGTCATCAAGTAGGATAAAAGAAAAAAAATATCCAAAGGACAGCACCTTCAAAGATTGAAGGAAGATTGGCCCACAAAGATGAGAAAGAACCAGCACAAGAACTCTGACAACTCAAAAAGCCAGAGTGTCTTCTTTTCTCCCAGTGACTACACTACCTCTCCAGCAAGGATTCTTAAGCGGGCTGAGATGGCTGAAATGACAGAAATAGAATTCAGAGTATGGATAGGAGTGAAGATTATAGAGATTCAGAAGAACATTGAAACCCAATCTGAGGAAGCTAGGAATCACAATAAAATGATACAGGAGCTGGCAGACAAAATAGCCAGTATAAAAAAGAATGTAACCAATCTGATAGGGCTGAAAAACACACTAGAAGAATTTAATAATGCAATTGCAGATATTAATAACAGAATAGACCAAGCTGAGGAAAGAATCTCAGAGCTTGAAGACTGGCTTTCTGAAATAAGACAGTTAGACAAGAATAAAGAGAAAAGAATGAAAAGGAATAAACAAAACCTCCAAGAAATTTGGGATTATGTAGAGACTGAATCTACAACTCACTGGCATCCCTGAAAGAGATGAGGAGAATGGAAATAATTTAAAAAACATATTTCAGGATATCGATGACAACTTCCCCAACCTAGTTAAAGAGACCAACATTCAAATTCAGGAAATGCAGAGAACCCCCACAAAATGCTTCAAAAGAGTATCTCCAAGACACAAATCATCAGATTCTCCAGTTCAAAATGAAAGAAAAAAACATTAAAGGCAGCTAGAGAGAAAGGTCAGGTCACCTAAAAACGGAGGCTCATCAGGCTGACAGTGGACCTCTCAGCAGAAACCCTACAAGCCAGAAGAGATTGGGGGCCAATATTCAACATTATTAAAGAAAAGAAATTCCAACTAAGAATTTCATATCCAGCCAAATTAAGCTTCATAAGTGAAGGAGGAATAAGATTATTGTCAGACAAGCAAATGCTTAGGGAATTCATTACCACCAGATTAGCCTTGCAAGAGGTCCTGAAGGAAGCACTAAATATGGAAAAGAAAGACTGTTACCAACCACTACAAAAATACACTGAAGTACACAGACCAGTAATGCTATAAAACAAGTTGGCATAATATACAGCTAACAACACAATGACAGTTCAAATCCACAAATATCAATACTAACCTTGAATGCAAACAAGCTAAATGCCCCAATTAAAAGGCACAGAGTGGCAAGCTGGATAAAGAAGAAAGACCCATTGGTATGCTGTCTTCAAAAACCCATCTCACATGCAATGACACCCACAGATTCAAAATAAAGAGATGGAGAAAAATCAACCAAGTAAATAAAAAACAGAAAGAAGCAGGGGTTGCAATCTTAATTTCAGAGAAAACAGACTTTAAACCAACAAAGATCAAAAAACGGCAAAGAAGGGCATTACATGGTGGTAAAGTGTTCAATTCAACAGGAAGACCTAACTATCCTAAATATATATGCACTCAACACAGTAGCACTTACATTCATAAAGCAAGTTCTTAAAGACCTTCAAAGAGACTTAGATTCCCACATAATAACAGTGACAGACTTCAACATCCCACTGACAGTATCGGACAGATCACTGAAGCAGAAAATTCACAAAGATATTCAGGAACTGAACTCAACGCTGGACCAAATGGACCTGATAGACATCTACTGAACCCTCCACCCAAAACCAAAAGAATATACATTCTTCTCATAACCACATGGCACATACTCTAAAATCAACCACATAATCAGACATAAAACAATCCTCAGCAAATGCAAGAGAACTGAAATCATACCAACCACTCTCTTGGACCACAGTGCAATTCAAATAGAAATCAAGATGAAGAAAATAGCTCAAGGCCGGGCGCGGTGGCTCACTCCTGTAATCTCAACACTTTGGGAGGCCGAGGAGGGTGGATCACCTGAGGTCGGGAGTTCAAGACCAGCATGGCCAACATGGAGAAACCCTGTCTCTACTAAAAAATACAAAATTAGCTGGGCATGGTGGCAAATGCCTGTAATGCCAGCTACTCAGGAGGCTGAGGTAGGAGAATCACTTGAACCCGGGAGGCGGAGGTTGCGGTGAGCCAAGATTGTGCCATTGCACTCCAGCCTGGGCAAAAACAGTGAAACTCCATTTCAAAAAAAAAAGGAAAAAAATCGCTCAAAACCATACAGTTACATGGAAATTGAATAACCCAGTCCTGAATGATTTTTGGGTAAATAATGAAATTAAGGCAGAAATCAAGAAGTTCTTTGAAACTAAGGAGAATAAAGATACAACATACCAGAATCTCTGGGACACAGCTCAGACAGTGTTAAGAGGGAAATTTATAGCACTAAATGCACACATCAAAAAATTAGAAAGATTGCAAATTAATGACCTAACATCATAACAAAAAGAACGAGAGAAGCAAGAGCAAACCAAAGCAAGCAAATGACAAGAAATAACTGAACTCAGAGCTGAACTTAAGGAGATTGAGACACAAAAAACCATTCACGCCTGTAATCCCAGAAGTTTAGGAGGCCAAGGTGGGTGGATCACTTGAGGTCAGGAGTACAAGACCAGCCTGGGCAACATGGTGAAACCCTGTCTCTATTAAAAATACAAAAATTAGCCAGGCATGGTGGTGCATGTCTGTAATCCCAGCTTCTCAGGAGGCTGAGGCATGAGAATCACTTGAATCTGGGAGGCAGAGATTCCAGTGATCTGAGATTGTATCACTGTACTCCATCCTGGGTGACAGAGACTCTGTCTCAACCACTGCCTGCCACAACTGAAAAACAAAATTAGAAAGATCAACAAATCCAGGAGCTGGTTTTTTGAAAAAAATTGATAAGAGAGACCACTAGCTAGACTAATAAAGAAGAAAAGAAAGAAGACCCCAAATAAGCACAATTAGAAATGACAAAAGAAATATTACCACTGACCCTACAAAAATACAAATAACCATCAGAGACTATAATAAACACCCATATGCACACAAACTAGAAAATTTAGAAGAAATGGATGAATTCCTGGACACATACAGCCTCCCAAGACTGAACCAGGAAGAAACTGAATCCCTGAACAGACCAAGAGTGAGCTCTGAAATTGAATCAGTAGTAAATAGCCTACCAAAAAAAAAGTCCAGGACCAGACAGATTCACAGCCTAATGCTACCAGATGTACAAAGAAGAGCTGGTACCATTCCTACTGAAACTATTCCAAAAAGTTGAGGAGGAAGGACTCCTTTCTAACTCATTCTGTGAGGCCAGCATCATCCTGATACAAAATCTGGCAGAGACACAATAAAAAAAGAAAACTTCAGGCCAATATCCTTGATGAACATCCATGCAAAAATTCTTAACAAAATACTGGCAAACCAAATTCAGCAGCACATCAAAAAGCTTATCGACCATGATCAAATAGGCTTTATCCGTGGGATGCAAGGTTAGTTCACTATATGCAAATCAATAAATATGATTCATCACATGAAGATAATTAAAGACAAAATCCATATGATTATCTCAATAGATGCAGAAAAGGATTTTGATAAACTTCAACATAATTTCATGTTAAAAACTCTCAATAAACTTGGTACTGAAGGGACATACCTCAAAATAATAAGTGCCATCTATGACAAACCAACAGCCAACATCATACTGAATGAGCAAAAGCTGGAAGCATTCCTCTTGAAAATCAGCACAAAAGAAGGATGCCCTCTCTCATTAGTCCTATTCAACATAGTATCAGAAGTCCTGACCAGAGGAATCAGGCAAGAGAAAGAAATAAAGGGCATCCAAATAGAAAGAAGGGAAGTCAAACTATCTCTGTTTGCAGACGACATGATTCTATATCTAGATAACCCCACAGTCTCAATCCAAAAGCTCCTTCAGCTGATAAACACCTTCAGCAAAACTTTAGGATACAAAATCAAAGTACAAAAGTCATTAGCATTCCTATACACCAACAACAGCCAAGCAGAGAGCCAAATCAGGAAAACAATCCCACTCACAATTGCCATGAAAAGAATAAAATACCTAGGAATACAGCTAACCAGAGAGATGAAAGATCTCTATTATGAGAATTATAAAATACTGTTGAAAGAAATGAGAGATGACACAAACAAATGGAAAACCATTTCATGCTCATGCATAGGAAGAATCAATATTGTTAAAATGACCATACTGCCTAAAGCAGTCTACAGATTCAACACTATTCCTATCAAACTACCATTTACTTTGTTCACAAAAACTAGAAAAAACTGTTTTAAAATTAAGATGGAACCAAAAATAGCCCTTATAGCCATAGCAATCCTAAGCAGAAAGACCAAAGCAAGAGGCATCACACTACCTGACTTCAGACTATACTATAGGGCTACAGAAACCAAAACAGCATGGTACTGGCACAAAAACAGACACACAGACCAATAGAATAGAATAGGGAGCCCAGAAACAAGGCCACACACCTACAACTATCTGATCTTTGACAAAGCTGATAAAAACAAGCAATGAGGAAAGGACTTCCTGTTCAATAAATGGTGCTGAGATAACTGTCTAGCCATATGCAGAGATTGAAACTTGACCCCTTCCTTATACCATATACAAAAATCAACTGAAGCTGGATTAAAAGACTTAAACGTAAAACCCAAAACTATAAAAACCCTGAACAATAACCTAGGAAATTTCATTCTGGACATAGGAATGGGCAAAGATTTCATATCAAAAATGCCAAAAGCAATTTAAGCAAAAGCAAAAATTAACAAATGGGATCTAATTAAACTTAAGAGTGTCAGCATAGCCATAGAAACTATCAAAAAAGTAAACAGACAACCTACAGAATGAGAGAAAACATTTGCAAACTATGTATCTCAGAGAGACCTAATATCCAGCATCTATAAAGAACTTAAACAAATTTACAAGAAACAAACAGCCCCATTAAAAAGTGGGCAAAGGACATGAGCAGACACTTTTCAAAAGAAGACATACATGCTGCCAACAAGCATATGAAAAAAATGCAAATCAATACCACAATGAGATACCATCTCACACAGATCAGAATGGGTATTATTAAAAAGTCAAAAAATAACAGTTGCTGGCAAGGTTATGGAGAAAAGGGGACATTTACACACTATTGGTGGGAGTGTAAATTAGTTGAACTATTGTGGAAAGCAGTGTGGCGATTCCTTAAAGACCTAAAAACAGAACTGCCATTCGACCCAGCAATCCCATTACTGGGTATATACCCAAAGGAATATAAATCATTCTATCATAAAGACACATGCACTCATATGTTCATTGCAGTACTATTTACAATAGCAAAGACATAGAATCAACCTAAATGCCCTTCAACGGTAAGCTAGATAAAGAGAGTGTGCACATATAACCATGGAATACTATGCAGCCATAAAAAAGAACAAGATTACATCCTTTGCAGGAACATGGTTGGAGCTGGAGGCCATTATCCTTAGCAAACTAACACAGGAACAGAAAACCAAATACCACATGTTCTCACTTATAAGTGGGAGCTAAGTTGTGAGAACACATGGATGAGAGGGGAACAACACACACTGGGGCTTACCTGAGGGTGGAGTTTTGGAGGAGGGAGAGGGGCAGAAAAAAATGACAATTGGGTACTAGGCTTAATAACTGGGTGACAAAATAATTTGTTCAACAAACCCATGTGACAGAAGTTTTCCTATATAACAAACCTGCACACACACCCCTGAACCTAAAAGAAAAGTTTTTAAAAAATTAAGAAATTAAAAAAAAAAAATACAAGTCCCTCTCCACATTACCTGAGTTTATGCGAATGAAGTGACTCATCGTGAGGCCCCTAGATAGCTTCAGGATGAGACTGGTTACCAGAAAGACCAACACATGATTACAGGGTTGCAACTTTCAGTCTCTCCCTTCCCAACACGCCAACCTCTTGGGAGAAGAGGGGACTGGAAATTGAGTTCAATTGCCAACAGCCAATGATTTAATCAACTATTTCTGCATCATAAAACCTCCATTAGAAACCCCTAAACAACAGGAGTTTGGAGAGCTTCCTAGTTGGTGAGCACACTGAGGTGCTGGGAGGGTGGCTCTGCCCACCGCTCCCACCCCTTGCCCTACTCACCTCTTCCGTGTGGCTGTTTCTGAGTTGTTCCCTTTATAATAAATTGGTAACCGTAAGTGCTTTCCTGAATTCTGTGAGTTGTTCTAACAAATTACAGGACTTGGAAGGGGGGTTGTGAGAATCCCTGAACTTGTAGTCAGTCTGGCAGAAATGTAGTTGCCTGAGGACCTCATTTGTAGCTGGAGTCTGAAGTGGCAGCAGTCTTGTAGGATGAGTTCTTAACCTGTAGGATCTGTGCTAACCCTAGGTAATTAGTGTCAGAATTGAATTGAATTTTTGGACATCAAGTTGGTGTCTGAGAACTGAAGAATTGCTTGTTGGTGTTGGAAAAAAACATCACAAAGCCAAATATCCACTAATAGATGAATAGATAAATAAATTGTATAATTATTCAACAGAATACTACTCAGCAATAAAAAGAAATAAGCTATTGGTATAGGTTATCAGTGTCGATGAATCTCAAAAACTTACACTGAGTGAAAGAAGCTAGACAAAAAGAAATACATATTCTATAAATCCATTTATATAAAATTATAGAAAATGCAACCTAATCTATAGTGGGAGAAGGCAGATCAGTGTTTGCCTGGGGATGGGGACCAGAGGGAGCGCTTACAAAGGGATATGAGGATTTGCGGGGAGAGGTTTATGATCTGCTCATTATCTTGATTGTGGTGATGTGATAGTTTCACAGGCATACACACAAGTCAAACTTATCAAATTATACATTTTAAATATTGCAGTTCATTGTATGTTAATCATACTTCAATAAATCTGTTAAAAATGTTGAATAACTGGAATAAATTGTATTTTATGGTTATCTTTCGGTGGTGGACTTTGGGGAGTTTTTTCTTCATTCTTCATACTTTTCTCTATTTAAAAAATATCTTCCTATGAGGCTTATGGTAGAAAATGAATGTATAAGGCTGGGCATGGTGGCTCACACTTGTAATCCCAGCACTTTGGGAGGCCAACATGGGCAGATCACCTGAGGTCAGGAGTTTGAGACCAGCCTGGCCAACATGGTAAAACCCTGTCTCTATTAAAAATACAATAATTAGCTGGGCATAGTGGTAGGTGCCTGTAAAATCCCAGCTATTTGGGAGGCTGAGGCAGGAGAATTGCTTGAAGTCGGGAGGCAGAGGTTGCAGTGAGCTGAGACTGTGCCATTGCACTCCAGCCTGGGCAACAAAGCAAAACTCAGAAACACCATCTCAAAAAAAAAAAAAAAAAAAAAGAAAGAAAGAAAAAGAAAAAGAAAATGAATGTATATAGTGAAAAAAGCAAATGGTATGAACATATACAGGGCTAAGACAAGATGATTGATTTTACAGTAACATTGTGAGTTAAGTAGTCCTTTTTTGGCCCATCTGGGAACCCCATCACCATTTATAACTAGGCTGCTGTGCAAAAATGTGCTTTTCATTCCAAACACTGATCTTAAATTGAACTCTCAGAACAGTTGTATTTTCTTTTTAACTCTCTTAGCAGCAGGATCCCTTGTTGCAGGTTTTGTTCACAAGTTTCTCTTATTTCCTTGGGATTTTTTTTTTCATAGTAGAGTAAAGTCATTCCTGAAAAATTGAAGCAATATTTGGCATGGGAAATACAGGAGATGAGGATTGAGGCCTGAGAAGTTTTCTGCTTGATTCTCCAGGAAAAGCTTTCAATGTGGTTATGGTCAGAAACAAGACTATAAACATTTCACCTTATTACCGCAAATGCCTGCTTCCTTCTTTAGGTGGCCCTGGTGACAGAACTGCTGGCGAACTAACTGCCTTCTCTCCCTACACACAGCTTCCCTCAACCCCTCAAAGCAGCAAGATTTATGCAAGCCTCCTGTGACAGCAGAGCTTCTGTCCCATCAGTAGCCTTATCAAATCTGTCCTATAGCCCCATCAGACCTGAGCGAACACCTGCTTTCCAGGTAAGTTCTTACCATGGATCAAGGCAGTGGTGCACAAAACAAAACAGGCTGAACATTTCCAAATTGTTGGGACTCATGCCACTTCTTTGGGAGGGCACAACAATCAAATCCAACAGAATTTAGGCTTGCTAGAGCCTAAACAAAAATTCTTTAGTCCCTTTGGAACAGGAAAACTTAGGGAGCACTAAGAAAACTTTGCACAAACATTACAGTGGCTTTTTAGAATAACAAAGATAAAATTCCATTTCCCACTATTTATTGCCTTGGAAACCTCACACACTCTCAGAGACACAACCTGACCACACTTCAGTCTATTGAAAAAAGTACAACCCAGATGATAAACATTTTTCTCTGATTACCCAAAATAGGCTGAACTTGTTGTTTCTTCCTGCTGCACTCTTGTAACACTTACAGCATTATGTTAAACTTTCTTGCTTACTTCAAAGGGAAAACCAATCTCTTTCTTCTATGAATCAGCCCCAACATCTAGCAGTGATAATGACACATAATAGGCATTCAAAAAAGTACGTATGACTTATGCATACTGTTTTGTTGACAAATTCCAACTGCTTGATGAAGCATAAATAAATGCATCATTAAATCCGTCAAAGTAACTGATGGAATAGTGGAAGAATCGCTCAAGGGATTTCTCATTATTTAATATTATCCTTGTTGCTGTTACTTTTGCCAGTTTCTTAAGGTGCTAAAGGGAAGTAGAGTAAAATAGTTACATTAAGTTGTACATTTCAGCATTCTGTTCCCCTTCTCCCAAATTACCGTGACAGCTAACTTTTCAAGAAGTACTTTTTTGAAAAATAATTTCTGTCATTGTATCCATTTAAGAAGGGTGATGTTTGTGTCACCCAGCTTTTCAGTTGTAAGCAATAGAAACCGCTTGTAGCTAATTTAAGCAGAAAAGGAATTTATGAAAGGATATTGGTAACTTGCAGAATCTTGAGTTGGGCCAGAGAATCAGCCAAGGACAATGCTCAAAATGCCACAGTAAACCTCTCCCTCAAAGAGACCACGGTCCCTGGAATTGGGCCCACATGCTGCAGACTGTACAGCTAACATCTCTAATGCACACTGGGCACTGCTATCAAAACAGCCACCACTGCAGCCTCCGGAGGCAGATGGGAGATGTTGTCACTGTGGCCACGTTCGCCAGGACATCTTGCGAGTGGTCTTGCTCCTTTGTGTTACCAGTTTCCAATTCTAAATCCAGGGCAGAAACAAAACTGAGATTCAGGCCCTAGCTGCAAAGGTGCTAGGAAAGTGAGTATCTGGCATATTTGCTCTGTAAGTGGAAGGTGTTTGTGCCCTAATATCAGATGCCAGGGCCATGAATATCCTCTACAAGACTGTTTGGTTATTACTCTCTCAAGGAATAGAAGATTGAAAAATATCTTTAATGTGCAGCCGCTAAGCACTGTTAAATGTTGTCTCTGTGACAGTGACACAAGAAAAAATAAGTGAAACTTAGAATGTGTATAAAGGCAAGCGTTGGACAGTCATGTATAGAAATGAATAGATGGACATCAGGGAGCCTGTGAATGCTCTGAAAGTTTATATTAAATTACGTGTATTTCAAAGACATCTGTTGTTCAAAGAACTTTAGATCCTAGATCTAGATTCTGGTCTAAACCATCTCTACATAGAATAGGCCAATAAGCGAAGTGTCAGAGACAAGCTTATTCAAAGAGGCACAAGGTACCCTAGTAGAGGAAGGCCCAGAACTCACACCTCTAAAATTTGTCTACTGCACATCTTCTGAGTACAAGGCATACTTTAAGATGTGTCTGTCTTAGAACAACCATGTCAATTTGCACCAAAATTATCACATATTTAATGTAAATGCAGAAGCCTATTCCCAGGCTTCAATTTTAGCTTTGCTTTTTATTAGGTTGTCTTGTATTGATACGAATCTTACTTGCTTTCCTTACATTGCCTACCGGTGATGTAGACACATCATCTAAAAGAAGGAGGGAGATGAATCAAGCCAGAAGTTAGAAGCCCCCAGGTAAGGTAACCCCAGCAACACTAGCCATGTGCTGGCTCCTAAAGGGCTCTCCCAGTTGAAAGCATGTGCATAGCTATATAGGTCTTATTTAGAGGACTTTGCTTCCTGTGCTGAAACCACACCACCTCTCATAGCAAGTGGACTACCAGTAAGATTGCTAATTGCATTGTCCAGCCATTTGTCCAATAGTCCAGGTGTTATAAACTCAAATGTCTATTAGGGTGCCAAACAAGTAACACAAGTGAAGCTCTCTAAGGTAAGACAGTTGAAAGTGGAAGGGAACTGTAGTAAACTGAAAGCAGCTGCTAGAAAAAATAGATGCGTACCTTACTTTTTACACCAAAATAAATTCAGGGAATCAATTTAATCAATTTATATCATCAATCAATTACATATCTATCAAAGCAACAACTAAGTCTTTTTTAAGACCTACGAAATGAAGATATCCACAAGTAGATAAAGCCATGTTACATTTTCTTTATTTTTTTTGAGATGGAGTCTCATTCTGTTGCCAGGCTGGAGTGCAGTGGTGCGATCTCGGCTCACTGCAACCTCTGACTCCCTGGTTCAAGAGATTTTCCTGCCTCAGCCTCCCAAGTAGCTGGGATTACAGGCACGTGCCACCATGCCCAGCTAATTTTTGTATTTTTAGTAGAGACGGGGTTTCACCATGTTGGCCAGGATGGTCTCAATCTCCTGACCTCGTGATCCACCCGCTTCGGCCTCCCAAAGTGCTGGAATTAGAGGCATGAGCCACCGCGCCCGGCCCCATGTTACATTTTCTTACTGAGATACATGTAAAAGGATTGGCTGCCATACTCCAAGTGGTCCAACAGAAGGCAGGAAAAATGTCCAGCCCCTTAGAATAGATGAAACAAATTTCAAAGCAATGAGGGGCTGACTTGACTGATGTATGGATCAGGCAGGACCATCATTAAGGCACAATGTCATGATTTTATTGGAATTTTTTTTCTTAGTGAACACAAAATAATGGTGCATCTTGCAATTGATGGTGTCTTAGAAATACTGCATATGTTTTTGTAGTGTGTGGATGCAATACCTTTGAAAGGACACATAAGAATGGTTGGAGCAGTTGCATCTGGGGAACTGGGGAACAGTGTGTATAGACCATTTCATATCTTTTAGATTTTATGCCAAACACAAGGACCATCTATTTAAAAACCTGATACAAATAATAATAATAAAAATAAAATGGTAGCTTTTTATATGCTAATGGAGAATGAAATCTAAAATATACTATAAAAATTTTTAAGTACATACATAAATAGGCAGCACTGCTTAGCTCCAATTTAATTTGCAATGCAGGAATGTAGAGCCAGTGTGCCCAGATCTCATTTTTCAAGAAAAGCTTGAACTCTAGATTTTGTATGAAATCTCCTAATTTTTAAGGTTGACAAGCAATTCAAATTCTTTCAAACATCATTAGGGATAACAAAACCCATCTGTGGGTGGGCTGGGGCCCCGGACTGTCACTTTGGGACATTCACATTGTTCCTGATGGTGGCCCTGTTGCATACACTTATGCAGGTTGTTTGGGGGTGTCTGCCAACAGGACAAGTCAGAAATGAAATACAGACCTGTGCTTTTTTTCACTGAGATATGGACTGTGGCACAGAGCTGCGTGATCCTGGAGCAAAGGACACAAGCGTTACAGTCTGCTCACCAAGCACTGCACCAAACTCACTAAGTTTTCTCAAAAGGGGTGTCTTCTTCTAATTCAAGAAAAGGTGGTCTGTAGGTTTGTGATGGCTTTGCCTGATGAAGAAGTTCAGGAACCCTAGTTTTTAAAGATGAAACTGAAACCCAGATCTGTGTGTGTGTGTGTGTGTGTGTGTGTGTGTGTGTGTGTGTTTCCTGCTGTAAAACAGATAACTTATCTCTCTCTTGGGTTATGCACTCTTTGAGGTGAAAGATTTGCTAGCTCAGAACCAAGTGTGGTTCCTCCCCATGGCTGCATAGGGTTCTGAAGTCCTGTGACTGTCTTGGTTCATCAGGAGTTGACCAAGACGGACATGCAGGTTGTCAAGGAGACAGTTCTTTTTGCATTGTTTGATGAAAATCACCTGCCAAAACTTTTAAATTTATTCCACCTGTCTGTAGCTGAGTGCCCAGCCCTTAGCTGTCACCACTACCTGCTCATTTCCCCACAGGCCAATACGTTACATTGAAGCTAAAGGAAAACAATTTAAATTGGTAGGGCTGTTTGTTGTCCTGAGAATTAATTGAGATAATGCACCGAATGGGTTTGGCATGGTGTCTAGCACTTAGTAAACTCTGAAATGGTCACACTTTAAAAATAAATTGAGATGTAGGCTTCATATATAAAGTGCTAAAAGTCTTCACACCTTATCAAGTTAGAAGCAAAAAATCTTTTGCTATTAGATATCAAAACCCTAGTCTGCCATCCTAGACTCCCCCACACACTGGTTATTACAAGTTGTGGATTCACTTTAATATGGAGATTTCAGTCTGTATGCCCCTTGGTAGCACTGGAAAACAGAGAAGAGCAAGGGAAAATCAGAGGCAGAAAAGTTACTCCTGCCTTTTGGCTTTTTTCTCTCTATTCAACAGTGTCACCTCTACCCACGTAGTGCCCAAATTACTAAGAAACTGGCAATGGTGTAAGTTGAGACATTGACTCTGGTTTGGGACAAAGCAGTCTCCAGGTTTGCCACATGCTGCCTGTGGCACATCCCACATCAACAGGGTAAAAACCAACCTGCATTATAGCATAGTGGCTTCAAGTCTAGATCTTTCTTCATGTGAAAATAGTGATGATTCAAACAATAATGATGGCAATAGTACTCATTTCACAGGGTTGTTTTAAGGAGTAAATGCAGTAATACCTGTAAAGTGTTCAGCATACTCCCGGGCACTGGGAGCTATTATTAGGATCTGAAAAGTAGGACTTATGAAACTTTATTCGTTTATCATACACTAATCAGGTGCCTTTTGTCTCTCTCTCTGCCAGGCATGGTGCTAGAAAGAAGGGAAGACTGGGCCTTTGAGTAGTTTATGGCCTAAGAGATAACAACTTAGGATAGGACAAAAGACAGAGGACATGGTTGTATCTTCATGAGCCACCATCCAAAGGCAATGGGAGTGTGCCTGGCCTATGGGAATTTTGTGTTTTGCACAATTGTACACGGATCATGTTGCTACCTGTACTATAGCTTGAACTTTGCCTTCCATGTGGAGCCAAGTGGGATCAACAATTGAGTAATTTCGACGAAGCTATGACTCACAGAATGAAAGGAATCGAGCTCATTTACTTCATTCCTTGCACTAGTCCTCAGGAAGGTCAATGCCCAAATTATCCAAAATATCTAGGGCTGTCTTTTTCTTCCCAGGGCTGTCTGTGGTGGAGACTTAACTGTTCTCTCTGGAAAGCCACTTGTTTAAGAGCCTCCAATCAAGGGTACTTCTTTCTCATAAATAATCTCATTTTCCTGAAGTGAATCAAGCACATTTTCTCTTAATGAAGGGAAGTGAGCCAGGCAGAGTTTCTATAGGTCACAGGTAGCTCAGCACCCTTCCCACTCCTGCTGGTATTCATCCTCAAGAGCAGCTCATGGCCTTATCACTTTCTCTTTGAGGGAGGCATTAGAGTGCCATTCTGCTGCATTCCACAGGGAGAATATTCAGGGAAGCCCTTCCTGAGAATTTGGTTAAAGGTTAAAGCTTAGTTAACCTGGAAACACCCTATTGTTTTTCAAGAAGTCTCACTAACTTTTCACTACCTGGGGCGAGGGCGGGGGTGGAATCTGGGGAATCTGATTTCCTTTTTCCATTGGTTTCTATGACATAATTAGGGCAGCATCTGCAGGGGCACGGATCCGCAAGGTTAAGGAACCCCTCACTCATCTGTCTCTATCTTAGCCAGGGAGCATGCATACTTCTTGAGAGGGGGAGATCGCTCCTTCCAATAGATATTGTTTCACTTACCACCTACAGTTTTTTAAAGCATTAAACAAAATATTACAAATAAGGAAGCTAGGACATAGTACGCTTCAAGTAAATATTAATTCCTTTTCTTCTAGGTTGGAAAGTTCTTCCCTAAACTGATCTGAATTCAACCTCTGTCTTGCACTCAGATTTTTTCTCACTTCACCTTCTGAGTCAGCATGAGGCAAGCACACTTCTCTACATGACAACTCTTGACGTGTTTGAGATAGCTGCCTTCAGTCTCTCCACCATCTCCAGCCATATTTCATGCTCCTCGCTGTCACTATCTCAAGCACAGCCTGTTCTGAAAAGCCCAGCTAAAATAGACCCTCCTTTGCAGTTATTCTATCAATTACCTTGTTTGTTTTCTTCAAGCACTTTCCACCATCTGAAATTTTCTTGTTCATGTATTTGCTTATTTCTTTATTGTTGATGATAATAGGCTCTTTGAAGGCAGAGATCTTGTGTGTTTTATTCACTACTGGCTTTTGTGCCTTAAACTGTGACTGGAAAGCACTCAACAAATATTGGTTAGTTATTCGTTGAATGAGTAAATAAACAAGTCTGAAACCAAAGTCTTTCAGCCATTCCTTATAAAATTGGACTGTATTCTATTTCCTTGGCTCAGGTAACCAGGTAGCTCCATCCTGTAGATGGTAATGAAGGGTAAATGAGCAAAATCAGAGCAAGGAGCATCTGCTCTCCACTTCTCATTCTTCTTCCTTTGGATGCAGTGTGATACTGAGAATAGCAAAAGCTGTCAGAAATTCAGATCTGATATCTGCTGGTATTTTACTGTGTGACTTTGGAAAAGTCTCTCAACCTTTCTGAGCTTCAGGTTTTGCATATAGTGTGATGGTTAATATTGAGTGTCAACTTGATTAGGATTGAAGGATGCAAAGTATTGTTTCTGGGTGTGTCTGTGAGGGTGTTGCCAAAGGAGATTAACATTTGAGTCAGTGGGCTGGGAGAGGTAGACCCAGCCTTAATCTAATCAGCTGCCAGCACAGCTAGAGTAAAGCAGGCAGGAGAAGATGGAAGAGCAGACTTGCTGAGTCTTCCAGCCTTCGTCTTTCTCCTGTGCTGGATGCTTCCTGCTGTCAAACATCAGACTCCAAGTTCTCCAGCTTTTGGACTCTTGGACTTATTCCAGTGGTTTGCTAGGGGCTCTCGGGCCTTCTGCCACAGACTGAAGGCTGGACTGTCGGCTTCCCTACTTTTGAGGTTTTGGGACTCAGACGGATCCACTACTGGCTTCCTTGCTCCTCGACTTGCAGACGGCCTATGGTGGGACTTTACCATGTGATCGTGTGCGTCAATTCTCCTGAATAAACTCCCTTTCAGATATCCACATATCTTATTAGTTCTGTCCTTCTAGAGAGCCCTGACTAACACATATAGAAAACCTAGAAGTCAGACAACTTGGTCTGGAAGGTGCCCTGGGGCTCAGAAGTTCTGTCAATGGAAATAAAAATGCCACACAGGAGCCCCAGTGTGGCTCAAGTGCACTTATGATCTGGTCATTCTCCAGTAGCAAAGGATCAGTGGCTCCCAAACCCAGATGTATGTTTGAATCACCTAGGAAGTCTGTTTTATTAAATCAGCTTTATCAAGGTACAATTTATGTGCAATTAAATGTACATAGTTTAAGTGTACAGTTACATGAGTTTTGACAAATGTATACACCCATGTAGCTGCCACTCCAATAAAAATGTAGAATATTACTATCACACTGGAAAGTTCTCTTATGCCCCATTACAGTCAATCCACCTAACCTCCTGCCCTATACAACCACTGACCTGATTTCTATAACTATTGGTGAGTTGTATTCATTCTATAACTTTATATATATATATAATATATATACTCACATACTTTATATGTTATGTATATGTGTGTGTATATATAGATATGCGCACGCGCGCGCGCACACACACACACACACACACACACACAGTGTGTACCCTTTTGTGTCTGGTTTCTTTTGCTCAGAATCTTGTTTCTGAGATTTGTTCATGTTGCTGCTTATATCAGGAGTTTGTTCTATTTATATATCTGAGTAATCGTCCATCCTAGGAAGCTTCTTAAATGTAGATTCCTGTGCCCCGATGACACTCTTGACATTAGGATATCTGAAGTCCAGAAATCTGTGAGTTTAACATGCTCCAGAGCAAATTGTTATGCAGAATTTGGGCTTAGGTGCCTTTTAATTAGGGGATTTTTCTCTCAAGTTCAAATAGCTCCCACAATGCAGGTGTTTATGGCTAACAGCAACTTGGTCACAGGTTCTGCGCAGGCCTGAGAACTCTCATTTTTGTTGAGCCATCTTAGCTAGATTTAGTGGCCTGTCTTAGCTCATGAACTTCCTTGTGCCTGTAACACATCCCAGAGTGTAGGCTCTGCAAACACTCTTTCAGCTTCAAGGTATCTGTAAATTGAGTTATAGGTCCCAGTGTTCGCAGGTAAGTCTATAACCTTAATTTATAAAATCTCACCCCTGTCATGGAAAAGCAAAGGTGTTCTGAGTAGCTGTCCATTTCAGCTCAGCTGCTGGAATTACTCATGACAGTTTTATGAGATGTTTTACTGTCCGGGAAAGGTTTTTTTTTTTTTTTTTCCCTTAACAAATGAGGGAAGCATTCTTTGACCATGGTACACAAACGCCACCTTCAGGAAGGAAATATAATATTCTTATTAGACCACAAGGAACATAGTTCATTTTCTTATATGAAAACTTTCAAAAAATTCTTGAGTTTAACATGCAATTTTAAAAAATTTTATTCCAGATTTTTAAAATAGGCTTTCAGTTTTAGGTTCAGAGCAAAATTGAGTGGAAGGTATACAGATTTCCATATCCTCCCTGCCCCTTCATACATAAAACCTCCTCCATTGTCACCACCCCTCATCAGAGTGGCATATTTGTTACAATCAATGAACCCACATCATTATCTCTTAGAGACCATAGTTTCATTAGTGTTAACTCTTAACGTACATTCTGTGGATTCTATAAATATCTAATGACATGTATAATATCATACTGACAGGTGCACTGCCTGATATGGTTTGGCTCTGTCCCCACCCAAATCTCATCTTGAATTCCCACGTGTTGTGGGAGGGACCTGGTGGCAGGTAATTGAATCATGGGGGCAGGTCTTTCCTGTGCTGTTCTTGTGATAGTTAATAAGTCTTATGAGGTCCAATGATTATACAAGGGGGAGATTTCCTGCACGAGCTCTTTGCCTGCTGCCATCCATGTGACATGTGACTTGCTCCTCCTTGCCTTCCGCCATGATTGTGAGGCTTCCCCAGCCACATGGAACTGTAAGTCCAATTCAACCTCTTTTTTTTTGTAAGTTGCCCCATCTCAAGTATGTCTTTATCAGCAGCATGAAAACAGACTAATGCAGTGCACTAAAAATTCTCTGTGCTCTGCCTATTCACCCCTCTGTCCTCCCTAACCCCTGCTAACCACTGATCCTTTTACTATGTCTATAGTTTTGCCTTTTTCAGAGTGTCTTGTATTTAATAGTTGGAATCATACATTATGTAACCTTTTAAGATTGGCTTCTATCAATTAATATGCATTTATGCTTCCCTTTTGCCTTTTCATCGCTTGATAGCTTACTTTTTTAGTACTTCATAATATTCCATTATCTGAATGGACAATAATTTATGTATTCATTCACTTACCAGAGGATATCTTGGTTGCTTCTAAGTTTTGGCAATTATTAATAAGGCTGCTATAAACACTCATATACAGGTTTTTGGAAAAACACATTAAGTTTTCAACTTCTTTGGGTTAATACTAAGGATCATGATTACTGAATTGTATAGTGACAATATGTTTAGCTTTGTGAGAAACTATCAAACTGCCTTCCAAAGTGGTTGTACCATTTTGCATTCTCATTAGCAATGAATGAAAGATCCTCTTGCTTGACATCCTTGTCGACATTTGGTGGTTGTCAGTGGTTTGCATTTTGGCTATTCTAATAAGTGTGATATCACTGTTGTTTTAATTTGCAATTCCCTAATGACATACTATGTAAAGCATCTTTTCATATGCTTATTTGTCATCTGTATATCTTCTTTGTTGAGGCAACTGTCAGGTCTGTTGCCCATTTTTAAATTTGGTTGTCATGTTTTTTATTGTTGAGTTTTAAGGATTCTGTGTATATTTTGGATATCAGTCCTTCATCAGCATGTCTTTTGTATTTTCTCCAAAATTATTGCTCGCTTTCTCATTCCCTTGAGAGTGTCTTTTGAAGAGCAGAAGTCTTTAATTTTAATAAAGTCTAGTTTATCAATTATTTCTTTCATGGACTGTGCCTTTTGAAGTATCTAAAAAGTCATCACCATACCTGAGGTAATCAAGATTTTCTCCCATGTTATCTTCTAGGAGTTTTGTAGTTTTGGATTTTGCATTTAAGTCTGTGATTCATTTTGAATTTATTTTTGTGAAGGGCGGAAAATCTATGTCTAGATTCTTTTTATTCCTTGTGAATGTTCAGTTGTTTGACTCTATGTTGAAAATACTCTTTGTTCCATTGTGTTGTCTTTCTGGGGTCTCTCTTCTGTTCCATTGATCTGTCTATCCTTTCCTCAATACCCCAGTGTCTTAATCACTGTAGCTTTATAGTAAGTCTTGAAATCTGGTAGTGTCAGTCCTCTGTCTTTTTTTTTCCTCCAATTTTTTCTTTTTTTTGCTTCTTCTGGGTCTTTCACTTCTGCATGTAAACTTTAGAATCAGTTGGTTGATATCCACAAAAGAAATTGCTGGGACTTTGGGACTGCTATAGCAAGTAAGGAAGATCTGGCATGTTGGCAATTTTGAGTTTTCATATTCCACTCAATGTAATTTTTATTTCCTTTTCTAGTGTTATTGCACTAGCTAGGACTTTCAGTATGATGTTGAAAAGGAGTGATGAGAGGGGACATACTTGCCTTGTTCCTGATCTTAACGGAAGAGCTTCTAGTGTCTTACCATTAATTATGATGTTAGATGTAGGCTCTTTGTAGATGTTCATTCAGTTAAAATTGCTCTACGTGTCTTAAATATTTGGAAATATTACTCAAAAGTAGAAGCAACGAGCACTCCAGGCCACACTGAATTATGTAAAGAGATTTATCAAGCATCCCTTTTATAATTCAAATGGTTTGTTGTGCTTTAAATCAATTAAATAACAATTGCTCATAAGTAATTTCACACTCAAATCCAGAAAACACACTTCCTACCTGTCTGGTCATTTCATTTATTTTCTTTATTTCTTTTTTTTTTTTAGTACTGTATTATTTTTTCGTTAAATTTTAAAAAATTTTTATGGGTACATAATAGGTGTATAGATTTATAAGTTACATGAGGTATTTTGATACGGGTATGCAATGCATAATAATCCCATCAGGTTAAATAGGGTATCCATCACTTCAAACATTTATCCTTTGTGTTTCAAACAATCCAATTATATTATTTAATTATTTAAAAATGTATAAGTATGAAAAAATGCTCATCATCACTGGTCATCAGGGAAATGCAACTCAAAACCACAATGAGATACCATCTCACGCCAGTTAGAATGGTGATCATTAACAAGTCAGGAAACAACAGATGCTGGAGAGGATGTTGAGAAATAGGAACACTTTTACACTGTTGGTGGGAGTGTAAATTAGTTCAACCATTGTGGAAGACAGTGTGGTGATTCCTCAAGGATCTAGAACTAAAAATACCATTTGACCCAGAGATCCAATTACTGGGTATATACCCAAAAGATTATAAATCATGCTACTATAAAGACACATACACACATATGTTTATTGTGGTACTATTCACCATAGCAAAGACTTGGAACCAACCCAAATGTCCATCAATGATAGACTGGATTAAGAAAATGTGGCACATATACACCATGGAAGACTATGCAGCCATAAAAAAGGTTGAGTTCATGTCCTTTGCAGGGACATGGATGAAGCTGGAAACCATCATTCTCAGCAAACTATCATGAGGACAGAAAACCAAACACCACATGTTCTCACTTATAGGTGGGAATTGAACAATGAGAACACATGGACGCAGGGTGGGGAACATCACACACCGGGGCCTCTCGGGGGCTGGAGAGCTGGGGGAGGGATAGCATTAGGAGAAATACCTAATGTAAATGACCAGTTGATGGGGGCAGTAAACCAACATGGCACATGTATACCTGTGTAACAAACCCACACGTTGTGCACATGTACCCTAGAACTTAGAGTATACAAAAAAAGAATCAAAAAGTGGGAGAAGGATATAAACAGACACTTCTCAAAAGAAGTGTTTATGCAGCCAATAAACATGAAAAAAATCTCATCATCACTGGTCATTTGAGAAATGCACATCAAAACCACAATAAGATACCATCTCACGACAGTTAGAATGGCGATCATTAAAAAGTCAGGAAACAACAGATGCTGGAGTGGATGTGGAGAAAAAGGAACACTTTTACACTGTTGGTGGGAGTGTAAATTAGTTCAACCATTGTGGAAGACAGTGTGGTGATTCCTCAAGGATCTAGAACCAGAAATACCATTTGACCCAGCAATCCCATTACTGGGTGTTTACTCAAAGGATTATAGTCTATTATAAAGACACATGCACATGTATGTTTATTGTGGCACTGTTCACAATAGCAAAGACTTGGAACCAACCCAAATGCACATCAATGATAGACTGGATAAAGAAACTGTGGCACATATACACCGTGGAATACTATGCAGCCATAAAAAATGATGAGTTCACGTCCTTTGCAGGGACATGGATGAAGCTGGAAACCATCATTCTCAGCAAACTAAGACAGGAACAGAAAACCAAACACTGCATGTTCTCACAAGTGGGAGTTGAACAATGAGAACACATGGACACAGGGAGGGGAATATCACACACTGGGGCATGTTGTGGGTTGGGGGTCTAGGGAAGGGATAGCATTAGGAGAAAGACTTAATGTCGATGACCAGTTAATGGGTGCAGCAAACCACCAGGGGACGTGTATACCTATGTAACAAACCTGCACGTTCTGCACATGTATCCCAGAACTTAACATATAATTAAAAAAAAAAGTGAAGAAAAAGAAATATATCTGGTATATTATGGGAAAATAATTAAACCAACCCGAGGGGTGTATTAAAAAATGTACAAGTACATTGCTATTGACTATAGTCACCCTGTTGTGCTAGCAAATATTAGGACTTATTTATTCTTTCTAACTATTTTTTTTACCCATTAACCATCCCCTCTTGCCCCAACTCCTTCCTGAGTACCCTTCCCAGTATCTGGTAACCATCCTTTTACTTTCAATCTCCATGAGTTCAATTATTTTAATTTTAAGCACCCATGGGTAAGTGAGAACATATGATGTTTGTCTTTCTGTGCCTGGCTTATTTCACTTAACATAATGACCTTTGGTTCTATTCAGGTTGTTGCAAATGACAGGATCTCATTCTCTTTTGTGGTGAAATAGTACTCCATTGTGTACATGTACCATATTTTCTTTATCTATTTGTCCATTGATGCACACTTAGGTGGCTTCCAAATGCTGGCTATTGTGAATAGTGCTGCAATAAACATGAGAGTGCAGATATCTCTTCAATATACTGATTTCCTTTCTTTTAGGTGTCTATCTAGCAGTGAGCTTCCTGGATCATATGGTAGCTCTATTTTTAGTTTTTCTGAGGCACCTCCAAACTATTCTCCATAGTGGTTGTGCTAATTTACATTTCCACCAACAGTGTTCCCTTTTCTCCACACCCTCACAAGCATTTGTTATTGCCTCTCTTTTGATCTAAGCCATTTTAACTGGGGTGAGATGATATCTCATTGTAGCTTTGATTTGCATTTCTCTGATGATCAATGTTGTTGAGCAGCTTTTTGTATTCTTGTTTGCCATTTGCATGTCTTCTTTTGTGAAATGTCTATTCAGATCTTTTGCTCATTTTAAAATTAGATTATTAGATTTTTTTCCTGTAGAGTTGTTTGAGCTCCTTATATATTCTGGTTATTAATCCCTTGTCAGGTGGGTAGTTTGCAAATATTTTCCCTCATTCTGTAGGTTGTCGCTTTACTTTGTTGATTGTTTCCTTTGTTGTGCAGAAGCTTTTTAACTTGATATGATCCCATTTGTCCATTTTTGCCTTGGTTGCCTGTACCTGTGGGGTATTACTCAAGAAGTCTTTGCCCATTCCATTGTCTGGGAGAGTTTCCCCATTGTTTTCTTTTAGTAGTTTCATAGATTAGAGTTTCAGATTTAAGTTGTTAATCTGTTTTGTTTTGATTTTTGTATATGGCAAGAGAGAGGGGCCTACTTTAATTCTTCTGCATATGGATATCCAGTTTTCCCAGCAGCATTTATGGAAGAGACTGTCCTTTCTCTAATGTATATTCTTGGAAACTTTGTTGAAAATGAGTTCACCGCAGATATATGGATTTATTTCTGGATTCTCTATTTTGTTCCACTGGCTTATGTGTCTGTTTTTATGCCAGTGCCATGTCGTTTTGGTTACTATAACTCTGCAGTATAATTTGAAGTCAGGTAATGTTATTCCTCCAGTTTTGTTCATTTTGCTTAGGATAGCTTTGTCTATTCTGGATCTTTTATGGTTCCACATAAATTTTAAGGTTATTTTTTCTATTTCTGTTGAAGAATGTTATTTGTATTTTGATAGAGATTACAGTGAATCCATAGCTTGCTTTTGGGGAGTGTATTAGTTTGCTCTCATGCTGCTAATAAAGACATATGTGAGAATGGGTAATTTATAAAGGGCAGAGGCTTAATTGACTCACAGTTCAGCATGGCTGGGGAGGCCTCAGGAAACTTACAATCACGGCAGAAGGGGAAGCAAACATGTTCTTTTTCACATGGCAGCAGCAAGAAGTGCAGAGCAAAGCAGGGGAAAAGCCCTTTATAAAACCATGAGATCTTGTGAGAACTCACTATCATGAGAACAGCATGGAGGTAACCAACCCCATGATTCAATTACCTTCCATCGGGTCCCTCCCATGACACGTGGAGATTAGGGAACTACAATTCAAGATGTGATTTGGGTGGGGACATGGCCAAACCATATCAGGTAGTATGGACATTTTAACAATAGTGATTCTTCCAATCCATGAATATGGAATATCTTTTCATGTTTTTGTGTGTCTTCTTGAATTTCTTGAAGTAATGTTTTACAATTTTTATTGTAGAAATGTTTCACTTCTTTGATTAAGTTTATTCCCAGATATTTTATTTGTAGCTATTATAAATGAGATTACTTTCTTGATTTATTTTTCAGATTGTTCACTGTTAGCATATAAAAATGCTACAGATTTTTTATGTTGATTTTGTATCCTGCAAATTTACTGAATTTGTTTATCAGTTCTAATAGCTTTTTGGTGGAGTCTTTAGGTTTTTTCAAATATGAGATCATATCATTTGTAAACAGGGATAATTTGACTTCTTCTTTTCCAATTTGGATGCTATTAATTTCTTTCTGTTGTCTGATTGCTCTAGCTAGGATGTCCAGCAGGATGTTGAATAACAGTGGTGAAAGTGGGCATCCTTGTCATGTTCTAGATGTTAGAAGAAAGGCTTTCAGTTTTCCTGCATTCAGTATGATACTAGCTATGGGTCTGTCATATATGGCTGTTATTACGTTGAGGTATGTGGTCATTTCATTTTAATCCAGTCTTTTGGATTATAAAAAATTTATCTTAAATTAAAATGAATGTGCTGGTTTCTCTTTAGTCTATGTGTTGTTACATAAATTCTTTCTTAATTGGCTACCATTAAACATTATGAATTTTACCACTGTGGTCTACCTTTTTGTTCACTGTTAGTTTCATGACGGTTTCAACCATTTGTCGTATCTTTCAACATCTTTTATGTGGCTAATACTATAATAAAAATACAAAGGAGTATGAGTTACAGCTTCATCCTTCCAGGAACTTAGAGATCCATTGGGGAGTCAGGAGAGACATTGAGAATAGCCAAGAGACATTGCAAAGCAGAGTGTGATTAATCACCAAAATGAATAATGCTGGTTATAAGTGCAAAAGAATGTCTGGGAAATGGCAGAGCAGTGTGGTTTGGAGGTATTGGGGAAGGTCTTAGAATGAAGGCAGTAAAGAAATTGGTCCTCATGGGGTAGGCTGAATTTGCAACTGTGTGAAAGGAAGAAGAAAAGTAATTTCTTCTGGTCAGCATGAGCAATGACTTGGAGTTGGGAATAAGCATGGCGTGGGTAAGAACAGCATAAGCAGAGCATGAAAGGAATGGTCATGGGGTCTCAGATGAATGTGGAGGGGGTAAGTCTCTCCTTGAGGTGTGGTTCTTCATGGTTTTATTTTCTATAATGATAAAAGAAGGAATTTTTTTTACATTTTAATAAAATAAACCAGAACTGTGATTTAGTTTCATATAATATGTGGCTCATTAAAAATAATTATAGCTATCAGAAATATAACAGAATGATTAAATTGTCCTCCCTTAGGAAGTTGGGATATGGGATATCCTTTCCCTCTTTCCTATTACATTTTCGGAAAGTAGTAAGAGTGTTGGCCTGGCTGAAAAGTGGACTGCTGCATCGTATGTAGGAGGTAGGCAGATCCTATATCCCATTAATAATAACTGGCCTTCACTACTCCCATTTCTTCTGGGAATCCCCTTGCCCACCCATGAAGGAAAGGAACTACTGCAGAGAATGCGAGCCCTTTCCTATTGTTATAAAGACAGACTTGGTTGCTGCATCCATAGAAAAATGTTTAGTGTACTAAATATAAATACCTTTGAATTTCCTGCTGCTTTCAGTTGAGCCTCAGTTCCCCATTTGTCTGCTCACTGAAAATGTACTGCATATATGGCTTATCATTATCAGGTTTTAGTGCTACTAAGGAAACCTGCATTGTAGGGCCTTGTGGTATTAATGCCAGAGGTTGCTTCTGCTACCTATCTTTGGAGTAACATGGTAGAACGCATTATGAATGGTGCTCTCTGGGGTTGTAGGACACAGATCATCTCTGTAGTTCCTAGCCTACTCTGGAGAAATTTAAAAGTAGCAGCATCAGTTACAAAATCTATACAAAAGTTTTAATCTGAACTTCCAAAACCACTGCCCTTTTTCATAAAACAGCACAAGTATATTTCTCCCTCTTCAGCACTGACCACTTATAAAATCTCCCACTGTGAAAGATAATATTAATAATATGTGTATATATTCTCTTGAAAAGCTTTCTTGTTAATGTGAATTAACAATGCCTTTCACTTATTATTTTTTAACACATTCAACAAGTGTTTATTGAATACTCACTTTGCAAAAAGCCCATGCTTAGTGATGGGAGTACACCGGACAGCAAAACAGATAGTCATTACTCCCAGGGCATGTAGAGTTTAGTAGGAAAGGCAAGAAATACACCACAGCAATAAAATGCAACAAGTGCTCATATGGGAGGAATACAAGGTGGGGGCATATCAAAAACCTGTTCTGATGGATAAATAAGAAATTAGCCAGACAATGGGAAGAGGAAGAATGCTACAGGGAGAGTAACAGCCTGGGCAGAGGACCAGTATTGCTGGAGCAGAGAGTGTGGGAGAAAGGGGTGCAAGCCAAGACCAGAGAGAGGATCAGGGGTCTAATTATGATGGCCTCTGTGAGTCTTCTGCAGGAGTGTGAATTTTATCGAAAGGGCAATAGGAAGCCGTTGAAGAATTTAAAACAGAGGAGCAAAATGTGCATATTAGAAAAATGTGCCTTGTACTCCCTACTGAAACAGAGACACTGACAAAGGCTTGTTTATAAACGCTAAGCAGCAGCAAACATCCATATTGAGTCCCAGTTGTACCACATATTGAAATAGTCACCTGTTAGCATTATTTTTCTTTTCTTTTCTTTTCTTTTTTTTTTTTTTTCTCCGAGGCAACATTTTGCTCTTGTTGCCCAGGCTGGAGTGCAATGACCCAATCTTGGCTCATTGCAACCTCTGCTTCCTGGGTTCAAGCAATTCTCCTGCCTCAGCCTTCTGAGTAGCTGGGATTACAGGCATGTGTCACCACGCCCAGCTAATTTTTTGTATTTTCAGTAGAGATGGGGTTTCGCCATATTGCCCAGGCTGATCTCGAACTCCTGACCTCAGGTGATCTGCCCGCCTTGGCCTCCCAAAGTGCTGGGGTTACAGGCGTGAGCCACCGTGTCTGGCCAGCATTATTTTTCATTTCGGGTCAGAGTGAAATATGGAAAAGGAAACCAAAAGTAGTATTGGTACTTGGAATTCTGTGGGATTCAGCGATTTCTATGAGCCAGGAGAATTTAAAATGAGACTGATGCTTCAAAATCATGAAGGAAACTGTTTCGATAGTGTCCAGATCAAAAAGGGTGAAAGGAAACAGCCATAACATTGCCAGTGGTTATCTCTATTATGAGTGATTTTGTTTTATGCTTTATATTTTTTGGTAGTCTCCAGATTTCTATATTATTTTTATAATTGGAGAAAACATTACTTTCATTTTGAGTATGATAATAGAAATGAAGTTAAACTTTCCAGAATTTTTCTTCTTTCTTTTATTCTTTTTTCAAAATTTCATGTTTGCATATCCTCAAGGTCATGGAAGGCATGTTTAGATTCATTATTCATTACTTAGGATCCTGGGATTCTAGAGAAAAAGTCCTGAGAGGTCAGACTCACACAGAGGTGATAAATTCCAGTTCACCATTGATTTTTATAGAAGCTGCCTTCCTTCAGCCTCTTCTTCCCCTAAGCAGCATTAATAAGGGAATTCATGTCTTCTTTCAAATTTTAATGTTCAATCCTAGCCTGTCACTGAAGTAGGTTTGTGCAACTAATACAGCTTTCCTTCTAAAATCTTATTTTCTGAAATATCTCAGAAAACATATTTAGAGGAGGTGGTAAGGGATGGGCCGTTGTCAGATGTGCAACTTACTGGAACAACTTGGATGACTTGGTAAAGGCCTTACTTGAAAGTAGTGATGGGGGCCTTCATTTTATCAGAAAGGAAAATGAGACCCAGAGAAGTTACACAACTTGACCAAGGCCATGGAGCTAATTACTAGCAGAACTGGGTCTAGCTCACATTTTCCTACTCTTAGAATATTGTTCTCCCTCCACTACATTGCCTGCACATTAATGGTGTCCACCTGGGAAGGAGGTTTTCATAGGGGTAGGATGACAGGCTAGTCGTCTCATAACAGGGGCCAAGAGCACTAGGGAAGTGGAAGGAGTAGGGATGGAAATCAACAGGATAGGGGGATAGGTGCCAACCTCAGGGCAAGGCGCAAACAATGCAGTCTAATCCTAACCGGGCTGGCAAGCTGAATTTGATGGGTCCATCCGGCTGAGTTGTCCAAGCTGTAGTCCCTCCACTGCACCCAGCTGGCAGGATAAAAACCATTTGAAAAATATCCGGAAATTGCTACACACCAGGGAGCATCTGTGAAAAATACAGACCACAAATGAGCTGGCAGGGGCTCAGGGACTGCCAAGTCACCCAGCCTTGGCGGGTTTGTCTGAAGGGGTTCCGGAGTTGTTTCCCAGATGGGCTACTCGGCTGCTGAAACTGCTTGGGCCTGATGGACATTTTTTGCAGAATGTTTCTCTAATGCAGAAGATATGTTCCTGAAAATCTATGGGTATACCAGAATCTCTGACCTAGAATCATATTTTTCAAATGTAGTCATGAATAAGCCTGTGGTGATGCTCTACAGTTCTTCCTCTAAAGTGAAGAATTTTTCACAAATAATTTGCTCTTTCATAAATCTGTGTTTTTGATGCAAAATCCACCCAGGGTCATCTGAGTGAAGAAATTCCAGAGCACTGAGACATTTTGTGCTTTTTTATGTTGCTGCTGGGGAATGGGAAGGGAGAAGCAGAATTAGGCCCTTTTCCCAATGGGCTGGGATCAGGGGGATTGCCCCACCCTGTTGGGAATTTGCCCAGTTTCTTATTCCAATGGCTGCTTAAGAAATCAGAGCTGGAGATTCCTAACCCCAACACGTTAGCTCATCCTTTTCTAGCCCAGGCTATTCCCAACTTCCTTCGGTGATTTTTCTTGTTGTCTACACCATAATGTCCCCTCCAAACTGCCGATAATGTCCTCAACGAGATATGTAAATATTTTGGTTTGAGATCAGAGTCCATGGTCTTTTATCTTGTTTGGGAATGAGACTGCCTGCTGACATCTATTGATTGGTTGTTATTTTCTCTGATCCTTTCACCTGCTGGGTAGGATCAAGCAGTTCACCAGATAAGGGTGGTCTGAGTTTTAATAAAACAGTTGAAATTAAAAGAATAAAATGTGGCCGGGCACAGTGGCTCACGCCTGTAATCCCCAGCACTTTGGGAGGCCAAGGTGGGTGGATCACCCGAGGTCAGAAGTTCAAGACCAGCCTGGCCAACACGGCGAGACTCTGACTCTACTAAAAATAACAAAAATTAACTGGGCATGTTAGCTGGGCGTGGTGGCGGGTGCCTGTAATCCAAGCTACTCGGGAGGCTGAGGCAGGAGAATCGCTTGAACCAGGGAGGCAGATATTGCAGTGAGCTGAGATCGCGCCATTGCACCCCAACCTGGGCAACAAGAGCGGAACTTTGTCAAACAAAAAAAAATATTTGCTCAAATACACCAGCTGTTTTGTTCGTGAACTTCTACCTTCTTAGTGATCTGTCTGGTGGCTTCTGTTTATTTTAATCAGGTGCAAGACCATAGAGGCTGAGAAGGAAGAGAAGTCAGCAACAGAAATAACCTCACTAACAGCAAGACCCCCAGAGAAGCTAAAAACATTCCAGGCAGGGCTCACAACAGCTCTCAGAGCAGAATTCCCAAGGCATCACTTATGGTTTCTACAAGAGCTTTTGCCTTGCTGTTCCTTCCCCTACATGCGACCTTTCAGCCCCAGTGAGTCCAGAGGCTTTCTGCAGAGAGAACTGAGTCAGACTGTGAAGAAGAGGCTTTGGGCAGCTAAGAGGTATGAGAGAGAAAGAACAAGGGGAGAGACGATTTTAAGTAGTACTTAGTGACAGAAATGGAAGCTCCCTTAATTTCTTTAAAAAACAAAAGTAAAAAATGGAATTTCTTTTTATTACTTTTGGTTCCCGGATGTTTCTGAGTGCATCTAAGTATCACCTGAGCCATATGGGATTTCGGCGTTTATTCAATTTATATAAAAAATATTTTCTTTTAATAAAGGAGGTTGGGAGTGGGGATGAAGGGTTATTTTATTTCAGAAATCCTTCAGAGACACCGAGGACTCAACCCACTGGGTTTCAGTGAAAGCCCCATAGGAGACACTGAGTTTGGCAGAGACTACTTTGTCCCTTGTCAACACAGCCCTCAGATGGGTCCAAGCTAACATTAGGAATTCATCTTCCATCTTAGCCATGTGTTCTTCCAAATCAAAGAAAATCTAATGGTTGCAAAAAAAGGGCCAATCACCTCACTCCTTTATAAATCACCACTAGAGAGTCCCACTCAGAGGAATTTTCAGAACCTTTCAAAGGGGCTGTTACAAGTGTCCACTTACATTGCCTAGGCCAGCCCTGCCAACTACAGGATCCTTTTTTTCTTTTTTCTTTTTTAATCATGGTTTCCTATGTGATTGCTGCTAAGTTTCCTTGCCAGAACCTTTTGCTTTTCTTACATTACATCAGTATTGACAACCCCATTTCATTTAAAAATATTTCTTATTTATGTGAACTGACTCTAGTTGCCATCCACCAATGTGGATTTCACTATCCACATGGCAACTGCCATGCCACTTAAGCATGGCCTGCTTTAGTCCAGAGCCTCCCAAGCTTGAGTATGCATCAGAATCATCGCTGGATGGTGTGCTCATTTAAAAGTAAGGATTCCAGGTCTTATCCTAGGAATTCTGATCTAGGTGTTCTAGGGTGGGGCCAGGAATTCGCATTTTAACACAGCCTTCCACTGATTCTGATGCAGGTGGTTCCTGACTGCACTTTGAGAGAAGCTGCTAAGGGTACTTTCCATAGAGCCCATCCAGACACACCTGGTGAATCACCCACCTCCCCCAGGCCTGCAACCTGTGCTTGCTAGCATAGGTGAACATTCACAAAGGAAAAAGCAATGGCCAACTGGGGGTTCACTGCCGTGTTTTGGTGCATAACAGAGCACACGGAAGGCATATCCTATTTGGGTCTAGCTCAGCATAAATTCAGGAACCTTCTGGCTAGATAAGATACACAATTCATGGCAAAGGATCCACAATTAAAAGATTAAAATCAGGCTTCCTTTTTGCTTCCTGCAAGCCGATTGGTCATGATGGCATGGAAAAACAGCTACTTGGTGAGGGGTAGACACATAGTGACTGTCTTCATAAGCCAAGGGCTGATTTTGTGGAAGGGGCATTAGTTATCCCGTGTGGCTCTGGAGAAGAACAAGGAGCAGTAAGTAGAAGTTGTAGGGAAGTAGAGTTTAGATCAATGAAAGGAAGTTGATGATTGAAGCTCTTGAAAATGAAGTGGCCTCCACTATGTGGCAGGGAGCCATATTTGTATGTCTGTCATTTGAGAGCCACAATGAAGAGGTTATGTTAGTTAATCAACCGCTTTATGTATCCCACATTTATTGACATAATATGGGGGTAGTAGAAAGAGTCCTGGACTTGGAATCAAACCTGGACTCAAAATCCTGGATCCCTTACTTACTGTGTGGCCATGGGAATGTAATTTAACCTTTGTAAGGTTAGTGTGATAATTGAATAGATAGCATATGTCATCATCTGGCGCTGAGCAGGTAGCACCTGCTCATATGCATTTGCTCCCTGCTGCTTTCTTCTGTGTCTGGCATTGTTCTAGCCATCAGGAAAATAAGGATGAGTAAGACACTGTGTCTCCCCTCCAGGAGCTCCCCAAATAACAGTGGGAGACAACCAGCAACACAAATATGGCTTGAAATTGTAGTTGGTGTAATATAGTGCAATGTGGAAAGGCTAAAGGAGGCCCAGGATCGGGAGGGACTTGCAGGTCTCTGGGAGCTGATGTTTTCTGTCAACTCAGGCTCTTGGTCCTGTCATTTGAATTCTGCTTTCCAACTTGGAATAACTTCCCATCACTGGGAAATGCTAAGGGGCAAAGAGAAATTGTGCTATAAACCAAAGGTAAAATTCCCCTTAGTTATTTGTTTCTTTGAATCCATAAGCCCAGCAAAAGTTTTCTGAGCACCTACTGATGCCAGGCAGCAGCTTGGAATGTGGGACTAATAGACACAATTCTTGGCTGCATGAGGTCCACAGTCTAACTAGGGAGACAGGCAGAGATGGATAAATACACTCAGTCCACAATACCCTAATGTCCATTTCAACCAACAATGTCTTCTTGCTGTTCCACATTATTGTTAGATTTAATATCCTGGGCCAGCAAAACTCACTTTGGCCAACATGGCACTCCCTCTTCTAATGATGCTAAACTCACAATAGAACTTTTTTATTCATGGTTTGGTTCAAAAACTTTATTCTTGGAGCTTTATAATAGTACTATTCAAACTCTTTTGATAATGTATTTTTCTTAGTAAATAATCTTTGAACTTACATATATATATATAAGTTCTTTATATGTATGGCTACTATTAACTAACTTCTCAAGGCACAATATGCACTGCAGGCAAGGTCATCATTAGCAACAACATTTATCAATCTGTATATTAAATCGTCTTGATTACTTCTATTTTAGGACATTCAATTAATTATTAGATGTTATGAGTTGGTCATTTTTTTTCTTTGTATTGTTTCTGAAAGGGTCACATTAGGAGTAAATGAACCTCTGCCATTGTATTTTGATAAGTTTATGAGATCGCATTATTGCAAATATCTTCAACCCACAGTTCCATGTGGAACTCCACTTTGTGAAGACAAGCTTAGTTAAAACAAGATGATGCATTTGTGGAGTCACTTAACTGGGCACACAAAAACTGCAAATGTCTCAGCAGCTCCAAAGCAGAGGAAGGATGAAGGGTGGCTGCCAACCCCACTGCTTTGTGGAAGTTCCACACCTTGCTGAGGACACCTCATGCCTCTCATAGGATCCTGACCTGCTGACGTACAGACAGAATATGTGAGAAATACAGGTAAAGTTGGTTGGTTTTCAAATTTTAGATAAACAGAAATAGAAGTTCCAATTTTTTCTTTCTGCTTCCTGCTGGATGATCTTGTGCTCCCTCAGAGCATATGCTACACACTTGGAGCCGACTCTCCAGTCCATCTTGTTAAAATAAGCAGCTCCACACACAGACTGTGCTCAACAGTAGCCCCCTTGCTTGCCCAGGAACACCATAGAGCTCAGGTGTGTTTCTGCTGTTTCTAATGTAGAAGCATTTTTATGAATGATGGGAAATTTGCTAGTCTTTTCTTATTCCCTTTGTCAATTGCAATTCAGTGTCCAGGAATTATTACCTGATATAAAAATTAAAAATGAACTTCATAGTTTAAAAAAGACATTTTTTAAAAACTCAACTTTGTGGTGGGGGGTAGAGGGAGGGAAGTGAAGGAAAAAGGGGTAGTTCCCTTGACACAGTTTTGGGGTCCATTTTCACGAGAAGAAAAAGGAAAGACAAGCTTTGTACATTAATCATTATATAATATCAAAACATTATTTTATATTAAAATACTCTTGCCATTTAACTCTATACACAAGAACTAAAAATCATTATTTTAGTGAAAGAGAGATGTAGTTCTATATATTCTTTTGTCCTCCTCTATCCCTTTTAGAATGCATCTAGAACAAGCATTCTTAATCTTTTTTGTACCATAAACCCATAGCTGTTTCGTTGTAAACTATAGACAACTTCTCAAAATATTCTTTGTGTGCCAAATATTAATAATATATATAGATTTTCAAAGAAAACCAATTATGCTGAAATATTCAAAAGTCATAAGGTTAAAATAGCAAATATATGAAATACTAATGCACGTGTTTTATACTAACTCATTAAGTAACGAGATCTAATGACAGGTCTATCAGAATTTCAAAGTAATGGTGAGTGTAAACAATACTTTTTGATATCTGCAATAATTATAATGTGATTTTTTAAATCTATAATTTCTACTGTTGACAACATTACTAATAATACTACTATGGTTAGTTGTCCATATTCATAATTGAAGAAAATCCTAAATATTAAATAGCAGTTTATAGAAATAAAAATGCAAGATTTTGCCCATCTAACTTCATGTACCCCTGGCCTTCTCAATAGTGGACCAAGGGAACTAACTTGTGGGTGTAATAGTCACATGCTTTCCAGAAGGTGTCAGACTTGCATTTTGGAAAATTGAAATCTACTTCCTTCTCTAATCCCCCCAAACCAACAAGTCTCCTGACTCACTTTCAAGATAGGTAATCCAGCAGCTGGAATCATTCAAAATTAGATGAAATATGCTTATTTCAAAGACAGACTAAGCACTTCAACAAAACAAATTCTACAAGGGCTAAGAAAGTGCTGTTTAAATGAAGAAGTTTTATAGCAAAGAACCGTCTAAAGAAACAGAATTGTTTTCCGGTCTTTTCAGTATGAAGAAAGGATTTATGTTGTCAGCAAGGATAGACATTGTGAAGTTTCTGAAAATACATCACAGAAAACTTATGGCTGAAGATAGATAATTTATATCCTCGTAGGAGTCCATACAGAGGAGGATTATAGAACAGAAGAGATACTGAAAATCCAGGCTATAGGCAGAGGCTTCTGGATACAAAGCAGGGATTAGGCTATGGCTCTTCCTTTCATCTGAGAATTCTTCACACTCTTCCGGAAAACAAAAGAATTTATTGGAAATCCAGTGCACGGAGTGAAAGATGCTTCCTAAAGAAGTCACTGTTCTTTTATGAACTACATGGGCTTCTAACATATCTAAGGCATATATTATGAATTATTTAGTGGATTTTCTTACATGAATGGGTAATCTACAAATGGGTAGATTCTGATTATGCATGTTGAATTTTGGGGAACTACTTCCCTTTCCCCCTGATTTTTGTATTACAATTTCTGACTGATCTTCATTTGAAAATGAGCCCTGTAATGGTCTGCACTGTTGTTCCAATGATCTGCTGACTCTAGAAAGGACTAATGTCAACTAATGTCAAGCTTGGCCAAGTGACTTGATTTGTTAATGAAATCTAAGCAGCAAGTGACGTGTCAGGCCCAAGCAGAAGTTTTAATAGTCACTGAGTATCTCTGCCATCTCTTTTTCTTTTTCCTCTGCCTTAGGAATGATATATCCCAGATCAAACTGCTTCTTAAGCTCGTGTTATGGAAGAAAAAGACATATGCAACATAATGGCAGCTCACTGCAGCTGAAGTAATATAAGTAAGGAAAAAGCCTTTATTGCTTTAGGCTACTGATGTTTGGAGGTTGGTTGTTTCACAACAAAGCATAGCAAAAACTGATTAATATAGACTCTAACTCTTTAATTTTCCATTTTCTCCCTCCCTTTCCTGGTTCAAGTAGTTATTTTATTATTTTTTTGTTTGAGAAGGAGTCTCCCTCTGTTGCCCAGGCTAGAATGCAGTGGCTCGATCTCTGCTCACTGCAACCTCAGCCTCCTGGATTCAAGAGCTTCTCCAGCCTCAGCCTCCTGAGTAGCTGGGATTACAGGCATGAGACACCAAGCCCGGCTAATTTTTGTATTTTTAGTACAGACAGGATTTCACCATGTTGGCCATGCTGGTCTTGAACTCCTGATCTCAAGTGATCTGCTTCCCTCGGCCTCCCAAAGTGCTGGAATTACAGGCATGAGTCACCGTGCCTGGCCTCAAGTAATCTTGATCTATAAACAAAACAAAAAGACAAATTTATTATGAGTGGCTCTATTTAACAACCACTTCTAAAATAAATAAGAAGGCAAAATCTTATCTTTCTCCTTCTTCAATCTTTCTGTTTCTTTGAAGTTTTATTTGCTTGCTTTTTTCCCCCCAGTCACTAAATCCCATCTGTTAGTGTGTGATTGGCTGTGGAAACTTTCTGGGTTCTTGTCAAAGAGAACATAACTATTTTATTTGGGGACAAGTTGCTGGCTCCTAGAAAAACCTTCTAGATCTCTTAAACTGGGCAGTCACAGTCTTGCTCTTTTTTCTATCATCTATATCTATAAGTCTATCTAAAGATAGACTTTTTTTATAAAGAGACAAAATTTCACTGACTGTATGTTCTAAATTTCAAGGCAGTCCCTATTTCAAATATCTCATCTTATTGACTCAATGGTAAGCACAAGCACCCAATTTTTTCTTCTAAGAATGCTTTAAGAAAATGTATGATTTGGCCAGGCACGGTGGCTCATGTCTGTAATCTCAGACCTTTGGGAGGCCAAGGTGGGCGGATCACTCGAGGTCAGGAGTTCGAGACCAGCCTGGCCAACAGGTGAAACTCTGTCTCTACTAAAAATACAAAAAAATTAGCCAGGCGTGGTTGGGGTGTGGGAGGCTGAAGTCACAGCTGCTCAGGAAGCTGAGGCAGGATAATCGCTTGAACCCGGGAGGCGGAGGTTGCAGTGAACCGAGACCACGCCACTGCACTCCAGCCTGGGTGACAGAGCGAGATTCCGTATCAGAAAAAAAAGAAGAAGAAGAAGGAGAAGGAGAAGGAGAAATGATTCTACTTATATAAAGTTAAAAAATATGCCAAATGAAATTATACTGTTAAGTAAGCACAGTGTTTATCTTTTGAGGAAGGACTAGAGTGGTAATTGGGAAAGGGCATGAGGGGGCTTTGAGCAGTGGTAGTGTTTTATTTCTTATCCTGCACGGATGGACAGATGAGTGTTCACTTTATAGTAATTTGTTTATATTTTTCATTTATGATAATTCATATATATATATAATAGTGTATTTTTCTGCATGATATATGACACTTCAGAATAAAAAATTTTAAAATTATAGTAATTATAGCCAATAGTCTACTGAAAACACATGAAATTAAATGCTTGAGAATTAACAAACTCTAACTTAGATGCCGATTTTGTTGTGTAACAGAGAAAAACACAATCTCACCCATCCTGGCTTTCTTGAGCTAGGAATCAAGCGTAGTTCAATTTAGCACTCTTTTTTCTATATTGAGTGTTCTTGGTTTCTTACAGTTTATGTTTTTTTTTCTTCTACAGCTTATCTGCAGGAAAAACACATTAGTTATGTAATTATATAATAGGTAACTATATATTGCAGTGGATAATTATATGTTGTATAATTAGGTAATTATATATACTATATAATGAACTACACATGTAATAAGTACAGGTGGCCTTCCACATCTGCGGATTCACCCAAGCGTGAATCAAAAATATTTGAAAAAATTGCATCTGTCCTGAACACGACAGACTTTTTCCTTGTCATTATTTTCTAAACAATACAGCATAACAAGTATTTACATAGTATTTACATTGTATTAGGTATTATAAGTAATCTAGAGATGATTTAAACTGTACAAGAGAATGTGTGTAGGTTGTATGCAAATACTATGCCATTTTATATCAGAGACTTGAGCATCCTTGGATATGGGTATCCACAGAAAGTCCTGGAACCAATTTCCTGGGGATACTGAGGAAATTCTACTATTAAATACAGAGTACTGGAGATTTTAAACCTTATCTCTGCCCTGCTGTTATCAGCTAGCAGAGGAGAAACAGTCTAACATATATAACACTCCAATCTAGAAGAGAAAACAATTGAATTCATTAGTTTATTAATAAACTAATTATGTGTTAATGTAATACATGTAATAAATTCTGTATTAAGTACATTAATAAATGATCAATTTTAGAGGCAAAGCTAATGATGCCACACTAAGAGATGCAAAAAGTTTCAATTCTCCCCTTGCCTCTGGATGCTCCCACCATTGCTATCAGAAGTCATCCAATTCTGGGCAGAATCTGACTCTTCAGGGCTCACTTTGATCTTCAAATCTCTTCCATCTGTCTTTTCACACAAGCCTCTTTAAACATGGCTTCAGGCTGACTCCCAGAGCCCTCAGCAGAATGCAGTTCTTTCTATAACTACTAAAAAACTGAGAGCTGACTTTCAGAATTTTTCCTCAGTATGAAGTCAACCAGCTCTGAGCTTTTTGGACAGATCTGTCAGGCGGCTGGAATTCTATCTATGACACAGACAGCCGGGCCTCGGAGGCTCTGATGGTTAGAGGAAGGGAAGGAAATAAAGAGAATGGAGAGAACTGAATTCCCACCTCCCGAAGTTCGCTGAGGACCCATTTCCCAAACATTTTCCCCTACCAACCAACCAAAAAAAAAAAAAAAAAAAGTAGGTAAAGAACAGTCCAAGTTGTGATTTTAAATGAATTAAGCTGGGATCATGCAGCCCATTAGAAAGACTATCTTTCCCAGTCTTCTTTGTAGCTAGCTATGGTCATGTGACTAAATTCTGGCCAATGAGATGAGAGTGATTACATGAACCTACTCATCCCTCTCCCCTTTCTTCCTTCCTGTTGATTGGATGCAGTGGCAGACCAACTTGGACCAGCCTAGAGAAAACCCTGTGGATGGTAAAACAACAAGATAAAAGAGGTCTGGGTCCTTAATAACTTGATAGAGAAGAGCTGCCTTATCATCACTGACTTTGATATAAAAGAAAATTTCCATCCTGTATTTGTCCTTGTTATTTTCAATCTCGAAAACATGAAACCAAGCCTTTATTTCAACTGGTCGGAAGCTATCTAGCCCAGTGGTTTTCAAGAGAAGAGGGAGGTATAATTTTGTCCCCAGGGCATTTTTGGCAATCTCTGGAGACATTTCTGTTTGTCATACTTGGTGGGGTGGGGGTGGAGGTTGCTGCTGGCATCTAGTGGGTAGAGGCCAGGAATGTGGCTAAGCACCTTACAATGCACAGGCAGCCCCTGCCCCCGTGAAAGAATTATGCAGCCCAGAATATCAATAGCACTGAAGCTGATAAGCCACTGAAGCATCTCAATTAGTAGGGAAGAGAATCCAAGACCCAGAGAGAGTGAATGACAGGCCTCGTGAGCCACACAGTTTACTGGGGCTGGGCCATTGCCTTGGTCTCCCAATGCCCAAGCCACTGATTTTTATTTGTTTAATTTTTATCATTATTATTATTTTTTGAGACAGAGTCTCCCTCTGTCACCCAGGCTGGTGTGAACTGGCATGATCTCAGCTCACTGCAATCTCCGCCTCCCGGGTTCAAGCGATTCTCCTGCCTCAGCTTCCGGAGTAGCTGGAACTACAGGCATGTGTCACCACGCTCGGCTAATTTTTGTATTTTTAGTAGAGACAGGGTTTTGCCATGTTGGCCAGGCTGGTCTTGAACTCCTGACCTCGGGTGATCGCCTGCCTCAGCCCCCCAAAGTGCTGGGATTACATGCATGAGCCACCGTGCCAGGCCTTTAAAATTTTTTAATTGCACCATTTTACCAGCCCCCAAACTAGACCCATTTTATCCTCTATCTTGCATTACTTATTTAATGAGAGTAAAAAAAAAAAAAAAAAAAAAGGAGACATAGAGCTCAAAGACCTGAAAAAAAGTCACACTTTTTCTCTGCCTAGAGTCAGCAGTGTTTTATTGCCCAAATTTGTGAAACATCTGTTTGGTATGAATCCCTAGGCTGGATGCCAGTTTTAAACCTAGTTGAGGAATTAAGGCCTATGTAAAAACAGAGATCAAGCAATGCAGTGGCACAAATGGCAGTGCCCAGAGGGCTTCTGCTGTGAGTGGGTGGGTACTGAGAGGAGAGAGAGATTATAGTGGGCTCTGATGGGCAGAGCATTGGTGACAGAGTCAGGTCTTCCAGTCCTATGGACTTCTGCCTGGCAGTGATGTCTTTTGGATCTCAGAGCCTTTATCTGGTTGTAAAATTATCATGCTCAGGCCCTGGGCACAGGCTCCTTCCCTATAATTTGTAATGGGTGTTTGTTATGTTGAACTGCTCAGCACTTTTCTCCCTTTTTATGGTAGGAGCAACCTGCTTTTCCTTTGTAAGTCTTCTCTTCAAGATTCTTTATTCATGCTGGGGATGTCAATCATAGTACTCTATTGAATATATTCTAACTGCCCTTTCAGATCCTCTCTACACCTTCCTGGCTGGCACGGATGCATCAAGGGGTCCCATTCTCTCTGGCTTCCCTTTGGGTTTGAGCATGAAAGCTTTTGGCAGGAGACTGGAGGAAGGAAGAAGAGGGAGGTAGAGATATTTTTTTCTCCTAGTGATTTCTCTGCCAGCTTGGGGACAGTTGGCTGCGCTTTTCTACTGAAGGCCACAGCATCTGTCTGTCAGGGAGGCTTTCCATATGGTTACCTCTCCTCGTTCCAGGAACTTCCCCATCCCCTTGACCCTCAGGCTTCAGGATGGTAAGAGCTTTCCAGCCTTGAGATTCTGCACTCCCTTGGCTGGCTTCCTTGGATGCTGGCAACCTTTGTGAGCGGTCCTGTCATTGAACGATTTTGAAGTTCCTTAGTCTGAGTGAGCCATCTATTTACTGCTGGGAACTTGACTACCCTCATCCCATAAGCAAATACACATCCCAGTCTGGCCAATTTGAGTATTTCATGAAATTTGCTGCAGTGGTTGGTTCAGAGGCTGGATATCTGACTAAAACAGAGCTATTCAGAGCCCTGCCCTGAAATTTTCAGTATGACACTGGAAGGTGGCCGCTCTCTGCTTCCTCCAGGGTCACTAACTGGAATAATGTAGGCCTGCAGCCATCTGCAGGAGCTCATATTTAGTCGGAGAGAATGAGGCCAATCCAGACAGAAGCAGGGCATTGAAATGGACAGAGATCTGAAAGCATCCTCTAAATTTCTGAGTCTAGTCACTCTTGAGGTCCCCGTTCTTTCCAGTTGAGTGAACCAATACATTTATTTTTTGCTTATTTTGGTTTGATTTGGGTTTCTGTCACTGACAGAAAGAATCTTGTATATGTCATATTCATCCACCTCTTGGTCAAATGTGGCCTTTGTAAAAACCTCATTAGGCCATTGGTGCTAAGGAAAGTCTTTTTAGAGTCTTTGGGATAGCCCAAGCTATCCAACTTCCTTCAGAAATATCCCTGAGGGGGATACAACCCAATCCTTCCAGAGGAAAACAGGATAGCAGGAGGCAAACACTAATGAATTTTTAATTTTGCTCTGGCTAGCTGTAGCTTAGGCTGAAATGATGCTTCTCCTGCACCTCTAAGTGTCCCTGCGCTGCCCATCCACAGTCTGCCCCCTTTTTCCCTCTCCTCACGCACAAGAGCTGGCCTGATAAATTCACACTGAAGCAATAGGAGCTGTGCTGATGAGTAGAAAAAACAAAACAAAACAAAACAAAACAAAACAAAACAAAACAAAACACTGGCATCCATGTTGAAAATCCAGATCCAAATGCCGATTCTCTCAATGAGCTGCCTACCCTTTCTGAGCTTCAGTTTTTCTCTCTGGAGGTATGAGATAAACTTAATCCCAGGAAATGACTTTATCATGGGGGAGAATTTCAGGTGTCTAGGGGCTGCTGCTGCTGTTGCTGCTGGTGGGTGAATATTCTTTTCCTTTGGTGGTGAGTGGAGGTCTGGGAAGGTTTTGAAAAGGTTGATGTGCAGATCCACTTACAATTGCAGACCACAGCCATTTCCTGTCACACAGCTGATAATCCCGACTTGATTTGGAGGAAAGTTTAAAGCTGATGGCAGACGGAATCTGCAGTACTAACCCGGGGCCATCCCTGTGCAGAGCCAGCCTGCCAACTGCAACACGCCCCTCAACCTGAAAGAATGATTCTGAATGTGCTTCCAGCTAGGTCCCTCGCTGTGCCTTTGCGAGATTGGCCCTGGGAGGTACCCCCGACCAGGAAAGCCTGTAGCCTCCCCACCAACCGCAGGGAACCATGTTCCCAGAGCAATACGAAGAGCTCCAGAAGTTGTTTCATGTAGTAATTGCCCAGAGAGGAAAGCAGAACATTTCCTGACACTTCAGTCAGTTCCCCAAAGACCAAGACAGCAGCCCCAGCAGGTCAGGCAGGTACCTTCCTGCCTCTTTTCCATTCTTTCCCCTTTAGCCAAACTTCTACTCCACAGCTCTCCCCTAGACTGGCCCTCATATTAGCCCTAGACAAACTGGCCCCTACAGTTCCAGGATGTGCCATTTTCCTATTCTCGACCACACCCACAACCACCTGTGATTTAGCTGTAGTCTTCACCCTGGTCGGCATGCTCCTAGAGAAAAGGTAGACACTTATGGAGGCGTGTCTATTCTTTTTGTCCACACTTATATTGGTATTTATGTTCTGCAATGTTTGTCTTAGTGGTGCTGCTTCCCAAATAGAATTTAAACATGCCATATTGATATTTTTGTTTCCCAAACATGACTCCCTAAGGAAAAGAACCATGCTGTTTCTTAATTTGCAGGCCATGACTATAGTAGGTAACCACTGTATTCTTTTTTTTTTTTTTTTTTTTGAGAAGGAGTCTCACTCTGTCGCCAGGCTGCAGTGCGGTGGTGCAATACCGGCTCACTGCAACCTCTGCCTCCCTGGCTCAAGTGATTCTCCTGCCTTAGCCTTCTGAGTAGCTGGGACTACAGGTGCGTGCCACCACGCCCAGCTAATTTTTGTATTTTTAGTAGAGATGGGGTTTCACCATGTTGGCCAGGATGGTCTCTATCTCTTGACCTCGTGATCTGCCCGCCTCGGCCTCCCAAAGTGTTGGGATTACAGGCGTGAGCCCGCGACCGGCCACCACTCTATTCTTTATGTGGTTGACCATACATTTTTAATCCTAAAGCCAGACTTTCTAATTAGCTATGTGACCTTGGGAACATTGCTTCTTTTCTCTGTGCTTCAATTTCATCATCTATAATTTAAAAAAGGGCTTCGGTTCAAGTGCTATCCTGGGTTCCTAAGGGTTTGAACTATCATTCTGCATAAACTGTCAACTGACTTGGATTAATATTTCCTTTGTTGATACAAGCCAATATATATCTTATTATGCTTTTCTAAACACGGTTTCATTAATAAGTATAATAATGCATCTGCAATGGAGGTATTAATAGTCAGATAGTGGGAGTAGAGACATGTACCACAGAACATTGATCATATGGAAAACAAGCCACGCAAGGGCCCTCTGGTGACTGCAGGAAATGCTGGAAGACAGAGGAAGCTGGAAGGAAAACAGAACATGACACAGCATTGCGAAGGGTTGCTGAAGAGGCAGCACACATACACACACACACACACACACACACACACACGTGGAGACAGTACTTCCCCACTGTACAGCCCCTTCCACAGCAAAAGAAGCAGTGGAAATTTCCAGCACAACTGATAAGCAATTTCCAGTTGTTAAGTCTCTGCTTCCTGAACTTTTGCAAGGTTTTACGGTATTTGCAGTCTAACTGAAAAGTTAGCTTTAGAAATTGTAAATTTTCCATGTCCCTTTGCTATCTGAGTGTTCCTTGTAGTTTCTTCATGTTGGAAAACTTTCCTTCATAATATTTAAGCTTAACTGTCATTCTGTTAGAGACTAAAATGAGATAATTGGACAGATTTTTTAAAATTATATTTTAAGAACACTCATGTATTGTAGGAAATAGTAAATTTAAAACTGTGCCCCATGGCTCCTAGTATTGGTGTCAGCTTAGAAATGAGAATGTGTATTTTTGAACCAAAGAACAGACTTGAACAAAACTTTCACAATTATTCAGCCAGCTTCCCCAGTGGGAAATGAAGGCTCACTGAGGTTTCATTAATAGCTTTTTAATTTCCCTCCTTCCAAGCAAATAGCAGCTTGGGAGTGGAAATGGTCTGAGCCTTGGTTCAAAGCGCTCCTGTTTTCAGCTGCTATTGTCAAAGCTTTCTGGCCATGTGTAAACAGAGATGGATGATAGAGACAGTCATCCTAATAAAAACTATTAAAAATGATAATGATTGAACGTTTACTGCCAGCCACTGTGCTAACTAGTTCATAAGGTAGGCATTATTATTCTCATCCTTATTTTACAGTTGAGAAAACTGAAGTTTAGAGAGGTCAAATAGCTTGCCCAAGATAATAGTAATTTCAGTGCGGATCTGGGCTATGTCAAGGCCAGAGATGACTGAGGTCTTCACCATCCTGCTATGCTGTCCGTATTGAAAGCCTCTTAAAAAGCAAAAGCAAAAACAAACAAACAAAAAAACCCAACTTGTCAAGTAAGCGATTTTCAGCACTTCCCCTCTCCTTTTATGCCCTACGCCATCTAGTTATGCTAAGAATGAGGACTGAACCAAACAATCAATTCTATTTAAAAAAATATTTATTGAGCTCCTACTGTGTACTGAGCACCTTGCTAAGCTATGCCATGGGACCACAAAGATAAATAGCCAAGATCACAAAATATGCAGTCTTATGGCAGGGAAAAACAAATATAATTACAGCTGGAATGCAACTGTCTGCAGAATGTGATGGTATGATAGAAATAGCAATAAGCGGCCAAGAAGAAGAAGACACACGTTCGAATGATAGAGCTGAACTGTTTTCAGGAAACACTTGAATTGGATTTTAAAGGACGGGTGGGACTTCAAAATTCAGGGCTGCGTGGGGAAGGCCTTTCAAGAAGTAGAGCAGGAGCCAATGCCCCAGGGGCACAGTTGATCCCAAGCTTGCAATTGGGACATTCTTCTCTAGATTGGCCTCCCAAATAGGTAAACTCAGCAGTAATCTACAAAGCATGTTACATGGGCCAATTCATGAGAGAAAATGCAATGATTACATAAAATCCAGGATGCTGGAGCCAGGGGGAAACCAAGGAACCCCCTACATAAGGTGGTCCTCAGAACGATAGGGCTCTGAGCAGAGTTCCTTCCTCCCATCAGAAGCCACAGTGCTCTACGAACACCACCCTTGCGTGTGGCAGGCAAAACTATAGACCGACATAGGTGGTAAGTCATCTTGGTCCTAGAATCTCACGGGCTGCTCCAGGGACAAATAGGCCTCATGGGTAGCAGGACCCAGCTGTGTGGTACACCAGGTACCCTTGTATGCACTGTTGGCAGCGATTCTGATTAACTGGGCTTCTGTTCTGATTGGTAGGGGCTCAGGTAATATTAATTTTTAAGTACTTTCAATAGTCGGGGAGGGTCCCTTTTAAGGGGATCACAATATTCTGAAGTGAAGGAAACCCAGGCAGTTAAATTTGTTTATTATTTGTAGTTTGTTTTATATATAATACACACATATATACATATTATATATATTTATATTATATGTAAATATATATGTAAAACAAGCTACAAATATGCAATATATATATGAGCTTGACTGCTTCATAAAGTCATAGAGTTAATTCTATTAATGCATAGTTTGCTTATTCAAATAATTCTTTTTGTTGTCTTTATAGAGTCCCAAGTTAAAGAACCGCTTTAAAGGGGGGATAGGAATTGCATTTGGTTGCATGTGCCTTTAAAACGTCTGCACTGATTCACAAGAACATAACAAAAGTTACCTGATGGGGTGGGGGAAGTGGTGGTATAGCATGGAAACCAGGAAGAAGGCTAGGAACAGGGCTGGGTGCGTGACTTTTCACTGGTTATCTCTTAAATTTGTTAATTTTTGAACCACATGGATGTGATATATCTGAAAAAATAAGCAAATAAGCCTATCAAAGACTTCCAAATAACTCTGACTCTACTTTTGAAAATGCATAGACATCTCTGGAAGATGGATATTTAAGAAACTGATTGGTGGCTCACACCTGTAATCCCAGCACTTTGGGAGGCCGAGGTAAGCGGATTATGAGGTCAGGAGTTCAAGACCAGCTTGACCAATGTGGTGAAACCCCGTCTCTACTAAAAATACAAAAATTAGCTGGGCGTGGTGGTGCGCGCCTGTAGTCCCAGCTACTCAGGAGGCTGAGGCAGAAGAATTGCTTGAACCTGGGAGGTGGAGGTTGCAGTAAGCTGAGACTGAGCCACTGCATTCCAGCCTGGGCGACAGAGAGAGACTCTGTCTCAAAAAAAAAAAAAAAGAAAGAAAGAAACTGATAATAGAGGTCACCTCCAGGAAGAGTGTAACCAGGGAGTGGGAAAAGGAAGCAGGCTTACATTTTATTCAATCATGTGAGGTATTTTGAATTCTGTGCCATGTATATGTATTATCTGTTCCTGAGTAAACATGTGGGAAAATAACAGTAACTGCATTAGAAAGATCCTTCTGATGACCGAAGTGAAGGGTTGGAAGCTAAAGGACCATGCAAGGAGCACTCTGGCCTTCAGCAAAGCCTGAAGCTCTTGTTTTTTTTTTTTTTAAGACAGGGTCTTGCTCTGTCGCCCAGGCTGGAGTACAGTGGCACTATCTCAGCTCACTGCAAGCTCCACCTCCCGGGTGCAAGTGATTCTCATGCTTCCACCTCCAGAGTAGCTGGGATTACAGGAGTGTGCCAGCATACCTGGCTAATTTTTTCTATGTTTAGAAGAGACAGGGTTTCAAGGTGTTGGCCAGGCTGGTCTTGAACTCCTGACCTCAAGCGATCTGCCCTCCCTGGCCTCCCAAACTGCTGGGATTATAGGTGTGAGCCACCGCGCCTGGCCCTGTTGCTCATTTGGGAAAGGCCTCCTCTGGCCTGAAGAAACAGCACCTGCTCCGATGGCTGCTGCCCAAATCCCCCTAATTTGAGCTTTACTTATTTTTTTTCTACTTTTTATTGATATATAATATTTGTACATATTTATGGCTTGCATGTGATATTTTGTTACATGTACAGAATGTGTAATGGTCAAGTCAAGGCATTTAGGGAATCCATCACCATGAACATTGATCATTTCTATGTGTTGGGAACATTTCAAGTCCTCTCTTCCAGCTATTTTGAAATATATGATATGTTGTTGTGAACTCTAGCCACCCTACTTGGCTGTCAAACATTAAAACTTATTCCTTCTATCCAACTGTATGATTGTACCCATTTACCAAACTCTCCTCATCTCCACCTCCCCACGCCCACCCCAAACCCACTCCTTCCCAGCCTCCGGTTACCATCATTCTACTTTCCACCTCCATGAGACCAACTTTTTCAGCTCCCACATATGAATCAGCACATGCAATATTTGTCATCTGTGAGATTCACTTATGTTAGACATGACTTCTTTCCTGTTTTGCTGGAACAATCACATATTGACCTGTGGTGACCATTTACATCCTAGTAAACATGTGAATGTCACAGTGGAAAAATTTCAAGAAAAACAGAAGTAACAAGGAATCCTCCCCTGACCCTACCTCATCCCCTCACCTCCTGAGTTTTGGGGGTTTCTTTTTAAGGGAGAAGAAAAGGTCTTAGAAGAGGGCTGTATTGTATTTTTTTGTGTATCTCAATTTTCCAGGTTCCTCCCCACCCCCATGTGAGCATCTCCAGGCATTATGTGAAATAGTTAATCATATCCTTTTCAGGGCAGGGTTTAAAGCAGGATGTTAGGGATAGAGGTCACCAGACCCCTGGATAGGGAAGGGACCATTGAGAGACAAGGTACATAAAGGGGAGGGGATTTACTTTGGGGGAGCTCAATTGTACTGTTCTCAGAACAGTGTAACTAGAAAACAGGGTGCACTCAATTCGTTGGGCAAGAAAATCCTGCGTGTGTTGCAGGGGTTAAGTGGTTGAAGGCCAGCACTGTGTTGATCAGTGGGTGGGAAATGGGGAGGAAACTACACACACCCAGAAGATCCCCTGTAAACAAGCCCGGGCCCAGGAGGAAGGAAGTGGCTGTCAGAGAATTAGTAAGGATGAAAGTTGCCCTGGAACATCCTTGTGTTTGAGTTAAAGTTGATGTTAATTTTAATATTGAAGAATAAAATAGGTTTTTTCTCCAATACTAGGTGATCTTACTGTTTACTCCAGGAGCTAAAGACTTTGGCTAGAAATAGTAAATTCTGTTAAAGGCTCAGATTTCCTAACTGGCAGAAGAGGGCATATCTTCAACAAAGGGTACTGTGTTTGTCTTTAAGGGATCTACCTTTACACTGGGGAATAATGAGGGGAAGTGTAAAAACAAGCCTACATCATATCATCTGAAATATTTCTTTCTATTCACATTTAACTGGGCTCTCTTTCCTATTAAATCAAACATACTGTCATTTCTTACTTGCAGTGTCTTCCATAATCTGGCCCAGAATGTACTCAATCTCATTTCCCAACTTTATAGCAGGCAATCCCTGCTTCAGTCTTGGTCTCCTCAATCTCCTGAAAACCCACTTAGCCCTGTTTGCCAGCCATATCCTCTTTTTGCCTTTTGACTTGTCCCTCCCCTTCCTTTTGAGGACCAAGCCAAATCCTAATTTCCATGAAGACTGCCTCAAGAAGTGAAGGCTTTTTGTCCCTCCTCTGAAGAGCACACAATGCACGCATCTCTTCTGAGACTAAGACGCACCTACTTGGAAGATTCTGACATGCCTGTGTAGACAGACAGCTGGGTAGGTCTGTTTGCATGAACTAAAAACATGCTGCTTAAGAGAGCAGGACTGGAGTGCCCTGAAAAAGGTCAGAGTCGAGGCAGACAGACAAGGCTGGCTAAACCTTGGTTCCAGAGGGCAAAGGCGAAACTGGGAATGGCAACGTGTCTGCATTTGCATTTTTATTCTGGCTCAGCTCCACCCCCAGAACTCAGGGCTGAGTCTCAAAGAGGAGTGGCTAAAAGCTAAATAAAAAGATGTTTCATTGAACATGTATTAAGACAGTGAGGCACAAGTGACTTTTCTTTGGGATTGCATGAACATAGTAAAACAAAAGGGGAAGAGAGGTGTTCAGGGCAACCTTCTCATTGAACATCCTGGTGCTGTGGCATTTTGAGGTCTCCAGGCCACCTGTGGGGGCAGTTCCTTAGGGAAACAGTGGTCCCCGGAGGAAGTTGTGGCAGCACCCATAGAAAAGGTTGCCAGATAAAGACACAATGCCCACTTAAATGTGAATTCAGAGAAACAGCAAATAACTTCTTAGTATATCTCATACAACATTTGGGCATAGTTACACTAAAAATTATCTGTTGTTCCTCTGAAATTCACATTTAACTGGGTGTTCTATATTTTTATTTGTAAACCTGGCAACACTAACATAAGGGATGATTGTGCCTGAAAGAAGGTAGAGTGTCCAGGCCAAGCACCGTGGCCTGTAATTCCAACATTTGGGGAGGCTGAGGTCAGTGGATTGCTTGAGCTCAGGAGTTCAACCAGCCTAGGCAACATAGCAAGACTCTGTCTATAAAAAAAATTTAAAAAAATTAGGCGAGCGTGGTGGTGTGTGCCTGTGGTCCCAGCTACTTGGGAGGCCAAGGTGGGAAGATCACTTGAGCCTGGGAGATCAAGGCTGCAGTGAGCCATGTTCAAGCCACTGCACCCCATCCTGAGTGACAGAATGAGACCCTGTCTCAAAAAAAAAAAAAAAAAAAAATGTCCAGTAGGGTCCAACTATACTTGGAGGAGGGAATTCTAACATGATGGCTGGGTATTGGCAACTTCCCTTTCTCAAGAAAAAGACGAGGCATTGAGAAGAGAAAGCCTTTTGACCCTTCCACTTGCTTCATACCTTTCAATCACTCCTGATGCCTTCAGTGATGACAGCTGTCTAGAGGCTGTGAAGTACAAGCAGGAGGATGAAAGGCCAAGAGGCCAAAATGGTGAAGCCAAAGGTTGAAAAGAGCCTGGGTCCTTAAGGACGTTGCCAGAATCCATCCAGGGAGGCTCAACCTTTCTGAGATACACAGCTGCACAGGGCTGGCTTCAGACCTAAAGAACATTTGAGTTCTATTAAGAAGAAAAAAGAAGGGAATGACTGCTGGGTAGGCCGTCAACAATGTGACTGACAATCTAACCAGCAGCCACACAATATCCACAATATGTAGACATTGATTCTTTAAAGCTCTGATTATTGACCACATAACAGAGTTTTTAAATATATACACAGATATTAGGAGTCTAGGAAGAAAAAGAAGATAGGAAAGTATAGTGCAATAAAAGTGCCCGTACTCCCCTTGTTTGTTTTTTTCAATTGACTACCAATGTGGTAGAATGTCAAGCATAGTAGACATCCTTTTTTTTTAAGTACCAACCTAGTTTACGTATTCCCTGAAAGATCAGTGCTCATATTCTTTCTTATCTGCAACCGGGTCACTGGATTCCTTATTTCCCGTCTTCTCCCCTATGTACATGCCTGTCTCTGGAACATATTCTTTCAGTAGTCAGGGAGAATTTAAAGACCTATAACCTCATAGCCCCAGTTTAGTCAACTTTGCCATTTATCAGTCATTCTTAAACCCACATTAAGCTTTGCATCTGCTTGCCTCCAGATTTCTCCCGTTGTGAGACATTTAATATTTTTGTTGCTGGAGACACTATCGGATGCTCTATTACTTAGGGCCAAAAGAATGCCTAACTGATAGAGAAGCTGCAAGGATTTATTGATGACCTCACATGAGACACCTTTTTCAACTTTCAGAAATGCTTAGGCGAAACTTTCCAGGCAACTGCAGTCCTAAGGTATCAGGTCAAGGAGAGGGCCAGCCAAACGTAGGTTACACTTGGCATTTATCTTGAGAAGTTAATGATACTGGATGTGAGTATGCAGTGAGCCTCCATGTGGACTTCAGCTCCTGAGAGCTCAGAGGGTCTCCTTTATACTTTCCCCTGCTGCACTACTCAGTGTGTGATTATTAATTGACTACTTAAAGTATGTAATTGATTCGTGGATCATATCCAACGTAAGCTACATCTGGAAGGAGGGACTTGGAAGATGGTGTGGAGTAAGGAGCACATTGTGGGTTAGAAGGTGAGAACAGAGGTCCTGGAGCAAGTCATTAGCACAGCACATTTGGTGCATGGGGGGACTGGGTCACCTGCAAAGCATTGGTAAGGGCTTTGGTCTGTGGGGAGCAAATGGACTGTTGGACATGCTGCTGGGAGTTTGGAGCTAATGCAGTGGAACACTGGGAGCCACTGCAGTCCTTGAATAGTGGAAGAATATAAAGACAGAAATATCTTAGGGGAATTCATTAGCCAGCAGCCTGTAAGAAACATAAAAGTTAAAAGAAAGATATTAGAGGCACAGAGGGCAGTTACGAAGCTCTTAAAGTAATAGAGGAATGTATTAGTATGGTGCTAGGGAAGCAGGAAGGAAAGTAGTGAATATTAGAAACAGTTCAATTGAATAATTGACAGAAGGCCAGATAAGATAACTGTTATTTGCTTGATGTCTACTCTGTGCTAAGCACTTTACATATATTGCCCAATTTAGCCCTTGTGAGTTGTATTATAGCCCCTATCCAGTGGGTAAGACCAATCTGTAAACAGAACAATATTACAGAGTGGCAGCAGTTCTAATAGAGGTGGATATAGGAATACTATTGCGGGCATTCAGGAAAGAGCCACAGGTCTGGGGAAGGTCTGAAAGATGAGTGGAAATTTAACAGATGGAAAAGCCAGGAGAGACCATTCTGGATAGATAGGTGGCATATGTAAGGCATTTCTTTCACAAAATCCTTCCATGTCTTTTGCAGAGTCAAAGGAGTCCCTCTTGCATCAGGAGTCCCTTTTGCATCAGTACAAAGGAGTCCCTCTAATGATGAGATATTTGTGAGATACCAAAAGGACTTTTTGGTGCCCTTAAGTAATACCATGTAGGTAGCTGCCAGTTGGTCATGAAAGAAAAACTATAGCTATAAGCCAGAAGAGGAAACATCTGCAGAGATTCCTGCTGGAGTGCGAGCACTGCGATGTGGTGATGTGAGAGATGGAAGAGTCCTGAAGTTCTTCCCAGGTCCCTCCTACCTCCATCCTTCCCAGGATCACCCAGGGCCACCTGACTCCCCCACTGTTCCAACCCCTGCCTGTTCTCCTGTCCACACTAGGGCTACATGTGTTCTGAGCACAAAGATAGAACCAGCATCCTCTGCATCGCTCACCTATTCCCTCTGGAGGCTGACTGCTCTGGGGTCTCAGGGAGACCGGGAGGCTGCAGCTCTCTCCTCTGACACCTTTCTGAATAGCACAGACAACTCTTCTCAAGACTCTCTGAGGCTGAGGCTTTCTGACATTTAGTCTAAGGTCCCTGGGACACAACAGCAGAGGCTTCCTGCCCCTCACCTTTCAGTCATCAGGACAATGTTTTGTTGCTTGTTTGCTTCCTCAGCCACCCTTGGAGATAGGCAGGAGACCTCAGATAACCCCAGTTGTGAGAGAGATCATCGTGGTCTCAGAGAACAAATGCTGCAGATGCTGTCACGTCTCTTGCTCGACTGGTTAGAACCTTTTGGTTCCTTTGGGGATGATAAAAACACACCACGTTCTCCTCTTCTACAATTCATTCAAAAAGTTAGCATCGGTTTCCATGTTTTTGATTCTGCCACCACTGCGAACCTATTCTTCCAAGTGCCACAAATATTATAATAACATTTCTCTTCCTATTACTCTTCCTTCAAATAATTTCTAAGGAACATACCCAATAGCACAGGAATCAGGTAGTCAGGGGAGCCAGGAGCCTGCAGACCTGCACTTTGCTTTGGATTGTGGCTCTATCCATCCACTGTGTGCCCTTGAACAAGATACCACTCTTGTCAGCCTCGATTTCACCACTTGTTAAAGAGATGTACCAGAGTTTGCTCCCCCTTCCTCAGTCTTTCCTCGAGGACTGGACGAAGCCACATATATCACAGCGACATGGGATGTGCAGGGTATGATACATGCGCATTGTCATCAGGCAGCAGAACAAAATAGTTAACAGCGCAGATGCTGGAGCCACACTGCCAGTATTCTTCTCTGGAAAATCAGGATAAGGATGTAGATTGAAAGCTCTGAAATCCCCAAAGCCCAGAAAACCAAAAGCTTTTTCATAAGTGGCATACTCAAACTTATTTGGTGTCACATTCAATGTGATGGTTTTGGTGGGCTTTGTCTAGCCCACTGGCTGCAGAAATGTCCATGTGCTTGTTTACTAAGTGCTGCCCTAGACCCCTCTGGGAATCATTACACAATACACAGTGTAGGCACCATATTGTTTTTCTATGATATGAACAATTCAGTATTGGAAACACATTTGGCCTCAAGGATTTTGGATATAGGATTGTGGGCCTTCAATACTGAACTCACAGGGCTGCTATGAGCAGTCAGTTGATTCAGGTAAAGCTCTAATAAGAGTGTCTGGCCCACAGTAGGTGCTCAATGGATGTTACCTGCCATTACTGTTCCTTCTTTTATGCAACCCTGAGCACCTCGAACAATTTCCACATTGCCCTGGACCTCCTATTTGTGCCCTGGAACCATTAATGTCTGGATTTCTCTCTATTCAATCACACAGCACCAGACTCACCTGAGGTTCTGTCTTCTCAACTCTCCACCAAAATGCTCTCCTTGTTAGGAATGTGGAAATCCTCTCGGTAGCAACCCTCACACCCTTCCCTCTGCCTTCTTGGTAGTGAAGGAGGCTGGGAGAGGGCTCTGGGAAGAATCCCAGCAGTGTCTCAGACACCTAGCTCACCCCGACATACCTCCTATGGGCTGCATGGCTGAGATCCCATATGTGTGGGTGCAGCTCTTCTTCCTTTAGAGAAATTAATCCCACCTTTCTAGACCTCTGTTTCTCATGAATAAAACACAACAGTCAGCCTAGATGAGAATGACATGCCTTCTGGCCCCCTGAAATCCTACCTCCCGGACATCTTGGATGCCACTTCAGCAGTCAGGTGATGTGAGATGGGGGATGAAAGCTACCTCACTTCAGCTCCAAGTATGGTAGTACATCCAGCCCCAAGAGGGCCAAATGCAAAGCATTCTGGAACTTTGTTACCACAAGACATTAGATCCTCTTTTCCTGACTCCTGGGTACTGAAACCAACCTGACTGTAGAAACAGGCCTTTGGTCATCCTCTGGACAAGTTCAGACATGAACTGGACAGTCTCACATTCAAGGAGGTGCAGCTGGGAGCCAGAGGGCTGCAGGCAAGGATGCCACACACTGATTCAGGCAGAGACCAGGCAGCACACTGACCAGTACCGGGATCTGGTCCAAAGACAATAGAACCCTGATGTGGTGGTGAGAGAGGCTGAGGCAGGAGCAGGAGAGGGACTTTGGAGAGTGACTGTGGTTCAGGGTAGGGTTCTAGTTCAGGAGGGAGACACATATGAGGGAGGGTGTGTGAGGAGAGGGGAAACATGACAGAAGACTGGTGCTGTAGACTCGGTTACCCAGAGGTGGGGTGAATCACCATGACCCTAAAATCATGGGCTCCCAGGGCTCTTTCCTAGAGCACCAAATGCTGCCATATTGTGACAAGACACTGTTAGATGCCAGTCTCACCTCCCTGTTATCCTTATGAAAAGAACCCAATTTTATTTTAGAAACAGTCTAACTGATTAAAAACACTTACATCCCCAGAGTCCCAGGTATGTTTAGTAAGCTAAGCAGACATTCCTGCAAAGGGCTGCAGGAAAATGTGTTAAAGGGGTCAATTCAGTTGGCATTTGCTTTTCCCCTTTATCCTTTCCCCCCTTTTTTTGTGCATGGAACTCATACAGGATGCTGAAAGAAAAAACAGCCGTCTAGTGAGCAGGAAGCCCCAAGTCACAGGCTCAGCCTGGGGGATCTGAAAGCTAAAAGAAGCCGAAGACCCTGATGGCTCTGGAGAAGTCACAAGACAGCCCTGAATGCTCTTGCAGCCTCCTGTCATGTGAGAAAGATAAACTCTTCTTTGGTGAATCTATTGTATTGGGTTTTTGTTTTACACAAGCAAACCTAATCCTAATAGGCACACATACCTACCTTACACAATTGTCATGAGGGTTAGATGTATTTGGAGACTCTGAAGGGTTGAAGTGAACCCAGAAGATACAGCTTATCACCCAGAATCCTGCTTTGGAGACTTTATCCTTTCTTAAGGCCCTGTAGGTGGTGGAGACTTAAGCTACTGATAAACTTCCTGCCTCCAACATGATCTACTCAAGACTTAGTGGGGTTAGGGTAACCCTGAGACCACACTGGGAAGGTGTCAGTAAATCTAGCTGCAGGAAAGCGGTTAAAAACAGCAGGAGAAGCAAGTTAAAGGATGACATGGTGGCTTACTGCAAATCATCTGCACTTCTAGAAAAAATGTTTCTGAGTATGTCAATGGTGGGTCATTCATTGTAGCACCTTCATATTCCAAGCACACGTCATTCATTCACTTCCTGAATGTCTGTAGCATGTCAGACACTGTATTAGGTGCTGGAGAAACAAAGATGGATAAAAATACAGTCCTTGGCCTCAAGCATCTTCTCTGGGTCTCACACTTTTGGGGAAATGGAAACCAAAAGATGAAGGGTCTATTTGAGTTAAATATGAGGAAGAGAAAAAACTCTGAATACTGAAATTGCTGTCATTTTGCATCCTCTGGCTGACGCTGCAAAAATAACATACCCCAGCTTTTAGGAGGTGAGGGGATATTTCCAATCTAGACTGAAGTGGAAAGTTACTAGGATGCTAAGAAATCAGCTTACATAATTATGGGCTGATGTCAAACAAACTATAGAAGGTTCTTAATTTCTGGTATTTCCTTGGGCTGTAAATAAACTACCACTTGACTCAGGTAAAATGTGCTGTCTCCTTAAATGGAAAAATACTCAGATGGTGGGAATTTTATGCTATTTATCAACAAGAAGCTGTTGGGTCTTCAGTGATACCCACTGTACCACATTCTGGCCAGCTGACTAAGGTGGCTCCAGCCCACCATATTTCAAATAGCTGCTCCTGACAGAAAGGCATTAGAGTATACAGTATATCTGCTCTGTTCTAGGGCATTAAAAGGAGAGTATGCAGTGTAGGCCATGCTTTGGAGTTCATGCTCTGGAGTAAGAACACCTGACTTTGAATCCTAACTTTGCTACCTATAGCTTGTGAGAAGCCAGGCAATTCCTTGGCATCACTGAGCCTTGGGTCATGAATGGCATGGATATGATAATTCCTACCACATAGGCTTGTTAAGATGATTAAAAATATTGTGCAAAGGATGTTCAGTGCTTGGCATAGATTTAGAGCTCAAATGTTTTGATTGTGGGGAAAATGAGGTGGGGAAGCAAAATGAGGGAATGCAAAATCTTTTCTCAGAGGAATCATCCAGGCTGGAGCCAATTTACCCCAAATGGACCTCCTCATACCAGGCGTAGTCATATTCTCAACAGACCTCAGAGCCAGTTCAACCTCTGTTTTCCCTCATTCTGCCCCAGTCACTGTGAAGCTGCTGGAGAATGTGTGAGTCCCCAGTTATTTAACCAGAGAGCTGTATTTAGGTGGTGCTGAATGTTCATTGTGAGGGCAGACATGTGGGTAGTTCTGTAGGGTCTGTAGAATGAGCAGGTAGGTCCAATGCTCCCTGGGATGATTCTGCTTTGTGATGCTATTTAAAGGTTTTCATGAAAGGCTTCTTTATATAAAGGCATTGGCTTTCTCATATCTTCAGTGGAGGTGATTCTACCAACCTCATCTGATCATCATGGGAATTAAACCAAATGAAAAAGCACCCAGCATGCTGACTGGGAGGAAGTAGGCACTCAATAAACATTGCTTTATCCTTTCTCATGACCCGCCCTGGTGTCATGGTGCCCTCAACCAACAGTATTACTGTCAATGTGCTGACAATGTGTGGCAGGAGAAATAAAGGAATCTACTCTTAACCACTTACACTTTAGTTGGAATTACTCTTGCGAGCCAGGTCATCATTTCCTAATTCTTTTTTTTTTTTTTTTTTTTTTGAGGCGGAGTTTCGCTCTGTCGCCCAGGCTGGAGTGCAGTGGCGCGATCTCGACTCACTGCAAGCTCCGCCTCCCGGGTTCACGCCATTCTCCTGCCTCAGCCTCCAGTGTAGCTGGGACTACAGGCGCGCGCCACCATGCCCGGCTAATTTTTGTATTTTTAGTAGAGACGGGGTTTCACCGTGTTAGCCAGGATAGTCTCGATCTCCTGACCTCGTGATCCGCCCGTCTCGGCCTCCCAAAGTGCTGGGATTACAGGCGTGAGCCACCGCGCCCGGCCTCCTAATTCTTTTTAACTCTGGTGCACATTAGATTTACTGGGCAGAATTTTTAAAACTACTGATGTCCAGCACGCACCCCTCCTCCCACCCCAAGAGAATCTGATTTAATGAATGGCTCCTTAAAAGAATGAGCACTTCTCTGGCATTCAGTTTGTTTCTCTGTAAATTGAGAGGCAGAAAGGTAGAGCAACTTACCATGTCGCACAACCAGAGAACACCCCAGGTCCACTGGAGCCCAGACAAGGGTGTTCACTGCAATGGATACTGTCTTTAGTTACAATTAGAATATTTTGTCTATCATGGATTTTTTGCATTAATTTTGATTTTTAAAATATTGCATTAAAATATTATTTATCTCGATGATGGAGTTTTTTTTGGCACCCTGTTAATTTGCACTTGAGGCCATACCCAAATGTTGGGGGAAACTTAAGAAAAAACTCTCAGCCCATGTGTCTTCAGTCTTGATTCCCATCTCCTCACATATCCTCTCTCATGCTTGTCTCCCTCCTGAACTACAGCCCTAGCCTGAATCCCAGCCGCTCCCCAAATCCCTCTCCTGCTTCCCCATCAGCCCCTCTCATCCGTGTCCTTTTGTCTTTGGACCAGATTCTGGTACTGGTCAGTGTGCTGCCTGGTTTCTTTTATTTATTATTTTGTTTTTTTAAAATTTTATTTTAGAGACAGTGTCTCACTCTGTCACCCAGGCTGGAGTGCAGTGGCACAATCCACTCACTGCAGCCTTGAACTCCCAGGCTCAAGCGATCCTCCTGCCTCAGCCTCCCACGTAGCTGAGACTACAGGAACATGCCACCACACCTGGCTAATTTTTAAACTTTTTGTAGAGATGTCTGTCTCGCTATGTTGCTCAGGCTGGTCTCAAACTCCTAGCCTCAAGAGATCCTCCCACCTCAGCCTCCTAAAGCATTGGGATTACAGGCGTGAGCCACCATGCCTGGCCTGGTCTCTGACTTTAATCAGTGGGTGGCATCCTGGCCCACAGCCCTCTGGCTCCCAGCTGGACCTCCTTGAACTTGGAACTGTCCAATTCATGTCTAGGAATTACATCTAAAAAGGAAAATGAACTGGACATCCTGTCCTTTTCCCTTTGGAAGTTCATTCTAAGCACCCCCTTCAGTTTTGCACTATGTTACCAGGAGTGGTGATGACCAGTCACAAGAATGAGGATGAGCGGCTGGTCTGTGGCTGAGTGGGGCACAGGCCAAGTGAATTCCTGAGGCTTCTCTACAAGAAATCAGTTGAGAGTAAACTTAAGACTGGTGAGATTTTGGCTGTGTCTCTTTAGCAGCTTAGGCAGCAAATGAAATGGAAGAAGTACTCATTCTTTATCCTGCCACTGGCTTAGAGTGAGTTTTGACTTTTGGTAGCTTGAAATTTGCAGCCCTTAATAATCTGAACTAGGAAAGAAAGGAATGGCAATACTGGAAGAATGCCTTCAGATGTAATTAGACAATTAGCTAACTGATTTGTCTGGCAGGAACACAATGCTTATCAGGTTAGGAAACAAGTCAACAGTTTGCAAAGAAAGATTCAGAAAAAGTGGAGCCAGAACCAGGTAAAGCCTCTTCCTGGCAGGGTAGACAGATACTGGGGCTCATAGGAAAAGCCATACCCTGTCTGACATCATCTGCCTCACAGAGTCCTCCAGTACCCTCAAGGGCACCACTGAATTCTCCACAATTTCTCTAAACTCAATTTTCCTTTCCTTTGGTTTCAGTTCCCACTACAACAGAAGCTCCTTTAGGACGAGGACATTCTCAGACTGTGTTCAGTGCTGTATTCTTAGCGACTAGGATCATATCGCCCTCCTGATTATAACTTTGCATGATTGTTCCGTTTCCCTCAGAAGTAACACTGAAGTCCTTATGTGGCCTGCAGGCCTGCATGATCTACCCCCGCGTACTAATTCAACTTCCAGTCAAGTCACCTTTCCATCATTCACTATGCTGCAAGCTCTGCCCCACCAGGCCTTTGCCTGTTTTCTCCAGCCAGAATTCGCTTCCTCCCTATGAACATGTGCTTTCCTGTGTGCATTGACTCACCATGTTGCGCAACCAGAGAACACCCAGGTCCACTGGAGCCCAGACAAGGGTGTTCACTGCAATGGATACTGTCTTTAGTTACAATTAGAATATTTTTGTCTATGATGGAATTTTTTGCATTAATTTTGATTTTAAAATATTGCATTAAAGTATTATTTAACTGGATGCTGGAGTTTTTTGGTACCCCGTTAATTTGCACTTGAGGCCATAGCCAACTGTCGGGGGAAACTTAAGAAAAAACCCTCAGCCCATGTGCCTTCAGTCTTGATTGCACATGGACACGCATGCACACATGCACAACATAACTAGCTTCTTCTCAGCCTTCGTGTCTCTCTTTAAAGGTCCTGTCTCCAAGAAGCCTTCTCTGATGACCTGACCCATCCTATCCCTCTTCTCCTTTACTCTCATTTCTACATTTTGTTTCTTTCATAGCACTTTTCTCAACTTGTAATTGAATATTTTTAAAATTTCTTCCCCTGTTTATTGTCTGTCTGCATATTTGATTCAAAAATTCCCAAGGGAGAGACTATGATTCTGTCCTGTTGGGGATCAGAAAATGATACCCCCAGATGAAGGCCTCTAAAGCATCCCCCAGAGTAAAAGATTTTCTCTGACATTTTCCTGCCCTCCTGTCTGTGGCCTCTCATCCTCCCCCAAGACCAGACATAGAAACTAGAATCCATCTTCCCCAAGGTGGATTGTAGAAACCAGAGCCCCTTTTCCCCAAAGCCAGCCATAAAACCTAAAAATATTACTCTAACTTCCCCCCAGCCTTTTTGTGTAAAAACTGGCCATAAAAAAAAAATCGTCTAGGCCAGGCGTGGTAGTGGCTCATGCCTGTAATCCCAGCACTTTGGAAGGCTGAGGCAGATCACTTGAGCCCAGCAGTTCAAGGCCAGCCCGGCCAACATGGTGAAACCCTGTCTCTACTAAAAATACAAAAATTAGCTGGGTGTGGTGCTGTGGGTTTGTGGTCCCTGTTACAAGGGAGGCTGAGGTGGAAAGATCGCTTGAGCCCTAGAGGTTGAGGCTGCTGTGAGCTGAGATCACACCACTGCACTCCAGCCTGGGCTCACTGTAAGCTGGTGGCAGGATAAAGAATGAATACTTCTTCCAGGAGGAATTTCATTTGCTGCTTAAGCTGCTAAAGAGACACAGCCAAAATCTAACCAGTCTTAAGTTTAATTTTTAAAAATTTTTAAAAAATGATCTGACTTATCCTGTTTGATTGTAGGTCATAAGACCCCCATTTCAAGAGGGTCCTGCTGCATACCCAGAAGGAAGGAATACTGCACAGAGAAGCTAAGAGGAATTTAAACAGACAGACCTTGCTGGACTTTCCTACTCAGTCTATTAACATTAGATCATACCCTTTCTGCCCAGTTATTTTTCTCCATGGCTGTCCGTACTTCATTGAACCCAAGCCTAAAAATGGGCAGTTTCCCCGTATCTTTGGGTCTTTATTCTGAAGGCTCCGTGTAAAACTGTAATCAAATAAATCTGTATACCTTTTCTCCTATGAATCTGTCTTTTGTCAGTTGATTTTCAGTGAACCTACAGCAGATAAAAGGAGATTTTCCCCTGGCCTCCACAGTTCCAATATATCCATTCCCCTCTCAAAGACCCTGACATAGAATAGGTACTTACAAATTACTTGTTGAATGGATATGTGAATGAATGAATGAATGAACTTTTGTAGTATGTATGACCCTGTCCTAGACTAAAATATGAAGATGGGTCTCCCCATGCTCTCCCTAGTAGGTGTTCTTTCCTTGTTTGTGCCAGTGGCCAAACACTGCCCATTAGCTGCCTAGGCCTCCTTAAATGCTCCAGCCTTGGGTTTGACAGTCTAGATAGTGCCCCCATAAAATGCTAAAAGCTGAAATGTGAAGTGCTGCACATAATATTTAGCTTTTAACAGATGTACACCATTCTAAATACTACGGGAACATAGGGCATCAAGATAGTTTATGGGGAAATGATTTATGCGCAGACGTGAGTGGTCATTCACCCTACAGGGCAGCCACCTGGCCTGTCATCTGTGCAAGGGGCAGATCCTGGCATACCGATTATAATCCATTTAAACCGAGTTCATCTGGGGTTTTCATGTTCCCTTGATCATTCTGAAGATATATTGGCTGTCTTGCACTATTTTCGTTTCTAACATACAATGGAAGAGAAATAACTGAAAGAGCATATGTCACAATGTCAATAGTGCTTACATTTAGATGTTGAGATAGGAGTGTTTTTAGCATTTCCCTCTTACATGTGTCTATTTTTAAATTTATCTTTATTGACAATATATTATTTTTATAATTTTAGAATACTTAAAGTATTACTTCACTTGTTCTCTTTTGTGTTTATATATATTTCAATTGTGTAAAGCTGAGCTGTCCAGTAGTATCCACTAATAGCATGTGAGAACTTAAATGAATCAAGATGAAATTCGCTATAAGGAACTTAAACAAATTAACACGTGAAAAACAAATGACCCCATTAAAAAGAGGGCAAAGGACATCAAGAGATAATATTCAAAAGAAGACATACATGCTGCCAACAAGCAAATGAAAAAATGCTCAACATCTCTAATCATTAGAGAAATGCAAGTCAAAACCACAGTGAGATACCATCCCATCCTAGTCAGAATGACCGTTATTAAAAAGTCAAAAAATAACAGATGCTGGCAAGGTTGTGGAGAAAAGGGAACACCTATACACTGCTGGTGGGAATTTAAATTAGTTTATCCACTGTGGAAAGCAGTTTGGCAATTTCTCAAAGAACTTAAAGCAGAGGCTGGGCGTGGTGGCTCATGTTTGTAATCCCAGCACTTTGGGAGGCCGAGGCGGGCAGATCACGAGGTCAAGAGATTAAGACCATCCTGGCCAACATGGTGAAACACGGTCTCTATTAAAAATACAAAAATTAGCTGGGCATGGTGGCACGCACCTGTAGTCCCAGCTACTCGGGAAGCTGAAGCAGGAGAATCGCTTGAACCTGGGAGGCGGAGGTTGCAGTGAGCTGAGATTGTGCCACTGCAGTCCAGCCTGGTGACAGAGACTCTGTCTCAAAAAACAACAACAACAACAACAACAAAACAAAAAACAAAAAAAACAGAACTACCGTTTGACCCAGCAATCCCATTATTGGGTATATAACCTAAGGAATATAAATTGTGCTACCATAAAGACACATGCACATGTATCTTCATCGCAGCACTATTCATGACAGCAAAGAAATAGAATCAACATTAATACTCTTAACAGTAAACTGGATAAAGAAAATGTACATATACACCGCAGAATACTATGCAGCCATGAAAAAGAATGAGATACTATCCTTTGCAGGAACATGGCTAGAACAGGAGGTCATTTTCCTAAGTGAACTAACACAGGAAGAGAAAACCACACACCACATGTTTTCACTTATTAGGGGGAGTTAAACACTGAGTACATATGGACACAAAGAAGAGAACAAGAGACACCTGGGGCTACCTGAGGGTGGAGAGTGGGAGGAGGATGAGGATAAAAAAACTACTTGTCAGGTTCCATGCTCATTATCTGGGTGACAAAATCATCTGTACACCAAACTCCCATGACACACAATTTGCCTATATAACCAACCTGCACATCTACCCCTGAAACTAAAGTAAAAGTAAGCAAAAAATGAAATCCAATTAAAATGCAGTTCCTCAGTCACAGTAGCCATGTTTCAAGTGCTCAGTAGCACATAGAGCTAGTGGCTAGTATTTTGGACAGTGCAGAATAGAATATTTCTATTAGTACAGAAAATTCCACTGGAAAATTCTGGTGTAGAGTGTGTAGGTTTTAGCCATTTGAATATAAAGATAGAGACTTGCAGGTGGTGAAGAGTTATGTGCTGCAAACAAAGATTTGAAAAGAGCAACTGTCTGAGTTCTTTGTGATCCAAATGCAGTGGTATTGATTACTCATTGAAGGGAGACCTTGTTATGCTCACCAGTGTCCTTGGAAGGGTGCTTGATGAGGGAAATGTGTCCCTGAAATTTTATGGTTGCAGAGGCTGATAACTGAGTTTAGCCTCCTGAGACTTTTTACAAGGCAATCTGAAAAGCCTGGGCAAAATGCCCACCATGATGTGTCACTCCTAGGACCTAACTTGCTATAGGAAATTCCCATAGGCTTACCTGAAATCAGATTCCCTATTTCCTATTCCCATCAAAAGGCTTTTAGCGTCTATTCTTGGATGACTCCCTTTTGCTAAACTACAGGATAACCTAATGCTAAAGCAAATTTATTGGGCAACCAGCCCAGGAGGTCATGCTCAGTAACTTGTCCAGGCTTTTCTTTGAAAGACTTAGGGACTAAGTGACCTTTGACACAACAGAGCAAAATGTAAGCAGCTCTACTTGCTCTGTAATTATCAAAATTTGTTTGGTTTCAAGATGAATCCTCAAACCCACATTCTGGTGGCCTAAGGAACGCATCACATCTGCCTCAGCCTTTGTGAGAAAAGGGCACCTAAGTTATTAGCTGAGAAGTATAAGGATATAGGCATTCATGGTTTTTTTTTTTTCTCCAACAAATGTTTAGTGAGCCCCTGCATATCATGTGCTAGGGCAATAGGGCAGTGAATAAGACAGACCTGGAGACTGCCTTACAGAGTACCACCTCAAATCGTCACAACAGCAACTTTATCAAGGTTAAGAATAGTCTTAACCAGAAGTGAGCTGACACCCAAGGGTCTTTTATAGGCAAGAGTCAAGAGCGTCTCCAAAGTGCAGTAAAGATAAAACCCTAGCTACATGTCTAAAGCAGGAAGTTACAGAATGTATGGCTGTGCTTTCTATCAATTTGAGCTTCTCAAGGGAGCCCGTAAGCATCATTTAGGCCTGTACAAGAGAAGAGAGTCAAAATGTTTCTGTAACAGGGGTCCTGCAGGGGACATTAATTGCTGTTGAAACAGCGCTGTGCAGTGGACTGCCAAGGTCTACAGTGTAGCTCACTGCCCTTTCTCCAGGGCCCTAGGTTAACATGGCACAGGGAAGATCTACCGAAATGTCCATGATGAAAGGTCGAGTTTCTTCAAATAAATAAGATTATGGAAATGGCGTGGAGAATGTGTGGCAATATGAAGACAGAAGGACACAGCAAAATAAAAGGATGTCTTCTTAAAACATCTTCTTGCATATAAAAAGCAAGAAATCAAAGATTGGATGCCAATTCTAAGAAACAGACACTCAGAGGATACCCTGCAAAGTATATCTAATTGGCTAGAAAGGGTAGACTAGTAAATTTTACTGTAAATCTCTCCTTTGGTGGTGCAAGCTTTCAAATCACACACTGTATTGATTGATGCTGCAGTGATACCTGACTGAGGCACAGAGACAGGGGAAGGAGGAAACGACATGTAAAGGCCCCCATGCTCCTGAAATAAACTTATCTGAGGAAAGGAAGTATATGGACTGATGGTTAGAAATCAGCATCAGGCATGGTGGGGGAGAGTTACAGCACATGTGAATGTTGCTAGAAGCTCTTTCATACCAATTCACACTGGCTCAGTGGCTGTGCTTTGGAAAACATTTGTTAAGGACAAGAGTATGTAATGTTGAAACTCAAATGTAGGGAAACTTGTGGCCTGGGAAAGAGATAATAGGAATCATCAGTAGTTGTTATTTGTTAACACAAAGAGCATGCATGAAATCAGTGAGAAAGGGTGACACACAATGAGTAGATCCAAACATGAACAATTGAATATTCCCCAAATTTAAGGACAGGACAGAATGAATGGTCAAAGAGAACCAGAGAGTGTACTGTCAGAGAAGCCAAGGAAGTAAAGAATTTAGAGAAGAGACGCTTGGTTAAACACAGCCGAGGAGCACAGCCAGCTAAGGACCATAAACTGCTCCTTGGTTTGGCAATGTTTGCCAGAGAATTTGGAATGGAATGATGTGAGCAGAATCCAGATTGCAAGAACTGAAGAAACAGAGAGATGAGGAAATGTGAACAGGACCAACAATTGTTTTCTAGATCCCTGAAATGAAGACCTATGTGGATGTTGTTAATAAGCTCTTTACCTGAGGAACCTGGTTTGCTAAATTGCAGAGGTTTATCTTCAGAACTGACTTACCTGAGCTACAAGGGCAGGAAATAATTACATCTGACCCTTTGAACTGAGGAAGTGTTCAAATAACAAAGCATTCTGACCTTGATCTTATTTGATTATTAAAAGCGTTGTTTAGCCCTTAGAGAAATGATTTTTCTTGAAAATGTTCTCCATACCAATTCTTACCCTTTCCTATAGCGTAAAAATTCCCCACAAGAACTAGCTCTGCAGAGTTCAAGGAAAATGAGTTGGTATCTTTTCCTTTGAAAAGTGAGCTTTAGGGGTTAGTCAGAAATTGAGCCTTGCAAAGTACTTCCTGCAGAAACAGGAAAAGGTTATCCTTTTCTACAATACACAGACACTAGGCCCTATGTAACCTTTGGGTAAATAAAGATGACCAACAAGCTTCAGATCTGCAACATGATTAGAAGGCTGTGCATAAACAAACACCCTGGAGATGTTGGAAGGCAGATCTTGCCTCCTATTAAACAGTCACAACCTCAAGGTTGTTCATGTAGACCAGTTGTATAAATGCCAAGAAAAATATTTCAATGATTATTTGTTCTATTTCACAAAGCCAAGAGTCCTCGGCTATCACAACACCCTAGTGTTTTCAACTTTTTCTTAGCATTAAATTCATTTGGTGACCTCAATTGTTCACAGGTTGTGAATATGTATATTAGACAAAAAAGCTGGACTGCTGTGGTTGAAGCTGGGTGAGGAAGGGCTAAACTTACCTCCCTGAAACGCAAGATGCAATTTCAAAGCCTTAGCTCCAGAAAAGTGGTTCACAGCCCTGGGTATACATGAGAATCACCTAGAGATAATCCTAATGCACTTAGGGATTCTGATTTAATTAGTCTAGGTGAAAGTGCTCTGGGATAATATGTTTTAAAAGCATCCCGGATGATTCTATTGTGCATCAAGGGTTAAGAACTGTTGCCTGAGAGAAGGACTGTTTATGAGAAGCTTCATTTGACTAAGAAGGTTCTACTTGTAGTAAAATTGCTGTCAAACCAGCAGTTGGGGGATTCACTGCTGTTGATTAATCAAATAGTTAATTAGATTTGGCAAGTTTACCATGAATCAAAATCCATTTCACATGGAATTATAATACAATAGTATACATATATTACAAAATTCAGACTGAATATTTCATTCAGCCAAGATTCATTTAGAAATTATATATTTAGTGGCACACTCTGTGTAAGGTGTTAAGAGAGAAACGCAAATGATTCTTCTTCCAATCTTTTCTCCTAAAGAACTATTAAGTATTCTGTGCAAAGTAAACATTTCTAATATGAAACAAAATCTAAAAACCAAGAAACGTTGAAGGATCTTACATATCCTTGAAGTCATTGTCAGGTCATTGGTGGATTAAAAATGACCACAAATCCTAGCCACCCTTCCTATCAAAAGGTAGCATCTGTTTTCCTCTCCCCTCATATCTGGGTTGGGCTTATGAACTTCTTTGACCAAAAAATACAGCAGAAGTGATTCTGTGCTAGTTATAGGCCCAGGCTTTAAGAAACTTGGCAACTTCTACCTTTGTTCTGCTGTAGCCTTCAGCTACAATGTAAAGTTACTTTGCTGGAGAGAACATAGGGAAAGTTAGATGCCTGGCTAATGTTAGGATGTTAGCCATCCTGAACAAAATGCTAGATATGTGAATGGAGCCATCTTGAAACGTAGCCTTGAGAGCACTGTGTGAAGGAACCCGTGTTAGCCATGTGGAACAGCCATGTGAGAACTAAGGCATCTTGGCCAGCAGCCTTAGATCAACTGCTAGATCAACACAGTCTCATAACTGAGTAAGTGAGACCACTGGAAGATCACTCTTTCAACTCACTAAATCCTGAGAAACAATATATATATATATGTAGCTTTTTAAAAAAGACATTAAGCCTCAGGGTCTTTTGTTATACAGCAAATATAACTGATGCAGAAGTTGGTAACTAGAAGTGCAATGCTGATGTAACAAAAACCTAAAGCAGGCCAGGTGTGGTGGCTCATGCCTGTAATCCCAGCACTTTGGGAGGCCAAGGTGGGGGGATCATTCAAGATTAGGAGTTTGAGACCAGCCTGGCCAACATGGTGAAACTCCATCTCTAATAAAAATACAAAAAATAGCCAGGCGTGGCGGTGAGTGCCTGTGGTCCCAGCTACTCTACTTGGAGGCTGAGGCAGGTTAATCGCTTGAACTCAGAAGGCAGAGGTTGCAGTGAGCCGAGATCGTGCCACTGCACTCCAGCTTGGGTGACAAAGAGAGACTCCGTCTCAAAACCAAACCAAAACAAACAAACAAACAAACAAAAACTAAAACTAAAACATGTGGCATCAGTTTCAGATCATGTAGAGTAGGCAGAAGTTGGTAGGATGGCAAGGAGACTACTAGTGGAGGTTGGAAAAGCAGTGAAGTATTTGCTATCAGAAGCTGGAGAAAGCGAAATTTATGTAGTGCTAGAATTGTTTGGCAACATTGTTGCCTGTGGTTACCTGGAAGATAGAAAACACATCAATGAATTTATGGATCTGGCCAAGAAAATTTTGAGGCAAAGTGTCAAAAGTGAAAGTCAGCTTATTTTAGCCACCTATAACGAAGCATGGGAAAACAGAAATGAGCCAAAGAAGAAATTATTCCTTTTTAAAACAGAATTGAGAGAAAATGTTTCCATCCCTGGACGTAGTAGTTTGGAAAATAAAACTGATTTTCATTGCATCTCCATGAGGAAAAAAGTTCCCAAAATAAGGAATGGTCTCAGGGTAAAGATTAAATACATGATGCTGACACTAAAATAGTCTCAGAGTAAAGATTGAATCAAGGTTATATGACCTTGACTTGTGATTGTGCAACCCTTTGATAAGACTTCAGAAAAATGTAAGATCCTTAAGAGCATTTCCCCACAGCACCCTGACTTGCGGTTCAAAGGAGGGAAAATGTCTATTTTGAAGATGTTTATAGGTGTGATTTTTTTTTTTGAGACAGAGTCTTGCTCTGTCACCCAGGCTGGGGTGCAGTGGTGCCATCTCAGCTCACTGCAACCTCTGTCTCGCGGGTTCAAGCGATTCTCCTGCCTCAGCCTCCCAAGCAGCTGGGACTACAGGCATGAGCCACCACGCCCGGCTATTTTTTGTATTTTTAGTAGAAACGGGGTTTTACCATGTTGGCCAGGCTGGTCTCGAACTCCTGACCTCAAGTGATCCGCCTGCCTCTGCCTCTCAAAGTGCTGGGATTACAGGCATGAGCCACTGCTCCCGGCCAGGTGTGATGTTTATTTAATAAAGTGAATTTGCTATTTGATGAATAGAAAATATACAACATTTTAAAGAGAATTTTATTGGTAAAAGCCTTACCAGTTTTGACTAAAAGGGACAGAAAAGTACAAAATAAAATGAGGCTTCCAGGCTGTAAACTTTACAAAAGCAGAAACCAGGCAGAGAAGTTTACTCAGCTGTTAACAGTAGATTGGGAAAAATCAGCCAAAGAGCCAAATGAGAAAGGAGAGAGCAGACATGGGCCCTAATCAAGGAATAGTCTCCGTGCTGTAGTAGGAGACCTGACAACCTCTCCCCAGAGGGATTTCATAATTACTGTGGGCCAGAGGCTGCTATGTGCTTCCCTTTCCTCCCTTTTTGAATGGGAGTACCCATTACTGTGTCATCTTTGTAGGCTGAGTGTCTGGGAAGAAAAAGAACTTGTGTTTTTAATTCAGAGATCTTTAGATAGAGAAGAGCCACAGTGATTGGCTGTACTCAGGGAACTGCACCTTCGGAACCCCATTTATATCTGGACCTGATTTAGATGAAAACATTCTGGATCTTAAGTATGAGCCTGATGCCATAATGGAATAAGCCTTTTGAAGATGTTAGGAAGGAATAGTGTATTTTGCAGATTAGAGGAATATAAATGATTTAGATTTAGAGCTACAGAGATAGCCACAAATTCTATACTTTCTTTCCACTGAGAGATGGAGCTTATTTGTCCCTCCTCCTTCAATCTGGGATGGTATAGTGAATTTCTTTGCCCCACAGAATGTAGCAGAATCAATTCTAGTTCAGGCTAGACTTAAAATAAGCAGCCTTTGCTTTAATGGAGTTTTGAGCCACCATGTAAAGAGGTCCAGGTACCTTGCTTGGGAGGACACATGGCTGATTTCCAACTAGTCTAGTTTCCCAGCCAAAATGCCAGACATGTGATGAAGCTGTCTTGGAATGCTGTTTGGAAACCATCATGTTGTGTGGAAGCCCAAGCTAGCCATAAGGAGAGGCCACATAGAGGAGAATGAAGGTATCACAGCTGACAAGCCCCGCCTGGCTCCCAACTGACTGCAGTTACAGAACTGACCCCCACAAAACTAGAACTATTTATTCAACTCACAAAATCATGAGAAATAATAGATTATTATTGTTTTAAGCCACTAAGTTTTGGGGAGATTTGTTGTACAGAAATGGGTAATTTAAACAGTTATGAGCCACAACTGGAGCACTCTAGATACACAGAGGAATCTTAAAACATAGAATCCTAGTTGAGAGGCCAGTTAAACTATAGTGGGGGTTTTTTTTTTTATTAGCAGATTTTTTTTCTTTATCTAAGGATGACATTAATAAAAGCAATATTAGGATGCTTTCAAATAAGTAAACCAAAGAGCAATGCAGCCTAGAGAGAGGACTTTGATTCCACTTATTATGTAGTTATGTCTAGATGGGCAAAGTGCTGGAAAAACTCAATAGATATTTATCAAGAATCTCTACTATGAGTGTCAGTATAACCTAAGGAGAAAAACTTATCACCAACTTCTAAGGAAAGGTGAAATTTTTAACACTTAAATAATAATTAAAAAATTAGCCAATTTTAAAGTTTACCTAGCTCGGAACATCAGAGAAGTGTTCTCTTCTTCTATTTTCTGAAAGAGATTGTGTAGGATTGATGTTAATTTTTTATTAAACATTTGGTAGAATTCTCTCGTAAAACCATCTGATTCTGGAGTTTCATCTTCTGGGAGTTTTGAAATTATGAATTCAATTTCCTTAATAGTTAAGGGACTATTCAAATTATATCTTTCATGTTGGGTGAAGTGTGGTAATTTGTACTTTCCAAGGAATTGGTCTACTTTATCTAAGTTGCCAAATTTCTATGTAGACTTCTTCACAGTATTCCCTTATCATTATTTTGATGTTTGTAGGGTCTGTAGTAATATTCCTTATTTTCTTTCTGATGTAGGTAATTGTGTCTTCTCTTTTTCTTTGTCAGTCTTGCTAGATCAATTTTATTGATCTCTTCAAAACACCAACTTTTTATTCATTGATTTCCTCTATTCTTTTTCTGCTTTAAATTTCATTGATTTCTGTTCTTTATTTTCTTCTTTCGGTTTGCTTTGGAATGATTTTGTCCTTATTTTTCTAGTTTCTTGAAGCCTTTTATTCTACAGGAAAATACTACTTCAGTTTATCATCTATGTATGTGTTTTACTACATTCAGCACAGTCATGCACCGAAGAATGACGTCAATGGCATATATGGACCACGTATACAATGGTGGTCCTATAAGATTATACTGGAGCTAAAAAGTTTTTATTGCCTAATGATGACATAGCCATCCTAATGTCATAGCATTATGAACTACACGTTTGTGGTGAAGCTTGTGTTAACAAACCTACTGTGCTGCTACCAGTGGTATAAAAGTCTAGCACACACAATTATGTCCATGACATAATGCTTGGTAATGATAATACATGACTATGTTACTGGTTTATGTATTTATTATACTATATTTTATTGTTATTTTAGACTATACTCCTTCTACTTACAAAAAAAAAAATAACTGTAAAACAGCCTCAGACAGGTCTTTCAGGAGAGATTCCAGAAGAAGGCATTAGTATAGGAAAAGACAGCTCCATGCATGTTATTGCCCCTGATGACCTTCCAGTGGGACACGATGTGAGGATGGAAGACAGTGATATTGATGATCATGGCCCTGTGTAGGCCTAGACTAATGTGTATATTTGAGTCTTCATTTTTAACAAAAAAGTTTAAAAACTAAAAGAAGAAATAAATTTATAAAAATAGAAAAAAGCTTCTAGAGTGAGGATATAAAGAGGGCAAATATTTTTGTGTAGCTGTAAAATGTGTTCATGTTTTAAGCTGTGTTATTACAAGAGTCAAAAAGTTAAAAAGTTTGTAGAGTTAAAAAGTTACATTTAGCGAAGGTTAAGTCATCGTTGAAGAAAAAACAATTCTTAAGTAATAAATTCAGTTTAGTCTAAGAAAACAATGTATGTGAAGTCTATAGTAGTGTACAGCATTGTCCTAGGCCTTCACATTCACTCCTCACATACTCACTGACTCACCCAGAGCAACTTGCAGTCCTGCAAGCTCCATTCATGGTAAGTGCCTTATACAGTCTAGCATTTTAAAAAATCTTCTATACAGCATTTTCACTGTACCTTTTTGATGTTTAGATGTGTTTAGATGCACAAATTCTTACTATTGTGTTATAATTGCCTGCAGTATTCAGTATAGTAATATGCTGAACGGGTTTGTAGCTTAAGAGCAAAAGGCTATCCCATTTAGATTTGTGTAAGTACGCTCTATGATGTCCTCTCAATGACAAAATCACCTAATAACACATTTCTCAGAACATAGTCCCATTGTTAAGTGATGTATGACTGTACATATATTAGATTGACAAATATCTAGCTATCTAATAATTATGATTATCTAACAACTATATACTTTCACATAGCCCATATAACATGCTTCCCCCATATTCTTGTGAAGCCACCTAACTACACCTGAAAATAATAGTAAAACTCACAAAATGTGTGTGGATTAAAAAAAAACAAACAAACAATCAGACTAGCTGCTATATCCCCAGTGTGCTTAGAGGTGCCAATCATGACTTATGCCAGTAACAGGAGCAAATCATCAATGTTTTTTCCTGCTGCTCTAAAATTTTCCCCTAAGCAGTAACCAAGCAGTGGAAAATCCCCAGCATAAGGGTTCATACAGGAAGTGCACTGGTCACTAGATTTATCTTTCAGTGATGTGTTTCCAATAATAAATGGCTCTCAGAATAACAAAGAACCTGAGTGTGAAAAGGCTTAGGTTAGCCACGCAGCTGCAGAAAGACCAAAGTGTGGTTCAAAAGTGATGACTGCCATATTTTCTTCTTACATTTGTATGGTGTTCATTTGAAATTACCTGGTGTATTTTTAAGAGGCATGCAACAACTCACCCAATTGAATTTTAAAATCACACAATTATTTTTACAGATGTACAGACGCCAAGAGGAATCTGAGACCAGAGTGGTGAAGTGATTTACCCAACATTGTCTACCTGGGTGTCAGCACAGCCTGAGCTCAGACTTCCCTGCGTGGTTCCATCGTTTAGTCAACAAATATTTATTGATTGCCTACAACATCACACAGACCATTTAGGTACTAGGATGCAAAATTTTTTTAAAAAACAAAAAACCTTGGCCCCACAGAACTGGCAGAGGAAGAAACACAATAAACAATTAATGAATTAACAAAGTAAATTACATAGTATAAAAGGTGATGATAAGTGCTCCAAAAAAAAAAAAAAGTTACAACAGAGGAAGAGGAATTGGGAGTGCTGGCAGAGATGCACTTTTTGTAAAGGGTAAATTCTAAATAGGGTGGTCTGGTAGGCCTCTTTGAAAAGATGTGGAGGTAAAGTTAGCCTGGGGGTAATCGTGTTGGAGAGAACATTCAGCAGAGGATAGAACCAGCCCAGAGGCCTCACAGCAAGTGTAGGCCTACAACAGCTTCCGGGATGAACCTGGCATGCTTGAGGAACAGAAGTCACCTTTCTGCGACATGTCCTCTAAAAATCACAGAACTATAGACTCTTGAGTTGGGAGAGCCTGAAAAATTGTGCAGTCCAACCTCCCAGCTGAAGCAGGAATGCTCCGGGCAGTAGCACAGATCTGCACTTGTCTGAGTTTGAGCAAATCCCTCTAGGCCACGAACTCACTGGCTTGCAAAATAGCTCATCCCATTTTTTTGGCCACCTCCCGTGGTTAAAAGTCTTGTCTTACGCTGAACTGAAATCTGCCTCCTTTGGCTTCACCCTGTGATTCCACCTCTACCCTTTGAAGCGACACAAAATCCCTCCTTTCAACCAATGCATATTATTTCTTTGGTCAAGGGCGCCTGGGAGGCAGTTTGGCACAGAGGCAAGAATGTGAACTCTGAAGTCAGGCAGGACTGGGTTCAAACCCACTTTCCAGCTGTGTGGGCTTGAGCAAGTTCTTTCATCCCCTCACACTTTGGGGTCCTCATCCCAGAAGACTCTTGGGGGCGTTAGAGACTATACAAGTGCACATTAAATGGCAGTTGTTCTGTATATTTTTTATCTGCAGGGTGACTTATCTTTCACTTAAACGCTGTCTGCAGGGCTTAGCATATACCACCCTTTGAGGAAAGCTAATTTAGATTCAGAAAGTCCCTGAACGTTTCCCACTTGTGCTCTCCGTATACTGGCTGACCTTAAGGAAAGGAAAATCAAGTGGTACCTGCCTGAGGTAGGTCATCTGTGATGGCAAAGCACATAAACCAGATGGTATCCAGCTGCATTTACCAGTTAGTTGGGGCAGAAGTTCTGAAATCAGAAGCCAAAAATCAATGAAGAAGAAAAAAGCCCTGTGGAGTAAAAATGTTTCAGAGTAAATTTGCTGGGTACTAGCACATACTAGGAATTTCCTACGGGAAGAAATGCAGGCAAAACAACTAGACACAGGGCCAATGAATCGGAAGCACAGGATTATCTACCCAGATGCACTAATGCCCTTGCACACTGGAAGGTCATGGGGCCACCCCTGCTGACCAACTTCTTCCAGGAACTCAGGTATGAAGTTGGCTGAGCCACTTTAAGAGAAGTCTCCTAGCAGTGATGATGCCATGAAAGATTATGCATCTGCAAATAACAGAAGAAGCTATTATCATTTACTGGGTCCCACCTGTATGCTGGCATTATGTATAATAAACATTCTCTCACCTGGAAACAACAGGTACCTGACCTTTTGTTTTGGTCAAATTGTCCTTCTAAGAAGTAGCAGCCAGCAGTCTGAAGACAGATTTACTAACGACCACCCTAGCCCCCTCTCCCCTTTTCCAAACTCTTTCCAATCGTCTCAGCCCTTCTTTCCACTGGGAAGGTTACCAAAATTAGCAAAGCAAGGCTGAATTCAGCCGGATTAAATCAGTCCATATAAAACCACTCGGCATAAACAAGTGTGGCAAACACTTGCCATGCTTAAATATCTTTGAAAGATAATGCTGGGTTTAAAAGAATCATTCTAGAACTTTCCATGCAGCGTATACGCATTGCAAAGTCACCAAGCGGTGATGTGCAAATATAAATCTCATTTTGTTTTTATCAGTGTGCACATTTCTTTGACTAGTCCTCATATCTGCCTAGAGAGAGGAAAACTGAATTCAGGACAATTTAGACAGCTGAGGCCAACCCTGTCATTTTTTTAGCCCCTTTGAACTGAACTGTAACAGGATCTCTCTCCAGTATGCATTCGGTCAAGTACAGGCATTATTATTATTATTATTACTACCAGTTTTCATCTAGTTTAACACTCCCTCTGAGTTTCTGCTTGCCCCTTCCTCCCGTCTGACTCTTAAGCTCCCACAGGCCCTCACTCTGATCATTTCCTGGCAGCCTCAGCCTCAGAAAAAGAAGGAAGAGGCCTCAGGAACCTGGCTGAATATTGGTGATGGGGAGGTTCTGCATCTGGCTTTTGGTCTGCTTTTTGGCTGCCTCCAGCCGATCTGTCCTTGTCTGTTGCAAGCTGTAATGTGTGGTGCACTTAATGTGCTCCTCTGCATAGCTTTTAGATATGGACAGACCCACAGGAATGCACTTCCTTCCCTTGCCCCCAGAAACCCATCTCTAGTCATCCCGCAGCTATAGGCCTGGGTAGCAGCCAGATTCTAGGGCTCACCAACTTCTATAGCTCATGCTGAGCCCATGGAAATCTCACATGCCTTTGCCACACCGCACAGTGGGGACGTGGGCTATCTCAGACATGTTTTTCCTGTCTCTCAGCTGTACTGGCTGACACCAGCTTTTCAGAGGATTCAAGATGAGAAATGCACACCAGCTCTATCTTCCAGAATGCTTCCTTCAAAAGTCTCTGGGTGGATTCTCCTGGTGCCTCTTCCTTGAGATTGGGCAGGTCCAGTGCCTGCATCCTTCCATAAGGCTAGAAGGCTCCACAAAGCCTCATCTGTCCAAAAAGAGCCAGTCTCATCCCTCCCAGTCCCTTTGTATAGATCCTAGTGGCAATGCTCACAAACCAGGTCTTCTTGTTTATGCAAATAAATTTTGTTTTACACTTGGCAGGGTCGCCACTGAACCTGGCCATTGATAACCTAGATTATTTGTTCTTGGCAGTCACGATGGAATGGTAGAGTGTGGGGAGTGATGACAAGGAAGGAAAAAGAACAGAACTGTGCTTTGGTGACTTGAGTCATTGCCATATGTAAAAACAAAATACCTAGCAGGCCCCTACCTTACACACACCTATATTCTACTCTTCCATGGGACAAGTGGCTACTCACTCTACTCATTATGATTATGAACTCAAAAACACTGCATTTAAAAAGGACTTTAGAGATAATGTAGTCTAACTTCCTAAATTTGCAGATAAGAAAATTAAAATCTATATGCATGAAAATATGAAAAACTTGTTTTCTCCTATAGCTTATTCCTTTTGCCAGAAATTCTGGAGCATTTTAAGTGGAAGAAAATAGGTGCTAGCTATTTTAGTACAATCTGCAAACTCAAGATAATTAAAATTACAGACAGAAATATTTTAGGCTGCACTTATAAACTGATTATTTCCAAGTTCCTGAACAAAACCTCTTAAATTCAAAGAATTTATCTGAGTGCTGCATTTTCCTTTGAAGAAAATCTTAATTCAGCTGACAGAGGTAGAAAAAAGTACTTGGAAAGCTAGACAGCTCCTTAGGGACACCTCTGTCCTCCTATTTGGAGAGGCTCAGTAAAGGGGAAGTGTGATTTATTAATCAGAGGATGTGATGGTTACCATTACGTGTCAACTTGTCTTGGCTATAATACACAGATATTTGGTTAGACATTGGCCTAGATGTTGCTGTGAAGGTATTTTTAAGATATGTTTAACATTTAATTCAGTAGGCTTTTTTTTTTTTTCTTTTTTTTTTCAGAGATTGGATCTCGCTATGCTGCCAAGGCTGGTTGCAAACTCCTGGCCTCAAGTGATCCTCCCACCTTGACCTCCCAATGTGCTGTGATTATAGGTGTGCATCACTGCACCTGGCATTGATTCAGTAGACTTTGAATAAAGCAGATTATTCCCCAAAATGTGAGTGGGCCTCATTCAATCGGTTGACAACATTGAGAAAAAAAAAGGTCCCTCAAGGAAGAAGTTCTGCCTCCAGACAATCTTCAGGCTCAAGTTGCAACAGCAATTCTTCCCTGAGTCTCTAGGCTGCTGGACTTCCCTGCAGAATTCAGATTTCCCAGGCCCAATACTTTCATGAGCCAATTCCTTAAAATAAATCTATCTATTGATTGATAAATTGATCCATATCTATCTATATTATAGCTCTATCAATATTATACATATATATAAAGACAAATATCTATCTATTATCTACATATCTGTCTATCTACACATCCTATTGGTTTTGTTTCTCTGGGGAAGTCTGACTAATACAGGGGGTATCACAGTAACTTGATCAATTTGCAGTGAGTGACTCACACTAAGCCCAAAGAATGGTTCAGTCCTATCTGTTCTTATCACCTGGAGAGACTCTGACCTTCCCCACAAGGTCAGCAACAGGAAGTGCAAATTAATAAGACTGAGACTCACCACCTGGCCAGAATTCCCAGGGAAACCTGAACATCATAACTCATTTGCCACCCTTTGTGCCAATGATGGTGTTTCTGAAAAGCTACTAATTGTGAGAAGGAAAAGCCAGGGAAGTCGTAAAGCTCAGGGCTAGGGTCTTCTATGCTTACCGTCAATTTATCCTCTCAAGACTCAAAATCAACTAGCCCACTGTAGTGAAGACCCTCTATTTTTATAGAAACCAATATGAAATTTTATAGAAACTAATATGAAACAAGCTCCATTTGGTGCTTTCTCTGGTTTTTGAGGTGCAATGGTGAAGCCCTGCTCTTCTCTGTTTCACGCAAGGCTCATCCATACCTGGCTGGGACCTCCAGGTTTAATGAAGATAAGGCAAATGTGTGAACTGAAGGACCAGATATAGAATTGCTCTGTGCTTTGGACATGAAGACCATTTTCTCCTGAAGTTTAGTGATGCAGAAAGTGTCACAAAGTGAAGTTGGCCTCATTTCAGAGGTTCAACATTGTCAGGACCAATACCCCTGGGATTCTTTTGACTTTTCATCCATGGTCACAATGTGGCTGCTTCCATTTCAGGCATGACTTTCACTTTTAAGGCAGGAAGGAAAGGCACAGAACAGCAACAGCAGGAAAACAAATGCTTTCCAATAATCCCAGCAGATAGTTGCTTAGGTCTCATTGGTCAGAACTTGGACACCTGGCCCCTCAGCTGAATAGCTGTAAGGGAGTCTGGCGAAATATTTAGCTCTTCTAATCTTGTTAGTAGAAGGAAGAAGAAGATTATAGTGTATTGGTATTTGATATGAATCAGAATTATATATATTTTAAGAGCTATGATAAAATATTTTTGCATATAGTGGAGAAATATTTATGTAATACAACTCTCCCAAAATAAATGTTGCTTTTAAGGCCACCCTGTAGGTCAGAGTTTTCCAAATTGTGGGTTATGAAATGTATTTAGTGGGACTCCACTAGAAGGAAGAGCAGGAGGAGGAGTAGGAAGAGGAGGAGTAAAGAAGAGGAAGGGAGAGATGGAGGACAAGGAAGAGGAAGATGATGAACAAATGGAAAATAACAATAGAAAATATCAGAGTGAAACTTTTGTTTCAGATATGTTTTTCTTACTCTTGGTTACTGTCAACAGAGTTTGAAAGCTACTATTATAGAGCATGTGATTAGCAGGTTTTAAGAGATTTTTGCATACACAGCTTTGCTCTTACCACAGCGAGTTTATGCATGTTGAACGCGCCCTGCACTTGTTTAGAATCTTTATTCTTAGCGTCTTTCCTGGTCCCTTCTTCAAATATGTATTTCCTGCTTAAACATCTGCTTGATCCTGCTACTTTCTCTCCACTTCATTCTTTCCTGGAGCAGTCGATCACCTATAACTGAGTAGTCTACGTTCACAACATCTTTTCTTCTGCACTTCCTCCTTGGAAATTGGATTCTGTTCCCCACAACTCCCACCTCCCTTCTCCCATACACATTCTCCAAAGATCCTTAATGCTAAGTTCAGCCTTTCCTGGCCAGCCAAAGTTCTTCATCACTTTGTTGAAGGGTGTGTTTTTTGGCCATGTCCTCCTTGAAACTCTCTCCTCTCTCTACCTCCTCCTGACTGCCTTTCTCCCTCCCTTTCCATCATCGACTCTGTTTCCTCCTGTCCCCTGAACCTGGGAAAATATCCACAGAACACAGCCTTCTGCCCTCTGCTCTCTTTTCTTGCAATCTCTCTCTGCCTCTTCCTCTCTCTCAAAGATACAATTATCATCACCTTTAGCTAATGATTCTACTCCTGCATTTGCAGTTCTGATCTCTCACTCTTACAACCTGTACTCCACTCTTGCAAGACTTGAACTCAGAATATCTGAAAGGAGATGAATCACTTCCCAACGCAAAGCTGCTTTTTTCTACAAATTTTTCTGTCTCTGTAAACGGGACAACAATTCTTCAGTGATCTAGGTGGACATTATCAAAACCGTCTTCACCTCTTTGCTCTCTTATCCTTTATTTTTTATTTTTATTTTTATTTTTATTTTTATTTTTGAGACTGAGTCTTGCTCTGTCATCCAGGCTGGAGTGCAGTGGAACAATCTTGGCTCACTGTAACCTCCACCTCCAGGGTTCAAGCGATTCTCCTGCCTCAGCCTCCCAAGTAGCTGGGATTACAAGCATGATTTTTGTATTTTTAGTAGAGATGGGGTTCCGCCTTGTTGGCCAGGCTGGTCTCAAACTCCTGACCTCAAGTGATCTGCCTGCCTTGGTCTCCCAAAGTGTTGGGATTACAGGTGTGAGCCACCGCGCCCAGCTTCTTTTATCCTTTACATCCTTCCCCAAAAGCAGTCCATGCTGGGGGGAACAGAATGCCTTCCACTTGCCGCCTGTCCTGGGCTCTGGTAAGAGAGAAATATTTGAGGGAGCAGGCGCTACCACCCCGCCTTTTTCTCAGCTAGGTTAACGCTTAATTCCTGGAATTTCTTCTTTGAACAGAATCATTCTTTTTAAATTTCTGTATGTTGAATCCATTATTTTTTAATGAGAAGAACATCATTTTTTTATTCCATTAAGCATTTATTTTCAAAATTTAAATCAGTGCTGAGAGGCATTAAACATGTAAATTATTTCTCTCCATTTAAGAAATGATTTGGCAATGCATCTACAGAACCATGAAAACATTTATACCACTTGATATAATAATCAAAATTCTAAGGAAAGAAAAGGCTAGAATGCAAAGGTGTTCATTATATATCTATGGAAAAATCAAAAGCAGCTTAACAGTTTAACAATTAAAGAATGGCTTGGCAAATTATTCTTAAGAAATTATCACTTTCATTAGCTATGATGCAGCCATTAAAAATGATCATTACAGAAATTATGTAGCAATCTGGAAACATAGAAAAAAGCAGAATATAAATTGCATTTCTGCTGCGATTATAGCTATGTTAAAATTAGGCATGTCTTTTGGCAAGAACTAGAAAGAAATGTGAGTAACTAGGAAGAACCATTAAAACCTAAGCTTAATCCTTAGCTTGCAGGTACAAAGCTGATTTTTTTCCAGAGTTTTCTGAAGTAGTTAGGATTAGATGGACTTAGTCAGCTGATAAAATGCAGAAGAGACTCATGCCAGAAAGCTAAGTTAATTACTTGCAAAAGGAAATTACCAAGCACACAGGAATAGCATTATTGCTTTTTCTGCCTATGAATAAAGTTATATGAAAAGCCAAATTGTAGTCAAAATGCTGTTTTCTGAGAATGGAATCAGAGGAGCAACTGAATGATCTCAATGGCTATTGTCAATAAAGGCCTGGCATGTCATCTCCACCTGGGTGCGTGCCTACAAACCAAACCAAATACCCATGGTCATCAGTCAGCGTCTTCTCCACCTGGTGCTAAAGAGAGATGACGCTTTGTTAATTTGGGGGTTTTTCCTTTTTTTTTTGATTCTGTACCAACCTCTCTCATCTCTCTATTCATACTTGTTTGCTCATGTTTTCTTCAGATGCTAAAACCAGTCATGTTATGCAAAGTACATCCCATAGAATAACACGTAAGCTTGGAAAATTTGGGGTTAAGCAATGTTAAGTGCTTATTCCTGCAAGACTTCTGCAGAGTCTTTATGTATTGATGTGAATTATGAACCTACTTCATGGCATGTTTCAAGCTAATCTGAGCACCTTTTATTTCTCAAGTAATTCCCTCAGCATGAACAGCAGTAGAAATGCTGGGGTCCAGTTTTCTGGCCTTCACATTTGTTTAAGTCTTGATTACATTATAGGTCCTAGTCCCACATTCAGCCTGAGGAAATCCTACTTTGTTGGAATCACTTCTGTATAAAGGTAATCTTACCTGTTTTATATTGAATCCATTGTTTAAATTTCTTAATTGTGGTGGGGTCACCTAACTAACGTATACACATACTAGCTATTTATTATATAATTTATATATATATATACATTATTTTTACTAAAAAGGGTTAGTGACATTTGAAAAAAATTAGCAGGAAAAAAAGCATTATCCATATCCCCACTATCCTAATTTGACTATGTGCAAAAAATGCAAGGATTTATTTTGTATATTCTTATAGTTTCTCCACAATTAATAAGCTTTTAAAAAAATACCTTCCCTCAGCCGGGTGCAGTGGCTTACATCCATAATCCCAACACTTTGGGAGGCCAAGGCGGGCAGATCACCTGAGGTCAGGAGTTCGAGACCAGCCTGACCAACATGGAGAAACCCCGTCTCTACTAAAAATACAAAATTAGCTGGACGTGGTGACGCATGCCTGTAATCCCAGCTACTCAGGAGGCTGAGGCAGGAGAATCGCTTGAACCTGGCAGGCGGAGCTTGCGGTGAGCCGAGATCGCACCATTGCACTCCAGCCTGGGCAACAAGAGCAAAACTCTGTCTCAAAAAAAACAAAAAACAAAAAACAAAAACCCAAAAAAACACCCTTACCTCAATCATTCATTTAAAAATATAATTAAAATCAAAAGTACTGAGTGTTCATTGTTTCAGCATTCATGTCTTCCTTTAAAATTACCAATTTAAAAATAAGTTCCAGGAGGTTGTCTAATCCTTTCCCATGCATATAGAAAATAGGGTGCCTAATCCATTTGAAATATGATAACCTGCTATTATATTCAAAAACTTTTCCAGGAAAGAGAAAGATACAATAAGAGAATGTATCTCCTCTCCCACAGTGGTTACCTTCCTGCAGTATTTGGGGAAAAGACAGCATGTCTCACGTCCTCATCTAAGTAAGTCAGTGTGGCTTCTCCATTGTTCTCTGGCTCCTACCCACAATTTCCAGGGTCATCTTGCTTATTTCACTCTTGGTCGCTAGAATTCTGGGCACCAGCGGGGTCAAGTTGAGGAGGCTACAATTCCCTTATTGCTATGCAATAGAATTTTACTGGATGTTTGCAGGTTAAAGAAAAAAAAAGAGAGAGAGAGAACAGAAATTTCAGTTCAGGACAAAACAGAAAACAATTTTAAATTTACAATTTTATTAGACATTACTCTTCTTATAAAACCAACGACTTCCCTATCACTGGGATTTTCTCAAACTAGGCTTGGTATGTTGCTGGAAGCTAACCTCTTCCTTACGTTTCTCCCTAGATGCCAGGTTAACCTCCCCAAATTGCTGTTACTTTCTAGTGCTTTCTAACTACAGTTAGGCAGTTAACCCGTGTAACCCAGTGGTTCTTGACTGGGGGTAGTTTTGCTCCCTTGCTCCCAGGGCACATTGGCAATATCTGGAGACCTTTTTGATTGTCACTACTGAGCAGGGAGGTTCTATTGGCATCTAGTGGGTAGAGGACAGGGATGCTGCAAAACTCCTACAATGCATAGGACAGCCTCTCATAGCCAAGAATTATCCAGCCCCAAATGTCAATAATGTGCAGTCGAGAAACTGACCTAACTACAATCCATTGGAACCAAACTAGGATCAGGTCACTTGTCTCCAAATCTGGAGATTGATTAAGGTGTTTTGTTAAACAATTTACTCCAAGACCATCTCTAGCAATCTAAAGAATCAGTGAACATTTTGAAATTACTTGTCTTTCTTTAGAAACTCCTGATTCCATTCTTGAGCAGGATTATTATACCTACCTATTTCTGGAAAGTAAGAGGGGCAATAGAAATATTTATTCTTCCCTATTGAGAAAAAGTCCCTCAGAATTGGGGATATTTTATTCCAGTTACAATTACATCTAAACTACTTTTTACGTTCCTTTTTCTAAAGCCTTACTGATATAGAGCATTTTGCTGGTGGCAGAAAAATGAAGACAAGGCTCATTGTTGGGTGGCTCTGCAGCTGTAGAAGTCAGAGGATTGGTGTTGTGGTTAGAAAATGGGTCACCTGGCCAGGCATGGTGGCTCACACCTGTAATCCCAGCACTTTGAGAGGCCGAGGTGGGCAGATCACGAGGTCAGGAGTTCAAGACCAGCCTGGCCAACATAGTAAAATCCCGTCTCTACTAAAAATATAAAAATTAGCTGGGCGTGGTGGCACGTGCCTGTAATCCCAGCTACTCAGGAGGCTGAGGCAGGAGAATTGCTTGAACTGGGACTCGGGAGGCGGAGGTTGCAGTGAGCTGAGATAGCCCCACTGCACTCCAGCCTGGTGACAGAGTAAGAATCCATCTCAAAAAAAAAAAAAAAAAAAAAGAATAATAATAAGAAGAAAATGGCTCATCTTTGTGTTAATAGTTTATTTCGTGTGAGTATTGTGCACCTCTCATCATGATGCTTGCCCTGTTGTGTTATAATTTCCTACTTACCTAGATGACTTCAGTACTCCCTTGACCACATCTCCCCTTAATTTTTAAGGTCCTCAAAAGTATCCCCAATCCTAGCATAGTGCCTGGACCATAGTGACCCTAAACAGTTGTTTGGTAAATAAATACATAAATAATTACTCAATGGAATCAGGTAGAATAAAATAACATAATTCAAGTTGAGGTTGAAATATAAAGAAGGACTTGAATTAATATGCAAATATGGGGAAAAATCACTAAAAGTTCCAGTCATATGACCATGAAGTTTCATAATACTAATTTCTTTAAAGAGTCATTTTTAAAAAGTAATTTATAAAGGTAATTTTTTAAAAAGTATTTTTTAAGTGTAATTTCTCCGGTCCTATATACTCAGATAAACAAAATGACTTATGTGTAGATACAAATATATTTTCCCTGTGTTTGGGACTGTGTTTGGGACCCTTAAGGATCTCAAAACTTGAGTGTGTATCAGAAATGCATAGGATGCTATTAAAATACAGATTTCCAGGTCTCAACCCCAGCAATTTTGAACCATATGATGTGAGGCCCAGACATAGGCATTTTAAAGAAACTCAGCAAATGATCCTAAGTTTGGTTAGAGTCTTATTTTAAGAAACATTCTTGGCTGGGCGCGGTGGCTCACGCCTGTAATCCCAGCACTTTGGGAGGCCGAGGTGGGCGGATCACGAGGTCAGGAGATCGAGACCATACTGGCTAACACGGTGAAACCCCATCTCTACTAAAAATACAAAAAATTAGCCGGGCGAGGTGGCGGGCACCTGTAGTCCCAGCTACTCGGGAGGCTGAGGCAGGAGAATGGCGTGAACCCGGGAGGCGGAGCCTGCAGTGAGCCGAGATCGCGCCACTGCACTCCAACCTGGGCGACAGCGAGACTCCGTCTCAAAAAAAAAAAAAAAAAAAAAAAAAAAGAAACATTCTTTATTATAGCATACTTCTAAAAATAACAACAATAATAATAATATACACCCCAGACCTTAGCCTAATGATATTTATTTTCATTCATCAGTAAAATATGACTTCAGGCTGAGTCCTGGGTGGAGAGAGGTGGCTAGAATTTCTTAAATCCTTAAATACTGTCTGAATTGGTCATGTTCTGGAATGAAAACTGGGTAAGTCTGCAGGTTGATTTAAGTGGTCAACTTGGGGAAGAGGGGAGCCAATGAAAGTATGATAAGGAGTCAGATGGAGACTTCCTTAAGGAGAATTCTACATGCCTGTCAGGGCTTTTTGGTGAGGTTGCTGTCACTGTTTATTAATTTTAGCTAATTTTATTTCAAAACACAGATTTTATTTGGGCTTTAAAATGTTTTATTCATACTACTCTAATGTTTAAAAGCCATCAGTAGGTGAAATGAAATGAAATCAAGAGGGAAGTGAAGAATAAAAGAGAAAGGAAAGAAGTTTTTCTCCAGTAAACAGGTAAGGGCTGGTTTAAAGAAAGAAAGGTAAAACACGCTTAAAGAGAATCTGCCTGGAATCAGTTTATGAGCGCTGCAGCCCAGCTTGTCTCTGTTGTGGTCCCTACCCTGTGAGATGAAAACAGTGTTACAAAAGTGAGACACCAGCTGAAGTCCCAGCAAAAGCTTGTCTGCCACTCTAGTCCTAAGGAACCTGGATCCTTCCACTCCACAAGGCTCCCTACTACGGACTGAATGCTGTGTCACCCACACCCTAACTTCATATGTTGAGGCCTAATCCCCAGGGCGATGGCATTTGGAGGTGGGGCTTTGGGGAGATATTACTTTTAAAAATTGCTAAAACCGAAATTACTTTTGCAACAACCTAATAATTACATCATGGCAGTGAGAAGACTGCCATCTGCAAGCCAGGAAGCAGGCCCTCGACAGACATTAAATCTGCCAGCACCTTGATCTTGGATTTCCCAGTCTGCAGAACTGTGATAAATAAGTGTTTGTTGTTTAAGTCACCCAGTTTATGGTGTGTGTGTTATAGCAGCTCAAATGGACTAATACAGTCCCTAGGACAGAACTGAGTACATATGAACCCCTTCCTAATGTATGGTTGATTATTTACATTACTTCACACTCATCATCTAAAGAAAGCTCCAAAGAGCAGGGACTTTGTCTGCTTACTGCTGTATCCTTAATTTTTAAAAATTGCCCAAAGATGTAGTTCTTGATGTTTTGAATAAAAGATTATATAAACAGCAAATCCAACATCTCAGGAGCTCACAGCCAGGAAGAAAGATGTTGTTTCAAGCAACGGGCAGTGAGTTCTGACAGAGACAGCTGGAAAAATATGAAAAAGACCATGCTTTTCTGGTAAGCTTTATTTTTCTTATCTCTAGTATAAACATACTTAATTTGGTAAAGAAAAACTGAATTCTAGCAACTTATAAATTATATGCCGGCATGTACAAGTCTAAAGAGCCAAAGTCATTGTAATATATGCTAAGGGCAAAGGGAAATAGTCAATAGCTTTGTTAGAATGTCTTCAGGTCTTTGAGTTTGGACAAGGTAAACCTCAATATAATAATATTTTCTGAAAAGTGAACTTCACAAAACAAATGACAAAGCAATGATTCATTCATATACTTCACATTCAGAGTTTATTTACAATTGAATATGTTGACATTACCTCTGCTAGAATGGCTTTTTAGACTTCTTTGAGAGGTCTGTGAGAAACCTGTTTAGATGAAATGAGAATTTATGCGGTCAAAAATATTTTTAAGGCCTGAAGACACCCTTGATGCAGCCCCTTTCCTTCATCACTAAAATGTATCTCTGTACTTCCTGCTTCTGGTCAACAGCCAGAGAAAGATGGGGCAAAAGGTGTTGCCCCAGCACAAGCAGAAGGCAGTCAGTAATTGAAGCTGTGTAAAATGCATGTTCTGCCTTACAGTCTTTCTTAGTTTAATATTTAGAATCCAGGGCATTACATTTTCCTGATAACAACAGCAAAATGGGCGTTTTATACAGGCTTGCAGCTAATCTTATTAAAATGAGACAAAGGCAAAATTTCCACCTATTTTTCCTGGAAAAGAAAATACCTGGAGAAACTGTACTTAAAGATGTAATGCAAAAGCATTAAATAAAACCATTTGGTCAATAAAATTTAGCAGCTAAAATTAAGGTGTGAAGACACATTTGCTGTTTTTTTTTAAGTGCAGAAAAGATTTAAATATTTTGCAAAGTGTTCTTTCCAGTAGAATTGACAATATAGACCCCCTACAAATCATAGGGCTGTTACTGTTTTGTCATACAAACTAGACATCTAAACATTGTCCTAGACTTTGTTTCTGGAATTTCTAAATTTACATCCCTTCTATTGGGAGAATTTAGCCCTGGTTCAGGCAATAATGCTTTAAACCTGAGTCCAATAGCTAGCCAGACTGGTGTCGTCCCTGCTAAGATCCACAACCATGGTGTGTACAAAGCCCCAGAAGCTTTGCCAATGATACATGGATGGACGACCTAAAAGTCTCTTGTGTCATTGAAGAACATAGGAGCAACAGGACCTCCAGACCACTTAGTCCATTAACTGAAGATTACAACTCTTGTAGAATCCCCAAGCAATGGGAGAATTTGATCTAGGCTTCTTGGTTCACAGTAATTTTTTTCTGCATTGCCTTACGGTTTTCCTTCCTAATATCTGTGATTGTCATAAAGTAATGTAGCACTATAATACGAAGTATGGGTAATGAGGCCAAATATATCCTCAGTATAGATCAACCATTCAACCCATTGATTTTTGACTTTTCAGTTATACTTTACTATCTTGAGGATTTCTTACTTTATTTTATTTTAGATTCAGAGGGTACGCATGCAGGTTTGTTTCTTAGCTGTTGTGAACACATCCTCTCCTTACCTACAGAGAGAGAGACAGCGCAACAGTGAGGGTAAAGTAGCAAATACTAGTTCAACAGGGATTTTTACCTTATTTTTGAGCTCAGGAGGCTATTTGGAAGACATAACTTACATGTTAAGAAAGTGCAATTTTAAGAATATTCTCGGCTTCTCTGCCTATGGAGTAGTCATTCTTTCATTCCTTTACTTTCTTAAAAAAAGAGAATATTCTCATTGGCTTAAGAGGATTGGGGCAAAGTATTTTTAATTTTAATTTACTTGCATTTTCTGGATGTGTTTTATATGCCATATTATGCATATGATGACTTCAGGCTTCTCTACATCTTCCACATTCCTGTAGATGAATGATGCCCTCCCCATTCCCAACTCTCAGGGATGTCCTTGATGTCTTCATGAGTGGTACACAGAAGTGCTGAGCACGTGTTTTTTATCGGTATTTGTCTACTCTTCAAAAAAGCTTTTTTTTTTTTTGCATCAGGTTATTAAGTAGCCAGTAGAATATAAGATATTATCAAATACATGTTAAGATCCAACTCATTCTATTAACATTCTGCATATCTCTTTGCAGTTGACTTGGCTAAAACTATTATTTTAGTGAGTAACTATATATTTGTTTATTCAGTTTTAACCCCAATTCTAATTGTTATTCTTCTATTTTCTTGTAGCCACAATAGTTTGAAAATTGAGGTAGAGTTTATTTGCCAAAAATTCTAGGTCTAGATTGTCTTTTCCTAGTGATTTGTTTTTTTTAAAGACTTGTTTTGCAAAATTAAAATTAATCCTAAAAAACTGGTTGTTTTCTTGTTATTAAATTTTGAGAGTTTCTTATTATATTCTTATACATTCTTTATCAAATATATGATTTGTAAATATTTTCTTCCAGTATGTAGTTTGTCTTTTTATTCTCTTAAAATCTTTTGAGGAGCAAAAGTTTTTAATTTCGAAGTTCAATGTTTCAAATTTTTCTTTTATGGTTCATGCTACCTTTCATATCTATGAAATCTTTGCCTAACACCAGGTCACAGAGGTATTTTTCTATGTTTTCATCTACAAGTTTTATAGTTTGGAGTTTAGCTTGTCAGTCTATGACCATTGATGTTAATTTTTTTATGTAGTGGAAGATATTGATCTAAGTTCATTTATTTTTGCCTATGGATATTCAAATGTCTCAGTACCATTGTTGAAAAGGCTGTCTGCAATGGATTGAATGTTTGTGTCCCTCCAAAATTCATATGTTGAACTTTTCATCCTCAGTGTGATGGTATTAAAAGGTGGTGCCTTTGGGAGGTAATTTGATCTTCAGGATGGAGCCCTCATAAATGGGATTAGCACCCTTGTAAATGGAACCTCAGAGAGCTCTCCTGTCCTCTTCTACCATGTAAGGATACATCAAGAAGACAGCAATCGGAAGCCTGGAAGAGGGCACTCAGCAGAATCCAACCATGCTGGCATCCTGATCTCAGACCTCCAGCCTCTGTAACTACAAGAAGTAACTTTTTATTCTTTATAAATCACCCAGCTTGTGCTAATTTGTTAGAGCAGACTTAACTATTCTTTCCCCCACTGAATTGCCTTTGTACCTCTATCAGCAATTAGTTGTGTATATATGTGTTGGTCTATTTCTGGGCACTTTATTCTATTCCATTGATCTGTTTGTCTGTATTAATGACAATATCTCACTGTCCTGATTTCTGTAACTTTATAATTAAAGTCTTGACACCAAGTAGTGTCAGTCCTCTATATTGTTTTTTTCTCAAAATTATTTTGGCTATTCTAAGTCCTTTGCATTTCCGTATGATTATTTATTTATTTGCTTTCCACCTTGGTTGAATGCCATCCATATGACTTTAGAATCAATTTGCCAATTTTTATTAAAATGTCTGCTGAAATTTTGATTGGGATTGTGTTGAATCTACAGATCAATTTAGAAAGAATTGCAATTGTAAAAATATTGAGTCTTTCAACTCATGAACGATAATGTATCTCTATTAATTTAGGTCTTTAATTGTTTTTAGGCAATGTTTTGCAGTTTTCAGTGTATAGGTCTTTCACGTATTTTGTCAGATTTATACAAGAAATGTATTTCCTATTTCTTGATACTATTGTAAGTGGCATTGTCTTATTTCAATTTCTAATTGTTTGTTGATACGATATAGAAATACAATTTAATTTGTGCATCAATCTTATATCATGCCACCTTGCTAAACTCATTTATTCATTCAAGTAGTTTTTTTTGTAGATGTCATTATATTTTCTACATAAAGGGCCATATCATTTGAAAAAAAATAATCTACTTCAACCTTTTCAATCTGGATAACTTTTATTCCTTTTTCTTGCCTTATTGCATTGACTAGAACATCCAGTACAATGTTGACTTGAACTGGTGAGAACAGACATCCTTTTCTTTTTTCTTATCTTGGGGAGAAATTATTTGGTCTTTCATCATCATGTGTGAGGTTAGATGTAGGTTGTTCATCGATGCTCTTTATAAGGTTGAGGAATTTCCTTCTATTTCTAATTTGTTGAGTGTTCTAAAATCACCATAAATAAAAATTGCCTTCTCTCTTGCATTGTTCCTAATATGGAATCTACTGTTATCTTTATTTTTGCTCTTCTATGTATAGCATGTGTTTTCTATCAGAGTGCTTTTAAGACTTTCCCTTTATCACAGGTTTTGAATAATTTGATTGTGCTGTGTGGGTTTGAAACTTTCATCAAACTTGAAATAATTTTAGTCATCATTTTTTCAAATATTTTCTCTGCCCCTTCCCACTCTCATCCTTCTGAGTGATTCTGATTAAACATAAATAAATCCACTTGAAGCTGTCCAATAGTACACTGATGTTTTGTTCATTTTTATAAACATCTATTTTCTCTATATATTACATTTTGGATAGTGCCTATTACTCTATCTGAAAATTCACTACTTTTTTTCTTTTCTTATGTTCAATCTTCTGTGAATCTCATCCAGTGAAGTTTTTTCATCTCAGAAACTGTAGTTCTCATCTCTTGATGTTCTATTTGTTTTTTAAAACCATCTTTTGTGTCTCTGTTTAACTTTTTTGTCTGTAAGCAATACAGTTGTAATCACTGTTTTGTCTGTTATTTCTTCCATGTATCTAGATCTGTGTTTATTTTGGTTGATTGCTTTTTTCCTATTATAGTTTATGTTTTTCTTTATCCCTAGTGATAATTGGCATGCCTGGTAATTATTAATTCGATGTAAACAATTGGGAATTTTTGTTTGTTTGTTTTTGTTTTTTTCTTTTTATTTTTAGTTCTGGAGTACATGTGCAGGATATGCAGGTTTGTTATGTAAGTAAATGTGTGCCATGGTGGTTTGCTGCACCTATAAATCCATCACCTAAGTATTAAGTCCAGCATGCATTAGCTGTTTTTCATAATGTTCTCTCTCCTCTCACCCCAACCCTCAACAGGCGCCAGTGTGTATTGTTCCCCTCCCTGTGTCCATGTGTTCTCATTGGTCAGCTCCCACTTATAAGTGAGAATATGCGGTGTTTGGTTTTCTGTTCCTGCGTTAGTTTGCTGAGGATAATGGCTTCCATCTTCATCCATGTCCCTGCAAAGGACATGATCTCATTCCTTTTTATGGCTGCATAGTATTCCACGGTGTATATGTACCACATTTTCCTTATCTAGTCTATTGTTGATGGACAGAGATATAAATAGACACTTCTCAAAAGAAGACATTCATGTAGCCAATAAACATATGAAAAAAAGCTCAACATCACTGATTATTAGAGAAATACAAATAAAAACCACAATGAGTTAACATCTCATCCCGGTCAGAATGGTGACTGGCAGATGCTGGCAAGGTTGCAGAGAAATAGGAATGCTTTTACATTGTTGGTGGGAATGGAAATTAGTTCAACCATTGTGAAAGATGGTGTGGTGATTCCTCAAAGATCTAGCACCAGAAATACCATTTGACCCAGCAATCCCATTACTCAGTATAAACGCAAAGCGATTGGGAATTTTACCTTGTTGCAAGCTTTATATCTCTGTAAATATTCTTGTGTTTTTGTATTAGTTCATTTTCATGCTGCTAATAAAGACATATCCAAGACTGAGTAATTTATAAAGGAAAGAGGTTTAATTGAGTCACAGTTCTGCAGGGGTGGGGATGCCTCAGGAAACTTACATTCATGGTGGAAGGAGAAGCAAACATATCCCTCTTCACATGGCAGCAGCAAGGAAAAGTGCCAAGCAAAAGGGGAAAAGCCCCTCATAAACCATCAGATCTCATAGAACTCACTCACAATCATGAGAAAAGCATGGGAGTAACGGCCCCCATGATTAAATTACCTCCCACTGGGTCCCTCCCATGACATGTAGGGATCATGGGAACTACAGTTCAAGATGAGATTTGGGTGGAGATACAGCCAAACCAAATCAGCTTTGTTCTGGGACACAGTTAATGTATGTGAAAATAGTTCAATCCTTTCAGGTTTTGGTTTCATGATTTATTAAATGGGACGAGAGCAGTCCTCGTATTACAGGGCTAATTATCCCCCATTACCAAGACAAGACCTTTCTGAGTATTCTACCAAATGCCTTATGAAACATGAGGTTTTCCAGTGTGATTTCTGGGTACAGGCACTATGTTGACTCTGTGTGAATGCCAGACACTGTTACCTCTGTCCTTCCAGGTGATTCTGTTCCTGGCCTCAGGTAGTTTCCTTCCATGCATGTGCTAATTATTGCTCAGCTTAAAACTCAAAGGGAGTTACAGATCTTCAGATATCTTGCCTGGTAGACATTCCAGTGACTCTTGTCACTTTATTCACTCCCAACTTTTAGCTCTATTTCTAGTCAGGGAGTCTTCCAGGCTCGACTTGGGTTCTTCCCCCCTGCACTACAGACTGGACTCTCTCTCAAAACATTAAACCGGGGTAATCACAGGACTCACCTCATTCATCTCCTGTCTTTCAGGAATCACTGTTTTTGTCTGATATCCAGTGTCCTGAAAACCATTGTTTCATATACTTCTAAAATTTATTGGTTAAGGTGAGAGGGTAAATCTGGTCTTTTTCTCTATCTTGGCTGGAAGTGTAATTTGATCATAGAATATTTATTTGGAGAATGAGAACAGGTACTGCTCATTAGAAAGAAAAAGAAAGGGAAAAAAGAGAAAAGAAAAAAGGAAGAAAGAAAGAAACAAAGAAACAAAGAAAGAAACAAAGAAAGCAAGCTTTAAACAAGAAAGGAAAAAGGAAGTAAGGAAGGTTTCAAACAACTGCTTGTTAGGAAGCAGCAAAAGGAGAAAAAAATTGTATAGTTTTTCATGAAGCTAAATTTATTTAATTTAAATTGCAATTCCTTATACTGAGATGATCTATTTGCTACTTTTTGTGTGTCAAAAAATCTTTCATTTTGTTTTTTACCTTGCACAATTAAAACTGGTAACTCTTCTAACTAAAAAGATTACTGACCTCTCAAATTCCAAAGTCTAGAAAAGAGTCGTTGAAATTCAGGGGCTTTTAAAGTCTTAAAAGCAGTCTGAGAGAAAACACATGCTATATACAGAAGAGTAAAGATAAAGATAACAAGATTCCATATCAGAAACAATGCAAGAGAGAAGGCAATTTTTTAAAAAATAGGCAGGTGAGAAATTGATTTCCGAGGTGATAAAAAACTGAGAGTGCTTTGAAAGTTGTTGTTGTTGTTGTATCTGTATTTATCATTTTATTTCCAGTGTCCAGCACATAGCTGGCACTAAATATATGGTTGTTGAGTGAATGAATGAATTTGGTGCCTAACAACATAACACCCTAGGTCTGGCAGGCCTGGGAATTTTCCAGTGCAGCTCTCCTCTTAATTGATCTCCTTTATTAAAGTGGAAACAGTGTGACTAATTGGCTTTGACACAGGCTAATTTCCCCAGGTCACTGATGTGGCTGTCACATACCCCTCAGTAAACAAGCTCTTGTGCAAGGCACCTGAGGCAGGGTCTTGGACCATGACAACACAGCTAGGGAAAGAGGAAAGAGTACAGCATTAACTGGTGAATCTGTGAATATCTGACAGCACAGACACAAAAGTGGCAAACAATTGACCAAGCAGGTATCTCCTGTGGGTTACAACACCATTTTCTCATTAGAATCACTAGGGTTGCTTTTAAGACATATAGAATCTGTACACAGAGAGATTCACACTCAATTATTCTGGGATGGGGCAAAATTGGAAATTGAAACATTTTTAAAGCTCTCAGTTATTCTATCGTGCAGCTAGAATTACAAGTCACTGCATCAAGCCAACAAATGAATAATCCCAATCCTTCTATCTTTGATGATTTCAACAATTAAAAAAGTGTCCTATTTTCTGGCATGGTGCTACCAGTAGAAGGTAGGCATTAGAAGAACCCAAATATCAGCAAACATGAAACACTTCATTTTGGTGCCCATTTTTCTTTTATAAGTTCCCACTCATGTTCTATAGCAGGAAAATACTGCAATCTGTTAAGCACTGGTTTAATGTAATATATCTGTAGTCAAATTCAAGTATTATCATTTCAATTACTATCCAGTTCAAAATTCTCTCTTCACACTGCCTTCACTCCCTGCATTCAACTGCAATTCAAACTGCATTCAACTCTTGGTGAATTTCCAGGGAAGGAATCTCATGTTTGACTTCTTGTGAAGGCAGCAGGGAGAGGGGAAGATGAGGAAGAATGAGCTGACTGGTGCAGGCAGTGGGGCAGGTGGAAGTGGAATAGCTGATTTCAGTCACCTCTCTGCTGATTCCAGCTGCCAATATCATCACCCAGTCTGGTCGATGGGTACCACCTGCTGGCTCAGTGATCCTTGGATGCCTATGGCATTTTGACATTCACTTCGGCTTCATCCAGTCTCAGGATAGTGGTCTACCGTGAGCCTCTACAGATGGGATTCCTTCATGTCCACCCAAACTTTACAAGGCATGGAGCAAATGGAGACCCCATTCCCTAAGTATATATTTTTTAGAATTATAAATCAAACTAACAAATTGCTAAATGAAATATGTCCTGTCATCCTCACTTGACACACATACCTTTATGAGGACAAATTAGAAAAATATATATAAAGCCCAGAATTAGCAAAATATCAAAGACTATTGAATTTAATTTGTATTGCATGTACCTGGGCATTCTCTTCATGGGCTGGCAATGTTTGGATGAGTAATAATTCAGAAATTAGTATGTACTTACTTGCTAGAATCAAAATTTTTTGGTCATTTCTAGCAAAGTCACTAATTGTGTTGATAAAATTAATATTTTCATATATAACTTGTATTCTTGTGTCAGCAGTGATCAAATGGATTAAAAATTAAATGTAATTATATTAAAAATATATGCAATTTGAATGCATTAAGAAAATTTAAATTGGAGTAAACAAATATAAATAAATTTACTTTTCCTACATTTCTGAATAATTAAGATTTCATGTCAAATATTCAAGATTTATTAAAATTAAAAAGCCTATTTTATAAAAAAAAAACTATTTGCAATTCTAGGATTTAATGTCCATCAAATTGCCATAGTAAAGAACAGGAATTATGCTTCAGGCATATAACTAAACCTACATATATACATATTTAAGCATAATATGAACAATACTGCTATCCTCTTCACACTCCAAAGCAGCCTCTGTAGCAGCACAGCCCATAAACCTTCAGAGTTTTGCATATAACATCTTTTATTTACAGGATCTAATGCAAGTGGAGATTTCCCTGGGGCCTGCATAATGTCAGCTGGGAGAGCAAATATTTAGAGTTTTAGGTTGGTCTGTGCCAGCTCTGAGCTCTGATCTCAGACCCAGAATGGCAGCAATGCGTGTTCTTTAGTAAATGTATTTGTTGGCAAAGGCAGGACCCTGTAAAGCATGGGGTCCAGGACAGGGGACCCTTTAGCCTGAGACTAATATTACTACTGAGTCCCTTTGCTTCCTGTGTGTCCAGGGAACGGAAGTTTGCTTAGAATTCAACCAGCCAGTCAGCCATCTTATGGGGCCTCTCGGGCCCCAAGAATCTTAGACTCCCTATTACAACCACCTTGGGTGTTTGAAGAACTGGGAGGTGATTTGTGCCCTCTCCTGACTTGTTCTGCCCCCCTTTCTGAGGCCCTCTGCCTATGTCCAAAGCTCTCTGGTGGCCTTTGCGTGGGGCTTGGCATGTGCCAATGGGTTCTGTCACTTGGCACACTCCAAACGAGAAACTGGGGCCAGTCCCTATGTTCAGATGTACCCTTGAGCTTTGCGGGATTGTCTCTAGGGATCCTCTCTATGAGGGACCATGGCAAATGATCCCCTTTCTCAAGGAGCGAGGGTGTGAATAGAATGACTCTAATATCCCAAGATGTCTTCAAGAAGTCTCCCCAGTCTTACTCCTAAATCACTTCTAAATCACCACCTTTGGCAGGTAGGAGGAGGGCAAATCACTTCTCCTGATACACTCCAGTGTTTTTGTATCCTGCCTGGTGTGGTCCTCATGGAGCCTACACATTCATATCTATGTCTATTCTGGTGACCCAGGAATGAGTTTGGAGCAAGGAGAAAAATGTAAATTGAGGTCTCAGTTATTGTCATAGTTAATAGCGTATGAACTTCTCCAGAACTTATCTTTGGTGGGAAGATGACAAGAAGCAAAAATTTCTTCCTAAAATAGCTTTGAGAAGTTGCTATAACTGGCTAGATGACTGGCTTGAATCAACAAGTAATATTTGTGATATTAGAAAATAAAACCCCACCTTTCCACAAAACCTCTGGAAGGATACTTAAAATTTTTTTTAAAATTTTCATGGGTACACAGTAGGTGTATATATTTAAAATGGAGTACATTAGAAGGATATTTTAAAATGTGATTCTTCTTTACTGCTATTTGTTTAGTTGAGAGGGTCCCTAAAAATCCCTGGGAAAAATGTTGCAATCTTGCCACTCTGAGTAATCTTCCCCAGATTTACCACTTTCATTAGTGGTGATATCTTCATTGATATCCAGAAACTAAAAGAATTGAAAGAGAAGTCTTCATAATGTAGCATTCTTCACTGAAGTACGAATTCTGTTCAGGCAAGCCAGATGTTAAAAATCTTTGCTTTTCCCAAGCATCTCTTTGGCAGGATCGAAGAAAAAATAACTGAATATAATTGTTATCACTGTGCCATTAAGATAGTGTCTGCTTTTAAAATAGGAGTTTGGGAAAATGTGCTTTTCAAATTCAACTTTGGCTTCAATATCCCGGGCTGGGGGGCCAAGAGGATGGTAGGAATTGCTGTGTGTCAAATCCTCTTTACTTTGTATTCTGTTTTGTTGTAAGGAATCGTTAGGTATGGTCCTGCATGTTGAGGGGAAAATCAACCTACTGTGTCCGATCGCGGCAAGGCTCCAAGCATCAGCTCACTGCTCTCCCAGCTCCCAAACTCTCATCAATTACCCTGCTCACTCATTTCAGCAGCACCTAGGAGCTGGAAGGTGTTAGGACAAATGGCAGAAAGAACAAAAGCACTGTAAGTGGAAAGTGTGACAGATATCTTACTTCTTATAAGCATTTTACATTAGACATTAAAATTAAAAAAAAAATCCCTGAGGACTTGTCTGGATTGTGAAGCAGCTAGATGTATCAATCCATCCCTGCAGGCTTCCTTCTTGTATCAATATAAAAAAATCTCTGCATCTCACAAGCTTCTGACTAAAAATCAAGGTCACGTGTGCATTGAATGCCTAAATTACTATGGCTTAAGTTCCCAGCAGGTTGATTTTGAAACATTATCCCCCTTCGATTGAAGTTCAGTCCAGAGTTTTGTGCCATGTCCTAGAAATTAGCTGCAATCAAGTCTATGGGGATTAGATTTAAGAATGAGGAACTCACACTTTGGCCCAAGGGCGAGTCAGTGAGTGCACATGTCAGGTTGGGTGTACTTCATCTTTTTTCTGTGAAGTAAATTGGTGCATCCAAAGATGACAGATCATCCTCCTGTCATCTTTGGATGCACCAATTTCTGAGTCCTGTCCCAAACCCTCCCCTTTCAGATAGGTAAGCACTTTTCTAACCCTTGTGATCTCTCCTCTCACCGCCATTCTCTTCCACTAGATTTTCAGCCAATGACTGTCCTCTTCGGTTTGGCTGAATTAAAATGTCTAGCCAATTTTAAGGAAGCTTCCATGTCTATGTTCACAGTTCATGAAATTTTAACAACTCACAGTGCTATCCAAAGGAAATAGAATGTGAACCAGAAATATATATCACCTATGTAATTTTACATTTTCATATAGTCACATTAAAAAACTAAGATGAAGGCTGGGTGGGGTGGTTCATGCCTGTAATCCCAGCACTTTGGGAGGCCGAGGCGGGTGGATCACCTGAGGCAGGAGTTCGAGACCAGCTGGCCAACATGGTGAAACCCCGTCTCTACTAAAAATACAAAAATTAGCCAGGTATGATGGTGCATGCTTGTAATCCAGCTACTCAGGAGGCTAAGGCAGGAGAATTGCTTGAACCCGGGAGGCGGAGGTTGCAATGAGCCAAGATTGCACCATTGTACACTCCAGCCTGGGGAACAGAGCAAGACTCTATCTTAAAAAAAAAAAGGTGAAACAGGTACAATTAATTTTGATAATATATTTTTGTTTAATCCAAATACAGCCAAAATCTTATTTCAGCATTTAGTCCAATATAAACATTATTAACAAGGATAAGTTTCCCAGGAAGATTAATCAGATAGCTAGTAGTCTGAGTTTCAGAAGGTCATGATTTTCTCTCTCATTGCTTTAAAATATTTTTAAACATTTATTAGGTTTGCTTTGAGAAGACAGAGAGAAAAAGAGTGGCAAAGAGCTCTTTCAGTCTTTATCCTTTTTTTTTTAAGTCTTTTTAAGGCATTTGGACGTTTTCTCATGATGCATTTACAAAAATTCTGGCATAAATGCCTGTCTAAATAAAAATGTCCCCTAGAAAAATGTGGACAACAGCTTTAACTGACTTGTCTCCATAAATCCTCTTGGATTCTTTCCCAAGAAACAAGGTTTACTACTGTGGTAATCTTTTCAGTGTAAGACAGCCCACAGTTTCATCTCTAAGAAATTTAAGAATGAATAATCTAGAGGCAGAGCTACTCTAAGGATATGCAAGGCCCAGGCAAATATTTGTTGTGTGGACCCTGTTTATCTAAATAATTTGAGTCACTCAAAATGAGCACGTCGGCCGGGCGCGGTGGCTCACGCCTGTAATCCCAGCACTTTGGGAGGCCGAGGCGGGCGGATCACGAGGTCAGGAGATCGAGACCACGGTGAAACCCCGTCTCTACTAAAAATACAAAAAAAAATTAGCCGGGCGCAGTGGCGGGCGCCTGTAGTCCCAGCTACTCGGGAGGCTGAGGCAGGAGAATGGCGTGAACCCGGAAGGCGGAGCTTGCAGTGAGCGGAGATGGCGCCACAGCACTCTCGCCTGGGTGACAGAACGAGACTCCGTCTCAAAAAAAAAAAAAAAAAAAAATGAGCACGTCAGCACCATTCTGTAGGCATACTCTCCCATGATCTCAGGAGAGAAACATTTTTGCCAGTGGTGGGGGCAGTCTACTGGCCAGGCTCCTGGAACCAGTCTACCCTCCTGGAACCAAGGCCCTGGGATGACCCTGTACATTTGAGTCCTCGAGCTCCTGGAGGCATCTGGTTGTGCCCCATGCAGGGTAGAGTGTTGAGGAGGGAAGAAACAGAGGTTCTACCCTGGGCTCCAGTGCCACACCCAGAAGGCCCTGCCATCCCCAGTTGGTCACAGGCACTGGAAAAGATGGGAAATTTTGAGAAAGGCACTCCCAAGTACAGGGTCCTACTTGTCTAGGTCTAAGTGACTAGTATGCTAACTGCCATGGGACCTAGTTAAATAAGTGCACATACATATGGACAAAATTTAAAAAGGAAAAAAAAAAAAGGTGCTTGGAGAAACAAAAGGAGGACTTGCAGCAGCTACACTGCAGATCCCACTTTAGAGGGAAATCTTTGGTTTTTTACTATGCTTTGTTCAACCCAATACCATTTCTCATGTGCCATGAGCTGGGTATTATACAGTACATGCTTGATGAGCAGTGGTGAATAAGTGTGCCCTCAAGATACTCTAGTGTTGTGTTTCTCAAGTCCAGGTGTCCATTAGAATCACGTTGGAGAGCTTTTAAAACACTGTTGTTCTCAAGCTCCACCCCAAACCAATTTATTCAAATTTCCTAGGGTTGGGGCCCAGACATCAGAATGTTTTAAAATTCTCCAGGTTATTTTAATGTTCAGCCAGGCTTGAGAAGTCCTGGTCTAGTGGATGACTAGTCCTGGTCTCTCTCCTGCCTCTGTTTTCCATGGCCTCTGATCTAACCCAGCAGATGCTGAATCCCTTTAAGAATTTAGACTGGCTCGGGCTACTCTCTTTGAGTCCCCTCCCTTTGTATGGGAGCTCTGTTTTCACTCTATTAAATCTTGAAACTGCACACTCTTCTGGTCTGTGTTTGTTACGGCTCGAGCTGAGTTTTTGCTCGCCATCCACCACTGCTGTTTGCCGCCATCGCAGACCCGCCGCTGACTTCCATCCTTCTGGATCCAGCAGGGTGTCCGCTGTGCTCCTGATCCAGTGAGGCACCCATTGCCGCTCCCAATCGGGCTAAAGGCCTGTCATTGTTCCTGCATGGCGAAGTGCCCGGGTTTGTCTTAATAGAGCTGAACACTAGTCACTGGGTTCCATGGTTCTCTTCTGTGATCCACGGTTTCTAATAGAGCTATAACACTCACTGCATGGCCCAAGATGCCATTCCTTGGAATCCATGAGGCCAAGAACTCCAGATCAGAGAGCACAAGGCTTTCCACCATCTTGGAAGTGGCCCACCGCCATATTGGAAGCAGCCCGCCATCATCTTGGGAGCTCTGGGAGCAAGGACCCCCCTGGTAACATTTGGTGACCCAGATGGGACCTCCAAAGCGATGGGAAGTGTTCCCCCGAAGGCAAAAACACCCCTAAGATGTATTCTGGAGAATTGGGACCAATATGACCCTCAGACGCTAAGAAAGAAACTACTTATATTCTTCTGCAGTACCGCTAGGCCACGATATCCTCTTCAAGGGGGAGAAACCTGGCCTCCTGACAGAATAAATTATAACACCATCTTACAGCTATACCTCTTTTGTAGAAAAGAAGGCAAATGGAGTGAAGTGCCGTATGTACAAACTTTCTTTTCATTAAGAGACAACTCGCAATTATGTAAAAAGTGTGATTTATGCCCTACAGAAAGCCCTCAGAGTCTACCTCCCTTCTCCGGCATCCCCCTGACTCCTTCCCCAACTAATAAGGACCCCCCTTCAACCCAAACGGTCCAAAAGGAGATAGACAAAGGGGTAAACAATGAACCAAAGAGTGCCGATATTCCCCGATTATGCCCCCTCCAAGCGGTGGGAGGAGGAGAATTCAGCCCAGCCAGAGTGCATGTGCCTTTTTCTCTCTCAGACTTGAAGCAAATTAAAATAGATCCAGGTAAATTCTCAGATAACCCTGATGGCTATACTGATATTTTACAAGGGTTAGGACAATCCTTTGATCTGACATGGAGATATAATGTTACTGCTAGATCAGACACTAACCCCAAATGAGAGAAATGCCGCCGTAACTGCAGCTTGAGAGTTTGGCGATCTCTGGTATCTCAGTCAGGTCAATGATAGGATGACAACAGAGGAAAGAAAATGATTCTTCACAGGCCAGCAGGCAGTTCCCAGTGTAGACCCTCATTGGGACACAGGATCAGAACATGGAGATTGGTGCCGCAGACATTTGCTAACTTGCATGCTAGAAGGACTAAGGAAAACTAGGAAGAAGTCTGTAAATTATTCAATGATGTCCACTATAACACAGGGAAAGGAAGAAAATCCTACTGCCTTTCTGGAGAGACTAAGGGAGGCATTGAGGAAGCATACCTCTCTGTCACCTGACTCTATTGAAGGCCAACTAATCTTAAAGGATAAGTTTATCACTCAGTCAGCTGCAGACATTAGAAAAAAGCTTCAAAAGTGTGACTTAGGCCCAGAGCAAAACTTAGAAACCCTATTGAACTTGGCAACCTCGGTTTTTTATAATAGAGATCAGGAGGAGCAGGCGGAATGGGACAAACGGGATTGAAAAAAAGTCCACTGCTTTAGTCATGGCACTCAGAGAAGTAGACTTTGGAGGCTCTGGAAAATGGAAAAGCTGGGCAAATCAAATACCTAATAGGGCTTGCTTCCAGTGCAGTCTACAAGGACACTTTAAAAAAGATTGTCCAAATAGAAATAAGCCGCCCCCTCGTCCATGCCCCTTATGCCAAGGGAATCACTGGAAGGCCCACTGCCCCAGGGGACGAAGGTCCTCTGAGTCAGAAGCTACTAACCAGATGATCCAGCAGCAGGACTGAGGGTGCCTGGGGCAAGCGCCAGCCCATGCCATCACCCTCACAGAGCCCCGGGTATGCTTGAACATTGAGTGCCAGGAGGTTAACCATCTCCTGGACACTGGCACGGCCTTCTCAGTCTTACTCTTCTGTCCCAGACAACTGTCCTCCAGATCTGTCACTATCCGAGGTGTCCTAGGAGAGCCAGTCACTAGATACTTCTCCCAGCCACTAAGTTGTGACTGGGGAACTTTACTCTTCTCACATGCTTTTCTAATTATGTCTGAAAGCCCCACTCCTTTGTTAGGGAGAGACATTCTAGCAAAAGCAGGGGCCATTATACACCTGAACATAAGAGAAGGAACACCCGTTTGTTGTCCCTTGCTTGAGGAGGAATTAATTCTTCTGAAGTCTGGGCAACAGAAGGACAATATGGATAAGCAAAGAATGCCCGTCCTGTTCAAGTTAAACTAAAAGATTCTGCCTCCTTTCCCTACCAAAGGCAGTACCCCCTTAGACCTGAGGCCAAACAAGGACTCCAAAAGATTGTTAAAGACCTAGAAGCCCAAGGCCTAGTCTTTATATGTCACAGAAAAAACAGGAATAGCTCTAGAAGTGCTTACACAGGTCCAAGGGATAAGCTTGCAACCCGTGGCATACCTGAGTAAGGAAATTGATGTAGTGGCAAAGGGTTGGCCTCATTGTTTATGGGTAGTGGCAGCAGTAGCAGTCTTAGTATCTGAAGCAGTTAAAATAATACAGGGAAGAGATCTTACTGTGTGGACATCTCATGATGTGAATGGCATATTTACTGTTAAAGGAGACTTGTGGCTGTCAGATAACCGGTTACTTAAATATCAGGCTCTATTACTTGAAGGGCCAGTGCTGCGACTGTGCACTTGTGCAACTCTTAACCCAGCCACATTTCTTCCAGACAATGAAGAAAAGATAGAACATAACTGTCAAGAAGTAATCGCTCAAACCTACGCCGCTTGAGGAGACCTTCTAGAGGTTCCCTTGACTGATCCCAACCTCAACTTGTATACTGATGGAAGTTCCTTTGTACAAAAAGGACTTTGAAAAGTGGGGTATGCAGTGGTCAGTGTTAATGAAATACTTGAAAGTAATCCCCTCACTCCAGGAACTAGCGCTCAGCTGGCAGAACTAATAGCCCTCACTCAGGCACTAGAATTAGGAGAAGGAAAAAGGGTAAATATATATACAGACTCTAAGTATGCTTACCTAGTCCTCCATGCCCACGCAGCAATATGGAGAGAAAGGGAATTCCTAACTTCCGAGGGAACACCTATCAAACATCAGGAAGCCATTAGGAGATTATTATTGGCTGTACAGAAACCTAAAGAGTTGGCAGTCTTACACTACCGGGGTCATCAGAAAGGAAAGGAAAGGGAAATAGAAGGGAACTGCCAAGCAGATATTGAAGCCAAAAGAGCCGCAAGACAAGACCCTCCATTAGAAATGCTTATAGAAGGACCCCTAGTATGGGGTAACCCCCTCCAGGAAACCAAGCCCCAGTACTCAGCAGGAGAAATAGAATGGAGAACCTGACGAGGACATAGTTTCCTACCCTCAGGATGGCTAGCAACCGAAGGAGGAAAAGTACTTTTGCCTGCAGCTAAGCAATGGAAATTACTTAAAACCCTTCACCAAACCTTTCACTTAGACATTGATAGCACCCGTCAGATGGCCAAATTATTATTTACTGGACCGGGCCTTTTCAAAACTATCAAGCAGATAGTCAGGGCCTGTGAAGTGTGCCAAGGAAATAATCCCCTGCACTGCAGGCCATACATTTCAATCCCTCTATCTTAAACCTCCTTGTTAAGTTTGTCTCTTCCAGAATCAAAGCTGTAAAACTACAAATGTTCTTCAAATGGAGCCCCAGATATAGCCCATGACTAAGATCTACCGTGGACCCTGGACCGGCCTGCTAGCCCATGCTCTGATGTTAATGACATTGAAGGCACTCCTCTCGAGGAAATCTCAACTGCACGACCCCTACTATGCCCCAATTCAGCAGGAATCAGTTAGAGCAGTCGTCGGCCAACCTCCCCAAAAGCACTTGGGTTTTCCTGTTGAAAGTGGGGACTGAGAGACAGGACTAGCTGGATTTCCTAGGCTGACTAAGAATCCCTAAGCCTAGCTGGGAAGGTGACTGCACACATTTAAACACGGGGCTTGCAACTTAGCTCACACCCAACCAATCAGGTAGTAAAGAGAGCTCACTAAATTGCTAATTAGGCAAAAACAGGAGGTAAAGAAATAGCCAATCATCTATCACCTGAGAGCACAGTGGGAGGGACAATGATCGGGATATAACCCAGGCATTCGAGCCGGCAATGGCTACCCTCTTTGGGTCCCCTCCCTTTGTGTGGGAGCTCTGTTTTCACTCTATTAAATCTTGCAACTACCAAAAAAAAAAAAAAAAGAATTTAGGCTGGCTCTGTTATTGGGCTGTTTGCTTGGTCATTTCTTTCTGTTACTGGAGGTGGACAAGGTCTCTCCTGTGCCATTAATGAAACCGTCCAAGGACTGTTCACCAGCTGACTGTGGTAGACTAAGCCTGACATCACATCAGGTCACTGAGGTAATCACTTCTTTCGTGATTCTTTTTGGCCCAGAGGCTAGAATCAGGTTGACTCCAGTCTCCATGAATCAGCTTCCCAAACCATACACAGACTTTTTTGGAACGTGATAGCTCACCTGAAACAAACATGAAACCAAATTTTTGCCATGTTCTACTAAACAATATGGGTGCCTTAATTTTCTGTCAGCCTTGGGAATTTAAGTAAATAGGACTCTTTAAAATATAAAATACCTGCCTAATTCTAAACTCGAAATGACGTTTAAAAAGTTTGTTTCAAGTGGGCTTCAAAAGAGGAAAAATATATTTTTACTTAATAGTTGTTAGACAGTTCCCACTTATGTACACAACTCTATTTCATAATTTTAATTCCTTTTCCTAAAAAGGTTTTTTTCTCATATCAAGCATGACTGATGCTCTGCAATGCAATGCACATAATATTGTTTGTTATCTTCCAGGTTTGTAATTTTCTGGGGCTGCCAAATGCTGACTAAATTATTTGTAGTAGTCAGTTCCCAGTGGGGTTTCTCCTTTTGAGTTCAGACGGGACAGCTATCTCTATGTTTTCATTGTATTTGTGTACTATCTTTTATGCTTTGTGTGATTTTAAACAGTATTTTGTCTAGAATTGTATAAATCATAAAAATGACAAAATTTTAAACATGCAGTTAGTAACCCACAAAAAGTCAGCATAAGAGAAAGCAAAAATACCTGTATTTTTGGAGGAGAAGCAATTCTTTTTATATTCTTCTCTTTCTTTTTTTCTATTTTTTTGGATGGGAAGAGTGTAGGTGGTTTCTTATGAAGCTCTTTCTCATGCAACTGGAAAGCTCACCCAGCTGAAAGGCTGGCTGTCTCTCAGTCACAAAGCTGAAAAAGTTTCCTAAGATTGAGAGAAAATGGGAATGTGACGAAAGTCAAGAAAAATAAAGTCCACTTGTTTCTTGCTTGATGTTTATGCAGGTTTTAAAAAGATGACATTAGAGCAAAATTCTACAAGGAGTTCTGGGCTTTGCTGTTGATGTAAATTTCAGCAGTTTGGCTCAGACAGGGTCTTAAGTGTGGTTTCATGAATTTGTTCTTCCAGTGAAACTCACTGACCACCTCTGTGCCAGTCTCTGCTCCACACTTAGGACTTAATGTTAAATTGGACAAGGTCCTTGCCCTCAGCGAGTCTTCCTGTCATCTTGCAGAGGTGCCTATAATCTACAGGCCTCAAATTACGTGGATGAGAAACTGTATTTTACCAGTTTTCCCTGGAATCTTCACTGTATGGAGAGTTGACTTATCCCAAACAAAATCCCAACAGACTAATTATAAATCAGAATATGTGAGAGCTGGTAGAAACCCTTTCACAACTCATTTCCTACTTACCTCCCAGGCCAATTCCACTTACCCTGATCTAGTGTCCCACTTCCATCATGGTTCCTCCCCAGATCCCTGGGGAGAATACACACACACACACACACACACACACACACACACACACATATATATGTTCTAAAATATAGATAGACAGACAGTTAGATAGATAGATAGATAGATAGATAGATAGATAGATAGATAGATATTTAAGTCAGTACTTGCTATGCATGGAAAAAGAAGCTAATATCTAAACATCCAAATGACCTGGGCCTAGCATTGAGCTAGGTGTGGTTATCTCATTTAATGTAGACTATATAACAACTATAAGGTAAGTATTTTTATGCTCATTTCATGTAATGTGGAAACAGAAGCCTGTAGATGGTAAGTTGCCCAAAGTCATAGAGCTGGCAAAGGGTGAAGCTCAGATTCCAGCAGGCTTGTCTGATTTCAGAGGCCTTCCAATTTCATGATCATAATCTCATTATTAAGATCATCTTTCCCTCTTAGGTCAGTAGCAGTTAATTCTTTCTACTTATTCCAGGTGTCAACTACTTACTTAAAGTCATCTAATTTACCTGTCCCAAACAATTTTTCAAAAAAAAAGTCAAATGCATTTCTTCCATTTGGTTTCTTAACCATGGAAACAGCAGACATTTTCCCAACTTGGGGCATAATTTCCAGGATCCAAACATACCACAAGTTGGTTATTTCGTCATGGTCCCATTGAGCAAAAAAAGGAAAAAGAAACCATAATATTTTTTCCTTTTTTCCCTTCCTCCTTCCTTGCCTCCTTTCTTCTATTCTTTCTTGTTTCATTTCCTTTCTTCCTTCTATTCCTGGTTTACTAAGCACCATGTACTAGGCAAAGTGTACTCATATCTTGGTGTAAAAAAACAAATGCAAACATATATTTATCAGGAAATAGGATATGTATAATAATAGAAATACACTCAAAATATAGTTCCAGCCTAGATGAGGATGTGATTAACTCCATTCTGGAGAACATGGAGCCAGAAAAATTTTCACAGAGAAGATGCTTGATCTAAACATTGAAGGATGAGTAAGCAAGAGAAAGGGTGGTTTAGGAAAAGAGGACAGAGTATAACAAGCTCGGGGACATCTCTGGTGGCTACAGATTCCTATATTAGTGACCACTATTACAATATCAGAAGAAGAAAGAGGATATAGAAAGGTTAGAGCTGAGCAAATATTGTATTGCTGTTGTCAAACACTGTATTGCTAATGGCAAAGTATCCAAAACCAAGTATCCTGTTGCTCTCAGCACTATTACAGTGAAAGGTGAGGCAGCAGCAGGAATGGCAGCAAGCCAGTCCATGTTGCTGGAATGGCTTTTCTTTCCTGGAAATTATGATATGAAGTACTTAATTTTTATCAGAATAATTTCTGTTTGTTATAAAAAAGTCAGTCGACATGGTGCAAATTAGAGCAAGGCTGTATTTCAGAGCACTTATTTTCTGGCAAATATTTGTTTATGTAGCTGACATTTCAAAATAAAATCTAAAAGTTACTTTTATGTCAGCATTATCACTCTTGTCATAACTTTATATTTTATGGCCAAAAAAAGTAGGTCTCTATTTGCTGTAAATCAACTTAGGTAGGCAAGCTATGAAAATTACAGTAAATGACTATACATCCAGAACATAATATATTGTATTTTCTTTAAGCCATAGTAATTTAAATTTTCTGGTAATGGTAGACTAACTTGTTCCAGACCAGTTTTTTTTACTGAGAGTAATTATGAAGTTCAACAAAATATAAGACATCTGTTGGAAGGGAATAGAGAGCTACTAAAGTAACAAGGACTTGGGAGCACAAAAATCTCAGAGAGAAGGCAAGGTCAAAGGAATGACCCCAACATTCAGTGTAGCTAAGTGGTGGACAAGAGGTTGAGAGCTGAGCAAATTCTAGGGACAGGGTCTGTAGGGATCACCTAAGAGGATCCCTTGATTTTGGCTGATACCACCAAAGGTCTTAACTCTAAAAGTAGAGTTGAACTGGAAATAGACTAACACTCACAAAGATAGTGCTCAGATCATTTCAATTCTTGGTATAAATAAATAATCTGCATACCAAGAAACAAGATGATCTGGCCAAAAAATAAAAAATAAAAAAATCCCAGGAAGAAATGGACAATGGAAACAGCCCCACATGGATCAACATGTTGCTGCTGGGAGGCAGAGCTAGACGGTGGAAGAGAAGACTCCACCAATTGTGCCTCCCTGCAACACCAATTTAACAACTATCTACACACAAAAAAGCACCTTTATAAGAACCAAAAATCAGGTGAGCACTCAATACCTGGTCTGGTTTTGGCTTCATATCACTGAAGGAGGCACTGAAGAAGTAGGACAGTCTTGAATCACCAGTGCAACCCCTCCTCCATCCCCTGGCAGTGATGGTGTGGTGCAAAGAGCATTTCTGTGCTTTGGAGAGAGGGAGAGCCAGCAATTGTGAGGCATTGAACTCAGTGTGCTTTCCTGTTATAGCAGAAAGGAAAACCGGACCGCACTCAGCTGACACCTGCCTACAGAGGGAGTATTTAAACCAGCCCTAGCCAGAGGGGAACCACTGATCCCAATGGTCAGAATTTGAGTTCCCGAGAGGCTTGCCACTGCAGGTTGAAGTGCTATGGGGCTCTAAATAAACTCAAAAGGCAGTCTAGGACACAAGCACTGTAACTCCTAGGCAAGTCCCAGTGCTGAACTGGGCCCAAAGCCAGAGGACTTGTTTGGGTGCAGAGGACATGTGACCTATTGAGACACCAGCTGGGGTAGCTAAGGGAGTGCTGGCATCAACCCTTTCCTAACCTAACCCCAGGCTTCACAGTTCATGGTCCAAAAGAGATCTCTCCCTCCCCTTTAGGAGTGGAGAGGGTAGAGTGGGAAGCGCATAGTCTTGCCTCCTGGATACCACCTCAGTCCCAGCAGGACAGGGACAGGACAGCCCTCAGAGTTGTGAGGCCCCCATTCCAAGCCCTAGTTCCTGGATGACTTTCCTAGACACACCCTTGGGCCAGAAGGGAACCTGCTGCCTTTAAGGGAAGGACCCAGTCCTGGTAACATTCATCACCTGCCAGCTAAAGAGCCTTTGGGCCCTGAATAACCAGCAGCGATACCCAGATACTACATCAAGGGCCTTGGGTGAGACTCAGACTTATTGGCTTCAGGTGAGACTTGGCACATTCCCGCCTGTGGTGGTTACAGGGCAAGACTCCTGCTTGAGAAAAGCAGAGGGAAAAGTAAAGAGGACTCTGTCATGCACCTTAGAGACCAGCTTGGTACCTAAGGTGACAGACAAGTGGGCTTTTGGGGACCCTGATTTCAGGATTTGGCCCTTGGACAGCATTTATGGACCAAGCCCCAGGGCCTTGAGGGGACACAGACAGCAGCCAGGAAGTGGTTAAAGCAGGCCTTGGGTGAGACCCAGTACTGTGCTGGCTTCAGGTCTCGCCCTGTGGTGGTGGCCATAGGGGTGCTTGTGTCACTCCACCCCCAGCTCCAGGTGGCTCAGAACAGAGAAAGACTCTGTTTGTTTGGGAGAAAGTACGGGAAGAGAATGAGAGTCTCTGCCTGGTAATCCAGACAATTCTCCCAGATCTTGTCCAAAATCATCAAGACAATAGCTGTATGAGTCTGCAGGACCACAGCATTACTAGGTTTGGAGTGCCCCCTAAAACAGATACAGTTTAGATCACAACACCCAAGTACTTTCAAATATCTAGAAAGCCCTCCCAAGAAGGATGGGTACACACAAGCCCAGACTGAAAAGACTACAATAAATACCTAACCCTTCAATGCCCAGACACAGATTAACATCTACAAGTATCAACACAATCCCAGAAATCATGACTTCATCAAGTAAACTAAATAAAGCACCAAGAACCAATCCTGGAGAAAAAGAGATATCTGACCTTTCAGACAGAGAATTCAAAATAGCTGTCTTGAGGAAACTCAAAGAAATTCAAGATAATGCAGGGAAGGAATTCCAAATTATATTAAAGAAATTTAACAAAGAGATTGAAATAATTAAAAAAGAATGAAGCAGAAGTCCTGGAGCTGAAAAATGAAACCGGCATACTGAAGAATGTATCAGAGCCTTTTAATGGCAGAATTGATCAAGAAGAAAGAATTAGCAAACTTGAAGACAGGCAATTTGAAAATACAGTCAGAGAAAACAAAAGAAAAAAGAATTAAAAAAAAATGAAGCACACCTATAGGATCTAGAAAATAGCTGCGAAAGGGCAAATCTAAGACTTATTGCCCTTAAAGCAGAGGTAGAGAAAGAGATGGGGGTAGAAAGTTTATTCAAAGGTATAATATCAGAGAACTTCCCAAACCTAGAGAAAAATATCAATATCTGAGTACAAGAAGGCTATAGAACACCAAACCTGTCATGCACCTTAGAGACCAAGCAATTTAACCCAAAGAAGACTACCTCAAGGCATTTAATAATCAAACTTCCAAAGATCAAGAATAAAGAAAGGATCCTAAAAATAGCAAGAAGAAAGAAACAAATAACATAAAATAGAGCTCCAATACATCTGACTTTTCAGCAGAAACCCTTTAGGCCAGGAAAGGGTGGGAAGAAATATTTAAAGTGCTGAAGGAAAAAAACTTTTTACCCTAGAATAGTATATCTGGTGAAAATATCCTTCAAACATGAAGGAGAAATAAAGTCTTTCGCAGACAAACAAAAGCTGAGGGTTTTTATCATTACCAGACCTATCATATAAGAAATGCTAAAAGGAGTATTTCAATCAGAAAGAAAAGGACATTAATGAGCAACAAGAAATCACCTGAAAGTACAAAACTCACTTGGTAGTAGTAAGTACACTGAAAAACACAGAATACTATAACACTGTAACTGTGGCATGTAAACTACTCTTATCCTAAGTAGAAACACTAAATGATGAACTGGCAAATCAATAACTACAACAACTTTTTTTTTTTTTTTTTTAATTTTTTTTTTTTTTTTAATACTTTAAGTTTTAGGGTACATGTGCACATTGTGCAGGTTAGTTACATATGTATACATGTGCCATGCTGGTGCGCTGCACCCACTAACGTGTCATCTAGCATTAGGTATATCTCCCAATGCTATCCCTCCCCCCTCCCCCGACCCCACCACAGTCCCCAGAGTGTGATATTCCCCTTCCTGTGTCCATGTGATCTCATTGTTCAATTCCCACCTATGCGTGAGAATATGCGGTGTTTGGTTTTTTGTTCTTGCGATAGTTTACTGAGAATGATGGTTTCCAATTTCATCCATGTCCCTACAAAGGACATGAACTCATCATTTTATATGGCTGCATAGTATTCCATGGTGTATATGTGCCACATTTTCTTAATCCAGTCTATCATTGTTGGACATTTGGGTTGGTTCCAAGTCTTTGCTATTGTGAATAATGCCGCAATAAACATACGTGTGCATGTGTCTTTATAGCAGCATGATTTATAGTCCTTTGGGTATATACCCAGTAATGGGATGGCTGGGTCAAATGGTATTTCTAGTTCTAGATCCCTGAGGAATCGCCACACTGACTTCCACAATGGTTGAACTAGTTGACAGTCCCACCAACAGTGTAAAAGTGTTCCTATTTCTCCACATCCTCTCCAGCACCTGTTGTTTCCTGACTTTTTAATGATTGCCATTCTAACTGGTGTGAGATGATATCTCATAGTGGTTTTGATTTGCATTTCTCTGATGTCCAGTGATGATGAGCATTTTTTCAAAAATCAATTCAAGATGGATTAAAGATTTAAACGTTAGACCTAAAACCATAAAAACCCTAGAAGAAAACCTAGGCATTACCATTCAGGACATAGGCGTGGGCAAGGACTTCATGTCCAAAACACCAAAAGCAATGGCAACAAAAGCCAAAATTGACAAATGGGATCTAATTAAACTAAAGAGCTTCTGCACAGCAAAAGAAACTACCATCAGAGTGAACAGGCAACCTACAACATGGGAGAAAATTTTCGCAACCTACTCATCTGACAAAGGGCTAATATCCAGAATCTACAATGAACTCAAACAAATTTACAAGAAAAAAACAAACAACCCCATCAAAAAGTGGGCGAAGGACATGAACAGACACTTCTCAAAAGAAGACATTTATGCAGCCAAAAAACACATGAAAAACTACAACAACTTTTAAGACACAGTACAATAAGATAGCAATAGAAACAACAAAAAGTTAAAAAACAGGGAGACAGAGTTAAAGCATAGAGTTTTCATTAGTTTTCTTTTTGCTTATTTGTTTGTTATGCAAACAGTATTAAGTTGTTATAAGCTTAAAATAATGGGTTATAATATAGTATTTGCAAGCCTCAAGATAACCTCAAACCAAAAAACATACAATACATGCACAAAAAATAAAAAGTAAGAAACTAAATCATTTCACCAGAGAAAAATCACCTTCACTAAAAGGAAGACACTAAGCGAAGAAAAAAGGCAGGTAAGACCACAAAAGAACCAGAAAACAAATAACAAAATGGCAGGAGTAAGTTCTTACGTCTGAATAATAACATTGAAAGTAAATGGACTAACCTCTCCAATCAAAAGACATAGGGTGGCTGAATGGATGCAAAAACAAGACCCAATGATCTGTTGCTACAAGAAACATATTTCCTCTATAAAGCCACACACAGAATGAAAATAAAAGGGATGGAAAAAGATATTCATGTCCATGGAAACTAAAAAAGAGCAGGAGTTGCTATACTTACGTCAGACAAAATAGATTTCAGAGAAAAACTTTAAGAAAAGACAAAGACAGTCACTATATAATGATAAAGGGGTCAATTCAGCAAGAGGATATAACAACTTTATATATGTACCCAACACTGGAGCACCCAGGTATATCAAGCAAATATCATTAGAGCTAAAGAGAGAGAGAGAGAGACTATAATACAATAATAGCTGGAGACTTCAACACCCCACTTTCAGCATTAGACAGATCTTCAGTCAGAAAATCAACAAAGAAACATTGGATTTACTCTGCACTATAGACCAAATGGATCTAACAAGTATTTAGAGAGAATTTCATCCAAGAACTACAAAATACACATTCTTTTCCTTAGCACATGGATCATTCTCAAGGACAGACCATATGTTAGGTCACAGAACAAGCCTTAAAACATTCCAGAAAATTGAAATTATATGAAACATCTTCTCTGACTACAATGAAATAAAACTAGAAATCAATAACAAGAGGAATTTTGGAAACTATACAGATGAATGGAAATTGAACAATATGCTCCTGAATAACCAGTGGGTTAATGAAGAAATTAAAAAGAAAATTGAAAATTTTCATGAAACAAATGATAATGGAAACACAACATACCAAAACATACGGGATACAGCAAAAGCAGTACTAAGAGGGAAGTTTACAGCTATAAGTGCCAACATCAAAAGAGAAGAAAAATTTCAAATAAACAATCTAATGGTGCATTTTGAAGAACTAGAAACGCAGGAGCAATCAAACTCAAAATTAGTGAAAGAAAGAAAGAAAGTTCAGAGCAGAAACAAATGAAATATAGAAAACAATATAAAAGATCAATGAAACAAAAAGTTGTTTTTTTGAAAAGTCAAAGAAAATTGATAAAATTTAGCCAGACTAAGAGAAAAAGTGAGAAGATTCAAATAAATAAAATCAGGGATGAGAAAGGAGACATTACAGCTGATACTTCAGAAATTCAAAGGCTCATTAGTGGCTTCTAAGAGCAACTATATGCCAATAAATTGGAAAACTGACAAATTCCTAGATACATACAACATACCAAGAATGAACCAAGAATCAACCCAAAATGTGAACAGACCAATAATAAGTAATAAGATAGAAGCTGTAATAAAGTCTCCTAGTAAAGAAAAGCCTGGGACCTGATGGTGTTACTGCTGAATTCTACCAAACATTTAACCCCTTTAATGTTTAGAAAAAAAAAAAAACACAGCTCGCTGCCAACAGTAATTTAATTTTACATAAATACACTCTTTGAGGCTGAAGCAAATCTGACTGATTTTCAATATGAAAGCTTTTGTTTGTCTGGGAAAGACTTTATTTCTCCTTCATGTTTGAAGGATATTTTCACCAGATATATTATTCTAGGGTAAAAGTTTTTTTCCTTCAGCACTTTAAATATTTCTTCCTGCTCTTTCCTGGCCTAAAGGGTTTCTGCTGAAAAGCCAGATGTATTGGAGCTCTATTTTATGTTATTTGTTTCTTTCTTCTTGCTATTTTTAGGATCCTTTCTTTATTCTTGATCTTTGGAAGTTTGATTATTAAATGCCTTGAGGTAGTCTTCTTTGGGTTAAATTGCTTGGTCTCTAAGGTGCATGACAGGGTTGGTGTTCTATAGCCTTCTTGTACTCAGATATTGATATCTTTCTCTAGGTTTGGGAAGTTCTCTGATATTATACCTTTGAATAAACTTTCTACCCCCATCTATTTCTGTATCTCTGCTTTAAGGGCAATAAGTCTTAGATTCGCCCTTTCGAGGCTATTTTCTAGATCCTATAGGTGTGCTTCATTTTTATTTTCAATATGAAAATAAAATATGAAAACTGTTCTTGGAGTTATTTCTAAAGAGAACTAACATCAGGATCATCAGAATAATATATTTAGGAAAAATTGGATTCATCAAATCAATCTTCAGCCAAGTATTTGAGAACAATGTTAATGTCACACAGAGGAATGCTACATTTTCTAGGATATGACATTTCAGCGATTGAGAATTACTATATTTTGTTAATAAAAAATATCATTACTAAAAACAGAATGGTATAAATAGGGTGATGTCTTTTGTTTCCAAAGTAGGTATACTAAAGCAATATGAAAATCATAGTAAAAGTGAGATATTTCATGGCAAAGTTATCTCGGGGTAAGTGCTGCAGCCACAAGTGCTGCTGGCAAGTATTCTCAGGGAAAATGGGGAAAGGGTTAAAGAAGAACAATCCTACTCAAACTATTCCAAAAAATAGAGAAGGAGGGAATATTTTCAAACTCATTCTAGGAGGCCAGTATTCCACTGATACCAAAACAAGACAAAGACACAACAACAACAAAAAGAAATCTATAGGCCAATATTTCCGATGCACACAAAAATCCTCAACAAAATGCCAGCAAACTTTATTTGATAATACATTAAAAAGGTCATTCATCATGACCAAGTTGGATTTATCCCTGGAACACAAGGATGGTTCAACATACATAAATCAATCAATGGGATTCATCTTATCAATAGAATAAAGGACAAGAACCATATGATCATTTCAGTTAGTGCTGAAAAAGCATTTGATAAAATTTAACATCCCTTCATGATAAAAACCTTCAAAAAACTGGATACGGGAGAAACATACCTTAACATAATAAAAGCCATATATGACAGACCTACAGCTAGTATCATACTTAATGGGGAAAAACTGAAAGCCTTTCCTCTAACATCTGGAACATGACAAGGATGCCCACTTTCACCACTGTTATTCAACACAGTACTGGAAGTCCTAGCTAGCACAATCAGATGAGAGAAAGAAATAAAGGGCATCCAAATTGGAAAAAAAGAAGTCAAAATATCCTTGTTTGCAGGTGATATGATCTTACATTTAGAAAAACATAATGATGCTACCAAAAAACTATTAGAACTGATAGACAAATTTAGTAAAGTTGCAGGATACAAAAGCAACATATAAAAATCAGTAGCATTTTTATATTCCAACAGTTAACAAACAGAAAAAGAAATTAAGCAAGTAATCCCATGTACAATAGCTACAATAAAATACCTAGGAATAAACTTAACCAAAGAAGTGAAAGATTTCTATAATCTAAACTATAAAACATTGCTGCAAGAAATTGAAGAGGACACCAAAAAATGGAAGGATATTCCATGTTCATGAACTGGAAGGATCAATATTGTTAAAATGCCTGCACTACCCAAAGCAATTTACAGATTCAATGCAATCTCTATCAAAATACCAATAACATTCATCACAGAAATAGAACAAATAACCTTAAAATTTATATGGAACCCAAAAGACCCAAAGTTGCCAAAGCTATCCTAAGCAAAAAGAACAAAACTGGAGAGGAATCATATTACCTGACTTCAAATTATACTATACAGTTATAGTAACCAGAAGAGCACGGTACTAGCATAAAAACAGACACATAGATGAATGGAACAGAACAGAGAACCCAAAAAACAAAACCATCTACAATGAACTCATTTTCAACAAAGGTGCCAAAAACATACACTGTGAAAAGAACAGTCTCTTCAACAAACAGTGTTGGGAAAACTGGATATCCCTATGCAGAAGAAGGAAACTAGACCCCTATCCCTTGCCATATACAAGAATCAAATCAAAATAGATGAAAAACTTAAGTCTAAGCCTTCAAACTTTGAAACTACTACAAGAAATTTTTGAGAAAAATCAACAGGGCATTGGCCTGGGCAAAAATTTCTTGAGTAATATCTGAAAAGCACAGGCAACCACAGCAAAAAATGGACTAATGGGATCACATCAAGTTAAAAAGCTTCTGCACAGCAAAGGATACAGTCAACAAAGGGAAGAGACAACCCATAGAATGGGAGAAAATATTGGCAAACTACCCATCTGACAAGGGATTAATAACCAGAATATATAAGGAACTCAAACAACTCTACAGCAAAAAAAAAAAATAATAATAATAATCCAATCAAAAAATGGGCAAAAGATTTGAATAGACTTTTCTGAAGATATACAAATGGCAAACAGGCACATGAAAAGGAGTTAACATCATTGATTATCAGAGAAATGTAAATCAAAACTACAATAAGATATCTTCCCACCCTAGTTAAAATGGCTTATATCCAAAAGACAGGCAACAACAAACGCTGGTGAGGATGTGGAGAAAAGGGAACCCTCGTACACTGTCGGTGAGAATGTAAATTAGTATAACAACTATGGAGAGCAGTTTGGAGTTCTTCAAAAAGCTAAAAAATAGAGCTACTATATGATCTAGCAATCCCACTGCTGGATATACACCCAAAAGAAAGGAAATCAGTATATTGAAGAGATATCTGCACTCCCATGTTTGTTGCAGCACTGTTCACAACAGCAAGATTTGGAAGCAACCTAAGTGTCCATCAACTGATGAATGGCTAAAGAAAATGTGGTACAGATACACAATAGAGTACTATTCAGCCATAGAAAAGAGTGAGATCCTGTCATTTGAAACAACATGGACAGAACTGGAGATCATCATATTAAATGCAATAAGCCAGGCACAGAAAGAAAACATTGAATGCTCTCACTTATTTGTGGGGTCTAAAAATCAAAACAATTGAACTCGTGGACATAGAGTTCATAGAGAAGAATGGTTACCAGAGGCTGGGAAAGGTAGTGGGAGTGGGTGTGGGAAGGAGAGTAAATGGTTAATGACTACAAAAAAATTAGAAAAAATAAATAAGACCTACTATTTGATAGCACGACAGGGTGTCTATAGTCAATAATTTAATTGTACATTTTTAAATAACAAAAAGAGACTAACTGGATCATTTGTAACACAAAGGATAAATGCTTCAGAGGATGAATACCCCATTCTCCATGGTGTAATTGTTATGCACTGCATGCCTGTATCAAGACATCTCATGTATCCCATAAATATATACACCTACTATGTACCTACAAAAATTAAGAATTAAAAGACATTGCTTGCTGGTACAAGAAACAGAAGTTAAAATAGCCATGATTCATATATTCAATAATTAGAAAATATGATGGGAAACTCCAGCAGATAAATTGTTTTATGGGAAACTGTAATAATAAAAAATCTGAAAATCTTCAAATTAAAATACAATAACTGAAACTCTGAGCTTAAAGAGAGGTTTAACAACAGGTTGCACAGAGTTGAATAGAGGTTTAGTGAATTGGAAGATGAGTCAGAAGAAAATATCCAGGCTGAAGGACAGAGAGAAGACAGAATGGAAATACAGAAACAAGTATAAGAGACATATAAGACGTGATGTTAAAAATCCCACAAATGTAAAATAATTATCTGTTAGAAAAGAGAGAGAATAAGCTTAAGAAAATATTTGAAGTAAAAATTTTCCAGAATTAATAGAAGACATCATATCATTGGTTCAAGAAGTGCTATGAACCTCACACAGGAGAAATACGAAAAATAAACCGCACACACTAATTTACATTTTGGTAAAACTGCTGTTAACTAAAGAAAATGAGAAAATCTGAAAAAGCAGCCAGAGAAAAATCACAGATTACTTTCAAAGGTGCAACAATATGACAGATGACTTCTTAGAAATAGCAGAAACCAAAAGCAATATAATGACATCTTCAAAGCTGTAAGAGAAAATAAGTACAATCAAGAATTCCATACCCAGCAAAAATTCTTTGAAAGTAAAAGTGAATAATTAGATTTTCATGAGAAAAAAAAAGTAGAATCTGTCATGGTCTGACCCCTTCTACAGGAAGTTTTAAGGAAAGTTCTTCAGGGAGAGAGAAAATTTTTCCAGTTGGAAGCATGAAGATAACAGGAGGAAATAAAGAGCAGCAGAAAGGGTAAATATGTAGACAAATCTAAATATACTGATACATAAAATCAATGTATTATAAAATAACAAATCACACATTGTAGGATTTAAACTATATCTGGTATTAAAACACATGGAAACACTAGCACAAAAGGCAGAAGGTGCCTACATGAAGTTAAAGTGTTCCAAGGTTCTCATATTGTACAGGAAGTGATAAAGGATTAATTTATATCAGGCTTTAATAAGTCAAGGGTGTATGTTATAATCTTTAGAGTAACGACTGAAAGAATCATTTCTGAAAGCTAACTAACAAGGTAATAGGAAAAAGTGAATAATAAGCAATCATTAATCCAAAAAGGCAAGAAAGAAAAGAAAAAGGAACACAGAACATGTTGGAGAAATAGAAAACAAATATTAAAATCATAGTTTTAAAAAATGTATATACATGAATGACATGAAAATCTAGGACTAAATGCTCAAATGAAAAAGATTCTCAAACTAGGTTTTAAAAATAATTTGTACATTGCTTATAAGGAATATACCTGAAATATAATGATATCGATAAATTGAAAACAAAAGTTTGTGGATAAAAGATATACCATGCACACCTTAACAAATACAAAATGGAGTTACATTGAAAGCAAATGAAGTAGAATCTTCTAAAACATTTCCAGAGGTTAGAAAAAGGACATTTCATTGTTAAAAGGGTTACTCCATGAGAAAACAATTGTAAGTGCAAAAGCAATTAACAGAGCCTCAAAATATAAAAAGTAAAAATTAGGAGGAATGAAAAGAGAAAGAATAAAAAGGGTAACCATAAAGGAAATTTTAATATTTAATTTAAAGGGAACTCAAGAGGATATTTTAATATACTTATCTCAACAAATCATCTATGATTTGGTCTAGCTGACCAAAAATGTCAGTAAAGATATAGAAGATTTAAAAAATATGATTAACTGACTTGACCTAATGGACACATATAGAATGTATATAGAGCTAAAAAACTCTAGGATACATTCTTTTCAAGTATATAGAGAACATTTGTCAAAACTGACCGTATGTTGAACTTAAAATACATAAAAATTTCAAAGGATTAAAATAATACAAAGGATATTCTCTGACCACAGAATCAATAGCACAAAGATAACTTGAAATTCTTTGCATATTTGAAAATTAAGCAATACATTTCTCAATAAGCTATAAATCAAAGAAGATATCAGAATACTTTAACTCCTATAATGATGTGAAAGAAAACAAAGCTCTCAAATATTTTTATAACTAACAGTTTACCAAAATCCTGGGTATTCTTTCTTTAAGATAATGACTTTTGTGCCATCCTTCTCTTTCTATTCCTATTTCTACCACCAGCACATCTCACACTTATTAGTTATTGAGATATTGCTTTGTGCTAAACACTGTGTTATTTCATTTTATATTCACTACAGATCTATGAGGGAATAGATCTGAATATTCAGGGAATATTCATCCCTGTTTTGAAAATGATGAAACAGGCTCAGAGAGATTAAATAACTTCCCCAAGGTCTTAAGTCCAAAAGCATCAAAGCTTGAATTTGAACCTACTGTCAGACCCAAAGACTATAGCTACATGCAGGTAGGATCTATATCTGTATTACTTACTACTGAATCTCCAGTACTTAGTTCAATGTCTTAAATACAGCAAATGCTTGCCTCAGAATGATTTTGACTGCAAGTAACAGGATATCTTACAATAAGTGTTTATGATCTCACATTACATTTCCAGAGGTAAGTGACTTCAAGATGGTTTTAGTGGTTTAACATTCTCACGAATAACTAGAAAGAAACTACCCATCATTCTGCCTCAGTGTCCTCAGCACATATCTCTCATAACATTGCGTGATGGCTACACCATCTGAAGCATCACATTCTCACACAACCTCATTTGAAGACTAGACAAATTTTGGGTGAAATCCTTCCCATATGTTTTCCTTCTTCTTCTTTTTCTTTTTCTTTATATCATGGAAAAAATATTTCCCTCAATATCCCCAGCAGTCTTCCCTTGTATTTCATTGACAAATTCAATCTTATGGCCTCCCCTAAACCAAACACTGGCAAAAGCAAATGGAATTATAATTATTGGCTTTGGCTAAGGTACCTTCCTTGGCGGCTATTTCCACTCAACATCTGAAAAAAACAGGGGTTCTCTTGAGGAAGAGGACGTGGCTGTTGGATATCCATCTATAGTGTCTATCATGGTGCTCAATAAATTCTTATTGAACAAGCATAGAAATCTTCACCACTGAGCTACACTGCATTCTGGAATAACAGAAAGGATATCTGGCCTAATCTCCCTGACACACCAGAGCTTATACAGCAATAGGCAAGCTCAGGCCAGAAAGAATTCCAATAGAAAGTTCAGCTCATCAGAACTGCAGCTGGCAGATGTCTTAATTCAGTGGTCAAATCCAGACAAGGGTAAGAGGGTGCATGCTGTGCTCCATTCTCAGAAAACTGCTTGTCATCTGTAGACTGCCTCATTCTCTTTCACGGCTTTGCCCAGAATGTCTCTATCCCTTCCCCTCATATTGTCCATTTGACAAATTCTTGTTTTTTTTTTTTTTAAAGATACAGTTCAAAAGTCACCTCCCCTGAGAAGCTTTTCTTGATAGTGGAAATCTTCTCTGTTCTCTATGGCACTCTGTAGTTCAGCACTTACCACATTATAGTGTACACGTTCCTTTTGCCTTGAGTTCACAGTAAAAAAAAATTGAGCCCTATAATCAGAGTAGGAAAGAGTATGAAAATATGAACCTATTATCTTTGACTAAATTTTTAAATTACAATAGAAATAGTGAGTTTACTGTAAATAAAATTAAATAAGCGTAAGTATAATAGGAAATTCATCCTCTCCAGTTTCATTCCCCAGCGGTAATTGCTAATAATAATTTGAGTATATACTACTGAAGACAAAGATACAAATAAGCACATCATTTTTGGAAAAAAAAAGATCCTACCCTAGGTTTTTATCCCAAATGGGGAAAAATACTCATTAAGAAATAAATACCTTGCAAACACACACACACACACACACACACACACACACACACACACACACACACTTGTTTATGTTGGTGTTCCTCTTGGAATTAGTCCTACATATTTTTCTCCCCCTCGATATAAAGAGATTTATAATACCCTCACGTTTGGCTACCATGCATAGGAAAGCCTATGGTTAAGCTAGTAAGTGTTGTTGGTAACTGACTTCCTACTGAGTCCTCTCCAGTGCTACTTTTATATATTAGTTTCCTGTGGCTGCTGTAAAAAATTACCACAAACCTGGTGGCTTAAAACAACAGAAATTTATTGTCTCACAATTCTCAGGAGCCCCGAAGATCAAAATTGGGGTGTTGGCAGGGCTGTGCTCCCTCCATAGGCTCTAGGGGAGATTCTGTTTGTGCCTCTTTCAGCTTTGGGGAGTGGTTGGTATGACTTGGTGTTTCTTGGCTTGTGGCTGCATCCTTCCAGTCTCTGTCTCTCTGGTCACAATGCCTCCTCCTCTTCTGTCTGTTAGATCTCTGGGGTGTGTCTCTTACAAGGATACTTATCATTGAATTTAGCACCCTTGCCCTGCCGTAATCCAGGAAGATTTTATCTCAAGATTAACTTAATTGCATCTGCAAAGACCATTTTCCAAATAAGATAACAGTCACAAGTTCCAGGAATTAGGATGTGGACATGTCTTTTTGGGGAACACCGTTAAACACACTACTTTTTAGTAATCAGGTAAGGAAAATGCAACAGAATTTTTAATAAACTGACAAAGAAATATGCATTGGTTAGGATGCTTTTAGTGACAAGCAAACTTAAAGTTGAAGCTTCCACTTAAGTACATAAGCAATAAAGCAATTTATCATCTCACATTAAAAGAATTCCAGAGGTGGGGCGGCGCTTAGGTTGGTTAATTTTGTGGCTCAACAGTGTCATGCGAAGACCCAGGAATGTCCCACCTTTTCTTCAGACTAGGTCCCTGTAAGCCATTTTAGAATTTCATATCCTAATGACAATATCCAGAAGCAGAAAAATGAACCCATTTCTTCTCATTGCCTCCTTTTTAACAGTGAGAAAACCTTTCCCAGAGCTCCACCACTTAGTCCAGTAGATTCCCTTCTCATATCATTGGCCCGACAGCATCCTATGTCCTGCCTAAACCAGTGACTGGCAAGGAGGATGGGGTCTTCATCATGAGTCAGACCAATCCCTTTTGAGGGGATGAGGACCACCTCTCCTGAAGCAGATGGCTGCACAAGATCAGAGTTCTATCCGAAAAAAGGAAGTAGGAAATGGCTGTTGGGCAGGCACTCAACAATGCCTGCTTCAGGGTGAATAAGATTATGAAAGGAATATCGAATAGACATTTGCTATTAGTACAAACAAGGCATCTATGTACATATGAATAGGTGCACCTTATATTTCTCTCTCTTCTTTAGCACCATCCATGTCATTATAGGTTATATATAATGTTTTGGTGAAAACTTTTTGTTTGTGTCTGTTTTGTCTTACCATATCTCTATCTATAATTTTTAAAACAGTGCATGATAAATTTTAAGATTGCCTGTAATCCTAGCATTTTTGGGGGGTCGAGGTGGGTGGATTGCTTGAGCCCCAGAGTTCGAGTCCAGCAACTGGTGAAACCTGGTCTCTACAAAATATACAAAAATTTAGCCAGGCATGGTGGTGTGCCTGTATTCTACTCAGGAGGCTGCAGTGGGAGAATTGCATGAGCCTGGAAGGGAGGCTGCAGTGAGCCCAGATTGCGCCCCTGTACTCCAGCCTGTCTTGAAAAAAAAAAAGTCATATTTTGTTGATTTAAAGGAGTACAGATTTAGTGGTTTTATATTTCTATTTATCATCTACTGGATGCAGGAGATTTAAATTTTCTCTAATTTATTTAATATATCAGTTCCCACAAAAGGAAAAGAATTTGTTTTCTGGCAAAGACAGTAATTTTTTAAAATCCAAAATATTAACAATAAGTAAATTTTTTTGGAGCAAGAAAATAGAAGCAACCAAGCTTCCTGGATAACTTTAGATACAGCCACCTATCCACTCTGGACCACTTGAACATCTCTGGACTATTTTGTAAGGAAGAAAGAAAAGTTTATCCTGTTTGAGCTACTGTGTTTTAGAGCCTATTACAATGGCTTTTTGGGAAGGAGGTACAAGTAGGGGGTCTGATTTTGTGATGAGAACCTGAAATTTAGAATTTTATATAAAATCTATAGGTCTTTAAAAATATTCATTGTTAATTGAATATTATTTGAAGCTCTGTTTAGGCTAAAACAATATGTCAGTGGATTACCACTGTCCCTGTGGCATTGTCTCTTGTCTCTAACATTTCTTGGCTGTGTGATTAGATGATTCTATGTTTGTGCCTTTTGTTTCCCTCTACTACAGGTGCAGCAATATTTTTAGGGAGAGAGAGAAAGAATCCCTGGCTAACATTTGAAAGGAGGGATGGAGGGTAAGATGCAGACTCTATGTGACTCATTTAGTACCTTGTAGAGAAACTAATTTATCGGATGAAACCACTGCAAAGCACTCAGCTCCTGAAGCCAGGGTTATGGTAGATCATGGCATCTAGAAATATATCCATCAGAGGTCTTACGGCACTTCTGGCTCTGCTTCTCTTTCTGGTTCCTGTTTAAATCCTTTCCCAGGCAGATAACTCACATTCTTAATAAATAATTGCCAGTTATCCTACAGATAAACATGACTGTTTCACAGGCATTTCTTTCATTAATATGCAATGATATGCATACTTATTGGCTCCGAGCATTTTCTTTTACTAGTTTATTCCACTCTTATTGTTCAGGTCCTATCTCTTTTTTACTTTAGTAAGTCCTTTTAATGATCCAATGATGGCAGATACTTAAAGATAACTTTCTAATGTATGTTCATCTATATTTTTTATCTCTCTGTATAACTTTTTATATCATTTAAATGTATTTGGAAGTCTATGCTCAGCCTGCTATTTTGATTAGTTTTTCCAGTGAGTAATTTTAAAACACCTTTTCTCTACTGCTTTATTAAAATTTCTATTTAAGATTCAATTTCTCTTTTTAGTTTTATTTTAAGTGACACAGGATATTGTATACATTGTATAATGATCTCCAGGGTCATCTGTTTTGTTTGCTTATCCTGATCCTAAAAACATTTTTTACTTTGAAAAGCTGACAATGAAGAAGTATATGTTTGCTGATGTAGCTGATATCTGTAAAACACAGAAAAGGGGAGCAGAAAAACATGCAGTAGTTTTGTCTTATTGTGCCAATAACACTTAATTCTAGGTTTCAGAGGTCCTGGGAGAGCTTCAAGCTCTATTTGAGGAGCAATTTAAAGGATTATAAGTGGAAGGTTGATTCTTCCTTGATTTATTCACCACCACTTTCATTTGGTTACCCATACTGGACCACTAAGGACATGAAAAGGATCCTATATTCTGACCCTTCCAGTTTCTCCAAGCCCAGTCTCTCTGGGTCCTCATTGAGCAATGAGGGAGGACTTTGATGGCCATGCTACTGATACAACTGTTCAAGGAGCTTTCTTGCGTTCCTAGGATTTCTCACCTGCAGCTCATTAGGCAATGTTGTTGTTTGAAGCCAAAGATCAATATCTAAGCTACAACACCTAATCCTCACATGCCGGTTGCAAATGCCAGGAAGAGAAAAGGAGTGTGTGTGTGTGTGTGTGTGTGTGTGTGTGTGTGTGTGTGTGCGCGCGCGCGCACTCATGTACAGTATCTATGGGCTAGGATGCAAGTAGTTTTAGTTCAAGAGTAAGAAGCTAGGGAATCTAAAGAGCTCATAGACATTTTTTTCTTCAATGGCCCATTATGGAGCTGAATTTGGATTAAAAACTCTCTTCTACCCTTGAAAAGGGAACTTGTTAAATACTAAATCTTTTGTGCCCTCTCTCTCAAATTATTACATTGAAATCCTAATCTCCAATGTGATAGTATTAGGAGGTAAGCCTTTGGGAGGTAATTAGGCCATGTGGGTGGAGCTCTCATAAATGGGGTTTGTGCCTTTATAAAAGGGACTTCAGAGAATTCTCTGACCCTCTCCCCATGTGAGAATATTAGAAGATAGCAGTCTTCAGTCTGGAAGAAGGTCTTCACCAGAACCTGACCATGTCCGTGCCTTGATTTTGCACTTGCCAGCCTCCATAGCTGTGAGAAATAAATTTCTGTTGCTTATAAGCCACCTTGTCTATTATAATCTTCTATAGCAGCCTAAACTGGGTAAGACACAACCCAATTTTATTTTAGAAGTAAAACTGATAAAGTACTAATAAAATTAGAAGAAGGATGTAGAAAAGAATAGCTACACAGTTGAGAAGGAAGAAGTAAAATGACGGTTTGGTTTTCTTTAAATGAGTGCATCATCCTCCCATAAGGTTCAGCCTTCTTCCTCTCTCATGGAGGTCTCTGAACTTGATGGTCATGCACCCCTAGCAACAACAAATGCTTGAGAATATACCCCGATGTGGGTTTGTTTGTATGTTTATAAATCGTATTCATGTAGTACTGCCACACTAATTTGAATGTTAACATTTCAAAATATTTTGTGTGTGAATTGTATAATGTAAAAAGTAAAAAATTAGGAAAAAAATAAAGAGTTTCTGTACACACTCTGATAAATCTAGCACATTGCCTGTTCCTTGTACCCTTTCAATCAGGTTCACTAAAAGTAATTATATTTTAAAGTGCTTTATCACAAAAATTGTAAAAATATGCAAAATTAGACATGAAAGCATTATAAATCCCCATGCACTCATGACTCAGTTTTAATAATTATCTGTTTATGGCCAAATTTATTTCATCTCTATCTCCCCAAATCTCACTCTCCTAGGCTATTTTGAAGCAAATCTCAGATATAGAATAATTTTATTTTTAATACATCAAAATTACATTATAGTCCGCCTAATTAATATAAAAGAAAATCAGTGAAAGAAGAAATGCAAAGAAAAAAGGAAAGAAGGAAGGAAGAAAAGAAAGAAGCAAATAACCAATAAACCAACTAAAAAGGAAAGAAGAAATTATGAGGAAGGGAGTGAGAAACATGGTTTGCTATTATTTTATTCCTGTAAATGCCAATTCAAATGAAGTAGTAAAATTTTGATTTGGTGCAAGCTAATTTGCTTTATTTTGAAACTGATCCCAGTTAGTGCATATTTACCTTCAAAGAGTTAAGTTGTGCTGTAAACCCATTGATTCCAATTCCCAGGTGCTTCAAACACTTCTAGATGGAATTCAGACTCTGTGGGATCATCTGTTCCTACCCAGAGGGTGGTCATTATAGAACCAGAACCACCTTACTCTAGGTTTCCTTGTCACTAAAACAAACAAATAAAATAAAATCTGGCATTTTTCTGACCTATGGTTTTATTTCGTTTTGTTTTCACTGTAGCTAAAACACTTCAATAAAGATAGAAAAATGTAAAACTTCAGAAAGTTAAATACCAGCACATAGCAGTAATCACATTTCACTTACAGGAGGATAATCAGGTAACTTTCCTCCAACCTCAGATACAGACAATCATCTTCTAAGCTCACAAATACAGGACCCCATTCTTGTGGGCACTGGATGAAAAGACATGGGTTTATCTTGTGCCAAGGCCAAGGCTATTTTAATATTAACTGACCTTGGACTCTGCCGACCTCCAGAGGGAGCCCTGAGGCAGCCAAATCTAAGGCTCAGCAGCAAAAGGGCCCAAATTAGTCTGAACTGCCAACGCAATGTTTATGTAGTGAGGCAATATTTATGATAAACATGACCCAAATGTTGGTGTTCAATGGGTTAAAGATCAATTGTAGCAATTTCAGGATAGAGAGCAGCTTTGATAAGTAAGCAGTTTGGTGCTATGCCAGTGTAGTCTCTTGAATCCACGGACAGGAGCAAGTATTCAAGTGAAACTATCTCTACCATTATTTGTGTTTCCTATGTTTTTACAGATGGCAGTTATGGGAATCCAGCCAACAGTGCCACCTGGGAAACTCTATGAGCTAAACACTATAGTACATTGGGGTAATAACATGGCTCTGAATAGCCACGAAAGCCTACCTTTGTGGAGGCTTTACAATATACACCATACATAAGCCACTGTGAGATCCTGAAACTCAACATTCTCATCTATAATATATCTGATTGTGTATTAAGGAAGAGTAATCTGGAAACAAATCAACCACTGCTTGATATAAAGGAGCAGGGGATCTGTTTTTTAAAATCAACAGAAAATCTAAAATCTTGACACTAATTCATCAGCCTTCAACTATAATGATCATTTAATAATTCCTGTAGTACTTTGGGGATCATAATGAGGCTAATCCCAGCCACAGTTTTCATGTTTGCCTGCTGATAGGGGTCTTTAAACTTATTCTCTAAGAATGAGAGTGATAAATTCAATAATATTGCTTTTTATTTATATAGCACCTATCATTCCAAGCAGTCCAAAGGCCTTCAAATAATAGATATACTTGCAGACTAGACATCACAAATGCTTTTGAAACATGGCAGGTTATTAACTAAACAAGTAACTCACTTGTGGACTAATTTTAAATGCATGTGTCCTTGCTTTTTGAATATGGTAACTGAGAAAAGTAAACCCTCCTGTAAACCTAATACCATTTAGCTTGTTCAGCCACACACTGTGCTTTTTGAGGTATAAATTCTAGCAATAAAATATCAATTTTTTGAAGTATCGACCCCCAAAGTGCCAGCTGGTATGATTGATTATCTGTGATGCGCCATTTCACTCTACTCTTCCGGAAGTACAAAGACACAGGTTAAGCAGAGAAGATATGGCAGATAAGGAAAACCCCAGGAAAAGGAAACCAGTGGTATCCTTTTGTGGGGATCACAGAGACTTGATAAGGGAAGAAGTTTGGCCTTTATAGGATTCAAATTCATTTTTAATCAATTGTAAGTAAAAATGCCAAAGATGATTCACCTCTTTCTTGACCCAGCCAGACTTCTGCAATCTGATTTCTTGTTTTCATTTATGCAAAAAAAAGGAACAATATGCCCACTGTGAACTAATTTGGTGATGTTTCTGGAAAGTAAGTGGGGAAAGGGGGAAGCAAAGTAGTCCCCCATCCCACTGTAGCTGATATATCTGAGGTTATCTTATGTACTCCTGTAACGTGCTGCTTTCTGCCATGCTGGATGATTTCCAGTGGAAACTGGTAAATCAAACCAGAGACTCCTTCGAGAACAGCAATGGAACTTAACAGGCAGTGTAGGAACCCAGGATTCCCTTGACTCAGCTAATCCCTCACAAGGCCACTGCCTGGGACTGCCTCGTTGATGCACGAAAGAGGAACCAGTAGCATTCCTTTGTATCCTCCCTGTCCCCTTACGTTGTGGCACTTGAAATTACTGTTTAAGGAGGGTTTGGTTTCTTCGGCCCTCAAGAAAGATGTAATGAATGAAATAGTGGAACAAACCAGCTCCGTTTAAGCAGATAATGCTTGTTTATTTAGACTAGAGGACTTATAAAAATATATAGATTCCAGATTGCACCTTAGGCATCAGACTGTGCAGTTGGGGCTCGGGAATCTACATCTTTACAATATGGCCTAGGTAATTATGATTCTTAGCTAAGTTTGAAAACTGAGGGACTAGATTTTCAAATATACCCCTAAATCCTACCCAGATTTTAGTTTTAAATCTATTTCTTTCTCCTTAGGCTCTAGTCAGAGACAAAGTAGGATACTCCTCCCTTTCCCAGGCCTTTATATCCATAGAATGAGTGTTGAATAATTTATCCCATTGCTTAGCAAACATTTGTTTCATATGCTAAATGAAGACACAAACCCAGAAATGTTAAGTGGCTGGGTCAAGGTTGCACTGTATATGAATGAGAACACCATGGCAAGAAAGCTGGATGTCTTAGCCTCCATGGCCAGATGACCACCCTTTTTTTTTCTCTTTTTTTCCTGAGTAAGAAAAATGGAGGCATCTAGGGGGCTTCCTTGAAAAAATCAGACATAAATTAGGGTAAGTGTAGATGTTCATCTCCAAGCAACATTTCTCTCTGAGATGAACCTATAGATTAAAAAAGACTTGAGAAACATATCAACCAAATACAATGTGTGGACCTTTGGGTCCCAATTTGCAAAAAATGTAAAGATAAAAAAGTTTATGAGACAATCAGGAAAATAAGAACACTGTGTGGATGCTTAATTACATCAAATAATCATATTTAATTGTTATGTGCGTGACTATCTTATTATGGTTATCTATTTTTAAATCCTCACATTTTAGAAATATACACTGAAATATTTATTAATGCAATGATGTCTGGATGCTTCAACTCCAGTGGTGTAATAAGGGGGAGAACAGCTATAATGAAACACATAGTTTTAAGACACGATTGTCTATGAGTTGATAATATTGAAGCCAAGTGATGAGTATGCAGGGCTTATTGTGCTATTCTCTCCTATTCATGTATTTTTAAATTTTTTCATCATAAAACATTTTAAATGTATTTCTCAAAAGGGCTGGCTTACAGTTTTGTAGGTTATTTAACTTACCTGTATAATAATATGCTTATTAGTGAGGTACATAACTTGATAGAATAACAATAACTTTACATATTCAGGAAAAATCACCTTGTCTCTCCACCATGGCTTTTGTGGAAGATGAGATGAATAGCAGACATTTAAAGTAGAAACTATGACTCTCCAATAACAAGACTCTCTTTCAAAGTAGCACAACACTTCTGTCATCTGTTACACTGTGATTAGCCTAAAACTGCAGTAGATAGACTACTGAAACAATTAAAGCATTCAAGAATTATAAAAGATCAATCACCTACTTCATAAAAATTTTCATAAACCAGACTATACTTGGGGAATTGTTAATTGCCTCAAAGTAAAATGAGGGCAGCCACCCAGATCTGGTTAGGAGGTAAATTCATTACAGTGTCAAGTTTAACACCAATTTCCAAATGCACATAAGAAGCTGCAGAGTCCAGACTTCGAGGCTAAACAGCTCTGCCTTTCTCCTTAGTCCTGCCCACTACCTTCTTTCTGAATCTGCGAAGAGCTGTGACTCTTGAAGGGCAGGACCTACCAGCATTCATTATGACTTCAGTTATGGCAAGCTCTCAAGTTAAATTAATGGTGTTTGGGGTTTATGTTTCCAAACAGTAAGGAAATAGCCAACGAGTAAAACTGGAAATTACTTTCTCCTATGACCTAGAAGTAGCAATAAGAACTCTAAGTGGGAAACAGAAATAGGACTCTGGAAAGATAATGTTTTGTGTGTTTATTTTTCTTCCAGAACTCCAAATAGTTGCCTTGGCAGGAAGGCTGCCCTCTAACTGCTCCCTTCCGAAGACTAGGAGGTGTTTACAGAAATTGAAAGTTCCAGCAGTACATTTCCATGAGCTCATTACCAGTTCCATTTATACCTTTTAGATTTCACATGCACAAATGAATGTCCTTGCAGTATAAACTCCTGCTTTCAGCTTGCATTTTAATTACAAACAAAGTAGCAGAAATCAGGTACTCAGTTACTGTAACATAAGGGCAGGGCATCTTTAGAATCTGTGCTTTGTTCACTATTATTCAAAGCAGCTCCAATGCCCGTCTTGCCTGCCTCTTTATGCTAATCATCCTAGCCCACTTTGCTCCTCCTCCTTCCAGAGTCCCTTAAGAACTGTACACTTTCAGCTGTCACAGAGGGTAACTCAGATCAGGCTTAGAAATCACTTGACTTAACTCAGCAGCACTTTTTCTTTTCTTTGTGTCTGTATTATTTTAGCAGCCTTCTCTAAATACTGGAGGCATTGGATTTCATGTCGCCAAAAGGAATTTAAAAATGACAAAAGTGTAATCTGTTAGAAATAGTTAATTTGTAGAATTTTACTCTATAAGGAGGTTTAGTTTCAATTTGTTTTGAAATGAAGGAATTAAGTTGTGTTTTTAACCAAATGAATTGGCATCTTTATATTTAGGAGAAGTAACATTGGTGATTATTTATTTCAAGAATCATGACTGGAAAAAGCTTGGAAGTTTAGTAGAGGAGTATATGTTGTACATGCAAAGACAAGATCTGCATGAATCTATGTATTTCTGGGTGTCTGGTGAAGGCCACTTTAGGTGACTGGCCAGAGAAGGAGGTGCCCTAGTGATCCTTGAGTCACAGCCATACTGCTAGGACCATGACTACCATACCAAGAAAAGGCAGCAGCCACCTGCCTGGCAGTTTGCACACCTGTAAACTGAAGCTGCAGGAGGACCGGCGACAGCAAGGTGAGTCCGTCCAGCTCATGAGTTGCATATTCTGTGACCTTCTGTGCATTTGCATTCCAGGAAGAATGGTGGGCTGGTGAAGGACCCGGGGAAGCTCTGACATAATAGTGATGCATAAGGGTGGGTTAACTTGGATTCACTATTGATTTTTAGAGGACTATGGAAGACTGTCAAGAATGCATATTCCTTGGAGCTGTCATTCTGAAACTTACATGCTTAAACTTCTAGCCACTGTGTTTTTTAGAGTATGCTAGATTTTGTCTAATTCAAAACACCCATCTGAGCAAGGCTGAGTCAGCTACAAGGGGGATTTCAGCTGAGAGTAGCTTTAAGTTAGCCTGGAGCTTTCTCTACCATAGTACCACTGGTGGGACACTTTTTTCACTTTGTTTAAGCCTAAGTTTGTCTGGATCTCTGGCTCATTCATTGTGGGAAAAATAAATATATTCTTGACTCTTTCCTTTTTATGGTCCAGGGACATCTGGAGACAGTCAGGGAAAAGTGTCACATTTCACTTGCTGGGCACTCATTCAAACTAAACTATCTACCTCCCAGCCATTTTCACCATCAGTCTTTTTAAATTTTCAAATCCACTCTCCAGCCAGCTGAGTTAGTGTCAGATGGTTGACATGAATAGACAAGATGATCCCTCCAATCCACCCTGTCAGGGACAGCAAATGACACTTGTGGGAAAGGCTGGGTCTCTCATGGATGACATCATCACTCCACAGAGGTTAAGGATTCACCAGACACTTCTAACTTCTCCTCAATAACCTAGGATAGATCTTTTTATGTGTAGGTCTAGGCAATGAGCTCTTTAATTATTTTTCTGTAGACGCAGTTTTAGATTTCAGTGGTGTGGAGAGTGTTGGCTAAAGGGCCAAAACCTCCCATTTCCAAGATGGAATCTGTGTGCTAACAGTCACATGAATGTGTCAGGCCACCTCTCTGCATCGGTTCCTGGAGCTGTATAACATGACTTCATGCTCTACAAGGCTTAGCATAGTGTCGGCAGAAAATACTTCATGGTAAATGAAAACAATGTGAACTTTTAGACCATGCTTTACTACTAGTGCTCAAATAAATTTTGAACCAAGTACCCTAGAATGTAAAGTCCTGGAATGTGTCAGGGTTAAGGCATAGCACTGTAAAATGCTCTTGCTTCTCTGTTAGTAAACAATTCTAGTTTATCAGAGGTTTTTGTTTTCTGTTGACTTTGTATGAAATGTTAAAGTGACTTCCCCCCACTTCAATTGCTAATATGATAATTTTAATAGAAAATTTGGTGGGGGTGAGCCTAAAGAAGTCACCTGTAACCCCACCACCCAAAGATAATTGCTATTAACATTTTAATGTATAAACTTCTAGACTTTTCTTCTATGCACTTGTATGGATTATTCCTTTGCTTGCTTTTTAAACAATATAGACTTGTTCTGGATACTTTTGTAAACAGTGTTTTGTAAACTGCTTTTTAATTTAATGACAGAGGATGAACAAATTTCCAGGTCATTAAATATTCTTCTACAACCTTATTTTTAACAGTTGCACACTGTTCCTTTATATGGATGTAGCAAAATTCCCTTAGGCAATTCTCTACTGTTAGATATATTATTTATTTCTAATATTTTAACTATTATAATTAACACTGGACTGCACCTAAACTAATGAATAGATCTTTGCACTGATATGGGATTATTTTCTTCGCATAAATTCTTAGAAGTGAAATTGTGGAGTCAAAGGATTATACATTCTTAAAAATTGTTTTTGGCCAAGTGACCCTCCTATCAGCAGTGTTGGGGTATGTTCTCAGTAATACTATTATTTTTTAAACTCCTTCTCAATTTTATAGGTGAAAAATAATACCCCACTATTGTTTTAAGCCAGGCTATCCTGAAGATCTCTCCTTTACTGGCTGTATTAATCAAAGTTCTCTAGAGGGACAGAACTAATAGGATATATACACACACACACACACACACACACACACACATATATGTATGTGTATATATATACAGATATACGTATGTGTATATATGTGTGTATATGTATATAAAGATGAGTTTATTAAGTATTAACTTACACAGTCACAAGGTCCCACAATAGGCTGTCTGCAAACTGAGGAGCAAGGAGAGCCAGTCTGACTCCCAAAACTGAAGAACTTGGAATCCAATGTTCAAGGACAAATAGCAAGAGAGAAAGATGTAGGCTGGGAGGCTAGGCCAGTCACCTTTTCACGTTTTTTTGCCTGCTTTGTATTTGCTGGCAGCTGATTAGATTGTGCCCACTAGATTAAGGGTGGATCTGCCTTCCCCAGCCCAGTGACTTAAATGCTAATCTCTTTTGGCAACGCCCTCACAGACACACCCAGGATCAATACTTTGTATCCTTCAATCCAATCAAGTTGACACTCAGCATGAACCATCACACTGGCAATATCCAGAGAAGCCTGGAAATAATCACTATGATGACATACTTCCCAAAATACCCACAAGACTGGTCTTCTTTCTCAGACTTAGCTTTTTGCCTAGAATGTTTTGAAAGCAAGCATATTCTTCCACACCCAAGTCTCAAAATATCTGCCCACATAAGCCACAATCCATAAAGTTGTGAAGCATGCTAATGCAGTCCAGACTGGCCATTGATTGCTGCAAGAAATATCATCTAGTGATTTGAGCTGGGTAGTATTTGCTGTGTTGCTAAATTGCATTCCAGTTACTGTCCTGGAGTTTTAAAGTATTCATTCAGAGCAGTGGCCCTGCTTTTTCCTCCAAGCTATTTTTGCACCTTGCTATTATGTGAAGTTCAGCAAAGGTCCCAGGAAGCAAAGCCATTTGTTTTAGAGAGTGAGGTCTGGCTTTATTCATGGAATCATCCTGGGTTCACGGCTTTGGCCTTTCCCCAGCCAGCCTAAAGTTCTGCCTCTATTATTTAGCATACAGACTATGATTAATTGACATTCGACACTTCTGTAGGCGTGACTAGCTTCAACACATACATATTTTCTTTTCCTTTTTTTTTTTTTTTTTAAGATGGAGTCTCACTCTGTCACCCAGGCTGGAGTGCAGTGGCATGATCTCGGCTCACTGCAACCTCTGCCTCCCGGGTTCAAGTGATTCTTCTGCCTCCGTCTCCTGAGTAGCTCGGACTACAGGCACACTCCACCATGCCTGGCTAATTTTTTTATTTTTAGTAGAGACGGGGGTTTCACCATATTGGTGAGGCTGGTCTCGAACTCCTGACCTCATGATCTTCCCACCTCGGCCTCCCAAAGTGCTGGGATTACAAGCATAAGCCACCGCACTGACCTCAACACATATATATTTTCTAACCCCCCATGCCATATGCTAAAATGCTTCGTGTCCTTCCACCTAGTCACTCACAGAAGTGTAATTTTGAAGTGATTACATAGATAAAAATCACTTATTCTTCAGCAGTTATCTGGGCAACAACAAGGTGCAAAGTGTTGTGCTAGATGCTGAGTATGCAAATTGAACTAAGACAACTAAGCCATGGTTTTCTGTCCACGTGGAGTTTACTATGACAACAAATGCTCTATCAGTCCAGAACACAAGTCCAGGAGGCTCATCTCCCAACTTGTTGCTATCTTCTAGCTTCTCCTGTGATATTTTTAATCCATTTATCTCTAATATTGATTCTATGAACACATTTGTAAACGTTAATTTACATGTCTATACAGCCTCAGCAAAGCTCATTACACATTACATGTACTAGGCAGACAACCTTCCTTATGTATTATGGTGCTTTAAAATTTACAAATGGTCTCATATACATTATTTCATTAATTTTCACAACAACCAAATGAAATAGTGTAGTCAAGCTTCTTCAGGGAAACAGAACCAATAGGATGTGTGTGTGTGCGTGTGTGTGTGTGTGTGTGTATACAGGTGACTCCTGAACAACACAAATTTGAACTGTTCAGATCCACTTATATGTGGATTTTCTTCCTTTGCCACCCTTGAGACAGCAAGATCAACCCTTCCTCTTCCTCCCCCTCCTCAGCCTACTCAAAATGAAGACAATGATGAAGACCTTAATGACAATCCACTTCCACTTAATAAACAGTAAATATATTTCTCTTCATTATGGTTTTCTTAATAACATTTTTCTCTAGCTTATTTTATCATAAGAATACAGTATATAACACATATAATATATAAAATATGTATTAATCGACTGTCTTATGTTATTGATAAGGATTCTGGTCACCTCTAGGCTATTAATAATTAAGTTTTGGGAGCAGCAAAAGTTATATGCAAAATTTTAACGAGAGAGAATAGAGAGAGAGAAGAGAGAGGGTGAGAGAGAGGGGGATTTATTTTAAGAAATTCACTCCCACAATTATGAAGGCTGGCAAGTCCAAACTGCAGTGTAGACTGACAGGCTGCAGACCCAAGTGAAGAGCTAATTCTGCAGTTGAGTCCATTCTTGGTTGCTCTGGGGTAGTCAGTCTTTTGTTCTATTCAGGCCTTTGACTGATTAGATGAGACTCACTCACTAATGAAGGGCAATCTGCTTGAGTCAAAGTCTACTAGTTTAAGTGTAAACCTCATTCAAAAACATCCTCACCGAAACATTCAGAATGTTGACAAAATATCTGGGTATCATGGAACAGCCAAGCTGACACATAAAACTAATAATCACGAGCAGGTATTGTTATCCTTATTTATAAAGATGTGGAAACCGTGAATCTTCAAGGTCAAGATGACTCTTCCAAGGTTACACAGTTATTAAGAGCTGCTTTCAATGTACTTTCTGCCACATACAGCTGTCTCGTAAAATCTATGATTTCTAGTATTACAATGTTTAATTTTTTTAAATTGATCTATACTAGAGAAACTTCTCCATGGATAACCAAGACATGTTGGAATTCCTCATGATTTTCTTTTTGTCTTCTGACACTTATTCTCTGAGTGTCGTACAATTCAATTCAATTCTGACACTACCCAGAATTAGTGAAGACCCACAAATGAAGGACTTAGTCCCATAAGACTGCCCCGTTTCAGATTCCAACAACAAATTTCAGGTGTCCCCAAGCAATCTGCACTTCTGCCAGGACAATTACAAATTAAAGACGTCCCACAACCCCTCAGATTTGATAATTCACTAGAACAACTCACAGAATTGAGGAAAGCTCTGTACTTTCAATTTCCATTTCATTATAAGGTATACAAATGGTCAGCCAGATGAAGAGGTACATGGGAGGAGGACTGGAAGGGTCATGAGCACAGGAGCCTCTGCTTCCACAGAGTCAGGGTGTGCCGCCCTCTTAGTATCAGGAAGCTCCCCTGAGCATGGTGTCCAGGGTTTTTAATGAGGTTTCATTATGTAGGCATGATTGATTAAATAATTGGCCATATGACTGAACTTAATCTCCAGTTCTTCTCTCCTCCTAGGAAGTTAGGGGAATGGGGTGGGTTTGAAATTTCCAATCTCTAATCACATGTTTGGGCTTTTTGATGTGACAGCCCCTTCCTTGGAACTATGTAAGGATCCCTTAGATAGTTCCATAATAAGCCTTCCTAATAGAGTCCACTAGGAAACAATAAATAAATAAGTTTAATGGCTGAAACTTCATTTTCCCACTTCACAAATATTAGGATGGCTACTATTTGAAAAAAAAAAAAAAAAAAACAGGATATAACAAATGTTGGTGAGAATGTGGAGAAATTGGAACCTCGTGCACTGTTGCAGGAGATAAAATGGTGGAGCTGCTGTGAAAAGTACTATGGCAATGTATTAGTCTGTTCTCATGCTGCTATAAAGAACTCCCTGAGGCTGGGTAATTTATAAAGGAAAGAGGTTTAATTGACACACAGTTCCACAGGGCTGGGGAGGCCTTAGGAAACTTATGATCATGGCAGAAGTGGGGAAGCAAACGTATCCTTCTTCACATGGTGGCAGGAAGGAGAAGTGACGAGCAAAGACGGAAAAGCCCCTTATAAAACCATCAGATCTCATGAGAACTCACTATCATGAGAACAGCATGGGGGTAACAGCCCCCATGATTCAGTTACCTCCCACTGGGTCCCTCCCATGACATGTGGGGATTATGGGAACTACAATTCAAGATGAGATATGGGTGGGGACTCAGCAAAACCATATCACGCAGTTCCTCAAAAAATTAACAAATAGAATTACTATGTTACCCTGCAATTTTACTTCTGGATAAAATCCTAAGAGAAGTAAAAGCAGGGATTCAAACAGATACTTGTGCACCTATGCTCATGGTAGTATTATTCACAATAGCCAAAAGATGGAAACAAACAAATCTCCACTGACAAACGAATGGATCAACAAAATATGGTGTGTATATATATGTGTGTGTATATATATGTATACATACATATATAATATGTAGTGTACATATGTATATATGCATATATTATATATGTATATATACACACATATATGTATATATAGTGTATATATACACTATATATGTATGAGTATATATATGTTTATATGTCATATATATGTATATATAAACATACATACATATATACACTATATATATACACTATACATACACACTATATATATACACACACTATACATATATATATATATAAAACCAAATAATTTTCAGCCTTAAAAATGAAGGAAATTCTGACACATGCTAAAACATGGATGAACCTGAGGACATTAAGTTAAATGAAATGAAGGCAGAAATAAAAATGTTCTTTGAAACCAACGAGAACAAAGGCACAACATACAAGAATCTCTGGGACTCATTCAAAGCAGTGTGTAGAGAGAAATTTATAGCACTAAATGCCCACAAGAGAAAGCAGGAAAGATCCAAAATTGATACCCTAACATCATAATTAAAAGAACTAGAAAAGCAAGAGCAAACACATTCAAAAGCTAGCAGAGGGCAAGAAATAACTAAAATCAGAGCAGAACTGAAGGAAATAGAGACACAAAAAACCCTTCAAAAAATTAATGAATCCAGGAGCTGGTTTTTTGAAAGGATCAACAAAATTGATACACCGCTAGCAAGACTAATAAAGAAAAAAAGAGAGAAGAATCAAATAGACACAATAAAAAATGATAAAGGGGATATCACCACCGATCCCACAGAAATACAAACCACCATCAGAGAATACTACAAACACCTCTACGCAAATAAACTAGAAAATCTAGAAGAAATGGATAAATTCCTCGATACATACACTCTCCCAAGACTAAACCAGGAAGAAGTTGAATCTCTGAATAGACCAATAACAGGATCTGAAATTGTGGCAATAATCAATAGCTTACCAACCAAAAAGAGTCCAGGAAGAGATGGATTTACAGCCGAATTCTATCAGAGGTACAAGGAGGAACTGGTACCATTCCTTCTGAAACTATTCCAATCAATAGAAAAAGAGGGAATCCTCCATAACTCATTCTATGAGGCCAGCATCATCCTGATACCAAAGCCGGGCAGAGACACAACCAAAAAAGAGAATTTTAGACCAATATCCTCGATGAACATTGATGCAAAAATCCTCAATAAAATACTGGCAAACCGAATCCAGCAGCATATCAAAAAGCTTATCCACCATGATCAAGTGGGCTTCATCCCTGGGATGCAAGGCTGGTTCAATATATGCAAATCAATAAATGTAATCCAGCATATAAACAGAACCAACGACAAAAACCACATGATTATCTCAATGGATGCAGAAAAGGCCTTTGACAAAATTCAACAACCTTCATGCTAAAAACTCTCAATAAATTAGGTATTGATGGGACGTATTTCAAAATAACAAGAGCTATCTATGACAAACCCACAGCCAATATCATACTGAATGGGCAAAAACTGGAAGCATTCCCTTTGAAGACTGGCACAAGACAGGGATGACCTCTCTCACCACTCCTATTCAACATAGTGTTGGAAGTTCTGACCAGGGCAATTAGGCAGGAGAAGGAAATAAAGGGTATTCAATTAGGAAAAGAGGAAGTCAAATTGTCCCTGTTTGCAGATGACATGATTGTTTATCTAGAAAACCCCATTGTCTCAGCCCAAAATCTCCTTAAGCTGATAAGCAACTTCAGCAAAGTCTCAGGATACAAAATCAATGTACAAAAATCACAAGCATTCTTATACACCAACAACAGACAAACAGAGAGCCAAATCATGAGTGAACTCCCATTCACAATTGCTTCAAAGAGAATAAAATACCTAGGAATCCAACTTACAAGGGATGTGAAGGACCTCTTCAAGGAGAACTACAAACCACTGCTCAAGGAAATAAAAGAGGATACAAACAAATGGAAGAACATTCCATGCTCATGGGTAGGAAGAATCAATATCATGAAAATGGCCATACTGCCCAAGGAAATTTACAGATTCAATGCCATCCCCATCAAGCTACCAACGACTTTCTTCACAGAATTGGAAAAAACTACTTTAAAGTTCATATGGAACCAAAAAAGAGCCCGCATCGCCAAGTCAATCCTAAGCCAAAGGAATGAAGCTGCAGGCATCACGCTACCTGACTTCAAACTATCCTACAAGGCTACAGTAACCAAAACAGCATGGTACTGGTACCAAAACAGAGATATAGATCAATGGAACAGAACAGAGCCCTCAGAAATAACACTGCATATCTACAACTATCTGATCTTTGACAAACCTGAGAAAAACAAGCAATGGGGAAAGGATTCCCTATTTAATAAATGGTGCTGGGAAAACTGGCTAGCCATATGTAGAAAGCTGAAACTGGGTCCCTTCCTTACACCTTATACAAAAATCAATTCAAGATGGATTAAAGACTTAAATGTTAGACCTAAAACCATAAAAACCCTAGGAGAAAACCTAGACATTACCATTCAGGAGATAGGCATGGGCAAGGACTTCATGTCTAAAACACCAAAAGCAATGGCAACAAAAGCCAAAATTGACAAATGGGATCTAATTAAACTCAAGAGCTTCTGCACAGCAAAAGAAACTACCATCAGAGTGAACAGGCAACCTACAAAATGGGAGAAAATTTTCGCAGCCTACTCATCTGACAAAGGGCTAATATCCAGAATCTACAATGAACTCAAACAAATTTACAAGAAAAAAACAAACAACCCCATCAAAAAGTGGGTGAAGGACATGAACAGACACTTCTCAAAAGAAGACATTTATGCAGCCAAAAAATACGTGAAAAAATGCTCACCATCACTGGCCATCAGAGAATGCAAATCAAAACCACAATGAGATATCATCTCACACCAGTTAGAATGGCAATCATTCAAAAGTCAGGAAACAACAGGTGCTGGAGAGGATGTGGAGAAATAGGAACACTTTTACACTGTTGGTGGGACTGTAAACTAGTTCAACCATTGTGGAAGTCAGTGTGGCGATTCCTCAGGGATCTAGAACTAGAAATACCATTTGACCCAGCCATCCCATTACTGGGTATATACCCAAAGGACTATAAATCATGCTGCTATAAAGACACATGCACACGTATGTTTATTGCGGCATTATTCACAGTAGCAAAGACTTGGAACCAACCCAAATGTCCAACAATGATAGACTGGAGGTAAGAAAATGTGGCACATATACACCATGGAATACTATGCAGCCATAAAAAATGATGAGTTCATGTCCTTTGTAGGGACATGGATGAAATTGGAAATTATCATTCTCAGTAAACTATCACAAGAACAAAAAACCAAACACCACATATTCTCACTCATAGGTGGGAATTGAACAAGGAAAACACATGGACACAGGAAGGGGAACATCACACTCTGGGGACTGTTGTGGGGTGGGGGCAGAGGGGAGGGATAGCATTGGAAGATATACCTAATGCTAGATGACGAGTTAGTGGGTGCAGCGCACCAGCATGGCATATGTATACATATGTAACTAACCTGCACATTGTGCACATGTACCCTAAAACTTAAAGTATAATAATAATAATAAAAATAAATAAGATACAGCTAAAACTGAAAAAAAATAAAAATAAAAAAATAAAAAATTAAAAAATAAAAAAGTTAAATGAAATAAGCCAGTCACAAAAAGATAAATACTGTCTGATTCCACTTACATGAGCAATTTAGAGAGACAGAAAGTAGAATGGCGCTTCTAGGGTTTTGGGGCAGAAAGGATTGAGGATATGTTGTTTAATGGTACAGGGTTTCAGTTTTGCAAGATGAAAAGAGTTCTGGAGATTGGTTATACAAACATGTGAATACAGTTCACACTACTGAGCTGTACATTTACAAATGGTTAAAATGATACATTTTATGGTAAGTATATTTTACCACTACAAAAAAGCCGGGCCAGGCATGGTGGCTCACGCCTGTAATCCCAGCACTTTGGGAGGCTGAGGCAGGTGGATCATGAGGTCAGGAGATCGAGACCATCCTGGCCAACATGGTGAAACCCTGTCTCTACTAAAAATACAAAAAAAAAAAAAAAAAAATTAGCCAGGCATGGTGGCATGTGCCTGTAGTCCCAGCTACTCAGGAGGCTGAGGCAGGAGAATCGCTTGAACCCGGGAGGCAGAGGTTGCAGTGAGCCGAGATCGCGCCACTGCACTCCAGTCTGGGCAACAGAGTGAGACTCCATCTCAAAAAAAAAAAAAAAAAAAAAAAGCCATGGTTGTCCAAGGCCATCCCTAATTACACTTTTGAAGTTGGACTTAACACACACAAAATAAAAAAAAAAATCCTTTATTTTTCCATTCCTAAAAACAAAGTCATGAGAAAGTAGTCTGCTCCTCCATGATTCCCCAAAGCTACTTCTTTCAAAATATTAATAAAATTAATAAACCCCTACCTAGATTAATCAATAAAAAGAGATATGGCCGGGTGCGGTGGCTCACACCTGTAATCTCAGCATTTTGGGAGACCGAGGTGGGCAGATCACTTGAGGCCAGGAGTTCAAGACCAGCCTGGCCAACATGGTGAAACCCCATCTCTACTAAAAATACAAAAATTAGCCAGGTGTGGTGGCATGTGCCTGTGATCCCAGCTATTCAGGAGGCTGAGGCATGAGAATTGCTTGAACTGGGAGGTAAATGTTGTAGTGAGTCAAGACTGTGTCACTGCACTCCAGCCTGTGCAATGGAGTGAGGCTCTAAGAAAAAAAAAAAAAGGTGAGACAGAGAGAGAGAAACCACCAGTATGAGGAATGATGTAGAGGGTGTCATTACAGATATTAAAAGGATTGTAAGGGAGTGTTATGAATACCTTTGTGCCAGAAAGATGTAGAGGAACATAAAATTCAACACCAACTGATATAAAAACTCAAGGGATTTGGAATAGAGCAACTTCCTCAACCTGATGAAAAACATTTACAAGAAACCCAGCAGCTAACACTACTCGATGTAGAAGATTGCACATTTTCCTCTTAAGATTAGGAAAAATAAACAGAGATGTCCATTATCATCACTTCTATTCAACAGTGTACTGGAGATCCTAGCCAGTGTATTACGTTAAGAAAAAGAAATAAAAGGCTTACATATTGGAAATAAAGAAGTAAAACTATCTTTTTTTTTTTTGCAGATGATTGATGGTATTTGTAGAAAAATCCTGAGAAATCTATCAAAAAATGCTAGAACTAATAAATGCATTTACTAAGGTATCAGGCTACAAAGTCAACATACAAAAAATATCGTATTTCTATATATTAGCTGACAACAAGTGGAAATTAAAAATATTAGAGTACTCATTTAATAGCATAAAAAGGAAATACGGATTAATTTAACAAAATACGTGCAAGACTTGTACACTTAAACATTGCAGTGTGAAGCTGAAGAAGACTGAATTATAAGAAGAGATACATCCCAAATTCATGAATTGGAATGCTCAATATTGTTAAGATGTCAATCGTCCTCAACTTGACCTATAGAGTCAAGGCCATCTCAATAAAAATTACAGCAGATTTTTTGTTTTGAAATTGACAAACTGATTTTAAAAGGATAAGGAAATATTAAGGACCTAGAATAACTAAATCAATCTTGAAAAAGAGTACAAAGTTGACAACCTACATTTTTGGATTTCAGGCTATAATAAATCAAGATGATATCAGTGTAAGGATAGAAAAATCTATTATTGGAACAGAATATAAAGTCCAGAAATTGATCTATTAGTACATTGTCAGTTGGTTTTTGACAAAGTTATCAAGATAACTCAAAGGGAGAACGGATAGCTTTTCTGTAAGAATCCTGGAACAAATGGGGAAAAATATTTCTGAAAATGAACCACAATACCTACCTCACACAAAAATTAGTTTGAGATAGAATATAACTGAAACACAAAAGTTAGATATACAAAGCTTCTAGAAGAAATGTAGGAAAATATCTTCACCATCAAAAAGGCAGCTTTTTAGACTGACAAAAAAGCACTGACCATAAAATATAGATAAGTTAGACTATCAATATTAAACATATCTGTTCTTCAAAAGATACCACCAAGAAAAGACTGGGAGAAAAATGTCAAATATATATTTGAAAAAGAACTTTCAATCAGAATATGTTAAAAACTCTTACAGCTCATGATAAACAATTTGATTTAAAAATGGGCAAAAGATCTGGCAAACACTTCAAAAAGAAAGTATATAAATGGCCAAAAGCACATCAAAAGATGTTCAACGTTATCAGTTATCAGGGAAATCCAAAATAAAACCACCATGAAATGTCACTTTACATCCACTAGAATGGCTAAAATTTTAAATGGTGATAACATGATGCTTGGAGAAGATGTGAAACAACCAGAACTCACTCGCTGCTGGAAAGTGGTAAAAACCACTCTGGAAAACAGTTTGGCAGTTTCTTATATAATTAAACCCAAAAGTACCCTGTTATCCAACAGTTCCGTATTTAGGTATTTTTCCAAGAGAAATAAAAATATATCCACGAAAGCCTTGCACAAGAATGCTCGTAGCAGATTTTATTCATATGAGCCCCAACATGTGAACAACCCAAAACTGTTCATAAGCAAGTAAACTGGTAAGCAAATTGCGGTATATTAACACACTGGAATACTACTCAGTAGTAAAAAGAAATGAATTACTGATACATGTAACCATGTAGGTGAATCTCAGAAATGTTTTATTGAGTGAAAATAAGCCAGACACAAAAGAGTACATATTTCTACAGGCAAAACTAGGCCATGGTGATAGACATCAGAACAGTTGTTGCCCAGGGAGGAGAACTGGAACAGGACACAAGGAACACACTGGGGCAATAAAAATGTTTTATATCTTGATAGGGTTTTGGTTACTTGTGCACACACATTTGTCAAAAATTCATCTGTGCATTTTATTCTATGTAATTTAGGCCTCATTTTCTAAAATGTGAGACTGCCTAGGAGGCCTCAGACTCCAAATTTTCCTCTAGGCCTCTACTAGTAATTCCACAGAATAGTGAAGAGACTGAAATATCTCAATGAATTAGAATAACTTGCCCAAGAACATAACGTATCCTACTGGCAGAGTACCCACAGCTCAGGAAATATCACACCTTCAAGAGAAAATGTTAGTATAACTTTAGTCAGCTTTAATAATAGTGGTATTTTATTGTTGCTTTTATTCCTAAAGCTTAGAACTTCTCTATTAATAACATAGTCACCAAAAATTAGCTAATCAATGAGATTAGCACAGGATAAATTGAGGTATAATAAAAAGAACTATCTAACACCTAGGGCGAGACACTAACTCTTTTTGTCAAGCATCTGTCTTTTCATTATTGAACATCCTTTAGAATCAACGATTTATCTTAATTTTCTTTAGAATTCAGTGTTGTATTGTTTTAAAGCCACAACTGACTCATGAGTTATCGTTTAATAAACACCTAAAATGGACTACTTCATGAATATTTTTTCACCCCATCTCTACTTCATCTTGTTTGCATTTACATAGCACTTCATTTATTTTATTTAACACATACTTAGTGGCTGCCATTTATCAGGCACTGTTCTCGACTCTAGTGAACAAAGCAAACAAAAAATCCTGCCCACAAGGAGCTTATTTTCTCAGAGGCAGAAAGGCAAACAATAAAGAAGATAAATGAGCAAAATATATAGTGCAAACAGGGGTCCATGGCCTGTTAGGAACTGGGTCACACAGCAGGAGGTGAGCAGGGCGTGAGTGAGCATTACCACCTGAGCTCCGCCTCCTGTCAGATCAATGCACATTAGAGTCTCACTGGAGCGTGAACCCTATTGTGAACTGTGCATGTGAAGGATCTAGGTTGCGTGCTCTTTATGAGAATCTAATGTCTGATGATCTGAGGCGGGGCAGTTTCATCCCCAGAACATCCCCACCCACCTTCCCACCATCTGTGGAAAAATTGTCTTCCAGTCCCATGGGCCAAAAGGTTGGGGCTCAATGGTGTAAATGATAATAATGAAGATAGGAATTATGGAAAAAAAATTAAGCAGGCAGCATAGAGTGTCATAATGGAGATCTGATTTAAGCAGGGTGCTCAGGGAAGACCTCATTAAGAAGGTGAATTTGAGTAAAGACCTGTAAGAGGTGAGGGAGTGGGTCATGCCACATCTAGGGGAAGAGCAGTCCAGGTAGAATAAAGAGTAAGTACAAAGACTGAGTTTTAGAAATCACACTTGGTCTACATTTGTTCTGACGTGGTTATTGATTCATTTCAGTTAGAGCAATATTTTTATCACAGTTATCTAGGTTAGTGATTCTCAAACTTTAGCATCACCTGCAGAATCACCTGGATAGCTTATTAAAACACAATTGCTGGGTCCCATTCTGACTTTCTGATTCAGAAATTCTGAGGGGAATGGAGGGAAGGAGTCAAGAATTTTCATTTCTAACAAGTTCTCAGAGAAATGCCATCATTGCTGCAGTTGCAGAGATCACACTTTAAGAATGACTGTGTTGGAGGGACAAAAGGATGCCAGTATGATCAAGTTAGCTTAAGTGAGTGTTAGGAAGTGATTGAGAGATAAGGGAGAGGGGAGAGGAAAGAGCAGTTACATGGTCATGTCTGCCCTGGTAAGTCCTTTGGCTTTGACTGTGAGAGAGATGGGAAATATTACATGCCAATTTGAGTTAATTTGATCATTTACACCTTTCAGGTTCTTTTGGGGAGCTAGAAATAACCAACAAAAAGTTAGGGATGCAGTAAAAGTAAGCTACTCCTCTCAACCTCAATACCATGTTAAAATAAAGCAAATCTTAGGGTAAATTCTTCCAAATGGACAGATATTTACTAAACAAACATTAATTAGCAAACAAGCATAAAACACTGCATACAATGTCCCAAACTCTTTGTTCCTTAAGGTTTGCTCAGACAAAACGACATTCCCCAGGCAGTATTCTGTGTAGTCAGCCAGTAACCACGAATTATCCTGCTCATTAATGGACACTGGGACCTTTCAGTATAAAGCTTTGGGCACTGTACTTAAAAGTACAGGGTACAGGTCTTGCCAGATTCTTCTGTCCAGGTTGTGTAAGACTAGCAAGTGTCCTTAAAATATTTCAGGCAATCCAAGGTCTTGAATGCCATTAATTTCACCAATGAAAATTCATTTCTGATGTTGATGATGCTAAATCTCAAAGGCTCGGATATTGATTGAGAAGGAAAGATGACAACCTTGTAATAAGAAGCCTCTGAATGTGGGTTTCCTGGTGCTGGTAACCATACCTGAGGTACAAATTCCCCACTAGGTCAATAGATACAACTTTAGATGGTATAATTTAATCTAACATTCACATACTAATTATGCTGTCTTTGCTGGTGTCTTCTAAAGTCAATTACAACTGTGATAACCAAAAGCAGCACTTCTCTACATTTTTTAACAATAAGGCATATGTTAGAAATGATACAGCACTTTGAGGTAAATTCAGGAGGCTGATCCTGTGGGATGAAGGGCCAAGATCCTGGCACACATGTAGCCTGTACACTAGTGTGCTCCACACATGAAGTAAGATCTGGCAAGAGCAAACATTTGAACCCTTATTGATATTCTTTGTTATGGAAGGCCATCTACTGAGGATGCTCTTGACACCTTAGATGATAAGTTCCACTAGGAGACCTATAAAATCACTTTCAAAACTGAGATTCTGAGATTTGCCAAGAATTATTCTTTCGTGGTAATGCTGCCTCAGTTGTGTTGTACAAGTTATTTGAGACAGAAAAATGGATTCATACCCTAGACCATACCACAGTGCTAACATGTCACTTACAAACAAATCACATTTATGAAGTGTTTGTTATATACCAGACACTGTTTTTCAGTACTTTTGATGTATTAGCTCATTTCTTTGTGAAAGCCCCAGGAGGTCTCAGAGCTGGGGTCTTCAGCCAAGCTTGTAATCCAAGATCCGGACTCCGGAGACTGCTTTCACTCATGCTCACTGCCTCTTAAGCTGGTACAAAATAGATGTTCAGCTAAGTACCTGAGAAGGACTTGGATGATGGCTGGCCCTTAAACTCAATTTGTGGTTCAGTTGTTTAGAATAGGTTGCTATTAAATCACTGGTTAATTTCTATATGAATTACCAACTACATCCAACTGTCTCCCAAAAGGGTATATTTGACTGGAAAAGAAACAGTTGCAAAAATACAGATGTATCAGTGCACACCTAGCAGCTCAGAGCAAGTGGCTTACTGATTAGGCTAGCAGTTTTTGCTTAACTTTAAATAACTGCCTAGCCCCTATGTCCCACACTGCATGAAATGAGAAAGATAGCAATGTACCATTTTTGGAACAGGACTGATACAGCCTTGGAGAGCAGTTTGGGTTTTTGACAAAATAAAGAGGCAGTATGCAAAACCTCAAATTAAAAAGGGCTAAATAATAGTCACTATTATAATTCACTTTGTATTTAAACTAGGACTTTATTTCACGTGGTGGCTCAACTATTACACTAAATCATTAACTTGACTTAAAATTTTAATTAACATTTAGGGAAGGTAAGTTTCACACCTGAGTTGCTTTTTAATGAAGTCTGTTGGCAAATCTAGCAAAATATTCAAAAGTCAGGATTTAAAATGCAGTAAATACCTGTATTAATTAAAAAGCTGCATTCCTTCTACCCAATGATCACATACCTCACACCCTGTGGATGGCAATAAACAAACAAAAGGTCATAGGAATAAGATCTAGACTTTTAACAAGGGATGCTGGTGTGAAGGTATCTTTTGATACTAACTAAAGCCACCTCAAAAGAACATAAAATGTATGTCTGTGAGTTGATTCAGAAGGAGAACAGGGTTTAAAATGGGAAGTGAGCTACTTAGGAGGCTGAGGCAGGAGAATCACTTGAATCCGGGAGGTGGAGGTTGTGGTGAGCCAAGATCGTGCCATTGCACTCCAGCCTGGGCAACAAGAGTGAAACTCCATCTCAAAAAAAAAAAAGGAAGTGAGGAGAGGGAACCCAACCTATATACTCAAACAGGAGAGATAAAGAAGAGATTTTTAAGTATGACCTGTATCGTGGCAGGATGGGCTGAAGCTGAAATAACTCAATGCTAATGAGATTCAAATTTATTTCCCTCATCAGATTCAGAGAAACTTTCAAACCTGCAGCAACTACAGCTCAATAACATGGTCATCTCTCTGGAGTGGGGCTCCATGTAGATGTAAAAACCATATTTCAGATTTTTATAATGACCTGTTTAAGGAATTGTTCTAATAAAAGGAAGGATATTGCTATTGAAAGAGTAAGAGTAAAGAGGAAAGTCTGTGAATGCTGAAAATGGATTATTTTGGTCTACGATTGGCTGTATTCAACTTTACTTGTCTGCAGAGACATAAAGTGGCAGATAAAGATGTGTGTGTGTGTGTGTGTGTGTGTGTGTGTGTGTATTTTTATATACAGAGCATAGGCAAGACCCATACCAGTACTACAGATTATGAGGTTCTGTTTATTTAACAAGACAAACTTTTGTTATAAGAAGCTTCATTCTCAAATATGGATTAAAATTTTGGTGTTTTTTTTTTTTTGTAACATTTTTCATTTTGAAAACTGAGTAAGGTTAAATTAACGTGCTGGGTGTGGTGGCTCATGCCTGTAATCCCGGCACTTTGGGAGGCTGAGGTGGGTGGATCACCTGAGGTCAAGAGTTTGAGACCAGCCTGGACAACATGTTGAAACCCCATCTCTACTAAAAATACAAAAATTAGCTGGGCATGGTGGCACATGCCTGTAATCCCAGCTACTCAGGAGGCTGAGGCACGAGAATTACTTGAACTCAGGAGGCAGAGGTTGTAGTGAGCCAACTGAGCTAGCCAGGCATCCTCAGAAATAGATAAATTTACAGGACTGTTTTCAGTTTTCCTGGGAATTTTTCAAGTCATATAAATTTTAAAAGTAAAAACTTTTCTCTGCTAATTTTTATTAGCTTGGTGAACAAAACGTTTCTGGTAAGTGTACAAATTACTACCTGGCCTTTACTTCCTCCAAACTAGTTCTGATATGGTGCAATAATATATATCACTGCAGAACCATCTGCCACAGGCATCATGTTATTCCTGCTACATTTCTATGCCTGAGGGCCAGGAGGGCAGTTCAGCCCTCAAACACAAGGAGAAGAGGAATGATGGGTCTCCTGGGGGTTCCCTAGAGGAGAATGGGGACCAGGCCCCTCCTGGGCTAGTCGGGCTTTGGATGGCAGCTCAGCTCCTTCTTCCTGAATAGACTGCCAAAGACTTGTTCTCCGTGGAATAACATCCACTTATTCCTGTGGAAATGGAGAAACAAGGAGCTTTTTCTTCTATGTGCTCAAAGGCTCAAGACAAAGAGGAATTAGTTTAAAGAAATGAGTTTTAGAATTGGAAGAAGTTGGAATCAAGCTTCTCCATCCGGCCTGTGTCCTTGGAATCCATGAAGAAATTTAAAAATAGTATGTTTCTTCACCAAAGGGGAAGGATTTAAATTTATCTGGACTCAATATATGAAGCTATATTTCAGCTGTATTAACTTATTAGTAGTCTTTTTGAAGAGTGATTTAGTTCTTACTGATATGATATTTTGTGTCAAAAGTACCTCTTCAATGTTAGCAGTAATGAAAAATCTACTAATTATTATTTAAAATTAACTTTGAGAAGACACCATTTTAGACTTGCGTATGTGCCTGCTCAATGCATATTTCCAACATCCCATGAAACCTAGACTTTGTTCCCCACTCCCTCAGCGAAGCAGAGACCCATTTTTAACATATGGGAGCATTTTCACACTGCGAGTTATTCTGAGTGAAAAATATGTGATTTACAAATGCTGTCAAATTAAATATGTATTTCCAAATGGTATCAGGTTGACCAAGCACATCCTAGGACACATTCTGCAACTTTCTGAGCCCTTGGGCCTAAATAAGGGAGTAGTGTAGAGAAAGAGCAAACAGTTCTTTCTGTCATTATCAATCCAGAAGTCCCACATTTGCTCCTAATAAGCATATTCAAGTAAACATTGCAAGTAAATTTTGTCACAAAAGAACACAATAGTCTTATTTATAGACAAAGTAACGCCTTCAAATTATGCAGAAATGGGTGTGCCCTGTCAAAAGTAACACATTCTTCTTAGTTATTGCTGCCAGTGTCTGAAAAGAAATATTTACATGGAGATTTTACATTGCTAGGATCACTATGCCACTTGCCTGCAGACATTCTTGATCAAATCTCTTTAGAGTCAGAATGTGTACAAATAATGGCAAGAATAACAGAAGCATCTTGCAGTGTTTTATAGACGGCAAAACTGAAGTGCAGGAAGACTCACACAATATAGGATCATGTCCCAACCAGGTTTATACAGAACCATGAAAGGCAGGAAAGAGCCATCATAGCCCAGGCATGTCACCTTTCAGAAAAGAAGAAGCTGTAAAATAGTCGTTTAACTCACAATGGAAGCCAGGAAGAAAGCTAACTTAGAGAAAAAAGATTTGGAGTCAGCTCTCATGCATTATAGTCTCAGATATCTAAGAATTATCTGTGTGACCTGAGACAGGTCCCGTAATTTTAGAGCCTTAGTTCTCTCATGAGCAAAAGGGTTCAATAACTAACTTCTTGAGGATCATATCATGTAATAAGAGCTGCAGCTTACTGAGCATTTCTTATGAGGCAGGCACTGTGCTGAGTGTTTTACATACATGACCTTGCTGAATCGTTACAACTCTATAAGGTAGGTCTAATGATCCCCATTTCACAGGTGAGAAAACCTGGACTCTAGGGTTCAAATGACATGCCCCAGCTCACACAGTAACTTGAGGAGATAAAATTTTAATCCAGTCTGTTTTTCTCCAAAGCTCAGGTTTTTAAAACCATACCTCTAGTTCCTAGCAGTCATTCTTTTATTTACCAAATATTAATATATGTAAATATGTCTTATAAAGTATGGCACAAATGTAAATTTTTATATTATGCCAGGGCATAAAGAAGCATCCTTGGTGATCAGCCAGATCTAACTTTTCATGGTACTTCTTAAAGTCATATTAAGTTAAACATTTCAAAAGGCAAAAGAGTAAAGACTAGTCATGATGGGTATATGCATTTCATATGGTAGCTATTATCTTTAAGAAGAAAGAAAAAATAATAATTCAAAGAGTAATGTCCTGACACTAAAACAATAGTAAAATATAATGGAGCATGCTGTGATAGTCATTGAAAAAGATCTATTAAAAAACAAAGAAAGTCCTTATAAAACCATTCTAGTCCCTGATCACCCCCAAATAAAAAGCTAGCACTGCACGTGATGATCATATCTTTGGGGATCAATTACAAAACATTTTCAAAATACATATATAAATTCAGTTTCTTCAGTCACCACTGTATTTGATTGATAGGGTGATCTGCCTGATGTTCTATGTGAAACGATTTAACAAAAATTCTGTTTTTAGGACTCTGTGAACTCCATAAAGATGTTAGTGAAGTAAATAACTTTAAAAAATGAGAAGAATTTTTCTTCAATTGAATTATTGCTGCTGAAGATCCCCAGTTTCTTAAATGCAAATGAAATTAAGTCACTGGCTATGGCCCACTATCACATGTGGCTGGATTATAAATGAAGCAGCACAGTTTGGAGTTACGTTTGGGGTGAGAAGTGCCTTCAACCCAAGAGTTTTCAAGGGTTTGGTCCTGCTTTCAGAAGGGTAGCAGGTCTGTGTTTGATACAACCTATGAGTCTTCTTGCCTCTTGTTCACATTAGATATTTTCTTATCTCTATGTCTTGGTTTTTCAAAATTGTTCAGTGTCTAGATCTAGAACAATGTACAAATCAGTGGAGGAGAGAGTTGAGTCTTTAGAACTTAAAATGAATGGTTCCCTTGAAGATTATCAGCATGAGAATCAGATGTGTTCAGAAAATGAGAAGGATTAGACAAAGCTCTGGATAATAATGGTTGTAATCAGTCATATTGACAGAGAGTTTTCTCATCTTCTCCAATTTCTTCTTGTGAAATGATTTCCATTCTGAAAATAACTGCTTTCTTTATCAGCTTGGTATTGATGAGAAAAGAGGAATAACTTTCCTTATTTTTTTCACATGTTGATTCTTTTTTCTCTAGTGGGTGTTAGTCATAAATGAATATAAACTAAGAAATGCTAGATTTCCCAGAGTTGGCAGTTTATAACTTCATTCTGATAAAAACTTTAAAGCAGTTAAGAACAAGTATAGTTAAAACTGCAGTTAGATCAAAAGGGATAAGTGTTCCTACCCTTTTACTTCATATACATCTGGTATAAAGATCTGAACACAAAATTGGTTACATCTTCAACATGTATGATCAGGGCTGCAATCGTTTCAGCAGGATCCATTCATCTTGCTTCTCCAGTTGAGCTAGTGCTTTGTGAGTCAGCCTGGAAACTTTCTGTATAAATTGCCTCTCTTTTCCCCAGAGGCCTCGTTATCTTACCTTCAAATTGGTACAAAGTATCTCAGGAAATAGAACCAGAGTGTCCCATCACAGTTAGTAATGTCATGCTGTGGCCCTACCACCTCCTTCTGTAAAACATACTTTTTAATCTTTTAGTAGATAGTTTGTTGTTTATTTCATTAAAAAAAGTTTTTTAGAGTTCCCCCACATATGGCTAGAAATAAGTAGAAACAAGTACAGAATGTCTCATGCTTGTGGTTCCTTTGTGAATTGGCACACATTCCTTCTTCCTCTGGGGATACAATTTGCCCCTTCTCTAACTATCTTAAAATACTTCAACATAGGTTGGGTTTTTTGTTTGTTCTTTTTTAAAAAATCAAGATCGTGATTCTGACTTTCTGTATCTCCTCTTCCTTGGGCTCCATGCAGAGATTGAGATCCCCTGCTATGATTTGTCTATTTTTTTTCTGCAGATAATGTCAGTTTTTACATTTGAAACTTCAGATGTTTCAAATTTTTGTTGAGGAATTTTAGAGCTATGGCCAATGTTTTTGATGTAGTTTATGCTTCCAGCTTAAATTTTTGCTTTGCAGCAATGAACATTTTAATCACCATTCAATAATCTCAACCGGTGACCTTTTCCAAAAAAATTTGTTCATGTAAATAAGTTAGATTTTAGGTATATCATTAAAACAGAAAGCGAACTTTTGCATGTGAGAAGAAATCATTAATTGCTTCAAGCAGAATATCCGAATGACTAATTTTAATATCAATATCAATATTGACATTTCAATATCCTTACCACAGAGATTTCTTTGCAAGTACTTAGGGTAGCCCTTGACTTCACCTTACACTGAATTGTAGTAATTATAGTATACGGTTTGAATAGTAATTATTTTCACATTAATTGTGAGCTTACTCAGAACATCCCACAGGTTTAGTCTCTACTAGTTAGTAGTCACTACTCTAACTAGTGACTACTAGAGTAGTCCAGGAATCTTTACTGCCATTTTCCTAAATTTGATCTCAGTTGACAGAAATCTGAATGTGCTCTAGAGGACTGCTTATCAAGTATTAGCATGTCTACAAATCACCCGGGAACCTTATAAAATGTAGCTTCTGACTTAGTAGGTCGGGGGTGGAGACTGAGATTCTGCATTTCTCATGAGCTCCCTGTCAATGCTGCTGGTCCATCTGGATCACACTTTGAGGAGCAAGGATCTCTAAGACTATTTATGGGCCACATCTGAATTTGGAAACTTCCTGATATCAAAAAATAAAAAGAATAAAAAAGATGGGAGAGAAATGAGAAGCAAGCTAGGGGTAAGCATAAGGTAATGAGTGAAAAGAAAAAGAAAGACTTTTGGGGAAGAATGAGGCACTTCCCCCAGAGCTAACATAGAGTAGGTAAGTGATATTGTTTGGCTGTGTCCCCACCCAAATCTCCTCTTGAATTGTAGCTCCCATAAATCCCATGTGTTGTGGGAGGGACCCAGTGGGAAATTATTGAATCATGGGGACGGTTTCCTTCATGAGCTGTTCTCGTGGTAGTGAATAAGTCTCACGAGATCTGGTGGTTTTATAAAGGGAAACCCCCTTTGCTTGGCTCTCAATTCTCTCTTGTCTGCCTGCATGTAAGATGAGCTTCTCACCTTCCACCATGATTGTGAGGCCTCCTCAGCCACGTGGAACTGTGAGTCCATTAAACCTCTTTTTCTTTACAAATTTTCCAGTCTTGGGTGTGTCTTTATCAACAGCGTGAGAACAGACTAATATAGTGAGTGCATATCACACAGGACAGCAGAGCAGGAGGGAAGTGAATCTAACTTTTATTCAGTGTCTCCTATGCAGACTGTAGCCTGACATATTGCTACATGTTTATGTTTATGTATGTGTGGATAGATGTCTACATCTGGATATATGGAGAGAAGTGTGCATATACAGAGGACAGATGAATAGACAGATACAGATAGATATTCTGCTTTGTTTCAAAAGGTTAGAAGAAGAAGCTGTAGGTGTTCTGGCATGCATATACTGCTTAAATCCTCATAATAGTTCACACACACACACACACACACACACACACACACACACACACATATATATATATATATATAGAGAGAGAGAGAGAGAGAGAGAGATGAAAAAGCTGAGGCTCGAGTCCTTTATTTAAAATACAGCTCTAGGACCATCTAACTTCCAAGCTCTAAAATCCATGCTTTGACAAGCCAAAGAACCAGACACGGTGAAGAAGGGTGAGAAGACAGGGACATAAAGGAAAGTCCTGGAGATTGGGGTGAGACAGTGCACAAGGAGCAGAAATTAGAGAAGAGGATGTGGAAGAGACATGTGGAAAGGGCCAGGAAGAAAGGGAGAAGAAAATGCAGGGACTGCCAGGGCTACAGTTCAAGTGGATAATTCCAGTCCTGGTAGCAATTAGAGCTGACCCATTTGGCAGTGCCTGCCCCTCTGCAGGGGTTTGTTGCCACCCTCTTTCCTGCCAAGACTGTTTACACAACCTTTTTTAGCCCTGGCTAGAGTAGCCTGGTTCTATCCAGCATGGAGAATTTGGTTTCCACCTCTACTACACTACCAAGTGGAAAGAAGAGGTGTACTGTAATCTAGGTGGGGGAAGCTGTGTAGCAGAAACTTGGGGACTTCTAGAAGCTGCCTGTCCCTCATGCCCCCTGGAGTACAATGGAGCCAAAGGTACTCCATTCTCAGCATCTTACTCTATCTTTGACATCTTCTTTTGACTCAGTAGATCCTTTCAAATCCCCATCTCTGAGAGGATCCAGCAAAAAAATCCTCCAGTTACTTTCCCAGTTGAAATAGGTTTATTTGTCAGAGACCAGGTGTCAATTAAAGATATGGAAATAAAAGGTAGGGACACCTTATAACCCACCCAAAATTAGGGGGGGTATATAGTACATAAAATAGAAAAAAAAAGTTTATTGTAAACATTGATTGTGATAGTATAATACTTTAAAATCCTGGAGGACAAAGCAATTAAATATATGCATAGCATTCAGCTGAATTTTTTTTCCCCTATACATACCTATGATAAAATTTAATTTTCAAATTAAGCACATCAAGAGATTAAGAATAATAGTCTAGGACAATTTTAACAATATACTGTAATTTTATGTGAATGTTCTCTCAAAATATCTGAACTGCAGTTGACCATGTGTAGCTGAAGTCACAGATAACAGGGACCACTGTACTGGGTTTTCTTCCTAGTGAATTCCTGTCTACAGACTCAGATGAGTGTTTTGAGTAAAGGTGAAGGCCAAGAACTAAAGCAAATGTCTTTCAAAGGTTTAGATGGCATCATAAAAAGCAGATCTTCAGTTATTCTGGGGAAGTTTTGATTGCTTTCTGAACTCAGTGACTCCATCTTACTTATACCTTTATTTCCACTTATTTTAATGTGAAGAACAGTTAAGCCCAGGAAGCAAGGTACTGTATGCTTGCTGGGCAGGATAATTCAATAAGAAGTCTATTTTTGGCAAGCAGCATGGGGTTTGTCCTCTAATTCTGGGAGTCTGACTATGGTAGAAAGGGGATTATTTTTTAATTTAGTTTTTATATTTTCAAAGTTATACATATTCATGTGATTTAAAGAATCAAATGGTTTTATGAGGCTTTTCTGGAAAAACAGGAGACTCATCCTTGTCCCCTCCTTTGCTCTCCCTTTTCTTGATCCCCAGAGACAACTATATCCAACTCTCACCACTGTTTCTTTCGGCATTAATCTCCGTATCTCCACACACCACGGTATTTCTTTATTTTTATGTTTAAGCTCTATTAGGCTGCAAAGTCAGTTACCACTTGTCCTTCTGCCTCCCAGCTTCCAAAATTTTGTTGCTATTATTTCTCTTCATTTTTCCTTGTATTTGTGGTGGCTTCCTCTTCCTCCCCTACACCAAGAAAACCTTATTATTTTGTGATTTCTGATTTAAGGAGGGAGTCGAAGTTCACGTGTATGGTCAATCAACTTTGACAAAGCTGAAAGTCCTGTTATTTTATACTGATTTTTCCTTAGCATAGTGCTGGATTATGTCACATATCATACATTTGGGACTAATATGTGCCAGTAGAGCCATATAGGATAATACATGAGTATGATGCATTGAAGTTAAATCAATGGTTTTGGAGGCAGGAGGCCTAGATTTAATTAAAGGCGTTGCCACTTACTAATGGTATGCATTTAGTGAGGCACTAAACCAAGCCTTAGTTTCCTCATCTGTAAGTGGCAGAAACCATATTTAATCCACAGAATGATTAAAATAATTAATTTAGACCAGATGATGGATAAAAGCACTTGACCCACAGTGTACCTCCCTTGTGGAGCAGAATTACAAGTGAACTGAGATTGAATTAAATAGATAGTACTTCGTGTTCTTTCTTGTAACAAGTACTCAATATAATATTTGTGAGGTGAATGAATGTCTTCTCTTAATGAAGTATTTCAGAAAAAAACAACATTGAATATTGAGATTCATGAAATGCTACATGAATCTCAAAACAAGCAAAATAGCAAAATTAACCTTTAAGTTTTAAAGTATTTCTTTCTAATCCCCTCATTTTCTTTCACTGCCACAGAAGACTGTATTTTAATCTTTTAATTATTCAATTTCTCTAAAAAAAAAGTCATGGATGCATGATTTTAAACAAAGAAAAAAGAGCAGCCTCATCAGCTCTTTTCTAGAACTTAGACTAGCCTCTTAATTAGATTCTTATTTCCTCTCCCTTAGCCCCTTCCCCCCAATACCCTTTCATCACCGCGGGAGGGGTGATCTTTAAAAGAAAAAATGCATATCAAAGCAAATCACTCCCCTGCTTAAAATCCCTCTTCGACATCCCATTTTTCTTGGAATAAAAACAGAACTCCCTGATAGAACCTGCAAGGCCTTGCAAAGCTCCAGCCTCATCTCCAGCCCTGTTTTGTAACCCTTGTCCACTGTTTTCTTAGGGTATCAGCTACACTGGTTCCTTTCATTATTAAATGTGCCAAGCTCCAGCCTTCCTCAGAGACTTTCCTCTTGCTTTTCCCTCTGCTTGGAATGTCCTTCTTCTACGTTTGCCTGGCTAACCTCTACTCATCCTACAAGTCTGTCTAAATATCACCTCTCCTGGAAACCTTACCCTGACCCCAAAAACTAAGATTCTCTTGTTGGTTACCTGTTGAGAGCCTGGTACTTCCCTTTGATAATGCTTACCCCAGTTGAACTTCAATAATTGCGTAATTAATTACTTAGTTCTGTTTCTCCTCCTCAGTGTAAGCTCTATAAAAGGCAGGGACTACATCTGTTTTCTTTTCTGCTTTATCCATGTTAAAGGAAAAAGTTTAGAAAAATTAAATTTCTTAGAGTTTAATCGAGCAAAGAACAATTTACGAATCAGGCAGCCCCCAAACCATAATGGGTTGAGAGAGACTCTGGTGCTGGCGTGTGGTCAGAAAAAGGAAACAGAAAAAGGAAAGTGACCTGCAGAAAATGGAAGTGACATACAGAAACAGCTGGATTGGTTACAGCTGGCTTTTCCTCTATTTGAAGAGTTGGCCTCCTGTGATTGGCCAAAACTCAGCGATTGGTAGAGGAGTAGTTTCCAGTCTGTTTACACATCCAGTTCACTATGAACAGGGAAATCTTTAGGCAGAATTTATAAGAAGGTAGCTTTAGGCTAAACTTAATTTTAACATCCACAATACCATGCAAAATGTCTTGTACATTGTCATTTCTCAATACATATTTGTTGAATAAATGGATTAATGACTACAGTAGAAAGGAAAAAAGGCTACATTTTAAAAATATAATTTTAAGGACTCTGTTTTTATTTTCAGATTCTCCTACTGGGTCAGGTAAAAAAATCTGCTGTAGACCCAATGGCTTGACAAATGCTTACTTTTGACTCAGTCTTTGGAGCTAAGAGAATTGTTTGGGAGAAGGGGAGAGCATCTAGGTGGAAGAAGTATGAAGGTTATCTCTTTGCTAACCAAGTTCTGGGCAGTGTCAAGGAGGGAAGGTGGCTCCGCTGCCACTAATGCACCTTCAATTAGACCATGTGTCCCTAGTTCCCAGCACAATGCTTGCATAAAAAAGATGCTCAATAAATATGTGTTGAATTAATGGATAAAGGTGGCCTTTTTACTTTGCTATATGCCCTCCAAGCTGCAAGTACTCTTTGTGACTTCCTCTTTAATGTTGCCATTGAAGATCACTTTTGCACATTTTTAGTTATATGCTTGGATAGAGGGAAGGTCAACATATTATTTGTGTAGGCTTAGATCAAGCCATGCTGTTTAGGGATGACTGTCCTAAGCCCAGTTTAGAAGAGTCACATTTATTATTCTAACTGATAAATATTCCACTGCACATTCACGAAAACTATTTCTTTTTCAAAGTCTCTGCAAATCTCACTGCTTAAATCTAACATAATTTCCGGAAAAGGAGCTTGTCTTGAGAAACAACAAAGAATTGAGCTATAGTTTCATATGAATGGTAATGCCAATATATTAGTGAAGATTTTCTGCTGGGGATCACTTGGCTCCAAGGGAAGACAGCATGGTAAGTGCTTGCATAAAAAAACTACACAAGGCCAGGTGTGGTGGCTCACACCTGTAATCCCAGCACTTTGGGAGGCCAAGGTGGGTGGATCACCGAGGTCAGGAGGTCGAGACCAGCGTGGCCAACATGGTGAAACTCCATCTCTACTAAAAATACAAATTAGCTGGGTGTAATGACACATGCCTGTAATCTCAGCTATTCGGGAGGCTGAGGCAGGAGAATCGCTTCAATCCGGGAGGTGGAGGTTGTAGTGAGCCAAGATTGAGCCATTGGCCATTACACTCGAGCCTCGGCAACAAGAGCAAGACTCTGTCTCACAAAAAAACAAAAACAAACAAAAAAACCCCACTAAACACAAAACAGTTTATTTCACTGGACTGAAAAGAGGTATCCAAATTCACATGGCTCTAGGAAATTCACAAAGGGTGTTTGCAGACATTATGAAACTCTTATGAGATAAGATTGTGGAGAAATGGGGAATCCCTTTCTGGCATTTAAAAGTTGTATATGTCTGGTAGTTTCTTGAAATTTGTCAGCTACAGCTTTATTTATTCAGCTCAGGGATGGCAAATTACCTCAGTGTATGCCAAGACAATATGTTGGTAATGGTTGCTATACTGAGAAAAGTTCTGAGGTCTTACTTGGTCTCATCCAGAATGTGTTGTCATCATTTAGCAATGATAGCTATGAGTTTTAGAATGGGGATTGGTGGAATGCCAGGTAACCTTTCTTTAAGGCTTTTTTGTTTTTGTTAAAATTTAAAAAATTATATCTAAAAGTCTCATTTAATCTTCACATAAACTCTATGAGGTAAGTACTGCTTTAATCTTGATTTTTTTTTTTCAGATGAGGAAACTAAGGTAAAGATACATTGTTTCCCAAAGTAGTTAGTCAATTAGTGATGTAACTTATATTTGAACACATGCCTATCTAAACTAACTTCAGAGCCCAAGCTCTTAACTACCACATAGTATTTCTTAAGAATTCTGGAGCGTTGATATTTAAAGCTGTTATCACTTATGTATACCCTAGAATGAATGAGTTTCTCTCTATTGCCATATCTAAGATAAGAAAATACAAAATATTAATAAGGCTGGCAAGGTTGAAGACAAATTTTACCTACTTTATAACACTGTGTAAGACTAATTTTTTATCTAAATATTAAAAATAAAGTGTGGTGTATGACTAGTGAAGAAAATATGAATTATTTCTGGATATTTTAAGGTTGTAATGCAATGCATACATATCATTTCTACCTCCACATCTAACCTAAGTGGAAGTACTACTCCTAGATTAGATTTTTCACTCATTGAAACTTTTTATTCTTAAAGCAATGGTGTTAATCGCTATGCTCTGATGAGATTCTAAAGGTACATAATTATATTTTGTTTTCCTTAAACACTTAAAGCATGTTCTTTTAATGGGATTATCTATTTATGGAAACATACTGCTATCATTTCCCCCAAGTATTTATTTCTGTAATTAACTGTTAAATTATTTATAAATGTGCAATTGATAGTATTCATGTAAAATAGCTTGGCTTTTACCCAAATGCAGAGAAAACAAAAAACAAAAAAAAAAGTCTTCAAATATTTTTAGATGATGTAAGAAATGTCAGAGTATGCTTTGATTTCTTGCCTGTTTTCTTTTTTTTCACAGAAAAATCTGTCATTGCTCAACCCATATTTGTTTTTGAAAAGGGAGAACAAACTTTTAAGGTAAGATTGACTACTTCTTTGTTCAATTTTACTTTGACAAAGACAATTATATTTCAGGAAGCTAGTTATCCTGAAAGATATCACGGCTGCATAGGTTTATCCTGTTCTTTACTAGCAGAGTAGTGCCTCCAGATTATTTATATAGTCAGGATTTACAAACTTCAGTTTGGCTGGAATGGGAAGCCAGAGGCCTTGTCTTGCAGCTATGGATAACATACTGTTTCGCTATGGTAATATCTTTATTTGGAGTAACTTGAAAAGGGGAGGAGCTGAAAGAGATTAGGAGGACTATAGCTCCTCATATGAGTCCTCACCACTGACCTAGCCTAAAACTCGGTAAAAAAACACATTCTAAATTACAATATTTGATTTAAAAGGGATCTTCTGAACTCTGTCTGCTTTTTTTGGCATCATAATAAAATCATTCGTTTTGAAAGACTAACAGTAAGATTAGTTGCTGGGCATGATGGCTTGTGCCTGTAATCCCCGCATGTTTCGAGGCCACGGTGGGAGGACTGTTTGAAGCCTGGGGTTCGAGGCCAGCCTGATCAATAAAGCAAGACCCCATCTCTACAAAAAAATAAAAAGAAATTAGTCAGGCATGGTGGCATGTGCCTGTAGTCAGTCCCAGCTACTTGGGAGCCTGAGACAAGAGGATTGCTTGAGCCTAGGTGTTAGAGGTTGCAGTGAGCTATGATTGCACTGCTGGTACTGCAGCCTGGGTGACAGAAAAAGACCTCATCTCTAAACAAACAAAAAACTCCACTAGATTCTCATTTTACCTTATTTCTTGGTATTCATTCTTACCCATGCAGGTAATTTAACCTACTACCCACAAAAACACTAAACAAAAGAAACACTCAACCTCCAAGCCCTTGTTAAAAAAGCAGATTCCTGGACCCCATCCCAGAACAACCACTTCAGAATCTTGAGAATAGGTGCCTCAAAATCCACATTTTAAACTAACTTCCACAAGCGAATCTGCAGCCATTGAACTATAAAACCACTGGACTAGACGTTGTTTTTTCTTGACTATGTGCTGAACAAAGGAAGGTGAACTGCTTTGTCCTGGCCGGGCTTATTAGCCCTGGCTTCTGAGAATTCTGTAAAGTGGCAGGGTGGAAATCTGATGTACTAGGTTGGTGCAAAAGTAATTGCAATTTTTGCCATTACTTTTAATTGCCAAAACTGCAATAACTTTTGCACCAACATAATACAAAGGCAAATACTCAGCTCTCCTCAGTGGTTTTGTTTCCTTTCAGAGACCTGCAGAAGACACCCTGTATGAAGCAGCAGAACCAGGTAATGATTTTCATCCTGTATTCCAAAATCAATCTTTATACAAACAAAATTAGCAGACACAAGTATTTTGGCATGTGGCACAGACTATGTGAAAGTTAATGTTTTTTCTTTTTTTAAATATGCCAGTAGATTCACTTTTGTTTTGAAAGATGACATATAGGTCCCTGAGAACACTGATGTTAGTGACTAAAATTCATTGTGCTCCACTCCCTGCCCCTTAGCCTATCAAAAGCATTCTCTGTAGACCTCAGAATGCATATACAAATTATTGCTGACACCACTCATTTCTAATTGTTTCATACTAGTATGATATGCCTATAGGTTTATAATCAATCAGCAAACTATTAACCCCAATATTTAAAATGTGCTATCAAATGATGGTCTGTGTAGACAAAAGAAAATTCTGTTTATCCTACCCTATCATGAGTTGAGGATAATTTATTATCACAAGTAATTTTAGCCTTTCCATTGCTTTTCTTGCAGAATGTAATGGTTTTCCAACAAAGCGTGTACGGTCTTCATCTTTTACTTTTCATATTACAGATTCTCAGTCCCAGGGAGGTATGTATAGCCTTGACTGTTGACTATTCACTGTTATGTTTATTCTGAATGCAAAATTACTGAGAAACTTTTCAAAAGGGTAATGTTAAAAGCTTGCCAGCTGAATAGTGTTTATAATATATTGTTACGTGAAAACAACAAGCTATACAATGGTACAGTTAGTCAGTATTTAAACATTCCATTTATCAGCATTGGAAAAAATACCAAAAGGACATAAGCCACAATGATAGCAGTGGTTATCTTAAGTAGAGGAGTTGCAAGTGATTTGGTCTCCTCCCTGTACCCCATGCCTCTGTATTTTGCTATGTTTCCAAAGTTTCTGCATTGAGCTTGTATTAGCTTTGTAAGCAGGAGAAAAGGCCATTTTTAAAGTAACCACAGGCTGGGCGCGGTGGCTCATACCTGCAATCCCAGCACTTTTGGAGGCCAAGGTGGACAGACCATGAGGTCTGGAGTTTGAGACCAGCCTGGCCAACATAGTGAAACCCCATCTCTACTAAAAATACAAAAAAAATTAGCTGGGCATGGTGGCAGGTGCCTCTAGTCCCAGCTACTTGGGAGGTTGGGGCAGGAGAATCTCTTGAACCTGGGAGGCGGAGGCTGCAGTGAGCCGAGATTGCTCCACCGCACTCCAGGTGGGGTGACAGTGTGAGACTCCTAAGAAAAAAAAAAAAAAGTAACCGCCTATTTAAATAAATGGATGCCTACCCCTTGAAAATAATTTTATCATACACTGTATTCTGAGTAAACCAGTAACTTAGTTTGCTTGTCTTCTATGCTGAAAGCACTCCAGGGATTCCTTTCATAATGAGCTCTATGCCTTCCACCTTGTAATACAGCATCTATGTATATATTTTTCCTCCACTGTGAGTTCCTCGAGGTCATCTTCATGGTTGATAGTGTCTTACATATGGTGACCACAAAATAAATATTTACTGTTGAATGGAATTGAATGGAAATTAATTTATCATCTTCATCAGATGTACTCATTTTTATTAATAGAAATAAAAAGATTTTTCTAAATTAGTGATACAGAAATTTTTCCAAAACAGCAAAACTCCAAATGAAAACAAAACAAAAAACCCACTTTCTTACTGACTTTAGTTTGCAATCTGCTTTTAGTGTCAACCTTGTCTCAGAAGCAAATGAGATGTTCATCCGTCACTAACCTCCCAACCTTCCCCCATTCTGGGCCAGGTAATAAAGAGTTTCTAGAACCTCAAGCCTGACACTGACTTTTCAAAATCATTCTTATTAATGATGACTTTTCTTTTTTAGCGATCATAAAATGCTGACACTTTAGAAATAAACAGAGGCCTTAGCAAAGTATGCATCGAAGAATACCTTATGAATTCTAACTTCACAAATTCTGAGTATATGTTTTTACCTTTGGTAGAAAGTTTGAACTTCATGTTTTTTTAGGATTTCACATTTATAACAGTATTATTTTATTTAAGGCAGCCCTATAAAAGTAAAAACAATTTGCATTATTTTACTTACTATTGTCCATCTACATAGTTTATAATGTAATAGCATTTAAAACATGCAATTATGCTTTAGATTCATATTTTAAGCTTAGCATAGAAATCCATTAAAATTTCCACTAATTAAAACATTACTCCTCTTTACTTGAAATTTATAATGTTTTGCTTAGTAAAACTGTTTTATCATAATAAAATATTTGAAATGGTTGGCATTTTCTCCACATTAAAATGATCTCTATTCTCATGTTTTTATTTCTACTAAACAATCAATTGCCTTTTCCAAGTTAAGTTTGCCACTAAGAAAGAAAAATTACAAACTACTCACTTCATTTGAATTGATCCCCCTCTACCCAGGAACTACAGAGTTTTTTCTTTCTTTCTTTCTTTTTTTTTTTTTTGAGACGGAGTCTGGCTCTGTCGCCCAGGCTAGAGTGCAATGGCGTGATCTCAGCTTACTGCAACCTCTGCCTCCCGGGTTTAAGTGACTCTCCTGCCTCAGCCTTCCAAGTAGCTGGGACTACAGGCGCACACCACCCATGCCCAGCTAATTTTTGTATTTTTAGTAGAGATGGGGTTTCACCATTTCGGCCAGGATGGTTTTGATCTCTTGACCTCGTGATCCGCCCACCTCGGCCTCCCAAAGTGCTGGGATTACAGTCGTGAGCCACCATGCCTGGCCTGAACAACAGAGTTTTTCAATGAATAAATCTGTATTCTTATTAATAATTGCAGGCATGACTGAGCAACAGTATATCAAGTAACTTTCAGATGCAGAAGAGACACCTTTTAGTGTCTCTAGTCCTTCTAACCTGACTGACAAGCTCAGACATTAAGAGAAACAGAGATCCTGGCTGGGCGTGTTGGCTCATGCCTGTAATATCAGCACTTTGAGAGGCCAAGGCAGGCAGATCTCTGCAGGCCAGGAGTTCGAAACCAGCGTGGCAAACATGGTGAAACCTGGTCTCTGCTAAAAATACAAAAATTAGCCGGGCATGGTGTTGCACGCCTGTAGTTCCAGCTACTTGGGGCGCTGAGGCAAGAGAATCGCTTGAACCCAGGAGGCAGAGGTTGCAGTGAGCCAAGGTCATGCCACTGCACTCCAGCTTGGATGACAGAGAGAGACTCAATCTCAAAGAAAAAAAAAAAAAGTGAGAGAGACATAGAAATAGAGATCCTAATCCCAGAGGCAAAGGTGTTCTGTTTTATTGTATTTATACATAAAACAAAGGAACGACTTTAAGTTATCTATGCACGTGCTTTAATTCATTTTTTACTGGACACTCACACAAAAAGAAAGATTATCATTCTGTTTTATGTTGTGCAGAATGTTAGTGGTGTTCAGCAGGAGAAAAATATGGCTCTTTTTTTGTTGATGTTCAATAATAAAGATCATAAAAAACATTAAATTGAACTCTGAAGTAGAGAAGGGATTCTACCCCAACATTTATAACACCTTAAAGAATACTTTGAAGAAGCAATTATTCTTTTCTCATTTTCATTAAATGCCAAAGGTTGCTGTTTCTGCAATTTGCAATGAAGAGGAGATCCCTTTGAAATGTATAGAAATTCTATACTCGGAGCCACCACCACAGTCTTACCCCACCAACATGTTTGTAGAAAAATAACTTAGCAGATTTGTCATCTTTACTTCTTTCTTCAGGTATACTCATTAAAAAGTCAGGGAGTGTGGGCAGACTTTGCTAACAGTTTTATAATATTCTATAAGAGCTATATATTAATGCCGGAGGGTTCATTACCAATTCAGATTTTGTAGTCTGTAGAATTTCTGACAGTGCACTATTTAAAGATTCAAAAAAAAGACTGCCTTTTCTGCTAGTCACCTAATTTTCACTTAGATATCTGAAAGTAAACAGAACTATGTAGCAGGACGCATCCGGCAATATCTTTTTTTTTTTTTTTTTTTTTTTGAAATGGAGTCTCGCTCCTGTCACACAGGCTGGAGTGCAGTGGTGCGATTTCAGCTCACTGCAACCTCCACCTCCTGGGTTCAAGAGATTCTCCTTCCTCAGCCTCCCGAGTAGCTGGGATTACAGGCACCTGCCACCACGCCCGGCTCATTATTTTTTGTATTTTTAGTAGAGACGGGGTTTCGCCATGTTGGCCAGGCTGGTCTCGAACTCCTGACCTCAGGTGATCCACCCGCCTTGGCCTCCCAAAGTGCTAGGATTACAGGCGCGAGCCACCGCGCCTGGCTGGCAATCCCATTTTTCGCAGAGCCAGTGCTCCAGAGGGCACTACCTACTACTCTGTTAGTGCCAATTGCGACATCTGCTGGTGAGTTCGGAATGGGATTGTTAAGCCCCAAATAGTGTAGAATCTGACACTCTTCTGTATTTAAAAAAATTTAAATATTTTTTCTTACAGTGAGGAAAAACAATGTTTTTATGACATCAGCTCTTGTGCAAAGTAGTGTTGATATAAAGAGTGCTGAACAAGGTATGTAGCTTCTATTTCAAGAACCTCAGAAATTGTATATTTTACCACCTATATTTTCATCTCCCTATATGTGTGCGTGTGTTGGGGGCATGGAGGTAGGTCAGAGTGACAAAACATGAAGAAATAATGCAAGTAAGCCAGGTTTCATGATCAAAATGAATAGTTATTGGGCAAAAGCTAGGCAGGGTGTGAATGTTGGGGAACTCAATGGTTATTTTGACTTGGATTAATTAACGCTAGTCCCTCATTTAAACATGACTTTAGAAAATAAGAATTATATTAATTAAAAATAGGGAGTAAAGGAATATTTCAGTAAACATATATTTATCCTTTAATTCTATTCTTTTAAGGTCCTGTGAAACATTCTAAACATGTTATTAGACCTGCTATTTTGCAGCTACCTCAAGCTCGAAGTTGTGCAAAAGTAAGAAAAACATTTGGACACAAGGCACTGGAATCTTGCAAGACTAAAGAAAAAACAAATAATAAGGTGAGAAAGCCCAGGATAACGGAACTGACCTCAATCCCTCATCTTTCTTTTTGCAGGTTGTTTGGGGCCCCCATATCCAGAAATAGGAGTTGTCTGAGCTTTGTTTTGTTGTTGGGCTAGATAGCATAAAGCCCTTGGTAAACTTTTCAAAGTTGTACTCTGACATTGGAGAGTTGTAGTCTCACAAATCTGTGGTCTCTCTAAAGTTGTAAAGTTGAGTACTGGGTAGTGGAAATCTGGGGGTCTTGTGCCAGAGCAATGACCCTGTGTGAGAATGGGGACAGCAATGAGGGAGCCAGGGGCCAGAGTCAGTAGTCAAAAAAGAGGCAGGGATTTTCTCTACATCGCCAACTGGTCAACATCACAGTGTATCGTTGCCAGTTTAGGTCATACCAGAGGTTCATTTCAGAGCCAAATTCCAGTATAACAGGAGCAGAGAACTCCCTATACAGTGTAGTTGGGAGGGTTTGGGAAGCCTCTAGAGACAGATAAGAATTCTAACTTCCAACTATGTAGTGTCTGAATCACTCTTTGTAGGCCTTTCTAAACAGACAGTAACTTACACAAGCCGTGCAGATATGGGTTTGGGGATATATTCAATTGCTGTAGTGCTACCTGTCTTCCAGCAGAAGCAGACACAGGAGGAATAGGACTCAAGATAGGTAGGTTGGAATTTGAGAGTTATTCCATCTTAGCCATTTGTTTCCAGCTGAACTACTGAGGATTGGTCACATAGTTTCGCTTTGTTTTCCCTTAGTGAACATAAGGACAGAAACACGGAAGTGTAAAAAAATACCAGATTGGTACTAATCTTGCCTCTGCTGCTATCTTTGTTTATCTAAACAAAGCACCCATTCAACATCTTTTTATATCAGCAAAGTAAGGGACTTGAACTTGATCAGCACTTTCCAATATTTTTATATTCCTAAACTCTTTACTTTGTAAGATATTATTTGGAGAGATCCATTATGAATTTAAAAAATCATTTCATCATTTATGCATGCTATATAAGTAATTTTTAAGTAAAACATGTCTTCAATTTTAGATAAGTATATTATTGTTTTCACTTAAATATAATGTAATAATTATCACCATGTTACATAATTCCTTACTTTTATTTAAGAAGTGAAGTGGCCAGGCGTGGTGGCTCACTCTTTTAATCCTAGCACTTCGGGAGGCCGAGATGAGTGGATCTCTTGAGCTAAAACGTTCCAGACAAGCCTAGGCAATATAGTAAAACACTGTCTTTACAAAAAATACAAAAATTAGCTGGGCATGGTGGCATGTGCCTGTAGTCCTAGCTTGAACCCGGGAAGTGGAGGTTGCAGTGAACCGAGATGGTACCAGCCTGGTGACAGAGCCAGACTGTCTCAAAAAAGAAAAGAGAAAAAAGAAGTGATGCATGGTGTTTAACTTGTTTTAAATTATGTAATAGAAAGTATAATATGTTGACTAATTTCTAAAAAGTTATATTGCATTTGATTTTAAAATGGCATGCACTATAAATATAGAGCAAGATTTTAATTACATGTTATGACATCAAAAATACATCAATATTTCTTTCTTGGCAGAATTTTTGTAAATATTGCATTGCATATTTTAAAATAAAATTTATTAATATATTTCTTCCATTTTCTTCTTAAATGATCCAAGCTTAAGAGAAAATTTCAAGCTATTGTTTATATTTATTTTTGAATAAATTATAAGGTCTAGGGAATAAACCTTATTTCCAGTTATTGAAAAGCCCTACTGTATATGCCCATCATTAAAAAGAAAATTTAATGCCCATCATTAAATTTTCCATTTATTGATCTTTGAAGATCCAGAGACACACTGTATATAAGATCCTATGTAAGAATTTTGACCAAATGAATGTAATTTAAAGATTTTGTGAAAACTATCTCTAGGTGGATTTTGTAGAACCATTATCTTTATATTTCTTATTATCTTGTATATCAAAATCAGATAAATTATTTTCATCCTATCATTAATCAATGGTTACTTACTATGTATAGATTAAACAATATATGCCTAAATAACTATTTTAACCAACATAGGAGTGAAAACTACCATTTTGGCTGAGAGATACATTATCTGAATGACTAGGTAATGAGCATGTACTTCGATCTTTGCCAACCATGGCACATGCTCTCTTGATACATATTTGTCAGTTGTCAAACTCTTGTTAAAAAAGAAAAAGTACTCAAAATTATTTTTATTGATTGAAATAAAAATTTAAGTGGAAACATAACCCATCTGGCTTTAAAAGACACAAACGCCCTGAAACATCTTTGCAAATTCCTGGTCGAGGAAGGAATTGTAAATACTAGATCAGATAATGTATAGGGTTCCTTCCAATTCTAAATTTCCTCACTCTTACATTTATATATTAATTCAGGTATTGTGCATACACATATGTACATAAGGCAAAGTAACTGGATAAGTTACTAGTTGAAAATTTCAAGATAAATAGATGAGTGGGGTTTTCTCTCACATTGGGTGACTAGGATGGTGACATTCTTAGGGTGTTTCCCAGGATTAAATAGTCCTGAAAAGAGCTTTACTAATCCAGAAATGAGAATTAACCCAATTTGACTAAAATGGCAAAAATAAACAAAACATGGTGGGATTTCTGAATATTATGATATTCCGGTATTAGACAGATCGCCACTGTATGTGACCTGGGCAAATTATTTAAGTTTTTTGTGTCAGTTTACTCACCTGTAAAATGTGGACAATAGAATTACAAAGTGTTAGAGTTGTAAGGAGTAAATGAGATCGTACATAAAATGCTTAAGGCAGTACTTAAACATAGTAAGCTTTCAATATATTTAACTATAACTATTGTTTCCTTGTCTGATGGTCCTATAGTAAGGTAGTCTTTATAAACTTTTTGATGGATTTCTTTACTTTCAGATTTCTGAGGGAAATTCCTATTTGTTAAGTGAAAATTTATCAAGGGCTAGAATTTCAGTCCAGCTGTCTACTAACCAGGACTTTTTAGGTGCAACATCAGTAGGGTAAGTTAATGAGAAAATAGAAGCGTTGTCCTTTCATTCTTGCATTCTTTCATTATTATAACCATTCATGGAAAATAATTTTCTGACCTTGTACGGATAAATTGCCAAGATTCCCATTTGAAAGGAGATTTTATAGGAAACACAAGTTTAAAATGTTTTTAAAAATATTTCGATTCTTAAATATTATCATATTAATACTGGATTGTCTTCATTGTTTCATTAACTTGGGTGAGAACTTTTTGAAAATGTATGGCTAAACTTTTATTTAGTTGGACATAAATTATCTGATTAGTAGATTAGGCTCTCTTCCTCTCTCTCTAGCATTTTTTTCTTTTATTTTGGCATTATACATTATTTATTGGCATAGGTTAGATAAGCAACAAGGAAAGCAGTATAAATCTGCAATATTTATTAGTATTACTAGTGATGGATAAATGTTTGATCTGAGAGGTTAAAACTAGCTGTGGATATAAACTGACTCACATGACTGGGCTCTGTCCAGGTGCGGTAGCAGGTGCCTTCTATGTGCATTGGGGATGCAATGCCGAACCCTGAGCACATCTGTCTACAAAGAGCGGGCTTCCGGTCTTCGAGTTTCTCATCATGAAAAACACTTTTAACATTAAAAAAAAGTTTCTGGGAGGCAAAAAATTTAAGCCAATGCACACTCAATTATAACAGACAGGGTTTCGCTTTTGCCCTGGAGATCTCTGGTTGCTAAAACATCAGCCACTTGAGGAAGAGAAGAGGGGAAATTAGATACTAGACAGGGTGTGTTGGAAAAGCAAAAGGGGTTGGGAAGCCCTCCTGGCTGACCACACAGCCAGTGCAGTGATGGGCATGAGGCAGTCAGGACTGGTCTCTGCCAGTGCTGTAAGAGCTGGAAACTATTTTGACAATCACCTCTGGATGCCACTATCTGAATTTTTCCTTCATTTTTCATTAAATTCACACTAACAAAAGTGAGCAGTAAATTTGATTTACATAAATCTATTAAATTATCTGATTATTTCAAGGTTTAAAATGGCTTTATCTATGTATTTAAAATAGTAAATGCTTATTTCATTTTCTTAGATGTCAACCAAATGAAGATAAATGTTCTTTTAAAAGCTGCAGTTCCAATTTTGTTTTTGGAGAAAACATGGTAGAAAGAGTTTTGGTAAGATTTTGGTATATGTTTCTATTACTATATACAGAGCTGTCACTTTAAATTTCTAAAGGTAAATTAATTAAAAGTAATATTAAATTGAATTATACTTTTTAACTCCTGAGTTCAAACGCACATTTTCTTTCTTTAACTGGAAAGATTCTCCTGGGAAGCATGTCCTAGTTGTTAAAATAATAGAAACCCACAGAGGAAGGGAACTGTATAATTATAACATTATTACTGATGTGAAATATTAAATAGTTCTTTGACTTGTGTTAAACCAAAAGTACCCAAGGAAATCCCAGAATCATCTGCAATAGTTAGATAAGCTCAGTTGGTAATGATAGTTTAATAGTTTGTCGATGTCATCATTTTGTAACAAGATGCATTTAAAATTATTTGCCAGTTTGGTTTTTTTTTTTTTTTTTTTTGAGACAGAGTCTCGCTCTGTCACCCAGGCTGGAGTGCAGTGGTCCGATCTCTGCTCACTGCAACCTCCGCCTCCTGGGTTCAAGTGATTCTCCTGCCTCAGCCTCCTGAGTAGCTGGGACTACAGGCGCGTGCCACCACACCTGGCTAATTTTTTTTTTTTTTGTATTTTTAGTAGAGATGGGGTTTCACTGTCTTAGCCAGGATGGTCTCGATCTCCTGACCTCGTCATCTGCCCACCTCAGCTTCCCAAAGTGCTGGGATTATAAGCTTGAGCCAATTTGTTCTTATCAGTTAACCACAACCCTAACTTCAAGCTCTTACATCAAAAAGCATTATTATAACTTTCTTTTGCTAGCTTTCAGAGAAAATTCATAGTGCTTTACTTGCCTAGGAGAATATACTTGCCTAGTGAAAACCCCTCACGTTATTACCATCATCCTTATTTAATGTTCAGCATCCTCTTGCAATGAGGTAACTGCTTCTCTGATCCCCACAGAACTCTGATCTACAGTGGAAAATTTTACAGAAAAGTGAAAGCTGTGGAAAACCATGCCTATGGTTTTATCTGGTCCATCACATCTTCATACCTTTTCCAGCTTTCACTCAAGTCAGGAAAGTGGCTGAGATAGCTCGAACGTGCCTAGCTTGTCTCAGGGATACCAGTTACATGAAGAATCCCAAAGAAGCTGCAGAGATTTAAAAACCCATGTACGGATTTAGATTAATAAAAGAACCAACTCGTTAAGCCAGTTCATTCCATTTTTTTTTTTTTTTTTTAAGATGAGGTCTTGCTCTTTCACCTAGGCTGGAGTGCAGTGGCACGATCTCGGCTCACTGCAACCTCTGTCTCCCTGGCTCAAGGGATCCTCCCACTTCAGCCTCCCGAGTAGGTGGGACCACAGGCACGTACCACCACACCTGGCTAACTTTTTGTATTTTTGGTAGAGACGGGGTTTCACCATGTTGCCAGGCTGGCCTCAAATTCCTGAGCTCAAGCGATCCACCCGCCTCAGGCTCCCTAAGTGCTGGGATTATAGGCATGAGACACTGCGCCCAAACTCATTACAAAATTTTTAGGGCTTTCATATGTTAGTCATTTTAAAGGCTTAGTTTATTTAGGAACCCTTCTGTCATTCCCAAAATGAAGGTCAACTCACCAATCCTAGAGCTGTGACCTATGCCTTTGGATGTGAACCAAAATGGACCAGCCTCCATGGTGAATTTACAGGCAGTATATTTAGGCACATTTATTCCATATCATTTATTTCTAAGTTTGACACCAGATTAGCCACAGTGTCTGTAAAATGTCAGACAATGCTTTCCAAACCTCACAGGATCAACTTAACATTCAACTCAATTTACCAAACATGTACTGAGTTCTTACGGTATATAAAGCATTGATCTCAAATTTGGCTGCCTGTTAGAATCATTCTTTTAAGGATTTCCTATGCCTGGCCTCATCCCAGACCAATTAGCTCAGAATGCCTGTGGGTGAGGCCAGGTGTCAAGTGATTCCAATGTACAGGCAGGTTTGAAAACCACCTAAGTGGTTATGCAAGCTAAAGGAGACACTGGGCCCTAAAGGTGCTTATAATCTAATAAGAGCAGGCAGAGAGATACCTATACAAATAAACTATAGTCAGGACTACGGGTTTTGTTTGAGAAGGCACTTGTGCACATTTCCTGTGGGCATTTTAAATGCTTAAAGGAACCTCAACTTATAAAGGCTTATAAAGGAACCTGAACTATCTCTTTAAGTTGGTAATATCTTAAGGATAACAGGAATTATAGAGATAATTTGTGTTTGTCCTCTAATCCTGTAAATTTTTGGCCTTGTGATTTGGGGGCCAGGATGCACTCTTGGCTTATTGGCTGACTATGTGTTTTTAGAGTGAGTCATTTAAACTTTCTGTGCCTCAGTTTCTATTTTCTTAAAATGGAAATAATTATACCCATCTCTACCAATTTTGAGGGAATATCTTGATGTCTAGTTAAGTAATGTGAAAGAATTTTCAGTTCATAAGGGAAAAAATGTAAGCCTAAGTTCTTAAGTATCATTGTTCCAGTTCTCTGTGTTTTGCAGAGGGCTACACATTATCACAAATGTCATGTCAATTAGTCTTTTTTTGTGCAGGCCTTGATTACAACAGACATACAGAGCCCCAAGTAGCCTTAAAAGCTACTGTTGGCAAAATCGTCTGGGAGGAAAAGTTAGGATTTTTTCTAAAAAGATGTTCTCTGAGACATCTTGTGGGGGTCTCTGGATAACTTTTTTGTTTTTTTCCATAAAGTGGATAGCAAGAGTAAATTTCTGGGGATACTGAAATACCTTGGTATATGTTTCTATTACTATATACAGAGCTGTCACTTTAAATTTCTAATGGTAAATTAATTAAAAGTAATATTAAATTGAATTATACTTTTTAACTCCCGAGTTCAAAGGCACATTTTCTTTCTTTTCTTTCTTTTGTACCTCCTGGGCATCAGTTTAGTCTAGTGAGAGTGTGGAACATCTATTACCTTCTTTTGTGCCCTTAGACCTTTCCCATTGCCTCCGGGACTAGATCCCACCTGAAGTAGGCTGGTGGTAACTAGATTATGTTTTCTGAGGATTAGAACTAAGGCTTTCTAACAATAGAGACGATTTCTCTGTTCAGCACACAGAAAGTCCAAAACAAAAACATACCAGCTAGGTTTGCTTGCTGTGTTGAAACAGAAAAACGGAAGTGTCTTACTGCAAACATAGTAGGGATAAAATTAAAACTTTTATTAAATAAAATAATGCATCTTTTTCCGCTCTCAGGGTACTCAAAAACTCACCCAGCCTCAACTTGAAAATGATTCATATGCCAAGGAAAAACCATTCAAATCCATTCCGAAATTTCCTGTCAACTTTTTAAGTTCAAGTAAGAATTCTTTCATTTGTAAAACATTAGATTCACCTAGTTTGTCTCCTGTTTTTTATTTATTAACATTAATATTTAATATAAGTAAAATTAATATTTACTATAAGATTTAAAAAACCAATAATCCAGTGTTTCAAATATTTTGGTAAAGGTTAAAGCATATAAATATGATTATCTGATATATAAGCTTTAAAAATTTTTTGAGTTAATGCTATGGGGGAATTGATAAGGAGATTTTACACCAACTCAAGCAGTCTGAATTTTTAGAATCACTTACTACTAGAAGAAGCCAAGTAGATATATGTGGTAATAGGGGCAACAAAGAACTTTCACAGTAGAGAAAATGGGGACTTTTAAGTGTTTTTTCCCCATTTTCTCTTAGGAACAGACTCTATTAAAAATACTTCCCTAATTGAATCAGCTGCTGCATTCTCTTCCCAACCATCACGAAAATGCTTGCTGGAGAAAATTGATGTTATAACAGGGGAGGAAACAGAACATAATGTGTTAAAGGTCTGTATATCATGTTTTACTCTTTCTGGTAGCATTTACATACTTGGAATAAAGTTAACATGAGAAGAGGCATCTTTAAAAATACAGACAGAAGTATAGTTTTCATGGAGACTAAGTTGCTTAAATAAAAATGTTGGATGCTCTCAAAAATTGAACCAATAATTTATTTTCTTCTTGTGTTTGTATGTGTACCTGGCAGGAAAATGGGTTGTTAGGTTTACAACTATTCACATTAGTCCCTTAGAAATAAGACAGCCAAGTATCCTGCTTTAATACTTGCTTTTACAATTGGTGCTATTATTGTGATTAAATAATTCTACTTACACGTTTAACAATGTTGATAACTTGATTTCAGTCCAATAAGAATTTCGTTTTCCTTCTAAAAAAGTTTAGAATTTCATATAAAATTTAGCTTCCTTTAAAAAAGTTTAGAATTTCATGTAATTCAAGAATTTCACAGATACACACTACAGTATCACAGGATTTTAATGTTGAGTAGTATCACCATCAGCACAAGCACATGAAATGTAATTACTACAACTTTACCCTTTCCCAACAAGGCAGAAATTTCCCTTTGCCTTTCTCCATCTGCTTTTCTCTAAACTCTCTCCATTCCTCTCCACTTCCTCTATGATCTACAGACACTTTTATTTTAAGTGTGTCTCAAAGCATAACCCTTGGATTAGATTAATTCCAGTCTTATTGAAGTAATTGTTAGGGGTGAGGCTCCAGGATGCTATATTTTTAACAGGCTGTCTAGGTGATTCTTGTACACAGTAGTAATGATTGCAGTAGGGTAACCTGTGGTATCACATCCTACTTCTCCACGTTATCATGCTCTCTTTAAAAATATTGAAGCATGCAAATGGTTCAATGATTCTTTTACTTTCAAATAACATTATATAGCTCAAATAATTAATATAAAAATTGATGTATATATAGACATAGTGTTAAAAAATCAGAAAGTATGTATGGCATTCTACCATTGACAGAAAAAAAGAGGGGGAACATTTATATGTATTGGCATGTATGTATGTACAAATATCTCTGGAAAGATAAACAAAATATTTACACCAGTGGTTACTTGTTGCAGGGGTGGAAATTGGTAGATGGGAAATAAAAGCTGGGGGCCCTTTTCACTTTGTATGTCTTTTTACTTTTTGATGTTTGAACTATCCGAAAGTTATATGTTTCTAAATGTTAAATATATTTTAAAAGCTGGTTTATAAATCATTAACAAAGATTATTTTGGTAAAAGACTAGACACATATAAACGTGTCATAACATAGGAAATAATTTACTTTGAAAAAATTTTCTATATATTTGACATTTTAAAAAATTGTCATTTAGATAAACTGCAAGCTTTTCATATTCAACAAAACAACACAATCCTGGATTGAAAGGGGCAGAGGAACGTTGAGACTGAATGACACAGCAAGCACTGACTGTGGAACATTACAGTCAAGACTAAGTAAGGAATCCTTTTGTAAAGCAAGCCATAATTTGTCAGGATTTCTCCTGTGTACTTATAATAATATAGGTACACATCATTTTCTGGAGATGTGCTATAAAATACACCAAAAAATCAGACTGTTGAAAATATTTCTATAGGAGCTTCCCATTTCAAGTAGGCTCTCCTGTTAGACTGCATGGGCTCCAGTTCTGGCTCCAGCAGTGACTAACTAGTGACCTTGATAAGTTTTTAAATCTCTTTCTCTACTCTACTTATATCAATTTAAAATGGGAATAACTGTAGTTCATGACTTATTGAGTGACTGAGAGATTTCAATGAGATAAAGCATGTAAAGCACTTATATCAGAGCCAAGCACATACCTAAATAGTAATCTTATTATTATTTGAAAGAATATGATGCAAATTATTTTGTGAAGTGAAAAGATCTTCTAAAAGAAAATACTTGTCCCATAATTTATCCTTGGCATCCCAGACATGGGATGGGGGTCGGGATGAAGGATTAGTCTCTAAGGAAAGAGATTAGTTCTAAGGTGTGTAGTTATTGAATCCTGCAGGCACAGTGATGTTCAGAAGCTGGAGCCAGTCAAACCTAAAAATACAAGAGAGCTAGCATTCAAAATAATGCAATGGGCATTGTTCAGAGGTCCAAACTGAAAGAGAGCACAGGGAGAGATCTGGGCAGGATGAATGGATTTATTGGTCAATTTTGAGAGGTCAGGACTTTGGAGGAGACCACAGGTAGACACTGGATCCAAGAATAAGGTTATTTGTTGAGTTTTGGATATCAAACTCAAGAAATGGTTAAGAGATATAATTCAGATTAAAAGGACAGAAAGTGTCTTCAGTTCTGTAACTGGCACACAGATTTCTAAATCACCCAACCAAGTAATAGTCCCAAGGCAGGTCCAAGTTATTTACTACTCTGGTTTGATTCCACTGCCTGCCAAAGAAAAAAAAATACCCCCAAAGAAAAACAAAAAACAAAAAACAAACCCCAAAAGAAACTTTCTTTTTATTATGCAGGTAATACACATTCATTGTAAAAAACAGAAAGCATGGATTGAAAAAATTTTTTTTAAAGTCACTTAAAGGCCTATCTTCCTGAGATAACATCTATTAACAGAATATATTTTTCTGGCCTTTGTTTTCTGTATATATAGATGTACACATAGATTGTAAAAGTTCTGATTCATGGTGTTTATTTTGCTTTGTAGCCTAATTTTTTCTTTTACATATTACACCATGATTTTTCACATCAATAAATTTATTTTTGCAGTATTCTTAATGGGTTCATAATATTCTCTTGAATGACTACACCACAATTTATTTAACTAATTCCATTTTTTGGACACTTAAGGTTTTTGTTTTGGTTTTCTTCATTGTAGACAATTCGTGGACAAATATTCTTCAGACCATCAGTTCTTAAAAGGAGTTCTAAAATTTTAACCACTTTTAAATATTACAGTAAAAAAGTGTAATTTCAGCATTTAAGATAAAAAAGTTCTCCCAACATAATAAAGTATGATTTGAAAATCAAGTTTTAATCTAGTCAAATCACAAGTTAGTATTGAATCTACAGTCTGAAAAACAACTACAAGATTTATTTTGCTTTTGAAAATGGTAAATTCCTCCGTGTCAACTGTTCTGTGGCCTGATGTAGTCACCTTCCTATTTTAGTTATGCGCAATCAAGGCAGTCTAAGGCTGATCCTCAACAGCAAACTCTGGGCCCAAATGAAGATTCAAAGAGCAAACCACAAAAATGTACGAATAACAGCTACTGATTTAGAAGACTATAGCATCAAAATATTTTTAATTCAGGTAAGGGAGAAATTTCAGTGATAGAAGATTATCCTACTAAATTAATAGACGTCTGCAATTACTAATTTGTTTTTTCATTAGGTATAATAATCTGTACCATTGGCAAAAACTCAGCCATTCATTATGTCTGTTTATAGCATAAGACATAAATTTTATGTGAAATTCAGAAATTAACACCAAAGTCTATGTAATCAATTGGTACTCATTCCAAGACATTTGTGTGATACATGCCATCAAATCTCTAGCCTTTACTTTACTATTGAAATTTTGTGAACAATCTTACTGTTACCAAAGTGACTATTGTCAGGAATGGTTCCCAGGAAGAGGTTAGCAGACTTTGAAGCCTAATGCTTATCCTGCAAGCTGAGATTGAAAAAAGCCTTTAGGTCACTGGAAAAGAACCAGTGGGAAATGGAAAAACACAGAGCTAGCAAGTTAAAACAACCAGTCCAACAGCAAATTCCAATTCTGGACATGAGTAAATCTCCAAGGTAACAGGATGGGAGCACAGCTTTAGCTGTTCCTGGCAGAGGAATACTTGACCTCAAATACAAGATCCAGACCCAAGAGAGCTGGCAAGAATAAAGCTTAAAAAAACAAAACAAAATGAAACGCAAAAACAAAACCACAACCTCCCCTCAAAAAAAACTGGATTTCCCCATGGACTGACTGGAGAAGACTGATTACCCAAGTTCAGGCAGAAGGTGACAATACAAATAAATTGGCTTCCATGTAGTAATATGGAAAAAAACCTGGCAGGTGCCTGTGATGAAAAACCAAAGTTTATTAGCTACCAGTAAGTGTACTGTTAGGTGTAAGTGATATTGAGCATTAAAATGTTCTGGTAAGATGATGTACAAACCCCGTTTACCATTTAAGGTATTAATACTCTTGCCAGTCGTCTGGGCCAGATTCCCCCTTGGTTTTAGGTGGGTAAAGTAGCATGCCAGAGACTGAGCCTGTTAAACATGACTAGATTCCATCTTCAGAGATGGTCACTATTAACATTTTGGTCTTATATTTTAGTATACACATACAACTGTGTGTAAGAATATACATACATACATATATGTAGCATAGCGTACATACCGTATAACCTTCGGGAAAGCTACTTAGCCTTCTTTAAACTGATTTTATTCATCTGCAAAATGATGGTAACAATAGTACATTTTATTTATACATTTTATTATTGGCTTTAGAAAAGCTGCTGAGATTAAATAGCTAATATGACTGTGAAATACACATGTTATTTTACTTATCAATGTTAATGAGTGTCTTCATGACATTAGTTTATTCTTCAAAAATTGTTTCAGTAGGTGAAATAATTCTATTCTATTATGGACCATAATTTATTCCATTAATCCCACTAATGCGAATGATAAAACCTGGGATTCAACTTTCAGCCAATTTGCTGACTGGCAACTCAGACAAGTCATTTTACCCTTCTGAGCCATAATTTCCTCATTCATAAAGGGAAGAGGGAAACAAGCATATATTTAATACCTGTGCTGCTTATATTTTGCTAATATAAACGAAATTAATAACCCACAGTTTTACTGAAGGAATTGAAAAAAAGAATATTTTAACAGTAAATGTTATGCCAACTTTATTGTTACCATCGTTTTTATATTTTCATATGAATAACAACCATTAAAATAGCATAGGAAAATACTGAAAAGCAAGAACTTCTGCTGTATTTATGGTACAATACCATAGACTGCTCTAATGAGCTCAGCATATCCACAAAGCTATGTAGTTTGGAGGAATGTCCAAGCAAAGTGATGGACAGGAAATGGAAGTCTTTATTCTCTGCAATCCTACAATTTTCTATAGTGTAAAATAGTGAAAGAGGGATGGTCTTAACTAATTTAAATTCAAAAATTCAAATAGAAATTTTATATAACAAAATTTCACTTTCTAAATTTAAAATGTGTACATTGGGATTGCTTATAAAAGTATACATTTTAGGATTCAATTTGGTTCAAGATTGTCTTTTTACTGCTTAATTTTTAGGGTTGTTAGCACCTATGTACACTGTAGATTTATGCCATGTAATTCCTTCCTTATTAGTAGTGAAAGATTAAAAATCTGTAAAATGTAGCTAACATATTAATGATTTTCTTAACAATTTAATGTTCCTCATGCAGGCCAGTGCCCAAGATACAGCATATTTGTATGCAGCAATACATCATCGTCTTGTTGCACTTCAAAGCTTCAATAAGCAGAGAGATGTCAATCAAGCTGAAAGCCTGTCAGAAACAGCCCAACAATTGAACTGCGAAAGCTGTGATGAGAATGAGGATGATTTCATCCAAGTCACTAAAAATGGATCAGGTAAATAGCTTTTGTTTTGTTAGTTCAGAGGTTTAAAAAAGAATTCTTAAGCACGATCCTAATATATTAGGTAGATTTTTTAACAAGTGGAACTGCTCTGTTTAAAGTTAGTGGTGGCTAGAGCCTTAGTTGTTTGGATCTGAGGAGTGGGTTTGAAAATCACTGTCTTCTATAAGTGGTCTTCATTTTATCAAGTCAGCTTCATGGTGATGCCTATGTCATTTGCTTATAAACTGCATAAAAAACTATTACATTGCTACCCTGAAATTAACCCTTCATTTTTATTTCTCTTCACTTATTTTCATTTTATTATTGGCTATACTAGGAAGAATTATAAATACATATAATAAGCCCACTTGGTAAACTTGGCTTGATACCCTGAAAATTCGTTTATTCCCTTTTTAGAATTTGACTGCTTGTAAGAATAACTAGATTGTACAAATACTATTTTCAAGGACCTATTTTATCTAGGGGAAAAAGTACTATTTCTTTTATTGTATCAGGATTCACAAATAAAGTAAGGTTGAAGTGGAATCAGTGATAAACAGACTGTTAGGTTTTAGTGCTTATCTTGATATGTGGATTTAAAACTAATATTCGTACTTCTCTTTGGAGAAAAACAATGTCAAACATAGTAAGCTCAACTTTGTTATACAGATGTAATTATTCCAATAAAAGTCATCCAAGCGTTTTCACTAACAGTTTCACTTAGTCCTGAATTCTGTTTTACAGAGGACTGAGTAATACAATTACAACGATAGTGTGGTAACAAGCATTTTTTTCAACTCTTAATCATTTTGAAATATTAAAGCTGCTTTAATCATATGTAATTTAAGAATCTATCAAAGAACGTACATAACTGGATGAAATATCTTCCTTTGCTTAATATTAAAGCTATAATCAAAAGGAAAAATACACAAAACATGCAGATCAGTATTATAACCTGCTTGACCCAGTGATTCAGAAAACTAAGTGAATATGATTTTTTTTGCTACTTTAAGCAAATCTATTAAACAAATGGTTTATTAGTCTTTAAAACATATAAAATAAAAAAATCTTTTATTTTATAATAATGTTTACACTGCCAACAATAAAATGGGGTCTATCAGAGAACTAGTTGGTACACATTAACAATGTCAATTTGAAATAAGGATTAAATAGCAAATTCTCTCACTAACTAATGACACATGTTTATGATATCTATATTCTGTTATATTCCATTTTAGGAAAGGGGTGCTATGTAACTATCTTAATAAAAAACAATGAAAATAAGGCAAAGCAAATGTCAATCATATGAACCCCCTTTCCCCTGCCATTTTTTCCCATTTTCACTTAGTATCTTCTCCAGGAGGCAGTAAAAACAAATGCTAAAATGTTATGGAAGCAATAAAAGGTCTAATTTTTTGCACTTTGTTGCTTATAAATTATCTAAAAGAGGCATGATTAAAATTTTAGCAACATCTCTAAATGTTGCTTGTAAAAATGTATATTCTGTAGCTTTTATTTCATCACCAATGAGTATATTCATTAATATTCATGTTTAGTTGCATTCAATATTAAAAATCTACCCTAAATATAATATTGTATAATAAAACATTTTAAATTTATATCACAGATCCTTCTAGTTGGACTCACAGACAGTCGGTTGCCTGTTCATGAATACTACCTACTATAAACATGACATCTACAAAAAGAGGGGTCACCCTACTGAAAATACTAAACCACCCTAACTAATGAGAAGATTCTATTCATTCCTTGAAGAGTTTTTATAGAAAAGTTTAAGAAATGTAATTTGTTGCAATTAACATTTTTATGTTTTACATTTTACATTTTGATTATTGTGCAGAAACTGACAGAATTTAAAAAAATGGACTTCAGAAGTTCAAAATTTATCATTTTTGAAGAAGTTTATTTAGAATAGGATTTTATAACTAATTTGGACTCTTCATCACATTGATGGATATAATACTTAGAATTATAAATTGCTAGATTTGATAAATACCTAACAAAATGTTTATTTTTTTCAGTCATACTTGACCACAAAACAAATATTTTACTAAATTTCCAGAGTCATTTCTCTGAAAAATAGTATAATGGCATGATAACATTTCACTAAATCCTATTTATCTTCTGGGAAATATTTTAATTTAGCTTTTGGATTTCCTAATATGATAAGCTTATATATTCATGGTATGAATTCCTTTAAAAAGAGCATCTGCTCTTGGACTTGTATCTGTTGCATCTTGTCAATGTTTGACTCATGGTCAGCATCCAATAGTTGTTAAATGAATAAATAAAATATAATACATTACCTATGTATCAAAAAGCATGTGTAAGAAAGCCAAATATGTTAACTGTTCTACTTTATTTATGTAATTATATTTTCATTAGTATTTTAGTAGATGGGGCTGTATAGAAAAACAAATGTATCATATGTAGCCAAATGAATCTTTTTCTTAAATGATATTATTATAGTAGGCTACAGTAATTTCAACAATTTTACAATAGAGTTTTGATCCTCTTCTTTGCGATTTGTTTCAGAGACACCTCATGAATCACACAAGAAAATTAGTCTCAGTACTTATAGCCCTATTTCATTTTTCAATTCAGTTTTATCACACCATGGCTTCGAAGTGACTTTGATTGTGACCCCTAAGCAATTATCTGATTAGGGGATAAAAATTCATAATTCCAAGATGTTTCTGAAAATGTTCTGAACAATGACAACATATTTGGAATGAGGGCGTAATTTCACTAAGTGATGCTTCGAAGAACAATATTCATTTGGATATGCAAACACACATTTTCAAAAGTTATATTACTGTGTTACCATACCTGTTATAAAATAATAAAAATATATAAGTATTTATTAAGTCAAACTTCAGCTACTGCCTGAAAGTTTAGCATATGAAATTTAAATTAAGTCTTTCAGATTATGATTATGACAATTGTTCAACATTTTGTCCTTCCTTATAACTGAGAAAGCATAACTTAATATAACTACTAAGAGAGGCCCATTCATTCTTCCAGTGATTCTAGAAGAAATATGGCACATAATATCCTTTACTTCTAAATAAAGGAGTCAATGACTCAGAAAATAAAGAGGAAAAATAAAGTAAATGTGAGAGAGATGAAGAAAAGATAGAAGGGGAAAAAGAGATTTAGTACGAAAGAAAGGACAAAAAGAATGGACAACAGAAATACTCTTTTTTAAAATCAAGAAGAGTGACTCTGATGCGGAACACACTCAGCAGAAAATTTTCATTAGAAACATAACACAGAGAGATATTTGGAGAAGATAATAAAGCACTGGTTCTCTTTTATTGTTAAGATCTCAGCTGATGTGGGAACATTGTGATTGCACTATAAATTGCTAAAGTGAAGAAGAGAACAAATAACTTCATTTATTTATTTTGTTTGTTTTTTAGACAGAGTCTCGCTCTGTCACCCAGGTTGGAGTGCAGTGGCACGATTTCGGCTCACTTCAACCTCCCCCTCCCGGGTTCAAGGGATTCTCGTGCCTCACTCAGCCTCCTGAGTAGCTGGGATTACAGGCGCCCGCCATCATACCTGGCTAATTTTTGTATTTTTAGTAGAGACGGGGTTTCACCATGTTGGCCAGGCTGGTCTTGAACTCCTGATCTCAAGTGATACACTTTGCCTCAGCCTCCCAAAGTGTTGGGATTACAGGCGTGAGCCACCACACCTGGTCATCTTTATCTTTTTGACATGTTCATCCTCGTCCCCACACTAAGGTAGAGATAAAGCAATTATCTTCTCAATGCTTGAAACATTTTAAGTTGAATTCATTCTATGATTTTCTTTAGATTTCTCCGCATATATCAATGGAAAAAATTAACTATCTTAATTTCTCATCTATATAGAAATGCCAGTGCAACAAAACCAAATGTAGGGTTAGAATATCAGCAAGGCAAAGAGAGAAGAGAAAATTCCCAGATTATGAAATGGAGAAGAAGAACAGAAACATGATATTTAGCTCACAACTCTTTCAACCCATTTTCTATACACTCCATTATTCTTTCTTAGAATTCTTACACAAATATTTAGTACAATTTTGGAGGAATAGTAGAAACATTTTATAGTTTTTCCTTGTCCTGTATCTTCATCTAGCCTTCTTTTCAGCTTTCCTATGTCCTTTGTTCTCCTTTTATAAGGAGAGATGAGTTGTACAATAACATCCATTTTCATAAGTTATTTAGGTAAATTATTTTGAAGTATACATGTTGGATTTCCAAAGCAGCTGTTTTTAATTAAAATTTAATTAACTAATTTATGTCATTATATATCTTGTGTTAAGACAACCTTAACTTTCTTTTAGTAAGATTTTACCCAACTGTTTACCCTAATTATAGACAATTAAAATGTTCTCTCTTAAAAAATATTATTTTCCATCCATTACTGCCAAAACAAGGAACGCTTTTTCGCCAGGAGAATACATCCTATACAGCAGTGGTAACCAACCTTTTTGGCACCAGGGACTGGTTTTGTGGAAGACAATTTTTCCACAGGCTAGGGGGTGGGTAGGGTGGGGGTGGTTTTGGGATGAAGCTGTTCCACCTCAGATCATCAGGCATTAGAGTCTCATACGGAGCGTGCAACCTAGGTGCCTTGCATGAGCAGTTTACAGTAGTGTTTGCATCCTATGAGAATCTAATGCTGCCTCTGATCTGACAGCAGGCAGAGCTCAGGCAGTAACGCAAATTATGGGAAGCAACTGTAAATACAGATGAAGCTTCACCCCCTTGCCTGCCGCTCCTCTCCTGCTGTGTGGCCCGGTTCCTAATAGGCCAGGGACCGATACTGGTCCACAGCTCGGGGGTGGTGGACCCCTGCTATACAGGTCTTAGAGTATTTGAATGTCATAAAAAGAGGTATATATGTCTTTCATAGAGTCAGAATGAACATGAAGTGGGGGTGGGAAGGGTTCTGGGGGTTGGGAAGGATATATTTTAAAACCTCTGTAAATCTTCAAGTTGTGAATACCACAGTGATATATAATTTTCCCCATAAAATGTTGAGAACAGTTAAGCTTGCTTGAGATATGGCTATCACATGGTTGGCTAGACTCATTTACTAGAAAAGCACACCAGCCTCACCATAGATGGAGTCTGAGTTTAAAACTCAAAAATCCATGAATGCCAGCAGTTTTGTTTGGGAGGGTGAGGTCGGCGGATTGCCTGAGCCCAGGAGTTCAGGACCAGCCCGGGGAACATTGCACAACACCCCATTTCTACAAAAATTTCTAAAAATTAGCAGGGTGGCTGGGCGTGGTGGCTCACGCCTGTAATCCCAGCACTTTGGGAGGCCGAGGCAGGCGGATCATGAGGTCAGGAGTTCTCAGGACCAGCCTGGCCAGGATGGTGAAACCCCGTCTCTACTAAATATACAAAAATTAGCCAGGCGTTGTGGCATGCACCTGTAATCCCAGCTACTCGAGAGGCTGAGGCGAGAATTGCTTAAACCGGGAGGCGGAGGTTGCAGTAAGTCGAGATGGTGCCACTGCACTCCAGCCAGGGTGACAGAGCGAGACTCCATCTCAAAAAAAAAAAAAAATTAGCAGGGCATGGTGACACGCATCTGTAATCCCAGCTACCTGGGAGGCTGAGGTAGGAGGATTGCCTGAGCCTGGGAGGTTGCAGCTGTGTGAGCCATGCGGTGCAGTGCCACTGCACTCCAGCCTAGGGGATAGAGTAAGACCCTGTCTCAGGAAAAAAAAAAAAAAAAGATATTTGTAAACTATGGCACTGGAAGGAAGAATTATTGAAATGATTAGCTAATGTTTAGCCTAATCAAGACTTGATATGGATAAGTTTTCTAACAGAGTGTTACCAAGATTTCTTAATTTCTACCAATCTAGTGGATATAAAATATTATTTCACAATGACATTATTTGTATTTCTCTAATTTCCAATAAGGTTATCTTTTCAAGTATTTATTCACTGTTTGTGTTTCTTCTAAAAAATTCCTGCTCACGCCTGGGCACAGTGGCTCACACCTGTAATCCCAGCACTTTGAGAGGCCGAGGTGGGTGGATCATGAGGTCAGGAGATCGAGACCATTCTGGCTAAGATGGTGAAACCCTGTCTCTACTAAAAATACAAAAAATTAGCCAGGCCTGGTGGCACGCACCTGTAGTCCCAGCTACTCTGGAGGCTGAGGCAGGAGAATCCCTTGAACTCGGGAGGCGGAGGTTGCAGTGAGCTGAGATTGCACCACTGCACTCCAGTATGGACGACAGAGCGAAACTCCATCTCAAAAAAAAAAAAATTCACAATTTTTGCAAAGCTAATCATGTCATTTTCTCCTTTTGGTTGCCTCCTAATATATGCAGGATAAAAGGCAGGTTCCTAAGCATGGATTTAACATTTTCCATTGTCTTTACCCTTGTCTACCTCTCTAGCCTCACTTCCCCATGTTGCCTGCCTCTCTCTAAATTCTCTAAAATTTCAAAATTGCTAGTTCATTGCTTCTATGCATTTGTTCATGGTGTTTCTTCTGTGGAATTTCCTTCTCATTCTTGCTGATAATGGCTAATATTGAATTCATTACTTAAGGCTTAGCTCTTCACATTCCCAAAAAGCCTTCTCTAACTCTTGTTAGGTTGACTTGAGACTTGCTCCTCCAAATTTCTCAGCATTCTGTGTATAACTCTATCACTGCATAGACTTTAGGCTCCTCAAGGGCATGGAAGCTTTTTATCATTTCATCTGTAGCACCTAGCAGGATGCCTGGCCTACAGTGACACTCAAATTTAATTTAATCTCCACGAATGTGTGTTACATGTGTAAGATTTAAGAGACATTATCTAAAAGGAAACTAGATAAGGATTGGAAATTCAAGAGAAAGATCTGGGCTAAAGATGCCAGTAATAGCTGAGGTCATGAAAGGGGCTAATATTTGCCAAGTGTCTACTGTGTAATGGGCACAGTGCTAAGCATCTGTGCATATATTCACAATTTTACAAGGTAGCAATTATATTTTATAAATGCAGAAGTAGTCTCAGGAAGGTTAAACAACCAGTTCAAGTTTCACAAAGCTAATAAACAATAAAACTGAGATTTGAACCAAGATCCTTCCATTACACAACACTGAATGAACTCAGGAGCGTGTGTGTGTGACAGAGAGAGAGAGAGAGAAGGAAAAAAGACGGAGAAGAAGAGACAAGGAGACGAGGACAGAAGACATCTTGGAGATGGGTTTAGGAAGAAGTCAAAAAGGGACATAGAGATGGGAGAAACACTGTTAGGGACTGGTATGTTGGGAGACAGTAAAAGATTTCAAGAAGAAATGATAACCATTTCAAATTCTTTGGAAAGATCAATCAATTAAAGAACTGAAAAAAGTCTTTTGAGTTCCAACAAGATCTTTTGGTCACCTTGGAAACAGCAGTAATTAGCAAAGTAGTGGGGAGAAGCTAGTGTACAACAGGTTGAGGAATGACTAGGAGGCAGGGATGTGGCAATGATGAACAGACTACTCTTTCGAGAATCAGCTGTAAAGGTAAGGCAGGCAATATGTAAAAACAAAGGCTTAGAGGTTGTTTTGTTTTTTTAGAAAAATTTTAAAGATGTCATAGACATGAGCATATTTAAATACTGAAGAGGCAAACTCATTTGGGAGGGAAAATTCAAGATACCTGTGAGAGGATGCCTTCAGAAACACTATTTTTGAGGAGGTGGAAGATGAGACGCAAAATAACTATGGACAAAGGGCTATTCCAACTGAGATGTCAATGTATATGTTTGCAGCTGAAATGAGAGTCAAAAATCTGGGTTTTTATCTGTGAAATGGGAAGAAATGAGGTCCGAGATTTCAAATATGAGCAACAAAACTCAGACTTTGATCCCAAACAGTTTCTCCCTACGCATTTTTTTTTCTCTATCGAATGGATCAATTAACATTCCCCTGTTCACCCTGGCCTCAAACCTAAGCGTCATCTGTGATTTCTCCCTTTTTTTTTTCCTTCCTAATGCTAATGAAGTTTAAAATAGTAAGACTACAAAGGAGTCTGAGGATAGTTATAGATGTTACCTCTAGAAGCTCAGGTTATTAAGGTTGTTACACTACACGTCACTATTAGCAGCTGCTGTGAGGGAAAGTTCTTGGTGAGAACGGGTCAGTGGTAGAACTTTACCAAGTAAACACCTATCGGGCTTCATTGTGTATGCTCCCAGTCCAATACACTACCTGGCACACAGCAGGCACACCGCGGGAACCCACGAATGAACGCTGGTGCTGGTGGGCCCGTGAGGAGAGTCATAGATTCACTGAATCGATTTGGACTTGGTAGAACCTTGGGGTCACCCTAACCCCCTTTTTACAGATGAGGAATCTGAGGCCCAGAAAGATGAGGTAACCTGCCCAAAGTCCAGAAGCGACGTAGCGCCAGGACTACAAAGGAGCAAACACAGTGCCAGGGGAAGGGGATCTAAGGAGCTGCGGAATTGAACAGCAGGATGTGCACTGCCATGTGGTTCTCCCCTTACAATGGGACGTTTCCTTCTGTTCTCGTCACACCCCAGCCCAGGTCCTGATCACTCCACGGGTCATTATCCCAACAGCATCCCTTCCTCCTCTTCTTGCCTCCCAAGCTACCCAAGATTCCAAAGCCAGATCAATAGTCATCAAACATTGCTTTAACTCACTCCTTTCCAGTTAAAAGCTTTCAAAGAACTAATTCATTTGGACTTTGTCCTATAGGTAGGGCTCTTCGGGGGGGCAGGGGGCAGCGGGGCGGGCACTGGGTCCCACGCCGAGAGGATTTCGTGCCAAGCCACGCACACGGTGCAGCAGGAGCCGGGTCCGCCTCCTCAGCCCCCAGCCCGGCCCCAGACACACCAGCTATCACACCGACCCTGGTCAAATAAACCAATGGGCACGTGGTCGGCCTGCAGAACAGAACCCAAGCGAGCATATGCCAGGAACCTGCCTTCCCGCCAGCCGCTCAAAACCCCACCCGCTGGCCCCGCGCCGCCTCAGACCGGATCCAGCTGGATTCCTCAGGGCGACGCAATCGCCTAACAGAATTCTACCTCTTTCTCAGGCCGCAGCCAATGGCGCGGCCCCTCGGATCCGGAGCCGCCGCGGGCTCTGATTGGCCGATAGAGTTAGCCTGGGGGCGGGAGAAGAGCGACCTCGGGGAAGCGTGTGGTGCGGGGAGGTCGCCCCCGGGCGGCGAAGCAGCCATTATGCAGGCGTGAGTGAAACGAATAAACAAACAAACAAAACCCACTAGCTGGGGCCTCCATTTCTTCCCCGCCCACCTTTCTCCCGCGTGGGGTCTCCCGTTTCCCAATCGCCACGCTTTCCCCGCCTTCGTCAACGCCTGGGTACGTCCCCCTAGCCGCGTGGGCCACGCACGTCCTGGCACTTAACCTCTGCCCGTCCGGCGCGAAGTTAGAGGCCCGGGCGGCGCGGACGGCGCGCACTCCCGGCGGTAGGGAGCTGAGGCAAGGGGCCCGAGCCCAAGCCCGCGGCCGCGGCCCGGCCCACGATGACTTGCTACCGAGGCTTCTTGCTGGGCAGCTGTTGTCGCGTGGCGGGCGGCCGGGCGGCGGCGCTGCGGGGACCGGGTGCGGGAGGCCCCGCCGCGCGGCCCCGGCTGGGCGGTGACGGTGGCGGCCGGCGGCACCTGGGGCAGGGGCAGCCGCGCGAGCTGGCGGGCTGTGGCAGCCGCGCGGACGGCGGCTTCCGCCCCTCCCGGGTGGTGGTGGTGGCCAAAACCACCCGGTACGAGTTCGAGCAGCAGCGGTACCGTTACGCGGAGCTCTCGGAGGAGGACCTGAAGCAGCTGGTGGGTCCTGGCTCGGCCCCGCTTCGCTCCCGGGCTCGGCCGGGGCTCTGGTGGCGGCTGCGCCCCCTCGGGGGGACCTCTCGGGACGACTCTTCCCAGGGCACCGCAGATGCCGGTCCTGCCTCTCTCGCGGCCCCCAGGTCCTCTGGCTTCTCCCTGGGCCTCCTTTGCCTTTGGGCGTGTGTGCGAGGGAGAGGCAGGGCCGGGGAGAGGGGGAGAGAGAGGGACAGTGGTTCATGCAGGGACTTAGGAGGCAGGGGCGCCGCGGGGAGGGCGAAGAGGGGCTGCCGAGTGGCCTCAGAGTGAGGGGTTTGAGGATTCGTTGGTGCCCTCGCCGCCCCCGCCCTCGTTCCCTGGTTGGGACCCACTCCAAGAAAGTGAGCCAGTGGCCTGAGGTCTGGACGCCCTGCGAACAGCTCCCCTGGCCGCCGCGAGAAAGGGGGCCCAGGGCGCCGCTGAGGGCTGCCGGGGGAAAAGGGCCGAAACAACCGCGGACACACCCCCTTTTACTCTGCAGGACTGCGAGGCCTAGGGCACTCCGGAAAGTCCTTCAGCGTGAGCCTTTTCCTTGCTGGAACGTGGTCGTTGGACACTACGAGCTTGTTTTAAAAGCACAGGTCTTTGGTGCTAAGAAGGAAAAGGGAGAAAATTTGACTTGTATATGTACGTTATTAAGGAGAAATGTCAGGACAAGGGGCTGGTATACTGGGTAGTGTGTGAAATAAAAAAGCCTGCGACTCTTGTGCAGCAGTATCTCCACAATATACCATATTTGATATGTTTATTAATATATCTGCAAAGATACAAATCCAAGGGAAAAACCAGAGTTTGAATCTTCCTGTTGTCATCCCCCCCCACCAACTTTAAAAACAGTTTCTGATCCCATACCACCATCCACCAACTTTAGGAAAAGGAGAGTGCCCGGTGCTACCATGAGCAGTATGTCCAGAAAAATATATTGGAAATCTCTTAATTGTTGGCACTGTGCACCAAAAGGTTTTGGAATTAATTGCACATAACTGATTTAGTTTAATTCTGTGCAAGACTAGACAACCTGTTGGAAACTTCTGGTATCGTGTGATCTTAGCGAAGTTATTTTGTAGAGGCATCAAAATGAAATTGTAAATCATCTTTGCTTAAGTGCTGAATCTGTTGTCAACATTAAACATCCTGCTTCTTTGTTGGGTTTACTGAAGAGGGCTCCTGCATTCACCTGATGGGAGTCTAGATGTGTAGATTTGTTTTCTTTTTCCTAAGTGTTTGAAAATGACTGTTTATAGAATACACTTGCATCATTTAAAGAATAAAGGGTTTGAACAGGAGGTTAGAGTAGTTGAGTTTGTATTAGGGAGTGAAACTAGAGGTGAGATAGGGACTAGTAATGTTCTAAGAAAGCACAGTGTTACTATTTGGGGAAAGTGGTGTGCCCTTTGGGTTGTACTAATTTTGCAAAGTCTAGCTTGTAGGATTTGTCAAATGCCATGTATGCATAAATATGTGCATACAGTTTTATCGAAGCTTCCCACAACAATTTAAAATAGCTCACTTGGCATGTTCAGAGTGTGGGATTAAGAGTGAAGAGCTCAGTTCTAGGCCCTGGTTCTGTGTGGTTAACTTCCTATGTGTGTTCTTCTCTGGGCCTCATAGGTGGAAATGATACTTTTTGTATAGTAGTGTCAGTTTTCAAAGTGCTTCACCTAATTCAGTATGTGAATTGCAGAGGTAGTACCAGATAGCCTCCAAGGCCCTTTACAGTACTGGCATTTTGAAACTGTGGATAACGTTTTCAAGGCCTCAAGAAAATGGGTGGCATCTCAGTTAGGATTAACTCTTGGACCTCTGAACTAGATTACCACTTAATAAAAAAACTTTTAAAATGTAGGGAAAATCAATAAGTCTTAAAAAGTCAAACTACCTAAGTGTACCCGTTCTGAGTGGAGAAATCTCTAATAGGTAAATATTTGTCTATTGCTAGGTAATGCTGTTTGGGATAAGCCAGCTTTGAAGTAAAACTCGTGGGCTGTAGAATACACAGTTTTGTAATTGCCAGGCAGTGGAATAGTTTTTGTTGGTGGTGTTGTCATTACAGTTTTATTGGATAAGTTCCTTACTGATTTGAATTTGTGTTATAGTTTATATAAAGGCCCATACTCAGAATGCAATAGCATTAGTTGTAGACCAGATGAGAGATTATTAACAGGCCAAAGAATACTGGGCTGTGTGAAGCTGTCCTAAAATGGGATTCTGTAATAGGAGTGATAAGATGATAAGTATTATTTGTTATATTGCTGGGGTAGAAAATACTAAGTTATGTGAATCATGTGAATTGGATGGATATAAAAGAAAGTGGCCAAGTGCTTGAGTCTCACCATGGCTGCTGTGTCTATAGTGTCATGGTAACTTGGTTTTTTGTCAAAGCATTCTCTTTTGTTGTCGTGGTGGTGGTTTTTTGATGTAAAACAGGTCTGTTTTAGGCTATTTGTTAAAATGCAAATGGAAGATGAAGGATAGAGTGCCAGTATAATTTTATACCCTGAAGGCTGATGATTTTCTAACTTTGTAGAAATGTAAACAATTACAGGAAATATTTTTTAGTTGATAAGGCATGCACAGAATAGGTTTACAACCTTCAAGCTAGTCAAAGTTTTGACTTTTATTTACCGTTTCATATTGGTTACATTGCTTTATTTTAAAATCTTGTCTTTTTCCCCATTGATTGACCAGTGACTTATTTTGTGATATCAGATTTCTGGTCAAACATTTTACCTCTACTGTCTCATGACCTTTCAAAGGCCAGTAAAACTATTATTACAATTTACTTGCATCATTAAGAGATGTAGCTGTTGGCAAATGTGCAATTGCTATTAACAGGGTCCTTGACACAAATTAGAACTCTAGATGAAACAAAACTGACTTGGAAAGGATTTTGACACCAGAAACATACCTCATTGGTCAAAAAAAGGTTTTATTTAAAGCTCTTTTTCACCTGTCACCAGGGATGGGGAACTGAATAAGGAAAAAAAATTTTAATGTAGAACAAATAAGAAGTCAGCAGTTTCTGCCCTCCTCTCCATCATTCCAGGTCTCACAACTCGGCAACCCTTTTACTGGTTCCTATTTTTAGTTTTGTTTTTTAAAATTCATAATGGGATAGAATAATTTCATTTAACAGTCTGCCGTGTTATTGGATTAAACTAGATGACTTGGAAGGTGTAGCACCTTGGATTTCCCTTTTGTTTTCTGAAGATTTTGTGGCTTAGGTTGTAGCACTTGGGCAGATAATACTTTTGCCACAGGGTATGCAATAAGCGTACCATGGTATACTTTTGTCAGGTGGTATACTTTTGCTACATTGTATGCAATAAGTATATTACATACAATATGATTGTTAATCAAATTAAAGAGCATGATTTGGAGTACTGCCAGAGCTTTCTAACTGAATCCTTGCTCCTCTCAAATCTTCTAGACACAGTTACCAGAGTGTCTATCTAAAGTGAACATCTGGCCCTTTCTCTCTTTTGCTTGGAACTCCACAGAAGCTCCCTGTACCCTTTAGTCACCAAGAGTACTTGTTAAAATGCAGACACCTGAACCTTAGCCCCGCAAGACTCTGACTCAGTTTGTGGAGAATTCCCAGACTTTGGTTTTATGAAGCACACACCTGAAATTAATGACTCCGGCTGAATTCCAGGGATGTGTTTTATCCCTGGTTGGCATGTGGTCCCCAGTTAAACTGAGAAACACAGTTGTGGGCTCAAGTTCATGATCTTTAGAATGGCAGATAAGTCCCTTCATGAACTGGCTATCTCTTGAGCTTCACTTCTGATCACTTCTTGTCTTAAATTTCATATTCTAGCAATTTCAAACTGTGTTAATTTCCATTAGATGTTGTACTGATTTAGTTTAATTTATGGATCAGTAGCACATAAAATGATTCAAAATATAAAAGATACAAAATATTATACAAAGAAGTCTTTCTGTTACTTGTCATTTGTCATTCAGTTTTGTCCCTGGAAGTAACTGTTATCAATTTCTTGTGTTTTCTTCCAGAAGCAACCTATACCTACAAATCAGCACAGTGAAATATTCTTTTTCTTTGCCTCATCTCTTTTTATTCAATGATAATATACTATTTAAGCTATTATGTGCCTTTTTTTTTAGCCTAACAGCATTTGTGGAGATTGTCATAAAGAACATTCCCATTCTTTTTAAAAATAGTATGTATGTTACTTTATTTTGTGTCCTAATTTATCTTCTGCTATTAAACACATTCTGAAATGAATAACATTTGTGTTTATATGCATGTAAATCAAGCTCTAAGACAAATACCTAAAGTTGAAATTGTTGAGTCAAAAGCCTTGTGCATATAAAGTTTTAACAGATTTGGCCAAATTGCTTCCCTTAGAGATTATACAGATTTTTACTTTCACCAGCCCTGTATAAGGGGACTTATTTTTCCATACATAGTTCATTAAATTGTTGGGTCTTTGCCAACCTGGTGGGTGAAAGATGGTATTTCAGGGTGGTTGAATTTGCATCTCTCAGTGTCTATGTGTCTACTTTTGTAGCCTCCTTTGATTTGAATGCTCTTCTTCCTCTATCCAATTCCTGTTTTTTTTTTTTTTTTTTTTGAGGTTAAGCTCAGACATTACTCTCTCAGGATGCCATCCTTGGTAACCTTGCTGTGCCTCTGCCTTTCTCTGGCTACCAAGATTGTGTTAGGCATTCTTCACTTCATAATACTTATCTGTGATTATTTTCTTTTCTAAACTGTAAACTCTTTGAGGGCAAGAATTGCATCTCCTTTATCGTCCTCTCCACCCCCATACTTCCACTAAAAAAAGTAGTAAAATGTTTCTGATGTTCTGTTAAGATCATTTTTAGGTCTTTTCTCCTTGAGCCTGGGGACCAGCTTCCTTCTAGTCCAGGGCCTTATTACCAGCTGTCTGTCTTTCCAGATGTTAGCTGCTGAAAGCTTAAGTCAGAGTTTAAGCCTTAAGCTTTGGATTCTTTGATAGAGGTTTCGGGTTAAATGTCTTTGAAAAACATGAGCCCAAGCAAAAGATGATTTTTATTTGACTATGGGATTCTTTTTGGTGGGAGGGAGCAGAAAATGTTTTAAATTCTGTGGAACACAACTTGGAAAACAGAGGTTTAAGGTATACTCCCTTTCTATAAATACTTGCAGTTAAATAGGAAACTCACAAAGATGTAGAAGAATTAAATATCACAGTAGCTGAAGTGTCACCATTAGAGAATCATTGACCAACATGCTTCACAGCCCTGATGTTCAGCCTTCACTGTATATAAGCATTATCTAGGGGGAGGTTTTAAAAACTACAAATATGTGACCAGCCATGAGATTGCAAATAACAAAATTTTTCACTGTTATCATTTTACTATATTTTTAATTATATAAATTAACTTCTAATAGTTGTGTTTGATGCACATTAATCTCTTCTCAACTAGTAAAGTGTAAATTGACTTTATTTGTCACTATCAGTGAACTTTGTAATGTACAACGGAAATATATAATTTCAAAATATCAGCAAGTGTGCCAGTTATTTCACGCTTTAGGAAAATTTATTTTTTATATATATATATATATATATTTTCTTCATAATAAACCACTAGATATGGATTATGCAGGAAAATAGACCAATCTTTGTAAAACATTTGCATTGAAGGAGGGTTCATCCAATTGGCTCTCCTCTTCCTAAATGAAAGGTGGTAGAATTAGGTCCTGATAAAGAACAGAATAGTTGTTGAGTTATGTAACTTAGTCATCACAATTGAGGCTTAGTGGCCTAATGAGTATTCACAGTTCTCAAGCAGGAGTAAGATATATGGCTAATGTAGGAATGTTAGTAGTATGTGGCTGCATGGATATAACAGAGTAGACAAATCCTGCTTTAACAGCAGAAGATCAGAGTTTTGATCCTGAAAGCACAATCTGATGTCTTTGTAATCTTGAGCAAGTAACCTAACCTCTCTGAATCAGTCTCTTTGGCTTTGAAATATTTATAGTAATACCTGCTTTTCCTTTCTCACATAATTTTTAGAAAGGTGAAATAATTTACAATTTACATAATTTAACTTAAAGCTGCATAATCTAATTCCAGTTTAGCCACAATAATGATCATTATGTAAATGTTACATATATTTAAATTATGTACCTGAAATAGCATTGATTTGGTTAACTCCAAAGTAGATTCCTTTACTAAGATAGATCACTTAAGTGAACTAAAAATATGTTGATTTTTAACTCTGCTTGCGTAGTGTTTTTTTAACCAAAATTTTAAAGAAGTTATCATTTCAAAGTAATAGAGAAAATAATTACAAAAATTATGATCTGCATTAAAAGTACTTGCTACAGTGTCACTATTGGCAATATCCAGGAAGTCTGTTAGTTAATTTGTTTAAAGTGTCACTTTTAAATATTTGTTCACAAAACCGTTTTTTGAGCCCCTGCTAACTGCTAGGCATCCTGCTGGATCCTGGAGAATCAAAGATTAGTAAACAGTTTCCAAATACATGGGAAACATCTATTACATTATATTATAAATATTTATAAGTGATCCATGGGAGTACAGGGAAGGGAGAGAACAATTTGGGAAGGGTAGGGATGAAGGGGAGAAAAGACTCCCCCACTCCCAACTTTTGAGTAGATTTTCAGTGATCTTTTTAAAGTTTAGATTTTCAGTTATGAGATATTTCAAACATATAGAAATGTTTCAGAAAGTAACAAGACACCTGTGTATTCAGCTACCTAGACTTAACAGCTATTAATATTCTGCCATATGTGCTTCAGAATTTTAAAAATGGAAATATTACAACTAAAGCCTTATGCATCCAACTTTTCCCACTCCCTACCTCACCAGAGGTAACCACTGCCTTGACGTTAAGTGTATTGTTCTCATACATATGCTTTTACATTTATTAATATGACAGTATCCATAAACAAGTGTAACATCATGTGTGTCTTTTAAAAGTTAGTCAATGATAATTCTGTTCTTTAGAATATGTGCCTATTCTTTAGAAATTTGCTTCTCTTATTTACTATTGGTTTCAAAACTTATCTGTGTAGATACGTGTTAATTCATTTTTTTTTTTTTTTTTTTTTTTTGAGACGGAGTTTCGCTCTGTCGCCCAGGCTGGAGTGCAGTGGCGCGATCTCGACTCACTGCAAGCTCCGCCTCCCGGGTTCACGCCATTCTCCTGCCTCAGCCTCCCGTGTAGCTGGGACTACAGGCGCGCGCCACCATGCCCGGCTAATTTTTGTATTTTTAGTAGAGACGGGGTTTCACCGTGTTAGCCAGGATGGTCTCGATCTCCTGACCTCGTGATCCGCCCGTCTCGGCCTCCCAAAGTGCTGGGATTACAGGCGTGAGCCACCGCGCCTGGCCCATTAATACATTTTAACTGCTGTGCAATATTTCATTGTTTGGATAATTAGGTTAGTCACAGTTTTTCCATTATTAAAAAAATATTGTAATTAGAAGTACAAATAATTTTTTCCATAAGCATTTAGTGGGTTCCTGAACAGCACTTAGTAGACTTTAACATTTTTGCTAATATGAAGGTGAAATGGTATCTTTTAATTTCAGGATGTTTGAATTAAATATTGAAAAATACAGAAGAATTTTTATGTGTGAAGGAGAGAACAGCAAGACTTGCGTGAAGTTCATCTTGTAGCCAACCAAAAGAACTCAAAACTGACTGTGATCCATAATCAGAGATCTCTTACATTGTGACTCAGTACATAAATTTGAAATAAAAGATAACAGGGAAGAATTTAGCCTTGTATGTTTTATAAAAACATCTTTAAATAAAAGATAACAGGGAAGAATTAAAAATATATTTTAAATAAAAGATAACAGGGAAGAATTTAGCCTAGTATGTTTTATTTTCTAGTTAATGATAATGCTGGCTGTGATCGTTAAATTGTGACCAGCTTATAATGCACTTTAAGACAATTTGAAAATCATAGTATATTGAGGCCAAACAGGTAGAGTGGACCTTATAAAGGTGGTAAGTCTCTTGCCAAGGAGTTAGCTTTATCTCCTAGTGGTTTTCAGACTCTTTATGGTAGAACACAACCCTTGCTCAGCCTGTCTTTCTCCATAGGAATTGGGTGATGAGGGTCAATTTTTCTGAGATTTCAGCATTTTGGACGTTGTATGAAAACTGGCTTTTGTTTTCATACGACGCCCAAAATGTGGTGGTGTTAAGGTTAGTTAGGGGATGGGAATTAGTCAAAGACTTTTGAATAAGGAACTAGTTTAGAAAATCTGGAGGCAAGCTTTTGCATTAGACCAGATAAGAGTTGGTGTTGTCCAGAACTCAAGCAGTGGCAGCATGAACTTAAAGTACATAGATTGTCAAAACACTTCACAGATGTAATTATTTGACTTCACTACTGACTGGCTGTGGACATTGAGTGTGAGGAAGAATTAAAGGTGACACGGATTTATTAAGTTGCTCATGTAAATGATGCTATTGTTAACTGATAAATTGGACTCAGAAGAGCAGATTTGAGGGGGAGTATATAATCAAGTTTTGATATTTTTGGAGAGAGGTACCTGAACTATTTGTGGATGGATGTAAAGGTAGCATTTGAAAATTCAAGGCTGTAGATCAAGAGACGTGGACTAACAGTATAGATTTCAAGGTTACTGGGATATACTTGGTAGGTGAGTTTCCTGGAGTGGGGCGATAACTCAGAGAAAATGAAGTGAGAGCAGATAAGAAAACCAAAGTTGGAACCTCAAGCAATATCAAGGGAGGAGGTCAACAGAATTAACAGAGGAATGCAGAAATAGAGAACGTTGGGGAAAATAAAGGTGAGAGCCTGGGAGAAAGTAAGTGGAATAGAGATGATCTAAGATAAATACCAAATATATGTGAAGAAGTCTTTAGGGTTCAGTGCACTAGGTCTGATCATGTTAGGTGAATGGTTGAGTATCTAGGTGTTGATTAGGTGCTGTTAACCTTTTTAAGGCAATTTTGAGTAACACTTAGAGTACCATTTAGTTAAATGTGTATGCTTTTAAGGGTGCCTAAATTATGCCTAGTGGATTGACATACTGAACTGTCATTGTCTCAAAAGTTTGTGCATTTATTATGTGTTAAATTTAAAAAAACTTAACTCCTTCCCTTATTAAGCTATCATAGAAATTACATAGAGTACAAAATAGCAATACTCAACTGACTGGTAAAACAAGTCTTAAAAATTTGTAATTGCAATAAATTTAGTTTTAGATAAGTAAAACCATCTGTGATAATTTAATAAAGGTGTTATAAACCATTTAGGTAATAGCATAACTATCACATCTGGATCTTAAAGTGTGCTAAATCTATCCATTCAAAATCTTGCTTTTTTCCTTACATGTTGTGCTTTATTTTAATATCAGAGCTGTGTGGGGAGACATGATCTTGGCTTTCGGAGATTCTGTAGGAGAAACTCTTGCTTATATTGAAATGTGTCTGTCTGTCTGTAGATCTCATGGAGTCACCTGCTTTTTCCAAGTGTCCTGGTGAATCTTTATTTATTTATTTATTTATTTTAATGGAGAGAAGAATTAACAGGTTTTTGGGGAAAATATTAAAGACTGTTACTAATAATGTTGTGTAACATTGCAGAGAATTGGGAATGTGTTCTAAATTTCAGTAATTTCTCTAACCTTTTAATGGTAAGACATTGTCTAAGAAATCATGTGTTCTTATTTTTGTCTGATTAAAGGAGTGTTTTAAGATATTTGAAGTCATGTTATTTTCAAAGGTTTAGCAAGAAATTCTTACCAGCTTTTGCATATGCCTTTTAAACAAATATAATTATTGGACTTCAGTACTCACTGGCTGTGGCGATTGAATGTAAGGGAAGAATTAAAGCCAGTTGAATAGTGATTTAAGCCTTTCTAATTGATGCTGTTTATTAAGTGATTTTCTTATTTTTTATCTGTCTCATTTAGCCAGTTCATGTTAATAAAGCTTAATAGCCCAACCAGCGAGGCCTTTAAAGAAAATAAGAACTTACATTCTCTAAATGAATGTTGAGGATGACTTATTAGAAAGTTAGTTCACAAGAAGAAATTTGAGTGGGAATAAGAATTTATGAACTGACATTTCTGCTTCAATGTTAAGTATTCTGATGCTGCCTGAACTTTGTATTTAGATTTGGAATTTTAGGAATTTTATTATTGTTAGCAATCATAGAAAACTTGAAGTTTTTTGTTAGTTCTCCAAAACTTTTTCTCCCACAAATTCAGACCCTTTCGCCATCTCAAGCCAAAGTTCCCTAACAGTCAACGCCATGTATCTTATTTTCCTGGGGCTTGCCGAGAGCCAGGAAGTAAGCATAAAAGTTTCTGAACTACCAGACTAGCATTTACAGGGCTTACACAGTAAGGTTTATGTGCTTTTTTCCTGGGTACATGTTCCATATTGTCCAAACCAAAATTTGGAACATAAGGTAAAAATCCTGGATAGGGAATTGAAGTATGAGGGCCAGCTACCCTTGAAGTTTTATTTAAAGTAGAAGTGGTAAATTAGATATAACTGTTGTAATAGGCTTATTGTGCATTTGAATTAGTTATCATTGTCTTTGGCAGTTTGCAGTGCCTTGTTTAATACATTTGATTAAGTTCAACTAGTAGTTAAATGAACACAGTAGTAGGCAGTCAAATATTTAGATGAATTTTTTTTAGAGCTTAACTTCTAGCTGTGTAAAGTGTTCACGCCTAAAGTGGAATTGTAAGAGATAATTATAACAAAATAATATACTATAGTAACTAATCTAACTCTCCTCAGTTCTAAGGGTTGGTTTGCACACTGTTGTCACTTTCTGGGTTATCTTCTGTAGCATCTGCTTCTGCACTATTCTTGCTTTTCTGGAAAATGTATGCATGAGTTCATTCAACAAATACTTAGCTAGTACTTAGGCCCTGAGGAACAATGGCAAACAAGATAAGTAAGATCACTGTTCTCCCAGCACTTATATTCTAGTAAGGAGATTCAAAGGGATTTTTTAAAAATACCAGGAAATTTTAGGTGTGGTAAATGCAAAAAAGGGAATTAACAGGTGTTGGGATGGAGTAATTGGCAGTGGTGGCTGTTGCAGCTGCAAGGGCAGCACTAGCAGCAGCTGTTTCAGCAGTCCTGGCACCCCAGGGTTAAAAAGAGTCAGAGTTAGGTGGAGGGATGGAAAGCATTCCAGCAAGTACAAAGGAAGAGCTTGGTGAAAATAGACCAAAGAGATTAGAGTGTTGGGAATGGGGAGGAAAAATGAGGTAGGAGAAAGGAGCAGAAGTCAGGTGGCATAAGCCTGAGAGTTGGTAGGAAGAAAGTGCCATTTGTAGAAGGGCATTAAGCTGAGGAAGAGACATGCTGTGGTCTCTCTGGTTTCTGTGTTCGGAATAATCTATAGGGTGCCAAGAGTGGAAGTAGGGAACCCCTGTCAGAGGCTTGTGCAGTGGTTCACGTGTGAGATCATGAGTGGTAGAGGGGAAGAAGAGAAAAGTGCTTGGATCAAATATAAGATTTAGTAATTGGATGTGGAAATAAGCAAAAAAGGAGGCATCGGCTGTGACTCTAGACTGTTGGCTTAAGCCATAGGTGGGGAATTCTTGGGCCAGAAAATCAAGGGCTAGATATTGAACATGCTAGATACTGAATGAATAATAATAGCATTTCAAGTATTCAGTATCTAGCATGTTCAATATCTAGCCCTCTAAATTTGAGGTGCCTGTTAGATAGCCAAAGAAAGATGTCAAATAAGCAGTTGAATAAATGTATTTGAGGCTCTAAAGATAGGCCGGGTTGGGAGATAGCAGTTGGGAATCATCAGCATCAGCATATAGATCTCTTTTAAAGCCGTGAAACTAGAGATTGCCAAGGGAGAGGGTAGTGGTCCATACTCACTGAGAGGTGGTTAGTGCCGTTTTAGTCAATCTGTAGCTGGGTAATGATAGTGGTAATCTGAATATTCATGCTCTGTTGGTCCATATTAAGAAATTCTACTCTAAAATAGTTTTTCAAACCTTACTGACTCATGTTGATTTGTTGATTAAATTAAATGAAGGATTTTTCTAGTTATTATCATAGTCAGTGCTTTCCTTTAAAAAATTATTGACATTGGTTGCTTAGTCTAAGTTTAATGAGGCTTTTGGCTAGGCATTAAATTTTGGCACAGGCTGTCTAATCTATTATAGTATATCTTGGTAAGTTAACATCTATTAATTAATTTTCACAATAGCCAAATGCTTCCTCAGCTTCTCTTTTGTGAGAACATAACGAAAATTACAAAGCAAGGACAAAACTATTTAAAAACTCTTAACCCAGTATTCGTAGGCAAAAGATGGGGAAGGTAGGTATCAAAATATTAACACTAATGATTTTGAGCCATAAGATTATATTTGATTTCAATTTTCTTTAAATATGCATTTTCCATATTGTTAGTGTTTTCTTTATAACCTTTAAAAAGTAAAATATGTATTAAAATGCTGTCTAAAAATTAGTTTTACTTTATAGTTCAGTAAGTAATGATTTAAAACAAAATATTTGAGATTGTATATTAGGCTGGGTGTGATGGCTCACACCTGTAACCCCAGCTTTTTTGGAAGCAAGGTGTGTGGATTGCTTAAGCCCAGGAGTTCGAGACTAGCCTGGGCAACATGGTAAAACCCCATTTCTACCAAAAAAAAAAATAAAATAAATTAGCTGGTTGTGGTGGTGTGCACTTGTAGTCCCAGCTGCCTGGGAGGCTGAGGTGGGAGGGCGGCTTGAGTCCGGGAGGCAGAGGTTGCAGTAAGCTGAGATCACACTACCACACCCCGGCCTGGGCAACAGAGCCAGACCCCGTCTCAAAAAAAAAAAAAATCATGTCTAGACAGGTATTTGAAAGACTGATTTTGTTACATAAAGAGGAAAGGTATAAGCTGGGCACAGTGACACGTGCCTATAATCTCATCTACTTGGTAAACGGAGGCAGGAGAATCATTAGAGCCTAGGAGTCCAAGACCAGCCTGAGCAACATAGCAAGACAGCATCTCAAGAACAAAAAAAAGAAAAGAAAAAGGGAAAGGAAAGGTATAAAGGAATTCGGAGGAGCAAAGAAAGTACAAATAACACACTTTTGAATTCTAGCATTCACTCTAGTGGACAAATTTCCTACTTGGTGATTAAATGGGTGTTCACTAAGGATATTTCTGAACTTTTTTCTCTACATTTTACTTTATGGATTATTCATAAGAAACATAGTTAAAAAAATTTTAATGGTAAGATAGTTATAAAATGTTACTCCAACTAGGAAAAATAATTTTTGAAGGATATATGTATATATAAGTTATCCTTTCTAAGGGAGCTAGTCAGCCCTTTGTTTAGATTTCGTAAGGTAAATTCCAAATAGAGTTTATAAATCTGAGAACAAGAGAGAAGCAAATCCAAGTGGAACAAAGGTCATCTAACCGCCTCTACAAGTATTAGTTTATCTTTGGTCATCAAGTAGCCATATGCAGTGTGTTAAAAAGTCATCAAGGCTGAGGCAGGAGAATGGCATGAACCAGGGAGGCGGAGCTTGCAGTGAGCCGAGATCACACCACTGCACTCCAGCCTGGGCAACAGAGCGAGACTCCATCTCAAAAAAAAAAAAAAAGTCATAAAAAAAATAAAAAACTTAAGCTGTAAAACATAAGATTTTGAGATCCTGGTGACTATATGATTCAGAAAACATAATGCTGTATTTGGTATTAAAGCCAAATTATAATTTTCTGATATCAGGCTTTCTAGTTCAATTTGTACTTGTAGGTTTCACAGGTAGTTATTAAAATATATTTTCAAAAAATTATATTTTATACGGGGCTTTTAAAAATCATAATATTAGAACATCATGTGTAATATATATTAGTAAAACAACGTTTCTTTTGTTTTGATATAGCTTGCATTGAAAGGCTCTAGTTACAGTGGACTTCTTGAACGACATCATATTCACACCAAAAATGTAGAACATATTATAGATAGTTTACGGTAAGTCTATGGGATTGGGTCTTGGGTTGGATTTTATATTCAGGACTTCCAGTTTTTATTTTGTACTAGCAGCCCATTCTTAGATTTTTAGTGATGATTGTTATTATAAAATCATTTTCAGAAAATTATATCAAGGTTAATGGATCTGATTTTATAGCATCTTTAAAGAAAAATTTATTGTTCTCTGAAAATGTCACAGGTGTTTTCAATTATTTGGTCTTCCAGAGAAATGCATCTTCTGTAGAGTTAATTCAGTTACACAGCTGGCTTCAACTGTATAATATTTTATTTATTAAAACAGACTAGTGGATTATATGAGTGTTCATTGTAATAATATTTTTGAGTGTTTGAAAATTATAGAAACTTCTGTCCAAAAATTACAGAAACTTCAGTTAATTCAGAACTAAACACAATTATATGTGTACAAGAGAGTCAGTGTGAGAAACATGCGAATTACAAAGTATTTAGTCACTATTCCGGTGTCTGGTACTCAATGAATATTTGTTGGATTTAAAATAATGGCCATTCAGTTTTATAGTTTAAAAAATTGTCACTCTAAGGTGTTAGTCTTCTGGACCATTTTTGTATTATGAATTTAAGCATTAGAAGGAGTAGAGAAAATGAAATTCTAACCAATATTGCTATTCACTAGTGGTTATAAAAGCTTTTAAAGCACATGGAGATTTGGGATATAACTTTCGATTTATTCATATGCTTCCTTAATTATCATAGTTAATTGGCTGTTGTAATTAAATGAAAACAAAGATAATGTTATAAAGCTCCATGTAAATTTGTTTATAAGACACAAATTTATTTTACATCTCTATTGTAATCATCTGCCTCTCAGAAAACATACCCCTGTTATATATATTATTAGTGGAAATTTCATATAACCTTTCCTTTTTTATCCTAGGAATGAGGGAATTGAGGTTCGTCTAGTAAAGAGGAGAGAATATGATGAAGAGACTGTTCGATGGGCAGATGCTGTCATAGCTGCAGGAGGTAATAATTTGACAGAAGTAAAGATGTTGGCATATACAAATGTTTAATACACATTATTTCCAGATACCCTAGGGTCTAGCTATATTGAAGCCTTCAGAGTCTTACCATTAAACACATTTTTGGATTGTTACGATCAAGTTTAAAACTTCTGTTTTATACAAGGCTACATTTTAAATGAATGACGTTACTATGAGGTTCCTTGTGCATATTTAAGGTATGCATTTAACTTCAAATATGATTCAAAGGATCAGTTATTGTATTTTGGTATAATTATGGCAGTTTTAAGAAAAAAATGAAGTTGATAAAGAGTTTAATGAGATGAGGTAAATTCTATTCCTCTTTGGTCCCAATATACTTGTACTTACTTTTTTCTGAACTTTATCATTAAGTTAATGGCTACTGTTTCTAAAGCTTTAAGTTGACAGCAGGTGTTGAAGAGAAAAATTTGAAGTTGGACACATTGGATATGTTTTTATTAAAATAATTTGTGAATTTGGACTGGTGTTATGGGAGAAGGAAAGAAGATTGGCTAATAGAAATTTTTGGATTAGATTAGTGGTTACTAACTGTGGGGTGCTACTAGTATGTAAAGGGACTACCTCTAAAACATTCTACAGTGTCCCCACAACAAAGAATTATTCTGCCTAAATGTAATCTTGCCACTTATGAAATCCTGGATTAGAGTGGGAGAGAGAATCCAAAGGTATAATAGGTAGAAAGGGAGTGGGATAGGCTATAGCGGTTAGCAGGGTGGGGTATGATTGTTAAAACTACTGATTTTCAAAATGGCCAAAAACTAGATTTATAACAGAAATTTGGTTATGTCTTGTATTTTGTCTTATGTTCCTTAGGTGATGGCACAATGCTGCTGGCAGCGAGTAAAGTCTTGGACAGACTTAAACCAGTTATAGGGGTAAACACTGATCCAGAACGGTAAGAAAGAACGTATACATTTTGTTTGATTTGTGTGGTGTGCTTTTTAAGTTTTTTTTTAGGTTATACATACATGCATTTCTGCTTTGATTGCATAGTATCTTTTTATGGTCTGTCTTAAAATTTGGAAGCTATTTTTTATTTTCTTGACCATGTTCACATTCTTGGGCTCTGTTGCTACAGACATTTTACTAGGTGTATGGTGTCTAAGTGGAAGCATCATTGTTCCTGGCCACCATGAACATTAGAACCATGTTCCAGAAGCATTCTAGTAATCAAATTTAGGTATGTAGAACTGAGTAGGATTGTCTTTTATGTAGTTGTTTTCAAGGATATAGCTCTAGTTTTAAGCTCAGGCATGAAAAATATATATACATCTAGCTGGCATTGGTGGTAGGAAATTATGTTATAGGATGGACCAGTTCTCACATTTTAGCTTCCCAGGTAGTTTGGGAGTAGGATCTGTGGCATAATAGACCTGAGTTCTTGACCCAGGTGAGTGTTGGGGACCTTTGGTATTGCTGAGGAGGGACAAGTTAATAATGATCCATTTTCTACCCTTCCTTATGGCTTGTATTTATATTCCTCATTATGCTACCACTGATTTTTTTGGGGGACAGTGACTTTACTGACTTAATAAAAAGACCTATCTTAATAAAAAGACCAATAAAAACACTATTGGCACTTTTTGTTTCCTTCCTTAGCTTCGTGATATTTACCCTCATTCTGTTCTAGCCACCCACAGCCATGACTGTACCTGGACTTTATGGTGATCTGGAATTCCCTATCTCTACAATCCTAATTAATTCCACTCTGACTGTAGCCTTCTACCTTAACAGCAGCCTTATTACTTTATCCCACTAAATCTGCCCTTTGACTTTCAGTATTTTGATCACCTCCATTTTCTCCACTTATTTCTTCCTCACTTCATTCACTTTCTTAAATATTTCTTTCTTGCTTTCTTTCTTTCTTTTTTTTTTTTTTTGAGACAGAGTCTTGCTCTGTTGCCCAGGCTGGAGTGCAGTGGCGCACTCTCAGCACACTGCAACCTCTGCCTCCTGGGTTCAAGCAATTCTTCTGCCTCAGCCTCCTGAGTGGCTGGGACTATAGGCATGCACCACCACACCTGGCTAATTTTTGTACTTTTAGTAGAGATGGGGTCTCACCATGTTGGCCAGGCTGGTCTCAAACTCCTGATCTCAAGTGATCCACCCACCTTGGCCTCCCAAAATGCAAATGTTTCTTCATCATTATCTTTCTGCACAATTCTAGATCAATCTGACCATCATCCTTTCTACTTCTGCATCAGTACTGCTATGGTCATCTGGGGAAAAAAAGATCATTGGGTTTGGTGGCACTTCCAGTTTGTAGTCTTCAGCACTTGGCGGTGGACTTAGAGTTGCACACAAACTTCCTATGTAGCCCTACTCATCTCTCTTCCCCATTCTCTGTGGTGGCTGCTTCAGTAGTTCAACTTTTGCATTCACTTTGCTTCCCTTATCCTTCTTTCTTCAATAAACCCACCTTGTTTTCACAGAGGAATTGAAAGTCACTGGATTAGAACTACTTCACCTTTTCTCTTGCTTAAAAAAATCTTGTCCTGTCTTGTCTTTTTTTTCTCTCCCTTCACACTTGACTCCTTTTAGCCTAAAAAGACTTGTTCAAGACTCCTGTTTTTCAAGAAAATTTTAAAAATCCTTTACCCTGTGTCACTCTCTTGGTTATTATCTCTTTTCCTTCCACTTATCCCCAAGCTTGGTATCGCCACTCCTTCAGTTCTCAGTTATTTTCTAAAACTTTGCAGTTTTTTTATGGATTTGCCCCCAACCAGTTCATTGACGTTGCTTTTGCCTTAGAGATCAGTGATATCCTACTTACCGAATCTACTGGATATTTTAGTCCTTGTCTTACCTGATTTCTGGGAAGTTTTGGTGCTAACTGCTCCCTTATTTCAACTGTACTTTGTTGGCATTTATGATACCTTTTTCTTCCTATCTCTGTGACTACTTCTTTGTCTGTATTTCTTTTGAAGGATCTTACTATTTGGTTACTGGCTAAATACTGGTGTTTTTACATATTGTGCTCTGGGCCATCTTTTTTCTTCTTCAATTCCTATATTGTCTCTAGGGAGGCTGATTAATACTGTGGTATTATTGGAGTCCCCTGGGACTCCAGAATCTTTATTCCAACACTGATCTTCTTGCTTCCATTCTTACCCTTATAGTTTCTTAGTTCTTCTCCCCACTGCAGCCAGCGTGATTATTTTATGGAAGTTTGATAATATTATGTAACTTCTCTGCCTAGATTTTTTTTTTGTCGTGGCTCCCCATCTAACTTAGGGTAAAATCTACCTTTTTACTATGAATAGGGTGACAAACTTCTCCTGGTTTTCTTGGAACTTTCCTGGTTTTAGCACTGAAAGTCCTGTGTCCCAGGAGAATGTCAGTCCCAGGCAAAGCAGGGAACAGTTGGTCACCTTAAATGTGACATACAGGCTGTACATTATCTGGCCCTTTACCAGTTCTGTCCTTATTGCCTATTATTTTTCCCTTCATTCTATTCTAGCCACACTGGCCTCTACTTTGGATATATCCAGTGGTATTAAAATTGTAACATGTACCAATAAACTCTCCTTTCCTCTCTCCCATCATTCTTGATGAATGAAATCATCTGTGCTGAAGCTGTAACTACCTCTCCCTCACTCTATCATCAAATTGGTCCTAAGTTCTAGGGAACTTACTTTTGAGTCCATCTCTTGCCATCCTCGCTGCCACTAAAAATAGCTCAGCCCTTTATAGTTTGTTTAAATTACTGAACTAGCTTACAGTCTCTCTCCTTCTAACTCATCCTTTACACATTGCCTTAGTCTTCTTTCTAAAGTGCAGATCTAATTGATTATATCCACTTCTTATTAAATCTTTTAGAGTTTCCCATGACCTTCAGGATACATTGTAAATTCCTTAGCATAATACATATTATCTTTCACTGTCTCTTGCCTGTTTGCTTTTCTAGTTTCACCTGTCCTCATATGTCCACAGGCATGACACATTCTTTAGCTTAAAAAATATATTTTTGGAAACTTTTCTAGGATCAGCCTGGGATCCTTTCTAAAAGGCTGTTCTTAACTGCAAAATGTAACTATATGAGTGTCCACCAACATGCTGGTTAGAGGCTCACACAGGGATGCTTTTACTCTGGTGGGGAGCTTTGTTGATATGATGACCCAAGGCGTGATTTGAGAGTAGGTGAAAGAGTTCTCCAGAAGGCCTATGTCCCCCTAACCCACCCACCCATGCCTTTGTATGTGCTTTTGTCAAAAGTTCCCTTATACCACTTACTCACTTCTGTGTTTCTTGTTTGTTCAAGACTGGTGTTTCTCCTGGGTTGTAATTCCCTCTACAGAAAGCACTTATCCCTATATATTTATTTTCTGTTTCTTTTTCTCTTTCATTAGACTATAAATTCCTTGAGTATAGGACCTTGTATTTTAATTTCTCTGTCACTAGCATAGTTTTATACATAGCTGGTAGGCAATAAATGAATTGAAAAATGAATGATTGATTCAGTGATTTTAGGGAATAGGGATAGAACCCCAGTCTAGCTGAGTAAATATTCCCTGAATGTAAATAATAGAGATCATTGGTTCAGTAATTAATTTTTAATTGCCATCAGTGTTGATGCATTTGGGTTTTAGAACTTCTTAATGGCTTATTTTTATATCATTAAGGTAAAAGATCACTTTAGTGATCATATGTTACACAGTTTATTGAACTATATTTTCTTTTGGAAACTGGCTTCATATTCATAAATTTGTGGGAATTTGAAGCTGGCAAGCAATTGTTAATATTGTCATCTCTTCTCTATTTTCTAGCTAGAAGAACAGGTGTTAGAAGTTCTTTGGTTTCTCTTCTTGCCTCCAGGCAGATATGTTAAATTGCCTTCTGGTTTTGTGTATGCTTCAAGTTGTCTGATTTCTTTATCTTAAATATAGTGGTGTCTCAGTCCTTAAAAAAAGCCCAGAAGTTAATGTTCAACTTAAGTTTTTTCTCCTATTTATTAGTTGTCAAATGCTGCATAACTAATCACCCCAAAACTTAGAGGCTTATGACAGTAACAGTGTATTATTTCTTACGGGTTGTGCATGTCGGAGTTCAGGAGCAGTTTGGCTGGGTGGTTTTGGCTTGAGATCTCTCCTGAGGATAAGTAGATGTCAGCTTGGTCTGTAGGCATCTGAAGGCTTGACTTGGGCTGGAGGATCCACTTTCAAGATGGCCCACTCACATGGACTCATCTAAATCAAATGTGTAATTTCTATCCATCTCTTCTGTATTCTATAGCCACTCTACCGAGCCTGGTAAATAATTACAACATTTGAAAGCTTAATATTCAAAATGGGATAGAGGGCATGTGGTAGTCAGCCTCCAAGGTAGCTTCCTAGTATTTAGGTACCCTTTAATGTACTCCTCCCTGCCCCCCAATATTCAATCAAGGATGGCCTGTGTGACCAGTAGAATATGATGTGAGAATGTGTAGGTTCCAAGGCCAGGTCATAAATGGTATTGCAGCATCTGTATTGGTCTTTAGGATTGTTCATTGTGGGGTAGGACAGCCACCATGATGTGAGGATACTCACAAGCAGCTCTGTGGAGAGGCTCACGTAGAGGGTGATTGAGGCCTCCTGCCAATGGCCAGCACCAATTTGCCAGCCATGTGAGTGAGCAACCCTGGAAGTGGTCGTGCTAGTCCAAGTCAAGCCTTCAGATGCCTGCCGCCCTAGCTGATATCTGACTGTAACCTCATGAGAAAGTCTTCTCTCTGCAAGGGTTTTAGACTTGCAGTTGACCTCAGCAGGTATTATTCTATCAAATGACTGTTGATACCTTTTATATACTTAACATTGTGTGAACTATTACAATGAATATAAAAATTTAAAAACCTAGGCCTTACGCTTTCTTAACCTCAGTGTTGACCTGCTTAGATAAAGAAGTTGACTATTCACAACTTTGTAAAAACACTTTTCTGTGCCCTTCACGCTTACAAGTTGATTTACATTTATTATCAGGAGTTTGTTTTGCTAAGCCTACCCTCAGCCTTTTCTTCAAGATTGGAGTATCATTAAATGATGATGACTGAGCCTTCTGGACATCTTTAGGTGCCACATACTCTCATCTACACCAACCAATAGGCAATCTTACCACCTTATAATTTGCAATGGTTTGTTTTAATTTGTCTTCCACATCAAGCTATGAACTCCTTAAAGGAGTTTCATTATTTATGTATTTTTGAATAAATGAAGGATTACATTGGATTAAGCTTTCTCAGTTCTTTTTTAGTGACTTAGGATATCTTAAATGACATTTCAGAAAGGATTATGGTTCAAAACATTTCACATAAATATTTTGATTCCTTTTGAGATTGCTGGTTTATCCTGATTTTGGAGATGAGGAAGCTGATGCTAAAGTGACTTGCCCAAAGTTAATAGTTAAATAATTTAAAGGTTAGAATAAAAATTGGAAGGTTAGTAGTTAAATAATGATTTGAACAACACTGTACCATTAAATAACTTTACAGGGTAATTAGTAGCAGATTTGCTGCTATTTTTAGTTTCATTGTAACGTAGAAACTCACATATTATTATGTATTATGGCATTAAAGCTGGATGTAGACTACTAATTCTATCTGGTCTTTTTTGTTTTTATTTAAAGAACACAATTTTGTGGCAAAAAATGGAATATAGGGTAGACATTTTTAGAATTTCATTTCTTATTTTTATAGCTTAGTGATACCTTTTGATTAAATTTTTTTGCTTCACCTTTTTTCTTTTCCTCTTTATATCACCAAAAAATTCCTGTTAAAATATAGGTCTGAGGGTCATTTATGCCTGCCCGTTCGATATACACATTCCTTTCCAGAAGCCTTACAGAAGTTCTATCGTGGTGAGTTCAGGTAGGAATTTCTTACGGTTGTTCTTATGTAAGTATCTTAATAAGTATGTGCCATTAATAATGCTGTTAAAAAACAGAACAAATCAGGCAGGGCACGGTATCTCACGCCTGTAATCCCAGTACTTTGGGAGGCCGATGCGGGTGGATCACTTGAGCTCAGGAGTTTGAGACCAGCCTGGGCAACATGGTGAAACCTTGTTTCTACAAAAAATACAGAAGTTAGCTGGGCATGGTGGCAAGCACCTGTAGTCCCAGCTACTTGCGGGGCTGAGTTGAGAGGATCACTTGAGCCCAGGAGGTAGAGGTTCCAGTGAGCCGAGATCATGCCACTGCACTCCAGCCTGGGTAACAGAGTGAGACTGTGTCTCAAAACAAACAAACACACAAAAAACCAGAACAAATCAGATAATGTTTGGATTACTCCATAGATATAACAGTAGCCATTAAAAGTAATGTATTAGCTGAGTCACAAATAGGTCTAATTTACCTTCTCCTAGTCCAGTTGGAATTGTGGAGAGAAACCCTGACAAATATTGGTTGGCCTATAATATAACTGCATATAGAAATTTTTTTTCTCCTTCAGTGAGATAGCAGGCATGTCTCTACTTTCTTAACCTCGTTACATGTCCTTATCAGTTTAGTGGAAAGGTAATTAAAACTTTGGCTAAAATTGTTTGAATTTTCAGATTTTATATTTTTTATCTTTATCTCCCATCTAGTAATGATTGAGAGCTGGATTTAATCCAACCATGCTGAGATTCCTGGTATCTGTCTCACATAAAAGTATTTCTTAAGCAGTGGGGATGGGATTTTTAAAAGTTTCTTTTACTTAATGTGTTCAGTGGTCAGACCATCAGGAAAAGAGGAAGGTGGAGGAAGGAGCATGAGGTTGGCCAATTATATTTGAGAGAGCTAAGTTGGACTACTTTTTATTTCCTGACTTGGACTAGATTTTATAGTTGGGGAAAGCTTTTCCCACAGATGTTTGTGAAGTTGTATTAGATCTTCTTTTCAAGAATCATTTCATTACCAGTAATTCTAGTTTCTAGTCATTTCAGAAGTTTGACAAGAAATGGCTAATTTATAGCTACCAAGTGGAAGTATATTTTTGTATACTTACCTAGCAGAATCTGTCCCATTGACTTTCGATACATTGATTATCAGTTTTGAAATCAATTAAACCTGATTGTTTTTTTCCTTTTACCAGAGATGTTATTTAAATTTTTAGGTGTAATCAACACTTTTATTTATTGTTTCTTAATCCTTTTTTCCTTTTATTGTTTTAAAAAACCTCCATTATAAAATTTGTGGAGAGGGATTTTTATCTAATCCAGCCATCTGAACACAATATTATTTTAATTTAAGAATGCTTTCCTTTTTGTATAATATTTTTTGCTGAGCAAAGCACAAGCTATATCTAGCTCAGTATCTTGGACTTTATGGGTTCTTGATAGAGTTTGACTTAATTTAAGTTACTTGGGAGATTTTGTACAAGCACATTAGGTGTTTCCGTTATAATTGAAAAGAGAATAAATATTCAAATCTGTCATTGATAAGGAAGCTATAGGCTTTAGGTGTTTCTGATATAATTTATTCATGGAATAACTGGTAACTAGTTTTTATTAACTATTTAATTTGGTTAAATTATTATAATGTCTACTCTTTAATTTATTCTATTTTAACATAATTTGCCTTTTCTTCATTTTTCTAAGGTGGTTGTGGAGGCAGAGAATCAGGTTATACCTTGAAGGGACTGGCATAAACCCTGTACCTGTGGACCTTCACGAGCAGCAGCTAAGCTTGAATCAGCACAATAGAGCCCTTAACATTGAAAGAGCTCATGATGAAAGTAGGTGGATTGGGCATCAGATGTGTTTGGGGAAATATTTAACTCATAGCTCCTTTGACCTCAAATTTTTTGATGTAATAATTTACTTGTTTTTAGTGTCATTAATAGCACTTAACAAAGTACAGTGAATTACTTCAGTTGTAAAGTTTATTAGAATCTGAAGTAAATAATAGCATATTTCTAGAAATGTTTTCTAGGACAGATTTGAAAACTAGCTGATTAGGGAAGGATTGTAAAGTATCTGATAAGATAGTTGATGTTTGAGAAAAGATTCTTGGCCTTAATCTTTGAAATGTCAAAAAAAAAAGCAGTAGAGATGAAATGAGCTAATCTGTGGAAGATTATGATGGTTATACATGTTATATAGTTATACTTAAATATATTTATTGGGAAATTTTGCATTCCAGCCTTAGGATTTGTGCTTGAAGTATTTGTGTAGCTTAGAGAATATTAGCATAAGGTGATTTGGCAGCTTTTTTTGTTAGGAGGGTTAAAGCAAATTCTCCATTTTGAGCCATATTTTCCCACTTTTTATAGCAAATGTAGGACTTTATTGATGCAAGAATATCCCAAGAGAAATCTTAAATATTTGTAGACTGTTTAAAAAGATACAGTTTTCTCCTATGTTTTATTTTCTGGATAAATTTATCAGGAAAAGCTACTTTTACATTTTTGCTTTCTGCCTCTGCTCTCTCATGGTACCTGATGTTTATATCCCCTTATTCCAGAGTTTTTCATGGTGACTTATAGCTTAATAGGTTAGCATGTTTCTAAGATATGTGTTTATGTTGTGTTTTAAAGGTTCTCCTCCAAAAAAAGAATTCTATTTAAAAAAATCTTAAGAAATTATATGCACATGAACTTCTATTACTGTTTTTGAAAGTCTGCAATAACTATTAAGTACAATTTAAAAATAATAGTTAGAAATTTTAATCCCTCACTGAAAGAAGTTACTTCTACCACTAATAGATGGTAGATTTGACTGTCTTCACCAGCAGTCTTATAAAAAGATATAGATTGGTATATAAAGAGTCACTGCTCAGATTCCTCAGATTCACTGTGTTTAGTTTATAAATGAAGTTAATATTTCATATATAGAAACATACAAACTTAGTGAATCATAGCTCAGCATCTAGGATGTTCACATCTGATTAATGGTAGTTCGAGAAAAAGAACAGAAAAATGTTCAAAATCAAAAGATTATACATGATGATTTCTCAAAACAGGCAGGGGAAATTATTCAGCACGTTGGTCTAGGCAAAGATTTTATGGCTAAGACTTCAAAAGCACAGGCAACAAAAACAAAATAGACAAATGGAACTATATTAAACAAAAGCTTCTGTATAACAAAGGAAACAAGAGTGAAGAGACAGCCTATAGAATTGGAGAAAATACTTGCAAACTATTCATCTAACAAGGGACTAATATCCACAATATACAAGAAATTCAGACAACAAACAAACAAATAATCTCATTAAAAAGTGGGAAAGTCTCTGAATAGAAGTTTCTCAAAAGACATACAGATGACCAACAGCTATATGAAAAAATGCTCAACGTCACTAATCATCAGGGAAATGCAAATCAAAACCACAATGAGATATCATCTCTCCCCAGTTAGAATGGCCGTTATCAAAAAGACAAAAATAACAAATACTGGCAAGGATGTAGAGAAAAGGGAACTCTTGTACACTGTTGGTGGTAATGTAAATAAGTAAAGCCATTATGGAAAACAGCATGAAGGTTTCTCAAAAATCTAAAATAGAACTCCCATACAATCTAGCAATCCCACTACTGGCTATTTATCCAAAGGAAAGGAAATCAGTATAGCAAAGAGATACTGGCGCCTCATGTTTGATGCCGCCCTATTCACAATAGCCAAGTATGGAGTCAAAGTGTCCATCAGTAGATAAATGAATATGGAAAATGTGTATATATACACAATGGAGTACTCTTCACCCATAAAAAGAATGAAATCCTGAGATTTGCAGCAACATGAATGGAACTGGAGGTCACTATGTGAAGCGAAATAAGTCAAGCATAGAAAGACAAATATCATATGCTTTCATTCATATGTGAGAGCTGAAAAAGTTGATCTCATGAAGATAGAGAGTACAGTGATAGTTACCAAAGCCTGGGAAGGGTGAAAGGTGGGATAAACAGAGGTTGGTTAATGGGTACAAATATGCACTTAGATGGAAGGAATAAGTTCTAACGTTCAATAGCATAGTAGGGTGATTATAATTAACAATTTATTGTATATTTCAAAATACCTCATTTCAAAATAGCTGGAAGAGAAGATTTGAAATATTCCCAACACAAATGACAAATATTTGAGGTGATGGATATCCTAAATACCCTGATTTGATCATTATACATTGTATGCATGTATCAAAATATTACCTGTTCTCCATAAATATACACAGTTAGTATGAATCAGTTAATACTTTTTAAAAATTTCAATTAGGAAACTTAGGCAAGAGTCTTTGAATTGAAAGGACCCACAAAGTGTTTCACATAATTAATGGTAAAATGTTCTACACCAAGGTTTGTCAGAATACAAACAGCTACTGCAAGCTTCCAGAGAGGAGGAGGAGATGACTGGAGCAGATTATTTCATATACACTTATCCCTTGGTGTCTGAGGGGGATTGGGTCTAGGACCCTCTGCAGATACCAAAATTCGAGGATGTTCACATCCCTCATATAAAATGGCATAGTATTGGCATATAACCTATGCACATCCTTCCCTATACTTTAATAATCTCTGGATGATGTATAATACCTAACACAATGTAAATGCTATATAAATAAAGACTGGTTTTATTAATATAGAGAGATGAATTGGTTTAATAAACAACCCCAGAATTCAGTGACTGAATGCAAAAGCTTATTTTTAACTCATCTCACTGTCCAAGGAGTTTTCAGGCAACCAAGGCTGCTGCCAAATAGTGGCTGCTACCGTATTTTAAGGCCTCTGAGTCTTCTGTTGGATCCTCTGCATCTTGTGGGGAGAAAACAGAGAACATAGAAGATCTTATGGGAAGTTTTAGGAACTAGGCCTTTTCATTACTTTTGTCCACATTCTGTTGGCCATTACTAGTCACATGGCTCCACCTAGTGCAAGTAGACCTGGAAATAAAGTTTAGCAATATGACAGTGTGAGAGAATTACACAGTGTAGTAGTTTGTGTCACTAGTATTACACTTCTGTGTTTAAAAATACAAATTATAATTTTGTAATCTATTCTCTTGGATAAAAAAGTAATCAGTGGCTGGGCACGGTGGTTCACGCCTGTAATTCCAGCACTTTGAGAGGCCGAGGTGGGCAGATCACCTGAGGTCAGGAGTTTGAGACCAGCCTGACCAACATGGTAAAACCTCGTCTCTACTAAAAATACAAAATTAGCCAGGCGTGGTGGCGCATGCCTGTAATCCCAGCTCCTCAGGAGGCTGAGGCAGAGAATCTCTTGAACCTGGGAGGTGGAGGTTGCAGTGAGCCGAGATTGTGCCATCGCACTCCAGCCTGGGCAACAAGAGCTAAACTCCATCTCAAAAAAAAAAGTAATTGGTATGGAGTCTTATCTTTTCATGTCCCATTGTGGCAAGTTTTAAATGAACACAGTTCTGTGATTAGATAAGGTTTAGTAGTCAATTAGTATGAAAAAATAAGCAGAATTAAGATGATTAATGAGATTTGAAACAATTTTATTTATTGTCAAACTCATTTGACAAAAGTTTTGAATTGAAATTGAACAAGCACATGTAATAAAAATGTAATATGGAGAGATAAATTAGGATGAGGGAAAATGGGAATAGAGGTGGAAAGTCAAGACCGCATAAAAGGGAAACATGGTTACAGTTTGATGGTGAGAGCTCAAATTTACTGGTAATATTTCATGAGTACCTATTGTTGAGCATTTGTAGGAAATCTGTGGGGATAGTAATCTAAAACAAATTTCATTAGTAATTAAGGAAAAGTAATTTAAACAATAAATTTTAGCCATTTATGTTTGTAAAACTGTCAAGAATGAGAATGTGAATATATGTAGTACCTAAGACAGTTTAAAGCCAGTTTTATTCTTATGTGCAATCAAATTTGATTAAACATATCAAATCCATATATATATATATGCATGCATATATAGCTTTTTGTATCAAGGTCTTTCTCTGTATTATGAAGTTGAGCTGATAATTTAGGTAAACAACAAGTGCTCCAAGGGTACTTGGTATTGTAATATCAACTTGTTATATTTGAAAGAATAATTGGGTTGCCTTTAGGCAGTTATAGTCCAAAAGAAATGAGAAAAATATAATGTTCCATTTAATAAACATAATAAACAGAAGAATATAATAATTAGGCTACAAAGTCAAAGGAGAAGAATAGATCAATGTTGTCTTGGTGACAGTGGTGGTTTTATTAGTGTATTTGGTAACTATAGTGTATTAGGTAACTATTGTTGTATAACAAATCACTCAGTTTAGCATCTTAAATGTAAATATTTATGACCTCACACAGATTATAAAGGTCAAGATTCTAAGAGTAGCTTAGCTAGTTACTTCTGGTTTAGGCAGGAGGTGACAATCAAGCTGTTGGCCAGGACAGCAGTATATAAAGACGACTGGAACTGGAGAACACACTTTTTTAGCTCATCACATGGCTTTTGGCAGAAGGCTTCAGTTCCTCACCATGTTGGTCTCTCCAAAGGGTTGTTCATGTTATCTCTTCCTCTAGAGCAGGTGATCTGAGAGAAAGAGAGTGGCCAAGGTGGAAGCAATAGTGTCTTTTCTAACCTGATCTCAGAAGTGATATGTCATCACTGCTGCCATATTCTGTTGGTCACATAGAGCAACCCTAGTATGATGTGGGAAAGAGAGTGTGAGTATATGTATTCACAAAATTGTGAATACCAGGGAGGCAGGAATCACTGGGGACCAGCTTGGAGCCTGCCTACCACAATTGGGATGGATTTTTAAACATTAACTTAGTAGGAATTGTGGAGGAGACAGAAAAGTGAACTTGTCTGACAGCAAACTTGTCACAAGATGCTTGCCTAGTGGGAGATACTTGAGTCCAATAAATCTGATAGTTGTGACATTGAGGATACAGAGTTGCCATTTCCAGTTGGAAACTAATAAAAGAAGTAAAGGGAACCATTTGAAGGGGACAGTCACAAATTTGAACAAGAAAGCACTGGGAATCCTTTGGAGGATTTTATATGATGGTGTAATGTTTAAGTAATTATGAAGGAAGATTACTTTAACTGTGCACACAACCCTATAGATTCAAAAAAAGAAAACATTTTTTTAGGAGTTATGAAGGGGGATGTGGAAATATTCCACCAATGCTGCTGTTGCTAAAAACACTCTTGAGGTTTCCTTATTTGGAAAAAAAAGTCTGATTTCTTAACATACCTGATTTGGTTTCCATCATCCAAGCCATGCATGTCATTTGCTGCTTAAATCCAAAATAGTTCTCTTTTTAATTGGTAAGTTATATCTCTGAAGCTTCCAAGATAAAATTAAGTGTAACAACAAGAATCTTTTGAGATGGATAAATATAGTTCATCACTCTTGAGAAATTGCTTCAAGAAGAATTAAGGTTTATTTTGCAGAGAGAGGGCCTTCATTACAGGTGTAAGTTTAGGTTCCTTTAAGGTTTATATTGTGGATGCTTTAAGTAAAAGATAATTTAAATGTTAACTGTATTAAAGTATGTGATTCTTTTAAAAACAAAAATATAAAAGTTGTAGTGTTTTATAAAATTTTTATAACATTTCTAGAAATCAAGGAGCTATCTTGGATTTTCTTTGTCTTAAATTACATGCAGGGTCTGAGGCTTCAGGACCCCAACTTCTGCCAGTGAGAGCACTAAATGAAGTCTTCATTGGGGAGAGTCTGTCATCCAGGTACTTTTAAACCTGTGATCTTGAGCATGGAATTTAATGTTTTAGTGCTTTTGGATATTTATTCAGTTTCTACAACCTGGCTAAGATTTGTGAATAATATTTTGCAAGTAATGGCAGTTCATTATTTAATGAAATATTTCCAAAACCTTCATAGATGTTAATATGTATTAAGGGGAAAGAATATTCTATGACAAAAAAGTTTGTGAAACCCTAGATTAAATAAAGTTATTGTACTGTGTCCCAGAGCCTTTAATCTGTTTATATAGATGCTTTATTATTTTTTTTTTTTGAGACTGAGTCTCACTCTGTCGCCCAGGCTGGATTGCAGTGGCGTGATCTTGGCTCACTTCAACCTCTGCCTCCCAGGTTCAAGCAATTAGCCTGCCTCAGCCTCCCGAGTAGCTGGGACTACAGGTGCATGCCACCACACCTACCTAATTTTTTATTTGTAGTAGAGATGGGGTTTCACCATTGTTGCGGGAAGTCAGGGACCCTGAACTGAGAGACCGGCTGAAGCCACGGCAGAAGAACATAAATTGTGAAGATTCAATGGACATTTATCAGTTCCCAAAATTAATACTTTTATAATTTCTTATACCTGTCTTTACTGCAATCTCTGAACATAAATTGTGAAGATTTCATGGACATTTATCACTTCCCCAATCAATACTCTTATAATTTCTTAAATATTGGGGGCTGGTTCCCCTGATACACCATGTCGGCCAGGCTGGTCTCAAACTCCTGACCTCAGGTGATCTGCCTGCCTCGGCCTCCCAAAGTGCTGGGATTACAGGTGTGAGTCACTGCGCTTGGCCAGGTGCTTTATTAATGTTTTATTTTTATTCTTTAGAGATGGCATCTTACCATGTCTAAATGTTGCCCAGGTTGGCCTTTAAATCTGGATTCAAACTATGCTCCTGCCTCAGCTTCCTGAGTAGCAGGGACTAGATGTGCATGTCACTGTTCCCAGCTTATAAATATTTAAGAGAGTAATATAGTAAGTATAAATTTGCAGTTGATAGAAAACTTTTATAGGCAGTTCATATTAAGATTTCCTATTAGTGCTTCTTAAAGCTGATTTGTTTGCTTGCTTGTTTTTATAATTTGTTTACTTGTTTTTAACCAGGATCCAATTAAGGATCACACATTGCATTTGGCCATCATGGCCTTTTAAATTTAAGAACACTTCCTTAGCTCCATCCTGTTTTGTCATTCATGATATTAATATTTTTGAATGGTCTAAGCCAGTTGGATTGCAGAATATCCCTTATTTTAAATTTGTATGATTTTTTTTCATGTTAGATTCGGACTAGGCATTTTTGACACAAATGCTCCATAGGTGATGTTGTATCCTTTTTAGTGTAACACATCATAAGGCAAGTGCATTGACAGTTCAAGATTATAACCATTATTGCAAAAATTAAGGTTAATGTAGTTCCTCATTAGGAGTGTAAAAATGTGTGTGTTTCATTACCGGCAGAAGCTGTTTTGTGGGACTTGAATATAACTTAGGCTTACATTATCAACATAATTTTTTTGGAAAACATTTTTGTGGAACACAGTGACGAGCTGTAAAATGACTACTGTGATATAAAGTTAACTCTTGGTAGTACTTTAGAACCTGGCTTCTCATCCTTGTAGATGTAAGTAAATTAAGGGTAGAAGATTAGAGATGAGTTTTATTTGCTACTTTCCTGCTACTAGAACCATGTGAGTGGCCCTTTGAAGATTATGTTGTTGGATCCCTAGTTTACTAAGAGTTCCATAAATTCTGAAATTTTGTTTGCTGGAAGTCATATCCTTTCATAAGAACTTTAATTATAGTGAGAAAAATTTGTCTTAACTAAAAAAGATATTCACATTGTAGCCAATGACTCAACTCGGGTTGTGCCGAAAAAGAGTTGAAGTTTGATTCAGCGGAAGGGTTTGAACAGTTTCTTTGATTTGTAATTAGTTTGTTTATGTAATATTTAACAAAAATACCTCATGCATGTGCTATGTGTAATATGTGAGTCACTAGGGATGTAAAGATGAATAACAAAGATAGTGGTATCTTAATTTTTTGGAGAGTAATACATAATTTAAAAAAGAGTTAAAAGTATAGTAAAGTATAAAAATATACTTTAACACAGCAAGACTTATGCTATATATAAAGTTTTCTCTTTTGCTACATATAAAGTTTGAAGCAATATGGACATGAATTATAGATACTATGTGGTAGTTGAGAGAAGAAAGAAAATTTAACTCTACTGATACAATCTAGTTATTATTCTAAAGACATAAGATAGAAAAGAGAGGAAGAACTTTAAATGAGATTGGAGAAAGTCTACCTTAAATAAATGCAATGATAAAAATGTTTTGTGAGTTTATGCTTACTTCAGGGAAGCCATTTAATGGCTTATTTTATTCTGTTTGTGTATTTTAAAGGTAACTGCTGAGAGCTAGCTTTGCTTTATAATTTTGTACTTACTAAAAAATTAAATAACTTATAAATGGAGGAAAACTTGGATCAGTTGATAGATTTTGGGGGAGTTAGTGAAATTTCTTGAGGGGATTTTCAATCGAATGCTTTTATTTTCTGTGGCAGTAATGATCTGGTTGGTTTATCTCATAAATAACTGATGCTGCTGCTTTTTGTGTTCTTTGATGTCTCACCTTATGTTTTTACTAAGTAAGGACAGCAATGGATTGGCTTCTGATGCTGTTGAAAATAGTTTAACTACTGCAGGTATTAGAACTCACTTTTAAAGATTTTATGACATAGACCATTAGGCAGAAAGGAAATGGACATTTATTGGATGCCTGCTGTGTGTCAGGCACTGCGTATATTGTGTATGCTATCTCATTTAATGCTCATAGCAAGCCTGTGAGAAAGGTGGTTGTATTTATTAGTGACAAAATTGAGATTTGGAGAGTTCAAATAACTAGCACAAGGTCATATAATTAGCTAGCATCAGAACTGTAACATAAACCCGGTGTTTCTGATTCTAGATCCTGTATTGAGGCTTCACTATGCTCTGAAAACTTAAGTGCCTTGCTTGGAAAATATGAAGTGCAGCAATATTATTCCTGCCTCATTTATAATGTTCTTAGATTTAAGAACATTTTAAAGGCCCAATTTTGTTTTCTTTTCTCCTATTTGTTCTAACCTAGAATGTCTTATTCTTGGGCTGTAGCAGTGGACAATTTAAGAAGAAGTATACCCACTCTAAAGGGACTGTGAGTTTTATTGCTGCCTTAAAAAAATAATTTCCCTGAAACAAAAATTCTATGAACTGACTAATCTTGATAAATCTTGCATGTGAGAATGACACTAAATTTGCTCATTATTTTGGGCTGAGCATCTCTCACCTGACTGTACTTGTCTTTCTCTCTGCCTCTGCTTCTTTTCTACCCATGCCCCCTTACCTCTAATCTCTTTTGTTTCTACTTGATTCTGGCATAGTAGCAGCCACTTCTATGGATTTGGCTGGCTTGTCTGTACATAATAGGCTCCTAATGTGTGTTTTCTAGGAAGACATAACAAAGCTATGAAATAGATTAAATGTGAATATTAGGCCTGCTATCTTTTATTTTTAATAAGAAATTCTGACTATAGAGAAAAAAGTGAAAAGGAGTTGTATTATGCAAAACCCTTACAAATTAAGAGCTTACAGGATAAACTGTAAAGGTTAGAATAAGAGATAAATTATCCATAGTGTTAGTGTTTGCAAGCATGTCCAGTAATTATTTTGAAAAGTTGTATTTTATTACGGTTTTATCGTAACTTTTTTATTTGCTGGAGAAAAAAATTCAGTGTTGATCAGTGACACCATTATTTTAAGATAGAGTTTACAAAATAGGCTTTTAGACATTGCAAAAGTTCTTTGAATAGTTACAAATCATTTATGTGTTCATGGAGTTAAAGAATAGTGCCATTTTTGCTGGTGCCAGAAAACCCATTTGATTTCATATTAATGAAATATTTTAAGAAATGTAAATCCCAAGAAATTTATAGTTCTGGTTTATTTCTAGTTTTGTCCACTAATCCAGTATTGGTTGAGAATTTTCTTTACAGCTTTATTATCTAATCTCTGTTAGCTTACTACCAATTCAAAAGGTACATTAGCATGTAACTTAAGAAACAAGAGTTTAGTAGAAACTATTAATAACTTTAAGAATTAGAATCAGCTTTAAAATATATCAAGGACTAGCTACCAAGAATGAAACTCACTTAAGAATAGTATTTTCTTTTTTTGGATTCAGAAATGAGGCTCTGTATATGTTAGATTCCATAAGAGCAAAAGCACAATGCTAGCTAAAAATTTGCAAGAAGCTCCTATTTGAAATATTAAAGTATTGACAGAAAGGAATATATAAATCAGACAGGCATGCAGACATGTAGTTTTTTTTTTTTTAATTTCTTCTAACTTTTTCACTTAATCAGTATTGGAATTAGCATCATGATGTGTGTGCCTACTAAGTCAAGTATTTCTTGGGTAAGCTGACTTACTTAAGATTTCCTTAGTTCTGAAGAAGACTCTCTTATTTACCTTGAACCATAAGCTCAGCAAACAGTTTTATATTCTCAATTCACAGGGCTTCCTACTATGAGATTTCAGTTGATGATGGTCCATGGGAAAAACAGAAGAGTTCAGGGCTCAATTTGTGTACTGGAACAGGATCAAAGGCCTGGTGAGTAACTTGGGATGTTGCTTATCAAGTTTTGTGAAATACTTTTAGTAATGTAATATTTTGGCCCATCTAAGGCCTGTAATATGCAAGAGGTGTCCTGGTGGTGTTATGTAGGTAGGCCAAGTTTCTGTTTCATTCATCATTTGGGTCTAGTAGTCCTGCCTTGACTTCTTGGATTACAGTTACAGCCTGGATTTGGTCATTATTGAGCACTAGGTTTGCAAAGGAAAGGAAATGAGAAGTGGTTTTGGGACTATCTTTTCTTAAAAATGAAAAATATTTTAAATAACTGTAAGGAAATGAATACAAAGTACAATAAAAAAAGTAGGCTGGAGGTTTGTATATTAAAAGCCTAACTGGAGATAACCTGGTGCATCCCTATGTCCTGTTTACTCTATAATCTCCCTCTGGGTAATCTCGTCTACTTCTTAGTACATTCCACATAAATGCCTCCCAAACATACCTTTTCTCCTGAGTACAAACTCATATTCTAAAATTACATGCCAGATAGGATGTTAGTAGCACTTCAGATTCAACAAATTCAGAACTGAATTTATTGTCTTCAGTTTTTCTTTTTGTGTTCTTTATATTGATGAATACCATCAGCATTTACCCTGACTCCATGCTCTAGAGAAAAAAAGCATTTTTTTTTTCCATTCTTCATTCTCCCCTCTATATATCCCAGTCTCTAAATCCTATTAATTGTACTTCTGAAGTCTTAGTCCACTTTTTTGGGTTTCTACTGCTGCTGCTTTGGTCCAAGCCTGCACCTTTTTAGTGAATATTCTTTGTGCCTCACCTTTTATTCTTCAGGCTGTCATCTGCACTACAACAGAGTAATATTCCTTTTTTTTTTTTAACTTTAAAAAAAATTATTATTATACTTTAAGTTCTAGGGTACATGTGCACAACATGCAGGTTTGTTACATAGGTATACATGTGCCATGTTGGTTTGCTGCATCCATCAACTCCTCATTTACATTAGGTATTTCTCCTAATGCTATCCCTCCCACAGTCTCCCACCCCACAAAAGGCCCCAGTGTGTGATGTTCCCCTCCCTGTGTCCATGTGTTCCGATTGTTCAGCTCCTACTTATGAGTGAGAACATGCGGTGTTTGGTTTTCTGTCCTTGAGATATTTTGCTGAGAATGATGGTTTCCAGCTTCATCCATATCCCTACAAAGGACATGAACTCATTCTTTTTTATGGCTGCATAGTATTCCATGGTATATATGTGCCACATTTTCTTTATCCAGTCTGTTATTGGTGGACAATTGGGTTGGTTCCAAGTCTTTGCTATTGTGAATAGTGCCACAATAAATATACATGTGCATGTGTCTTTATAGTAGTATGATTTATAATCCTTTGGGTATATACCCAGTAATGGGATGGCTGGGTCAAATAGTATTTCTAGTTCTAGATCCTTGAGGAATCGCCACACTGTCTTCCACAATGGTTGCACTAATTTATGCTCCCACCAACAGTGTAAAAGTGTTTGTATTTCTCCACATCCTTTCCAGCATCTACAACAGAGTAATATTTCTAAAATGTAGATAAATCTGTCTCTCTTCTCTGCCTTATAACTTTCATTGACCTCTGTTCAGATTGCTTAATCTGTCATTTGAGGCCCTTTAACATATGACCTTAGCGATCTTATTGGCCTTATTCCTGCCCTACCCTTACCCCCACCTATGGCACACTAGAATTGGCACAGCTACTTGCAATTCTCAGCACACTTTTTGTTCTCGCTTGGCTTTTTATTTTTGCTCAATGCAACTTCTTCCTGCCTTGAATGCCTGAACACTCCACTTTCTATCCACTGTCTGAAAATCCAGTCTTGAAATGTCATTCTCTTTAGCAAATCCTTAACACTCACCTGTTTCATAAAGACAGTGAATTAATCATTTTCATCCTTCCCTAACACTTTTTCTCATAGCACTATTATAGCCGCTATTACATTATTAGTTATCTAATATGCTAGTACCCAGCTAGTTAAAGCAACTTTATGGATTTGGGATGGCGACTAGAGGGGTTTTTTTTTCCTGCTTAATCTTTTTATGCACAGTACCTTATATATATTCACTCAAAAAATATTTTTTGAGTAAATGACTATATGCTCACAATTGTATATAGCTAAAACAATGCTTATCAAACTTTTAAATTTGTATAGTTTAATTTAGAGTTTTATTTCCTACTTGTTTAACATGACTTCTTAAACTATTTTATTATGCAAAATTTTTAATATGTATAAGAGTGACAAAATAGTGTAATGAATCCCCACATACCATTAGCTAGTTTCAGTAATTATCAACACATGCCCAATCTTGTTACCTCTGTACCCCTATCTACTTTTGTCCTATTTATTCTGAAGTTATTTTCAGATATCATATCATTTAATTCATAAGTATTCAATAAAAAAACTTAGCCAAATAGTCTTTTTGAAAAAATAAGAAGTATCATTTAAAAAGATAGGTTAATAACTTATTTTCCTGAGGGCCAGTGAAAGGAACATTTCTAAAATGAATTTTCCAATAATTTTATGAAAAAAACTTAATCCTTTAATATGTTATAAAATTATTTTGTAACCATCTTATAGATTAAATTGAAAACATTACAGTTAACAGCTTTCTGTCATTTATGATGATAGTATTTTTCCTGTTGAACATGCTATGCTACTTGTTGAAAACTAGAGTGAAATTAGAAATAGAAATGGAAATTTCTGTTAGAAATAGAGATTGTATTTACCCAGTATTCTTACCATAAAAAATAGGCAAAGTGGTATAATTGAAAAGAGTACTGGCCTGCAAGTTATGAGACCTGATTAAACCACAGACTAGCTTTACAACTATGTACAAATTCCCTTGCCTGCCAAATGCAGGAATTGGAACTGATAAAATAGTAAGATTACTTTGCCTTCTGAACTTCTGTGATTCTGTATGTTTATTTTTTATGCATTGTAATACAAGCTATCAGTTATATAGCCCCTGCTACTTTGTACTGTGCTAGGTACGTTTATATATTAATTAATCCTTTTAGAAATCCTGGAAGAAAGTAGTAGCATTCCCATTTTATAAAGGAGTAAGTTAAGGGTTAGCAAGGATAAATATTTAGGCCAAAGTTATACAAGAAGTAAGAGTCAGAACCTGGATATAAGCACAGGTGTGCTGGACTGCAAAATCAGTGCCCTTTTCACTGTCATTACTACTTGTGCTGCTTCACAAGGGAAGGTCAATTTTTAAATGGAGAGGGAGAGGGGTTCTGAGGTGTCTATAGAGGTCACATAGTTGAAAGAAAAGTCACTACGTTGTACTGAAGAATTATCAAGATAAATTTGCTAATTAATCCCAGTGAAGTAGTGCTTCTGCTAGAGGCAATGGGGCTTCTGTCTGGGGAGGGGTGTAATTTTGATAGATTTTGATAGTTCAAGTTTTCAGCCTTTCAGAGCATAAGGAATGACAGCCACTACAATGCTTTTAAAGCATTCCTCGCCTCCCACATGCACCCAGTAGTTGAGTCCTGTGTTGATGTTGCATTTCGATAAGTATGGGTTAGATTAAAATCTCAGCCTTCTCTATGTTGCTTGTTAAAGTCTTCTATTATTTCCTGTGCTCTAGTATAAAAGTCTTTCTCACAAGCTATATCCTATCCCTGACACCTTCGTTGCTCAGTCTCTTCTCTACCAAGCCCCATGCAGCTTGCTTGCATCTAACATGTTCTCCCCTCTTCCATTACTGATGATTCTTTTGCTATGATTGCAATTCCCATTCATCTTTTGTCCTTTTTGCTTCAAAAAATGTAGGAAGAGAAGAGAAGCCGAGGAGCCAGAGGGGCTGGGGAAAAGCTGTATATTTCTATACATTAATAATTTTTGTTTTTATCATACTACTATCTCTGAGCACATTTTTTGTTCCAAGCTAATTAGATGATCTTGTTTAAATTCTCACAAATACTCTGGAAGTAGGTGATTTTATTTTCATAAGTAGAATCCAAAAAGTTTCATAAGTTAACTGACTTTCCCAAAGCTATGTGGCTAATAAATGGTGAAGTCGTGATTTAAATTTTAAACCTATCTGTAAACCATAGACCTCTGAAGAATCATTGGAAAGAAAATATTAGGATAGTCTATTTTTCTCTCTTTTAATTCTTGATAGAGAGGGGCTTTTTTTCTTGTATGGAATTCTTTAATTAGTCTTTGCTTTCAATATGAAATGTGGAAATGTATGACTCATGGTAAGCTATTTGTTATAAAAGATAAACCACCAATCTCAGTGGCTTAACACAGTATAAGTCTATTTCTTGTTCTTGTAAAGTCTGCAGTGAGTATTCCTGATTGGCAAGTGGCTTCCTGTAAGTGGTTATTGAAGGAGCCAGAGTTCTTCCATCACGTGGCTCTACCACCTTCTAAACATAGCTCCTCCGGTTGCTGTGCTACAGAAGGTGGAAGAGCATGGAGGGTCCCCATGGGAGGCTCTGAGCCAGGCTTTGAAGTATTGTTTATCATGTCCACTCTGATTCCATTAGCTACAACTCAGTCACATGACTATATGGCATGAAGAGCTAGAAAATATAACCTATGCGTTCAGGAAGAAAAACAGGTTTGGGGAATAGTTATTCTGTCTCTGCATCTCCAAAAATTCTTCCACAGGAGACAGGATATAGGGGTGGTATTACACAGCAAATGTCTCTGAATTGTCCCATTATCCTGTCAGTTCTCTGTTCAGTGGGGAATAAGGTTTACTCCATACACTGGGAGAAATACTACAGAGCCAGATCACCATATGTTTCAATTAGTTTCTTCTTAAGATTATTCTCAGTCCTTTTTCTCCATACATGCTGCCCTACCAGACTTAATTAAGGATGAAGATGTATGTTTAGGAGATGGAGCTTTAGTAGTTGATGAAGATGTGATACTCAGTTTGTCTTCCAGTTTGGTAGTAGAGGTTATGTCTGATTTTAAATGAGAACTCTTAGAATGGTGAAGGTTGTAGACCTAAGAAAAAAATTCTCATGTTTTTGCATTTCTCCAAACATGAAGGGTACAGGGTTAGCAGGTATAAGAGTATCTCTTACTCTCACTCCCCCAAAACGTTAAGAGCCAGTAATTTAGATTTAGAATTGCGTTGACTCATATGTTATTCCTGTTCCTTGGGATTATATATTGAGATCATGTATGAAGAGTTATGAGGCAGTAGAAGAATTCAAAATTACTGGGAATATATTTTTTTAAAAAAACAACCTTTTCTTAGTGATCTTTATAGACCCCGGGACAGAACTATTTTGAAAAGTTATCCATGTTTGTACTAATGCTTGTTTTTTAGTGGTTAAGCAAGGCATTGCACATGTAAAAGATTTCTTACCTTCAAGGAAACTATTTTATAATTTAAAGAATACTTGCCTAGGTTAAAAAGTACAAAAGGGTATACAGCAAAAAGCTAGTCTCCCTTTCATTTCATATCTCTAGTACTTATCTCTAGAGTCATACTATATATATATTTTTTGTTTTTAAAATGAAACAACATATACACTATATGATACCTTTTATTTTTTAACTTAATATTTTGGTTATCCTTACATATCAGCACATATATTTGTATTATTTTTAATATCAATGAGTAGCTATAATTTATTCAGTCAGCTTTCTATGGGTACCTATTTGAGTTGTTTTGCTGTTATAAACAGCATTTCAGCTAATATTTTTGTACCTATCTTTGTGTATTATAGATGGAGGTATATTTTAGGTTAAATTACTAGATTGAAGAATATGTTCATTTTAATTTTGATAGTGCATAATTGCTCTCCAACTGCAATATCTCTGTTCCCATCAATGTATGAAAATACTTGTCTCATCATACCCATACTAGCACATTATTTACCAGTTTTTAACTTTGTTCATTTAGAACTTCCTCCTAATTTCTAAGAATTTTCTATATTTTAAGTAGGTTATTCCTTTTTGATTTTTAGCATGTTTTTAGAATTAAAACTAAGAATTATGTGATTTTTGTTTCTAGGTCATTCAATATTAACAGGGTTGCAACTCAGGCTGTAGAAGATGTTTTAAATATTGGTGAGTACCAAAACAGCTATTGGAGTAGTCCCCTCTTATCCGCAGGGGACAAGTTCCAGAACCCCCAGTGAATGCTGAAACCTTGGATACTACCAAACCCTTATACTATGCATTAATTTCTTTTTCTTTCTTCACAATATCACTGATAGAAGATTCATATATCTGATTGTAAATCTTAGCAACCTCAGCATATGACCTTTTTCTTTGAAAACTTTCACCTGTTCATGTAAAGGAAGCATTTTATGGCTTCTCTTTGGCATATCTGATTTGCCGACATCACTACTTGTGCCTTGGGGCCGTTATTAAGTTAAATAAGGGTGACTTGAACACAAGCACTATGATACCATGACAGTCGATCTAATAACCAAGTCAGCTACTAAGTGACTAATGGGCCAGTAATATGTACAGCATGGATAAGCTGGACAAAAGGATGACTCATATCCCAGGTGGGTTAGAGCAGGACTGCGTGAGATTTTACCATGCTACTCAGAATGATGTGCAATTTGAAACATGAATTGTTGATTTCTATAATTTTCCATGTAATATTTTTGTATCATGGTTGTCTGCCAGTAACTGAAACTGGAAGAAAGCAAAATCATGGAAAGCAAAAGTGCTAATAAGGGCGAGGGGGGGCTACTGTTTATTTATGATAATATGCTATATAATGTATACATGTTGTTTTATATTAGCTATTATGTTACATAATAACATATATATATATAACACATATACACTTTAAGCATTTTTCCCCCTTTTTCAAGGAAAATATATATATAAGATATATATATTTATAACATACATTTTCCCCCTTTCCTTTTTCAACAGCAAAACGACAAGGAAATTTGAGTCTTCCATTGAACAGAGAATTGGTAGAGAAAGGTCAGTGACAAATGATAATAATCACTAACAGTTTAGTTCTGTTTCAGTTTTAAGGATGATAGTGTGAAGTGTTGTTTAATTAGCAAAGTACTTTTTTTTACTCAAACATGCTTTTAATACAATATCCCCTTAAATGTCTTTAAGCAACATAAAGATTAAAGTTGGACTTTTGTTGTGATTTTTAGTCAACCCTGAAATATAACTCTTAAGTCAAAGCAGTATAACTGCAAACATGTCCTGGGGGATAGGGAATTACAGAAAAATCCTTATCTCACAAATAGGAAATGCATAGCTAAATTCAGTAAGCCATTAATATCCTCTGAATGAGATGGAATTCACTGAGCTATGAGTGCTTATCTTCTTATTCACTCAAATATTCTTTTTAACATTCTTCTCCCTAGTTTTGCCTGATTACCTCACGATTCCTGTAAGAGAATTAGTGCTGTTAGAGAAAGAATACTTATGAAGAAATCTGAAATCGTAGGTTCCATTTCCAGATCTACTACATCAGCTGTGAAACTTGGGCAAGGCTGTGATCCTCTACAGTTGTAAAAAGAGGGGGTTAAAGTAGATCATCTAGCTGGTGTTTGTAGAAGTTCTTCAAATGTATTCTTTAAATTCTGTTTAAAACAATTTAAATTTTTAAACTGAAAAACACATTCATTTGATTTGCGTATCAGATTGTAACACACTGAAGTCTACTATCTACCAGGATCATTCTTGTACACACCTCAAAGTAAAGCTTTTTTTGCTCTCTGCATTGAAGGATATCCTAAAATTTCAAGCTAGATTGTTTTTTATAAAACTCCAAACCCAAATGTGTTTAAAGTTACATCTACCAACCTATGTATTTTCTCAACATATATGACAAAAAATATATAGACACCAAGTGAATATTGACACATGTAAGACTGCAACTGTCATCCATAAACACAAATGCTTGGATTTATCAGAACGGCCTCATTCTCATTGGTTACCTTAACATGAGTTAGCAATATCTTTTTCTTTTTTTTAATTTTATTATTATTATACTTTAAGTTTTAGGGTACATGTGCACAACGTGCAGGTTTGTTACATATGTATACATGTGCCATGTTGGTGTGCTGCACCCATTAACTCGTCATTTAGCATTAGGTATATCTCCTAATGCTATTCCTCCCCCCACCCCCTACCCCACAACAGTCCCCAGTGTGTAATGTTCCCCTTCCTGTGTCCATGTGTTCTCATTGTTCAGTTCCCACCTATGAGTGAGAACATAACCTGATACAATATTTGAACAGTGTCAGTTTATCTTTATTGTTAGGTTTCCACATAAGACCTCCTTTGTTGGGGGGACAGTTTGCCTCTAAAATAGTTTGAAAAAAGAAGCAAATCTCTCAAGCCCCGTTCAGCCTTCTAAAATGGATTCTGGTCTCCTTCACTCAATTTGAGACCTACAAGATTATTTTAATCATGGTTCATGAATTAGCACCAGCAGTAAATCTGTATCAAAGGAAAGTTAGGTATATATAGTAATTGCTTCTTAATTATATAATTCAACTTAAAAAATAATATATATAAAATAACTGAAATTTATATCAGGTATATATATAAATTAAGGATGTATATATATATTAATTTATATTATATCTATATATATATAAAAATATCTGTGACTTTCTTCTTTTAGTAAACATACCAAAGCTTTACTTTAATGAATGGCATTCCTTTCAAGATTTGACTATCTTCAGAAGCAACAGTGAATGCCAGTGATGCAATCACTGTTACAGACATTTATGAAATTACTCTTGAAATTTCCTTCAGAGCTAGCATGCTTTTTTGTGGTGTGTTCTCATGAAGCCAAATTTTATTTTTGTGGGTGAATTAGATTTTTTTTAAAGTCAGTAATTCAAATGAAACTTTTATAAATAAGGTAGATTATCTGACAGTCTTTTAATTTTTTTAATGTAGTACTCAACTAAACTTTCAAGCCTGATATCTTTGTAGTTTTCTCAACCAATTTGTGCTTTGTATTCCAGCCCTCCTGTACCTCTTGATTAGAGAGAAAGCAGGTCCCAAAGATTTCTAGAAAATATGTTGAGTAATGGGGGTGTATTGGAGAAAGGATATTGCCTGTCATTGTTTGAGACTGCATTTTATATCAAGCTGTTTGCTTATTATCATCGTTATGAGCTCTTTGACATGGTATTTTGGAAAGAACTTGGTAGGGCCATATGGCAACTCAAGTTCCTTTTTTGAGTGCATCTATCTAATTCCTCTATTGTTTAATTACAAGTTTTGAAGCTAGTGTTTTTTATTTTTTTCTTTTTCCCCAGTTGTACCTATTCCTACTGTATTGTGGGTGATGTATGTTTCTGTGGGCAAATCATGGTACCTAATTCTTATTTATAAGGTTTTTTGTTACTGTGTTTTAATGGAATATGTGTTACGAGTTTCAAGAAACTTGTTCCCAAATATACTTTTGGAACAGAATTTAAATGGGGGATGGCATCTATTTTTTGTTTTGCCCTTCTCAGAAGTGACCATCTTTTATTGAGTGTGCTAATTTTTTTTTCTTTGTAGTAACAAATGAATATAATGAATCACTGCTCTACAGTCCGGAAGAACCAAAAATACTTTTCAGTATTCGAGAACCAATAGCAAATAGAGTTTTCTCAAGCAGTCGTCAGCGTTGTTTCTCCTCAAAGTAAGCATCCTCAATCTGACTTCTGACTGTTTTCATCCCTTTCATTGTTACAAAGCCCACTTGGTTTGAAAACTATTTAATTTCATTAAATTTGCTCATTCAAACTTAATCTAGCAGGAAAAGTAGAACCTGTGAAAGTAACAAGGTATCATGCTAACCCGGCTAAAATCATATTTTCTTTTACACTCATTGTGCCATTTTAGAGAAGCTAAAACTTAAGTGACTAGAAAGGGTACAGTTATTTATTTCAGTGATTTGTTGGTTTTTAAAAAATGAACGAAGACACAATAATTGTAAAAGAAGCTGAATAGAAAGCCCCTTCTTTTTCATAAGCTGTAGAATAAAAACACAATAAACACTGATAGAAAACTTAGATTGCATAGCAATAAACCTTTAGAATAGTATTCATTTCTTCTAGGTTTTCCCTAAAAGTGACCTCCTGCCTATTGAATTTGCTTCATTTTATTTTTGGGGAGAGAGGATATAAAAAAGTGGATGTAATTTCTTATTTTGTAAAGGTTCCCCAATTTTCCAAATTAACAAGAAAATCTAAAATTCGGAGAAAATGTCATCTATCTCATGGCAAGCAGAAAACAGCTTAAGCAATTAACAAATTGCTGACCTTAGTGTACATATTTTCTTTTTATAGACATACAATTAATTTTTTCCCCAGGTTAGACACAAATAAGGAAATTTATCTTAACATTCATGTTGTCATTTGAGAGTTAATTTGATTAATCCACAGATGTGTACTCAGTTTGGGTGAGACGACAAAGACTCCTTCAAAGATATATACTACTTATATTTAAGTTTTTGCTAATAGGAGAATAGCTTTGTGATTTTGACATGGAAAAGATTTCTTAAACATGTCATAAAAAGCACTATAACAACAAAAGATTGACAAATTGAACTACACTGGAAGTAAGAACTGCCAGTAATCCAAAGATACCATTAAGAAAACAAAAAGGCAGAGCGAGAAAGATATTTTCAGGACCTATATCCAGCAATGGGCTCATAGCCAGAATATTTAGTATATAAAAGTTCCTACTGACAGTAAGAAAAAGGCAGGCAACATGACAGAAAAATGGCCAAAGTCAGGCATTTCACAAAAGGTGATATTCACATGGCTAATAAACACAAAAAACATGATTGACCTTATTATTCATCTGGGAAATGCTAATTAAAACTACATAATACGCTACCATATACACCCACCAGAATGGCTAAAGTACCAATTGTTGGCAAGGAGGAACAACTACAACTTTCTATATATTCCTAAATTTCTGTTAGGAATATATAGCTTGGAAAATTGTTTGGCAATTACCTAGCAAACCTGCACATAGCATACACGGTGATCCAATAATTCCCCTTTGAAGTATACATCCAAAAGAAATGTAAGCACCAACAGAAATATGTGCGCAAAGACATTCAAGAATATTCATAGCAGCTCTACTCCCAATAGCCAAAAACCCAAATGTCCATGAATAGTAGAAGAGAGATATAAATTTTGGTGTTTTCATATAACAGAAGTGATTTCATACAGCATTAAAAATGAACACACTACTATTACTATTACATGTACTAATATGGCTGAATTTCACAAACATACTTTTGAGGAAAAGACAGGCACCACTGTGCATATTATATTCTTCCATTTATATAAAGCTCAAGAACAGACAAAGCTATTACTACTGCAGTGATAGAAATTAGGAAGGTGCGTATGCTTGAGGAGGGAGCAGGGATAGTGACTGGGAGAAGGCAGTGAGGGAGCTTCCAGCAAGCTGGGTAAGAGTTGATTCCTGAGTTGGGTGATCATAAGTGTGTTCACTGAACTGTACATTAATAATTTGGGTGTATACCTGTATACATAATTACATGTACCCAACTCTTCTGTATATGTGTTATACTTAAGTAAAAATTTTAAGTACAAATTTTACATGAAAATAGTTAACACTCTTATTCAATACTTAATATTTGTAATGTTAGTAATTCAGCATTTAATCATATGAAAACAGCCTGTGAGTTCAGTCAGGTCTGCACTTCTTTACTGCTAAATGCTTGAGCGAATGGTGCCATCCTGAACGTTTTGAGACCTTCATAATATACCCATATATTTACATAGTGACTAATTTTCTCATACCAGAGAACAACTTGATTTTTAAAATGGAGGCCAAATGATCTGCTAGGTTAAAATTCAGGATTAAAATAACCTATTAAGAAAACTATTACTATTTAATGAGATATTTCCTTCTGCCTAGGGTTTGTGTTCGTTCTCGTTGTTGGGATGCCTGTATGGTTGTGGATGGAGGAACTTCTTTTGAGTTTAATGATGGTGCAATTGCTTCGATGATGATCAATAAAGAAGATGAGCTTCGAACTGTGCTTCTTGAACAGTGAAGGATTTCCTCATGACAAATTTTGATTACTGGCGAGAATATTTTTACTTCAGAAACAGACTACCAGTCGTAAAGTGACATTTTTTGGTTATTGTTGAGACTGCTTGCCCGTGGGCTCAGAAGTGAGATTTGCATTATTCTTCTGTTGGATTCTGATAGAAAAAAAGACATTCACTGTATAAGAAAATGGATGGACTGAACCAATTAGAATTGATACCAGTGAAATTTTTATATTGCTTACAATTGGTAACCAAGAGTGCTGATACCTTTTTAAATTTAGAGGGGCAGGCTTAAATAAAGGACTAAATATTTAGGATTTGAAACTTAACTGTATAAGTGTGTTTTCCTTCCCTTTCCTCCTAATTGTGGGATTGTCAGAACTGAACACATATCATTTGATTAGTGCATATTTTTTATAGTACCTGAAAACCAAGATTTTGAAAAAATTTTCAAGACAGAGAATTTTGATAAATCCTGACATTGACCTAATTGACATAGGTAAATATGTTTGTATATGTGCTAATAATTTTCTAATTTCGGAACACGATGATGTTATGACTATTGATTTAAAAATTTCAAATAATAATTTTTGAAATTATAGATGAATGCTTTCATTTGAGTTTCATTCTGTAATTCAGCAGTTCTGGGTGAAATACAGATAGCAAAACAAATCATGATGCTGTTACAAATGTATTAGTTATCCAATAAGTGTTTTAAGTCAATTTTTTTAAAATGATATGAGTCTTACAGGTTTCTTCCATCTTTAAAATGCTCAAACATGGATTCAGGGACTAAAAGGATGAACTGATTAGACATTTTCTATTAGGAGTTTGGTAAAATATTGTAAAAATATCTTCACCTGTGTTAGGAGTATTATCAGAAAGAATGGATTCTTTAATAAATATGTAAAACACAGTAGTTTTGGAATTGCCTTCCTTAGTATTGTGGTTTTCACCTAGCTTATATTCCAAGATTTACAGAATAGCTTTTAGGATAAGATGTTAGGACTTTTTTTTTTTCCCCATGAGAATTCCTTTATTTTTGGAGGAAATTATTATCTAATTATTGATCTACTTATAAGTAATCCTAGAATTTTTGCCAAAAGATCCTGTCGTTGCATAATCAAACAGTTGGTATTCTCGTGCCGTTGTTCAAAGTCATGTGTTTCTTTCATTTGGTGCTGAAAATTTCTGTTCAATCATTGACAAATATTTATTGAACACCCACTCTGTGCCATGTAAAACTATGTCAGGTGCTGGATATGTTGATGAATGAAACAGACTCTATCCTTATACAATTTGAGTCTTGTGGGCTCAGAAGTAAATTCTGTGAAAGCTGGACGGATAGTCGAATTGAGTGCTCTTAGTTTTGCCAATATTTAACATGTTGTTCTTATCAATTTTTTAAAATAAATGTTAATGTACAAAGTTAATCTAGGTTTTGATGTATATCCAGAGAATCAATTTTTCTTAAAGTATCTGCGTAGACATTCATAGCAAAGAATTTATGACATATCAGATAGAAATACATTAAAATGTAGTGTTTTCCCAGAGATTGATCTGGCTTTTTTTTTTTGATATACATAAGATACCACTTTATAAAGAAGCTCCATACTATAGAACCTCCCCTAACAGGCTTAAAATACCTTCTTTTTTTTTTTTTTTTTTTTTGAGAACGGAGTCTTGCTTTGTCACCCAGGCTGGACTGCAGTGGCATGATCTCGGCTCTGCAACCTCCATCTCCCAGGTTCAAGCGATTCTCCTGCCTCAGCCTCCCAAGTAGCTGGGATTACAGGCAGGCACCACTATGCCTGGCTAATTTTTTGTATTTTTAGTAGATATGGGGATTCACCATGTTGGTCAGGCTGGTCTCGAACTCCTGACCTTGTGATCTGCCTGCCTCGGCCTCCCAGTATTGGGATTACAGGCATGAGCCACCATGCCCGGCCTTAAAATGCCTTCTTAAAGGAAAAATGCCAACTCCATCCTTAATCTCAAGGAAATCTGATTGTCCAAATAGATCTGTTAATATGTAACATATTAATAGGTAACTTGCTGTGTAAAATTATAAGCCATATTTTAAAAGGTTTTAAAAATACTTATTGTGCTCCATTTGTGATATAATTTCTAACATTTCTGCTCTGTGATGGGGGTTTATTTGTAAGAATAAGAGGCAAAGGAATGTTAGCATAGCAAAAATGTGTTTGAATGAGTTAACCTTTTAATCGCAACCCTATGTGAATAAAATTACTCCACTGTTACCTCTTCTTTTTAACATTTCTTATTTCCCTCTCAAGGGGTCATTATTTGAAAACTAGTTTTCACAAAATGTTATGTTTCAGAAGTGTTTCCCCACTGCTGTGTATTATTATTCTGTGCCCTGTTGACTTCATTCACTGTTAACATTTGACATAGAATGATTAGTTATTAAATCAGGGTGAAGTGCTTACCTGGTCAGTGTAGGCTCTTCAGATAATTTTGACTTAATATTTTTGATACTCCTTGTGCATTTACATTCATGGCCCCTGTACATTAAATCATATTACATGTTTTACTACATTGATTTCACTTTTTAATAAGCAGAAAGAGAGCCAGGTAACACATTTTTATTGTAAAATATCCACTTGAGTTGAAAAAGTTGTCAAATACAAGTTTAAGGATACGTTATATATTTTGCTTAGTTGTGAAAATAATGTACATTTAGAATTTAAATCACTTAAATTCATTCCATTGTACCAATATTATTTATGCATCCTTATACTTAAGAATAGCATCTACTAAGACAATTATGCAGAAAAGATCCCAGGGATAATGCAACACCTAAATATAATGGTGGGGGAGATAAGAGTAAATGTACTAATGAGTTGTCTAACTAAAGAATAGTTCAATTTTATTTTTTCAAAGGCATTTTATTCTTGACTTTAACATTAAAAGTACTCAAGGGATTGGGGCATAAGTCAGTGAGAAGGCTTATTAAGTTTTCTACATTAAGGTATGAAGAGTTTTTAAGTCTTACGGGCTTTAAGACTTTTTTTAAAGAAAATCACTGACTACATGAGCTAAAAGTAGAAAAGCATATTTTAAGTGTTAATCTGAATACCTTAAATATAGTGATTTTAATGCTCAAAATTACAATTTAGATATTCTGGTATTTAGAGAAATGTAAAAATACCGGCATTTTAGTATTTAGATTTGCTAAAACATAGTAACTCAAAGCAGTTACGTTTTGAGTTATCCATAATATTAGTATAGGCTTTTAGGGCTTTGACTTGTATCTTGAAGGGTTAGTCTCTTGGTGAAGAAAACTTTGATTTTCTGGGATATTTGGCTAGGTGGGGAGGAATAGTAAAGAAAGAGGAGGTTGTCATCTTGCTTGTTCCATGGTTAGGGTATGCAGTGACAAGAGGTTTCTTTCTAGTTTGCCCAGTCTCTAGACTACTTGCCTTTGTTTCCTCATAGGCTCTGCATCTTCTCCTGGGCTGTTGTATCCTGCACATTGTGGATGGTCAATAAATGTTGAAGTGTAATTGGGTTCACCAGGATAGGACACAAGCGCTTTATCCAGAAATAAAGTTTTGCACTTGGCCAGTGTCCCTCATGTCTCTGGAGCTTGTGGATAGGGTCTATTAGGAATCAAGAGCCCAAGAGCAGGTAAAGTGACAGCAGTGAAAATGAAACAGACAGGTATGTATCTGAATAGAAGAACAGGATATTACTTATCAAGTGTCTCCTGGCTAAAAAAAAAAAAAAAAAGAACTTGATGATACAAGCCTCTGGAGCACTGACACTATTGACATTTTGTCCAGACAATTCTTTGTTGTAGGGGGCTTTCCTGTTTTCGGATGGTTAGCAGCATCCTTAGCCTCTATTGCCTGTATGCCAATAGCACTTCTCTTGTGACCATCAAAAATGTCTTCAGATGTTACCAAGTATCTCCTGGGTGGGGGAAAATCACCCCTGGTCTAGAGCTTTTTGTTGCTAGATCTAACCACCAGTTTATGGGAATAGGGGAAAGATTAACCTATTACTCCAGGGATAGACGCAAAATCCAGAATGTAGAACACAGGACAGATAACATAGTTTCTTCAATAAATAAATTACAAGGAAAGAAAGGAAGAAACCCTAAATTTAAGATTTAGAGAATTTAAATCAAATGCAGTATGTACACCATGTTTGGATCCTGAGCAAAATAAACCCATTGAAGAAAACACGAGACAACTGAGGAATTGTCAACACCATCTTGATATACAATGCTTCAGGATTCACGCAGGAAAATCCCTAACTTTTAGAGGTATATACCAAAATAGTTATGATATTATGGGTCTGGGTTTTGCTTCAAAATTATCTGTATTGGAGGGGAATGGTTGAGATCATGGATTCAGTGAGATTGGCCAGGAATCAATGACTGTTGAAACTGGAAGATGGGGTCCATCATATTCTTTTTTTTTTTTTTTTTTTTTTTGCATATGTTTGACGTTTTTCATCATTTAAAAAAAGGCATAGTGGTGATAGGACCAGCACAATTGGGTGATATTCAAGAATCACCATTCTACCATTCGAATGGAAGGGTCCAAAAGGAACAGAATTCCTGGAAGGCCTCTGGGCATACAGTGAACATTCAAATAGTTTCTGAATGACAATAAAACACATAGTATAACCTGATCAAATATATTTTTAAAATGCTGCTGACTTTTATTGATAATACTCCTTTGTCACTTGAATTCAAATGTTTTGTAAATATATTACTACTGGAAGCACTTTAAAGATAACAAGCCTGGTGAGGTGGTTCCAAGATGGCCGAATAGGAACAGCTCCAGTCTACAGCTCCCAGTGTGAGCGACGCAGAATACGGGTGATTTCTGCATTTCCAACTGGGGTACCGGGTTCGTCTCACTGGGGGTGTCGGACAGTGGGTGCAGGACAGTGGGTGCAGCACACCGAGCATGAGCTGAAGCAGGGTGAGGCATCGCCTCACCTGGGAAGTGAAAGGGGTCAGGGAATTCCCTTTCCTAGCCAAGGGAAGCTGTGAGAGATGGCACCTGGAAAATCGGGTCACTCCCACCCTAATACTGTGCTTTTCCAATGGTCTTAACAAACGGCACACCAGGAGATTATATCCCGCGCCTGGCTCAGAGGGTCCCATGCCCATGGAGCCTCGCTCACTGCTAGCACAGCAGTCTGAGATCGAACTGCAAGGCAGCAGCGAGGCTAGGGGAGGGGTGCCTGCCATTGCTGAGGCTTGGGTAGGTAAACAAAGCAGCCAGGAAGCTCGAACTGGGTGGAGCCCACTGCAGCTCAAGGAGGCATGCCTGCCTCTGTAGACTCCACCTCTGGGGGCAGGGCATAGCCAAACAAAAGGCAGCAGAAACCTCTGCAGACTTAAATGTCCCTGTCTGACAGCTTTGAAGAGAGTAGTGGTTCTCCCAGCACAGAGTTTGAGATCTGAGAATGGACAGAATGCCTTCTCAAGTGGGTCCCTGACCCCCGAGCAGCCTAACTGGGAGGCACATCCCAGTAGGGGCAGACTGACACCTCACACGGCCAGGAACCCCTCTGAGATGAAACTTCCAGAGGAACGGTCAGTCAGCAACATTTGCTGTTCAGCAATATTCGCTGTTCTGCAGCCTCCGCTGCTGATACCCAGGCAAACAGCGTCTGGAGTGGACCTCCAGCAAACTCCAACAGACGTGCAGCTGAGGGTCCTGACTGTTAGAAGGAACACTAACAGAAAGGACATCCACACCAAAAACCCATCTGTACGTCACCATCATCAAAGATCAAAGGTAGATAAAACCACAAAGATAGGGAAAAAACAGAGCAGAAAAGCTGAAAATTCTAAAAATCAGAGCACCTCTCCCCCTCCAAAGGAACAAAGCTCCTCGCCAGCAATGGACAAAGCTGGATGGAGAAAGACTTTGACGAGTTGAGAGAAGAAGGCTTCAGATGATCAAACTTCTCCGAGCTAAAGGAGGAAGTTTGAACCCATGGCAAAGAAGCTAAAAACTTTGAAAAAAGATTAGACGAATGGCTAACTAGAATAACCAGTGTAGAGAAGTCCTTAAATAACCTGATGGAGCTGAAAACCATGGCACAAGAACTGCATGATGCATGAACAAGCTTCAGTAGCCAATTTGATCAAGTGGAAGAAAGGGTATCAGTGATTGAAGATAAAATGAATGAAATGAAGTGAGAAGTTTAGAGAAAAAAGAGTAAAAAGAAACGAACAAAGCCTCCAAGAAATATGGGACTATGTGAAAAGACCAAATCTATGTATGATTGGGGTACCTGAAAGTGACGGGGAGAATGGAACCAAGTTGGAAAACACTCTGCAGGATATTATCCAGGAGAATGTCCCCAACTTACAAAGGCAGGCCAACATTCAAATTCAGGAAATACAGAGAACACCACAAAGAAACTCCTCGAGAAGAGCAACCCGAAGGCACATAATTGTCAGATTCACCAAGGTTGAAATGAAGGAAAAAATGTTAAGGGCAGCCAGAGAGAAAGGTCGGGTTACCCATAAAGGGAAGCCCATCAGACTAACAGTGGATTTCTCGGCAGAAACTCTACAAGCCAGAAGAGAGTGGGGGCCAATATTCAACATTCTTAAAGAAAAGAATTTTCAACCCAGAATTTCATATCCAGCCAAACTAAGCTTCATAAGTGAAGGAAAAATAAAATCCTTTACAGACAAGCAAATGCTGAGAGATTTTCTCGCCACCAGGCCTGCCCTGCAAGAGCTCCTAAAGGAAGCACTAAACATGGAAAGGAACAACCGGTACCAGCCACTGCAAAAACATGCCAAATTGTAAAGACCGTTAATGCTAGAAAGAAACTGCATCAACTAACGAGCAAAATAACCAGCTAACATCATAATGACAGGATCAAATTCACAAATAACAATATTAACCTTACAGGTAAATTGACTAAATGCTCCAATTAACAGACACGGACTGGCAAATTGGATAGAGTCAAGACCCATCAGTGTGCTCTATTCAGGAGACCCATCTCACGTGCAGAGATACACATAAGCTCAAAATAAAGGGATGCAGGAAGAACTACCAAGCAAATGGAAAACAAAAAAAGGCAGGGGTTGCAATCCTAGTCTCTGATAAAACAGACTTTAAACCAACAAAGATCAAAAGAGACAAGGCCATTACATAATGGTAAAGGGATCAATTCAACAAGAAGAGCTAACTATCCTAAATATATATGCACCCAATACAGGAGCACCCAGATTCATAAAGCAAGTCCTTAGAGACCTACAAAGAGACTTAGACTCCCACACAATAATAATGGGAGACTTTAACACCCCACTGTCAACATTAGACAGATCAACAAGACAGAAAGTTAAAAAGGATATCCGGGAATTGAACTCAGCTCTCCACCAACTGGACCTAATAGACATCTACAGAACTCTCCACCCCAAATCAACAGAATATACATTCTTCTCAGCACCACATAGCACTTATCCCAAAAATTGACCACATAGTTAGAAGTAAAGCACTCCTCAGCAAATGTAAAAGAACAGAAATTATAACAAACTGTCTCTCAGACCACAGTGTGATCAAACTAGAACTCAGGATTAAGAAACTCACTCAAAACTGCTCAACTACATGGAAATTGAACAACCTGCTCCTGAATGACTACTGGGTACATAACGAAATGAAGCCAGAAATAAAGATGTTCTTTGAAACGAATGAGAACAAAGACACAACATATCAGAATCTCTGGTACATTTAAAGCAGTGTGTAGAGGGAAATTTATAGCACTAAATGCCCACAAGAGAAAGCAGGAAAGATCTAGAATTGATACCCTAACATCACAATTGAAAGAACTAGAGAAGCAAGAGCAAACACATTCAAAAGCTACCAGAAAGGAAGAAATAACTAAGATCAGAGCAGAATTGAAGGAGACAGACACACAAAAAAGCCTTCAAAAAATCAATGAATCCAGGAGCTGGTTTTTTTGAAAAGATCAACAAAATTGATAGACCGCTAGCAAGAGTAATAAAGAAGAGAGAAGAATCAAACGCAATAAAAAATGATAAAGGGGATATCACCACCAATCCCACAGAAATACAAACTACCATCAGAGAATACTATAAACACCTCTACGCAAATAAACTAGAAAATCTAGAAGAAATGGATAAATTCCTCGACACATACATCCTCCCAAGACTAAACCAGCAAGAACTTGAATCCCTGAATAGACCAATAACAGGCTCTGAAACTGAGGCAATAATTAATAGCCTACCAACCAAAAAAAGTCGAGGACCAGATAGATTCACAGCCAAATTCTACCAGAGGTACAAGGAGGAGCTGGTACCATTCCTTCTGAAACTATTCCAATCAATAGAAAAAGAGGGAATCCTCCTTAACTCATTTTGTGAGGCCAGCATCATCCTGATACCAAAGCCGGGCAGAGACACAACAAAAGAGAATTTTAGACCAATATCCTTGATGAATACCAATGCAAAAATCCTCAATAAAATACTGGCAAACCGAATCCAGCAGCATATCAAAAAGCTTATCCACCACGATCAAGTGGGCTTCATCCCTGGGATGCAAGGCTGGTTCAACATATGCAAATCAATAAATGTAATCCAGCATATAAACAGAACCAACAACAAAAACCACATGATTATCTCAATAGATGCAGAAAAGGCCTTTGACAAAATTCAACAACCTTCATGCTAAAAACTCAATAAGGTATTGATGGGGCATATCTCAAAATAATAAGAGCTATTTATGACAAACCCACAGCCAATATCATACTGAATGGGCAAAAACTGGAAGCATTCCCTTTGAACACTGGCCTAAGACAGGGATGACCTCTCTCACCACTCCTATTCAACATAGTGTTGGAAGTTCTGGCCAGGGCAATCAGGAAGGAGAAAGAAATAAAGCGTATTCAATTAGGAAAAGAGGAAGTCAAATTGTCCCTGTTTGCAGATGACATGATTGTATATTTAGAAAACCCCATCGTCTCAGCCAAAATCTCCTTAAGCTGATAAGCAACTTCAGCAAAGTCTCAGGATAGAAAATCAATGTGCAAAAATCACGAGCATTCTTATACACCAATAACAGATAAACAGAGAGCCAAATCATGAGTGAACTCCCATTCACAATTGCTTCAAAGAGAATAAAATACCTAGGAATCCAACTTACAAGGGATGGGAAGGACCTCTTCAAGGAGAGTTACAAACCACTGCTCAACAAAATAAAAGAGGACACAAACAAATGGGAGAACATTCCATGCTCATGGATAGGAAGAATCAATATCGTGAAAATGGCCATACTGCCTAAGGTAATTTATAGATTTAATGCCATCCCCATCAAGCTACCAATGACTTTTTTCACAGAATTGCAAAAAACTACTTTAAAGTTCATATGGAACCAAAAAAGAGCCCGTATTGCCAAGACAATCCTAAGCAAAAAGAACAAAGCTGGAGGCATCATGCTACCTGACTTCAAACTATCCTACAAGGCTACAGTAACCAAAACAGCATGGTACTGGTACCAAAACAGAGACATAGATCAATGGAACAGAACGGAGCCCTCAGAAATAATACCACACATGTACAACCATCTGATCTTTGACAAACCTGACAAAAATAAGAAATGGGGAAATGATTCCCTATTTAATAAATGGTGCTGGGAAAACTGGCTAGCCATATGTAGAAAGCTGAAACTGGATCCCTTCCTTACACCTTATACAAATATTAATTCAAGATGGATTAAAGACTTAGACCTAAAACCATAAAAACCCTAGAAGAAAACCTAGGCAATACCATTCAGGACATAGGCATGGGCAAGGACTTCATGTCTAAAACACCAAAAGCAATGACAACAAAAGCTAAAATTGACAAATGGGATCTTATTAAACTAAAGAGCTTCTGCACAGCAAAAGAAACTACCATCAGAGTGAACAGGCAACCTACACTATGGGAGAAAATTTTTGCAATCTACTCATCTGACAAACGGCTAATATCCAGAATCTACAAAGAACTCAAACAAATTTACAAGAAAAAAACCACCCCATCAAAAAGTGGGCAAAGGATATGAACAGACACTTCTGAAAAGAAGACATTTATGCAGCCAAGAGACACATGAAAAAATGGTCATCATCACTGGCCATCAGAGAAATGCAAATCAAAACCACAATGAGATACCATCTCACACCAGTTAGAATGGCGATCATTAAAAAGTCAGGAAACAACAGATACTGGAGAGGATGTGGAGATATAGGATCACTTTTATACTGTTGGTGGGACTGTAAACTGGTACAACCATTGTGGAAGACAGTGTGGTGATTCCTCAAGGATCTAGAACTAGAAATACCATTTGACCCAGCCATCCCATTACTGGGTATATACCCAAAGGAGTATAAATCATGTTGCTATAAAGACACATGCAAACGTATGTTTATTGCAACACTATTCACAATAGCAAAGACTTGGAACCAACCCAAATGTCCATCAATGATAGACTGGATCAAGAAAATGTGGCACATATACACCATGGAACACTATGCAGCCATAAAAAATGATGAGTTCATGTCCTTTGTAGGGACATGGATGAAGCTGGAAACCATCATTCTCAGCAAACTACCGTAAGGACAAAAAAACCAAACACCACATGTTCTCACTCATAGGTGGGAATTGAACAACGAGAACACCTGGACACAGGAAGGGGAACATCACACACCAGGACGTGTCATGGGGTGGGGGCAGAGGGGAGGGATAGCATTAGGAGATATACCTAATGTAAATGACAAGTTAATGGGTGCAGCACACCAACATGGCACATGTATACATATGTAACAAACCTGCACGTTGTGCACATGTACCCTAGAACTTAAAGTATAATTTAAAAAAAAAGATAACAAGACTGTATTAGCCCCTTTTATAAAGGCATTATAAACTTTTTTTTTTAATGTGACAAGCATATGAAGTAGATGGGTCAAAAAGGACCATCTCAGGGCTCTGTTTTGAAGAGTCTTATTTAGAGGTATCTAAGCCAAATGGCATACCACACTAAATGCTTTCAAATTTTAACCACAGCACTTAAAAAAAGAGAAAGAAAAAAGGAATACAACTTAGTTTAAGCACTCATTTTTATAAAAATGTGTTTTATTGTTTTAAAACAAGTCTATAAAAGTAGAAATCACATACAAAAATACAGATTACTCTGACATGTTGGCAAAATAGCTTATGGCTGGACTTGAGTTTGGAAGTTCTGTATGTTTGAGGGCATCCGATGTCAGAGTCCAACCGGATCCTAACCCCAGCTCTTGTCACTAATCTGTAAACAATAATTTCAAGTAGTATTTAGCACTTTTTAACTATTAAGAAATTGAAGCATCATCATTTCCTGTGCAACCCAACTTTAAAATCTTCCTTAGGTCTAAGCAGATAAAGGCACTTCATAGTATGTTTCTAACATTAACAATTTTTGATTTAAAAAAAAAAAGTTAATATAAATGACTGGTGTTAGCTTTTTTTGTTGTTACATTTTGAACATACGAACAAGTCATCAATTTAAACTAGTTTTTGTGATTTTTAAGAAGTAGAATTTGGCTGGGCGCAGTTGCTCATGCCTGTAATCCCAGCACTTTGGGAGGCCAAGACGGGCGGATCATGAGGTCAGGAGATTGAGACCATCCTGGCTAACATGGTGAAACCCCGTCTCTACTAAAAATACAAAAAAATTAGCCGGGCGTGGTGGTGGGCGCCTGTAGTCCCAGCTAGTCGGGAGGCTGAGGCAGGAGAATGACGTGAACCTGGGAGGCGGAGCTTGCAGTGAGCCGAGATCGCACCACTGCACTCCGGCCTTGGTGACAGAGCGAGACTCCGTCTCAAAAAAAAAAAAAAAAAATAGAAGTAGAATTTAATCTTTTCACTTCTCTGTACCAGTTTAAAAAAATATATATCACTGATGGTATCAAAAGGTCCCACATCTGGATTTTAACTCTTATGTAGGTATAAGTAGTGCTTACTACTGAAACTGCATGGAAGATATACCTGCTTCTACTGTATATTTCTGATTGAAGAGAACATGCAGTTCCTCTTAGGGAACTGTAGGTCTGATAACCTTATATATGGATAGTTTCAAACAATTATTGCTGAGAGATCATTTAAAAAAAAAATACAATTTAAAATACTTGATTCCAGAGTAATATAAAAGTAACCTTAAGAACCTCAGCGCTAAAGGAAAACAGCAGGCAACTTCAGAATTCTCCCATCCAAATTTTCAAGAATAGAGAGTGGATTAATACCACCTTTCTAAAACAAAGCAAGTCATTTTAAAAGCTAAAGGACCCATGTTAACATAATTTGATTATCAAGTTAGAAAACCACAATTATATTTCTCATCTAATTTAGATTCTGGAAACACAGTAACTTAATGAACATTACAGGATACTTCAGATTAACCTGTCATAGAAAACTGTCTGCTGGGCCTTCAAATCCTATATTGATTCTATATCTCTGGGTTTTGTAATGTTTGGTCTTTTGTTAAGTTTTAAGGTGAATTACATGGGGTTACTTATTTCTATTAACCTAATTTCAAATCTAAAGGCAAAATTCAAATACATTTTTCTCTTTCCTATTCCTAGAAAAGATGGCCTCAGACGCTACTATCCTATGATTCTCTTTTTGTTCAGCTCATAATACAAATAGCTTATTGTTCTTCTAAGCTGTCTTATAAAGCAATACTATAAAATTAAATAGATAAAAGTTATATGGGCTATGAAGATTGTTTGCTGGTGGTAATTTTTAAGCTTGATTCTGAATAGACTTAGTAAGAAGGGCACTTGGAAGAGGTGGCTCAAATTTTGCTCTTTAAGGTATCTTGAAATTATAGGCTCACTCTCCTAAAATTTCAAAAGGCCTACAACTTTGGCTCTTAAGAGCAAAGCAGTGATAGAAGCTTTTAGAATCATTTCAAAAAGCAAGATTTCATAGTTTTCCCTCTCAAATGGCTCCCTAGTATACTTGCAGAATGAAGGCAAAGGGAAAACCAAGAATAAAACTAGCTAAGTACTCCAGCAATTGGGCTTCCTGCCTATTTTCCCTGTTCTAAAGAAGAGACACCATCCTGCAATAAATACTTCATAGACAACTGGGCTTTTGCAGTGTCAGTCGGCATTTGATGCCCCATATCTCCTGGTTCTTTTTGTTGCCAATAGTTGGCCTGGCAATGGTGGTGAAATGGGAGCAATTAATCTGTAGATGAGGAAGGGCTTCCTTTAACAGTTGAAGGGTACCATCTGGCACGATTCCAAAAACTTGTAGTGTTTTTAGTGTGGGAATTTCTCCAAGTTCACTGGAAAGGAAGAAAAAGACTTTCAGAATAGCAGTATCTATGGAAACTGTTTGACTAGAGTTATATGACCCAAATTTTACAATTTGTGTCATCTACAAAATGCAGTCTGAAAGTGTAATTTACAATAAATGATTTGAGAAAATAGCAAATTAAACTGGAAAGCACAGACCATATAGCTTGAGCAACATGTCATTAGGAAACACACTGCTGCATTTTATTGAATGAGGTTCCTAATAACCTTAGAAACTCAGATTTATTTAAGAATCCAACCATATTTGCTTCCTTTCTCCAGTTGTGATTTATACAGTGATCTGAATGGGGTTACTGTGTTATGAGAAGAAACTAGCAAGTGAGTGATGGTAAAAGCAAATGTTTTACTGCGGCACCAGTTGGAACCACCACAGGTTACATGCAAATTAAGGATATGAACTTGACCTTTATTTGAACTAGGCTCATCTCTTAAAGGGAGATGCTGTCAGGACTGATGAACTTCTTAATAATGGTTCATAGTCAACAAGTCCATTATGTGTGATGAAAACTACCACTGACTTCCCTAAGATATTTTAGATAGGGTTATACAGTTGGGTACAGGTAGAGACAATGGGTGAAAAATCACACCCTTTATAGGAGGTAATAGCCATCTTACCTCCCTACGTATTACCATTTTTTTTCTGCATAGATAAGCCAGTCCCTTTAGGTATTTCACATTAGATGAAATTCAACCCTGTTAACAGTGAAATTCTGTTTCACAAATTCTGTTTCTCAAATTCTGTTTCACAAATTCTGTTTTTCCAAAGTAAATACTGTTTGGTGTTGGTAATGATTTTTTCCTTCTTAACTCAGATCTATGTGCCTAGAAATTCATCTCTCTCATCTCTGTTTGCTCAAGGTTGGGACATACAGTACAAAGTCTCAGGAAAGGGAACATTTATTTTGGAATTTCAACAAAATCCTACTACAGATCAATGAGCACATCAATTACCTAAAGTCAGAAACATCCTTTATATTTTCACATTGTCAATAATTATTTTTAAAAAGCCCCAAACTTTCCTTATAACTGTCTTTCTTCCTTCTAGCCTATTCTATATACCAATTTCCAAGGCATCCTCCTAAAGCCTAGCTCATGTTAGTCATTCATCTGCTCCAAAACCTTTGATGCTTCCCTTGTGTTTACAGAACCCAGGCTGTTCAGCTAGTCTGAAGACCTTCCGTGTTTAACCTGCTCTTCCAGTCTTCCCACTACTCCCCTAAATGTATTTATTCTACATTCTACAAGGTGTCTTAAACCCCACAAATGTTTAATATACGTTAGCTGAGTACAAGATGAAGGCTAATTTATAAAATAAAAGCATTATCCAAGGGAAATAAATATGCTTGTTCACAAGGGGACAATAAGATCTAAAGGTATATAACCAAAGAAAATCAGAAAGAACAAATTGCTGTCATTAAGTAAACTGCTTTCTGGAATGTAGAAACACTGTCGAAGTAAGATCACAGTATACACAGATACTTATACTTAATCACTTACGATGACAGCAATCCAGCTCCAACTTTGAATCCCTCATGTGAAACTTGGGAAACGTTGTAATTACTATGAGAATTCTGGTTCTGGTATATCCAAATTAGCCAAATTGTGAGCCATTCTGCACTGGAGAATATTTAAGGGAAGAAACTGTAGGTGGAGTAAGAAAAGGAGGAATGGCAGATGGCAGAGGAGGACATGTTCTTGCAACAGCATTGGGAAAGAGATTTGGTGAGGAAAGAAATTAAGAACAGACTCTCAGAACACACCCGGGTGTTATATATAAGGGGGTTATATAAGATAAGATGATGGATGAAGAACCAGTTCCAAGTCAAAAATCCAGAAAGTCTCTAAAATTTTAAGGAGACAAAAAAAAAAAAATGCCCCCGGTATGTGCATTACCTACAACTCAGAATAAAAAATTTGCAAGCATCTTTTAAAAACTACAATGGAAGAGACTGAAGAGCAAACTAAGGGATAGCAAATAGAAATAAGTAGTTCAAGAGCCATTATTTCTAATGTAAGAAATGTAAAATCACACCAATGTCTTATGTATATTGAATTTTAGAAAATAAAAGATATTTATGAACTCTTTCACAGGATTGCTCCTTACCTTATCTGTACAATAATCCTGTTTTCCTTATAAAATCTTAAATGCCTCAACTACAAATGCTCCTACCACAGAAGTCTTTTAGTCTTATCTTAGATTAGTTTACTACCTCCAGCTTGGGTTTCTTACTTGAATGAGAAATAGGGAAGAATTAGAAGGAAGTTTAGACATAGAGAAGAAGACCAATTAAGAAGTAAGGGAATAAATATAATGGGAATAGGTCCTGGGGAAGAAAACTTTATAGTTTCCCAAGTATTTTAAAATATTACAGAAGAAAGACATTCAAATTGTATTTTCCCACTTCCGAGAAATAAATAGCCTTAAGTTCTTTAGCATAGATGGCTCTCTTGAAATTATTATGGAAACATCCTGGAATTTTTATTATAAACCTCAAATATATCAGCTGCCAAAATGATTGAAATTAGAGTCATTCTAATTCTTATTTTATCTCAAGAAACTTTTAAGCATAAGGTACCAACAAACTCATCCTAAAGGATTCACAATGCAAATCAGTGTACTATTTACACAATACCTAAAGAAATATACTCTTTACCTTAATGTTCAAGGACAGGATCTTTCTTCTTCTCTATTCTAGTGGTCTGACTTGTAACTAAACTCCTAATGCCCCTGTTTGTCTTATTTCATAAGATTTGTACAAATAAGAAATAATAATACAGTGAAGGTTCACAACAGGTCTGTGACTTCAGACCCGTGTTTGTAACTATCAATTCACACTGCCTCCAAGTATTACCATGCCATTATTATGCAGGTATCGCAATTACTATTACTATTATCCCACTGGATAAAAATATTAAAATGAAGAGCTCACAGCCTTCCCCTCGCCTCTGCTTGAGAAAAAGCATTTGGGTCATTACCTGCTTAGCTTCTTTCTTTCTGCAGAGAAGGAACAAAAGCAAGACACATGGATAGATTCTCTTGAGAAAAGCAACCCAAAAAGAATGATCACCACACTCCCCAGGGGGCTGCACAGGCAAAGAAGCAGGAGGCCAGATGGCAAGGACAGGAAAGAATGGATGACAAAGAAGCCTTTTTGGGTAGACGCTAGAAGCTCCTAGGAGTTCTGGATGCTAGAAAATAGAGAGGGCAGGGATTTTAATAAGAGTTTCATGCGCATGAATTTAAACCCCAACATTTGAGAGCTGGGAAAGTAAATCCTGCCATCCTATTTTAGGCAGTCCTTTCCCAAATGAGATACCAGCTCAGACCCTGAACCCCAAGATTAATTTAAAAATGATTAATTAAAATGCGTAGCTGCCAGATTTCCTAACTCTACTAGTTAACTCTGTGTAGCTGAAGTATCTGATTTATTCATTAATACTTGAAACTAACTTAAAAGATTCAAACTATGATTCTGAGGACTAAAGTTCTTTGTTCAAATTCACCACCCTTCCTACCTAGGAGCTGGAAGCTAAATTAACTTTTAGTTCATGAGCTACATAAATGAGTCCAGCAGCCGCATTCAAGACATGTTGGGCACCTGATCAACTCTAAGATACTGACCTCTTGTGGTTTTTAATAAAATTGCTACACATGTACATTTGCCATTAGGGAGACTTTTCCAGCCCTTTGGAATGAAATGCAGAAAACCTTTTCAAACAAGATATGATTCCCAGGATGAGTTGGGTATGGTGTTTCCCAAAGGAAAGATGGACCAGGCTGCTGCTTTCTTGCACTCCCTTGATTCTGTGGAAGTTGCTGAGCAGGTAAAACTAACCCTTGTATAAACTATTAGATTAGATAGTGACTATTTTGCCTCTGTCCAGGAGACCTAGGATTTAGATCCAGGTCAGCCACCAACTCACCATCAGGTTTGAATAAGTCACTTCACTTCACTTTTTAGACCTTAACATGCCCCTGTTCAAAAACAGTATCAGACTTACAATACATACCATCTACAGGCTTATATCTTTCCAATTTCTTCACTATCCAGGACTTACATCACTAGAAGATACAGAACTTTAAGCCCAGATGAAAGTTTTGGAATCAACTGGAGTTAATCCGAAAAATTTGGAAAGAAAAAAAAAAAAAGACACTAACCCACATTGGGTCTGCCTTCCCAATTACACTTCAAGTTTCCTGGAGGAAAAGGTTATCTTCTGCTTCTCTGCTAAGTCTTCTCATAGATACTAAGACAGCAAGCTAGTAATTAAAACTGCTTACAGCTAAACAATAAATGTTTAGTGAACAATCTGGATCAACTCAATTTCACCAGTTTAAGCAATACTCTGCTGGTCTTTCATAGCCAGTCTGTGGTATACTTATTACTAATGTTTCGGTTTCATATGTCTATTAATAAAAATGGATTTTCACACCAAGGGGCATCTCTGTTGTTTCCTGCCTTCTATTAAGCATTAAAAACAAAACATACTTACAGTAAAGTTTCAGGTATTATATCATAGCACCGACTGAGTGATAGGTGTTGGAGGTAGTTGAGCTGGAAAAATTCCTGAAAGCAGTCATTCTTTAGCATGACACTATCACTGTTAAGAAGGCAGAAGAAAAGATATTGAAAATCACACATTGATCCTAGATAAAGAAGACAGAAATAACCTACTGTTTAGTTGCTTCAACATTATGATCCTTTCCCAATTTAATGAGAAATCAAGATTTTTCAACTTTTGATCTAAAATAAACAAATAAAAAAATACCTTAAGTCTAGATGGACAAGATTGGGGCATCTTCTAACTAAAGTAGAGAGATCTAGGAAAAGCAAAAAAACATGATGGTCACTATTAAATGAGGAACAAGACAAGGATATTTGTTATCACTACTATCATTGAACATCATGCTGGAAGTTCAGGGCAATGCAATTAGAACCACACACTATTAGAAAGAAAAAATGATCATCTTGGAACATAAAATTTTCTACCCAAAAAGCCCAAGAGAATCATCCGAAAAAGAAAACTGTGTAAAATGACAATCTTTAGCTTATCTATGTATCAGCAATAGCAGGCTGGAAAAATAATAGGGAAAAAAATCCCATTCACAAAAGCAAAAAGTAAAATTAAACACCAGTATATATAAGCAAACAATATATTACAAAGGTAGCACCTCAGATCAACAAGAGAAATAATGGATCAGTAAAAAGAAATATTGCCACTACAACTGGAAAAAAATATTTCTCCAACTCAAATAACATATTTAAATACATTCCACATAATAAGTTCTAAATACAAAAATAATATTTTTGTATTTAGGGTAATAATATATTAAATATTAAAAATTACTAAATAAATAATTCAGGGTAATTATTTAATTGAATCTTGGTATAAGGTATTTCTAAACATAAAAGAAAACATAGGGAACACATAAATTTACTACATAAAATTTTAAAACTACCATATTAAAACAATTTAAAAAGTATCAGAAAACTGGGAATGTTTTCAACATATATTAAACAGTGAGTTAATCTTATATAAAGAGAAAAAAGATAAATCAAAAATAGGCAATGAACATGAACAAATCTACATTGCAAAATACCAAGATAATAAAAAGGAGCAAGAAATACCAAATAAAATTAGAAATATTTCTTCTCAGCCATCAAGTGAAAAAAAATTCTATTATAAAGTAGGTCTACCATAAAGTAGGTCTTCCATGTACCACAGGTAGATATTTAATTTTATTTGCAGGCTTTCAGGAGCCTGAACCCTGCGTTTTTTGGATAGTGAACTGATTCCTGCTTTTTTTGGATAGTGAACTGATTTTCTTTTTTTTTTAAAGAATTCAGAGAATTATACAGTTTACTTTTGGCCCAGTAATTCCACTTTTAGAAAAATATAGATGTGTATGAATATATTCAATGTGGCAACAGTTATATTAGCCCCTCCTCCAGTTAGTTTAATATGTTAACCTCATCCATTCCGTGAAATACACTGCTAATCATTATGAAAACGCTTTCTGATAACATTTCATACATTTAAAAAAATACTAGGATAGCTTGTAAACAAAATATATACAATGCGTTATAATTTCAACTTGGTCAAAACACACTCAAACTCACATTTACACACAAACACATACACAGAAAGAAAGAGAGAAGAAAAAAAAAAGGCTGCAAGGAAATACATCCAAAATGTTAACTGCAGTATTCAAGGGTGTTTGGATTACAGGCAACTTTTCAGAATTTGGAAGAAAGTCATGTAAGCTACTTGGCAATCAGAAAATGAATCAATAAATGTTACTTATTTAGAACAACAGGCAAACTTCATTAACATTTGAGGGTTTTTTCGTCTCACAAGTATATCCCCTCTCCTAAATTCTGGACTTGCATTTTCAACTGCCTCCTCAACATACCGTTTGGATATGAGATAGGCCTCTAAATTTATGTCTAAAATCAAATACTCAATTTCTCCCCCAAATTTCCTCCTTCCCTAAACTCTTTCCCATCTCAGCAAGTGATAATTTCACGAATCCAGTGGCTTCAGCCAAAACCCTTGAAATCATAGTGGACTATTTTTCTCACATCCCACGTTCATTGTGTCACCAAATCTCATGATGTTGGTTTTTAAAATGTGCCCAAATCTGATCATTTCTTACCACCTTAAGTGTCACCAGCCTAGTCTGCTAACTGGTCTCCCTGCTTCATACTTCCCCGCTACAGCCTTTTCTCAACACAGCACTAGCGTGAGTCTTTTAAAATGAAGTCAGTCATATTGCTCTGCTCGAAATACTCCAATGGCTTCCCATATCCCATGTCACTTAGGAAAAATTCAAAGCTTTTGCCTTGGCTTAGACAGCCCTTGGCCATCTTTCTCCTCTCACTGTTCTCCCTGCTCCCTCTCACACATTGGTTCCATATCAAGGTATTTGCACTCACTGGTCCTTTGTTCTTGAATGTTCTTCTCTCACATATGCATATGGATTCCTTCTTCACTCAGTCAGTTCTCTGGGTCCAGTACAGTCTCCTCAGAGAGGCCCTGTCTTTAACCATTCCATCTAAAAGTAGTCCTCTTTCTGCCACATTCTATCTGGTTACTCTGCTTTGCTCTTCGTCCTTGCATTTTTACCTCCTTTCATAACATTTATGAAATATGTTCACTTTCTGGCTCCCCCACTAGAAAGTAATCTTCATAAGAGTGACTTTCTCTGTTTTGTTCAAGGCTCTGTTTTGTTCAATCACTGTAGGTGCTCAATAAATATTTAATAAATGACCAAAAAATGAAAAAAGTACACAATAAAATTTTGAGGGACCAATCATCTAGCCAGCCAACTAGCCATCAGCAAAATCTGATGCAATCATACTTTGACACCACTGGAGAAAGAACGAAACATTGGGGGATAAAGGGTTAGTTTCCTCTGGCCCACACTTAAGCTCTGTCCTCCCTGGGCAGGAAGTAGTTAGTAAACAGTAGTCACTGCCAAGGTTTCCTTTTCACTGTCCCCTTCATTTCACCATAAACAGTAGACCCAACCTGAGCTAGAAGGATCTTAGAAACCACCCGTTAATCCAACCCGTTACTTCAAAGGAGAGATGATTTCAGCTACAGAAGTCAAGGTCAAATCCAAGACCAAATGTTTCTGTGCTTCATCCATTGCTCCATGGAAAGGTAGTGATGGGGGTAGTGGGGGAAGGAACAGTATTAACAGCCAACACTAATTGAACTCTTACCATGTGGCAAGAAATGTTCCACATGCTGTACATGTCTTAACTCATTTATTCTTTCCTGTAACTCTAAGAGATGGGTTCTACTTATCTCCATTTTACTGCTGAGAAAACTAAGGAACAGGCAAGTTTAGCAACTTGCTCAAGTCTACCCAGTAAATGGCAGAGTGGATATTTGAACCCAGGCCATCTGGTACCAGTCTATGAGCTAAAACCAAATCCATATTATCTCATATATAATGAAATGGTGTGTGCTATTGTTAATGACATTAAAAACTTTTTATCCCCATGGTATAATTAAAAAACTAACACTTCAATTTACAGTCTGTCTCTCTGTCCTGAATGTGTCTAGCAAGCAGCATTTTAATACCTACTATTTCTGCCAAAACTCGGTAAACAGGCTCTCTGTTCTTTCTTGGAGGAACAAAGGGAAAGATTTTAAGCCAAATTTGGACAAAACCAACAGCACTTTGCCTACAGCAGTTTCTCAACCTTGCACCCAGAGCCTCGATTCATGTCAGAAAATCTTTCAGTAAACCAGTGAAAGATCCAGATGTGGGAAAGAAATATAAACAAGGCACTGCCTTCCCTTCACCTGCAGACAGAGAAGAACCAAGAGTGATGGGATTTCACACTAAGAGGATGCTCGTGGGTGAAGAGTTTAAACTTCTTGGAGGAAAATTTGGCAGAAACTATCCAAAACTTGAGAATAGTACTTAATGCTGGACCCAGCAATTCCACTTTTAAGAATCTATCCTTAGAAATGCATCTAAAGATTTGTCTCTGTCACTCATAAAATTGTTTATAGGAGAGAAAAACTGGGAAGATTCTGAAAGTCCATTAGAATTCTGATCAACTGCATATATTGTTATTGACTTAATATAAATTATTGCATATCTATTTGATGGACTATCACATAGCCACTGATGATGACATCATGTAGTCACTGAAAATGGGGTTAAAAAGCATATTACGAAGTATTTAATATACCATGTCCCATTAAAAAAAAAAACAGTTTTTGTACAGGAAAAAGCCTAGCAAGATGTTAAGATTATTGATAATTTGCTTCCCTTTGTGTTTTTCTGTATTTTACATTTTTTTTAAATGACTGTATAACACTATGATCAGTTTTAAAATAGTAATTATAAATACTGGGTGGGGAGAGTGGTATGAAATGAAGACATGATTGCTGCTTTTACAGCTTGCTAAAGAAAGTGTTCACCTTGTCTGAAAATGCAAGTGTTTGGAATGGCAGTAGTCCAAATTTGAGTCCTTGCACAGGTGAAAGACTCGAATTTCTACCCACTCATGAGATCCTAGCAATTATTTTCTATAGCTTTATACATCTTACCAGAGGACATCTGTCCTGGAGCAGTAGTTTTATACTACTTAAATTTTAAGATCTATTCTGCAGATGTTTGATTCAAATCTTTTTCAGAATAATAAAAACTATAATAAACAAAACACACTCAAATAAGCTAGTACTAACATCAAGATATGGTTGATGTGTGTTGCTGGTTTAACTAGGTTTTGTAGAGCCCACAAACTGAATGTTGGCCTGAGACGGTGAAGCCATTTAAAAAACTTGCCATTTGTAATCACTTATCTTTGCAAATCAAGATTTTCTCATTAACATACAAGTAAAATAAAGCGTAACTGAATATTAAGGTTTTTAAAGACTGCTCCCTGCTACCTTTGACTTCTAATGCCTGTTTTCATCTAAAAATCCTCGTTGCCCTCTTGGACTGAATAAAAAGTAAAAGTCATAAATATGAACTTATTAACAGAGTTTATAATAGTTTTTCAACCTTGGAACTGATGTTTGGACCAGATTATTGTGCATGCTATTCTCCATCCTATACACCGTCCACCAGCATCCTGGCTTCCGCCCATGAGAGACCATCAGCACTCCTACAGCTGTGACAATAAAAAATGTCTCCAGACATTGACAAATGTCCCCGTACAGACAAAATAGCCCCTAATGAACAACCACTACTTAATACTAATCAAATGCTACATTTATGTATTTTTATGTTGGGGTTTACCTAACCATTTAGTTGATTAAAAGTTTTTCTGCTTAAAAATACATTGTTTTCAAGTGTAAAGGTTTCTACTGTTAGATCCTGAATTCAAACCTTGGCTCTAGCTCACTAGCTGTTTACCTTTACCTAACCATTCTGATTAGCAGCTACCTCATCTGAAAAAGGGGACTAACACATGCACTGGATTAAATGAGAAAACTTATGTGGAGGAATGATTAGGAGAAGCTCAATGAATCTCATCTATTATGTTGTGAAGGCCTCAGTGGTCCAGGCTTGGAAGCTCTAACCTGATTTCTGGAGATTCTTTCTGTAGCCGCTAAGATTCAGCTGGGTGATGGTCTCTGACACATGCGCAACAGCCACCTGTACATGCTTTTCAGTGAAATCAAAACACCAGGAGAGGTTCAGCTCATCCAGTCTGCACAAAAGAGGGGTAATAAACAAAATATGAAACCATCACACGGGAATGAGTTTGCCTCAAACTGCAAACAAAGAAAATATAAAACCATGGATTCCTTATCATTTCATGCACAGAACACCTGCTTCTCTAACAGTAGCTACCTTTAGTCACCTAAGTATACCCTGTTTGCCCCTGAAAGTTGCCAGGGGATCAGAAGGGCCTTAGTGAATGTGCCTCCTCCTCGAAATGGAGAGAAGCACCTGATGGCTCAAACCTTATTCCAGTACTGCAGGTAGAAATGCCAGTCTTTTATGTTTGCTTTCTCAAACTACCAACCACCCAACACAGACTGAACAATCACTCAGGATGTTTTACGCAATTGATGGATTGCACTGAGGATTCCTAATAAAGAGATGCTGATATTGCAAAAAGCCACTTCGTCTTACTGTGCTTCTGCTAACTGAGCAAAAACGAGGGTTTCAGAGACAAAATACAACCATTAATCCCCACTCCCCACTTCTGGCACTGCTGACTAAATATAGGGCTATACATTTGATCTCACTGATAACACGCATATCCAGAGGCAATCTATTTTAAATGGACCATTAACAAGACACAGATTCAAATGCTGTACCATGGAGACCAAGGGATATTTTTAAAAAACACACATATGCCTAGTACTGTGTATTCCAAAAAGCATGTACTCCCCTCACTTAGCAATATCTGTAACTCTGTACCCTTTATGTGCTGACATTATTATGAAAGATATTGTTAATAGAATTGCCCAAATTTACGGTCTATATTTATAAAACACCAAATTTGATAAAAAATTGTAAGTTAGGTCTACAGATACCATAGGGGAAAAAACCTGAATGTACAGTTAAGTGTGAGCAAATTTCTTACAACCATACTGTTGATAGACACTACTACACTTCCCTTATTTTAACAGTTCCAAATAAACAAAAAAGAGATCACTATACAAGTATCACTTGCAAACTCAATTGACTTGGCTCCTGAGTTTGGACAGAAAGTTAGGAGGGCAAAAGATTTTGCATTCACCAAATCAAGAGCCTGGAAAGTACAAAAAGCTCAAAAAGTTCATCCCATTTTATACAGATGTGAGGGATAATTTTACGTTTGACATAAGAGTCTATAATCAAGTCTCACATCTTTCATACCTGGAACAGCTGCTTAGCAAAGTCTGCAGGGCAAATTCAGAGAATCCAGAACACCCAGAAAGGTTAAGTCGCACTAAATTTGAGTTTTTTGCGAGAGTACTGGAAAAAGAGAAAAACGTCAGAAGAAAAAGACCAGTAAGACACTATTCATCAACAACATTTAGATGAAAGCAGGCGAGTGTAGTTAAGCTCACAGGTCTTTGAGTCAGTGAGTTTAAAATGTATATCACTATCTCTCAGACATCAAACAGGATAATTTGCCTCAGTTTACTCATTTGTGAAATGGTATTATCAAACTTCTTGGCAGAGTTATTAAGAAGATTAAATGATATAATGTAATAAAAGACTTACTATGAAGCAAATACACAAGAATATCAATCAATGTACTTTTTGAATTAAAAAGACAATGGAATAAACATATATCCATTTCACCCATAATTAGAATTAGCTTGCAAACATCTACTTGTAAAATCACCAGGTTCTTTTGATTATACATCTCTCAAATTTGCCATCTTCTCTAATACATCCCCAAATGCCCTGTGTTAGTAAAACTTAGTGATTAAGAGTAAGAATTCTGGAATATTGTATCACTAGGTTCACATGTTGGTTCAGCCACCTACTAACAATGTGACCCTGGAAAAGACTTACTCAGTCTCCCTGTGTCTCAGTTTCCACAACTATAAAAAGGAAACAAGATCACACTTCATAGGGTTGCTGTCAGAATTAAATGAAAATGCATTTACAAAATTCACTATCTGGCACATAATACATGCCCCAAAACATTAGCTGCTATTACTGCTATCTGTTTTATATCAGACTTCACCTTTTCTCACTTGAACGAACACAGCAGTATCCTTAACTACTCTAGCTTCTTCTATCCTCGATGGACCCTCCATGGTACCTGGCAAGTTAATTTCCTAAATTTCAACTCTTGACTTGTTCCTTCCATTCTCAGAACAACTCTCTCCACCATCCTTCCCTTTTTTTATTTTTTTTTCAGATGGAGTTTTGCTCTTGTCACCTAGGCTGGAGTGCAATGTTGTGGTCTCAGCTCATGGCAACCTCCGCCTCCCGGGTTCAAGCGATTCTCCTGCCTCAGCCTCCTGAGTAGCTGGGATTACAGGTGCCTGCCACCACACCCAGCTAATTTTTGTATTTTTAGTAGAGACAGGATTTCACCATGTTGGCCAGGCTGGTCTCAAACTCCCAACCTCAGGTGATCTGCCCACCTTAGCCTCCCAAAGTGCTGGGATTACAGGTGTGAGCCACCACACCTGGCCCATGCTTCCCTCTTAATGGAAGAGTCCAGTCCATTCTTCTTACAGCAAGGCGTAGGGGCCCATTACAATCTGGTCCCTGACTCTCCTCACCTTGTCACTCTCCTCCCTTAGTCCTGTGCTCCAGCAACTTCCAACTACGTAAGAGTTTAGAACCACACAGGAAGTTTTACCTAGACTGGTTGCTTTGTCTTATTACCTAGAGATCTCCTACCTAGATATCTTCAATACTCAAGAGTCACTTCCTCTAACAAGGCGGCTCCTCGTGTGTTGCCACATATTCACTGAAACATTTAATAAACACACTGCATGGTAATTATCTGTCTTGCTCATAAATAGTTTACCTTCTTGCAAGAGAAAATAGACATGTCTTGCTCAATGTTTCCTCTTGCAAGAAGGTAAACTATAGCTTAACCAGCATTCACTAACAAGGTGGGAAAAGTTTTAGAGCATTCATTTTCTTCCCAAATAATACACATGCATTGTTCATCCTTGTACTTGTATCTCTAGAACCTAGCACAGGGCCTGGCATATAGTTAGCATTCAAGCTTTTGTTGCTTCAATGAGTCCTGAAAAGTTTTGCAGAAGCTAGAGCACTGCACTAGATATTTTCTGTATCCACCTGGATATGGCTAGAAGGGCACCCCAGTTATATACAGGGAAAAAAATTCATACACATAAAATCAACTGCCTTTGTGACACTCTGCCTGCCACTCACTTGACAATGGGATCCGAAAGCCGCAGGCCTTCCAGGCTTAGATTCTGCAACTTGGAACACTGAGACAGTATGCCGTGGAGGGTGGACACTTCTATAACTGAGTTCGATAGGTCCATGTGCTGTACACGAAAAGGGCTAAACACGGAGAGAAAAAAGGAGCTCCATAGGTGGCTCTCACGGGTACATCCAATTTCAAACCAGACCCCTCTTCTCCCCAAATGAGCAGCCAATCACAAACAAGACTCTAAATACATACTTCAAGCATTAACTATAGGGTCATAAAACATATTGCTACTAGTGTATTCCCATCTTCATTCATTTTAAAATGCAAGAGGATTTTTGCCAAGTACAGATGTTGCTGCCAATATAGTCCCACTTAGAAAATAACGAGTGGGCATCACAACAATGAGCTGGATGTGGGTGACAAGGAGATTAAGACCATAACGGCTCCTGGTTTCTGGCAGGGGTGAGTGGGTGAGCAGCAATAGAACAGGGAAGGTAGCGGAAGAGAAAGTTTTAAAGGGAGACCAGGCTGGGCGCAGTGGCTCACGCCTGTAATCACAACACTTTGAAAGGCTGAGTCCAGTGGATCACGATGTCAGGATATCAAGACCAGCCTGGCCAGCATGGTGAAACCCAGTCTCTACTAAAAATACAAAAAATTAGTTGGGCGTGGTGGCGCACACCTGTAGTCCCCAGGTGCTCGAGAGGCTGAGGCAGAATTGCTTGAACCTGGCAGGCAGAGGTTGCAATGAGCCGAGATCACGCCACTGCACTCCAGCCTGGGTGACACAGCAAGACTCCGTCTCAAAAAACAAAAACAATAAAAAAAAAGGGAGGCCAAATTTGAGTTATGCTAATATTGAAGTCCTTGTAAGAAATTCAGGTACAGACGTTTTTAGGTAATTAGAAATTTGGGAATTTGAAAGGGAGGGCCAAGCTATAGATGAGGAACTGAGAGTCCTGGGCATAAATGTGGGTGTAGAGGACACAGCTTGTCCAGGGACAGCATTTGGATTTGAAAAAGGTGGCAGCCAGGAACCGACCCTGGAGTGAACAGAGGAAATCACATATGTGAAGGAGACTGAGAAGGAACAGCCACAGGAGGAACAGGATAAAAAGCAGTGGGAGAGGCGGTCCTGACTACGGAAAGAAGGGAAAAAGTACTGGAGTCAGGAGACATGTTTTATCTTTAGCTTTGTTGTCTTCAGCTTGTTTTTCTGTTCAGTACCTAGTTATTCTACTATGTGATAGCAGTAACCTCAGTATTGCAAAATTATCAGAACAGAAAATTCTTTTTCAAAATATTCTACAAAACAAACAAAAAGAGGGCATTTTTTTCAGGTTCCAAATTTCTCCAAGACAAAAATCATAAACCCCAAGCTACAAACATGAAAAGACTCCTCACTTTTTTTTATTTATCAGAAATGGGCATTGGGGAAGTAACTGGGCACCCTTGCATCTGCCAGTGAGTGCTTTACTTGTGCCTGCCTTGTGGGACTCACAGTCCCCCTATCAGCTGAGGACTTGAGAAGACAAATGTGCCTCTTTCACCCTGGGAAGAGACTAACAGTAAACTTGAGTGAAATGGGAACAGTGTCATTGAAATCTATGCTAGGTTTTAGCACAAAGGCCCCATAGCAAAGTATGGAATTAACATCCCACACTGCACAGATAACCTACCATAGGCTTTAAGGCTGAAGAAAGAAAAAAAAAAAAAAAGCTTTGATCTGTTTCTACCTCGAAATTTAGAAATAGTCTTTTCCAGGGATTTTTCATCTTTACCTGAAATGTTCAGCCAATGGTTGGTCCATAAATGATCGTGGGCAGCGGAAGGCAATCACCCCTTGAGACAGCAACCGACCAGTCACATCCGGGTGCAGATTTTTACCTGTGAGGTCTAAGGTCTGCCATAGAGACTCATCAGACCTATAAAAGAGGAGATACTTAATTTGGCCAGTCGGTCACACTAAATGCTGGAAGCCCTCAACAACATTACTAACAGGTAGGACACTGCTGCTAAATCTCCTTGAAGCATATTCTAAAAGAACTTTTGTTTTTAAGTTGGCTATACAATTAGCTATGATATTTTTAAGGCACTAGAGAATTTTTCTTGATTTCACCAGGGATAAGCTTCCATCTTTCTCTTTCTATATACTTCCAATTTAGATGGTTCAATGTGAACATTAGCACTGCCGTGATCTAGAACCAGAGAATCATATTCCAGCATTCAAGTTGACAAATTTAAAAAATGATTGCTCAAATCAATTAATTATTATATTACTAGGCAAATAGGATCCTCTAAGAAGTTTTAAATCTATTTGACACTTTTGTCAAGCAATTATGATTACTGTAGCAACATGGAAAATTACTAAAGGAACGAAAGTTAGCATTATTTTATTATGAAATAAGGCTGTCATAGATATTCAATAGCAACAGTCATGGTTCAGCTGTGCCTTATAATATATTTGAAGCTTAAAACATACACGTGTATATGTATGTGTACATATGTGTGTGTATGAACTAATGTGAAATAAGGGAAAAATACAACGGATTATAGATGGTGTTTCTAAAACAAAAGGGATGTTCTAAAAACGTACTGAATAGCACAGTAAGAGGGTTTTAATATCCATAGTTTAATTCAATTTAAAAAAAGAAAATGTGAAATATAAGCACATGAAGGAACATTTTAAATGCTTAGGTGTACTAGAATTTTCTTTTTTAATAGTGCTTGAAATAAGTGGACCACTGGCCAGAGTTATGAAATAACTTCATCATAAAAAAATTGTCAGTGTGATTTGTGTGACAAATCTATCATTAAAAAGGTGGACTGTAGATAAGATATCCTTAAGAGAGTGGCACACTTTTGTATCTTTCTTGCCCAGACAGAAATCCATTTTGGCCTCCAAGGTATTGGTATTGACACCAGATCAGCACTGCTCTGGTTGTCTTGAATCTCATGCTTGATGTTTCCTCTTGCAAGAAGGCAAACTATAGCTTAACCAGCATTCAATAACAACAACCTGGGAGAAGTTTTGGAACAATTCATTTTCTTTCCAAATAATATACATTTTTTAGGAAGATGAACACCTCACAGAAAAATGAATTTGGGAGCTACCTGAACCCTAAGCCAAGCATAACTAGATATGGTATGATGGTTAAGACCGTGGAGTTAGCCAAACTTTAGATTCCTGCCTTTCCACTTATCTCTCAACCTACTATTCCTGACCCTGCAGTTTCCTCACCTCTGAAGCTGAGATGACACAAACACCATCACTTAAAATCATATGGAGGATTAAATTGCAAACACTGCACCTGTCACAAAGCAAGTGCTTAATAAATGTCAGTAATTACTTTTATGACAACTGAGATGAAGTTTAACAGACTCTAAGGGAGATGTAGGTCAAAGAATACAAAGCCACAGATATGCAGGATGAACACATCCCAAGATATAGTATACAACAGGAGAACTAGAGTCGATAATACTGTATTGTAGTCAGAATGTTTGCTAAAAGAGTAAATTTTAGGTGCTTTTGCCACAAAAAATAGGTAACTATGTGAGATAATGAATATGTTAATGATAGCAGCCATTTCACATACTTATAACAAAATATCATGCTGTATACCTTAAATATATACAATAAAATTTTAAAATGGGATTAACAGACTCTGCAAGAAGAGGATAAATGCATAGCTGGCAGAAAAAGAAAACCAAAGTGGGGTTGAGTGCGGTGAGGGTAAGTGAAACTTGCCTGCCACTTGCACCAGCATTCCAGGTGTGCAACCCTCTCTGCGGCTCTTCTAAGCAAACAACCCACACCTGTAAATAGCAGCACGCCCTTGAAGGCAAGAGGCTCCTGCTATCTCACACAGGGAGTTCTAAGTATGTGGAGGGAGAAGCCAGACGGATGGCCTTTAAACACAAAGCAAAGAATGACCAGGAGGTAGGATAGGGATGAGAAGGCATGAAGATAGTAAAAAGTTCCAGTTGATAAACATAGCCTTTTTCTTGCTCCAGGCCTGTTATTGCCTTTCCAGCTCACCAAGTCTTTCCACATGCAACTCACCTTCCACACTTGAAAAGTGTTGCCAAAAAAAGAGCACAACCCCACCAATGGCTACTCTGTGTGGAACATGTCTGTGAGTCAGGCATTACACCAGCATCTTCACATTTCATCCTCATAACCAGTGGTTTCCTCCTCATAACCATTATCCCCATTTACATATGGGGAGACTGAGGCTCAGCAGTGTCAACTAACTCACTCAGGTCATGCAGAGCGTAAGCAGCAGAGGCTGGGTGTGCACTCGGGTCTAACACCAAGCCTGTGTTCCCTCTCCCTATTGTGCTCACTGCTCAGCCCAGCGGCGTGAGGAACCGCTGTCTGCATGCACCTCTGTAACTCTCTCCGCACTTAAAGCACACCGCCTGGCCTACAGTCAGCATCCCATAAACACATGCTGCACTGAATACAGGGCAAAGAGGTTTCCAGACATTGGTAAGTTTATCCCTCCCAGGAAATTCCTCTTCCACTGTGAAATGAGGACACTGATTAATAAAAATATGAAGATACCTAGTTTGCTTTGCGCTGCTCTATTTTTCTTGGTTTTTAGTTTCATCAGACCAAAACGAATAAATAACCTTCCTCTCCTCTTCCTCCCCTACGTTTGCCAAAGGGGTGAAAAATACTTACGCTAGGCGATACCACCTCTTACAAACACCAGAGACCTTTAGCAGCTCAGGGAGGCACAGACAGGAAAAGATTCCCAAGAGCAGCTCATCCGGAAGGGAGTCCCATGAAACACCTTTGGAGGGAAAACAAGTGTTTGCCATCACCATTCTTTCACCCTATCAAGTCTACTGAGTCTTTTCAAACACATAAAGAATATACAACATTTAGCTTAAATGAGGAATTTAGCACAAATTAAATTACTCATCCTCACAATTATTTTTGTTTGAAAAATCATTTCTGTTGAACAGAAAAATAATTGTGGTGATGAGTAATTTAATTCGTGTTAAATTCCCCATTCCATCATCTATGTACCCTGAAGTGACCACCACACTCTCTCAGCAAATCAAAAAGAGAAACCCAGAACACTTTTCCTATTCTTCCCTTCAGCTCTAGCCAGCCAATCGGAGGCTGTGGCATGAAGAGTGGTACAGAGCAAGTCCCACCCTCTCAAATGTCATTCAATGACATTGTCAATTCATTGACATCAATAAGATATTGTGGTGCTTCTGGGTGCAAAGGAAGGCCTTGTTTCTCTCTGATGTGGACTCAGTAGTGACCTTATTTAAAAGGCAAATAAATCTTCTTCCCTTTCTGCTATGGTTGGCTGTGTCCCCACCCAAATCTCATCTTGAATTGTAGTTCCCATAATCCCCATGTGTTGCGGGAGGGACCCAGTGGGAGGTAATCAAATCATGGGGACGGTTACCTGGTGATAACCGCCCCTGTAATTTGATGCTGTTCTGGTGATAAGTGAGTTCCCACAAGATCTTATGGTTTTACAAGTGGCTTCCCCGACCCCTTTGCTCTGCACTTGATGCCGCCATGTGGAGAAGGACGTTTGCTTCCCCTTCCACCAAGCTTGTACGTTTCCTGAGGCCTCCCCAGCCAGGCTGAACTGTGAGTCAATTAAACCTCTTTCCTTTATGAATTACCCAGTCTTGGGTATGTCTTTATTAACAACATGAGAACAGACTAATATGCTTTCTTTCAGGTTTACAAAAGGCACAGTTTACCTAAAAGAGCAATACAAAAGGGTATTGTCATTTCTTAATTCAACAAATATTTACTGAGCTCCTACTATGGTGCCAGGTATCATTTTAGGTGTTGGGAAGGAGTAGTAAATCAGACCCAAAACACTACCTTCGTGGGACTTCATTCCAGTAATGCGGAACAGATAATCACACATCAAAAAATAAGTACATTATATGATATAGTAAAATTGATCTGTGCTGTGCAGAAAAATTAAACAGGGCAAGGGAGAGAACAGAGAGTTCAGAGCAGATGTTATTAAGTTTGAACATGGTGGTCAGGGAAGGCCATACTGAGATGACGATCACTAAGCAAAGGCTTGAACAAAGTGAGGGAGTGAGCCCTGTGAGTATCTGGTGTACGTGTTCTAGATCCAAGGAACAGCATGTGTGTTTGAGGCATAGCAAGGAGGCCAGTGTAGAGCGCAGAGGTAGGTGGGTAGAAAAATCAGAGAGCAGCCAGGTCATGCAGGCTTCCTAGGTCATGATAAAGCCTTTGGCTTTGACGCTGAATTCTATGAGGCACCACTAGAAGATTCTGAGCACAGGAATGACAGGCCCTCACGTAAGTTCAAAAAGGATCACTCTGGCTGCTGTGTTTAGAACAGAAAGGTGGATGCAGGAAGCGCAGTTTTCTTTCATAGAAGCAATCTCTAAATAACTATTCAACAAGTATGAAACTCTTACATATGAATACATAGAATAATCCCACAAGCTCAGGATAATGTAACAATTGCCAAGAAGGAAATAAATGCACAATGAAGGAATCCTAAAAAACAGTCAGATGAGTTCAATGATTGCCTTCCTAGGCTTTCCACCTCTGATGGATCTTCTACACCAATTCTGGTGATATTCTCTCCTCCTACTCCCATTTAAAGGTGCCAGTCTTTACTGAGCATGTCCTTTGTACCAGGCCCTGTATAAGTGGGTTTGAGGACACAAGGGAGAAAAACACCGAGGAGTGTGACAAACACCTGCTGCCCTGGGCAGTCTTTCTAAACCAGCATGTCTTTCCCCCAGTTAGAATCCTTCAGTGGTACACCCCAGGTATTTAGGCTAAAGTCCACAATGCTTAGTACAAAGTTAAACGCTTTCAGCCAGGTCTCAACTAGTTTTCCTAGGTTTGTTATCTAGAAATGTGTTCCAGCCATTTGGAGCTACCTGTAATTCTTAGAATGAGTCATTCTGTGCCGTATCTCAATGCTTTTGCACATCCTGTGCTTGCCTCCAACTACTATTCATTTAAAATCAAATGGAAGCCCCAGTTCCCACAGAAGGCCTCCCGTGACATCAACAAGGACAGGCCACTTATGTACCATAATTTCATTATTTACTTACTCATCTCTCTAGACCCCCAGGAGCTCTTGAGAAACAAAAACGCTTTTTTTTTTTTTTTTAACAATTTTTGTATTTTCAGGAACTAGCATAAAATTGATACATTCATCCACTCCCATATTTATAAAATATGTACTATACACTGAGGTCTATTCTAGGTTTTAAGGACACAATGATAAATAAGGCACAATCCTGACCCTTATTCTGCTCAGAGTTTGAGAGATATAGACAAACAGGAAACTTCAATAACCTATCCTGATGGGCTACAGTAGGATTCGGGGTGCTGTGCAGCTTATGGGAATGGCGCAGGGGTTAGGGAAGCCTTTCTGGAGGAAGTGGCCTCTCTTGAAGAATGAGTAGGAGATACACAGTTGTTCAATGAATGCCTGTTCCCCTAGCCTCACGCCCTTCAGGGGACAAAATTAAAGGACTGACTGAGGCCCTGAAAGCTAGGGGTAGAAAGCTGAAGGCAGATCACCCCTGCTGATCTGGGGAGGCAGCTGGAGGTTGTGAGGAGGCTCCTCGACGTGGCAGCTGTTCCATCACTGCCACAAAGTTCCTCCAAAGTCAACATGGGCAGGGGACAAAGGTTCTCAAACCAGGCTCTTGCCCTGCTCCCCAAATTGAAAACAAAGTTGAATGACAGGCTTTTCTCAAGTTTTTCTCCCATTAATCCAACTCTCTCAGACCTCTGCTGCCTCTTACATATCTAGATCAGAATCTAGTAATTGATTGGGCATAACTATATTTAGCTATAAGTATAGTCATCCACTCACGTATTTATTAACCATGTACTATATACACTGAGGTCTGTTCTAGGTTTTGGGCCACAACAATAAGTAAGGTACAATCCTGACCCTTATTCTACTCTGAGTTTGAGAGATACAGACAAACAATTAAACAGGAAATTTCAATAAACTATCCTGATGGGCTACAGCAGGATTCAGGGTGCTGTGCAGCACATGGGAATGGTGCAGAGGTTAAGGAAGCCTTCCTGGAGGAAGTGGCCTCTATGGAAGAGTAAGCTTAACTATACTTCAATAACATACTTAGCTATTTTGAATCTAATATGTTGAGATTTTACTATAATCTGTAAAAATCATACTGACACCATACGCTGGGCCTCCTCAACACATTTGAGGACTACTGGACTGAGAAAGCAGCACAGTTTCTATCAGAATCCTGGCTGTGTTGCCCCAAGTCTGTGAACTTGGGCAAGTTACTTAATCTTTCTGGCCTCAGTTTCTTTACCTGCAGGAAAGGAAATTGACAGATTTATCTTGCAAAATTGTTCAGTGAAGAGTAAATGAGGTACAAGAAAAGATTAAATAATGCAGCAGGGAGTAAAACTTTCTTTTCTATATTCCTCTCCTTTCCCAGTTAAGTCTGGGTATTTTCTTCATGCAATGACCTTTTCAGTGCTGCTCTGAATTTTCACCCATGGGCAGACACTGGACAAGGTCTGCATGGTATGACTTACCAAAACCCCGTATCTGCCCTTTATTTAAGTTTGGGTCCCCCAGAAGCAGATTCTGAAGCTCTGACTTCAAGTAGTTTATTTGGGAAGTGATGCCAGGAAGCACTAGAAAGAGTGGAGAAGACAGAGGTGGAAGGGAAGAAAGCCAACCTGGAGTAGGCTAATAGGCAGGTTATCCCTATGGGCAATTGGGGTTCAAATCTTCTGGGGACTCCAGTAAACCATCTAGAAACTACCCCAGAGCTGTCTCAACCAAGGGCACGAGTGCTGGGGTATTAATCCATCAATTGCTGTTGGTCACTATTTGGGGACTCCCCAGTATTCCTGCCCAGAGAAAGCCCTCAGGCATGGAATCTCATCTACACGTAGGCAAAAGCTTTGGCATGTAAGGGAATGGGGGGCTTCAAGGGGCTATAGATAGGGCACCAACAGAAATTATGGCTGGGGAAAGGAAATTAGAAAAGCTTGCTATGAAGTACAGGGCAGGAGAAATAAATTAACAAACTTGGTGCTTTCTATTAGGAAGACATAAGAAATCAGGACCAATTAAAAGAGCAGTAGCAGCCAGGTAATTAAAGTGCTAGAGGAAAATCTGGCATAGTGATGAATGCAGAGGTCAGTAGACCTAACCAATGAAGACTGCATGTGAGACTCCAAAGTCTGGAGGACTTTGTGTTGCAACTTCCATCTTTGCCTTCCCAACTCCTCCAGATTTCAGCTTAAATGGCACCTGCTCAAAGAAGCATTCCCACCCAGGATACCACCACAGGCCCCATGCCCAGATTTGCACATCCATTACCTAACAATGCCTGGCACATAACAGGACTCTATAAATATTTGCCAAATGTATTTATTAGCCCTCTTCATTCAAATGGTGAATGTGCTAATTCTTTATTAGTGTGAATGGCTAACCCTTATTAACCAATTAACGACTATGTGCACAGCACTGTTGGCATATGGAGGGGATGAGGCTGAAGACAAAAACCCAGAGCAGAAGGGAATGTCCTCTATCAGTATAGCTGTAGTCTCTGGGAGATGGGGGCTGGGGCTTCAAGAAAACATGCAACTATGATAAAAGAGACAAGGTCACACAATCAGTAAGTGGCAGAGGGGGAATTTAAACTCAGGTCTGATTTCAAATCATGCCCTTTCCATCCTAGTGGGTTCTAATATTCTATGCTCTCCTCTGTTGTAAGTACAAATTTTGAAAAGGTGAGAATTAAACCCGGACTTGCTATGGAAACAGAAATCAATCAGGGCTAGGGAGTGAGTGGAGGAGGAGAGAGAAAATAAAACAAAGATGCTATCAATGGGTTCACCACCAAATGGAAGGAGCAAGGTCCTAGAAAACACACATACTCAGCTAGCAGCCAAGTACCCAGTGCTCTTACTCAGCTGACCACAGAATGACACTAATCCTAGGGGCCCCGGGTGGGGGTACCACAGCCTGATATGGGCTGCTGTCCCAGCAGATGGGGCAGAAGTTTGTCTTTAATAGCTGCTCTAGCAATAGGCATCCAGGCTGTGATATGCTTAATCTAATTTTCCTTGCCATATTTAATTCTCAAAACATTAGCCATCTGTTTCCTGAATTCATGATGAAACTGCTGCCTGGTCTGTTTGCAGAGAGCGGAAGGAAAAATCCAGAGGTCTTTTCTCCACTTGTCTCTGCTAAATCCAGCAAGGCTGTAGCTGCATACCAGACCCACATTAAAAGACATAATTACTGAGCCCAAGGTCTCCAGTCTTCAATGACATGGACGGCAGTTAAATATACTTCAGGGCCAGGAAAGGGCAAAAACTGGGCCAAACCAGCAAACCTACTACAATCACCCTCACCTACCACTGTTTCCAATTATTTCTCAGGTGCAAACCCAGTTTCCCACTTCTGTAACCTTATCACATCTCATGCTTCCTGAAATTCTCTGGGAAGAGGGCCTTGTTGGAGAGTTTTCTATGCATTCCATCTTTGCAGTGTAGGTAACTCATCTTACTTGACATATTTATTTCTCAGAATATCACTCCACTCATTTATTTCTCAGAACATCACTCCACTCCACTCAGATTCAAGCTGAAAATCCAAAGTAATGCTAATCATAATCAAACTTTTGACTTAAAAAATTGCTGCTCTTTAAGCATAATCAGATTATACTTGCAGAAATGTATACTGAGGACCTGGTACTCATACTTGTTTTTGTGTGTGTGTGCATTTCTTTCAGGGAGTTGGGGGGTGCTCACCTCAGAATTGCTTTTGCTGGCTTGTTTTAAGTAGCAATACCCCATGCTTTCTTTCTGGGGAACTACAAACAGATTGTGCCATCCCAGATGAGTTCTCCTTCCTCTTCCCACAAACCATAAATAATACATTTGAGGCCATGTTGGCTTTGGGTGTTTTTGTTTTTTTGGCTAAGGTGGGCAAAACTGAAAAAAACAAAACACAGCCAAACTTAACAAGGATTCCCCCATGTACCCCTTCAGTCCCACAACCCTTTATTTCTATGAAAGACTTGCTCAACCCTGAGGTGTAGGGGGTGTAATGAAGAAACAACAGAAGCTGGGATTTGGAAAAAATATGGAACAGTGTATAAGCACTATGAGGGCAGGGTCTCTTGCCTGTTATGTTCAGTATTGTAGTCCCAACCTCTAAAACGGTGCTTGAGAAATATTTGCTTAATGGATGAATGAAAGGAAGCTATGGAACAAAGAAAGATGACTGGGAAGATCCCATAAAGGCTCTTCCAGTGCTGAGTTTAGTAACTGTAGACTGAGACTCACATAGATCATGAAATCAATTTAGTGGGTTTGACTAGCATATATGTACATATAAAGAATGAACTAGAACAGAATAGAAAATATCTTAGTAAGGGGAAATACAGTTTTGTAAAACTGCTGTTTCAGATACATACCCAGGATTGCAATGTAAAATATGTTTCTTACTGGTTAAAAAAAAAAAGTTGGAAAAAATGCTTGCCTAAGGGTATTAAGACACAGATTCCCAGGCTCACTCAGGCCAGGACTCCCCGGATCAGAATCTCAGGAATTTTACACTTTGAACAAGTTCCTGTGGGGATTCTGATATACAGTAAATTTTAGTATCTCCAGTCTGACAACCACTTTAGGGTCTGGAATTTCAAGCATTTAAGAGTCATGGAAGAGCTGATCAACAAATTAGTTCACCTCCATTTTCATGGCTATCACCTGTTTAAAGGGTGGGGTGGGGGACAAGCATTTCATGACCATAAATAAAATGCAATTGTCCCCTTTCCGCCTGTTACTGACCTCATTGCTGGGCCATTTCCTCCCCAACTCTTTCCATACACTCACTCCAAGGGCCAATCAGACCTGTTCTAGTACAGGTTGGCCACAGAGCTTTCATCTTCCCAGATAAACGGATGAAGAGGATTTAGTTGCCAGATGTACGGCTGGACTGGGGCCTGCAGGGAGAAACTGCTTAGCAAAGAACCAACAAAAACTTGCAGCCCAGAACCAGTCATCAGATATCTATGTACAGCAGGTGTGGCCTGTTCTACCCTAATCCTGGCAAAGCTAGTAGCCACCTGTCCTGACAACTGCAGACAAAACTCCTTGGAATGACAATCCGGCTCCACTGGAGGCCCAGGCTTCCAAAGGCCCATTGGGAATCCTCTATACCAGCTGTCCCTCATCCTGCATCACTGATTTCACCCTTCCCCACTCCACACCAATTAAGCAATCTCTGTTGTAAGTCCACGTACATTGGTTTCCCTCTGTGCCTCTCCTTAGGTAATAAACATAAAAGTCACCATTCTTTCTCTCTCCCTTCAGATATATACTTTTGAAGTCAGCTTTAACCATCAAGACACTGATTACACCATTTTCAGAGCCCTCTCTTTCCTCAGAATCTCCTTTCTTGCTGAGTGGAAGGAGGAAGATCTTCCACATCCACCTGAATGGGAATCACAGCTCTTATTTTTTATTGTATTTTCTCCTCAACTTGACTTGCAAATTCCTGGGAAATAGCAAAGACTCCGGAAACTTCTGTCTTGTTCCCACAGTGCCTTGCTTAAAAAAAATTCTTTTTCACTTGTGGAAGGGCATATAGCAATCACACTCTATGTCAAAAGCTATCGGCACTGGACAGGTTAATAAAAATCTGTTCATCTTAGCAGGAAGTATCTTTCGCCATATTTGGTTGGTCAAGCACCAGATTGTTAGGGCTACATTCCAGACACAAAGAAGAGCGGTGAACATTAAATTTTGAAGAAAAAAAATTTTATACTAACAGGGTCAGAGTAACAATATTAAAAACAAAAGATAAAAGTCCACTAGCCTCCAAAATTGGTGTCAGGAATTTTGTTGGCTTATGTATTGTTACGTGTCAGTGGCATGCTAAGGGTTTTACGTCATTCTCATTTAATCTTCACGACGACCTGTGAAGTGGGTATTATTACAGCACTCCATTTCACAGATAAAGGAACTAAGGCAAAGAAAGCTCGAATAACTTTCCAAGGCTGATAAACGCAAGAATGAGGATTCAAACCCAGATCTGACTTCACTACAACCCTCTACTGCTTTTCTAACTAATCCAATTCCTGATGTATATTCCCAGACCATAAATTGGGCAAAGTTCTCTTTCCTAAAGAAAAGGCTGAAAACAAACGTATTTATTTTCTTAATTAAAAGTGGAATGCATCTCGAATCCGCATGTCTTCCTGCGCAGGGGCCATGCTAATCTTCTCTGTATTTCCAGTTTCAGTATATGTGCTGCCAAAGCGAGCAACCAACCAATCAACTAAACAACCAATCTATCAACCCTTCTGCAAAGGAAACCAGATGGGAGAATTTATGAATATACTTAAATTACCTTGGGTCTGCAAGACTTCATCTTTAAATGTTTAATCTGTTTCTTCTTCGCCATCATCCCCCACCTGATTTCAATTTAGACTCTGATCACCTCTTCCACAGATGATTTCAACAGCCTCCTAAATTCTGTTGACTTTAATGTGGGAATATATCCGGAATCTGACCACCCTCACCCCCAACAAGACTTCAAGCTTTGGCCAGGTGTGGTGGCTCATGCCTGTAATCCCAGCACTTTGGGAGGCCAAGGCTGGAGGATCGCCTGAGTCCAGGAGTTTGAGACCAGCCTGGGCAAGATGGTGAGAACGCCCCCGCAACCTCCATCTCTACAAAAAATAAAAAAATTGCTGGGCGTGGTGGTGCATGCCTGTAGTCTCAGTTACTTAGGAGGCTGAGGCAGGAGAATCGTTCGAATCCAGGTGAAGACAGTGAGCCAAGAGCAGGTCACTGCATTCCAGCCTGGGCAACAGAGCAAGACTCCGTCTTGAAAATATGAAATTTAAAAAAGACCCTAAGTTTCTACCCTTGATGCCCCTGCAGCTGAGTCTCAACACATCAGTGTGTCATTTTTAGAAGGTTAAATCAGGTCCCATCACAACTCTGCTCAACATTACCTCCAGCCTGATCTCCCCCGACTCTCCCTTTCGCTCATTCCACTCTTAGAATATGGCTTCCCTGTTCCTGGAACAAATACGTCACATTTATGCACCAGGGTCTTTGCAGTGGCTGTTCCTTCTGCTTGGAGCTCTTTTCTCCAAGATATTTGCATGGCACACTCCTTGCCTCCTTTATGTCTTTGCTTAAAGGTCACTGTCCAATTGAGGCTTTCTCTCAATACCTGGTTTAAAAGTGCACTCTATCTTCCCACCCCAAGACCTGCATTCCCTCTTGGCTTGTTCTATTTTTGTTTTTAGCCATAGCTCTTATCACCTTCTAACATACTATATAAAAATAGTTATTGTGTTTATTGTATTCTCTCACTAGAATGGATGCTCCCTGAGAGCAGAAATGTTTGTTGTGCCCACTCCTCTATCTCCAGCACCTGGAACACGGCCTAGCACATGGTATGTGCTCAGCAAATATTTGCTGTATTACTGTTTTAAATAGCTTACTAGTAAGAAAAACTGATAACCCCAGGTCAATGCCCTGTTTATCCTATGGCTTTTGCATACTCCAGGGTTCTGGTTCACTCTGGGAGGCACTCGTTCGCCTGCTTGAGGAACTAGGGGATGGGGAGCTATTAAGGAGGGAAGATACAGTAAGTTCTACATTTCAGTCAATCCATTCTAGTTCGGGGGATAGATCTGGGGAGAAGAAGGTTGGAATTATGAATCCACTCCAATAGTTCAGGCAAGAGACGACGAGAACTTGAGAAATAGTTACCAGAGAAGAGGGAAAGATGCGATGAATGACTGGATGTTGGGGGGCGGTGGGAAGCTGACTGACTCTCAGGTTTTCGGGTTGGGTGATTAAACAGATAGTGTCAGCAGTAATGGAGACAGAACATACCAGGAGAAGCCAATATGGGGGTGGGAGTGGGCCTGGGGAGATGTCTCCCCCACTTAGGTGAACGTTCACTTCGCAGTCCACTGATAAATAACTAAAGTGATTAAGGCAAAAAGATCACTCAGGGGTACAAAGCAAAAGGAATCCTACAAGAAGACCACTGTTTATGTTTCTGTTAAACGGTGAAACTGAGCTGGCCTTGAGGCAGGCAGATTCCCTTCTAAGGAAAAAGGCAGGAATGTCTTCTCATGGGTTAAAATTTTCAAGGTGATTATGCACCAGAACATACATATATATATATATATATATATATATATATCTACCAAGATTCCTGCATACTTGACGACTTGCCCTATTTTGTTGAAAAATAGCTTCAGAATTAGGCAATCTTAAAAGGAACCCATGCTAAAGATCTCTGAACAAAGGTTTCCCAACAACATAGCTAAATCCACCCTTTGCATAACTGACATTTTTACCCTCATGTCCTTACCTGGAAAGTTCTCTCGATTTAGCTTAGGCCTGCGGACAATCACAAAGTCTTTGTCACTCCCTTTGCTCTTCAGCCGTTTCCGTGGGGGGCTCTCCGGGTGGCCCAGGTTTGAGAGCAGTTCCTGGGGGATGTTCTCACTGTCGGGCTCCTCTTTCTCCAGGGCGGAGACCCCCATGCCTGACAGCAGTTCAGAAGTCTTGCTGGAATCCCATCCCCACGTGAAGCTGGTGGCAACGTTGCTACTCAGGTCTGGAATCTCCTGGAGGTGCTTCCTGCAGAAGTGCACAATACCCCCGGTTCCTTTCGAAAACACACCCATAAATAATTTCAAGGCAATTAAAGAAGCTGCAGTTTATGCATTGTAGGAAACCTTCACAGCAGCTAACAGAATCGCATTTTTTATGTGCCTGCGGCGAGTTACCAAGAAAACGAAGAAATGAAAAGAACAAATCGAGAAGGCTTTTTGACTTACGATCCTGCAGAAGGCCTCAAGAATTTCTCCCAGTGGAGGGAACAGACAAGGAGAGAGACAGGGCAATCATACACTGATTGAAAACGGTGGCAGAAAAGCCCAATTAGGGAAGCCAAATAAAACCACACGCTGATCCCCGCACTAAGGCATCCATCCATTCACACTTTCCCCAAGAAGGGGCTAAGCAACCATTCACTTAACAGCATTACTAACAATATTAGCCAGTAGCGATATTCGCGGCCTAAAAGAATTATTAAGAGGGTCCATTTCATGCTCTTCCCCTTTTTGCAATCCGTTTACCTGTGCATAGCGTCCGCAGGCCCGGGAGTTTAAAATACGTGCATTAACTGCAGAGCTGCTCGCCTCCCAGATTCCCGCTTTGGCGCGCGGCGGCTCCGAGCGTGCTGCTCGGGCCCCCAGCAGCCAGACCCGCTAAGCCTAGCAACGTTCCATCCCCACTGCGCGCGCAAGGCTCTACAGCCCGCTCTGCTTCGCGGCCGCACTGAGGCCCAAGGCCTGCTGGGAATTGTAGTTTCCGTCCCGCTTCGTAGTCCGACGGGCTCGCCCTTACTTCCTTCCCTTGCAGCTTTACCCGCCTTCGAGATACCCACAACCCCCCGCGGGAGCGGGACTGGTCGGCCCACGGGGTAGGCGGGGAGGCGGAAGCGGGCGGCGCTACGGCTGACTGGGAAATGTCAGCCGCTGGACTGTAGACGGATTTTCCTTTCTCGGGAGCCCGCAGGCCTTCTGGTGATCGCCAGCGCTGTCGTCTCTGAGCGTGGATCCCAGAACCTGGACAGCTGTGGCGGCCGCCGTTTCCCGGTCCCGTCCAGACGCTGTCTGGCGAGATCGGACGGTGAGCCTAAGGCGGAACGCGTGAGGCGCTTTTGAGTCTGGGGTCCGGGGCCGAGAGCAGGCGGAAAGAGAGGGGACCCGGCAGACCCCGAGTGGCCGCCGCTGCGGGGCCCAAGTCCTTGGCTGCTGAGTGGTGACAGTAGCCCAGCCCGCCGGCCAGGTGAGAGGCTGCGAACTGCTGGCGTCGCACCTGTTCGTCCTTTTGCCAGGAAGCTTCTTCCTCCGTCGGGGAGAAGGCGGCCCTAAGAATTGGGTCTGTGGACGGGATCCTTCCTTTATCTGTAAAATAACGCACAACAGCTAAACACGCCGTTGGAACGAGAGACAATGGTTTAATTTTAGGGGAGCCGGAGACCCCAGCGGGTCCTGTGTGGTGGGAAGGCTGCGCATGCCCTTGCAGCCTTGACAGGTCTCATAAATAGCAACATGGGAATAAATGAAAGGACTGTATTTTGCAACGAGCTTTACCCGTGCACGCAGGGGGCCTCCAGCAAAGCCATTTGGTTGCTTGCTGTCGCTCAGCTGGCTACGTGTGTTTGCGTCGCCGCCTAAAAGCGAGCTGCTTTCAGCCTATCTCTGCTGAGAAGAGTTTGGGGGCAGTAAGAGTAGGGAGCGTGACATATTCCAGGTACAATGACCATGCGAAATCCATTGGGCAAACTATACTACAACTGTGACCCCGGGAAAACAGTGGAAGAGGGAAGGGGGATGAATTCTAAGCCTCATAAAAATGAAGATTTATAAAGTTCATAAGGAAGCATAACAGCTTCATCGCATATTAGAATATTCAGTGATGCTGTATGACACACCCTCTGGTTTCCTTGAAAAAATGATTCGCTCTGTAGTGAAATTAAACCTCCCTTGTGCAGGTATATGCTTGTTTCAAGCTTGGTCCTTAGCTTGAAAAGTAACTGCCTCTTGAGGAAGGAATTCATGAACCTTTAGCTCGTTCTTGAAAGATGAGATTGGTGTAAAGAAGGGATCTGTTCACAACTTGGTTTTGATTGGAACTAGGTGCAGAATCCTAGGCTAAGCCGTTCATCAAACTAATGTTATATGGAAAGCATTTTAAAATGCAATATCCTGATGTTTTACAGAAAGTGACCTTTATGTTACTTTGGCTAAGGAGAAAGCATTTGCCTTTGTTTGAAGCTACGTCCTTTCCCTGAAGATTGCAACTCATAGGAGAAAATATTTTTGACACAAAAAATTATAGTTTCCTTCAGGAAAGGGAACAAAACAGAGAGAGCCTGTAAGCTAATGGAGGAGAAAGAATAAACAAAAATATTTAAGATGCCATAATGAGAATAAACAGTTTTGAGATGTAAAATAATTGGGAGAGCCCACTTCAGATATAGATCTCATAGATAGGAAGGTTTAATCGATGAGATGATTCTAAATTTAAAGATGAGAAATATCTTTGTTCAGTCTTGGTTTTACTAGGAGTTACCTGGGAACTAGAATACTTGCAACATCTGAATTAGTGAACACAAGATCCTCTCTAGGACTTCAGGGAGAGCCTGTCAGTTTTGAAATTCAGTTTGATAGTTTGCCCCGGTAACAGACATACTTCATCTTCCTAATATGGGAATAATTTTTTTTTGCCTTCCTTCTAATCATGACTATTGCCTTAATATAATAAATGCAAGTTTAAATTGGTACATTAGATTCTTTTTAACGTAAGGAATTGTGTCCATTGAAGACGAGATTAGTAGGTACATAGAGGTTGCTATCTGGTCATAAAGAACTGCATTGTGATTGCTACTGATGTATCTTATTTTTTCTGATTAATTTTATTTTTATTTTTTGAGAAGAAATTTCACTCTTATTGCCCAGGCTGGAGTGCAATGGCGCAATCTCGGCTCACCATAACCTCCACCTCCCATGTTCAAGCAATTCCCCTGCCTCAGCCTTCCTGAGTAGCTGGGATTACAGGCATGCGCCACCACGCCTGGCTAATTTTGTATTTTTAGTGGAGACGGGGTTTCTGCATGTTGGTCAGGCTGGTCTCGAACTCCCGACCTCAGATGATCCACCCACCTCAGCCTCCTAAAGTGCTGAGATTACAGGCGTGAGCCTCCGTGCCCAGCCGATTCTTACATCTCTTTAAAAGGAAGACGGTCCACCCTTCTTTGTTTCTCCATCCTGCTGTCTAGATGATGATAGGATTCCTGGAGTTCCAGCATCTGTCCTGGAACATAAGGATTAAAGCCACCTGCTAAGGATGTGGACTATAGAAGGGGCCTGGGCCTCTGATAATCTGCTAACTTGCCATAACCACCTATCTCAAGACTTACACGAGAAATAAATTCTGCATTGTATAAGTCTGTACTATATTGGACTTTTCTGTTATGTGTAGCCAAACTAATCTTGAATAATGTATTTCCAGAACTGATAGTCTCTGTGGTGGTGGCAGCTACCTGTTTACATAACCCTTATCACCCCCTAATGTATTTTTTTTAATTGCCTGTTTCTTCCCACTAGACTTTTTAAGGGCAGGGACTTTGCTTGGATTTTTCTATCTCCAGCCCCTTGAACAGAGCTCACCATATAGTAGGCGTTCAGTAAATATTTGCTAAATGAATGAATGGTGCTTGGAACTAAGTAGATCTTTAATTCATTGTAATTTAATGCTCTAAGATAGGCAGCTTGGGGCAAGAACAAACGGATTCTAATTTACTCTATGTTTTCCACTTTTCCCATGTAGAGTACAGTCATATATTACCCTTAAATCAAGTAATAGTAGTATAATCTGTAATGTAAAAAGTTTGCGTTAAATTCTTTATTAAACATGACTAAGCATTCTGTCCTGATATATCTAAAAGAAATGGGAGAAAGTTTCTAATTTGTTCCCTGTGAAGACTGAACAAAATAAATCATTAAGCAATTTAAATTGCATTAAGAAACTATGTCTAGATTAGAGAAGAGACATGTAATTATGATCCAGGCTCTGTAGTAAAGATGCCTCTATTTGAATCCCAGCTTTACCATTCACCAGCTCTGTTAACTTGGACAAGTTACTTAACCTCTCTGCACTGTTTTTTTTCTGTTAAGCAAGGAAACGAACAGCCCTTTCTTACTAGGTTGTGAGGTCTAATTTGATAAAGCTTGGCAGGTACTAGTATTAATACAATGCTTAAAATTTAGTGAACACATTCTAAATGTTAGCTATTCGTTTTTTGAAATTATTTTATTATTAGGAAGGACTTTACAGATTATTCTCTATCAAAATGTCTTGCAATTTCTATGTATGAAATCTTTAAGAATTCAGTAAAATTTTAGTTCTTTTTTCTTATATGCTTACATGATTGCTACCTCTTCTCTTCATGCCTTGCAAAAGGTAAAGCAGGACAGTATGCCACTGTCCTCAGGGGCTTGTCACATTTTGGAATTCAGGTTACCTGGTTGGTTCGCCAACTCAGCTCTTAGGTACCTTTAAAAAATATTATGATGGTTTTTTTTTTTTTTTCATTTTTCGAGTGGGAGTAATAGTCTCTTGCAGTAGTCTGTGTCCTAAACTGAACTCTCTCATACCTGAAATCTTTAAATATGTGAATAACGATTATGTTTGGAAGATTTAAATTTAATTATTGGTGGAAAATTGTTGACTTAATCATTCACTTCTAATTCTGGTTCTTTTGATTTTTCATAATTAGGATTTTGAGTTGTCTCCTGGTTTTTATTATTTTGCACATATCTGAGTAAAAATACAGATATGTGAAGTTAGATAAAATTTCCAATTGGAACCTAATGATTCATCAGACTCAGATATTTAAGTTAACAGTATTTGAGAATGATGAATCATTAGGTTCCGGTCAGAAATTTTTCATTCAGTTTCAGAATCTTTGGTTTTGACAAAATTGTTGTCAGTGTTTTGTTTGTGTTCTGATCACTTGGTACCCATTCTCTCTCTCTCTCTCTCAAAACATTTGGAATTCTTCAAACTACAAAATTATCTTAACCTCTGAAGTTCCATCAAAGGGTATTTGGCCTGAAAAACTATTATCAGCCGTAAAGTACTCAGGAAACAGTACTTTAGTCAGTAACATTAGTCAGTAACATTAACACGCTAATTGTGAAACCATTATAAAGGCATTTGAAAGTAATATTGAATAATATTTTGATGATTGGAAAAAGATTGAATTGGATTTTAAATGTTTAAGACTTTCAGAACTGGTGTTTTGAAGGGTACGATATGCCCACACATCGGGCACTAAAATCTGGTAGTTTTAATGAATTGCCATTTTGATTTCGAGTATAATCAAGTTTTGCTACTGTGGTGCTTAATCACATGGAACTGAATTTTTATTTACCTCCCCATTTTAGTATCACCATCATCATCATTATCATCATTATCATCCCCTTTCTTCTCCTTCTTCCCTAAACCTTGCAACTCATCACTTGAATGTTGGCACAAGGTTAAAGATATGGACTTTGAAACTATTATTTTCTCAAGTTAGGAAAACCCCAATTTTTATCTCCAGTTTCATGGGATCACTGGTCCTAATCTGTGTCATAATAAGGCAATATAGTTCGGCCTCAACAGAAATAGATGGTATGGTAAACAGAATAATAAACCCCTAAGAATGTCTATGCTCTTATCTCTGGAACCAGTAAAAATGATGAAATTATTCAGGCAGGCCCAGTGTAATCAGATAAGCCCTGTAAAACAAATTTCAAGTGTGAGAAGAATTTGACAAGCCATTGCTGCTTCTAAAATATTCAGGACCACAGACACACACACACACACACACACACACACACACACACACACTCACACACACACACACACACGCAGAGAGAGAAGTGAGTGAGGAGATAGATATGTTAATTTGTTTGACTATGGTGATTATTTCACTGTATATGTACAGTATATCAAAACATCACTGTTGTGCACTTTAAATATATACAATTTAAAAACATATACAGAGCCACATGCAAAGACTGGGGAGAGGCCTCTAGAGCTAAGGTTAAATGCCAGCTGTCAGTTTGCAGGGGAACAGGGATCTCAGTCCTATAACCATAAAGAACTGAGTTTTGGCTTGGCTAGGTGGATCATGCCTGAAATCTCAGTGCTTTGGGAGGCCAAGGTGAGAGGATCACTTGCAGCCAGGTATTTGAGTCCAGCCTGGGCAACATAGCAAGACCCTGTCTCTACAAAAAAAATTTTTTTTTAAAATTAGCCAGGCGTGGTGGTGTGCACCTATAGTCCTAGCTATCTGGAAGCTGAGGTGGGAGGATCAGTTGAGCCCAGGAGCTCAAGGTTATGTTGAGCCATGATCATGCCACTGCCCTCCGGCCTGGGCGACAGTGTGAGACCCTGCCAGTAGCCTGAATGAGATTAGAAATGGATTCTTCTTCAGAGAAAGATGCAAACCTGCTGACACCTTGATTTTAAACTTGTGTGACCCTAAGCAGAGAACTAAGTTGAACTATGCTATGTTTGAACTTCTGACCTACAGAAGCTATAAGATATTAATACTAAATGGATGTTGTTTAAAGTCACTAAGTTTGTAGTAATTTGTTACAGCAGTGGTAAGATACTAACACATGAAGTGTGGGAAGGTATGTAACCAAATCATTTATTACTAGAATAAAGGATCCATAATTCTATTTCTTCATCTACAACCCTTTAAAGTGCTGACTATGAATCAGACTGAAAAACAGAGTGCCATAGTAAAAAAATTAATAGCTAGTGTCAGGTTTATAACTGATTTTGTTGTTTGCTTATTATGCCCATAATCTTACCACCTAAAGACTATTGATGTTTTAATATATTTCATTGTTACCTTACTCTTTTTTATGCTTATGTAAAAATATGTGCCAAATTTTCAATTGCTGTTAGGGTAATTTTCTGATGTTATTAAATAATCTTAACAAACATTATTTCTTATACTACAATAATATTTCATCATTTGGCTCTGCCATGCTTTATTTAGCATTTCTTTGGTAATCTCTAATATTTAGTCTTTTTTTTGTATGATTGTCATATTCCTTGCACTGGACAATTTCAGGTCTAGTTCAAGTCATAAAAGGATTTTCAGTTAATTATGTTATATTTAAACTCACATCAATTGGGTTTTTTTAAAGAAAAAAAACCCTAGATCTCGAAGATGGTTTTGTTATCAGCACATTCTGCATTGAGCTTTCAGCCAACTACTTAATCTATGCTTAGCTTAAAAATAAGATTTGGCTGGGCGCTGTGGCGCATGCCTGTAATTGCAGCACTTTGGGAGCTGAGGCAGGTGGATCACTTGAGCTCAGGAGTTCGAGACCAGCCCAGGCAACATGGCAAAACCTTGTCTATTTTTTAAAACATAAGATTTGACTTTGTTGTGGTATAAGTTGTTTCATAGAATATGAAATTTGAAAATTTGAGTAGTATTTGGTAATGTTCAGAGTTTTAAGCCTTTTGAGTTGTAATAAGTATTTGTTAAATCAGTTTACCATTACACGAGTTTTACATTGCCTTTGAAGTCGTCAGTAATAGAAAAATAGTGTATGTACTAAACTACACAGTATTTTTTATTATTTCAACAAATATTTCTTGATACTACTGTATGCCAGGTACTAACTACATCAGACAACTGGAATATAGTATGGAATAAAATAGTCAAGTCTCTGCTCTCATAGAGTCTCTGGGGTAAGGGGAGAGGTGTGGAGAGACAATAAATATAAAGAATGTGTATTATATCAGATGAATAAATGCATTGAAGGAAAATATAGCAGGATAAGAGGGTAGAGATTGATGAAAGAAGTTCAATTTTAGATAATTAAGAAAAATGAAAATATTGACAGTTGAAATGGAAACTGTTTACCAATATAAAAAATAGTGAAGAAAATTGTTCATTAAATGTGATTTTTCTATGTGATAGTTCATGTAGGAGTATTTTGTATATAAATTTAAATTTAACCATTTAAAGTACTTAAATTGTCTTTTCTATTATTCTAAATAGTTTTAGTTAAAGATGTTTGTTGATTTGAAGTATTTCATTGGTTCTCCCTTATTTTGTTATTTATTTATTTATTTTGAGACAGAATTTTGCTCTTGTTGCCCAGGCTTCAGTGTAATGGCACGATATCGGCTTACTGCAACCTCTGCCTTCCAGGTTCAAGCGATTCTCCTGCCTCAGCCTACTGAGTAGCTGTGATTACAGGCACCCGCTACCACACCTGGCTAATTTTTGTATTTTTAGTAGAGATGGTGTTTCACCATGTTGGCCCAGGCTGGTCATGAACTCCTGACCTCAGGTGATCCGCCTGCCTTAGCCTCCCGAAGTGCTAGGATTACAGGTGTGAGCCACTGCCCCTTATTTTATTTTGTTGGGTTGATCACACTCTTGATTCTCTGTGTTAGGATATTAATCAATTCCTTGAAATACTGTAGTATGTAGATAAACAAAAGTCTAACATTGATTTTACAAAGGAGAAAAAGTTCATATTGCCTTTGATTAGTAAATTTTTTTAAGTATAGAGAGATATCAAATTTTTCAATTTTAAAATAGAGACTTTAAATCTCTATACTCTAACTTTTTTGAGTAGAGAGATATCAAGTAAACTATTCGCTGATGACTGTATCATAAAATTAAGAATGTTTTCAAATGTATGACTTTAATAGTCATTGATAAATTTTCTGCATATAAAATAGTAGAAAAATTAAAAATGAGAATTTATCAAAGTAAGTTTAAAGATTTATGTAGATAAATGGAAGTGATAAATATATTTTGTAAAGCAGTGAGTAAGAATTTCATGAAAGTTGAGTTGTTAGGTGAAATTAACACAAAAGAAAAATACTATTTCAAAAAACAAAAGGTTACTTTTAAATGGTCTCTTTCCGTTTTTTCCTTCCTCTCTTTTAGAAAATCTTAAATTATAGAGGATGAATAATCTTAGTAAAATGTATTTTACTAAGTATCTAATTTCCTAGGATTTAGTTAACAGCTTATTTGCATAAACTATTCTGTTAGGACTTATAATATTAAGAAACAAACTCCAGATGACACTGTATTAAAACTGTTCACATCTAAAATAAGAACTTCTTAATTTGTAATATTGTAAGAACTAATAATTTTTGTTAAGTTTTTGAAAATACAAGGTACGTGAAATTTTTTAAGTGTGCTTTAAAAATAAAATATAAGTACTTGAGGATAGGAATTACCCTTTTAATCTTATTCATAGTCCAATGTGAAGCATGACATTTCTCCAAAGAGTTGATTAATGTATTAATGTACTAATAAATATTCAGATGAAATTTCCAAATGTCATTTCCTGTGTTAATGATGCATTTTAACCTTCTTTTTACTTTATAGATATGGTCCAGACCTGTACATGAATAACTTTGGTTAGTCAGAGTGAAATATTCAATAATGAGTGGTGCAGCTTTGGGACTTGAGATTGTTTTTGTCTTTTTTCTGGCATTATTTCTGCTTCATCGATATGGAGACTTTAAGAAACAGCATAGACTTGTGATTATTGGAACACTGCTTGCTTGGTATCTCTGCTTTCTTATTGTCTTCATACTGCCTCTGGATGTTAGTACGGTAAGGAGTGAAATTTATTTTCACAATTTAAAAGACAAATTTTAATCATACAGCATGTTGGAAATAATGTTATTTCTTAAGACAGCTAAGTTATGTCAGTTTTGAATTAAAAGATTATATGGCCATTTGATCATTAAAAAGCATAGCCAAGGGCCGGGCGTGGTGGCTCACGCCTGTAATTTTAGCACTTTGGGAGGCCCAGACTGGCGGATCACAAGGTCAGGAGATCGAGACTATCCTGGCTAACACGGTGAAACACCGTCTCTACTAAAAATACAAAAAAAATAGCCGGACGTGGTGGCGGACGCCTGTAGTCCCAGCTACTCGGGAGGCTGAGGCAGGAGAATGGCGTGAATCCGGGAGGCGGAGCTTGCAGTAAGCCGAGATCGCGCCACTGCACTCCAGCCTGGGCGACAGAGTGAGACTCTGTCTCACACAAAAAGAAAAAAAAAAAAAAAAGAATAAAGCATAGCCAAGAAGGTAAGTTTAGATAGATAGATTTATAAACTCTGATGTCCTTTAAGTACTTGGTAACCTTTTGATTCTCATTTTTAAACCATACATTCGTTGCTTTAGACAATATACAACCGGTGCAAGCATGCTGCTGCAAATTCAAGCCCTCCTGAGAATAGCAACATTACAGGATTGTACGCAACTGCTAACCCTGTTCCAAGGTATTTCCTTTTTTAAAAAAAATATATAAACATTGTAGGGGACACATTGTTTAAAAATTGAAAGTTTTTACCATCCAGACTTTATATTTATGTAAGTTATCCTCATTCTCTACTAATTCTCCCCACCTCTATTCTTTCCTAGTAGACTTTTCATTACATCATATTCTAATTAAATCTAATTTTTAATATTTATTGGTCCACAAAGCCCTTCAGTAGACGGTAGTGAGAAACTTGAAGAAGTCCTGATTTTTTAGTCCTGGTTCTTCTTTACCAAGTATGTAATTTCTAAAACCTGTTTTTCCTCTCAGCCTATCTCAGATTTAAAAACGTGGGATGTATTTTCACTTTTGCCTAATTTACAAGGTTATAATAAAGACAAGTATTTCTGAACTTATGGTATTCCTTTCATATTGCACATCCTTCAAAAGCATTATAGATTTACATAAAAAATTAATAAAGTTCAAATTGTCCAAAGATTATATTGAATTCATATCGAACTTTTAAGTAAAAAGCTTATATATGTTGACTATAGCCTTTATGAATGCTTTCAGTAGTATTTGCATGCTTCTTTATGCATATTTTTAAAAAATCTAACTTCAGAAAAGGTAAATTTAAAATGCAGGTGTTACTTCCATTTGAAGCACTATTAAAAAAACTGGATAAAGATCAGCAGCAGCTACAGATTGTTGCAAGTTCTTGGGATATCCTTCTAGCTTAGGAATATGGCTCCATGGCAGAATTTATGATCAGAGACTCATCATGTCTTCAAAAATTTAAACAGAATTATGTATAATTGCTAGCATGCATCTCCATAGAAGCTATGTTATAGTGAGTGATTTAATTAGCATTACAATTTTCAGGAATTAATTACCTAATGTTTTCCCCTCCCAACCCCTATAACCTGAAAAAAAAAAAACCCAACCTATAAATGGATTGTGTATTTTAAAGGTAATCATTAGAAATTTTATTTCATAATACATTTGCTTTTAATGATTGTTGCACTTTTAGTCTATTAGTTGAACATTAAGTTTTCTTTTTACCCAATGACTAAAAATACACTGAAAGTTGAAAACTTAAATGACATTTTCAGAACAATCTATTTTGTTGCTTTTGTGTGTTTTTTTAGTTTGGCAGTCAGCTTTGAATTTTAAAATTTCTTTGAAATTTTATGGGTTATTGATTATTAGAGTCAGTAATTTAAAATCTGAATGTAAATTAACTTGGCCACATGCAAATTAATTGTATAATTCATTTAAGTAGTCATTTATGATTAGTTGGCTTTAACTTTTTATTCAACAGCCAGCATCCTTGTTTCAAGCCATGGAGTTACATTCCTGATGGAATCATGCCAATTTTCTGGAGGGTAGTGTATTGGACGTCACAATTTTTAACATGGTAAGTTACAGTAAATGATAAAATTTTTAAAATTTTGGCTAAAGGAATAAAATGTTTTTCAATCAATATAGTTTGGAATTTATTTATGTGTCATATGCATTCTGAATCTTTCTACCCATTATTTTTATCTTTCTGCTGTGCTCCAAACTCATAGTTATCCACTGTCTACTAAGCATCTCTTAGATCTGCAAACAACTGCACTCTAAAACTGGAGGCACTGAACATTGCAAGAGAAAAATTACATAGCAGAGTAGTGCTTTTGTAAAGTCATGTCTATTAAATTCAACTGGGCTCTCAACATTGCCAGACTTTCCTTCTTTGTTTTTTTTAGTTTGCTTTCTTTCCATTTTCTACAAGAAATATTTCCATTCACTTCAAACTTCCGTCCTCTTTATGGCTTTCTCTCTTGTGCTCCCTAACAACAACAACAAAATCATCTTTACTCTTAGCCTCTTAGCAGATGACTACTTTCCATCCAGCAGTTAAAACAGGAGTCATCAGACGGCAGCTCTTTCAGCTTCTCACCAACAAATCTACATACCTACCCATCTTTTTTTCTTTCCCCTCCAAAGATGGAAGAGTCATGCTTGTTAAAGCCAATACTTCTGTCACAGGATCCTTAGGGGTGTTGTTTTGCCAGCTGGAAACCTCTATGGCCAGTAGCACCTTTGCCTGAATTTTACTCAGGCCCGCTGGGCTTATTCCGCTTACTCAGCCTGGCAGGTTGCACTTAGCTCATGCTCCTGGCTCTGATCTCATGACTCCCAAGGGCGAGCCAGGCATGGAGTGGTGAGGGGTGTGTGAGTGAGTGAGCATGGGATCCAGCCACTGAGCACAGCCAGACACGCTGGCTGCTGTGGCAGGGTGGGCAGCTCCAGGCATCGGCACAGGTGTCGGCTCTGTGAAAGCCTGTGGCTGGGTCAGATGCACTGCAAGCAGCTTCTGCTGTGGGCACCTGCATCTGGATGAGAGGAATGTGGTGGTACCCAGAAGCTTGGAGATGCCAGAAACCTCAGAGCTCCAAAGAGGGTGTCACAGCCCTAGCTTGGGGAGCCCCTAGATCTGGGCTCCTGGAAGGGCCACAGCTCTTCTCTTCTCGTCACCTGCAACATGGCAAGTGGCAGGGCCATGTTTCAGCCCTGTTTGTGTTTCAGCTCCTTCAGTTCTGCCATTCAGCAGGTCCTGAGTTCTTGTCCTACATCCAGGAAGAATGAGGTATGCAGACAACTGGAGGGTGAGCAAGGTGAAGAGGTGCTTTATTGAGTGATAGTACAACTCTCAGGAGACCCAAAGTGGATAGCTCCTTTCTGCAGGCAGGTTGTCCTGACAAGTATAGCTCTCAGTGGAGAGGAGCCCCAGAGTGGGTAGCTCCTATCTGCAGGCAGGTTATCCCAATCGTCTGTGCAGCCCCCAGTAGAGAGGAGACCTGAAGTAGATAGCTCCTATCTGTAGTCAGGTTGTCCTGTCATCTACCTAAGTGGGGCTGAGTCTGGGGTTTTTATGGGCTTCAGAGAGGAGAAAGTGTGCACTGATTGGGCCATAGGCAGACCTGGATAAAGCACCCTAAGTTCTCACTCTGGTCCACAGAGCTGATGGCCTGGCCTCCATGCTTCAGGCTGTCCCTGGCTTGAAGGTGGGGCTTCACCGGGGACCTGCCCACTTCTGCCCAGGAGCCTATCTGCCTCCTGCCACCATCAATCATGTCATTTATGGCACCCAGGCTGTTCATGCCAACCAGTGCCTGCAGGCCCATGCTGAGCTGCCCTCAGCCCCACTGTCAGCCTCCCTTCTGTGCTTGTTGATGTCCAAAGTCCAGAGTGGGCTGAGGCAGCCGGGGGCTGGTGTCAGTGCTGCCCTGAGCATGTGTGCACACCCAGCTAGGTTACAACAGTGCCTGGATTCAGTCACAACTTTTCTCCAAAATCAGAGCAGGTGTCAGGAGCAGGTACTTCCAAGCCTGTAGGGGTATGGGGGCTTTCTGGGTCCCCGAAAGTGCAGGGATGCCTGGGTCCACAGCCACAGCTGGGCAGCTGCAGCTATGCCCAGAGCAGGGCTCCTGCCCCGCCAACTCGGAAGGGGGTGGGGCTCCCACCTCTTCCCAGCTCCTGCTAGCTCCATGGAGTGCACAGTCCCCGCCAGTCCCCCCACACTGCGGCCAGCAACTTTGCTGGGGGCCACTCCAGACAAGCTGCTGCTGCCATCACTTCTTCCTAAAATATGGATCCATCCCCTTCAGCTCTTGTTACATACTTGTAGCTTTCAATTTCAACGAAGCATGCACATTTCTCTCATCTTTTGAAAAGAAAACAAACAAAAATGAAAGTCTCTCAATTCAGATTCCTTTCCAGCTTCTGCCTTGTTGATCTGATCACAACTAAATTTTTTTAGAAACTTTTTAAAATTGAAGCATAAGTTCGTACCGAAAAATGCATAGATTGTGTTTAGTTTGACTTTTTTCAAAGTGAATACACCCATACACCAGCACTCAGATGATGTTATAGAACATTAGCAATGCCCCCAGAAGCCTCGCTCACGCTTCCCTGTGTAGTCATCCCGCACTCCCCAGAAGTAACCATGATTCTGACTTCCGTCACCATAGATTAGTTTTTGCCTGTTTATGAACTTTATAAGCATAGAATTATACATTGTGAACTTTTTTGCATCTCTCTTTGCTCACATATTTGGGAAATTCATCTATGCTGTGCTGTATGTATCAGTATTCTGTTCTTTTCCATTTCTGTAACATACCCCATTATATGTATATGCCATAGTTTATCCTACCCAGCCAAACTTCTTAAATAAATTCTCTATATTTGATATCTCCACTTGCTCATTGTTTACTTATTTCTTAACCATAGTACTCTGCTTTCTATTCTCCTCCACTTATACATACAGGTTCTTAATTTACTTCACCTCTTGGCGGCATTTGATTCTCTCTCTCCACTTTAACTTTCCTCTCCTAGTTCCTAATCCATATGCTCCTTGGTTTTCTTCCTTGCCCCACTATTGTTCTGTCTCAGTCTCTTTTGCTGGTCTACCCTCCTTCTGTTCTCTACCTCTCTTAAAAGTTGATATTTCTCAGAGTTCTGTCTCAGTTCTTTCCTTCACATTCTCCATACTCATTCTTACAGTTGAGTATCTACTGATGTTATTTCACTGCCATTGATACAGTGATGACTTCGGAAGCTATCCATATTTTTAGTCCGCTCTCCTGAACCCTGAAGCTGGGTTTGTGTGCAGCTCCTCTTGGATGTCTCCTAGGTACTACTTCAAAGTCAGTATGCTGTCAACTGACCTTCTCCCTTTTTGCTTCTTACCACCATCATCACCCTTCCCCCTCCCAACTAGTTCCAATTTTGTTCCCCTTTTATCCATTCTCCGTGTGAAGCCTTAGGAAACTAAAATTTGATCAAAAATGTTTTCTTTGAATGTAGTCCAGACTCTTCATAAAGGCTTTAAAGACCCATTTGCTTTCCCTAAAATTTTATATTACAAAAATACTCAGTCATCTATTATAGTTATTAAGTATTCATGATTACTTATAAACATTTATTAATGAGAAGACCTATTCATTAAAATTGAGATTCATATATTTCTGGCACTTTGAGATTATACAGACATATCAATTATTTGGGTTTTTAATCATATTTTTTCTATCCATCTAGGATTCTCTTACCTTTTATGCAGTCATATGCAAGATCAGGAGGGTTTTCCATCACTGGAAAGATCAAAACTGCACTAATTGAGAATGCAATCTACTATGGCACCTATTTGCTGATTTTTGGAGCATTTTTAATTTATGTAGCTGTAAACCCACATTTACATTTAGAATGGTAAGAAAAGTAGTCTTCTTAACATTGCTTTAATGTATGTTTGCATTTTTAAAAAATCATTTTTAATTTCATATGTGCAGGTAAAAAGACATTTCATTGAGAAATATATTGTTACATATTTTATGGATTTCCCCAAAAGAATATGTGAATAATCCATATTACTAAGAAAATATGGAATGACATCTTTAAATATAGATTTTAGGCAAAAGATTAATGATTAGTCTAATGGCTATATATTAAAAGTAATAACCCTTATGATTTTTGGATAGAATTTCAAAATTTTTATGATAAAATAACTGGTTTTATTTTTCATTGGAACTTGTGATTTTTTTTGTTTTGATTATAATTTGAAGGCATATTTGTTCTTAATGTTACCTTGGATTTAGATATTTCAATAAAATTGAAATCTGTTTTATACTTATGATTTGTAATATATGTGAAGGTCTACATCTGAAAATTTAGGAATAGATCAGCAGTGCTAGGTCTCACTATTGTATTCCTGAGATTTGCTAGGTCAGCAACACAGGTTAATTTGAAACATTTTCAAACTTCTTTTGTTTAATATAGAATAAGAAATCACCTAATGAAAAATGTTTCCTTTGGGAAAATATATACATATTATTGCCATGAATTATTCTAGATGCTAATTTTAACTGCAGTAGAAACAGTGTCTCCTGTGTTAAAGTCTATTTATGCAGTCGCATTTTATCTTTCCATTAAAATATACATATTATCTGTTGTTTCCCTTTCTTAGGAACCAGCTTCAGACAATTGGGATAGCTGCTGCAAATACATGGGGTCTGTTTCTTCTTGTGTTGTTGTTGGGGTATGGCTTGGTGGAAATTCCTCGATCATACTGGAATGGAGCAAAAAGGGGTTATCTACTTATGAAAACGTATTTTAAGGCAGCCAAACTGATGACAGAGAAAGCAGATGCAGAAGAGAATTTGGAAGATGCCATGGAGGTAAGCAAGTTTGAACCTTATAAGCAATAGTCACTAAGTCATATGTATCCCCTTTTAGTCATTTTTGGTTTGTTGTTGTTGTTAGTGCATTGATGGGCTTCAGACTGCAAAACTGGTGTTGTGCAATCCTTCAGGATGTCTCATCCAGGATGACTTTTTAGCAGTTCAGCCTCATGATGTGTCTTGTCCATCTTCTGTCTGACAGAGATTCATGGAAAATATATTCAATAGTGCAGGGCTACGCCTATTATTTTGAGGTAACTTTTAATAGTACCCTCTTTAATTTTCAAAAGTCTCCGAGATTAAATGATAAATTGTATGGTTACCCTAACATAGTAGAACTGAGAATAATGACCAGAGGACACTTATTTCCGAAAGGTTAACCTAAGGTAATCCCACCAATTCTGGAAACCTCTTTAAAGAACAATTTGCATGGGAGTTTGTATTGGTAAGTTTTGTTTCCTATCTGTAATCTTAATAAGACACTTCATTTTACTTGATGACTTAACCTAGTTTCACAAAGTTGTTGAAAGTATAACTTTCAATACTGTACATAAAAATATACAACAAATTATAAAATTTTTCTGTGTTAAATAAAAATTTTGTTATGGATTTAAAGAGATTATTGTAGTCACCTCACATTTTTGCTTCCCAGGGAAAATATGCTACTCAGCTGATGATACTCTCCAAATTAAAACTCCTGTTGAAGGCTTTTCATTCATGTTAGAATAAACTCCAAAATGTTTTAATGCAGCCTACAGAAAAATAATTTGGCCTATGTTTAGCTCTCCAGCTGTATCCCAAGCCTCTATTTTCTTGCACTGGTCATCTTTGGTTTCTCAAACTTGCTAATGTTGATGAAATAATAAACAATTCTATAGACTTAATATTTACCTAACACTCAACTTTCGTTCCTCAAACTTAGTAATGGTGATAATTATAGTAAACAATTATATAGACTTACTATTTGCCTAAGAGGGACTTTCTAAGCACTATACATATATTTAATTCTCATGACTTTATGATAGAGATTTTTGTAAATCCCCATTCTATAAATGAAGAATATGAGGCACGGAGAGATTAAGTAACTTTCTCATGTCTACATGGCTAGGAAGTGATAAGAGCCAGGCAGTCTTGCCTTAAACAGGGACTGACAAACTTTTCTGTAAAGGGCCAGATAGTAAATATTTTAGGCTTTGTGTGCAATGTCATTTCTATTGCAACTACTCTGTCATTGTAGGATGAAAGCAGCCATAGCCAGTAAATAAATGAATGAGAGTGGGTGTGTTCTAGTATGAGAACAAGTAGTGGACTGAATTGATCTGGCTTGATGACCATATGCTTAATTATTACACACATTGTCTTTCTTTTCTATCTTTGAGCATGCTATTCCCAAACTATTAGAATGCTCTTTTCAGCACTCTCTTCAGCTAATTCCTATTTCATTTTCAAGTCTTAACATAAATGATAATTCTTCAGGGAAGCTTTATTAGCTTCCTAGGACTGCTGTAACAAAACTACTACAAACTGGGTGGCTTAAACAATAGAAAATATTGGCTCACAGTTCTGGGGACTAACGTTCAAGATTAAGGTATCTGCAGGGTTGGTTCCTTCTGAGGGTTCTAGGGAAAATCTGTTCCATGTTTGTCTTCTGTCTTCTGGTGGTCTACGATCTTTGGCATTCCTTGACTTGTAGACCCCTGCCTTCATCTTCACATGGTGTTCTCCCTGCGTGCCAGTGTCCAAACTTCATTGTTTTGTAAGGACACCAGTCATATTGGATTAGAGTTCATCCCACTCCAGTATAACCTCATCTTAACTTAGCTAATTAAATCTGCAACAACCCTATTCCAAATAAGATCACATGTTAAGATACTGGAGGTTAGGTTTCAGGGGACACAATTCAACCCATAACATCTTCCCTGATTGTCCAGACTCTTAAACACTCAGCAACCATTTTTTAAATGAATGAATAAATGAATAAATGAATGTATACTGTGATTCGAAAATTTTACGTTGGCTTTGCAGCATTTATTCTCTACAAAATGTAAGAACTACAGCAGAAAATATTGATTTAAATGTAGGAGTGAGTCTGTAAATAGTATTATTTAAATTGAAATGAATAAATTTCCTGTTATATTCAACATTCCCATGATGAATGTTATTATGTCTTTTGAAAGAACATTATTTATATTTGATAAATTTTACATTTATATTTGAAATTTTGAATTTTTGAAAAAATTGAAAACTGATATTTCAATAAGATACTTATATTTGATAAAAGAAATTAATTTAAGTTTAAGTTTGATAGCGTTCCATCCAAAAGTTGGTATTAAATTCAGTTGTTTCAGATTTGAGGAATTTGGATTTCACTAATTTATTCAACATTCCTGCAAAAAAAATAAACCCAGCTATTATTTGAGTTATGGATTTTCCCTAGAGGAAGCTTTGCTGTCTGAATAAAATAGATTTTGTTGTTGTTATTTTAAAATAGGAGCCCTTTGCTTAGAAATAGGATGTGGAAAATTAAGGACCAGCATTGGACTTCTCTGCTATTTTAGTATAGTATTCTTAAGTTTTAAGCTGTGTAAAAAAGTTTAGATAAGAAACTGCTCTTTAAAAATGGATGTTTTGAAAATAGCAGTAAGTACACATAGATAGCAGGAGAACTCTGAACCTCTTTCCATCAAAAACAATGCATGATTTCTCAGGTATGAATTTCTTTTTTGTTTGTTTTTCTGGGGTTTTAAAAAATTTTCGTACATGCTCTTCACCTCAAGCATTTATTTTTCTTTATGTTACAAACAATCCAATTATATTCATTTAGTTATTTTAAAATGTACAATTACATTATTGACTGTAGTCACCCTGTTCTATCAAATACTGGATATTATTCACTCTAACTATATTTTTGTATCCATTAACCATTCCCACTTCCCACCCTCCCCTCTACCCATAACCCCTCCCAGCCCCGTAAATAAGTGGGAACATGTGAAGTTTGTCTTTCTGTGCCTGGCTTATTTCACTTAACATAGTGACCTCTAACTCCACCCATATTATTGCAAATGACTGGATCTCATTCTTTTTAATGGCTGAATAGTACTCTGTTGTGTATATGTACCACATTTTCTTTATCCATTCATATGTTGATGGACACTTAGGTTGCTTCCAAATCTTGGCTATTGTGAGTACTGCTGCAATAAACATGGGAGTGCAGACATTTCTTTGATATAGTGATTTCCTTGTTTTGGTTATATACCTAGCAGTGGAATTGCTGAAACACATGGTAGCTTTTTTTTTTTTTTTAATTTTTTTGAGGGGCCTCCAAACTGTTCTCCATAGTAGTTGTACTAATTTACATTACATTATTGTCTGTCTTTTGGATAAAACCCATTTTAACTGGGGTGAGATGATATCTCATTGTAGCTTTGATTTACATCTTTTTGATGATCAGTGATTCAAAAATCAGTAGCATTTCTATATGTCAACAGCAAACAATCTGAAAAAGAAACCCCATTTACAATTGCTATAACACAAATAAAATATCAAGGAATTAGCCAAATAAGTGAAAGATCTCTGCAATGAAAACTATAAAATGCCTGTTTTTGCCTGTTTGCCATTTGTATGTCTTTTTTTTTTTTTTTGAGAAATTCAAATCTTTTGCCCATTTTTAATCTTATTATTAAATTTTTTTTCTCATGGAGTTGTTTGAATTCCTTATATATTCTGGTTATTAACCTCTTGTCAGAAAGATAGTTTACAAATATTTTCTCCTATTCTGTGGGTTATGTCTTCATTTTGTTGATAGTTTCCTTTGCTGTGCAGAAGCTTTTTAACTTGATGTGATCCCATTTGTTCACTTTTGCTTAGATTGCCTGTGCTTGTAGGTTATTACTAAATAAATTTTTGCCCAGTCCAATATCCTGGAGAGTTTCTCCAATGCTTTCTTGTATTAGTTTCATAATTTGAGTTATTAGATTTAAGTCTTTAAATCATTTTGATTTGATTTTTATATATGGGGAGATAACTGGTCTAGTTTCATTCTTCTGCATATATCCAGTTTTCCAGTTTTCCTGGCACCATTTATTGAAGAGACTATCCTTTCCTCATTGTATGTTCTAGGAGCCCTTGTCAAAAATGAGTTCACTGTAGATATATGGATTTATTTTGGAGTTCTCTATTCTGTACCATTGGTCTGTTTTTATCCTAACACCATGCTGTTTTGTTTATCACTTTATTATGTAGTTTAAAGGCAGATAATGTGATTCCTCCAGTTTTGCACTTTTTACTCAAGATAGCTTTGGCAGTTGAGGCTCTTTTGTGGTTCCATATAAATTTTAGGATTGCTTTTTCTATTTCTGTTAAGAATGTCGTTGGTATTTTGATAGAGATTGCATCGAAATTGTAGATTGCTTTGGGTAGTATGGACATTTTAACAATATTGATTCTTCCAATCCATGAAAATGGAATACCTTTTTATTTTTTGTGTCCTCTTCAATTCCTTGCATCAGTGTTTTATAGTTTTCATTGTAGAGATCTTTCACTTATTTGGCTAATTCCTTGGTATTTTATTTGTGTTATAGCAATTGTAAATGGGATTTCTTTTTCAAATTGTTCACGGTTGACATATAGAAATGCCACTGATTTTTGAATGTTGATTTTGTGTACTGCAGCTTTACAGAATTTGTGTATCACTTCTAATAGTTTTTTGGTGGAGTTTTTAGGTTTTTCCAAATGTGAGATTTATCACCTGAAAACAGGATAATTTGACTTCTTTCTTTCCAATTTTGATGCCCTTTATATCTTTCTCTTGTCTGATTGCTTTACCTAGGACTTCCAGTACTATATTGAATAACAGTGGTGAAAGTGGGCATCCTTGTCTTGTTATGGATCTTAAAGGAAAGGCTTTCAATTTTTCCCCATTCAGTATGATACTAGCTGTGGGTCTGTCATATATGACTTTTATAGTGTTGAGGTATGTTCCCTGTATATTCAGGGTTTTTTAGGGTTTTTATCATAAAGGGATGCCGAATTTTATCAATGCTTTCTCAGCATCAATAGGAATGCTCATATGGCTTTTTTCCTTCATTCTATTAATATGATATATCACATTGATTGATTTGCATATGTCAAACCATTCTTGTATTCCTAGTATAAATCTGAATTGATCAGATGGATGACCTTTTCAACGTGTTCTTGAATTCATTTTGCTAGTGTTTTCTTGAGGATTTTTGCATGAGTGTCTATCAGGGATATTGGCCTGCAGTTTTCTTTTTTTGATGTGTCTGTTTCTGGTTTTGGAATCAGGGCAATACTGGCCTCGTAGATTGAGTTTGGAAGTATCCCTCCTCCTCTGTTTTTCAGAATAGTTTGAGTAGGATTTGTGTTAGTTCTTTAAATGTTTGGTAAAATTCAGCAGTGAAGCCATTGGGTCCTGGGCTTTTCTTTGCTGGGAGACTTTTTATTATGACTTTGATTTTATTACTTGTTGTCAATCTGTTCAGGTTTTGGATTTCTTCATGGTTTGATCTTGGTAGGTTGTATGTGTCTAGGAATTTGTCCATTTCTTCTAGGTTTTCCAATTTATTGGCATATAGTTGCTCATTAGAAGTCTCTAATAATCCTTTGAATTTCTGCAGTATCAGTTGTAATGTCTTTTTTATCAATTCAGCCACTCTGTGTCTTTTGATTGAAGAGTTTAGTTCATTTACATTCAGTGTTATTATTGATAAGTGAGGACTTACTCCTGCCATTCTGTTATTTGTTTTCTGGTTGTTTTGTGATATTCTTTTCTTTCCTTCCTTCCTGTCTTCCTTTTTGTGAAGGTGATTTTCTCTGGTGGTATGTTTTAACTTCTTGCTTCTTATTTTTTGTGTATCTGTTGTATGCTTTTTGGTTTGAGGTTACTTGAGGCTTGTGAGTAATATCTTATAGCCTGTTATTTTAAACTGATGACAACTTGACATTGATTGCAAAAATAAACAGAGAAAACTAATAAAAACTCTAGATTTCACTTCATCCCTCCAATTTTTAACTTTTTGTTATTTCTATTTATGTATTATTATACTATCTGTGTCTTAAAAAGTTGTTGTAGTTATTTTTCTTTATTTTATTTTATTATTATTATACTTTAAGTTTTAGCGTACATGTGCACAATGTGCAGGTTTGTTACATATGTATACATGTGCCACGTTGGTGTGCTGCACCCATTAACTCGTCATTTACATTAGGTATATCTCCTAATGCTATCCCTCCCCGCTCCCGCCACCCTACAACAGACCCTGGTGTGTGATGTTCCCCTTCCTGTGTCCATGTGTTCTCATTATTCAGTTCCCACCTATGAGTGAGAACATGCGGTGTTTGGTTTTTTTGTCCTTGCGATAGTTTGCTGAGAATGATGGTTTCCAGCTTCATCCATGTCCCTACAAAGGACATGAACTCATCCTTTTTTATGGCTGCATAGTATTCCATGGTGTATATGTGCCACATTTTCTTAATCCAGTCAATCATTGTTGGACATTTGGGTTGGTTATTTTTCATTGGTTTGTCTCAAGATATGAGTAGTTTTCACACCGCAGTCATAGTGTTAATAATATTCTTTGTTTTTCTGTGTACTTGCTATAACCAATGAGTTTTGTACCTTCAGATGATTTTTATTGCTCATCAATGTCCTTTTCTTTCAGATCGAAGAACTCCCTTTAGCATTTCTTATAGAACAGGACTGGTATGGACGAAATCTCTCAGCTTTTGTTTGTCTGGAAACGTTTATTTCTCTTTCATGTTTGAAGAATATTTTCACTGGATATGTTATTCTAGGATAAGTTTTTTTTTTTTCTTTCAGCATTGTAAATATATCCTGTCACTCTCCTGGCCTGTAAGGTTTCCACTGAGAAGCCTGTTGCCAGACATATTGGAGCTCCATTGTGTGTTATTTGTTTCTCTTCTCCTGCTGCTTTTAGGATCCTTTCTTTATCCTTGACCTCAGGGAGTTTGATTATTAAATGTCTTGAGATAGTCTTATTTGAGATAAATCTTCTTGGTGTTCTATAATCTTCTCATGCTTGAATATTGATATCTTTCTCTAGGTTTGGGAAGTTCTCTATTATTATCACTTTGAATACACTTTCTACCCTTATCTCTCACTCTACCTCCTCTTTAAGGCCAAGAACTCTTAGATTTGCCCTTTTGAGGCTATTTTCTAGATTTCGTAGACACTTTTCATTCTTTTTTATTATTTTTTGTCTCCTCTAACCATATTTTCAAATAGCCAAATTTTCAAGTGTCTTCTAGCTCACTGATTCTTTCTTCTGCATGATCATTTCTGCTGTTAAGATACTCTCATGCATTCTTCAATATGTCAATGCATTTTTCAACTCCAGAATTTCTACTTGATTATTTTTAATTCTTTCAACAGCTTTGTTAAATTTACCTGATATGATTCTGAATTCCTTCTCTGTGTTACCTTGAATTTTGTTGAGTTTCCTTGAAACAGCTATTTTGAATTCTCTGTCTGAAAGGGCACATATCTCTGTGTCTTCAGGATTGGTCCCTGGTGCCTTGTTATTTATTTTATTTAATTTTTTTGAGGCAGGGTCTCACTGTGTTACCCAGGCTGGAGTGCAGTGGCATGATTTTGGCTCACTGCAGTCTCCACCTCCTGGACTCAAGTCATCCTCTCACGTCAGCCTCCCAAGTAGCTGGTAGCTGGTACTACAGGCACACACCACCACCCAGCTAATTTTTGTATTCTTCTAGTGACAGGGTTTCACCATGTTGCCCAGGCTGTTCTCAAACTCCTGAGCTTAAGTGACCTCCAGCCTTAGCCTCCCAAAGTGCTGGGATTACAGGAGTGAGCCACTGTACTTGGCCCTGGTGCCTTATTTAGTTCATTTGGTGAGGTCATGTTTTTCTGGATGGGCTTGATTCTTGTGGATGTTCGTCGGTGTCTGGACATTGAAAAGTTAGGTATTCTTTATAGTCTTTGCAGTGTGGGCTTATTTGTAGCCATCCTTCTTGCAAAGGCTTTCCAGGTATTTGAAGGGACTTGGGTATTGTAATCTAAGTTTTTGGTCACTACAGCTGTATCTATATTAGGGGACACCCCAAGCCCTATAATGCTGTGGTTCTTGCAAACTTGGAGATGTGTGCCACCTTGGTGGTCTTGGATAAGATCTGGAAGAATTCTCTGGAGCACCAGGCAGAGATTCTTGTTCTCTTCCCTTACTTTCTCCCGGACAACTGGAGTCTTTCTCTTTGTCCTGAGCTGCCTGGAGGTGGGGGAGGGGTGTCTCAAGCACCCCTGTGGTCACCATCACTGGGACTGCACTGAGTTAGACCTGAAGTTATCATGGCACTGTGTCTCGCCCAAGGCCCACGGTAACCACTGCCTGGCTACCGTCTATGTTTGCTCAAGGCCCTGGTCCTCTACAGTCAGCAGGTGGCAAAGCCACCCGAGCTTTTGTTCTTCCCTTCAGAGTGGCAAGTTCTCCCTGAGTTGGGGTGTGTCCAGAGATGCCATCTGGGAGCTAGGGCCTGGAGCCAAAAACTGTAGGAATCTACCTGTGGCTAAACTGGTACCCAAGCCACAAGACAAAGTCCTTCTCACACTTTCCTCCCCTTTTCACAAGCAGAGGAGTCTCTCTCCATGGCCACTACTGCCCCAGGGCCACAATGAGTATATCCTCATTACCTCCAGTGTTCATTCAAGGCCCAAGATCTCTTCAGTCAGCTTTTGGTGAATGCTGCCATGCCTGGGACTTTCCCTTCAGGGCACTGGACTCCCATGTGACCCAGAGAAGGTTCAACAATGCTGTCTAAGAGCCGAGTCCTGCAATCTGGGGCCCCAAGAGCCCACTTAGTACTATAGCCAACAGTGGCTGAGGTTGTACCTTGTTTTTTGGTTTTTATGAAGGCACTTTTTTGTGTGGATAGTTGCTTAATTTGGTGTTCCTGTGAGGAGGACAATCAGTGGAGACTTCTGTTCAGCCATCTTGCTCCACCTCCTGTGTATGAATTTCTCTGGCCATATACTTCAAGGTATTTTGGGATTCTTTCTGCTTTTCTGAATATCTGGAAACTTATAAACTTGAGGAGAAATGTATTTATCATTTAAAAAATATTTACTGTCTTCCTGCCATGTTAAGTGCTATGCAGAACTGGCCAGAATAGAAATTCCTATTCTACTGACTTTCTAGAGTAGAAAATTGGACAGAGTCCCTTACAGTTTATGGTAAATGTGACATGAATGATGAAAATGCTCTAGTATGGAGAGGTATCACTACTGAATAATGGTCAAAGGACATGAAGTATGGCCTGGGCCTTGCGGGATGGGTAGAATTTTGATAGCTGATAACATTCTGGGCAGATATCAGGAAGTTTTAAAACCAAATTAGTTTGAGCATAAAGTTTACATTGGAAAGATAAAGCTATATCTTGGCTTTGAATGCCATACTGAGAAGTCCAGTCATTTGACAGATAACAAACTTCAATCACTTTATTGGTAATTATTTTTTCAGCTATCCATTTAATCTCCCAAATGTAGTTTTATAAAAACTGTTTGGTATTTTTATGATATGTTTCTCTCTGAAATTGATATATGCATTTGTGTGTCTATTACCTTTCTTTGAAGCATTAATAAAACTTATAAACTATGTCAAATCATTCAAAAGGTATTTGCTAGATGGCCAAAAAGGTCACCTCTACCTTTTATCATTTTTCTAGATAGAGAATTTTAGGGAGGGAGAAACAGCTACTTTTTTCCACTGAAAACTGCCTGTTAGCCTCCCTTCACGAATGCTGTCTGACCTGCTTAGAAAAGAATTTGACAAGACACAGTAATGAAAGAGCTCAAAGTTACATTATTTTGTATGAAGAAGGCAAACAGTATATTTCAAATACTTTCCATGCTTTATTAAAATTATGAACTTTTGAAGGAACCCTAAATTTATAATAGATATAGCAAATGTTAATTAATTGTTTCAGTACTTGTTTTTTAATATGGCTAAATAATTTAAAGAAAAAAACATGGTATTTCACATATAATATATAAACAAATTGTTTAGTTCATATTAAAAGTATGATAAATTTGTGCTAACAAGTCAAGAAACTTTAAGGCAGCTTAGTAATGGAAAATAGATGTAATGATGCTTCCAGGTAACCTCTTAAAAACCCAAGTCTTATCTTGTCACTGTCATGTATAGGCATCACACATTAACCTCAAAATAAACCATGATTAAGGGCTTCTAGGATCACTTTGATCTTGCTCTTTCAGCCTGAGCCAGTGCTATGCAGACCCTTAATCTCCCTTTCCCTGTAATCACACTGGACTTTTTCAGTCCCTTCAAATAATGTACTCACTTACGCCTGGAGGCCTTTATGTGTCCTGTCCCTGTCTCTTTGCCTGGAATATTCTAGTCTCTCCCTTTGGTTGACTGACTTCTATATATTTTGTTTCATCTCATTTTAAATAATCAGTTAATCAGAATCTACATTCTCCCCTCTCAGAGCACCTCATACTTTGACAGCAGTTTCCACATCATTTTTATTTATGTTTGTTTTCCTCATTAAGCTAAATTCCTTGACAGGAATAGTGTCTACTGGTACAGATTATTTATAAAGTATGCATATTCTAAATTTCAATAGATGTTGTGAAATTACCTTTAAATAGATTATATCACTTTTTGCTGTGTATAGGAGGGCCTGTTTTCCCAGTCTTACCTCTTTACATGATATCAATTTTGAAAAAAGCTTCTTATTTTTAAAATCTGTAACTGTTTTTAGCGAGCTCAGATATCTTTTTAGACATTTATTGGCCAATTGTATTGTTTTCTATATTCCCATTTTTCTGTTGATTTGTAAGAGCTCATCACATATTAAGGATAATGAGTCTGTCATATAAATTACAAATATTTTTTCGCAATTTTGTCTATGTGCTAGATGGCTTCTCCGCCTTGAGTTTTGTATCCCTTAAAACCCTGCTCTACTCTATGCCCCAGAATGTTCTTCTAAATATCCTGCTCACTTCTCTTATGCTTTCCAGGCTGTGAACATGCTATTTCACCTGACTAAAACAGTGGTTTCAACTTCTTAAAAATTTCATGAATATTATAGAATATTGTGATTCCTTAGGAACTACTGGTTCTAAAGAGTCTTCTCTTTAACCCTTTTGTGCCTTTTATACTCAGAATTGCTTATTTAATTATCCATTACTGGACTGAAATTTTAAGACTGACAATTCCTTGTCTTCTCTCCCCACCCTCCAGTATGGATTACGGGGGCCTTACACCTAGCACAGTACTGGCAAATAGTATGCTGTTTTGTTTGTTTGTTTTTAAGTTATTCTATTTTTAAATTTTAATCTATTTATTTATTTATTTATTTATTTAGAGACCAGGTTATGAGACTGGCTAATGTTTGTATTTTTGGTAGAGACAGGGTTTCACTGTATTGCCAAAACTGGTCTTAAACTCTGGGACTCAAGTGATCCACCTGTCTCAGCCTCCCAAAGTGCTGGGATTACAGGCCTGAGCCACTGCGCCCGCCAGTAGATAGTGTGCTCCTGATAAGCAAGTATGGAGTTAATCAATCATGACTGCTCTAGAGTACTCTTCTATTGGAAAAGAGCTGGCACTTTGTGACATTTGTAGCCTTTTCTGCTTCCTCTGGTTTTTCACTGTATTTTATATAATGAGATCATTGATCTTGGTGAGTAAGGCAGAGGAACATATCCCTATTCTTTTAGGACCATAAAGTTTGTCTGATCTTTTGTGGACTTTTAAATAGTGCTTATTCTTTTTTGTGTACCAAGTAATGAAGTGATGAGAGAGTGAATCTAGAAAGTAAGGAAAAGTTCAGGGTATAGAAATAGCTATTCAGTGACTTTGTATTTTTACTTGTGTTCTTAAGAACCTTTATTCATGTAATGCAAAGTAATTTGTGTTGAAGTTGAACTTGTGAGAAAATATATAGTACCTAATGCATTCTCATTTGGAATATGTGATCTGTAGAAATGGAAATATTTTTATTTATTTTACTGTTTTTATAGGAGGTTCGTAAAGTGAATGAAAGCATCAAGTATAATCACCCATTGAGAAAATGTGTTGATACAATACTTAAAAAGGTAATGAAATCATCTTGTCTGTTTCCTTTTGAAATATACACTTATATAATATTATACCAAAAGTACCAGAAAAGTATGAAAACAGCCTATAGCTGAGGTCTTCTAAATTCATTTTCATAGAAATATCAACCCAACACCATTTGTACTTTGAATTTTTTTAATTACTGCAAGTTTAACACTAATTATTGGCAGTATTTTCTATTGAAATATGGAGATAGAGGTTGAGTAATATATAAGGATTGTCATGACAATGATGGAAATAAACCTTTAAAATGTCATTGTATATGTTCACTAAAGGCATATCTCCTATAAGAAAATAAACCAAGGCCTCAGTAATATCTTACAATCAGCTGCCTACACGTTATTTTACAAATATATTTCATTAATATATTCATGACATATATCATAAAATGAATGATGTTAACATAGACATTTAATAAACTATACTATATTTAACTATATTTATATTTATATATTTACTATATTTATAATAAACTTAACTATATTTAATAAAGTTAAGGTTTTGATGCATTGGTATTGAATTAGGGGTATTCATATACTTCCAAAAATGGTTATTTGCAGTTCCCCAATTGTCTTTTAAACCCACAGAACCATGGAAACATTTATTTTCCTAGATTTTAAATCTGTTATACTGATTCTTGTGTAGTGTTCTGTTTGGCTAAGATAATACTCATGGAATCACTTTTCTAACTATTTATCTCACATTTGCTACTTTTTGAGAACTACTAAGAGAGGTTAACTAAGTTGCCCAAGTTCATATAGGTAATAAGTGAGTAGTAGTATGGAAGATGACTTTAAATGCATGTATTTATTTCTCTGTGCTATGCCTTTCAAAAATTCAGCATCTTGGATTTGTCATGATTTTGCTTCATTCTTTAGCTAGAAAAATAATTTATCCTACTTAGAATAATCTTCTCAAATACTAGTTGCTTCCTGCAGGTAAGCTCCCCTGCCTATAGCCATCTATACCTATCTGGTATATATGAACACAAAGATTAATATTATAAAGGTGAGAAGAAACTCAGTACATCTTTTAAGACATTTTCAAGAAAATATCAGCAAATGAAGTCTAACTAGAGATGACAATAAAGTAGGAAGATGTTTTTGAGAAAATTAGAACTGCTCAAGAATGAAAGATTTTTAATAAAAATAAATTTTTATCTTTTTACAATTAAGATTTTTAAAAATCTACTTTTTTTTTTTTTTAGTGCCCTACAGAGTATCAGGAAAAAATGGGTAGGAACATGGATGATTATGAAGATTTTGATGAAAAGCATAGTATCTATCCAAGTGAAAAAAGTCTGGTAAAACTGCATAAACAGGTAACTTTGTTAATTATAAGTATTTTACTTAATGATGATTTTAATTAGACTTCTAATCATTGCTCATAAAAAAAGGAATTTTTAGTGAATGTGTATTTAAAACTTCCTTTAATCCCGTCCTTATCATTCTTTGAAATATTTTATCTCTGTGTATACCAGCAGGGGTATTATTGGCGTTTGGGGAGGGAGAATTCTTCACTGAGCATAACTGTTACATTATATAAAACTGTTACATCATTTTGGAACATTAATATTCTCAGCCTGACCCAGTAAATGCCCTAGCACTTTCCCATTGTTATGACAATCCAAACATGCTCCCTAGTGGAGAGTTGAACCACTGTTGGATCAGAACACTGCCAGGTCTACCCCCATTCTCTTTTTTAGGTGATTTATTCAGTTCAGAGACACCGTCGAACTCAAGTACAATGGCAGATTCTTTTGGAACAAGCATTTTATCTAGAAGATGTAGCAAAAAATGAAACTAGTGCTACTCATCAGTTTGTTCACACCTTTCAATCGCCAGAGCCAGAAAATCGATTTATCCAATATTTTTATAATCCTACATTTGGTATGTAATTTGATATAAATTTCAAACTTTAATGATGAAAAGTTTTCTGTAGAAAGAAGTTATGTATTTTCACCAATGCAAAGTTGAATTTTATTTGTATTATTTGATTTATACCATGTGATATTAAGTATCTGGTAACATTTCCCCAAAATAACTGTTTTACTTATCATATAACATATAATCCATCAGTTTCCACTGTTACTTCACAAATAATAAAAATTCTATTAAAAAACATGTATACATCAAGCATATTTTTTATAATGCATAATATATACAATTATGCATTGCTTAATGACTGGGATTACTCTGAGAAATGTATTGTTAGGCAATTTCATCACTGCATGAGCATCATAGGGTATGTACTAAACCTAGATGGTATAGTACAGGTAGGCAATATGGTATGGCTTATTACTCCTAGGCTACAAACCTATACAGCATGTTACTGTACTGAATAGTGTAGGCAGTTGTAACACAGTGGTTTTTGTGTATATAAACATAGAAAAGATAATAGTAAAAATGCAGTATTGTAATTTTATGGGATCACCATTGTATATGCAGTCCATCATTGACTGGAATGTTGTTATGTGACACATGACTGTACTTAAAATAGTTAGAATTTTAAGTAATTTTACATCACAAGCTTGGGTCTCTTCTTCAGTCTTGACATACTACTGAAATATTTGCTTAAGTAGTCCTCTTTGATTATTAACATTTATTAGTCTTATTATAAAACCTATACTTTGTAGTTATCATTTTTCTCCTTTTTGCTAATTTATGGCAATCCCTTCAAGTATTGTCAAATTTAGTGTGAAGAAACTTAAAGCAAGTACCAAAGTGTCATAGTATTAAAACTTCTATTTACCTTATTTATTTTAAAAAAATTGTTATATTCACTTGATTCTCCTTTGCATGTTTGGTTTTGAGTATGAAGACTTAATGGCTATAACAAATATCTCAGAAAACTCCTTTAACAAAAATCCTTCCTAATTAAATGAAGGAATGATGTGTTATCTGTTTTCATTCATTCAACAAATATTTGGGTACATTAGTGCTATGTATTATTGGGTGCTGGGTAGCTTGGTATATATCAGTTTAAAAAGACAGAAATTCCTGCCCTTGTGGAGTGAGAAAAACAGACAATAAACATATAAAGGCATAAAGATTCTGAATAGGCAGTTGATTATAGAAATTGAAATTCAAGGGAGGAGTCTGAATTGCAGATATGAATTAGGGTACCATCAATGTGTAGGGAACCATGGGGTCAGGATAAAATCAATAAAGAAGTAATTGAGATAGAGAAAAGAGAAAAGTCTGAGGACCAAGCCTGAGGCACTCCAGAATTTAGAGATTAGGTGGATGAGAAGTAACTAGCAGAAAAGACTAGAAAAGGAGGGGCCAGTGAGATAGGAAAATTAGGACAATGAAGTGTTTTGAGGAAAAGAGTATATAAAGTACCTTTTCAAATGTTGCACATAGATTAAGGATCATATATATTAAGACCTGACCATTGGATTTTAGAGAAGTGAGGGGAGAGGATAAAAAAGTCTGACTGTAATTTAAAAGAAATAAGAAGAGGAGCAATTGGAGACAGACTAGAAAACTCTAAAAATGTTTTCCTTATAAAAGGGAACAGAGAAAAGGGGTAGTAGCTGAAAGAGGATTGGGGGCATAGTCAAGAGAAATTATCACATGTAATTAGTAAATGATATAATAGAATTTGAGGCCAGGCGCGGTGGCTCACACCTGTAATCCCAGCACTTTGGGAGGCCGAGGCGGGCAGATCACAAGGTCAAGAGATTGAGACCATCCTGGCCAACATGGTGAAACCCCGTCTCTACTAAAAATACAAAAATTAGCTGGGCGTGGTGGTGCGTGCCTGTAGTCCCAGCTACTCGGGAGGCTGAGGCAGGAGAATCACTTGAACAGGAGGCGGAGGTTGCAGTGAGCCGAGATTGTGCCACTGCACTCCAGCCTACCTGTAGTCCCAGCTACTCGGGAGGCTGAGGCAGGAGAATCACTTGAACCCAGGAGGTGGAGGTTGCAGTGAGCCGAGATTGCGCCACTGCACTCCAGCCTACCTGTAGTCCCAGCTACTTGGGAGACTGAGGCAGGAGAATCGCTTGAACCCGGGAGGCAGAGGTTGCAGTGAGCCAAGATTGCACCACTACACTCCAGCCTGGGGACAGAATGAGACTCCGTCAAAAAAAAAAAAGAAATAAAGAGAGAGAGAGATGAAAGAAAAGAAAGACAAAAAGAAAGAAAGAGAGAAAGAAAGAAAGAGAAAGAAAAGAAAAAATTCATAGAATTTGATAAGACAATAGAGAATTTCTAAGACAATGTTCATGACTAGTAGAGATGAGATGGTGGGAAATAGTGAACAATGAAGAGAATGGTGGAGGTAAGGCACAGATGTAACTAGCTGAGAAGGTGTAGTGTTAGAAACTTGGGAAAATTCTCTGATCGCTTCTGTTTTCTCAATGAAATGTGGAGAGTAAGTATAGGAGAGGAGATTTTAGAGATTTGAGGAGGGAAGAGAAGGTGCAAAATAGTTGCCTAGGAGAGTGGCATGGGAGAAGATTGGGGAATTATAGTAGGCTAGTGAGGCAGTACTGAGGACCCACTTGAAGCTAGTGATTAAGAATTTAAAGTGAGGCCAGTCAACAAGGTGGGGTGTCTTTCTCCTGCAATGTGCAGCTGTGTGGATGCAGGCTGAGAGTAGCCAGCGAGTTGGATTTAAACAGGTGTGATTTAGCTTAGCAGGTACAGTGGAGCAAAATGGGGCAAAGTAAGTGGGATACTGTCCTCAAAGACTGGAATCTGAGCTGCATGAGGAAGGAAGGGTATCAAAGTGTTAAATAACGGTAAAATGTGATAGAATAAATTGATTTTTCATCCAGGTATGGTCAGTTAGTGGAGTTGAAATACTGTACTAGATGAAGGTATTGTTTGAAGACAAGGATGCTGGAATGTGATTATATGGAAGGGCTGGAGATATTGATAATAAAAGGTTTAGGCATCACTATAGCAACAAGTAATTGAGGTAGGGTGGAGGGAAAGTTCATTAGAGGAGAGGAGGTCAAAGAAATGAGAGATAAGGGTATTGAAAGGGGAATCATTTATGTGGATATTGAAATCACTAGGAATTATGAGAGGAAAGTTGTAAAGAATTACAGTGAACCAGAAGCTAACTATTCAGTAAATGAACTAAAAATATAGCTTTTTAATTTATTGAGCTTTCTTTTTTAAATTTTTATTTATACCTAAATTCAGACTTAAAACCAAAATAGTGCTGGGAGTGGTGCCTCACACCTGTAACCCCAACACTTTGTGAGGCCGAGGTGGGTGGATCATGGGGTCAGGAGATTGAGACCATCCTGGCTAACACGGTGAAACCCTGTCTCTACTAAAAATACAAAAAATTAGCTGGGCATGGTGGCACGTGTCTAATAAAAATACAGAAAATTAGATGGGAGTGGTGGCACACGCCTGTAATTCCAGTTACTTGGGAGGCTGAGGCAGGAGAATCACTTAAACCCCGGAGGCAGAGGTTGCAGTGAGCCGAGATCATGCCACTGCACTCCAGCCTGGGCGACAGAGCGAGACTCCATCTCAAAAAAAAAAAAACAAAAAACCAAAACAGTACAAAATATTCCCATATACCCTTCAACCAGGCTCTCCAATGTTAATATTTTGCCATATTGATTTGCTTTTTCTGTATGTATTTTTTTATTACTATTTTAGAGTTGTATCCAGACATGATGCCTCCTTGTTCCTAAATGTTTCCGTGTATATTTTCTAAAAATAAAGATATTTTCTTACATAGCCAAATACAGCCATCAAAATAAAAAAATTAATATTTATACTCTACCATTATTTACAGACCTTATTCAGATTTTGCTATAATTATCCCAATAATATTTTTTGTAAAAAATCCCAGATCATGCATCGCATTCAGTTGTTGTGTCTCCTTAGTTTCCTCTAATCTGACACAGTTTCTCAGTCTTTGTGTTTTATGATATATCAGAAATGTTTTGGGGAGTATAGGCCAGTTTTTTGTTGAATGTCCCTGAATTTGACTTTGATGTTTCTTTAAAATTAGACGCAAGTTCTGCATTTTTCACAGGACTACCACAGCAGCAATGTCACATTCCTATCAGTACATCATAGCAGGAGGCACATGATGTCAGTTTGTCCCATCATGGGTGTCATTTGGTTAGGTTCGTATCTGCCTGGATTCTCCACTGTAAAATTGCTGTTTTTCTCTTTGTAATTAAGTATCTTATTAGGAGCTATTTTGAAACAATGTAAATATCCCATTACTCTTTTGTAGTTTTCCTAATCATTTTTTTCTTTTGTCTTCTAGAATGGTACTGGGAATGTCTTTTGCGACCATGGTTTTACAAGATACTTGCTGTGGTTCTGTCCATCTTCTCTGTGATTGTTGTGTGGTCAGAGTGCACATTCTTTAGCACTACTCCTGTCTTATCCCTCTTTGCGGTCTTCATACAGCTGGCAGAAAAAACATATAATTATATTTATATCGAGGTCAGTTTATTTTATGTCTGTCATAAATAGATGTCACTTCATAGTATAATCCTTAACTATTTTCTCCATGTATTTCTTCTAGTAAAAATGAAAGCAGTGAGGTTTTCTGCAGTGTTGTTATTCAAACTTCCAGAAATGTGCTTCATTATTTTACCCACACTATAGAAATTAATAACTGTATTTGAGGAGAGATGAAAAGTTGCAAGATAGTGCAGAAATCTGAGATTTTTTTTTTCTTTCTGTTTTTTTTGGAGGCAGAATCTTGCTCTGTCACCCAGGCTGGAGTGTGGTGGCATGAACATGGCTCACTGCAGCCTCAACTTCCCGGGCTCAAGAAATCCTCTCACCTTCACCTTAGCCTCCCAAGTAGCTGGGCCTACAGCCATGCACCACCATCCCCTGCTAATTTTTGTATTTTTTGTAGAGTCAGGATTTTGCCATGTTGCCCAGGCTGGTCTGGAACTCTTGCACTCAAGTGATCGTCCTGCTTCAGGAGGATCCATCACACTTGGCCCTGGGAATACTTTGATTATATTTATGCCAGTAAAGCTACATAACTTATAGGCCTCATGTGAAGAGTTGCCAAGGGAATGGGAAAACAGGCTCACATTAGAAGGTAGATTCGAAACTTTTGGATCTAGGATGTTAAACAGTTTGAAGTGTTGGGTTTTTTTCATAATCTTAGTGGGTGATTAAAAAATTCTCTATTACTGTATTTCAATTTTAGAGCATCAATAAATGTTAGCTAGAAATGAAGGCCAGGCTGGGCGTGGTGGCTCACACCTGTAATCCCAGCTCTTTGGGAGGCGAAGGCGAATGGATCATGAGATCAGGAGTTTGAGACCAGCCTGGCAAACATGGTGAAACCCCATCTTACTAAAAATACAAAAATTAGCCGGGCGTGGTGGCACATGCCTGTAATCCCAGCTACTCAGTTGGCTGAGGCAGGAGAATCACTTGAACCCAGGAGGTGGAGGTTGCAGTGAGCCAAGATCGCGCCACTGCACTCCAGCCTGGGTGACAGGGCGAGACTCCATCTCAAAAAAACAAAAGAAAAAGAAATGAAGGATAATGCCTGTAATTGTTAAGTGCTAAAGTCTGTTTGTTTTAAACAAACTGCTTTGTTTTTGTTTTTTTCCAGATTGCCTGCTTCCTTTCCATCTTCTTCCTAAGTATCTGTGTTTATTCTACTGTGTTCAGGATTCGTGTATTTAACTATTATTATTTGGCCTCACATCACCAGACTGATGCTTATAGCCTTCTTTTCAGTGGCATGTAAGTAGGATTATGTTTAGAAACAAGAGAAATGTCATCATTGAGTGTATTCTTATGGATCTTTTATTTTTTGTTGTTTACAGGTGTTCCACTAACATCTATATTTCTATCAGCTAATTGATTAGTTTCAAATATTAAATTGATGTTTGTTGATTGCCAGCTACTTCCTGCTTGAGGTTTAAGGTTAAAATAGGTGTGCTAGGTTAGGCTAGAAGGCAGAAGAAGCATACTTAGTGAGCCCGGATTTACCAACCAGAGATTAGCAAGCAGTAGAAACAATGGACAGTTTAGAGACTAAGTCAGACCTAGATGGTGTTCTAAGATTCAGCGGTCTCTCACTGAGTTGAGGAGGACTGAGAAAACCAACAAGAACAATTTTTCCTGAGGAATTCAGAGAGGATTTAGAGAGATGTCTTCAAGTTGGGCAAGATTGTACAATCTATTACCTGTTCTTATTGTTAAATGAGTCCTATTAGGTATTTATAAAGGATGAACTTAGATAATTTTATAGAGGAGTTGACATCCAAAGTATTTTTAAGCATCTTTTTTGTTGTTTTCCAAATAATTATGGACTCATGGGAAGTTGCAAATGTAGCACAAAAAGTCCTATGTAACCTTCACGCTACCCCCAGTGATATCAAAACCAGGAAATGAGAGTAAAACATTACTATTAACTACAAACTACAGACTTTATTTAGTTCTCACCATTTTTTATCCTTCATTCGTGTGTGTGTGTGTGTGTGTAGATTCCTGTAGCCACCAACACAATCAGGATTCAGAACAGTTCTATCACCACAAAAGAATTATCTCATATTATTTTTTTTTAATTCATACCCACACTTTATTCTCCCCAGCCCCAATTATCCAAGTGTGTGGGTTTGTAAGGCATTCTTTTTATTTGGACAGAATTGAACAACTTTATATCTGTGCTTGTCAGAATGACATATGTTGATACAACTTCAGTTCTTTTATGTACTGAATACAATTCACCTTGAGGATGTTACTGTCCTTGTCATGCTGTGAGATGGATTTTACGGATGGCTTAGTTGTAGGAGATGATACAAAGGCACTCCACAACTTGTGGGGATAAAGCAATGGCAGAAACCATAAAAGCAAGGAGCTTGAGGCTGTAGTCACGTAGGCATTGATGTGGCAATTTTCAGAATATCTCCCAAGTAAGTGAGGGCAGGTCACATTAAGAATTCAATATATATATAAAGCAAATAGATGAAAATTTTAGCTATAATTATCTGAAATGTTTTTAATACATCTCAGTATACTATAAAATGTATTTTGCTGCTTTACTTTTTATATACATATTTTTAAATGTTTGTTGCAGGCTATTTTGCCGTTTGACACCTCCTTTATGTCTTAATTTCTTGGGTTTGACCCATATGGATTCATCTATCTCTCACAAGAATACTCAACCAACTGCTTATACATCTGTAAGTACGGTCAGAAAATAGAATTCCTTAGGTTCACTATCTATATGAGGTGCTGTTATTGTGAAATTTCTTTTAATGCCAGCAGAAAAGTTCTATAGTGTTATTGGTAAAATTTTCTCTTAAAGATTGTATACGTATTACTATTGACTAGATAAAAGTGATTTTCCTTCTTTTATGATAAAAATGTTTTTTTTGGTTCATATATGTTGTCTAGCTGACCAGTATCAAAAGAACTGACCTATACTAATATTAACTTTATATTTGTAGTCAATGTATGTGATAATTTTGAGTAATAATTATATTAATTTTCTTTAAGAGAAAACCTCAATAAAAAGCAGATTTTAAAAAATAAGTCCATTTACTGCTTTTTTTCTACTTTTTAAAAAGTTCAAATGGATTGATATAACTGGTTATAGGCAAATTTTCTAATGATGGAAAGGAATGGAAATTATAGAGCTATTCCAATTTAACTTACTTTTTTCTTGCTCTTCAGATTATGGGTTCCATGAAAGTTTTATCCTTTATTGCAGATGGATTCTATATATATTATCCTATGTTGGTGGTAATTCTCTGCATTGCTACTTATTTTAGGTAAGAAACTTAACATTGTTTTTTCTTTTGCTCTTAAATCTGGATATCCTTTCTCTTTAAAGCTCTTTTAAATATTTACTGATTGAGTTTCAGTTTGTTTCATTGTAGCTTTGGAGAAGCTGGGGATAGTTTGAAGGGACTACTTGAGTGATCAGGTGCGAGTCTCCCTCTAAAAAATTTAAAGAAAAAAGAGGTAGAGTTATTATTCTATTATAATAAATAATACTATTTTAACATTATTCTATTTAGGCTAAAAAATGATAGGATTAATTACAGAATGTTAACTCTAAGTCCTGGCCTTTGACACTGACAGCTATCGTAGCCTGCAAAACACCCTTATGTCCAGCTTTTTTCTAATGACATAAATTAGCCTTAGAGCTTTCCAATAATTATTGCTGGGTGTCTAAATGCTTCAGACCATGGCCAGCACAAAGGGTCAGGTGAGGACCGATTGTAATCAAGCTGTACATTAAGATTAGAGGAGAAATTTTCTCCTGTGTCATAAAGTACATGGCATGCTGTTTTCATGGAATTAGAATGAATGGTAGAATCTAGGCAGGAGTGAGATTCAAAAGGGATTAAAGGATAGGTGTACTTGGCTTCTCGCATCTGTCTTTCCTTCTTTTTACATGTCAGGCCTCCTCATCCTGTACTCTGCCCTCTTTCATTGCTGAAGTGCTCCATAACATACCCAAAATACCACTTTTTCAAAAATACTTAAAAATGTTCATTGCTTACTCTTCTGAGAAAAATAAATTTTATCTACCCACTTTATTTAAATCTTCCAATACCATTTTATAGTTGTTACAGATAATATCTACTAACATTACAGTAATGAGTAAACAGATATTGTTTAAAATACATTTTCTATTGAATTTTTGAAAATATATTTTACTTTCTTATAAGTAAAATAACTAAAAGATTATAACTTCAAATTGTAGCAGGATGAGCCGCAGACAAGAACCCCTCAGACACCGAGTTGTAGAAGGAAAGGGCTTTATTCAGCTGGGAGCATCAGCGGACTCACATGTCCAAAAACCGAGATCCCCGAGTGAGCAATTCCTGTCCCTTTTAAGGGCTTACAACTCTAAGGGGGTCCTCGTGAGAGGGTCTTGATAGATTGAGCAAGCAGGGGGTACGTGACTGGGGGCTGTATGCACCGGTAATTAGATCGGAACAGAACAGGACAGGGATTTTCACGATGCTTTTCCATACAATGTCTGAAATTTATAGATAACACAAGCAGTTAGGTCAGGGGTTGATTTTTAACTACCAGGCCCAGGGCGCGGTGCTGGGTTATCTGCCTGTGGATTCCATTTCTGCCTTTTAGTTTTTACTTCTTTCTTTGGAGGCAGAAATAGGGCATAAGACAATATGAGGGGTGTTCTCCTCCCTTAAAATAATACTTTTAATATGAACTGATAGCAAATCTGATATTTTTAGTGTTTTCTTTAGGTGGAGACAGTAACAGATCTACAGTGTGAAAATGATGTATTAAAAGAAGAGACTAGTCATACTTTGTGTGCCTAAAACTATGTTTTTATTATGTGCTTAATCATTTGAAAAGTTAATAAAGTGGAACATTAAGAACTTGTATAAATTTTTTTAATGTTACAGTTATGCTGGCAAGATTAGCATTTCTTCTTACCTTATTAGATGGTTATATAGATCAAGTGATATGGGGCAGAATAGTGCTCTGTCAACTATAAAATCTTAGCTATAAGGAATCACTATGTCCGAAAGCAAAATTGTTAAGATAATCATTAAAAGTGTCTTTCTAGAGTTAATCAGGATAAACTTTGAGTGCCATTTTATCTTTAAGGGAAAAAAAAGGTTGTATTCCTTAATTTTCGGATTAACTCACAAAATAGATCTTCTGTTATAGAAACACCTGAAGCAATGCCTTACTGACATTTCAATGATAGGTTAACTTGATAAGTTCATTTTCATTTGAAATGCTGCCATAATTAGTCTAATTCCCACACTATTAGCAACACAGCCACACCCAGAGTTAATATTCAGACCTACCTGCCTAGAGAGCATAAGTTGTTTCCTGATACTTCAGACAAAGAGAAAACTTTCCCAGAGACAGTGATCTAATTCTGAGCTTCTCATCCCGGAGTATAGTACTCCCATAAGGATATGAAGATGGTAAGGAAATGTTTGAAGTCAGAGAATTAACATGATCATCTACAAAACCCCAATTTTACCCAATGGTAATGCATAAAAAACATTTTTATATGAATGAAACAAGTAGATATATTATGGATTAGCTAGATATTTACACATTTTTACTGCAAAATGGAATGGAGATCTTCACTTTTTCTAAATTGCTTTCCTGTTTTCCCTTCGTCTCTCTCTCTCTCTCTCTCCTTCACCACTTTCTCCTCCTCTTCCTCCCTCTCTGTGTAGAAGTACATCATTGAAAAAGTTTGAGAACTAATATAATAAAAAGAGCTGCTTGGTTTTTATTTTCTCTGGGATTTAAATTCTAGGTCTGTCATTTATTAAGGGATCTTTAGCAAAGTATTTAACCCCTTAGGCCTGTTTTCTTATCTGTAAAGTGATATTTATCTCTTAGAGTGATAGTTAAAATTAAATAAGAAGGCATCTGTAAATTATCTGATGTATAGTTGGATCTTAAGAAATATTAATCCTGCTTATTCACCTATCATTTCCTTCCTTGTGTTCCATATTTTCAGTATTCTTGTCTTGTACAACAATCAAATTTAAAGTAAATAGCAAATAAGATATAAGGTAGTAGTCTTCAGATAAGATATAGTAATCAATTTGTAGTGTATAAAAGCTATTTAAATAGTTAACTAGATCAGAGGAAAAAAATTGCTCTTACATTATTACAGTTATCATTTTAGCATCTTGGTATAATTGTTTTCTGAAGGTATGCTGATAACTTGACTTAACTGACATCTATAAGAAACCTGAATATAGTGCATACCCTAATCAGTGAAGTACAGGGCATACACTTCTTAGAAAGGGAGATAAGTGGTACTTCCTGAAGCATGTCAGATGTGACAGTAGATAACTATATGATAACAGATAATGAAGCATAGTCTTCTTTTGGAGTGACAATGCTAAAGAACAATTCATCTAAATATTTACAATGTGAAATAATGTTTGTCTTTTTAAAAAATCTGCTTTTATTAGTTTGGGAACCCGTTGTTTGAATCTGCTCGGTTTCCAGCAGTTTATGGGAGATGATGATATGACATCAGACTTAGTTAATGAAGGAAAAGAATTAATCAGAAAAGGTAAGATTTGTCTTTTAAAATAAATGAAGGGAAAATACTAAGTGCTAAGACTCAAAATACAAAATTAATATTTGTGTAGTTTGTGAATATTTTTTAATCTATTCTAAGAAATTATGAATTAATGCACATTTTTAGCTAAAAATGTACAATGGCCTTTCTAGCAAAAATAATTTGAAAACATGAATAATTGTTTTATCGGTCTTTAAGAAATTCTGAAGCTTAAATTATTAGTATGTCTGCAGCGAGATAACACCCTTGTATGGTCTTGGAATCATTTTCATGTTTACCTTGAAACATATTTGCGAAGCTCTGTACAACTATAAAACTCATTAATTTAAAGAATCATCGGTTTGATACTGCATGGGAAATCATTCAAACAAAGGCTACTTTTTTAGAACGTGATCATTAACAGCCTGTTAGAATACATGGTACTCTAGTAGAATCAAATCACAAAACTGAGTGTATTAAATTTACTGATGTTCAAAGTGATGATAGCATGGAGGGAAAAAAACTTGACTTTTGGGACATTGGTTCTTAGACATTCTCCCTACTTGAGTCTGGGGCTTTTGTGTAATTATGAGTTGAATGTAAGACAAAATGTATTGCAGCTCCAAAATAAGCCAGTGTAGCCTTCACGTGCTCTCCTATTAGACCTCATATGGCATAGCACATCCAGTCCTGGGTAAGATTTTTAAGAATAAGACTGATAAATTAGAAGGTATTTAGAGAAGGACAGCTAGAATTGTGAGTCTGTAGGGCATATCCTGGGGGAAAAAAAGTGAAAACATCTTGTCTGTAACCTAAAGAGAGTAACAAGGAAAGCGACTCATACAGAAAGAAAAGAAGTATGAACTTAACTTAGAAGACAGGAATAAAAGAATAGAATTTACAGAGAAACAAATTTCAGGTCATTGTGAGAAAGAAATCTTTCTTCCCTAAAGTTATTTAAGCGGAGACTACAGGGCCATCTGCAACAAAAATAGAGAAGGCATTCACTACTGAGTAAGGTAACCTCTCAAATTCCTTCCAGCAATAACCTATAACATTTGATTTTGTGATAATTTAAAAGAAATACTGGTCATTGCCCGCTATCTTTACTTCAGTTGCACTATGTCTGATTAAACCATGTTATGCCATATTTGAGATCATTTTTCTGTCTTTAGAGAAGAGAAAAAGGCAAAGGCAAGAAGAAGGTGAAAATCGAAGAAGAGTAAGTACAGTATTAATTTCTGTAATCTGAAGATTAATTTGAAATTTAATTTCTTAAGAATCTTACTAATTTGGAATAATTAGCTAAAGACAGAAAAAAACAGTGGAAAAATGTTATAAGATATATTTTTAAAGAAAGGGAATTTTAATACTTTCAGGTATATACGCTAAGTATCCTGACAGACCTGTTCTAAAAGTCATTAGTAATAAATTTCTTTGTGTTTAGCATCGAGCAGCTTCTTGCTAAAGTAGGTGCTCCATGAATATTTGTCGAATGAATAAATACATAAATTTGTGTATTCTTGCTATTAAAGTGGTTTTGATTGCTTTAAAATTGTTTCTCTTTTTTTGGTGCTGTGACATTAATTTTATTCCTCCTTAATTTTTCTTTAAGCCTCCATTTTCTGAGGCAAACTACCCTCCTGAAGAAAATGAAAAGGCAAAAAATGAGTAAAATCTAATTATAATTACCACACATTTTTTTAACAAATGGGTGTATATACTGGCAAAGTAAAAACTAACAGGAAACTTAATAGTTGTCTTTGTGTATCTTCATATATGTGTATCTTCTTTATTTTAGAATGCAGAACTAGAACCAAAGAGTAGAAGTTACTAGAGATAGATTTCTCTTCTCTATGGGAATTTCTAAATTACACAATTTACCAGAATTGCAATAGGCTTCTCGGACATAGGAAATTACATGCTATCTAGTCAGAGAGCCAAAAAGCATCTGGCAAGGATGTTTTAGAATGAGACCCTGCACTGCATGGAAAGTTGCATTAGGTGACTTCTAATGTCCCTTTCAATTCTAAGAATTTAATGAGTAGAATCCAGTTAATATGGTTTGACTGCATTTAAGATAACACACAATGCCGTGTGAGTCATAGGCTAATTATGTTTGTATACAACTTTAACTGTTGACTTTTTGGCTCTCTAATATTTGTAGTTTATTTGAGTGAAAGAAAATCTTGTTAACGTCTGTTAGTCATTATGGGTTCTCTTAACTTTTACATGGTCAAAGTAAGCTTGTAGTAATATTGTTTTACAATTTAGATAGATGAGTAACAACCAAAGTTAGCAAAAATATCTCTATGTCATTTGTAAAAGTTGAAGTTTATAGAGACTGTGACTTCAATAAATCATGTAAAAATAAAAACATTGACCTATGATTTTTAAAGATACTAGGATAATTATATTGATTACTAATGAATCTCTGATGAAAATAAATTATATTGCATATGTAATCTCTTGACATTAATGAATTATTTTCTGTTCTATTATATGATTATTTGTGCTTCTTTTCTAGGAATGGAAAGAACGTTATGGACACAATAGAGAAGATTCCACTAGGAACAGAAATATTCATACTGACCCCAAAGAGTCAAACTTCTCAGATGTTAATACCAACCGTTGTAAGTAGTTTATCTTCTAGTTCACTTGGAAATTGTTTTCTTATGCTTTCTTGCATAGAGATTGAGTGTTAGAATACACACATCCAGAAATGCCTTTGTAGAATTATAAATGGTATATTTGCAGTGACTTCTTTTTTTTCTGCATTCCTCAGTATATAGAAGGATGGGGAAGCTCAAATATGTACTGTGGTAGGGAAAGGAGAAACTGGGGCATCAAATGAATAGTTCTAAGTATACTAACCCTAAATAATGTAAGCACTTATCCCAGGTATGTTCTAGGCAGGTGTTTATTTCTACAACTTACCTTGATGTTTTTCTTTCCTATTAGTAGGTGTAGGTTATTTGGTCATTTTTATAATAATTTATTGACTGACCCATATAAGTTAGGCATATTCCCAGGTATACAGCAATACAAAGAAGGTATATTTCTTGTCCTCAGGATGCTCATAATTGAGTGAGGGACTGATACCAGACAGAAGCCATCTGCTACCAGGGTGGGTTAGGAAACTTTGTATCACTGACCCCACACTGACATGATGCAGAAGCTATTTAGGAGGTGCCAAGAAACCAGTTTTTGCCTAGGACCTTGAACTGAGTAGAAGGAAGAGGCTGTTTTTGGGAGAGATGCAAGATTGCTGAAAAGCTCCACCACTGAGGCTTCAGTACACAGGGTTTAAGACTGAGGATGGAGGAGAAAAACTGAGCACTCTCACCCACTCAGCTACAAGTTTTGCACTGAGCACCAAGCCATAGTAGTCAATTGTTGGAGGAGGAATAGAAACATGGAGAAGACTCCCTCTGTGGCATATCCATATCCATGCAGGGACTACTGAAATCTGAGAGTGGAAAAAGAATACTGAGAGAAACCATCTGACACTTGAGGCCCTACTAAGTACAAGGTCATAGGATTTCATTACTAGAGAAATGTGAAGTCTTTGGGGACTTAAGGAAACTAAAGCAACAACCAAATCCAAACTCAGATCAACTATAGGTTGAGTGATTCAAGCCATCAGCAATGATGATCTAATAGAAGAGGTGTGCCCATTCTGGGCATAAAACTATGATTTCTCTCCATCTTTTCCTTCTTTTACACATAATGTCTAGCTTTTAACCCAAAATTATGAGATATACAAGAAAGTAAGATAATATGAGCCATTTTCAAAACATAAAATAGTGAACATAACCAGACCCAGAGGTGGCTCAAATGTTGAAATTATCAGACAGTGCAGTGACTTTGAAATAACCAATTGATATGTTAAATGATCTGATGGAAAGGTTGGACAATGTGCATGAACAGATAGGGGGGAATTTCACCAGAGAGATGGAAACTATACAAAAGAGCTAAATAGAAATGTTAAAAATATTTTAATTACAGACTATGTATGATATTGTAGATTTCTCATGACAGCTCTGATAGAAGGATGCACACCAGATGCAGAAGGAATTCAGCTTGGGGATTGAAAAAGAGGGCTTATCTTAGGAAAGAGTTTTTATAATGAAGAAATATTTCTGTAATAAGGACATGTTTAGCTGAGTATTTAAGAAGGAATAGTACCTAGCCAGGTGAAGGGTATTTTAATTAGAAGGGAGACTAAGTGCAGGACGTTGTGGCATGAGAGAACCTTTGGGAAAATGCATGTTTTTCTCTAACTAAAGCCTAAGCATGGGGAGGCTAATAAGAGAGGAGGCCACAGAGTAGTTGGGGAACAGATATTGTCATTCTCCAATGTTTGGATTTGGGGCCAGGCGCGGTGGCTTATGCCTGTGAAGCTGAGGTGGGTGGATCACCTAAGGTTAGGAGTTCGAGACCAGCCTGGCCAACATGGTGAAACGCCATCTCTACTAAAAATACAAAAAGTAGCTGGGCATGGTGGTATGCACCTGTAATCCCAGCTACTCAGGAGGCTGAAATGGGAGAATTACTTGAACTCAGGAGGAGGAGGTTGTAGTGAGCCGAGATCATGTCACTGCACTCCAGCCTGGGCAACAGAGCAAGACTCCATCAAAAAAAAAAAAAAAAAAAACGAAAGAAAAAAAAGTTGGGATTTTGACCTAAAGGTAAGATTTCAATCTGGGAAGAAGCATGATAAGATTTTTGGTTTAGAAAGATGAATTTGATGGCAGTATAAAGCATAATTCTTGGGGAAGTGAGACTAGAAACCATTTCAGAGACTGTTTGGTAATACAGTCAAGAAATGATTATGGTCTAAAATAAGGCAGTTGTCCTGGAGATGAAGAGAAAAGGATTTATTTGAAGGACTTTAGGGTATAATAAATAGGAAAGGGCTAAAGGCTTAGTTAAAACTAGGAAATAGGATTCTGTAAAGGGATTTGGATGCTTGCTTACCATAGAGTGGAAGAAGTTTACAGAATAGAAAGACCTGGCAAGACGGGAGAGTGCTTAAAAGAAGAGGAGTCACAAAGTCATAGGATGATGAATTAGAGAGAATCTAGCATGTATTGGGCAATTGCGATTTGCTGAATGAGTGAGAGAAAAGATGAAGAGATTTGCATTTGGGACAGAGTCCAAGCTTACAAAAATGTAAATATGATAGAATTGGCTTGCATTAAGTTTTCAGAAAGAACTATAGCATAAAGCTGTTGTAAATCTACTTGGACTCCTCTGAACAACATTGTGAAAATTTGGTTTGTTTATATAGAAATCCCTATCCACATAGAGAAGGGAGAGTTAGTTTTCTTTATCTGCTGTCTGGTATGATAATCATTAGCCACACGTGGCTATTGAGCACTTGCAACATGTTGAAATGGTAATATTTTGGATATATTGTGTTTAAATATATTAAAATTAATTTCACTTGTTTCTTTTTACTTTTTAATATAGCTACTAGAAAATTTCTAATTAAATATCGGCTAGTGCCGATGTTGGCTAGTGCTACCCATACTCTTGCCTTATGGTAAAAAGACACACCTTTTTTTAAGAGTTTGAGCTGATTACACATTAAAGTCCTAGCCAAGAAATGAGGTTTACTGTAAAACCAACTCAAACTACTTTTGTTAATAAACAGTTTCACCATTGTGATACCATAGTTAAATGTTAATTCTGAGTTACACTAATGAAATGTTTGCACTGTGTCTGCTTCTGAGCTTAGAGAGCTTCTTAGCTAACTACAAGCCTAGAGAACTTTTCCTTGCTATATTCTATTATACTGCTTATAATTTTAATCTGATTTTAAGGAACCATGTAGTTATCTTTTCTTATGTTCTTTGTCTTCAGATTCCTTGGAATTTTGATTTTTCTTTCTGTACCTCCATAGACTGTGACCCATAAGTTAAAAGACAGTAGGGAAGTAGACATTTTTCCCCCTTCCTTTGCAGCTGCATTCAAATATACCAGGGCTAATAACAGGACTGAAAGGGACCGGATAGAACTTCTCCAAGATGCAGAACCTTTGGATTTTAATGCAGAAACATTCACTGATGATCCTCTTGAATCTGAATCAGGAAGGTAAGTTCTGGCTGTGACATTTTAGCTCTAGCATTCCTCTACACTTTTAATAACACATTGACTTGACAAGATTGAAAATAAGTAAGTAAAGGTGAAAGTAAACAAGTGATAAGTAAAGGAAAATGTTCATTTTCACTAACAATAAAAAATATATTAAGTAACTTTTGATACCTTTTTAGACTTTCTAATGCTTTTATATCATCCAGTAATGGTAACTAAAATTGTTATCTTCATACAATACTAGTGGTATTATAAATAAGAAAGAATAATTGAAATATATAGCAAAGGATCACAACAATATTTATATGCCTATTTCTGATTGTCCCATTTGTGAAATTTATTATATTTAGTAACTGCTGCATAGCAGTGTCTAGATGCCAGACACTATTCTAAGTCCTTTAGCAAAAATATTGTAATTGTATGGTTGCAAATTCAGCTGGATTTAAATCCAGAGAGGCTCAGTAAAGTGCCCAGAGTCACACAACTTGTAAATGGCAAGTCAGGCATTCAAAGTCCAGTATTCTGGCTACAGAGTCTGTACTTTTAGCCATTATGCTATAAGCACATAATTAAATAAAAGCAAAATATCATGTGCACGAAAATGTTTACTATAGTATTGCCTATATGCAGTAAAAACCTAGGTTATATTTATTTGCAACAATTGAGAGTGGTTATTGAATTGATTAATCTCCCAGATGTGTCTTACATCCCCTGCCCCCTTCTTTTTACATCTCTCACTCTGTCATGCATATATTCTAGGGTCTAAAACCGTTGCTGGTTGATTTATAATTAAGTCCTTTTGGATAATATACTTGGAGGGTAAGTTTCTGCTTTCAGCTACTGACTAGATTTTACAGTACTTACAAATTATATGGCCACTCCCTTTTAATGTATTCTTGTTTTCCTCTCTTCCTTTATTATTTTTGATGCCTCAGATCATTTCTTTATGTTCCCTTTTTAGGTATCAGCCTGGTGGACGATATCTCTCGATGTCTCGCAGTGACATATTTAATGATGTTTAAAGTCTGAAAAAGTTTGTGGGACCACTAACCAAGGTCAACACATCAGTTCAGTCTTGATGAACATCTGTGTACCCTAGAATTTCCTCTATACACAGTGAAAAGTGTCAAGATAACAAAAAAGGCACTGAGAATTAATTATATCTTAGGAATAATAGTTTAATGTGCATTGAATAGAGTATCACCTTTTTCAACAAGATTTATTACATATCATTTCCTAAGCATCTGCCTTAGAAATACAGTTACAGTGGAAGGACTTTAAGAAAGATCAACATATGTTAAGAACATGCAGTTCAGTTTGTTTCAGATTAATTTTTTTTCAAGAGAGTTATTTTAAAGATTCAAGGAAGCCATAAGTCATACTAAATAATATTATATACAGTTTTGTTATTGTGACTTACATTTTTGTTACTTCTAAAAAGTATATTCAACCTGTATTTCCCAAAGAAATGTAAGTGAATGGAGACCTCAAATAATAACTGTATTCATAAAACTCGTGTCTTAAAACAAGGCTTACTTACTAGACATAACTGAATGTAAAAAGTGCTTTTTCAAATCTGTTTGCAAACTCGTGGGGGATTTTTGCATGTATAAGATTAAGATTATACTTCAAGTGATGCGTGTCTGTGTATTTAGCATGTGTACTATAATCAGGTGATATAGTATTCCTTCAGTCTTTGTAGTAACTGGATTTTTTTATGCTTCTGGTATTGCTTTATAAAAGATTTTCATTTCAGAAAGCTATGTTCACATTTATCATTTAACATATTGATTTAAATGTTGATTATGATATTCAAGGATAAATCCTAGGCATTAATGAAAAATAGTTTTTTTTTAAGTAGTCAAAGAGTCCAACAAAATCCTTCAGTATTTAAAGGTACCTGCTTATACTTTTTGAGAAAAAAACTGGTTATTCAAAGGTAAAAAGTGAATCCATTTACTGTTATTACTGATACTTAAATCGTGGTTTATAGAAAACAAAACTATATTAGAATGGAAATGTGTAATAACTTGTTGGTTAAACATTCTTACTAAATAGACTGTTTTTAACCTTTGTGTTTAAGATAAATTTATGTATTATATTTTAAAGCACTAGTGTTTTATTGAAAAGTGAACATGTTTGATTGCAGCATGCTTGCAGAGAGTTTTCTTATGTCCCTAGAATATTTGCAACTCTTACTGAATCCATGCTACATTTGGTGACCATACTTCAGCTTGCCTAATACAGTCTCAGTGTAACACCTAGTATCCTGTTTATTACTAGTGATTACTTTCACCCTCAAGTATCCCACCCAGTTTGAAGATGAATTATATGGTTCCCCTAACTTGAAGTTAATCTTTCCCCAAGACATAAATTTAAAATTTTTATTTTTATTTTTAATAAATATTATCATGTAAGTTTTTTTTTAAAACACAGCTCTATGCAGATATTGAAAGGAATAGAGCATCATCCTCATTATCTGAAAATTTTGATCTTTGAGTTTTTATGATCTTTGCAATTAGATCCCTTTTAAAATAATTATCAGTGGATAGACTTACTCTGAATTGAAGGTCATATAGACTACACTTAAGAACACACACATACAGTCTTTTCATGTGAAGTGTGGCCAGAAAGCAATAAGCCAGGAGCAGAGATAATTTGATCCTCTTTGTAATTTAATGATTGACTAATTGAATACCTTTGGCAAATCATGTAGCTCTTCAGTGCCTCAAGTGCTTCATTCTGCACTTTCATTTGCAGAATGAAGATGATACTTGCTATTTACCTGCTGATCTACCTTACAAAGCCATTGTGAGGAAGTTGAATTGGTGTTTATGTACTGGAGTTTATAACTGTGCTATTTTTCCTAGTGATACTTGAAGGTATTGGATGGGGAAATGATCATCCCAGAAATGGGTCCAGTTTCTTATTATTACAGAAAAGTTTACAAGTACTTAAAGCAAAAACGCTTTTGGACTAATTCATCAAAAGTCCTGTGAAAGTAGTGTTGTTTTATTTAGTCTTTGGGTTTACTTTGGAATAATTTCTTAAGTATAATGTTTCTCATCAGGTTTTGTCATGAAATTAAGATGCTGTTGTTGAAACAGAAGCAGAAAAGGAAAAGAAATTAGCCAATTACTTTTATAACTAACTTTTATAATGCCCTAAGATAAATTGGTAGGAACGTGTAAGGTAATGTTACCACTTTCCTTTAGTATTAAATTTTTTATGGTTATAATAATTGAAGTGTATACGTGCATACACTTCACAACCGGTATAGATTCCTTTATGACTTTCAAGTTATATTTAAAATATTTGGTTGTTTCAGTGATTCAGAATATTCAACTTTAAGCAGAATTTGTCTTACAGAATGTTATATACAATCATATAAAAATGTTATTTTGTTGGATAAATTTGAGTTCAGAAGGCAATGACTTGACCCTGGAAGACTCAGTTTATTGCTGGGGAACCAAGTTAATATTTGTCAAGCCACCCTGTGTAAAAAACTGTAATGGGTAGAAGTTTTCTCTTTTGAGAAGCTTATTGAAATATAATGACATCTACTGCAAAATAGGACTACTAAATACATATACTTTACATGCAAAGTACATTTCTTAAAGAATTATTTCTGGTAATTTTTGATGACTTTATTACTTGATAATAAGTATTAGTTTAAAATTTTCCAAATTATTCTTTAAATAGTTGTTAGGTAAGAATATTCAGTAAGCCAGTAATTCAGAATAACTATTGTAGAAAATAATAATAATCTATTAATTTAATGAATCACCTCTAAATTACTAATTAACTTCTTTTACAACATAAATAACTTGTTATCAATAGAGCATTTTTGTAAAAAACAAAAGAAAGAATAAGTTTAATTATTAAAATTTGCTCTCTTACCAAATGAATACAAGGGCTTTTGAATAATCTCATTGCATAAGAGGCCCTCATTTCACAGAAATGGTAAGAACTAAATCAAAAGATTCAAGGGTTTTCCCTTTATAAAGAATAGATCAGAAAATTTGACAATCCAGACATTCAAAAAAACATTCTGCCAGTTGATTTTTTTGGACTACTATTTGATTAGATGATCAGTTCTGAAATTTAAGCTGCATGTATGCCCAAATTAAATTAGCATAGGAAAGTCAATGTGTGTGGTTTTTTAAAAGTATATTTTAGCATATTAATGGAGCAATTTAATTTACATTCAGTTACAAACCTCATTCTTATTAATAGGTTTAGGGAATGTTCTTGCTGGTGTGCTGATTACCATATTAGAGAAAAAATAAACTCTCCATATTATAATTCACCTGTTTAGTAAGGTGAGTTTCTTACTTGTGATTTGAGTGGATTATGCCTAAAAATTACAAGTATATTTGCACTAAGCGACAAAATATGTCCCTGAAAAATCTTAGCGTACTTGAATCATCAAATGTAATGGATTGTATTGAATTCTAAATGTTAAGAAGTAAGTGGATTTAGGGTTTTGTCTTTCTTTTCTTATGTCCTCTCTCATTCCTTTATACCTTTCTTCCTTTCTGAGGCCTATGTTTATAGCATGACTTTTAATGTGCTGAAAGATTTTCCTTCTGTTTTGTGTACAGAGTTGTTTTTGATGAGTGGTACGCTCAGAAGGAACTAGTTCTGACTACAAATCCCACTACTTGAAATAGCAATATTGTACCTAAAGTAGTCAAACAGATTTTGCTAGACAACTAAGCAACATCTGAATACAAATGTAAAGTATGCTGGCTCAGTGTATCTTTTAGGTCACTAAAGAGGACACATCAGTAAATAAATTGTTTTCAGTGTAATATTTTTACATAAAAATAGATTTCCCCCCCAAAATTTAAGATTTATTTAGATTCTTGAGACATCTTTTTATGAAAAGGAATTAATAACATACATCATCAAAACTTTTCTTAGGAGCGTTGAAACAATATAAGAAGGTTACAGAAGGCCTTCTAAAATATGAATTCCCATCTGTATGAGGTACTTCTTTCCAACTCAGTGACTTTTTGCCCAGAGACTTGGAAGACTGGGCAATGTTTTCTTTCCCCTTTCCCAACTCCTGGAGACAAGGCCCTAGGAGCAATTTCCTCCAGTAGGGCAGGCCGTAGTCCTGCTCTGTCTTACTTCCCACTGCAGCAGGAACATGTCCTCGCCTCTGATTCCTTCTGTACCAAGCCATTGGTCCATTGAGGTCAATTGAGGACTCACTGTAAATTTTAAATCTGTTAATAAAGCAAGGATATTGGCATGTTCCTCTTCTCATCAATATCCTAAAAGACATTTATTTTTTACACACTCCTTGGGAAAAATTAACTTTTTTTCACTGAAAATATTTCCTTTTTTGGTTATCTTGATCTCAGATTATTTTGTGAAAGAATTTTACTGTACTTAGTTCAAAAGAGTAGAAAGAATGATTTACTATTGCAGACATATGTAGGGTAAAATCATAATTTATTTAAACTGACTGTACAACACCATTTAGAGTTGATATTGACATAAATGTTATTAGCCTACTAATTTGGAACTGCATTTCTCAACAATGCTGGCAAGCATCTTCCGTACTTAGCATACCAAGTTGTAGGGGAGAGACTGTGTATATATTTTTTAAAAGCAATCCAATGGATTTGTTTTTGTTCATATTTTGAAAACAACTCGAAGGATTTTTCTTATTTTAGAAGGTAGAAAATATGTGGACCTGTGTTTTAAATTAATATGTATTTATAAATTATAACATTGAATGATACAACAGAGCTCTAATATTGATGTTCTCACTTTCTGATATTTAATTTTTATAAATGTTTTTGTAAGTAACTAATTGTAGTATTGCTTTTAAATAGTTTTAAAATCTATCTCAAATAAGTTCTGCCCAGACCTATTTCCTTAGGACAGTATTCTAAAGTTCAGTAGTCCAGTGTGAGCTTGAAATACTCCTAGATCCCGTCAGTGATTTTTATATATACCAATACACAAGCAAATTATTAATATACCAAAAACCTAATTTCTGCATTGCATTAATAAAATACTTGTTATTTTGCCTTTATCCAATTCAGTTGATTAGGTGAAATAGAAAATTAATCTTTTCAAATGTGCATATGATCATAATTTTTCAAAATGTTACTGTGGTCATTTTTGGTGCATGATGCCAAGTTTATCTTTAGTTAGCCATTGCCACCTGATATGTAATGACAAATGTTTTACTATCTGATCATTGGGTTGTAGATTAAACTATTTTTTTTCTCTGTAGATTCTCACTACATTTTCAAATATGTACTTGGAAAAAGCTGCAAAGTGCTACCTATAAGCAAATTAGTAACTTTGGCCTTATCTATGCATAGTGTTCGCTCAGTTTGGTTTTGATAAATTGATTGACTTGCAGTTCCTTTGTAGTATTTTAACTTATTGTGATGTAATGAATTTTTTGAAATGTTTATTTGATTAGCTGTTAAAATATAGGAAAGAATGTAGCTTTGCATGAAATAAATTACATTTCTACAAGTTAATAAGAATTTTGCTGATTGTTTATATATTTTACTTCATTTGAGATTAAGGTTCTTTTAAGTAGATTCAGGCGTTCTTTGTTCCTTATCAATTTATTAGCAAATATGACAAATGTTTTAAAATAAATATGTGTACTTTAGTTTTCACATTACTTTTTCTTATGTTTGAAAGTAATTATATATGTATTGAAACATACTGTACCCCATAAATATGGACACTTATGTATCAATTTAAAACTTATTTTAAAAATTTTTAAAAAGAGAAGTAACCCCCTCACTACAAAATGTTTAAAGAAAATTAGATCAGAAACCAGTGAAATTGAAAATGGGAGAACAGTGGAGAAAATCAACAACACCAAAAGCTGGGACTTCAAAAAAAAAAAAAGGTCAATAAATTTGATGAAATTTTAACCAGGCTAACCAAGAAGACAGAGTAGGCTGCTTTCCTGTATACCAAAAATGAACAATTGGAAATTGAAATTTAAAACACAACATTATTTACATTAGTCTTAACTAATAGAGTAAGAGAAGAAAGGGAATAAAAAGTGTACAGATGCTTTTTTGTTCACAGATGACATAATTATCTATGTAGAAAGTCCAAAAAATTTGACAAAATAACTCCTAGACTATAAGCAGTTATAGCAAGGTTACAAGAAACAAGGTTAATATAGAAAAGTCAATCACTTTCCTATATAGCAGCAATGGACAAGTGGAATTTGAAATTTAAAACACAATATCTATATTGGCACTCCCAAAAATGAAATACTTAGGTATAAATCTAATGAAATTTGTATGAGATCTGTGTGATGGAAACTACAGCTGATGAAAGAAATAAAAAAACTAAATAAATGGAGAAATAGCCCATGTTCATGGATAGGAAAACTCAATATTATCAATATGTCCGCTCTTCCCAAATTGATCTATAGGTTCAATGTAATTCCATTTAAAATCTCAGCAAGTTATTTTGTGGATATTGACAAGCTGATTCTAAAATTTATATAGACAGGCAAAAGACCAGAAGAGCCAACACATTGAAAAACAAAGTCAGGACTAACACTACTCAATTTCAAGTCTTACTATAAAGCTCCACTCCAGTAGTTAAGACGTTGTGGTATCGGCGAAAGAATAAACAGATCAGTGGACCAGAATAGAGAGCCCAGAAATAGACCCATAAGTAGTCCATTGATCTTCGACAAAGGAACAAAGACAATTCAATGGAGATAGTCTTTTTAACAAATGGTCCTGGAACATCCACATTCAAAGAGATAAGTGTAGATATTGACCTTTCACAAAAATTAATTCAAAGCTGATCATAGACATAAAAATAAAACACAAAACTATAAAACTTCTAGAAAATAAGAGAAAATCTAAGTGATCGTGGGTTTGGCAGTGAGTTTTTAGATACAGCACCAAAATCACAATTCATGGAAGAAAAATTGGATGTTGGACGTCATTAAAGTTAAAACTTACTTATGCTCCACAAAAGACACTGTTAAGAGAATAAAAAGCTAAAAAGCCAAGCCACAAAGACACTGTTAAGAGAATACAAAGCTAAAAAGCCAAGCCACAGACTGAGAAAAATATTTGCAAAATATATATATCTTATACAAGATTTGTATCCCAAATATGCAAAAGAACTCTTTAAACTCAAAAATAAACCCAATTAAAAAGTGGGCAAAGGATCTGAACAGACACCTTACAAGATATACAGATGGCAAATAAGCATATGTAAAGATGCTTAAGGGACTATGTCATAAGGGCATTGTAAATTAAAACAACAATAAAATGCCACTTACTAGAATGGCTAAAATCCAAAACACTAAATAACACCAAATGCTGGCAAGGGTGTGGAGCAACAGATACTGTCATTCATTGCCAGCCACTTTGGAAGACAGTTTAACAGTTTCTTACAAAGCCAGCATGCTCTTTCCATATGATTCAGCAATCAAGTTCATAGGAATTTACCCAAATGAATGGAAAACTTATGTCCACACAAAAACCTGCACACAAGTGTTTATAACAGTTATATTCATAATTGCCCCAAACTGGAAACAACCAAGATGTCCTTCAATGGGTAAATAATTAAGCAAACTGTTGTACATCCATAAAATGGAATATTCAACCTCAAAAAATGAACTATCAAACTATAAGAAGACAAGGAGGAATATTGAATGCATATTACTAAGTGAAAAAAGCCAGTCTATACACTGTGTGATTCCAACTATATGACATTCTGGAAAAGGCAAAACAATGGAAGCAATAAAAGGATCAGAGTTCCAGTGGTGGGGGTGGGTGGGAGAGAAGGGATAAATAGGTGGAGCTTGAGATATTTAGGGCAGTGAAATTATTCTCTATTGATACTGTAATGGTAGATGTGTGATGTTACACATTTGTTAAAACCCATAAAATTTTACAAAGCATGAACCCTAATGTAGATTGTGTGCTTTAGTTAAGGTATCAATATTGGCTTATCAATAGTAACAAATATACTAATGCAAGATGTTAATTAACAGGGAAACAGGTGGGGGTTCTCTGAACTTTCTGCTCAATTTTTTTGTAAACCTGAAACTGGTCCAAAAAATAGTCTCGGCCAGGTGTAGTGGCTCATGCTTGTAATCTCAGCACTTTGGGAGGGTGGGGTGGCTGGATTGCTTGAGCTCAGGAGTTCAAGACCAGCCTGGGCAACATAGTGAGACCCCATCTCTCTCTCAAAAAAAAATACAAAGTTACCTGGGCATGGTGGTGCCCGCCTGTAGTCCCAGCTACTTGGGAGGCTGAGGTGGGAGGATGGCTTGAGTCCGAGAGGCAGAGGTTACAGTGAGCAAAGATCGCACTTCTGCACTTCAGCTTGGGTGACAGAGTGGGACCCTGTCTCGAAATTAAAAGGAATAACAATTTAAAAATCTCTTAACTTTTTAAAAAAGTAATTTTAGTGATACTAAAATCCAATATAGGCAAACCAGACTATTAACTTCCATATACATCCTTTTACATCTCTTCGAGAATAGTATAAAAAACGTATAAAGTTAGTCAAAATTGCTAGATTTTCAAGCCACAAAATCCTTAGAAAAAAAAATTTTTTTTTTTTTGAAACAGTTTCGCTCTTGTTGCCCAGGCTGGAGTGCAATTGTTTTGTCTAGGCTCACTGCAACCTCTGCCTCCAGGTTCAAGAGATTATCCTGCCTCAGCCTAACAAGCAGCTGGGATTACAGGTGCCTGCCACCATGCCTGGCTAATTTTTCTATTTTTAGTAGAGACGGGGTTTCACCATGTTGGCCAGGCTGGTCTGAAACTCCTGACCTCAGATGATCCACCTGCCTTGGCCTCCCAAAGTTCTGGGATTACAGTTGTGAGCCACTGCGCCCAGCCTAGAAAACAATTTTTAAGGGGAGGTTAGTGTCATTGTTCAGAAAGTCCTGTGGCTATAGTGGCAAAAATAAGGAGAAAATATGACTACTATTTGACCGTTACCCAACTTTCAAAAGAACATTGCTTTTCTGTCTAAAAGAAGTAAGAATAAAGTTATTTTCACATTGAAGATAGCCAACAAAAATTCCTGAAAATGGATGTATCTTTAACACACACTTAAATAGCTAAAGATACTATGTGACCTAATTCACCAAAAAGAATTCTAAGAAATTTGAAAAACTATATTCTTCATTCACACTTGTGGTTTTCTGACCAGGAAAAAAGAAATTTTTGGTCTCTGTCAACCTGTTTCACATATCATCTCTTGCTAAAGAAAAACACAACTCTTTGGCTGGTGATAGCTCAGCCAATGCCCAATAGATGTTTGTCAACATCTAATAGATTAAAATAACTTAGTACTTTGAGTTCTAAGGATTTTTGGAGACAATAAATGTGAATAGGCTAGGTTTGCTACAGCACAAACAAGGGCTCAGTCATCTATACATCCCTAGAAACTAACAGTGCCTTTCATGAAGTATATGCTGACTGAAGGATGGTTAAAAGGTTAAAAGTGAATACAGAAGTTATAATAGTGAATATTATGGGAAAAGTCATGTTTAGTCGTATACATATATCTTGCCCCATCCTTTTATAAAAGCCATGCATTTTATATCCTGAAAGGACACAATGTTTTATCTTATGTTGAATTTACAGGGGAACATGATCTTTAATGTTAATTTTGATGAAGGTGTTTACTGAAGCATTTAATTTTCAGAGTGAATTTGAAGACTGTAGATAAATGTCACAAGTGCGTAGCCTAAAGTAGCATGGGCCATAGACATAGTTTTAACCTGTTTGAAACTGTTCATAATTGATTATGAAAGTGTTTCTGCTTATTTTAATTCAGTGTATTTTCAGCTACCAAATAATTTTAGTGTTTCATTCTGGGTGAGGGTTTTATAAGAATTGTGGGAATTAAAACTTTCTTTTTACAAATAAATAGTTTATGTCAGTGAAATAAGAGATCTATCAAAACAGGCATTTTCAGAGATCTTAACTCTGGCCAATTTCACTCAGGTACCTTGTTAATAAAAATAACTGAATAAAGCACAAGTCTGTAGACATATCTTAAAGCTCCACTGTTCTACCTCACTTACACCCAGGTGGAGATGACTACAGTAAGTCTTAAATCAACTTGGTAGAAGTCCAAGGGGTTCTTGGACTTTAATAGGGCCTTTCCTAAACTACATCTGAACAGTCAATCAATTTTGTAGAATAATAAGCTACAAAGAAGCGTAGCTATTACCCATGCTTTGTGTGCGTATGCGTGTATGTATAAGTATACATAATACATACACATGCACGTACATAATCCTCTACATGTGGACTGTTAACAATGAGATAGAACTATACTTCCCCATCTTCTGGCTGGCTAATCTACTGACTGAGCCTGGACAGAGTTTTACTTCTGAGAAACAAAGCAAGAGTTGTCTCTAACACTGGGATGAGACAAAACCGTTCTTTCTCCCTCAGTCTTGTTATTTGAGGGATAATGAACCTAAGGACATTTGCCTTTGTACACTTTCTCACCAGACTTAGGAGGTGTAACTCAAGTGATCACACCTTGCTCACTGGAAGCAGGAGGGAGAAAGGATTAATGTCCTAACAATCAGCCTAATTAGGGAATTGTCTCCCTACCACAGCTGAAAGGTCCTGCAGGTAACTGACTGACTGTGGCTTCTGGCCAGCCTGTTTCATTCTTACAGCGTAAAGACTTGTGAGCACCAAGCACCTAGCCTCAAAGACTTTCACAAAGTCCTTGGTTGGTTGGTTATTTCTTGACGATATGGAAATTGTCACAACTGATGCTTGGCTTTCCCTTGATGATGTCTTAACTGGTTTCCTTTTCTCTCCAGTATTGAAACTGACTTGGTAATTTCTTGGCTTTTCCTGTTTTCTTCCTCTGCCCACCCATCTCTCCATCCCTGAGATGGGGAAATTCACGTTTCCATTAATTATTTATTTATCTTTTGAACTTCAAGAATGGTTCTTAGCCACCAAAAGATTCAACAGTTATGGCTTGCATTAAGCTTCTGTGGTCTCTGGACACCTAGGTTATAGAATTCATAAAGTGAGGAGGGAGGAGCCTTTATTATTTACTTCTGATTTGGACACTCGATTCTCTATATAAAACATCTCCCCGTGGCCCTGGAATACAGAAATATTTCAGTTAAATTTTTGACTTATATATTGAGGATGTGTTCACATCAATATCTCAAGCTTAGAGTTTTTCAAGGGTAATATATCTGGATATGATCAAGAAAACAGAAATGATGCCAGGTTTAACAGAAGTGATTGGTTACATACATGTTAGAATGCTGAAAGAGCAGCAATGGAGCTATATAGAAACCTAGAAAGAAAATCTGCAGAAAGCAGTCACCCCTATGGTTGGGAAAATGGAAGTGAAGAGGTTGGAGTTACCAGATTGTAGAGCTTGAGGAAGAAATATTATGGAATTGGTGCTCCAACCTCTGAGGAGGGAGCATTGCCAGGCTGCTGCTGGTACCTAAGCAATGCTGTACAACCACATAAACATCTATTTGTTCTGCTTTCTGTTGTTCAGGGCCAGCAAATATCTACTTTTTATTCTGCAGAAGAAAGTGAACATTCAGTGTGGATTGGGGATTGTATTAGGCCATTCTTGGATTGTTATAAAGAAATACCTGAGACTGGGTAATTTATAGAGAAAAGAGGTTTAATTGGCTCACAGTTCTGCAGGCTTTACAGAAAGCGTAATGCTGGCATCTGCTTGGCTTCTGGGAAGGCCTCAGGAAGCTTATAGTCATGACAGAAATCACATCACACAGTGAGAGCTGGAGCAAGAAGTGGGAGGGCTGCCACACACTTTTAACCCTTTCCCCATCTGCACTGAGAATACTCACCTGCAGCACTTGCAGCTGCAGCATGTATGCCAAGATAACTTTGCCATGAAATGTCTCACTTTTATTATTATTTTCTCATCACTCTAGTATATCAACTTTGGAAATAAAAGACATAATTCTATAATTTTGTTTTTAGTAGTGGTATTTCCATGTATAAAATATAGTAATTAGTAGCGGTATTTCCATTTATAAAATATAGTAATTCTTGATCGCTGAAAATGTCAAATTTGAGAAAATGTAATGTTTCTATGCATGATGTTAACATCATTCTCAGACAATTGTTGGGCGAAGATTCATTTGATGAATCCAATTTTTCTAGAATAGACAATTCTGATGATTCTAACAATTCTGATGATTCTGACAATTCTGATGTTAGTTCTGTTTAGAAAGCACTCCAAGAACAGTTTTTATATTTTATTTTTACATTGAAAGTCAATCATATTTGCTTTAGCCTCAAAGAACATGTTTATGTAAAACTAAATGAGTGCTGGCTGCAAGCTGCACTTTTTTTTTTTTCCTAAATGGTTAAAGGCTCAAACAGCCACATCTCTCAAGATCTCACTCACTATTGAGAGGGCAGCACCAAGGGGATAGTGCTAAACCATTCGTGATAAACCCACCCGCATGATACAATCACCTCCCACCTCCAGCATTGGGGATTATATTTCAATATAAGATTTGAGTGGGGACAAGTATCTAACCTATGTCAAGGATGATCCTATGCAGGTCAGGAGGCCAAAGCCAAGTCAGCTGTGTAAGCAGTGATTATCATGGTAGCAAGGCTTCATTACATATGACCAGAAATAGAATTACATGACAATCTCAGTAAATAAAATCATAGAAATATTTTAATGAAATTCTTTGTGAAATAAAAACTTGCAAATTTGGAATATAGGGAAATATTTTTTATTTGTTAGATGATATTATTGTAGTGACTAGTAAGTGCTCAGAAAACTCATTTTTTCTTCTTCCTGTGCACCACAGCTAGCTTACATTCCCAGGATCCTTTGTATCTGGTGAAATCATGTGACTAGTTGTTACCAACCTTATGTAAAGAAAAAGTGATATGTGTCTCACATCCTACAATATATGAAGAACTCTTAAAAGTCAATATGATAAAAACAAACCAATAGAAAAACAGGCAAGACACTTGAATAAGCCCTACATGAAAGGGGATTCCTAAATATATATGTGCTTGCTTTTCTTAGAGTTTTTTTTATTTCTATTTTTTAGAGACAGGGTCCCACTCTGTTGCCCAAGCTGGAGTGTAGTGATGCAATCATAGCTCGCTGCAACCTCAAACTCCTGGGCCCAAGGGATCCTCCCACCTCAGCCTCCCAAGTAGCTAGGACTACAGGTGCACACCACCACACCCAGCTAATTTTTATTTTATTTTTTATAGAAACACTCTCATTATGTTGCCCAGGACTGGTCTTGAACTCTTGGCCTCAAGTGATCTCATCTTGTCCCCCTAGAGCTCTGGGATTACAGATGTGAGCCACCGCACCTTGGTTAGAATTATTGAGAAGCAAATTAAAGAACAAAATACCTCAGCCACACCCATCAGAACAGCTAATTTAAAAATAATAATAATGACCTAAAAGGAAGAGGCTGAGACACTAAATATAATTTAAAGAGTTTACTTGAGCCAAAATGAGGACAGCTGCCTGGAAGACTGAGACCCAAGTAAGCTTGAAAATAAGCTCCTTTTGGGCTTTGTTACAAGCAGGTTCATAAAGGCAAAAAAAAAGGGGGACAGGGAGTGGGCTGATACAAAGTCATTCATCAGGAATTCTCAGTGGCTTACAGAAATAATATTGATTAGTGATTGGCTATACATTGTAAAACTATAGGTGAGGTGGGAGACTGGCAGGACTTGTTTTCTTGTCACAACACTGCTGACCAAAACAGGATCTGGTTCAGACAGGATCAAGTGGAGAAACCAGCAAGAACCAGCAGATGGCGATGAAAGTGATCCCCAGCTGTCCTCTTTGCTCATTAGCAGAAGACACTCCCACCAGCACCATGACAATTTACAAATGCCATGACAATGACCCAGAAGTTACCAACCCTTTCCATGGCAGGAAGTTACTGCCTCCTTCCAAGACAGTTCTAAATATGCCTGTCCCTTAATTTGCATTGGGCCACCCCTTAATTTGCATGTAATTGAAAGTGGGTATAAGCGAATACAAATGCAGTTGCCAAGAGCCCATACATTGCTGACTCTGGGTGTGCTCCCTATGAGTTTGTCCTTCTCTTGAAGGAGCAGTACCGTTCAATAAAAGACTGCTGTCTAACCCCACTGGCTTGCCCTTGAATTCGTTCCTAGGCAAAGCCAAGAACTCTCCTAGGCTAAGCCCTAAGTTTGGGGCTTACCTGTCCTGCATCATAGGGTTTGGGTTATAGTGTCTGGTGGGGCATTATTAGGTTAATTTGTGGCTATTTGTGGCAATAGCAAGCAGTTTCTATGAGATGAGTACATAGCTCAAGGGGAGGATAGAACGTGATTACTGTCCCATTTTAATGTTTCTCTGGGCCTAATAATTTAAAAAGACTCATATTCCTCAGATAAGCACTCTTTTCTTTTCTCATAAGTATTGGCAAGAATGTGAAGCAACTGAACACTGGGTATAAATTGGTAAAACCACATTAAAACGATTTTGGTAATATCTACTAAAGTTGAAGTACTCATACTCAGGAATTTTACTGTATATGTACATATATATATATATATATCCACATGTGTATATGTGCACCCAGAGATATGTAAAATATTCTTCATAGTAGCATTATTCATAATAGCCCAATCACAAACAACTCATTCAACAGAATGAATTTTCCTAAAAGGATGGATAAATTCACTGAATAAATGGAAATGAATTTGTTACAGCTATACAACAACATGGATAAAACTCACCAACATAATATGGATCAAAAGAGGCAAAACAGGAAAAAATAATCGAATATAATTTTATCTACATACAATTCAAAAGGAGGCAAAATAAAATTGTAGAGTTAAAAGAGGAATGCCTAGTGGTAAAAACATTTAAAACATCAAGGAAGAGATTACCATACATGTCAGGCTATTGCTTACCTTTGAGGGGGACCAAGGGATTAGTGATTGCAATGATGCACAGAAGAGCCTTCTGGATTGCTGGCTACGTTCTATTTTTTGACTTCGGTGGTGGTTTTACAGGGGTTCGCTTTGTAGTGAATTATTAAGTAGTACCTTCTTTTGTATGTGCTTTGCTGTATGTACATTTTATTTCATCATAAAAAGGCAAAACTTACATATAGAGAGAATTAAATTACACAACTCACCATATAAATTGGGAGTGGAGGAAATAGTGTTATAGTGTTTTTAGGTTGCGGTAATATTCAGAAAGAGGGTAAAGATATTGCTTAACGTAGACTTTGAGAAGTTAAGGACACTTGTTAGAACCTCTGCAATCATTAAAAGAATAGAAATGGGATATAGCTTTAAATAGAAGAAAGATAGAATGGTTTAAAATATATATCCAATATAGCCAAAACAGGAAAACTACCAAAACCTAAACTTTATTGTTTAGAAATACATACATAGTTGGGCAAATTATAAAGAAAGTCAAGTGAGGGGACTGACTATAAAAGTCAGTGCTTCCGATTCAGAGATATCACTCAAGGGGCAATGTTTTGTTTCTTCACTTGAATATTTTTTACAAGTATGTTTCTATTCATCCTTATTCACTATACTGTATATTTATATTTTATGCACTTTTTTGGATATGGGTTACATTTCAAAATTTGAAAGGTTTGTTTGTTTGTTTGTTTGTTTTGAGACAGAGCCTTGTTCTGTTGCCCAGGCTGGAGTGCAGTGGTGTAATCTCGGCTCACTGCAATCTCCGTCTCCTGGGTTCAAGCGATTCTCCCACCTCAGCCTCCTGAGTAGTTGGGACTACATGTGTGCACCACCACATCCAGCTAATTTTTGTAATTTTAGTAGAGATGAGTTTCGCCCTGCTGCCCAGGCTGGTCTCAAACTCCTGAGCTCAAGTGATCCCCCCACCTCAGCTTCCCAAAGTGCTGGGATTACAGGCATGAGCCACCGTGACTGGCCGCAAAATTTAAAAGGGTTTTAAAAAGGAAAATAAATTATTATAAATCACATTAATGGTGGAAAAGAGTAAAGTCACATGACCATCACAAATGGATGCAGGAAACATTTAAATAAAATTCAATATTTATTTATGTGTTTTAAAAGTCCTAGGAAACAAGGAATAAAAGTAAACATTCATTTTCTAATAAATGTTTATCTATTTATCTATCTACCTATAAGTAAATATGTATTCGTAAACAAGAACACAAAACTACTGCAAGTATCCTTAATGCTACATTCTTTCCCTCTGAGATCCAGAACAAGCCAAGGATGCCTGCCTTCACTACTTCTGTTCAACATTGTGTGTCCCAAAATAATAAGACAAGAAAAGAGAACTGAAAGACCTAAGGATAAGGAAAAAAAGAAACAAGCTTTTATTTCTTATGACATGGTTATGTATGTGAACAATTTTAAAACTACTAATTATTAAAATTGATAAGAGAGTGGTATCTCTTAATATGGTGTTTGGGAACTTTGGTTAAGTCAGTAAACCTGAACCTCAAACTCATTATTTGTTTAAAAAAAGAGAAAGGGGTGTCTTATCATACAATACTCCTCACGGTTGCTGTGAGGATCATAATCAGATAATGCCCTTGCAAATGCCAACCATAATGCTGCCCCATAGCAGGGACTCATTTGTTAAGAAACACTGAACATCTGCATGGTTAGCTCACCCTCTTCCTTCAGGTCTTTATTGGGAAGTCATTTCTCAGAGGGGACTTTCCTGCTTTATTTTTTTCTCCTTATCACTGCCTAATATACTATATACTAATGCTCATCTCTCTACTCAAATACAAGCTCCACAGGGGATGGTTTTTGTTTGTCTTATTTGAAGAATCACCCCTGCCTGGCTCATAGTAGATGCTCAACAAATTTGTGTTGACTCAACAGATAAATGGGTGCATTTCTTTAACTGGCAGGATCAACCAGGTATAAATGAGTGAATTTAGTGAGTCACCATCCTGCCCTGATCTGGGCTACTGCATTATAATAGGTACAGGTGTATTCATTAGTATACTAGACAGGGAGACCCTCGTGCTGCTTTTTAAACCTCACCACTTCTCTGTCTCTTCCCTGTGAGTTGGGGTGGGGTGGGGAGTACAGAATTAGTTAGAATTCGTAAGAAGGGTGATGGGGCACCCAAAAATCGAGAGAAGGTTCAGAAAGGGAGACATGTGAACATCGAAGGTGGACTCTGTGTATCTCAAGTTGGTGTACTGTGTCAGTGCTGGTCAGGGCATCACTTGCCCACTTCAGCAAAGGGCCTGTCCCCTATGTGATTTCCATGGAGACCTGCCAGTCCTGGACTTCTAGGCAGGGCCAAGATGAGAGGTCAGCAGAGCAGAGCAGGAATCAAAAGGTAGAGAAAGGGCATAGAATGATTTATATTCCTCTGTGTATAGACCCAGTAATGGGATTGCTGGGTCGAATGGTAGTTCAGTTTTTAGCTCTTTGAGGGACCATCATATTGCTTTCCACAATGGTTGAACAAATTCACACGTCCACCAACAGTGTATAAGTGTTCCCTTTTCTCTGCAACCTCACCAGCATCGGTTATTTTTTTTTCTTTTTAATGGTAGCCATTCTGACTGGTGTGAAATTGTATCTCATTGTGGCTTTGATTTTCACTTCTCTATCAGTGATATTGAGCTTTCATTTCATATGCTTGTTGGCCGCATGTATGTCTTCTTTTGAAAAATATCTGTTTATGTCATTTGCCCACTTTTTAATGGGGTTGTTTTTCTCTTGTAAATGTGTTTACCTTCCTTATAGATGCTCGATATTAGACCTTTGTCAGATGCATAGTTTGCAAATATTTTCTCCCATTATGCAGTTTGTCTGTTTACTCTGTTGATAGTTTCTTTTGCTGTACAGTAGCTCTTTAGTTTAATTAGATCCCACTTGTCAATTTTTGCTTTTGTCATGATTGCTTTTGGTGTCTTTGTCATGAAGTCTTTGCCCATTCCCATATTCAGGAGGGTATTGCCTAGGTTGTCTTCCAGGGTTTTTATAGTTTGGGGTTTTATATTTAAACCTTTAATCCATGACTTGATATGATTTTGGTTCTTTTGCATTTGCTGAGGATTATTTTATATCCAATTGTGTGATTAATTTTAGAGTATGTGCCATGTGGCAATGAGAAGAATGTATATTCTGTTGCTTTTGGGTAGAGAGTTCTGTAAAGGTCTATCCGATCTATTTGGTGCAATGTTGAGTTTAGTTCCTGAATATCTTTGTTAATTTTCTGCCTCAGTGATCTGCCTAATACTGTCAGTGGAGTGTTAAAGTCTCCCACTATTATTGTGTGTGAGTCTATGTCTCTTTGTAGGTCTCTAAGAACTTGCTTTAAGAATCTAGGTGCTCCTGTGTTGTGTGCATATATCTTTAGGATAGTTAGGTCTTCTTGTTGAATTGAACTCTTGACCATTATTATAAAATGCTTTGTCTTTTTTTATCTTTGTTGGTTTGAAACCTGTTTTATCTGAAATTAGGAATGCAGCCTGCTTTTTTTTTTGTTTTCCATTTGCTTGTTAGATTTTCCTCCATCCCTTTATTTTGAGCCTATGGCTGTCATTTCATGTAAGATGGGTCTCTTGAAGACAGCATACCATTGGGTCTTGCTTTTTTTTTATTCCAGCTTGCCACTCTGTGCCTTTTAAGTGGGGGCATTTAGCCTGTTTACATTCAATTTTAGTATTGATATGTATGTATTTGATCTTATTGTGGTGTCAGCTGGCTATTATGTTGGCTTGGATGGTGTGGTTGTTTTATAGTGTCACTGGTCTGTGTACTTCATGTGTGTTTGTAGTGATTGGTAACAGTATTTTCTTATATTTAGTGCTTTTTGCAAGATCTCTTATAAGACTCCCTCAACATTTGCTTATCTGAAAAGGATCTAATTTCTCCTTCGTTTAGGAAGCTTAGTTTGGCTGGATATGAAATTCTTGGTCGAAGATTTTTTTTGTTTAAGAATGTTCACTATAGGCCCCCAATCTCTTCTGGCTTGTAGGTTTCAGCTGAGAGATTTGCTGTTAGCTTGATGGTGTTCCCCTTGTAGGTGACCTGCCCTTTCTCCCTAGCTGCCTTTAACATTCTTTCTTTCATTTTGACCTTGGAAAATCTGACCATTATATGTCTTGGGAATGATCTTCTTGTAGACCCTTTAGGAGTTCTCTGTACTTCCTGAATTTGGCTGTTGGCTTGTCTAGCAAGGGTGGGGAAGTTTTCATGGATGATATCCTGAAATATGTTTTCCAAGTTGTTTGCTTCCTGCCCTCCCTTCCCTGCCCATTCAGGGATGCCAGTGATTCATAGATTTGGCCTCTTTACATAATCCCACACTTTTTGGAGGTTTTGTCCATTCCTTTTTATTCTTTTTTCTTTATTTTTGTCTGGTTTTCTTATTTCAAAGAACCAGTCTTTAAGTTCTGAGATTCTTTCCTCAGCTTGGTTTATTCTGCTAATTCTTGTGATTGCATTGTGAAATTCTTGTATTGTGTTATTCAGCTCTGTCAGATCCATTAAGTTCTTTTTTATACCAGATATTTTGTCCTTCAGCTCCTGTATCACTTTATCTTGATTTTTATTTTTTATTTTTTTGGATTAGGTTTTTCCATCCTCCTGAACCTCAATTATATCTGTTCCTATCCATATTCTGAATTCTATTTCTGTAATTCCAGCCAGTTCATCCTGGTTAAGAACTCTTGTTGGTGAACTGGTGCAGTTGTTTGGAGGACAAGGTTGTCCTCAATCTTGTTTCAATCACAAACAGCATCTAGAATTACTAAACTCATACAACACTTTGGTCATTTGAGTAACTGGAGTTTTTGCGTTGGTTCCTTCTCATCTCTGCATGTGGGTGTTCCTTTAACTGCAGTGTATGTTAAGTACAGCCAATAGACTTCTTTTCTGGATGTTTTCATTGGGCCATGGCTTCATGCAGGGTCTTTATTTGTAGCTGACTTCTTGTCTCTGGTTTCAGGAGGGTATGTTAGTGAGGTATTTTTGGTGTTGAAGCTTTAGGGTGTGATCCAGTAGGTGGAACTTAGGCTTATTGGTTAGTTGGTAAACTCTTACTTGGTTATGTGTCTCCCTTATGTTTCCTCATGGTTACAACTGTGTTCCTTCTTAATGCTCTGAGGGTGTGGGTTTCTCTCCCCATTGAGTGCTGGCTGTAGATCATGGCTTGGCATTCTTGGGCTTTCCACTACAGCTCTGGGGTGATCTCAGTGTTTATGTTCCTTTCCCAACTTGAAAGGAGCAAAAGAAGGGATCTTAGTAGTGGTTGTGGCCAAGGGCATTTTGCTTGTCTTCTAGGGGTTCCACCCCAGAGAGATGCAAGTCAGCAAATGCTGAGTGCAATCAGCTCAGGATGAAGGGTCTGTATTGTGGACCAAGCCAGGGGTTCCCTGTCTTAAGATGAGCAGTGAGGGGTATGTGGGACCCATGGGAGATGGACTGGCCTCCTCTCCTTAGGTCAACTGCAGCTTATTGGAGGTGTGAACAAAGCACTTAGGGTCTTTGCTTGTTTGTTAGTTGAAGGGTAGCAAAGGCAGTTCTACTGCAGAGGCAGTGGCAGAGAGGCTTTCAATTGCCCCTGGAGGCTCTGTCCAGAGAGTTGCCAGATTGCTACTGGCTTGATAGCTCTGGGGTTGGGGGCAGTTGCTGGAGGCCGAGGGCTGGAGGACATGCCTGATGAGGAGATATCGGAAAGGGCACCCATATTACGGTCTGGCCACTTTTCCATAGGGCTGTTGCAGTATGCTGGGGGTGCACTCCAGTCTGCAGTCACCTCAGATTTTCCAGTACCTAGAGGTATCACCATTGAAGGCTGTAAAACAGCAAAGATTGAGCTCTGTCCTAGGGAGGTATGGACCTGTTGCTGGCCCATACACACCTATAGGAGGTGGCTGGAGATCCTGGTTGGGAGGCCCTGTCTGGTGAGGAGGAAAGGATCGGGGACCTGGTTAAAAAAACAGTCTGGCCACATTTTCGTAGAGCAGCTGTGCTGTGCTGGGGGTCCACTTCAGCCCCTGATCGCCTTGGACTCTCCAAAATCTAAAGGCCAGAACAGCTAAGTCACCCAAACAACAAAGATGGCAGCCCCACTGTCCCTCTGGGAGCTCTGTCCTAGGGAGGTTTCAAAACTCTGTTGGCTGGAGAGCACTGGCAGGGGTGGCTGGAGACCCTGGTTGGGAGGTCCTGCCCATTGAGGAGGAATGGGATTAGGGACCCATTTTGAAAAGCAGTCTGTACAGGTTTTCACAGAGCAGCTGTCAAATTCTTTTTTTTCTACTTGCTAGATTTCTATCAAGCTGTTGAGGATTTCTATTGAGTTTTTCAGCCAGATATTGTATAGAATTTCTGTTGGCTTATTTTTATGGTTTCTGTCCCTTTGTTGCACTTTCCATTTTGTTCCTGTAGTGTTTTTCTGATATCACTTAGTTGTCTATCTGTTCTCTTGTAACTCACTAAGCTTCTTTAAAATGATTATTTTTTGTTTTTTTTTTTTTGGTCAGGCCGTATGTAGATTTCTATTTATTTTGGGTCAGCCACCAGAGCTTTATAGTGTTCCTTTTGTAATACCATAATTCATTGATTCTTTGTGTTCTTTGAGGGTTTTCTTTCTTTGTTTGCATTTGCAAAAGTAGTCACCTATGTCAGTCTACTTTCTAGCATTGCGAGAGATAGACCTTCCTCAGTAAGTCCCACTAGAGATTCTGGGGTCTCTCAGACCTTTTCTATGGATGCATCTGCTTCACTCCTCTTGTTCCCTCTAAGGGAGGAAGTCTTATGATTATGTTCTGTCTCTCAGTCCTGTAAAACCAGACCTGGTACTGAGAGTTTATCTGTTTTACCCAACAATGCCCCAAAGTTTTCAAGGTTGTGTGCTTCTTTTCACATTCCAATGGAGTTGAACCTGCTGCTAAAATCTGCATCTGCTATTCAGATCCATGTGCCATTTGCAGGAGTACTTAGGCCTTGTGCACAGAGATGCACAGGGCAACATCCTGGATGGACACACAGTATGTTTAAGGCATGCATTAGTTTGTTAATGGGGGAGTCTGCCAGCAAGTTTTCCTTGTGTGGGGTTTATGGGTGGGCCTTTTGCTAGAATCCTCAAGCCACTTAGCAGAATCCATGTCCAGCTATTGAGAATCACACACCAGTTGCTGTGTACTTCTTCCCCTTCTCAATGCTTCTAGCTGTCCCAGACATTTCAATTTTCCTGATCCCCTTAATGTTCTGGGTGGGCAGTGTACCACAGGCTGAGAAAACTTGTAATTCAGTTTTCATTTTCTCCTTTGGGAGAAACTGTGGGCTAAGAAGGACTCCCTGGGCACTGAGCTGTGCCACCTGCTACTTAATTTCTATTCTTGTGTCTTCTTTGGGTGAATTAGAGGTATACTGTTATTACACCGCTTTATTTCCCCTATTGACTTTTTAGTTTGTATGTGTGTGTGTGTGTGTGTGTGCATGTGTGTGGGTGGGTGTGTATGTTCATGTGTATTTGTATGTGTATGCGTACGTGTATCTAGTGGTTCCCTTAGGGATTATAACATGCATTTTAATTTATTGATCTATATTCAAAAATTGTCTATTTCATAACTAGATATAAAGAAATCTTCCTCATCTAATAAAAAGTATTTACAAATTCTAAACTGACGTAGCATTCAATGGTGAAAAAATAACTCTATTTCTTTTCCCTAAAGTCAGGAACATGACAGGCAGGTCCACTCTCGCCATTTCCTTTCAACATTATATGGAAGTCCATGGAATGCAATTAGGCCAAAAAATAAAATAAAAAAGAAAGAATAAAACTCTTGGCAGATTATGCATTTAGGTACATGGAAAATCCAAGGGAATCACAAATGGTTCAGTAAACTCTCAGTACCAGGTCTGGTTTTACAGCTATTACTAAATGAACCCAACCTTGTCATAGGATAAAAGGTCAGTTTACAAATATCAATTGTATTTCTATATACCAGAAATAAACAATTGAAAATTGACATAAAATGTCATAGTACATTTTATAATAATCATAAAACAAAATCTTTTAAATAAATTAAATGATCTGTACACTGAAAACTATAAAACCTTGGAAAAAATTGAAGAGGATGTAATTAACTGGAGATGGATTGGAAGAATTAACATTGTGAAGAAATCAATTTACCCAAATTGATGTCTAGATTCAATTAAATCTTGAGAAAACTATAAAATTACTATATAATTATACTATAAATGTCTTTGTTAAAATTAACAAGTTGTTTGCAATGTGGAATAGGAGAACTTCAGAAAAATTAGAATTCCAGATTTCAAGATTTACTTTAAAGCTACTGTGATTAAGGCAGTATAATATTAGAATAAGGCTATCAAGGTCGATCAATGAAACAGAATAGTAGTATTCAGAAATAACCCCACAAAAAATGATCTTTTGTTTTATGACCAAAACCCCAATACAATGTGGAAATAAAAGTTAAAAAATTTTTCCCAATAAATGTTGCTGAAGCAATTATATACCCACATGGAAAAAATGCCCAGCACTGTACATAGAAAATTTGAAATGAATCATAGACTGAAGTATAATAGATAAATCAATAAAGATTCTGGAAAAAAACAAGCGATGTATTTTTGAACTCAGAATATGCAAGGTATTTTTTATTGGACAGTATGAAAAGCACTAATCTAAACATAAAAAAATAAATACCTTAGAATTATGAATAGGAAATTCCATTAATCAAAAGATACCGTTAGGCGAATAAAGGACCAGTCATATACTGGGAGAAGACAGCACCCAATGTATATTGAACAAAGGACTCTGATCGAGAATATATATAAATTCCTACAAAAAATAAGACAAAACAAAAAAAATCCCACATAATTTGAAAAATGACAAAATACTTGCTTAGGCATTTCATAAACAAGGCTACCCAAATTGCCAATAATATATTTCAAAAGTATGCAACATCATTGGTAATCAGGAAAATGCAAATTAAAACAAGGAGATATTAATAACTAACACTAAAAAGACTTACTGACAATTCCAGATTTGGGAAGGCTGTGGGGCAAGTTGAACTCTCATACATTGCTGGTGGTAGTGGAAACTGGTACAATCCTTAGAAGAACTCTTTAGTAATATCTAAGAAAGCTTAACCTACCCTACCTTGTGATCAAGGAATTCCACTCCTAGATTCATACCAAGATAAATGAATGCACATTTCCAACAAAAGGCATGCATAAGAATGTTCATTGTAGCTTTATTTATGATGGTAAGAGCTGGTAACAATCAGATTCTCATTAACAATAGAATGGGATGAAGGGTGGGGTCCAACTTCCCCTCCCTATATGGAGCAGCCGTGCCCCGGCAACTGAGGACAGACCATGAAGTTTCCTGCTCTGGACTGGGGGAAGAAATTCTGCCCTGACCCCCATACTAGTGGTATCCCTCAGAGAGGTCAATCTGTGGTGTACAGCTACACTGTGGCCGGGAACCAAAGAACAAAGCCTTTGTAAACAGGTCATGAGCCCTGTGACGGGGCATGATATGGAAGCAGATCGTGTTCCTGCCAGCTCAGGACAAGGAGCTGATGCACTTTCTGCTCCACCTTCCCGTGAGACTTCAGCATACTCCAACAGGATCTCTTTCTGCCATCCTCATCAGGGAGGGCACGTACACTAGGCATCAGCCTACCTGGTAGCTCTTACTTTTTATCGCCATCTACTGGGCTCCATCTGAACTCCACCACTAAACAAAAAATACATAGCTACAGCAAACAGCATCTGAGATAGCTTGTGGATAGGTTCCACCGCCTAGAACCCATCCACAACCAAGGAACCCGTACAGAATACTTGTCTCCTGAAAGCACCTAGAAACTAAGCCAAATGATCATACACAATATGCACCACAGTCATACACCCCCAAGGGAAAAAATTAAAAAATGAAAAAGCCTCACCCAAATGATAGCAAATTCAAAAAAAGAAGTTACAGCATCTTTGGATGAGAAGGAATCAGCACAGGAACTCCAGTAGTACAAAAAGCAACAGTGTTTTACACTTCCAAAGGATCACACCAGCTACCTAGTAATGGATCCTAACTAGACGGAAATGTCTGAAATGAAAGGTAACTCAAAATATGAATTGCAAGGAAACACAATGAGATCCAAGAGCAAGTTGAAATCTAATACAAAGAAACCAGAAAAATGATCCAGGATATGTAAGTTGACATAGTTATATTAAGGAAGAACCAAACAGAATTTCTGGAATAGAAAAATTCACTACAGAGATTTCAAAATACAGCTGGAAGACATAACAATAGAAAAAACTAAGCAGAAGTGATGGCAGCGGCAGCTCCAGATGGCCTGCCGCTGCCATCACGCAGGCTGCAGTAGAGGGGTGTGGACGGGGTTGCACGACCAAGGAGCAGGCAGGAGCCGCAGCCCCACGGAGCAGGCAGGAGTCGCACGCCCCATGGAGCAGGCAGATCTAAGCCTCCCTGTGCTCTTGAGGTCCAGGAGCAGGCAGGAACCCTGCCCTCCTGGGTGCCACTGCAGCTGCCCAAACCACAGCTGCAGATCCAGGCTAAAAGGAGTTCTGAGCATGGAACAATACCTGCTACAACAAAAGCACGTGTAAGTAAAGCCCATAGACTCTACATAAAACAACTACATAATAGAAACTACAAAGCAACTAGCTAACAACTAGCAACTGGCTAATAATACCACAATAGAAACAAAACCTCACATATCAATATTAACCTTGAGTGTAAATGGCCTAAATGCGCTCCTTAAATGACATAGAATGGCAATATGGATAAAAAACAGATTTAACCCTCTGCTGCCTTCATGACATCCATCTCACGTGTTCAAAATAAAAGGATAGAGAAAGATCTATCACTGAAATGGAAAATGAAAAGAAGCAGGGGTAGCAATTCTTGTATCAGATAAAACGGACTTTAAACCAACAATAGTAAAAGAGAACAAAGAAGGGCATTATGTAATGATAAATGGTTCCATTCAACAAGATGATTTAACTATCCTAAATATATAGGCATTCAATATTGGAGCACCCAGATTTATAAGACAATTACTTCCAGAAGTAAGAAAGGAGATAAACAGCCATATAATAACATAATAACAGCATTAGACAGATCACAGAGACAGAAAACTAACAAAGAAATTCTGGACTTAAATTTGATACTTGACCAAACAGAACTAATAGACATCTGGTGAATACTCCAGCTAACAACCACAGAATATATGTTATTCTCATCTGTGCACAGAACTTTCTCAAAGATTAACCACATGCTCAGTCATAAAGCAAATCCTAACCAATTTAAAAAAATGAAATTGCACCAAGCATCATCATGCACCGCAGTGGAATAAAATTAGAAATCAATACCAAGAGGAGCTCTGAAAACCACACAATTACATGGAAACTAAACAACTTGTTCCTGAAAGACTTTAGGGTACATAATAAAATTAAGAGAGAAATAAAAAATTATTTGAAATGAATGAAAATAGAGGTATAATATACCAAAATCTCTGGAATACAGCAAAAGCAGTGGTAAGAGGAAAGTTTATAGTGCTAAATGCCTACATCAAGATAGAAAAATCTCAAATTAACAATTTAATGTTGCACCTGAAAGAACAAGAACAAGAACAAACAAAAGAACAAGAACAAACATACAAGAACTAAACTCAAAGCTAGCAGAAGAAAAGAAATAACTAAAATCAGTGCAGAAACAAATGAAATTGAGACCCCCAAAGCCATAAAAAGGATCAATGAAATAAAAAGTTAGTTGTTTGAAAGGATAAACAAGATTGATAGACCACTAGCTAGATGCAGGGAAAAAAGAGAGAAGATACAAATAACTACAATCAGAAAGGGCAAAGGTGACATTACAACTGATTCCACAGAAATATAAAAGATCCTCAGAGACTGCTATGAACATCTGTATGGGCACAAACTAGAAAATTTAGAGTAAATGCATAAATTCCTGGAAATACCCAGCCTCCCAAAGTTGAACCAGGAAGAAATGGAAACCATGAATAGACCAATAATGAGTTTTGGAGTTGTATAAGTAATAAAAATTAACCCACTATAAAAAATTCGGCCAGGTGCAGTGGCTCATGTCTGTAATCCCAAAACTTTGGGAGGCTGAGATGGGTGGAATGTTTGAACCCTGGAATTTGAGACCAGCCTGGGCACCAATGTGAAATCTCATCTCTACAAAAAATACAAAAATTAGCCATGTATGGTGGTGTGTGCCAGTAGTCCCAGCTACTTGGGAGGCTGAGGTGGGAAGATTTCTTGAGCCCAGGGAGTCAAGGCTGCAAGAAGCTGTGATCACTCCACTTCACTGCACCCTGGGTGACAGAGTGAGACCGTTTTTTTGTTGTTTTTGTTTTCGTTAAAAAACAAAACATCCTGCTCCATCCTGGAGCAGATGGATTTATAGCTGAATTCTAACAGACATACAAAGAAGAGCTGGTGCCAATGTTACTGAAATTATTCCAAAAAGTAGAGGAGGAGGGATTCCTCCATAACTCATTCTAAGAAACCAGTGTCATCCTGATACAACATCTTTCAAGGACACAACAAAAAAAGGAAACTATAGGCCAATATCGCTGGTGAACAAAGATGCAAAAATCCTAAACAAAATACCTGCAAAGCGAATCCAGCAGCACATCAAAAAGATAATTCACCATGATCAAGTGGCGTTTATTCCTGAGAAGCAATGATGCCTCAAGATGTGCAAATCAATAAATGAGATTCACCACATAAACAGAGTTAAAAACAAATACCATTTGGTTATTTCAATATATACAAGAAAGCTTTTGATAAATCCAACAACACTTCATGATAAAAACACTCAACAAACTAGGCATTAAAGAAGCATACATGAGAACCATCTATGATAAACCCACATCCAACATCATACGGAATAAACATAAGTTGGAAGCATTCCCCCTAAGAACCGGAAAAAGGAAAGGATATCCACTCTTACCATTTCTATTCAACATAGCGCTGGAAGTCCCAGCCCGAGCCATCAGGCAAGGGAAAAAAAAATAAAAGACATCCAAATTTAAAAAAAGGAAGTAAAATTATCTCTCTTCAATGACGATATGATTCTATACCTAGAAAACCCTAAAGCTTATTCCAAGAGGCTCCTAGACTAGATAAATGACCAGTAAAGTTTCAGGATAAAAAATCAATGTACAAAAATCATTTACACTTTTACACATCAACAGTGTTCAAGCTGAGAACCAAATCAAAGATGCAATTCTGATTATTATGCATATTATGCATTGCATGCCTGTACCAAAATACCTCATGTATCCCATAAATATATACACCTACTATGTGCCCACAAAAGTTAAAATTTAAAAATAAAAAAATGCAATCCTAGGCCGGGCATGGTGGCTCACGCCTGTAATCCCAGCAATTTGGGAGGCCGAGTGGGGCAGATCACTTGAGGCCAGGAGACCGAGACCAGCCTGGCCAACATGGTGAAACCCTGTCTCTACTAAAATACAAAAATTAGCTGGGCATGGTGGTGGGTGCCTGTAATCCCAGCTACTCAGGAGGCTGACGCAGGAGAATCGCTTGAACCTGGGAGGAGGAGTTTGCAGTGAGCTGAGATCGTGCCACTGCACTCCAGCCTGTGTCTCAAAAAAAAAAAAAAAGGCAATTCTATTCACAATCACCAATAGAACCCCACAAAATACCTAGGCATATATCTAAACAAGGAAATGAAAGATCTCTGCAAGGAGAACTACAAAACACTGCTGAAAAAAAAATTGTAGACAACACAAAACAAATGGAAAAACATTCCATGCTCATGGATTAGAAGAATCAATATTGTTAAAATGTCCATACTTCCCAAAGCAGTCTAGAGATTCAAAACTATTCCTATGAAATTACCAACATCATTTCTCATTGCATTAGAAAAAAACTGTTCTAAAATTCATATGGAACCAAAAAAAGAACCCAAACAGCCAAAGCAATCATAAGCAAAACAACAACAAAGCCAGGCATCACATTACCTAACTTCAAACTATCCTGAAAGTCGACAGAAACCAAAACAGCATGGGGCTGGTACAAACATAGACACATAGATAAATGAAACAGAACAGCGAATCTAGAAATAAAGCCACACACCTACAGCCAACTGATCTTTGAAAGGTGGACAAAAATGAACAATGGAGAAAGAACACCCTATTCAATAAATGGTGCTGGAAAATTGGCTAGCTGTATGCAGAAGAATGAAACTGGACACCTACTTCTTTCTATGTATAAAAATTAACTAAAGATGGATAAAATGCTCAATATAAGATCTATGACTATAAAAATCCTAGATAAAAACCTAGATAAAACTTCTGGACATTGGCCTAGGCAAAGAATTTATGACCATGTCCTCAAAATCAAATGCAATAAAAACAGAAATTGACAAATGAGACCTAATTAAACTAAAGCGCTTCTGCACAGCAAAAAAACCCAAAACAAAACAACAACAACAAAAAACTATCAACAGAGTAAACAAACAACCTACAGAATGGAAGAAAATATTTGTAAATGATTCATCTGACCAAGGGCTAATGTTCACAATCTACAAGGAATTTAAACAAATCAACAAGAAAAAGACAAATAACCTCATTAAAAATTAGGCAAATGACATGAACAGACCTTCTCAAAAGAAAACATACAAACAGTCAACAAACATATGAAAAATTGCTCATCATTAATTATCAGAGAAATGCAAACGAAAACTACAATGAGATACTATCTTATACCAGTCAGAATGGCTATTACTAAAAAGTCTAAAAATAACAGATGTTGATCAGGCTATGGAGAAATGGGAAGCTTATACACTGTTGGTGGGGATGTAAATTACTTCAGTCCCTGTGGAAAGCAGTTTGTCCTGCCTAGGGACTTAGACTCCACACACTTGACCTACTGCATCACCAGCCAGACACATTCCACAGCCCACTCTGACTCTTACAAGCACAGGGGATTGGTATATCACCGGGGTGTTGTGGGTCTCCTGGTGATTTAACCCTCAGCTGGGACTGGCCCTAAGGTATAAGGTATGAGGGAATTCCAAAGTCCCCCTTGATGCAAAGGAAATGTGGGTGCAGTGCCTGTAGTTGAAGGATATGTCACCAAGGCCTGGGAGCAGACTCAGAAAAGATATCAATTCTCGCCCCTGCCTCTCTTCTCCAGGGCACTGTTGCATACGTACTGTAAAACAAAAGGGGCACCTGGCTGAGGAAGAGCCTATCTGTGGGCCTTACATTAAGTGCCATCTACTGGATTGCAGCTTGAGTTACACCACCAAACAATGCAATGCCTCTGAAACCCACAGCAGGAAACCATCTACAACCTAGGAACCCATTCAGAGCCTCAGCCCTCTGAGAGCACCCAGCAAAGAAGCCAACCAACTAAACACAACATTAACAGCAGTCAAACCCTCAAGGGAAAAAAGAATAGGAAAACAAAAAGACCCATCCAAATTCAAAAAGAAAATGAAATCCCAGGTCCCTCAGATGATAAGGAACCAGTGCAAGAACTCTGGCAATTCAAAAAGTCAGAATGTTTCATTATCTCCAAAGAATTGCACTAGCTCCCTAGCAATGAATCCTAACCAGATTGAAATGTCTGAAAAGATAGACACAGAATTCAGAATCTGGATAGGAAAGTTCAACAAGATCCAAAAGAAGGTTGAAATTCAATCCATGGAAGCCAGAAAACTGACCCAATATATGAAAGACGTCATAGCTAGAAGAAAGAACAAAATTGAACTTCTGGAATAGAGAAAACCACTACAGAAATTTCAAAACATATTTGGAAGCCTTAACAACAGACTATTCTGAACAGAGGAACTAATTTAAGAGCTCAAAGATGGATCCTTTGAATCAACCCAGTCAGACAAAAATAAAGAAAACAATTTTTCTAATGAACAAAGCAAAAGAATTTATGACTAAGTCCTCAAAAGCAATGGTAACAATAACAAGAATTGACAAGTGGGGCCTAATTAAACCAAAGAGTTTCTACACGGCTAAAGAAACTATCAACAGAGTAAACAGACAACCTATGGATTGGGAGAAAATATTTGCTAACTATGCCTTTGACAAAGGACTAATATTCAGAAGCTATAAGGAACTCAACGAGATCAAAACAACCCAATTAAAAAGTGGGAAAGGACATGAACAGACCCTTCTCATAAGAAGACATGCAAGCAGCCAGCAAACATGACAAAATGCTCAACATCACTAATCATCAGGGAAATGTGAATCAAAACTACAATGAAATACCATTTCATACCAGTCAGAATGGCTATTATTAAAAGCTCTAAAATAGTAGATGTTGGCAAGGCCATGGAGAAATGGGAACGCTTATATACTGTTGGTGGGAACGTAAATTACTTCAGCTTCTGTGGAAAACAGTTTCTCTTCGAGAAAGAGATTTCTCGAAGAACTAAAAATAGAACTACTGTTCAACCCAGCCATCCCATTACTAGTTATATACCCAAAATAAAATGAATAATTCTACCAAAAAGACACTAGTTCTTGCATGTTCATTTTAGCACTATTCACAATAGTAAAGACATGGAGATAGAGACATAGAGATTTATGTATGGAATATCTATATGCACATCTGCTTGTATACATGTCCTAGCTCTATCCACTGAGAGAACTACAAACAGCAGTGCTTCCTTAGCAAGAGCACACATAGCAACTGTATAGGTATCTCTTGGTCTAGTAGATCATAAGCTCCATGAAGGCAGGGACTGACTCATGCACATCCTTACTTTTCAGCGTTAAGTTCAATTTCATGAACATAGGAATCTTTAGAAAATTGAACAGTTTGTAGGCACCCAGCTAGTAAATTTCAGGGCCAGGCTACAACTGTCTGAAAACCAGCCTTTTGTGTCAAGCCTAAGCTGCTGATAGCTGTCATTGAATGCTGCTTCCACCCTTCTGTTTCTGCAAACAGGTACAAGTCTGCAGCCCTGGCCACCAGCATCATCAGGTGCTCCCAAACCCTGAGCCCACCAGTGGCCGGTGGGCTGAATCGACTACATCCTCCAGATGGGGTGGGGACAGGGGGCAGCACACCTCAAGCCTTATGCCTTCCTGCAGCCCTGGAATGAGCAGAACCTGCTCGACGTCTTTGTGTTCTTCCTGGGGCTCACTCTGGGCACTATGTAGCTTTGTGGAAAGCTGCTGGGCATGGCATGGCAGCTGGGTGGCTGCCTGGGGCCAGAAAGGTGGAGGAGATGTGAGACCATGTACAGCCTTGGTGGGGTGCGTTTGTTGGGCAGTGTCACCATTTCTTGGGGGCTCCCCACCAGTTCTGGCAACCCTGTTCTCTACATCATCTCTGCTTGCTAATTTTGCTACAAATTCATCCTTACTAGCTCCTGCCTGTTAGCAGAATTCTTTCCAGTCCTCTTGTCCTCCTTTATTTGCCATCAGCAAGGGCTGTGCTGTGATTCTGTCTCTGAGTGACTTGGACCACTGACCCTTAGATTTCCAGCCTTAAAATCCTCCTTCCTTCTCATGTCCCTCTTAAATCACAGCCTGACCATTCCAGACTCCCTGTCCAGATCTTCTCAGCCTCTTTCACTCACTCATGCCCCTACCATCTATCACGGAATAACATCTGAGAACGATACCTTGCATATTCTTTCAGTTTCTGTTTTGTTCTCCCGCATATTCTCTTCAATGTTCAGGAAGCCTGCCCTGTGCTTGAGAGTACAAGGCTGGACACAGGCTCGTGGGTCTCCACATTGGGTCCCTGTCTCTGGTGCCCACAGTGAGCTCCTTCTTTGCTGAGCAGGCATGGAGACTGTAGGTTTCCAGATTTCCTGAAAAATAAAAGTTTACAGCATTATCTTTCCACAACCTCACTAAACGATTGGCCAAGAGATTTCTGTCCTAATTGCCCAGAATTCTGTCATCTGGCTACTCAAGGCTATCGGGGAATGGGGTAAGTCTGCACTGGCACCTGGCCAGGGTGAAGGCAGCGGGAAGTGGGTGGAGGGTTAGCTAACCTGTGGGGTCTGAAGAAAGAGAAAAGTGGCCAAAAATCCTCCAGAATGCTTGACCTGCTGAACCAGAATATTTTGCTATTTAGCCTTGACCTATATTCATGCACTTAAGCAGCAAGCTATCATGGGCATGCTGATAAAGAAACACTTCTGTTTCCTGGTTACAGTCTCTGGCTGGACCTGAGGAAGCACTGAGTTTGCTTTAATGACTTTCCTTTTTTTTTTTTTTTTTTAATTGAGATGGAGTCTCGCTCTGTTGCCCAGGCTAGAGTGAAAGTGGCACGATCTCAGCTCACTGTAACCTCCCCCTCCCAGGTTCAAGTGATTCTCCTGCCTCAGCCTCCTGAGTAGCTGGGATTACAGGCATCTACCACCACACCTGGCTAATTTTTTTGTATTTTTAGTAGAGATGGGGTTTCATCATGTTGGCCACGCTGGTCTTGAACTCCTGAACTCAGGTGATCTGCCCACCTAGGCCTCCCAAAGTGTTGGGATTACAGGTGTGAGCCACTGCACCCAGCCTTCAGTGACTTTCTAAGTGTGATGGGGACCACAAGGTAGGCAGCCAGAGCAGATGATTTCAATCATGGAGCCCCAGATCCATGTAGATGAGAAGGTGGAATGCAATTGTAGCTGTGGTTCCAAGGACAGCACAGACAGGACTGTGTGTTATCCCTTGAGGGACCATTGCTACAAACCAGTTGGCACTAAACCTTAAGTCGTATAAGGAGGATGAAACCCACTTTATTTGGGTTCTGTAGAAAATTTGCAAATGGACTCTTTTTTCAGTCTGTATGTTTCTGAAGTTCTCTGTGCAAAGGATTTTGTACTAATGAGTAGGAGGTATGTATCCACATCAAAATGTCTCCACATGTACAGGAGAATGGAGACTTTAGGCTTTACTAATAGGTGCTAGAATTAATCTGGGTATTCATGTGTACTGTTCCTTTGTGACGCCTATGACACTCTTTGCTTTTGACTGGCATTAAGGTTTAGAAAATGCATAGGTTGGTATCGGGATAGAGTAAAGAGAGTACATCATAGGGAGTTTCCCCTTCTGGGGCCTCCACAATCTGCATGTAATTAAATGCTGCATGTAATATAAACATAAACAAGAAGATCACATAACACCCACAGAACCCATAGCTTCCCATAAGTAGAAAAGAAGACACCAGATTGTAGCAAAGCTATCTCCTCAACTCCTGCTGCAAGCCTTTATGGAGACCTAATGAGTCTGGAAATATTGTACATAGGAAGCAGGTTCACTGTGAATGGGTTATCAGTTTGTCTGACTCCAGTGAGATGGAGCACCACCCCCGCTCCAAGTTATATGAAGGGAATTAGTGGTCTAAAATACTAAAGTCTTCAAAGAAAGCCAAAAAGTAGAGGAAATGTAACAGAATAAGTGGGAGAAATAGCAACCTGGTAGATTTAAACACATGCATTCGGACTGAAATACAAGATTGACAGACTTGAATAAAAATTTCAAGCTGATTGCTGTTTCAAGAGACACACCTAAAATATGAGGATACAGGAGGGTTGAACATGAAAGGATAGGAAAAGATAGATCTTTTTCCACAATGGAAGATAAAATCTGAATGGTTAGTAGTAATGGCAAACAAAATAGACTTTGGGTGAAAAGTGTTACCAGAGACAAAATAGGTCCTCATTATAAAACGAGGACTAACTGTTTCCCTGGAAGGTATAATACCTGAAACTATAATTGTTCATATATATGCATTTAATGAGTAGCCTTATGTGTATACAGGAAAAATTGCTATAACACCAAGGAAAAATAGAATTATAGTGGAAGAGCTATAAAAACATCTTAATGAAAAATTTCAAACATTCACAAAAGTAGAACTTCTTTATGCTCAGGATTTAGCTCCAGTGATTACTAACTCCTGGCAATTCTCTTTTCTTATCCTGCCACCCACATTTAACCTTGTTTACCCCCACAACCTATTATTTTGAAGCAAATCTGAGAAATCATAAGACAGAATCTGTAAATGTTTCAGAATGTACCTTAAGAGCCAATTTCCTTCCTTCCTTCCTTCCTTCCTTCCTTCCTTCCTTCCTTCCCTCCCTCCCTCCCTCCCTCCCTTCCTCCCTTCCTTCCTCCCTTCTTTTTTGACAAAGTCTCACTATGTTTCCTAAGCTGGAGTGCAGTGCTGCGATCTCGGCTCACTGCAACCTCCATTTCCTGGGTTCAAGCGATTCTCCCACCTCGGCCTCCCGGGTAGCTGGGACCACAGGCACATGCCACCATGCCTGGCTAATTTTTGCATTTTTAGTAGAGACGGGGCTTCACTATATTGGCCAGGATGGCCTTGAACTCCTGACTTCGTGTTCCCCCCACCTCACCTACCAAAGTGCTGGGGTTATAGCATGAACCACTGCACCCAGCCAGAATTTCTTTATAAGATGTTTATAACCACAATTACATAGAACTCTTCTCCAAAGCAACAATAACTAGTTAATATTTTCAAAATTTGGGTTCATATATCTCTGATACTCCTATAATATTTTAGAGTCCATTGGAATCATGCTATGTAAAACGTTAACGAATCTGATACCTGACTCTTCATATCTCTTTCCATTTGATTTTTCTTAGTAACATTTGCCATTAATGTACTATATATTTTATTTCTTAGTGTGTTTAGTATCAGTTTGCCTGGCAGAACAATGCCTGGCATAATAAATAGCTATCAGCCAGGCGTGGTGGCTCATGCCTGTAATCACAGCATTTTGGGAGGCCAAGGCGGGTGGATCATGTGAGGTCAGGAGTTCAAGACCAGCCTGGCCAACATGGTGAAACCCAGTCTCTACTAAAAAATACAAAAATCAGCCGGGTGTGGTGGCAGGCACCTGTAATCCCAGCTACTCGGGAGGCTGAGACAGAAGAATTGCTTAAACTTGGGAGGCAGAGGTTGCAGTAAGCTGAGAGTGCACCACTGCACTCTAGCCTGGGTGACAGAGCGAGACTCTGTCTCAAAAAAAAAAAAAATCTATCAATATAATTGTTGAATAAATAAAAATCTTGGAGTTTGATAACAAATCCTTTATTTTGCTAATGCATTATGAAAAGTACAAGAATAAGACGAACTGGAGCCTTGTGATGTCTGGTAAACCTCGCCCTTCCCACACTTTTCTCTCTCTCTCTCTCTCTCTCTCTCTCTCTCTCTCTCTCTCTCTCTCCTCTTTCTCCACAATAGGCATGGCTAGGTGAGGGATGCACAAATGCATAAGAATGTAATGCTTTAAATTCCAATGAGAAAAAATAACCCCTGTAGACTGAAGAAGGCAGGAATAGAACACGCAGAATTCAAGGACCCACTGCAACCAAGGATTTCTCTGCTTATTTAGAGTTGCACTGAAAGCCTTTCCTAAAGGAAGTCTTAGTTTGAGGATAGAGAGTAAAGGGGACTACCGGACCTGGTGATCCCTGACCTCACTGGGGCTGACATTGCACGGAGGCAGAATTACAAGCTGTCATCAGCATGTGCTCTTGGAAATTATGGAAAGATTCACCAGTCCTATTTCAGGATACTCATTCAGAATGATAGTCTCAGCTTTTGAATTTCAGTCCTCCAGGGACAGACCTGGACTTCCAGAGGTAGGACTCTAGCCTCTTTTCAGGAATGTTACCTTCTAAAGAGACACTAAGAGATAGATTCCAGGGATGGTAGATTGATTTCCCTTGGGGATTCCCTTCCAGGGAGGTCTTGGGCTTGGAACATCAGCTCAAGATTTTAAGCAAGTCTCTCAGGAAATAGATCGCGGGGCTGGCAGTATGAGGTAATAGAGGCAGTTAGAAGGGAACTAGAGTAGGTAAATTCACACAGCCTTTGCAAAAGAGAGGTGGGTCCCATGGAGATAGAGCTTTCATCAGCTCGATTTACTGAGGTCCCTGCCATTCCTCACTCACAGTAAGGATTTTCCAGGCAGGAGGGCTGTGATCACAAGGGCAGAGCAGGGTTAAGTATGGGCTCACCGACCCCTCCTACTGACTGCTGGTAGTTTGGTAGAGCGAGGATAGATTATCCAATGGAGCACGAGGGAGGAGGGGCAGAGGGCAAGAGGGGATGGACAGAAGAGAAGACTGGCAGGATCCTTACTCCTACCTCTACCCACAGCCAGTGCCTTTGGCGCACTGAGGTGCACAGGGTCCCTTAGCCGGGCGCAGGGCGCGCAGCCCAGGCTGAGATCCGCGGCTTCCGTAGAAGTGAGCATGGCTGGGCAGCGAGTGCTTCTTCTAGTGGGCTTCCTTCTCCCTGGGGTCCTGCTCTCAGAGGCTGCCAAAATCCTGACAATATCTACAGTAGGTGAGTGCTTGGCCGGAGAATTCCCAGACAGGCGCGTCCCGGATACTCGCACTGCCAGGGCTCCAGAGAACAGCGCTTGATCAGAGTCATCCACGTGATTTTCCAGGCTGGGCTTGCGGACCCGGCTGGAGGAGGGAGAAGCCCATTCAGCTGTGGGGCAGAGAGGGGCCTCTATTGCTGAGGTGGGGAAGAAAGTTTTGGAGAAAAGAGATTCTCCTTTACTGTCTTCTTCCTGTTCAGGACGCGCCCCCATCCCGCAGGGCTGGGGCCAGAAATTTGAGACTCATCCCAGAGCTTGAGTTCCTGGGCTGCCTTCTCCAGGGCGCAGTGGGACTTTCAGAGGCTCACCTTAAGCTCCGGAGGGTGCGTGTGTGTGGGTGCACAGTAGCTTCCAGTAGAAACAGTGGTGAGCGTTTTCAGGCTCTTGGAGACCAGGGAAAGGCCCTCCTGAGGGCAGCACTGCAAATGTTGTGAAGCTGCATCCGGAGCCAGGGTGGCGCAGGCAGGTATTTCATGGCTGCAATGCCAGTGGAGTGTTTTCCACCAGGGGAAACCTGGAGAACTGCCGAGGGCTGAGGAGAAGATCCAGGTCATTCGCATCTTTTGGAGTATCTTTCCTTTTACCTGTGCCGCTGACCGTTATTTGAGGGATTCATGGGACTGTTAATTCTGCATTTTGGGTCTCAGTTTTACTTCTTTTACTTTTACCCCAAAGGGAATAGAAGATAAAAGAGAAACATATATGAACATAAAGGGATCATCTCAGGATCGAGCTTCCCCAAGACTTTATTTCAACCCATAGTGGGTTCTAATGGATTCCTTTTAGATCATGGAGAATTAGGGCTCGTAGGGCTGGGAAGAACCACAGATCATCTAATTTAGTGCCCATTTTCATTTCCTGAGAGGGCAATTGAAGGATGGGGAGTGAGATGCCTTCCTTAAGAGCACTTGTGGCCTCCCTGATGTCCCATGAGGAATTAACTCAGGGTTTTCTTACTGCAAGACCATGCTCACCACAACTTCCACTCTGAAGCCCTTTTCACTGGGGATTTTCAAAAATCACTGTTTAAGAAACAGTGCAAGTCCATTTGAAGACTTTTTCCCCCTCTTTCTGAGTGTTAGTAGCAGTGAAGCAACAGAGCTTCTTAACTTCTTGAAAGTACACAGCCCTCCTTCCTCAGGCTCCAAGAAGGAGTTGATGTCATTTCTGAGGTGCTAGAATGCTGATTTTTGCCCCAGAAAGCCACCTGACTCCCCAAGATCCACCGCTAACAGCTGTTTCTGTGGGGACCCCTTCTTCCCAGCTCCCTGTTCTTACGTGGATTAAAATGTGAGCAAGACCTGTTGCAGATTTGTACTTTATACGTCCCTTGTTGCTCCAGACTATTCAAGCCTGGGTATAAGTAAACTGAGTCATTCAGAGAGCTGAACACTACTTCTCTACTCCCTTCCACCCCCACCCCGCAGGCTTTTGGTATTTACTATTACATTACCTTCTCTTCTGATCTTCCTTTCTCTGCTGCTGAGAACCTTAGATTCAAGCAAAGGCTGTGTATTAGAACATGTACTGAGAAGACATTGATTTCGTGGAACTTGTACCTCTTTTGAGGATCAAGCTTCTCTTTCCTTAGGATGGATGTTTCTGGAATCAATGATTCCCTAGTCTCTCGTGCAACCAGGATCCAGCAGGCCCACCCCAAGCGCCCCACAGTTGTCCTCAAATGTCTTAATTAGAACTTGATCATTGTGTGGCCTAAATTAAGTACATCCTTTCAAAATACATTGGAATCTTAAGGATTTGGATTCTAAGTAGTGGCCCCTCATTCCTTCTGTTCCAGTGATGATTTCTTGGACCAATCTCTTAAGGTTTCTATCTCCTACAGCAGCAGAAATGTCCAAAGAGCAGGATCCCAGAAACAGCTCTCATTGTTTTTTAGGAACTATTCACACTCATATGTACAACACCATACCTGTATTTCCACCAGTGCCGTGATTTCTTTTGGACTCTGTGTCTCCATAAGGCCTTAGTTAAAATATACATGTACCTCAGGATGAGGAACTCCCATGGCTAAGCACATAGTAGCTCATTACACTGACATGGATACCGTGATTCACAAGAGGCAATCTCTCACGGACCAGAGCCACAGGTAAAAATTTGGGCGGCCATGCTCTGGGTGAGTGGGCTGGGTTTTACCCAGAGGGACATGAGGAGACTGGCAAAACTCATCTTCCTCCAATCACTATCCACTTCTGTTTCCTTACCTTTCCTCTCCTGGATTGATCACTACTGACTTCAGACACTGTATTCTCATCATTCCAGAACTGAAGTTGTGCATTGTTCCTAGGTGGAAGCCATTATCTACTGATGGACCGGGTTTCTCAGATTCTTCAAGATCACGGTCATAATGTCACCATGCTTAACCACAAAAGAGGTCCTTTTATGCCAGGTATCTTTTCTCACTTTTCTTGATTTCTCCTACTCCAAGCAAAGAGCAAAATGCTGTTTGCATAGAAAGGCTTAGCAAAATGTTTTTTAAAAATCTAATTCAATTGGAAGGATGAAAAGCTTGTGTGTGTGTGTATGTAAAGTGCCAAAAAACTTCTTAGTCTCTAATTACCGGGACCTGACGTTCCATACTCCCATATTTTTTTTTCCCCTTACTTGACTTCTACTCCATCCCAAGCAACCATCCACTCATTATTATGGATTATTTTAACAAATACTACTTTATAAGATGGCTTAAAAAATATATTAAACATGGTGGGGCAAGGTGGCTCACACCTGTAATCCCAGCACTTTAGGAGGCTGAGACAGGTGGATCACTTGAACCCAGGAGTTTGAGACCAGCCTGAGCAACATAGGGACACTCTGTCTCTACAAAAAATACAAAAATTAGCTTGACATGGTGGCACCCACTTGTAGTTTCAGCTACTTGGGAGGCTGAGGGTGGAGGATCGCTTGAGCCAGGAGGCAGAAGTTGCAGTGAGCTGGGAATGCACCACTGCACTAGAGCCTGGGCAACAGAGTGAGACTCCACCTCAAAGACTCTCTGTATATAGATAGAACAGAAATATTCAGCCTTATTTAACACTTCTTACATGTAAGAATCACTGTTCTTTTTATAGATTACTTTTCCTCTTTTTATGATATCGGAATTTAAGTAAGCTTTTGCAGGGAGACCCTTATTTATGCAGCTAAGTTAGGAGTCTATGGCTGAGATGGTCTTGCATTCTTGAAAAATAAGTGGCTGCCCACGAGTTTGTGCATAGTGATTTCAGATGTTCTTAATGGAGTCATTGAGTCCAAAGAATTTTAGCCAAAATGAAGCTCATAAATCTTATCAACACTTCTGTTGATCCACAAGGAAACAGAAACCCTGAGAACTTAACAGATTTGCTTGATAACAGAGTTGGGTGGATTTAGGACTTTATGCTCCAAATTGCTCAATATGAAAGTGTTGCTCAGGGAAAAGCCCAAACTCCATCATCATGCAATACACCTGGACATGCACCCCCTGAAGCTATAATTTTAAAAAAGAAAAAAAATCCAAAAGCAAGCATCTTGGAGGGAGAAAATTCTGAGATATTTTCAACCTTTGAAGATAATATCAGGCCTTGTCATTGTTCAGATTTCTAAAACCATTTTTTTTTTTTTGAGACAGAGTCTCGCTCTGTTGGCCAGGCTGGAGTACAGTGGCATGATCTTGGCTCACTGCAACTTCCATCTCCTGGGCTCAAGCAATTCTCCTGCCTCAGCCTCCTGAGTAGCTGACATTACAGGTGTGTACCACCATGCTCGGCTAATTTTTTGTATTTTTAGTAGAGATGGGGTTTCACCATGTTGGCCAGGCTAGTCTCGAACTCCTGACCTCAGGTAATCCTCCTGCCTTGGCCTCCCAAAGTGCTGGGATTACAGGTGTGAACCACTGCATCCAGCCAAAACCATTTTTTAATCTACATTTTCTCATTTAAATTTTGCCAAGTCAATCCTAAGCCAAAAGAACAAAGCTGGAGGCATCACACTACCTGACTTCAAACTATACTACAAGACTACAGTAAACAAAACAGCATGGTACTGGTACCAAAACAGAGATATAGATCAATGGAACAGAACAGAGCCCTCAGAAATAACGCCGCATATCTACAACTATCTGATCTTTGACAAACCTGAGAAAAACAAGCAATGGGGAAAGGATTCCCTATTTAATAAATGGTGCTGGGAAAACTGGCTAGCCATACGTAGAAAGCTGAAACTGGATCCCTTCCTTACACCTTATACAAAAATCAATTCAAGATGGATTAAAGACTTAAACGTTAGACTTAAAACCATTAAAACCCTAGAAGAAAACCTAGGCATTACCATTCAGGACATAGGCATGGGCAAGGACTTCATGTCTAAAACACCAAAAGCAATGGCAACAAAAGCCAAAATTGACAAATGGGATCTAATTAAACTAAAGAGCTTCTGCACAGCAAAAGAAACTACCATCAGAGTGAACAGGCAACCTACAAAATGGGAGAAAATTTTCGCAACCTACTCATCTGACAAAGGGCTAATATCCAGAATCTACAGTGAACTCAAACAAATTTACAAGAAAAAAACAAACAACCCCATCAAAAAGTGGGTGAAGGACATGAACAGACACTTCTCAAAAGAAGACATTTATGCAGCCAAAAAACACATGAAAAAATGCTCATCGTCACTGGCCATCAGAGAAATGCAAATCAAAACCACAATGAGATACCAATCTCACACCAGTTAGAATGGCAATCATTAAAAAGTCAGGAAACAACAGGTGCTGGAGAGGATGTGGAGAAATAGGAACACTTTTACACTGTTGGTGGGACTGTAAACTAGTTCAACCACTGTGGAAGTCAGTGTGGCGATTCATCAGGGATCTAGAACTAGAAATACCATTTGACCCAGCCATCCCATTACTGGGTGTATACCCAAAGGACTATAAATCATGCTGCTATAAAGACACATGCACATGTATGTTTATTGCAGCATTATTCACAATAGCAAAGACTTGGAACCAACCCAAATGTCCAACAATGATAGACTGGATTAAGAAAATGTGGCACATATACACCATGGAATACTATGCAGCCATAAAAAATGATGAGTTCATGTCCTTTGTAGGGACATGGATGAAATTGGAAATCATCATCCTCAGTAAACTATCACAAGAACAAAAAACCAAACACCGCATATTCTCACTTATAGGTGGGAATTGAACAATGAGATCACATGGACACAGGAAGGGGAACATCACACTCTGGGGACTGTTGTGGGGTGGGGGGAGGGGGGAGGGATAGCATTGGGAGATATACCTAATGCTAGATGACGAGTTACTGGGTGCAGTGCACCAGCATGGCACATGTGTACGTATGTAACTAACCTGCACAATGTGCACATGTACCCTAAAACTTAAAGTATAATAATAATAATAATAAAATTTAAAATTTCATTGTGGTAAAATATATATAACATAATCTACCATTTTAGCCATGTTTTTTAATTGAGTCAGAGTCTTCCTCTGTCTCCCAGGTTGGAGTGCAGTGGTGTGATCTTGGCTCACTGCAACCTCCGTTACCTAGGTTCAAGCGATTCTGGTACCTTAGCCTACCAAATAACTGGGACTACAGGTGCGTGCTATTAGGCGTGGGGCACCACGCCTGGCTAATTTTTTTGTATTTTTAGTAGAGACAGGGTTTTGCCATGTTCGCCAGGCCGGTCTTGAACTCCTAATCTCAGGTGATCTGCCTGCCTTGGCCTTCCAAAGTGCTGGGATTACAGGTGTGAGCCACCGCACCTGGCCCCATTTCCAATGTACCGTTTAGAGGCTTTAAGGACATTCACATTGTTGTAGGACCATCTCTGAAATTTTCAGAAGTTTTTCATCATCGTGAAGTGGAACTCTACTTATTAAACAGTGACTCCCTGTGGCTGACAGCCACTATTACTTCTTGAAACCATCACTAGGACAGTTATTACTGTTACTACTTGAGACCATCATTACGAGACTGAACGAAGGATGACGAACGTAAAAATGAAAACTTAAAAGAAACGGTTGTAAAGGGGCCAGGGGAAGAAGAAAAGAGCTCCCCGCTTCTAGTGAGCAAAGGCAGCCGCTGAGCTTCCACAACCCTTTTTATTGGGTAGAATGAGCAGGGAGGAGGAGGTAACGATTGGTCAGCTGCTTGATTGATCACAGGTTCATATTATTACTAACAGGCTTCAGATTTGCCTAATCGTAAGAAATATTGCACTTGGGGCGTGACTGCCCTCAGCATTCCTTCTGGGTGGCAGACGCAGTTTGTCAGTTTGCCAACATTCTGCATTTTATGAGAAACAGTCTGCTGTTTACTCATATAGCCTCCAGTGGTATACTGAGTTGATCACAACCCTCACTCTTTTGGCCTCCAACATTTCTCCCTTTTTGTTTTTGAATTAATTTGAGAAAGGCAATTACTGGCTGTGCAGCCCTCAATTGCTGGTTGGTGGTCCAGCTTATCTTACAGATGCACAGGAAACCATGGCCAGCATGGCCACAAACATGGAGTCAGGGGTCTTTGCCTGACCCTGATGCTCTAACAGTTTCTCAGCTTCCTGTGTGGTTTTCTTGATCTGTCTGCATGTCATGGGGGTTGATGTGAGTGTGACTCCAGTTGGTCCTCATTCCATCTTCACATTCAGATTCAACTGGCTCATGGCTTGTACTGGGGGAACCAGGCCTGTGATTGGAATCCATGAGTCCCTCCAGTCTCCTGTTCCATGGTCGCACACACCTTGAGAGCACCCACACGGTTTGTTCATTTTCTGTGAAAACACAAACATACCCTGGTCCCCACCTTAGTAAATCTACCAAAACAAAAGCAAAGGTTTTTGTAGCTGTAGCCAGGAGGCATGCTGTTGCTGAAGCATCTGCTCCACAAGCTACAATTCAGCTTCTGCCTCTTTTGGTTAATTGCTGCGGGGTAAAACATTCCACTGATAACAAGAAACAGGCTCTTTCTGATTAACAGAAGACACAGAGAAAGCAAATCTGAGGCTTATCCTTGTGCTCAGTTCCCACATCTTGACAAGCTCTGAGAAAACCTCCCAAGTCCTCTGCACATCTCACAGGTGCCAGCAAATGTTTACAATCCACGAAAGCCAAAGCTAAAGTTAGCCTTTCTGTAGCCGCAGAAGACGGTACAAGCCAATTTTCATCCTCCCTCTCCTGCTCACCACCCTCAATAGGTGTTATAGGTGGGGCAAAAAATTCTCTCAAACCCTGAAATAACAAAAAGATGATATGTACCAAACTCCAAAAAAAAAAAAAAAAAAAGAGAAAAGAAATAACCAAATTCTTCCCCATGTTATTTTGATTCAAAAACTTCTCATTCTTTGGACCTCTAGGGCACTAAACAGTACATGTTTTAGAACACTGACCTTATGTTGCTGCCAGCAGACTTGTAATGGGGTTTCTCGTTCATCTGGTTGGTTTTAATTTTTTCTGGGCTTTAGTTTTTTCTGCTCCCAGACCTTCCTCACTCAAGTCCCTGTAGGATGCTATGTGTCCCTATCAGTGCCTGCAAGTTTCTGCTAGTCTCTGCTAGTCTTTATCTATCCCTATTTGTCCCTGTGGTCCCTGTTAGTTTCTGCAAGTCCCTGTCTTTCCCTATTTCTATTTGTTTCTATCTCTATTTATTTCTATTTATCCCTGCTTATCTCTGTTTGTCCCTGCAGGCCTCTTCAGGTCCCTGCAGGTCTCTTCAGGTCTCTGTTTGTCCCTGAATGTCCCTATTTATCCCTGTTCAGGCACCACTTGTGGTAGACTGCCACAATTACTACTTGTTACTGTCATTATGAGAGACATTACTCTTACTACTTGAGACCGTCATTACGAGACTGAATGAAGGAGGACAAACACAGAAATGAAAACCTAAGACAAAAGAAACTGTTATAAAGAAGGGGGCCAGGGGAAGAAGAAAAGAGCTCCCCGTTTCTAGTGAGCAAAGGCAGCTGCTGAGCTTCCACAACCCTTCTTATTTATTGGGTAGAATGAGCAGGGAGGAGGAGGTAACGATTGGTCAGCTGCTTGATTGATCACAGGTTCATATTATTACTAACAGGCTTCAGATTTGCCTAATCACAAGAAGCACTGCACTTGGGGCGTGACTGCCTTCAGCATGCCTTCTGGGTGGCAGACGCAGTTTGTCAGTTTGCTAACATTCTGCATTTATGAGAAAAAGTTTGCTGTTTACTCATATAGTCTCCAGTGCTATCCTGAGTTGATCACGACCCTCACTCTTTTGGCCTCCAACAACGCCCCATTACCCTCCACCTTCAGCCCCTGATAACCATATTCTATTTCTCTGTTAATTCACTATTCTGGGTACAGCGTATAAGTGAAATGATACAATATTTGTCCTTTTGTGTCTGGCTTGCTTTATTTAGCATAATATCTTCAAGGTTCATTCATATTTAGCATGTGTTAGAACTTTTTTATGGCTGGATATTCAATTTTATGGATACATCACATTTTGTTTATCCATTAATCCATTGATGGACATTTAATTTTTTCCACTTTTTGACTATTGTGAACAATGCTGCTATGAACACTGGTATACAAATGTCTTTTTGAGTCCCTGCTTAAAACCATTTTAATATCTTTTACATTAGTTTTCATATTCTTCACTGCCTTCGTATCTGCCTAAACTGGATATCTGATTAAATAGTTGTAGTATATTCATTTTTAAGACAATTATTTCTTAATTTCAAAAATTGTAACTAAATTAAATTGATTTAAATTAAAATGTAGGTGAAAAATTAATGATGACATTTCCAATAAACTTTGAGAAACTACTGGCTGGGTATAGTGGCTCACATTTGTAATCCCAGCACTTTGGGAGGCTGAGGCAGGAGGATCACTTGAGCCCAGGAGTTAAAACCAGCCTGGGCAACATAGTGAGACTTCATCTCTACTAAAAATAAAAATAAAACATTAGCTGGGCATGGTGTCATGCTCCTGTGGTCCCAGCTACGTGGGAAGCTGAGGCAGGAGGATTGTGTGAGCCCTGGAGGCTGAAGCTGCAGTGAGCCATTATCATACCACTGCGTTCCAGCCTGGCCAATAAAGTGAGACCCAGTCTGAGAAAAAAAAAAAAAAGAGAGAGAGAGAGAGAGAGAAACTACTGAAAGCTACAGACCTTTTACTCTTTAACAAATACAAGCAGAGCAAAATCTATAAACAATTCAAGGAATGTGTGGATCCTTTCTGTTTTTTCATAGGATTAGGAGTCTAGAGTTTCTTTTAATAATTCCCTCATCATGGATGTCTCTGAAACTTTGAAATAGAATTCCCATTTTTCATTTCATCCGTAGAGCTTGGCTGAAGGTCTGCAAACAAGGAAACACATGATTGGGTTATTATTTCTGATCAGATGCCCAATTTAATGAATTGAAACATTTGAGCCAATTATTAACTCCTTATTTGGAAACACTTTCCCATACTGTTTATTTATTTGCAACTTTAATAAATGACATCAGAGGCACTGAAGAAGCAAAGGTTTCTAATACTGACATGTACTACTGCTCCAACCAATCAATATCTGGAATCACAATTGGATTATACATATTGGCTAGAAGAATATTCAAGAGATATTCACGAGCATGAGAGAGAAAGCCTAAATTGCTTTGAACAGACTGTGAGTAGAACTGGAGATTCTAAGAACTCTGCTAGTGATGACTCAGAAGGAAGGAAAGAACATGATAGAGAAAATCTGTATTGTCTTAGAGACTATAAATCATCATACACAGGCTTTTTGTAGAAATATAGATGTTCAAGTGTTCTTACTGTCTATAGTAAAATGTGAGAGGAAAGATAAATTGAGAAAATAACTATGAGGCAGAAAACGAGGACTTTATGGTTTTGGAAATTCTCAGCCTATTAGGATGATAAAATATTTTAAAATTGGGGAATTCAATGTCAGGAAAGCAGTGTATCCTGTTGTCTTGTAGAGAAAGCCAATTGTATGGCTGGACAGCCTTTTGCTATTGCCTCTGCAGGATTAAACGGTCAGAGTATTCAGTCACACAGAAAGCTCACTGAAGAGATTAGCATGAAGCAGGTTTGGTGTGCACTGGTTACCAACTTGCCTGAGTCTGCTAAGAAAGAACACCCACATAACGCAACAAATTCCATGAAGTGGATTTATTACTTGCACGTGCGCAGCAACCAAAACCTAAAATTCATTGTGAGCTGGTCCTCCAAGGTTCAGAAAGCTGCCCGGGATGAATGGAGTCTCAACTGTACATGCCCCACTTGCCCTGCAGATAAAGGACCACGAAGTGCAGACCACCTTGGGTTTTATACCCTGGAGAAACATGACGTACTAAGCTAAGTGTTGAAGGACATCCTGTTTCTAGTGGAGACTGTAACAAAGCCTGGGCTATTCCACCCAGTACCTCTCTATCTCAGAGTGTTACATTTCCAGCACTTTCTGCAGTTATTCTTGATAACTACAAGTGACAAGCAGAGAGGAAAACAGGGTCAGCCCAAGGCCACCCTGAGAACTGTCCTGCAATTAGATGTATGTCTCATGGATTCCTTCAACCATAATGGCAGAAGCCACCAATCAAGATGAAACTATCTCGTAAAGATGTGTGGAGGCTGGGCGCGGTGGCTCATGCCTGTAATCCTAGGAAATGAAACAAAGGAAAAGGAAATGAAACAAACAAAGGAAAACATGGAAAAGATGGATAGGACAAGATAATGACTAGTCTACACATAAAATAAAATATCTATTTCCGCAAATAAACATAAACAGAGGATCATCACTATCTCACAGACCTGGTGAAAAGGAATGAGAACATGTCCCTGAAAGGATATTTATTCTTGTTCAAAATAAACAGGTTGAAATGAAAAGGAAAAGGAATAGAAGTAAAATATTATTGCTACTTAGATCAGCAAGGTAGAGAGGAGGCACATGGAGTTGGGGATAAAAGAAAAGAAGTAAATGAGTAAAATAATTGAGGGGATATTACTATAAGGCAGCCAGCCAGATAAAAGATTTTAATGGTCCACATTACAGAGGCAACATATTAAAAGGATGATGAGGTGAACATCTAGACACTAGCTGGTGGTCTTGCTCTTCTAAAAGTCAGTGGATCCTAGGCCGGGCACAGTGGCTCACACCTGTAATCCCAGCACTTTGGGAGGCTGATGCAGGCGGATCACCTGAGGTCAGGTGTTTCAGACCAGCCTGGCCAACATGGTGCAACCCTGTCTCTACTAAAATACAAAAATTAGCCAGGCATGGTGGCTCGTGCCTGTAATCCCAGCTACTCAGAGGACCGAGGCACATGAATCGTTTGAACCTGGGAGGCAGAGGTTGCAGTGAGCCAAGATTGTGCCATGCACTCCAGCCTGGGTGGGTGACAGAACGAGACTCTGTCTAAAAAAAGAAAAAAAAAAACAAACTGCAGAGCAGCCTCTTGTTTAGTGGAATGAATTACTATGACATACCCACGAGGGTCACAAGGTACCCCCCCAAATTTTTTTTTTTGAGATGAAGTCTTGCTCTTGTCATGCAGGCTGGAGTGCCATGGTGTGATCTCAGCTCACTGCAACCTCCTCCTCCCAGGTTTAAGCGATTCTCCTGCCTCAGCCTCCCGGTACCCAAGAATTTTATACCTTCAGAAGTACTGCCAATTTGGACTAAAAGGTATGAGGAGAATATGACAGGGAGGAGAATATGACAGGAAGGAGGGCTGTTGAACTCCCCAGATTCTGCAAGTAGGAAATAAACTGACAAACCACTCAGCTGTAACCACATGCAACGATTCATGAAAAACGAAGGAAAACTCTGAAGGTGAAGCAATGAGCCCAGATGGCAGAGCTTCTAGCCCAGAAGGCTGAGCCAAACCACAGGATTATTTCCAGTCCTTAAAACCTAATTTTGTTTGCCCAGTTGGAGTCAAAATGTCTTGGGACTGGCACCTCATTTTTTTTTTTACTTTCTTTTTGCCCCCATTAGAATAATGTCTATAATTGGTATCCTATGCCTGTCCCACTATTGGTTTTGGGGAGCAGGTCATTTTTTCCTAGTTTCATAGATCCACAGAAGGAGAGCAATTTTGCCACTGAATGGATTACACCCAGACTCTCACCCACACTTGATGTAGATTATTTGGATGATGTGATTTGGGAATTCCGAGCTGATGAGCTTTAGATGAGATTTTTCACTTTGAATTGATAATATAATTGTTTGGGACTTTGGGGGATGTTGGGACAAGATGAATACATTTTCATTCCAAGAGGGGTGTATATGAATGTCTGGGATCTAGAGAACACTCTGTGGTAGGCAAATAATGCTCCCTCCCAAAGATATACATGTCTGAATTCCTATAATTATGAATGTGCTATTTTACATGTTCGAAAGGCAAAAGGATCTTTGCAGATGTGATTAATATAAGGATTTTGAGACAGGGAGACTATCATGGATTACCCAGGTGAATCCAGTTTAAATGCAAGAGTTCTTATAAGGCAAGCTTGTCTAACTCGTGGCCCACCAGCTGCATGTGGCCCAGGACAGCTTTGAATGTGGCCCAACACAAATTCATAAACTTTCTTAAAACATTATGAGATTGTTTTTGCAATTTCTTTTTAGCTCATTAGCTATCATTAGTGTTACTGTATTTTATGTGTGGCCCAAGACAATTCTTCTTCTTCCAATGTGGCCCAGGGAAGCCAATAGATTGGACACCCCTGTTATAAAGGAAAGAAGATGGTAGGAGAGTTAAAGAAGTGATGATGGAAGAAGAAATCAGAGTGATGTGATTGCCTGTTGGAAGGGGGCCATGAGCCAGGGATGCAGGTAGCCTTGAGAAGCTGGAAAAGGCAAGAAAATGGATCGTTCCCCAGAGCCTCCAGAAGAAATGCAGCTCTACCCACACCTTGATTTTATTCTAATGAGACCCATTTTGGACTTCTGATCTCCAGAACTATAAGACAATACCTTGTGTTGTGTTAAGCAACTAAGTTTGTTGTAATTTGTTAAAGCAGCAATAGGAAACTGAAACAGCCATGATAGGTGCTCAGAAGAACTCCAGGAGGCATGAAAGGAGGATGCTAAAGCCTTTACAGTGCAGGTGTCCCTGGCGGGCACTAATGAGAGAGCCTGTTGTATTGCAACTTGGACAGATTCTAGAGCCTTCTGTTACAGGGGTTCCTATGCAATGTGGGCTGATTTTCAAGTAATAAACATGAGTGGACCTAAGTAAAATTTATAAATAAGGAATATGTTGTCTTTAAAGTGTAAAAAAGGCCTAAAAGATGTTGGGCTTGTAACATTATGGGCACAGAGATGCTCAATAATTGTTTCTTAATAGTATTGGGGATGGAGAGGTCTTCAACTAACCAAATGATCCTTTGGAATTTAAGTGAGGGACTGGGTCTGATACTTTGCATGGGACAATGGCTTATCCCCTTTGTGAGCTCCTTTTTGAATGTTTCTATGTCTTAAATGAGTGTGGCAAATGAATCTCCTCAGAGGAGGACACCCTCAATGTAATGTTATATCTGTACTCCTGGAGAAAGCTGGAAGCAGTGGCTCTTGCTGGCAAAGATTGTGGGCAATAGTAGGGCTGTTGAAGTATACTATGAGTAGCCATGCATTGTGTTTCTTCCAAGGTAAAGACACACTGTGGCTGAGAGCCTGTTAAAATCAGCATGGAAAAAAACATTCTAGCCAACTCTATGACTGCAAAGTATTTGCCAGTAGATACTTGGATAGAGTCTTTCATTTCAATTAGCTTGAGTATGAGGGCCTTAATATGTGGGGCTATCTGTTAACATACCCCCAATCCTTACACAAAATTTGATTTGGATGTGATGAAGGCACACATGCATTAAGAAGATATGAGAGGTTTATGACTCATAGGGTGAGGTATTTTTTTTTCTTTTTTTCAGAATAGCAGGACAGGCTCCCAGGCAAATCTGAAAAATGGCTTTAGAGAGCAGGGAGGGATGACTGGCTTGAGTTTTTACTGTGAGGAGGGGTAGGATGGGCTGAGGATTTCCTTTCATTGTCCTGACTTGCATGGATTGAAACTCCTACCAGGGATAAGAGAGAAGGTGTGTGTGAGTTTTCTTACCAATTTACTCAGATGAAGCATGGGGTTGGGAAGGGGAAATGGGGCTTGACATTTGTCAAGAGGCAAAGAGTGAAAATGGAGTCAGACTTCTTATTACACATGGATAATGAAGAAGGGGCCAAGCAGGCAAGTTGAGATGTAGGGGACTACTCTATTAATGAAGTCTTTTAGTACTTTTTGACTGAATTTAAAAATTATTTGCATGTATCACTTTAAATAATAAAAATGATTGTTTTTGTAAAACAGAAAGAACAGAGGCTCTGGAATCAAACAAATGTGTACTGTATTTAAACACAAACTATACCAATGTCTCACACCTGTAATCCCAGTGGTTTTTAAGGGAGCTGAGACTGCAATGAGCTAGGATTGTGCTATTGCACTCCAGCCTAAATGACAGAGCAAGACTCTGTCTCAAAAATAAATAAACGCATACATTAAAAAATACTTGAAGCAATCATTCAAATACATACATAATCTTTGAAATAAGTTTTGATATTGTTATGCTAATGTTACTCTTTTGTGTAGCATATTTAACTTTTTTTTTAACCCGTTGCTGTTTTCTTAGATTTTAAAAAGGAAGAAAAATCATATCAAGTTATCAGTTGGCTTGCACCTGAAGATCATCAAAGAGAATTTAAAAAGAGTTTTGATTTCTTTCTGGAAGAAACTTTAGGTGGCAGGTAATTGTTTTTTTATTCTTTGAACAAAAAGGTCACCATTTTCATAATACAAATGGATGGATGGATGCATGGATACTTGGAATGAGGATAAGAGAAAGTGACGAATGGATGGATGGATGGATGGATGGATGGACGGATGGATGGATTGATAGATGGAGAGACAGATGACAGGGGGAGTAGATGAGTACTGCATGCCACATCATCCAGTAAAGTCCCTGGAAATTCTTCCTTATACCGTCTTTCTTACACACTATGAGCATGAGTGCTTTTCTGCAGAAAGTGGGAAATTGTTTCTTCTGGGACTTCCTTGCAACACTTCACCTACAACAATTGCCTATAATCTCCCCAACACAGAAATTGGGATAGGCTCCTCAACTTTTCACTGTTGGTGGGAAAATTAGAGTCACCTTTTCCCACTTACTGTCTTCCCTTCTTCTTATATATATTCATAAATAAAGGGAAGGCTTATGAACATTGGGTTTGTAGAAGTTGAACATATAGCCATGCAAAGTTCTTTTAAAAAGCAATCAACCTGGTAAAAATGAAACATGAAACTGACTCCTTTTGCTTAATCTCGATGGGAAGGAACACATAACTTTTTAATCTTAGACATAAAAGAGGAAACAGAAATCTATGCCTATCTTGGTCAATCGCAGTGGCCTTACCTACTCTTCTTTCCTGGAAAATTCTACTCAGTAGTCAAGGTAGTGCTCAAATCTGACTTTTTCCATAAAGCCTCCCTCCTCACCCAAGCTGGAACACCACGTTCTCTCCTCTATACGTCTGATCTAATCCACCCATTTGACACTTAGCCTATATCATCTCGCAGAGTTAGTTATATATTTTGAGCATATGCCTTGTCTTTTCTTACCCAGTTTAATATTTTTAAGGACAGGTATAGTTAAGAGTGCATTCTTAAAATACTTTAATTTATTAGCTTAATTTTAAATATGATTAATGAACTACAGTCTAAACATTCTTACTACATTACTGGCTTTTTTTTTTTTGAGACGGAGTTTTGCTCTTGTTGCCCAGGCTGGAGTGCAATGGCGCGATCTCAGCTCACTGCAACCTCTGCCTCCAGGGTTCAAGCGATTCTCCTGCTTCAGCCTCCCAAGTAGCTGGGATTACAGGAGTGTGCCACCATGCCCAGCTAATTTTTGTATTATTAGTAGTGACGGCATTTCACCATGTTCGCCAGGCTGGTCTCAAACTCCTAACCTCAGGTGATCCACCCTCCTTGACCTCCAAAGTGCTGGGATACAGGCGTGAGCCACCGCACCCAGCCCATTACTGAAATTTTCAAAAACGTTTGGCAACTTTTCCTTTGTTATGTGAATCTTTAAAAATCTACAACAGAGGATGACTTCAGCCAATCTGCATATCACTAGTGAGGGACCTTCTCTAACTGGAGGGCAATGTACAGGTTACAGGTGTGTCAGGGAATTGATTATCTCAGTCTTCCTTGCAGCCAGTATGTTTCTGATATCTAGAGCTCTTGCACTTACTGCAGCTGGCCTAGGCATCCTCATCTATTTCCCCAAAATTCTGTAAAATAGGATCATATTCTCTGCAGGCATTATTGGGAATACATTGCAAAAGAATCGTCCCTTTGCATAGGCATATGTCAGTAAAGCTTTGACATTATCTTATCTGAATACCCCAGCCTGCATTGAGGTGGAAAGAAATAATAATAAATAATTAAATAAAAATAATAATATAAATAAGTAAACAAATATGTAAATAAATAATATATAAAATATGTAAAATAACAATAACGAATAAAAGTCAATAATAAAGGAATAATAATAAAGAAAAAAATAATGCGTTTCAAAAACCAGGTTCCTTTTGCTTTTATTTTTTCCATTGCTTAACTCCTAGGGGTAGAAAGGTGGAATTCTCATTTTCGGCTGAGATTTTTGGCTGTAATATAATCAAAGAGTTCCTTGACTGAGGCAATCTCTCATTGCCTCACTATGTGCAAACACATAGTGCTAAAACGTAGCACATATCATCAATATTGATAAACTCTATCATCAAGTTACTTACACAATTTGGTTGGATAAATAAGAAAATCACTCATAAAAACTCCATGTGTAAATGAGGGCTAAACAGAGTGTCACCTAATTTATCAATGAGATAGAACTCTGAGATCTGCTGCTCTGAGAGATGGCTCCCAGAGTAGAAGACCTTGAGTCGGCATTGATGGTGGTTGGGATTTGGATAAGGAGAGAAAAGGGGAAGGGAGAAGGGTACACTCTAGGGAGTAGAAACATTTAAGCCAGGATAATTATGGCAGAGGGTATTTGTGGGAAACTGGTTGAATTTGTGGGTGACTGCTAGAAAGGTTGTTGCTTTCCTGGGATATTTTCTTTGTATCTCAAGATACTTTTATGTACTGTAAATTTAACACTTCCCATGAATATTTATTATCATTTTTTTCTTACAGAGGAAAATTTGAAAACTTATTAAATGTTCTAGAATACTTGGCGTTGCAGTGCAGTCATTTTTTAAATAGAAAGGATATCATGGATTCCTTAAAGAATGAGAACTTCGACATGGTGATAGTTGAAACTTTTGACTACTGTCCTTTCCTGATTGCTGAGAAGCTTGGGAAGCCATTTGTGGCCATTCTTTCCACTTCATTCGGCTCTTTGGAATTTGGGCTACCAATCCCCTTGTCTTATGTTCCAGTATTCCGTTCCTTGCTGACTGATCACATGGACTTCTGGGGCCGAGTGAAGAATTTTCTGATGTTCTTTAGTTTCTGCAGGAGGCAACAGCACATGCAGTCTACATTTGACAACACCATCAAGGAACATTTCACAGAAGGCTCTAGGCCAGTTTTGTCTCATCTTCTACTGAAAGCAGAGTTGTGGTTCATTAACTCTGACTTTGCCTTTGATTTTGCTCGACCTCTGCTTCCCAACACTGTTTATGTTGGAGGCTTGATGGAAAAACCTATTAAACCAGTACCACAAGTAAGTGAACCCTCAGCATTCAGTTTGGGATTCACGCAGAGGCCTTCAGTGCATAGTTGGTGGCTGCCACTTGCCAGTAGGATCCTGAGGCTAAAGTCGGGATAGGCAAGGGAGGCACCTAGGGCATGCTTTTAAAGGAAGTGATGAGTTTCAGTGTTGTGCAAGTATAATGTTAGGCCTTGCACCATCCTGAGATCAAGGGCATCTTTATATGGATTCTTCTGGCTCCTCTCTTGCCACACCCTAGTCCTAGCCTTGATAAAATAAGCCCTGTATTAAAGTTTCATTTTTTGTTTGCATTTTTATTTTGTGTGATCACATGTACAATAAACATGTAGTTAGTGCCCATTACATGCAGTAATTGTTAAGGAGATAAGCTGCTCACAATGAAATGACAACACTATGGATTCGGAGTAAGCAGGGTGGATCTGTTTGGGTCTGACAGCAAGAACTGCCGGTGTTATCTCCAGGGTTCCCTGCCTGTAGAGCCCTGGCTCCTGGCTCCACCTAGATCTTCTGGCTTGATTTCTCTGGGGTGGACCCCTGCCACTGTAATTTGCATATGCTGCTCAGGTGATTTGAATGCACAGCGCAATTTCACAACTCAGAACCTCTGCTATAGAAATTTTTCAAAAGGAGGAGAGCTAAGATGAGTTGGCTGCCTGTTGCCTCTGAGCACTGGGTTCCCATTTTACAGAAGTTATCATATTTAATATCCTGCCACCTGTAGGGAGGTGTGATCATCTTCATTTTTATAAATGGAGAAGGACAGAAGCTCAGGTGATGTAGGTGTCCTTCCCCCACCATGTATTTCAGAGGTCCTAAGGGCCTGGACTTTGCAGCCACCCAAGCGTCTACTCTTTTAACTTGCACTGAGTGAGCAGGAAGAGTTGGGGAAAGACCTATGGGTGATATGGGCTTTGCATTTGTGGCAGGAAGTTTTAGGAATGGAGCTGAGAGGGAAAGCACCCCAGGTTGGGGAGCAGGGGTCCCAATACGTGGAGATGTAATTGAGATGGCCATAAGGCTGGCTTCCCTGGGTGGCACTGGCTACACTAGTGGAGTAGAAGGTTCAATTGCATGAGTAAAGCTGTGGGGATTTACCAGAAACCTTAGCTATCAGGTGGGTGGATCAGGCCTCCACCATGGAGTAAGGGGAGGACATTGTTAAGAGGATAACAATGGGAGTAAGGGTTGTAATGGCTGTGAGACAATATACACTTAAAAAAAATTATGTTTCTTCTCTGCATTTTCCAATTTTTATATAATGGTCTTATGTTGCCTTGTCAGTATAAAAATGATGACAAGGCTGTTTTAAAGAAGTCCTTGGGAATGGTAAGTGGTATGCTGGCTGGAATCCAGTAGAGTCTGAACCACGTAATAGAATGATGGGTTGGGAGCTGGGGTGAGCCCCTGTAGGGCAGAGAGAATCAGAATCAGAGTTCAAAGAAATATTTGGAAGTAAGAATTGGCAAAATTGTGCCAAACACAAAATGAAGACATTAGATATTGTGAGCCCAAAATATATGACGCTGGTCTCACCAATTTAGAAACTTTATTTGCCAAGGTTGAGGATGCACCCATGACAGCTTCAGGAGGTCCTGATGACATGTGCCCAAGGTGGTTGGGGCACAGGCTGGTTTTATACATTTTAGGGAGACATGAGACACCAATCAATATGTGTAAGATAAACATTGGTTTGGTCCAGAAAGGCCGGAGAAGGGGATTCTAGGTCATAGGTAGACAAGAGACAAACAACTGCATTTTTTGGAGTCTCTGACTAGCCTTTCACTGAGTGCACAATTTACAGAAATAATCACTTATGCCTTAGTCTGGGTTAGTGAAACAATAGGACAGAGGAAGCGAGCCGACATACACTTGTTTAGGAATGGAATGGGAGGAAGTTTTGCCTGATGCAGTTCCCAGCTTGACTTTTCTCTTTGGCTTAGATTTGGGGATCCTGAGATTTATTTTCCTTTCAAAACACTAACTTTGTTAAGAGCTACCTGGGGGACTTTAAGATATAAGCTGTCCAGGCCTGCTTTTGGGACAGAGCATTACTACTTTATTATTATTTTTTTAATCCACCACATCAAGGCATTGATCATTTCTTTATGTTACAAACATTCCAATTATATTCTTTTAGTTACTTGAAAATATACTACAAATTATTGTTGACTGTAGTCACCCTGTTGTGCTATCAAACACTGGACCTTATACATTCTAACTATATTTTCGTACCATTAACCATACCCACTCCCCCAGCCCCTAACTACCCATCCCAGCGTCTGGTAACAATCGTTCTGCTATCTCCATGAGTTTAATTGTTTTAATTTTTAGCTCCCATAAATGAGTGAGAACATGCAGTTTGTCTTTCCGTGTCTGGCTTAGTTCACTTAACATAATGTATTCTAGTTTCATCCATATTGTTGCAAATGACAGGATCCCTTTGTTTTTTATGGCTGATGAGTTCTCCATTGTGTACATATACTATATTTTCCTTATCCATTCATCTGATGTTGGAAATTTAGATTGATTCCATATCTTGGCTACAGCGAATAGTGCAGCAATAAACACGGAAGTGCAGGTATCTCTTCAGTATAGTGACTTCTTTTCTTTTGGGTGTATACTTAGCAGTGAGATTGCTGAATCATATGGTAGTTCTAGTTTTAGTTTTTCGATGAACCTCTAAACTGCTTTCCATAGTGGTTGTACTGATTTAAATTCCCACAAACAATGTGCGAGTTTGCTTTCTCCACATCCTTGTTATTGCCTGTCTTTTGGATGAAAGCCATTTTAACTGGGGTGAGATAATATCTCATTGTAGTTTGGTTTGCATTTCTGTGATAATCAGTGACACTGAGCAAACCTTTTATATGCCTGTTTGCCATTTGTATGTCTTTTGAAAAATGTCCATTCAGATCTTTTATTTTTTAATCAGGTTATTAGATTTTTTTTTCTCGTAGAGTTGTTTGAGCTTTTATGTATTCTAGTTATTAATCCTTTGTCAGAAGAAGAATTTACACACATATTTTTTCCCATTCCGTGGGTTATCTCTTCTCTTTGTTGATAGTTTCCTTTGTTGTATAGAAGCCTTCTAACTTGATGTGATCTCATTTGTCCATTTTTCCTTTGGTTGCCTGCATTACACAAGAAAAAGAAATCTGTCCAGATCAACATCCTGGAGCGTTTCCCCAATGTTTTCTTTTAGTAGTTTAATAGCTTGAGGTCTTAGATTTCAGTCTTTTTCTTTTCTTTTCTTTTCTTTTTCTTTTCTTTTTTTTTTTTGAGACTGAGGACTGAGTTTTGCTCTTGTTGCCCAGGCTGGAGTGCAGTGGTGCGATCTTGGCTCACTGCAACCTCCACCTCCTGGATTCAAGCGATTCTCCTGCCTCAGCCTCCCGAGCAGCTGGGATTACAGGCACCCGCCTAATTTTTTGTATTTTTAGTAGAGACAGGGTTTCACCATGTTGGCCAGGCTGGCCTCAAACTCCTGTCCTCAGGTGATCCACCTGCCTCAGCCTCCCAAAGTGTTAGATTTAAGTCTTTTAATCCATTTTGATTTGATTTTTGTATATGATGAGATATAGAGGTCTAGTTTTATTCTTCTGCATATGCATATCTAGTTTTTTTTTAGCACCATTCATTGAAGAGACTGTCTTTATGTTCTTGGCACCCTTGTCAAAAATAAGTTCACCGCAGATGTATGGATTTATTGCTGGGTTGTCCATTCTGTTCTGTTGGTCTATGTGCCTTGTTTTTTATGCCAGTACCATACAGTTTTGGTTACTATAGTCTTGTAGTATAACTTGAAGTCAGGTAATGTGATTCTTCCAGTTTTGTTCTTTTTGCTTGGGATGGCTTTGGCTATTCTGGGTCTTTTGTGGTTCCATATAAATTTTAGGATTATTTTTCCTCATTCTGTGAAGGATGTGATTGGTATTTTTATAGAGATTGAATTGAATCTGTAGATTGCTTTGGGTAGTATGGACATTTTAACAATATTGATTCTTCCAGTGCATGAACGTGGAATAGCTTTCCAGTTTTTAAAATGTCCTCTTCAATTAATTGCATCAATGTTTTATAGTTTTTATTGGAGAGATCTTTTACTTCTTTGTTTAACTTTATTCCTAGGTATTTTATTTTGTTTGTGGGCATTGTAAATGTAATTACTTTCTTGATTTCTTTTTCAGATTATTCACTGTTGGCATATAGAATTGCTACTGATTTATATATATTGATTTTGTATCCTGCAACTTTACTGAATTTGTGGATCAGTTCTAATAGTTATTTTGGTAGAGTCTTTAGGTTTTTCCAAATATAAGATTATATAATTTGCAAACTAGCATAATTTAACTTCTCCCCTTCCAATTTAACTGCCCTTTATTTCTTTCTCTTTTCTGATTGCTCTAGCTAGAACTTCCAGTACTATGTTGAATAACTGTGGTAAAAGTGGGCATCCTTGTCATGTTAGAGGAGTGGTGTTCAGTTTTTCCCCATTTAGTGTGATACTAACTTTGGGTGTGTCATATATGGCTTTTATTGTGTTGAGGTATGTTTCTTCTATAATCAGTTTTTTTAGGGTTTTTATCATGAAGGGACTTTGAATTTTATTGAATGCTTTTTCAGCATCAATTGACATGATCATATGGTTTTTTTCATTCATTCTGTTGATATGATGAATCACATTGATTGATTTGCATATGTTGAACGATCCTTCAGTCCCTCAGATAAATCCCACTTGCTCATGATGAATGATCTTTTTAATGTGTTGTTGATTTTGGTTTGCTAGTATTTTGTTGAGGATTTTTGCCTTAATATTCATCAGAGATATTAGCCTGTAGTTTCCTTTTTCCGATGTGTATTTGTCTGGTTTTGGTATAAAGGTAATACAGGCCTTTTATTCCCCTCTCTTCTATGTTTTTTAGAATAGTTTGAGTAGGATTGGTATTAGTTCTTTAAATGTTTGGTAAAATTCAGCATTGATGACATTGGGTCCTAGGCTTTTCTTTGCTAGGAGACTTTTTATTACAACTTTAGTCTCGTTACTTGTTATTGGTCTGTTCAGGTTCAGGATTTCTTTAAGGATTAATCTTGGCAAGTTGTATGTGTTTAGGAATGTATTCATTTCTTCTAGGTTTTCCAATTTATTGGCATATAGTTGCTCACAGATGTTTCTAATGATCCTTTGAATTTCTGTAGCATCAGTTGTAATGTCTCTTTTTTTAGCTCTGATTTTATTTGGGTTTTCTCTCTTTTCTTAGTTTGGCTAAAGGGTTGTCTATTTTCTTATCTTTTCAAAACCAAACTTTTCATTTCATTGATCTTTTTTTTAAATTTTAAATTTCATTTATTTCTGCTGTGATCTTTATGTCTTTCTTCTACTATTTTTGGGTTTGGTTTGCTCTTGATTTTCCAATTCTTTAAGATGCATCCGTAGGTTGTTTATATGAAGTCTCACTCTTTTGATGTAGGCACTTATAGCTATAAATATTCCTCTTAGTATCGTTTTCACTGTATTTCATAGGTTTTGGTATGTTTTCTTTTCATTATCATTTGTTTCAATACATTTTTAAATTTCCTTCTTAATTACTTCATTGACCTACTGGTCATTCAGGAGCATATTGTTTTTTTCCATGCATTTGTATAATATCCAGAGTTCCTCTTGTTATTGACTTATAGTTTTATTCCATTGTGGCCTAAGAAGGTAGTTGATATAATTTCAATTTTTTTGAATTTCTTAAAAGTTGTTTTATGGCCTAATGTATGGTCTATACTTAAACATGGTCCATGTGCTGAGTAGAAGAATGTCTTTTTTGCAGTCATTGGATGAAAATTTCTGCAAATATTATTAGGTTCACTTAATCTGTAGTGCAGATTAAGTTCAATGTTTCTTTGTTGATTTTCTGTCTGGATGATGCGTCCAATGCTGAAAGTGTTGCATTTTCCATCTATTATTTTATTGGGGTCTATCTCTCTCTTTACCTCTAATAATGTTTGCTTTCTATGTCTGGGTGCTCCAGTTTTGAGTGCCTATATATTTATAATTGTTATATGTGCTTGCTGAATCAACCTTTATAAAATTATATAATAACCTTCTTTGTCTCTTTTCATGGTATTTGTCTTGATATCTATTTTATCTGATGTAAGTATAGCTACTCCTTCTTTTTTCTTGGTTTCCACTTTCATGGAATATCTTTTCCTATCCCTTTATTTTCAGTCTATGTGTGTTTTTATAGGCAGTGTGTTTCTTGGAGGCAACATGTTAAGTCTCTTTTTTTATTCATTCAATCACTCTTTCTGTTTTGATTGGAGAGTTTAGTCTGTTTACATTCAATGTTATTATTTGTAAGTAAGGACTTACTCCTGTCATTTTGTTATTTGTTTTCTGGTTGTGTTGTGATCTTCTCTTTCTTCTTTCCTTTCTTCTTGTCTTCCTTTTAGTGAAAATGATTTTCTCTGGTGGTATGTTTTAATTTCTTGAATTTTATTTTTTGTGTATCTGTTTTAAGTTTTGTGATTTGAGGTTACTACAAGGCTTGCAAGTAACATCTTATAACCCATTATTTTAATCTGATGACAACTTAACTTTGATTGCAAAAAGAAACAAACAATTAAGCAAAAAAGAACAGTAATAAAAATTCTACACTTTATCTCCCAGTCCGCTAAGTTTTTGTTGGTTCTATTTATATCTTATTATATTGTCGAAGCTCACTTATTCTTTCTTCTGCTTGATCAATTCTTCTGTTAAGAGACTCTGAGGCATTCTTCGTTATGTCAAATGCATTTTCAACTCCAGAATTTCTACTTTTTTGTTTTTAATTCTTTCAATCTCTTTGCTAAATTTAGCTGATAGGATTCTGAATTTCTTCTCTGTGTTATCTTGAATGTCACTGAGCTTCCTCAAAACGGTTATTTTGAATTCCGTGTCTGAAAGGTCACATTTTTCTGTGTCTCCAGGATTAGTTGCTGGTGCCTTATTTGGTTCGTTGGGTGAAGTCATGTTTTCCTGGATGGTCTTGATGCTTGTAACTTGTTCATCAATGTCTGGGCATTGAAGAGTTAAGTATTTATTCTAATCTTTGCAGTCTGGGCTTGTTTGTACCTGTCCTTCTTGAGAAAGCTTTCCAAGTGTGCAAAGGGAATTGAGTGTTGTGATCTAAGTCTTTGGTCACTGCACCTGTGTCTGCATTAGGGGGCACTCCAAGCCCAGTCATGCTGACTCTTGCAGCCTTGTAGAAGTACCACCTTGGTGGTCTTAGGTAAGAGCCAGGAGAATTCCTTGGATTACCAGGCAGAGTCTGGTTCTCTTCCCTTACTTTCCCATATACCAACAGAGTTTCTCTCTCTCCCTGTGCTAAGCTGCCTGGAGTTGGGGGAGGGGTGACACAAACACTCTCATGACCACCTCCCCTGAAATTGTGCTGGATTACACTTGAAACCAACACAGCACTGGACCTCATCCAAGACCTATGATAACTATTGTCTGGTTACTGCTGATGTTTATTCAAGGCTCAAGAGCTCTTTAGTCAACAGGTGCTGAATTCTTTCAAGCCTCTACCTTTCCCTTTAGGGCAGCAGGTTTCCTTCTGTCCCAGGTTGGGTCTAGGAATTCTGTCCAGGAACTGGGTCCTGGAATTGGGAATTGTAGGGATCTACTTACTCTATTCCCTCCCTTCCTAAAGCAGGAGTCTCGCCCATGGCCACCCCACCCCAAGCCTGTGAGAAGTACTGCCTGGCTACTGCTGATGTTTATTTTAGGCCCGAGGGCTTTTGAATTAGCAGGTGGTGAATCCTGCCAGGCTTAGGTCTCTCCCTTCAGGGCAGCAGGTTCTCTTCTGACCCAGGGCATGTCTAGCAATGTTGTCCAGGAGCTAAGGCCTAGATGTGGAGATGTTAGGATTCTCCTTGGTGCTTAATTTTACTGCAGCTAAACTAGTACCCACATTGCAAGACAAAGACTTTTTAACTCTTCCCTCTCCTCTCCTGGAGGAAGGAGTCTCTCCTGGAGCTCTGAGCTGCCCTGCCTGGAGTTGGGGGAGGGGTGACACCAGCACTCCCTTGGCTGCCCTGGCTGGTGTCTCACCAGGTCATGTGCACTCCAGGGATTTTAGTTCTTGTGGCCTAGATTGCCTTTCAAGTTTATTTTGAACCCCAGAGCACTTTAGCCTGCGGTGCTTGGTCTAACCAGCACTGAGGTTCCTACTGCTGAGGTGGATGATTCCATTCTAGCAAGGGCTGGTCTAAATGCTCCCTGCATGGGTGCCAGCTGAATTCTTCCCTGTGTTGCTTTGCTCTGTGACTGCAGAGCACTGACTTCCACTGCAAAGTCTATAGTCACTGTGCTCTGCCTCCCCTAAGCACACAGATTCTGTCTCTGCACCACATGGTAATTGAAGACTGTCTTTCCTACCTTCTCAGTGCCTTTTTCCTCGGTATGATGTTAAAACCAGGAATGGTGATTGCTCACCTCATTTTTTTTTGTTCTTATGAAGGTGTTTTCTTGTGGATAGTTGTTAATTTGGTATTCCTTCGGGGGGCAAAATCACTTCAGGGTTCTATTCTGCCATCTTGCTCCACCTCCCTATGGCATTGCTGCTTTTAAAATATATTTTTCTGTGGTTATAATTTGCAGTCCTGTGGGTGAACTACTGAGGTAGAGGATGAAGCGTGTACAAAAAGATCAGTGACCGAGACTATCATAAAACATTAGAGGAAAACACACTGAAAGGGTACATTTTGTGTAGATGAAGAGGAGCCTTACCCTATGCTGCCACCATTTCTGCCTGCAACAGAAGTGTTCTCCCAGCATCTCCATTCCAGCCTCCAGAAGTCCCACTCCTTGTGTTGGACCCTGGCCACCTACTAGTACTCTTCCAGATACTATTACCTCTAGTCTGACCTTAGAAAACTCCTGTGACTCCCTGGACCTATAATGGGTGGAAGGTCAAGAAAGGCCTGATAGTAGGGTCAGGGTTTCAAGAAGAAAGATGTTCCCACCAACACAAAGGACATGACCACAGTGCAGCTAGTATCGAGCTATACTAGGAGCTATAATAATAGCTTTGGGACAGTGAGGACAGGGCACTGTGTTAGTAAATACTCTGGCTTTCATTTTCTGGTCAACTAGGCTTTCACCAATAATTTTGTCACCTCTTTACCTTGGTAATCTTTCTCCAGGACTTGGAGAACTTCATTGCCAAGTTTGGGGACTCTGGTTTTGTCCTTGTGACCTTGGGCTCCATGGTGAACACCTGTCAGAATCCGGAAATCTTCAAGGAGATGAACAATGCCTTTGCTCACCTACCCCAAGGGGTGATATGGAAGTGTCAGTGTTCTCATTGGCCCAAAGATGTCCACCTGGCTGCAAATGTGAAAATTGTGGACTGGCTTCCTCAGAGTGACCTCCTGGGTAAGGGCTGCCCAGGACTGCTCCTCTCCTTCCACTGACCTGTCTTTGGGGCTCATCACGGCTCTGACCTTTAGCTGGACATTTGTACCCACTGGTGAATGGTACAGGTAAGGCTCAGTGGGCAGAAAAGTAGCAGCCAGCTGGAGTTCTTGGGAAACCAGGCTATACTTCCAATGGGATCAGATGCCAAAGCAGCCAACTTTCCTTCATTCTTTTCTATCCCAGACCTGATGTCTGCAGTCCTATGTGATATTCCTGTCAAGTCTCTTTAACCCTACTGCATTTGGTCTTGGACAAGGTCACCCAAACAAAATTAAAGACAACCTATCAACTCTGAATGTATATACTAGGGGTTGGGAGAGGTGCCACAAATTTTAGTTACTTTGTGAGCACCAGTTCAACCACATGGACTTACACAAACACACATCCACACATAAATATGGACACATCCTCTTAATTTACTAAGGGTCTGAGCAACTTCTACCATCACAAGATTAATGCCAATGATGTCTTTAGGATGTGCCAACATACCTGTGTGCCAAGCTTAGCAACTTCACAGTTGGTGATTTGGTCTACCGAGTTGTCTGGGACCAGAGAGCTCCCTCACCCCCAACAGGTTTTCTCTGTGCTCTGTGCTGCCATAGACACTGACTAGAGCAGAGATTCACAACGAAGATCATGGCTGAAAAGAATCTGGGCAATTTAAGAAGTAGATTCCTGGTCCTACTTCTGTGAATATATTTTTTAAAATTCTGGGGTAGGGCATATGCCTCCCATTTCAAAGAAGAGACAAGGAGTCTGATGCACATTGCAGTTGAGTGACCCAGGTTGAGATGTGCTTGTCATTATCAACCATCACTTTAGTTAGCTCTAAGTAACGCTGGCATGGAAAGACAGGAACTGGAAATACAGAGGCGAAGGATCCAGTCTACTTTCAAGGCACTTCTCTTATAATTGAGGACACCATACGGTCAATACAAGTTTTATGAGTGACATATGAGTTGTGATGTCAACAAATATGTCAGGAATACAAGAAAAGGGAAATCAGCTGTCAGTGGATAAAAGAGGGCTCAATATAGGCAGACAGAGGAGGTAGAAACAGAGAGACACACAGAATACAGATGAGAGAAGCAAAGAAAGGCACAGGGAGGACAGAGAGAAGGAAGAATGGATGGACAGAGAGATGTATGCCTTGCTTAGCACTCTTCTCTACAGAATTCACTCAATTCTAAGCCTTAGCTGAATTTCTGGCTGAGGGAAGATGTTTCCATACGATAGCAACGCTTGGAATCTTGTATCTTGGAACTGTAACATTGGATGTGTCCCAAGCACAGTCATTAGATACAATGTCTCCAACACACCACTAGATCCCCTTGGCACTTTCTTATCCCCTTCATCTCTGCCTGATGTTTTGAAATTTTCATCCTGAAGTGTCCCACCCTCTTTCTTATTTACAACAGCTCACCCAAGCATCCGTCTGTTTGTCACCCACGGCGGGCAGAATAGCATAATGGAGGCCATCCAGCATGGTGTGCCCATGGTGGGGATCCCTCTCTTTGGAGACCAGCCTGAAAACATGGTCCGAGTAGAAGCCAAAAAGTTTGGTGTTTCTATTCAGTTAAAGAAGCTCAAGGCAGAGACATTGGCTCTTAAGATGAAACAAATCATGGAAGACAAGAGGTATGCAGCTCCTTGGGGTTGTGGTCATAATGACGAATGAAGGCAAAAACACTAAGGGCACTATGGGAGTCTGTTTTTTTGGTTTTGTTTTGTTTTGCTTTAGATTAAAACTGTATTTTCCAGGACATGGGATAATATGTGTGTGATGCCAACAGCTGACCTGTGTCCTCTGAGAGCAAGACTAGAGCATTTAAGTTAGATGCTAAGAATCACTTCCTACCTTTTCATTTTGGGGAACCTGGACTATGTACAGGGGGTCTCTGTGAGCTATGTTTCAGGTCAATTGGAATTCAGGTCAGCGGGATTCCAACTGAGGCAGGAGATTGCCTTTCTGTTACCCAAATACTCCGCACTCTTCTCCCCCTTGGCTTTTTGTTTGTGGTGCTCCCTCTTCACATACTGGCTCCTTTGTTGCATTCCGGTCTCATCTCCAACTCATTTCTTCTTAGAGTTCGCCTCTGACAGTCCTGAGTAACTTCTTCTCCCACCTACCCCAGTTACATCATTTCCTTCTTAACACTTCTTAAGGTCTGTAATTACCTCATTTATTTATGTGTTTGTTTGTTTACAGTCTCTTTATGTTGCCCAGGCTGGTCTCAAACTCCTGGGCTCAAATGATCCTCCTGATTCAGCCTCCCGAGTAGCTGGGATTACATAAGCCACCATGCGCAGCTTGTGTTTTCATTTATTATTTGTCCCCCTCACCTTCCAACCAGAGAGTGGAGAGTTAGCTTAATGAGGACAGCAGCATGTGTCTCTTGTTTTCTGCTATCTTCTTAGCACCTAGCACAGGATCTGCCACAAAGTAAATGGTTAATGAATTTTAGTTAAGTGAAGCAATAGAAGGGGCCCAGTGACCTCCAAGGTAACTAACTGCATATCCAGCACAGTGATCTCATGTGAAGAGAAAAATACACCTCATGTAATAAGTAAAAAGGACTGAATAATTTATTAGAGTTTCAAGGGCACAAACCAAAATCGGACCTCAAGGCTTAACATGTACTAGGAGACACTCAGCAGTTCTAGCTAGATGACTTAAAACAACCACGTAGCTCATGGTTCTTAGACTTAGAAGAGTCATTAAATTCCATGGGTTGGTTAACTCCAGATCAATTTTATATATTTGCAATTTCATGTATTGCAGTTGGTCATTTTCTGAAAAATGTGTTTGTAGCTTTCGTTGGATTTTTCAATGACCTAGACCCAAAATGACCATTCTGAGCTGGGATGGTCCTCAGACATTGTACATAAATAGGGCCAGCTTCACAATTTGTAGGACCTGGTGTAAAATAAAAGTGTGGAGCCTCTTATTATAAAGTTTGAGAACTTCGACATGGTGAAACCAAGTACAGGATGCTACTAATTATGTGGTACAAATATGCAGCCTGCAGCCCAGGAAGCCAGCCCTGGTCAACATCATGTTCTGATGGTGCAGGAATGTGTAGGCTTTAGCCTGTGCCTAACATTCCCCAGAGTGAGACTTGTCACCCCATCTAGAGACTGGCACATGGAGGTGCTCCATGTATATGTATAATAATTACATCATATATAATTTTCCTAGGGCACATCATAAGCCTCCTTGGAGTAGGGACTAGTCTTTGTGGACTTAGTCACTTTTTTTAAGTTTAAGACTTTTAGCATTATACATGGATCTTTGCTTGTAGGTGTCATGATTAAATTTCAAGGGGAACCAGGTAGATTACTGCAAAGCCAACAGAATTTCCTTGGAACTCAGTCTTTGGTGCATCATATAGAACGGATCATACATTCTAACTCTTGTGAGGTCACATTAGTAATGCCCCCTCTCTATCTCTCTCAACAGATACAAGTCCGCGGCAGTGGCTGCCAGTGTCATCCTGCGCTCCCACCCGCTCAGCCCCACACAGCGGCTGGTGGGCTGGATTGACCACGTCCTCCAGACAGGGGGCGCGACGCACCTCAAGCCCTATGTCTTTCAGCAGCCCTGGCATGAGCAGTACCTGCTCGACGTTTTTGTGTTTCTGCTGGGGCTCACTCTGGGGACTCTATGGCTTTGTGGGAAGCTGCTGGGCATGGCTGTCTGGTGGCTGCGTGGGGCCAGAAAGGTGAAGGAGACATAAGGCCAGGTGCAGCCTTGGCGGGGTCTGTTTGGTGGGCGATGTCACCATTTCTAGGGAGCTTCCCACTAGTTCTGGCAGCCCCATTCTCTAGTCCTTCTAGTTATCTCCTGTTTTCTTGAAGAACAGGAAAAATGGCCAAAAATCATCCTTTCCACTTGCTAATTTTGCTACAAATTCATCCTTACTAGCTCCTGCCTGCTAGCAGAATTCTTTCCAGTCCTCTTGTCCTCCTTTGTTTGCCATCAGCAAGGGCTATGCTGTGATTCTGTCTCTGAGTGACTTGGACCACTGACCCTCAGATTTCCAGCCTTAAAATCCACCTTCCTTCTCATGCGCCTCTCCGAATCACACCCTGACTCTTCCAGCCTCCATGTCCAGACCTAGTCAGCCTCTCTCACTCCTGCCCCTACTATCTATCATGGAATAACATCCAAGAAAGACACCTTGCATATTCTTTCAGTTTCTGTTTTGTTCTCCCACATATTCTCTTCAATGCTCAGGAAGCCTGCCCTGTGCTTGAGAGTTCAGGGCCGGACACAGGCTCACAGGTCTCCACATTGGGTCCCTGTCTCTGGTGCCCACAGTGAGCTCCTTCTTGGCTGAGCAGGCTTGGAGACTGTAGGTTTCCAGATTTCCTGAAAAATAAAAGTTTACAGCGTTATCTCTCCCCAACCTCACTAAATGATTGGCCAAGAGATTTCTGTCCTAATTGCCCAGAATTCTGTCATCTGGCTACTCAAGGCTATCGGGGAATGGGGCAAGTTTGCACTGGCAGCTGGCCAGGATGAAGGCAGCGGGAAGTGGGTGGAGGGTTAGCTAACCTGTGGGGTCTGAAGAAAGAGAAAAGTGGCCAAAAATCCTCCAGAATGCTTGACCTGTTGAACCAGAATGTTTTGCTATTTAGTCTTGGCCTATATTCATGCAACCTAAGCAGCAAGCTATCATGGGCATGCTGATAAAGAAACACTTCTGTTTCCTGGTTACAGTCTCTGGCTGGACCTGAGGAAGCACTGAATTGGCTTCAATGACTTTCTAAGTGTGTTGGGGATGCTGAGGTAGGCAGCCAGAGCAGATGATTTCAATCATAGAGCCCCAGCTCCATGTGGATGAGAAGGGGGAATGCAATTGTAGCTGTGTTTCCAAGGACAGGACTGCATGTTTTTCCTTGAGAGACCATTACCACAAACCAGTGGGCACTAAACCCTAAGTAATATAAGAAGAGTAAAAGACACCCTATTTAGTGTTGTGTAGAAAATATGATTTGCAAATTGACTCTTTTCAGTCAGTGTGGCTCTGAAGTCCTCAGTGCAAAGGAATTTTTTTTTTTCGCTCTTGTTGTCCAGGATGGGGTGGAGTTTCGCTCTTGTTGTCCAGGCTGGAGTGGAGTGGAATGGCACGATCTCAGCTCACCACAACCTCTGCCTCCCGGGTTCAAGCTATTCTCCTGCCTCAGCCTCCCGAGTAGCTGGGATTACAAGCGTGCGCCACCACGCCCAGCTAATTTTGTATTTTTAGTAGAGATGGGGTTTCTCCATGTTGGTCAGGCTGGTCTTGAGCTTCCTACCTCAGGTGATCCGCCCTGCCTCGGCCTCCCAAAGTACTGGGATTACAGGTGTGAGCCACCATGCCTGGATGGTGCAAAGGATTTTGTACTAATGAGTAGGAGGTATGTATCCACATCAAAGTGTCCCCACATGTACGGGAGAATGGAGACTTTAGGCTTACTAATAGGTGTTAGAATTAATCTTAGCATCCATGTTTACTGTTTCCTTGTGAAGCCTACCCACTCTTTGCTAACCTCCTCCCTTTTGACTGGCATTACGTTTTAGAAAATGTGTAGGTTGGTGTCAGGGTGGAGGAAAGAGCACACCATGGGGACTTTTCCCTTCTGGGGCCTCCACAATCTGCATGTAATGAAATGCTGCATGTGTGATAAAGATAAACAAGAAGAGCACATAACACCCACAGAACCCATAGCTTCCCAAGAGATGAAATACCAGATTGTAGCAGAGCTATCTCCTGAAATCCTGCTGCCAGTTTTTATGGAGTGCTAATGAGTCTGTAAATATTGTGCTTGTGAAGCAGGCTCACTGTGTACTGGTTCCCACTTTTTCTGAGTATAGTGAAACAGATCATTTCTCCCCATATGAGTTAGATGAAGTGGACCTATTATTTATAGATTGGCAGCAAGGGACAACAGAAGTCCAGGATTCATTGCCAGCTGATCCCCCAAGGCTCAGGGACTTCCCCAGGGTGGATGGCATCTCATCTGCCTGTGCCCCACTTGCACCACAGCTGAGGCACACAGGGAAGCAGCCCACCCTGGTTTTGTACCTCAGGGACAGCATGACATACTGGGCTACAGTATTGAAAGACCTCCTGTTTTGGGGTGACTGGAACAGAGCCCTGGCTGTTTCAGCCAGACTCTCCCTATATCCAGATGTTGCTGATCCAGCACATTCTACATTATTCCTGTGACCTGCAAACCATAGCTACAATACTTTTTACCATGCCCAAGGTGACTACTACCACAAGGAGGATGAGCAGGCCTGCCCAGGGCAGTAACCTAAGTAACCTAGCCTGGGATCCCCAGGATCTAGGTTAGAAGTTGCTAAAGGGCTCAGAGAAGGTTCTTTCAGTGGCCCCACTGTCTGCAATCAGATCTTCTCTACCTGTGTTTCAGCAATACCTGAGTTGTTTATCCAGGTACAGCAGGAGGTGTAGGCAGTTGCATACACTCCTCCTAGTTGGGCTAAAAGGCGGTCTAGAGTGATTCTGTTGTCTAAAATAATCTTCCCAAGAGAGTTGAGGGATGTCTGCTGGGCTACCAAAGCAGTGGCAGTAAAGGAAGCAACATCTGCCATGGTCAGGGACAGGCTTATGATTATTTCTTTAGGAGTACTGACTCCTATTCATGCTATTAAAGATCTCATAAAGAATGTAAACCCAGATTGTGATGAGGAGATATACCTAATGCTAAATGACGAGTTAATGGGTGCAGCACACCAACATGGCACATGTATACATATGTAACAAAACTGCACATTGTGCACATGTACCCTAAAACTTAAAGTATAACAATGAAAAAAAAAAGAATGTAAACCCAGAGTCACTTATACCTTCTGATATATCTCTAGTTGGCTGGGTGTACAGCTTTAGGCTGTTGGCCCAATGATGAATCTCATTCCCAGGAGTGGTATATAGGGAGGGGCACCCCCAGCATGCAGGACCCAGCCATCCACTGGATTTCCAGGCACAGACATTGCTCATCCCATTTTTGGGTCACCCTCAGACTGCCCATAAAGAAATATGTAGCTATCAGGGGTACATAGCACCCTTTATCCCATTTTATTGTTCAGTGGCCTACTAATGGGTATGGAGGCACAGCCATTTGCAGCTAAGTCATAGTTGCATGAGCTCAGTTTCACCCTACACTATTGTTTATAATGTCCCTTCAGAAAGGGCTAGCATTATTGCCGTCCTTGTTTTCGTCATTGCCACTGGGACACTTATCTTTCATGTAATCAAATAAAAGTAGTGTGTCAGGCCAGGCATGGTGGCTCACGCCTGTAATCTCAGCACTTTGGGAGGCTGAGGTGTGTAGATCACCAGAGGTCAGGAGTTCAAAACCAGCCTGGCCAACATGGTGAAATCCCATCTCTACTAAAAATACAAAATTAGCCAGGCATGGTGGCGGGTGCCTGTAATCCCAGCTACTTGCGAGGCTGAGGCAGGAGAATCACCTGAACCCAGGAGGCAGAGGTTGCAGTGAGTTGAGATCATGCCACTGCACTCCAGCCTGGGTGACAGAGCAAGACTCCGTCTAAAAAAAAAAAGAAGAAAAGAGAGAAAAGAAAAGAAAAAAAGAAAGTAGTATGTTAAACTATTAGCCCACCAAGGCTTTACTAATTGTGGTCATGACATTTTGCTACCTTAGGCCAGTTAAGTTAAAACAGGGCACCTCTGGTTCCCTTTCATGGCAGGATGAGAGGGCCACTGTGGTCTGTGACAGAATAAGATCTAGGGTGGCCGATCCAGCACTTCATCAGTTGACCCATTGTATTAGGCCATTCCTGCATCACTATGAAGGAATACCTGAGACTGGGTAACTTATAAGAAAAAAATGTAATTGGCTCATGATTCTGCAGGTTTTACAGGAAACATGGCATCAACATCTGCTTCTGGGGAGGCCTCAGGAAGCTTTCACTCAGGGCAGAAGTTGAAGCGAGAGCAGGTACGTCACATAGCAAAGCAGGAGTGAGAGGGTTGGAGGGAGGCGCCACACTCGACAACAACCAGATCTTGTGAGAACTCACTCACTATCGCGAGGCCAGCACCAAGCCTTGAGGGATCTTCCCCCAACATCCAAATACCTCCCACTGGGTGGCACCTCCAACAATGGGGATTACATTTTAACATAAGATTTTGTGGGGGCACAGATCCAACCCATATCACCCATAGTGACCACAGCTTGGGAGGACCTAAAGAAGGCATTGTGCTTCCAGGCCTCTGCTGCCATGTCCTTGTGGAGAAAATAGAATGACAGGTTGGTGCCCCACCCCCACACCTTCTGGAGTATCTTGTGTTCCCTACTTATTGGATAGGAGTTGGGCTCAGTTGGTGCAGCACCCAGTCCAGAGGCTACTACCTCTTTGGCACCCACTGTCCTTGTTGCTTAACCTAGACCTGTCAGCCTCTGTTTTTCAGTCCAGAAAGGGAGGAAACACCCTGTAAAAACTTGACATGTCTGAAAACACCACTCACCCGACTGGAAAGATCAGATGTCCCTGGAGCCAACAGAGGGACCTGTGCATGGTGGTATTCCTTGGTCCTATCCATTACTCTATGAGACTCCATATAGGGGAGTTAACAGGTGGAAGCATCATCTCCAGTTTAGATTTTGTGAGCCCTGTCTGGGGTACTATGGAGGCCCAAACCACAAGCCACCCCTGGGAGGTGCATTCTAAAGGCAGAAAGGAAAAAGAGCGGTTGAGAATACTGTTATTGGGATTTCACAGGTGTAGCCTAATCAAGCAGCTGCCTGATCCACCTCCACACTCACCAAGCCTAATGTTTCCCGACATGCTCTCAGGGCTGTGCTTCCCTGGCACTGGAGAGCAGTGTTTAGTGTCCTTATTGCCCTAGTCAGATAGGGGTACTATCCCACTAGCAGACTGTTCCTTGGTCAGAGTGAAGTCCTGCAGTGTATCCAAAAAGATGATATAAATTCTTTTCATGGGTTGCCATGGTAGTCCCAGCATCCACACAAGTGACAGATATTTCTCCCTTTTAGGCAGCGAGTGGTTGTAGTCTTTGTTCCCACTCAGAGGTCCTTTAATAGTTCAGTCACTTGGTTGACATTTTCGTGACCTGAGAGTGAACAGCCCATCAGTCAAAACATATGTATTAAGATATGGTAGCAGGGGTGGCTGGCATGGCCATCACCACTGTGTGAAGTTGGCCCATTGGGCAGAACATCTATGTCCAGTATAAGTCAAGAGATGGCCATTCACTGGCTGGCCAGCTGTAAGTTACATCTGGGAAACCACAAGAGATCCCATCTGTTTGTAGTTTCCCAGAGCCATCTGTAAACCAAGAAATGCCAAGTGGCCTTGGCATTCAGCCTGCAACAGTCCATTGTTAGTCTTCATGCCCTGAAGGCCTTTTTGACCAGTCAAACTGGGCTGTTACATTGCAATAGGATGTTTTGTATCAAATCCAGAATTAAAAAAGCAATGTGCACTTCTGCACTCAGTATGCGGTACAGCTTTTGTTGAATAACCCACTGGGACTTGGGTAGCTTAGGTGATAGGCAGGAGTGGATATGTCCCATTGTTATGGCTCAAATTCTTGGCTGTGAGGGGCAGAGCTTCTCAGGCAGCCGTGATGTTCTGTACCAGAGCAGCCAACATGTCAATGCCTGTAATAATGCACTCAGGGGTAGGAACTGCAGTCACTGCCACACAAAATGGCACAAAAAGCCTTATCCAAAGCAGATAAACACCTTCAGTCACTGTGTTCATCCTAAAACTTCCTGATGTCATCGGTTTAATTTTTTCCCTTTCCTCCTTTTAGCTTGACAGCAGTATAAGACCACTGGTCTCTGGTGGGTACCTGGAGACCTTAACCTTACCCCTAATTGCACCATCCAGCCAGACATTTGGGTCTGCATTACCCCTTCTTCAAACAACCACACTAACCATGCTGTGTGAGACTTCCCTGGGCTTTCTCCGTATCTGCCCTTTGAAAAGAAAGTCTCCCTCTTAGTCAGGTCCCACATCTCATGTTGGTTCTCACTCAGAGACCTCAGGGATCAGCTGAGACTGTCTTTCCTCTTCCCTCTCAAGTGCCTCAGGCTGCTACTGAGTTCCCACTCCTGGAAGTTTCCAGCCCCAGGAATGAGCGATTACATAAGTGCCCCCAAACCAGAGGATTACGAGCTGCAGTCACATTTCCACATCCCTTTCTGCTGCCTATGTTCATGCAGCCAGCTTGTTCACATCTTTGTGGGTGACTTTTGTTCCACTTCTCACTGTTCCATCCCCAGAAAACATCCAGATGCATGTTCAGACCCTGCAACCCAGACTGGCCTTTCCACCATGTGTTAGAAACTGGGGGGTATCACCCCTCCTGTTTCACTAATAAGCCATGCTTCTGTCAGACCGAACCGTGCTTGCTGTGCCAATTTTGTTAAACAGGTTCACTGTGCACTGGTTAGTAACTTATCTGAGTCCAGTGAGACAGAACCCAGCCTTCACCTCGAGCAAGTGACATGCAGTGGGTTTATTACTTACAGATAGGCAGCAAGGAGGCCTAGATTCATTGGGAGCTGATTCCCCAGAGCTCAGGAAAGCTGCCCAGTGTTGATGGAATCTCCATTTAGTGTGCCACACTTGCACAGCAGATGAGTGACCCCAGAGAGCAGCCCAGCCTGGGTTTTATACCTGAAGGCAACATGACACACTGGGCTAAGGCACTGAAGGACATCCTGTTCTAGAGGTGGGGGCATGGGAACAGAGCCTGGGCTGTCCCAGCCAGTTCCTCCCTGTCTCAAGATGTTGCTTTCCCAGTATACTATTCTACAATTATTCTTGAGATCTACAGGACAGACATGATACGAGAACTGGATCAGCCCAAGGCCATCTAGAGAACTGTCCTTCAGTGTAGGAAAAGAGAAAAGGACCATGGACGGCCTACAGATGAGTTAAATGTATGCCCAGGAAGAGACAATCTACACTGCATATGAAAATTCTGAGAAAAAGTCCTCGGAGATCCAAGCTTTGATGACCGGAAAAGGACATGAAAACATTAGGGACCCTTGGTGACAGTCTGGAGAAGTCTTCATTTCCGAGGGAGGAAAGGGTGAAAGAGAAGGGGGAGGCATTCTTTGGATACTGGATGATGAAGAAAAAATATGCAACAGGAGGGAATGTGTGTTTCTGCAGAGGACAGTCAAGTAGGAAGTTGGACAATGCAACCTCCTAACCCCAATCACCAACAGCGAAATCCACGCATTGAGATCGCAACTCACCATACTCCACCCTACCATATAGAAGAGTCTTAAAATTGAGGGAAAAGCACTATGGAAAATCCCAAGTGGAAAATGGGCAAGGAGCCAGGCTCCTTGCCACCACGTCTCAGAACAAAGCAGCCACCAGAGCTTTGTGAGTCCTTGAATCCACAGGAATGCCCACCTCGCCATCCACCATGTCCCAGAGCCTGCTGGAGCCACTGGGGGCTTCCGGGGCCTCAGGCCTGGCTCGGTGCAGGCCTCCTCCTTTCTTTGTCACCCCAGGCTGGCACGAATGCCTTCCCTCCTCCAGGATGGTAGGCAGGGGTGCTTGATTGTCTCCTCATTCCTGTGATGGAGATGGGGAGTCAGGAATGTGAGGGTCACAGGGAGCTCCCCGGGCTCCCTGCTAACTTCTCCATAAAACGGTTGTTGGTGTTCGCATGTTCTCACTCATAGGTGGGAATTGAACAATGAGAACACTTGGACACAGGAAGGGGAACATCACACACCAGGGCCTTTCATGGGGTGGGGGGAGAGGGGAGGGATAGCATTAGGAGATATACCTAACGTAAATGATGAGTTAATGGGTGCAGCACACCAACATGGTGCATGTATACATATGTAACAAACCTGCACATTGTGCACATGTACCCTAGAACTTAAAGTATAATTTTTTAAAAAAAGTTGTTGGTGTTGAGCAAGACAAAATAACTAAACGCTGGTGGGTCTGTTCTATTCCATTCTCTTCTGTTCTGTTTTAGGGGTATGTAAGGGTGGGAGAGGTGTGATCTTGCTATGGTGTGACTCTGAGAAGAAAGCAGCCTACCAGACCCCGTTTCAGAATCTTGCTGGATTTTGCTTCCTCAGGCCGGACGCTGAACTCTGCTTGGCCTTATGATTGAGCTGAAGTAGGCGTTTGGATGGTCCAAGCAAGTCTGCTTTCCACAGCTTTCAAGTTCACTGAGCACAGAGACCATCTGTTTTCTGGACACTCTGTTTATCTAACTGCAATTGTACTCTCCTTTGAGGATTCTCGACACTAGTGTTATTCAGATATCCCAATAGACTAACAAATGAGAAGAAACTTGAAAAAAATGGGCAAAATCTGAGAGCATAAAATTTACACACACGTCTGTGCACACACATGCATCACATAAGTGACCCTTAAACACATAAAAAGATGCTTGCCTTTGCTCACTTTCAGAGGAAGGCAAGTTAAAACTACATTATGATACCATTTCTCATTAGATTGGCAAACATTACAAAGATTTAGTAACACTCTGTGGTGAGGCTGTGAGGATACAGGCTCTGTCAGCATTGCTGGTGGGGAAACAAAATAGTAGAACCTTATGGAGGAGGATTTGGCAATATTTAAGAAAACTACACAACATTTATTTTTTGACCCAGGATTCTCACATCTAGGAATTTTCCTTGAAGATTATCTCCAACAAGATCCAAATACATCTGCTTATTGCAGCATTATTTACCATACATTGAAAAATATTAGGAACATCCTAAATGCCCATATGTAGGAGATTAGTTGAAGAAACCATGGCATAGCCACACAATGGAATACTATACAGCCATGTAAATGAATTAGAAAGATTTCTATAGAGTGAAGGGTTGTGGGTTCTAGGAGATGGTTTATTCTTTGAAAGAATTTATAATACCTTTTGTGTATCTGCTTATTTTTGCAAAAAGAAATAAGGAAGGATAAATTAGAAAAGAAAGAGACTGGTTATCTCCAGGGGCTGGGTAGAAACAGGGAAGGGATTGGGGAGGAAGTGACTTTTCCTTTCTAGGTAGGTTTGACATCTAGAATTATGTTATTATCTTACGTAGTTTTAAACCTAAAGGATGGAGACTAAATGGAATCAACATAAAAATAAATTGGCTATATTTCAATAAATAAGACAACCATACTTAAAAAGAAGATAAGTAATATATGTAGATTTTGAATCTATCTATTATCTATCTATCATCTATCTATCTATCTGTCTATCTATCTATCTATCTATCATCTCTCTCTCTCTCTCTCTATCTCCCCAGTCTAAAGACAAAAACAAGTACAAATAAATCTTGAAGTCTAACCGGTGTTGTAGCATTGTTTAAATCATGACGAAATATGGATTACTTAGAATTTACTACTTCAACTATTGAAAAGTGCACAATTCAGTGGCATTGCATAGAGTCTTCTTGTTGTGCAGCCATCACCACTATCTATCTTCAGAACTGTTTTGTCACCCCAAACTGAAACTCTTTACTTATTAAACAATAATTCCCCTTACTTCTTCCCCCTAGCTCCTGGTAGTCTGCATTCTACTTTCTGTCTCCATGAATTGACTATTCTCCATACCTCATTAAGTGGAAGTAGGTTTGGTTTTACCAGTAGCATGAGTTAGAAAATTTGGCTCTGTGTTCTGATTGTAGGATTGAGCAAATGTGTAAATATATTGAAGATGTCAGGAGTCAGGTTGCTCACTGTCAGAAAGAAGACACAATATAGGAAGAAAGAAAACTGGCAGGAACCCTGTGGTATTGAATTGAAATAATGGAACTTGAGTTATTAGTATGAACTCATGGTTTTTAATAAATACATAGAAATAGATGTAAATATATTTGTGTATCTGTACACTTCAGGGCCTAGAACTTCTTTTCTGGCTAAAAAGTAAGAAAGTGCTTAAAAACAGAATAAGGATGTAAACAAACCTAACAAAAAAACACACAGGCAGGCCTGTTTTGTGAGGCTACAACAACTCAAACCTGGGACAATTTTAGCATTAAAATAAATATGATAGTTCTTGCAGTGCTGGCTTAGTAGTGGTGAATTCTCTCAGCATGTATTTGTCTAAAAAAGACTATCTTTTCTTCATTTATTAAGTGTAGTTTCTCTGGATACAGAATTCTTGGTTGAAAATTGTTTTGTTTCAGGAGGCTAAAGATAGGACCCCAATTCCTTCTAATAGCTTGCAGGGTTTCTGCTGAGAAATCTGCTGTTAATCTGATAGGTTTTCCTTCATAGGTTACCTGATGCTTTATCCTTATAGCTCTTAAGATTCTTTCCATCATCTTAGCTTTAGATAACATGATGACTATGTGCCTAAGTGATGATCTTTTTGTGGTATATTTCCCAGGTGTTTTTTAAGCTTCTAGTGTTTGGATGTCTAGATCTCTGGCAAGGCTGGGGATGTTTTCCTCAATTATTCCCTCAAATATATTTTTCAAACCTTCAGATTTCTCTTCATCCTGAGGAACACCAATTATTCTTAGGTTTAGTCATTTAACATAATCCAAAACTTCTTGTAGGCTTTGTTCATCTTTTTAGGTTCTTTTTCTTTTGTCTTTGTTGAATAGGGTTAATTTGAAAGTCTTGTCTTCGAGGTCTGAAGTTCTTTCTTCTACTTGTTTGATTCTATTGCTGAGACTTTCTAGTGCATTTTGCAATTATCTGTGTCCTTCATTTCCAGAAGTTGTGATTGCTTTTATTTATGCTATTTCACTGGAGATTTTTCCATTCATATCCTGAATCATTTTTTTGATTGCTTTAAGTTCGGTTTCACTTTTCTCTGGTGTCTCCTTGATTGGCTTAATAGCAACCTTCTAAGTTCTTTTTGTAATTCAGAGATTTCATCTTGGTTTGGATACATTGCTTGTGAGCTAGCGTGATCTTTTGGGGGTGTAAAAGAAACTTGTTTTGTCATAATACCAGGATTCTTTTTCTGATTCTTTCTTATTTGAGTAAACTATGTCAGAGGGAAGATCTAGGACTCAAGGGCTGCTGTTCAGATTCTTTTGTCCCACAGGGTGCTCCCTTGATATGGTACTCTCCCCTTCCCCCTAGGGATGGGGCTTCCTGAGAGCCAAACTGCAGTGATTGTTATTTCTCTTCTGGATCTAGCCACTGAAGAAAGCTACCAGCCTCCAGACTGGTACTGGGGAGTGTCTTCAGAGTCTTGTAATATGATCTGTCTTCAGGTGTCTCAGACATGGATACCAGCACCTGCTCCAGTGGAGACAGCAGGGGAGTGAAGTGGACTCTGTGAGGGTCCTTGGCTGTAGTTTTGTTAAATGCACTGGTTTTGTGTTGGTTGGCCTCCAGCCAGGAGGTGGCACTTTCAAGAGCACATCAGCTGTGGTAAAATAGGAGGGATTGGGTGGTGAGCGAAGCCATAGAAGTCTCAAGAGATCATGTCCTTTGTATTCTAAAAGAAGCTCTAAATCTTGAAACAAATCCTTGAAATACACCAAAGTAGAATCTCCTTAAACAACACAATGAAGAAAAAAGAAGCCAAGGTATACAGGCAACAAATAATGTGATGAATAGAATAGTATCTCACATCTCAATACTAATGTTGAATGTAAATGGCCTAAACGCTTCACTCAAAAGATACAGAATGGCAGAATGGATAAGAATTCACCAACCAAGTGTCTGCTGGATTCAAAAAACTCACCTGACACATAAGGACTCACAGAAACTTAAGGTAAAGGAGTAGAAAAAGATATTCTATGCATATGGACACCAAAAGTGAGCAGGAGTAGCTATACTTATATAAGACAAAACAGACTTTAAAGCAACAGCAGTTAAAAAAAGACAAATAGGCACATTATATAATCATAAAAGGACTAGTCCAACAGGAAAATATCACAATCCTAAATATATATGCACCTAACACCGGAGCTCCCAAATTTATAAAACAATTACTATTAGATCTAAGAAATAAGATATATGGCAACATAATAATAGTGGGGGACTTCAATACTCCACTGACAGCACTAGACAGGTCATCAAGACAGAAAGTCAACAAAGAAACAATGGACTTAAAGTATACCCTAGAACAAATAAACTTAACAGATATTTACAGAACATTCTACCCGACAACTGCAGAATATACATTCTATTCATCAGCACATGGAATATTCTCCAAGATAGACCATATGAAAGGCCACAAAACAAGTCTCAACAAATTAAAAAAAAATTGAAATTATAGCATGTACTCTTTCAGACCACAGTGAAGAAAATTGGAAGTTCATTCCAAAAGGAACCCTCAAAACCATGCAAAAACATGGAAATTAAATAACCTGCTTCTGAATGATCATTGCGTCAACAATGAAATAAAGATGTAAGTTAAAAAATTATTTGAACTGAATGATAATAGTGACACAACCTATCAAAATCTCTGGGATACAGCAAAGGCAGTGCTAAGAGGAAAGTTCATAGCATTAAATGCCTACATCAAAAAGTCTGAAAGAGCACACATAGACAATCTAAGGTCACACCTCATGGAGCTAGAGAAACAAAAACAAACCAAACCCAAACCCAGCAGAAGAAAAATAACAAGATCAGAGCAGAACTAAATGAAATTGAAACAAAAAAAATACAAAAGATAAATAAAGCAAAAATCTGGTTATTTGAAAAGATAAATAAAATTGATAGACCATTAGCAAGATTAACCAAGAAAAGAAGAGAGAAGAACAAAATAAGTTCAATTAGAAACAAAACTGTTGGGAAAAAGCTGAGTGTTGGGGAGAAAACTGAGGCAAGGCATGCATGTCTGACATAATGTCCTCTGGAATGTGTCTAGACTTGCTGACTCCTTGCTTCTAGCCCTCCTAGGCTCCTAGATCGATTGTATTCCCATTATCTCAAGTAGCAGAACATGTTCCTTATAAATGCTAAACCGTCACAGCTGTAGATCATGCTACTGCCCTTTTGACCCCCACATTCTCACCACCTGTTTCTTTGTTGGATTACCAATAAATAGCGCGGGCTCCCAGAACTCGGGGCCTTTGCAACCTTCATGATTGTGATGGCCCCCTGGTGCCCACATTTCTCTATCTAACTGTCTTTTCTGAATCCTTTGACTCCACCAGACTTTGTCACCCCCAGGACCTTGTGTTGGATCTGATCACTCCAACACAAAACAGCAGATATCACAACGGATACCACAGAAATACAAAAGATCATTCAAGGCTACTATGAACACCTTTACACACATAAAATACAAAACCTAGAGGAGATGGATAAGTTCCTAAAAATATACAACCCTCCTAGATTGAACCAGAAAAATATAGCAATTCTGAACATACTAATAACAAGCAGTAAAATTGAAATGGTGATTAAGAAATTACAAAAAAAAAAAAAAAAAAAGGCCAGGACCAGACAGATTCACAGCTGAATTTTATCAGACATTCGAAGGGTTGCTACCAATCTTATTCACACTATTCCAAAGACAGAGAAAGAGGGAATCCTTCCTAAATAATTCTATGAGGCTGTTATTACCCTAATACCAAAACCAAGACAGGACATAGCAAAGAAAAGAAAACTACAGACCAGTATCTCTGATGAACATAGAGATGCAAAAATCCTTAACAAAACACTAGCTAACTGAATACAACAGCATATCAAAAAGATAATCCACCATCATCAAGTAGGATTCACACCAGGGATGCAGGGATGGTTTAACATCTGCAAGTCAATAAATATGATACATCACATGAACAGTACAAAAATCACATGATCATCTCCATAGATGCAGAAAAAGCATTTGACAAAATCCAGCCTTCTTTTGATTAAACCCTCAGCAAAATCGGCATAGAAGGGACATACTTTAAGCTGATAAAAACCATCTATGACAAACCCATATTCAACATTATAATAAACAGGGAAAAATTGAAAGCATTCCCCCTGAGAACTGGAATAAGACAAGGATGCCCACTTTCACCACTTCTATGCAACATATTACTGGAAGTCCTAGCCAGAGCAATAGGACAAGAGAAAGAAATAAAGGGCATCCAAATCAGTAAAAAAGAAGTCAAATTGTCCATGTTTACTGACAACAAAACCCTAAAGACTCATCCAAAAAGCTCCTAGAACTGGTAAATGAATTCAGCAAAGTTTCAGGATACAAAATCAAAGTACACAAATCAGTAGCCCTGCTATACATCAATAGCAAACAAGCCGAGAATAAAAGCAGTAACTCAATCCATTTTATAACAGCTGCAAAAAAAGGTACTTAGGAATATACTCAACCAAGCACGTGAAAGACCTCTACAAGGAAAACCAGACAACACTGCTGAAAGAAATCATAGATGACACAAACAAATGGAAACACATTTCATGCTGATGGATGAGTAGAATCAATATTGTGAAAATGACCATTCTGCCAAAAACAATCTGCAAATTCAATGCAATTTCCATCAAAACACCACCAGCATTTTTCACAGACTAGAAAAAATATCCTAAAGTGTATATGGAATCAAAAAAGAGCCCACACAGCCAAACCAGGACTAAGCAAAAAGAAGAAATCTGAAGACATTACATTACCTGACTTCAAACTATACTATAAGGCCATAGTCACCAAAACAACATGACACTGGTGTAAAAATAGACATATAGACCAACGGAACACAATAGAGAACTCAGAAATGAATCCAAATACTTACAGTCAACTGGTAGTCAACAAAACAATCAAAAACAAAATGTGGGGAAAGGACGCCCTATTCAGCAACTGGTGCTGGGATAACTGGCAAGTCACATGAAGAAGAATGAAACTGGATCCTCATCTCTCACCTTATATAAAAATCAACTAAAGATGCATCAAGGACTTAAATCAAGACATGAAACCATAAAAATTCTAGAAGATAATGTTGGAAAAACCCTTCTGGACATTGGCTTAGGCAAAGACTTCATGACCAAGAACCCAAAAGCAAATGCAACAAAAACCAAGATTAATAGATGGGACCTAATTAAACCAAAAAAGCTTTTGCACAGCAAAAGAAACAATTAGCAGATTAAACAGACAACCCACAAAGTGAGAGAAAATCTTTGCAATCTATATATCTCACAAAGGGCTAATATCCAGAATCTACAAGGAACTCAAATGAATTAACAAGAAATAAACCAAACAATCCCACCAAAAAGTGGGCTAAGGACACAAATAGAAAATTCTCAAAAGAAGATATACAAATGGCCAGCAAGCATATGGAAAAATGCTCAATATCAGTAATGATCAGGGAAATGTAAATGAAAACCACAATGTGATACCACCTCACTTCTGCAAGGATGGCCATCATCAAAAAATAAAAAAAAAATAGGCCGGGCATGGTGGCTCACTCCTGTAACCCCAGCACTTTGGAGGCAAAGGCAGGCAGATTGCCTGAGGTCAGGAGTTCGAGACCAGCCTGGCCAGCATTGCAAAACCCCGACTCTACTAAAAATACAAAAATTAGCTGGGTATGATACTACGTGCCTGTAATCCCAGCTCTTTGGGAGGCTGAGGCAGGAGAAACGCTTGAACCTGGGAGGCAGAGGTTGCAGTGAGCTGAGATTGCACCACTGCACTCCAGCCTGGGAGACAGAACAAGACACCATCTCAAAATAAATAAATAAATAAATAAATAAATAAATAAATAAATAAATAAATAATAGATGTTGGCATGGATGTGATAGATGTGGTGAAAAGGAACACTTTTTTTTTTTTTTTGAGATGGAGTCTCACTGTGTCACCAGGCTGGAGTGCAGTGGTGTGATCTCAGCTCACTGCCACCTCCACCTCCCGGGTTCAAGTGATTCTCTTGTCTCAGCCTTGCGAGTAGCTGGGACTACAGGCACATGCCCAGCTAATTTTTGTATTTTTAGTAGAGACAGGGTTTCACCATGTTGGCCAGGATGGTCTCGATCTCTTGACCTTGTGATCCGCCCTCCTCAACCTCCCAAAGTGCTGGGATTACAGGTGTGAGCCACCACGCCCAGTCAAAAAGGGAACACTTTTACACTGTTGGTGGGAATATAAACTAGTACAACCACTATGGAAAACAGTGTGGAGATTCCTTAAAGAACTAACAGTAGATCTAACGTTTGATCCAGCAATCAATCCCTCTCCTGGGTATGTACCCCGAGGAAAAAAAGTCATTATACAAAAAAGATACTTGCACATGCATGTTTATAGCAGCAAAATTCACAATTGCAAGAATATGGAACCAGCCCAAATGTCCATCAACTGACAAGTGTATAAAGAAAATGTGATATATATATATATATATACACACCATGGAATACTACTCAGCCATAACAAGGAACAAAATAATGACATTTGCAGCAACCTGGATGGAATTGGAGACCACTATTCTAAGTGAAGTAACTCAGGGATGGAAAACCAAATATTGTACGTTCTCACTCATAAGTGGGAGCTCAGTTATAAAGACACAAAGGCATAAGAATGATACAATGAAATTTGGGGACTCAAGGGAATGGTTGGGAAGGGTGTGAGGAATAAAAGCTCACACATTGGGTACAGTGTACATCGCTAGGGTGATGGGTGCACCAAAATCTCAGAAATCACCACTAAAGAATCTATTGATGTAACCAAACAACACCTGTTCCTCCATAAACCTATTGAAAGGAAAAAAAGATAGTAATATATTATACCTCATTCAGTGAATTTAATATCCATGGTTTGCTACTGATATGAAATAGATAGGTAAATAGATGAATTGACAGACAGATAGATGAGGGATAAGGGAAGCTCTTCCTTACAGCTGAATGCTAATCTAATAAATATTGAAGGAATAATGGGTTTAGAAAAATCACCATTTTGCAACCATCATCCTAATAGCTAACTTTGCAAGAATCATTCATGGATGCTAAATGTAGTGGATACAAATTTGATGATATTTCATAATTTCAAAATATCTCTTCACTCAGTAATTGTAAGAGGGAAAATAATAACTACCAATAAATGGACTTAATGAATGTAAACCAGTTCAACAGTATCATCAACATCAGAACAGACAGACATCACGTGATTGGGCTGTTGAGTGAGGTCTCTTCACTGTGGCTCATTGGAACTTCCCTGTTTTTTAGCACTGAGATTCATAGAATTTCAAATCTTCCAGGGCTGTTATTGTAGAAATACTCATACACAAAAGTTTCAGATTATTTGCTATAAAGTTTATAGATATAGACAGGTATCTCTATTTTATAGATATAGACAGATATCTATATCTGTCTACTACTTGATAGCTATATTATTCACTATGACAGGGAACATGAATGAAATTGTGACTCTTTTCCCACAATTTGAAAACTTCAATTAGTAATACATGTACAGACTCGTATATCTCCTAAGCTTCATAACTGTCAAAAATTAGCAACTATAGAATATTTTGACTATGCTTATAATTTGTTTTTGATAAAAATCCCACCCTGCACTTCTGCAATCTATGATTTGGTTTAAGCTTTAAGGAGACCTGAATACATATTTATGCATGCATGGCAGTTTTCTCACTGGTATTTCTGCCCAGCAGTCCTGGACTTTGATATCTGATTTACCAGTTCTGCAAGTTCACTGTACTCTGCCTGGGTTCCTCCTCTCTGCACAGCAGTCTGGAAAGAGCCTCCGGGAAGAAAATGAGAGCCATTGCGAGGCTCTCCTCGAGTATTTCCCTCTTTTCAGGCATCATAGTTCTGCACCACTTGCTGTCCAACATTTGAAAACAATCGTCTGCTAGGTACCTGACTAGTTTTGTAGGCAGCGATGGTAGGAAGGACAATCTGGTTATAATAAGTACTCTGTTGTGAATGAAAGGAGAAATGTACTTGTTTGAGTTTTAACTAAAACTTAATACTTTCGTAAGGTTCTAAGTGAGGTTTCATAGGTAAAACAAAAGAAGACTGTACTGGTTTTCTCCTGCTGTGTGATAAATTATCACTAACTTAGGAACTTAAAGCAATGCAAATTTATTATCTCATGTTTATAAACTCAGACTTCAGTTTGGGTGGGTCTAGAGTCTGGAAATGGTTCAGTTAGGTCATCTGTTCAGGGTCTCACCAGGTGAAATCAAGATTTTGGTCAGCTGTATCCTTATTTAAAGGTTTAATTAGGGAAATGTTCAGTTCCAAGCTCCCTTAGGTTGTTGGCAGAACTTAGTTATTTGCTGTTGTAGGACCAAGGCCTTCAGCTGTCTAGAGGATGATATCTGTTCCTGGCCACATGCCCACTCTACAACATGATAGGGTGCTGCCTCAATGCCAGCAGGAGAGTGTCTGCTGCTGCTTTCGATCTATATTAAGGACTCACTTAATTATTTCAGGCACATCCAAGATAATCTCCCTTGTTATTAACTTAAACTCAACTGATTAATTTCATATGAAAAATTCTTTTGACATATAAAGTGACATAATAACATGAGTAATGTCCTGTTATATTCACAGATTCTACTTACATTTAATTGAAGGCTTTATAAGTCCACTCCTACATTGCTACACAGAAGTATATGAGACTAAATAATTTATAAAGAAAAGAGGTTCAATTGATACCAGTTCACAGTTCCTCAGGACATACAGGAACCAAGATTCTTCCATCTGCCTAAATTCTGGGGAGGCCTGAGGAAACTTACAATAATGGCAGAAGCCAAGGGGGAAGCAAGGCATCTTCACATAGTGGAAGCAGGAGCAGGAGAGAGACTGGGGAGGTGTTACACACTTTTAAACAACCAGATCTCATGAGAACTCATTGTCACAATGATAGCACCAAGAGAGATGGTGTTAAACCATGAGAAACCACCCCCATGATCCAATAATCTTCCACTAGGCCTCCAACATTAGAAATTACAATTCAATATGAGATTTAGAAGAGAACACAGATCCAAACCATATCATTCCATCCCTGGCCCCTTCAAATCTCATGTCCTTCTCACATTGCAAAATACAATCCTGACTTCCCCACAGTCCCCCAAAGTCTTAACTCACTCTAGCATTAACTTCAAAGTCCAAAGGCTCATCTGAGACAAGGCTAGTCCCTTCTGCCTATGACCCTGCAAAATAAAAAACGTTAGTTACTTCCAAGATACAATGGGGGAATAGGCATTAGGTAAATACTCCTGTCCCCCATGGAAGAAATCTGCCAAAAGAAAGGGGCTACAGGCCCCATGAAAATCTGAAACCCAGCAGGGCAGTCATTACATCTTAATGTTCCAAAATAATATCCTTTAACTCCATATCTCCATATCATACATCCAGGGGATCCCAAAGCCTTGGGCAACTGCAGGGCTGTGGCTTTGCAGCATTCAGCCTACAAGACTACTCTCACAGGCTGGTGTTGAGGGCCTGTGGCATTTCCAAGTACAGGGTGTCAGATGCTGGTGGATCTACAATTCTGGGGCCTGGAGGACAGTGGTCCTCTTCTCACAGCTCCACAATGAAGTGCCCTGGTGGGCACTCTGTGTGGGGAATCCAATCCCACATTTATCCTCTGCTTTACCCTAGTAGTGGTTTCCAGTAGTCCATCCCATGAGAGCTCCACCCCTTCAGCAGGCTTCTGCCTGGACATCTGGGCTTCTCCACACATCCTCTGAAATTTACACAGAAGCTCCTAAGTCTCAACTCTTGCACTCTGCTTACCTGCAAGCTTAACACCACATGGAAGCTGCCAAAGATTATGCTTGCATGCTCTGAAGCAGTGGTCTGAGCTGTACCTGGGCCTGTTTTAGCCATAGCTGGAGCTGGAGCAGCTGGGATGAATGTACCAGCATCCCAATCGTCCCAAGGCTTCACAGGGCAGTGTGGCCCTGGGCCTGGCCCACAGAATCATTTAGTCCTCTTAGGAGTCTGGGTCTGTGATGGGAGGGGCTGCTGCAAAGGTCTCTAAAATGCCTTACAGGCCTTTCCTCATTGTCTTGACTATGAGCACTTGCCTTCATTTTAGTTATGTAAACTTGTGTAGTCTGCTTGAATTTCTCCCCTGAAAATGGGCTTTTCTTCTTTCCTACATGGCCAGGCTGCAAATTTTTCAAACTTTTATACTCTGCTTCCCTTTTAAATACAAGTTCCAGTTTTAGGTAATTTATTTGCTCATGCATATGAGCATAGGTTGCTAGAAGCAGCCAGGCCACGTGTTGAGTTCTTTGCTCCTTAGAAGTTTCTTCTGCCAGTAACCCTAAATCATCACTCTCAAGTTCAAAGTTCCACAGATCCCTAAAGCAGGCTCTTTGCTTAAGCATAGCAAAAGTAAACTTTACTCCATTTTTCAGTAAGTTCCTCATTTTGATCTGAGAGCTTCTCAGCCTGGACTTCATTGTTCATATCACTACCTGAATTTTGGTCACAATAATTTAACAAGTCTCTAGGAAGTCCTGTATCAGTCCATTTCTCACTGCCATAAAGAAATACCTGGGCTGGGCATTGTGGCTCATGCCTGTAATCCCAGCACTTTGGGAGGCCGAGGTGGGTGGATAACCTGAGGTCAGGAGTTCAAGACCAGCTTGGCCAACATGGTGAAACCCTATCTCTGCTTAAAAAAGAATCAAAAATGAGCTGTGAATGGTGGTGGATGCCTGTAATCCCAGCTACTTGAGAGGCTGAGGCAAGGGAATCACTTGAACTGGGGGGTGGAGGTTGCAGTGAGCCAAGATCACACCACTACACTCCAGCCTGGGTGACAGAGGGAGACTCTGTCTCAAAAAAAAAAAAAAAAAAAAAAGAAAGAAAAAAAAAAAAGAAAAGAAAAGAAAAGAAAAAAAGAAATACCTGAGACTGGGTAATTTATAAAGGAAAGAGGTCTAATCAACTCACAGTTCTACATGGCTGGGTAGGCCTCAGGAAACTTACAATGATGGTGGAAGGTTAACAAGGAGCAAGGACATTCACTTGGTGGCAGAAGAGAGCAATGCAACAGGGGAGATACCAGATGCTTATAAAACCATCAGATGTCACGAGAACTCATTCACTATCATGAGAACAGGATGGGGGAACTGCCCCCATGATCCAATTACCTCCCTCCCTCGACAAGTGGGGATTACAAATTCCTCCCTTGACACATGGGGATTACAATTTGAGATGAGATTTGATTGGGGCCAAAGAGCAAAACTGTATTATTCTGCCCGTGGCCTCTCCCAAATCTCATGTTCTTTATACATTTCAAAGCCAAGCCTGCCTTCCTGACAGTTCCCCAAAGTCTTAACTCATTCCAGCATAAACTCAGAAGTCAAACTCCAAAGTCTTATCTGAGACAAGGCAAGTTCCTTCCACCTATGAACCTGCAAAATCAAAATCAAGTTAGTTACTTCCAAGATACAATGGAATTATAGGCATTGGATAAATGCTTTTATGCCAAATGGGAGAAATTGGCCAAAACATAGGAGCTACAGGCCCCAAGCAAGTTCAAAACCCAGAAAGGCAGTCATTAAATCTCAAAACTTCTAAATAATCTTTGACTCCTTGTCTCACAGCCTGGTCATGCTGACACAAGAGGAGGGCTCCCACAGTCCTGGGCAGCTATGACCCTGTGGCTTTGCAGGGTAAAGCCTCTCTCCTGGCTGCTTTCATGGGCTGGTGTTGAGTGTCTAGAGCTTTTCCACATGCACAGTGCAAGCTGTTGGTGGATCTATAGTACTGGGTTCTGGAGGATGCTGGGCCTCTTCTTACAGCTCCACTAGGCAGTGCCCCTGTGGGGCTGCTGTTTGAGGGCTCCAGCCCACATTTCTCTTCTGCACTCCCCTAGCAGAAGTTGTCCATGAGGGAACCACCCCTGCAGCAGACTTCTGCCTGGACATCCAGGTGTATTCATACATCCTCTGAAATCTAGGTGGAGGTTCCCTTACCTCAATTTTTGTCTTCTGTGCACCTGCAGTCCAACATCATGTGAATGCCACCAAGACTTGAGGCTTGCATCGTCTGAAGTCATGGCCCAAGCTGTACCTTGGACCCTTAGCTCTGGCTGCTGGCACACAAGGCACCAAGTCCTGAGTCTGTACAGAGCAGTGGGTGACTGTTAACCTAGCCCAGGTCATCATTTTTTCCTTCTAGGCCTCCAGGCCTGTGATGGGAGGAGCTGTTTCAAAGGTCTCTCACATGCCCTGAAGACATTTTCCTCCATTGTCTTGGTTATTAACATTTAGTTCCTCATTATTTATACAAATTGTTGCAGCAGGCTTTAATTTATCCCAATAAAATGGGTTTTCCTTTTCCATCACATGGTCACGCTGCAAATTTTCCAAACTTTTATAGTCTGTCACCTCTTGAATGCATTGCTACTTAGAATTTCTTCCACCAGATATGCTAAATTATCTCTCTCAAGTTGAAATTTCCACAGTTTCCTAGAGAAGGGGATCAATGCCTCCAAGTTCTTTGCTAAAGCATAGCAAGAGTGACTTTTGTTCCAGTTCCCGATAAGTTTTTCATCTCTGTTTTAGGCCACCTCAGTCTGGACTTCAATGTCCACATCACTATCAGCATTTTGGGCAAAATTATTCAGCAAGTCTCTAGGAAGTTCCAAACTTTCCCATATCTTTCTGTATTCTTTTGAGCCCTCCAAACTCTTCCAAAACCTCTGCCTGATACCCAGTTCCAAAGTTGCTTCCACATTTTCAAGTATCTTTATGGCAATGCCCCACTCCTGATACCAGTTTATTGTATTAGTCCATTCACACTGCTATAAAGAAATACTCAAGACTGGGTAATGTATAGAGGAAAAAGGTTTAATTGACTCAGAGTTCTACGTGGCTGGGAAGATCTCAGGAAACTTCAAATCATGGCAGAAGGTGAAGGAGAAACAAGAATTTTTTTCACATGGTGGCAGGAGGGAGAAGTGCAAGCAAAGGAAATCCCATATGCTTATAAAATTATCAGATCTCATGAGACCTCACTCACTATCATGAAAACAGCATGGGGGAAACAACCCCCATGATCCTATCACCTCCTTCCCTTGACACATGGGGATTACAGGTCCTCTCTTGAAATGTGGGGATTACAAATCAAAATGAGATTTAAGTGGGGATACAGAGCCAAACCATATCAAATCCCAAATTTTCCCCCATCTTCCTATTTCTGAGCCCTCCACACTTTTTCAACCTCTGACTGTTACCCAGGCTCAAAGTTGCTTCCACATTTCAGTTGTAATGCCCTATTCCTTGGTACCAATTTTCTGTATTAGTCTGTTTTTGCATTGCTATAAAGAAATACCTGAGACTGGGTAATTTATAAAGAAAAGAGGTTTAATTTGCTCATGGTTCTGCAGACTGTACAGAAAGCATGATTCTGGCATCTTCTTAGCTTCTGGGGATGCCTCAGGAAACTTACAGTCACTTTGCAGAAGGCAAAGGGGAGCAAGGCATTTCACATGGTGAGAGCAGGAGCAAGAGAGAGAGTGGGGGGAAGCTACACACTTTTGAATAACAGATCTCATGAGAACTCACTATCACTATACAGCACCAAGGGGGAATGTGTTAAACCATGAGAAACTGCCCCCATGACACAGTCACCTCCCACCAGGCCCCACATCCAACATTGGGAATTATCATTTGAATGAGATTTGTGCAGGGACACAGATTCAAACCATATCAGAGGGCATAATACAGGATGTGGGCACCAGGGAATGGTAATCTCCAGAGCCATTTTTATACTTCTTCCTACAAGAAATATGAAAAAAAATCACAACTATAAAAGCTGTTACTGTAAAAACACACACACAAGTTTCAGATTATTTGCTATAGAATTCTGTATATCATTACATATCTATATCTGTCTGTCACTTATTTTGTTCTCATACTGCTATGAAGAAATACCTGAGAATAGGTAATTTATAAATGAAAGAGTTTTCATTTATTTCTGGGGAGGCTGCGGAGGCCTCAGGAAACTTACAATCATGGCAGAAGGCAGCTCTTCACAGGGTGTCAGTGAGAGAATGAGTGTCAACAGGGAAAATGCCAGATGCTTATAAAACCATCAGATCTCATGAGAATTCACTCACTGTCATGAGAACAGCATGGGAGAAATTGCCCACATGATTCAATTACCTCCCTCCAGGTGTGGATTATGGGGATTACAATTGAAGACAAGATTTAGGTGTGGACACAGCCAAACCTTATCATACATTATTCACTGTTATGGCAGGGAACATGAATGAAACAGTGACTCTTTTTCCACAATTAAAAAAATTCAGTCAACCATGTATGTAGTCTCATGTCTCCTATTCTTCACATCTATCAAAAATTTACAAATTTAGGATATACTGCTTATGCTGATAATTTGTTTTTCATCAAATGTATAATGGAATATTAAGCTTGTGGGAAATGATTCCATTAACAGATATCAGGATGTACTGGAATTATGAAAACTAAGAAATTAAAAAATTATGAAAATTGGTTCTTTAAGAAAGGAATTGACCAAATATCTTTTTTCCTCACAATTACCTTATTCAATATTTTCAAAAGTTTAAAGCTGTGAGTAAAATTTTATCATGTTCAAATGCAAATACAGTCATAAAACTACATATTCTATATACTTCAATGGCAATTATGGAGAATTATCATATAATACAACTAATTTGGTTTGGATCTGTGTCCCTGCCCAAATCTCACGTCAAATTGTAATTCCCAATGTTGGAGGTGGGGCCTAGTGGGAGATGATTGGATAATGGGGACAGATTTTCCCTTGGATAGATACTGTTTCACAATAGTGAGGAAGTTTTCATGAGATCTGGTTGTTTAAAAGTGTGTGGTACCTTCCTCACCCTTTCTCCTACTCTGACCATGTAAGACTTACCTATTTCCCCTTCAACTTTTACCATAATCGTAAGTTTCCTGTGGCCTCTCCAGAAGCAGAAGTCATCTAGTCATCACGTACAGCCTGCAGAAGCATGAATCAATGGAATATCTTTTTTCTTTATAAATTTCCCAGCCTCAGGTATTTCTTCTGTTTCTTTTTTTCTTTTCTCTCTTTTTTTTTTTAGATGGAGTCTCTCTCTGTCTCCCAGGCTGGAGTGCAGTGGTGTGATCTCAGCTTACTGCAAACTCTGCCTCACAGATTCAAGCAATTCTCCTGCCTCAGCCTCCCCAGCTGAGATTACAGGCTGGGATTACAGGCATGCACCACCATGCCTGGGTAATTTTTGTATTTTTAGTAGAGATGGGGTTTCACCATGTTGGCCAGGCTGGTTACAAACTCCTGACCTCAAGTGATCCACCTGCCTTGGCCTCTCAATGTGCTGGGATTACAGACATGAGCCACCAATCCTGGCCTCAGGTATTTCTTTATAGCATTGCAAGTATGAACTAATATAGAAAATTGGTACTGAGAAGTGGGGCATTGCTATAAAAGTACCTGAAAAGGTAAAGGTGACTTTGGAACTGGGTAATGGGCAGTGATTGGAAGAGTGTGGAACTTCCTAGAGACTTGTTAAATGGTTGGACCAAGATGCTAATAGTGATAGGGACAGTGAAGGCCTGGCTGAGGAGGTCTCAAATAGAAATGAGTAACTTACTGGGAACTGGACCAAAGGTAACTTTTGTTATGTATTAGCAAATAACTTGGAGTTCCTTTGTCTAGGAAACTGTGAAACTTTGAACTTGAGAGTGATGATTTCAGGTATGTGGTGGAAGAAATCTAAGCAGCAAAGTGTTCCAGAGACAACCTGGCCTCTTATAACAACCTATGCTCACGTGTAAGCAAGTAAGTTACCTTATAAGGTAATTTAATTTGTAAACCTTATATAAGGAACTTATGTTTAGAAGGGAAGCTGTGGGAAAATTTGGAAAATTTGCAGCTTAGCTATGTTGTAGAGAAGAAAAGATTTTCAGGGAAGGAATTCAAGGAGGCTGCTGAAATATGCACAATTAAAAGGATGGAAAATGCCGGTAGTCAAAACAATGGGGAAAAGGACTTGAAGACGTTTCTTAGACCTTCATGGAAGCCCCTCCTATCACAGGCAAGGAGGCCTAGAAGGGAAGAATGGTTTCATAGGCCAGGTCCAGGGCCTTACCATCCTGTGCAGCATCAAACACTGCTTCCTGTGTCCCAGCTGCTCCAGCTTCAGCCATGGCTAAAAGGTGTCCAGGTACAGCTCAAACCACTGCTTCTGAGAGTGCAAGTAAGTCTTGGCAGCTTCCACAAAATGTTATGACTGGGTGCACAGAGTGCAAGAGTTGAGGTTTGGGAGCCTCTGCCTAAATTTCAGAGGATGTATGGAAAAGCCTGGATATCCAGGCAGAAGCTTGTTGTAAAGGTGAAGCCCTCACAAGGAACCTCTACTAAGGCAGTGCTGAGGGGAATTGTAAAATTGAAGCACTGTCTAGTGGAGCTGTGGGAGGAAGGCCACCATCCTTCAGATCCTAGAATGGTAGATCCACTGGCAGCTTGCACCCTGCCCCAGGAAAAGCTGTAGGGACTCAATGACAGCCCAGGAAAGCAGTCTTGGGGAATGAACCCCACAAAACCATGGGGCTGGAGCTGTTCAAGGCATTGGGAGCCCACCCCTTGCACAAGTATGACATGGATGTGTGATATAAAGTGGAAGGAGATTATTTTGGAGCTTTAAGGTTTAACAACTGCACTGTTGGGTTTCAGACTTGGTTGGGACAATTAATGTTTTTGTTTTGGCTGATTTCTCCATTTTGGAAGATGAGTATTTACCCAATCATTGTAATCTCATTCTGTCTTGAGAGTAACAAACTTGATTTTGATTTTACTGGCTTATAGGTGAAAGAGACTGCATTGTTTCAAATGAGACTTTGGACATTGAACTTTGGTGTTAATGCTGAAATGAGTTATGACTTTGGAGGACTGTTGGGAAGACATGATTGTATTTTGCCATGTCAGAAGGACATGAGATTTAGAGGAGTCAAGGGGTGGAATGATATAATTTGGGCCTTGTCCCTACACAAATCTCATGTCAAATTGTAAATCCAATGTTGAAGGTGGGGCCTGGTGTGAGGTGACTGAATCATGAGAGGAGATTTTCACCTGGGTACTGTGTTGCAATAGTCAGTAACTTCTCAATAGATTTGGTAGTTTAAAAGTGTGTGGCACCTCCCCCTGCCTTCCTTTTTCTCTGCCCATGTAATTATTGGCTGATTCCTCTTCACCTTCCATTGTGATTGTAAGTTTCCTAAGGCTTCCTCAGAAGCAGAAACAACTATGCTTCCTGTACAGCCTGCAGAACTGTGAGCCAGTTAAACCTCTTTAAAAAATTACCCAGTCTCAGATATTTCTTAATAGCAGTACGAGAATTTTCTAACATAAAAAATTTTGATGGGGCATGGTGGCCCATGCCTGTAATCCTAGCACTTTAGGAGGCCTAGGCTGGTGTATCACTTTAGGTTGAAAGTTCAAGACCAGCCTGGCCAACATAGTGAAACCTTGTCTCTACAAAAAATATAAAAATTAGCTGTGCATAGTAGTGTACACCTGCAATCCCAGATACTCAGATGGCTGAGGCATGAGAATCTCTTGAGCCTGTGAGGCGGAGGTTGCAGTGAGTCAAGATCATGCCACTGCGCTCCAGCCTGGGTGACAGAGCATGACTCTGTGTTAAAAAAATAATTGATACTGAGGAGTGGGGCATTGCTCTAAAGATATCTAAAAATGCAGAAGCGATTTTGGAGCTGGATAATAGGCAGAGGTTGGGAAGATTGTGGAGGACTCAGAAGAATATAGGAAGACAAGGGAAAGTTTGGAACTTCCTAGAGACTTGTGGAATGGTTGTGACCAAGTGCTAATTGTGATATAAACAGTGAAGGCCAGGCTGAGGAGGTCTCAATAGAAATGAGAAACTTATTGGGAACTGGACAAAGGTAACTTTTATTATGCATTAGCAAAGAACTTGGAGGCATTGAGCCCCTTTCCTAGAAAACTGTGGAACTTTGAACTTGACTATAATGATTTAAGGTATCTGGTGAAAAAAATTTCTAAGCAGTAAAGTATTCCAGAGGTAGCCTGATGGCTTGTAACATCCTATGCTCATGTGTGTGAGCAAATAAATTACCTGAAATTGGAAATTATATTTAAAAGGGAAGCAGAGCATACAAGTTTGGAAAATTCTCAGACTGGTCATGTTGTAGAGATGAAAAGCCCATTTTCAGGGGAGAAATTCAAGCAGGCTGCACAAATTTGCATAATTAAAAAAGTAAATGCTCACAGCCAAAACAATGAGAAAAAGGCTTTGAAGTCATGTCAGAGACATTTGTGGCAGTCCTCCTATCAGGGGATGAAGGCCTAGGAGGGAGGAATGGTTCATGGACCAGGTCCAGGTCCTCACCACCCTGCGCAACCTTGGGACACTGCTTCCCACGTTCCAGCTGCTCCAACTCCAGTTGTGGCTAGAAGGTGCCCAGGTACAGCTCAAGCCATTGCTTCAGAGGGTGCAAGTCATAAGCTTTGGCAGCTTCCACCTGATGTTAAGCCTGTGGGTGTGCATAGTGCAAGAGCTGAGAATTAGGAGCCTCTGTATAAATTTCAGAGAATGTATAGAAAAACCCGGATGGTCAGTCAGAAGCTGCTGGAGGGATGGAACCCTCACTGAGAACCACTATTAGGGTAGTGTAGAGGAGAAATGTGCAATTGGAGCCTCCACACGGAGTCCCCACTGGGGTACTGCCTAGTGGAGCTGTGAGAAGAGGGCCACCATCTTCCAGATTCCAGAATGGTAGATCCATTGGCAACTTTCACCCTTCCCTGGAAAAGCTGTAGGCACTCAATGCCAGCCCATGAGAGCAGGCTTTGGTGTTGAATCCTATAAAGTCACAGGGGTGGATCTGCCCAAGACTTTAGGAGCCCACCCCCTTGCCCCAGTTTGCCCTGGATATGTGATGTGAAGTCAAAGACGATTATTTGAGATGTAGTGACTGCTCTGCTGGGTTTTGGACTTGTATGGGGCTAGCAACCTTCAATTTTGGCTGATCTTTCTTTTGGGATGTGAGTATTTAGCCACTGCCTGCCTGTACTCCCATTGTATCTTGGAAGTAACTACTTGCTTTTGATTTTACAGGGTTATGGGTGGAAGGATTTTCCTTTTCTCAGATGAGTCTTTGGACTTTGAACATCGATGTTAACTTTGACATAAGTTACTGTGGCAGGCCAGGCCTCACTAACAACTGTTTCAGTACTAAGTGGTTAAGTTAAATATTAAAAGCCAGTGCCCTTATACAAAGGCTGGGATGTAATGAAAGCCCATCAGGAGTTTTACCTAGGCCTTTTCTGGGCCTTAAAGCATGGCAAAATAATGATGGAATTCTTAACAGGACCCATTTAGGATTAAACAAGTTTTATTGTGGGTCTGAAGAACCCCCCAGGCCTCCACAGTCAAGTTTATTGGGGGTCTGAAGGAACTCCTCAAATCTCTGTGATTTAGCAGGAGACAAGATAAGGATAATCACCCCAGCACCTGGACCCATTTAGATTAAGTATTTACTGAGGCTCCAGAAGAAGGTCTTCAGGACTCAGAGCTTAGTTATAGATTAAAAGAAGTTAATCACTTATGTCTTTAGATGAATGCACAGTTACATGTAGACATATAGCTTAGAATGTATATAAGCTCTGGAAAACTTTGAATTTTGAGTTGGTCTGGTGATAATTTCCAGGACTTCTCTCTGTAACCAGTTACAGATATAAAAACTCTCTTCCTCCCCAGTTCATCTCCATCTCATTATTGGGTCACGAGAAATAGCAGCCTGACCCTCAGTTTGGTCCGGGAACATTACGACTTTGGAGGACTGTTGGGAAGGCATGACTGTATTTTGCAATGTGTGAAGGACATGAGATTTTCATGGGCCAGGGGTGGAATAATATTGTTTGAATTTGTATCCTTGCCCAAAACTCACTTTTAATTGTAATTCCCAGTTTTTGAGGTGGAGCATGGTGGTAGGTGATTGAATCATTAGGGTGGATTTTCTGCTGGGTACTGTGTCACAATAGTTAGTAAATTCTAATGAAATATGATAGTTTAAAAGTGTGTGGTACCTCCCCTGCCCTTTCTTCTTTCTGTTCTGGCCATGTAAGATGTGGCTGCTTCCCCTTTACCTTCCACAATGATTGTAAGTTTCCTGAGGCCTCCTAAGAAGTGTAAGCTGCTATGCTTCTTGTATAGCCTGCAGAACCATGAGCCAATTAAGCCTCTTTTTTTTTAAATAAATTACCCAGTTTCAGGTAATTCTTCATAGCAGTGCGAGAGTGGACTAATACAACTATATTGCCCAAAGTGACTTAGCTGGATTTCTGGCTCCAGAAACATCAGGCCAGTTACGTCAGTAATTGAGCTGTTGTCTCTCAGCTTTGATCCCACCTTTCCATGTCCTACTCTACATCTTCAGCCCATGGGGGGAAGACTCTGAAGATTGCATCCCAGCTCACTCCCTATTGGGCTCTGCTAATAGTGGACATATAGGGATACTGGAAGGCTTCAGGGGCAAAAAAGGACTTGTTCCTTCTTGCTTGCTCCCTGTTCTTCTTGTAAACACAACAGCTATGTTTTTTTTTTTTTTTAATTGTAGCAGTGATGGTTTTAAGACCAGGAATTGTTTTCTGTTTGCAGCTTTTCTAAATAACTGGAGCTAGCCTCACTGGGCCCCTGCACAGATATAAGGACTGGCAGGCTGGTGATCCCTCCTCAGAGGTCTAATTTCAGCTCTGTGGATTCCCTCTCTGAGTTCCTATGACGTTAATACTAGCTAAGCAGGATTCTTCTTCTCCTTCCCCACAAGCCTTGCACAACCCCCACCTGCAACGCTCTAACTTTTATCAATTCTTTCTTCTTCCTTTTGTTTCCTTAGCCTAGGAGTGGTAGTTGCTTTCCTTAGCTACTAACTATAATATCTCAGTGTCTCTCATTTGCCTTCTCAGTTCTCCAGTATCTGGTTAACAAGTCTTTATTTTCAATTTCCTTGGTTAGAATAATTGAATAGTTAAATAACTGAATGTGACTTCTGTCAATGAAATAAGTCAAACTCTGTAAAACATGTAAAGAGATTCATTCTGAGTCAAATATGAGTGACTGTGGCCCATGACAGCCCTCAGGAGGTCCTGAGAACATGTGCCCAAGGTGGTTGGGGTGCAGGTTGGTTTTATACATTTTAGGAAAGCATGAGACATGAGACATCATTAAGAAATGCACTGGTTTGGTCCAGAAAGGCAGGACAACTTGAGGCAGGGGTGGGGGATTGGGGGGCGCCGGGATAGTGCTTCCAGGATGTAGAAACATGTAAACATTTTCCGGTTTACAAATGGTTGAGTTTGTTTAAAGACCTGGGATCAAAGAAAGGAATGTCCGGGTTGAGGTTGTGGAGACCAAAGTTTTATCATGCCTCCAGGTAGCAGGCTTCAGAGAGAACAGGTTTTAATGTGTTTCTTCTCAGACTTAAAGTCAAAGTTTTGTCAAGCCTCCAGGTAGCAGGCTTCAGAGAGAACAGGTTTTAACGTGTTTCTTCTCAGACTTAAAGTCGGTGTTGATATTAATGCTGGAGAGGTATAATGAGGCATGTTGGACCCCCACTTCCTGTCATAGCCTGAACCAGTTTTTGAGGTTAAGTTTTAAAAGAACCCTGGCTGAGGAAGAAGTCGATTTAGATGGTTGGGAGGGCCTTATAATTTTATTTTTGGTTTATACTTCTCCTTCCATACTGAAGTTCAACTGACATATCAAGTTATTCAGACCATTTTTCCATAGGAAATAAATTTTAAAACTGGATTAAAAAAGAAAAAAATCTTAAAAGCATCAAAGAGCTAACAGCATAATAAGAAATTACCAAGCCAAATTCAAAAGAAAAGCTGGAACACTTGGAGGCAAAAGGAGGAAAGAATCTTTTGCTCCAAGGGTTTGTTGATCCCCGGTAGACTTGGACTTACGTTTTGGTTGTGAAAGGGGTAAATGTCAAACCCAGAGATGAAAAGGCTGCATATTCAAATTACTGGTGAACTAGAGACAATTCTATCCTTCCTCCCCTACCCCCATGGATCTGCACGGCATGCTGCCTTGGTGCTGAGCAGAGTAGGAGTTTTAAAAAAAAGATAAATAGATAAATACATAAAAAGAAAAGAGAAGAAAAAAACAAAAGGAATCTTATCCCTGAGAAGCTGTCATTATGGGTGTGGAAGGAAAGATAAAATGGGACAGAGAAATATGTAGAGGAATAATGAAAATGTTTGGATAATTTTCTAGAACTGATAAAATGATACCAATGCATAGATTCAAGAGTTTAAAGTAAGAGATACATTATACAGAAATTTTAGAATCCCAATGACAAGAGAAACATCCTTAAAGCTGCCATGGGTGGGGACTGAGGGAGATAGATTAAATTCATGGAGTCCCAGTTAGACTCCCAGCAATTTTTTATGATACACAAAAATGGAAACAAAAAAGATGGTGGAAAGATATCTTCAATGTGCTAAAAAGAAGTAGTAAATTTATCTTTTAATTATGAGGATGAAAAAAGTCACTATCAGGGAAAAGAAAAGGAGAAAATTCTCACTCTCTGATTCTCAATAGAGGAAATGCTATAGGATGTACTTTAGGAAGAGGTGATTCCAGGAAGAAGGTCAGGGTGGAAAGAAAATACAAAGAACAACAGGAATGGGCTGGGCACCGTGGCTCACATCTGTAATCCCAGCACTTTGGGAGGCCGAGGTGGGTGGATCACTTGAGCTCAGGAGTTCAAGACCAGTCTGGCTAATATGGTGAAACACATCTCTACTGAACATACAAAAAAAAAATAAGCTGGTTATGGTGGCGGGCACCTGATATTCCAGGTACTTGGGAGGCTGAGACAGGAGAATCTCTTGAACCTAGGAGGCAGAGGTTGCAATGAGTCACTGCACTCCAGCCCGGGCAACAGAGGGAGACCCTATCTTAAAAAAAAGTAAAGGGAATGGAAAATACATGGATATATCTAAGCAAGCATTGGGAATATAAAATTTAAATAATAATATATGATGAATAAAATTATTGTTATATATAATTTGATTGGGTGCAGTAGCTCATGCCTGTAATCCTAGCACTTTGGGAGGCTGAGGCAGGTGGATTGCATAGGCTCAGGAGTTTGAGACCAGCCTGGGAAACATGGTGAAACTCTGTCTCTACAAAAAATACAAATATTAGCCAGGCATGGTGGCATGCACCTGTAGTACTAGCTACTCGGGAGGCTGAGGTGGGAGGATGGCTTGTGCCTGGGAGAGGGACGTTGCAGTGACATGAGATCACGCCATTGCACTCCAGTCTAGGTGACAAAGCCAGATCCTGTCTCAAAATACACACACACACACACACATACACACACACGTGCACACACACACACCCCTTTCACAATATAGTTCATAATAAAGTTTACACATTATATATTCCCATGGTATGATCACTTAGCTTCAATCTTTGTACCACAGATAAGTATTGAAGATGTTAAATGGCATATAGAGGCATTAATAAACTACACCCAAAAAGCCCTAAATGATAGCTGCACGAGTATCTCTTTGCTAAATAATGAAGTCATGTTTATGAGGAAAGCTGTGCTGCCAAATCTTGTGGCTTTAAATATACTTAAGACAGCCCAAGGGGGAACCCGCACTATCATAAAAACTGAATGTTGTGTTTATATTCCAGATGAATCTAAGAACATAACCTAACTTATGACTAATATGAAAACCCAGATAACCAACCTGTCAGATCCAAAACCCTCACTAATCAATTGGTTAAATGGTTGGTTTGAATCTTTGGGAACTTGGTGGCAGAAGCTAAGTGATCATATCATCGGAATACTGAATGTATCCAACAAGATTTAAAGAAAAAAGGCTTGCTGATTTTGGCAGGGTTTGAATTACTCGTCCTTGTACCCAAGCATAACCTAAAAAACATCATCCTAACCACCCTGGAAGTAACCACAGCCATAAATTAGTGCCACACAGCCAATATGTCCCATCTGGAGCTACTCAATAAATACCTAGTCCCTGCACCCAATCAGTGGCATGCCAGTCAGTGTCTCGTAATATGATAATGTGGTCACAGCATTCTCCAGCTATCCACCCCATATCTCCTGTACTTTTTGGCCATAGGTTCTTCGTGTGGTTTCTTTGCTCCCAGTACAAAGAAGCATTTTGGCTGAATTGGCCAAATGAAGGGGTGAGACAGATAAATCCATCCCAAATTTGCATTATCCCATTTTGAAAATGCGCTGTTGTTTGGGGTGTGGTTACCACTTCCTGTTTTTGTTGAGAGGATGCTAAAGTGAGAGCTAATGAGATGATCCTTCCCATTGAAATACTTTTCCTATGTCCCTTGTTCTTAAACATGTTTTTAATGGGCCAATTCTATATATTGTCTTTTGTTATGCCGTTACTAAGGATACCAGACCCTTTCTGTGATGTAATAAATTTTTGGTATTCTATCCAGTCCTGACCTTGGAAGGGGGATACCCACCATGGTAGACCAGAGCCACTGGAAAGAGGCATGAGTCCACATATCCAGTAGGTGTCCTTTTATAATCTGTCTGCATAATCCTGAGCCCATTATAGAAACAGGTTCATTTCATTGGCATCTGTGATTGGCAGTGGCAAGAAGATGTAGGGACATAGGATCAATGATAGCAAGGTTGTGAAATTCACTTCAGTTACTAAAGGATATTAAATCAGATAGTTTAAGTGCCTGTTCTTTCTAAGACAGGAGTTGCTGTTATATCCTATATATAATTGTAATGGACAATAATTGTAATGGTTATTGTACAATAAACACAGGCATTCCTTTGTATACATGCCTGGTCCTGTGTCTTGGGGTTAAACAGTCCACAACAGCTGTCATCTGCTTTTAATCCTGGGTTGAAGATTGATGTTTAGTAAACTGGAGGTAAAGGTCTTTGTTGGGAGTTACAGTCCACTCAGGAGGTTGTGCCTTTCTAAGATGAGAGATGTGAATCCATGAGTCTAAACCCTCTAATTTTGCAGCACATGGATTTGTCAATGGTACCTGGTATGGGACCTTCCATTGTGGTTGAAGGGAATCCTTTATTAGATGTCTTTTCCAATAGACAAAATCTCTGGGTTGCAGATCATGATGAGGCATCTCATCTTCTGGGAGCACACTGTAAAAGGAATTCTTTACTAAATCTTGGCTTTTTGAAGAGATGATAAATGAGTCCCTCACAATATTGCAATATATCTCCCTTGAGAAAAGTTGGATTGGTTATCTTCATTTCCATACACATGGCCTTCCTGTTCTAATTTCATAAGGGGACAGTTAATGTTTACCGAAAGTGGTGGATTGGGGTGTAAGCAGCACTAGGGGGAGTGCTTTGGGCCAGGGGAGGTGAAATGCCTTCGTGAACTTAGATATGTTTTAATTATTCCATTGGGCCTCTCCACCAGGCCTGAGGACCAGGGATGGTAGACACAATGGAAATGTTAACATATGGGCTGAATTTTACAAATATTTTGAATAACCTGGCCAGTAAAATGAGTTCCTCTGTCACTGTGAAGTTCACAGGGGACTCCCCACAATGGCATAATTTTTTTCTAGTAGATTTTTTCCAGCTGCCATAGCTGTTACTTGCCTGCAGGGAAAAGCTTCAACCCAATGGAAAAACATGCAGACCATTACTAAAACATACTTGTAATTTTGAGATGATGGCAGCTGGATAAAATCAATCAATACCTTAAAAGGTCCAGCTGGAAAAGGAAAATGACCCTTGGCCCCATGGAGGGAATTTCCTGGGTTATATTTGGGACAAATGTCACATCAAGAGTAAACTATTTGCCACCATGAAGGACGGTTTCCAGTAATATTTTTTTACACCAGGGTTTCATTTTATCTGGATTCCAATGGGTTTGATTATGAATATATTCCATAAGGGCACCTGATATGCCATTGGAATAATGGATTTATTATTAGGTCCACACTATATTTTAGTTTCGGGAGTCAAGTATTCCCCTGCTTGTTTCCAAGTGGATTTCTCCTTTGATGGAGCTGTGCTCTCAGTTTCTTTCAACATGTTTTTAAGTGTTTCAGGTTTTATGGGCATTTCCTGGATTGGTGCTGGTGGCTTGAATGCTGCTCTTTCAGCTGTGGCATCAGCCAATTGGTTACCCTGATTCTGTGGAGTCTAGTTTTGAGTGACCTGGGATTTTTATAATTGCCAAACGTTTTGGTTTTAGAATAACTCCTAACAGCTCTGACACTTATTGTACATTTTTTTTTTTTTTTTTGAGATGGAGTCTCTCTCTGTGGCCCAGGCTGGAGTGCAGTGGTGTGATCTCGGCTCACTGCAAGCTCCGCCTCCTGGATTCATGCCATTCTCCTGCCTCAGCCTCCCGAGTAGCTGGGAATACAGGCGCCGGCCACCATGCCCGGCTAACTTTTTTGTATTTTTAGTAGAGACGGGGTTTCTCCATGTTAGCCGGGGTGGTCTCAATCTCCTGACCTCCTGATCTGCCTACCTTGGCCTCCGAAAGTGCTGGGATTACAGGCGTGAGCCACCGCGCTCGGCCTATTGTACATTTTTTATGGGTTGCTTTGAGGAGGTTAAATATTCTCTCTCTTTCCATAGCATCCCAAAGTCATGAGCAACCCCAAAATCTGTCAATGTAAATGTTTGAAGCCTTCTCTTTTGCCAGTTGACAAGCTCAAGTCAGTTAGGGCAATCAATTTGGCAACTCCACTTGAGCTGATCTGGCTTAGGGAAGAGGACCGGCTTCAATTACCTCCATAAGGAAACCACAGCATATCCTGCTCTAAAATTTCCATCCTCTCCTCTTAAATAAGATCCACCTGTATACCATTCTATTTTGGCTTTATCCAGTGGCATCTATTGTAGGTCTGCCCTGGGGGTAACAAGTCAGTCAATCATTACAACATAGTCATGAGGGATTTTGTCGAAAAGTCCCAGCAAGAGAGTGGCTGGATTAAGATCACTGTAGTGGGAAATAGTTATATTGGGAGATAATAAAAGCCAAAATTTATAAGAGGCTGACCAGCTGACAGATCTTGAGTATGATGACAGTTTAGAAGGGTATCCAGAGAATGCAGCACAAAAATGGTAAGGGGGTAACCCATAATAATTTCTTCAACAGACTTGTACAGAAGGGCAATTGCTGTGATTGCTGTCATACAAGGAGGCAGCCCTTGAGCCACAGCGTCCAGCTGTTGGCTACAATTGCCAATAGGTCTCTGATAATCACCATGTTTCTGGGTCAGTACTCCAAATGCAGTACCCACAATTTCGTGTGCAAAAAGGGAGAAAGGAAATTTGTAGTTTGGGTTTTCTAAAGCTGAGGCATCAGTTAGAATTTCCTTTATTTGTTGTACAGCTGATTGTCCCTCTGGAGTCCACATGATGGGATCAGGTTGTTCATTTTTTTAGGTAGGCATACAGAGGTTGAGCCATAAGGGAGAAAGTTGGTATCCAGTTTCTGTAATAGCCTGCCAGGCCCCAAAATCCTCTAAGTTGTTTCTTAGTGACAGGCATGGGGAAAGCTGAAATTCCTCTTACACTGTCAGGGTTAATACTCAGTCCTTTGACAGAGATAATATGCCCCTAATACTTAAGTCTCAGTAAATATAGCTGAAGTTTGTCTTTGGACACTTTGTGTCCCTTGATGGCTAACTGTTTGAGTAAATATAGACTATCTTCTTGAGAGGAAGACAGTGTGTCTGAACAAAGGAGAAGATCATGCACATACTGGATGAGTGTTGAGCCCTGGGTAAAAATTAAATCCTCTGGCTGGGTGCTGTGGCTCATGCCTGTAATCCCAGCACTTTGGGAGGCCGAGGTGGGTGGATCACGAGGTCAGGAGTTTGAGACCTGCCTGGCCAACATGGTGAAACCTTGCCTCTACTAAAAATACAAAAGTTAGCCAGGCATAATGGCAGGCGCCTGTAATCCCAGCTACTCTGGAGGCTGAAGTAGGAGAATCACTTGAACCTGGGAGGCGGAGGTTGCAGTGAGGCGAGATCCACCATTGCACTCCAGCTTGGGTGACAGAGTGAGATTCCGTCTCAAAAAAAAAAAAAATTAAATCCTCTAAATCAGCTTTTAATATTTGGGAAAAGTAAGTGAGACTTTCTGTATACTCTTGGGGCATTACTGTCCATGTGTATTGTTGTTCTTTCCAAGTAAAGGCAAATATCCAAATATTGGCTGTCTGGACCTACAGGAATACTAAAGAAGGCACTGCAGAGACCCACAACTGAGAAATACTGGCTGTGTGAGTACAGTTGATAGAAGGGTGTGTGGGTTGGGGACTGCTGGGTGTCTGGGTATTATGACATTGTTTATTGCCCTAGCATCCTGCACAAGACTCCATCTTCTCCTGCTTGGTTTCTTGACAGGGAATATAGGGCTATTGCAGAGGCTTGTGCAGGAAATAATGAGCCCCTTTTTCAGATAATCTTGTGTGGTAGGGACAGTTTCATCTATGGCTCCCTGTCATAGAGGATATTAAGATTGAGTAGGGGTTTCTTTGGGTTTTTCTCTACCTTTATTGGAATGGCTGAGAATATATTCCCTATATCTGTATTTGACTGAGACCATAAGTGGGATGGGACATCCTTTAGCAAGTGCTCTGCTTCTGTTGTTAACAGGAAGATTGGGGAAGCTAAAAGGAGTTTTACTGCTTTCTTCTCTTTATTCCAATGTTCTTTCTTCTCCCCTAATATTTCCTTCTCTGCTCCACTTCACTTTCCTTGTCACAAGATGATGTTTTAACATTATTGGTGCTAAATTGTGGTACATTGTCAGGACAGTTTTTAATTTGGTATTTTTGGTCCCCTGACTCCAATTCTTAAAAAAGTTCACCTTTTGATGAAAAAGAGATATGGGCATTATGGATGTTGAGGAGATCACAGACCAAAAGATTGACAGGGGCCCCAGGGCATATTAGAAATATATGGGACCTACTTAACGTGTCACACTTAGAGCCTGGGTCAAGGGGGTGATTCCATTGAAATGATAAGGTACAAGTTTTGACCTAAAACATGAGATTGTTTTATTAGACACACCCAACATGTTAATTATTTTATTACTCTGAAGAATGAGGTTTCTAAATAAGGTGGGGTTTATCAGAGATATAGTCATGCCTGTGTCAATTAAGGTAGTTGTAAGCTCATGGTTTATTATTATATGAATCTCTCCCAATTTGTTTGTCAGGATAGAATATTTGGAGAAGCGAAACCCCTGCACTTTCTCGGAGCATCCCTAGTCTTCCTGAGTTGCATTCTCCTGCCTTTTCTTTTGTTTCAGCCTAAGGCAGCCTCGCTTAAGGTATCCTCGTCTTTTACAGTAGTAACAGACTGGGAGGCAAGAGTCTTCAGATGGAGAGAGCTTAAAGTCTTTCTGGGGCTGAGAGGTTTGAGAAGTTAATTGCTTTAGCTGTAAATGCATAACCTGGGCAATCTTCTATTTCTCCTTTTTTTTTTTTTTTTGTCATAGCGCAGGATATTTGATCAGCTAAGTTAACTAGTTCATTAGTCTAGTCATGGCCCAATTTGTCATGTGCCATTTTACAAGGGTGGCTAAATCATCATCTAGTCTGTTTAAGAAATTTGCATTTTATAATGTATTATTTTTTATTGTTTTCAAAGCAATCAACTGACATCCTGCAATACTTAAAGTTTTATCAAAATATGTTAAATAATTTAAAACTGATTCATTTGGGTTCTGGCAGCATTGTTGGATTTTATTCCAATTCACAACCCTTTGGAGCACTGAAGGAATAATATTTAACAGAGCAGTCACTCATTCCCGTGACTCTTTATGCCTGTCTTCTGGATTTCGGGGGCTGGTTGTTGGCTCTATTGGGCCTTCAGGGGTTAAATCTGCTATAGGGTCTGACCACTGTGCTTTTTCCAGCCATTCCTTAGCTTTAGCTTCTGAGACCAACATGTAGACTAGCTGATAAAGGTCTGAATGACCTGGGTGATAGGTTCTGATAATGAGCTCATATTTTTGGGCAAAACCAATTGGATCTTTATGGAGGTCAGGAAATTCTTTAACTATGCCTCGTAATTCAGCCTTTGACCAGGGTTGGTAGACAATTGGCAGGGATCCCTTACCTGTTACCGGTTGTTCCTGAAATGGGGCGATCATGAGAGATGTCCCTGTAGGGTCCCTCATTTTCACATCTTCCAGATGAGATGCTGCCATTGGGGCTGTCAGGGAATCATCAGGGAGTGGAGTCTTTGAAGTCAGACTACTGTTGAGTGGTAGACATGGAGGAGAAGGGGGGAACAGATCTGACCTGGGAAGTTCAGAGAGGTCAGGGTAGAGTGAGGGTGGAGGTGGAGGTAGGGGAGATGCCAATAGCTCTTTAAGAGAGATAAAAGATTACAGAGTTCTTGATGAGCATTTCTAAGTTGTTTGTTGGCCTTCAGTCTTCCTCCCTTTTGCTACTCTCCAGATACCATTGAAAGTAGCTCCTCCATTCTGGCTGTTTAGTTTTTGTGCCTGCGTTTTCCATCCTGGTTCACAGTTACACTAATTTGGGCATATCAAAAGATCCCCATTTAGGCCATTGTAACTTAGAATCTGCTTTAGTTATAGTGGTCCACTTGGTTAAATATTTGCATGACTATTTGCCACAATACCCATCCGGAGTTTCTGAAGGGGGAACTTTATGTTCCTCCGGGGTCTTAGAGACCTTATTCCCCATAACTTAGAGTTCCTTTTTGGATTTCACCAAGTTGGGATGTGTGTTGGACCCCAAATGTGCTGCTTGCAGACCTAGCTTTTCAGGGCCATCACAACCTAAACTGGTTCAGTCCACACATGTTGCGGCTACCTGGCATATGTGTCAGGGGCTGAAGGTGTGGGAGGGGTCAGCTCCTTATATGCACCTGTCAGCTGAGATTAGACCCTAAGTATGTTCTCCTGAGGGGGAAACCTATTCAGAGGCACTGAACATCTTAGGGAGTGCTTCTCTCCATCACCCTCATGTGATTCTCAGTCACCTGAGAATGCCACAAAAGGCTGAGAGGAGCAAGGTGCTCCTATTTGTTTTTCAGAGTGGAGAATTCCACCCTCATGAGCTAGAGGGTTTGGAGTTGGTCAAACCTGATAGGGGAAAGAACCGAAACACACACACACACACACACACACACACACACACACACACAAACAAAACAAAACAAAACAAAACTAGAAACAACAAAACCGTTAAGCAAAACTAACAATAATGACACAAATTATATGATTTCTGAGTGCTCTAAGTGTAAGTGGGAAATTAACACCAGCTGGTTGTTGATGCTAATTTTAGTCATTTAAAAGAATTTGTAAGACAGAATCCCAAACCTGTTCTTTACCTAGTGATGGAGGTCCAAGCTGAAGTCTGCTTTCTGCTGATACAAAAGCAGACAGGCTCACCTTCCTTGATGGAAATGAGTGGAAACTCCCACAAAAAAGGAGTTTTTTTTTAAACAGCAAATAAACCTCAGACCGCAAGATCCCTGATACAGAAGCAGATAGGCTCGCCCTCCTTGAAGGAAACAAGTGGAAACTCCCATAAAAAAGGAGCTTTTTGTTTGTTTGTTTGTTTGTTTGTTTAATAACAGCATATAAACCTCAGACTCCTAGATCCCTGAAAAACTTTGGAAGATCAGGGATCCCTGGAGGAAAGAGATCCTGGACTTCAGAAAATTGTCCTATTGGTTTGGGCTATAAGGTGCCCAAGCCGGAACCAAACACGAGAGATGAGAGGCTGCAGGCTGGGTCACTTTCACTCAGGATCCCTCCATGGTTACTAGACGTCAATAGAGAAAAATGATGAGACAAGCCTCAATCATTTTAGGAGATTTATTTGCCAAAGTTAAGGACGCGCACCAGGAGATAGGTCTATGCCTTTCTCCAAAGATGACTTTGAGGGTTCTAAATTTAAAGGGGAGAGGGTGGGATATTGAGAAGTACACAATTTTCATGTAAGGGGTGGGTAGGGAAAAATAGTCATTCATGCCTTTGTCTGGCTCAGTGAATCTGCATTTTTTTTTTTTTGAGACGGAGTCTCGCTCTGTCACCAGGCTTGAGTGCAGTGGCGCGATCTTGGCTCACTGCAACCTCCGCCTCCTGGGTTCCAGCGATTCTCCTGCCTCAGCCTCTCGAGTAGCTGGGATTACAGGCACGTGCTACCACGCCCAGCTAATTTTTGTATTTTTAGGAGAGACGGGATTTCACCATGTTGGCCAGGATGGTCTTAATCTCCTGACCTTGTGATCCACCCGCCTTGGCCTCCAAAAGTGCTGGGATTACAGGCGTGAGCCACCGTGCCTGGCCACCTTGCATTTTTTATATAAGATGATATAAAACAAATGGAGCAGAGAAAAAAAATGCAGGGAATCTGCATTTTTACATAAGATAACATAGACAAAATTGGGCAGATATGCATTTATGTCTGGTGGGCTGGGGGTGACTGCACCTGTAAAAATAAGCTATCAATTTGCATTGCCACGGTGAAATTTTAAGAGCTCACTAGGAATTTCCTTGTGGGCAACATATGGGGGAGGTGTGTAGCTTTCCATCTTGTAGCCATCTTATTTAGGAACCAAAAGGGAGACGCAGGTTTGTGTGACCCAGTTCCAAGCTTGACTTTTCCCTTTGGTCAAATGAGTTTTGTGTCCCCAAATTTAATTTCCTTTCATAATAACATAAAATTCTCCAAAGCAACAGTAACTACTTAATATCATCAAGTTTTGTGCTCATTTTTCTCTCATACTCCTATAATTTTTTAGAATTGGTTTAAATCATACTATTTAATATGTTAACACTTCTAATACCTGACCTTTCATATCTCTTTCCTTGTTTGTTTTCTCTTGGCAGCATTTCTCATGAATATATTATGTATTTCATTTCTTATTGTGTTTAGCCTCTGTCTGTCCAGCAAACATATCTGGTGTAATAATTAGCTGTCAGAATAATTGTTGAATAAATGAAGAGCTTGAAGCTTGATAGCAAGTCCTTTATTTTGCTAATGCATTATAAAAGGTATAAGAATAGATGGACTGGAGTCTTGTGAAGCCTGGTAAACCTTCCCCCCTCCACACTTCTCTTTCCCCTTCTCCCTTTCGCTCCCCCAACCCAGTGTGTGTGTGTGTGAGTGTATGTGTGTGTATGTTTGTGCATCTGTCTGTCTGGCTCTCTCTCTTTCTCATTTCCTCCCTCTCCACAATGAACATGTCTAGGTGAAGGATGCACAAATGTAATGCTTTAAATAAAATGTAATGCTTTAAATTCAGATTAAAAATGTAATACCTGTAGACTGAAGGCAAGAATAGTACAAGCAGAATTCAAGGGCCTATTACAGCCGGTAGATATAATCCATTGAAGGATTTCTCTGTCTGTCTAGAATTGCACTGAAAGCCTTTCCGAAAGTCTTGGTTTGAGGATAGAGAGTACAAAGGTGACCATACCTGGTGTAGTGATCCCTGTCTTTCCCAGGGTTGACCCTTCAAGGGGGCAGAATTACAAGCTATTCTCAGTTTGTGCTTTGGGGAGATTATCAAAATATCCCTAGTTCTATTTTATGATACACATTCAGAATCATAGTCTCTGTGTTCGAATTTCAGTCTCCAGGTACAGACCCGGAGTGACTTTCAGAATTAGAACACTACTAGCTCCTCTTCATGAATGTTATCTTCTAAAGAGGCCCTCAGAGAGGGTAGATCAGTTTCCCTTAGGGATTCCCTCTCAGGGACATCTTGAGCTTGGGACACCAGCTAGAGATTTTCAGCAGGTTTCTGGGGAAAATGGGGGCATGGAGATGGCACTATGAGGTAATAGAGGCAGCTGGAAGGGAAGCAGAGTAACATAAGTTCAGACAGCTCCACGAAAGACAGGTGGTTTCCTTGGGGATGGAGCCTTCATTAACGTGATTTACTGAGGCCCCTGTCATTCCTGGCTCTTAGTAAGGATTTTCCAGATAGGACAGCTGTGATTACGCAGGCAGAGAAAGGTTACAGATCAGGTTACCAACCCCCTCCTACTGACTTCAGGTAGTTTGATAGGGTGAGGGCAGATTATCCCATGGAGCATGCACCCAGGGAGGAGGGGCAGCGGGAAAGAGAACGAACAGAAGGGCGAGAGAATTGGCAGGATCCGTCTCCTACCTCTTCCTAGGCCCACAGCCAGTGCCTTTGGAGTACTGAGGCGCGCACAGAGTCCTTAGCCCGGCGCAGGGCGCGCAGCCCAGGCTGAGATCCGCTGCTTCTGTGGAAGTGAGCATGGTTGGGCAGCGGGTGCTGCTTCTAGTGGCCTTCCTTCTTTCTGGGGTCCTGCTCTCAGAGGCTGCCAAAATCCTGACAATATCTACACTGGGTGAGTGCTTGGCCGGAGAATTCCCAGACAGGCGCGTCCCGGATCCCCGCACTGCCAGGGCTCCAGCGAACGGCGATTGATCAGAGTTATCCAGGCGATTTTCCAGGCTGGGCTTGCGGACCTGGCTGGAGGAGGGAGAAGCCCATCTAGCCGTGGGGCAGAGAGGGGCCTCTATTGCTGAGGTGAGGAAGACAGTTTTTGAGAAAAGACACTCTCCTTTCTTCTCTCTTCTTGTTCAGGACGCGCTCCCCGTCCCGCAGGACTGGGGCCAGAAATTTGAGACCAGGACCAGAGCTTGAGTTCCTGGGCTGCCTTCTCTAGAGCGCAGTGGGACTTTCAGAGGCTCACCCTAAGCTCCATGGGGCCGGGAGGTGCACAGTAGCTTCCAGCAGAAACGGTGGTGACCGTTTCCAGCCTCTTGGAGACCAGGGAAAGGCACTCCTGAGGGCAGCACTGCAAATGTTGTGAAGCTGCATATGGAGCCAGGGTGGCGCAGGCAGGTATTTCATGACTGCAATGCCAGCGGAGTGTTTTTCTCCAGGGGAAACCTGGAGAACTGCCCAGGTCTGAGGAGAGAACCCAGGTCATTCGGATCTTTTGGAGCCTCCTTCCTTTTACCTGTGCCGCTGACCGTTTTTAAGGGATTCATGGGACTGTTAATTCTGCATTTTGGGCCTCAGTTTTATTTTATTTTTATTTCAAAGGAAGTAGAAGATGAAAGAGAATTATATATGAGCTCGATCCCAGGATCGATCTTCCCCAAGACTTTATTTTAATCCGTAGTGGGCGCTAAAGGATTCCTTTTAGATCACGGAGAATCAGGGCTCTTAGAGCTGGAAGGAACCACGGATCATCTAATTTAGTGCCCATTTTGATATTCTGAGAGGGCAACTGAGGGACAGGGAAGTGAGATGCCTTTCTTAAGAGCACATGTGGCCTCCTTAATGTCCCATGAAGAATTGTTTAGGGTTTCTTACCCCAAGACCACGCTCACCACAACTTCCGCTCTGATGCCGTTTTCACTAAGGATTTTCTTTCTTTTTTTTTTTTTTTTTGAGACGGAGTCTTGCTCTGTCGCCCAGGCTGAAGTGCAGTGGCGCCATCTCAACTCACTGCAAGCTCCGCCTCCCGGGTTCACGCCATTCTCCTGCCTCAGCCTCCCGAGTAGCTGGGCTGGGACTACAGGCGCCCGCCACCACGCCCAGCTAATTCTTTTGTATTCTTTTAGTAGAGACGGGGTTTAACCGTGTTAGCCAGGATGGTCTCCATCTCCTGACCTCGTGATCCGCCCGCCTCAATCACTAAGAAACTGTGTTAGTTCATTTGAAGTCTTTTCCCCGCTTTCTGAGTGTTAGTAGCAGTGAAGCAACAGAGCTTCTTAACTTCTTGGAAGTACACAGCCCTCCTTCCTCAGACTTCAAGAGGGAGCTGGTGTCGTTTCTGAATCCAGATGCTGGAATCCAGGTCTTTGCCCCAGAAAGCCATTTGAGTCCTTAAGACCCACTATGAGTGGCTGTTTCTGTGAGGACCCCTTCTTCCTGAGTCCCTGTTCTTACATGGATTAAAATGTGAGCAAGACCGTTGCAGATTTGTACTTTATACATCCCTTGTTGCTTTAGACTATTCAAGTCTGAGTATAAGTAGAGTGAGTCATTCAGACAGCTGCGCACTATTTCTCTACTCCCCTTCCACCTCCATCCTCAAACTCTCGGCATTTTTCCATTAATTTCTCTTCTGATCTTTCTTTTTCTGCTGCTGAGAACCTTAGCTTCCAGTGAAGGGTCTGTGTTGGAACATGCACTAAGAGAAGATATTAACGTGATAAAACTTTTACCTCTTTTGAGAACCAAGCTTCTCTTTCCTTAGCATGGTAGGATTTTCCTAGAATCAGTGATTCTTTAGTTTCTGGTGCAACCAGGATCTATAGGCCCACCCCAAGGGCTCCACAGTTGTCCTCAAATATCTTAATTATAAGTTGTACATTGGCCCAAATTGAGTAATTTCCTGCCAAATACATTTTAATCACAAAGATTTGGGCTCTAAGTAGTAGCTTCTGTCCAATGGCAGTTTCTTAGACTCACCTTGTAACTTCTGTATTTCTGTCTCCTACAGTAGCATACTTTTCCAAAATAGGATGAAAGATAGCTCTGACTGATTGCCCATTAGGAACCCTTCATACTAATGTACACACTACTGTGCTGTATTTTCTATCATTGCAGTTATATTTTGGAGACAATATCTCTCTAAGGCCCCAAGTAACATGCAGCACATACCTTAAGATGAGCAACTTTTACAGGCGTAATCACAGAGAAGCTCATTACACTGACATGGAGTCTTTGAGCCACAAGCGGAAATCTTTGATGGAGGATTGCCACAGGTCCCGAACATAGGACAGGAAGGCTTTGGGTGCATGTACTGGGCATTACCCAAAGTGAGATTGAGGAACAGGAAGCGCTTATCTCCATCTTCTCACTGTTCACATTTCCTCTTCCCTATGCTTTTTCTGCTGAATTTCCATTCCCTCCTGCCTACTCCCATATTGTCATCAGAAACTCTATTTTCATCTTTACAAAAGACATTGTGCATTGTTTCTAGGTGGAAGCCATTACCTACTGTTGGACCGGGTGTCTCAGATTCTTCAAGAGCATGGTCATAATGTGACTATGCTTCATCAGAGTGGAAAGTTTTTGATCCCAGGTATCTTTTTTAAAAACTAATTTTTATATTCTTTTACTCTAAGCAAAAAGTGATAATATATTTTTTATACAGCTGCATAGTAAAAACTTCTTTGAATCTAGTCTTATTTCGGGATGAATAAATGTGTGTGTGGATGTGTGTTCATGTTAAGTATTGGAATTCTTATTGGGTCTGTAGACTAAGACTTCACATAACATACTTCTGTATTTTACCACTTACCTGGGTGTCATTCTATTCTAGACAACTCTCCACACATTATTATTAATTATTTTGAGGAATACTACACAATGGTATGGCTTAAAGTTTTTTTGAACAGAAATGTTTAGCCATATTTCAGGCTTTTATTATGTAAGTATAGAAGTTCTTCTTATCCCACAGGTTACTTTCTATTCTTGAGAGACTTGAAATTTATGAAAGATTTCCCAGGGAGCCTCTTAATTATTAACTAAGATGAGAATATATGATTAACACGACCTCATATGCTTGAAAAATTTGTAGCTATGCATAAGTTGTACATAATGATGTCAGAAGTTTTTAATTGATTCATTTCCTCCAAAGAATTGTAACTAAAATGAAACTCATAAATTCCTGTTGACAGACAAGGAGACGGAGGTCCAGGGAACTGAAAAAATTTGTTTAATGTCAAATGAAAAATTAATAACAGAGTTGGGCGAATCTGGGTCTTCAGGCTCTGGGTTTCTCAATCTGAGGGTTTCTGAAGCTTTGAACAACATCAAAAATTAACCATCTTGGGAGAAAAAGTCTGAGTCATTATAAAATTCTGAAGGTAAACTTCAGGCCTTGTTAATGTTTAGATAGTTTTAATGCACTTTTGATCACCTTCTAGATTGAGTTTTGGAATGTTCACTGAATATCCTTTTTATACATTTTCCTTTGTATCTGCCTTATAGTGTCTGATTTCTCAGCAGTAATATATGGTCATCTTATTTTGGTGGTTCCAATAGCTTTTGACAAACTGCTGAAAGCTATAGACCCACTACTTTAACAGACCATGCACACCAAAATCTACAAATGATTCTGTGGATTCATGAATCTGTTCAGCTTTATCTTTGGGTTCAAGTGTTGGGGTTCAAGTGTTCTAGAGTTTCTTTCAGTATTCCTCAATCTTTGGACATTTCTGCGGTTGAGATGAAATATTCTTCCTTCTAGTTTGCAGTAGTATTTGGGTAGAGCTCTGAAAGTAGGAAAAGCACTTGATTGGGTTGTTTTTGATAGTCTGATAGCCAAATCAGTGTATTGAAATACTTGTACATTTGTTAACTACATGTTTCCATCACTTCCTTATTTAAAACTTTAATAAATAAATGACTTCAGGGATACTGAAGAAGTGTAGGTTTTTTGTGCTCACGCGCAGTATTTTTCCAACTCATAACTGAAATCTCACGTATAGGATAGCAGCCTAAAGGAGAACATAATTATTTGAGGTTCTGACTCTTTTTCCTTTTTAAAAAATTTATACATTTTTATTGCTGCATAATAGATGTACATATTTTCAGGGTGCATGTGATAATACATTTATATAATTTGTAAGGATCAAATCAGTGTAATTGGGATATGCATGACCTTAAATATTTGTTTTTTCTTTATTCTAGAAACATTCAAACTATTCTCTTCTAGCTACTTTGAAACATACAATAGATTATTGTAAACTATAGTCACCCTACTGATCTATCAAACACTAGATCTTATTTCTTCTGTAAAGCTATAGATATGTACTCATTAATCAACCTCTATCCATATCCCCTGTCCACTACCATTTCCGGTCTCTAGTAATCACCAATCTACTCTCTACTTTCATAAGATCCTCTTTTGTAAGCTACTGCATATGGGTGAGAACATTGGATATTTTTCTTTCTATGCTTGGCTTATTTCACTTAATATAATGGCCTCTAATTCAATACATATTGCTGTAAATGACACAATTTCATTATTTTCTATAGCTGAATAATATTTCATTGTGGATTTAAATCACATTTTCTTTATGCATTGTCCACTGATGTGCACTAAGGTTGATTGCTTTACTTTGGTTATTGTAAACAGTGCTGCAATAAACATGGGAATGAAGCTATCTCTTCGATATATTGACTTTTTTTCTTTTGGATTATATATCTAGTAGTGGAATTGCTGCATCATATGGTAGTTCTGTCTTTAGTTTTTTGAGGAATCTTGATAGAGTTTTCCATAGCAGCTGTACTAATTTACAGTGTATGAGGGTTCCCCTTTCTTGACTTTCGTGTCAGCATTCATTATTCCGTTTTTCAGATAAAAGCCATTTTAACTGTGATGAGATGATATCACATTGTGATTTTGATTTGCATTTTTCTGAGGATAAATAATGGTGAACATTTTCTTATGTATCTGTTGGTTATTTTGAGAAATGTCTATTCAGATCTTTTTCCCATTTTTAACTATTTATTTGCTATTAAGTTGTTTGAGCTGTTTATATATTCTGGTTATTAATCCATTGTGAAAAGAATAGTTTGCAATTATTTTCTCCATTCTTTGGGTTGTCTTTTCATTTTGTTGACTGTTTCCTTTGCTGTGCAGAAGCTTTTTGGCTTGATGTAATCCCATTTGTCTATTTTTGCTTTGATTGCCTGTACTTTTGATGTCTAACTAAAAAAGTCTTTGCTGAGACCAATGTCTTGGAATAGTTCCTCAATGTCTTCTTCTAGTAGTTTCATAGTTTTAAGTCTTAGAATTAAGTTTTAAATCCACTCTGACCTTATTTTTTTGTATGGTGAGAGACAGTGGCTTGGTTTTGTTCTTTGCGTATATCCAGTTTTACAGATTCTCCAGCACCATTTATTGTAAAGACTGTCCTTTCCTCATTATATGTTCTTGGCCTCTTTGTTGAAGATAAGGTTGCTATACATGTGTAGGTTTTTATCTGGGCTCTTCTGTTCCATTGGTCTATGTGTCTGTTTTCATGCCAGTACCGTGCTGATTTGGTTACTATACGTTTGCAGTATATTTTGAAGTCATGTAGTTTGATGCCTCTGGCTTTCATCTTTTTGCTCAGGATTGCTTTGGTTACTCAGGATCTTTTATGGTTCCATATACATTTTATAATTTTTTTCTATTTCTGTGAATAATGTCATTGATATTTTGATAATAATTGCATTGAATTTGTACGTTTGCTTTAGGTAGTATTGGCATTTTAACAATATTTATTCTTCTAGTCCATGAACAAGGAATAGCTTTCTATTTATTGTGACCTCTTCAGTTTCTTTCAGTGGAGTTTTATAGTTTTCCATATATATCTTTTACATCTTTTGTTAAATTGATTTCTAGGTATTTTATATTTTTTGTAGCTATTATAAATGGAATTTCTTTTTTTTTTTTTTTTATATTTTATGTTTATTTTCCGGTAAGATTCATCAGTCCATTAATAGTAGATTGGTTCAGTCTAAAAGTTTGTCTCTAACAATCTTTATTAGACACATTATAAATTCTTTCCCAATCTAGAACTTTACATTTGAACTTATAGAATATATCTTAAAGCAGCATTAGTAAAAGTAAGAAGACTTGAAAATATAAACTAGCTTTGAGTAAGATTCAGATTCCACATTTATTGAGTGCCTACGCTGTCAGGGGCTGTGCTAAGTCTTTTAAAATAAAAATTTGTCTAGAATTTATAAAAATTCTGTGAGATTGGCTGGGCGTGGTGGCTCACACCTGTAATCTCAGGACTTTGGGAAGCCGAGGTGGGTGGATCACCTGAGGTCAGGAGTTTGAGACCAGCCTGGCCAACATGGCGAAACCCTGTCTCTACCAAAAATACAAAAATGAGCTGGGTGTGATGGCACATGCTTGTATTCCCAGGTACTCAGGAGGCTGAGGCACGATAAGTACTTGAACTTGGGAGGCAGAGGTTGTAGTGAGCCGAGTTTGCCCCACTGCACTCCAGCCTGGGTGATAGAGCAAGATTCTGTCTCAAAAAAAAAAAAAAAAAATTCTGTGAGATTGAATGGTAGCCCCATTTCACAAAAAGGAAACAAGCTCAGAAAGAATGAGGGTGATGTAATGATTAGATAATGGGCTGCTAAATACCGAGCAATACAGTTAAGTATCACATAACTAGGGATAGAATAATATAAATAAGACTGAGCATCAATTCTCAAGCCATATAAATGGAATTTCTTTATTGCTTTCTTTTTCAGGTTGTTTGCTGTTGGCATATGGAAATGCTACTGGTTTTTGTACTTTGATTTTTTATCATGCAACTTTACTGAATTTGCTTATGAATTCTAATAGTTTTTTGCTAGGGTCTCTAGGTTTTTTAAGTATAAAATCATGTCTTCTGTGAAAAAGGCTAATTTGACTACCTCCTTTCCAATTTGGATGTCTTTATTTATTTCTCTTGCCTAACTTCTCTGTCCAGAACTTCCACTATGATGTTGAATAAAAGTAGTGAAAGTGGGCATCCTTGTCTTATTTCAGATCTTAGAGGAAAGGCTTTCAGTTTTTTGCTATTTGATATGATTTTAGTTGTGGTGTGTCATATATAGCCTTTATGATTTTGAGGTATGTTCCTTCTATACCTAGTTTGTTGAGGGTTTTTTTTTAAATCATAAAAAGGTGTTGAATTTTACTGAATGCTTTTATGCATCTATTGAAATTATCATATGGTTTTTGTTCTTGGTTCTGTTTATGTGATGTATCATGTTTGTTGATTTGCATATGTTGAACTACTCTTGCATCCCTGGGATGAATCCCACTTGATCATGGTGAATGATCTTTTTAATGTGTTGTTGAATTTGTTTTGCTAGTATTTTGTTGAGGATTTTTGCATCTATCTTCATCAGTTATATTGGCCTATAGTGTTTTTTTTTCTTATTATGCCCTTGTCTGATTTTGGTATCAGAGTATGGCTGGCCCTATAGAATGAGTTTGAAAATAGCCCCTGATCTTTAATTGTTTTGAAGTCTTTGAGTAGAATTGGTTTCGTTATTTGGATGTTTGATAGAATTCATCAGTGAATTCATCAGGTTTTGGGCTTTTCTTTAATGAGAGACTCTATTATGGCTTTGATTTCATTCCTCATGATAAGTTTGTTGAGGTTTTCTATTTCTTGATTGCTCAGTCATGGTAGGTTTTACGTGCCTTGGAATTTATACTTTTCTTCTAGTTTTTCCAATTTGTTGGCATATTGTTGTTTGTAATAATATAGAGACTTTTAATGCTTCTTTGTATTTCTGTGGTCTCTGTTGTTATATCTTTTTTTCTGTTTCTGATTTTTTTTTTGGATCTTCTCTTTTTATTTTTTAGTCTGGTGTATTAATCTGTTTTCACATTACTATATAGAACTGCCTGAGACTGCGTAATTTATGAAGAAAAGAGGTGTAATTGACTCACAGTTCCACACGATGTATAGGAAGCATGGCTGGGAGGCCTCAGGAAACTTACAATTGTGGCAGAAGGTGAAGGGAAAGCAAGCACATCTTACCAGGGTGGAGCAGGAGAGAGAGAAGGCAAGGGAGGAGGTGCTACACATTTTCAAACATCCAGATCTCATGAGAACTCAATCACTGTCAAAAGAAGAGCAAGGGGAAATCTGCACACATGATCCAATCACCTCTCAGCAGGCCTCTCCTCCTTCACTAAGGATCACAACTTGAGATGAGGTTGGGTGGGAACACAAAGCCAAGCCATGTCATTCCGCCCCTGGCCCCTTCCAAATCTCATGTCCTTCTTACAACTCAAAACAAAACCGTGCCATTTCAACAGTCCTCAAAATCTTAACTCATTCCAGCCTTAATTCAAAAGTACAAGTCCAAAGTCTCATCTGAAGCAAGACGAGTACCTTCTGCCTATGAGCCTTTTAAATCTAAAACAATTCAGTTACTTCCAAGATACCATGAGAGGATAGGCATTAGGTAAATATTCCCATTCCAAATGGGAGAAATTGTCCTAAACAAAGGGGCTATAGGCCCCATGCAAGTCTGAAACCCAGCAGGGAAGCCATTAAATCTTAAAGCGCCAAAATAATTTCCTTTGATTCCATGTCTCACATCCAGGACATGCTGATGCAAGGGGTGGGCTTGCAAGGCCTTGGGTAGCTCTGCCCCTGTGGCTCTGCAAGGTATAGCCCCTATGGCTGCTTTAATGATCTGTTGTTGAGTGCCTGCAGCTTTTCCAGGAGGATGGTTCTACAATTCTGGTTTCTGGAGGACAGCTCCACTAGGCAATGCCCCAGTGGGGACTTTGTGTGAGGGCTTCAGCCCCACATTTCTCCTCTGCACTGCCCTAGTAGAGGTTCTCCATGAGGGCTCCACCCCTGCAGCAGACTTCTACCTGGACATGAAGGCATTTTCATATATCCTCTGAAAACTAGGTGGAGGCTTCCAAATCTCAACTCTTGCCTTCTGCACATGTGTAGGCCTAACTCCACATGGAAACCACCAAGTCTTGGGGCTTGTACCCTCTGAAACAATGACTTAGCTGTACCTGGGCCTCTTTTAGCTGTGGCTGGAGCTGGAACAGCTAGGGGTGCCATGCCCCAAGGCTGAACAGAGCAGTGGGGTCCTGGGCCTAGCCCACAAAACCATTTTCCCCTCCTAGGCCTCTGGGCCTGTGATTGTAGGGGCTGCCATGAACTCTCTGGCATGCCCTAGAGATATTTTCTCCATTGTCTTTGTTACTAACATTTGGCTCCTCTTTACTTATGCAAACTTCTGCAGGTAGCTGCTTGAATTTCACCCCAGAAAATGGGTTTTTCTTTTCTACCACATGGTCAGGTGGCAAATTTTTCAAATGTTTATGCTATATTTCCCAGTGAAATATAAGTTCTCTTTTCTTATGCAAATGAACATGGGCTTTTAGAAGCAGCCAGACCATGTCTTGAATGCTTTGCTGCTTAGAAATTTCTTCAGCCAGATATCCTAATCATCTCTCTCAAGTTCAAAGTTTCACAGATCTCTAGAGCAAGGTCACAGTGCCACCAGTTTCTCTGCTAAAGCATAGAAAGAGTGACCTTTTTTCAGTTCCCAATAAGTTCGTCATTTCCATCTGAGACCACCTCAGCCTGGACTTCATTGTCCATATCACTATCAGCATTTTGGTCAAAATCATTCAACAAGGGCCACTCTTCTGTGGCCCTTGGAACTGTCTCATTCTCATATTTGAGTTCTGGGATATTGCTGGTGATAATCTCAGCATTGTATATTTATTTTTGGTTTTCTGTAATTGCAGAGTGAAGCTAGCTTGATTCTATGATGCCATTTTGGAACCAGAAGGCCTCTTTTTCTTTCTTTCTTTCTTTAAGACAGTTTTCTGTACCTCACCATCTACCTGGTATACTTTTCTCCAAGCAACAGGTCTTCATTGTTTTTGGGTGACTGCCCGAGTTACATCAGTGATCTTCATGGGCTGACTCCAAACACTCAGGCCAGTGATTTTCTTCTCCTGACCAGAAAATTCTCATCCTGACCAGCAGGTCAGTTTTGACTTTTTTTAGTAACTAGGTAGGAGAGCAGATCAATAGCTAATATAAGGAAATCCCTGATTTCAATTCAGATTTCTAATTCAGCCACTGGGCTTTTCTCTTTATAAGTGGTGTTCACCATAGCCCTGAGGAGTGAAATGTACAACATCTTTATCTGTCATAAAAGGTAAAGTAAATTTCATATTGTTAAGATTTATGGAACTTAATAAAGTAAAATTGTCTTTCTTCTGAATATCAGAACCCATGGATAGATAATGACAGGAGTTAGACAGATAATGATCAAAATGGCATACTTTTTCCAGCTGCTTGGAAAGCTTATCTTTAGATCTTTACTAAATATCAAGAGTTGAATCAAAGATGAGTAGGGATTTGGAGAGAGGCCTTGTATGATGTCTGGGTATTATTCTACTTGATTATTTCTGGTAGTCATTCCTGGCCATGGTAGTGTTCTGACATATATGTACTGAGCTGTTCTCTGGAAGATCCCAACTTGACTTTTCTCTCTGCAGCTCTCTCCCCTCTGGTATTGTTTTGTGAATTCTGTCTGCCTTGTTTTCTCTGAAATCTGAATCCATTCTCCTCCATTTAGGGAGAAGGCCTGGCCAGATGTGGCTACCTTCTCCATGAGCTCTATTATGAAAATGTTATCCAGTCAGTAATAAATGTTCTGCACTGACTGGTGTCCAGTATTTAGAAACAATTTTTTTTTCATAGATTCTGTCTTCTTTATTTTTAGTTGTTTAAAGTAGGAAGGTAAATCTGCTCTATTACTTCCTCATGGCCACAGATTGAACTTCCTTTTCTTCATTTTTAAAGCATTTTACAGAAGTAATATTGACTTGTAAATAATAAACTGCATATATGTAAAGTATACAATTTGAAGCTGGGCACAGTCTGATATGTTTTTGACTGTGTCCCCACCAGAATCTCATCTTGAATTCCCATATGTTGTGGAAGAAACCTGGTGGGAAGTAATTAAATCATGAGGACAGGTCTTTCCTGTGCTATTCTTGTGATAGTGAATAAGTCACATGAGACCTGATGGTCTTAAGAAAGGGGAGTCTCCCTGCACAAGCTCTCTCTCTCTTGCCTGCTGTGATGTAAGACATGCCTTCTGCCTTCTGCCATGATTGTGGGGCCTCCCCAGCTATGTGGAACTGTGAGTCCATTAAATATCTTTTTCTTTGTAAATTACCCAGTCTCAGGTATGTCTTTATCAGCAGCATGAAAGCAGACTAATACAGTAAATTGGTACTAGTAGAGTGGGGTGCTGCTGTAAAGATACCCAAAAATGTGGAAGTGACTTTGGAATTGGGTAACAGGCAGAGGTTGGAACAGTTTGGAGGGCTCAGAAGGAGACAGGAAGATGTGGGAAAGTTTGGAACTTCCTAGAGGCTTGTTGAATTTTTTTTAACAAAAACAATGATAGTGATATGGACAATGAAGTCCAGGCTGAGGTGGTTTCAGATAGAGATGAGGAACTTATGAGGAACTGAAGCAAAGGTCACTCTTTGCCCCTGCCCTAGAGATTTGTGGAACTTTGAACTTGAGGGAGATGATTTAGGGTATCTGGTGGAAGAAATTTCTAAGCAGCAAAGCATTCAAGATGTGACTTGGGTGATTTTAAAAGCATTCAGTTTTATAAGTTTGTAAGGGAAGCAGAGTATAAAAGTTCAAAAAGTTTGCGGACTGACAATGTGATAGAAAAGAAAATCTCATTTTCTGAGGAGAAATTTAAGCTGCTGCAGAAATTGCATAAGTAAGGAGAAGCCAAGTGTTAATCCCCAAGATAGTGGGGAAAATGTCTCCAGGGCATGTCTGTGGAAAAACCACAGACACTCAACCGCTGCCCATGAAACCAACTGGGATGGAGTCTATACCTTGCAAAGACACAGGGGTAGAGCTGCCCAAGACCATGAGAACCTACCTCTTGCATCAGTGTGACCCAGATGTGAGGCACGGATTCAAAGGAGATCATTTTGGAGCTTTTAGATTTGACCGCCCTGTTGGATTTTTGATCTGCATGAGACCTGTAGCCCCTTTGTTTTGGCAAATTTCTTCCATTTGGAATGGCCCTATTTACCCATTGCCTCTACCCTCATTGTAACTAGGAAGTAACTAACTTGCTTTTGATTTTACAGGCTCATAGGCAGAAGGGACTTGCCTTGTCTCGGATGAGACATTGGACTGTGGACTTTTGAGTTAATGCTGAAATGAGTTAAGACTATGGGGGACTATTGGGAAGGCATGATTGTTTTGAAATGTGAGGACGTGAGATTTGGGAGTGGCCAGTGGCAGAATGATATGGGTTGGCTGTGTCCCCACCCAAATCTCATCTTGCACTTTCACATGTTATGGGAGGGACCTGGTGGGAGGTGATTGAATCATGGGGCAGTTCTTTCCCATGCTGTTCTTGTGATAGTGAATAAGTCTTATGAGATCTGATGGTTTTGTAAAAACTTGTGTGTTTCCCTACACAAGCTCTATCTCTCTTGCCTGTTGTGATATAAGATGGGCCTTTCGCCTTCTGCCATGATTGTGAGGTCTCTCCAGCCATGTGGAACTGTGAGTCCATTAGATCTATTTTTCTTTTCTTTTGGCAAATTACCTAGTCTTGGGTATATCTTTATCAGCACCATGAAAATGGACTAATACAGAGTGGTTCATGCTTGTAATCCCCGCACTTTGAGAGGCTGAGGCAGGTGGATCACTTGAGGTCAGGAGTTCAAGTCCAGCCTGGCCAACATGGTGAAACCCCATCTGTACTAAAAATACAAAAATTAGCCAGGCCTGGAGGTGTGCACCTGTAATCCCAGCTACTCAAGAGGCAGAGGCAGGAGAACTTCTTGAATCCCAGGAGGTGGAGGTTGCAGTGAGCCAAATCACACCACTGCACTCCAGCCTGGGTGACAAAGTGAGACTCTGTCTCAAATAGAAAAAAAGTAAAAATTGAAACATATGTACAATTTGATGTTTGAACATATGTATATACTTGTGAATCCATCAACATAATTAGGATATGAATATTTCCATCATTCCAAGAAAATTTCTTTTGTCCCTTTGCAATCCCCACTATGTGTCATCCCACCTTCCAGCTCCCATTGCTAGTTAGTCACTAATATATCACTATGAGTTAGTTTGTATCTTTTAAATTTTACGTAAATGGGATTATAAGGTATGTATTCTTTTATTTTGCCTTGTTTTAATTAACGTTATTGTATTAGTTCATTTCACATTGCTATAACATAATGTCTATTGCCTGAGGCAGCATAATTTATAAAGAAAAGAGGTTTATTTGACTCACAGTTCTGCAGGCTGTACAAGCATGGCACCAGCATCTGCTCAGCTTCTGGTGAGGCCTCAGGAAGTTTACTGTCATAGCAGAAGACAAAGGGGGAGCTGGCTAGTCACATGATGAGAGAGGGAGCTAGAAAGAGTGGGTGGAAGTGCTAAGCTCTTTTAAATAACCAGCTCTTGTGTGAATTCACTACCATGGTGACAGCACCAAGCTGTCCATGAGGTATCTGATCCCAAGACTCAAACACCTCTCACTAGGCCCACCTCCAACTTTGGAGGTCACATTTCAATGAGATTTGGAGGGGGCAAACATCCAAAGAATATCAATTATTATTTAAAGATTCATTCATATTGTGTTTATGAGTTATTTATTTATTTTTATTGCTTGCTAGTATTCTATTGTATTCGTTACTAAAATGTGTTTATTTAGTTTTCTGTTGATAGACATTTGGGTTATTTTCAGTTTGGGACTATTACAAATAAACCTGCTATGACCGTTTTGTGTACACGTCTGTTATAACTTACTTTCTCTTCCTTCCTTCCTTCTTTCCTTCCTTCCTTCTTTTCTTTCTCTCTTTCTCTTTCTTTCTTTCTCTTTCTTTCTTTCTTTTCTTTCTTTCTCTTTCTCTTCTCTTTCTCCCTTTCTCTCTTTCTTTCTTTCTCTCTCTTTTTCTTTCTTTCTTTTCTTTCTTTCTCTTTCTCTTCTCTTTCTCCCTTTCTCTCTTTCTTTCTTTCTCTCTCTTTTTCTTTCTTCTTTCTTTTTCTTTCTCTCTCTCCTTCCTTCCTTCCTTCCTTCCCTTCCTCTCTCCCTCCGTCCCTTCTTTCCTTCTTTTTTCTTTCATATTATTTTTGAGGCAAGCACTTGTTCTGTTGCCCAGGCTAGAGTGCACTGGCACAATCATGGCTCACTGCAGCCTCAAACTTGGGCTAAAGCAATCCTCTTACCTCAGCCTCTTGAGTAGCTGGAACTACAGATGTGCACCACCAATCCCAGCTAATTTATTTTTTGTAGAGTCGGTATCTCACTATGTTGCCCAGGCTGACCTCAAACTTCTGGCCTAAGGTGATCCTCCCACCTTGGCCTTTCAAAGTGCTGGGATTACAGACATGAGCTACTATGCCTGTCCTACATTCTTTTCTCTGGGTTAGCAACTAGAAGTGCAGTGGCTGAATCATATTGTTTAACTTTTTAAAAAATTGACATACTTTTCCTAAAGTGGCTGTACCATTTAAAATTCTTACCAGAAGAGAAAGTAGGGAATGAACCATTAGTTATCCTTCTTAAATTGGGTTGTTGCAGTTTTTCATTAATTTTAATCACAGGGCATATTAATACTTAGAGATGCCCTAAGAGATCTTCTATAATGCAAACTAACTCTTTTTCTACCTCCAATGTGTAGGAGCAACACAATTTCAACTTCATAATCAGGATCACCAATTTCAATCAGTACAGTAACTTCTTTCTTTGCCATTTGATTCAGAGGCATGGGGAACCAAAAGTGGCTGGATTGCATTCTTACTTTTCTGTTTAATAGAATTATTTTTGTGTCTCTTGGTGGAAACATTCCTTCCTTTGGAACTAAAATCCTAGTCTGAAAGAGCATAAGGCTGCAGGAACAGGAAGCAAAAATATTGATAGTGGATCACTAGGGGAAATAGTGAGTGGTGATGCTGCCATTTCTACCCCTTGATACCTGAACCCATGAATCCTTGCTATGGGAGAAGAAACATCATATATTAGATGTGATTAAGCACATATATAGTCTCCTGGAGAACACTGCCCCAGGCTTGCAATGTATTTCCACCACCTGTAGCTGTAACTGTGTCTTTTAAAAATTCTTCAGGGAGGGATAGCATTAGGAGATATACCTAATGTAAATGACGTGTTAATGGGTGCAGCACACCAACATGGCACATGTATACATATGCAACAAACCTGCACGTTGTGCACATGTACCTAAAACTTAAAGTATAATAAAAAAATAAATAAGTAAATAAAATGAAAAAAAGTAAAAAAAAAAATGCTTCACTGTTTCATTAAGTCAGCCACTTTAGGATGGTGGGGAACATGGTAAGACGACAAATTCCATAATTATGCACTCATGCTGCAGTTTATTTGCAGTTAAGTGAGTTTCTTTGTCAGAGTCAATGCTGTGTAGAATTCCACATCAGTAGATAAAGCATTTTGTAAGTGCATGGATGGTAGCTTTGGTGGAAGCATTGCATGAAGGGAAAGCAAGTCAAATCCAGAGTAAGTGGCTTTTTGAGTAAGAATAAAGCTCTATCTCTTTCATAATGGAATTGGTCCAATGTAATCAATCTGCTACCTGGATAGCTGACTAGGTTACCCTGAGGAATGATGCTAATCAGGCAATCAATGTTGTTCTCTGTCACTGGCTGACTGAGTACTCTGCAGTGGCAGTATCCAGGTCAACTTGGTGAGTGGAAGTCCAGTTTGATATGCCCATACATAAACTCCATCCCTGCTACCATGGCCACTGTGTTTATGAAACCATTAGGCAAATGACAGGGTTGGCTGAGGAAGGAACCTGGCTGTTATCCACAGAACAGGCCAACTTCTCCACTTGATTATTAAAGTTCTTGTCTGCTGAGGTCACCCTTAAGTGAGCATTTACATAGGACACAAATATATTTATGTTTTGCCCATTCAGATAGGTCTTATAACATACCTCTTCCCCAGAACTTCTTGCCACCAATTTTTAAGTTATGTTCCTTGCAAGTCCATGATGATCTAGCCAAACCATTGGCCATAGGCAACGCAACGGACAAGTGTGGTTTGTTGTGGAAGAGAAATGTGAATAAGTTTCATGCAGACTAAATGGTGTCACAGGGCTGGAGCATTGATGTATCCTTGAGGTTAGAGAGTGAAGGTGTATTGCTGACCTTGTTAGATAAAAGCAAACTGTCTTTGATGGACTTGACTAACGGGTGTCAAGAAAAATTTGCCAGATCAATAGTTGCATATCAGGTATCAGGGATTGTGCTAATTTGCTCAAGCAATGAAACTATTATCTGGAAGAGCAGCTGCAATTAGAGTTTCCTGTGTGGTTATGTTTATGACATCTATCATTCTCCAAGATCCACGTGTTTTCTGCACAGGTCAAAAATGCAAGTTGAATAGGGATGTGATGGGAATCACCACCCTTGCAATCTTTAAGTCCATAATTGTGGCATTAGTCTTTGAAATCTCTGTAGAGTGCAATATTGCTTTGGTTTTCTGTTTTGCCAGATACAGGTCATTTTAGTGACTTCCACCTGGACTTTCCAACCATGCTAGCTTACACTCCACACTTCAGAGAAGCAGCATGATTATTCTGCCAATACCGAGTATATCTATTCCAATTATGCATTTCAAATCTGGGGAAATAATCACAATCAGTTTGGGGAATTAGACCCTTGGAATTAGGGTCTAATTTCAAGGTCCAATGTTCAGCAGTCTCTGAAAAATATAATTATTTTTATTTCCCCAATGCCTAGCCACACTAGTAAAAAGCTGTAGGTTCCTTTGGAGAAAGCTGGAGAAAGATTAACAGTATATATTTCTGGTAGTGTAGTGGGGTCTTTTCCCAAGGTACTTTGCCTCCTCTTGTTTCCAGGGCTTCTGTGTCCATAAACTGTCTGAGGTCTGTGTTTTTGTAATTGAAGTTATACTTTTGTTTAATCTATTTAGGACTCCTTTGCTTGTACTGATCAAGTAACAATTTTGTAAACTGCTCATCTTCTTTTCTTTTAGGGATGCCATGATTAATTAGCTAATGCTCTAGGTCTCCATGAATCAGATTATTCTAATTATTGCTTTGACTCTACTATTCCTCATGGTAACCATGCCTACCTTGATTTTGGTGCTTAAGTGCTACCACTTGACCCCAGCCACCCCAAGATGCAATTAAATCCATTATATTTAGGGAATCTCACTTCAAGGGCATCATAATTTCTGACCCATGAAGGAGAACAAACACAGAGCCTCTGGTGGTGCTGGGAAGCCCCTTGCAAATTTGTTTCTCACAGTCATGGTGAAAAAAATGTGTCCTCTTTTTCTGTTTCCTTCCTGCACTGGGTTAGCAGTCCTTACATCTTCATTTCCCTAAGCTGTTTGATACTTTTCAGGGTACCAAGACAGATCTGGTATTATATTTTTATTTAGTGTAGTCCACCCTTTCATCCATGTTTAATTCAATTAACCAAACAGAGCCCCTTTAACCTATTGGGCTACAACGATGAATCAAGAATCTCTGTCTAGTGGCCTCATATCAATAAATTCAATCTAATCAAACTTTACATACCTTTCACCATTACCTCACATACTCTTCTACACATGTACCCCAGATTTTTGTCATACATATTGTTCTTTTGGTGTATAGTGAACCTTCTTATGGGTAACCTTTGACACTTTCTGGAGCTCGAGTCTATTTTTGAATCTAAAAATAAAGAGGGATGCTAAAACAGTATCTTTCAGCAAAATAACTCAGAAAGAGACTGTACAGTTTCTCATGCAAAAGAGATTAACTTCTCCAGATGGGTGTAGAAAAGTTGCTTCTACTGATAAAGAAGATTCAACAGAAGTTAGGGGTTCAATAGCCCCAGATTCATAGGATCTGCCCATATGTCCCTATCTCAGTTTTTAGGATCTCCTTTCCTGATCATTGCCTTGACTTTAGCAGAAAATACCTTGCAAGGTGGAGAATTAAATTGCACCGTAATTCAGTCTCAGGAGGAGACTGGGTTTGATTTTCACAAACATTCAACCCAGTAGCTATAGGAGATTTTTTTTTTTTTCAGGGCAGACAAAGAAGCTTTCAGGTCATTAATGTGGAGACAGAGCTTGGAATTTAAAGCCTTGATCTCATTCTTTTCTTTCCATGCTTTCTCTATCAAATTAGAAGAAACCAGCTATCTTCATTATACTCATTAGTTTGATATAAATATCCCAGAACATTGCCTTTTAGAAGCATTTGCTTAGGAGTATCCAATGATTGCCACCTAATGCCACAGGATGAGTGCCCTCTTTACCACTGAAAAGAGTTATCGGTTTCAAATATAATCAATATTTGAATCACTTTGTTCTCATAATAGAGAACCAATCCTAGGAAACCAGAATCCTAGGAAATCAGAAAAACAGTACCAATTGGACACACACACACACACACACACACACACACACACACACACGTATTTCAAGGACTTGGTTTACATAATTTGAGATGTTAGCAAGTCCAAAATCTATAGGTCAGGTAGGCAAGCTGGAAAGTCTCAAGCAAGATCTGATGTTGCAGTCTTGAAGCAGAATTTTTTTTTTCCTCTGGGAAACCTCAGAGTTTTTTGTTTGTTTGTTTTTAAAACCTCTCAACTGATTGGTTAAGACCCAGCTACATTACTGAGGGTAATCTATCTTACTTAAAGTCAACTGATTGCAGATAATAAGCATACTATAAAATATTTTCATATCAACACCTAGATTAGTGTTTGATTAATTAACCGTGTACTCTCTCCTAGCCAAGCTTACAAATAAAACTAACTATCCTAGAAGCAAATTTGGAGTCCTCTGTTTTATGGCTTCCTTCTCTGCCTGGGAAAAAAATCTTTGAACGACAGCTCTGGACTTGAGGGTGGTGCGCTTCTCTCTGAGTCACATCACTACTTTGGGATCTGAGTGCTATGTGGAGGGGTGGGCAGTAGGCATAGGTCTCCTTGCTTTCCTCCCGCAGCAGGAAACCTCACACTTACATGGTGGGTCATGGTTAAGTGGCACCCCACTATTTGCAACAGTGCTGTGCCCAAGGTCGAGCTCATGCTTCACAAGTGGGGTGGTTGGTAGAAGGGAGCCCCCACCTCTTGGACACATTTGGCCAGAACTTAGCTACAGCAACAGGCAGAAAAGGGCAGGACGAGAAATGTTTACAGTTTGCCCCTCCCAGAAAAATACCTCTCTGGCTGAGAGCTGGGGTTGGAGCAAGAGGGAGGGAGCCTGCCTTCTTGGCTGCAGTTTGGGAGTTGGTGGGAGCAGTCAGAGGACATTGGCCTCTCAGGGTTGGTTGAGTAAAGGGAGAGAGTGGGTCTTCATTCAAATACCACAGACCCTAGGCTCAGTTTTCAGTGAATTTTGGTAGATTTTCTTGAATAAATATTTCTTCTTTTTCTGTATGCCCTAGAACCATTTCCAACATTTGTGTATGTGTGTGTGTGTGTGTGTGTGTGTGTGTATGCGTGTGTCATTTTCACCAGTTTTGGTGTGAACAGTGTCTGGAGAGTTACTCATGCTATTATGCTGGGAATGGAATGTTGGTAATGATGGAGCATTGTTAAACTTACCAAGCAATTCTTCTCAGGAATGTAACTGAAGCACCATGCCTTCTACTTTGTGTGTGGCAATGGCACATCCCTTTTTGTGCGTTCCTTTGTATATATAATATGTCTTGAATAAGCGCACCCTGTGTATGTCTTGAATGATTGTGCTTGATGAGTCTCCTCCAAGGAGGACATCCTCATTATAATGTCATAACTGCTCCTAGGGAAAGTTGGATATGATGATGGTCTTGCTGGCAGTGATTGTGGGCCAGGATATTGAGGTTCCCCACAGTCATCCAGTTACAGGTGATTTATGGCCTTTTAAAGATAAAGGGAAACTGACTGAGATCCTATTGAAATAGGCCTTGAATGGAACATATTTGTCAAATCTATGATTGCAAAGTATTTGTTAGTATTCAAATGTAGTAAGCAATTTTTAATAACCATGGGTATGAGGTTCTAAATGTGATGGATCCTGGCATTAAGGCTGTAGTAAAATGTTGTGAGGCATCATTAATTCTTGCTAGGTTTAAAAATAGTCCAAATTGGGATTTTAAAGGGAGAAAGAATGGAGACAATTAACCCTTTTCTAAATAGATCTTTCATAATGGAATTTAATCCGTAAAGGCCCTGCTTTAATCTATTTTGGGCATTGTTAATAATTTTAATATACTGAAGCAGATCCACAGCATCCCTTTTTGTTAAGCCAATTCTAAGTGCCAAAGAAACAATTTTATGTTAGTTTTTTAATTGTTAGTTAAGAGTAGCCATGCCCAGAATGCAATGGAATATTTTAGGAAATGAGTCTTAAGACTATGGAGTATTGATATGGTTTGGCTGTGTCCCCACCCAAATCTTATCTCGAATTCCCACGTGTTGTGGGATGGACCTGGTGGGAGGTAATTGAATCATGGGGACAGGTCTTTCCTGTGCCGTTCTTGTGATAGGGAATAAGTCTTACGAGATCTGATGGCTTTTTTTTTTTTTTGAGATGGAGTCTCACTCTGTCACTAGGCAGGAGTGCAGTGGCGCTATCTCAGCTCACTGCAACCTCTGCCTCCCAGGTTCAAGTGATTCTCCTGCCTCAGCCTCCTGAGTAGCTGGGACTACAGGTGTGTGCCACCACGCCTGGCTAATTATTTTTGTATTTTTAGTAGAGATGGGGTTTCACCGTATTAGCCAGGATAGTCTTGATCTCCTGACCTCATGATCTGCCTGCCTCAGCCTCCCAAAGTTCTGGGATTACAGGAGTGAGCCACAGTGCCCGGCCAAGAAATGATGGTTTTATAAGAGAGAGTTTCCCTGCACAAGCTCTCTCTCTCTTTGCCTGCTGCCACCTATGTAAGACATGACTTGCTCCTCCTTGCCTTCTGCCATGATTGTGAGGTCTCCTCAGCCATGTGGAACTGTAAGTCTATTAAATCCTTTTTCCTCTATAAATTATCCAGTCTCAAGTAGGTCTTTATCAGCAGCATGAAAACAGACTAATACAGGTATTTAGTACCAATGCTTAAGATGGGGCATATATATTTGCCGTCTATATTATATTGGATAACTCCTTAAGAGTACAGAGGTAATATTACTTAAATTTAGTGAAATATTCTGATATACCTGTAACTTTTGCCCAATTGTTGATTAAGGTTATTACGGTTCGCAGGGGTGTATTTGATCTGATGTTAATCTAGAACTTACAATGTAGAGAGAAAATAGCCAATCAGTGTCCTTTTAATTTTTCTGTTAAAAAATAAATGTTAAATTTCCAAAGGGTTAAGTTGTAGACCTTTGTTTTAGTTTTTGTTCTTGCATCCCACCCGTCCCCCTCCCCACCCCTTTTGACTAACCTAATTCTCTCTTTCTCTTTTTGGTTGTTATCAGGTGTACTTTGGTGGTGGTGGGTGGATGGGTGTCCTTTCTAACATGCTCATCTTTGTAAGTTTCTTTCTGAGAGAGTTCCAATGAGTATCAGCAAGGTTAGAGACCTTCTTTCTGGTAATTTTGAGAGACCCAAGGCTTAAATTGGGTTTGAAGGATCTCTTTGGCTGTATAGTGTTGTCATGGGTGCTTTTCCTAATAATTCTGTTCATCTGGAGCATTTTTAGCTACAGAGATATAATCAGCAATAGTAGCAAAGGCATTTTCTGAGGTCCCAGTGGACCATCTATTTTTAGGATTGTGGATGTGAGCATGCCACACAATGATTACCATTCTTCACACCATTTGGAGGGATCATATATTGCACTGATGTCAGTCTTAACCCTGAGTGCTCTTTACAATGGTGTGTGTGTGGGAGGTGATATATGATTGGGACACATAACCAGTGCTCATAGGGTAAGAGTTATTCCACTGAGTTACTGTCAACCACAGCTCATGCTGTAGTTGAGAAACACAATTCCATCTGAGACATACAGATAGCTTTGGTTTGAGACACATGATCCAGGGCTACTGAAAAGAGGATCCCTGTTTGTCATTCCTGTCTCACAATGCAAATTATTGAAACTTCTGATTGAAACTTGAATTGAGGTGAGGATTCTCCCACTTTGGCCTGGCTTGCTTGGTTTGGAGTTCTCATTAGTAACAAGGGAGAATGAGTTGAAGTTTTCTTCTCAGTTTGACCAGATGAGGCATAGAAAGTGAAGTAGGAGCTGGGGCTGGAAAGGAGTCAGCAGTCAAACTCCAAGAATGGAGTCAGACTTCTTATTACACATGGGTGATGGGGGAGGGGTGGGGCTGGTAAGTAGAATGAAGGGGACTACCATTTTTAAATTTTGCTTTTTAGAACTTTTTGACTGAATAAAAACCTATTTGTAGGTATTATTTTAAGTCTTGAAAATGATTTTTTCTAAAAGAGAAAAGAGCATGGGCTCTGAAATCAATCTGACCTACATTTAAACACAAGCCCTACAGCTCATTATGTGTGCAAAGGAGACAAATTACCTCACACTGCATTAGTTTCTGTTGTCTCATCTATAAAATAAGTGTAATAGCTGTTCCTTTAAATGAAAGCTTTAAGTGGAAACTTTTATAACTTTAAATTGAATAAAAGTGCCTGGATAATGATAAAGTCTCAATATTATCAGGTTGTGCATTTGAATGAATGAAAAAGAAAAACAAAACCAAATCAACATAAAACTTTAAACATTTCCATAAATGTAAAATTAATAGAATAAAACTTTAATATCATCATGCTAATGTTAATCCATGTTGTATGATATATTTACCTTTTTAACCAATTGGTGTTTTCTTAGATATTAAAGAGGAGGAAAAATCATACCAAGTTATCAGGTGGTTTTCACCTGAAGATCATCAAAAAAGAATTAAGAAGCATTTTGATAGCTACATAGAAACAGCATTGGATGGCAGGTAACTTCTTTTCATTCTATGAAGCAAAGAGTCACTATTTTAGTGATACAAATGAATAGAGAGATGCATGATATTTGGAGTGAGTTTTAGAGAAATAGATGGGTGGGTGATGGATAGATGGAGAAATAGATGATGTGTGAGTGGATGAATGGATAGATGGATGGACAGTTGGATAAATGAGGGGATGGAGAAATAGAGGACAGCTGGGTGGTTGAGTGGATAGAGTAGACAAGGTTTGCATTCCCAACAATTGAGTCTATAGTGTCCTTCTTCTACCGTAAGGGTTCTATAGAAAGCAGGGGATTGCTCCTCTGAGCCTTGCTTACAACACTTCACCTATAATCTCTGTATGCATTCTCCCCAACAAAGAAGCTAGGATCTTCAACTCTTTTGTTTGTCAAGAAAAAAGAAACACCTATTCTCACTTATTTTCCCTCCTTGTCCTCTCATAAATTCACTAATGGAGAAAACTCTTATGAACATTGATTTTTCACACCTTGAACCTTCACCTTTTAAACTCCTTAAAAACAATCAAATGCCATGATGGTATACAATGAGAGATGAGCCTGAGACTTCTTGCCCTCACCTGGAATACAAAGAATCTCCTTCATCTGCCACATAAAAGAGGAGAAACACAAATCCATGCCATTCTTAGTTAATTATAGTGGCTTCATCCTCTTTGCTTTCCTTGAAAATTCTACTCAGTAGTCAAGGTGGTGCTCAAATCTAATTATTCCATAAAGCTTGCTTCCTCACTCAAGCTGGAAGACCACTTTCTCTCCTCCATAGGTCTGGCATATAGCACTCATTTGATACTTAGTCTATGGCATCTTGTGTTGTTACATATTTTTAAAGTATATGTGTTGTCTCTTCTCTTCCAGCTTGATTTCTTTGAAGACAGGTTCCAGATACATGTTAAATATTTTCTAAGTTACTGGGATCAGTGCCTTCCTGTGATTTTTTCAATTTATTTACTTGAAATATGATTAATGTTATACTTTTGGGAAGTTCATACTGTATATATTGAATTTATCCACAATATTTAAAAATCATTCTTTATGTAAAATTTTTTTTAAAAAATGAAATAGTGGATAATTTCAGAGAATCACCATTGTTGTAATTTAAAGTTGATTCTTAAGAACAGGCAGAGATCTGCATATCACTCATGAGTTCTAAACCTGTAGGCCTTCTTTATGTGAAGTGACATGATATGATGGTGTCTGGGTTACAGGCTTGCTGGGCTATTGCTTCTTCCATTCTTCATGTGATTAGGAGGTCTGTGGTCTCCAGAGCACCTGTACCTATTACCACTGCTCAGGATCTATTTCATCTCTTCTTCTGTATTCTATACAAACAGGATCATTTTCCATGCAAGCAATTATGGGAAGACATTGAAGGGCAGTAGCTTCTGGAATAGTGCCATAGGGAAGAGTCTTAACTAGGTGTCAGTAAAACTTTAGCATGTTCCAGCCAGCATGAAGTGAAAGACTGATAATAAATTTCAAACCAGGCTTTTATTTTTATTTTATTTTTTACTGTTTAACTCCTAGGCTAGGAAGAAAAATCTCGTTTCAGCTGAGATTTTGGATTCTAATATTGTCATCAAAAAGTTCACTGCATGAGACAATCTGTCAAATGCAAGATACACAGTATTTTTAAAAAGACTACATCATCAATATTTAAGGAGCCTGTCAAATTACTTACATAGATTTCTGGAGAAAAGACAGTCACTCACAAAAAGTCAGTATATAAATGAAGGTTAACAGAGCATCACAGGATTTATAAAGGAGACATATAACTCTGAGATCTGCTGTGGTCAGAGATGGCTCCCAGAGTAGGACGTTGAATTGGCATTGATGGTGGTGGGAATTGGATCAGGGGAAGAAATAGGATGGGAGCAAGTGGGGACATTTTAGAGAGCAGAAATATCTGGACCAGAGTGACCAGAGCTGAGAGTATTTGTTGAAACATTGTAGAATGGGTTGATGGATACTGGTTATATTCTTAACATACCTGAAATATTTTTTTGAGTCTAACATTCTCCCAAATACTGTAAAATTACACTTTCCCAAATATTTATTATTTATTTTCTTTATTACAGAAAAGAATCTGAAGCCCTTGTAAAGCTAATGGAAATATTTGGGACTCAATGTAGTTATTTGCTAAGCAGAAAGGATATAATGGATTCCTTAAAGAATGAGAACTATGATCTGGTATTTGTTGAAGCATTTGATTTCTGTTCTTTCCTGATTGCTGAGAAGCTTGTGAAACCATTTGTGGCCATTCTTCCCACCACATTCGGCTCTTTGGATTTTGGGCTACCAAGCCCCTTGTCTTATGTTCCAGTATTCCCTTCCTTGCTGACTGATCACATGGACTTCTGGGGCCGAGTGAAGAATTTTCTGATGTTCTTTAGTTTCTCCAGGAGCCAATGGGACATGCAGTCTACATTTGACAACACCATCAAGGAGCATTTCCCAGAAGGCTCTAGGCCAGTTTTGTCTCATCTTCTACTGAAAGCAGAGTTGTGGTTTGTTAACTCTGATTTTGCCTTTGATTTTGCCCGGCCCCTGCTTCCCAACACTGTTTATATTGGAGGCTTGATGGAAAAACCTATTAAACCAGTACCACAAGTAAGTGAACCCTCAGCATTCAGTTTGGGATTCACATAGAGTCCTTGGGTGCATAGTTGGTGGCTGCCACCTGCCAGTGGGATCCTGAGGTTGAAGTAGGGATTGGCAAAGGAGGCACCTAGGGCACGTTCTTAAAGGAAGTGCTGACTTTCAGGGTTTGGCAAGTACAGTGTCAGGCCTTGCAGGATCCTGAGATAGAGATCTCCTTAAATTGGCTCCTCTCTTGCCATGCCCTGGTCTTAGAATCAGTGGGATGAGCCCTTTAATTAAAGTTGCTATTTTCATTTTAATTTTTATGTTGTGTGATTATGTGTAAAATAAATACGTAGTTAGTGCCCATTACATGCAATAATTGTTAAGGAGATGAGCTACTCACAGTGAAACAGACAACACTGTGGTTTCGGGGTAAGCAGGGTGGGACTGCATGGGACTGACAGCAAGAACTGACAGTGTTATCTCCAGTGTTCCCTGCCTGTAGAGCCCTGGCTCCTGGTTCCACCTAGACTTTCTGACTTGATTTGTCTGGGGTGGGCCCCTGCCATTGTAATTTGTAAATGCTGCCTGGGTGATTCAAACAGCGCAGACTCAGAACCACTGCTATAGAAGATTTTCAAAGGGAGGAGAGCTGAAATGAGTTGGCAGCCTGTTGCCTCTGAGCACTGGGTTCCCATTTTACAGAAGTTATTATATTTAGTATCTTGACATCTATAGGGAGGTGTGTTCATCTCCATTTTTATTAATGGAGGAGGACAGAAGCACAGGTGATGTAGGTGACCTTCCCACCACTGTGTAGTGCAGAGGCCACGAGACCCTGGATTTGGCCTGGACTTTCCAGGTACGAAAGTGACTGTTCTTCCTTCCCTGATCTTATATTGAGTAAACAGGAAGAGTTGGGGAATGATCTATGGATGAGATGGACTTTGCATTGGTGGTAGGTGTATTTAGGAATGGAGCTGGGAGGGAAAGCACCCCAGGTCAGGGAGCGGGGGACCTAACATGTGGAGGTGCAAGTGAGATGGCCATAGCACTGGGTTCTCTGGGTGACGCTGGCTAGATTAGTGTAGTAGAAGATTCAATTGCATGAATAAAACCATGGGGATTTAATTGAGGTCTTAGCTACCAGGAGGGTGGGTCAGGTCTTCGCATTGGGGCAGTTGTGGAAATTGTTAGGAAGAGAATAATGGGAGTTGAGATTATGAGATAACAGATGCTTGTTTTCAAATATTTTTTCTCTTTTTGATTATTTTAATTGTGGACAAATATTTATAATATAAAATATACCACTTTAACCATTTTTAAGGGTATGCTTCAGTGGCATTGAGTACACTTATATTGTTGTGCAACTAACTATCGTTACCATCTGTCTCCAAAACATTTTTTTATCTTCCCAAATTGAAACTTCCTATGCATTAAACAATATGTTAAATAGAATGAGCATTTGGCTCAGCCACTAAAGGTGCGATTCAGAACAAAGTGGTTTCCATTTTTTGTTAGAGGTGCCATCCCCACCCCCCATTCCGACAACTACAGGCATGAGCAGTGCACAGCACCTCTCCTTAACCCCTCCCTTCCCAGCTCGGTACCTGGCTGTGTCCACAGCATGTACAAGCCATGCCCAACAGCCACAAGGGGTGGGAAAAAACTGGGCCTGCCATTGTGGCCCCATGAACCAGCTGGCCAGCGCCTCCCAGTGGAACTTTTTCTCCCCTGGCCAAGGAGTTCAGCCTGGCCTGAACCGGGGGAAGGCTATAATGATTAAAGGAACCTATTTGCACAGAGCAAGAGGTTCTTTCCCCAGGACCTCCCCTTTTTGCCCCTTAAGCTGTGTTTTTCTTTCTTTTATTTTTTTCCTTTTCTAATCGAGAGGGTTCCTTTTCCCAGCACGCTGCTTCTGATAGAGAAAATAATGGAGGAGCGACCCCTGCTGGCTGATAACTGCAAATTCGGCAGGGCCCATTTGAGACAATCTAAACAAGATACATGCAGCCCCTGAAATCCGTTTTTGTCCCAAACTCAATTCCAGGTTTCAGGCTGAGGGCCTAGAAAGGAAAACCCGATCTGCCCGATCTGAGGGATCAAAAGTCAGGCAACAGGCACAATGTAAATGGGCAGGACAAATTCCTGCTGACTAAACCCCCACTTCATGGAGGGAGGCCATGCTCCAGGCATAAATGAGGCCCAGGGAACTCAAAGGTTTTCAACAGCAGGGGAAATAGAGGCATAGGTGAGGGGAGATAATTCCTATTCTCTAGCCCCACCCTGCTTCACGGGTGCAGACCACAGTGGCACCTGTGGGTGGCATCCATAAAGTTGCCAGGACTCAGGGACAACAGATGGAAGAGAAAGTCCCTTGCTTTCTCTCTCCCTCACACCCTGAGTTTTCATTGAAAGAAGGAAGGGAAATGAGGGACACCTCTATTTCCCTGTCTTTCAGAATGGGCAACCAGCTCTCTTCACCACCCCCAGCTTATTCTCCTCTGGAGTGTATCCTGAACCACTGAGATGGCTTTGACCCTCAGAATCTGGAGGAAAAACACCTCCTAGCCTGTGTATCCTGAACCACTGAGTCTGCTTTGACCCTCAGAATCTGGAGGAAAAACACCTCCTAGCCCTCGGAACAAAGGTTTGGCCAAATTATGAAGGACTGGCTTGGTCTCAGGAAGGAACCATTCATTGTGATACCATCTGGCAGCTGGACATTTTCTGTAGGCGTGAGGACGAATGGCCTGAGGCCCCACATGTGCAGGCTTTTTATACCTTGCAGGGAAATCTAGATCTTTGCTGACAGTGTAGGATTGATCCAGCCCTCCTGCTTTGTCATTTCAGGAGAGGCTGCAAAGGGCAATTCCAGGGAACTAAAGAAACAAATCCCAGAGGCACTCCCAGCAGAGAAGCCAGCTCCCTCCAGCTCTGCTCCTCTGGGTCCACCTCAACCTCTCTATCCAGCTTCAGTCTCTCGCTTGCCTAATCCTAGAAATCCTCACCCTAGACAAGCCCCAGTCTCACTCCTCCTCTTCCAACAGATGCCAGGTGAATTTGGCCCCAGTAAGGTGCAGGTCTCCTTCCCCCTACAGGACTTAAAGTACATTAAGGGGGATTTTTGGCAAGTTTTCACATGACCCTGACAGATAGATAGAGGCTTTCCAGAATTTAACCCAGGTATTTGAACTCTCTTGGAGAGACATTGTGTTACTTTTGAATCAGATCCTGATGAACACTGAGAAGCAGGCTGCTCTGCAAGTAGCAGAGAGATTTGGGGATGAGCTTTGTTTCACATATAGTGTCAGGAAAGGGGGCAAACTTTATCCGACTGGAAGAGAAGCAGTACCAGTAAATGACCCTGGATGGGATGGATCCCAGTGTTGAAATGGGAGACTGGAAGAGGAGATACTTTCAGGTATGCATCATGGAGGGATTACGTAGGACTAAGACCAAGCCTCTTGATTATAGCAAGCTATCTATGATAGACCAGGGATTTAATGAAAATCCCACTGCCTTCTTGGAGAGGCTAAGAGGGGCCTTGGTAAAGCATACCCCCGTATCTTCTGATTCAGTGAAGGGACAACTAATTCTGAAGAATAAATTTATTACTCAGACAGCCCCTGATATCAGGAGGAAGTTGCAGAAATGGGCCCTGGGACCAGATAATACTTTAGAGGTCTAACTGAAAGTGGCCATCTTTGCCTTTTACAATAGAGATGGGGGACACAAGAAAGAGGCAGAAGCATTAATGGTCACCATGCAAGCCCATAAACCCCAGAATTCCCAGGGTACACTTGTTAATTGCTACAGATGTGGCAAGAACAGTTGTCTCTCTTCTAAAGTTGAACCGCTTCTATACAAGGTTTAATTTCTTTCACCAGGGTGAAACAGCTCAAAGCAGAATGGTTTTAGTATTTTCACTTGTTATTTCTGTGATCTTTGGCACTAGATTATTTTCTTGTATAATACACTTGTTTAACCCATGCCTACTTAACCTTATAAAACTTGTTTTTTCCTCTCACTTAGAGGCCATCAAACTCCAAATGGTCAGGCAACCGGAGCCTCGGACAACGGCTCCCTTTTGCAAGGACCCTTAGATAAACCTCTGGGAGGAATCTGACTGCTGTTTTCTCCAAAATAGTGCCACCTGTCAGCAGAAATTAGCTAAGATTGGCCATCGTCCATATTCTAATGGCAGTTAGATTTGCCTCTGCAGAGAGGGGAGATGATACGGCTAGGAGACAGAGAAATACTGGGTAGAAGAGGGCAGTTCCCTGGCAAAGGTCCCAATTTCAAGCCTGGAAACCTCTGGCCCTAACTGAGAACATGCATTCCTGTTTTCACACACAAAAGTTGCCTTTTGGCTCTCCACACGCCCCTCTCCTGTACTCATATAAATCTGAGACCTCAGGTTCCAGAAGCAGATGAAAAGGAGATGAACAGAAGAGCAGAAGAATGGCATAATGGTGTGGCAGAGAGAAGAGAAGGAGAGTCTGAACACCAAGAGGAGTTCAGCTGGGGGCGATTGGAGAGGAGATCAGCCACTGGATGGCTGAACTCCAGGAAGACCATCTTCCCATTCCGTCTCCTTTCCAGCTCCCCATGCATCCCATCCCCACCACTCAATAAAACCCCCACATTCACCATCTTCAAGTCTATGTGTGACCTGGTTCTTTCTGGATGCCAGACAAGAACCTGGGTACCAAGAGGGCGTTGAGCTGGTTAACACTTAAGCCGTCTGTAGATTGCAAAGCTAAAAGAGTGCACTGTAACACACACCATGCTCACGTGGGCTTTAGGAGTTGCAGGCACCCACCCTTATATACTGCTGTGGGGCCAGAGCCCCAAAGCACTCACCCAGGCTCATGCACCTGCCCGTCTGCATGCTCCCCCTTCTGTAAGGAGTTTGAGCAGCAGCGGAGGCTGCGGCCAAACTGACAAGCCACACCCTTGTCACATACCCTGTGAGGGGGGGTCAGGGAACTTTCCCATTTCACTGTCATCAAAATTTATTTGACCATAATGCAAAAGTCTATTTCCGGGCTCAGTCTTCTATTCCACTGGTCCATGTGTCTATCTTTATGGCAGTACTACACTACTTGGATTACTGTAACTTTGTAATATGTTTTGAAATCAGCAATTGTGAGAACTTCTTCTCTGCTCTTTTTCAATATTATTTTGAATATTCAGGGTTCTTGATATTTCTTACACATTTTAGAATGATTTTTCTGTTGCAAAAGAAGTTATTGGGATTTTGATAGGGTTTGTATAGAATATGTACATCCCTTTGGATTGTACATATTTGACATCTTAATAAGTGTCCCAATTCATGAAGCCAGAATGCCTTTCCATTTTTGTGTGTGTGTCTACTTTCTTTCAGCAAAATGTTCATGTTTTAAATGTAAAATCTTTCACCTCCTTGGTTAAGTTTATTTTATTCTCTCTGATATTATTGTTGAAATTGTTTTCCTAATTTCTTTTTTGATTTGTTCATTGTTAGTGTATGGAAATGCAGCTGACTTTGGAGACTTGACTTTTTTCCTTCGACTTTGCTGAATTTGTTTATTAGTTCTAATAGATTTTTAATCTTTAGTGTGTGTGTGTGTATGTTATTTTTAAAGTTTTACATATATAGAATCATGTTATCTGCCATTATTTCTTCAAATAGCCTTTCTTTCCCTTTCATTTTCTCTCGTAGTGCACATATTGATCCACATGATAATGTCCTATTGTCCCTTACATTTTGTTCATTCTTTTTTTCTTTTTCTTTCTCAGACTTGACAATTTCAAATAATTTGTCTTCAAGTTCACTGATTATTTCTTTTGCCCACGAGAAAAAAATTCAATTTAATGATTTCATATTTGAGCTCCAAAAATTTCCTGTTTTAAATTGAAAGCTTTCTCTTTGTTGATATTCTAAATGTGTTTACATATTGTTTTTCTTGTTTACTTTAGTTTTTTTCCCATGTTTTCCATGAGCTCCTTGGGCATATTTAAGAGAGTTTCTTTAAAAATATTTGTGTAGTAAGTCCAATGCCTGTGTTTCTTTAGGAAGGGTTTCTGGATATTTATTTTGTTTTTCAAAATTATGCATTTTGACTATTTCTTTGTATGCCTTGTGATCTTTTGTTGAAAATTGGACATTTGAACAATTAGTTACTTCTGTCAGTCTTTGCAGTCTGGCATGGAAGAGCATGTTTTGAGTGTTTTGATCAAGATTAAGGTCTTCTCAGGTATTTTTTGGTTATGTGTCTCATCTGGACTTTTGTGTGTGCTTTTCTTCCTCCAATTCCCTCTGTATGCTCAACTGTTTTTGAATGCCTTAATTTCCCAATGAACCTCGCCCAGACTCTTCTTGGACTTTAGATGTTCTATTATATTCTTCTGTCCATAACTTCTTGACCCAAGCCTTCATAGGTCTGCAGTATCCCTTAAGCTTTCATACGTCATGGTACCTACCACTGCTTTCTATGACTTCTGTCAGCTTGAAATCTGAGCTATGTCACCATTCCCAGTGTGAGCTCTGAATTAGGTGAGACAAACCAGTCACTAAGTAGCCAACAGACAGGTTAGAATGTTGTAAATAGTTTCTATTCTGCTCCTTCTGGCTGAGGGAAAGAATGCACAATTGAGCTTTTGCCTGTGGACTGTGGTCTGCCACTCCAGGGCAAAGGTAAATAAAATGGATTAGAAATTTATACTGTTTGAAAGTGGCTTTTTCTTGATTGGGCATTTGGTTGCTTGCTGTGTATCTTTGACTGGTTTTCAAAACTCTACGGAGTCATTTGAGTCAGTCTCCAGTTGATTTTCAAATGTTTCTCTGAAAGAACAAGGGCATGCGGCTGCTGATTAACATTATTGCTCTGCTTCTTTTGATTTTATATAATGATTTTATAATTACAAGAACAACAAAGCTGTTTTCAGTTTGTTAATTGAGATGGTAGTTCAGGCAGTGTTATGCTGGATGGAATCAAGTTATCCTACACAATGACCCAGTAGAATGAGGGGCTCAGGACTAGAGACAGTCACAAAAATGCTGAGAGAGGAAGAGTCTGAAGAAATGTTTGGAAGTAATAATTGATGAAACAGTGCTAGAGCTAAGTTTTAGGGCATTAGATCATAATCTTTCTTAAGAATTACCTGAGGACAAAAATAGGCTAGGTAGCTATGCAAATATCAGACAAAATAGACTATATGTCAAAAATATTTACAAGAGACAAAGAAAGGCATTACACAATATAAAATTTTATGTTTGCATTCACATAATTATAATATTATAAGTATCATTTAAAAATAATATATGAAATATCATCAACAATATATAAGAGCTATAAATATATATGCACCAAACAACAGAGCACCAAAATATGTGAAGCAATAATTGATGGAATTGAGGATGAAATAGACATTACTACAGCAATAGCTTGGGACTTCGATACCCCATTTTTAGTAATGGAAAGATTATCTACACAAATGATCAATAAAGAAAGAGTTATCTTGAACACCATCATAAACCAACTGGACCTAATAGAAATTTAGAGAATACTCCACCCAACAACAGCAGACTACACCTTCTTCTCAAATGCACACAGAATATTCCCCAAGATAGTCCGTATGTTAGGCTACAATATAAATCTCAATTCATTTCAGAAGACTGAACTCATCAAAGCGTTTTCTGTGATCCCAATAGGATGAGCTAGACATCAATAACAGGAACAAAAACTTAAAAAAATCACAAATTTATAATTTATATGCAAAAACGTGTCCTCAGGTATCAGAAAAATGACTTCTAGGTCATCCAGACACAATATGAGCACAGTGCAGAGGTCACTGAGCTGTGCCAGGAGCCATAATAATAGCTTCGGGAGAGTGAAGACAAGGCACTGATGGGAGGGTATGTTTAGTAAATAGACTGGGTTTCATTTCATGGACACTTAGGCGTTCTCAATTTTGCCACCTCCTTTCTTTTGTCATCTCTCTCTAGGACTTGGACAACTTCATTGCCAACTTTGGGGATGCAGGGTTTGTCCTTGTGGCCTTTGGCTCCATGTTGAACACCCATCAGTCCCAGGAAGTCCTCAAGAAGATGCACAATGCCTTTGCCCACCTCCCTCAAGGAGTGATATGGACATGTCAGAGTTCTCATTGGCCCAGAGATGTTCATTTGGCCACAAATGTGAAAATTGTGGACTGGCTTCCTCAGAGTGACCTCCTGGGTAAGGACTGCTTAGGTCTGCTCTTCTCTTTCCATTGACCTGCCTTTGGTGCTCGTCAGTGTTCTGACCTCTAGCTGGGCATTTGTATCAGCCTACGTAGTAGCTACTCATAGGTAAAGGTAATGCTCAGAGGACAGGAAAAGAACAGCCAGCTGGAATTCTTTGGGAATCAGGCTGTACTTCAAAAATGGTGAAAACAGCCACTTTCTCTTTTTCTTTCTAACCCAAGCGAGGCCTGAAGTTTCCAACCAGAGGTGATATGTATGTGGTCATGTTGCCTTGACCCTACTACATTTGACACTGAACAGAGTCACCCCAACACAATCTAAGATAATATGTAAACTCCAAGAGCATATATCTGGGAGTATGTTGCCCCTGTTCTGTGGCCTTCTGACCACCTGTTTAGTAATGTGCCATTACACAAACACACGTATACCTATATAAATACATCTTTTTATCTACTAAGGATGTGAAAGACTCATACATTCACAACATTGATGCCAACATTATCTGAAGGATGTGCCACAATATTAGTGCCAAGCTGAGTAATCACATAGCCAGGTATTGAGTCATTTGGTAACAGAGCTCCTTACAGTTCAATAGGTTTTACTGTCCTTGTGATACTTTTTGGAGACCTCTCACTGACATCCTCAGTGACTGGATCAGAGATTCATAACTAAGTTTATGGCTCAAAGTCAGCTTGGTAAATTAAGATACAGGTTTCTGTATATTTAATTTATAAGACATGGGACAAGGAAAAATATTTTCATTTTCAAAGGAACACAAGTAGATTCGAATCCACATTTCTGTTGAGAAACACAGATTTAACTCTTCATTATCAAAAGTCACTAGCTTGCTCTAAATAAGGGTGGGACAGGCAGACAGGAACTAGAAATACGGAAGTAGAAGTGTATGGTTTATTATTCCTTGCTTTCACAGCATTCTTCAAATGGAGAAAACAGCACATACAGTGTAGGTACTATGAAGCAACAGAGAGCAGGAAGTAAATGGAGAGATGAGGTGAAGAGAGAAGGATGGCTGCATGGATGGAGAAATATGCCTTGCTTATCATTCTTCTCTCCAGCTTTCCCTGCATTCAGAGTCTTAGATGGATTGGGGCTGAGGTGAGGAATCTCTACAGAAAGGGAGGCTTGAATCTTGTATCCTGGAATGTTCACACTTGTGTGTCCCAAGCAAAATCAGTGAATTCATTTTCTCAACAGACCTTGATTTCATTGGTGTTTCATCTGACTTTTCTGCTTTACCTGGTATTCCAAAATTTTTCATCCTGAAGTGTTCCACTCTCTTTCTTATTTGCCACAGCTCACCCCAGCATCCGTCTTTTTGTCACTCATGGTGGGCAGAACAGCGTAATGGAGGCCATCCGTCATGGTGTGCCCATGGTGGGATTACCAGTCAATGGAGACCAGCATGGAAACATGGTCCGAGTAGTAGCCAAAAATTATGGTGTCTCTATCCGGTTGAATCAGGTCACAGCCGACACACTGACACTTACAATGAAACAAGTCATAGAAGACAAGAGGTATGTGGCTCTCTAAGCATGTGGTCACTAAGGCTGAATGAAGATAGAAAACACAAGGGATACTGTGTATGTATTTTTCACAATAATAGCTGAAACTTCTGTGACATGGAATAACATGTGTGTGATGCTAACAGCCCACCTGTTTTCTCTGGTAAGTCTCTAGGAAGACTAATTTAGGTTAGATGCTGAGAATTACTTTCCTACCTTAAGGCTGTGATGGCGACAAATTATATACACATGATCTCTTTGACTGATCTTATATTTGGGAGTCCCTCTAGTGGAATTCCAACTGAAGCGGGGGGTTTCTTTGTGTGTTTCCCCAGTGTGCCTGCTCTTCTCACCTCTGGCTTCTTCGTCTGTGCTGCTCCCTAGAACACCCTTCCCTTCTCTTCACAGGACTGGCTCCTTCATGACATTTGGGTCTCTTCTCCAATGTTTCTTCCATAGACAGGGTTGTGTCTTTGACAATCCTAACTAGCCTCCTCTCCCACTCAGCCTAATCATAATATACTATTTCCTTCCTAACACTTTTCAAGATTTGTAATGACTCCATTTATTTATGTTTTTATTAATTGTCTGGCCCCCAACACAAAAGAGTAGAGAGTCAGCTTCATAAGTACAGCAATGTCTCTCTCTTTTTTTCAACTCTGTTCCCAGTGCTTACTGCAGAGCCTGCCACAAAATAAGTTTCCATGAATTTCAGTTAAGTGAGGAAATAAAAGCGGCATAGTGACCTTCTTGGTTACTGCCCATCCAGCCAATGATCTTATAATCAAGAAGGACTGAATACCTTATTATGGTTTCAGAAACACAAACCCTGAATCAGGTACATATTCTCTCATATATGGTCATATATATTTTTTCCTTTAGTATACCATAAGCATCCTAGGGATATGGACTAGTTCTTAGAGATTTAATCACTTTCCTACAGTTTAACACTTTTAGAATTAATCATTGGTCTTTGTATGTGGGTGTTTTTATTGAACTTTTCAAGAGGATTCAGTGAGACCGTGGCAAGGCCATGCCAACAAATTTTCTTTGCAGCCCAGCCTTGGTGCATGTGTTAGAAAAGTGTTTGTATGCTTGTGTGTGTGCTCATGCAATACAAAGTCTGTAAGACTTGTGAGGCTACGTCAGTAACACACCCTCTCTGTCTCCGCCAACAGGTACAAGTCGGCAGTGGTGGCAGCCAGTGTCATCCTGCACTCTCAGCCCCTGAGCCCCGCACAGCGGCTGGTGGGCTGGATCGACCACATCCTCCAGACTGGGGGAGCGACGCACCTCAAGCCCTATGCCTTCCAGCAGCCTTGGCATGAGCAGTACCTCATTGATGTCTTTGTGTTTCTGCTGGGGCTCACTCTGGGCACTATGTGGCTTTGTGGGAAGCTGCTGGGTGTGGTGGCCAGGTGGCTGCGTGGGGCCAGGAAGGTGAAGAAGACATGAGGCTAGGTGTAGCCTTGGGTGAGGGGAGGGCATCCCTGGTCCTTTGAAGGTTCTCCCCACCCCAGCACACGCCACCCCTCTGTTCTCTCTTCAGCTCCACCTGCCACTGATCCTGCAACTTGCTTCTTTCTATTCTCTGCCTCTGTTTAGAAATCTTCACGCACCACTGAGGCTTCTTGACTTGCCCCTTGTGACTTGAAACCCCAGCTCAGATACAAATTTTCACCTGCCAGCCCTGCCTCCTCCTTTCTCCCTTTTCCTAGACACAGGACTCTGACAACTTCATCCTCCTTGTTTAGATGACTTCCCAGTTTCCAGTCCCCATTTCTCCTTCTATCACTTTTCATAAAAAAACTCAGGAAATATTTGACATATCTTCCATTTCAAATTCTTCCATTTTATGCAGATATCTTGCCCTTCCTATAAGCTCTCCTCAAAGCTCAGGAAACCTGGTCTGCTCTCCTGCATTTAGGGAAGGAGAACCCCTGCCAAGACCTTTGCTCACTGCCTGAGACCCCTTCCTTAGAGAGCACCTCCTTTGCTGGTCAGACATGGAGCCTGCAGTTGGTCACAGATGATACTGCTTTATTTCAGTTTTTACAGTTGTCTTCTTAAGATTCCCGTCTTATAAATGGAGTACAGGGAACCTCAAGTAGTGAAGTGGAAATCCATGTGTAAGGCTTTGTGGCTTCAGGTACCAGTGGCTAAGGTAGTTTTAAAGACTTTGTTGATTTTAGAAAAAGTCCATCTTCCATCCCCGACATGGCAGTTAATACCCTTCTATATGGTAAAACCTTAGAGATTACCTTAATCTGCTAGGAACAGAAGCAAGAAAAACCATGGCGTAAACACCCCCAGAGTTTTTGTTCATTTGTTTCATCTTTCTTGATAAAGCCCGAAGGTAGCCCATTCAGGGCTGTTGTGGTTGGTTGCTCCATCATGTCATCAATAGCCCATATCTTTTCTTTTTTATCTTCCTTAGTGTAACACCAAACTACCTCTCTGATAGCTGGTGTTCATGAAATATTTTACCTTCAAATGATTGTACCTTTTTATTTGCTTTAGAGTTCTGAAATAAAATGAAATTCCACTGTAATAAAACTGTCAAATGCATGGTGTCTGATGAGTTAAAAACACAGAGTAGAAAACAGGCATATGGAGAGGCCCTGGATGAACCATAGTTTTAGATTGTTTAATTCTAGAATTGTGAAACAGATCTTGAAACAATTCAGATCAAAAGATGAAACTGTTACAAATGCTCCTGCAGAAATAGAGAATGCCCCCCACCAAAAACTTTGCCAATTCCATGAAAGGATTTGCTTGCGAGTCTGCAGAGCTGAGTGCTGGATGTCTATCCATTTTGTGAGTTCTCATGACACAAGAGCCAGAAGCATGAAGCACGCAGAAGTACATTAGAGTGTGTGTATCTGTGTGCGTATAATACAAGGTTTTATTGCTGTAATTCTTATGAAACCACATGAATTGATTGATGGCCATACTCCCATGAAGGGCAGACATGGATGCTTCCCTGTGTTTTCTGTTGAATCAACAGCCATGATTTCATTCCCCTCATGAGCAACATAAGGTCTTAGGGATAAGCCTCCCTGGCCAGTAACTCCCCCCTCACCCCAGAACATAGCCTTTCTCTAACACTTGGTAATTCATTGAGGTCAACTTTATGCCACTTGTATAAACTTGCATCCCTAAAATCTGATCATAAGCAGCCAATGAGCCAGAATGATGCTTCTAATCTTGCTCTGTCCAAGCACCCTCCACAGGGCTGCAAGCATGGCTCTGACAACCTAGAAATCTGGTGTTATCCCTCACTGTTTAAAATCTTTGTTCCCATTGTGTGGAATATAAGGGCTCTATGATTTGGTCCTGGCTACCAATCTAGGCACACCTGGAGCAGTTCTCCTCCCACTCTTTTCCAAATGTTCGCTACACCCCCTCAGAACACATTTTGCTGTTTTTAACCTCTGAGGTTTGTCTATGCCCTTCCTTCTCTCAGAAATACCATCCTATTCTTGCTGGAATGAGAAACTTCTGCTTATCTGTCAGTATCCAGTGTCATTGTGTTCACATTGGTAAGCCTGTGCCTGACCACTACACCTGAAATGGAGCTCACTGCATTCTCTTTTGAAGCATTTTTCTTACTATATCGCAATTATTTATTACAATATCTGTTTCCTATTTAGAAACCATAAGGTCATAAAGACAGGGACTGGTTCCTATTTATCTTGTTATAGAACCTGGCATAGTGCCTGGAACAAATACTGCTAGGACAACTGGATAATATTGAGAAAAAAGGCAATATTTGATCCAGACTTCACACTATATCAAAAACTGAATTCCTATACACCAGATATCTAGGTACAAAAAATGATACCATGCTGAGTCTAAGAGAAAAAGTGAATTTTTCCATAGCCTGTGTATAGGGAGAGACTTTCTAAATAGGAAGAAAAAATCCTGATACAACAAGAGAAGTGTAAATTAATTTGACACAAAAAACTTTGGCATGGCAAAAATCATGGTAAGAAGATTAGCGATCCAAATTAAAAAGTTGGAGAAACATAGCTGCAGCATATATCTTACACATAGACCTAATATTTCTGATAAACTAAGAACTATTAAAATTGAAGAAAGAACCTATGATACATATACATACTGAAATAATATTCAGCTTTAAACTACAATAAACAAAAGCAGAATAAGCTAATATGGAGCAAATTCCAATATGGTTAAGTAAAAAATAGCAAAGAGTAAGAGTAACTATAGGATGTATCCTTTTTTTTATAAGAAAAAGGAAAGTATGTGTATGGGGGATAATGAAAAAAATACATATCTATGTGCATTGCCTTGCAAAAACAGTGCAGAGGGAATAAACCAGAGTGTGATAGATTATCTATGAGGGTGGTGTTTGAATAGGGTGGAAGGATCCATGTGTTTATGTTTTTACATAGTTTGGATTTTGGAAACGTTAATATTTTGCATACCAAGTATATGTTTAAATAAACAAGGAGAGAAAAGCCAAGAACTGAAATACAAACGGAAACAAATGAAATCAATTTTTTCCAAATGAAAATGTAACTATACTGTAGTGAAAAAAATTAGCATCATTACCTTTTAAACACAGTACTTTTACTATATACTGTATACAATCAATCAACAGAAAAAAAAAAGAACTCCAAACGAATCTTGTAGTCTATTGAGTAATTGTGTTATTCTCAGTTGGCAAATTAGTGTATCTGAACCTAATTTCTGTACTTGCTAAGATTGAGTAAATGCATCAATGACAGTGAGATTCAGGTTTCTTATTTTGGAAAAAGGAATTAGAAATGTGAGGAAGGGGAAGATTAGAATAACCCCTGTAGTGTTGTATTGGAATTAGAGTTATCAGTATAAATTTATAATTTTTCATAATACAAATATAAATATAGGTATAGGGAGAAATATAGGTATGTATTCTTTATACCCACATTTATATATTTATGTTTCTTAGCTCTGTCTATGGAAGAGGAATTACAAACAGTGGCACTTCATTAGCAATGAACACACCTAGGCAACATACCCTGTTTCTGAATATCACTCCTCACTAAAAGGTTTCCTTAGGAAATTGTAGGTTCTAAAATTGGGACAGGGAAAGTGCAAGATAAGCCTAGAGCATCATGTGCAAGAAAGAAATAAAAAGCTCCAAAATAATGGAGCTTCCACAGGAGCAACACTATGAACAATGACAGTAATAGTTTATATCTTACTGAATAAATAAGAATTCAAGAGATAATACTGATAATTAAATAGATTACATAGATAGATAGATAGGACTGAAGACAAATGTTAAAACAAAATGTGATATAAAACATAGAAGGGATGTTAGAGTTTAAAAAGCATTAATTTGTCACCGTCATCTTGATAATTGATTCAGAGAAGAATCCTAAAGGATGATAAAATGTGAGTGGAAGTTTGATAAGGAATAGGATGCTTATACAGTTTCAAATTAATTACTAATTATAGGTGGAAAATAGTAACTTTACGGTTGAGAATTTTGGTGGACATGACCTTAGCCAAATGATCAAATTCAGTATCGCGAATAATGGGACCATCTCAGGTCATGTGCCTTCTACTGTGATTCACTGAGATAGAGATGATGTACCTTTGTAGCATTTTCAGCAAAACTACACAACACAAAGTGTAATGAAAAATCATCAGACAAATCCAAACTGAGAACCATTCTACAAAATAAATGGCCTGTATACTTCAAAATGTCAGTGACATGAAAGACAAAGAAAGGCTGAGAAATCAGTCTTTACTGAAGGGATGAAATCTTCAGGATAACCAAATGCCCTGAATAATCCTGGATTAAATTTTGCACCAGAAAAATAATATTACCACATACCACATTGGATGTTATTGGGACAATTGGCTAAATTTGAATAAGGTCTATAGATAAGATAATGTTATTATATCCATGCTAAATGGTACCTTCGTCATGAAGATTGTTTGACTGGGAGGCTACAATATCTGAAATATAATAATTGTCAACATGTATGCATGTAATGCCATGGCTTCAAAGAGTATAGCACAAAAATGCAGAGAACTACAAGAAAAAAATTGAATAATGTGAAGAGAGTTTTAAAAGCTTTACAGTGAAAAATTTCTAATATTTATAAATGCAGTACTTGGGCTGAGCACGGTGGCTCATGCCTGTAATCCCAGCACTTTGGGAGGCCGAAGCTTGCAGATCACGAGGTCAGGAGATCGAGACCATCCTGGCTAACACGGTGAAACCCTGTCTCTACTAAAAAAAAAAAAAAAAAAAACCACAAAAAATTAACCAGGCGTGGTGGCGGGCGTCTGAAGTCCCAGCTACTCAGGAGGCTGAGGCAGGAGAATGGCGTGAACCCGGGAGGCGGAGGTTGCAGTGAGCCGAGACCGCGCCACTGCACTCCAGCCTGGGTGACAGAGTGAGACTCCGTCTCAAAAAAAAAAAAAAAAAAAGGCAGTACTTGGTGTCTCCCATCCAGCCTCAATGATTACCAACTCCTGGCTGATACAGTTTGGCTCTGTGTCCCCACTCAAATCTCATGTTGCATTGTAATCCCCAATTTTGGAGAAGGGACCTGGTGGGAGGTGATTGAATCATGGGGGCTGATTTCACCCTTGCTATTCTCATGACAGTGAATGAGTTCACATGAGATCTGGTTGTTTGAAAGTGTGTAGCACTTCCCCCTTCACTCTTTCTCTCTCCATGCTCTAGCCCTGTGAGACATGCCTGCTTTCCCTTCACCTTCCACCATGATTGTAAGTTTCCTTAGCACCCCCAGCCATGCTTCCTGTAATAGCCTGTGGAACCATGAGTCAATTAAACTTCTTTTCTTTCTAAATCACCCGGTCTCAGGTAGTTCTTTATAGCAGTGTGAGAATGGACTACTACGTTGGCCAACTTTCTTTATACTTTCAGTGCCCCCACTCATTTTCCATTCCTTGTCACCCAAAGAATTTTGAAGCAAATTCCAGATATCATAGCATTTCATCGGTAAATATTTTAGAATGTATCTCTGAGAGTCTCTCTTTTTCCATACCACAGTAACATTATAACACATCCTTAAATCAACAGTAACCTCTTAATATCAAATACTCATTGTTCAGAACTCTCTGACAGGGATATGAGATTTTTAAGAGTTCAGTTGAATCACCCTGATACCCCACCCTTCATGTGTCCTTCCATGTTATTTATCACCAACACACCACATATTTGATTTATTTATTTTGTTATCATTTGACTCCCCCACAAGGATGTAAGTTCTGGGAGGCAGGTGTTTTGTCTTTGTTGTTCAATGCACTCCGTGCAGCAACTAAACAGTGCCTCACAGATGATTACCTATTAGTATGCTTGTTGAGTTAAAGAATAAGTTTAGGATGAGAAAACAAATTCTCTGTTTGCTAATGCATTATTGGAGGTCCAAAAATACTAAATGGGCTGGAGCCTTGTGATGCCTGGTAAAGACCTACCCCTGCCCTCTGCACCAGCTCCTCAGTGACCAATGGACATGGTTGTGTTGCAGAAATGTCTAAGGATGCAATACTTTAAATTCAGATTTTTTTTTTAAAAAAAGGCTTATAGACAGAAGATATGTAATAGTGCAAAGCAGAATTCAAGGGCCCACTTTATCGTGTAGGCATTGAAGGACTTTCTCTGTCATTTTGTTGTTTGTTTGTTTTTTAGATACAGGATCTCAATATGTTGCTTAGGCTGGCCTCAAACTCCTGGGCTCCAGCCATCCTCATGCTTCAGCTTCCTGAGTAGCTGGGATGACAGGTGCATGCTATGGTGCCTGGCTCTGCCTGTTTGAGAATTGCACTGAAATCCTTTATTAAAGGCAGCATTATATTGAGGATGGGGAATGCAAAGATGATATTTGGGAGTAGTGTGCCCACCCCTTGCCAGGGCTGACATTTCAAGGGGGTAAAATTGTAGGCTGTCTTCAAATTGTCCCTGAGAAGACTGTGGAAAAAGCACCAATTCTATTTTATACTTATTCAGGATTATAATGTAAACTTTAGAGACTTATGCTTTCAATGAAGAAATGAAAATACAAGGGGGCTTAACCCGTTTGGACACTAGAATCATTTTATGGATATGATATCTTCTAAGGAGGCTGCCTGAGTAATAATCGTAGGCCATTTCCCCTTTGTAGATCATTATCTTTTGGGGATTGGCTTCCAGAGTTCTTGAGCTTGCGACACTAGCTAGAAATTTTATGCAGGTATCGGGGGAAATGAAGCATAGGGATGTCAGTATAAGGTTACGAAAGTTGTCAGAATCAAAATGGAGTTACCTGTGTTAAAACCCTGATCAGTGGAGCCAGGGAAGGCGGTGAAGGGAGGTTCTCACACAGTATCCCTAATAACAAGAACTATTACGTAAGACTGTAAAAACTACAACCTTGGTTAGGCCACTGCACCCTTACACAAAAGAATACTTCTGTGAGGATATCTGTCCAGCAACTGCCTATCCTACCTTGGACTGATGTCACCCTTGTTATTGAGGCTTCTAGCCAAGGATAATTGTCTAAAAATGACCTGTGTAACCCTCTTCATTTTTCATTTAAAAAGCCTTATTGTCTTCCTTTATCTCCCTGAATATGCCCATGTGTATTCCCACTGGAATGACCATTTCTTTTAAAGAAGGTCTCCAAAAGGTTTCTTTTAGAGAGAGCGTCTCTCAATGTAAGCTATTTGGGTTTGACAAGGTCATCAGAATAAGAAAGGAAGTGTGGCACCATAAGGTCAAGGAAGGATCCATAAAAGGGAGATGGGTTCTCGTCACCTCAAGCTGCAGCTGTCATCCACGTGATTTCTTAGGGTCCCTAGTGTTCTTGGTTCATACTGATTTCCAGGAGGGGAGAGTGGTGCTTACATGGTTAGGGCAGGGTTCAGGGTTCAGTTCACCAATCCCCCCTTTCCACTGCCGTTGGTTTGGGAGAGTGAGAATAGGGTATCTAACTGATCATGAATTGAGTAAGAAGGGGCAGAGGGTGAGAGGGAACAGACAGAAGAGAAGATAGACAGGCTCTCCTCTCCTACCTCTTCTCAAGCCTATAGACAGTGCCTTTGGTGCACAGGGTCCCTTAAGCGTGTGCAGAGCACACAGCCTAAGGGCTGGGTTCTGGGGCTTCTGCAGGAGTGCGCATGGCTGGGCAGCTGGGCTCTGCTCCTAGTGGGCTTCCTTCTCTTTGGGATTCTGCTCTCAGAGGCTGCCAAAATCCTGACAGCATCGACACTGGGTGAGTGCTTGGCGGGAAAATGCAGAGACAAGCATGTTCCAGGCACCGCGCATGGGCACTGGCAGTTCTGTCAGAGGGTCATCCAGGTAGTTTTCCACGCTGGGCTGGTGTCTCGGGCTGGAAAAGGAAGAGAGAGGCTGGCAGGGGCCGTGGAGCCAAGAAGGGCCTCTAACCAAGGGTGGAAAAGACAGTTCTGGAGAAAACGGAAGTTTCCTTTCTTCTCTCCAGCTCTGGACGTGCGCTGCGTCGCGCAAGGCTGGAGCCAGCATTTAATTTCCCAGTCCAATACGTTCGCCCCGGGCCTCCTTCCTCAGTGCTGGATAGACGTTTCGTTGCTCATTCGTTTCTTCTAAGGGGGTGCACGGTAGCTGTCAATAGAAATTGTAGCAAGCATTTTCAGGCTCTTAAAGACCGAGGAAACGTGCTCCTGGGCGTGTCACAGCAAATTGGGGTTGTTTTCGTCCAAAGGAAATCCGGAGAACTGACTGGGGCGACGAGAGGACCCCTGGACAATTGGGTCTTTGGAAGCCCTTTTATCTTTCATTCAAGCTCCTGGAAAGGTTTTGAAGGATAAGTGGGGCAGTTAGTTTTGCATTTTGTGCCCCTATTTTTATTTCTTTTACTTTTACCCCCAAAGGAATAGAAGATAAAAGAGAAAATATATCAAGGGAAAGGAGGGAGCTCCCCAAGACCCTTCTTAAGCCCATCCTGAAAGGACGGTGGGCTCTCTCTTAGATCAGTTTAAGATCATTGAGAATCTGGGATTCCTGGAGCTGGATGAAACCAAGGAGTTCATTTAATTCGGCCTTTCCCTTTTGTTTTCCTAAGGGGGATACTAAGGATTAAGGAAATGCAGGCACCGTTTGCAAGAGCGCACCCAGCTTTCCTAATGGCCCATGAGGAGTTGAATCAAGATTCCTTACTCCGAGTCAGGCCCGGTGGCTCACGCCTGTAATCCCAGCACTTTGGGAGGCCGAGGTGGCTGGATCACCTGTCAGAAGTTTGAGACTAGACTGACCAATATGGTGAAACCCTGTCTCTACTAAAAATACAAAAATTAGCCGGACGTGGTGGTGTATGCCTGTAGTCCCAGCTATTCGGGAGGCTGAGGCAGGAGAATCGATTGAACCCGGGAGGTGGAGGATGCAGTGAGCCGAGATTGTGCCACTGCACTCCAGCCTGAGCGACAGAGTGTCACTCCATCTCAAAGCAACAACAACAAAAGCAGTTTTAGAAAGCTGTGACTCCGTGTTAATCTTTTTTTGCGTGTTCTTTTTTCCTGATCATTAGGAGAAATTAAAAGCTCATCTCTTCAATTACACGTTTCCCTGCCTCAGACTTCAAGAGGGAGTTGATGTGGTTTGTGAGGTGCTAAAATCCCAGGGTTTGTCCTAGAATGCACTCTGGCTCGAGACCCACCATGAATGGATGCATGTGTGGTCACCCCTTCTCTCTGCTTCTTACATGGATAAAATGCAAGTAAGAGCAGGCAGTCTGAGGGGTAGGGGATTTTCACTTTATATATTCCTTATTACCTCAGACCACACAAGTGTGGGTGTTAAAAATAGTCACTCCCACAGATACACACTATTTCTCTAGCACCACAGCCTCCACTTCGAATCCAATGGCTATGGGACTTCAGCTCCCAAATAACACTTGCTTCTAATTTTTGGCTATTGCCATACCTTCTTTCCTGATCTGGCTTTCTCTGCTGCCAAGACTCTTAGATTCAAGAAAAAAGCCCATGTTGAAGCATGGTTTAGGAGAAGACATATGTAAAATTAAATGATTCAAACTTAGAGCTGTTGAAACTTTAACTTACTCTGAGCCTTGAGAGGAATGTGAGTTACACAGCATGCAGTCAAGTAGCATGCAGCTACAATTTATGCTTCTCTGATTATAGATTAACCTCCTTCCTTATTCTTCTGTGATAATTAGGAAGACCAAGAGGTGCCAGAGATAAGACTCCCTCAGGTCCTAGCCCCTTCTTAAGCAGTAACAAAGTAATCTTCCTGGGGATGTAGCAATCTGTAAACAATCAAATCGCTGTAATGTATACACTGGCCTTGTATGGCAAATGTTGTAATACTGCTAAAACTTCTCTGTTCCTACCTTTTAAGTGAAATCTTAACTTCTCCATTTCAGAACACTGACCCCATTTGTTTGGAGTCAGTGTTTTCTGGGTGGTCATCCTCAAGTTTTGCACTTGAATAAACTCTATACCTAATCATGTTTTCTAAATGTCATTATGTAAGGTTGACACATTAGTGTGATGGAACTTGTACCTCTCCTGAGAATCAAACTTTTCTTTCCTTAGGATGCCAAGATTGTTCTAGAATGGGCGACGTCCTAGTCTCTCTTGCAACTAACAGTTGCAAGAGAGACTAGGACGTCGCCCATTCTAGAACAATCCCACAATTTTCCTGAATGTCCTAATTTAACTTTGCACAAAATTCAGGCCCCAAATAAGAAACATCCTGCCAAATATTGAAAGTAATGGCAAAACCGCAATTACTTTTCCACCAACCTAATACATTTCAATCTCAAGGATTTTGGCTGTAAGTGTTGACTACATATTTCTCCCTCCAATGGAAGTTTCTTGGACTCACCCTTTAGCTCCTATATTTCTATTTCCTAAAGTAACATAAAATTCCAAAGTGAAGGATCCCAGAAATAGCCCTGATTGGTTGTCCATCAAGAATCCTTCAACTCACATTCACAGCTCTGTACCATATTTTCCACCAATGCAGTTATTTCTTTTGGACACAGTATCTCCATAAATTCTCTGATTAGAATGCAACATGTATCTTGGAATAAGACATGCCTAATGTCTGAGCACAGAGAAGAAGCTCATCACACTGACATGGAGACCACGAGTCAGAGAAGAAATCTTTGGTGGAAGATTGCCACAGATCAGGGATTTGGGCAGTTGGAATATAGGTACCTGGGCTGGGGCTTACCCAAAGTGAAATGGAAGAACTGGTGAAGCTTATCTTCATGTGTTCACTATTTCACTTCTTGTTTCCTAGGCTGTTTTCTCCTGGCTTTCCCCCATACCTCCACAAACCCCTGTCATGTGGGCTGCACCAAGCAAAATCATAGGGGTGGAATTGCCTGAGGCCTTGAGGGCTCAATCCTAGCCCAGTGTGTCCAGGAGGTGGCACATGGAGTCAAAAGAGATTATTCTCTAGCTTTAAAATTTAATGTCTGCCTGCTGAGTTTTGGTCTTACTTGGAGCCTGTTACTTTTGTTGGGAAAGGGAGCATGGAAGGGTGCTCTTTCTCACTTTTGGAATAGGAATGTCTGTCTTATGCCGTATCACCATTGTATCTTAGAAGTTGTTACCTTATTTTGATTTTACAGGTTCACAGATGAGACTCTGGATTTTGGACTACTGAGTTGATGCTGAAACCAGTTAAGACTTTGGAATTAGAGGGTTGGAATGAATGTATTTGTATGTGATAAGGACATGAGTTTTTGGAGGGCAGGGACAGAATGTTGTGGCTTGACTGTGATTTTCTTTTATCCGACCATCCCTGGATTTAGGTCTAGTAATCATCGGCTGATTGCCATATTGTTTTTATCAATGATCTAGTATAAAACAGGTTGATCCAACCAAATTCAGATTCCTTTAAAAAGATGGTTTTTAAAGACAATGTTTGAGATTTTTTTCGGACCTAAGAAGGGCCCCTCCCAGCTGTCTCTTTTCCCAGTTTCCTCTGGCAAGTTAGTCACCCTACAGTTTCACTTGTATCTCCAATGAATCTACCCATCGCCTACCAACTGCCTTTCACAGCTAAGTCCACCGTTTCTTTGTTTTTTTCTGTTTGAGTTCTCTTAGGCTGGAACCACTCCATAGTTTTTGTTGAAGATAGAGCCAATTCCTTTGCAAAGTCTATCAGTCAGGGTTCCTCATTAAAACAGAGCAGTAAGGTACCTTTTTTTTTCAAGGAATTGGCATAAATGATTTTGGAATTTTAAGAGTTGGCAATCTGAAATCTGTAGAGCAGGCCAGCAGGCTGGAAACTCTTGGGTGGGAACTGATATTCCAGTCCTGAGGCAGAATATCTTCAAAGAAACTTATTGCAGATATTAATCACGTCTAAAAAATAACATAAGAGCAACACATAGATTAGGTTTTGATTTAATAACTAGGTACAATGGCATATGTCAAAAAACACAGTTTTATACAACTCTTCTATAGCATACTGGGAATATACTAACTCTTCCCCAGAGTGGAGGTCCTTGGGTGATGTTCACTCTTATTCTTGATATTCTGTAACATAAATACTGTGAAGTAATATATTAGATTTTAAGGAGATAAAGTGAGAAGAATACGATAGTATTCTACACACACAAATTCATAACAAAATACAAGGTAAATACTCAAAACATTTACAATCCTTTTGCAACTGATCATATGGTGATAGCTAGCATTTGTATTTCATATACCTTTGCCCTCAGCAAGTACCGCAATTGACTTTTTGCCTGATTGGGAAGGGGACCCAAATATTCATTCTTGAAGAGTTGGGGTTATTAGTTTTCCTTACTGAATTGGGTTATTGTAGATTTTTTGTTGACTTTAATAAAAGGGCATGGGCATAATTAGTGATGTGTTAACAGAGTTCCTTTATTCCAGGCTTACTCTTCTTTTTAATGACCTATAACAGTAAACCAACGAAATGATTGCAGCTGTGACAAGTGCTACAAAGAAGATGAAAACATAGTATTCGCTACTCTTTTTCCAACTTTTATTTTATGTTCTGGGGTATATGTGCAGGTTTGTTACACAGGTAAATGTGTGCCATGGTGGTTTGCTGCACAGATCCTCCCATCACCTAGGTATTGAGCCCAGCATCCATTAGCTATTCTTCCTGATCCTCTCCCTCCTCTCCCCACACCCTGTGACAGGCCCCAGTGTGTGTTGTTCCCCTCCGAGTGTTCATGTGTTCTTATTATTCAGCTCCTATTTATAAGTGAGAACATGTAGTATTTGGTTTTCTGTTCCTGCATTAGTTTGCTGAGGATGGCTTCCAGCTCCATCCGTGTCCCTGCAAATCACATGATTTTGTTCCTTTTAAGGCTTACTCTTTACATCAATGTGTAGTAGCAACTCAATTTCCCTTAGTAATCAGGTCTTGCGTGATAAATCCAGTCCAACATTTCAGTCTCCCTAAGCCTTTAGATACCTTCCTCTTCAGTGTCCCAAGGTAATTCTGGTATTTCAGCTTCATTTAGCGTAGGCCACCCTTTGTTTCATCCTTAACTCAACCAAACCCATCGAGCTGCAACTCTATATTGAGAATTTGTGCTTTGTGGGCCTGTATCAATAAATTCACCTTGAGTCAACTTTATGTTCCTTCTACCATTATTTCACACTATTAACTTACATTCTCACATGTATTCACCAGATTTCTGTCTGTATAAATTGAAAAAATACGCATTACTTTTGGAATGTAGTATGTCTCCCATTGGTTCGCAATTTTAATCTCTCTTTCAAGCCTGTTGGGACTAGAGTCTTATTTATAGATATAGATATAGATAGATATAGATATAGATAGATATAGATATAGATATAGATATAGATGATATAGTTCTACAAGCCAAGAGGTTTGGTGGAAGTAGGTTCTGAGGATAATCAGCAGTGTCTTCCAGTTAAAATACCTCAGAGGTGCTAGTACACTTTCCTTTGAAAAATCAGGATGAACCTTCTCAGACATGAATAGCAGGGTTGCTCCTACTGGCAAAGAAGATGCAGGAGAATTTAGAGGTTAAGTGTCCTCAGCTTCATCAGGATCTACCCTACAGGTTTCATTCCGATTTTCAGAATCTCATTCCTTCCTAATCAATTCCCTCAGTTTAGCAGAAGATACTTTGCCTGGTTGGGAATTCAATTTGCACTGTAATTCTGCCACTCTCAGGATGAGACTCCAGATTTGATTTTCTGAAACCTCAGGCTGATGACAATGGGAGATAAGTACGTTCCTCCAGGAAGACATAGAAGGTTTCAGATCATTTATGTGGAGCTTGAACTTGGAATTTCAAGCCCTGAGTTCATCATTTTTCTTTACTTTGTCTACCACAGTTACAAGCAGTCATCCTCATTACATTTATTAGTTTGACTAAAATATTTTAAGCTATCATGATTACCTAGAGATTTGCCATTTATGAATATTTGATTAGGAATCCAGTAGTAATATTTTACAAATCTTTTTACCGTATTACACCATAGACTATCATTGTCTTCTTTACCACTGGAAAGAGTACTTATGCCTTAAAATATAATCAATATTTTATATTGATTGTCAGAAACCCAATACCACAAACCCAGATCCAGTTTTTTGAACTGGTAAAACCCTTGGAATTACACCAGTTGCTAGCAGTGGAAACAAGCAAAAGCATTGCTTAAGTACTCCAGAGATTTTGTTCTTTTTACTTTATTTGACACAACCTGGAGGCAGACTATTGAGGGCTTGCACGGTGGCTCCATCATGCTGTCCGTTGTCCCAATTTTCCTGTTTCTTTTTTATCTTTTCTTAAATTATTGCACCAAACTTACTCTCCAGTAGGTGGCTTTCAAGAAATACTTCATATTTAAATGCCCATGCCCTCATATTTGCTTCTGCATTCACAGATGAAATTAAGTTTCTTCTTAAAAGTTTCAAATGCGTGATATCTTGTGGGTTAAACCACTGAAAAGAAAACATTAGACATCTGAGGTTGCCCTGGAAGAACCACAGTTCTAATTGCTTAATTCTGGGACAATTCTTCAGACAATTCAGATAAAAGGATGAAATAGCTACTATGTATACTCCCTGCAGATATAGCAAAGGACCCAAGCCCTTGTCAAATCCATGAAAGAACTTGCCTAGTAGTCTGCAGAGCTGGGTGCCTGGCATCTATTCCGTTTTGTGAGTTCTTATACTGCAAGGATGTTGCACACAGCCAGGATTATGTTATATACAGAGATGTGTGTGTGTGTGTGTGTGTGTGTGTGTGTGTGTGTGTGTGTGTGTGTCAGAGAGAGAGAGAGAAAGAGAGAGGTGTAAGGTCTGAATCACCACTAATTATACCTGCCTGCTCCTGAAAGCAGGACGTGCAGGAGTGGGAATGACAAGGATAGGGTGGATGTCATAGATACACAATGAAAGAGAGCATAGTGTAGATATTTTCCTCCAAATAAGCCACTAGATTTCTTCTTATCTGGCAAAGTAACTGCTAGGGAACATGTGAAAAACATAAGTAAAAAGAAACAAAAAGAGAAAAGAAGAGAAGAAACCAAGGATGAAAACAGCAGAAATGACATCCTCTGCAAATGCAGAGAAGGAGGGAGAACCTTGAATCACCTATAATTACCCCTGCCTGCTCCCAAGAGTTGTGGTTTTAAGTATCACCTGGCAATGAGGCACCCTAGCAGTAAGCTTTCTGGGGACTACAGAAGGACAGGAAGGTGCTGCCTAAAAGAAAGAAGACAATGTGCTGAATACTACCTTACAAAACATGGGAGACAAGTTTTGATGCTGTTCTAGAAACCAAACCATTGCCAGCAAAACTTCTGGCTGGCTTCTCTCCCAGTGCAAATGGCTTGAGCTTTCACAGTCACTGAGATTTCCTAGGCAACAGGAGTGTAAACTTGAGAAAAGGCAGAACCAGAGTAGAGATTGACAGTGAGCTGAGCCAATCAGGCTGTGAATCTGCAGCAGTGATCCCAGGTCCTCCAATTAATACTAAGAGAGTGGACCAGGGCCCCTGAGGAAGACAGGTAAGAGGGAGGAGGCTAAGGTGGCTTGGGAGGGACCAGTTTTCCTAGATGCAGGAGACAGCGTCCATAGTTTCAGTTCGAAGCAACTGGTGGCAAAAGGTTAGCATTTAAGGTAAATCAATGTTTTTATCTATTCTATGATTTAATGTTTTTTTTTTTCTTGGTATGTCTTAGCTGAGAAAAGAAGACAGTAGATGTTACTCTCTAAAAAGAAAATCTAAAAGTCTTTTGAGAGTTCTTGGACTAGAGAAGCCATCACTAGGCTGTCAGTGCAAGAGGAAAGAGCTTGGTACTGGGAAAGATTTTTGTAATCTTTGCAAAAAAAATGCTTAGATAAAAATGCACAAAAATAAATTTCATTCAGTAAAGGGGAAGGAAGTAAACATTACTGAGCAGTCATTAGGTACTAGGTATTTGAGTGTGAAGGGTTTGGGTGAATTGCTCTAACGATCCTGATGACCACTGATAAAACTGAGCTTCAGGGAGGTTCAGCATTTCCAAGTCACAAAGCAATAAAACATTTCAACTTTCATTCAGACCTTGCTTTGTCTGATACTTAAACTTATGCTATTTCTGCTATACACTGACAACTGAGAATCAGAATAAAAATCAGGATGCTTATTAAAGTGTACATACATGGCTTGTTCAAAATTATATCAAATAGTTGATTTGATTCATCAGAGACTTGAGGGGGTCCTTTACGTTCTCATTAAAGGACAACACCAATGACCCAGGCAGCCATCTCTATTGCCTTCAGTCTGGGGAGTATTTAAACCATATTAAGTAGATGAAATTCTTACCTGTTTTTTTTTTTTGACTTATTTTTTCCTCAAATCCTACAACCACAAAAATCTATTTTGTTATTGAAAGTTTTAAATATTGAGATTTGAATTTCAGGCATACATTTGTATTTATATTCTGATAAAAATTACCCAATAGCAATGACAATGATAAATTCTAATAGCAATAAAATAGCCTCCTGCTAAGCCCTGATGATATGGTGATAGTAAATGCAAAGGATACAGCTCTACCTCGTAAGGACCTTATAGTCTGTCTAGCAGGGCAAGTAATTCGAAAACGAATTACATTGTCTTGCAATGTGAATGCTATTTGGACTTCACCACATGATCATGGAAGGATGGGTGGGACTTCTCTGGGCCAACAGGAAAAAGAAGGTGTACCTGCAAGTGTGACTACATGTACAAAGGCACAGAGATACAGAATGCTATGGTGTGTTTGGGGAATGTGAGTGAGTAGAGATGCAGGATAGATTTTGAACGGATGGAGAATTACTAGAAATGGCTGGAGACATAGGAAAGGCCAATGCATGAATTCAATGCTAAGAACTTTCATTTTACCTGTATGCAATGGGGGACCATCAAAGGGTCTTAAACTATATCATGAAGTTCATGTTTTCATTTTCTAAAGATTGCTCAGTCTTTTGAAAGACAAAGTACAGAGGGCAAAGCTAGGGGCAGGAAACCAACTAGGAGACATTTGCAATGGTGGAAATGAGAAGTGACCATGTCCTAGGCTGAGTCAGTATCCATGGCAATGGAGATGAGGGAATGGAAATGCGGGATGTGTCAAGGTAGTGAAACTCTATAGGACTTAGCTGCTATTTGGATGTAAAGGGTTAGGAAGAGTCTAGGATAATGGTCAGTTAATGACCCAGGTAAATGGTATTGCTGTTTCCTGAAGCAAAGAGTAAGGAAGATAGGTAATGAATTTGGCTCTGGAACATTAAACTGAAAGTGTCTGTAGGTCATCCAAGTGCACATGTTTTGTGAGAAATCTGGCTCCAGAGAGTGCCTACATTGGAATAAAGATTTGTTAGTCATCATTGTATCAGGGGATATGACTGAGATTGCCATAAGATAGTGGAATAGTGAGAAGAGAAAGATAACTGAAGCCTGAGAAACAGCACTTAAGAAGCAGGTGAAGACAAGGAAGAAACAAAATAGGACAGATCCAAGAGGGAGGAGGAGAGACAGGGAGTTAGATTTATAGCCATTGAGAGAAAGGGTGTTAAAAAGGAAGAATGACCAATAGTCAACTAGTTGGAGAAGTGAACTAAGGGCTAATGACTGTTGAAGTTGGCAATCAGGTTAGCAATGACTTATTGAAGAGTATATTTGTTGGAATGACAGGGTGAAGACCATATTGAAATGGACCGAAGTATGAATGGGGCATGAGAAAGTAGAAAATCTGGAAATTCTTTAAAATAGTTTGACTTTGAGGGGTGATAGCTAGAGGGAGTCCAGGACTGAGGGACCACAGCGGATTCATGAACTAAAAGAAGGAGCTGCTGGAGAGGAGGAAAAGGGCATAACTGATGGCTGAGAATCTTAGAGGGGTAGGCCTCTGTGTTGCAGGTAGAGAGGGCATCCTTAGATGGGAGGAAGTTCAGCAATCTCTTGGAGGAGGGAGGAGGGAGGATGAAGTCAGGATGCCCTTAGAGCGCTATACTTTTATAGATTTGGAGGAGGATGATGTGAATTTGTTCATAACTGGTGGTTCCATTTTTTTCTGGGTCTTTCAAGGCAAGGTCTGGAGTGGCAAAAGTTTGGATTAGCCTCTGAGGAGACTGGAATAAGAACCTGACCAACATCATATAAAAGTTGAGTTGTGTGTTGCAGAAGGCCTAGCTGTGGTTAAAGAATAAATACAGTGACACCTGTCCATGCTGGCATGTGGGTTTATTCAGCTGCACTTCAGTCTGCCGTTAAGTACATGGAACATGGGCAAATTGAACCAAGTTAGCTATTATTCTGAGATGGTGGGAGGTTGAAAAATGAGGGTCAAGAAGGGAGGCACTGGTACCAGATGGTCAGAAAGATGCGCAGAGTGTGTAAAATGGATAAGAAAGGAAGTAGATCCAGAAGGGAGAATGAGGTAGGTAATGGCTGGGGTGAAAATGTAGGGCCAAAAGTCTGGAGGTACCATAAGGTCAGAAGCAAGTTGGAATAATGGAACTGAACACTGCAGATAAAGTCAATCTTGAATTTTGAACTTTCAGTCTGGGCACCGTGGCTCATGTCTGTAATCTCAGCATTTTGGAAGGCCAAGGTGGGAGGATTGCTTGAGCTTAGGAGTTCAAGACCAGCCTGGGCAACATAGCAAGATCCTGTCTCTACTAAAAATAAGAAAAAATTAGTTGGGTATTGTGGTGTGCACCTGTAGTCCTAGCTACTCGGGAGGTTTCGGTGGGAGGATCACTTGTGCCCAGGAGATTGAGGCTGCAGTGAGCTATGATGACACCACTGCGCTCCAGCCTGGGCAACAGAGTGAGACCCTGTCTCAGAAAAAAAAAAAAAGAAGTTTGGACTTTCAGAGGAGACCAGATTTGGTTGGGAGGGAATGCCGAGACAACAAACAGATGGAGTTGAGTTGGTAGAAATCAAGGAGCTCCAGGAACTTCATAGCTGCCTGTTGGATGGATTGTCTAGATGAGCTCTGGGTTTTCCCAGATTGATGACACCACTTGAAATGGAGAGTACATCTCTGAGGCAACATTCAGAGTGTCAGTGATTTATAAACTGACAGAACCAAAGAGAAACATAGGAAGTTTGTCCAGCTAGGCTGTGCTTCAAAGAAGGATGTGGATATAGGTCATGATGTGGAGGTGACAGGGTGCATCTTAAAATCTGTGAGGTTCCTTAATACTTAGAATTTGGGGTAAGAGGTGCTTTCATCTGAGAAGACTGCAAGAGGGGTAGGTTTCCTTATGCAAAATCAGATACCATCCAGGATAAAGATATTGTACCAATCAGTGTCTTGGCAGGAAATTGATGGCACATTCAAAGGTAGTAACAGAAAAGAGTTTAATGAAGGACAATTCACAGAAGTGTGGGTAGGAATAAGGAATATAGAGAAAGCATAATGAGACACCCAGCAATGCCACAGTCAGAAGGGACAAGAAAGGTGTTACCCATAGCCTTAAAGGGGCAAAAGGAGGAGTGGTTTTCATATCTCAATCAAAGCATTTCTGTAGGGAGGGCTGCCTTTGGTGAAGGATATGGTCACTGAAAAACTGTGGCTTGGCAGAAAGGAAGCTGGGGAAATAAATACTCCAGCCTCTATCTCCTCCTCTCCTCTGATCTTCTACTGATGCCTCCCAGTGGTGGAATCCAGCTGGAAGCCAGCAAGCAAGGAAGTGTGGTTAACACAGTTTATGGAGGTCGACCTCTTGTAGCACAGATGTGGGTGGGGAATGGATCAGGAGAAGCACACAGGCAAACAATATTCAGCTCAGCAGTGACGATTGCTGTTCAGAAGTTGATCAAGATGAGGAGGCTTATAATTGAATAAGGAATAGAGGAAAATCTGGGTGTCTGGATGGAAGGTATGCTTGGTCCCAAGAGGGCCAACGTCTGCTGTAACTTGTGGAGGTGGTGGTGAGGTGCTCAAGAGCAAGGAGTGGGAGTGTTTAGCTCGTGGAATAACACTTTTGGCTTCAACCATTGCTTTAATCTCTGGATGAATGAAATAAGAATTTTCCTTGTAACATGTTGCTCTTTATTCTGATATCAGACAGCTTTGTATAAAGAAAACATATCAAGGTTCACAAGAGCAGTTTTCTATATTTCAGAAGTCAACAGAATGGCATTTGGGAGAAGATGGCATTACAAGACACTGAACTGTAGAAATGGCCACGTGTTGGCTTCTCACGGGATTCTCAATCCCATGAACACTTGTTCAATTTATGATATTCTTTAGAGCAGATTGTCTCCCACATTTTTAGCCATAATTCCATTGCCACTCAGCATCTTGTTTTTCCTGCAGTCTGAGAATAGTTTTAAAATTCTTGTATATTTTCTTGTAACCTGAAGTCAAATAGAATTAAAATTTCCCAAACTAAAAAGTGTAGTTTGAGAGAGCAGGACAGTTCTCTGTTGAGAGGTGGATGACAGCTCTTCTTACTTTCTTTGGAAGTTCTGCTTAGTGTGTGTCCCCTCTGCAGTTACCCCTCTAGCTTGGACAGGAGTTCTTCACACCGAGGGAGGAGCAGGCAAATGCTCTTCAGTAACAAACAGCATCAGTCCTTCTTACTTAGTGTGCTTTGGACTCAATATTGCTAATAAGCTTGACCCAGTTTTTATAAATGAGTGCCCTGTGGTGACCACAGGGGTTTCCTGTTTAAAAAATGAACATTTTCTGAGATGTTGTGGATAATTTACAAAAGGCTGCTGGGGGACTGGCAGATGCAACAGGCCCTGCTCAGAATCTTGGTTTTTCTACCAATTTGTGAACTGAGACAACCTCCAAATCTCTCTGTACCTCAGTTTCCTTATTTTGTAAAAAGTGGATATAGCTATGTCTGTAACCTATAAGAATTGTTATCAAGACTTATTTTATACCAGACAAATTTTCTGCTCTAAACAAACTGACTTTGAAAAACTTGCAAAACACAGGCCACCCTTTTAGCAGAGAACATGGGACAGAGTAAGTGTGCAGTAAATGTTTCCTATTACTGTTGTTCTTATCTTTTGCATAGTCCCGGAGGTCAGCAAAGTGTTTCTATATAAGGCCAGAGAGTAGGAAATTTAGGTTTCATGGGCCAGAAGGTCTATGATGCAACTATTTAACTTTTGAGTTGTAATGTGAAAGCCGCCACAGACCATATAGAAATACACGTATGTGGTTGTTTTCCAGTAAAATGTTATTTACAAAACCAGGTGGAGGGCCAAATTTGGTCCATTTGGTGTGGTCTGATGTCCCAGGCCTAGATTATTTTAGGTTATGTTTGCCTGCACTGAGGGCATCCTTCATAACTGCCCGTGGAAAAGTGAGCCTTATTTGGTTTGGGTGAACAGAGGTGAAAAGGGAAAAATCATCAATGTGTTGACGTCTGCCCTTAGGGCTTTCCTTAGTCTTCTGCATCAGAGTGATCCGGTTGCTCCATATGTTTAGAAAGCTTCATGCTCCACATAGTTTTGTGAAATAAGCTGATTTAGACATGCTCACACTCTTACTTTCTGGAATAACAATATTTCTTCTGCCAACTGAGGCAGAAACTGTAAGGTGCCTACTCAATAGCCACTGTCTTCTTTTTTATAAACAGAACCTTAGGGGTGGCAAATTATTCAGCCAAAAATCAGGTTTCCCAGACTCCTTTGGAGTGGCTGATAAGATTTACATAGAAGGAATTGGGTGAATCTTCTGGGAACCACTTCAGAAAGAGCTGATTTCGCTGGGAAGAGCATCCTTCTTGCCTTTTGCCCTTTTTCTTTTCTTTTGCTTGGAGTGTGGAGATAATAGCTGGAGCTGCTATGGCTATTATGTAGGAATATTATGTATCTTTAGGTAACTTTGAGTAGAGTCTGGAAACATTGATGACTACTTGAAGCACTTCCAGTCTTCTTTTACATGAGAGTAAAGTAAATCTCTATCATTTTCAGAGATATGACCTGTTTCTATTATGAGTCGCTGGACACAATTTATAACTGATACACTGATTTACGCTGATGTTGGCACTATGACATTGGATTTCTATCCCTTAACACTTTTTGGTTTTCTGGAAGTATCAGTTAAGAACAACTAGGATACAAATAATTGACTAGATTTCTAGGTGGCCATAAAATAAACATTAAAATAGACAAATGACTCCAAAAGAAGCATTCATTCTAAGGGACTGCAAGATAGTTACTAAGTGATTTTCATGACTAATGGCTGCAAAAGGGCAAATGTCCACCAGAGCTGTGTCTTTACTTGCATCTAAAAGGGTGATAGAAGATGTACCAGTTGGGCTTTGTCCTTGCAGTGGGTTTGAAACAATTGTCTGAGGTCATGACTTCATGGCAAAAATGGAATATTTGAAAGCTACCTGGTTGGTCTTAAGCACATAAACACTGAAACCAACCGAAGTTTTACTTTTCTTTTGTCTTGGTTTTATTTATTTATTTCTCTATATTGCAATTCAGCTAACTCTTTGCTTACCTTTGCATAGTTTAGGTAGCTTCTTACTCTGTTTCTTTAAGATGTTGCATCGAGCAGGTTGACCTAACTCAGAATACATTGTAAGTTATTTCTTTGTAAAAACCCCAGAGACTCAAGGCACAGCAAAGGGAAAAAAAGCAAGATGGAGAAGACAGCAAGGAGAGAGCTATTAGGAGAGTGAATGCCCCCTGACATTCCCAGTGGATGCTTATTATGACAAGGACCCTACAACCTTGGGGCCTCTGTATTTTATTAAACCTTGTTTTTTTTTTTTTGTAACACATTGTGTCAGTTACATGGGTTCTTGAATATTATGCTAAGCTGTTTATTTTGCTCTCTTTCATAGTCAAAAGTGCTGGAGAGGCTGTTACTTGACAAAATTCTACTGAGAGAAGAGGTTATAATAGAGTGACTTTCTCTCTCCTCATGAGTCTCAGGGGTAGTTGAGTCTCTTCTCACATTGGATTGCTAGTTATTTTACCCAGCTAAAGGTCAATATTTAGGGTCAGCCCAAACATTGCAGGAATAAGCTTTTTGCCGTCTGTATCAGTTAGGAATATTTTTGACAGCAAGTGACTGAAGACCTGACCAACAACAGATTAAACAGATAATACAAAGAGATTATGTTTCTTACAAGACAGGATCGTGAAGTCAAGAAGTTGCCAACATTAGTTCAGCAGCTCGATGATGTCAGGGCTCTAAGTTGGCATGGATATGATTCCCTTGGCCCTTCCCTCATGATTGCATAGAGGCTGGCATAGCTCTGGACATCACATCCTCACTCAAGGCACAAGGAAGGCAAAAGAGATGAGAGAGATATTCCAGAGCTCTCAGCACTTTCCTTTGGGTCCCTTTGGCTAGAACTGGTTCCTGTGCCTACCCAGTAGAAAGTGGAATAGGGCAGAGAAAAAGGGAAATAGAATGACTTTGTCTCAACCAGGTGGCAGTGTCTAAAAAATTAGCTGTAATTCAAATTTAATCAAGTTAAAACTACTTCTAGGAATGTAAACTTCCAAGGGTTGGAAGCTTGGCTGTCTCATCCGTTCCTCTTGTATGGCACATAATAGGTGTTTAATAAACATGCATTAATGCAGAACCAAGACTAGAGTGGGGCAAGGTAGGTGTTTAGGGTGCACCATTTAAGGAGACAATCATTCTCAGGCTTGGGCAAGTGTATGGTTGACATTTGCACGATTCTGAGACTGTGTGCCTCTTTAAACATTGTGCCTTTCTCTTACTTAGCCCTAGCCCCAACCCTGGTTCAGTGAATAAAGTGAAATATGAATATGTATGAAGTAAACACTTTATCACAATGATATTTATAAAATATTATTTTTAAAATGTACCATATCACAAACATTAAAATAAGGACTGAATTCACATCTCAAAGCTCAATAGAAAGAAGTAAAGACTATGGTTTAGCATAAATGGGCTCTACACAAACCTGCCTATTGAGAGTGGCTGCAACATGCATTTTAAGCATTTCGAGAAAATGTATTCTGATACAGAGAAAATGTGGTAAGATGCCAGACTTCGGTGACATCTTATTTCCACAGTATGCTATGTCACTTAAGTGTAGATGAAATGCCGTCATACTTTATGTGGTATGTGGAAGTTGACAATCCAAACAAAAACCAGATGTTTCATATATTCATACATTTTAGAAAAAGTTTTTAAAATAAATTGTGGGAAAATAGTAAATGGTATAAAAGATAATCAGTGCAGAAGTTTTGAGTTTGATTTAAAAACCCTCACACATCATTTTAATTAAAACAAACAGAAAAAAATAGCTGCTGCAAGAGGAAGAGGCTAAGTAAAATTTTTCTTCTTAACCATAAGGTATTTACACTGAGCCTTAAGGATTTGAAAACCCAAGCAAGGACCTAAGATGGGAGAAGGGGTCATGTTTAGGGACTGTGAGTGGCCCAGATTTGCTCTGCACTCCGGTCCTCACTCTCTGCTGGTATGAAATCTAGCAGCACTCCAAAGCATTCTTTTCCCTGAAGCTTTTCCCTTCCTGCATCTCTTACTTCATGGACCTTCTCTGAGTCCCCAAAGCAATTTATCGGTTTTAAGCAACATCATGGTGTAACTGTTGAATGCAGTGACTTAGAACTGTTTTCAAGGCCGGGCGTGGTGGCTTACGCCTGTAATCCCAGCATTGTGAGGCCAAGGTGGGTGGATCATGAGGTCAGGAGTTCGAGACCAGCCTGGCCAACATGGTGAAACCCCATCTCTACTAAAAATACAAAAATCAGCTGGGTGTGGTGGCAGGTGCCTGTATTCCTAGCTACTCGGGAGGCTGAGGCAGGAGGATTGCTTGAACCCGGGAGGCGGAGATTGCAAGGTTGCAGTGAGCTGAGAACGCACCACTGTACTCCAGCCTGGGCAACAGAGCGAGACTCTGTTTCAGAAAAAAAAAAAAAAAAAAAAAGGAACTGTTTTCAACCCTGGCTCTGCTACTCCCTGGTAGCGCATTCTCAGACAAGTAACCTGGGTTCTTCAGGTCTCTGCTGACTTCCTGTAATAGGGCAGTAGTATTTGATAGAATCCACCACATGAGGCAATGTGTGGATATATGTAAAGTCCTTAGACAAGGACTTGGCCCCCAGCATAGTTACAACTGTATTTACTACCTCTTCTCTTCATGCCTTTATCTTGCCCTGTGTTGTGTTATAATAAGGCCTTACTCCTCTTACTAGAGGGTGACCTTGTATTTCCCGTAGCTTATGTTCTCAAACTTAGGGATACAGGAAAACCAACTAAAAACAATAAAGTGCCCAGCCGCAGCATCTACACCAAGAGAGTCTAATTTACTGTGCTTGGTGAGTGCTGTGGGCATCTTTGTTTTTCAACAGCACCCACGGTGGTCCCAGGTCTTTCTCTATATCAGGGCTTCTCAACTTCAGCACTGCGGACATCTCTGACTGGTAATTCTTTGTTGCCAGGGGCCATCTTGTGTATCTTGTGCAGAATGTGTAGCAGCATCCCTGGCCTCTACCCATTAGATGCCAATAACACTCTACCCTACTTCCATTGCAACAACCAAAAATATCTCACAGGAGGCATTATCAAATGTCTCCTGGGGGTGGGGGGGATTGTACCCAGTTGAGAAGCACTTCTCTATAATTATCACCTGAAGAGTTAGCACAGTGCCTTGCATAGCTTGTGGTACTAAGGGCACATTCAGTTGATTCAAACTCAAATGGGCTCCGTGAAGTAACTCTCACGATGTCAACAACACTGACACACACTCTTATCTGAGGCTTCTGTGTACTGCAGAAGCCACGTATTCAAACTGTCAGAGTCTTCAATTTCAGTCTCTTCGGGAGGACATCACTATTTATTCACTTCCTAGCCGCCTGCTAGGCTATACTCAACACCTAGTGCTATGGTTTGAATGTTTGAAATTCATGTTGAAACTGAATCCACAATACAATAGTATTAAGTGGTGTGGTCTTCAGGAGTTGGTTAGGTCACAAGGACTCATCCCTCCTGAATGAAATTAAGGTGTTAATAAAAGTCGCTTTGCAAATTATTGAGCCCTTTTTTGCCCTTCCATCTCTTCTGCCATGTGAAGACACAGCATTTATCCCCTCTGGAGGATCCATAGTTCAAGGTACCATCTGAAAGGCCGAGAGAATAGTCCTTGCCAGGCACCAAATCAGCTGATACCTTGATCTTGAACTTCCCATCCTCCAAAACAATGAGAAATAAATTTCTCTTGTTTATAAATTACCCCATCTATGGTATTTTGTTCTAGCAGCACAACTGTACTAAGACCTCTGGAATGCAATATTTATTTTAGAAGGGCATTTTCCAAGGGGAAACTTATTGAGGAACTATGGGTTTTTGCCATCTACCGTGTAGTAATAGCTAGTTTATTGAATGGACTAAAGCCAGTGCAGATGGTTTAATTTTTTCCATTAATTGCCTTCAGACATGGTCTGTTGTATATCTCTTCTCATACCTGGATGACATTTCAAGTATTGAAAGGTCCACCAAGTCTTAATCAAAATTTCAATCTTATACCCAGTTTCCAAGTACAGAGATAAAGAGCAAAAGCCACATCAAGTTCCCCATCCCTATGGGGGACTGGTCTCAGTGCTCAGGATCAAGCCCGAGCTAGAAGAAATAGGGAATGTTTTGTCTTGGATGAGAATTTAAAAGAAGGCAAATGTTTTCCACCTTCTCGGAACTAGCTTGATGCCCTACAAGCCTCATCAACAGCTGCCTACTGTATACCTTTCTCCTTTCTTCTCTCCCCATAGTAAAATGTTTTCAAAGCACATGGAATCATTATAGCAACCCCAGGTTCCTTGCTATTGAAAATAGCTAATGTAATGGCACAGGTATCTAAGAATTACAGAAATGCCTAAAAATGTTAAAAATCATGACATGGTCTGGCTATGGGGAAAATGGGCTTAACAGCATCAAGAGGTGGGACAGAGGCTCGGAACAATTGGACTGCAGACGGCTGCTGTTGTCACAAGGCTGGACCTGCAGGACTTCCTCAACAGGACAGCTTCCTCACAGTACGTGCTGTCTCAAGCAGTGTGGTGCAAAGGAAGACTGTCCAGGCAAAATCTGGTCCAGCCATCGCGACTGCACATCCCTGCCAGCGGGGAAGCCTCCTTTCCCCTCCTCAAGCACATCTCGCCTCTGTCATCTACACCACATTTGCTGTCCCTTTCTATTTACCTGATTCTGTCCTTCCCTCTCCACTTTAACGCAGGCTAACCCTGCTCTTCTCTTAAGTTCATCCGAGCTGACTAAACCTGCTTCGGTTCCCTTTCAAGGAACGGTCTTTTCCCTGAAAAAGGAAAACCAGGAATGTACGGTCAGAGAAGTCAAAGGAGGGAGAGTTTCCTGAGGGTGAGGTGAGAAGTTTCCATTGGATTTTGCAACAAAGAGGATGTAAAAGCGTTGGTGCCTTATAGTGTCTGGATCAACGATCTCTAGGGTTGCCTCTTTAGCAATAAGATCCCCTTCTGTGTTTGCAGGTAGTTGGCTGCAGATGGAGAGGAACAGAGAAAGGAAGAGAGATGTAATTCAGCTTACTGCCACCAGGGAGCACCAAAGACAAGTCAATAGATGCAGGCTAGGGCTAGAGCAGTTCCCTCTTCCAAGGGTCCTCTTAAATCTGTCTCTGAACCTTACGGAGGGAACCATGAAGATACAGACCCCATGCATTTACAGCTTTCCACATCCTTCCTACAATAATTCGCAAAATCCAGGCGGGAGAGAGTTTGGCGTGGCAGTTGGTTGTGCACCGGGAGGACAGTGGAATGAGACAGCCTTAATGGGACCATTGCTACCGTAGCTACACTCTGCCTCTGCCCCAAATCTCCAGGCTTCTGTGAATATCCTCCCTTGCTGCCAGCCACTGGAGGGTGAGAGTGGAGAGCGCAAGCAACAGCTCTGGATGCCAGCCCCGAGTCCGCCCTCTCCCTCAAACTGCACGTTCTGCCACTGGCCATCTCCTATCTCTTCTTCTCTCTCCGTCCACACGGTCCAGGCAGCATAGCTGGAAACAACAGTCTCCTATTGGCTAGCCTGTCCCGCCTTCCTATCCATTCTTCTCACTTTACAATGCAAACGGCCTTTCCCGTTTTTTCGTTTTTTTTTTTTTTTTTTTGAGACGGAGTCTAGCTCAGCCGCCCAGGCTGGAGTGCAGTGGCGCGATCTTGGCTCACTGTAACCACCGTCTCCTGGGTTCAAGCGATTCTCCTGCCTCAGCCTCCCGAGTAGCTGGGATTACAGGCAACCGCCATCATGACCGGCTAATTTTTGTATATTGGTAGAGACGGAGTTTCACCATGTTGGCCAGGCTGGTCTTGAACTCCTGACCTCAGGTGATCCGCCCGTCTCTGCCTCCCAAAGTGCTAGGATTACAGGCGTAAGCCACCGCGCCCGGCCAGAAGACTTTGTGGTCTCCTGTTTTTTAAGAAGACTTTTTCCCTTTTTTGTGGTCTCCTGTTTTTTAAGAAGACTTCTTCCCCTTTTAAGAAGACTTTTTCCTTTTTTAAGAAGAATTTTTCCCTTTTTAAGAAAACTTTGCGGTCTCCTGTTGCTCTCAGGAGAAAATCCAAATCCCACCCTGGCACCCCAGGCTCTTTGGGATCTGATGGCTGCCCGCCTGGTCAGTTTCATCTTTACCCACAATTCCCCTTTCCCTACTTCCTCCGAATCTTCACTACTGTTCATCTCCCCCTGCCACCCATACCTCTGTTCTCCAACCATACTGAAATACTTGTACTTTCCTAATTATATTGTTTTCTCTCTCACCTTAGTCTGAGTAGTTGGTACACCTGCTATCTAAAATATCCTTCTATCCCCACGTCCCCAGCCTCGATAACTACCACCTTCCATTAGGATGAAAGTTTAGACATCACCTCCTCTGAGAGGTCCTCAGAAAGCCCCACTCCCAGGCCAGGTAAGCCTCCCGTCCTCTTGTGATTGCATCCCCTGCTCAGCCCCCAGGCTGTAAGCGTTGTCTTGGTCCTGCTTTCATCCTACCCCTAGCACAGTGCATGGCGCTTCCTGAGCTCTTAGCAGACCTGTGTGGAAGGCAGAGACTGAACCGCATGCCTGGCCGGGGGAATGTGCAGACGCCTGAGAACACGTGGTGGCGCTGCGGCCAAGTGCGTCGGGAGCGCAGCCTCTTCGCCTTGCACAGGGATGCGCTCCGTTGTCACCACACCGGATCTTTAAGGTTCAGACAGAGTCTTCTACAGGCAGAGACACTTTGTGCACTGCTATGAAGTCGGTGACATATGTTTGGGGACTGACTCTTGCCCTGGTGCCTGGCGCCTTTATTGAAACTTCAAAGCTGAGCATCTCCCTTATGCACTTGAGATCCTGTGCAATCCTGCCTTCCTTAAAAGCCCCGGTGCTTAATAAACTTTTCCCTTCTGCTTAAATACAGGAGATCAGGATTCAAACTAATGAAGACTCTAGGCTATTCAAGGGCTTGCTCCTCTGAGTAATTCCTCACACTCCCACACTCTATTCCAGCATAGTGCCTCGAAAAGAGTACACAATACAGTTAGCTAGTGGTTGGTGAACTGGGTGATTCAATGATTAAAAGGGATGCTTACTATGGGCATTTCAAGTTTCACGGTAGGCTAGCAGGAGAGAATGGACTTTTTTCCCCTTGAATTTATTAGACTCCAGAAATAAACTGCCAACATCATCGCTGGGTAGGGTCAGCCTCAAGAGGTGGGACAGCCTGAGGTACTGGGCTGGCAGTTTCTTGCCTTCCTGGACTCGATCCCACTTTCCTATGAGAAAGCACCATCAAACTGTGCTTTGAGATTCTTATATGTTATTTCACAAACCACAAACATGATGAAGCAGAAAGAGCCCTTAGGAATCAGAAGCCGTCTGTTTTGGTCTTGGCCAGGACTTTTGAGCAAGTCACTTTGCCAACCCAAGCCTTAGTTTCCAAGTTTGCAAAATGAGGTTGCACTAGAGAATCTTCAAGGGTCATACAGTTCTAACAGCATGTGGATTACTGTGAGTCATGTTTCCGTGCGACTTGGGCAAGTTACCTGATTTCTCTGCATCCTAATTTCTTTATCTGTGAAATACCAATAATAGTAGTAACTAGCTCATAGGCTTGTTTTTCTTTTTTAACCTTTGCTAATTTACCAGGATGACTACGTGCCCAGCACACTTTAAATTTTTTTTTTAAATTGACAGATAAAGTTGTATGTATTTACTTTGTATAACATGATGTTTTGAAGTATGTATAATTGTGGAATGACTAAATCTAGCTAGTAACATCTGTGCATGGGTTTTATTTTATTGAGATGAATACACATAACATAAATTAGCAATTTTAAAGTGTATATTACATTCACAATGTTGATAAACCACCGTCTATGTCAAGTTCCAAAACATTTTTATTACCCCTGAAGGAAACTTTACATTCATTAAGCAGTCACTCCCCACTGGCCCTCCCACCCCAGCCCCTTGCAACCATTAATTTGCTTTCTGTCTCTATGAATTTGCCTATTCTGAATATTTCACATAAATGAAATCGTACAATGTGTGACATTTTGTGTCTGGCTTCTTGTACTTAGCATAACATGGCCAAGGTTTGTCCACATTGTGGTATCTATCAGTACTGTGTTCCTTTTTATGGCTGAAGAATGTTTCACTGTATGGCTATACCACAATTTGCTTATCCCTTTATCCATAGGTGGACATTTGGTTTGTTTCTACCTTTTGGCTGTTGTGAATAATGCTGCTATAAACATGGGTATATGTGCATTTGTTTGAGTTCCTGTTTTCAGTTCAACTCAAGGGGTTTTTGTGGGAACTGGACACATGCTTACTACCTAGTGGGGGCACCACTGATGCCTTTAATATTATTCTGAAGGTGTGCAAAGAGGGTCCCACTGGGGATCTGTCCCAGATCCAGGAGCTGGATCTCACTTTCTCTCCATGACTGGTTTTTAGTCTCTGTTTCTCTTCATTCTCACTTACTGTCATGGATGGCAGGGAAAAACCAGAGCAAAATGAATAAGGTGGACAAGGTAGGGGAGATGTCATGGGAAATGAGAATGGGAGGTGAGTGGCTGGGGACAGCCATTGGGCAAGTATCATGAAGCAAGGTCAAGGGTCAGGAAAGATGATGGTGGTCCTGGGAAGGATCAAGACTCTGAGGTGGGTTTAGAGAATGAGAAGGGCATGTTGTTGACACCAGTTCCTGCTTCCATAGGGGTTGGGGTGGGGATGGGGCGCATGCCACTAGCAGAATATGGTCAGGGCAAGAGAATGGCTCAGGCAAGGATGAGTAAGACAGCAGGACATGGCTAGATGAGTGAATTGGTGGTCTTGTCTGTGACTCAGGATTCTGGCTGTTAATAAGGGGACAGTTAGTGCTGAAGCTGGGAACGAGCTCTGGGAATTGTCAGCTTGAGGTCAGGTAACAAAATAGTAATAAGCAAACGCCAGTTATTAGAAAGCTAAAGCTGCCAGGAAGGGCACAGTCTTGGCTGCAGGTGTCCCTGTTGGATGAGAATTGGAACATGCTCCTTGTGTGTGCCTGGCAAGAACGGAGATGGAAGTCTCTAAGCGCAGGGTGTGCCACCGTCTGGAGTTCCAGGGAACCTCTGCTTAGGTGCCAGTGGAAGCAGAGGAAGACTGTGTAGCTTTAGACAGAGCAAGTTTTTCCTAATGTGGAGTAAAGAGCTGGGACGTAGACAGGTCTCCTTCTTGACCCGAGGTTCAAGAGAACTGAAAGGAATTGCTCCCACCTTCATCCACATACTGGGAATCTGAATACAGGGCAAGAAAGAGGGATCCTGTACCTTGGCTCGGTGGAGGCTGCAAGAAAGTGGCCACGTTAAGTGTATGCATCCCTGAATTGTCTATTCTGGCCTCAGTTATTGGCTTGATGAGATTCCCTTTCCCAAAAGTCAAATAAGGAGTACCCTCTATGGGAGACCTTTCAGGGTGTATAGGAGAACAACACTCTTGGCATAGACGAGGTTGTGAATCTGCAGGTTGCTGTCTTTGATGAAAATAATTCAGTCCTAATGTAGCACTTAGGGGAAGTGCCAGAATTTGACTGGGGAGGGAGCCTCGAAGCCAGGGTGGAACCACATTCTAATACCGTTTTTTTTTTTTTTTCTGCACATTGCATGCTGTCCTTTGCACATCCTTCGAGCCTCTTGCCTCTCATTCTTTTCATTCACGACTCACAGGTAACTTCCAGAATCCCCCATTTACTGAATATGTGGACTTATGAGAATTAGTGTTTTTTGAAGCTGGGATGGAATTTAAAGACCATCTTATCCAATCCTCCCAGTTAAAAGAGGAGGAAACAGGCTGTGAGATTCACTCACAGGCAGGTTACCAGGCAGATGGGGGTGAGGGGTTGGGGGAGTTGAGGGGTGGGGATTGAAGAGTCAGGACTATAACCCAGGTCTCCAGGCCCCCAGCTAAGTGCTCTTCCCACTGTTGTGCAAGCTTTGAGAGCTCAAGTGTGGCTACAAGAGTTTGTACGTCCCTTGGGGACCACTCAGGAGACAGCACTTCACTGCACCCATCCTAAGAACCTCATTAGGTGTTAGTGGATACTAACCTGTGAATCAAGGAGACCATACCCATTACTGGTAAGAATCATTAAGGATCAAGTGCTGAAAATCTCATTCAAGACAGAAGCAACAAAATCAATGTTTAGACCAAAGAGGAGAACATTAAATGTGAGGGTCAAGGGAATATGGAAAATTCTACATAAAATAATATGGTATATAATGTTGGTTCAAAAAAGAGAGTATAGAGAAATTGCACTTCTTTTATGGATGGAAGAGGGCTTCAGAAAGATCAAAACATCTTGGGAAATGGTGATATATTTAAGATTATTGTCTAGGCTGGAGAAACCAGATGTCCTCAGGACTAGATAAGTAAGTTATAAATATGCCAGGCACACAGTTGGCATAGAGAAAAATTGGAAATTCTGAGAGGTTTCCTGACAGAGAAGGCTGTAAATTTCCTTCTCAGTGAGGCTTCTGTCACTCTGCCCAGCCAGAGGCAGCGGCGAGGCCTGGACTTTGCTAACATGCTATGGCTTCCCCTCAGATGGCAGGGACAGCGCGCCATGACCGAGAGATGGCGATCCAGGCCAAGAAAAAGCTCACCACGGCCACCGACCCCATTGAAAGACTCCGACTGCAGTGCCTGGCCAGGGGCTCTGCTGGGATCAAAGGACTTGGCAGGTAGGACCCAGCTACAAGTGGCAGGGAATGGAGCGGGAAGGAATGACTCTGCCAGGTGAGGCTAATGTTGGCCACGTGGTCTTGGGGAAGTCATCTCCTCCTAGGGGCTCAGTTCCTTATTTGTAAAATGTAGAGTTTAGAAGAGTTGATCTATGAGGTCCCTTGTGACAGTTTTTGGATCTTAGTCCCAGATTCGGCAAGACTCATATCTGCTACAAGACAGTGCAGCTCTGGGAAAATATGAGGTAAAGGGAGAAGCAGCATGTGCCCTGGCATGGAGATGCCTACCAGGACAATGAGAGGGACTCTCTCTGCAGCTGTGATAATAAAGGCCAGGGTGGAAGAGGGAGGAAGGAACAGCCAGTTAGCCCTAATTGCAGAATTTGGAATTTTGCTCTCGGGCAATCATTTCTCCATCACTTCCAGGGACACTGGTATTGCTTGTCAGATAACTGATAGCTCACTGCCAATGGGGTTCTCTCAGCTGGGTAGCTCCTGTTCTCCCACCCTCTGTCCTCTGAGTGTGAATAGTTTTAAGGACTGAGAAACCAAAAGGGAAAGGAGATTGTGAGCCTCCTGAGGGCAGGTCCTGTGCATTATAAGAAACTCCATCAAGAGCCTGCCATGGGCCAGGCATTGGACACATCTCAGGGACCCGTGGGTGAACAAGGCTTCTTAAGCCCCCATGGAGGACTAAGACTATGGACAATATGAGTGATCTAAATGGCATCTCAGTGGTGTGAGAAGTTGTTTATTAGAGAAGTACAGGGTGCCAATGGGAGGGAAATCTAGCCTTGGACCCAGAAGATGCGGAAGGCTTCACTTCCAGCAAGGTACTGAGTGCCTGGGAGAAAACTCTGAACAGTCCCAAGTCTCAGACTAAGCCCAGCTCTGTCAGAAGGCCAGGCAGTGGGGATATGGACCCTGGTGGCCAGGCTGCCCCAGTCCAATGGGAAGACCAGCACCCATGCCCTCAATATTGTGTCACTTCCACCTCTATCCCATTCATCATGGGTCCACATCATTGTCCTTAGTGCAAACCCTTGAGGAATCCTCTCTTCCACTCTCTGGTTCACTCAGTGGAATCCCTCCTGCTACCTGTGCCATCTTCACCCCATACCCACTGCACACTGCGTCTCTACCAGCCTTTCCACTGGGAACCAGTCTACAGTCAATGGACACCGTTCCATCCTAAGCCTTTTGCAGAATGTGCCATCTGCCTCACTTACTGGCCTTGGCCTTCTCTAAGTAACTCCTAACTCAAGTGGAAGCTGCCCCTCTCCTCCACTCCTACCTTAGGGTCAGTTGAAGACTGAACACTCTCCTTCAGTCTAACTCCAAATCCCAGGTCATACACACCCCTTTGTTCATTTATTTCTTTCCCATAAATCCTGTCTTAGAAGGGCATCTCTTCAGGTTAGGCTCTGCCATCATCCCCCCTGCACAACATTTAGCATTCTGTGAAGCATTGACTCCCGGCACCATCTTTCCACCCTGAGTCTTTATCCTGACCAAGATCAAGATGACTTTGTTATTTATAACCTTGGCACCTTCATTTTTTGACATGAAATTCTTGTGGTTTTCAACAGTATACGTTCTTTCTTAGTCATTTCCAATTGCCTTGTAAATGTAGATACTTCTCTAGTATCTAAATTCTCAAGATTCTTTTGCTAGTATCCTTAATTTATCAGACAACTTGGCTACTCCTGAGTTAGCACATCTGTACCTTGGCCCCTTGCCACGTTCTTGGAATGCTATCCGTTCCTGAGATCCAAACTAATTTCACAATTTTTATATATATATATATATATATTTTTTTTTTTAATCAGGAAAGATACTAGCTAACCAGTGAATATCTCTATATAGTTGACTTAGTATCCAATCCAAACAAAACAAAAGTCATTTTTTTTGTTTTTTGTTTTCCAAATAGAGCTTCTTCTGCAGCCCCTACGGTTTTAACAGTATTACTACTCTTCCAGGTCTTTGGGTTGAAAACTTTAGAATTATCTTCATTAGCCCACCATATTGACTCCTTTATTTCTATAATATCTTGAAATCTTTATTTTTCTTATTTTCATCCCAATTGCTCAAGTGTAGACACTCAACATTTTTTTCACTGGACTCTTATGATAGTATTCTTGCTGGTTCCTTTGCTCCTAAGTTTTCAGTCCTCCAATTCATTCAACCCATTATTGCTAGAGTTCTGTTAGCTCTCTTATGGGTAAAGTTCTCATTATTTTGATAATGTCACTTCAAGTCAACCATTTAATGACTTTAAAAATGACTTGCTAATAAAGTTCAAATTTTTAGCATTTAAGGACATTTAAAAGTCTTTAGATTCTGATTACTCCAACTTTCCATCTTTTAAAAAAATTATTCTTTAAGTGCTGGGATACATGGGCAGAACGTGCAGGTTTGTTACATAGGTATACATGTGCCATGGTGGTTTGCTGCACCCATCATCCTGTCATCTACATTAGGTATTTCTCCTAATGTTATCCCTCCCCTAGCCCTCCACCCCCTGAAGTTCATGTTCCACTGTGTGATGTTCCCCTCCTTGTGTCCACGTAATCTCATTGTTGAACTCCCACTTACGAGTGAGATCATGCGATGTTTAGTTTTCTGTTCCTGTGTTACTTTGCTAAGAATTATGGTTTCCAGCTTCACCCATATCCCTGCAAAGGACATGAACTCATCCTTTTTTTATGGCAGCCTGATATTCCATGGTGTATGTGTGCCACATTTTCTTTATCCAGTCTATCATTGATGGACATTTGAGTTGGTTCCAAGTTTTTGTTGTTGTGAATAGAGCTGCAATAAACATATGTGTGCAAGTGTCTTTACAGTAGAAAGATCTATAATCCTTTAGGTATATATCCGGTAATGGGATTGTGGGGTCAAATGGTATTTGTGGTTCTCCATCCTTGAGGAAATGCCACTCTGTCTTTCACAATGGTTGAACTAATTCACACTTCTACCAACAGGGTAAAAGCATTCCTATTTCTCCACATCCTCTCCAGCATCTGCTGTTTCCTGACTTTTTAATGATCACCATTCTAACTGACATGATTTGCATTTCTCTAATGACGATAAGCTTTTTTTTAAAATTTTATTATTATTATACTTTAAGTTTTAGGATACACGTGCACAACGCGCAGGTTTGTTACATATGTATACATGTGCCATGTTGGTGTGCTGCACCCATTAACTGGTCATTTAGCATTAGGTATATCTTCTAATGCTATCACTTCCCCCTCCCTTCACCCCACAACAGGCACCGGTGTGTGATGTTCCCCTTCCTGTGTCCATGTGTTCTCATTGTTCAATTCCCACCTATGAGTGCGAACATGCGGTGTTTGGTTTTTTGTCCTTGCAATAGTTTGCTGAGAATGATGGTTTCCAGCTTCATCCATGTCCCTACAAAGGACATGAACTCATCATTTTTTATGGCTGCATAGTATTCCATGGTGTATATGTGCCACATTTTCTTAATCCAGTCTATCATTGTTGGACATTTGGGTTGGTTCCAAGTCTTTGCTATTGTGAATAGTGCCACAATAAACATACGTGTGTATGTGTCTTTAGAGCAGCATGATTTATAATCCTTTGGGTATATAACCAGTAATGGGATGGCTGGGTCAAGTGATATTTCTAGTTCTAGATCCCTGAGGAATTGCCACACTGACTTCCACAATGGTTGAACTAGTTTACAGTCCCACCAACAGTGTAAAAGTGTTCCTATTTCTCCACATTCTCTCCAGCACCTGTTGTTTCCTGACTTTTTAATGATCGTCATTCTAACTGGTGTGAGATGGTATGTCATTGTGGTTTTGATTTGCATTTCTCTGATGGCCAGTGATGATGAGCATTTTTTCATATGTCTTTTGGCTGCATAAATGTCTTCTTTTGAGAAGTGCCTGTTCATATCCTTTGCCCACTTTTTGATGGGGTTGTGTGTTTTTTTCTTGTAAATTTGTTTGAGTTCATTGTAGATTCTGGATATTAGCCCTTTGTCAGATGAGTAGGTTGCAAAAATTTTCTCCCCTTCTGTAGGTTGCCTCTTCACTCTGATGGTAGTTACTTTGGCTGTGCAGAAGCTCTTTAGTTTAATTAGATGCCATTTGTCCATTTTGGCTTTTGTCGCCATTGCTTTTGGTGTTTTAGACATGAAGTCCTTGCCCATGCCTATGTCCTGAATGGTATTGCCTAGGTTTTCTTCTACGGTTTTTATGGTTTTAGGTCTAACATGTAAGTCTTTAATCCATCTTGAATTAATTTTTGTGTAAGGTGTAAGGAAGGGATCCAGTTTCAGCTTTCTACATATGGCTAAGCCAGTTTTCCCAGCACCATTTATTAAATAGGCAATCCTTTCCCCATTACTTGTTTTTGTCAGGTTTGTCAAAGATCAGATAGTTGTAGATATGTGGCATTATTTCTGAGGGCTCTGTTCTGTTCCATTGGTCTATATCTCTGTTTTGGTACCAGTACCATGCTGTTTTGGTTACTGTAGCCTTGTAGTATAGTTTGAAGTCAGGTAGCGTTATGCCTCCAGCTTTTTCTTTTGTCTTAGGATTGTCTTGGCAATGTGGGCTCTTTTTTTGGTTCCATATGAACTTTAAAGTAGTTTTTTCCAATTCTGTGAAGAAAGTCGTTGGTAGCTTGATGGGGATGGCATTGAATCTATAAATTACCTTGGGCAGTATGGCCATTTTCAAGATATTGATTCTTCCTACCCATGAGCATGGAATGTTCTTCCATTTGTTTGTATCCTCTTTTATTTCCTTGAGCAGTGGTTTGTAGTTCTCCTTGAAGAGGTCCTTCACATCCCTTGTAAGTTGGATTCCTAGGTATTTTATTCTCTTTGAAGCAATTGTGAATGGGAGTTCACTCATGATTTGCCTCTCTGTTTGTCTGTTATTTGTGTTTAAGAATGCTTGCGATTTTTGCACATTGATTTTGTATCCTGAGACTTTGCTGAAGTTGCTTATCAGCTTAAGAAGATTTTGGGCTGAGACGATGGGGTTTTCTAGATATACAATCATGTCATCTGCAAACAGGGACAATTTGACTTCCTCTTTTCCTAATTGAATACCATTTGTTTCCTGCTCCTGTCTGATTGCTCTGGCCACAACTTCCAACACTATGTTGAATAGGAGTGGTGAGAGAGGGCATCCCTGTCTTGTGCCAGTTTTCAAATGGAATGCTTCCAGTTTTTTGCCGATTCAGTGTGATACTGGCTGTGGGTTTGTCATAGATAGCTCTTATTATTTTGAGATAACGTCCCATCAATACCTAATTTGTTGAGAGTTTTTAGCATGAAGGGTTGTTGAATTTTGTCAAAGGCCTTTTCTGCATCTATTGAGATAATCATGTGGTTTTTGTCGTTGGTTCTGTTTATATGCTGGATTACATTTATTGATTTGCGTATGTTGAACCAGCCTTGCATCCCAGGGATGAAGCCCACTTGATCATGGTGGATAAGCTTCTTGATGTACTGCTGGATTTGGTTTGCCAGTATTTTATTGAGGATTTTTGCATTGATGTTCACCAGGGATATTGGTCTAAAATTCTCTTTTTTGGTTGTGTCTCTGTCCGGCTGTGGTATCAGGATGATGCTGGCCTCCTAAAATAAATTAGGGAGGATTGCCTCTTTTTCTATTGACTGGAATAGTTTCAGAAGGAATGGTACCAGTTCCTCCTTGTACCTCTGGTAGAATTTGGCTGTGAATCCTTCTGGTCCTGGACTGTTTTTGGTTGGTAAGCTATTAATTATTGCCTCAATTTCAGGGTCTGTTATTGGTCTATTCAGAGATTCAACTTCTTCCTAGTTTAGTCTTGGGAGGGTGTGTGTGTTGAGGAATTTATCCATTTCTTCTAGATTTTCTAGTTTATTTGCATAGAAGTGTTTATAGTATTCTCTGATGGTAGTTTGTATTTCTGTGGGATCGGTGGTGATATCCCCTTTATCATTTTTTATTGTGTCTATTTGATTCTTCTCTCTTTTCTTCTTTATTAGTCTTGCTAGAGTTCTATCAATTTTGTTGATCTTTTCAAATAACCAGCTCCTGGATTTAATGATTTTTTGAAGAGTTTTTTGTGTCTCTATTTCCTTGAGTTCTGCTCTGATCTTAGTTATTTCTTGCCTTCTGCTAGCTTTTGAATATGTTTGCTCTTGCTTCTCTAGTTCTTTTAATTGTGACATTAGGGTGTCAATTTTAGATCTTTCCTGCTTTCTCTTGTGGACATTTAGTGCTATAAATTTCCCTCTACACACTGCTTTGAATGTGTCCCAGAGATTCTGGTATGTTGTGTCTTTGTTCTCGTTGGTTTCAAAGAACATCTTTATTTCTGCCTTCATTTCGTTATGTACCCAGTAGTCATTCAGGAGCAGGTTGTTCAGTTTCCATGTAGTTGAGAGGTTTTGAGTGAGTTTCTTAATCCTGAGTTCTAGTTTGATTGCACTGTGGTCTGAGAGACAGTTTGTTATAATTTCTGTTCTTTTACATTTGCTGAGGAGTGTTTTACTTCCAATTATGTGGTCAATTTTGGAATAGGTGTGGTGTGGTGCTGAAAAGAATGTATATTCTGTTGATTTGGGGTGGAGAGTTCTGTAGATGTCTATTAGGTCCGCTTGGTGCAGAACTTAGTTCAATTCCTGGATATCTTTGTTAACTTTCTGTCTCGTTGATCTGTCTAATGTTGACAGTGGGGTGGTAAAGTCTCCCATTATTATTGTGTGGGAGTCTAAGTCTCTTTGTAGGTTTCTAAGGACTTGCTTTATGAATCTGCGTGCTCTTGTATTGGGTGCATATATATTTAGGATAGTTAGCTCTTCTTGTTGAATTGATCCCTTTACCATTATGTAATGGCCTTCTTTGTCTCTTTTTATCTTTGTTGTTTTAAAGTCTGTTTTATCAGAGACTAGGATTGCAACCCCTGCCTTTTTTTGTTTTCCATTTGCTTGGTAGATCTTCCTCCATCCCTTTATTGTGAGCCTGTGTGTGTCTCTGCATTTGAGATGGGTTTCCTGAATACAGCACACTGATGGGTCTTGACTGTTTATCCAATTTCCCAGTCTGTGTCTTTTAACTGGAGCATTTAGCCCATTTACATTTCAGGTTAATATTGTTATCTTTGAATTTGATCCTGTCATTATGATGTTAGCTGGTTATTTTGCTCATTAGTTTATGCCGTTTCTTCATAGCATCGATGGTCTTTACAATTAGGCATGTTTTTGCAGTGGCTGGTACCGGTTGTTCCTTTCCACATTTAGTGCTTCCTTCAGGAGCTCTTTTAGGGCAGGCCTGGTGGTGACAAAATCTCTCAGCATTTGCTTGTCTGTAAAGGATTTTTATTTCTCCTTCACTTATGAAGCTTAGTTTGGCTGGATACGAAATTCTGTGTTGAAAATTCTTTTCTTTTAGAATGTTGAATATTGGCCCCCACTCTCTTCTGGCTTGTAGAGTTTCTGCTGAGAGATCCGCTGTTAGTCTGATGGGCTTCCCTTTGTGGGTAACCTGACCTTTCTCTGTGGCTGCCCTTAACATTTTTTCCTTATTTCCACTTTGGTGAATCTGACAATTATGTGTCTTGGAGTTGCTCTTCTCGAGGACTATCTTTGTGGCATTCTCTGTATTTCCTGAATTTGAATGTTGGCCTGCCTTGCTAGATTGGGGAAGTTCTCCTGGAAAATATCCTGCTGAGTGTTTTCCAACTTGGTTCCTTTCTCCCCATCACTTTCAGGTACACCAATCAGACATAGATTTGGTCTTTTCACATAGTCCCATATTTCTTGGAGGCGTTGTTCATTTCTTTTTGTTCTTTTATCTCTAAACTTCTCTTCTCACTTCATTTCATTCATTTGATCTTCCATCACTGATACCCTTTCTTCCAGTTGATCGAATTGGCTACTGAGGCTTGTGCATTCATCACGTAGTTCTCTTGTCATGGTTTTCAGCTCCGTCAGGTCCTTTAAGGACTTCTCTGCAGTGGTTTTCTAGTTAGACGTTCATCTAATTTTTTTTTCAAGGTTTTTAACTTCTTTGCCATGGGTGCAAACTTCCTCCTTTAGCTCAAGTAGTTTGATCATCTGCAGTCTTCTTCTGTCAACTTGTTAAAGTCATCTCCATCCAGCTTTGTTCCATTGCTGGTGAGGAGCTGTGCTCCTTTGGAGGAGGAGAGGCACTCTGCTTTTTAGAGTTTCCAGTTTTTCTGCTCTGTTTTTTCCCCATCTTTGTGGTTTTATCTACCTTTGGTCTTTGATGATGGTGACATACAGATGAGGTTTTGGTGTGGATGTCCTATCTGTTTGTTAGTTTTCCTTCTAACAGTCAGGAACCTCAGCTGCAGGTCTGTTGGAGTTTGCTGGAGGTCCACTCCAGACCCTGTTTGCCTGGGTATCAGCAGTGGAGGCTGCAGAACAGCAGATATTGGTGAACAGCAAATGTTGCTGCCTGATTGTTCCTCTGGAAGTTTTGTCTCAGAGGAGTACCTGGCCGTGTGAGGTGTCAGTCTGCCCCTACTGGGGGGTGCCTCCCAGTTAGGCTACTCGGGGGTCAGGGACCCACTTGAGGAGGCAGTCTGTCCATTATCAGATCTCAAGCTGCATGCTGGGAGAACCATTACTCTCTTCAAAGTTGTCAGACAGGGACATTTAAATCTGCAGAGGTTTCTGCTGCCTTTTGTTTGGCTATGCCCTGCCCCCAGAGGTGGAGTCTACAGAGGCAGGCAGGCCTCCTTGAGCTGCAGTGAGCTCCACCCAGTTTGAGCTTCCTGGCTGCTTTGTTTACCGTCTCAAGCCTCAGCAATGGTGGGCATCCCTCCCCCAGCCTCGCTGCTGCTTTGCAGTTTGGTCTCAGACTGCTGTGCTGGCAATGAGTGAGGCCCGGTGGGTGTCGGATCCTCCGAGCCAGGTGCAGGATATAATCTCCTGGTGCGCCGTTTGCTAAGACTGTTGGAAAAGCATAGTATTAGGGTGGGACTGACCCGATTTTCCAGGTGCCGTCTGTCACCCCTTTCTTTGACTAGGAAAGGGAATTCCCTGACCCCTTGCGCTTCCTGGGTGAGGCGATGCCTTGCCCTGCTTCAGCTCATGCTTGGTGTGCTGCACCCACTGTCCGACACTCCCCAGTAAGATGAACCTGGTACCTTAGTTGGAAATGCAGAAATCACCTGTCTTCTGCATCGCTCACGCTGGGAGCTGTAGACTGGAGCTGTTCCTATTTGGCCATCTTGCTCCACCCCCTTATTTTTTAAATAGACTACTTTAAAAACCAATGCCAGCACATGATTATTAACTAAGGCCCATAATTTATTCATACTTCCGTAGTTTTTACCTAGTGTCCTTTTCTGTTTCAAGATCTCATCCAGAACTCTGCTTTACATTTACTTGTAATGTTTCCTTAGGATCCTGTTGGTTATGACAGTTTCTCAGACTTTCCTGGTTTTTGATGAATGTGAGAGGTCAAGTATTTTGTAGGATGCCCACCTATTGGAATTTCTCTGATTTTTTTCTTCATGACTAAACTGGGCTTATTATTTTTAGGGACCACAGACATAAAGCACCATTTTTATCACATTATACCAAGGATATGTATGATTAACATGATTTATTACTGTTGATGTTGACACTGATCACCTGATTGAGGTAGTATTTGTCAGACTTCTCCATTGTAAAGTTGCTTCCCTTTTCCCTTTTCCATATCGTACTTTTTGGAAGGAAACCTCTTTGTAGAGCCCACACTTAGAGAGTGGGGAGTATATGTTCCCTCCTTGAGAGGAGAATATATCCATAACTTATTTGGAATTTTTCTGCAAGAGAAATTTGTCATTTTCTTCATCTTTATTTACTCTATCATTTATTTAACCAGTATGGATGTAGGGATTTCTTTTTTATATTTTGGGTTATAATCCAGCATAGTTTTATTGGTTTAATTGTTCCAGCCTTGATCTTGAGAGCTATTTAAGTTGGCTCCTATATCCCTAACATAGCCACATCACTGTGATTTTCTGACTTCCTAAATCATTTTTTTAAAATTGATATGCATTAAGGTTTACACCTTGCTCTGTAAAGTGCTATGGGTTTTAGCAAATGCATAATGTCATGTATCCACCATCATAGTATTATAAAGGATAGTTTCTTTGACCTAAAAATCCCATGTTTCACCAATTCAACTCTTTCCTTTACCTTTCATCTTTTTACTGTCTCCACAGTTTTGTCTTTTGCAGAATGTCATGTAATTAGAATTATACTTTGTGTGTGTGTTTGTGTGTGTGTGGTGGGAAGAGGCTCTCCAGTTTTGGAAAGGAGGGTGCAGAGAAGAATTTAAGACTTTTGTATTTTAATTTGACGAAACCTTGAGTGTGGATTTTTTTTTAATCTTTACACTTACACCTGTTATTTGTACATTTCTTCTGAATTTTTGTGTGTATTTTCTTCAGAGTGTTTAGAATTATGGATGACGATAATAATCGAACCCTTGATTTTAAAGAATTTATGAAAGGGTTAAATGATTATGCTGTGGTCATGGAAAAAGAAGAGGTGGAAGAACTTTTCCGGAGGTTTGATAAAGATGGAAATGGAACAATAGACTTCAATGAATTTCTTCTCACATTAAGAGTAAGTGGCCCCATTAATCAGTGTATCTGCTGAGTTTGGCTTTCACGTGGTTTGGGTTGGCTACCTTGAGGTTTTGTTTTTACAAGTTGTTAGTACACTGTGGGGAGGGGGATAAGCAGAAAACTGTGAACAGACTTAGGAATTTTTGGAGCAATTGTAGTGTCTATTACATAATAGCACACAAATATTATTTCACATCGTTGAGGGGAATGAGATATTTTATCACATAGGATACCAAAAAAGCTCATTTGCTTATGTATGTCTCTGTATGTATTCTTCTATTTTTGTAGCCTCCAATGTCCAGAGCCAGAAAAGAGGTAATCATGCAAGCTTTTAGAAAGTTAGACAAGACTGGAGATGGTGTTATAACAATCGAAGACCTTCGTGAAGTATATAATGCAAAACACCACCCAAAGTACCAGAATGGGGAATGGAGTGAGGAACAAGTATTTAGGAAATTTCTGGATAACTTTGATTCACCCTATGACAAAGATGGATTGGTAAGTAAAAGAGCCTAATCTAGGGGAAATTTCTTCAATTCGAAATTGTAAATGGGAAATAGGTCCAAACTCTTAAAAATGTTAACACATTGATACCATATTTGTTGTAAATAGAAGTAAACTATTTCCCTAGGAACAATCTAGAAACTTCTCCATTGCCAGGGGAAACCTTCATGTTACTTTAGTTGAAACCTAATGTATGTTTGTGCACGCACACACTCATAGACATATATTGAAATATATTGGTAGGGGATCCACATAAGTGATGACCTGTCATCTGGGGAATGTGATGTTCTGATTAAACATGCCATTTTATGGTTACTATATTTACCATACTCAGCTAGTTGCACTCCAGTGAACTGATTATAATAAAATATATTTAACTTTGAAATGAGATCATAATTTAATTTTGGAGAACAGATTTACAAGGCCTTTCAGGATGTTTTAGTGCCTTCACACTCATCCTCATTCATCTTCACACTTTGCTATGTGGAAATGCCATTTAAAGGTAGTTTTTGGTAAAGGGAATGTCAAATAACAGAATTTACTCTGATTTATTCTTTAGTGTGCTTTGAGATTAACTTACATTTCTAAACTGCACTGAATTTGAAAACAAAATCAACCGCCCATCTCCATTAACTTTTATCTTCAAGTTACAAATGCATAGCTTGGTAGGGTAAGGAATTATATAGCTCCATGACTGTGTCTAGGCTGAGATGAAAATGTCATCTGTCCTTTATCAACAGCCCTAAATTGACTTTTTAGAAAAAAAAAAAAAACCCTGAGCCAGTTCTGTTCTTAGATGATCTAAGGGTTTTGGTGATAAGGAAAGGGGATTGTCCCTTGAGTAACAGTCAGCAGCAGCACAGCCCCAGGGTTCATTGTCTCTTAAGCCCTTTACAGCACAGGAAAAGATAAGTGGCCCAGTGGACAAGAAGAGAGTGGTTAAGGGAAGAAGAAATAAACCTTCCTCTTCTGAAGGGAATGTGCTCCAACTTTTTAAATGAAACTTCATGATGAGTCTCATTAGCAAGGGGTGGGGGATAGGAAGGTGACCTTTCTGTTCTTCCTGCTGACATTTCCCTTTCAGGGATGGAGACATACCCTCTATTTCAGGCTGAGGATTGTGGAGGCAGGTTTACAAAAGGGCCAAAATTCAATAGGGCAGCCAAAATCTTAGGGACAGAAATAAAAACTACATGTTTTCTTCCAGTATTGCTGGCCTTGATCACTGAGATGTCAGTGGAAAAATAGCCAACTGCCATTTCCCCAAATTAGCCCACCCCTTTGTGGATCCTAGAGTGTGTCTGCTTCCTCTCTGCAGGTGGTTCCTCCTCATTGCCAGGGGAAACCTCAGCTACCCTTTTCTCTAACAAAAGTCAAAATAGCCAGTTGTGATTCGGCTGATTCAAGTCTGCACATCACCCCTTTTGATATTTATCTTAAGAAGCCACATTAAGCTCTCAAAAGCTCATAAAGGTTATTGAGGTTTTTAGCAGTTATAGCACTTGATGTCATCTGCATGTTACAGACCCTGTATTGATACCCAACTCTGGCTGTTCATAATCATCATCAGGGAGGATTTATTAGTAATGTAGATTCCTAGCTGCACTGCAGAACCACAGAATCTGATTTTTTGGAGGATGGAGTCCAAGGCTTTACATTTTAATGTGTACCAGATGACTCTTACACTCACGTGTATTTGTGATCCTTAGCTCTAAAAGATTCAGAAATAACTGTTTTAAAATTACTAAATATAATATACACATGACCCCATTTAGCATAATAATGAATCTGGGCAACACTTTTTGAGCACATATCAACTGGGCATTTGCTAAGGGCTTACCAGGGATATCTCATTTAATAGACATAATAAAAGTGTTTCTGAAAAGTGATGTGTAATTCAAACTTTCGCACACTGAATTGTATTTTAAATGCACAAGAAATTGTTGTTGTAGAGGAACTCCATGGTAAATTCTTTTATGAGAAGAATAATTAGCTTCTAAAATTTACCTCTTGCAAATTGCACTATTTTGCATATTAAGATTGCTTGTGGTGAAGCATAGCTGTACTTGAAGCCAGTGTGCTCATTTATGGTTAAAAACATCCCATATAAGACAAAATTTAAAATAATGCAAAAAATTTAGCATAGCTCCTAGCTAAAGGTAATGTTCAAACTTGATAATCTAGGTTAAACTCTCAAATACCCATAAAGGTTGCTGGAGTTTCAGCAGTCACGGAATTTGATGTCATAAATCTTGCACTAATACCTCACTGGACTCCCATAGCAGCCGGAAGCCATTTGGATGGAGGTGTGAAGCAATCAGATAACCTGTGACACAGACTTTCCTTACCCCTTTTCTATCACTAAACCCCACCACAATTTGGTGAGACATTTACTTCTTATTCTTTAATATCTAAGTTTTGAATTCTTCATGTGTATATATGACTTTATCATCACTATATTTTTAAAAAGCCTCTTAGGACTTTAGACCTTCAGGGAATATCAGTCTATTGCCTCATCCATCTCATAAAAAATTTTTAAATAATTAAAAATATGTTAGGTATATTACTGAGTGTATGTATTAATAGTAACCTAGATTTGTTTTAGGATTTTTCTGATGAATTTGGAGCTGAGAAAAAGGGCTTGTATTGTGACTTCCATTACCCCCATCTGGGACCTTTCCTTGTATATATGATATATATCTTGTCACATAAAGGTAGCCTAGTCAAGAGGCCTGCTAAAAGTAGGAGTGCCCAGTCTCTCATTTTTTTCTAATGTCAAATAAAATGAATAAGGATAGTGATTATTGCTAACCAACAATTTACTATGATGAGGGCAAATTTACAGGAGATCAGAGAATTTGCGATTCAGGCCATTCCCAATATAAGTTGAGTCTCAGAAAACAAGCAAACACCTAGCTAAGAGTAACTGATGGCTTTTTCTGAAATGATCAAATACATTAGCTCTGACCTCTGGCTTGACGTCATCTGACTTCCAAGTGAGGTTTAATGCTTCCTTTATCTTTTGCCCATCTTGGATTCCTTCTCCATTCTCCAACAGAGCCAACTCAACTCAGGTCACCCCATCCCACTGGGGGAGTTTGGGATGGAAGGATGGGTGACGATACCAGTCTCAATCATGTATTGGTGTTTCAGTTAGGGTTTGCTTTCAATTGCAAGAAATAGGAAATCTTATTATACACTGGAATACACAAATTAGGTTTTATTTTTTATTCTACTTGATGTTCTCACTTGAGTGGCTTAAAGAGAGCAGAGCTGAAGTCTTTGTGATTTTCCTGGCCTTTCCTTCATGATCTCAAGATGGTTGCCTAACTTCAGCCAGCACATCTGAGTTTCAGGCAGCAGGACAAAGGAGGGAGAAGGAGGGAACGAGAAAGGGCTGGAGCCTGCATCAGGAAAGCAAAGGCTTCCCTAGAAATTCATGTCAAATTTCCTTTGTATCTTATTGGTGAGAACTCTATTACTTGGCCATCCCAAGCTGAAGCTGCAGAGGAGTCTGGGAAAGTGAGTTTTGAGTTTTTCAACTTCTGTGGGAGAGAAAAGCTAGGGATAGGATTATTACAGTGGATGTGGAGGGAGTCTCATTCAATGGCTGTCATCCCTGGCCAACAAACAGACAATAGAAACAATAACAAACTAAAAATATCGGGAGTTTGATAATTTTTAATTAAAAAATAATTAGCTGTAAAAAATGTTCCTCAAACTGTCATGGTAAAGTGCACCGTCAAAATGGCTCAGGGTCTCGTGGGTAACTCTTTTAGTTTACTTGCTATTTGCTGTAAAATGATCCACTTACTTTGTTGGAGTATTTCACCAGCCTGCAACTTTTTGAGGACTGAGACTTTATCTTAATTATCTTTGATATTCCCAGTTAAATTACTGTAGTGTGCACAACAATTAACTGGGATGTTTAGATTTTTAAGAAGTAAATTCCACAACCACCTGCTTCAGAGATTCTGATTTAGCAGGTGTGGGGTACAGCCTGTGGGCCTAGGCTTATGACAGACACCCCAGGTTGTCCTGATGCAGGTGGTGTGGACCCACACTGATAAACATTTCCCTGGAACCTCACACAACATGAGAAAGATAGAAAGAGGGCAATAATGATGTGTGAAACTTAATGTAATCCCTTAATGAGGGAATTGAAAAGCAGAGGCTGAGGAATCCAAAGGAGGAGAGGAATAAAGAAGTTCAACAAAGGGGGATGCTAATGGTATCCTAATTTTGACAGAGGCTCTATGCATGTATTGTAGATGTGTATTTACAGTTCAACTATGAGCTGAGTTCAAATGCCTTTCTTTCTACTGCCCTTCCTTATGTTTTTAGTGGGAAGGGGTGGTATGAAAGACAACTGTGGATCCAGTGACTTTTCTTTTCTGGTCACTTATAATTTCAATAGGACCAGTGGGTCAGTCATCTCTTATGATTCTTGGAAGGCATAGGTATGTCCCCAACCGATCATGTCAACCAACATGATTAAATTAGAGTGTACATATTATCTAGACCTGTTAAAAATAAGACTAATAACTGTCTTTTCTCCTTCCCCAAAGGAAAGTAATATAAAATCCCCACACAGATAAACACATTAGTCAATATTTCAAAGAGATGGTCATGGGTGTAGAGTGGAGAGAAGCCAGGATGGGTGGGAGGCATGAAGCAGGGGTAAGCTTTTTATTCACCCTGGGCCTTGAATGAGTTATTTATGTGTTAGAAAAGCATGCAACCCGGGAGCGTTTAACTAGAAATCTGTTTCTTCACCCACAGGAGAGAACTCCATTTTTGGAAAGGGAAAACATCACTTACCCTGACACAAGGACATGACATGTTGTTTCTGACGTGTCACAGAAAGACAGAAATAACTACAGTTGCAGAGCACTTCCTTCTTACTCTGAGTTTCAGTCTCCCTTACCTGAACCGACGGGCTCCCACCCTTAGACAAAAGATGACAACCTATGCGTCACTTTCCATTTAGGTTGGCTTAGAAACTTTCAAGACTTTCTTTCTCTCTTCCTAGGTGCTGTTCTCACACCATCCTCAGCTTCACTTGTTCTTTTGTTTTAGATCAGTTCCTCAGCCATGATCACATACACAAAGAAATCCTCTATTTCCCTTCTATTTACAGGTGCACAAGGTGGGCGCCCATTGACAGAGTGAGAAGCAAAGTTTCGTTTTTGTTTCTAACTTTTCCACTGCAGGTGACCCCTGAGGAGTTCATGAACTACTATGCAGGTGTGAGCGCATCCATTGACACTGATGTGTACTTCATCATCATGATGAGAACCGCCTGGAAGCTTTAAGCACATGACCTGGGGACCAGGCCCTGGGACAGCCATGTGGCTCCAAATGACTAAATGTCAGCTCAAAAACCAGAATCGTATTTGATTTCACACTCATCCTAATGTTTTTTTCTGTGTCAAAATATTGCATTTTCTGGGGCCAAAAAACAGGCAGAAATAAAAGACATTGAGTAGCCAACTGTGAGTTTGCCTTGCCTAAGACTGTTTCCTTTGTTCTAAAATAGGACTTAAATAAAATGAGCTCTGTAAAGCTCCTAGTGCTGTGCTGATACATGCAGGTGTCTAATCAACTTTAGGTTTTATCCCTTGGCCATTAATGAAAGCTTGAGTATTTTAATTAAAACCCTCACCCATGCACCCATAGTTTTTCTTCACCTCCTTTTAGATGATCCTTTTCTAGGTGAGATGATAATATATCTCTTTTTATGACTGATTGTAAGTCTTTAAGTGTTTCAGTCTCATTTGGGGACCAGAAGAAGACCACGTGTTAGCCTCAATTTCTACAAGCAAATCTTGAGTTTCACTGCTTAGGGTTTAGGGAAGCCGCAGTTTGACAAATAGATTCAAAATGATTTATTTAATAGTCATTTTAAAGACTGGTGTGAGTGAGGAGGCTATTTCTTTGAGCAGTAGATCCACGCCTGTTCATGGTACTCCTGTGGCTGAAGTTTTGAAACTGGGCTGGGCGCTCAGATTTTATCTGGGACATCTTGCGCTGTGTGTGGGCAGGCTATTCCAGAAAGCCTTCACCTGGTGGAATGTTTATCTCTCCCCTCTCTGCTTTCTGCCAATTGTGTTGAAATTCCCACCAGCAAGGGCTGGGTGCAGTGGCTCACGCCTGCAATCCCAGTACTTTGGGAGGCTGAGGTGGGTGGATCACCTGAGGTCAGGAGTTCAAGGCCAGCCTGTCCAACATGGTGAAAACCCTGTCTCTACTAAAAATAAAAAAATTAGCTGGGCATGGTGGCACATGCCTGTAATCTCAGCTACTCCAGAGGCTGAGACATGAGAATTGCTTGAACCCGGGAGGCAGAGGCTGCAATGAGCTCAGATCATGCCACTGCACTGCACTCCAGCCTAGAGCAAGACTCTGTCTCAAACAAACAAACAAACAAACAAAAATTCCCACCAGCACAAGGAGGTTGGGTGTGACACGGACTAGGATTTCAATAATATTCCAAAGCAGGTTTTCCATCTTGATGCTTCATGGCTTAACACCTCCTCCTCCCAGCACTAAGCTTTGGCTTCATATCGTTGATGTGTAGGACTCTGCCCATGAAAGGCTACTAGAAGCAAAGATAGCCCAGAGGCTGGAAAATAGATAAGAAAACTACAGCTCTCCTTCTGTGTCTTCTGTATCTAGGGCCAGAGATAAAAGCACAGTGACCAGCCTCTGGTTATGGTGCTGGAGACAATGCCCACCCACCTTGCTGCTGGGTGAAATACCTCCTTTTGACTCTGTCCTTAGCTGCACTCATCCCCCAGTTTGCAGACAGGATTGGGTTAATAGTCTTCTTTAAGATCTTATATACTTAATTGGCTCTGGATTTAGGGATTGAACACACTTGCCATATTTTGTATCAATTCACTGTTTAGGTTTTATTTCATACGCTTGGAAGTTGAGATTCGGATATGTATTAATTTAAAACATGTGAAAACCAGTGCTGCTACATAGGCATTATAGTAGTTATTAAGTAACTTGTTGAGATGCTCAACTTTTTCTTGAGGATGGTGTATCCCCGTATTACCAGAAACTAGTTTTGTTTTTGTTTTTGTTTTTTTACTTAATTGCACAATTGCACAAGTTTGATTTTGTATTGGATTTATTATCTCTGCTCATATAGAGGTTGGTTAGGCCAAAGATACCAAGTGTTATGAAGAAATATGTAGACTTATGTAGAAAACCAGAAGAAATTGTGAAGAAATGTATAGAAAAAAATCCATATATTTTTGCAGCCTGTGCCTTGTAGACTGTGGCTAAGGAGAGGTCCCCTATTTCCTGGGGATGATGGGTTTCAAGGCTTTTGCTCTAGAAAGATTCTTGTCTTTGATTCTGGGTATGACTCATGCCTCAGCTTAACTGAGGCTATAGAGTGAGCATGTGATTCTGAGCAAGGACCAGGTTGCAGCTATCAGCTTAGTCTTCTCCAGTGATACTTTGCTTCCTGTCAAATGGGGGCACAGGGCACAGCTATCCAATTTCAGATAACCCATACTTCATAGTGTATTTGGTCACATTTAGTTGCTTCTCTTCTAGCGGTTTGGGTTCTGGGCCCATGAGCAAGGTTCCACCAAGGCCCTTTCACCCTCTGGAAACAAAATCTGCTAATAACCTAATGGTCAAGGGTCACTGCACTCCAATTCTCATTCTCCTTTATGGCTTCTGGCACAGTCACGAATTATGCATTATTTAGCTCTACTCCTTCTAGTAGGAGTGGGAGGAAAAGAGAAGAGACATTTAAAGAAATCATTTGCTAACACTCTTCTGGATATATTTTTTGTTTATTTAACTTACAGATTTTAAAGCTTACTCCGTTTACAATTTAAAAAATAAGCCCTTAGTTCAGAAGGCAAAACACAATAAAAAGTTGCCAAAACATCCCTCAGGAAAACCTCACCTGTTGGGTCTGGTCCTCAGATAGAAAATTAAACAAGCCAAAGAAAAGAGAATGAAATTAGCAACTTTTTATGAAACAAGAATGATGTATGCAAACATTCTGAGAATGAGAGTTTGTCAGAACAAACCACCCATAACAATACTGAATTTGGATTTCTAACTTGATCAAAGGCAAACCCATGCAAGAATGGCCAGAGACTCTGACTCTCTGCTGCTGTGCACATCATACTTGGATTCTATTCACAGTGCAAATGAGAAACCCAGAATGTGGAAGCTATGCAAACTAAACTGTAGACTGAGGCAGAATTCTTTCTGCTGGTCTGTGGGGCTGGTTTTCACAGTGATTTAAACTGTGATAGGATCTTCCCAGGCACAGATGGCACTTTGGAGGACCATGTACTTGTTCTGTATGGTTTGACAGCAGGCATGGAGTCACATTTCATACCGTAATCAAGCTTTTCAAAGGCAGAGCTGGGTGTTCTCCAAGTAGCTGCAGATTGACTTGGCATACATCATGGCTTGCAGGTGTAAATACATCCCATCAATAAATATTTATTGAGATACATGCTTTTTTTCTAGGCCATGGGGACAGAGCAGTGAACTAGAATAATTGCAAGCAAAACCATTGGCTTTCAAACCAAACTAACAACCCACAGTTGTTAAGAGATCAAAGAGGGTAGAGAGGGAGGGAAAGAACAGGCACCCAAATTCCCCTCCCAGAATCTCATTCAGCCTCTGAAGTCAGGACAGTTGGAGCCCTTTCTGTGGCACTGTGTCGGGGAGTGACGTAGTCAATTTCATGGACATAGACAGCCTATCAAGACAATGCAAGGAAAATCCCTCTCTGTATTTGGAGGCAGATAATTGTGTTGGCTCTTTAATTTTCTTGGCCAAAGTTGATTGTCTCACTGAGCCATGAGAGTACAAGTAGGTAACACTTCCATTCTCACTAAACTACCTGCAGATGCAGTCTATGTTGAAGTTTAATCAAGTGGAGAGATAGAATTTACCAGATGTATTCACAGATGGTGTGTGGGGGCCCTTCTACCTCTGCTTCATGAAATTCTATTAACCTTCTCTGAGTAGTATACCTTTTTTGGATTTATGCATATCTGTTTTGTTATTGTTTTTATTTATTATGTTTTTGATATGGAGTCTCGCTGTGTCACCCAGGCTGGAGTGCAGTGGTGCCATCTCGGCTCACTGCAATCTCCATCTCCCAGGTTCAAATGATTCTCCTGTCTCAGCCTCCGAGTAACTGGGATTACAGTCACCTGTCACTATACCCAGCTAATTTTTTGTATTTTTAGGAGAGATGGGGTTTTACCACGTTGGCCAGGCTAGTCTCGAATCCCTCACCTCAGGTGATTTGCCCACCTCGGCCTCCCACAGTGCTGGGATTATAGGCTTGAGCCACCACTCCCGACCATGCATATCTATTTTGAGTACAGAAATGAAGAACCTCATATTTTCCAATTCCCAAACTGGTCAACAGACTTGCTTTCCTGGAGATTATTGATTGTTCTTTTAAATTAAGATCCTATTGAATGAAGCGGTAAAGTTTTAAATCCTAGAAATGCTTATGACTCAAAGGAAAAACAAAAGCATCAGAAGTCTGACAGATTGTCATTTAATGTTATTGAGTTTCGTGTAACTGATCCTTTTGAAAGCCAATGTTTCTCAGCATGATTTTACTCCTCCAAGTCACTTAAATGAAAACTATGTAACTTTGATAGAGATAGCTAGTTCTTTTATTCCGAAAAAATAAAACCCACCTAGTTAACCCCTAAAATTATATGTTCTAAAACAGGTGATGGGTGAGATATGTTGAAAGAAACATAAACAAATGATTGATGGGGGTTCTGAGAACATCGCTGTGTGAGAAGAATTCTTTTTGCCATTTCAGCTGGTGTGGTGACAGGCTGTGGTGAAACAGCTCTTCCTCTCTGAGAACAGCATGACCTTCTTGTTTAATTCTCACACCTGCCTCGCCAAAGCCATATCTTTTCCCCTGAGCAAAGTATAGTGGAAGAACCTCCTCAGGAGTGAAGCCCACTGAAAATATAAGCAACCAACCAGTAGACAAGGTTTTAATATGGACCTTGCAATGACCAGAAAGGTAGAGTTCATCAGGGAAAAAAATCTCAACACGTAATGGCCTTTTTTTTTCTTTTGTATTAGATTTTCTTTTGATTCTTCCTAATGGAATTTATTTATTGTTTCTCTGGGGTATTTCAAAAATCCTAGCAGCCATTGAACATTGTTGATGCCATGTGAGTTTCACCGAAGTCCCTGTGAGCACCATGGGCTTCCAGCTCCATCTCCCAGCACTAGAAGTGTGATACTTAGCTCAAACACTCCAAGGATCACATCCAGCTTTACATTATGCCACCATATAACAGTCACTCATTTCCAATTTCATTCTGCTCCAGACCCTGTAATAAATGTACCAGGGACCTTGTGACTCAGAGCTCAAGCACTTTAAATTTGAAGCAAGAACTGAGTATATAGTAGTTTATTATCCTGTGCTCAAAGACTTGGATCACTTTTTCTTTTCTGACCTGAATACTTGGCATTCAGAGCCTGCTATTGACTTGGGAACATCTTGATCTTAAACTTGAAAGGTTTGAGTTGCTGAACTCCTGGAAATGCTTAGGCGACATGTGGAACTGATGACAATCCGCAACCCGAGAGAGCCTTAGAACAGGATGAGGACCCGGAATTGAGAGAAAATGACAAATGGCGGAGTGACTTGCTCCTTCCAGAGTTATAGTGAGTCTCAGAGTGCTTCCTGTTGATGGGATAAAGTGCTACACAATCGCAGGTTATTATCAAATGTTAGCCATTACCTTACTAAACCCAGCTCACTCCTTTTGTTTCCAAGGGAACTGGGAAATAAAGCCCCTTCCACAAATGTCATACTTAGTCATGCTTAAAATCTCATTTAGCAATATTACTCAAAATCCATTTACTTAAGATTATTATTGAAGTGGCTAAGTGTGTATAGCAAATCACCACGAATTCAGGCTCTACTAATTGAGATCATTTAGACAGGGTTTGAGTGGAAGTTTACTTGTATTTTATCTGTACCAGAAAAAAGAGAGGATGGAGGTTGTTAAGGAAGTCAGCAATGCAAAGATTATAAGGGCTGTGCCTACATAGGCCAAGTACCTGTAAAACATATACACATTCATATAAATATATTTGCAATATATTCATATATATCTTACAGGTACTTGGAGCTATTTGTGTATAAATATAATTAGTATGCTAGTCATAAAATGTTTTCGCATACCTTTTAAAATAGTCCTAGGTTAATTGTTAATTGGCAATGATTTATTGGACAACTATAGCTCAAGCTGTTTTCTAGATAGTGAAGTGTTTCTATTATGTAAATCCTATCTTGATAATATTTTAAAATAGAAATTGAATATACATTGAAGCTGAAAACAACATTCTGCGTTATAAGGAAACATTTTCATGATATTCATGACATAAATTTTTAAATATTTTATTTGAAAAGCTATAGGTGTTTCTAGTGGTAAGCTATACATGCACTGAAAGCAAGAACTTGGCTTAATAGCAAGAGCTGGAATATCATTTCTAGGGACGAAATATTGAAAGGTTCTTGAGTTACAAAGTTAGATATTATTTAATTTATAATACCAGCTTTGTCATTTTTTAAAATTATCAGACAGCACTTTGCCATTAACTTGGTTCTAATTTAATTTAAGGTTTGAAGCATTAGCAACTATTGTAACAAAAGAGGACATCTGGCTGTGTGCAGTGGCTCATGCCTGCAATCCCACCACTTTGGGAGGCTGAGGTGGGTGGATCACTTGAGGTCAGGAGTTCAAGACCAGCCTGACAAACATGGTGAAACTCCGTCTCTACTAAAAATACAAAATTAGCTGGAAGTGTTGGTGCACACGTGTAATCCCAGCTACTTGGGAGGCTGAGAGGCAGGAGAATCGCTTGAACCCAGGAGGCGCAGATTGCAGTGAGCCGAGATTGCGCCATTGCACTTCAGCCTAGGCAAGAAGAGCGAAACTCCGTCTCAAAACAAAACAAAACAAAACAAAAACCAAAAACAAAATAAAACAAAACAAAAACACATCTAGCTATTTCAGTTTTAAAGTGTTTCCAAAAGATATTTATTCTTGTTAGCAAGCATGTAACATATCATGCTTCTTTAAAAGTATACTTCCTTGACGGTGCTTTTGGATCATTTAAAAATGTTATTTGTGTGGTATTTCAGTTACAGGTGATAACGTTTCTTCTTTGAAAATTATGAGGCCCTGTTCACATTGTACTCGCTCATGTTCTTAAAAGAGCAAAACATAATTACTCATAAAACTATTATTTTGACAGCCAAGAATGAAAGTTCCAACATTTGATGTTAATATTACTTTCTTGCAGGGATGAACTACTTCCATCTAGCAGGCCAAGCAAGTTTCCAGAATGCCCAGCTTTTGAGTGGTGCTTCTAGATCTGTGGGGAATAGTATGACTGTATATGCTGGTATTAAGGAATTGGGGAGGTTAAGAGGGAGGAGAGAGAGATGGAATTTAGAGGCTGATTCCTACTCTTTGCATCTTTGGTCTTAACTTCATTGCCTAGTATAGGAAGCACAAGTCCAACCTTAAAATATTAACACGTATCCTGGCCAAATTGAGAAGTGGGTAGAGTTGGCCTTCTAGTACCTCCTATAGGGCTGGTACCTCTCCACTCTGCCACTGAATGTCAGGCATCATGTATTTCTGGGTGCCCAAGGATTCTGGGAAGTACCCATTCTCTAGTTCTATTCCTACCTGTGTGTTTGGTGTAGACTCCCTTTCACTAAAGCACTTTTTATCTGTTCATTTATGCTATAAATTTCTACACCCTAAAATGCTAATAAGTGTAGTCTTGTGTAGTCACAAGAGTGGTTACACAATGTCCATTCTAGAGCACTGCTGTCCCACAGAACTTTCTGAAATGATGGAATTGCTCTATATCTGTGTTCTCCAATATGATGGCCACTAGCCACATACGGCTAATAGACAGTTGAAAAGTGGCTAGTGCAACTGAGAAACTGAATTTTTCATTATATTTTATGAATGCATTCATATTCATTTTATGAATGCATTCATAAAATATAAAACATGAACAGATTCATAAAATATATTATAAAATATATTCATAATATAGATTATAAAAATATATTTCATAATCTATTTTATGAATATATTCATAAAACAAAATATATATTTATAAACATGTATATTTTAATATATATTTGTAAGTATATATATTTTAATCAGTGTAAATTCAAATAGCCACATGTGGCTAGTGGCTACCATATTGGATAGTACAGTAGAGATCTAGAAATCTTAATGTACAAAGTGATGGTCACAAGGGAACTGTAGCTGGCCAGTGAGCAGGTGAATCTTTGGCTACCCTTGCACATGTCCCGTCTCAGTGAGCCACCTCAGCAGGGACAGGCAAGCCAGGCTCTCCTTGCCTAACTCGAACCTGCTTGACAGTGGCAAATGACACTCAATAGAAAATATCTTGGAGAATGTAAAATGCTCCACTATAACTCACATATTTTGACACCATTTCCTTCTTTCTTTTCTTGCCTTTTTCTTTTCTTCAGGTTTCAAAAGAAGAATTTTTGAATTATTATGCAGGTGTCAGTGCTTCTATTGACACCGATGCCTATTTCATTTTGATGATGACAAAATCTTGGAGATTATAATTTTGCCTATTAATTCTTTTGGAAATCAGGGACTCCCAGAGTGGAATAAGTCTGAAAGAATTCCAAGCTATGGATTTGGATTAGGTGTAAACTAAATTTCCTAAAGGATCTGGAATTTTAAAAGCGATAAATAGATCTTTGGTCATCTTACTTAATTATCTGGAATGTGTTCATTTTTATCAATGCCTGAGATTATATTTTTAAGTCATGAAGGAAGGAAGAAGGAAAGAAGGAGAGAGAGAGAAAGGAAGAAAGAAAACCATGAAGTGATATTGGGAAGTGGCTCCTAGGTAAAACAATCTGCTTGTTGTTATAGATATTCCTCTTATAGGTGTAAATGTAGCTGCTCCCTCACACCTTCACTTTACAGTCTTGGAACTCCATAGCAGAAGGTGATAATACCGGGATTAGAGGAACCTCTAACTGTGTAAAATGTCCTGAACTTATTTATTTTAATTTTGGTGAATACAAATAAAAGAAGATTTATTTTATTCTGAAATGTATGAGTGTTTTTCGATTTTCAGATTTGAATGTAAATTTCCACATGTGCATAAACAGGGGACATAAGTGCCTCTGGTAGGAAAAGGAAGGTGAGCTCAGCTGGCCCACTTGGTTGAAGGCTGGGCTTTCATGGCGTGGTCTCACTTATTGGTTCAACCTATTAGGAGGAAAGGAAGTGCAAGGGAAAAAGGAAGTGCCTATTGCAAACTTCAGAGGCTTTCTGGAGCTTTAGCGTAAATTGGAGAGGAGGACTTTAAACCTGTTTTGGGGAATTCATCGTTTTGAACCCACTTTTAGGCTCCTTCGCCAGACAGGTGATGTCAGGTTTTTTTGACTGATTTCTCTCCTCTATTAACTGCTTCTTAGGTAACAAAAGCAGCTCTAATTTGATTGCACACACCTATAAACCGTTCACCTTGGAAAAGGGGTAAAAGTGTGGGAAAATAGATGAAAGGTGAAAGCTGTGCTTCTCATGCTTTAATGAGCACATAGATCACTTGTTAACCTGCCCATTGCTTTTTAGAAGTCTGGGTGTGGGACTGAACTTTTGCCTCTAACAAACTTATTTTTTTTAATTTTTTTTTTGAGATGGAGTGGAGTCTTGCTCTATCACTCAGGCTGGAGTGCAGTGGCACGATCTCCGCTCACTGCAAGCTGTGCTTCCCAGGTTCACGCCATTCTCCTGCCTCAGCCTCCCGAGTAGCTGGGACTACAGGTGCTAGCCACCACGCCCGGCTAATTTTTTTTTTTTTTTTTTTTTTGTATATTTAGTAGAGACGGGGTTTCACCCTGTTAGCCAGGATGGTCTCTATCTTATCTTCTGACCTCGTGATCTACCCGCCTCAGCCTCCCAAAGTGCTGGGATTACAGGCGTGAGCCACCACGCCCAGCCAACCTCTAGCAAACTTCTCTATGATGTTGATGCCTCTGGCTTCAGATAACACTTTTGAGTAGCGAGCGGTAAAGTGATACCTGCCTGTATATTTCCAGTGTGTTTTTCTTATTATTTGCCCACCTTTGGCTGACCATAATAGTTTGTGCTTTTTGATTGCTGGGCTATCCCTTTGTCTTTAAAGTCGGGAACTTATGAAAGAAATAGAAAAAAAAAAAGTACCTCCCAGGTATGTGTATATGTGTAGGAGAGAAATGAAAAATAACATTTGCAGTTGAAGAATTTCTCATAGTCTAGGATGGAGTCCTTCCAGCATCAAAGATTCGAATCTGTCAGCCCTCCAAGAGTAGATCCACCTCTTTAAGACCTACGTTGAGTAAGCTCATAGCAATTGATGCAAAAACTAGAATGTCAAGCCACTGATCAACTATAATGAGGATATACTTCTCACGTTTCCTGATAAGATCAAAGAACTTGATCTGGATTTGAGGATGTGAGAGAATGACAGCATAGTTCTCAGTTCAGGGATGCTTTTAATAGTTTATTCTCCATACGGAGGATATACGTACAGAGGATATAAGCAGTACAGAGGATATATTCATGGTATGTTAGAATAATGCTATGTGCTATAACAAATAAATATTTCAATTTATAAAAGCTCAAACACATTATATATTTATTTTTCATTCATAAAACAGTACCTCTGTGTAGTGGTTTTCAGTTTCAGGCTTTCTCCATCTTGTGATTCCGTTGTTTTCTAGGATGTTGTAGTCACTGAGTCCATGTGACTGTAGAGGAACAGGGAGTTGAGAATGCTGAAAAGCTTGCTGAAAAGCTTTGGCCTGGAAGTGACACAGGTCACTTATGCTTGAATTTCATTTGATGGTAGCTAGTCACATGATTACAGCTAACTGTGGAGGTCGGTGAAGGGGTGGCTAAGAAATAGTCCTTGCAGGAAAACTTCTTGCCAACGAAATTGTACTTCATGGAAAGAAAGTACTATTTTGGTCAACAACTAGCTATCTCTGCCACTTGAAGTAGTAGCCTTCATTGCCTATAGTGCATGCTTGGTGATCTCAGTAGCTCATGTGGCGTGAGATATTTGTCAGTTTGGAGGAGTGCAAAACTGAAGTCTCTCCATCCTCAGCCATGTTAGCAACCAAGTAAACAACTTATATAAAGTGACAACTCTCCAATCAGAAACCCTGTCACCTGGGCCTCAAGACTTTATTCAAGGCCTTGAAATTTATGCTACAACACAGAGGCACCTCGTCCTTTATTGCCTCTATAATATGGGTCCTAGGAATTTTTAATCTATGTCCACATAAAGCCTTTCTGGGGGGAGTTGAAGCTATGTCTTATTGAGAGGTGACAGCATGCTGGCAGTCCTCAGAGCCCTCGCTTGCTCTCCGCACCTCCCCTGCCTGGGCTCCCACTTTGGTGGCATTTCAGGAGCCCTTCAGCCCCTCCACTGCACTGTGGGAGCCCCTTTCTGGGCTGGCCAAGGCTGGAGCCCACTCCCTCAGCTTGCAGGGAGGTGTGGAGGGAGAGGCACGAGCGGGAACTGGGGCTGCCTGCGGCGCTTGCGGGCCAGCTGGAGTTCCGGGTGGGCGTGGGCTTGGTGGGCCCCGCACTCAGAGCAGCCAGCCAGCCCTGCTGGCCCCGGGCAGTGGGGGACTTAGCACCCGGGCCAGTGGCTGCGGAGGGTGTACTGAGTCCCCCAGCAGTGCCGGCCCACCAGCGCTGTGCTTGATTTCTCACCGAGCCTTAGCTGCCTTCCCGTGGGGCAGGGCTCGGGACCTGCAGCCCGCCATGCCTGAACCTCCCACCTACTTCATGGGCTCCTGTGCGGCCCGAGCCTCCCCAACGAGCACCACCCCCTGCTCCACGGCGCCCAGTCCCATCTACCACCCAAGGGCTGAGGAATGCGAGCGAACGGCGCGGGACTGGCAGGCAGCTCCACCTGCAACCCCAGTGCGGGATCCACTAGGTGAAGCCAGCTGGGCTCCTGAGTCTGGTGGGGATGTGGAGAGTCTTTATGTCTAGCTCAGGGATTGTAAATACACCAATCAGCACCCTGTGTTTAGCTCAAGGTTTGTGAGTGCACCAATCGACACTCTGTATCTAGCTGCTCTGGTGGGGCCTTGGAGAACCTTTATGTCTAGCTCAGGGATTGTAAATACACCAATCGGCACTCTGTATCTAGCTCAAGGTTTGTAAACACACCAATCAGCACCCTGTGTTTAGCTCAAGGTTTGTGAATGCACCAATTGACACTCTGTATCTAGCTGCTCTGGTGGGGCCTTGGAGAACCTGTGTGTGGAAACTCTGTATCTAACTAATCTGTTGGGGACGTGGAGAACCTTTGTATCTAGCTCAGGGATTGTAAACACACCAATCAGCGCCCTGACAAAACAGGCCACTGGGCTCTACCAATCAGCAGGATGTGGGTGGGGCCAGATAAGAGAATAAAAGCAGGCTGCCGGAGCCAGCATTGGTAACCCACTGGGGTCCCCTTCCACAACGTGGAAGCTTTGTTCTTTTGCTCTTTGCAATAAATCTTGCTACTGCTCACTCTTTGGGTGCACGCTGCTTTTATGAGCTGTAACACTCACCGCGAAAGTCTGCAGCTTCACTCCTGAGCCCAGCGAGACCACGAGGCCACCGGGAAGAATGAACAACTCCAGACGCGCTGCCTTAAGAGCTGTAACACTCACTGTGAAGGTCTGCAGCTTCACTCTTGAGCCAGTGAGACCACGAACCCGCCAGAAGGAAGAAACTCCAAACACATCTGAACATCAGAAGGGATAGACTCCAGACGTGCCACCTTAAGAGCTGTAACACTCACCGCAAGGGTCCGCGGCTTCATTTTTGAAGTCAGTGAGACCAAGAACCCACCAATTCCGGACACATTATTATACAAGTCAGGACGAAGTTATTTATTCACATGGTAAATAATAACATTTTTGTTGTAGAGGCAGACCTCTTCTTGGAAGAGAAATTATAGTTATGAGGTTCTTTGGTAACTGGAATTATAACAAGGGGTATGAAGACTAAATATTTAATGAAACTAGGCAGACAGTTTAATGCATTCATCTTGCCAGTGAGACCATAACACTCTTTTCCCGAAATTCCTAGAGGGGACTAATAAACATGTCCTCCCTGACCTTTCTTTTTCAGCATGTCATAGCTGAGTAACTACTTGTGGGAGGGACACTTTAGATTCATTGATTATACATGTTATTGAAATCAGTATGTTACCAGTGCAAGGTAGCCTAGTTACCCGTGGCGAATCCATAGGGGTATGTAGCAATTTCAGTTCTTGCCTCCTCAGAAGGTGGAACTCAACTGAGGGGCATAAGGCAAAAAGATACCAAGGCAATTGTCAGAGCAGGAGTGGAAGTTTATTTAGAAAGTCTTTAGAACAGGAAAGAAAGGAAAGTTCACTTGGAAGAGATCCAAGTGGGCACCTGAAGGTCAAGTACCGTGTTTAACCTTGATCCTAGGACTTTGCAGGCTGGCCTCTTTCCCATGATTCTTCCCTTAGGATGAGCTGCCCGCATAAACAGTGCCCTCCTTACCCTTGGGAGGTGAGCACGCATAGTGTGTTTAGGAGTTGTATGCATGCCCATCTGAGGCTTTCTTCCCTTTTCTGGTGGTGTGCCCCTGGAAGGTCATACTCCACCATTTTGTCTCTTACTGTGCATGCCCAGGAAGTTCCTTCTCCTTGGTTTCTGCATTCAATTAACACTTTAGAGCAACAGGTGTAGACCATCAGGAAATGGCCTCTCCCTGATGCCGGCTCTCAATTTATCACTTTCAAAAAGAAAATGTGATAATTGCCAAAACATCACCTGATGTTTCTACTGGGTGGGGGAGAGCCCTCTCCTGCCCCACTCCTGCTTGTCAAACTACCTGTAACAACTCAGGATCTGGCCTGTCTTGCCTGCCTGGGGGTGATGTTTATCTCCTTACAGTGCTTTTATATACCTCTTGCTATGGTTGGAATGTTTGTTTCCCCACAACACTTAATATGATGAACTCCTAACCTCCAAGGTGATAGTATTAAGAGGTGGGGCCTTTTAGCATGTGATTAGGTGATGAGGGCAGAGCTCTCATTAATAGGATTAGTACAGGTTGTAGGAACCTGTACTTCTTACTAGCTGGTTGTAAATTCAAGACTGCAATATAGAAACCCTGCCAGAGTTTCCACCTTGCCTGGCATGCTCTGCAGAATTTGGACTCAAAACTGCAACATTAGCTCTTACCTGAATTTCCAGCTGGCCAACTTGCTCTACGGATCTCAGACTTGCCAGCCGTCACAATCATGTGGCCAATTTGTTAAAATAAGTATCTCTCTCTCCCCACTGATACACACACACTATGGATTATACTTCTCTACAGAACACTGACTAATGCAGAAGAAGTATGGATAGCCTGCGGACCCCCAAAGTAAGAGGAAAGTTTCTAAAGTAAAAATAGTCTTGTTGAGTATTATTTCCTTTAACTTGTAAGAGTGTTGCTAACTCTGGGTGGTGAGTGCCAGGATTGAATTGCAGTACACTTAGCTGGGGCTGAAATAGAATAACAAGCTCAATCACTGTTTACAAAACTGGCTCATATTTCAAGGTCCTATTCAAAAGTTAAAGCCTTTACAAAGCTTTCCTCGACCTTTCAGCAAAATTGACTTGCTCTTTCATTTCTGTGCCTCTTTTGCTAAGTGTATATGCATCTTTATATCACAGTCCATTAGTCAGATGTGTAAGAAATACTACTTTATTTTCTCCGACATTCAAATTTTGCAGTCTTGTCCCATTCAAGCTTGCTGGCAGAAATGTAGGCTGTCTTTCTTGGGATTTCCACTTAAGCCTGTGCTGTTGTTCTTGGATATGAAGCAGAGCCAATGCAGAAGGAGTGGGAAGTGTGTAACCTGAGTTCACACAGGTCATCCTTCTTTTCAGAGTCCCTTAAGTCCACTGAATTTTGGGAACTTCTCTACCACACCTGGAAAACGGCAACTTTGAAAAGCTGCCAGTGGGATAGGTGAAGAGCTGTTTTGAGATATCTGTGGTCCATCTAAGTGAGAAATCCAATAGGCAGTTGGATGTTCATTCATTGAACCAATATATATATATTTATTGATCGAATATTAGGTGCTACCAGTGAGTACTTCTTTAAGTGCTGGGGATCTAGCCTTGAACATATAAATATAGCACACTTCTTCATGGAAGTTCAATCTAGCAGACATGATTCTGAAGTTTACATCTGGAAACTTGGAAACAATGGAAAATGTTGACGTTAAAAAGCCAATTAACAGAACAATAGAAGCAAAGAAACAAGAGAGATCAAATGACTGATGAAGCAAGGTTCTGGAGGAAGAGAGACGGATAGAGATAGAGTTAAGGGCATTGAATGGTTGGTTTGGTCTTCTACAGATGAAGGGTTAGCTTGTTCTTAGACTAGGGGAATAGCAGGCAGGAATTTATCCAGTTTTGAGTTTGCAGATGGAGATAGGAAATGAGAGCAAAAACATGAGTTATGGTCTACATTTTTTCAAAGTATAGGCAAACTTATTTTCTGGGAATGAGAAAGGCCAAGGTTCAATGGAAGACTTAGAGTAAAAGGTGAGTGTATTTGACAATGGTTATCGAGGGCATTGGAAAAGAATGCTGTCAAGCACAAATAAAGGAAAACAAATTTATATGGGCCCCGTTTGGCAGCATTATGTGATTTTTCACTAAGACAGTTTAGCAGATAAAGTGCAGAAGCAGAGATGTGACTTGTAGGAACATGTTGTATCATCTTGTTCCATAGCATTTGTCACTGCAATTTGTATAATAAGAAGGCCTTGATAAACTGTGATGAAATTTATTAATTACTTAAAATACTGAAGGATAAGAAATCTTGAAATATACTGTTGTACTATCCACATCACAAGGGAGAAATCAGATTATGACTCTAGAATAGAAAATCTTGCTATCAAGGTTATTATAGTCTAGATTTTACAGAAAAAATGAGAATAATAATTCTAAGTAAGAGTTATATTAATACATAATTTATACTTTTATTTTGTATAATAATATATACATACATATATGTATGTATACATATGTATACTCCCATATATATGTATATATGTATGTATACATATGTATGCATACATGTATACTCCCATATATGTATGTATACATATGAATGTATATATGTATACATATGTATGTATATATATGCATGTATACATATATACACATCTATATACTACCCCCCTCAAAAAAAAAGAAGACAAAAGAAATAAGAGGAAGTTTCCTGCTTTCATGCATCCACCACCATCCCATTCTTTTCCCCAATAACCACTGAAAACATTTTGGAGCACTGCCTTCCAAACTTTTTTCTAAGCATATTCTCATTCTAATATTCCCTCTTTTTCTCTCTAATTAAAAAAAAAAAAAACCCTCGTTCTGATGATAGACATTCTTGTTTTCTTCTCCAACATTCTCAGTTTCTTCCTTCTTTGTCACCCCTATTTTGACCAGGTACCCATCTCATTCTCAGTTCTGGAAAAGGTGAGCCATTTCCAAGCCAATAAGTTCATGGCATTTTCCTAGTGACTGTTATTGGCCCAAAGATATGCATATGATTTCAACTGGATCAATCATATAAAAGGGAAAACCTTCCATTTCACACTGAAGAGAACAGTATTTTTTTAATGTTAACAATTTCAGTAAGAAATGATTATAATTTTGCTATTAGATTAACAGATCCATGTATATTGAAGTCCTCGCATGACCCAAATACTTTTTCTTCCCTAAAGTTTCTCAATACACATATAGACAAAACTTATTTCACAAAGTAATGGAAAGCATGTGGCTGTAGTCTTGCTGCAATATGGATGAGATAGGAAGAGCTTCCTCAAATAGGGAGGTGACATTTGTGTCTTTCTGTAAATGTAACCTAAGCTGTCCTCATGTATGACTGTAAGATATTGCATTAATGGCTTGACTCTTCACTCTTTCTCCTATCCACCTATTTTACCATGTGATTTTAAGTTTCTACCCAAGGGGAAATATATTTCTTCACTCCTTGATTCTGGGTTTGGTCATGTGATCTTCTTTGCCAATAAAATGAAGTGGAATTGATGGGTAGGCCAGCCTTGCATTTTTCTGCTTGCCCTCTTATGCCCCTGCTGTAAAAAGAGGCAGCTGGGTTAGCCTGCTTGTCTCTGGAGAAAGACGGGAAACTTATGGAACAGAGGCATTCCCAGCTGAACCCAGCTAACTTTCCTTCAGTTTCAGATCCCTGAGTCATCCTAGCTGTTAGTAATATCATAGAATCACCCAGCAGAGCCCAATCTAGATCATTCAACACAATTTGTGAGAATAAATGTTGCTTAAAGCCGCTGAGTTTTGGCATGATTTGTTGTTGAGCATCAATGTAGCAATAGCTGATAGATACACCGCACATTTCGGATTTTTCATGGAAATGATAGGGGGAAGGAGTAAGAGAAAGATGGAGACTTTTGGAGAGTTTTATCTTGCTAGAAGCTTTTGACAAAATAACATAGACATTTTTCTTTATCAGCATATGTAGCACTACCGTGCTAGTTTTACAATGCTGGTAATTTCTTTACTAAATTTTAAAAAGTCACAACCAAAAGAAAAGATAAAAAGAAACTGGAAAAACATAGTAACATTATGACAAGCAAAGTTCTGTTATCCTTAACACCCGAAGTGTTATAATTCAGCAAGCAAAAGATGAAGAGTCTAAGAAGGAAATTTTTTTTTACATTAAAAGAATTTTTTAATGGCTTTGTTAGTATTCCATAATATGAATATACTATAATTTATTTAGATTTAGAATTCTTAGTTACAAGAAATAATATATAGATATTTTATACATAGAATTTCTAGGTATACACATTAAAATTTTTGTTATATATTTCCAAATTGTCCTAATTTACATTCCTATTAACAGTATATGATAAAGCCCATTTTCCTATGCCCTTCTCAGCACTGAAATTTAGTGATCTTTATAATTTTCACAATTTAATGGGCAAAGCATTTATCTCATTCATTTTATCAGCATTGTTTATTCAGAATGAGATTACGCACATTTTCCTATTTTTAAAGTTTGTTTTATTTCTCCTGTGAGCCTTCTGTTAATGTGCTGTGTTCATTTCCTTCTTGGGCTCTTCATCTTTTGCTTGCTGACTTGTAAGACTCTGGGGTCTTATAAGGATAACAGAAGTTTGCTTGTCATAGTGTTACTGTCTTTCTCCAGTCTATTTTTATCTTTCTTTTGGTTGTGACTTTTTAAAATTTAGTAAAGAAATTACCAGCATTCTAAATTTTATCTAGTCAAACATATCAATCTTTTCCTTTTATGGCTTTTAGGTTTTACGTTTTATCTAGAAACGCTTTTTGCATCCAAAAAATATGAAATGATTGATCCATGTATTCTAGCATTTGTTTTTATTTTAAAAATTATTTATATCTTTGAGTTATGTGGAATTTATTTTGAAATAAGAAGTCAGTTACCTTTCTTCATTTGCAAATGGCTAGTGTGTTATTCCAATCTTATTTGCTAAATAATCCACTTTAACCCTACTGATTAGAAATGGATGAATTTTTTGTAATTACATAGATCTGGACTTGCAGATTCTCTGTTTTATACCATTGATAGTTCTGTGAATTCCTGCTGAATCAAATTTTAAAACCACGTGAATGGTTAGTTGCTTCACAATTCTTTTCTTCTCTGGAATTGTGCAGGCTATTCTCCAACATTTATTTCTCTGCAAGATATTTAGAATAATAGTGTATGCACAGAAGAGCATCTGGAAGCCTAAATGTCACTTATTAAATGTGACTATTCCTGAAGAGTGTGATTAGAAAGTGACATCTTCAACTTGATACATTACATGTCTATCTTTTTTTAATTTGAGGACACAACCAAATAATAGTTTAGTTGTAAAGATTCCATAAGAATTAAAAAAAATAAACATGAGAATATTGTAAGCGGAGACCTTAATAAAGTATCTGTGTCTTGTAGTGTGTTTTCTACTTGATTCTCTTGTGTTTTCCATATATACAATAATTTTATCTGCCAATAATGACGATTTAATTTTCTCCTATTCAATATTTATGCTTTTTACTGTGTTTTCTTGTTTAATTGAATTTCTTAGAATTTCTAAAACCATGTTAAATGAAGTGACAATAGAATTTCTTTTGTCTTATCCTTCAATATAATGGAGTACTTTTAAAATTTCACCACTGAGCATGACCCTAGCTTATCTGCTCTTATTTTATTAAAATTTTTTATTTGAGAAAATAAAGCTTTAAGCATCATTCAGTTCTACACTGGCAACTTCACACTTGAACTTCACACTGTGAAATTCATGAAAGTTTATAATTATGTAGCAAACAGGTTTATCAGTCTGACACTATAGCATTTACTGAAGCTCTAATTAAATTAATGCTTTCTTAGGCTCTAAAAGTAATATTTCAGTCTATCAGTGGATAAGCTTAATAATAAAATGTTTTCTGATTATTCTGCATAGTTTTTGTGTCATGACTAGTGCAGTTCATACTTTGCAGGAACTAATTTATCATAAAAAGAGGGTCCTTTTCAGTCTCTGTAAGTTTTCCACCTCTTCTTGATGAAAAATCTTTACTTAGGGTAAAGGCAAATTGGTTCTAACAATTTACCATTGAGAGGCCCTCCAGATGAACTCAAGTGTTTCAGCACAATTCAGTATGTAAGCCTTATTTTTCAATCCTCAGGGGCTTTGCATATTGTTTGCTTCACTACTTTTACCTGAGTCTTGAGGAGCATGAATGTGTTCCTTGGACCTCATAGGTTTTGTGCATCACACTTTCTTTGTCTGAACAGCTGTGTCATTGCAAGCTACACACAAATGCCCACACAAATGCCACAAGCCATTAAAATTCAGAAATTAGGGTAGAATTTCATATGAATCTAAAATTAAATAACTGAAAAAACACAATTAAATATCTGTATTTATTAGATAAATGAAGTTTTGGAAAATTTTCTTTTCACTTCACCCCACCCTATTGTTTCCCCACTTCTGTGGTTACAGTGGTTAAGAGTACAGCTGCAAAGACAACTGTGTATGGGGAATGCAACCGACTTCTCACACATGGCTGCCCAGATGTGCTGCTCTCTCAGGGATGTGGTGCTTGCTTCTGTCTGAACAACCTGGCTTGGCATTCTTTTATCTTTAACAGTGATGAGGAAAGAAGTTGACCAACACAACATCATTTCCTAAATGTTTATTCATTCTTTGATTCATTCATTCATGTTTATGAGGGAATGCCTACTAAATTTTAGGTACTGTGTTTAGCAAGAGATGTAAGCCCCAGTAAGTCATAGTTCTCTGTGCCAGAATGCTTACAAGCCCCCAGAAGAGTCAGACAAATCAAGTAATTACAGATCAGTGTGGTGACAGTAGAAATAAGTGAAGTGCTATTAGGAATGCACCCATGAGTCATATCCTGGCCTGTAAGAGGATGTATTCCCAGAAGAGGCAATGCCTGAGGCTAGTCTTGAGGGACTGGTATGAACTACCCAGACAATGGGGGTAGCAAGTGTAAAGGCTGGCAATTGAGACCACAGGCTGAGAGTGGTGGCAAAAGGTGAAGAAAAAAGGTAGGCTGAAAAATCCCTGTCCCTGACAAAGTGTCCCACATCCTAATAATGAAAACATATAAATATGTTACTTCAATGGCCAAAGGGACTTTGTAGATGTGATTATATTAAGATCTCCAGATGGAGAGATTAGCCTTGATTATGCAGGTGGACCCAGTGTAATCACAAGGAATCTTATAAGGCAAGAGGGTCAATATGAGAGAAGGCACTGTCATGATAGAAACAGGGGATGAAATAGTCCACTTCAAAGATAGAGGAAGGGGCTAGGGTTGTGGGATAGGGAATACAGGTGGCCTCTGGTGGATGAAAAAAGCTGGAAAACGGATTCTCCCTGCAGTCTTCAGAAGTATCACAGCCCTGTTGACACCTGGATTTTTGCCCCAGAAGACTGATTTTGGACTTCTGATGCCTGATCTGCAGGAGAATAAATAAATTTGTATTGTTTTAAGCCACTAAGTTTGTGATAATTTATTACAGGAGCCACAAGAAAGTAATACACTAGATCATCAAGAGCCTTCCATGCTGTGTTAGTTCGTTCTTGCATTACTATAAATAAATGCCTGGGACTGGATAATTTATAAAGAAAAGAGGCTTAGTTGGATCATGGTTCTGCAGGGCTTACAGGAAGCATGGTGCTAAGATCTGCTTGGCTTCTGAGGAGGCCTCAGGAAACTTACAATCATGGTGGAATGCAAAGGGGGAGCAGGCACATCACATGGTGAAAGCAGGAGCAAGGGTGGGAGGAGGTGCCACACACTTTTAAAACAACCAGGTCTTGTGAGATCTCACTCACTCTTGAGAGGACAGCACCAAGGGGATGGTGCTCTCACCAGGGTCCACCTCCAATACTGGGGATTATATTTTATCATGAGATTTGGATGGGGACAAGAATCCAAGCTATGTCACGTGCCATGCTGGAAAGCCACTAAGGGATTTTAGTTAGGGAGGTAGCTTGATCAGATTTCCTCTTTAGAAAGATACTCGCAGTGGGGGTGGGGGATAGGTCATATGACAGCCAGACTAGGGCAGGGTCAGATGGACTTTTGTGACTGCTGTACACACTTAGGGGACACCACAACCAGGTCAAAGGTGAGTCTGAGACTAAGACCAAGTGGTTCTTTGTGCCATCTTTCTCTGTCAGAATAGCTCTTCCTTTTCTTCCTCCCTTCCATCTACCAGTACTTACTAAATATTTGTTTTATTCCAAGAATAATATAGGAAGTGGAACTTGCATGGAACTTGAATTTTAGAATCAGAGAGAGGCAATAAGAACAATCATCAAAAATAAATTATTAATAATTAGTAATGAATTAGTGATTAATAATTGGTAGTTAATATTGAGGAAGGAGTTTTGGAGGAAATAAACAGGGAGGCATGATAGAGACTATCAGGAGGAGGGTCTTGTTTTCATTAGAATGACCACTTCTGTGGAGGTTACGTAGAAGCTAGGACCTGGATAATAAGAAGGAGCCAGCCACACAAAGATCCAGAGAAACCACGTTTCAGATGGAGAGAGCGGCAAGAGCAAAGGCCTTGGGACAGGCAGGCTGGCTGATTCCATATTATAAGATGTTGTGGAGGTGGAGGAAAAGGATAAAAGCCCTTCACTCAAGCTCTAGCTTATCTAACTCTCAGCCAATCAGTAAGAAGACACCCAGAAAGCTATTAACTGCAAGCTTCTCTTTCCAGGGCCTAGGGATTTCCCTGGAGCCCCACAAGTTCTACTATCTATGTTCTTGTTGGAATGAAACAGATATTCAGATATTTAGTAACTAGTAAGTACTGGTAGATGGAAGGGTGGCAGAAAAGAAGGAAGAGCTTTTCTGACAAGGAGATAAAGGTGGCACAAAGACCAACTTGGCCTTAGCCTCAGGCTCACCTTGGACCTGATGTGGCATCCCCTAAGCGGGCATAGAGGTCACAAAAGTCCATCTGTCCTGGCTCTAGTCTAGCTGTCATATGACCTATTCTCTTCCTTCACCAGGGGGATCATTCTAAAGAGGAAATTTGATCCAACTACTTCCCATGCTTGAAGAGGCAGAGAAGTCTAGAGGCTGAAAGAAGCTTCCTGGACAACACATAGAGACCCAGTTAATAGACAGGATGTGGATCATCCACATTCAAAGGAACATGATGGGCCCTGACACATTAGCAGTAGACACAACACGGGATACCATCCACAGACAAGACAGGAAGGCTAGAGCTCAGGGGAGTCCAAAGAAGTCACATGGCCCCAGATTCCTTCTCCCAGTACCATGTGCATTCATTTTCTAGGGCTGTCATAGCAAAGCACCACAGACTGAGTGGCTTAAACAAGAGATTTATTGTCTCACCGTTCTGGAGCCTAGAAGTTTGAGATCAAGGTGCCAGCAGGGTTGATTCCTTTTGAGAGCTGTGGGGGAGAATCTGTCCCATGCCTCTTTCTTAGCTACTGATGATTTTCTATCAATCTTTGATACTTATTATCTTTTAAAAATATCACCCCTGATCTCTGCCTTCATTTTTCACATGATGTTTTCCCTATGTGCATGTCTGTCTCTAAATTTTCCTTTTTTTTTTTATAAGAACACCAGTCATACTGGATTATGCTGCACCCTAATGACATTTTAAATTGATTACCTATTTAAAGAAACTATCTCCAAATAAAGTCACATTCTGAGCTATTGCATGTTAAGAATTCAACATATGAATTTTGGGGGGACACAACTCAATTCATAGCACCGTGTATCTAAAACTCTCAGGAGAATGGGAGGAGAAGAAATCTGAATTTGACTAAAGATTTAATAAGAGACTGAACTAAAAACGGCATGACTGAGTTAGCTTGTGTGTCAAACAGGCTTTAATGTGGCCCCTGCGATCGCCAACTCCTGAAAATCTTGTCTTTATATAATCCCCTCCTCTTGAGTATGGATGGGACTTCTGACTTGCTTCTAACCAAAAGAATATGGCAAGATGATGGAATGTCACGCCTGTGGTCATATCACATATATAAGACACCATTTTGCTGGTAGACTCACTCTCCCTTGCTGGCTTTGAAGAAGCAAGCTTTTGTTGAAAGAGAGCTTATGGGCCAGGCACGGTGGCTCACGCCTGTAATCCCCGCACTTTGGGAGGCCAAGGCGGGTGGATCACCTGAGGTCAGGAGTTTGAGACCAGCCTGGCCAACATGGCGAAACCCCATCTCCATTACAAAAAATACAAAAATTAGCTGGGCATGGTGGTGTGCACCTGTAATTCCAGGTACTTGGGAGACTGAGGCAGGGCATCTCCTGAACCTGGAAGGCAGAGGTTGCAGTGAGCTGAGATGGTGCCACTGCATTCCAGCAGCCTGGGCAACAGAGCAAGACTCTGTCAAAACAAACAAACAAACAAACAAACAAAAACACAAAAGCTTATGAAGAGGGTCATATGACAGGAGGCTGTGGGTGAACTTTAGGAGCCGAGAGTGAGAGCTATCAGGAAGCTGGAGCACTCAGTTTTACAAGCACAAGAAAATAAATTCTACTATAACCTAAGTAAGTTTGGAAACGGACCCATTGCCAATGGAGCCTCTGGAAGAGAAGCAAGCCTGGGCCAACATTTTGATTGCAGCCTTGCTGAGGACTCAGCTAAGCCATGCCCAGACTTCTGACCCGCAGAGGTTGTGAGATAGGAAATGTGTGGTGTTTTAAGCTGTTAGAAAAAGAAAGAAGGAAGAAGAGGAAGAACAAGAACAAGAAAAAGTAGGAAGGGGGAGGGGAAAGGGAAAGAGGAGGAAGAAGAGAGGAGGAAGAGGCCAAGAAGGGGGAGGAGTCAAGAGAACAGAAGCTATTATCTTCCTTTCTTTCCAAGTTCCCCTCACCACAAGCTTATGATAGGGTGTGTGTGGCTTTAGTTAGAATATAAGACTGCATCTTAAAACTAGATGAATTAAGCTTTGGTCACTTAAAGGAATCTACTTCAGAAAGGGATTTTCAGTGGAGCATCTTTGGAGATAAGTAATTAAAGAAATGCCAGAATTATTTTATATTTATATCCTACTGAATTAAGATTCCTTCCTAAAACCTGATACACACATGCACAGAAAATATATATTTCACATCACATTCCTGATTAAAATCCTGCCAAGCCCCTCTATTTTCTGCAAAATAGATGACAACTTCTTAGGCTGGCATGCCAAATGCTTAATCATTGGCCCCCACCAATTCTGCCAAGCCTAATTTCCAGCCACTACTCTGCAGACTGCAGGGACTAGGTATATCAAGTGAAATAGGTGTCCATGCAGGGCTTCCACTGAACCACCTGTTGAGTGAAGCAACACTCTCTGTTCTCTCTGTTAAATACATTGACACATTGAGACTTAACCACTAGTAGGCTGTCTTCTAGTGCAGTGGTTCTCAAACTTTTTGGGACCAGGGACTGGTTTTGTGGAAGACAATTTTTTCCATGGACTCATGGGGAGGTGAGTTTTCAGGAGCTGAAGAGATGTGTGGTCCATTCTGGGAATCCGTCTAACCACAGTTTCCAGAGAAAACAGGCATGCCACAAAGTGTTCTTCTATACCATTTAATTAAATATGAGATGGTTATTACATACATTGTACGCTTATATACTAAGCAGCTCTGCGAAATGTTTGTAATGCATGTGGATAGTACACGGTTAAATCAGAGATCTTCACTGTAGTGAACAATGGATATTTTAAAGAATAGTCCCAACAATAAACCACAGAGCTGACAAAAATGCCACCTAATCTGCATCATTTCCAGGAGCTCTGCCACATATTCTTCCTGGCCCGTACCAAGTCTCTTAGCCCCTCTAGAAGAGCTAAGAAAATGCAGGTGTGCACCTCTGAACAGCCCATACTTGGCTTTTCTGAAGCAAATTCCCATGGAAACCACATTGAAGGAAGAGGCAAAGGCTGGTAGGAAATCAGCTGAATCAGCCTGGGTGCCCTAGACCCAGTCATGTTTGTTGGACCAAATTAGCTGTCTTTTCATTTCATGCTATATAGAACTGGCAGTTTACACTTCTGATTAATACATTGTCTCCGATCAGGAGGTTTATTTTTTTTTCCTAATAAAATCTGAAAGGAGATTGGGCAGAACCAATTAGTAATCTTACATTACACATTGTCCCTAGGTATATAATCAAGAATTAACAGCAGTTATGATTATATGATTATAATACATGCATTTTAAATACTACAGTAACAGACAGAGGCTCAGACACTAAATTCCAAAGATAACATATGCCAAACAACATTGAAACAAAGGATTTTAGAGCTGGAGATATCTCGATGTTTTTCTATGGTCATCTCTTCATTTCTTCAAGAGATTGTCTATTTATACCAGGGATACAAAATTATGGCTCCCAGTTCTGACTTAACGTGTGAGGTTGGGTAATTTACCTGTCTTCCTGTGTCCCAGTTTTCCCATAAGTCAAAGAAAATAACAATAAATACTTCAAAGAACTTCTGTGAATAAGGTATCAGAGACCTGGCATGAGATTTTGTGGAGCCTCCTATTTGAGACTTGACTCCCATTTCTACAAAAGGTAAAGAACACCTGCCCACTGATGAAAAATGTCTTCTGCTGCCTACAAACCAGGCAGATTCTACTTTTCCTCCATGTAAATTTACATCATTTTTGTGGCATTTGCCCTGTCTCCAACAGGGCACTTTCAATATGGCTCTTTTATAGCATTTTATAATATAATAATAATTTGTTTACCAAGCAGTCACTTTCATTAGGTTTTGCAATTTATGAGGCAGAATGCCATCCTTTTATGTGTCTTTAGGTCCCCTGTGCCTAACAGTATGATTGACATGTAGCAGGCTTTCCATAAATGCCTATCAAGGAGGTGGAAGGAATGCTTATGGAAGTGCTTTGAAAATTGCAAAAGCACTAGGCAAACCTAAGGGATTATGGCATTGTATTTATTACTGCTGGTGCAGAGGAGAGCACTTTGGAAAGTAAAACATTCACCTGAAGAATAAGATGGTCTGATCTTACCAGTCCTTTAAGCCAACAGATAAGGTCCATTCATCCACAGTTAAAACCCCATTCACAGACAACACAAAACAAAACAAACAAGAAAACTAAAATATCAGAAACACCTAGTCCCCCTAAATAAAGTAAAAACAGAACAAAGAAGAAAATTCAAAACAGAAAAACAGTAGCAACAAATCTCAAACAAAACCATGAACCTATGACCCCTTCTCTAGTTTTCTGTGCAGCATCTGCCCTTTGTGGTTCTGTGAACAGCCAGGGTTTGGAGGCCTGTGGGAGATGGGTTTGCTGCACTTTGCTGAGCTGACATTACTCAGTTGCCTTGACTTTGAGTTAGTCATTAGAAGTCAGTCTAGACCAAGAAAGGCAAGATGATATATGTCAAGCATTAATAATACGTCTCTTCCGTATATCTTCAAGATTGTAGCCACAGTCAGTTCACTCATTGCATGTACTTGTAACTCTTTCTCCCTGAAGTTTGTGGCAGCCTCTATTGCTGGAGAACTTGGGACAATTTAGGGATGAATTTAGGTTGGGGTAGTGTCTATACACATGGGAGGGGTCATGCCTCCTCTCACTCGTCAAACGTACCCATGTCCAGGGTCAGCGACAGTTTCCTCTGAGATCATGGACGGATGCAGTTGGGTGGTAGCAGCAAGAGAATCACTGTCTTGGTAACAAACAAGAGAAATTGTGAGTTTCTAATTTATTCCCTCTTGAGCCTATTTTCAGAAAAATGAAACCAAATGGGCTTCATGGCTTTTTCTTGACTTCTTTACCTTCTTTTGACATGGCTGGTCATGGGACTTCACACCCGCAAGACTGTTTCTCCCCCTCTTTCTTTCTCATAGCCATTTTAATTTAAGTGATGATATGTATGTTCACATTTGTCTGGGGACAGTCCTAGTTTTTGCTCATTGTCCCGGAGGGATTATATGTAAGTTTCCCTTTCACTTTCCAAACTGACTCAGTTTGGATCATAAATTATCTAGGCACACCCTGTTACTAGTGACGTTTGGCACTCAAGAATGGGGCAGTCCTCAGTGAAGAGAAAGGCACATGGCTCAGGGAACTGCAATTAGACTCCCAGCCATCATATCTTGGCCCCTCCCTTCACTGTGTGAACAACTTGGACAAGTTACTTAACTCCTTAGTTCTGAATTTAATGATCTATAAAAAAGAGAGTAGTCGTAGTAATTGCACACACCTCCCAGGATTATTGTCAGGATGGAGTGAGACAAGGTGCGCAGAGCACTTGCAAAGCACTGGATATATATTAAATCCTAATAATGGCAACTATCATTTTTTATTTTCCTTTCTTTCTTTCCTCTCATGCTCTCTTCCTGCCTTCCTCACTCCTCAATCATTTCCTTTACTCTTTCATTCTTTCCTCTTTTTTTTTTAAATAGCTGAATCATTGGGTCACCTTAAACCTTGTGACCAAATCCACATGGTAGAAGCAGGATGCTCTTGACTCATGTTGAGTGCCACTGAACTCAGGAAGAGTGGTCAAAGCAATGTTTCAGAATCTTGCAGACTGTGTAGTGGGGTTTTGCTAATTTTGTCTTCTCTGTGCTGTGAGGGAGACTAGGAACTCTAGACTTCCCTTTTAAATCATCTTTGTCGCTCACGGTAAGTTCAGTCTGGGTTTCTTACACTTCACTGGTTTTGGTAGAAGCTGGACATGGTGACATATGCTTCTTCTTGATTTGATCCCAGGGAAGTAAGAATGGGCTGACCCTGAGCAACTGGGTTCAATGTCAGGATTCCAGATTGGAGAGAAAATGGAGGGGGCAGCGTGCTGTTTGTAGTCCCAAGGCTAAGCAGGAGGTCCTGGTACACATGAGGCCCATTCTTGCCACTCTCCCTGCAGTCTAGGGACCTGGAAGAGGAGAGAATAGGGGCGTCACATGCACTGACATTCCCAGCCAGGCATGTGAGGGATGAATCTCTTCCAAAGCTTTCTGGAGTGATGACTACATCCTCAGATGGGCAGTTGGGGCTCTGCACATCCCCTCCAAGCCTCTGCTTCTCAGATTCTTCTAGTTGCTGAGGAAACGTATCTTGCAGAAAACCTTCCACTTCATCTCTAGCTTGAATGTCATCCACCCTATGAATCTGGCAGTCCAGGAAACTTTCAGGATTGAAACTCACATTTAAATTCTGCACAGAAAAAGGAGAAAGGGTATTAAGATGGCACCAGAGAGACACACCATCAAATGTTCAGTTCAGGAGTAGGTCTATAGAGTTTTCTGACAGGGAATGTCACAGAATTGCCAGCATGTTCCTCAATGGACTCTTTGCTTCTGGAGCTTCTGAGACACTTCAAGACTTGAAGTGACCACTGGCTGTGCCCTCCAGCCCCAGGGAGCCCAGAAGTTCTGAGATGTGTATCTTATTTCAGTTCCCTACTGCAGCTAGGGTCTTAGGAGGGACCCTAGTTACAGGATGAATCAAATACCAAAAGGTGAGGTTCAACTGTTCCTTGTCCTGGAATATCATTCTTGGCCACTGGGATGTTGCCAACACAACACTTTTTAAGCACCAAAAACACTCACTTTTCTTGGTTTCTTACAAAGATGTTCCAGAGTCTTCTTATGATCGGGGAGACTGGGCCATACGATAGGCTTAATCCTGAAATCAGAGAACATTGATAGATGAAGTGAATGGCAGAGGGCACAGGCACACTGAGTCTTCCCACTTATTCTGAGCTTGGAATCAGAAGAACAGATTTCTAGTCTTGGCTCTAACACAATTAGGTGGGTGACCATGGTCAAGAGACTGGCTTTCTCTGGGCCTCGGGGCCCTATCAATTCAAGGAGGGGTTGGACCAGAGACCACAGATATCAATCCATTCTGTGAACAAGACATGACAATAATATACCTCTGGGAAAAAGCCCTAGAGGGAAGGAACACCAAGGCTTGCAAGGAGGTAATTTTGGTGCAGCTATGGAAGTAAATTTAACCCCGTTGTTTACTCCCAATTTAAGTGTTGTCTTTTTATTTCTTCTCTTTACTGACAGCAACTCTGGCAGCTAATTTTGGTGGAAGTGGGGGAATATTTTCAAATTACCCAGGGAAATTGCTTAGTACTTTCCAGGCAGTACTTTTCAAATTAGGGTATTTGTAATCCTGGGGATATGTAGCCTTCTGCCAAGGGCATTCTCCTAGAATAGTAAGTAATTTAACAAGTGCATGTTTAAAACATCATTTTTATGATGAAACAAACATAGCCTTAGCATGGATTAGTATAAAAAATCCCATGAATTTATATGCTTAAAGTCAAGACTTCAAGTACATTGTGCATTTGCCATGAATGATGGCTTCTGCAACCTTTAGGAGATACTGGAAGAAAAGCTTGGGAAACATTGCATTACGGAATTCTTACTTTGGGGACAGCGTTTGCCTAATGTCCAGTTAATATCTTTTTGCCTCTTATGAAATTAACTGTGGAAATTCGCTGAGGATAGATAGGGATACTGGGCACTAAATTCGTGAAATGCCTTAATCCCCTTTGTGGTTTTCTCATCAATAAATGGGGCTTAAGCTCTGACTGTCCGTGATCCCACACAATCACCCTCTTTATTAGTTGAAGAAGGTCACCTTTTTTTCCATAACACACAGGCCAAGATGACCAACAGAGCGACAGAGAAAAAACTCAAAATGCTGATGGTTAGTAAGATAGGATCCATCTCCCCTGGAAAGCAAGAATAGATTGTGGTGAGCATTCAGTAGCCATGCAGTGGGGGTAGGGTCTCAGGGTGCTTTGCATTTACTTAGTAATGTGGGCCCACTTATTATTTCCTGAAAGTTGCTTTTCAGTTAAGAGACATATTTGACAGCTTTATGGAGGGATTTTGGTTTAAAAGGCATTGACTTGGGTGACCAGGCCCAGAGCATCTGCCACTTGAAATGTAAACGTGATCTAGCATCAAAGGTACCAATGCTCTCTTCCCTTCTTGACTTTCTACCAAGGAAAAGAAGCCAGAGCAGGAGATGATGAGAGGGATGTTCACCCCTGTTGCAAATTTTAGGGAGGAGATGTCTCAGTTCCTACACATTCTCAGTTCCAGTCCCAAAGACATCTTCATCCTTCTGGAAAAGGAGACATAGGACAGCCGCACTTGCCTGCATACCTGACACCAATAAAGGTGCTTCTTAAAGGGGCCTTAGAGACAGCAGCCATTGGGGTCCCAGGCTAAATTGGTTAACTGGACGTAGTGGGTGGGGATTTTGTTCAAAATGTATGGCAGCTTCCAGGAATACAGATGGCTTGTACTAATTCTCAGCTAATAAGGACCCCACTCCCTCTGCTTCCTTGTTCTTCACAAAAGGCGCAAAGACAGCAGGCAAGTCATTCTCCAAAGAAAGTGTAAGAGTGCCCTCCAAGGGTGTCCTATTTTGCAGGTTAGTTTCAACAATCTTCCTCTCACTTGCTCCCACACTTTGACATGCAAAGCACTCTGAGGGAACAAAAACTCTACCACCATTCCTTACCTGAGCTATTATTGATCTCTGGAGTTCTGAAGTAATAACTTGGACTCCATTCACTCCAGAAGCCTTTAAAATAGTGATCAGGGATGGATCGAACTTTAATCTCATACATTGCTGCCGGTTGGAGCTTTCTCTGCAGGAGTGTCAGCTTTGTGCTGGATAAATTCACATGCTAGAGAGTAGAGTGCAGTTACATTCTTAGGATGGGAAAAGAGGTGTTGCCTAAATCTCCCAAATCATTTCAATTGGGATTCCTTTAGTCCCATAAGCATTCTCTGAAGTTGTCTCGTATTTGTTAGAATAAGGAGCTCTGATACGTAAAGGAGTCAACAGCAAAATTAGGGACAGAATCTGAGCTTATAAAGGATGTTGTGAGTGGTCAAGGAGGAGAGTGAAATGATGGGTCTTATTCAGGTGAGTTAGGCACTGCCCAGGATCTCCCTTTCCACACTTCAATATCTTCTTCTTTTCTCTCTATCCTTTCACATATTAAGGGGAGATGAAAGGTTAGGTTAGGTTAGTGAGCAGGAATCATTTCTCTCCAGAAAGACGCCATTTTACATTGTGAATAGTGATAAAGAGACAAAAGTCTCCACCACACAGTGTATTATCTTTAAGATTAAAAAAAAACCACTCTATCAATTTGACAGATAAAAAGAAGTCCATTGCTATTTATATCTGTATTTATTTGATAATTAGTTCATTTTCATATATTTATTGAATTTATCTATTCCATACTTTATGAGATTTTTCCCAATTTTTTTGCTCATTTTTCTATTGTGATATTTGTTTTTTTAATGATTTATAAGAGTCCTTTATCTATTAATGATACTAACCATCTATCAGCTGTTTATGTGGCAATTTAAGCTTACTTTTAAATTTGCATTTTTGATTTTTGATTATTGTGTGTGTTGACATATATAAACCTCCACTTTTTATGTAGTTGCATGTCTCAATCCTTTCTTTTCTTCTACAGCTTTGATGCTTAGAATGTTCTTCTTCATGTCAAGATTATGTAAACATTTGGCTATAATTTTTCTAATTTGTTTAGAGTTTCACTTTTATATAATTTCCTTAAATCATCTGGTATTTTGTTGTTGTTATATGAAGGTGGCTAGGCATTTAGTTTAATTTTTTTTAATTAAAACAATTTTTGGCTGGCGTGTTGGCTTATGCCTGTAATCCCAGCACTTTGGGAGGCTGAGGTGGGCAGATCACCTGAGGTGAGGAGTTCAAGACCAGCCTGGCCAACATGGTGAAACCCCAGCTCTACAAAAATACAAAAATTAGCCGGGCATGATGGCGGGTGCCTGTAATCACAGGTACTTGGGAGGCTGAGATGGGAGAATTGCTTGAACCCGGGAGGCGGAGGTTGCAGTGAGCCAAGATGGCGCCATTGCACTCCAACCTGGATGACTGAGCAAGACTCCATCTCAAAAAAATTCATGTATTTATTGAATTTATCTATTTTTCTTTTTAGTTAACTAATTGTCCTGGCAGCATTTATTCATAATCCTTCCTTTCTCCACTAAGTTGCTTTTCAATTGGTGCAATTTTCAGATGAATAATGAAAGATGGCAGGATCAAGGGTGGGGTGGGTGAGTAGAAGGAGGGAGCAGGTGGTTTGGGGCAGTTGTTACATTTATGCAAGTGGCATCTTGCATCACACTGCAAACAAACAAGGCCAATCTTGGCCTGAAAAAACAGGACAGCAAGAATAAGAAGGACTTGAGGAAGAGAAATCATCATCTCTTCTTCATCTCTGAGGTGCAGAAAGAACAGAAGTTAGGTTGGTGGGTTAAGAGAAATCTCATAACCTGGTACACTCCACTCTTCTGCCACCTCCTCCCCAAAATAAATTTCAGGGACTGCCAAATCATTCCAACCTCAACAAATCATGAAGAGAGCATCTAAGTAACTCTCCTGATTATGAAGGGTAAAAATTAAGCTGTTACTTCAAAAACAAAGACCTTGGGCTTTAAAATAAAAACAAAACAAAGGCAAACATTATGCCTCTTTTCTTTACCTCATGCTGGTCCCATGAATCTCATAAGCCAGAATGTGGCTACGACTTGGTGATCATAAGCAGATATACATTTTGCCTGATTTGCCTATGAAAGTGGCACTAGACATGACACTTTTTGAGGCCCCTGAATACAGAGGATTAATTTGGCCTCAATCTATATTGTTATCCAACTCACTAATGTAGAAACATTCTGAAGACCAAAATTAGAGCAGAAGAAAACAACCAGAGCTAGAAGAGTATGCATCAGGGAAGATCCAGGTTTTCATGGGGCCAATATTGGGAGATTCTTTCAGTAGAAGGTAGATTTTGAAAGCAAAATTGTTGGGCCCTCCCAGGGGAAATGCACTACTAGGCCAACAAAATAGAAAACATTCATAAGTTTTTATTTTATTAATGTAGTTGAACTACATACCGTCCATTTGTTTTCATCCTTTTCCTGGCGGTAAGCTACATCGTGCATTAAAACTTTTACATACTTCTTTTGCAAGTGTGATGTATTAAATGTCACCACAAAGTCATTGGCTCCTTCCCGATAGACGACACTCAGGTCAAAAGGAGCCTCAGGTTTAACTGGAAAAGAAAAAGAAATAAATTCTGTCTAAAGGGCAGCCAAGGAAATAATTATAGTATTTAAAATTCATCTCCTCTGCAAGTCACTTTGACCCTTTTTGTGTCAGTAAATGGCCAACTATTCAGAAAACCATTTCTTCTTCTTGGGTTTAAATCCAGTCCGCATTCTCCAGCCTCTCTTGCAGTGGGGTGTGGCCTTGTGAGTGAGGTGGGCAGAAGAAATGCACATCCACTTCCACCCTGGGCCAGACACACACCCATGTGTGACTCCTCTGCTCCGTCCTCTTCCACCACTTGGAGTCCTGCATTACAGACGGTGGAGCCACAAGATGGAAAGTGCCCCTAATACTGCTGGGAGAAGCCCCAGCTGCAGGTTAGAAACATCCATTTTGACTCTGATGTGAGTGAGAAATAAACCTACGGTGTTTGAGATATCATATGTTTGGGGGCTTATTTGTTACAGCAGCTAGTGTTAATTTTACACTAAAACACATCCACTTTGCCTTTTGAATATTGGAGAACTTGTTACTAATGAGCCCCAAAGCAGGAGTATTTAAACTCTGAGTCTTTATTCTTGTAATAAAATTAGGTTATATGCTGTGAACCTTGCACCTCGTCTCAGCTACAGTGACATGAAGGGTCTGCATCCTGGCCCTGGCTAAGACCTTCCAGAATGTCCTCAGGGGGTCCCCTCTGTCAGTCTCACTGCCTTAATGCTGAATTCCTCTTGGGCCTCTCCCTACTGCCTTCCTGCCTTGCAGGGTTGCTGTTAGTATCAAATGCTCCACACATGCTAAGCTGTTGGAGGGAGATTGGTATTATTTCAGGCAGAACAAACCCAGAGAAAGGTATTGATTTCCTAGAAAGGTCCTGAGACTTCCCTGTCCTGGCCTCTTGGCTGCTTGTTGGTCACAGCCTGGGAAGTTAGTTGTCTGGGGGTGGGGGTGCTACTTCTTGCATGACTGATCTCAGGCGCAGTTGTTCACAAGAAGATGCGGGTTCATCAGACTTTCACTCAGTAGAGTGTGAGCTGGGATTTAAAGTTACTTGCCGGCCCAATAAAATGCAGCCCACATGGCAGAGTTTGGCCTAGCTCTTGTTGTAGTCACTTATTCGTAGTGGTGACTGCCTGTTTCTGCTGCTTTGCCTTAGAGGTACTGAAAAAAAAGTAATGACTTTGTTTTTCACCCTTGGATGGGTTGTAAAAGGGGAAGTTTATCAAAAGGGAAAATGCCCTGGACTTAGAGGGAAGCAGGAGGAAAGGCAGTGGGTGGAGAACAGCCGAACAGAGAATGCTGGCAATGCCTTTGCCCCTCTCTCTTGTTCCTGCTCTCCATTCCATTCTCAACAAGGCCTTCTGAGCTGAAGCCCCTGCCCTGTGCCCATCTTTTAATAATAGAGGAATTGAAGGAAGAACACATCTCCTAAGTACTGCATGCTTTGCTTATGCTGTCTTCAAACAATAGTCACTTATCACCAGCATATTGATAAGGAAACTGAATTTCAGAGAAGTTAATTACATTCAGGCCCCTGTAAAATGGTTTAAAGGGATCCAAATCCAGTTCTTTGATTCTGAGGCTCACTCTTCTTCATTTAGCTTTTGTTTCTCTACCTTGTTACATATCACAACGGCTGGTCCTCGTGCCCTCTGGACAGTTTTCCTCAAGCTCAAATGATTTCTTTGAGCAAATTAGAAAAAGGGGCTCATTCATCAAGCAATACTTCAGAGGGAATAGATTCTTGTACAATCTGAATAATCATATCAATCTACTCTGCTAAGAGAAGTGGGAAGGCAGGATGCTTCCCTCTTCAGCCTTACTGGGTTGGAAGATGCTTAAACAAGGGGAAGTGAGGGTGCAGGTGGTGGCAGTGGAGCACTGGCTCTGGGGCTCAATCAGAAGCATCCAGTTTAAACTCACTTAAATGGTAGTTCCATTAATGAAGTGTCCCATTAGGACCTAGAAGGAGATGCTACCGTGAGACATGCCTCCACCACCTCTCTTCCTGCTTGTCCAGGGGTGCTTGCCATAGCCCCAAGAGACTCACACTACCCCTTCCAAAGGGGCCTATGCCATCAGCAGTGTGTGTACCATACGTACCTCTCCCCCTTGCCGTTCGGAGGAGGCATGTCAGATTTGCAGTCTGCTGGGGGATGGAGACTGCAAGTGCATTGAGCATGTGGGATATGGGGATTTGGAGGTGGCAGATGTCACCTGGAGGCTCTTGGTGTGTTGTGAGTGCTTATGTGCATGTAAGGGCTTGCATGCTGGTGTGGAGTTTTGTAAGAATGGGCTCTCCCCTGATGCTCCAGGACCTTGTCAGAAGACTGAGAACCTCTGCCTTCTCTGCTCACTCTCAGAGAACTGAATGTATATTTGCAATGTAAATGGTGAACCTTTAGATATGGTGCCCTATCCATAGGGACCTCATCTCCAAATGATCAGAACCCAACTTTTTATAACCTCAGAGATACCCTGTTGTTGTCAAAGCCAGTTCTCTTCCCCTAACCAGGACCCACACTGGTCATGGCCAATGCTGCTTCTGTGTGGCCAACATGCACAGCCATCTGCCTAATGTCTCTTTTCTACTACATTTGCCTTTTCACAAGTTAATTGTTCACACATGGAACTTCTGCTTTACCTCTCTATTTTATCATCTTAGTGAAACAAAACTGAGACAAAGCTGAGCTAGGTTTCTTACTCTTTCTTATCTCTAATGAGTATTGCTCTCTTACCTTTAATTTTCTTTTTGAGGGTTGAAGGGGGAGCGAATAGGGAATGCTAAAAGTATTTTTAAGACATGGTTAACATTTAAATCAGTAAACTTTGAGTAAAGTAGATTGCCTTCCGTGATGTGGTGGGCATCACCTCATCAGTAGAAGGCCTCTAGAGCAAAGACAGAGGTTCCCTGAAGAAGAAGCAAGTCTGTCTCAAGAGTACAATACAGAAAATCTGCTTGAGTTTCTTGCCCTGCGGAATTTAGGCTCAATACTGCACTCTTTCCTGAATTTCTAGCCTACTGGCTTGCCTTATGGATTTTTGCGATTGCCAGTTCCCACAACCACAAAAGTCAATTTCTTAATAGAAATCTCTCCTATCAATGATCTATCTATCTATCCTCCTATTGATTCCCTTTTTTTTTTGTAGAAAACTCTGACTAATAGAGAAGGCATATATGCTTTTTAAAATAACTTGATAAGTTAGCTAAACTTACTCAGAATGTTGTGGGGATTTGGGGAGAAGACCACAAGGAATTTGGGAGAAGGACAGGTAAGGAAGGAAAGGACAGATAAGGAAGGAAAGGACACCTGTGATGGATGACAGGAAGCCCAGCTCCAGTTAGCCACTTCATGTAGGTTTGCACAAACACTATCTTTCACACCTGGGTTTGAAGATCCTCAGAATTCTTTCACTGCAGGAAAGTATAAATTTCAAGCTTTTCATTTATTATAAAAATTTACAGTAGGGAATTAGCTATTATCTATTGCCAGTTGTTTCCACTATTTGTCTACTTTTAACCTACAGAATGTCCAGACACAGTGTTTTCAGGTAGCCCAAAAGTGACAACCATACTTTTATATACAACTTCTTACCTATAGTGGTTAGGTCTATTTTTTTGCAGGTTAGACTCTTTTCTCCAACCTTCACACATATATTGCTCTTTCCAATCAGTAAGAATTTCTTTGTCTCGATGAAATATATCTCTTGTAGTTTCCTGAAATTCAGGCACTTTACCTCCACGAGGGCCCCACTGTAGGAATAAAAAGGGGATATGTCTTGATTCAGGTAGGAGTTCCTGTATGCAGTGGAATAGTATCATATGCACATTGATGTATGTTTGACTTTAACTCTGTTCATAGGTATGTGGGTGGGTGAGTGGAGGCATGTTCAGGAATGAGAGATAATGAATTAAAATCTTATGGCTTTCTGCTGCTATGATACTTAGTGATGATTTACTTAGAATTAGATGCAATTGAACCTGAAATAGTCAAGACATATTTATAAAATTATGGGAAATTTCTATATTTTTATAATTGATCACTGAAAAACAAATACTTTGTTTAGATTAAAAAGTAATTGCTTTTTTTGATGTTCCATAGGAATATATGTAAGAAATAAGAGCTGTAAAAAATATTGATTAAAAAAAGTGTTAAAGAAAATGATAACATAGTATAAAGGGTTATATACATAATATCACATATACTTGATGGGTAACGTAATGGATTTTTATAGGTAATTTTGGCTGGTGAACCCTAACAAGAGTGGTTAAGAAAACAAAATATATAAATTACTAATATCTGGAATGTAAGAGGAGATATCACTATAGAACATGCAGATGTTAAAAGTATAATAAGGAAATTTTAAATGCTATTTTAATGTATATAATAACTTAGATGTAATGAAAATGTTTTTATAAACACAAATTAGTAAATCTGACCCACATAGAAATGGAATATTTCAACAGTTATATTTCTCTCAAAGAAATTAAACTTATTATCAATAAACTTCCCCCCAAAGAAAACTCTATGCTTGATGGTTATATTCTGGTAAATTCTATCAAATGTATAAGGAAAGAAATAGTGTCAATCTGACACAAATTATTTTAGAAACTGGAAGAGGAATGACCCTTCTCAACCTATTTTTTGAAGCTAGCTTAATCCTGGTACCCAAACCTGGCCAAAATATTAGAGAAAAGAAGTTGATAGACAAATATCCCTCAAAAATGTATAAGCAAACTTTCACAAGAAAATACTAACACACTAATTTTAATACATAATTATAAAGTAGGGCACATCTCAGGAAACCAAAGCAGGTTAAAGATTCAAAAATTAATCAATATAATTTGCCATGTTAACAGACTAGAAGACATAAATAACCTGGTTATAATCAATCAATGCATTCAAAGCATAATTTAATAACATGAATGCATCTATTCATGTTAAAAACTCACAGCAAATAAGAAATAGAAAGACACTTCCTCAATCTGATAAAGAGCATTTACAAAAGCCTATAGTTAATATCATATTTAGTGCTGAAATTGTGAACATGAATTGTTTCCCTAAGACCAGGACACGACAGGAATATCCACTTTCACCATTTCTATTCAGTGGTGTACAGGAGGTTTTAGCCAATGCATAAGACAAGAGAAACAAATAAACACAATTTGATTTGCGTTTCTCTGATGGCCATTGATGATGAGCATTTTTTCATGTGTCTTTTGGCTGCATAAATGTCTTCTTTTGAGAAGTGTCTGTTCATATCCTTTGCCCACTTTTTGATGGGGTTGTTTGTTTTTTTCTTGTAAATTTGTTTGAGTTCATTGTAGATTCTGGATATTAGCCATCAATGGCCATCAGAGAAATGCAAATCAAAACCACAATGACATACCATCTCACACCAGTTAGAATGGTGATCATTAAAAAGTCAGGAAACAAAAGGTGCTGGAGGGAATGTGGAGAAATAGGAACACTTTTACACTGTTGGTGGGACTGTAAACTAGTTCAACCATTGTGGAAGACAGTGTGGCGAGTCCTCAAGGATCCAGAGCTAGAAATACTATTTGACCCAGCCATCCCATTACTGGGTATATACCCAAAGGAGTATAAATCATGCTGCTATAAAGACACATGCACATGTACGATTATTGCAGCACTATTCACAATAGCAAAGACTTGGAACCAAGCCAAATGTCCATCAATGATAGACTGGATTAAGAAAATGTGGCACATATACACCATGGAATACTATGCAGCCATAAAAAAGGATGAGTTCATGTCCTTTATAGGGACATGGATGAAGCTGGAAACCATCATTCTCAGCAAACTATCACAAGGACAAAAAATCAAACACTGCATGTTCTCACTCATAGATGGGAATTGAACGATAAGAGCACTTGGACACAGGAAGGGGAACATCACACACCAGGGCCAGTCATAGGTGGAAGGAGGGGGGAGGGATAGCATTAGGAGATATACCTAATGTAAATGACGAGTTAATCGGTGCAGCACACCAACATGGCACATGTATACATATGTAACAAACCTACACGTTGTGCACATGTACCCTAGAACTTAAAGTATAATAATAATTAAAAAAACTAAATATAAAGGCTAAAACTGTAGAACATTTAAAAGAAAACATGAGAAAATATCTTCCCAACTTTGGGAGTAGGCAAAGTTATCTTAGCAAGGATACAAAAAGCACTACATATAAAAGAAAATAAATGATATATTAGACTCCATCAAAATAAAAAAAAACTCTTGCTTATTAAAACGCACCAGTAAGAAAATAAAATGGCAAACTTCAGAATAGAAAATAGATGCAATACATCTATCTGACAAAGGAAATGTATACAGAATGTATAAAGAACTCATATCCAGCAATAACAAAAGGACAAATAACTCAGTGCTTTTAACAGATACTAGCCCAAAGAAGACAGGCAAAAGACCAAGTATATGAAAAGCTGCTCAACATTTGTTATTTGACAAATGCGAATTAAAAACCTAACGAGATACTATCCCAAAGTCAAACGTTGCAAATGATGTATATCTCTCATGCATCGCTGGAAGGAGAGTAGAATGGTATAACCACTTTGAAAAACTGTTGGGCGGTTTCTTATAAACTTAGATACATGCTTACCTTATGACACAGCAATTCCATTCTGAGGTTTTATACCCCAGAAAAATGAAAATATATATACACAAACTGATTTGTCCAAGAATGTGAACAGCAACCTAAAAAATAATAGTCTCAAACTTGAAAAAACACAAATGTTCATCAAGAAGAGAAAGAATTAAAAATTTGTGGTATATTCATACAGTGGAATTACTACTTAGCAATTGAAAAGATGAGCTATGAGATGGACATCAACATGGCTAACTCTCACAAACACTGGTTAAATGAAAGAAGACAGAAAAGAATAAAGAGTATTCTATTAATAAGAACTATCAGAAACTGGCAAAAACCAAAGGGTAATAGAATTGAGAATTATGATTGCTCCTGGGGTATGAAGATTGACTGGAAAGGAACATGAAGCATCCTTCTAGGGGAAAAATAAGTTCTATATCTTTACCATTGGAATGGCTACAGGTCATAGACATTTCTCCAAATTCACTTAATTTTTGTGCATTTTACCACACATAAATTTTACCCCTAAAATGCATTGTAATCAAACAAGAAAGCAAAGAAAAATAAGTAAATAATGTAAAAATTAAAGAAGTAACAAAGGTATATATTCTCATTGTAAAGGTAGAATAAAAGTAATATCATAGGGTTATTTTCCTTTCCCAACCCTAAATTTAATTTTCCTCTTCTGTGATAAACACAGTTACCAATTTGTTTTTCCTATGTGCTGTTTAAGCTCAGCCAAATAGCTCTAAAGAGGTATAACTGGGTCAAATTGGAAGTGAAGATCTGGGCAGAAGAAAAGTTCCTCTGGGTAAGTTTGCGTATATGAAAGAATTCTTTCCATTAACCGATGTAATTTTGTTTAAATCCTAAGGAGTGTGTTCTAGGAAGGCCTTTTACTACCTACAACCCACAATGTGTGTTGGCTTCCCTTGGTGAACTGGATGTGTGTACACTCTTCTCTGCATGTGCTCAAATGAGTCCTTTCGAGAATGGTTCCTGGACTCTGCACAAAAAGAGGAACCTGTTTGTCTGGCTTCGAGTGAGCTGGCCAGGAGGTTAAATGCAGGGGAGAGTGCCCTAGCTTTTGTTACAGAATCTTTCACCTTTGGTTTATTGTGGTCTGAGAGTGACTGGTTAAGCTCCTACAGTCATGAAAACTAGAGATTGGTGAAGAAATGTTAAGTTAATTAACTGGCTAAATGTATTGATTATTTTGGGGACATTCCTTAAAACTGTTCTCCCAAATCGTTACTTTTGTTAACTGCTATCTTTTAGAGTGTGCGATTGTTTAGGCTTTAAAGAGTAGGTGTGTATGTGTGTGTGTGTCTCAAAGTTACTAGGGAGTTGTGTTCCTTGTTGGGGTAGATAGGCTTTCCCAACTTGGAACAGGATAAAAATAAAAACCGAATTTTTGGGTAAGCTAGACAGATACCAGGGAATAAGCTTAGGACAAACATCAGGTGGAAAGATCTGAAGATGGTAATGTTGTCACGATTTGATAAATAAATATAGAAGGGGAGACTGGGAGCGGGGTCCCATTTCTGAATTTTAGGTAAACATGGGATGTGGAGAAACTAGGACAATAACTTTTAGTTCAATTCTTGAGTATAGAATATATTTGTAAGGAAAGTATGTGTGAAATATCCAATTACAGGCCCCAACCTGTAGCAAGTTTCTGGTACTGTTGGGAATTTAAGGAGGATCTAAAATGGTATTCTCAGCTCATTCCCATGATTTTGAGAATGAAATTAATGAGCAATGGACAATCAAGGATGACCGTATGGCTGTCTTGTGAAACTGGGCATCCTTTTAAGGGCTCTGAACTCCAGGAGTTCATCTATTAAAGAGCTCATACATATATTTTCCACTGAAAACGTTTCTTTCTTAAGGCAGTCCCTTTCCAACTGAAATATCTGAATCCAATTGGAAAACCCAAATAGAGGAGGCTCTGGACAGATTACAATATGACAGGAAAAGTCAAGAGATATGTTAAAGGGTAAGTATGTTTGAGTGGGCAAGGAAGTGGTCAAATATGGTGTGAATGAAAGTGAACAGAAAGGTCAACCTCAGCTTGGCCAAGAGAAACCAGGATGAACACTCAGCCCACCAGCCAGCTGGTTAAAGAAGCCAAAGTCAAACCTCCGTGTGGGAGAGTGATTTGCCCATGAAAATGAGTGCCTTGTTTGAATGAGTTGTTATGGCTGTTTTAGTGCAATCCATTTCCAGCCTAGATTGTGGACATCGAACTGGTTCAGGTTCTTTTGACATATTTTATTCCTGGAAAATGTGTTAGGGAAGTGAACAGAGGCAGACAGAGAACACAGTACACTACTCAAGTCCAACAGCATGTTTATCTAAGGACTGCAGCAGAAAGCACTCCATAAATAGATGCAGGAAGCTCCCATAAATTGACAAAAACTGGAATTCAGGGCTTGTTTGGACTATAGACTGTGGAGAATTGTCTCAGTGTCTATGGAATGTAGGAAGCCTTCTATTACTACTGGTGGATCTTGATTTACTTTGCTCACTAGGACACTAACTAAAAAGTAGGTCATTCGGATATGAATTTGGAGATAGCCTCAGGTCAGAATTTCAAGCTAGAGTAGTTTCTCAAATCACCAGAGATAGTAACCCTTGGCAACAAGAGATGACTTATGGATGAAGGAGAAGGAGAAGATAAAGTTCCCTGAGACCTTTAGTAAACTTTCAAACCAGACTCTTTTCCTTTGTCTTTTCTGTGAGACCTTGTGAAACAAAATGCCAACTTATTCCTGTGGATTTTTGGAAAATTTACATTGAGAGGATCATCTGAAGTCAAATTGTGTCAAGATGGTAGAAGTTAGGTCAATATTCACAGAATTATAATTTAATGTTGCTTCCCCATTACTCGTTATTCACTGGCCGACTATTTGGAATGATTTATATGATGAAATTATTTAACCATCACAGCCTTCCTGTGAGGCAGGTTATCTCATTTTACAGGTGAGGAAACTGAGGCATAGATACATTACATAACTTTCTCTAGGTCAAAAAACTAGTAAGCACTGGTATTGGGATTGGAAACAAGGCAGTTTAACTCTCAGATGCAACTTGAAGACACTGGATTGTCTCGTGTTGGGCAAACAGATTTTTGGTGAGAAGTGTTGTAGGAGACGCAGGATTTAAATTCTGATATGAAGTTGGGAGGGATGTGGGATCCCCAAGATCCAGAGCATCATTTGACTGAGTCTCAGGGTCTGAAAGCTGAACCGTGAGAGGAGATTTGTATGAGTGTTTTTGGTGAAGGACAAGGAGTTTCAGGAGGCCTTTGGGAATTCCTTAGATGTTAACATTTGTTAATTAGGCCACATATTCTTTCTTTTGTGGCTATTAAAAAGAGCATATGAAAAGAGAGACAGAGGATGTCTAAGCAACCATTAAAACCACCATCCCTCACCATATTTCAAATTCCAGATTGGTGATGTTGACATCTGGGTCCTCAAAAGCACAGGTCAGTGAGTGCTGCGATCCATTCACTTCCAACTGGCTATAGCATGAGAATGAGTAGTCATCCAGTTCTGCATCTTCCAAGTCTCCTGGGGAGGAACAAACATGCAGCTGTTAATGAAACAAATAAATGCATCCTTTTGAAATATGGCATGACCTTAATAAAATAGCAGACTCTGTGGCAGACATGAAATAGTAATGGATTATGTAGTATTCAAGGAAGAAAAGCCCAAGGGCAAAGACAAGAAAAATGCTTCAAAACCAACCAACCAACAAAAAACAAAAAACAAAAACGCTCAATGCTAACAGAGTTTTCCAATAGAAAAAAAAAATCCATCATAATGAGTAAGTAACCTCCAAATATTTCTGAGTTAAAGAACCAGAGGCATTGAACACATTCTTTTCTGTATTTAAACTGGAGTTTTTTCTGCTACATTTGTTACATTGATTGTTCATATTATTTCAAAGAAGAGACACTTTATTTCCATTATCCCCATGCTACCTAATCTCACTTTTCACTTTATTACAAATCATAATTTATTCCCTCCCTAGTATTTTTTTTGTCTTAAATGAAGGACAATGATAGCTATCTTGCAGTCAGAATTTTGCTTTTTTAAGAGGTCACTTTCCCTTGCCTAAAAAGGCATCCCAATTAAAAGTGGCACTGATTATTTCCATTGTCTTAAGCTACTGACTGAGACAAACGTGATTAGGGAAAAAAAATTAGATCTGGCAGGACTCCGATTTGGTGAAACTTCCTGTGAATGTTGTACATACTGCTTCTGTTCTTATAGATTCTTCTATAGACGCAGTATCTGATAGATTCTAGCAGGATGCTGGAAGAAAGTGGGGAACCAGATTTTTTTTTTTTTTGCTATTACTTTTGGAAAGTGTGATCTGTCACACATAGTATTTGGTTTCTTAAGCTGTTTTGTAGACCCTATAATGAAATCTACATTTTGTATGTATGTTTTACATGATAGAAAGTGAGGCTGGAATAAATATGTCAGAAAATATACACCCACTGGGACCTGAGAAAATCTGGAGTAAGCAAAGCCATTCTCAGAGTGCTCAAGTGTGAGCCTAGGACTGCTTCCATGTATTTTTGGTTCATCAGTACTAGAAATTAGATGCTTCCAAGGCTTTACACTGGAGACAGAATATACTAAAATCAAATCCCAGTTGATTGTCCCAGAGACCAAGGGCTGTCCGAATAGCACTTTCTTTACTTAAATAACTCAGTAGGGAAAATGGGAAAGTTAATAAAGCTGACTGTGAATGGACCAACCAGTTGAATGACAGGTTGGTTCAGTCAAAGCAACAAATCTCAAACAGCCCTAGCTAGACCATGGGTGTGGGCACTGCTCACAACCACAGGCATTTGTTTTTCTGGCCATTCCCAGAATCCATCCAGTTCACAGTTCTGCCACCAGCAAAAGCTCTTTATGTAGTTTCAGCAGGGTATGGCCCTCCTTCTGATGACAGCACGAAATAATGAGAGACAGCCCACTAATTTTGTAGACTTAGATTTCTTCCCTGTGCAGTGGTAGCTTTCTAAATGCAGTGGTTCTGACCTTACATGGCAGTCCTCACACTGTCCTGACATTTTCTCTTCCACCAATTCTATACACAGAACATGTATTATTATTTGGATTCAGACATCCTGTGGGTCGGCTTTGTCTTCACGATTCTTCAATAGAGACAGCACACTCTAGCAGATGTCAGCACCCACATAACAAAGGACTCCCACTGCCACTCAGTCTGGCAAAGCATACAATATACAATGAGCCATTTATACACTGTTTCCTGCACCTAAAATGGCTGTGTTTTAGGAAGCAGCTCACTGGCTTTTCAGTAGATATTATGGGGCAGAGTTGCTTTGTAACCAAGAAAAATTCCCTTCAATGACTTATAAAATGTGATGGCATTTTACAAAAAGAATATTCTACATGACGTGAGCTGAAAAATTCTTGGCTAAGAGTAGTTAATGTACACAGTGGTTAAGACCTGTGGTGTTAGAGCTGGACAGATGTGCGTTTAAATTCTGGATACTCTACCTGTGGTCCTCTGTCAGGTAGGCAACTTCTCTAAGACATGTGTTCTAATATGTAAACTCGTGCTATGAGCAATCACTGAATGGATATTTACAAAGAGGTAGCTTAGAACACAGTAAGGATTTAATAGGGATTAGCTATGAGTATAATATTTTCTGAGAAATAAGTAATGAAAAGGTAAAATAAGAATTCTAATTCTGAAAATATACATGAAACATTTGAGCTTCTCTTTAAAAAGTTTATGTCAATTGACGGTGTTATAATTACTATGGTTTTGAAATTACATAGAGCTTTTGAATAATGAGTTAATCTATTATTCTTTAAATGCTCAATAATTAATATTATTCATATTTAAATAGGTATCTAGACATATTTATCCATAAAAATTTAAATTGTGTGGAATATGTATCATAGGCAAGCCAGTGTCATCTAGAAGTCTTCTTCCTACTGAATGGAGTTAGTTGATTAATAGTGTAAATGATTTGGATTTTTAAAAAGTATCCCTTTCTTCTCTTGATCATCCTTGTGATGATCAGAAAATTGACAACTTTCAACAAGCAGCAACTGAATGTGAATTCCTATACCCCAAACTGGGAAGTATTTTGACGTAATCATGTGAATAGGGTAATTATACATCTTCTAAAAAATCTGAAACTTAAAAAGTTGGAGTGAAAACCCAGCTTTCAACTAGCATTCTTATATATTTTAAAAATAGTATGATCACCAGGGTGAACTAGTGAGTATAGATGACATGAAAGAGAGTAAGATTTATGTTTCCTGCCTCCCATCAGTCTTTGTGGAAATCCAAGGCAAAGTTTAGCATAGAATAATAATCATCCCCCATAAAGTGAGTCATATACTGTAAAAAATGTCAAACTCTCTGACAATTCCCTTAATGAGAAAATTCTAGGGATTTCCATCCTTCGTAATTACATGACTCAAAATGCATAAGCTGAGTCATTAGGCTGATGTGTTTGATATTGTCTATAGCCAAATAGTTTTTAACTCTTAAAGAGAAAGGGCTTAATTTGCAGGAGCAAGTTGATGGTCTAAATTCCCACATGCCTCCTGCTGCTGTTAGAAGCTTCTGCCTAGTTTTGTTATAATTACAATGTGTTTATGTATGGGCAGGGTTGGCTTCTCGGTACTAAGTTTTTTAGATCCCAAAAAGAATTATTACATATGGCCAATTTGTTGGTGTGGAGGCAATTCAGTGTATTTCAATGAGTAAACTCATTTAGATCTTTCTCTAGTCAGTTATTTACTTAAAATCTCACATAAATCTCTCAAAACTAAAGTATTTTGAAAACACTTTCAAAAGTTATTGGATGTCTACTATATTCTAGCCACTGATTTAGGTGCTGAGGATATAGCACTGGTCACTGAAGACAAAGCTATTGCTTCTGTACATTACCTTATCCTGAAAGTTATGCTTTCAGGATTTCTTAAAAAGTCAAACAAAATGAATCCAGTTTGATCTCCTGACAAGGTAAAATTACTTTGGACATTTTCCTACAAGTACAGTCATAGCATCTACATGAGCATTCTTTTTGTAAGAGCAGAGTAATCATTCAACATTTAAGATCTACACTTGGGAGTGAAATGCATTCCTTCTTGAGAATACTGAGGTCTTATAAACCACCCATAGTATTGATCCCCTGCCCCCTGTCATGGTGGTTAAACATTAAAAAAAATGACTGAATATGTGGGAAATTCTCAAACTGCATTCAAACCCAGTGCCTGACTCAGGTCTGTTAGGGAACTGAATAACCTGAAACCATGCTACAGATAATCCAAAATCCATAAGAAAACTTAGAAATGACTCACCATTTTGAGCATAGCCACTTTCTCCAGAAACGACTTGAAGTAAAGAAAAAACCATGCCAAAAGTTGTACCTAGAATTGTCATTCTGAGAGAGATAGAGAGAGAGAGTAGATGTGTGAGCCAGTGTGTATGAAATGAATGAGAGTAAGAGGAAGGGAGGGAGGGAGGAAGACAGAGAAGCTTAGATCTAGGGCTTTATACTTATCTAACCACAGACAAGGGAAGTATAAACACAGCAAAAAAGAAGGCAAGTTCCAGAAACAGGAAGTCTGAGTAAAAGTATTGCTGCTGTAAGCAGAGGTCAAGGACATGAAGAGACAGAGCCTCTGAAATTATTGTTCCTCCTGGATATTCCCTGCAGCCCCCACACTTACTGTGCTTACATCAGAGTAAGGCAGTAGATTCACACCTAGGCTCAAGCTATCTTAGGCTAGAGGCTACTTTATTTTTTTAATTTTTATTTTTTTGAGACAGAGTCTTGCTTTGTTGCCCAGGCTGGAGTACAATAGCATGATCTCGGCTCACTGCAATTTCCACCTCCCAGGTTCAAGCAATTCTCCTGCCTCAGCCTCCTGAGTAGCTAGGACTACAGGCAAATGCCACTATGCCAGCCTAATTTTTGTGTTTTCAGTGGAGACGGGGTTTCGCCATGTTGGCCAGGCTTGTCTCGAACTCCTGACCTCAAGTGATCTGCCTGCCTCAGCCTCCCAAAGTGCTAGGACTACAGGCATGAGCCACCGCTCCTGACTAAGGGCCCACTTTAAAAGAATCTGAAGACAAAAATTCAAACTTACAAAGTGAATCAATTGGTTGTTTGGAGTGAGTTTTGATTTAAAGAAACAGTCTGCACTATGTGAAGTACTTTATTGTGGGTTTATTTTAAATAGCTTACCTCCAACTTCCAAGTTTCACAAGAATAGCAGTTTTTCTCTTTTGTTCTCTGTGTATCCCTGGTATTTACTCATATCTTACACACCACAGTAGGCATTCAAGAATTATTTGTTTAGGGCAGGGGCTGGCAAACTATGACCTAGGGAACAATTTTTTAAAAAATTATTCATTTATTTTTTCTTTTTCAAAAGATCTTTTTTTTTCCCAAGTAAGCCTTGGGACCAAATTTAATCTACCACCTGTTTTTGCAAATAACGTTTCATTGGAATACAGCCTCACCCATTTGTGTATCATCTACAGCTGCTTTTATGCAACAATGGCAGAGCTAAGTAGATGAGATAGAGATTGTATTGTACAAAAGGTGTAAAATCTTTACTATCTGACCCTTTGTAGAAAAAGTCTGCTGACCTCTTGTTTAAAGGATAAAGTAGGTACTTTCTTAGTGTATTTAAAACAGGATTCTATTTGTGAAAATTTGATTGCCACACAACTTTTCAGGTACACATAGTACATATGAACTAAATTAGTGCCTAGGTATATGGGGCAGAAATCTGAGACCATGGCATAGAAAATTCAGACTCCCCCAAACCTGAATGCCAGTCAAAAGCCTTCCTAATATGGCCTCATGGTTAAAGTGGTGATATTTGTAAAGCCTGACTGCTTCTTGGTAACTGTTAGATTTTTTTTTCTTTTTCTTGAAAAAAATAATCTAACCTGGATTCAGGCCATAAAACTCTATGCTTGATTCACAGTGGCTCTCTTTTGGAAAAATGCCACAAGACTGCAGTTATAAGGTGAGGAGTGCAGAGAAACTAAGTGATCAGTGAGTTATGAACTTCTGTTGGATTCACTGTCATTAGGTAGAATTGCTCCCATGGGCCTGTGAAATGGCTAAAATTAGCAGAGACAAGCAACAACCCCCCAGGTGTAAAGCAAATCGAAGAGACTTTAAAAGACTCATGATTTAGCTTGTCCCATCATTACAATTATTTGACAATAACGAAGTAACAAAAAAAGGAGGTGGGACATTTGTACCAGTCTCTGGATCCTCCTTTTCAGTTTTAAGACAGACTCCGTCTGCACCAGTTATAATGCCACACTTTGGAGTATAGGCTCAAGGAATACTTCGGAGCAAGAATCCAACTGAAGGGGACATATTCCATCTTCTCCATTTGTCAGGGCCTTCTCTGGGCATTTCAAAACCCTTCCAAGCCAAATAAAGAGTGACAATTTTGTGCATCGATAATAATTTATGCCCTCATTTCTAATCTTGTTTTGAAAGCTTGGTTAGAAAATTGTAAGCCTGATTCACAAAAATTGGTATGTTTTGTACACTGAGCTAAATACCCTTTCAAGAAAGCTATAATTACAGATTCCCATGAATTAAGCTAATGTTCAAGGAGAAATCCCAAATTATATCTATCTACCAATGCAAATCTCCTAAACTGCTAACAGATTGTCACTTCATGGGTGAGTAACTGGGTTATGTCTCTTTAAATTCTCTTGTTTATCATTTAAGTGGACTATCATTTTGATTGTATCTCTTTCCTTTAGTTGTGAAGATGTAAAAGAACAAAGCCAAGACACAATATTTTGGTACAGCATGTGCTGGTTTGTTCTGGGGATTTCCACAGGGGTGCTTACTCTTGGGTGGGGCAGGAGATGCTGAAAAGACCTCAGAGAGAAGCCTAAAGTGTGGGGAGCTCAAAGAAAAATGACATGCGTCACCAGTCCTTCTAGAGATTGTGGGGGAACAACAGTGCCTTCTCTCTTTCCTCACTCAGGTCTTGTTAGTCCTTTGGAGACTTAGAAAAGCTGAGGAAGAACCACCTAGTTCACCCTATCCCCCAGGTAACAAACATTTACTATATTACTTTGTCATTACTTTTGTGAGACAAGCACAGAAAGAAGAAAAGAGGATGAGGAACACTATTTGGGGACACTCAAGTCTCCAAATGTGAAATCAGGAGGGAAGCATTGGACTGTGGTAGAAGCAAGCAGTTTGGCGTGGCAACTGACTTGGCCATATTTCTTCTCCTCCTCTTCACCCATCACTTCCTTTCATGGCTACATTTTCTCGTCTCTCTTTTGTACTTTGTCTTCCTTCAGTTTGATGAGTTTGTATGATGTAGTGAATCATTAAAAAGGAAAGCCAGCTGGGTGCAGTGGCTCATGCCTGTAATCCCAACACCTTGGGAAGCTGAGGTGGGCAGATCACTTGAGCTCAGGAGTTCAAGACCAGCCCTAGTAAACATAGTGAGACTCTGTCTCTGCAGAAAATAGAAAACTTAGTCAGGTGTGGTGGGGCCCGCCTGTAGTCTTGGCTACTCAGGGCTGCAGTGAACCGAGATTGCGCAGTGAACTGAGATTGCACCACTCCACTGTAGCCTGGGTGACAGAGTGACAGTCTGCCTCAAAAAAAAAAAAAAAAAAAAAAAAAGCCATTTGATTCTTTCTCATACACAAGCAGAACACACTGACCTTGTTAAGACTCCTGACACCAGTTGGCCAAGTCTCCTTTTCTTCCTTTTTTGTAATTGTTCAGGCTATTTGCCCAACAGGCAAAACACAAAAAAGACTTTCTTTTATCTTCAGATTGCAATAAGTTCTGTGGTGTTCCTATATAACCGGTAGAGTCCTAGCAAGTTAAGAGAACTTATCTTTTAACGAGATTGAGATCCTAAAATGTTAGAGGGGTGTATCCATTATTTGGTTGTTTGTTGTTTGTTAACTGGATAAAAATCTAGCCCAGATCTTCCTTTTTTTTTTTTTTTTCTGATTAGTAAAGACAAAGGTTTTCCTGGGAAAATTCAGGCTGAGCATCTTGTCTTATTACTAGTGTTTACTATCTGGATCCATCTATTAGGAACAGAAATTTTGACTCTATTCTCTACAGAAATTATGAATTTAGTTGGACAGATACCAGTGTATCATGAGAACCCTGGGAAACAAACTGTTTCAAGGACAAAAGCATTCCTCTGACTCAGTTTTTAGATGAAGCTTATAAAATAGTCCTTAAGCCTTTAGCAATTTGTCCTAAATGAGGATGATTTAAAAGTCACTCACCTTGGGACTATATATTGAAGGACAATAAGTGAAACAGCAATAATAACAGGCAGTAAATGTTGCAACAGTAATATCCTGGGTAAAATCTGATGTTTGAAAAATACTGAAAACACATTCTATGTGTCATAAAATCTGTATGACCTGCCCCCACCTACTGTCAACTTACCTTTCTTAACAGGTTTTATCCTTAAGGTGGAAAACAATCTTGGGCACCAGCTATCTTATTAAAAAAAAAAAGCCAGCCCTGCTCAAGAGAGAGGCTGGGGACCACAAGAGCTGTGGAAAAAAAAAACAACAAACAAACAAACAAACAAACAAAAAAACCCAACATCCAAGGGTGTCAAGCAGGTGAGGATGGCTGTAGGAAAGCTAATGCCACTCTGGTCCTAAATGAATAGTCTCTAGCATTTGATAAACATGTGCTGAGTCAGTCCCTACGATTCTGAGGGGGAGTCCCAGCATCTTGAAGTTTCATTTCCAGGAGCATGACATTTTCCTTGTTGTGGCTCTTCTTTCATTTCCCTTTCCTCCTTCCCCCACGTCTTCAGCCTCATGTCTTGCTGCCATTTGTCTTCTTTCTGGGCAGAGTTTGAAATGTCATACTATTTTCACCTTTATGAGATTTTAGCCTCTGTCTCTGGATGCAATAAAAATGGAAACTTTGAGTACCAACATTTCACTCTTTGCTGACGACATTTCTGCCAGAAAGTGAGTGGTATTTCAATTTCAGTACATGCCCACATTTTGATAAAACAGTGAACAAGAGGGCTGACCCTGGGAAGAGTGGTGAGAGTGGTATGCCTTCTGGCAAAGGCTGAGTCACAGTGCCCCTTTGGGCAGCGGGAGCCAGTGTGGTGTCCCTGCAGCTCAGTGTCTCCCTCTCTGGCCTTCCCAGCGGACAAACAGTTCACAGCAGCTCCGGCTGCCCACTCCACTGTCGGACACAGTGCCCCAGTGTGTTTCTGAGAAAAGTCTGGATCAAGCAACCCCATTCTGGGTTCTGGCCCGTGCCCCTGCACACAGTACTTGCCTCAGGGTAAGCTCCATTCCTGCAGAGTGGTTCCTGAGGGACCACAGTTGGTGGCCACACCCTGCAGGTCGTTTCCAAATCTGGACCACTGGGAGAACTGGCAAGAGTCCTCAATTCTACTCTGAAGCTTCCTCTGCTCTCTTAGAACCCAGTCCTCTGTGCAAATGGAGTCCCCAAGAACAACTCTGCTAGCCTAAAATTTCCCAAGCTTAATATGCAAAGTCCCAGCCTGGGCAATATGGTGAAACCCTGTCTCTACCAAAAATACAAAAAATTAATCAGGTGTGATGGTGTGCACCTGTAAGCTACTCAGGAGGCTGAGGTGGGAGGATCACCTGAGCCTGGGAGGTTGAGGCTGCAGTGAGCAGAGATGGCACCACTGCACTCCAGCCTGGGTGACGGAGTGAGACCCTGTCTCAAGAAAAAAAAAAGTAAAGTCAACCTTAAAAGCGACCCTCAGTTATACTGCTCATGGAATTGTCACAGAGAATCAGCAGGTGTTCCTAAAAAAGCAGGAACAAGGGCTCTGTCTTTGGTCACACTGCATACCCCTGGGCTAAGTGATTAAGATACAATCATTCTTTCCAGAGGCTTTCCAAGAAAATGGTAATGTACTGCCAACTTTTGCTTTCACTTTATCATCGGTCTTAGGAAACTTTGGAATTTAATAAAGGATTTTTTTTTTGTTATATGTGTTAGTTGAGCTATGCTGCCAAAACAGGGAGACCCACAAACATAGCGGCTCTAGCAAGGATGCAAATTTATTGCTCTCTCAATTAGTGGATTATCCACAGCAGGCAGGCAGCTCCGTGAGCTCACACAATTAGGAACCCGGTCTATATTTCATTTCCTAGGTGGCTGCTCTTGTCTACGTATTGATTTGAGGTTAGCTTACCAGCACCATGATCCCATTTCCTCTCTGGGAGAGTAGACAAAAAGGAGAAAGTGACGGGGTTCCCTTTTAAGGACATGATCTGAAAGTTACTTCTGCTCATAACATTGTGGCCAGAAAGTAGTCACTGTGGGCACTTTAGCTGCAAGAGATGAAGGGTAATACAGTCTGAAGAGAGGTTTGCTATATGCCCAACTAAAATTGGAGGTACTATTAGTTAAAGAAAGAAGGAGAGAATGGATGTTAAGAGAAGCAGCAGCTTCTGCAAGAGTTGTATATTTAGTGGTCATGCAAACGCATGCATCTCAAAGACCAAGGGCAGGAATTTAAAGTCTGTATTCTAGGACGACAATTTTTGCTTGGAGCAATGGGTAACTGGTGGGAGAGGGACAAAGGGTGAATTTAATGGGGGAAGGAGAAACATGGTTAAATATTTTCTGATATCACTTGCCATATTTGCTATCTTCTTGATTAAAGCAGATAGTGAAGAAAACTCACATGCACCAAATATCTGTGTGACAGGCACTGAACCATGTTCTTCCGTCACAGAGTAACTCTCTAAAGTAATGTCATTCTCCCATTTTGCAGGTTCGGATAGTGTAGGTGAGAGGCACTTGCAGGAATAGAATTGGGACCCAAGTGCGATTCTAAATGCGTGCCCTATTCATTGGAATTCAGAGCTTTTTAAGCAGTAGAATTCATTTACTTTCCAAACAAAATTCCATGCAGAGAACCACAACACAAAACAGATTTAAGCAGAGGGAGGTTGCCATTCTCCTCACTCAGCACTCTCATGTTGGTTCCTTCAGCCCCTCAGGTACAAATTTGTGGTGAGAATAAGAGAAGAGATTTTCTTTTTTTAAATTTCCAGCCCCATATGAATGGCCAAAGGTGTATATTTCTTCTTCAGGACTTAGCAATTACCTGAAGCTCTGTTGCTGGAGAAGCCAGACCAGATCAGAGCATTGTTCTTACTGGCACATCCATCTGTGCTCTAACTTGGGTCCCAAACATAGATTGGGGTGGGAGGGGCAGGAAACCCCTCACGATAGTGTGCAAAACTTGCTCTCCATTTTTCTAGAGATATTTGTAGCTTTTCCTTGTTATCGTGTGTCTGTGACCTCAAAGATGTTAAGAACAACTGCCTGGCTGTGCAGCTGCTCCATCCCCTTCCATCACCTTCTCACCAGCTGTACCCTCGTTCGAGGCCTGGAAGGTGGCAGCCTTTGGCTTTCCTACTGAAAAATCTTATTGCTGGAGACCCGAAGCACACCAGCAGTCCCAAGGTTCTCCTCACGACTTCTCTAGAAAGAATATCATCATGTACAAATTATATAGAACTGGGTTGGGTGCAGTGGCTCACGCCTGTAATCCCAGCAGTTTGGGAGGCCAAGGCAGGCAGATCACTTGAGGTCAGGAGTTCAAGACCAGCCTGGCCAACATGGTGAAACCCTGTCTCTACTAAAAATACAAAAATTAGCCAGGCGTACTGGTGGGTGCCTGTAGTCCTAGCTACTCATGAGGCTGAGACAGGAGAATTGCTTCAACTCAGGAGGTGGAGGTAGCAGTGAGAGGAGATCATACCACTGCACTCCAGCATGGGCTACGGAGTGATACTCCATCTCAAAAAAAAAATTATATAGGAACTTAATTCTTTTGGATGTGTATATCCAGTTGATGGAAAAGCTACTTGTTGAAAAGACTGCTCTTTCTCCTTTCAGCTGTCTTGCCACTCTTGCCTGAAATCAATTAACCACATTATACACGGTTATTTTTTTTAGATTCGTAATTCTATTCCATTCATCTATATATCTACTCTTCTTGCGGCACTACACTGTCCTTATTACTATAACTTTATGGTTAGTTTTGAAATTGGGAAATTAAGATCTCCAATTTTATTTTTCCTTTTTTTTCAAGATTGTTTTACATATTTTAGGTCTCTTGCATTTTCATATAAATTTTAGGATTAATTTACTAATTTATAAAAAAAGGCTGCTGGAATTTGACAGAACTCCATTAAATCTGAAGGTCAATTTTGAGAGCATTGCCGTTTATAATATCAAACCTCCTAATTCATTAGCACAGAATATTTTTCCATTCTTAAAGTTTTAAAACATTGTTTTCAATAGTGTTTCATAGTTCTCACTTCTTTTGTTAAATGTAATCCTAAGTATTTTTCTTTTGAATGTTATTACAAATGGATTTGTCTTCTTAATTCCTTTTCATACTGTCAGTTGCTTGCTATAAAAATACAATTGCTTTTAGTATATTTATCTTATATCCTACAATTTTTCTGAACTAATTTATTTGTTCTAATAGATTTTTTCTTGTGGGTTTCTTTTTTCCTTGTGGATTCTTGTGAATGTAGACAATTTTCTATATCTAGAATCATGTTTATGCATATGGTGATAGTTTTACTTCTTTCTTCCAGTCTGGAGGCTTTTTACTTCTTTCACTTGGCTAATTGTCCTGGTTAGACTCTCCAGGACAATGTAGAATAGAATTTGTCAGTCTTTTTCCTGATTTCACGGACAAAGTATTCAGGTTTTTTTTGCCATTAAACATGCCCTTAGCTACGGGGTTTTCTTAGATGTCCTTTATCAGGTTAAGGAATTTCCTTCCTATCCCTTTGTTGTGTGCTTTGATTGAAACAGATCCAATAGTCCCATAGACCAGGGGTCCCCAGTCCCTGGGCCACAGACTGGTACTGCTCTGTGGCCTCTTAGGAGCCAGGACACACAGCAGGAGGTGAGTAGCAGGCGAGTGAGCATTACTGCCTGAGCCCTGACCCCTGTCAGATCGGTGGCAGCATTAGATTCTTATAGGAGTGTGAACCCTATTGTGAACTGCACATGCAAGGGATCTAGGTTGCGTGCTTCCTATGAGAATCTAACTAATGCCTGATGATCTGAAGTGGAACAGTTTCAACCCAATTTCATCCCCTGCTCCCACTTTGTGGAAAAATTGTCTTCCACGAAACTAGTCCCTGGTGCCAAAAAGTCTGGGACATCTGCCATAATCAGTTATTATTTCTTTTTATAAACATAGAAATTGATACTTTTCTTCTGAAGCAGAGCCAGACAATGAGTTTAGTCCTCTCAAAAGGCATCAAAGACGTGAAACTCAGGAGATAATGGCCCCTCATTCATTATGATTGCTTCCTTAGCCCTCCTGAGCTCCTGTTTTCCCATACATAGTTACATTTCTTCCCTGCTGCATAGCCCTCTAATTTTAGTCAGTCAGGGAGATGGACTTGAGACTTATCTCCCATCTCCTCAGTTGCAGCACCCAATTAAAGCCTTCTTCCTTGGCAAAAATTGTCTCAGTAATTGGCTTTCTGTGTGATGAGCAGCAGGACCTCAACTGAACCCCTGGTGTTTTGGTAACAGATTTTAGTTCCCTGACCATGACCATGTTGCTCATGGCTGGGCTGCTGTGTGTCAGCAGTCTCAGAAGCCTTCCTAAGCAGCTGTCTGCTCAATTTTGGCTGGTGATAACTTCTCATTTTTCTCAGGCTTTGCTGTTGCTGGCCCCAACCATGTTCCTGATTGCCTAGGAAATACAGCCCTTGAAATATGACATCTGCATCTGGATAGATGAATGTCCTTTGTGGATCCAGACAGCAGGATCTGCTCCATTCACTCAGGGACATTTTTAAAGGCATTTCCATTTATAGGTTGAACAAACCCAACTGACTAAGAGAGGGACGCACACTGACTGTTTCAGTATGAAAACTCTTGGGGACTTGTTTGTAACTGTATGTTGTATGTGTGTCCAGGCAAGTGAGTGTCTTTTGTGGGTAGCAGACAGTGGGATTGGCTCCTTTCAATTTGGGAAATTCCTAAGGAATTTTTTTTGCAGGTTGATCAAGCCCAACTGAGGGATAAAGGAAGCACCTCAACTGTCTCAGTTTGGACACTTACATGCTTTGGCTGTGTCCCCACCCAAATCTCATCTTGAATGGTAGTTCCCATAATCCCCAAATGTCATGGGAGGGACCCAGTGGGAGGATATTTAATCACAGGGATGCTGACCTCCATGCTGTTCTCTTGATAATGAGTTCTAACGAGATCTGATGGTTTTATAAGGGACTTTCCCCCTTTTGCTCAGCAATTCTCCTTGCTGCTGCCATAGAAAAAGGACATGTTTGCTTCCCATTCCACCATGACTGTAAGTTTCCTGAGGCATCCCAGCCATGCTGAACTGTGAGTCTATTAAACCTATTTTCTTTATAAATTACCCAGTTTTGGGTATTTCTTCATAGCAGTGTAAGAATGGGCTAATACAGTAAATTGGTACTGCAGAGATTGGGATGCTGCTGCTATAAGGATACCCCAAAATGTGGAAGCAACTTTAGAACTGGATAACAGGCAGAGATTGGAACAGTTTGGAGGGCTCAGAAGAAGACAGGAAGATGTGGGAAAGTTTGGAACTTCCTAGAGACTTGTTGAATGGCTTTTACCAAAATGCTGATAGTGAAATGAACAATAAAGTCCAGGCTGAGGTTGTCTCAGATGGAGATGAGGAATTTGTTGGAAGCAGAATAAAGGTGATTCTTGCTGTGCTTTAACAATAAGACTGGCCGCATTTTGCCCCTGCCCTAGAGATCTTTGGAACTACTTTGAACTTGAGAGAGATTATTTAGGGTATCTGGTGAAAGAAATTTCTTTTTTTCCTTTTTTTTTTTTTTTTGAGACAGAGTCTCACTCTATTGCCCAGGCTGGAGTGCCATCGCATGATCTTGGCTCACTGCAACCTCCACCTCTCAGGTTCAAGCAATTCTCCTGCCTCAGCCTTCCAAGTAGCTGGGATTACAGGTATATGCCACCATTGTGTATTTTTAGTAGAGATGGAGTTTCACCATGTTGGTCAGGCTGGTCTTGAACTCGACCTCATGTGATCCACCCGCCTTGGCTTCCCAAAGTGTTGGGATTACAAGCATGGGCCACCATGCCTGGCCTGATGGAAGAAATTTCTAAGCAGCAAAGTGTTCAAGCAGAAACAGAGCATAAAAGTTTGGAAAATTTGTGGCATGATGACGCAGTAGAAAAGAAAAACCCATTTTCTGAGAAGAAATTGAAGCCTGCTGCAGAAATTTGCATAACTAATGAGGAACCAAATGTTAATCACCAGGACAATGGGGAAAATGTCTCTAGGGCTTGTTAAATACCTTTGTGGCAGCCCCTCCCATGATAGATTGGAGGCCTAGGAGGAAAAAATGGTTTCGTGGGCTGGGCCCAGGGTCCCCCTGCTACGTGCAGCCTTGGCATTTGGTGCCTTGTGTCCCAGCTGTTCCAGCTGTGGCTAAAAGAGGCCAAGGTACAGCTTAGGCTGTGGCTTCAGAGGGTGCAAGCCCCAAGCCTTGGCAGCTTCCATGTGGTGTTGAGCCTGTGGGTGCATAGAAGTCAATAATTGAGGTTTGGGAACCTCTATTTAGATTTCAGAGGATGTATGGAAACGCCTGGATGTCCAGGCAGAAGTTTGTGGCAGGGGAGGAGCCCTCATGGAGAACCTCTGCTAGGGCAGTGCAAAAGGGAAATTTGGGGTTGGAGCCCCCACACAAAGTCCCCACTGGGGCACTGCCTAGTAGAGTTGTGAGAAGAGGGCTACCATCCTTCAGACCCCAGAATGGTAGATCCACCGATGGCTGACCTCCACCACATGAGTTGAAAAGCCACAAACACTCAGTGCCAGCCATGAAAGCAGCTGGGAGTGGGACTGTACCCTGCAAAGCCACAGGGGTGGAGCCACCCAAGGTTATGGGAGCTTACCTCTTGGATCAGTGTGACATGGATGTCAGACATGGAGTCAAATGAGATCATTTGGGAACTTTAAGGTTTAATCTCTGCCCTCTTGGATTTTGGACTTGCATGGGGCCTGTAGCCCCTTTGCTTTGGCCAATTTCTCCCATTTGGAATGGGTGTATTTATCTAATGCATGTACCTCCATTATATCTAGGAAGTAACTAACTTGCTTTTAATTTTGCAGGTTCATAGGCAAAAGGGACTTGCCTTGTCTCAGATGAGACTTTGGATTTGGACTTTTGGGTTAATGCTGGAATGAGCAAAGACTTTGGGGAACTGTTGGAAAGGCACGATTGTATTTTAAAATGTGAATACATGAGACTTGGGAGGGGCCAGGGATAGGGTAATATGGTTTGGCTGTGTCTCCACCCAAATCTAATCTTAAATAGTAGTTCCCATAATCCCCATATGTTGTGGGAGGGACCCAGTGGGAGGTGATTGAATCATGGGGGTAGTTACCTCCATGCTGTTCTCATGATAGTGAGTTCTCATGAGAGCTGATGGTTTTATAAGGAGTTTTTCACCTTTTGCTCAGCACTTCTTGCTGCCACCATGTGAAGAAGGACATATTTGCTTCCCCTTCTGCCATGATTGTGAGTTTCCTGAGGCATCCCAGTCATGCTGAACCATAAGTGAATTAAACCTATTTTCTATATAAATTACCCAGTGTTGGGTATTTCTTCATAGCAGTGTGAGAATGGACTAATAGAGACACTCTTGGTGCTTGTTTGTTGCTGCAGCAGTTGGATTGTGTTTTGGTGATTGTGTGTGTTTGATACAGTCATGGAAAATTAGAATTTGGTAAACTGACATTCTTTTTGTAATACTGTTTGGCTCCAGTTTTCTTTGGAATCTGAAGTTTGTTGTTGAATGGGAAAGTGAGATGGATTTCCCATAAAAGAACAGGCTTTTATGTTGCTGTTCTAAGCAGGGTTGGATCTGGTTAGTAGGTTTCAGGTGGTATTCCTCTGTGGTGCTCTTTGGCCCCAGTGCTCTTTAGAGTTGGAGAGATTTGACTTTTAAAAATCAAACTGCTATGGAAACTGCTTTACCCAAAATTTTGATTCACAGACTTCACTGGATTACCTATCAGGGCTAACAAAGTTCAGCCATGTGAACATGTTTATAGACTGGTGAGTTTGTATTGCTATCTCATGGGTAGAGTTCCAAGGTAAAAGCTATTGGATCTTTGGTTCATGTGCATGTATACATATCTAGATGTGTTTATGTGTGTGTATATTTATTTTGTTATATATTGTGTCTACCAAATTGGCTTATAAATAAAAGAGTGCTCATAAATCAAATAAATAAATCCAAGCAGTTTTCAAATTCATGTTCTTTACTAAACAAGTTGTCTTTAAAATTATTGGTAAAATAAAAATAGAAATGTCTTCAGAATTGTCAGCATACATCTTTGTCTGGATTTTATGTTTGTCTTTGCTAGATATTTTGAGATATCAAGGTTTGCCACAGAAGATTGTAAAACTGTAAACCCAGCCAAAGCAAAATGATCTTTGTGTGACTCTTTTGATAACTAAGTCTAATTAATGTTGTTGGCTTAATGAAAACAGCTGAATATTCTGAGTTATTGGTGAAAATGTCCATGTAGTTAACTTTAAGGTTCTTATTTAGGTGAATACCTGATATTGACAGGTTATCAAATGGTTAACACAAATAAATGATGTGTAAATAATCTAGATAAACTGATAAAACAAATAAAATGTAAATGAGTAAATGCTATAGGTGAACTTTTTGTGTAATTTAAAATCTTAAAATTATTTTTGATGCTCATTAGATGCCTGAGTCTTTTCCAATTAAGAAAGGGTTATGATATGGGGAAATGTGTTTCTAAAAGTTGTGAAATTGTTCTTATCTATAAAATGCTAATATCTGATAGTTCAGGATTTCTTGCTTCCTAAGGATTCCCTGAAATTTAAGGTTACTAAAGATAAAAATTCTAGTTAATGTACAATTCTGTATATAAAATGCGCCAAAGAAAATGTGTTCTTAGTGAGAAAAAGAATACTTTTGACTCAGAAGTTATCTTAAGGTGGATTCAAATTATAGACTTGAAAAGGTTATTTATAAAACAAGGTAGAAAGAAACCAGTAAGTAGAGGAGACAGATGTGAAGAAAGTTATGGATATAAAGTTGTATTTTTAGTAAGAAAGGTCATAAAGAAAATAGAATAATTTTGTATGAGAAAGGATTTTGTATGGTGAATTTTTGTCCTAAAGTAAAATGACTGGTTATTTAAAACAGAAAAGAAAATTTAAGACAAAACAGAAAGCCCAGGCATACCATAGATGGTCTGTGTAAGTGATATATAGTTTTTTCCTTTTTCTCTGGGTGTCAATCTTCATGCACATACAGAGAAAATAGAAAGTTGAAAAAATTTAGGTAGTAAAATGTTCTTTAAAACCTGATAGAAAATTGGAGAAATTTGGCTAATTAACATTGCTTGCAGTTAAAGCTTTTAGTTTTGATGAAGGTAAATTAAGAAATATTGTAATGAAATATATTGGCAGTCAATTCTTTTTTAATATAGTTAAAGCATGAAGCCAGATTTAACATGGAGCCCAATTTCACATACATGCTTGCATTACTTTTTTTCACACTGTATTTACACTTCTGCATAGATAGTGTTAGCACTGAGGTACTTACTGGTCATATGCCTAAAGTGAATTTCTTAATTGCCCAAAATGCATAGTGGTATTGGTGGACTTAAATACATTAATTTGTGTATCAGGAGTGAAATATCTATCATGTTCTTTTTTTAGGCTCTGGGTGGCACTTTAGCTTCCAAGGTTAACTGAGTAGGAGAAAACTTTGGGGGTGGTTTCCTCTTTATTTGTTTTTGCTTTTAATTTTCATTTATTTGCTGTTTGTTCTACTTTGTGTTTTACATATATATATGTATATATACCTATATATACATATATACATACCCATATACATACAAATATATATGTATATATTTATATATATGTAAAACCCATATATGTGTGTGTGTATATATAGGCGTGTATATATATGTATGTGTATATACAGGTATATATGTGTATAAATGTGTATATATATATATATATATATATATACACACTAAGCTAAAGGGAGAAGTCAAGCTGGGAACTGCTTAGGGCAAACCTGCCTCCCATTCTAATCAAAGTCATTACTCTGCTCACTAGATAGATACCTATATATAGATATATATACCTATATATATACACACACACATAGATGGGTTTTACATATATATAAATATATACATGTATTTTACATATATTACATATATAAATATATACATATATATTTTACATATATTACATATATAAGTATATACATATATATTTTACATATATTACATATATAAATATATACATATATTTTACATATATTACATATATAAATATATACATATATTTTACATATATTACATATATATAAAACTGGGTTTTACCTATATATTACATATATAATTCTAGATATATAAATCTAGCATTCTAGATATATATCTATATATATCTAGCATTCTAGATATATATCTATATATATCTAGCATGCTAGATATATATCTATATATCTAGCATTCTAGATATATATCTATATATCTAGCATTCTAGATATATATCTATATATATCTAGCATGCTAGATATATATCTATATATATTCTAGACATTCTAGATATATATACATCTCTATATATTCTAGATGTATATATCTAGAATTCCTAAGTTGCCTTTGTCAAGCATGCAAAAACTGATAGAGCACACCAGTCACTTAAAATTTGGTTGGTTTTGCTTACCTCTGATGATCTAGAGAACTACAAGAGCTTTAAGGTTTGTGACAAAAAAAAATAAGACTTATTTTTGCAAGTTCTGAGCAGAGATAGTGTATTCTTCATTTTGTTATTTGAAAAAGTAGGTGAGAAGAAATATGTTTAAATGGTGTTTATTTCCAAGGTAATTTTATTCAATCAATAGTTTGAGTTTGTTTCACATCTTTTCCTTTAGGTAATGAAGAAAAATTGTGATGTGGGTTCAAAGTTTTAATGGTCAGGAAACATTGGCCTTGTTCTTAAGGAAATTATATTGATTGAGATTTTTCTCAAACTAATTTAGTTGTGTTTACCATTATTAAAATTAAGTGACATTCACTTAACTGGTTGAACCCAGGAGGCAGAGGTTGCAGTGAGCCGAGATGGAGCCACTGCATTCCAGCATGGGTGACAGAGAGAAACTCTGTCTCAAAAAAAAAAAAAAATTTAGTGATCTTTGGTCCCAAGCTGTTTATCACTGATGGACCTTCATGTGTGTATCTGAAAACAAAATATGTACAAGTGTTGCACTTGTTTGAAGATTTTAGTGATGAAAGTTATCTAATCAGTTGTCAGTACTGTATCTAGAAACTAGTCTTGGAAATATGTGATGATGGCTGAAATAGCTGAAAAGAAATTACTCTGTGCTTGTTCTTATTTTGCCTTCTTTTTGTTGTGTGAAAGGAAAATAAATCTTGGGGTCCCAAAATCACTAAGCTGAAGGGAGAAGTCAAGCTGGGAACTGCTTAGGGCAAACCTGCCTCCCATTTTAATCAAAGTCATTCCTCTGCTCACTGAGATAGATGCATATCTGATTGCCTCCTTTGGAAAGGCTAATCAGTGATTCAAAAGACTGCAACCCTTTGTCTCTCACCTACCTGTGACCTGGAACCCCCTCCCTGCTTTGAGTTGTCCTTCCTTTCTGGATGGGAATGTACATCTTACATATATTGATTGATGTCTCATGTCATCCTAAAATGTATAAAATGAAGCTGTGCCCCAATCACCTTGGGCACATATTGTCAGGACCTCCTGAAGCTGTGTCACGGGCCATGTCCTCAATCTTGGCAAAATAAGCTGTCTAAGTTAACTGAGACCTGTCCCAGATATTTGGGGTTCACAGTTGTATAATATTTAAATGATAGGAGATTATTTATCCTCATATTGAATTTCCAAAACCCATATTTGCATTTACCATTTTTTAAATGATGGAGATAAAAGTTACTTGCCTTACTTTGATAAGTTTGAGATAGAACTTATCACATTTTTGATGCTTTTAGTCACAGTTCTGCCACTAGAATGCTAGCAATTAGATATATGTAGAGAGTAACCTAACTACATTAATACTGTGGTTTGAAGTGCCTCAGACAGTAACTCTCAAACACAAAATCACAGTGTTTTAATTTGTGACATGTTAGAATCATAGGACTTTCTGCAGTATAAATATTCTATTAACTAATCCTTGTGCTAAGGTTAAAGGGCTTTGATTCCTGGGTCTGAAAAAGGCACTGACCCCTGCTAAATCTTGAGCATTGACACCAGTTGAAGCTTCGTCTTCAGATCAGGGAGAAGATGACAATCAAAATGAACTGCTTTTGTGAGACACAGGGCCAGAAATTAAAACCATTTAATCCCTCTAAGTTCAGGGGCATTGAGAAAGAGATGGGCACATGAGACTGTAAGGGCCAATTTTGAGGCATACGATTAGTTCAGAGTTTTTCTATAAATTAAACATTAATATCAAAAGCACGCTGGTGCGAGGCCAGCATCTAGGCCTGTGTGTCAGAGTAACAAGGTTTTCTTGGAGTCTTGATCTGCTCTTTAGTAGAAAATGGTAAAAGGTCATAAAAAGTTTATGGAAAGTATTCCATCCTCTTTTATATTTTGGAAGAATTTGTGAAGTATTGGCATTAATTCTTTAAATGTATGAGAGAATTCTTCAGTGAGGCAATCTAGGCCTGGGCTTTTCTTTGCGGGAATTTTTAAAATTACTATTTCAACCACTTTACTTGTTCAGGGTTATTCAAATTTTCGATTTCTTTCTTGAGTCAGTTTTGGTAGTTTTGTATCTTTCTAGAAATTTGTCCATCACTTAGGTTATCTAATTTGTTGGCATATAGTGGATCATAGTATTCCCTTTTATTATTTTTTAATTATTTAATAATTCCTTTAATTATTGTAAAGTCAGTGGTGATGTCTCCTCTTTCACTCTTGATTTTAGTAATTTGAGTCTTCTCTCTTTTACATGGGTGGTCTAGTTAATGGTTGCTGTCAATTTTGTTGATTGTTTCAATGGCATGTCTTTCTAACCTACTATCTCTCTCTCTCTCTCTCTCTCTCTCTCTCTCTCTCTCTATATATATATATATATATATATATATATATATATATATAATCTCATGGAGAGGAGAGGATAGAGGAGGGCAATATCTTGTTGACAGCATCTGTTCAAGTCAAGTCCCATTCTAATATCTGATTGAAGAAAGCATTACTAATAAAATAATCATACTTTAGTATTCTCATATGAATAAGTAGAATCACAGAATCAATACAGGAAGAGGTGAATCATAGAGCAGATGATGTGATTTGAAGAATTATATGTCGTTCATGGGACTTTAGTGAGATTGAAAATCTCTTACTTCACATTGTCAAATACTCATAGATGTGCCCATGCAATAGAGATCTGTCTTCTTTGAAACTGGACTCTATTTCATAGAAGCTACAAGTGTTTTGGAAAGCATATTTGACCCACCAGACACTGCGGCATTCTCTTTGGGTGTGAGGGGTTGAACGAGATCATTGCGTGGTTGGATGAATGGGGGCTGGCTCTTCAAGGGTGTGGTTATAGGCAATGGGTCTACTTGTGTGGCTAAAAACCAAGTTTTAGTATTGATAGACAACTGGCATGCTTTGTTTTATTTAAGAAAAGAAATAGCTGATGTGCACATGTAGGGAAAATATGGGTATAGATGCCAAGAGCTTGAGTCACCAGAGAAGAAACATAGTGAGGGACTAAGGAGAGTGGGATGCTGCACAAGTTGGCAGTGACATATGCCATAGATCTTTGTGCGAACTGAGAGTCCTGGGCTATCTTACTGTGTGTATTGTACCACATAACAGCCTTGCTCCAAATTCTCAAAAAATCTGCAGTAAAAATCTATATTAGTGCTACATGTTAAGAGAGAGAACAGACAATAAGAACAACCATGTATAATAGAAACTATCTTATCTGACCTTCCCATAACTGACTCTTCAGACCTGCTGACCACCCAAGCCACACTGCTCTGACCAGTGGAGTTGTTTATTTACCAAAGACAAATTGTGTTTGTCTGCAAACTTGTTTACACCAGATGTAATTGTTATTATAATTATACAGGTAAGTTAAGTACTAGATCAACTGGTGAACTATCAATATAAAATAAAAATGATCATTTCTATAAGACATGTTAGAATTATTTGAAAAGTAAAGTTGAGGCCGGGCACAGTGGCTCACACCTGTCATCCCAGCACTTTGGGAGGCTGAGGAGTGTGGATCACCTGAGGTCAGGAGTTCAAGACCGGCCTGGTCAACATGGTGAAACCTCGTCTCTACTAAAAATACAAAAACTAGCTGGGCATGGTGGTGGGCACCTGTAATCTCAGACACTCTGGAGGCTGAGGCAGGAGAATAGTTTGAACCTGGGAGGCAGAGGTTTCAGTGAGCCGAGATCGTGCCACTGCACTCCAGCCTGAGGGACAAGAGTGAAACTCCATCTCAAAAAAAGGAAAGAAAAAAATTGTAACAGATTAAGTATGAGAGAATTTTTAATGATTAGTATAAAAACGTAAACATGTAAATGCACTGTTCACTCAGCTTCACAACAGGATATTACTCCACTTAAGAGAAAGTTAAACTATAAATTATTAGATGAGGCCTTATGAAATACAGGGAAAACAATATCAATCTCCAGTAAAAGGAACTATACTAAAAGAAAAACTATTTAGTCTTATACCAACATATTAGAAATGAATGCATATTAAGTAAAAATGTTCAGGTTATGATTTTTTAATGATTTTACTCTTTATCTTCTTATTTTCAGTATACTGATCAATTTCCACTTTGATAGGAGCGTTTCTGCAGCAGTAGTTTTTGTTGTTGCTTACTTTGTGCAGGTATTTATTGTTTTATGTATGCGTCACTACAACTCTTGTAAATTGTAGTACTATTCTCATTTTACAGGTGAAGTATCTAAAACTTAGGAAATTTAAATAACCAGCTCAGGCATACAGTTAGAATATACATAGCAAGAAATAAACAAATAAAACAATTTTTAAAAACCTTTATACTAGACAAAATTCTTAAATTGTAGTATTCAATTTTTTAAAAAAATTTACTGTACAACAGGGACTAGATTTCAAGGATATGCAAACATTTTAAATATCTATCTGCTCATGATACGAGGGGATGAAGCAATTAAAACAGATAACCACAATACAACATGGGAAAGGCTAATAACCATTAGAGAGCTATCAATCACATCAGAGATCATTTACAGGGTGGTAGGAAGAACCTGGCTGTGCAAGCCACTCCACTCAGTGCAAGCCACTCCACTCAGCCTCAGTTTTCTCATTTCAAAAATGCAGATAATAATACCTTTGTAAAGGGCAGTTATGAGCCTTAAAGCATTTAGCAGGAACCTGGCACGTAACAGGTATTCAGCAAACGGTGGCTATTATTGCTGGTTGATCCATGATATGTGCTTTCTTTGTTGTCCTCAGCATCAAAGGTTGATTTTCCTACTTTGCTCCCTTTATTTGATTTCATGCAAACCTGGGCTCTTCTAGTCAATCACCAAAGTCAGTCAATTCAAAATATTAACTATCAAACCAGTCTTTCTTTGGAGATCAGACACACAATGCACTGAACTCTTCCCCGGTCAGCCACCCGGTCTGGTGTTATGTGGATAGAGCACCTGCACTGTGTCCCAAATTAACACGGTCCTAGGAGGCTGCAAGAGTGGGTGGCCAGGGAAGAGGAGCAAGGCTGCTCACTCTCCAGACTCATTTCAAAAACGCATTTTATTGACAGATGGAGTATGTAAAGCAATCAGTCTTCACTGTGGTCTGAGTTACATTGATCTTTCTTTTTTATATTTTGTGAGTTTTTAATTGACTCTCATTTGGTCAAAAAAAAAAAAATAGATGTTTTTCACTGTCTGTTTCCCTGTACTTTGCTGTAGTGTTTTTCCCCCTCTTTGTGTTCACACCGATCTTGATTCACTGTTGCTCAGAACTTTTTCTCCTTTTTGGTAATCAAGATGATAACTCATTGCTATGTTTTGCATTCACAGATGAACTAGGATATGAGATCTAAGTGCATATTTTATGATATTTAAAGTTAAAATTATTCAGAAATTTTAAATTTCATCACTTGGCATACTTAAATTTTAAAAATTTAGTCAAGATAATAAAAAAGAATGTCGGAAGTGTCTGCTTAACGCTAACCACAGATTCCAAAGACTTCAACAACTTGAATAGTCTCATTTCTTCAAAAGTTTAGTCATAAAGCATCACTTTCAGTCTTTCTCTGATTAACACTGAAAAAAGAAACCATTGCCACCACTCCTTTCCCTCAACTTTCTAGGTAGATGTTTTGCAATTACAAGAAATGTTTGTTTATGAGGCATTTGAAGGAACCACTATGATGCCAAGTAAGAATTTTAATTATGAATGCCAGCAAATAATTTGGAATTGCTATGGCTGGAATTGAGGAAGAATTGTGAGAATGTTTATCAAAGAAAAATCTCAAAGTTCTAAATGGTAATGGAAAGGACCCCAGGCAGTAGAAAGAAGTAACAGCTCATGGCCAAAAAGCTATCAGTGAAAAAATAATTGCAAAAGGGCTACGTTACAGTGAGAGAAAGGCGACTCTTAGTAGGCTTAAAATTGGCAACAACCCCTTAAAGAGCTGAATGAATAAATGCATGGACATGCGGCTCACTATCTATCACTGGCATCCTCGTCATCATTGTCATCATCATCATCATTATCACGATCATCATTGCTAACACATGCAGGGATCTTCATCCTATTTCATTTAATTATTACAACAACCTTATTTCCTAGGAAAGAAAACTGAGGCTTTGAGATTTAAATAATATTCCTGGAGTCACACTGCCATTTTAAGAAAGATGTAAGTTCATATGATTTCAAACCCAGGCTCTTCATGACTACATGAATATGTCTCTGAGAATACAACTTCGAAATTATATGTGTAGGAAGGAGCCAAACCTTAAAAGTTAGTCTGGGCCTTGAAAAGACTCTTTCAAAATCATCTCAGTAAAAGAAAACTCCCCAATCCTGTGTCCAAGGAAGAGACTCCTTTGGCTCCCTGGCATTCTACTCTGATGCCGCATAGTCCGCTGTGGTGCACATTCTAGTTGCCCCTCTGCTGCATTTCCATGGCCTCTTGGGGACTCACTACAATGGGGATGGGTGGGCAATGACCTGTTCTAGTCTGTGTCCTTCAGTAAGTAGGAAGTTCACTGAAGAGAGTCTTGATGTCCGAAACTGCCTGGAGCTTCATTTGAGGTCTTCTAGTTCAATCTCTTATAAAAGTTGACTGAATAAAGAAAGCTTGGGCCGGGTGCAGTGGTTTACGCCTGTAATCCCAGCACTTTGGGAGGCCGAGGTGGTCGGATCACTTGAAGTCAGGAGTTTGAGACCAGCCTGGCCATCACAGTGAAACCCCGTCTCTACTAAAAATACAAAAATTAGCCAGGAGTGGTGGCATACAGTTGTAGTCCCAACTACTCGGGAGGCTGAGGGAGGGGAATCGCTTGAACCCGGGAGGCGGAGGTTGCAGTGAGCCGAGATTGCGCCACTGCACTCCAGCCTGGGTGACAGAGTGAGACTCCAACTCAAAAAAAAAAAAAAAAAGAAAGAAAAAAAACTTGAAAGTAAAGCTAATTTGTTTATGCAGTAGTTTAAGTTCATTTTCTTTTGTTGAAGTCAGTAAAACATAAAAAAAATGCTACTCATGGCTTTTCAGAGGCATCTTCACATACATGAAAAAACATTACTAAATTACACACACACCTTTCTTTCAGGAAGAATAATCTCAGATCCTCTATGTTTTTATTACTGTGTCATCTCTCAGCCCTCTAGCTATCTGAATGGTTCTCCTCTAACATTTCTCCAAGTTGTTCTGCCCTGGCTTAGTTTAAGATCATGGATTTGGGATGCCAGCAAATGTCTTTCAGCACTGACTCTCTTGAGAGCCCTACCATGTTTTCTATAATCTGAAAAAGACTCCTGTACCTTCTAGGAGAGCAAATGCACATGCTGATGCCACTTCAGTGGAACAAATCAGAAAAAAGTAATCTTTCAGGTTTTCAGAAACAAGGTAGTTTCTGATTTAAAATTTTCAAATAATGAAAATGGGTTGACTTCAAGTTTTAAAAGATTGGGTTAATTAATCATCCTGGTTCGATTTACCCTCACATTCTTATTTCAGTTCTCAATGAAAGGAAGCCATAATCTTGAACATGTTTTTGCCCATCTTTCTTCTTCCTTGGTCCCTTCCCCGTTTTTTTTTTTTTTGCAGGTAACTCACAATTGGCTCAGTTCTGGCTGGCTGTATCTATTCCTTTCTTGGTTATATTGTGGTAAGTTACTTTGTCAAAGAATCAGTATTTTAACCATTGCAGGCAGCATCTTGATGTTTCCTGATAATATATCAACATGCTTGTTTGAACAACAACAACAAAAATGTGTTCAGGTAGGAAACTTTAGAGAAATTAGGTTTTCCATTTACATAGTTTAGATAGCAGTTCTGTCTTGACACATCAGCTTTTATTTTTGTGATGCACCAGAAGTTCACTTTGTTTTAGCCACTTTGAGGTAGTGGTGCTCTGTGAGACTGAGTTTTCAGATAAGTTGAAATTAGTCTTGTTTTCCCAGGCAATGAAAACACAATAAAAGTCTTGAGCCAATTTTGCATTGAAATAAAAATGATTTCCTACACCCCTCTTCTGCTTGGTTTCTGAAGTCCAGTTCACCCTCAGCCTTTTATTTCTGTAGACCCACTACCTTCTGAGCTGTGAGCCCACATATGTTCTAAGTCAGCACTTTGGGCCAGAATCATGCTGATAGCAACTTCTGCTTACGGATACAGTTGGTCTTGAACAAATTACGGGAACAAAGAGCTTTGTTTAATCTGACACTCTACTTGTGGTTTATAGGTGTTAAAAACATTTTTCCCAATAAGGGAACACCCAAAATACATGCAATCAGCCCATTGGCAATTATAGAATAAAAATGAATGGATGTATGGTTTATCTGGATAATTTTAGATATTATAAATGATAAGATCCTTCAAAAGCTTAATCGAGTGTCACTTTGAGTTGCATTTCCATATGTCCTAAATAAAGATCATTTTATGTGCAGCAGCGTTCAATACCAAAAGCATGATATCCTGGCAATGTTGCAATACTTCATAAAACACCAGATAATCTGATCAAATCCTACAAACAGCTTTTTAATTCAGAGATTTGTTTAAAAGTTCGTTTAGATTTGAGTCATCATTGTAGTAAAAAGGAATCAATTGGTTATCTGAGAGGAGATGAGTTTACTAAAGTAGCAACTTGATTCTTGGTGATAATGAGTCAACACTCAGGGAGAAAAAAAAAAGGATCATGGAAAAAGATGACACTATCTGAAAAACAGAGGATAGGATTTTGTAGTAGCATTTTCTGTCATTTTGCTCTTGTTTGATTGAAGAGACAATTCTATAATGATTTAAATTCATGTTCCCTCTTGATAAATGTTTCAGAGAAACCTTATATGATTGAAAATAGGTCAGCCAGTGTTGGTAAGTGATTTGCAATTGTTCAACACATTCCCATCGAAGTAGGTCAGATTAGTGTCCTGCTAAGCACGAGTATATTTGTTTAAAAAGGTGTTCAGTTCTAAAAATAAAAATCTATGTAACATTTGAATGAAAACAAGGAGAAAAAATTTAGAACTACATAGTCCTCCCTTTATACTGATTAAATATAAGTTACAGTCCATTCAAATGGAATCAGGTACAATGAGAAGACCAGACAGCTGGGCTTCAAGCCAGGATAGAAACAGATGAGATGATTACAATAACAGTAGAAATTGCCTTTAAAGCAAAATATCATTATTGTGGCATCAAATAATTCAGAATTTTAGTAAATCAGGTAACTTAGAGGGAAGTTTAATTAGGTACTAGCAATAAAGAAAACGATTCCAAGGTTAAAACACAGTTAAACCAACCAATAAACAAAAAACATGATAGAGCATGATTAAGAGATCAACTTATTTCACAAGTATTTGCAATTGCTTTAGAACCAACAACATTGATATGTGAATTTAATATTGTTATTTACTGCATTTCACTAACCTATGATGATATTAATTGTAAGGTTCATTTCAATCCCAAAGATGTTAACTCTGAAAAGAATAATCTTCTGAAAAAATGTTCTTTAATCAGAAAGCACATTTGTCATCCTAGTTCTTATTATCATATATGTTTGATGTTTGAAGATAATAGAATTGTACAATAGAATTGTACTTCTTGGAGACTATTATATTGCTTATGCCATTGCTGTGAAGTTATGAGAGAGGGACACACATGTTGCAAAGCATATGTCTCGTGTGTGACAAATTTGATGTTTTATCACAGGGTGTCCCGCCCAATCTGTGGCTCACACTATGTCCCCAGTACTGTTTGGCTGCATTTCCAGAAGCCAGCAACAGGACTAGAATCCATGTTTCCAATGGACCCTTTAATTCTTGAGAAGCTGTGGAGGAGATAGAGTGACACTTTATCTCTTTGGTCTCTTCTTAGCTTGTAGCGGCTAATGCCTTATGACGGAAGAGTGAGCCTGGACACTTACTGCCTAGTTCCAGGTCAGTATTTGGCTGGAAAGAGAAGTTACTATGGATCAGAGGCTGTGGTTCTCCTAATTGCTCTTAGTAATGGCCATCACCACTTCATCCATGCAGGCTTGGGTACTTCCTGTCTACTTGGTGGATAACATTTGATTCCTAAAGATGGAGTGAGAATGACATAAAGTTATTTGCCAAGGAAGAGCAAATGTTTACACTTACTTGACACCTGAAACCCTTAGAATGCTAACTGAAGCAGACTTTCCTTAGCTAACTGTAGGTAAATATTATACTACCCACCAACACTATTGTATGAAAGATTACTGCAGGTAACAAGAAAAATGAGACAAGGAAGACTGTCTTTGTGCTAATCCATGGTTAGAACCTTCCTTTAGGAAGGAATCTTCTTAGAAGAGAAGGAAGCACATAGTAGATGTTTTGGATATCTAGATATCTTACTACTTTTCAATTTCTCATAAAAATAAACATTTTGGGTGACAGCACCTGATGTATCAGATTATGTATTTGTTTAGATCAAACAGCTTTGTCATTGAAGTGAACTAAGATCTGTTCCAGAGCTTCCAAAGAGAAAGAATTGGAAACCTATGCTGTTTTTCATTTCTGAAATGGTTAAAGCATTGCCCTGGACTATAAAACTGGGACTGTGGCTTGGAAACAATCTTTGATATTATCTGAAAATCTTCAAAACAAAATGCAAGTATGGCCGTATTTTTTTTTCTAGCTGATCTGCCATATGTGTATTTTGGCTGTCTGTCTGATTGTGCTCAGATGTGGGTAGTGGTAGGGAGGAAAAAATAATGTTTCTTAACTCTGAGGATAAAAAGACTTCAAACTGTGTGCCTCTCACATCCTTTGGTAATCTGCCCCACATTCTGCACCGTGATGTGGGATATAGATACTGCTAATTTGGTGTTTATTTCTTCGGAGTGGGGGTTGGGGAGTAAAATGGGGAGAACAAGCATTAAAGAGGAAGGTGTTGCGGATAGGTGGCAGTTTCTGAGCTCAATGAAGAGGAGTCAGGTGCTAACTCTCAAAGCAGAACTCAAGGAGCTTTAATCACTATTATTACTTAAGTAATAATAGACACTATAAGGTGCCTGCTGTTAGAAGTAACTGATATGGGGTGATCCCAGATCATCACCTTCCTGGTCATTATTAAAATATCAATCTTCACTGTCATTTCTTTTTTCTACTCAGAGCAATGAAACTGAGAGATACTATGTAGGCAGCAATGATCTAAGCAGGAATTCTCAAACCTTCATCTCAAAGTCATTTGAAGTAAGTTAAGAAGGAGGACATGTTTTGAGGACATTGAAGTCTCATGTTTTACCTTAAAATGTGTGTGTGTGTATATATATATATATATATATATATATATATATATATATATAGTGCTTGATGGCATATATAGGTTTCTTAAAAATAAAAAGAATAAGATGGCTGGGCGCAGTGGCTCACTCCTATAATCCCAGCACTTTGGGAGGCCAAGGCGGGTGGATCACCTGAGGTCAGGAGTTCGAGACCAGCCTGACCAATATGGTGAAACCCCATCTCTACTAAAAATACAAAAATTAGCCCAGCAAGGTGGCATGTGCCTGTAGTCCCAGCTACTTGGGAGGCTAAGACAGGAGAATTGCTTGAACCCAGGAGGCGGAGGTTAGAGTGAGCTGAGATCTCGCCACTGCACTCCAACCTGGGTGACAGAGCAAGATTCCGTCTCAAAACAAACAAACAAACAAAAAAAAACGCCAAGGTTTTCCAATTTCTCTCTCTCTCTCTCTTTTTTTTTTTTTTTTGAGTTGGAGTCTCACTCTGTTGCCCAGGCCCGGGTACAGTGGTACGATCTCGGCTCACTATATCCTCTGCCTCCCAGGCTCAAGAGGTTCTCTTGTCTCAGCCTCCTGAGTAGCTGGGATTACAGGTGTGAGCCACCACACCTAGCTAATTTAGTAGAGACAGGGTTTCACCATGTTGGCCAGGCTGGTCTTGAACTCCCGACCTCAAGTGATCGGTCCACCCTGGCCTTCCAAAGTGCTGGGATTACAGACATGAGTCACTGCACTAGGCCCTCAATTTCTTTATGTATAAAGATACACATACACCCCTAATTTTACATGAATGTGATATTAAACATGCTATTCAAATGCAGTTTTCCTCTCATTTTTTTTGTTTGTTTGCCCTTTCATGCACAATAATCTTTTATCCTCTAAATTCAGGCTAATAACTTAGAGCATATCTTACATATTTTTCTATATGCTGACAGAATCATATATAGCATATACACATCTATGAGTATAGACACTACACACATTCATATATGGAAAGACAAACAAATGCATTTAATTTTTTGTCTTTTATTTTGCAAAAAGAGGATTATATAATATATACTTGCCTGAGTCTAGCTTTGCACACACAACAACAATACATTCTGGAAATCTCTAAACGAACCAGTTATCTCTGAAATCTTATTCTCTTTTTAAATGATAGCACAGTGTCCCATGTTATAGTTATATTACAATTAACTCAATTGCTTCCTTTAAGTAGGGCTTTGTTTTCTACTTATTGGGAAAAAAGCATTGATAAATATATATGACCTATATATTTATTAATATATTTATATCTATCTATCTATCTATTGTTTTCCTATGGATTAGATCCTCAGTAATGAGATTTTTGGGTTGAAGACTTAAAATATTTTTGATTTTAATGGGATTTTCTAAGCTTGCTTCCAAAAAGCCTGTATTAATTCACATTTCTACCAGCATGTATTAGAGTAAGTATAATGTTTAAAGTACTTGTTATTCAAAGTATCGTTCATGGACCAGAAGCAACAGCCTCAGCTGGGAGTTTGTTAGAGATGCAGGCTTGCAGCCCCATTCCAGACCTACTGAATCAGAATCTGCATTTTAATAAGATCTTTGGGTGATCCATATGCACTTTACCATTTAAAAATTACTGTTTTTAAATCACTTGCAATCTGTTAAGTTGGGAATATATTTATTAACTGTCTTCTCTGGAAGGATAATTAAGAAATTACTAACAGTGGTTGACTTTTGGATGGAGGATGGGAACTGACAGACAGACTTGGATGGAAATTGTTTTTTTACTAAATATTTGTATAATGTTGAACTTTTTCATGTGCATGTATTCCTATTTAGAAAAATTTTAAGAACAGCTCTTTGCGAATGTTGTGATTACTTTCCACCCTCAAATCTGCAGGCAGATAGTAGACCGTGGTTCACGTGTACGCCTCACACACTAATGCCCACATTGTCAGTTAGTGTGTTCCAGTTTAAAAAAATGCAGTGGTAAAGGAAAATTCTCCAAGCAACATGGCTTGCTTTTTGAGGATATGAAAATGTAATGATGTCAATGAGGGTTTTTCTGACAGGGAACATTTGACAAGGCAGACAGTGAGTCAGTGTTACAGAACACTTTCAAACTTTCCTCTGCAACATTCCCATAGTTTAACAGTTGTGATCACCATCCCACTGTTAAATTTTTAATAATCTAAGACTTCCCCAAATCAGGAAGTTGCACTAAAAAATTCTGACTGATTTATCTTCTTGGGATATGGGGGTTCTCAGGTTTGCTGTGAATCAAGGAGTTGGCAAACAAGTATGGAACATCTTGGTTGCAGGGTCCACAATTAGATTTGTTGACACCGAAGTGGGGGGTGAGGTTCAAATGAGTAGGGTAAGTAGTCCTGCTTTTTTAGGTTAGAAACGGAGCATCCTCATCACACGGATGGTTCCTGTAAATCTTCCTAGGACAAGAATTCCCCTTCTACCTCAATGATGCATTGTACATACAACTTATTCTTAGGAAATATTTTATGCAGGCTAAATTGAAAATATATGCAAGTTCTAAAAGGTCTCTGAAGGTTAAAATATATCAGTCTTTGAAATCTAATTTCTCCAGGAGCCACAACCTTTTGGGTCTCCATAGCTTTACATTAAGAGCAATGATGCAAATTTATTTGGCTCATGTACGCAAACCCACCCATTCTCTCAGGACCACCAGCCTGGAAAATGTTGCCTAACTATTTGGGGGATTTTTTATGGGGTGGGGGGAGTTGTACTGATTAATGTTCACAAACATGTGGTTGGCCATCAAATAATCTGCCATTTCTTACTTTTCATTGGCTTTGCTCCCTGCTTTCAGGCACCTGCCACTCCTGCCAGGATTTTTTTTTTTCTTCTACAGAGCAGCTTCTTTCTCCCAGTGGGCATCTGTCTCCAGCTGCAGCTGGGACACTGGAGTTCTAGCATGTGTGTAGGGTGGAGGGGACAAAGCTTGCATGACATTCTTCTGGATGAAGTGAAATAACTTAGTCTCTCTTCTTTAGGGGTATGAAGGGGCCAGGTCCCAGGATGCTAGTGAAACACCATTTTTTGGCATTTACTTAACAGCTTCCTCTCTCCTGAGGCCATGGGCATAGGGGGCTTTGCTAGAAGACAAATCCAAGTATCAGAAAACACACTGTGGCCATGGTCTTGTCATAAAATCTAGCTGCTGGGCTCTGTTTTCTTTGATGTTCAAGGTATATTTGGTCTCAGGATCATACCTCCTGCATGTGGGCGTCTGAGTCCCAAATTAAATTTATGCTGGGGTTCCTGCTACATCCACAGCAAAAAATCTACACTCAAAAGAAATAATCGTTTATTGCTTGGACTTCTCTGAGCTCTAGTACCTGAATCAGAGGGTTTCATGGCAAAGCAGATACGATCTGCAAAACTCTTGAGGAGCTTCCAGGGGCAAGAGTCCAGCCAGCTGTTCAGTCAGTGGCTCCACAGCAAGGTCAGTCCTACCTAGACCTTAATCATCTCTTCTTGCCCTCTCTAGAGTGGAAATGGAAACCAGTTCCATTCTGCATGGGACAGAGCAGCACCCAGCCCCTCACAGGATGATGGAGTGAGGAGGAGGTTGCTCTCTGTTCTCAGGTTCTGTGATGCTGCATGCTGCCTTACGCAGCTCAGCTCTGGGGAATGTCTGGTGTGGAAGGTTGGGTCCTGGGACAGAAGGAAGGGAACAGAGGTTGGGAGGAGAAAAAAGGGGAGGCTTTCCCTCAATGCTCCACTAGAATCAGTAATGTGGTTCTCAGAAGACACATTTTATTCTCAGTAGAAATCTTATTTTATTCCCCAAAGAATAAAAAAGATGTGTTGGTGGCCATGAAAGGGAACCGTGTGTGGGGTGGGTATGGGGAATACATTTTCTCCCCATGCTCTCTTGTTCCTGAGAATTTCTATGAAAGGAGAGGAGTGCCTTGTGAAGCGAGCCTGGAGCCAATTTGGAAATAGATCCCCCATCTGTGATTTCCAGATCAACAGTTTGATTACTATTGATAGGTGGGTAGATGATAATCACCATCTCAGTGACCGTAGCCTGAAAATAGTGGTAGGGGAGGGGTGGTTACAGGAAACTGTGCTGGCTTTTCCATTTCAGTTTAGTCTTGCAGATTAAATTGAAAGTTTCACAAAGGTGCATTGCTAAACACTTTCTTTCTTTTTTTTTTTTTTTTGAGATGGAGTCTCTCTCTGTTGCCAGGCTGGAGTGCAGTGGCATGATCTCGGCTCACTGCAACCTCTGCCTCCCGGGTTCAAGCTATTCTCCTGCCTCAGCCTCCCAAGTAGCAGAGACTACAGGCATGCACCACCATGCCCAGCTAATTTTTGTATTTTTTGTAGAGACGGGGTTTCTCCATGTTGGACAGGATGGTCTTGATCTCTTGACCTTGTGATCCGCCTGCTTTGGCCTCCCAAAGTGCTGGGATTACAGGCATGAGCCACCGGACCCGGCTTAAACATCCTCTTAATGCAAAGGAATTGTGGGCAAATGAATCAACAGGTTGTGCAATGTGTTTGCAGGCTTATTCTTGGGGCCTGTCCTACTCTACCACTTATAGGTTTCTTCAAGGCTCAACTTCATCCCACGTATCTGTGCAGTATCTCACTTCTAACCTTCTGTGTCTAGCGTGGGCCAGAGATGCAGGTGATGGGAAAACAGGCTGTCAAGAGGCTTGTAGCTCTGATTTTGCCAACTGTGCACCCCTAGACTCCCAGGGATCAAATGACTGGCAGCCTCGGAATTGAAGAGCAACAACTGGAGAACTTGGCTGCTGATTGTCTTCCTTCCTCAGATTTTTAAATTTTTTCACCCATATGGTTTGAGTGTCCAGGTTTGCTGGCTGGGGCCACCTAAGGCAGCTGCATGTGGTCGGGTGGCTTATGCTCTGCAATAATGTAACCAGCTGAGAGGAGAATGGAAGCTAACCTTTGTTAGCCAGTCTGTTGTTCCCTGCCATGTGCTACATCAGTCTGAAGGAAGGGATGTCTTTTTATCATTTATCCTCCAAGAGAGTGCCTTGTGAGGAGACCCAAGGGCCCTGAATGAGCTAGTGGTGGCCCTGGGCAGATAGTTTTAAACTGTGAAGCCTTGACTTGAAGCCTGTGCCCTCACTGCCAAGCCCAGACCTTCTCTGACTTGCTTGAATCTGACCTTGAAAAATTGGTAGGCCACAGGCCATATATACAAGCTCCACGAACGTATTTATTTGATTTACACAAAGCTGGACCACATAGTGTTGTGAAATATTTGAATTGGTTGTCAATACTTAAAATTTAAGAGATTTTACATAAATGTCTGAGTTTCTGGCTTCCCACAGCACTACCCGGTAACATTTGGTAGCAGCCAGTTAATGTGTGACAGCCCTTGCCATGCCCTGTGGCCTCTCCAGCACTGAAAATGAAGGTCAATTTCTGATTTTTTTGTTTGTTTGTTTGTTTGGTTTTTTGTTTTTTTTCGAGACGGAGTTTCACTCTCATTGCCCAGGCTGGAGTGCAATGGCTCAATCTCGGCTCACTGCAACCTCTGCCTCCCAGGTTCAAACAATTCTCCTGCTGCAACCACTCGAATAGCTGGGATTACAGGCATGCACCACCATGCCTGCCTAATTTTGTAGTTTTAGTAGAAACGGGGTTTCTCCATGTTGATCAGGTTGGTCTCAAACTTCTGACCTCAGGTGATCCGCCTGCCTTGGCCTCCCAAAGTGCTGGGATTACAGGTGTGAACCACCGCACCCAGCCATTGCTGTTTATCATAGTGCTTGTGCTCTGTTTTCTTCTAGAAGAATTAAAAGAAAAGCAAAATCTATCTCGTGCTCACTTTTTAAAGTGGGAAGGTTTAAAAATAGATTGAGAAGCCATTTGTGGAAAAGTCTAGCCTGCTACATATTTTCTAATTGCCTGCTAAGTCTTCATCATCTGTGTTTGCAGCCCACGTCCCCGTGTCTCATAATCATGCAGTTGAAGAAATTCAGTTCTAGCACATGCTCCTCCGTTGGGCCATTACAAGCAGGTACTAGGCTTACAGAGGAACCTGAATTTATCATGACCCCTCTGCAGCAGAGAGGCTGATTTGGAGGAGCGTATTCTGGGGGCTCATCTGTTCTGCTGTCATCAGTCTAAAGTGTCTACAATGACAAAGAGTTTAGACCCTTCTTGCTGAGCTGGGAGGCTAGTCAGTGAGTGGATGACCCAGGGCAAGGTCAGATGGTCAAACAAAAGAATACTGTGACCAGAAATATGAGACCAGAATCAGGGAGTGAGGATAGGGACATTAGGAACACAGGTGACAAAAGCCAAGTAGCTGCAAAAGAGGTACATAGCTCAAGAAAATCAGGTTTCATAAGCTAAGGCCCCAGTGGCAAAGTTTTTTTGAGGCAGTGTCTCACTCTGTCACCCAGACTGGAGTGCAGTGGCTCGATCTTGGCTTACCACAAACTCTGCCTTCTGGGTTCAAGTGGTTCTCCTGCCTCAGCCTACCGAGTAGCTGGGATTACAAGCATGCGCCACTACTGCCCGGGTATTTTTGAATTTTTAATAGAGACAGGGTTTGACCATGTTGGTCAGGCTGGTCTTGAGCTCCTGAGCTCAAATAATCCACCTGCCTCAGCCTCCCAAATTGCTGGGATTACAGGTGTAAGCCACTGTGCCCGGCCATGCAAAGTTCTGTAGTAGGGAGCAGATGCTCAAAATGCAGAGGGTTAGGAGGCTCAGTCCTTAGCTCAGAGAAGCTCTTGGGGACTTTACATGCCTGGTCATACCTCATGATGCCTGTACATGGCCCATAGGTGACAGAGAAGCAGTCTAGTCAGATGGTTAAGGGCAAAGACTCTGGAGACAGATTCCTTCCTAGGTGAGAATCCTAGCCTTTTGCTGGCTGTGAATCAGGCGAGCTCCTTAACCCCTTCATGCCTTAGCTCCCTTTTCTACATAACGAGGCTAGTGATATACTCACCTTTTAAGGTTCCCTATACATGAGGATTAAATGATCTAATTCTTACAAAGTGCTTAGAATAGTAGCTGGCACATGCAACATATCCAATAAGTGTTTATTATTGCTCGCTACTTCTCCCAGCTTCCTTAGGAAAATGCAGTCTTTAGAAACATGTTTATCAGCTTGGAGGAAATTGCCCTCTGAAAGAAAAAACAGCAATATATGCATCTTAGTATTTTAAAGGAACTTGCCAAGCATGCACCTGGCACAATGGGCAAACTTTATAAAGGGTAGCTAAATTCCGAAATAATTTGTAAAGGGCTCCTGAAGCATCAGAAAGCTAAATGATGTTTTCCGATTGAGGATGCTATTCCCTTGGATGCTTTTGGAGGGAGCATGGTGCAAAGCTCTCCTTAATTTAAAAGGACATTACCATGAAATGGGCTCACCGTGAAATCTGTTGGGAGAAGAGTGAGCCTCACTCTCTGGAGCGCATGGTGGAGTCTGCCATATATGAGAAGGATGTTGTGGTTTCAGCCAGGTTTGTGGGGGCACAGCAAGGTGAGGCTGTCGCTATTTTCTCCGTGTGGTTAGTATGAAGTGAGCAAAGACACAACAGCATGTGTTTGGAGCTCGAGTGCTCAAGGCGCTGCTTTGAGCCCAGTGCGGCCCTTTGGGGCTTTGAACTGCAGCCACAAGACTCTGGTGGCATCTCTTTCCAGATTTGTTTTGAAACAAGCTTGAAAACAAGATTTCACCCAGTCCTTATGCTAAGATCTGCGAGTGAATGTGCTTGTGCATATTCTTGTCCCTGGCTCAAAAGAATGTTCAGCGATGTATCTAGTAACTAATAGAGGATGCCCTGCTAAGTCTTATGTCTTTGCCAGAGAACATGGCAGAAAAGCTACTGGAGACAGTAGGAGCTATGCCAACAGGCAACATGAATTTGTTATTAAGTCAAATTCAGTAATGTATGAAAGGAGATAAAATAATTTGCAAATGGTGTTGAGGCAGAGTTAGGACACCATTTGTTTAAGTAAGAAATGGGTAGAGACAGCCTGGATGTCAAGCTGCAGGGCTGACCTGTTTAGGATTAGATCAGGCTCCAGGTCCTAAAAGCAGTTGATTATAATAGACTTTGTGGTTCTCATTAGCTTTCATGTAGTAGACTAGAGCTTTTCAGCCTCTAGTAGATGTACCCTCATGGTGCCTAGTCTCATCTATCCTGAGCTACAGGGGGCCAGCTGGGGAGAAGAAAAGTGACACTCTTTCTACCTCCACACACTCATTCACACACACACACACACACACACATGCACACACACACAATCCTGTAAACATTAATTCAATTATCTCTATAGATCTAGCATAAGGTACATATAAGATTATAGAAACATCTCTGCTCTAAAGAGTTCGTCTCCACTTCCTAAAATTTCCTTTAGTGGGTGACTTCCCTCTTCATTAATTAATTCGTTCCAAATTTATTAAGTATACAAGTGCCAGAAGCTATACTGAGTGAAGCTGGGTTAGGTGCTCAGTGTAAGAAAAAGATGAGTAAGCACTGAAAGATAGATTAGAGTCAGGTTCTGAATAACATTCTACGAAATCCAAAATTCATTTAGTAGGGAGGGGTCAGAAGGAAGGGTTTTTGTGTGTTTTTCCTGAGACAAGGTTTCACTCTGTTGCTCAGGTTGGAGTGGAGTGGTGCAGTTTGACTCACCATAGTCTCAACCTCCCACACTCAAGCAATCCTCCTGCCTTAGCCTCCTGGGTAGCTAGGACTAAAGGCTTGCACCACCACATCTAGCTAACTAAAATATATATATATATATATTTTTGTAGAGACAGAGTCTTGCTCTGTCGCCAAAGCTAGAGTGCAGTGGTATGACCATATCTCACTGCAGCCTTGATTTTCTGGGCTCAAGTGATCCTCCCACCTTAGCCTCCTTAGTAGCTGAGATTACAGGTGCGTGCCACCACATCCAGCTAGTTTTTAATTTTTTTGTAGAGATGGCATCTCACTATGTTGAGCAGGATGGTCCCGAACACCTGACCTCAGGCAATCCTCCCACCTTGGCTTCCCAAAGTACTGGGATTACAGGTGTGAGCCACCATACTTGGCCTCAGAAGGAAGGTTTTTTAAGCAAAAATGTGACATGCTTAATCAGAGTTTCAGGAATATTGCATTGAGAGTAGTGTAGAGACTGTATTGGGAAAGAAATTTAGAGGATTGGGGAGAAGATACAGAAAGCAGAGGGGGTCAACTGAGGAGTATTTCAAGTCTAGAAAAAATATTTTGAGAGCTTTTGAAATACAGTAGTGACCGTGGGAACCCAAAGGAGAGGAAAATTGTGAGAAATATTTACAAAGAGTAACCAGTAAAACTTGGGTATGACGGGAGAGAGAGAATGAGGAAGCAAGGACAGCTCTGAAGTTTTGAGTATGGGAGACCAGAAGAACCACAGATGTTGCCATTAATATAGAATGGGAAGTTAGGAGGAGGAGCTTTTCCTGTAGAGCCTCAGAAATGGAGGGGGCTAGAAGGTCATCCAGTCAAATGCCACATCTGATGTCGGTATCCCCTCTTCTCCCACTTTAATCGTCTGTTAGGGAACCATAGACTGGCCTGGATAGGACAGCAACTAAGTGGCTGGGTATGGTTTTGGGCTCCGAGGCCTGGAGTTCCAGTGCAAGGAAATTTGGGATACTCACAGTGTGATAAGCCTAGTCAAAGTGTTCTAGAGAAGTGAGAGAACCACACATGATAAAGGATAAGCTGAAAGGGTCCACTGGGGAGATAGAAGTTTGGGTAGCAGAGCTGAGCAACTGATTCAGTAGAGATGAAATTTCTGGAGGAGCAGGACAAAGAGGTAAAGGACTGGGCTCCTGCCATGGCTGTCAACTTCCCTGCCACAGTGAACCCTGCCTCTGTCAGAATACTTCTGCACTTTTGGAGAGAGGGAGCTCATAGCTTTCAATGGTCAGCTGAAATCTCTCATGCTTTATCATTCACCACTAGTGTTAGTTCATCCCTGGAGGCCCGGAAAAGATGCTTCATCTAAACAGTTTTTCAAATGGTTGGTGATAGCGTCCCTAAATCTGAAGTAAGTTTATCTTCCTTGTCCCCCAAATCTGAAGTTTCTCTTCTCAAAGATGAAGTTTCCTCACTTCAGTCACAATGCATGTGTATAGAACTGACATATATCCCAGTTTATCTGCATAGAGTGCACATATATTAAAGTATGAGGCCATGAACTTTATCCAGAACTGCAGTTGAGGTCTGACCACCACAAACAGAGGAAAGTCAGCACCTCCATTATTGGAGCTATTGTATTACCTCTAATTCTCTGAAGATAATGGGTTCTCTTGGGGCCACATAACACAGTCAATTAGATTCACTTGACTTTGAACAAAGCCCTTTGTTTTTATTTTTAAACACTGCTAAGCCATGTTTCATCCTGTGTTTGTGTGGTGGGTTATTTGTACCTGAGCATAGACAACTGGGTAAGAGGATGGCTTTTGGGGTTAGTATTGGTTTCTTAGTCTGTGTCTGTTTTTTACCAGCTGTGTGACTTTGGGTAAGTTACGTAACTTCTCTAAACCTCATTTCTTCATATATAAATGGCAATCTTAAGGGTACCTACTTCAAAGAATTATCAGAACTAAATGAGATAAGGAGCATTTAGCACAGTTCCCAGCTCATAGTAAACCCTCAATAATACTAGCTATCATTATCTATTGTTACCTAATATTAATATCTCCATCTTGTTAGGTGGGACTCATCCTTCAAGAAATTGTTGGGTCTTCTTTCTCTTAGTAAACATAATTTAATTCCAATCTCTTTTAACTTTGTGTCAACTACAATTCTAATTAACATGAATTCTATACCTCTCTTTGAGTATCTTTGTTGTTGGACTGTATCACAGAGGTGAATAAGACAGACGTGGTCAGTATCCCCTATAGCCATCAGTCCATTGAGAAAGACAGTTAATGAATAACTCATGTATGAATCTTCTGTGTTTGCTAAAGTTATTTCACCAGTTACAAATTCACTTGTCTTTGCATCTAGCCATATTTGTTTACCTTGTTCCCAAGGATATATGGAGATATGAATAACTGTAAAATGCCCCATTGATGTCCAAATGCCCTGTATCTGGAAAGAGATAAGTAATGACAATGACTCAAATTTGGAGATTATATCTAAGAAGCCCTGCAGGATTTTCAGTCTAGTAGGTAGATGTGTATGAGCTTCTGCAGGTCACAGAAGTCAGAGATGAAGAAAAATATTTAAGTCCTTTACATACCGATGAGAATGGAAGATAAGTAGATGGTTGTAATACTCAAGAGAGAATGGGATGAGACATAGGAAGAGAAAATGAACTACGTAAGGAGAAGTAATTACAGAGGTAAAAGGACAGCAGAGTTTGTAGTCTCTCTTGTAATCCAAGGGAAAATAAAATTTTAAAAACGAGGCAGTGATGAATAGGGTACAAATATGGAGATAAATTGCTACCGTGTTTGTTTATTGAAAGGCCATTTAGGACATTTCTGAGGTAAGTTTCAGTGGATTAGTAAGGAGAAAGCAAGATATTTTACAGGTTAAAAAATTGGCTGCAAAGCAGAAAAATAATAGATAAAAATTAGTAAAATTAAAAAGCTGGTTATTTGAAAAGATGAATAAAATTGATTAATCTCTAGCCAAAGTGACCAAGAAAAAAGATGAAAAACGTCTATCAGGAATAAAAAGAGGTCATCATTACAGAACCTACCAATGTTAAAATAGTAAGGGAATATTATAAATTTTTTGCCAATAAATTTAGGAACTTAGATGTAAAGGACAAATTCCTTGAAAGACACCATATCTCACCCAAGAAGAAATAGATAATAATCCTATAGCTATTAAATAAATTGAATTAGTAATTAAAATTCTTCCAACAAAGAAAACTCTGGTTCAGGAGGCTTTATTGGAAATACTTAAGGAAGAAAAACTAATTTTACATAAACTCTTCTATAAAATAGAATGAATGCATACTAACTTGTTTATGATGCCAGAATTAACCTTCTATGAACACCAAGTATATTATAAGAAAATAAAACTATAGACCAATATCTCTCCCAAACCCAGACCAAAAAATTCTCAAGAAAATATACATATGTAACAAACCTGCACGTTGTGCACATGTACCCTAGAACTTAAAGTATAACAAAAAATATATTTAAAAAATTAAAAAAAAGGAAAATATTAGTAAATGAAATCCATTTTTGTACAAAAAGTGTAATACATTCCTGGAATGCAAGACTGGTTCATCACTCAAAATTAAACAAAATAATTTCCCATATCAATATTCTAAAAAAGAGAAGGCATATGATAACTTTTTAGATGCAGAAAATAATTATCTGACAAAATTGAATATCTGTTCATAAAAATAACTGTCAGGTGGTAAAGTAGGAGGAGTGAGGGCAAATTATTATTTTAAGAAGTCTGACAGTAAAAGAAAACAGAGAGAGAAAGAGAGAAAAGTAACTCTAGGCATAATTAGAGTAGTGTTATGGGAAAGAGATTTCCCCCATATCTTTAAGTCTTGAACAGGTTTATATGCTGAGGGGAAGTGGCCAGAGGAGAGAGACCAAAAAAAGAAAATATTGGAAATAATGATGGACTAGAGTTTTAGAGGTTGGGGAGGGATTAGGACCTATAGCATGATAGGAGCAAACAGACTTTAAGAGGTTTGGTACTCTGGGACTGAAGGGAAGGATGAGAGAATAAGTATGGATGCAGAGGTTACATGAAGCAGCAAAGCTGGGCACTGTTAGAGGTAAGAGGAAAAGTGAAAAGGCTCACATTGGACATTCTTACAGCTCTCAGAGATTCCCATCTCGAAGGGAGGCAATGTGGTGTGGAGGAAAGAGCATGGGCTTTGGCATTGGTCTCTACTGGAGTTGAATCACAGCTCTGCCTGAGCCTAGTTGGGCAATCCTGTGCAAGTCACCTAACCTCTATGATACTCTGTGTCCTCACCTGTAAAGGGGAAAGTAATAGCAAACCCAGAGCATTATTACAAGGACAAAATAAGAAAATTATGCAGGCAACATAGCACACCTCATAACCCATAGCAAGTGCTCAGTACATGCTATTCTCATTTCTGTTGCCTTTATAAAGAAAATAGAGGTGGGACCAACATTGTGGGAAATAAAAAAGACATTTGGATCAGAGCTTGTGGGAAATGCAATGAGATGTTTACTAAAGACGTGTGAAAATAAGTGAGTAGTAGCAAGGTCAGATAAGATTGCGGTTATGTGTTAAATAGATCATGCTATGATAAGCAAATAGGGGTAGGAGATAAACGTGCAAACAGTGGAAGAAGTGAGAGAGACTCTGGCTCATGCCCAGTCACCATACCTGCTTCATTCTGATGATGATTAAGAGACTCTGATCTGGCAAAGACTGACCAGGAGACCCTTTGTGTGCTGGTTGCCATCCCACTGCTTAGAGGAGTTAATGAGCCTCAAAAGAAAGATTCTACAATTTTCCTATTTAACAACATTGTGCCACAAAATTATTATGGGAATGCTGCTTGCTCTGCTTCAGTGTTTTTCTATTGCAATGTATTGTTGCCTTGTCTCGTTCAGTTCTTAATGAAATGTGGATTCACTTACTGCCTATGTCCTTATGATATTTTATTGATTTGAACTCTGTTTTCAGATATTCTTCTCCTCCCTTCTGTAGAATTACTAGAATTACCCTGTTGGTTCACATGTGAATCAGCCAAATTGAAATTTTGTAATCTCAGGTAGGGCTTCTTCTCCATCTCCCAAGCACATGACTGGGTCAGTATCCTCCATTAGCTTGAAGACAAGTGCTCTTGGAGTAGAGCTTCAAGTGAACTTTAGCCCACAAGAAGCAAAATTAGGAAATGTGTCTCTTTGTAGAATTAGAATTAGAATTCCCATTAACAATAAGAATTGTCTTGGGCTGCTCATTGACTTAGTGATCAATTTAAATGTGATTTTCCCACATATTTTGCACAAATGTATCAACATAACATAAAGCTGCTATGGTTTTTAGTCTTAGGTTCTGGGGCACAGCAACAAAGCAAATACACAAAACTCTGACCTCACAGAACTTACAACTGACTGGAGTGATAGATGAGAGAGTAAATATACTGTAGTTTGTTAGATGTTGATAAGGGCGATGGGAAAAAAAAATAAGAGTGGGGGTAAGATGTGGTGAGTTGCTTCTATTTTGTATGAGGTAGTAAGAGAAGGCTTTATTGATAAAGTGACATTTGAGCAGAGACCCGGAGGAATTTGTGGGACAAATAATGCAGAGATGTGGGAGGAAAATCATTCTAAGCAGAGAGAATAGCAAGCACAAAGGCCCTGCGGCAGGAGTGTACCCGGTGGGTTCTAAGATGTGCAAGGTAGTTTTGTCACTTAAGCAGTGAGAAAGGGGAGAACAGTAGATGGGGTCAAAGAGGCAGGGAGGGTAAGATCAAGATGGGACTTGGGCTGGATTCTGGGTGACATAGGACATAGAGGGTTGGAGCAGAAGTGTGACATGGCCTGACTCGCATTATAAAAGGCTCCCTCTGGCTGCTGTGCTTAAAAACAGCCTGTAGGGCGAGCAAGAACAGAAACAGGATCACTGGTTACCCGGATACTGCAGTAATCCAGGCAAGAGATGGCAAAGGCTTGGACCAGACTTCCTGCGACAAAGGAGTAAAGAAGATCACATTCTAGATGCATTTTCAGGGTCTATCCTACTTGATGTGCTGATAGGCTGGAGGTGGGATATGAGAGAAAGAGGCAACTCAAGGATGACTTCAAGTTCTCTGGTCTGAACAGCAGGAGGACACAGTTGCCTAAAGTGAAGGAGGACTTAGAGGAGCAGGTTTGCGGAAGAGGAAAATCAGAAATTCACCTCGGACACGCTGAGTTTGAGATGACTATTAGCCATCCATGTGGAAAATGCGGGGCCATTAAGACAGAGAAGTTTGGATTTTGGACGAAGGTGGGAATAGAAATTTCAGTGTTGGGAGCCTCTGTAATACCCATGAAGTCATGGAAATCGATGAATCATCCAGAGCTTGACTGCAGATGGAGAAGGCTGATTCCTGGGGCCCTCCTAACTCAGAGGTTGAGCAGAAGAGGAGGATTCAGCCAATGAGGAGACCCACAGGGGTTATCATAGAAGCAGCCCAGCCACCAAGAATACATCACCATTCTTGAAACAGTTTATTGATAAGTGTCATTGAATTTGAGTCACCAACTTATCAAGCGAAAAGATGAAATTGTACATCTATCTATGAAGGAAATATATTCTATTAAGAAATAATTATGAATAGATGATGGGAACAAAGCTTTACTAGCAGTTCAATAATGCAGCCTTCTTCTTGGCTATTGAAATAAACCTGGAAATTTTACTGCATATGGAGAAAGAACTGTAAGATGTACCTAGAAGCACTGTGCTGATGTGGAGTTTTGGGGAAATTTTCACTATATCTGCCTAATGTAGATACCTTTCATAGGGAGTTTTCATGACTTATTTTTGAACATCTTGTTTTGGGGCCTTCCATTTTCAGAATCACTTCAAAATGCATTCCTGCTTACTTTGGATTTTTACTTTGGATTTTTTTCTCTCTTTATTATGAAATATTCTCCAAGTTAAGGAAGGTTCCATTTTCAATGCCGATAATGAACTGGTAGGGTTCATTTCTATACTTAAAATGGTAACATATATGACAAACACCATGGTCACATTTAATTTTTGGAAGATTTATTGCAGAATTAAAAAAATCACACTCTTTTGTCTTCATTTCTTTTCCTCTGTATGTCTTGAAGGTGATCTCTCTCCATCACTTCCTTGTACATGTTCACTCCTTTGGAGAATTATTTTAATATCCTAAGACAAAAGATTCAAAGAGAAGTTACAAATACTAATAAAGGATGATCAATACTATACTATACAAATACTAATAAATGATCACATAGTACATGGCAACCATTAAACAGTTTTTATTTCTTTTTTTCCACTGAGCAAATTTCTCCATTTAGTTTTAATCCCACCCTGAGACTTACTACTTGTATGTTTGGAAAATTATCTAAGATCTTGGACCCTCAGTTTCCACACCTAATAATGGAGTTGTCATATTAGGTTAATTAACATTTGTAAAAGCAGTTACACAGAACCTGGCATATAATGAATGGGCAAGTTAAAAGATTGTTTCCTTATGAATGAACAAAAAAACCAGTATTCACCCTCTATGAAAGTAAATGCTAATGCTAAATTAATCATGTCTATAGATTTGTAGAATTTTAAAACAAAAGATTACTTTCCTGAAATTGTCTCATTCTTTCATTGTAAAAACATCAGGGAAAGAATGACCTGTTTTACATTTGCTATACAGCTATCTTACATCTTAAATCACAGATATTTTTCAAAATATATTTAAACTATTATTACAATGTAGAAGGAGTACCAACATGTGAAAAATACAGAACTGCATTTAGGTAGCTTTTAGGTTTTTTTTTTTATTTCACAATTTTAGAGAAGTATTTTAACAATATAAGTTCCTTTTCCTCAGAGCTGAGTTTCAAAGGCTTCAATTTGACTGTGATCATTTTAGTTGAGAAGACATGAGTTTGTTCACCATATGTGCTGACCCTTGCCAATTGACATATGCACTGCTTCTATCAGTCACTGCGAGGAATCATAGTGAATCATTTTCTTTAGAGATCTTGTTCCTTGAAAACACAAATCTCCTAAAGCCAAAGGTCAATGCTAAGTGAACCAAGTGGAAAAGAAAAGCTGCTCCCCATTGACTTTTCTAGTCTTACCCAGTATAATTCTTCCATTTATTATTTATTTTTTTTAGAAATAGAGTTTCGCTCTGTCACCCAGGCTGCAGTGCTGTGGCATGACCATAGCTCACTGCAGCCTCAATCTCCAAGGCTCAAGAAATCCTCCCACCTCAGTTTTCTAAGTAGCTGGGACTACAGGCACATGTCACCATGTCCAGCTAATTTTAAAATTTTTTATAGAGAGGAGTCTTGCTCTGTTGACCAGGTTTCTCTCAAACACCTGGCCTCAAGCAATCCTCCCACCTCAGCCTCCCAAAGTGCTGGGATTACAGATGGCAACCACTGTGCCCAGCCCACTACAATTCCTAATAACATGTCTTCTTTATATAGTATGTTTATAATAACTAATGTCATTTTAATATTATCAAAAGTTAATTTGAGGATTAAGGAATAAGCTAACTTGTGATTATCTGACACTCCATAGCAAGGGGAAAATGATAAGCTCCAGATATATTTAAACCAGTCTTAGCTAAATTTATAGCTGAAATCAGGGACCACAATTTTCAGTAGCAGTGAATGGAGAAGAGCCTGTGAAAGCCAGAAAATGTTTGACACTGGTGCTTTGAAAACACAAAGCACTGAAGCAGCTATCATATTTTGTTATAAAGATAAAGGAGAAGCTTAGAGAATATTTTAAAGTCAGGTGCCCTGAAGACAAGAGGGATGAAAGTCTCCTTCAGTTCGCACTTATAATTATAGGTATGTTATCCTAATGTAATTGGGTCCTGATTCATTTGTTTATAAGATATTTTCTGGTGATATTCTAATGTTAACATTAAAAGATTTCTTGCTATCTCCTATTGAATATAAACCTCAATTATAAGGTAATATGCTTGATTTACATATTTGTTTTAAAGAATGTATAATAATTGAGCCTGCGTTCATCACAAGAAACTAAAGTTATTAAGTTTTTAGAGAAAATTGTTTATTCATTTACATTTATAAATATATATTTATCACAGGAAATTGACTTTGTTCACCAACAACCCAGTTCCAATATCCTCACTGATCTTCTTATATTTATACAAATCATTTTCTTAATAATTTAGGAGCATTATTTGAAAATAACTTTTTTGTACAAGGCCTATGAAAGTGGAAATTAAATAAGTGACTTTAGCTGAATGCCTATAATGTCCAACGCAAAATCTGGAACTTCCACATAGGTATGGACCAGAGGCTTCCTGGGACTTCAATTTGGACCCTTTATCATCATGGCACTGCACCAGTAAAGTCCTTCTTTTTTTCCAAAGACAAGACATATGTGTTCAAGAGATTAGATGCCAGCTCACTAGTCCATCCACATATAATTGCACGTGATTCAGAATTTCTTGTGCACGGTAACTACTACAGACCAGCAGTAGTAGAAGTAGGTTGGTGCAAAAGTAATTGTGGTTCTTTGCCATCAAAAGTAATGGGAGGCCAGGTGCGGTGGCTCATGCCTGTAATCCCAGCACTTTGGGAGGCCAAGGTGGGCGGATCACGAGATCAGGGGATCGAGACCATCCTGGCTAACACATTGAAAACCCATCTCTAATAAAAAAAATATGGAGAAATTAGTCGGGCGTGGTGGCAGGCACCTGTAGTCCCAGCTACTCGGGAGGCTGAGGCAGGAGAATGGCGTGAACCCGGGAGGTGCAGCTTGCAGTGAGCCAAGATTGCACCACTGAATCCAGCAATCCAACCCTCCAGCCTGAGCAACAGAGCGAGACTCTGTCTCAAAAAAAAAAAAAAAAAAAAGTAATGGCAAAAACTGCAACTACTTTTGCACGAACCTAATAGTAGTAGTAGTAGTATCTCATATATATTGAGTGCTTTCTATCTTCCAGGAACTGAGTTAAACACTTTATATGTATTATCTCCTTTAATTTGTACAAACCCCACCCCCCCCACCATGAGGTGACTATGATCATTGGCCCTATTTTACAGATGCAGACACCAAGGCACTTTGAGGTCACTTGCCGAAGGCCACACACTTCATAGGTATGAACCCAGTCAGTGCAGCTCCAGAGCCCACTCTCATAACCAAAAGCCAGTACACCTTAAATGCATTATTACAATTATGCATACTTATTTTTTTCAAATATGTATCTTAAAATGTTGTCACTTCTAAACAAGAACCTTGTAAACATAGAGCTGTTAGGCAACAACCTTCACTTCCCACTGTTTATAATAGCAAACAACATTTTAACCTGAAAAACCACACTCTAGCTTTTGCTCTTCTTATCTTGAAAGATCTTCAGATGACATCACTGTGGTTGAAGTGTATTATAAAAATGTGATCTATTTACTTGTACATGGATATCTGAAGCAAAAAATGACAGGACGAGTGCAGTGGTTTGAGTCTTCAAAGATTCTTTTCTCTCCATTCCTTCATTTCTTTTGTTTTTATTTTATTATTTATTATTTTTTTTTTTAGCAAAAATGAGAATAGAACACCTTACTGGAAAGGGACCCTTTTTCACTGTAAATATTAGAATGTAGACTTTTCAGGACACAGGCACAACTCTTCTTGATGGACCATCATACAAATGAGTCCCCTGGGTGGTAGTTTACTGGCCTCTAATTAGATTCCTTGGTGGAGTGACCAGGAAGAGGTGTGGAGGACTTGAGGAGGGAGAGTTAAAGTAGATGACTCAGGTATATCTTAGAGAAGCATTCTGGCAATGAACTAACTCACTAACTAACTCTCTGCTATGAGAATGCCAGGTGCTACAGGTATTGTGAGACTGGTTAACAGAAGACAGACACCCTGCTGCTGGGTGGCTTTCAGCCAGAGGGGTACTGTGCATCAAGGAAAGCTTGGCAAATGTGCAGGCAGAGGTGGTTTTGGAGATCAGTATGTCAGGATGTTCCTGGAATACAGGGGGTAGGGCCTGAAATGTTAGGTATTCTGCCACACTTGGGACAGTTATCCTCAAAGAGGAACTGTGCTGCTCCAAATGCCAATAGTACTTCAGTTAACATTGCTAGTTGCTGACACTCCTTCAGAAATGAGGGGAATGTATAACTTAAAAGGAGTCCTCCAGCACTTTGGGAGGCTGAGGCGGGTGGATCGCCTGAGGTCAGGAGTTCGAGACCAGCCTGGCCAACATAGTGAAGCCCCATCTCTACTAAAAATACAAAAAATTAGCTGGGCGTGGTGGCAGGCACCTGTCATCCCAGCTACTCAGGAGGCTGAGGCAGGAGAATCGTGTGAACCCAGGAGGTGGAGGTTGCAGTGAGCCCAGATCATGCCACTGCACTCCAGCCTGGGCAACAAGAGCAAAACTCTGTCTCAAAAAAATAAAGTGGGGGAGTCTTATGGATGACAGGTTTCCTGGGAAGTCAGAACACCTATTCGGAAAGGCTAACTCTTGAAGGTAGCCATCTGTTGGCTATTTTCTTTTCTCAAGCAAATTGTCAAATAGAATCTTCTTTGCAAGTTCATCATATTTAATCACTCTGCTCAGAGTGAAGATATTTTCAAGTCATACTGATTTTGTGGGAGTTTTCTTTCCAGTATGAGAGGAAATAATTGTGGCATCATTTTTATGCTCCTACTTGTAATCAGCAATATAAAATAAGTCCTATTTTACATAATTCCAAAGGATTTTGCAAATTATTTTACTGGTTCAATGTAAGAGAGCTGTTCCCTGATATGTGGAGCAGGGAATGTAAGCTAAAATGCAGTCTAGAGAGATGGGCCTATGGAATCCACGTTGTGCAGGATGACATTATGGCACAATATCCCCAAGGAATGCTTAGGGATGAAGAAATTAACATCATATCATGCTCTGCTCAGCAGCCTGTTCATTCTCTCTTGCTTTTCAAATGGAATCCACATTTCCCTTTGTGACATCTGGGTTCTTCGCAATCTGGCCTGATCTGACCAATTTAATGGGATCATTTTATACCTTTCCCAGGCTATTCATGGGGTGGGGCTCCTGCAGTCCTTCTTCCATGCCTTCCCCAGACCTTGCCTTCACCCAGGACTCTGCTGCCTCCCTACCCCAACAGCAAAATCCATGTAGACGTCCCTTTCCCTCTCTCCACTTTCCCAAACCCTGGCTATCGTTCAAGACCTAGCTTATTCCTTCTTGGGCAGACTCCCTCCACACTTCCAGCACAAAAATGTCAAGTATTGAATTCCTATAATTTTGCACTTGGTTGGTTTAACTTATATCACTTTCTTGCAATTCCTGCATGTAAAAATTATCTTGCAAAAAGGAGTTAAATTTTTTTAGAGCAGTGACCAAATTATGTACTCAATTTTCTCTCTCCTATGGAAGCTTATACTACGGGTCTCAGTAGTAGGTGATCAGTATTGAATAGTACCCCTAACAGCCATCATTTCTGTAGCACTTCCCCTGTGTCAGATACCATGCCAAGTGCTTTACATGCATGACCTCACTTAATCCTCACCACCACCCTTTGAATATGAATGTTTCATCCCCATTTAACAGACGAGAAAGCCAGGATTAGGAGAAAGTTAAGGTCAGGGAGTTACTGAGGGGTAGACCTGAGATTCAGTCCCATGACCTGATTCCAGAGCCTGTGTTCTTACATGCTGTAATCATATTTCACTACTGCATAGGCTTCGTGTCTAAACAGCTGCTAGCTTGTTTTATATATATATATATATATGTAAAACCCAATTTTTTTACATATATATTTAAAAAATATATGTATATGTTACATACATATATGTATATATATTGGGTTTTACATATATACATATATACATATATATGTGTGTATATATATACATATAAATATATATGTGTGTATATATATACATATAAATATATATGTGTGTGTATATATATGTAAAACCCAATAGCAAAGACTTGGAACCAACCCAAATGTCCATCTATGATATATACACTGGATTAAGAAAATGTGGCACATATACACCACGGAATACTATGCAGCCATATAAAAGGATGACTTCATGTCCTTCATAGGGACATGGATGAAGCTGGAAACCATCATTCTCAGCAAACTATCGCAAGGACAGAAAACCAAATACCGCATGTTCTCACTCATAGGTGGGAATTGAACAATGAGAACCCTTGGACACAAGAAGGTGAACATCATACACTGGGGCCTGTCATGGGGTGGGGGAAGGGGAGAGGGATAGCATTAGGAGATATACCTAATGTAAATGACGAGTTAATGGGTACAGCACACCAACATGGCACATGTATACATATGTAACAAACCTGCACGTTGTGCACATGTGCCCTAGAACTTAAAGTATAATTAAAAAAAAAGAAATCAACTTCAGTTATACTAATACAGGCAATAAAATTAATTTTAATATTAATTAATAATTTAATATTTAAAAGGATCAGCAACTTAGAACAAAAACGTTTAGGCACACAGGAAGATATTTAAGTCTGAATAGTTTCATTTGTGGGTATAGGAAGAAAACTGCAAAATGTAACTTGCTATCATTGAGAAGTCAAGATACACAATCTACATTCTATCAAAGTGAAAGCGCTTTTATTTTCAACTCAGCAAACACTTTGTAGTTCAATACACAACTCACAGGAGTCAAACAGGGAGACTTCGTGTTAAACTGGTATCTGAGAGGGATGTAGTGCTACAGTATGAAAGGGGGTTGGTGTCAGCCTCTGCCCTCCTTAGTCCCTGCTGTTAAAGGCCTGGGACTCGCCATAGTGGATGCACATTTAGCATGTGTGGTCCAGACCTGCTTGGTGGTTATGTGATTTCTGAGTTGCAGTTCTTCCTTTCTTCTGCTGGGTTTGTCCAGTTTCTCTGGGGTTTGTCCTTAGTTTCTCCATCTTGCACACTGTTTTCCTGATGGAAGTGGTGCCCAACCTTTTGCACACACTATCATTTCCACTACATAGATGATGTGTACCTTGCGTGATTAGAGTACAATGAATATGTCAGCACTTGGCTGGAGATCATGGTCTTGGTTAGTTCTCTTTGGCAGGAGGAATCTTATTCTCCAAACCCTTCAATCACAGGCTAGGGTCATTACATGGCTACAATGACAATCCTAACACTGTCACCCACCCAGCTTTAACTACCACCTATCAAATGTGCCTGAGCTTGCTGCCCTTTGGGTATTTCAGGCTGACCTTTCTGGCCTGATGTGATTACCAGCTTAGCTTCTCCAGATTCTGGCCTGGCCTGGCAGAGTACAGCTTCTTTCTCTTCCATGCCAGCTCACATTTAGAAACATCCTAGCATGTCCTGAACTGGAGCCCAACCAAATTAGAGCACTTTGGGGTAATACTCACAGGAAACTTATAGTCTGAATAATTTGAAATCAGGTCTTGAATAAAAGGATGCTTCAAGAGAACAGCGACTTCAATTGGCTCCAGGTTCTTGGCACCTAGGTCTTGAAATGTTTTTATGAAGCCCTTTAAGGAAGAAAAAAAATGAAGTTAATCAACCTCACAATCCAGTAGATGTTAAAAAAAATGGTTGTATTTACTAAAGAGATTCTGTATAATTTCATACTATGATATATTTTGAGAGCAATTCCATAAAAATATGCTCAGAATTGAGGCCAACTTTTTTCAAAATAATTTAACCAACCTCTGCATAAATGTTCTCTATCTTTAGGTGGCTGGCAAATCTATTGGAGTCCTGTGCTTCACTTCCCCCTTTGAACACTTTGAGTAGTGTTTCCATGGACATCTTTTCATTGTTTGCATTTTCAGGGATTTCTTCATCCTTCTGTTCCCTTTTCTCCGTGTCGTCTTTTAATTTCCTTTCTTCTCTTGCAGCATTTTCCTCAGGTTCAGGAAATTCCTCAGCTGGACCTGCATCAGTTGAGGAGGTCTGCAAAGTTAAATGAAGAGAACATGAAGTTAAACTGAAGTTTTTTCCACCAATGGAGACTTTTAGAATATACCAATTTCATAATCACACACTTTTCATGAATGACAGAGCCTACCACAAACTAGCTAACCAGTCTAGAGGAGAATACACTAGCTGCCTTGAAAATTACAATGTCAAAATTCAAGACCAGTTTTACTTGTAGTGTATAGAAGCTTGTATAGTGTGGGGTGTGTCCTACACAACTTCATACATTCTTGGGCTGACTACCCTGCCAGGTACTTGTACCCCTGTATATAGATATAGATATACACATGTATATAGATTTTAAACAAGATTTGCTTTTGAAATTGAATGCAATTGAGAGGCTAAGGCAAGTCAATTGCTCTAGCTTGACAGATTCTAAGAGCTTCAGAAACATTTCTTTGGACACTGGAGGATATCCCAACTAAACACTCAGAAGGCAAAATAGAAAACAAATCCAGTGTACAAAATCAGGTTGGGATTTTTACTGCTGCTCTTTGAAATTTGGCCAAAAGCCATGAACTCAGGCACTCATGAGTATGGTGAAGAGTAAATTGTTTTGATTTCTTATGTATCAAAAGCCTGAATGTATATATTCTTCTTATGTATCCTATCATTGACCCAGTAGTTACAGAACTAGGAATTGATCCTGAAGAAATATTCATTTGCCCAAATACGTTTGTATATGGCTGTTCATTCAGTGTTACAGCAAAAATAGAAAACCTAAGATTCCAAAAAATGGGGGAATGGTAAAATAAACTCTATTTCTGCAATGTAGTATTACATTGCCATGAAAAATGATGGTTTAGCAGAATTCTTAATAACACAAGAAAACACTCATGATAGAATAAGTGCAAAAAGCAAGCAGAAAACAAAGTAGTACATGCAGTAGGACAGTTTGCTTATATATCTATTCTATTGATGAAAATGGAAAGCAGACGCATTAAGGAGTTAACAGTGGTGACTTCTGGATAGCGGAATAGACAATTTCCTTTGCTTTGTGCTTCTTACATTCTTTATAGTAAATTTGTGTGCATATGTGTCTGCATACATGTGTGTATGTATGTATGTTTCAATATTTGATAATTTGCCAAGAAAGAAAGGAGCATTTTGGCATTTTTGGCTGGCCAGATGTCACAGAACATCTGAGATCTGATCTCCTTTATTCCAAGGAAGAAAAAAAATGCTAATTTAGGAGGGTGCCAATGCTGTAAATATTCAATTCAGTAGAAGTATCAAGTCTATAGATTGTGCAACCTCTTTCTAAATAGTCATGTAAATCTCATGTATGGAAGGATTATGATGCAGCATAAAATTAAGCCTCTGGTAGTCATACGTCCCTATAAGGAATTTGGAGGGACAGTGGGCAGTGTAATGAAGGCAGGTTACATTTGCTATAGCTCTGTATGGTCACTTTGCCTTAGTTGGGTCTCTATATCCATTGTTAAGTTGGGAATTTAAGCTTGAAAAAAGAAAGAGAGAAAAAAAGACAGAGGGAATGCTCTAACAGGTGAAGATTTTGGAATCAAATATACATATTTATATAATTTTCCTGCAGGCTTTTGTCCACTTTAAACATCTGGAAATGCTACATGGCAGAAATGTAAAATGAGCTTTAGTATTTCCACCCAGGAATCTTGGGGATTATTGCATTGGCTACCCATCAATAATCTTCCAGGGCAATGAAACAGTTAGTGTAGTGAAATGAACATAGTTGTGATGTAAAACATCTTTCTGAGTGAGTCCAGGATGAATAAATTTCTATTCAGAGTGTAGCATAGGTTCTGTGTACCCAAGATAAACATAGAACCTGTAGGCAAGCAAACAATTAGCTGCTTAGATGAGCAGATGATACCAAAATTAAGCAAAGAAGGAACCTGGGCTCTCTGTAACTATTTCCATAATTAGGGGGAGAAACTTACTTTCCAAAGGCCTGATGTAAGCATAATGGAATAAATGATTTTTTTTTAAAATTTAAGAGGTAGCAATGTAAACATTTGAAATGTCAGAGTGAATAATCCTTAACTTATTAGTGTCAGAGGACTCTTTTTACATGTTTGCTATTTTTGATCTCTAGGGGGTTGGTATAGAATAGGCTTAGTGGCTCAGTGGGAGGGGAAGGAAGGGAGAGAGACTGAGATCAAACTGAAGAAGTTGGCATGGTCCTGCAGAGAGGGAAACGTGTGCAAGAGGAGGTGGTTCTCTCCAACAGAGTCTCTGAAAGCTGGTGATGTTGAATGTGGGTACAGGAACAAAACCAGTGAGGCCAATTTGGAGAAAAGCCAGTACTTTTGAATGAGCAATTATCAGTGGTATCAAAGCTCTACAAAAGTCACATTATTATCTAAGCAGGGGAACAGACTGTGGTGCTGTCAAGCACTATGTCACACTTGGCTAACTCTCAGGACTCCCAACAAATGTGTCCCCAGAGTGCTACCTGTGTGTCTTCCTGACCATGCATTTCTATCATTCAATCAGCTCAGTCCCACATCTCAGATGGCAGCACAGAGGTCTGGTCTTGGATTAATGTGGGCAAAGCCTCAAAGAGCAGAAGAGCATAGAAATGTATGTGTTTCTACCCCAGGGCCTCAAACGCTCCTTGCCAAGATGTTTTTACAAGACTTTTGCAATGTGAGAGATTCAAGCTCACAATTTACTAACCCCACGCCACACAGGTGGCAGAACGAACCATTTTCCCAAATGTCATTTATTTAAAGATCCACCTAGACTAGGGCATTACTGATGAATGCCTCGCTTTTAAGTTTCTTTTAAATTACCCAAGAAGCTGTGGCTTTAAGCAGAAGGCCTGAGCCGCATTGAATAAAATCAGCATGAATAGCAGAAATAGAGTAAAGAAGAATGAAATGCTGGGGAGATTTCCAGTTGTTTGTGGGGAAAGCAAAAGCAGAGATCTGATTGAATGGCTTGGGAGTGAATATGAATCTGCTAGAGGTGTTATTTCTGAGCATTATGGCTTCCTGGGACAGGGTTGCCCAGGAAACTGGAACACAGTGGAAATGGCACAGAAATGGAGTGCCACAGTTGGAGACAGTGGGATGAGGAGTGAGTGAGAATGAAGAAGGTGAGTGGCTTCTGTGTTCCAAGTGCTCCTAGGGTTCACTCCAAGTCAGGAACAGGCCTGTGTGTGAGAGAGAGCCCTGTGTTCCATCCCAGGCTCCACCTCCCACCCACTAGCTTAATCTCTGCAGCGCAGTGTTCTTGGTTCAGTTCCTCCACAGTGTCCTTGGATTTTAAAGGAGCTCTTGAGAGCAGCACTCAAGGAGAGCTGCTTCCCGGGTAGGAACACTAGCACACAGTGAATGCAGCACTCAGGGATGGAAGGCATTAAGCGTCTTCCTGTGCTAGCTAGCCTGGCTGCCAGCCTCAGGAGACAGCTGTCTGTTGCTATGGCAACAGCTCTAGCACAGGCTTCCTTTTTCCTGGCCTTTCCTGCTCATCTCAGCCTCCTGGACTCCGCTGTTGCCTCTGCCTGCCTGCAATGTCTGCTTTCCTCCTCTCTACCATGGAGACTAAACTCCATTCATTTCACTGTCCCTCTCTTCCTTCTTCACTTCTTTCCTGGCCATGTTCACAAATACTAATCAAGCACTGGCTATGTGGCAGCTACTTCAGAGGACATGAAGATGGGTAACAAGGTGTCCCAAACTCAAGGCAGGAACCATTTAGCAGTAGAAATAGATAAGTGGTCCCCTGCCTGAAGGCCTAGGTCTCCTTACTTCCCTCCTTTGCCGTCTGTAGTCTCTCCTCAACACAGAGAGATCCTGACTTAGTGAAGCCAGGTGACTGCACCCTTCCAATGACTTCTCATCCTGCATAGAGTTAAAGCTAAGGTCCCTGCAGTGGACCTCAGGGTCCTCTCCCTCTCACTTCCCTTCCCTGTTACTCTCCTTCAGCCTGGTCCTCTCCAGCTCTGCTGGCTAGCCCTAGTTCTCAGAGCACACCAGTTATGGCTGCTTTTGCACTCACTGTTGTCCTCACTTCAAGTGCTCATGCCCCAGGGACTTGCAAGGCTCTCCCCCTCACCTTCTTTGGGCCTCTGTTTGTATGTCTCTTCTCAGAGAGGGCTTTTCTGGCCACCCTAATGAACATTGCAACCCCTCTTCCAATGCCTGTATTTTCCCCCTGCATTCTTTTTTTTTTCCATAGAATTTATCACCATTCGATGTAGTCTCTGTTTTGCTTATTTGTTTATTGCCTGTCTTCCTCCTGCCTGGAATAATTTTTGTTCACTGCCATACCCCCGAATCGAGAGTGGTCCCCAGCACACGTAGGTGCTCAATAAATGTTTGTGGAAGCAGTGAATGTGTGTGTGTGAATGTGCTCCGCCCTGCCAGGGAAGTTCTGGTTATAACCTGGGCCTTGCTGAGAGAGTGCTCAGTGTTGTCAGGGGATGCTTCGTGAAAGATGTGGCATTGTTGTAGGCCTTGGATAATGGGGAGGCCTCGGATCCTTTGAGATGAGATGAAGAGTATGCCAGGTGGAGAGAGTAACAAGAGTAAAGACAGAGAGGCAGGAAAGGAGAGGGCATCCACACCTCTTCTGGCTGGCAAGGCCTCACGTTAATCTGCCTTTTATTCCATGCTCCCCCCTGTTTGGGGCATCATTCATTCTTTTCTATATGAATGAGGCCAATTAGAGTCCCTTCAGGAGAGCAAGTTTGGCTTCTTTTGTGTTCCTCACGGGACCATGCAAAAAGCATAATTTACAAAGTGAATGAACTAATTAATTGATCTATTAATGAATGCAATGTTTACTGAGCTCTGTACCAGGCCTTGCCTCAACTTCAGGGATGCAGAACAAAACAGATGCCTCCTCCCCACCAAACTCCTGGTCCACAGGGTGCTTAGAGTCTAGAGAGAAGCAGATCTCAAGGAAGTCATTGCCAGGTGAGGAGTATCTTGTAGGGGAAGCAGGGTGCACCATGGGAACATATAGCAGCGGGTCTGACATCATTTGAGGTGAGGGAAGACAGACATTAATGAGACCTCACAGCACGCTGTGATCTGGGCTTAGATCATAGATCCAGAGTTAGTTTAGGGAACTCCCATCTACAGAGAGATACAGAAACATCCCTGGGAAAGTGGCAAATGCAGTGCCCGTGAATGCACATCATACCTAACTCCTCACTTATTTGGGAATTTTTTTTTTTTTTGAGATGGAGTCTTGCTTTATCACTGAGGCTGGAGAGCAGTGGTGCGATCTTGGCTCACTGCAACCTCTGCCTCCCAGGTTCAAGTAATTCTCCAGTCTCAGTCTCCTGAGTAGCTGGGACTACAGGCACACACCACCACATCCAACTAATTGTATTTTCAGTAGAGATGGGGTTTCACCATATTGGTCAGGCTGGTCTAGAACTCCTGACCTCAGGTGAGCCACCCGCCTTGGCCTCCAAAAGTGCTGGGATTACAGGTGGGAGCCACCACACCCAGCCCCTTATTTGGGAAACTCTTAAACTGGGCTTCTACTGTCAAAGAAGGCAGAATTCTTGAATGGAAATACACACTCCAGGCTGAACTTTCTGCCACTGTGTGTTGAACCACTTTTTACAGCACACTGGTTTGAAGAGTTGTTAGCTCATTAGATATGTATCTGGCCTCACTCTGGCTCTAGTGGAATGGGAAGGAGATCTTTCTGTCCACATGCTCAGGGCCAAACTTTAGGGTGGCATTTAAGAGTTTATCTCTTCCCTCCCATGAATGCAGTTACAGGAACCTCCCATTCATTCCTTTCAGACTATTCTACTTTAACAAGTATGTGTGAAAAGGATGGAAGTGTGTCTGGAACATCTGAGGAGTCTCGACTGGGCAGCAATCTTTTCCCCTCTGTTTCTACAAAGGAAAAACAGAACCAAGCATCCCATCAGATGGATCCACTGCTCCAGCCCCCAAACAACAGAACCAAAAGCCATGCCAAGAACAAATGGGCACCTAGGAAGCACATTACCTAGCACCCTGTTGGAGACTATCCCATCCCAAAAGCCAGGGAATGCCAATGCCTGAGAGATCTCAAGGGGAAGGTGAGGTGGCATTTTAATCAGATATTAAGCTTCTTTGTCCTTGGACACAGGTGATATGAAATGCAGGTTTCCAGTGGCCGGGCTTTGGTCTGAAACACTACCAAGCCCCATATATGTGGTGTGCATGTAGACCTGAACTTGTTTCATCTACAGTTTCTACACAGAATCCCAAATGGATTGGGTTGATACCCATTTCTGTTTCATTTATCAGGATCAGCACTCATGCCAAATAAAGGCCATCCTTTATAGAGTAAAGTTTGATTCCACCAAGACACTTTGAATAAATCTTGATTTTACCACAAAAATCTTTGATGGCAATTGGGTCCCCAGGTCTTAATCCAATTGAGTAAGGCTTTGTTGAAGACCTAGTATGTGTAAAGCATCATATTACACACCTAGGAAAATACGGAGATGAAAATAATAGAGTCCTTGTTGTCAGTTTAGGATCTTCAGGCATCCCCTCTAGACTCTATAGTTAGTCTATTTCTGGAATGCAATTACCTTTTCTGCACTTGGAATGGAAGCTTTGACTTGTTGGAAGACATGAGTTCCAACAGCCACACTGAGGGCCCTGTAGACTCCTTCCACGGTGTCTGGGTGGCAAGCAAAGTAAAGCAGCATCTGTGTGTAGTCAAGCTGGGGTGGATCCTTCTCATAGTCAGCAAATAGCCTAAAGAAAAACTGCACACAAAAAGAATTCCAAAGATAAAATGGGTGCACTCTCATAGTCAGTAGTTAGTCATGCAATGAAGAATCTCCCCAGGAGCTTTGGAATAAGGTTGCCTTCTGAGGATTGAATTAGTAAAGCTAACATATAATGAATGGTATGAACTGAATAATATTAAGAAAAAAAGCAGTAAAAGTGGGGCCCTGAAATATTGTAAAAGAAATATTGTGCTAATTAATGCTACTAACATATTTAGGAAATACTGTACTAATTAAGGGTAGTGGGGGACTGCACATTAAATAGGAAAAGAGAGCCACAAGCACAAGGACCCATCTATCTGTCCTCAGCATTCTCCGGACAAACTAGGCCCTGGTCCTAAATATGAGGCTTCTGTTCCATCGGTCTCTGTGGGGAGTGAAAGGAGGGAAAGAAAATGATGCCTAAAGCCACTGGGATTCTAGCCATTAAAAAGTCTTTAAACTGGTTCACCTGCTCTGGACTTCATACTCAAGCTACTGACCCTAGTTGACTTCACATCCAGGCAGAGAGCATACTAAACACCAAATATCAAATCAGCAATTTTCTCACTCTGAATGCCTGAGCTGACATTGACACAGGGTCTTGTGCATTTGGCAGCATGAGGAGTTAGTGCCTGGGAGTCAAATATCCTCTGGGGCCCTCCAAAGCAGAGGCCCAAGCCCTGGAACACATAGGCCACACCCAGGCACATAAGCAGCCCTGTCTGGGGAGACTGCTACCTTCTAGCTTTTCTCAAATGTATATTTATGACCTGGAGAACCTTTTTAAAATGTGAATTCTGGTTAAGTATATGGTGCTGGACCTTCTAAGGATCTGCATGTCTAGCAAGGTTCCAGGTACTTTTAATGTTGCTGGTTCTGGCTCATACTTTGAGAAGCAAGTTCCTAGAGTCAGAGGGTATTTCCTCTATGTTATTTGTTACCAAAAACCCTTACAACTATGAACAGGTTTAACTAGGCATAAATGAAGATAACAGGTGGGAAAATAATTTCCGATATTTGGAAAATCCAACAAAAATTTAAATAATGTCTCAAAGAAATGAGAGAGGCCAGGCGTGGTGGCTCATGTCTGTAATCCCAGCACTTTGGGTGGCCAAGATGGGCAGATCACTCCAACTCCAACAGAGTTGGAGACCACTCTGGCCAACATAGCAAAACCCCATCTCTAATAAAAGTACAAAAATTAGCCGGGTCTGGTGGCGGGCGCCTGTAATCCCAGCTGCTCGAGAGGCTGAGGCAGGAGAATTGCTTGAACCCGGGAGGTGGAGGTTGCAGTGAGCTGAGATCGTGCCACTGCACTCCAGCCTGAAAAAAAAGAAGAAGATAAAAGAATAAATAAAATAGGTAAACTATGTAGTGATTATGAAAACACAGAAAAAAGAGCAGGCCAAGGAAAGGGAAATTGAGAGTGAAGAGTGGAGAGGGGGCTAGACAGCAAGATTGAGATTAAGTTTGACCAATGACGTGGAGGAGGGCAGGGAGTTAGCTGGGGAAGACATCCAGGGGAAGAGCATGACAGACAAAGGGGCTGCTGAGGCTGAACTCCCAAGGTCGGGGCAGGCCTTGCATGCTTGATCAACAATGAGCAGGTCAGTGTGGCTGAGCAGAATTGGCAAAGGGAGCATGGCAGGAGGTGAAATGAAAGGCAACAGGATCAGAATGCACAAGGCCTGGTTGGACACGTAAGGATTTGGGCCTTTCCTCTGAGTAAAACACAGAGCCACGGAAGTTTTGAGCGGGGGATGCTGTGATTTGATCTGCAAGCTGGGTGAAGACAAAGCATAATCAGGGAGACCTATCACGAGGCCGTTGCAGTCATCTAGGTGAAGCTGATTGTGGCTTGTTCCAGGTGATGGCAATAGGGCTGGGAAGAAGTGGTCTCATTCGGGATTTACGCGTTTTGAAGATAGAACTCTCAGGATTTCCTAAGGTATTGGATGTGGAGTTTGAGAGAAGAGAGGAACTGGGGATGACTCCTGGGTTTTTGACCTGAGCAACTGGAAGGATAGGGTTGCCATTGACTGAAATGGCAAGAGGTTACGGAGGACCTGGAGGTGCAGATCTGTGCAAGTTTCCACAGCAAGTCCTGGCAGCACTGGGAGCAGAGCCAGGGCTTCTGGCCTCCAGGATTTCTAATGTGTCCATTTCTCTCCGATTTGGTATTTCTTATTCTAATTACAGCCAAATAAGTAAACAAACATCTTTTGTTGTTTGACGTTTTATCTTTGCCCACCTTTCTTAAGCAGGTTAACCATTAACCACTGTTTAACCATGTATAGTTAACCTGTTTTGCTTGTTGACTGACACATAGGACTTATTATGTGCCAATCGCTGTTCCAAGAGTACCACACACAGGAACTCCCTCTGCACAACAGCCCCACCAGAGAGGGATAAGAAAGCAAGGCGCAGAGAGGTTGGGTAATGCCATGGATACCTCACAGCTTGTAAACAGTGAAATCTGTGCTTTTATCCCAGTGTAAGAACATTGAGATTTATGTAACTTCTGAGCATTGAGTCTCAGAGACACCCATGGGGCGGATGGAAAACACCACTTCTTTCACCTTTTCTGTCATATGGACATCACACACACACACACACACACACACACACACACACACACACACACCCGTCAGCCATCTTTGTTCCATAACAACATGTTTTGCTCAGTCTCCACAGTCCTGCCTCTGCTGCTGACTTTGTTCCTTTCCTCCCTGTAATCTTCCAGCAGCAGGTGGGAGCCACCTGCTCCAAAAGTACTAAAAGGTCCTTTTCTGTTTTGCTGCCAAGTGAGCAGCTCAAAGATTCTGCCTTTGATTGACATTTCTAAAAAACTTCTGGCTGAAAATGAAAGTACTTTTCACTTGGCATAATATTCAAACTGCCAGTTGCTTCCAACTAATGAAGAACCTGTTTATGTTGATGGCAGATTTGTTCATAAAAGCATATACAGACCATTCCAAAACGCTCCAGGATAATTGGTTTTCAGTCCCCCAGTTTCACATTAAAAACAACAACACACAAAATACTGCCCCTGCAACTGCCAACCTTATGTCTTGGACTTTTGGGTAACTCTCTGACCCTTTCTCTTACCTGCTCTCCTGCTAGCATCTAGCAGAGGTGCTCAAAAAATATGCATCCAATTGAAGGAAATTGCTCCATTTAAGGCTGCAACTGGAATCTTGCTCAATTTTGTACTGCAATTTGGAACTAATGGCTGGCTAGAAATTGAACAATCTATACATTATACAGAGTTCACTGTGATGTCTAAATCTACCATTCAGTTTTTTTCATGTCTTACTGAGGTCAGAGTAGCGTTGAGATTTTTTTTTTTTTTGAGACAGTCTCGCTCTTTCGCCCAGGCCTGACTGCAGTGGCGCTATCTCGGCTCACTGCAAGCTCTGCCTCCCGGGTTCACGCCATTCTCCTGCCTCAACCTCCCGAGTAGCTGGGACTACAGGCGCCCGCCACTGCACCCGGCTAATTTTTTTGTATTTTTAGTAGAGACGGGGTTTCACCGTGTTAGCCAGGATGGTCTCGATCTCCTGACTGACCTTGTGATCAGCCTGCCTCGGCCTCCCAAAGTGCTGGGATTACAGGCGTGAGCCACCGCGCCCGGCCGCATTGAGATTTTTAAGGTCTGGCTTTTTATTGTGGCCTCAGAAATAGAGGCTCATAAGATGCTATTATTGAGGATAATAATAATAGTGAGAGCAGCAAGCTCTGATGGGCTATGGGCAATGCTGTAGGCAAACCCTTGCTGTATTAGTCAAAATCAAAGAGAAATGGACATTGGTAAAATGACAAATTTTATCCTAAGCTTTTAGAATTGGAAGGAAGCTTAGAGACAAATGTGTTAAAACTTAGCTTATTTGACAGACGAAGAAGATGAATTCTGAGAGGCCATGGAATTTTCCAGGATCACATAGAGAGTTAACAGTAAGGCTCTGAGATTCTGGCCCCTGCCTCCTCCCCAGAACTTCTCTACACTGCCTCCTTAGTGAGCTAACTTAAGGTCTGCACTTTGGAGAGGCAGCAGAGGAATTGAGGGGCAGGGGTGCAGTCCACAGCCAAGTTACATAAGTGGAAGAAAACACAAAGAAAATGATTAGTGCTATAATGCCACATGTTTTAAAGATCTCAGTCATTACCTCTATAAGATGCTCCTGCCTATTAAATGGAAGGGGTTCAAGAGGATTTTCTGGAATTTTTATATCTTCATCTCCTGTAAACCACAGACCAGCCTACATAAAAAATAAAAATGAAAATTGTTAAAGTATGTATTTTGCTGAGATGTTCCTCTAAAAGCCACAGAGACTGAGCCAATCTTGTCTCTAGAGCAGTTGTCTCCCAAGTAGGATGCAGAAACCACAGGGGTGTAGGAGAAAATACTAGAACTTCCATTTACATTTCTTTTTATCTCATTCTTACATAATTTTTATTTTTACATCTTTGATTATGTTCATAATGTATTAGTGCTGTAGTATATGTATATAATTTATAAATAAGTATCCATAGATTAGGAGTGCTGGCTATTTTTAACGATTGGATCGTGTGATGACGCTTGGAGGCTGCTACCCTGTATTAATCTTGCATTAGTCATATTTCGGAGGAGTCTGTGCCCCCATTAAAAATAGCTCATATTCCTTATGTCCTGTTCATGTCCTATCTGTTTGTGGAGACTTGCATGGTGCTGGTGTACATTGCTAGTTTTAGAAAACTCTTTGTTAAGTAACTGAATGACTGACTCAAGATCTCGGTGACCTCTTATTCATGACGTCCCTCTGTCTCAGTGTATAACTGACACCAATTAGAACTTCATTTCCGCAATGCAAGCATACTATTTTACTGTCCTAATGGGGCGTTTTCGACAAATCTTATAAAATTTTGACCTAAAGTTATTTTGATTTTTCCACTGAAACAACATTGTGGGGGGAGGGGCAATGAGCTGGCAAGTGCTGACAATCTGTGAAAGGCATGCAGGCTGGTCAAGTGGGCCTTTTCAAATGGGGGTTTCAGAGGAGGGGGACCTGAGGGCGGAAGGGCAGAGGGCAGAGCTCAGAAAACAACTGTTCCTAAAACACAGGTAGTGTTCAAAGAAGTATTGCTGAGTTTCTCTTAAACACAGCATCCAACTTTCTCTAAGAAACTCACACCTTTGGTAAAATAGTTTTCTGGTTTTAGCTCAGCACTTTGGTGAAAATTGCCAACACCCTTTGTTCTTCTCATGTTTGTGCAAAAGGACGTTCAAATTGATATCCTATGTTAATTGCCACATACAATAAATAGCGAAGGTCAGTAATTTCACGAGTGCGCACTTTTAAAAATCTTAAGACAGCTATGGAAACAGAGTAAGTTTTGCTCTGCTGCTTTTGTTTTCAAACAAAACCACCTTAACAAATTGTAAATCTACTTGGAAAATAAATGTAGCAGAGCTCAAATAACTGAACACCTGTCTTGATCAGCCCTGAAAGAGCCTTGTCATAGTTTGTGTTTTTCCTTCTGGCTCAACTCCATGAGCCTGGAAACCTCAGAGCTCTCTCAAAAAAAAAGAGGCCATGCATTAAGGAAGAAAAGGGAAACAGGAAGGGGTATGATTGGTGAAATTCATGTGAGATGCAGGCACCTGGAAAGTATTACTCTGTTTCAAAGTTAGCTCCTTCTGAAAGTTTCCCTATTTCATGTCTACCAGCAATGTGAAATGGTGTGAGCAATATAATGACATTAATCAAGTAAGTAATTCAGGCCCCTCTCAGTTATGAAATTTTGTTTTTACTCTTGTCTTACTCAGACTTCTAAAAAATCAGTTGACTTTTCTTGTCCTCACTTCCTAAAGACCCATTCATGTCCTCAACCCTCTGCCATCTAACTTCTGTACTTATTATTCCACCAAAATTTCTCTAGCACAGGTTACCGGTTACATGCCACCTGCCACGTCCAGTGGCCAACTATTACATACCCTACTGGGTTATCCATTACTTTCCTTGAGTGATCTCATACATTCATAAATTCAATAACCACTTACATGATATTGACTCATGATCCCTTCTGTATGGGCCATATTAGATTGGACATTTCTCTCTTCATTTCCCACAGATATTTCAAACTCAGCTTCTCAAAAATAATCTCATCATTCATCACCCTCTCACCCCAAAGAAAAAAAACCTGCTCCTTTCCCTGTGTGTGTGTGTGTGTGTGTGTGTGTGTGTGTGTGTGTGTTTTAACCACTGTTCTTTCTACGCTGGGAGCTTAGAGTATTGGACATTGGACCTATTAAAAGCTTTGCAGATGATTCTAATGTACAGCCAAGGATAAGAACTACTGGTTAGGAACTCAGGAGAAGAACAATAAAGTTTATGTAACTGCTTTCAGAACCTTTTGTTCTCCTGGAAGTTCTGACTTTTTCAGATCTTTTCCCTGGGGATGGAAGCCAGGCTTCTGGCTGGGGCTTTGACACTGCCTGTGCTGCCTCTGGGTGCCTAGACATGGGGAGCTGAGAAGCAATGCACTGGCCTGAGACCTGTCAATGTAACATCATTGAGTAATTCACTTCTTAGGTCACAAGTGTTCTGGTGTTATCAATGCCATCAGGTGCTGGTAACAACCTGCATATACTGCTCAAAAGTGATGGTGCCCAACTGCTCCTTATCCACAGCCTTGAACTTCTGAAGGGTCTCAAGGAGCTCCTCCTCCAAGGGAATGGGCCAAGGCATTGAGGTTACTAACAGGAACTTCCGCCAGTCCACGAACTCGGAGTTGACTGTTAATAAAGATGTTAATTCCTGTAACTAGAAGAAAACAGGAAATATCTTTGGAATATCTACATGAATCTATCTTGATGCTCTACTTGCTCATATTTTCATAGTGAGAGTTTCCCATGAAAGAAGTAGGACTTTTCACTGGCACATAGAATCAGTTCTGACTTTTGTTTCCTTTATTCTACCAACCATCCACACCAGAAAGCACCTAGAAAGTGTTTCATTTTTTGCTTCCTTGACATTTGTGATTTTTGCTTACCATTATACCATCAATTACACACATCACTCCAGTTAACTTTGTACCTTTCCAACAGAAGAGAGACAAAAATTATAGCTGTGCCTGTGCAAGGGCTTTGTGGCCCATGGGGGAATGCTCTTTAAGCATTTTGTTTTCTGAACATTCTTAAGGAAAATGTTATGATGAAAAGCAAGAACAACCAGAATTATCTACTATTACTAGTTAGGATCATTCCATTTGGTAATTTTAGATAGAAACTCACTGGTTGAACATCACAGTCTCTATAATATTTCACTGACAGATCATCACTTATTCTTCAAATATTGAGCATATGCATATTATATGTTTTAATTGGAAGTTCATTCATTTTTCATTCACTCACATTTCATTGATTGCCTACTAAATGTCAGACACTATGCAAGTACTCATTATTTTAGAACTATTGATGCATTGATCAAATAAGAATGCTTAAAGCTTTACAACTCAAACAACATAGAAGCTTACTTCAGGTTGGGTAAGGTGCATCCAATTACTAGGAAAGTTGTTTGTGCCAAGGTTCAGGGTCACCAAATCGATCAGAATGTCAGTAAATGCTTTATTTCCTATTATGCCTATAATACAATGAAAAATATTTTGTCACTTGGTTTAGGTGATGGTTTTTCTCTTCTTTTGCTAAAATAGAAGCAATGAGTATTTTAAAACTCTCTTTATTCATATTATATAAAATGGTAAGTTTTAAAGAAACAGAAGACATTTTGGAAATATAAAAATTATAATTTCCTGATGCTCTCTCATTATTGTTTCTCAACTAAGTCAAAATGCCTTTTTTGGCTTAGTAATAATTAAATCCAGATTGAGTAAAATTATAAAACTGTATACTTTTTAGTTTAGAGTCTTCTTTGACTTTTCACTCAGAATAGGCTAAATTTTTAAAAAATATATATGATTTTAAGGTTTCCTACATGCTGTAGGGCACAAGAGTAAAATATTTTGGCAAATATTAGATAAAAGTGTTCCAAATGCATGCAGATCACCACTACAATCAAGGTAATACATTTATCCACATCTTGCCTTTTGGATCAGACCATATTTGCTTTTGTAAATCTAGAGAAATTTGAACTGTTAAATTACTGGATTGAAAGTGCTAATTTAGTCACCTAATTGGCTCAGTATTCCTAAGTATTTCATGAAAGACTACTAACCTTTTAAAATCTTTGCTCTTATGAACTAACCTACTTAACTCAATTTAAAAGAGATGTCTACCTTGTTTTTCACTTCAAATTGCATGCACAAGCATTAAGAAATAAATAAGAAAACAAAATAAATGAATCTGCTTTTAAAAAAAAATGTCTGGCTAACCAACACAAAGAGGTACCTTCTAGAACAAGGAGAGACTCCTAATGTGTATCCAGGGATCTTTCAGGTCCAGAGTACATAGCTATTCTTTGTTTTAGGAATAAAAAGAATGAAACATAGACACACTATCCCAAGGTTTTCTTTTTACATCAAAGTTTTTAGCATTTCTAAAAGTCCACATGAACTTTATCATTTCCTCTAACCTCCAGGGAAATGCAATAATCCTTCTAAAATCTCAGTGCTTCGAATCAAATACACAATTTTGAGATCTGGAAGGTAATTTTCTGGGTAGCAAGAGTGAAACCTTTCTTCTTTGATATAATTGGCCATCCAGCAGGCTGTTCAGAAATACATTCTGTATCCTTTTTCATCAAACCTGAGTATCCAGTTTTATAGACATGAGAGCATTTTCCCAGATAGCAGAATTTTCAGTGAACTGAGGTTTATAAGATCCTATGTGGGTTTTTAGCTAAGTCAGACATAAATTAGTTATGTTCTTCAAGCTACAGCCATTAATAGAATCCACTGAAACCGTGAAGAGGCTCAAAGCATTTTAAAAATCTTGTAAGCTGCAATACATTTCCACAATCTCTAATGGATACGGGGCAAAACAAAGTGTTATAAGACAGTACTTACAGTTTACATAAGAATTGTTTACCTGAGGATTTAGCATGAAATGTGAAAACTGTTTTAATATTTGCCTTTGTTACTTAAATGGCCAAAGCATGTAGTGATATGGTTGCAATAACATAATTACATAAACTTATAAATTTTGTTCACAGATGAAAAGAGAAGCTCTCTTTCAATTTGACTCTAAGTTAATTACCTAATGCAACTATCACTTAGAATTATTGAGGAAAAATAATGAATTGTATGCCAGGCCTAAGGGAACTCAGACCGTAATCATAGTCTGGTCACCCTTAGGAATAACTGAAAAAAATGACATCAAAATAACACCATTGTGTAGCAGCATACAGCTCCACCAAAAGAGTGTGAAAGAACACAGGAATACATAAGTGAAGTTAGAAAGCTATAGAAGAAACAATCTTGGGCTTTTTACTCTGTATGTTTGGAAGAAGCCAAATGCCTTTTGTTTGATGTGAAGAGAAGTTACTGTTTTACTTTTAAATTCCAGGCTTCTGGAAACCATTTATTTTATTTTATTTTTTACTATGCAAAAGAGCTACATTGCTAAGCAACAAAAATGTCAACATTTGCATATTGCTAATCACTTTCATTTTCTGAGTTTGATGAGCAATCTGAATTAGATCTTGTGTCACCAGTTGAAGACGGTGTTCTTGCATTCCATAAATGGATAGCTTTCCTAGGGTCAAAATTATTAATGTCTGGAGAATTCAACTGAATAATTAGGACATCCGTCATACTTTCAGCCTTGATTTTTGCATGCATATGTGACTTGGTCCATTTCATCTGACTAAAGCCATGTTCTGCTTCAGCTGAACTTGCAGGAAGGGTCAACACTAGGTCGACTAGTGTCAGGATATTTGGATACTTGTGTAAGTAAATGGAATTCACAAAATCCCAGGTCAATTTTCGAATGTTCTGAAATCTAGGAGGGAGGAGAAGAAATGTAAAAGATTGAGACTCCCAAGTTTTACCCAAACATTTATAAATATCCACCACTTTCCTCAGCTTGCTTTCTTGCTTACCTGGCATAAATCTCTAATTTCAACATGCTCCATTCAGTATCCACTTCACTAAGTTTCACATTGGCAGCTTCTAATACTGGTTCATAATGTGCAGTCAGGATGGATACCTCTTTTTCTCCAAATTCTATAATCAAGATGCCAAAAATAGTCACATATATAAAAGAAACTCACACAGACCATGGGAGAATAATAGGTTCAAAGTCAGCACATATAGATTACCTTGATTTATCTTTGTGGGCCACAATTTAAAACTTCCAATCACGGTAGCCCTCACCACATTTTGGCTGGCATCTCTGAAACAGCCTTGAAGTCTCTTGATAAGATGTGTTAAAACAATGTTTCTCACAGCAGAAATGTTTTCTTTCCCTCTGAGGCAGTTACCATGAAAGTGTGTGGCTGAATCCACCATGCGTTCTTTTGGCCCTAGTCTGGGGAGAAAAGAAATCACCCAAATAACAACTAACAAATTAAATGAAGAAACATCTGGCAGATAATTTCGCAAGTCAAACTGTCTAGTTTGACAGACCTCAGATCATCCCAACCTCTCACCTTGTTTGATACATTTGGAGCATTTCCAGCATTGACTCTAAAGTGGCAAATATGTCAGCAATTGAGGAATTTCTATTCTTATTGACACAGGACAGAATGCTAAGGACATTCATGACATCCAACAAGAAGTGGGCAAATTTAACAATGTCAGCTTGGAGAAGGGACTCCAGAAGTTCTTTGGGTTTCTTTTGACTGGTGTCACTTTTGCCTCTGCCTGCCTGTAACACAGGTTGGGAACAACATAGTGGTTATCTTTCCCAAAATTATTATTCCAAGGAGCTCAAGGAAAGTATTTTCTGTGATTCTGAAAAAGCAAAATAATACGATATTTCAAAATTACTTACTGAGTGCAGTTGCCGAACAATTGCAGGATATCCCTTGAGAAAGTTCTGGAGGGCTGCCTGTAATCCATGAAGCCACTTCCTGTCTCCTATTTGAGAAGGCATCACAGGTCGAAGGTGAAGGCCTTTGAAAGCAGTTCTCAGAGCACTCTTATGAAGAGGAGAATTGTGATAAAAGTGATAAATGCTGTGAAGGAGGTCTTTGACATCATTGTACAGAGGAATGTTCTGGAACACCGCTTTGTAAGATAGTTCAAGGTGATGTGCAAAGCAATATACAGTTTGTACACATGGTTGTATTTCTCTTAATAGTAGGGCCACCTCGTTGTTCTCTCCCTCTATGCTATGGGTACCATCACTTCCAAAACCAACCAGCTTCTTTGCCCAGTCTTGGCTCGACAGTCTAAGTTGAAGATTTATCTCTAGAGTTTTCTCAATGGCATTTTTTATTGCCAGAGGATCATTTCTTTCTACTATCTGTACCCCAACAATTTGACAGTGCACCTTTCCTGCATGTGCAAACTGCACATAGACAAGTTCGGCTTCTTTGATTAAACTGTCTATGATTCCATCACTGATGACAGAGAAAAATTTACTTTTTTCTAATTTCTCTCTTAGATTTTTTCGTTCTACTTCAGCAATAAAGTATGTAAACATTCTTGCTGATTTTTTAGTTCTGAATACTGGGCCAATATCAACACCTTTCATATCATCTAATTTGCACATCCAAATAAAATCTTTGAGGGGACGTCCGGTCTTGGCAATAGCATGGCATGATCTGAATAAGTTCTCTACTCTCCCGAGGGTTACTTTGCTCATGGTCCTCATCATTAGTTTGGTGGTGGCTCTGTTCACTGGAGAGCTACTTGTTGCTTCCATTAATGAGGCCTTGGCATGAGCCTCGCTGAGATGATGTGCATTGAGAAATTCAGTCCTAAAGTTGTCAGTACCATAAAAAAAATTCACTTGACTTCCCCCTGACTTCACTCCATGCTTACGACACAAGGCGCAGAACATAAGATTTAATAGCTCATCATATATAAGCCATGGATATTTTTTAAGCCAAATTTTCAAAAATTGATGGCTTCTTTTTGGAAGATAATGGTCAAGCTTCTGCGGCCTTTTCTGCTTTTCGGTGACTCTATTCACACCATCCGAAGGATTCCTGCCTTTAAAATAACTCCACATTGTTATTTTAAGTAATCCCAATTTCTACCCTCAGTTTTGCTTAATCTCTGACCCCTACATTTGCTCACTAGTTTTTGAAAAATTTTATGGAGTGCTTATTAATTACCAGGCATTCTGTTAAGTGCTTTAACTAGTTTATATCACAGAATCCTCACAAACCATTACCCCTATTATATGGTTCAGAAAATGCACTGACTATTATTATCACCGTTGCATGGATAAGAAAGCTGGTGCACAGGGAGGTTTATTAAACTGTCCAATGTTGCAGTGCCTGTAAGTGGTGGAGCGGAGTTACACCAGTAGACCGACACTCCACAGCCTGTTTGTACACTTCCCTCTTACACGCGTCTTGTATGAAGAAAGGAGTGCTATGCTCTTCTTCACTTTAGAATCCATTTCTCCATACATAAGAGTGACATGGCTTTTAGCTAAAATTTTCTTCCCTTGGTGAGAAAAAGGAATAATAGAGCATACATGGTAGTGTGTCTGCAAGGTCTGCCTTGGACATCCCTTCCCTCCTGCCTAAGTCCTACCTTCTGTTGCAATGCCACAGCAAACTTGTTAATTTACCAAAAAAAAAAAAAAAGGGTGTGAAGCTTTGAAATCCTTGCCAGGTGGTTTTGTAAAGGAGCTGTGCCTCATGCCTCATCTTTTTCTTTCCCCCAAACGTCTAATTTTTGAGACATATTTGATTATTTGTCACACAAGGGGACATATATTTATCTGAACAGAAGGATAAAAAACTAAAAACTACACAAAACAAAGTCCTCAAATACCAGTTTCTCCCTGAAGGCAGAGAGCCTAGATCACATATATGTGTTCCTTCTACACATTCTTTGATGCTACTAATCATTAGATTATGTTGTCCTGTTTTATCATATAATAAAAAATTGAATATATGTGTTTATTAAAATATTTCATGACATATATTCTCTTTTTTTGTCAATACTTTATGGTTCTAGGGTTTGACCCCTCTGACTAGAACTAAATAATGTGCTTCATAATGTCTGGCTGACTGCTAAGCACTTGGTAGATGTTTAAGAAAATTAATCTCCTTTCCTAATTGGTTTTCATGATTTCATATCTCAATCCCTTTTAACTGAAAACCTTGACATTAGTTGACCTGCCTCTGCCTTTCATACCTTATTTGGGTCTAACTTCTCCTTTGCTTTTTTTGTTTTTTTTTGAGATGGAGTCTCCCGCTGTCGCCCAGGGCTGGAGTCCAGTGGCACGATTTTGGCTCACTACAACTTCCGCCTCCTGGGTTCAAGCAATTCTCCTGTCTCAGCCTCTTGAGTAGTTGGGAATACAAGCAACTGCCACCACGCCCGGCTAATTTTTGTATTTTTATTAGAGACGGGGTTTCACCATATTGGTCAGGCTGGTCTCGAACTCCTGACCTCAGGTGAACCACCCACCTCGGCTTCCCAAAGTGCTGGGATTACTGGCGTGAGCCACCACGCCCAGCCTCTCCTTCGCTTTTTAATCAGTCTTTTTGCGGCTCTGGTTAAAATAGAACCCATTTTTGCGATTCTAAATGTTACTGTATTTCATTTAAAATTAGTCTCCTTGTAGTTGACAGCTACTGCCTGCATTTTCTTACTCAAGCATTGGGCTACTTGTCAATCTTCCGTATTAGGCCAGTTGCACTACACCTGGGGGCTGCTCACATAATGCTGGTGAATAAATGAATAAAGAAATGAAAAAATAAAGTCTCTTTTTGTTAAAGTCTCTTTTTGTCTCTGTCTCAGAGACAGAGGGTACACATTCAGAACTCTGGGCTGTAGTGGTTAAGCTAGATCATTCAGCAGCATGGTTTTTACAGGAGTTCAAAGGCAGAAGTAGCTACTGTTGCCTATGTGAGTCAGCGTGAGGGTTAGCCCAGAGGCTTTTGAAACTGAACTTTCCAGGAAGAAAAGCAGGGGAAGGGTATTCCAGGCAAAGGGGAAAATGGAGCAGCTGCGCAGATTTTGAAATTGCATGACACATTGAGGGAGCATGGTAGCTCATGGCTGTACTCTCAGCACTTTGGGAGGCCGAGGTGGGAGGATCACGAGCCTAGGAGTTCAAGACAGAATAGGCAACACAGTGAAACCTCATTTCTACAAAAAAAAAAAAGAAAAGAGAAGAAAATTAAAAAAACAAATTAGCTGGGCATGCTTGCAGGCACCTGTAGTCTCAGCTACTTGGAAGGCTGAGGTGGGGGGGGGTTGTGCTGAGGCTGTAGTGAGCCATGATTGTGCCACTGCACTCTACCCTGAGCTACAGAGTGAGACCCCATCTTAAAAAAATTATAAAAATTTAAATTTAAATTAAAAAGTAAATTTAAAATTAAAATTAAAATTAAAAAAATTTAATTTCCAATATTGATTTTGCTAGTTTCAAAACAGAATTTTAGTTCTATGGACAGATTTTCCTAAAGATATTACCTTGAATTCTGAGTATATACTTTCATTTGTCTAACGTAAGTTGTCTGGCTTCAGGAAAATACCTGTGTGTTTCATTCTGAAGACACATTTGAAACTCTACTCATAAACAGTTTTAACAGATCTAAAGCCTTCTAGATCCACTACTGCATTTCTGTGATCTGAATCTGATCTGGTGGAAAGAATTCACCCATTGAAGGAAGCAAAGGCAGGTGGGGGCCATAGTCCTCTTTGCTGTAATCCCTATATTTTGCCACTTGCTGTGATAATTCTGTCAATAACACCTATTCTTCTATATCATTCCCTTCTCTAAGAAATCTTTCTGTACTTCTTGATTTGGGTAAATGTCAGACTAACTTAGACAATTTTCAGATCAAAATACTTACCTGCAAATACATAATATTGTATTTTTATAATTTTCTCAGAGGCACTAAGCCTGGAAAAATCCATAGAACTTTCTAGTTACTCCTTTCAGGCAACCAACCACTCAGGTGCCCTTATTCCTGCCTCTGGGTTCTCTGAGGCTTTGCAGAGAGACTGACAGTGCCTGCCACTCTCTCACACATATAGCCTCTTCCCTGCTCCAATCCATTCTCCATGACACTTGGCTCTAAATGCCTTTGAAAATCCTCTCCTGCATGTTCTTTGCAAGCCACTGGAGACTTCACAACCTGACCACAAGCTCTCTGTGGTCCCACCTCCTGCCTCTTGTTTGTTCACAGTTCCCTCAATATGTCATGCAACCTCAAAATCTCCACAGCTGCTCATCCCTTTGCCTGGAATACCCTTCCCCTGCTTTTCTTCCTGGAAAGTTCAGTTTCAAAAGCCTCTGGGCTAACCCTCATGCTGACTCACATAGGCAGCAATAGCTAGTTCTGCCTTTGAACTCCTGTAAAAATCATGCTGCTGAATGATCTAGCTTAACCACTACAGCCTAAAGTTCTGAATGTGTACCCTCTGTCTCTGAGGCCAGTCATTAAATCCATCCATCTCGCCCGGGCGCGGTGGCTCATGCCTGTAATCCCAGCACTTTGGGAGGCTGAGGCGGGCGGATCGCGAGGTCAGGAGATGGAGGCCATCCTGGCTAACATGGCGAAACCTTGTCTCTACTAAAAATACAAAAAAATTAGCCGGGTGTGGTGGCGTTTGCCTGTAGTCCCAGCTACTCCGGAGGCTGAGGCAGGAGAATGGCGTGAACCCGGGAGGTAGAGCTTGCAGTGAGCAAAGATCGTGCCACTGCACTCCAGCCTGGGCGACAGAGCAAGACCCCATCTCAAAAAAAAAAAAAAAATCTATCGGTCTCCAAAAGGGGTTCAAAGAAGGGGTCCTTGTCAGCTTCTTAGAGCAATGTTACAGGCCTTGAATAAATAAATGCTGCATCTTTTGAAGAAAAAGAGAGGGTGTAGAATTTGCTAAACTATGTTCTCTTCAGGTAGGTTCTCAGCAGAAGCGAAAATAGCTATGCACCAAATCTCTGCAGGCATTTCATTGAGTACCGATGGGCTTACAAGGAAAAAGAGTTCTTATGGCTTAAGTGCAGACAGAGGAACATTGCTAAGTATTCTAGTTTCAACAGAATCCAAATTGCTTCCATCAGAAAAAGGCTGTCTTCCTTATGTATTTGGCACTTGATGTTTGGAGACAAGATGTACCTACCCAGAACTTACTGGAGCACACAAAATGAATGCTTTTGTTTGGAATGCTTGTACTCCCTAGGAAACCACATTACTTTATGATTTAATTCTACCAGGTGGTGTACATTTTTTTGGAAGCACTCAGGGGTAATATTGCAAATGCCTACTAGGGTATTTCCATCTTCAAGAAACCAAGCTAACATTTTGGATAATAGAATACTTTGTATCAATATTGTATATTATATACTAATATGACATTACTATAATTATATAATCAAGTCACAATGGCTTATATGATTACACTTAAATTGCACATTCTATGTGCTATACTCTTTCTAAGCACTTTACATATATTAATTACTTTAATCTTCATAACAACCTTATTTCAATACATGGAATAAGTATCATTATTATTCTCATTTTACAGATGTGGTAACTGAGGCAGAGAGAAATTTAATAACTTGTCCAAGATCATATGACAGTCTTTTGACAAGAGGTGAACTTGAGAAAGAACTGTTTGACTCTAGCCATCCCATCATAGACTGAGGTGGATAATAAGTGAATTCACATATGAAAATGTTAGCAAAGGGTCTGACACATAGTGACCATGCCAAATTGGCTATTGTTATAATTCAGAAAATATTCACTAGATCTAACTCTGCCGGTAGTACGCTCATAGGAATGATTCCTAGGATAGGTGATGGAAAGAATGGTTTGCTTTCTTTTACTCATACTGTTCTTATGCTTCTAAAGTATGGATCTTTGTTAAGTGGCAGGAAAAATGCAAGTGTAATCAACTGTTTCATTGCATTTTGCATGATCTAATTTGATTATCATGTATAAGGTCATTATTTTTTCTGGTATATTTGTGTTAATAATAATCAATAAATAATATTTTATGTCTAATCATTACCTTTACCAAAAGAGAGGTAGAATCATCATAAGTGGCAGAATTTGACCAGAAAAGGAGTGTTGAATATGTTACAATATATGATGCTTTTCAATTTTATGTTATCTTTAGTAAGGGCTATTTTAATGGAGACTTTTGTTTTCAAAGGGATTAACCAATACTTAGCAGAAAACCCCTTAAGCTTTAGTTCTTTCCATTTACATCTTGATACTATCTAGTTGCAAGTATTTAAAGCATTCAGTCATTGTTCTAATCAAAGATTAAATAATAATCCAATACTTGTATTTGTGTGGCATGATTAAAACATGCAAAGTGTAATTTAGTAACATCAGTGCTTTTTATAAATCTGCTAAAAAATCCTACCATGGGCCTAGTAACATAATGGCTGTTATATGCAAATAAATATGTATGCTTCCCTCCCAAAAAAATCCATCTGTTTTAATATATTTTAGTGAACTTGAAAGTTGCATCTTAGATATTATGGATTGCATGGGCATATATGAAATAATATAGGAAAATGTTTTTATTTCTTGGCATAGAAATAATAGCAAGTTTGAGCAGGAAGTTCTGCAGGATCACACATTTGAAACACACATGTTCAGCCAGCTCCTCCACACTTTCAAACCTGCTATCACTCACTAAGATTGTGTTTTGAAATTATAGAGTTCTAGGGTAAATACAGTGGAAGGTATCATAAAGGATTGTTTTCCATTTCTTGGAAGAAATACAACAAAAGCCTTCATTTAAAAGACGGATGGGTGTGTGTCATGTTTCTTAAGTGAACAATTGCCAAACCGGGGTAGAAAAACAAAAAAGCCAGAGTATACTTTGTGGGGCCAGAAGAGATGGGGAAAAGGGGTGAGTGGCAGTTAATGGGTTTCCTCAGGCAGGGCCATTGTCAATGTTTGGAGCCTGATTTCAAGAGTATCAGTAGAGAACCTCCAATTCTGTGACTCTGGGATGCAGAAAAATGGAGTAATACTTTTCCCTGCCCTCTATAAGAATAGCAAGAATAATAACAATGAACGTTACTCCTGTCAATCAAATTCCCAACACTTATTAATTATTTTAGATATACCTAAAAAGCAATATATGCAATATATATTTTTTCAAATGGTATAATTGAGCTAATAGAGAAAAGAGTTTAAACTGTTTGCCCATAGACCATACATAACTCACTTTGAATCATCACAATCCCCAAATCCTACCGTATTGTATAGCCTTGTAAATTCTGTGGTAATTACAACTGTTATTCTTGCATATGGGTTAATTCTCCAGCTTGGGTGGGAGGAGGTGGTTCCTCACACAGAGAAAGCCTCCTCTTCTACTCGCCTGGAGTTCATGCAGTTGGAGAAAGAAAAGCAGAGCAGTCTCCTAAACATTTCCCAAACATCATGCTCCTATCCTCACGCTTCTTGTCTACAGAGTTTCCAGCAGCTGTTCCCCTAACTGTAAACATTCTCTGTAGCCTTGCCACAAAATCTCTTTACCCTCTTCAATTTCTCCCTCCAAAGTTTTGCTCCACAGACTTTTCCCTGACCAATTTCAGGGCACACTGATGCTTTGCATTCTTGAGCACTTGAATAACATTCATACTGTGTCCCAGAAAGAACTCAAATAGTTGTTCATATTTCCTTCCTCTTTGCTTGCCTTTTCAAATTAAACTCTCAGCTCCTAGGGCAAATGGTTTCCTTTTACTCTGCTTTTAAAAAAATAAAAATTAAAAAAAAAACAACTCCGTTTCTCCCTCCCTCCCTTCCTTTACTTCCTCTCCCTCCCTTCTTATTTCTCCCATAGTCTGAAAACATTTATCTGTTGACATCTTTGTGTCCCAAGGGTTTCTAGAGTTAATCTTCTGAGACACATGTCAAGTTATAGCTGCTATTTTTTAAAATTTATTTTTAAATTTTTAGTGGAAATATGAGCTCTGGATTTGAGGTTGGATCCAAGAAAGTATTATGATTAGCATCATGGATACTAGGGTCCCTGCTGAAAGATATATTGTAAGTGGATGATAATTTTCAAAATCCACTTCTACCTATTCAAGTGTCCCCAGATGCCTTTAGTTTTTACCTATTAATTGAGTGATTTCCTCCCAGTCACCAGAGTGTAGGATTAAAGCAAACCACATGTCATGTTTAGAATCCACTTACACTTATCTTTTTATTTTATGTGTAAAATAATGGCCTGGATAAAATGAAGAGAAAAAGCAACTCTGAAGAGGGAAGTACATAATAACAGGGCATTGTGGAGCTCGCACCATGTAGAAGAGGGTGCACTCTGTCTGACTAAAGGACTGAAGGAATTTCATGGACTGATTTGTAAAGTCGAGATTTTTTGTACCTGCTGATGGCCATGTTTCCTTCGTGCCCAAATGCTGCCAAATGGCACCTCCGTCCCTCCACAGCTGAAGTGTGGGCTTTTATACCTTGGAGCTGTAAAGCCTGCTCTAGCTGATTTGATGAGCTGACACATCAAAGCGCAAGGTTCACCCAGGCACACACACATACACCAATTTCACCTATTGGGCTTGGCAAGGAAGCTTTCGGACTTAGAGTAATGCTCTTTTTACTAATGATATATGATGTGAATTTCTGGAAATACTGGACTTTTTTAAAAAGTAACATTGTATTAATACTAAAGTCAGTTGACTATGCTACAGGGAAAAGTAATAATTTCCCAATAAGTAGTATATGTTGAAAAGTAAAAGAAATCTGCTTATGAGAGGCAACTTAGTTCAGTGAGAAGGGGCAAGAACTTTGGATCTGCAGAGTTCTGAATGATATATGACCATAGGCAAAAAATCTGCTAAACTCCTCTGTGAGTCAGTATCTAGACCTTTAAAGTGGAGATGATAATCCTATGTGATCTGTCTGAATTACTTGTGCTATCAATCGACAGAACTCATTGAAGAATATCTGGAAGTAGGAAAAGGCTGAATAAAAAAAGCCTGTGCAGATGCTGTAGGTCCATGCTGATAAAATGTGAAAGAGATAAAATTGTTGTGTGCAGAAAACATTTACACATACATATGAACAAACCGACTAATTAATTAAGCAAACATTTTCTAACAGCTTATTTGATTCTGCTTATGGTCTACAAGCACTGAGGGAAAAGGCCAACATAAAAGGGAAATCTTCTACTGCCTGGTCTCCCCTCACAGAAACACAAACTCATAATCTCAATATAAAATCTAAACTAGAAGTATGCACAAAGTCTTTCTGTAAGCTGCCAGGTGGAGTAATACTCAAATATACAAACTTGTCAGCAAGGGTCGGGGAGGACAGGAGAGAGGAATTACCAGGAATGAGGACCACCACACTGCTCAAGCATTATTCACAGTGGGTCCTGCTTGTTTAATTAGGGTCTATGTTGTATGAAACAAATATTTAATAAACTAGAACAAAGCAAGGGCATGTTTTAGTGCCACATGATCCCATAGAGCTGATTTTACTTGTTGGCAAGTGATTTCTGTCCTGGTTAATCTTAACCTTTTTTTGTGCTCTTTTCATGATAATTATTTTTCCTACCTTTAGGTGCCATATCTAAGAACTGATCTCGAAGACTGTCAAGCTGTTCAATGGTCAGGGTACCATCTTCTTCCTTTTCTACAGGTGGAGGACGTATTGATGGGGGAGGATCTGGGAAGACTTTTATATTGCCATTAATGAAGAAGTCTTCTTGGCTTAAATAAAGTTCATTCTGAATTTTTGTAGATGTTTCAATGTGATAGCGAGCTACGTCAGTTAATTTTTCTGTACTGAAAGTGGTAAAATGGATAGCGTTAACCCCATGAAAGATACTATTAGATTAATAAAGTTTGCTTATAAGACATATACACAAAAGTAAACAGATTATATAGCTCTTAGACAACTCCATCTGCATGCTTATAAATTTCAATTTGTCCCCAAATCTATTTTGTAAAAAGGCAGGGTATAAATAAATGCAGATTAAATAGAAAATGCATGCTTATTAAACAGCTACTAGTTACACATTTTACACAAAACTGAACTTAAAGAGAACCTATTAAATATAGTTTTTATTAGTATTAGAATATATTTTACTATGTAAGCAAGACTATATCAAGGGTTATATTTCATACTAAGTATGAACCAGAATAAGGTTATATGGCATAATACTCTGTAAAACATGACTATTAGAATTACATTTATTTGGAATTAGGATGAATTATAAAGTGAATCAAGTTCAATAATGTATTTCTAGAAGAGTGGCTTTTCTCTATTTCTGTCAAAGAAGTTTGATGTTATCTAAAACAAAGATGTCAGAATAGCCTCTGTTGTATATAATCCATTGAAATTGCTTTGCTATCTTCATGAAGAATAACAATTCCTAGCTAGATAACATGGTAAAGCAGCAACAGCTGGGAACCACTATGATGCGGTAGAAAGAGTGCTGGAATCTGAGTTCTCATCCTAGGACACTCTCTAGCCAGAGATCCTGGGCTCTCTGAATTTCCTTGTCTTTGCAATGGAATCAACAACGCAACACTCCCTATCTTATGGTTATTAATGTGAACTCATATACGGCAAAGATTTAAACTGTACTGGGGGTATAGTTAATGACCTTTTAAAAATTATTTTAAAGGCTAGAGAAGTTTTATACATGAATAAGTGCATTATCGCTGTATTGAAGAAAGGATCTTGTTTATATATTACAATGAAAGTGAGCAACACAGAAAAATGCATATTTGATCTCATTTTATATAATTCATAGGCACCAAATATACCACATACTGAACATATAACTGAAAATTTAAAAAGTAGCATTAGTTGCTGTCTTTCAAAAGATACTCTAGAATTCAACTCCAGAATGTTGTCTTTGTAAGTGTCCATGTAATACGTGTTAGCCAATTAGTTTATGCTTTTAGGGTGGTTGCGTGCTCGGGGACAGAGGAGGTCACTGGATAGCTGCTGAGTTTACGTGAGTGAGGAGGGACTCCAAATGTGGATTGAGACCCAACCATAGCCCGGCACGATACTCTGTAAAACATGACTAGTAGAATAATACCTTTACTGGGCATCAGGATACTAAAACAGATGCGCGCCACCTAGTGGAAGGTTACTAAGAGTAATCTTAACAACGGAAGGAAAAAAGTGCCAGGAAAATAAGAACAGGATTTGAAGGTCAAAGGGATCTGCCAGCTATTTATTTATTTATTTATTTATTTATTTATTTATTTATTTATTTATTTGTATCACATTTCTAGGTTTTAACTTCTTGTGGCCACAGTTCATGACAGCATCTGTAGATTCACAGGGCAGACATATACAATATAAATCTGAGAAATATGAATACATCTGCTAAAATATGCATTTACACTGGATGGCCACATGGATGGGAGCCATGAGTCCCAAAAATGAAGAAGATAGACTTTCATTTCAAAATAGCAGGCAGAGAACAGAAATGAATATTATTACTGTGTGATGCTGATGAGTAACTGACTTGGTTATCCAGTAGCAAAATGATTTTAAGCATTACTGCAGTAAGCTTACTTATGCTTGTGTTTGTATTTTTTATTCTGTTTAATGTTTCTTTGTTTGTTTTACTATGGAGCAATAGTTCTAAACAACTAGGCTGAAGACTTTACAAAAGAACTTCACTATGAGACAAGGACCAGAGAAAACGAACCATAACAGCTGCTTTTTACATGAAAATTGTTGCTTCTAAGAATAATTGCCTTTTGAATACTGTTTGTGTAGCAACTTCTAAGTTTTCAGTAAATGTTTATTGTAAACTGTAGTGCATCTTGGAATCTAGATCTAGGGTAAACTTCTGAAATAGCCTGGCTGGAGTGTTTCCTTGTATAGATGAAGCCAATGAGGCCCAGAGCAATCAAGCATGCTACTAATTTGTGGACAAGATGGGGCTCCTGGTCTGGACAATCATGACTCACTCTGCTGACCTGCCTCTTTGTACCTTTTAAGGTTGAACTAACAGGATGAGAGTCATTGCCCCTCAGTAGCAACAAAGGTCTGGGAAGTCTTTGGAACTCAACAGAAAAGTAGAACTTGGGGTTGGTCTTACAAGAGAATCAGTCTAGCTGGTAAAACATTCCAGTGAATGACTTTTTAATCTCCCCTTAATTGGCTCTGACTGATAATAAATCTACCATTGGAAAAGTATCAAGGATTATTTTACTTCTAAAAACTATTTTTAAATTACCTATAATCTTACCTTGTAAAATAAGGTTCTCATTGATTAGTATGACAGCTAAACTCATAAATATTGTGCAAAGTTTAATATAGCAATAGAACCCTTTGATGCATGATTTACTGTTAGAAAAGAGTTAATACAAACATGATAGTAAAGCTCATATTATCTGTTTATACACGTGATTTCCTAAAAGGCCAAAATTTATATTTGTAACTAACTTAAATTTGTAAATACCTTAAAAATCTTCATCAATTTTGGTACTTAGAATACACAAAGCATATTTTCAGAAAGTCATGTAGTACTTTACCTGGCCATTTCATTCAAATACCTCTCACCAAGCCATTTTTCCATGAGTTTATATACATCAACCACCTTTGTTACTAAATCTTCAAGAAGAGCCAATGCTTTTGTCTTTATCAGTTCAAGTCGAAATTGCGTGGCTATTTCTATTTGCAAAGAGAAATAAGAATGTTTTAACATATTGCAGTGCATGCATTTACTAATGAACAGATTCACTTTGAAACCACTGGTGCTTCAATTTGTGAAGCTTTAGGTGCACGTTTAATATACCAGAATAGATAAGATGATATCCATCTCACTGAAAAGCAAAATGTAATATGTGGTAGAGTCATTTGAGAAATTATCTGAACCAAAACTATAATTGAGCTTTTTATCTATTGCACTTTGTAGCAATCTACTCTTTGATAAATGAAATGTGAAAACACGCATAGGTAATTTCTGAATTTTGAAAAGGGAGTGGGGACCGTGCTTATCTCCTTACTTTAGAACCTGGGGTGGCATTGCCATTGTATTTCTCAGCACCACTAAAATCAGGGCAAACTCCATGTGCCCCTGGGCCTATTACCGATCCTGGCACATAATCTGGTTGGTGGATTTTATCTCCAAAATTTTTCCAGTTTCTCTTTTTGGCTTTTTTCATCATCATCGCATAGTTTGGGTGCTGATTATCTCTCACTTAAACTGTTGCAATAGCCTCAATCCTACTTTTTCTAACTCTCTTCCCCCACCTCAAATCCAAATCCACCTCCACACTATCCAGAGTAATTTGTCTTACCTGCAGATGTGATCATAATCACTTTACTGCTCATAATTTTCCCTAGCTCCCAGTTGCCACCAGGGAAGAATTGAACATTCTTGGCAGTGCCTAGATAACCCTCCATGGTGTGGCCTCCCCATCTCCCAAGTCGCTCCTTCCCAGAACATGCCTCATGGTCCTAAGCTACTCACAAGCTGATATGCCTCTTACCCCTCTCTCTGCCATGGCACGTAATACTCCTCTTCATTCTCACGCCAATTTTTCCCCTGGAAAAACTTATCCATAGTCTTCCAATTCCGCTCAAGAATTAGTTCCGTTGGTAAGTCAGGAACTCCCCTCATGTCCCCTTTGCCCAATATGCCCACCACCAATATCACATTTTTTTTTGAGACAGGATCTCACTATGTTGCCCAGGCTGGATTCAAACACAATCGATCCTTCACCTCAATCTCTTCAGTAGCTGTGACTACAGGCCCAGCTGTCAACAGGTCAACATGCAACAGTGATTGCATTTCTCTTCCTTGAGACTGAGTTTTATTTTTTGTTTATGTTTGTACATATAAATGTGTGTCTCCAGCAACTATCACAGGACTTGGCACAGAGTGGAAAGTCAATAATCATTTGTTATATGCATAAATGAATTTTGCTACACTAAGGATCATGTATGGAATGAACTGAAAGATGAAGTATACTGAAAACCACTGAAATCAGATGCAGGGCAGGCAATATGGGAGATGCATCTGTCCTGGACTTGCCTGATGCCACAGTCTCCCTGTGTTCAACTGACTTCAGATTTTATTGTTGGGGTTTTAGAAGTGGGTGGTAGTAAGATGGGAAGGACAGGGGAGAGAAAATGAGAGAAACAAGGGATGGAAATCATACTTAGTAGTTAATAGTCACTGAGTAGTTAAAGGTGTCTCGGCATACCCCATGCCACATTTTTGTGGTTTTGTCATCTTGTATATTGACCGTGTTTTTTTCCCTTAGGATATGTTTGCTCAGTTTCCTGATCTTTTCAGATTTCATTTAGAATTGCATTACAAGACAATTCAGAGAGCCATAAGGAGAATATGTTTTGTGGAGTCATAGCTCCTATAGAGAAGAACACCTCTGAACATAATAGATATATGACTGGCTCTCCTATGGCCTTTGTTCCCAAGGACTCATTTTCAGGGCCTGTTAGCCTTTAGTTAAAATTTATTTTCCTAATTAGGTACCTAAATTATTCTTACTGTAATATAAAACCACTTACTTTAGGTAGTCCCTATCTAAACCTGTAAAATCATACGAACTTTCAACATTTTCTTTTGTTTCTGTTTTATGAGATTTTAATTACTGCTATTGCTTTTTCTAACCCATTACCAAATTCTTTTTGGTTCTTTTTGAGATCGTGTCATCAGTTAAGACTGATTAGGTGATGCCAAAACATCTGACTCATGCAACACTCAAATCTAGTCCTCACGTGGTCAAACGAAAACAGTCAACTGAATATTGTGCTTTTCAACCTCTTTGCTGTATGTTCTCATAGACATGGTCTGAGGCAATTGATGAGCCAGTTGTGGGCTGTTTGGCTACTGGTCTCCTTTCTACTGAAAAGCATCATCTTAGTCGTTTCAATCGCTACCTTCAAATTGCAAGGCAGCAAGGTGTTCTTCTTTTATTTTGACCCTCAGTTCATTTTTCCTTTTGATTTCAGCAATTTCCTCTGTTGTTACTATGACAGGAGTTGCTTCTGCCATAGGTGGTGATTTACCTGAAAGGGCAATGAAACATGCTGAGTAAACTAACAAAATACAAAGGTGTGCACATAGTACTTGGACAGAATGAGCACAAAGCAAAGTTTGTTAAGCTATAAACCTCTAGTGATTCGGAAACAATGAAACCTTGGTCCTCCCAGCATCTGTGATGAAATATTGAATTTTTCCTTGAGAATTCTCTGTATGGTTCCTGGGCTGGACTCATATAAAAACGCCCCATTTGTGTAGTATAATTAAAAAATAAGGTATGTAGCAAGTGCAAAAATGGTTACAGTTTCCAAACATAGTGAAATCCAGAGTTTAGGGACAGAAATTAGCAAATCCCCACATAGTGCTGACCCCATTAGACACCTGCAGAATTACCACTCCATAAGGGATAACTTCTATTAGCAAAGTGTTTCCTAGATCTTCACCAAAAAAGAAGATACGAGAATAACCTCAAGAAGATGTGGGTGAAATGCGGGTGATTGTCAAGAATCTGTAATCTCTTTAAATATGATTATTATTTTTTGAGACAGTCTTGCTCTGTCACCCAGGCTGGAGTGCAGTTGCATGCTCATGGTTCAATGCAGCCTCGACCTCCCAAGCTCAGGCAATCTTTCCACCTCAGCCTCCCTAGTAGCTGGGACTACAGATGTGTGCCACCACACCCAGCTATTTTATTGTATTTTTTTGTAAAGACAGAGTTTTGTCATGTTGCTTAGGCTGGTCTCGAACTCCTGGGCTCAAGCAGTCCACCTGTCTTGGCCTCCCAAAGTGCAGGGTTACAGGTGTGAGGCACTGCTCCTGGCTAATTTAATTATATTTTAATTAGAACTTAACTATAAGTACATCAGTGATTATATAAGAGAATTACAAAATATAAATTTGTCAGTACTTATCAAAGGATTTACCCATGGGCTATGGCAATATGATTCTAGTTGCAGGGCCCATTTACATAGCTCTATTTTCAGTTCAACTAATCTTTCTTGAGGGTCTGACTTCGAAGGGTTCAAATCTTATAGAGAAGATACTGTAAACAAAGAAATCGTAATATGTTGCAATAATAGATGTATATGTAAGTTACAGATGAAGGAGAGATTAATCTCTCTGGATTTCTGTTTTATCATCTGTAAAATTAAGGGATCAGACCCCAACAGTGATTCCATTAAAGTCAACAGAAGCACTTCCCTTATTCCTGCCACTTGAGATGGACTAAAGTGGTGCGTTCTTTATTGAGGTAATACTCTTCCCTTTCCTTCAAGTGCCACTGACCCACTCCTTCCTCCATCCTCAGTGCTTTCCTTTAACTCCCATTCCTGGCTGCTTGAATGTTCTCTATCTAAGAAGCATCTTCTACGCCCTCAGATGGAGAAGGGAGACCTTGTTCTTAAGGTACTTGTACCTCCCCTATCAAAGCACAATGGTCACATGTCTCTCTCTACTGCAAGACTATAGCTGGATTAGGGCAGGAATTGTGGTTGTGATTTTTGGTTTTGTTTTTAATTTACTATTGTGTTCTTGGCATCCATCTAGAGCATTTCACATAGCAGGTGTATAATAAACATATCACAGACAATCTATGAGTGGAGTGAGTTCTGCTCATTTGCTTCCCAGGATTCCACTTCAGAGGGGGAGGGTAATGTTGATGCCAAAGCTATTCATTCCTAAGGTTAATTAGGGATCTCTTTCAAGACGTATTTTCTGAACTCTTTGTTTTCCCTCATGCTACTGAGCCAGGGATTTAGGCAGGAGGCCTCCAAGAGAAAAGGACTTGCCCCTGAAACATACACATAGCTTCTAAAAACATAGCTTTTAAACTTCTCTTTGTTACTGCAGTGTTAGCCTTTCTGCACAGACTTTTCAGATGACATAGTACCATCCTGGAAGTTCTTTTAACATTTCAAAACTGTCTTTGAGGTTTATTTTACCCTGAGTACATCTGGCTATTTGGTTAAACAAGTTAGGTGGGCTTGGTATGCAATATGATTTGCCACTAACACCACAAATCATAGAAGCCCGGGTCTCTAGTTTAAACCTAATGAGTAGTATTTTAGTGGCTTAGAGGCTAATAATGTGTCCAGTTAAATGCTCGTTTTCTACGAAGGAGAGGTTTAGGCATCCAGGGTTCTGAGTGCTAAAACCATAAATACCTTTGGGTTTTTTGTCTTCCTGTTTTTTCTTGGGTGGCTCCTTTTTGACTTTTTTATTTGCACCCATCTGAGGAGATTTTTCTTTGGGGTCTGCTGGCTGGTTTTCTTTTTCTTCTTCCATAAGCCTCTGATGAATTTCAGCAGCCACCTGGTTGCGTAACAGCAATATTTCAGTTAATGTCTCATTTACAAAATATGGCAACCATTTGGATGTAGTCATTACTAAATTCTGTTGAAACCTTAATCCACTGTAAACAATTGTGCCCACGTACTCGAACTTTACAAAACACACCCCACCATGTTTTACTTAAGTGGAAACCTGGCCCTGTCCCAAGATGCGGCTTCCCTTCCACCATCTATGTGGAGGCTGCTCGCTTTCTCAAGCCCCACCTGCAAATCATCCTTACGTTTCCTCACTGCCACCTCCAGAGTGTCACAACTCCATGGTTATGCAAAAATTCCTTTCTTTTAAATCTCAGACACACATTTATACTTCTCAGTTCCTTTAATCTCTTGACTTCCAATCCAGGGTATTTCTCTGTATCAATGTTTCTTAACCTTTTTTGATAACTGATCCCCTACAGAGTTTTTTTTTTATTTTTTTATTTGCATTCATAAAATTTTAATACTGCAGAAGCATATTTGTTTATGTTCTGGGTGTATATTTGTGGTTTCTTCATACATATATTCATCACCCTCGGCAACAGCCAATTTTTGGGACAGCATGCCCTGTGTTAATTGGGTCATGGACAGTTGAATCCTGGGCTCCTATTCTACTTGAGCACTAAATATCACCCCCAAAAGACTGAGTATTTGTGAGGTTGACCCATTCCACAAGCTAACCCCAAGGTTCTTAGCTTCCCTGCTGGGCTGACTTTCAGCTTCTCTCCATTCCACCAAGTGCCTCCTTTCATTCTCACAAGTGTCCTGGCTTGAGATTAGTTGTTCTGTCACCTCATTCTAAGTGCTGAATGGAGAAGCTCTGTCCTTTCCCACCCACGGGGTCAGGAACTGCAGGTATCCCTCCACCTCTCCTCTGTGGCTGGCTCTGCACTTCAGGCAGCAGAAAAACCTTGTCCCATGACAACACAGACGAACCTGGAGGACATTATGCTAAGCAAAATAAGCCAGGCACAGAAAGGCAAATACTGCATGATCTCACTTATTTGTAGAATCTTAAAAAGTCAAAGCATAGAAGTAGAGTGTACAAGAGTGGTTACCAGGGGCTGGGGTGGGTGAGTATGTGGGACAGGGAAAGGGGAGATGTTGGTCAAAGGGTACTAAGTTTCAGTTAGATAAGAGGAATAAGCTCTGATGACATCTTGCCCAGCACCGTGACTATAGTTAATAATAATGTATTGTATATTTCAAAATTGCTAAAAGAGTAAATTTTCAATGTTCTAACCACAAAAATAATAAGTGAGGTAACAGATATGGTAATTAGCTTGATTCAGTCATCCCACAATGTATACAGACATCAAAACTTCACAGTGTACTTTATAAATATATGCAATTATTATTTGTAAATTAAGATTATATATATGTACACGTTTGTCTTCAGGCTTGTGTCACTGGGGTTGTACTTGCAGTTAGAAATACTGGACATTTTGCAATAAGTTCAACTGCCCCTGGGGAGGCGAAGGTTGTTTATGAGTGTCACCCCAAGAAATGAGAACCCAGGAAAGAATCCCAAAGGTAGAAACAACACACACACACACACACACACGCACATGCACACACACACACACACACACACACACACACACATTATGGAGGCAGTAGCAACACAGGGTTTAAAACTCTAAAATCTCAATAAAGCAATTGGTGAAAAATGGGGGTTATTGAGGGCTTATTTAATTATTTATAATTTCTGGGGAGAATGGGGTGAGGGGATGAGAAGACAAAGATTAATGAAGGTGAATAGAAAAATGAATAAGGCATAATCTCTACCCTCAAAGACTATTACAGTTTTGTGGGTGAGATAGACCAGCCAGTTCCCGCCTTCTCCAAAATTCTGCCACACTGCATACCCCATGGCAGCATGTAACTCTTCCCAAGTGTTCTATGAGTGATAAATCTTGCCCCATTGTCCAAAGGGGCCTCGTGCTTCCCAGAGCTAAACCAGTCCTACTTCTTTGTATTCTTCACAGCTTTGAGTGTCTGTGCTGTGCTCAAAGGGGATGCCCAGTAGGTGCTTAATAGTCAATGGACTTTCTTTCAAAAGAATCATATTCCACAGAATGCACCCTCAACTTCTTCAATATCAATAGAATCTTGGAGGAATACAGAAAGGTTTCAGAGAGCAAGCAGATTTCTTTGTGGTTTTTTTTGTCTTTTTCTTTCTTTCTCCCTTTGCTTTTTCTTTTCTTTCTTTTTTTTATCAGATGCCCTTTTGATAAAAATGAATACCAGATACTGTACTTGCAAGTTCTTAGTAAAGCTGAAAGCCGACTTGCTAAAATTCTTCCCCTAAATTGCAAGCAATTCAATTTTTAATCGGTTCCTGCAAAGCACTGTAAGTTAGCAATTTTCTTCAAAATTGGATTTTTCTCCCTTGTAAACAACTTTGTGATGATGATAATTATCATAATTACCTGCATAATTATGCATCATAATTGTCTGAATTTTTCTGGTCCACTTCCCTCAAAGACCTCTGGGTTGCTATCAAAAATTAATGTAATTCCCAATTCATTCAGCAATCTAGCTTATAAAGCTGGAGAGAACTTTAGACATAATGCCTTGACATTGTGGGTGTTAAAAATATGACTTGTTTCTTTGAAATCACTGCATACCCACTAATTAGAAGAAAGTTTTGCCAAAAATTAACATGGTCTACTAAATGGATAGCTCCTGGTAAAACTGCTGTGTAGAAAAAAGCCTGTGTTAAAGTGCTCTCATTTTTAGTTGCACTAATCTCAGCTGGTGCTATTTGCCCCACAACAATTTAGTGAATCACACCTGTTTCATTAGAAATTCAAAGTTGCCTTAAGATTGTGTGATATCAAAGTCAAGCAGTATTCAAATATGATTGTTAGTAATATTATTACTAAGCAGTCCATTTTCCTATGCTTTCTATAAGATTTTTTAAAGTCCACAAGGAAAAGGGTACAATGTTTAATGCATTTCTTAACGTAGAGATAAGTTAAAATATATAGTTTCTAAAACACTTTACATACATTATTTCATTGGATTTTTTCAGCCATTCAATAAAGTAAAGATAGACTATCTCCAATATTATAGATATAGCCTAAAGAATTAGAGAGGTTAAGTGATTTTCCTAAAATCATATCAGCTTAATCAAGAGGCATAGCTATATGATCCTCCCTTTCTAAGAACATACTATTTTTCAGTGTCATTTTCTCAGGTAATTTTAATGGGATTCATAAGACTTGTAGATTATGTCTATGTTGCTCATTTAACAATAAGAATAACTCATTTTTTTCTAGAGCTTCTACGTCTGGTTTCCCACTTTCTGGTGCTTGGTACTTGTTGTGGTCTCTGCTATGATCATCATTGTCACTAACGTCATCACTAATATTGACATCAGCATCATCAGCATAGCAGCAGCACCTCAAGACTATATTGAGGGCTTATTATTATATTATGTTTGATGTGGGCATTATGCTAGGTCCAAGGTATACAAAAAGTTTTAGAATCTAGTTAAGTATTCAGACTAACAACTAACAAAATACAGATTACAAAACAACAACAACAATAACAACAACCACCTAGATACTAAGAGCCAAATGAGTAGGAAAGACAATAACTGCTATGAGACTAGAAAGAGCACACAATTACAGATGGCTAGGACTTCAGGAAAGAGACAGTTAACTGGTCAGGAATCAAGATAGAAACTAACACTGAAGACCTAAAGAAGGTCAAGGGTGTGAGATTCTATGATGGCAAGTGGAGATCATCACACTAACCCCTTCTTCTCTTAGGTCAATAATGAAAAATCATTTTAGTATCCTTATACACATCATATCCCATTTATAAAAAATCTAATACTTATTTTCCTTTATCTAGTTCATTTTGCCCATTTAAATTTAATGTAGTTGTAGATATATTTGGGCTATAAATCTACTATCTTCTCTGTACTTTCTATTTGTATTGCTTGTCCTGAATATTTTTTCTGCCCTCTTTTCTTTGCTTCTTTTGGATTGGATATTTTAAATTTCATCTTCCCCCCATGTTAGCTTGGAAATAGCACACACTAAATCACTTAGTAGCTACCCTAGAAATAACACCATGAATTATTGACCAAATAATAGACTTTGAGGAGCCACTAATTCACGGTGTAATTCCTAGGGCAATTGCTAAGAGACTAGTAACAGAATACATGATGACCAAACTTACAGAGGGGAAAAAAAGCAGAAAAGACACAGAGAAGATGAAAATGAAAGGATGAAAAGATATGACATATAAACAATTTCTAAAAGTATAATTTACAAAACAAAAGCACTATATATACAGAAGATTATTTCATAATAAGAAAAGGTTCATTCCACCAGAAAGATTTCACAATTTAAAATCTATATTTTCCCAATTTCATTGTCTCAAATATATATAAAGCAAATTGACCAAAGTACAGATGATCTTATTATAACTCTCTTCATAATTCAAAGGAGAAAACAAATGAGAAACATAAGATTTAAACAATGATATTTAATAAATATTTAAAATACATAGTAAAATAATATATCAAAATATTTGTATATAAACAATGAAGTGCAATATGTACACTAAACACTTAAATGAATATATTTCAAGTACACATGTAACACTTCAAAAATTGACCATAAGGCAACTTCAAAAACTTTTATGAGAATATGTTCCATGAATAAAATGTAATCAAGCCAGAAAACAACATATTATTTTGAAAATTAAAAATATATTTCTAAAATGCTTTGAATTCGATGATAAAAGTAACATATTAGAAACTTTGAGATGAAGCTAAAGTAAGCCACAGAGGAAACTTTAGAGTAGCAAATGTGTATGTTAGAAAAAAAAGATTGGATACTAATAAACTATGATCTATCTCAAATCCCTAGGGAAAGAATGGCAAAGTAAACCCAAAGAAAATAGCACGAGGAAAATATGATATTAAGAAAAGAAAAAAAGACACATAGTAAAATAAATGAATGAAGTTAAAAGTCAGTCATTGGAAAGCCTGGTATAACTGATAAACATCTGGCTAAGCTGATTTAAAAAAAAGAGGAAAAGCACAAATAATAAACATCAGAAGTGACAAAGTGGACGTCACATAGACACTGCAAGTATTAACACAAATGTAGGCCATTTTAAATAACTTCATACCCATAAATTTAAACATTTAGAAATGGAAAAATTCTTAGCAAAATAATATCTACCAAAAACAACTCAAGTTTTTTCTAAGAAGAAACAAACCCAGAAACATTGCATAATCTATTAAAGATAATGAATTCTTGGGTGGGAGGAGGGCAACAGAAACTCCTGCTACAAACTTCCTATAAAACTTTAGTTCTAGATGGCCTCTTAGTGAATGCTACCAAACATTTCAAGAAGAAATAATCCCAACTTCCACAAAATTTTCCAAAGTATAGAGAGGAAATATATCCAGACTTGATTTATTAAGCTAGTATTATCTGGATGCTCCAAGCCATCAAAGATAGCATGAGAAAGGAAAATTACAGAACTCACTCACTTTCATTATCTCATTCAAAGACTAAAATTCTAAACAAAGTATTAACAAAACAAACCCAGTAATATTTAAGAAAGATGACGTCTCATTAAAATGTTGGACTTACTCCAGGAATGTGATGTAAGTTTAACATTAGAAAATTGGTCAATGTGATTTTTCATATTAACAGAAAATGCAGAAAAAATTATATAATACAGGCAGAAAAAGCATTTGAGAATACAATTCATGAAAAAACCTCTAGAGTAAACAGGATATGAAAAGGAATGCTCATAATCTGATAAATACTTCCTTAAAAATCAGCAGCCAACATTTTTGTGAATCTTGACAAGCTGATTTGAAAATTAATATGGAAAGGCAAAAAGTTATGAAAATCCAAAATGTTCTTGGCAGATGACAAGATGGGAAGATTTGCTCATTCAGGTAACAAATAAATGGTATATTGGTGTGGTGTTGGTATAAGCACAGACAAATGGAGCAATGCAACAGACTTACACATAAGTGGTCATCTAATGTATGACAAAGATGATAGTGCGGTGAAACGGTGAAAGGGTTTAGCACTACCTAAGAAAGCTGAGGTATTAAGTATAGTATTGTCTACTAGCTTTGAAGATAGCACACATTGCTAGATGTATACCCAACAGTTATCTATGCACATGGGTACCAGGAGACATGTACAAGCATTCATAGCAGCAGTATCCATACCGACACCAAATTGGAAACCCAAAGGTATTATCAAAAGCAGGCTGGTTAAATAAATTGTGATACATTCATATAATGCAACACAATACAGCAACAAAAAATGAACAACATAAGATGAATCTCACAAAGAAAGTTGAGCAAAATAAGACACAAAAAAGACAAAAGATATGAGTCCATTTATCTAAAGCTCAAAAGCAAGGAAAACTACACATCAGTGTTTAGAGCTATAGACTTGGGTAATAAAACTCTTAAGAACATCAAGGAAATGATTCCTAAAAAGGCAGTATGTTGGTCCCCTTTAGAGAATTCGAAGTGGGTTAGAAATGGGAAGGAGCAAAGAATGACTAGGTAGGTGCAGCCCTTATTCTATTTCTCTCCAGGTAGTGGTGCCATGAGTATTTACTTTAGGTGGGTTCATTAAGTCATGCAATTATAATTCATGCATTTTCCTTATGTATGTGAAAATCCATACTAAAATGTTTTTCGAAAGAAGCAGAAACAATGAGAGGAGTTATCATTGCTTGTGAGAGGGAGAAAAGAAATAAGCGGGGAGAACAAAAGAAAGAGAGGGAGGAAGAAAGGAAACACAGGCTGCTTGTATGAGAAGGTCAGAGAAAAAGAAGCCTGAAGGCAGAGAGGCCAAGAAGGGACTTGGAAAGTGCCCAGTTGGAAATTTTGTTTGCTGTGAGATCTGTGCTGCAAGGTCCTCTTCTACCACTTTCACAAAATCTTTTGGAAAGTTGATGCTGCTTTCTGTTTGAATGCGATATTTCATGGAAACTCGAAGAAGGCTTGGCATGTTGTGAAAAGAGAAGACATCTTGGTAGACCCAGGACCTGGCAGATGAGGGAATAGCAATTGATCACCTGAGTTAAATTCTGTGTGTATCTTCCCCATGGTGTGGCACTTCTGCTTGGATTAAAGTTATGTGTATGCCTCCCCTTTCCCTTTGATTTGGGTAGAAATGATATAAGCTTTGAAGTCATATAGACCTAGGTTCAAATTTCATTTGGATATTTACCTGCTAGGAGAACTTGGGCAAGTTTCTTAGCCTTTCTGAACCTTAATTCTCCATCGTAAATTGGATAATAATAATACTTACCCCATAGGTAACTTAGGAAAAATGCCTAGCAGAGGGGTTGCCAAATAGAGCCCTTATAGGCCAGACTGTGATTTGCTTGACTCTGCAGAATATTTTTTAAAAATTTTTATTTCATTTCTTACATGTTAAAATTAGTAGTTTTACATAAAAATCTGAATGTCTGGCTTTTCTTGGAAAATTGGAAAATCTGGCCATGCCAGACCTCATTTTTAAATGGCAATTGCATGTGCCCCTGCAAGCAGGGATGTGACTTCTGCTTGGCCCCAGACCCATCCCTCCTGATTGTCTTACACTTGACCCACCTCATTAACATTTCCTGACTGCCTTTAGGCCCTGCATGTGGAACCAGAGCCCAGCACAGAAAATAACCTAAATGTTGGTTCGTTTCATGATCTCAAATATTTGTTGACTGAATCACATTTCTCTATTTCTTTCAGAAAAAAAATGTTTCGAAGGTACAATTTTCTACAGTGCTTGAGAGCATTGTGTCAATTTTCCACTTATAGCATATTACCAACCTTGGTACTTAATGAATGTGTATTACTAACAGAAAATATAACGAGCACTGCTTACCATGTGAGATACTGCTAAAGAAGCCTGCTGCCAGGTGTCCATGACCAACTTTTCATCGGCCTCAAAGTTGGACTCAACGTTTTCTAGGGAGTTATCCATCTTGCCCTTCAGTACTGATTTTGTTTTTGGTTTGGGTGTAACTGTTTCCAGAGAAATGGATATTCGAGGAACTAGAGGAATTCTTTGAGAAACAAACAAGCAAAAAGGATAAAAAATTTTGCTTAACAAAATTCTGTTTTTGTGACCATGTTACTTTGTAAATTTTACTGTCTTGGTTTAATCTCAATTTTCAAAGTTTTCCTGAAAGAATTATTTTAATGGAGAAAAGATTATAAAACACTGCATTCAAATTTTTGTGGTCTAGAACATCTTGTTAATAAGAAGAGACTCAAAGCAAACAACAAAAACCCATAATTTTCAGACTTAATTCTCAGTAATTATAAAGCAGAGGATTAGACAGTGGCCATTATAAAGAAAAGCGACTTTGGAATTTGTTCCAGAGCATACACTTCCCATGAAGGATAATAAAAAAGTCAGTCGTGAAAAAGCAAACCAAACGAAACTGGGCATCACTTCTCTAAGGTGACAAGTATCATCTGGCATCCCGGAGGGCACAACTGAAGGTAGGACATGACTGTCCATGGCCATACCACATTGAACACACCTGATCTCCTCTGACAGTAACACATGACTAATACTAATGTGAGGTCTGAAAGGGGGTACTGCACAGAGGCAGCTAAGTTTTGATGGTGGGTGGGGGTAGCCTACAGCACCACCCCCACAAAGGTTTTCTCTTTGTTTTGTAAAGTGCTGTGGGGACACAAAGTTAAGCTCTCCCTCCCTCTTCCCTTATTGCTGCTCCTGTGTAGAAATTTTTGAGCTGCCTCTGGGAATATCTTATCCCAGAAGGATCCCAGGATCTCAAAGGTTAACAGAAGCAGGGAAAGATCTACAAGGTAGAATGCTTATTGTGACTGGAATCCCCCTTTAGTAATAGAAAGTGCAAAGGGCTATCAGCTTGGGGAAGGAAAGAGAAGAGAACAGCTCCAAGGATGCCTCTGTTGAAACTAGAGGAGGAGAGTCAGAATCAGTAATCTAGGAACAAGCATTTGGTTTTGTAGACTCAAGTTGCTGGAGAAGAGAGCAGTGATTCAGAAAAATGAATCACTGGTACAGTATCATAGGCACAGTCTACCGTGCCTAAAAAGGCAGCGTATTGAGGATCTGCTACTCATCTACCCACAAATTAAATTACATTTTAAAAATCAAATAAGGCTAAATCACTGTCACTCCAGTTTGACTGTGATTCATGTGTTCAATAAGTTCGGGTAAGGCTTGTGCGATCACTTCTAAATGTTTAATACAGTACAACATGTATTTTTCAACGTCTTGCTTTGGAGGACAGCAGTGGTGGCATATAACTTAGAAAACGAATTTGCATTTAGAATTTATTTACTGGAAAGAACTCTGATGTAGGTAGCTCTCTCACTATTAGTAGGTATAAACTTGAGCATGTCATTTGACTTTATGAGGTTCAGTTCCTCTTGGAATAATACAAATATAATAATTATTATGATAAGTATTCATTATTAACTAAGAGTTATTACTATCATTGTGAATAATCTTATGATACTACTACTAATATTATTATTGCTATAGGGTTGTTGGGAAGAATAAAGCGGACAAAATATATGAAAATTTTTAACATTGTTCTTGTTTCCCTTTATATATGACAGGTTGATAGGTTAGTTGGTTGATATATTGATTGACTGATAGTTCCAGTAGGTACCCAAAGCTGTGATTTGAGGCTGAGACTGGTGCAGAGTTATTCGCAGGAAATAAGAACTGGATGTTCTTTTGCCAGTTTCATTCTACTAACCAACATCAACAGCTTACCCATTATGCCTAACTTGCTATTGTGTGCTGAGAACAGAATGTACTGCCACTCTCGACATTGAAATTTGGCCTCTTTTGATGGTTCTAGTGGTTTATACCGCCTTTGGATTTTTTTTTAATTGTTTTTAATCTCAAAGATCTCTTTCAGCAGCTTGCTGAACATTTTCCTTCTATTTGTGTCAAAAAGAGGGGACACATTTTTACTCTTAGATATTCTTGTGTACACACGGGCCTGACAGGGATGTGATGGGAGTAGATGGAAAAAGCCAGGAGAGAACAAAAATGGGCTTTGGATCGCTGCATAAAATAATGTGTTCAGGCCATCTCAAATTCTTTTTGGAACAAGGGAGGGTAAAAGAAACAAAGCAGGAACATACAATAGGTAATAATCTACATTTATTGAGCATTATTGGGACTCAATCTCATCTTCTGATACCACAATATGGTACTAAATGCTTTGTAGATTTTATTTTCCATAATCTTCACAACAACCCTCCTTTACAGATAAGGAAACTGAGGCTTAAGAGAGATGGAGTGACTTGACAACAAATAAATTGTCTTAATTTATTTACATACAATGATTGAGTAACAGAACTAGGATTCAAACCAGATCTGTCTTACTTCAAAATATATTCATTATCCTGCGTTTAGTTTGTGCAGCTCCTGACACCTGCATTGACTGAGCAAACTTCTAAAAATATGGTACACTGCCTTCAACATAAAATATATAGCTTATCCCCTTGGAGATTTAAATTTAATCTTCAGTGCCTTTATATTATTTTTTTAAACTTGACTTTCTTTTTCCCCTCCTCATATCTGATATAATGTTTTTTGTTTCTTATCGCCTGCCTACTGATTATTAAAAAGGATTGTTTTAATTCTTCACTATACTTTATTTAGTTCAAATTAAAATTCATTTAATTTTTAAGGATTTTGATTTCTATTTTTTAATTGCTTTATTTTAATTCTTACTTTTAGCTCTCTTAATGTTTTATAGTTGGAAACCATGCCACAGGAATCACCACCACTCCTAACTCCCATTTCTAGAAGACATTTTTCTATCTGTTCAGAATTTCTCAGCGTTTGGGATCTTGCCTTTCCTTTGCCCCTACCCATTGGATCTACAAAAACAATGACTTACAGACTTTTATATTGCACAGGATTTGCTTGGCTGAAAATAAAATTTTTCTTCTATCCTACCACCAAGTTTATTTTTTTGCTGGCAGAAATCTGATGTTAGACTATTAATAGGTCTTTCAGTCACTCTCATAAGGTCATTATCACATACTACTGAGACTTTACTGTTTCTCAATGTCTTTATCAGTAAAAGACTCAAAACACCTTCCATTTTCATTTTCATTTATATAATACAATAGGTACACACACACACCTGCTTTGGTCCTTTCATAAAAGTGTTAGAGGTTCATAATTTTTTTTTTTTTTTTAGACGGAGTCTCCCTCTGTCGCCCAGGCTGGAGTGCGGTGGTGAGATCTTGGCTCGCTGCAAGCTCCGCCTCCCAGGTTCATGCCATTCTCCTGCCTCAGCCTCCTGAGTAGCTGGGACTACAGGCGCCCGCCACTACGCCCGGCTAATTTTTTTTGTATTTTTAGTAGAGACGGGGTTTCACCGTGTTAGCCAGGATGATCTCGATCTCCTGACCTCGTGATCTGCCTGCCTCGGCCTCCCAAAGTGCTGGGATTACAGGTGTGAGCCACCGCGCCTGGCGGAGGTTCATAATTTCTTACCAGAAACCGTTGGGGCCAAAAGTGTTTCAGAATTCAGAATTTGTGTATACCATATATTCCCTAATACCACCTGCAGAGTCTGTGGGATGACTCCGTCATAAAACACATTTTATCTCTGCAGCAAAATGAGTAAATATTCCCTATAAATTGGATAATGTATATTAGTAGTCTTAAGTCAATGACACACTAACGTTAAAAAAAAAACATGTTTGGTTATTAGAGCTTTTTTGGATCTTAGATTTGCAGATAAAGGAGTGTGATTTTTATTAGTGGTAATTAATTTTAAATCACAAAGCTTTATGTTCAAAACAATTACAGTGTGATATAATAGCCTGCCTTACCTAAGCTGGCTTTCAGAATTGTCTTTACTATCCAGTTGGACCAAAGGGATTCGAGTAAATCTCTTGTTGTCCTCTACTGGGATTTTACTTTCCATTCCCCAGTAATAATCTTGAAGGAGTCTCTTTGTATCTTGGAAACGGTTCAGCTCTGCCTTTAATAGCAAATGTGAATGTTAATATCCAAGAAAGAACAAGCTGATCTGTACATATTTCCGATATAAGCCTCTGAAAGCACTATTTTGAAAACATTTAGATTGAAAATAATTTTCTGGAAATAAGAAGGAACATTAGTTACAAGTCTATATCTAAGATTTTCATTAAAATTAAAGATAACTAGTGACTTTGCATTCTCTATATTTACGGAACATGATTCTATTTAACAAAATGACTTTTCTGTGCCTCTTGACATTGTGACAGTTACAGGATGTATGATGTTTCAAGTAGTGCATGCTATTTACTATTTTAACATTAGCAATTCCTGTGTCCTAGATTCAATCAGCCAATATAGTAGCAAACTTCTTTGTCATAGGTAGCATATGAGTTGATTTGAGAGATAACAAAAAACACTATACATACAAATACAAAATACAAATACAAAAAAAAACACTGGGTTCTGGTTCTCTAGAACAACTTTAGCTGTGGAGAAACAACAAAGGGCAACATAAAGTTTTTTTTTTCTTTCTTTCCTTTACTTTTTTTTTTTTTTTTTTTTTTGAGACAGAGTCTTGCTCTATCACCCAGGCTGGAATGCAGTGGTGTGATCTCAGCTCATTGCAACCTCCACCTCCTAGGTTCAAGCGATTTTCCTGCCTCAGCCTCCTGAGTAGCCGGGTTTACAGGGCCCTGACCCCATGCCCTCCTAATATTTATATATTTAGTAGAGATAGGGTTTTGCCATGTTGGCCAGGCTGGTTTCGAACTCCTGACCTCAGGAGATCTGTCCACCTCGGCCTCCCAAAGTGCTGGGATTACAGGCATGAGCCACTGCGCCCAGCAACACAGAGTTTAAAGAATAGTTCTCTTTCCACAATTTCCTTTCTTGTTCAATATGTGGAGAAGAGAGAGAATTCAGCTCCTCTAGTGCTCACGGCTAAACCCTTCTGCTTGCTTTGCCAGTAAGTACCTTGTGAAAAATGTAGCAACCCAGAAGAGCTGGTGGCAAGATGAGCATCGGTCATTCCCTTGTTGTGACTCCCTGTCAGCACAGGTCATTTCCTTTTGTGGTATGCATACGCTGAAGTGTGTGCATAGTGAGATTTCACACAGTGCCAACAACACAAATGTAGAATATGATATTTTTCGACCTGGTCTCCCATTCGGTTTAGGACAATATGGTGTATATCTGTGCTTCTCTATGTTAGTGTAAACATGACCTCCAGACTTTGCTTTAGTCACCTGGGCTACTTAAATCAATACCTGAGGGCCTAAATATTGAAGCTCCTGATACAGATGAATTCCATGGTATCTAGTTAATTACAGAAAGCATCTTTGTAAAAAGAAAAACAAAATTGACCTAATGTTCAAAGCCTTATCTACACCAAACTCAAAGATATTTATGAAGGGATCCCTACATTTATCAAACAATTATGTCACCACTTATTTTGTAAAATATCAAGAAATATTCTCTTACTGCCATATTCACAGTTCAGAACAAATAAATGTCTGGTTTTTTGTTGCAGTCTACAACAAAAGACAAGAACAGTTTCAATAAGTCTGTATTTGATATAGAAAAGGTTAAGCCAAATTGCTCCTGGAAAAAGCTGTTTTCTGTGCTATTCGACTTTTCTAACTAAATGACTGAAACAGGAAAAAATTAATTTGGTGAACTTGAATCTAAGTTAAAAAATAAAAGTACCATTTATGTATTGTCTCACATTATAGAACATTTTTAATAGTCTCCTTGGATTTTAAACACAAATATATATTTAAGTAGTTTTTAAACTAGCATTTTGAAATGACAAGAAAAACTAAACCTTTTTCTCTTTCCTTGCAAAACAACCAAATTAAGTTTTAAAATATTCATGTATGAACAAATCCTACAGTTTGACAATAAGTGTTTGCACCTGTCATGCTTAGGTTTGGTAAAACAGAGGAGAAAAATGAGTCTTGTAAATTATACTTATAAGAACTTGCAGAATGACACATTTATGGTGAATAGGATCAAATAGAAACCCAATTTGTACAAACTGAATATTGACAACTTTGGAGAATTAAAATAAGTGTGTTGAGGTTATAAAAATTATTAGTCATTAAACCATAGCATTGTATTATTTGGTAAATAAATTTAGAAATCAGGAAATTATTTCCTCCTTAACTTAGAGAACTAAACTACTTAATAATGATTAGGTTTAGTAGAGCTTCTTTTATACAATTGGTTTTTGGGACAGTGCTGTTATCTGTGCCTTAGGCTTACCTCATTATAGTGATTATCTTATATAAAATACTAATTTATTTTTAGAAGGCATAATTTAATTAACTAAATCTGAATAAGATGCCATACTATATCCAAGATTTTCATAAAGGCAGAATCAATCAAAATTCATGTTACATTTATGATAACTAGTAAACAATATTTTTATGATATTATAACTAGTAAACGATATTTTTAATTGTTATGATAACTAGTAAACAATATTTTTAATAGTTATTAAAAACAATATTTTTAATAGTAAACAAGATTTTTAATTGAGACAGAATCTTAGATTTAAAAAGAATTTTAGAAAATCATCTAGCATAGCATTTTCTAAAATACATTTTGTAGAAAACTTGTCCTATAGGCAGTTAATGAGTACCTTGTTGGGGAAGAAACAAAAACTTCTCAAGGTCAAATAGTGTGGAAATAGAAATAGAAATAGAAATAGAAAAAGGATTTCCTTCCTGCAGGGCATCTCGATGTCTAAATATGTCGATACACTTGTCAATCTCCCAGGGAGAGGGAAGAAGGCTAGAGTAGATAGCACTTCCCAAAGTCATTTGATCACAGAGTCCTTGTTTTGTGAAACATCTTGTAGGACTAATGTCTACGGAACCCGCTTTGGGAAACATTTATCTAGCTGTCTGTTGTTACCCAACACCACAGATTCTTGATGGCTTTTTCTAGTGTGCTTTCCACCGGTCCTCCAAAACCATGTGCGAACTTTTGCTTTTGAGCATCCTGGACAAAAAGCTCATTGCCTCCAAAGTCTGTTACTTGATGGGCTGTTCATTAGGCTCTTTCTTTAAATATTGAACCGAAACCTCCTCTTTTGTAATTTTCACCCCTGGTTTTTATAGGATCCTGTTGATCAGTGCAAAATAAGGCTCCCTTCAGTTCTATGTGGCAAACTTTCAACTATTTGAACAATAAATCAGTGGTTAGGAATACAGTAGACACTCCCTTATCCATGGGGGATGAGTTTCAAGACCCCCAATGGATGCGTGAAACCTCAGATAGTTCCAAACCTTATATACACTATGATTTTTCGTCTGATAACGAAATTGGCTACTAAGTGACTAACAGATGGGCAGGTAGCATCTACAGGGTGGATACACTGGACAGAGGGATGATTCACATTCTGAGCGAGACAGAATGAAACAGTGTGAGATTTCATCACACTACTCAAAATAGAGCACAATTTAAAACTTATGAATTATTTATTTATGGAAATTTCCATGTAATATTTTCGGACTGTGGGTAACAAACTATGGAAAATAAACCTGAGGAGAAGGGGGAGCTACTGTACTGGCTTTGAGGTCAGATGGGCAAATTGTTTCACCTGTGTTTGTCTCAATTTCCTCATTTGTGAAATGAAGATAACAGAACTTACAGTAGGCTGGGTGTGGTGGCTCACTCCTGTAATCCCAGCACTTTGGGAGGCCGAGGCGGATGGATCACCTGAGGTCAGGAGCTCGAGAGCAGCCTGGCCAACATGGTGAAACCGTGTCTCTACTAAAAATACAAAAATTAGCCAGGCGTGGTGGTGGGCGCCTGTAATCCCAGCTACTTGGGAGGCTGAGGCAGGAGAATTGCTTGAATCTGGGAGGCAGAGGTTGCAGTGAGGTGAGATCGCACCATTGCACTCCAACCTGGGTGCAAGAGTGAAAACTTGTTGTGAAGTTTTAATATATTCTACATGAAAATCTTTAGAATGCTGCCTGGCATGTACATAGTAAGAACTTAGTAAATGTTAGATTTTATTTACTGCTTTTTCCTCTTTATTCCTTGTTGGTCTTAGATATTGGTTCAGTTTCTCAAGATAAAAGTCCTCTATCTAGGGATTGTTGGAATATTGAGTACTATACCATTTCCAAAGGAGGTATGTATTGCTCTGAATGAAGAATGATTCATAAAAATTATCTGTTCCCTATGCCTTCATTATTGGTTTTCAGCTATTTCTGCCATAAGCTTTTGACACGACTGTTTATAATACTTGATTTTTGCTTGCCCAAACCAATGTCGTGGGGATGCTATCAAGACTGGTCTAGGCTGCTTAGGCATCTCACTTTAATCTTTGCATACAACCCATGCCATGTGGATCTGTCCTCCTGGTCATGGCCCGGCTTTGTCCTCTGCTTTGGATGACATCTTTCTAACTCCATCTTCTCTTTACAATCCAGATTCCTAACATGGCTGCATGGGGTCTTCACTGTCCTGGTATCCTGATTTCTTGAAACCTCCTACCTGAGTGGCTGCTCCTGCCTCTCAGATTTCTGCTGATATTTCAGACCTTCTGTGGTCTGGCCTATGCCTGAGCCATGAATTGTCCCTTTGAAGGCTGGAAGTACCAGCATGTATTGGTCCTTTGATGAAAAGACATTTACTGAACACCTATTATGCATTAGCTGTAGGGATTGCCAGATAAGTACTCTCATTTCCTGTAGTATCTCTTTATCTAAGTTAATCAATTAAGGATCAGAAATGTACCCTTTTCCATTCTCTATCTTCATTCCTGTTATTTTAGCTTGACTTAGCTTTAGACAGGCTGCTTCCTGACTCTAGGGCCCACCTCCCTTTTGTTAGGGCATTTGCTTTAAGAAAACGACATTGTAAATCCTTTCACTGTTCCTTTGAGATGTAAATCTTTTCAAAAGCCTCCTACCAGTTGTACAACCCAGGAAAGAATGTCTTTCTCAAGGACCTAAAAACCATCTCTTTGTAATATAATTAATCATCAAGGAAGACAGGGACTCTATCTCCCAGTTCTTGTGTGAGACTAGGAGCCTAATTTCACTAGGTGCATTGCTTCAAGTCCTAAAACTACCTCCTGTGATGAAGTTCGTAGAAAGTTGACTTTTCCTTCTGGTAATGTCAATTGGCAAACACAGTTGGCTTATGACCCATACCCTCTAACCTACTTCAGCTCTTAAAAACTCTCTAGCCCTTTGTCTTGGCGGAGCTGGGTTTGTGCTTTCTCCCCTATTGCTGACAATAGTGTCGAATAAAATCAGCACCTGTCTTCTAATCTTGCCCTGTGCAATTTTTTTAAATTTAATAGGCTGCAAATATAAGTTAATCGGGTTGCATTGATTATGGTCTGTTTTTCTAGTCCAGTATTGGAAAACTTTTTATTTTCAGGAATCAAATGTCTGCCTGGTCTGATCTTGCCTATGCTTGTTGTGGCCAGGCTGCTTTCCTGGGCTTTCTTTGTCCACTTAAGGGGTCTGCTTTGAGAGTCTGGTGAGATAACTCAGTTGTAAACACTATTTCTACTGTGGCTTTCTACATATCTAGGCCACCTGGGAGCAAAGCTGGTGGGTAGTTGCTTGGGATGCTTCCAATTTGGGTGCATATTTGGGCTGGGTCAAAATGTATTATTTCGGCTAGCTTTTTTGGTGAGTTGGAGCTCATACCAGGCATAGTGCTATACCAAAATGAGCCCTGAACAGACCTCTCATATTCCCAAGAAAGTGTCATATGAAGGACTGAGGAATGAGGCTGTGAAGGGAAGTGCCTGGGTTATTGTGACCAGCTGCTCTTACCTGCATCAGGGAAAAGAAATGGTTCATTGTCATTCCAAGAGTGTCCTGTAACCAGCTCTCATTAATGATGTCAAGCCGCTCCTGCTCCGCCTCTTCCTTCCGGGCATCACAAATGTCCCACAGGCGGTCTCGCAGATCCTGAACAGAAAAAACAGGCATGGTGGCTATGCTTTAGATTGCTGCTCAAATCACCTAGGTGCAATAAAACTAAAATCCTTTGCCTCTCTTAAAAATGTCTCTAAAGAAATTTTACACCAATTGCACTCCTGTATTGTATGTGCTCATTCAACCAATATTCATCTTGAGTCTCTTCTGTCAGTCCCTTACGTTTGAAGAGGACCTCACCACATCATATGTCTATGTCTACCAAAAACCCACTACATTTTACTTTATTCATGAATGGCTATGTTTTATGTGCTTTAATCCTTCCTAAAAAAAAATGTGTTTGGTTGAAAAAGCCCTTTCAGTGAATTTTGGGGGGGAAATGGCAATTGGTGGTGGAAAAAAATATGCAGCTGTATTAATTAACATAATTAATTAATATAAACTTGTTAATTAATACTACAGGTGGAACATATTGTTCACCAAAAAATGTTGTCTGAGTTTAATGGGGTGATCTAAAAGTAAGCTTTGTATTAAAGAGATAGCAGTAAAGAGATTGCCCTTGCCAGATACTGGGCAATAATCAAGATGATAAATATAAACATAATAATTTATAACATACTATTTATATATAAATACATAATAAACAGTATCAATGCATTTAGAGTATGATGATTTATAGTATAGTAGAGTATGAGTAATATATAATACATTATATATATTTAATAATTTACATATAAATATAATAAAAATAGTTATCACATAGAGTCCTTTCAGTGTGTATCTATGTGTCGGAACATAAGTCACTATACTTGTATTGGCTCATTTAATGCCTCACAACATCCTTAAGCTAGGTAGTATTATTACCTTCATTTTACAATTGAGGAAACTGAGTCACAGAGAAGTTACTTTCTAAGGTCACAGAAAGATTAAGTGGTGGAGCCAGAATACGAACTGGTGGTCTTGAATAATATATACTACTATATTAGGCTTCAGTCCCATTAATGAAACATATACAGTCAAATAAAAATCGACAGCTTTTGCAATAATAATAATTCACTGAGGCCAGGCACAGTGGCTCATGCTTATAATCCCAACACTTTGAGAGGCTGAGGCAGGAGGATCATTTGAGGCCAGGAGTTCAAGACCAGCCTGGTCAACATGGCAAAACCCCCATTTCTATAAAAAATTAAAAAATAAAAACTTAGCCATTCATGGTGGCACATGTCTGTAGTCCCAGCTACTCAGGAGGCTAAGATGGGAGGATTGCTTGAGCCCAAGGGTTCAAGGCTGCAATGAGCCATGACTTCACCACTGCACCTCAGCCTGAGTGACAGAGACCCTGTCTCAATAAAAATTAATAATAATAATTCACTAAACATTTATTATGTGTTGAGCATCATGTTAAGTGCATTACATCAGGGGTCCCCAACCCTTGGGCCGCGAGGTGGTACCCATCCATGGCTTGTTAGGAACTGGGCCACACAGCAGGAGGTGAGCGGTGGGCAAGTGAGCATTACTCCCCGATCTCCACCTCCTATCAGATCCGCAGCAACATTAGATTCTCATAGAAGCCTGAACCCTATTGTGAACTACAAATGTGAGAGATGTAGGCTGCGTACTTCTTATGAGAATCTAATGCCTCATGATCTGAGTGGAACAGTTTTATCTCTAAACCATCCCCCTCACCAATATCTGTGGAAAAATTGTCTTCCACGAAACTGGTCCCTGGTGCCAAAAAGGTTGGGGACCACTGCATTACATTGATTATCTCCTAACCCCCACAGCCCCACAGTAAGTAGGCTTCCGACAAGACCATTGAAACACAGACAGGTTAAGTTTCTTGCCTATAATTTCAATGTGGTAGAGCCAGAAATTAATTTGAACCCAAGCAGTTTAATGCCTACAGTGAATTTTATTTCTGTGACATTGTGTTTATGGAATACTTTGTTTTTGAATTCTTACCTTTGCATTTTGGTTTGTTACCTTGAGGAGCCTGCACATGAAATGAAAATATCACAAGCCATTTTTATTGCCATATGCTAAGTATCAGAACAATATATCATTATTTTAGAGCTGATCTTGATATCTTCATGGTGTTTCCATAAATGCTCTGTCAGGTATTCAATAAGTACTAACTTGTGCTTATCAAATATTTATATATTTTTAATTAATTAATTAATTACCTTATTTTTCCATAAGTTATTGGGGTACGGGTGGTATTTGGGTACATAAGTAAGTTCTTCAGTGGTGATATGTGAGATTTTGCTGTACTCATCACATGAGCAGTATACACTGCACCATATTTGGAGTCTTTTATCCTTCACCCCCCTCCCACTCTTCCCCCCAAGTCCCCAAAGTCCATTGTATCATTCTTATGCCTTTGAGTCCTCATAGCTTAGCTCTCACAAATCAGTGAGAACATAATGTTTGGTTTTCCATTCCTGAGTTACTTTACTTAGAATAATAGTCTCCAGTCTCATCCAGGTCACTGCAAATACTGTTAATTCATTCCTTTTTATGGCTGAGTAGCATTCCATCATATATATATATATATATATATGTGTGTGTGTGTGTGTGTATATATATATACATATATATACGTATATATATATACATATGTGTATATATATACGTATATATATACGTATATATATATATACATATATATATATAGCACAGTTTCTTTATCCACTCACTGACTGATGGGTATTTGGGTTGGTTCCACGATTTTGCAACTGTGAATTGTGCTGCTATAAACAATGTGTGCAAGTATCTTTTTTAAATAATGACTTCTTTTCCTCTGGGTAGATACCCAATAATAGGATTGCTGGATCAAATGGTAGCTCTACTTTTAGTTCTTAAAGGAATCTCCACACTGTTTTCCATAGTGTCTGTACTAGTTTACATTACCATCAGCAGCATAGAAGTGTTCCCTGATCACTGCATCCTCACCGACATCTACTGGTTTTTGGTTTTTTTCATTATGGCCATTCTTGCAGGAGTAAGGTGGTATCACATTGTGGTTTTGATTTGCATTTCCCTGATCATTAGTGATGTTGAGCATTTTTTCATATGTTTGTTGCCCATTTGTATATCTTCTTTTGAGAACTGGCTATTTATATCCATAGCTCACTTTTTGATGGGATTCTTTTTTTCTTACTGATTTGAGTTCATTGTAGATTCTGGATATTAGTCTTTTGTCAGATGTATAGATTGTGAAAATTTTCTCCCATTCTGTGGGTTGTCTTTTTACTCTGCTGACTGTCCATGTGCCGTGCAAAAGTTGTTTGGTTTAATTAGGTCCCAGTGATTTATCTTTGTTTTTATTGCATTTGCTTTTGGGTTTTTGGTCATGAAATCCTTGCCTGAGCCAATGTCCAGAAGGGTTCTTCCAAAGTTATCTTGTAGAATTTTTAGTTTCAGGTCTTATGTTTAAGACCTTAATCCATCTTGAGTTGATTTTTGTATAAGGTGAGAGATGAGGACCCAGTTTCATTCCTCTACAAGTGGCTAGCCAATTATCCCAGCACCATTTGTTGAACAGGGTGTCCTTTCCCCAACTTATGTTATTGTTTGCTTTGTCAAAGATCAGTTGGCTGTAGGTATTTGGGTTTATTTCTGGGTTCTCTATTCTGTTCCATTGGTCTATGTGCCTATTTTTATACCAGTATCATGCTGTTTTGGTTACTATGGCCTTATAGTATAGTTTGAAATCAGGTAGTGTGATGCTTCCAGATTTGTTCTTTTTGCTTAGTCTTGCTTTGGCAATGTAGTTTCTTTTGCGGTTCCATATGAATTTTAGAATTGTTTTTTATAATTCTCTGAAGACTGTTGGTGGTATTTTGATGGGGATTGCATTGAATTTGTAGATTGCTTTGGGCAGTATGATCATTTTCACAATATTGATTCTACTCATCCGTGAGCATGGGATGTGTTTTCATCTGTTTATGTCATTTATGATTTTTTTCAGCAGTGTTTTGTAGTTTTCCTTGTAGAGGTCTTTTGACTCCTTGGTTAGGTATATTCCTAAGTATTTCATTTTTTTTGCAGCTATGGTAAAAGGGGTTGAGTTCTTGATTTGATTCTCTGCTTGGTCGATGTTGGTGTATAGAAGAACTACTGATTTGTGTACATTAATCTTGTATCCGGAAACTTTGCTGAATTTTTTAATCAGTTCTAGGAGCTTTCTGGAGGAGTCTTTAGGGTTTTCAAGGTAAACGATCATATCGTCAGCAAACAGGAACAGTTTGACTTCCTCTTTACTGACTTCAGTGCCTTTTCTTTCTTTCTCTAGTCTGATTGCTCTGGCTAGGACCTCCAGTACTATGTTGAAGAGGAGTGGTGAGAGTGGGCATACTTGTCTTGTTCCAGTTTTCAGAGGGAATGCTTTCAACTTTTCCCCATTCAGTATTATGGTAGCTGTGGGTTTGTCATAGATGGCTTTTATTACATTGAGATATGTCCCTTGTATGCCAATTTTTGCTGAGAGTTTTAATCATAAAGCCATGCTGGATTTTGTCAAATGCTTTTTCTGCATCTATTGATGCATCTTTTTCTGCATCTATTGATCACATATTTTTGTTTTTAATTCTGTTTATGTGGTGTATCACATTTATTGACTTGTGTATGTTAAACCATCCCTGCATCCCTGGTATAAAACCCACTTGATCATGGTGGATTATCTTTTTGATATGTTGTTGGATTTGGTTAGCTACTATTTTGTTAAGGATTTTAGCATCTGTGTTTATCAAGGATATCGGTCTGTAATTTTCTTTTTTGGTTATGTCCTTTGCTGGTTTTGGTATTAGGGTAATGCTGGCTTTGGTATTAGGTTATGTCCTTTGCTGGTTTTGGTAATGCTTTCTCTACATTGTGGAATAGTATCAAAAGGATTGGTATCAATTCTTCTTTGAATGTCTGGTAGAATTTTACTGTGAATCCACCTGGTCCTGGACTTTTTTGTGTTGGTAATTTTTAAATTACCATTTCAATCTCACTGCTTGTTATTGGTCAGTTCAGGGTATCTAATTCTTCTTGATTTAAGCTAGGAAGGTTGTATTTTTCCAGGAATATATCCAACTCTTCTAGGTTTTCAGGTTTATGTGTGTAAAGGTGTTCATAGTAGCCTTGAATGATCTTTTGTATTTCAGTGATGTCAGTTGTAATATCTCCTGTTTTGTTTCTTAGTGAGGTTATTTGGATTTTCTCTCTTCTTTTCTTGGTTAATCTTGCGAATGGTCTATCAATTTTATTTTCAAAGAACCAGCTTTTTGATTCATTTGTCTTTTGTATTTTTTTTGTTCCAATTTCATTTAGTTCTGCTCCGATCTTGCTTTTTTCCTTTCTTCTGCTGGGTTTGGGTTTGGTTTGTTCTTGTTTTTCTAGTTCCTTGAGGTGTGACCTTAGAATGTCAGTTTGTGCTCTTTTGATCTTTTTGATGTAGGCATTTAGGGCTATGAACTTTCCTCTTAGCACTGCCTTTGCTGTATCCGAGGTTTTGGTAGGTTGTGTCACTGTCATTCAGTTCGAATAATTTTTTAATTTCCATCTTGATTTCGTTTTTGATCCAATGCTTATTCAGGAGCAGGTTATTTAATTTCTATGTATTTGCATAGTTTTGAAGATTCCTTTTGGAGTTGATTTCCAGTTTTATTCCACTGTAGTCTAAGAGAGTGCTTGATATAATTTCAATTTTCTTAAATTTATTGAGGCTTGTTTTATAGCCTATCATATGGTCTATCTTGGAGAAAGTTCTATGTGCTGTTGAATAGAATGTGTATTCTGCAGTTGCTGGGTGATGTGTTTTGTATATATTTGTTAAGTCCATTTGTTCCAAGCAATAGTTTAAATCCATTGTTTCCTTGTTGACTTTCTATCTTGATGACCTGTCTAATGCTGTCAGTAGAATATTGTTGTCCCCCACTATTATTGTGTTGCTGTGTATCTCATTTCTTAGGTCTGTTAGTGATTGTTTTATAAATTTGGGAGCTCCAGTGTTAGGTGCATATATGTTTAGGATTGTGATATTTTCCTGTTGCACAAGGCCTTTTACCGTTATATAATGTCCCTCTTTGTCTCTTTTAACTGGTGTTGCTTTAAAGTTGGTTTTGTCTGATATAAGAATAGCTACCCTGCTCACTTTTTGTGTCCATTTGCATGAAATGCCTTTTTCCACCCCTTTAAGTTTATGTGAGTCCTTATGTGTTAGGTGAGTCTCCTGACAGCAGCAGATAGTTGGTTGGTGAGTTCTTATCCATTCTGCAGTTCTGTATCTTTTAAGTGGAGCCTTTAGGCCATTTACATTCAATGTTAGTATTGAAATGTGAGGTACCATTGCATTCATCATGCTCTTTGTTGCCTGTGTACTTTTGGTTTTTTTTGTTTGTTTTGGCTTTTTTAACTTGTATTTTTGTTTAATAGGTCCTGTGTGATTTATGCATTAAAGAGGTTCTGTTTTGATGTGTTTCCAGGATTTGTTTCAAGATTTAGAGCTCCTTTTTCTTGTAGTGGTGGCTTGGTAATGGCAAATTCTCTCAGCATTTGTTTGTTTGAAAAAGACTATGTCTTTCCTTCATATACGATGCTTAGTTTTGCTTGATAGAAAATTCTTGGCTGATAATTGTTTCGTTTGAGGAGGCTGAAGATAGGGCCCTAATCCCTTCTAGCTTTTAGGGTTTCTGCTGAGAAATCAGCTGTTAATTTGATAGGTTTTCCTTTATAAGTTACCTGGTGCTTCTGTCTCACAGCTCTGAAAATTCTTTCCTTTGTCTTAACTTTGGATAACCTGATGGCAATGTGCCTAGGTGATGTTTTTTTGTGATAAATTTCCCAGGTGTTCTTTGTACTTCTTGTGTTTGAATGTTTAGGTCTCTAGCGAGGCTGGGGAAGTTTTCCTCAATTATTCCTCTAAATATGTTTTCCAAGCTTTTATAATTCTCTTCTTCCTCAGGAACACCAATTATTGTTCGGTTTGGTCATTTAACATAATCCCAGACTTCTTGGAGGCTTTGCTCATATTTTCTTTTTCTTTTTTCATTGTCTTTGTTGGATTGGGTTAATTTGAGGACCTTGTCTTTCAGCTCTGAATTTCTTGCTTCTACCTGTTCAATTCTATTGCTGAGACTTTCCAGAACATTTCAGGTTTCTAAAAGTGTCTACAAAGTTTCCTGAATTTTTGTTTGTTTTTTCTTTTAGCTATCTATTTCCTTGAATATTTCTCCCTTCACTCCTTGTATCATTTTTTGGATTTCCTTGCATTGGGCTTTGCCTTTCTCTGGTGCCTCCCTGATTAGCTTAATAACTAACCTCCTGAATTCTTTTTCAGATAAATCAGGGATTTCTTGGTTTGGATCCATTGCTGGTGAACTAGTGTGATTTTTTCACGGTGTTAAAGAGCCTTGTTTTGTCATATTACCAGGGCTGATTTTTTGGTTCCTTCTCATTTGGGTAGGCTCTGCAAAGGGAAGGTCTAGGGCTGAAAGCTCTTGTTCAGATTCTTTTGTCCCACAGGGTGTTCCCTTGATGTAATACTCTCCTGCTTTTCCTATGGATGTGGCTTCCTGTGAGCCAAACTGCAGTGATTGTTGTCTGTCTTCTGGGTTTAGCCACCCAGTAAGTCTACCCTGCTCCGGGTTGGTACTGGGGGTTGTCTGCACAGAGTCCTGTGATGTGAATTGTCTATGGGTCTCCCAGCCATGGATACCAGTGCCTGTTCTGGTGGAGGTGGTGAGGGAGTGCAATGGACTCCATGACAGTTCTTAGCCTTGATGGTTTAATGGTCTATTTTTGTGCTGGTTGGCATCCTGCCAGGAGGTGGTGCTTTCCAGAGAGCATCAGCTGTAGTAGCGTGGAGAGGGACCAGCGGTGGGCTGGGCCCTAGAACTCCCAAGATTATATGCCCTTTGTCTTCCACTACCAGGGTGGGTAGGAAAGGACCATCAGGTGTGGCAGAGCTAAGCATGTCTGAGCTCAGATTCTCCTTGGGTGGGTTTTGCTGCAGCTGCTGTCGGGGTTGGGGGTGAGATTCCCAGGTCACTGGAGTTATGCACCTAGGAGGATTGTGGCTGCCTCTGCTGAGTCATGTAGGTGCTGAGGCAGGGAAGTGGGGGAAAGCTGGCAGTCACAGCCTCACGCAGCTCCCATGCAAACCTAAGGGCCGGTCTCACTCCCACCGGGCCTCTGCCAACAGCCCCGAGTCTGTTTCCAGGCAGTGGGTGAGATGGGCTTGAGAACTTGTTCAAGGATACCCACCTCCGAGCTGTGAAAGAAAAGGGCTTGGGTCTTCCCCTACCTGAGGAGTCTGCACACCGGATGTGCACCCTCCCCCGAGCTCTGGCCGGGAGGCTTCTTGCCCAGTTCAAATTGTTACAAGGTTCAGCTAGAGATTTTCTTCTCCCTGTGGAGTTTTACCCCCTGCTCCTCTGGCCACCCTCCCAATGGAACCCTGTGATGCCCAGCAGGAATGGGCTGCTTGGGCACCCAGCGAGCTCCCAGTGCCTTTCTGCTACTTCCTCTACCCCTGTATTTCGCTCAGCTCTCTAAATTGACTCAGCTCCAGGTAAGGTTAGAAACTTCTTCTGTTAGTTAGAATATATCAGTTAGAAACTGAAACAGACTTTCAGTTTCTCCAGTGGGGGTGTGTTCAGGAGAGGAGGGTCTCCCTTTCCCACTGCCGCACTAGGGCACTCATAGTATTTGGGGTGTCTCCCAGGTCCCGCAGGAGCAGTCAGCCTCCTTCAGAGGGTCTGTGAGTCCTCTCGGGATTGCTGGTTTGTTCTTGCAGTTGATCTGGAGCTAAAATTCACAGTGCAAGCCTCCACACACTGCTCTGTCCAGAGCTGCAATCTAGTCCTGCCTCCTGTCTGCCATGATGATCCAGTTTTTTTGTTTGTTTGTTTGTTTTTTAGACAGAGTCTCCCTCTGTCCCCCAGGCTGGAGTGTGCTGTGGCGTGATCTTGGCTCACTGAGGCCTCCACCTCCTGGGTTCATGCGATTCTCCTCTTTATATATTTTTTAAAGAAAGGAGAGGACACAGCAGAGGAAAAAGCACAAAAGCAGGGCTCTGGAGACCTTGATTCTAGTTCTTTTTCTCCCACGGACTCAGTGTGAAACCTTTGCAAGTAACATCATGTCTGTGGCTCAGTTTTGTAATGGACAAAATGAGAACAATGCAACAGCAGAAGCTCTCTATTAACTTCATAGGATTGGAATGAAATAATTGAAGAACAAGGAATATTACCAGGGATAAAAAGGGATTAAAGCAATGAGGTTTTGTTATGCACTTGCCCAGAGACATTGCTGGTTTTCACACTTTATTTAGCAAGAATTAGGGAACTACTAAGTATTCCTGAAAAATCAGAGACGTATTTAAGAGAGATTCATAACTATTAATTGAGAAGATCATGCAGACTAAATCATTATAAATGTCTATTCTTACAAAAGTTGTAAAGACTTTCCACTGGGTAAAAACCCACATTCAACTTATGTGGTGCTTACTAGAGATACATAAAACAAAACGACACAAAAAGGTCAGTGTGGAAACTTATATGACCACATACAAATTAAAAATAAAGCAAGGTTTATGGTATTGATATCAGGTAGAAGTCAAATTTAAGACAAAAAGCACTTAGGATGCAAAGATTTTATACCATAATGAGGAACAGGGCAACTTGGGCACAGAATCCCACTACTGCTTACTATGTTGGCTTCTTTACCATATTTGTTCATCTATAAAATGGGAGTATTACTAGTGCCTGCCTCAGAGGGTGGTTGTGGGGATGAAAAAGACAGTGCCAGAACATAGTGCATGCTCAGCATTTAGCTATTACTGTTGCTGCCTTAAAACTGATGAAAATCAAAAACTGTAGCAAGGAAAATGGATAGAAATGTAATAGTCACAGGAGTTTTTCACTTACTTTCACCAGTTTTTACAAGATCATCTAGCTATAAAAATGTTAAAAAAAAAAGGAATAGAGTGGTTATTTCAATCAGAATTACCTGTACCCTTTTAAAAATAAATGTGATACAAGGATTTATACTAAATCTAATGAGTTTGGTCATAGGGCATGAAGCAAAGGCAGGTTTATTTATTTTTTTAACTTAACTTCAGAAGTTTCTCTACTGTATACTGTTGCTGAAGATCCACTGCTAAAAATGTTATCATATCTTTGATAAGGTGGATTTGGCCAAAACTTACTGAACCTTCCAAGTAGAAATTTTGTATGTTGTTTTCTAGTATCCATGGATATTTTCTAATATCCAAATTTCTACTCAAAGTTTATTTTTCTTCCCTTGACTATTCTTTCTAGAGGTTTCTCTGCCTTTATTGCCTGGATTGAATTTTAAGTTTAATATGTTTTATTTCCAAATTTTAAATTTAATTCCAAGTTTTTAAGAATTATCCTCATTAATTCCTTTCTCCTTTCCTCAGCTTTATTTTCTAACTTCTTTTTGAAGTTATATTTATTTCTATTCTTCCATGCCTAATAATAAGTGAAGAAAAATAAAAGGGAGTGTGTCCACCATATCTAACCACGTAGCTAAATATCCACATATAATATATATGTATATATTATATGTAAGTCTATGTTAATATATTTTAGAGTCTTCTCACATCATTGGATTAACTTTCTGAAAAAAATAAAATGAGATTCCTATTGAAGTAACATAATACTTTAAATATTTAAAAGTAAAATAAAGAACTATAAAATTATTTAAAATTGTGTTACATTTCTATATAATCTTGGGGTGAAGTATTTTTTAATTGATCACAAAAAAAGCTATAAAGGAAATTTCCTTATTTATCAATATAAACATTAAAAACCTTCTGCATATTAAAACTCATCTCAAACATCAAACTGGGAATATATATATACTATATGATCAACAGATGGCTTGTTTCCTTAACATATACAAAGATCTTAGAAGTCAGTAAGGAACAGAGCATGCTCCAGCAGAAAAAGGGGCAGAAATCACAAACAGGTTTCAGGAGGTGGAAAATAAATGACCATTAAACTTAGGAGAAAATGGTCAACTTCCATTGTAAATTGAGGAAAAAATGTAAATTATAGGAATATATTCATATTTTTACCCATTAAATTGGCAAAGATTAACAAAAAAGAATCTAATATTTGATATAAATCTAATAATTTAGATTTAAAATATTTGTATAATTTAAAATATACAAATCTGATATTTGCATAATCTGTTAGTTGAGTAAAATTTACAAGTTCTTACTGTGTAAAGTTTTCAAATTTGTAAATTTTTAGTATATTTTAAAAACCTTAAAAATAAGCATAATCTTAAACAAGTTTCACTTAAAAAAGTTTGCCCATAGAAATAATTAAGGATGTGGTCAACAGTTAGCTGGATGAAATTTTACTGTAAAATTCTCTGTAATAAAATGTTGGTGCTCAAGAAACTGTTAATAAGCTGGTGACTAAACATAGAAATCTGTAAAATAAATGATATAGTCCACTAGTCATATCCTTTAGTCATAAAAATGATGTTGTAGATGAATGTTTATTGAAAAAGAAAACATGTTCTATTGACTTAAAAAGAATGTTACAAAACAATACATATTTTGCTATCAAATTTTTGTAAAAACAACCACCATTGACTATTAGGGATTTGTCATTTTAAATTTTGCTTCTTATTATCTAATTTATCTACAATAAACATATGTCGCATTTGGAATTAGGAAAAAGGAAATCCCAAATAAGATATTTTAAATTTCCAAATCCTCTCATTCTCTGCCAACAATCACCTGACTAACATGGAGGAAGAAGTATACAGGAAGGCTGGCTTTATGAATAGGTAGGAAAAAGAAAACAGAAAAAAAGTTGTAGGGTTTATATAGATATGAATTACTCTTTGAGGAGTGTCAAAGAATAGGCAAAATACTTCAATTTTACCAGGACATTTGAATACCTATTGGGTTAAACCCTTCAGCAACCACCCTATCACCCAAGCCACAATGACGCCTTGCTTCTATTGCAAAAGTTTCCCATCTGGTTCCAACGTGTCTTCCTGCTGTTTTTACTCTACTGCAGACTCTTTTAAAACCAGATAGCAATGCTTCCTGTCTCACTCAGATCAATAGCTATATTCTCATAATAACCTCCAAGGACTTAGGTAATCTGGTTACCCAACAATCTCTCTGACCATATCATCAGCCAACTGTTGCCTAGCTCACTCTGCTCCAGACATACCAGCCTCCTTGCTGTTCTTCAAACACACCAAGTGTCCTCCCCCTTCAGTGCCATCGCTCTTGCTTTCATATGTGCTTCATACACCCTTTCTCCAAATATTTACATGGCTTACCCAATCACTTCTGTTGTCAGTCTGTTCAAATGTCGCCTTCTCAGTGAGATTTTCCACAGCCACTGTTTACAAAATGGTACATCCAACGTTCTTTTCCCCTTGCTTTGCTTTCTTGCTCTCTACATAGCTCTTATGACTAAGGACACATTCACTATATGCTTATTTGTTTATTGCTTATTCTGTGTCTCCTGGACACAAGGATACAAACACTCTGTGGTCACAGATTTATTTTGTTCACTGCTGAATCCCTAGCCTCTTTAATGGTGCTAGGACCATAATAGATGCTCAATAAGTATTTATTGACCAAATGAATGGGGCATGGGTTTGAGATTGGCAATGTTTTAATTACATAAATCAATATTTAGGTTATAATCAGTTTTGACTGTTAGTAATCTATACTTAAGGTAGTGGCAAGGTATCCCTCTGATGGGATAAGGGGGGGTGTGTCAATTTAAAATGAAAGATGAAGGGCAAGAGAATGAAATCAGGCTTTTTGTACATCAGAGGCCCCTTTCTAAAGCATCAGGGTAATATAATTCACTCATGACTTTATGAAAATCTGCTTGTTATTGTGCTTGCTGGGGCACTACCAGGAATTGTGCTTGCTGGAGATACAAAGATGTGTAGTATTTAGTACCAGCCCTTAAGAGATCTATTCAATAGAGGTAATTCTAGGTTTTCCATGTCATTCCCTCATTCCTCTTCTCCTTGCTATCAACAAAATGTGTAACTGTGCTCAAGAAAGGAATGTGATTAACATCAGGCATAAGCACAGTTACATTGACCCACAAAGAGACTAAGGGACTAGAAATCTACAAGACAGATGCCCAGAATGTTCTCGCAGTGCGGACTTTGGCCCCTCTTTCCAGAAGTGTTGCTATGGTATTCTCATTCTAAACTCAAAGTGCGGAAAAGCCACTGCTCTTGAAAGTTACCTGGTTAATAGTTCAAACCATTTTCTTTCTCATCCTCATACTTCACAAAAGTAAGGAGCAAATGAGTTGGGGTTTTGCAGGACAAGATATGAAAGCCAGCTAACCCTGTCCCAATAGGTCACTATTTCCTTACATTCACTCGTTGATGTAGTTCAGCCTTTGTTTCCTCATCATCCCACAGGTCATCAGGAAGGGAGTTGAAATCAGCCTGCCATTGAGCTACAAAATCTTGCTTGTGATCCGGACGCTTTAGAAACTCCTGGAAACTTGTTCTGTAGACATTAATAGAATGAGATAAATTTTATATGTCATGCCTCTAAACTGTAAAATTCTGACTTTGGAAACATTACTTACCTAATCTCATATAAGTAAGCAAGCACAGTATGCTGGTCTTCCCTCAGATGCCTGAGTACTGTTTTGATGGTGTTTATATAGGAATTTTCTATTAGTTCCCAGTAAGGTACTAAAAACAAAGGCATTTCCTGTTAAATGGTAAAGTGTAGAAACTGTTACTTCAAAATGAAAGTTCTTCTGAATAATAGTGTCAAAAGAACAGTCCCAAGCAAAAAGGTCAAGATGCAACTGCAACTACATAAAGCATTCCCTGTGAGACTTCTTGCTCCTCTTCTCTCACACGCCTCCCACTCCAGCAAATTCATATTCCAAATAATCCTCCATGTCTCAGCCCAGATATTATTTATTCCAGAAATTGGGGGCGGGCGGTCGTGGTGGTGGCTCATGCCTGTAATCCCAGCACTTTGGGAGGCCAAGGTGGGCAGATCACCTAAGGTCAGGAGTTCTAGACCAGCCTAGCCAACATCAAGAAAGCCTGTCTCTACTAAAAATACAAAAAATTAGCCAGGTGTGGTGGCATGTGCCAATCCCAGCTACTTGGGAGGCAGAGGCAGGAGAATTGCTTGAACCTGGGAGGCGGAGCTTGCACTGAGCCAGGATCATGCTGTTGCACTCCAGCCTGGGCAACAACAGCAAAATTCCATCTAAAAAAAATAACTGTTTATTCCAGAAATCCTACCCAGATACAACAAGTCTGCAAGGTCATCCACTGAGGTTCTGAGGTTCTCCCTTAGCATCCTGTACTTTTCCCATCATAACACTGATGACGTTAATTGTAACATCATCATTTACTTGTCTATACTCATCTCTAGAATGGCAGTCCCATAAACACAGAAACTGTCTTGTTTACCATTATAAGAAGACTCTTCAAAAAGTTTATGAAAAATACATATTATGAAAAAACTATGCATGAATTTTGAAATTCAAAATTCAAAATTTCAAAATTAATGCATAGTTTTTATAACATGTTTGAACACATCTGAAGACGATGTAGTTTTAGACACTGAGAAAGACGAGGTATCAGTTTGAAAAGAGCCTCTATCTGAGCAACATGAATTCTGCAAAAATTGAAACAAGAACAAACATCAAATTGCTGGTAAAGCTTGGGAGGAAGAATGGTGAAATCATTGATGCTTTACAAAAAGTTTATGGGCACAATGTTCCAAAGAAATTAGCAGTTTACTAACTGATCTTAAGAAGAGACGAGATAATGTTGAAGATGAAGCCTGCAGCAGTAGACCAATCCATATCCATTTTCAAAGAAAAAATTAACTTTTTGTGCCCTCACTGAAGAGGACCAATGATTAACAGCAGAACAATAGCCAACCCCACAGACATCTCAATTGGTTCAGCTTGCACAACTCTGACTAAAAATTAAAGTTGAGCAAACTTTCCCCTAGATGGATGTCAAAACCATTGTGCCCAGATTAGCGGCAGACAAGAGCAAAGCTTTCAATAGAAATTGTTAACAAGTTTGTCAAAACTTGTTAACAATTTCTGTTGAAAGCTTTGCTCTTGTCTGCTACTAACAATGATCTTTGACAAACCTGACAAAAACAAGCAATGGGGAAAGGATTCCCTATTTAATAAATGGTGCTGGGAAAACTGGCTAGCCATATGTAGAAAGCTGAAACTGGATCCCTTCCTTACACCTTATACAAAAATTAATTCAAGATGGATTAAAGACTTGAATGTTAGACCTAAAACCATAAAAACCCTAGAAGAAAACCTAGGCAATACCATTCAGGACACAGGCATGGGCAAGGACTTCATGTCTAAAACACCAAAAGCAATGGCAACAAAAGCCAAAATTGACAATTGGGATCTAATTAAACTAAAGAGCTTCGGCAGAGCAAAAGAAACTACATCAGAGTGAACAGGCAACCTACAGAAGGGGAGAAAATTTTTGCAATCGACTCATCTGACAAAGGGCTAATATCCAGAATCTACAAAGAACTCAAACAAATTTACAAGAAGGAAACAAACAACCCCATCAAAAAGTGGGTGAAGGATATGAACAGACACTTCTTAAAAGAAGACATTTATGCAGCCGAAAGACACATGAAAAAATGCTCATCATCACTGGCCATCAGAGAAATGCAAATCAAAACCACAATGAGATACCATCTCACACCAGTTAGAATGGCAATCATTAAAAAGTCAGGAAACAACAGGTGCTGGAGAGGATGTGGAGAAATAGGAACACTTTTATACTGTTGGTGGGACTGTAAACTAGTTCAACCATTGTGGAAGTCAGTGTGGCGATTCTTCAGGGATCTAGATCTGGAAATACCATTTGACCCAGCCATCCCATTACTGGGTATATACCCAAAGGAGTATCAATCATGCTGCTATAAAGACACATGCATACGTATGTTTATTGCGGCACTATTCACAATAGCAAAGACTTGGAACCAACCCAAATGTCCAACAATGATAGACTGGATTAAGAAAATTTTGCACATATACACCATGGAATACTATGCAGACATAAAAAATGATGAGTTCATGTCCTTTGTAGGGATATGGATGAAGCTGGAAACCATCATTCTCAGCAAACTATCGCAAGGACAAAAAACCAACCACTGCGTGTTCTCACTCATAGGTGGGAATTGAATAATGAGAACACTTGGACACAGGAAGGGGAACATTACATCCCGGGGCCTGTTGTGGGGTGGGGGGAGGGAGGAGGGATAGCATTAGGAGATATACCTAATGTAAATGATGAGTTAATGGGTGCAGCACACCAACATGGCACATGTATACATATGTAACAAACCTGCACATTGTGCATATGTACCCTAAAACTTAAAAGTATAATAAAAAAAATCATAAGAGAGACAAGGTGAAAGAAGAGAGAACAGTGGTGAGTAATGACATTTAATATACGTAAGTTTAATAAATGAGGATATGACAAAAAAAAAGAAATTGTTAACAAGTGAGGTCAAGATTCTAAAGCATTTCTTCAAAGAATTTGTAATAGGAGATGACATGTAGCTTTATCAGTATGATCCTGAAGACAAAGCACAATCAAAGCAATGGCTACCAAGAGGTGGAAGTGGTCCAACCAAAGTAAAAGCAGACTGGGTCAAGAGAAAAGGTCATGGCAACAGTGTTTTTTTTTATTTTTTTGGATGCTCCAGGCATTTTGTGAAGTTTCTGAGGGGCCAAAGAAAAATAACATCTGCTTATTATGAGAGTATTTTGAGAAAGTTTGCTAAAGCTTTAGCAGAAAAACAACTGAGAAGCTTCACCAAAGAGTTCTTCTCCACCAAAACAATTCTCCTGCTCATTCCCCTCATCAAACAAGACCAATTTTGTAAAACTCTTGATGGGAAATCATTAGGCATCCATGATATGGTTTGGCTCTGTGTCTCCACCCAAATCTCATCTCAAATTATAATCCCCATAATCTCCATGTGTCAAGGGAAGGACCTGGTAGGAGGTGATTGGAGCATAAGGTGGGGTTTCCCCATGCTGTGCTCATGATAGTGAGTTAGTTCTCATGTGACATGATGGTTTTATAAGTGTTTGACAGTTCCTCTTTCACACACACACACACACACACACACACACACTCTGTCACTTGCCTCCATGTAGTTAATATGTGCCTGCTTTCCCCTCTGCCATGATTATAAGTTTCCTAAGGCCTCCCCAGCCATGTGTAACTGTGTGAGTCAATTAAACCTCTTTCTTTTATAAATGACTCAGTCTTGGGTATTTCTTTATGGCACTGTGAAAACAAACTAATACAATCCACCTTATATTTCTGATTTGGCTCCATCTTTCTTCTTTTTCTTAATCTTAAAATATCTGTAAAGGGTATCCATTTTATTTAATAAATAATGTAAAAAAGACTGCATTGACTTGGTTCAACTCTTGGGACCCTCATTTCCTTAAGGATGGACCGCATTGTTGGTATTATCTCCTACAAAGGTGTCTTAATCTTGAAGCTTACGTTGAGAAATAAGGCTTATTTTTTAATTTTATCTTTTAATTCAATTTTTCCACAAGCCTTTTGAAGTCCTCTCATGCCATCTTTTCTTTAATTACCATAGTGTTTGGGACATAGTAGTCCCTGAAGTAATAGTTATTGAATGAATAAATTGAATCATCACAGGTGACACATTTTGTCTCAGTTAGGAAACTGTCTAGCATGAAGAACACGTAGTGTTCATATCAGTGTGATGATGAGTTATTTCTCCGATTACATTTAGAAGGTTCTTTCATTGCTGTGTGCATAATGAAAATCAGAAAGCTTCTTTTATATTTTATTTAATAATGCAAATAAACAATCAAAACCAAGAAATAATCTAAATGAATAAAGCTGAGGATCCATATTATATTTAGTATATTCTTGCTGTACTCATTATTCCCTTATTGGCTGCGCATTTATTCACTCAGGGAATTACACATGGAGACCTTAGAGGTCATCTGGGCTAATTTCCTCTCCAATCAAGAAATGCCAAATGCTACAGATACATTATCTAATCTCCCTGTGGACCTCATGTATGTATCAAGCACAGAATTTCAAGGCAGCCTCCTTCAGTGTTGCACAACTCATGTTACTGGAAAACTTTTTCTTCTGTTGAGCAGAAATTTGTCTTTCTGTAATTTCCACTCAGTCCTAGCTATTCTCTTTGGAGAAGGACAGACTACATTCACACTAACTTTCTTATGGCAGCCTGTCAGATATTTGAAGACTGGTAACATTAGTGAGGAGAGAGTAAGACTGGGATTCAGGATACATGAGATCTGATCCAAGTCATTCTATCATTACTTATGTGTCTTACTTTGTCCAAACCAATGAGTAAATCAACCAAAAATTATTCACTAAGTGGTCATCCTATGTAGGTAGGTACTTTCCTAGGTACTAGAAATTTTGTGGTGAATAAGGCAGAGTTGCTGGCTTTAGGAGCTTATATTCATATAGAAGATAGGAAACAGTGAAGAAGTAATAAGTAATTAGGAAAATCAGTAAGAAGGTAAGTAGTAAAGACCTAGGCAACTTAATTAGCCAATAAAAAAGCAATTCATGGCCGGGCGTGGTGTCTCATGCCTATAATCCCAGCACTTTGGGAGGCCAAGGTGGGTGGATCTTGAGGTCAGGAAGTTGAGACCATCCTGGCCAACATGGTGAAACCCCATCTCTATTAAAAATACAAAAATTAGCCAGGCGTGGTGGCATGCACCTGTAGTCTCAGCTACTTGGGAGGCTGAGGCAGGAGAATCGCTTGAACCCGGGAGGCGGAGGTTGCAGTGAGCTGAGATTGCAGCAGTGTACTCCAGCCTGGTGACAGAGTGAGACTCTGTCTGAAAAAAAAAAAAAAAAAAAAAGAAAAAAAAGAAAGCAATTCACATACTAAGTGTTGTGAAGTGACAGAGGTGCTGCTTTGTTTAGCATGGTCAGGAAAGGCCTCTTCATTAAGCAGCATTGCAGTTGGCATTGAGAAGAAGGAAGATTTAGGGCAAGCTTGTCCAATCCATGGCCTGTGGGTCACAGGCAGCCCATGACAGCTTTGAATGTGGCCCAATATAAATTCGTAAACTTCCTTAAAACATTATGAGATGTTTTTGTGATTTTCTTTTTTTCAGCTCCTTAGCTACCATTGGTGTTAGTGTATTTTATGAGTGGCCCAAGAGAATTATTCTTCCCTTGTGGCCCGGGGAAGCCAAAAGATTGGACACCACTGATTTAGGGGAAGAGCACTCTGAGCAGAAGGAACAGCAGATGCAAAGGCACTGTGGTGGGAATGTTCTTGGCATATGTAACGGAGAGAATGCAGGCTAGTGTTTGCAGGGCTTGGTGAAACAAAGTAGGACTGGAGAAAGATGACATCTGAGAAGTGGGTAAGACCCAGTTTCTGAACCATTCCCAGATTCTATCCCTTCCTCCCTCTTTCCCTATGTCATTGCCTTCCTTCAAGCCTTTATTAGTTCTTGTCTAGAGCAGTATAGGGGCCTCCAAACAGGTCTCTGTGATTCCTTTCAATATCCTTGAATTACCTTCTATTCTTAAAACAATGAACACTTATTTAGAACCTACTTTGTGCCAGATTCTGTTTAAAGGGCTTTATGTGGACTAACTCATTAAAGTCCTACAACAACTTAAAAGATATGTTTCTATTACTCTTACTATTTAAAGATGAGGCAATTGAAGCAACAGAGGTTAAACAGCTTGTACAAGGTCATGTAGCTGCTGAGTGACATAGCTGGGATTTGAACATAGACCAGTCACAATCCACTTTTTTTTTTTTTAAACAATTCACTGTACTGTCTCTCTGAGTTACTGTAGTGAAAATTATTCCAACATGTTACTTTCTTGCTGAAAAACATTCCGTGGTTTCCACTACCATGCAGATGAAGTCCAAACACTTCAGCACAGATTTTAAGATCCTTCTAAATCTGGCACCTGCCTTCCTGTGAACTGCCTCCTAAAGCTGTGTCCTTAAACCTTCTGCTCCTGATGCACTGAGACAATCTCTCAGACTGAGATTCTCTCTTCCTATAATATTCCCTACCCAATGAACTCATACTTTAAAAGGTAATTTGCAGTGAGGGCCTTTTTTGATATTCTAAATAAAATGTATTATTCCCTCCTCTAAGTTGTTATGACAGTTTACAGTCTTGTTATAGAGGAAACTACAAAACTGTGTTGTAATCCCAACACTTTGGGAGGCCAAGGCAGGTGGATCACGAGGTGAGGAGATCGCGACCATCCTGGCTAACACGGTAAAACCCCATCTCTACTAAAAATACAAAAAACTAGTCGGGCGTGGTGGCGGGCGCCTGTAGTCCCGGCTACTCAGGAGGCTGAGGCAGGAGAATGGCATGAACCTGGGAGGCGGTGCTTGCAGTGAGCCAAGATCATGCCACTGCACTCCAGCCTGGGTGACAGAGCGAGACTCCATCTCAAAAAAAAACAAAAAACAAAAAACAAAAAAAAACCTGTGTTGTAATTGGTTGCTTACAGAAATTCCATTTGTCAGGGGGGGATATGTTCCCAGACCCACAGGGGATGCCTGAAACTGAAGATAGTACTAAACCCTATATGTACAATGTTTTTTCCTATGCATACATTCCTATGATATAATTTAATTCATAATCAGGCACAGTAAAATATTAACTAATAATAAAATAGAACAATTATAACAATATACTGTAAAAAAAGTTATGTGATTGTAGGCTCTTTCTTTCTCTTACTCAAAATACCTCATTGTACTGTACTGTGGGTAATTGAAATCATAAAGTGAAACTGCAAATAAGGGGCAACTATTGTTTATGCCTCTGTCTCCAAGTAGACTGTGTCCTTGGACATGGCAATTGCAGCTTGCTTGCTTTCATGTTCCCAGAACTGAGTACAGCATTTGCACATAATGGGTGCTCAATAAATGTTAATATGGATATAACCAGGCTCATTTGAACCCAGTTTTATCATCATATTAAATTTTTTGGAGACTGTATGGCTCCAAATAGTTCTAAAAGCCTAAGATCGTATGTCTAACCGTACCTTAAGGGTTCATGTATCTAAATTAAACATTTACAGTTCTTTTAATGCCCCTCTAACATTATTTCAACACCCTTTCCTGACCTACTTCTCTCTCTGGTTTCTAGTTTGTCATAATCTCTCTTAAAAAAAGTGATATCCATAGTGGTGCTAAAGACCATTTTTAAAAAGCACACCACTAAACCTCCCTCCTGGTCAACTTCAATCCATTAATCAACACTGTGTGCATGAAGAGTTGCCTCCTAAGAATGGGTCGAACTGAATTAATATCCTGCTCACAGCCCTCATTTCTCTACAATGATTTCATGAAGAAATTGTCAAATACTATTTTGAACTCAAGAGATACTACATCTATGGTACTCCCTGATCCCCATATCCAGCCTTGCTCTCAAGGCTAGAGCAGGAATGGGTCAGCTCAACAAGACTTATTCTTGCTGTGCAGGCTCCAAATGATCATCTTTATAAGTGCTCAAAAGTAATGTGTTTAATAATTTGCTCTTAAATTACAACAATAATTAATGTATAAATTATTGGTCTGTATGTTACTAAGTCCCACTGCCTTTTCTTAAGTATTTAGGCATTTGCCTGCATCTAGTTTTCTGGAATCCCCTGTACCCTCTGTGATTTCTGTGAGTCATGGATAATGTAATATCTGTAGGTTCTTCCAGCCCCTGAGATGTAATTTTTCTGGTCTTGGAACTTGAACTTACAGATGTAATGAGGTGCTCAGAGCTGTACTTTGCAATTAAATAGTTTTCCCTTTGTTAGGGAACACAAAATCATAGTAGGAATTCAGTAGCCAAGGCAGTATTCTCTGAAGTTTCAGAGACCCTCACTTTACACAGGCATCATCCAAGTTCCTGAGAGGAGCCTAGTAATTTGCTCACACAAGCAACAGATTCATCTTCAAGTACCACTGGTCAGGTCTTCTGTCTTTTTCCAATTTGACTTCCTCTCTGTCACATTTCCTTCCATAATGAGTTATGAAGCTAAAAGAAAATGTTCTAACTATCAATACTAAAAAATCCAATGAAGCTTGCTAGAGGGAAGCCTCAATTATCTTTCTGTTCTCTCTATAGGAAAATGAGCTTACAAAATCATTGTCATATGTAAAGACCTGCAAAGATAAAGAATAATAGAGGGGTACTGGGCACCTAAAAAGTGTTTGTGTGCTTGTCTGTTTCTTCCAGTTATAAAAATATTTCTTAACTGAATACAAATCAGTTCTAAATAAATATTGACTTCATGACTGATTCTGTATTTGCAATTTTGTGCTTTTTTTCTTAAAGAGGGTCCACCAAGTCTTTAGGACTCACAAAACCTTATTACTACCATTGATTAATTTGACTTCATTTCTTTTCTCATTTAAGATGATTTCAGGTTACCCAAGCTGGGTTTCCATTTTCAGTCTTCTATTATCTTCTTAGACAATGTAACTACAAATCTTTTCATTTTTGGCATTTTGGCAGAGACATATACACATACCCTTGACTGTATTCTTTCAATGTTCAAGTGCCTACGATGGGCTAGACACTCACTAAATTCCTATCCTTTCATAATTTTCTCTAATTTTTTGAGTATCCCCCGCCTACTGCTCTTCTCCCCTGTAAAATGCCCTGGGATCACATTAGTTTCTTTGGTACATAATCGGGATTTTAAGGGCAAATTTTCTTCTGATTTGAGCCCATCCATTTCTCTTAGAGCCTTATTCCTGTTTAGAGGCCAATTATGATTTCACTATAGGTTTGAAATATGCTTTCCTGATAACTAGGGCACATGTTTCTTATGTTCTGCCAGATCCTTCCTTTACTATTACACCTCCTTTATTAGTACTTTCTCCTAAATGATTGATCATTTCCATTTACCTAACTGTCCATGTTTGTTGGTCAGTACTAAATTCGAAGCAGAAGTCCTCCATAGCCCCCTCTATATTTTGAACGTTGAAATTGTCAGCAAGGCCAGTAGAGAATTGATCAAAAGCTATGCTTTAATCTGAGTTATACTTTTGGCCGTAGAGTCCTATGTCTGTCAGCCTCCTGAAGGAGGACAGGTTTCCAAACTCAGCACACATGGCCCTGTGGCCCCTGGGCCCAGTTTCAGGGAGGAGTGCTGCTACAGGTTGGTTGAATGTGAGTGAGGGCACTACATGGGCCACATGGCCCGAGGCATGGCTGCCTCTTTTCGTGGAGTCCTGGTCTTGGGAGGCTGCTCTTGTGACTCTACAGGCTGGAAGCAAAGACCTCTCACTCTAACTGCCTTCTGCGTTCTCTCTGCACCTTCTCTTGTGGCTGGCAAAAGGAAGAGATCCCAGGATCTCCTCACATTTGGCTGCTACCTGAATGCTATATGGAAGCAGCCTCTCTTTTCAATCTCTCTCCCATCATTTGTCTGTTGAAGTAAGGTTTACCTGGGGCCCTTAGAAGGTCTGGAAACAGGGTTACCAGATAAAGTACAGGATTCTCAGTTAAATTTGTTTAACTGAAATCCAAGTTGAACTGGGCATCTGTCTTCCCCTTCCTTGGCAGGTGTATTAGTCCGTTTTCATGCAGCTGATAAAGGCATACTTGAGACTGGGAAGAAAAAGGTTTAATTGGACTTACAGTTCCACATGGCTGGGGAGGCCTCAGAATCATGGTATGAGGTGAAAGACACTTCTTACGTGGCAGCGGCAAGAGAAAATGAGGAAGAAGCAAAAGCGGAAACCCCTGTTAAGCCCATCAGATCTCGTGAGACTTGTTCACTATCACGAGAACAGCATGGTAAAGACTGGCCCCTATGATTCAATTATCTCCCCTGAGTCTCTCCCACAACACGTAGGAATTCTGGGAGACACAATTCAAGTTGAGATTTGGGTAGGGACACAGCAAAACCATATCAGCAGGTAAACTCGGCAGTTCACGTGTGGGGAGTCCAGAGTGGAAACGAACTAGACTGGGCATGTTTTGCTGTAGCAAAAGGTGTTTGCTACCTGGCCTTACATAGGAAATGAGAGGTCTGTGTTGCACATCTTCCATGTCCCTTCACACCAGTTTCCTTCATCTTGCTTAGTGCCTGGGGAGGCTAATGTACGTAAGTACTTCAGGAAACTCCCTCGCCCTCCATCTTCTTGGCCAGAGTATTTTTCTGCTCCTGTTTGCAGGGTCGCACTGCATCCCTCTGGGGAAGGCCACAGCTCTTGTCAGATGGCCCTCTAAGTGCAGAAGTTCTCTTGAGGCCCAAGGATCTACTTCCTTTCTGCACCTCCTCAGCCTAGGGGCCATAGTGACCCCCAGCTGTCCCTTGTTGGAGGGGAGGGAATAATCTAATCCTTGTAGGTTGCCATACTTATTGCCTTCACATGTGTAAATAGTCTTTTATTCTACTCTCCTCAAATTATCATGTTTTCTATAGAATCCCGAATGCTGGAAGATCTACATGGAGCTGGTGCCATATTTCAATGTTAATTTTGTTTTAAAAAAAGTCCTGTTTTTTATTTCTCTCTTGTCCTCTATAGATTTATTTCTTACAAGGGCTTCAAGTTTTGGAGTTAAAGAATGAATTTAGGTGTTTTTGCCCCACATTCCCCATCACTTACCATATTGTATCATTTTAATTTTATCTTATTCCTAACACCCACTTCTATATCTTGCTTCTATGGTAAGTTTTTGAACCTACATATATATTAATATTAGTATATATATTAAAGTAGCTTCTGTTTGGCTGAGTGAGGTCAATTACATACCTCCATAATTATATCACTTAATGCTCTCAATTTTAAATATTTTCTGTTCTAATTTCACTCTCAATGCTAATTAATCAATTAGAAACCTATCAAGAATCTGTTACATACTCTCTACTGTGTTTGTGTTGAATACATTGAATTATTCCATGTTCCTACCCTCGCCAAAGAGTTTATAATTTAATTGGGAGAGAAGACATATCCCTAGGAAAGCTCAATAATAACAGCAACACCACAATTGTTGCATTTCATAATTGGGTCTCAAATGCCTGGCACAGATGGTTGCTACTGAGTTCATCAGAATAAGAGATCATTGCGGACTGGAATGAGGGAGAAGGAGACCTTGTCTTTTAAAAAGCTCTTTGCTGTTTAAAAAGTTTCAAAGGAAGGACCATTCTGTGGACTTTCTGAGAATTCATCTGTCAAGCCAACTAAAAATAGTAGATGGCAACTGGGCCTTGCGAGTTGAGCTAGGCGGAGCTTTCAGCGCTCCTCTGGGACATCTCCTTGCCTTACACCAGCATACCCATTAACGTTCCCAGGTCAGATAGCTGTCTGTTCTTTCATGGGTTTAGTTAGCTTCAAAAATATTCTTCTACTTCTAAAAAGTCAAAGGTTAAACTTCACTTAAAAGCATTGTGATGGGGATATTAAAATATGAATAGAAGGCTAGAAATTTGCTGGATATGTGTTCTGGGGAAGTCATTCTTCCAGGAATCTGCATCTCTGTGTGTTCTTGAGAAGAAAATTGTTCCTCACAGAACCCATTTGTTCCCCCCATTTTAGCACTCAATAGCAGTTCAAAGCATGACTCAGAAACTCAAGTAGGAGAAAGGATGAGATATGGGTCATTGAGTAGTCTCTAAAAAAAATCTCAGATGGATAGATATATATTACCTGCTGTAAAAGGCCTTCAGGATGTTGCAAATGACAGTGTGAATCTTACTATATGCAGGAGAAAGAATGAATTCTGCCAGCTTGATTCTAAATGGCCATACCTCAGGAACTGGTTCATTCACATAGACCCATTCTTCTGATCCTGGCTTAGGTGGCTGTGGCACTATTGCAACAGGTGATGTATCTGTAGAGTCAGCAGGTGATTTCTTTACTGGTACTTTTCCTCCTGATGATTTTCCTTTAGGAGAACCTTAAACATGCATATCAAATTATTCCAATACAAGTAAATGAATGGGACAGAATTCTGGTAGATGAATACATCTATAATTACCATGGACTTCAGGTGATTCATTAACTACTTTTTAAGCTTTTTTGAGGAGTCTTACAAAAAATCCTTATTCTCCACAGCCCCCAAATTAACCAATAATATTAATAATAGTAAATGTTTTAAAGCAATCCAACCTATCCAAGTGGCTAATATATTTGATATTTTATTTTCATCTGTCCTTGCTTTCAGAATGAACATGTGACTTTTATAAAGTTTAGACTCTAGAACAAACTGTATTCCACTTACTATTTCAAAAACTGGCAAATTAAACTCTCCACCTTGAATGAGAAAGAAGGTAGCTAGAACATGAGTGGTGCTCTTGGTATCCCTTGGAGACCAGGTTAGAGGGCAGAGAGAAAGGAGGATGTTATAAGAGTCAGCTGGAGTAGGTGAGGGATGCAGGGGAGGAGAAGAGGGGCTGTTGAAGCCCCTGAACATTCTCTGCACATGACACAGCGTTTCTGTGGGGAAATTATATTTCTTGCTACAGTTAGGGAATAAAGATGAAGGTAGTTGCTGTGGCATAAGCCTGGCAGAATCAAGTCATGAGAGAAAGCAAAAGGAAAAGAAAGGGAAGCAAAGGAAGGGGAGGGGAGGGGAGGAAAGGGGGGGGGTGCTTGGGAAGAAAACGAGAAAGAGGAGGTCTAATTTTCAATTCAGAATCCGAAAAGGACATTCACTTCACTTTCCCTGATAACATCAAGAGGGGAATCTAGATCTGTTAAGTGGCGCCCTATGGTATGAACAACCTTGGTCCTTAACTCAGAGAGCACTAATATTCCCTGAAAAGATCAAGTTATTACAGTTTGGAAATTCACTCCGTTTAAAATTCCACTTACCTTTAGATTAATTATTGAAATTTTTAGATGCAGTTTACAGACACCTGTAGAACCAGGAGCACTTTCTTCCTCCAAAATATATCTTTAATGAGTATTATTTAATGATAATGCTGTTTAGAAAAGCAAATACATCTTCCGCTTTTATGTTAGTTAAAAATAAGTAGATTATAAGTAGAGGAGAAATTGTTAATTATATCTTGTGGGCAGTTTAGGTGATCTCTACTTATATATTTAAAAACAGTATCTATTATCTATAGATCTGAAGTTATATCTAAATTATATAAAATTTAGAAAAATTTAAGAAAGTCTTTGTTTAGGCAGTAACTGACAATTTTCACAATTTGATATGTTTTTCTAAATAATGATTTTCCTTTGACCTGAATCTCTGGTGAAGTACAAATGATAACTCTATGATCAATTTAAAATGAATTTATCTAAGCAAAATTCCTAAGAAGAAGAACTTTGTAATGATAAATTAGAGACTGGAATGAGTTTCTTTTTCTTTTCTTAAATATCATGATCGTTCAGTGAAAACTGAGAGAGTCGGAATATTTCTGGACTATTGTGCTTTGATTCCATACAACTTTTGTGTAACTTTTAACAATGAAAATACTGAAGGGCAAAATATTTGAATGAATAAAAATGTATCTATGCGTTAGTGAATATTCACTTTTGAACAAAATCTTTATCAACATCTTAAATGTAACAAGCTGCATTACTTTTTAAGTACCATCCATGCAACCATATGAAGGCTTCATTTTCTAATAAGATGTTTGCTTTCACTTGTAGAGTTGGATCATTGAGTCCTCAGTGTAACTATTCCTCATGCTCATGGATGAAAAGTTTGGAAAATAATCTATGGATTAGCATATGGTGAAGGTACATATTACCAATTTTTTTTGTTGTAAGAACCTGATAGTATCACACAGAAACCCATGGCACTGCAATGAGTATAAATAAAAATAAAATGCAGTAAAAAGAGAAATTCAGTTTTAGAACACTGGATTTTAAAAATCAATGTATAAATAAAGAAATAATCAAAGACAAAGTGACACAGCAGTAGATTTGAGCAAAGAGATAATAATAGGAACTCAGTGAAGGTCTGAGTAATTAAAAGTCAAGAGCTGGAACCAAAATTTACAACTAAGAAAGTAAACAGTTAATTCTAAGATAAGAGGATCAATTGATGAGAGGACATTAGGAAAACCAGACACTTTCAAATTAAATTGGCCTTCCTCAGGGAGGTGAAAGGATTGGGAGGTTAGAATTGTAGGAGGGAGGAAAAGATAGGGAAAGTCTGCTTTATGTGTTTGTTGTTGTTGTTGTTGTTGTTTTCTTTTAAGAAAGGCATTATTTTTACCTTTCTGTTGCAAAATATATCCTCTAGGACTTAAATTAATTAACAGCTTCACTAGATAGAAACCAGATCAGTTAACAGTGATAGCTTTCTTATTGCCTTGGGGGTCAACCATGTTCAGCAAAGAACAACTTTTTGTTAACAGTGCTAATGGCTGCCTGGGCTGCCAACAATGGCAATCAAAGTGGAGATTTAGAGTGTCTTAAATAAGATGAAAATTTTAGCTCAGAAATGGACCAGACTGAAGCAACATGACCAGGAAGAGAAGAGGTCCGGTGTTAGGCAAGGAGCCAGAGACTGAACATGTGTTCTCAGAACTCACGGTTGAAAAACTATTCTGAAAAAGCTCATGGAGGGAAAGCTTTCTCTGCTTACTGTCCTAAAATTTATGCTGTTACTCTGCGTAGAGCTGGAGATACAGAATGTGGACAACTACAAAGTAATGAGACTGGTTATCTGGGGTTGCTTATAAAACCTAATTTTAGCACCTTTATAATCAATAACAAGAGGGAACTCTCCAGGTCAGCTTTGCAAAGGATTCCCCTTTCTGCCCTCTGTCTTTAGTAACTTGGTCTGGGGCCAATAATAATACTCCATATTTATTTACAGTTTATTCTGAGCCAGACCCTGTACTATTTACTTTTTTGCACATGTACTTATTCTTTATAATAGCCACATGAGTAGATACTCCTATTACTCCATTTCACAGATGAGGAAATTGAGGCATATTAAGGTACAGTAACTTGCCAGAGGTAACCCATATATGGTAAATGGCAGAGCTAGAATTTCAGTCTAGGCGGGCTGGCTGTAGACTCCATGCTTTTGATTGTCATACTTCATTGCCTTTTAGTGTCTATTGATGTAGTTCATATTGATAAATGTTCTTTTGATTCATACTTAGAAGTTTGCAAACTCAGAGAAGTTCTTATACTACTATTTACTTGGCTCATTGATTTTAAGATTATTTTTATTTATATTGCATACCAATTTTCTTTTTGGAAAATTTCTGGTAAAATTTTTTAAACTTCAGTCTGATAAACAGATTCATTAAGAGACTCGTACTTAAGAGCAGAAATATTATTTATTTAATTTATTTAAACAATTGTAACATTATTGAGGCAAAAGTCAGGGAAGTTATGAGCAATTTAGTGTGCAAATTAATGTGGGAGGGTAGATAATATTCTCCAAAGAGTGAAGAGGCTTTTTGTTTTCTTCTCATAGGTTAACAGTTCTTAACAAAACACTTCTTTATTCATTTTGACTCTCAATTTCCTCATCTTTGACATGGTAAAATGATAATTTCTACTTCATAGATGATTGTGAGAACTTAATGAGATTATATATGTAAATCATCTTGTGTAGTGCCTGGTACATAAAAGGTACTTTATAAGAGGTAGTTTGTTATTATGCTTATAAATTGTATTATAAAAGAAGACTATGGTTGAATTTCGCTACCAGAACCGTGATCAATCATAAATTAATTGCCAGCTTTTGTATGTGTGGCATCAACCTTCCAATGAAACCCAATGTATTTTGCATTTGCTATAAATCTATGACGACCTTGCATATTGTGCCACATACTGTCCTCTGTTAAAGGTCTCAGGTGATAAAAATCTATTTTAGAAATTAATCCTGTTAAAATTTAAACCCATCATACTTCCTCCATCACCTTGTCAGGTTGTTCTGATTAAGGAGTCATCACAATAAGCATTGTGTCTTTGAGCTGAATGTGCTAATTTCCTCATTTCAGGGCTTTGGATTTTTATTTCTATTTCAACAGCATTATTATAAACATGTTTTTTATTGTAATTTAACTTAAATATTTGGAGGAAGAGGTATATTATAAATAATACACCAGAAATCATTGAATGTTTCTGATTTTCCAGTGGCTACAATAGAGCAGTCAGCCTTGGGCTCCAGTAAAGTAGTTCTCAAATGTTAGTGATCATCAGGATCCTCTAGTGGGCTCGTTAAAACACAAAACTGCTGGTCCCCACTCCTGGAATTTCAGATTTAGTAGGTCTCGGGTGGGGCTGAGTATCTATATTTCTAACAAGTTTCCAGGTGATGCAGATGCAGATGCTGCTGGTCCCAAAACCATACTTGAAGAGCCTCTGCTCTCATAGATGATCTAGTTATTTCAATTTCCTTTCACTTTTGTCTTTTTTCCTCTGTTCTTCCAGATCCTTCAAATTAAATGGCATTAATGAGACAGCCAGGTGGGAGGGGGTCCCTGGACCAGCCTGCTCACTGGGGTGAAGCCTTGGGAAGTTCATGCCATTTGTGTGGGGAGGAGCCTGGCCCCTCTTTTTCCTGTGTGGAACCTGGGATTCAAACTGCCTGGCCTTGCAAGAGTTCCTGTTTCCCTCTTTTTTCCGTTTTAACCCAATAAAACCCTGCTTTACTCACCCTTTAAACCATCTGTGAGCCTAAATTTTGATGGCTGTGGGCAGACAAGAACCCCATTTTAGCTGAACTAAGGAAAAGTCTTGCAACATTTTTGGCACCCAACATGGGACTTGAGAAGCAGTGAGTGAAATGGGGACTCAAAACCATGGAATACTATGCAGCCATAAAAAATGATGAGTTCATGTCCTTTGTAGGGACATGGATGAAATTGGAAATCATCATTCTCAGTAAACTATCGCAAGAACAAAAAACCAAACACCGCATATTCTCACTCATAGGTGGGAATTGAACAATGAGATCACGTGGACACAGGAAGGGGAACGTCACACTCTGGGGACTGTTGTGGGGTGGGGGGAGGGGGGAGGGATAGCATTGGGAGATATACCTAATGCTAGACGACGAGTTTAGTGGGTGCAGCGCACCAGCATGGCACATGTATACATATGTAACTAACCTGCATAATGTGCACATGTACCCTAAAACTTAAAGTATAATAATAAAAGAAAAAAAACCTTGAAAAAAAAAACAAAAAAAAACCTCTCACTGTTGCTTCTAAGACTTTTCATCCTTGGACTTCTGAGGGTGGGGGAAACCAAGTCCCCAACCCCCATGAATCCCATGTCTTTTCATGGCCTTTTCGTTTTTTCTACTGGATAGATGGGTGAGCATCAGCTCCCCGATGCTCCCTGCCCCATGCCAGGGCTGGGACGCATGGTCCCAGGGTCCTGACCAGCTGGATGGCTGGTTCCCAGCCACAAGCCACCACAGCCTTCCCCTTCCCCAGCCAAAGGGTTTTACTCCATTGGACAGTAATTGAACACATCTCCCTGGTGGAGGAACAACTTGCATAAGAGTAAGAGGTTCTTTCCCAGACATTTTTAAACTGTTTTTTTTTTTCTTTCCTCTTCTCCACCCTGTCAGCAGTTAACCTTTAAAGTTTTTACCCCCCTTTACTAGGCCAGGCCCTCAACTAATACTGTTCATATTTTCTGTAAAGCTTTAATTCTGAAAAAGGATTTGTGGGGCTAGTCTTGGGCTGTGGCCAATCTTGTGTGCTTTTCATGTCCGTATGGTTTGTGCTGCAAGCCTCCATCTTGCTTTACATCCTAGGGGCATAACCACTTGGCAAGGCTTTGTTTAGCAATACTGTGTTAGGGGATGAGCCCTCTCTGGTTCAATGTCTGCATGTTTTCCTAACTCTGTCTCTTAAAGGACCCCACCCAGCAACTGGATTTTCTTCTGCCTGTCTATGTATGTACTGTGTGTGATGTCTGTGAAAAGATCTCTAACTAATTCGGCCTAAAGAAAGACAAGCACTTGGATCAAATACTTTTTTTAAGGCAAGTTAAAAGCTGTGGTACCTTTCACTTCACGTGACTTTAATCTTTAAGAAGTAAAAACAGCCCTAAAGACTATTGGTAAAATCCAGGTCAGATGCAAGGTTTGCTAAGTGTTTTAAGGTTACAGACTGCTTTTTGGGTTTTGAGAACTATTTGACATGCGGCTTCACAATTGGTAAGGTCTGGGCACATATGGAACTAACCACACCCTTAATTAAGAAGGCAAACCTTGGCTACACTTAGCCCACAATTAAAGCAACTCACCAAGCTTTACCTTAAAGTTAAAATTGATAGGAGTTAACTGAAACTACTAGAAATAGATTTACATGCAAGATGTGTAAGAACAGTAAAATGTGTGTTTTAGTAAACAGTTATAAGAAGGCATGGAAATGTAAACCTTTGCCTAGGGTTATAGGATTGTATTGAGTGAAATTAGGAAAAAGCTGAAGGTTCAAAGAAGTGGTAGAATAATTGTGGAAATTAATCTTGCAGAAAAGGTTCTCTGTGTGAACATATTAACTAAATTCCAAAAAGGGTATTATATGGTTTTCCTGTAAATTGAACACTGAAATAAAAGCATAACAAGGTTTTCCTAAGGCACTAATCTGCTCTTTGGCAAAATTTGTAAAGGGATATAAAAGGTTTTTGCTTCTTTAAAATTTCTGAGTCATCATTTTGGCAAAATAAATAGTTTATGGTAATCTGGAATTCTATTCAATAATATCAAGTGCTTTAAACATATTTAAAAGGCTTCCCAAAATCAAACTTCAGTATCAAAATTATCTTCACTGGCACCTGGCTTTTTGAATACTTCAGAGGGCCCCTGAAGTGTCCAGAAAAGAGAGGTAAACAGGATTGTTTGACAGGTTTAGGTACGTGGGATTGCCAAAATGATGCTCAATCTTCTTTAGGTTATATCTTGATGAATAATGCTAATATATGTTCCAAAACTGTATAAAATTTCTAAAATTCTAATGTCTAAGTATATGCTATCAATCATAATTAAGGTTGTTATGTTAAGTTATTGAAAACCGTGGAGAAAACCAAACTTCTTTGTCAATCATGTTTCTAACTGTAACTACCCTGGACATTTTGCTATCCACAGACAATTGTTGTCTTGTTTTAATCCTTTTCAAAGATAGTTTATAATGAGCTATAGAATTTTAACAGATGCTCTCAAACACAGGTTTCTGATAACTTTGGAGATTGTGACACTGGAATAAAAAAACATACAGGACTCATGAATAGCTGAAATGTTCATAAATATCAAGTGAAGCAAGAACTAAATGGACTGAACTCAGAAAGCTGAAGCAAACTTTTTGACTTTGCTTGGAATATTGCTGATCCTTATTTTGTTTTTCAGAGTCAAGGAAACTTATTTTGACTATTTATGGCCTTTAATAATTAAGGAGTAAGCAAGGTATACTCCTATGATCAAAATTTGGAGCATGTTTGTTTCTCTCTGCCTGGTTCCTCCAGAATTTAGAACCTATCTATGAGTATTCTTATGGAAATATAGTTGTTTGCATTAGTGCAATAAAAATCCATTTTTCTTTTGCAACAGGACACAATTGGAGAAAGTGGTTATTTTACCTAGGCTTTGACTGGAAGGGTATGCTTCCCTTTAAGGAGTAAATCTCTACTTGCAGAGCCAATAAAAGGCTCATACCTTCGTCTACGCAGTCCTTGTACAGGGTTCCTGACCTGTGGTCAGTAAAGAATGTCACTCTCTGGCTGGGTGCAGTGGCTCACACTTGTAATCCCAGCACTTTGGGAAGCCGAGATGGGTGGACCATGAGGTCAGTGGTTCCAGACCAGCCTGGCCAACACAGTGAAACCCTGTCTCTATTAAAAATACAAAAATTAGCTGGGTGTGGTGGCATGTGCTTATAATCCCAGCTACTCGGGAGGCTGAGGCAGGAGAATCGCTTGAGCCTGGGAGGTGGAGCTTGCAGTGAGCCAAGATCACGCTACTGCACCCCAACCTAGGTGACAGAGCTAGACTCCATCTCAAAAAAAAAAAGTCACTAATGCCACTTTCTAACAGGTTCAGGAGCTCCAACTTTATCTTGGGACCATAAGAGAAGAGGGCCACCCACCTCACAGGTATTTGAGGATACAAACCCATGGTTGGGCTTGGCTTTAAAAGGTCTTATCTGAGATTCCTTGTGGAACAGACTTCCATCAAAACCAATCCAAAAGGCCTACACAGAAATAATTATTCTTGCTGCACTTTATGCAAATAATCAGGCCAAGTATAAGACTAAAATCTATTTTGCAAACCATTCAGTCCTGTGATGATTTTTTAACAAAAATGAAGATGGGAGAGAGAGAAATCATGTTTCAAAACTTACACATTTGTCGTTAAATTCTCAAGTCATTAGTTGTTTTTAAGTTTTCCCCTATATTTTAGACTAACCCTGCTTGCTTCTGTGAACCAACCAGCAATTTCTGGCTCCAGGTCAAAAAGAACAAAAGGGATGAGTAATGTAAAAATCTGGATCGATATTCTAGTTCTAAGCAATTATCCTGCAAATCCTCTGAGGTGATGGGAATAAATAGGATGCCCATGACTCGGAGGTTTCCTTTTTGGGAAAGTAAGACCAAGGCAGCTAACCAAAGCCAAGCATCATGCACCCAAATCTTAGTAAGCATAACTATAGCTACCAGTTATCTGGGTGTGTCACAAGACATTCTTTCCTCTCCTCTCACCTTAAAATTCAGCTTATGATAAGGAGTCCATGTAACTCCCTGAGACACATTTTTGTCCCAAACTCAATTCCAAGCTTTGGGTCAAAGCCCTAGGCAGGAAAATTGGATCTAGGGGATTCAGGGGCAAATGACAACAGAGGTTAAAAGGCACAGCAAAACTGAGAGTGGCTGATTCCTGCCGATTAAGCCAACCCCAAGCTTCCTGTTTCATGGATAAAGGTCACGTTAGTGTCCATGACATAAATGATATCTAGGAAACTCCAAGGCTACTGACAGCAGGGGAGATAAGGCATACATGGGTAAGAGGAGATAATTCCTATTCTCTAGGCCCTCCCTGCTTCATGGGTGCAAGGTGCTTTGGCACTCATGGTGGGACCTGCCAAAATCGCTCAGATGCAAGTATGGAAGAGGGAAAGTAGACACACTTCCCTCTCCTTCATGTACCCTGGTTATTTGCTAGGAAGAAACGGGAACCAGGGATGCCTGCTCCCCTCTTTCTAGATGGGTGGTCATTCATCTTCACTCTGTATCCCTTTCAAATGCATCCTGACCCCCTGGGACTCCTTTAAAAGGTGCTACTTTTTTCTTTCTCCTCCTCTGTCCTCTCTTCACAGATAGGTAATTGCATCTCCGTACTATGGGACACTCCCCTCAGATGCATCCTCCAAACTTGAAAGAGTTTATTTCCCAAGCCTTAAACTGGTTGGCTTAGGATTGGGCTCAGGGGAAGGGAACCCAGAAGCCTGACATGCCAGCAAAAGAGTAGAGTTTTTTTAACCAGTTGGGGTTTTGGCCTACCTCTCCCTGTGCAAACTGGTAAAAGGCCTCAGAATTCTTGAGCTGTCCTTATCCCTCCCCTTGTTTTGTTTTAATACATGTTTTCTAATAACTCCATTTGTCTGCTCTTGCCTTCAGGCCATCAAACTATAAACAGCCATGAAACTGGAGCCTCTGACAATGGCCCCTTCTACTGGGAACCCTTAAATAGGCCTCTGAGGGAGCTCTGACTGCCATTTCCCCAAAACAGCGCCCCCTGTCAGCAGGAAGCGTTAAGATCGGTCTTCGTCCTTATCCTTAATCTAACAACAGTTAGATAGATGTACTTCTTTAGAGAGGGTAATGAGACAACCAGGTGGCAGGGGGTCCCTGGAGAAACTCCAACCAGCCTGCCCACTAAGGTGGAGCCTTGGGAAGTTCACATCATTTGCGGTGGGGAGGAGCCTAGCCCCTCCTTTTCCTGTGTGGAAACTGGGATTCAAACTGCCAGGCAGGAAGGGCTCTAGTAGAGGGACTCTGGCCTTGCGAGAGTCCGTTTTCCTCTTTTTTTCCCTTTTCACCCAATAAAACCCTGTTTTACTCACCCTTTAAGCCGTCTGTGAGCCTAAATTTTCATGGCCATGGGATGGACAAGAACCCCGTCTTTAGCTGAACTAAGGAAAAGTCCTGTGACATTAATGCTTATAACATTGATACTAAATTTATTATTTTAAGTGGCTTGGTAGCACCTACAATAATTGACCCTGTAAGACAAATCAGAAGGCAAGCACTGGAACAATACTAACACTAATACATGTGGCAAAGCATCGGAACTAAAGATGGCATGATTTCCAAGTGTTTGTTCCAGAGAACTCTGGTCCCAACAGATATTCCTCCAAGGGAGAAGAATTCTGCAGCCAAAATGCCCTGGGATCTTACATATGGTGTCTCCTGCTCCCTTTGAAATGCACATTGTTATAGAAAAAAAAAATCCTGTAATTAAAAACATTTTAACTTGATGTAACTTGGCATTTTCTGAATTTAGTTGATTATTGAAAACTTTCTAAATTTGGCTCCTAATTAACATCTCTCCTGGGTAAGGCTATATGTTTGAAAAGCCATTGTTTAATGAAGAAACATAATGGGACAGTGGCAAATGGGTTCAAGAGGAGGTGAAATCTTTTTTAAGAACACTCTAAGTACCATTGTTAATGGCATCTCAGTGTCAAGACTTGGGAGGGAGAAGGGTAGAGATTGATCTAATATGCAGAGAAGAATATAAATGAATCAAAGACATCGACAGCAGGAATTAATAAGTTTGAAGAAAGGAAAAAATAGATGGTTCCTCAACTAAGAGGCTCTTTAAATATAATTGGTATCAAATAAACAGATGAACAATTAATGGTGTTCACCTGCAATGGAGTTAATTTGAAATATTAAGAAATAAAATCATTTCTTTCACATGAAGGAAGTCCAAAACCACATGATTTATATGTAACATAAAGATGTCTAAATCTTGAGAGTTCACATATTTCAAATATTATTTAATGCAATATAATAGTAAAATAAAAGCAAAAAATATTTGGAAGTCTTTGTAGTTAATTTGAGCTAACTACATGGCTCCAATGTATATATTTTGCTGTTGAACTTGTGTTTGCTTATGAATTGTTTGGAGTCCGTATGCTTTTATTAAGGATGCTCTTAGAGCATGTGTTAATTATGTCTAATTTGATGCTTTGGTACCTAATATACATGTCTTTTTAATTTCTATTTTCGATGGTTCTATAATGATGCTTCATTTGCTTTTTTGATCCTGATGAGAAAAAAGGGATGAGTAATGTAAAATATGAAAATTATTCTATTAGTAAACAAGTGAGAGCTGAGCATAAATTATAGCCCTTAAAATTTTAACTAAAACTTTTATCTCAGTGTTAACTCACCAATTAGCTCTAGTTATACAAACCCAACATATCATATAATTAGAGAAGGGTGAGATTCTCTTTGAGAATCATGGTTATGATTCTCAAAAATGTTTGGACATTTGAGAATGTCCAAACATCGATTTTAGCATGTTATGTTTTGAACAGTACACACTCTTGGACTGCAACAGCACTGGCAATTTGTGATGAACAGTTTAAAAAAGACACATACTTCATGACAATGCCCCTTGAATGAACCTGGAAGAAGTAAATTGCATGCATGCATACTGCATTTCAATCTTTAGTTAATTTATTGCTACAGCACCTTCAATATGAATCTAACTGATACGCTTTTTAGAGCCTGGGATTTTCTTTCACCAGCTATCAATTACTTTAGAAATTATACCCCCAACAGAGCAAGACTCTGTCTCAAAAAAAAAAAAAAAAAGAAATTATATCCCCCTATTTCACAGAAATAAAGTAAAATAGAAAAAAGAACATAAATGAAACTAGGGTCAGGAAAAATATAACTTAAAGTAGAAGTTCAAAATCAGGAGAGGAATTAGAAGGCAGACATGGAGATCTAGGTCCTTGCACAGATACTAAACCTGAGCCACGAGTTTTTTTCTGAACTTCTAGTCAGCCAAAACACAAAGGAAAATGCTCTCATTTTGAGGCGCCCATTATCTAATCACCCAGAGGAAGAGACATTTTCCTGTCCCTTGATTCTGAACGAAATTTATCACCTAGGATTTCATATAGGGGCCACGGAATGATGTAGTGGGCATAATATTCCTTCAGAAAATATAATACCAGGTTATTATTGGTATAATAAAAGTTTCACCTCCACTGCTATGTTAAGTTGTGGAGGACTTTTTTTTTTAAAACTGGAAGTTTTATTTCATTTCAATGGACATTAAAGTTGGCCTACTAAATTAGAAAAATAAGGAAAGTCATTAGTGAGTTTTGAGTGAAAACATAAGTCTTCAGAAAAACTGTTCTTAACAAAATTCTTTACAATAAACAATTATATAAAAAACTTAAAATTGGCCAGGGGTGATGGCTCAGGCCTGTAATCCCAGCACTTTGGAAGGCTGAAGCGGGGAGATTGCTTGAGCCCAGGAGTTTGAGACCAGCTTGGGCAACATGCTGAAACCCCATCTCTACAAAAAAATACAAAAATTAGCCAGGCGTGGTGGCATATGCCTGTTGTCCCAGCTACTCGGGAGGCTAGGGTGGGAGGATTGCTTGGTCCTAGGAGGTCAAGGCTGCAATGAGCCATGATCACACTACTGCACTCCAGCCTGGGCAACAGAGTGAGACCCTGTTTCAAAACAAGAAACAACAACTTAAAATCAAACATTATTGTTTCATAATCAAACGTTATGCAGAAGAAAATTTTGCAAGGCTGATATTTTAGAGATAGTGTCGCATGGATAAAGCCATAGGCATTTACAATTAACTGAAAAAGGCAAGCAATGCAATGCCACCAGATTAATTTAAGTTGTAAGATACTTGGGCAGTAGGGAAGCAGTCAGGGACAATAAATAAATAAATAAATAAATAAATAAATAAATAAATAAAAATAAACCCAAAAGACAAACCAACCTAACCTAAAAACAAGCTGGACTTAATAGCTTGCATTTCAGAACTGAGGCCATGTAATTGTAATATTAAGAAAAAAAATACAAAGTAAATACCAAATACGAATGTCAGGTCAAAAGAATTTTCAATAAAAAAAATCAATAAAAATAACCTGTTAATGCTCAAATAGATAACTTAAAAGTACCTGACTGTTAAAAAATAGTTACAGAGTACATATCCAAATACCGTAAAAGGGACACCACCCCTCATAAATAGGCTTTTAAAAGTTCACTTATTGAGGGTGTATGCATGACATAAATTTTCCAGGGAACTTATGACTCTTTAAAAAAGCAGGGAGTGGGGTTGGGGGTGGGGAAAGTAACTCAAAGTTCTCTAAAATATTTGCAAGGTTCTCTTTACTCTTTGATGGTTGAAAAATTCTCTGAAGAAACTCAAACAAGTCATAAGAATTAAAATCCCTTGCATGAGATACAATTTAGAACAAAGTAAAACCATTAAAATCCGTTGCCAGTATGTAGTTACACCAAGAACTTACATCAAGCTGTAAACATTTGTTAATTCAAATTCTAAAATATATATACTGTATATAAAATATATACTATATAAAATATATATACTGTATATAAAATATATAATACTATATATAACATATATACTATATATAAAATATATAATACTATATATAACATATATACTATATATAAAATATATAATACTATATATAACATATATACTATATATAAAATATATAATACTATATATAACATATATACTATATATAAAATATATAATACTATATATAATATATATACTATATATAAAATATATAACACTATATATAACATATATACTATATATAAAATATATAACACTATATATAATATATATACTATATATAAAATATATATAAAATATATATATATATTTTGAGACAGAGTCTGTCACCCAGGCTGGAGTGCAGTGGCGCAGTCTTGGCTCACTGCAGCCTCCGTGTCTCCCGGATTCAAGGGATTCTCCTGCCTCAGCCTCCTGAGTAGCTGGGACTACAGGTGTGTGCCACCATGCCTGGCTAATTTTTGTATTTTTTTAGTAGAGATGGGGTTTCACCATGTTGGCCAGGATGGTCTTGATCGCCTGACCTCAGGATCTGCCCACCTCAGCCTCCCAAACTGATGGGATTACAGGCATGAGCCACTGCGCCCAGCTCCAGTTCATATTTTTAATTGTTTATAAATTACTGGCTTAAAGGATTACAAAAAAATGTAGACAGGTCTCAAAAACTTCAAGAGTTCCACTAAAAATAGATGGCAAAAATTAAATGTTCTGCTTTAGTTAACAGTATTGTACCAAGGCTCCTTTCTTAGTTTTGTAAATGTTCTAAGGTAATGTAAGATTTTTATTTTATTTTTTACCGAAGTGCTTATCAGTGAAGGAAATCCAATAAGGGGTCCAAGAAAACTTGATTCAGTATGTAGCTTTCGGATGGCACAGCTTAGTCCAAGGATAACAGCTAAAATATCTCTGATAAATGGATATTCTGTATATTAGATATTGTCTAAATTATCCCTGCAAGCATCACTTTTCTCAGCAGGGCCTTTGGTAAGCGCCAGGATGCAGAAAGTTTGCGACTATATTCTTTGGCAAGGGCTTATGATTTACAAATGCCTGAGAGAAGTGGTCAATGTATACTACTATACAAATCTAGCTATTTTCACTGAGATAGTTATAAAATGCAGAATTACATGTAATTATATATATTTTTATCTGCTGTACCTTTTCTTTTGAGTGCGGTCTCACCTTTCTTCCCTTTTCCTTCCTGAAGAGATTCTTGCTTACCATGCGGGGCTTCTAAACAAAATTCGACACACAAAAATCATTGATGATTTACTTCAATAGCCTGGGCTATATGATTGTAAGCAAGCTAATGCTATTTCCCATAGGTAAACAGTTACATTTGTGAACTGCATAAAATGGCTCAGGTTTTTACTTTGAGTTAAAATTATCCTGAAGACAGACTATGGGTTGAAACTTCTGGAATGATAGCTCTAATAGCAGCATTATTCTGTCACATTGAGATGTTTAGTCCTAACTTTAATATAAACATTTGGTAGTGGATTTGATCATAAACTCTTTAATGGAACTAGCTGTGGCATTTTTAAAAGTTAATCACAAATCCATTTGGAGCATATGGCTGTATTTGGATTTGTTTCAACTGAATGTGCCTATACAACAAGACAACTGTATCTGTGATAAAAATGATGCCAAAGCCAGGTACAGTGACATGCACCTGTAGTCCCGGCTATTGATGAGGTTGAGGCTAGAGGATGGCTTGAGCCCAGGAGTTTGAGTATGGCCTGGGCAACATAGTGAGACCCTGTCTCTAAAAATTAAATAAATAAATAAATAAAATAATAAAATAAAATAAAAATAATGGCCAAACACTTTGAAGAACAGGTAAATAACCACATTATTTTGATATGTTGCACCCTTGAACTTCTCTTGGTCACACTCTTGGTTGCCTTGTGACTTCTACATTTTTCATTGACTGTAATTGTAATACAAAGAATGATGTGAGTATATTTATCTTAAATTCCCTGGGATATAGTTCAGAAATATATTGGAAGGGAGAAATTGGAAAACTGATGATCTGGAGATGCCCCAATTAATGAGTTTGTTCCTTTAAAAAAAATTCACTACATCCTGCATTATTTACCAAATGATTTTAATTATTTTCCTCCCTGGTCCTGGGCTATAGTTTTCTCCTTCATTTTAAAGGATGAACCAGTATGGCAATTGAAATGCCTGTGATGGAGACAGACTCCCTTTAACCTATTTTTTTGTATTTAGAAGTGATAGTTATAAGAATGTATAAATGCCTAGCAGATTTCACTTACATTAAATATCACAGACATGATAACCAAGATTCCACAGAAATAAGACAGGTGACTTTGTTAATCTCTCTAAATGGATATTTAAAAATCCAAGTAGTTGACCACTAAATTTGGAAGAAAGACGGGGGATGATAGCGAGGGAGGGAGGGAGGGAGGGAAGTAAGGAAGGAAGGAAAGAAGGGAGAGAGGGAGGGAAAGAAAGAAAAACCTAAATAGAAGTATAGGTAGTATTATTCTATTGTGCCATACTAAGAACTAATTCTCAATTAAATAGTGACAATTGATACTGCATTTGATAATAGACCCTTCAATGGAACATAACTATGGAGTTTTTCAAATTTAATCCCAAGTATAATGGAAGGAGATATAAAATATGGAACTGAATAAAATATAGAACAATTTTTTAACAAAAATCACAAAATTTTTAACAAAATAACAAAATAACAATTTTTTAACAAAATTTTAACAAAATAACAAAATTTTTTAACAAAATAACAAAATAGGATTCAATGTACTATGCCTACTCTAGCCCTTTTTTAAAATTTCATTTGGTTTTTTAGTGAATAATTCCTCTTTTCATCTCAACTTCTGCTGAAGATTGTAATTAGATGTTTGAGTAGGGCATGTTCAGAAGCCTCAGGCTTTCAGTTCTAAAAATGTTCCATTTTGGAAAATTTGTAAATTATTTACACAAAACATTTTAAAAACCTGTGATAAATGTTCCTCTCTCAAATTGCCTAACCAAGCTTCCCTGAGCTGCAGGGGCAGTGCTGTCTGCTCTCCTGCCCTATCAATGTCCATCACAGTAAGGTTGGGTGGCAGCAATTAAGACTCTCGAGATTAACCTTTCTAAACATTCTTAAATATCAGGCACTAGCCTTGACCTTGGTGGGGAAAAAAAGACAAGTACAACCACTCTTTAAAGCAACAATAGATTTATTATTTCTTCAATGCACAGTATTCAAGAATATAATTATAAAATAGCAAACAAACTTCAGAAACTTAAAGACTGAGCTGGTCTGATCAGAAACACTAGAGTCTGGTTTCAGGAAATGGCTCAAATACATAGATACTCTTGACTGGAGCAAGCTGAGGAGGAGCTTTAACCTAGAGTCATAGCTATAGGTTAAAGGACGATATTCGATAATTCTAGGCTCACCTGACCCACTGTGAAAACTGTCTTCCTCAGTTATTTTTCTTTTCTTTTTTTTGGAGGTAGAGTTTCACTCTATCCCCCAGGCTAGAGTGCAGTGGGGCAATCTCGGCTCACTGCAACCTCCGCCTCTCAGGTTCAAGCAATTCTCCTGCCTCAGCCTCCCAAGCAGCTGGGATTACAGGTGCCTGCCACCACGCCCAGCTAATTTTTGTATTTTTGGTAGAGATGGGTTTTGCCCTGTTGGCCAGCGGGGTCTCGAACTCCTGATTTCTGGTGATCTGCCCACCTCAGCCTCCCAAAGTGCTGGGATTACAGGGATGAGCCACCATGCTTGGCCTGTCTTCCCCAGTTCTAAAAAGCATTTTAAATATTTCCATTTTCCTCCAGACCTCTGAATTGTTTTTTAATTTCCTAATGAGACAGCGGGAAAAGGGTGTATGTTTAATTCATGTCTTTGTGTTTTATTGTTGACATGATAAAAACATTTTTTAGGATGTGTGTATTTTGCCTGTAGTTAATTTCTAATTTCCTGGAGCAGAATGGTCTTTAATATATCATAATATATCTTACTAAAGTCTTCATATGTCTTTGTTTAATATGAATAAGTTTAATTTTAAAAATTAAGACCTATCTCAAATCTCCGTGAGGCAGAAAGACTATAGAGTTTAGAAATGTGGTCATGACACAGTATCAAAGATACTTAGGTAGACATGGTGTAACTGCACAGTCAGCCATTTATAAAGCTGAAACTAGAAACCAGAGCCTCATTTGTTTTATATACACACACAAATGGATACTGACACTCTACCAATATCATGCATTACAACAATTAAGCACTTCACTTTTGTCATTATATTCATTGTCTGCCACTTAATGCTAGACTTATGGTCCATAGCGGTTAAGGATCTAGAACAAACTTAAACTAAAAGTGTTCTCTATCTAGGCTCTTTATCTCTGTGTCCATAAATATATGTTTACTGAGATGGCAGGAGCTTGTTTCTATACTTTTATAATCACATAGTCCTGAAGATTTACAATTACATATAAATTCTAGTTCTAATGGTTGCTGTTAATTTGTTCCCTTATTCTGGTGGAAAACCAGCTATACTCATTCTTATTTTATTAAGATGTTCTTACTCATTACATAAATGTAACTCTATAGTTCAGCACACAGACGTGTATCCTCTTGATCTGCCTGAAGTTACCTGTTACTCTGTGCCTTTTCCTCTTCTCGTCTGTGGTCTTACTCTAATCAGTAGACCTAGGTGTGATGACTCCATGTCTCCTCCTACATGGCAAAGAAGTTGGGCTTTGTAACAACTACGCTTTTAGCTACTCCGAGGGCTTTTCCACTTCCATCTGAGTGTAAAGCCTTGTTTCATATGATTGAAGTTGCCCAAAGTCTGAATGTAGATAGACTATAATTTATAATTCTTTACTGAGTAAAAATAAGAAACTGAAAACAGGATTATAAATCATTCTGTCAATCACCTGATTGAGGTTTTCCTTTTGCAGTAGGAGTTTTTGAAGCCACATGGCTTTGATGAATTTCCTTCTCTTTTTCTGGTTCAGGAGGAGGAGCAGGAGGAGGTGTAGGAAGTGGAAGCTCAGCCAGGGAAGCTGCTGCTTTTTTCTCAGCTTCCTTTTCTTCTAATTTCTTCTCAACTTCAAAAGGATGATAAGAATTGACCTTCATTAGAGACTCTAGAAATCTACTATTTCACTTGAACTAAGAGAAATCTAAATTAATATAAAACAATCTTACGTATTTAAAGCTAATTCATGCTTTAGGGCTTTCCCTTAAATCATCTAGTCCTTAAAGCTAAGATTTCAAGTCTTCTCTCCCTTGTCAGAAATATGGTTGCCCTTGCCTTTTGATGGCAGTGGTGGTAATGTTGATGGGTAGTGGTGGTGATGGTGATGGAGGTAGAGGTGGTGATGGTGCTGGTGGTAGTGGTGGTGGAGGTGCTGGTAGAGGTGATGGTGGTGGAGGTAGAGGTGGTGAAGTCTGTGGTGGGGATGGTGGTAGTGATGGTGGTGGTGTGGTAGTGGTGATGGTAGGAGTGGTGATGGTGGTGGTTGGCATGGGGGTGATGAGGAATATATGTGTATTTGTGTGTACGGAGCAGGTATAAGGGGTTAGCAAGTGGTGTCAAATGTAAAAGTGATAATCTAGAAGTAGCTAATAAAGATGAGGAGAAAAATAAAAGATTGTTTGAAAACGTCCAGTGGGAAAGCAAAGTGAACAAGTGTAAAAAGACGGTAAAGGGCAATGTAATACAAGAGGTGGGGTGAGGAGGAAATGGAAGGGGAAAGAAATGTGTATCACTAACTTTAAAAAGTGAATACAAAGCACTTAGAATACTGCACAGTACATACATCTTCAATTAAGCCTTAGCAATTCATTCATTCCTGCAACAACCATTTATTGAACCTGAATTATGCCTTGAAGAAAAGGAAGGATGACAAGAATAAAGTAAAACTACTACTATTTCTAATGATAATAATTATAATAATATTGCAAACAATAGTTCTGATTGCTGGAGATACAACAGTAAAACAAAACAGAAAAATCAATGGCCTTATGAAGCTTACGTTCTAGTGGTAGGAAACAAACCATAAATATGATGAATAAGTTAATTTATACAAGAGTTAAGATGGTGATAAGTGCTATGGAAAAAAAATAGAACAGAGTAAGGGAGATCAAAGTGTTGTGGGCAGCTTCTTAAGTTTTAGATAGACTGCCAGGGTGAGTATGCCCAACCATAAGGTGACATCTGAGCAAAGACATGAAGCAAGCCAGGGAGTGAGCCTTGTGTATTTCTGGTGAAAGAGTGTTCCAGTCAGGGGAGATGGTTAGCCCAGATGCCTGGAGGGATGGAGCATGCCTGACTGGAGTCTTTCTAGGCTCCCATCATTGTGATGACCCTTTGCCTTGCATGATGCAGTTTCACCTTTCCTGGCACACCCTCCCTGACTGCCCAGTCTTTCCATCCCTTCACACTGCAGAGGCCCACAGCTCTACTCAATGTACCACTGGCGACGATTGCCTATGTTCTTGCATGACTATTTCTCTTTACATGTGCTTACTCCACCCTTAGATTACTCTTTTCAATTCAGCAAGCTAGGAGGCTTCATTCTATTAGATGTTCTTTTGAAGTGGAAATTAGGGGTTTTAGTTCTGACTTTTAAAGTTATTCATAATTATTGCTTTAAACATCCAAGAATTAAGACAAGTAGAAAAGGGAATTGCCTGTTAAGTCTCTTTAAGTCCTATCTCCTTCCCCATCATCAAGTATATATATGCTGCCAGACTCTTCTGTGCAGATGTATTTAATACATAATTATGTACACTTTCCTTAAAAGAGACTATTTCATATGTAACCTGCTTTTCCCTACTTAACAGTATATTGTGGTCAGAATATAGAAGTACCACATTCTTTTAGTTTTTTAACTTAGTCGGAAAGTTTAATACAGAGCACTGGGCTAGGTTAATGTTTATTGTTTTAATTATTAAACATTTGTTAATTACCTGTTTGAAATATAAATCTTAAGTGATAACTGAGTCTATTAATGTAGTCAGTGAATATTAGAATGCAAACTCTTTAGGAAAATGTTGAAGTTGAGTCTAATAGTTGGCAAAAACAAACTGATTCTAACCCGTAGCTTCAAGCCTTCATGAGTTAGAATTGGTTTGTTTTTGCTTCCCAACCAAGACTCTGTAAGATTGCTATTCTGTCAAATGACATGTTAAGCCTCTTAAAATAGTATATGATTATTTTTTGTTTGAAAGGTTCATGCTGGTAGTTTTTGGAGTAGGCATTTAGATGTAGGAGTTTGTCTTTCTAAGTATGAGCTCCTGGATTTCCATGGTGATTGTGGTTTATGTCTATGGGCAATTTTAATGTTAGTTAACTGTTACATTATGGGAGTTAGGTCACAAATTTAGCGACAGGAGACAGTATGCTATCAAGGCAACTTTAGAATCCTTTTGACACTATTAACTTTGACCATTTTTTATTATACTAAGAAACAGTAGTTGCCAATATAATTTGGGGTAATTGATAAACAAAAAAGAAAGATTTATTTTTCAAATCTTGTCTCAAGGCAAAATCCCAATGGAAATATGATATTGGACTGAAGTTAAAATCTCTTTCAATAAAAAGCTTCAATAATAGTATAAAAAGTTAGTGGGCAATTATCATTGGTTGAATGAAATAGGAAGGCGATCTGTGCAGTTTTATGTGGGTAAGATAAAACATGAAAGCAAGTTAATATATAATTAATAATCAATTTAATAATAATAAATAAACTTATAACAAAATAGGTGGATGTGAGAAAAAATTGCCTAGTGTGTCCATCCTAAAAGAATTCACATGGTTTCTTTATAATGCTAAAGCTAACAAAGTAAAACCTTTACCTTTATCTACAATATCTCTAATGTTCATTATTTTTTACTTAAAAATATCTAATTAACAAATAAAGATTACAAATATCCAGAGAATAAAATGTGAATTAACATTTAAATTTAACTCTGCTGGGTTTTTTTCTTGTTTTTTTTTTATGTGAAAACAATGCTTTCAGAGAGATGGTCTCTTTTTGATTAAAATAAGAGAGAGAAAAAATCTTTTATTCGGAAACATATACAACAGAAAGCTAAAGCCAGAGGCAGAATATATTTGTCGATAGTATAAATCCAAAGATAAGAAAGAACTTTTCAATCACATCTTCATTTCCTACCAAACTCATTAAAAACCACACATTTTAGTTGCCTAAACTCAAAACTATAAACAAATGTAAATACCTTTATTCTTTTTTTTTGCTATTTCAGTCGTAAGAATTTCTTTTACTTTTTCACATAAAGATTCCTTATCTATTTCAGCATTGATTTTTATCAAAATATTTTCTGGCTCTGAAAACCATTGCTCCAATAAAGGCCAGTTGTCCAAGAAGCCTATAATTCTGCAAAATCAAAATATGATATGAATATCTCATACTGATCAAAAGATTAGAATGACATTAAGCATAAATTATCCGACATGCGTAATGAAAAGACAGGCTGCCAATATAATTGTATCTGAAAAAGAAACAATGTTATTTATTTTAGATTAAAGAAGAAATTACTTAATGTCATCAAGACATATTTTTTGAGATGTATGAGAGTAAAAGAGGAAAATGTTGTTGATTCAGGAAAACTTTTAGTAGGAGTACAGGTCTCTAAGTGAAAATCTAAGAAAACATCATCTGTGCTCATAGTAGAATAACTCTGAACTCTCTTCGGATGGTAGCTACAGCCTGATGCACCTAGGCCATCTATTTTTTTCTCAGAGATAGAAATTGAAGAGATCTTTGAGTAAGTATAGATGGTTTAGACTTATATATTTTACTCAGAAGTGTTATTGGAATAACTCTTGAAACTGTTTTTTTCTTCCTGGAGAGTAGACAGCCTTAATGTAGCTCAAATTACTCTTCCCTGGTTCATTTCATATTGTTAAACTTTTCAGGGTTTCATAAAATTGTATAATTTTGTCTAAATTTCCCTTTGCAATGGCAAATTGCACACAACCAGAAGAATAATTTTATTTTAGCAAAATAGAAGTAGTTTACACTCCGATGACTAACTTTTTGAAGTTCCACCATCGTCACCAGCATTTCCTTAATGAGTGCTGAATCAGGATTCCATATAATTAACTTATAAGTGCATGTAACCGTAAAGGGAAGTATTGCCTGATTTAATTCTTCTTTTTTTCAGACTAATGACTTGCCCTCTAAATATGAAAGCTAGCACATAAATATTTCACTTATTGTCAAAACTACTTAGTCTTCTTTTACCTGTAAAAGATTGAATGCTAAGAAATAGATATTCTTCTAGATCTGATGATTCCAAAGTTGTTGTCAATCTATTTAAAAAGCATGAAACAAGAAGCAGAGCATTTAGTTAAAAACTAACCTATGTTGTATCTGGTCTCTTAAATTTTGGTCTCCATCCTTATCTTGGTTTTCAGCAGCTACACGTTGACTGATATCTTCGTGAGCAGTTTTATAGGACAATTCTTCAGCTATGGTATAAAATTTATTTAATTAGATAATTTTCAAAACCAAAGTTGCTACTTACTGCTAAAATATACTGGTGAAAGATGCCAAACAGATACGGTCCTGTATTTGGTCCAGTGTTACTTAAAAATATTTTAAAAGATGTTGAAAGAGTATAGTTTTGAGATAAGAATTCGATTGTTTTCTTGGAAATTGGGGAAAATAAGTAAACATTAAAGAGAAGCTGTAGTTTCAGTGTAGAGGATCTCAGGATTGTCTATGATAGATGAGAATGAAAAATGATGGGTCATCATGAATAACTAACTTGAAAAGAATAGGAAAAATTAACACAGTGATGTAAAAATTAAGATGAAAGAACAAGGTGGCTGGAACGTCAAATATGCATACAAATTATTTCTTGAAATTATATGCAATACAATAAAATTATTGTTTCTTTCTAGAATTTATGATCTCCCTGTAGAATAGACATAAAGGAATAGACCCAAAGAGACCAAAAACAAACAAACAAAAAAACCAATCTCAACAGCTCTGATTGAGTCCTATTCTGGATTAATGGTACAAAGTCCAGAATACTTACCAATTTAGAATAAATAAAAAATCATAAAGAGGAAAGAAAGCCTTGAACTAGATTAAAAGAAATTAGAATTACTCAATGCAAGAGAACATTGAATAGCAAATTAATAGAGTTCGAGCAAATGAAGAACCCTCACAGGATATAGTAATCAGTTGTTCTTCATCTCCATTCATAACAGAACAAGGTGAAATGAATTTAGAATACAGAATGATGCTTTAAAATGATTCATAAAACCCAAGGATCACATTGGAATAGGTGACTGAAGAAAACTGTGGGAGTGCTCTTATTGGGAGATGCCCATGCACCATCTCATGGTCGCTACCTCGCTGCTGTCAGGACTTCAGTGCATGGATCAGCATTCCTCTCTCTCCAACCTCCCAACCCCCAAGCCCCAGGCAGTGCTCCTTCCCCTTCCCTTCACTCGTGGTACTCTGTACCATGGCCAATGAATTTTGTGATCACCCTGAATGGCTCCATCTTTGCAATCCTAAAGACCTATACTCCTACCACAAACTTTCCAGCACTCCTGTATAGTTGATGAATCTCTTCACTAGCATCCAGTCCCTAAATTCCTACCTCCTTTTTTCCAAATTTATCTGCATTATCCTGACTTCACTTTATGCTTTCTAGCAAACCTAAACTGCATGAATGAACACTTCAAGTTCTCCCTGCCTCTTAACAACTCCAGTTTCTGTGTCCTTTACTGTACCAGCCTTAAATGATATCATTTTTTTAAGACTTTTGCTGGTAGGCATCTTTGAATAAAAATACACAACCTTTATTCTTACTAATTCCCTAGCTAAAAAAAATCAGTTGAGCTCTTTCATATATATATAGAGAGACCCTTTTCTAAAATAAATAAAGAGAGAATAAAAAAAAAAATAAAAAAGTAACAAATATCCTGTGACCATGGCTCTTTTTTTTTCTTTCAGAGATAAACTTCTTGGGAGTTATCTCCACTCACTCTCTATCTCTGTCTCTCCCACTCACACCTCAATACACTGCAATCCTTCCTTCTCTCTCCCACCCTCCATGAAATGGCTCGCATACCAGTCACCAAACATGCCAAAGGACACATTTCAGTCCTTATTTTGGCTTCTCTGTAGTACTTATAGGTAAAATTTAGCGTACAATTCTTAAAAGCTGTTACATATATTATGTCATTTTATACTCAACAAAAACTTGTAATTGGGATTGAGATTCTATAATTGGCTCCAAATTGCACAGTTCATAAATGGTAGAGAAGGGATTTGATTCCAGGCAATGTGACTCCAGGTTCTGGATTTCTTTTTAATTTTTATAGTCTTTGTTGCATTATACTTGCCAAAAAACGCATACACTAATATGCATCTGCTCGAATTAATGAACTGAAGACAGTCAGCACCCAGATATACAAACATTATCGGTCCCAGAAGCCCCTTCCTGTTCTTTTTCAGTCACCATTAGCCACAAAGGGTCAGTATTTGATGCCTGAACTCAAAACCTATCTGTACCTCTCACCAGATGTGAACATTACTGTTCTGTCTCAGGCTGACCAATGGCTAAACAGCGGAGGCAGTCACCTCCTCTTCCATTCCAATGCAGCCTTTTACTCTCACAATGGCCATTCCCCCTCCTTACATCCCCCAGTCTCCTGCCCATTGGCTTTGAGTCTGGATCATTTACCTCAGCCCAGCCCTGGCAGGACTTTGTAGCCCACGTGGCTTTGGATGTAGTGTGTTTCTCTGTGAAGATGTTCTTCAGGTTCCTCCATAGACCCCGAGCACTGCAGAACTGCATGTTGCACCCAACCCTAGTGGCTAGGCTCCCACTCAGCCCAGGATCCTGCTGGTCTGGAAGGGGGATTGGATGACACATTTGCCTTGAAGATTTGTCCTCCCTTGGCTTATGAGACACTACTCTCCCAGGCTTTCTTCTTCTCCATTAGCTGCTGCTTCTAAACACTTATTCCTTTGCTCTCCCCACTAAATTCTGGCTATTATCTACAGAGCAATGCAATTTTTTTGGAGACAGGGTCTCACTCTGTTACCCAGGTTGAAGTGCTGTGGTGTGATCATGACTCACTGCAGCCTTGAATTCCTGGGCTCAAGTGATCCTCCCACCTCAGCCTCCCATGTAGCTAGGATCACAGACATGTGCCACCATGTTGGGCTAATATTTTTATTTTTTGTAGAGACAGGGCCTTGTCACGTTTCCTAGGCTGATCTCAAACTCCTGGGCTCGAGTATTTCAAATCATCTTTTTTACAGTGTGGAAATTGTCTCAGCTGAACCAAATTTATTTTCATTTCTAAGAACACGAATCATTTGCATTACTATCAATTTCCTACTATTTACAGAGTTATAGAAGAATTGAGTCAAAACCAGTGAGAGGCACAGACCCCTATAGAATCAGGTACCCCCAAGGGTCCAAGAGGCAATATTCAGCCTTCTAGTAAAATGATGTGAAGGCAATCATTTGTTGATTTCAAAGTCTTCCATCATTTTTCCCTGATGTATTTACCACACGCTTATTATCATGTGCCAGATTCTGTCCTAAGCATGTAGCTCTGAGCTCATTTAATACCCATAACAATACAATGAGCCATGTTATCATATAGGTTGTGACACCAAGGCTTAGAACAATAAGGTAACTTTCTCAAGGTCAAATACCTTCTATGTAAGAAAGCCAAGGTTCAAGAATAAGTGCTTTTACCCATAAGTATTTAATTTGTGGAATAAAGGATATTTTTCAAGGTTGAAAAACAGTTAAACTATGAATTTTTGTAGGAAGATTCACCCATCATGTGAAGTTTTCAGCCAACTGATACCACTCTTTAGAGTTAATACCCAGTCCAAGAAAAGGATGTTATCAGATCCTTTCTTACAGCCCAGATGTGGTTTATGACCCTCAAGAGGGTGACCCACGAAAACACGCTAGACAGCCACAAAGCACTCCTCCATAAGTGCATGTCTCAAAAAAACACCCCAATGCCAGGGGAACTCCCAAGTTGATGGAAAGGTTCAGTGAGATGCTTGCCGTTGGACTGGAATTCACTAGTTCCCGGCTTTGCCCACAGCGCTGAATGCTAACAGTCAAAGCAAGAGGCAACTGTGCTCAACTAGATAATTATTTGATAGGCTGAAGTGGATTATTTTGTACTCATTTATAATTGTAAATGGGAGTATTCACTGATTCAAAGAACAAAGAGTTTTCATTGTAAAAAGAGTGTCAAAAAAGGTGTCCAGCTTACCTATAATATCATTCATGCGACTCATTGAGGAAGTATCTGAAACATCTAATAATATGACAAAATCAAATGCAGGAGAGGGAAGAGGTATTTCTTTGGAAGTCGCAGGATCAATAGCCAATGTGGATTTTTGTGCTTTTTTTCTTTCCACTTCTGTGAGGTTTCTATTGCAGCCTGTAAGAGCTTCTTCCAGAAGCTGTGCTTGGTTTAAAGTCATTGGAAAACCATCTAGGATACAGTCTTGATTCACAGGTATCTCACTAAATTGAAACAGGACAACTCATGAATATTTTGTTAGACACAAGTACTTTGGAAATACTATGATGAATCTTTCCTTTTTCTTTCAATTCCACAATAACTTCCTACTGCATGAATTTCATTACTTCATAGCTAAAAGATTAGGTTTACTGATGTGCCACAATCACTCCCTTGCTTAAAAATACTTCTGTGGATACTGTGCTGCCCTCCAAATCTATTCCAGAGGCTTTAACACATTAAAATTAACTGGCCACACCTGTATTAGTCCCTTTCCATGCTGCTGATAAAGACATACCCAAGACTGGGCAATTTACAAAGAAAGAGATTTAATTGGTCTTACAGTTTCACATGGTGGGGGAAGCCTCACAATCACGGCAGAAGGCAAGGAGGAGAAAGTCACATGGATGGCAGCAGGCAAATCGAGAGCTTGTGCAGAGAAACTCCCGTTTTTAAAAACATCACATCTTGTGAGACCATTCACTATCACGAAAACAGCACAGGAAAGCACCGCCCCCACGATTCAATCATCTCCCACCAGGTCCCTCCCACAACATGTGGGAATTATGGGAGCTACAATTCAAGATGAGATTTGGATGGGGACACAGTCAAACCATATCAACACTTTATTTCTCTATAACTTGTTATCTCTTACAATTTTGAACCATTTACTTCAAACAAACTCATCTCCTCAATGTTATATGAGTATGAACTGCATTTTCTATATTGTGTTCACAGACTGTTCCTCCTTTGCACCTCAGTTTCCTAATTCATACAATGGGGTAACATAACATACCTCATAAGGTAGTTGTGAGGATGAACTGAAATGATGCATTTTAAAAACGCAGCACAGAGCTTAGCAAGTACTGGATACTTGTACTGCCAACCTGGAGAGCTCTTCCTATCCCACCCAAGCCTGTGTAGAGTCATAGTATCCTGATCTGAATTTCTCTGACTTCCACTTTGCCATGCAAGTGGTTATATTTCTCTGTTTAACACAAATTCAAGTGAGTCTTTTAAAATCTCAGTTAGATTATAGGACGCTGAAGTGCAATTGGGTTTTTGCACTCAGCACAGTGTCCTCTTTAGAGAGTGGGTGTTGAATAATTATTGTTTTAATTTGCAGCTGGAAAACAAGGTGAGAAAGGCGTAAACTTTGACTTTGTTCTTCTAAGCCCTTAAATTATGCAAAATTGTGTTTTTGGCCTTTGGATTAAAAGGTATAATTTCATTTATTTCTGTCAGAACTTATATTAAACAATGGAATCCCCTTTCCAAAGGTTTCTGAGTCTACTTTGGGGCCTGCATGTGATCCTTCCAATAGTGTAACAAGGAAGGAGGGGGAAAACAGAAGTTAAAGGAAATTTCATTATTGTTCAAAGTCACGAAACTAAAAATCACCCAAATCCAATGATCTTTCCACAGTATCAAGCTGTCTTCAGGTCACTGTCTATATTTCTCTCATTAGGTTATTAAGAGCAGGAAAAGACTTCATTTTGGTTTTATAACTTGTCCAGAGCTTGGTGAAGCATTCTGCATATAATAAATTTGTTGATTCATTGGCCTAAGATGGGAAAGAGAATTTCCTTGAGTTCCTTCGTCCACCCACAGTCACAGAAGCCACTTCAGAGGAAGGGGGAGGTGAGGGCTACCTTTGTTCAGCTGTAGTTTGAGGACATGAGATGATGGGGAGTCAGGAGACCTGGACTTTGGCTGGGGCTATACCACTAGCCAGACATGTAACTGGAGCACCTCACTGAACTGTCATGTGCCTCCCTTTCCTTACAGAAAAACGATAGATTTAGACTGGATCAAAGATTTCACACTGATGACTGTCATCTGGAGGAGCCTCAGGGGCAATGAGGATGGTACTGGTGGAAGGAGGGTAATGGAGTTCTGACGATGGGGTGTGGAGGTTTCAGTTCCACTGAAACTAAAGTGAAGAACTGCTTTATATCTGATGCTTTTCATATACATTTTTATTTGGAGCAGAAGCAAAGAATCCCATGGCTGAAACATGCTTTATCGCCACTTCTGGGAAATGTTACAACTATTAGAGTGAGGCCCCTCCTAGCTCTGGGCAGCCCTGTGATCTGATTTCTAGATATATCATCATTGAGAAGCAACTTAAATTTTTAATGTCATCTTTTAAGAAAACACTAAGGGAAGTCCATTCTAGATGCAGAGTAGAACTCTCAGCCCTCCTTCCTCATCTCTCTTGGTCTCACTGTTTCCACATCCCACATCTCACTACTCAGTTCTGCTTCCTTACCTACTCTAAGTTGTCTGCAGCTCTTTCTCAGGGGACTTTTTGACAGTTTTCTCCAGCCTGCTGACCTTCTCTCTTTATTACATTTGTCAGCCAAGTCTCTCTGGCTTCTTTTTTCCCCGTGGTCTGTGACCACACAATTGAGTCTTTCCCTTGGCTTTTCCAATTACTCAATTTCTCATTGAATTCCCCACAGGTAATAGAACCTGACTTTATTCACATCTGGGTAAAAGAAGTCAAGCTTGGTATGGGAGAAGAAGCGGAATATAGGCACGTAAGTCACAAAATAAATCTACCTTTTCATTGCTGTATATTTTCATATACAGATGAGTGAAATGTATGAGATATTACAACAAAAAATCCGTATTATTCTTTATACATCTTTGTGTGATAAAGAATATATTAAATAGATGAGAGGAAGAAAAATGCAATACATACTTAATAGCATTTACTATGATGTCAACAAGCAGCACATCAGGAATGCTCTTTCCTTTCTTCAGCAACTGTTCTGATTTTGCACCAAGCTGAGCACGTGTAGTGAGCTGGGAAAATAAACAAGAAATGACAGAAGATGGCTAATTTAAAAGTCAAATTCCAAACATTTGGAGGAAAAGTTAATTAAATGACCAGGCTCTCTGATGATGACACTGATCATGTGGCACAGTTCGGGAGTCAGGGAAGCATTTCAGGAAAATGTGTGCACAGAATTTGAGGCTCTTCCTTCGAGCCTCCCTCCCTTCCAAGATCGTACTCTTCAGTTGCAGCAGCTCTTGCATCCCCAAACTTAATTCTCTAATACCTTAAATCAGAAAGATTGAGCTCTCTTCTTGGGCTCTAGCCACTCATGCCATGCAGACAGGGGCATGCCCTCTAGGGAAAACCCATATAAACATGGCCCTTGACCAGTGAAGTTCTCATCTTTCCATGGTCAAATTCCACAGATTTTCTGCCTGTTGTTTGCTGCTTCCTTGTTTGATGTCTTCTTTTAGCACTCAAATAATTATCTTTTATATTTTGCCTAGTGTTTATACTTGTTATTTATAGGTTAGTCCAATACAAGCTACTCAATATCACTGAAACAGGAACTTCCCTAGAGTCTATTCTTAGCTCAGCCACCAGAGTAAGAATTTTATGTCAAATGGTATGGCTCTATTCCAAACCCTGCTAAAATTCTCCCTTTTACTCCAAATGTCCTAATAATTGCCTGAGGCCCTGACTGACCTGATTCTTTTCCTTTCTCACCCATGTCTCTAACCTCATCCCTTACTAAATACTCTCTGGCCCCGCTGGCCAGGCACCTTCCTGCCTCACTATTCTCATGGCCTGGAACACTTCCCCAGATCCAGTGGGCAGGTTCTCTCACCTCTTTCAATCTGCTTAAGGCTCCCTTTCCCAAGGAGGCCTGCCCGATGTCATAAGGTGACCAACTGTGCCTCTTTTGTTGCCCTTGGCCTGTGTTCCTGCTCCCCTTCCTCCACTCCATGTTTCCTTTTCTCATGACACTCATCATCATCTTCAATATCATATTTATCTCTATGTTCATAGTTTATTATGTCTCTCTCCATTAGAATGTAAACACCATAAGGGCAGGAAATCCTGTCTTTTGTATTCACTGATATATCCAAGTTATTAAAACAGTGTACAAAACAATGTATGCTCTTGGAATTGAATTGAATATGGAATTTGTGAGATTTTAAAATCAATAGATGTAAATATAAAACATACTTTCTGCTAATTCATATTTCAAATTCACAGAGTAAAAATTGTAAGTCCCCTTTTCCTGTTTTTTCTGAACCCATTTCCCTTCCCATTGCTCATCTTGTTTACAGTTTGGTGTATATCCTTCCAAAACTTTTTCTATCTTTAAGCAGTTTTGAAACCTAAAATATTATAAAACTGTTTTTCATGATGAGATGCATAATAAAAAAATCAAATATAATACAAAAGATAAAATTCCACTTGATTTAGTCTGGTCATTTTATTTGATGACCAATTAGTTTCCATTAGGAGAAATAGTGAGTGAACTGTTGTAAACAGTTTTTCAGGAATTAATAAACAAATTCTGAAGAGTCACCAACAAGAGTAAGGATAAATTCTGGAAAAAATATTTAAAGGTAAAGAGGGTATGAGCGAAATAAAAGTCATAAATTAAATGGTAAAGATGAAATGAATTTGGTCTCTGTCTAAAAGTTTTAAAAGCACAAGTTTATCACCCTGGCAAAAGTGAAGAATAATTTCCACTGCTTTCAATATAAATATTGAGAATACAAAGAATGCTAAGTAAAGTCAGGTGAGCTAATATTATACCATCAAATTAACTTTGAAACCAAAGAAGAGCACATTGCAATTTCATTGCATTCGAAGACACTCCAAAACACCATTAATCATGACAGGTTTTAATATGTTAGTAGCTAAAATTAGATCATAATACTTACTTTTAAGAAACTATCACTTGATTTGACTTCTTCAGCTTTTGGTGTTTTATCAGCATTAGCACCTAGCAATAGGAAAAGTGGTAAGAACAAATTTCTGGTATTTACACCTAACAACCAAAGCAGTATTTGACCATCTATGGTTTTGGACATAAGGGTTATCAGATCCAGCTATGCCTGAGATGCTCAGAGGAAGGAAGTAATAGAATCACCACAGCATAGCTTTTACCTTCACTCACACCATTAAGATCCTGGTCACTATGTGTCTTGGTGTTTCCCCTCCCTCCCTACCTCCCTCCCTTCCCTGCTCCCTTCCTGCATGATCTGAGCTCATAAAAATATCATTAGGAATACTTTAACACAGTCGGGGTTCGCTTTTCAGAAGACGGTCAAGTTTTTCAAAAAAATGTTAAAATGTTATTTTTTTACACTTTTATTTTCCTGGATTACCAAGTTACAGATAAACATCTTAAAAGCAGATGACTCTAGAAGTCAGAGGTGTTTTAAGTTAAATTCTATGAAAAAAAAAAAAAACCAGAAGTTTTAAGAGTTTGTTTATAATTACTTAGACTAATGTATAATAGAATATGTAATAAAACACTTATAATAGTTTTAAAAATCAACTAAAATTATCTCTTAAGAAACAGATAACAGGAATAAGGGACAGATAGTGTCCTCTTAAGAAAGGCAAGTCCAACCTCTCTGGAGTGTTGTATGCTCATAGTAAACCTGGACATTGTTCAATGGTAATGGCAATAATAATGATAGCACAGGAGGAGCTCGGCTTCATGCTAGAATACGAGGAAGCTATTTAATAAGACAAAGACTTCACTAGCACATACAGGAAAAAATATTTAATACTTAAAATTGTTTTCCTTCAATGGTTCTACAAAGGATCTGAAGGACTGCAGCCCAGATCCCAAGGGAGATAACTTTTTGTTATGTTTGGGAAACTTAGTTGTATTGGTAGTGCCCAAGGCTGAGAATAAATTTAGGAACCACTGTGCATACAGGATAAAAAGACCAGCCCCTACAGCCTTCTGCAATACAATAAACAAAGCAGGAGCACGTAGAAAGCCCCAATTGTACTCATATACCCAGTCTTACACACTGGTGAGAACAAGAAAAGACTGTCTGTCTCCTTGCACAGACAGGAAGAATGAGGATGATTTATCCTGGATTCTTTCATAATGGCAGCAAAACTAATCAACTATTCGAAGGAGGCTGAAAAGATTGCCTTGTAATTTTCATCTTATCCCCAGCTGTAGGCAAGAGTGATCTTGCTCCCTCTGTCAAATGGCCATATGTAGACAACTATGTAAAACTCCCCTTGGTTCCCGTTTATTTCCCTGAAAGCATGTTTGTGCTCACATATATGTGCTCTCATTGTTTCTCTCTCTAATGTAAATAATAGATGATTTGTTTTGAGATCTTACTAAGCATTGTTTCACCTTCTGTTTCTGGTAATACTTCATCTGAAACTGGACCAGCTGAAAATACATGTTGTGGATCCTTTGGAGAGAAAACACACATAGGGAGGGATTTTACCATTGCTATATTTTAATAATCCTCCTAATTTTATATCTATAAGTAAAGGTTTGAGAACAAATACAATACTTTTTGTCTATAACATTAATGATTTTAAAGGAGATTAAAGTTTCAGTTCTAAATTCTTATTTCCAGAAACAAACAATATTGGATGATAATTGCACTTATAGAAATACACAGCAACCTGTGATGTAATCTGTCTTTTGAATGGTCTTCAATTACTATGTAAAATATGCCAACTACTATTTTGAAAAGATAGTGGAACCTGAGGAAAGGGTAAAGTTTATGGAAAACCATCTTGAACAATCCTAGAGATGTCAGTCACAGCCATAAGGTAATTTTTTTAAATGTACATTATCTATTACTTTATTGATTAAAATATAAAGATATTACAACATGAAAGAAGAGATAGCCCACCATAAAGAAAACTTCTCCCAGTTATTTTCAGAATCAATTGTTAAATGATATTTATTTTTGCAGGCTATGCAAATGATCTGGATCAGATTATCAGCTAATTTATTCAATTGCAGAGGCAGCATAAGGTAGAGAGAGGAAAGAGTAGTGGACTTACAATCTGGAAACTTAATCATAGAGAAGCTATTGACAAGCCTTCTGACTCCAAGCAAACCAATTCACGCTTAGGGTCTTTACTGTGTGCTCTGCAGAATGAAGGAGCTGGACTACATCAAGGATTCTGAAGGTGGGGCTACATTTTCCTATTCACCCCTCCACCCCAGGAATCTTCATGCAATAATGAAAAGAGATGCAATATTGATGGGAATATGATACAGGTAAACCTTTCAGAGAGCCATCCCCCAATTGAGATCTACTAATATAGATCAGGTGTCAGCATACTACAGCTCATAGACCACAAAGGCCTGCCGACAGTTTTCATACAGTTTCTGAACACCACTTAAGCAGCCGACCACTGTGAGACTGGAGACAAAGACAGGAGTCCTCCTCTACCTCTGTACCTGCTGGGATTCAACACCTGCCTCAGCCACTGCCCAGGGCCAGCATTGGTCCCTGACTATACACTGGGGACTTTGATGTTAGCAACTGCCAGAAGCTGAGTGGGAGGATCTCAGTCCAGGAGTTGGTGGCTTCTTGAGTTCCCCTAAAACAATCATATGCCACCCTCCCAACCTCCACAATTCAATCTTCACCCACCCCCACTTACCAGCTAGTGGCTCTTTCCTTGGGAGAATGGCTCCAGCTGATGGCTACTAGACCCAAAGGGGGCCCATCACACAAGACAGTCCACCCAGACAAACTGGTGGGAAGCAGGAGTTTTCTCTCTTGTTATACAAGTACCCACATAATATCCTCGATTTTACCTCTTGGCCTAAAATTTGTCCTAAATATTTAACTTAAATATTTATTTTCTAGACTTTTGCAGAACCTAAACTTTTACTCTCTGGGTCTGTACAGAAGAAACTTCTGGTCTAGAGAAGACCTTTTAAATTCCATCCAGCTCCAAATCTCTAATGTACTAGGCGCAGAAGAGAAAACTAGAATCACACTTGCCTGGCTTTCTTTAATCTCCTCTTGCAGAACTGGTAGAGCATCTTCTTCATCATTTTTCTGAATTGGTAGAACCTCACTGACTTTTTCATTGTCATGAAATGCTTGGATAGCTTCTTGGACAAGAGTGTCAATAGAAAGTATCTGTATAGGAAAGTCTAAAGTACAAAAGATAATTTTATAAATAGCTTTTCATTTGGGAAATGGAAATTGTTGTCTTTATGTGCTGGTTTTGTCCTATAACACTGTCTTTCAGGCCCGCTAGAACAGTCTTTTGGATCAAGTTTCTTTTTTGTTTTGTTTGGTTTGTTTTGTTTGAGACGGAGTCTCGCTCTGTCGCCTAGGCTGGAGTGCAGTGGCATGGTCTCAGCTCACTGCAACCTCCGTCTCCTGGGTTCAAGCAATTCTACTGCCTCAGCCTCCTGAGTAGCTGGGATTACAGGTGCATGCCACCACACCCAGCTAATTTTTGTATTTTTAGTAGAGATGGGGTTTCACCATGTTGGACAGGCTGATCTCAAACTCTTGACCTCAGGTGATCCACCCGTCTCGGCCTTCCAAAGTGCAGGGATTACAAGCATGAGCTACCACACCCAGCCGGATCAAGCTTCTTTTTAAAAAACGTGATAAGGCTGGGCACGGTGGCTCATGCTTGTAATCCCAGCATTTTTGGGGGCTGAGGTGGGTGGATCACGAGATCAGGAGATTGAGACCATCCTGGCCAACATGGTGAAACCCTGTCTCTACTAAAAATACAAAAATTAGCTGGGTGTAGTGGTGCGCACCTGTAGTCCCAGCTACTCAGGAGGCTGAGGCAGAAGAATCGCTTGAACCCGGGAAGCAGAGGTTGCAGTGGGCCGAGATTGTGCCACTGCACTTCATCCTGGGCCAACAGAGCGAGACTCTGTCTCGAAAAAATAAATAAATAAATAAAAATAAAACAAAGATAAAAATTGTGATAAAATTCATAAAACATAAAGTTAAGCACTTCCACCATTTAAAGGATACATTTCAGTAGCATTTAGACATTCACAATGTGTGCAACCATCACCATTATTTTGTTCCTGAAATTTTTAATCACCCTAAAAGGAAATCCTAAATCAACTGCTGTCACTCCTCATTCCCCTACCCCTGACTCTGGCATCCAATAATTCCACTTCTTTCTCTATGGATTTGCCTATTTTGGATATTTCATACAAATGGGCTCATACACTATGTGACCTTTTGTGTCTGGCTTTTTTCACTTAGCATAATGTTGTGAAGGATCATCCATGTTGTAGCATGTATCAATATTTCACTCATTTTTATGGCTGAATAATCGTAGCCTGGAAAATTACAAAACTTTTGATGACAGAGATTTCCCAACATATCAGCAGTGCTTCTTGTATGTTTTTTATACACATAGACATTTGCAGCTACAGTCAGTGTAAATAGGACCTAATGGCAGGGAGAGTAGGAGAAGAAATTCTACCTTTTTGTAGAGACCTTAAAATGGTAGTTTTTCCACTTAATGTTTTCCCCAATAAGCATCCTTTAACAGCAAATGAAGGTAATTCAGGTGTTGTTGATTCCGCTCGAGGAGGAAGAGATTTTTCAGCTAGCCTGTGAAGAATATGGCCCAGTATGCAATTGTTGGAGGGTGGTAAATTGTCAACCATTTCTTCTGGTAAGGCCCACTCTCCAACCATGTTCTGTAAAAATAACGATCAAATAAACAGAAATATTCTGAAAAGTGGAATTTAGGTATATGAAATATTTAAATGTTAAAAGTAAATCCAAATTATAGCCAACAAAAGCCAATGAATACTTTAATTATATTATAAAAAGAGTAATAACATTAATAATAGTTTCATATTACAGGGCAGAAAAATGCTTTCTACATAAAAGCAAAGAAAAAAACTAAAAAATCTTAGCTTATGAAAGTGAGCATATAAATTGAGGCATTTTGTAATCTAGGTTGAACATTAAGACATTTAAATTGATGTTATCACCAGTAAGCAGATAAAAGACAGTAATCATTTCTCTGCTATCTTATGCAAGTATTAAATTTATTTTATAATATTTTAAAGTAATAAAAGAGAATTTTCATGCTCAACATCTCTAAGTCTACCGTGTTTAACTCCCGCTTTATTCAGGCTTCTTGATGAAATGATCAAATGATCAGATGGAGGGAAAAAACACTATATGGATCACATTCTCTGACTTCCATGTAATATAATTAGAAGTTGATTTTAGAAATATAGAAAAAAATAAGTATTTAAAAGGAAAAGCATTCTTTAAAAATAATTCTTGTATGAAAGAGTAAATTGAGATTATAAAGTCTAAAAGGAACATTAAAACAACAGATTTATTAAAAATATGGGGTCAGATCAAACTGTACACATAGGAAAATGCCCCTTAGCCTAAAATGCCTTGATCGAGGTGCAATGTTCAATAAATCAGTAGAGTGACCAGAGCAAATAATAAGCTACTGAATATTTCAAAATAGCTAGTAGAGAACAATTCAAATGTTCCTAGCATAAAGAAAAGATAAATGTTTAATATCACAGATATCCCAATTACCCTGATTTGATTATTACATATTTTATAAATGCATCAATACATGTGTTTATTATGTATCAATAAAAAATAAAATAAAAAAGAAGGAAAATAAACAAAGTAGCCATTAAAATAGGGAACAAAAGTAATTTTAAAGTAATCAAACTAGGAAGAAGAAACTTGTAAAAATAAAAATGGAAATTAATAAATTACAGAGTAAAACTATCCAGATACTCTTTATTGATAAAATTCTAAAACCTATCCTTATTAATAATGGATAATGAAATTTCTACTACTTTGTCACAAAAGAGAAGAATAGTAAGTATCAATGTTGTAACATAATAGGAAAAAAGGTAACAGCAGACAAATGTACCCTCTGTTCATCATAGTACTATTCACAATAACAAAAACATGGAATCAACCCAAGTGCCCATGAAGGGTGGAATGGATAAAGAAAATGTGGTACATGTATACCATGGAATAGTGCACAGCCATAAAAAATAATGATATCTTGTCCTTAGCAGCAATATGGGTGCAGCTGGAGGCCATTATCTTAAGCAAACTAATGCAGAAGCAGAAAATCAATGCTGCATTCTCACTTACAAGTGAGAGCTAAACATTGAGTATACATGGACATAACGATGAGAACAATGAACACTGGGGACTACTAGAGGGAGGAGATGGGGAGAGTGCAAGGGCTAAAAAGCTACCTATTGGGAACTTTGCTCACTAGCTGGGGACAGGTTCAGTCATACCCCAAACATAGCATCATGCAATATACTTCCATAATATTTGTGCAATACACCTCTGTAACTATCTGTAACAAATGTTACAGAAGTATATTGCATGGTATAATTTTAATAAAAGCAGGAAGCGGGAAGAAAAAGAAAATGTTAGGTACAACTATAGTATAATAAATTTGGATTTATAACTGTATGGTAATAAATGATATTCTAAGATAGTGCAAATGAATAAAATGAAATAAAATCTTTGAAAAGATAAAAGCCATGAAAGAAATGAAAAAGATGTCATAGAACTATACTTATTAAAATTGAAGACACTAATGGTTTACAGAAAAATTTTCTTTCCTTAACTGAACAGAAATGTAAATGTTTAAAAGTCTTCTAGAGTACAGAAGAAGATAGAAAGCTTTCCTGTTTATTTGGCAAGACTAATATAACCCTTATACAGAAAATATATCAAAGATAATTGACAAAAACAACATCCCAAAAGAAAACTACAAGCCAATCTCATTTGGAAATATTTGGCACAAATCATGTATACAATACTAAAATCAACATAATATTAACAGACAATGAAGATACTAATTGACATTGACTGCATACTATGTAGCATATACTGTTGTTTTCATGCGTTATCTCAAACGATTCTCACACAACTCTTACACAAGTATTATTATCTTCCTGATTCATAGAAGAAAAATCTGAGTATTGCAACGACTAAGTTATTTTCCCAGGGTCATAATAAAGAGTAATGGTAAAACCTAGATTGGAACCCGGGCAGTCAGATCCCAGAACAGGTACTCATATCCAGTATATGATGTTGACTTTATCCCACCATGACTGAATAAGAATTATTTCATGAATCCAAGGAAGGCTAAATACTAGAAAGCCTATGTACTATATGCATTAATAGGTTAAAATAAAAAAAAGCATATGATCATTTTGACAGTGAAACAGCTGATAAAACTCAACATTTATTTCTGATTTGAAAAATACAAGAAAAATAAACAAAATAAAACAATATCTTAGTAAATTATGAATTGAAGATAACTTTCCTAACACTCTCTGGATCAATGGTAAATCAAAATAAACTACACATTTTTCCATTAAAGGCAAGAACAAGAAAAAGTTGCTCATCATGAGTACTATTAGTCACATTATTTGGGAAGTTCTAGTCCGTGCAACAAAATAAGAAAAAGAAAGAAGCAGCACTGTCTCTAGAAGTAATAGTGGCTGCTGAAGAGCAGAGTTCCTGGTGCAGAGGTGGCAGCTATAACCTGAACTGCTGCTAGTGCTCTGGGGTGGTGGTGGCAGTGACAATTTTCTTGTCAGACTTTGCTATGATGGTTCCGGTGATTTTCTTTGGAAGTTTAACCTTGAGCCTACTTCTTGAGCTCACCTATGGATTCTTTGAACCACCCACCATATTTTGAGTATTTTCTTTTCCTGCTTATTCAACAAGAGTCCATTTTTTTGCCTGCAAATTTTTTGCTTGCAAATTTTTTTGCTTGCAAAAATTTTTTGCTTGCAATTTTTTTTGCTTGCAAAAGCTGACAAAATCAACGGAATTAACAAAAAATGTATAGATTCTGTATATAGAAAGCTTCAAAATTTGACTATTAAGAAAAATGACTTGAATAGAGGGTGAGATAAAAAGGTTCAAAATTATAAACCATTTAATTCTCCTCCAAATTAATCTAACTTAATGTTTAATGACAACAAAAGTGCTAGTGTCATTTCCCCTAGTTATCGCTCAAAGGTTGATATGACAAATGATTTGAAAGTTAAAGTGGGCCTGGTGCGGTGGCTCACGCCTGTAATCCAAGCACTTTGGGAGACCGAGGTGGGCAGATCACGAGGTCAGGAGTTCGAAACCAGCCTGACCAACATGGTGAAACCCTGTCTCTACTAAAAATCCAAAAATTTGTGCCACTGCACTCCAGCCTGGGCGACAGAGCTAGACTCCATCTCAAAAAAAATGTTAAAGTGCAAGAAGAAATATAATGGGCAAAAAAAAAAAATCCATTAAAAATACTTTAAAAGGAAAGTAATGGGAGTGTTGCCTTGTAAGTTACGAAAGCACTTTTTAAAAATATGGTAATGAAAAGAATGAGTTGCAGGGACAGAATATTCACTGTGCAAAAATATAGATTCCAGAAACAGATCTAATTATATGTAAAAGTTTCGTATGTAATAAGGTTTATATTTCACATTAGCAGAGAAAGATTATTTTACAACTGGTATTTGAAAAACTAGTTATATATTTGGAAAAAATAATGTTAGATATCCTTATACTTTCATAAAAATAAATTGACACCAGAAGAATGAACGACATAAACAAGAAATCTAACAGCATCAAAATTTGGGTGAACACTTATATGCTCCACAATTGTTTTTCCAAGCATAACACCAAAGCTGAAAACCACAAAGGAAAAAGTTGGTAGTTTGATTATACTCTATAAAAATAAAATCTTCTGCACATCCTCAAGCACACACACACAAACACACATAATTCACTCACACACTTCAAAAACAAAAAACAAAAGCAAAATATCTGCAATATATATATGTGTATATACATATATATTTGATGAAAGGTTAAGGATTTTAGTGCATAAAATATGTAATCAGAAAAATAAAAATAACAGAAAAATGGTGGAAAGGCTATAAATGGGCAATTTTGACAGTAGAACAAAATGGCCAATGAGTTTATAAAGAAATGTTCAAATTCATAGTAATAAAAGATATCCAGATAAAGCAATGATGTACCATATTTTGCCTAAAACCAAAAGATTGAGTCATACTTCTCATTCACCACTATTGAGAGGGTAAATTAGTATATTGATTTATTGTGTTTTCTAAAGTGTCCAAAATTGCTGTAATAGTTCTGTCATAACAATAAAAGTAATTAAGACATACAAATCAGATAAGAATTAAGATTTTTTATTTACATACACATATAGGTAAAATGGTATTTTTCTGTAGTCACTTGAGGATCTTTAAAAATTATCTTCAGTGCACATAAAATGTATTTAGTAACATGATTATGTAATAATTTCATTACCTAGATATTATTCCATTTGCACTCTATCAAAGACAAAGAATAGAAATACATGTAATTTATATTTTAAGATTATTTGGAATTAGTACATATAACCTATTTATTAAACTATTCAAACTTCAAAAACCCCAAAATATTGTTTCAGCGGTGCAGAGATGTCAAATCATAGTGGAATACTGAAAATTAGAAATTTCAAGATACATTAGTATTTTGTTAATCACATAAGTCTCCTCAAAATTGTATCTCAGATGATCAATTCTATTAGCACTTGTATTATGTCACTGCCCCTAATCATCTTAATGTAAGTCTTTTCAGTCCAAAGATCAGGGATAGAGAAACATAAGCAATGCCCATTTGGGGAGATAAAGGAACTCCCTCATCAAAATAGGTGCTTGTGAAATCCAAAGAGAGAACCAAAACAAAAGACAGGGTACATTATATTTCATTATATTTCTTTAAGAAACACCAGCCAACTTCTGCTAGTCTGGATTGCCTTAAGTCAGTTAGATTTTTTTTTTTTTTTTGAGGAAGGTATGTGTCTTTTTCTTGTGTATGATTTAGCTCATTTCCTAACCATTTTCTGGAGGGGAACTCTTTCCTAGTTTAAAAATTATTGGCCAAATTTGACCACTAATTTGAAAGACATTTTTTTCATTTCAGTCAAATAGATGATGTGTGATTTATAAATATTACTACACTATCATTAAGAAATGAGCAAGTCACATTTTTGGCTTATAAATAAATGCCCATATTATATTTTTAATTCTTAACTCTTGATTAATATGACAAAGTGGCCCTTAGTAACAGATTAAGTCTACAAGTGGAGTTATTTATTTAAATAACTTGAAGTAAGAAAAGTTTGTTTAGGCCACTTTTGACAATATTTCTATAATTACGCTATGTCATATATAAATAAGTATATCCCTGTGTTCTTGCTTTTCTTTCATCAGTATTCTTTTCATACCCATTATCTGACAAAACACACTTACTCAGAATATAAGTTGTCAACTTTGGTAAGTGCTATGAATGGCTTGTCTGGTTTGGTGCCAGAATTTCTGATATGAGAACACTGCAGATAAGAAAATACTTTTTGAAACAAATTTTTAAAACCCCAAAGTACTCATAGTAAGTTTTTCTTTAAAATTGGTGTAATGTAGTTATACATAAATTTTAGTGTATTTAGTATATAAATATAATCCTATTTGACTGCCACTTCTATACATACTACCCTGTATTTATAAAAAGTATTTTTAGTTTACTGCCTTTGTTTTTTCTAGGAGCTCTGTACATAATAATAATCTGCACTGTTCAAAATTAGCCAAATACTAATTGGATCTGCAAAATTATTGGTTGCACTATAGTTGATTACTTGCTTCTGCTTTCATTCATTGGAATTATTTATACTTCGAATTAGACAAATGGTGATTATTTTATGTAATGTGGCCAATTAGAAACTAACCAAATAAGAAAACAGAAGCTGTAGAAATTATGTAATTTTACAATAAAAAAGGTGATAATTCCAAGGCCAATTTGAAGTGGAAAGTTGTCAATATTGTAATGATTTTGAGCTGTGCAGTCACTTAACCCTTTTTAAAGGCAACAGTCTTAGGCTTAAATCAGATGACTTGAGTTTCTATTATATAAGGCTTCTGCTACTTGCTTGCTTTGCACCCTCATTAATTCATCTTTGCAGCATAATAACAATATGTATTTCACCAGATTGTTGTAAAGATTAAGTGAAATAATGCTTGTGTGAGGAGCCTATGTAACCTCTGACTATAAACAGTTTAGGAGTTCTCAGGCAGCTGCTGGAGGCATGTAAGAGCGCCACATCCAGCTGCACTCCAATCTGAAAGGCCTGCTTCCTCACAAAAAATCCGAATAGACCTCTTCCATCACTAGCTGTAGAATGTGGCCAAACACAATGGAATAGGATGTCACTGTGAAGAGAACAGAATGCTTAGGTTAGAAGAACTGAAGCCTGACCTGTGAGATAAGCAGATAAAGGATTTGGTGGAACACACTGAGCAGAATCACTGTCAAAATAAAGCCTATGAAGTTCCTAGCAAAGACCAAAAATAAAGGCTGAGTCAAGGTAAGCATCTCAAAGGGGATGAAATCAGAACATGACGAGTGAAAAGAGATCAGAAGAACTGGAGAAAGAAGAAATTCAGACTAGAATGATGGTTATTAGTTTAACTACAATGAGCTAAAGAGCTTTACTAGTTCACTAGTAATGACGAATCAGAAATTTTTATCAGATCTCTACTTTACATATTTATTATCTATGTAGATATGATTAAATTATTTATATAATAAAACATATATTATTTACTCTTTCAGGTATTGTAAATAGACATCTGACTATTAGGCCCAGACTCTGACGCTCAGAGTGGGCAAAACCAGGTAAATATCACATGGTATAAACAATTGCTTTAACGAGATACTCTTTCTGTGTTGATGTACTAGTCCTTGATTTATGTAAACTGTCATGAACATGCAGGAAATAATTATTAAGCTGTCTTGATTTTAGTAATATTTTAATTGTACCTGCATAAATACTATCAGTATGTATTTTTGAGAAGGTGTAAGTATAAGATTCAGGATCCATCAACACCTAGGAGGTCTGACTCTCCCTGTGAATTTTTGTCTGCTTACACACAGAGATCATAAAATTACAACAGAGAGGAAATAGACTCTGCCCGTGGTCAAAAGTCACAACCTGTTCACTAGCACTGGTTTTTGCTTGTTTGTTTGTTTTGAGACGAAGTCTCACTCTGTCACCCAGGCTGGAGTGCAGTAGCGCGATCTTGGCTAACTGTAGCCTCCATCTCTCGAGTTCAAGCAATTATCCTGCCTCACCCTCCCAAGTAGCAGGGATTACAGGCAGGTGTCACTACGCCTAGCTAATTTTTGGATTTTTAGTAGAGACAGGGTTTCACCATGTTGGTCAGGCTGGTCTCGAACTCCTGAACTCAAACGATCCACCCACCTCAGCCTCCCAAAGTGCTGGGATTACTGGCATGAGCCACAGCACCCGGCCCACTAGCACTGTTTTTATTAATTGACCTACACTGACCTTTCCAGCACTTGAATTCTGAATTCCTGGAACCATAGTATCCACCATTTTTATGGATCCCATCTTTACAGATCACGTGGGCCTACCACTCTGCTGTCTAGCCTGGATCCAAAGCACTCACATGCCTCTCTATATCCTGTTGTAGGAGCCTAATGGTGACCTGGAGTTCTGATTCTGGTTACTTCCAGTCTCTCATATCTTTTTAGTTTTTTGTGGCCTAATGTGTCAGTATTCTTGGTCTCCTTGTTATGAATCATGGCTAATAGAATCACAAGTATTTACAAACAGAATCTGCTTGGAAGCAAACATGCTTGAATGTGGGTTGAGTTGCACACTTCAAGGGCAAGCTTAAGCTCCCGTGTGTCCACTGGATTCCCTTCTTGATTGTAACGTTGCCCAAGTGATTGAATGATGCTGCCGATTACCCCTGTAAAAACCACATGCATCTCATTCTCATTCTTGCCACTTCTAAACATCCAAGTTGGGAATGGAGCTTCCTCATTCACCCTTTCAAAAAGTGGGGAGAGCTGGCTTACTTAGATCAATTTGAATAAACAGAATCTGGGCCTTTGGAAATATTTGTCAGTGCATAAAATCTCAGAGCACCTAGCACAAAATTCAACAAACAAATAATAGAGTTACACCAATAATACTTAGCAGAGACATTCAAAGGTGGCTTTTTTAGAGGAGTGGTACTAGTCTGAAGGTACATATAATCCAGTGTTTGTCTTCATGGATCACTAGAACTTCCCAACATCTGCATGGCCTGATATGTCCCAGATGTTCCCAATTTGGTATGTTCTAAATATTTCAGAATTAAATTACTGATACATTTAGAAAGACAAGGCAAGTGCCTTTTCCTCTAAGAGACAGAAAGGACCTTCTAAGGGGATACAACACTTACACTGTTTTTGATACCTGTTAGTTTCCTTGGGTTTCCTGAAATGCAATCTTTTTTTAAACCTATATTTGATAAGACCCAACAACAGACAGATTATCTTGCTGTAGTGGCCAAAGGACTTAGGGCAGAAGCTTCTAACAAACTGACTTCAAGACATTCCATATGTAGTGACCCCATAAAATGAGGCTATAGCCCTTTTAGAGGGCAGCCAATGTACTGTAACTCTACCATGGCAAGACATTCAAGCTGCCTTGATCTATGGCTAGCTTTCCCTTGGCCTACCACTCTGCAGGTGTGCTTGGCTGGCTTTTCCCTTGGCACACCACTTTCCCTTGGCACAGCACTTTGTAATACTTAAAGTTAAGACTTGTACTAGCAGCCTCAGAAGTAGTTGTAGCCATTAACAATCCTCAATTTTCAGGGAAATTTGAATTTATGTTCATCATGATGGACCTTTCTTTAGCTATTCAAGACGTCCAGGAAGTCCTTTTCACCAGATGTGTCCATTTTTATTGGTCTGAACCCCTGTAAAGCACTCCTAAAGCTCTCTGGCTTCTCTTGGAGCACAATTACCACTTGGACTACATCTTCTAAGATAGTGGCTTTCAAACATTTTTGACTAGGTCTCCCCATAAAACAAACAAAAAAATGCATTCTACATTGTGACCTAGCATTTCTGTACAGGTAGATATAAAATGCACAAAAAAAATTTATGAAATCCTTATCATCACTACTTGTGATATGCTTTATTTCCTACTGTATTGTGTTTTATTATATTTATTTTGTCCTTTTTTAAAATAAATACTGGTTGTGACCTAAATTAATTTCACAATCTGGTTTCAACCTCTTTTGGGACAACAAATAATAAAAGATATTTCATTGGACAAGATACCAGGAACTCTCAGTTCTAATCTCATGTCTATAATTACCATCTTGGGTTTATTTTTTAGATATCTTCAAATAGGGAGAGTAATTCTTAATTTTATACTAACAGTCACTCAACTCAGAGAGTTAGAGAGTCAAAGTATATTTTTAAAGTAATACAGTTCTCAGTATAATTTCTCATAATTGGTTATAATTAAAGGCCAGTTCACTCATATGCTAGATCTTATTTGTATTATTAGATCTTAGTTATCAGTTACTTATTTTCTAGCACTTTGGAAAACTGTATTTTGTACAATTGCTGTTCTTAAATTTTTTTATAATGTGAATCTCTAAAACCTCTTATCAACAGGTACATTATTATTATTCAAAATGCAAGAAAACTTTAGGCTTATTGGAAAATAAATTAATAGTTAAATTGTATCCAAAGAAAAAGTATTAGTTAGTGAGAGGTTAGGTAATTTATTAACTCAAGCCCAAACACCGTGGGCAGAAAATGATGTCTTAACCAGGGACAAGCCGATTGCCCATTTATAGCATTTTAAGTTGTTGCACTGTCTACATGTTTCCATTGGAAGATTATTAGAAATAACCAAGATTGATATCTTCAGAGGTTATTGAAAAAGTCTGGATGCTGGAAGTGACTCCAGACACCCAAACACACTTCCTAAGCTTAGTTTGGTCTACAGGCTTGAAATTTAATGAAGCCATGGAGAAAATACAAAGATAGAAGAGTCTAAACTCACAGCTCATAGGGTTAGGTCCGTTTTGCATTAATACCTTTAAATCAACTGATGTCTACTCATACTTCACAAATCAACTGAATTTCATCCCTTCCAATGTGTCCTATAACCTCCTATTCGTATCCACACAGCATCATTCTCTGGAATGGTTTTTTTCTCATCCCTACTAAACTGTGAACAGTGGGAGGGAAGGATCTCTGTCTTATTTAACACCTAGAATAGTGCTGGTAGAAGTAGGCACTCGATAAATATCTATTTATTGAATCAGTCAATCAATCAATACTATAGGCTCAATATATGTGAACGGAATAAATGAGTGACTAAATTGAAATTCAAATTTAGTAATTTTAACTAAGTACAAAGATGACTTAGGCCCCCAAACAAGATAGGGATAACCCAAAATTAGGGACAAGATCAGAAAGCATAATCCTCATAGACAGAAGCTAGCAAAAATCCACATACCATGAATGAAATTAGCTAATACAGGAAGTATCTCCCGAAGTAACAACCTATCGTATGATTTAAAGTGTGCATCTCTGTTAAATTAAGGCATTTCTTTTTTGTTGTCAGCAAAAAGCATTTCATTTAAGATGTAATATATGAAAAACAGTTTATTAATTTGGGTCTTTCTAACAAACTATGCCAGAGACTTAACAGGGAGGAAAGAGATGTTGTAATGCCATTTTTAGGTATAAAAACAAATTAAAGTATTTCAATTTTCTGATGTTTTATCTCAGAGGAAAGATGGAGGATATGTCTTAATTTTTTAAATAGAAATATCCCCAAATCACCTAAAACAAATGGGTAACATCATTTAGGGAAAAATAAATCCCTTGAGAACATTGACTATATTCACATTACCAAAAATCCTATGGTTGTAAATAGTTTTTCCAAGTGAATCATGTTTGGGAAGAGATCTGTCACACTTGAACATGGGTAGCAATAGATTAGAGCTGGTCAGAAATTCAAATAAGTAGCCTGAAAGATGCCAGAAAACTAGGCAGGAAATAAGTCAGGTTTAAAACAGTCAGGAGATGGCAGGTCCTAAAAATCCAAGCACCTGGGCTGAGTCCTGGAGTGGGGAAGAGCAGCCCATGTCAATGGGTACGTACAATCTGCTCTACAGCAGAAGCTGTTTGTGACCTGGTTAATTTCATATTCCTAACTGGGTATTTGCCTTGGGTGTCCTAGACTAGTATGAGCCAGCTGTGTTCCACATGACTGGCAGATGAGAAAAACAAGCTGCAGATGTTCTAGCTCTGTTTGTGGCCTCTATTGCCCAGAGCCTCCTCACTTTGCTTCCAAGCCTTTAATGTGTGTCCTGTTCTGTTGCAGTTCTGCCTACCTTCCAACCTGCCAGCTTTGTTTTCATTTTCTAGTCTGGTCCTCACCCAATCTCAGTTTTGATCATTGGCATGCTCAAAGGACTTGGCTTGATCCCGCCTCTGTCTCTTCCTGTTTCTGGCCACATCAGGGAAATTATCTTGACTGTCTTGGTTCCAGTTCTAAGAATTAAACCCCTGGCACTGTATCTCCTGGCTGACCTTCCGGCTGGGTCTGTCCTGGTCTCCTACCAGAGGGAATAAAATACTACAGAAGTATACCTATTGCTAGGGTAGAATGAAAAGTCTAGTGGCTATATTCCAGTTACTGTTCCTGGGTAATATGGCACTCAGAATGAAGCCATACTCCATGGGAAAGTAGTAAGGTAACACTTTAACTTTTAGAGCCTCTGTTGTCATCTCTTCCAGGGCTTTCTGTCCTCCAACTACCCCCAAACCCTGACGAAGTCTGGAAGAACTGCCTAAATTTTATTCAGATTTAAACATTTGTAATAACTTCCCAGGTTTCTTAGAAGAGGCAGAAAGTGTGGTTATTTATCTTCCCTAAGGGGAGTTCAGCTGTGTAATCTGGCAGCCCCACAGGGTTTCTTGAACACTGTATGGGACCTGTTTGATAGCCAGGTGACAGTGGAAAAGATTGATGCTGCCACATACTGCCTTAGACAAAAAGGCAAAGAGAAGAGAGGATGATTAGCTGAAGTGCAGCTGAATTCTGTCTTCTCATCCAGGAGCTGTCACGGAATGGGCTCTGCGTTGGGGCCCAGTTTCAAGAAGGCCTCAGAACAACTTTGGAAGATGAATTGATCCTGTTGCATGAGCCTGGAAGCCTTGTTAAGTCACTTGACCTCCAGTCAGGTCAGCGTATGGTTAGCTACCCGGACACATCTTTCTACCAGACACTCTGGCCTTCAGATTCCAGAGGAGCCAGTGGGCAGGGGTGTCTGTTTTTCACTGACATTTGCAGGGTGGGTACACCTCTAGAGAGAAGGTCACATCTCTTGCCAGGAAATGCAGAGTCTGAGCAATCGAGGGAAAGGCAGAGGTTAGCTCAACTTCATCTGCCATGTGGACCCCCATGCTGAGCTGAAGAGTGTTCTGGTTAGAAGCAGATTGTGGGTGGCCAATGCCTTGCCTATGGAACTATATCATGGTTAATTCTGGATCATCAGGAAATCTAATGAATTTGACCTGATTCAATAATGTCTTTCACTCAGTAATCTGATCACTTCTGTTCCAGGAGTAGCCTTCCTCAGTCTGCCCTAATCTAATGGTACGAAAACAGGCATGTTTAATTTTAGCCTATTGCAAAAGAAGACCCAGGGCAGTAGACTGCATCTACCTTATGCTTGTTTTTGGAAGGAAATTTACACTGGCCACGGTCAATACTCAGCGTGTGACAATGGTCACTGTCAAGGCCTGTAGGCCCACGCTGGAGAGAGCCTGGCACCTCACAATGCAATCCAATCACTCCAGCTTGTCACATATTCAGAAGTTCAGAAAGCTCAGCAGTGACAGGTTTATTTTTCAGAAACGCTGAGCTACAAATTACTAATATATCAGGCAGCCAGAATCACTGGGCTGACTGCAGGTCTGATTACCATGGGTAACTGACACTAAGCCATTCTGGGAGATCCTCTCCCTTAAATAGTTACATTTCAGTGCTGCTGAAATTCCGTGACCAATCAGATGCAGACAATAGGTAGGGGCTTCTGATTAGCACTCTGATTTCCAGCTGTGCTCGAAGTGACTCAGGAGATCAGTGGAAAAGTAGTTCAGTCACCCCAAAATGATAGGTTCCTACTCCTTGTTCCATTCTCTATCCCTGGAAAGCCACCATGGCCCTTCCAAGGCATTGAATGTGGCACACTGAGAATTACAGCAGCCCAGTGCTTTTCAAAGCACAACTGCCTGGGTCAAACAAAGAAACAAAAAATAAGACTCTAAGGTCACTGCATTGCTCCCCAAGTGCCCTTGAGACTGAATCACCCTGGACTTCATATCAGATTTCTCCCTGTTCTGGGGCCACCAAACAATTCTGATGGTGGTGGCTATCCTTATCAAAACAGTAAATGTCATTCCCCAACTGCTTAAACTATGCTTTATTTATCAGTGAGGTGGTAGCCTACCTCAGGATCACTTTTATAGTAATTTCCATGGTCTTACTATTTAAAGGAATGTTTCCAGAAGTATCTACATCTGAATTCACCTGTCTACTGCTATTACCTAGCCAGGGATAGTAAGAAAGACACTTTTGGTTGGAATTTCTCTGGTGTCACAAAATACATAGGCATTATGACTTGTTCTGCCTACCTTGTAACTGCAAAATTCACACAGTATTTTTCCACACGGAATACCCTCTTCTATAATGACTACTGCCACCCTCTTTATTTCACTGCTAAGATTGATACCTCAAAGAGGTATAAGCCACCCCCAAAAAGCTTAGAGGTGACATTGATCAATGTGTCAAAGACTACTATAGGCCCACTGTACCAAATAATATGGCTAAGTCCTGACACCGGACAGGGGTGGTGGTGTGGGGGGTGTCTTTTAGGTGGGAGAGTTTATGGTTCTCAGTCCTACATATCTGAGCCAAATTAAAATTTAAACACTTTCTTGGATCCATTCAAGTTTTCAAGATCACAAACCCCATTGTGTTCTTCCTATATTTATCTGTTAAGACATAGCTTTAAAACATTTTTTTTTTCTTTTGAGTCAGAGTCTCACTCTGTCACCCAGGCTGGAGTGCAGTGGCACGATCTTGGCTCACTGAAACCTCTGACTCCCGGGTTCAAGGGATTCTTGTGCCTTAGCCTCCCAAGTAGCTGGAATTACAGGTGCCCGCCAAAATGCCTAGCTAATTTTTGTATTTTTAGGAGAGACGGGGTTTCACCATGTTGGCCAGGCTGGTCTCGAACTCCTGACCTCAAGTGATCTGCCTGCCTTGGCCTCCCAAAGTGCTGGGATTACAGGTGTGAGCCCCCGCAAACAGCCTATAGTTTTAAAATTTAAAACTTTATAGCCAACTCTAAAATCCTAGCTGGTAATTCCGAGGAATTGATTGAATGGAAAGTGGGCTTGATGCATAGAAGCTGGCTCCTGTAGTTGCCAAAGTAGGTAGAGAACAAACCCAAAACTCAGTAGTAGAAAGCCCAGAAAAGCCCTGACCACCATCTCTTTCCCTGGTCTCACAGAGGAGGGAGCTTGGAAGAGGGCTGGCTTCTCTCTATGTGATCAAGAACAAATAAAAATGAGTGGTGGACAATCACTCTGATCTTATTCATGTCAGGCATCCAGGACTCCTCTCTTTGGCTTTGTCCTTCTCACATCCCATTCCACTTCTATCTGGCTGCCAACTTTTTGGAAACCATTTCTCAATTCTGGTCTAACGTCTTGAACTTGATACCTTAATTCAACAATTTCTACCATGGTTTTCAAATGAACTTACCTTGTCTCCAGTGTTAATAATTTGAAGCCAAATACCCTTCACATGACCCAAGTTCATCTTCTATTCCTGCTATTCCATAGACACAAGTCCCAGACCCCTATCAAGCCCTCTGAAATCCTTGGCCTACAACAATTAGAAAATAGCCTTGTTTCTTGGTAACCACGGACCTAGGGCAAATAGAGCCCTCTTTGAAAACTAATACATTGATGTTCTGCTCTGTTAAGTTAGAATCAGTGTGCTTGATTACTACAAATAAGAATCCTGGCTAACACGTTGAAAGCCTGTCTCTACTAAAAATACAGAAAATTAGCCGGGTGTGGTGGCGGGCGCCTGTAGGCCTGTAGTCCTGGCTACTGGGAGGGAGGCGGAGCTTGCAGCCAGCCGAGATTGCGCCACTGCACGTCAGCCTGGGCGACAGAGCAAGAGCGAGAGCGAGACTCCCTCTCAAAAAAAAAAAAAAAAAGGAATCCTAACCAACCAAGATACAATGAGGCTTAGTCTACAAAAGCCATAGCCTTACCATTAGTGAAGGAATTTAGGGAGTTAGAGGTAACACTGTAAACAAATGAGAAAAGAAATTGCACGTATGAAATGGCACACTCTTAAAAACTAAACTAGAATGATATGAGAATATTTCTTTCAACATCAATCTTCCTTCCCAGCTCCTTTCTATTTTGGAGGCTGATCATGATTCTTATTGCCTATCTTGAGAAATGTTTGTATTTTAGGAAGTGCTGATGTCTTAATTCAAAGGAATGATATTGTGAGGCATTGAGTGCAATGACAGGCAGAATTTTTACAATAGAATAATAGCCTTAGAGAATATCTCAGCCTTCATCATATAAGCAAGTGCTTACTCTGTCCACTTAGAGGTCAGCTGTATTCCTCCATATCTGAAAATAAAAGATGAAACCATCATATTTTTCAGGGCCCTCCAGTACTACACAATGCAATTATATACATTTATATTAAAATGAATAATTAGAATTAATGCTCAGGTTCATCAGTAGAAGCATCTTCATAGTCAAAAGACAAGAAAATTAAGACTTCTTGGCAAGAAACAGAAGAGGCCATAAAACAAGCAACTTCATGTGAAATTAAAAGTTCCTATACTTAATTAGTAAGTTTCCATATTGTGACATTTTGTAAGTATCCTGAATAAATGCATATATTATGGGCTGAATGTTTGTGTCTCCCCCAGATTCATATGTTGAAGCCCTAACCTCCAATGTGATGGTACTTGGAGGCTAGGCCTTTGGAATGTAATCAGGTTTAGATGAGGTCATGAGGGAGGGGCTCCCATGATGAGATTAGTTTTCGTAAACCATCATTCTCAGCAAACTATCGCAAGGATAAAAAACCAAACACCACATGTTCTCACTCATAGGTGGGAATTGAACAATGAGAACACATGGACAAAGGAAGGGGAACATCACACACGAGGGCCTGTTTTGGGGTCGGGGGAGGGGGGAGGGAGAGCATTAGGAGATATACCTAATGTTAAATGACGAGTTAATGGGTACAGCACACCAACATGGCACATGTATACATATGTAACTAACATGCACATTGTGCACATGCACCCTAAAACTTAAAATATAATAATAATAATAATAAAAAGAATTTGGAAACACCAAAAAAAAAAAAAAAAAAAAGAAGACGAAAAGAGAAGAGCTCACTCTGTTTCTCTCTGCCCTGTGAGAACACAGCAGGAAGGCAGTCTTCTGTGAGCCAGGAAGAAAGATCTCACTGGGGAGTCAAACTGGCTAACACCTTAACCTTGGGCTTCTCAGTCTCCAGAACTATGAAAAATAAATTGCTGTTGTTTAAGCCACCCAGTCTATAGTGTATTATTATAGCAGCCTGAGCTGATCAATGCAATGTATATGTTTTAAATGTAAAAAAGTGATCGATTCACATGCCCTTAACATTCATCTACTAAAATCTATCACTGTGCTTGTGTCAATTATCCAGGGATGTCTTTGGGCCACACAATTCAGATGAGACAGGAAAACAGAGAACTCCATGGCTCATTTAGTCCCATATTTCTATTCTTTGGTGGAAAAAGACCTGGTGGTAATAAAGGTCATTGTAAAAAAACTGGGGGATAGGTGTCCATACATGTGCTGTAGTGACAGGCGTACACATGTTAAACCATAACATATACAACCACATCTTAAAGTCTGGTTGACGGAAAATCATAAGCCAAAAATAATGTTAATAAAAATGTACATTATAACACACACTGTAGGGTTAATCCAATAACCACAACAAACTCACCTGATCATGAACTTAAACACTAATTTGCCATTAAAGGCAAAAAATAGCAGCAATTAAAAATCATGAACAACTTAAGACAACATGGATGATGTGCTGGAAATGAAATATCCTTCCCCCAAATTATAGAAATTCCAAGTATAACTTGGTTATGGGCATGCACAGTAGAGCTCTGAAAATGGTTGAGTGCTTTGTGGCAGGGACTTCTTAGAAAAATCCAAATCTTCAGGAAACCATAGCCATGAGCTAATTTTAGTTTATGAACACTAAATTTTAGTAACTCTTAAACTCATTCAACTAGTAATTGCTAGTAAGCAGCTTATATAAAAGTGAAACGCTATGAATTGCAACTCATTTGCTAGTAAGACCCACAGAAAGGATTTGCATTAGGGGGAGTTTGAGGTTCACTGGCAGGAGTCCACTGCATGATTGAGAACCACTAGCTGCTGTGTGGGGCTGTGCTGCCAGCTGCACTACAGGAACCAGGCCTCCTGGCTTAGACTGCTACCCATGGTCCATTGGGCTTTAAGGGCCCTTCCTCACTTTCTACTAAATAACTCAATGTTGTTATGCTGTGGTAGTTGCCTAGGAACCCCAGAGAGGTCTGACTGCTCCATGATGCTGTTCTTGCCTCTTTCCTGGGAGAGAGAAATGTTATTTCTAGCCACTGGGGTAGAGCTCCCTCACATTCAGTCATTCTCACATAAATAGAGTGTGATGATTTAGGAAATAAAGTTAAGACATGAGTCAAATTTTTGGCAGCTACATATGACATGTACATAAGCAAATATCTGTTTTAATTGCAATTTCTAGGTACAATATTTAAAAATTTTAAGCATAATAGCTTATTTGAACAGAACACGGGCTTCTAAAAGCACAAACTCAAAACTGGGAACTGTCAGTTCTTTAAAGGTATAGGGTATGGACATCAATTAAGTATGCTAAGAATATAAACTTTTTGAAGATTAATTTCTGAATAATACATTTGCTTGAACATAATGTTCATTATAATGTTATTGAACATTATATATAATGAACATTATTATGTTCAAGCAAATGTATTACACTATTTGTTCAAGCAAATGTATTATACTATTATACTATCATTCTTTATTTTTAGATCTTTGGTCTCTTCAAGAAATTGTCCTAAATGTTCCCACATACAAGCAAAAAATAAATGTTTCAACTTGTAAAATATATTATCTGGCTTAAATAGTCTATCACAACAGGCAGCGGAACAATGCATCCTGGCTTATCTAAAAGAAACAGTTGTCCACATTTGTCATTATTAAATTTGTTCAGGAGTTTTAATGCAAATGTATTACTTAGAAATTAATACATTTGCTTGAACATAATAATGTTCATTATATATAATGTTCAATAACATTATAATGAACATTATGTTCAATAACATTATAATGAATTATATATAATGTTCAATAACATTATAATGAACATTATGTTCAATAACATTATAATGAACATTATGTTCAAGCAAATGTATTAATTTCTGAGTAATATATTTGCATTAAAACTCCTGAACAAATTTAATAATGACAAACGTGGACAACTGTTTCTTTTAGATAAGCCAGGATGCATTGTTCCGCTGCCTCTTGTGATAGACTATTTAAGCCAGATAATATATTTTACAAGTTGAAACATTTATTTTTTACTTGTATGTAGGAACATTTAGGACAAGTTCTTGAAGAGACCAAAGATCTAAAAATAAAGAATGATAGTATAATAGTTTACAGTATATCCTAAAACCTGTATATGGCATATTTTCCATTATGGTGTCGAAGGGAGCTTGTGAAAACATATTATAAATCCTAAGGTAATTTTCATTTCTAGAAAAACAGCAAAGTCAATACACAAAATAAAGTACATTGCTAGACGCTCACAAACTCCTAACAAAAGTTTACAATTTTCTGCAAAAGAAATGCATCATCTGCTTCAGGATGTGGGTAAGACAAGCATGTTCCTGTGGTAACCATTTCTCATACAAGGAAAATAGCTAAAGAGACAAAAATCTTTGCTAAGCTGCAGCCTACTAGGTCTCCTGATTTGTAAGAGCAACAAGAATAGAGATTGAGCTGTTTAGCAAGTAATTTAGAAATAAACATTCGATGAACCAGTAAAGTCTGTCAAATAAAATGACTTTTAATTTACAATGGAAAGAAATACCTTAACACAGGTTGATACTGTCAAAGCATTTTCTTACATGGCATTATACTTTAGGTGGATGTAATAGGTCTAGTATATTTTACAACCGTACAAAACAAACATCCACATATATCTTTTAAGGTTCTAGTCAATCCTTAATAATAATTCTCTTAGTGCTACAAATACAGATTCATTTAATTAAAATATAGTATACATTTAATTTCTCATAATCTCATATTTTTCCTTATCTTTTAACCACAAGGTTATCTTCTTGTAATATTTACTTGTTAGTGTTATTTTGCACTTTTCTTTGTTCATTGTAATTCATTCATTTTATTCACCCTTTGTCCCACAAACCTTTGTTGAGTATGTACTATCAGTGAATAATTAGGTCAAATAATCTTTTCATAGATTTTTTTCATGTTGCACTTACTGACCTTCCGGGACTCATTTTGTAATTTTTCTAATAAAAAGCCTCACTCCTCATTCCATTGCTGTTGATCCACTCAAAATTTCTATCCAAAAGCTATGATTGTTACACCTTTACTTCTAAGGGTGAGATGGAGTGGGATGGGGAGAGTAGGATGGTGAGGAAAGAAATGGATATGTATTATATGCATCCAACATGAAGTGCACTCAGCTAAGTGTTTAACTCATGTTATTTTAAATGAAGTAGGTATAGTAGCATTCCCTTTCCATTAATTGAAAAATGGAAATCTATTAGCCCTTAATGAACTGGTCACCTAAGGTCACACAGTTAGTAGTTGGCAATTTCAGTAATGTAGCTCTAGTCTGTCTAATCTCAAAGGCTTTACAACAGTTCTTCTAAAAATCACAGTTGGCACCCGATACTTTTTATTTCAATCTTTGAATAAAAGATTGTTTGAATCTATGCTATTCATAAAACCCAGACTTCCTCCTCTTTCATTTTGCCTGTAAAAAAAGTCTATTATTTAGATTGATTACAAAAGAAATACTTTTTAACAATGGTTTTTGAAGCAAAAGTACACAGCCCATACAAAGAAAAATGCTAATAAATAAATTAAAGCATTTTAAAAATTCTGAAATCTGTCTACCCAGACAATTACTATGCTTGATGTTTTTTCAGACCACTCCCCTAAGATTACTAGGAACAATAGATAATAGCTTATGTATAGTTTAAGCATCTAAAAAGTAGTACAAACATACAAATTAAAACAAGGGAAAATGCAAACAAAACATGTCTATTTTTATTAGTAGAAATGAAATAAGGAATATCACAAAATTAATGTTAAAGAAAAAGGATTTATTATGTAGCATTCTAATTATTTCATATCAGTAGGTACCTTATATTCTTCATAATCATTGGTATCTAGCAAGTCCCTTTTCTCCAGTTCTGTAAGTTGTTCTCTTGAGGGGTTAGCAGGTAGTGTCTTAACAGAGGCTTGTTCATATATGGGTTTTGCATTAAAAAATAGTTCCTTCCAATCATGCATCAACTTATACGGAATCAGACTATCGCACAAAAAAAAGGTAGAGATGAATCAATGGTTAGTCAAATATAGATTTTAAACATTGGTATTTTTATTATATTTATGTAATTAGCTCACTTTCATCAGACAGAAATAATTACTGAAAAATGATCTTAAAGGTTACCATATGTGCAATGACAATAAGACTAATATATATGAGATTTTTCTGTTACAAATAATTTACAAAATGTAAACCTACTTTTCTCTTAAAGGGGCCTTGAAAAGCACTCAGTTTGTTCGTTTTGCACAGGAGGACACTGATACTAGAGCATTTAAATAATTTCCTAAGGTTGCATAGTAAGCTGATATCAGAGCTGAGAATTAAGGAACCTAAGTGTTCTGACTGTACTCAATATTTTTAGATATATTGTTCTGCTATGAAACAGTCAATAAAAAAGTGAAAAGAGCCAGTGGCATAAAGTAACAATCATTCTTCAAACCCACTAAGTTCCGGACATTTTACTAGCTATTAGAAATATAATAGCAAGTGGAATACCTGGACTTAAATAGCAGACTCTGGGAAAGAAGGGGAAAAAATAATTGCGTACATAAATGAAAGTTTTGAATAAGAATTATACAATGGGAAAGCACAACAGTATGACTCAACTTAACTTGTTGGTTCCAGGAAGGTCTCTTTAAAGAAATGACTGCTAAGCTGAGTCCTGAGGAATGCTTAGGAGACAACAAGGACAGAGTGATGGGAAAATGGTTTCAAGACAAGATGTGTGAAATGTCCTGACATGATCATAAACAGTTGGACTAGAACCTGAAATTACAACTTAAAAAGTAGTATTTCATTCTGATTCATGCTACAACATGAAAGGACCTTGAAGACGTTATGCTAAGTGAAATAAGCCAGACAGAAAAAGGACAAATATATTATTCCACTTATATAAGGTACCTAGAAGAGACAAATTCAGAGACATCAAGTAGGATAGAGATTATCAGTGGCTGGGGATTGAAGGGGATGAGGAGTTATTATTTAACGGCTACAGACCTAACAACGTTTCCTGTTTAAAAGGCTGTGTGTTCAGGGGTCTTGAACTCCTGACAAACCTCAGATTCAGGTACTTCTCCTTTTTGCTTTCTCCACCACTTATTAGGGCTTTAAAAAGCTCCAAAATTACCTGTTTCCTCCTAATAACCTTTTAATATTCTCTTTCAATATGACTTACTATGACATTTGTAGACATTCTATGGCTTCATGATTGCAACCCACTAAAGTAGTCCACATATTTTGAAAAAAACTATAGAAGAAAAAAACCTTAGCTATCTGACCTTTACTGTAAAATTCTGTTCACATTTAAGGATATGAGGATAGAAACAGATAAAATGGCAAAAGTAGGAACATTTTTAAAATATGGAGATCCATATACCCTTTACCCAGTGTCTCCTGATTGTAATATCTTGCAAAACCACAGTACGATATCACAACCAGGATATTAACATTGATACAGTCAAGATACAGAACCTTCTATCACCACAGAACCCATCATGTTGCCCTTTCAGAGCCACACTCACTTCCCTCTCACCTCCATCCCATTCTTAGCCCCTGGCAATCACTAATCTGTTCTCAGTTTCTATAACTTTGTCATTTCAAGAATGTTATATAAATGAAATCACAGAGCATGTAACATTTTGAGACTGGCTCTTTCCCACGCAGCCTAAGTATCTGGAGATTCATCCAGATTGTGGCATGTATTAATAGTTTATTATTTTATATTTCTCAGCAATATTCCATGATACGGATGTATCACACTCTATTACCTGTTGAGAGATATCTGGATTGTTATCAGTTTTAAGCTATTACAAATAAAGGTGATATAAACATTTGTATACAGGTTTTTGTGTGAATTTAAGTCTTAATTTCTCTAGGATAAATGCCCAGAAGTGTAATTGCTAGGTTGTGTGGGAGTTGCATATTCTGCTTTTTAAGAAATTGCCAAACTGTTTTCCAGAGGGGCTATACCATTTCACCTTTCTCAGCAGTAATGAATAGTGGTTTTCTCCAGATCCTTGCCAGTATTTGGTGTTTTCATTTTTTTAAAAATTTTAACCATTCTTATAGGTGTGTAATGATATATCATTGTGATTTCAATTTGAAATTTTCTAATGACTAACAAGGGTGAATTTTTTTACTTGTGTATTTGTCATCTAAATATCCTCTTCAGTGAAATGTCTTTTCATATCTTTTGCCTATTTTTGAACTGGCTTATTTTTTATTGTTGAATTTTGAGAATACTTCATATATTCTAGATATTAGTCTTTTGTGGGATAGGCAGTTTGAAATATCTTCTCCTATTCTATACATCCTTTCATCTTTTTCAAAGCAAAAAGTTTTAATTTTGAGGAAGTCCAACTTATAAAGTTTTGTCTTTTGCAGAGCAAAAATTTTTAATTTTAATGAAGTCCAATTTGTCAAGTTTTCCTTTTATGGATCATGCTTTTGGTGTCAAGTCTAAGAACTTGTTGCCTAGTCATAGAACCCAAAGATTTTCTCCCATTTTTTTCCTCAAAGTTTTATAGTGCTATGAGTTACATTTAAGTCTATGATCCACTTTAATTTTCATAAAAGGTGAGGAAAAAGGCATATATGCATCTTAAATAAAAATAGTCAGTGAGTAAATCAAGTCAGTAATCAAGGTCTCCTGGACCCCACCTTTTAGTCTTTTCATGAATCATTTTTATCTCTCTTTACTTATCATCCTAGTATCTATTTTACAATCTTATCCTTCCTCATTCTCTATCGTGTCTCTACTGTTATTACAAAAAAAATACTTACTTATTTGTCAACATTCGATAGTCTGCCACTTTAGTGGACAAATCAACTATTTGATCCAAAATTTCTGCACATACTGAATAATGCTTTTCATAACGAGCTTGAGCTCTTTCCACAGCAATCTGATCATGAAATCTCTTTTCTTTAAGGAATTGTTCTTCAAAGTCAATCTTGGCTTGTTTTGCCAAAGCCTAAAAAGGCAAAAACATATTTTTAAGTCACTATAATTGAATCAAATAAAAATAATGTCATCATTTCAATGGCCAAAAAGTCTTTCAGTAGAATGAAACCTCTTCTCACACCAGGAAAAAAATTAATCATGAATGAACACTTTTTTCTTAATACATTAGCACTTAATGCAAAGACAATATTGGAAATATCCTACTCTTAGCTTATCTTATCAACAAAGCATAATACAGTCAGACGTGATCTAACTGGGGAAAGCCCAATGTGGATTAATGAGGAATTGGATCTTAAGCCTTCAAAAAGAAGTCCTGAGTTCACCGGTTGCAAATAGGGATCGGAGAGAAACAGGCAAGTTTGTGCCAGACCCTAAGCATAGCTGACCCCTCCCTCCCACCTCCAAAGTGCCAATTTTGACACATCTGCTATAGCCATTGCCCTCTGTCTTTCAATGGGAGAGTTCTATAATACTGGTTTATACTTAGAAAATATTTTAGAAAGTCCCAGATTATACTGGCTTGAGAATATAACACATTTGCCAACAAATGTTAAATGTGTTAATTACAACCCTCTACAGATACAGCCTTAACAACTGATGGCATTCATTTGTAGGAACATCTATTTATGTAGAAAGCAATGAAACACTTAGCTTGTTATCGCCCTCTCCTTAGTGCATTATTATTTTGTTTAGGGAATCTTTTCTTCACACAAGGTACAAAGGTTGAACTCAGTCCAGCCAAGCTGAGGATAACATAATACTTAATAAGTGGGATTCAAATGACCAAATATTGCTTTTCAGATAGCTACGCCAGCTTCTTGAGAAATTCAGTTACGTGCTAGCCTGCTCTAGGAAAAAGACTTCCCTCCTGTAACAACCCAGTGAGTATCAAATGGAAGTAAACTTGGGCTTTGGAGGAGCTATGGTCGAGTTCAAGCCCTAGATTTTATATAGAATTCAATTTCTAGCTGTGAGACCTTGGGCAAGTCATTAGTCTCCTTGTGCCTCCATTTCCTCAAAGTCAGGTTATTAATAGTACTTAGCATACCCCAAAAAATTACCAAACCATCTCATCAGAACAAATATTTCCTATTATGATACTATTCATAAATGACTAGATGTGTGACAATGGATTGCTGTGTAAGGTCCACCATTTGTTTTGCTATTACTGTTTTATTTTGTGTGCTTATTTCATTTTTGTTGGGAAGGGGGTTAAGCTGGGTGATCACTAAGGTCAGTTCTGTACATTTGACAGATTCAGGAATTACATCAGAGTTTGTTATTCTTGTATTATTCTGTATACCCTGTTTTTATGGAGAAAGAGTACAATTTAAGTACAAAGCTTTATGGCATGATTCATGAAGTGAAGAATTCAGAGGAAAAATGAATCTAAGAGAGCAGAAATATCCAATGAGAATTCATGGAAAGAGTGACAAAAAAAAATGGATCATGAGGTTGGTTTACTACAGAGTTCTCTGAAACACATGGAAATATTTAGGATGTGAGGAAAAAAAACCTTTAAGGGAATAGTAGAATGGTCCTACCAGTAATAGTATAGCTTTCAACCCTGGTTGCTGCCATTGCCTGTCTCCGCATCTCCCTCTCTCTCTTCCTCCCTTCCTCGCTCCCTCCCTCCCTCCCTCTGTTCCTCTCCCTCCCTTCATCCAGCTGTCTAGTCTTCCTTCTCCTTTTCTATATCTACCATCAATCCTCTGCCAAAGCCACCATAATTTCCTGTCTCATTACAGCTAAGTGGGTTGCAGCCATAAAAAGAGAAGGAGGAAAAGGAAAAAGGAAGTCTGTGGGAGGTAGTAAATCTCCGTGGTTATGAGCCTGGACTCTAAAATCTGATAGAGCTGGCCTTGCTCCCTGCTACACCACTGAGAAGCTGTGTGACTTTGAGCCTTCTAGTCTTCAATTTCCTGATGTGTTAAATGTAAATAAGGATGGCATCCACTTATGGTCGTTGAAAGAATTATATTATACATGCTTGTAACAAACATAGTACAATGCTTGACTCAAAGTAAAGCTCAAAAAACATCAAATATTATTGTAATGAATTTTCAATAATTATAGTAGGTAGCACAGAAATTTGAAATCAGGAACTGTCTTAATATAGAATAGTTTTGCAATTGTCTCAAAGGAAGAGATTAGCAGATTTAATCTAAAAACAAAACAAAAACGCTCAAAAAATTGAGAGTGAAAGAAAAACACAAAGTTCTCCTCCCTCGTTTTCTCTCTCTCCTCCTTCCTTCCTCTCTCCCTCTCCCTCTTCCTCTCCCTCTCTCTCCCTCCCTCTTTCTCTCTCTCTCTCTCTCCTCCTTCCTTCCTCTCTCTCTCTCCCTCTCCCTCTCTCTCCCTCCCTCTCTCTCTCTCTCTCTCTTCTTTCCCTTCCTTTCCCCCGAGATGGAGTCTTGCTGTCATCCAGAGCTGGAGTGCAATGGAGTTATCTCGGCTCACTACAACCTCAGCCTCCTGGGTTCAAGCAATTCTCCTGCCTCAGCCTCCCAAGTAGCTGGGACTACAGGTGCACACCATCACACCTGGCTAATTTTTGTATTTTTAGTAGAGACAGGGTTTCACCATGTTGGCCTTGAACTCTTGTCCTCGTGATCCACCTGCCTTGGCCTCCCAAAGTGGTGGGATTACAGGTGTGAGCCACCATGGTCAGCCTTTCCTTTCTTCCTTCCTTCCTTCTTTCCTTCCTTCCTTCCTTCTTTCCTTCCTTCCTTCCCTCGTCTCTCTTTTCCCTTTCTTTTCTTTTTCCTTCCTTCCTTCCTTCTTTCCTCTTTTTTTTTTTTTTCTTTATTTCATGAGCAAGAGCAAACGTGGTACTGCCCTTATGGACTTTACATGCCAGTGGGATAGGCAAACAGTCAAAAAGCCACACAAATACATGTATAATTACACACTATGACAAGTGTCATTAGGGCAAGACCATGGGGTATGAGGCCTGACCTAGACAAGAAGGGGCATATGCATGGAGCTTTGAAAACAAGTATTAATTGGGTGAAGGCACTTGGGAAGAGGGGCAAAGTAGAAGAAATGACTTGTTCAAGGATCTGAGAGCAAACCAATGTGGCCAGAACCCAGGCAATGAAAATGAAGGGGGGCAATGAAGCCTCAGAGGGGATTATATGGAAGACCAACAAAGGCTGGAGCAGCCTCCCCAAAGTTTCCTGTGCCACTGAGGGTAGCATGTTGGCTGCAGTAGCTGAGGTCTCAATAGTACTGGGCTTGCACCTGATGACTGTAGTGTTTCCAAGATGGCTTGGCCCTTATAACCTGGGGCATTGTACATTCTCTGTGTGCAGAGGTAGGATGAAAGAGTAAAACTTAGGGTTGATTTAAGGAAAATAAATAATGTTATATTCTTACACTCTCCAGTTTTTGGTCACCAATTCATAACCACTAAAAATGGATAAAGGAAACCACTGCAGTAGTAGTACTGCAGTAGAAACCAGGGGTGGTAGTGTAGACATGGAGGAAAATGGACACGATGAAGAGAAATTTAATACATGAAAATGATAACACTCAGTGGATATTTTGGGTATGGAAGAATAAGGGTGAAGCAGCTTTCAGGTGGGCCCTGAAGTTTCAGGCTTATACAATTTGATAAATAATGATGCCATTTGTTGAGCTATGGAACATTGAAAAAGACTAGTTTCATAGCAAAGGTCATACATTTGGCTTGGAACATGTTGAATTTGAAGTGTCTCTGAGACATATGACCACAGATGTCAAGGAATACTAAAACTATGGCCCTTCATCTTGGAGGACAGAGGCATAACTGCATGGGTCATCTGTCTATTGCAGTAAATACTTCACCATGGTTGTGGATGAAATTGTCTGAGAAATAACATAGAAAAGAATATAAGGAAGTCAAAGATGAAGCTTTGAGCAATCTGTTAATAAATGTTTTGATATAAGGGAACAATGGGCCTGTAAAGACAATGACCCTGCTCCTGAGAAGGAGCAGCCAAAGAAGTAGAAACAAAATCAGTATTTTCCACAGCAATACTTAATAGAAAGTAGCCATGGAATAGCAAATAAATACTATTAAAATAAGTAATACAAATATTATTAATACTTTGTGAGCATAGTTAAGAAACCTTAAAGACCTTAATAGATTTAAAAGTACTTTTAGAATGTGCCATCTCCTCCCACTCTCAAATAACAATAAAAATGACAAGAACAATAAAAACTAAGAACAAAGCTGGAAGCATCGCACTACCTGATTTCAAACTACACTACACTACACAGGGCTAGAGTAATCAAAACACAAAAACAGACACATAGACCAATGGACCAGAATAGAGAACCCAGAAATAAGACCACACACCTCCAGTCATCAGATCTTCAACAAACCTGACAAACACAAGCAATGGGGAAAGGATTTCCTATTTGATAGATGGTGCTGGGATAACTGGCTACCTATATGCAGAAGATAGAAACTGGACCCCTCCCTTACACCATATACAATAATTAACTCAAGATGGATTAAAGACTTAAATGTAAAACCCAAAGCTATAAAAACCCTGGAAGACAACCTAAGTAATGCCATTCAGGACATAAGCACGGGCAAAGATTTCATGATGAAGATGCCAAAAGCAATTGCAACAAAAGCAAAAATTGACAAATGGGATCTAATTAAACTAAAGAGCTTCTGCACAGCAAAAGAAACTGTTGACAGAGTATACCAACAACCTACAGAATGGGAGAAAATTTTTACAAACTATGCATCTGACAAAGGTCTAATATCCAACATCTATAAGAAACTCAGACAAATTTACAAGAGAAAAAACAAACAACCCCATTAAAAAGTGGGCAAATGACATGAACAGACACTTTTCAAAAGAAGACATACAAATGGCTAACAAACGTGAAAAAAAAGCTTAACATCACTGACCATTAGATACATGCAAATCAAAACCATAATGAGATACCATCTCATACCAGTCAGAATGACTATTACCAAAAAGTCAAAAAACAACAGATGCTGGTGAGGTTGTAGAGAAAAAGGAACACTTTTACACTGTAGGTGGAAGAGTAAATTAGTTCAACCATTGTGGAGGACAGTGTGGCAATTCCTCAAAGATCTACAGGCAGAAATACCACTCAACCCAGCAATTCCATTACTGGGTTTATACCCAAAGGAATATAAATCATTCTATTTTAAAGACCCATGAATGCCTACATTCATTGCAGCACTATTCACAATAGCAAAGACATGGAATCAACCTAAATGCCAATCAATGATAGACTGGATAAAGAAAATGTGGTATATATACACCATGGAATAATATGCAGCCATAAAAAGCAATGAGATCATGTCCTTTGCAGAGACATGGATTGAGCTGGAGGCTATTATCCTCAGCAAACTAATGCAGGAATAGAAAACCAAATACTGCATGTTCTCACTTATAAGTGGAAGCTAAATTATGAGAACACATGGACACACGGAGGGGAACAACACATACTGGGACCTTTCAGAGGGTGGAGGGTGGGAGGAGAGAGAGGATCAGGCAAAATAACTAATGGGCACTAGGCTTAATACCTGGGTGATGAAATAATCTGTACAACAAACCCCCATGACACACATTTACCTATGTAACAAACCTGCACTTATACCCCTGAACTTAAAAGTTAAACAAATATATATATATTTTTTGTTAACAAATATATATATATATTTATCTTGGTATATATATTTTTTGGTATATATGTGTGTGTGTATATATATATACACACACTTTGGTATATGTGTATATATGTGTGTATAATATATATATATATATATATATATATATATATATATATATATATAATATATACCAAAAAAAAAACCTCCTTTCTTCACATAAAAGAAGTAGAATGATAATGCTGTAGGGAATAAAATGGATTTTGTTTAGTTAGTGAATGATACTGGAAAGAAGAGGTGACTGTTAATTTGGCAAACTGAATTCAACATTTATTGATTGATTTATTCAGCTCCTACTTATGTACCAGCTACTGTTGGTGGAGGAGTTGATAAACTCAACATGTATGGATGAAAGCCATAAAATCCAACCATCTCTAAGGGAGAGATGCCAAGGAACTAGATAGCTCCGCTGTTGGAAAAGGTAATCATGTGAGAGGAAGAAATATAATTTTTTCAGATGCTTCAGAACCTCACAATTTAGGTCTCTCAGGCTTTAGCAGGCCCAACTGTTCCGGTCCTCTGAAGTTAGTTCAACCCCAGTTCAAGAAAGAATAGATGATCCTTATCACTGTGAGACCAGTCCAGCTAAACATACTTTGCTATTTAGCTGAGCTTGTGAAATAAACATATTTTTCAAATAGGCACTTAGAAAGATAAACACATCATTTCTAATGTAAGTAAATGCCACTCAGTCTAGTCAAGTCTATTGTTGCCAAAGAAGAGAGATGAAACAATCATCCAGATAACTCAGCTCTTGAAGCCAAAGAAGACATTGAGGTCAGCATTCATTCAGCTCAAATTCATGGGGTATGGTTCTCTCTCCCCATTCCATACCCACCGTTTAGGCTATGCCTGTTCCACAAAGGCAAAAGCAACACTCTCCTCCCTGCAAAATATGCTACTTTCCAAATGATATTTCTAAAAATTGCATAATTTTGGCAAAAGTTACATTACACTTTCATGGGGTATCACAGTGGAAGCTATGAAGCTAGTAAATAAAACACTGCCCTCCTGTTTTCTATAAGGTTTCTCTTCTGCCCAGTCTGGTTTTGTGAATATCTTATGATAGTAAAGACAGGCTATCTAAAATGCCACTCACAGGAGTTCTCTTCAATCAAATGTGGACAAACGGATTAAATAAATCTGAAACATCCCCAATAGGAAGTAGACAAGAAGTAATCCATATACTCCATTAATAAAATCAATCTATTTTTTTTTACTAGAACTCACATATACATAAAGTTTGGGACAAAAATAATCTATTAAATAATTAAAAGATTGGATATTTTGATTTTCAGAGTTGTAAAAGGGCCGAGACACAATGATACCATAGTAGCAAAGAGCACAGCTAGCAGCCCAGATGTGAGTTTCTGTATACCATTCTCAACTACAGTGCACCACAGTACCCTAGATAAAGCATTTATTCTCATTCTGAGGAAGGAATAGCATAATATGGGCCTGAGGAATCTCTTTTTTTTTTTTTCAGAAGGCAAGGAATTGTTGATTAAAGACTAATGGTGTCTAGTTGAAAGGAAGCAGCTTAAAAGTTCTCTCACTGCCTGAGGATATTTACCTAGAATAACCAATACCAATGCCTACTCTAGTAAACTTAGTGAACTTTTAAAGAAAAAAAAAGTATCTAAAAAAAAAGTAATGACTCAAGGAACTGAAAGTTAGACTATCACCATTCTTTTTGGCAGCACACTTCATACTTGAAGAAAACAGAGTGACATATTTAAGATATTCAAGGAAACAAAGTGTGAACTAACCATTTTATATACAGCCAAACTTACAATCAAGTATAAAAGGCACACACTGTTATAAGAACTCAGGGAATATGGTTTCCATGAGCCCTTCATGAGAAACCTATTGGAGAAAGAGCTTCAGACAATCAAAATGACTAGAGAGACATGGACATAAGGGTTGGTGGTGAGCATTAAGTACTTAGCTACTTGTAGAACCAAGATTAAAAGAAGACAGTATAGTACTATGTAGCAGCTACATGCCCTGTTGATGGAGTTATACAAAAATAAAAATGGGCAGATAACAGGTTGATCATACAAAAGAAAATCTTATTAGATGATTGGCAACAAAATATAGCTTTGTTTACCACGACTTGGTAGAAAGAAACAAAAGTAACCTTAGAAAGATTTCTAAGGAAGATGGTATTTACCGCTTCTCGATCAAGAGCATCCTGGAAATCTTTAAGTCGTCTTTCCTCATGTTGTTTTTCTCTGAAAATTCTGTTTTGCCATAAAACTTCCTTTTCATGCCGAACATGCATGAGCTGCACGGCAATCCTGCGCTCCTGCTGGGACTGCCGCATCAGCCGGTTAATCAGCTGTTCCTCCCGATAAGCCTCCTGAAAACACCAGGGGAATTATTTGTTAAAGTGACGTCCAAATTTCCCGCTGAGCTACGAAGCCTATACAGAAACAATATACAAAAGGCATAATGTTCATCTAAATCAGTTTCTGTCATTTGACTTAATTTGAACATGGCAAAAAAAATCATGTTATGAAATGAGGATTTCCAACAAAAGTTGGTGTTTAGAAACATTATGGCTTTGCAACTCACAATTACTTTAAACAAATTATTACTTCATTCAAAACATTATTAGAAATAAATTAGGTGATTTTTTTTCAAGGTTTTAAAAACAAGCAAATAGCTAATGGATACTAGGCTTAATATCTGGGTGATGAAATAATCTGTACCACAAACTCCTGTAACACGAGTTTACCTATATAACAAACCTGCACATGTACCCCGAACTTAAAATAAAAGTTAAAAAAAAAATAAGTGCTATAACTCTAAACTTAAAAGCATGTTTTCAGAAGGTTGGGATTATGCTGTACGCATTTTAACATAACTACTAGTTATAAAACAAATCAGGCATTGTCAGCTGAAGACTGCAGATCTGATTAGTTCCCCGTGAGGATATCACAATACCAACGTGAGGAAAAGCTATTAATACAAACTGACAGAATGTGAAGCCTGGAGAAGAGGCTGGGGGAAATGACCTACTGCTTATCTTATCTGAGTGATCATAATCTGAAAGAAAAACTAGATAGATGTATTCTTGGCTGTTTGAGGAGAATAGAAAGGTGACCAGTAAATGAACAGTGGAAAAAAAACATTAAACTGGGAATCAGAGGACCTGGTCATCATAATAGGCTGGGTGGCCTTGGGCAATTAACTCAGTTTCTCGGGCCTATTTCTCATTAGGTAAAATTATGGGTTTAGGTGGAAGATAATATCCAAGTCCCCATCAAGCTCTCTCACTCTTTCGAAACAGAGACATCATGTGGAAAGAGGAGGTATCTATAGTACTCAATGGGGAAGACATAGAAAAATATCTAGAGACCAGAACTTACTCTGGTCTACAACCACTATTTAATTTTCCAAAGATGCCCAAGCAGCTCTATAGAGGAATAGGGCACTGCAGGAAAGACCTGACAGCTAAGTATTCAAGGGTCTTCTAGTTAAGAAGTGAGGGAAGGGCCTGGCGTTCAAATGCCAGTTCCAAAGAAATGGCATAGAAAAGATTCTTAGAAGGCAGAGGTAACTGACTTGGGGCAAACCTTAATTGGCCAAGACACTAGCCATATGACCACAAAACCAGGTGGGAGCCAAACTGTGTTCCCAGTTTGAATACACTTAAATGCCTATGAAGTACTTTAACAAGCCCAAAACTAAACTCACTAACTCCCCTTCAGACCTGGTCCTCTCCCCATATTTCCCCATCTCAGTTGATGATCCTACAATAATCCACTCTGTGATCTAAGACATTAGGGCCATCCTAAGTTCACTCCTCTCTCATCACTCCTAATACTCAATTGTTCAAGAAGTAGTCTAGTAAACCTCCTAGGTATGTTTTTAAACCACCCCCCCGATTCCATTCCATACCCAGTGACACCACCCCTATCTTGAACAACATCAGCCCCTCCCTACCAATCCTTTTCTTACCATCCCTACTCTCAAAACCTATCCCCTAAAAAGTCAAATTGATTTTTATAACTTTAAATCTCATCATTTAGTTCACATAATTCCACGTATTTATCAATCAGTAGGCAAGATATCAACTTGAGCACAGGTCTCTGGCTGTCTCTTCACCAGCCAAACTAAAACAGGAATACCTAAATTCCAGGGAGAAACTGGAACAACTTGAAAGCTAGGGAAGATATTTTGAGGCATTTCTGATGGATTAAGTGCAAATGGCACCAGAAGAAAACATTCAGGGCTGATGTGGGATTTATGTCATGCTTGTGAAAAGCAGCAAGTAATTGAAGGAAGTAGAATTCCTAGCCCTGACATATACCATTTTTCCTCTGGAGGAGAGGAGAATGGATGGAAAAACCAGCCATTGTACACATAAGAATTTCCCATTCCACCACTGTGGACCAGGATCTCTTGTGTCAGTTGCACAGGAGCCTGGGCTCACTACATTCCATAGGAAGGAGGTGGTAGGAATGGAGGGAATGCAGCATATGCTTCAGGCCTGGTTCTAGGAATAGCAGCTCACCCACACACAGAAAAGCAGCAGCACAAGATGAGGTTCCTGTGATGGAAATATATAGAGCCCTGGCTCTTTTTTAGGCCCCTTAGGTTGCTGGATTTCCAAACTGGTAAATATACCTCCAACTCTAGTTTTGAAAAGTCAGTGTTAATAGCATCCTAGTGGAAAGTGAGGAAATCTAGAAAGAATTCATTTATTCCATTTTCCAGGCAAACGCCAGACCTAGATTACAAGCAGAAAATTAGTGAGAAAAAACCTTGCAGCCAACACACAAGTACTTTGGAACATACATAGAAATGTGTTCAAAATTTCATTGCTAGGTAATGAAACTTGAAATGGGTAGGTATTTTAAAACTAACTTTTCAACTATCTAGTTTTCATAATTTGAAATTCTTCTAATTAAAAGGGAGATAACCAAACTGATTGAATAAAGATAAAATTTGAAGAAATCAGAATATGAAGAAATAACTTTCTAGCACAAAGAGATGTGCAGAGCTATTTTTCTGAACTTTCACTAAGAAAGAAGTGGAATCCATGAATAAATTTCACTTCTTCATATTTATATGAAGGCTTTATTTCCTTTCAGCGAACAAGCAGACCAGACGTGGGTAGGTGAATAAAAGCATCTTCAAATGGTCTTTGTAGACATGCAGATTTGTCCTATTTACATTCCCAACTGAAATCACTGCCCACCCCAAGTTTGTTCCTCTTACCATCTTCCATATCTCAGCAAATTACACCTCCAGCCATCCAGGTGCACAACCTAGAAATCCAATTTTTCATCCCACTTTTTCACTTTCCCTTGTTTAATGAATCAATAAGTCTTATTGATTTTACCTCCAAAATAGCTCTTAAAGCTACTTCTCTCAATCCCTATTGCCACTACACTACATTTAAACTGGGATAATCTCTTACCTGAATTACAGCAACAACAGACTTGGATTGCCCTTCTGTAATCTATTCTCCAAACTAAAGCCAGAGTGATCTTTCCACAGGCAAGTCTGACCTGGTCACTCTTATTCTGCTTTGCATTCAAACAGGAAATCACAAAATCTCCTATTTCTTTCTGTGTATCTTACAAGGCTCATCATAATTTGGCCTCTGGTGACTCCTGCCAGATGGCATGACTTTCAGTTAGCTAAAAACACTGAGCTTTCCATGTGATATTCCCTTGTCTGGAAACACTCACCTTCCACCACCTTTCCTGGAAACTGCCCCTAACCCTGACCCCACCACGACCATCCCACCTTCAATTAGCTAACTCCTGACTCTTTATCCATGCTTCTGCTATTGTCCTCCAGACACTGTCTCCTGAAGCAAGCCAGGTGGACTTCTCTAAGTGTCATTCACCCTAATCCCTCTTTCACCTTCACAGAACTTTCACACTCCAATGTACTTGCTGTTTGTAGATGCTCCTATAAACAGAAAGCTCTGGGAGACAGGTGTCTTGTTATTCTTGCTCTCTGTCATATCTCTGGGCCTATCACAAGTACTCAAAGCATAGAAGTTCAATAAATATGTGTTCAATGTAAGAAATGATCAGTGATTCTCAAGCTGCAGTGGCGTCAGGATCACCTAGACAGCCTGTTAGCACGGATCACTGGGCCCCACCCCCAGAGTTTCAGGTCTGGTCTGGGGTGGGGCCCAATAATCTGTATTCCTAAAAGTCCCAAGCAATGCTGGTGCTGTTCGTCCAGGAACCATGCTTAAAGAACCACTGGAATAGACTGGCGAACAAAAGGAGAGGATGAACAACTTTTCCACATTGTTTTCATTAAACCATTCCCTTTTTCCTCTAAAAGTAACAATAGAGTACACATGGCAGATACAGATTTTAGGTTCCTTTTAATGTATTTTTTATTAAGGTAAAATATACATAACATAAAATTTACCATTTTTAAAGTATACATTTGTCTTAATTACATTCACAATGTTGTACAACTATCACCAGATTTTAGATTCTTTAGTAAATAGCTACTTTTCTTCCTAGTATATTTGCTATTATGATGAGGATGTGAAAGTGACATTTGATGCAGAGTAGCAGACAATACATATATAAACTACATATTATGTGTATAGAAGACTACATTTTGTAGAATTCCCAGCACTATTACTTAACCTTCATCTAAATATCTTACCTCTTGTGCTTCGTGGGCTATTAACTGGTCCATTAACAATTTCCGCCGTCTTTTCTCCCTTTGCTCTCGTGCAAAAGCATCTTCTTCAAGGCGCTTCTGGATTTTTTTAATGTACTCGTCATCTGAGTAAGTATTTAACAAATCGGTGGTTGTCTGGCCTGCTGTATCTAAAGAAGTCTTGGATGCACTAAGAATAATAGTTTTTATTTTAGATTTTTAAATAATAATGTGATCCCATGCCACTATCTGTGACTATGGAGAAAGACCTCAGGAGAAGGATCCCTTGAGTTCACTGTTAATTTATTAATACAAGCATTGAAGAAAATATTTGAAATCAGTGTGATACCAATAGCTTATCAACAGATCCCATTTGCTTCACCCCATTTCTAAATTCTCTGTGAGGTCCTTATCATAGCCTTCTTTCAAGGCCCATCAGCTTTTTATTCTTTCACCTTTTTTTTTTTTTTGAGATAAAGTTTTGCTCTTGTTGCCCAGGCTGGAGTGCAATGGCGCATCTTGGCTCACTGCAACCTCCGCCTCCTGGGTTCAAGTGATTCTCCTGCCTCAGCCTCCTGAGTAGCTGGGATTACAGGCATGTGCCACCACGCCAGGCTAATTTTGTATTTTTAGTAGAGACAGGGTTTCACCATGTTGGGCAGGCTTGTCTCGAACTCCTGACCTCAGGTGATCTGCCCACCTTGGCCTTCCAAAGTGCTGAGGATTACAGGCATGAGCCACTGTGCCCAGCCTGTTATTTTACTTTTTTTTTTTTTTTTTTTTGAGACAGAGTCTCACTCTGTCACCCAGGCTGGAGTGCAGTGGTGCGATCTCGGCTTACTGCAACCTCCGCCTGCTGGGTTCAAGCAATTCTCCTGCCTCAGCCTCCCGAGTAGCTGGGACTACAGGCACACGCCACCACGCCCGGCTAATTTTTTGTATTTTTAGTAGAGACAGGGGTTTCACCATGCTGGTCAGGCTGGTCTCGAACTCCTGACCTCATAATCTGCCTGCCTCGGCCTCCCAAAGTGCTGGGATTACAGGCGTGAGTCACTGCGCCCGGCCTTACTTTTTATGATTTTCATTCTAACCGGAAATTCTGGATTTCTTTTCCTCTTCTTCCTGCTGGCTCTGGGCCTCTGACCTCCCCTGTTTTGAGTCAACAATAGGCAGACTATTGATAACCCAAGTGTCAGGGAAGGCACAGCTCGCAACAGCAGACCAGGCACATTAATGCCAGGTCACTAGAATACTTCTATGTACAGATGGTTCCATCTACTACACTCTTCCATCATCTATGAAAGTGCAAGTTACTCTATCAACTCTCAGATCAATTTTTGACTGCTTAGAACAGTCGCTGAACACTTATTGAAAACACAGCAGTTGAAATTTGGCTTGCTTGCCATGCCACACATGTAAGCACAGGTCTGACTGGCTTCTTGCTCATGCCCTAGAGATTCAAGTGAGAAGACTCAACTCAGAGCTCTTGTCCTATCTCATGTCCAAAACGTAAAGGATCAGGAAGAACCCAGTGGTCTTCCCAACAGAAAGTTAAGCACATTCAATTTAGTGAGTCAAATGGGGGCTTGGTACAGAATTCATAGATTCATTCCAAATTTATCATTAAAAGATACATTTTTATGTATACAAAGATCAAATAATCATCAATTCTCATCTGCATCCTCTTCAAAAAGTAAACAGAATAATACAATAGTACAAGATATACCATAATGTTACTTGCCTAGAAATAATGAATTTTTATATTATGTATAATCATTGCTTTTGTTACAAGTAATTAATATATTTGGTTTACAATATTACTTATAATCTTATTATTCAAAAAATAAGGATATATTATTAAAGTGTGTAGAGACTTGTCATCAATTCTTATATAGACACAAGTACTCTGATAAAAACATAGTTAACTCATGTTTAATTTTTATGATGTAATACCTGCATATTTATAATATAGACCATATTGTAGTATAGGTCATAATTTGGAGGTTTGCGCCTCCCAGCTGATCTCCTAGTGAATAAGAGAAGTATCCTATTTTTCTTCTGCCTGCACCTGTGCCTAGCATGCCCAGCAAATAGTTGATGTCTGCTAAATTTCAAATAATGTGCTAAAAAACACCATACATACATAAAAATCAAACTAAAGTTCCAATCATTTTATCAGCCGGGGCTCAACCTTTGATTGTATTCTGTCACTGAGAAGAGTTGAGCACAAATTATGTAGGTACCAAGCACTCAGTAAGGCCAAAGACAGAGTTTAACCCTATCTATTTATTAAGATTTAGTATTTAATTGTGTAGCGTAACACTTTTAGATCTTTCATCAAAAATCTTATTATATTTGTACTTAAGTGTGTTGTGTAAAAGCTCCTGCCCTGGATTGAGCGTGGGTTAATAGCTCTCTCAACACAATATTTATGCTGTCAATAATATACTTAACAAATTGCTTCTCCTTTATCAATTAGTCAACCCATCCATCTGTTGTCTTATTCCAATAAAGGTGAAAAAAAACTACACATTATGTACTTGAATAAATATTCATTTTACTAGATGTAGGTTTCTTGAGGGCAGTGATTATATTTTCTTTTTATCTGTTTGCTTGCCAGACCTTCATCTAATGTAATAATTGTATGTGTATAATCTATTAGTAGCAGAAACCTTGGTCAAATTTGTGTTTCTTAAGAAGTAGTTGCTGGGAAAAGCCTCTGACAAATATATTAACCCAAATACCAAATTACAGCAGCCAATAACCCCAGCTAAAGAAACAAATAGCAGACAGGATTTATTATTCATCTAAAAAATGAAAAAATGGAGGAACCTTGTTACACGGGGAAAAACCAGCCATGAGGGCTCTTGCATTGCTGGCATGAGACATTATTTCATTCTTCCACAAAAGAAAAACGATGGACTTTGAGGTGGCATCCAGAGAAACTGTTCAGGAGCAGGCTATGAAAAAGGCAGCTGCAGAAAGTGCTCCTGAGGTTCAAGTTGGGAGACTGTATTGCCTTCTGGAGTCAAGTTAGTGTGAAGTTTTTCAATGTGCCCAGAACATTCTTGATTCTAAGCTAAGATTCAGCATGAACTAAAAAAAGTAGTGATTAATGAAATGGCTTAAGAAGGGTGCTATATTGTAACCATAGCCTCTGTTTTCTTGAAAAGTTTGCTCTAGGCCAGCACTTCCCAACGTTTTTCTTTTTAAGGCCAAAAGAGAAAACGAACTTTGTGCAACACACTGGAAAGGATTTAGATTCTCAGATGAAGCTGTTCACAGCCACAGGTAACTGGCCCAGGGACTTCAGCTGCCCCAGGCCTTCTCCTCCTGCTGTAAGTGAGGGTGTCAATATCTCAGATGCCCTCTGCTGGAAATCTTTGGCAGGACCAAGTGAAGGCTTCTGTGAAGAAGGGACCTGACACTACTATTTCCCTCCCTTTTCTCTCAAAATAGAACCCCAATTTTATGCAGGGAAACAGTGTGTCCAGTTAAAGACTACGTTTCCCAGCTTCCCACTCTGTCAGGTGTGGCCATGTGACTGAATGCTCTCCAATAAGATATAAGCAGAAATGTTATATGGGACTTCTGGGAAGGCTTTTGAAAGAAGCTATTTCAGATAGGAGATATCTACTTTTTTGTCTGTCTTCCTTCCTGATATCTGGAACATGGGCCAAGTGGCCGGAGTCCCAGCAACCATCTTGTATCATGAATGTAACCTTGAGGATGAAAACCACACAACAGGACAGTGAGGCAAAAGAAAGGAGAAGCCTCAGTCCTTGATAACCCTGGAGCTACAGCATACACTATGGGCTGCTTACCTTCTGATTTCTATTACATGAGAGACAAGCAGATTTCCCTCTAATTTCATTCACTGTTGTTTTGGGGTTTCTGAAACTAACTGATAGAGACCTAGGGTCTGGTTGGGTTGGCAAAGGCAATAGGGAGCAGGTAAATGTTTGCAGCTGTAATGTACAGGGATGATCTTTAAGACATTTAATAACTGACATGGCAAGGACACTAACCAATAGACATGGATACTGGTGCAGGGCCTGGGAGACAGTGCTGTGCTTCATCTTAACTATGGTTGCTAAACTGTGTGGAAATTGAGGGGTCCCAGGAAAGGGGCAGGCCAGGGAGCTACAGAAAGTAGCATTCACCAAGTAGCAAAGTATTCAGTAGTTTAAGATGGTCTTTCTGGTGGACACCAACTGTTTATCACCACAGAGCCTATGGTTAGAGAGATGGGTGAAAGAATGAGAAGAAATTGGTATTTTCATGGGCCAAGGTCAGGGTAGGTGTGTGCTAGGGTTCAAGTGGTGGCTGCATGGATGAGGAGACTTGGATTATGTTGTTTTTACAGGTCAGGATCAACACTGATAAATGGGAGTGGGAATCAGAATAGGGCATCAGGAGTTTCTGCAGAGGGTAGGAGGAAAGGCAATGTACATGAGTATTCTCCATTTTGCTTAATTTTCTTTCTTACACCTGACTTCATCATTTCTTCCTTATGGCTCTGATTTTCCTTGTTCCTCCTCATTTGACTGTCTCTCCCTTCCGTCAGGAAATTTTAATATGAAACTGAAGTATGTAATTTTTTTCTGCTTTTCTTTAGAATTAGTACCTTCTTTAACAGAGATTTATCTCATATTTCGTAAGATGTAAATGCATAGAGTTTGGATCATTTCCATTTAAAAATATAAAAAAACCCAAGTTGTTCCTACATATGTCATCCCTAATGAATTATTTTCTGTGAATCAATGACCTCTCATAGAAAACAAAGTGTGAAGGAGCTTTATCTTTAGGTAGATGAAGCCAGTTAATGAGGAACTTTGTTCAATGGACCCACCAAAGTGACTGTCTTAGTGACATTTGTTTAATGAACTCATTCACTCAACTTCTTACTGCTGGTCTCTATGCTAACTGCTGAGGATACAGCATGATATAAACCAAACTAGAATCTAATAAAGGATTTACTGTGACAAATTTAAATTAGTGGTACCTTGAAACAATTTTAGTGAATGTTTAAAAAATATGTGTGAACTTAGAAGAATAAACATAGCACAGAAAAATAAATCAACTTTACATTTCGTAATAGTCTCTTTCTCTCAGATATTTATAACAGTTGCTAACAATCTGAACTTTAGCTCATTTATCTTCCCTAATTACTCTCTGAATCAAGATTCTTTGGAGTGAAAAGATCCTGGAATAGCTCTTCCAGATAAACTATTTCTAAATATTCAAAAGCTATGTGTAGAACAGAATGCGGTTTTGTAATTCTTAAAATAGCTCACATCTCACCTTTCTTTTGCTTGGAGATCCTTTTTTATTAATGCTTCGAACTTCTTAATTTCATCAGCCACATCCTTTAAAGAAAATTCATCATCAGTTCTCTGCCTCTAAAAACCATTGAAAAATCTTCATTTACACATTCATTCAAGTTTATAAAGTGACAAGTACTACTAATTCAAGGTAATTAGGATATGAAAAGCTGCATTCTAAAAATTTTTTTTATAATTTTGATTTGTTGCTTTTAGACTGGGCTAACTATACCTAAAAGAATGTGAAAATTGCCTCCCCTGAATCATTCACTTCATGATTTTGACAGGGCACCAAAGGGCATTTCATTAGAATAAAGATTATCAAAGAGTCAGGACATACATTTTTGGATACAAATATTTCCTTTTCTTTTTTCTTTCTTTTTTTTTTTTTTGAGATGGAGTCTCACTCTGTCGCCCAGGCTGGAATGCAGTGGCGCGATCTCGGCTCAAGGCATCCTCCACCTCCCGGGTTCAAGTGATTCTTCTGCCTCAGCCTTCTGAGTAGCTGGGATCACAGGCATGCGCCACCACAACCGGCTAACTTTTGTATTTTTAATACAGACAGGGTTTCGCCAGGTTGACAAGGGTGGCCTCAAACTCCTGACCTCAGGTGATCCTCCCGCCTCGGCCTTCCAAAGTCAAATATTTCTTTAAAAATGGTTGTCCTGGGTGTTTTAAACATTCCTCATGCAACTTTATTTACACTATTAATTAGTTATCTGAAGTTTAACTTTAGGTCATCTTTGTGTTTTACAAACACTTTTTAAAAAACTTTAATCAGGCCAGATGCAGTGGCTCACACCTGTAATCCCAGCACTCTGGGAGGTCAAGGCCAGTGGTTTGCTTGAGCCCAGGAGTTCGAGAGCAGCCTTGCGGACCTGTAGTCCCAGTTACTCAGGAGGCTGAAGCAGGAGGATCACTTGAGCCTTGGAGGTTAAGGCTGCAATGATCCATGATTTTACCACTGCACTCCAGCCTGGGCAACAGAGTAAGACTGTGTCAAAAAAGAAAAAAAACAAACAAAAAAAAACAAAAAAAAAACTTTAATCAACTCAGGGACATATGAAAGGTAGATAGTGAAATGGAGTCAGATAAAAGCCTCTGTAGGTGGTAATTTTAGAATCCAAGTACAGAATATTTTGTTAGTATTTAAAAAACAAAAAAAAAGTGAATTAATGTAAAATTCAATGGATTTAGGAATCAGAGAGATCTGTCAATCTCTGCTTTACTACCACTGGGTAAAACATGTCAACTCTCTGGGTCTCAGTTTCCTCATCTACGAAATGGGAAAAATAATACCCTACTTAGAGAGTTATTTACAAATTAAAGATAATGTGAAGTGCCCAATCCACAGCTTGACATACAGCACATGTTCAATAAATGGTAGCTATTAATCATCTTTATAGGTCACATGAGAGAATATAAACAATCATTGTAGCAGTATGCAGTGTGAATTGCAGGAATTTGTATCAAACTGAACTGTAACATTGCTCTCCTGTGAAATATAATGAGATTGCCTCTTACTGAAATGATTGACAGTTGGTGTGGTCCAGTAAAATGTCACTGGTACAGGTATCTTAAATTTAAATATACTGATAGCAACAAGTCACTTAACATTCCTGGGATTCATAGAAAAATAGTGTGGCATGATGAGGAGGAATCGAGTAAAAGCATATAGTAGGAATGGCATACATATGCTATGTGTACCTTGACTGGCCCCTGCTGTACCCATGGCAGTTATGACCTGCTATGGTTTGGATGATTGTCCCTGAAAACCGCATGTGAAATTTGATCCCAGTGTTGAAGGTGGAACCTAACGGGAGGTGTCCGGGTCATGGCGGTGGATCATGCATGAATAGACTGATGACCTCCCTGGGGGTAAGTGAGTTCTTACTCTGTTAGTTCCCATGAGAGCCGGTTGTTAAAAAGAGACTGACACCTTCTCTCTCACTCTCTTTTTCCCTCATGAATAGATTGATTCCCTCCCTAGAGGTGGGTTCTGACTCTATCAATTCCCATGAGAGCTGGTTGTTAAAAAGAACCTGGCACCTTCTCTCTCTCTCTCTCCCTCCCTACACCCTCTCTCTCACTTTCTCTCCCCCCATGTAATGTCTGCACATTATGGCTCCACTTCCCCTCCCCCTTCTCCTTACTAAGGCCCTCACCAGATACCCAGTCTTGAATCTTCCAACCTTCAGAAACATAAGTGACATAAACCTCTTTTTCTTTAAAAATTACCCAGCCTCAGGTATTCTTTTATAGCAACACAATGGATAAGACATGACCCATTACAACAGCACCCATTCTGACCTACTTTGTTATTGACCACAGAATCTTTTTCAACACAGGAGTCCAGACTGCCATTTAATAGGAGTTTGCCATTGCTGGCCTAAAGCTACATTCTTCGTTCTGAACAAATAACAATATAAAATAAGTTGAATATGCATATAGTGGAAGAATTCTGAATGAGAAAGGACAAGGTCAGAGATAATTTGGAAAGCAAATGTGAAGTTTTGGAAAGTCTCTCTATATGTTCCAGAGACAGACTATTCTTTAGTTAAGATAAACACAGCACAATATTAAAGGATTATCACTTACTTCTGCCTCTTTTTTCTTTTTCATCATTTTTTGGGCCTCGAGTGCTTTCAAAGTACGATTTGATGCAGGTTTAGGAATCTGTATAATAGCTGCTTGGATTTTGGCCATTATTTCATTTTGTCGTCTTCTGTTTAAGTATTGCTGAATATCCCATATACATTAGTTTAGTGATTCAGAATAACAGAATAGGCAATATAATACACTCATAGGTACAAATATATAAAATTTATCTATTGAAAATTTCAGAACCCAGCAATTAGCCAAGAGACTAGGTGTCACAACTGTGTAATATTAAGAAGGAGGTGTTAATATGACTTACTGTGAAAAGCATGATATTAAAACACAATTCTGGAATCTGCAAATCATATCTATTAAATGTCTGTATTTTAATTCTGTGTGCTGATACTAAAAGGACAACAAAGATGTCCCAAATATAAATAAGTGTATAATTCTTTCCCAATCCTACTGCCATGACCTTACCAAGGATGGGAAGAAAAAAATTCTATCTCTGAAGATGGTTCAATGAGAAAATTCTATCTAGGAGATAGTTTCTAGGAGGGCTCCTGCGAAACCCAATAAAAATCACAAACTTCCCCAAAACCCAGTCACACTTAAACAATGAGTTCAGGGGCAACCTCAAAATTGAATTAACAATAAATTATGTGATACAATTATTGGATCATCTCTTCTGTATGTAGGCAGTAGTTATTTTAAGAAGACTATAAGCAGGAGAATGTATTTGAAAAGAAAAAGTGACTGAAAAATCAGATAAAGTATTTTAAAAGTAAATGATTTAAGAGGTAATATGTGAAACTAATCATGACTTTACTACTAATACATTATATTAGAACTAATATGATCATTAGCTCTCATGTCCAAAGATAAAAAATTTCAATTTACCCTTAAAAAGGCATACATTATAGACAATTTTCTTCATTTTCCAAAATATGAATATTTATTTAATTGCAATATGTTTATCTTTTTTTCTTAAGAAGACCAGGAAGACACAGAGTCTTCCTTTTGCCTTATTTGTTCCCTATGATCATTTTGAACATAATTTATTTCAGAATATTTAATGGTATCATATTTCCTTTTTCTCAACATTCTTGGAGACTGTCTGCATTAGGCTTGGCACTAATAGACAGGCTGGTTCCACATAAATTACAGTCACAGCAATTGGTCTCAACTTAAACACTACTTTAAGAGTGCTTTCTCTCTTTATCATGTAACACCAAAGGGGAATATAATCCTTTATTTACCCTCTGGCAAGTCATATAATTACATGACTGCTTTACATTTTATTATATATAAACTCTACTCCAGTTAGTCCACTCTTCTTGAAGCTACAAAAACGTTCAATTCTGAACTCTGAGGCAGGTAGAAGTAAGCATCCCCGTTTTTACAGTTGGGGAAATTGAAGCTGAGAGTTATTTAGAGGCTGGCTCAATGTTAACCAGCTTCCAAGTGATCTTCCAGTTTGTCTGTCATCTTCCCATTCTTCCCTACAAAGAGCTGACTACATTCAGAATATAATTTCTTATCATTGCAAATAAATCCATGAATTTAAAAAGTGATTTTACAGTGCAATGGGAAGAACTACATAATTCTTTTGCCTGTAGTTTACACATTCCATATACCCAGTCACCTGAAATACTCTTAAAAATCTTTAATGATTTCATGTACCATTATTCTCTCACCCACAAAGGCACAGAAGATCATTAAAGAGTTTTAAAGAAATCTGAGAAGGAGCAGAGAGTTAGTCAAAGCAAGAAGCAAGGGCCAGAAAGAAGTTGAGAGTTGTTCAAGGTGATTGAAAAGGTAAGCAAGCAAAGAATTACCTCACATCTCCAAGAACAGAGAAATGGGGCAGGACCGAAGGTTGCAAAAGAGGAGAAAGCGAGAGGACATTGTCTGATCTATCTCCCTCAGTGGTGACAATGGTCATGTGCCTTTGACCAATGGGGTAGCTAATAGCAACCCTCCATCACTAAAGCAGCTGAAACATTGATTTCTACCAGTGAAGGTAATGCAGTTGTCTTGCCACTCCAGAAGATGGCAGTTCTTGTTCTCAGCCACAAGTAGAGGTGAGAGTCAGCAAGAGTCAGGATGGAGAAAAGGAGCAGGGGAGAGAGAGAAAGGGTGAGAGTAGGGCAGGACAAAGTCATGCATCAGGGAAGTGCAACTTGTGCTCCACTACTACTTATGCAATGTGTACTATACGCATAAATCACAAACTGTATACTATGCACTAATGAATTTCTGAAAAAATAGTTCTATAGAACCTTTTCAATATCAAAACATCTTTGCTCTTCCTTGAGTTTTTGAAATCTTTCAAGTTTCTCAAAATGCAAATGGGCAAGATCTTCTTTCACGTGTTTATATTTTTCTTGAAACCTGTATGTAATCCGCATCAGATTGAAATCAGTTTGACGTGGTATCATGTGTCTAAGTCTCTAAATGAAAAAAGCATTTCAAAAGATTTTATTAGAGAATAAAGAGTACATTTTCATTATAAGCACAAATAAAATTTGTCTTCAAAATGAAATTCTTTAAATTACTATTGTTGATAGTTAAGCTAAATTCAAACCCCATTCCAATTACTCATATTCTTAATTGATGTAAGCACAATTATAAAAACATTATCCTTTGTGGTTCTTCTTACAAAATAGCCTCATATATACTTTTATAGTTAAACTTTTTACACTGAGTTAAATTTTCAATAAATGGTATTTATATTCTTGGAAATAAATTTTATTTATTTTTTTTGCAAAAATAATTTCATTAAACCAACTTTAACATATAAGAGATAATATAAGAAGCTAGATTCTTCCCATTGCTTAGCCACTCCTTAGTAAAAAGTGAAGAAACATTAAAACTTCCTAGGTTTGTGTTTCAGCTTTACCACTTACTAGCTGCTTAAAATTGGGCGAGTTACCTAATCCATCCGTGCCTTAGTTTCATCATCTGTAAAATGGGAATAATGAAAGTAACTATATTTTATGGCTGTTGTGAAGATCCAGTGAGATAATATTCATAAAGCACCTGAAACAGGGCTTGGCACATCACTAGGCATGCTGTTTAATAAATTTCAACCATTATTAATATTACCTGCACCTCTTCTCATCCAGTATCAAAGAAGATGGCATCTCTACTTCTTTCCTATGATATCACCTCTTCCACATGAACCATTGATTGCATATTCCTCTTTCCGTCCCCAGAGGGCCTCTTTCCATCTTGTCCTTGTACCATTTTCATCTCTCCTGCCACTGACTCTTTTTCTCAACTGATAAGTGGCCCCAGTCTCTAGGTCCATAAAACAAGCAATCTCATACTTCACTTGAGCTTTTCTCTCCTACTGTTCTCTTCTTTACCTCCACATTTCTTGAAAGAATAATCTATGTTACCCTCTTCCTCATCTCCAAAGTCCTTCTCAACTCACTGCAATCCATATCACTCTAATGAAACATTTTTCTCTCCCCAATATGTAAGCTCTAAGAGGGTTGGGGCTTTTCCTGTGTATTTGTTGTGCAAGTGCTTGACAAAAAGTAGGAGCCCAATAAATATTTGTTCAGTGAATGAATTATTGACGCTTGAAGTTCACCCATGACCAACATTAAATGAGCTAATAGGCACTTGTTTGTCTTCATCTACACAGCTCTTATAGCACTTGCCACTGTTGACTGCTTTACATTTTATTATATATAAACTCCACTCCAGTTAGTCCACTCTTTTTCTTGAAGCTACAAAAACATCCAATTCTGAACACTGAGGCAGGTAGAAATAAGCATCCCTGTTTTTACAGTTGGGGAAATTGAAGCTGAGAGTTGTTTAGAGGCTGGCTCAATGTTAACCAGCTTGCAAGTGAAGGAGGCCGAATGCAATAATAAATTATTCATATTAAGACTAATCTAATTTCTAGCTCTCAAGGAGCGCTGAGTCCATTCTGCTACCAGACTTACAATGATATCCATGAAGAATGGACAAATATAAACATGGAGATAGCCCTCATATCTATTACGTCATTGCTGCTTCAAAATTTAAATTTAAAAATATAATTCTATCCATTGATATTTACTATTTTGCATCAGTGCAGCACTCATGATTATTCCAGAGGCCTGTAAAAGTTAATGCACTTCATTTACCATAAGGAATTGCATAAAAACTGGAGAGAATTGTCAACTAAAAAGTCATATCAATTAGTCAATAACACATTTAATGAGTACTTACAACATTTGAAGCATTGTACTAGACATATTCATCAAATCTGATGTACTAAAAATCTGGTAAGGTCATATGACAAATAAATAATGACTAGTTAGCCAACAATATCAGTATCAGGACGGTAAAACCAAGAGAGTGAGAATTACTTATGCTCTAGAGTTCCAAAGGAAGAACTGGGACTACCCGTGTGTACTGGGCTGCACGGTAGATGAAGAACAGTTTGGGGAAGAGGAGAGATGAGAAGGGTGAGTTTGGGTTTGAGGGAAGGAAGAGCAGGAATAGACAGTCATATTTAAGGACAGACTGTCAATTAACATAGAAGAAAGAAATACCATGCTGAGGACTAGAAAGAAGTAAAAATAGGTTTCTGAGCAGAAGAACTCAATAAAAGTAAAATTTAGGGAAGATTCATTTAGCAGTTGATTGACTTATCCAGAAGATTGAGAGACATTTTAGCAGGTTGCTGCAGTAGTTGATAAGAAGATCTGAGCAGATATGATGGGGTAGAAACAGGAAGAGAGGAGCAGGCACAAAAAGTATTAGGCCTGTAGTCCCAGCTACTTGGGATGCTGAGGCAGAGGACTGCTTGAGCTCAGGAGTTTGAGACCAGCATGGGCAAAAGAGCAAGGCCCTGTCTCTCTAAAACAACAACAACAAAAAGTACTGGAAACTAGGAAAAGAGTTTGATAAGCTATTGGCAATATGGATAGGATAGAGAGAGACATCAAAAATGGCTAAATAAATTCAAATTATTAATATAAAATAAAACCCAAGTATGGCCAGTAACATACATAAAGGATATATATGCCTAATGAGGCTTCTTTGAGAATTCAATATCATTGTCATTTCTCTTTATCAAATTTTACACTGTGACATGCTTATTATGCTTTTTTATGTACCTACCTCTTGAAAAGTATCACTTTTCATGTTTTGAAGTCTTAAATTTGTCAGACGTTGCATGGTTTGCATCTCCACTCCAGTCAGTCCACTTTTCTTCTTTTTCTGAAGAGCAATGTACAATTGATATAACAGCTTTGTTGCCACCCCAGGCTTTTCTGTGATGATGCCATGGGCCACATTCTGATCAAACTGCACACCCAGAAGGTTAAGTGTTGGCTCCAAGCGAGAAAAATTATTAAGTTTGGCACTTGAAACCCTGGACAGTAAAATATTTTACATAATTAGACATTAGCATTAAATTAAAGACAAACAACAAATATCAGACATATTATCATTATCCAATATTTTGAATTATTTCATGTCCTTTTAGCTGTATCATTCCTCTCTAAAACCACTCTAATGTAACTACATTGAGATTTTTTTATTGACCATGTCTACCTGAACTCTATGCATTCATTTCTTTTAAATGGCTACACTAAAATTTTTCTGCTCTAAATTGACAATAGGATTTCTTCAGAAGTAAATACAGAAGTCACAACACCTAAACTTGATATACTGTTCCTAGTATACTATTTCTCAAGAGATTGCATTCAGGTAGTGGCTCTAAATCTTTTGTTTTTGAATCACAGATACCTTTGAAAATCTGACAGCTATGGAACTTTTTTACAGAAAAGGAAACATACATTTATACATACAGACAAAGCGTGTATAACATCATATAGCATGTTTTTGAGCCTCTTACAGTCTAACCTAAAAGCACCCATCTTCCAAAAAGATGTGGCGCTCAGGAAATATAAGAGTGATTTCTAAATATAAATGAGGAGCCAGCACCATGAGATGGCCAATGTCAACAAAAATAGTGATGCAATATCTTGAATTCATGTTCTGATCATGTGGTGTAACTTACTGTCCTGTTTCCTCTGTGTACTAGTAACTCTTTTAACATAAATATTTAGCAAGATATATTTAGTGTATTATGCGGCATCAATCAAACTTCAAATAAAATATTTTAAATTAATAAAAGAGAAAAAGGCCTTGGAGGAGACGAGAAGAGATAATGCATGCTACAAGAAAACCTTCTCAGCATGAGACTAAATATACTTTTTTAAAGGTCTTCTCAGGTCCAGTTTTGCAATCTGTTTCTCCACAAATCATCGTACAGTTGGAGATACAACATTTGTCTAAAATGACTCAGGTAAAGCAGACCATGTTTTGAGGAATATGATTGTGAAAGAAGATAGTCAAATCAATGACATGTGCTTCCATTCTCTAGAAAGGCATCTATCACCCCTTTTGATCTTCCATCACAGTCGTCCTTTCATGCCCTTCCCATTTTAGGAGTCCTGTGTGCTTTGCTCACTACACATAATTGGAAAGATGTGAACTGAGAGCCATCTGTCAGAGCTTTGGTCTGGGTTATAACCTTGGGCTACAGATTTTAGGGGCATGTTAATTCAGGAGGGAGAGTCCAAAAGCAAACATTACCCATTTCCAAATTTTGTCAAAGCTTAGCCCTGCACTCAAGAAAAAGAGAGAAGAGTTTTCTCTTTCTCTCAATTGTATCATGTGGCTCCCAGAATGCAGTTAATAAGCCTGTTAATGTTATACTTCAGTTACCTACTAGGGTTTAAATGTATTTTATGAACTGGCCAAAGTACACAGGTCTAACAATACTTCTCTTTGGAAGCTTATTTCTAATCAATCAAATTTGGGGAACAGAACTTGTGTGTAAATTGGTGGAAGCCTACTCTTGTTAAAGCATGGGTAGAATCAGAATGATAGGATAATCAACAGTTGTTTTTTGAACACAGAAAAACCACTGGGACATCTTTGCTCTGGAGACAGAGCATATGAGGTAAATGATGACCTCTGAGGGACCTCTCTACCAGCAGTCCTTGCTTGCTAAGAGACTACCTATCTCCTTCCCTTCTTGCCATCTGGTGAGGGAATACCTCTTCTTACAGGTAAGTAGTAGCTGCCCTCCGAGAAATTGTCTTGACTATTTACTTTAAAAAAAAAAAACAAATCTTCTCAATTTTCACTATTTGTGAAGGAATAAAAATATTCAAAATCAGGGAATTCTTTCAGAGTTAGATGAGTATTCTTAGAATTAAATTATTTCCAAGATGAATAACTTTAAGTTATTTACAAAATATATTTCCAGTTTACATTTTAAACTAAAGAAACTAAAAGTGTTAGATAAGATCCCCAAATCATGAGCCCTGGCACCAGTTGCCTAAAAATTAGGCTATGACAAAAAAGGGATTATTTTCCCTACCAAATATACCATTACAAAGGTTATGCCCATAAAATTTACTGATCCTTGTCTTATTTAAAAGACCATGTGCCCTGGGGAAAAAATGGGCTGTTCCAAGAATTGAAGATGGATGATATTTGGTTCTCAATACAAGTAGGACCCTCTTCCCACATTAGGGAATGCAATGACTCGTGGTGAGAGAGAAAGTTAGTCCTTTGTAGTATATGACAAGCAGGGCTGTTACAAAGGACACACATCTATCCAAAGGTGGAACAAGAGTATGAAATCTACCCTCTGTTCAGATTGTTAAGCCTTGTCCCTGGCATGAGACTGCTTCATCCAAAATGGGGCTCCTTTTTCCTTGTAAAAAGGCCTTTGTGTTCACGAAGGCCTGCATTTTTACAGTCATTTCCAGCCAGATGGGGACCCTTTTTCCATTTCACAAAAGGCCCTCTGTGGTCCTGCCAATAAGAGCCACTTTGGTACACCTGAAACACTCATCTGCGATCTGGTCAGGATGGTCCTTTAACTTTTCCATGGTTAAGCAGATATACTCCCTGATATCCCTCATTTATTCATTGGAAACAATATTATGAGCCTACTATGGACCAGGACAATGCTTGGAGCACAAAGAATAAACACACGCTGCAACTTTCAGGATCTTCACAATCTAGTTGAGGAGTAAACATTCATTTATCATTCATTAAACGTTGTTTGGGCTCCTTCATGTGGCAGGCACTCTGATAAGAACTGATACATAAATAAATAATTATAACTTGATAATGATAATGTAATAAGGAAAGGGATGTCCAAAGTTTTATTAGAACAAAGAGAAAAGGGAGACTAAATCTACTAAGAAAGTAAAAGAAGAGTTTAGAGAAGGAGTAGATTTTTAGCTGGCATTTCAGAATAAATACAAGTTTCTCATGGTAGAAGTGAAAAAATAACATTAATTTGCAAAGGTGCAAGGCATAACAAAAACATACGATGTGTATGTGGACCACAGAAGCTTTGGTTAGGATTCTCCGTTGATGGGAAATGTGGCTGGAAAGGTAAATGAGGGTCACACCGAGAAGCACCTTATAAGCCATGACCTTGAGAGCAACAGAGAGACTGGAACACTTGAATTTCTTAAGCTGATGGGGATATCATACCTAGAGATATGAGTGTAGAGTTTTAGCTTCATGTTGGGAAGTCTAAACAAGGTCTTTATCTGTAGAATTTACTAGGAAATGTAGACATTCATTAATTTAAAAAACATTGACTGAAAGCTAAATATGCACCAGGCCTATGTTAAGCCCTAGAGATATAAAGAAAAATAACCTAATACCCCTAACCTCATGGTGTTCTGTGCAATGTGAAACACAGATAAAGAAACTGACAACAAAGTGATCAGTGTTATAAAAATTAAATGTGTAGGCTGAGTTTCTCACTTTCATAAAGGGATAGACAGCAACAACAACAAAAGGATTGGACATCTGGTTACGTGCAAGTCATAACACATCAATCTATATGTATAAGAACTCCTGAGAAATCACAAAAAAGAAAATGAGGGCATGGACACTGACCTACCTACCCTGGCATTCTTATACCTTGGAGGGTAATCCAGCTTCTAATGGTGGCAGCAAGGCTAGGTACAGAGGGAGCGAAGGGCTGAGAGGTCAGGAAGAGGGGGCAGCTGGGGCTAACAACGAATTTATATGCCATGTACTTGAGGAAGAGATGTGTGATATGAGATGTAGGTATGGGTTAGGATGTTACCCTGTACACCAGAAGCTCAAGAAATTAGATGGGATTAGCAAAAAAGGGTTTATTTGGTATGACAGTGTAGTTCTAATCCATGGCTTCTTTTGTGTCATACAGTTGCTATATGTACAACTAGGATAATCTGGATTATGAAAGAATAATTCACCTCTAGCATGGAAATATCAGAGGTTCTTTTGCTCAGAAGTCTTATAACACAGGTGCAGCTTCATAAAGGCCTATCATTTCAGACAAACAAAAATAAGAAGTACTTAAGCAGGAAGTATCAGGTTAAAATATTATGAATTTGAAGTACATCTTCGTAAATGGCAGAGTGAGAACCTCCAAAAATCGGTTCCTCCTTAAAGGCAACAATAACACTCATAAAAATTGTAAAAATCAACCTTTTCATAACTCTGGAAATTAGCTAAAGGCTTGTAACAACTCAAGGAGCATTTATTTAAGAAAAGCTGCTTAATAGTGGTAGGAAAAGAGAGCTTTTTGTCATTTTAGTTTGCTCCATGTCCATACCTCACTCCCTAGCTCCATGGTGGCTATGAAAACCGGCAGCAGACTTACAACCATGGCAGCTATAAAAACCAGCAGTTTAGCAGTCATCAAAGCAGACAAACAGATTTGAAGCGCCTCCAAAGTCCTGTCTTCAGAGTGTTGCTTTTCTTTTCTTTTCTTTTTTCTTTTTTTTTTTTTTTTGAGACAGAGTCTCACTCTGTCACCCAGGCTGGAGTGCAACGGCGCAATCTTAGCTCATTGCAACCTCCATCTCCCAGGTTCAAGCGATTCTCCTGCCTCAGCCTCCTGAGTAGCTGGGAATACAGGTGCCCACCACCATACCCAGCTAATTTTTTGTATTTTTAGCAGAGATGGGGTTTCACCATGTTGGCCAGGCTCATCTCAAACTCTTGACCTCAGGTGATCCACCCACCTTGGCCTCCCAAAGTGTTGGGATTACAGGCATTAGCCACCACACCCGGCCCAGAGTATTACTATTTGACTACCCAGTAGTGTTGTGAAAATCCCCATTTTCAGGCCTTGTCATTATTTGACCTGATAGAGCTTACTCACTGAAAAAAGTCCTATCCCAAGGGTGTTAGGAAAAAACAATCATAGCAATTATTTATAATCACAGTTACCTGAGACAGTAAAACCAGCTGGAGCAAAGAAGAGCCTGGCCAAAAACTTAAAAGGAAGACCTAGGAATGAGATGTCTGTTAGGGACTCTGAGGCCATATGCATGTGTAGGAATGTATGGATGCCTAGGAAAGACATGAGGAGGTCCAAATCTCTCACCTTTGGCTGACTTTGAGATGTTGCACAAGCAGGAAGTAAAGGCTAAGGGAAAATTGTAAACTGCCAGAGCATTGAAAACATCCCATAATCCACTCATAGAGTTTCTTAGCAAAGGAAAATGTATTGGTCCAAAGTGTTGAAAGATATCTCTATTCAATTGCTGACCACTAAGCTAATCAACTAGAGACTTCAGTTGCAGTATACAAGAGGGAACATAGACTTTACAGAATTAGTCCAGGAGAGCTACTAAACAAACAAACAAACAAAAAAAGCAGAAGCAGCAGCAACAACAACAAACCCTGGGAATATGTAATAATCTGAATTGACACATTATATTATTTTAAATGTCCAGTTTTCAAAAATTATGAGACACCCAAAGAAACAAGAAAGTATGACCTATACACAAGGAAAAAAAAGTGAATAGAAACTCCGTGGGGAAGTCTTGGACAAAGACCTTCAATGGCCTATTATAAATATGTTAAAGAAAGGAAAAGAAACTATGTTTATAAACCCTATTCCTGTTTAGAAAAAAAAAGTGCAGCACACTGCCAGTGCTTATTTAATTTTACATAAACACTCTATGAGGCTGAAGCAAATCTGACGAATTTTCAATGTGAAAATAAAATATAAAGACTGTTCTTGGAGTTATTTCTAAACAGAGCAAACACCAGAATCATCTGAATCATCAGAATCATGTATTTTGGAAAAATTGGATTCGCCAAATAAATCTTTGGCCAACAACTGTTGGAAAACAGTGTTAACATTATACATAGGAATGCTATGTTTTCTAGGATTTGACGTTTTTGGTGATTGAGAATTACTACATTTTGTAAATGGAAATATCACTGCTAAAAACTGAATCCTGTAAATAGAATGATGTCTTTTGTTTCCAAAGTCAATATACTAGAGCAATGCAAAAACAATAATAAAAGCAAGATATTTCATGGTAAAGTTATCTCAGGGTAAATGCTATAGCTGCAAGCACTACCAGCTAGTGTTCTCAGGGTAAATGGGAAAATGGTTAAAGTTAAAATAAAGTATGAGAATACCATTTCAACAATAAGAGAGTATCAATACAGAAATAGAAGTTATAAAAATAGGAACACAGTGAAATTCTGAAGTTGAAAAGTACAACTGAAATAAAAACATTCACAATAAGAGTTCAACAGCAAACTAGAGTTGGCAGAGGAAAGAATCTCAGATCTGAGAACCCAAAGACAGGTCAACTAAACCTATTCAGAGGAGGAAAAAAAAAGCATGAAGAAAAATGACCAGAACCTCAAAACACATACATCCACTCTAATCATGAGAAAAACATCAGAGAAATTCCACCTGAGGGAAAATCACTTCGCTAGTATTCTTCAAAACTGTCAAGATCATCGAAAATAAGAAAAGTCTGTGTGAGAAACTATCACATTCAAGAAGAGCCTAAGGAGATACAATATGATATGCTTGATGGGATCCCGGAACAAGAAAGACATTAAGTAAAAAATAAAAAAAAACCTAAATGGCATATAGATTTTATTTGATAATAATATACAAATATTGGCTCATTAATTGTAACAAATGTACCACACCAATGTAAGATGCTAGCAATAGGTACGAATAGATATGTACAATATAGGAAATCTCTGTATTATGTCAATGATTTTTCTGTAAATCTAAAACTGTTCTATAATAAAAAGTTTATTTAACAATGAACAAAGCCTCAGAGACCTACAGGACATCACCAGGCATACCAATATACACATAATTGGAGAATGATATGGGAGAGAGAAAGAAAGGGGACAAAAAGAATCTTTGGAGAAACAGTGGCCAAAACTTCACAAATGTGATGAAAGATATGGATCCACACATCCAAGAAGCTCAATGAACTGCAGTAGGTTAGTCACAAAGATATCTACACCTAGACATATTATAGTCAAGTTGTTGAAAGACAAAGACAGAGAGAATCTTAAAAGCATCAAGAGAAAAAGAAGACATCAAATACAAGAGCTTCTCTATAAAATAAACAGCTGACTTCTTGTCAGAAATTAGGGAGGCCAGAAGACAGCTGGAAGACATGGTCACAGTGCTGAAAAAGAAAAACTGCAAATCAAGAATTCTATGACTGGTAAAAATATGTATCAAAACTGAAGGATAAACAAAAACTAAGATAACTCATTGTTAACATAGCTGCCCTATAAGAAATACTAAAGGGAATCTTTAAGTCCTAAATGAAAGGACAATATACAGTAACTCAAATCACATGAATAAATTTTAAAGCACATCAGTAGAAGTAACTACATAGAGTAACATAAAAAATAGTTTAAATATATTTTTGTTCGTAACTATTTTCTTCTCCTTATCTGATTTAAAAGTTAAGTGCATATAGCAATAATTATAAAACTGACTTGATGGGCTTAAGATGTAATTGGTAGGAGACAACAATAGCACAAAAAAGGAGGAGACAACTGAGCTACACTGGAGCAAATTTTTTTCTTTACTAATTAAATTAAAGTAGTATTAATCTGAATAGTTTGATTTAAATTAAAATATTAATTGTAATCTTCATGAAAACTAAGAAACTGACTCAAAAACTAAGAAAAGTAAGAAAATGACTCAAAAAATACAGTAAAAGAAACAATAAGGGAATTAAAATGGTATTAGAAAATATCTAACACTAAAGAAGGCAGTAGTAGAGCAGTAAAAAAGACATAAGACATATACACAACAAATACCTAAATCACACACTTAAATCCTCCTCCATAATTATATTGTAAATAAATGGATTAAATAACTACAATTACAAAGAGGGAATTGACAGAATATACAATCCAATCATATGCTTTCTACAAGAAAATACACTTTAGATTCAAAGACACAAATTTATTGAAAGTAAAAGGATGGAAAAACATATATCAAGCAAATAATAACCAAAACAGGACTAGAGTGACTATAGTATCAGGCAAAATTGACTTTAAGAAAAAAAAGTATTACTTGATAATAAGAATATTTTATATTGTTAAAAAGGTCAATCCCTCAAGAAGACATAACAATTATAAACATATATGCATCTAACAATGGAGCCACAAAATACATGGAGGAAAAACTGAAAGAATTAGAGGGAGAAATAGACAACTCAACAAGAATAATTTGAGACTTTGGTTCCAACTTTCAATAATGGATACAGCAACTATGCAGAAGATCAGTAAGGAAATGTAAGACCTGGATAACACTATAAACCAACTGGACCTCACAGATATCTATACACACTTTAATGAACAATAATAGAATATACATTCTCTTCAAGTGCATATGAAACATTTTCAAAAAGAGAATATACGTTAGACCATTTTTAAAAACAGCTTCAATAAGTGTTGCAGCTCCTTTAGAATTTGTCTAGCAGGTTTTATAGGTTTTACCAGAAAACTTCCCACCAAAAAAAATTTCATTAAGTTTAAAGAGATTGAAATAACTGTGTTGTCCAATGACGATGTAATTAAATTAGAAATAAATAATACAGTAAATTTGGAAAATTCAAAAGTATGTGGAAATTAAATAACATACTCCTAAATAATAATGAATCAAAGAAGAAACCACAAGGGAAATTAGAATATTATTTGAGATAAATAAAGATGCAAAATGACATACCAAAACTTATGTGATACAGCTGAATCAGTGCTTAGAGGGAAATTTATAGCCATCAATGCAAATGTTAAAAAAGAAAATCTCAAATAAAAAAGTTAACTATCCATAACAAGAAACTACAAAAAGAAAACTAAACCCAAAATAAGCAGAAGGCCAGAAATGACAATAAGAACAGAAATAATAAAGTAGCTGATATGGTTAAGCTTTGTGTCCCCACCCAAATCTCATCTTGAACTGCAATCCCCATAATTCCTACATGTCTAGGGAGATACCTGGTGGGAGGTGATTGGATCATGGAGACAGCTTCCCCCATGTTGGTCTTGTGATAGTGAGTGAGTTCTCATGAGATATGATGGTTTTATGCGGGGCCCTTCCCACTTTGCTACTCACTCTTCTCTCTCCTGCTGCCTTCTGAAAAAGGATGTGTTTGCTTCCTCTTCTGCCATGATTGTAAGTTTCCTGAGGCCTCCCCAGCAATGTGGAAGTATAAGTCAATTAAACCTCTTTCCTTTATAAATTGCCCAATCTCGGGTATATATTTATAGCAGTGTGAAAATGGACTAATACAGTAAATTGGTACCGGACAGAGTGGGGTACTACTATAAAGATACCCGAAAATGTGGAAGTGACTTTGGAACTGGGTAACAGGCAAAGGTTGGAACAGTTTGGAGGGCTCAGAAGAAAACAGGAAAATGTGGAAAAGTGTGGAACTTCCTAGAGACTTATTGAATGGCTTTGACCAAAATGCTGACAGTGATACGGACAATGAAGTCCAGGCTGAGGTGGTTTCACATAAGACAGTATAGTATTTGCATATAATCTACATACATCCTTTCATATATTTTCAATCATCTCTAGATTACTTATAATACCTAATACAATGCCTGCATATTACTTCATTCTTGTGGATTCAACGTAGTACTCAGTTTGTGACAAATACAAGTTTTGCTCTTTGGAACTCTGTGAAATTTTTTTCCCAAATATTTTTGAATTGCAATTGCTTGAATTCATGGATGTGGAAATCATGGATACAGAGGGCCAACTATATCTGAGTTGTTTCTACTTTTTGGCTATTAGGAATAATCTGCTATGAACGTTGTGTTATCACATGGATAGGTTTTCATTTCTCTTGGGTATATATCTAGAAGTAGAATTGTTGGGTTTGAGAGTCTATGTTTACCTTTTGAGGCACACCTAAACAGTTTTTTTAAGTGCCTGAATTAGTTAAATTCACACTAACATTGTAAGAGGGTTTTGATTTCTCCATGTCCTTATCATCACTTGTTATTTTCCATCTCTCTGCCTATAGCCATCCTAGTGGGTATGAAGTGGTGTCTTGTGATCTTGATTTGCATTTTCCTAATCACTAACTGATATGGTTTGGCTCTGTGTCCCCACCCAAATCTCAACTTGTAGCTCCCATAATTCCCACATGTTGTGGGAGGAACCCAGTGGGAGATGACTGAATCATGGGGGCAGGTCTTTCCCATGCTGTTCTCGTGATAGTGAATGGGTCTCACAAGGTCTGATGGTTTTAAAAACAAGAGCTTCTCTGCACAACCTCTCTCTTTGCCTGCTACCATCAATGTAAGATGTGGCTTGCTCCTCCTTGCCTTCCACCATGATTGTGAGGCCTCCCCATCCATGTGGAACTATAAGTCCAAAACAACTTTCTTTTGTAAATTGCCCAGTCTTGGGTATGTCTTTATCAGCAGTGTGAAAATGGAATAATACACTAATGATGCTGAGCATCTATTCATCTCCTTATTAGTTATGTGTTAGCTTCTTTGGTGAAATGTCCATTCAGATCCTTTGCCTATTGTTAAATTGGATTGTCTTTTTACTATTGAGTTATAAGTGTTACTTATATATTCTAATAGCCACACAGAGATGAGGAACTTGTTTGGAACTGGAATAAAGGTGATTTTGCTATGCTTTAGCAAAAAGACTGGTGGCATTTTACGCCTGCCCTAGAGATCTGTGGAACTTTGAACCTGAGAGAGAGACGATTTAGGGTTTCTGGTGGAAGAAATTTCTTTTTTTTTCTTTTTTTGAGACGGAGTCTCGCTCTGCTGCCCAGGCTGGAGTGCAGTGGCCCAATCTCGGCTCACTGCAAGCTCCGCCTCCCGGGTTCATGCCATTCTCCTGCCTCAGCCTCACGAGTAGCTGGGACTACAGACGCCCGCCACCATGCCCGGCTAATTTTTTGTATTTTTAGTAGAGACGGGGTTTCACCGTGTTAGCCAGGATGATTTCGATCTCCTGACCTTGTGATCCACCCGCCTCAGCCTCCCAAAGTGCTGGGATTACAGGCTGTGGTGGAAGAAATTTCTAAGCAGCAAAGCATTCAAGAAGTTTGCTGCAGGCATGGAGCCCTCATGGAGAACCTCTGCTAGGGCAGTGCAGAAGGGAAATGTGGGGTCAGAACCCTCACACAGAGTCTCTAGTGGGGAACTACCTAGTGGAGCTATGAGAAGAGGGCAACCGTCCTCCAGAAACCAGAATGGTAGATCCACCGACAGCTTGCACCATGCACCTGGAAAAGCCACATACACTCAACACCAGCCTGTGAATGCAGCCAGGAGGGGGGTTGTACCCTGAAAGCCACAGGGACGGAGCTGTCCAAGGCCATGGGAGCTCACTTCTTGCATCACTGTGCCCTGGATGTGAGACATGGAGTCAAAGGAGATGATTTTGGAACTTTAAAGTTTAATGACTGCCCTATTGGGTTTTGATATCTGTAGAGGGTCCAGGAACCAATACCCCAAGAATACCAACAGAGGATTGTAACCATCAATTGATAAATAGATAAACAAAATGTGGTATGGTATATCCATATAATCGAAATTATTGAGAAAATAAATAGAAATGAAGAAATACTGATACTTGCTAACATGGGTGAACCTTGCAAACATTATCCTAAGTGAAGAAGCCAGTCACAAAATGTCACAAATTGTGTGATTCCATTGATATAAAATGTGTAGAATAGGCAAATCCATAGAGACAGAAAAGTAGATTAGTAGGTGCCAGATGCTGGGTGTTTAGATGGTGGCGATGGTTGTGAAGATACTAAATATGTGAATATATTAAGAAGCACTGAATGGTGTGCTTTAAAATGGTGAATTGTGGTACATAAATTATATTTCAATATAGCCACTAAAAACAAAAACCATTATGAATTTTTTATTAGTAGTTAAGTTCTATTTTATATTTTTAAAACACAAATAATCATACTAATTGTCCACCCAAAGCACTATATGTTGTTTCACTTCTTCTCTTAAAAGAAGGAACAGGCCGGGCGCGGTGGCTCACACCTGTAATCCCAGCACTTTAGGAGGCTGAGACAAGTGGATCACGAGGTCAGGAGATCGAGACCATCCTGGCTAACACGGTGAAACCTCGTCTCTACTAAAAAAAATAGAAAAAAAATTAGCCAGGCTGGTGGCAGGCGCCTGTAGTCCCAGCTACTCGGGAGGCTGAGGCAGGAGAATGGTGTGAATGCGGGAGGCGGAGCTTGCAGTGAGCCGAGATCACACCACTGCACTCCAACCTGGGCAACAGAGCAAGTCTCAAAAAAAAAAAAAAAAAAAAAAAAAAGGAACAATCGATTAACAAAACAGAAAGTAATCTGGTGTAAATAAGTCCCATTTAGAGATGAGGTCTTGCTGCAACCATATAACAATCTCTCCTTTGTACTCTTGAGACAATAAAAAATGTATGTGCAAGAAAGGAACAATTTCCATATCAATGGTCTGCTTGGGTGTTCAAGGTTTGGAAGGGATCTTATGATTCATGATTCTTTGAAGTTAACTTTGGAAAATGCCAAAGAAATGAACTTTTCTTAAAAGTAAAGAGTAGTCCAGAAGCGGGGGTGCACACATGTAATCTCAACACTTTGGAAGGCTGAGGCAGGAGGATCTCTTGAGCCCAGGAGTTCAAGACCAGCCTGGGCAACAGGGAAAAACCCCGTCTACACCAAAAATACAAAAATTAGCCAGGCGTGGTGGCATGCACCTGTAGTCCCACCTATTTGGGAAGCCGAGGCAAGAGGATTGCTTTATCCCAGGAGTTTGAGGTTGCTGTGAGCTATGATCACGCTACTGCACTCCAGTCTCAGTAACAGAACAAGACCTTGTCTCAAAACAAATAAACAACAACAACAACAAAAAGGAATAATCTCACTAACCTGCTGTCCAAAAATTCTGAAAAATCATCCTGAAGTTCAAACTTGTGTAGAACTTCTCCAAGTAGATAGCCACTGGAAAATGCCTTTGCAAATGACTTGGGACCTGAGTTTCAAAACATTGAGATAAAAACCATGAATACAATGTTGCGCATAGAGCTAATGATCTCTTTAAATATACATACACTAAAAACTACACAATTTAACTGGAACTCAAAATGCCATGAATATATTTCTAGAAACATCTTTTAATAACCAAAGGAAAAGGTTGACATTTAACAGTAGATATTTTATAAAGATTCCCAAATAAATATAAATCAATAATTGATGAAATACAAAATTTTGAAGGAAAAGACAACAGATAAAATTTTTTTTTAAAATGCTACCAAAAAATTTATAAATAACATTAGATCTAAAAACTAGCCTTAAAGATATTTTATAAAATCATACTCTAATACTTTAGTTACTCACACAACCTATGATGACAGCATATTTTGGCCAAGTGAGATGAAAGCTAACTTCTTTTAAACAAATACCTCATTTTAACCTGCAAAACAATGGAAAGTTTACTAAAGCCATTTGCACCTTCTTAAATAAAACCTCCTGAACATAATCGAACTTCTCCTTCATGGTTCAGAGGGGACACTATGGCCCAGTTATTGTCCTATGCAATTACTGAGAGATAGCCCAGGGGAAAACTGACTTTAGAGCCAGAGATACCTGTGCTGGAATCTTGGCTCTGCCCCTTACTAGCTGTGTGACGTTGGGCAAGCTGCTTCATCTTCCTGAGTTTCAGCCTCATGTCTAGAACAAAGATAACCATATCTATATCTTATATCAGAGAGCTATTTAATATTAATAGCTCTCTTTTGCAGCAGTGTTTGAGAATTGCTGGGTGCCATGCCTGCCACATAGTAGGCACATAATGATAAGTGCAGAATTTTATTTTATTTTTTGATGGAGTCTCACTGTGTCGCCTAGGCTGTGGCCTAATCTACAACCTCTGAGTGCAGTGGCCTGATCTACAACCTCTGACTCCTGGGTTCAAGCGATTCTCCTGCCTCAGCCTCCCGAGTAGCTGGGATTACAGGTGTGTGCCACCACACCCAGCAAATTTTTGTATTTTTAGTAGAGAGGGGGGTTTCACCATGTTGCCCAGGTTGGTCTCGATCTTTTGACTTCATGATCCACCTGACTCGGCCTCCCAAAGTGCTGGGATTACAGGCATGAGCCACCGTGCCCAGCCGAGAAAAAAAATTTTTAAGTGTTCAATAGGATTTGCTTTTTTAAAAAATGTTCTTAGTTTTGAGTTACTTGTATTTTTCTTATAAAGTAAAATATATAGACTTACATGATATTTAAGGATTATATACAAAATAAATTATATTATCATAGGCCAAAGCTATCATCTCTCAAATTACTTCAAAATCCTCCACAGATATTCAACCTGCTTCCATCAGGTTAACATATAATATAACATATTATATTAAATATAATATTTTAACATCGGTTAAAATATTATATGTCATTGCAGTATCACAAATTCAGTTTTGCCAGATTGTTCTATTTTACCTGTCTGACTAATAATGAGGTGGCTAATTGACAGTGAAGAAATAACATTTCTTCATGATTTGTAGAAGCGATGCTTGGTTGTGTGGTTGTAGGAAGTTGAGCTAAGTTGCTCCATAACAGCCACTGTGCAGTCCTCACTCCAAAGATTACACCCTATCATAATACTTTTTGCATGTCTGATACCAGAACACAGTTTTCTCTAAGACTTTCTTAATATCTGTTCTCAAAACCCTTTATACTCAGAGTAATACCTCAATCCTTAAGTTGAGTCAATACAATAATAAAGGTAGTTAAAAAGATGTCAATGGTTCCCACTGATTCTATGTACTCAGGGTGAGCTCTTGAACTGTCTAGAATTAGAATCTATTAATTATGGTTACATAATTTTTATATGCAATAGAAAAAATAAAAGGTAAAAAACATTAAGGGGAAGCAATGCTTTTTTTGTCTATGGATCACTTTAGCAACAAGTAAAGAAATGAAACTTTTATAAGCCCTAGGAAAATGAAAGCTTCCAATCACATAACCTTGTGTTCAGCTATAGTTCATGTGAGAACAGACACATTGCATCTATTCTTAAAGTCCACAGTCTGGCACCTATTAGTGGATTTTAGTAAGCTTTTCCACAAACAGACCAGTTTTATCATCATTTTAAAACTATTCAGGGCAGAATGATCTCACTCTAAACCCATGATACATTCTTTCAGAGTTGATGGTTTGATGCCCTTCCTATCAGTCATATCTGTCCTTCCGAAGCTATGTCTTAATGTGAAACACTGAAGCAACTCTTGAGAAAATATACTTAGAGAAGAGTATGTCCTAAAGCTTCCAGCAGGAGAATTTGAAATTCATGGCATACCTGAGCTCTATAACTCAGCTAGATCTATTGTACCGCCTGGAACACCTTACAGCACAAGTTAAGCTTGAGCTTCATAACCTAGGCACTGATTTTTTCCGACTTTAACGCAACACCATTTGAATATCATAATGCCTTTCGATGCTACTAAAATGAAGATTGGCTTGATCTTATACTAAATGTCATCTGTCATTCAGCAAGTGTCTTCCGGCTTCATACCTCAGTAGTCTTTAAAGCAACTGAAATCCAAAGGGTTCCTTCTGCTCCAATGGGCAAAAGTGTGCCACCTCCTCCTGTGTCACTGCAGCTTTCTCCTTCCCTTACAGACCCCAAAGCTCTCGTTGCCACCATGACCCTCAATGTGCCACCCAGGGTGCTCTAGCTGTGTCTTTCACCTCTTCTGTCTGTTGCTTTCTTCTGTCTGCCTCTTCCCTTCTCTCCTCCCTAGCCTATCCCTATTCTTCCCTTAGTTTTCTAAAGAGCCACTGGACATAGAACCATTATTCATCTATGGATGTATCTGTGTCTTTCTATTCCTACGCCATCAGGGTCTTGTCCCAATTTTTGGCTTATTGCTTTCTGTTCAAGAGCTGTTGCTATGTTACCTTCAGGTAATCTCTTTCCCTTCCTGCCTCCCTCTGGGGTTTGCACTGTGCCTGTTGTTCACGTTGACTGAATGCTGAAAGTCTAGCCCAGGAATAACTGGGGAATACTAAATCCGTTTCCTTCATCTTCAGTGTGGCTGACAAACGGTCTGTAACAAACCATTTTCTACAAAAAGGTCACCAGAAAAATAAAATCATTACCCATTTCCTTTGAAATGGCATGGCATATTAATAAGGCAATTATGATATGGATAAAATAGAGGTGTTTATAGTATAAAGGTTAAAGAACAATAGTAAACACTTAATGTACTTCATTGTCAGAGTAGTTTATAAAAAATCTGTAAGTATCAAAATATCTGTCTGAAGCTTTTTATGCATAAGACACTTCAGATTTACCATGTACCACATCAGCAGAAACTAGAACAGTGAGTGACGAATACAGCAAATGATAAAAGCAATAAAGGGGAAACTTGGAGAAAAAAATTAAAAGAAAAAGAAAAAAGAATACATATAGGAAATTAGACAAAGAAAGAAAAAGCTGAAGAAAAAGTGTATACACTAGGACTGATACACTAAAACGTATAAAATAAGAAGACAGGGCTGGATGCCGTGGCTCACGCCTGTAATCTCAGCACTTTGGGAGGCTGAGGCAGGCAGATCACGAGGTCAGGAGTTCGAGACCAGCCTAGCCAATATGATGAAACCCTGTCTCTACTAAAAATACAAAAAGTAGCCGGGCATGGTGGCACATGCCTGTAGCCCCAGCTACTCGGGATGCTGAGGCAGGGGAATTGCTTGAACCCAGGAGGCGGAGGTTGCAGTGAGTTGAGATTGCGCCACTGCACTCCAGCCTGGTGACAGAGCAAGACTCCGTCTCAAAAAATAAAAGAAGACATATAGGAAGCCAGAGAGAGAGAGAGATTGAGAGAGGACAAAGGTGATAGGGAGAGAGAGAAACAGTGAGGAAAAAAGAAAAGGCAAGAAAAAGCTTATTTTTTTCTCTTTGGTTTGTCATGTTCTTCTTCCCACAAATGTCACTGAATACTATGACTAATTTCAGGACACCCACCTCTATAAACTAATTTGCACTAACAATTGAAATTTTGTAGGGGGAAAAAGAGGCAGGTTGACTCCAGAACAAGGAACAATGGAGGAATATGATAAGTAAATAAACCATGGGAGCCCAGTGACAATCTTCATCCTAAACCCAAAATTACTTACATCTGGGATTAAAATTATTTAGCAGCAACTCAACCCTGCCTCTAATCTTCTCAGCCCTGCCTCTAATCTTCCAAGCCACATGCCTGGTCCCCATCACTAAAGTTTCCTTTTCTAATAAATCTTTGATGCAGGCCTCTGTGATAATGTTAGGCTGGGACAGCAGGTGAAATGATCTATGTGCCTTTCCATCAAAATGGCCCTTAGCCAGCTGGAGGAAGCACAGAAAGCCATCCACATTCCACATGGTGATAAGGAGAGCACAGGTTCTGGAGAAAGATTCTCTGTTAGACTTGTGGCTCATTTACAAGCTGCTTCACCTTGGGCAACTATGTAGCCATAGTTTCTCATCTGTAAAAATGAGAGAGTGATGGGGTCTACCTTATAAGAGTAGTTTTGAGAATTAAATCTTATATGTAAAATGCTTAGCATACTGCCTGGTCCCCAGTAAAAGCTCAGTGATTATTTTTATTGTTATTATTACTGTGTTCTAATTTAAGAAAACAGGTCATATTAATTACACAAACTGTAAATAACAGATCTTTAATGATTACAGTACAAACATTCGTGTTTAAAACACAATTCAGTACTCAGAAAGCAAATATTTGGCAATTCCTGGCATTCATATACAGGTCCACTCTTTAGGCCTGATAGGCTATAACTCCCCCACTGGTCTGGGGAAGCACCTGTACTTAAACACAGTCTATTTCTACAGCAAAATATTTAAATAGACACATCCAGTGAAATAAATAAGGACTAAACAGCCTTATGGCATTTCTGGTCAGATTTTGCTGCCAAATGAATAATGTACAAAGTTGCAGTTTTCAGAGATTTTTGGATTCTAGAATTTTTTAGGTAAGGGACTGCAGACCCATACCATTTTATGCTCAGTGGCATTTACTTCTCCTTTACTCGAGTAGGAAAGATCGAGCCTGCACTATCAACTACATTTAAAAAGCCAAGAAAATTTACTTTCATTTGAGATAAAAAACAAAAACAAACAAACAAACAAACAAACCCTGCTGAAGGCTTGGAACCAGCATGGCCCTATCAGGCTGTGGTGTTCCTAGAAACCGGCTGGGTACTCACAGCTACGCCTTGGCATTCTCCAGCTGAACATAACCAATTTCACAGCAAGGCACCACTTCCTGGAACCCTCCTCAAAAACACCTAACACAAGTCCAAGTCATTTCTAGCACCCTCTTACTGAGATGCCCTGCAGTCCTCATGGTTCATGTTCTCCCTTGTTACAACAAATCTATAAATCTAACTTTGTTCAACTACAGATGTGTCCTGTGATCTTTGGCAGGGGACACTGACGTTTTCTTTCCTTTGGTAAAAGAATAGGATTGTCAGTCTTCACAATTTTATCCTTTGAAGGCTTTATCATAATTGAGATTTATTATCTGAAACTAAATCTTAATTGCTATATTATAACCCTCTTTAATTGTGAAAATATTGAGCATCAGTCTTTTCTTGAAGCTCCATTTCTTAAAATTTTTGCTTCGATTTACACAATAGCCTTCTGCTACTAGACTTGCTATATTAATTTTTAGTCAATGAAAGCCAAGTTTTAATCAAGAAAAACGCTGCGAGGCTAGCCAGGAAATATCAAAATCTGTTGCTTTACGTCAGAAGCAATAGATTTTCTAATGATTCTGAGTGTTTAAGTATGAGAAAATGTGTAAGGTTTAGACTCCGGGTTTAAAGAAGACTAGAACTAAAAGGCAGCAGGCCCAGAATCTCCTGCTAACTTGCTACTACCTAGGTGCATAATCCTAAACAATGCTCTTAACACATCTGATTAGATTTCCTCATCTGCTAAAGAAGAATTAAATGATGTCCAAGATTATTTTTCAGATCTAAAGTTATACGATTCCATAATATGGTAAGGTTACCACAATACGTTATGAACTATTGCATAAAAATAAATATTCAATGGGATTTTTTTATATCTCTATGTTTTCTTAAAATAAACTATGATCCTTCTGAAAATATTAGGACAAAAGACCAAATCAACAAAGTGTCATTAATGCATGAGAGGATACCCCTCAACTTTGGGACAAAGAGTAGAAAATATCACTCTCCAAAAACAAATGCTACTAAGATTTAATATAAAACGAAAAGATTAATCATTTATGGAAACCCACTTGGAAAAAACCCAAACCCAATTAACAAGGAGCATAGACTGTCTCTTAAAACTCACAAAAATATATCTATTTAATTTTTATATATCATGTAAGCAATGATTAATATATCCTAATATATTAATTAACCTTATTTAAAATAGGAATATGCCTTAACAGTAGAATAATTCACAACTATTGTAATTTCAGAAGCTTTTGGTAGTAGAAGTAACATTGGAAAATACTATTGAACAGTGTGGCTTCCCTAAGTACTGTAGGCCAGAGGGGCAGGAATTCTGACTCTAATCTAATCTAATTTCACCTGTCACTGCTATCTAGATGAAACACCTCTAGATCAGAAAAAGTAAAACACAGCACATATTAGCTTTGACTGCCCCTCCAACAACTGAACCATTATTTAGCCCCATAAGGCAGCAAATGCACAGGCTTGGCATTCTCTCCTGTTTCTTTGTCCCAACAAGCAACTATGGGCTGGGCCACTTCTAAACAAACAATAATTCACCCAATTTTGCCACTTAACCATCTAGGAATTAGGTTATGCCCTATGATATTATAATAGGCCGAGATGGCTGAATTTTTCTATTTCTTGTGACTTCAAATGAAAAATAATCCTTATAAAAAGAGCTCAAGTGAATACATTTGAGAGTTACTTAAACATATATATTCATGCCTAAGTTTAAAACTTTAATGTACAATATAGGACCTAAAAGCATAAGTTCAAATTCTAGCTCTACGACCTACTAGCTGTAAGACCTTGAACAAATTACTAAGCCCTCTCCTCCTGACTCACCTGAACATCCAGGGCAATACCTCTTAGGGTTGTTTTTAAGATTAAATAAGAAAATCTATGTAAAGGGCTTAGAACAGGGTATGGTATACCCACATAAATGCTCAATAAGTGATAACTTTAATTATTTATTATTCTTTCATTTGTAGACTTCATTTGAACTCCATATAACTTTTCCACAAGCTCCCACAATACTTTATTATAATATGCTTACGATATTTCAACTAAAGTATTAAACCTCTTTTTCTCCTATTTTGTCATGTGATGTTTGGCTTCTTTTGATCTTTCATCTTTAATGCTATATTGAATTTTCCCTTCAAATTACAAAGGCAATATAAACAACAAGCCAGATAACAGAGATATATAAAGAAAAGCTACCAATCTTCCACTTCCCCAGGGTAATCCCTATAACACACTTGTTTATATCCTTCCACAATTTCCTCTACACTTACGCAAACCATAATATGAAAATTCATGTGTAAGTCAATAGTCCAGTATATGTCTTTCCATACTTTTCTTCATGCTCATATAAATGTCCATATTCATAAGTGTGTGTTTCCTAATTGGTACAAATATATAATTATACTAGTCACAATAAGCTCTAACTTTTGGTTTTTACTTGACAAAAATACATAAATATCCTTTAAGCCAAAAGTTATAGCAGCTAACTAATTCTTTGTAATAACTGCATAACAATTCATAGTATGAATAAAGCACCATGTATCCAAGCATTACACTTTTGAAGGATACTCAGATTGTTTCCAATTTTTATTTTTGCCCCTGTAATTCATGTAGCAATAAACGTCTTTGTTCAAATATCCTTATATATTGGTGCTTTTATTTTTATTTGATAGATGCTGAGAAGTAGGATTTAGCATTTATGTCCAAAGTGCTATTTTAAATGCTTTACATTTAATATCCCATTTAATCTTGATACAACCAGATGAGGTATCATTATTATTGCTGTTTTTAAGTATGATGAAATTTAGGTAAATAACTTGTCCAAAAGATTTCCAAGCAGTCTAACCTCCAAGTTCTTGCTTTTTACACTTCCCTTACCCAGAAATTGCCTGATTACTTTCCCCAGAGGTTGCACCCACTCACAGTCCTTCCATGATAGATTCTACAAACCATCCAAAGCCTTCCATTGTGCACCACACAACAGTTTATCTAATGATGGGGCAGCAGCAGCAGGAAATGTGCTTCCTTGAGTGCACAAATCCTAGCTTGTTGGCTTACAAACACAGTTAAGTGTGTTCCCAAAGACCTTTTACAATGTGGAATCTGGTTACCTCCTCAAGGACTCTCTCGCTCTATCTCTCTTATAGTAGTTGAGATTAAAAAATTAATACGTTTTGCTAGTGAATGGAAAGCAGAATACTCCATTAGAACGGGGCATCTCTGCTAGCTTCCAGATCTACACTTCAGGAGCACAGACGCCAGGAATTTTCTATCCATAGCCTAAATGTTGTTAAAATTCTTACTTAGTCTTCAGCCCTTTTATGTTTATCCTCCACCTCTCAAAACCTAAATTCCCAAAACTAATTAAAATTATAATGGCATCTACTGTTTTTATTTTATGTATCTTTATTAATTTCATTTATTTCTCCTAAAAGTATTTCAAAATGTTGCAATAGAGTCCTGGGGACTTCAGCAAAGGGTGTTTTTTGTTTGTTTGTTTGTTTTGTTTTTTGTTTGTTTTTTGAGACAGAGTCTTTCTGTGTTGCCCAGACTGGAGTGCAGTGGCGCGATCTCGGCTCACTGCAATCTCTGCCTCCTGGGTTCAAGCGATTCTCCTGCCTCAGCCTCCCAAGTAGCTGGGACTACAGGCACCCGCCACGACGTCCGGCTAATGTATTTTTAGTAGAGACAGGATTTCACTATGTTGGCCAGGCTGGTCTCGAACTCCTGACCTCATGATCTGCCCACCTCGGCCTCCCAAAGGGCTGGCATTACAGGCGTGAGCCACCGCACCCGGCCCGGGTGTGGTTTTTACTAATAAAATAAATGAACTAAATTAAACTAAGCAATATGTAACTGCTTTTCTTTTAGAAGAGTACAACTTAAGGGCATGATATTTTATTTTGGCTCCTATGGTGAGACAGGAATAAGAAACAATAAATGCTAAATATTGTCCTCAGTCCATCATATTTTAGCAAATAAACAGTTGGAGACACAATGGGATAATCGTAGAATACCAGGAAAGAATTTATTGCAGTTCACAGGGAGTGTGTAGATGGTTATTTGACAAAGAAAGAGTCTGAGGTTTATGCCTCAAGAAATGCAACAGGAGATGCTCCGTGCTAAAGATCCTCATGCTGAGAGTATTAATAACTACTTTGCACCCACAGAAACACTACCGATCTAGCAACTTCTGTAGATAAGCTAAGGTTGAACTGGCACCACTGCCTCTCTGGTAGCAAGCTGGTGTTAAGCAAGTTCTTCTGGGAAAATGGACTGAAATGACTTGCCCTGAAAACCTCTTCCCTTAAGCAAAAAAAGAAAAAAAGACAAACAAAACCAACTGAAAAATGAACTCCTGAAGAATTACAGGGCAGTCAAGGAAGCTGCCAGCATGTAAAATTGTCTCTGTGGTTGTCAGACTTGGAAACTTTGGGTGGCAACTGCATGGTTAGGATAAAATTAGGTTGGTGAATAAGGTCAGCTTTGGGCAAGAGCCAATAGTGACCAGAAATAGCTAGTTTGTGATTTGGGGCTTAAAATTTACTAAAATTTGTAAATGTTAACATATTCTACATTAACTTATTTTTCACCCACCCTCCCCTGCTGGTCAGTTAAGTATGGAAAGCATTATTAGGTCCATTTTATAGAGAAGGAAACACATTCAGAGAAGGTATTGTAACTTGTCCAGTGGCTTCATATTTCATCGACTAGCCACCACACCATGCTTCTGCTTCTGGTGATGTGAAGGAGGCATCGTTGGGGTCAGACTACAAAGTCCAGCAAAGTTCCCTCTCCACAGAAGCAAAGGAGACCTTCCTAAACCCTCTGATTGCCTAGAACCACATCACAAAGTCAGAATGCCTGCGGGTTGGGCCCACCGTGACAAGGGTAACTCGAGAGCGGCAGAGTGGGGACGTGACAAGGCCTTGCCCTGGCTGGGGTGAGCTGTAGGGAGGTGGCGGGACGGACCTGGGGCACCGCCGAGCCGAGTTGCTCACTGTGGGATGCTGCCGGCTACGCAGGTGCCCCACCTGTGCAGCTCGCGCCCTGCCCGCCACCTTCCCTGAGTGCGCTGCGCTGCGCTGCAGGCTCTGCGCCCCGCTAGCCCCTCAGACGCTCGCCCCTGGCCGTGGTCACTCACTCACGGTCCGGGACACCTTCAACTCCTTGTTGAGCCACTGGCACAGGATCTCCGACATGGTTCAGCCGGTGCCTCAGACCGCAGGCGGGGGCTTAGAAACTCGCCAGGAACCAAGCCTGCCAGCCCGCGTCCTCCTGTAGCCAAGGGCAACCCTTTGCTATGGAAGCGTATCCAGGCTGGAACTAGGCGAAAGGCCTTAGAGAAGAGGGGACGCTAGGGCTCAGCCGCAGAGGACAGAAAATCGTGTTTCGCCACCTGCTGGCGGGTAAGACCTGAGCGTGCGCCAGCGCAGGAGGAAGCCGTTGGGGGCCTGTGAGAGAAGTTAGGGAGCAGTGGGTGTGGGGAGAGGCGAGGCGGGAACACTTAGGGACACAGCAGGAGCTTCTTAGGTGAGCAGAAAGTAAAACCAGAGTCTCCGCAGGGCTCCGTGGCTCACGCAAATAATCCTACCACTTTGTGGAGGGGGTGGCGCTCGACTGAGCCTGGGAGTTCAAGACCAGCCTGGGCAAGGTAGCAGAAACCGTTTTTTTTTCTGTAAGAAATTAGGCGGCCGTGGTGGCGTGCGCCTGTGGTCCCACCAGCTCAGGATGCTGACGTGGAAGGATCAACCCAGGAGGCGGAGTTTACAGTGAACCGAGATCGAGCCACTGCACTCCAGCCTGGGCAACAAAATGAGACTCTGTCTCAAAAAAGAAGAAGAAAGAAGAAAGAATAACAAGAAGGAGAAGGAGAGGGAGAGGAAGAGGAGGAGGAGAAGAGGAAGAACAGGAGGAAAAGAAGAAAGAGAAGGAGAAGAAGGAGAACAAGGAGAAGGAGGAGAACAAGGAGAGATCAAAGAAGAGGAAGAAGAAGAAAAAAGAAGAGGAAGAAAAAGAAGAAGGGTATTTGGGGTATCCATCACCTTGAGTATTTATCATTTATATACGTTGGTAACATTTCAAATCTTCTCTTCTAGCTATTTTGAAATATACAATGTATCATTGCTAACTATAGTCACCCCAGTTGCTAGCTAACATTAGACCCTATTTCTTCCATCTAACTATAAGTTTGTACCCATTCACCAACCTCTCTTCATTTCCCCTTCCCACCCTCACATCCTTTCCAGTCTCTGGTACTCATAATTTTGTTCTCTATCTCCAGGGGATCAACTTTTTTAGCTACCACATATGAGTAAAACATGCAGTATTTGTCTTTCTGTTGCCTGGCCTATTTCATTGAACATAATGGCCTCCAGTTCATCCATGTTGCTGCAAATGACCTGTTTTCATTCTTTTCCATGGACAAATGGTATTCCGTTATGTATATATACCATTCTTTCTTTTTCCATTTGTTCGCTGATGGACACTTAGATTTATTCCATATCTTGGCTATTTTGAATAGTTCTGTGATAAACATGTGAGTGCAGGTATCCCTTTGATATACTGACTTCTTTTCCTTTGGATAGATACACTGTAGTGGAACTGCTGGATTTTATGGCAGTTCTGTTTTTAGTTTTTTGAGAAACCTCCATACTGCCTTCCATAGTGGTCATACTAATTTACATCCCCACCAACAGTATGAGTTCCCTTTTCTCCACATCTTCTCCAGCATCTGTTGTTTTTTGTCTTTTTAATAATAACCATTCTAACTGGGGTAAGATGGTATTTTATTGTGGTTTTGATATGCATTTGATAATTAGAGATGATGAATTTTTTCATATACCTGTTGGCCATTTGTACCTCTTCTTTTGAGAAATGTCTATCCGTGTCCTTTGCACACTTTTTAGTGGGATTGTTTGTTTTTTTAGTGTTGAGTTGTTTGAGTTTCTTGTATGTTGTGGATATGAGTCCCTTGTCAGATTAATAGTTTGCAAATATTTTCTTCCATTCAATGGGTTGTCTCTTCACTCCGTTGATTGTTTCATGTATTGTACAGAAGCTTTTTAGTTTAATATAGCCCCCAGTTGTCTATTTTTGTTTTAGTTGTCTGTGCTTTTGAGGTCTTATTCATAACATTTTTGCCTAGGCCAATGTCCTGAAGTGTTTTCCCTATGTTTTCTTCTAGTAGTTTTATAGGTTTAGGTCTAACATTTAAGTCTTTAATCCATCTTGAGTTGATATTTGTGTATGTGGTGAGAAATACTGTTCAGCTCTACTCTTCTGCATATGGATAGCCAACTTATCCAGCACCATTTATTGAAGAGAGGGTTCTTTCAACATAGTTCTTGGTGCCTCTGTTGAAAATCAGTTGGCTATAAATATGTGGATTTATTTCTGGGTTCTCTGTTCTGTTACATTGGTCTATGAGTCTATTTTTATACCACTACCAAGAAGTTTTGATTACTATAACCTTGTAATATAATTTGAAGTCAGATATTGTGCTGTTTCCAGCTTATGCTGTATTAATTACTATAGCCTTGTAATATACTTTAAAGTCAGATACTGTGCTGTTTCCAGCCTTGTTCTTTATGCTTAGGATTGCTTTGGCTATATGGACTCTTTATTGGTTCCATATGAATTTTAGGATTGTTTTTTCTATTTCTGTGAAAATGATCTTGGTATTTTTATAGGAATTGAATCGAATCTATAGATTGTCTTAGGCAATATGATCATTTTAATGATATTCATTCTTCCAATTCATGAACATGGGGTGTCTTTCTATTTGTTTGTGTCCTCTTCAATTTCTGTCATCAGTGTTTTATAATTTTTCTTGTAGGGTCTTTCACTGTCTTGGTTAAATGTATTCCTAGGTGTATATTTTTATTGTACCAATTGGAAATGAAATTGCTTTATTTATTTATTTGTTTATTCATTCATTGGTAGAGATGAGTTTTCTCTATGTTGCACAGGCTAGTCTTGAACTCCTGGGCTCAAGCAATCCTCTGCCTTGGCCTCCTAAAGACTTGGGACTACAGGTTTGAGCCACTGCACCTGGCCTTGATTTATTTTTCAGCTATTTCAGTATTAGTGTACAGAAATGCGACTGATTTTTGTATGTTCATTTTGTATCCTGCTACTTTATTGAATTTGCTTATCAGCTATGAGAGCTATTTGGTGGAGTTTTTAAATTTTTCTAAGTATAAGATTATGTCTTTTGCAAAAAGGAACTATCTTCCAATTTAAGTATGTTTTCTTTCTTTCTCTTGCCTAACTTATTTGGCTAGGACTTTCAGTACTCTCTTGAATAAGAGTAGTGAAAGTGGGCATCCTTGTCTTGTTCCAGTTTTTAGAGAAAACGCTTTCAACTTTCCCCCATTCAATATGTTAGCTGTGGGCTTGTCATATATGGTCTTTATTATTTTGAGGTATGTTCTTTCTATGCCTAGTTTGTGGAGAGTTTTTATCATGATGGAATGTTGAATTTTATTAAGTGTTTTTTCTCATCTATTGAGATCATCACATGGTTTTTGTCCTTCATTCTCTTGGTGTGATGTATAACATTTATTGATGTGTGTATGTCAAACCATCCTTGCATCCCTGGTATAAATCTCCTTTAATCATTGTGTATTATCTTTTTGATGTGCTATTGAACTCAGTTTGCTAGTGTTTTGTTAAGGATTCTTGCATCTATATTCATCAAGGATATTAGCCTATAGTTTCCTGTTTGGGTTGCATTCTTATCTATTTTTGGCATCAGGGTAATACTGGCCTCAAAGAATGCATCACGGAGAATTCATTCCTCCTCAATTTTTTTTTTTTTTTTTTTTTTTTTTTGAGACGGAGTCTCGCTCTGTCGCCCAGGCTGGAGTGCAGTGGCGCGATCTCGGCTCACTGCAAGCTCCGCCTCCCGGGTTCACGCCATTCTCCTGCCTCAGCCTCCCGAGTAGCTGGGACTACAGGCGCCCGCTACCACGCCCGGCTAATTTTTTGTATTTTTAGTAGAGACGGGGTTTCACCGTGTTAGCCAGGATGGTCTCGATCTCCTGACCTCGTGATCCGCCCGCCTCGGCCTCCCAAAGTGCTGGGATTACAGGCGTGAGCCACCGCGCCCGGCCCTCAATTTTTTAAAGAATAGTTTGAGGAAGATTGGTATTAGTTCTTTATACGTTTGGTAGTATTCAGCAGTGAGTCCATCTGGTCCTGTGCTTTTGTTTTTTGGGATAATTTTTATTACTGATTCATTCTCTCTAGTTGTTATTGGTCTGTTCAGGTGTTGTATTTCTTCCTGATTCAATCTTGCTAGGTTGAGTGCTTCCAGAAATTTAACCGTTTCCCCTGAGTTTTCCAGTATGTTAGCATATAATTGTATATAATAGTCTCTGATAATCATTTATATTTCTGTGATATCAATTGTAATATCTCCATTTTCATTTGCTGATTTTATTTGGGTTTTCTCTCTCCTTTTATTGATTACTCTAGCTAATAATGGTTTATCAATTTTGTTTATCTTTTCAAAGAACCAACTTATCATTTCATCGATCCTTTGTATTTCTTTTTTATTAAAGTCCCTATTTTGTTTAGTTCTGCTCTATTTATTATTTCTTGCCTTCTGCTAATTTTGGATTTGGTTTGTTCTTGCTTTTCTTGTTCCTTGAGGTGTGTTGTTAAACTGTTTATTTGAAAATTTTCTACTTATTTGATGTGGGCATTTATTGCTGTAAACTTTCTCATTAGTTCTGCTTTTGCTGTATCCCACAGGTCTTGGTATGTCGTGTTTCCATTTTCATTTGTTTCAAGAAATTTTTTAACCTCCATCTGAATTTTTTCATTAACCTATGGAAGTTCAGGAGCATGTTATTTAATTTCTGTGTATTTATATGATTTATATGGTTTCCAAAGATTCTCTTCATATTGATGTCCATTTTTATTCCACTGTGGTCTGAGAAGATACTTAATATGATTGCAATTTTTAAAAATTTGTTGAGACATGTTTTGTGGCCTGACATACAGTCTATCCTAGAAAATGTTCCATGTGCTGTTGGGAAAAAAATGTGTATTCTGTGGTAGTTGAATACAGAGAGAGTCTTGATTGAAGATTTTTTTGTTTGTTTTTTAAAGAAGCCATATTGAGGCTCTTGTTCTAATGGCAGCAGTTTTTTCATTGATTTACAAATAGTTTTACTTGCTATATTATATGGGCTACCCTTGCATTAATAGAATGCATCTTATTCCTTTTATTCTCAGACCTAGTATAGGACCTGACATGCAGCTAGCATTCAATAATTTTTATTGGCAATGGTGGCAGAACTAACAATTAGGATTATTAACATCTCTATATTGTTTTGAGAGGTGAAATTTTATTAAACTACTTTTCTAGTCAGTTTTACCTTTCAAATAGTTATTTCCAAATTGTATTTTGACAAAAACTCATCCTTGGCATGCTGAATTCAGTTTTAGCAAAAATGTGGCTGGGTTCATTCAGCGAAAATCCCCAACCCTGGATATCTGATCAGATTCTAATCTCCCACCATTCCCAGGACTTATCACTCTGGCCTGCCTTCAGCAAGAAGAATCCTGTCAAGTCAGTCTAGCTAGAATCCCCCTGATCCTGATGTTTCCTCTTAGTAATTTTTTATCCACTGATCACCACCCTGCTCTTTGGCTATAAATCCCCACTTTTCTTTGTATTTGGAGTTGAGCTTGATTTTTCTCCCCTATTGTAAAACCCCACTGCAGTGGTCCCTTGAATAAAGTCTTTCTTACCCTCTTTAACAAGTATCAGAAAATTTTTTGTTTAACAATTTCTAAAGGTTTAGATGGAATAGCAGAAAAAAGTATATATATATATAAAATCTATGCATTATTTTATATGTACAATAATATAGAAGTAATTGTATGTTGTAAATACAAGAAAATTCCTGCAATGGGACCTGGATACACCGAATTATGATTCTTTTCAACCATCAGCACAATAACACTAATGTCCAACTAGACCAATCTCTCTTGAGATTGATCGGAAGTTAATCTCGGTTTCCCGTTGAATAAAAACTTAGTACCATTACTAAGTACTTAGTGCCATTTCATTCTTGGCTTTACTTCTAAACATCCCATCACATGAGTTTCCTTGGTATCTCTAATGTGTACACATTGTCATTTTGGTTTGATGGTTCTGTTTCAAATATGTTCTTTTAGTAAACTCAAGTTTCTTCTCCAGAGAGCTGTCTGCCTTCCTATATCCATTTTACAGAACTAACTAATTGTATTTGGTAACAATATCTCAGGAAGTGGGAAGTCCAAGCAGGATATGATCTTATTCAGAGTGATTATCTTAACAACTTATGGAAAAACATGGATTATTTTGGTTGAGGCAAAACGGCCTAATCAACCCAATACAGCAGGCAAGGCTACAGTTGGAATTCTGAGAGAGCTTTATTGCCAACAAAATTGGAGCCTGATATATTCAATGTGTTTCACTCTAGAGTTATTCAAATTAGGAAGATTATAAGATTCTACAAAGCCCCTATAGCTTGGAGAATATATGTCCTGCAGCTGTGTCTACTGGAAGCACTGAATCCCTGAGCATGCTTCTAAGGGGTGGATACATACCATGCGGTGGCCTCTGAGGCAGTTCTGCTTATTGTCATCCTAGTAGTATGTTTAAATTGATGACCAGAGCTAATTTAATAAGAGGTTCCCAGCTCTACTATTAGTCAGTAGGACCTGGGGGATTGAAGTTCATGATATCTAGGTTGCTGAGAAGATTGCTCTTTGGGAAGGGCATAGACAATAGAGCACCAAACTTCACAGCAGCATTGGTAGAGAATGACTGAGCTCATAAACACTGGTAGATATGTGTGGGCTATAATTATCACATCAAGTGAAATACTTCTGTGCCTATCTATAGGAATTGTTTAGTTGTTGTTTGTTGTTTGTATCAAAAGCTATTTGTGCTATTCATCTTTGGTATCCAGCTTGGAACAACATAGTCTGCCCATATGGTATTTTGGAAAAAGAGTGTCTATACAGCATTTGGATAAATGAAGATGCAGATACTTTACAAAAAGATAAAAGGCAAAGTCATTCATTTTACAAAAAATGCATGATACTCATTTCAGTTCACAAAACATCCAACTTGAAAATGATCTGACATTAAAATATCAATAAAAATGTGCTATCACTGAAATACATGCATTTTACTATGTAAATTCTTATTAACTTGAAATTGCTATTTTATTTATTTATTTATTTTTGAGACGGAATCTTGCTTTGTCACCAGGCTGGAGTGCAATGGTGCGATCTCAGCTCCCTGCAACCTCTGCCTCCAAGGTTCAAGTGATTCTCCTGCCTCAGCCTCCTGAGTAGCTGGGACTACAGGCACGTGCCACCACGCCCAGCTAATTTTTGTATTTTTAGTTGAGATGGGGTTTCACCATGTTGGCCAGGATGGTCTTGATCTCTTGACCTCATGTCTGCCCCCCTTGGCCTCCCAAAGTGTTGGGGTTACAGGCGTGACCCACCACACCCAGCCAAGTTTAAGATTAAACCTACTGTGTGCCCATTAAACTCTCAGCTGTGGACAAGGTTTCTAGCACTGCCCATGTTAATATTTAGAATTATTCAATGATATGTTCGTTCTCCCATAAGGAATCAGCTGGAAGAGATTAAAGAAACTGACAGTTTTCTTTCTCTTCCTGAGATGGCTTTCTTGTGTTTTTTAATAAAATATTTTAGAATATTTGGCCCCTTCACCTGATTGTAACTACCACAGCAATCATAAAACTAAAAGCTTTCTTTTTTAAAGCATCACCTGTCATTTTAATTATAAATCTTTATTTCTTTTTTGTAAATACTCAAGTAGAAATTATAGTTATTTTGAGACCACAAGTTGGATTGGAAATGTATGCTTTATAATAAAATGCAATTCATTAAAAATATACCTAATTCTTTTAAAAATTAATTATTATTATTAATTATTATAACATTTTTTACACCAATGCAACAATCAACACAAGATTTCCATGACCAAATGTTTGGGGGGTTTTCTCCACATACCAAGCAGTGGACAGCAGCTGGGTGTCCTCTAATTCACTTCAATTTTGGTGGTGTCTTCCTGGAGATAGCCTTAGATCTCACAGGTTGAGCGCTCATCCCCACAAGAATGCCTCCCCTTCAGATACCAGTACTGAGTCTAAGCCTCTGGAACTTCAGACTGAGCAGTTTCAAGCTGGGCTTCTCATGGCCTCCCTCTTTGGGCTTGATTAATTTGCTAGAGTGGCTCAGAGAACGTTTACTTAGGTTTACTGGTTTATTATAAAAGGTATTATATTAAAAAGGATACAGATGAAGAGTTGAGTAGGGCAAGGCATATGAGAAGGGGTGCAGAGCTTCCATGCCCTCCACAGGTACGCCACCATCCAGGAAACTCTACATGTTTAGCTTTATGGGAACTCTCCTAACCCTGTCCTCTTGGGCCTTTTATGCCATTGGATAGGCATGATTGGCAACTCTGTAGAAATGTGATTGAACAAAAAGAGTATGATTTAAACTCAGAAGGGCCTGTCCAGATTCTTTTTGGCCTCTCTGTGCAGCATTCCTTCCTCCATGGTATGAGAGTCTTATGACCCATAGTCAGATTAGAGTCCTGCCTTGGGCAGGTGAAAGGAGAGGAGGAGAAGGTAAGAGAGGGAGGGATTCTATTCACTTTAACAAGGGCTGTGGAGTTACAAGCCAGGAACTGTGAATGAAAACCAATATATGTAAATTATAATATCACACTTTCCCCTCTAGTATGTCCTGTGCAATGGTTCCAGTTTATATTCCTAAAGCCCTGCGCTAGTCCTTACCCAGATACTTCCATGAACTCCACTGGAGCAGCGTTTACCTACTGTGGGGCTTAGCCTCGTAAAAGTTAATGTAATTCCTTCAGTGAGTCATGCCGGAATCCTTCACAAATGAAGCAATGTAGAATGAAATTAAGTAAAAAATATCAAAGGGCATTTCAGATAGCAAGGGTAAATGCATATGTGGTTTTTTGGAAACATGTTTGCCTTAGTTATGTTTGTACATATTTGTGTGTGTGTGTGTGTGTGTGTGTGATTAAAGGGTGGATGTGTGTATGTGGTTTGCATGTGGGGAAAAGTATTTTTTTCCTGTGGGTCATCGTCAGTAAAATTTGCAACCCACTGTTGGAGGATAAAGACCCCATTGAAAGTAATCCATGATCTAGCCTCAATTCAACCTTAACTATAAACCACAAACTCATTTACACATCCTGTTCACATTCCTTTCTCAGGTCCCAACTTTCCCATCTGAACACCTGTCTTTCGTCCTCCCTCTGCAAAAAAGACATCTGAATACATGGATGACTTTTCATTTTCACATACCCAGAACCTAGAACAGTGCCTGTCCAAATGCTCACTCAGTAAATGATACAGCATGAATCTGTGCATACCAACAGGACTTTTAACACACACCACTCACTTTAACATCTATGTATTATGTTGCACAATTTCTTGTTTGTGTGTGTGTGTTATTGGTTGATTCCAGTCCTTTGTACTTAGAACAATGAGGATCACAAAAAGACATGTGACCATGGAAACTGACTGCTTTTATTCTTTTTTATTGTTTTTGAGACGGAGTCTTGCTTTGTCACCCAGGCTGGAGTGCAGTGGCATGATCTCTGGTCACTGCAACCTCTGCCTCCTGGGTTCAAGCCATTCTCCTGCCTCAGCCTCCCAAGTAGTTGGGATTACAGGTGCCTGTCAGCATGCCTGGCTAATTTTTGTATTTTTAGTAAACATGGGGTGTCACCATGTTGTCCAGGCTGGTCTCGAACTCCTGACCTCAGATGATTCACCAGCCTTGGCCTCCCAAAGTGCTGGGATTACAGATGTGAGTGACCGTGCCCAACCAGAACCTGCTTTTTTTCATGTTCTACTTTCAGTTATGCCATGATGAAATAAGGTATATTAGACTTCCCATCCTACCATTATTAACTATAAAACAGAAAAAATATGTAAAGCAACTACAAATAGTGCACAAATATGTCAGCTTTCTTCCTGGGGAAGTTTTTTGACTGTGGCTTAAAGAAGTAGACACCAAGCAGAGAGCAAAGATCTTTCTGGGTGGAGGAAGCAAAGATTGGAATGTAAGGCTTCTGGAATTCTGAGGGTAACATAATGGAGAAGAGGAATGTAGAATTTGGGAGGTAAGATAATGCAGAAGAGGAAGTTATGATGAGAAGGAGCTCTAGAAATTAGCTTGGAGTCTCCTTGAGTCTTTAACCAAATACAAAGCTGCCCATGCACAGGAGAATAGGAAGCTTATTGAGATGCTGTATGCCGTATAATGCTAGGAATCACTGGAATTTCAATCAGACTAAGTGAAGAAACTTCATTGAACACTCAGAGTATTTGGGTAAAGACCCAGAAAGAAAAAGGTTTTTTTCTTTCTTTTTATTATAAAGGTACTTTAATCATAGTGTAAAGGCTAACAAATCCTAAAATAAAATTTTTAAAACTCTAGTGAGATAAAGCTGATTATCCAATAAATTAATTTCCTGCCAGAAGAAAAATCAAAATTTAAAAGAAAACAAAAAATTTTAGACTCTTAACAATGTAGCACTCATAATGTCAGACATAAAATCAAGAAGAAAGAACATATGAATCATAACCAGGGGGAAAAATGGTCAAAAGAAATAGACTCAGGGATGACATGGGTGTTAAAATTAGCAGACAAAGACAATAAGCACTATAAAAATATTATAAATATTTTTAAGATGAAAATTAAGATATAGTTGTAATGTATGAACAGCTGTGAAATGTAATAGTGCAATGGAAGCTATTTTTAAAAAGATGGAAGGTCTACATCTGACAAATCTTTCATCTGAAATGTAAAATTCAATGAATGGACCTAACAGCGGATTAGAGATTCAGAAGAAAAGGTAAATGAACTTGTAGAAAGACAACAGTAACTATCTAAACTAAAGCACAAAGAGTAGGCAGTCTAAAAATAATAAATAGAACTTCAGTGACCTGTGGAACAATAACAAATGGTCGAATGTGTAATTAAAGGCCCAGAAGAAGAAAAAGAAGAGATTGAAGCAGAAAAAAATTTAAACACATAATAGCCAAGTATTTTCTAAATATGATGGAAAATATATATTAAAAAACCAAAAACTTGATAAAATCCAAACAGGAAAAGCACACAATAAAACTTCAAATAGGCACACTGTCAAATGTCAAGTTGTTAAATTGCATAAAAATAGACCAGTTGAAAGATTAAGATTGCAGAAAAGTGAAGAGAAAGACTTAAAAGTACACAGAGGAAAAAAGACATTGTGAGAGCAATGAGAAGAATGACAACTGATATGATAAAGAACAATGCAGGCCAGGAGATAGTAGCTTTAAAATATTGAAGAAGAATAAATTAATCCTATAATTTCATACCCAGCAAAAATGATCCCTCAACAATTAAGGCAAAATAAAGACATTTTCAGATAACAAAGGCTGAGGAAATTTGATATATGCATTGTAAAGGTGGTAAACTCTTCAAGCTGAAGGAAAGTGATACCAAATAGAAACTCATATCAACATAAAAGAAAGAACACTACAAATAGGTAGTATATAGGCTAATATGAAAGAAGCATGTTTTACATGGCAGTGGACAAGAGAGAATGAGAGCCAAGCAAAAGGGGTTTCCTTTTATAAAACCACCAGATCTCCTGAGACTTATTCACTACCATGAGAACGGTATGGAGGAAACTGACCCCATGATTCAATAATTTCCCACTGAGTCCCTCCCACAACACATGGGAATTATGGGAGCTACAATTAAAGATGAGATTTGGGTGGAGACATAGCCAAATCATATCAATGATATAGCTAAAGCTGATGAAGAAAATTATGGGAAACTAAGCAAATACTCAAGCCAACAGAATGCAGGAAAGGAAAAAAATAAAATAAGAAAAACAATACACAAGGAAAAAAATGAGACAATTATAAAATAAGTAGCATATTATAGATTAAACCTAACTAGAGCAATGAATCTATTGTATATAAATTAAAAACTCTAATTAAAATGCATAGATTACCAAATTAAACTTTAAGAAAATCAATGCCCAACTACATATTTTTAAAAGAAATGTAGTTTAAATATAAAGACACATATAATTAAAAATAAAATTACAGAAAATATATATAATGTAAACATTATAGCCAAATATTTATAGCATTGTTCATAGTAAAGTATCATTTATAGCAACATCATTCAAAGCTGAAGTAATAATATTTCTGATAAAGTAGACTTTCAAACAGGAATTACTAAAGAGAAGCACTTCATAAAATTATAAAAATAATTGATCAAGAATACATTATAATCCTATTGCCATATACCTTGTAACAGAAGCAAAAACTGGCAGAACTAAAGGGAAATTAAAATTATATAAATTATAATTAATAATAATTTGGTTATATTATTTTATTTCAATAATTTTTAGGGAACAGGTGGTTTTGGTTACATGGGCAAGTTATTTAGTGGTGATTTCTGAGATTTTGGTGGACCTGTCACATGAGCAGTGTACACTGTACCCAATGTGTAGTCTTTTGTCTGTCACCCCCTTCCACCCTTCTCCCTGCGTCCCCAAGGTCCATTATATCATTCTTATGCCTTTGCATCCTCATAGCTTAGCTCCCACTTATAAGTGAGAATGTACGATATTTGGTTTTTCATTCCTGAGTTACTTCACTTAGAATAATAGTCTCCAACTCCATTCAGATTTCTGCAAATGACATTATTTTGTTCTTTTTTATGGCTGAATAGTATCCCATGGTGTATATATACTGCATTTTCTTTATCCACTTGTTGGTTGTTGGGCATTTAGGCTAGTTCCATATTTTTGCAATTGTGAATTGTGCTGCTGAAAACATTCATGTGTAAGTATCTTTTTCGTATAATTACTTATTTTCCTCTGGGTAGATACCCAGTAGTGGGATTGCTAGATCAAATGATAGTTCTACTTTAAGTTATTTAAGGAATCTCCACCCTGTTTTCCATAGTGGTTGTACTAGTTTACATTCCCACCAGTAGTGTAAGAGTGTTCTTTTTTTTTACCACATCCACACCAACATCTATTATTTTGTGATTTTTAAAATTATAGCCATTCTTGTAGGAGTAGAATGGTATCTCATTATAGTTTTAATTTGCATTTCCCTGATAATTAGTGATGTTGAGCATTTTTTCATGTGTTTGTTGGCCATTTGTATATCTTCTTTTGAGAATTGTCTAGTCATGTCCTTTGCCCACTTTTTGATGGAAATATTATTTTTTTCTTGATGATTTGTTTGAGTTTCTTGTAGATTCTGGATGTTAGTTCTTTATTGGATGCACAGTTTGCAAATATTTTCTCCCACTCTGTGGGTTGTATGTTTACTCTGCTGATTCTTTTGCTGTGCAGAAGCCTTTTAGTTTAGTTAGGTCCCATCTCTTTATTTTTGTTTCTGTTGCATTTGCTTTTGGGTTCTTGGTCATGAACTCTTTGCCTAAGCCAACATCTAGAAGGCAACTCTTTGCCTAAGCCAACATCCAATGTTATCTTCTAGAATTTTTCTGGTTTCAGGCCTTAGATTGAAGTCTTTGATCCATATTGAGTTAATTTTTATATAAGGTGAGAGATGAAGACCTAGTTTTATTCTGTTACATGTGGCTTGCCAATTATCCCAGCACCTTTTGTTGAATAGAGCGTTCTTTCTCTACTTTATGTTCTTGTTTGCTTTATCAAAGATCAGTTGGCCATAAGTATTTGGCTTTATTTCTGGGTTCCCTTGGTCTATGTGGTCTGTTCCATTGGTCTATGTGCCTATTTTTATACCAGTACCATGCTGATCTGGTAACTAGAGTTTTGTAGTATAGTTTGAAGTTGGATAATGTGATGCCTCTGGATTTGTTCTTTTTGCTTAGTCTTGCTTTGGCTAGCTATGCAGGCTCTTTTTTGGTTTCATATGAATTTTAGGATTTTTTTTGAGTTCTGTGAAGAATGATGATAGTACTTTGATGGGAATTGCGTTAAATCTGTATATTGCTTTTGGCAGTATGGTCATTTTCACTGTATTGATTCTACCCATCTGAGCACGGGATGTGTTTCCATTTGTTTGTATCGTCTATGATTTCTTTCAGCATTGTTTTGTAGTTTTCCTTGTAGAGATCTTCCACCTCCTTGGTTAGGTATATTCCTAAGTGGTTTTTGTTGTTGTTGTTTGTTTTTTGTTTTGCAGCTGTTGTAAAAGAGATTGAGTTCCTGATTTGGTTCTCAGCTTGGTCGTTGTTGGTGTATAGCAGTACTACTGATTTGTGTACATTGATTTTGTATCCTGAAAGTTGACTGAATTAATTTATCAGATCTAGGAACTGTTTCAATGAGTCCTTAGATTTTCTAGGTATAAAAATTATATCCTTGGCGAACAGTGAGAGTTTGACTTCCTCTTTACTAATCTGGGTGCCATTTATTTATTTCTCTTGTCTGATTGCCCTAGTTAAGACTTCTAGTACTATGTTGAATGGAAGCAGTGAAAGTGGGCATCTTTGTCTTGTTCTAGTTCTCAGGAGGAATGCTTTCAACTTTTCCTCATTCAGTATGATATCAGCTGTGAGTTTGTCTTAGGTAGCTTTTATTACCTAGAGGTATGTTTCTTCTGTGCCAAGTTTACTAAGGGTTTTAATCATAAATGGATGCTGGATATTGTCAAATGCTTTTTCTGCATCTATTGAGATAATTATATGATTTTTGTTTTTAATTCTGTTTATGTGATGTATCACAATTATTGACTTGTGTATGTGAAACTATCCCTGCATCCCTGGTATAAAATCCACTTGTTCATGGTGTATTATCTTTTTGATATGCTGTTGGATTTGGTTAGCTAGTATTTTGTTGAGGATTTTTGCATCTATGTTCATCGTGAATATTGGTCTGTAGTTTACTTTTTTTTTTGTTATATCCTTTCCTGGTTTGGTATTAGGGTGATATTGCCTTCATAAAATGCTTTAGGGGGAATTTCCTCTTTATCTTTTGGAATAGTTTCAGTGAGATTGACCAATTTTTCTTTGAATGTCTGATAGAATTTAGCTGTGAATCCATCTGGTCCTGGACATTTTTTTGTTAACATTTGTTTATTACTATTTTAATCTTACTACTTGTTGTTGGACTGTTCAGAGTTTCTATTTCTTCCTGATTTAATCTGGGAGGGTTGTATATTTCCAGGAATTTATTCATCTCCTCTAGATTTTCTAGTTTGTGTGCATAAAGGTGTTCATAGTAGCCTTGAATGATCTTTTGTATTTCTGTGGCAGCAGTTGTAATATCTCCTGTTTCATTTCTAATTGAGCTTGTTTGGATCTTCTCTCTTCTTTTCTTGATTAGTCTTGTTAATGGTCTTTCAATTTTGTTCATCTTTTCAAATAACCAGCTTTTTGTTTCATTTGTCTTTTGTGTTGTTTTTGTTTGTTTGTTTCAGTTTCATTTAGTTCTGCTCTGATCTTTGTTATTTCTCTTCTTCTGCTGGGTTTGAGTTTGGTTTGTTCTTGTTTCTGTAGTTCTTTGAGGTATGACTTTAGATTGTCTATTTGTGCTCTTTCAGGCTTTTTGATATAGGGATTTAATGCTATGAACTTTTCTCTTACCACTGCTTTTACTGTTTCCTAGAGGCTTTGCTAAGTTTTGTCACTGTTATCATTCAGTTCAAACAGTTAATTTTCTTCTTGATTTCATTGTTGACCCATGGATCATTCAAGATCAGTTTCTTTTCTTTTCTTTTTCTTTTTCTTTTTTTCCTGAGACGGAGTTTTGCTCTTGTTGGCCAGGCTAGGGTGCGATGTTGGGAACTCGGCTCACTGCAACTCCACCTCCTGGGTTCAAGCGATTCTCCTGCCTCAGCCTCCCAAGTAGCTGGGATTACAGGCATGTACCACCATGCCTGGCTATTTTTTTATATTCTTAGTAGAGACAGTTTTGCCATGTTGGCCGGGCTGATCTCAAACTCCTGGCCTCAGGTGATCCACCTGCCTCAGCGTCCCAAAGTGCTGGAATTACAGGCATGAGCCACCACGCCCAGCCAATTTTCATGTATTTGTATAGTTTTGAGGGTTCTTTTTGGAATTAATTTTCTGCATTATTCCACTATAGCCTGAGAGGACACTTGAAATAATTTCAGTTTTCTTAGATTTATTGAGACTTCTTTTGTCACCTATCATATGGTCTATCTTTGAGTATGTTCCCATTTTCAATGGGAATATTTGACAATGTTCCCATTCTCAATGGAAATGTTCTCAAAGATAGACCATATGACCGTATAATAGGTCACAAAAGCAGTCACCTATGTGTGTGCCAATGAAAGAAGTGTGCCAATGAAAAGAATGTACATTCTGCAGTTGGGTAGAATGTCCTGTTAAAATCTGTTAAGTCCATTTTGTTCTAGGGTATAGTTTAAGTCTATTGTTTCTTTGTTAACTTTCTGCCTTAATTGCCTGTCTAGTGCAGTCAGTAGAGTATTGAAATTTCCCAGTATTATTGTGTTGTCATCTATCTTATTTCTTAGGTCTAGTACCAATTGTTTTATAAAATTGGGAGCTCCAGTGTTAGGAGCTCCCAATTTCATAATTTAGGATTATAATATTTTCCTGCTGGACTAATCCTTTTATTGTTATATAATGTAACTCTTTGTCCTTTTTTTTTTAACTTCTGTTGCTTTAAAGTCTGTTTTGTCTGATATAAGAATAGCTACTCCTGCTCACTTTTGGTTTCCATTTGCATGGATTATCTTTTCCACCTCTTTAGCTTAAGTTTATGTGAGCCCTTACGTGTTAGGTGAGTCTCTTAAAGATAGCAGATACTTGAGTTGGTGGATTTTTATCCATTCTGCCATTCTGTACCTTTTAAGCAGAGCATTTAGGCCATTTACATTCAATATTAGTATTGAGATGTGAGGTACTGTTCTATTCATTGTGTTAGTTGTTGCCTTAATACCTTGTTTTTTCCCCATTGTTTCATTGTTTCATAAGCCCTATGAGATTTGTGTTTTAAAGAGGTTCTATTTTGGTGTATTTCAAGGTTTTATTTCAATTTTAGAACTCCTTTTAACATTTCTTGCAGTGCTGGCTTGGTAGTGGCAAATTTTCTCAGCATTTGTTTGTCTGAAAAATACATTATCTGTTCTTCATTTTTGAAGCCTATTTTCACTAGATACAAAATTCTTGGCTGATAACTGTTTTGTTTAAGGAGGCTATGGATAGGACCCCAATCCCTTCTCACTTGGGGGTTTTTGCTGAGATATCTTCTGTTAATCTGATAGGTTTTCTTATATAGGTTACCTGATGCTTTTTTGTCACAACTCTTAAGATTCTTTTGTCTTGACTTTAGATAAGCTGATGACTAAGTGCCTAGATGATGATCTTTTCATGATAAACTTTCCAGGTGTTCTTTGAGTTTCTTGTATTTGGATGTCTAGATCTCTAGCATGGCCTGGGAAGTTTTCCTTGGTTATTCCCTCAAATAAGTTTTCCAAACTTTTAGATTTCTCTTCTTCCTCAGGAACACCAGTGATTTTTAGTTTTGGTTGTTTAACATAATCCCAAACTTCTTGGAGGCTTTGTTCATTTTTTAAATTCTTTTTCCTTTGTGTTTGTCTGATTGGGTTAATTTGAAAGCCTTATCTTTGAGTTCTGAAGTTCCTTCTACTTGTTCAATTCTACTGTTGAAACTTTCCAGTCTATTTTGCATTTCTCTAAGTGTATCTTTCATTTCCAGAAGTTGTGATTGTTTTTAATTTTTGATATCAATTTCTCTGGAGAAGTTTTCATCCATATCCTGTATTTTTTTAAATATTTTAAGTTGGTTTTCGCCTTTCTCTGGTATCCCCTTGAGTAGCTGAATAATCAACCTTCTGAATCCTTTATCTGTCAATTCAGAGATCTTCTTGGTTTGGATCCATTGCTGGGGAGCTAGTGTGATCATTTAGGGGTGTTATAGAACCCTGTTTTGTCATGTTACCAGAATTATTTTTCTGGTTCTTTCTCATTTGGACAGACTATTTCAGTGATAAGGTCTGAAACTCAAGCCCTGCTGTTCAGATTCTTTTGTTTTACAGGATGATCTCTTGATGTAGTCTCTTCCCTTCCCCTAAGGATGAGGCTTCCTGAGAGCTGAACTGCTGTAATTGTTATTGCTCTTCTGGGTCTAGCCACCAACCTGGACTCCCAGGCTCCCCTTGTTGATGGTGGGGACTGTCTGCAAAGTGTCCTGTGATGTAATCTGTCTTCAGGTCTCACAGCCTGGATACCAGCACCTGCTCTGGTGGAGGTTAGAGGGGAGTGAAGTAGACTCTGAGAGTCTTTGGTTTTTGTATTAGCCATTTTCATCCTGTTGATAAAGACATACCCAAGACTGGGCATTTTACAAAAGAAAGAGGTTTAATGGACTTACAGTTCCACATGGCTGAGGAGGCCTCACAATCATGGTGGAAGGTGAAAGTCACATCTCACATGGTGGCAGACAAGATAAAAGAGCTTGTGCAGGGAAACTACACTATATAAAACCAACAGATCTTGTGAGACTTATTCACTGTCATGAGAACAGCACAGGAAAGACCTGCCCCATTATTCAATTACCTCCCACCAGGTCCCTCCCACGACAAGGCGGAATTCAAGGTGAGATTTGGGTGGGAACATAACCAAACCATATCAGTTGTAGATATGTTTCGTGTTCTAGCTTTCTCAAATGCTGGTTATGTGAGCAGTGAAGTTGTCATGTGGGCATACTCGGAACCTCTGGTTAGCCAAGATATTGCAAGCAGTAGAATTAGCTCTTGTTTCCTTCTTCCTGGGATCATGGTTATTCTGTAATGAATTTCTGTAATGTTCTGAGCTGGTTGGCCTCCAGCCAGGAGGTGGCACTTTCAAGAGAGCACACCAGCTGCAGTAGTAGCAGGGATATCTAAACTTGCCCTAAGTTGGCCAAGGTAAGTATTTTGTTTTCTCAGGCAATAGGTGGGGCTATAAGCCTTCCAAAAGTTTCTGTCTTTTATGTTCAGCTACCAGGGTGGGTAAAGAAATGCCACCAGGTGGGGGCAGGGTTAGGTGGGTCTGGCCTCAGATTCTTCTTGGGCAGGGCTTGCTGTGGCCACTGAGGGGGAAGGGGAGGTGGTTCTCAGGTTAATGGGGTTATTTTCCAGAGGGGATTATGGCTGCCTCTGCTATGTTATATAGTTCACCAGGGAAGTGGTGGATAACTGGTAGTGAGAGGCCTCACCTAGGTCCTAGGCAGTTGGCAAGGCTCATGTCACTTTTGCAGTGCCCTGCTCAGACCTTGCCCCAGACCCTGAGCTTCCCCACTGAGAAAGCAAGCACAGCTTCCAAACATCGCCCATCCCCATCTGCCCACACTGTCATTGGTGGCTCCTGTGCTTGTATCTGCAGCAGTTCACGTATGACCTCCAGATTCTGCTCAAGAAAATTTGTACCCTGTCAAAACTATTACTAATTTCAGTTGGAAGCTTCTTTAATCCTGCGACTCCTCCCTGATTCTGCTGGCTGTCTCCCTCGAGGGCCCCTGTGAGATACAGTCAGGGATGGCTTCCCTGGGCTCAGGCTGGAGACTGGGAGCACCTACAAGGCTCTTTCCACTGCTGCTTCTACTTTTATATTATGCACGGCTCTCTAAATCTGTTTCAGCTCTAAGTAAGGTTAAATCCTTCTCCCATAATCTGGATTTTCAGATTCCCCAGTGGGGATATGTGTTCAGTGGCAGGTTTCCCCCTCTCACTTTGGGAACTCACAGTTTTTTCTGTCTCACAGAATTTGCAACAGCATGCCACTTCTTTCAAAGGATCTATGAATTATTTTGATTTTCCTGGTATGTTCCTGCAGAGGTTCTTGGAGCAAAAGTTCATAGTGCGAGTCTCCACACACTGTTCTGCCCATCCAAGTGGCAGCTGCACATTAGCCCTGTGTCCTATCTGCCATCTTGTCCTCAATTTCTAATATTAAAATTATGTAAGATTATTAGAGATCCTAACACTTAACTCTCAGTACTTGATATGCTAAGTAAACAAAGCCTTTATTAAGGACATGGAAAACTTTAAAAAACACTATATCGGCAATGTTAACACAATTAATATTTATAAAACACTATACCCAACAATATGAATTCAAGTATACAGGGAACATTTTTAAAGAAAGATTATATTTTAGGTAACACAATAAATCTCAAAAAATGTAAAGCAATTGAAATCATGGAGAGTGAGTTCTCTGATCAAAATGGAGTTAAATTAAAATGAAAATAGAAATATATCTGGAAAATTCCCAAATACATGTACATTAAGCCATACACCCTTAAATAACCTATAAGGCAAAGATGAAATCACTCGTAAAATTAGAAAAATTTTAAATTAAATGATAATAAAAACATAGCAAAGCAAAATTTGTCAGAAACCATTTAAACCATTGATATGGTTAGGCTTTGTGTCCCTATCCAAATATCATCTTGAATTGTAATTTCATAATCCCCATAATCACCAGGTGTCAAGGAAGAGACCAGGTGGAGGTAATTGAATCATGGAGGTGGTTTCCCCCATGCTGTTCTCAAGTTAGCGAGTGTGTTCTTATGAGATCCAGTGGTTTTATAAGGGGCTTTTCCCCTTTGCTCAGCGCTTCTCCTTCCTGCTGCCTTGTGAAGAAGGTCCCAGCTTCCCCTTTGCCTTCTGCCATGATTGTAAGTTTCCTGAGGCCTCCCCAGCCATGCTGAACTGTGAGTCAATTAAACCTCTTTCCTTTATAAATTACCCAGTCTCAGACAGTTCTTTATAGCAGTATGAAAATAGACTAATACAGCCGTGTTGAGGAGGAAATTTATTATTTCACATTGTATATGACAAAAGAATAAAGGTATAAAATCAATGATATCAGCCTTCAATTTAAGCAGCTAAAAAAAAAAACAAATTAAACACAAAGTAGCATGAGGAAAACAAAGAAGAGTGTAAATCAAGGAAATTGATAAAAGAAACCCAATAGAAACAATTTTAAAAATCAAATGTCGTTATTTGAAAAGATAAAATCCTAACTATACTTATAAAGAAAATAAGACACAAGTTACTAGTGATAGGAATGTAGAGAAGACATCACTACAGCTCTGTCAGACATTGAAAGCAAAAATAAAACCTTTTGAAAACTTTTATACCAATAAATTTAATGATGTAAATAAATTTCTTGAAAGTTACAAACGACCAAAGCTCCTTCAAGATGAAATAGATGAGTCCTTCCTCATACTACTTTCTAACCTCCCAGCTTCTTCTAATAATTTTTCCACTGTATCTTTCTTTAGTTAAGATAACCAGATCTGTAACGGTATTCCAGGCAGATGCACCTATAAAGCCCTCCATAAATATGTATCTGCTGGCCATCTTAGATCCTTTCAAAACAAGGCTCACAAAGCTGTACCAGATTCTTCAAGCCACACTCATGTTTCACTTATTGAAGTGTCCTCAATGCATAGTTTAGTAAGCACTTAATTGTAGATCATCAAAGTATTTAATAAACTTTTCAGGCATCTGAAGCAGCCCCTTAGGAAAATCAACAATCTCTCAAGCTCAGAAGTCTTATCTTTACTTCTTTTGTAGCCTTCACAGCCTTGATCACAGTGCACATCACAGCTCTAAAGGTTCCATAAACTAGTTCAAACATTGTGGAAGTCAGTGTGGCGATTCCTCAGGGATCTAGAACTAGAAATACCATTTGACCCAGTCATCCCATTACTGGGTATATACTAAAGGACTATAAATTATGCTGCTATAAAGACACATGCACACGTATGTTTATTGCGGCACTATTCACAATAGCAAAGACTTGGAACCAACCCAAATGTCCAACAATGATAGACTGGATTAAGAAAATGTGGCACATATACACCATGGAATACTATGCAGCCATAAAAAATGATGAGTTCATGTCCTTTGTAGGGACATGGATGAAATTGGAAATCATCATTCTCAGTGAACTATTGCAAGGACAAAAAACCAAACACTGCATGTTCTCACTCATAGGTGGGAATTGAACAATGAGAACACACGGACACAGGAAGGGGAACATCACACTCTGCGGACTGTTGTGGGGTGGGGGTAGGAGGGAGGGATAGCATTAAGAGATATACCTAATGCTAAATGACGAGTTAATGGGTACAGCACACCAGCATGGCACATGTATACCTATGTAACTAACCTGCACATTGTGCACATGTACCCTAAAACTTAAAGTATAATAATAATAAAATAAAAAAAAGAAAAAAAAAAGATTCCATAGGCTCATTGGCCCTGCCCCTTCCCACACACCACCCACTTGGAGAAGCAGCAGCTATTGGAGGCTGGCTGTTGAACTACACAATAGTACAAGTAGAGCTACGGAATATATAGAAGTTTAGGCTGATTCTTTGATGGCCATAAAACACGTAAAATAAAAGTTACTTTTTATTTTTCTCCCTACTGTAAGTCTATTTTTTCATCATTCCAGTGTTCCTTCTAAGAGAGAAAAAATATCTGATTAATCAAGACTCCCAGGTGTGTTTTACTTAACTCAAGTTTTACTGAATGCTAAAACTTACAGTAGAGGAATACAGGTATACCTGCTTATGATGCTTTGCTTTATTGTGCTTTGCAGACATTGCATTTTTCACAAGTTGAAGGTTTGTGGCAAACCTGCACTGAGCAAAGTCTACAGGTACTGTTTTTTCAACAGCACGTTTACATTGTGTGTCTGTGTCACATTGTGGTAATTCTCACAACATTTCAAACTTTATTATTATTAGTGTGATATCTCTTTTGGTGAACTGTAATCAGGGATTTTTGATGTTACCATTGTAATTATATTGGGGCACCGCAAACCACACCCATATAAGACGGCAGACTTAATTGATAAATGTTGTGTGTGTTTTCCACAGGTCAGGTTTTTCTCAATTTCTCTCCTTCATCTTAGGCCTCCCTATTCCCTGAGACACAATAATGTTAAAATTAGGCCAATTAATTACCCATAAGAGTTCAAATAAAAAGGAGTCAAATAAAAGGACGAGACACACTCTCATTTTAAGTCAAAAGCTAGAAATGATTAACCTTAGTGAGAAAGACATATCTAAAGCTGAGGTAGAAAGAAATCTAGGCCTCTTGTTGTCAGTTAGCCACTTCGTAAATGTAAAGGAAAAGTTCTTGAAGGAAATTAAAAGTGCTACACCAAGTGAACCCGGGAGGCGGAGCTTGCAGTGAGCCGAGATCACACCACTGCACTCTAGCCTGGGTGACAGAGCGAGACTCCGTCTCAAAAAAAAAAAAAAAAGAAAGAAAGAAATACATTTTGTAAGATGAATGTTTATACACTGATGGTAGAATGTAAACTAGTACAACTTCTATGGAAAGCAATATGGAGATTTGTTAAAGAACTAAAAGTAGATATACCATTTGATCCAGCAATCCCACTACTGGGTATCTACCCAAAGGAAAAGAAGTCATTATATCAAAAAGACACCTGCACACATATTTTTATTGCAACCCAGTTCATAATTGCAAAGATATGGAACCAACCTAAATGCCCATTGACTAATGAGCGGGAATGTATATATGCACCATGGAATACCTACTCAGCCATTAAAAAAACAAAATAATGTATTTTGCAGCAACTTTGATGCAGCTGAGGCCATTATTCTAAGTGAAGTAACTCAGAAATAGAAAACCAAATGCCATCTGATCTCACTTATACTTAAGTGGGGGCTAGGCTATGGGTATGCAAAGGCATACAGAGTGCTATAATGGACTTTAGAGACTCAGAATGGGGAGGGTGGAAGCAGGGTGAGAGATAAAACTACATATTGAATACAATGTACACTACTCTGGTGATGAGTGCACTAAAATCCCAGATTTCACCACTATACAAGTCATTCATGTCACCAAAACCCACTTGTACCCCAAAAGCTATTGAAATAAAAAAAGTTTTAAAATAAGTACATTTTGTAAGGCTAAAGCTATTATAGATAGCGATTCCTGTGATGGATCTGGACAAAGTAAATTGAAAGCCTTCTGGAAAGGATTTACCATTCTAGATGCCATTCAGAACTTTCATGATTCATGGGAGGAGGTCAAAATATCAACATTAGCAGGAGTTTGGAAAAAGTTAATTCCAACGTTCATGGATGATTTTGAGCTGTTCAAGACTTCAGTGGAGGAAGTAACTAAAGATGTGGTGGAAATAGCAAAAGATCTAGAATTAGAAGTGGATCCTAAAGATGCGAATGAATTGCTGCAATCTCATGATAAATCTTGAAAGAATGAGGAGCTTCTTCTTGTGGATGAGCAAAGAAAATGGTTTCTTAAAACAGACTACTTCTGGTGAAGATGCTGTGAATGTTATTGAAATGACAACAGAGGATTTTGTTTAGAATGTTGCATCAACTTACTTGATGAAGCAGTGGCAAGGTCTGAGAGGATTGACTCCAATTTTGAAACAATTTCTACCGTGGGTAGAATGTCATCAAAGACCACATGTTATAGAGAAATCATTCATGAAAGGAAGACTCAATTGATGCAGCAAACTTCATTGTCATCTTATGTCAAGAAATTGCCACAGCCACCTCAACCTTCAGCAAGCAACACCCTGATCAGTCAGCAGCCAACAACACTGAGGCAAGACTTTACACCAGCAAAAAGATTATGAGTCACTGAAGGCTCAGATGATTGTTAGCATTTTTCAGCAAGATAAATTTTAAATTAAGGAATGGATATATTGTTTTAGACATACTGCTATTGCACACTTAATAGTAGACTACAGTATAGGATAAACACTACTTTTATGTGCACTAGGAAACCAAAAAACCATGTAACTCACTTTGCAACATTCACTTTATTGTGATGGTCTGGAGTCAAACTCACAATGTCTCTGAAGTATGTCTGTACTAAATCGATCAACTGGTTTTATAAACATTTTTGAAAGATTTCTCAACCATGCAATCCACAACTGTGTTCATTTTCTGTGTGTATTCTCCAAAATGTGCATTTCTGTTTTAACATTTACAGTGACATTTTGAAGTGCTGTCTCTGCAGTGTTTCAGAGTTTTCTCTTCTTAATACAAACTTAGATGTTCATTTTTAAGGTTAACATAACCACTAGAGAATGGCAGGTTTTTGCTCCACTGGAGTGCTTACCGGAAACGTAATGACCTTTTGATATGTTAGATTCAATTTAAACTGTCATTGGTCTTTTGAACTTCATCTGTTCACATTTTTAATTTTTTATTGGCACCCTTTTAAACATGTAATAAAAATATTTACCATTTCATAATCTTTTTACTGGATTACTAAAAAGTCTATACCATAGACATAATTCATGTAGTATTTTCATTTCAATGAAAATCACATTACCAATTTCGTAAGAAATATGAAATTAGAGGTAAAAAAATCTGATATCTTAGCAGAATTTCAGTCATGTATATCCTCCATGAAATAAGCTAAAAGTACGCTATAGTTGCAATCTCTCTTGATTAACTTTTTAGCTTCTATGGGGGTGGGGGGAGGAGCTTCTCTGAATGGCCAAAGCAAGATTATAAAGTTGAATTTCTATGAAATGGCTTCTAAAACCAGAGTGAAGGGAGTGTGTGTCCCATGTTGGGCAGCATTTTTTCTAGACTCCTGGATTTTACCAGCTAGTAATATTCCAAAAGCAAATTTGATGTCAATTAAAGTTGCAAATTTTCTTTTTTGTTCTTGCAAGTAAGAACATACAAACAAACACTACTATCTTCTCCGGCTATTATTTCACATAAGAAAATAAAATTACACTGAAAGACGTAGGAAGCCCTAATTTTGAGAATGAAGGACACTTCTTGAAACCAAAGAATAGGCTACGTGAAAAACCTACATTTTATCATGACAGTCTTGTACACGTCTTTATAGATTAAACTCATTGTTGCCAAACTCTGTTTTAAAACATGAAACCTAGGCAGCACTACTTGGATATGGATTTCCTGTCTCCATGGTGTTTACAACCCTTCATTGCAATGTTGGAGAGCTAGGTGTGTGTGTGTGTGTGCACGCGCACGCGTGTGCACATTCTGAATACAAAGAATCTGTGGTTGCCCATTTTTGGCGGGTATCATCTATCTATGTCCTCTAGGAAGAAATACAGATTTAGTTGTTAGAGGATTTTAAGGCTTCCATGGAGATTACAAATGTTAAGTGAATTTGAAGATCTTTTATAGAAAGCATAGAATTGATGCCCACAAACTTTATCTAGGAAATTCCACAGTTTAGGAGAGCATTGTCCTTACTATGTCAAATCCTCAAGGAGGAAAACGTTTGCCTTTGAATTATGTACCTCCTGAGAGACTGCTGAATTTGTGTAATACTAATGTAGACATTTCAATCATGCTATTTTGAATGGTATTAGGAAGCCAAATCCGAAGTAAGTCCTATATTTTCTTCTGGCTACTGGTAGTTTCTATTCTACATTTTTAAGTATCTTACTTGAGCATGTTACTGAATTATCAAATCCTCTAAAAGTTTGAGAAGACTAGATCAAGCTGTATCAAAAAGAGATGCAGACATTTAAATGAAGCATGAAGTTAACTTCCATTTTCTTACTTAGTTATTATCTACTCTATTTCACCAAGTTGATAACAGGTCTGCACAAGTTTTCATTCTCAACCATCCAGATGTGAGAAAGGCAACCTATGATGAAATTATAATAAAAACACATCTATATTTGTTAAGACATTTGATACAGTTGTACCTAATCAGTTTTGAAAAGTAGAACTCAATGTTCAAGTACTATTAATTTGATATCTCTGCCAGATGGATCTCATTTCAGATTAAATTCCCGCTAAGCTCACCAAATAATTTCTATTAAAGACACTTGGGGAATCTTCAAAGACAGGGTAAGATTTTAATAGCTCCTAGGAAATTAATGATTGTAATGTATGCTAAAATAGTGATGATGTGACAACCAATAATTATATTAACTTCTGTTACTTTGAAAGTACCTTTACGTCATCAGTCAAGGTAGAATTTTTATTCTGACAAAAGGTTTATGAGGACAAGTCTGCTGGGTATGAATACACATAATTTGTCTGTCAAAAGGTGGAAATATTCTGTATTAGGAAGTCAAGTCCAAAGAAAAATCTGTATTTGCTTTTCCATACTAGCTACTAGAAATTTCCACACCATATTCTTTGATACATGAATATAAATGTTTGTGTGCATGTGTGTATATAAAACTGCACACAAAGTGTAAAAGAGGAAATCACTCTGTTCACTTGTAGTGCAGGTGGAAAATGCATGAGTATTTAAAAGGACAGTTGCTTATAACCAGAATAGGCCACCATTATGTAAAAAATCTTTGAAAATAGAAACCCAATGCTTATCAATTCATTGTAAAAGCTGCTTTTCTTTGAGTCTTCAAAGCTTTTGGAAATGAGGAGCCCCCTATTACCATGATGATCATCAGAGACTGAAGGGATCACACCTCACACTTTATTTCAATTACACCAAGTTACCTGTTAACATCTTAGGAGCAGTCAGCAGGTAGGGGGTGCAGGAACTCGTAGATCGAAGAGCTAAGCATAGTGAAAGAGACAGTGATTCCAGAAATGGGAAATAAAAGGGGGGCTGATAAGGGAGGTGGGGAGGGGACAAATTTTCATTCCTTTCAAAATTTACATGAGGTTAAGTCTGACTTTTAGGGTGCAATCTGGGGCAAGGGTAGAGAAAGTCCTCATTTAACATTGTATTGGAAATTGCAACTTTAATCAAAATGACATATAATGAAATCAATTTTAGTAGGCTAATTGATATAACTAAGAGTTAGGCTCTTATGGCATATTTCTGGTAACAAATCATCATCAAAATTCTAAATAAAGACCAAAATACTTCTAATATTAAACACTAAAATACTCATGAGCTTCATATGTTTAAGAAAGATTAATAAAAACCAGTAAGATTATTATTTACCCACTTATGCTGGTTCAAGGAGACAGGTGGCCAGAGTGTCTCTTAGAAACTCAGGGTGTCAGACAGGAACCAGCCCTGGACAGGATTGCCATTCCATTGCAAGATGCCCTCATACACAACCCCACTCACTCAGACTGGGACGAGGTAGCCATGCCAGGTCACCCCACGTGCACAGCTTTGGGATGTAGGGGGAAACTGGAGTACCTACAGAAAACCTGTGCAGACGTGGGGAGACCACGCGCACTGCATACACACAGTGGCCCCAGCCAGGAATCCATTTTTTTTCTTGTCAATGTCATAAAGAAATGACGCTGAATAAATTCACGTTATTCAAAGACCTGCTGTATTACAGAAAAGTCAAAGAAGTTCTAAAGAAGATATAATATTAGGACTCCCATAATTGCTATTTGTTTTGAACCCTCATCAATTATTCCATGCAGTGTAGGGTGGGAAGAGATCAAAAAGAACTTCTGACAAGGAATGGGCAGAAAAACTCAATAACGAGGAATGCAGCCTCCCTCTCTAATATAGCTACAAATACAAGAGAAAAAGATGTGGCAAGAGAGGTTAACGTCAAGAAGCAAGTGCAGAAAAAGCTGTCAGTTTTTTAAAAATTCACCCAATTAAAATGTGGTTTGACTTTTAGATATCTTACTTATATTATGGACATTTTTAGTGAGAGAAAAAGCCAAAGACAAAAAAATTGATATGGGTGAGTTTCTTTTTGCAAAAACATCGGTCATGTAATTATCAACAACAAGAAAAAATGCCAAGTAACTGAATTCTATTACATAACATGAATTCTTGCTACTCCTCACTTTCTTAGTGAATACACCACCTGCTCGTGTTTCCTCCTCCAAATCTCCCAAAGTAAATGTATTGGCAGTTTGTCATCCAGAGATGGCTGAGGTGGTTTCATTTCTGTAGGCTAACCACATTTAGGCTTGGAAGCCTTTTAAAAAGAAGAGGAGGAGAAGGAAGATGAAAGGGAGCAGGAGGAGAATAGAGAAGAGGAAGAGGAAGGGTGAGGAGGATGAAGTGTGAGGGAGGGAAGACAGAGAGAAAAATAAAGAAGAAAGTAGAATGAATAAAGATTATGTAATCCATAACCTCTGGACTTATGTGATATTGAGGCATGGAAGTTAATATGCTAGATTTTGGTGATCCTAAATGTAGGATATTACAGAAAGAGAGTCACTTTGCTAACACAAAGAAATAGTAAAGAAAACTTTGTGTGCTTTTTTCTATTTAGATCTCACACTTAAAATGCAGTTAGAGAAGAAAGGGCATTCTTATAAAATAATGTTTCCTTTTGTTCATTTAACTATGATTTAATATTTTTATAGGTATTATACTATATATTTTGTTTTAATTAACTTGAATTTCATGAGTGCTAGAGAAGTATTTTAATTTGGTACCTAATTTATCAGTGGTTTGAAGCACTAACATTGAAAAATGCTTTAGCTTTAAAAGTTTTTAAATTTAAGTTTTAATATATATTTTTGGTTAGGAATTTAATGGTTAGGATAAAACCACAGACATAACAAAACCTCCAAAAATATATAGCCTAACTGCTTGGTTGGCTATTACAAATCCATTAGAAATTGTTACTGTGAGTTAAAAAGACTTACAGCTGAGTTACAATTTGGGAGCAACTGTTAGAACCAAGAGATGGAATTAGATAAGATCTCCTGTGAATATAAGCAGTATACCTTAGAAAAACAAGAACTTCAAGACTAATTATAATGAAAAAAGTTTGGGTAATTACATTTCCATCAGCAGCAAACATATATATAGAGAGAGTAACAAAATGCCAGGGATGAGGAAGGCTTTTTGTGAAGTTAAGCCAGTAATACCAGAGTTGGTGTTAAGTTTATATTGATGATTTCTGTCAAGTGTCCAAACTATATGGGGAAATAAATTCCCTATTTCATGTGGCAAAGAATAAAAGTTGCCCCTTATTTTACTGTTTCCAAAAATTATGACTTGATGTGACTGGTAAATGCCTAGACTTATGTCTAAGGGTCATTTGGTAAAGGGTATATAAAAAGATGAGTTTAGGGGGAATTGGAGAACAAGAACAACGTGCTTCACAAATACCTTGGAGTTTTCACCACAGTGCAGACTGAGAGCTGAGGCATTTGAAAACTAGGTGAACACAGACTTCCTAGGAATTCAGATACGAAGAAGAAATAGATTAAATGTGATCATGCAGATGGTTGGGTCAGTAAATATTTTAAAACCCACAGAATTCAGTAACTGCATTAAAATAGACCTGATACCTAGCACTAAAATTTATTATATTTGCCCATTTGGGCATTGTCCCTAAGAATGTTATCATCCTTATTAGAGTTCATCACACCTCTTTAGACTTCAGTTTCCCCATCTGTATGTTGAATGAGTTGGACTAGATGACTTCTAAGCTCCTTTTCAACTCTAAACCTTAATAAGTTTATTAGTTTTTACTGAATTCAAGATCACACTTGGAAATGCCTTGGTCTCATTTGTTATGAGGAAGGTATTGGAAATAACAGTGTTGGTAGCCATAGTAACAACAGCAACAAAAACGCCCTGTTGAATGTGTTAATTAGTTTGATTTAGCCATTCCACAATGTATACATATATCAAAACATCATGTTGTACACCATAAAATATGCAATTTTTATTTGTCAATCGAAAAACATTTTTAAAAATTCCCATGACCTCAAAAAGGGGCAGAAAGGATTAAAACAGTCATACTCCTTACTTAGTACAAATAGGGAAACTCATGGAGGACAATCTCACACTTGATAATATAGAAATAAGAAAGTAGTTGAGAACTTGTGTTCTAGCACCTCATACAGACTTCAGGGCTCTTGGAAGAGGATCTTAAGTTTCTAACACAATCTTCATGATTTGCATTGTTGCTGAACATTACATCACCGGAGTTAAAGTTAAATGTTTTTGAGGAAAACCACTATATTAAAAATCACTTTAAGTAGACTTAAACTACTACTATTGAGCTGGTCCATGATTACTTATTTGCTAGAACTTTGAAAAAAAGTGTAAGGGGTGGAATAATCACCCCTTAGATTGTTCAATAATGTGCAATAATCCTTCCTTAGATCAGTATTTCCTACAGTGAGGTGTATAAAATACACAATGCAGGGAGGTATAGAAAAGGTATAAGTTCCATTGATGCCTTTTCATCTGATACTTCAAATTTTTCTATATTTTAGTTATTTTAAATTATGCATTTTATTTAATGGTAGATTATGTCTAACTTGTATAAATAAATAAATAGAGAATAGAGAATCACTGATTTCTTTTTAATTGATGAGGTGCAAGCTCAGAAAAAAATTAAATTGCTAATTTAAAAGATTGTCTTTTATTCACTCATTCAACAAACATTTATTGAGCATCTATTCTATTCTAGGCATTATGTTAGTCTCTGCAAACCACTAAAGAGAAAACATTGACAGATTATTTTAAGGTTAGAAGCATTTATTGATGAATAAAGGAGGATTCTTCTAAGAATTATAGTGGGCAGTGAAATATTTTTGGAAGAAAAACTGTCTTAGTCTATATTTGCCTGTCTTTCCAGATATCAGGGTGCAGTTTGCCCTGTGACCTCAATTCTCTGAGGGGTGCAAGAAAAATAACTGGTTTTCAATTTGTGCAGTGTTTTCCTTGTTGTAAGACTGGAAGTGACATTACCAAGATTTTTACATGTTAGAGGTAAAACCAGAAGCCCCAAAATGAACTTTTAATAAAAGAGATATGATCATGTCACCTTCTTGCTTAAGCCTGGGATATTTGTGTTTTTGTTGTTGTTGTTTTGTTTTTGTTTTTAAGCATAAACAGAATAGAAATCAAAGTTTTTAGCACAGCATTCAAGAACTCACAAGATCTTCCCTGAATCTACCATTTATCTATGCCCATCACTACAACTATTGTTCTTCACTTGTTGTGCTTCAACAAGCTATCATATCAAAATTTTGCATATCTTTCAATGTCCACATCAAATGTCAACTCTCCTATAAACATTTTTCCTGCACCTATCTTTACTAATAGTTAATCTTATTCTTTTATGTTTTATGGCATTTTATTTATATATCATTTTCAATTAAGAAAAATAGAAACGGGATCTCACTCTATTGCCCAGGCTGAAGTGCAGTGGTGCAATCATAGCTCACTGTAACCTTGAATTTCTAGGCTCAAGCAATCTTCCTGCCTCATCCTCCTTCAATTTTTTACCACCGTATGCCTTTAATTATTGTTATTTGTGCACTTCACTGCTGTTCTTACTAGATTACAAGACCCTTGAAGATAGCGACTATGTCTTATACAACTTTGTGTTTTCCATGTTGACTGATATGGTGTTTTGCATGTAAGAATAACCTAGGAAAATTCAGTACATTTAATTGTTTAATTGAAGGGCAAAAATGAAAAAAAATTTCAAAGGATACTGAAATCACCTTCTAGATTTATCAGATGGTTTTAACAGCAACTAATAAAAAACCCCTAGAAATAATTAAACTCTTATGTCAAGAAAGAAGTAATATACATTTAAAGGAAAGAAAGCCTGTAAGTATTACAAATGCAAGAAAATACAGAATTTGAAGTAAGTAGTATTAAGCAGAAATGGTACCAACCAAGCACAGTACACTGCATTTGTATAACACCTATACCTCCTAAGTGGTTCAAGTTAACCAGTTGCCTTGATGCAGTCAACTTTATGGCAGAAGCCACTCAGACCGGAAATGCTTAGTATATCTTCAAGTCCATAAATGTTGTCATGACCCTTCTCATACTACTACTGTCTTGGAAAATTTTGCCAAATTACTACTCCAAATTCTGCTTAGATACCTTTATACAAACATACCCACCTTTAACTCATTCCCCTGGTAGAGCGCTGTGAAAAATAAGAAATTGAAGATGTTTGTTGTAAAGGTTATTGCATCCAAGCTGAGGATAATTACAGGTTACCATATTGGGACACAAAGTGATTTGTTGTACCTGAAGCCCACAAGCAGAAGTATGTAACACTCACATGCACATCACCTTCAACAGAAGTAGGAAAATCCTTGTACATTGTCTCCTGTACTAAAATCACTTCACTCAGTACAGATAAGACATAATTTCTCAATGAATAATGGAATTATTAGTTAATGCCAGCTTGACCTTTCTATCAATATACCTTTCAGAAAAAAGAAAAAAAAAGCCTGAGTTGTAGGCTTTAACGATCAGCAACACTCTTAAGTGATTTGACAGTAAGAAGCAAGTAAGGTACATTCTAAGGTTTCTTGCTTAGTTGCTTAGGAAATCAAGAACCTCATTGCATTAGAGCTGAGGTAAAGGAAGTCCTGAGTTTATAAAACTCTAGCAAGCAGAGAAAAATAGACAAAAATGAGCAAAATTTCTTAGCTCAAAAGTTTAACAATTTTCTTGTTTTAGAACTAAAAATTCAGTAGTATCAGCTGCCTATAAAATCTATAGAGCAATCAGAGTGAGTAGCCATTATCTCATTTGGTGCAATTCAGAATGACAATTCAAAGCCAGTATAATTTCTATCTATGCTTGCAAGAATGATGAAAAATGTCATGGATGGTTGAAATGTAACTGTCACTCAGGAAGAATATAAAACACTTTCTGAGTGTTTTTGAAAGATCTTATAGTTTTTTTTAATTGAAACTTACGTCTTTCAAATATAAGCTGCACTGGACATCAGTAAAATATCTGGGCAGCCATACAATATCTGTTGAGAATCTCTAGACTCACCTTTTATGGATTGGTAGGATGTCATAGAAGATTTTGGCATTGGTATTCTAACTCAGAAACCTCTTAGCTATCCAAGACACCTTCATTCCTTTATCCTTCTTGTTTGAGCTATGGTCAAGATCTGTTAACAGATCCTTAAGACCAGCTCCCTCTCATCTTTTGTATTCATTGATCTCCACTGATTCTTAGTTAAGGTATTCAGTCCTTCTCACATGAACTGTTATGAGAGTCTTGAAATTGTCCTTTTATTACTCCAATATGCCCATCTTGAATCTACTATTTATACTATAATGAGAGGAATCATCCTAAAATGTAAAACTCACTATGCTGCATCCTGGATCAAAGCTTTGAAATGACTACTGGTTGCCTAGAAGATAAAATACAAGTCTTTTAGTACAAGACATTGCAAAATCTTCTCTGTGTCTACTTCTCCCACCTCAGTATCAACACATTTTCCATTTCCTCCTCTCTCCATTCCTACCATAATCGTCCCTCTGGATGTTTCTCAATTCAACATACTTCATTCCTCCATTCCACTATCCATGCTGTGACTTTTGTCTAGAATACCCCTTTTCCCTTTATTCCAACATATTTTGCAAAACACGGTTCAATATTCTATTTCTCTATGAAGTCTATAAAATTAACCTCACTCTAGAACTGTGCAAATACTTCTATTATGACACCAATAGCAATTTATTTCACTAGCATCTTTAAATGTCCATACTACAGAGAGGTTACAGAGGCAATTCCACAGAAGCATGGAACATGCATGATTGTTTTTGTTTCCTCAAAATGTAGCAAAATAGGCACTCTATAAATATGTGTTTTGATTCCCTTTACTAAGGGGAACTTAACTTATCCAGAAACATTAAGAAACTATTAAACAAGCACTGTTTCTTAAAGAGAATTCACTATACAGTCATGTGTCACTTAACGATGGGGATACATTCTGAGAAATGCGTTGTTAGGTGATTTTGTCCTTATATGACCATCATAGAATGTACTACATAAACGTAGATGGTACAACCTATTTCTCCCAGGCTACAAACCTGTACAGAATGTTACTGTACTAAATACTACAGGCAACTGTAATGCATTGGTAAGCGTTCATGTATCTAAACATAGAAAAGATACAGTAAAAATTATAGCATTATAATCTTATGAAACCATTGTCATAAATGTGGTCCATGATTAATCAAACCATTGTTATGTGGTGCCTGACTCTACTTTCACTGCATTATGGGTAAGGAGTTAGTATGATTCATGGTCAAAATATAATAAACTATACTGGTGGAATGCTAGCTGCCTAAAGACAGTATAGGTACAGTAGTTAAGTATGTATTTTTAGATGCCAGATTGTTTGGTTTTAAATTCTGACTACCTTTCACAAGATGTATAACTTTGGTCAAGACCCTTGAGCTCCCTAATCTTTCGTTTCCTCAGCTATAAAATGGAGATAGTAATACTTATAAGTTTGTTGTAAGAATGAAATAATATAGATCAAGTAGCTTAGATAGGCATTTATATAGAACACCGTAAGCAATCAGAAGACACCAGATATTATTTCTAAAGTAGATGCAGTAGGACAAAGGTATACATGTGTGTAATCTGTGTAAAATCCACTAATTATGTTTCCACAAAGTAATAATACTTTTAGCTGAGGCTATTAAGATAAGGTCTATAACAAGAATACCATGTTAAAGTGCCTATACTCTTTGCAATGGGGAGCCCATGGAGTGTCTGTGGTAACTAACTGACAAGAGTTTCATTTTCAGATCACTGTGTGTAAAACAACTATTGCAGGGATGAGGAAAGGAGTAATTAGAGGAAGGAAAACAAGTAAACATGGTAATATTCTAGGTTAGAGGTTGATATGGTTTGGCTCCACGTCCCCACCCAAATCTCATCTTGTAGCTCCCATAATTCCCACATGTTGTGGGAGGGACTTTGTGGGAGATGATTCAGTTATGGGGGCAGGTCTTTTCCATGCTGTTCTCATGATAGTGAATGGGTCTCATGAGATCTGATGGTTTTAAAAATGGGAGTCACCCCTACAGAAGCTCTTTTTGCCTCCTGCCATCCATGTAAGATGTAACTTGTCTTCCTTGCCTTCTGCCATGATTCTGAGGCCTCCCCAACCATGTGGAAGTGTAAGTCCAATTAAACCTCTTTTTCTTCCCAGTCTTGGGTATATCTTTATCAGCAGTGTGAAACGAACTAATACAGTAAATTGGTACCAGTAGAGTGGGGCACTGCTGAAAAAATACCTGAGAATGTGGAAGCAACTTTGGAACTGGGTAACAGGCAGAGGTTGGAACAGTTTGAAGGGCTTAGAAGAAGTCAGGAAAATGTGGGAAAGTATGGAACTCCCTAGAGACTTGTTGAATGGCTTTGTCCAAAATGCCGATAGTGATATGGACAATAAAGTCCAAGCTGAGGTGGTCTCAGATGGAAATGAGGAACTTGTTGAGAACTGGAGTAATGGTGACTCTTGTTACATTTTAGCAAAGAGACTGGTGGCATTTTCCCCTGCCCTAGATAAGTGTGGAACTCTGAACTTGAGAGAGATTATTTAGGGTATCTGGTGGAAGAAATTTCTAAGCAGCAGAGCATTCAAGAGCTGACTTTGGTGCTATTAAACACACTCAGTTTTATAAGGGAAGCAGAGCATAGAAGTTTAGAAAATTTGCAGGGACATGAAGTCAGGGGAGATCTTGCATGGGGCCTGTAGTCCCTTTGTTTTGGTCAATTTCTTCCATTTGGAACAGCTGTATTTACCAAATGCCTGTACCCCCATTGTATCTAGGAAGTAACTAACTTGCTTTTGATTTTACAGGCTCATAGATGGAAGGAACTTGCCTTATCTTGGATGAGGCTTCAGATTGTGGGCTTATGAGTTAATGCTGAAATGAGCTGAGACTTTGGAGGACTGTTGGGAAGGGATGGTTGGTTTTGAAATGAAAAGATATGAGATTTGGGAGGGGCCAGGGGCAGATTTGGGCACCACCCAAATCTCATACTGTAGCTCACATAATTCCCACATGCTGTGGGAGGGACCTGGTGGGAGGTGATTGAATTATGGGGATGGGCCTTTCCCATGCTGTTCTCATAATAGTGAGTGGGTCTCAGGAGATCTGATGGTTTTAAAAATGGGAGTTGCCCTGCACACAGGCTCTTTTTGCCTGCCACCGTCCATGTAAGATATGACTTGCTTCTCCTTGCCTTCCACTGTGATTGTGAGGCTTCCCCAGCCACATGGAACTGTGAGTTCTCCATTAAACCTCTTTCCTCTATAAATTAACCAGTCTTGGGTATGTCTTTATCAAAACCGTGAAAACAGACTAATAGAGGGGTGATGAAGGTTAAAAACTGAGATAGACAAAGCTATGTCATTAGCTATGTCATTAGGCACGCACAGGTGAAAAATTGTTACATATTTCTAGTAAATTGTTTTATTTTTCAAGTCATGACCTTTTTTATTTCCAATAATGCTTCTTGTTTATAAATCTATTTTTCTGATATTAATATTGAAACACAAATTTTCATTTTATTACAATTTTTCTGATGTTTTGGGAATTATTTTTATAATCCTTTGAGGTTTTTTTACTTCCTTTTTCTTCATTCTTATTTTCCTCTGGGCTAATCATATATTCTTTATGTATAAAGAATATATAATTTTTTATATATAGACAAAAAAGTATTTTTACTTTATAGGTCTAGAAATAACAGAATCTATTTTATGCTTTAGTATAATGCACATTGTTTTTACATGCACACAAAATATTTACAAAAATTTTCCACATTGTTGACCACAAAGCAAGTCTGAGGATACACAAAAGACAGGGCCACCCCAAATAGTCGATTGCACAGGGGCAATTAGCTGAGGAGGAGAAAGGTTGATGAAGTTGAGCCCACTCCCTATCAGCCAAGATGTTTGCTTGTCATGGGATTATGAAGAAAGGGATATATTTTGCTCTTGAGCCCAGGGATGAAAAGGTGTTTGTCCCTCTGAAAGTTTCTTTAAAGAAATATTTAAATTTAATTAAAGTTAATTAAAAGGTACTATCAAGACCAGCAACAGCTCTAAATAAAAAAATCCTGTTTTCTAACAATGGGATAACATTCAGAATCAAGTAAAGGGTTAAAAAAATAAAAAATAAAAATAAAAATAAAACTACAAAGCAATATCTTTCATGAACATAGATACAAAATCCTCAACAAATATTAGCAAATTGTACCCAGGAATGTATAAAATGTATAAAAATAATTATAACTTACAAACAAGTGAAATTCATCCCAAACTGCAAGGCTGGTTCAACACTCAAAAATCACTTAATGTTGGCCAGGCACGGTGGCTCACACCTGTAATCCCAGCACTTTGGGAGGCTGAGGCAGGTGGATCACAAGGTCAGGAGATCGAGACCATCCTGGCTAACATGGTGAAACCCCGTCTCTACTAAAAATACAAAAAATTAACCGGGCTTTGTGGTGGGTGCCTGTAGTCCCAGCTACTCCAGAGGCTGAGGCATGAGAATGGCGTGAACCCAGGAGGCAGAGCTTGCAGTGAGCCGAGATAGCACCATTGCACTCCAGCCTGGGCGACAGAGTGAGACTCCGTCTCAAAAAAAAAAAAAAAAAAAAAAAATCACTTAATGTAATCCATCACGTTAGCAGGCTAAAGAAGGTAAATCATATGATTATCTCAACAGACACAGAAAAAAGCATTTGACAAAATCTAATGTCCATTCATGATAGAAAAATAGGAATAGAGAGAAACTTTCTCAACTTGAAAAATAATATCCACAAAGAACCTGCAGCTACCATCATACTTAATGGCAAGAAACTCAAAGCTTTTCTTCATGTATTGGGAATAAAGTAAGGATGTCTCCTACTACTCTTTTTCAACATCATCCTTGGAAGTCCTAGCTTATACAGTAAGACAAGAGCACAAAATTAAGGATGTGCAGATTGAGAAAGAAAAAATAAAGCTATCTTTGTTCAAACAGTAGAAATCTGAAGGAATCAAAACAACAAACCCCTGGAATTAATAAGTGATTATAGCAAGATTGTAAAATTCAAGGTTAAGATACAAAAGTCAGTTGCTTCCCTGTATATCAGTAGAAAACAAGTAAAATTTGAAATTTAAAATGTAACACCAATTACTTTAGCACCCCCAAAAATGAAATACTAAGATATAAAGCTAACCAAACAAGTGTAAGATCTATGTGAGGAAAACTACAAAACTCTGATGAAAGATAATAAAGAAGAACTAAATAAATGGAGAGACATTGAATGTTATGGATAGGAAGGCAATGTTGTTGAGATGTTCATTCTTCCCAACTTGGTATAGATTCAATGCAATCCCAAGTTATTTTGTGAATGTTGACAAATTGATTCTAAAGTCTATATGGAGAGTCAAAAGACCCAGAATAGTCAACTCAATATTGAACAAAAAGTTGGAGGACTGCACTATTCAACTGCAAGATTTACTGTAAAGCTACAGTAGTCAAGATAGAGTAGTACTGGCAAAAGAATAGACAAATAGACCAATGGAACAGAATAGAGAGCCCAGAAATAGACTCATGTAAACATTGCTAACTGATATTTGACAAAGGAGACAATAAAATACAATGGAGCAAAGAGTTAGTTTTTTCAACAAATGAAGATGAGACAAGTAAACATCCACATGAAGAAAAAATGAATCTAGACACAGAACTTAACACCCTTCACAAAAATTAACTCAAAATGGATCATAGACCTAAATGTAAAATGGGAAACTATAAAACATCTAGAAGATAACATGGGAGAAAATCTAGGTGACCTTAGATATGGCAATGAATTTTTAGATACAACACCAAAGGTATGACCCGTAAAATAAACAACACTGGACTTCATTTAAATTAAATACACTGGACTTCATTTAAATTAAAAACTCCTCTGTGAAAGACTATTTCAAGAGAATGAGAAGACAAATCATAGATTTGGAGAAAATATTTACAAAAGACTTATCTGGTAAAAGACAAAATATACAAAGAACTCAAAACTCAACAATAAGAAAACGAACAACTTAACTTAAAAAGTAGGCAAAAGACCTGACCAAATACCTCACCAAAGAAGATATATAGGTATATAAACACATAAAAATCCAGAACATATATGTCATTAGGGAATTGCTAATTAAAACAACTAGATATCATAGAACCTCTTAGAATGACCACAATATAAAACATTGACAACACCAAAAGCTGGTGAGGATGTAGAGCAACAGGAACAATCATTTATTGCTGATAGGAATGATAAATGGGAAAGCCACTTTGGAAGATAGTTTGTCAGTTTCTTACAAAACTACATGTACACTTACCATATGATCCAGCAATTGTGCTCCTTGACATTTACCCAAATGAAGTGATAACTTATGTCCACAGAAAAACCTGTACACATGTTTATAAATGATTTATTCACAATTGCCAAAACTTGGAAGCAAACAAGTTGTCCTTCTGTAGGTTACAGATAAATAAACTGTGGTACATCCAGACAAATATTTTTCAGTGCTAAAAAGAAATGATCTATCAAGCCATGAAAAGATATGGAGGAAACGTAAATGCATATTACTAAGTGAAAGAAGGCAATAGCCGGCGTAGTGACTCATGCTTGTAATCCCAGCACTTGGGAGGCTGAGATGGGCAGATCACTTGAGGCCAGGAGATTGAGACCAGCCTGGCCAACACAGTGAAACCCCGTCTCTACTAAAAGTACAAAAAAATTAGCCGGGCATGGTGGCAGGCGCCTGTAATCCCAGCTACTCGGGAGACTGAGGCAGGAGAATTGCTTAAACCCAGGAGGCAGAGGTTGCAGTGAACCGAGATCGCGCTATTGCACTCCAGCCTGGGCAACAAGAGCGAAACTCCATCTCAAAAATAAATAAATAAATAAATAAAGAAGAAGAAGAGAAAGAAGACTATCTGGCAAAGCCGTATACCGTGTGATTCCAATGTCATAACACTTTGGAAAAGGCAAAACTATGAAGACTAAAAAAACTCAGTGGTTGCCCCATGGGTTAGTGGGGAGGAAGGGATAAATAGTCATAGCACAGAGGATTTTCTGGGTAGTGAAACTACTCTGTATGATACTATAATAATGAATACATGTCGTTATACATTTTTCAAAACTCAGAGGATGTACTAGTACACCAAGAGTGAACAGTAAATTCAAATGTAAACTATCGGTTTTGGATGATGAAAAAACACACACACACATAAACAAGACAAACAAATCCCTTTCCCCTACAAAACATGCCCTTGGAATTAACCAGAGGTGCATGGGTGCATGGGTGCACGCGCACACACACACACACACACACCCCTATATAATCAATTCACTAGAGACAAAATCACAAAAGAAATCATAAAATATTTGGAACTGAGCAACAATTAAAATATTACATTAAAATACTGCAACTAAAACAGTATCAGAAAAATTATAGCCTTAAATGCCTGTATTAGAAAATAAAAATTTGAAAATTAATGAGGTAAGTTCTAACTCAAGAAATTAAAAATAAACAGTAAAGTAAAAAAAGATATATTAAAATTGAAATTAATTATTTTAAGAAACAAAGCTGATCAAATTAGAAGAGCATATAGTATATAGTAAGGTCTCTTAACTGTTTGCTATTATTGTAATTATTTAAGTGTAGAGAGGTACTGAAAATACATTTTCTCTACTTAAGGTCTAAAGATCTGTCTTGTAGTTTGTTTTTTTTTTCTCTAAGGCTAGATGCTATGTCACTTGCAGCGAATCACTTCATTCTGCCAAATCTTCATTACTTAATATATAAAATAAAGCTTTTGGATGGAAAGCCATACCCAGATCTATCTATCTAGGATTCTACTTTTCAAGACTTGGCTGAGGCAACAATTTGGCTGATATAAAACTCAACTTGTAGACTTCTGCTATGATATGGACCATTATTTTTTGTTTTAAATCCTGGAAATGATGAAACATGATGAGTTACAATTACACAGCACATAAATTTATTAATAATATTATTATTATTACTACTAGTAGTAGTACTGAAAAACTTATAGTGAAGTTGATTCTCTTGCTAATACTATTTCCTTTTAGTATCAGAATTCATTCATGACTAAATTCCCAGCATTAAAAACAAAAATATCTTTCCTCTCTTCACAATACTCATTTTCAGGAAATGTTATAATCTTCTTCTAAGGAATTTTATAGAAGCCACAGTATACTGCTAAGTGTTCCTAAGGCAAATTGGCTAACAACCTACTTGTCAAATCAATATCATGTTCACTTACTCAAGAAGATACTGGTGTAAAAGACAAATACAGCAGGCTCTCTAATTTCTCTTATATGTAGAACAAAAGAGAAAATTCATTTTCCTTTTCATAATTAGAGAAAATGATCCTGGAACATTTTTGCTCAAAATATAGAAGTCATTCTTTAGCTTTCTCTTTATTTTTCTCTTTCATCACGTTGTACAAATGAGGAATGATAACTGGGAACAGGACACTAGAGGAACCCCTTTTTCTCCCTTTTCTCCTGTCTACTCTCTTTAAAACAGTGTTTCTTAAAGGGTTGTCAAACACCCTTCAGGAAGTCTGTATAATTGAAACTATATTCCTAATAATACTAAGACAGTATTTTCCTTTATCACTCTCATTCTGCCATGAGTGTACAGTGGAGTTTCCCAGAATCTACATGACATGTAATATCACAACAGATAGAATACAGAAACATATATGAGACTAGGTGTCTTCTATTAAGCCAAAGGTTAAAGACATTAACAAATATATAAAACAATGCCACTTTTCTCACAAAATATTTTTGGCTTTGGAAAATGTATTTTCCTTAAAGATGTTTTATGTTAGTATGTCATGGATTTATTATTTTTAAATGAATTAATAAATAGTCTTAAAGTTTCTAATGTGGTAAATGTTGATAGATAGCAGTCTACATAAACAAAAGCTCTTTATAAAAATGAGGCTATAAAGAGGTCCTGAAACCAAAAATCTGAGAACCATTACTTTAAGTAGTTCCTCCAGTAGCTAAGAAGAAAAAATTAGGAAATAGAAGCACGTAAAATCCAGAGAAAAGGACCAGAGGCATCCTAATGCCTAGTTAACCCGAAAGAAGAGAGTAGAGCACTTAGAAAATCTCTCAACTTCCATAAGAATTTACACTAAATGTGAGTAACAAACTTTAATTCAAAACCGTGGATGACATTACGCGGGACATAATAAAATGAAGATTAAGGGTAAGTGGGAAAGGAATCAAATTACACTCTAGGCTGGGTGCAGCGGCTCATGCCTGTAATCCTAGCACTCTGGGAGGCCGAAGAAGGAGAATTGCTTAAATCCAGGAGTTTGAGACCAGCCTAGGCAACATGGCAAAACTGCCTCCCTACAAAAAATACAAAAATTAGCCAGGCATGGTGGTGAGTGCCTGTAGTCCCAGCTACTCAGGGGGTTGAGGCGGGAGGATCCTGGAGCCTGGGAGGCAGAGGTTGCAGTGAGCCGAGACCATGCCTCTGCACTCCAGCCTGGGCGACAGAGCAAGACTCTGTCTCAAAAATATATGTGTGTATATACTCCAGATTTTTAATGTTCCATTAGTATTAAAATATAGTATTTTAATCATTATCTTAAAATATAGTATTTGTTTAGTGCCCAATGAATTTATGTGTCTTAAGTGTTTGGGGTTGGTGTATACATGGTATCTGTGTAAATGGGGTAAAGTTAACTAGAACATGTCCTGTTACATAGTCCTATATGACAATGTCAGTATATGCTGTGGAGGTTTAGATCAGAAATTCTAGAATCAAGCTGCCTGGATTTGAATCGCAGTATTTCAAGTTACTTGATTTCCCCAGCTGTCAGTCTCCTCATCTATAAAATGGGATTGATAACAAGAGCAACTTCCCCATGGGGTTGCTATGCAGATAAAATTAGCTAATATTTGTTGATATTTGACAAAGGCTTATAGCACAGCACCTGGCCACAGTATGTGCCATATAAATAAATGTTTAGTTATTGCCATGACTTTTAATTAATGACATACATTAAAAGTAATGGCAAAAAACGCAATTACTTTTGCACCAACCTGTAACTAATGTATGCCATTAATTAAAAGTTATGTCAAAAAACGCAACTACTGGGAGGAGCCAAGATGGCCGAATAGGAACAGCTCCGGTCTACAGCTCCCAGTGTGAGCAACGCAGAAGACGGGTGATTTCTGCATTTCCATCTGAGGTACCGGGTTCATCTCACTAGGGAGTGCCAGACAGTGGGCTCAGGTCAGTGGGTGCGCGCGCCGTGCACGAGCCGAAGCAGGGCGAGGCATTGCCTCACTTGGGAAGCGCAAGGGGTCAGGGAGTTCCCTTTCTGAGTCAAAGAAAGGGGTGACGGATGGCACCTGGAAAATCGGGTCACTCCCACCCGAATACTGCGCTTTTCTGACAGGCTTAAAAAACGGCACACCACAAGATTATATCCCGCACCTGGCTCGGAGGGTCCTACCCCACAGAGTCTCGCTGATTGCTAGCACAGCAGTCTGAGATCAAACTGCAAGGCGGCAGCGAGGCTGGGGGAGGGACGCCCGCCATTGCCCAGGCTTGATTAGGTAAACAAAGCAACTGGGAAGCTCGAACTTGGTGGAGCCCACCACAGCTCAAGGAGGCCTGCCTGCCTCTGTAGGCTCCACCTCTGGGGGCAGGGCACAGACAAACAAAAAGACAGCAGTAACCTCTGCAGACTTAGATGTCCCTGTCTGACAGCTTTGAAGAGAGCAGTGGTTCTCCCAGCACAGAGCTGGAGATCTGAGAACGGACAGACTGCCTCCTCAAGTGGGTCCCTGACCCCTGACCCCTGAGCAGCCTAACTGTGAGGCACCCCCCAGCAGAGGCACACTGACACCTCACACGGCAGGGTATTCCAACAGACCTGCAGCTGAGGGTCCTCTCTGTTAGAAGGAAAACTAACAAACAGAAAGGACATCCACACCAAAAACCCATCTGTACATCACCATCATCAAAGACCAAAAGTAGATAAAACCACAAAGATGGGGAAAAAACAGAATAGAAAAACTGGAAACTCTAAAAAGCAGAGTGCCTCTCCTCCTCCAAAGGAACACAGTTCCTCACCAGCAACAGAACAAAGCTGGATGGAGAATGACTTTGACGAGCTGAGAGAAGAAGGCTTCAGACGATCAAATTACTCTGAGCTAGGGAGGACATTCAAACCAAAGGCAAAGAAGTTGAAAACTTTGAAAAAAATTTAGAAGAATGTATAACTAGAATAACCAATACAGAGAAGTGCTTAAAGGAGCTGATGGAGCTGAAAATCAAGGCTCGAGAACTACGTGAAGAATGCAGAAGCCTCAGGAGCCAATGAGATCAACTGGAAGAAAAGGTATCAGCGATGGAAGATGAAATGAATGAAATGAAGTGAGAAGAGAAGTTTAGAGAAAAAAGAATAAAAAGAAATGAGCAAAGCCTCCAAGAAATATGGGAGTCTGTGAAAAGACCAAATCTATGTCTGATTGGTGTACCTGAAAGTACTGGGGAGAATGGAACCAAGTTGGAAAACACTCTGCAGGATCTTATCCAGGAGAACTTCCCCAATCTAGCAAGGTAGGCCAATGTTCAGATTTGGGAAATACAGAGAATGCCACAAAGATACTCCTCGAGAAGAGCAACTCCAAGACACATAATTGTCAGATTCACCAAAGTTGAAATGAAGGAAAAAATGTTAAGGGCAACCAGAGAGAAAGGTCGGGTTACCTCAAAGGGAAGCCCATCAGACTAACAGCGGATCTCTCGGCAGAAACTCTACAAGCCAGAAGAGAGTGGGGGCCAATATTCAACATTCTTAAAGAAAAGAACTTGCAACCCAGAATTTCATATCCAGCCAAACTAAGCTTCGTAAGTGAAGGAGAAATAAAATCCTTTACAGACAAGCAAATGCTGAGAGATTTTGTCACCACCAGGCCTGCCCTAAAAGAGCTCCTGAAGGAAGCACTAAACATGGAAAGGAACAACTGGTACCAGCCGCTGCAAAATCATGCCAAAATTTAAAGACCATCAAGGCTAGGAAGAAACTGCATCAACTAATGAGCAAAATAACCAGCTAACATCATAATGACAGGATCAAATTCACACATAACAATATTAACTTTAAATGTAAATGGACTAAATGCTCTCCAATTAAAAGACACAGACTGGTAAATTGGATAAAGAGTCAAGACCCATCAGTGTGCTGTATTCAGGAAACCCATCTCACATGCAGAGACAAACATAGGCTCAAAATAAAAGGATGGAGGAAGATCTACCAAGCAAATGGAAAACAAAAAAAGGCAGGGGTTGCAATCCTAGTCTCTGATAAAACAGACTTTAAACCAACAAAGATCAAAAGAGACAAAGAAGGCCATTACATAACAGTAAAGGGATCAATTCAACAAGAAGAGCTAACTATCCTAAATATGTTTACACCCAATACAGGAGCACCCAGATTCATAAAGCAAGTCCTTAGAGACCTACAAAGAGACTTAGACTCCCACACATTAATAATGGGAGACTTTAACACCCCACTGTCAACATTAGACAGATCAACGAGACAGAAAGTCAACAAGGATACCCAGGAATTGAACTTAGCTCTGCACCAAGCGGACCTAATAGACATCTACAGAACTCTCCACCCCAAATCAACAGAATATACATTTTTTTCAGCACCACACCACACCTATTCCAAAATTGACCACATACTGGGAAGTAAAGCTCTCCTCAGCAAATGTAAAAGAACAGAAATGATAACAAACTATCTCTCAGACCACAGTGCAATCAAACTAGAACTCAGGATTAAGAATCTCACTCACAACCGCTCAACTACATGGAAACTGAACAACCTGCACCTGAATGACTACTGGGTACATAACGAAATGAAGGCAGAAAGAAAGATGTTCTTTGAAACCAACGAGAACAAAGACACAACATACCAGAATCTCTGGGACGCATTCAAAGCAGTGTGTAGAGGGAAATTTATAGCACTAAATGCCCACAAGAGAAAGCAGGAAAGATCCAAAATTGACACCCTAACATCACAATTAAAAGAACTAGAAAAGCAAGAGCAAACACATTCAAAAGCTAGCAGAAGGCAAGAAATAACTAAAATCAGAGCAGAACTGAAGGAAATAGAGACACAAAAAACCCTTCAAAAAATTAATGACTCCAGGAGCTGGTTTTTTGAAAGGATCAACAAAATTGATAGACCACTAGCAAGACTAATAAAGAAAAAAAGAGAGGAGAATCAAATAGACACAATAAAAAATGATAAAGGGGATATCACCACCGATCCCACAGAAATACAAACTACCATCAGGGAATACTACAAACACCTCTATACAAATAAACTAGAAAATCTAGAAGAAATGGATAAATTCCTGGACACATACACTCTCCCAAGACTAAACCAGGACGAAGTTGAATCTCTGAATAGACCAATAACAGGAGCTGAAATTGTGGCAATAATCAATAGCTTACCAACCAAAAAGAGTCCAGGACCAGATGGATTCACAGCCGAATTCTACCAGAGGTACAAGGAGGAACTGGTACCATTCCTTCTGAAACTATTCCAATCAATAGAAATAGAGGGAATCCTCCCTAACTCCTTTTATGAGGCCAGCATCATTCTGATACCAAAGCCAGGCAGAGACACAACCAAAAAAGAGAATTGTAGACCAATATCCTTGATGAACATTGATGCAAAAATCCTCAATAAAATACTGGCAAAACGAATCCAGCAGCACATCAAAAAGCTTATCCACGATGATCAAGTGGGCTTCATCCCTGGGATGCAAGGCTGGTTCAATATACGCAAATCAATAAATGTAATCCAGCATATAAACAGAGCCAAAGACAAAAACCACATGATTATCTCAATAGATGCCTTTGACAAAATTCAACAACCCTTCATGCTAAAAACTCTCAATAAATTAGGTATTGATGGGACGTATTTCAAAATAATAAGAGCTATCTATGACAAACCCACAGCCAATATCATACTGAATGGGCAAAAACTGGAAGCATTCCCTTTGAAAAGTGGCACAAGACAGGGATGCCCTCTCTCACCACTCCTATTCAACATAGTGTTGGAAGTTCTGGCCAGGGCAATTAGGCAGGAGAAGGAAATAAAGGGCATTCAATTAGGAAAAGAGGAAGTCAAATTGTCCCTGTTTGCAGACAACATGATTGTATATCTAGAAAACCCCATTGTCTCAGCCCAAAATCTCCCTAAGCTGATAAGCAACTTCAGCAAAGTCTCAGGATACAAAATCAACGTACAAAAATCACAAGCATTCTTATACACCAACAACAGACAAACAGAGAGCCAAATCATGAGTGAACTCCCATTCACAATTGCTTCAAAGAGAATAAAATACCTAGGAATCCAACTTACAAGGGATGTGAAGGACCTCTTCAAGGAGAACTACAAACCACTGCTCAAGGAAATAAAAGAGGATACAAACAAATGGAAGAACATTCCATGCTCATGGGTAGGAAGAATCAATATCGTGAAAATGGCCATACTGCCCAAGGTAATTTATAGATTCAATGCCATCCCCATCAAGCTACCAACGACTTTCTTCACAGAATTGGAAAAAACTACTTTAAAGTTCATATGGAACCAAAAAAGAGCCCGCATCGCCAAGTCAATCCTAAGCCAAAAGAACAAAGCTGGAGGCATCACACTACCTGACTTCAAACTATACTACAAGGCTACAGTAACCAAAACAGCACGGTACTGGTACCAAAACAGAGATATAGATCAATGGAACAGAACAGAGTCCTCAGAAATAACGCCGCACATCTACAACTACCTGATCTTTGACAAACCTGAGAAAAACAAGCAATGGGGAAAGGATTCCCTATTTAATAAATGGTGCTGGGAAAACTGGCTAGCCATATGTAGAAAGCTGAAACTGGATCCCTTCCTTACACCTTATACAAAAATCAATTCAAGATGGATTAAAGACTTAAACGTTAGACCTAAAACCATAAAAACCCTAGAAGAAAACCTAGGCATTACCATTCAGGACATAGGCATGGGCAAGGACTTCATGTCTAAAACACCAAAAGCAATGGCAACAAAAGCCAAAATTGACAAATGGGATCTAATTAAACTAAAGAGCTTCTGCACAGCAAAAGAAACTACCATCAGAGTGAACAGGCAACCTACAAAATGGGAGAAAATTTTTGCAACCTACTCATCTGACAAAGGGCTAATATCCAGAATCTACAATGAACTCAAACAAATTTACAAGAAAAAAACAAACAATCCCATAAAAAAGTGGGCGAAAGACATGAACAGACACTTCTCAAAAGAAGACATTTATGCAGCCAAAAAACACATGAAAAAATGCTCACCATCACTGGCCATCAGAGAAATGCAAATCGAAACCACAATGAGATACCATCTCACACCAGTTAGAATGGCAATCATTAAAAAGTCAGGAAACAACAGGTGCTGGAGAGGATGTGGAGAAATAGGAACACTTTTACACAGTTGGTGGGACTGTAAACTAGTTCAACCATTGTGGAAGTCAGTGTGGCAATTCCTCAGGGATCTAGAACTGGAAATACCATTTGACCCAGCCATCCCATTACTGGGTATATACCCAAAGGACTATAAATCATGCTGCTATAAAGACACATGCACACATATGTTTATTGCGGCATTATTCACAATGGCAAAGACTTGGAACCAACCCAAATGTCCAACAATGATAGACTGGATTAAGAAAATGTGGCACATATACACCATGGAATACTATGCAGCCATAAAAAATGATGAGTTCGTGTCCTTTGTAGGGACATGGATGAAATTGGAAATCATCATTCTCAGTAAACTATCACAAGAACAAAAAACCAAACACCGCATATTCTCACTCATAGGTGAGAATTGAACAATGAGGTCACATGGACACAGGAAGGGGAATATCACACTCTGGGGACTGTTGTGGGGTGGGGGGAGGGGGGAGGGATAGCATCGGGAGATATACCTAATGCTAGATGACTAATTAGTGGGTGCAGCACACCAGCATGGCATATGTATACATATGTAACTAACCTGCACAATGTGCACATGTACCCTAAAACTTAAAGTATAATAATAAAAAAAAAACACACAACTACTTTTGCACTAACCTATAATAAGTAAAACCAGAGCCGCCAGGTGAGATGCCATGAAAAAGCAAGGATTTGAACTGTGAAGCAAACACACTATTGGGAGCAGATCAGAGTGAGTTATTAGTAGAAGAAAGTCTGTTTCTACTAGACTTTGGAGTTAGAATAAGTCCTTAAACAAACCTCACACTAAGTCATCAAAGCTCAACAAGATGAAGAGGCTTTAGATCTGAGAGGGAAATGGTATTTGTCCAAAGAAAGTCTTATGAAATATATTTCATAGAGACTGAGCTTCTTTCAAACATCTGAAAGAGGCTTTGCCTGTACAAGCAGACCCTCTGAGCACAGCATCTGCCCTCCAGGGATCACAAATGATCACCACCGCTTGATGGCATTCAAATCACGCACTTTACGCACAACCATTTCACATGGCTAGATCATTTCCAGTGGTATTCTAATGCACTTTAAAATGTCTTTGAAATATTTGGGGACACAAAGAAGGCGAGAGATTAAGAAAAGTTATACTACATTTTTTCCAGGGGAAATTTAATTAATATTTGAATAGAAGGAACTCTTATGTACTCTGGCATTTATATTAATCTGTTCCAATCTCATTAAGTAATCCAAAATGCTTTTGAAAGCACCATTGCTGAGCACTTTATAATAGTTGTGTTAATTAAATATACTCTTTACTAATCTTATTCAAAAATGGGGCCTTGCTAACACATGTTAAATTTATAATTCAGTTTAGCATATATAATTGTATAATTTTTTAAACAACAAAGACTTCTGACCACTGTGTATTCAGAAGTAAATAATGGATTTAATATTTTAAAATCAGGCACAATTTAACTTCCCGTAATTAAATGTCAGAATAGCTACACTAGAGTTGCAATGGAAATTCCTTTGTTTCTATAAAGCTTTAGTTAGTTGAGGTAGGAGGAATTATTTCCTGAATCCAAAGTGTTCTATTGTCTTTTCCAACCAAATGCCAAATTGAGTCACCATTTTTAATCTTATTATGTAACTCCAGAATTGCAGGAGCAAACTTTTAGAAGAAGGCTAGCTTTTTAGGACAGTGCACTTCACATAGTAGGAATTCAGTAAATGTACGGATAATGACTATAAACAAACACTCTTCTATTAGAAGCAAAGAAGAGGAGCATAGCCTTTTAAAGGCCCCAAATAAATTCCCTCTCCTGGGATATTACATAAGAAACCCTGATGCTAAGTACCAGGGACTGGCTTCTTTTTCTTTCAGCTCCTCTTTAAGAACAATGGGAAGAAGTTAAGTAGAGATGTTTGCTTTTATTCAGAGAGTAACTTGAATTGAATACTTGTACTTCCAATGTGGCATCTCTGTTGAGAGCTTGTGAAGTATTTTGTATACATAAATTTTTAGATAGCCTCTAGCCTAAATCATAAGAAATACAAGGCTATAGACATGTCCCTTGATTCTTTTAAAAGAAAACTTTCATAGAGAGCTTAATCATGAGTTCATAAAACCTGAGCAGAAAGTTAAAGTTGTCCTGTTTTTCTTTTTTCAAAGGAGATTTTTGATGAGAACATAATTAGTCTTTTGCTCTCCATGACAATTAGCCCATTTCAAACACCAGTGGGCAAAAGCCAGACAGGAGCAGCCCAAAGGTCACAGCTCAGTCAGAACTGACATCACTCGTGCACATAACACCATAACACACTTAGCACTGTGCTTGATGCATAGTGAGCCCTCATCAGTAACCACAATAATAGATGATTATTATTTGAGAAGGTAAAGTCTGACACAGTAACTGGGCTTCTTCTCCTTTCCTGATTGCCTTGCTTGGTTATCTTTTCACCTTCATTCTCCTTGCCAAAGGGGTGTTAATTCATTTATTCAACTAATACTGACTGAGTACCTATTCTATGGCAGGCACTGTTTTAAGCACTGGCTGACAATATTCAACTTTCTTGGAGCTCTATAATCCCGGAAATCAGGAAGGGTCAAGAAATCACCCCCATCTATTTGTGTTGCTGGAACAGCTTACTGCAAAGAGCCATCCTTCTTCATATGACTTAGATAAGATTCAATGATGACTCCCTAGATAAGATTCAATGATGACTCCCTTCTTACCTAGTCCCATTCTCTGCTTCATAAATGGTAAGCATCTATGACCTACTTGTTTCCATTGACAAATATGGGCAAAAAGCCCACTTATCTGTGTTAACTAAACTTTAGTTAGATTCTCTCCTTCACTCAGAAAAGAACTGAACTTTGGTGCACTCTTGACCATTGGAATGTGGAAAAACTCTTCCTCTTTAATGGCAAGAATCAGCTGACCTCTGGGAAAACATCCCTAATTGATCCTAACTCCTGCTCATCTTACTTCTCACACCTGGTTCTTTCCAGTGTCATTTACTCCTTTCTTTAAAAGAAAGGTTTTTTTTCTTTTTTTTCTATCTGACCTTTGTGATGCTTTGAGATCTCATGGTTGGCGTATTCTCCCTATTGTGATATCCATGCCCTTGTTGTTATAGTCCCTTTTCCCTGTTGTAAAATCTGTCTGTACTGAATTCCACATTGTTTGTTTGTTTTTTTTTTTTTGATGACAGATATTCCAGCAGTAAACAGAGCATGCAAAAATTCTGCCCTCTTCGCAGTTATAATAATGGGAAAGACAGACAATAAGAAAAAGCATATTTGTACTCTTGTGATAATTGTTTAGAAGAAAAATTAAAGCAAAGGAGATAGGTATTAAATATGGACAGTGTCTTAGTACACTTCTGCTACTATAACAAAATAACTGAGACTGGGTAGTTTTTAAGGAACAGAAATTTATTTCTCACAGTTCCAGAAGCCAGATAGTTTAAGATCAATGTGCTGGCAGGCCTGGTGTTTGGTGAGAGCCCCATCCCCTGCTTCCAAGATGGCACCTTGCAACTGTGTCCTGCAGAGGTGACAAATGGTGTGTCTCCAGAAGGCAAAACGCAGAAGGGTAAAAAGGGGCTTAAGCTAGTTCCTTCCAGTGCTTTTAAAATAGGTACTGATTCATTCAAGAGGTTAACCACTTCCACAAAGGCTCCACTTCTTAATACTACCATAATGGGGATTAAGTTTCAACATGAGTTTGGAAGGGATACACTCAAATCATGCAGGCAGGTCTTTGAAATTTTACATAGGGTGACCTGGGAAGGCCTCATGGAGATGAATTTGAGAAAATCCTGAGGGAAGTAAGGGAGCAGATATCTGAGGGAAGAAGATTAAGCCTTAAGATAAGAGCATGCTTAGAATATGCACGGAGCAGCCAAGGAGGTGACGAACTGACAGGAGCAGAAAAATTTAGGGGACTCTCATTTGACTCATTTTGATGGAGTCATGTAATCTTCTGCAATGTGAGTCTTACTTGAGGTGCAAGGGCACTTTTTGAGCCCCGTTAATGGTGGTCAGTGGAGAGGTGGTCTTACACTCAGCACCATATTGACTTCTGTTGTGGAGGCTTCATTGACAATAAGATGCCTCCAAGTGGAGTGAGACCTAAGGGGTCAAATTCTTGCTTTCAGGCACAGTAGTCTTCAAAGCCCAGGCATTTGATTTTCAAGGCCCTGCTACAAATAACTTGGCAACAAATAGTAGATTGGAAAGAGAACTGATGAGGTGCCAGATGGTTTTGCCACCACAGACTGGGAATGTTCTTACTAGCTTGGGGCCAAATAAGGGGAGGAATAAGGGGTCACAAACAGGAAAGTTTCTAAACACACATCTTTTTTTCTTTCTTGGGGCTGAATCACTGCATATGAGTGGAGTAGAGGATAAGACATTTGGAAAGGTTTGGAAATCTGAGGTCAGATTTCCTTCCTATCTCATTTCCTTTTTGAGGAACTCCAGAGAGTTTTCAAGCTTCTCAAAGTAACCCTGTTCTGCTTGTATTAGTCTGTTCTCATGCTGCTCATAAAGACATACCTGAAACTGAGTAATTTATAAAGGAAAGAGGTTTAATTGACTCACAGTTCCACATGGCTGGGAAGGCCTCACAATCATGGTGGAAGATAAAGGGAGGGCGAAGAGAAGCCTTACATGGCAGCCAGAAAAAAATGGTAGCTTGTGAAGGGTAACTTCTGTTTATAAAACCATCAGATCTCATGATACTTATTCACTACCACAAGAATAGTATGAGGGAAACTGCCCCCATGATTCAGTTATCTCCCACCAGGTCCCTCCCACAATGCATAGGTATTATGGGAGCTAAAATTCAAGATGAGATTTGGGTGGGGACACAGCCAAACCAAATCATTCCACCCCGGCCTCTCCCAAATCTCATGTACTCACATTTCAAAACCAATCATGCCTTCCCAACAGTCCCCCAAAGTCTTAACTCATTCCAGCATTAACCCAAAAGTCCAAGTCCAAAGTCTCATCTGAGACAAGGCAAGTCCCTTCCACCTATGAGCCTGTAAAATCAAAAGCAAGTTAGTTACTTCCTAGATACAATGGAGGTACAGGCATTGGGTAAATACATCCATTACAAATAGGAGAAATTGGCCAAAATGAAGGGGATACAGGCCTCATGCAAGTCCAAAATCCAGCAGGGCAGTCAAATCTTAAAGCTCTAAAATAATCTCCTTTGACTCCATGTCTAACATCCAGGTCATACTGATACAAGAGGTGGGTTCCCATGGTCTTGGGCAGCCCTTCCTGTGTGGGTTTGCAGGGTACAGCCTGCCTCACAGCTGCTTTCATGGGCTGACGTTGAGTGTCTGCAGCTTTTCCAGGCACACAGTGCAAGCTGTCAGTGGATCTACCATTCTGTAGTCTAGAGGATTTTGACCTTCTTCTCACAGCTCTACTAGGCAGTGCTCCAGTGGGGATTCTGTTTGGGGGTTCTGACCCCACATTTCCCTTCTGTACTGCCCTAGCAGAGGTTCTTCATGAGGGCCCTGCACCTGCAGCAAACTTCTGCCTGGACATCCAGGTGTTTCCATACATGCTATAAAATCCAGGTGGAGGTTCCCAAACCTCAATTCTTGACCTCTGTGCACTTGAAGGCTCAACACCCTGTGGAAACTGCCAAGGCTTGGGACTTGCATCCTCTGAAGCCATGGTCCAAGCTGTACCTTTTCCCTTTTAGCCACAACTGGAGCATCTGAGATGCCGGGCACCAAGTCCCTACAGTGCACACAGGAAAGGGACCCTGGACCTGGCCCACAAAACCATTTTTACTGCCTATGCCTCAGGGCTTGTAATGGAAGGGGCTGCCATGAAGACCTCTGATATGCCCTAGAGACATTTTCCCAATTGTCTTGGTGATTAACACTCAGGTCCTCGTTACTTATGCAAATTTCTGCAGCCAGCTTGAATTTCTTCACAGAAAATGGAATTTTCTTTTCTATCTCATTGTCAGGCTGCAAATTTTTCAAACTTTTATGCTCTGCTTCCCTTGTGAAACTGAATGCCTTTAACAGCATTCAAGTCACATCTTGAATGCTTTGCTGCTTAGAAATTTCTTCTGCCAGATGTCCTAAATCATCTCCCCCAAGTTCAAAGATTCCCCACAATATAAATAGTCTAGAAAAGTACAGAAAAATAAGCAAAAGTCCTCTCCAGCTCCTGTGAATTGAGAGGAAGTTGCTGAGAGTGGACCATAGCCCTGGAATGCTCTCCGTCTCAGGTTGAGGAAGATACAGATCTTTACAGGCCTGTGCTTGCAGAGATATTCCTGCATATGCACTGAGACTCAATGGAGGAAGACAGCAGGGGCTATGCCAAGGACCATAGACTAGCAACCTCTCTCCCAGTGACAATATATGAGCTAAAGTTTAGGAATCTTACAGGGAGAAGAGGGGCAGAGAGATTAAAGGAAGCCCTGATTTTGCTGAGTTTATACCCAAAGCAACTGAGATAAATTCAATTTACTGTTAATTGATTGGACTAGGTTTTCTATAATCATGTGAAATATGATTTTACATAGAGATTAAGGTTTTACTCCCTAAGCATGTGGTCTGAAAGATTAAACTAGTTACACTATTTTACAGTACTAATTATTTTATTATTAGTAAGTGGTAAATTCACCTCACAGTGTAGCTGTCTTTCAGCAGAACACCTCTAGTACTAATGCTCAGCTCTTTAATTTGGAGTATTCATCCTCAAGTTAAACATCGTCTTGTTTGGCTATTAGTCATCTTGTGTCTTCCTCATGAACATCTCCTTGGGGCATTCCCTCACATTGGCCAGAAGGAGACATATCCCCTGTAGTCAAGAAGAATGAAGCATCAATAATATTGACAGTGTCTCACTGCACAATTCCAGGATTGTATTCTATTTAAATGATGACTTGTGCAAAGTCAATTTGTTCTCCATCAAGCAGCTACTCTTTGATAATCTTGATATTTTCTTTTCCATTCATCATTTTTAATGCATATTTTATACTATTTATAAAAATTATTATTATTTTAATTTTTGCCTATGTGTTACAATTTTCATAACAATTTATCTTTTAGATAATTTGTATGCTTACAAGAGTTTGCTATGTAAAAAACATAATGGGACACACATTATTTTGTACAATTATTTCTTCACATGTTGAATTGTTGCATTAGGATAAATTCCCAGAAATAGGTCAAAGGGTATGGACATTCTCAAGGCTTTTAATGTTTAGCTAGAAATTGTTTTCCAGGAATGTTGTTCTGATTTACTCTCCCATTAACTCTGTATGAGAGTGGCCTTTTCACTGCAACATAGCCAGTACTGAGAAATCTCATTTACCAAATGGCAAAAAGTCAGAGATTAAGCTTGTAGTTGAGTTGGAGGAAGTAAACTTTTGTACATTTCAGAAGGGACAATTTGTCATTGTCCCTTCTGAAATGACATTAGACATGACATTAATGCATGCAAGGACATTAGAAACATGCACACCATTGAACTAGCAATTTCAATTATATAATTTTTTTGTAAAACATATTTGAGTAAAAGTTAAATGGAGAGCATATGCAAAAGGAGAATTTAAAAATGTTTATAATAGTATTGGAAAAATTGTTTTTAATTTTCTAAGCACATAATTATATCACCTACAAGCTAACTTTTTTCCCCTTTCAAATGTTTGCACATTTTTCTTGTATGATGGTATTGGCTACAGTGCCATCTTTGTGGACACTGGCTGAGGTTGCTGCAGTGGTCAGTGGCATCCATAATACTTGTGTAGTTCCTAGAGGCAACATTATGAGATCTGGAGAAATATGCCAAATGATAAATCAAAACATGTTCAATAATATGGTCTTGTCTTTGTAAAACTCGTGTTTTAAAGGAAGGGCTGTCCAGGTCCTAGGGCTTCTGCCTATAATACCCAACACTTTGGGAGGTGGAGGAGAGAGTATATTATTGGGTTTTATTTTTACCCATTCATTCACTCTGTGTCTTTTGATTGAAGAATTTAATTCATTTACATTCAAGGTAATTATTGATATGTAAGAACTGACTACTGTCATTTTGTTAATTGTTTTATGGTTGTTTTAAAGACACTTTGTTTATGTCTTCCTCTTTATCTGTCTTCCTTTATGGTTTGATGGTTTTCTTCCTGGTAGTTTTAAATAATTTTTATTCTTGTTTTGAGCATCTCTTATAGATTTTTGCTTTGTGGTTACCATGATGTCTAAATAGAACATCTTATTCTTATAACAGTCTGTTGCAAGTTTATAATATCCTCCCTTCCATTTTATGTTTTTGGTGTCTGAATTTAAATCATTTGGCAATGTGTATCCTTTAACAATGTATTTTAGCTATAGTTGTTACTAATAATTTTGTCCTTTAACTGTCATACAAGGGATGAAATTACTTTACACACAACCATTACAGTACTAAAGTATTCTGAATATTGTTCTGTATTACTTGATATGGTTTGGCTATGTTCCCACCCACATCTCATTTTGAATTGTAATTCTCACATTTCCCACATGTTGTGGGAAGAACCTGATGGGAGGTGATTGAATTAGGGGGGCAGGTCTTTCCTGCACTGTTCTCATGATAGTGAATGAATCTCACGAGATCTGATGGTTTTAAAAATGGGAGTTTCCCTGCACAAGCTGTCTCTTTGCCTGTCACGATCCATGTAAGATGTGACTTGCTCTTCCTTGCCTTCCACCATGACTGTGAGGCCTCTCAAGCCATGTGAAATTGTAAGTTCATTAAACCTGTTTCTTTTGTAAATTGCTCAGTCTTGGATATGTCTTTCTCAGCAACGTGAAAATGAACTAATACAGTAAATTGGTACCGGAAGAGTGGGGCGCTGCTGAAAAGATACCCAAAAATGTGGAAGTGACTTTGGAACTGGGTAACAGGCAGAGGTCAGAGCAGTTTGGAGGACTCACAAGAAGATAGGAAAATGTGGGAAAGTTCAGAATTTCCTAGAGACAAGTTAAATGGCTTTGCTCAAAATGCAGATAGTGACATGGACAATAAAATCCAGGCTGAGGTGGTCTCAGATGGAGATGAGAAACTTGTTGGGAACTGGAGGAAAGGTGACTCTTGTTATGTTTTGGTAAAGAGACTGGTAGCATTTTGCTCGTGCTCTAAAGATTTGTGGAACTTTGAACTTGAGAGAAATAATTTTGGGTATCTGGCAGAAGAAATTTCTAAGCAGCAAAGCATTCAAGAGATAACTTGGGTGCTGTTAAAGGCATTCAGTTTTAAAACGGAAACAGAGCATAAAAGTTTGAAAAATTTGCAACTTGGCAATGCTAGAAAAATCCCATTTTCTGAGGAGAAATTCAAGCTGGCTGCAGAAATTTGTATAAATAATGAGGAGCTGAATGTTAATCACCAAGACAATGGGGAAAATGTCTACACAGCATGTCAGAGACCTTTGCAGCAGCCCCTCTCATTGAGGGGAAGAAAAACTGTTTTCCTTGGCTGGGCCGAGGGTTTCTGTGCTATGTGCAGTCTAGAGATTTGGTGCCCTGTGTCCCAGTCACTCCAGCTGTGACTAAAATGGGCCAAGGTACAGCTTGGGACATAACTTCAGAGGGTCCAAGTCCCAAGCCTTGGCAGCTTCCATGTGATATTAAGCCTGCAGGTGCACAAAAGCCAAGAATTGAGGCTTGGGAACCTCCATCTAAATTTAAGAGGATGTATGGAAATGCCTGGATGTCCAGGCAGAAGTTTGCTGCAGGTGCAGGGCACTCAAGAGAACCTCTGCTAGGGAAGTGCAGAAGGAAAATGTGGGGTCAGAGCCCCCACACAGAGTCCCTACTGGGGCACTGCCTAGTGGAGCTTTGAGAAGAGGGCTGCCATCCTCCAGACCCCAGAATAACAGATCCACCGACAGCTTGCACCATGTAGTTGGGAAAGCCACAGACACTCAACGCCTTCTGTGAAAGTAGCCAGGAGGGAGGCAGTACCCTTCTAACCCACAGGGGTGAAACTGCTCAAGACCATGGGAACCCACCTCTTGCATCAGTGTGATTCAAATGTCAGACATAGAGTCAAAGGAGATAATATTGGTGCTTTAAGATTTGACTGCCCTGCTGGATTTCGGACTTGCATGGGGCCTGTCGCCCCTTCGTTTTGGTCAATTTCTCCTATTTGCAATGGCTGTATTTACCCAATGCCTGTACACCCATTGTATCTAGGAAGTAACTAACTTGCTATTGATTTTACAGGCTTATAGGCAGAAAGGATTTGCCTTCTCTTAGATGAGACATTGGATTGTGTACTTTTGAGTTAATGGGTTAAGACTTTGGGGGACTGTTGGGAGGCATGATTGGTTTTGAAATGTGAGTACATGAGATTAGGAGGGGCCAGGGTGGAATGATATGGTTTGGCTGTGTCCCCACCCAAACCTTATTTTGAATTGTAACTCCCACAATTCCCACATGTCATGGGAGGAACCCAGTGGGAGGTGATTAAATTATGGGGGAGGGTATTTCCTGCACTGTTGTCTTTTTAGTGAATGAATCTCATGAGATCTGATGGTTTTAAAAATCGGAGTTTCCCTGCACAAGCTCTCTCTTTGCCTGCTGCCATCCATAATGTGACTTGCTCCTCCTTGCCTTCCACCATGATTGTGAGGCCTCCCCAGCCATGTGGAACTATAAGCTCATTAAGCCTCTTTCCTTTGTAAATTGCCCAGTCTCAGGTATTTCTTTATCAGTAGTGTGAAAATGGATTAATACATTACTTGTATTATTAGGTTTTGTGTTTTCATAAGTTTTATGTTATTTATTAGTAGCTTTTTCTTTAAGTTGTAAAAAACTTCTTTAGAAATTTCTATGTGGCAAGCCTAGAGATGATAAAATATTTTTTGCCTAGTAAGCATTAGTTTGTCTCAGAAACTTTTCACTACTTTTTCGTTTCTGAAAGATAGCTTTGTTTAGTAAGGCATTCTTGATTGGCAGGTTTTCCCTTCAGCATTTTGAATATATCATCTCACTCTCTCCTGGCCTGTAGAGTTTCTTCTGAGAAGTCTGCTGATAGTCATATTGAGACTCCTTTGTATATGATGTATCTCTTATCTTTTGCTTCTCTAAGAATTTTTTTTGTCTTTGAATTTGATAGTTTGATAATTATATGTTCTGGAGAATTTCTCTTTGAGTTGAATTTAATTGGTTTTCTCTGTACTTTCTGTACCTAAATGTTGGCTTCTTTCCTCAAATTAGAGGAATTTTTATCCATTATGCCTTTAAATAACTTTTCTGTTCATTTTTGTTTTTCCTTTTTTAATGCCTACTATGCATGAGTTAGGTCTCTTTATGATGTCCCATAAATTTGTAGGCATTCTGCATTCTTTTTCACCCCTTCTTGTTGTTGTCGTTCCTCTGATTAGGTAATTTCAAATGTTTTGTCTTCAAGTTCACTGATTTTTTTTTCTTCAGCTTGATCATGCTAGCTGTTAAAGCTTTCTTTTGCAATATTTAGTTCAGTCATTACATTCTTCACCTCTAGGATTTTTATTTGATGTTTTCTTATTATTTCTACTTCTTTGTCAAACTTCTCATGTGGTTTGGGTATTGTTCTTCAAATCACATTTAATTTTTTATTCGTATATGTATATTTCTGAAGTTCACTGAATTTTTTAAAGAGGATTATTCTGAATTATTTTTCTGTCATTTCGTACATCTACTTTTGTAGAGTTTATGGTTTGGGTTTTGTTAGTTTCTTTTGAAGGTGTCATGATTTCCTCAATCTTTGTAATTCTTAAGTCCTTGCATTGGCATTTATGCATTTGAAGAGACAGCCACATTTTCCTGCTTTTATAGGAGTTCTCTGGTAGGGATAAGCATTTCCTCGTTAGTCTTGCCTATGATTCTGAATGAGCCAGCTGGTGATGACCCTGGGCAAGCAGAGCTTGCTTTCAGGTTCCTTGCATGGTTGGGCTACTACTCTCTTTTTTCTAAATTTGGGTGGGGTAGCTGGCTAGGTTTTGCTGTCCAGCAAGACCCCTGGCTGAGATCTGCTATCAAGCTGAGCTGCTGTATAAGCACTGCTATTGCCTCTGATCTGGCTGGGCCACAGGCTGTAGTTATGGAGAAAAGGTAATGCTATTTGACTTCAGTAGTTGCATAGAGTTGCAGAAGGGGCCCCAAGTTAAGTAGATCAGGATGGATGGAATAACTGCCATTGTCAGAAAAAATGCATGGTTGAGATTTGCCTTCCACCCTAGGAAGTTTCTGGAAATAGGCTTTGAAGCTGAGGGGAGCCCTGATTAAACTTCCAGGTGTGGCAGATCTAGCATCTGCTTGTTATGGGAACTTGCTACAGATTTTCTCTCACCCTGAGTAGGATCTTGGGGTAAGGTCCAAGACTAGGTCTGGAGGGTAGCTGTCTAGGGATTCAAGCCTGGTAACATTCTCTACCTCTTCTGGGAGTGACCACCTTGGCTTTGTGGGTGAGCTATGCTGTTAGCTGATATCTCTGATGGAACTCTGCTGCTTCCAGGTATATTGAGCTTTTACCAAATTCTGCATGCTATTCTCTGTGGACTCCACCTTCTTGCTTTATTTTCTTCTGACCCCAGTGGCTTAGCTGTGTAGTTTTCTCCCATGTTCCCCATTCCTTATGAGGTGAGAATGAGGATTGGGCTTCTTAGAAACTGTCTCAGAAAGCTAGGGAACCTGGATGTCCATCAACCTGGTTCTCTTTTCTCAGTATAGAAACTGTGGGCCCTGAGGGATCTTCTCTGTGTGGCATGGTGCTGACTTAGAGGAGGAGGGGAAATACAACCAAAGCCAGACCGTTTCTCCCACCTTTTTCCACTTTCGTGGAACACACAGGTGACTCAGACTTATTCCCACATGTTAAGGTGTTCATCAAGGTGTTTTCGTGTGTGAATAGTGGCTGGTTGAAATTTCTTCTGGGGTAGGAGTGAAGTCTAGGACCTCCTATTTTACCACCTTGCATTAGCATTTTAAATATTTTAAAAAATATCAGCCAAAGTAATTTATTGTAATCAGCTTTGTTTTTATTCTGAGGAAAATGGATTTCTAACCTCAGCTATAGTCATTTGTTACATGACTATAATAATTTGCTTTATTAAAAGTCATCATAAAATAAAACCTGACAGTTTTTTTCATTTTTGCATAATTTTATATATTTTACCACTGGTAAACATTAATGACATTTAAAAAAAAGTTTAAGAGAGTTTTAAATACATTAAATTTGTTGCTCTTGGAAGTCCATTTAAACATATAGCAACTCTTTGCTGGTTCTCTTTGCCAGTGTGCCCCTCAGAGTCAAATTCAATTATTTCTAAGTTAATGGACCCCTTCACTACACCAAATGTAGTCTTTTAACCAGCAGCATCATTTCCTGGGAACTTTTGAAAATGTAAATATTCAACCCTACCCAAGACCTGCTGAATAGGAATCAACAGTTTACATTTTCCATAGGATTCCACATGTACATTAAGGCTTGAGAAGCACTGAGCCAGGAGTGATGACAATAGGCACTTTCAATTTTCTTTTACTTTGTTGTTTTTGATTTGATGAACCCTATTTAAATCTGTCCTTGGGGGTCAAAACAACTGGTATAATGCTTTTCTGCCCAACCTGAAAGAAATTTTGTTTTCTTTGACAAGGAGGCAAATGCAGCTGCATGATTTCAAACTAAACAAATTAAGACAAAGTTGAAGTTTTCCTGAAAAATTCAAAGGTGGGAAAAAAAGTCACAAACAGGTAATTGCTCACATATTACCTGTCAGAAGTAGATGCTGTTCAAGTAATAAGATTTCTTCTTTTTATCTACCAGATCATATTAAACAAAAACACAGATTCCTTTATATAAGCACTGACTACATCATAGTATATGGATGACATTTTATACTACCAGAACTTCTTTTGGATAAAAATGGGTTCTTTCAAAACCATACTTTAAAAAATATGAATATATGAACTAGAACAATTCAGAAAAATAACATGATACCTCCTGACTACTTATACTAAACACATCCGGTGGAAAATAACCCTAGTTTAAAAAAGCAGATGGAAAATTTTCTTCTGGAAATTAATGTTAATAAAGAAATCTTTCTGATACTTGCAAGAATTTCACTATGTGCACAGCTGTAAACAGAATAATGTGGAAAAAAAGATACTATTTTCTTTTCCTATGAGCCCAGCAGAAAGAATCACTTCACTAATTTTTTTAATCTATGAGTAGATAAGTAGAAGTCTTTAAAATAAAATCTTCCACTGATTTTTATATTTTTTTCTGAGAGAAATTCTTGTTGGCACTCTAAAAAGCTGGATTTTCTGTAGTTTTGGCAGAATAAGACAGCCACAAATCATTTGACATTCGTCTTTTTATTTCTTTAACATTAGAGAGCCAAATGCCCCTCTTTTTTTGCAACTGGAGTGGCCTTTCAGGTGATAGAACGCAGGGAAAATGAGATTGTGTAACTCCTAGGGCTAGGTCTGAAGAAACTGTGTAGTTCCTGCCTTGCCCACTAAAATCCATGATGTCTAAATGCTTCCCGTTGGGATACTGCTCTCAGGACCAAGCAGCCATGCTGTGAGAAACCCAGGTCATATGGAAGACATTATGTTCAATTACTCTAGTTGACAGCCTCAGCTGAGCGAGCCATTTTGGAAGTTGAGCAGATAACTGGGGTCCCAGCCAATATCCAACTGCAACTTTTTGAGAGACAACAAGTGAGAATCCCTAGCTGAGCTTTTTTAAAATTCCTGACCACAAAATTATAAGCAAAATAAGATGGTTGTTTTAAAATGCTAAATTTTGAGGTAATTTCTTTTTTAGCAATAGATAAAACACCAACGAATGCCACAATCTCTGTATGCAGAGACCATTGTTTCCTTCCTGTTGCACTGTATGTTTCATAGTATTGACTATTCAGCAAAAATATTAGCAATAACTTTGTGTGATCATAAATATATTAATAATCTCTGATTGCTAAAATGTCATTTACCTAATTTCATTTTGTTTTTCAAATCTTACTAACCATATTGAGTTGAAAGACAGCAAAAATGATTTGAGAGAGCATTGTTGGTACTGGCAGGATAGGATTTGTAGAGTGAAGGCAACAGCTTTGGGTACCTGAACCCATGAAAAGGCCAGGTACAACTGACTAAAGAGGGTTATCTAAGAAGCAAGCAATAACTGATGAATGGGAGAACAAAATCATTGTTGGCTACTTTTATAGAAGTCCCTTCTGAAAATGACATCATGCCACAGCTTCCTTCAAAGCAAAATGTTTTCCCAAAAATTATAACAAAAACTTATTTTTCGTGAAAGCAGGCCAACTGTTTTCAACTATTAACTTGTGCTGATCTCTAACACATGGATAAAGGGATTTCTAATTTGAAATTAAAGTTTGTTGCTAAAGTGGCAGGCTAGTTTCAGGTTACAGCTGGGAATTCTTGACTTATATCATGACTGAATCAAGAATCAGTAGTAAACACTTCAAACATTTTGTGCCATTTTTTGCTGGAGTCCAAATCTATCCTTCCTACCCTGGCAAGTTGGCTTCATCTATCTACTGCACTATCTAACTATAGGACATACTAGAGGCTTATAATCTAAAATTATTTTTCCTTTTGGTCCTCACCTAAACCATGTTTAGGCACATTTTAATTTTATTTTTTTAACCTTAATCTATTGGTTTCATTTTATTCTAACATAAGTCTCTATTTATGGGAGGTAACCAATTAAAACTACCAAAAGGTGTTCATATATGAATTGATGGCAGAAGAATAGGTGTATGTAATCATAGATATAATGGGAAAAAAACAAAAATGAAAGAACAGTGCAGTCTTTTTAATGAATGTAATCTATGATTGTTTGTTTTTTTAGGGAAACAGGATTTTTAAAAAATTTTTTATTCCCACAGGTTTTTTGTGAACAGGTGGTAGTTACATGAGTAAGTTCTTTAGTGGTGATTTGTGAGACTTTGTTGTACCCATCACCTAAGCAGTATATACTGAACCCAATTTGCAATCTTTTATCCCTCACTTGACACCCACCTTTTCTCCTGGGCCCTCAAAGTCCATTGTATCATTCCTATGTTTAGGCACATTCTTAAGTAGGGCTTAGGAATTCTGGGTTTATACTGCATGGGGGCAACTAATGAGTGCTCATATGATTTCTGCTGGCTTGTAAAGTGGTGATTTTCTCATGAGAGATGTCCCTATTTCCCATGAAATTTTTGCTTCTGCTTTCCCCAGGAGTGGCTCTGAGAATAATTGGACTGTATCCTGCAGGAGGGGGGTTAAAGGCAGAGGTATTGCCCTGTTGAGAACTGAGCTTGGTAGAAGGCAAATAGACTCCCAGAAGCATAACTCATAGTGGTGTGCCATAGTTACTACTGAGAAATTGTAGCACTTTCGAAGAAAAGAGAAGAAGGATTAGCTCGATTAAGACACCATCTTCATATCTATGAGACAGAACTAGAGAGGCAAAGAGTGAACCTAAAATATAGGTGACAGGTATATTCAACATGTAAAAACACTTTTCATTTAAACTTACCTTAGTCAGGTTCAGATGCTAACTCATTAAATATGACTACCACTAAAACAACAATGAAAAGAAATGTAAGAAGTAACATAATAGAATGATAAAACAGTCCAATTATCTAAATATGTTTTGATCCCCTGATATTTATAATATAAATAATAATCATTAAACCTTGAATTTTATGGTGTCTCCGTGTCTCCAACTGAGGCTTCTTTGAAGTAGTGATGTCATATTAAATGCTATAAATGGGCAAAGTAATTGATAACTTACATTCTTCAGAATGAGAATATTTGCCCCATCTTAGATTATTCACAGGCCCACTTGTGCTTTTAGAATTCAATTATATTTTATCTTATCAACTTTTCTAACTATTCCTTGTAAATACTCTCTTTTTTAACCTTAAGAGTAATGATTGTAATTTATTCAGTGTGTACCTGGCTACAAATTATACTACAAGACTACAGTAATCAAAATAATATGATACTGGTATAAAAGTAAATGCATAAACCAGTGAAACAGAATAGAGAACCCAGGAATAAAGCCAAATACCTACAACAAACAGATCTTTGAGAAAGAAGACAAAGATGTGCACTGAGGAAAGGATACCCTATTCAATAAATGGTGCTTGGAAAATTGGATAGCCACATGCAGAAGAGTGAAACTGGATCCCTATCTCTCAACATATCCCAAAAAAAAATAACACAAGATGGAAGGAAGACTTAAATGTAAGACCTGAAACCATGAAAATTCTAGAAGAAAACCTAGGAGAAACTTTTCTGGACAGTGGCCTAGGCAAATAATTTATGGCTAAGCAAATACAACAAAAACAAATACAACAAAATAAGAATAAATATATGGTACTTAATTAATACTTAATTACTCTTATTAATAGTACTTAATTAAATACTCTCTTTTGTGCTTTTGTTTTGCAGTGCTTACTCATCAAACTTCTCCCTTCCTCAATCCTTCCATGACTAAATCCTTCCTTTAGCATATTCAAAGAATGAATATCCTTACCTGAAACAGAGGAGGACTTAATTTCAATGATCACATCATTCACATTTGTTCACATGGCCACCTCTCATGCTAGTGAAGTTGTTAACTGGTATCTTGATTCAAGGGAAGTGTGCTGTGGAAGGTTATTTGAACATCTTCTGCCCCCTGCCATTAGTGGTGGTGGCATCGTGCCCAGGATTGAAGTTGGCTACATACTCAACCACAAAGACTGAGGAGAAAGGGATTATGGGCAGTAATGTTTCCTGGTTTTCCCAAAGTTAAGTGTTGAGGCAGGAGATGCCTAAGAAGCCTGTTATAATTCAGTTCATCTGTAGCTCTGGTTGGTAGAGCTTCCCAAAATGTACCTTGCAAATGACTTGGACTTTATATGAAATGTCTTACTTGGGAACAAGACAAAATAGGATGCAGGGCAAGATTTCAGAAAAGATTAGACTGCGTTCTCAGAGAGACTTCGGGTTAGGTCCTACCTCTGCCATTCACTAGCTTTGAATTTGGGCAAAGAACTTATCTTTTCGGCCCTCTGTTTGCTCATATACCACAATGTTCATCCAACAACTATGCCACACTCTTAACGTTGTGTAGCTATTTTGAAACTGTGTTCAAAGTTTAGGTGTGGCAGAGGTTCTTCTTTGACCCAAAGATCAGACAGACTTGGTTCAAATAGATGATGGTAATTGCATGCCTCCTGCTGGAGACTGGTTTGAAGATGGACATGTTACCCATTTCTGGCCAATAAGACATAGAGGAGATCAACCTGGAAGGATTATGAGGAAATCTTCCTTGTTCTTGAAGAGATCCATTGGTAGAAATAGGCTTTTCTGCCAGTGCTCATCACTATAGGAGGATGTGATTTTTAGAACTGTGGCAGCCATCTTGTGATCAGGAAGGGTCAAGCTAGAATAATCAAAGCCTGCATGCCAAGGGAAGGAAGTGATGCCATTACGTTGACCCCTGGCAATGTAACGAGTTGCTTCACTAACAGAGCTTGAGACTTTCTTATGTGAAATATTCAATTCTTCTTATTGGATAAGTCTGTTGAATTAGGTTTCCTGTGCGACTTGACACCAAAGGCCTCTTAATAGATAGACCAATTCTATAAAATGAGAATTCAAATATCTATATCAAGGTTTTTTGAAAAAAGAACATGAGACATATGTATAAATAAAGATTTCATGTAGTGCTTTTCATATTGTACGTGCCTAATAAATATCATCAATGTTAGAATTAACAGCATTATAATTATTACTTCCTAATGTTCCAAAGTAAGAAAGTTCAAACTATGAAGGTTAAGTTACTTGCCCACGGTTACACAGTGAGCAAGTAATAAAGCAAGGAAGAGAACGTAAATTTCTAAACTTCCACAAGACAAGATGCTTTTCATCAAATGGTGCTTTTCATTCTATGTGAGAGATGTACTTTTATGTGGTTGCTGCCACTTTCTCAAACTCTAAATTTTTTAGAGAGTTTATTTTCTATTTTCTAAGCCTTCATGAGCTCTGTATTTTCTAGATTTCTTTTTTTTTTATTTTCTAAAAGGAAAAATATAAAAGAACAAACACTATATAGGAGTACAAAGGGCATATGTAATTGCTCCTTCTTTGTAAGAAATTTATTCTACTTTTCAGATTCTTGCATTTATCTTCATATTTTCTCCCAAAGAAGTCAAAAACAAAACAAAACCCCAAAAACTTCATTTTAAGTTCTGTAAAATTGAAAGCAAAAAAGAATCCCATTTATTATTTTTTATATAATAAATACTTCATCTTATCTCCTTGATTGTCGGCTCACTTTTCTTTTTCACTTCATTATATTTTCTTACAAAGAGAGAAGAACCAGAAAATATGGAGCTATATCCCAAGGGTGGATATAGCTTGGAATATGGGGAGGGGTAAATCAAAGAATATTAAAGAAGAAACTACCCCATATTATTACCCCATTTGCTTCCATTTCCTAATTTCTCCACACATTGAAGCAGCAGATAATATTTATTGCTCCTGGTGATGTCATAGTTTTCTGGAAAAATTTATTTTACAAGATTTTTGTTTCCAATGAATTGAACAGCTTTGATTTGTGTGTTTTGTCCTGACCTTCTGGTTTCAGGACAAGGCTGATTTTTAAGTCTCGCAGTATTTCCTAGCAGATTTGCACTCAGCAAAGAATTGAAGCTTTCTTTGTCGACTTTGAAGCTTTATGTGTCATTGTGCAGTGAAAATAATGAAATACAGCATTATTCTTTTGTCGAGAATTAGACGGGCTGGAAATATATTATTTCTCTTAGGTTATCAAGAGCTTATATAGTTACTCAAGTAATTTAATGTGCACTCATTCCAGTTCCCTGCACTTTCAGATTCAGGTTGGTGGAACCAACACATAAGTTGATTTACCATTGCCGCATGGCAAGAAAACCATGGGAAGAATAAAAATCTCCAACAGAGCAGATCACACCCATTAATATTTGCAGTGGTTTTGGTGATTGATTCTTCCACATCCACTCCATTCCAGATGTCTAAAGGAATAACAGTAATGCCACTTCTCTAACTAGTAATTGGTCTAGGCATGGATATAGGTATATACCTAGATCTATATTAATATACATGAATATAATCTCTATATATGGATATAAATCTATATGGATATGAATCATATATATGGATATGAATCATATATATTGATACAAATATAGATATAGAGATATATATGGATTCTATATATGTGTATGAATATAGATATATCTCTACATTTATATCCATAGTCACATCCATTTATCTTAGATTAGAATTGGTTTGGATATGAATATAGATATGGAGACCTATCTATATTCTAGATATAGAGATATACCTATATTCATATCCATGTATATCTCTGTATCAATATTCATGCCTAGACCAATTATATCTATCTATATCTATGCCTAGACCATTCATACACACACACACACACACACACACACACACACACACACACACACACACACACGAATTTCTAGCAAATGAGGCAAGAGGGAAAGTCAGTTGGTGATGGACAAGAGAGGATTCTGGGATGAATGAGACCTAGAGAGAGTATCTCAGGCTGGATTTCCTAAAGAAAAGCCTGAGATGTGGATTCTTGTGCAAGATATTTGCTGAGGGTGTATTCCCTGGAGACGAAGAGTGAGGGAAGCAGAATAGAGTGCAGGAAGAAGGCTAAGCAAGAGTATGTTCTCAGGTGGAGAACGGCTTCAGCCTGGTCCTACAGGAAGCTCTGGGACAAACACTTCACATGGAGTTGGTCCCATGATGAGGCAAAGGATTGATCTTTTGTAACCCCGTGTTGGTCAATCACTAGTCATTGGTTGGCTCCCTTTTTCCCCAACCCTGATAAGAAAGGACATTGCCTCTCAGGCAAGGTGGGTCCTGTTTTGCCAAATGCAATTCTCACAACTGCTTGGGGACAAGTGTGCTGGCCCAGTAAAGGGAATCTGGGCAAGGCACCAATAGCATCCCTTACTGATGAGATGTCTGAAGCTACCAGGTGTCTGAACACAGTGCCCACACAGAGAAGAGGGCAGGTCAAACTAATCAGAGAGAAATAGAACCATAACCCTGACACACTCAGCATACTCTAGATTTCTTATATGAGATAAATTGCAGAAGTTACTCCGACCCAAGAATTCTGTGATTGCCACCAAAATACTCTGACATAATACTTACAGAGGTGATATTTCACATATCACTATTGTAAGAGAAACACTGAAAATCAGAACATTCAAACAGCACAGATAGATGATAAAATCAAAATATGTCTTCTTCCTGTCTTCCACACCTATCTCCTCATATAGCTTAACTATTTTCTTTTGATGATTTCCTTCATAATACTAAATGACATGCTTATATTTATATTTTTATCAACTCTAAGTAATATATATTGACTTTTTGCCCTAAAACTTGAGAAATTTAGCTCATTTATATTACCTCTGCTTCCCTGCTTTTCTGCTAACGTTTACTAGCTATATATTGGTTAATGTTTTTATTTTGTCATGTTAGGGTTTCAGAAATGCATTCGTATCTTTTTTATGGATTCACCACCTTTGCATCATTTCTGACTCCCTAGATATAAGGTAAGAGAACATGCACCTCTGCACCTCCTTCCTGACCTCTCTCCTTGCCGATAGCTCAGAATTTTTCTCAGCTCTACCATCTTCATGTTGTTAAGGTTTATCACAGTAATGTCTCCCAATGCTTTATTTCACCATTAGCCTTAGAACAGACCTTATTTAAGTTCACTACTCCAGGTCATCCTAAGGTGTAGGCTCCCAAACCCAGTGTATCATAGCAGTGGTGGCTCCTGCCTATAATCCCAGCATTTTGCGAGGTTGGGGCAGGTGAATTGCTTGAGCTCAGGAGTTCGAGCCCAGCCTGGGAAATGTGATGAAACCTTGTCTCGACCCAAAATACAAAAATTAGGTGGGCATGGTGGGGTGCATCTGTGGTCCCAGTAACTCTGGCGGCAGAGGCGCGAGGATCACTGGAGCCCGGGGAGGCATGGCTGCAGTGAGCTGTGATCATGCCACTGCCCTCCAGCCTGGGTGACAGAGTGAGACCCTGTCTCAAAAAACAATGAATAAAAATAATAAATAAAACATAATTTAAAAGGAAAAGGAAAAAGGGAAAGAATAGAAAAATACCCAAAACCGTTACAGAGCAAGAATCTTCCATGGGCATACCAAGATTTCTCTCCCTTTCCTCATCACATCAAGCACTTCCTTTCCTGGGTACAAAGTCCAATAAATAAACTTTGCACATGCATGTCAATATCGCTATTCCTTGGGGTGGAAGGAACAGGTGAAAGGCAGAAAGGAGCATAAGTTTTACCCGGAGAGATCAACATCTCCTTGTTTTGGTAATTTCAGGAGTTCCTAGCACTTTTTATTTTAACTCTGTTAGCAATTTTAATCACAAAATTAAAAATGTGTTTGTAGTAAAATTACTCATTTACAAACTATTTATTGTTTGTGTCCTCCATTACACTGTTGGCAACTCAAGGGCTGAAACATTATATCCTTAGAACAGTCTTCCATAATAACATGGTAGATATACATACAATAATTAGAAATGTACAGTGTAGTAGAAAGAGCACTAACAAATCTGAGGGTCAATAGTTCCCAGTTCTGCTACTAAAGTGCCTATTCATTAGTTTATTCATTAAATACATTTTGCATTTCTCCTCTGTGCCAGGGAATTTGCAGGGTACTGAAGAATAGCTTATGTACCCCAAATATACAGTCAAAGTTTCACATGACAAGTATAAGTACATTGGAGAAACCAATGTGTATTACTTTGGAAGGTACCAGTAGTTTGGCTTATCGAAGCATAAAGCATGAGGCAATGGCTAAAGGGAGATGACCTTGGAGAGACAGGGAGGGTCCAGATCATGGAAGGCCTAGAGTGCCAAACCAAAGAGCCTGAGTGTTACCCTATAGTTGTATGGGAGTCATTAAAGGTTTTAAACAGGTCAGACATAGCTATTAAATACAGTCCTGCATTGCAGATAGGAGAATGGCTTTAAGGGGAGGTGACCAGTGTCAGGCAGACTGGAAACATTTCATTGTCCAGGTTTGAAGTGAGGAGAAACTGATCTAGGATGTAGCAGGAGGAATAAAGAGAAGGAGAGAGATTTGAGGAACTGCTAGGAAGTGAAATCAGCAAAATATGAGATGGATTAATATAAGGGTAAGTGAAGAATAGGAAAGTAAGAGTAAAAGAGTGAAAAAGTAACATCTCAAGGCTTCTAGCATAGTGACTATTGTGGCCACTGACCAATAAGATGTGGAGGTGATAAACAGAAGAAGACAAGAGGATTAGAGTCAGGGGGAAAAAAATGTGATGACAGAGATAAGAGTGAAAGAGAAAGTAAGCGATTGAAAGATGGTACGCTGCTAGCTTTGATGATGGAGGAAAGGGAAACAGCCAAGGAATGCATGGGGTCCCAAGAAGCTGAATAAGGCGAGGAAACAAGTTCTCCCCTCAGAGGCTCCAGAAGGAGTCAGCCCTGCCAACACCTTACCTTTAGCCCAGCGGGACTGATTTTAGACTTGTGACCTCTAGAACTGTATGATAATAAATCTGTGTTGTCTTAAGCCACAAAATTTGTGGTAATTTGTTACAGCAGCAATGCAAACTGAAACTTCCAAAAGTATGTATTGAATACCTCTTATGTGCCAATGTGTATCTTTTAGAAACCATCATACTCATGGAAGGGAAAGAAGCAGAAAGAAATTATTATAAATATACTGTGAGAGGGGCTGAAATAAACAGAAGTTTGTACAGTGAACTGTGGGGTCAGAAAAGGCAAACAAGTCACTTCTCCCAAGGATAAGGGGCAGGAAGGGCTTCATCGTGGTGGTGAATCTCAGCTGAGTCTCAAAGGATAAATGTAAAAATTACTAGATGATTTCTGAGACTCCTTAAAAAAGCAGCACTCTGAGATCAGTGGACTCTTTTTAAGTGGAGTAATTAACTTGCGAGACATCTTGGGAAACAGGCAGCCATTCCGGGTTGAAGTAATGAATTTCCTCAATTACTCTTCTGAGCTCTTATTAGCATGACGCTCATTTCTCTCCTCCAGATGATCCCTCTGGGTGATGACATTTGATATACCCTGTCATTCTGAACAACCCAAATAATTATAATTTCATTTTTAGTTATTTGTTTCTCATTATTTATAAATGCATTAGTTTTCTGCCAAAAACTGGGTGGCTCAAAACAACAGAATGTATTGTCTTAGAGTTTTGGAGGCCAGAAGTCTGTAATTAAGGTGTTGTCAGGGGCATGCTCTCTCTGACAACTCTAGAGGAGAATCCTTCCTCGCCTCTTCTAGCTTCTGCGGCTTGCTGGCGATGCTTGGTGTTCCTTGGCTTGTAGATGTGTGACTGAAGTCACATGGCTGTCTTCTGCCTGTGTGTCTTCATCTCATCTCTCTCTGTGTGTGTCTGTGTCCGTGTGCAAATGTCCACTTTTCATAATGACACCAGTCATTGTGTATTAGGGCTCACCCTAATGACCTCATTGTAACTCAGTTACATCTGTAAATATTCTATTTCCATATAAAGTTAAATTCTGAGGTAAGGTGGATTAGGACCATAATGTATCTTTTTTGGAAGACACAATTCAACACATAATAATTGATTACCTCAGTTTATTTATACTTATGAATGGATTAGAAAGAGCAAGAATATTAAAAAGCTACTTTGTTCTTTCCTAGGCAAAAAGAAAATATACAGTGGAAATTTGACAGTAAACAGGTTAAGATTAAGAACAAGAAGACAATAAGTAGGATAAGATTAAGAACAAGAAGATAATGAAAAAATATGCAAGTAGTAACAAAATAACTACTCTGTTTTAAAACCCATAAGAAATTTTCTATTTAAATGTTTTAAAGATTTTTTAGGCTCTTTTAGAAAATAGTTTATGATATCACCTGAGATTTTTATAAATGTAAGTTATTTCAGAAAGCAATTTGAATTTGGAATAATATAAATGCATATAGAATTGTTTTCACATAAGGAAGTTAAAAAATTGATCATGAGGTGCAGAAGTTGTAGCAAAAAAGAGGAAGAGGAGACAGTCAGTGACATCAAGATATTCAGTTGCCTTTCTTCTCTTAAGTCCTACTACATGGAAGGGGGGATCAATAATTCAGAAAAGCAGGAAGTTAAAACTTTTGGAAATTTTATTCTTTCGGCAGGAAGTTATGAAAAAGGCTGCCAGTATGACACCCTGTAATAAATTATTCATAATCACAGCTGCTAGGAGCTCCCAGGGAACTGCCAAGCTGAGCTGCTTAAGCATTATACCACACTGACCACCCTGAAGTACCAGATCACAGCCAAGAAAGGAAAGATGGTAACTCTATGTACATAAAATAGGGTGAGTTACAGGCATATGCTGATTGAGTACGTTTCAGGAATTAAGAATTAATGAGAAAGACACATTTTAATTTTCTTCCCCTAATCTGCTTTCTAGGGCCATGCATTTTCACTATTCAATGTGCATGCCTTTGTTTTGTTTTAAAATAATGAATAGAATTATAGAAATATGGAGTCAACTTAAAAAAAACATGTCAGACTATTTAAAAGCTGGTATCACCAGTGAAACAATTTTTTTCTTCTATTTTTAGTAGACCCTAATTGTCAGTGAAGTAGCAGATGGTCTCTGGAATACTAATTAGTTTCCTATGGCTCCTGACATTCCTTGGCTTGTGGCAACATCACTGCAATCTCTGTTTCTATCTTCACATCTCTTCTTTGCCTTTACTCAGTCTCCCTCTGCCTTCCTCTTAAAATGATACATGTGACTGCATTTAGGTCCCATATGAATAATCTGGGATGATTTCCTCATCTCAAAATCCTTAGCTTAATCACACCTGCAAAGACTCTGTTTCCAAATAAGGTAATATGTACAGGTTCCAAAGACAAGGACCTGATGTCTTTAGGAAACATAATGCAGCCTGGTATAAACATAGAGTTTGCAAAACTAAAACTTTCACATAATGATAATAAACATGCAGTACTGAGTGGTGGTTAATAAGGTCGGCTCTAGAGTCAACCAACCTGGGTTCAAGTCCCTGCTGTGCCATGTATTACTTGTGCAACTTCGAGCAGGTGAGTCAACATTTCTGTACCTCACTGTCCTAATCTGTAAAATGGGGCCAATATTCTCACCTCTATTAAAAGCATGTGAGGAGGAGTAAATGAGACGATTCGCTTAAAGCTTTTAGCATGTGATCTTCACATGGCAAGGTTTCAGTATTGCCTATTGATAAAACTAGTGAGAACAGTGGCAGAAGAGCAGAACTCTGTGAAATTTCCAATATGATTCTCAATTATTCTCTCTTACAGTTAAAAATTTCCTCTTGGATCACAGAAAATGTCTGAGACCAGCTGAGTACTTTTATTTGATGAAAAAGACATCAAAATAGCCTTTTTAAGATAAAAGAATTAATACACTAGGAGCAAGAGGGGCTACAGGCAGAAATATTAAATAGAAACAAATGGGGATTTCAGTCTAAATAGTTTCCCTTGTGGCAATACAAATACAGAATTGATTTCCAAGAAAAACACAAAAGCAAATAGCAGAAATGCTTTTAAACTGGTAGACATTAATTGCTTAATGGATGACTAAAGGAGAAGCCATAATTTCAGATTAAAATAGACTGTAAGTGGGTGGATTATTAGTCTAAGCAGCCCTTTTTTGGTGTCCAGAGGTATGTTTTTAAAAATTAGAAAAAAATACTATCCTGGAAGCAAAGGGTACTCTAGAAGTCAGTCACTTCTTAAAAGAAACAATTTGTGAATCCACTTGGAATGGAGGACATTCTCACCAGCAGGCAGAGTGTGTGGTCCTTTCATTTAGGTGAAAATTGTTGCCCGTACATTCCTTTATTTTAAATTTGGAGTTGAAGAAAAATTGAGAGAAAGACATCTAGGGGTTCAAATCTACTTCACATCAACCATAAATCTGATTTTGGAGAACTAGTCTCTAGGTGACGAGTAGGTACGAGTATATAGGAAGTCAATTCTAGAGGAAGAATTCTCTGCAACCACGAAATAGATACTGAGAATGATTGAATTGGCTAAATATCTCTCCTTATCAATTTTACATGCAAAAGGCTTGCATTCAAAATGAAGTTCAGTTTTTGCCTCCCTGAAATTGTGTATGAATAACAATTTTTTATTGGAGAACAGCATCGACATGTGAAGCTTTATTTACTCTTTGCTGATACAGGAAGGAGTATTATTATCCCTTTCCAGAATTATCTTTAGCAGTTTCTATCAATGTCCTTGTCATTTTGAGTCTACTGAAATCATTTCTCTGACATCAAATTCTAATGGGATTCTTCTTTATTGCTTTCCTGTAATAGGATTGTTAAAAAGCCTCCTGTAGTAACCATCAGCACACCTTTTTATTATAAATCAACATTATTGTTCATCCTAACAGGGGAGGTCAGGTTGTGAAAAAGCCTTGTAATAACTTTCCATATTGGCAGAGTCTGATTCAGTAGGTTTGGCATAAGGCTTAGGAATTTGGGTTTCTTAAAATCTCTCCAGTAGCTTCATATATACAGTGTTTTCTGGTAGTTTAAGTACATTAATGTACAAGTTAATAGGAGATCCTTCTCTCTGGAAAAGTGATATGTACGACTCCTTAAGGAGACACTCTAATTCTGCCTCTTGTGACCTGTAGTGCCCTGGAGTGTCAATATTTATACCTATGTGCATGTGTGTGTGTGTGCATGCATGTGTGTGTTTTAGAGTGCATGAAATAATGCCTACTTACTTCCAAACATTTGGAAAAATCTTGATTTAGACTGTAAGTGGAAATAAGAAAGTGAAAAGTCCCCTAATAATAAAAAACTTTAAAATTATTTGAGAATTGATTATAATTTCAATAACAAAGATTATTATAACAACAGAGTGATCATCTAGAATATCATAGCTATCAATGTTCTTAACCTTTTTTACTTCCTTCTAATTATGGGATTTTATGAATTCCATGTATCTTTGAGGATGTTTTAAAATTTTTTTGAGCAAAATTGCCAATAACTACCAACAACAATAACAATAATCACAATAGCTGACACCCAGTAAGTTTCAGGGACTATAGCAAGCATTTTACATATAGTTTATGTAAATTTACAACTACCTTATCAGAGCAAAATTACTACTATTTCTGTTTTATTGAGGAGGAGATTGAGGTGTTAAGTAACGAAGAAGTTAAATCATACAACTGAAAACTGGTTAGGTTAGGATGATCCCATGAAATCAAATTTTAAAGCTTAACACCTTCATTAAATAAATAAAACTATTAATATTTAAATAAGTGGCATTTTAGAGCACAGGCTTATTTGAAACTTGCAAATTTTTGCCTCAGAACACAATGCCCCGAGACCAGATTGTTATTTCTTTATTCATCAATTTTTTTATACTGTGTCTACTTCCCAAAGGAATTCAAGTTGGCTTACAAGAGCAGACTTGTATGCCAGAGATAAACAATCTAAGAACCGGAAGTTTGATCAGCAGCAGGGAGTATCAATAGCTGCCAGTAGAAGACCTAGCTGAAATGAAGCCACTGTGATCCAAAGCAAAGTTATGACAACTCGGGCAGGAAAGAAAACAGCATGAGTGTGGAGATTAACATTTGTGTTCTGAGTGTGGTGGAAAGAGTTCTTGAGATACTAATCTTAGAGATATTGCTTTCTTGCTGCTCTTTCCAATCTTTTCTTTCTTCATCAGTCTGGGGCACCCCTGTGGCCTCCAGGAGAACTAGGGTTGTTGTAGCAGAAATGTAAGGAGAAAAACAATTATTTTCGGTAGTCATTTAGTCATTTTTAAGTCCCACACTAGGCTTCTAAGAATCAAAAGGAAAGTCTTGCTGGAGAATTTTTGACATGGAAGTTATTAGAGATGCAAGGGCATTGGGCCCCATCTCTGTGACCCCATAAGGCTCCTTGTCTAGGGGCGCGTGAATATCATCAACATGGAAGAGGTCACTAGTCTAAGAGAGAAGGTCCTGCCCAGTGGATCCTGGTGGAAGCAAGGCGAGGGTGACTTCTCCATCCTCTTAGACAAAGGAGTCATGACCTCATTCTTCAAAACTCTTTAAGTGAAGGCCTTTTATCTACAGCTGCCGGCATGTCTTCTGTGGCCCACTCAGCAAGAAGGACCCCTTCTCATGCTGCTGGAAACTGCCCCATGAGAACAATATCCTTGTCATCAGCCAGGACATGGGGCAAGGTCCTCAATCCTTAGAGTGGGAAGGAGTGGTGTGGAACAAAAAGCCTCAGCACAAGAGCTAAGGGAAACCAAGCCCACACTAGCACTGATGTGGGAGAAATTTAGTGCTTCGAGCTGATACACACTTAATGCACAGAGTAATACTGGAAAGACATTGAATATTGCTATAAAAACAATGCATCCATTAATATTGCATTTTTCACTTAAAATCACTTTCACATGGTGTAAGTAGACGTTTTTTAAAAAGATGTAGAAACACTTTTTTAACATGAAAAAATTGTATTACCTATTTATTGACCCTCTTCTCACAATAGGATAGAAACTCCATGAGAGTGGATATCTTATTAACTGAGTGTCTTATTCACTACCATGCTGAATGTGATGATAGAATTATGTCTGGCACTTAATAATTATTTCCTGTGGACAGACTCTGTGACTAATCCCGCTATTAAATGAATGAATTAATGTGGGTTTGAAATGATGACCTTAGGGTGGGAAAGAGTAATCCCTTGAATGTCAACTCTGGTCAACTGGTATTGTTTCCAGGGAATACAAAACAGAGGACAGAGGACTTTAACCATGGATTTTAACAGTTATCTAACTGAACTTTCAAAAAATTTGAATGTGGCACCTGGCATAGCTGGATTCTGATAACACAGTTATCATAACGGACACATTAGCTGGCATTGACCAGAAAATGTACCTCAGGTAACTGAAAGACTCAGTGACCTGAATTATTTAGCACTGTCCGTCTAAATGCCAGGGAATGCTTGCCTACCTCAAAATCGTGGTTTCAGTTTTACCTACTGGATGTTGTGCTGCTCTTTCTGACAGTAATTTGTGGCTAAAGTTCAACTGTTTCTGCAACTTATGAAAAATAAAGAAGGGTACTTGTATTAGTCTGTTCTCACATTGTTTTTAAAGAGCATATATAAATATACGTGACACCGTATATTTATAAAGAAAAGAGGTTTAATTGACTCACAGTTCTGCAGGCTGTAGAGGACGCATGGCTGGGAGGCCTGAGGAAACTTAAAATCATGGTGGAAGGGGAAGCAGATATGTCTTATATGGTTGGAGAAAGAGGAAGAGAGAGTGAAGGAGGAGGTGCTACACACTTTTAAACAACCAGGTCTCGTGAGAACCCACTCACTATCACAAGAACAGTAAGGGGGAAATCTGCCCCCATGATTCAATCACCTCCCACCAGGCCCCTCCTCCAACACTGGGGATTACAATTCCACATGAGATTTGGGCAGGGACACAAATCCACACCATCACTATTCATCTTCCTATTTGCTGCAGAAGCAGAGAATGTACATGTTGTTTGTTCAAAAGTGATACATATTTAAGGTAAAAAAATTAAACATGCATAAATCTCAAAAGAAAAAAATTACCCAGAGAAAAACAGTACTGATAATATAGTGTAAAACTTTCTAGAATACTTTCATGCACAGAGATGCATCATTTTCACAAAAAAATAGTTATTTTATGCATACTGTTTTATAACTTGCTTTCCTCCTTAAAATATATTGTGTACATTTCCCCATACATACTCTTCTCCAGCCATACTGTTATTCTTCAGGTATGCTCTTTTAAGAGCTATGCCATTTTTCATCACAATGATGCACATAATAATGGGGTTAATTCTTTTTCTATTGGTGGATTTATAGGTATTTTCATTTTTAAATATAATATATAGATCTTGAATGTGCATTCTTTTTTTTTTTTTTTTTTTTTTGAGACAGAGTCTCGCTCTGTTACCCAGGCTGGAGTACAATAGCGTGATCTTGGCTCACTGAAACCTCTGCCTCCCGGGTTCAAGCAATTCTCCTCCCTCAGCCTCCCAAGTAGCTGGGGCTACACACATGCACCACCACACCCAGCTAATTTTTGTATTTTTAGTAGAGACGGGGTTTTGCCATGTTGGTCAGGCTGGTCTTGAACTCCTGACCTCAGGTGGTCCACTTGCCTCAGCCTCCCAAAGTGCTGGGATTACAGGTATGAGTCACAGCGCCCAGCCAAATGTACATTCTTTTAGTGATGTTTGTACAAATATATACTTGTATAGTTTGGATATGTTACTTATGGAGCAATTGCTGTCTTCTTCATTAATACTTTTGCAATTTTGATTGAGCTGTGCATCCACATTAAAATAATTCATTTTTTAAAATTAGCTTTCGTGTACTATGCCCTTACTTCAAAAACATTATTTCTTTGCTCATAAGCTTAATTTCCTTTTATTGCTATATCATTGGATGTGTTTCTTCAAGTTGCTGAAGAATGATAAATAAATGGGTGATGTACTTTATGAGTCCTTCCAAATATAAGCGTGAATTTTTATTGCCTTTATACATGATAATCAATTTGGCCTGAGACAATGTTTGGTTATATCCTCCCCACCCTCAAACTATGTAAATATTGCCCTAGATTTTCTTGCAAATGTTTCTGAGAAGAAAAGTCTTGGCCCAATCTGAATTTTGATTATTTATTGGTTATAGATATAGATGTAGGTATATAGACATAGACACAGACTGGTATATCTAGGTATAGATATAAACATAGATATAAAGATATGTTTTTATCTAGAGGTCTTACAGATGTTAAAAAATCCTTTAGATAAAAATACCGTCAGAGGTACTTAGGTGTAGATTTCCTTCGATTAAGTTTGCCCAGAAGATAGTTGACTCTTAAAACTGCATATCTGGATATTTTTTAGTTCTGAAAAGTTTCTTAACATTGTTTCATATTTTTGTCCTCCCTCATAAATAATAATTGTATTTTTGTTGTATTTTCCCTCTGTCTAGTTCATATCTATCATTTATCCAGCCTTTGCATTTCAAGAAAGTCACTCAAATTAGATCTCAACACCCTGTTTTAGCTTTTTCATGGCATCATTTTGGTCTCTATTTCCTGCAATATGAGTTTTAATTTGTTATAATACTTTAGTTTCTTGAAGATATTTTACTATATTATTCTTCTCTTTTTTTAATATTGAACTGTTCCTTCTTATCTCAGTCCATTCTCTTCTTATATCTTTTTATTTCTGTTTCAAAGAAGCCACATCTAATTTAATTTGATAAAAGTGCCAACATCATCTTAAAATGTTCTTCTAAGATAATTAGATCACGATTTTCCACCAATGTGCTTCTCTTCTGAGTCTTCAGAATACGATTTCTTTTCCTTTTTCTCCCCAATTTGACCAGGGATGTAGACTTTTCTTTATTTTCTTTTTACCTTTGTACTACTCAAATTCCACTCTCAGATTTGTACCTAGAGAGTAAGATAAAGACAAGCCCCAGTCCAATTGCTATGGTTTGGATGTGAGTCCCCACCCAAATCTCATGTTGAATTGTAATACCCAATGTTGGAGGCAGGGCCAGGTGGGAGGTGATTGAATCATGGGGGCAGGTTTCTCACAAATGGTTTAGTACAATACCCTTGATACTGTCCTTGTCATAGTGAGTGAGTTCTCATGCAATCTGGTCATTTAAAAGTCTGTGGCGTCTCCCCCATCTCTCTCTGGCTCCTGCTTTCCACCATGTGATATGTCTTCTCCCCTTCGCCTTGTGCCATAATTGTAAGTTTCCTGAGGCCTTCCCAGAAGCCAAGCAGATGCCAGCATCATGCTTCCTGTAAAGTGTGCAGTAACATGAGCCAATTAAACCTCTTTTCTTTATAAATTACCAACTCTCAGGTATTTCTTTAGTTCAATATAAGAACAAACTAATACATCAACTATCAATTTTTGGTAGACCTTTTTTTTTTTCAGTTTTGCCCTGTTCTTCTCATCCCATAAATGACTGTTTGATAGTCTGAAAAATTGGAATACATGAGACATTATGTAGAGTTACGGGAATTCTCCTGTCTTTACCCTAATGTACAAACATTTGCACATGGAGACTATAATACATTTGGAGTTGCTGCATTTAAATGGGCCTAGAATAAAGGAGGGGCAGAAACAAGGCACACTTCTCTGTCTCTTAAAAAGCAAAGCCTAGGCTGGGCATGGTGGCTCACACCTGTAATCCCAGCACTTTGGGAGGCCAAGGTGGGCGGATCGCTTGAGGTCAGGGGTTCGAGACCAGCCTGGCCAACATGGCAAAACCTCATCTCTACTAAAAAGAAAAAAATACAAAAATTAGCTCGGCATGGTGGTGCGTGCCTGTAGTGCCAGCTATACGGGAGGCTGAGGCAAGAGAATCGCTTGAACCCGGGAGGCAGAAGTTAAAATGAGCCAAGATCACGCCACTGCATTCCAGCCTGGGCAACAAAGAGCGAAACTCCATCTCGAACAACAACAACAACAAAACAAACAAACAAAGAACAACCAAGACCTATGTGAAAGAGAGACCAACCCTGCCCTAGTCATCTGGTTAAAGCATTCATTCCCTGGTGAACTGAGTCAAAGGGCACACAATGGGACAGGTTAAAAATGTCCTGGTTTTGTTTCAGGTAGTCTATATCTCAAGAGGAAAAGCTGGGTGTGCCATGAAGTAAAGCCTAGATAGGTTTTCTCAACCCAAATCCATCTATCTTACTATTATATGCAAGTTCTGACAATTTCTGTTTTCAGGGTGTGCACTGAACAATGTTCAACAGATATTTATCAAGTCATTGCAATAGGCTGGTGTTGTACTATTGGATGACTTCACAGTGGTGATTAAAAGAGAAATGGCTCTTGCCTTCACATAGCTTTAAGTCTCATGTGTTCATCAGTCTTAGCTTCTATCACTATTTCTTTCTTTTCTTTTCTTTTGCGATGAGGTCTCACTTCATCACCCAGGCTGGAGTGCAGTGGCATGATCACAGCTCGCTGCAGCCTCGACCTCCCAGGCTCAAGTGATCCTCCTGCCTCAGGCCTCCAAATAACTGGGACTACAGGTGTGTGCCACCATGCCCAACTAATTCCCCCCCGCTTTTTTTTTCAGAGATGGGATCTCGCCACATTGCCCAGGCTGATCTCAAACTCCTGAACTCAAGGGATCCGCCTGCCTCAGCCTCCCAAAGTGCTGGGATTACTAGCGTAAGCCACCGCACCAGTACATTTTTTTCTTTTCTATGACCCCTTGAGTCCTGGAGTGAGAAATTGTGAGATGCTGCAGGACTAGAGATAGAAGAGGGAGGGAAGTGATATTTCTTAAAGTCTCGTTTGAACTTTAACTTTTTATACAATCTGCAAATCTGCAGTCTTAAACCCTTAGTTTTGCCAGTGCAAAATGTGGATTCCAATGCAATAATATACAGAGATAATTACATAAAATTAAGTGAGATGTTCACCAAAAAACTCTATTGGTTTTCTATTGTCGCCATAACAAATTACCACAAACCAAGTAGTTTACAAGAATACAAACTTGTTCTTATACAGTTCTAGAGATAAAAGTCCAACATCAGTTTCACCAAGATGAAATCACAGTGTTAGCAGAGTTGCATTCCGAGTGCAGGTTCTAGAGGAAAATCCATTTCCTTGCTTTTTCCAGCTTCTGGAGGCCTCTGCATTCCTTGATGCATAACGTTTTCTTCCTCTTTAAAGCACATTACTTCAAGTTCTCCTTTCATTGTCACATCTTGTTTTCTGATGCTGACTCTTGTGCTTCAATTTTATAATGACCATTGTGATTACATTGCCCACTGGACAAGCCAGGATAGTCTTCCCGTGTTGAGATCCTTAACTAAATTACGTCTGCCAAGTCCCTTTTACCATGCAAAGTATCATATTGACAGGTTCCATGGATTAGGCTGTGGACATCTGGGGCGGGGTGGGCAATTTTCTGCTCCTCAGCCCTTTGCCTTACTTTTGTAGGTAGATCATAAATAGAATATTATTAAATACCATAGTCTCCTATTACCCATGGTTTCCTTTTCTGCAGTTTTAGCTACCTGCAGTCAACTATGGTCCAAAAATATTAAATGGAAAATTCCACAAATAAACAATTTTAAAGTTTTAAATTTTGCACTCTTCTGAGCATCATGATAAAATCTTGCACTGTCCTGCTCCATTATGTGTATGACATGAATCATTCCTTTGTTCAGCATCTCCATGCCGTAGATGCTACTGGCCTATTAGTTACTTAGTAGCCATCTCAGTTATCAGGCACACTATCTCAGTATTGCAGTCTGTGTTCAAGTAACTCTTTAGTTAACAATGGCTCCAAAGTAGAAGAGTAGTAATGCTGGAAATTTGAATACGCTAAAGAGAAGCCATAAAGAGCTTCCTTTAACTGAAAAGGTGACCTTGGTGTTCTTTGGCTAGGGTTTGTTACTCTGCATGGTTTTAGGCATCCACCAGATTCTTGGAACATATTCCCCCATGGATAAGGGGAGACTACCGTATGCCTTCTCCCAATATTTCAATGTTGCTGGTACACATGTATTAGCTATCTGTCACTGCATAGCAAATTATCTCAAATTTAGTAGTTTACAACACAAATATTGATCATCTCACAGTTTCTATGAGTTGAAAATACGGGTAGAGATTAACAGTGTGCCTCTGGCTCAAAGTACCTCATGAGGTAGTGCGTCCGGAATCAGAGGGTTCTTTCTTGGTCTCACTGACTTCAAGAATGAAGCTGCGGACCCTCGCTGGGAGTGTTACAGCTCTTAAGTTGGCGCGTCTGGAGTTTGTTCCTTCTGACGTTCGGATGTGTTCGGAGTTTCCTCCTTCTGGTGGGTTCGTGGTCTCGCTGGCTTTAGGAGTGAAGCTGCAGACCTTCGCAGTGAGTGTTACAGCTCTTAAGGCAGCGCGTCTGGAGTTGTTCGTTCCTCCCGGTGGGCTCGTGGTCTTGCTGGCTTCAGGAGTGAAGCTGGAGACCTTTGCAGTGAGTGTTACACCTCATAAAAGCGGTGTGGACCTAAAGAGTGAGCAGTGGCAAGATTTATTGCAAAGAGCTAAAGAACAAAGCTTCTACAGTGTGTAAAGGCACCCAAGCGGGTTGCCAATGCTGGCTCCAGCAGCCTGCGTTTATTCTCTTATCTGGCCCCACCTACATCCTGCTGATTGGTAGAGCCCAGTGGTCTGTTTTGACAGGGTGCTGATTGGTGCGTTTACAATCCCTGAGCTGCACACAAAGGTTCTCCACATCCTCACCAGATTAGCTAGATACAGCGTGTCGATTGGTGCATTCACAAACCCTGAGCTAGACACAGGGTGCTGATTGGTGTATTTACAAACCTTGAGCTAGATACAGGCTGCCGACTGGTGTATTTACAATCCCTGAGCTAGACATAAAGGTTCTCCAAGGCCCTACTAGAGTAGCTAGATAACAGAGTGTCCCATTGGTGCACTCACAAACCTTGAGCTAGACACAGGGTGCTGATTGGTGTGTTTACAAACCTTGAGCTACATACAGAGTGCCAATTGGTGTATTTACAATCCCTGAGCTAGACATAAAGGTTCTGTAAGGTTCTACTAGACTCAGGAGCCCAGCTGGCTTCACCCAGTGGATCCTGCACTGGGGCTGCAGGTGGAGCTGCCTGCCAGTCCTGCGCCGTGTGCCCGCACTCCTCAGCCCTTGGGTGGTCGATGGGACTGGGTGCCATGGAGCAGGGGGCGGTGCTCGTCGGGGAGGCTCAGGCCGCACAGGAGCCCACGCAGGGGGAGGGGGGGCTCAGGCATGGCGGGCTGCAGGTCCTGAGCCCTGCCCCGTGGGCAGGCAGTTAAGGCCGGGCGAGAAATGGAGCGCACCGCCGGTGGGCCGGCACTGCTGGGGGACCTAGTACACCCTCTGCAGCCGCTGGCCCGGGTGCTAAGACCCTCATTGCCCGGGGCCGGCAGGGCCGGCCGGCTGCTCCGAGTGCGGGGCCCGCCAAGCCTACGCCCACCTGGAACTCCAGCCGGCCTGCAAGCTCTGCTCGCAGCCCCGGTTCCCGCTCACGCCTCTCCCTCCACACCTCCCTGCAAGCTGAGGGAGCCGGCTTCGGCCTTGGCCAGCCTAGAAAGGGGCTCCCACAGTGCAGCGGCGGGCTGAAGGGCTCCTCAAGTGCTGCCAAAGTGGGAGCCTAGGCAGAGGAGGTGCCGAGAGCGAGCAAGGGCTGTGAGGACTGCCAGCACGCTGTCACCTCTCAGTAGCAGCAGTCAAGGTATCAGTTAGGGCAATAATCTCATCTAAAGCTTGGGTTGGAGATGGGATCTACTTTCAAGCTCATGAATATGGCTGTGGGAAGGCTCCAGTTCTTCATTTTTGGGCCTCTCCACAGGGATGCCTCCCAACGTGACAACTGGATTTTCTCAGATAAGCAATCCAAGAGAGAAAAAGTGAGTATGCACAAGATGAAAGCCAAAGTCTTTATCTAACCTAATCTTAGAAGTAATATCATGTCACTTTGCCATATTCTGGTCATTAGAAATGAGTTGATATGTGCAGCGCATATTCAAGAGAGTGAATACTGCACAAACGTCAGCAAGTAGGGATCTTGATTATTTTAAATAATGGATAACATTATTTAAAATAATCAAGAACTGCTTGATTATTTTAAATAATGGATAACACATAATGTACACTTCTCCCATCTCTTAATATTTCTCTCTTTCCTTTTTCAAATAATGGAACACAACATAGGAATAATTTTTCATTAGAGTAACAATTTATCATTATTTATCTAATGATAATAATTTATCATTAGAGTAACAATCTAAATTTTAGCACAGTCTTTCCATTGGATTAATGAGAGTTCTTACCTGAAGAATTCTGTGCCCATCCACCAAAAGAAACCTGTCATCAACAATTAATGTTGTTTAGTCAGTGGTAGTTCTACCATGTTGGTTTCTTGTTTTAGAAAATATAATCTTGGTATTTAAAGTCAGCACGTTATGCCTGTTTATAAATCATGTTTTTCCTTCTTAAGGAAATAATTAAAAGGTACAAGATAGAAAAAGGTGCTGGGAGTTTGAAGATACAACACATGAAATGACAAACATGCTCACACAGTTGAATTCAAGAAATAAAAATATAGAGATCAAGGCATGATGTAGGCTTATTAAAATATAAATATGTGTGTGTAATACATATATAAGTATGTATTCTGTTTAATCTCTGTCCATATATGTGTGTTTAATCTTTATACACACACACACACACACACACACACACATATATAGACAGAGATTAAACAATAAAGGGGACAACATAGTATAATTGTAACATTTTTAAATCTAAATGTGAGTACAAATTAATCTTATATCAGACATATTTCCTGAAGTTTGCGGAGATGAATGAAATACTTTAAATTTAGGGAAACATTATGTTTAAATAAAGGCATTTAATGGTAAAAGAGGATGTATGGAGGCCGAGTGCGGTGGCTCACACCTGTAATCCCGGCACTTTGGGAGGCCAAGGCGGGCAGATCACGAGGTCAGGAGATCGAGACCATCCTGGCTAACACGATAAAACCCCGTCTCTACTAAAAATATAAAAAAATTAGCCGGGCGTGGTGGCGGGCATCTGTAGTCCCAGCTATTTGGGAGGCTGTGGCAGGAGAATGGCGTGAACCTGGGAAGCGGAGCTTGCAGTGAGCAGAGATCATGCCACTGCACTCCAGCCTGGGCGACAGAGTGAGACTCTGTCTCAAAAAAAAGAGGATGTATAGGAAAAAAAAGATGATATATCCATATTGCGTGTTTAAGAACTTTCACAGGAGTTTTTCTGTTTGTTTTTGCAAAGCTATTCCTATATTCTGTTCATTTGCATTTCTTTCTTAGACATTCAGGCCATACTTAAACACCTTCAAGCAGCTGGCAGTAAGTACCTTATGAGAAAGTATCACTGTAATTGTTTCTACATAGTCAAACATTTTACCTTGACTCAGTCAATAAATTCTAGTTGCCCTATTGGATCCTGAATGTAAATTTATAGAGAATGAACTCTCATGACCTAATCAGAGTCAGGTATTCTCTCAACTAATACATGGTGGCTATGTGGGGTAGGGAGAGGGAAAGGTGGGTGAGGAGGGGATCACACAGTATTGAAGTGGGTGCTGTCAACCATGGGATTGAAATGAGAAGGGAAAAGTGGAAGGGGCGATTTCCAGGAAAACAGGTCTCAGAACCCAGAGAAAGAAGAGTGTGAAGTAAACAAAAACAAAATTTCCACTATAGCATAATATCCTTCAAAATAACTGAAGATAATTGTCAGGCTCTCAGCGAGTCTTCTCTTTTCTGGGTTTTACACTTTAAGATACTTTTTAACATCTTCACACAGCTGTGAAGCCCTTATCTTTTTTAACCTTTCCAAATTTGTGAATATTAGATATAATGTACAGCCCTATAAATGATTAGCATAATGTGTAATTATAAACACCTGTCTAAACACTACCCAGGATGGCAAGCAGAATATTGCCTGCACCTTCAAATTCTCTAATTTATTCATGTCCTGTAGACCCCCGGAGAAAAAAATACTATCTTTTTTTTTTTTTTTTTTTTTTTTGTGACGTAGTCTCTGTCGCCCAGGCTGCAGTTCAGTGGCGTGATCTTGGCCCACTGCAACCTCTGCCTCCTGGATTTAAGCAATTCTCCTGCCTTAGCCTCTCGGGGAGTGAAGATTACAAGTGCCCGCACCACGTCCATTGAATTTTTTGTATTTTTAGTAGAGACGGGGTTTCACCATATTGGCCAGGCTGTTCTCGAACTCCTGACCTCTAGTGATCCACCCACCTCAGCCTCCCAAAGTGCCGGGATTACAGGCATGAACCACCGCGCCCAGCCAAAATGCTATCCTAACTTTTGAGGTAATTGCTTATTTGCTTCTTTTTTTCCCCCTCCTTTTGGTAGTTTATTCACATAACTATATATCCCTAAATGTTTTAGTTTAGTTTTGCCTGTATTTTTTTTTAGCTTTGTATAATGGACACATACACACATATGTCTGTTTGTGTCTTAATTCCTCTGCTCAACATGTTGTTTATAAAATTCATGCATATTGATGTGTGTAGCTATATTTTGTTTTTATTACTGAATTATGACAGGTTTCTTAAATCCATTCTGCAATTGAGGCACATTTGGGAACTTTCCAAGTGGTGTATTATTATGCACAACATTGCTAGGAACCTTTCAGATCATGTATCCTGGTGCCCACAGGTAATTGTTACTCCAAGGTATACATCTAGGAGCAGAAATGTTGTCTTATAGGGTGTGCATGTCTTTAACCTTACAAGATAAGATCAATCTATTTTCTAAAGTGATTGCACCCCAGGCAGGATATGAGAGTTCCTCTTGCCCCATATACACACCATGGCTTAGTCTAGTCATATGTTCAGCCTCTTCTTTGTGGCTGTAATTTACAGGTGTCACTGTCTTCCATCTTGACCCTCAGAATTATACCCAGGACATCAGGTGTGATCTGCCCACAGCACTGTCCTCTCGTTTGTTATTCAATGGCATACATCTATGATTAACCTAATCACATCGATGTTGGACAAACCTAAGTCTTTGTTGATAAGTCACGTCTCTTTTGTATTATATTTTTGCAGTTGATTTTTTTGACCAAACATTAGAACTTTGCACTGATTCTTACTCATCTTATCCAATTTGACCTATGATTCTAGTTATTAAGATTGTGTAAGATAACGGTTCCTTCACTGAAAATACTAGCTGTCTCTCAGCTTCAAGAAACTTTCACGTAATTCACCACTTTATCTCAATGTAAGTCACTGATATGTTGTGAAGAACAGACTATAGAAAAGAGTTTTGGAAAATGTATCCGAAAATTTTTCTCAGGCTACCTCCTATCCACTACCCAGCACTCTCACAATTTAGCTAGTCAGACAGGAGCAAAAGCATCCCTGCTACTTTACCATCCAGGCATTGTCATTTTATGCCTATAACTCCTTAACTTGCGGTTGACATCCTTTCCTTGCTCTTGTTCTAATAGAGCTTACAAAGATCCCACGTGTGTGTGTGTGTGTGTGTGTGTGAGAGTGAAACTTTTCCCCAAGACTCAGATCATTCTGAACTTTGATAAGCCTGGTCTTGTTCTGTACAATTATAGTACCCTGTGACACTCACCTTTGGGTTCATGCCCTTGTTTTTCTCTCATATACAAGTTCTTTAAAATTTGAACTCATCTGAGAAAGCCACTATAATCAGCTTTTTTTTTTCGTATACCTGCCCTATGTTTTCTCGTATGCAATTTTGAAATGAAAATTAAAGTTTTCAAGAACTTCCTCTCTGTCTCTCTATGGCCTAAGATACATGCTATGAATTCATACATACTTTTTCTGATTTTTTTAATGACCATCTCTCTAAAATCTATGGCATACTTTTCATTGGCTACCATGAACTGTAAAATGAATGTATTCTCCCAGGTCCCACCAATTCTTTTTTTATAAACAAATGATCCTATATAGGAAGGACTAGCTTTATTGGGCGTGTGGCTTACTACACAGTTGCACAGAGTCTTATGCTCAGAAGGCCCCACCCACTTAGTTTTAATACTCTGCTGTTGCTATCTTGAAATTCTTAATAAGTTTTGAACAAACGGCCCAGTATTTTCTTTTGCACTGGGCTCTGAAAATTGTGTAGCTGGTTCTGGCACCAATCTGTATTAATAATAGGAAACAATCTATCCATTGTCTCTGTTTCCTATGAGATAAAACTGGCTGTAAGGCAATTTAGGACATTTTCAGATTTTTGTCACCCAACAATACTTCCAGAGATAATAACTCTGTTCTACAATTTACTTCCAAAATCATTCCTCAGGGCTTTTTATCAAGGTCCATCTCCAAAAAATTTCCTTTCTAAAAGTAACTTTGTTTTTCATTATAATACATGTATATTGCAAAAAATTTAGAAAATATAAAGAAGACATTTCTATAATCCATAAATGAAGAGCTTTAATATTTTATTTGATATTCTAATGATCCAGCTTTTAACGTAATTGTGACTATGGGACACCTACAAAATGATGTATATTAATATTCTAAATGGTATTATTTATAAATATATGTATGCTCAATTACAAAAAATGAATTCAACTAAATATAAAGATATTTTAAAAGTTAAAAAGCTTTCTAAGAACTCAACACTCAGAAATAACAACTTTGATAGTTTTTGCTATAGTTTTTATCTCTGCAGATTTTTAATAGATAAAATTGTGCTACATAGCTGATACCTAAGTAAGTAAATACATATCATAATTCAAAAATAATATCAAAGTGGCTTAGTAATGGATTATACTTCACCAATATCTTACCCTTCAATATTCACTTTCTAAATCTACTGTCTTTGCTTTCTCACTTACTTCCAACTCATGTTTTGATCATGTCATATTGCTACTGGTATCTACTAAGTAGAGGCCAGGGATGCTGCTCAATATTCTACAGTGAATACAACAGCCCTCCCTGGCACCCACAACAAATCTTGTCTGACCCCTAATGGCATTAGTGCTGAAAAATTCTAGTTTAATGTTATTCTGGATGTGGCACTCAATACAATTAGGAAAGAGAAAGAAATGAGAAATACAAATGTTAAAAAGACGCACTTATTATTTGTAGGTGAAATGAACATATACTAGTCAACCCCCAAAAACCTATTTAAAATACTATTGATCAGGGATGGAATAATTAATTCTACTAAAAATGGCCTAAAAGAAAATTAATGTGTATTACAACTTGTGATATTTTAAGATGTATCAACTGCAACCTAATGTATTCAAAAAATGAGAAAAATGTAAGCATTTATTTCTTTTATAACGTATTCCTTTTTGTAATCACTTTTATTTTTAATTGTCTATTTTTTGTCAACAAATGTGGTTTGGAGTGTAAGTTCTATACAGGAGGATGATTTGGTGATGCAGCTGCAATGACAGGAAAACATTCCAGGTTAAGAGGCTATGCTAGGATATACATCAACATATTGCTTCCTTCATTGAGAAAGTCTTGCTGTGAAAAATGTCAGCTTACCTAATCAGTATGCTTACTGATGCAGTAAAAATTGTGAATTATATAAAAATTTACCAGGGTTGTTGATCACAATTGTTATTGCATAATGACATACGTGGTTATCGAGGGGAAGAAACTCTATTGAGAATGTTTGAGATATGAAAAATTTCTCTTTATATTTTGGGCTCAACGTTTTAAAGATGCAAAATAGACAGCCAGACTTTCTTTTTTCTAATATATTCTGAATTGTTTACAATTTTAATACTTCCATGTGACAAAAAATGCAGTTTTTCAATTGGAGATAAAACGTAAGAGCAAAAATGAAAGCTAGAAACTTGGAAGACTCGTTTCTACAGACCGTTGTTACATGTTCCATAATTTAATAATAAGTAACCATGAAGTAGGTTAAGAAGCTATGCTAGGATATACATCTATTGCTTCCTTCATTGAGAAAGTCTTGCTGTGAAAAATGTCAGCTGACCTAATCAGTATGCTTACTGATGCAGTAAAAATTGTGAATTATGTAAAAATTTACCACAGTTGTTGATCATAAATGTTATTGCATAATGACATACATGGTTATCGAGGGGAAGAAGCTGTTGAGAATGTTTGAGATACGAAAAATTTCTCTTTATATTTTGGGCTCAACGTTTTAAAGATGCAAAATAGACAGCCGGACTTTCTTTTTTCTAATATCTTCTGAATTGTTTACGATTTCAATACTTCCATGTGACAAAAAAAATGCAGTTTTTCAGTTGGAGATAAACCATAAGAGCAAAAATGAAAGCTAGAAGCTTGGAAGAATTGTTTCTACAGACCATTGTTATGTGTTCCGTAATTTAATAATAAGTAACCATGAAGTACGTTAGTAATCTGAATACTGCACACTTGCAAAAAGTTATCATACTAAATACCTTCCAAACTTGATAAGATGTTTTGAATTTTCTTTTGGGTCAAAAGAAGATCCATTCTAGGTAGTGGATTAGTTTTGAATCTATGTCTTTCATCAAGTGATATTATAGGCTGGACACAGTGGTTCATTCCTGTAATCCCAACACTTTGGGAGGCCAAGGCAGGAGGATCACTTGATTTCAAGACTAGCCTGGGCAAGCACATGGTGAGGTTTTGGCTCAAAAAAAAATTAATTAAACATTTTTAAAAAGTATTATAAATGTATAACCTTAAAGAATAAGTTGTTAGAATTGAATACTAATGAAAAATTGAAGATAGATTTTGAAAATATAGCTTTATTTTCATCCTTTTGGGAAAGTTAAAAATTAATACCAAGAACTTGATGAAATTGCTTTAACATCTCATTTCCATTACCATGAACATACTTTTGAGAGACATGTTTCTCTACTATGAATCACTAAAACAGTGTAGACATACTTTGTCCCCATATGGGTAGTAGTATTGTCAATCTCACCCAGAAAAAAAGTGGGCAAGAAGAAAGTCCACTGGACACATTAAAACCTTTAAATACTGATATATATATATATATATATATATAGATAGATAGATAGATAGATATACATGTCTATCATGTGCATTCAATGTATGTATATAGATGTTTAATATGAAAAACTGTAGTAACAGACTAGATTTTTTAAAATTTTATTTCAAAGGAAGCACTGATATAACAAGACCTAAAAAGAGGGAAAAAATTAGGAAAATTGTCAAAGAAATTCTCCCTCAAAATGTGCCAAGCCCTAATGGTTTTAAAGATTAGTTCTTTTAAGTTCTTAAACAACAGATAACTAGTGTAACTAGTAAATAGTTCCAGAACATAGAAAGGATTAATTCCAATGACAAACAAGAAAACTTATAAACGAGACAAATAGGTTAGTTACATAAAAAGTAAGTGTAATAATGCCAAAAAGGCATTTGATGATGTTGAACATCCATTACTGATTTAAAAAAATAGAAAATAGGAATAAATGAATGTTTTTAATACAGAGAAGTCAGATACACACACACACACACACAAACACACACACAGACACACACACACACACACATTTCAAGTCAAAAGCCAGCATTATGCTGAATGAGGAAATGCTAGAGCTATTCTCATAAGTCAGGAACAAATTAAATTCTTCGCTCACCATTGTTGAAGCTCTAATATAGATGCTATTATGGTAAATTAAATAATGGGCCCCCTATTGTATGTTCATGCTCATGTATTACTCCCTGGAAGCTATGAGCATTTTATATTACATAGCAAAAGGGAATTTGCAGATATGATTAAGGCTACAGACCTTAAATAGGGAGATAATCCTGGTTCACATAGGTGGGCCCAATCTAATCACATGATCCCTTAAAACCATAAAAATATAACAAGAAATCAAAGAGATTCCAGGTATGAGAATGCTTTGATGCACTGTTGTTGGTGCCAATGTGGAGGGTCCACAGGCAAGGACCTGACAGAAACCTGTAGAAGCCAAGAGTGGCCCCTAGATTACAACCAGCAAGGAAACAGTGGACCATAACTACAAGGGACTGGGTTCTTCAACAACCTGGCTGGGCTGGGAAATACCTCCCAACGCCTCTTGATAACAGCCCAGCAAGACAGTGCCATGATTTCATCTTTGTGAAGCCCCAAGCAGAGAAACCAACCTGGATGAGCCAGTCCAGACTTCTGACTCACAGAACTGTGAGATAAAAAATTTTTGTTGTTTTAAGCTGCTAAGTTTGTGTAAATTTTTATGGCAGCATTATAGACTGAATTGTGTCCTTACAAAATTCACATATTAAATCTCTAGCCTCCAAAGTGACTATTTTTGGAGAAAAGGCCATGTAAGGAAACAGCAAGAAGGTAGCTGTCTCCAAAACAAGAAGAGAGGCCTCACCAGAAATCAACTCTACTGGCTCCTGGATCCTGGACTTCTAGCCTCCAGAACTGTGAGAAAACGAACTTCCATTGTTTAAACCACCTAGTCTGTGATATTTGTTATGGTAGCACTGGCAAATGAATACAGGCAGTGACAGAAAAGTAATAGAGTTAGTAAGAGCTATCAACAGGAGAATGACCCTTGCAATGTGAAATATGTGTGTTTGTTTTTTACACTTAGTTGACAGTATACTTTTTCAACTTAGAAATTTTATCTATGAATCAAATGTATCAGTTCTTTCCTGGCTTCTGGATTTTACGTCTTGCTTAGAAGGCTTTAAGTCCCTACACTAGCCATCAATTGCTCCTTCACTCAGTCTAGCATCATGTTATTTGTTTCAATAGGTTTTTGGGGAACAGGTAGTGTTTGGTTACATGGATAACTTCTTTAGTGGTGATTTCTGAGATTTTGGGGCACTCATCACCAAAGCAGTGTAAACTGTACCCAATGTATAGTCTTATCCCTCACCCACCTCCCACCCTTTCCCCAGAGTCCCCAAAGTCCATTGTATCATTTTTATGCCTTTGGGTCATCATAGCTTAGCTCCCACTTATGAGTGAGAACATACACTTGGTTTTCCATTCCATTCCTGAGTTACTTCACTTAAAGTAAGAGTCTCTAGTTCCATCCAGGTTGCTGTGAATGCTATTATTTCATTGATTTTTATGGCTGGGTAATATTCCATGGCATGTATATATATACACATATAATCTGGAGATTATATATATATATACAACATTTTCTTTATCCACTCATTAATTGATGGACCTTTGGGCTGGTTCCATATTTTTGCAATTCTGGATTGTGCTGCTATAGATATGCATGTGCAAGTATCTTTTTTGTGTAATGACTTCTTTTCTTCTGGGTGGATATCCAGTAGTGGGATTGCTGGATCAAATGGTAGCTCTACTTTTAGTTCTTTAAGGAATCTCCACACTATTTTTGATAGTGGTTGTACTAGTTTACATTCCCACTAGCAGTATAAAAATGTTCCTTTTTCACCACATCCATACCAACATCTATTATTTTTTGATTATGCCCCTTCTTGCAGAAGTAAGATGGTATCGCATTGTGGTTTTATTTCAATTTCCCTGATAATTAGTGATGTTGAGCGTTTTTTCATATATTTGTTAGCTATTTGTATATCTTCTTTTGAGAATTCTCTATTCATGTCCTTAGTCCACTTTTTGATGGGATTATTCATTTTTTTCTTGCTGAATTGTTTGAGTTCTTTGTAAATTCTGGAGATTTTTGTTGGATGCATAATTTGTGAAGATTTTCTCCCACTCTGTGTGTTGTCTGTTTACTCTGTTGATTATTTATTTTGCTGTGCAGAAGCTTTTCAGTTTAATTAAGTCCCATCTATTTATCTTTGTTTTTGTTGCATTTGCTTTTAGGTTCTTGGTCATGAAGTCTTTGCTTAAGCCAATGTCTAGAAGGTTTTTTTTCCGATAGCATCGTATTTTAATGATAAGGTGCTAAACAAGTATTCTTCCCCTTCCCAAACTTGCTTTACTTTTCAAGGCTCTCTTCTATTAACTTGCTCTTTCTTGATTACCAGTTTCCCTGAACATCAAGAACAGCCCTTGGTATATGGTATGCACAAAATAAATTTGTCTCGACTAAAGGCAGTTCGTTTGGAGAAACACTCTATTCAATTGCCTTGTCTCAATTTCTGTTTTGTGTGTGGGGTTGGGGTGACGTTATTTCTTTTCTCTGCTGATTGTCACAGGCATGAAGAAGGGAAATTCCACAATATACATATTTCCTCTATAACCCAGGATTATTATATTGATAGAAAGTTAAAATTGACCTGTTGAGTGGGCAGCTCAAGCACTCATGTACCCTGTATCATGTGACTGATTAGAACAAAAAGGCACTCCTTGGACACTCCACTCCTGTTCAAAGCAATACCCAAGGAGTTTCTTCATTTCAATTTACCGTTGAAAATTATTTCCGATCTCCATTCTACTCCTTTTGTTATTATTATTTTATTTTCTGTTTTAAACAAGCACTCATTCATGGTCCATTTGGCTCTTTTTCCTGCTTTTCCTTGTGAACTACCTTTGCAAAATTACAACAGTAAGAATAGTCTGACATCATTGACTCCATCTTGCTTCTAACCTCCAAGCTGTCCTTGGTCAATCCTGGGTATAGGCCAAACTAACTTTTGGAGAAACTTAGTTTATAGTTTAACCTTAAAGCAAAGATATTAATAGTCCTTCTTAAAATTAAGCCACCTTTGTAAAACTAATGAAAAGCCACAAAGTTAGGATTAGGAGAGGAGCCTGCCAAGATGTAGGCATAGTTAAACGACAAAATAACCAGCCATTGTTCTGGAATTAACAAGATTTGTAACTTCCCCAATTACTGCTGTAGATAACATCACTATGGCAGAACCTAAGATTGGCCTTTTGAGTTGTGTTTTCAGACTTTTACATTTCTGAAGATCAGCTGACCCCCACCTGGACTCCCGGTTCATGATTCAACCAGTCCTGGGGCCCCAGCCAGAGGTGGACCTAGCACAGAAGGACTATTTCTCACAACCCTGTGATGACATCCTTGACTAATCAACAGCACCCATTCCCTACTCTCTGGCTCACCAACAATCCTTGAAAACCTCTGTGATAACTCCAGTTCTCCAGCACGGGCTGGCCTTGTGTCAATTAAACTCTTCCTCTACTGCAGTACCATGGTCCCAGTGAGTTAATTTGGTCTGTGCAGTGGTCAGAAAGAACCCATCAGGTGATTACACTTGCTCTCTTCTCTCCGGACCCCAGGCAGGGGCATGTTGAAGGCATCTTGCAGCCGCTCTTAAGAGCTAATTATTTGCATCTTCTCCCAACTCTACGTTCAGTGACTTCAAGTTGGTCAATTGAAATCAGTCATGGTGGGAGTATAGATATCACAGCATTTGGCAAACGCTACAAATCAGAATCTTCTTTCCCAGACAGTACTGGCTCTAAGACTCAACCTGCAGCATGGGTTAGCATTCTTCATGCGCTGGCCAGACACTCCTGCCCCTGTGAGAGAGGGAGAAACAAGGAACCAAGAAAATCTGCTTGTCTTGTCACTAAGCAGTATTTACAAAGATTACTCAGAGGAAGCCATGAATGGCTTCTGGAAGTCCTTTATTGATCTGTGGGTTATTGCACTTTTATGTTTGAAAAATTATTAGTTAGCAAAGTTGGAGTTTTTTTTAATAAAGATTCAAAAGAATGATTTTTATTTGGTAAAATAAAGAATTGAAAACTCTCAGCTTAAAATTTCATACAAGATCAATGTAATAAACTAAATATCTGTTAATGAGGCAATATTACTTATATTAAGTCCATAAGGAAAATTATACAGTGTTGTAACAAGTATATATGTTCTTGGCATAAAAATCTTAAGTGGAAAAAGTAAATGGCACAAAAATGTGTACCTTATTATTGCATTTATATATAAAAATTATATATAGATAGAAAGGAAACATTTGGGGGCCTTTGAGGTACTGATACTGTTCTGTTTCTTGGTCTGGGTGATGATTATATTGGTGGTCACTTTGTAACAATTCATTGATCTATAAATTATGATATGTATACTTTTGTATATGTATGTTCTACTTTAATACAAATGTTTACTTAAATAGTATCTAAAGATATGTGTGTGTAATTTCTTAGAAAAAAATCTAGAAGTATTCATTCATTTAATATTGCTTTCCTCTGGTGAGAAGAGTAGGATTTGGGAAATGGTGCAAGGGAGTTTCCTTTGTTACCATACAAATTTTCTATTGTCTGAAGGTTTTATCATGATTATGCATTAGTTTATAGGCATAAAATATGCCCCCAAAGAACTATTAAAATATCAGCTATCCATCCATTCACATTACTTTTAACATTGATTTTTACTCTATGCTTTCAGCTGTTTCTCATATTCTACCTGAAGTTCCAGATGGAGGGAGGATTGCATTTCCCCCCTGTTTTGAAAACACATTAGCAAAGGCAACACCTCTGACTTGTAAAATCTGTGTGATAGCCTCTTTCAAGAGAGTCTCTTCTGTGTTTGAAAGCAAGTAAAGTACCCAAGACAATGCAAATTCCATTTTGGAAATCTTTGTTGAGAGGTAAATGAATAACTGATCAGGACACTATAAGCCTATGCCTTGGCCCTTACTCTCCTCCTCCATGGACTTGGAAAAATATTTTTTAAAGTTCTTGAAAGTTAGTGGGAGAAATTATTTGAGGACTAGAGATACAGTCATTAAGTAATATGTCCAAGGCTGGCATTGATGAAGCCTTCTGCAGAATCAAGAGATTTCTTCACAAACCAAATCATACACATTTCTTGAGACTTCACACCTAAGTTTCACCCACTCAGGAGTAAGTTCCTAACCTACTTTAACTTAACCAGAGCTGTTACATATTGCTACGCAACAGCACACTGAGGCCAAATGAGGAACTGAAACCAGCTTTTGCTGCCCATCACCAGCTGAGTGCCACATGTGCTGCCTTCACCCACAAGGGACATTATTTTCTAATTCCCAGAAAGCCACTATGTAGGTTAGTGGTGGCTCTGACTGAACCATTCTTACAGAAAGTAGGACAATGTATTTGGCATTGATCATTTCAAATACCCTTTAAAATAAAAGTTATTTGAGAATATTACTTATTACTACATTGTATTAAGTTCATCTCCAATCCTGACACTTTCAGAGCCTTCCTAAGACTTTCAGTTACTTAGCGTATATCAGGTTGGTGCAAAAACACACATGGAAATATCTAAAAACATTCTTCATTTCAGCATTGTTAATTTTTAAAGCTTTCCCCAGGGTTACCTTTTTATATCTTTGATGCCTGACTTGGCAAAGAGAGACTTATTATATATTGTACTCTTTTCCCTTAAGGCAAGTCAATAATAAATGCATTTTTAATTAGACCCAGCAGATCTGGGCTAGGAGTCTGAAATTTGCATTTTCATTCTGCCTGTAGCCCCGACTCGAAGCTTGGAAAAATTTTCACTCTCTAAATTCTGTACAATACAGCACTACCCTCTTGTTATTGGGAACCTTTTCACAACTAACCTCTTGGTCAAATCCTAATCTGTGGAGATTATCACAGAATTTATGTCTACTCCAAACTCTGGGCAAATTCCTAGGCTTTTACATGTGGCTCAAGGAGACAGAAAGAAGCAAAGAGACCCTATGGAGTCCTCTTCAGGAGCAGCTGATAAAACTAGAGTTACAAAAAATTGGGGGTGGGTTATTGCCCGTAAAACTCTCCGATCTCTCAAGATTCCTGAGATAAAGCAAGGGGTGACCAATGCAGTCCTCCCCTCTGGAGAGAAGAATGCAAAAATGTGGTGCTGTGTTCAGATTCACGAAACTGAACCTATTTCTCCAGGCATGGAGGTAGGGTCGGTCAAGAAAAACAAGAGCTCTTCAGTTTCTCAGACATTCCATCATCCTCCTCCTGTCTGAAAAACATGTTTGGGGGGTGTTAGGAGTTAGGGCTCTGGGATATCTCACAATTTTAATCTCCCTGCTTTTTGTGTGTGATTGCAAAAAATCTCCTTTGTGTGATCGTCATGGACCAGAAAATTTGTGCCCCATTCAGAAAAGGCCTGGGCTGCTGCTCCAACAATGACCCTGCTGCTGCCTCTGTGCCTGGGTCATCCCTAGCTTCCTCCATCTGGGGCAGGGCACTGGGCATTGGTAGGTGCCTCAGGAAGATGATCAACTGCATTGTATGATAGGCAGGAGTGTGGGCATTCATGTTGCCTTGACGGTAGCTACTTCTCTCTCACCCCTTACCTCCACCTCAGATTTATGTTGACTCAACCACTAGGCTGGGTCTAGGTCTTTAGCTGTGTAGGGCAGCAGTCCCCAAACTTTATGGCACCAGGGGCCAGTTATATGGGAGCCAGTTTTTCCATGGAAGGTTGGGAGGGTTGGTTTTGGGATGAAACTCTTCCACCTCAGATCATTAGGCATTAGTTTGATTCTCATAAGGAACACACAACCTAGATCCCTTGCGTGCACATTTCACAATAGGGTTTGTGCTCCTATGAGAATCAGATGGCCCCATTGATCTGACAGGAGGTGGAGCTCAGGCAGTAATGCTCATTCATCCATCACCACTCACCTCCTGCTGTGGGGCCTGGTTCCTAACAGGCCATGGACCAGTCCACAGCTCAGGGGTTGGAGACTTCTGGTATAAGGTACTTTTATCTATATCTCCTCCCCATTCCCTACCCCCAGTTTGCCTCAGGCAGCCTCTTTCATTTCGTTTCTCACCTAATTAAAGCAATCTACTTCCAGTCTGTCAAACTAGCTAAGATCAGCCTGTAGTTCATCCCACCACTCCTGAAAATCAACCCCCCCAGCTTCCAGTTTATGCCAACTACCTCAAGATTTCTTTTCAGTTTTCTGCAGTTCTTTAAACCTTTCACTGCAGTATCAAATGTCCAAAACTTGAGGGCTCAAAAATGAAAATGTAGTAGCCCTAAATATTAGTATTTCAACAAACCTGACAAAAATACACATAAATGTTTACATACAGCATTCATGGATACTTGTTGTTTCCATATTTTCTCTATTTGTTTTTTAAATGGCAGCATTCTATGAAGGTAATAAACTCTGTGGTAATAAAAATTGGATTTGAAACCCTGTTCCTACCTTATTTACTGCTGCTCAATTAGGAGCACCATTTGCTGATCTTAGAGTTTGTTTCCTGTATGTAAAATTGTTACCCATAGGAACAATTTTGGTGAATCGGTGAATCCATACGGGTCTGCAGCAACCTCAATTTTTGCCTCCTCAGAAGAAAGAATTCAACCAAAAGGCATAAGGCAGAGTAGGAGAGTGAGGCAAGTTTTAGAGCAGGAATCAAAGTTTAGTAACAAGCTTTAGAGCAGAAACAAAAGGAAGTAAAGTGTACTCGGAATTGGGCCAAGCAGGCAACTTGAGAGATTGGGTGCATAGTTTGACCTTTTGACTTGAGGTTTCATATGTTGTCATGCTTCCAGGGTCTTGCATTCCTTCTCCCATGATACTTCCCTTGGGGTGGGCTGTCCGCATGCTCAGTGGACTGCCAGCACTTGAGAGGGCCACATGTGCAGTGTCTTTACTGGGCTTGTACACACGCTCTTTTGAGGTGTTCTTCCCTTGCCAGTCAAACATCCCTAGAAGGTCATATACTAGTTAAACTCTGCCATTTTGCCTCTTAATGCACATGTTTGAGCCCACTTGCTGAACTCCTAAGATCTTATCAGGAAGCTGCTAACTACCAGTTTTAGTTTTTTTCTATCTATTGGGAGACTGCTTTTCCCTGGAGTTGGCTGCAACCAATTATTATTTTAGAGAAAAAGTTAACAACCATCACTTGATAGTCACCTGATGTTCCTGGTTGTGGGGGCCCTCTCTTGCCTTGCTCATGTCTGCCTGACTACCTACAGTAACAAGAGAAGGTTGTAATATTTACCTTGAAGATTTAAGGGGCTTTCTCTTAGGAAAAAAATTCCTGAATACAATACCAGAACACAATACACAGAGATTTTTATTTTTCCAATTGAACTGAAATATTTTACTCTTGCAAAGGTTGCAAAAACTATGACCGGCCGGGCGCGGTGGCTCACGCCTGTAATCCCAGCACTTTGGGAGGCCGAGGCGGGCGGATCACGAGGTCAGGAGATCGAGACCATCCTGGCTAACACAGTGAAACCCCGTCTCTACTAAAAAACACAAAAAAATTAGCCGGGCGTGGTGGCGGGCGCCTGTAGTCCCAGCTACGCTGGAGGCTGAGGCAGGAGAATGGCGTGAACCCGGGAGGCGGAGCTTGCAGTGAGCCGAGATCGCGCCACTGCACTCCAGCCTGGGCGACAGAGCGAGACTCCGTCTCAAAAAAAAAAAAAAAAAAAAAAAACTATGACCATATGATATGGTTAAGCTTTATGTCCCCACCCAAATCTTATCTTGAATTGTAATTCCCAGGTGTTTAGGGAGAGACCTGGCGGGAAGTGACTGGATTAGCGGGGCGGTTTCCTCCATGCTGTTTTCATGATAGTGAGTGAATTCTCATGAGGTCTGATGACTTTATAACGGTAGTTTTTCCTGTGCTGACAAACAGTCTCTCCTGCTGCCATGAAAAGAAGGTCCTTGCTTCCCCTTTACCTTGCACTATGATTGTAAGTTTCCTAAGGCCTCCCCAGCCATGCGGAATTGTGAGTCAATTAAATTTTTCTTTATAAATTACCCAGTCTCAGGTATTTCTTTATAGCGGTGTGAAAGTTGACTAATATACCATATGACCATGTAAACCTACTGCTGTGAGTGTTGGCTGCTAATTAGCCCCACAGCTGGCCTCTTCTCCACATCTGGTGCCTGTAGTGGAATGACTTAAAGGTTGGGCTCAACTGAAGCTATCTTCCAGAGAGCACGCATATAGCCTCTTCACAAGTCATGGCTTTTGTACAGCATGTGGTCTCAGTGGAGTCTGAGTGCTCTAGACGGACCATCCCCTTGAACAAGGAAGAAGCAGCAGGGTCTTTTATGACCTAACCTCAGAGGGCTTCTAATATCCTTTCATCATACTTTGCTGGTAAAGCAGACACATACCCACTCAAGATTCTAGGGAAAGAAACACAGACTTCACTTCTCAATGGGAGGAGTGTCAAATTATTTGTGGTCATATGTTCAAATAGTCATAGGGGGCCAATCAGGAACAAATTATACAAAAGGGTATGCAAGTTGTAGAAAAACTTTTTATTGTTTTTCTATGACCTGCTCTGAATCATCACCATGTAGGTCCTTGCAAATCTCAGTTCTCTGTGAAATAATCTCTAATTTACAGACTCTGCTTTGGAGATGCTGAAGTTATTGCATAGTCATGGAATTGCATTGGGAATGAAATAAATGAGAAGTCATTAAAAAGTCTGAATCAGCAGTCCTTGGACAAAGGTCAAGTCTATTTTTCTCAAGCAATATTGAAAGCCTGAATGGCTAAATTATTGATGCCAAAGTGCTTCACTCTTACTAACACTAATAGTTTTTTAACAGATTTCTGTAACACAGACATATATCTCCCCCAGAGAAGCAAAAACAGTTGCTACACTGAAATGTCAAGTCCATCGGTAGGGGGATGAAGAAAGTGGGGCAGTTCTACAAAGCTGGTTTATGATTTTTGCACCATTAAAATGTTTTTGTTATTTGTTTTTAACTTTTATTTTTGGTTTGGGGATACATGTGAAGGTTTGTTACCTAGGTAAACCTGTGTCACGGGGGGGTTGTACATACTATTTCATCACCCAGGTATTAAACCCAGTACCCAATAGCTATCTTTTCTGCTCCGCTCCCTCCTCCCAACCTCCACCCTCAAGTAGACCTCAGTGCCTGTTGTTTCCTTCTTTGTGTTCATAGTTCTCATCGTTCAGGTCCTACTTATAAGTGAGAACATGTGGTATTTGGTTTTCTGTTTCTGTGTTTGTTTGCTAAGGATAATAGTGTCCAGATCCATCCATGTTCCCACAAAAGACACGAACTCGTTTGTTTTTATGGCTGCTTGGTATTCTATGGTGTATATGTACCACATTCTGTTTACCCAATTTGTCACTGATGGGCATTTAGGTTGACTTTCGTCTTTGCTATTGTGAACAGTTTTGCATTGAACACTCATGTGCATGTGTCTTTATGGTAGAATGATTTATATTCCTCCAGGTATATACGTAGCAATGAGATTGCTGGGTCAAATGGTAGTTCTACTTTTAGCTCTTTGAAAAATCACCGTACTGCTTTCCATAATGGTTGAAATAATTTACATTCCCACCAACAGTGTACAAGTGTTCCCTTTTCTCTGCAACCTCACCAGCATCTGTTATTTTTTGACTTTTTAATAGTAGCCATTCTGACTGGTGTAAGATGGTATCTCACCATTAAAATTTTGAATGGATATTATACAGAGTCAGACAGAAAGATAAACAAAAACAGGGAGAACAGAAAGACAGAGATAAAGTTTACATGCATGCATGTGCCAAAGCATTAAATTACTCAAAGTAAATATTTAAAATACAAAATAATTTTTTATTCATGATACCTAATTTTATTTATTTTTGCTGTGGTAGAAAACACATAATTTAAAATTTACTGTAATAATTATTTTTAATTATTTTAATTACTAGGCCATATAGTAGTTCTATTTTTAATTTTTTAGGAACCTCTATACTGTTTTTTTAAATATTTTTATTATACTTTAAGTTTTAGGGTACATGTGCACAACGTGCAGGTTTGTTACTTATGTATACATGTGCCATGTTGGTGTGCTGCACCCAGTAACTCGTCATTTAACATGAGGTATATCTCTAAATGCTATCCCTCCCCTCTCCCCCGACCCCACAACAGGCCCCGGTGTGTGATGTTCCCCTTCCTGTGTCCATGTGTTCTCATTGTTCAATTCCCACCTATGAGTGAGAACATGCGGTGTTTGGTTTTTTGTCCTTGCGATAGTTTGCTGACAATGATGGTTTCCAGCTTCATCCATGCCCCTGCAAAGGACATGAACTCATCATTTTTTACAGCTGCATAGTATTCCATGGTGTATATGTGCCACATTTTCTTAATCCAGTCTATCATTGTTGGACATTTGGGTTGGTTCCAAGTCTTTGCTATTGTGAATAGTGCCTCAATAAACTTACGTGTGCATGTGTCTTTATAGCAGCATGATTCATTGAAACTGGATCCCTTCCTTACACCTTATACAAAAATTAATTCAAGATGGATTAAAGACTTAAATGTTAGACCTGAAACCATAAAAACCCTAGAAGAAAACCTAGGCAATACCATTCAGGACATAGGCATGAGCAAGCATTTCATGTCTGAAACACCAAAAGTAATGGCAACAAAAGCCAAAATTGACAAATGGGATCTAATTAAACTAAAGAACTTCTGCACAGCAAAAGAAACTACCATCAGAGTGAACAGGCAACCTACAGAATGGGAGAAAATTTTTGCAATCTACTCATCTGACAAAGGGCTAATATCCAGAATCTACAATGAACTCCAACAAGTTTACAAGAAAAAAAAAAACCCCATCAAAAAGTGGGCGAAGGATATGAACAGACACTTCTCAAAAGAAGACATTTATGCAGGCAAAAGACACATGAAAAAATGCTCATCATCACTGGCCATCAGAGAAATGCAAATCAAAACCACAATGAGATACCACCTCACACCAGTTAGAATGGCAATCATTAAAAAGTCAGGAAACAACAGGTGCTGAAGAGGACTTTTTTTGTAACTGGCGTATTAACTTAGCGTAATGTCTTCAAGACTCATCCATGTTGTAGCATATGATAGGACTTTCTCCTTTTATAGGGCTGAATGATATTTTATTGTAGATATGTATCAGTTTCTTTACCCTTTCATCTGTTGATGTACATTTAGGTTTTGTGTTTTTGTTTTATTTTGATGAAGTGACTTCACTCTAATACATGTGATAGATTTTGTTTTGTCTTTAAATTATTTTATTATATATTTAAGGTGTACAATATGATGTTTTGTTATACATTTACATAGTGAAATGATTGCTACTGTCAAATTAACATGTTCATCACCTTCCATAGTTACTTTTGCTGTGGGAGGAGCACCTAAAATCTACTCTTAGCAAATTTTCAGTGTACAATACAATACTATTAACTATAGTCCTCGTGCTGTACATTACCTCTCTAGACTTACTCATCCTACATAACTGCAACTTTGTACCCTTTGACCTACTTCTTCCTATTTCCTTCCCCCCTTGCACCTGGTAATCACTGTTCTACTATCTGTTCCTATAGATTTAACTTATTTTCTTTGACTCTCCATATAAGTGACATCATAGAGTATTTTTGTTTCCATGTCTGGCTTATTTCATGTAGCATAATGTTCTCCTAACTCATCTATGTTGTTGGAATTGGCAGTACTCCTTTTGTAAGGCTGAATAAAACTTTATTTTATAAAAATATAGGAATTTTATATATATATATAAAATGATTGTATGTGTGTGTGATTAGTACCCTTGTAAAAGATATCCCAGAGAGATCACTCATCCTTTCTGCCACATGACATTACAGTGAAAATGTGACCATCTAGGAAGGTGACCCTAGCAGAGCAAAGAAAACAAGAAACAAGATGAAATGCATAGGTGTGTGTGTGTGTGTGTGTGTGTGTGTGTGTGTGTGTCTGACAATTTCTTCATTCATTCATTCACCACTCAGGTTGTTTCCATATCTTGGCTATTATGAATAATGTTTCAATGAATGTATAAGTACAGATATCTCTAAGAGGTGCTGATTTCATTTCTTTGGGTTATATACCAAACAGAGAAATGGCTATGCCATATGGTAAGTCTATTTTTAATTTTTTGACACACCTCCATACTGTTTTATGATGGCTACACTAATTTACATTCCTACCAACAGTGTCCAAGCATTCCCCTTTCTCTACACCCTTGCCATTACTTGTTATCTTTTGTCTTTTTCATAATAGTCCTCCTAACAAGTGTTAGGTAATAGTTCATTGCAGTTTTCATTTGCATTTCCCTGATGATTAGTGATAATGGGCACTTTGTCATATACCTCTTGGCCATATTTATGTCCTTTCTGGAAAAAATGTCTATTTAAGTCCTTTGCTCATTTTTTAATTAAGTTTTTTGTTTTGTCTTGTTTTGTTTTACTATTGAGTTATGTGAGTCCCTTACATATTTTGAGTATAAACTTCTTATAAGATATGTGGAAGGCAAATATTTTCTCCCAATTCATGGGATGCCTTTTCACCTTCTTGCCTGTTTTCTTTGCTGTGCTACAGCTGACTTCCTGGATGACCATATTTTCACTGTAATCTTATGTGGCAGAAGGGATGAGTGCTCTCTCTGGGATATATTTTATTATAAGGGCACTAATCCCATTTATAAGGGTACTAATCCCATTTGTAAGGGATTTGTATCCTTTATATCACCTCCCAGAGGCCCCACTTCCTAATATTACCTAATAGTCCCTAACATCTTGAAAGTTAGGGCTTCAACACAAATTTTTGGGACACAAACATTCAGACCATAGCAAGCCTGGAGAATCTTCTGTGTAAGCTTAAAAATGTACTCTACTGTTATTCTTATATATGAAAAACAGTCAAGCCAAGAGCCAAATCAGGAACAAACTCCCATTCGCAATTGTGACAAAAAGAATAAAATACCTAGGAATGCATATAACCAGGGAGATAAAAGATCTCTACAAGGAGAACTACAAAACACTGCTCAAATAAGTCAGAGATGACATAAACAAACAGAAAAACATTCCATGCTTATGGTTAGGAAGAAGCAGTATTGTTAAAAGCCCTATTGCCCAAAGCAATGTATAGATTAAATGCTATTCCCATTAAACTACCATTGAGACTCTTCAGAGAACTAGAAAACACTATTTTAAAATTCATATGGACCAAAAAACAAACAAACAAACAAACAAAAAAAACACCTGGATAGCCAAGGCAATCATAAGCAAAAAGAACAAAGCTGGAGACATCATGCTACTAAACTACAAACTATAGTACGGGACTACAGTAACCAAAACAGCATGGTAGTGGTACAAAACAGACACATCAACCAATGAAACAGAAAAGAGAACTCCGAAATAAGGCTGCACACTTACAGCTGTCTAATCTTCAACAAACCTGACAAAAACAAGCAATAAAGAAAGGATTACCTGTTCAATAAGTGGTGCTGGGATAACTGGCTAGCCATATGGAGAAGACTGAAACTGGGTCCCTTCCTTACACCATATACAAAAATTAACTGAAGATGGATTAAAAACTTAAATGTAATATCCAAAACTGTAGAAGCCCTGGAAGACAACCTAGGCAATATCATCTAAGAAATGGGCATGGGCAAAGATTTCATTATGAAGACACCAAAAGCAATTGCAACAAAAGCAAAAATTGACAAAGGGGATCTAATTAAACTAAAGAGCTCCTGCATAGCAAAAGAAACTATCAAAAGAATAAACAGGCAACATACAGAATGGGAGAAAATGTTTGCAAACTATGCATTTGACAAAGGCCTAATATCCAGCATCTGTAAGAAACTTAAATTGACAAGAAAATAAAGAACTAACCAACCCCATTAAAAAGTGGGCAAAGGATATGAAAAGACACTTTGAAGACATACATGTCACCAAGAATCATATGAAAAAAAGCTCAATATCACTGATTATTTTGTTCTGGGTGGGTCCTTTTTCTTAGAGCTCCCAAGATGGTGATGGTCTGCTCCCAAGATGGTGGTGGCCACTCCCAAGACGGCAGCAAGCCTTTTGTTCTCTGACCTGAGGTTTGTGGCCTCATGGATTCCAAGGAATGGAACCTTGGGCCATGTCGTGAGTGTTGTAGCTCTATTAGAAGCCGTGGGTCACGGAAGAGAACTGTGGAACCCAGCGACTAGTGTTCAGCTCAATTAGGATGAACCTGGGCACTTAGCCACGCAGGAACAATGGCGAGCCTGTAGCCCAAATGGGAGTGGTATGGGCGCCTCACTGGATCAGAAACGCAGCGGACACCTTGCTGGATCCAGAGGGGTGGAAGTCAACAGCGGGTCTGCAACGCTGGCAAACAGCAGTGGTGGACAGTGAGCGAAAGCTCAGCTCGAGCCAGAACAAACATGGACCAGAAGAGTGTGCAGTTGCAAGGTTTAATATAGTGAAAACAGAGCTCCCATACAATGGGAAGGGACCCAAAGGGGGTTGCCCACTCCCAGCTCGGATGCCTGGGGTTTATATCCCAATCATTGTCCCTCCCCCTGTGCTCTCAGATGATAGATGATTTGACTACTTCTTTACCTCCTGCTTTTAGCCTAATTGATATTTTAGTGAGCCCTCTTTACTACCTGATTGGTTGGGTGTGAGCTGAGTTACAAGCCCCGTGTTTAAAGGTGGGTGCAGTCACCTTCCCCAGCTAGCCTTAGGAATTCTTAGTTGGCCTAGGAAATCCAGCTGGTCCTGTCTCTCAATTTGAGATGTGCAAATCAAAACCATAATGAGATGCCATCTCACACCAGTCAGAATGGCTATTAGTAAAAAGTCAAAAAATAACAGATGCTGGTGAGGTCATGAATAAAAAAGAATGCTTATACACTGTTGGTGGAAGTATAAATTAGTTCAGCCATCATGGAAGACAGTGTGGCGATTCCTCAAAGACCTAAAGACAGAACTACCTTTCAACCCAGCAATCCCATTATTTGGTATATACCCAAAGGAATATAAATTGATCTATTATGAAGAAGACACATGCATGTGTGTGTTCATTGCAGCACTATTCACAGTAGTAAAGACATGGAATCAACCTAAATTGATAGACTGGAAAAAGAAAATATTCTATATATATACCATGGAATACTATACAGCCATAAAAAAGAAAGATCATGACTTTTGCAGGGGGGGACATGAATGGAGCTGGAGGCTGTTATCCTCGGCAAACTAACACAGGACCAAAAAACCAAATACTGCATGTTCTCACTTATAAGTGGGAGCTAAATGATGAGAACACATGGGCACATAGAGGGGAACAACACACACAGAGGCCTATTGGAGAATGGAAGGTGGGAAGAGGAGAGGATCAGGAAAAGTAACTAATGGGTACCAGGCTTAACACCTGGGTGATGAAATAATCTGTACAACAAAGTCTCATGGCACAAGTTTACCTATATAACAAACCTGTACGTGTACCCCTGAAATTAAAATAAAAGTTAAAAAAAAGAACATATTCTGCTGTTGTTGGGTGGAGTGTTCTGTTTATGCCTGTCATGTCCAATTAGTCTATAGTATTTTTCAAGTCCTTGGTTTCCTTATTGATTTTCTATCTTGCTGCTCTATCCATTATTGAAAGTGGGGCATTAAAATTTACTATTACTGTGCTACTCTCTATTTCTACTTTTAATTTTGTCAGTGTTTGCTTCATGTAACAATATTATGGTGTGTTGCTAAGTTCATGTATATTCATATCATCCTAGCAAATTGACTCTTTTATCATTATAAAATGTCTTTTGTCTCTTGTGACAGTTTTGGAGTTAATGTCTACTTGTCTGGCATAAGTATGGCTACCTTGCTCTCTTTGGTTATCATTTTCATGGAATATCTTTTGCCATACTTTCACTATCAGTCTATGTATATCCTTAAGTCTAAAGTAAGTCTCTTGTAATCAGCATGTATTTGAATCTTGTTGTTGTTGTTTTTTAACCCATTCAACTATTCCATTTGTATTTTGAATGGGGAATTTAATCTATTTACATTTAGTGATTACTGATATGAAAGAACTTACTATTGCTATTTTTAAAATTGTTTTCTGTATGTCTTGTAGTTACTTCATATATGTGTTCTTCTCTTGCTGCCTTCTTTTGTGTTTCATTGTTTCTTGTAGTGATATGCTTTGATTCCTTTCTCATTTTCTTTTGTGCATCTTCTATAGATATTTTCCTTGTGTTTACCATGAGGATTGCATAAAACATCTATCCAATTGCATACAAAAACTTTACTCCCTTACATTTCCCCACAACATACATTTTATGTTATCATAAATTGCATGTCACAAATTGCATCTTTTTATATTTCATAGCCATTAACACAGTTTTACAGTTATAGATAATTTCTATGTTTTAATCTTTTAAACTCTATACTTGAATTAAAAGTGATTTATATGCCATCATTGCATTTTTTACAGGATTCTGTCTTTGTTTATGTATTTACCTTTACTAGAGATTTACTAGAGAGCTTTATATTTTTATATGTCTTTTTTTTTTTTTTGAGACCAAATCTCTCTCTGTCACCCAGACTGGAGTGCAATGGCACAATCTCAGCTCACTGCAACCTCTTCCTTCCAGGTTCAAGCAATTCTCCTGCCTCAGCCTCCCAAGTAGCTGGGATTAGAGGCGTGTGCCACCATGCCTGGCTAATTTTTGTATTTTTAGTAGAGACAGGGTTTCACCATGTTGACCAGGCTGGTCTGGAACTCCTGACTTCAGATGACCCACCCACCTCAGCCTCCCAAAGTGCTGAGATTACAGGCATCAGCCACAAGGCCTGGCCTATATGTTTTTATGCTTATGTTGTTGACTAGCATTGTTTTGTGTCAACTTGAAGGATTCCCTTTAACAATTCTTGTGAGGCAGGTCAATTGGTGATGAACTTTCTCAGCTTTCATATTGGAAAGTCTTTATTTCTTCTTCATTTCTGAAGGACAATTTTGCTAGATATAGTACGTTTGGTTGGCAGGGTTTTTTTCCCCAGCACTTTAAACATATCATCGCACTCCTTTGTGTCCTGTAATATTTTGGCTGAGAAAGCAACTGGTAATCTTATGGTTGCTTCTTTGTATATGATGAGTTGCTTTTTTAAATTATTATTATTCTTTCAAGGTTTTTTTTGTTTGACTTTTCAGTTATAGTTTGTCTTGATGTGGGACTCTGAATTCATTAGAGTCCTTTCAGATTTTTGAATTTCAATGTTCACTTTATTTTCAAGATTCGAAAAATTTTGGAGCATTGTTTCTTTACCTGAGTTCCCTACTTGTTTATCTCAATGCCCTGCATCCAGAACTCCCACAATAGATATACTGGTTTGCTTGATGGTAAGTTTCTTCAGGTTTCCATAAGCTTATCCTATATGAAGTTTTGTGGGCTGGCTTTGTATAGGAAACTTTCCATAAGTTTCTTCAGCTTTCTTTACTTTCCTTCATTCTTTTTTCTCTTTGCTCCTCTAACTCAATAATTTCAAATTACCTGTCTTTGAGTTTGCTAATTCTTTCTTCTTCTTGATCAAGTCTGCAATCGAACCCCTCTGGTACATTTTTTTTTCAATTTAGTTACTGTATTCTTCAGATCCAGAATTTCTGGGTTTTTAAAAATAGTTTCTGTCTCTGTGTTGATATTCTGATTTCATTTATGCATGGTTGTATTGATTTTATTTGGTTGTCTTCATTCTCTTGTAGTGCATTATGTTTTAAGATGGTTATTTTGAATTCTTCATCCAGTAATTTATAGATTTCCATTTTTTTCTTTTTTTTTGAGACAGAGTCTTGCTCTGTTACCCAGGCTGGAGTACAGTGGCATGGTCTCACCTCACTGCAACTTCTGCCTCCCGAGTTCAAGTGATTCTCCTGTCTCAGTCTCCTGAGTAGCGGGATTACAGGCACCTGCCACCATGCTCCACTACCCCACTAATCTTTTGTATTTTTAGTAGAGACAGGATTTCACCATGTTGGCCAGGCTGGTCTCAAACTCCTGACCTCATGATCCGCCCGCCTTGGCCTCCCAAAGTGTTGGGATTACAGGCGTGAGGCATCATGCCCGACAGATCTCCATTTTTTTAGAGTTGGTTTCTGGAATTTTATTTTGTTCCTTTGATTAGACCATATTTATTCGTGTGTGTGTGTGTGTGCATATACATGTATGTGTATGCATGTGCTTTGTTATTTTTCTTGTGTGATTTGTGCATTTGAAAAAACAGCCACCTCTCCCAGTTATATGGGCTGGCTTTGTATAGAATAAGAACTTCACCAATGAGCCTGGCTAGAGAATCTGGGAACCTCTCAACCCTTTTATGGGGATGTGTCTTCACTGGGGTTATGTATCCAACTTCCCAATTAGAAAGGTTTGTCAATTTCTTTTTTCAGCTTGTAACATCTTTCTTTATCTAGTGTTTGTCTGGGGTACTGCAGGATTTCTGGTGCTACAAAAAACTGCTGAGCTCTTTTTTGTTCTCTATGACCCCAGGCACCTAAAATATGTCAGCTCCATCAGAGATACATGTCAAGTGAGGTAGAAATCAGTCTATCAGACAACACCCTGAAATAACCAAATTTAACTTATTTAACTCTTCTATTTTCCACCAAAGAAGAAAGTGTGAATTACAATTTTTCTCCTAATTGTGTTGAGTCATGTGGCTTGGAGAAAGGAATGATGCAGTTGAAATCAAACAGCTTCTCTTACACATTCCAACAGGGCTGTCCTTGGCTTTGAGCTTACCTGGGGGTACTGTTACCTCCTAACTGGTATCTGAAGATCTCATAAAGACTTTTTGGACTGTATATTTTTGTTCAGTTGGTGTCTCTGTAGGAGAATAAAGTCTGAGGCTTCCTATTCTGTCATCTTGCTGTCAATCCTCTAATTTTATTTCTATCTTTCTACCAAATAGATAGGTAATTGTCCTACAGGCACTTGTTGACAAGTTTATCTTTATATCGTTTTTCCACTGCCTTTCAATGCTACTTTTGTAAGTTCCCAGAGATGCATGGGCCTTTTTAAGGACAATTAATTCAATTCCTTTCACCGATTTGCCTCTTCCTTAACCAATATCACACTGTTTCAGTTACTAAAGCAGAATACTTAGTTATGATCTCTGTTAGAGTATATACTCCTACTTTATTTTTTATGTTGTCTTAAGTCTTTGTTTTATATCCCTTTAAAATCACTAGGTAAAATCCCCCCCAAAAATTTCTTGAAATTCAGATAGAAATTGCACTGAATTAATTAATTAATTTCGGTGGGTATTGTCATATTTACAATAATGAATTTTTCCATCCCATCTATCAATGTACTCAGATCTTTTTCTTTTTGCCCTTCAAAAGTTATTTGTAATTGTCTCCATTCAAGTTTTACACATCTTTTGTTCAACTTATTTCTGAGTAATATATAATTCTTGTTGCTACTGCCAATGATATCTAATTTTTATGACAGATATTAAATGGCTTTACTAATGTATGAAAGTGCTATTAATGTGTTAACTGATTTTAAATCAAACCAACCACAATTTTCCTCATTTTTGTAACCCTGTTTTGATATCATTACTTTTAATATTCTGGGATCTCAAAACCTGGAAGTGACTTGGGCACCTTCTGATTTTTGAGAGGACTTGGATAAGCATATCACAGAACAAAGTGCCAAAGCAAGTCAATGGTAAAGAAATGAGATCTGAATGTCATTGTTTAGTTACCTATTCATTGCTGAGGTCCTCAAACTTCAGCATACTTCAGAACCACCCATAAGAGGTGTTCATGCAGTAGGGCTGGTGTTAGGTCATATAATCTGCATTTTTAAGTCAACTAAGAGAGTCTCATTAAGATAATCCTTAGGCCACACTTGAATAAGCAGGGATCTATGGCATCTTCTGGCCAGAGGAGTTGCAATATAACTGATGGCATCTTGGTTATGAATTTTGCTAAGGATTTTTGCCTAGTATGCTGCCCTATTAACTTTTGCCATGAGTTAGGGAAGTCTATCTTTCGAGATTAAAAACATTTCCCCAATTATGGTCAGTTTGTTTATTTTGTCTTCCTGCCAACTGCGTCCTCCTTATTCTCAGTGTTAGCAGCTGTGGTCAATGCATTTCGGAGTTTCTTGTTTCTTGCTAAAATTGTTGGCCATGAACTAACTAATTAGTTGGCTTGCGGGCACAGGAGCTACTGTAGTATAATCACAGTCCTTAGCAAGAAAATGAAGCCTGGAGTATTTATGAGATCAACTTTGATCTTAATGTTGTGGTGAGCCTCATGTGTATTATAGGGGTAAGCCAAGATGAAGGGAAAAACAGAGAAATCCAAACGGATATACAGCTGATCCTTGAACAACATGGGTTTGAACTGTGTGGATCCACTGATGCATGGATGTTTTCCAATAAATATACTAGAAATTTGTATGGAGATTTGCAACAATTTGAAAAAACTTACAGATGAACTGCTTACCCTAGAAATATTGACAAAAAAATAAGAAAAAGTTAAGTACGTAATGAATGCAGAAAATATATGTAGATACTAGTCTATTTTACTATTTACTACCATAAAATGCACACAATACTGTTATCTAAAGTTGAAATTCATTAAAAGTACTTATAGACCATTCATGGTGCCACTAGCAGTCAAGAGAAATATAAACAGAAAGATACAGTATTAAATCATAACTGCACAAAATTAAGTACATACTGCACTACCCTAATAACTTTATAGTTACCTCCTGTTGCTACTGCAATGAGCTCAACTGTTGCAAGTGTCCACTGAAAATGCCATGTGATGCTAATCATCTCTGTGTGAGCAGTCACTCTAGCAAATTGTGAATCAGTAAAAAGTGATTGCTTGCTGTTCTCACATATTTTTCATTATGGTTAGTGCAATACCATAAACTTTGAAGAACACCAAGGGACCATACAAAGTGTCATTGGTGATGCTGGAAGTACTCCCAGGAAGCATAGAGAAGTCATGACATTACAATACAAGGTTGAATTTCTTGATATGTACCTTAGACTGAGGTCTGAAGCTGTGGTTTGCTGCCATTCAAGATAAATGAATCCAGCACAAGGATCACTGTAAAAAAAGATAAATTCATAAAGCCTTTGCTGTAGCTATGCCAGTAGGCATGAAAATGTTGTACTTTTGGGGAAATACATTTTTATCTCATATTGAAATTGTCATTTTTATGTAAGTATGGGATTGGTATCAGAAAAGCATACCTAGACACTAATATGATTTGAAAAAAGTGGCGTCACTATATGACAATTTAAAGCAAATGGAAGATGAAGGATCTAAAGCTAGAGAATCTAATGACAGCAAAGGATGGTTTAATAATTTTAGAAAAAGTTTGGCTTTAAAAATGTCAGATAACTGGAGAAGCAGCTTCTTCTGAAAAAGAGGCAGCAGGCAGGTACCCAGATACCATTACAAAAATCATTGAGAAGAAAGGATATCTGCATGAACAGGGTTTAAATGCAGATGGAAGTGCTTTGTTCTGGATATAAATGCCATAAAGGACATAAATTAATAAGGAAAAGGAGCAAGCACCAAGATTTAAGGCAGAAAGGGATATGCTAACTCTACTATTTTGTGCAAATGCAATAATATTTATGATTAAGACTGACTTTATGTATAAAGCTGCATACCCAAAAGCCTTGAAGGGAAAAGATAAACACCAACTGCAAGTTTTTTTTATGGGCAACAAGAAGGCCTGGATAGTGAGAACCCTTTTTCTGGATTAGTTCCATTGATGCTTTGTCCCTGAAGTCAGGAAGCACTTTGCCAGTAAGAGACTGCCTTTTAAAGATTTTTTGATATTGGACAATGCCCCCCTGGCCACTCAGAATGTCATAAGGTCAACAGCACAGGTGTGGAAGTGGTCTACTTGCCCTCAAAACCAATGTCTGTAATTCAGCCTCAAGATCAGGGGCCATAAGGACCTTTAAGGCTCACTCATTACACGTGATACTTTATGGAAAGGATTGTCAACACTATTGAAGAGATCCCCAGTAGAGAGAATGTCATAAAAGTCTGGAAGGATTAAACCATTAAAGATGCCATCATTTTTTTTTAATTTTTTTAATTTTTTTATTTTATTATTATTTAAGTTTTAGGGTACATGTGCACAACGTGCAGGTTAGTTACATATGTATACATGTGCCATGCTGCTGTGCTGCACCCATTAACTCGTCATTTAGCATTAGGTATATCTCCTAAAGCTATCCCTCCCCACTCCCCCCACCCCACAACAGGCCCCAGAGTGTGATGTTCCCCTTCCTGTGTCCATGTGTTCTCATTGTTCAATTCCCACCTATGAGTGAGAATATGCAGTGTTTGGTTTTTTGTTCTTGCGATAGTTTACTGAGAATGATGATTTCCAATTTCATCCATGTCCCTACAAAGGACATGAACTCATCATTTTTTATGGCTGCATAGTATTCCATGGTGTATATGTGCCACATTTTCTTAATCCAGTCTATCATTGTTGGACATTTGGGTTGGTTCCAAGTCTTTGCTATTGTGAATAGTGCCGCAATAAACATATGTGTGCATGTGTCTTTATAGCAGCATGATTTATAATCCTTTGGGTATATAACCAGTAATGGGATGGCTGGGTCAAATGGTATTTCTAGTTCTAGATCCCTGAGGAATCGCCACACTGACTTCCACAATGGTTGAACTAGTTTACAGTCCCGCCAACAGTGTAAAAGTGTTCCTATTTCTCCACATCCTCTCCAGCACCTGTTGTTTCCTGTCTTTTTAATGATTGCCATTCTAACTGGTGTGAGATGGTATCTCATTGTGGTTTTGATTTGCATTTCTCTGATGGCCAGTGATGGTGAGCATTTTTTCACGTGTTTTTTGGCTGCATAAATGTATTCTTTTGAGAAGTGTCTGTTCATGTCCTTCGCCCACTTTTTGATGGGGTTGTTTGTTTTTTTCTTGTAAATTTGTTTGAGTTCATTGTAGATTCTGGATATTAGCCCTTTGTCAGATGAGTGGATTGCAAAAATTTTCTCTCCTTCTGTAGGTTGCCTGTTCACTCTGATGGTAGTTTCTTTTGCTGTGCAGAAGCTCTTTAGTTTAATTAGATCCCATTTGTCAATTTTGGCTTTTGTTGCCATTGCTTTTGGTGTTTTAGACATGAAGTCCTTGCCCATGCCTATGTCCTGAATGGTAATGCCTATGTTTTCTTCTAGGGTTTTCATGGTTTTAGGTCTAACATTTAAGTCTTTAATCCATCATGAGTTAATTTTTGTATAAGGTGTAAGGAAGGGATCCAGTTTCAGCTTTCTACATATGGCTAGCCAGTTTTCCCAGCACCATTTATTAAATAGGGAATCCTTTCAGCATTGCTTGTTTTTCTCAGGTTTGTCAAAGATCAGATAGCTGTAGATATGTGGCGTTATTTCTGAGGGCTCTATTCTGTTCCATTGATCTATATCTCTGTTTTGGTACCAGTACCATGCTGTTTTGGTTACTGTAGCCTTGTAGTATACTTTGAAGTCAGGTAGCGTGATGCCTCCAGCTTTCTTCTTTTGGCTTAGGATTAACTTGGCGATGCAGGCTCTTTTTTGGTTCCATGCGAACTTTAAAGTAGTTTTTTCCAATTCTGTGAAGAAAGTCATTGGTAGCTTGATGGGGATGGCGTTGAATCTATAAATCACCTTGGGCAGTATGGCCATTTTCATGATATTGATTCTTCCTACCCATGAGCATGGAATGTTCTTCCATTTGTTTGTATCCTCTTTTATTTCATTGAGCAATGGTTTGTAGTTCTCCTTGAAGAGGTCCTTCATGTCCCTTGTAAGTTGGATTCCTAGGTATTTTTTTCTCTTTGAAGCAATTGTGAATGGGAGTTCACTCATGATTTGGCTTTCTGTTTGTCTGTTATTGGTGTATAACAATGCTTGTGATTTTTGTTCATTGATTTTGTATCCTGAGACTTTGCTGAAGTTGCTTATCAGCTTAAGGAGATTTTGGGCTGAGACAATGGGGTTTTCTAGATATACAATCATGTAATCTGCAAACAGGGACAATTTGACTTCCTCTTTTCCTAATTGAATACCTTTTATTTCCTTCTCCTGTGTAATTGCCCTAGCCAGAACTTCCAACACTATGTTGAATAGGAGTGGTGAGCGAGGGCATCCCTGTCTTGTGCCAGTTTTCAAAGGGAATGCTTCCAGTTTTTGCCCATTCAGTATGATATTGGCTGTGGGTTTGTCATAGATAGCTCTTATTATTTTGAGATACGTCCCATCAATACCTAATTTATTGAGAGTTTTTAGCATGAAGCGTTGTTGAATTTTGTCAAAGGCCTTTTCTGCATCTATTGAGATAATCATGTGGTTTTTGTCTTTGGTTCTGTTTATATGCTGGATTACGTTTATTGATTTGCGTATGTTGAACCAGCCTTGCATCCCAGGGATGAAGCCCACTTGATCATGGTGGATAAGCTTTTTGATGTGCTGCTGGATTCGGTTTGCCAGTATTTTATAGAGGATTTTTGCATTGATGTTCATCAAGGATATTGGTCTAAAATTCTCTTTTTTGGTTGTGTCTCTGCCCTGCTTTGGTATCAGGATGATGCTGGCCTCATAAAATGAGTTAGGGAGGATTCCCTCTTTTTCTATTGATTGGAATAGTTTCAGAAGGAATGGTACCAGTTCCTCCTTGTACCTCTGGTAGAATTCGGCTGTGAATCCTTCTGGTCCTGGACTCTTTTTGGTTGGTAAGCTATTGATTATTGCCACAATTTCAGAGCCTGTTATTGGTCTATTCAGAGAGTCAACTTCTTCCTGGGTTAGTCTTGGGAGAGTGTATGCGTCGAGGAATTTATCCATTTCTTCTAGATTTTCTACTTTATTTGCATAGAGGTGTTTGTAGTATTCTCTGATGGTAGTTTGTATTTCTGTGGGATCGGTGGTGATATCCCCTTTATCATTTTTTATTGCATCTATTTGATTCTTCTCTCTTTTCCTCTTTATTAGTCTTGCTAGCAGTCTATCAATTTTGTTGATCCTTTCAAAAAACCAGCTCCTGGATTCATTAATTTTTTGAAGGGTTTTTTGTGTCTCTATTTCCTTCAGTTCTGCTCTGATTTTAGTTATTTCTTGCCTTCTGATAGTTTTTGAATGTGTTTGCTCTTGCTTTTCTAGTTCTTTTAATTGTGATGTTAGGGTGTCAATTTTGGATCTTCCCTGCTTTCTCTTGTGGGCATTTAGTGCTATACATTTCCCTCTACACACTGCTTTAAATGTGTCCCAGAGATTCTGGTATGTTGTGTCTTTGTTCTCATTGGTTTCAAAGAACATCTTTCTTTCTGCCTCCATTTACTTATTTACCCAGTAGTCATTCAGGAGCAGGTTGTTCAGTTTCCATGTAGTTGAGCAGTTTTGAGTGAGTTTCTTAATCCTGAGTTCTAGTTTGATTGCACTGTGGTCTGAGAGACAGTTTGTTATAATTTCTAATCTTTTACATTTGCTGAGGAGAGCTTTACTTCCAAGTGTGTGGTCAATGTTGGAATAGGTGTGGTGTGGTGCTGAAAAAAATGTATATTGTATTGATTTGGGGTGGAGAGTTCTGTAGATGTCTATTAGGTCCGCTTGGTGCAGAGCTGAGTTCAATTCCTGGGTATCCTTGTTAACTTTCTGTCTCGTTGATCTGTCTAAAGTTGACAGTGGGGTGTTAAAGTCTCCCATTATTATTGTGTGGGAGTCTAAGTCTCTTTGTAGGTCACTCAGGACTTGCTTTATGAATCTGGGTGTGCCTTTATTGGGTGCATATATATATAGGATAGTTAGCTCTTCTTGTTGAATTGATCCCTTTACCATTAAGTAATGGCCTTCTTTGTCTCTTTTGATCTTTGTTGGTTTAAAGTCTGTTTTATGAGAGACTAGGATTGCAACCCCTGCATTTTTTTGTTTTCCATTTGCTTGGTAGATCTTCCTCCATCCTTTTATTTTGAGCCTATATGTGTCTCTGCATGTGAGATGGGTTTCCTGAATACAGCACACTGATGGGTCTTGACTCTTTATCCAATTTACCAGTCTGTGTCTTTTAACTGGAGCATTTAGTCCATTTACATTTAAAGTTAATATTGTTATGTGTGAATTTGATCCTGTCATTATGATGTTAGCTGGTTATTTTGCTCGTTAGTTGATGCAGTTTCTTCCTAGCCTTGGTGGTCTTTACAATTTGGCATGATTTTGCAGTGGCTGGTACCGGTTATTCCTTTCCATGTTTAGTGCTTCCTTCAGGAGCTCTTTTAGGGCAGGCCTGGTGGTGACAAAATCTCTCAGCATTTGCTTGTCTGTAAAGGATTTTATTTCTCCTTCACTTATGAAGCTTAGTTTGGCTGGATATAAAATTCTGGGTTGAAAATTCTTTTCTTTGAGAATGTTGAATATTGGCCCCCACTCTCTTCTGGCTTGTAGAGTTTCTGCCGAGAGGTCCGCTGTTAGTCTGATGGGCTTCCCTTTGTGGGTAACCCGACCTTTCTATCTGGCTGCCCTTAACATTTTTTCCTTCATTTCCACTTTGGTGAATCTGACAATTATGTGTCTTGGAGTTGCTCTTCTTGAGGAATATCTTTGTGGCATTCTCTGTATTTCCTGAATCTGAATGTTGGCCTGCCTTGCTAGATTGGGGAAGTTCTCCTGGATAATATCCTGCAGAATGTTTTCCAACTTGGTTCCCTTCTCCCCGTCACTTTCAGGTACACCAATCAGACGTAGATTTGGTCTTTTCATATAGTCCCACATTTCTTGGAGTCTTTGTTTGTTTCTTTTTATTCTTTTTTCTCTAAACTTCCCTTCTCACTTCATTTCATTCATTTCATCTTCCATCACTGACACCCTTTCTTCCAGTTGATTGCGTCAGCTCCTGAGCCTTCTGCATTCTTCAGGTAGTTCTCGAGCCTTGACTTTCAGCTCCATCAGCTCCTTTAAGCACTTCTCTGTATTGCTTATTCTAGTTATACATTCGTCTAAATTTTTTCCAAAGTTTTCAACTTCTTTGCCTTTGGTTTGAATTTCCTCCTGTAGCTCGGAGTAGTTTGATCGTCTGCAGCCTTCTTCTCTCAACTCATCAAAGTCATTCTCCATCCAGCTTTGTTCCATCGCTGGTGGGGAGCTGTGTTCCTTTGGAGGAGGAGAGGTGCTCTGCTTTTTAGAGTTTCCTGTTTTTCTGCTCTGTTTTTTCCCCATCTTTGTGGTTTTATCTACTTTTGGTCTTTGATGATGGTGATGTACAGATCGGTTTTTGGTGTGGATGTCTTTTCTGTTTGTTAGTTTTCCTTCTAACAGACAGGACCCTCAGCTGCAGGTGTGTTGGAGTTTGCTAGAGGTCTACTCCAGACCCTGTTTGCCTGGGTACCAGCAGCAGTGGCTGCAGAACAGCGGATTTTCATGAACCGCGAATGCTGCTGTCTGATTGTTCCTCTGGAAGTTTTGTCTCAGAGGAGTACCCGGCCGTGTGAGGTGTCAGTCTGCCCCTACTGGGGGGTGCCTCCCAGTTAGGCTGCTCGGGGGTCAGGGGTCAGGGACCCACTTGAGGAGGCAGTCTGCCCGTTCTCAGATCTCCAGCTGCATGCTGGGAGAACCACTGCTCTCTTCAAAGCGAGGAGGCAGTCTGCCCATTCTCAGATCTCCAGCTGCATGCTGGGAGAACCACTGCTCTCTTCAAAGCTGTCAGACAGGGACATTTATGTCTGCAGTGGTTACTGCTGTCTTTTTGTTTGTCTATGCCCTGTCCCCTGAGGTGGAGCCTACAGAGGCAGGCAGGCCTCCTTGAGCTGTGGTGGGCTCCATCCAGTTCGAGCTTCCCAGCTGCTTTGTTTACCTAAGCAAGCCTGGGCAATGGCGGGCGCCCCTCCCCCAGCCTCGCTGCCGCCTTGCAGCTTGATCTCAGACTGCTGTGCTAGCAATCAGCGAGACTCCGTGGGCGTAGGACCCTCCCAGCCAGGTGAGGATATAATCTCCTGGTGCACTGTTTTTTCAGCCCATCGGAAAGCGCAGTATTGGGGTGGGAGTGACCCGATTTTCCAGGTGCCGTCTGTCACCCCTTTCTTTGACTAGGAAAGGGAACTCCCTGACCCCTTGCACTTCCAGAGCGAGGCAATGCCTCGCCCTGCTTCGGTTCGCGCGGTGCGCTGCACCCACTGTCCTGCACCCACTGTCTGGCACTCCCTAGTGAGATGAACCCGGTACCTCAGATGGAAATGCAGAAATCACCCGTCTTCTGCGTCGCTCACGCTGGGAGCTGTAGACGGGAGCTGTTCCTATTCCTCCATCTTGGCTCCCCCCCACCGATGCCATCATTGTTATAGAAAAAGCTATGAAAACCATCAAGTCAATAAATAAAACAATAAATTTCTGCTGAAGAAAACTGTTTCTTGATGTCGTACATGACTTTAGCAGATTTATAACAGAGCCAATCAAGGAAACCATAAAAGAGATTGTGGATATGGCCAAAAAGGTAGGGGGTAAAGGGTTTCAAGATATGGATATTGGAGAAATTAAGGAGCTAATACACTTAACACCAGAGGAATTAACAAAAGATGAGTTGATGGAGATGAGTGCTTCTGAACAAGTGCCAGATGATTAGGAAGATGTAGAAGATGCAGTGCCAGAAAACAAACTGACATTAGACAATCTAGCAGAAGGGGTCCAATTATTCAAGAGGGCTTTTGACTTCTTTTACAACAAGGACCCTTCTAGGACACAGACACTGAAACTAAAGCAAACAGTTGAAGAAGGATTGATACCATGTAGAAACATTTTTAGGAAAATGAAGAAGCAAAAAGTAAGAGAAAATACAATATATTTCCATAAATTTACACAATTTGTGCCTGCCTCTCCTGCTTTCCCTTCTACCTCCTCCACCTCTTCCATCAGAGACAGCAAAATCAACCCCTCCTCCTCCTCAGTCTACTAAACGTGAAGATGAAGAGGATAAAGACCTTTACGATGATCCACTTCTACTTAAGAAATAGTAAATATATTTTCTCTTCCATATGATTTTCTATAACATTTTCTTTTCCCTAGCTTACTTTATTGTAAGACTGTAGTATATAATATACACAGAATAAAAATGTATATTAATCAACTGTTAATGTTATTGATAGGGCTTCCAGTAACAGCAGGCTATTAGTAGTTAAGTCTTCGGGGAATCAAAAGTAATACACAAATTTTTGACCACACGAGGGTTGCCACCCATAAGCCCTACATTGCTAAAGTGTCAACTCTGTGTGTGTGTGTGTGTATACACAAACACACACACACATATATACACTTATATAATATACACTCAACAAACACAGAAATACACACACATATAAGATGTATATCTTTCTATGGTTTTTGAAAGTAAAAATATTTTATTTTTTAAAGTTTTTCTTCATAAAATGACCTCAGGGAAAGATACTGGTTTGTCTAAAAGCTGTGAACCAAATATCCCCCAATTGTTCAAAGTGAAGAGTGATGTCATTCTTACTTGATAGTGACCAAAGAAGAGCGTAAACTGGGTATTTACAAATCCATGCTGCATTAATCGAACGGTGAATCTCCTTTCAGTATCTTACTAAATAAGATTGTTCACTTGGGCATTTTTGCTTCTTGGCACATATTGGAGTAAGCAGAGTCATCTGTTATTTTGTGATGTTCTTACCTCTGGTTTCTAAAGTTCTGAGAAAAAAAATGCAAGGAGGAGAATCTAATATTTATTGAGTTCCTAAAACATGCCAGACTGTATCTTAGGCATAATCCCATATTTTATCACTGATTTAATCTTCATAATAACCCAATGGAATAAGATATTATTATAATCTCCATGAGATCATCAGATTGAGAAGATCAAGGCTAGGCAATTCACTCTGCCTGTCCAAGGCCACATAGGTAGCAAATTATTGGGCCATGAATTGAATCTAAGACCATCTAACATAAGGCTCAGGTTCTTCATGTATTCCATCTCACTGTCTTTTATATTAGGACACAAATCAGATTAGGGAACATTTATGGAGAGACTTGATCCAAAAATATAGTTCTCTTTATGGAAGAAGAACTCCTTGAATTGATGAATGAATGTATGTTCCCCTGTGTGTGGGAGTGTGTATTCCTTTGGGCTATTTCTATAGACTTACCACACAGTAGTTAATTCTCCTCTGTGTTTAAAAGTGCTCAGGTGAAAGCTTGTAATAAGTACCGTGCTAAACTATTCTCTAGGTTGTCAAATAAAACCCAGATACTCTAAGAAACTACAGCAAGAGCCCAGATGGATCACTGAAATAGGTTTCACCCCTCTGGAGAGTCTCAAAAATGCAAATAACTCATTTAAACAACAGCTCGTGAGCTGACTTATGCCAGTTCTTCTCTAATTAGATGTGTACTTTCATTTAATGGGAGTCAATGGGAAGGAATAGTATTTAGTGAGATCTGCCCTCAAGAATAAAAGAAGGCAGCAGAAGTTAAAGGGCAATTTCTAGCTACCAATGTGCGTGGGATAAAAAATAATTAACTATAGCTATAAGAGTTTTGTAAAGTGGATTAGTTTTGTAACTTCTTAATCTTTGAGACCTTGCTTTCTTCTACTTCTCCACAGTGATTAGTATGAAAACCTGTTAAAAGCAAAAGGCCTGTGGACTGGTGTAGCTTGTATTGTAGCCTGTACTACAGTGGCTTCAACTAAATTCTGACCATCACAGTCCTGACCTTCTGCTCAAAGAGAATGTCTAATGATGCTCTCCTTAAAAATAGTTCAGCTTCTAGTTCTGCCCAAAGGGCTCAGGAGGAACCACAAGCTGTACTCTTTTCACAAAAAGAATATACTTTTGAATTAGTGCATAAGCAAAAACTTAAGAACATTTTGTAAGTGATTACAAAGGCTGAAATAAGGAACAACATGCTGGTTCAGACTGCTGGGAAGAGAATATTGGGAACTCAAAAGATCAATAAAACTTGGAGGAAAAACTGAATCCAAAAATTACAGGGACAATTTTCTTAATAATTGTTTTTTAAACCATTTTCTTATATGAGAAGGAAATAGAAATTAATATCAAATGACATTGGTTCTGTGAAGAATATAGTTATTCAGCATAAATTAACTATAAAGATAGAAAATCTAGAGCTTTATTTTTGTTGTATTCAAATGTTTTGAGCTGAAGAATCCCTCTAGGCATCATTATAGGTGATTTGACCTGCTTCTGATACTGATACAAAGAGCAAAACATGACAAGCAGTAATCCCTTAAATTGTTGGTTTCATGGAATTATTTCTGCCTGAATATGTTGTATTTTTTTTCAAGGGAGAAAAGAAATGAGGAGTTCTGGTAAGTGTGTCTATACCCAATATTCCAGAATAAAGTAGGGATAAGAATCCCAAGGGATAGAATGGCTCATATCAGTATTAAGGACAATAGGAAATCAGGCTGTCTCTGAGGTGAGACTTCAGAGAGGAAAATAAATCCCTAGGAATTGTCCTGGATCTAAAAAGTGACCTCATGGACCTAATAATAGAATGCTGACTGGATGGGTCCAGACGCATTAAAGCCACCCATATAAACATCAAGGTATTCTGACAGACAAATTTGAGTGAGTCAAATATTCTGATACTTTTTACAATGCTGAAAGAAGAATTCATAGAATCGAGAGTCATAGAGGTCACCTTATGTCGATTCTTACCAGTGAGTTCAGTTTTTCCTTTACTCACTGACAAAAGGTAGGCAGCCAATCAAAAATTCCTTCACTCAGCAAACTTTGAGTAAGAAACTTATTACCCAATTAGCTCATCTTGGGTCAAGTGCCCATCCCTGAACCATTCAGTTGTAATGAGAGAGGTGAGGGCCATGATGTATGAACTTAGCTTTGGTCATTGCAATTAGGATGAAGACGAGGGGAGGGGAGGTGGCATTTCTTAGGTGTTGCTAAGAAGCAGTTGCATAGGTATTCAATATAGCACACATGGCGATTTTTTTCAGATATCCAGATGGGTGAATTTTCTATAAGTTTCAAAGATAACATGTGTATTCTTTGTCTGGTCTTGCATTTGTAGTGGGTTCTCAAAAACAATAGCATTGTCTTCTCTCTAGTCTTCCTTCCCTTAATGATCTCATCCATTATCATGACAGCAGAAATGTTTATAACTTCTCCATGTATTTCTTGGGGAAGATCTCTTTTCCTGTGCATGAAAGCATGATGAAAAGTATGTAGATGAGGGTGTGAGAAGTGAAGATTGGCACAGGACAAAATTCTGGGGAAGAACAATATCTGGTGCACCTTATGTCAATTGGTGATAGCTGCCCAGATCATTTTATTGTGAAGAATTCTCATTCTACATCTAGCCTCTGGATCAGTTGTAGGGGAAAGGGAGAGAGATGGAGATCAGCTGTGCCATATATTTGAATCTCTTAATTGTCATCCCCAATGAAAAAGCTGTGTGGAGGGAGACAAGCTAGTAAAGGAGATGGATATAGAGAAATTAGATAGAACAGAATTAAAATAAGGTCGGGTCAAGGAAAAACACCCTTATGGCATGAAGGGAGGCTAATCATATAAAACCTAAAAGTCTAAAAGTGATCAAGTATGATAATGTCAAATAATATGTCTTTTCATGTTGGCAAGTAAGTCATTGAAAATAGCTTTTTGTGGAGTATTGATTGTGCAAACCTAATATGAGAGGACTGAAAAGCTAATGAATGATAAGAAAATGTAGACAACAATTGTAGTCTATTAAAGGAGCTGCCTATAAGTGAGAAGGAAAAGCAGTAGCTAGACTGGTGTGTAAGGTTCAGGAAGTTGTAATTTTTAATAGACAGATGTAAGCTAGAGATTTTTCACATCTGTGGAAAGGAAAATAAACTATAATCTTTATTATAACATTGTAATAGCAAAAAAGTTGGAAATGACCTACATAACCATCAATTTTTTAAAAGATAAATTTTGTATAATTATATAAGGAAAGTGGATTAATAATATTTTTTAAGTTTGTTGGAAGATATCCATTATACCATGTAAATCTTTATTCCTTTTGTTTGTCTGAAATAGTCTACTGTAAATTTTAAAAATATTTTTTTGTTTTTGAAATAAGAGAAAATAAATCAAGTGTTTATAATTCTTGTAACAAGAGAAACAGTGAGCCACCTCTGTTCCCACCTGGAATTCTACTTCCTAGATGCCATCATGTCCAAGTCTTAGTCTTGTTTTTTTAGAATTTACCCCATTAAAAAAAAAGATGCTGAGTACTTGATCCTGTATAGAACTGCACACAATGAGCACATCACCTAATCATGAGTATAGATTCCGCTTAAGAAAAGAAGTCCCTTTATAGCGTAGAGGTGTGGCTCAAGTTCATCACTGGCTAAATTTCAGACCAATATTAGCCCTAGGAATGCAAATTGAGTGGCATATGCAACAAACTTCCTACGAGATTTCAAAGATCAGGCCATATGGGAATGAAGAAGAAGGAACCTGCTGTTTGATAGTGGTGAAAGGGACAGGAAGCATGGCAATATTTGAGAAGCACCAAAACAATGAGTCAGACAGAGATGATTCTGATAAAGATTAAATACATGCAAAAAAAAGTGGCTTATATTATTACCAAATTTTGCTCTATAGATGTCTATCTCCACCCACTTAATGAGAACATGTGTTTGTCTGTTGTGTTCATTAATTCCTAATTGCCTACATAATAGGCACTCAATAAATATTTGTTGAATTAATGAATACATGCAAGAGTAGATGGAGCATGGCAAACAAAATAGAATAATATGTTGCAATGCTATGGTTGATTTTCCCTGAAAGGTTCCTTCATAAATGTAAATTGAAAATAATTATTTCTCATCCAGGTTGGAGAGCTAAAGAAAAATGCAATATGTGCTTCCAGCACCTTCCTGTTGGTCTCAGTGGAAGTCAGACAGTATTTTTGTCAACCATGTGGCTTCACCTCTCTTAGGAAGTTGCAGTCAGAAGAATTCATTTCCCAAAGTGCTTACTGATAAGAATTCCTTCAAAGTCAGAGGGTGAAGGGGCTTCATTTGGGGAAAACAGAAGGATTATCTAGGGTACATGCTTTTAAAAGCTGTTACTTCAATCTTCTCCCGTTTTATCTCCCCTGAAGAGTCTATTTGTTTTGTCTCTTCCTTTTCCCTTACTCCACACACAATTTGGCTGATAGTTTCACACACAAGATGTTTTTATTATTTACAGAAAGATCTAATGCTGAGACACTGGCATAGCTACTCATAAATTCTTCACTTGCAGATTCATTTTATGTGTTTATGAGTTACCTCCTGAGAGTTCTCATCATATTTTGCAAGGTTTGTTTTTTTCAGTCCCCCCACCATTCATGCCAGGGTTTGAATTACCAAATGTGTTCTTTAGTTTAATCTTGGTGGCTTTTTCTTTACCCTCTTTTTTTCACTGTGCTTATTTCACTGTGCTTCTGAAGAGCAAATGTGTCCTAGTGCTTTATTCTTTTGGTTCTAATCCAACAACATGACTATAAAGATCCACGAATTCCTTGTTTGTGCTTTTTCTGGTGTTGGTATTCTATTATTTCATTAAATTACATCACTATAGTGGGTTGTGGGAAGGGCAGGGGTTAGAAGCCCTGTTTTTTATCCAAGTTATGCAATTTACCAGTTCTATGAGTTTAGGCTAATCCCTCAAGCCTACTATGCCTTAGTTTATTTATCCACCCAGTAAGTAAGATAATACTGTTCTTATAGAGTTGTTGCCAAATCAACTGAGACAAAAAGCTAGTAATGTCTTCTGAAAAGCGGAAAGCACATAAATCAGACTAAATTACTATTACGAGATGTACTTTTCCAATGAGGTTGCCCTGATCACCAGCTTAGTTGTGCCAGCCCAGCCATCATTTCTAAACACTGTCAGAATTATCTGCTGTTCAAGTCAAGCAGAATCACAGCCAATCCCTTCTTAGAATCCAATTATAAAGTCATTACTTAAAACATTATTGAACACATATATGTGCTCAACCGTTCTCGAGGAGTTGCAAGTACAGTGGTTAGTCAAATATATGGATAAGTCATGAGCTCACATTCCAGCTCCCCTCATGAGTTTACATTTGAGTCAGCATTAAGATAATAGGAAAGGGTAATTTATGTAGTCTAGAATACATGCAGGCACATTTACATTTATACTGCAGAAGTGATGGTGTATCATTACCATTGCAAATTGTACATATAAATCAATTCTCCCTAAAAAATATCCCTTTCTTATTGTGTGTGCACACACCTTATAAAACTCAGGGGCATTAAAAAAACAAACAAACAAAAAATCCCAACATGGTGTTTAGGGTGGAGGTAGGGGGAATGCTCACTCCTTCAGCCAGAACCCAGCCTAAGTGACTTCATTAATAACCCTTTTATAGAAACGCCACTCTCATCTGAGACACAGCTGCTATCTTCTCTCCATCCTGACTCTCTCACTTGTTTTTTTGTGAAAGAAAATATGTTGCCTCTCATCCATGAATTGTTTTTCCTCCACAATCTCCATCACCCAAACAAAGTAATTATCTGTGTTATACTATAAACATTTCCTTTACCTCTCATTCCACACTGGAGACAACATGTATGCCTCCAAATGGTCCACTTTGGGTTTATTTAATCCTTTTGGTAGGAAGCAAAAGCTAGCTCATGCTTCATCCTTTTAATGTGGATATTGGTGGAAGACACATGGGTGGAAGGCTCAGGTCCTACAGATACCTCCTAGCAGCTGCATGAGTTTGGACAAGAGACAATTCTTCTGCGCCTCAGTTTCTTCATCTGAAAAATGAGATAATAAAAATTGCTCGTCTGATAACATTCTTGTGAAAGTTAAATTAGCTAGTGCATGTAATAAACTACCTGGTAAAGGATGGTCATTCAATCAATATTAGATAGTGGTATTATTTTTTGATAGGGTAAATGCAACTGCTCAGTGGATTCTTCTTGCCTGCTGCCCAGATAGACCCAAATTATCAAGGCAGGGGAAATGCAATAAAATATTTTACACATATATAGCTAAACAAGAGACTGGAGTTCTATTATTACTCAAATCAGCTTCCCTGAAAATTCAGAGGATAGGGATTTTCAAGGATAGTTTGGGGGAAGTGGGGGGTGGCTTGGCAATGGGTGCTTACTGCTGATTGGTTGGGGGTACAATCATAGAGCTGTGGAAATGGTCCTTATGTGCACTGAGTCACCTCTGGTGGGGCCACAGGAGCAGTAGACGGGTCCAAATGGAGCCATGGTTGGCAGGTCCAGGTGGAGCCATTGGTAGTAAGACATGCAAAAAAACCTGAAAAGACATCTCAAAAGACCAATCTTAGGTTCTGCAATTGTGATGTTATCTGCAGGAGTAATCAGGGAAGTTGTGTAGCTTGTGACCTCCCAAATAATGGCTGGCAATAGTTTACGTCTACACCTTAGCAAAATTCAGGCTTCTCTCATCCTCCTAGCCTGGTAGTCTGTCATTAACTTTACAAAGGCTGTTGAGTTTTGGAGAAGGGCTATTATCATTTAAAATATAAACTAAATGTCTCCCAGAGTTATCTTGGCCCAAGCCCAGGAATAATTAAGGCCAGTTTGAAGGCTAAAGGAAAGATCAGGGGTTGGTTAAATCAAATCTCTTTCACTGCTATTATTTTCTCACTATTTTAATTTTTGCAAAGGTGGTTTCATAATTTGTCTTAATTTTTATCATATTCTTTTAACAGACAGCTTGGTGGCTCTAAGAGAATAAAGTTCTGTTGGATAAATATAGACTCAGATTAGATCATTATTTTATCATTAGGAAGCCACATGATAGTTGCAACATTTTGGACTCTACTATTTGTGATTTCAGGCAATTTACTTAATTTCTCTGGAGGATCTTTTCTTTGTTCATCAACAACACAAAGTGTTGGCCTCAATTTATTTCAAGTTCAAAATCATCTGAGAAGGTAAAGAAAAATAAACAAAAACAAGGATTTAAAATTATTCAGAGGAGAAACATGAATAAGAATCAAATAGAAGAGGTTTTGAGTTTATGTGGATAAGAGGAATAAGAAGATTATTTCTTGAGTCATATAAATAGACAAGGGCAATGGTCTAAACAAAAATGGTAGTTTGTAAGGTGTCTGGGTCATGGGAACCAGGAAGGATGAAACAATTAGCACTAAGTGTCAATTTCTTCGATTGTTGAGTGGATAAAATGACAATTTTAAAGTGTCTTGAAAAAGATAAAAGTGCTTTAAAAATGTGAAGCCATTTAATTCCTTCAGTGTCTTCTTGGTTTGGTTTTATTAAGTTATGAGGTATATAGTCATCCACCCTTTGTTTATTGTAAATTTAGAATCCAAAATAATTTACTTTGTTTTAACAGAATTTTTGACCTTTGCTGTTGTTACAGAATTTAAAAAGCGTTTTTCAGAACCCAAACGGGGGAGATTAGTAAAGAGTTCTAAGTGTCAGATGGCATTTGTGGGAGGCACCTTCCAACATGGTCCCCAATAATCCCACCTCCTGGTATTCATATCCTGTGTTATGCCCTTCACATTGTACCAGCGTTGGTCTACGCGACTGATAGGACATGACGGGGTGATGGTGCATCACTTCTGAAATTAGATTACAGAAGAATATGTGGCCTCCATCTGGGTCCCTCATTCTCTTTTTCCCCTTAGAATGTAAGTCAGATACAGGGTTGTCAGCCGCCCTATAGAGAAGCTCACGGGTGAAAAACTAAAACCTCTGGCCAACAGCAGGCAAGGAAGTGAGAACTACAACCAATAGCCACATGAGTGAACTTGGAAAAGGATCCTGCAGAACAGGTAACCTTCAGAAGGCCTTAGCCCCAGCCAGCATCTTCATGGCAACCTCTGTTGTACTCTGAGCAGGAGTTACCAGCCCTCAGAAACTGTATGAGGTAACAAGTGTTCACTGTTTCAAGCTCTAGGTTTGTGGCAATTTGTTATGCTGCAATGTATAACAAATGCAGTGTTCTTCAGACTAACACTGCTCTCAAAATTAAGAAAAGGTAGAGGTCAGTGAGGCCTCAGCTCATGTGGCCAGGCAGATGCATTTCAGAGAGAATAGGCCTTGGTCTTGTTTCCTGTCTGCAGCCACATACTGTAGTTCTTCTCTCCAGGGAAGCCTCTGTTATGAGTTTCTTATTATCTTTCCAGCATTTTCTGAGCATTTCTGATACTGATTTTGAACACCTTCAATATATATTAAATACTAAGAATTTCTCCTTAGTATATATGGGGGAAGGAAGCATGTAAACTTGTGAAAAACTTTGTCCTATGTTATAAATGTATCTGCAAAAGTGGATTTGTTTTCCAGTCCTAACGATACATTTCTAATTTGTAACATCTATTGCCTGAACTTGCTTTCTTTTCATTCTGCTTTTCTATTTTGTCCAGATCCATAGAACAGACTCTTCAAAGTTGCATTTGGACTTGGGACTATTTCAAAATCACTTGAGCAAACACTTCTCTAAATGACCACTTTTCATTCGTTCAGCAGACTAGCTCTCATGAGTTAGTCTTTCCTCCCTTTCTGGAAGATATTTAGCTCTCATTGATAATTCATTAACTGTTTTTAACAAATGTGTAGTTAGCTTTCATTAATAATTCATTATTTGTTTTAATAGTTAGGAGCAGCTGAGGGTCCCTGGACACTGAATTTACCTTTTAGAGTTGAAAAGACCTTCAGCCTTTTTGAGTTGAGAAAAGTTTAACCAATTTAATTACTAAGGTTTTGTTCTTGCCTATTAGCCTCACAAGCTTCTGAGACTTTTTAAGCAGAGGCTGTTAAGTTGTGACAATTTTCTTTTGGGGAGATTATTTGTATCATACATTGGCTTTGGAATCACACTGCCTATGTTCTATTTCCTTTTTTATTTTAATTTAACTTTTAAAAATATAAAAGGCCATTTGAGTTAACATTCTAAGACAACAAAAATGTATTTCAGTCTCAGATATACAAAAAGGAAGTTCTTTATTTTTACTTGCTGATAATTTTTTTTCAAATGTTTCCACATTCCTTTGTCATAGTTTCCATGGTTATGTTTATGTCTTTTTTGTAGCCACTGTTTTCTGTTTAGCATGTGTTTCACTTCATTTTAAAGTTTACTACTAATTTTATTTTTAACCCCAGACCACAAAGCATATTTACATGATTTAAAACATTTACACACAATAATTTCAAAATTCTAACAGTCATAAAAGCCATGGCAGTCATGCTGTTTTACTTAATCCACAGAGTGTACTTATTTTTATTTTGATTTTTTAGAAGGCTATTTTTTTTGCCTTTAGCTGTGTGTTTCTGAACTTTTATTTTTACTAGTATAATTAATTTTGCACATAGCTTTGCAGAATGTGCAACAAGTTACACAATTCAAAGAGATTTTCTCCAGCTTGCTTTCATTTCCTTTGCCCTGGTCTAATACTAACATTTGCTCCCAGGCTCTACCAATTTCCTCCATCCAAACTCAACTGACTTTATTTTTTGTTTCTGGCCCTTGCTCCATGGGACCAACCACTAATACGTTACTATCTATGATTTTCCAGGTTTTCTAATTTTATTTTTTCCATCTTAACATTCATCACCAGTCAATATTGGTCTATCTACCTAACACACAGTGCCAGTCTATCTTTCTCTGTGAAAACTGCTTGTGTGGCACATAATTTAGGGCTTGTTTAGTCACGGTTCTCCAGAGAAGCAGAACCATTAGGAAGATATATCTATATATCTATATCAATATCCATATCATCTATATCTGTGTCATCTATATATATACATATATACATATGCACACACATATATAAAACAGCAAGAGTGAGAGAGGGAGAGATTGAGTATGAGGAATTGGCTCATGTGATTAAGGAGGCTGAGAATTCCCATGATCTCGATCTGCAAGCTGGAGAACCAGGAAAGCCGAGGGTGCTGTAATTCACCCAAGGCTGAAGGACTGAGAACCAGGAAAGCCAATGATGTAAATACCAGTCTGAGGCCTGGTGAGGGTGAGATAAAACATCCCACAAGCAGTGAGGCTGGGAGGAGAAAAAAGGAGAAAATTCCTCCTTCCTCCAATTCTTGTTCTATTTAGGCCTTCAGCGGATTGGCTGATGCGCAGCCACACAGAGAAAGGCAGTCTACTTCACTGGGTTCACCAATTCAAATGCTAATCTTATCAGGAAACACCTTCGTGGACACACCCAGATGTGCTTAATCTGGGCATCCCTGACCAGTCAAGTTGACATATAAAATTAATCTTCATGGAGCTTGATAAATTAAAATCTTAACAAAAATAATAAACAGCAAGGAAAGGCCAATCTTCTGATAAGAAAACACTTCATCAGTATAAAACATAGAAACAGACATTGCTCCTAGACTCCTGGAGGCTGTAACAAAGGTGGCAGTTCACTGTGAGAAAGTTTACATTTAGTAGTTCTCCCAGTTGAATGTACTCAGGAAAATATAATACCACCTGAAATGCTTGTAAGTGTTGCTAATTTCTTTCTTCTTCTTCTTCTTCCTCTTCTTCTTTTTTTTTTTTTTTTTTGAGATGGAGTCTCTCTCTGCCACCCAGGCTGGAGTGCAATGGCATGATCACTACAACCTCTGCCTCCTGGGTTCAAGCGATTCTCCTGCCTCAGCTTCTTGAGTAGCTGGGATTACAGGTGTGGGCCACCATGCCTGGCTCATTTTTGTATTATTAGTAAGGACGGGGTTTCACCATGTTGGCCAGGCTGGTCTTAAACTCCCGACCTCAGGTAATCCACCTGCCTCAGCCTCCCAAAGTGATGGGATTACAGGCATGAGCCACCACAATGTTGCTAATTTCCAGGCCCAACCCCTAAAAACTCTGATTCAGTCATCCTGGAGTGCAATCCAAGAATCTGCACCCCACAAGATTTCCAGGAAACCAGGTTTAGTCTCATGCTTTGAGGAAAGGACATTGTGATGAGAAACACAGAAAGCTCTTTTAACATGTATATGCTCACAGTATTGAAACAAGGAGAAAGATAAATGTAGTGTCTTTCCTGCACAAGAAACAAAAGGATTATAAATCATGCTGCTATAAAGACACATGCACATGTATGTTTATTGCGGCACTATTCACAATAGCAAAGACTTGGAACCAACCCAAATGTCCAACAATGATAGACTGGGTTAAGAAAATGTGGCACATATACACCATGGAATACTATGCAGCCATAAAAAATAATGAGTTCATGTCCTTTGTAGGGACATGGATGAAGCTGGAAACCATCATTCTCAGCAAACTGTCGCAAGGACAAAAAACCAAACACCGCATGTTCTTACTCATAGGTGGGAATTGAATAATGAGAACATATGGACACAGGAAGGGGAACATCACACTCTGGGGCCTGTTGTGGGGTGGGGGGAGGGGGGAGGGATAGCATTAGGAGATATACCTAATGCTAAATGACGAGTTAATGGGTGCAGCACACCAACATGGCACATGTATACATATGTAACTAACCTGCACATTGTGCACAAGTACCCTAAAACTTAAAGCATAAAAAAAAGAAAGAAAAAGGAAACAAACATTAAAAAAGACAAAAACAAATTTTTATAATAAATTTAATTTTTTTGCCTTCAGTTCTCAAGGGAAAAAGAAGCAGCATCACCACACACTCCGCTCCCAGCCTTTTACTTTACTCATTTAAACTTAAAATACAAAACTTAGTCTTGAGCAAGTGTGGTTAAAAATCTAAGAGAAACAACAAAAATAGAGAAGAATCCAACATATTCAGTTACTATTTCTTCTAAAGAAGGAGAATGGAGCATCTAATATTTCTTATGCATGAAATCAAAGACATATTGAGGCACATAGCAGAAATGCTTTAATGACCTAGAGAAGGGTTGTAAAAACCTTGGCTTATTTGATTCCTCAAGTTGCACACCACCAGAAGACCATGGAGTAAGTAGTACTGAATTAAAATTTAAGCACAGAAAACTAGGTCCCAAACTATCAGAAAATGATTCCCAATTCTAAATGTTCAACCACATCTATCTTAAAACATTTATAATATTTTTTTCAAATTCTCTCATAACATTCCAAATGACTAGTTTTCTCTGCTATATTTTCTCAACTTTCAAATTAAAATTCTTTGCTTTAAAGTTAAAAAAAAAAAAAAGAAACATAACCATCCCTCCTCCAGATTTTCTAGTAGATTCTATAGTGAAGGTGAAATTAAAGGAACCATTTAAGTAAACAAGAGGAATGTATTTTTGGAAAACTGTCTCATGAAGAGTGCAAAGAAAGTATTTGAATTTGCTTTGAAACATAGAAAGAAACATTTAAAGGAAAGTAGGCCTTGTTGGCATGGTGGAAGAATCTGAAATAGCCAAGAGCAAGGCCAGCGTAAACCTTCCAAGGGCCATTCATTCTAATAATCGTGTCTTCTTTGGACATATAGCTTACTCCCATTTAATCTAGGAAGATATCTGAATTAGGCCTTTGCCTATAGAACTGTGATTCTCATTACCAGCTACACATTAGAGTTATCTGGGAGCTTTAATAAATACAAATGTCTGAATCTCACTGACTGGATAGTGGGTTTTAATTGGTCTGAAGTATGATCTGATTACCAGAATTGCTGAAAGCATTTCAGAGATTTTTAATGTGCAGGTAGATTAATAACCACTGCTCTAGTTAACTTAGCAAGTACTGCAGCAGTATAAAATTAACCTAAGATTGACAGTAGAGTAATTCACAATGCTTTGCATTTGCAGTTCATCATTAGCTAAAAACTCAATATTTTCAGTGTTTCCCAGGCCCTTAAATAAACAAAGCTCTTATTTTGAGGATTTGTCACCACACTGTTAAGAGAGTCTTTTTTTTTTTTTCTTAAGTGTCACTTTTGTAATCAGCCCTGTGTACATTCATTGTTCAGGGACAACTGCCTGATCTTTCACAGAGAAGCTTTTACTTCTGAAATTCCCAGATTCTTTCCCCAAAGTCCCTGTTCTCTGCATAGAACTTCCCTCCCCGCTCTAGCCTCGATAATATACCCTATGAGATCGGCACAAACAAGACATTCTGAGTCTTGACAGAAGGACAGAATGTGAGAGGAGAATAAAAGTTTCCTTTGTGTAGAGCATTGGTTGAACTTGCTGGTGTTGGTGAAGGAATTCAGCTTCCTGGTTGCATAGTATCTGTGTAGTTTCATTTTCATTTTCACTTTTCCCTTGTTCATTCAACAAATATTTGAATCATTACCATATGCTACTCACTTTGCTGAGCGTTAAGGATACAGTAATGAATAGGAAAGAAAGGAGTGATGAATAGGAAAGAAAGAATAGAACTGAAAGGAGGGTGGTGGAGAGTCCTTTCTCCTCAAATTTAATTTTAATAGAATAGATTTAAACACGCAGAGATTGTATAAAGCTGACAGTAGCCATCAAGTATGGCTATGAAGTGGGTTGTACCTCTGTATGGCTCTTTCTAAAACTTTGGCAGGGACCACTCAGTACTTGAGCTTTTGGTGCTAAGGTACTTCTAAGCCATGAACTTAAGCCTGCCTCTATTTGGAGGCTTTTTTTTTTCCTAAAACATGAAATTGTTTCCTAAAGAAATGAATCAAAATCCAAGCTGATTTTGCAAATAAGAAATCTTAGAAGAAAGGGATTTTGTCAGCCACTAATATAAAATCATCTGGGAATACAAAATTTTTACTGAACTAGAATCTCAGTGGCTGACAGGGGAACCTGCATTTTTAACATGGACCCCAGGACTAAAGTATGATAACTGTCACCTCAGAGAATCTGGTCTGTCTCTCATTGACATTTTTCTTTTATCAATCCCAATCAGTGAGTCCTTATGGATATTTTTCCAACTTGATTATCAAGTCAATAGGTTTCCACAAGGATTTTGAATAAGGCTATCTTCTTAAACTAGTATTAATAAATCCCGTATATGATATATGGGACGCCATCTGGTGAAGTAACAAAGGAACTTGTCTATAAATGTTTGAACTGAGGAGAGGGGAACACTCAAGGTCAGCCATCCAAAGCAAGTGAGGAGCAATTCAGGTGGGCAAGACTAGAATATGTTAGTAATCAAAACATTGAAACCTACTCAATGACATTGTAGTAGGGCTGAGAAAAGCCTGTGAACAGGTCTATTTATGCCTTCTCTCTAGTTTTAGACTTTATGTTGTCTAAAACAAACAAACAAAAAATCCTGTTATTGTCACTAAGCATTGACTGTCCAGGAGAGAAATAGAGAGAGAAAAAATAAATGTCTGATAAAAAGAGAAAGCCTTTTGTCTCTGAGTTAGAGAGGAGCCACCAGGCTTCATCATGAACTGGAGGAAGTCTTCTGAAGACTATCTCAAGACTTGGCTCAAGGTCCATAATCATTGCTCAGTTTTCTTACTGTAATCTGGAGTTCCCCTGAGATTTCAATACTAAGAGAGTGCACTGGCCAGAACATCTTTGCATCCCAGTGCCCTTAGTGTTTATTTTTCTCACTGTGAATTCATATGCTGGCATGTGGTTTATCCTTTTTTCTCTATTGAGCCTGGAGAGTATTGGTTGAGCCCCCAGCTCCATCAACCTCTCTAATTATGGTGTCAAAACAGAAAACAGAAACAGAGTTTCTTGACTTCAAACTTGAGCATTAAGACTCTGTGGGACTACACTTAGGTGAGCAGCTGGACTCATTCAATAACATGTTTAGGTTGTTTCTCAACAACCGTAACACATATGATAGACTTTTTAGAGCTCTTAGGAGACAAGCTTTTATTTTACAAAGAAGGAAACAGATTGAAAGAGGTGAAGTGGTGAGCTAAGGCCAAAAAGCAAGAACATGGATGGATAAGGACAGAAAACTTTTCAATCTAAGGGTAATGTTTCTTCTACAGCATGACAGCATCTCTCACAAACTGTGCTTGCCACAATGACTTTGTTTTCATCCACTTATATGTCCACTGAGCTTTTGATGACAGTATACCTTTGTTAGGATGCAAATAGATAAAATGACTTCATAATTATAGAAACTTTACAGTAATTTTGTCCAAGGCCCTATAGCTTCCAAAACAAATATGTATCAATATATATTGATATACTTCTTAAGCCTGGCATAGATTTCTTCTTTTCCTTTTAGTCACCTAGAAATGTCCCTATCTAAGCATATTAAAAATCAGATTGAAGACAAACAAAACTCCCTTGCTTGAAAATGTGATCTCCCTCCTTTTGAAAATAATAAAAACTGACAAAATATTTATGTTCTATTAAAAGACACAGTCAACCCTTAAACTTGGTTTTTTCCTTAAAAAACACATCACCAAGTACTAAAAGGCTAGTTCCTATGAAACTGTCTCCAGCTAGAAAGGGAGGTCAAGATGCCCCACAAATGTGATTTACTTCCTTAAGCATGTTTAGACAGATCTCTTGCACACAGAATTGCCTTTAAATAAATAGCCATATAAAATTAATTTTGTCTGTTTTGCCTCAAGTTTGTTGTGCTTGAGGTTTATTTGCCTGGTGTTTACAGGGCTGGGGTATAACAGAAAGCAGACCAGAAATCAACACATTTTATCTGGGCTCTCAATGCCATGTTTCAGAACAGTCACTGGCCTCCCACCAGACTGTTGATTGGATTCAGATTATGACCTTCCTATTCGTTCCATTTAAATTACCCTGAAGGTATGACCTCAACAGTGCTCTGAGACAGTGTTGGAATAAGCTTTGCAAACAGCCCAAGCTAGGAATTCAAAAAGCCCTCAGCAGTAGCCTAAGAAAATCTTTATTACAGAAAAACTTACAGATTTGATGTAAAACATGCTTATAATCACTTTGGGAATAGCGTTTGCATGATGTATTACAGCTTGTATGAACTGGAAAGAGAAAACCTCTTCTAAATGATTATCCAAAACAGTTTTAAACCAGGGGTATCTCTGAAACAGTAAGTTGGTATAAACAATTGTTAGGGATTTTAAAATGTAGACTGTTCTCCTTCATTTCACCTCTGATTTTCAGGTAGCTGCACAGCTCTCAGGCTAACATCTTTCTCTATATAGTTGATACTACAGTTTGTGTCTGTGTGTACCTGGCTCATGCATCTGCAGTGAAATTAATTGCCAGGGTCAGGACCACAGAAGCCAAAAGAGATTAATAGAAAAAGACATTAGTGCTTCAGAAGATAAAGGGCTTAGAATTCTACAAATATGACTCCCTCTGATTACAAAATGGTAACTTCCTACTTTTAGAACGATCAAAAAGACAGAACACAGAAACGTTAATAACAGTTGGCCTCATATTACCCAACATCCACATATGTTAGAAACTATCCATGTAATTAGAATTGAAATCTCTGAATTGCAACAGCACATCCTAACCAAAAATAGATGTGGCCAGAAGTCTACTAAGTGGGGACCACCCATCCTTCCAGGTTCTACATGAAACTGAGTGGGAGTTTGGCCCAGAAAAGGCAAAGTTCCCTTTTAAAATTGGGGGAAAAAGTAGTCTGTGAAAAATTAACAACTGTTACAGAAGTTTTAACTATTAAAAACAGAGATTGCATCTATAATACCCACATCTTGGTTTCTAATGCCATTCCCAGAAATGGAAACAAATAAACTGAAAAACAAGGATCCTTAGAGAAATGGCTGATCCAGGACCGGGATAGGAAATATACCATATGAACCTGGAACATCTCTTAGTACCTGAAAGTGAGGACATGCTCAACAAAAACCGAAACCCATTGATAGGAACATGTCAAAGGGGGAATGGGAACCAATGGAAAGAGCTCCCAATGGTCAAATTTGAAACAACTTGAGCAAACAAAATACATAAAGTAGTATTGGATTATAAACCAAAATGTAAAATAAATATTCATGAATCTGTACTTACATGAATATGAATCCCAAATAATTTATGTATTCTACTCTCAAGGAAGTGGATCATAACTCTCCACTCCATAAGTGTGTGCTGCATATAGTAACTCCCTTCTCAAGAGTGCATTATGGTAGCCAGGCGCGGTGGCTCATGCCTGTAATCCCAGCACTTTGGGAGGCCGAGGCAGGCGGATCAACTGAGGTCAGGAGTTTGAGACCAACCTGACCAACATGGAGAAATCCTGTCTCTACTAAAAATACAAAATTAGCCAGGCATGGTGGCACATGCCTATAATCCCAGCTACTAGGGAGGCTGAGGCAGGAGAATTGCTTGAACCCGGGAGGCGGAGGTTGCGGTGAGCCGAGATTATGCCATTGCACTCCAGCCTGGGCAACAAGAGTGAAACTCCGTCTCAAAAAAAAAAAAAAAAAAAAAAAGGTATTATGGAGAGGAGTGGGGGAGTACCTTTACAGTGGAGAAGCCCGACAACCATACCACGGCCAGGTGGCCATGGCTAACATCATCAGTGATAAGTCGTATTGATAGTATACATCTTTGATATGATGCAATGAGAATTACATTTTACCTCTATGGTCTTCCTCTGCCGAAACCCCACTCCTGAGAAAACAACAGACAAATTCTACAAAATACCTGGTCCATACTCCTTAAAATTTCAAGTCATCCAAAACAAACAAACAAAAGAGTCTAAGAAACTGTCACATCCAAGAGGAGCCAAAACGTAATATGGTATCCTATATGGGATCCTGGAACAGAAAAAAGAGTACACATACACACACGCACACACGCACCCCTCCTAAGCAAACCTGAATAAAGTATGGGACTTAGTTTATAATACTATATCAATATTGGTTCGTTGCTTGTGACAAATATACCATTTTAATGTGAAATGTTAATAATAGGGGAAGCTGGATGTGGGGTATATGAGGACCCTCTGCATTACCTTCATAACTTTTCTGAAAATCTAAAACTATTCTAAAATGAGAAGATGATCAAAACTAGCATTTAGTAAAAAGCAGAATAGAGTGGTAAGATAGGTGCACAATGGGTAAGGAAAAGAAGGAATAAAGGGATATAATCAGGTAATGTGCTTGAGTTTGTTGTGAAGTTATAGAAACCTGGGGAATATTTCTTAGGGACAATCCCTGTCCTGGGTGTGTGCAACACACTGATAGTCAACCTAAGGACATTTCAACCTGAGGACCATGAGGGCTCATGCATACATTTGCATGTTAGAAGGCAGGAAGAGATGAATGCCTGGAATAGAATGCCTAGGAGTTCTAAGAGGGAACAGTTGTGCTTTCTGATGTTAAGATTACAGGAAAAGGGCCAGGTGCGGTGGCTCACACCTGTAATCCCAGCACTTTGGGAGACCGAGGCGGGCGGATCACGAGGTCAGGAGATCGAGACCATCCTGGCTAACGCGGTGAAATCCTGTCTCTACTAAAAATACAAAAAATTAGCAGGGCGTTGTGGTGGGCACCTGTGGTCCCAGCTACTCAGGAGGCTGAGGCAGGAGAATGGCGTGAACCCAGGAGGTGGAGCTTGCAGTGAGCCAAGATCAGGCCATGGCACTCCAGCCTGTGCGGCAGAGCAAGACTCCATCTCAAAAAAAAAAAAAAAAAAAGATTACAGGAAAATGGTTTCTCTTCAACCCAGTTATGGAGGACTTTCAAGCCTCCAGTTCTCGTTTCTGCAGGCTTGCTCTATTCTAGGGCTGAGAGTCTAATTCCAGGAGAAAGCTTTTCAGGGATCCTTTTCATAATCAATAAACATCTGTTGAGCATCTGTTATGAAGCAGGAACTGGAAATACAGAAATGAACAGGCAGTGACTGTGCTTGCTCAGAAATAGGCAAGGGTGTTCTTTTGAATCCTCAGATTTCAATTGTCTGTGACAGAACACGGAGTTGCATTCAAGTTTTATCATCTGAGTAAGAGGATACCGTAGGGGGAGGCAGGGTTTTATGAGACCTAAATTACTATGAACACTTACTACACATGTAATACAATTTTTACCTCAAATATTCAAAAAAAAAAAAAAACAAAAGAAAGAAATGATCAGCATGAGGTCCTTCATGTCAGGAATCTCACTGAATAGTGGAGTGGGTCTGTAAGGCAGCATGAGAATTGCTAAAATAGAATTAAACATGGGCTGCTAAGGGGACATAGAAAAGAAGTATCTAGATTGTACTTGGGGTCAGTGAAGACTTGAGCTGAGTGTAGAAGGATAACTTAGAAATAGGTTAGGTGAAGGGCTGGGCCTTGAGGCAAGAGGGAGCAGCTGAACAAAGTTTGGAGGGATAAAACATGTCCCAGGTGGGTGCCGTGGCTCATGCCTGTAATCCCAACACTTTGGGAGGCCAAGGCAGGAGGATCACGAGGTCAGGAGATTGAGACCATCCTGGCTAACACAATGAAACTCTGTCTCTACTAAAAATTTTTTAAAAAATTAGCTTGGTGTGGTGGCACTTGCCTGTAATCCCAGCGACTCGGGAGGCTGAGGCAGGAGAATTGCTTCAACCCGGGAGGCGGAGGTTGCAGTGAGCTGAGATTGTGCCTTTGCACTCCAGCCTGGGTGACAGAGCGAGACTCCATCTCAACAACAACAACAACAACAACATGCCCCACCTGAAGAAGTGCAACGAATTCTGCACAGCTGGAGTGAAGGGTATCTGTGGGCAAGGGCAAGAGTTAAGGTCAAAGGTGGAGATAAGGTCAAAGGGTAAAGACTGGGCAGAACAATAAGGGCCTCAGAAGTGACCTAGGGACTTGAACTATTTCTAGAACATTATAATCATCCTTCTCACAGTCTCTTATATCCTATTTCCACGTCTCCACTGGTGCTTCACAGTAATGTACTGAATGAAGTCCTATAAGACAAATGGAGAGATGAACGTGAACTTGACTGATGTCAGAGGACAGACCACAGACTGATGTTTCACTGTCATTTTTATTGTACTATATAACTCAATTCTATCATAAAGATTACATTTTAAAGAAAATAAAAACTCAAGTGATGAATGTGTGAAATTTCCACCTTATGAAAATGATAAAACAATGTGTAGGGGGACTTCCTAAACCAGGCAAATTGTTCCATAGAACACTTTAAAAAATCCCTACCCTTAACTTCGGACATCCTCAGGATGAAGATCTGGCTATTCATGTAATCATAGATTTAATTTCTCCCACAGATTGTGCATATTAATTTCTATTAATTTCTCCCACAGATTGTGCATATTAATTTCTATTAATTTCTCCCACAGATTGTGTTTATTAATTTCTATTAATTTCTCCCACAGATTGTGCATATTCTGTGAGTGCCTTCAGGGTACAGAAAACTACTTTAACTCCAGCATTCCCTTAGTAACAACAGAAATGTTCTTAGAACTGATAATGTTCTGCTTAAGGAAGAGAAGTCTAAGGGGCGATGTTTGAAGAAGGACTCGTGACTGGAGTCTGTCATGGTTGGCCTGGAGAACACATAGCTCATGAGGGCTAAGCAGGAACACTGTTGGTCTAGTTTCCCTCATATCCCCAGTGCCTAGCAGGCAGCCTGGCAAGAGTAGACACTCAGTGAGGACTACCGGATGGCTGAAGGATGTGGAATGGAGGGATGGAGGAAAGGACAGGTGGGGGCATTTGGGAAGTGACGCTGCCAACTACACAAAGCTGGCACTCTTAGGAGAGGTGGTGAAGGTCCACTGTCGAAAGCCTAAATGGTGGCACAGCATAGATTAGCTCTGAGACCATGGGTTCTGAAACCTGGCTCTGTGGAGTTGCTTCCTGTCTCTGTCACTTTCTAGCCTGGTATGGATAAGAAACATCACCTTTCTCTCCTACATTTCCTCATCAGAAAATGAGGAATAATAAAATATATTATAATAATGTTTATATATTATGATTGTTGTGAGGATTAAATGATACACATACCTCTTAATTTCTATGTAATATATATAAATATAAGTATACATATTTTTTCAGCCTCTAACAGTTCTAACAGTACCTGGCACACAGAAGTTATTAAAATACCATTTATATATTCATTTTAAGGTGCCTTTCCTCTTTGGTACTTAGACTCTTGAACACTAATAGCAAGAAGAAAGGCGAGACAAGACAGGAAAATATAATTTTCCACCTTTTTTCACTCTCTCTTATTCTGACTAAGGAGAAATTGAATGGGAACCATGGAAAATAATGATTACAGAAGTAAATTGACAACAAAAAGTCAAAATGAACCTAGAAAAACCTGAAAGCCATGATGTAGTAAACATAAACTAACGAGCTTTTGGGTTTGGCCAGATGGGTTGATATAAAGTTGAATTCACATGAACATGAAATGGAAGGACGGTAAGAGATGGCAGATTTTCAGCACATACCAGGTTGAGAAAAATACTTTCTCACTTAAAAATGAATCTTCCCCTGCTTTAATCTTTGGAGAGAAGGAGAAATGCATAGGGCTGAAAACCCTGTGCAGGGGCTGCTCTGTGCTTTGCTCTCATGGCTGAATTCCTGGTGGCTTACTCATTCTGCTCTGGGAATTGTCCTTGCTTCACACAGGTTCCAGGAACTTCTCATGGTCCCTAGAAAGGGAGCAGATCATCTGCAGCAGGTGGTGGTTGACTCCACAATGACACTCAGGTCTAGACTAATGAGGACCACTTCTCTCTTTATCATCCCACTCCTCGCTCAGGCCGCCTGTGCCTTGCTCTCATTACATCCAGCTAACTTTGCCTGTGCTGAGAGGAAGCCTCTCAAGGCCAGAAGTAAGAATACTGTGATTCTGACTTGCTGACAAATCACTGGTTCTTGGAATTGTTTGGCAGGTGTATTTGCCAAACCACTAATTTACCCTAAATTGAAAATAAGACGGGGAAAGAGGAACAGCTGAAATACCTGATGTCTGTGACTTCCTCTCTTCCTGTATTCCTACTCACACTGTGGCAGAGCTGCGCGTCTCAGAGAACACAGCTGCCATGATCAGTGCGGATTGACCTCCGGTGCATACTGAGGTTGTCTCCCACATATCCAAACCATACCTCTCCACTGGATATTAAGTTGCATTTAGGAGAATTAGAGAATTGACCTTAGTTTAAGAGAGGGCCTGCTCAGTTACAAGGTCTTTTCATCATCTTTAATGGAATTAGCACAGCCATGAACATATGACCCAATCTGGCACAAGAAGCATTTGTTAGAGGCTGCAGCTTCACGGGACATGAAAAAGTCAGCCATCCTATAACCACAGTTGAGAGGAATCAATTGATGCTGTGGATGGTTGTATAGCAGAGGGGAATCTCAGCCTTGATGACATTTATGAACTGCTGGATTAAACCTGAACTGCGTCCTACCTTAGAATATCCTCCTATGAGACCTAGTAAATGTCTTTGTTATATCAGACCATTCAGTTTTCTTACTTGCTACTAAAACATTATAAAAATACAGAAATGGACTTAAAATGTATAATTTGTCTAGATGGTTTTTAAATTGTTATCTTTTAATGTAAACATATAGCAAAAATTTTCTAAGACATACAGAGTTTCATATGAATGAGTGAATGCATAAATGAATGAACGAATAAAAGTTGGCCAAATCATCAAATTTTATTCCTTCATTCTATGAGCCTTAGTTGATTGCCCACTTTGGGCTTAGACTTGACCCTGAGGGTAAGTGGATATATAACAACCTGCCCTCAAATTGTTTACATCTGCTAGAAGATACAGATGCACAAAAATAACATGGAAATACAATGTGACAAATGTGATGAGAGAGCTATGCACAAATATTCCTGGATTTCAAAAAAGTATTGGTGCCAGACTGTATCTTACAAGATAACTAGGGACTAAGCCAGGCAAAAAGAAAGCAAATGAGTGTTCCCAGCATCGGAGACATAAAACAAAGGCAGGACATCCATCACTCCAGCTACAACATGAATGGCAATCCTTGGAGTTGTCCAGTGCACAACCTGCACTACTGTGTGTAGCAGCCCCCAATAAAGACAAAGGAATACAGAAACCAGCGTGAGAATTCCTGGAACTACAAACTGTCATTCCTGCTGCAATGGCAGCCAGATCCTCCCAGGAGATTAGGTTGGAGAGGTACGCGAAAATACGCATTTTTCTTTTAGAGTTATCTTATATAGCGTGTTAAGGAAACTAAACCTTAGTGTTTCTCTTAAAGTATGTGCATTAGAATGACCTGGTGAACATCTTAAAAATGCAGACTTGTAGGTCCAACCCTCGGAGATTGATTTTATAAGTCTAGGGTAGGACTGGGCACCTGTATCTTTAACCAGATCTCCAACAGATTCTTCTACTTCTCCAAATTGAAGGAATGGTGGTGAAGGTGATGTAGTGTTGCTAAAGGGAGTCATTCACATGGCCAAATTTGTTTCAGAAAAAGTCCATTCCGTCTGAGGAATGGGTTGGGAGCTGGCCAACTGGAGGCAGTTAGGAAGATGTTCAGTTATTCAGATAAAACATGAGGAGACCAACATGGTAGGAATGGAGAGGAGGCAACAGATTTGTGCAGCTTCCTAACCAGGCCAGGTGGCCCCAGGGCCAGAGGAGCAGTATGACCCTCGCTTGTTCTCTGGATGAAGAGCTTTACCCTGCCCCCTGTGAGAGGACAGAGGATGCCAGAGGCCTGCGTGACATCTCCTGAAATTGTTGCAGCGGTTGCCTTCATAGGGCCTGCCAAGGAGACACCTAGTCCAGGAGTTGAGGCTGATGGCATCATAAAACACTGTGGTCCCAAGCACTATAAGCCACCCCAGGGGACCAAGAACAGACAAAGCTCCTTGTCCTCAGGAATTCTTCATTTACAGAAGGAGATATATGGATGCTAAGTAAACAGAATGCTAAGTAAATAGTTCCAGTTACTCTTAGCATTGTTGAAAGTGCCCGATGCTTTCATTTTCCATGCATTTCCAGCCTCTTGTTTTTGTTTTTGGTGTTGTTTGTTTGTTTGTTTTGTTTTGAGACGGAGTCTCACTCTGTCACCAGGCTGGAGTACAGTGGTGTGATCTCAGCTCACTGCAACCTCCGCCTCCCAGTTTCAAGCGATTCTCCTGCTTCAGCCTCCTGAGTAGCTGGGACTACAGGCGCCCACCACCAAGCCCAGCTAATTTTTGTATTTTTAGTAGAGACGGAGTTTCACCATGTTGGCCAGGGTGGTCTCCATCTCTTGACCTCGTGATCCGCCCGCCTCGGCCTCCCAAAGTACTGGGATTACAGGCGTGAGCACCACCCCTGGACAGTCTCTTGTATTTTAACTCACAGATTCCAGACTTTGCCCCACTCCCTTATTTCTAAAGATGCAGGAAAAAATACTGGTCAATGCACTTGTTATTTTAACCTCCAAAATAAGCTTTTCCATTTTTCTTTCCACAATGATATTTCTATAAAAAACTACTAATATTATATTTGTTTATGGTTCTACCCAAAGGATAATAGAGTCTCACTGAGGCATGTGAGGCCTTGTAACACTGTTAGAAGAAAAAGCTGCCTGGTAGACAAAATAAGGAGCTTAATTCAAAAGTTTAATTCTCAATTCCATTCCAAATAACTATGTGCTGGATTGACGTTAATTCCCATATCTCTGAGGGAGAGTTGGATGTTACGACACTGTTCAAGCAACTACACTTAATGAATGTATTTTATTACAAAAAAGAAACATCAGAAGGGAGCTATCTTCTCTAATACCTATTCAGGCTGAAAGACATTTTCATAGAACAAGGTTTCTCAAAGTGTGGCCTTTGGACACATGTACATAGGAAACTCCAAAGGCATTTATTGAAATTTCCAAGGCATTTATTCCAATTTCCTGTACTGCGGGCCTAAGAAAGCTGCATTCTAGGGGCAGATCCAAAGCAGCCAGTCTCCAGATTTCTCTGCTGATTCTGTGCATACTAAAGCTTATGAACCTACTAATGAAGACTCCAGTACTGTTTACCCTCATATCTCTGACACTTAGACTGAGGAAACTCATTAACAAGGGCCAAAGTTTCAGAAATGAGGATAATCTTAGAACAAGAAAACCTCTATACCTAAGATATTGATGTATAAAATAAATGTTAACTTTAAGGAAATTATAACCCAAGAAAAAGGATACAGAACATGCTTTAATTATTAGAAGGCAGATCCATAACAAGTTATGGACAATTTGAGAGCTGAACCATATAACCTTTGAGGGTCACGTTCCCCACAAAATGTTCCTTGGAGATGCTATGAAAAACAGATCCTAAGGATGCTCAGATTTGGTATTTTGAGGATACATCAAACTTGACGCTATGTATTTTCCCACGAGACTATACATTCCTGAAATACAGAAACTGTGGCTTTTGCATTTTTATATCTTTGGAAACTAAACACAGTGCTTGTTAATAATAGATAATACTGGATATCAGCAAATATTGAGCACATATCTGCCATTCAGTGAATGTTGGCTGACTTGAACTGGGGGGAAGAATCACTGTTGAAAAAGTCCACCATAAATGAGAAAAATCCAGTAAAGTTCAATGAGATATGAGAGTGAATTTACAAAATCGCATGTATTGTTGTTACTCAACACATCCTTGACATTTCACCAAAAACGCCTCTCAATGTCACATTTTTACATTCTATCCCAAGTATCGCATACAATTCTATTCTCAGAGATTTGTCACTGTGGTGTCACTGTGGTGACTGTGCCTGGTGTCCTTGGTCATGTCCTTTTAGGTTACCCAACTAATTACTAATTTAGCCATACTTATTTATACTGACTCTTCATAATACGGAACTCTGTTTTCGAAAGTAAACTTTAAATAAGCTTCTTACTCTTGATTTACTTTGCTCTCTTTTTTTTTTTTTTTTGGTTTGTTTTAAAATGACTATGGCTTCAAAATATTTCTTTGAAAAAAGTTCTACTGGAATATTAAGATACAAAAAAAAAAAGGTCTTCCATTGGTTATAGCAAAGCCTCTTGTGTCTGGCATGCTGAGATAGAGGAAAAATGGCTTGAGAAAGAGAAATTGCTTTGACCACCTCTGAAAATCACATGTGTTAAAGAAAAGAGAAAACAGATTTTGGCTAGTTTTATCTCCCATTGTATTTGATTCCTTTGAGAGAGTATAGAAGTTGGAAGAGGATTTGAGTTAATTACTCGCAAAATTTTTACTTTGGTTTCTAAAACAAAGAATTTTGTAAAACACCCTTTACACATTGAAAGAGATTTGTACATTGTTATGAGTTATATAATAATATGAGCTAAAGACAAATAAACAAAAAACACATGGATTAACCATCCTGTTGACTATGCATGTGTTAAAAAATTAAAAGAAAAAGTGTTGTGATACAAAACATATAGAGATTTTACTAAGCAAAAAACCATATCTGGAATATAATTTGGAGTGTCGAAGAAGCCCTTGGGATAAAGGCTTTGAATACTTTTTCCATAGCTGTAATTTTTACAGAAACACAACATGGGCCTTTTTGTATATTCTATATACAAATACAAAATATAGTTATTTGTGTGCAAAGTCTAAACAGAGCAAACTTAGAGTTATTGAACAGGCCTTCCAAAGTGAAATAGATAATGGAATTATAAACTGCCATGGCTAGAAAAGATCCTAGAGATGATTGACCCTCTCATATTGACCCAGGGCTGGAGATAGTGGGCCTTGCGTGAGATTATACAGCAGGTAAAAGTTAGAATTGGTGCTGGTTTGAAACTTCTGACTTTAGTTCCAGACAGAAAAGAATTATTGGCAATAAAAATGTCAAAAATGATTGCTATTACTCCAACTTGTATCTCCATGAACCCAAAATTTACTTGTCATAGTTCATAAAATCCTGCAGCATGCATTCAACTAAATTAAAATCTTCTATTTATGCAAAGTAACTCTATGATGCAAATAGATTTTTAAATTTACTGCATTGCAAAATAGCTCTATTAATATTTAAGAACTTGATACTGGGTCAATGGCCACGTTGAAATGAAAAGGCTTGAATTGATTACACAAGACAGACTATAAAATGAATTCTAATCTAAAATAGAAGAATGGAGCATGGAGGCTGAGATGAGAAGTGACCAGGCTGCCCCTTAATACAAGTAGCCTTAGACAAAGTATTGCTTTGAGTCTCAAATTTCTCATGCCACCTCCTAGGACTCAAACAATCCAAAGAAAGCATTGCATGGGAAACCACTCCAAAAATCATTAGTGTAGCACAAATGCAATGTCAGTGCCACTGTTATATGAAGTAGACACACAATATATATATCATACCAATTAATATCAGAGAGAGAAAGAGATGACATTTTAAGAAATTGGCTCACATGATTGTGGGGGGCTGACAAGTGCAGGCAAGTGTTGATGCTGTCAACCAAATAACAGAGAGAGATTCTCCAAAGATAATGAGTTTGTTCGGTGTTGCACAGAAGATTTGCAAATCTGTAATGTGCAGGCTATGAGAATCATAAGCATATCCAAAGAGGTTGAGGCAAGGAAAAGCTTCTAAAGGCAAAAGAAAGAAAGTATGCAATAAGTTGTTTTAAAACAAAGAGAATATTGGTTCCAGGGGCTTATCACAGGAGTTGATGCCAGTTCGTTAACGAAGACAGTAGGTCAGGCAAGTGTACTTATGCATCTGGCTAGCTGTCCTTGTGACTCATGTAGCAAGCTGCAGTTTAAAATGTCCTTGGCAAAAGCTCTTGTACAGGCATTTGTGCATAAGAGCCCTGCAGAGAGTCTCTGTAACAGTTCTTATCATAGGTAGGTGTGCATAAGTGCCCTCCCACCTTAGTATCCTGGCTTTATTTATTTATGTTTTGTTAGGGTTTGACATAAGTGACTCCATTTTGATTCTGACAACTTTCACAATGGAATCTTGAGTTTAAATTCTGCAGGCCAGGAGACTGGAAACTCAAGTAGGATTTCCATGTTGCAGTCTTGAGGAGAATTCTTCTTTGGGAATCCTCAGTCTTTGATCTTGAGGCCTTCAACTAATAGAATGAAGTCCATCTATCCACAGTATACTGATTTAAACGTTAATCACATTGACAAAATTCCTTCACAGAACATCTAGACTAGTGTTTGACCAAATAACTGGGCACCATAGTTTAGCTACATTGACACATAAAATTAACCATCATATCTAGCTAAGAATATAATTGTGGGATCATGTGGTAATTTTATGTTTAACTTCTTGAGAAACTGCCAAACTGTTTTCCACAGTGGTCGTACCAGTTTACACATTCACTAGCATGCACCACGGTCCAATTTCTCCACATCCTCTCCAACACTTGTTATTTTCTGTAGTTTTATTAAAGCCATCCTAGTAGGTATGAGGTGGTCTGATTATTTTTTAATATACCTTTGGAGTCACTAAATATTTGTTGCTAGAGTTCCAGTAAGATAGAAGAGGAGGTGCACACCTGTTATCCCAGCTGCTCAGGAGGCTGAGGCAGGAGAATCCCTTGAACCCGGGAGGCGGAGGTTGTGGTGAGCTGAGATTGCACCATTGCACTCCAGCCTGGGTGACAGAACGAGACTCTGTCTCAAAAAAAAAGATAGAATAGCTGCCTTTCACATGACATAGAAGGTGAGTACCTGGACTAGATGAACTATTTGGGTTGATGATTTAGGCATCATGTAGTAAGATTATATTTCAAAAATTATTGCAGTGTATATACTGTGAGCAGGGAAACACTTTTTCCTAACTTCTGATGTTTCCTTCCACATCACACAGTTTAACATTCCTAACCAATCTGTCCTCTTTCAGATATAAATAATGATTGAGCTTGAGATCCTGACTTTCCTTTTTTTTTCTTAAGAGCTAACTGCCTGTGAAGAGTCAATCTTGGCTCTGCTTCTCCAGGGACATGCCCCACCTCTGCAGGTAGGGAGGTCTCCTCAGTTTCAGGCTGACCAGTAGGTCTGCCTAATCTTGGGATTCAGTATGAGGAATCTCACATGCCAGCAGGTGAATGCCAGATTTTCTAAAGCAATCTTTTTACCAAAGGAGTTATTTGGGTCTCTGTCTGCTGTTCCTTTTGTCTTATCTTGAGTATTTTAGACTTTAGGTTGGAAAGCAGGAAGTATTTTATTGTATCCATTACTTGAAGACATCTCTATAAATATAATTCATATTATTATATTAATGTTTTGTTTTATGATTAATCTGATTTTGCTAACAAGACTCCATGCATTCATTAAATGCATTTTATGAATGTTAGAGATTCACCTTATTGATGGATACTATTGAATGGGTTATTAATTTCTAGGGGCTTAACATGTTTGATTATACTTAGTATCACACCAAAAGATGGATCAGATGTAAAATTTACATAAGTATTATAGTTGTTATTGTTTAATTTTTGAAAACTAATTTTGTAGGATTGGAGAAATGGCCTGGTATGAGATTTTCTTTTCAAAATTAAAATAGTTGCCTTTCTGAAACAAAATAAAAAATTTTGATGACATAAGAGAAAGGAATTATGAGATTAAAAAACATAAAAGGACCAAAGGATGTATGAAATTTGCAGGTAGGTGGAAGAAATCTTGAAGGGAGAAGTGGGTTTGAGTAAGTAAATCTTACATTTATTCAGTTTGAATTGGTCCTTCATACTGTTCTTTCTCAAAGCTATTGCCGTTTTATCTGTACTGTCCTTTCACTCATTCCCTCATATTATTTTTTCAATTGCCACTAATTATACTTTTCTTGGTCTTTTATGATCCTTCCAGGTTGATAAATAAGTGGGAATCTTTTCCCTTTGGCATTTTTACATCGTGACTAGCTCTTTACTTAAATAAGATAATTTATTCTCTAGATAGATCATTAATAATGTGTGATGGCTATGTGTGTTTCAGAATAACCAGATAGTCAGGTATCCCACTGTAAATGTTTTTGCAAAACTTCAAGTTTAGGTTTCTAAACAAATAAACGTTTTTCAGAGCCAGGCAGTCTTCATATTCATGTCTCCTATGGATATGCCTGTCATACATTCAAGTTCTTCTATTTCAAGACCATTATAATTTTTCACCATGAGTATCCAAAGCATGAGATTACAATAATTTTGCTCTAGGAACACACTGTCGACTTAGGAATTAATTATAAGCAAAAGAAAACAAACTAAAACCAAATTAAAAACCCCACTTAGAGTTGTGTATAGTAAGGCTATGTATATTGAATCCAAACTATGATTGTAAAAGAATATTTCAACTTGAGCAATTAATCTTTCCCTATTGTTTGCTTTGAGGTTTGAATTTCATCATTTTTGGTTTTATTTTATTTCATTTTTAAAGACAGAATCTCATTCTGTCAGTCAGGCTGGAGTACAGTGGCACGGTCACAGCTCACTGTAGCCCCAACCTCCTGGATCAAGTGATCCTCCCACCTCAGCCGCACAAGTAGCTGGGACTACAAGTGGACAGCCTTTGGCTATTTTTTTTTTTTTAATTTTTACAAACTTTTTGTAGAGAACAGGTCTCACTTTGTTGCTCAGGCTGGTCTTGAACTTCTGGCTTCAAGCCATCCTCCTGCCTTGGCCTCCCAAAGTTTGGGGATTACAGGCATGAGCTACAGTGCCTGGACTGAATTTTGTTTTTATAATGTATTTTTAAGTTATTGTATTAGTGTATTAAGAAATAATCATAAAAACAACTTTATAACTTTGTAGTAAAGATATAATGAGTTAAGCCATTTAAAGCATTTTTTAGCAGCTATTATTATTCACCTAAACTTTGGGGAATAGATTGTGTTATTTTTATTTAATGTCATGGTTAAAAGTGTGAGTCTCAGTTTTAACTCACACTTATTAGATGCATGAGTGTATTAGTCAGCTCCATCACCAAAATATTATAGACTGGACAGTTTAAACAGCAGACATTCCTCTCCTCATAGTTCTGGAGGCTGAAAGTATGAGATCAGGGTGCCAGCATTGTCAGTTTCTGGTGAGTTCCCTCTTCCTGGTTTGTAGATGGTTGCCTTCTGGCTTGTTATCTCATGACTTCTTTGTGTTAGAGGAGAGGTGGGGGGAACGCTGCTATCTCTTTTTATAAGGGCAGGTCACTAAGCCCATCCTGAGGGCACCACGCTCATGACATCATTAAACCTATAATAATAACCTCCCATCTCCCAATACTATCACATTGGAGGTTGGAGCTTGAACATATGCATTTAGAGGGGGGCACAATTCAGTCTATGACAATGAGCCTGGACAATATTGACCCTCTCTAAACTGAATTTCTTAAACTGTAAAGGGAGGATTAGAACACAACAGAGTTATTGTGAAATTTAAATGATTTTCTCCTTTTGCTTGTGTTGTATTGTGAGCATTGCTTTTGTTGTAAAAGAAAAAAGATAAAACACAAACTCTTAAGGTAAAAGGAAATGTCCCTCTTCTTATTGGCTTTGCTTTCAGAATCCCTCCTGATCTAGCTGTAATTCCCCTCTACTCCTCTCATGCAATGTGTTTCCTAGCCAAATTAGACTGGTTGTCATACTCTTAACTTGTACGTTTTATGTCTGTTTCTCTGGAATATACTATTGAACCAAATCTATCTAATGAAATTCCACCTTCTGTATAAAACTTTTCTAAATCTTCTTATAGAAATAAAGTCTCTCCTTTGAGTTTTCACAGAATTTTGGGCCATTTTTATAAATATTATTTCATATGCTTTGTATTATAGTTATGTACAATCGTAATTTATGTCCCTGTTGGTCAAAGTTCTTTGAAGGAAAGACAAACCAGGTTATCTACTGTAGATTTAGGACATAGTAACAATTCAGTTTATAAATAAATTGATAAAACTGTAGGGATAGGTAGTTCATTGGAATTTTGTTTTGTTCTTTTAATGCATAAAGAGATTGTCATATGCATTAATAAAAATGAAAGACCATGAGAAAATGGCTTACTCAAGAGAAACAACTTTTGAGCACTCAGTAAGCAGTAATTGTATAATTGACGTGTTAAATTTAAATCATAGTCAAGTATTCATTAAAGTAAGTTCCCTGAGGATCAGCACCAAGCAACTCTTTATTAGCTTAGGATGCTATTGTATATACTTGAATACAATAACAATACCTACTTTGGCCCAGCATTTAAGAATTTACAAAATACTTCTATGTACATTATCTCATTTGTTCATCACACCAGCCCTGCAAGACAGGCAAAGAAACTATTTTTATATCAGCTCTGCAAAACAAAAATTTGAGTCAGAAATAATGAGATTTGTCCAAGGTCACAAGCTAGGACACAATGAAATCAGGACAAATCGTTCATCTTTTCACTCCTCATCTGCTCTCGTTTAAACAGCATGCTATCTCCTGCCACACAGCATGTCTTTAAAACTGTTTCATTTGCTTTGTATTATAGCTATGTACAATCCATAATCCATGCATTTTGATAAATCAGACCAGTGTCACCACCATCCTCCTCTTAATCAGTATGTGAGGTTTTGCTACACTCTTGAGATTTCATTTGATTAAGCCTTCAATGGAACAGATTTTATTTGATTGCAAAATGCCCAGGGAAAACCCTAATATAATTACTGCAATGTTTTTTTTTTGTTGTGTGGTTTTATATTACTTCAGTAAACTGCTATACTACTTTTACCAATGTATTCAGTTATAAAGACATATCATCTCCCTATTAATTCTCTATTTTTTTTAATAAAACAGAAATCCAGGAAAATCACTTCAATTTTACAAAAGTTCTAAACTTGCTTCCCTGAAGAAGGCATCAATTAAAATGAATATGAAAGGTGGGCATGATGACTCGTGCCGTTATTCTCAGCCCTTTGGGATGCTGAGTGGGAGGACCACTTGAGCCCAGGCATTTTGAGACCAACCTGGGCAACATGACAACCCCCCTAACCCGTCTCTACAAAAAATAAAAAATAGCCAGGCATGGTGGCACATACCTGTGATCCCAGCTATTCCAGAGGCCTAAGTGGTAGTATCATTTGAGCTCAGGAGGTTGAGACTAGAGTGAGCGGTTATTATGCTACTGCACTCCAGTCTGAATGACAAAGCGAGACACTGTCTCAAACAAAAATAAATAAATAAATAAATAAAATGAATGTGAAGTACGACGTATCACAGACTAGTTTGTTTCTTACTAAAATTTAATAATAATTGATCAAAGTGTCTAAATTTCATAGACATTAAGCATTTCTCATGGGTATCTTTGCTAATAAGTGGCTTGCATGGATCTGGGTTATTATTTACCTTTACTTTTCTTTATAAAATGCTGTTCAACCTTTGTAACTAAAATTACTGCTTGTTTAGGAAGTAATACTAATTACAACTCTCATTGAGGCATAACTTTGATTATATTTCCCCAAGGAAAACTCACCAGCATTTAGAGTTTTTAAATTATCTTTAAACTATCCCAATTAAATACATGCATATGAAATTCATTAGATAATTTCCTCAGAAAAACAAAGTAGAGTAAATTTAACTAACTAAATTTTGTTGTAGTGAATGCTGTGGTTTACACCATTTCACATGAGCCTTAAGTTTTTATGAGTTACAACCCTCTGTGCTTGGAAATCCTGAGCTAACCTTTTAGACTTGTACAAGTACCAACAACCTCAGTCTGGCAGTTGTTAAGTGCCTTGCTCTGCATGTACAAGCTCTGGCTTGGCCTCTTGCCATGATGTCAATTAAGGCTTGCTTCTTCGGTATTTGTGCTATATCAAGGTGACAATTTATGATAGGAAAAGAAAGCCCTTCAGATTACAAGTGCTGCTTCATTTTGATTCTGTATTAGGCTGTTCTTGCATTACTGTAAAGAAATACCTGAGATTGTGTAGTTTATAAGGAAGGTGGTTTAATTGGCTCATGATTCTTCAGGCTGTATAGGAAGCATGACACCCGCATATGCTTCTGGGGAGGCCTCAGGAAGCTTAAAATCACGGCAGAATGTGAAGGGGAAGCAGGCATCTAACATAGTGGGAGCAGGAGCAAGAGAGAGAGTGGGGAAGGAGGTGCCACACACTTTAACAACAAGATCTCATGAGAACTCACTGACTATCACAAAGACAGCACCAGGCTATGAAGGATCTACCCCCATGAGAAAAACACCTCCCATCAGGCCCCACTTCCAACACTGGTGATTACAATTCAACATGAGGTTTGGTGGGGACATCTATTCGGACTATATTTTTCCTTCCCTGGCCCCATAAATCTCATGTCCTTCTCACATTGCGTAAGACAATCATCCCCTGCCAATAGTCACTCAAAAGTTCAACTCATTTCAGCATCACTCAAAAGTTCAAAGTCCAAAGTTTCATCTGAGACAAGGCAAGTCTCTTTCACCTATGAGCATGTAAAATAAAAAACAAGTTATATATGTCCAAGATACAATTAGGGTACAGGCATTGGTAAACATTCTCATCCCAAAAGGGAGAAATTGGTTAAAAGAAAGGAGTTACAGGGCCTATGCCAGTTCAAAAACCCAACAGGGAAGTCACTAAATCTTAAAGCTTCAAAATAGTGTCCTTTGACTCCATGTCCCGCATCAGAGCACACTGCTGCAAGAGGTGTGCTCCTATGGCTTTAGGCAGCCCTGCCCTGTGACTTTCCAGGGTTCAGCCCTTGCAGCTTCTCTCATGGGTTGGAGTTTGTATTAGTCCATTTTCACACTGCTATAAAGATACTACCTGAGGCTGGGTAATGTATAAAGAAAGGAGGTTTGATTGACTCACAGTTCAACATGGCTGGGAAGACTCAGGAAATTTACAATCATGGCGGAAGGCAAAGGGGAAGCAAGGCAAGTCTTAAATGATGGCAGGAGAGAGAGTACAGTGGAAACTGCCAATTCTGAACCATCAGATCTCATGAGAACTCCCTCACAATCATGAAAAAAGCATGGGGGAAACCACCCCCATGATCCAATCACCTCCCACCAGAATCTTCTCTCAACACATGAGGATTACTATTTGAGACGAGATTTGTGTGGGGACCCAGAGTCAAACCACATCAGAGTTGAATGCCTGTGGCTTTTTCAGGTGCAGTGTGCAAGCTGCTGGTGGATCTACCATTCTGGGGTCTGGAAGATGGTGTCTCCCTTCCCATAGTTCCACTAAGCAGTGCCCCAGTGGGGACTCTGTGTGGGGCCTCCAACCCCACATTTTCCCTCTGTACTTCTCTAGTAGATGTTCTCTGTGAGTGCTCTGCCCCTGCAGCAGGCTTCTGCCTGGGCATCCAGGCTTTTCCATACCGCCTGTGAAATCTAGGCAGAGGCTGCTAAGCCTTCTTCCCTCTTGCACTCTGCGTGCACCTGCAGGATTAGCACCATATGGAAGTTATCAAGGCTTATAGCTTGCTTTCTTCAAGGAGGCAGCTCAAGCTGTACCTGGACCCCCTTGAACCACAGCTGAACAGCTGGGATGTAGGGAGCAGTGTCCCAAGGCTGCATAGGGCATCCAGGCACTGGGCCTGACCCAGGAAACTATTCTTCTCTCCTAGCCCTCCAGATTTGTAATGGGAGGGGGTGCTGTGAAGGTGTCTGAAATGCCTTCGAGGCCTTTTCCCCATTATCTTGAATATTAGCACTTGGCTACCCTTTAGGTATGCAATTATCTCCAGCAGGTAGTTGCTCCACAGCCTGCTTGAATTCCTCTTCAGCAAAAGCTTTTTCTTTCTCTTACACATGGCCAGGCTACAGATTTTCCAAATTTTTATGCTCTACTTCGTTAAATATATATTCCAACTTTATTTCTTTGCTCCCATGTCTGACCATAGGCAATTAGAAGCAGCCACACCACATCTTGAACACTTTGCTGCTTAGAAATTTCTTTTGCCAGATACCCTAAATCATCACTCTGAAGTTCAAACTTCCACAGATCGCTAGGGCATGAACAGAATGCAGCCAAGTGTTTTGCTAGAGCATAACAAGGGTGGCCTTTGCTCCAGTTTCCAAGAAGTTCCTCATTTCCATCTGAGACCTCATCAATCTGGCCTTCACTGCCCCTATCACCATCAGCATTTTGTTCACAATCATTAACTAGTCTTTGAGAAATTCCAAACTTTCCCTCATCTTCCTGTCTTCTTCTGAGCCCTCCAAACTCTTCCAACCTCTTTTCATTACCTCTTTCCAAAGCTACCTCTACATTTTCAGGTATCATTACAGCAGTGCCCCACTCCTTGGTACCAATTTTTTTATATTAGACCATTCTTGCATTGCTATAAAGAAATGTTTGAGGCTAGGTAATTTATAAAGAAAAGAGGTTTAGTTGGTTCACAGTTCTGCAGGCTGTACAAGCATAGAGCTGGCATCTGCTCTGGAGAGGCCTCAGGGAACTTTTACTCATGGTGGAAGGTGAAGCAAGAGCCAGAATATCACCTGGCAAGAGCAGGAGCAAAGGCAAGACTTAGGGGAGGTGGCATACTTTACAACAAACAGATCTCTCGAGAACTCAGTCACGATCATGAGGACAGCACCAAGCCATGAGGGATCTGCCCCCATGAACCAAACATCTCCTACCAGGCCCCACTTTCAACACTGAGATTATAATTCAACATGAGATTTGGTGGGGACTTATATTCAAATTATATCAGATTCTAAGATCATAGCTTTCCATTGTGTTTTCTGTGACATTGTATCTACTATACTACAAAACTGAAGCTCTTAGAGACAGAGTTCAAAAATATTATAATGATCTTTTAGTTGGTAACTGAAAATAGGTGTGACCTAAACATAGGGCATTCTGAATGCTTTATTGTGCTGGGTGACTTCAATAATACTGATATAGTTTGGCTGTGTCCCCACCCAAATCTTATCTTGAATTGTAGCTCCCATAATCCCCATGTGTTGTGGGAGGGACCCAGTAAGAGGTAATTGAATCATGGGGATGGGTTTTTCTCATACTGTTCTTGTGACAGTGAATAAGTCTCATGAGATATGATGGTTTCATAAAGGGCACTTCCCCTGCACACGTTCTCTTGCTTGCCAGCATATAAGACATAACTACATAACTTTGCTCCTCCTTTGCCTTCCGCCATGATTATGAGGCCTCCCCAGGCATGTGGAACTGAGTCAATTAAACCTCTTTTTCTTTATAAATTACCCAGTCTTGGGTATTGCTTCATAGCAGTTTGATAATGAATGAATACAGATACCAAATAAATACCTCATTAAAGCAGCACATAAAAACATTGGAAACAAAGGCTCTAAAAATGTGGAGTTATCAAGGATCTGGGAAACATAGGCAGCAGGCCTGTCAACCTGGCAACAAGATGTCAGGATGACACTGAGGTGAAAAAGCTGAATCTAAACCATCTGATATTGCAACTAAAAGTTATTATCTTTTTCCACTTGGCTTATACAAATGCTTCACCCAAACCACATAAGCTGAAAGCCTGTTATGCTGTGTGTCATTCCAGTGGAACATAGAAAGGATCTTTTGCAAACAAATTGTACCTTTGGAACATTATGGCCTTTAAAAATCTTCTCTGTAATAGAGCATACTCTAAAAGGGAAATGAATGCAGGGTTTTGGTAAAATATAAACTCCATCTAATAGTTGGTAATACTATATATAGACTGAAACATGGTAACACGTATACAGACATGCAGTTGGAAATGGAGGTTGCTGTGTGTACTGTGTTATGTGAACAAACCAATTTAACAAATTTAGAAAGTATTGATGGCCAGGCATGGTGGCTTATGCCTGTAATCCCAGCACTTTGAGAGGCTGAGGTGGGAGGATTACTTGAGCCCAGGAGATTGAGACCAGCCTGGAAACCACAGTGAGACCTCATGTCTACAAAAAAATGTTTTAAAATTAGCAAGGCATGGTGCTACGTGCCTGTAGTCCCAGCTACTTGGGAGGCTGAGGTGGGAGAATTGCTTGAGTCTGGGAGGTTGAGGCTGCACTGAGCTGATCACTCAGCTGCATTTCTAGCTGAGTGACAGAGTGAGACCCTGTCTCAAAAAAAAAAAAAAAGTATTGGTATTTTTCACGATGGAGGGTGAAGTTGGAGCTTGCATATCATATGGCAGGAGCAAGAGCAAGAGTGAGAGTGGTAGGGAGGTGCCTCACTTTACAACAGGCTGCCATTTACATTACTTCTCAGAATAGCAATCTATATTGATTCCAAACTGCTTTTCTAAATAGGAAACTCTTCTCAAACTTCAAGGATGTAAGATACATGAATTTAAGACAGAACCACAGGCACACATAATAACTTCAAGGTCATTTGACTGAGGCATAGGTCTTCTAGAAATCCAGTTACCTTCGTGAGATAAAGGAAATTGCAGGAACATGTGGAATTTGGTTAGACTGGGGTAGCCTCATGAATCCTTGTAAGCTGGTGGTTAAAATTCCATTCTTCACAAGTCATATTTAGATATTCGTGCAAGATTTTTACTACTAAATTATGTATATATCTTATCGAAGACCTTGAATGCCATTAGACATGACTAATGTCCAAGGAGGCCCCAAGATGCCCTTTAAGATGGCCCCAAGATGACCTTCAATGAACTCTGCCTCCTGATATTCATGGATATTGTGGAAATGACTGTGTGAGACTTCTGAGGCTAGGTCAATAAGATATTGCAGCATCTGTTTTGTTCTTGGATCACTCTAGGGAAAGCCAGGTGCTACATTATGAGGATATTAATATCTGCAGAGGATCACATGATGAGGAACTAAAGCCTCCTGCAACAATCAGCATTGACCAGCCAGCCATGTGAGTGAGCTATTCTGGAAGTGTTCTCCAGCCCCAGTCAAACCTTCAGGTGACTGCAGCCTGGTTGGCATTTTGGCCATAGTCTCAGGAGAAACCTTATGCCAGATCCACTCAGCCAGGCAGCTCCCTGATTCTGCCTCAAGGAAACTATGAGATAACAAATATTTATTGTTTTAAGACACTAAGTTTTGGGGTAGTTTTTATTGCAGCAACAGATCACCAATACCAATGTGTAACTTATTGCTCTCCAGAAACTCAGCTTATCAAATATTTGCTTCTGGCCAAGACTCTCCCAGATCTTTTGTATAATACTAAAAGCTAGGTAGTTGAGGAGAACTCATAGCAAAAATCGGAATAATGCATCATTCCAACTCCACTGTAGTAACTTCGTCCTAGTGATGAGGAATAGAAACATCTTACTGGTTATTCTCGTTTTCTCACACTCCATGGTTATGAACAGCACTTAAAGATCACCTGAGTTGCAAGGAGACTAGAAAGTGTTGTCCGCAATGAAATAAACATAAAATACTCCAAACATATTTTTCCTGAGTTCTCTGAATTTTCAGCTACATCCCTGGGTAATTCAGAGATAAAATATTTACCAGTGAGGTGGTAAATATTTAACAACAAATGGCTGAGGAGAATAACATGAGAAAGATTCAGTCAGGCCCCCAAAATTCATATATTGACTCATTTGACTATCACAGAACTCCTATGATATTGGCTCTGCCTATTTTAGTCCTGCATGAGACCAACAGTCAGGGAAGTTACATGATTTCTTCAAGAGCACTGAGCTAGTAATTGGGAAAGTTAGAATGAACTCAAGTTTCATTCTAACTTTGACCTGCAAGTCCCTTGGTGTATCCCAGTGGTTCTCAACAGGGAGTGATTTTTGCCTCACTGACCCCAACAAGGACATTTGGCAATATCTGAAGACCTGTTTGGTTGTCACAAGTGCTGGGGAAGCCTACTGTAATCTATTGGGTAGAGACCAAGAATGCTGTTCAACATCTTACAATGCACAGGACACAACCTTTACTCCCTGACTAAGGAAGATTCAGCCCAAACTATCAAAACTGTCACAGTTGAGAAACCCTGATTGTCTTAGTCCATTTCTGTTGTTTATAACAGAAACTGCACTGCATAAGTTATAAATGAAAGAAATTTATTTCTTACAGTTATGGAAGCTGGGAAATCCAAGGTCAAAGGGGGCACATCTGGTGAGAAACTTCTTGCTAGTGGGACTTTCTGAAGAATCCCAAGGCAGCTCAGGATATCACATAGAGAAGGAGCTGAGTATGTTCACTTGCTAGCTTCAGACTCTCTTCCTCTTCTTATAAAGCCACCAGGTCCATTCCCATGATAACCCATTAATCCATTAATCCCTGAATGGATTAATTCATTCAGGAAGGCAGAGTTCTCATGACCCAATCACCTCATAAAATCCCCACCTCTCAATATTGCCTCATTGATTAAGTTTCAACATGAGTTTTGCAGGGGACATTCAAACCATAGCACTGATTTATCCACTATGATTTGCTATATTTTTAAGCAGTTATTACTTTTCTCTGGCTTCTTCCTACCTTTTGGCTAGCATATTCCTCTGCATTTATAAAGATATATTAAAGCCATTCATAAATTGATAGCAGCTCACATTTCAGAAAACTTAAATCACTTTAATTTTAAAAATGTAATACTTCTGCCTCTCTTCTATTGTTTTTAATATACTTTCTTCCCTATAGTTTCTGTCGGTGAAAAAGTTTAGAGAGAAGTTTTTATTTTCTTATATTTGAAAAGCAATATGGAAATGTAGGAAAAGGAAAGAGGAAAACTGGTAAATACTTTGAACTCTAAATATGATTTTTATAACTAGATTATTCAGGAAATACTTATAAAATATTTTGGGGCTGCTATAAAAGTTTTAATATTTTCCAACCCTGACCAATAAATACTTTATAGACAGGGAGACTAAAGGAAAGAATTTAGTAAGGTTGGAAGGACAAAGAGTTATAAGAGATGTGATATATAATCATTTTATTGTTTTGTTGTTTTAGTAGACCTGGATTTGGATCTAAACTCGATTTTTTTATTTGTAAAATTAACACACAATAATGCTGACTCTTTTGGTGTGCAGTTTTATGCACGTTAACACATATATAAATTTATAGAAAACGCTACCGACATCAAAATACAGGAGAGTTGCATCACCCTAAAAATACTCTTATGCTACTCCATTATGGTCATACTCTCCATCAACTCTTAACCCCCATGGTAACAATGAATATGCCTTCATCACTATAGGCTTTTTTTTTTTAATTTCAATAGTTTTGGGGGAACAGGTGGTGTTTGGTTACATGGATAAGTTCTTCAGTGGTGATTTCTCAGATTTTGGTATACCCATCATCTGAGCAGTGTACACTATACCCAATGTGTAGCCTTTTATCCCTCACCTGCGCCCACCCTTTTCTCTGAGTTCCCAAAGTCCATTGTATCATTCTTATGCCTTTGTGACCTCATAACTTAGCTCCTACTTATAAGCGAGAACATATAATATTTGGTTTTTTATTCCTGGGTTACTGCCCTTAGAATAGAATGGTCTCTAACTCCATCCAGGTTGCTGTGAATGCCATTATTTCATTCCTTTTTATGGCTGAGTAGTATTCCATGGCTTATACATACCACATTTTATTTATTCGTTTATTGGTTGATGGGTATTTAGGCTGGTTCCATATTTTTGCAATTGCAAATTGTGCTGCTATAAATATGCCTGCGCAAATTAGTTTTTCGTATGATGACTTATTTTCCTCTGAGTAGGTAGCCAGTAGAGGGATTGCTGGATCAAACAGCAGTTCTACTTTTAGTTATTTAAGGAATCTCCATACTTTTTTCCATAGTGGTTGTACTAGCTGACATTCCTACCAGTGATGTAAGTGTTCCCTTTTCACCACATCCACACCATCATCTATTGTTTTTTTGATTTTTAAATTATGGCCATTCTTGCAGAAGTAAGGTGGTATTTCATAGTGGTTTTAATTTGCATTTTCCTGATAATTAATGATGTTGAGCATTTTTTCGTATGTTTTTTGGCCATTCGTATACCTTCTTTTGAGACTTGTCTGTTCATGTACTTTGCCCACTTTTTGATGGGATTATTATTATTTTTTTCCTGCTGATTTGTTTGAGTTCGTTGCAGATTCTGGATATTATTCCATTGTTGGATGCATAGTTTGTGAATATTTTCTCCCATTCTGTGGGTTGTCTGTTTACTCAGTTGATTATTTCTTTTGCTGTGCAGAAGCTTCATAGTTTAATTAGGTCTCATCTATTTATTTTTGGTTTTGTTGCATTTGCCTTTGGGTTCTTGGTCATGAAGTCTTTGCCTAAGCCAATATCTAGAAGAGTTTTTCCAAATTATCTTCTAGAATGTTTATGATTTCAGGCCTTAGATTTAAGTCTTTGATCCATATTGAGTTGATTTTTGTAGAAGGTGAGAGATGAAGATTCAGTTTTATTCTTCTACGTGTGGCTTAACAATTATCCCAGGACCATTTGTTGAAGAGGGTGTCCTTTCCCCACTGTATGTTTTCATTTGCTTTGTTGAAGATGAGTTTGCTGTAAGTATTTGGCTTTATTTCTGTGTTCTTAATTCTGTGACATTGGTCTACATGCCTATTTTTATACCAGTACCATGCTGTTTTGGTAACTATAGCCTTGTAGTATAGTTTGAAGTCAGGTGATATGATGCCTTCAGATTTGTTCTTTTTGCTTAGTCTTGCTCTGGCTATCAGGGCTCTTTTTTGGTTCCTTATGAATTTTAGGATATTTTTCTACATCTGTGAACAATGATGATGGTATTTTGATGATATTGTATTGAATCTGTAGATTGCTTTTGGTAGTGTGATCATGTTTACAATATTGGTTCTACTCATCGATGAGCATGGGATGTGTTTCCATTTGTTTGTGTCATCTATGATTTCTTTCAGCAGTGTTATGTAGTTTTCCTTACAGAGCACTTTCACCTCCATGGTTAGGGATTTTATTATTTTTTGGCAGCTGTTATAAAAAAGATTAAGTTCTTTATTTGATTCTCAGCTTGGTTATAGTTAGTGTACACAACTACTGACTTGTGTACATTGATTTTGTATCCTGAAACTTTATAAATTTATTTGTCAGCTCTAGAAACTTTTTGGTCCAGTCTTTAGGGCTTTTTAGGTATATGATCATATCATCAACAGACAGTGACAGTTTGACTTTCTCTCTACCGATTTCACTTCTTTCTGTTGCATGATTGCTCTGGCTATGACATCCAGTACTATGTTAAATAGAAGTGGTGGAAGTGAGCATCCTTGTCTTATTCCAGTTCTCAGGGGGAATGCTTTCAATTTTCCCCTGGTCAGTATAAGGTTGGCTGTGGGTTTGTCATAGACAGTTTTTATTGAGGTATGTCCCTTCTACACCAATTTTGCTGAGGATTTTAATCATAAAGTATTGCCGGATTTTGTCAGATGCTTTTTTCTGTATCTATTGAGATGACCATACAATTTTTGTTTTGAATTCTGTTTATGTGACGTATCACATTTATTAACTTGTGTATGTTAAACCATCCCTACGTTCCTGGTATGAAACCCACTTGATCATGATATATTATCATTTTGATATGCTGTTGGGTTCAGTTAGTTAGTGTTTTTTTGAGGACTTTTGCATCTATGTTCATCAGGGATATTGGTCTGTAGTTTTCTTTTTTTGTTATGTCCTTTCCTGATTTTGGTATTAGGGTGATACTGTCTTCATAGAATGATTTAGGGAGGATTCCTTCTTTCTCTATCATTTGTAAAAGTTTCAAGTAAGATTGGTACCAATTCTTCTATGAATGCCTGTGGCTTTTTTGTTGGTATTTTTTAAATTACTGTTTCAATCTCTCTACTTGTTATTGGTTTGTTCAGAGTTTCTACTTCTTCCTGATTTAATCTAGGAGGGTTGTATATTTCCATGCATTTATCCATCTCCTCTAGATTTTCTACTGTGTGTGCATAAAGGTGTCCATAGTAGCCTTAAGTGATCTTTTTTATTTCTGTGGTATTGGTTGTAATATCTCCCATTTCATTTCTAATTGAGCTTATTTGGATCTTCTTTTCTTAGTTAGTCTTGCTAATGGTCTATCAACTTTATCTTTTCAAAGAACTAGCTTTTTGTTTCATTTATCTTTTGTATTATTTTTATTTCAATTTCATTTAGTTCTGCTCTGATATTTGCTATTTCTTTTCTTCTTCTGGGTTTGGGTTTGGTTTGTTCTTGCATCTCTATTTTCCTGATATGTGACCTTAGATTGTCTATTTGTGCTCTTTCAGACTTTTTGATATAGACATTTAATGTTCTGAACTTTCCTTTTAGCACTGCTTTCACTGTATCCCAGAGGTTTTGATAAATTGTGTCACTATTATCATTAAGTTCAAAGAATTTTTTAAATTTCCATCTTGATTTTATTGTTGACCCAAGGAACACTCAAGAGCAGGTTATTTAATTTCAATTTACTTGCATAGTTTTGAGCATTTCATTTCGAGTTAATTTCCAGTGTTATTTCACTGTGGTCTGAGAGGATACTTGATATAATTTTGATTTTCTTCAATTTATTGAGACTTCTTTTGTGACCTATCACATGGTCTATCTTGGAGAATGTTTTGTGCTGATGAAAAGAATGTCTATTCTTCAGTTGTTGGGTAGAATGTTTTGTAAATATCTGTTAAGTTCATTTGTTGTAGGTTATTGTTTAAGTCCATTGTTTCTTTGTTAACTTTCTGTCTTGATGACCTGTCTAGCACTGTCAATGGAGTACTGAAGTCTCCAATATTATTGTGTTGCCATCTATCTCATTTCTCAAGTCTAGTAGTTATTGTTTTATTAATTTGGGAGCTCCCCATTAAGTGCATATCTATTTAGATTTGTGATATTTTCCTGTTGGAATAATCTTGTTATCATTTTATAATATCCCTTTTTGTCTTTTTTTTTTACTGTTGTTGCTTTAAAGCCTGTTTTCTCTGATATAAGAGTAGCTACTCCTGGCTGGGCATAGTGGCTCACATCTGCAATCCCAGCACTTTGGGAGGCTGATGTGGGCAGATCACTTGAGGCCAAGAGCTCAAGACCAGCCTGGCCAACATGGTGAAACCCCATCTCTACTAAAAATATAAAAAACTAGCCAGGTGTGGTGGTGTGCACAGGTAATCCCGGCTTCTTGGGAGGCTGAGGCAGGAGAATAGCTGGAACATGAGAGGTGGAGGTTGTAGTGGGCGGAGATCATGCCACTGAACTTCAGTCTGGGAGACATAGCCTGACTCTGCTGCAAAAAAAAAAAAAAAAAAAAAAAAAGAATAGCTACTCCTGCTCTCTTTTGGTTTCCATTTGCATGGAATACCTTTTTCCATCTCTTTACCTTAAGTTTATGTGAGTCTATATGTATTAGGTGAATCTCTTGAAGATAGCAGTTACTTGCTTGGTGGATTTGTATCCATTCTGTATCTTTTAAGTGAAGCAGTTAGTCATTTACATTAAGCATTAGTATTGAAATGTGATATACTATTCTATTCATCATGCTAGTTGTTGCCTGAATACCTTGGTTTTATTTTATTGTGTTATTGTTTTATAGGCCCTGTGAGATTTATGCTTTAAGGAGGTTCTATTTTGGTGTATTTCAAGATTTTGTTTCAAAATGTAGAACTCCTTTTAGCATTTCTTGTAGCGCTGGCTGGCAGTGGCAAATTCTCTCAGCATTTGTCTGAAAAAGACTTTATCTCACCTTCATTTATGAAGCTTGGTTTCACTGGATACAAAATTCTTGGCTGGTAATTGTTTTGTTTAAGGAGGATAAAGATGTAACCCAATCCCTTCTTGCTTGTAAAATTTCTGCTGAGAAATCTGCTGTTAATCTGATAAGTTTTCCTTTATGGGTTATCTGATGCTTTTGTCTCACAGCTTTTAAGATTCTTTCCTTTATCTTGACTTTATTTTTTTAATTTTTGTCGAGACAGGATCTCACTCTGTCACCCAAGCTGGAGTGCAGTGGCATGATCTCAGCTCACTGCAACTTCCACCTCCCAGACCCAAGCAATCCTCTCACCTCAGCCTCCCAAGTAGCTGGGATTACAGGCATGCACTACTATGCCTGGCTGTTTGTATTTTTTAGAGAGACAGTGTTTCACTGTGTTGCTGGTCTGGAACTCCTGAGCTCAAGTAATCGCCTAACTCAGCCTCCCAAAGTGCTGGGATTATAGGCATAAGCCACCATGTCCGGCCCCATTTTGACTTTAGGTAACCTGATGACTATGTGCCTAGATGATAATCTTTTTGCAACGAATATCCCAGGTGTTCTTTGAGCTTCTTGGATTTGAATATCTAGATCTCTAGCAAAAGCAGGGAAGTTTTCCTCAGTTATTCTCTCAACTTTTCCAAACTTTTAGATTTTTCTTCTTCCTCAGGAATACCAATCATTCTTAGGTTTGGCCATTCAACATAATCACAAATTCCATGGAGGCTTTGTTCATTTTTTAAATTATTTTTTCTTTGTCTTTGTTTGATTAGGTTAATTCGAAAGCCTATCTTTGAGCTCTGAAGTTCTTGTTCTAGTTTATTGTTGAAATTTTTCTTTCTTTTTTTTTGCCTTTTTTATTATTATTATTATACTTTAAGTTTTAGGGTACATGTACACAACATGCAGGTTAGTTACATATGTATACATGTGCCATGCTGGTGTGCTGCACCCATTAACTCATCATTTAGCATTAGGTATATCTCCTAAAGCTACCCTCCCCCCTCCCCCCATGCCACAACAGTCCACAGAGTGTGATGTTCCCCTTCCTGTGTCCATGTGTTCTCATTGTTCAATTCCCACCTATGAGTGAGAATATGCAGTGTTTGGTTTTTTGTTCTTGCGATAGTTTACTGAGAATGATGATTTCCAATTTCATCCATGTCCCTACAAAGGACATGAACTCATCATTTTTTATGGCTGCATAGTATTCCATCGTGTATATGTGCCACATTTTCTTAATCCAGTCTATCATTGTTGGACATTTGGGTTGGTTCCAAGTCTTTGCTATTGTGAATAGTGCCGCAATAAACATATGCGTGCATGTGTCTTTATAGCAGCATGATTCATAATCCTTTGGGTATATACCCAGTAATGGGATGGCTGGGTCAAATGGTATTTCTAGTTCTAGATCCCTGAGGAATCGCCACACTGACTTCCACAATGGTTGAACTAGTTTACAGTCCCGCCAACAGTGTAAAAGTGTTCCTATTTCTCCACATCCTCTCCAGCACCTGTTGTTTCCTGACTTCTTAATGATTGCCATTCTAACTGGTGTGAGATGGTATCTCATTGTGGTTTTGATTTGCATTTCTCTGATGGCCAGTGATGGTGAGCATTTTTTCATGTGTTTTTTGGCTGCATAAATGTCTTCTTTTGAGAAGTGTCTGTTCATGTCCTTTGCCCACTTTTTGATGGGGTTGTTTGTTTTTTTCTTGTAAATTTGTTTGAGTTCATCGTAGATTCTGGATATTAGCCCTTTGTCAGATGAGTAGGTTGCGAAAATTTTCTCCCATTTTGTAGGTTGCCTGTTCACTCTGATGGTTGTTTCTTTTGCTGTGCAGAAGCTCTTTAGTTTAATTAGATCCCATTTGTCAATTTTGGCTTTTGTTGCCATTGCTTTTAAGTGTATCTTTCATTTCCAGAAGTTGTGATTGTTTTTTCTTTATGATATCTGTTTCTCTGGAGAATTTTTCATCCATATTCTGTATCATTTCTATAATTTATTTAAGCTTTTTTATACCTTTCTCTGGTATCTCCTCGAGTACCTTAATGATCAACCTTCTGAATTCTTTATCTGGCAATTCAGAGATTTCTTCTTCATTAGGATCCATTGCTAGGAGCTAGGAGCTAGGAGCTAGTATGATCTTTTAGTGGTGTTATAGAACCCTGCTTTGCCATATTACCAGAATTACTCTTCTGGTTCCCTCTCATTTGGGTAGCCTATTTCAGTGGAAAGTTCTGAAACTCAAGGCCTGCTCTTCAGATTTTGTTTCATGGGGTGATATCTTGATGTGATGTTCTCCCCCTTACCCTAGGAATGGGGCTTCCTTAGAGCCTTACTGTAATGATTGCTATTTCTCTTCTGTATCTAGCCACTCAGAGGGGCTACCAGGCTCTGGACTGGTGCTGGAGAATGTCTGCAGAGTGTCCTGTGATGCGATCTGTCTCAGGTCTTCCAGCCATGGATACCAGCACCTGCTCTGGTGGAGGTGGCAGGGGAGTGAAATAGACTCTATGGGAATCCTTGGTTGTAGATAGGTTTAGTGTGCTGGCTTTCTCAGAGGTTAGTTTTCATGTGGAGACACTCAGGACCTCTGTTTACTCAGGATGTTGCAGGCTGTGGAATTAGCTGTTATTTCTTCCTTCCTAGGAGCTGGGTTATTCTGTCATGAGTTGCTGTAATGGCCTGAGTTGGTTGGCCTCCAGCCAGCAGGTGGCACTTTCAAGAAAGCACCAGCTGCTGTAGTAGTAGAGGAATATGAGCCTGCCTCAAGTTGGTCAGGGGAAGTATTCTGATTTCTCAGGCAATGGGTGGGGCCATAAAGCTCCCAAGTGTTTCTGTCTTTTGTGTTCAGCTACTAGATTAGGTATAGAAATATCATCAGGTGTGGGCGGGTTTAGACAGCACTGGGCTCAGACTCTCCTTGGGTAGGGTTTGCTGCAGCCACTGTAGGGTATGAGGGGTGGTTCTCAGGCCAGTGGGGTTATGTTCCAGAGGGGATGATGGCTGCCTCTGCTTTGTCATATAGTTCACAAGGGAAGTGGAGCATAGCCGGTAGTGAGAGGCCTCACTCTACTCCCACTCAGTTGGCAAGGCTAATCTCAATCCCACAGTGCCCTGATGAGAACTTGCCCCAGGCTGTGAGCTTCCCCACTGAGAAAGCAAGCATGTCTTTCAGACCTCATCCTTCCCAGTCTGCCCACATTGTGAGTGGTGGCTCCTGCACTCGTATCTGCAGCAGTTCCCACTCAACGCCCATATTCTGCTCAGGAAAATTCATGCCCTGTCGATATTATTACTAATTTAGTTGAAAGCTTCCTTCACCCTGTGTGCCCTCCTTAATTCTGCTGGCTGCCTTCCCTGAGGCCCTTGTGGAATAGAGTCAGGGTTGGCTTCCCTGGGCTCAAGAGGGAGACTGGGAGTACCTACAAGGCTCTTTCCACTGCTGCTTCTACTTTTATATTTCATGCGGCTCTCTAAATCTGTTTAAGCACTAGGTAAGGTTAAATCCTTCTCCTGTAATCCAGATGTTCAGATTCCCCAGTGGGGGTATGTGTTTAGAGGCAGGTTTTCCCCCGCTCACATTTTGGGAGCTCACAGTTTTTTGCCCGTCTTTGGGAATTTGCAGTGGCATGCCACTTCTTTCAAAGGATCTGTGAATTCTTTCAGTTTTCCCGGTACATTCCTGTGGTGGTTCTTGGAGCAAAAGTTCACAGTGTGTCTCCACATGCTGTTCTGTCTATACAAGTGGGAACTACATGTTAGCCCTGTCTCCTATCTGCCATTTTCTTCCTAAAATTCTATACTATAGAAATTGAATTGCAAGGTATTTAAACTTTTGAGATTTCTTTTAGCAGCATTTTATTGTATGTATACACCACAATTTATTTATTTATTTATCCATTGAGGGATAATGGGTTTCCAGGTTTTTGGTGATTATAAATACACATGCTATAAAATTTAGTGCACAGGTTTTTGTATGGACATAAGTTTTAATTTCTCTAGAGTAAACATCTAGATATGAGATTGCTAGGTCATATGGTAAATGTTTGTTTAGCTTTATAAGAAACTGCCAAACTGACTTCCTAAATGGCTGTAATGTTTTACATTCCCATCAACAGTGTTTGAATATTCTAATAGATTTGCGTGCTCACTAGCACTTGGTATAGTCATAACTTTTTATTTTAGTCCATCTGATAGGAATGTATGTAGTGACATCTCATTATAAGTTCTATTTTTTAAAATACTTCCTTTTAAAATAGTTTTATATTTACAGAAAATTTTCAAAGATGGTCCAGAGAGTTCCTGTATACTCCATACTCAGCTTCCCCAATTAATTATGTATTACATTAGTATGGTGTATTTGTCACAATTAGTGAACAAATTATTGATACATTATTAACTAAAGTCCATCCTTTTTACATTTCCTTAATTTTTACCTAACGTCTGTGTCTGTTTCAGGCTCTCACACAAGATACCACTACATTTGGTCATCAGGTCTCCTTAGGCTCCTTTTAGCTGTGAGTTTTTTGAATTTTCCTTATTTTTGATGACCTTGAAAGTTTTAAGGAGTACTGGTTAGGTATTTTGTAGAGTGATCCTCTATTGGGCTTTGTCTGATGCTTTCCTATAACTAGATTAGCATTGTGGAATTTGAAGAGGGAGGCCACAGTAGCATTTTCATCACATCATATCAAGAGTACATACTACTGACATGACTTGTTGATGTTGACCTTGATCAGCTGAATCAGGCAGTGTCTGTAAGGCTTCTCCACTGTAAATTTACTCTTTCTTTTCCTTCTCCATACCATACTCTTTGGAAGGAACTCACAAAGCATAGCTCACACTTAAGGAATGAGGAGTTATGCTCTAATGCTTCATCTCCTTGAAGGCCAAGTATCTATAAAAACAAATTATTTGGAATTCTTCTGTATGGGAAATTTTTCTATTCTTTCCCCATTTACTTACTTACCCGTCCAATTATTTATTTAAGTAAGTGTGGACTCATGGATATTGATTTTATAGTGTGAGTTATAATTCAATAGTACTTTATGTTGCTGCTCAGATTGTTCTAGCTTTGTCCAGTGGGAACTCTTTCAGCTGGCTCCTATGTCATTTTGGTTTTTTGTTAGTTTTGGCTTTATGCTTTTAGCACTTCCTTACTTTCTGCCACTTCAAGATGTTCAAAGCTTATCTTTTATATTTTCTGCCAGTATAGAATCAGCCATTTCTCCAAAGAGATCTCAGTTTTTAAATTTGTGTTTATCTAGTGTTAGTAACCAAGTTCTGGGTGCTAAGTATGTTCATTCCTTCCAGGCCCTCTCAGCTAAGAGAAAGAAAAATATGTGTGTATACTAATACATGTATATATGTATGTCTATAAATAAGTATATATTTAGCCAGTATATTTATATTAAGCTAAGAATGAGTTTATACTGATATTTCCAACTCTAATCCATTGCTACATCGATTGTTCTAGTTTCCTGCTCCTCTTGCTTATCTATAAGCCTCACATTCCAACTGTGAGAAACTGGTCTTCCAACATCTGCCATAAATTTACTTTATTGTTCATTTCCAGTGTACACATATAGTGGTTTCAGAATTGTAAACCCATACCCTCATGGGAAGAAACTCTATTTACTAGAGTACACTGCTTATTTATAGTTTCTTTTGCTTTTTATCTTACAGATTCCACTCGTTTCCAAAGTCACTTAGGTCAGCACCATTTCATCCCCTCCCCTTTAGTGAGGTTATTTTGTACATTTGTAATACAGTTAGATTATCTTGTCACATTCTGCATTCTTCCATCTTTGGATTCCCCAACCTCCTAAACTTTTTCTTTTATTTGCATCCCTTAAGGTTTACTCCTTGTGCTGGAAGGTTCTGTGTTTTGATAAATGCATGTCATATATCTATCATTACAGCATTATATGAGAATAGTTTCACTGTCCTAGAAAATCCCCTGTGCTATTAACCTCCCTACCCCCAAATCCTAGTGACCACTGATATGTTTATTATCTCTATAATTTTGCCTTTCCAGTTTCCCATACTAATGGAATTATAGAATATGCAGCCTTTTCAAACTGCCTTCTTTCACTTAGCAATATGCACTTCAAATTCATCCACATCTTTTTGTGGCTTGGTAGTTTATTTCTTTTTATTACCAAGTAGTATTCCATTGTATGGCTGTGCCACAGATTGTTTAACTCTTCACTACCGAAGGACATCTTGGATACTTCCAGCTCTTCACAATCATGACTAAAGCTACTATAAACATTCACATGAGGGTTTTTGTGTTTACATACGTTTGCAAATCAGTTGGATAAATACCTAAGAAGGGAATTGGTGGTATGGTAGAGTATGTTTAACTTTATAAGAAACTGCTAAACTGTCTTCCAAAATGGCCATAACATTCTGCATTCCCATCAACAATGAGGGAGAGTTTCTGTTGCTCTGCATCTTCACCAGGAATTGGTACTGTCAGTATTGTGAATTTTAGCCATTCGAACAGTTATGTAGTATTCCCAGTTCCTCTTTTCTGTCCATTGCTGTCATTCATTTTCAGTACTTCATATGCTCTAATCACCCAATACATTGCTACTATTATTGCTTCAACAAACATACATCTTTTAGAAGCATTACGAATAATAAAAAATTTAGATTTTATTTTGCCTTCACTTATTCCTTCTCTAATGTTCTTCCTTTCCTTATGTAGATCCAAGTTTCTAACCTATATAATTCTAGCATCTATGTCACATCTGAGTTTGGTAAGTGCTTTGTCTCTTCAGACTGTTTTTTTCTTGCCTTAACAGGCCAAAACATGCCTTGTAATTTTTTTATTGAAATCAAGTGAACTCTAATGCTTTTTAGCTGTGGATCTTGGATACTTTACTCAATTCTTCTGAAGTTCTGGTGGTGGGGGAGGATTATGCCTACATTACAAAATTGTTGTGAGGATTGCTTAAAAACAAAGTCCTGTGTAAAGAGTGAGGCATATTTAGCCAAGGTAAGGTGCATGATTTGGCATTTCTTAGAGGTCGGCCTGCTTGATCTTAGGAAGTGCAGGTTCTCCTTCTTCATCTGGTGTTTATGACAACATTCTCTATTTGGGGATGTCAGGAGTTGGGGAGCACTGAGAATGGAGCACTGAGACCTATGTACTTACGAAAAGTAACTTAGTCTAATGGTTACAAATAAAGTATTCAACCAACCATTAGTTCTGAATATGGTCATCTGTTTTCTCACATTCAGTGCCAGATCATCTCTGAGAGTTGTCAGAATGCATTTAGAGCTTAACAACCTGAGGTGTTCTATCCTGATGATTAATGAGATACGGTAATAGTCATGGTGGGAAATTGAGAGTCAGGAGAAAAGCAGATCAGACACCAGCATCCATTCTATGATTATTTGAATCAGCTCCAGCTAATAAAGAGTACAGTCACAAAGGAAGATATTTTGAAAGAGAAAATATTCGAATCATCTCTGAGAAAACACACACACACACACACACACACACACCAATCACAGTTATTTTAAGACTTCTTAATATGAATCTAAGTAATTTTAATATGCCTTTCTAGTCCTCTGTTTTTTAGTGGAAAGGAAACTACGGAGTTGAGGATTTGAAGAAAGTCAATAGAAATAATAGGTTTACTGTTATTTATTTACTGTTAGAGACCATATTGTGTATGCAATTGAAACTGCTTTTGCGAAATTAAGTAAGAGAAATTTTACATAGTTGACTCCATCCATTTTCTGATCTCTAAGCTGTCTTTGGTCATTCCTGGGCATAAGCCAAGCTAACTTTGGGAGGAATTTACTTTATAGTTTAATCTGAAAGCAAGGATGATAATGGTCCTTCCCAAAACTAAGCCGCCTGTGTAAAACTAATGAAAAACCACCAGGTTAGGGCTATGAGAGGGACCTGCATTCTGCTAAGATGCAGGGATCGTTAAATGATAACCAGCAATTGTTCTGGAGGAAACAAGATTTGTAACTTCCCCAATTACTCCTGTAAATAACATCACTATTGTAGAATCTATGATTAGACTTTTGAGAGATCTTTTCAGACTACTGCATTTCTGAGACCAGCTGACTCCACCCAGATGGCGACTCATGCCTCAACTAGTCCTGTGGCCTCTACTCAGAGGCTGAGTTAGCTCACAAGAACCGTTTTCCACACCTCTATGGTTTCATTCTCAACTATTCCACATTCTTCATTCCCTAGCACCCTGCCCACCAAACTATCCTTGAAAATCCCCTAACCTCTGAGCAGTCAGAGAGACTGATTTGAGTAATAACTCCATCTTTCATGTGACCAGCTTTGTGTCAATTGAACTCTTTCTTTACTGCAATACCATGGTCTCAGTGAATTGGTTTTGTCTGTGTAGCATGCAGGAAGTACCCATTAGGCAATTACACATTGTGCTTCAATTTTTCCTAGTGATGAAAATAATATCCATAGTAGGCAAAATAATTGCTCCCCAAAGATGTCCATGTCTTAATTCTTATATCCTGTGAACATGTTACCTTACAGGCAAAAAAGGACTTTAAAGATGTGGTTATGTTGCAGAACTTAAGATGAAAGATCGTACAGGATTCCTGGTGGGCCAAATCTAACCACATGGGTCCTTAACATTACAGAATATTTCCTGGTTGAGGGAGATGTGGTCAGAGGGAGATGTGGTCAGAGGGAAATGTGACTATGGGAGGATTGTCAGAGAAAAGTAGTATTGCTGGCTTTTAAGATGGAGAAAGAAGACTATGAACCAAAGAATGCAAGCAGCCTTTTGAGGTTGAAAAAAGGAAGAAAATGGTTCTCCTCTAGATCTTCTAGGAAGGAATATAACTTGTTGATATCTTGAGAACTGTAAGAATAAATTTGTGTTGTTTTAAGCTGCGAAATTTGTGATAATTGGTTACAGCAACAATACAAAATTAATATGGCACCCATTTCAGAAATTAATAGCATTGTTTACAATAGTTCTATTGCTATTCAAAAGGAAAGATTTCATGGAAGTTCTCCACTATTCAAAAGGAAAGATTTCATAGAAGTTCTGCATGCAAATTTCTAAACCCCAGTACGGTATTAGACAAACTAGCAATATGATATTAATGTATTAAAGGTAACACTGGTTATGATTTTTATTTATAATATTAAAAATCTCTTTGAAAAAATATCAACTTTGAACCTCATAATAGCCTGCCTATTTGCAAGTTTAGCGGTATACATGTGGTAGTTGAAATTACTTTCAGTTTTTAGGAGACAAGACAGACAACCATGATCTCCGAGTTGCAGAAATGTGTACACTCCGCTCTAGTCTGGAATCTTTTATATACTATCATCAAGTGGCTGTATGAGTCACTACATTTCTTCTTCAATAAGTCTCATGGTCCATTGAAAATATTATGAAGAGAAAATGGGAGCAGCAGTGCATTTCCTAAAGCTAAAAACAAACAGCAAATGAATAGGCTCTGGATCCTATTAATCATATCAGAGACTGCGGAGAGGTAGTATTTCAATACAATTTTTTAAAAACCCAGCACATAATACTTTAAGGAAAAAGAAATTCTAGGCCTTTGTAGCAAATAAAAGAGACTGTCCAGCATCTAGCAATCCATAAAATGAAAAGTTAGACAGTAAGAGCCATTCAAAACCTTTTTGACTTAGATGTTGGTGGGTGAGTACTTCAGTAAATCTGCTCCAGGGTAAACTCAGCCAATTACATAAGAAATAAGCACATGCGCCCCCATATCAAAAGAGTGATGGCTTTATTTGTTGTGAATCCCCAAGAAGTTTAGTGTTTCTCCTTTACAAAGATTTCTTTTGGAAGAAAGTTACTAAAGGAAGGATGGACCTTGAGAATTGCAACAGAATTATGGTAATTGAAATCTGCTATGAATCGGATTCTTTACACCCATTGGCATTGTGGGATCCTTAATATTGCTGTTACAATTATGGTAATTTACTGATTTTGCTTAAAAAATAGATGAAAGCACATTTGAACTCAATAGGAAATGTGACAAAATAACCAGCAATTATTTCCCAAAAAATTCAGTAACTGCAATCATGAAAACTTGTTTTTTAGAGCGAGTCAAAAAATTCCTTATTTGTTGAGAACACACAAGCAGCTCATTCTCAATTTTGTATTTTATGTTTTGGCAAATGTAAAATTTCCTCTACCATTTTTAGCTTGTTTTTGGGTCTAGATGCAGTTAATGCTTTTCAGTACTGTCGGATAGTTGTATGTCAAATGGTATGAATTCAGAGAACTTAGGGAAGTCTTAATTTTTTACTAGATATCAAACACTGAAGCATTTTAGAAATTATCCTAAAGGTAAATGAAATCCAGTGTATCTAATAGTACTTATTTAGTTATTGCCATGGTGCTTAGCTTAATCGAAAATGAATTGTGTTGGCATACCTTAAAAAATAGAAGAAAATATAGGTCAGAGAATAATACCCTTCAGAAATTATATGATCTGGTCTTTAGGGGGCAGCAGAGGGAGCTTGCTTGTGAACAATAATACCAGTTATGAAGGTTCAAGCTACCTCTGTTCTCAATGAAATCGTGCGGCTGACTCAGATGTAACCACCAGACATTGATTGAAATTGTTATGATCACTAAGGAAAACCATTTTCCAATTCCGCTGCCACCCTAAGCAGCATATAGAGTTTTGCATTTATATTTCCTTTGAAGAATCTACAGCTGAGCTACAGAGAATTGCAGTTAGTAAGAATTATACATTTGTAAGTGAAGAACAAATTCCAGTAAGTGTTTCCTTTGATGTTCAGTAATTGCAAAATAAATGTCTTTACAGAGCAATGTAAACATCTTCTTTCACAATGGCTAACATTAATTAAGCACTTATGTGCAAGACGGTGTTTTAAGCATTTTATAAATACTAACTTCTAACTACTGTTAAAAATAATAGTAATTGGGAGACCATTAGGCTGAGAGGGCTCCCACGCTTTGGGTTCCAACATAAGTAACTGAAAGCCAACCTGGAGTGAATGGTCATAGCTATGAAAAGGAAACTTAAGCTTAGCCATTAAGCTTAAGCTCAAATGTGTTATCATCTAATTTTTTAAGCAAAATCAACAAATTACCATAATTATAGCAGCAATATTAAGGATCACAAACTGCCAACTAACTTCTAACTAGGGACTTTCCATTTTAGCCCATCAAATGTTCTCTTTGTCTGACTTCCAAGAACACCCTACAAAACGTTTCCCCTTGGGTCCTCTCAGTGGTGCCCTAAACTGTGGTATGATGCTGCCTGATTCCTAAATCACTATCTGCTTAAATAAGCTCTTTAAAATGTTAATGTGTAAGTTTATCTTTTAACATCAACCACAACAGCACTATGTGGTAATTCTTGTTATCCCATTTTGCAGATGAAGAAACTGGCTCAAAATGATTGCCATTTTCCCAAGGTCATGCAGGTAACATATGATAGAGCCAGGAAGTGTGACTCTATATATTTGGTGTCTCAAATACAACAGAAAACTGCTTCAGTGGGGTGGCATGGTGTGGGGGCTTACATTGATTTATATTAATGCTTTATATTAATGCTATATGCATTTTGTCACAGCTACATTGCTGCAATCATATGCTCAAAGCCAAGAAACTCATGTTAAAGGTGAATTAGGTGAGATGCTGGTCTCAAAGAGCTCTTTGATTCTTCACATTAATAAATCAACATGAAACTCCTGGCAGTTGAATGAATACATAGCCAGACTTTATAAAGATCCTATTTTCAATAGCAGCTTAGCTATGAGTTACTTGAAGACCAAATAAGTGGAGGTTTTCTTTTCTTTCTTTTATTTATTCAATAATTCAGTAAAATTTATAGAGCCTTACTGTGTGCTAGGAAATATTCTAGGTCCTGAAGATTCAATGATGGCTAAGACATAGGTTCTGTCTTCAGAAAGCTCATAGTCTAGTAAGGATGCCAGAGAAAGAGGTCATTTACAAAGATATGCAAATGTACTATGCTATATTTGAGCAAAGTGCTATGAACATGCATAAGAGAAATGCCCAACCCAGTCTATGTGAGACAAGAAAGTTGTCTTAAGTAAGATATCATTATTTTAACTTCTGGTATTTTAAGATCCTTAATAAAAACAGGCAAAAATAACAATGGATTTTTAAAAATAGATTTTTGGTGAGAATTACTTACGTATTTTACAGACATGGATAAGAACTTGAATGACAAAAATTAACAAACAGATGAAGTTCCATGAAATCCTCAAGGGAAGGGACAAATTTATATTGTCAATGCCTAACACAACATCTAGCACCCAGTAGGAGGTCAACAAATGAGAACTGAACTGAATCTGACAGGCATAGAGTGGCTAATCTGAAGCACCATGTTTAAGAAAGACATGGATCACTTGGGGAGATGCAAAGAATAGAAAAAGAACGGTTGAGGTCTACATGTTAAGTCTTGATCCACAATTGAACTTTCTGAGTTTTTCTGCAGACCTGATGAATTGCAGGAACTAAAATCCTGGGGAAGAGGTTTTTTTCTTAAACCTGATCTACTTCATCAAAAGGTCTTTTGTGGAGCATTACAAAACACAAGTTGTTAGGCATAAACCAGATTTATGTTTCTCACTTAAGCTGAAGAAGTCTAATATGGGATAAAATTATTGCAAGTCTGAAAGTATTTATAATGAAGTTAGGAATCATCTGCCCCCAAGTCCATTTTTAAAATGAAAACCTAAGCTAGACAGTTAAATTGAATTTAAAGTGAATTTTTTAAAAAGAAAGAATTGAAATGTGTCAAGGCTCTACTCAGTCTTAATTGAACCAGATCTTTCTCTTTTCTTCCAACTCTTCTACCACTGGAAAATTTGCGAGTAGAAATTGAAGAACAAGGAAGAGGTCAAGTTTGGAAGATGAGATGGTACCACAAAAAAAGCCTCCACAGACTCCTTGAAGAATTTAATGCCCACTAAAGAACAGAAATGTCAGTCCCTGCCCTACACCTCCCACCTTAGTACTTACTGCCAACAAATACACTAGTAAGAAGAAAGCTCTCAACAGTCTGTTAAATGCCAGAACTCTCAAGGTTGAAGATACTCTCTTGTTTTAAGTTTTTGGAAATAGTTGATTTATGAGGAAGATTCACTAGAAGTAGCTGTAGTTTTTTTTTTCTGTGTTTTCTTAAATTAATTTTTTGTTTGTTTAAAAGAGACAGGGTCTTGCTGTGTTGCCCGGGCTAGAGTGCAGTGGCACATGGTCATAGCTCACTGCAGCTTCAATCCCTTGCCTCAGCCTCCCAAGCAACTGGCACTACAGACGCATCACCATGTCCTGCTGATTTTTGTTTTGTTTTCGTAGAGATTGGATCTCACTTTGTTTCATAGGCTGGTCTCAAACTCCTGGCCTCAAGTGATTCTCCCTCCTCAGCCTCCTCAAGTACTGGGATTACAGGCATAAGCCACCACACCTGGCCTCTTTTTTATACTCTGTATTACTTTCAAAATTACTCAGCTTTCAAGAAATAAAAAAGAAATAACTGAATTCCATAAAAGCAAATCTGGCTATGCTAATTTATTACAGGAGTCTAGCCTTGGAGCCCAGAATACATTAAACAAAACCCAACGTTCTCTGGGAAATAAACCATTTTAGCAAGAATTGAAATAATGTCATCTAGCTTCTGTGCTGCTTAAGAGCCACTGGTACTGTACATCAATGTGACACCATAGTGCTAAATGTGGCAAATAAATTCATAACAATGTTGCAAGCTGGAAAGATGCTTCACAACTAAATTTCCTTTAGCTTGCAGGTCCACACCTACTGTGGTTCTGTTTCTACATGTCAGACCTGAGAATGAAGATTTCACAGGAGAATGTTACAGTTTTAGAGCTGGATATAAACTCAGAAATCAACTGATCCCAAGAACCATTGTTAACCTATCTGCACAAAGATGAGCACAGAAATGAAGAGTATGCATTTAGAAACTTATACAGCAATTTGACAGTTATTTTATCTTTTGTATCTCATAATTTTAAAAACCTGGGAATTGAATTTGTATGTCTTTTGTTTTGAATTTTATTTTCTGGTAATCTATTTTGATTTTACAAAATTATCAGTCCTTGAGAAATTGGAAAAAAAATTTAAGTATTCCTTCCTCACATGGTTTAAGAAGAACTGCCCTTTTGGTCGTAATGAAATACCCAGGGGACAGCCTGGGACATGTGAAGTTAGACTGAGGAGCCAGGGTATAGGGACGCAGGGTCTCATCTCTTGTTTCAGAATAGCGCACTGTTAATCTAAGTGCTGGGTGTCAGCAGGATAGATAATAGTACGATAAAGCTGACAATGATAATATTTATATTGGGAAGTAGAAAAGAAAGTCATATGCTGGAATCGTTCTCTCAAAGTAGGGAGAGAACTTATACTGGTTTTATACCTTTCTACTTTTCCTTCTTCCCTAAATTGTCTACAGAGATGGGAGCTTAGCCTAAAAATGTAATCAGATGGAAGGAGAAACAGTAATTTCAAAGCTTCTACCTGTGTTTTGTGCTGTGGAGGTGTGATGTAGTTGGTTCTCATTTAGCAGATCATCCGAGCTCAATCTGAGTAGGGGGTAGAAAATGAAACTCTAATTTATGAGAAATTTGGAGGTTTGAAGGCTAAGGTGGTAAGAGAGAGAGAAAGGTCTGAGGAGGCAAACCCTCAGGGATCGGAACCTACCTACGAGACATTCCCAGAGGCAGAGAAAGACCGTGGGTTTAGAGCAGCGTTGTTTAATATTCCATCTTAAATTAGTGACCATGTTGTGCTAGTATATGTGGATATTTCCCTCCATTAGCCCAAACCTTCAGTTGAAAGCTGGCTTTGTCCAATTGCTTTGTACTAATGGAACTTAAGGGGGAAAAGGAATGGAGCGTTTAGGTATAATGTGCATGTGTGAAGAAAGCATTGGGTTCAGTTTCCATTTTGAGGAAAATTCACAAGCTCATAGGTAGGGCAGCAGTGGCTGAGGCAGACACACAGGGATTGAGAATCCAATGAGATCAGAACATTTCATGAGAAAAGACCAGAGGGGTGACTCGGTGCTCCTGCCCCTCCCCTGGCCAACAATCCACACAGATATTTGTGGAGGGGAACTAGGTTTCTCACTGACCTTCAGACACATGCTTAAAACATTGATTTAGTATGTGAGAGGACACATGGGGTGATAATACCATGGGCATCAGGGGAGAAGCAAGCACAATCTAGCGGTCTTACTTCATCAACCAATTCCTATCTGCCAAGTATAAGAACCTTCCCCATGTCGTTTCATTCATTCTTTAAAGCAAGCCCAGTGATGGAATTCTATCAGTATCTGATTTTGTAAGCTTTATTTTAACAAAGCCAAAAATGCAATACTGACAAAGGAAAATTACTGATGGAGGCCAACTTTCTCTATCTTTAGATGAGAAAACTGAGATCCAAAAAGAATAAATGAATAACCCACTCACACCTGATAGTAGGTATCAGAGTCAAGTCAAAAAGGAGTCTGGAAACATTGCTAGATTTTAATTCTTTCACCAGAAGAGCAGAAGACTCAACAGCTCATCCATAAAGCATTTAAATAAACACTTAGGATATTGATCCTAAATGACAGCTTTCTTTCATGTCAATCTATCAGAAGTTTCTCTTTTATCGGATTCACTAGGTTGGCAGTGGCACTTTTTCTTCTCCTCCTCTTCTTCCTCCTCCTCTCCTTCTTCCTCTTTCTCCTTTTCCTTCTCCCCCTCCTACTTCTTGTTATTGCAACCACAGAAGAAAGACATGCTCTTCTAGCTGATTATTCCCATAATTCATTCTGTAATGGCAAAAGAAATAACTAAAAGCAGCCCTGGGCATATCAATAAGCCTTACCTGGTGATTGAATACCTCAGAATATATACTTACTAGACTCTACAGTTTTGTGCCACGTGCTAAGTCGGTATCCTCCTAATTGGGGAGTTTTGTCTGTAGGTCTTGGAACTAATTGAGCTAAATTTTGTACTCCCAATGAAGAGGAGAGATGGTAAATAAACAATACCGTGTGTGAGCCTAATTGGTTAGGCAATCAATCACAAGAAGTTTCCTCTCTTTAACAGAAGTTGAGTTTCCTGTTTGATAGACCAGGGCTCAGTGCCACACCCTGGCTTTCATTAAGGCATGAAACATTGTCTTGTTGTCAGGTGATTCTTGCTCTCACCCAGGGAAACATTCTTTCCTGGTATTTCATAAACCATAAGTCAGTTACACACACCATGACTTGAATAGTTTCCTAGACTCAGAAATGGGGAGTTTGAGTCTTTATTTCTTCTAGTTTATATTTGACTTATTCTTTCATACACTTGTAACAAAATTGAGACTATAAAGATTATCCTATAAAACCCCTTTTATTACCTGTTTTATTATCCTTAGTTGGATGAGAAAACTGCGGCTTGGTGTCTACTGTGTAGTAGGTGCTCAGTGAATATTTATTGAACCATTCAATAGACCCAAGCTGATGTTGAGTCACATGGCCGAGCTGTGATGGAAAACCGGTCTTGTAACTTCTTGCTCAAGGCCCTTTCTACTACATTACTATCCATCTCCCTTCAGCCTGAATACACACCTATCAGCTACCACTACAACTGTTCACAAAGGGGAAATTCCACGTGGGAGATGAGAGTCACAGGAGGAGCTTTGGTTCCTAAACATTTGCATAGGCATCTAGCTCAGGCAAATAGTTGAAAGGCACATTTAAAAAGATGTTGTAGTAAACAGAAGTAGGGCAAATAAGAACACCTCCTCTTTATCACACACACACACACACACACACACACACACACACACACACACCCCACACGTTTTCTTTCCTGAGTAGGAATCTAAGGGCTCCAGGTGGAAGAGGAGGCATGGGCAGAGAACGGCATACAGCAGGGCAGGTGGAAAGCGGTGACTGACATTTAGTTTAACCAGCCTTGACAATGGTTTCAAGGACACATGAAGCTCAAAGTAAGCAGGGGCTACAGGCAAGGTAAACAGGCTGTCTAATATTCTTATGAGGATGGGAAACATCATAGAATTATTAAAACTCTCTCAGGAAAGGAGACTATGAGAAGGGATTGTCCACTTTTATCCACATCTAGGATGCCATGCCCAGCCCTTCTTGCCTTCCTCCCACCTCAGCCCAACAGGCTCCAGTCTATTCCAAAGAGAAGTGTCTAACAGAATGAGTTAAGTATCAGCCAACTTTTTGAAAATATCAGCCTGGTCTGCTAGATCCTTTTCTGCTTGGGGACCTCTTCAAATGCTGCTGATTATCTTAACTCTGTTGTCATGTTCACCACTCTGGCCATTTTATCTGCTCCCTCTAGACCTCATGGGTTTATGCTTCTTCCAGAGAGCTTTCTAAAGAGACAAATAACATCAATCATCTGCCTATTAAACCAGAGGAGATTTATTGTTGATAGCCAAAATTATATTAATATATAAATTAGTAATACTTAATGATATTAGTTAATTAAGTATATCAGGAATGCTATACTTGCCAGCAGAGACAGCCTGTCAGTGGCTTCAGGCTGTCAGCATTCTTTTGTGTCACCCCTCTCTTATCATTGCTGTATAACTGTCAGTGGGTGCAGTAGCCAAACTCAGGAAGACATCCAGGGAAAGTGATTTCAGAGACTGGTAGGAATGGGATATTAGGAACTGTGGGCGCTAACACTGAAAAATCTGGTAGTTTTTCTTTTCTTTTCCTTTCTTTTTTTCTCTTTTCTTCTCTTTCTTTATTCTTTCTTTCTTTCTGTCTTTCTCTCTCTTTCTTCTTTGTTTCTTTCTCTTCATTTCTTCTCTCTGTTTCTTTCCCGCTTTCAATAATAATCACTCAGACTGTGTCCTTTCCCTTACTGTCCCAGAGGGAGACAAAAACAATCATCAGTGGCAAATGGTACTTGCAGCAAAGCAACACCAAGACCCAGCTTCACACTCAGGACAGAACACTGCATGTCCTCCTCATGGTTGCCAGTGTTCTACACGTTCAGGGGAACTTCTCTAGTAATGAGCTATAGAAATGATCCCTGAAAGTATAGTCTTAAATCTAGTCATTTCTTTTCTTGAATCACAGTCAGTATTTCTACTGACCAGAAATGCTGTCACTCAAATTGACCTGCAGATATGAATATTAGTAAGTCTAAGTGTGCAAAACCTGTGTTCCTCTAATTGCTAGCGAGCAGAGAGAAGGTCATAAAACAGCTCTTGACACAATGCAGAAAGTAGGAAAACTCCGAGACTGGCTAGTGACAAAACTTTAAGGAGGTTTCTTGCCATCTCTTTACCCAAAAACAAGAGATATTTTCCTGCTCATAAAGGTCAGGTGTTTGTGCCATTCTAGCATTCAGTTTTTGTGTCTGTCCAAGTGTGTGTAGGCTAAGTGTTTGAATCAGGCCTTGAGAAGTTTTATAAAATTCTGCCAGATCATGATCCATGAGCATAAGGATTATGCTGGTTTGTCGACCAACGCATTTTACACCACCCAGCACAGTGCCTGATATTTAGTAGGCCCTCAACTGACACTCCTTCCACAAACAAATAAGTGACAAAAATCCATGAATGGAACACCCTTTGGAATATTTGCTAGGCTTCTACATGGAATGCCTTTCCAGGTCTTTGCAAAGCAGGCTGCTTCTGCTTTTTCCAAACTCTTCCAATATTATCTTTTAGAGAAGATTTTCCTGAACGCTTCTTTTTTTTTTTTTTTTTTGAGATGGAGTCTCACTCTGTCACCCAGGCTAGAGTGCAGTGGTGCAATCTCAGCTCACTGCAACCTCCACCTCCCAGGTTCAAGCAATTCTCCTGTCTCAGCCTCCCGAGTAGCTGGGATTACAGGCACACACTACACACCAGGCTAATTTTTGTATTTTTAGTAGAGATGGGGTTTCACTCTGTTTGATCTCCTGACCTGAGGTGATCTGCCCCACTCAGCCTCCCAAAGTGCTGGGATTACAGGCATGAGCCACTGAGCCCAGCCTGAACCCTTTTTTTTTTCTTTTTTTTTTTTAGCGAAGTCTCGCTGTGTGCCTAGGCTGGAGTGCAGTGGTGTGATCTTGGCTCACTGCAACCTCCGCCTCCCGGGTTCAAGTGATTCTCCTACCTCAGCCTCCCAAGTAGCTGGGATTACAGGAGCACACCACCATGCCTGGCTAATTTTTGCATTTTTGGTAGAGATGGAGTTTCAGCATGTTGGCCAGGCTGCTCTTGAACTCCTGACCTCAAGTGATCCGCCTGCCTCAGCCTCCCAAATTGTTGAGATTACAGGTGTGAGCCACTGCACCCGGCCCTGAACCCTTCTTTAATATGACCTCAACCCACCCTGATCAATCTCACTTTCATCCTGTTTTATTTTGTTCATAGTTCTTATTATGATCCAATTACTTTTTTATGTGTTGATTGACTAGCTTGTTTAAAATATAAATTCCATGGGGCAAAGACTTTGTCTAGTTCTTTGGAAGAACTACGGTTCCTGGCATAGTGCCTGGTGCATGGTAGGCTCCTAATAAACTTGTTAAATTAATGAATTATTTAAAATGAAAGAATATATTCCTCTAGGTGTACCCTAAGGAAAAAGAAGTTTGCAACAAAAGCATTTCTCTTTTTCTCGTTTGGTTTAGAACTGGGAATCCTCTATTCCTTTCATCCCTCTTTTGTGTTGATCACAGTCCTCAAAACGTTTCTGTGGTTTCTGATATCTAATTGCCTTCTGCCTTCCCCTACCAATTCTCTCCCTATCCTTTGCTCTGATAGAGCAGCTTGTTTTCCTCCTGTGGTATTACTTGCTCTTACCATGCTGTTAAGAGATCAGCAGCCCCAGTAAAAGGACAACCTTGATGGGCAGAAGGCATCAATATATTTTGAATCACTCCACTAAAAGGTTTCTCCATATGGTTTCCATATCAGTTCCTAAGAGAACTGGTAACTAGTTACATATGCCCTACCTCTCTCACTCTCCAGTTTATCATTCAACATTCACAAACATTCCCACTCTTGAGCCTTGAGCCCTCTTAGACCACTTGGCCTCACTACCACATGCTTTAGTAGCCCTCTTTCATCACCTTAGCACCCAAAATGGTTCTTACTTTTCTTGTAGGGCCTTCGTTTTCATTTAGGTCAGTCTATTACTTTATCAAAGATGGAGGTCTACCTTCTCTTTCTTTAATTAAAGTCAATCAATATTTAAAGTATGTTGGGGCCTCAATAACTAAAGTTATTTCTACAGCTTCTGATGTATTTTCATATTTAAATCAACTGGGAGGAATCTAGAATTAACTTTAATAGTGAGTGGCACATTTATTTACACAAACTTTTCATGATCCCTGGTCTGCCACAGACTCCAAGAAGAGGAAGAGTTTACCATTTCTTATGTCACCAATTCTAACCATTAAAAATTAGTTCAAAGTTCACCATAAGAAGTGTAGTGGACAAACATCAAACTGACAGATATATTCACCCCATGTCTTGAGAATCTCCAAGGCCATCTTTATAAATGGCTTATATTATTTGTAGCTTTGTTTTTTCTTCACAAAGATTGTATGTTAGAGGACAAAGCATAATTTTTTGGTTTTCAGTTGAACACATCACAAGCCAGACCAGTATTATACAATGCACTGTTGAGCTAAAAACACAAATCTTGGTATGACTTAATAAAGCAGGTCTCATTTTTGTGTCCATCCCAACATACCTAAACGATATAGTATACTCCTATAGTTAATGGTGGCCCATTATGGCAGTGCTTCCTGTGTAAGGAACAGCTTGAATGATTTATTCAGTTAATTCTTATTCTCTACCCCCCCTCAAACACACACATCTCATACAGAACTGAAATATAGAATGAATCTTTATTTATCTAACCTTATTACTGAATAAGGGTATAGTTGTTATTTGGTATTCTTTGATTCCTAGCATGTATAAAATAAATACTCAAGTACCATTACTTGAACAATTTTGTGAGCAAAAGCCACATGCCACACAGTATCTGTGAGACTTGTAACCGAATGACACTTGAACACTTTAGTTCATGATTTTAACAAGCTACTTTTAAGAAAGGTCAATGCTTTTATAAGACCAAAAACTTAAATGGTGCAAAAAAGAATTTTGAACTGGAAAGGTGATGGCAAGTGCTTCGTGCCCAGAAGCGATCATCATTTGAAAAATAAAATCAAAACAATAATTGCTTGAAATGAATAATGAAATTGTGAGAATGATTTGGCTCATTTCATGTCATTGTCGTAATGAGAAGGCACTATCAAAATCACTCAGGGAATTTTTCCATTGAACATATACCTCTTCCCTCCAGCTTAGTATATCCCCATTTTCCAACCTCTATGTGTTTACCGAAAGATTTTCCAGGTGATCATAGAGGCTCCTTCATTTCTACTCCTTCTCTTGGAGTGAGCATTACAAATTCAGTTGGCATTAAGGCATTAGATGATTAAATAGAAAGTCTGAGTGGCTACTTTGAGGCTATATAGCATATAAAAGAAAAAAGACGACCTCAGAATTAACAAACCTGCAAATATAGCAAAGCAGCAAAAATTTATTAAAGTTCATCACGTTCCAGGTAGCACATAGTGAGCACTATTCATGTGCTAGCTGGCTTATTAATTTATTCTCTATTTATTCATGAAACAAATATCTATTAAGTGCATAAAATAGGTGCTGTGTGTACCGTGATATTCCAAATAGAGTTAGTCTTTGCTGTTTTACAGAATTCCCCAGCAGGAGTAAACTCCAGCTGTCCATAGTGGTGACCAGCTCATTAGTGTTTCCTTATTGGCTATTTGTTTTTCCTTGACCCAGTCTCCTATTCCTCTACCTGTGTTTCTGGGACAACCTTACAAATGAATAACTTGAATTCAAGTACTTATATGAAGGTTTGCTTCTGGGAGAACCTGAACTAAGACACCAGGGGAAGTGTACTTCAAGCAGAGGAAAAGGGAGATAAGAAAGCTCTAATCCTGGCCAAGAGCTCAGCATAGAGGGGCAGAGGAAAGGCAGGGTGGCCAGAGCACAATGAGCAGGGGGGTGCCGCGGGGGGACTGAAGAGGGGAACAACGGCCAAATGATGCCAGGGTCCTGGAAGCTGAGGTATCACTTTCTATTGTTGTAACAAATTACCATAAACTTTGTGGCTTAAAACAGCATAAAGTTATGATCCTACAGTTGTGGAAGTCAGAAGTACAAAACAGGTCTTTCTGGGCTAGAATCAGAACATTGGCAGGACTATGTTCCTTTCTAAAAGCCTAGAGGAGGATGCCTTTTCTGCCTGCCTTTTTTTGTTCATAACCCCCTTCCATCCTCGCAGCCAGCAGCGGTTAAGTCGGTTCAGTCCTTCTGACAATCCATCACTCTCTCTACTGTTCCCCTCTTACACTTCTGAGGATCCTTGTGATTACACTGGGCCCGCCTTGAAAATCCAGGCTTCTCTCCTCATTTTAGGGCCAGCTAATTAACAATTTAATTCCATCTGAAACCTTGATTCACCTTTGCCATGTGACCTAACATATTCACAGGTTCTGGATCTTTGGATGGGGGACATTGTTGCGTCTACATTAACCATGCAAAGGAGCTTGAATTTTTCAATGAAAGAGAGAAACCAATGGAGAATTGTAAGCTGGAGAGTGACAGCATCTACTTTGTGTTTTTAAGACATCCTTTTTGGCTCCTATGTGGTGAATCAATTGGAGAATGACAAGAGTGAGAATGGGAGGATTAATTAAGAAACTATTAAGGGACAAGCAGTGGCAGAGGACTAAGATGATGGTGTCAGAGCTTTTTGGAGGTTCAGTGAGCAGAATTTGGTGAAGGATTAGATCAGGGCCAAAAGAAAGAGGAAGGTTTCAAAAATAATTCCTAGATATCTCTCTTTAGCATTTGAGTGAATGGAGATGATGGTTTACTGACGTGGAAACATTGGTTTAGAAACATAAAACATTCAGGTTTCAACCAGCTCATTTTTAGATGCCTGTGAAATATATAAATGAATATAATCAAGTGTATATATATGAGTCTGGAATTCAAAACTAAAGTCTGGATTAAAGATATACATTTTTGAGCCACAGTCATAAATACAGTATTTATCACCAGGGAATTAGTGCAGTTACCACAGATGAGAAAAAGAGGTGAAAAATGAACAGGACAGGACCAGTCTTTTAGGCATAATACCATGTACTCCTGGAAATTATCTGCTCATTCTGCTATTCATTGCTTGTCTTCTCCTCTTTCTACTTTTGCTCTCTAGAACTTCTGTGTGCTGTTTGAATCTTCTCATTCCATACCACATGTCTCTGATCCTTTTATATTTTCCATTTATTTCTTCTTAGGCTGCCTTTTGGATAATTTTCTCAGTTCTGTCTTCCAATTATATGGTATTCTGTGCCTAATCTACTACTTAACACACTCATTGAGCTTTTTTTTAAATTCAGTGACTATACTTTTATTCCAGAAGTTCCATTTGGTCCTTTACAAAATTTGAGTTTCCTGTTCTCATATTTTTCTTTTCTTGTCTATTTGTTCTACACCTTCCTTCATCTTATCAAACATTTAAATTTTTCTTAAAGTCTCTTTTAGAATGTTTAATTTTTTTAGTTCTTGGGGGTACAATTGCCCCCATTTGTCATCTGCTATTTATTCCCCAGAGTGATTCATTTCCTTGAGTGTTTTGTGATGTCTGTGAGATCTATCCCAAGAGGGCTTATATTTGGTGGAAAGTTTGTGTGCCCTGAGCTGTGCACATTTTTCTCCACAGTTGTTTTTGCTCTGCCTCACTTAGCCCCTGGGAGTGCACCAGCTATGTATTAGTTTTAATGCGAAGAGCCTAAGCTTAGACATTATTTTTCATGGCTTGGTTTTTTCTTCCAAAGATTCCAAGCTGACAGCATATTTCTTTGCCTCCTTTCCAGGCTGGGAGGATTGGGGTTTTCTAATGCCCTTTTCATAGAGTTATGAATGGCTGGTTTTAGACTTGATAATCCCCACATGCAAAGAGTTTGTGGCTGGACCCCTAAACCAATATTACATATGGGAAGTAGAACCCCAGCCACAGCCATAAAGAATATATTACAACCATTAGTCAATTTTTTAAAAAAAGCTTTATTGAGGTATAATTGATATACAAAAAGCTGCACGTTTAATAGATACAATTCGATCAGTTTGGACATAGGCATACACCCGTGAAATCATCACCGCAAAGTAATACACATGTTCATCACCTCCAAAAGTTGTCTTGTGCTTCTTGTTTGTTGTTTCATTTTGTTTTGCTCTGCTTTTTGTTGCTGTGAGAACACTTAACATGTGATTTATCCTCTTAACAATTTCTCCCAGTTTTATTAAGGTATAATTGACAAATAAAAATTTTATATATTTTACAGTATATAATGTGATGTTTTGACATATAGATAGATAGATAGATAGATAGATAGATAGATAGATAGATAGATAGATCTTGTGAAATGATTGATTCAAGCTAATTAACATATCTATTGCCTCACATATGTTTTGGTCATAAGATCCACTCTCTTAGCAATTTTCAAGTATGTAATATATTATTATTAACTATAGTCACCATGCTGTACAATAGTTCTTTAGAACTTATTTATCCATTTAACTGAAAGTTCACACCCCCTTTATCCAACATGTTCTCATTCTCCCTCCTCTGCCTTAACCCTAGCAACCACCATTCTACTTTCTGCTTCTATGAGTTTGGCTTTCTTAGACTCCACATGTAAGTGAGATCTTTCAGTGTTTGTCTTTCTGTGCCTGGCTTATTTCGCTTAGCATAATGTATTCCAATTTTATCCATGTTGTCACAAATGGCAGGATTTTCTTTTCATAAGGCCAAATTGTATTCCATTGTATATTTATACCACATCTTCTTTATTCATTCATCCATCAGTGGACACTTGGGTTCATTCCATATCATAGCTATTGTGAATAATACTGCAATGAACTTGGGAGTGCAAATATCTCTTCAACATACTAATTTCATTTCTTTTGGATGTATTCCTATAAGTGGGATCCCTAGATAATATGGTGGCTCTATTTTTAATTTTTTGAGGAACTTCCATACTGTTCTCCATAATAGCTGTGCCAATTTACCCACAAATGTACAAGCATTCCCTTTTCTCCACATCCTCGCCAACGCTTGTTATCCTTTGTCTTTTTGATAATAGCTTTCTAACAGGTGTGAAAAGATATCTTATTGTGATTTTAATTTGCAATTCCCTGATAATCAGTGATGTTGAGTGAATAAGAGTGATTCATATATGTGTTGGCCATTATATGTTTCCTTTTGAGAAATATCTTTTCAGGTATTTTGCACATTTTTAAATCAGGTTGTTTGTTGCCTTGCAATTGAGTGGTTTGAGTTCCTTATGTACTTTGGACATTAGCTCTTTATCAGGAATATGGTTTGCAAGTTCTTTCTCCTACTCCATAGGTTGTCTCTTTACTCTGTTTATTGTTTCCTTTGCTATGGAGAGGCTTTTTAACTTGATTCAATCCCATTTGTCTATTTTTGCTTTGTTGCTTGTGCTTTTGGGGTCATATCCAAAAAATTATTGCCTAGATCAATGTCAAGAAGCTTTTTCTCTATGTTTTCTTCTAGTAGTTTTACAGTTTCAGATCTAATGTTTAAGTCTTTAATCCACTTTCAGTTGATTTTTGTATGTGGTATGAATTAAGGGTCTAATTACATTCTTCTGCATGTGGATATCCAGTTTTCTCAGCATTTATTGAAGAGACTGTCCTTTCCCCATTGTGTGTTCTTGGTAACTCTGTCAATGATCAACTGACTGTAAATAAATGAATTTATTTCTGGGTTCTTTCTTCTGTGTCATTGGTCTTTCTTAACAAATTTTTAAGTTCATAATGTAATGTTGTTAACTATAGGCACTATGCTGTATAGTGTATCTCTAGAACACATTCATCTAAAACTTTATCCCATTAAACAACCCTCTCTTTCTTCCTCCCCCCAGCCCCTGGCAACTACCCAAGAAGGAAGAAGTAAAATGAGCTCTGTTTGGAGATTACATAATTTTACAGGTAGAAAACCCTAAAGACTCCAAAAAAAAAAAAAAAACTATTAGAATGAATAAGTGAATTTGGTAAAGTTATAGGATACAAAATCTGCATACAAAAATCAGTTGTATTTCTATATACTAATAATGAACACCTAAAAAGGAAATTAAGAAAACAATTTCATATAATAGCATGCTTAGGTATAAAGTAAACCAAGGAGGTTAAAGACTTATACACAGCAACTTTAATTCTTTTACATCTAGCTCCGCTATGCTACCTTTGAGCTCCCCCTGTGGTAAATTTCCTCTCTTAGTTTACTGCTTGGCTGTGTATCCAAGAATTCTATGACTGGGTTGATTAAAAATCCCCACTTCGTAAGTTAGAAACAACAAACAACTTTTATTTTTTTAATAACTGCTACTAATTGTGTTGTATCCAATCCTTTTTCCCACTGGACATCTATCAGAAACTTTGAAAACTCCTCAATCTGATGTTATCACTTTTCAATTAATAAAATGATCTCATTTTTACTAATTCTTATGATTTTTCATTACAGAATTATAATCTCATACCCACAGCTCTTACCTTTCCTGCTAATGTGATGAAGCCAGCTTGAGACAGCTCACAAAAGCCTAGTGTGCATATTTCTTTCCAACTCAAAGTTCAGTGATGTGCTGTTGGAGCTTGACATTGGCCATGATGGGAGTATTTACACTATGGAAATCGTCAAATATTACAAGTCACATTTTCCTTCTAGAGAACCAGTTGTTAAACATTTACCAGCCCACCAATGCCCTGTCCCCCTCAAGACTAAAGATGTGGGTCCATTGTCAGTTTCTGTGTGTGAAGGGTGTTGAGGGGTAGGAAAAAAATATCATGGACTTAGTCTCCTATTGCTCACCCCATCCCTCCTCTGTGGCTAATAGTCTCATTTTGGTGCTGGAAGAGGGCTTTCCATTGCAAGTTAAATGTTTGCTTCTGTACTTCAATTTATGTCTTTTATGTGAACTTCTATGTTGGTGGTCATGAATTTGCCGTCACATTTCTGTTAGTCATCACAACTGACCTAGGCCTTTGTCTAGGTCTCAGGTAAGTGAGGCCCAACAGGTCCTAGTGATGTAATACAATCTCAAAGAGATTTCAAGGTACCACCCAACTCTTTGAGACTAGGTTACATATCCAAACTGATCCCAACTGTGTGCATCCCACATGAATTCCTCTGATACACACATCTCCTTGCCTCATGTTGGAGAGAACCAATATATGATGCAGCCATCATATTTTTGTACCTTCTTTTCCCAACACTGGGCCTGCAAACTCAAATAGGATCTATCTTCCTTTCCTTTCAGGAGGCAGTCCTTTTAGCTTTGCTTCCCAAACATGAAACCATGCTATTTTAGTAATCTCCAACCATGGAGCAAGGTATGAGTTCCCCTTCTTGCATATAGACATCACAAGCAATTTTCTCAGTTTGCAAATGCTGCTAACCCTAAACAAAGACCCTATGGCCTTCCCCATTACTCCTCTTATATCTCTCTTGGGCAATAGCATTCTAATCTATTTGGTCTGTCTCCCATGTGAGGACAAATATCCAGTCTCATGTTAAGAGTAAGATTTTCTTTGATGTGGTCCTTGAAGAATGTGGACACTTTATTTTCAATAGGGCACTGTTGCTGTTTACCACACCTTATTTCAATATCTCTGTTACATGTAATCTAGTAGCTCATGTTTTTTGAGCAGTGGGCATTGGACCTTACATGAACTCAATCTCAGGAGAGAAAGTCAAATTTTACTTCTATTTTATTGAACTCTGTATTGTTTGACTTCTAATATCTGATACGGTTTGGATATTTATCTCCCCAAATCTCATGTTGAAATGTCATCCCCCAATATTGGAGGTGGCCCTTTGTGGGAGGTGGCGGGTCATGTGGGCAAATCCCCCATGGTTTGGTGCTATCCTCACAGCAGTGAATGAGTTATTGCAAGATCTGGTTGTTTAAGTGTGTGTGGTACCTGCCCCTTGACTCTTGCTCCTGCTTTTGCCATGTGATGTGCAAGCTCTCGCTTGGCCTTCTGCATGGGTAAAAGCTCCCCGAAGCTTCCGCAGCAGATGCTGGTGCCATGCTTCGTATACAGCCTGCACAACCATGAGCCAATTAAATCTCTTTTCTTTATAAATTACCCAGTCTCAGGTATTTCTTTACAGCAATGGAAGAATGGCTTAATAAAATATCAAGCATATTTTACTTTTATAAGAAAAAACTAAAGTAATAACATGTTCTTAATGCACCTGTCACCAAAGAGTAAAAGAAAGCAGCCTAGAGGTATTTTGTGTTTGGAAAAGAAGACCTAATATTGTAATTCTAAAAACAAGATATTGTATAAAGTGAAATGCTAGTTGTAATGTTTTGGCCAAGTCAAAAAGTGGGCTAATTTTTCAATATAAAGTTACATAGTATATACACTTGGGATTCCACATTTTAAAAAATTGCTCCTTATACTTTTTCTTAGCCAATTCTTACATATGAAAGAGAAAACAGACAATTTAACTATGTATAAAAATTTTAACTTGCTGCTGAAAAAGTCTAGAAAGAAAATTATAGTGGTGGTGGTAGTGAAATAAAAAATGAATGGAGAATTTGATAGGAAAATCATGGATTCTGTACAGACCTTAAATCTTATATGTAAAATAAAAGTGAATTTAAGATAATAAGAAAGGAAAGAAAGTCAAAAAGCCTTTTATACTATCAGCAAAGATTTCTAAGACATGTCAAAGAGAGAGCATTTGTTTCATAAGCTTAGATCAGTGGAATGAAATGATACACATGACTCACAGAATGACAGTTTTAATATTAAGCTGCTATTGTACTCATTAGAATAATGCTAGCTTTTATTACAAATAAGGCAGAAATGTATTCTGGCCTGAAAGTAATATAGACATACTTGTTAGTCATGCTTACTAAATGGGTGAAGAAAGGTTGATTGACACTTTTCAACACAATCATTCAGAAGTACAGAGTGATGGAAGCTTTGTTGTTTTCAACAGATGTTTTCCAGGGTCATCCTGGGACTCTTCTCCATCCCAGCCAGAGGGAAGAGGAGGAGAATGGAGGTCTATTTATGGAAAGTTTATAAGGTCCAGGACTATGAGTGGAACTTTTTCCTATACATGGTCCCTGGCTAAAGCTCAGTCACAAGGCCACTTTAACTGCAAAGGAAATTAGGAAATATGCCCCATTTCCGGGGAGGAGAAAATGGATTTGATAAGCAGCTAGCATCAATAAGTATAAACTAGAATTGTCTTCTTTGTAGATTGTTTAAAACAGAATAGCTCTTCATCTAATTGTAATAATATGTGTGTAGTCCCGCTTAAAACAAAAGTATGGACATCACCAAATGCTCTCTAAAAGACCCTAAAGTTCTCTAATTTTTGGAAAGATGCTTGTATTTTTGGCTTTTTAAAGAACACATAGAGGAGGTACAGGTATAAAGATTATGAATGAAGCAATGCGAAGTTAGAATTTCATGTTGACAGAGGATGTGGAAAGAGAAAAGTTATGGGGAAACTTTATAGCAAAACAAGTGGGAGGGTATACGGAAAGGGAAGGACATGAAAAGTAAGGGAGAATGCTCTTATTATTCTGTGATATGCTGAGAAAATATCAAAACAAGAATGAACAGAGTTCCAAGAAGTTACAAGAAAAAAAATCACAACCAACTCAGTACCACTTATTCCTAACTTTATAAAGTTAGAGCAAAAAGATTTGCGGATAGAAACACGCACAGGCTCACAATGGAGAAGCCTCTACAACACTGGCCTCAGAGCTGCCCTGGGAAGTCAGCAAGTCAGAGCTGATGTTACTGAGACCCAATAATTGCTTGGCTAATATGTACTGAAGTCACCTGCTTATTGCAACAATTTGAGAGTCATTACTTGATACTTTTATTTGATTTTAATTGTTTCTCTTTCTGTCTCTGGAGTCCAAAGCAAATAAGGCACTTGATATTTGCTTTAAAAAGTTTCGCTTCCTCGAATAATATGAGTTTCTAGCTTTAAAAAAATCATAAATCTTTGGGGTAGATGCACAAGGAGTCTGCGTTTTGCATGTGACTTCTGGATTTGCCCATATCCTTGTTTGTTTAGAACACTGACATGATGATGCAAAGCCACACATACCCTTGTTAACAAAGATCAGTAAAGCTGCTGATACAAGCTTTTTATTAACTTCTGAAGCCAGGTGTTTATCACGTCTCCAGCTGCTCAGCTGAGGCTTATTGCAGGGCATGTCTGCTACTTTGTTTTGGTTAGGCTGGCATCAAAATGATTACATTCCAGTGGGATCAGGAAAGACCGATAAAATGGATCTTCAGTGAGAACATTGTTTACTATCATTTTGCAACCCTGTTTTCGATTGTGAAAGCCAACGTAAGCTAACAGAACTGCAGTCTTATGGCCTGGACATCAACTGAATGTTTGCGGGGCCCATGAAACGCATTTTGATTCCTTCTGCAAGAAGAAAGCAAAATGTAGATGAAAGATAATGACTTCAGTTTGACACTCCTTTGCATCTCCATTAGCTCAAAGATAGCTGACCCAAACTTTACCTTTAATGTGTGGTCAATAGCAGTCACTGGAGTCAAAGTTAATGTTTTAGTATCATGACTTGGCTAGACTGCATATGACTTTTGCCCCAAATTTTTTTTAGTAAGGATTCAATTACCCTGTCCTCTGAAGACATGTAATACAAAGAAAAAAACCTGCATGCTATTGACTACTGATGATTGAAAGATAGTTGTCTGAGGACCCACAGAAGTTGGGAAAAGATAAAGGAACTCCACTCAGACAGAAAATTTATTATTTTAATAATCATCAGTTTAGAGATCAGATGGATACATACATGAGCTCTATACATTCATCCACAATATATAAATTGCTGTGTGTGGTTCATTTTATTTTTAATAAATAATTCTTGAAATAGCCATCTTCAAAGATGGTTCCCAATTTCCCCACTTCCTAATATTCATGATCTCTTACACATTTCTCCTTTTTATCATATTAGGTCTGTGTGAACAATAAAATACAGCAGAAGGTATAGTGTGATAATTTTGAGACTAGGTTATAAAAGACACGGTGGTTTCTGGTAAAGAACAGGGTCGAACTACACAATCTTTTGATGTGACTTCAGCAAGATCAAAGCTCGTGCCTTGGAGTAATTGTTTAATACTTATAAAGCCTTTCCTAAGGGCGTGTCTCACAGATACTCTCAAGCAATAAATTTAAAACGCTTGAGTTTTGTCTTATAGTTGTCTCAGCAGAAGACAAAGGTAGAGAAGGACTTTTGTCAAAGATGTTTGTGGCTGTGGCTTTTATTTAATGGAGTGAATCCCAGTGAGTTTCACAGAAAACTCACAAAGTACTTAAGATTATCGTATTCACAGAAACACCACAAGCTTGGACTATAAGGGATAGAGACACTACAAAATGAAAAATAGGCTTTGGATTTCCATATTTGTACACGCAATAAGGAGAGTGAAAAAGCTACTCACATGTGAACACATGCTACTTATTATGAGGAAATGAAGGATGACTCAGAGGGTAGAATCAAGAGATTAATAGCATGGGGCTAAAAGCCATAGAGGATTATTCCCAGGTATAAATCCTAATCAAGAATCTGCCAGCTTGTGCCCAGCTGATTTCATAATTGCTATAATCTGGAGACTCCTGTGCTTCTTATTTCCTTCTTTATAAATGTCAGTATCAGTTGTCCTGTGCCTGCCCTTATTGTGTATTTCATGTTTGGGGGAAAATAACTTGCTTCTTTTGTTTGTAAATCTTTGGATTAAAATAAACAATAATCAAGAATCTACAGTTAAAGAATTACACACAATAAACCTCTTTCATGACTAAATCATATTTAAATGATGATACTCTGTACTCTGAAATCATACTGTTATGGGATGAGATTTGGGGGCTTTTGGAGGGAGGGAGTGTATTTTGTATGTGGGAGAAACTTGATTAATTGGGGGCTGTAGAACAGATTGTGGTAGCCAGCCTTGAAGATGGCCACAACTATCCATTTCTCCTAGTATTTGTGCCCTTGTGTAGCTCCCTTCGACATTTTATCAGGGTTGGTGTGTGTGACCAATAGAATATGGCAGACCTGATGATGTGTTACTTCCAATGCTAGGTTTTTAGAAGAAGTATCATAGATTTTGCCTCTCTCTTAACCATTTGCTTTGGGGGAAGCCAGGTGCCATGTCATGGACAGTCCTGTGAAGAGGCTCATGTAGATAGGAACTGAGCCCTTCTATCAGCTGTATGGGTAAGCTTAGAAATGGGTATTTCAGCTCCAGTCAGGTCTTCAGATGACTGCAGTCATTGATGACATTTTGATTATAACTTCATGAGATACTCTGAGTCAGAACAACCCAGCTAAACCATTAACACATTTCTGACACACATTCTGTGAAATGCTAAATATTTGTTGTTTTAATACAGTAAGTTTGGAATATCTGCATGTAAAAATAGATGATCTACTATTAGGTTGGTGCAAAAGTGATTGTAGTTTTTGCCATGGAGAGTAATACAGTTAAAAAGCACTATTTAATTCACATTGTATCCTGAGTATCAGTTAACCAATTGTCCTATGCTTCAGCAATTGTCCCTAACATTACTTGTTCTAAAATATTATTTTATCTAAAGGTAGAGTATTATGACTATGGAAGCAGTCCAGTCTAAGAATGCAATTATATTCATTACCACCATGAGGAAATTGAATAAGGGAAAGTTGTAGCCATTCTCAGATCATAAGTTTTCTTTCCAAGCAATATTTCAAGTTATTTTATTTGTTTTTGTCCTCTCAAATGATAATAGATGTAGTAATAACTTTTACCTCTTATGTATTTTTGAGTTTCTGAATATGCAGATAGTTCTGATTTTAAAGCTCAACCTGACATAATCTGCTGTTGGAGAGGAACTCTGATTAGGTTACATGGTACCAAGCAAATAAAATATGAAAATGGGAAGGAGAAATTAGTTTGAATTATTATAATAAATATATTGTATCCTGAAGACATTGGCAAGGGATATCATTGGCATACGGATGCACAATGTGAAAAATCTAATCCTCACTGAGGATAGTGATATTTCCTTAAAACTTAGTAGAATAGATTATACATCATATTTCATTTGTAGGTTAATACTAAAAGCAGTTATTCAATTAAAAATTTTTGGGTTTTGACTGATTTTTTATATCTGTAGGTTCACAGAATAAACTTATTTGGTCAGCCTTAAAAGTGTGAAATGGATAAAGTTTTTTTCAATTAGATATGTTTATATCCATTGCTCTTTTGAGGCAAGGTGTATTTGGTTGCACAAATACAAGTGTAGCCTATGTTCTCTATACAGTCTAATATGTAAGGCCCAACAAAGGTCAATTAGAAAAACAAGCCATTATTCTTTACTTTATGGATTTGAGTTTATAAAGATTGGATGCTGAGAACTTCCTCCTCTTCCTCCTCTTCTTCTTCATGTACTTTCCTTGATGGCAGAGTAAACTGCTATCAGATGGACGAGGTGATAGGTAGAATAATGGCCTCTCAAAGATATCCTTGGCCAAATCCTCAGAGTCTATGAACATGTTACATTACATGGAAATGAGGCACTAAGGTTGCAGATGGAATTAAGTTTGCTAATCCATTGACCTTAAAATATAGAAGCTGTGGCCAGGCATGGTGGCTCATGTCTGTAATCCCAACACATTGGGAGGCCAAAGTGGGAGGATTACTTGAGCCCAGGAGTTCGAGATCAGCCTGGGTAGCATAGTAAAACCTCATGTCTACTAAAAATTTTAAAAAATGATTAGCTGGTTGTGGTGGCAAGTGCCTGTGATCCCAGCTACTCACGGGGCTGAAATGGGAGGACTGCTTGAGCCTTGGAAGTCAAGACTGTAGTGAACCAAGCTTGCAACACTTTACTTTAGCCTGGGTGACAGAGTGAGCCCCTGGAAGAGGGAGATATAAAAAGGAAGTCACACTTTCACAATATGACACTCAATTAGCCATTGCTGGCTTTGAAGACCAAGGAAGGTGATATGGTTTAGCTGTGTCCCCACCCACATCTCACCTTGAATTGTAATAATCCCCATATGTCAAGGTTGGGGCGAGGTGGAGATAATTGAATCATGGAGGTGGTTTTCCTCCATACTATTCTCATGGTAGTGAATAAGTCTCGTGAGATCTGATGATTTTGTAAATGGGAGTTCCCCTGCACAAGCTCTCTTGCCTGCCACCATGTAAGATGTGCCTTTGCTTCTTTGCCTTCTGCCATGATTGTGAGGCTCCCCCAGCCATGTGAAACTGAGTCCATTAAACCTCTTTCCTTCATAAATTACCGAGTCTTGGGAATGTCTTTATTAGCAGCCTAAGAACAGACTCATACAAAAGGGGACCATGTAGGCAGCCTCTAGAAGCTGGAACAGGCTCTACTGGTGCCACCAGAAAAAAATTCAGCCCTGCTGACACCTAAATTTTGGTGCATTGAGATGAATGTGGAATTTCTTACCTGAAAAATCATAAATTTGTATTGTTTTAAGCCACTAAGTTTGAGATAATTTGTGACAGCAGCAATAGAAAATAAATACAGATGCTATCAGGATATTGTAGAATACCAATACTTGGGGAAAATAAATAGGTTCTAGCCACATAGCAGACAGAGAGTAAAACAGTCAAACTTCATGCCAATCACTTTGGATTCTGGATAAAATGTTACAGGCCTTTACAGTTTATATAACTAAGCTTTAATGAAAGAAAACAAAAATCTGTTGGGTTGAAATTTTTTAAAAAAGAATTTAAAACCAGGGAAGAAAAAAGCCCATAACTCATGGGAATTTGAACCAGATACAAGTTCTCTATGAGTAGTGGTAACAAAATGTTCCAAGAGAAAAAAAGAAGAGAGAAGTTAGCTTTAATGTGAGCATACAAGGGAAAATTTTAAATAGTGGTTGACATGAAAGCTGGGGACTGAAAGAGGAATGAAATTTCACCAAGTTGATGAGGGAAAGAAGAGCATTGCAGACAGAAAGTGAAGACATTTGGCATGAGGATGAAAGGTGTATTCCAAAAACTACAGTGTGTTTGGTGTGGGATGACCTAGAAGCTTATTATTGTTTGTTAGTTTTTTGTTTGTTTTTGTTTTGACAGGGTCTCACTCTGTCACCAGGCTGGAGTGCAGTAGTGCAATCACGGCTCACTGCAACCTCTACCTCCTGGGCTCAAGCGATCCTCCCACCTCAGCTTCCTGAGTAGTTGGGACTACAGGCATGCACCATCATGCCCAGCTAATTTTTGTATTTTTTGTAGAGATGGTGTTTCACTATGTCTTGAACTTCTGAATGCAAGCGATCCTCCTGCCTTAGCCTTCCCAAAGTACTGGGATTACAGCCATGAGCCACCATGCCCAGAAACCTAGAAGTTTAAAAGGAAAAGTATATTGGCTCCAGATTATGCAGCCTTGGATGTCTTGCTAAATAGTTTTGACTCTATTTTTATAGGCCAAAGGTAACAAACCAGAAGCCATCAGATGTGTTTAGTTGGCTTCATAGTGCTTTTTTTTTGGTATGTATTTAGATTATTATCATTACTTGTAATTTGAATTACAAAAATTAAAACATTAAAAAGACTGGGAGACAGACCTGACATAAAATTCTAGACATCCAGCTTCTCTGTGGTAAACAAAAAACAAACAAACAAAAAACCTAAAACGTAAACAAATGATTTGACCATCTTGCCACATTGGATCTCACTGCAATTGGCTAGAACTGAGTAGTTGCTGACCCTTTAGTCTGGGCATGTATCCTTCAGTCCACCATAGTCTACAAACTCTCTTCTTTCCCTAATGTGTTATATCTGTCCGTTTCACCACATATTTGTACCTGCTGGACACCCCTAGACATTTGTGTTTGTAACCCCTGTTGTAGGCACGTGATTACCATTGAAGGACTTTTTTTTTTTTTGAGACGGAGTCTCCCTCTCTCTCCCGCTCCAGAGTGCAGTGGTGTGATCTTGGCTCACTGCAAGCTCCGCCTCCCAGGTTCTCGCCATTCTCCTGCCTCAGCCTCCCGAGTAGCTGGGACTACAGGCACCCGCCACCATGCTCGGCTAATTTTTTGTATTTTTAGTAGAGATGGGGTTTCACCATGTTAGCCAAGATGGTCTCGATCTCCTGACCTCGTGATCCACCCGCCTCGGCCTCCCAAAGTGCTGGGATTACAGGCGTGAGCCACTGCGCCCAGCCTGAAGGATTTTTACATATCAAATCTGCTTTGGAGGCCAAGGTGGGTGGATCACCTGAGGTCAAGAGTTCAAGACCAGCCTGGCCACCATGGTGAAACCCTGTCTCTACTAAAAATACAAAAAAATTAGCCAAGCATGGTGGCACATGCCTGTAATCCCCACTATTTGGGAGGCTGAAGCAGGAGAATCACTTGAACCCAGGAGGTAGAGGTTGCAGTGAGCTGAGATCATGCCACTGCACTCCAGACAGGGTGACAGAGTAAGACTCCATCTCAAAAAAACAAAAACAAAAATATTTGCTTTGGGAAGAAAACCTTGGTAGCAATGTTAAGATGCCCTTTGCATTCCTGTAGTACATTATATGTATTTTTGTATTGTTTTTCACCGCTTAAATACCTTTATTATTTTTAAAAAATCATTTGGACATGGATAGCTCTGCAAAATACTTCTTCCATCCCAAAACTTCAAATCCTTTCCACATGTCCTCCATAAAGAAACAAAATATTTATACTTCATGCCCATTTGAGTTTAATTTTTAAAAACATTTAAGATTAAAAATCAAATATTATTTTTCTTTCCAGAACTTGTTAGGAAATTTAAACCACAATGCAACATACTTAACGGCATTTCTTTTTAAAAATTAGCTTATTAGATGATTTTATGAGAAAAAATCAATTCAAGGCCTCAGGGAGAATATTATATTCTCTGTTTCTGAAAGTAAAGGACATTGAAAAACCCTTTTGCTCCTCTGGAGTTTGTGATTTCAACATAACCAACAAACACAGCACACAGATTGACTACTTACTTAATATTAGGCATTGTTTTGTTACTTTTGGAATGCAGCTGAAATGCTATCTAAACTTGAAAAGGGTGGGTGAGTGGAAGTCCAGCACAGAAGAGGGTCAAGGCTGGGGACAGCTGAATGGAAGCTTTCTGAGCAGTGGAGTAAGAAGAGCTCAATCCCAAGATCCCCGCTCATGGCAGGCTTGTTTGGGGTGGAAGACAGTTTATTGCACTTACAACGCTGAGTTACAATAATCTGTTTATGTTGTTTGTCTTCTTTGCTAGGCAGTCAGATTCTTATAAAGGGCTAGAGATGTTTTTCTCATCTACCTGTGATTCCCTGTTACCTAATGTTGTGTTTGGCAAGTAGTAGATACTTAGTATTTATCAAAATGCACTGAATGAAGATAAGAATGGGTAAGACACTAAAGGCAGAATGATCAGTAGGTGGACTATGACGTCATCCTAGTGAAACAGGAAAAGAACCTGAATTAGGATAGGCCTATGATCAGGATGAGAAGAATATCACTGTCAAAGATATTCAGAAAATATAATTAATTTTTGGAGGGTTCTATGGTTTGAATATGTCCCCCAAAGTTCATGTGTTTTAGAAATTTGATCTCCCATGCAGCAGCAGTGTTGGGAGGTAGTCATTAGGGCATAATGGCATAATGGCATAATGGTCATCAGGGAACCAACCTCATGAATGGATTTATGCCGTTATGGTAGTAGTGGGTTTGTTATTACAGGACTGGGTTGCTTCGAATGAGTCTGGCCCCCTCTTGCTCTCTCTTTCTCATTCCTCTGCCTTTCCTTCTCTCCTTCTGCCATGGGATTATGCAGCAAGACAGTCCTTACCGGATGTTAGTCCCTTGATCTTGGACTTCCCAGCCTCTAGAACTGTGAGATATAAATGTCTGTCGACTATAAATTACTCAGTCTGTGTTATTCTGTTATAGCAGCACAAAATGGACTAAGACAGAGGGTAAAGGAAAAGAAGAAATTAAAAAATGGCTCTTAAGTCATCATCATACCATATGGGATGACTTCTCATGATCTATTATTCACCAATCCAAAGAGAGTGAGTAATTATCCCATCCAAGGACTTGAGCCTCCCCTATTCCATGGAGCATATAGTCACAAAATTGTTTTACTGGGAGGCAGTTGAAAAGCTCCAGGCTACAGATTGGAAGACCTGGATTGATCAAGTCTCAATTCTCCCCTTTACTTATCTATGGGTCTTGTAGAAATAAACAGCCTCTTTGATGTTCAGTTTCCTAATGTGTAAAACGATGGTAGCCTAACATTGCTCTAATTTATTAATATGGCTATGAGAGGATAAACCTAGCTTATCTGAGTGTATTTTGTAAACCATGTTATGTTATACAAATATGTTACATGCCAAGCTCTGCTAGTCACTAGGGATACAAGAATAAATAAGGCATAGACCTCTAACTACACAGTTTAAAAGAGACTTTTAAAACATAGTGACTTTTTAAAAATCGCTTTTTAAAAGTGACTTTTAAAACATAGTTGAACAAAACACAATAATATTTAGAAATGGAGATAAATATAAGAATATTTAGCCATGGTTTTATTTAACACTTTCTCAACATTCTTCCTAGAAGAATAATTTTGCAACGAATATTTTGCAACCTAGGAATATGAATTGTAGGCTATTACAAGTTCCTTGGTGGAAGGGTTTATTTCCCCATTTGGGGGCTACTTCTTTTGTTATGTGAACTGAAGTAGAAATTGCTGATGATATTACTGGATGGTTGATTTTTAAATAGGTTCTAGCCACACAATCTTTTTAAAGATTTTGAAACACTAAAGGAATGCTTAATAAACCTAAGTGCATTTTAAGTCACTTACCAAGATTCTTCTAACCACAAACAGATCTTCTCCTGCGATAGTCATTAGACTACATATTTGGCTGTTCTGTGGCACTGGAAAATCCCCATGGAAAAAAGATGGAAATAACAAATAATAATTCTATAAAATTCAATTAGAATAAATGTAGGTACTCAGATCACTTCCCTGGTCATCTCTGTCCTCTTCCACAGATAAAATACAAATACATTAAACTCCACTTAGTATGAGAGCATCTCTGATAATAACCTGTTATATTGTCTCAGTAATTATGTGAGGAGTGAGAGTAGCTTAATTTCAAACATCTGACCTATTTGAAGCTGCAGATAAAAATGATATCAATTGAAAGTTGGGTCATGAGTACATCTACTCTGCCAAATGAACCAAGTTGCTTTTAAATTTATAATAGGAAAATAAGATTTACATTATTTAGCCACAGAGAAATTTAGGAAGAAGATTGAAAACAGATCTAAAAGCATTACCCTACCAGTCTCTGAATTTGTATGCCCCTGTTCATATTGGAATTATTAACTGCCCATTTCCCAAATATCAACATACAGTAAGGCAATGTATCTATAACATATGGATGTGTATCTTTAAAGTGGAACTTTAAAAAACTCTAGGGGCACTATAGAAATGGAATATTTTGTCAAGGCAAAGAAAATACTATTGATTTGGAAATACAAAACACTTTACATTGTTAGGGACTATGGATGACCACCAGTTCAAAGTGACAAAAGTGACTAGGAAGATATTGGCTTAAAGTGATTAACAGAAAGTCTGAGAATTCTGTCCTACCAGAATAGGGTGCTGGGGAAAGAAAACAGCTTTAATCAAAATCTCAGTAGATGGATCTATTTTTTTGTAGATGGAGTCCACTGTTTAGAAAGGTAGTTTTATATCCAATACACTTTTTGAAGGCATACTAAATAAATATCCTTTGGTCCAATTGGGAAAAGCTACCATTAACACAGAGAAAAATAAGTAACACGCCAACGACAATCCCAGTGACAAAGAGAACCCTGCCTGCTTCTACTATTTGTTCCTTCATTCATTCTGTTATTTATTCCCTTCTGCCTTGATTCTTTCATTAATGAGAATCAATTAATTAAAGTGCCTTCTGCATTTAGACAAGCCAGAGATGATGGAGAGAAGAACAGAAAAGGAAGAAAAGCAGTCAATTCAGTTCACACAATCTCACAGACAACAGGGACCAGTATGAGGAAGAAGCAAACTAGTCAAGCATGTACGATAATGGGGTACAGAGGGAGGCAGGGGAGAGCAGTGTGCAGTCAGTAGGTATCATCCAGGGAATATTTTCTGTACGAATCAATTTGGGATTGGGGTTCTAGTTGGGTATGCATAGACATACAGGTGGCAACAATAGACACTGGAGACTACTGGGGTGGGGGAGAGAGAGAGGGACAAGGGCTGAAAAATTACCTATTGGGCACTCTGCTCACTACCTAAGTAACAGGATCATCCCTACCTCAAACCTCAGTGTCATGCAATATCCCCTGTAACAAACCTGCGCATGTACCGCTTGAATCTAAAACAGAAGTTGAAATTATTAAAAAATTGAAAAATAAAAGTTTTACTGTTGATATTAAAAAGGAAGAAAAGGATTGGAGTTCTAAAAAAAAAAAACATGATGGAAGAGACACCTTCTGTGATTATGAGATGGCCAGCCAGAGCCAGCAGCATCATTTGTGGGATCCAGTGCAAAATGAAAATGGGGTCTCACTGTTCAACAAGCAGGGCAAAATGTGTTTTTCTTTCTTCTGCTGTCCCTCTCTCTCCACCTCCATGTGTTTTTTCTTTGCTGTTAACGTTGCGCTCCCTGAAGTGCGGGGATACCCCCAGGGAGATTGCAGAGCTTCACAGGCTCTGGGACCTCCTTAGGCGACACCGCACGCAAAGCCTATGCGTCCAACCCTCCCTCCCAGGTGCAGGTGCCAGGAGCCGGAGGGTGGCACAGGGTCAGCTGCGGTAGCTGAGTGTGGCCATGGGAGTAGGTGGCCGAGACCCCAGTCCCGAGCGTGGGGAGGCCGTGAGAAGCGGACTAGCCATGAGCTGGGCTTGAAGACCCTGACACATGCTCCATGGTCCCATTGGGCTTCACTTCCAAAATGAAATTTTAAAGTTTAAATTAAGAATTTTCAGACTGACAGTGGAGCCCACTCTGGATCCTTGTGAACGAAAGGCGCCGTGCAACTGCATGGTCACCCAGCATGAAACCAGCTGAAGAAATGCAGAATCAAGGGGGGAAAAGAGAGAGGCAGATTGGAAATTACCATGAACTTTATTGTCCATGTAAGAAACTCTTTCAAGATTAAAAAGGAAAGGCCACACATAATTCCATTAAAAAAAAAGAAGAAGAAGAATGGAAATAGAATCATGTTTACATGCACACCAGGAAACTTTTAAGGGTAAAGAGGGAAAAAATCCTATACTTATTCAAGTACAAAAATAAAATAAATAGGTTGCCTACAAAAGAACAAAAATCATCCTGATGATAGATGACTGTCAACCCTAAAGATGGAAGATTATTGCAGAATATAGTTTCTCAACATTCCTGGGAAAATGCAGGGGGCTCGAAATCGTTGTCTGCCAAAGCGAGATAAATGCATTCAAGTAACATCCTCAAGTAACAAAAAAAGTTTGCTGCTCATCTGTTCTTTCTGGGGGAGCAGGAGAACCTATTTGAAATGTACTCTATCTGGCTAAGAAATTAATCCAAATCAAGCCATCAAGAATGCAAAAATTGTTTTATATAACGTCTACCAGTGAATATTGAAAGAAATTTAAAATGTAGAGTTAAGTACAATTTTTTTCCTAAATCTGTATTTAGTTTTGAGTTTTTCCAGAAGTAGGCCCAGAGACAAGGATTCCAGAGCAAGTATATTGATTTAGGTTGTCGGGAACAGGTAGAAGAACGTGAAAGAAAAGGAAAGCAACCAACAAAGGGTAGATTGTCAAGCCAGCTACCAGGAGGGTAACTGGAGTTTAATGCCGTGGGGAAATTTTGACACACCCTGCAAAATGCACTCGGAGGGTTACTGCACCCCAAGGGCAGGAGAGCTGGAAAGTTTATACATCAAGTCATTGGCTCACCAGGCATTGGCTGGGGATTCAGGAGTGGGTGCTTCATCTGTTTCCCCCCATCGCTTGGTAGATGCAGCGTCCAGCAGTCAGAAACCCGGAAGTCGGCAGGAGCTCACTGCAGTCGTGGAGTTCCAAGGGATGGTAGCGTACTGGGTCAGCTGCAGTCTGGTTACGACACTAAATGCAAGTAACCATGACCAATTCTGAAATAAGTATTTGGTGGTTGTAAAAAATGCAGAGGATAAACTGGCTCACAGCTCCAGATTAAATGAGTAATACTGGAAAGTGATGAAGCGCTGAGAAGACAGAACAAGGTAAATTTTTGCCAAACTCCCTATCACTTTATAGAGGAGGAACAATGAAAAGTTACGGTCTATTGAAAATTATAAAAATATAGGTTGGGTTTAATATATATTTGGCAAAATTAAAGGCAATAGAACAGAATTAAATATTATTTTCCATACATATTGTCATACAAAATAAAAGGAAACAAACACAAAGAAAATATAGCACAAAGAAAAGTAGAGCAGAGGTTAGGCCATATGTTTCTATTGTAGCTATAAATTCCTGTGAGTTAACTGCTCTTTTCACACCTACGAATGCATAAAACAATTTAACAAATTATTTTTTTAAAAAAAGCACCGGTATACCCATCGCCCTGATCAATAAGTAGAACATTGTCAGCATCTTAGAAGCCTTCTGCAATCCATCCCTAATTACAAACCTTTTGCGTCTTCTTAAATATAACGAATATTTTTCATTATGTGGTCATCTCTTCCTTGCTTTTACCATTTTAGAATAATCCCTAAACACAAAAGCTTAATATTGACTGTTATTGAACCAACATAGTCAGAATCATAAAGCTTCTTTTGGAGAATACTGTTTGTGAGATTTACTCATGTTGTAATATGTAGCTGTAGTTCATTCATTTTCAGTGCCATATACTACTCAATTATGTGACTCAATCAGTTTATTCATTCCACTGTGGTGGACATTTTGATTGTGTCTCTTATTCTGTGCTACTATGTGTAATATTAGTATGATCTATAATATTCATATATATGATTGGTTAACATTTTTACACATTTCTGGTGGGTAAGATACTAGGAATAGAGTTGCCAGGTCATAGGACATGTGTATGTTCCACTTTGGTAGATATTACCAAATTCCTTTCTGAAGTGTTCGCACTAGTTTATACCTCCGCCAGTCATAGATGAGAGTTCCCATTGCTCCTTCACCTTGGCTGTTTCAGCCATTTTATTTTGATGTTAGTCATTCCAGTAGGCATATGATGATATTCCATGGTGTTAATTTACAATACCTTTATGACTCTTTTCATATACATATCAGCCATTTGTATTTCCTGTTGTATGAGGTGCCTGTTTGACCTTCTTGCAAAAATTGTCTTCAACCTAGAGCTATAAAAATCCTAACTCAGCAATCATTGGTCACAGAGGAAAAACTAGCTAAAATTACAGAACTTCTAGAAAACAATCAAATTTATGGAAAGCAAGAAAATTAACATGAAAAGAAAAATTCAGAGTCTTCAATACTTAATAGGAGACAAAACTAAGAAAAAGAATGAATTACCATGACTAAAATACTGAAAAAAGCAAAAAGAAAGACTTTAAAACATGAAAGCAGAAACTAAGAAATTAGAAAATAGAAAAACAATAAAACTGAAAAACATACCCAAATACTGGTTCTTTCAGAAACCCAATAAAATATATAATCATTAGCTACCTTCAGAAAAAAAAAGTACAAAAACATGAGATAGCAAGTAAAAATGAAACATGAGAAATGTAAATAATTATGAGAAAGGCTTTGTACAATTTCATACACATAAATTGAAAATCTGGATTAATCAAATAATTTCCTGGGAAAATGTAATTTAAAGCTAACTCCAGATGAAGCAGACAATGTGAAAGGGCAAACACACAGAAAATAAGAAAAAGTAGGGAAATTTTTCAAAGAAAATTACCCCCAAAAAGCACCAAACCTAGAGAAATTATACTACATCCTGAGGAATTCAAGTGCATTTAATTAGAAAAGCATTGGAAAAAAGGAAACGATCTAAAATCTTTTATCAGTATTTGACAAAGATTACAGGAAAAACAAATTGGTAAACAAAAGTTCTAAATAAAGAATTAGCAGAAACAAAAATCTAGGAGCAACTTAAAGAGATAATACATTACAATCAAGTGGAGATGAATTCAAGGAATGCAATAAAGGCCCAATATGAGAAAATTAATTCATATATCATATTACTGGATTTAAAGATACAATTCATATGATCATTTGCAAGCAAACTAAAAAGGCATCTGACAACATTCAACAATGCTTCGTGATTTTTTAAAAAATACACTCAATAAAATAAGAATAGATAGTTACTATGACAAATTATTTCTTTTTTATTCAACTTTTATTTTAGATTCAGGGGATACTGGTGCGGGTTTGCTACTTGGGTATATTGCATGATGCTGAGGTTTGGGGTATAAATGATCCAATCACCCAGGTAGTGTGCATATTACTCAACAGTTAGTTTTTCAGCTCTTCCCCCACTCCCTAGTCAGTGTCTATTATTGCCATCTTTATGTTCATGAGTACTCAACGTTTAGCTCCCATTTATAAATGAAAACCTGTGGTATTTGGTTTTCTGCTTTTGCACAAATTCACTTAAAATAATGGCCTCCAGCTACAACCATGTTGCTGCAAAGGACATGATGTCATTCCTTTTCATGGCTGCATAGTATTTCATGATGTATATGTGCCATTTTTTCTTTTTTTATTTTATTTTATTTTATTATTATTATACTTTAAGTTTTAGGGTACATGTGCACAATGTGCAGGTTAGTTACATATGTATACATGTGCCATGCTGCTGTGCTGTACCCATTAACTCATCATTTAGCATTAGGCATATCTCCTAATGCTATCCCTCCCCCCTCCCCCCACCCCACAACAGTCCCCAGAGTTTGATGTTCCCCTTCCTGTGTCCATGTGTTCTCATTGTTCAATTCCCACCTATGAGTGAGAACATGCGGTGTTTGGTCTTTTCTCCTTGCGACAGTTTACTGAGAATGATGATTTCCAATTTCATCCATGTCCCTACAAAGGACATGAACTCATCATTTTTTATGGCTGCATAGTATTCCATGGTGTATATGTGCCACATTTTCTTAATCCAGTCTATCATGGTTGGACATTTGAGTTGGTTCCAAGTCTTTGCTATTGTGAATAGTGCCGCAATAAACATACGTGTGCATGTGTCTTTATAGCAGCATGATTTATAGTCCTTTGGGTGTATACCCAGTAATGGGATGGCTGGGTCAAATGGTATTTCTAGTTCTAGATCCCTGAGGAATTGCCACACTGACTTCCACAATGGTTGAACTAGTTTACAGTCCCACCAACAGTGTAAAAGTCTTCCTATTTCTCCACATCCTCTCCAGCACCTGTTGTTTCCTGAATTTTTAATGATCGCCATTCTAACTGGTGTGAGATGGTATCTCATTATGGTTTTGATTTGCATTTCTCTGATGGCCAGTGATGGTGAGCATTTTTTCATGTTTTTTGGCTGCATAAATGTCTTCTTTTGAGAAGTGTCTGTTCATGTCCTTTGCCCACTTTTTGATAGGATTGTTTGTTTTTTTCTTGTAAATTTGTTTGAGTTCATTGTAGATTCTGGATATTAGCCCTTTGTCAGATGAGTAGGTTGTGAAAATTTTCTCCCATTTTATAGGTTGCCTGTTCACTCTAATGGTAGTTTCTTTTGCTGTGCAGAAGCTCTTTAGTTTAATTAGATCCCATTTGTCAATTTTGGCTTTTGTTGCCGTTGTTTTTGGTGTTTTAGTCATGAAGTCCTTGCCCATGCCTATGTCCTGAATGGTAATGCCTAGGTTTTCTTCTAGGGTTTTTATGGTTTTAAGTCTAACGTTTAAGTCTTTAATCCATCTTGAATTGATTTTTCTATAAGGTGTAAGGAAGGGATCCAGTTTCAGCTTTCTACATATGGCTAGCCAGTTTTCCCAGCACCATTTATTAAATAGGGAATCCTTTCCCCATTGCTTGTTTTTCTCAGGTTTGTCAAAGATCAGATAGTTGTAGATGATGCGGCATTATTTCTGAGGGCTCTGTTCTGTTCCATTGATCTATATCTCTGTTTTGGTACCAGTACCGTGCTGTTTTGGTTACTGTAGCCTTGTAGTATAGTTTGAAGTCAGGTAGCATGATGCCTCCAGCTTTCTTCTTTTGGCTTAGGATTGACTTGGCAATGCAGGCTCTTTTTTGGTTCCATATGAACTTTAAAGTAGTTTTTTCCAATTCTGTGAAGAAAGTCATTGGTAGCTTGATGGGGATGGCATTGAATCTATAAATTACCTTGGGCAGTATGGCCATTTTCACAATATTGATTCTTCCTACCCATGAGCATGGAATGTTCTTCCATTTGTTTGTATCCTCTTTTATTTCGTTGAGCAGTTGTTTGTAGTTCTCCTTTACGAGGTCCTTCATGTCCCTTGTAAGTTGGATTCCTAGGTATTTTATTCTCTTTGAAGCAATTGTGAATGGGAGTTCACTCATGATTTGGCTGTTTGTCTGTTATTGATGTATAAGAATGCTTGTGATTTTTGTACATTGTTTTTGTATCCTGAGACTTTGCTGAAGTTGCTTATCAGCTTAAGGAGATTTTGGGCTGAGACAATGGGGTTTTCTAGATATATAATCATGTCATCTGCAAACAGGGACAATTTGACTTCCTCTTTTCCTAATTGAATACCCTTTATTTCCCTCTCCTGCCTAATTGTCCTGGCCAGAACTTCCAACACTATGTTAAATAGGAGTGGTGAGCCAGGGCATCCCTGTCTTGTGCCACTTTTCAAAGGGAATGCTTCCAGTTTTTGCCCATTCAGTATGATATTGGCTGTGGGTTTGTCATAGATAGCTCTTATTATTTTGAGATACATCCCATCAATACCTAATTTATTGAGAGTTTTTAGCATGAAGGTTGTTGAATTTTGTCAAAGGCCTTTTCTGCATCTATTGAGATAATCATGTGGTTTTTGTCTTTGGTTCTGTTTATATGCTGGATTACATTTATTGATTTGTGTATATTGAACCAACCTTGCATCCCAGGGATGAAGCCCACTTGATCATGGTGGATAAGCTTTTTGATGTGCTGCTGGATTCGTTTTGCCAGTATTTTATTGAGGATTTTTGCATCAATGTTCATCAAGGATATTGGTCTGAAATTCTCTTTTTTGGTTGTGTCTCTGCCCCGCTTTGGTAACAGGATGATGCTGGCCTCATAAAAAGAGTTAGGGAGGATTCCCTCTTTTTCTATTGATTGGAATAGTTTCAGAAGCAGTGGTACCAGTTCCTTCTTGTAACTCTGGTAGAATTCGGCTGTGAATCCATCTGGTCCTGGACTCTTTTTGATTGGTAAGCTATTGATTATTGCCACAATTTCAGAGCCTGATATTGGTCTATTCAGAGATTCAACTTCTTCCTGGTTTAGTCTTGGGAGGGTATACGTGTCGAGGAATTTATCCATTTCTTCTAGATTTTCTGGTTTATTTGCGTAGAGGTGTTTGTAGTATTCTCTGATGGTAGTTTGTATTTGTGTGGGATCGGTGGTGATATCCCCTTTATCATTTTTTATTCTGTCTATTTGATTCTTCTCTCTTTTCTTCTTTATTAGTCTTGCTAGTGTTCTATCAATTTTGTTGATCCTTTCAAAAAACCAGCTCCTGGATTCATTAATTTTTTGAAGGGTTTTTTGTGTCTCTATTTCCTTCAGTTCTGCTCTGATTTTAGTTATTTCTTGCCTTCTGATAGTTTTTGAATGTGTTTGCTCTTGCTTTTCTAGTTCTTTTAATTGTGATGTTAGGGTGTCAATTTTGGATCTTTCCTGCTTTCTCTTGTGGGCATTTAGTGCTATAAATTTCCCTCTACACACTGCTTTGAATGCATCCCAGAGATTCTGGTATGTTGTGTCTTTGTTCTCAATGGTTTCAAAGAACATCTTTCTTTCTGCCTTCATTTCATTATGTACCCAGTAGTCATTCAGGAGCAAGTTGTTCAGTTTCCATGTAGTTGAGCAGTTTTGAGTGAGTTTCTTAATCCTGAGTTCTAGTTTGATTGCACTGTGGTCTGAGAGATAGTTTGTTATCATTTCTGTTCTTTTACATTTGCTGAGGAGAGCTTTACTTCCCAGTATGTGGTCAGTTTTGGAATAGGTGTGGTGTGGTGCTGAAAGAAATGTATATTCTGTTGATTTGGGGTGGCGAGTTCTGTAGATGTCTATTAGGTCCGCTTGGTGCAGAGCTGAGTTCATTTCCTGGGTATCCTTGTTAACTTTCTGTCTTGTTGATCTGTCTGATGTTGACAGTGGGGTGTTAAAGTCTCCCATTATTATTGTGTGGGAGTCTCAGTCTCTTTGTAGGTCACTCAGGACTTGCTTTATGAATCTGGGTGCTCCTGTATTGGGTGCATATATATTTAGGATAGTTAGCTCTTCTTGTTGAATTGATCCCTTTACCATTATGTAATAGCCTTCTTTGTCTTTTGATCTTTGTTGGTTTAAAGTCTGTTTTATGAGAGACTAGGATTGCAACCCCTGCCTTTTTTTGTTTTCCATTTGCTTGTTAGATCTTCCTCCGTCCTTTTATTTTGAGCCTATGTGTGTCTCTGCACATGAGATGGGTTTCCTGAATACAGCACACTGATGGGTCTTGACTCTTTATCCAATTTGCCAGTCTTTGTCTTTTAATTGGAGCATTTAATCCATTTACATTTAAAGTTAATATTGTTATGTTCTAAATTGATCCTGTCATTATGATGTTAGCTGGCTATTTTGCTCGTTAGTTGATGCAGTTTCTTCCTAGCCTCGATGGTCTTTACAATTTGGCATGATTTTGCAGTGGCTGGTACCAGTTGTTCCTTTCCATGTTTAGTGCTTCCTTCAGGAGCTCTTTTAGGGCAGGCCTGGTGGTGACAAAATCTCCAGCATTTGCTTGTCTGTAAAGTATTTTATTTCTCCTTCACTTATGAAGCTTAGTTTGGCTGGATATGAAATCCTGAGTTGAAAATTCTTTTCTTTAAGAATGTTGAATATTGGCCCCCACTCTCTTCTGGCTTATAAAGTTTCTGCCGAGAGATCCGCTGTTAGTCTGATGGGCTTCTCGTTGTTGGTAACTCGACCTTTCTCTCTGGCTGCCCTTAACATTTTTTCCTCCATTTCAACTTTGGTGAATCTGACAATTATGTGTCTTGGAGTTGCTCTTCTCGAGGAGTATCTTTGTGGCGTTCTCTGTATTTCCTGAATCTGAATGTTGGCCTGCCTTGCTAGATTGGGGAAGTTATCCTGGATAATATCCTGCAGAGTGTTTTCCAACTTGGTTCCATTCTCCCCGTCACTTTCAGGTACACCAATCAGACGTAGATTTGGTCTTTCCACATAGTCCCATATTTCTTGGAGGCTTTGTTCATTTCTTTTTATTCTTTTTTCTCTAAACTTCTCTTCTCACTTCATTTCATTCATTTCATCTTCCATCACTGATACCCTTTCTTCCAGTTGATCGCGTCGGCTCTTGAGGCTTCTGCATTCCTCACGTAGTTCTCGAGCCTTGGTATTCAGCTCCATCAGCTCCTTTAAGCACTTCTCTGTATTGCTTATTCTAGTTATACATTCGTCTAAATTTTTTTCAAAGTTTTTAACTTCTTTGCCTTTGGTTTAAATTTCCTCCTGTAGCTTGGAGTAGTTTGGTCACCTGAAGCCTTCTTCTCTCAACTCTTCAAAGTCATTCTCTGTCCAGCTTTGTTCCGTTGCTGGTGAGGAACTGTATTCCTTTGGAGGAGGAGAGGTGCTCTGCTTTTTAGAGTTTCCTGTTTTTCTGCTGTGTTTTTTCCCCATCTTTGTGGTTTTATCTACTTTTGGTCTTTGATGATGGTGATGTACAGATGGGTTTTTGCTGTGGATGTCCTTTCTGTTTGTTAGTTTTCCTTCTAACAGACAGGACCCTCAGCTGCAGGTCTGTTGGAGTTTGCTAGAGGTCCACTCCAGACCCTGTTTGCCTGGGTATCAGCAGCGGTGGCTTCAGAACAGCGGATTTTCATGAACCGCAAATGCTGCTGTCTGATCGTTCCTCTGGAAGCTTTGTCGCAGAGGAGTACCTGGCTGTGTGAGGTGTCAGTCTGCCCCTACTGGGGGGTGCCTCCCAGTTAGGCTGCTCAGGGGTCAGGGGTCAGGGACCCACTTGAGGAGGCAGTCTGCCTATTCTCAGATCTCCAGCTGCGTGCTGGGAGAACCACTGCTCTCTTCAAAGCTGTCAGACAGGGACATTTAAGTCTGCAGAGGTTACTGCTGTCTTTTTGTTTGTCTGTGCCCTGCCCCCAGAGGTGGAGCCTACAGAGGCAGGCAGGCCTCCTTGAGCTGTGGTGGGCTCCACCAAGTTCGAGCTTCCCGGCTGCTTTGTTTACCTAAGCAAGCCTGGGCAATGGTGGGCGCCCCTCCCCCAGCCTCGCTGCTGCCTTGCAGTTTGATCTCAGACTGCTGTGCTAGCAACCAGCGAGACTCCATGGGCGTAGGACCCTCCGAGCCATGTGCGGGATATAATCTCCTGGTGCGCCGTTTTTTAAGCCCGTTGGAAAAGTGCAGTATTGGGGTGGGAGTGACCCGATTTTCCAGGTGCCGTCTGTCACCCCTTTCTTTGACTAGGAAAAGGAACTCCCTGACCCCTTGTGCTTCCTGAGTGAGGCAATGCCTTTCCCTGCTTCGGCTCGTGCACGGTGCACTGCACCCACTGTCCTGCACCCACTCTCTGGCCCTCCCTAGTGAGATGAACCCGGTACCTCAGATGGAAATGCAGAAGTCACCTGTCTTCTGCGTCGCTCATGCTGGGAGCTGTAGACTGGAGCTTTTCCTATTTGGCCATCTTCCCACTTTACTTTCTACTGGAGGAGTGACATATTTTCTTTATCTAACCCACCATTGATGGACACCTAGGTTGATTCCATGTCTTTGCTATTGTGAATAATGCTACAATGAACATGTGAGTGCGTGTGTCTTTTGGTAGAATGATTTGTTTTCTTTTGATTACATACCCAATAATGGAATTGCTGAGTATGACACTCTTTCTATGTCCATCACAGTGTCAAAATTAATGAGAAAACAGTAAATTCAGGACAAGACAAGGAATCCAACTACTGCCACTATTATTGAAGATTAAAAGCCAAAGCAATTAGAAAGTAGAAATAAAGATATACAATTTGGAAAGGGGAAAATTGACCTATTCCTAGTGCAGTTAGTATAATTACATACCCAGAAAACTCAAAAGAATCAGATAAAAAGTATTTGAATAATAAGAGATTGCATAAGTTTTGAAGCTACAAAATTAATTGTCAACTTCACACACATAAACCACCAGTTGGATGATATATAACGTCTTAAAAAAAAGTAAACATAATTATAATTTTACTTTGATTCTATAATCATAATAGAATCAAAGTAAAATTTTTAGAAATAAGGTTAACAACTCATGTGCAAGATGCATATAAAGAAAACCTTAAATGTTTGCCAAAGCCACAAGAGAAGATTTAAAATTTAATAAATTAAGGTCAAAAATGGTTCAATATCATAAAAATTTTAATTCTCCTTATGTTAACATATAAATGTAGTATAATCCTTATAAACACAATAATGATTTTTAATGTATCTAGAGTTTTTAATATTCATGTAAAAAATAAAAACCTAGGAATAGCCATGAAAACTCTAGAATAACAAACTAGTCATGATACAAATAGCCTTGCCAGATATTAAAATATATGATAAAACCTCAATAAGTAAAATGATATTATACCAGAGCATAAATAGGCAGACCAATGGAACCAACGATAACTTCAGGAAAGGACCCAGATACATACAGAAACTTAGTATATGCTTAAGTGACATTTAAAATCAGTGAGGAAAGTGGGATAATTTAATATAATAGTGCTGAGACAACTAGGTAGCCATCTGGAAAAAAATATGTTAGAACCATACACCACTATTCATGAGAATAATTGCCAGATAGATTGATTAAATTATAAAAAATCAAACCATTGTATATTAAAGAAAGAAATGAAAAAATTTGTCTATAACCTTGAGAGTAAAGGTAGCCTTCCTATGATTCAAAACCTATAAGCCATAAGAAATGGTAGATAAGTTTGACTACATAAAAATTTTTAAAAAGCTGCATTAAAAAATAAGAAAAATCAAAACAAAATTATAAACTGAAAAAAATTCTGAAACTAACAGTTTTAGGAATGGTAAATTGCCTTAAAAATATGCTATATTTCTCATAAGGGAAAAGTTCATTAGAAAAAAAAAACAGATAGAAGATATAAAGAGTTCTCAGAAACAGAAATTGCGAAATGTTCTCTAGCAAAGAAAGCTCAACCTCTACCATTAAAAAATGAAATTAAAGCTCTACTGGTATGTCAAACTTCTAGATATTTTCCAATTTAATGAAAAATGAAATTAAAGTTAAAACTCTACTGGTATTTCAAACTTCTAGACTTTTTCCAATTCAATGGATTAAAACAGTATCTCTTGGCAAGACCATGGGGAAAAGCACTCTCATGTACTTCTATGGGGGTGCCTATTGGCACAGCCCCTATAGACGATAATTTGGCAATATCTCAGAAAACACATTTTTCCTTTTACTCAGTGATATGGTTTGGCTGTGTCCCCACCCAAATCTCATCTTCAATTACAGTTCTCATAATCCCCCTGTGTCGTGGGAGGAACCCGGTGGGTGGTAATTGAATCACAGGGGCCATTACCCTCATGCTGCTGTTCTTGTGACAGTGAGTGAGTTCTCATGAGACCTGATGTTTTTATAAGGGGCTTTTCCCCCTTTTGCTCAGCACTTCTCTTTTCTGCCATCATGTGAAAAAGAATGTGTTTGCTTCCCCTTCTACCATGATTGTAACTTTCCTGAGGCCTTCCTAGCCATGCGGAACTGTGAGTCAATGAAACGTGTTTCTTTATAAATTACCTAGTCTTGGGAAGTTCTTTATAGCAGCATGAGAACAAACTAATACACTCAGCAACTCCACTTCTGAGAATATAACCTAAAGATACCTTTGCATGTTTCTGTAGAGACTTATTCATTGCAGCACTGTTTGTTATAGCCAAAGATTACCCCAAAAAGCCTCTCACATATCTATCCACAGGAGAATAATTAAATATATAGTGGAGTATCTATAAAATTATGAAGATATACAAAAGGAATGAGAAGATTTTGGTATGGAGATGAAAACATCTTTGAAATAGATTGGCGTCAGACAGTGTATAGAAGGACATTTGAGTGGCCACCTATCCTAGTTGCTCAGAGTTAAAACGTTTCCAGAGACAGGGGACTGTAAGCACTAAAACTGGGAAAGTCCTGGGCTAACAGACACTTGGCGGTCCTCCTAAGTCTAGCCCCTTTTTTTTCTGTAAAAGAGGTGGGAATTAGAATATACACTCATATTCATTTCTATATGCATAGAAAACCTCTGGAAGGACACACAAGAAAGAAACAATGATGGTTTCATGTTTTATCTTTGGTGAGGATGGGGAACAGGTAGATGAAGGAGTGAGACTGAAGAAAGTTGTTTCATTCAATGTATATTTTTAAAATTTAGACTGTGTAAATTTAACACCTATTCAAAAATTAAACCAGCAAATAAATATCCAAAAACAAATCATTCAGGAATGAAAAAGTAATCTGTTTTGCGGGAGGGAAATGTTCTTTCCTTAAGTAGAGAGCGAGATATCTAGGTAATTTATACAGTTGAATGGCTTGGAAACTTTCTTGCAAAGAATATTTTTTATAGCCTCTGCCGGCCTTCTTCTGGATCATAAATGTAATGCAGTGTACTGTCCATTGAGAACAAAGACTTACAGGCTGTCTGACCTGGTCAAAGAGAGCATGTCTGAGCAGCCCTTAAATTTCTGAATTGCCCAGTCTCAGCATAGGCTCATAAAGCTACTGTCTGAAAGAAAATAAATTCTGCTTAAAGCAAATCAGCCTGTGAGCCACTGCATCTTTACCTCAATTTGAAAATGCAATCCATATCACAGATTTTATTCTTTTTTTACTCATAAGACTCTGTAAAATATTTTGTAACTTGGAAAAATTCTTTATAAAACTTAGATTTATTTGCAAATTCATATGTTTTTCAAAGTGTTTGTTTTTTTAACTCTGAGCTGTAGAAGGGGAGGGAGATTTATTATTTATCTATATATACACCCAAACATGTATGTGTGTGGGTATATGTAATTTTATACATTTTTATAGCCTTTACCAGCCTTCTTTTGGATTATAAAGGTAATGCAGTGTACTGTCCATTAAGTCCATTTATATATCTATCTATCTATATCTATATCTATATATCTATATATATAGATATAAAATGAATCTCCCTTCCCCCACTCTCTTTATATAGAAGTCCTGCGATTTGCTGTTTGCAAGCCAGAGACCCAGGAGGGCTAGTGGTGAAGTCCCAGTCAAAGTTCAAATATCTGAAAACAAGGAACTCTGGTGGTATAAGTCTGAATCTAAGGGTAGAGGACTAATGTTCCAACTCAGTCAAGGAGAGAGAGAGAAAGAGAATTCCTTTTTGTACCTTTTTGTTGCATTCAGGCCCTGAAGGGATTGGATGATCTCCTACCAAATTGGGGAGGGCCATCTGCTTACTGCCTATTCAGATACTAATCTCATCCAGAAACACCCTCACAGACACACACAGGAATAATGGTTAGTCAAATATCTGGGTACCTCATGATCTAGTTAAGTTGACACATAAAATTAACCATTACGGGGAAGATCAAGGGATGTATGTAAATGGGTAAGATAAAATCCCTGCCTCTAAGGAGAAGCAATAATCATAGATATACAAAAAGAACTATTGCAACAATCATGGACATGGCTAGGCATGGTCCAGTTAAATTGCCCAGGATGGCACAGAATGGGAGATACTAGACTTGAAACTGGATGTCTAGTCTGAGGCAAAGAAAGCTGGAGAAAAGAATACTGGCAATGGTGTTAGTGCAGTATTGCAAATAGCAGCAAATACATGGAACATGCAGCAGCAGGGCCTGCTGAGAGGCAAGTAGAGAAAGTATGGGCAAAGGAATCAAGGAGCAGGCACTATCCAGAGATGAGAAGTAGGTCCCACAAAATCTGTAAGTGGGAATAGGGTCTGAGCAGAAATTCATGTCTAGAAGTCTCTTCCCAGAGTGGGATGGATAGGTGGATGTACAGGTCAAAGCAAGGTGGATGCCAGTTCTAGAAGGATCAATGTGCCAGGCAAATTTTCAGACTGGAACTCAGACACAAGGCCAGACAGAAATTAGGTGTCTCAAAACCTACCTTGCATAATGCACATAAACAACTCAGGGGATTGTAGCCTGAACAACAAGCAAAACTATAAACTTTCTAGAAAATAAATTGGAGGAAATCTTCATGATCCCAAGATTAGCATAAAATCATCAGCTAAGACACAAAAAGTATTAATCATAAAAGAAAAAATAGATAAATTGCATCTTATAGCAACTTAAAAGTTCTGCTCTTGGCGGGACGTGGTGGCTCACACCTGTAATCCCAGCACTTTGGGAGACCAAGAGGAGAGATGACGAGGTCAGGAGTTCGAGACCAGCCTGGCCAACATAGCGAAACTCCATCTCTACTAAAAATTCAAAAAATTAACTGGGCATGGTGGCGGGCACCTGTAATTCCAGCTACTCGGGAGGCTGAGGCAGGAGAATCACTTAAACCCGGGAGGCGGAGGTTGCAGTGAGCCGAGATCACACCATTGCACTCCAGCCTGGGCTACAAGAGTGAAATTCTGTCTCAAAAAAAAAAAAAAAATTCTGCTCTTTAAAAATCACCATTAAGAAAATGAAATTGCAAGCCACAATTTATAATGCATATATATTTAATAAATGACTTGCATTCAGAATGTATAAAGAATGTTTACAAGTCAATGAAAAGACAAGCAACCCAAGAAAAATATGTGCAGCTTGAACAAAACTTCAGGAAATAATATATGCTAATGATCAATAAACAAAAGAAAAGCTGCTCAATATTGTTAGGCATCAAGGAGATGCAAATTAAAAACACAATAAAATATTTACACCCACTAGAAGCATCCTAACATAAGAGAGATGTATATGTGTATATGGGTGTAAGCACTCACGTGTGTGTGTGTTTTAGGAAAATCTAATGATAAAGCGAATTTAAAATTCATGTAGAAGAGTGTCCAAAAGCAGACAAGAAATTTTATTTATTTTTTTTAATTAATATAAAGGGTTTTTATATAGGTAAACTTGTGTCATGGGGGTTTGTACAGATTATTTCATCACTCAGGTATTAAGCCTAGTACCCATTAGTTACTTTTCCTGATGCTCTCCCTCCTCCCACCCTCCACTTTCCCATAGGTCCCAGTACGTGTTGTTCCCCTCCAAGCATCCACATGTTCTCATCATTTCACTTCCACTTATAGGTGAGAGCATGTGGTATTTGATTTTCTGCTCCTGCGTTAGTTTGCTAAGTATAATGGCCTCTAGCACCATCCATGTTCCTGCAAAGGACATGATCTTGTTCTTTTTTATGGCTGCATAGTATTCCATGGTGTATGTGTACCACATTTTCTTTATCCAGTGTACCATTGGATGGGCATTTAGGTTGATTCCATGTCTTTGCTACGGTGAATAGTGCTGCAATGCACATGTTACTTTTTGACTTTTTAGTAATAGCCATTCTGACTGGTATGAGATAGAATCTCTTTGTGGTTTTGATTTGCATTTCTCTAATGATCAGTGATATTGAGCTTTTTTTCATATGATTGTTGGTCACATGTATATCTTCTATTGAAAAGTGTCTGTTTATGTATTTTTCCTACTTTTTAATGGGATTGTTTTTTTTTCTTGTAAATATGTTTAAGTTGCTTGCAGATGCTGGATATTAGACCTTTGTCAGATGCATAGTTTGCAAAAATGTTCTCCCATTCTGTAGATTGTCTGTTCACTCTGTTGATAGCTTCGTTTGTGTGCAGAAGCTCTTTAGTTTAATTAGATCCTATTTGTCAATTTTTACTTTTGTAGCAGTGGTTTTTGGTGTCTTTGCCATAAAAATCCCTGCTTGTTCCTATGTCCCGAATGGTATTTCCTATATTGTCTTCCAGGGTTTTTATAGTTTTGGTTGTTATATTTAAGTTTTTAATCCATCTTGAGTAACTTTTGTGTATGGCATAAGGAAGGGGTCCAGAATCAATCTTCTGCATATGTCTAGCCAGTTATCTCAGCACCATTTATTGAATAAAGAATCATTTCCCCATTGCTTGTTTTTGTCAGGTTTCTCAAAGATCAGATAGTTGTAGGTTTGTGGCCTCCTTTCTGGGTCCTCTATTTTGTTCCATTGGTCTATGTGTCTGTTTTTGTACCAGTACCATGCCCTTTTGGTTACTTTTGCTCTGTAGTATAGTTTGAAGTTGGGTAGAATGATGCCTCCAGCTCTGGTTCTTTTTGTTTAGGATTGCCTTGGCTATTCAGGCTATTTTTTGGTTCCATATGAATTTTAAATTTTAAATTTTAGTTTTTTATAGTTCTAGGAAGAATGTCATTGGTAGTTTATTAGGAATAGCATTGAATCTTTAAATTGCTTTGTGCAGTATGGACATTTTAACAATATTGCTTCTTTCTATCCATGAGCATGGAATGTTTTTCCATTAGTTTGTGTCATCTCTGATTTCTTTGGGCAGTGTTTTGTAGTTCCTCTTGTAGAGATCTTTCACCTTCATGGTTAGCTGCATTCCTAGGTATTTTATCCTTTTTGTGGCAATTATGAATGAGATTGCATTTCTGATTTAGCTCTCGGCTTGACTGTTGTTGGTGTACAGGAATACTAGTAACTTTTGCACATTGATTTTCTATCCTGAGACTTTGCTGAAGTTGTTTATCAGCTTAAGGAGCTTTGGGCTGACACTATGGGATTTTTTAGATAAAGGATTATGTCATCTGCAAAATGGGATAGTTTGACTTTCTCTCTTCCTATTTGGGTGCACTTTACTTCTTTCTCTTGCCTGATTGTCCTAGACAGACTTCCAATACTATGTTGCACAGACATGATGAGAGAGGATATCGTTGTCTTGTGCCGATTTTCAAGGGGAATGTTTCCAGTTTTTGCCCATTCAATATGATGTTGGCTGTGGATTTGTCACAGATGACTCCTATTATTTTGAGGTATGTTCCTTCAATACCTAATTTATTGAGAGCTTTTAGTATGAATGGATGTGAATTTTATCGAAAGCCTTTTCTGCATCTATTGAGATAACCATTTGCTTTTTGTCTTCCGTTCTGTTTATGAGATGAATGAATAACATTTATTGATTTGCGTATGTTAAACCAATTTTGCATCCCATGGGTGAAGCCTACTTTATCGTGGTGGATAAGGTTTTTGATCTGATACTGCATTTGGTTTGCCAGTATTTTGCTGAAGATTTTTGCATCAATATTTAGCAGGATATAGGCTTGAAGCTTTTTGGTTGATGTTGTTTCTTGGCCAGGTTTTGGTATCAGAATGATGCTGGCCTCAAAAAATGAGTTAGGGAGGAGTCCTTCCTCCTCAATTTTTTGGAATAGTTTCAGCAGGAATGGCACCAGCTCATCTTTGTACATCTGGTAGAATTTGGCTGTGAATCTCTCTGGTCCTAGCTTTTTGTTGTTGTTGTTGATAGGCTATTCATCACTGATTCATTTTCAGAGCTCATTATTGGTCTGTTCAGGAATTTAGTTTCTTCCTGGTTCAGTCTTGGGAGGATGTATATGTCCAGGAATGTAACCATTTCTTCTAGATCTTCTAGTTTATGGGCATATAGGTATTCATAATATTCTCTGATGGTTATTTGTAGTTCTGTGAGATCACTGGTAATATCCCCCTTTTCCTTTCTTACTGTGTTTATTTGAATCTTCTCTCTTTTCTTTCAATAAAGATTAACAATCTTTATTAATCTAAAAATATTTATTAAGACTAATAAACATTAGTCCAGACAGAAGTCTACTTTATTAATTAAAAAAATAGCTCCTGGATTCATTGATCTTTTGAATGGTTTTTCCTGTCTCAGTGTCCTTCAGTTCACCTCTGATTTTGGTTACTTCTTGTCTTCTGCTAGCTTTGGGATTGGTGGCTCTTGGTTCTCTAGTTCTTTTAGTTGTGATATTAAGTTGTTATATTGACATCTTTCTAACTTCTTGATGTGGCCATTTAGTGCTATAAATTTCTCTCTTAAAACTGCCTTAGCTGTGTCCCAGAGATTCTGGTACATTGTATCATGGTTCTCATTAGTTTTGAAGAACTTCTTGATTTCTGCCTTAATTTCATTATTTACCCCAAAGTCTTTCAGGAGCAATTATTCACTTTCAAGGTAATTGTATAGTTTTGAGCTAATTTCTTAGTCTTGATTTCTAATTTGTTTGTGCTGTGGTACGAGAGAGTGTTTGTTATGATTTGATTTATTTTGCTTGTTTGAGGAGTATTTTATGTCTGATTATTTAATCAATATTAGAGTATGTGTCACATGACAATGAGAAGAATGTGTATTCTTTTATTTTGGGGTGGAGAGTTTTTAGATACCTATCAGACTCACTTGCTCCAGTGCCGAGTTCAGGTCCTGAATATCTTTGTTAATTTTCTGTCTCAATGATCTGTCTAATATTGTCAGTGGGGTGTTAAAGTCTCCCACTATTATGTGTGGGAATCTTTAAGTCCCTTCAAAGTTCTCTAAGAATTTGCTTTATGAATCTAGGTATTCCTATGTTGGTGCATATCTATTTGGGATAGTTAGATCTTGTTGAATTGAACTCTTTACCATTATGTAATGCTCTTCTTTGTCTTTTATGATCTTTGTTGGTTTAAAACACGTTTTGTTTGAAATTAGGATTGCAATCTCTGCTTTTCTTGTTTTCCATTTGCTTGGTAGATTTTTTTCCATCCCTTTATTTTGAGCTTATGTGAAATGGGTCTCTTGAAGACATCATCATACCAATGGGTCTTGGTTCTTTCTCCAGCTTGCCACTGTGTCTTTTAATTGGGGCATTTATCCCATTTACATTCAAGGTTAGTATTGATATGTGCAGATTTGACCCTGTCATCATGATGCTAGCTGGTTATTATGCAGAATTGTTTATATAGTTGTTTTATAGTGTCCCTGGTCTGTGTACTTCAGTGTATCTTTGTAGTGTCTGGTAACGATCTTTCCTTTCCACATTTAGTGATTCCTTCAGGAGCTCTTGTAAGGCAGGTCTGGTGGTAATTAATTCCCTCAGCATTTAGTTTTCTGAAAAGGATCTTATTTCTCCTTCACTTATGAAGCTTAGTTTGACCAGATATAAAATTCTGGGTTGGAATTTCTTTTCTTTAAGAATGTTGAATATTGACCCCCCAAACTCTTCTCACTTGTAGGGCTTCTGCCGAGAGGTTCACTGTTAGTCTGATGGGCTCCCTTTTGTAGGTGACCTGACTTTTCTCTCTAGCTGCCTCTAACATTTTTTCTTTCATTTTGACCTTGGAGAATCTGATGATTGTGTGTCTTGTGGATAATCTTGTGAAGTATCTTACTGGGATTCTCTGCATTTTCTGAATTTGAATGTTGGCCGCTCTAGCTAGGCTGGGGAAGTTCTCATGGATGATATCCTAAAATATGTTTTCAAAGTTTGTTCCATTTTCCCCATCCCTTTCAGGGACTCAGTCTCCTCACATAATCTCATATTTCTCAGAGGTTTTGTTTGTTCTTCTTCATTTTTTCCTCTACTTTTATCTGTCTTATTTCAGAAAGCCAGTCTTCAAGCTGAGAGTCTTTCCTCTGCTTCCTGTGCTTCATCTATTTTGCTATTAATACTTGTGATTGCATTATGAAATTTCTGTAGTGTGTTTTTCAGCTCTGTCAGGTTGTTTATGTTCTCTTCTATACTGGCTATTTTGTCTGTCAGCTCCTGCATTGTTTTATCATGATTTTTAGCTTTCTTGTATTGAGTTTCAGTGTACTCCCGTAGCTCAATGATCTTTGTTCCTATCCAGATTCTGAATTCTATTTCTGTCATTTCAGCCATCTCAGCCTGGTTTAGAACGCTTGCTGGAGAGCTGGTGCAGTCATTTGGAGGAAAGAAGGCGCTTTGGCTTTTTGAGTTGCCAGTGTTCTTGTGCTGATTCTTTCTCATATTTGTGGGCTTATCCTCCTTTATTCTTTGAGATTGCTGATTTTTGAATTTTTTTTTCTTTTATCTTATTTGATGGCCTTGAGGTTTTGGTTGTGGTGTAAGGTGGATTGAGCCAACTGGCCTCGTTTCCAGAAGACTTTAGAGGGCCAACACTCAGCTCCCAACTCCTGGACTGTGTGCTCTCACTCTGAGGGACTTGTATTGGGCCCTTACTTTGTTCTCTTGCTCCTCGAGGTTAGGGATCCACTGCAAAGGGGAGGCTCCCTGACTGCTAGTCACTACACTTTGATGGGTGGTGTCAGCGAAAGCGTTTCATACTGTGGTGACAGCAGGATTCATCCTCATTCACATGGGCCAGGAGCAGTGGTAGCAGCAGCTGCAGCAGAGTGCTACCAGGTGCCAGAGTGCCTGCCTCCCTGCAGGCCTACACCACAGTGGAGAAAGCAACGCAGCTCGGGGGAGCGGTGAGGGGCCCTTTTGGCAACTGTGTGCCTAGTCATATTGGCAGTGGTGTTGGCTCAGTGGTGGGGTGCTGGCAGGTGTAGGTCTGAGTGCCTTCTCTGTGCCCTACAAGCAGAAGTGGTCGCTTAGGGTGAGGGAAGATCTGTTCTCTGCACAGTGCTAGCACAAGGGCAGGACCTTGGTAGGGGCAGGGCTGGCTGGCTCTGTGACCACCAAGACTTCATCTGCAATGGCGGTTGCCTGGGGAATGGGGGCAGACTAGTAAGGCAAGGAAAGAAAAACCTGCCTGTGCCCACACACACCAGCAGAGTGATGTGGGGAGTTTCCATGGACCCAAGTGAAGCTGCAGTATGGGGAGGGAGTATGTGGGCTGGCCCATGGCCATAGGGGCCAACCCACTAGAGCTCTTTGCCAGTCTGGCATGGTCCACCAGCTCAGAAGCCATGGTGTGGGCCTCCATGGGACCCAAGGCTGCCCTGCAAGAAGATGTGGCCAGGTTGGGACCCCGGGAGAGTCCAGAAGACCAAGGGGTGCTCAGGTCAAACTGGCCCCATCTGATGGGCAAGACACCCTGCAGACTTCAGTACCCACAGTTTCCCTAGGGCTAAAGCCTCCTATGGGAGCAAGTGGAGCCTGGGGAATGGATGTCCCTGGCCATGCTCGACTACAGATGCTCCCGCACCAAATGCTCTGGGCTCAACATCAGCTGGTTTGCTGCCTCACCACTTCTCTAAGCATCTCTCTCTTTGCCAACCTGAGTGTCTGTGGTGACTGAGGGGTCTCCTCCTGCCGGGATTCCAGAGGCCTGTGAGGTGAGCAGGTTGCTCTTTGTCAGCTCAACTCATCCATTTTCCTGGAGCCACTGGGGGCCAGAAACGAGTCTTGTGCATGGTAACCTCGTGCAGGGTTCCTAGGATTCCTCCCCTTCAGCCCAGCTTCTGTGACTTCCCTTCATCCACTCTTGGTGCCTTCCCTCTGAAAATCTGTTGGGAGCACCCCAGTCCTCTTGGTCCCCCGGTGGGAGCTGTTCCACCTGGCTATGTCTAGTCAGCCATCTTTCCCTCACCCCAAGAGATTTTTTAAAAAGAAGAGTTAGAAGGAACTGCCTTACAGATATTAAACTTACCACAAAATGGTATGGCATTGGTATAAGGACAGAAAGATAGAAGAGTAGAATAGCTGAAATATTCCAGAAACACATGTAAGTATATATGTATGGAAACTTAATAATGTGAAAAAGAAAATGCCAATAGGGTAGGAAAATAATATTTTAAATAAATGTTTATTAATTAATTAAAATTTGAATTATTTATTAAAAGGATAATTTAAATAAATGCCTGTAGTAAATTGGCTCTATCCAATTGATAAAAACTTTAAATTCCCTCCTCTATATCATATCATATTTTTAGAAATTCCAAATGGATTAAATATATAAATATAAATAATAATAATTATCTGGCAAAATCAAGGGTAAGATTTGCAAAACCCTGTAGTAAGGAGAACTTTTTTTTTAGCAAAACAGAAAGCTCAAGAAATATGGTGAAGATTGATATATTTGACCATATGGAGTTTAATTTTTCCCCAAGGAAGAAAGAATATGCTAAAATCAAAGGAAAAACATGAAAAATGCACATAAATAAACACATAAATCAGTCAGGTATTTAATTTTTCTATAGAAAAAACATTGTTTGAAAATTTACTAAACACACACACATATACATACTCTAGTAGAAAGTTACACAAATATATGAACCTATTTAAATAAATATTTGAAAAGATAATCTCATTACTTGTAAGGAAAATATAGAAAAAAATAAAAACAAGATGGCATTTTCACCTAAAAAATAAAAAGAACTAAAACATCTAGTCCTATGCATATGTAAGGAGATGAGCACTCTCAAATTTTGTGTGAATTATTACAACCTCTCTGAAAAAAACTAAGAATTTTTAGCAAATTAAAATAAAGAACATAATAGATATGAAAAGGATATACAAGAGAGACATTAATGAAGAACACAACATATAAAAGTAAAAGCAACAGTATGTAAGAATGTTTGTTGCAACATTGTGGTATAGAAAATAAATCAGGAAATTTCTCAATGTCCGTTGGTAGGTTAAAAAGTTGTCATAATTCTAGATCATAAGACATTATTAAACTGCTGAAAGGAATGAGCTGTAATTTCTGACTTGGAGGAGAGCAATGGGCAAACGATGACCTGTATAACTCTATGCCCACCATCCGTTTATTAGACTGTGAATAGTAACCCCTAAATTTCATTAAGGTCCTGTCACTCCCATCTTAGTCCACGTGCTCCATGTGGGCTTCCATCTTCAAGACAGCGTGGAGCACATGACCCAGGTGGCAACATGCTGAGCTCAAGAGCACAATCAGTGCAATCCAACTCCATAAAATCTAATAAAACTCTTTTTTGCTGACAATGCTAGGAGCGCTGGGGCAACAAAGCAGAGGCAGTCTCTTCCCTACAGGACTTGGACATAAGTAAAAGGGTATGTGACCTCCACTGGTAGAGCCACTGAGCCACCACCATGAAGCTCACCCATAAAGGACAGTAGAGCCATACTGAGAGATGGAATGAAGCTGAATCCTGAACACATCATTCAAGTCAAACCTGGAGCTACATGTGCTCTTTCATCCCAAATGAGTTTGGGTTAGGTTTTCTCTTTCTTTCTTTTTTTTTTTTTAAGCCCTTATTGGCTTGGTGCAGTGGCTCACACCTGTAATCCCAGCACTTTGAGAGGCTGAGGTGGGCCGATCACCTGAGGTCAGACATTCAAGACTAGCCTGGCCAACATGGTGAAACCCCATCTCTACTAAAAATATGAAAATTAGCCTGGTGTAGTGGTGGGCACCTGTAATGCCAGCTACTTAGGAGGCTGAGGCAGGAGAATCACTTGAACCCAGGAGGGTGACAGAGCAAGACTCTGACAAAAAACAAAAAAAAAAAAAAAAAAAAACCTTATGGATACATTACATATTTTGGTAATGTGAATGTGGAAAAAGATAAAGAATAACGTGATGACAGATTGTTTATACTGATTCCCAAAGGAATAGAAATGAAATTAGTTGAAAGTTGAGAGAGGATTATTAAATTATTACTAATCAACTTATTAGTATAATATTACCACATATATTATATATTATTACTAATATACTTTTGAATTTCACTTATTGTTAGCATGTATAACATTCAAAACTGAAAACAAAAATCTTATAAAAGCCCAGTGCTCTAATTATTGCTATCAACCAGTCCACATTTCTGCTTTTAAAAAACAGAATGTGAAATCCAAATGTATCTGTGAAAATTCAAGCATGAATTTTCTCTCTTTGTCTGTTTGCACTTCAAATAAGAAAACATACTGCAGTTAAACCAAAGTTTGTCTTTGATAGGATTGTAATTAAAATATTCTAGTAATTGCTTTTGCTAATTCTTCTCCTGCATAGTGGTTACTAAATACACATAAAATACCCAAAGCCAACAGAGCATAGTCTGGGTGAAGATGTTTCGGGTTCCAAGAGAATGGAGTAAGGGAAAAGTCATGGTAGAGGTTTAAATTGAAGAAGTGCGCAGGAGTAAGACGACTGAAGACTCTCGAGTGTGTGCTAGGGAGATTGCACTTCATTCTGCACTTGATGAGGACCTAAAACGTTTTGCAGTAGAAGAACATGATGAGTTAATGCCAGTAGCTGTGGGACAATGAACTTCAGCAAGACAAGACTAAATGCCCTGCTGCACAGACCTAAAAATCCACTCTCCCAGTGCACTCTACTCTGCTTTAATTCCTAATGATATAAGTGAAATTTTAAAGCACTTCCGCATGTCAACATTCTATTTCTGCTGTGACTCAAATCATTTTATGCTTTTATGTCCAAAAATATGTTGTTTTTCTACTAAAATGCTGTACATCATTGAAAGGATTTATGTCTTCCTAAGTGGAATTACGTGACCAAAGACATCATTGTTGGTACTTCCTATCCTGCACTTCTGTGTTCTGTCCTCTCTTTTCTCAGTTCATAAGTTCAAATATTATTAAGAAACAAGATCCTGAGACCTCCATAACTAAATTACAGATCCTTTACATATTTATTTATCAATCATATACAGGTAATATTGTCTCTATCCTTCAGAGTCCGAGCTACCAATCATGACATTGATTTTTGATAAAACTATTTGATAAACATCCTAGTATAACCCAAGTTTATTTAAGGTCTATGGTAGATGTTTCTCTAGCAAAATCAAGATCTGGATTTCTTATCTTTCTAGACACACAAAAAATTACATTTCCCAGACCTATTATGGTTAGATTGGGCCATGTGACCTGTTGTTGCCAATGAACTAAAGTAAGTGGGAAAGGCATGTATCCCTTCTGGGAAGAAGCGTAGTAGAAGAGATGAGTGATATCCATGCTATTTTATCCTCTGCTGTAGTAACAAAGAAGGCTATGATCCAGAGGGTGAGGCTGTAAGATGAGGCAGCTTCTGTGAGCCTGGATCCTGAGAGACTGTGTGAGAAACAGAGCTCTTCTCTCTGCTTCTTCCCCTCAATAAAAGTACATTGCATAAATACTCATAAACAAGAAATTAAAATTTGGTATGCTAAGTTGTATTAGTCCATTTTCATGCTGCTGATAAAGACATACCCAAGACTGGCTAATTTACAAAAGAAAGAGGTTTAATGGACTCACAGTTCCAAATGGCTGGTGAGGCCTCACAATCATGGTGGAAGCCAAGGAGGAGCAAGTCATATCTTACTAACATGGATGGCAGCAGGCAAAGAGAAGAGGGAAGCTCCTGTTTTTAAAACCATCAGATTTCATGAAGCTTATTCACTATCACGAGAATGCACGAGAAAAACCCGCCCCCATGATTCAATTACCTCCCACTGGGTCCCTCCCATGACACATGGGAATTGTGGGAGTTATAATTGAAAATGAGATTTGGGTGGGGACACAGCCAAACCATATCATAAGTCATTGAATACTGCAGCATTACTGGCTTATCATGTCTAATAAAGTTTCAAAGACCCCTCTGAGCATCTGATGGCTACTATGTACCCTGTCCCCAACAAGCTGCATGGTCAAACAACATTATATATAAAGGATATGAATATGCTTTTCCATGTATCACCCACCACAAATGGATATTGAATATTAAAGAATATTGGTTCCTTCTTTACATATACAATGATACAAGCTGAGTATCCCTAATCTGAAAATCAAAACTCTGAAATGCTAAAAAACCTGAAACTTTTTGAGCACAAATATGATGCCACAAGTGGAAAATTACACACCTGACCTCATGCAATGGGTCGCAGTTGAAATGTAGTCAAAATTTGGTTTTATGCACAAAATTATTAGAAGTAGTATATAAAATTACCTTCAGGCTATGTGTATATGTGTATTATGAAACATAAATGAATTTTGGGTTTAGACTTGGATCCTGTCCCTGAGTTTTTTCATTATGTGTATGCAGATATTCCACAATCTAAAAGAAAAAAAATCCAAAATCCAAAATACTTTTTGTCCCAAGCGTTTTACTATTGGTTTATGTGGTGACCATTTATAATGTATTTCATTTTGAAAGTTGATGAGTTGAGGTAGGAAAATCAGTTGAATAACTCCTGAATTCTTCCAAGAGAAAAAGACTCAGCCAGCCTTGCAGTACACCAGCTCTGATTAGAACTAATATGATATCTTACCAGCCAAGGGTCTGATGGAAACAGCCAGGCATTTGCTAAATGGGCTGGTAGTGTAGGGTAGAAGATAAAGACTGCTAGAGTTGTCTGCTTTACTTGGGGGTTGAAGTTGTGAACTGAAAACAAGTAACTTTTAATATTTTTTGTTTGCTTACTTCAAAGAAAGTGAGTAAATTCCTGATTCTTAGGAAAAAACAACGAGTACTCTCAAGAGTCACATAGGAAGATCTTCTTGACATCAAAAGGCTTTCTAAGAAACTGTCGGTGAGAGAAATAAGAAGGTATCAAAACCCTTCAGAGAGATTAGACATTGAAGGGTAAAAGTGTTTTGTTAGAGTGTTTTCAATTTGCCAACCAAACCCCAAATGTTTAAATCATCATTTTTGAAGTGTTCACTAAATATGTTTTGTTAGAGTGTTTTCAATTTGCCAACCAAATCCCAAATATTTAAGTCATCATTTTTGAAGTGTTCACTAAATAAATAAATAAATCGCATTTTTTTTCCCAGTGTCGCTGTGTGTACTGAGGCAAGCTCTGGGCTGGTATGGGAAGGTAACTTGGTTTTCATGCCTAGCCTCACTTTGTTTCCCCATGGTATAGGCCACCCTACACCTTCCTCTCCAGCTTTGCACTCTCCTGTTGCCCTCCTCAGTTTAATTTTTAGGTCTTTTTCTTAGGCTACTTATGTATGTCAAGGCCGATAACTTGATCTAAGTAGGTTGCAATTTTTAAAATCAGGAACACAGGATATTGGAGGTCTTTGAACAATGCAAGCGTTAGAGATTTAGAGATACTGACCGCCACGCAATTGAAGATCCATGTATAATTTCTGACTCCCCCCAAATGTAACTACTAATAGCTTACTGTTGACTGAAAGCCTTACTGATAATGTAGTCAGTTAACATATATTTTGGTGTTTTTTTTAACTTTTATTTTAAGTTCAGGGGTACACGTGCAGGTTTGTTACATAGGTAAACGTGTCATGGGAGTTTGTTGTACAGATTATTTCATCACCCAAGTATTAAGCCTAGTACCCATTGGTTATTTTTCCTGATCCTCTCCCTCCTCCCAACCTCCACCCTCTAACAGGCCCCAGTGTGTGTCGTTCCCCTCTATATGTCCACGTGTTCTCATCATTTAGCTCCCACTTATAAGTGAAAACATGCAGTATTTGGTTTTCTGTTCTTGTGTTAGTTTGCTAAGGATAATGGCTTCCAGCTTCATCCATGTTCCTGCAAAGGACACGATCTTGTTCTTTTGTATGGTGGGATAGTATTCCATGGTGTCAATGTACCACATTTTCTTTATCCAGTCTACCATTGATGGGCATTTAGATTGATTCCATGTCTTTGCTAGTGTGAATAGCGTTGCAATGAACATATGTGTGCATGTGTCTTTATAATAGACTAATTTATATTCCTTTGGGTATATACCCAGTAATAGGATTGCTAGGTTGAATATATTTCTGTCTTTAGGTCTTTGAGGAATCACCACACTGTCTATATTGTACGTATTATATGCTGTATTTTTACAATAAAGTAAGCTAGAGAAAAGAAAATGTTATTAACAAAATCATAAGGGGGAGAACATATTTACTATTTTTTAAGTGGAAGTGAATCATCATAAAGGTTTTTATCCTCATCAACTTTACATTGAGTAGCCTGAGGAAGAGTAGGAAGAGGAGAAGTTCGTCTTGCTTTCTGAGGGGTGGCAGAAGCAACAGGAAATCCATGTGTTCAAATCCACGTGTTCAAATCCACGTGTTCAAAGGATCAGCTGTATGTGCATTTGTGCAATGTGCATTGTCCCAAGATGATCAGCATTGCAGATACACTTCACCTTCCCTGCCAGACAAGAAAGTGATAATCCAGGGGTAGAAATGTTTCTTGAAGAATGGAGAGATGAAATGATAGCAGTTAGTTTACAGATGACACCCCCTACGGGAGATAAAACAGGTGTTTTTTGGAAGAGCTTCTATGTGGAAAAGGCAACTCTGTTTTCTGAAGCCTTTCAGGGCAGAAGTAGAGCAACACGTGGAAGGCATGCACAGAGGCAGAAAATTTTGGGTCAATACAGGAATAAAATTTGTGTTAAGATTAGCCAGACTGGAAAGATTTCTAAACTGAAATGTAAAGGAAAAATTTTTTAAATTGCATAAAACCATAAAGCAGGGCATCAAAGAAAAGAAAAAGCAAAGAAGGAGGAAGAACAAAAGCCAGCATTTATGGAACAAGCAGTTTGGCACAAGTGATTAAGAGTTCTATTTACATTAACTCAAGCAAAACCCTCCAAATCTCAAATAATGGTAGATACTATTATTTTCATTGTCGTTTTAGAGATAAGGAAATGAAGTCAGAGAAGTTAAGAAAAACAACCATGGTCGTCCTGCAGTTATTGGAGCTGGGATTTTGAAGCAAGGGAATCTGGCTCAGGTCTGGGTTGTATCTACATCACTATTGAGAGAGAAGGAAATAGTTTGAAATTCCTAGGAAATGAAACAAAGGAAAAGATGGGTAGGACAAGATAATGACTAGTCCACAAATAAAATATCAATTTCCACAAATAAACATGAACAGAGGATCATCACTATCTCACAGACCTGGTGAAAAGGAATGAGAACATGTCCCTGAAAGGATATTCTTGTTCAAAAGAAACAGGTTGAAATGAAAAGGAAAAGGACTAGAAGTAAAATATTAGTGCTTCTTAGATCAGCAAGGTAGAGAGGAGGCACACGGAGTTGAGGATAAAAGAAAAGAAGTAAATGAGTAAAATAATTGAGGGGATATTCCTACAAGCCAGCCAGCCAGATAAAAGATTTTAATGGTGCACATTACAGAGGCAACATATTAAAAGGATGATGAGGTGAACATCTAGACATCAGCTGGTGGCCTTGCTCTTCTAAAAGGCAGTGGATCCTAGGCCAGGCGCAGTGACTCACACCTGTAATCCCAGCACTTTGGGAGGCTGATGCAGGCGGATCACCTAAGGTCAGGAGTTTGAGACAGGCCTGGCCAACATGGTGAAAACTCCTCTCTACTAAAAATACAAAAATTAGCTGGGCATGGTGACACATGCCTGTAATCCCAGCTACTCGGGAGGCTGAGGCAGGAGAATCATTTGAACCTGGGAGGCGGAGGTTGCAGTGAGCCAAGATCACACTACTGCACTCCAACCTGGGTGACAGAGCAAGACTCCGTCTCAAAAAAATAAAATAACAGGCAGTGGATCCTCTACATTCTTGATTTGCTGAAGGTTAATTGCCTAGAAAGTAGAGGAAATAATAAGACTTGGGTCTACTCTGGCCTTAATTCTGGCCAAGAAAAACTTATAGAGAATATGGAAGTGGAAGGATGCTTGCAAGAATGTGGCAATATGGTAATGGAATTTGTAATATAAAAGGACACTAACATTGGGTATAAAGTCAACCATGTTCATTAGGCTTTATTTAGGAAATACAATTGCAGAATTGAAATCATGCTTCCTTGCTAATAAAGCAAAATTTTTTTTACCACTTCCTTCATTAGGCTATAGCCTTAGAATACTTTAAATCTACTTCCCACCTCCCTGCCGTCTGTATTATTGTTGTCATGCATTTGAATGCAGTGTATGTTTTAATCACCAGAAATATTATGATACTGCTTTGTATGGTCAATTTCATTTATATTTACCCATATATTTTCTCTCTCCCATGTTCTTTCTTCCCACTGACATTTTTGTTTTTATCTAGCCTACTTTTCCTTCTGCGTAGACAACTCCTTTTATTGTTTTTGTTTAGTCAGCCTATTGATGAAAAAATAACTCAGAAGTCACTGTGCATAGAAATCAAGGTTGGTGGTTCTTTTCTTTCAGTGCTTTAAATATGTAATTTAAATAAGTCATATTCACTTTAAATGTGTCTGGCTTATTATCACTTCTCAGGGGATGCCAGTATTATTGTGGTTTCTTTCAATGTTAAGTGTCCTTCTTCTCTGTCACTTTTAAGATTTTCTCTGGGTCTGATTTTCGGCCAGTTTGGCTATGATGTGCCTATGTATGATTTTCTTAGCATTTTTCCTACATGGGGTTCTCTAAGCTTCTTAAGTCTGTGATCTGAGTTCTTTCATTGATTATAAAGAATTCTTTACTCTTACATGTTCAGAAATTGCTTCTGCTTCAGCCTATGTCTTTTTTCTTTTGTGAATCAGTTATAAAAATATTAGAATTTTGTGTATACCTCACATGATTCTTACACTTATGTCCATTTATCGTCTACTTATTTTCTCCCTCCGTGTACTTCACTGGGCATTTTCTATTAATTTATTATCCAGTTTACTAATCCAGTCTTCCAATCCATTATTAAATTCATCCACTAAATTTTTAACTTTAAATGTTGTATTTTTAAATTATAGAATGTGCATTTGATACTTTTTTATAGATTTCAATTCTGTTAAATTTTTTATGATTTCATATATCTCTTCTGTCTTTTCTTGTTTTTTTGAACATATTAATCATAATTATTTTTAAAGTTCTAGGCTGCTAACTTCAAGTTCTGAATCTGGTTACTAACCAAATTGTCATTTCTCATCTTGTGTCAAGTAATTTTTATTTTATTTTAAATATTGAATACAAATGAATTATAGAGCTTCCAGATGATATTATCTTCCCTAGATAGTATTTAACATTTCCTCTAATAGGCAGATAGGGTAGCTGTATGATCCATGTAATCCAATCAGACTGAGCTAATTCAGGGTAGTGTTACAGTTTTGGTGAAACTCAGTCTTTCTTCCTATAGTTCATCACTCTACTTAGACTCCTCCAGGGCTTCTGTTGATAATCTGGTGGCCTTTGACCCCTTGGCAAATCACCTGCAGGTGCTTTAGTTCAGGCATCCTCCCACAAAGGTCACTGCTTTGTAAGCCTGCAGGTGACTTCACTCTGCTTTACAGAAGGTTTAGATCAAGCCCCAATATTCAACCTCTATCTCATGCCCAGAAATAGCAAATATTCACAGTAAAAATAAAATCTGCTGATCCTCAGACAAAAATTGAATGGTGTTTCCTCCATGGAATTTTAGTTCTTCTAGACATCATTACTTCCACAGCTCTCTAAAGGATTCATGAATTTGAATGTTTTTCAATTTATGAATTGAATTTGGAGAAATTCTAAATCCCAAATGATTATGTGACCAAGTCTGTATTTCTAAGCACTTATAGCTGTGACTCTGGAGAGCTGAAGTTGTAATGCAGAAAGACAAACAAACCCAGTGTGCCTGGCTGGGCTATCTTTGGTTCCAAAGAGGAAGCCATGACAATACACTCCAGGTTGACCCGTTCACACCACAGCTCACAATCCTGCACTGTCTCCCCCTTGTCTACTGAACAGTGTATAAATGCCTCATTCTTTTTTTTCTTTTTTTGGCATGGGGGTCTCACTCCATTGCCCGTGCTGGAATGCAGTGGCATGATCACAGCTCACTGCAGCCTCAACCTCCTGAGCTCAAGTGATCCTCCTGCCTCAGCCTCCCAAGTAGCTGGGACAGTAGGTGTGCACCATCACACCTGACTAATTTTTGTATTTTTTGTAGCGATGGGGTCTCATCATGTTGCCCAGGCTGGTCTCAAACCTGGTTTCGAGCAATCCTCCTGCCTTGGCCCCTCAAAGTGCTGGGATTAAAGGCATGAGCCACTGCACCTGGCCAATGCCTCAGTATTGCTTGGAAGATTCTAGACAGTATACCCCTCACTCGTTTCCCATTATTTCATCCCATGAACATGTAGTTGAGGCAAGCTGGAAAATGTGAAGCTTATTTGGGAAGTCAGTTAGCACATGTTCGTTGAACACTGTTATGGGCATTTTGTTGGGTGATGGAGCCAGAACAGACTTGCCCTTTGGAATTTAAAGGTGAAGACTGACATTAGTTACAAGGGTGGTGAGTTCTACAAAGGACAGCACATTCTAGAAATATAACATAAGCAAACAATCTAGTATGGGTGTCAGGAAAGATTTCCATGAAGAAATAACTTAGAAGCTAAAACCTGCAAGTTAGAATAGAAATTAGTTAAGCTAAAGGGAGCAATGAGGAGAGCTCATTCCAGGCAGTGAGAACTCCAAGTACGAAGGCTCTGACGCATGGCATGTTTAAAGGCCCCTTCAAACAATTTTATGGCAGGAATAGAAAGGGGAAGAAGAGTGTTTCAAGGTGAGGATGGAATGTAGACTGGACCCTGTCAGCCCGGTTATTCAGGTTTTAGCTTTTAAAAGAGAAGTTATAAAATAGTTTTATTTTATAGAAAATGAAAGTCAGAAATTAGGACATGATAAGTACTGCATAGCTAAAACATAATGTTCACTGCAGGTTAGGGACTGAAATCATGAGAGGCAACTATGGGACCGGGCATGGTGACTCACGCCTGTAATCCCAGCACTGTGGGAAGCTGAGGTGGGCAGATCACTTGAGGTCAGGAGTTTGAGACCAACCTGGCCAACATGGTGAAATTAAGTCTCTACTAAAAATACAAAAATTACCTGGGTGTGGTGGCACACACCTGTAATCCCAGCTACTCAGGAGGCTGAGGAGGCAGGAGAATCACTTGAACATGGGAGGCGGAGGTTGCAGTGAGCCAAGATTGTGCCACTGCACTCCAGCCTGGGCAACAGAGCAAGACTCTGTCTAAAAAAAAAAAAAAGAAGAAGAAGAAAAAAAAAGAAAGAGAAGCAAGCAGGGTACTTTGTGGAGAACCCGGTTAGGAGGCTATTGCCACAGTTCAGCTTGGGCCAGGATGCTGTTCCCTCTATTCTTCTGAAAAAGAAGGTTATAGAAAGAAATATAAAGGTTGAATTTTAATTTTTTAAAAAAGTCTAATTACACAAGTAAAGCTTGAGGCAATGTGGTGTAGCTGTAGCAGCTATGCTAGAAAGCAAGGCGATCTGGTCAGTAGAGATTCAGTATGAGGTAACAGTGTGGTGTGGCTGGCCAGGAAAAAAAACAAAAAAAAAACTTAAGTTCCTAGATCATATCATAGCAAGAATGTTACAGCAAAAGAGGTATTTGTTAGAAGATAATTTTCTATGACTTTCTCTTTTTTCTGCACGTCTTTCCAGCAGATATACCAGCTGCCTCTATTCTGGACTATTTTCCAAGGATATTTGTATAGCAACATATATATAATGACTGTGGAAGACAGACATTATTTCTCCTTCTGGGACAAAGTTCAGGCAAGCTTTACTATCCATTATAAAATATTATATTCCCTAAGCTTGTAGGTTCTCCCTTATGACACAAGCCACTGCATGTGCAGGTGTCAGCTGACACTTTTCACATTGCCCTGCAGGAATTGGGGCTCAGAGAACCAGCACAAATGCTCATACTCTGGCTACTGCTATTGCATTGAGTAATAAACTCTCCTATCTCGGCACCAGGAATCTCACATTTTCTGCCAGCATCCTGGAAGAAATTGGCCAACTCACTTGTTTGCCAACAAGTAAAGGGTAAAACCTTAGACCTCTCACCATTCTTGCAGTGTTACTCCAAGAGCCTCTCTACTTGTCCCATCCACACCCAGGCCTGCATATAATACACTGAATACAATAGGCTCAGCCTTGCCCAGGTCTTAGCCAAATAGACAAAACCTGGCTTTCTACCAGATCCCAGCACCAGCTGGGAGACAGGCTCAATAAAATGAATACATTTCTAACATACATGTTTGCCTGAGGAGATAATGAGTTCCTGGTTAGTAGAGGAGTTCTGTCTGGTTGATATTATAAGTGGGACTTATGTAGAGGTGATAGGTGGTTCCAGCATCAGGGACTAGATTAGAAGATCTTTAAAAGTCCCTTCTGGGTGCTCCACTGTGATGCCATGAACCCTTCCACCACTCATTTTTCAAGCTCTATTTAATAGAGGTAAATATTCATCCACAGTTTAGGTAACATTCCTGAGGTAGCATACTAAAGCAGACCAATGAACAGACTTGGTATCATATATACATCGGTTTCAATCTCAGACCAACCACTTACTATATGATCTTGTACTAACTTCCCTGGTGCCTTATCTGTAATAAGAAAATAAGATTACCTACCTCATGGTAAAGGTTTAAGTACTAAATGAAGTTATAGGTGTTAAGTGCCTAGCACAGTGTCTGCCAAATAATAAAGACTCATGTTTTAGCTATTATTCTCCCTCGTTAACCTCATCCTAGCCCTACCTGTCTACCAACTAAAGCACACTATCAGAAGTAGCATTACACTCAGACGTGGTGGGGGCTTGCTACACAAGCTTCATGGGAGGGGAAGGTGGTAGATAAAGGGACAATGTAGCATAGCAGCTCAACTGACCTCAAAGTTAAGATCCCAAGAAGGTCTATCTATCATCTATCTATCTTCTATTCTCTCTCTCTCTCTATCTTTTCCTCACTAGGAAAATAGTACTCATGAATATCATTATATGACTGTCACACCCAAAAGGCTATATTTAGCATTGGCATAGGTACATAATTAATTGATGCTGTCTATTACAGAGACAAGAGTGTGGATGAATTGCCCCCTCTGGTGCATTTTGTGACCCTGTGTTTTCCAGCTTTGTAACACTGCCAATTCTTATCAGTGAGTTGGCTGTTTCGACTTGCCAATCGAAATGCTTTACAAATGTTTGTGAGGTTATTTAAAAATTTTCCATTACCTTTAAATTTACATTTAGGAAATGACAAATAAAGCAGTAATTTAATACAGGCTGTGCATACTTTTCTCCCTCCAACTTTAGTATTTCTCTGATGGGCTAATTAGGAGAAATAGATTCATTTCCAATCATTTACTTCCACTTTGAAGAGTATCCTCTGTCTACATGAAAAAGTATAGGAAACCTTGTTTACCTGGAATTGTTTTAGCTATATACTACTATTCAAAGACTTCTTGACAACAACATAAAGTAATAGCTTTTGTGCTGGGCCACCTGGAAGCCCTGACATCAGATGAGCCTGTGGATGCCTTAGCAACAGCAGTTTTGTAGTCATGGTAACAGCTTTGTGCTCCGTAGGCAAAACCAATGAGCTTTAAGCATCACTACAATCTAGCTAAGCTTCTCTGACCTTATCAGGGAGCAACAAGATCTGTCTGTTCTTCCTGCACGTGCCCCTCAGCAGGGAGGGGAAAATGTGCATAATGTACCTGATTTAAATGTCAAACTTGGATTATTCAAACAATTGAATCCTTCTTCTAGTTTGATGTATTAGATGGCATGGTTTTCTTAAAGTAGATTGTTGATTTCAATTATCCATGAGCATTGTTACGAAAGCAGAGTGTACAGCATGCATAATATGAATGTTGTGATAATTAAACATTTTGAAGGGGTAAAATACGTAGATTTCCAATCAATGACATGGATTGGAAACCCCAGGGGACCCAGAAGACAATTTCCATCTCTTTCGTTGACTGTTTTTACTCTCATGAAGGATGGTAATAAAGAACAGTATCACCATTCAAATTAATATGTCATGCCAAGTTTGCAGCAGCAGTAAACAAATCAAAACTACGTCTACACCGGCCTGCAATGTCTTTGAAAGGGCTTATGACTTTCCTTGCTTACTTCCTTCCTAAAACTGGGCTAGTAAACTATAGCCCTGAAAGCTGCTTGTTAACTTTCTCAAGCTGAAAAGCATGAAATGATGAGCCAAGACTGAGCAGCCCATTCATAAAAAAGACAAAAGTAATTCCTCTTTCAGTGACGCTTTACTAGCTGTTCATAGGTACATTATGTATGATTATTTAATCTAATATGCAAATGTGTCCGAACCATATATTATTTAACTCTTGTTGTTTACTTGAACTGTTTCATACTTCACAGTACATTTCATGTCAAAAAAAGAAAAAAAAAAGCTCAAATTACTAAGGTTTTTTTTGTTTGTTTGTTTTGTATTTTTTTGTGACGGAGCAGTCTTGCTCTGTTGCCCTGGCTGGAGTGCAGTGGCACGATCTCGGCTTCTGCAACCTCCACCTCCCGGGCTCAAGCGATTCTCCTGCCTCAGCCTCCTGAGTAGCTGGGATTACAGGTGTGTGCCACCACACCCAGCTAATTTTTGTATTTTTTAGTAGAGACAGGGTTTCACCATGTTGGCCAGGCTGGTCATGACCTCCTGACCTCAAGTGATCCCACAGTGCTGGGATTACAGGCGTGAGCCACTGCACCTGGCATACAAATGATTAAGCTTTTAATGCTATTTGAATTGTATTTATTCCTTTTCTTCAAGTTCATTTTTAATTCATTCTCTTCTACTAATGTTTCCATTCCTGGGTGGTATAAGACAAGACCCACTCTTCTCCCAAGGAAAATTACCCTTCACAAATCAGCTCAAGTTAGATGAATTTCTAATGCTTCTGATCTGTTCAAATTCAGAAAAGTAGCCCCTTCATTCATGTATTTAATTTAATGTATATAAAATGCCTATTATGTATTATGTTAAATGTCATGGAAGATACAGAGATGAACCAAAAATGACTATTGCTTTCAAGAAACTTACAAACTAGGTTTGATTAAAGTGGTTCTTCATCTTCGGTGCTGTGGAGTCATCTTAAGCAATAATTAAAAATCACCAACTTTTCTAACTTCATTTCCAACAAAACCCAAGGAGAACTGAAAGTTTACCTTCCATTGACTTTAATAGGTGTTAATCATGTATTTTCTTGTTTTTATTTTGCTAACTCTAAGATCCAAAGCATGTTTTTGTTTTGTTTTGTTTTTAAAGCAAGCTATACAATTGGAGTGTTTGAGATGTATTTTGTTACTGGTATTTTGCAAACATGAATGTGCTATTGCTGAGTTTTTTTATTATTATTACTAGTTTATAAAACAGCATCTTAGCCAGATGCAGTGCCTCACGCCTGTAATCCCAATACTTCAGGAGTCCGAGGTAGGAGGATTACTTGAGACCAGGAGTTTGAGACCAGCCTGGGCAACATAGAAAAACTCCTTTTTTAAAAAATGGAATCTTGCTGTGTTGCCCAGGCTGGAGTGCAACGGCATGATCTCGGCTCACCGCAACCTCCGCCTCTAACGTTCAAACAATTCTCCTGCTTCAGCTTCCTGAGTAGCTAAGATTACAGGCACCTGCCACTACGCCCAGCTAATTTTTGTATTTTTAGTAGAGAAGGTGTTTCACCACTTCGGTCAGGCTGGTCTCAAACTCCTGACCTCAGGTGACCCACCCACCTCGGCCTCCCAAAGTGCTAAAATTACAGGCATGAGCCATCATGCCCAGCCTCAAAACTCCATCATTTAAAAAATAATAATAATAATCAAAATAAAATACTACCTTAGACATTTTTACTGGAATGGAAAGTTTTTCCATCAGAAGGATCATGATCATTTGTCTCATGGCATTTTGGTTCCACGGTTTCTACCAGATAAAGAAGGTGTTGTTGGTGAATATGTTGGAACTGTCATAAAATGGGCAACTAAGAGAATTTTAAATAAAATTCAGCTTTGGCAAACTCAACATAAAAGAAGTCATTGTCCAAGAAATGACTTCACACTTAAATTTTGGGCTGGTCATATGAAAAATAAAAGCCAAATGGAGAACATTGAACTTAACATTTGGAAAATTATCTGATTTAGCATTCATGTTTTTGATAATAGAACCTTTAGAATTATAAGCTTCAAGTCATTTCCTTTTATCCTTAATAGGCCATTGCAACCTTTGCTAATATCTGATAAGCAGAAAAATTTAAAGAAAGTTATTGTATTACAAAATCACAAAAATAATATGGCTGAAATGAAAATTAGAGTCATCTAGTTCAACTCTATAATTTTGTCAGTGAGGAAATTGAGGTCTGGAAGTTTTCTTCCACTTAAAATTTCAGATTTGCGTATTTCTTGACAGCCCAACCAATCTGACTAACTGGTTTGGCATCAGTGTTGACTTGCAGTGAAGTAAATGTTGTCTGCTTTTAGTGGGATTTGATTCACTTGCTTTAATTTATTTTTCTTCTTTAGTTCACTTAGTTTTAGCCTCCTCTAAGTCAAAGGATGATGAAAGTTCATGAAGAGTTATTAAGAGAAGGCCATTAATTAGTCCTCACTTAGCTGATTTGCACTGACAAGGAATTGGCTGAAACATTGGAAAGAAAGAATTGTAATAACAGGTTTTTAAAAGATATTTTGAGTTTTCTCAGTCTGATTTTTTCTGACTTTAAGATTTCCTTTGTCTCTAGTATCTTGTGGGTAGTACCTATTATGCCTTCTTCATATTTTCAATTTATTTCCTCATTCCCTTCTTCGGTTCTCTTTTTAACCTTCTATAAACTCATCCTCTTCTCTTCATGAGTGTCTTAATTGTAACCAAGCTGAGACATCCTTTGACCTTCAATGTCTGAATTTGAATTCAGAATCCTATGTGGCCATTCTGATTTTGCAGGGTGAATTTGTGTGAGAACAAACACACATACATACACACAGATGGTGTCTCCTGGGGATAAACAAATCTCATCTATAGGCCGGAAACAAATCTATCATTTAAGAAAACTTGTCTTCAGTGGCAGTTTATCAGCACCTTCACTCTGTCTGAGTGCCTGCCTTCCTTGGACTCAGGGGCCACACATAGGCACATCTCTTTGTTATATCTTTGTCAACTCTCTGGGGGAGTTTCTTCACCCACAGTGCCCTGTATCCTAGTGGTCTCCTTCTCCCTTAGCCCTTTGGACCTTATTTGCTCTGGATATTATGCTCTCAAGATCCTGGTCTCTAAGATGACCTATAATCTTCTAAATTATTTCTCTAAAGACTTTAATGGAGGATAATGGCTTAATATGAATCTTAAAAGGACCTATCAGTGCTTTGACATAAATGAGCTGGGAATTTCTAGCGCTGTGGCATGCTGGCTGGGGATATTTAAGGATTCATCCTTTGTTATGCTCTTCAATTTATTCAGTGGATGGTTAGTCACCATCAACTACAAGCCAGCCCTTTTTACCCAGCTTACACATTTATATCTGGGTGTCTCAATGGAAAAAGTAACAATAATAACCTTCATCTATCAAGGTCTGTTGCAAGCCTGTATTGGTTTGCCAGGGCTGCCATAACAAAATATCACAGACTGGGTGGCTTAAACAGCAGAAAGGTGTTTTCTCACCGCTCTGGAGGCAAGAAGTCCTGGATCAATGTGTCGGCAGGATTGACTTCTTCCAAGGCCTCCCTCTGTGGTCTGTAGCTGGTCTCATCCTGACTGTGTCTTCACATGGTCTCCTCTCCGTGGGCATGCATGTCTGTGTCCTAATCTCTTCTTATAAGGACACCTGATTGGATCAGGGCCATACAATATGACCTCATTTTACTTTAATGACCTCTTTGAAGGCCCCATCTCTAAATCCAGTCACATTCTGAGTCACTAAGGGTTAGAACTTCATCATATGAATTGGGAGGGGGTAGGGAGGTGGATACAGTTCAGCCTATAACATAGCTTCGCACTGTATTAAACGATTTAGATGTATTGTCTTTAACCATTAAAAATCTGAGACATTAATTTTACTGTTCAGCTTGTTCTGTTGAAAAATTGAGGTTTAGAGAGGATAAGTAATTTCTCTAAGGTTACATAACTACTAGGTGGTGAAACTGGGGATTAGATCGCGCCTAATAGCTACAAAGCCATGTTTTTCTGCTATACCACTCGGCCTCCAGCTAAGATTTATAGCCAGTCAGCTTTGCTCCAACACACATTGGTCATTCTTCCTGGAATTTTTCCTCCATGGGAGATTGAAAGGCTTAACTAGTATGTGGGCAAAAATTCTTCTAGAGAGACTGTTTAAGAAACAGAAAATGAGTTCTTTTAATAGTCAGTTTCTTTAACTTGGTAAATATTTTTAAAGATTTTCATTTTTTTTAGTAATGAGGACATTTCAGAATTTTAGTTTTTACACCAGTGATAGTTTTAGACAGATCTAAAAAATTTTTTTTAAATCAACAGGAAAACATTAATTAGCATGTGTTTATCTAGTTTTTAACCCACCAGAGGGTACAAGGTGAACTGATTTGGAATCTTGAATATTTTTGAAGACAGGCCACAAAATTCTTGTTTTTCTCAATTCAACAGGTTTTTCAAAGGAATGAGTTATTTAAGCATAAACCCAGTTAAGACTTCTTTGCTAATATCCTTTTGTGTCATTGGTACAAAAGTACCTCCTTACATGTTCAAATTATTTATTTTGTCCAATATTTATGATAGAACATACTGAAATAAGAGATTTTTTTCATGATAAAATGAGAGATTACTTCATGATAAAAGATTATCTGCAACAAGTCAGTTCTTTTGTTTTTATTATTTTGTAGCATGAAAATATTTATGTTTAAAAATCCGTATACTTTAATCAAATGACAAAATAATGATGACATGCCTAAGGAAGATAATAATAAAGTAAAATTATTTTACATTAGTTTATAATTAAGATTTTTTGTTTAGGCATTCTAAAGAAAGGAGGAAAAATTAACAAGGAAGAAGAGAATAATACAAAATTAAGATTTGGATATTAAAGTGGTAAACTTGGAGATGGGAGGTTGTTGAAATTGAGATAGAAATCTTTCTTTCTAATCCTATCCTTATCATAGATAAACAAAAGAAATACATTTCTGGCCTATAGGTGGTAACACTGGCAATGTCTGTACTGTAATGTAGTTATTACACTTGAACAAATGCAGTAATGAGTAAGTGAGTAATGATGAAAGTATAATTCAGCAATAGAGAAAAAAAGGAATTATGTCCTTCAGATCTAATTTTTAAAAATTAGGAATTTTACCAAAGGCCAAATGTATAACTCTGCTTGTGAAATCCCCTGCAGAAATCTTGCAAGCCTACAGGAACATCAAAGACCACAGTTATCTAAATGTCTGGGCTAACACATAATAGTAGTGGGCTAAACCTATAAATTCAGTTTCATGTGGGTCAGTTGGTCTCCCTGTAGGTCTTGACACAGCCCTTCCTTCTAAACCCACGTAGTCACTTGCCTTTGGATGCTCTTGATCCACAGGTGACTTTATGAGACTGGATAGTCAATGGTATGTGAAGGACAGCTGTATTTAGGAAACCAGCACTGTGGTTTGGCAATGTGCTCACACCCCTGGAACAGAGATTCATAACACATGAGATGTCTCAAGTTTTGTGAATTAGGGATAGTGGTGATCAGATCGTGGGCTTAGTTATTGCTGGACAAGAACAACAAGTTTCTGCCTTACAGATCAGAAATGTAATTACCAGCTAATCTGAAGGAGACTAAACCCCAAAATGATCATATTATTAATTAGACATTCAAGAAATGTATTTGCAAGTTTTGGCATCTCTCACTATCCTGTACCAGGAATGTGCCAGGGACGTGAGACATGAAAAGTATTTACAAATTACAGCTTCCATCTAATAAGTAAGTAATAAGCCAGATAATAATTCACTATTTTACATTGAGTAATAATGCTCAACCTGTTTCAGGGTCGTGGGACTTTTTGAGAATCTTTTGAAGTCATAAAAGCTTCTCCTCAGAAAACAAAATGCAAATGCATCTAACATTTTGAAGACAATTTTAAAGAGTTCACAGGACCTTGAAGATCACCCAGGGATGAGAGTTTAAGAAGTTCTGACATAAAGAGGCATACATTGTCCAGTGATGGGCCTATTTGTATCATCAGTTCAGGTATTGATTTGAAGGCAAATTAACAAGGAAAAGGCTGTTTGATACGGCTATCACTAGGGAATGAGCAATGAATGATAGATTATTTCACCCAAAGTAAGGCAGAGTGAGTTTTTCTGCTCACAAATGTTACATGTTGGGAGTAAGTAACCACGGACATCTTTTGCTAAAGCACCAGCCCAGGCCAAGCCAAACCCTCAGGGCAAAAAGAACATCCTGTTTTCTCTGGTTTGAGTTGTTCAGCTCTATGAGTATTTATTTATAATCCTTTTGAAACCATATCATATCTTTATGGCGTGGCTCATATTCTAAAAAATTTTAATATAAGCCTACCCTTATATGGGCATTTGGACTCACACATAATTTTTGTAGCAGGCACAGAAATACACTGATGGACAAGTACACAGTGTCCACGATTTCACAAAATTTAAAGACTATTGGATTCACCAAACATAGGCAGAGCCAATTTTTTAGTTATTAGCTTTTTCTGGAACTAAGTAAGCAAAATAAAACAAACTGCAGCTAATTCCCTTCCAGTGATTTTCAAAGTTATTTAAAAATTTTTCCCCAAATCTAAATATATGACTTGACTAAACTCCTACTGTATATAAAGCATTTTCTATAAAGAAGAAATAAGATTGATCTTATTCTTAATGAATTTATAATTTTATTGGAAAGATACAATAGCTGTTAAGAGTCAGGCAGATCTGGCTTCAAATTCTAATTCTGAAAAGTTATGTTTTTTCTTGGATTAACTCCTTATGCTTTCTGATGTTCAGTTTCTTCATTTTAAAATAGGGAAAATAATAGTTATCTCATTGTATTGTTATGGAATATTAAAAGATAAATTTTTAAAGGATCTTGGCATGTGTTTGATAACTGCTGTTATGATTACTAAAACAGATATAATAAATTAGATACAAATAATGTCACAAATTGCAGAGAATGACAAAATGTCAAGTGATTAGTACAAGCAATGACAGGTTCTGTTAAGAAAGATTAGCATGGGTCACGTGGTCAGAATCTTTCACGGAAGATAGGACCTGAACTCTGTCTTAAAAGTCAGGATAGGATTTGGGACAGGAAAGAGAAGAAGGTTATACAAATTGGAAAAGTGTGAGTGGTGAGTATGGAGACTCACTGAAAATGTTTTGTTCAGGTGACATGGTGTAGATTATCTGGCTTGAACAGAAGGTTGCAGAGGTAGGGTTGAGAAAAATGGGGAGGGTCTTGAGTCTTCATAAAACATCAAGGAACTGAAAGGCATCTCAGCAGAAAAATGACATGTTTTAGAAAGATTCATCATATTATCATGGTGTGGAGGATAAATTTCATTTTGGGGTAGGGGTTTAAGATGTGGGGATGTAGAATTGTTATAACTGAGGCTATTAAAAAAAAAACCAAAACTGACATCATGGACATAATGGAAAGCCTGCCTGGATGATGGCAGTGGGATGGAAAGGAAAAAACAAAGGTAGAAACATTAAGAAAGAAGGTGCTTATTGGTAGACTGGAAAGAGAGATCACTTGAAGATAATGGTGTCAACGAATATATATTGAGAGTATAGTAGTGAACCTGAGTGTCTTAGGGAAATGAGGACACTATGCAAAAAGGAAATATCGAAGTGGGTTTCTTTTGGCAGGTAGAAAAGGGGAGGAGATCATTTTAAACTCTAAATAGCTTACTTCCTGAAGGAGGACACATGTCTCATTCATCTTGGAATCCTTAGCACTTAGTACAAAATCAAGAACATGAACATGTATGAGTAGTATGAGTGTGCAACTGGAGTTCAAATCAAAGTCAAAGCTGGAAATAGAGCTTGTATGGCTGAAGTATAAGATTTGATCCATTCCGGGGGAAAGAAGTATATGGTGGGTGGGGCCCAGGGTTGGGGACAGGTAGATACCATTCTCCTTAGCACTTACCATGGAGAAAACCAACTTTCAGCTGGCTGTCCCTGCAACTCTTTTCTTGAAGACTTCTTTTGCCCATCAGAGTCTGTTCAACCTATATGTGAGGCAAACTAGAGTGCTGGAGAATAATCATCCTTAGGAACAGCCTTCAAGCAAAGTCAGAGAGGAACTGATGCATAAATATCCAGCTCCTTTGGGTGGGATGACACTGTGATGTATGTTCCATACAGTTTCCCAGATTTCCCTAGTAATATCCAGCTCCAGTTGCCTGGAGTGGTAATTTGCTTGGTGGCTTCCTCTATTACCTCCCATTGCTGTCATCTCCCTTTAATTTTTCCTGATAATACCTCTCAAATAAACCACTTGCACCTGTAACCTGTTTCCAGGGTATGCCTCTGGGAACTTCCATTAGGTTAATGGGAATGACATAGATTATCAAGGGAAGTGACCCAAGTGAGTATAACTTCCGTGGGGAGCATTAGTGGGCCCGGGCAAGTCAGCAAGGCAGAATGAATAATGGTGCAGTGCACAGGCAAGACAGCCCAACCCAGACTCAGGTCCTCTAGAAAAAGGAGGCAGGAGTGTGCCCTGGATCTCAAAGGCCACACTGAAGTTAAAATCGAGGGTGCAAATTCTAAGGAGAAATAACAAGCCACATGCGAAGTCTAATTAGAAAAACTAGGTTGGTGTCCCAAAAAAACATCTCAAAGAACAAAAATGAAAGATGTAAAAATGAACTGAAATCAAACCAGGCAAAGGGAGCTAAGAGAGGAAAAAGTTTGTATCTCTGAATCCTAAAAGCTACCCAAGTAAGTGGCTGGTCCTGGAACCAAGCAGAAAAGAGATTTGACCTGGTGAGTGACTTGGTGGGGGTTGAACAATTGAAGAGTCCGTTGGCTTAGCTTTGTTATTACAGGTAATTTGTCATTTGTATACTCTCAGCATGTATTTTTATTTAATTATTTTCTGATTTCTCTGCAAGTGGGTATCTGCTATGGGATGCCATTATCATCACTTTGTTATTTGGCTCTCTTCTCCCCTTTTCTTCATGTGATGCTGTTGGAATCTTCCTAGCTCAGGTTCGCTGTTTTTCCTCCTGGGTTTCTGTGCTCTTTTGGGTAGTGTGACACTGGCTGGCAAGAGAACCGGGTCACATCTGACTGATTCAGTAATCTGGCAATTACTCACCCTGATACCCTCTGCAGTTGTTTTTTCCATCTCCTTGAGCTGAATGCCAGCCTGCTGCTCACCAAATGGAGCCAGGGGTTAGTATGCACCTCTTGCCTGCAGCACGAAAATCTGCCTCTCTCTGTTGAGCCTGTTGAATAGTCTTTGCCACCAGATATACTCTATGTAGCTAGGTTATATCCTGTCTTTCATTCCAAAATGTACAGTGTTCTTTTTTCATTCTCAGGCTTGAAGACTACCTGTTTGATAGTTCACTTTGGAGGCTACTATATCACACTCTTTTGCTAGATAGCCTCTAAAACAGACACTTGAAATCAGCACTAGGAAATGGCAAAAATTAGGTCTCTGCTGCTGACACCATGGCAGCCCCCTCTTTCTGTGACAACCTCCTCACTATACAATCCAGGTTCTTGGCCCCTTCCTGACATTTCCAACATTATAGAGAAACAATGACTGAAAGGAGCAATGGAGAAATGTCATCTTGACAGATTAAGCTGCTTGTTTTTCAAATGTCAAGGGTTTCCCTCCTCAAGTTTCACTCTCCTTCTTCAAAATATTCTGCATCCAAGTGCCCTAGGAAACAGCGGAGGCTCCTAATTCACCCCCCGAGCATGGAAAGCCTGCGGGGTGGGGAGATTCTAAAGAGTTTTGAACAGTTCCCTACTGGTTGTAGTAACTGTCAAAACTATTATAAGCCCTCTTATGACATAATGTTGTTGGAAGAGAACTAAATTTGATGTTTAGATACTACTGGTTCATTTGAAAACCACCCAACACAACCATATGGCATTTAGTGACAACAGTCTAATGAGGTCTCAGTGGGTTACACTGGTTAGCTGAAAGATTGTGTAGAAACATCTGTCAGAGAGTTGATTGTCCCACTAAATTTAGAATGATTCTAGAGTCATCTTTCTGTTCACCACACTTAGAGTGAAAAAGAATATACTGGCTGCAAAATATTCAACTGGGAAAAAAAACATCAGATAGCATACAGTTTTGTTCCAAACATTTTTAGACAAGATAACTTCTGTTGCTGAAAAAGGTAACGAAGAATCCAGCAAGGAAGTAATCCATATAAAGTTAGTATTGGATAAATATGGCTGCTCATGTTAAGTGTGTACATGTGTGTGTGTGCATGCTAAAATATTTATAGTGTAAAATACATTCACATAAGTTCCCTTAAGACAACCATTGGATTGAAAAATCCTAATGTAGCTGTAGAGCAGATGAATCTGGTAAATTCTGGTTTTAAAAAAGGACTACTAACTGGTACATTTTTACTGTTTCACTTACTACAAAGGCATTCTAATAATTGACCCTATCATCTAAAGGAGGCAAGAAGAAATTGAGTGATAGATCAGAGGCAGAGGGGAGGATATTCTGGATATCGGTTTGTTGTCGTTGTGGTTAAGACAGAGTTTCACTCTTGTTGCCCAGTCTGGAGTGCAATGGTGCAGTCTCGGCTCTCTGCAGCCTTTGCCTCCTGGGTTCAAGCAATTCTCCTGCCTAGTAGCTGGGATTACAGGCATGCGCCACCACGCCCAGCTAATTTTTGTATTTTTAGTAGAGACGGGGTTTCTTTATGTTGGTCAGGCTTGTCTTGAACTCCTGACCTCAGGTGATCCACCAGCCTCGGCCTCCCAAAGTGCTGGGATTACAGGTGTGAGCCACCTCGCCTGGCTATTCTGGATATCTTAAAATACTTAATCCTTGTTGTAATTGAAAATATACCTGAACTGAAAACCAAACCATAATATTGTATAATGCTGGTGAGTATCCTAGTGTGTTTATACACTGTTTATTGCATATGCACATATAGTCACAAGGAGCCATGTAGTATTTGGTCTTGTTTTTTGAGAATGTTATAGGTACACTATATTTGTGCTTTCAAAGAGAAATCTTCATAATATTCAAATCAATGCTCAAACCAAGTAAAATAAGTAAGCTATTAATTTTTAATTAAGAATGTCCTTGAGAGAATTACCTAGCCATAAATTAATTATATAAGTCATATTGATTTTTTAAAAGGAGAGGGAAAAGAAAGTTAAAAGGTAAAGGGCCACAAACTTCATAGGCAAAGGAAAACTTTTCCAATGGCAGCCCCTGCAATGTGAAATCTAAGATGATTACTTGGTGATGAGGGCCTCATGGTGAAGCAGCAGCTGGGCAGAACAATGATGTAGCTGAATTTCTGTTGTTTTCTTAAATTCGCCTGTGCTAAACAAAAGAGTTAATAGGCACTATCTCATTTAATCCTAATAATAAGTGTAAAAGATAAGAATTATAAGTATCCTCATCTTACAAAGAAAGAAACAAGATATGAGATTAGGTAAATAACATGCTTAGGACCACCCAGCTAGTAAAAACTGGAACCAGCATTCAAACCAGAGTATCTGACATGTGAGCTGGTGCTCTTGAACACTAGTCTTTAATGGCTCCTGGAATGTTAGTCCAAGATGAGTTTGCTGCCACCTGTGGTGCCACGGCTGAAGCCAAGACTATAATTTCCAAAGCCTCTTTTGTTTGTTCAATGGCCATTGGTTTGTCCTTCTTTCTCCAAGCTGAGGCACTAGGGGAGCCAAGGCAGCATACAGATGTACAGATAAGGGGTAGGGAGGGGGCAGAGGGTATGCTTCATTTGGACATTAATGAAATATAAAGTCCATGTGCAATTTAGGTGCTCCTTTAAAGCAAAGGCCATCATAACAGGCCATCATGCCTAGGGCAGGCTAAACAATAGGGAATCCATTAATGTCTGTTGGTTAGTCAGGAATGCCCAATTTTCCGGGTTAATGTGGTGTTGTGTACATGTGGTATGTGCGTAATGTCTGTGTGTGTATGCGCATATGGTGTGTGAATAATATACCACATCAGCATCAGATTAGACCTATTTGAATCTGATGTGTTCAAGCTCATGTACAGTTGTCTATGAGTGAAAAAAATCAAAGGACTCAATTTTTCCAGAACACAAGGAAACGGTACATGAGAATTTGCTTGTGGATTTGTATTTTACCAATATATGTTCATGGAAAGAGCATCAAGGGTTCATTAGCTCTGTGAACACTCATGGTTTCCAATGTGGATTTGTGATGTGGTCATAATTCATAAATAATTGAAAACTCCTTTCAGCAGTCTGGAATTGGTTCTTTATCACTGGTTCTGTTTCATGAGATCAATATTGAAATATGTGTCAGTTTTAAGAGAAGATCAACACTGGGCAAATAATCCAGCTTCAGCATTCTTATCAGATTGGCATTCTTTTGCTATGCTGTGTATTGGATAAAAAGGAACTTGCTCTGTGTAGACCAATGCTGTTCAATAGAAATATAATGTGAACCACATATATAATTGTATATGGTTTTGGTTGCCATATTGAAAACGAAAAAGAAATGGATAAAATTAATTTTAATGTAACCCAACATATAAAAATATTATCATATCACGTGTGGCACTATTCACATTTTAAGTCCTTAATAGCCCAGGGAGACTGGTGGCTACCATATTGGGCAGCCCATTTCTAGATTCTAACTCTCTGTTTAATTTTCAAATCTCCAGACTTCTCAGATGACTTTTGGTAAACAGATGTCAAAGAAAATGGCACTTATTTTTAAATATTTTTATAGACCTAAAGAAATCTAACCAATAAACAAATATACAAAAGCTTGAACCTCTGAAAACAGCAGGAAGAAGCAAACAAATGGGAGATGTCTGTGACAAAATGGAGAAGAAGGAGGGGAAAGAAGAAAGGGAAAGGGAAAAGGAAGAAATTCCATTATAGGTGGTTAGAGGAAAGTAAGAGTTAAAGCTGATTTGAATATACAGACATTCAACCAAATGTCTTGGTGACTAAGCCCAGAAGAGATCATTTTTGGGTGAGCAGAGACAATTGTAAATATATGTAAATACATTTGATTAAACTGAATGAAAAGGGAGTTTGCAGTATTGCTCGGATGTTATGACTAATACAGTCTGGCTTTGTGTTGCGTCTTCAATGGAGCCTGGCTAAAAATACAGCTGTATGCTGGCAGGACTTGTTATCCTCCTATAAGTAATAATGAAACGTATGTGAGGAGGTGGAAAAATAAGGGAGTTGATAAGTGATCGGAGAATCCATGACTGTGAGGGTAGGGTGAAAAAGTGGCTAAAGATGGCATGTCCACAATTCATATACAGGACACTGAGACTTTGTTTTTTTTTTTTTTTTTTTGAGACGGAGTCTCTCTCTGTCGCCCAGGCTAGAGTGCAGTGGCGCGATCTCGGCTCACTGCAAGCTCCGCCTCCCTGGTTCACGCCATTCTCCTGCCTCAGCCTCTCGAGTAGCTGGGACTACAGGCGCCCGCCATCACGCCTGGCTAATTTTTTGTATTCTTAATAGAGACGGGGTTTCACCGTGTTAGCCAGGATGGTCTCGATCTCCTGACCTCGTGATCCGCCCGCTGAGACGTCTAAATGAGGCTCTCTATTCCCAAATCCCACATTTCACCTGGAAGCAAAATTGTCTAAGAAAAAGAAGCAGCACGATGTATGTGTAGAAAAGGAAGGTGACTGGTCTTCTGAGTAAATAGTTGATTATTCTCGTGGAACGCGACTGTCAGGCTTGTTGGACTTCAGACTTAACCTTGTATCCCTCAAACAATTTGCAGAGGTCACTTAAAGAGATGCTTCCAGCTCCTGGAGCCATTACTTATGAACTGTGAGAACTTGGATTTAGTTCCTGCCTCAATTTTCTCATCTATAAAATTAGTATAATAATAGTACCTATTTTATAAGTTTGTTTTTAAGATTAAAAGAGATAATCACTTAGGCAAGTGCTTTGCACAGAGTACATATTCTGTAAATAAAGTATCTGTATCCATTTTGTCTCTCCATTACCAAGAATAATGCCTAGCACGTGGTAGCACTCTTTATTTGTTGAACCAATGAATGAGTGATCCTATTGTATATGATACCAACGTATAGGTTAGTTGCTAAGATTGAATACTTTGATCATCAAGAAAAGAAGGCTAGCAAGGGATGGAGCCTGAAGATAGCATATAAACCTATAGGGTAGTAATTCCTATTCTTTTGGGGTCATTGGTTCTTTAAGAATCCAGTGAAAGATGTAGACAGCTTTTCTATAAAATTTTTGATAGTTCCACACACAGATATCCAAAGATCTGCAAGTCTAGCCATTACCTCCATATTAAGAACTTGTGCTCAGGAATTTAGAAAGCACGAGGAGAATGAAAGGAGTGACGAATGTGTAGAAAGTTCTCGAGAAGTTGTAGCCTCTCCACTTCCCTCCCCACTACACACACACACACACACACACACACACACGCACACACACACACACACACACACACAGAGTTTAAAGCAGACAGTTATAACCAGGAACCCTAGGATGAGATTTGGGTTAAAAAAAAGAGAGAGAGAGAGAGAGAGAGAGATCAGGCACTGTGGATCACACCTGTAATCCCAGCACTTTTGGAGGCCAAGGCGGGCAGATTGCTTGAGCTCAGGAGTTTGAGACCATCTTGGGCAACCTGGTAGAACCACATCTCTACAAAAAATTAGCCGGGCATCGTGGCACACGCCTGTAGTCGCAGCTATTTGGGGGGCCTCCTGAGGTGAGAGGATTGCTTGAGTCCAGGAAAAAAAAAACTGTGAAAGGAATGAAGAGCTGCAAATCGTTTTAATTAAAGAGACACAGAAACTCAGGTTTTGCACGAAGAAGCTGCAGATTCAGGCTGGCTCATCCTGTGACCATGCTGCTTTATTAGGATGACTGCCCAGGACTGGGGGATGCCTGAAGGATTCCAGCCACAAATGAGGCACTGCTGCTCCTTGTGCTGGTATTTCAAGTGATGGATTCCAGGCCCAGAAAGGCTCGTGGTTACTTCAGAGTCATGAATGCTAGACGGCCTAAGTCCTCATCTCAGTGTTCATAGCCTGCCTCCACCCTTCCCCTAAGACAGTGTGCTCAGCTAGGATCAGGAGAATATGTTCTTTACTGGTAACTACGGGAGGGAGGGATTATCAGTATCTGCCTTCACCCTTCCAGGGTTGGGCAGGCTCAGGCCACACCTCAAGTGAGTCAAGGCTCCTCAGGATTTGTTGGCTTGTTTTCCATTGTGGTTTACTGAGGAGATGCTTTTTAAATTAATGCTTACAACTTCCTTCTTAAAGTGGGTTTAAACGCTGCCCCATCCCAGTTCCCTGAAGAATAAACCCAATTGTTATGAATAATTTTTCCATGTTTGAACATAAGTTCTTATAATGTTTAATTTATACATTAACAACTGTTTCTGAGGAATGCAAAAAAAAAAAAAACAAAAAACCTCAAGACATGATCCTTGCCTTCAGATTAACAATAAGTCAAAAGATGTTTCTGGGTGCCTGGCAAGGTGCTGAATAGGAACAGTTCCGATCTGCAGCTCCCAGTGAGATCAATGCAGAAGGTGGGTGATTTCTGCATTTCCAACTGCAGTATCTGGCTTATCTCATAGGGACTGGTTAGACAGTGGGTGCAGCCCACAGAGGGCAAGCTGAAGCAGGGTGGGGCATCGCCTCACCTGAGAAGCACAAGGGGTCAGAGAACTTCCTCCCCTAGCCAAGGGAAGCTGTGAGTGATTGTGCCATGAGCAACGGTGCATTCTGGCCCAGATACTACACTTTTCCCACTGTCTTTGCAACCCACAGACCAGGAGATTCTTTTGGGTGCCTACACCACCAGAGCTGTGGGTTTCAAGCACAAAACTGGGCGGCCGTTTGGGCAGACACTGAGCTAGCTGCAGGAGTTTTTTTTTTCATACCCCAGTGGCACCTGGAATGCCAGCAAGACAGAGCCATTCACTCCCCTAGAAAGGGGGCTAGTGGTCTAGCTCAGCAGATCCCACCCCTATGGAGCCCAGCAAGCTAAGATCCACTAGCTTCAAATTCTCACTGCCAGCACAGCAGTCTGAAGTCAACCTGGGATGCTCGAGCCTGGTGTGGGGAGGGGCATCTGCCATTACTGAGGCTTGAGTAGGCTGTTTTCCCCTCACAGTGTAAAAAAAAGTTGCCGGGAAGTTTGAACTGGTCGGAGCCCATTGCAGCTCAGAAAAGCTTCTATAGCCAGACTGCCTCTCTAGATTCCTCCTCTCTGGGCAGGGCATCTCTAAAAGAAAGGCAGCAGCCCCAGTCAGGGCCTTAGAGATAAAACACCCATCTCCCTGGAACAGAGCACCTTGGGGAAGGGGCAACTGTGGGTATAGATTCAGCAGACTTGAAGTTTCCTGCCTGCCAGCTGTGAAGAAAGCAGCAGATATCCCAGCAGAGCACTCGAGCTCTGCAAAGGGACAGATTGCCTCCTCAAGTGGGTCCCTGACCCCCTTGCCTTCTGACTAGGAGACACCTCCCAGCAGGGGTTGACAGACACCTCATACAGGAGAGCTCCAACTGGCATCTGGCAAGTGCCCCTCTGGAACGAAGCTGCCAGAGGAAGGAACAGGCAGCAATCTTTGCTATTCTGCAGCCTCTGCTGGTGATAAGCAGGCAAACAGGGTCTGGAGTGGACCTCCAGCAAATTCCAACAGACCTGCAGCAGAGGGTCCTGACTGTTAGAAGGAAAACTGACAAACAGGAATTGCATCAACATCAACAAAAAGGATATCCGCACAGAAACCCCATCCGAAGGTCACCAACATCAAAGACCAAAGGTAGATAAATATATGAAGATAAGGAAAAACCAGCGCAAAAAGGCTGAAAATTCCAAAAACCAGAACGCCTCTTCTCCTCCAAAGGACAACAATTCCTCACCAGCAAGGGAACAAAACTGGACGGAGAATGAGTTTGACAAATTGACAGAAGTAGGCTTCAGAAGGTGGGTAATAAGAAACTCCCTCCAAGCTAAAGGAGCATGTTCTAACCCAATGCAAGGAAGCGAAGAACCTCGAAAAAAGGATAGAGGAATTGCTAACTAGAATAACCAGTTTAAAGAAGAACATAAATGACCTAATGGAACTGAAAAACACAGCATGAGAACTTTGTGAAGCATACACAAGTATCAATAGCTGAATTGATCAAGCAGAAGAAAGGATATCAGAGAGTAAAGATCAAATTAATGAAATAAAGCATGAAAACAAGATTAAAGAAAAAAGAATGAAAAGGAAAAAAACCAAGCCTCCAAGAAATATGGGACTATGTGAAAAGACCAAACCTAGGTTTTATTGGTGTACCTGAAAGTAACGGGGAGAATGGAAGCAAGTTGTAAAACACTCTTCAAGATGTTATCCAGGAAATCTTCCCCAACCTAGAAAGACAGGCCAACATTCAAATTCAGGAAACACAGAGAACACCACAAAGATACTCCTCAAGAAGAGCAAACCCAAGACATAATCATCAGACTCACCAAGGTTGAAATGAAGGAAAAAATGTTAAGGGCAGCCAGAGAGAAAAGTTGGGTTACTCACAAAGGGGAAGCCCATGAGACTAACAGCAGATCTCTCTGCATAAACTCTACAAGCCAGAAAAGAGTGGAGGCCAATATTCAACATTCTTAAAGAAAAGAATTTTCAACCCAGAATTTCATATCCAGCCAAACTAAGCTTCGTACGTGAAGGAAAAATAAAATCCTTTACAGACAAGCAAATGCTGAGAGATTTTGTCACCACCAGGCCTGCCTTACAAGAGCTCCTGAAGGAAGCACTAAACATGGAAAGGAACAACTGGTACCAGCCAATGCAAAAACATACCAAATTGTAAAGACTACCAACATGATGAAGAGACTACATCAACTAATGGGCAAAATAACCAGCTAACATCATAATGACAGGATCAAATTTACACATAACAATACTAATCTTAAATGTAAATGGGCTAAATGCTCCAGTTAAAAGACAGACTGGCAAATTGGATAAAGAGTCAAGACCCATCGGTGTGCTGCTTTCAGGAGACCAATCTCATGTGCAATGACACACATAGGCTTAAAATAAAGGGATGGAGGAATATTTGCTAAGCAAATGGAAAGCAAAAAAGAGCAGAGGTTGCAATCATAGTCTGATAAAACAGATTTTAAACCAACAAAGATCAAAAGAGAGAAAGAAGGGCATTCCATAATGATAAAGGAATCAATGCAACAAGAAGAGCTAACTATCCTAAATATATATGCACCCAATACAGGAGCACCCAGATTCATAAAGCAAATTCTTAGAGACTTACAAAGAGACTTAGACTCCCACACAATAATAGTGAAAGACTTTAACACCCCACTGTCAATATTAGACAGATCAACAAGACAGAAAATTAACAAGGATATTCAGGATTCGAACCCACCTCTGGACCAACCAGACCTAATAGACATCTACAGAACTCTCCCCTGCAAATTAGCAGAATATACATTCTTCTCAGCAACACATCACACTTATTCTAAAATTGAACACATAGCTGGAAGTAAAACACTCCTCAGCAAATGCAAAAGAACAGAAGTTATAACAAACAGTCTCTAAGACCACAACACAATCAAATTAGAACTCAGGATTAAGAAATTCACTCAAAACCGCACCACTACATGGAAACTGAACAACCTGTTCCTGAATGACTACTGGGTAAATAACGAAATTAAAGCAGAAATAAATAAGTTCTCAGAAACCAATGAGAACAAAGACAAACTTTGTTCAGAATCATTTGGTGATTTAGTTAACCTTTGAATTTTGTCTTCTTTGTAATGATCATTGTTCAGATCTTTGTTTAGAATCTCTGGGACACAACTAAAGCAGTGTTTAGAGAGAAATTTATAGCACTAAATGCCCACAGGAGAAAGCAGGAAAGATCTAAAATCGACAACCTAACACCACAATTAAAGGAACTAGAGAAGCAAGAGCAAACAAATTAAAAAGCTAGCAGAACTGAAGAAGATAGAGACACGAAAAACCCTCTGAAACCCTTTGAAAAATCAACGAATCCAAGAGCTGGTTTTTTTTTTAAAAGAACAGCAAAATAGATAGACTGCTAGCCAGACTACTAAAGAAGAAAGGAGAGAAGAATCAAATAGAGACAATAAAAAATGATAAAGGGGATATCACCACTGATCCCACAGAAATACAAACTACCATCAGAAAATACCATAAACACCTCTATTTAAATAAACTAGAAAATCTAGAAGAAATGGATACATTCCTGGATACGTACACCCTCCCAAGACTAAACCATGAAGAAGTCGAATCTCTGAATAGACCAATGACAAGTGCTGAAATTGAGGCAGTAGTTAATAGCCTACCAACCAAAAAAAGCCCAGGACCAGATGGATTCACAGTCAAATTCTACCAGAGGTACAAAGAGGAGCTGGTACCATTTCTTCTGAAACTATTATAAACAATAGAAAAAAAAAGAGACTCCTCCCTAACTCATTTGATGAGGCCAGCATCATCCTGATACCAAAACCTAGCAGAGATGCAACAAAAAAAGAAAATTTCAGGCCAATATCCCTGATGAACATACAAAACTCCTAAATAAAACATTGGCAAACTGAACCCAGCAGCACATCACAAAGCTTATCCACCATGATTAACTCAGCTTCATTCTGGGGATGCAAGGCTGGTTCAACATATGCAAATCAATAAATGTAATCCATCACATAAACAGAACCAATGACAAAAACCACATGATTATCTCAGTAGATGCAGAAAGGCCTTCGATAAAATTCAACAGTGCTTCATGCTAGAAACTTACAGTAAACTAGGTATTGATGGAAACTATCTCAAAATAATAAGAACTATTTATGACAAACCCACATCCAATATCATACTGAATGGGCAAATGCTGGAAGCATTCCCTTTGAAAACCAGCACAAGACAAGGATGCCCTCTCTTACCACTGCTATTCAACATAGTATTGGAAGTTCTGGCCAGGGAAACCAGGCAAGAGAAAGAAATAAAGGGTATCAAATAGGAAGACAGGAGTCAAATTGTCTCTGTTTGCCGATGACATGATTGTATATTTAGAAAACCCCATTATCTCAGCCCAATATCTCCTCAAGTTGATAAACAACATTAGCAAAGTCTCAGGATACAAAATCAATGTGCAAAAATCACAAGCATTCCTATACACCAATAATAGACAAACAGAGAGCCAAATCATGAGTGAACTCCCATTCACACTTGCTACAAAGAAAATAAAATATCTAAGAATCCAACTTACAGGGGATGTGAAGGACCTCTTCAAGGATAACTACAAACCACTGCTCAAGGAAATAAGAGAGGACACAAACAAATGGAAAAACATACCATTTCATGAATAGGTGAAAGTAATATATAGATTAAATGCTATCCCCATCAAGCTACCATTGACTTTCTTCACAGAATTAGAAAAAACTACTTTAAATTTCATATGGAACCAAAAAAGAGCCTGTATAGCCAAGAGAATCCTAAGCAAAAAGAACGAACTGGGAGGCATTATGCTACCTGACTGCAAACTATACTACAAGGCTACAGTAACCAAAACAGCATGGTACTGGTACCAAAACAGATATATAGACCCATGGAACAGAACAGAGGCCTCAGAAATAACGCCACACATCTACAACCATCTGATCTTCGACAAACCTGACAAAAACAAGCAATGGGGAAAGGATTCCCTGTTTAATAAATGATGTTGAGAAAGCAGGCTAGCCATATGCAGAAAACTGAAACCGGACCCCTTCCTTACACCTTATACAAAAATTAACTCAAGATAGATTAAAGACTTAAATGTTAGACCTAAAACCATAAAAACCCTAGAAAAAAACCTAGGCAATAGCATTCAGGACTTAGGTATGGGCAGACTTCATGACTAAAACACCAAAAGCAATGGCAACAAAAGCCAAAATTGACAAGTGGGATATAATTATTAAAGAGCTTCTGCACAGCAAAAGAAACTACCATCAGAGTGAACAGAATGGGAGAAAATTTTTGCAATCTATCCATCTGACAAAGGGCTAATATCAAGAATCTACGAGGAACTTAAACAAATTTACAAGAAAAAAACAACTCCATCAAAAAGTGGGTGAAGGATATGAACAGACAGTTCTCAAAAGAAGACATTTATGTGGCCAACAAACATATGAAAAAAAAAAGCTCATCATCACTACTCATCAGAGAAATGCAAATCAAAACCACAATGAGATACCGTCTCACACCAGTTAGAATGGCGATCATTAAAAAGTCAGGAAACAACAGATGCTGGGGAGAGGATGTGGAGAAATAGGAACACTTTTACACTGTTGGTAGGAGTGTAAATTAGTTCAACCATTGTGAAAGACAGTGTGGCCATTCCTTAAGGATCTAGAACCAGAAATACCATTTGACCCAGCGACTCCATTACAGGGTATATAAACCAAAGGATTATAAATCATGCTACTATAAAGACACATGCACACATATGTTTATTCCAGCACTGTTCACAATAGCAAAGACTTGGAACCAACCCAAATGCCCATCAGTGATAGACTGGATAAAGAAAATGTGGCACATATACACCATGGAATACTATGCAGCCATAAAAAGTGGTGAGGTCATGTCCTTTGCAGGAACATGGGCAAAGCTAGAAACCATCATTCTCAGCAAACTAACATAGGAACAGAAAACCAAACACTGCATGTTCTCACTCATAAGCAGAAGTTGAACAATGAGAACACATGGACACAGGGAAGGGAACATCACACACCGGGGCCTGTTGGAGTGTGGGGAACTAGGCAGGGGACAGCATTAGGAGGAACACCTAATGTAGGTGATGGGTTGATAGGTGCAGTAAACCATGGCACGTTTATACCCATGTAACAAACCTGCGCGTTCTGCACATGTATCCCAGAACTTAAAGTATTAAAAAAAAAAAGTTTCTGAGGCAATTTATGTGTGACATGCACTGAAGGACATAATGACCTTTGGGACACAATGGTGCACCGACTGGATGGTTGAGACTGTTGCCATGAAAAAGTTAATGGCCCAGCAGGGAAACACAAACAACTGCAAATATGGTGAGTGCCATGATGGAGAAGTGCAAGGTACAGTGTAGGCAGACAATTTTGGGGCCTACACTTAATTGGAGATGGAAGGTGTGATTGAGAAAGGCTTTCAAAAAACTTCAGCTCACTCGAAGAAACAAAGTGAGCACATCTGAAGCTATAGAGAGCCCTCTAAGTTCAACTACAGTAAATAACTCAAAAGGGGAGGCCATAGGGGATATGTAAGAGCTAGAAGGATCAAGAAAGCAGGCAGGACTTGAGTTTTTCTTTGAAGGAGAGATAAATGGAGATGGAAAGGGTTGAAATTTTCTGAAAACAGGATGATATAAGATGCAGTGTAAACGAGAAGTGTGATGTATTTGTAGAAAAAGTTGGTGACTGGCCTTACTAGTATAGAGGATTCCAAGCTGAGGAGAAGTGATAGATGCAACAGAGATGTACACATAGCTAGAATAAAGATTCCTGAAACCATGCAGAGAACAATGACTCAAAGTGCTCGGAAATAGAGAGCCACTAAAGGTTGTAAGTAAGGGAATGACACAATGAAGTCAAGATTTTAAATAGCAGGAGATAGGTTTGATTGACCGAAGTTGAGGCTGGATTAAAGGAATCTGTCTGAAGCATCCAGATACAAGAGGATAATGATATAAATCATGGAAATGGAAATAGATAAAACTAAGGAAATAGGGGATTTCATGATTAACTGATGCTGTATAAATCAAGAAGCTCATTATGAGACTTGGAGTTCTCTGGCCAGTTATAATGGCGGGCTTAGTACAAGGGTCAAATTTAGAAGGGGTGAGGAAGGCATGCCAAATTTAGTTTTGGACATTTTGAGTTTGCAGCTTACTATTATTTGTGATTTACTTGTTATAACCCCCTGCTGGTTACTCTGTGTTTGACTTTCTAATGACAATTGCCCTGAGGTACACTCTAAGTTGTGGGTTAGGAAAGTGGTCTCTTGTATGTACTGTAAATGACACTGTAAATCCTCACAAAAGAAAACAAAGTTTGTGAAAATTCAGAGAGCCTCTTTTAGCATATAACTGGGTTGTTCTCATGCTATATGTGAAATAATGCACTCATCATGGGGTTTTTCTCCATCTCAGTGTGCATCTTACATACATTATGAATTTTAGCAAATTTAACTTAAGCAATATTTATTGAGCATATATAAGGTATGTAGATTGAGATTGTTTTTGTTTGCCTAAATGGCAATTCTTAGAATAACAAGGAGACAAGTTTCTTCATTTGGTGATTTAGTTAACCTTTGAATTTTGCCTTTGTAATGATCATTCATTGAAGTGTCTTTGTTCATAGTGGAAACATAAATCTAAACTCAGAAATTATCTGAATTGGTGGAGGTTTGGTGGAAAAATGCATTTCTTTCTTATAAAAATAATGCTCAAATGCAAGATGAGATTCACCTTAAAACCAGATTTTTTAATACTGAGGGAAAAGGAATCTGTTTGAAGGAGTATCCAGAGGTTCTCCTCCTTTGGGACAGATGGAGCATTACAGATAGTTTGCTGGGCCATAAAACATGGTATTCAGGTCACATGATGAACATTGAGTCTTTCTATTATCTTCTCACATATATATCTGCCTTGGCATCCTTTATAGGCTTGTTTTTGTAGGTATTGCTTTATTTTACTGATTTGTCTTTTGTTCTCCCATTTATGCCATAGAGGTAGACACCTTTAACTCTATCAGCCTCACATCCCTGCTGCAAGTAACTTCTTGTGATCTTGAAACTGCCTTTGCAAAGATTATGAAAGTGAGAGAAGTCTAACATGGCTGGCTCCATATTGCTTCTAGCCTCACAGTCTGGCTGTCTTTGCTCATTCCTGGATGTAGATCAATCTAACCATGGGAGGAATTGAGTTTGTAATTTAACCTTGAAGCAAGGATGAGAATAGTACCTTCTTAAATCTGATCATCTCCAAGTTCAGGGGCTGAAACTCCTTTTGTAAGACTAATGAAAGGCCACAAGATTAGGATTAGGAGAGAGGTCTGAATTCGCTAAAATGTAGGCATAGTTTCTACAATTCCTTCCAGCTCTAGTCATATGGCCAAAAGTCACAAGATTTTTGACTTCTCCAATTGCTCTTATAGATAACATCACTATTGTAGAACCTAAGATTGGTTTTTTGAGATATCTTTCAGACGTTTGCATTCTGGCCACTGACTGACCCCATCCAGACTCGGGACTCATGACTCAACCAGTCCTAAGGCCCCCACTCAGAAGCAAACTCAGCCCACCAGGACTGTTTTCCACACCCCTATGAATGCATCCGCAACCAATTAGTATTACCCATTCCCTAGTCCCCTGCTCACCAAACTATCCTTGAAAAACCCTAACCTCCAAGCCTTCAGGGAGACTGATTTGAGTAATAGTTCCATCTTCTGTGTGGCTAGTCTAGCATCAGTTAAACTCTTTCTTTGCTGCAATACCATGATCTCAGTGAACTGGTTTTGTCTGTGCAGCAGGCAGGAAGAACCCATGGGGCAACTACACTCTGCTTACGCTTGAAGACCATATGGGGTCACTCTAGGACAGCTGGAGGACTCAGACACTCCATACTACCTAGATTTCCTCCCAATTTCCCAGCACATTAAGTCTACACTGGGAAGCATACTTCTTTCATTTCAAATACTTTTCTCTTGATAAATATTTGAGGAAAGTTTCTGGTGAGTAAACTTTTATTTTTTAAACTTTATTACAAACTGTCATACACATTATCATTTCTGTCCATTCGGTCTCCAAAGACCTCTACTAAGTACACAGTGTTGGCCTACAATTTTCTCTTCTTAGGATAAAAATATTTAAAACTTCATGAAAAAAATACACGTGCAAATGTAATCGAGGCTCTTCACTAATTCAAAATGAGTCTTTCCAAATTAATAACAGTTAATGAAGTGTGTTATCTTTTTAAAAAGGATATGATATTTAATGTCCTTTTGTACTAAAAAAAAGTTTTTTAAAATAACAAAATTAGCTGAGTGTGGTGGTGTGTTTGTCTAGTCCTAGCTACTGAGAAGGCTGGGGCAGGAGGAGGATCACTTGATTCCAGGAGTTCAGAGTTACAGTGAACTATGACCATACCAGTGTACTCCAGTCTCAGTGACAGAGTTAGACCATGTATCTAAATAAATAAATAAACCATAGTTAAGCATATAACCTAAAACATTATATCAATAGTAGGCCTGAGGCAAAAATAAATTGTCCGAATTATCAGACACAGAGAAGTAAATAATAATATAATTTAGTTAGGTGATTTTATATTTCCTTTTGAGATAACTATTACATAATTAAGAACTAGAAAAATAGTCATTCAGTGAATACTATACACATTTTTAAAAATACTGTAATTGTTTGTAAATTGCCATTGGGTTATGATGAAAAATGGAAAGGGCAAAAGACACTGGGGAAAGTTAACAGACCAAGGATGAGATAGGGTACCAAAAAATGGAATAGGGAGACATATGCATTGAAAGGAAAAGGAGGCATAGAAAGGATATTAAAAAGAAGTTGGACAAGAGGGAGATGATTGAGCAATTTCATTCATCATACTCTGTTCTTCATTTGGACTGTGGCTTTAGAAAATGTTTACCCTTTATTTTCTATCATTTGAAATAAGCAGTTTAGTCATTTGATATGGTTTAGCTCTGTGTCCCTACCCAAATCTCATCTTGTAGCTGCCATACTTCCCACCTGTTGTGGGAGGGACCTGGTGGGAGATGACTGAATCATGGGGGCTGGTCTTTCCCATGCTGTTCTCATGATAGTGAATGGGTCTCATGAGATCTGATGGTGTTAAAAATGGGAGTTTCTCAGCTGAGCACAGTGGCTCACACCTGTAATCCCAGCACTTTGGGAGGCCAAGGCGGGTGGACCATGAGGTCAGGAGATCGAGACCATCCTGGCTAATATCGTGAAACCCCATCTCTACTAAAAATACAAAAAATTAGCCAGGCATGGTGGCAGGCACCTGTAATCCCAGCTACTCAGGAGGCTGAGGCAGGGGAATCGCTTAAACCCCGGAGGCGGAGGTTGTAGCGAGCCAAGATCGCACCACTGCACCACTGCACTCCAGCCTGGGCGACATAGCAAGACTCCTTCTCAAAAAAAAAAAAAAAAAAATGGGAGTTTCTCTGCACAAGCTCTCTTTTTGCCTGCTGCCATCCATGAAAGACGTGACTTGCTCCTCCTTGCCTTCTGCCATGATTGTGAGGCCTCCCCAGCCATGTGGAACTGTAAGTCCAATTAAACCTCTTTCTTATAAATTGCCCAGACTAGGGTATGTCTTTATCATCAGTGTGAGAACAGACTAATACATCATTGTTCTCAGTTCTCTAGTTCCTTTTTAGCACTTATTCTTTAAATGCTCTGTTCTTAATGACTTAACCATTAGGTATGGGAAAATTGTTATATCAAAAAACAATGAGCAAGATAATATTAATCCTTTGGATTAGATTTTAGATCAGCCCACTGAATATATCAAGTCCAAGACAGGTATATCTAGTAAGCTAATTCTCCATCTCTGCCTTAGTTAATTAAACTATAATAGAGAGCACACTTGCTAACATAATGACTGTGCTGTTGATCGTAATGCAGAGCACATGTACACATACATGCCAAAGAAATCTTTCTTCTGGCAAGACTGGTAGCATGTAGGTGACTGATGCCAATTTAGCTATTTCTTTCCATGGTTCAGGATGTATTTTCATACTCCATGCCAAGAACTAGTCTGTATTTTTGGAGTGGCCCCAAGAAATTAGTGAGAACAAAGATAAAGAATAAACATTTTTATATTTAGAGCCTCTTGTGTAGTTGCAGTCAGATATCAGCTAGGGTTAGAATCATCTGAAGGCTCAACTGGGCTAGATGTTGAGGATGACTCAATGACATTACTGGCAAGTTGCTACTGGCTGTTGGAAGTTCAGCCAGGACTGCCCACTGGGGACCTCAATCAATCTCCCTATGAGCCTCTCCATGGGGCCACTTGGGCATCCTCAAAGCATGGTGGCTGACTTCCACTGGGAAATATCCTGAGAGGGCATGTCCAGAGAGCAAGTTTTTCCAGAATCCCAAGCAGAAGCTACAATACTTTTGTATGACTCAGGCTCAGAAATTCCAGAACATAACTTCCACTGGATTCTATTCATCACTAAGTCTAGCCTAATCCACTAAAGATTTTAAAGTCACTAAGTCTAGCCTAATCCAAAAAAGGAAAATTAGACTTCACCCCTTGATGGAAGGAGTAGAAAAGATTTTGTGGCCATCTTTAAATCAATTCCAGAGATGTAGATTTAAATCACAACTCTACCATTTTCTAGCTAAGAGCAAGTTACAAAATTTGTTAGCCTATTTTTCCATTTTCAAAATGCAGATGACAGTACAACGATAGGAGGTTATTGCAATGGTTAAATTAAACTAAATTAAATAATGCTGTTTCCATCCTTGAAAATCCCCCACTTGTGTATCTGATGCAGTTTGTGTCTATAATTCAAATAAGAATCATGCTTAACTATAAATGTGAGATGGAAGTTGGGAGGGAAGCGTAAGAGAGGGTTATATTATGGCCCTCAAATACTCGTGGAAAAATCCAACATCTCTCTGGAAATCCAGCAACCAGTATCCCCTCCCCACTGCACCAAAAGACAAAAGGATTGGCAAAATCTTAGAGTCTCTTGCCCTTTATCTAAGAATAAATTTTGTGCCTATGTACTGTTTTACCACCTCTGAACTGTTTGCTTCTGACTGTCTTAATGAATTCCCATCATAGTTCTATATTAAGCCATGAACAACTGAAACTTTCCCTCCATCTCATTAAACTTTTCAAGAAGAAAAGAAGCTTTCTTTATTAATATCTGGGCAAATCAACATTCATAGCCAGAACCCTTGAATTCACTGGTACGATCCTTACTGCCAAGCTCTCCTTGACAGTCCACCTTAAACTTCTCCTTATTCCTTGAGACATGGCTTTAGGTTATCATTTTGTATTTATTTTATTGCATATTTGAAAAAATATAACTCATATATCAAACCTGTAGTTTCATATTTTATTGCTTAGGCTAAATGAAATTATCAAATCTACTGAAAAAGTATATTGCATAAACTTGCACAGGTGATACATTGATAAGGCAAAATCACAAAGGTGGGTAGGTGAATGACTGGAATTTAGGAAACATTTTCCTGTTTATAAAAGAACTAGACACTAAACCAGTAAACAGACCCACCTTTTTTTCATATATCTGTAAGTCACCCATAGAGTATGCTCTTAACTTAGGACCAAGACACTTTGGGTGTGTAATGGATCTCTACAATCAATCATGTATACAGATTTCTTGCTCCAGCTATTGGCAATGAGGCAGTACCCTTGATGCAGAAATATGGTAGCTGAAAGCCTGCTCTAAAAACTAAACATATGTGAACTCCAAAACACCGCTATATTGTTGTTAACCACATTCAAATAATATGATGCCATCAACAAGGAGCAAAAAGGCTTGGTTTCTAATTCTCATTCTTGCCTTTCTGAATTGTGTAACCTCAGACAAATGACTTAGTCCCTCTGGCTTTCTGTTTTTCTCATCTGTGAAACAGGGACTCTGGCAACAGCACTGCCTTCCTTATAGAAATATTGTTATCAAATAACATATGGTATGTGAAACTTCTTTGCAAATACTCAGAAGAGCTATACACACAGATGTAAATATTGAGCATCCAATTGGCTGTGAAAAACTGTTGTTAATAGCATGTATAGGGTAAAACAGACAGCACTCCATATTCTTAAAAGGGAGCACAGCAGAATAGTGTAATATGTAGACTTTAGAGTCAGCCTAGGAGTTTCAAATCCAAGCCATGCCCCTAACTGCTTGTATGAGTTCTGTACCTCAAGTGTCTCATCTGTAAAATGGGAATACTAAGAATGCCTGCTCCACAGGGACTTTATGAATACTTAATGTATTAACGTATGTAAAGTCCTTGGGACAGTGGCTTATTTTCAGCAAGTTAACTGGTAGTATCAAGCTACTATATTTAAACGCTGCTGGTGAGAATTCTGAGCACTTACTGGGATGATTTTGGTTGAAGCATGCAGACTGGATTCTTTCTTACTGTGCGTTTTCTGTTAAACTATAGCCCTTAAATGAATGAGGGGGGGAAAGGAGATTTTCAAGGATGTATTATGTGTTCTTTGCCTTGTATTTAATATATGTGATTTATCCCACTGAGCATTTTTTCCTTTTTTTAATTAATTTATTTTTTGAGACAGTGTCTGTCTCTGTTGGCCAAGCTGGAGTACAATGACACCATCACAGCTCACTGCAACCTTGGCCTCCCTGGCTCAAGCAATCCTCCCACCCCAGCCTCCCTTTGAGACTGCAGGTGCATCCAACCACGCCCAGCTAATTTTTATATTTGTTTTGGTAGAGACAGGATTTCACCATGTTGCACAGGCTGGTCTCGAACTCTTGAGCTCAAGCAATCTGCCCCTGTGGGCTTCCCAAAGTGCTGGGATTATAGGCATGAACCACCACACCCAGCCCCAGTGAGCATTTTTTTAGTGTTTAGGTCTGTTTTTACAACATCTGGTGGTTACATTTCCCCCAAATCCAGTGGAATTAGGCAATAGTGATCAAGCTATGGGGTCTGGAATTGGGCTGCCTGGGCTTAAATTTCAATTCTATTACTTCTCAAGTGTTGTGACTACTTTGGACAAATTACTTAAGTTCCCAAAACATCAGTAACCTCAGCTACAAATTGCAGATAATAAGTATTTATCTCATGGGGTTGTTGAGAGATCTATAGGAGAAAAGGGATGAAAGTGTTAAGTAAATGTTAGTTACTGTTATCATTGGATTGATTTACACTAGAATCTACAGAGCTAGCTTTCAAGTTTTTCACATGGTAGAATTAGACAGGGTTCAAGTTTAAAGACTGAAGTATGTATTTAAGTCAAGGCACTATGACCCAGTTTCTGGCTGCTTATCTCATTATACCTCCCATTGGTGAGCTATCTCAACTGGAAAACGTGCCTATGAGCAGGAAGAAACTTGAATGGACACAGCCCACATTCTTCTCTTCCTAGAAGATTCTTTTAACCTCATTACTTCAAGAAGATGCCAGGCACTCTGTGTCTTCCTTGTTTTTACTTGCCAATGGATCATCTTGCTACCTTTTCATGTTCCTACATAGCATGTTGTTTATGTTGCCAACTTCTGTAAAGGCAGATGTTCATGTTTCTAGAGTTCTGCCATAAAGTAAGCAAAATGCATGACAGCTGTAGTGATTGAACCTTGGTGTGTTGAAACTGGGAGTTTAGAATCATTTAAGCTAGATGCCCCAGGCCTAATGCATTCAAGGGGTTACCACTGCAGAAGCTCCTGGTGACTTTAAATCATGTGGAGTTTGCCATCTGCTTTCCATTTCAGATTCCATTCAAATCACTTCTATTGAACTAAAACACATGGATGATTTTATTAATAGCCAAAAAACACATCTACCCATTTCAAAATCATTATTTGTTTGTTTGTTTGTTATTTAATGTGTTTTATTTATTTTGGCTTAAAACAACAGAAAGTTATTGTCTCAAAGTTGCAGGAAGCTAGAAGTCCAAACTCAGGCTGTTAGTAGGGCCATACTCCTTCCGGAGTCTCTAAGGGAGAAACTGTTTCTTGCTTCTTCCACCTTCTGGCAGCTGCTGGCATTCCTTGGATTGTGGTTGCATCACTCCAATCTCTGCCTCCACCATCACATCTCTTTCTCTGACTCTTCTGCCTTCCTTTTAAAGGGTACTTGTAATTGCATTTAGAGCTCACTCAGATAATCCAGAATAACCTCCTCATTTTAAGATCCTTAACTTTCTCACATCTGCCAAGTTTCTTTTCCCATATAAGGTAATATTTATAGGTTCTAGGGATGAGGAAGCAGATATCTTTGGGGGCCATTATCCTGCCTACCACATTATTCTGCCTTGCTTAGGGAGGAGTCCAGAACTGGTGGGCTCTGGGCTGGCCTCGTGGTGGTGAGGGGTCACCATGATCATGAGCCAAGTCTGCACCCCATGGAGGAGGGACTGCCTAGGGCCAGCAGGGTCAGAAGGGCCATCCTTCAACCTGGTGCAAGGAGGGAAAATGCCATGATTTTAAGAATAGTAAAGTCATTTCAAAGCCTTAATCTTAGAGAGTCATTGAGATTAAAATGCATTTGTTTTCAGTAGGCCATGTGTTTGGATACATGCCCTCAAAATCAGGAGCGATTGTATCCTGGGCCTAGGGACTTCCCTGCACTGTGGACTGTAGGAATTTAATGGAGTATCCTGACTCTGGTGGAACTTTGTAAAACTAATTTATGGCAAGTATTTCGAGATCTTTGTTTTTCTTTATAAACCATGTGTTTTTACCTTGTTTGTGTAACATGTGATATACTCAAATAGAGAAAAAACTTGTAAGGACACAATTCTCTAAGGAGTGATGGTAAGGGATGTGGCTAAATAAATAATAGCCACAATAGGGGCTAGCTACTATAGTGACTCAAATTGTCTTATTTTAATTATCATACAACTCTATACAGTAGTTGTAAACCAAAAACACAATTCTAAGCTCCTAAACTGATTAAATGGATTCCTCTCTCAAGGGCATTCCAAAGTAAACCTGAAAAACTAGTTCAGGCCATGATGTGAAGGAGGGCTTGCCTCATTTTATCCTCCTCTTTGGAATTGAGACACAACTGACCAGCATTAACATTAAAACAGAGATCTTAAGACTGAAAAAACAGACTTTGTAGCAATAAGATACCAAACTCCAACCTGACTCTAGTATAAAATCACATAGCAGATAGCAAGCCCTGAAAGAAAATGAAATTTTTTATCCCAAAATATATTTTTATAACGTATTTTGAAACGGCCTTGCAAAGCTGTCTTTTGTGGGGAAAATCTACATTCTATAGGTAATTCCCTTTCCTTTCTGGGTCTTTTCCTGATCCAGGAGAGATTTAACTAAAAGTCTGGCACCTTCCAGGGCCCGGTAAGAGATATTTACAATCTATTCTCTGAAGCCTGTTACCGGGAGGTTTCATCTACATAACAAGGACCTTGGTTTCCATAGTCCCCTTTATCTTAACTACAAACATTTCTTTCTACTGATTTCAACTCTTCAGGCAGAGCTTAACCCTTTCAACCAGTTGCCATCAGGAAATCTTTAAATCTACATTTGACCTGGAATCCTCCACTGTGAGAGGTCCTGCCTTTCTGGGCCAAACCAATATATACCTAACACGTATTGATTTATGTCTCTGCCTATAATTTCTGTCCCCTTAAAATGTATAGAAATCAGGCTATAACCCAGCCACCTCAGGCATATGTTCTCAGGACCTCTTGAGACTATGCCTTGGACCTTGGTCGCTCATATTTCCCTCAGAATGAACCTGTGTAAATACATTACAGAGCTTGACTCCTTTTCATTGACAGTATTAAGACCTTAAAATATAAAAATTATAAATCTTCAAAGGGTTATATCAGTCTTTAGTTTCTCTTAACGAAGGAACAGTTGTTGACCAGGGCAGCTAATGAAATAGTTCTGGAATAGCCCAGTCTTTGGTTGCCCACTCTGGGCACCTGAATCTTAACTCCATCAAGGCCGTCCAGTCTACACAATTCAACTTTCTTTTTTTTATCCCAAGAAAAATCTATCCCCATTAATTATAGGATATCAGTCATTCACTTGAAGTCAGGAGGGAAAAAGTACTGGTGAGCTTTTCTCTTGCCAGTGGGCAACATGTAACAGGCTTTACATTATAAATAACTTAACCACATCCATGGGGCCTGATCCGCTTGGAAAAAAAAATGTAACAGGACAGCACTAGACAGAGCTGTGATATCCTTAAACTGATAAAAAGTTCTGCAACAGTGTCCTTAGGGTTAGCCTCCCCTAAAACCTCAAATGGAATTTGGAAGTTTCAGAACCAAATCCAAACTCTGGAGTCTAGCACATCAGGTCTTTCACAATCTTAGTTTTTTACATTCTTCCTTCCTTTGATATTCTCCACCACTGTATCTATTTCACTTCCTCTCCCACCATTTTCCAAAATATTTAAATTGAGTTTTAAGCAATTTTATGAACACAAATTAACACCTGAATATGCACTCTGCATATTTATTAAAAGAAACACACATACCTAGAAAGTGGATGAAAACAATAAAATGACTTGCTGCTTATGACTGAATCTATAGCCTATAACAGTAGCTATATATTTGTTAAATAATATATTTGAAAGGATAAAATCATCTTCATAAAAATAGAAAATGAACACATCAAAGATTTTGTTTAAACTATTAAATATAAATAATAAGGGAATTGGTGATAAGTCACAACCTATTCAGAGGGGAATCCAAAGAGCAGACACATTTATGGGCAATTAAAAATGCTGAGACAAATTTGTTAACAGACGCAGAACTGATCAATATCCACAGGGTATGAGTCAGTTGTAACTCTGTAGGGGAAAGTTCATTTGCATTTTTGTGGACAAGGATAATTTGCATTACTACAGTTTTGTATAACTTACAGAGTTGTAAAATGGCTTAAAGACGCTGAAATTCACAGATTATCTGGAAAGGGGCGTTAGATAAAACATCCAGCAACTTTTCTTTTTAGTTTTTATTTTTTCCCTTTCAAGGTTTTTCACGACTCTTTCTGACATATTATATACAAGGTTTTATATAATAAAATGATAGCCACAATAAGTACTGGCCATCTTGATGTGCTTTTTACTTCCATTATTTATCATATAACTCTATGAAATAGGTGGTAATCAAGGCCTTAAAATACCTAAAATTAGAAGGCTTCAAAGAATGGTATGTTAGCCTTTAATTTCTCTTTATTAAGGAACACTTGGTGACCAGGGCACCTAAGGAAACAGATCTGGCATGGTCCACTATTTCCTAAGGGTGTCCTACGTGGCTCTGACCTTGGGCAGCCTGGCTGGCAGGTATGTAATGTTGGCTCCTTTTTTTTCAGCTGATCGCTGAAAGGTCTCGCTGTTTGATCATCAACTCCAGAAATGGCCACACAATGCCATGGCCCTCTCTGTCAAAGCTGAGTGTTCTGTCTTGGATGAGAGTGCCTCTGTGTACGATGACAAAAGGAGGGGGCTTTAGGCCCATTCTCACAGGCAGAATCTCATTTGCTTGAAAGGCTGAAAATGGATGCCTTATAGTGCTGAAACTTGTTCTCCAAGATGTTTCCTATTAAAAGCTGCCAATCCCACTCTGTCTGTCAATATCACAGTTTGATAATTTCATGGTAATAGAGAATATATTTTACATGTGCACTCACTCATTCATTGGACAAATATTTATGTGCTAGACACAAATATTTCCAAAGGAAACCAGCAGTGAACAAACCAGGCAAAAAATCTTCGCCCTCCTGGAATTTAAACAAACTGTTTTTAAAAAGAAGTGGAATATTTAATATGTTAAGTGATGTGAAGTACTATGGAATCAAGAAAGCAGAAGAGGGGGTTGGGAAGTTAAGGAAAATATAGCATGACTTGAGGCAGCATGGACATTTTTAAATTGCTCAGTCAAGGAATGTCTCAAAGACCCACAGGCAAGTGAGTGAGCCATGTGGATATCCAGGAAGAGGATGTGAATTTTCCAAGGGCAAAGACCCTGAGGTGGGAGCATGCCTGTCGTGTTCAAGGAAGAGCAAGGAGACCAATGTGAATCATGAGAGAAGGCACACTTTTCCTCGCCATAAATATTGAAGAAATGGCTCATTATATGGGTTTGACACACCTCAACACACCTTTTTGGAACACAACAGGGTACAAAGACTGACAGAATGTAAATGAATGAACCAATGAATGAAGGCCAATGTGCATCTTCCATTACAGTTCATAAAATATTGATACCACAAGTTTATTGAGTGTATTTTTTTCTCTCTAAAATCCAAAAGGAGCTAATTTTTAAAAATAAGAAAACCCTTAATTTTACTGTCTTTGGAATAACTTGTTCCTTCTAATTTTTTGGCAGCTTATTGTAGAGAAAATTTAACCTATTTGCTCTCTATTTCTTTATATGCAAATATTAAAATTGATGTAATGAAAGTTTTAGTTGTTGGAGAATGTGTATTAGCTCTCCAAATTAGCCATTTAAAAGCCTGACAAAGGTGCTTTGCCAAGAATAAGAATCTTTAGGCCAGGCACGGTGGCTCATGCCTGTAATCCCAGCACTTTGGGAGGCTTAGGCAGGCGGATCACAAGGTCAAGAGATCAAGACCATCCTAGCTAACATGGTGAAACCCCGTCTCTACTAAAAATACAAAAAAAAAAAAAAAAAAAAAAATAGCTGGGCGTGGTGGCGGGAGCCTGTCATCCCAGCTACTCGGGAGGGTGAGGCAGGAGAATGGTGCGAACCCGGGAGGCAGAGCTTGCAGTGAGCAGAGCGCCGCTGCACTCCAGCCTGGGCGAGAGTGTGAGACTCTGTCTCAAAAAAAAAAAAAAAAGAATATTCAGCAAATGTTTTTAGATAGACATGAAAAGGTAGTGTTATTCTGTTTCTATGACTTATTTTAAGAACACAAGAAGAGTATGTATATATATGTGTGTATATATGTGTATATACATATATGTGTATGTATATGTGTGTGTATATATGTACATATATATGTACATATATACACACACATATACATACACATATATAGATAAATTTATAAACATATACACACATATATAGATAAATTTGTTTCATCAAATAAAACTTGCTTATTTTTACTTTCCCCCTTCTTTATATATGTGTATATATATGTGTGTATATATGTGTGTATATACACATAAATTTGATGAAACAAATTTATATATGTGTGTGTATATGTTTGTATGTGTATGTGACATTGAACTATCTCATCATCATCACCATCTAACTTATCTATTCAGAAACACTGAGTGACTTTCATTGTTAAATGTGTTTTCGATCATTAGAAATAGGTGGAAATACTAGCTCATGTGGTTTTATGTGACTGGTTTATAGGCTTCACTAGGTCAACACATCACATCTCCCAAAATTGCATAATACTTTTCCTTTGTATCTACATCCTTTCTCTAACTCATTCAAATATGGCAGGTTTTGCAAAATTCCAAAATATATCTTTAAATATTAGCCCATAGAAATTTGTTTCGTAAAATAAATCTTGCTATTTTCTCTTTTTCTCTCATAAATATGCTGATCCCAGTTTCTAGGATTTGTTCCCATTTTGTCCTGTCCCCAGAACTTTTCTACTAAGACAAGACTTAGATTAGACAGGGGCCAGAATAGAAGAAACGGAATCCAGACCTGAATATCCTTGTGATTTCTCAAGTTGTTTCTGTATCGCTTGTCAGCAATTTGGAAAAACAGCTTAAGGGTTGTGAAATCTGGAACCCTGGGTCCAAATGCTGGCTGTAACATTTGCCAGCTCTGTGGCCTTTGGCAAATTAATTCACCTCTCTGAACCTTGGTTCTCCTGTTGTAAAATGGAGGTAGTATTTTAGTACTTAATTTCAAAAGCTCCTATAAAAATTAAAATAAATAAAAGATACAAGTTCTTGCTGTTAGAATCATTATCTGATTTAATTCTTCTCGTATCCTTATAAGACCATTTTTGTCCCAATTTTACATATGAGACAACCCAATATTTATCATTGTCACAGAGCTAGTAAGCATTTATTTGTGTGTTCATTCAGCAAATACATATGGATGGGAAGCTAGGTGCCTTTGTGGAGCTTTCCATTATGCTGGAGAGTGGCGACGAATATACAAATATACAAATGAGAATTGTATATGCAATTGTATTGTATATGTATATTTGCATGAATTGTATATGTGTGTATATATATATTTGTGAGAATTGTAACATATATTTGCAAATATACAAACAAAAATTGTAGAAGTAATAAGTGCAATGAGAAGAAAGAACAGGGTAATAAAGACAAAGCAATGGAAAAAGAAAGGAGAATGAAGGGAATTCAAAAAGACCCCTGGTGAAGCGACATCCGAGCTGAGACCAGAATGATGGGGAAGATCTGCAGAGCAGCAGAACAAGCAGACAAGAGCAAATACAAGACAAGTGCCTGGGCTGGAAGTTCAGGGATGCCTGCCGGGAAGATGATGGGCTGAATGCCTTACAAGGGAGCCTGCCAACTCTGAGCAAATCTCACATAGTCTCAAGCTTAATAATAGTGTGGATGATTCTGTGGCACTCAGCAGTCTTTCAGGATTATAATGTCCCTAGTCATCAACTTGTTCGTATAGATTTGATAAAATGTGCTTCATGTGTGTCTTTCTGTGATTCCGAGGTAATGGGAGGGCAAGGGACACAGAAGATGACTATGCCTATCTTGTTTCTTGCCATGTGTTAACTTCAAAGGAAGCTCCCTCTCCATTAAGCTTCAATGAGGAGGAAAAAAAGAAATGATATTTTAATGAACAAAGCAATCCAAGCCATTACTTGGTTGCTGGGGCACTGCATGGTGTAATTTGCTCAGCATTTTTGAACTCAGACTGACTAGACTTACAACAGAGCAGAAGCAGTGCTACACAGAACAGTGTCATTAAACCAGAGGTACCTTGATCCCTGCTACTTCCTGTTGCCACATTTTGCACCCTCTTATGGCTCTGATTATGCCATTCTAAAATACCAGATATTTTGAAAACTAGTTGGAATTTGAGGGGAGATTTTGCTCAGACTTGTGACTAAGGCTCAAACCAGTTTGTTTGTGATCCTCCCTGGTTAATCTCTTTTACACATTGTGGTGTGACACGTGGACAATATTTTCAAATGGGAGAAGAATCATTCATGTGTGGGTACAGAAAGGAAGGAGGATCCGAAGCCCCAAGAAGACGTTGGATGGAGCAATAATATAAAATCATAGTGATTCAACATGATTACAATGCTTAACAGGCAGCATAGGCCTTTGCAACATTCAAATCGGTTTCTAAGTGAAAATATATACACTAAGTACGACCAGGAGGTGTCTCAGAATTTCAGCCTGTAAGAATGAGAAGGTAAGAGATGTAAATTATAGGCCACTTATATTGGGCATATTCGTTTCCTAGGGCTGCCATAACAAAGTCCTCAAAACTGTGTGGCTTAAAACAACAGAAATTTATTGTCTCACAGTTCTGGAGGTTAGACGTCCAAAATCAAGGTGCCAGCAGGGCCATGCTCTCTCTCATGGTTTTAGGAGAGAAATCTGCCTTGACGTCTAGCTTCTGGTGTTTTGTGGCAATCTTTGGTGATCCTCAGCTTGTAGATGCATCACTGCAATCACATGGCCTGCCTTCTCCCTGTGTGTCTTCACAGCTTCTTCCCTGTGTGCATGTCTGTCTGTGGTCTAAATTGTCCCTTTTTGTGAGGATGCCAGTCATATTAGCTTAGGGCTGTATTAGGCCATTCTTACATTGCTATAACGAAATACCGGAGACTGCATGTATTAGTTTGTTTTCATGCTGCTGATAAAGACATACCCAAGACTGGGCAATTTACAAAAGAAAGAGGTTTAATTGGACTTACAGTTCCATGTGGCCGGGGAAGCCTCACAATCGTGACAGAAGGCAAGGAGGAGCAAGTCCCATCTTACATAGATGGCAGCAGGCAAAGAGAGAATGAGGACGATGCAAAAGCAGAAACCCCTGATGAAGCCGTCAGATCTCGTGAGGTTTATTCACTACCATGAGAACAGTATGGGGGAACCGCATGCATGATTCAATCATCTCCCACTGGGTCCCTCCCACAACACATGGGAATTATGGGAGTACAATTCAAGATGAGATTTGAGTGGGAACACAGCCAAACCATATCACTGCATAATGTATAAGAAAAGAGGTTTAATTGGCTCATGGTTCTGCAGGCTGTACAGGAAGCATAGCACCAGCATCTGCTTCTGGAGAGGTCTTAGGTTTTTACTCATGGTTGAATGCAAAGAGGGAGCAGGCTTCCCACATGGTGAGAAAAGGAACAAGAGAAGGCAGTGGGGGAGGTACCCCACTTTGCAATAACCAGACCTAGTGAGAACTCACTCACCATAATGACAGCACCAAGCCATAAGGGATCCTCCCTCAGGGCCCAGATACCTTCCACTGGGCCCCACCGCCAACACTGGGGATTACATTTCAACATGAAATTTAGAGGGGACACATAACCAAACTATATCAAGGGCCCATTTAATGAATTTCACTTTAATTCGATTACCTCTGTAAAGACTCTATTTTCAAATGAGGTCACATTCTGTGGTACAAATGGGAGTTAGAACTCCAACGTATTTTTTATGGGGGACATAATTCCACCCAGAGGTTGTACTGCAAGATGTTGGCATTTTCAACTTTTTTTTCTTTACTTTATAAAACTTTCTTGCCTAAAACAGTTTGCTAATTTGTAGGTTTAAGGTGCATTATTCTTTTTTTAACTTTGATTTTAAGTTCAAGGGTACACGTGCAAGTTTGTTACATAGGTAAACGTGTGTTGTGGGGTTTGTTGTACAGATTATTTCATCACCCAGGTATTAAGCCTAGTACTCATTAGTTACTTTTCCTGATTCCTTCTCTCCTGCCACCCTCCATCCCTCCACAGGCCCCAGCGTCTGTTGTTCCCCTCTATGTGTCCATGTGTTCTCACCATTTAGCTCCAACTTATAAGTAAGAACATATGGTATTTATCTGGTTTTTCTGTTCCTGTGATAGTTTGCTAAGCCTAACAGCCTCCATCTCCATCCATATTCCTGCAAAGGATGTGATCTCATTGTTTTTTATGGCTGCATAGTATTCTATGGTGTATATGTACCAAGTTTTCTTTATCCAGTCTACCATTGATAGGCACTAAGGTTGATTCCATGTCTTTGCTATTGTGAATAGTGCAACAATGAATATATGTGTTCATGTGTCTTGATGACTGAATGATTTATATTAACTTTGGGTAATGGGATTGCTGGATCGAATAGTAGTTCTATTTTTAGATCTTTCAGGAATTGCAACACTGTTTTCCACAATGGTTGAACTAATTTACGCTCCCACCAACAGTGTATAAGTGTTTCTTTTTCTCTGCAACCTCACCAGCATCTGTTATTTTTTTACTTTTTAATAACAGCCATCCTGACTGGTGTAAGGTGGTATCTCATTATGATTTTCATTTACATTTCTCTAACCATCAGTGATGCTGAGCTTTTTTTCATATGCTCGTTGGCTACATGCATGTCTTCTTTTGAAAAGTGTCTGTTCATGTCCTTTGCCCACTATTTAATGGGGTTGTTTTATTCTTATAAATTTAAATTCCTTAGAGATGCTGGATATTAGACCTTTGTCAGACGCATAGTTTGCAAAAACTTTCTCCCATTCTGTAGGTTGTCTGTTTACTCTGTTTATAGTTTATTTTGCTGTGCAAAAGCTCTTTAGTTTAATTAGATCCCATTTGCCAACTTTCGCTTTTGTTGCAATTGCTTTTGGCGTCTTCATCTTGAAATATCTGCCCTTTCCTATGTCCAGAATGGTATTGTCTAGATTGTCTTCCGGGGTTTTTATAGTTTGAGGACTTTAATCCATCATGAGTTAAATTTTGTATATGATGTAAAAAGGAGATCCAGTTTCAATCTTCTGCATATGGCTACCTAGTTATCCTAGTACCATTTTTTGAATAGGGATTTCTTTCCCCATTGCTTGTTTTTGTCAGTTTTGTCAAATATCAGATAATTGTAGGTGTGTGGCCTTATTTCTGGGATCTCTATCCTGTTCTGTTGGTCTATGTGTCTGTTTTTGTACCAGTACCATGCTCTTTTGGTTACTGTAGCTCTGTAATATAAAGTCGGATAGCGTGATGCCTCCAGCTTTGTTCTGTTTACTTACGATTGCCTTGGCTATCCAGGCTCTTTTTTTGTTCCATATGAATTTCAAAACCATTTTTTCTGTTCTATGAAGAATGTCACTAGTAGTTTAATAGGAATAGCATTGCATCTATAAATTGCCTTGGGCAGTGTGGCCATTTTATTGATATTGATTCTTCCTATACATTAACATGGAATGTTTCTTCATTTGTTGTTCTGTTGTTTTTCCATTTTGTTTGTCATTCCTGATTTCTTTGAGCAGTGTTTTGTAGTTCTCCTTGTAGAGATCTTTCATCTCCCTGGTTAGCTGTTTTCCTAGGTATTTTATACTTTTTGTGGCAATTGTGAATAGCACTGCATTCCTGATTTAGCTCTCACCTTGACTGTTTTTGCTATATATGAATGTTAGTAATTTTTGCACATTAATTTTGTAACCTGAGATTTTGCTGAAGTTGTTTATCAGCTTAAAAAGCTTTTGGGCTGAGATTAAGGGGTTTTTTATGTAAAGGATTGTGTCATCTGCAAACAGGGATAGTCTGACTTCCTGTCTTCCTATTTGAACGCCCTTTATTTCTTTCTCTTGCTCGATTGCTCTGGCCAGGACTTCCAGTACTATTTTGAATAGGAGTGGTGAGAGAGGGCAGCCTTGTCTTGTGCCAGTCTTCAAGGGAAATGTTTCAGGTTTTTGCCCATTCATTATGATGTTGGCTATGGATTTGTCATATAGATGGCTCTTATTATTTTGAGCTATTTTTTTCAATACCTAGTTTATTGAGAATTTTTAACATGAGGGTTTGTAGAATTTTATTGAAAGCCTTTTCTGCATCTATTGAGATAATCATGTAGTTTTTGTCTTTAATACTGTTTAGATGATGAATCACATTTATCAATATACGAATGTTGAACCAACCTTGCATCACGGTAGATAAGCTTTTTGATGTTCTGCTGGATTTGGTTTGCCAGTATTTTGTTTAGGATTTTTGCATCAGTGTTCATCAAGGATATTGGCCTGAAGTTATCTTTTATTGTGTCTCTGCCAGGTTTTGGTATCAGGAGGATGCTGGCCTCATAGAATGAATTAGGAAGGAGTCCCTCCTCCTCAATTTTTTGGAATAGTTTCCTCAGAAATGATACGAGTTCATATTAGTACATCTGGTAGAATTTGACTGTAAACCCTTCTGCTCCTGGGCTTTTGTTGTTGTTGGTAGGCAATTTATCACTGATTCAGTTTTAGAGATCATAATTGGTTTTTTTCAGAAATTCAATTTCTTCCTGGCTCAATATTCGGAGGGTATATGTGTCCAGGAATTCATCCATTTCTTCTAGATTTTCTAGTTTATGTGCACAGAGGTGTTCATAATATTCTCTGATGGTGATTTGTATTTCTGTGGGGGTCAGTGGTAATATCCCCTTTGGCATTTCTAATTGTGTTTATATGGTTCTTCTCTCTCCTTCTTTAGTCTAACTTGTGGTCTATCTATTTTATTAATTTTTTTCAAAGAACCAGCTCCTGGATTTGTTGATCTTTTGAATGGTTCTTCATGTCTCAGTCTTCTTCAGTTCAGCCCTGATTTTGGTTCTTTCTTGTCTTCTGCTAGCTTTGGGATTGGCTTGCTTTTGGTTCTCTAGCTTTTTAGCTGTGATGTTAGGATGTTAAATTGAGATCTATCTAACTTTTTGATGTGGCCTTTTAGTGCTATAAATTTCCCTCTTAACACTGCCTTAACCATGTCCCAGAGATTCTAGTATGTTGTATCTTTGTTCTCATTAGTTTTGAAGAACTTCCTGATTTCTGCCTTAATTTCATTATTTACCCAAAAGTCATTCAGGAGCAGATTATTCAATTTCATGTAATTGTATGGTTTTGAGCTAATTTCTTAGTCTTGGTTTCTAATTTGATTGTGCTGTGGTCTGAGAGAGTGTTATGATTTCAGTTCTTTTGCACTGTCTGAGGAGTATTTTATGTCCAATTATTTGATCAATTTTAGAGTATGTGCCATGTAACAATGAGAAGAATGTATATTCTGGTGTTTTGGGTGGAGAATTTTGTAGATAACTATCAGGTCCACTTGGTCCAGGGCTCAGTTTAGGTCCTGAATATCTTCGTTAATTTTCTGCCTCAATGATCTGTCTAATACTGTCAGTAGGATGTTGAAGTTTCCCACTATTATTGTGTGGGAGTCCAAGTCTCTTCAAAGTTCTCTAAGAATTTACTTCATGAATCTGGGTGCTCCTGTGTTGGGTGCATATATATTTAGGATAGTTAGGTCTTCTTGTTAAATTGAACCCTTTGCCATTATGTAATGCCCTTCTTTTATATTGTTATTTTTGTTGGTTTAAAGTCTGTCTTGTCTGAAATTGTAATTGTAACCCCTGCTTGTTTCTGTTTTCCATTTGATTGATAGATTTTTTTCCATCCCTTTATTTTGAGCCTATGTGTGTCACTGCATGTGATCTGGATCTCTTGAGGACAGTATCCCAAAGACTCTTGGTTCTTTCTCCAGCTTGCCACTCTGTGTCTTTTAATTGGGGCATATGGCCCATTTACATTCAAGGTTATTATTGATATGTGTGGATTTGATCCTGTCATCATGATGTTAGCTGGTTATTATGCAGACTTGTTTGTGTGGTTGCCTTATAGTGTCACTGGTCTATGTACTTCAGTGTGTTATTGTAGTGGCTGGTAATGATCTTTCCTTTCCATATTTATGGCTTCCTTCAGGAATTCTTTTAAGGCAGCGGTTATCTGGTGATAATAAATTCCCTCAGCATTTGCTTGTCTCAAAAGGATCTTATTTCTCCTTCACCTACGAAGCTTAGTTTGGCCAGATATAAAATTCTTTATTGGAATGTTTTTTAACATGTTGAATATCAACCTCTGATTTCTTCCGGCTTGTAGGGTTTCTGCTGAGAGGTCGGCTGTTATTCTGATGGGCTTCTCTTTGTAGGCAACCTGACCTTTCTCTCTAGCTTCCTTTAACAGTTTTTCTTTCATTTTAACCTTAGAGAATCTGATGATTAAGTGTCTTGGGAATCATCTTCTTGTGAAGTTCTTACTAGGGTTCTTTGCAGTTCCTGAATTTGAATGTTGGCCTCTCTAGCTAGGTTGGGGAAGTTCTCATGGATGATATCATGAAATATGTTTTCCAAGTTTTTTGCACTCTCCCCATCTCTTTCTGGGACACCAGCGAGTTGTAGATTTGGTGTCTTTACATGATGCCATATTTCTCAGAGATTTTATTCATTCCTTTTTATTTTTCTCTATTCTTGTCTGTGTCTTATTTCAGAAAGCCAGTCTTCAAGCTCTAAGATTCTATCCTCCCATTGGCCTATTCTGCTATTAATACTTGTGATTGCATTATGAAATTCTTGTAGTGTGTTTTTCAGCTCTATCAAGTTGGTTATGTTCTTTTCTATACTGGCTATTTTGTCTGTCAGCTCCTGCATTATTTTAATTTATTCTTAGCTTTTTTGGATTGGGTTTCAATGTATTCTGGCATCTCAATGATTTTTGTTCCTATCCATGTGCTGAATTCTATTTTTGTCATTTCAGCCATCTAAGCCTGATCCAGAACCCTTGCTGGAGAGTTGGTCATTTGGAGGAAGAAAACACTCGTGACTTTTTGAGTTGTCAGAGTTCTGGTGCTGGTCCTTTCTCATCTTTGTGAGCTGATGTTCCTTCAATCTTTGAAGTTGCTAATCTTTGGGGTTTTTTTTTCTTTTAACTTATTTGATGACCTTGAGGGTTTCATCATGGTATAAGATGGATTCAGCCAACTGGCTTCATTTCTGGAAGGTTTTAGGGGGCCAGTTCTCAACTCCCAATTCCTGTACTGCATGCTCTAACCCTGGGGAACTTGTACTGGGCCCTGACTTTGTTCTCTGGCTCCTCAAGGGTAGGAATTCACTGACTTAGAGTGGCTGAGGGACTCCCTGACCACTGGTCATTACACTCCGATGGGTAGTATCAGCCAAAGCATTTCCTAGTTCAGTGACAGTGGTATCCATCCTCGTTTGCACCAGCAAACCAGACTTGGGCCCCAGAACGTGCCAGCAGCAGCAGCAATGGCAGCATGGTGCAGTGGGGTGCATGCTTGTCAGCTGCAGCAGGGTGCTAGTGGGTGCTGGGGTGCCTGCCTCCATGCTGGCATTCACCACAATGGCAGAGGCAACGCAGCTCAGGAGTAGGGCAGGGGGGCAGGGTTCCCCTGCTGGTGACTGCACACAGTCATGCTGGTGGCGGTGTTGGCACAGGGACAGGGTGCTGGCAGGCGCAGGTCTGTGTGCATTCTCTGTGTGCCACAGGCAGAGGCGGTTGCTCAGAGTGGGTGGGGGAGGGTCCACTGTTCTCTGTGCCTAGTTTCATTCCTACAATAGTGTTGGCACAAGGGTGGGGCACTGGCAAGGGCCTGGCTGGCAGGCTCTTTGCCCACCAAGGCTCTGACTGCAATGGTGGTCAGTGGAGGCAGGACAAGATGTACACATACACACATGTTAGTGGGGCAAGGAAGGCAGAAGCTACCCATCCACACACATGTTGGCAAAGTGATGTGGGGAGTTGCTGTGGGCCTGGGGGAAGCTGCAGTGTGGGGTGGGAATGGATGAACTGGTGCATGGGTTGGTGCATGGGCTGCCCCACTGGAGCTCTTCACCAGTCAGGCATGGTTTGCCAGGGCAAGAGCTGTGATGTGAGCCCCTGGGGCATCCGAGGCTGCCCTGCAAGCAGGCGTGGCCAGACCTGGGCCCCAGAACGGGCCAGCAGACCAAGGGGTGCTTGAGTCACACTAGCCCCATCTGATAGGCAAGACTACCCTGCAGAGTTCACGCCCCACAGCTCCCATAGGGCTAGTCTCCTATGGGAGCAAGTCGAGCCAAGGGGAGTTGGCAATCCCTGAGCATGCTCCACTATAGATGCTCTGGGCTCTACATCAACTGGCTTGTTGCCCCTACCACTTTTCTAAGCAGCTCTCCCTGACAACTTGAGTGTCCATAGTGGTCAAGGGGTCTCCGTCTGCTGGGGTCCCAGAGAGGCCTTGATGAGGGCAAGTTGCTCCTTGCCAGCTCAACTCACCCATTCCTCTGGAGTCATTGGGGATCAGGCATGAGTACTGGTGCATGGTAGCCTCTAGCTCCATGTAGGGTTCCCAGCTTCCTCCCCATTCAGCCCACTTCAGTGTCTTCCCTCTGTCCACTGGTGGTGCCTTCCCTCTGAAGATCTGTTGGAAGTATGCCAGCTGTCTTGGTCCCTTGGTGGCAGATCTTCCACCTGGCTGAGTCCAGTTGGTCATCTTGCCCTAAGGTATTTTTAACTTTTTAACTTGGGTTGCCCTATCAGAAAGGAAAACAGATTGGGATTGTCAGATTCAGCAAATAGAAATATAGGATGCCCAGGTACACCTGAACTTCAGATAAACAATGAATAATTTTAGTATATGTCCCAAATATGGCATGGACATATTTACATTTAGAAAAATATTTCTTGTTTATCTGAAGTTCAAATTTAACTGGGTGTCCTATATTTTATCTGGAAACTATAAAACATGTCCTCCTGATTCTCCCTTTATCTGGTAGCTCCAAGGCACCATGCCACCCCAGTAAGATACCAGAAGTTATAGCCACACTGCAAAGAATCCTGCACTAGGAGTTCTGATCCTCAGATCTAGCACCCAATGTATGATAGGTGTTTAATTTGACCAAAACACTTACCATCCCTGGGACTTCGCCTCTTCATCTGTAAAAATAGAGATAAGAATTTCTTTCCTATCTTAGTAATTATTGTTGTGAAGTCCAAACAAGATAAATAAAATGAAATTGCTTCCCATAATAGAAAGTTGTTATTTGCATATATGTGAATTTAGGAACCTGATGCTCTGCCTTCTTCCTTGCTCTGAAAGCCAGTCCCACAGATGAGCAGATTGCCTGTGAGCATCTGCATCCCTTACCGTTCCTAAATTCACAGTCTCCTAGAACCACTGCTGTGGATTCAGCCCTTCACAGTAAAGACTAAACAACTAGAATGAGAACTTTTGGTCACCAAAGTGATCCCCTGAGTTGATGACCAGGATTTACTTTCAGACCTCTGCCTAAAACATAATAATGTTTTTTCATCAACACTTTAATACATCTGTTTCTCTGGAGATAGAATTCGTGTTTGTGTACCAGTTGTAGAGAAATCACTTTTTAAATTCAGAGAAAAGTCTCAACACACACATACATACACACACAAAAAAAAATGGGGAAAAAAGAGAGGCTCTGAAATGCTGAGATCTGTGATCACAGCCTTTATTAACAATATGCAACCAGTTCCAGAAAAAAAATTCAAATAAGAACTGGAATAATTATCCATACTTGCTAAGTAAACACTCGATGTGGTTGCTATCAAAATGAAAATTTGTCATGTCTAGTTTGACTCTGAGCACCCATAATTAAGTAGGCTTGGCAGCTGTTTTTAATTCACGCACCTAAGGAGGAAAATTATATGCTTTATCCAGTAAGGGGATTGTGATTTTTATTTTAAATTCTGTCTCTAAGGAATTTCTTACCAGAATGTGAAAGAGTTTTCTTTACTTGTTTAAAGCAAACTGCTCTCGTCAGACTTTATAGGAAGTACCACAATGCAATAGGGAATTTTATTATTTCTGTAGTTTACTTAGCATTTCAAGACATTTACCATTTTAATTATTTTCCTCGAATGTACTGTTGTGTGTATCAATGTAGTGTCACTGCTTCCGCTGGACATTTAAGTGGGTTACGGTCAAGTGTTAAATAACTATTTTTTTTGTTTTTACAAAACACCTATTTTACAACTATCTTCTGCTTCCTGCATGACCATTGTATACTATTAGCCATGTGTGTGGTCTATACCTCTACTTGCATATCATGCAAAGAATAAATTCTGTGAAATTAATTTTCCAGGAAAATAGTATTCAAATATATGTTGTCTAGAAGAAGTAACACTTCTTGTTTTAACTGTGACTTTTAATTCTAATTAAGATTTTCCTTCTTAACCTCCTTGTGTTTAATTTAGAACACGGCCTCAAGACCTTAATATTTTATAATAGTGACTTTACAATAACCAGTTACTGCTTTTTTCCTAAGGTACACAGCACTGGAGAGAAGCAGAGCTAAGGAGGTGAAGTGTCTGTCTGTCTTGCTGAAAGCAGCTGGGAGTGGGAAAAAATAGTCTTGTCCACTTTTGGCTATCTCAAGATGAACATGGAGCTCTCCAGCAGAGGAAATGTCTAGGAGGATAAGGTGACATCTATCAAGTGAACCTACTATGCGAACACATCTGCTGATAGGCCTGACCCATTTCTATCATCTGAGAATCTCAAGTAGCTTGTCCACCAGCCACAGGTTGTTAAACATTGATGGTGGATACTGTAGATGACCTTGCACTGTCCTTCAGAGAAACATGAATCTGAATATTCCCCAATTTGGGAATATCTGGAGATTTTTCAGGCTTAGAGAGGTTTTTTTTTTTTTTTAATTTTTTTTTTTTTTTTTGGTTTGCAGGTCTTTTTAAAGTTGACCGTGCATTAGGGCCATAACAAAGCTAAGCTTTAGAACTAAACAGAGACTGATTATATCTAGAGAATTACAACCCATTCTTAGAAGTAAATTCTTTTTTTTTTGTTGTTGTTGTTGTTGTTGTTGTTTTTGAGACGGAGTCTCGCTCTTTCGCCCAGGCTGGAGTGCAGTGGCGCCATCTCGGCTCACTGCAAGCTCCGCCCCCCGGGGTTCACGCCATTCTCCTGCCTCAGCCTCCCGAGTAGCTGGGACTACAGGCGCCCGCCACCGCGCCCGGCTAATTTTTTGTATTTTTAGTAGAGACGGGGTTTCACCGTGTTAGCCAGGATGGTCTCGATCTCCTGACCTCGTGATCCGCCCGCCTCGGCCTCCCAAAGTGCTGGGATTACAGGCGTGAGCCACCGCGCCCGGCCCTTAGAAGTAAATTCTTACTTGCCACTTTCACTTTGCCATACTCCCTTTTATTAGCCTATCACCTACCTTAGTTTAAAAAAAAAATACACATAAGCACACACACATAAACTTTACATTAGTTAGCTCAAGTTTCTTATGCCCACTTTACAGCTAAGGTACATGTATCTCAAAGAGATGGGGTGACTTCCTCAGGGCTCCACAATGAGTAGTACCCAAACTGGGCCTCCCACCCACCTATCCTGATATCTAGCGCAGTTTCTGCTTCACATCAATGTTGCCTCCTTCTTCTTTCTACTATGGATTTGTAGGTTATTGAAAAAAAACTATCTTTGGAGAATAAAAAATCTTTATAAAATCTAAATGCCAACTTACCAGTTTAAAATTCAAATGGAAGTCTTCCCTAAACTATCATGTAACAAGTGTTCATTCATTGAAAACTATTTATTGGAGCCTACTATGTGCCACACATTTTGATAGGAGCTGAGATAAATTGATGGTCAATTATGAAATAAGATATACTTTCCCTCACATTCGTGAAACCTAAAGTCTGTGAAAGGAGACAATTAAGCAAGCACTGGCAAAACTGCATGATAAATGCTCTTATAAGAGAAGCACAGGGCACTACTGAGAGGCTGTAGAAGGTTCTCACATCATCTTCCACCTAAATGACATTTATGGAGCAGTTACTGCATGCCAAGTATTGTCATTGCTTTGCAAGTATCATCTTATTTAATACACATTCAGGCTTATGCACTCCAGTCATGGATTAGAAAACTGAGGAGACGCTTCAGAGATTAACTGACTCTCCCAGTCACAAAGAAAGAAAGGTGGAGCCCAAATTCAACCAGGCACTATAGTTCAAGTCTACACTGACTAACCTTCCACCTAGGTCAATTATAACCTTCTCAGAGAGAAGATTACGATGTTTTTCTTACTAAAGTAACCCAGAGTTCCGTCCAGTGTGGCAGAAAGGAATAGATTATTGGTTGGCTTGAAATGGAATCTATTACCATTTCTAAACAAACAATTTCACAAAACTGAAATAAGTCCCACAAGAAGATTAATGAAATGTGTCCAAGGCACAGAATTACTTTAATTTTCCAGTTGGTTCACCAGCTGAATCTAAGAGTTTGGTTGCTATCTCTGTTGGACTAAAGTAGAGTTTTTATCTTCTATAAATCAATCAGGACAGTGGAAATCACCAAATGACATCATCATAACCACAGAGTACTTAATAGATGCAGCCTTTGTGTCTTGCTACTTAAGAAACAGCTAAGCTTCAACCATCTTAAAACTTCCCTTTTTGCAGACTGGCCCAGCGCCAAACTTGTAATGACACACAGAGTGATACATTTCCTTATTTCTTTCAAGCTTCTCTTGAGTTTCATTTTTCACAATTTTTTTACCATCTGGACACATTCTACAAACTTTCCATTCACCTTGCTTATAATGCTTTTTTATCAAATAAAATCATTTATTCTTTATTCTTTCGTGGCCAATGTTTTTTCTTTCAGACACTAATTAGGAATCTGAAATATTGCTAGCAATTGAGAGTTAAGGATGGCCAAAGTTTTTCAAGAATAACTAGCCCATTTTGTTTGGTTTTGCTTTGCAATTTAGAAAAGGAAATCACGTTGCTTTTGAAAACAAATGTGGTGAAATTGTAAGCCATGCCATTTTTATTCTGGCCTTCAGTTGAAACTCTCTTTGTGGTCAGCAATGCACACAAAGTCCTGTCTAAATCAGCCTCGAGCAATATACATAGAACATACATCTCATTTTCAATAATAAATATGTTGGCAAACTAGGGCTAGTGGAAATAAAATGACTGTGAAGTAGAATATATTATTTAACTAAATTTATTCAGCACGTGCTTTTGCTTTTTGTATTCTGTTTTTCTCACATATGCCCCAAATCAGAAATTTCTTCCTTTTATGCCTATCTTACCTGTATATTAAAGACATACTTAATTTTCATGAAATTTTTTTTAATGTTTGTTATCTCATATGTTGTTAGGGTAACTGGCAATAAGCCTATCTTCCCAATTATGATGAATATTTGAAGTGACTCTGTAAGTAATTTACAAGTAAAGATTTTTATCTAAAAAAAAGTTATCCACTTCATTTCCTTTTTATCAGTTCTCTGAATGTCTTTTTCCCCCCAAATATTTACACTTTTTTGGGTTTTTTTCAAGGTTTATACTCCTATGGACTTTTTAGAAATAAATATTCTATAAACTCTGAAAGTTTCAAAAGAGGGCTAAAATGTATTTTTATAATCAAAACAGTGCTGAATAGGGTATATCACTTCCAAGCAACTATAATAAAATACAGCTTTTTTGGTTCTATAAGGGAATTGTTGAAATAATATCTTAACGTCATCTACTTTGTCTTTTGAAGAGAGATGAGGAAACTCTGGAAAAAGCAGCTTGCCCCTAGTATGTCAGGTCTACAAGAGAGGGGAGACATTGGATGGAGTGTCCTATGTGGCAGGGAGACCTCCACTCAGCAGGACACGGTGAGAGTTTCTTAAGTGAGTACAATATAAAAATATAATTTGGCAGAGCAAGAGAAATATAAGAAATCAAGCGGAATAATAATAAAGAAAATGATTACCATTCTTTAGGGTGTGCTTATCATATGATTATGTGTCAGACATTCCTCTCAAATGTTGCCATGTTTTAACTCACTTTACCACCATAACAGACCTGGGAAGATCAGAAAACCCATTGGTTTAAGCTACAAATAGAGAAGATGTTGAAACACAGAGAAGGCGTAAGAACTAAAGGGAGACACAACCAAGAAGAAGCAAAGATGGAAGACCATGCAAGAGTGGACTGAGCACAGAGTGGGAGGGTGAGAGCAAGGTTCTTGGTGTCAGGGAATGACTGAAAAGAATAAAGCCAAAGAACTCGTACTCAAGGAGACGGAAGCCTCAAGAGGGCCGAAGCAATGGAAGCTTGACTTAGGGTGGGGGTGTCCTTCAACTTTGTGGAATTATGCTACAAGGCTGTATTTGCCAATTTTCACACTGCTATAAAGAACTATCTGAAGCTGGGTAATTTATAAAGAAAAGAGGTTTAAGTGACTCACAGCTCCGCATGGCTGGGGAGGCATCATGAAACTTACAATCATGGCGGAAGGTAAAGGGGAAGCAAGGCACGTCTTATATGGTGGCAGGAGAGAGCAAGAGTGAGGAAGTGCCACACATTAAAACCATCAGCCCTGGTGAGAACTCACTCACTCTCATGAGAACAGCAGGAAGAAAGCTGCCCCCATGATCTGATAACCTCCCGCCAGGTCCCTCCCTCAACACATGGGGATTACAATTCAAGATGAGAATAGGGTGGGGACACAGAGCCAAACTCTATCAAAGGCATTCTGCTGATCCCTACCACCTGCCAGGCCCTGTCCATTGTCTGCAGCATGAGCCATAAGTATCAGCCCATCAAAAATGTTCATTCCCACCTCCCAGCTTCATCCTTGTACCTCCACTTCCTGTCCTGAAAGAGTTGGAGTTAAGTGGTGAACTTAATACAATTTGGGGTGAGGGTTGAGGGGGCAGAGTGGGCAGAAGGGGGAAACAAGCAGAAGATTTAAAATGAGAAGGCTGAGGCTTTAGTTCCAGTCCTAAAATCTAGGTGACTTTGGGCAAGTTGTTCCTCCTCTCTCGTCCCTTATTAGTTCCTATTTAAATGTCGGCATTGAAGTTAATCTTCTTGAGGTCTGTTCCAGCTCTAATGGATGTTTTCTAAGGCAGTCTAATACAATAGATACAAGCATGCTTTTCATACGTAAAAGCTACTGTTGATTCATTTGATAATAAAATTCACACATAAAAGCTATTAGTGATTAATTTAATAAAATTCCAGGCTTTAAATCCATACTGGTTTAGCTTGAAGTATGGAGGTGTGAATTTAGGTAGTGTGTCAGGGAGATTACTCATCCCAGACAGGTGGTTTGGGTGTTTCCCAGCAGGGGCAATCAGACCTGTCTGGGTCATTCAGCCACCCACCACATATCTGCAGAGCACAGACTCACGCTTGAGTCAGATGCTCCCAGATCACCATACTCTAACAATTAGCCACACCACAGCCATTTGTCTTAAATTAACTTAGAGCGTGTTAGCTGAAGCCTAATTAAACATTGGCAGTTGCTTAGGAAAAACAATTAAAAAGTCACTCAGCAATACCATCTTGTCATTACAGAAAGCTTTAATAGGCGGGACTTGCAAAATATGGAAAATCTTTCCCTCACATGTGTGTTGGCTTCCGCAATAGCTAATGGACTCATCTAGAATAACACCCTGCCAAGGGTCTTTGATGGGACAGCTGTTCTCACAAGGCAGCTCTCAGGAATATCAGGTGTTCAGGGTTTTTTCTACAGCTGGCAGTAAACAAAAAAAGAAAAGCAAATTTTGTTTTATTCATCACAACAGCTGGAGAATGTATAGAAAATATTCAAACCACAAAATAACAAATGCAATCCAAACATCCCCAATTACTTCTAAATTCTTTCTTCCACTCTACAGGCCTTTCTCTTACTTTGTAGGCATTTGGTGGGGTTTTCCTACCTACCCGTTTCCCAATCTCAGTTATTTCTGACACACTGTTGCTCCCTCAAAATTGAAAATTATCCCCTCCCACTATGCTTTGGTGCTTAAGATTCTGAATATAAAGCAATATGACCAGCACCATCCCTGGGCTTTCCAAAAATGGCCTAGAGAAAAAGGCTTGTCAAATGAATTCTTAGTTTTTCTTGTCAGGCTGTGCTTATGTCTCTCTTGACCTCCTGACCTGTGTAAGTTGTCTAAGGTATTCATTGCTTTGAGCTGTCCCTATAAAAGTATCAACTTGATGCTGGTTCTGTGGTAAATAAGAAATAAGAAAATCAAGTCACTGTCTCCCAAAAAGCAATTCAGTGGCTCAGCTGAATCTCTTCCTCCTGGTGTTTCCATGGAACCGAAGTGGACTGGCTCTGCCAACTTCTTTTGCCTTGATTCCTCACTCTTTCAGCTGATGATAGAATCATTTTTGTCCCCAAAACTCACACAGGCACTAGATTTGGGGTATTGACTATGTTACCAGGGAAAGCCTTCCACTGCCATGTAGTGGGGAGTTTCCTCAGAAAGTATATGAAGGCCAAAGAAAGTAGGGAGGGTCCCTGCAAATCCGCAGCAAGCCTTGCCTAAACAAAGGGAAAAGGAGGGTGCTTGGGGGTCGGGGGGCAGGTAGAGGAGGCCTCAGATACGATTTGATATCCTGTAATCCACGGTAGGTGGCCTCTGAACTCTGCCCTGAAAAATCTGTCATGTTGAGACAGAAAGACACCCTGAGGATGAGCACATGTAGATCTCTGATCTCTAAGTCTCTTGCTGGACGCATCCAAGACAATGTGGAATAAAGTAGCAGTTCAGGAAGTGTGTTTCCATGCACTAGTGAAAGGTGAAAATATGAAATAAACTACCCTGGGTTGGTCTTTCATGCCTACTTTTGTATTTTTTTATTTACTTTTGTCATGTTTTTTGATATATAATTGTTTGAAATTTGTATCCATGCAATGTTCCAGCACTGGGAATTATGAGAATGGTTCTGGACCCTACAAAATCAATTGACATGATTTTTCACTTAGAGCAAGACCACATCTTCTGGGCAGGCCCAGTGGCTCATGCTTGTAATCCCAGCACTTGAGACTAAGACGGGAGGATCACATCAGTCCAGGAGTTCAAGACCAGCAGGGTAACAGAGGGAGAACACCCACTCTCTAAAAAAGACTTTTAAACATTAGCTGGGCATACTGGTGCATGCCTCTAGTCCCAGCTCCTCAGGAGGCTGTGGTGGGAGGATAGCTTGGGCCTGGGTGGTTGAGGCTGCAATGAGCCATGATCGTGCCACTGCACTCCAGTCTGAGCAACAGAGTGAGCCTCTGTCTCAAAAAAAATAAAATAAAATAAAGACAACATCTGATTTTGTTCAGTTCACTTTCACCCTACACTGAGTAAATCTCCAGAAAGAAATCTAAGGACTACGTAATCAGTCAATCCACTCAACCCACAACGCTACTGGAGTACACTCATTAAGCCTCAAGAGACCTGTAAAGAAAAGGTCATCCAAAATGGAGCAAATAACCAACCAGCATGCAGGTATTACTGATAGCTAGTACACGCCAAGTCATTGGGGGACTCTGAACTTTCTCTACACATAGTTTTTAAAAGAAAAGATAGTAAAATATCTCCTTCCTTCATAATGCCAACACACACTAGTATGACAATTTGTTACAGTATCATTCCTATGAGGTAGGGGAAAAGAATGATGACACTCATAAATCTATTGGTTTAGATACAAAATAAATTTTCAATCCATGAGTGTGTTCACTGAGAATATATAAAATAAAATAAAATTTGACTTTCAATTTCTTAACTCACAGTCCTATAGCCAAATAAACTGGACCATCCACATCTACTAAAATCAAATTGGCCGCTACTCCAGATTATTGGCTCTGTGGTAGCCAGCCTGCAACATGGCCCCACTCATTCTTACATCCTGGGATTCATGGACTTGTGCATTTCTCCTCCCACTTTTTACCATGGTTGATCTATGTCACCAATAATAGATGGAAAAAATGATGGTGTATTACTTCCGAAGATAAGTTATGAAAGACCTGTGACTTCTGCCTCATGCCTTTTCTCTTGGATTGCTTATGCTGGGAGACACTAGCTACCATGCTGTGAGGACGCTTAAATTTCTTTATGGAGAGGCCTGTGTGTGAAGAGCAACTGAGGCTAGGAGCCAGTGAGGAGTTGAAGAGTCCAAGTCCAATGGCTGCATGAGTGAGCTTGGAAGTAGATCCTCTAGCCCAGTCAAGCCTTGAGTGCAGTCTTGCCCAATATCTCAATCACGACCTCATGAGAGACCTTGAACCATAAACACCCAACTGAGCTGCTCCATAGTGCCTGACTCAGAAACTATAAGATAAATATGTATTGTTTTCAGCCATTACATTTTGGGGAAATTTGTTATCTGGCGGTAGATAAACTAATACCCTCTCTTTCCTGATCTTAAATTATTTTAAGTTCATGCTGTATCATTGATTTCCTTAAATCTACATACCCCAAAGTAACTGTTTTTGTCTTCTAAAAGTGCAAGGCCAGAAATTTTTTTAACCAACTCAAATAACACGTAAGATTTTATTCCAAGAATATATGCTGGAAAAGACTTCACAGTCCTGTTAGCTATAGAGATTGGTTCACAAGGCTTTTCTTTAAGGATTGGGTCATACACAGACACACAAACATATACACATGACCACAATTCATTAATTTGTTGATACAAATCTTATCAAAATGCTAAACTGGAATTGAGACAAAAATAAATGACAGTGGAAGTCATTTTAAATGTATCATCTGCTAAAATGAATTCATCTCAATAAATTCCTCTTAATGCTTTAATTATTTAAAGTAGAAAAACCTCTACACCTGCCCCTCCAGAGAGTGTTAGAACCTAAAAAATTAAGTGCCTGAACCATCCTTCAGTGCCACTTTTCTCTTTATATGAGAGGCAAACACTGAGCATGACTCATTTGCCCTCATGTCTCCCTGGTAAATCCTCATTGTGGCTAAATAAACTGACAGTACGAGTTTTGTGGTTTCAAATCTGCTCCTCAATTTTGCAATATATTCCTAACATGCAGACAATGCCAAGTTCTGCCTGACTTCAGCTATCCCACAGAAGAAGCATGGCCCTGGGCCTCAAATATTTAATTCCCTGAGCTGTGTGTTAGCTTGAAATCCTCTACTCAACCGAATCCAATTTACCTCCTCTTCTGTCAAAGCAGCTTTTAGGCAGAGGTCGATGACTTGAGAAGTCACCTAGTGAAATCTTTTTCAATTCTATGCTATTTACTGAAAAGAAAATTGGGTATACTTAACTCATTGCAAAGTTCCCTGTAACTTTGTGAAATAATTCTCTAATGAAAATAAATGGCTGTATCACTGAGGAGAAGAAGATAAGAAAAGAAAAACTTATTTCCATGCTTTTTTTGTTGTTGTTGATTAAAAATGTCAGTAACCATAAGTATGTGAGCTAATGCATGTGTTAATTAGCTTTATTTAGCCATTCCACAATGTATACATAGTTCAAAACATCATGTTGTACACCACAAATAAACCAATTTTTATTTGTCAATTTAAAAAATTAAAAATTGGCCAGGCACAGTGGCTCATGCCTATAATCCCAGCACTTTGGAAGGCCAAGGTAGGTGGATCACCTGAGGTCAGGAGCTCGAGACCAACCTGGACAACATAGTGAGACCTCAACTCTACACAAAATTAAAATTAGCAGAGCATGGTGGTGCATGCCTGCAGTTCTAGCTACTTGGGAGGCTGAGGCGGGAGGATCACTTGAGCCCAGGAGATCGAGTCTGCAGTGAGTTGTGATTGTACCATTGCACTCCAGCCTGGATGACAGAGGGAGACCCTGCCTCAAAAATAAAAATAAAATTAAAAAGAAAATGATACCAGTAACTATAATCGTTTAGGTAATTTGTGTTCCATAAGAGTTCTTTACTCACAATTTATTCTTCACAAATGAACCAGTCAATGATGAAGGAAGAGAGGATGACCACATATCTGAGCTGAACCATTAGCATCTAGGACAAAAGATTACATGTCCAATATGCATTAATGATTTCCATATGCAGTGCCTGAAATACTGTGACCAAAGAAAGAAAAAATGCTGATTACTTTCCTTTAACAATCTCTAAGATCTCTAACTCAAGGCAGCAGCCCTCAATGGGTTTATCCTGCAGAGCTTGAACTATTTAAAATTTAGGTTGTTTCAAAGTTTGATCTTAATTATATGTTAGGTACTTCTTACAAAGTCTTCTCTAGAAATTATTTATTCATTTTGCATCTATTTTATAGGCATAGATGATATTATTCAGTTTTTTGATAACTTCATCCTCAGAGTTAACTGCCCTTAGAGTTTCACTAATCCAAGTTCAAAGAAGACTTCAGTCTCCTAAAATGCAAGTATTAATGATGAAGATCTTACCAAAAGTCCACACATTTTAATGATGAAGCTTTAGTTCTAAAATGTACTCTTATATAATGTGCTCATAAAATTAGACACTCAGCACGGTCCAAGAGAATCTTCTACAATGATGGAAATGTTCTATTTCTCCAGTGTTTGGTACAGTAGCCACTAACCACCTGTGGCTTTTGAACACTTGAAATGTGGCTACTGCAATTGAAGAACTGAATTCTAACTTTATTTCATTTTAACTAATTTAAACTTGACTATTACAATGGATGGCATAAATGGAGTCTCATGAATTAGCACATTTTGCCCTTTGAACTAGAGTTGTTTCAAAGCTAAAAATGGTGTCCATACGGGGCTAAGTGAAATAAGATTCCACCTAACAATCTCTAGTTTTGAGCCTACAAACTGAGAGAAAACTGTCTCAATACCTATGCAAATTGAGAAATCTGTATGATCAATACCTATGTAAATTGAGAAATCCATATGATTGAGTCTCATCAGTGTGGCTTTCCTATGCCTTTCAAATGATGGGTTTCTGTGTGTGATAGGTTCTGTGGAGCGTTTGAGAGTTAGAGATCTAGGGTAGTGCTGAATTACGCATTCTTTGATGTTGCCTAAACTAGCTCTTATCAAAACTACCTTCTCCCTAGAACTATGACTTTGCTTCCCTCACTTTACTGATTATGAAATAGATGCTGAAAACATTTAGCCCTCCATTGCAAAAAAAAAAAAAAAAGCACTTCAATTTTTTTATCCAAAAATGTCTCCCTTTCTCAACCACTAGGAAATTCTGTTGCCTTTTTTTCACTTCTGCTGGAGTTGCCCAGAAGGGCACCAGAAAGCAAGACTGAAAGCCGTCAGTGGCAAGAACAAACACAATTTTTGAGTTTTCACAGTGGTAAGATATTTATTGTAAAGATCAGCAATGTCTGCCTTCATATTTCCATACTCTGATCTTTTGCACAGCTTAATATTTTAAATGATGTCCATAGGACTAAATGTTCTGAGGACATGTTGATAAGTAATATTTTACCAGATATGTAAGCATCCAGATTTACAAATTAGATGTTAGTGAGCTTCTTGTCCCTTTATAAAAGGATTTCTTGGTTTAAAAGAGATCTGTATTCACTCCTCTAAATAGAAGTATATATAAAAGGTACATATAAATCATTACCAAACCTAATTTACTTGTTCTATGTTCTATGAGTCTGGGTAACTGAAAACTTTATTAATTGTTGCATTTGCCCACTAAAAGCAATACAAAGGAGAGAAAAAAGCAGTCCCCAAATTATACTGCATTTATGAAAATACTATGATTAGAATCACAGAAATTCACACAGACATGCAGTACTATAACTTCAGGTAAAATGACAAATTGTTGATTTTACCAAATATTTAGCTGGAAGAATATACTTTCAACACATTATTTTACCAGGAATACCCACTGCCACCCCTGCTTCAGAAGTGGATTTGATTTCTATAGAGGGAGCATTGAATCTGGAAGCTATTGTTTCTTCCCTGGCTGTCAGGAACAGCCTGTGTCCCACCCCTTTCCACCCTTTCTTACTTAGGATCAGGCCACAGGTGCACCAAGATCCCCTCAAGGAAATAAGAAGCCTATGTCTTACAACAGCTTGGTCCAAGGCCTCCTCCAGGCTATGGTGCCTCCTGCCTAATATTCAGACCTTTGCCTAGATTCTGGCTTTTCTCCTATATTATTTGGCTTCATTTCATTTCTGGCTGAGATTGCCGGTCTGGATTCCAATACGTTTTTCATTTAGTTTCCCAAGTTCTGGCACATCATCTTATCAGATGTAACATTTTCTTGCTTGGATTGTTTTTTCAACTGGTTCCTTCTTGCCTTAGTTGAAATGAATGAATGTGACTCTCTTTCCATCTTGATTTGTGTTTCTATACTTGCTCACCTCCCTTGTTTGTCTTTGTTTTCTGGACTTACAAATCTTAAAAGCAAAATGAGGCTCAGAGAGACGAAGTGATTTCCCCAAGGTCACACAAGGAGAAACAGTAAGATCATTGGGTCTTCAGCCCCATCTACCTTTCCCCATGCTGTCTGCCTCTAAGAAGCCACACTTGGCACTGATAACAGGAAGACCGGTTCTCCCAACTGGCAGCCCAAGGCTCTAGCTTTCCATTCTGTCCTCCCTTGAGTAAAGACATAAAATGTAGAAAAGCAGAAAACTATCAACCCAGGGACTACCTAAAATACACAAAACATAACGATAGAACCAGCTTGGAATTAAAGGCCCTTGGGCTTAACAAAACCGCGACACTGATTTATGTTTTATTAAATAATAGCATAGTTATACCGAGGGGAAGTTCCAAACATTGCTAACAACATAAAATACTTTTATAATTGAAGAAAGAGTTTCATTTCAGCTTCTGATGATCTAATGATTTAATTGCAAGACATGCAATGACTGAGTAATTTATTTTTTTACCAAACAATAATCAATGTCATGTGGCTGTGTCATGAGAATTTATTATTAACTTAACTGGTATATTTCAGCTTGACATTCCAAGGACAACTTGCTCTTTAAGAATGAGTCAAACCTGATGACTTATGTCCCTTGGAAAGGTAAGTAGATTATTTCTAAATTCTACCACTCTTTCTGTGGATATTTGAGTTTACGAATCTGGAAAATACACTGCCTTTTGCCTAAGCTGCCAAGCCACATGAGCAACAGAATTGATTCCAGGAGTGTGCCTTGAATCTTTAAGTCTCTCTCTTAATGAAATTATGCTGAAAATGGTTATAATATTAAGACTGGGATAATGCACAACATAAACCAAACAATACTCTAAATGAGCTCATGTATTCATTAGAAATATCTAAATAGTATTCAGTAAAGGTGACTCATCTCACTAGTGTCTAAATAACGGGTGAAAAAAAATTTAATAGTTTTTTTCCAGGTTAACAGATAAAACTAAGAAAACTTCCAAATATATTTAGGGAAGTCTGGTGTCCCAAATGCATTTCACAGCAAAATATGTGTTGGGTCTTTCTCAGTTCCACAGCTACATCACACAGCAGGGATGGAAGGACAGCATGACAATAGCTTTTACTTTCCGAATGGATGTTTAAGTAATCTGAAGAAGACACTTTCTGCTGGGCTCCATTCAATCTGTAGTCTATTGCAGTGTACAAGTAAACATCAAAACCCCCTGCTTCACAACTGTCATTTTTGGCTCTCATTACCAATGGGCCAAATTAGTTTAAGGCAAGATGGTCGGCAGATGGGCAGGGCAGCATACCAAAGGCACCCAAACCCACCAAAGCCAATATAGGAAAAAAAATAAAAGAAAACCACCCAGGGAAGAGGCCTTTGGGCAACATCCCAATTCATTACAGCTAGAAAAGAAGAAGGGCTGCTTTTAAGGGTCTCAGCTTTGGCAAGACAGCCACAAAGGCTGTTGTTACCTCTGGCACTGCAGCAGAATCAATCTAACAGGAAGTGGAGACAGTCCAGCAATGCCATGGCAACCGCAGGCTGCTGCAGGAGGGAGGGAGGAGAGCCAGCAGGCAGGACTGATGGTGACTGGGAGGGTGCACTCCGATGAAGGCAGCCTTGGGGACCTATCTCTGGTACCAGCCCCCAGGGAAGGTCACTTTTCCCTGGGAGTAACTTCCATTAGGGAAGAGAGCAAAGCAAGTCATAAATGGAGCCACAGGTGCACAGAACCCAGGGTAAGGGGTAGGTGAGTGCGTTTGAGGTTCCTTTTTCATGAAGAGCAGCTCTCATTCCTGCCCTGCAATGTCACAGGTCACCCTGAGATATCAGAGATAGAGAATCAAGTGCTGCTGCTGTGAGACAGTAACGCAATATAAGACAATCATTCAGGAACTTTCTATTGGAGTGCTTACCCATCCAAAGTATTAACAACCTGATTCAAAAAAGGCTATTGGAGCTTTTTTTTTCTTTAAGACCTACCTTCCTCTCACTAAGCTTATGATGATGACAATGATATATAAATACCACTGAATGTAATCAAATAAAACAGTTGGATGACACCATGAAAGAGAGTTTAACTCAAGAAGATCAAAAGGGCAAAAACAAATGTGAATCATAGAGAGAAGATATAGGAAACCTTTTCTTAATCCACTGCAATGGCACTTCATGATCAATAAGTTTTCCTTATGTCAAATTAAAGTCTCTTTTGCCTTAATTTTAGTCGCTCTCTATCCCACCCATTCAAACTCCAAGGGATCACTGCTGATATCTATATCTTGCATCTCTTCATTATTTGCCCCATCTGTATAATAAGGCTGATGATCTTTAAGTATTTAAAGATGTTATATATGCTGCATCAACAACAAACCTATAGCAGAATACATATCCTTACATAAAACAGAAGCTGCCAGTTGTCCCTCGACATCCATTCTTCCAATGTCTCTCAAAGTAATAGAACTCCCAACTTTTAACTGGGCACAAGGCCATCTGAAATAAAGACCACTTAGCCCATCTTCCTGTGAAGCTAGATATAGCCATATTACTAAATTCTGGCCAAAGGAATAGGAGCAGAAGTTATGGAAACAACTTCCAAATTGTGTCCTTGAAGCACAAGTCTTGCCCTTTTGCTCTCCCTGCCTTTATATTGCTCTTGAAAATAATCCTGGTGCAAAATCATATTAGATCAAGTGGGCAAAGGCAATACTCTGGGGATAGTAGAGCCACAAATAAATTTCTGACAACCTCATGGAGTACAGCCACTATACCAGCCCTGTACCACCTACTTCTCATATTACACAAGAGACTTCTATCTTGTTTAAGCCATTTTAACTTAAAGGCTTTCAGATTGTTTAACCTAATAAGCATAATTATCTATACTTGTCTCCTGTGTTGTATCAACCTGACTAGAAAATGGGTGGGCTGTACTAATATAGGCTTTATGGGAATTGGCCAGAGACTGTCTCAGGTTATCAGAAATCTGACCCAAGAAGCCAAGATTCAGCAAGAGTTGAGGTTGTAATATAAGACAGTAGGGATACAGCCAAAAAAAAAAAAAAATCAGAAAATCAAGCTAAGGCAGGTCAAATCTGACAGATTCACACACAGCAGAGAGCCCCAAGGAGAATACACATGTGTTTTCAGATATATGGGAAGTCTAGCACAGTGGCCCAGGCAGGTTGTCAGAAGCTGGGCAGAGGAATTTCAAAAGCTGAAAAGAACATAGCTCCAAAGTAAACATGTGCATATTTATTCTGCCCACTGGCTATGGTCTTCTGACATCTTTCATACTGAAGTCATCCAGTTTTACTGGCCTGGCTGCCCCCGACAGTTCTCTAACCTTAGTCCTTTGCCTCCATCTGAGCAGGAAACTCATTACTTATATCAGAGGGGTAGGTTGTATTCTTGCAGTGAACTGGAGATCTCACTGGGGGAAGGAAACCTAGACCATCAGGATTCCTCTGGAACCAGTGGGAGAAAAGGTCTTTAGTTCAGGGCTGAAAAGGCACTGTCTAACCTGGTAAATACTGGCCACATGTGCCTACTGAACACTTGCGATGTGGCTAGGCAGAATGGAGACATTCTGTAAGTGTAAAATACACCCTGGATTTTGAAGACTTAGAACAAGGAGTGTAAAATATCTCATTCAAGTTTTTATATTAATTACACATTGAAATGAGGCCAGGCACTGTGACACATGCCTGTAATCTCAGCACTTTGGGAGGCCAAGGCAGGAGGATCACTTGAGGTCAGGAGTTCAAGACCAGCCTGGCCAACATGGTGAAACCCTGTCTCTACTAAAAATACAAAAATTAGCTGGGCTTGGTGGTGCACACCTGTAATGCCAGCTATTCGGGAGGCTGAAGTAGGAGAATCGCTTGAACCCGGGAGGCAGAGGTTGCAGTAAGCCAAGATGGCGCCACTGTACTCCAGCCTGGGCAACAGAGCAAGACTATGTCTCAAAAATAAAATTTTTTAAAAAGAAATTATATTTAATATATATTACAGTAAATAAAAGGTATTATTAAAAATTAATTTATCCTGTTTCTTTTAGCTTTATTTGTGGCTTTCAGAAAATATGAAGCTACATATGTAGATCACATTATATTTCTATTGAACAGCACTTGTCTAACAAGCTGAGTTTCTAACATTTGGAAGAAACTTCTGTTTTCTCAAGTGAGAAAAGTTTCAAACTACAAACACCCTAACACCTGAGTCCCACTCCATAACAAAAGTGGCATACAGCCAATTTGACTCACGATGTTTCCTTCATTTTCTTGTCTGATGAGCCCACATCTTTGAGGTTCATGCAAACACCCAGTTCTGGGAATGAGATTCTGTGTGCCATTGCCCATGGGGAAATGACTGCTAACCAAATTCTTAATCTCCACCAATTATTAAAAGGCAGTTCTAGCCATTAAACATTGAAAATTCTATTTAGACAGACTGTTAAAAAAAAAAAACAGAGACACTTTTCATATTGGCTTTTCTTATTGACCTAACTAAACACTCATTGCAGTCTTGTTCCAAAACTATATCTTCCATTAGCACAAAGGAAAACCTGTTCTTATAGTTCATGTAGTAGGGTATGGAATATAGAAAAAAATGTAAACAGTAAGCCTTTTGTGAAGAAGGAAATTCTGTTTGTCCTGCCTATTCTATCCTGAAAGCACAAACTGAAACTTTTACAAATGTGTTGGCGACCTCTAATGAGAACAGAAGTGGAAAGGGAATGATCTCTTTTCTCCCTATGGCAAAGAGTCATGGCTGACACCACTATAGCAAAAACAAACAAACAAACAAACAAAAACACCCACAGGTTAACAAGGGAAAAGCATAGCAAATTTATCATGAATATGTGCATACCTGGGCACAGAAGTTATACAAAATGTGAATACAAAGAGGGTCAGTTGGTTGATGCTTAAATACTCTCTTCAAAGAAGGACAGATGTATGGATCTAAGAAGTGGGAAACAGACGTTATGGGAAGGCGAGGGGCAGACTTACACAGGAACAAGGGTTGTCTTATTGTGCAGATAAAACGTGTCAGGTAATCTCTTGGAGAACAGACGAAAATTCCATCTGGGTGTGGTGGTTACTCCCAGTCTCTTCTCTTCTCTGGTGGTTGACCTTTACCGGTTATTCGATGAGATCCCTAGGGAGGGGGTCTTAAGACAATTCCATTTCTTTTGGAAATAAGGATAAGGAAATTTCACATTAGGAAATTCCAGAAAATCTGTCTCAGTGCTTAGTGGAGAAGTTGGGGAGGCGAGACAAGGTTACAGTGACCTCGATTCTGAGGCAGCTTCTAAGGTCTCTCAGGATGTCAAAGTCCCTGTCTTTGGGGTACTGCTTTCTGAGCCCCAACAGAGCCTAGCTGATCTCCACATTGGCAAACAGCTGAATATTTCACAGAGGATTTGGAAAGAGGTGAAAAAACAGTTCAGGCAGGCAGCTTTAACAGACTATATTTACATGACAGAGATATGAAAAGTTTTAGTAAATCTGGATCACATACAGAAAGCTGGAAGCAATTGCTACTGCACGGTGCTGTTTGGGTAGAAGACTTAATAGGTCTTTCTCCTCCCTTTGGGTCTTATTAAACATCATTTTGGCTTAAGAAGACAACTCTGTTGTCCAGGTTAACAACATTTTCATGTCAAGTGCCTGGTATTCCCAAAGAAATGTCCTTCCTTTTGGCTAAGCAATATATTAAGTAATGCACTAAACAATACAGGCTGCCAGCAATCCTGTTTTCTCATGACTTTTCTTTTCTCTGGATTCTTTTAAACTTTCTACATAAATCTCATTCTTTTAACCTCTCCTGAACTATTCTTAAATTTACAAAAAAGAAAGACACGTTTGTCACGCCTGCAATCCCAGCACTTTGGGAGGCCGAGGCGGGTGGATCACAAGGTCAGGAGATCAAGACCATCCTGGCTAACATGGTGAAACCCCGTCTCTACTAAAAATACAAAAAATTAGACAGGCGTGGTGGCGGGCACCTGTAGTCCCAGCTACTCAGGAGGCTGAGGCAGGAGAATGGCGTGAACCCAGGAGGCAGAGCTTGCAGTGAGCCGAGATCACGCCACTGCACTCCAGCTTGGGCAACAGAGTGAGACTCCTAAAATAAAATAAAATAAAATAAAATAAAATAAAATAAAATAAAGTAAAATAAAATAAGAAAGACACATTTGGGTTAAATTAAAGTAATGGTGGTCTATTGTAAAGATTAGAAATAAGGGGCCAGGGGTGGTGGCTCATGCCTGTAATCCCAACATTTTAGGAGGCCAAGGCGGGTGGATCACGAGGTCAGGAGATCGAGCCCATCCTGGCTAACACAGTGAAACCCTGTCTCTACTAAAAAATAAGCTGGGCGTGGTGGGGCGTGCCTGTAGTCCCAGTTACTCAGGAGGCTGAGGCAGGAGAATCGCTTGAACCTGGGAGGTGGAGGTTGCAGTGAGCTGAGACTGCACCACTGCACTCCAACCTGGGTGACAGAGCAAGACTCTGCCTCAAAAAAAAAAAAAAAAAAAAAAAAAAAAAGAATAGAAATAAGGAAGATAGGAGTGGCAGATGCTTAACTAGTCCCCCAATTCCTACTGCTCACCCACATGGAAAATAAAGTTTTGGGGGAACAGGAGAATTTATCAAGATACAGTGCAATCCATGCAGTTCTAGCAACTGAGTTGTCTTGTTGACTGAGTTCTCTCATTGCGGGCATGCACAGAAGGCAGTTTCATTTTCCACCTTTGGGATGACTCTGTGACTCTCCCCACCCCTCCTGCTTCTTCTGACTGGATACATGCCTGGCCCTGCTTCTCAATTTCTGCCTGTCAGAGAAAAGTTCTAACTGGTTCAGCTGGGGACTGTCAAGTACAGCAATGTTCAACCCTGTTTTAGTTCTCAGACACGTTTCATTGCTCTACATAATCCTGTGAACCATATTACAAATTGTTTGAATCATGTCTTTTTACAATGAAAATTATTCAATGTGATTAAATAAAAATACTCCAGATTTTAAAAGATTACCTAATTGACCTATATAATATATAAGGACATTAAAAATGACTTTCCACAGATAATTAGATAGGCAGATGCATTAATGTGCTTTAAACCAATGAAGATAAATACATCATTTATTGACAAGTTCATTTCAAAGAACATTTGAATATTTGGTTTTGGTATCAGGTATAAAAGTACAGGTTTAAATTCAGTCATTTCATTGCATTGATATTGAGAAAAAATGCTACCCTAATTTAATTATAGACAGTTTCCTCCTGCCTGCTGCACAGAGAAAACTCATTCACACCACAGAGACTTAGGGTTTCCCCTTGGGCTTGATTATCTGCACCATGTACAGGGTACAGAAGATGGGAAAACTTAACTGAATCTAAGAAAAGAGTTTCACATAAGCCTGGAACCTCAAAGGGTGACACTCTCAGTGTTGAGTGAAACAAGAAATAAATGTAGACATTCAAAAGAGGACAGTGTGGGAACTTGCCTTTCTCAAATTGAGTTCCAGATGAAGAAGAAATCTCCAAAAAGAATTTAGTTTTTCAAGATGGCTTTCACATAAATTGTGTTTTAAATTTATGTTTTATGATTAAGATGGAACAGAAACACCCCTCTTTAGGGGCCTATAGAAAAAAAAGAAAATCCTGAGTTCCTTCAAAAAAAAAATCCAGATAGCTAAGTAGCCCCTAAAAAGTAAATAAGTAACTTGTTAAGCAAGAAGGTAATAGCCTAAAACAGTAGTCACAAAAGTTGAAGTCCAAAGATAGTTGCTTTCCCTGTAAAAACTAAAGATAATATCCTAACATATGTCCCTGAGTTATTTCAACTGCTGTGACAAAATTCTTGGCAAACAAGAACCAGACACCCAGCAAATTTAACTTTCAGAAATGAGAGGAAAATAATGGCATTTTCACACAATCATTAAGCTAGGGAGTTCACCGCAGAAAGACTTCTTTTTTTTTTTTTGAGACGGAGTCTCGCTGTTGCCCAGGCTGGAGTGCACTGGCGCGATCTCGGCTCACTGCAGGCTCCGCCCCCTTAGGGTTCACGCCATTCGCCTGCCCCAGCCTCCCGCCTCAGCCTCCCGAGTAGCTGGGACTACAGGCGCCTGCCACCTTGCCCGGCTAATTTTTTGTATTTTTAGTAGAGACGGGGTTTCACTGTGTTAGCCAGGATGGTCTCGATCTCCTGACCTCGTGATCCACCCAACTCGGCCTAGAAAGACTTCTTTACAGAAATCTTAAGGAATGCATTTTAAGGTCAAGGAAATTATGCTAGAAGGAAAGTCTGTGATACAAAAAGGAAAGAAAGAAACAATAAACAAAGATATATGGATAATACCAAGCAATTATTGACAGCACACAAACCAATAAAAATATCTAATACACAGTAGATAAAACACAGGCCAAAATGAAAATACTTCACAGTAGGAGTTTGTAAATTGCATAGGGAGATCATGAGAGTTTGTGTTTATATTACTCAAAAGAAAGGTAAAGACAGACTTTATTGTATTGAGTAAGTATTAACCTGGTTAAAGTAGCCAAGGTAACCAAATAAAGGGTGAATATAGAACATATAAATTCCAAACAAACAGAGGAAAGAAAATGTGTGGAGTTGGAGGCAGAGGTGTGAGAGGTGGGGGGGAACTGAATTGAAAACAAGGCAAGGAAGGAGTGGGGGGAAAATTAGAAAAAAAGTGATACAAGTAGGAGACACCTGGTAAGCTGATAGAAATTGACTCCATTATATAAGTATTCAAAAGAAATAATACAAGTTAACTCCTCATATGTACCCAACAGAAATTCTACTTGATAGAAAGTCATGTACTCAAGTGTTCTGAGTAGTGTATGCAAAATAGCCAAAAACTGGAAACTTCTCAAACACCTATTCCACAGTACAATGGAAAAATAAATTATTGTTTATTTTATACAAGAGAATTCTATGCAGCAATGAGAATGAAAAATCTACAACTACATGCAACAATATGGGTGAGTCTCTTAAACATCATGTTGAGTGAAAGAAGGTAGACACAAAAGACAACCTAGTGTATGATTCCATTTACATGAAGCACAACAAACAGGCAAAACAAATTCATAGTTTAGAGATAAAGATGGTGTAGGGAGGAGGAAGGAAGAGGAAATAGGGAGGGAGGAAGGAGGAGGAAGAAAATGTAGAAACTAGAAGGACGGGAATCTGGGAGGTAGTGAGATTTTCTTTCTCCATCAATGTTTTGGTTACACAACTGAATCCAGTAGGTAAAGATTCATTAAGTGACATATCTATGATTTATGCATATTACTGTATGTAGAATGTAGATTAAATTTCAGTAAGTGGGTTTTTTTTTTCTTTTAAGTTCAGGGATACAGGTGCAGGTTTGTTACATAGGTAAATTTGTGTCATGGGGGTTTACTGTATAGATTATTTCATCACCCAAGCATCAAGCCCAGTATCCATTAGTTCTTTTTCTTGATCCTCTCCCTCCTCCCACCCTCCACCCTCCAAAAGGCCCCAGTGTGTGTTGTTCCCCTCTATGTGTTCATGTGTTCTCATCATGTAGCTTATAAGTGAGGACATGCAGTATTTGGTTTTCTGTTCCTGTGCTAGTTTGCTAAGGTTAATGGCCTCCAGTTCCATCCATATCCTTGCAAAGGACATGATCTTGTTCTTTATTATGGCTGCATAGTATTCCATGGTGTACCACATTTTCTTTATCCAGTCTACTATTGATGGACATTTAGGTTGATTCCATGTCTTTGGTATTGTGAATAGTGCTGCTTCTTCACAGCAAAGGAAACCATCAACAGAGTAAACAGACAACCTACAGAGCAGGAGAAAATTTTCACAAACTATACATCTGCCAGAGGTCTAATATGCAGCATCTATAAGGAACTTAAACAAATTTTCAAGAAAAAACAAACCATCCCATAAAAAGTGGGCAAAGGACATGAACGAACACTTTTCAAAAGAAGACATGCATGGAGGCAACAATTATATGAATAAAAGCTCAACATCACTGATCATTAGAGAAATGCAAATTGAAACCACAAAGAGATTCCATCTCACACCAGTCAGAATGGTTATTATCAAAAAGGCCAAAAATAACAGATGCTCGTGAGGTTGTGGAGAAAAAGGAATGCTTACACACTGTTGGTGGGGGTGTAAATTAGTTCAGCCATTGTGAAAGACAGTGTGACGATTCCTCAAAGGCCTCAAGTAAATGGTTTTAGAAATTCAGCTGCATGTTATTAATAAGAGACACACCTATTATTTAAGGAAACAGAAATATTAAAGGTTCAAGGATGAAAAAAATTGCCAGGTAATAATTAACTGAATAATTATACAAAATGGACCTCAAGGCAAAAAAGCATTGCTATAAATAAAGACATTCACTGAAACATGATGTAAAATTCCTAAGTTTGTGTGTACATAAGGATATAAATTCAAAATATGCAGAGCGACATGTTCCTGAGCTAAAGATATTGACAAATTCACAAACATAACAAGAGATTTGAAAACATTTATATTAGCAATCTAAAGATCAAGCAGACAAAAAAATCTAAAAGATATAGATTATTTAAAAGAAAAATTTTAAATCTCAACTAATTTGTTGTACCCAACAATTTGAGAATACACATTTTTCTTAAGCATATATTGAACACTTACAAAAATTAGCCATATGTTAGACTATACAGGTAATATTAATAAATTCTAAAGATTGGCTATTCCACAGATCACATTTTCTCGCTACAAGGCAATTGAATTAAAAAATCAATAAAAAATTAACTAACAAATAATAACCTTTATTTGGAAATTTGAAAAACACACATAATTCTATTTAATTGATATTTAAAAAGACATCTTAGTAACATCTAAAAATAATTTTTAAAAAAATCACAAACAGAAAAATGTGTTCATTAAACCTAAAGCTGCACTTGGAGAGAGAAACTTACAGCCTATATGTTCACATCAGAAACGAATTCTCAAAATTAATGAGTTACAAACATCTCATAAAATAGTTTACAGAAAAAAACACAGGAGAATATATCCAAAGAAAGAGGGAAATAAAAATTAGAGGTAAGACCAGAAATTAGTGAAATTAAAAACACAGACATAACAGCGATATCAGCAATGCCAGAAATTGAATCTTTAAAAGCCCAGTAAAAGAGACAAACTTTGGAAATATTAATTAAGAGAAGAAAAAAAAAGGTTAAGCACAAGTAAACAGTGTTAGAAATGAAAAAGGGGACATGATAAAAGGTGCTATAGAAATTAACAGAAAATAAAAGAACATAGTGAAAGACTTTTGTCAGAAATGGATTAACTTTGGCTGAAATGGATAAATTTTTTGAAAAAAATACAACTTATTGAAATTCATTTAAAAAGAAATATTTCTACAATGTGTAAAAAAAATTGATTGGTAGGTAAAATCTTTCTCACACACACAAAATTACTAGGTCCACATAGCTTTACTGCCAGTCCTGTCATTCAAGAGACAGATAATTCCAGGCTTACACAAAATCTTCCTGAAAATAAAAAAGAAAAACAAAATCCCCCAAATCATGTTATGAGGCCAACCTAACCTTGTCATCAAATTCAAAGAGTAGTACAAGAAAGAAAATTACAAGGCCAGTCTCACTCATGAATACAGGTGGGAAAATTCTGCGTAAAATATCAGCACACCAAAACCAGTAATAATATGAAAGATAATTTTTCATGACCAATTGGGATTTGTCCTAGGAAAACAGGAAACTAATTATTTGTAATTCACTATGTTAAATTATTTGTAATTCACTGTATTAAATGGTTATTTTTTAAAGATATTTTAAAAAGCATTCAATAAAATGAAAATTCATTTGCAATAAAATCTCTCAGCACATTAGGAATTGGAGAGGTGCTCTTTATTTCCTTTTTGCCTTGCAGATCTATCCTCTGCCTACCTCTCCCTTGATCTGGCATCTGGGAGTCCAACCCCTAAGGGCTGCATCACTTAGGTGCCTTACCCTTAGCTGCATGTGAGCAAGAAATTCAAGGGTGGGAAGAGATGAGAAGAAAGTCAGGGTATTTCCTCCCTTCCCTGATGAATGCTGCAGCTCAGGCTATATAACTACAACTCCTACTAGACAGTCCCTTGTTCCAAGTCCAGCTCTCACTAGTATAGTAACAGCAGGTCTAGAAAAGATAAACAGCTTCCTATTACGTGCTTTACCATACGCTATTCATTGCCCTAGCTCTGTCTATGCCTATATAAATTTTCTTTCATTCAATACTCTTCAGAATTCCAGCTCATATGCTATTAACCTTTGTTACAGGTTGACTTGTATTCCGTCTTGAATTTGTATGTTGAAGTCCTAACCTCCAGGACCTCAGAATGTAACCATATTTGGAAATTAATAATTTAAAGAAGTAATTAAGTTAAAATGTGGTCTTTAGGACAGGCCCTAATCCAATATGACTGGTGTCTTTATAAGAAGAGATTAAGACATAGACACATACAGAGTACAGACTGAGGATACTAGCAGGAAGATGGTCTTCTACAAGCCAAGGAGAGAGGCCACAGAATAAAATTAACCCTGTCAACACCTTGATCTTGAACATCTCCACTCCAGAACAATAAGAAAACAAATTCCTGTTGTTTAAGTCATCCAGCCTGTGAAACTTTGTTTTGGCAGCACTAGCAAATTGATACAACTCATTAAAAGACATCTACAAAAAGACAAACAAGTAAAAAACAAAACAAGACACAGCAAACATAATTATTAACGATTAAATGTTAAAAGCATTTCCTTTAAGACTGGCAACAATGTAAAGATTCTATATATCACTAATTATATGGAGGTTCTAAAAAGTCTAGACAGTAAAACAAGAAGAAGGATTAGAGATATAAAAACAAAGCTATCATTATTTGCAGATTGTAAAATTGTCTACGTACAAAATTCAAAAATCTAAGGATAACTTATTAGAGTAAATAAGAGAGTTTAGTTAGTTTGCTTAATACAAAAGCAACGTACCAAAACTATTGGCATGTTTATATTCCAGCAATAATCATTTTAAAAAGGTAACTTTAAGTATTAGGTATTAATCCCAATAACAGTAACATGGTATACTTAGGAATAATTCTAACAAAAATACTCAAGGCCTGATAAAAAATATAAAATTTTGTAAAAGACAGTAGACAAATGAAAAGATATAAGCACCATGACCTTGATAGAAGGACTCAATATCATAAAATTATCAGTACTCTCTAAATAAATTCATAGCAGTTATGATCCATCTTGATAGATTGTTTCTTGAAAATTGCCAACCTGATCCTAAAATTAATATGAAAGAGATAAGACCCAAATTAGCCAATACACTTCTGCCAGCCACGAAGGCATATTATAAATCTACAGTTAAGATAGTGAGTCCCAACACAAGGTTGAATAAATAGAATCAATAGAATACAATATATCAGAAAAGCCAGAAACAAGCCCATGTAAAATGTAAATGATTTATGAAAAAATAATTGTGACCTACAGATAAGGGAGAAAATAATGGATTATAACAGCAAACAGTGCTGAAACAGTTGGGAACAATGTATAAAATCAATTCCATGTGGATTTAAGATTTAACATGAAAAAAACCCTACAGACTACACGGTACTATAATTAAAAATAGGGGAATATATATATATTTACTTTAGGGAAACATTTATTAAGAAACAAAAGGCCTAATCCACACAGAAAAATATTAATAAATTTTACTGTATTAAAATTTAGAACTTTAAATCTTCAAAAGATACCACAGAAAGAGTAAAAAGACAAGCCAAACACTGAATAATATTATTTGAACGTTATACAAACAAAATAAGACTAGTATTAATGACTTCGATGAATCAATAAGAAAAAAGCAAATAACACAGCCTCCCCTCACCAAAAAAAGGCAAATGATATCCCTGCATATAAGAAGCAGCACAAACCACTATCAGATAATATTTCATACTTGACTGGTAAAAATTAGACAGTTGGTCAATAAAAAGTATAGGTGAATATATGTAATTATGTGACCTCTCATCCATAACGTTGAGAGTAAAAATACTACAAGCATTCTGGAAAATAGCATTGCACTACCCTAAAGAGTTGTATATGCACTTATCCTATGACCTGGCTACTTCACTCCCAAATAAAAGGGAAATACTTGTACATAAACACTAGAAGCCAGGCACAAGAATGTTCATAAAGAAAGCAAAGATATAAATATCCATTAGTAGTATAATATACAAATATATCATAATTCATCTAGTAGAACAACAGTGAAAACAAATGAGCTTTTTCAGCATAAACATGATTGAATCTCAAAAATATCACATTATGTAAAGGAAAAAAGCAAGTCATAGAAAAATACGTGAAGCTTGTTTTTATTCCTAAAGAATTCAAAAATAGGTAAATTGAACAATATTTAAGAATATATATGCACATGTAGAAGTATGTATATGTTTAAGTATGAATGTATGTACATAAATGTGTACATGTACATATATAGACATACACATATGTATGTTAAATTGTTTAAATTATTTTTAATTACAATGAGTAATTTACACAAAACTTAGAATAGTGCTTATTCTCTGATAAGACAGATAGGAAAGGAGATGTGATTGGAGGGGGGCATACTTGTATCTTAAAAAAATATTAATGTTCTATTAAGAATGTTAACATTCTATTTCATAACCTTGGTGGCAAGTACTCTTGTGTCCATTTGATACTATTTGAAAACAGATAATAATGACTTTTCTATACTCATTTGTTTATATAGTCGCTATGGTTTCGATATTTGTCTCCTTCAAGCTTCATGTTGAAATTTGATCCTCAATGTTGGATGTGGCCCTAATGGGAGGTGTTTGGGTCCTGGGGGCAGATCCTCCCTGAGTAGATTAATTTGCTCCTTGGGAGTGAGTTCTCACTCTATTAGTTCCCTTGAGAGTTGGTTGTTAAAAAGAGCTGGCTCCTCCCCACCTCTTGTTTCCTCTCTCACCATGTGATCTTTGTACACACAGCTCCCCTTCTTCTTCCACTATAAGTAGAAGCAGCCTGAGGCACTCATCAGATACAGATGTCCAATCACAAACTTTTCAAACCATCAGAACTATAAGCCAAATGAACTCTTTTCTTTACAAATTACCCAGCATTTGGTATTCCTTTATTACAACACAAAACAAAAATAATAGTATATTTCCTTTTTTCAAAAAAATAGAGTTGTTAAAATCACCATGCTGACCAGAGATGTTCAGTTGGGTTATGAACTGATTAGTGTAATCATCCAATCTTCATTAATCACTATGTATTCTTTTTTTTTTTTTTTGAGATGAGGTCTTGCTCTGTCACCCAGAATAGAGTGCAATGACATGATCACAGCTCACTGCAGCCTCAACTTCCTGGGTTCAGGTGATCCTCCCACCTCAGTCCCCCAAGCATCTGAGGCCCCATGCACACGCCACCACACCCAGCTAATTTTTAAATTTTCTTTTTAGAGATAGGGTCTCTCTATGTTGGCCAGGCTGGTCTCAAACTCCTGGCCTCAAGTGATCCTCCTGCCTCAGCCTCCCAAAGTGCTGGGATTACAGGTGTGAACCACTCTGCCCAGCCCGTGTATTCTATTTTTAAGTTGAAAACTCATTTAAATAATTATTTCACAGTTTGAATATTGTAAAAACGGAAATCTAAATAGATGCCATGACCACCTTGAACCACAGAAACCCCTAGAACATTTGCTGAATTACGAGGTTTCACAAATGACCTCAAGGAACTAGGAAAAAAAGAACCCAAACCTCAAAGTTAGCAAAAGGAAAGAAATTGCAAAAATTAGAGTAGACAGCTGGGCACAGTGGCTCATGGCTGCAATCCCAGCACTTTGGGCGGCCAAGGCAGACGGATCACTTGAGGTCAGGAGTTTAGACCAGCATGGTAAAACTCCATCTCTACTAAAAATACAAAAAAATTAGCTGGTCGTGGTGGCACACACCTGTAATTCTAGCTGCTTGGGAGGCTGAGGTGAGAGGATTGCTTGAACCCAGGAGACGGAGGTTGCAGTGAGCTGAGATCATGCCACTGCACTTCAGCCTGGGAGACAGAGCAAAACTGTTTCAAAAAAAGAAAATTAGAGTAAACAAAATAGAAAATTTTAAAAAAGAAAAAGTCAAAAAAACAAAGTTGGTTTATTTTTGTGAAAATATAAACAAAATTGACAGACCCTTAGCTAGACTTTAAAAAAAGACTCAAATAAGATCAGAAATAAAGGTGAAGACATTATACCCTATGCTACAGAAATAAAAATAATTGTTAAATACTACTATGAACAAATAGACATAAAAAATGAAAATTTTGCAGATAAAATGGATTAATCCTAGATACATACAACCTACCAAGACTAAATTACAAAAAAAGAGAAAATCTGAGCAGATCTGTAACTAGGATGGAGGTTGAACTGGTAATTGAAAACCTCCCAAAAATAAAGCCCAGGACCAGATGGCTCCACTGGTGAATTCTACCAAACACTAAAAGAAGAAATAACACCAATCGTTTTCAAACCCATTCAAAAATTGCAGAAAAGGAAACATTTTCACACTCATTTTATGAGGCCAGCATTAACCTGATACCAAAGCCAAATGAAGACATGAGAACAGAAAACTACAGTCCCTGATGAATATAGACACAAAGTATCTTCAACAAAATACTAGCAAACTGAATTTAATAGCATTAAAAGGATCACACAATGACCAAGTGTAATTTATCCCTGAGATGAAAAAATAGCTCAACAAACACAAATCAATTAACAGACTGAAGGATAAAAGTCACATGATCATCTCAACAGATAAGGAAAAAAATTTTGGCAAAATTCAACACTCTTTCATATAAAAACTCTCAACAAATTAGAAATGGAAGGAATATACCTCAACATAATAAAGGTCACATATGAGAAATGACAGCTAATATCATACTCAAGGGTGAAAAACTGAAAGCTTTTCCACTGAGATGAGACACAAGGCAAGGCTGCCCACTCTTGCCACTTTTATCTATCATAGTACTAGAGGTCTTAACCAGAGCAATTAAGCAAGAAAAAGAAATAAAAGGCATCAAAATTGGAAAGCAGGAAATAAAATTGACCCTGTTTGCAGGCAACATGATCTTATATATAGAAAACCCGAAAGACTCCATTAAAACAAAAATCTGTTAGAACTAATAAATGAATTCAATAAAGTTGCAGGATACAAAATCAACATGCAAAAATCAGTTGTGTTTTTATACACTAACAATGAACTATCTAAACAGGATATTTGGAAAACAATCCCATTTACAACAGCACCAAGAAAATATTGAGGAATAAACTTCATCAAGGAGATCAAAGACTTATATACTGAAAAGCATTGATGAAAGAAATTAAACAAGATGTAAGCAAATGGAAAAACACCCTATGTTCATGGATTAGAAGACTTAATGTTATTAAAATACCCATACTATCCAAAATGATCTACAGAGTGCAGAGTCAATGTGATTCCTATCAAAATACCAAAGACATTTTTTACAGAAATAGAAAAAACAATCCTCAAATTTATATGAAATCACAAAAGACTTCTAATAGCCAAAATGATCTTGAAAAAGAAGAAAAAAGCTCCTGGTGTGTATATATGGTACTGACATAAAAATAGACATATAGACCCATGTAACAGAATAGAGAGCCCACAAATAAATTCACACCATATAGTTAACTGATCTTCAACAACGGGCCCAAGAATACACAATGGAGAAAGGACAATCTCCTCAACAAATGGTGTTTAGAAAACTGGATGTCCACATGCCAAAGAATGAAACTGAATCTTTATTTCACACCATACACAAAAATCAACTCAAAATGGATTAAAGATTTCAATATGAGATCTGAAACTATAAAACCCCTAGAAGAACATAAAGAAGAAAAGCTTCATGACATTGGTCTTGTCAATGATTTTTTGGATACAACCCCAAAAAACATAGGCAACAAAAGCAAAATTAGACAAGTGGGACTACTTTGAACTAAAATCTTCTGTATAACAAAGGAAACAATCCACAAAATGAAAAGGGAACTTACAGAATGGGGGAAAATATTTGGAAACCATGTATCCAATAAAGGGTTAATGTCCAAAATATATCAGGAAATTCAACAACTGAATAGTAAAAAAACTAACATCCCAATTAAAAAATGGGCTAAGGACTTGAACAACAGATATTTCTCCAAAGAAGACTTACAAACTGGCCAGATATAGGAAAAAGTGCTCAAAATCACTAATCATCAGAGAAATGTAAATCAAAACCATGATTAGATATCACTCCATACCTATTAGGAGGGCTATTACCAAAAAAAAAAAAAAAAAAAAAAAAAAAAAAAAAAAAGATGTGGAGAAATTGAGACCTTTGTACACTGTTGATGGGAATGCAAATGGTGCCCCTGCTATGGAAAAGAACATGGAAGTGAACATTCCTCTAAATATTACAAATAGAACTACTCTATGAACCCGCAGTTCCTCTCTGGGTATTTAGCCAAAAGAATTGAAATTAAGATTTCAAAGAGACATTAGCACTCCCATGTTTATTGCAGCATTATTCACAGTGGCCAAGATGTAGAAGCAACCTAAATGTCCAACAACAGATGAATGGGTAAGGAAAATATGGTAATATATACAAGGTAATACTATTCAGCCTTTAAAAAGAAGAAAATTCTCATATGTGACAACATGAATGAATCCTGAGAACATAATGCTAAGTGAAATAAGCCAGTTACAGAAAGACAAATACTGCATGATTCCACTTTCATGAGACATCTAAAATACTCAAACACATAGAATCAAAGAGTAGGATACCAGGGGCTGAAGGAGATGAGGAAATGGGGAGTGACTAATGAATTGTCATAAAATATCAGTTAAACAAGATGAATGCTTTCTAAAGATATGCTGTATAACACTGCACCTGTAGTCAATAAAATGCTGTACTCTATAATTAAAAATGTGTTAAGAAGGTAGATCTCAGGTTGAGTGTTCTAATCACAATGAAATAAAATTTAGAAAGAAAAGGAAAAATAATGATCTGCAAAGAAATAACAGTCAGTCTCAGTTGTCATGTCCATCCTCCCCTTGGGCTCCTGGCCATATTTGCTGCCGTTGGTCCAGGTGCACATTTGTAGCCTTATCAGCTACATCCAGAGAGGCAAAATAACCAGGCTTTAGTTAAAGCCCAGTAATCTCTCTATGAGAAATAATCTAGTGCCGAGTCCCTCGGCAGGGGCTGCCAATGGACACTATATACACAAACACATACACTATATATGTAAACTATATATATAAACTATATATATATATAAACTGTAAATATACATAACAACATAGTATATGGGTATTAGTCTGTTCTCACACTGCTAATAAAGACATACCCAAGACTAGGTAATTTATAAAGGAAAGAGGTTTAATTGACTTTCAGTTCTGCATGGCTGGAGAGGCCTCAGGAAACATACAGTCATGGTGGAAGTGGAAGCAAACACATCCTTCTTCACATGGCAGCAGCAAGGAGAAGTGCAAAGTGAAGTTAGGGAAAAGCCCCTTATAAAACTATCAGATCTCGTGAGAACTCACTCACTATCACTAGAAGAGCATGGAGGTAACTGCCCCCATGATTCAATTACCTCCCACTGGGTCCCTCCCATGATGCATGGGGATTATGGTAACTACAGTTCAAGATGAGATTTGGGCAGGGACAAAGCCAAACCATATCAATATGTATCTTACATATTCTTTTTGACTTATATAATTGATAGCAAGTGACTATTTTAGGCATTAATAATACTTTAGAAATGTTTTTAATAATTGATAATACCAGAGAGAGAGTCACCAAATTTTGCTACAATCCTGAGGTATGAGATAAATGGCCTTGAAAACTCAACTTTATTACCATCACACACAGAGATAAAGAGAACATAAAAATGAAAAAAATTGTGCAGGCAAAAAGTTTATGAAATATATATAATAGAAAATTTATAGAATATAAAGTTCATACATCTGTATTAACTCTTGTGAACGCTAAAATGATCCACACAAACACACACTTCCAACCTTCAACTTACTGGATGGAGAACTGCTCAACCTTTGTTTTCCTTTTGTGGGCATTGTCAACACTATCGCTAGTTAACATTTTCTTTTTAATTTTATTTTTCTGATTAAAAGTTTGAATGGCTCCCCATTTTCAAGAAAAAGAAATTATTGCAATTACTTAACTTGACATTCAATGAATCTCACAGTTTGTTTCCCTGCCACCGTGCTCCATGCTTCTACACTACAAACACATCAAACTTAATACTCCTTAATCTCCAAACCTCTTTGCCTTCATTGGCATTCTTCCTAGATCACTCTTACATGATGGATCAATTAGGATATAATAAGTTAAAATGCAGAAGCAAATAATCCAAAAATCTCAGTGGCTTGAAATTAAGCAAGGTTTATTTCTCACTCATGAGACATGCCATCATGAGATGACCAGGGGCCCAGCTCTGCAACACTTTCATTCTTACTCTGGGCCCCAGGTGGATAGAATAGGCATTATCTGAAGTATTGTTTGTTGAAGGAACTAGGAGAAAAAAGAGCATGGCAGATTACACCATGTACTGAAGCTTTCACTAGGAGTTAGCCAAAGCCAATCACACAAACACACAGCATCAAAAGGGAAGGGAAGCTTTTGTCCAAAAGAAAGACAATAACAAATGCTGGAAAGGATGTGGAGAAGGGAATGCTGGTACAATGTTGGTGGGAATGTAAATTAGTACAACCACTATGGAGAACAGTTTGGAAGTTCCTCAAAAAAACTAAAAATTGAGCTTCCATATGATTCGGCAATCCCACTGCTAGGTATATACCCAAAAGAAAGGAAATCAGTATGTATCTAAGAGGTATGTGCACTCTCATGCTTGCTGCAACACTGTTGACAATATCCAAGAGTTGCAAGCATCTTAAGAGTCCCTCAACAAATGAATGGATAAAAAAAATGTGGTACTGATACATAATGGAGTACTATTCAGTCATAAAAAACAATGGGGTCCTGTCATTTGCAACAACGTAGATGGAGCTGGAGGTCATTACGTTAAGTGAAATAAGCCAGGCACAGAAAGACAAACATCATATGTTCTCATTTATTTGTGGGATCTACAAATCAAAAAATTGAACTCATGGAGACAGAAAATAAAAAGATGGTTACAAGATGCTGGGAAGGATAGTGGGGAGTGATGGGGGAAGGTGAGGATGGTTAATGGGTACAAAACCCAATTTTTAGAATGAATAAGACCTAGTGCTTGATAGCACAACAGGGTGGCTATAGTCAAAATAATTTAACTGTACATTAAAAAATAACTAAAAGAGTATAATTGAATTCTTTGTAACACAAAGAATGCTTGAGGAGATGGCTACCCTATTTATCCTGATGTGATTATTATGTATTGCATGCCTGTATCAAAATATCTTACGTATCCCATACATATATACACCTACTGTGTACCTACAAAAATTTAAAATTTATAAAAAGGGAAGAGAGGAATAATCCCCACTCAGGGAGAGGTGCATCTATTGCCAAAGGTTCTACTACAACTTCTTTTTCACCTACTTTTCTTTGAACAGTAGGTCAAATACTTCTGATTCCTAAAAGTTTCCCTGACTTTTCTAGAGTCAGTCCCCTGACTTGTTGCACTCTCAGATCAATTTCTATCGACTCGTGAATGGTATTTATGATGTTGGGTATTTTGTTTGTTTGTATTTTCATTGTATTGTTCAGCCTTATTAAGGTAGAATATATATATATATATATATATATATAAATTCACCAACATTAAGCATACAATTTGATGAGTTTGACAACTATAAACAGACATGCAACAACCAAAACAATCAAGATAAAGAACATTTCTACCACCTTAAAAATGTCCCCCATGTCCCTTTGCAGTCAATCTCTTCCCCCAACTCCCTGGTTCCCAGGAACCACAGGCTAGCTTTCTATCATTGCAGTTCTGCCTTATCTAGACTTTCATATAAATAGAATCATACAGTATACAGTTGTAATGGGTTGAATGGTGCCCCACAAAAGAAATGTTTATGCTTATTCCTTAGGACCTGCGAATGTGACCTCATTTTTTAAAAGGGTCTGTATGGATGTAAGTGAAAGATCACAAGATGAGATTTTCCTAGGTTATCTGGGTGGGCCCTAAAGCCAATGACATGTGTCCTCAAAAGTGTTAGAAACTACAGAAGTTATTCTTCCTCCTCCTTTCCCTGTTCTTGGTAGTTTTCTCACTTGCATGCATTAATACTCAACTAAAGACTTGAAGGTAGCACTCTGCACATCTCCAGAATAGCTCTCCCCACTTTCTCTTTCTCTCAGTCTCTTCCTATCCTTGAAGCTCTCCACTCTAGGACTGTGCCTGAAAATTCTAGCCATCTTGATCTCCCCAAATTCACAATTCGTTTTGAGGAGGCTTCTGGACTCTCTTTGGGTCTTGCACTATGACCTGGAAACTCTCTCTAGGGAGCAAGCTGGGGCAATTGCAGAGCTCACCTTATTTGTTTCCCTTTTCTCTGGGATCACTGTCATGCACTGTCTGTTATCCAATGCCTACAACCATTGTTTCACACATTCTCTATGCCCTTTGTCCTCACAATTTATGTGTCATTATCCAAAAGCATTGCTAAAAAAGACTGTCTTGTATATGCTACCAAAAAATAAGCAGCTACAGAAATGCCCTTAAGAATCTTGAGTGTGCTATGGGCAGAACTAAACAAACTTCATAGGTTAAGCTGACTTAATTTTAATGTCCTCAAATTTCTACAAATAGGAAGTAGAAGATAGTTTATGTAATCTCTGCTGCCAAGCAAAAATGCAATCATGAGTAGTCATGTTCTGTTTTGCAGTCCAATATAACAGAAACTCAGGTCAAAAATGACTAAATATATAGGCACCAATGCTAGTCTGGCTTAACTTTGTCTTTCTTTCTGTTTCTTGCTAGCCTCAGTTTCCTCATATGTAAAATGAGAATAATAAAAGTGTTCTCACCATGGACGTCCCATAAGGTTTAAATAACTCAGAGCATTAAGGTGTATTCATTTTGAATCTTAGTGAGAATTCAGCAAGTATCCATTGTCATCATTATTTTGTGATGTTATGACAACGTTTCCTCAGAATACCTTATCTTTAACCACAGAAGCGGAGAGTGGTCTCTCCTTGAAAGTCAAAGGAGCTTATTGTAGTATTTACCTCCATTTACTTTTGCTGAGGCAAGGCACTGTAGGGTTTGGCACAAGAATCAAATAATTTTTTGTTCCGCTAGACCCTTCCAAACCCTCTTGATGCCCAGGCACCTGGGAGTATGTACACCATAGAAATGTGAAGCTCTTTTAATTAAATACTGGAAAATCTGTAGATATCGTGAAAGAAATTCAGAAAATGATGTGAAACTCACAGTGAGAAACAATAAAAAAAAAGGTTATTTATAGGCTGAATAAATCATCACTGTTAGTGACGCTGATTTTGCAAGGTACAGGTAAGCCTTTTTCTACCACCTGTTGCGACTTTAAACTAGGTAGCTGGACAATTTTCTTACCCAGCTGAAAAATCAGGTGAAGGCTATGAACTAAGACATTCCCTGTTGCCTTCCATACAAGTTGAGTGCTGGGATTACTGGCTATACAATTATATACACATGAAACTGCTATTGTCTGCCACCTTCAAACTGCTTTAGCTTTTTTACTGGGTCCCATTTCAAATCATTGTCCCTGAATAGCAACTTGGGATTGTTCTTTCAATCACACGTGGCAGCTGCTGCCAGCAACCTTTGCAAACTCTGTGTTGCCAGCAGGTATTTGTACAACACAGGAGGAATATGCTGAGTAGAAATATTGTGCTGTCAATTAATAATCCTAATGCCATTAATGTAATATGCCTTGAGCAGCCACTGACCAGTTCTTGCTGTTAAAGGGAATGAATAGAGGAGCTATTTGTTAGGACTAAGCAGCCACCCTCTCCTTCAAAGCCCTTTACCAACTTCTGTAGTGAAAAGCATATGGATTGTAATTGTTTCTAAATCTCTCATGTAAACTGAGTTTATATTTGGCAGAGAGTCAGAGAAGAAGATGAAAATATAGCCATGTCTCAGTGAAAACTGATGAAGGAAGACTCAATTGTGCTGTAATAAATTTCCTTCTCAATTATTATAGCCCAAAGAAAACTTTTTACCCAGTAGGGAACAGGGGAAAATGCCAGGAGATAGCCTGAGGAACACAAAATATCGTCCATGCTAATTCCAGCACAAATTGCTACCAAGTTTTCTTGCTACAAAATGGGCATAGCTTTTTAAAGGTTATGTGTAATGTGAGTAACAGGCTCTGAAAAATGTTTTCTTGCTGCTAACATAACCAGGATATGAATCTTACAATTGAATTCTCTTATCTGACAGGAATGTTGACTATTTAATGTTTTTTAGTTTGGCATGAGATAGAATCACTGTAAATAAAAAATACATATGAAGGGAATAAAAACGCTTTTTCCATAAATTAATCAGATACCATTCAAAGGTAGAACTCGCTCCTCAAAATGGAAAATACCACAGGCAGTTTATTGTCTTTATGCATCATTGAAATAAGTTAATTCAATCTGTTGTGTTAGGAGAAGAAAAATAATCCCTATTTCTTTCAAAACCAATTATACACTGCTTTCATGTATATATCCATAGTTCATGTATATATCCATAGTTTCTTGTCCAGCACTCTTTTTTCTAAAACAAAACTGGGTTATGGTTTGTGTGTCTATGCTTAAGAATGCACTCAACATGTGTGGGAGGGTGACAGTGAGTAATCATAACAAATATTTATTAAATGCTCACTCTTTGCTAAGCTTTATGTGCATTATCTCTGTTGATCTTTACAATAGTCACTCGGTGAGTACCATTTTCCAAATTTATTTTGCAGATGAGAAAAGAGAAAAGGACTTGACTGAAATGCCTAATTCTTTCCTTCATAAGCATACCTTCTTAACACAGAATTTCATAGGGTGTTTTTTACCTAGTTCTATCCCCACTGGCCACCATAATCTCTTTTGAATAATGGTTTAGGGAACATTCAGTCATTGTATTTAAACAAGGTCTTAACAGATTTGTGAGAATGCCTCAACAACACTCTGTATCAAGATTCATACTTTTAAAAAATAATTCATGAAAATATAAAGGAGTTTTACATCAATGTACTCTTCTTTCCCCTAAATATCTCATAATGTCCCATATCTCCTGTGCCTAAGAGAAGAGCCTGTCCCCTGGCTGTCCTCAACTCTCTTGTAATCATGTCATCTTGTAGGAATATCTGCTTCTTCCCTCAGAGACCTTAACATCACCCACAGTTCATCAACTTCATACATTCAGAGTGCTTATCACTAATTTCTGCAAAAGATTTTATTTTCCCCTAATCCATTCTGGAAAAGCTGGCCACTACCCTTATTAGTTAATGGGCATGTTCATGTGATACTGCAGCTCTCTGTCTCTCTCTAGCCTAAATGTTTTCTACCTGTGCCTTCACTGGTGGCATGCTCTCTTTGGTTTATCCACTCTCCTGTGTAAACTCCTCTTATAAGAATCTTCCCTTCCTGGTTGGACACTGAACAAAGAACATCACTCAGCACAAATACCACCCTTGCAGAACATTATTAACAGGGCCCCAGCAGTAGTCAAGTTTACTACTATTAAATCACCTTGTGCCCAGGTACCAGGTGGCAAAGCTCTATCCTTGATTCCATGTTATAAACCTACAATTGGCCAAATTACAAATTAAGGAGCTGGGACTTTTGGTCCCTATAGCACTAATAATCTTGGCCTATACTTAGATGCCCTGAGCTCTGAGTTCTATTCCATTGTTTATTATCCCCACATAAAATCTGAATGGCCTTGGATATGCTTGTGAATGGTCTGGGCAATACAAGGAATTCCTCCAACAGCTCCAAAGGAGTGTGCTGTTGCACTGTAGAGAACTAAAAGAAAAACACTGAATCCAGTGGTATGTTTAAAACAAACTCATTTTTTAAAGTAGAGAATATTCTTTAATTGTTCAGGAATTCAGGAAATTGTTAAAAGAACATTGGGAAACCTATAGAAGAGGAAAACTGGGGATGTGTCAGTTATGCTAAGTACTTGTATCTCTTTCTTTGAAGTTAGTTAAAGTTCTTTCCTGTGGGAAGATGCTTTTTTGTGACACTCTTGGGCTTTTAGCCATGGTTAAACAATACAAATGCTTTGTTTATATACAGTACCTTTCATCTTGGCTTTTTGCAAGGATTTGAACACACACATTTTAATCTTCACAGCATTTTATTGAGGTAGACATGTACTGGAATTGAACAGACAATGTAATTTAACTGGCAACGTTTACTGTCATGCAAGCAAAATCCTAGTTTCCTGACCATTTTCTGGCCTAGCCACTTTTCCTTGTTTTTTTACATTTCTTTTTACTTTTAGTTATTCCTTTTGAATTTATTTGGCTATGTATCTTTCGAATACTTATTTTACCAACCTGGATTATATAGTCTTGGTTTAGTGTTCACAGTATTTTAAAGCCATTTTCCCGAAAATGAATTTTCAAACTCCAGTTTAGGCAAAAGTCCCAAGGGAATCACTGTATAGTTTGTAATTTGTCTGGAAACTTGAATGAATGCAACCACAAGAAACGGCTGCCTTTTATTCTGGTTGATATTTTTAGCAGTGCTACTAATGAGCTATTTTCTTTCTCTCAACAATTTTGTGTGTTCTCAAAAACATGTAAGTTTTTCAAGAAATAAAGGTGGGCAATTTTATTTACTATGAACTTGGTTGGTTTTATAGTTAGCAAGTGCAGTGCCCTTCCCACATCTTCCTACACATGCATGTGCATCTTGCTGTCCTACACATGCATGTGTGCCATTAGCTTTTTGCTAGAATAAATTGACGTTGAGTTTAAAATTAAAAGTCTGGCACTTTGCCCTAAAAGTTAGCAGACCATGAGAAAGGAATTCTATAGAAAAAAGAATGGTCAATTTACATGAACTTGGAAGCAGAGATCATCTTACCTTCTCTTTCCAGGATGAAACCTGATAACTGAATGTGACTGCTGTTACCATGCACAGGGAAAGCAGCAGTTTTAAAAGAAACTTGGATCCAAAGAGTTTGAGTCTTTTTAAAACTCTCCATACCTCTGTGACACTCAGGAAAAAACTCAGTGAAGAACTCTGTCAACATGCTTTTTGTGTGGCTTGAGCCCAGTCACTAATGGGGCCAGGACCCTGTGTTCACCTAGGCAGGCATCTGGAAAGTTCTCCAAAGTAGCCCTCCCTACAATACACTACGGAAGGTCCTAGGGCACAGATCATGGTGGTGGGAGTCATAATCTGAAATCTCTACAGGTTACATTTACATCTTCATATTTACATTTACATATGGAAGAAGCCCCATAAGAAGAATGTTGGCAATTCCTTGTATACATGTGTTGGAAGATGTGGGAAGTATCAGTGTATACAATTCACTGATGAGCAGAATGAACAGGTATCCAGTTATATCCTCATCTTACTCTCACATTTTTCCTAAGTGGCCTTGCTCACTCTCATTTCTTTAATAAACATCTTTATGCTGATGACCCCCAGTTCTGATTTTCAATCATGATTTCTCTTCTTAATTTCAGAATCATATAGCTAACTGTCTCCTACTCATTTTGACTCTAATTTCTCACTAAGCTGAACTCACAATTTCTCCTGCACTTCCTGCTCCTCCTGTGTTTTGCATCTCAGGTATCATGATATCATCGCATTTACCAAAACCAGAAATCCTATAGCCATCCTTGACTCCTCCCTCTCCTCTCTCTTTCCATAGGCCCAAAATACACATACACATGAACTCACTCTTCGAAGACATCTATTGATTCTACCTTTGGAAGTCAACTACTAGGCTCCATCCCAATTGCCACCACAGCAGGTCAAGGTCGTATGATCTCTCCTCTGATAACTGTAACAGCCTTCTAATAAATTAATCTCCTGGTCTCCATTCTTACCCTCCTCCTGCTGACTCTCCAGAATTTTCTTTCAATCTTATCTAAGTGTTTGCAATTCCGCAAAAGCTGTATTCTCTGTTTTAAATGTGGGCCTTTACATTTGCCATGCCCTCCTGGTTAAAGACTCCCTTCTGCCCTTCCTGGCAGGCAAGTGCTACTTCCTGGCAGGCAACTTCCTCGCAGGCAACTGCTACTGACCTCAGCTTGACCTGACCTACCTCAGACCTCAGCTTGACCTGACCTAACCTCCAACTCTAAGTAAGGTTTTTCTTCTTTATAGTCCCTGAGCACTCAGTACTTTTCTTGCAGCAGGACAGGAGGACAGAAGTAGAGAATTCCCAGATGGCTTGTTTATACCCCAGCAGACCCCAGCCACCATCCAGCCTAGAACTTGGCCTGTCTTGTTTACCACTATATCCCTGATGTGTAGCACAGGCTTAGGACACAGTTGAGATTCAGTAAATATTTATGAATTCGGAAGACTAAAGTGGAAAGAAAGCAAGGAAGGGAGGAAGGAAAATAGGGAAAGGAGAAAGATTAGGCATAAACCAATCTGCTTTGTAAATATGTAATGGAATATGTAAATGTAAATCAATGTATAAGTAAACTCCTGAAATCAGTGTTTTTTTTCCTGCAATTTCTTCTTTGTTATAAAACTAGACTATAGAGAAAAAAATCATAAACAGTTTAAAGTTCTAATTGTCGGTTTCTGATCAATCAAGTTTTAACCTGTAAATTTATTCTGAAAGTCTGAATAATATTTTTGACACATAAGAGGAGATTAATGTTTAATAAAGGAATAAAGTAGAGATTTTTGTAGAGTATATAATCTCTCTATATTTTTTAAATCCAAATTTCATAAATAACATCTGCTTTAAGTGAGGTATATCAGAACAACCACCTAACTACTAAAGTGGTCAGCTCATTTAAGAGTTGTCTAGAACACTCTTAAATCTATCACCTTAATAGAAAAAAAAATTATCACATCAGGAAGAGAGTGGTGTCTATATTTAAGCCTGATTTTCTAAAATGATTGGATTTTGACAAAAGTATGATTTTTCTTACTTTCCATTTTAAATGCATTTCAATGACCATAGCCAATATGCCTTTGAGGGTCAATTAAGATTCTTCCAAATATGAACCCACAGATATTTTAATGACCAAAATATCCTAGGTAAATGGTAGAATTGCTATCTTCTGTGTGCTTTTAAGTTCCAACTACATTAAGCTTAGCAGACCAAAGCCAATTTGGATGAAATATTGTTCTATTTATTCTTTAAAGTCAATGTGCAATTTCAGGGACACAGACATCAATTTTCCCATTGAATTTTCCTCAATCCAGGTTATTCCTGATCCCTTTGGTTACACAAACCACTTATTATTCAGATAAATAAAGAGAGAACAGAGACTAAAACCAATAAAGCTCATGAGCATGTTTCTAAAATATATGTACATATATATATATATACATGCAAAAAAATATATGTATATATATGTACACACACACACACACACACATTTTAGGATTCTTTTCTATTTCCATAAAGGATGTCACTGGCATTTTGATAAGGGTTGCATTGAATCTGTAGATTGCTTTGGGTAGTATGGACAGTTTAACAATATTACTTCTCCCAATCCATGAACACAATATTTTTCCATCTATTTGTGTCTCCTTCAATTTCTTTTATCAATGTTTTATAGTTTTTAGTGTAAAGATCTTTCACCTCTTTGGTTAAATTTATTTCTAAGTATTTTTTGTAGCTATTGTAAATGGGACTTTTAAAAATTTCTATTTCAAATAGTCCATCAATTATAATTGTATAGAAATCATACTAATTTTATGCTGATTTTGTATTCTGTAACATTTTGAATTTGTTTGTTAGTCCTAACAGTTTTTTTAGTGAAATTTTTAGGGTTTTTATGTATAAGATCAAGTCATCTGCAAATAGGGGCAATTTAATTTCTTCCTTTCCAATTTTGATGACTTATTTCATTCTCTTAAACTAATTTCTGTGGCTAGGACGTCTAGTACTACATTGAATAGAAGTGGTAAAAGTGAGCATCCTTGAATTGTTCCAGATCTTAGAGAAAACGCTTTCAAGTTTTCTCCACTCAGAGAAAAGTTAGTTGTCATATATGGACTTTAATGTGTTGAGGTAAATTCCTTCTATATCTAATTTATTGAGAGTTTTTATTGGAAAGGGATGTTGAATTTTTTCAAATATTTTTTCTGATTCTATTGAAATGCTTATATGGTTATTGTCCCTTATTCTGTTAATGTGATGTGTTACATTTATTGATTTACATATGTTGAACCCTGTTTGCATCACTGAGATGAATTCCACTTGATCACAGTGAATAATCCTTTTAATTTGCTCTTGAATTTGGTTCGCTGGTATTTTGCTGAGAATTTTTGCATCTAAGGGATATCGATTTGCAGTTTTCTGTTTTCATTTTATTTCTGTCTGGTTTGCACATCAGGGTTGTGTTGGCCTTCTAGAATGAGTTTGCAAGTACTCTCTCCTCTTCATATTTTTGAAATAGTTTAAGTATAATTGGCATTAGTTCTTTAAATGTTTGGTAGACTTCTGCAGTGAAGGAAAGATCCCAAATAACCAAAGCAATCTTTAACAAAAAGAACAAAGCTGGAGGTATCACACTACTTGACTTCAAAATACACTACAAAGCTACAGTAAGCAACACAGCATGGTACTGACATAAAAATAGACATGTAGACCAATGGAACTGAATACAGAACACGAAAATAAATCAATTACAACCAACCAATTTTTGGCAAACGGACTAAGAACACACAATGGATAAAGGACACTCTCTTCAATAAATAGTTCTGGGAAAACTGGATATCCACATGCAGAAAAATGAAGTAGACCTGTATCTCACATCATATGCGAAAACCAACTCAAAATGGATTAAAGACGTAAATGGAAGACCCAAAACAATGAAACTACTAGAAGAAAACATATAGAAAATGCTTCATAACATTGATCTGAGGAAGAATTTTTTGGATAAGACCTCTGCAGCATGGGCAACAAAAGCAAAAGTAGACAAATGGGATTACATCCAACTAAAAATCTTCTGCACAGCAAAGGAAACAGTCAACAGAGTGGAAAGACAACTTACAGAACGAGATAAAATATTTGCAAATGATGCATCTGTATCCAGGGTTAATTACCCAGGATATTAATTTGGTTTAATATCTAAGTTATATAAGAAATCCAAACAGCTCAATAGCAAAAAAATCAAATAATCTGATTTTAAAATGGGCAAAAGACCTGCATAGACATTTCTCAAAAGAGGACATACAAATGGAAAACAGGTGCATGAAAAAATGCTCAACATCATTAATCATTAGCGAAAGGCAAATTAAAACCACAGTGAGATATTACCTTGCATTAAATAAAATAGCTATTATCAAAAAGACAAAAACTAAAAATGCTGGCATGGATATAAAGACAGGGGAACTCTTATACACTGTTGATGGGAATATAAATTGGTACAGCCATTATGGAAAACAGTATGGACTGGATCACGATGTCAGGAGATCGAGACCATCCTGGCTAACACGGTGAAACCCTGTCTCTACTAAAAATACAAAAACTTAGCTGGGCGTGTTGGTGGGCGCCTGTTGTCCCAGCTACTCCGGAGGCTGAGGCAGGAGAATGGCATGAACCTGGGAGGCAGAGCTTGCAGTGAGCCGAGATTGCGCCACTGCATTCCAGCCTGGGTGACAGAGCGAGACTCCATCACAAAAAAAAAGAAAAAAGAAAAAAAGAAAACAGTATGGAGGTTCCTCAAAAGTTTAAGTCTCACTACTGGGTATATATCCAAATAAAATAAAATCAGTATATTGAAGAGATATCTGCACTCCCATGTTTATTGAAACGCTATTCACAACAGCCAAGATATGAAATCAACTTAAGTGTCTATCAGAGGATGAATAGATAAGGCAAATGTGGTAGATATACACAATGAAATACTTTTCAACCATAAAAAAAGAATAAAATCTTGTCATTTATGGCAATGTGAATGAATCTAGAGGGCATTATGTTAAGTGAAACAAGCCAGGCACAGAAAGACAAATACCACAGGATTCCACTCACACGTGGAATTTGAAGAAGTTGATCTCATAGAAGTAGAGATTAGAATAGTGGTTAACAAGGGCTGGGGATGAGGAATAAAGAGAGGTTGGTCAACCAGTACAAAGTGACAGTGAGATAGGAGGAGTAAGTTCTGGTATTCTGTTTCAAAGTAGGCTGGGGACTATGGTTAACAATATTGTATTGTATATTTCAAAATAGCTAGAAAAAAGAGCTTTAACAAAGAAATGATAAATGTATGAGGTGATAGATATGCTAAATACACTGACTTGATTTTTATACAATGTATATATGTATCAAAACATCATGCTATACCCCATAAATATGTGCAATTATTATGTCAATTAAAAACAAAATAAAAATACATATACACATAACCTACTCTTAAGAAAGGCAAAAGGCAGAGATTCTTGGGTTGTAAATATAGGACAAAATCAGCAGTTTAAGTATTATTTCTCTAGTGCAAGATGTAATAAAGTACTTAATAATGCTGCAACCAAAAATAGTGATTTCATTCTGGCTTGAGAATTGGATAAAGGTGTAATTAGCGTTTCCCATTGCTAATGCCAACAAATTCCTTGTCAGGAAAGTGAGAGGCTAAGAACCATAAAGTCTGCTGAATCTTTCACAGTTCCTATTTGGATACGAAGAGATTTACAGAAGCACAATGTGCCAGCTACTAGGCAAGACCAAGCACATTGAACTGTTGTCATCAATTCTTGGACCATCAAACACAAAACTACAAGATTTGTGCTGCAAAGCAATCATCCTCTCTAAATGGAATTTTCCATCTCCATACAGTGTGAGAATTGAATATTGTTCTAGTAATAGGTGTTATGGAAGGATCCAGTGAAACTGGCTCTTCTGTGCAGGACAGAGTGTGATGGAGAGCTTAGGAAAGAGTTTCAAGAACCTCTACCCACAGGAGTGCTTTAGGTACTGTATCCAAGAACTTTACCGAAGTTTTAATTGGTTAAATTGCTAACAATTGTAAGAAGGATGTGTGTTTGTCTTCATCGTAGATGATTCCATGTCTCCCATGACTAAGCCCCTGTTTGTTACCATAATAAAAATTTATTTTAATATTTGTCTCATTTCACAGAGATTTGTTAAAATTTACAAGTACCTATGTTTCCTTTTCATGTCGACTTATGACCTTTGTTTACTTAGTTTTGGGCACTTCCAGTAAATATTACCTATAGCTACTTTACAGTTAATGATTTTTTTAAATAATTCTGTCTTCTACTGCGAAGCATATATAACGAAGATTATTTTTTATAAAAACGATGACCCTTGCTTTTATTTTTAATATCCATGGCCTTGGGCACACTTTTTGCATTCACCTCTTTATAATTTTATTTCTGCCATCAGCATGAAGTTTGCTTCAAAAAAAAAAAACTTTCTTTGATTCTTTACACTCTTTGTGTTTCCTAAGATTCCAAGGCATTTTATCTGTACTGTTTTTAATATTTTATGATAAACAGTTAGACCTATGTCTTTAATCTTTGTATTGCCAGCACCTAGCACAGAAAATGGCTTATAGTAGGAATTCAACAGATGTCCAAATAAATGTTTGACAGAAGGTATTATATTACATTATATTGTATTAGTTACAATTTTTTTTACAGTCCTTGATGCATTTTCATGTCCACCACAGCTTATGGAAAACTGTAAGTTCCATAAGTGAATGCTCAATGGCAAAACGAGTAGCAAAGTGGGCATGCAAACAAGTTTGCCCAAGTTCAAGGACCTTGTCTCTACATCTCTCCAGTGCTTTTCTTCCATCACACCTCCCAATATCCTTGGAGGATATGTTCCAAGACCCCCCAGTGGATGTCCACAAACGTGGATAGTACTGACCCCACATATACTATGTTTTCTCAATCAGACCAGTAAGTCACTAAGAGGCAAGTAGCATCTACTTGGCAAAGCCCGAGGGCAAAGGGAGGATTCACATCCCAGTTGGGTTGGAGTGGGATGGCGCACGATTTCATCACACTATTCAGAACGACATGCAATTTATAACTTATTTAATTAAATTGTTTATTTCTGAAATTTTCAATTTAATATTTTCAGACCACAGTTGCCCTTGGGTAAAAGGGGGATTCCTGTACTTTTTACACTTTATTTCTTGCCTCCTAATGAGCGTAAAAAACATGAGTAAATAATTTGATGGGAGGGTAGTCACATAGCCTTAACCAAGTCTAGTGCCACTGTACTCTGAAAGGGAGAGGAGAAGACTAAAGACATTAACCTAAGCTTCTGATGCCCTTTGTTGGGTGATCCGAGCAAGAAACCTGGGAAACTGTCCCGGTGACTTTTTGGCAAATCAAAGCAAAGGAGTGTTCTTTCCCTTGATGCAGCATCCCATACCACTCCATCCAAAGGGAAGCAGGCACTTCAGGTCATGAACCTGTGAAAGTTGGTCATGCAAATTGAGTCATTCTTGTCATATTCAACTTAAAAAATCTAGAAGATGGGGAGAAAAGCACTCAGGGCTCATAATATTGCTCCAAGAAATAAATTTTACACAAGCTCAGTTGCTGAAACTGCCTGCTGTAACCTGAAACCAGCTTTATCTAATAACTACTGAACGAAACTGCTGCAACTCTAAGACTAGCTTTACCCACTGTGTCATCCACCAATCAGAGGTTGCCAGCTCCCCAAATCCTTACTAGTGCCAATGAACTGTCTTTCAAACTTTTGTCTTTTTTTATAAAACTTCCAACCTTCTCTTTGTTCTTCAGACATACTGAAGGCCATCCAGTGCATGTGTATGCCCTGAGTTGCAATTCTTGCTTCCCAAATAAAACGTTTTAAAGTTAGGGATTTGTCTCTTTATTTTATTTGGCTTCAACAAATATTTGCTCATCAGGTTTTCAAACTGCCTGGGTCAGCTTGGGGAATCCCTATGGCTCAGTAAATAATAATAGTGAAGATAATAAACTTGCCTGTCTTGTTCAACATTTTCTCTATCCCAATTAGCTGATATATGCACTAACATTTATTGAATGAAGAAATGATCATGATACCAACAATAAGAATTGTTTCCACTTACTGAGAATTTACCAAATGCATGAGACTGCACTAAGCACTTTTTGTATATTCTCTTAATTAATCACTGAACATTCTGAAGGGGAAGTGAATCTCTTGAGGTTCATTTTATTTTCTTCATAGCCTTTCTAAAAAGTAATAGGATGATTTATGGTAAAATTAAGTAAACTAAAATTTGATATTGGAAATTTTCTTCATTGAAAAATTTGTCATAGTCATGAAAATCAAAAGCTGTAAAAGTTTTTTTTTAAATCTTTGTGCAAATGTATAAATTCAAAAGATTGTAGAGAAGGAACTTTTAAGATCATCTTGTCCAATTTCTCAATTTTATAAAGGAGAAAAATAAGAAATTGATTGATTTAGACTCAATGTCACGCCATTAACCGGTGACAGAGACGGGAGTAGACCCCCAAGATGTATTGGTCCCAGTGGGCCTATGTTGTAATATTTTCTTATTATTCCCCTCAAGATTATTAGACTAATAATTATCTAATAATTTTTAGAGCTAGAAAATTCACAGAAGCCCAGCTCACTGCATCACCCTATGTCTCTGGGGCAAATGTAACGCCTGTCATAAATAATGAGGTATTGCTTAGTAAGGATTCTCAAGAAGGTGACTATGACCCAGATCAGTGGGAGGGTCAGAGTGAAGTAATAGCCACACTATACCTCAAATTTTCTACAAGCTTTTATCTATTCTACTGCCAATTAAAACCTTTCTTTAAAAAACCACAAATCCCATGAGAGGTTAACCTGCAGGTAACTTTCCTGTCATCCATCAGGTGGGTCTCCCTCAGAAAAGGTTTGAGAACCTTTGTTTTATGTCCTCAGTGAATATTGCCTCTCTGGTCAAATATCTCTGCAAGGAGGTGGAAGCCATGGTTGTAGCCTGAGGTCAGAAGTCAAAGCTGCCTAGCCCGGCAGAGGAAGCAAGAGGCCCAGCTCCTGTTTCTCCAACTGTGGATAGAGGAGTGGCCCAGGAAGGCCTGATGCCCAAGGCTATAGGATTGGTTATATAACACCTGCAAGTGTGCTTATCATATTACCAAAGCTTAGGTATCTGGTCATAGAAGCCTCTCTTTAGATAACCCAGATAGGTCACAACTGGAGGTTGGCAGTCTGTTTTCGGAGAAAGAGAAAACCTATAAGGATTATGACATATTCTTATAAATGCAGTAAAACTGGCTACTTTTTATGAGGTCTTCATCAAGCCACATTTTTTTTCTTTTTTAAGTTTAAACAACAGAAATTGATTTTCCACAGTTTAGGAAGCTGAAAGTCTGAGATCAAGGTCCAACAAGATTGGTTTCTGATGAGGGTCTTCTCCTAGGCCTGCAGATGACCACCTTCTCACTGGGCCTCACATGACACAGGGGTGGGGAGCAGAGAGCTCTCTGGTGTCTTTTCTTATAAAGGCACTTATCCCATCTTGAGGGCTACATTTTCATGACCTCACCTAACTCTTAAGTACTTCCACCAAAGCTCCATAGCCAAAGATCATCACACCAGGGATTAGGGCTTCAAATATAAATTTTGGGGGACATAACATTTAGTCCACAACATTTACCAAACTGAGATTCTAGAAAAAAGTAAAATCAGAGTCAAAACCAAGTAATGGCAAGCAGGGAAATGGAAGCAGAGGTAACTGGATAGGGAGGGATATTTAAGAATGCTTCTAACAGGAGAACCAATGAATTAGGGCAGCTGGGTCTGTTAACACCATTCTCAGAGGAGAATAAAATATACTTCTGGGTCCTGAAAGGCCTTTATGCCTTTGCTCCAGGATCTCCTTCTACTTTAACTACCTGATTTGCAGGAGGTGAATTATAGAACTGTTTCTCTACCTTTTGCTGCATGTTCTCCGTGCTTGTTTGTATTTGTAATGTGAATTTGCTATTGATCCCATATTGTTCCAGAAACATCCTCATGTATTTTTGAACCTGTCTTTGTTTAGTGTCCCCAGGTAGCATGAAGCCTCTTGAGGGCAGGAGTTGTGCTTACTTCTTACGTACATATCTAAAGAACTGCATTAGCAGTTTACTGCTCCATGTAATGTTGTTAGATTTTTTTCAGCTATTTATGAAAATTCTTGCTCTTCTCTCATATCCTTTCTCATAGAAGACCTCACATTTTTTCCCACTTCATCCTCAAAAAAATAATCTTTCTTTTCTTCTATACACATTATTGTAGTTTTCAGCATTTTCTTTTTTCAACTATTTATCAAAATTTAGCTCTTTTCTCTTATCCTTTCTCATGGAAGACCTCACATTTTTCCCACTTCATCCTCTAAAATGTAATCTTTCTTGTCTTCTATACATATCATTGCAGTTTTTGACATTTTCTTTGTAAAACTTATATATATATAAACAAATTTATATATATATACATTGCATTTAAAGTGTTTACATAGCACTTGAGCTTTTCTTTTGTTTTTCACCTTTTATTTTAGATTCAGGTGGTACATGTGCCTGAATTGTTACCTGGGTATATTGAATGATCAAGCCACATTCTGAAAGAAGTTTCTAGTGCTTCCCTCTGCCTGTAGAAAAGACCATATTGTAACTTGCCCCATTTAATAAGAATTTATCCTGGAATTTTTTAAAGATGCATAAAACCCAACTTTACAAATTTTCCAGGGTTTTGCTCATTAAGAACTAAGAAGCTTATTCTAGACCCCACTGGAAGTTGAAAGGATGCATTTGAAAACCAAACAACTCAACTCCACAAGGCTTTTGTAGAGGCAGAGCATTAAAAGAGTATCAAGTCATTTCTTAGTTGAATAGTTGATTTTTTTAACAAGATGAAGGTGAGTGTGGACAAGATCACCATGTAACAGTCCCTGTGAGAGAATCAGAAGACACAGTGGTTGTTTTGGCTGTAGTGAAGAAGCCTTAATTTCAGAAATATTGATGATTCTGATCTCTCAATTCTCAATTTCTCTCTTCCAGCAATAAACAGGCATGGGAAGTCAACACAGCCTGATGTTCTAGTGTCAAACAAGATTCCCCATGTAGTAGACTGGAGGATCCAGATCTGATTCTAGCTTTATTTTTTTTTCTTTTATCAAATAATGTCACCTTCCCCTATTTATTGATGTTCATCTCAGGTATAGATTTTAAAAAACAAAATTCAAGTCTCCCCAACAGAAAATCCCTTGAATTTCATAAGCTCTGAATCAGGCAGTTACTGTTCAACCCCCTATTCTTTCTCTTAGAAGGAGTAATTTACACACCTGTCACCAAATGTTTTCCTGGAGCCAGACTCATGACTGGTTTCTAAGGTTTTGGTGCACATTTATGGAGGCAGAGCTGGGCCATTTGAAATGTTTTACTACAAAGATTTGCTCCTTAGTCTCATTAAGTATCTATAGAAAATCAAAATAAGAAGTGCTTGGCAGCCAATCGCAGGACTGTTCAGGTAGGGTGTTAGGGAGGGATTCATAAAGCTTTCAGAGAGGGGACTTTTCCTTGTAATATTGGTTACATTGTATGACAATTCAGAATTTATAAAGAGATAGTTTAAATATCAAAAATAGATGTTAGGATGACAATACAATAACCAGATTTGAGGTTGAGCTGAAGGAAGTAGCAGAATCAATTTGAAGCTATTACCTTTGTTCCTATTGTAATCAGGTTAGTGTTCAAATATTATAACCCCAGCCTAAGACAAAATAGGTTTAATTTTCTCAAATGCTTCAAAATAGCTACCATTTTTAAGGAGAAAAAGAGCAAAATGGCCACTTCTCAGTAGAAAGAATTAGGCTTACCTGTTGATTTTTATCATCTTCATTTACTTATTTATTCATGGAATGTTTATCGAATACCCAGCATTTGCTTGGCACTGAGCTATGCACAATGAAGAAGACCCCTCAAGAAACTTCCAAAAGGAAAGTTCAAAGGAGACCCTGTGAACGTTAGATAGGTACATGCAAACTTTAAAACAAGTTGCCTTTATATCCCCACTCCTCAGCACATTCCCTGGGTGCTGGCAGGTAGAGGCCCACTGAATGGCTAAAAAGTGAAAGTAAAGAGAGAAATACTGTGTGTTATTGTATTGCAGAAGACTTACAGAAAACTTAAAATGATGACTGAATGGGTTTTGCTCTGAACCTAGAAGATGATAAGGGAGAGAGCATTTGAACTGGGAGAAACAGTGAAGAAAAAGACCTGATGTCCACACCTGAGAAAGATCCAGGTGTCTTTTGGGTTGGTGAGTGGACAGACCTGGCTGAAGCAGGGTGCGCAGCAGATGTATTCACTAGAACAAGAAGAGTTTTTTCTACTTGTTTTTTTCCACTTTAATTCACTTACATGTTCTGATCAGGGAGCTGAATCAACTTAAGCCTTGTTTAGGAAGCTGAATTTGGAAGGAACATATAAGATGGTGTAATGATTTTTAAATATGTCAAAAAATATTTAAAAACTTTTTGGAAGGAAGCTTCAAAAGGTGGAGTCTGATTTTCCTCCCTTGAACGTGCAGCCTGATTAAGTGACTCACTTCTAACAAATAAGGTATGGCAGAAGAGATGACCCGTGCCTTCTGTGTCAAAAGAGTGGCTTCTGTCTGCTGTTTCTCTTGGATCCCTCACTTTGGGGAGAGCCAGGCCCATGTTGGGTGGACACTCAAGCTGCCCAGTGGACAGGCCTATGTAGGGAGTAAAATGAGACATCTCATTGACAACCAGTCACAACTGACCAGCTCGTGTGAACGAGCCACCCTGGAAGCACATCCTCTGGTCTGGTGAGCCTTCAGATGACTGCATCACTGGAGATATCATGACTCGACATTATGAGAGAGATCCTGAGCCAGAACTCCTCAGTTAACAGATTCCCAAATTTCTGCACACAGAAATTGCAATAATAAATTTTGGAATGATTTGTTACACAGCATTAGATAAACTAATGTAGATGGTAAGGTTAGCCAAAAAGTGGTTGAAACAACCTAAGACCTGACATATGGACTTGGCTATGGGATTGGCAAGGAATAAATAAACATAAAATATTATATGGTGTAAAACTTAGTGGCTTATTGAACAAAGAAGTTGAGGAAAAGAAATAAACCAAGATGGCTCTAAGAAAGTATGAGAATGGTGGTGGCCATGATAGAAATATCAGTAGACAGTGGATAGGAAAAATGGCTTTAGGAAAAATTATCTTTCAATATAATGACTGTAGAGAACTACACTATAAATTAAGCTATAGTGAGAATGGCAGAATGTTGAAATTAGAAAATTGCTTAGAGATTGGCTAGTTCCATTATCTGATTTTACAGAGAAAACCAAGGCAATCACATAGGACCCTGCATTTAGAAGGGCCCTGTGCTTGGTTTAATGCTCTGCTCTTGCTCTCTTGAAATTCTTAATCATTTTTGAACAAGGGTCTCTGTATTTTTATTCTTCACTGGACCCACAAATTAAGTAGCTAGTCTTGTGCATACTCCAGACTTTCCATGTTGATTCTGACTTACTTGATGAGTGTGAGATTATCTGTTCCTCATATTAATAGAATCCTAAGATTGGGGAGGGGTGAAGGAGGAGAATGGTTTTGTTCTTACCACATTGCATTGCTTGTCACTACACTGAGTGTCTTCCTATTAGTAGCCATTTTCTAGGCGATGAATCATCATGGTGGCAATTGGTCTGTGACCCAGATCTTCAAGGTGCTGATAAGTGACATACTGAATTCTCAAAGGAGAGTTCTGTTGTAAGGAAATGGAGGCTGTCCTTTTGTGGAGATGCAGTCCCATGAACACTGAATCTGCTAACTGTAGTATTACATAATATTATGTGGTATGTGTCAGGCCTCTGAGCCCAAGCTAAGCCATCATATCCCCTGTGACCTGCACGTTTACATCCACATGGCCTGAAGCAACTGAAGATCCACAAAAGAAGTGAAAATAGCCTTAACTGATGACATTCCACCATTGTGATTTGTCTCTGCCCCACCCTCACTGATCAATGTACTTTGTAATCTCTGCCACCCTTAAGAAGGTTCTTTATAATCTCCCCCACCCTTAAGAAGGTTCTCTGTAAGGTTCTTTATAATCTCCCCCACCCTTAAGAAGGTTCTCTGTAATTCTCCCCACCCTTGAGAACGCACTTTGTGAGATCCACCCCCAGCCTGCAAAACATTGCTCCTAACTCCACCGCTTATCCCAAAACCTATAAGAACTAATGATAATCCCACCACCCTTGCTGACTGTCTTTTTGGACTCAGCCTGCCTGCACCCAGGTGCAATAAACAGACTTGTTGCTCACACAAAGCCTGTTTGGTGGTCTCTTCACGTGGACGCATGAGACAGTACGGTCCTAAAGAAACTCATGTCACACTAGTTTCTTGAGACTGATATGTAGCTGAAGCAGAAGGATCACTTGAGCCCAGGAGATCAAGACCAGCTGGGTAACATAGCAAGACTCCACCTCTACAAAAAAAAATTTAAAAATTAGCTTGGCAGCCAGGTGCGGTGGCTCAGGTCTGTAATCCCAGCACTTTGGGAGGCTGAGGCTGGCAGATCAAGAGGTCAGGAGATCGAGAGCATCCTGGCTAACGTGGTGAAATCCCGTCTGTACTAAAAATACAAAAAGTAGCCAGGCGTGGTGGCAGGTGCCTGTAGTCCCAGCTACTCGGGAGGCTGAGGCAGGAGAATGGCGTGACCCGGGAGACAGAGCTTGCAGTGAGCCAAGATCATGCCACTGCACTCCAGCCTGGGCGAGAGAGTGAGACTCTGTCTCTAAAAAAAAAAAAAAGAAAAAAAAAAAATTGGCCTGGCATAGTGGCACACACCTGTAGTGCCAGCTACTTGGGAGGCTGAGGCAGGAGAATTCCTGAGGCCCAGGAGGTTGAGGCAGCAGTGAGCTATAATCAGGCCACTGCACTCCAAGCCAGGTGACAGAGCAAGACCCTGTCTCAAAAAATGAAATAAAGAAAGAAAAGAAAATGGGGCACATCCACAGAGGTGTTTTTGTGTTTGAGTAATTAGCTCTTATAATTAAATAATTTAGGTGGCAGGAGGGTTTTTCTTTTGACTACTCGGTATTGTGTGTTACTTCCTACTCTATTAGCAAGAAAGGAATCCTATTTTGCTCAAAAAGCATGCTCTATTGCAGTTTCATAAGTGTTAGAGCAGGGCGTCCTAACCTTGGTCTGTGGTTAGAAGGGGTTGATAATATCCCCTGAAATTACATGCAAAATGTGGGTTGGTTGCGGGTGTCTGGAGAAAAATACCTGAGTATTTCTCTGCTTGGAATGCTGGCCCCCTCCTTTCTGCCTGTCTCATTCCTACCTGGTTGTGAAGGCCCAACTCAAATCCCACCTCCTTCTAGAAACCTTCTCCCAGCTGCTGCTCTCCCCAACTCCTCCTTGTTCTTGGAAAACTCTCCTACCTTTAGCCTCCTGGGGATTTTGTCACCTACATTATTTGTCTGTCCTTTGGTACACTTTGGTCCATTTCCCCAGTATACTGGGAGACTTCGGAGGAGAAGTAAAATTGGCTTACCCTACATACACTACATAATACACTATATGAGATACTGAGAAGCCTTTAGTGAGTACTTAGTGAGGCTGAGGCTCTTGAGAATGTCTCAGTCTTAGAGAATCTCTCCTGGAACACTCCAAGGGATCTGAAAAACAACTCCAAATATCTCCCCATTCACCTTGCTCCCACCAAGCTGACCTCATTAGGTTCCACTTCATGTTTATTCATGTCTCATTGAATGTTTCACATTCATTAACCCCACTTACATTCACTTTGCATCTGTGTTGACAAAGACTGTGTGGGATCTTAATTTACGGAACACAATAATGTGTGATAAAAATTTTCTGGAGTTTTAAATGACACTTCTCTGGTGTCCTTGAATAATAAATAAATCTCCTGAATATGCTTTAATATGCTCCAAATAAATCAGGTATTCATTATAAGAATATGTCACACTCTCCTTCAGTTAAATTGTAATGAAAGTACTGGGGATATATAATGTGAATTAATAGGACTTGCTTTAGAAATGTACAGCCCACTTAGTGCATGTGTTTGTGAGTGTGTGCATACTTCACGCGTGGATTTATGTATGTGTGAGATCTTGTTTCTTCACCTCTATTATAGCACCTGTCAAAAACTTCTTTGTATTAGAATTATTTACACACTTATTCGTCCTTCTCCTTTAAATCAGAGGTTCCCTAGGGAGGGAACGAAAGATCCTTTTCCTGAATCTTTCCACTGAGTCTAGAGCATGCAATGTTTTGCATATGAAGGGTCACAATCAATGTTAGCTTACTTTGAAAGGGTGTATTCATAATGTTATGAAATGTTAAGGGGATACTCGTTTGAGCACTGCAGGTTTTGGCAAGAAAGCAACATCAGGCATATGCTTGCTTAAACTGCTTCTTCCAGATGGATAGTGCATATCAGAGAGGTTTCTGCCTATCAGAAGAAACAGCATTTCTTCCCACTTGGGAAATGGCCAGTCTTACCAGCACGAATAATTTTAACACAGAGAAGCCTGGAAGGCCTCATCAGGTAAAACTTGCTTTCCTTGATGAATGGCCAGGCAAGTCTTTCCAAATGATTCCTTTTAAAAATATGTCTCTCAACTGTCATAGACAGACCCTTCTCCTATGTTAAGGCCGTGAACTGTGCTTTCCGATCCAGCTCTGCCCTTCGGCCAGTTTCAGTAAATTTAGGTAGGGTCTGCCCTGCCCAGGGCTAACTCCAGCATTCTGCAGGTGCTTGCAACATCTGTGAATTAGTTAAAACACTGGGTGGGGTAGTTTAATTTTCTGAAAAGCACTTCAGAAACCAGTGTCCCAACAAAAAGAGCCCCAGAGAGTATCTCTGAGAAGCATACACTTCTGATGGAAAGATCTCGAGGTGGGGTCTGAAGATACCCTTTCCCACTCTCACCTCCACAACACTTGTTGTCTACATTATAGGAGGCCTAAATTAAAAGCCTAAATTAAATTCAGTTTGCTGGAACTTTTTAAAGATTCTGCTTTGCTCATGTGAAACTTCCCCCCCCCAACAACACTGAACTTCTCTTAAATGTATATAACCACAAAAACCTTTTTATTTAAATGGTCTGTGACAAATAGAGTAGAGAGAAAGACTTGGGAATTGAATATATAGTCCTGCCTCTTTTTTTCTGATTTTAGGGAAATATTCATCTCAAAGTACTTTATAAAACACAGAGAACAAAAATCCAGCCACTTTCAGACTAGCCAATCACTGCAGAATAACTAGCCCTTCTATTGCTATGTTATTTATAAGGTTTATATATAAAAAGCATATTTTAAAAGGCTTTTATTTTCCTTTGAAAAAAAAGAAAGCTTTTCAAAATAATCTGCAAGATTCAAATATCTCCCCCCCCACCTTAAATTCTGACCTTCTGCTGTTTCTACCTATTCCCCCCTTCCTGATCCATTCTTGTACAGTTGCACAGGGTGTCTCCAACAGTACTTACTTAGGTCAAGTCCCCTATGTTCGTGTTGGATTTCTAGGCTCCAATACATAAACTAAATCCTCTCAACATATGCATCCTTACCTCCCAAAGATCTATGTGGGATACCCTATAATTTTGAAGCACTTGGCAAATTAGTGTCCATTTAGCATCCAGTTAAATTATATTTACCTCAAATTTACTGTAAAAATTGAGAAAATAACACATCTGATTAGAGCAACTACTTAAAGGAATTAAGTTGTGGGTGTCTCTTAACGTATACTTAGCTTGAAGGAAAACAAAGCTAGACATCTAGATGCTCTTAGAAACTACCAGGAGATAAAACTTTCCTTAGATAATTATAATGTGTATCTTTATCTGGTAATCTTTTCTGCCACAAGATCTCACTATAATTTGCAACTATTTATTCAGGCAGTCACCTTCTTCATCCCACCATCCAATACACTAATCGTAATGATCATTAATATACTAAAATGTTTTTGAAAAGCATGGTAAATCTACAGAGAATTTTTGGTTCACTTATAATCCTGTAAAAATGCAAACAAGTAGATAGTTACTTGCGATAAAATTTGGGTTTACATTCCTTCCTCCAAACTATAATATTCGGTTTAAAAAAAATCAGAAGTTTTTCCTTTAGCCTGGGCTCTGTTAGGGCAGTGATACTTGTACTTTGGTCAGAATTGCACAGCTAGCTTGCAAACATGCAGGTCCAAGGCCCCATTCTGTTCTGATTCTGTTGTTCTGAGGTGCAGCCCAAGAATATGCAGATGTGGCAAACAGCAACCCCCCACATGCACATTTCCCCAAAGGTGATGCAGATGCAGGTAGGACCACTCTTTAAAGAAACACACTCCCAAACTTTAGTGAGCATCAGACTCTTAAAAGAAGGACATATAAAGACATGATTGCTGAACCCACTGTAGAATTTCTGATTTGATAGGCCAGGGGTAGGGCCTGAGAATTTGTATTTCTAACAAGTTCCCAGGTGACACTGATGCTATTGGCTCAGGGACCACACTTTGTGAATGATTGTTCTGGGATAAATTAACATGTCTGCTCAATATAACATAAAACAAGCAAGGTGGTGTATTGTCAATCCTCTCAAGATCCTGTAAAACGTGCTGCCTACCCACCTTTCCAGTGCTATGCGGTCACCTACTCTGAAGCACCCTACACCCCAGCCAGTCCAGCCCCCCTGCCATTCCCTAAAGGTTCAGAGAGCTGTATGTGTATAGGCTAATGTTTCTTCTTGGAACTGGGTAATCACAGGTGGTTTGCAAGGCCCAGAATGATAATTTCTGATGAGCCTTCTCCTATCCCCAAGCCAAAAGTTTTGCCCTCTCCTCAGCATCCATAGCCCCCTGTGTGTAGAGGGGGTTTTATTTAGTTGTGTATGTGTCTATTTTCTCCACTAGATTTTTAGCTCCTCAATACTAGATTTCAGATGATTTAGTATTCTCACTGAAGCCTTGCAGAAAGCATACCAGCAGGATTAAAACTGAATTGACCCATATCCTTTAACAATGTTTTCAATGTGTGGTCCACGGACCTCTGGGGGGTCTCTGAGACCCTTTCAGAGCTGGGTCTACAAGATCAAATGGATTTTTATAATAGTAATAATTGTATTTGCTTTTTTCCACTATGTGGACATTTGCACTGATGTGCAAAAGCTATCCTGGGTGAAACTGCTGTCACATTAGTATAAATCAAGGCAGGGCCCACACTGTGTCAATAGTCATTGTATTCTATACAGACACAGATTCACAGGTAAAAGGAGTGGGGGCAAAGCAAGTTCACTTAAGAATGTCCTTAATGAAGCAATAAAATGTATTAATTTTATGAACTTTCAAACCTTGAGTACAAATCTGATACTGTGTGATGAAATGAGTTCATATAACACCTTTTCTCATACCAGTTGTGAAAGGAAAAGCACTCATGTGATTGTCTGGCAAAGTAAACCAGCTGCTTTTTTTTTTCTTTCAGAGAACACCATTTTCACTTGAAAAAAAATGATAAACTATGGCCATTCAGACTCAAGAATGTGATAGATATTATCTCAGAAATAAACAAAGTCAGCCTGCCAGGTCAAGAAAAACAACTGACAGCATTTGTTGCCAGCGATAAAATTTGAGCTCTCCAGAGAAAATGTGAAACTGAAAATCCATCACTGTGAGAGTGACAGCTCCCCAATACATGAAGATGTAATGATATTAACAAATATGGTTTTTTTTTTCTGTATAATGAAATGTGTCACTACTTGGGAGAGCTTGATAACTCAGTGAACCAACATTTTCAAAATGATCAATGCATGAATTACACAACATGGATACAAACATTCAAAATGCATCCCAGAATGGTGGCTCATGCCTGTAATCCCAGCACTTTGGGAGGCCAAAGCAGGCGGGTCACTTGAGGTCAGGATTTCCAGACCAGCCTGGCCAACACAGTGAAACCCTGTCTCTACTAAAAATAGAAAATATTAGCTGGGCCTGGTGGTGCACGCCTGTAATCCCAGCTACTTGGGAGGCTAAAGCATGAGAATTGCTTAAACTTACATTAAAAAATATTAAAATATACCCTCCAATTATAAATTTGTCTAGGGCTAGCTTTTCTTTATATACATCAATCAAAGCAACATGTCACAACAGTTTAAATGTAGAAACATATATGAAAATTCAGCTATCTTCTATTAAGCCACACTTAAGAGAAACTTGCAAAAATGCAAAACAATGCCACTTTCCACACAATGGTTTTGTATTGGAAAATATAGTTTTTTTAAATAACAATGCATTATTTATGTTAACATGTATAAGTTTTGTTATTTTAGGTGAATTTTTTAATAAACATTTTTTAAATATTTTATCATATTTTCTAATATGATAGATACTATACACATAAATAAAAGTTATTTGGGGCTCTCGATAATTTTAAGTACAGAAGGTCCTGAGACTTTTAAAAGTATGAAAACTTTTAAAAGTTTGGTATGTCCACATACCAAAAATTGCAAAATATACATTTGCCTTCTCAAGCATATCTGATGAGATACCCTTAAAAAAGTCATGACAGTGGAAAAGTGGCTTTGGTCTTTGTTGATGGTGGAGGTGATGGTTGAGGAGGAGAGTGGCAACCTAAGCTCTTTTTTCTATACACAGTCTCTCAACCATTCAGGCTTCCTAGGCCTGTTTTATGTTGAAAAGGGCAATCTTGAAGTCATTGTTTTCCCGTTACCAAAGGGGTTGGCACTCCAAACCTTTGTCTCACTTTGAAATGAAAGGTTATATTTTCTGATAAAAGAATGCCGGCAGTTCCAAGATGGCCGAATAGGAACAGCTCCAGTCTACAGCTCCCAGTGTGAGCGATGCAGATGACAGGTGATTTCTGCATTTCCAACTGAGATACTGGATTCATCTCACTGGGGCTCATTGGACATGGGGGGCAGGACAGTGGGTGCAGCCCGCTGAGTGTGAGCTGAAGCAGGGCGAGGCATCGCCTCACCCAGGAAGTGCAAGGGGTCAGGGAATTCTCTTTCATAGCCAAGGGAAGGGGTGACTGACGGCAGCTGGAAAATCAGGTCACTCCCACCCTAATACTGCACTTTTCCAATGGTCTCAGCAAACGGCACACCAGGAGATTATATCCGCTGCCTGGCTCAGAGGGTCCAATGCCCACTTCAATGCTAGCAGAGCAGTCTGAGATCGAACTGCAAGGCAGCAGCAAGGCTGGGGGAGGGGCGTCTGCCATTGCTGAGGCTTGAGTAGGTAAACAAAGCGGTCAGGAAGCTCGAACTGGGTGGAGCCCACTACAGCTCAAGGAGGTCTGCCTGCCTCTGTAGACTCCACCTCTGGGGGCAAGGCATAGCCAAACAAAAGGCAGCAGAAACTGCTGCAGACTTAAATGTCCCTGTCTGACAGCTTCGAAGGGAGTAGTGTTTCTCCCAGCATGGAGTTTGAGATCTGAGAATGGACAGACTGCCTCCTCAAGTGGTGCCCTGACCTCCGAGTAGCCTAACTGGGAGGCACGCCCCACTTGGGGCAGACTGACACCTCACACTGCCAGATACCACTCAGAGACGAAGCTTCCGGAGAAACGATCAGGCAGAAACATTTGCTGTTCAGCAATATTTGCTGTTCTGCAGCCTCCACTACTGACACCCAGGCAAACGGGGTCTGGAGTGGACCTCCAGCAAACTCCAACACACCTGCAGCTGAGGGTCCTGACTGTTAGAAGGAAAACTAACAAACAGAAAGGACATCCACACCAAAACCCCATCTGTACGTCACCATCATCAAAGACTAAAGGTAGATAAAACCACAAAGATGGGGAAAAAACAGAGCAGAAAAGCTGAAAATTCTAAAAATAAGAGCACCTCTCCCCCTCCAAAGGAATGCAGCTCCTCGCCAGCAAAGGAACAAAGTAGGATGGAGAATGACTTTGACGAGTTGAGAGAAGAAGGCTTCAGGTGATCAAACTTCTCTGAGCTAAAGGAGGAAGTTCGAACCCAACACAAAGAAGTTAAAAACCTTGAAAAAAGATTAGACGAATGGCTAACTAGTATAACCAGTGTAGAGAAGTCCTCAAATGACCTGACTGAGCTGAAAACCATGGAATGAGAACTACATGATGAATGCACAAGCTTCAGTAGCCGATTTGATCAACTGGAAGAAAGGGTAACAGTGATTGAAGATCAAATGAATGAAATGAAGTGAGAAGAGAAGTTCAGAGAAAAAAGAGTAAAAAGAAATGAACAAGCCTCCAAGAAATATGGGACTATGTGAAAAGATCAAATCTATGATTGGTGTACCTGAAAGTGACAGGGAGAATGGAACCAAGCTGGAAAACACTCTTCAGGATATTATCCAGGAGAACTTCCCCAACCTAGCAAGGCAGGCCAACATTCAAATCCAGGAAATACAGAGAACAGCAAAAAGATACTCCTCAAGAACAGCAACTCCAAGAGACACATAATTGTCAGATTCACCAAAGTTGAAATGAAGGAAAAAATGTTAAGGGCAGTCAGAGAGAGAGGTTGGGTTACCCACAAAGGGAAACCCATCAGACTAACAGCGTATGTCTCGGCAGAAACTCTACAAGCCAGAAGACAGTGGGGGCCAATATTCAACTTCCTTAAAGAAAAGAATTTTCAACCAGAATTTCACATTCAGCCAAACTAACCTTCATAAGTCAAGGAGAAATAAAATCCTTTACAGACAAGCAAATGCTGAGAGATTTTGTCACCACCAGGCATGCCCTAAAAGAGCTCCTGAAGGAAGCACTAAACATGGAAAGGAACAACCGGTACCAGCCGCTGCAAAAACATGACAAATTATAAAGACCATCAATGTTAGGAAGAAACTGCATCAACTAACAAGCAAAATAACCACCTAACATCATAATGACAGGATCAAATTCACACATAAAAATATTAACCTTAAATGTCAATGGGCTAAATGCTCCAATTAAAAGACACAGACTGGCAAATTGGATGAACGGTCAAGACCCATCAGTGTGCTGTATTCAGGAGACCCATCTCACATGCAGAGAAACACATAGGCTCAAAATAAAGGGATGGAGGAAGATCTACCAAGCAAATGGAAAACAAACAAAGGCAGGGGCTGCAATCCTACTCTCTGAGAAAACAGACTTTAAACCAACAAACGTCAAAAGAGACAAAGAAGTCCATTACATAATGGTAAAGGGATCAATTCAACAAGAAGAGCTAACTATGTTAAATATATATGCACCCAATACAGGAGCACCCAGATTCATAAAGCAAGTCCTTAGAGACCTATAAAGAGACTTTAACTCCCACATAATAATAATGGGAGATTTTAACACCCCACTGTCAACGTTAGACAGATCAATGAGACAGAAAGTTAACAAGGATATCCAGGAATTGAACTCAGCTCTGCACCAAGCAGACCTAATAGACATTTACAGAACTCTCCACCCCAAATCAACAGAATATACATTCTTCTCAGCACCACACCACACCTATTCCAAAATTGACCACATAGTTGGAAGTAAAGCTCTCCTCAGCAAATATAAAAGAACAGAAATTATAACAAACTCTCTCTCAGACGACAGTGCAATCAAACTACAACTCAGGATTAAGAAACTCACTCAAAACCACACAACTACATGGAAACTGAACAACCTGCTGCTGAATGACTACTGGGTACATGACAAAATGAAGGCAGAAATAAAGGTGTTCTTTGAAACCAATGAGAACAAAGACACAACATACCAGAATCTCTGGGACACATTCAAAGCAGTGTGTAGAGGGAAATTTATAGCACTAAATGCCCACAACAGAAAGCAGGAAAGATCTAAAATTGACACCCTGATGTTACAATTAAAAGAACTAGAGAAGAGAAAACACATTCAAAAGCTAGGAGAAGGCAAGAAATAACTAAGATCAGAGAAGAACTGAAGGAGATAGAGACATAAAAAACTCTTCAAAAACTCAGTGAATCCAGGAGCTGGTTTTTTGAAAAGATCAATAAAATTGATAGACCACTAGCAAGACTAATAAAGAAGAAAAGAGAGAAGAATCAAATAGACACAATAAAAAATGATTAAGGGGATATCACCACCAATCCCACAGAAATACAAACTACCATCAGAGAATACTATAAACATCTCTATGCAAATAAACTAGAAAATCTAGAAGAAATGGATAAATTCCTGGACACATACAACCTCCCAAGACTAAGCCAGGAAGAACTTGAATCCCTGAATAGACCAATAACAAGCTCTGAAATTGAGGTAATAATTAATAGCTTACCAACCAAAAAAAGTCCAGGACCAGACAGATTCACAGCCGAATTCTACCAGAGGTACAAGGAGGAGCTGGTACCATTCCTTCTGGAACTATTCCAATCAATAGAAAAAGAGGGAATCCTCCCTAACTCATTTTATGAGGCCAGCATCATCCTGATACCAAAGCCTGGCACAACAAAAATAGAGAATTTTAGACCAATATCCCTGTTGAACATCGATGCAAAAATCCTCAATAAAATACTGGCCAACCAAATCCAGCAGCACATCAAAGAGCTTATCCACCATGATCAAGTGGGCTTCATCCCTGGGATGCAAGGCTGGTTCAACATACGCAAAGCAATAAACATAATCCAGCATATAAACATAACCAAAGACAAAAACCACATGATTATCTCAGTAGATGCAGAAAAGGCCTTTGACAAAATTCAACAGTGCTTCATGCTAAAAACTCTCAATAAATTAGGTATTGATGGGACGTATCTCAAAGTAATAAGAGCTATCTATGACAAACCCACAGCCAATATCATACTGAATGGGCAAAAACTGGAAGCATTCCCTTTGAAAACTGGCACAAGACAGGGATGCCCTCTCTCACCACTCCTATTCAACATAGTATTGGAAGTTCTGGCCATGGCAATCAGGCAGGAGAAAGAAATAAAGGGTATTCAGTTAGGAAAAGAGGAAGTCAAATTGTCCCTGTTTGCAGATGACACGACTGTATATTTAGAAAACCCCATCGTCTCAGCCCAAAATCTCTTTAAGCTGATAAGGAACTTCAGCAAAGTCTCAAGATACAAAATCAATGTGCAAAAATCACAGGCATTCTTATACACTAATAACAGACAAACAGAGAGCCACACCATGAGTGAACTCCCATTCACAATTGCTTCAAAGAGAATAAAATACCTAGGAATCCAATTTACAAGGGATGAGAAGGACCTCTTCAAGGAGAACTACAGACCACTGCTCAACGAAATAAAAGAGGATACAAACAAATGGAAGAACATTCCATGCTCATGATAGGAATAATCAATATCGTGAAAATGGCCCTACTGCCCAAGGTAATTTATAGATTCAATGCCATCCCCATCAAGCTACCAATGACTTTCTTCACAGAATTGGAAAAATCTACTTTAAAGTTCATGTGGAACCAAAAAAGAGCCCGCGTTGCCAAGACAATCCTAAGCCAAAAGAACAAAGCTGGAGGCATCACGCTGCCTGACTTCAAACTATACAAGGCTACAGTAACCCAAACAGCATGGTACTGGTACCAAAACAGAGATATAGACCAATGGAACAGAACAGAGGCTTCGGAAATAATACCACACATCTACAACCATCTGATCTTTGACAAACCTGACAAAAACAAGAAATGGGGAAAGGATGCCCTATTTAATAAATGGTGCTGAGAAAACTGGCTAGCCATATGTAGAAAGCTGAAACTGGATCCCTTCCTTACACCTTATACAAAAATCAATTCAAGATGGATTAAAGACTTAAACGTTAGACCTAAAACCATAAAAACCCTAGAAGAAAATCTAGGCAATACCAATCAGGACATAGGCATGGGCAAGGACTTCATGTCTAAAACACCAAAAACAATGGCAACAAAAGCCAAAATTGACAAATGGGATCTAATTAAACTAAGGAGCTTCTGCACAGCAAAAGAAACTACCATCAGAGTGAAGAGGCAACCTATAAAATGGGAGAAAATTTTTACAATCTACTCATCTGACAAAGGTCTAATATCCAGAATCTACAAAGAACTCAAACAAATTTACAAGAAAGAAACAAACAATCCCATCAAAAAGTGGGTGAAGGATGTGAACAGAAACTTCTCAAAAGAAGACATTTATGCAGCCAACAGACACAAGAAAAAATGCTCATCATCACTGGCCATCAGAGAAATGCCAATCAAAATCATAATGAGATACCATCTCTCACCAGTTAGAATGGCGATCATTAAAAAGTCAGGAAACAACAGGTGCTGGAGAGGATGTGGAGAAATAGGAACACTTTTACACTGTTGGTGGGACTATAAACTAGTTCAACCATCGTGGAAGACAGTGTAGTGATTCCTCAGGGATCTAGAACTAGAAATACCATTTGACCCGCCATCCCATTACTGGGTATATACCCAAAGGATTATAAATCATGCTGCTATAAAGGCACATGCACAGGTATGTCTATTCCGGCACTATTCACAATAGCAAAGACCTGGAACCAACCCAAATGTCCATCAATGATAGACTGGATTAAGAAAATGTGGCACATATACACCATGGAATACTATGCAGCCATAAAAAAGGATGAGTTCATGTCCTTTGTAGGGACATGGATGAAGCTGGAAACCATCATTCTCAGCAAACTATCGCAAGAATGAAAAACCAAACACCGCATGTTCTCACTCATAGGTGGGAATTGAACAATGAGAACATTTGGACACAGGAAGGGGAACATCACACACTGGGGCCTGTTGTGTGGTATACATATGTAACAAACCTGCACGTTGTGCACATGTACCCTAGAACTTAAAGTGTAATAAAAAATAAAAATAAAAATAAAAAAATTTTCTCTCAAAAAAAAGAAAATGCCAAGCTCCATCTAATTTGTGAGGGAGAGAGAGTTTTCTGGAGACCCTGACATTGCTAAATCAGGCAGACACAGTACTTCCTTTGCACTGGTGCACATAAAGTCCTTGCCAAGCTCAGAGGTATGTGTAGGACATGTATGTAGTATTTCCCAAGTGAGGAACGGGAGTGGATGAGATCTTACTTCAAAGGTCTGTAAATATATTTCTTTGGACACTCTCAACTTACATGCTCACCATAAGCTCATGTACTTATGAAAGGAGAATGAGAAGAAGGGGGAAAAGAGGAAGAAGATGTGGAAGATGAAAGGAAAGAAAAAAGCAGGGAAGGAAGAAAGGAAGGAGGGAAGGAAGGAACCATTGATGGAGAAGTCACTGTGTTTTAGGCACTGTATTATATACTTTCTCACAAAAGAAAAAATTAGAGTGTAAAAATCTTGGGTTATTTCTCCAATGCCATGTACCTAGAAGGGGGCAGGGCCAGGTTCTCTCTCCACATAGCCCATGTCCTTCCCACAACACTACTTTGCCTTTCCTCAAAATGCTTGCCAACTTTTAAGTAAAGGTGATAAAATAAGACAAAACAACTTCCACAAGTTACTGTAATTTTTCAAATACTTTTACTATCTAAAGTATAGGTGTATGTGTCATCTAAAGAGGATCCAGATGCTTTAAAAATGTGGAACAAAGAGAATGGCCTGGCTAATTTTAAGCAAAATTGTCCTAGGTGTTATCATTAAGAAAATCACTGATGTTTAATAATTTCAGTAATTTTATTAAATGTTTGTAATATCTCCTGAAGGCAAGTTAATAAGTGATTTTATTGTTGTTGTTGTTGTTGTTCTAGAGAAGATTTTAAAGGGTTTCCTAGGTGCCAGGAAAGGAACGTGTTTTGCAAACATATCTCTGAGATAGTTATTAACCTCATTTAGTGAGTGAGGAAATAACAGCTCAGAGAGATAAGTGATTTGTTCAAATAGCTCATGAGTGCCCAAGCAGGGTAGCAAATCCAGGTATTTTTACTCCCAAGCCCACACAATTAACCTGTATGTATACTCTTAGTTAGTGTTATAATTTGCCATATAATATTGGCATAACTTAAATCTGAACCAGTATATACAGTAATTAGAGACAACATGATTTTATCTTTGATAAGAAGTCAGGATATACTACTGTGACTATTATTCTAAGCTAAGAAGAAATTGTTTTCACTGCAACTGGAGTATCAGTAATCATATAAAACTATCCCACCTGCTCCAAGATCAAATCAGAATATATTCTCTAATGATACCATAAAACAAACAGCAATAGCTGACCATTTGGATGTGCTTGGTATCCTTCTGAACATTCGGGTAACTTATAACCATGGTTTAGATGCAACTGAGGCACAGAGAGTTTAAATAACGTCTAAGAGCCTAAAGCTAATAAATAGACCTAGGGTGGTAACTGAAGCCACCACTTTTCACAGTGTGTACTTTTAAACAATAAGATCTGCCCAATAGTACAAAATACACATGCACACATGATTTAAAAAACAAAGGAAGATACAAGACTACTGGTATGGGCTCATCAAAAATATCAATGTTATGAAAAGCAGGGTGATTGTTCCAGAATAAAGATTAAAGAAAAATGTCATTGAAATGCAAAACGTGATTCATAAGTGAATCTTGTTCTGGGGGAATCGTGTATATGCATAGCTATAAAGGACATTTGGGGAGTTGCTCTGCCTATGGAGTTGTCATTCTTTTATTTCTTTTCTTTCTTAATAAACTTGCTTTCACTTTACTCCAAAACTAATAATAAATAAAGGACATTTGGGGGCAAGTCTGGGTATGAACTATGTGTTAAATATTATTTAATATGGTTTGGCTGTTTCCCTACCCAAATCTCATCTTGAATTGTAGCTGCCATAATCTCCATGTGTTGTGAAAGGGACAAGGTGGGAGATAATTGAATCATGGGGCCAGGTTTTTCCTGTGCTCTTCTTGTGATAGTGAATAAGTCTCATGAGATCTGATGGTTATATAAAGGGCAGTTCCCCTGCACACACTCTCTTGCTTGCTGCCATGTAAGACATGACTTTGCTCCTCCACCTTCTGCCACGATTGTGAGGCCTCCACAGCTATGTGGAACTGTGAGTCCATTAAACCCTTTGTTCTTTATAAACTACCTAGTCTCTGGTATGTCTTTACTAGCAGTGTGAGAACTAACTAATACAGTAAATTGGTACCAGGAGTGGGGCGCTGCTGTATAGATACCCGAAAATGTGGAAGTAACTTTAGAACTGGGTAACAGGCAGAGGTTGGAACAGTTTAGAGGGCTCAGAAGAAGACAAGAAAATGTGGGGAAGTTTGGAACTTCCTGGAGACTTAAAGGGGTCAGAAGACAAGAGGATGTGAGAAAGTTTGAAACTTTATAGAGTCTTGTTAAATGGCTTTGACCAAAATGCTGAAAGTGTTATAGACAATAACATCCAGACTGAGGTGGTCTCAGATGGAGATGAGAAACTTGTTAGGAACTGGAGTAAAGGTCACTCTTCCTATGCAAAGAGACTGGCAGCATTTTTCCCCTGCCCTAGAGATCTGTGGGACTTTGAACTTGAAAGAGATGATTTAGGTTATCTGGTAGAAGAAATTTCTAAGTGGCAAAGCATTCAAGAGGAAGCAGAACATAAAAGTTGGAAAATGTGCAGCCTGATGATGCAATAGAAAAGAAAAACCCATTTTCTGTGGAAAAATTTGAGCCTGCTGCAGAAATTTGCATAAGTAACCAGGAGCCGAAAGTTAATCACCAAAACAATGGGGAAAATGTCTTCAGGGCATATCAGAGACCTTCTTGGAAGCCCTTCCATCACCGGCCCTGAGGCCTAGGAGGAAAAAATGGTTTAATAGGCTGAGTCCAGGGCCCCCCTACTGTGTGCAGCCTTGGGACTTGATGCCCTGTGTTCCAGTTGCTCCAGTAGTGGCTAAAAGGGGCCAAGGTACAGCTCAGGCCATGGATTCAAAAGTTGCAAGCCAGAGCTTTGCAAGTTTCCACATGGTGTTGAGCTTTCAGGTGCACAGAAGTCAAGAATTGAGGTTTGGGAACCTTCACTTAGGTTTCTGAGGATGTAGGGAAACATCTAGATATCCAGGCAAAAGTTTCCTGCAGGGATGGGTCGCTTATGAAGAACCTCTCCTGGCAGAGCAGAAGGGAAATGTGGGGTTTGAACCCCCACACACAGTCCTCTGCCTAATGGAGCTGTGAGAAGAGGGCCACCATCATCCAGCTCCCAGAATGGTAGATCCACTAACTGCTTGCATTCTGCACCTGGAAAAACTACAGACACTCAACACCAGCCTGTGAAAGCAGCTGGGAGAGGGTCTGGACCCTGCAAAGCCACCGGGGCAGAACTGACCAAGGCCATGGAAGCCCACCTCTTGCATCAGCATGACCTGGATGTGAGACACGGAGTCAAAGGAGATCATTTTGGAACTTTAAGATTTAATGACTGCTCTATTGGATTTTGGACTTGCATGGGGTTTGTGGCCCCTTTGTTTTGGCCAATTTCTCCCATTTGGAACAGATGTATTTACCCAATGCCTGTACCCTCATTGTAACTAGGAAATAACTAACTGGCTTTTGATTTTTACAGGCTTATAGGCAGAAGGGACTTGCCTTGTTTCAGATGAGACTTTGGACTTGTACTGTTGAGTTAATGCTGGAATGAGTTAAGACTTTGGAGGACTGTTGGAAGGCCATGATTGTGTTTTGAATTGTGAGGACATGAGATTTCAGAGGGGCCAGGGGCAGAATGATATGGTTTCGCTGTGTTCCCACCCAAATCTCATCTTGAATTTTAGCTCCCATAATCCCCACATTGTTGTGGGAGGGACCAAGTAGGAGGTAACTGAATTATGGGGGTGGGTTTTTCCCATGCTGTTCTCATAATAGTGAATGAGTCTCACAAGATCTGATGGTTTTATAAAGGGCAGTTCCCCTGCACACACTCTCTTGCCTGTCACCATGTAAGACATGCCTGTGCTCCTCCTTCACCCTCTGCTATCATTGTGAGGCCTCCACAGCCATGTGGAACTGTGAGTCCATTAAACCTTTTTTTCTTTATAAATTACCCAGTCTCAGGTATGTTCTTATTAGCAGTGTGAGAATGGACTAATACATTATCTCAATATTAAATTTCTTGGGCCAGGCACAGTGGCTCACACCTGTAATCCCAACACTATGGGGGGCCAAGGTGGGCAGATCACTTGAGGCCAGGAGTTCAAGACAAGCCTAACCAACATGGCAAAACCCTGTCTCTACTAAAAATACAAAAATTAGCTGGGTGTATTATTCAGGGTTCTCTTAGAGGGACAGAACTAATAGGATAGATGATAGATAGATGACAGATAGATAGATAGATAGATGATAGATAGATAGATAGATAGATGAGTTTGTTATTAAGTATAAATTACACAATCACAAGGTCCCATAATAGACTGTCTGCAAGCTGAGGAGCAAGGAGAGTCAGTCTGAGTCCCAAAAAGGAAGAACTTGGAGTCCAGTGTTTCAGGGCAGGAAGCATCAGGCACAGAAGAAACATGTAGTCTGGGAGGCTAGGCTCATCTCTCCTTTTCATGTTTTTCTACCTGCTTTGTATTCACTGGAAGCTGATTATATTGGGCCCACCAGATTAAGGGTGGATCTGCCTTCCCCAGCCCACTGACTCAAACGTTAATCTCTTTTGGCAACACCCACACAGACACACCCAGGGTTAATACTTTGTATCCCTTAATCCAATCAAGTCGACACTCTATATTAGACATCACACCAGGTGTGGTGGCACACACCAGTAATCCCAACTACTCGAGAGGCTGAGGTAGGAGAATCACTTGAACCTGGGAGGTGGAGGTTGCAGTGAGCTGAGATCATGCCACTGCACTCCATCCTGGGGAACAGAGTGAGACTGCGTCTTAAAAAAAAAAGAATTCTTGAATGTCATTATGCTACTGTGATTATACAGAAGAATATCTGTGTTCTTTCATGTTTAAGGGAATAGATTTCTGCTATCTGCAACTTTCTATCAAATGCTTCAGAACATGTATATATGTGTGTGTGTGTAACACACACACACACGCACACACAGATAAAACAGTGATCATATATACACATTTATAAGCATAAAACATATACACATAGATAAAGCAAATTTGGCAAATGTTAAATAATTGTATGTGTGTCAGTGTCTGTGTGTGTGTGTGTGTGTGAAGATTTCTCTCTCTCTAAAATCTAGAGAGCAATCCCCTCTAAGCCATTTACCTTGGAGTCTTTCCCTGGCCCCCATTTCTCTCACATGCTTACTTGAATATAATTCTTGCAAAGTAACATTCATTTTAAATCCTGAACAGATTAATTACATCTCTGAGGTTCTAAGCTCTCACCCAACCTCCTCCAACCTCTAACCCCCAACCTCCACAGTTCATTTTCTTAAAGCTTACATTCTCTTAAAAACTGCATTTTTCCTCATGGCTCATTCTGAATGAGAATGACCCAGAGAGGGTTTGCCTAATTTTCATGAGCTTTGCTCACTAAGGTGCTATTTGCTGGGGCAAGTGGTAAAAAGAGATTATCTGCCCCAGAGATTCACTTCATAGAGGTAGTCTGCAGCACCTTGGGGATTTAAAAAAATTTATAAAAATTTATAAAATTCTCCTGGAGTTCTAGTAAATATCGAGGAAAAATTTAGTGAAAAAATCCACCTTCCTTCAATATCATTATATCTGGGTTCCCATCTCTCATCTTTTATTGGCTTTTTCATAACAGACATTTATTATTACATGTCTAAATCTGACATTTTGTGGCTTTGTTTTGGAAACTGCCTTATACCTCAAGGAACTTTCCTAAAGTCTCTGATGAGAAGCTTTTGTAGAAAGCTTAGGGAATTCAGAGCCACCATCTTGGATAGCTTTGTAGAAGCTTACTTGTTTCCAAGAGAATGCACAGAGAGATTCTAATTGCCAAAGAGAAAGTAAGTTTTATACTTGATTTTTTATATATGTGAATCCTGAAGATAAAAAACTATATCTATGGGAAATAAAAAGTAAAATTTGTCCTTTATGAGACTCAATAGTGATTTTTCAACCTCTGCCTCTGTAACCAGTTAGCAATAAGGAAAAAAACACATATCTCCTATTATCTCTACATATTATTTTTACCCTTTGCTTATGACCATGAAATTCTAATTCTTACCTTCGATCAGTTGGATTCTCATTTTCTTGAATCATCTAACGTTCGTTTATGTGTGGTATTATAAAAGAAATCAGTTAGAGAACAGAAAGTAAGACAGAGGATGGGCTGCTACCACAGAATGTGTAGAGAGGGTGTTAGAAACAGGATATACTGGGGGTTTCAATCACAAATGCACACAACAGCCAGAGGCAATCTTTCTGAGTGAAGCAAGCTCAAGGATAAAAGTTACTTTCTCTCTGGCAATTAGAATCTCTCCATGTGTCCTCTTAGAAATGTGGAGCTTTTTCCAGTTTCACTTTTGTTTTTCCCACTTTTAATAGTCATCTGGGCACAGAAAAATATTTTTCTAGTCTAAGAAAAACAACAATACAAGTAAAATAACAAAGCAACTGACATGTGGCTTCAGGGTAGAGAAATAATGAGAGGAGCCTGGGGTGAACTCTCTCTCTAAGAGAATGGAGAGGGCAGGCACCACTTCATAGAGAAGCCACAGGATAGCATAAATAGATTGCTGACAGGCGAGAATGTGAGTCCCATGGCGACTGCTATGGTCTGAATGTGGGTATCCCCCCACCAGATTCATAGGTTAGAACCTAACACTCAATGTGACAATATCAAGTGGTGGGGCCTTTGAAATGTGATTAAGTCATACAGATCCACCCTCATAATTAGGATTAGCATCCTTATAAAAGAGGCTTAAAGGAGCACCCTTGCTCCTTCTGCCATGTGAGATCACAGCAATAAGTCACCAGCCCCTACCAGACACTGAATTTGCTGATACTTGGTTTTGGACTTCCCAGCCTCCAGAATTGTGAGCAATCAGTTTCTTTTTGTTTGCTTGTTTGTTTTTGAGATGGAATCTCACTCTGTTGCCCACACTGGAGTGCCATGGTGTGACCTCGGCTCACTGCAATCTCCACCTTCCCAGTTCAAGTGATTCTTCTGCCTCAGCCTCCTGAGTAGCTGGGATTACATGCACCCACCACCACGCCTGGCTAATTTTTGTATCTTTAGTAGATACGGGGTTTTGCCACATTGGCCAGGCTGGTCTCGAACTCCTAGCCTCAGCTGATCCACCTGCCTCAGCCTCCCAAAGTGCTGGGATTACAGGCGTGAGCCACCACACCCAGGCAATAAGTTTCTATTATTTATAATTTACCCAATCCAAGGCATTTTGTTATAGCAGCATGAACAGACAGACAGCGACAAACATGGATTTTCAAGAAGAGCTGCAGATACAGATTTTATAGTAAAATCTCTTAATTTTAAAATTTTGACCCAAACAATTTTGGACCAAAAAAAAAAAAAAAAAAGGAAAAGTCCATGAGCTTCATTCAACTTCAGTGCTATAGCTGCCATTTATATAGCCTTTGCTTTATATATAAATGAAAACATTATAAGTTGAAATATGTGATTGGCTTAAATTGCAATAGAAGGGTTAAAAGTTAACATTACGAAAAATATGAATTCCTAGAAGATTTGTGTAGTTGAAGATGGTTGTTCTCTCCTTTTAAGAAATGTGTTCATGAAAAGGAGAAACAGCAGGATAATTTTGAGACCAGCCCGACTTCACATTAGACGTGCAATATCCCCTGATGATCAGAACTCATTGCCTTTTGAATTCAGGAAGGGCATAAGTCAACTGACTCAAGCAAAGAAATAAATTTGCGTTGGCCTAGAAGCATTAAATAGCTTAAACCAGTTTAAATGTTGCATCATATAAGACATATTCTACAACTACAGGAAAATAAATCAGTATATCCCAAATACACTTGAAGGTGGGTCTGATGGATCTCCGTGGACAGCGCAAAGGTCCTCCATACCATATAAACAATGAGAGACGTTGTGTGCCTTTCGGTCTGAATGGAGCATGGTGTGTTTCTCTTGGCACCACATCCTCCCCATGCAAGAAGCCCTGGCACACAGGATTTCTGTGAATCACCTGATCTGCCCTTGCATTATTAGTCAGCAGGAGGCAAAAGATATGGTAAAGAGGCCAAGGGGAAAATCATCCTTCCGTTTAACTCATTAATGTGTTTCTCTCATTGGAAATGTCAAGGTAGAAATTAGCTTAAACCTCCCTGTTTCTACCGTATGGAGCAAAAGTTAGTTTCATGATTTCAGCCAATAAAGGAAGTCCACAGGTCTGGAAGAGGGCCTGAGAAGGGCCAGGAGGCGATGCAGGCCATGGTTTCTTTGGCAGGAACTGACAAGGCGCCCAGCCTGCCAAGTCTCCAGGCAGCTGCTCTGCTACTCTCAGCCCTGCTGGTGGCTTTTCTTCCTCCATAAGGAAGCAATTTTTCCAGCACACTGTATGTTAGCCAGAGAAAGTCTACCTTCCCATTAAATTTTTTTAAAAAGAAAGAACAGTGGATGAAAGGTTAATTCCCTAGCTTTTGTCTTATCGTTTTCAGTTTCTAGTTAGGTCACCAGCAATGCTAATGGTTTATTCAGAGGGTGTGAGTGACAAGGTTTTATTGCCTCCGAAAGCACTTCTACTCCCTCTGCCTCCTGTCACCCACTGCCCACTACCCCACCCCAACCACATGCTAAGGAACAAGGGAAATTCTGGGGATGGATGGCTGGAATAAAAGAAGATGGGACTGAGGGCCCCTGTATGTGGTGACCCGAGTCTGCATTCCTGACCTAAAAAGAGGCCAACCAAAAGGAGCAAGGGCAGCAGGCTGCAGCTAAATAAGAAAGATAAACACATTTGTTCCTCTGCTCTTCCTCCTCCCCTCCCCTTCTTTCTTCCTCTCCCCTCCTTTTGCCTCCCTTCCCCTCCCCTTCCCCCATTTCCTTCTTTCTCTACTCATGAACATTGAAGATTAATGGATTTGTAATACCGGAGAGAAAGGAGCATTTGAGGAGTATATATTCACTTCACAAACGGCCCATTCTGGCCCTTTTGGTCCCTATGAACTGGGTTTCCAAGGTGTCTCTGATTCCTTTTTTGCCTAAAGAAGACCCTAACCCTAGCCCCAGCCCACCTTGAGATGGCATTAAATGGAGCTCCCCTGTGCCTCTGGTCCTGGCTGGAAATGTGTTCCACAAAACCCCCAAACATTTCCTTGTGACATGAATGAGCAGAACACTGCTGTGACTTCATGGACTTTATTATTACCAGCAACTCCTCCTTTGGCTTCAGAAAGGACTGCCGGTTTACAGAGCAAACCTGCACAACACCCTGTAGATGGCAATATAGGAGGCATTGTTCTCTCAGAAGCATGGCCCTGAGGCTGGAAAATGCCTTCCACCTGTTTTGTTTTTCTGTGTAGGAAGTGTAAGAGAAGGGAGCAAATGACAAGCAAGAAGCGTGGCTGGCTCTGAGCAGGTTCTTGCTCTTAATCTGAATTTTAAAAGTGGAATTAAACAATAATAAAGATAATGCTTTAGAAAATCTCTTTAATGGGACATGACCCCATCATGTCAATTTTTTTTTAATGACTGTATTGAGGGCAGTGCAAGCTAGGCAAGCCCTGGGAAGACTGTGTTTTGTGCTCAGATGCAGATAGCGAAGCCAGCTCAACTCTGATGCACAGAACACGGGCACACTGGCAAGCAGATGCTATGACTGAAGCCATATTGGTAGCCAGGCCAATCTCTCAGCCACCCATAGAACAGCAGATACTCACGGGTTTGCAACTTGGCTTTTTGGATGTATACAAAGGATCTGCTTTCCTTTGGCTCAGGAGACCTAACTGGAGGCCTCTATTCCATAAAATAAATTTCCAATGTCTGTCATTTGCTAGACAGCCAGAAGAGCTATGATGTCATGAGGCCTGTTTTGCCTGGGCCGTTTTGTGACCTGGGAACAGCCTTCACTTCTCCGGGCCTTGATCTCCTTGTCTCTAAAAGGAGCAAATTGATCAATGGTGGTCAAGTATCACAACCTAGAGTGAAAAACACATTTTACTTTAGGACTCAAAATAGATATAACATGTATATTTTTATTTAATTTAATAATTATAATATGCATATTGGCCAGGCACGGTGGCTCACACCTGTAATCCCAGCACTTTGGGAGGCCAAGGCGGGCAGATCATGAGGTCAGGAGATTGAGACCATCCTGGCCAACATGGTGAAACTCCGTCTCTACTAAAAATACAAAAAATTAGCTGGGCATGGTGGCAGGCGCCTGTAGTCCCAGCTACTCAGGAGGCTGACGCAGGAGAATGGCGTGAACCCGGAGGGTGGAGCTTTCAGTGAGCCGAAATCGCGCCACTGCAATCCAGCCTGGGCAATAGAATGAGACTCTGACTCAAAAAAAAGAAAAATGCATATTAAGTAACTGCAGTGAAATATTTTTTACAATAGTATTACCCTTACCACCTGCGGTATACTCTGATTTTTTTATGTTTCTCTATCTGTTTAATGCTGGTCAGGAGCCATTAAATTAATTTTATGACCTGTTGGATGGATCACAACTCACAGCTTAAAATCTCTCATTTACATCTTTCATTCATTCATTCATTCATTCAGCAAACATTTATTAAACACCAACATGTACCAGGTCACCATTCTAAGTTCAGGAGTGAGCTAAATGGGCAAAAATATCTGTCTCATAAAGCTTACATTCTGGAAGTATGTATATATGATATAAATATGTCATATATATACACACACATATATAGATATAAATAGTAAGCTATATAGTATATCAGATGATATAGCAGATATTGTCAGTGCTCCACCCACATCCTTGGACCTCAGCATTCTGGTACACTCCCTGATATTCCAGGGATCAGCATCTACATCAGGTCTTAGGTCTTTTTCCAAAGTTACAGAAGGCTTATTTGCCCACCTTGAGGAGAAGTGCCATGAAATCAATACTCCACTCCCAAAGAGCCCACAATCTATGACTAATGGAAGCTGGCATGTAAATATCCCAGCTCCTTCTCCATTTGGGTGGAATAACTATAAGGCATCTCCTGAATAAACCACTTACACTTGAAATCCTGGCACAAGATCTACTTCTGGGGAAACTAAAACTGTGAAAGAAGGTGATGAGTGCTATGGCATACAGTAATAGAGAAAGAGGACAGTGAGGGCCATGGGAGGTCATTTTAAATGGGGAGGTCAGGGAAGTCATCACTGAGAGGAAACAAGTGATATTTGAAAAAGGACCTGAAGGAGGTAAGAAAAGAGACGTGTGGATATGAGGGAGAGGAATGTTCCAGGCAACAAGAAGAGCCAGTGCAAGGTTCAGAGGCAAGAGTAACTAGACCAGTGCTATGGACTGAATGTTTGCATCCTCCCAAAATTCTTATGTTGAAGTCCTAATCCCAAAGGTGATGGTATTTGGAGGTTGGTTCTTTGTGTAGTAATTAGGTTTACATGAGGTCATGAGGGCAGAGCCCCCATCATTGTATCAGTGTCTTTATAAGGAGATGAAGGATACCACAGATATCTCTTCCACATGAGGATCCAAGAAGGAAGCTGTCCGACCACACAGAGAGCCCTCACCTACAACATAACCATGCTGGCACCCTGATCTCACAGTCCCAGTCTCCAGAATTATGAGAAATCAATGTTTGTTGGTTAAGCCACTCATTCTATAGTATTCTGTAATAGCAGCCCAAAGTGACTATGAAAACCAGTGGTATAAGCAGGAAAAGATAGATTAGTGGGATAGAAGATGAGAGATATTTGATATTATGACTACACATTAGTGATTGAGGATTGCCACAGCTGGAAACCTGATTCACAAGTACATCTTGCCACTGAAAGTCAAGAAATGTGGTAATGGCAGGCAGAGAAACTGACAGAGATAGCAGTATGCATGCACTGTGTGTGAATATTTCCATAGCCTACCAACGCTTACCTGTGGTTTTATTAAACTAAGCTTTCTGTGTTAATTTCCTGGTTTTCCATTATTAACTAACTCTTATTGCTCCAAGGATATCCTAGCTTTTAGGTTTCCAACCATTTATTGATCTCACCCTTTTAACTTGCTGTTTCTAACATAATACAAGACTTTTGGCATCACTTTCCTCATCTGAAAGATAGCTCTACCAGCTCTGATCACAACTGACACCATCATGTCTGTTTGGAAAAGAAGTGAACTATTCCCCTTGCTGGGATCAGGACAGCAGTAAGAGTGGTAAGGAGACTGAGAAATAACTTTTAGGCTGTCACAGGGAGAAGAGGAATCTCTCTGCTTTTCTAGAGTCACATTTTAAAGAAGAGAATACCTTCTACGCTAATCCAAACAAAGAGCCTGTTTTGGCTTGAATTATTTCAGTTATGAAGACTCACTGTTTTGCAAAATGGTGATTTTCATTCCCAAGTTCCATTGATTATAGAATTTCTTCATTGTTTTGTCTTCTTCAATGTTTTACAGTTTTCAGTGTACAGATCTTTCACCTCTTTGGTTACATTTATTCTCAAGTATTTTTTGCTAGGCTATAGTAAACAAGATTGTTTCCTTGATTTATTTTTCAGATAATTCATTACTAATGTATAGAAACACTACGGATTATTTCCAGTATTTTGAATTAAACTTCAACGAACTTTCCAAGCAACTCAGAAGAAACATCTCTTTTGTGCAACAATCCTTTATACGACTGAAGAACACCAGCCTACTTTGCCTTCTTTTTTCTGCATCAGATGATCCTCAGGTCTACAGAATGTTCTGCATGTGATGAGATTCCAGCACTTGGACATCACTTAGATGATTGGCTTGTCAGCAACAGTATGAACCAGAAAGGTAAGAGCATGATTCATACAGTTCTAAGTGCTTTTAATGTCAATTACCTCATCTTACACTTGAAGCAGTCCTACGAAGTAGGTACATTTATGATTCCCATTTTACACTTAAGGACAATATAAAACACAAAGGTCAGTAATTTGTCTAAGACACATAACCAGTAAGTAGTGGAAGCAGACACTCAGTGGCTAGTCTGTCTGCAGCGCTCCTGCTACTCACTACCACTCCACTCTGCCACCTCTGCTCTAGCAAACCCATGGCTCGTTGGTGTCAGTCCAGACAAGACTCAGTCCTTCTGGGTCCCAGTCCAGTGCTTTTTTCCTCCATATCACATTATCTTGAGTGCAGATAAAATGTCCTTGGGAGAAAAGAGAGGGAGCTTAGGGAGAGAGAAGTAGGAGGAACAGAGTTCCCACATCTAAATCCCAGAAGAACTATTGAGCTTTTGCTTCTGTCACTAAAAATAACCTTCCCTATTTGTAAGTTCAGTTAGAAAAATAAACAGTGGCAAAGACATCAAAACAGTCTTACTCTAGAAAAGACTCTGGGATTCTCCCTAATTCCCACACCTCAGGCACCAGTGAAAACAAAGCTCAGTGAAGTCTTCACCTTGAAGCCAGAAGGAAGCAATCGCCTCCAGCCACAGGGTCTTGTCACCTGAGGCTGTTCAAATGGTGAAAATTCAGTGGTGAAAGCTTCATTTATTTATTGTTTTCCTTCTCAAACTCTTCCAAAATATCTAAGAGGAGAGAACACTTCTAAACTGATTTTATGGGGCCAGCATTACCCTTATACCAAAGCCAGATAAAATGATAAGAAAACTACAGGCTAATATCCCTGATGAATATAGATGAAAAAATCCTCAACAAAACACTAGTGAAACAAATTCAGCAGCATATTAAAAGGACCATACACCATGACCAAGTGAAATTTATCCCTGGGATGCAAGGATGGTACAACATTCACAAAGCAATGGATGTGATACACCACATTAACAGACTGAAGGATGAAAATCACATGATCATCTCAACAGATGCAGAAAAGGCATTTGACAAAATCCTTCACCCTTTCATAACAAAAAGTCTCAACAAACTAGGAATAGAAGAAAAACATCTCAACACAATAAAAGCCATATATGAAAAGCCCAAAGCTAGCATCATTCTTAATTTGTGAAAAACTGAAATATTTTTCTCTAACATCAGAAAACAGGATGAGGATGCCCACTCTTACAACTTTTATTCAACGTAGTATTAAAAGTTCTAGCCAGAAAATTTGGCATGAAAAAGAAATAAAAAGCATCCAAATCAGAAAGGAAAAAGTAAAATCGTCACTATTTGCAACAGATACTCAACACCACTAATCATCAGAGAAAGGCAAATAAACACCCTAATGAGATATCACCTCGTATCTGTTAGGACAGCTATTATTTAAAAAATTCAAAAGATAACAATGGTGATGATGTAGATTAATTGAAATGCTTGTACAATGTTGACAGGAATGTAAACTGGTGTGACCGCTATGGGAAACTGTATGGAAGCTCTTTAAAAAATTAAAAATAGAACTACCATATGATCCCACAATCATACTACTGGGTATATAGCCAAAAGAATTGACATCAGGATCTCAAAGAGATATTAACAATCCCATGTTCCTTGTGCATGATTCACAATAGCCGAGATATGGAAACAACCTAAATGTCCCTCAATGGATGAATAAAGAAAACGTGGCATATATATACAATGGAATACTGTTCGGCCTTGAAAAAAGAAAAAAGAAGAAGAAAATCCTGCCATATGTGACAATATGGATGAACCTGGAGGATTTTATGCTAAGTGAAATAAGCCAGTCACAGAAGGACAAATAATGCATGATCACATTTATATGAGGTTTTCTAAAATATTCAAACTCACAGGAGCTGAGAGTACAATGGTGATTGCCAGAGGCTGTTGGGACAAAAGAAAGGGGAATTTTGTTCAACAGGTAGAAAGTTTCAGTTATGAAAGATGAATAAGTTCTAGAGATCTGCTGTACAACATTGTGCCTATATTTAACAGTACTGTATTGTACACTTACAATTTTGTTAAGAGGGACGATCTCATGTTAAATGTTCTTATTACAATTAAAAAAAAACAAAGAATATTCACTACATATCAGAGACCTCATTGGAAATTTACCTGACAGTGTGTTCTCAGTCATATGATTCTTCAGTGTTACAATCTGGTAAGTGGAATTTGTGACATCAGCCTGCCCTTATATCTCCCCTAACAAGTTAGAGTTGGAGACGCCCATAAATTTGAGTCAGTTTCCCTGGGTGCCAATTGGAGACTTCAGGAAGAACATTCACTTTACAGTCACTTGGGGTTTAGGAACTCTGGCACTAGAGCAGCACTTCTCAAACTTTTACATACATGTAATCACCTGGAGTTCTTGTTAAAAATCAGATTCTGATCCAGTGACTCTGAGGTGGAGCCAGGTGTTGGTTCTCATTTCCAACAAACTCTCAGGTGGTGCTTCTGGATCCAGCTCTGGGTTGTGAAGCACTAGACCACTGGCCTTTGAACCCTTGTGTCCGTCAAGTGCTGGGCTAGCTGCATAAGAGTCTTCTGGGAAAACATATCAAATACAATTGCCTAGGCTCTTCTTCCCCAGGGACACATATTGAATAGGCCTGCAATGGGGCCTTGGAATTTGCATTTTAATGGCCACCTCATGTTATTCTGATGCACAGCTATGTTTGAGAATTATGGCTCTAAAGCAAAGCTCTCCAAGAAAGAAGTACATACCTAGGTATACAAGATGATCCAGTGAGTTGAAGTATGAAAATAATATAGTAGTTATTTGGGGTATTTTTTCTAAGAAAGAAACTAATCTTTACTGGTATTTAGATTGACAATAGTGCCTTCACTGAGTTCTCAAATTAGCTCAACACAAGTTCTGGAAACTACACAAGATAATCTCCAGAATCAAAAAGAGTTCAGCAAACACACAGGGGTTGCCATGGTACCTCCACTGCTTGATTGCCATTTATGTGCTACAGGTTTTCATCAATGCAGTTTATTTTATAAAAGCAAGACCTTTAGAATATGCAACTTGACAAAATAGGGAGTGAGTATGAAAATGTCTGGTACCACACAGAAGTTTCTTGTTTAATTCATGACGAAGTAGTAAAAAAGTTGTTGGATTTAAAAATGAGTTGTCCATTTCCTTTTACAAAACGATAATTGTTCCCAAAGTGTAAATCTCAAATGCATGATGCTGAGTGAAAGAATGCTACATACTGTACAATTCTACTTACATGGCAGCCTGGAAAAGGGAAACTATAAGGATAGAGAACAGATTAATGGTTGCCAGGGGACAGGGTAGGGACAGGGTTTGGCTACGCAGAAGCATGAGCGTATTTTGAGGGGCCGGGCTGCGGGGCGGTGGGGTGTGCGGGAGTAATGAAACCATTCTACACCTACATTGTGATGGTTATGTGACTTTTTGCATTTGTCAAAGCTCCTAGAGATATACACTAATGAGTATGAATTTTATAGCAAGTTACACCCTAAAAACATTCACTTAAAAAAAAGTAAGTTTTGCTGAACAAAAAGAAAATTTCTACCACCTTTCATGCAGTATATTTTTCAGCCATAATAGGTGTAAAACTAAAAACTGAAAATAAACTAAACTTAGAACCAGATCTGCATATCACTGTGTCTCAAAGTGTTAAGCCAACATCTTTTTTTTAAAAAAAAGCATACTTAATCACATTATTCTCATTAAAATTTTGATAATTAATAATTTCAGAACTAAATGGTTTATACCATTAAAAATAAAATTATTTATTTATTATTTTAAATAATTTTGACTTTTATTTTAGATTCGGGAGTACGTGTGCAGGTTTGTTACATGGATGTATTGCATGACACTGAGGTTTGGGGTATGAATGATCACGTCATCCAATGAGCGCAGTACCGAATAGGTAGTTTTCAGTCCTTGCCCCGCTCCTTCCCTTCCCTTCTAGAATTCCTCATTGTCTATTGTTCCTATCTTTACGTCCATGCATACTCAAAGTTTAGCTCCCACTTATAATAGAGAACATGAGGTATTTGGTTTTCTGTTCCTGCATTAATTTGCTTAGGATAATGGCCTCCAGCTGCATCCATCTTACTGCCAAGTACATGATTTGGGGTTTTTATGGCTGTGTAGTATTCCATGGTCAAATTTTTGTTTCATCTTATTTCATTCTTTTAAAATTTCTACTTTCATTCATTTATAATACAGTAGTACATATATATAATTTATGACTAAAAATACATATGTATTTGGAAAGGCATGCTAAAAATGATTTTACTGCTAAGATGATAAACAGAAAACTTTGGAGGTCACTTCTCTAGAAAATAACTCTTCAAAATTTAATGTACGTAGGAACTACCTAGGGATCTTGTTAAAATATAAAGTCTGATGCAGCAGGAAGTCTCTCACCAGATCAAATGCTGGCACCTTGATCTTGGACTTCCCAGTCTCCAGGACTGTGAGAAATAAATTTATGTTCTTTATAAATTAAAGAAAAAATACAAAGTCTGATTCACAAAGTAGGGATGGGGTCTGAGATCTTGCATTTCTAATAAGATTATGATTAATCTAATAAGTTGAAATCATTTGTTTTGGTTTAAACTAATTACCAAGTCAATTCATTCTAATACCTTCCGGGTTCACTCATAGACTAGGCCTAGGGTTAAAATGATAATTAGTATGATGCCAGTGCACCTGGCCCTAAGACTATACTTTGAATAGCAGGACTCAGACCACAGTAGCCCGAAGACATCTATGCAGCTATTATAGAGACTAACAACTGCTGCATTTGATTCAGCAGACTCAGTTTTCCCTCTTTGGGTTTGGGAGACATGAATTCTTATCAGTCAATAGGCCAGCTCTCTTAGCATCTTCCCATGGAGCAAATGATTCCCATTCCCATGCTCATAAAAGCTGATTTTACTTAGGTCACTGCTTATCCACCAGCGTGGGTTTCCTTAGAAGGAAGGACACATTGTCTAATAATAGCAGTGCCTTATATTTACACATGGTTTATAATTAACCAAATGTCAACTCATATCAGCCTCACAATGACCTTTGGAGGTAGAACAAAGCAGATGTATTATAAACCCATTTGCAAGTGCTACATGACAGAAGCAAGCACAGTGCTTTCTTTCAGAGTTGGAGTGATCAGGCAAAGCTTTAAGAAGAAAGTACCATGGAGTCTGAAGATCAAGAATGGGTAAGGTTTTTAGATGAAGGGTGGGAAATAACATTCCAAGAAGAGAGGATGGATTCAAACACACTGTAGATATGTATTGAGCTACTACTACTCTAAAGCCCAATGAAATCAGCAGGAGTAAAGATGTTCTAACTTTATTCTGTGGGAAGTAGATGCCATTAAAAATTTTTAATTCAGGGACTAATGTAATCAAGTTTACCATGAAAGCATTTGAGTTTGATGTAGGCAAGACTGGTGAAGATGAGTCCAGCCAGGGGGGCTATTGAAGAGGAAGAAGTAAAAAATGATGAAGGCACAAATTGAGGCAATAACAGTGGAAGGGACAAAAATATTTAAGGACTTCATTCCTTTTTTTTTTTTTATTATACTTTAAGTTTTAGGGTACATGTGCACATTGTGCAGGTTAGTTACATATGTATACATGTGCCATGCTGGTGCGCTGCACCCACTAACTCGTCATCTAGCATTAAGTATATCTCCCGATGCTATCCCTCCCCCCTCCCCCCACCCCACAACAGTCCCCAGAGTGTGATATTCCCCTTCCTGTGTCCATGTGATCTCATTGTTCAGTTCCCACCTATGAGTGAGAATATGCGGTGTTTGGTTTTTTGTTCTTGCGATAGTTTACTGAGAATGATGATTTCCAATTTCATCCATGTCCCTACAAAGGACATGAACTCATCATTTTTTATGGCTGCATAGTATTCCATGGTGTATATGTGCCACATTTTCTTAATCCAGAAGGACTTCATTCCTAATTGGATGTAGAGTGTAACAGAGAGAACACTGACAGTTGAAGCCATAAAAAAAAAATAATAAGCTTTTATATCTCAAGGCCCATAAACAAGTGCATGCCCTTTGACCTAGTTGGGCCTCACCTGGTGTTTTAGACAAAGGAAATTAATTCCCAAAGGCAACTTTTTTTTCTACACTTCCCATAAGTATGTTTATTACAGCATTATTTATAAGAGTAAAAATTTGGGAACAATCTAAATGTTCATAATATAGAATGATTACATAAATTATTGTGCAAAAAGATTATAATGATAAGATTACATTAAAAAATTGAAGGATACTTTTAAAAAGATATAAATAGATATATTTCCTGGATGGGAAGAATTAATGCCCTAACAATATCAATTTTTCTCAAATTAATATATAAATGTAATGTAATGCCAAAAAAAGATTTTGAATTGAACAAATTGACCCTAAAATTTTATGAAAAAATAAATATAGTGGACTTATCAAGACAATTTCAAAAGGAAAGTGACAGTGTGCTTTGCACTAACAGGTATTGTACTGTTTTTACAGTTACAGTAAACAAAAGTCTATATTTTTGGCATATAAATAGGCATCTCAAAGAAACAGAGTAGTGTCCCGAATTCATATAAATATATATCAAAATGTAACACATGATATGTGACACTAGAAATCAGTGGAGAAATTATGAATTTTTCTATAAGGGGTAAAATTAAAAATAAAATTCAGGAGAAAATTAACTGTCTACCTTATGTAATAGTTAAAGATCTATTAAAAAAAAAACAATTTAACAGAGTTAATTGCAAAGAAGCAATACAAAAAACCCAAAAGCTGTAACAGAAAATAATTGACAGATTTGAGTACATGAAAATTAAAAACTTTTGTGCAATGAAACAGTCCATAAACAATATCAAAGGAAGCCTGACAGGCACAAATGTTTGCTATACATTGAACAAAGTGTTAGTATGTTTAATAATAAAAGAGATGCCAAAAATTAATTTTAAAAAATATGGAGGCCAGGCACGGTGGCTCACGCCTGTAATCCCAGCACTTTGGGAGGCTGAGGTTGGTGGATCATGAGGTCAGGAGATTGAGACCATCCTGGCTAACACGGTGAAACCCCGTCTCTACTAAAAATACAAAAAATTAGCCGGGTGTGGTGGCAGGCGCCTGTAGTCCCAGCTACTCAGGAGGCTGAGGCAGGAGAATAGCGTGAACCTGGGAGGCAGAGCTTGCAGTGAGCCGAGATTGCACCACTGCACTCCAGCCTGGGCAACAGTGCAAGATTCCATCTGAGAAAAAAAATATATATATATACGGGCCAGGTGTGGTGGCTCACAACTGTAATCCCAGCACTTTGGGAGGCCGAGGTGGGCGAATCAGGAGGTCAGGAGTTCAAGACCAGCCAGGCCAACATGTGAAACCCTGTCTCTATTAAAAACAGAAAGAAATGCTGGTCGTGGTGGTGGGCACCTGTAATCCCAGCTGCTCAGGAGGCTGAGGCAGGAAAATTGCTTGAACCTGGAAAGTGGAGATTGCAGTGAACCGAGATCATGCCACTGCACTCCAGCCCAGGTGACAGTGCAAGACTCCATCTCAAAAGAAAAACAGGCATAAGATTGAACAGCCACAACATAAGAGAAAAAGTCAAAATATAATAAGCACATGAACTCAACCTTGAAGGCAATCAGAACACTGTGAATTAGAACAACAATGAGCTATCATATTTTGCTTATCAGACTAGCAAGATAAGATTGATAAAGTCCAGTGCTAGCAAAAATGTGAGTAAACATCCTTGGTAAGAGTGGACACTGAAACATTTGTGGATAAAAATTGGAGGTATATATGAAAATTTAAAATGTTCCTACCCTGTGGCTCAGTAATCTCATTTCTAGGGCTTTCTCCAACAACATATTTGGAGAGCAATTTGGTAGCTATCAAAATTTTAATGTTCATTCTCTTTGAGCCAACCAAGTCATTTATTTTTTATTTTATTTATTTATTTATTTATCTATTTATTTTTTTGAGACACAGTCTCAATCTGTTGCCCATGCTGGAGTGCCATGGCACTATCTCGGCTCCCTGCAACCTCTGCCTCCCAGGTTCAAGCGATCCTCTGGCCTCAGCCTCCCTAGCAGCTGGGACTACAGGCGTGCACCACCACTCCTGGCTAATTTTTGTATTTTTAGTAGAGAGAGGGTTTCACCATGTTGGGCAAGCTGGTGTGGAACTCCTGACCTCAGGTGATCTGCCTGCCTTGGCCTTCCAAAGTGTTGGGATTACAGGCAGACGCGAGCCAACCTGCCTGCCAATCAGGCCATTCTAAGTATCTATCCTAAAGTCCATGCAAAGACAATCCTAGCAGCACTTCTTAAAATAAAAAGCTGGAATTACTAAAGACCTAACAATGGAAGAATGGTAGAATATATTACAAACTATGTAACCATTAAAAAAAAATGGAGTAAATCTATACATAGTTACCTGGAATATGTGATTTCATTAAGTTTAAAAAAGAAAAGTCACAGAAATTATTGCATTTTGAATTTTTAAAATATTTGCATGTGCATACAGAGACATGACTATATACACATGTAAAAAAGGAGGCAACCACCAATACGTCAATGGTGGTTACCTCTGAGACAGGATTAGATGAAGGAAGGAGGATGTGTGATTTGGAAGTACTATATTTTACTGTATAGATAAAGATGTAGATTTCTTTTTAACAGTGCTAGGATTTGGGGTAGTTTTTTAATCTTTGGATATTTTTAGCAGTTTTCTATTTTTTTTCTAAAGAAAGAAACATAGTTCTCCCACATATGGACATGCCATTCTTCTGAGGATGCTTAAGTTGACCCCAGGAGGAGCCCTAGCTGCTGTTCCCCATTAGAGGCCCCTTTTCAGCAGGAAGTAGCCAGAAAGAGTCCTTGCCCAAAACCCCCTAACAGCAGTTAGTGTGATATCGCCACAGGGAGGAATGTGGCATGAGTTATCAAGAAATTATTTTAGGCAGATAGAGAGTAAAAGGGGTCCTTGGGAAGTTTTCATTTTTTAAAGTATCTCCAGAAAAGTTTCTTGTAAAACCCCGGCTTTTAGAGCCAGGCGGGCAACCTTTGATATGCAAACCTAGGCCATTAGAAACTGGGTTCACCCAAACATGCCGATTCCAGGGACCTTCTTGCCCTTGCCCCACATGTTCCTGGCAACATGGCCGCCCCCACATATCCCTATTTGTGTAGAACATCATGGCGCCCCGCATTTGCATATTAAAAGGCTAGAGTGGGAGGGCCAGCTCTTTCATGGGCTACGTGAATTACGTGCCTAGTCAAACCAATCCCCTGAGCCCTAGGCAAATCAAACACCGCCTCCTCCAGCCTCTGCTTATATACCTGGCTGGTATCCGCAGCAAGTGGGGACTTACTCTTTTGGCTTTGGAGCGCCCCCCTCCCTCTGTCTCTGTACAGGGAAGCTTCTTCTTTCTTCCTTCTCCCTTTCCTTCTTGACCCTTCTTGCCTATTAACCTCTCCACTCCTTAAAACCAAAAAAAAAAAAAAAAAAAAAGAAATGTGGTTCTCAAAGAAGACAAATGAAGTAGCAATGATAAAACTCCTTCCCTATTTGAGAAGGAGGAGAGAGAAAAGGAGCCACGGCAGAAACCAACAGAGGAATGCCACAGACAGAGGGGAGGCTCCCGCCAGAGGATGGCAGAGGCCTGGAAGCCAAGGCGTGAGAACTTCAAGAGGAGGAAGTGAACCGAAGCCCAGTGCTGCAGAGAGGCCTGGAGGGCCCTCCCAGAGAGCAGCCAGTGAGTGGTAGTGATGAAAGCCAGGTGCAAAGAATTCAAGGGAGCCATTTTCCACCCTGCCTGTGCATTTTTGTAAAAACAGAGAAGTCAGAGCCCCATTCTAAACCTCCTGCATTAGAAGCTCTGCAAGTGACACCCAGACACAGTACATTTTAAACACTCAGGTGATTCTTGTTCACAGCCAAGGTTGAGAACCAGTGAGTTAAGGCACTGAGAGGGAAGTAAGTAAGGAAAGCTGGTGTGCGTAAGTCATTCTTTCACTAAGATTGGCAGGTAAAGAAATGAGTGAATTAAACTGTAAAGCCATCAAAAGGGTCAAAGAAGATGTAGAAGTTGTAGGTTGAGATAAAGAAGCCTATGGGGCAGAAAAGATTAAATATGCAAGAAAGGTAGAGGAAAGGGGAAGGAAAGAAAGGAACTTGATGTTTCTAGACTTTGTTAGATGGCACACATTTTACATATGCCATCACCATTATTATTCATTTGACTGGATTTTTGAGGCACATGCTACTGTGTCCAATTTACAGTGAGAAACCAAGAATAGCAAGGACCTAACCCAGTGCCAGTGCTGGGCTCTTCCTCTGCATCAGGCTGAGAAGCAAGGTCTTGGAGGAAGTAAACGGATATGGAGTCCAGGACTCAGGTAGGGAGTCAGCTTGCAAAGGACGAACACGTCCGCTAAGACAGAGATGCAGAAATGAACTAGAGGAGGACATCAGTAAAGAAGCTGTGAAGCTGGAGCACATCAGTGCATAGAGAGAAGGAGATAGTCAAAGAACCACTGTGGGGCAGAAAAGGAAAATATAGTGGCTCACTGCGGATTTCATCATCTCAGGAAAGCTGGGGCAAGGTAACTCACTGACAATGAGTACCCGTGGCTTTGTGACAGTGCCTGTGTGCTACACAACAGAGCAGAAAGCCAGCCCTGCCCTTCTTACCAGTGAGGTATGGATTAGCCACGCAACGACCAGTCTGTAAGCCAGGAGTACAGACGAGCCAAGCTGCCTGCAGCTGAGTGGGAACCACAAGGAGGAAAAGCCAAGTCCCTGCCTTCTAAGAGCTGACAGTCTGGAGTTACCCAGAGTGATCTTCTATTTCACTAACTGTTAAAATAGTCTGATTAGAACAACTATTGTAGAATTGAGTGACCCTTTGCTTTGCAAAGGTCATATAGAAATATTCTGCCACTGAGGATCTCATGTCGCCCAGTGGTTCTGAAAATAAATAGAAGTTGCGTACCTTCATGGACACCCATGAATGAAAGTAAATATACCCTAATCATCACAGGAAGCATGTGCGGTCTGCACGTGAAAGATGCATCTCCCATCAGCTAACAGAACCAGGTGGAGTCTATGTTTTAATAAGGACGTGTTATTGATCAGGAAGTATTAGGTTATTATGCCTAGGTAGTTGCTTCTGGGATTCCAGTCCAAAAGGATCACCAAAGCATCATGGGATTTTCAATGGCTTCCTGTGGCTTGGCAAATGCTCACTGCTAACTGTGATTTCCCAGTTATCCAGAGTAGCAGTCAAATCAAAGGGGAAAGCCTCATGTTTCAATAACTTAAAACAAAACAAAAAAAAAAACGGCCAGGCGCAGTGGCTCACGCCTGTAATCCCAGCACTTCAGGAGGCCAAGGTGGGTGGATCATGAGGTCAGGAAATCAAGACCATCCTGGCTAACAGGGTGAAACCTCATCTCTACTAAAAATACAAAAAACTAGCCGGACATGGTGGCACGCGCCTGTAGTCCCACCTACTCGGGAGGCTGAAGCAGGACAATTGCTTGAATCCAGGAGGCAGAGGTTCCAGTGAGCCGAGATGGGGTCACTGCAATCCAGCCTGAGCGACAGAGCGAGACTCTGTCTCAAAAAAACAAACAAAAACAAACAAAAAAAAAAACTCAGTAACCTTGGTTTAAAGTATTTCCTTGGTGGCCCTCTGGGTTGTGTAACAATCGGATGCATTAATTATTATGGCATCAAATGACACCAGCAACATACATAGTCAGAAATAACTATTTGATTCAGGCAGGTGCTATTATTTGTTTCAGCACTGTTAAATGTGGGGTTTTTGTTTTTGCAAGAGAAAAGGCGGTTGTGTGTGGTTTCAAGAAGAAGAAAAGTCAGAACAACATGCAGCCCATTAGAAAAGATAAATTCTTTATTTGTGGAAAACAACAGAAGTGGGGCTATTTAGGCACCGCCAATGTTTATTATATTCATATGGCAGAGAATAAACACAGCACACTAGAAGTTTGCGCTTTGGGTATTAAAAAAAAAAAAAAGCAAAACCTTCTTAGGTCACTGACTATCTTCTTTTGCTCCTTTCTATCTGACTCCTCAGGCAAGGTGCAATTCAAATCCCTGGAGAACCTCTCAAATATAGCTGCTGTTCAATGTTACTCAGAAATAAGGAAAGAAATTTGACACGGAGACACTCCACATCTTGGCTGCCTGGAAAAATATCATCTTTGAGGTCATTCAACTCACTAAGTCATTTTTATTATTGTTTTGTCTGTCTATTTTCTGGTACAGTCTCAATGAAAGATATGTGGCCCTAATCATGCAAAACCGATCTGGGGGGAATCAGTTGTTTCTTCAGGTCTTCGCAGGATTCCAGCTCCCCCAACTACCTCCGTCGCCTTCTAAAACTGGCAGGCTCTGGACGTTTTGCATGCTGAAGAAAATCACTGTTTTGCCTCCAGCAAGGAACATAAATGTTGCAACACTGACTCCTCCTCTCATGAAGAAAGAGTGAACAAGTGCACCGAGTTGAGCTTCTTCTCACAGAGCCACCGGGCTGGGGACCGGGGAGCGGAGGCTGAAATCCCCAGACGCCGGTTTTCTGGGCTGGGCTTTCTGCCTTACTCACTCCTTCTCCCTCTTTCTGGATTTTACCGACCGTTCGCGAAACAGCTTTCCACACAATGGAGCTTCATGTCCTCGTGCAGGAAGTACTCATCGACTGATGTGGCAGACTTTGCTCCCTGGCAAAAGTGAGTACCCATGGCGAGCTGAGGCCGCCTCCGACGGCGCGCGGCAGGGGCTGCGCGGGCGGCCGCTCTCCGGGATGCGGGTTCGAGGCCCGCGTGCTGAAGGGGAGAGCGGGGCCACCGGCGCGGGCTCCTGGAGAGAACGCCAGCCAGGAGCCAGAGTCGGCAGCCGGCGGGGAAGCCCGGGATCCGCCCGCCTCCCGCCCGGATGTCCCTTCTCAGAGGGGCTAAAAAATACTCTTAAGGTGCTTTGCCTCCACCACTGCCCCCAACCCCAGCTTTTACAAACTGCACTCGGCTCGCATTCGCCTTTGTCAAAGGCATCTTCACCTGTATCCTTGAGCATGAGTTTCGGCGTTGATTGTGGGATTCTCAGAATGCAAATTATTTGCGTCAAAATAAAAAGAAAAGAAAAAAAGAGCGGGGAGGGGGAAGGGGCGCAGACAGGTGATGTGATGAAAGCCGGACTCGAGACTCTCCCATCAGCAGCAGCCGCCGCCGCAGCAGCCTCGCGGGCATCCGGCGGGGAAAGTTTAGGGTTAGCAATGCTGACCTGAAAGGTGTTGCTCCTCCCAAAAGTCAGCGGGGGTAGGGGCAGATGAGCAGCCTCCGGGCCAGAAGCCGGAGCTGGACGGAGGCACCTAGGCAGAGGAATTGCAGCCCGGGAGGAAGCTGGAAGGAGAGCCCGCTGGAGAAGGGAGGAGGGAAGGGAAGAGGAGTTGGTTAAAGTCAGGCAAACTCAGGTAACTGGAGGGCCGGCCCGAGTGCTACGGCAGGGGAAGGCAAGGGCTGGAGTTCTGGCTCTTTGAGTAGAAAACTATCCTTTTAGTGACCTCTACCTGTATCCTGGGGAAGCAACCCACACTGCCCTGAAAACAAGCAACGTAGGGGATTCTATGACTGGACTTGAAAATGGTTGCAAAACATTATTATTAGTCTGGAGGGATCACTTTGTCTTCATTTGTCAAGTTGACCGGGCAAGATTTCCCACCTGAAATCGTGCTTCACTTGACCAGGGAAGTGCTGCTAATCCCAATCCTGACCATCAGCTGTGCAAACTTGGGCAAGATACTTACCCTCTCTGGGCTTCGATTTTTTTTCTGCAAAGTTTAGGGAATTAATTAATTATATATATATATTATAGAAATATATATAATATATATATAAATGTTTAATGAGGTGGAAGTGCTGAATAGTGCAAGAGAGGAGCAGATGAAAATATTAATTTCAGTGGTTCTTAAAAATTAGGGGTGATAGGTCCTTTTGAGAATTAGCTGTGAGTCCTCTTCCTGGGGCAAAATGCATATGGCATGTACATAAAATTTTACATGCAATCCCTGAGGGTTTGTGGATACTCCCTGAAAGCCATGCCTGAATCCCAGGTGACAATCCCTTATTCCTCCTCCTGTATCAAGACCACCCAGCCAACTCCTTGCTGCTGGTTGGGCTGACTGTGGGAGTAATCCACAGCCTTCTTGGGGGTCTGGAGTCAGCCACGCTGCTGAAGGAGACAGCTCCCCTGTCATGGGTGAGCTCCCCACATGCTCTCTCCAGAGCTCTACCAGCCTCTGACTCCAGGGGACCCCTCCTCACAACCCTTTTTAATGACTCTCCTAAGGCGACAGTCCTTACCCCTAGAATTTTCAGTCCCACCAACCCTGGAGAGCCATCTAAAGAGGATCGCTGTCTGAATCAGAGTGCTCTTCAGGTCACCTAGCTGGATGGCAGGGAGGCCAAGGCTTTGTTTGGAAATGAAGCAGTCTTTGCTCCCTGAGGCATAGTATGAGTAGGCAGCCATATTCTTTTGAACCTCTGTACTTTGCCTTTAGAGGACTAAGGACTCACATCTCTGGGGACCCTGGGTGTTCCACTAGCAGTGCCAGCAAGGCACATCAGAAAACACACAGGGCTTTGGAGCTCAACAGACTGGGCTTCAGATCTTGACTCCCACACTGAGCAAGCCTCTGAGTTTTCCTGAGCTTCACTTTTCCTGTCAGCACAATGAAAATAATGCTGCTTTTTTTTTTTTTTTTTTTTTGCATGGTTGTTGGGAGAATGGAAATACTATGAATCATGCCTAGCCCATAGTCAATGATAAACTTTTTCTTAATATTAATGTGGCACCATAAATAAGTGTTCAATAGTCTCATGCTTTTAAGAACAGCTTACTCTCTCTCTCCTATGGGGCTTACATTAGTAGAAGAATGAGTAAAATTAGTTCTGGTCTAGTTATGCACAAAAAGGAGTGGTGGCCTCAGAATACAGAGTCAGACTGGCTGTTCGAATTGTGCAGTGTCAAGGAGAGCACTATGTATTGCCGGCAAGTAAAGTATGTCCAGACCGGCGTGGATACTTGACCTGTCTCTCAGTTCTCTTTTGACCCATAATCTTGAGTACAAAACAGCTAGTGCTGTGCCTGCAGCTAAAAACAGCCAGGCATGGAAAGAAGTGTTGTGGCTGGGTCCATCTTCAGAAACTGTAGAGAGAAATATCTCCATTGTCATCTTTCACAGTTTGGCACAGATGTAGCCAACTCAGCATGTACTCTCTCTCCATGGGGTCCTGGTGCCTCCATTGCAAGTGGTCAGATGATGTAGCAATGAAAGAAGGAAACATCGGAAACTTAAAAGGAAATTGGATATCCACAGAGTAGCCAAAGATCTATCAGTATACTTTGGTGAGGTATTCCTGCATGCAAAGATAGCAATATTCATGCCTACTATTTACTGAGCCTTTAAGATGTGCTAAGCACTTTCACACATTGCCTCAATTAATTCTCATAGCAAGATTGCAGAGTATGAGTTATCATTTAAAGCTTTACCAGTAAAGAAACTGAAACATGGAAATGTACATACACCCCCCAACCCCACACCCCACATCCGCCTAGCTCAGGAAAGGCAGAACCAGGATCCAAGCCCAGGTCTGTCTGACTTTGGCACCCACTCTTTTTCCACTACCCAGTGCTCCCAAGCTCCCCAATATCAGGCACTTGCATCAGCCAACCGGATTAAGATTCTTCTAAAAGGCAGGAATAGCCAAATCTAGTGGGTGCTTTTAAGTGGTGTGAACATGTGCTTGGCTTGTGATACATATTAACGGGTAGCAACAACAAGATCACCTATGGGAGGATAATATTCCTGACCCTTCCCAAGCCCAGCCATTAGACTCAAGATTGGCAATATCCAACATTAGCAGGTGAGGCTGGCGCTCTGTCACTGACTTCCTTGGTAATCCTTTTAGTTAAACAGAGCTCTGGAATGTTCATTCTCTACCACCTTTAGAATCAGAACACCACTTACCTTTACCTCCCTGTGCTGAGCACGTTTTCATTCATTTATTCGACAAGCATTTGCTGAGCTCTGTTTTGTGCTGGGCACTTGATGACACAGTGGGGAATGAGACACACAGGATCCCAGCCCTTGTGGAGCTTCTATGCCAGAGAGAGTGACAGAAAACAGTCGGGTGAACAAATACATAAATAAAATCATTTCAGATACTGATAAATGCTATGAAGAAAATAGAGGCTGAAGGCTACAGAGGGACAGGGCGTGGGAGCAACTTTCAACAGGGAAGTCAGAGAAGACTGCCATACAAAGGATACCCTTGAACTTAAACCCGCATTTTCAAAAAGGGAGCCAGCCCTGTGAAAGTCTAGGGAAAGGGCTACCTTAGCAGAACTCTCAAGAGAAAGTTCTTAAATTGGAGTAAATGAAGCAGTAAAGCTTAAAGTCTGAAGATGGGCCCTTTAGAAGTTGACTTGTATATAGGGGGAATTATTATTTGAATGCCTACTGTACTATTCTAAGCTGTGCTGTATACTCTGTTTATCTTCCCAATGATCTGGTGAGTTAGCTATTTTTGTTTTTATTTTACAGTTGAAGAAACCAAGAGTCATCAAGGTTAAGGAGCTAGTCCAAGGTTATGGAGCTAGTCCAAGGTTATGAAGCTGGTATTTGAATCCCTTAGTCTATTTCACTCCAAAGCCCACAACTACTTGCTAACACAGCATGTGGGCTTTGAGATAATGTCTTTTGGAGAAAGTAAGGAAGCCGATAGAAGGAGAATATCAAAAGTAAATTAAGTAGCTGAATGCTGACAACGATTTGTATTTGATGTCCCAAATTCCAGTTAGTGCACCTACAACTGAACTGTCCAATACAGTAGCCACTAGCCACATGTGCCTATTGAGCACTTGAAATGTGGCTATTTCATATTGAGATGTACTGTAAATGTACAACGCACCCCAGATTTTTAAGACCTAGTATTCCCCCCAAAAAGTAAACTGTCTTGGCCAGGTGTGGTGGCTCATGCCTGTAATCCAAGCACTTTAGGAGGCCGAGGCGGGTGGATTGCCTGAGCTCAGGAATTCGAGACCAGCCTGGGGAACACGGTGAAACCCCGTCTCTATTAAAAATGCAAAAATTAGGCAGGCATGGTGGTGGGTGCCTGTAATCCCAGCTACTTGGGAGGCTGAGGCAGGAAAGTCTCTTGAACCCGGGAGGCGGAGGTTGCAGTGAGCCAAGATTGCGCCATTGCACTCCAGCCTGGGTGAAAGAGTGAGACTCCGTCTCAAACAAAAACAAAAACAAAAGTAAACTGTCTCAATTTTTATATTGATTGTGTGTTGAAATGATAATATTTTAGGTATACTAGTTTAAATAAAATATATTAAAATTAATTTAACCTTTTTCCTTTAATGTGGCTTAATAGAAATGTTTAAATTACATATGTGACTCACATGATATTTCCGTTGAATAGCACTGATCTAGACTAATAAGTTGACAAATACATGATAGGACCTTTTTCCCCCTTCTTCCAAACGTGACTTCTTCCTCTGTTCTTGTGTCAGGCTCCTTCTCATCTGCCCCCATATTCAGTTATTTGGTGAAGCACGAGAGAAAAGAGGTCCCTCTTCCTTCTCCCCCACCCTCATGCTGCTGGTTAGCAGGTGATCATTTGAAGTCCACTATACCATGTCACTTTGGGATCTGATAAAATAGACTCAGTGATTATATTCATCACCAAGACCAATCCTCTCACTCAGGTAAATCTCAAGAGGCTTTCAAACGTCCTACAATGAAAGGGTCATTTTAAATCTGGATTTAAAGTTTTACCTTTAAATCACTTCCTAGTACATTGTCTTTGTAGTTTTGGGCACTTTGTAAAATCAGACGAGGAGACAACTAGAGCTTCATGTTTTTGTGCAAAGCTCATTAAATAAGTAATCTCATGCAGTAATAAATGTTTCTCCCTGTCCTCTTGCTTAAAACAGCATGAACAAAAAGTAGTCCCAGTTGCCAGAAGGGCTACTCCAGGGGCATCACAAAAGACCACCTTTGGTTTCTTTTGTCCACTAGCTAAAGTGGCCCTCAAATATGTCAATGAAATAAAGATATAATTTTTTTCCTGCAGTTTCATTTATTTCAAAAAAAAGAGCAGTCAGATTCTGGTATTGCTGGAGAAAGCCTCTGAAGAGCAAAGACCTGGATTCTGCTTTTGTGTACTCTACTGGTTTGCATGTTACCCTCTCTCTCCCTTTTTTTCCCCCAACTTTCTCCCTTACTTCCTGTAGTAAGTTTGGTGTTGATGAGATAATGCCACAAAAAATGCTAATGGTGAAATGTGCTGTACAAATTGGCCATGGTTATGATTGATAACCTGAATACAAATGGCATCTCTAGACATGTGCCTGCAGGGAGGAGTTGCCTTTATGTAGCTGGAGCAAAACATTATGTAAGATTCTCTTGGAATAACATTTGTTCATTTCCACTTGAAATCCAAATCTGGGGGAAATGGCAGTAAAGAAGCTGACAAGAATGAATCTTAGTGTATCTGTCACTGGTAGACTGAGTTCTTTCTCTAGTCTGTATAGGTTCCAGAGAGAGAACACCCAATTGAAAAAGGACAAGCTGGTTTTATTCACTGGCCAGAAATGGAAAATGAGAGACCTCTTGCTCTAAAAAGTCACCTTCTCCCTAGCTGTGGGAAGCTGCAGGATTGTGATGAGTTAGATGTGGGGCGGGGAGCTATGTAAACACATGCAGGGAGAAAGTACAGAGGCACAGACACAGATAAACATGTTTCTCCATGCGTCCTATGGAGAGAAAATGGCGGCAGTTTTCTTCTAGGGATGGGGAGCCCAGCATTGTAACGCTATGTTAATGACCTAAACGGAACAAGGGGTAGCCAGTTCTGGTTTGCACTGGTTTCCTGCAGGCCTCTTGTATTTGGCAAAGGATCACCAAGCTCCTGCGACATCCCAGGCCATCTGGAGTTCTTTAAGCAAGAGTATCTATAGATAAAGAAACTAGGGAAGATAACAATTTAAGAAAATAATGAGCTTTCCCAGCTATTTCTCTAGGGCTGCCCTGGTAATATTTCTACATCAACAGCAACACATATTTTTCAGCATTGTGTAAGCCAGGAAATCTATGCTAGACTCCACGGGGAAAATAGAAGAATAAAACATGGTTCTTGCTCTGGAGGAGCATAGTTCCTAGTTGGGAAGGTGGACAGAAACATAAAAGACCGGTAGCATGTAAAGAACATTTTCTAAGTGTTACATAAATGATGCAAACAAAGTTTTGCAATTCTGGAGGGCAGCATGCCCATAACCTCTAAGGTATATTAAGAAAGACAAAGTAGAAAATGGGCATTGAGGGCTGGAAGCCTAAAGACACAAGGAGAGAAGGAGAGAGCCACCTCACATAAGAAAAAATGCACAGTGGTGTGGCAGTGGAAATGTACATGGGTTCGGGGGTGCGTGATGTGGAAAAGAACAGTTGGCTTAATCCAGTGGCTCCAGATCTGAGCTTTACATCAGAATCACCTGAGAAGCTTTTAAAAATTACAAATGCCTCAGCCCCACTCCAGAGCTTCCATTTAATTAGTTTAAGACTGGGGACTGGTCTCAGTGGTGTTTCTGATTGATTTTGTTTTGTTTTTGTTTCTGTCTCAATTTCCCAGAATATTCTAATGTGAAGTCAGAGTTGAGAATCACTGAGCAAAAACCAAGATTTTTATATCATAATCATGGGACATAAAATGAAAGAAGTAATCTTTTAAAGGAGATTAAATGGACAACCAAGAGTGTGACCTTTAATTTGTAGAAACTGTATATACATGCACATTTGTATGTAGTCTTTTAAATTCACAGATAATTCCTCGTGGTGATTCTGTCTACTTGGATGATGTGGCTGAAAGCCTTTGTAACCAGCTGCCTACTCTTGTCCTCTGTGTACTTTGGGGGTGTCCTATAGTGGATCCTAGCTAAGTGGGGCACAATGGGCATCTCACAGGAGCTTGTTTCTACCAGGCTTTTTGTAATCATTGCCAAGGGCTTTATTATCATGCCTAATAGTGCCCACAGTAGCTATTTTATAAGCATCTGCAATCTTCCCTCACCTCTCCAACTTTACAAATTGAGAAATGGAGTTTAATTACTTGCCTTGGGCCAGGAGACTAGCTGGTGATGAAGGTGAAATGAGAATTCTCAGGGAGGTGAAATTAGAATTTCCAGCTACTGAATTCCACATACCTTATTAAACTCCCAAAGTGAGTCTACCCACTCTCCTGTTGGTGTTAGAATGTTATTTCTTACATGAATGAATCAGTGTCACAGATCAGTAGGTGAAGATGACTGGTTTCCCTAAGCTGCCAACACTGTGATTATCTGAGTGTCAATGACCCATAGGCAGTCACAGTGGTCCCGAGAGCCCCGTCCCTGATGCCTGGGAGCTCTCAGTCTAGTGAAGTTTGGCCTTGCATATTTATAGTTTATCCACTCTAACATCTGGGAAGTGAAGACTCTGGTTGCTATTCCACTGCTCCTAGCCCCACACTTTACGGCTGTTCTGATTTCCCTTCTCTGAAGCTCTTGTTCACTGAAAGGATATCAGCTTTTTGCTACACCCCTGAAAAAAAGAGGAGAAAGCCCAGCATTTTAAACAGCTGCTTTTTTTTTTTCTTTTGGATGGAGTCTTGCTCTGTCTCCAGGCTGGAGTGCAGTGGCGCGATCTCGGCTCACCGCAACCTCTGCCTCCCGGGTTCAAGCTAGTCTCCTGCCTCAGCCTCCCGAGTAGCTGGGACTACAGGCACGCGCCACCAAGCCCGGCTAATTTTTGTATTTTTAGTAGAGATGGGGTTTCACCATGTTGGCCAGGATGGTCTCGATCTCTTGACCTCCTGATCTGCCCGCCTTGGCCTCCCAAAGTGCTGGGATTACAGGCATGAGCCATTGCACCCGGCCAACAGCTACATTTTAAAGAATCCTTTATATGTGTTGGGAGCTTCTGGGTTCACTGCCCACGGTGAGACTAGGGGTGGGGACGGAAGTTCTTCTGAAGGACAGTGCGGGGAAAAAGCCAGAGTCTTGGCAATACAGCCTCTTTAGACAAAAAGATAGGTCAATTTGTACCATTCCCAAATGGTTGGGTTTTCTTTTCTCTGTCTCAAAATCCATTACTGATTTAAAACAATTTCCAAAAGCTTTAGCAATAGCAAAAAGCAAGCCTCTTAAACAGTGTTGCTCCACACTGATTGCACGTGAGAATCACCTAGGGAGCTTTAGAAACAACTATAGACTCACTGAATCAATATTCTGGGAAGGGGCCTGGACATTCGTATTTATTTACAGTTCTCCAGGTTTATAATGTGCATCCAGGGCTAAGAGCTACTACTGGTCAGCTATGATCCAAATCTTAATTACTTATTTGTATTTCTTCTTTTGCCTTGTTTTAGAGTCTCATGGCCCAGAAAACCATCAAACTATATTTTTGTTGAGTAGCAATTTCATCATTCTGTTCTTTAAAAAACATGATTTTGAGCATAATTTAAGTTTGCTACTTCTATAGAGAGACCTCACACTCAGTAGCCTCATCACTAAAATTTTCTGTGTGCAATTTAGAAATCACATTGCCAGAAGCTTGCTAATTAATTATGAGACTGAAAGATAAAGGTTAAGCTTTCCTGCCACCTATATATTAGATTTCCCAATTGCTATGTTAATCTTTAGTTAACCAAGACTTGCTTTCTTGTCTCAGCCATTTTAAAGCCAATTAACTCTGTTCCTGTTCACACCCTTATTAAAAATATAATTACAGCAGTAGTCTCCAGGGACTGTCATTGGGTAGGCTTTACCAAGGTAAATTAGCCAAGAAATAACTAGGCTGTGTAACACCCTCTCAGACCCTGGAAATCATTTTGGTTGCAGAAGCTACTTAGTATCAGAGTAGGCTGGGGTACTCATAAATTTGGATTTGGAAAAAGCCAATTCCAAGTCATCCTAAATGTGGAAGAATCTGTGATTTTGAGAATGATTCTGGAATCAGTTATCCAGGGTCCAGCCAAGTCTGATACACCGATCCTCAGAAGGTTGTATTAATAACAAAAAGAAACCAGGTTTTTGTATTAGATTTGATGGAAGAGGCTGGGGGACAGAAGGTGATGTAGCATTTTGTTTTCTGGGGTGCTGAGATTGTGGGATTAGGAGAAAATAAGAAAAAAGATCGCAGGGGAGAACGATGGACAGAGGCCTCCTGTTAGTCAACTATCATGGGCATCAGAATTTCTTTATTCACTCAACTAATGTTTATGGAGGTTCTGCTTTGTTCCAAGGACCCATTATAGGAGCTGGAGATAGAAGGATGAAGTTCCTACTCTAGTGTAGTTTAGATTCCAGTAAGAGGAAACAGATATCCACACTAAAAACAAACAATAAATAAAACCCAATAAATTAGTCAGTACTATGAAAAAAATGCAATGAACTGAAGGGAATAGAGTTTGCTGAAGGCTGCTTTCAATAGCTTGTACAAGTTGCACTGTCTGAGGAGGTGCCCTTCAAGCTAGCACATCAGTACTAAAAAGAAAAGCATGCCGAGAGCTGGCAGAAAGAAGGCTTCAGGCAGAAAGAACAACAGCAAAAGTCCTAAGACTGGAAAAGGTCTGAGTTGTTCAGGAAACAGAAATGAGACCATTGTGGCTGGACCCGAGGTAAGAAGCAATGAGGGAAAGGTGGGAAAAGAGCAAGGAGGGCCCGAGGTCATGGGATGGAGTTAGGCTGTTAAGTGCTTTGAGAGCCTAACATCCTAACTCATTGGGAGGTTTTCAGCAGGGTAGGATCATGGTTGGCATTGCCTTTGAGAGCTCTTCCCAGCTTCTGTGTGGAGAATGGCTTGAAGACTGAAAGCAGAGGGTTTGTAGGAGGCTGATCGGAAGTACAAGCAAGAGGGGAGGGTGGATCATGCCAAGGTGACAGCAAGCAAGGTGGAAGAGGTGTTGGATTCAGGATGGAATTTGGAGGTATGGCCAGCATGGCTTTCAGATGGAGGGGACCAGCGAAAGTGCTGGAAAACCTAGTCCTGCTCAAGATGATTGTTCCTGCCCTACCCTTGTTTTAGACCCCTTGTTTTGAACTAAAACAGAATAATATCTAGTGCTATTTAAAAACATTAGGAATTTTAACCTTAACTTGTTTAAGCAGAACAAAACAAATCCCTGCCTGGGGAGAAACTTCTGTTTGCTGCTTTTGCCTCTTAACCATAAAAATTTCATCCTGTCTCGTAAGACTATTCTGATGGCTTTTGTTGTTTTTGATTACTGTGCTTTTCGTAAGTGCTGGAAAGGTCACATTCGCATTACTAGTTTATCTCTTTTCTGAGTGTTTTGACACTTTGGCTGTGTTTACCAAGGCCTTCCTGCTGTCAGACATTTACATGGGGCTTTCTACAGTTGATCAGTTTCTCCATATAAGTGCTAATATAATCGCAAGCATTTAGTGGGCACTGACTGTATGCAAGGCCTTGTTTTAAGAATTTCATGTTTTAACTCATTTAGTCCTTCCAGCCACCCTTTATAATAAAAAGTGTGTACTCTTATTATCATTTTATAGATGAGGAAACTGAGGCAAAAAAAGAGGTTAAGTCATATGCCCAAGATCATACAGCTGGTAAGTAGTAAAGCCAGGTTTTGAACTGAATCCATCTGTACAGCTCTGGGTTCCTAGTAACTATGTTGTGCCACTTTTCTATGTAATTGAAGCTGCCACCTTCAGAAGTAGACTTGTTTCTCCTGCAAAAACCCCAAGGTACCACTAGGAGACACTAAAACTGGGCCGGGCTTCCGGGAGTTGGACTGGTGGGGAGATGGCATAATCTAGAGGCTGAATGATCCAACCCCCCTCCAGGAAGGCCTCACATCTAAACCACCTGCCATCTGCCAAGGTGGGAGGATAAACCACCCCCCACCCCGCCGCCAACAGGGCACTGGCTGGTGAAAGTTGCCAATACCAGAGGAGTCTTGATGAAATGCCCTCTCTTTTCCTCAAACTCTTTCTGCCTACTATTCATAGTTTCTGTGTTGTACCCACCCACCTGCCACTTATCAAAGACTGAAGAAACCAAAGTTATTCAACAAGCCATGAAGCAAATTCTAATTGCTCCCCACGGCCATCTGAGGCTGGCCTTTGGAAACTTAAAAAAAAAAAATTAAAAAAAGAGAGTCATATTAATTTATTTGTTACCACATTATTTGCTTTAAAATTCTGGTGGCTTCTTTCCAGTGTTTTATTAGTAGAAGCGAAATAAGCCTAGGAAACACAATATTTCATTCTGTCTTCTCTGCTTTTCACTGCATATCTACCTTCAAAAATGTCTTCTCTCAAGTTACTTGGTTTCTCAATAACTAGCGTGAAAGTAACAGACCTTCCTTCCTTCCTAATGATAGTAACAACAAGGGATTTACAGAATTGAAGTTTATATAAGGAAATGCATTAAGATTTTAACTTAAGTAAGTGAACTATTCAGCAATGGCTATAAAGACAGTAATTGTGATGATTTGTCTTCTATATTATATGTTTAAACTAGTTATATATTTTAATTATATAAGATGCAATTTTTTTGCTCCAGTTTCCATAGGGTAATTTTCAACAGAGATTAACATGCGTTCATTGGAAGTGTTGAATTTACCTAATCAAATCATCAATTTGTTTATTCAACTTTAATTTTCAAAAAAATGTTATTTTAAAATATTATATGATATGTGTCAGGTATTTCTTACGGTTGACTTCCAAATTTAAAACTGCAAAGAAAACAGAAATCCATACATATAGTTGCAGTAAACTATACTCAATTTTGGAAGATTGCAGTGGCAACATCAGTGAATTAAAGTTTGAAAGCTATTTCAAATCTTTGCATATTCTCCAAATAACTCAGAATCCTACAAAAAGCTAAATATTTAAAAAAATTTATCTTCAAACCAATAATGTAAGTTTCTTCTTTATTGGGATGATTTTGGTTAAATATTTAGCAGAAAGTAAGGGTGAATATATATTTGATATAGGTATGTCCTAAGCTAAAATCAAGTCATTTAAAGATCAGAGCAATTAATGGCAGTTATGTGATCACAGGAATCAGTCTATCTCCTCCCTCAGGGTTTGATTCAATGAGTTTTATTTTTCTCTTAGCAACTTTTCTTATTTTACTTTTCAAAGGACATCATTGAAACCATAATAGTGTTCATATCTGTGACTTTTAAATTTTTATTTATTTTTATGCATGGTTTAAAATTCATTTAGTTCATTTAAAATTCAAAGATATAAAAGAGCATTCATAAAAATGTCCCCCTCTCCTGTCCTCCAGCCTTTACAAAAATATACCATATATATTAATATGGGCTAAATACCCTTTTAAAGTTATCTCACACGCAAGATGCTATGACTGTGTGAAGCCGGAGCCTACAGACTATTGCTGATCCCCCAGTAGTAGTAGCAGTGACTCTTTAGTGGCCCTGGAGCTTCCTTTCTAAACTCAAGTGTATATTTAATGTGGCTATTTAGGGATGAACAGCAGTATTTTCAGAGAAAAGTATAAAAGAACAGATGAAATCACACAAGATGCACACATCTGGGTATTGGTGGGCATGTACTTTCAGCAGTGAGTTTACAAATAATCTAGACAGAGTTAAGTATCAGGTTTAAGAGTCCTAGGATCTAAGCCTGCATGGGTTCAGTCTTCTGCAGGAACTTGGGAATGTTGGGGTTCACTTAGGCCCCCAGTGTTGGCATGTACACCCACTTTCAGGAGGCTGGAGGTATAAGTTCCTCTCTGCATTTGTCTCAGGTCATCACAGGCCTCAGAAGTTTCTCAACAGAAAAGGATTGCATGGGTTGGATGTCCAGAAGGATACGTGGAGTTAAACATCAGTCAGTGGAGCTAGAGGCTTGCTAAGACTTGGGAAGAGGATGAGGGAAGGCAAAACCTGTCACCTAAAGGGGAATTCTAGAATGTACTTACTACACTCATGACATTACCCTACCACCTTCATTTATCACCTTGTGTCAAACATAGACTTCTTGGTCAAGACCACTATGCTGTAAGCTACCTGAGGGCAGGACTATGACTTATTCTCCTTTGTTTACCCTGCCCCAGTGCCTAACAGTGTCTTTGGAATTGGAATGTTCAATAAGTGGGTTAAACTTTTGAAACTGAATATTTCAAATAATCACAGATAACAGATGGTTAAAAACCAAGTCCTTCTCAGCCTAACTAGTGCCAAACCAAATCATTGTCCATGTCTCCTAAAGAAATGAAAGTTTTCTAATTACCTATATAGGTCTGGACTCAAAACTATAAGGCAGCACACTGTCTTTGGTGTTGACCTATGTCCCAGGTTGTCCATGGTCATCACACACTAATGACCACTTGTATGTATTTCATCTAGAGGATCACACAGAGTGGTATGCTAGGCCCAAGGAATAAGTTTACCTGCTTATTTCACTTCTCCACTGTCATCCTACTGTGTTTCAGGAAGAATTTCTTTTACCTCTGCTTACTCTACTAAGATGCCCCACATAAGCCCCCAACTCCTTTTCTTGTCCCCCTCCCACTTTGTTGTCTATTTTCTTCTGTCAGACCCCTTCCTCCTCCAAACTGAACCTTCCTGAGAATATACCAAAGAACTCAATAAACCATTCAGCCCACTATAGTTCAATAAATGAGCACTTGGTTCAACCTCAAGTCTCTGTTGGTGGAAATGTCACTGTGATCTAGGTGAGGGAAACATTTTGAGAGCCTGTGGGAACCTCCAATAGCACCTTATAGTAGCTTCTTCTGGTGCCTGTGTAATACTACAATTTCCAGAAGCCTTGTTGATATCCAGCTAAGTGAAAAGAAAGTCCTCAGTTCCAGAGTTCTTACTTCTATTTCTTTTTTTTTTCTTTTCCCTTTTGTTTTTTTTTGAGACAGAGTCTTTTTCTGTCACCCAGGCTGCAGTGCAGTGGCGCAATCTCGGCTCACTGCAACCTCTGCCTCCTGCGTTCAAGCGATTCTCTTGCCTCAGCCTCCTGAGTAGCTGGAACAGATGTGCGTCACCAAGCCCAGCTAATTTTTTTTTTTTTTTTTTTTTTTTTAGTAGAGACAGGATTTCACCATGTTGACCAAGCTGGTCTCGAACTCCTGCCTATCCACCTGCCTCAGCCTCCCAAAGTGCTGCAATTACAGGCATGCGCCACCGTGCCCGGCCCTTACTTCTATTTCTAAATAGCAATGGATTCCACTCTTCCAAGGACCCAGAACTTGCCCTAGGGGTGAGGGTCTTTTGTACATCTTGCAACTGAGAACTTTTGCTAGAATCAGACAGACAACATAGATCTCAGCTCTAATTTTCCAGGAGTGAAGCTGTGGAGCAAGTGAGTTACCTCTCTGTCTCACTTTTTCATCTGTACAATGAGGCTACTAAAACATACATTCCAGGGTTGCTGGGAGAAAAAGACAAGACAAGGTATGTACAACACTTGGCACCAAGGAAGCACACAATTCATGGGAGTAATTACTATCATCCTCACCAAGAGTTCATGATTTACTGGGGGACACCAACACATGTACAGTCAACAGGGTAAAATGCTAAGGATGTGGGGCAAGTGTTGAGTCTGAGCTCAGTAGAAATTTATGAGCCTCAAAGGCCCTAAAACATCCTTGACCACTCAGTTCTATTTCACACCCTTCTTGTACTTCACCAACAAACCAGCAACATGCTTCTGGTTGGCAGCCCTTATAAAAGAATTTACCTTCTATAGTCAAGTCCAAAGCTCTTAACTGCTTACCACATGACAGCCAATAAGACAAGATATTGGGGCAAGGAAGATGACTTTTTTTCAGGGAGCCAGCAATCCTAGAAGATGGCAGACTGATGTACTAAAGAACCATCTTAAGTTGATAGATTGTTAGGCTCCTTTTATGTTAGGGGAAGGGGGAATAGGTAGGGGGTTAAGGTCCACAGTTGACTGGTGACCACAGGCATCTGGGCATCAGCAGGGATCTAGGAGGTTGCAAAACTTCTTTGTTCATGGTCAACTATTTTCCAGATTGACCTTGTTTCTATAAATTTTTAAGATGGCATTGTTATTTGTGTGCATACTTTCTAATCTCCTCAGGGGTCTGTTTCAAAAGAGAGATGGTCATTAGTTCTGAAGTTAAACTATAATCTAAATTCTTTCCATCATTAGCTTGGCCTATGTATAGGAATGAGCAAAGGCAGTTAGCCTGTGAGGTTAGAAGCAAGATGGAGTCAGCTATGTGATATTTCTCCCACTGTTACACATCTCTGAATACAAGAGGAATACATTTCTTCTTTTTGCTGTGTTTGCTTCAAGCCTGTACCACTGAGAAATTGGGTGATCCAGGGAAGTTTTACTTCTCTTGAACCTCAGGCTCTATCTTTGTAACAATGGAGAAATCAATGCCTGCATTCTAGGCCCTTTTGAGGGTGGAGGAAGACAATGGTTGAGAAACTTCTCATCTATAGTTGATCCTCAATGCGTTTGCCCCTTTTCCTGTGGCACTGCTTTGTATTTGGATGGTTCGAGCAGTGCGTAACACATGGAGGAAAGGCAATGGAATGATGACAAATAGTTTGTTGATTTGGTGCTTTGTACATTCACCCACAAATGGCACAGTTTCAGGGCCACTGTCCTTGCCAAATACTATCTGAAGAGCTAGGTTATGAGCCTTTGGAACCCAGATCTGATAAGCATGGAGGAAAACTCCTCAAGGGAGATGAAGCTAGGAGATTAGCAGAATATACTTTCTCCATTTGTCCCACATTTGATGCCAGCAGGCAAACCAGAGCCAGCTGGGCAGTGTACAATTCCCAGAAATAAGGAAAGGGTAGAAGCACCTGTTTTTCCTCTAGCAAAACCAAGGCAAATGGAAAAGCTCAGAAATATATCAGCACCATTAGCAAGAGGCACAACGGGGAAGGCTGGAAATGTGCTGAGGAAAATCACATTGCCGGTCAACGCATAGCTACCTGCTGGAGAAGAGAGTCTGCAGACACACCTCAGCCTGGACAAAGGCCTCCAGGACCGGGAGCTGTGCTCTGCAGGAACTGGGCCCCAGGCACTGAGGACTGAAAACCAGCCCAACAAAGCATACCTGTTTCCATTTGTGAGAGATGAAATGATATGGGTTTTGTGACTCACTAAACCACTTGGAAGGCCAAACAATTACAAAAGCAAGATGCCTGGCTTCTTCTAGCCACATGGAGGGGCCCTCAGACTTGAGTAGCTGTGTGCCACTTGTCTGGGGTGGCTGCACCAAAAGGAACAGTGAGGTTTAGATGCTTGTTATTGTTCATTGTTCAGTTTTGGTTCTGTCTATTTACTTCTAATTCCTCAAATATTATTGTGATTAGTGGTATAGAAAGGAAACGTTCATTTGTGAGCAAAGTGTGTAATAAGAATTTAATAATGAAATTCCCAGAAAAAAAAACTCAGATAGCTAAAGAAACAGCAGTAACATGAGCTCCAAATATCTTGAGTTGTATTGTTAAGGTGAGAATCCATAATGTAAAGGGAATAATGTAAAGGGAATGCTTTGAAATCAAAGGCATAATCCAAGTGTGATAACCTAAAAGGTTGTGGATTTCTTTTAAAGTAGAAATTACATGTGGCTTTGGGAAATCATCAGCTGAAGCATAAGCTATGCTTATGGATTCTCGCTGTGTTGTCACTAAGACCGATTATATAAAGACTTGGCAAATCCATGTACAAATGTAAAACTTCCCACAATGGTATTTCATGGGGATCTCCTTTTACAAAGTGGTCGTTGATCAGGACATTTTTCACTGATATATTCCTTTGGAAGCAATGAATTTTAGATAGGATATGATTATTGTACAATGTGATAGGTAGCTCTGATTATTCAAGCAGCTAGGGCATTATTCAGTGGCAAAGCATTAAGCTACTCTGGAATCTTTCTTCTGTGTAAGCAGGCAGCTGCTGTTGAGACTTTCTCTTTGTGGGTGAATTTGCCCAACCAATGGCAAGCATTCATTGGGAGTAGGGGAATGACGCTGATCACTGTTAATGACAGTTGAAAATGAAATGCTTTAATGAATCTCATACTTGGACTTGGCTGCTGAGCCAGAGCCCTGTACTTGAAGAGCTTAATTATGATGCCTCAAAATTTAGATCTTGACCCTGAACTGCTATGACTTCCTCCCACCCTCAGTTTTGAGAGAAACTTTAAATTCGCTAGGGGATTCAATGTTTTACATGCTTGGTTATGCAAAATGGGAACAGTAGTGTCCAAACAATGGAATAGGCTTCTATATTATTATTTTCATTTAGGCAGTATAACTGACATGATTACCAAAGTCATGTTATAGTACATGTATACAAATTAATTTCATACCAGGGGACTTCACTGGGGGGAAAAAAGGGAAGTCCCTATTTGTGAAAACTATGATTTTGGTTTCTTTCTGAGTAAAGCACTGCTAATCTCTTTGGTGTACAGGAAAGTATGGTATTATGTTCTAAAAATCAGAAGCCCCAGACCTTAATTTCAACTAATCTGATGACATCATTTTGTACTCAGAGTTTCATTTCCCAACAATTTCATGTTTCTTAGTAGGTGGGGAACCCAGAATTGAAAGGCATCAAAAACAGCTAAATATAACCAAAAACCTGCTAACTCACCAGCTTTCTAAAATTCAGGAAGTATCTTTAACTTGATTGCTGAATCTCCAAAGACATGATGATCAGATGACTGGTTAATGGGTATTTTTTCAGACTCTACATGATTATCAGAAATGGCTGCCCTGGCCAATTGTATACCTACGAAGAGGTATTATGTAGAAGAACTTATATTCATCTACTTAATGTGGACCTCAAATATTAAGGATGTTCCTAATGTGTTCTAGACCGGAGTCAGCAATACTTTTCATAAAGAGCCAGATAGTAAATATTTCTAGGCTTTTTGGGCCATATAGCCTCTGTCACAATTCCTCAACTCTGCTCTTGTCACACAAAAGCAGCCATAGACAATGCATAGGTGAATGAATGTGGCTGTGTTTCAATAAAACTAGACTCTCTTAATGCCAAGTATTTGCTGGAATAACACAAATTAATTTATCCTCAAATCTGTTTAACCTATTAATATGTCAGTCAATATTACATTAATATTTTATGAATCTGGTATCATATTATACATGAATTTATCTGAACATTTGGTTAATTCATGAATATTTACTCAATATTAATACTACATCATGAATCTGTTATCAAGTCATATACAGATTTCTTAAAAAATTTCCCTTATTTAGCGTACTTGTGAATAACATCAATAAGCAAGTATCTTAAGTTAACTATCAGGTTATATAGCAGATCCTCTCCCCCTTTTGTAACTCTTTCTGTTACAAGGGATTTTACATTATTATGGTATTGGGAAGTAAGTCTATTTATCCTGTCCCTATCTGTCTTCGTATTAACCATATTCTGTTATAGCTTTTATCTTTGCAGACAGAATAGTTCAAATCTTCATGATTTGTCCTTAAACAACCCCCACTTCCTCATCCTCTTGAACATTTTATGCCTCCATCACTGTCTCTTCAGGTCTTGTGAGTCCTTGAAGTGCAGTGACTAGGCTGGAACATGGTGTTCCAGGTTGGTCACATCACCTCTTCCTAATGATGCCCCATTGTACCTTTTGACTATAGCAAGGAATAAACAAAGTCAGAAGTGTGAAAGTGGGGGAGAAATTGAGAAAGTGCAGGGGATTTAGGGGAGAGAAAAATGGACTACAGGAAAAGAAAACATTGACTTTTGCAAAGTGCTCTAAACTGGCTACAAATGCATTCCGTAATTCTTTAAACCTTAATTGTAACCGCAGTTAAGCTTTCCGGTGTGTTGGAATAAGAACAAAACTAAAATCCTTCTTTGTATAGAAATTATCCTGCAGTAACTTAGAGCCAATATCTCTAGTTAGGATGAGCGCAGTGGCTCATGCCTGTAGTCCCAGCACTTTGGGAGGCTGAGGCAGGTGGATTGCTTGCACCCAAGTAGTTTGAGACCAGCCTGGGCAACATAGCGAAATGCTGTCTCTACAAAAAAATTAAAAAATTAGACGAGCATGGTGTCACGCACCTGTTGTCCTAGCTACTTGGGGGCACTGAGGGGAGAGAATCACTTGAACCTGTAAGGTCAAGGCTGCAGTGAGTCATAATCACGCCACTGCACTCCAGCCTGGATAACAGAGTTAGACCTGTCTCAAAAAAAAAGAGGAAGAGATCTCTGGTTAGAGTTTGTCTCTGATGGATACTAACCATGCAAGTAGTTTACACAAACCACATTCTTTCTGTAGAATGAGAAAATCTTGGATATAATTTAGCATAATGAGCTAAATAACTCTAGACTGAGCTTCGCTGCCCAGACAGGACTCTACTTGTGATCTGGGAAGATCTACCCTTGCACTGAATTCTCTCCTCTTCTCTCCTGACTCTGTGAGAAAAGTTTGCATGAATTTACTGAGATTAGTTATAGAAGGAACTGTGTGTCATTGAAAGTCTTGTACAGAAGTTCACATTAAAATATATCATAGTCATCTTTGGGAATGATTCTGCAAAATTCATAAAACAAAGATCTCTGAAACCCTAAGGCACACTGTGCTGGAGGCTAAGGGAATAATAGTGAGCTGAGTGGTTTCTGCCTACACAGAGCTTCTAATATATTGAGGAAAGAGATCTCAATCAAATTCAATTGCATTTATAAGTATGGTAAGGACAACAAAGGAGAGAGACATTATTCTGTAGGAGAATAACCCTGTCAAAGTGATGACTGATTTAAGATCAAAATGGGAAGGTAAAATTTTCTCAGTACCTGCAAAGGCACTGAGGTGGGAGGGAGCATGCCAATGTAGGGAAATGAAGAAACCCAGTGTGTATGAGCCAAGCTGAATAAAACATGAGAAGAAGCTGGAGAATGAGAGAGACCAGTCCCCAAGCTCTCAAGGAGCAAGAGGAAGCCTTTTCGGCATTTGAAGTGGAGGGATGGCATGATCTCGTGCGTAGTTTTTAAAAGAACCACTCAGGCTACTCTTTTGAGAATATTGTGGGAGGCCAGAGTAGATGCCTATAGACTTATACAGAGGTTAAGGCAGTTGATAAGAGTATAAACAATGATGGTAGCTTACCTCACATGCTTTTTAGATTATAGGCTAGAAGGTGGCCCAAGCCCATATACCATCATGGCACAGTGAATACGTTTTCCTTCTGGATCGTGGAAATGAATATTGTGCCACACAGCTTGATTGACACTCCCCAATGACTTTTAATACTGTGGGATCTCTGGCACATACTTCAGAAGATGAGAAAGGAGTTTTAATTAACCTCTGTTTAGGAATTCCATAGACATAATTTTCATTAACATCTACTTGGTATTTCATCTCCATGAATTCTTTCCAGTGATAAAGCTAGTTGGTTTATCCTCCAGGACTGCTCAGTTCTGAACAGTGGGTCTTAAGTACTCTTTGGATTTCTTTGAAGGCTTTTTTTTATTTTTGTTGACTACCTCTCTACTCATTTTGCCCCAGAAAAAATGTAGTCATTTCTTTGATAAGTGAAATCTAAGAAAGGCTTATTTCATTTGGTACATTAAAGAGATGGAAGAAAGTAACTTTACATAAGAATATAAATGCCAGCTGTCCAGCATATTACAGAATAGATTTCTAAATTTGCTGAAAGGTTAGGAAAATGGATTCTTATGTAGGCTTAAAATTTTTATAATTTTTTTGGCATTCTAGAATGAAATAAAGAAAATCGGTATCATCTTGATCTCATCACCCAGAAGAAAAAAAAAACACTGATACATGGTGAAATATTTTCCTCTCTCATTTTTAAAAAGAATCAGGAATAGATTGTATACATATTTTTCAAATTCTTTCTACTTAGTGTTATATGATAGTCAATAATATATGTGTATGTAAGTAGCAATAAATCATTCCTGAAAACTTGTTTTTTAAGCTTGTATAACATTCCGTCATATGGATGTACTGATTTTGCTAATTTGTTAAGTTTAAAATAATATTCATTTTCATTTCTTTGACTACTAGGTATAATTAATTTTTTCATACACTCACTACCCTTCATACTTCTTTTATTGATTTCCTTTTTATGTTAATTATTAAGATTTCTATTTGACTCTCAACATTTTCTTAATTTTTTTATCATTAATAGATGTAAAAAAATTCTTAATTTTTAAAAAATAAACCCTTTTCATCTTAAAGATAGCAATCTATTTTCCATAATACTTGTTATAAATATTTCCCCAGTTTGATGTTGGTCTTTTAATTTTGTTTAAAGTATTTTTGACAAATAAATAAGTTTTTGTGGCTTGAAGTTTGTTCATTTTTTTCATTTGTGATTACAGTTTAGTTGTTGATTCAACACATCCTTATTGAGTGTTTTGTGTTCAGCACTAAGCGAGACACAAGAGGTAAGACAGAAAAACAAGGTGCAGGTGGTTTTGCCACTTAGAGATTACAATTTAATGAGGGGATAGACAAACAAAACCAGGTCATTATAAAATAGTATACTACAAGCTATGCAAGAGGAAATACAGGTGGGAAGAAGTACCTGATCTGGACCTGGGGGATAAGGGAAGGCTTCTGGAAGGAAACAACCTTCTAGCTGAGAATGAAGGAAAATGGCAACATGAATTTAGAGAGAGGAAACAGTATGTGTGAAAGTGTTGTTCAGTGTCCTAAATGTTAAAGGTCCTCTTTCCCCAGAACATGGAGTGTGTGTGTGTGTGTGTGTGTGTGTGCGCGCGCGTGGGTGTGTGAAGGAGCAGGGCAGGGTGGTGGTCAAGTGTGAGCAGGAGGCCACTGGGGAGGCTGCGGCAGTCCGAGAGAAAGACAATGATGTTGGGCAGAGGATGTGTTGAATAACTCATCCCTTTTCACTGGACAAGCAATGCTTCAGTGTATATTAAGTTCTTATTCATAGCATACCGTCTATTCCAGAATAATCTAATTAGTTTTATTGCTATATCAATTCTTGGGCCAACACCACACTGGTTTTGAGTTTAATGAAACGTCTAAACTGGTAATGCATGCATCCTCTCATCACTTTTCATTTTCAAAATTGATTTACCTATTCTTGCCAATGCGTCCTCCCAAGTAAACTCTAAAATAATTTCAAAAGTCACAAAAGCATACGTGTGTGTATATGCATGTGTGTAAATACATGTATATATGTGTATGTGTGTTTCTTCCAACCATTTTTCAGTTTTTGGAGAATAAGATGTTTTTATTCAAGTTGCTGTCAGTAAATATTTTATATTACATGACTTCTCTATACACACACACACACACACACACACACACAATCTCCCATTGGTAATTTGATTGGGAATGTGTTAAATCAGGAGAACAGACATTCTTTTTAATATTGAGTCAGCCCATCAAGAAGCATTGAATGTTTTCCCACTTACTCAATTCTTTTATACTTCTTTTTAAGCCTTTATAGTCTTACTCATATAGGTCCTGCATATTTATTGACGGGGTATTCTTTTTTCTTTTATAATTTTAGCTTTTAATTATGAATGGATTTTTCTTCCATTATCTCCTCTCTGGTATTACTGGACTACAGGATAAATATTAATGATGTATATTTACTTTTTATCTGATTATTTAACTGATTATAATTAATTATAAGTGTTCATAGTTAATTATAAAAGTTTATAATCATGGTGTCTTTAAATAATGATAATTGTTCTCCTTCCAAAAATTGCATCTAATTTTTATTTGGTGTCTTACAGCATTGATCGTAACTTCTAATACTAAATAACAATGATAATAGTGAGCGTCCTGTCTTAATATCAATTTCAAGAAGAACACCTCTTACATAACATTTTTAAAAGTGTGTTATGTGGAAGCTAATAAAATAAACTTGGGAAATGCGACAAATGAAAATTCTCTCTCCCAGGCATTCTTAATTCATATTAACATATTAAGATGAGATCTGCAACAAAGAGATGAGTTCAACTGAGTTTAACCCAGTATTTCTAAAATGTATTTGACTATGGAAGTATTTTTCCCTCATTTAGAATTTTACATCAGTTATGACAGTCAAAATTATATTAATTTGATCTTCTTTCTTTTTTTAGAAAAATAATTTTCATACTTTCTTGTCTTTTCTGTTTGATCTCTCTTTTGCCATATGGACTATGATTTGGGTTTACTTTTAATTTTTTTCAATAATTGAGAAGCTCGTCACCCTTCTTTTTATTTCTACAAGTGGTTACACTTAAAGTTTCCAAGACATTTCTATCCATATCTTATACTTAGCAAAGTCAAAGACATGACCATACAGTTTTCTAATCAACTTCAAAATGAAATGTTATCTTTGAATAACCCCATCAAAAGAAATTTAATCCATTTTTACTTCCTTCCAACCTTTCCTCAGTATTGGTAAGAATAATTTAACATTTTTTATTCATGTTACTGTCAGTAAATATTTTATATTATATGACTTCTCTTTTGTGAATTATGTGATCTGTTCAGCAACATAATCCTTTACAATACATTCCTGAGCAGTTCTATGGTTATCTGATTTCTGTGTCCATAACTATTGTCTTTTTATACCATAAATTTCTCATTTTTTTACTTTTTAATTTTAATATCTTAAGATTCGCCACCTTTTATCCCATTTATCCTTTTAGGGTGTATAATGTAGGTCATCTACATTTTGAGAAGTGCCTGATTCTGTTTACTATAGTGTCAGTTTTACCCCTTACTGCCTTCAGTGGACAAATTAGTACTATTATTTCATTTCTGGCTCCTCTACAACCCCTTTTAATCTAACCCAGCACTCTTTTCCTTCCTTACTTTTATCTCATAATGGCTACCTGTCCTTTTCCACAGTATTTTCTATTTCAGTTGAAGATGATAAACAGTTTTCTGACATTGACATTAAGATGATGTTTCAGTTTTCTTGTTAGACAATTTTGTTCACTGTCTAAGCTACTTATTTTTCATGATTACTCGTCTAGGAATAAAAATCAATCTACTTAGACCCAATATTTTTGAACACTGAGCATATGTAATGTGTTCTTAAACCTGTTCAATATGTACTGGGCTCTAAATGTCCTGGCCTACAGCTGGAGGGCAGAATGACATGTCCTAGTTCAATATCAGCCTCTAACAGGAATGCTACTGATGTAGTTTTCTGCACTGAGATAGGATCTTCTTTTCTTCCATTGCCTATTCTCCTGGAGGCAAAATAGAGAACATAAAAAGTCATCATCTTTGGTATGTTCTTCTTTAGGGGCTTTTTCTTTCTCCCAGCCCAACCCCCATAGTCCTTACTTGCTAGATGTGTGTTCCAGGATTCAGTTCACCACTGCCCAGTCTTCTAACATCCAATTTCATTGTTTTCTGAGAGTTGAGAATTTTCATACAGATATAGAAGGGATGCTGTGCTTGTTTGAAATGGTTCTATTTGGCAGAGGATAGCCGAACAGTTTTTAGGCAAAGAATGAACTGTCTACTTACTTTCTTTGAAGAAGCCAACAATTTGGTTTTGTTGCCAACAGCAAATAATATATTGGCTAATAATTGTGGTTTACAGTGACATGGGTAATGTTAGTCATAACATGTCTTCCAAGTTTCTGGCTATGGACTAACTGTAGGTCTTGGAGTTTGGTATTATCTAGAATTTTCCTTCTCCCTCCTCCCCCACCTCTTATCTTTTAGCATAGTTGAAGATTGGAACTTCTTCCCAGAAATCTAGCATCTTCATAAGTCCTTTCCGGTTTTAAGATTTTTATCTTATATTTTATATATATATTACATATATTTCCTGTGAATCTTGGCTGAATTTCTCATTTAATAAAGTCCAAGTTAGTATGAATAAATAACATGTTTCCCGATTTTACACACATACAGAAATTCAAACACATAATGAACTCTCTGGCAGCCTTTAGCATTTGTAAGTGCTCTCTCACCAGGAAAATCCTTTAATAGATAACCAAGTGTCCTGGGGAAGAAGGGTGTCAGGAAACTTATTATATTTGTGTCACTTTCTTCAAAGGGTGATTAAGTATATGTCTCCAAAGATGTGATGTTATCATCTTTGAGTATCACTTGAATTCAAGTCAATATTTATTGAGACCCCATGTTGTATCAGGTGCCTTACTAGAAAGTCGACATATAGAGATGCATAAGACATGATCTTTTTCAGTGGGTAATTTAAGGTCTTTCTTCTACTGCTAGCATTGTCATGTGTAAGGCTGGTGGGTTGAGTCTTTGGAATTTGTGAAGATTCTTCCAGGTTGTTTAAAAAATCTTTTGATTCTCACAAATGTATTTTTTCTATTTCTTAGAATTATGTTCTTTATGGCTACCAGGAAATCCTTTGAAACTGGAATTAGATTGCATTATTCCACTGGGGTAATAGGATTGGTAAGGTAGGAGTGTCTTTGAAGAATAATGCTAAATAACCCAGACACTAAGGCTGAATCTTCAGCACAGCTCTTAAGGCATCCTGTAAGTACCCTCTGCTGCTTATTAGAAATCCCAAAGCCCTGCTCCCTTAGGAAAGCGGCCCATCCCCATCCTCATCATAAGATGCAAGGCATAGCTAAACATCTCAACTTCTCACTTGAGTATTATATACTCTCAGGCCAGGATACTTTCCAACTCAAGAGTAAGATAACATTACATTCTGATCTTCTTGTGTGTGTTTTTATGTTTTTTTTTTCATTTTATTTATTATTTTTTTTTTTGAGACAGAAATTTTACTCTTGTCACCCAGGCTGGAATACAACGGCGCAACATTCTGATCTTCTTTTGAGAGAAAAGTTTCACACAATTAGCCTTTGAAATACACATTCCTTTAAGTACCATGAAAACATTGTCCCATACAACAATATTTCTAAGAAACACACATGTCCCTCCCACAATGATTTTTTCTTGTTACCACCAATAAAAATTAGAGCTGTGTTGTTTTTGTTGTTGGGTTTGTTTTTGTTTTTGTTTTTTGGTGACTACTGTGACCCTCAAAAAATCAATCCGACTTTCTCGATCTTGATTTGCAACACCAAGGTTACCAAACAAAGAGAATGGTTCAATGAGGGAAAGCTCAACTACCTAAATATTTAGTATAGCAATGCTGAGCTTTTGGTAATGGCTCAAAATTCTCATGCTTTCCCACTAAATGAAAAGGGGAGCTTTGCTACTAGTAAACCATATTCAAGAAATAATTCTTATTAATACTTTGCTTCTTTCCTATGAATTATTGCTTTGTAATGGATGTTTGACAAGTTACTAGCAAAGCAGTCTTCGATGAGCACAGAGACCCATCAGATCTGTATTAACACCTCCAACCACTGGAGTTTCATTAAGTAGGTTTCTCTACCCCTCTCCTTCAGGCCACAGATAGGAAGAATGACATTGGGTCCAAAGTTCTGGCACAAAGAATGATGTCTGCCTTCCTGTGATGATTTCAAATTCAGGGTAATAATTCCAACTATCTTTCCCTGGCCATGATAGAAAGCTCAAGAAATCTTGGTTCCTTGTCTCTTTTCTTCCATCCAGTTGGTCTTTCTAATTACACACTCAACACAATGTTCTGCTGAGCAAGACATCTGCTGTAGCCACTATCACCCTTGGCATAACCAGATATTTAAAGGTACCTAAAGGAGTTTAGCCATATTTTGCCAAGATCCTAAGTTCTATGGCATAAGAATCCATCCACTTCTCTACTGCCTATAGAAAAGGACAGCTCAGTCTTTCTGAAAGAATTGTTCTCAAACAAGAAAGCATTTGAGGTAACATGTCAACAAGGTGGACTGGTAATTGGTGTTCCTTTCAGAGCCAGTTGGAGGAAATGGCCAGCTCAGACATTCTCTTCTCCCCAGTGTCCTATGGGAACAAGATTTACCCAGACACAGCTGACTATGAGAAGTCTTCAGGGATTTACAACCTGTCTAAGAACAAGGCCAATGGGGGGCTCACTTTGCAACACGTCCCTATTTGATTGTCAGAGGACAGATACTCTATTAACAAAGGAATTTGCACTGGTATTTTCAGGGACACATCAAGTAATTGCCACTTGAACGTTTTTCCAGGCTTTCAAAGGAATGTAAGAATGGCCTAAGGCTAAATTACATTCATGTCTTTAGTGAGTCATTATATTACTGGCAATAAAGTATATTATTACTTTACTTTCAGATGCCCTCACATATTTTTTTAAAGTAGAAAGGAGACATATTATGGTCACCATTCTTAAGAGACTTAACTAAAAGACACTAATTTAATCTTTTAGTTACTTAAAAATAGCTGTTGCTCACCCACTATGTGCCAGTCTGTATACCAGGCACCAATATGAAAAGGTGAGTATTCTCTGGTCTCCCTAAGCACAGTCTAGTGGAGGAGACAGACAAAATGCAGCCATGGCCAGAAGGGGGAGCAGTTAATGAACAAGTAGGCAGAGAGTAGGGAGGGGATTCTGAGAGACAGTACGGACGGACTGAGGGTAAGTTGTACATCCCTGATATTTTGGGCAATTGCAAATAGTTTGATGACCAAATCACAAGGAGAAGAAGTGACAGCAAGCATGGCTGAAAATGTAGGTTGGTGTCAAATTGTAAAAAGCCTTGAATACTGTGCTGAACGGTTTGATCCGTGAATCAGGTAGAGGACTTGACTCAGGTCTCTTGACTCAAAGGTCATGTTTTTTCTCTGCTAGATTGCACTTATCCTTCCAAATGCTAGTGGACACCACACTGAATTTGATCAAAGATCTCTCAATGGAAATATGTAAATTTCCTGTAAGAAGCAATTGGTAGGTTCTCTTATTATCATCTCCATCTCACAGATAAGGAAACTGAAGTATAAAGAACTTGAGTAACTTGTCCAAGGTCACACAGCTAGTTAGGTGATCCCAGACAATTTGGCTCCAGAGTCACTAGTCCTAACTACAACAATTTAGCCTCTCTTTATCTAGAGGTCTTTATGCATTTGTCTGCATTCTACTTACGTTGGTATTGGTGAGTAAAGATTCCCTTCCAGAATAGGTTTGATAAATTGCCAAGTCTGAAACTGAAAAATTAATATCCATGATAACAGAGGTTTTGGGGTCAAGGAGTGAAAGGAATTCATCCCATCCTGTCTCTAAATACTTTTTTCTTTACCAATTTATGGGAATTTGAGACCAGATATCTGGAACCAAGCAGCCTCACCCTATTAAGGGAAAGAAAAAGAACAGAAGAAAAGAGGAGAGGAGAAGAGAAGAGAAGAGAACTAAAAGTATCTGCAAAAATATTAAAGGATTTGACCGAGATCTCTGAGATGCTCCAAAGATTGCAATTGTGCTTACTATCCAAGTTAATGGCTGTAAATCTAAGAGAATTATGATGTGCCTGGTAAATATTGGTTGTTTTGTTTTAAGTCTTCATGGAGAAAATGGAAAAGACATTGGCATGTAGGATGAAGTCACAGCAGGACAGACAGGTCCTGCAAGTGTTTCTTTAGATGCATTGATATTCATAACATCCAAACAGGCCTTAAGGCTGTCTTCTTACTTTACACTTACCAAAGGGGTAAAATATCATTTTCCTTGGACACACAAATAATAAACGTACTCTCACAACATCACTTGAATGTTGTGGTTTTGCAAATATACTATGTTTTAAAAGCTATAGCCCTCAAATCCCTTACTAGACATCAATATTTGTTGGAATTTCAACATCAAAGATTTATTGTGAAGGGGGAGGGGGAGGAGTTACTCCAAAGGCTAGAACCAGTGCATATACCATAATAACAACTCTGCATGCATTATTGCTTCTAATCTTCATAATTTTGAGTACTATCTTTATTGTCACCATTTAATGAAGATGTTAAGGTTCTGGGGGCTTAAGTGACTTGCCCAAAGTTACACAGCTTGGTAGAAACAGAATTTACCACAGAACTTGTGTGTTAAGCCAAATAATTTTCTAGTTCCATACAACTAAAAATTGGAAGGAAAAAGTAGAGCCTTATGAATAGAGTCCTGAGCAAGAAGGATGAACAATCTGCAGATGAAGTACTCTGTAAAGGAAAGATCTGGGTTTGAATTCTAACCCTGCCTCCGTTCATCTGTGTGATCTTCGCAAAGTCTGTTAACTCTTTAAACTGTTGGATATTTATAAAATGGGACTGGTGCTATTTGGCCTGATATCTTACAGGGGAAGATTCAGTCAGGCCAGGCGTATGTAGGGTCTCTCTGACCTGGAAAGCCCTATATAAAGACATGGTACCATTCTTAGTGTTAGGACTGAAACTACATCCCTAGTGTCCTGACACCTCATACCAATACCCAGAAACCCTAGGCTCTTCCTTCAATCCCATACTCCTTCCTCAGCTGCCAGGACAGCTTGGTTAAGAAAAGCCTTGTTCTTGGGGAGTATATCCATGAAAGTATCTCTATTTCGTTGCAGTTTCACATTAAGTAAAATTAGAGTGCCCTTCACGAAGAATATATAATTGAAAGCCCTCCCACTGACTGCTGGACAAAGCACTTGTCAGTCAACAAACCAGGTAGATTGAGTCTGCCCTCAGAGTTTTTGTATTCTGAGAGTGACTAGCAACTTTCTCTCATCCTAGAGCAACAGGGCTTTCAGAGGACAGGTTCTGGGGCAGCATGTAGCCACGATAGAATTGGTTTGCTTTTGTGTCCAAAGTCATGATTATCAGGAGAGCTGCCATTTATCAACCACCTCTTTGATACTTGGTGTATAGGACAGGCGTGTTAACTATATTATTTCTAAACCACAAGATAAGTCTGTGAAGTATTTTTATCCCTGGTTTACAAAGGAAGAAATGAGGCTCTGCGAGACATGCCAGAAAGAACATGCTCTACACAACCAACTGGTTACAATGTGCGGCTTTGTCCAGCACTACCTCTTCTTTCTTGGCAATCATCAGAGCCACTCAAGGCTTGGAGGACTGTGCTGGCAAAAAAGAAATCTTGTATTTTCTAAAACTCACACCCACACTTTGGAGGGGACAAGATTGAGATCAACCCCATTTCCTACTCTTTTCTTTATGACAGTTTATCAGAGCATTTTTTCCTTATATTCACTCAGTCCTGAGTTTCTATTTAGTTGTGATAATAGATACATTTTTGAATTTTTAATACCTTCGGGTGCAAATTTGGAATCTATGGAGGATAAGGGAGTAACAAAATGTTATGGAAATTGAAATATATAAATTATTAATTTTCCCTCTCCTCTACAGATTTACAATCACTTTATTTGGGGATATCAAGTAGGTTATGTGGTTACTGTAGTACTCATTTAATAATCAGATTTTATTTAGAGAACTATAAAAGGTACAACTTAAGGGGGAAATATATTTTAGATGATGATTTTTTTTTCAATTTCCAATTTTTGAAGAATGACGTGTTTTTAAAAACTTTTAAAGAATTTCTCCCACATTTCACTCCCTTTAAGGTAAATTGATAGCTGTGAAAATGGCACCTTGGAAACATTTCTGTCATAATCATAGGAGAGAGTGAGAATTATTAATATTCTCAGCCATGTAGCATCATAAAGTAGATCACAGCTGTTTCTTTCAGAAAATGTCATTTGATTTTCGATCAGATGTATGGTCCATCTCACAATCTAACCGCTTCCACATCTGGAATATCTTAACTGAAAATGTCCACAGCATTACACGGCCTGGCTCAGGGGGAGAAAAGAACTAGGGCCTGCATCGAATTCTGTCTCTCACTCAGCTGATCTGCATTCCTCCTATAGCATTTCCTTATAATTAAGAAGAGCTCATAGATTTGGGAACTGCATGAGCCTCTGTAACCTTCTGGTGAGGGTGAGAAGCTCAGAACTGCATTTCTATGCATTTTTCCCTAGTCTTTCCTGCTTCGGAGGAGAAGCCCTGCAAGAGCTTCCTGCCAAGGGACCCTGCTTTCTCAGCAGCCGGATCCGGAGAGCCAGAAATCCATCTTCAGCTCCTTTGAACTTGGCTGTTGTTAATCATGCTGTGGTTGTCCTTTAAGAGCAAAGGCTTCACGGAGAGCAGATCAGCTGGCTGTAGGGAGGGTTTCAGCTTCTCATTGTAGGCAGATCATCTGCTAACAGCTTACTGAGAGAAAGTTGAGGACATGTGGCTGAAACACTGTCAGAGCTGCTGTGAACACAGTCCAAGTGAGCAATTTTATGACCCAAACCAAGCAGACACTAAGTGCTTTCTAGTGGTGGAAAAGGAGCAGAGAGAAAAAGAACAAAGACCAAGTGGTGGAAACAAAAAAAATATATATTTCTTTCAGCAGCTAACATATTTTTCTGTTTAGAAGATTGGTATCTCCTACTTAACCACAAACTACAACACATAAGATCAAATAAGATTAAATGTCCGGTTTGCTAAATAGCAGAGCGAAGAAACTAAGGTCAAGATTTCAGACTCTTACATCTGAGGAAAGAGAGAGGCAAAGAGAAGATACTGGAAATGCCAATATCCAGTCAATGAAATAAACAGAGGCTACTGTAGGCATCCCCAGAAGCTTGCCTTTTGTCCAGTGCCATGGGAACCACAGAAGGCACTCAGCTTTGCAGCTTCACTCAGAATTGGGGCAATGCTCCATAGAGTCAAGGGCATGTTATTATAAAGTGCTCCATTTGTTTACTTTGGCAAGTGGAAGATGACTTTGCTAAGCGATACTCTGCTGGGGCTCAGGGCCAGCACTGCTGGAGTAGGAAAAGGGAGACTTCCTGGGGCAAGCCTTCTCAATCTTCCTGCCAGCAGCATTGCAGTCGGAGCGGCACTGAGGTGTCAACAAAAGGATGATGAACTGTGTCAGCAGTGTTAGCAAATGGCTGAAGTAGAACGGAGCTGCCCAGGATGCTGCCCTGTCGCTGGGGAATCTGAGGGAGGCTGAAAGATATTGTAAAAGAGATTGAAGGGCTGGACTGGCTGGAGGAATGGTGCCATCGGCATCCATGCCACAATACTCCAGGACTGCCCTGCCTTTGTCAGGACAGCCATCAGAGGCGGTTTTCCCTCTAACCAGGATGGGCATCACTCCTTGGGCTTGCCAGTCTTACCTCTCCTCATGCAATTGCATGTCCAAGGCATGCCCTCAGGGGATGGTGCTGATCCAGGGTGGCAAACCCAAGTGGGGAGAAAATGCTGAATCTCATCCTCTCAGAGATCTGCTGCAGTCAGCGACTATACTGAGGTGCATGATCTGAGCAGCAGTCGCTGGTTGGGGAGGCTTCTTTGTGGAGTGGGTCTCAGCCACAGCCTGAGGGTCCTCTCTTGGGGATGCTACCAGTTAATTGGGTCATCTTCAGCCTCCACCCAAACTTAGGCCTGTAGGTCCATCAATTACTATATCAGCCTCAAGGACTGAACAGGTGGGAGGAAGGACTAGTGTGAGTGATGGAAGCAGCTGAGCTGAGGAGTGCTGGCACCTGTGCAAATCCAGCAAGAATGACATCTGGCTGAGCTTCAGTCATTCACCTAAGCACCAATCGGGGGTCACTCCCAGATCTGAGCAATGAGGGAAACTTCCCAGGGGGAACCCCGCACTTGGGTAGACCTGGGGGAGCAGCCAGAAGGAAAGGGGTTGAACCTGTAGTTGATTAAGATTCAGAGAAAGAAAAAACAAAAACAGAAAACGATCATAGTTTCAGACACTCCCAATGAGCCTGTGACCTCCCCGAAATCCTATAGCCAAACACACGGGTGGATCTGGCCTCACTTTCCCATTCTCCCACTTGTGACTTTTGATTCCACATCATAGCTAAGGTCCTCGGCAAATTGGATTAAACTTTGGATTTAAAAATAAAATAGAATTAAAATAAAATAAAAAAGTTGGGGACAGGAGAAAGTGGTTTCCAAGAACCTACACCTCTCTACCCTGAAATGACTGAATATTGTGTTCCCCTCAAAATTCATATGTTGAAATCCTAACCCCCAATATAATGGAGCCTTTGGGAGGCTTCATGAATGAGATTAGTGCGCTTACAAAAGGGTCCCAGAGAGCTCTCTCACCTTTTTCCACCATGTGAGGTTACAACAGGAAGTCAGCAGTGTGCAGTCCAGAAAAGAGCCCTAACCAGAACCTGACCATGCTGGCAACCTGATCTCAGACTTCCAGCCTCCAGAACTGTGAGAAATTAAGTTATGTGGTTTATAAGCCACTCCGTCTAAAGCACTTTATTATAGCAGCCTGAACTGATTAAGACACTCCTGAGAACGATTCCTTCGGGGAAGGTCTTGATTAGCCTTCACCTAGCCCAGTTTGCAAACACACTGGAGTGTCCTGCCCATGGCAATGTTCATGTAGCAGCCTGGGAGACAGAGGAGGGGGATTCCTGCAGGAGCAATCTTCCCAAGGAGGCAGTTCCTACTAGCTAACTTTCTTGTCCTGCTTGTGCTCATTGAAGGTCCAAACCTGTCCCCTGCCCTATGTTTGTTTTCCTCCTAATCCCCTGGCTGATGGAGTCAGGCTTTGGAGAATTCCTTTAAGAGTCTTAGTTGGCCTTATGGATCCCAAAACACACCCTTCTCTATTGATGCCAGATTCTGAGCAGGCTGACAGTGCATGCATGAGAACCTTTCATAAAATAGGACTATTTTTTATTCCCTTTGCTTTTTCTTTGTGTTATTTTCCCTCTTCACTCCCTGTCCTTTTACCTTACCATATACATTTGTCACCTCCTTGCCTGGAAAGCCTAGTGTCACCTCCCTGCCTTTTCACAGCCTATAGGATTGAGTCCAAACTTGCCAGCTTGGCCTTTCATGGAGTGCAGGTTTAGTACAGGACTGCTAAACACAGTTTCAGAATGAACCATTCTCCTGGCCTTTATCATTGCCAATATTTCTCTTTATTTTATTTTATTTTATTTTATTTTATTTTATTTTATTTTATTTTATTTTATTTTATTTTATTTTATTTTATTTAGGGAGAGCCGATATTTCATAAGAGTTGATGGACTGCTTTGCCTGGAAACTTGAGAATTCATATTTTTATTCAAAATCGTTTTCATTTTTTTGCTTAGAGCCTGTTAAAGACTGAGGCCCTCTCTCTGTCCCTTCTACTCCCAGCCAAACCCAATAGACACATGTGAGCAAGTTGTCACCTGACCCGAAGCTCCAGCCCCTGGAACCAACTGAAACAAAATGTATCCTTGCATTTTCCAGCAAGGAATTGCCTTGCCTACAAAAATACTCTGTACTTTAATATGCAGATCAATTATTAACAGTAGGCTGTACCTTTCACCAGGTTGTAAAAGGATGACTGCGTAGAGCCACAGCATTCTCCTTGTCAGTGTAGGAAATGCAGAGGAGGATTTACCTCCGGCACTTGCCTCTAAGACACCTAATAAAGATGAGGAAGGCTCCAGCCTGAAGCGTGGGTGAGGTGTCCAGCTGCCCAAAGGCGACAGGTGAGATACTCAGGTCCCCTTCCTCTTTTTGCTGTCAGTTCTGATTCTCTCCTTTCAATCTTTCTCATCTGTGATTGGGAATGGCAGGGGTGGGGTGTGTTTGGGGCATCAGTGGTGGTAAAAATGGTCTTATGGGCAGGGCCATGTTGAATAAGAGATGAGCATGGAGACAGCGTATTAACTTAAAAGGCCAACACCGAGGCTCATTTGAGACCGTAGGAATTCCAGGGAGACAGTGTTGTTCAGGCATGGGATCGAAGATCAGGAGGGCGGCTCAATAACACGCTGGCCCGGTCACATGACAGACCAGTCCTTGGAGTGAACTGGGAGACAAGGAGGCTGCTTTGGCATGGAGCTGAGAACATCTCTAGATCGCACTGGAAGGCAGAGAGAGGCCAGACAGGGAACTCTGAAGAGCTGCCACAGCCTGTGCCAGGGTGACATCAGGGTGAGTTGAGATGATTTTTTTAACAAACTTCATTTTTTGCAGCAGTCTTAGGCTTACAGAAAAATTGAACAGAAAGTACAGACAGTTCCCACATACCCGTTTTCCCCCACAGAGTTTCTTCTATTAATAACATCTTATGTTCGTGTGGTATGTTTATCATGATGAACCGATGTTGATATATCATTATTAACTAACAAGTCCAGAGTTTACATTAGGGTTTACTTTTTGGGTCGTATGGTTCTATGAGTTTTAACAAATGTATAATGACCTGTATCTATCATTACAGTATCATACAGAATAGTTTCACTTCCCTAAAAATCACCCTCCCTTCCTTCCTGCAAATCTCTGACAACTGCTGATCTTTTTACTGTCTCTATACTTGTGTCTTTTCTGAAATGTCATGTAGTCAGAATCATGCAGAATGTAGTCTTTTCTGACTGCTTCTTTCACTTAGCAATATGCTTTTAAGCTTCCTCCATGTTTTTCCAGGGCTTGGTAGCTTCTCTCCGTTTTAGCACTGAGTGATACTCCATTGTATGGATGTACTGTAGTCTGTTTATCCATTTGGGCAGACTTTCCAGCAAGATAGAAGGCAGAAGCAATGGAAAGGGTGGATGAAGGGAAAACTGCAAGGAACACAGGACAAGATAGAAGCAAGAGCAGGAAGGTTTTGGAGAAGTGGAAAAACAAGCTAGAGAGATAGGCACAGAGGCCTAACCTGGGGTAAGGCAGGGCCTTGTAACCAACGCTCAGTGAGAGAGGCAGCCCCTCACTGACCTGCACCAGGCCTTTCCTGATTTTATAGACAGAGTGTCATGAGGTCATGAGGGCAGGAACCATGTCAGCTTCATCCTGAGAGCCCAGCACTTTGTAGGCATCTAATAAATATTTATTACACCAATGAAACCTTCAAAGTCTCTTCTAAAAAAGCAAGTTCTCCCAGACACCAGAAGACAAATGGCCTAGCAGCCCCTGAGCCAGTCATCTCGGGCAGTTGTGAGCTGGTTGCTTATTTGAACCCTCCATGCCACGGGGCAGCATCAAGCTTGCCTGACACACACCTCCTGAGCCAGGAATTCACCACTTTGCCACCATCTCTGCCTGGCTTGGGAGATGCTCCGTGGACAGAACCAGAGCCGTGCTGCAGGGAAGCAGAAAAACCAAAGGAGATGCATGCCAATCTAACATGCCAGTTTAAAAAAAGGCATTCTTGCCTCAGAGTAAGAATCCAGCTCTCCATGCACTCGTCTTTCAACCCAATCACAAGGCATCAGAATTAGCCCATATGACCTCTATGGGACAAGAAGAGCAAGCAGGGTGATTTGGGTGCTAAGAAATAGCTGTGAGAGGATGATGCGGCAGCTGTGCCCTCCAGATGTTCGGAGAGAACATCTGTGCAACAATAGCAGTAGCTCCCATGCACTGATGTGAGAACCCAGCCTAAGGGGTACAGCAATCTGGGTGGTAGGGGGTAGCTCTCAGAGGGTCTGACAATTCACCTAAAGATTGCAGGACCAATAGGAACCTGCCAGTCAGAATTTCCTAGCTCAGTGGTGCCCTCCAAGCAAGAGAGCTTATCAGCCAGACCTGTGTCTTGGTGCAACATCACTGCTTAAAATCAAGTCCTCCCAAGGCATGGTGTCCATTTTACTTTCTCTGGATGAAATGAAGACAGAGAATGAACCCAGTAAGATGATAGAGTGCTTTGCTTTGGATCTGTTCATATCTTACCCGTGTTTGTGCTCACATGAGTTACACAGTCAGTACAAGGGTAGAGAGCTCTTGAGAATTTCTTACCTAAGGGAAAGAACTTGGGGGCTGCTTTGCTCAAAGGCTATTTTTCAGTGTGGGGCTTATCTAGAGACATATATTTTGCTCCTTGTCCCCACTGCTGTTGCATAACTACGGGAGTTGAGGGTCACTATACACAGACACAGATGGTAGAGATGGGGGCAGTGGTTGGGCAAGGAATAGCTGCCTTGCCACTTCGAAGTCTCCTAAATGGCATCTCTGAAGAAGAAGGATATGTCCACAGGGAGAAGGGCCCCATGGTGACTCTGTTGCTCCTAATGTGCCAGGCTCAGACTCTTCAAACCACAAGAAGTGGCCCAGCGAGTTCCATGTAACTGCAAATGCAAGCAGGAAAAAACCACACTCAGATCTCAGCACAGCATCAGTCTTGGGGACAGCTGGCCTTTCCTAATGCAGCAGCATCTGGCTGCTTCTGCTGTACCTGGATGTCTTCAGGGCAGTTCTTCCACACAGAGGACCCCAAATAAAAGCAGAATTCCTACCATTAAGCTTTCCGTATCCAAAACTTTCTATGTGAAAGATACAGCATCTGTGTCTCACAAGAATCTGTTTTCTTGGGGCATCTGCTATTTGGCAGCTAACCAAAACAGAATTCCCATCTTATTTTCTTGTTCATTTGTGCTACATGGAAGGGACTGGTCCTGAATATTCAGGGCAACATCCAGCATTTGGTAGTAGTGGAGAGAAAGAGAAGAGAAAGCTCTGGACTGTGTTCCTCTGTCTGGGAATGTGACTCTCACACCTCCCAAATCCTCCCATTCACACTTTTTCTCCCTGACTTTCCAGAACCCTTTTTAGGCTTAGCTCCTTTTATCTTACCCTACACGCTTTCTTTCTACCCACACTGGTGGGTACTTTTCAGCCATAGACATTGGAGCACATTTAAATATGCTGGAGTCCTTAGAGAATTAAGAGGTGGGGGAGAGAGGAGGGCACAGAGCTGAGGATGGCACTAGCTCATTCACAAGGAGCCCTGAATTTCCAGGGACATTAAAGAACAGATGCTCATGACAGAGCATAGAGCTCTGCCCTAATTGTTTGTAATGTTGAACTATGTGTCATTCGTTCACTCATATATTCTCTCAACATTGGAATTGAGCACCAATTATGTAACAGAGTAGGTCTTGGCAATACAAAGATGAATGAAACATACCCCTTGTCCCCAAGAAGTATGTGGACACGACAGGCACATGGACCAATGATGGTCATGTCAAGCGTGATGAAGTCCATGGTCCTGAGGGACACTTGGACCACGGCCTGCATGAGAGGGCCTGGAACCCAACTGGGCGGATCTAGAAAGAATTCCTCTGGACTTGATTCCTGAACTTGAAGGTAGAGATGGAAGGAGAAGAGTTCTGGGTAGCATGTTCCTGGCAGAAGAAGCCCACTGCAAGAGCAAAGGCACTGAGGAAGCCTGGTGGTCACTGGAAAACTGGGATTCAAGTAGCTGAAATCGTAAGGGTGCAGCCTAGGGAGAAGTGAGACCCGTGGTGGGGGGCAGAGCCAAATCTCTGTATCCAAACCTTTCTATATGAAAGATACAGTGTCTGTGTCTCACAAGAATCTGTTTTCTTCGGGTGTCTGTTATTTGAGTGCTAACCAGAACAGAATTTCTAAAGATGGTCTTTGAGGCCAGGTAACAAGGCTGAGGCTAAGAAGAACTATGGAAGGTCTGTTGGCAGGAGAGATGTATGATTAGATCTGCATTAGCAGAAGGAAAGTTCTGGCTGAAATCTGCAGAGCAGTTTGGAGGGGACAAGACAGATGACATGGAGAACACTTAGGACGCTGTTATAATAAAATAGGCTAGAAATGATGTTCCTCAGAAGTCCCTTTCTCCCTGCACACCTGGCCACCTCAGACTTCCTGTTCAAGGGGAAGGCAGGCTGGGGAGAGAGGTTTCTTGAAAATAACACATCTGGGCCGGGCGCGGTGGCTCACGCCTGTAATCCCAGCACTTTGGGAGGCCGAGGCGGGCGGATCACGAGGTCAGGAGATCGAGACCATCCCGGCTAAAACGGTGAAACCCCGTCTCTACTAAAAATACAAAAAATTAGCCGGGCGTAGTGGCGGGCGCCTGTAGTCCCAGCTACTTGGGAGGCTGAGGCAGGAGAATGGCGTGAACCCGGGAGGCGGAGCTTGCAGTGAGCCGAGATTGCGCCACTGCACTCCAGCCTGGGCGACAGAGCGAGACTCCGTCTCAAAAAAAAAAAAAAAAAAAAAAAAAAAAAAAAAAAAAAAAGAAAATAACACATCTGTTAATTGGATCATTTCTGTGTGGTCAATGTCTGTAGGGGCTTTGTTTTGGTCATCATAGTATAAAATCCCCATTATGTAAATATTTCCTCCTGATAAAAGCTCACTGTGTGTCTATAACCCTACCAGCTTCCTTATAGTATTTGCTCATTACCAGGTTCAAGGACCTGTCTGTGTGGCTCTTCCCCAGAGCCTCTGTTGGAAAGAAGATTTGTCTTTGGTTATAAGTAGATACACAGTGGTCAAGATGCTCTAGCACAGTGCAGCAGAATAAGATGGGCTCAGTAGGGAAAGATCATTCACCCCTAAAGTGTACACTTATTCTTTTCTGATTATGATAGGATTATGTTGAAATTAAAAATTGTTTCAACGAAAAAGCAACTGATTGCTTAGGCCAAAGCAGAACTTTTTTTTTTTTTCCTGAGGCAAAGTCTCAGTCTGTCACCCATGCTGGAGTGCAGTGGCACAATCTCACAATCTCGGCTCACTGCAACCTCCATCTCCCCAGTTCTAGCGATTCTCCTGCCTCAGACTTCCGAGTAGCTAGGATTACAGGCACCTGCCACTATGCCCAGCTAATTTTTGTATTTTTAGTAGAGACAGGGTTTTGCCACGTTGGCCAGGCTGGTCTTGAACTCCTGACCTCAAGCGATCCACTCGCATCAGCCTTCCGAAGTGCTGGGATTACAGGTGTGAGCCACCATGCCCAGCCAGAATTATTTTTAGTACTGTAGTTAAGAGGGCACATTCTGGAGCAAACTGCCTGCTAAGTGTTCGCTGTGGGGCATTGGGGAAGAACTTAATCTCTTTGTGCCTTGGTTTCCACATGTAAAATGGGATAATTATATTGTCCCCCTGTACTGGTTTGCTGGGGCTGCCATAACAAAGTACCACAACTGGGTGGCTTAAACAACAGAAATGTGTTGTCTCATAGTGCTGGAAGCCGACTCACCTCAGAAGCATGGACTCCCTTACCTCCAAGTCCAAGGCAATGGGGCTCTCTCCCTCTTGCCTCTTGAATTCCTGCATCTCATTTCACTGGGTAAACAGGGAGGCTCCTGTGCTCCAGCAGGAAAACCCTGGACTGGGAAGCAGGATGTCTACTCTGATCCTGCTGCCCCAAAGCTGTGCGGCTTTAGACAAGTGGTTTGACCTTTCTGGGCTCAGTTTCCTTGATTTTCACTATTATTTGAAGGGCTTGGGGTCATGGAAATCATGAACTCTTCACACTGAGAGGAATCTTCATAATCCATTTTGTAGATAACGAACCTAAGGCTGAAGAGGTCAGGGGCTTGCACCCAGTCATAGAGCTAAATGAGGTGCAAAGAACCTAGAACTCCGGCGTCTTGACTCCCACCTGGGACACATTTTATCAGTAATAGTGAACTCTCATCTGTTGATAGTGTTAGAATTCTCACATTTACTCCCCATAACAACTTTCTTTTTTTTTTTTTTAAACGGAGTTTCTCTCTGTCACCCAGGCTGGAGTGCAGTGGCACGATCTCAGCTCACTACAACCTCTGCCTCCCGGGTTCAAGCTATTCTTCAGCCTCAGCCTCCCTAGTAGCTGGGAATACAGGCATGCACCATGGCGCCTGGTTAATTTTTGTATTTTTAGTAAGGATGGGGTTTTGCCATGTTGGCCAGACTGGTCTCAAACTCCTGACCTCAAGTGGTCCACGTGCCTCAACCTCCCAAAGTGCTGGGATCACAGGTGTAAGCCACCATGCCTGACCAGCACCCTTCTGAAGTAGGTGCTTTCAGAAATCTGAAAGCATAGTGTCGGTTAGCAGGGTTGGATCTCTTCTGGTACTGTGAGGAAGAATCTGTGCCATGGCTGTCTGCTAGCTTCTGGTGGTGTGCTGGTCATCCTTAGTGTTACTTGGCTTGCAGAAGCACCATCGATCTCTGCTTTCATCGTTGTGTGGTGCTGCCCCTGCATGCATGTATCTGTGTCCAAATTTCCCCTTTTTATAAGAGCACCAATCATATTGAAATAGGGCTCACCCTCATAATCTCATCTCAACTAATTATATCTGCAATAACCCTACTTCCAAAAAACACCACGTTCTGAGGTCCTGGGTGTTGGGATTTCAACGTATGAATTTGGGGTGGGAGGGCACAATTCAACCCAAACATTACCTAATAAAGTTTTCAACAGTAAGTAAATGAGTTAACTCCTGGAAAGCATTTAAAACAGTGTCTGACATTCAGAAAGCTCTCAGTAAACGTTACATTATGCTGGGTATAAATAAAAAGCTCCCAGGACAGTGGACGGCATTGAGATTCCACCGGTTTGTATTAGTGTGGCCTCGCCAGTAATTTACATCTTCTATCTTTTTTGGTTGGTCAGGGCTTAAGCCATACCAGGTAAATATTTTGAATAATACTCCTAGCTAAAAGGTGCAAGGAGTAGATACTGTGGGTTCTGATTTTTCTTTCCCGTTCTCCAAGCTGTGTACACAGAACCATGCAAGTCGCCCCAACCAGGGAAAAACAACTGCCATTTCTTTTAAAGGGGAACCAATGAAGGTCTTGTCCTGATGAGCTCACAAAAGCAAACTTCTCCATGTCTGTCGCTCACTCAGTGGGCTGAAGCAGAGCCTTCACGCTAAGCTTTGGAGACAAAGCTTCTTAGAGAATGTGCAACGTGGGCTGATCCCAGGCTGCCCAAGGAGCAGCTGACGAGTGTAAAAGTGTTTGCTCACCGATTAGAATCAGTCCTTTAAAAAATAAATAAGGTATGTTGATCTTTTATGTGATGATTAAACAAATCAGATGGCCCAAAATGAATTCCAGGTAAAGAGGAATAAAATATCAGAAGGCAAGCTGCTGAAATTAGCAAGAGCTGAACTCGAAAAGCCCGACTTTCCAGGCACGGCTAGTTTCTTCCTAGCAAGTTCCTGACGGAGCTGGGTGGCTGCCCCAGGTGACTGCAGTAGCAGGAGATTAAGGAGACAGCACCTGCCTGACAAAAAAGGTTGCTGACACAATAGGCCAAAGTTAAATTGAGCTGCCAAGGGAAAATGATTGGGGATATGCAGTTAACAGTTGAGGGAGATACCAGAAGAATTTGTGTCCACAGAGAGATTTTGATGGGGCTGACTTTGCCGCTGACCGACTCACCTCAGAAGCATGGACTCCCTTACCTCCAAGTCCAAGGCAATGGGGCTCTCTCCCTCTTGCCTCTTGAATTCCTGCATCTCATTTCACTGGGTAAACAGGGAGGCTCCTGTGCTCCAGCAGGAAAACCCTGGACTGGGAAGCAGGATGTCTACTCTGATCCTGCTGCCCCAAAGCTATGCGGCTTCAGACAAGTGGTTTGACCTTTCTGGGCTCAGTTTCCTTGATTTTCACTATTATTTGAAGGGCTTGGGGTCATGGAAATCATGAACTCTTCACACTGAGAGGAATCTTCATAATCCATTTTGTAGATAAGGAACCTAAGGCTGAAGAGGTCAGGGGCTTGCACCCAGCCATAGAGCTAAATGAGGGGCAAAGAACCTAGAACTCTGGCGTCTTGACTCCCACCTGGGACACATTTTATCAGTAATAGTGAGCTCTCATCTGTTGATAGTGTTAGAATTCTCACATTTACTCCCCATAACAACCTTCTTCTTCTTTTTTTTTTTTTTAAACGGAGTTTCTCTCTGTCACCCAGGCTGGAGTGCAGTGGCGTGATCTCGGCTCACTACAACCTCTGCCTCCAGGGTTCAAGCTATTCTTCAGCCTCAGCCTCCCTAGTAGCTGGGAATACAGGCATGCACCATGAAGCCTGGTTAATTTTTGTATTTTTAGTAAAGATGGGGTTTCACCATGTTGGCCAGACTGGTCTCAAACTCCTGACCTCAAGTGGTCCACGTGCCTCAACCTCCCAAAGTGCTGGGATCACAGGTGTAAGCCACCATGCCTGACCAGCACCCTTCTGAAGTAGGCACTCTTATACCCATTTTACTGATCAGGAGACCGGCTTGCCCAGGATCCTGCAGCTACTGAATAGAGGGGCCAGAACTTTGCTGGTTTGGTGCGCTTCCTGGTACACACCAGCTGCCTCCAATCTCCCTTTGATAATCCTAGCCACATGCCACCGCGGGTGCTCTAGTGTAGGCTGGCACCAACCCCACCCAGCAAGAGCCAGGATCTGCTTCTTGAGGGCAGGCAGGTTTATCACACAGCGGGGTGCAGAAGAGTAGTATTCATCTTCCTAGTGTAACCACTTATAACTACTTTTCAGTGAATCAAATAGATTTTTAAGCAAGAACATTGTAAAAATCTGCTTAATCAAGGGTGGAGCAAAATGAGTTAGCCAGGGCCACCCTAGCTCAGATGGGGTGGTAGCTGCCTCTGCTCCACAATGAGGTATTTACACTTGCTCCCCACCCTCTCCTTTGCCCCATTATCTTTTAGTTAAAGGGCCAGGTGCACCAGAACACAGGTGCCTTGAGTAGCACCAGCACCTCTCAGGGTCATAGGGAAGAGCTGTTTCCTCTGGGTAAACTGAGGCCTCAATAAGGCATAAATGCCTTCTCTGGGTGAAGAAGATATGCCCTCTAAGATCTCTCCAGGGTGAATCTAGAATAAGTTGTAGTCTAGATGGCTTGGCAGCACTAGCCAGTGTGACAGTAAGTCTTGATGAACATCAGTCAGCGTCATGCTGAGGGACAACCTCGAGGAGAGGGAATGTGTACTTGTTACAACAGCACACCCAATAGAAATAGCATGTAAGCTACAAATGTAACTTTATATTTTCTAGCAAAAAAAAATTTTTTTAAAGAAACCAGTGCAATTCATTTTAATAGATCTTATTTGTTTCAATATATCCCAAATATTGTCCTTTCAATGTGTGATAATATAGTTATTAGTGAGATATTTTCCATTCCCTTTTTCATACAAAGTCTTTGATACTCAGTGTGTATTTCACTCTGACAGTGCACCTCAATGTGGTGCAATAGGCGAGGGTCTATGTGGTACATCCCGTGCCCAGTGTGCACTTAAAGGCTGTAGATCCATATATGGCGACTGTCTCCTAGATAGATGAGCCCAGCAAGGCTCAGTGGGTGTTTTGAGGTCCATGGTCTCTCAGGTCCCGTTCCACCCCGACATTCGACGAATCAGAGAACACTAATATGGTTGGGAACACTTTTATCTTGCTCCCCATAGTCTGAACAGAAAGAGACGCCACAGAATACAATCACGACTCTCTCCCTCCTACGGACTCCCTCCCCACAAGCAATCAATGGGCTGGTCTCAGACAAAGACACCTAGTCAAGGCTGGTGAAACCTGCTCTATTTCCTAGTAGGCCTCCACCTGTAATTCTCAGCAGTTTGTGTGTATAGATAGAATTCCTGCCTTCTACTAATGTGACTGTTCCTGCTCAGAGATCTAGAGTTAATTATTAGCAAATTCACAGTGAACCAGAGCTAGGTCTTGCTGTAAGGCTCCTGTGTTTTTTAGAAGTACGTTGCCATGGGGATTTTTGTCCCCACTGGGTTCCTCCTCAGGACCCCAGACAGATAGATACACAAACCCTGGGCCCATAATTTTAGTTAGAAAAGGCCCAAGCCTAGAACCTCAGGGAACTCATTTGGAAGCTTTTTTTTTTTAGGAAACTTACCTTTCCTATTTGACATCTCAATCAAACAGGTGTTTGGGGAGAATAAAAGCATACTACCTTAGAAGGGACTGGGGTCATCTGGCCAGACTTGTGGAATAAAGAGAATTTCATTCCTTGTATAAAATAACTCTAAATAATGGTAAGCTCTTAGGAGACTTGATCTACTGGCTACATATACCCACTATGAAATTAACACATTCTGGAATTTAGATGGAAGAATATGGAAATTGGTCCTTCTCAGTGTATGGACGAAGCATCAGAAATGAAGAGAAGGGCCAAGCCTAGAGAGCAAAACTAAAGACTCACTGGTCTGTGGGCTTCCTGCCCAAGGAGAGCTGAAAGCTAAAGGATGCTTCACAATGTCCTACAAGTTGTTTTTCTAAAGTCCTTCCAGCGGTTGAAACTGTGTTTATGCAAAACAAAACTTTCCTTTGTTGCTATAATCTAGAGGTGGACTTTGGCTTAAGTCATGCCAAAATATTATCATTCTAAACCAGTAACACCTATATTTGTTGAGCATTTACTATATGTGTGGCACTATGCTAAACTTAACTACCCCTTTTCCTCATGTGTAACAGTCAGGTGACTTCACAGCTGCCTTGTGGATACTTGTGTTATTTGAAAGATTGCATAAACACATGTAAAATGCTTAGAAGTCTACCACCTCATCTTACCTACAGCTTTGGTGAGTCCCTGCTTTGGCCAAGTAGAATCATTCCCTGTGAGGAGGGGAAGAGGATAAGAAACAGGCAGAGTTGACCTTACAGGTAGACACAACAGGCGAGGGTCCATGTGGTGCAATGGATCCCATGCACATGCCTGATTCAGTCATTCTAGTTGAGTAGGATTGTCTGGTTGGTTGTTATTATTTTGTTTTTTGTTTGTTTCTTTCTTTTGTTTTATAAGATGGAGTCTCACTCTGTCGCCTAGGCTGGAGTGCAGTGGCTCAATCTCGGCTCACTGCTGCAACCTCTTCCTCCCGGGATCAAGCAATTCTCCTGCCTCAGCCTACCGAGTAGCTGGGGCTACAGGGGCATGCCACCACACCTGGCTAATGTTTTGTATTTTAGTAGAAATGGGGTTTCACCGTGTTGCCCAGGCTGGTCTCAAACTCCTGAGCTCAGGCAATCCTCCCACCTCAGCCTCCCAGAGTGCTAGGATTACAGACGTGAGCCACCGTGCCTGGCCAGTTTTTATCTTGAAAGCTTAAGGGTCTCCCACTTAAATTCAAATACTCTTCTGAGGATAACCTTTTAATCAGCCAACTATCATGAATCTCAATTATCAGGAATTCCAGTTATTCCAATTATCAGGAATTCTTTATATCATCCCAGGAATCTAAAAGAGCAAGGTCTTATAGGTAAGGGCAAACTTTCTGATGCCTTGGAATTCAGACCCTAAGTAGAGATGGTCATTTGACATCTAGTCTGATCGACTGTAGAGTTACTTCTATACAAATAAATTCAAGTTATCACAGGGTTTCTTTCAGTTGGGGACAATACTTTGAAAACTTTTAGGCTCTGAATGAATAACTTGGCAAAAGAAAATGTTAGGGTCCTTCAAATACCATACTTGTTGTGGTTTTCTCACAGATACACCAGTCTATAACCCTGAGGTTTCAACACTCCACTCAGTTGTGGGCTTTTTATCTAAATCAAAACTATCACATGCCCACATGTGCATCTGCAGCCAACCACAAATGATCTAACAGGACCAGATTTCACTGGAGCTCTGTGACCCTTCTCCCAGTGTGAACTGAAGGGAAAAAAACCTGGAGCCTAAGGGACTCCCTTTTCCGTGTCCTGAAGACCACTGGCTTTGGTTAAGCCAATATGATGGGCTCATTGAGAGAGAGACTCAGGACCTCGGATCATGCCACACTCTCTGGCCCCAGAAGGCATACCACAGGCTGCCAGCTTTGTTGGAGAACCTGAGACTTAAGGCCAGGATATATCAAGAGCCCTGTACCCAGTTCTGTGATGTCTTAATACCTTTGACAAGAGACATTGGCAACTCACTGGGTGTCCATTGGGGGGCGACAAGGAAACAGACTGATGAAACCAGAGAATGTGACAACTAATTACATGTTGTTTCCTGTAGAAGAGAAATTCTCAGAGGAACGTGGTGACTGTCTGTTCTTTAATGGACTGTCATATGAAAGCAGGAGAAGGAGATTCTTCCTTACTCCAAATGACAAAACTAGGAGCAGTGAAATGAGCTTATAAGGTGGCCGGGTTTTTCTAGCAATTGGAGCTCTCTGCAGTGAGTGGACACTTGGCAGGGTAGTGCCTACTCCGCATTTGATGTGTTCACACCACGGCTAGAAGTAGGTGTCGCAACTTCCAGTTGAAGAGGGAATTCTTTTCCTTGGGTGGGAGAGGGGCTAGAGAACGTCTCAGGTTGTTGCTAACTATGAGCATGGTTTTATAATTGTTTAAAAGTGGGTAAACAAGAAGAGTGTGTTTATGGTGTCTGTATTCCACAAACTATTATTTCCCACATTAACTGTTTCATATATGGAAAATCTGAGAAACAGGAATGCTAACAAGGTTGCAGTATAATTTAAAAATACTTCTGAGAGATCATTGTATCCCAAAGGCAGTGCCCAGTGAGGTTAAGAGCGTGGTTTGTGGAATCTGAGCCCACAGGGGTTTAAATCCTGCCTCTGCCCTTCTTAGATTCTGTGAACTTGGACAGATTCCCTCACTTATTTAAGACTTCACTTTTCAGCCCTTGAGATCCCACCTGCTCAATTATCTAAATGAAATCTATCACTGTGGAAACAGCAAAGGCCTCCTGCTGTTGAGCAAAATGTTTTCCAGTCCTTTGTTTCTGTGTGAAATAAAGCAGCTCCATCCCAGTGCTAAATGATCAACTGCATATGACAGAATGAGCTTATTTCATGCTCCCAGTAAATACAAGACCATAGACTACTCTGGATGGTAGTTTAAGTTTAAGATGAAATTGCTTCTTCTGATTGCCTTCTTCTTTATTGCTTCTTTCTCTGTTGTTCCTTCCTTCTCTTGTTTATAACACTAACAGTCAAATCTATCTGTGTGGAAATCTATCTGCTATATAGAACGCTACATCACAATTTACAGAGGGGAAAATATTTTTGTCGGCAGTAACATTTCACTGGAAGAGGCACTATTTGGCCACCTAACTCTGGGATTTAGGCTCAGGTAGAATCAGTGCCTCAGTTTCTTTAGGTCAGCCATTATGAGTTGTTCCTTATTTGACCTAGCACATATATAGATGGTGGTTAAATTTAGCAAAATTCTCTTCACAAAGGTTTCATTTGTCTGGAAGACTCTAAGTACTGATCTGGTCAGAGTACCATCAAAGCCCCTTGTTTGTCATGAGACCGTGGACCAACATGTTAGTCTTTCTCATGTAAAAAAAAAAATCATCAACAAATGCAGTGGGAGTTGGTAGTCATGAGTTTGAGGTAGTACAATATCCTTAAAGTACACACTCAATCATGTGTGATAATTGGCCAACTCTACCTAACAACAGTTGAAGACCTCCAAACAGCTATCAGGACTACTGGAATCATGTCTCCAGAAGAACCTGGAGAAACATTCACATTTGTGTGGACCAAGGAGGAAAGCAACCCAGACGACTTCTACTTAGAAGCACAGGCACATAGAGCCTGTGTTATTGGCACAGGTATTTCTCTCCTAAGAGCCTTTTCTGCTTAAGAAGGCTTGAGGATCTATTCCCATTAATCATAAAAAAGGGATTTGCTGGGCTAAATTATTTTAGCCTCCTCTTTATGCCTTACTTCACAAAGAATTGCAGTTAATCTGTAAATGAGTTCTGATGTTATGAAAATTGGATATGGCAAATTGTGTTATTAAGTCTATTAAGGGATGAAGAAGGACTCTTCTAAAAGAATAACGTAGTCTGAGTGGCAGCTCTCACTTAATAGACATCTACCTAGAAATGTTTCTGAACTTAATGGACACATGATATAATTCAAAATTAATATAAGCACACAGCACCTCTCCCCATAACCTTATTGAAATTAAGGGTTCCAAATCATTCTTCTCTCCCTTTTACTTCACCTGCAACATGTGGCTCACCCTTCTTTAGACTAAGAGCTAAACTCTAATGCCTAGTTAATGTAAAACAATGCCAGGATTATTAAGCATGATTCTGATAAGTTTTAACCCCTAATGAGATTATCCTTGGTTAAATAAATTGAATGGCTAGTGGAATTCCAATGTAAAGTCAGCAGAGGTTAGCTGGTTGCTAGATATTTAACTATACATACCAGGAAGCTATGAGGACAAATTTCCATTTGCACAGAGCCTTGAGAATTGGCCATTTTAGGACTAAATGTGCTGCTCATTACTTTTACTCAAGGACATACTAATGACCAATATATGTTTAAATACCTACTATGTACAACTGCTTTCAAAAACACTTTCAATCTTGAATTGAGAAGGTAGGAGATCCATACCTGTATTAGGCCATCCTCACAGTGCTATAAAGAAATATCTGAGACTGGGTAATTTATTAAAAAAAGAGGTGGATGAAGCTGGAAACCATCATTCTGAGCAAACTATCACAAGGACAGAACACCGCATGTTCTCACTCATAGGTGCGAATTGAACAATGAGAACACTTGGACACAGGGTGGGGAACCTCACACACCAGGGCCTGTCATGGGGTGGGGAGAGTGGGGAGGGATAGCATTAGGAGATATACCTAATGTAAATGACAAGTTAATGGGTGCAGCACACCAACATGGCACATGTATACACGTGTAACAAACCTGCACGTTGTGCAGATGTACCCTAGAATTTAAAGTATAATAAAAAAAAAAGGGGGGAAAAGAAAAGAAAAGAGGTTTAATTGGCTCACGGTTCTGCAGGCTATACAGGAAGCATGATACTGGCATCTGTTCAGCTTCTGTGGAGGCCTCGGGAAACTTACAATCATGGCAGAAGGCAAAGGGGCAACAGGTATGTCACATGGCCAAAGCAGGAGTGAGAGAGAGAACAAGGTGCCACACACTTTTAAACAACTACATCTCATGAGAAGTCACTCACTATCACGAAGAGAGCACCAAGGGAATGGTGCTAAACCAAGGTCCCCAACCCCCAGGCCACGGATCAGTATTGGTCCATGGCCTGTTAGAAACCAGGCCACACAGCAGGAGGTGAGTGGCGGGCAAGCAAGCAAAGTTTCATTTGTATTTACAGCTGCTCCCCATCGCTCATTACTGCCTGAGCTCAGCCTCCTGTCAGATCAGCAGCAGCATTAGATTCTCATAGGAGTGCAAACGCTATTGTGAACTGCACATGTGAGGGATCTAGGTTGCACACTCCTTATGAGACTATAATGCGTGGTGATCGGTCATTGTCTCCCGTCACTCCCAAATGGGACCGCCTAGTTGCAGGAAAGCAAGCTCAGGACTCCCACTGATTTTACATTATGGTGAGTTGTATAATTATTTCATTAAATATTACAAGGTAATAATAATAGAAATAAAGTGCACAATAAATGTAATGTGCTTGAATCATCCCAAAACCACCCCCTCTCTGCCCCGTCCCAGTCCATGGAAAAATTGTCTTCCACAAAACCAATCCCTGGTGCCAAAAACTTTGGGAACTGTTGTGCTAAACCACTCATAAGAAATCCAAACCCATGATCCAGTCACCTCCCACCAGGCCCCACCTCCAACACTGGGGATTATAATCCAACATGAAATTTGGGTGGGGACACACATCCAAACTATATCAATACCTTCATAAAAGCAATTAAATAACTGTACAGTGTGATAGGCAATAAATGTCAAATGTCATATGTATGAGGAACATAGAGAGGTGCTGTTATCAAGTCACTGTGTGACCCACTGAGCACTCGCAATGAGGCACAGGTAGTAATGTACCTGCTCACTTGCTTATTGTTGTCCCACCATGCTGAATTGGGAGCTTCATGAGAGCAGGGCCCATGTCGCATCTATTACCACAACTGCCTTATTCGCGTGGCCTGTAGCTAGCAATCAGTAAAAAATTACAGCATGGATGAAGCTACAGAAAGAAAGTAAATACTGACAGGTGGGCAAAATTTTTAGATATGGATATTTAATGATGGGATGAACAGATGAATCAAGACAGGAAACAAGGCTTCGCGTGGCAAATATATCCTTTTATTTGCCCAGCAAACATTTGCAGATCCCTCACTATGTGCTAGACACTGTGGGCACATTTCTGTGTGGATTGGTGTTTTTCTCTCTCAAAACTGGAGAGATTTTGAGATCAGCCTGTATGTAGTGAGATGAAGAGGTATGTGGTTGAGATCAGGAGTAGTTGGGATTCTGTGAGGGATAGGGCTCCTTAGGTGTAGAGAGCCTTGAGACCTTTGTTGTGAGGATAGTGAAAATCAACAAAAGAATTTATGTTAAGGAAGGTTAAAAAGTCACTCTAAAGGTCTCAGAAGTGCCTATGACATCATGAGGAGATGTCCATTCCTGAAAACTTTAGCCAGGTTACAAACACTTTAAGAAATCCTATCTCAAAACTTCAAGAAAAGTGAGATCTGTATTTACACAGATAGAATTTCCAGGACTGGATTATATTTGCACTTTTTTGTTAAATTTTTACTTAACTAGTATATTAATATTGATAGTACTTTGTGACTTTTTTCATAAATATAACTTTTAAAAAATATGGTATTTCTAAAAAGGTTTGGTGCATTGTTAAAATGTGGTTTTGATTTATTCACAGACAGAAATCTTCTCTAACAGACTATACTTCCATTTCGTAATTCAGTGAGGTAATGGGACTCAGTTATACTAAATTTATCATAGAGCAAACTTTGCTAGTTTTCATCTGTTCATTACATTTTATGTAATGGCAGACAGTGTAATAACTAATACCGTTAACCCAACCATCTCTTCCCTATAATGTTTCTATAGGAACATACAGTGTACATTTTGCAGTTCTCTACACGCAGACAAATTCTACCAGTGTGTATTCTGATTACAAGCTAGTTGCTTCATAGGCCATATGTCTATCTTCAGTCCCTATGAATCATGTAAATTACAGAGCAAACTGCCGATACTCAGTATATGTATATGACACATAAGAGTCAAGTATACTCAGCTCCTAAGAGCAAGTGAGAAGACAAAGAAGATCTACTGTGTGTAGAAATACTTCTTAAATCATCTTTCCTGAAGGCCTAGTTTGCAACTGAGTCGCAAAAATTTGGTTTCAAAAAGTTAAGCTTGCAATAATAAAAAGATAACCCAGTTTAACAATGGGCAAAGTGATCTGAACAGACATTTCTCAAAAAATGATATAGAAATGGCCAGTAAGCACAAGAAAAGATACTCATCATCATTACTAATTAGGGAAATGCAAATCAGAACGACAATGAGTCACCTCTTCACAGTCACTAGGATGGCTATGATTAAAAAAAAAAAAGACAGGCAATAACCAGTGTTGGCAAGGATGTGGACAATTTAGAACCCTCATACACTATTGGTAGACATGCGAAATGAAATAGTCATTTCAGAAAACATTCTGGCAGTTCCTCAAAAGGTTGAACATAAAGTTACTAGGTGAACCAACAATTCCACTACTAGCTATATATCCGCCAAACTGAAAACAGATACTCAAGCAAATACTTGTACATGAATGTTTATAGCAGCCCTATTCACACTGTCCACATACTTGAAAACAATTCAAATATCCATCAATGGATAAATAGATAAACAAAACGTGGTAATTTGTACAATCGAGGATTCAGCCATAGAAAAGAGTGAAGTACTGATACATACTAGAACATAGATGAACCTCAAAAATGTTATGGTAAGTAAAGGAAACCAGTCAAAAAAGACCACATACTTTATGATTCCATGTGTATGATATGTCCAGAATAGGGAATTCCATACAGACAAAAAGTAGATGAGTGTTTGCCAGGGGCTGGGGAGAGGTGGGGATGGGGAATGACTGGCTGATGGTTAGTTTCCTTAGGTGGTGAAAAAAATGTTTTAAAATTGATTGTAGTAATGGATCCACAGCCTTGTGAATATACCAAAAACCACTGAACTGTGTAGGGGTGGGTTGCCCCTCCACACCTGTGGGTGTTTCTCGTAAGGTGGAACGAGAGACTTAGGAAAGAAAAAGACACAGAGACAAAGTATAGAGAAAGAAATAAGGGGACCCGGGGAACCAGCGTTCAGCATATGGAGGATCCCGCCAGCCTCTGAGTTCCCTTAGTATTTATTGATCATTCGTGGGTGTTTCTCGAAGAGGGGGAGGTGTCAGGGTCACAAGACAATTGTGGGGAGAGGGTCAGCAGACAAACACGTGAACAAAGGTCTTTGCATCATAGACACTGTAAAGGATTAAGTGCTGTGCTTTTAGATATGCATACACATAAACATCTCAATGCTTTACAAAGCAGTATTGCTGCCCGCAGGTCCCACCTCCAGCCCTAAGGCAGTTTTTCCCTATCTCAGTAGATGGAGCATACAATCGGGTTTTATACCAAGACATTCCATTGCCCAGGGACAGGCAGGAGACAGATGCCTTCCTCTTGTCTCAACTGCAAGAGGCATGCCTTCCTCTTATACTAATCCTCCTCAGCACAGACCCTTTACGGGTGTCGGGCTGGGGGACGGTCAGGTCTTTCCCTTCCCACGAGGCCGTATTTCAGACTATCACATGGGGAGAAACCTTGGACAATACCTGGCTTTCCTAGGCAGAGGTCCCTGCGGCCTTCCGCAGTTTTTGTGTCCCTGGGTACTTGAGATTAGGGAGTGGTGATGACTCTTAAGGAGCGTGCTGCCTTCAAGCATCTGTTTAACAAAGCACATCTTGCACCGCCCTTAATCCATTTAACTCTGAGTTTGACACAGCACATGTTTCAGAGAGCACGGGGTTGGGGGTAAGGTTATAGATTAACAGAATCTCAAGGCAGAAGAATTTTTCTTAGTACAGAACAAAATGGAGTCTCCTATGTCTACTTCTTTCTACACAGACACAGTAACAATCTGATCTCTCTTGCTTTTCCCCACAGAACTGTACACTGTAAAAGGGTGAGTTTGTGGTATGTAAATTTATCTGAATTTTTAAAATAAAAAAGAAAGTTAAAAAATGTTAAACTTGGAATTAATGATGGTTTTTTTGAAGCAGATTAGTAACTACTGAAATTAGTCCTTGATTTTTGGAAAAGCCTTTAAAAAATGGTAAGTGGGAGAAGTTATAAACAAAGAGATGAATGAGTCACAGAAAATTGGGAGACAAATAGATGATAACAAGGGACAGTACAGAAAGACTCAACTGAGTTTTATCAAATCACTCAGGCAGATAAACATGGGGGCTGCATGTGCATCCGTATGTGTGTATATGTTTATTTACATCTAATATACACACATGATATTACATGAAATATTATAACATATAATAAATATATATTCATACTGGAAAAATTCTCAAAGAATATACCACCAAATGTTAACAATAGCTGTCCCTGTTTAGTGGGATTTCAGGTGACTTAGATCCTTTCCCCCTTTGGCCTCTCAGTATCTTGTAACTTTGTGTGCTAAGATCATTGATAGTTGAACAATAAGAAGAAGAAAGTGAGTGTGGAAGGATGTTGCTAGAGAAAGTGTATTCTTGATTATATGGAGGAAGTGGGGGCAGTTTGTGAAGTCTTCCTTACGAATAGCATCCTATTTGAGAAGACCAGTCTTCACACTGGAAAAAATGCATAGAGCAAGGTGGGCATCACTTGCAGAACAGTTTGGCACAGGACTACCTCTGAAATATTAAGGCTTAGGAGACTTGTTCTTAGAAACTCTTCAGGCAAAGTTTACAAAAGGCCTTTTCCTCCTTGCTTAGCAGATTCTCCCAAGGCATCCACATCTACACTCTCCGTAAGTCACTATATACTGGACCTAGCACACATCTGTCTACCCATCATTGTATTAGTCTGTCCTCACGCTGCTTATAAAGACATACCTGAGACTGGGCAATTTACAAAAGAAACAGGTGTAATGGACTTACAGTTCCATATGGCTGGGGAAGCCTCACAATCGTGGTGGAAGACAAGGAGGAGCAAGTTGTGTCTTACATGAATGGCAGCAGGCAAAGAGAGAGAGCTTGTGCAGGGAAACTCCTGCTTTCAAAACTATCAGATCTTGTGAGAATTATTCACTATTATGAGAACAGCATGGGAAATACCCGCCCCCATTATTTAATTATTTCCCACCAGGTCCCTCCCACAACACGTGCGCATTATGGGGGCTACAAGATGAGATTTGGGTGGGGACACAGAGCCAAACCATATCAACTATCTATCTATCTATCCATCCATCTGTCCATCCATTTATCTTTAATTGGGATACGTCTACAAGACAACTGATACCTAAAAGTATGGGAATTTCATTTGCTAAGTCACAAAATAACTTTTAAACCATCCTTATATTATACCTAACATGATCTGAGCACATAATATTGTCTAAGTCAGACCCATTCTTGCCTCTCTGAGCTTACACTCTTGTCAAGTGTGAGCCAGAAGGAGTTGGTCCAAGTAGAGCAAGTCTCACAGGCTTTGTGGTACTCAGGGTGGGGGTCTTACCCAACATTTCCTCCCAGAAGCTGAAAGGCAGAGACAAGAAATTCATCCTGAAAGAGTTCACAAGGGTAAAGTCAAGGTGGCTGGTCCCCAGACAGGTCATAGGAATAAGGTTCTGGTCATACAACAGGAGGCAAGGAGCCCAAGTAGAGGGACTTGGGTGTGGGGCAAGTGGGAGGGTTTCATTGAAAAACTAGGTAGAAGACAGGGAGTAATGGTGGATAAGGCAAAGGACAGCATCTAATTCAGGCCTGTCATCAAGCTAGAGAATGTTCACAGCAGTGTTGTTTGAAAGAGAAAGGCATGGAAAACACTTTGTTGTCTATCAGCAGGTGTGAATAATTTAATTGTGGTGTTTTCAAATAGTGAGATTTCCAGCAGAGGAAATTAATAAACCAGAGCTGCATGTGTCGATGTAGAAAAAAACCCAAAGTGTCCAGACATGGTGGCTCACGCCTGTAATCCTAGCACTTTGGGAGGCCGAGGCGGGTGGATTGCCTGAGCTCAGGAGTTCGAGACCAGCCTGGGCAACATGGTGAAACTCCGTCTCCACTAAAATACAAAAAATTAGCCGGGCGTGGCGGCCTACGCCTGTAGTCCCAGCTACTTGGGAGGCTGAGGCAGGAGAATTGCTAGAACCTGGGAGGCAGAGGTTGCAGTGAGCCGAGATCGCGCCACTGCATTCTAGCTTGGGTGACAGAGTGAGACTCCGTCTCTTAGCAAAAAAAAAAAAAAACCGAACACCCAGTGTTCTCACTCATAGGTGGGAATTGAACAATGAGAACACTTGGACACAGGAAGGGGAACATCACACACCGGGGCCTGTTGTGGGGTGGGGGGAAGGAGGAGGGATAGCATTAGGAGATATACCTAATGTAAATGATGAGTTAATGGATGCAGCACACCAACATGGCACATTCATACATATGTAATAAACATGCACGTTGTGCACACGTACCCTAGAACTTAAAGTATAATAAAAAAAGTAAAAAGAAAAGAAAAGAAACAACAACAAAAAAAAACTACCCTTTAAAGGAATGCATATAAACAATAATTTATTTCTTTCACATTCATTTCACAGTTTGCTTACTGAAGCATCAGTGTGTCTTTCAATTGGATGTGATGTGTTTTGAAGACATAAGAGGCAGGAAAGTTTTGGTTGCCAAAAATAAAGAGAAACAGGGAAGAATTTAGCTTCTGAACTGGATGGTCACTCTTGCCAGAGGCCTTGGAGGAGGGCAAGGTTTTGCATTTTGTTTGCCAATTTTTTCCTTAAATAAAGTGCCCTGGACTTCAGGTCAGTCTTGCCCCTTGAGCTGCTAAATGATTCTGCCAGATTCTTTCAGCTGAGCTGTGCGGGGTCCTGAAGACCTGCTTTGACTTCCTCTGCACCAAACTGACTCACTCCCCAGGGAACAAGATCAAGGCTGAGGAAGAGAAAAAGCAGGGCATGAATGGACCCTATACCCAAAATAGTAATTCCATTTTCTCCACCTGCCATTCTACCATCACAGTGAAGCTTTTCTAAATTGTAAGAGGCTCTTGTAAAAATGAAGCCACTCCTGGGAGATGTTGAATTTTATCAGCCAACATGTATGTGGGTGTCCATGGAAAACAAGACCTTGGCAAATTATACCACAAATGGGCTGGGGCAAGTGGGAGGAGAGTGATAGGAGAACGTTTGAATCAGGACAAAACGAGTGAACAATGTGGAGGCAAAGGGTGGGAACAAGATGTGCTTTGCCAACCAGACAAGTTTTTCAAGGCTAATTTTTCTAGAGACCATCTTAAGAACAATTGCAACACTAGACAAAAAGCACACAAACCAAAAAAAGAAAAAAATCTAAACCCAACAGCCTAAGTATCAGAAACCATCTTCTTATCCATATGGTTAAAAAGTCAAAATGAATTTATTACATTTTCACAGAACCATTTCCTGGGCCGGAACTCATTTCTCCTTAAATAAATACTATAAAATTTTCCTCAGAACAAATCAAGTCCCCTCTATAACCCCAGAAGACAAAGTACATCGGCAGTAAAAACAGACACAAAGTCTCCACTGTTGTCAGAGGTAGCATGGCCTGGTGGGAGGACAGGGAGCTCATGCTGCCGCATCAGTCGGGAGGAGGGATTTGTCTTCTCCACAGGGCAGGATCCCTACAGGAAACAGGACAAACTGAGAAGGGCTTGACAATGGAACTCTTTACAAAGGTGTCAGCAGAGTATTCAAAACCACAGGAGAATTGAGTGTCAGGGCTAGCAACTGTACGGTTCCAGAGCCAACCCATGTCGGAAGGGTCAGAGGGTGGGACAGTCACCACAACCCCAGAAGGGAGAGTTCTGTAGAAAGGGCCATCTGGAGGGAAGCAGTGACCTTCAGTCAGCCCAAGGTGACAGCCAGGCAGCAAGGAGATGAGTACCCTCAGCCTCACTCCTTCCCTTCCTCCAACCTCCTACCAAGCCTCCCTGTGGGTCAAGCTCATCCTGGGAGTCAGAAGGCAAGAGAGCCCCTAGATGCAGTCCACATAGTTCAGAGCAGGTTGCAGGTCAGGAAGGGTGAAGACAGGAGAGGCAAAGGGAAGACATTGGGCAGGTCTTCCAGCTCACGGCCCTGTCATGCCTGCAGTCACTGTAGTACAGACTGAATGTTCACTGTGTCCTGCTTTCAGCATTTAAGATGCCTCTGAGATAAAGAGCCTGCCTTGAGTCTCACGGGACATGCTCACATTTTCTGAAACCATGTAGCTTGCACTGTTAACCTCTTCCTCGGTTTAGAGGTTTTAGGGGCTCGTTTCACAAAGCTGCCCCAGCCCCTCATGTTAAACAACCTGAGGGCTGTGACTGGGCAAAAAATAAATAAATACATTTGCATTCAACATTGACAAAATACACACTTAAGTGAGACTTTTTTGCATCACAAAAAAATAAGTTTTTACTTTTTTCAAAAAGTAAAGGTTCTTTAAAAGATATCATCTAGAGTAGAATTAAGGGCTATTATTAGAAAATCACAGTGGTCCCTAGGCAAGACATTTTGAGGGATGAACTTAAGCAGGCCCCAGACTCACGTCTTCCATGTCCTACAACCCAGGCATACCCCATCATCCCATACCTTCAATTTATCCAAATACTTCCTGTTTCAGTTGGCAAATTCCACTGCCCCAAGCTTCCAAATGTCTTCCACTGCTGGCTTAGCCTTCTTCCTAAATCCCCTCCCCATAGTGTCCTGGACCCCATTAAAATGCCAGCAATGAAAGCATCTCCTTTCCCCTGTCTAGCACAGCCAGGTACATCTGTTCTGAGTGGTCAGTGCCCAAAACAGCCCAGTTGCTAAACAGTTTGACCATCACCTATGCTCACACAGGAGTTACTGAGATGATGGTCCTCAACTGCAAATAAAAAAACACAGGCCACTCTGTAGGAGCCATTAGCTCACAACTTGCTGGGCAGGCTCAAGTTTTAGGACTCAGCATGCTGAATAACACCTCTATCCAATGGTAAATTTCTCTGGAAATGAATCCAAAAACCTCTCAGATGACAGATCCTGGGACTTTCAAGTTGTTACATAGCAGCAAGGGTTGCTGTCATGATTTGTTTACTCTTTGATTCCCTGCTGTGGCTCATTTGAGATCTTGGAGTGTTTGCTGCAGTAATTATGGCAGGATTTTTCCAGAGTGGTTTTAGCATCAGTGAAAGAATTAGTGTTCATTACTCCTTAATTCTATCACTCAACAAATTATAGGGGTAAAATTAGATCCTATTAAAAAAAAAAAAAAACAGGGAAAAACAGCAAACAGAAACAAGCCGGAAAAGAGGAAACTAAATTCACCCTCTAATACTGATAAGCAATTCTTCCCTACCACTAAATTTTAAACCTTCATCAGAGACAGTACTTTGTCCGTTTGTTCAATACTTTATTCTTAGTGCCTATTACAGTGCCTGGTACATAGTTGGCCCTCAATATATGTTTATTTAATGAACTGATTAAATAAACTAGACTCAGGCTCTGACCCTTGTGCTAAATCTGTGCTCACAATAGATGTTTTAGGGCATATTAAATTTTGAAGTCAGTTCATCTCTATGGAATTTATAGGCAAAGGGGCTTTCTTTTTTTAGAGGTAGGTTCTTGTTCTGTCACCCAGACTAGAGTGCATTTTGCATTTTGAGTGCAGTGGTGTCTGCCAGTCAGACTAGAGTGCAGTGGTGTGATCATAGCTGACTGCAGCCTCAAACTTCTCGGCTCAAACAATCCTCCCACCTCAGCTTCCTCACTAGCAGACTACAGGCACATGCCATTGCACCTGGCTAATTTTTTAATTTTATTTTTTTATTTTTGTAGAGACAGAGGTTTGCCACATTGCCCAGGCTGGTCTAAAACTCCTGGGCTCAAGCTATCCTCCTGCCTTTATTTCTATTTTGAAGCAAACAAAATGATGCAAATGAATAAAGAGTCCTAGGAAGAAGTGTCCTCTGCTCTTGACTGTCCACTAACTCCAGACTTCATAGTGGCCCCCTTTGCTTAAGGCATATGATAAACTTCTAATGATGCTTGAATTATATTTCCACCAGCAGGATCAGTTATTTTCCTCAGACTCAAATTTTGCAATCAAAATGCACAGTGTACACACGGCTGCTTATATTGCAGCACATAGCATCTATTTTACCATTTCAATTTGTGTGATTTCTTACATGATGGATTGTGGGATGACAATAATGTGTTCTCAGTGAAGCCTCTTGACTAAACCAAAATTTGCATTTTTATAAACCTCCATGAAACAGCTTTACTTAGTAAGATTCTATAATGCTATACTAAAGAAAATTACGTGGTAGCTTCTAAAAGAAATACTCCCTCCATCACAGAGACCGAGCCTCATATGAAAACAGTAAGCAGCACACAGGAAACTCATGCTGTAGATGAATTTGGAGAGCCACCTCAGGTTATCTGCATTATAGAATGCTAAACGCAGACTATGCAAGAAACCAGCCACCTAGAGAGATCTATATAGAAGTAGAGAAACTTCCATACCACCAGCAATTTTGGCTTTCCAATAAATATTGAGTGATGTCCAAAAGTCGTATAATTCAAAAAGTCTAGGGTAAGGAACAAGATAAAAGCTAACCCTCGTGGGTGTTGGTAAATCAATAATTAATTGGAGATCTTCCATGATATTTCCTCATAAGAATCATTGCTAAAATTGTTGTAATGACTACACAGACTCCCAAGATTGCAATAGTCAAACAACACAAACTGTTGAAGTCATGAAGGGATATGCAACATGGCTCCTTGGTTAACCTTTTGGTAGGGATCCAGTTTCCACCATCATGAAGTCCTGTTTTCAATATTAATTTACATCATTAGAATGCCTGCTGTTCCATCAGCATTTTCTTGAGATTTCCTGGGCCATTCTCAGAAACCAGAGTTAGAATGCAGAAATTAATCATATTTCATTTTGACCTAACTATTATACCCAGATATTTATAAGCCTGAAGTATATTTTTGCCTTACTGATAAACCAATAAGAAAGAACTTGAATATCTCATAAAATAAGGTCTTTCCGCAAGCCACACATATCTAGATATGGATAATAGAGCTAAATAATCAGGTGTCGAGTCCAATACACTGTCAATCTATGTTTGACAAGCATCCAGTTCCTTGCCTTGAGTCATTCAGTTCTTCGTTGTTCTTGCTGGAATGAAAGCCTATACAAAACCTAGCATTAATGAAGTTAATATGAAACTAATTAGCTGCAATGCTACTGCGGGAAAACGGCCAATCATCATTTAATGAATGATTCTCAGTTAAGCACTTCAGAAAAGTATTTCCTCTGCCCCATAATCACCCAGCTTCATGAAGATCCTGCTTTCCAGGTTTGAGGTGTGGGATCCAGATTCACTTATAACCTAATCAGGAAATGAACAGGATGATCTTGTACTGAAGTCCTATATTAGTAATATATCAAATGAATAAAGAAAAATGTAAATAAAGTTAGAACTTGTAGTATCGTTTTATCAACTCGCAGTATGTGAAATCCATGATGTACCTGCACCATAAATAAAACAAGATCTTCAAACTTCCCAGGGCTATTTAATTCTTCCATGATTTTTGTTCACAAAGAACAATCATTGCTCAGCCTATTCATTGCTCCTTTTGGAATGAAATACTTTTATTACTATTCACTTCAAAATATTTTTAAATTTCTGTTGTGATTGCTCCTTAGACCCACGGGTTTATTAAAAGTATATTGCTTATTTTTAAATATTTAGGGATATTTTAGTTACTTGTCTGATATTGATTCCTAATTCAGTTTCTCTGTGGTCAGAATGCATGTTCTGTATGACTTCAACCCTTTGAAATTTGCTGAAACAATGTTATGATTCAGGATATGGCCTTGGTGAATATTCCATGAGTACTTAAAAGGAACATACATTCTACAGTTGTTGGCTGTAGTGTTTTATTATATAAACGTCAATTAAGTCATTTCTTAATCATGTTGAGAAATCATCTATGCCCTTACTAATTTTTTATTTTCATGTTTAATCAGATATGAGAATGGTGCGCTAACATCTTCTATGATTGTGTATTTGTCTATTTCTGCTTTTAGTCTTGGAAGTTTTTGCTTTGTATATTTTGGGTCTATGTAATTAGATGAATGTAGATCTTTATTTTCCTGATGAATTGACCCTTTTATCATTATGACATGTCACTTTTTATATTTAATAGTATTTCTTGCATTAAGTTTTAATTTATCTGATATTATGTATAACTCTACCAACTTTCTTCAGGTTAGTGTTATGATGGTCTTTTTTTCCCATATCTTTATTTTCAACCTTCTTGGTCCTTATTAGAGTATTTAATCCATTTACATTTAGTGTAATTACTGGATTATTTGAATTTAAACCTACCATCTTAGTATTTCTTTTTCTGTTGTCTCACCTATTCTTTGTTTCTATTTTAATCCCTGCTTTATAAAAATTTTAAACAATGACAATTTTTAAAACATTTTCATTTATCTTCTTTGTTACCTTATTAATTAGGCCTCTGTTGTAATTCACCTAGTGCTAACCCAGGGATTATAGCATCCATCTTTCACTCATTACAGTCTACTTAAGTTAACTTAGTCCTTTAGTTAGCATCATTTCTGTCTTCCATACTACTGTATGCGTTTTAATTCTACATATATTATTAAAATTATAAGACATTTTTATTGTTGTTTTAAATAGTCAGTTTAAAAAATGTACCCTATATTTACTGTTTTCAATGAACTTTCTTTTTTCCCACATTACATACTTCCATGAACACCTCCTTTTGGCCTATAGAACTCCTATTAATATTTCTTTTAGTTCAGAGCTGCTGGTATGTATTTTCTCAGTTTTAGTCTGGGCTCACTTTCTGTGATTCTCTCATCCCTGGATTATTGACTTTCAAAACTCAGTCATATTGGCAGCCCCTAGCCCAGTGACACTGTCTCAAATCCCAGAACAATTTATTTAATGCCACATCTATTCTTGCTCCAAAAATTGGCAAATGCCTCAAGAAGAAATGAAGAGAAGCCAGTATGAGACTCGCCTCAATCTACTTCCCTTTTCTGTGGGATCTTGGATCCCTCTCATTGACCAATATCTTTAAAGAGTTAGATGATAGATAGATAGATAGATAGATAGATAGATAGATAGATAGATAGATAGATGATAGACAAACAGATTGATGTTATTTTTAGCAGCAGCATTAGTGTGAATAAGCTACTCCATTTTAGCTAGAGGTAGAAGTAATTTCTTCTTAGAGAAAAAGTTTGTATAGAATTGAATTTACCATCATAGCCATTCTTGAATGTCAGGCCAATTGAACTCCTAAGACTCTAGCATATACAAAAAACAGAAACCACTATTTCTTATCATATGTTTAAGGGTGTGTATTTGGAACCAATTTAGCCACAAACTTCCAGATGATGCTGACATACCAATAATTACTATTAAAAAGCAATATAATACACAGGGAAAGCAAATATAGTCAATTGATATATGAGCTGTTGCTCTTATTGCAAGGATTGTAAGAGTTCTGCAGTGTGGCCATTATATGTGTGCCTCACAACTTGTATTCATTGTAAGCTTCCTTTGAGAATTTTTATCTAAGAATAAGTCTACCCTCATTTTTTGTGGAGTATCAGAGCTTCTTCTCCTATTTGTCTTCAAGATTGAAAGGAGAATATTGAATGCTGATTCTCTGAACATCTGCAATAATGTATTCCAAGATATTGGCAAAATCAGTCCAAAGGCTCAACCATCCCAGCTAATTAAATTACCTGGTTAACTCTGTGGACTACCAAATCTAAATGGATGTAAGAGAGGAAGAAATTTGAAAAAAATAAAGATTACACAGTTGAAAAAACAAGATATTCTCCAGTTATGAATTCTTTTCCCCAAGAGTGTCTTTTGTGTACATTGTTATTACAAAATCCAGTTGTCACATTAAACAAGCCATGCTATCCAAAGCAGAGTTGATTGTGGCTGGAAATTTATTCCAATATTGAAAAGATGTGAAAGGGCTATAACACGTATCAGACAATCTAGAATTGACCACTAGGGGACATGACCATGAAGCCTTAGACAATAATTCATATTTAGTTTGAAGTACTATTCTGAGGCAAAACAAACAAAAAAGAATGATTATGGAGGACTCAATCTTAAAGTGTCTCCAAGCATGTCTTGTTCTGTCTCAAACCTTGGCCTCAACAATCAAAGCTCTGTATCATTATTTGCAACACATGAATGCTAAATGGTATCATTTCTGACTATGGACCTATGTGTAGTTAAGTTGTGTGTAGGAATATGAGGATAGAAACTATTACTATCAACCAAATGGTAATATTGGACATGTTTCAAAGATTGTCTGAAAGAGCTTGTCCATGGAGACTAACCCTTAACAAGTCCCAGGTTTCTCCTCTCCTAGAATGTGAATTCCACGTTCACCAGCAGAATTCAGTTCTGCTGAAATAGTCATGGAACAGTATTGTTTTAATTTCTCAAACTTTTCAACCATATGTTTATAAAGGTTTATAAGACAAATAAGACTATCCCTGGCATATAATTCTTTCAGTAAATACTTCACATATTCTTCCATAAGAATTAGCCTCTTCTGTAAACTCTGGAGCTACCCCAAGGTAAGATCGTACTACTGTAAATAAGCCCGAATCACTAGATTCCAAAGGCCAATGGTTACCCAGGCATTATTTGTTTATGACCTAAGAAAATAAGTCCATAGAAATAAATTGGCTTGAACAGAACCATCAAAAACCCCTTTCAATAGACATCTCAAATGAAATAGGTGGTTCTACTTCCTGAGAACACCTAAAGAACCTTTGTGTAAAAGAAGAAATCATTATTTCCATTCAGTAGCAATTTTTGAATGGTGTAACTTGCTATCTCCTTGCCTATTGGTACAATGCAGAGAAACTGTTCAAAGGTGAGCCATTCGGTAAAGAACGATAGAGTTAATCAGAGAGTCTCTGTTATGCAGCTACATGGAATGCAGGTGTTCATTGCTGGTGTTTTTACCCGCTTTGAGTTCTTGTTTGTTTTTGTTCCTATAGTAGGATGCTGCACTGATTTGGGCAGGGCAAAGTGGTGGTTGATGGAAGAGCAGAACACCTGGGAAAGTCATCCAGAGTAATTTTTGATCCCAAGAAAAGATCAGCAGAATTCTCCTTGAGTCTCTAAGTCTTCACATTGTAGAACTGCTTAGGTAAAAACTAATTCAGGAAATGTGCAGTTATAAAACTTTAATAAGTCACCCATTAACTGACATTTTAAATGTAAATGTACTAAGGGGACTCTTTATTTCCCTCTCATTCGTAAGTGGACCATCCTCAACACAGAGACCCAAACCAGAAACTTAGGAATCATCTTTGATTACTCTCTTTCAATCTTATCAAATCTTATTAGCAAATCTTATCCCTGAAATCTTTGTCCCTGAAATATATCTCAAGTCTTACCTGTCCTCACCAGTTCCACCGCTACCATCCTAATCCTGGCATCAACTCTGAACTGGACTGAGTCCTCCAGCAGCCTGGTTCCACTGCTTCTATTTTTTTTCCATTGTCTCTCTCCATTTCATTGTACACACAGTTGCCAAAATAATATTTTAAAATCTGTATCACTAATTTAAACGCTTGTGGCTTTTCAGTGTACTTAGAAGAAAATCCACACTTGTAGACCCTGATGCATTCAGCCCCTACCTGCCTCCCCAGTCTTATACCAGACTCCATTTCTCATATATTGCAGCCATGCTTGCCTTTTCAACATCTCAAGCAATCGAAGTGCTTTCTCGATTTGAGACTTTTTGTGCTTGCTATTTTCATTGCCCGGAATGCCTTTTCTGAGAATCTCAAGCAGTTGACTCCTCTGCATTTTTTATGTATAAGCTTTACATGGTTCATATTCAGAGATCCCTTCCCTGAGCACCCTTAGTAAACTGTTCTTGGCTTTGTTGGGTATTATTGGAACTTACCACTGCCTATAATTATTATGTTTGTCATCAGGTTTACTTGTTTCTTGCCTGTGTCCTCCACTAGATTGTAAGCCCCAGATATCAGCTAATTGGTTGTATAAGTTTCCATTCTTTATATAGTCTTTGAATAGTAATCATGTACTTAGTAAAGCCACTAAGGCAAGTGGCCAAGGAGACGTGGACAGTTATTTATATCTAATCCAATCTGAAGAATTATTCCAAGCAAAAATGACGTGACTGACGGCTTAAAATAGCTAAAAACTTATTTAGTTCTATCTCAAACCTCAGCTTCAATAAGCAGGCTTTCAGCCACATGTTTTCAGTATATGAATTGCCAGAGCTTCCTACCAACTAGTCATATAGTGTGTCTACCTTAACCTGGTACCTTTACTTGGGTTGCATTTCATCAGCAGCCAAGTCCATCTATTTGTCACAGTGTCTCTAGTACACTGCTTCTACATAGTCAGCAATCAGTGAATACTTGATGCCTGCATGCATGAATAAATGAACTTCTCAGGAATGCTAGGGCCAGAGAAAGTTGATGTTTAAAAAGTTAGAAAATGTAGGCACTTGAGAAGGATTAAGAAATTAACATAAGCCTTCCTTGAATTTATCATTGAAATCTATTATTCAATTTACATGTACAATTTCAGCAATACATATACTTCCTTTAGTCAAATACATCTCCCTGTAGCACTTACCATGTCTCTGACCCTTTGCCTTGCAAATTCCACTCTGATAATACCAGCAGTGAATAGAAATTTAAAAAGCCACTGTCCTCACTCCTTCCACTCATGTTCTAATGTAAGCCTTTCTTTTATGCAGCCTGAATGCACAATTCACTTGTCATTATCTCGCATCCTAGCTGCTCCTCATGAAATGGCATTCCTCTGGATTTGCTGAGTCCTAATGTTCAGGCAAAGTAAATCCCACATCATTCTGGCAGGCTTTCAGGAAGACTTAGGGACTCGTTGTCTGCTAGTGCAAATAACAGCAAAGTGTGGTAGGACTTCCTCCTTAGTTCAGCGAAGAGCCAGGTCCTTGTCGCACGGCCATGAAAAATTAGGCTCACAGACGATTTCGAGGGGGAGAAAAATGAAATTTATTGGGCAAAAATGGGGAAATTAGAAACAGGGGCCCTCTCCAAAGCCAGAGTCCCTGCTAGAGTACTTCCCACCTCACAGGTTGAATCCCAGGTGCCACCCAGGAAGAGGAGGGGCCAGACTCCTCCCCTCTGCCAGCAGAGCAAACTTCTGTGGCTCCACCCCAGTGTGTATTCCTCCCAGTGCGCAAGTCGGTTGGAGTTTTCTGGGAACCGCCTTCCCACCTGGCTGTCTCAAAAGGACTCCCAGTTGCAGAGGTATGTGTGATTCAACAAGATCCACTGGCAGAAAATAGAGGCAAATTAACTCAAGGAGTCCATTGGAATATATCAACGTACTCCCCTTCCACTCACAAGGCAATGATTTCTAAAACAGTGAATCATTTTACTTACAAGGGGTCACAATGGAGACAGGATAGAGGAAACTGCCCGGGAGACACAGGGACGAGGCATGTGGAGAGGTAGACCTTGGATCCAGTTCTGCAGCCAGTGAGCTGCTCACTCAGACCTGTTGCTCCCCTCCAGAGCCTCCCTTTCTTCATCTGGGGTATGAAACAACTGGACCAGCTTATCTCTGAGATCCCGCTCAGCTCTGACCCTCCTGTTGGAGAAGGCTTGCATTCTGAGACTGCAGTCCCAAGTAGCAATCTCTTCGGAGGGCATGTATGTGATTACGTACTTAGTGTGCTCACATAGTTTCATAAGAATCCGGTAAAATTCATTCTTATGCTACTTTTGTATTCCCACTTATTTTGAATGGAAAATCCTTGTACATATTTCCTCAAATTATGGATAAAAAGTATACAAAATACACCCTAGAGGCCAAGAAGCTCCTTTTGGTAGAAAGAATGTTGAGCCCTATGAATTTGAGCTACTCAAACTTTGTGGTTTGTTTTGGGAGCCAATCTTGAATATAAAATATTTTTTGATCCAGCAGAAAGGTGAAATCACATTGAAGTTTACAAAATAGTAATGCTAAGATAGATAGATTTTCTTGTGTGCCACACTTATGTTGTAACCAGAACTTAATTCACCATAATCATTGACAAGTCTTTTGTTACTGGAAAGGATAAGGGTTGGCAGGTCTTGTGACAAATGTTAGAATTTAATGCCCAGGATTTTTCTTGATGCACAGGACTCATTGGAAAAGCGGCAGCTATTTATTGTGACTGTGAATCACGTCCACAGATGAATATGATTAAGTGCTAAATCCATAGCAGCTCAAGTTTTTTAAAGCCTTGGAAAATTGGCTTTAAAAAGTATCACCTGACAAACCTCAAGCTTTTTCTGTCTCACAAGACTTTTGGAAAAGAACTAGGATCGACAGTGTTTTAAGGCTCACAAGGAAAAGAATCTAACACTTGTAAAATTATCTTCTGTGCAAGTTTTATTTTCCAACGTGTATCTGGGCTGCCAAGCATACTGGCTCTAGCCAGATCTTCATTAGCCGATCCAAAAAGACAGTCGGGGCATTTATCCAGATAATGCAAGCCAACACTACCCTCTGAGAAAACAAAAAGTAACTTGCCTGATGAAGCAAGGAACCTCACCGATTATTCCAGATTAATGCATCTCCTTTTACTGGCACCATGATCAGATATTTTCAAGACAAAGTACTTGGCAAGTTGGAATCCAGCTGGGTCCTTTGATTTTTGAATTCACTTTGCTTCTGTGATTATGGCCACAGTTTTGAAAATAAAGTCATGTGGATAGAGTTGTGATTTTTAGGGATCAGGATGCCTCATAAAACAACAATGCTGTATTCTTTTGTAGAACAAGATCCTGCCTAGGCCTCTTTCCTAGTATTAATCTTTGGTCATGATGAATGTGCTCCCAACCATCCAACCTATCCCTTTGCAACCAGGCTTTTGTGAGATCAAATAATTTTTAGAGTTGAAATGAAGTTATTACCAGCTCTAAAATAAGGTACTACAGGAGGGAAGTAAGGACCGACAAGAGTTAAATCACTTTCTAGGGTTGCGCAGGTAACTGGGAATGAAGCCAGGATGACAACTCTACTTGCTCTTTCATTGTATCTTATGCTTCTCTGATGTCTTCCAAGGGATAGCAATATAATCAATAGTCTTGAAAGAAAGATCTTTGTAGAGAAAGGGTCAGCAGATTATGTTTGTAATTGACTAGATAGAAGTAGTTTTGCTTTTGCAGGTTAAATGGCCTCTATAAAATGTAATTACCCAATGGGTTCTTCCTGCCCACTACACAAAGACCACAGCACTGCAGTAAAGAGTTTAACTGACACAAGGCCGGCCACGCCATGTGAGAGACAGAGTTATTACTCAAGTCAGTCTTATCGAAGGCTTGTGGGCTAGTGGTTTTTCAAAGACAGTTTAGGGGAAGAGGTGGGGGTGGCTAGGAAATGGGTGCTTTCCACTGATTGGTTGAAGCGGAGAAGAAATCGTAAGGGGTCAAAGCTGTCCTCTTGAGCTGATTCACTTATAGGTGGGGCCCTAAGGGTGATTTGGCAGGTCCGGGTGAAGCCATCTGGTACAAGTGGAGCCAACCATGTCAGACATGCAAAAAACCTGAAAACATATCTCAAAAGGCCAATCTGCAATAGTGATGTTATCTGCAGGAGTAATTGGGGAATTTGCATATCTTGTGACCAGCCTACACCTTAGCAGAATTCAGGCTCCTCTCCTCCCCATAGACTGGGGCTCTCTCATGGCTTTACAAAGGTGGTTGACTTTTGGGGAGGGGCTATTATCATTTAAACCATAACCTAAAAGTCTTCCAAAGTTATCTTGGCCTCAGCCCAGGAGTAATTAAGGCAGCTTGACCACTAAAGGTAAGAGCAGAGATGGCTAAATCAGATCTCCTTCACTGCCATAATTTTCTCACTGATACAATTTTTGCAAAGGCATTTTCACCCACTACCCAACTGTGTCATTGTAGCATGAAGGCAGCCATAGAAAGGAATAGGCATGACTGTGTTCCAGTGGAACTTTATGAATTAACACTGAAATGGAAATGTCATACAATTGTGACATGTCACAGAATATTTCATTTTTAATTGTTTTCAACTATTCAAAAATGTCAAAATCATTTTTAGCTTGGTGGTGGACTGGATTTGGTCCAGAGCAGTAGTTTGCCTGCCTCTGTTATAGAGTAACACATCTGAGCCCATGAGAGAATTGATCCTGTACCTTGGGTAATGCTCTTCCTCTCTGGCTCCTTTCTACACCTCAGTCACTTTTCCCCTGCAAGAGTGTTGTCACATTAGACTGTAAAATTGGATCACTTTTATATTTCATCTCTAACATGCCTTATTTAATAAAAGTCATTCTAGGTATGACTAAAGTTCCAGGGCTAACTTAGAAAAGGACTGAAGAGAAGAATTCCTTCTGACAAATGCGGACCCAGCCACAAATGCCAGTGATATTGTCCCAAGTATTGGTGGCTTGGGTTGCACTTGATAACAGAGGGCAAAAGAAAGTATAAATTTTGCTTGTTAACATAGCTTTAGTGGAAAATACAGAAAATGCCCCCAAACTCCATGCTAAGATCATGAACTAAACTGTTACAATGAAAGGAATTACTTGGGTTTCTATAAAAACAGCTGCCTCAAGGAATTTGCCACATTCCTTGGGTCTGCCTGAGCTCTGGTGGCCCACTGCTTGGATAGGCCTGGTTTGTTTGCTAACTTAACATGCTTGCTTAACGGCCAAACATTCCCTTGAAATTCAAGGACTTTCTGTCCCGCTGACACTGTTTATTTGTATCAGTAGAGTGGAGGGCTCTCTGGTGACACTCTAGTTTTTTCTGGGTTATAAGCAGATGCAGGTCTGTAGTTTTTCTGACTTGGATGGGGCCAATGGGTCTAAGCCAAGAGGAAAATGCTTTTTTCTTTTTCGTGTTTATTTCCTTTTTTTTTTTTTTTTTCCTATCTTGATTGGAGTACCCTTAGAAGGAAAAGGAGAGCCATAATCGTTCTCTGGAGGCCAAAAGAAGGCCGAAGGATGCCAAAAATTGTCACAGTGGTGACTTTTGGCTGGAGCCAGTGCAGAATGAGGGGCTATGAGTGTGTCACTAGAACTGTAATCCAGATCTCTTCCATGAGGTCAGGAACCCTGATTCGTATTGCTTTTTCCATGCTGTAGAACATGACACCCCACTCAATCACTTGTGCTGGTTCATTGTTACTTGTTATAGTAGTCATTGTTATCAAGACTTTTTGGTTGTAAGTGTCAGAAACCTAACTCAAACAGAGCTAAGCAAAAATAAATCTATAAATAAATATAATTAGCTCAAAAGTCTGAACTCACTGGATTGATCTTCAGACATAATTGCATGCAGTGTTCAAGCAGCAGCTACCATCTCTCCTTCCCTTCCTCTCTCTTATCTCTGCTTTCCTCTGTGTTAACATCCTGCTCTGATAAGCTTTCTCCATGTGGAATGAAAGACGGGCTCCAGCCTTTCCAGGCTCCTAAGTTCCTTGCAGCTCACGGTCCCAGAAGGAAAGAGATTGTCTCCCAGCATCTGTCTCCATAAAAAGAAGCCACCGTCCTTGCTTGAGTCATGTTCTCACTCTTGGACTTAGCAGAGTCCAGAGGGGCTTGGATACTCTCACTTGGATACTCTCAATACGTGCCAGCAAGGGGCACATATTCACCCTTCATTGGGCAAGGTAAGCCTGTTAACAGTCCCACTCGAATCATGGGGAGTAAGCAAAAGGAAGTTCTGAAAATGAAAGAATGTGGGACAGACATAAAACTCAAAGCTGTGCACTATGCTAGTAAATTATTCTTGTGTACTTAATATGAATATGGCTTTTATAAACAGTAAGCAAATCAGAAGCCACCCTGTGAATCATCAGTTATCTCTAGACATTTCTGGATTCCTTCTTTATTCCCTGATAATCTTCTTTCCTTCCTTTCACTGCGTTGTAAGTGGAAATAACACAAGCCAAAAAGACCCTCTCCTGCTCTCAATACACACATGGTCTAGTTCAGGAAGACAACATATAAACAGCAGGCATACGAGCAATTTCAGTAGACTGTGATGCCTGCCCAGGGTGCTCGTGGTCTACCTTTCATGGACCAAAGACAACAGGAATAAGAGCATTCATCTTCCTCTGCTATTGTGAGAATATAGACAGTGCAAAGACTTGGATGCCAGTGCTAACATCCCTGCCTGACCTGACTTTGAGAAAAGGACCGCCATTTTCAGCACAACCCACAGGTTCTCTAAATACTCAAAGTGTGAGGCTAGCAGATAAATTTGGCTTATAGAGGGAGCTTCATACCATGGTTAGAACACAGCAAGAAAGGAACAAATTTTTAATGTATTAATTGAAAATCAGATTTCTCAGCTGGGAAGAAGATATTAGCTGGAACACACACAAAAAAGTATTTTTAAAGGTGCCCTTTTAAAGGCTGCCAAAACTCACCCAAAGTAGTATTCAAATATGAAGACAGATGTCTTTTCAAGACGGGAAATTTTAGTTCCGAGTATGAAAGAGAATTTTATTTATTTGTTTTTTCCCTTGCCTTTTCAGGCTTTTCACTGACTTCGAGGGGATGAGGGTATGTGTGCTTAAAGTAGATGCCAGAGTGTCTTCTTGGAACTTCAGGTTTCCATGAGTAGAAGGAAGTGTTGAATGAATGAGGACCCACGGCCCTGTCCAGTGTGGACATGCCATAACCCTGTGCTGAGCTTCCTCATCTGTGTTCTGGGCTTACATTGAATATGGCATAAGCAACCCCGAAGAGCCACAAAACTCTGCTCTGTTAAGGGAGGAGGGCAAGTCCTCCCTGGAAGGGGTTGTCTCATCAACCAGGAAATGGTGGTCAGGATGGATACAGTAGCATCTATACCTCAGCCCCCTTGAAGTATCCTGATGTCCACTCCCCACAAAATCTAGGCCTTCCATAGGAAGTCAAGAGGATATTGTGCTGATATAAATTTGGACCACCAGTGAGTTTGCCCTCAGACCTGGTAAGAAGTGCATATTTCAGATATAAGATATTGCTCTGGCCTCAGCTACATACAGTTTCCATAAAGGAAAACTTTGAAGGACTGCCTGCAGGAAAAGAATAGCCTCGTGTTGATGTATCTAGGGACAGAACTCTCAGGCAGGACAACAGCTTCCTCAAGTCTTGTGACTACACTCTTTTTCCCAAGATATCTCATTGCATCTTTAATTTAGCTCCTAATTCAAAGCCAAGCTCATGGACTGTTTCAAGCTCTGGACCATGAGCTTAGCTCTGAATTAGGAGCTAAATTAAGGATGCAACGAGACATCCTGGGAGAAATAGTATAGTCACAAGACTTGAGGAAGCTTTAGTGAAAAGCAGACCCACCCAGCATGTGTAATTCTTCCATGAGGTTTCATCTCACAGTCTGCATGTCTTGCAAGTGGGCTTAGGGCCACAGGGGCAGGAGCTCTTGGTACTCAGAATGTTGTCTAGAAGTTTGGAGGAGAGAGATCCCTTCCAACCTAGGTCAAAAGGCAGAACTGGTAAAGGACTTGCAGACATGATAACTTTGAGCACAATATCTGAGAGAGCAATCCATGGAAGTCATTTGAGGAAGAGCATTGTAGACAACAGGAATAGCAAGTTCATAAGCCCTGACCTCAGGAACCTGCCCGGTACATTCAGGAGCATCAAGGAGACCATACTGGCCAAATGGCACAAGTGTGAGGAAAGTGTTGGTAGGAGGTGATTTCAGAGGGATGCCTGGAGGCCAGATCCTGGAGAGTCTTGTAGGTCATTGTATAACTTTGACTTTTACTTTGAATGAGATGGTAAGCACTTATGAGCAGAAAAGTGTATGATTTAACTTACGTTCTAAAAGAAGTATTCTGGCTCCTGTATTAAAAATAAACTGAAGGGCAAGGAGAGAGGTGGAGAGACCCATTGGGAGGCTAACGCAGACATTTATCCAGGCAAATATCACTTAGACCTCGGTGGTGCAAGTAAGGAAAATGAGAGGAAATTGCATTTATAAAAATCTCATTTAAAGATAGAGTCAACAGGATTCATCATTGGATTGGATTGGAGTAAATGAGAGAGAGAGGGAAATCAAGGATGATTCAAAGTTGGTTTTGTTTTTTTTTTTGTTTTTTTTTTTTATCTTGAGCAACTGGAGAGATGGAGACAACATTTTAAATTACTTTGTTCTTTGGTAACATGGCAGTAAACACACTTATAAACTGTATTACAGGTGGCAATCAAAATAAGCACCTGGCTGATTTGAAATATGGTTTAAAAAAAATTACAAAGTAAGGAAGATGAACTTGTATTGTTCTGCCCATGCAAACAATCTGTAAAACTGTGTGCATTTATATATTTTTCAGTCATTAATATTTACAGCGGGAGAGAACTGTTTGTGAAATCATGAATTATCTTTTGTTTGAATTTTATTTTATTAATGAGTTAGAAGTACCTTTGTAAGCCATTGTACCTTTTTTCTAAAGGTGAGAGCCTAAAACTACCATGTTGCAATGGAATAAGCCCTGGTTCTAGCTTCACGCCCTGGGAGTGACTTCTATTAGCTTTGGAATCTCCGGTAACTCCTTTAATCCTTTGAATTCTCACTTTCTATGTCTTAAAGGTGATGGCTGCCCATTTCATCAACTGTGAAATGGCATCCAAGTCCCAGGTATCGTTAAGAACCAACGGCTTCCATTTTAAACAGAAGTTTTGTTAAACAAATATTTGGTTTTACAAGGGTATTATAATTCATACCCTTATTCATTGTTCTTCCTTGCTCCCAATAGTCGATGGGTTTTTTTTTTAGCTGTGGCTTATGTGATCAAAGAGGTGAAACAAGTTAGCTCAATTGGTTATATTCTGAAATTAATAAGGTGTTCTTTTTGCATGTGTATACAAATTAACTTCCCTCTGTTTCTTGGCCACACACCTCACCTCAGCTTCACAAATGAGTAGAATTGATTACAACATGAATCAGACAAGAGAGTGTAGATCTATCACTGTTATTGAGAAAGCAGTTCAAAAAACAAGCATTCCCGCATGTTAGTAACATGTTTTTATAAAAGCTGTAAATGTATATTTATTCATATGATTTAATATTTTTTATCTTCAGTTTTTATTTTAAGTTCAGGGGTACATGTACAGGATGTGCAGGTTAGTTACACAGGTAAACATGTGCCGTGGTGGTTTGCTGCACAGATCCTCCCATCATGTAGGTATTAAGCCCAGCATCCATTAGCTATTCTTCCTGGTGCCCACCCTCCCCTGAACCCCCTCCCCTGACAGGCTCCAGTGTGTGTTGGTCCCTGCAATGTGTCCACGCGTTCTCATCATTCAGCTCCCACTAATAAGTGAAAACATGTAGTGTTTGGTTTTCTGTTCCTGCATTAATTCGCTGGGGATAATGGCTTTCAGCTCCATCCATGTCCCTGAAGAAGACATGATCTCGTTTTTTTATGGCTGCATAGTATTCCATGGTGTATACGTACCACATTTTCTTTATCCAGTCTATTATTAATGGGCATTTGGCTTGATTCCATGTATTTGCTATTGTGAATAGTGCTGCAATAAACATATGTGTGCATGTATCTTTATAATAGAATGGTTTATATTCCTTTGGGTATATACTCGGTAAGGGAATTGCTGGGTCAAGTGGTATTTCTGCCTCTGGGTCTTTGAGGAATTGCCACACTGTCTTCCATAGTGGTTGAACTAATTTACACTCCCACCAACAGCATAAAAGCCTTCCTTTTTCTCTGCAACCTCACTAGAGTCAGTAATATTTCTTCAAATATGAAGGACTTGACCTCAGATCCTTTATGATGATCATAAATACATAAATAGATAAGTTAAAAAATAGGAAGGACAGTGTGATACTAAATAACTACAAAATTAGAGATGTATCAAAAAGTATTTAGGCACTAAAATAGTTGAGAGATCATTTTCAGAGCCTCCAAGAGTTTCTATGCCTTGAATTATTTGAGCATCCAGTGCAAGCTTTCAGAGTCCTTGCTTCCTTAAATATAAAACAAGAAGTCAGATACCTTTGCCTCTGACTTCTCAGAGGTCTTTGAGCTTGACAGTTCTATAATTCTATGAGTTTTCTACCTAGAAACTATTCCTTCCATTCAGTTAGGAAATATATTCAAGTATATTTTATTTAATCTTAAACTTTGGAATCCCATTTTGGTAAGCTGCTGTTATTTGAAGGTGTTGACGTATCCTCTGGGATCTGAGAAAATTATTATCAAAACCAATTAAAGGAATCATCTATTTTGTGCGATTGGTTTTGAAATCTGTCCAGTGGGCTCTTTCTGGAGGCAAGGATCCTGGTTACCAAGAGACTTTGCTGCAAATAAGGCAAACTGGGATGACATTTGGGGTTGGGATCCTTCTCAGGACCAAATGGGCACCCATCATCTTTGGGTCTAGAAGACTGCACTGGCATAAAGCAGCTGACTTCCTGTAGCCTTGCAGAAATAACAATGGGGTGTGTGTGTGTGTGTGTAGTGTGTGTAGTGTGTGCAGTGTGTGTGTGTGTGTGTGTGTACAATGGTGGGGAACAGTTGGCAGAGCAATGAGCAAGAAATGGGAAACGACACTCAGAAAAGCAGCAACCTACCCTGAGCAAATCAAAGAATTTCTTAGAATGCAACACTAGCTGTGTGTATGAATAATTGGCTTGCAAATCACTTCCTCTATTTGCTTGTTATATAATACCAATCATTTCAGTGTCACTGACGAAAGCCCAGAAGGGAATTACCACTTACCAGCCAGTTTTACATATGGCTTTTGTGAGGAATAAGGCCTTGAGGATGAGGGTCTAAATCTCTGGCCCACAGATCTGGACAGGCAGATTTCAAGCTGATCATTACATATCTTTTGAGAGAGACAATCCCAGACGAATTGGCCTGGGGGGCAACATGAGAAGGCAAGACAAAAGAACATTGTAAAGACTTCACCTAGAATCCAAATTGTAGTTCTCTCAGCAAGTTATCAAGAAGCAAATTAACTGCTAGATTTTGTAATCCAAAGATTATTTAATCTGTTTAGCTTTGTGTTGGAAGGATCGCTACTAATCATCTCTTTTATTAAAATATGATAATGATAGCCATCCTTTATTAAGTGCTTATGATATACCAGGCACTTTGTATACATGATTTGCCTTATTCAGAATAACCCTGAAGGATCAATATTATTGTCTCCATATCAAAGAGAGGGAAACTAAGGCATACAAAAGTTATTTGCTCAAGGTCAAACAGCATGGTAAGAGGAACTGCAATTTCATTCCAGGTCTTACGGATACCAAGTCCCATGCCTGCCAGCTTGCACCTGTTAAGTCATGTGATACTTAGGAAATGTACACATCACCCCAGTGCAGAGGCCTTTATCCACTTCCCTTCATTTTGCCTGGATTGTTGCTGTGAGTGAGAAATAAATGACATGAAATGATCATGTATATCACTGTCTTCAGAGGATGGTTAGTTCCTTGCTCTGGATTGTTTTTCTCTTTTGTTGGATATTTATTTTGACTTCTCTGCAAACTAAAAATATGCATGCTCTAGTTTCTCTTGGGTACATAACTCCCAATATATTGTGAAGAATGAAACTGGCCTACAAAGTTTAATTAAGAAGCAGTGAACTAGAGCTTACTTAGACAATACTTGTACTAGTGTGGGTTCATGTTGTCCATTTGTCTTTAGAGGTGTAGAACCTTGAAAGTCAGCTAATTAATCACTATTACTGTTGTGTACAGTATTGGCAATCTCCTATGCTAAAATTTTTTGTGATGATTTGAAGGTGGGAGGGGCAATATTTACTAAGTCTCTCAACCTACATGGCAATATCTGAAACCTGCTTATAATGTAGTAATAGCTTAGGCACCACCTATTTCTGAAACATAAATCATCCCACAATATAAGCCTCCCAGTTTTATTCATGCGTCTTACCATGTATAAATATCTTTTAATATACCATTTATTTCCTTGAGGGACAGTTATTTGTAGCATAAATCTGCCTGGATAAAATAGTAAAAATTGCTATGCCCCAGTGAATTCAGTTTACAAAAGCTTACATACGTGAATGAGACATTGGAAATGTGGTTTATAGTTAAGGAGAATGGATCACGCGGATTATACCTGTATAACTTCCCTAGAAGGTTGATACCACTAAGATATTAACACCAAAAAACTGAAAATAGTATTTTTCATCTTACTTTGTTATGTACCCTTTGTGAATTTCTGAAAAACACCTTTCTATTATGATGGGATAAATTACGGTGTGGTAACAAACAAGCCCAACCTGTTTGTTCCGGTCAACTAGTTGCTTTATAACAAACCACCCCAAAATTTGTTTAAAACAGCTATCATTTGATTGTGCTCACAAGTTCTGTGAGTTAGGAAATAAGACACAACACAGTGGTCTTATGTCTGTTGTGTAATGTCTGGGTTCTCAGCTGTGAACACTCAAATGGCTTGGAAACTGAAATCAGCTGGAGGCTTCCTTATTCATATGTTTGGTGCCTGGCTGGGATGACTCAGATTAGTTGGGGCTCTTGACAAAAGCACCTATACATGAACCCTCTCAGGAGCCTTGGCTCTATGGTGGCTGGATTCTGAGAGGGAGCATGCAGAGAAAAGAATTCCAAGACAATGGATGCTCTAAGAGAAGCTACTTGGCCTTTTCTGATCTAGTCTTGGTGGTCATGCAGCATCACTTTTGCCACCCAGATCAAAGGGGAAGAGGAGACAGACTCCACCTGTGGATGGGAGAGTGTCAAATTCACACAGAAGTTGTATGCAAGCTATTCTTGGTCATCTTGCTCATCTATGAAATATACCCTCCTCCATGCATTGACTTACAACAAGGGTTTATTTCTTGCTCAAAGTCTGCTGTGAATCTAGGCAATTCTCCAGAGCAGCTGTTCTTTTGTTGGCTTAGCAATCCAAGCTGCTGCTTCCATCTTACAGCTTTTCCATATCAACTCATGATTCCACAACCATTGCTACGAGGCAAGAGTAGTATGGAGGATCACACACTACTCTTAGAAACCACCAGCTGGAAGGGAATTATATCACTCCTGCTTACATTTGATGGCTCACATAGCCATGCCCAAATTCAGTAGAGCAAGCATGGCCCTCCTGTGTACCCAGAAAGGAAGGAGAGCTAGAAATATTGGTAAATAGCAATATTGTTTACCATAGCCTCAGAGATATTGCCTCGTGGTGAAACCCTATAATTCCCCTCAATTCTGATTTTTGCCCTTTATCAAATCATTTTATTCATTCCTTCATCCATCCAACAAAGATGTTTTATATGCCTACTATTAGCAACTATCAGTAGCTTGTTCCTGGAGGGAATGCAGCTGCTCCCCGCCAAAACACCATATAATTCACTCTAGAAAACTAAAATTTCAGATGCTTTGTCATTGATTATTGTGGGGAGAAAATGTCTCTTTCAGCTCCGACTTTGTCCTGTCTCCTCTAAGGCATGTGAAATAAGATTTTTTTTTCCTATTCTTACCTCCTATGGTCCCATTTTATGGTTTTCATGCACTACTGTCAGTCAAATATTTATCATATGTCTTTCAATATCTTTCCAATATTTATCATATATCTTTCCCCTTGTAGGCCTTAACTTTATGACCCACTATTAAGCACGCAGCTGTATTTCCAGAAAATGTAGATGGTTTAATTCAATACTGCATGGCAATTAACTGTCTTATAAATTAAATCATTTTAATCCATCTTAGAGTTATCATGCATAATTAGTCTGACAGCACAATTCTGTTTGTTGTTGTTTTAAAGGAAATTTAGATATCAAGGCTGCAAAGAATGCGTAAGTCTAGGCAGAAGGCTCTTATTTTCCAAAAGCAGAGCCCATCGTTGCATTTCAACAATGACCGCAACAAAAACCATCAGGAGCTGTTTGGGGCCTGTTTGTGCTTTAGTCTTCAATTAGAAAAAAATGTGTTTCTGATGGAAAACCATAGAACAATCCTCACTCTGTGGTAAGAAAGAATAAAGAGAAAGAAGTGGGCTCTATGATAGACTGAAGCAAGAATACTATTTTAGACTAGGTAGTGGCCGGGCGTGGTGGCTCACGCCTGTAATCCTAGCACTTTGAGAGGCCAAGGTGGGCGTATCACCTGAGGTTGGGAGTTCGAGACCAGCCTGACCAACATGGAGAAACCCTGTCTCTACTAAAAATACAAAATTAGCTGGGCGTCGTGGCGCATGCCTGTAATCCCAGCTACTCAGGCGCACTGGCTCACGCCTGTACTTGGGAGGCTGAGGCAGGAGAATCGCTTGAGCCCAGGAGGCAGAGGTTGCAGTGAGCTGAGATTGCGCCATTGCACTCCAGCCTGGGCAACAAGAGTGAAACTCTGTCTCAGAAAAAAAAAAAAGACTAGGTAGTTATCTTCCTGGGTGGTTTTGGCTATGTAGAAAATCACTCTTACTCTCGATTAATTTATGTACCAAATCATGCTTTGAAATATCCCACTGAAAAGGTCTAAATTATTGATATCTTGGGTCAAGTTCTGACTTGAAGGCAAATAGTAGGAAATACAATGGCATTTATTGGAGGCACACACTACAAATATTGTAGTATCTTTAAGATGTGTTTAAATAAACAAGTAGATGATAAAACTATAAATTAGAGTCACTAAGACTCTCTAGCAGAGACCCTTACCTTTTGAAGTGCACCTTAAAATGGCAACAACACTTATCAGAAATTCCATAAGAAGCTTAGTTGTCTGCTACTCTATTGCAGTATCATATGTGTGAGCTGCATGAAAACTGGATATTATTATTATCAAAGGTTATTATCAAATGGAGCACAATTTTATTAATAACAATATTATTATTATCAAAGGTTTTAATTTGCTAAAACTATACAGCTTCCTTAGGTCTTCCAAACTAGGTCAGCCAGTTAACCCTCAGATCTGGAGTACCACATTTGGCTGAGTCAGAAGAAATAAAGATGCTCTCAAAACCACAAACAAAACTGATAATAGACATTCTGATAACTTTAACTCCCACAGTAATAAATCTTGGGTCTTTTAAAGTTGGTCAGATGTACACAGAGCTGCTTACTAATTATACTAAAATAGTTACTAAGCAACTCGACATTTTGATTTCCAAGAATTTCAGATAAAGATTATGAACTTTATTTATTTGGTGCTTTAGAGTCCAAGGCACTATTTTACAGCCTAAAGCTGTATTTCTCAAGGCCATCTTCTTGCATTCTTCTAAAACTTAAGAGGGATCATCTGTCCTCAAAAATATAAGAAATTCTGTAAATGTGTATTTTTGTGTATATATATATTTGATATTTAAAATTCTGTATCTATATATACTTCCAAGACCCCTTAGAACTTACACGGTACCTGTAATTTGTTTCTTTTTTATACTTAAGTACAAGTAATGTTAGTGATACATTTAAAACTAGGAATTACCTTGTTTGCAATATCAAATTTTTGTAAAATATTGAGTTAAAAAAGTCTCCTAAAATTAAGATTTGAACTATTATAAATGGCTTCAAAGATCCTTTCGTTTCTAAGAGAAGGAAGGAATTAGGATTTATTGTGCATGTATTTCATACCAGGTGCTCATCTACAGTTATTGAATCCTTGCAACAATCGTATCAGGTAAACGCTGTTATTCTTCTCTTACAGATGAAAAATCTAAACCTTCTAAAATGAAAGTTTGTCCAAGTTAACATGACCAATTAGGAGAGCTTGGATTCCAACCCAAATCTGTTCAGTATCAAAGCTCACTCTCTTCCATCCTTGCCCCTTCTCAGCTCACATAGTAGCTTTCAGAAAACAGTAGCTATCTACCCCAGATAAAATTAAGCCTTTTTTTCCTTAGGAGAGGCTAGAAACTGAATCTTCTACCCCCTTTATTGGCATCACACAGGCACAAAAATCACCAATTCTCAAAAACCCTATACTCCCAAGTTCAACACAAATTGAATGGTTGGAATATTGTTGGTTTGTATGGAATAATTAACCCACATCTAAAAATTAATTATACAAAGTGAAGTGGAGATTGAAGCAGTTTTCTAGATAATTAAGGCAAAAATAACTGCAATTTTTTTAAAAGACAGTTTGAAATATTTAGAAGGGTAGATTGCAAAATTATCCAACTTAAGGTAGTCATATTCAGGGAGTTTAGCCAAAACACCTCTGAAGTTCATTGCCTTACAAATGAGTATAAAACTTAAACCTATGATTAATTCCCTGTTGTTTTTCTATCTGTATTATACATATAAATATATTTTATATATTGTCCTCCTGAGATTTCAAGAGCAATTTTCTTCTAATTCTTCTAATTTCTTCTATGGATTCACCATAGTGAATCCACCGACACGTCTACCCTGTGACAATCTTGTTCTCCATTTGATTGCATGAAAAATACCATATGAATTTGACAAATCATTGGTTTTTTTGTTTGTTTTTCTCTTTTGCTGCATATCATTGCCTATGCTTCTTGAGCACTAGAATATATTTGTGCATGTATAAACCAAGGCCTTTCTTCTGAAAATTAATAGTACTTTGAATCTCTTCTATATTCTGGTTCTTTTAAACTGTGGTTGTTTTAAGTTTGCCTCTCTTGTTTTAGGATTTATTCTTTATTTTGAGGCCCTGATTTTTCACAAAACATTTTTCTCAACGAATCCTGAGAACACTGGACAATCATAGCTTTTAGCTATCATGAGTCCCATTACCCTTTGGCCTCCAGTTAAGCTCTGTCCTGCAAGACATAAATTGTCTGATTATCAACTCCTACTTTGAGTGAAAAATGGTTGAATGAAATGAATATGCAGTTCATTTCAACAAAGCAAGAAATTTGCTGTTTAAAATTGTGTTTTTATAATTCTTGAGATGGAAATATAGCAGACCTCTGTGAATCTGAGAAGGCATTTCATGCTTCCAGAAATGAGGGGAGAAGTGGCAATGATATTGCTCATGAACAATTGGAAGCAATGATACTAGAGTATGCAGCAAATCTCAGGGAGATTTCAGTGGTACAGTAACTGGCCTCACAAAAGTGGGATTTATTGCATTAAATCTTTGCTGTCCTTTCTGGCTGGTTTGATATTTAAGAAATTATTAAACATAAAATTGTATGAGCAGTTACCTATGGTAGGACAAAATGGACTGACCTCTAATGGCTTGGTAGATGGGATAATTTTGGGAAGAGAGAGTGGAGCTCAGTTCAGCATCCTACTCTCCTCCTCAACATCATTTCCCATTCTTGGCCCTTGAGTTTAGATAGGAGTTGGGCATGTGTGTGTGTGTATGTGTGTGTGTGGTGAAGTGGGTAGATTCCTGTTCCCAACCCAATTAGATAACTCCACTTCCATCTATCTTCCTTGCATCTTCTCCAGCTCATTTGCAAAAGAATGAAAGAAGCCTTGCTTCAAAAAGGTTTAGAGGGCTAAATAAGAGCACAAACTGGATTTTCTGAAAACTGACCTGATTGCCTGGGTAATTAAGCTGTCACTCCAGCAAAAGCATTTGTCTCCAAAAAGTACTGAGGTTGTCTTTCATCACTCTAAGTCTAGACATTCTGAAACCTCCATCCTCTCCTGCAGAGAGAGGAATTAAGTCTCCACATTTCTAAACCATTGACAGTCTGTGGGGTGCCCCATTGTGTTCCTGACTTCCTATTCTCAGAAGGAGTTATAACGATGACAATGATGCATGCATGAGACATGGAGGTCCTCCCCAGCCCTCGGTTAGGAAGTAAGGCAGCCACCCATGTACTGAACACAATAGTGCTTTGGAAAGAGCTCTGTTAAAAGTGAGTCTCAAAAATGTAAAGGCCTTTACGAGAGGAACTTAATCTCCAGTGTGATAAAACGATGCACACATTACAAGGAGATGGATGTTATGAAAACAATAAGTACACCCAAGAGTACACGTACAAATCTGCATTGCAATTGATTTATTTGGATGCCTGTTTCTTCCTACACTATGAGCTCCTTGGGGCCATGAAATTCATTTGTTTTATCTATATATACTCTCTTTGATATCCCCCACCCTGACAGCTAGTGCAGTCCTTTCTAAATAGTTGTTACTAAATATGTCAAATCAAATGCCTACAAGGACTGGTTGGTAGAACCAGATTCTGGAAGTGACCAAGCAGGTCTAGCTTCATAAGAATGCCATCATCGTAGATTTGAGGGTCATGATGAAGTTGTACTAGGATTTATGGAGGTTCTTTGTCAACCAGTTCACACCACCAGTGACTTAAGGAAACTATATGTCGTCTATTGGGAACAGTCCTGCTTAAAGCAATTAGCAGGGACAATTAATTTGGAGGGAAGTCTCTCTCCACTCAACAGCATTCAAATACCCTCTGCATTAGCCATGTTTTGAAAAACTCCAATTGCCTGAGTCACTGATAGACAAACAGAAATGCAGACTATTTTGTATGCAGTTTTATAAAGAAGTTTCTAACCAGAGAAGAAAGGTGTTATTTTGAAATATTAAGCTCTTAGTTGTTCTTTCATTTCAGTGAACATTTGTTGAGGGCCTGACATGAGCTAGGCACATGGCAAAGTTTTAGAGATGCAAAGGTAAATTAAGACCCCTGTGTTAATTCTCATGCGGGCAAAGCAAGCACATTTTTTAAGTTGCAATAATGCAACAATGGTGGTGTGTACATAGTAGGGCAAAAGCATAGAGAAAGCCATGGAAATCCTCAAGCCAAGTTCAAAGAGTCCTCTAATGTATGGCATACCACAACAAGGACCTTCAAAGGGTGCATTTGGTAAGAAAAGGCAACCTCCAAAGATTCATCCAATCCTAAGGTTTCATAGAGTAGGGACTTCTTCCCTTAGCTGGAAAGGAAAGAAGTCATTTGGTGTGCAGTAGACATAAATTAGGGGCCGTCCACTTTTTCTTGCAATGATTCATCTAATGGAGGAGCAGACCCTGGAGAGAAACATATCTCTTCTTGTCTTCATTTTGTTCTTCTTTTATTAAATCACCCACAGGACAACCGGATGCTCCAGCAATAGATTATAGAAAAAACAGATGGGTATTTCTGTGCAGTCAGAAGGCTCCTGTGCCCTTTTCCAGCATAAAACGTTTGTGAAAATCAATTTTCAGTGCCTGCTGAACCAGGCTGATGTGAGAACTAGCTTTCCACAGTTCATAATATTCACTCCGGGATGATTTGACAGGGCTGATATTTTATCACGAATACAAAGGAGATGAGCACCATTCTCCTAATATATTCATTACTTGTCTCACCACCCTGGTAAATAATATGCATATGGTAATTTGAGAGACACAGTGTTCCCATTGCTCTTTTTTATTCCCAGAACTCTGGCTGTCTTTTCTAAATGCTGCAAATCAAAGGCAAAGTTACCTCACGCACCTGTAGTCCCAGCTACTCAAGAGACAGAGGCTCTAGACCAGGACTTGAAGTTCAGCCTGGGCAACACAGTGAGACCCTATGTCTTTAAAAAAAATTGCCTAAAAATTTGGCCAGGTGCGGTGGCCCATGCCTGTAATTGGAGGAACTTTGGGAGGCCAAGGTGGGCAGATCACTTGAGGCCAGGAGTTTGAGACCATCCTGGCCAACAGGCTAAACCCTGTCTCTACTAAAAATACAAAAAAAAAAAAAAATTAGCCAGGCATGGTGGTGTGCACCTGTAATCCCAGCTACTTGGGAGGCTGAGGCATAAGAATCACTTGAACCTGGGAGGCAGAGGTTGCAGTGAGCCGAGATTGTGCCACTGCTGTATTCCAGTCTGGGTGATAGAGCGAGACTCTGCCTCAAAAAAATTAAATTAAAATTTAAAATAAAAAATTACTTAAAAATTTGATTTTACATTCCTCCTATTCTCACTTTCTGGTGCCCATACAACACATAAATTACATTCTTCTCTATGTTTACCTGCATCTCTAGGGAACAAAGCCCCTTTCACTTGTTCTGTTACTATAGAATGTTCTACAATACCCCAATAAAGATTCATTCATTTGTTCATTTACAAATATCTATTAAGCACCTACTGTGTGTCAAGCAGTATGCTAAATCTTAAGCATGAAACAAAAGAAAGATAAAAGTATCTGATTCAGGGACTGGTTGTTCTGTTGTTCTGGGTTTTTTTTTTTTTTTTTTTGGAAGCTTGTTGAAAATCTGTGGCATCATACAAAACAAAAAAGAATGCAAAACTGGTGCCTTAAATAGAAATGTATTAATAATGAGTGTTAGAGCTAAGAGAAGGCAAAATGTCTACAGAACACATGATTTCAATTAACAACAGTGAGTAAACGGATGAGCTGGAAAAAAATTATGATCGGGCCCATGATTTTTTTTTTGTCGTTTTTTAAAAATTTTGTTTGTTTTTGTCATACTCATATTATTCTAAGGCCCATTGATTTTAGAAAGAAAATCTGTTTTATAAACTTAGCATATTAAAAGCAAATGCATAGCTCCATTTTCTTAGAAATGCGTGAATACATAAACATGTTTTACTGAGAGTAGGACTTAATTTATATGTATTAAACTGTCAGAATATACAAGTTCTTTGTGGTCAGTAATTCTTTCATTCATTTAACAAATATTTCTTTTGCTACCATGGATCAATCAGTCATTGTTATAAGCATTGGGAATTAAGAGTCCTGCCCTCAAGTTTACATTTAGGTGAGAGGACAATGAAAACAAATAGGTGAACAAATATACCAGATAACTAGAAATTGCAATATGTGCCATGAAGAAAACAAACGAGGTTTGTGTGTCTGTAAGGAGGTACTTTGCATAAGGTGATCAGAGGGAGTCAATCATGATGATAGGGGAGGAATGTCAGACAGAAACAGAATATTTACCTATCGTTTCCAGAAGATAGTGCTGCCTGGAAAATAGCAGTATACATTTATCTAAATTACAGATTTGCAAAATACAGCCAGTGGTCTATTTTCATAAAGTTTTAGAACCATTTTTGTAAATAAAGTATTTTGAAACACAGCCATACATATTCTTTAACATATTTCCTATAGTCGTCTTCATACTGCAATAGCAGAGTTTTATAGTTGCAACAAAGACCCTATGGGCCACAAAGCTGAAAATATTTACCATCTTGCCCTTTATAGAAAAAGTTTGCCGACTCTGGCTCTAAATTCCTTATTTGCATAATCATAACTTTTTTGTATTTTTTATTTTGTTGTTTTTAGACTTGTAAGTTCATATCAACAATTTATAGAAACTCTGTTAAAATATACCTAGTGAAGACAGCTGACATTTATTGGGTGAGATTATGTTCCAGGCACTCAAGTACTTTGCATGAAATGCATTACAGGTAATGCCCAGAACAGTCCTATGTGGTAGGTGCTATTATCACTCAAGCTTATAGATGAGGAAAATGAGAACACAGAGGTTAAGTAACTCACACAGCAAGTAAATGGTGGAGCCAAGAATCAAAACCAGACAACCTGGCCATAGCACTATTCTAAACTGCCTCTGTCATTTAATATTCTGTAACCTCACCACCATAATAGATCTGCCGCTTAATACTGCCTATCTGTTCCTAATTTGCAAAAGGAAGAAGCATCGTGCACCATCTTGCACCAAAGAATTTAGAATTTGTGTTGGAGCCAAATTTTACTGTTATTCCTTGCTTAGCATTTAGAATATGAAGAAGGTTTCCAAGTAATTTCCTCTCAAGCTTCATTAAGAAGCTTTGGGTAGATAATTGGTGCTTTCAAGAATGGTCCTGCTCACACTGGCAATCAAGACTGTTTCTTTAGATATTTAGAAGTGCTCATTATTAAATTCACTAGATAATTCTGCAGCCTTCTCTCTTGTTGTGGCTATAAGATGTGCCATTAGAGCAAATATTGCCTTCCCCTTTCTCCCCATTTCCTAAAACCCCAACATAACTTCAGCATCCCCATCTAAAATCGCCAGGTGATTCCACAAAAATCCCGGATATGCTTGGCACAACCTGTGCAAACCCACCTGAAAAGTCCATTTCAGAAAGCCCCAATTCTGTGATATTCAGTTCAACCTAGGCATCAAACACTTAGCCCTAGCCCTGATACTATATATCTGCTAATTTCTTTGGAAGGTATCTATATTTCTAGGTTTTTTGTTTGGCCAACCTATTCACTTCTGAATAGGCTGAAGAGATTTGCCGAAGGTTGGTGTAAGCTTCCAAAAGTCACTTGTACTTAAACATTTTCACATCCAGTGAAAAAATTAAACATTCGAGAATTGCCATTTTTTCCAACTCTGAGTGTGGGTTATGAATAGCTATTGAGTTATGACATGGTGCTGAGCAGTACCTAATCACACAGGTGGGCAGGATCCCTGCCCTCACAGAGTGGAGGAGACGGGAACCAGTTAAGAGAAAATGAACACGCAATGTAACAAGTGCTGTCATGAATGCAGGATGATAGAGTGGTCCAGGGGCATGGCATCCAATGAGGAGTTGGGGGTGGGAGGGCATAGTCCAGAAAGGCTCCCTAAAGCATAGACTTAGAAGGTAAAATTGACTAGACTTAGAGTGTGGGGAGGGGGAGGATTGGAAATCAATGATTCAAGGATGACATCTGGTTTCATCATTTACATTTGGTTGAACTATTAGCCTTTTTTCAGTATATGTTTCTAGACACACCTGAAGTTGATACCTGTCTGTTCAAATGGCCACACATTCTTTCATTCTTCATGGTTGCTTTTTTGTTTCAAGATAGCAAGAAAACCAATCTTTCCTCATTTTGCCAGTAACCGGCTGTGGGATTTTGGACAAACTACTTTGCTCAGCCTCAGTCTTTTCATCTCCATAGGGATATTGAACAAAATTATGTCTGTGGTTCTCTCCTCATCTGAAATTCTACCTTTTAAACCCCTTCCATGTCATAGTGCTTTCATGACCCCCATAGATTCATGCGGCATTTCCCAATTCTGAGCCTTAGGATAGTGTGTCTGTTAGAATTGTGTTACACTTTGTGTCAGTTACCAAACCTAATTAACCAAGGACTTAAGCACATTAGGGGTTTGTTTTTTTTTTTCAGGTATTAAGGAATCCAGATGTAAGCAATACATGAATGATGAAATAGCCAAACAACAGTGTTGGGGACCCAGACTCCTTCTATCTTTGTTCTCAGTCATCCCTGTTCCCAAGATAGCTGCCCCATCTCCAGCTTCAAGTCTGTACTCCAGGCAAGAAGAAAGATAGCAAAAAAGGCAAAATCAAGGGCCAGCTGAATTGGCTTAGTTTGAAAGAGCTTTCCCAGAAGTTCTTAGTGGAATTTATTTAAATCTTATTGGCCAGAACTATGTCATAGGCCACCCCTAGATGTAGGAGGGGAGGCTGGAAGATGTTCTTTTTTTTCAGTTGGGTACATTAATATACTAAGCAAAATGAGGGTTGTACTGATAAAGAAGAAACAGAGAAGGGATGTTAGACAGGCAACTGGCATTGTTTACTGAAGTTTATTCAGATGTAACATTCAAAATATTTAAAACAGTTCTGGCATAGCCACTGACCAATCAGAACAGAAACTGGCCAGCATGTTATAGCCAGCTGAATGGCAGCCCTGATGTTTTTCTGCTTTGCATTATAGTTACTGTATACAGTTGTCATCTCTCCTCCCCCCACATCATAAGGCCTAAGTCCATCAAGGACAGGATTACACTTTGCATGTGTTCTTTACAGCTCTCAAGAAAGATTCACACAGAGTAAGTGTTCACTTTTGTGAAAGAGAATTAATTGTTGAATTATTCAAATTGTAATCCAGGGATGAGACAACCCAACCAAGAAGTGTTCAAATTATTACCTAGTCTATTTTCTCAGGAATGAATGATTTATGTGATTGGTGGCTGTATCTTCCCAAATTCCACAATTGATTATAAACCTGGCCAATACAGATGGACTTTGAAGGTTGCTCAAATCTCTTACAGCTACTCAAAAGGATTATTACAGACTAGAAAAAGTATTGCCTGCAGTGAAAAGCTTCAGGAATAATAGAGTTCAGTAGCCCTTTTTCTTCATTTATTACATTGAATAAAACTAATAAGGAGCCACCCCAATAATCAAATCAAGTCAGTTCCTTAAAGACTTGCATCTGGTTCTTCCAGCCTATAATGAACATAATAGCGCATCATTTCTTTTCACTCAGATCTTGAGTAATCATAATGCTCAGAAGTTGGGATGGAGCATTATAGTTAATTTAATTTTCTTAAAAGCTTGAGGTCAATTGGAAAATTCATGTGTTAATTCTAATTCTTTAAAAAATTACATTTTTAATGTTTGTGGTTTAATTTTCACCAATGTAATTACTTCAAAGACTTTTATTTTCTCTACTTGCTCATTTCTAAATGATATTTTAACATCTATATTTTTTATTTGCTCTAATTCTCCAGTTTATTCTCCATTCCATGCAAATCTTGAATTGAGATGCAAGTTTATCCTAAATTATTAGGAGAACTGATAATGGGCTACCAAGAAAAAATACATACATGCAATATCCAATTTCCAAACTGGCTTTGGTAAGACATATCTTTTTGAGAAATCATTTCCATTAAAACACCTCTCAGATGCAAATTATTCTATGGAGTAATAAAAGTTAGACTATAATGGGCATTTTGTTTCATTACTTTATCTTTAACCTTTTAGTTTGGTTCCTTTTAATATTTGAAGTATGTGCTTACATCTGTCGTCTTCTAGGAAAATCCCTATTTTTATGTTTGTATCTGGATTATTTTATAGTATGTGGGGTTTTTTCTTTCTACCACACATCTTCAATTCTAAGAGGAACTTTTTTCTTTGTTTATAATTGTTGACCAGGATTCATTTTATTATTAGCACTTGTTGAAAATTGTAGGGCTGGCCTGGTGCAGTAGCTCACGCCTGTAATCCCAGCACTTTGGGAGGCTGAGGTCAGGAGTTTGAGACCAGCCCTGGCCAACATGGTGAAACCCTGTCTCTACTAAAAATACAAAAATTAGCTGGGTGTGGTGGCGCACGACTGTAATCCCAGCTACTCAGGAGGCTGAGGCAGGAGAATCACTTGAACCCAGGAGGCAGAGGTTGCAAAGAGCCGACATCGCACCACCGCACTCCAGCCTGGATGACAGAGTGAGACTCCATCTCAAAAAATAAAAAGAAAATAAAATTATAGGGCTAATATGTTTATTCAAACCTCCTATAGCTCAACTGCCTACAAAATTTACCTTTTAACTGCATGGAAAATATTCCCTCTCCCATATCAAATTTCAAAAAGCTATGTATTTTTTTCTTTCCTTATTTTTTGTACCTTTTGACCAATATCTGTCCTTTCTCCTACCCCTCAGTCCCTGACAAGAACTTTTTAAATACATTTTATTATCTTTGAAATTGGAATACATCTTATAATTTTGGGCATATCATGATTTAACTGGAAGATTTTTTTTCTTGGTAGTAAATAAAGTAATGGCAGCAGATAAAACAATTGATAGCTTCTTAGATGCATTGAAATAAAGTAATCTCCAACAGTGACAGTGTCCTTTGAAGAATTTCTGAATGATCCAGAAACCTGCTGTGAACCATGTATTGTTTTTGACTGGTGCCCTATTGTATCCTCACCAAAATGAAGTTTAAATCTTTGAAACTGGAAAATAAGACAGAATAAGTATATAGATATTCTTCCTTTTGATTCTCTACACAGGGTGTTTTTCTCAATCACACAGTTGAATCTCACTGGCTTGTGCCTTTCACATGACTAATGAAACCAAAATGTGCATCATTTTGAAGCATGTCCTGTTTTCCATAAATTCCAATCTCTCCACAGCAATTCCATCACAAAACAGCAAACAAATCAAAAAATAAAAAACTTCCTGACTGCCCATCTCCTCAATGAAAATGTTGTGGTTTTACCATGATGACATTTTCTTTAATTGTGGTAAAATACACATAACATAGTATTTACTGTCTTAACTATTCTTAAGTGTACAGTTCAGCAGTGTTAAGTATATCGGATTGTTTTGCAACCATCTCCAGAAATCTTTTCATCTTGCAAAACTGAAACTTCCAAAGTATCTTTTAAAAGGCCATTCTTACTGAAGAATTCTCGCATAGAATTGAAATAGCTCATCTCTAGCTCTTAGCTATGCAGCCCTTCTAATTTTTGTCGAACATTTTCAAATAGCTCTAAGCCTCAAGCCTGAGATTTAGCCCTAACCCAGGCCAGACTGGACCACTAAATTTTTAAACATTTTTTCCAAACTATACTCTCTTTAAGTATGTGTGTATAAGAACAAATGGCTATTTCAGTCTATAAAATGAAATTAATGAAATTAAACATTTTAATATTTTAACCCTTTATTTTGCTTTGAGATGGAGTCTCGCTCTGTCATCCAGGCTGGAGTGCAATGGCGCCATCTCTGCTTACTGCAACCTCTGCTTCCCGGGTTCAAGCGAATCTGCTTCCCGAGTTCAAGCGATTCTCCTGCCTCAGCCTCGTGAATATTTTAACACGTTAATATTTAAGAATGTTTCCTCCTGGTTGATTCCCACTAAAATGCATGTGTCCTTCCATTAAAAGAGCCCAAGCACTACAGTGTCATTTCCATATCTCTTTTCTTGTCTTGCCTTGTTATTTAATGACTGAATGCTTCTTTGACATCAGAGAATAACCTTTCATGATATGCACTCAAATGTGTAGATGAATCAGATAACCATATCCTTGTTAAAGGAGATTATTCTGAAATATATGAACCAATGGGAAGACAGAATTTGTAAGACAGGAACTTTCTTACTGGATTTCTAGGAACGCTGGACCTTTCTGGTGATGCCTCCAGCATGTCCACAAAGGACAGGAGGCCAAATGGCTGAAACTCACTGCATGCTCCTTCTGGTACCCTTTCAGCTCCTCTTATCTCTTTTCTGTTTGGAGATCCTCCATGAGATTTTCTATAAGGTAATGAAAGTTATGCTGCTTAAAAAAAAGTCTTAAAAAGTGGAGAAAGTTCAGACTTATTTAAACAGACCTGGATTCAAACTACAGTCCAGTCACTTACAACCCATGTGGTCTTTAGACCAATCCCTAACCTTCTCCAAGCCTTGTTTTCTTTGTGAGTAGAATGAGGATCGTAATGTCTATTGTTATCTCTGAGTCGCTGTAAGGATTAAAAAGTAGAGTGTTATTGCATGCGTCCTCACCCTCAGTAAACGTTTGCTGATAGTATTCTGCATTAGAAATTGAAGAGTACCAGACATTATTGAAGCATCACTTTTTCTTTTTTTCTGTCTCCTTCTACTCATCTGCCTCTGTTAGAGGAGCTCAGGAAAAAGTATTAGCTAGGCTTTTTTTTTTTTCTTTTTCTTTCTGGAAGGCAATAGTTCTCAAAGTGTGGACTCGATACCAGCAACATAAACATCGAGTGGGAATTTAATAGAAATGCCAAATGTCAGACCCCAACCCAGAACTGTGAATCAGAAACTGGGGGTGGAGCTTAGCAATCTATGTTTCAAGCCTTCTAGGTGATTCTGATGAAGTTTGAGAACCACTGTAAAAAGTAGAGATTCACGTGGGCTAGCCAGCTAAAGTGGGAGCCGGTGAGGTTGAGGGTGGGCGGAGGTAGTCAGTAGCAGAGACAGGAAACGAATAGGAACTGGGCCTCTCAAGGAAGGGAAACCAGATCTGAGGACCTCTGCAGCTGCAGTTGATGAGTCTTCACCCTGATGCTGCCTCTCCCATGCATGACTCAGTCAACTTCTAGGGCAGTGATTCTCTCCTGGGCAATTTTGCCTCCCAGGGGAATTTGGCAATGTCTGGAGACACTTTTTATTGTCATGACTGGGGAGTTGCTACTGGCATCTGGTGAGTAGACTCCATGGATGCTGCTAGGCACCCTACAGTACACAGGACAGCCCCTATGACAAAATATTATCCAGTCCAAAATGTCCACAGTGCTGAGGCTGAGGAAGCCTCTTCTAGAGATTGTCCTCCCAAGCTGCTCGTCTCTTTTTCCTTCACCAACTAAGGCTTTACCTTGTACCTAAGAAATTCAATTGGCTTTTTTGAACCTTATATGGGTTCATACATGGGCCTCAGAGAGTCCACAAACTTGCACAATTCTGTTATTGTGTATGTATTTATTCTGCCTGTTGGGGAAGGGAGCTTTCATCAAATTCTCAAAGGTTGTATTCTATGTTCATTCTGCGTATGATTTCCCTACCTCACATTTTCTGCTCATTCATCACTTCTCTTTGCCACACTGCCGTTTTTCTACTTCATAACTTCTCAGCTGCTTCTCACATTGCTGCTTTCTTATCGTGGCCATATTTCCCAGTTCGAATTCCGAAGGTAAGGAATCTGATTATCCTGCTCTCCCCTATTCGGACAAAGCTTTTCCCACCAGACAACCTCATAGGCCCCTGGCCTTCCCACACCACAGCTGCCCTGGGTTCTGGTCAGGTCCCCCATGGGATGAGGAAGGCCAGTAGGGAGTCAATGTCACCCAGAACAAAACATGGCTGCCCAAGGCAGGCTCCCTCAGGACGGGCACTGGCTGAGGCAGGCATCGTGATTGCCGCGTCTAACAAAGATGGTCAGAAAACCCTAGGGTTAGGTTCTGGCTAGAGAAGCCACAAAGCACCTGGAAAGACAGGAAGATACTGGAGTCAATCTGAAACTCCAGGGTGTGGCAAACACATGTAGACCCTCAGAAGCCTAAGAGGAGGTTTTGCAGAACCACGAGGAAAAAATAACTCAGGGACCAGAAATAAGGGTCAGGACTCAAAGCAGTGGACATAATCAGGACAGAACAGGCCGAAGTGCAGACACAAAACAGATCAATAAAACCCAACAGCTCAGCAAAGGTGAGGCAGCTGTGTCTCCCTCTGGCTGCCTTTTCTCCCCTCCTCTCTCACCAGAAGCCAACGCGTACACGCTGAGTGGAGAGGCCGCGAGGACAAGACAGTGGGACATGCGTGTGCTGGGGAAGTCGAGAAGCAGGACAGGAGGCAGGTCTGAGAGATCTGGTTTGTGTCTTGTGCCCTGGTTCTCTCTGCATTCCTTCTCTGTCTCTTTTTCCCTTCCTCATGCCTTTTCCTTAGCTGATTTCCCTAGGACAGAATTATTTTCTTTTTCGGACTGAATGATAAAGAAGTATTTGTTTCCTAAGTCTTCATTTCAAAAGCAACAGGATAGAACTCTCTAAGAAAAAAAAAAAACACAAATCTCTAAATGACATTAAATTACATTTTTATTTATGTAGCCTTGAATGGATTGTTCTACTTTCAGTCAGTAGATTTAAAAGGGGAAAAAAAACATGTTCCTCAGTCCAATGTTATAGATGGCTTAGATGACTGGGCTGCGTTACACCAGCACCAGGAAATATCTAGAGCAGTGGTTCTCAAACTTTGCTCCACATTAGAATTTTAACCCTCAGGCGGCACCCCACGCCATTAAATCAGAACATCTAGGGATGGGAGCCAAACAGCCGTAGTTTTTAAAGTTTCTCAGATGATTCCAATGTGCATCACTGGAGACTCACTGTCTAGGAGGTGATTTTAATAAAGCCCTGATCCTTGCTTGCTTTCTTGCCACTTTACTTTTCCACCAGTAGAATGTAACAAAAGACACCTTTTATTTTTCAGTTAATTAAATTAAATCCCAGTTCATTGAGGTTGTGCTCTAATTTCATGCCAGAAGGCAACCAGCCGGGTAGTTGCTTACTTCAGTCAAAACAACAGACCAGCATTTTGGCATCGTGTAGTCAAGCAATGTTTTTATCCACTGATGAGTGGTTGTTAGTTTAATCTTCAACTTTGTAACTTGGTGTTTAAATTTATCCAAACACAACTTTGGACCCTGGAGATATCCGGACTTATTTACTGCCCACCAACCCCCTCCCCCACTCCCCGCCCTTATTCACCAGAGTGACCAGAAAGCAATATGATCTTCACAGCGCCAGATCTTGCTGTGATAATCCAAGGAAAGAGGAGCCATCAAGCCACTCAAGCAACATCTCAGCTGCTCAGTAAATCTTTCAAGAGCTCACCCAAGTCCCAATCTCAGCTTCCTGATTTCTTTTCCTCTTTATATGTGAAGGGTTTTGTTGTTTGTTGTTTATTTTTTTTATTTTCATAGGTTTTTGGGGAACAGATGGTGTTTGGTTACCTAAGTTCTTTAGTGGTGATTTGTGAGATTTTGGTGCACCCATCACCCGAGCAGTATACATTAAACCCAATTTGTAGTCTTTTATCCCTCACCCCCTTCCCAACCTTTCCCCAAGTCCCCAGAGTCCATTGTATCATTCTTATGCCTTTGCATCCTCATCGTTTAGCTCCCACTTATGAGTGAGAGCATACAATGTTTGGTTTTCCATTTGTTGTTCATTTTTTAATAAACATGGTTGAAAAGACTAGGCTATAGTAGGTCAGTAGGGCCTGTTTCTGAGTGTGGTCTGTTTTGCCAGCACATTCTCATGACCACTTGGCAAAAATGAGACTGTGACATTTTTTTGCTCCCAACAGATGTATTTTTGGTAGCCCACAGGTTCTTCATTTGTTTGTTTACAGTCTTTAAGGAGAGAAAACATGCTGTGAGGAAGGGATCAGATTGAAAACTGCTTAATCTGATGGGAAAAGCCTGAAACACAACTTATTGATGGTCTTCAAAACTATGACAGGTTAGAAGGAAGAACATTCAAGCTAGTTGGTCTCTATTTCCATGGAGGAAGTGAGCTTAAAGTGCAGTTAATTGGGAGTATAGTGAGCCAGAGACAATAACTTTGGAATTAAATAACAAATTTGGCTGCTAAGAAAGTCTATGGCATCTCCATTCCTAAAGAATCAGTTTGCTGTGGAATGGGAGTCAGAAATGGGTGGGTTACAATTCTGCTTTGGTCTCTGACTCACCAGGTGTTACATGGCTTTTCAGGGCCTGTGTTAGTCAACATTCCCCAGAGAAGCAGAACCAATGGGATATATATAGGTATACATGAGAGGAGATTTATTATGGAAATTGGCTCACACGATTATGGAGGCAAGAAGTCCTATTATGTGCCGTCTGCAAGCTGGAGCCCCAGGAAAGCCAGTGGTGTAATTCAGTCTTATTCTGAAGGCCTGAGAACCAGGAGATCTGATAGTGTAGCTCCCACTCCACGGCCAAAGCCTGAGAACAAGAGAGAGGCCTGGTATAAGTCTGAGAGTCTAAAGCCCTAAGAACCAGGGGTCTGAAGTCCAAGGGCAGGAATAGAGGGATGTCCCAGCTCAAGGAAGGAAAATTTTCACCCCTTCCATGTTTTTGTTCTATTCAGGCCCACAGTAGATTAGATAAAGCCCACCCACATTGGTGAGGGTGGACATTCTTTACTCAGTCTATGGATTCAATACCAAGTGTACTGGGTGTTTCTCCCAGAAGCACCCTCAGAGACACATCAGAAATAATATTTTATCAGCTATCTGGGCATCCCTTAACCCAGTCAAGTTGACACAAAATTAGCCATCACAGGGTGTCAGCATCCTCATCTATCAAATGAGAAGTTGAGCTGGATAATCCCCAAAGTCCCTCATTGCATACGAATGTCCTATGATATTTAACAATAGGACATGTAGCCTTCTGCCTTGAGAAATTTAGGTACTAACAGAAATTGTTTCCCTGAGGTCCCTTCAACTTCAACAATTTAGAGTAATTCACCAATGTGTTTCCTATTTTGAATAGGACTAATGTGTTTCCTATTTTGAATTGCAAAAAATATAAACATATCCATATTTGATACCAAGAAATTAGTAATTCTGTTGGATGTGAAAAGAACACGGGTTACATAAGAATATGGTCATAATTGCTAGAGATATATACTGAAATAGGTAGGAGTAAAATAACATGATGTCTGGGATTTTTTTAAATAAAATAATATATATCCAGATTTCACAAGATTTCCTTTGGGCTGGAAAGGTTTCTGAATATAGTGCCTGTGTTCTAGAAAGAGGGGTCAGGAGCCTAGAGTATGCAGATGTTGATGGTATTGAGTGTTCTGTACACAGAACCAAGAGACTAGAGACTTTAGAGACCACAAAATGCTTTTCCTAAAGACCTAGAACATGAAGGTTTAATTTATTTCCCTTTTTCTCCTCCATGTGTTTTGGATAGGTTGGTAAGTGGAAATCAATTACCCCTGAATAAAATAGAAACCCTGAGAGAGATAAGTGACTTTTCTGGGGATACATGCTAATGACAACATCAAAGCCAGAGTGAGGATTGAAGGGTGAGGTACTATGACTACCTCCCTCTACTCCTCCTTCCCCTCCTGCTGGGGAAATGCCAAAGGTATAAGTATCCTTTTGGCACCATTTGTCCTCCAGGGTTTCTGTGTCTGTCCTGTATCTCCTTATTCATTCTTAAAACTCTTTCTAGTGGTCAGAGCTCTCCTTTAAAGAAAGAATAACAAGACATCATAGCAGTGAACTCAGAGCACTATCACTGGCTTTTCACAGGACATGAGCAACTTTCTCACTGGAGGGGTCAGGGATGCTTGTATGGTAGGTGCTCCTGACTGTGATAACTTCACTTGAGCCTACCCTGAGAATGACCCTGTGTGGCAGATGCACCCAAATATATGTTCAGAGTTCCAAGCTAAGGAATTGGAAGTGGCCATCCCAGAGATTCATTCCTTATCTATGAGGAACATCTGAACCCCAGCCCGTCCCAGGGAATGTGGGCCATACAGGGGATCAGCATCCTTTGTTTGGGGTTAAATGAAGGTTGCCAGGCTGAGGTTGCTAGGGGGAGGGTGTTAAGTGAAAATGTTTTATAAACTGCATGCCTTTTGCCAGCGATTGTGGTTCTTCTTACCAGCCCACTGCCACTGGACCAGCAGTTCTCCTGTCCAGCCCGCCACCACTAGACCCTCTCCCCTGTATGTAAACCCCCAGTAAAACCCCAGTGTCTCATTTTCTAGCTCTGGATCTCTTCTTCAGCCTCTTGAACCTAGTGCCATCCCCTTTGGAGTTGATAGGGATTCAGCACATCACTGCTACACTAGAATAAAACATGTGCTGTGTCCACATTAGGCCAACAAAATCCCATACCATCCAACTTTTTTCACTGATTAAAAATACTATTAAATTTTAAATTGGTTCATATAAGAAGTTGCAGAAAAGGTGTTTGTAGGCAAATCCAGCTGACTCACATATAAATCATCTGTATTAGTTTATTAGGGCTGACATAACAAAGCACCACAACTAGATGGCTTACAACAACAAAAATGTATTTTCCGACACTTCTAGAGGCAACAAGTGTGGAATCAAGGTTTCAGCAGGGCCATGCTCCCTCTGAGATGCTGGGTGGAGTCCTCCCTTGCCTCACCCTAGCCTCTTGTGGTGGCAGCACTCCTTGGCATTCCTTGGCTTGTAGCTGCATCACTCCGATCTCTGCCGCTGTTTTCCAAGGTGTCCTCCCCGTGTGTCTCTTCTCTGTCTTATAAAAACATCCGTCCTATTGGATTAAGGGCCCACCCCACTCCATTATTACTTCATCTTAACCAATTACATTTGCAAGGACCCTATTTCCAAATGAGGTCACATTCTAAGGTACTGGAGGACTTCAGCGTCTCTTTCGGGAGGATGCAATTCAACCCATAACACCATCCAAACAAATGACATTATGAGAAGGTTTCCATTTTTGTCCTCTGTTGTGGTTAGATTCCTGATTTTACATAATTTAGAGCTAAAAATTTACTTCCTGTCTGAAAAGTGATTTTTGACAAGGATTGAGATCACAACTCGAGTTCTGTGGCCATTGCTTGCCCTTTCAGAATCACTTGTCCCATCCTGTGTGCCATGTTCCAAAGAAGCCAGGTGAGCAGATGCTGGCGACACAGGGATGACAGCATAGACTACAGCTTTAAGTGAAAGGGACTCATGACTCAACCCTGTAGCTTGCCCTTGCTATGGTTGCCCCACCCCTCCCAACTCCTTATTCCTCCTGCTTTGCTGAAACCACAGCTGCCTTGAATCGAGCCATTTTGATTCTGCCGCAAATGAGCTGTAAACCAAATCAAGCCACATCAAACAAATCCAACCACCATCAAAAGCAAGTTAGTCAATTTTTGTTTTCTTTGCAATGGGGAGGGGTCATAAAAGCCTTGTATATCCCAGGGCAAATATTAATCTGTCTGAAGAGTCAGCTTGCCAACGGGTAATCAGCAAACAGGTTGGTGCTCATGAGAGCTGCACAGACTGGTAGTTGAGGATATTCGGTGCCAGGAGCAAACCCCAGCAGGCACCCTTGGTAAATCTGGCAGGCTCTGTGACTTCACCCTCTGCATTCGGAAGCAAGCATTCAAACTTTGACAGGCTTGCGACATGCCCAGGGTAAGTCACCTGGCTTCTTGGATTCTGGACAGATATCCTTGTGCCACAAGCTCACTTCTCTTTCTCTGCTTCAGGACTAGGTCCTTCAAGGGGATAGCAGAGAAAGCATGTTTGCAGAATCCATGCCTTGTGCCCACTCCCACCCTACTGCTTGGCACTTTTAGGGAAAGTGGGAAGGAGTAAAGTTACTCTGTCACTGGCAGAGGAGGGACAGTAAAGGGAAGAAGAAAATGGGAGAAATGAGAAATAGGTACCCAATGAGTAAAAAAAAAAAAATTGATTACAGTGCTTAAAACCTATCACTACAGTGGTGATGTTTCTGAATGATAGAGAGGGTGGATTTGGCAAAGCTTCTGGAATCTTTTCAGACTTGAGGTCCACCTCCTGTCTTGAGACCAGTTAAGTTTCAACCCCACATTTGCTGTGGTTGATCCCTTGACCTTTGTGTAAATCCTCCCAACTTTGTTAGGCCAGAGGAATGTGGAGTAAGGGTTCTGAGTTGTACAGTTCCACAGTGACTCATCTGGCCAATACCTTAAGGATGCAGGAAATCTGAGCAGAGAACAAGACTCCCTCAATATTTAGAAACTGGATTGAGATTTCAATCCAAAGGATACAATTTGCCCATCACCTTAGTTGCTTGTACAGTAAATTGAGCACGTCAATAACACTAAGAGAACTTTTTCTCTTGATGCCTAAATGCCAATCACAATTTTTCTTAGTTCTCTCAATTGGCATCCTGGTTCCTGTCTCACTCCTACTGTAGTGCACACTTACAGAAATGAAAGCTGCCTACATAACCACCACCAGCATCCAGAAAGGAGAGAATTTGACACCATCTCTTTTTATCTCCACCAGTTTCTGCTTTTTAGTCATTAACAAATGGCTCTGGTTCCCTTTGCAGTGAAGACCCACAGAGGCAGAAGTCCCTGCTCTGAGTCAGTTCAGCTCTGATTTTGAACACTGACTGGGTGCTCAGCAGTAAGGGTTGAAAGGAAAAAGAGGGAATACGGGGAAGGAGGCAGAGATGGAGACAGATTTACAGGTCTTGCCTGAGAGTTGTGCTTGATAAGCAGAGAGCCAATTATCTCTGCAACTCCACCTTCCCAGCAGTCAAATACTTGATGGGCAGGTTAAAAAGTGAGGAGGTGAGGACAAGATTAATTATCAAGTCTCAGAGGAGGTGAATGAAATGCCTTCTTGTTCATTGCTATTTATTCAAAAAGAGCTGCTGAACATGAAAGAATATTATCATTTTTGCAAATAATTAGAGGAAATAATAGGCTTGTATTTTTTAAGCAGCTTTATTGTGATATACTTTATGTTCCACAAAGTTCACTTGTTTAAAGTACAGCCAGCCCTTTGTATTCGCAAGTTTTACATCCATGAATTCAACCAATCAAGGATAAAACATATTCTGAAAAAAAATGATAATACAATAAAAATAATACAAAATGTAAAACAATATAGTGTAACAAATATTCACTTGCTATTTACATAGTATTCGCATTGTATTCAGTATTATAAGTAACCTAGAGATGATTTAAAGTATATGGGAGGATGTGAATAGGTCTTATGTAAATACTACAACGTCTTGTATCAAAGACTTGCGCATCTGTGGATCTGGTATTCTAGTATTCATTAGATCCACAGATGCGCAAGTCCTTGATAGAAGATGCTATAGTATTTGCATATAACCAATTTGTATGTGGAACCAATCCCCCATGAATACTGAGGGACAACTGTATACAATTCAATGGATTTTAGTATACAGATGCTCCTCAACTTACAGTGGGGTTAGATCCCAACAAACTCATTGCAAGTTGAAAGTTAAAAATATTGTTTAAGTCAAAAGGATGTTTTCAACTTATGATATTTTCAGCGTATAGTTTATCTGGACCTAACCTCATCAAGAAGCAGGTTGAATGCCTATCTCTTTTGCACCCTCATAAAGTCAAGGAATCATGGAACTATAGTAAGTTGGAGACCATCTGTATTTACAGTTGTGCAACCATCACTATAATCTAATTTTAGAACATTTCGTCACCCCAAGAAGTACATGACAGCAATCACTCTCCACTCCTTTTTCTTCCTGATCCCCAGCCCCTGGCAACCACTCATCCACCTTCTGTTTCCATAGATTAGCTTTCTAGACATTTCACGTAAATGGAATCATGCTATCTGGGGTCTTTCGTGCCTGGCTTCTTTCACTTACGATATTGTTTTCTGAGGTTTATTCGTGTTGTAGCATGTATCAGTGCTTCCTTTTTTTCTATGGCTGAATAAAATTCCACTGTAGGGTTATACCACATTTGTATATCCATTCATCAGTTGATGGACAACACACTAGTATTTTAACTAAAGAGCAAAGTGCCATGATCTCTTTAATCTGAATTGTACACCTTTTTAGCTGTACATGAGTTACTATGACAGTTTCTGATCTTAATATCTTAGATTTAAGCGTATTTAGTATTGATAATAAAAATGACTTCTGTTTAAGTTTGTGGAGAGTTGGGGTTTGCAGGATGATGTAATGGTGATAGCACAATAATGTCATGATATTTACATCTGTGTTTTTCAACTATCTTAATAGAGTGGGTCTGTATTTAAGACTCCATTCCTCCCTTCTAATAAAATAACATTTGAATGACTGGAGTTTTCTTAATGGCATGCACATGGAACACTGCACCTGCAGTTGTGTGTTCAGCTGACAAGTTCACAGCTGAGTGTGAAGCCAAGCTACAGCAGGTCTTCCAGGGGTCTACTTGCCACGTGGTCCTGTCTGTTGGCATCAGATTTGCCCTTCACAGCTTCTGGCTTAAGTATGAATGAGAAGGCATGAAAAAGAGGAGGGACTGGGAGCAAGGAGTTCTGCAGGTCTTAGAATCCTCCCTGGGATACATATTTAGGCAGTTCTTACTCCAGGTGGCAAAACCCTGCACAGCCATTCTTCTTACATGAGGAGTAGAGGCCGACTGAAGGCTCTACGATCCTGGCATGGCCATCTCCTATCTTTGGGACATTGAGCCAGTATTTAGCCCATCTCTTTCTCATCAGCAAGTGAAGATAATAATGGTTCTTATTTCCTAGAGATGTTTTGAGGATTCCCATAATTCCTGGCACGTACCAGATGTCCAATCAATGTTAGCTGTTAATAATCATTAGCATATATTAATTACTTGCTATTTCCTAGATACTGTGTACATTCACAATCATCCAAAAAGGTAGCAAAAGGTAGCAATAGATATTTCCACTTTACAGGTGAAGAAATAAGACTCAAGGAACTTACATGCCTTGCTCAAGGTCACAAGACTAGATAGTGGCACAAGTCGTATTTAGATCCCTTTTGGTCCGATTCAGAATCCTATACACATCCAGTGAACCATGCTGCCTATATGTAATGAATCGGGTGGGCCAATATTCACACACAGTAACACAAAGAAAAAAAATCCTCCAATTTTTTAAAATTAAAATGAATGATTGATGCAATTGGACTACTTTGGAAAATAATGTCACCAAAACCGATGAGGGGGAAATAAAAGTGAGAACCTGGGATGAAGCAATTGGGACAAATTTGGGCCTTAAAGAATCTCAAAGCACATTATTTGCTCAATGCTATAATCTTCCCAGCTCTGGGGAGCCAGATCCCCTGGCTTATGGAGACCAAAAGAAACTACACATGGCACTCTCGGGCTAAAAAACAGTACATGGACTCATTTCCATCAGCTAGAGATGAGTCTATTTGCCCATGCTAATATTTCAGTTCTCAACTTAATAGCTTAAGATGTTCCCATTATCAACATCACTTACCTACCCACAGCACTTTTAAATTAGCCTTGGGAAAAATGAGTAAACAGAAGCACAGTTTATCATTCTGCCAAGTGCAGCTACCCCTGAAGAAGGCAGCTTTGGATAGCAAAACAGACAACTAGATTGAAAAACAGAAGTGTCAGCCTTGACACATGCTACTAATTTGCTGCTTCGTAAGGGTCATTTGCTGTGTTGCCCAAGAGTGAGGGAGAAAACAGTTCAAAGGTCAAGGACAAATGGCATTTAGATGTTCCCCAACCAGGCTGACATAATTGGAAAACTAAAACCCATCGCCTGCTAACATTCCCCTCTCAACAGTCTTCCTGATTATGCAGTGTAAAATAGGAACAATTTTGGCTACTGATCTTAAATAATCCTAAGCCCTGGATACTAAGACCAGGAAATATGTATTCTCTTATACTTTTAGATGTTCTCAATTGAAATTAACATGAACATAGCAATTTTCCACTTTAATTAAAAGAGTGTGTTCTTTTTCCACTCATGGTATTAGTGGCTTCAAATGCTTAAAGAACCTTTACAGAAAACCCCTTATGGGGATTAAGAGATCAGGACAAAGATAACATTTTAAGAATGTTCTTAATATTGCAATGAATTGGGAATTATTTTTTAAACCATTTCCTTTAGAAGTCTAAACAGTGTCTTTTCATCACTCGGAGGTATTTTTTAATCACTAGTTCCCAGTTCACTTTAAATTATTAGTGTAGCCCTAGCTTGTAAATGCCCCTCACCATCAGGGAAAGATGGATTTACACTCATGACCTCTGAACTAAACTAAGCAGAAAGTCATTTCGTTCAGGTCCACTGCTGGTGGCCACCTCATCCCCATGTCCAACCCATCATTGTCCCAATCAAGATGATCGTTGGCCAATTTCTACAGACTCACATTCAGGCCAAAGTTACTCACTGGACTGGAACAACCACCTGTGTTTCAGTGATGCTGATTTGGTCCTCTCATGCTTGTAAAATCCAGCTCTAAACTTTACTGTTGCTTGCTGGTCAATCAAGGAGACTTGGACTTTGCTTCTTTTTAAATTATCAGTAGTGTTATTTATTTACCTCCAAAAGGATTCTAAGTAACCCACTCTAGATATAGATCTGCTAATAACCAGTACTGTGGCCTTGGCAGGTTATAACAATAATAAAACTTCTAACTTTTCAGAGTGTTTCACTGTTACAAAGCACTTCCATACACCTTCTCTTGTTAAAGTTATTACCCTCAGAGAACACCAATTGACTGATACACTTCTGATAAAGATAGCAGATGAAAAACATTTTGGAAAATAAGGGCTCTGGACAAATTCAAAGGTAACCCTGTTAATCTATTGACTGGTGGGCCTAGAATTTCAGGGTGTTGATCCAACTCTAACTTCAATTCTGGCTCCCAGAGAAGTCTGCCATCATGGTTATTTGTCAAGAACGAGAGGTCAGAAATGCCAAAAATAGGAGTTAGGGTGAGTATTCTGTCAAAAATTCGTACAAGGAACTTCTTTTATAAAATAAATAAATTAAGGAATTTGGCCTGGATGTCAGTGCCTGCAAAAGGGACTTCAATATTCCCCAGTAGATTACTATAAGGATATCTAAACTCTGGACTAGGGGTTATAGACTACAGATAAAACTGTAAGCCTCCTGCCTCCTACAGTCATAGCATTTCGGAGTTGAAAGTCCCTTTTCTGGTCTTGTAGCCCTGATCCAAGTTGCTAACCCCTCTAGGATTTTACGTTGTCTCAGCATAAGCATGCACCATGAGGAGGAGCTCACCTCCTACCAGAGTGGCCCATTTCATCCTTGGCCGTAGCAATCTATTGACTGGTGGGCCTTAAAATTAAAAAGCTACTTTGCCTTGTAATATGACCCATTTGTTTTAGCTCTGCCCAGCCATGGGCAATCGGAATGTCCGGTAAAGAACTCCTCTACCATTTTACTGAACCCAAATTTGCCTTAATGTAATTTCCACCAGTTGGAAGGTCTCTCTTCTTGTGCCTTTGGATACATTTTTTTGATGACTATAGCAGCCCTGAATGATTTCAGAGACAGAGCACAAAGCTCCTGAGAGCTAGTACATTGTCCTTCCCAGTCTTAACTTCTCCTTGTCTTCTATATCATCTATATCTTTCCCTTTTCCTCTGACATCTTCCCCCAGCTCTGTTATAATTCTTTCAGAAATTAAACACAAATTCCTACATGGAAGGCAGAGGAATTCAGTGAAAAGAGCAGAGGAACTTGGTCCAATCCCTGACAAGTTTCCACGTTTAAAGCCTCATAAATACTATGATTTCCCTGATGGGGGTGGGAGGGTAGAATGACAGACTATAAGTGAGTATTTATTATAAGCGTCAATGTACTATAAAGCTACTGAATACTTTAACAGTAAATTCTAAAAGACCTCAAGCAGCTTAGCTCCTTGTTTTACATCAGAACACATTAAAGAGAGAAGCAGCCTGACTTTTCCAAGGACCACGGGACCAGTTAGAGTTAGAAACAGAACTTAGATTTTCTGACTCAAAATCCCTTGCTCCCTCCACTGTCTCTCTGTTAAACAATGAAATCAATAACATCATCCAGGCAAAGGCCCTAGAATAGCACCCAACATGTATTAGGTGCCCAATTATTATAGGCTGAATAAATATGTGAGTGGACAAATCAGTACATGAATAACTAGGACTCATTTTCAATGATGACATTATACAAGTTCCCTCCAAATGTCACTTATGTTTTTAGTCATTCTTTAATTAGCTCCCTATTAAGAAGCTTGGTTCTCAAAGTGTACTTATGAAGATTAAATGAAATAAAGCATTAAAGTGTTTAGAAACAATGTCTGGCAGCCAATAAATGTTAACTAATTGCTGTCTTTCTGTTTTTTAGCCATTTTTAAAAGTAAGATTATGCTGATGCTGTCAGGAGTCTCTACTCTGAAAATCACTTTACAATCCACTAACGAAAGGAATTCTGGAATTGCAAAAGGATTACTACTATTTGTCAATTCCTATCCTTCACCTGTAACTAGGCCACCCACACCTACCCCTTGTAGTTGGCACCCATCAAGACACAAACAAAATATTGGATTCTTTCGCTTCCTCATCTGGGCTTGTGTTTACTCCACCCCTGACCTTTGGGCACTGTCTCCCATTCCCAGTCAACACTTGCCAATTGGACCTGACAGTTGACTTGACTTTACCCTATTTATCTTGCTCCCTCTGTCTCCATCTCAATCTCAATCAAGATTTTGTAATTCCCCTTTGGTTCCTCCACTCTCAGCCACCCTGGTACCTCTACTCCTAAACAAGGCCCATGCCTTTGACTCAAGTGGATGTGCTTGCTTCTGCTCAAGTTCAGCCTGCCCCAAAAGAGTGATTCCCAAGTGCTTTATTGGATAAACTTCCTTTTCATTCAAGAGCTCCACATGCATGTCTATAAATTGCCATATGTAATCTCTATCAATTGCCAGAAATCTTGCAGATTTCTTTCTGAATCTGAGTTTATCTGACAATTTGTCAGGACTAAAGACTAACATTGGCCTAACGTCAGTTTATCTGACAATTTGTCAGGACAAAAGACTAACCTTGGGCTAATGTCAGTAAACAAGAAAGAGCTCAGGAACAGAAAACCAAACACCGCATGTTCTCACTTATAAGTGGGAGCTGAACGATGAGAACACATGGACACATAGGGCAGGAGGTTGGGGGAACAACACATATTGGGGCCTATCAGGGCGTGGGGAGGGAGAGCATCGGGAAGAATAGCTAATGGATGTTGGGCTTAATACCTGGGTGATGGGTTGATCTGTGCGCAAACCACCATGGCACATGTTTACCTATGTAACAAACCTGCACACCCTGAGCATGTACCCCAGGACTTAAAAGTTGAAGAAAAAAAAACAAGAAAGAACTTCAGTAAATTCATCAATTAGGTTTATACCTGTGGTTCTGGTGTGGACAAGAAGTATTTATTATCTTTTTAATCTCCATGTCTTGCTAAATTCATCAATTAGGATGATATCTGTGATTCTAGTGTGACAAGAAATATTTATTGTCTTTTTAATCTCCTCATGTCTTGTGATGAATTACCATGTATTATTTTCTCATTTGTTAATTGTGTATCAACTCCCACTTTATTCCACCCAGAATGTAAGTTTCTTCAGAGCATGGACTTGACCTGTTTATATCCACAGCTCTATCATCAGCACCTAAAATACTATTTGGCAAATAGTAGGCAACCAATTGTTATTGGTTGAATACTGAGTGAATGAAAGAATAAATGAATGACCCAGAAGCAGAATGGAATTGTGGTTGGAGCACAGCCTTTGGCATCAAAGAGATCTCGGTTCAAGTTTTGGATATGCAACTTCTTAGCTATGAGTCTTCTCTGAATTTCAGTTTCTTCATCAATAAAGTAGGGGTAATAATAGTGCCTACCTCATAGATTTTGGGGAGCATTAAATAAGATAATGCCTGTAAGGTTCTTAGCATGATAGCTGGCATATTTTAAGAACTTAGTAAATGTTGTGTATTATTTTCGGTGAAAGTCCTCAAATGTTGAAGCTTATCAGAGGTAATTGAATTATTTAATATGGCTGGTAGTGATGATTGTACTAAAGACAAATTAGTACAATTAGTCTGTCAGCAAGATTTGATTTAAAGAGTCAGGCTGACAAAAAAAATGTATTGGTCACACCCACCATATTTAAAGCACTATACTAGGCTTTCAGGAGGGGGTGGGATGCAAGGATGGATATGACACAGCCCCTTCCCTCTAGGAACGTAGAACTGAGAAGATTTACTATGTGTGCACTGTACCATGCTGAAGATACAGAAATGTGAGGCAGTGTTACCTCCCACATCATCCAACTTACTCTCCATGCTCTGCAGAAAATTCTTCTAAAACACTCAGCCTTTGCTTTGAACCCCTATAATGACAAGAAACTCACTGACTTATGAAACAGATGATTCTCTTTGGGAACAGTAGTCACCACTAGAATGATCTTAAAATTAGCACAAATCTACCCCCCCATGGTTTTTACACATTGATCAAACTTCTGCCTTCTGGGCACCTCTAGAATAAATTCATTTTGCACTCTTCTATCAGAGGTCAGCAAAGTAATGCCTGCAGGCCAGATCCAGCCTGTTTATTTATATAAATAAAGTTTTATTGGAACACAGCCAAGCTTATTCATGTACATGTTGTCTACGGCTGCTTTTGTACTACAGTAACAGAGTACTTGGAACATTTCAGCCTACAAAGCTGAAAATATTTACTATTTGGCTCTTGAAGAAAAACTCTCTCAACTTCTGCTTTATGTGACAGAATTTGGAGATAAACAACATGCTTTTTCCTAAAGTGAGGAGCAGGGAAATGAGCACAGTACTCCAAGTGGGAGCTAATGTAGAATTCACAGAACTAAGTAGTACTATCACCTCCCCTGTTCTGGATGCCATACTTCAAATAATGTGACCAGAGATCAGGTTGGTCTTTGACTGACACACAATACTCAAGTATATAAAAGATGAAATCTGTGAGTTATTTCCCCCAGGAGCTTCTATTAAATTATGTCTCCCCACCCCATAATGGTATATCCTCATGTTGGGACCCCACCCCATAATGGTATATCCTCATGTTAGGAAGTATATACAAAATTTTACACCTTTCTTGCTTGTCCAGAGCAATCAGGCACAATTTAGCACATATTCAAGGGCCATCTTAGGGTCAGACAGAAAAAGGATGGCACGCGCAGCTAGGATTTTGAAGAGAATGTAGAGACTCTTTACATGCCCAGGGGTAGGGTTAGAAGAACAAGGGAATTTGTCACCCCCCTATCTGCATAAAGAAGAGTGGAGAGGGAAGAATTTTGCCAGGGCCCAGTGATAGCTGGAGTCATGACTGCTTAACTAGTCTTGTGGTAAAAGATACACAACCACGGCTAGCACCACTCTCTGAGGCAGTCAGGGAGGGAGGGAAATCGATACCCTGATATGCCCATCTCCATGCTCTACCCACTGTGGGTAGAACCCTACTTGAAGCTGGAGGGCACAGGAGTCAGACTCACAGGGCACAGAGCAGGTAAAGAATAGACGTGGGAGCCAGGGCAGAGGATGACAAGGGCTAAGTGGTAAGCCAAGCATTTCCTAAATGCTGAATGAATAGTAGATGAATGGACCAAGTGGGCCCAGGGCCTGTCACTCAATAAGTGTTTGTTGAACTGCAGAAGCCATCCCTTTATGCCCGCCTGCCCCGAAGCCCTCACTGCTGCTATCTGCTGTTCCAGATGTCCCACCCCCAGCACAGCCCTTGTCCTGGTTCTCCACTCCCTCGCTGACCCCTCAGTGTTTCTGCCAAGAGTGTAAAAACAGTCTGGATCTTATTTTGGAGATGACAGAACGGAGCAGGATTTGCTCTGAACAGAACAGGACAACTCTAATCAAAGAGAGAACTTTAAGTTCTAAAATAATTCTTAGAATCTAAAATTTTTTTAAACAGAAAATTTGGTGTCACTGCACCCTATGGAGAAAAATGAGTGGCTCCTAAGAAACGTGCCCCAGACATCTGTGTCAGAGGCTCTGGATCCAACAGACCCCTTATTATCAAATGCCTTGGGGCTGGCTGTCTTATGCTCAGATGGCCCTTGTCACATGGTAGCCTCTGATTGTAAAGACTTCCAGGCTCTTGATTGATCATGCCAACAGCAGCAATGTTGAGAAAGTGGTGTGTGTGTGTGTGTGTGTGTGTGTGTGAGAGAGAGAGAGAGAGGTTGTCAATGGCATGAGGGTGCTAGTGGCCAACCACAGCTTCCTGCCAGTCACCTCCTCCTCTGTCCATTGAGTCAGCATGGAGGATATTCAGCACTGGCTTCCTCAAGGAATAATCCTGAAGATTCTGGATTTTGAAGACTTAGAAAAAGCATTATTTTGTCTGCTACTCTGGTTAGATTATTTGCCTTTGCTTGGAATGGGCAAGACAAAACTGGACATTAAATTATGAATTGCTGTTCATATATATCGAAGCCCATTTTAAAAAGTAGCTGTAGGTTGGGCATGGTGGTTCACACCTATAATCCCAGCACTTTGGGAGTACGAGGCAGGCAGATCATTGACGCCAGGAGTTTGAGACCAGCCTGGCCAACATGGCAAAACCCCATCTCTACTAAAAATACAAAAACTTCGCCAGGTGTAATGACATGTGCCTGTAGTCCCAGCTACTTGGGGCAGGGGGCGGGTGAAATGGGAGAATCACCTGAGCCTGGGGAGGTTGAAGTTGCAGTGAGCTGTGATTGCGCCGTTGCACTCCAGCCTGGGAGACACAGTAAGACCCTGTCAAAAAAAAAAAAGATCCATACCTCTAACAGTTGTCCCTTCATGCCTCCGAGACTCAGGCTAGTCAGTCCCCAGAGTCTGAAAGTTCTTATACAAAACCCAGAATTCCAGTTCATCTATAACTATGTCAGAATTTGTTAAGAAATTTCATTAAAGTCTCCAGGACCAAATTTTATGAAATCTAATCCCAACTAGGATAACTGGCAAAATTTGAGTAAGCTCTATAGATTAGGTAATAATACTGTGTCGATGTTAATTTTCCTACGTTAATTATTGTACTACATTTATGTAGGAGAATTGTCCTTGTTCTTAGGAAAACACACTGAAATATTTAGGGGTAAACATGCATCATGACTGTGACTAGTTCACAAATAATTAGGAAGTAACTTTTATATACAGAGAAGAAAGATTATAAATCAGATGTGGTAAAATAGTAACAATTGAGGTATGTGGGTCGAGGGTATATGAGATTTTTTTTTTTTTTTTACTATTTTATAACTTTTCTGTAAGATTAAAATTACTTCAAAATAAAGCTGCCAAAAAACAAATTCCAGAACACTAGAGCTGTCTCATGCCTATCACTGAGGGGCCAATGTTCAGCCATGCTACGTACTGCAGAGTGAGCCAGAAATGGAATCTCCCGTTTTGTCATCTTGGAGCTAAAATGAATCATTTCCTCTTTCAGCTAAAGAACTCTCCTATTCATGGAGGCGAACACTGAGGATGCTTTCCACATGAACCCTGAAGGTAAGGGGGACTTGTTCTCATGCCCCTCGGTCACACCACCCATCTGCCCCACTGTCCGTTTCATCCAGGGCAGGGGCTCAACTATCTTGGTTTACAGAATATCATCTCAAACCAGTCAATGTCTACACTGGCACATTCTGCTGTCTTCAAAGGCTGTTTCAGTCTCCCCAGCCTGTCCAGCTCAGAAAAACTGATGTTCATCCTTTTCTGTTTTTCTCAAAGAAAATACCAAAGCTTTTAATAGCTGATATCTCCTAGTGGTGCAATCATGAGAGATTTTTATTTTCTCCTTGTAGTTTTCTGTAATTGAGAGATTATCGACAATGACTATGTTACTTCTATAATCAGAGAGAGAAATATTGTGCTTGCTTTTATTTTCTTAAGCAACTCTACATAAATTCTTGCCACAACTTTCTGGGCCCCGTAATGTTACTGCTGTGTCTCCTTCCTCCCAGCCCTCATGGCAGGACTCATGTGTGACAGGCTCTGGGTCTTCTCTCATCTGCCAGTGGCAAGGAAACCCTAGGCTGCCAGGACTGCTTAGCAAATAGATCATGAAGTATTACGACTCCATTTTACAGATGGAGAAACCAAGCCCCCTGACTTCCCTCTGTCTACACTACAGGCAAATGGGATCTGGACCCACTGAGATGAGCTCGACATGTACGACTTTGAGGCTGTACTCTCTCATTCAGAGGAAGTTAAGGAGCCAGGAAGATAGGAAAACAATGAAGTTATTGGTTGAAGAAAATCCTAGACAAAATTTTCCTGGGACTTCTTGGGGCCATCTAGGGAAACTTACTAGTCTTCCCACATTGAAACATGATAGCCCCTTGAGAGCCATCATGCCGCTTTGGTGTCAAGTTCTGAGCCTGAACTTGCCCTCTGGGCCAGGGTTTCTCAAACAACAGTGTAGGCATTCTGGGTCGGATCGTTTTGGGTGGTGGGGCTCCTCTGTGCATCATTTGATGCTCAGCAGCATTCCTGGTGTCTCCCACTAAATACCAGAAGGACACCACCCCACCCCAGCTCTAACAACCAATGACATCTCCAGACAGTTCCAAGGAGGACAAAACTCCCCCCAACAGAAGTAACAATAAAATAATGTTTCCAGGCTTTGCCAAATGTCTTCCAGGTGGGGACAAAATTATCCTACCAAAAACCACTGCTTTAAGTTGCCTCAGCCCAGCAGAAGCTTTTGTTTTTCATGGAAATCGACTGAAATTTATAGTGTTCACAATAACATTAGCAAATACTTGCAGAAGAAGTGTCATCAGTCATCAAAACGCTCTGGGTACAAGAGTGCCCCACAGCATAATAGCCCTGCCCAGGAGCATCTGGTAACATTGGAAGTGGTGAATCGACCCATTCAGACTTCTCTGTGCTTTCTCCCGTCTTGGCTTCTACCCCTTCATGCCAAATGCCTCATGCTATTTACTGGAAGGAAAGGCAAATGAAGGAGAACAGGGCAATGCTGAGTACTGAGTGGACCTTTCCTTTAAGAGTTTGAAGAGGTCAGAAAGCACCCAGTAGTCAGAGCTGTGTTGCAAAGCTCCCGGAAAATTTGGCCGCTACTTTGTATTTGTGTGTGTATTCATTATTCATAGACATGTATTCATAGACAACATTATTGCTCAAAAGATTTGAGACATATTCTCCACTTCACTTTATATAATTTTAACTTTTTACAGCAAACAGGTCACCACTCTAAAGAGTGGCTTAACCAGAAATCCTTTTTTAAAAAAAATTAACCAAATAGTATAAAGTAGATAAGGTGGCAGTAGCAGATTTATCTGTGGTACCAATTGGCAAACCAAGGCCCTAAAAGGAAATTCCAAAGCCCTAGGGTTTGTACACACACTTCCTATTCATCTTTAAGTGCACCTCATGGACCTTTTATTCCTCTGATTGATCTTCCCTGACCCCTGCACCCAGCCTCCATCATCCTCCACCCTTTCCCAACCTGGTGTTTGGATTACAAAGATACTTCTGATTCCAGTGGCTATCTGTGAAATCACAGGCAGGAACTTGAAAGCAGTTGCATGGTCATCCAAGAGAAACAGAAACACAGCTCAGTTTCAGGGTGAAAAGAACATCCAGAAAGCAATATTCATAGAAGAATTCAGAGGGGGGGACCCTCCTTAAAAGAGGGGATTAAAAGTTAAGAGTAAAATTGCAATTCCTGTCCAAGACTTGACCCAAAGTGCCGCAGTCCATTTTGCAGCCTTTTATATGATGTCTGGTCTCTCTAACTTAATTGTTAACTTTCCAGTCCTGTCCCAGTGGTAATCATCACTCCCTAACAATCACTCCCTCGTGCCCCATACCCACCCAGGGTGGAACAAACTGTCTTTGCCTGGCATACCAGATTCTTTTGCAAGAGCCCTGGCATCCTTCAGGCTCTGCCCATTCCAACCCTCCCACCTCCAGCCCTTTCCCAGGCCCCCATCCGCACACTTCTGCCCTTAACTCTCTCCAGACTGCAAGAAGCCAAGAGGAGATTAGAAGCAGCCCAGGGTCCTCGGGAGGATGTGTCCACCCATAGGCTGTGTTTTGAAGTTCATTTAAAGCTCTATACTTATAATATTTTTCCCCACCACTTACCTGTTAGAGTTTCTCAAATTCCTATCATTTGAGTTTCTGCTTTGACTAAATTGTGGCATTACTCAAAACCTACACATGTACCTAAGGGAGAAAGGCCTTAATTTATAGACAGCAATTTGTTTATGAGATTGTCTTGCTGGTGCTTCTCTAAGAAGAGAGCCTTGGGATTGGGACACAGGACAAATTAATTTTGATTGCAGTGGAGAGACTGAAACGATTGGGATATTGAGCTCTAGACCTGTACTGTCTGATACAGTAGCTACTTGTAGCAATTTAAATATAAATAAATTGAAATTAAATGATATTAAAAATTTCATGCCTCAGTCACATTGAGTACATTTCAAATGTTTGCCAGCCTCATGTGGCTTGTGGCTACCACCACTGGACAAAGGAAATCCATTGGACATTTCTATCGTGATTGAAAGTTCTACTGAATACCATGTCTTGAGACTGAGGCTGGTACTTCCAGCAGAGAGTTCTGGAAAAGAGGTGCAGCCCAACATCACCAGCTCTGTGGGCAGGGATAGAGAAGAGTAGAAGGAACCGAATTCCAAAAGGGAAGGGAGCCAAAGCTCAGGCCCAGCCCTGAGCAAACATGCATCTGCCGCACCCAAACTCTTTATGTTAACAAATGGAAAGAGAGGAGCCACTGGGGTCGGCTTTGTAGCCCATTTCCTCCATTGGATGGCCTCTGAGTTCTGTGGGCTTCTGATGAAGCAAAAGACCCCATCCTGAATCCTGAGGCAAGAGGGACTCAGAGTTTCACTCACATACGGGAGCCACTGGGCTCCCACACAAAGGGAAATCTCCACCCTAGTGACACAAGGAGCCAGGCAGTCTCCCGGAGCCCACTTAGAGCAATGAGTTTCCAAGTCAAAAGACATTTCAAGGAAGAGGAGCATCTTGTCCATCTGAAATTAGGCCTCCACTCAGAAAAATCTGAGGAGCCTGGAGGGTTCCAAGGAGCAATTGTAACCCCAACTGATGATGGTGGAGCATTTATCAAGCCTTGCCAATGACAGTGGTTCACGCTTCAATAGCACTTTGCAGCCATGTGGCATGCTTGAACAAAAATATCATTTATTTCATCCTCACAACAGTTGACTGAGGAAAGCAGGGCACATGTGACCCTCTCGACACTTTACATTAAAAGATACTCATGCTCAGAAAGAGGAAAAGACATGCCAAATTCAATGTGGCTGATGAATGACAGGACCAGCTCTAGAAAACAACCACCTATTCTGTCTCTCTCAAGCGATGGGGTTACTTGGTACCTGTCCAAGTCCCTAAATGTGTCAGCTCCAAAGTGTGTGCCTACCCATGGATCATGCTGCAAAGTCAGTTCACATCCAACTCCAAGCTGACAACCGAGCCCTTGAAGACTTCTGCTAGGCCTCAATGTCAAGAACATTCCTAAACCAATCACAGGCAAAAGGCAAGTGAGATCACCATGGTTAGCTTAGACTGATACCTCCTCATCCCCTGGGGCTAGATGCCTGATACCTAACAAAACTAGATACCTAACAAAAATGAAGGCAGAAGTGGGTGTTGGAGAAGCAACCAGCAGTGTCTGCCAGACCCAGCTATACTCAGGGCTATGATAAAGAAGAGGGGCTTTCTACTCCTCCTTCTCCCGAAGCAGCCTCCCCAGGCAACCCCTCCTGGCCTCCTAGGCCAGGTCAAATCTGCCCGCTATGGGTTCTCATGGTACCTGCAGGGGTCCTCCTTAGCACTTGCATCATTTACATTGAACTGTTTTATTAGCTCCTCTCTTCAGGAGACTGGAAGTACTAGGAGGTTTGTTTCAGCAAAACATTGTATTCTTAGGACCCTACCCCTGCATCACAGATGCTCAGTTGATATTTGTTGAAGGATTAACAGATGGGTGGGTGGTAGATTGATGAATGGATGGATGGATGGATGGATGGATAGATAAATGGATGGGTGGATAGATAGGTGGGTGGGTGGATGGATGGATGGATGGATGGATGGATGGATGGATGGATAGGTGGGTGGGTGGGTGGATGGATGGGTGGATGGATGGATGGATGGATGGATGGATGGATGGATGGATGGATAAATGGGTGGGTAGGTTGATAGATGGATGGAAAGGTGGGTGGGTGGGTTAATGGATGGATGGATGCATAGATGGGTGGGTGGATGGATGGATGGATGGATGGATAAATGGGTGGGTGGATAAATGGGTGGGTGGTTGATAGATGGATGGAAAGATGGGTGGGTAGGTTAATGGATGGATGGATGGATAGATGGGTGGGTGGATGGAGGGATGGATGGATAGATGGATGGATAAATGGGTGGGTGGATAAATGGGTGGGCGGGTTGATGGATTGATGGAAAGATGGGTGGGTAGGTTGATGGATGGATGGGTGGGTGGATGGATGTTCCAGCCACTACATAGGTCAACTCTACATTTTCTCAAAATGCATTGTAAAGAGCTGGATCGTGGTTTCCCTCCCTCTTCCCCACAAGTTGCTCTGGGAGTATGAATTGCCCCACTCCCAGACCAGCCTCGCTAAGGGCCCTGACTATTAATACTCTGGTTGGACAGATGACTTTTCTGCAAAGAAAGGGCTCCTGAGGGAAGCTGAATAAAATGGGGAAAAAAAGAATGAATATAAGCCAGTAAGAGAGACAAGCAATTATCTTGCTAGATAAATAGCCCAGATGTTTTGAATGAAGCAAGTCTGAAAGACCATATTGTTCATGAGAGGTGACTAAATCAGGTAGACACAGGCTGTATTGGTACAAGATGGACCAAAGTCATGAGGGAGAGAGGGACTTTGGGACTGGTAGTAATGTCAGGAGGTGGTAGGGATGCTCAAACCCCTGGCAATAGGCAAAGAAGTGGAGTTTTCACCTTGAGCCCAGTGCTTTCCCTCCCCTAGCCCACCTGCCTTTGAATTTCCACATCCTCCTGCTTTCTCCTCTTTCTCTACCCTCTTTCCCGGTTTACCACTCTTTCAATTTCCGGTTCCTCTTGCTTTGCATGACAAGGACTAGCAGAAGCCCCGGGGCCAGAGTAAAACAAGCACCCAGCTTCTCAGAGAGAGCCCTACTGAATTTATTAAACGCCTTTTTAATAAGATGACCCAGCCCTTCTTTGAGGCTCTGAAAAATGAGTTTTTCAATGAAATTGCCTTTTACCCACTTATCAGAAGTTTAACAAAAAATAATGGCCAGCCTTAGGTATTTCAAATAACCCTAAGACAGACACAGTGATGGAATTCAGAGAAGTAGGGGAAAACAAGTGGGCAAGCCATGAGTATCAAAAGCATTTTAAATCATTCAACACAGGCTAAGAAGCAGGGCACAGGCTCAGCCATTCACCCTGATTAACACAGGGAGGTCGGCTGTCAGCAACTGCTGAAAATTTTGCCACAAACATACAAGTAATTTCTATCTTCTAACCTAGAGGGGAGCTTTTCCATGTATTTGCACCACTGAATGCCAGGTTTTCATTTGGGAGTTGTTTTGTGGTGTTAAAATTTTTTGTTGGGATTTTCCTCCTCGATTACGATAGTAATAGCTTTTTATTTTATTACAAAAGTAATCACATTTTATTTTAGAATCATCCTCCCAGAAACAACTACTCCCAATATATATTTCCAGTCTTTCTTCTGTGCACATATAGAGATATGTATATTAGATTGGGATCAAAAACATCTACTTTCTGTATTCAATTTCTTTTTTACTTTTTCCATGTTTCTATATCATTGGTTTATCACATTACTTTAAAGGTTAAATAATATTTCATTATATGACTGTAACACGATCTAGGTAAACAATCCCTTATGGTTTGATATTTAGATCTCTTCCCCATGATTCTGTTTTTATAAATACCAAAATGAAAGCAGAATATTGGATTCTAGAAGTAGGAGGGTAGGGTTCTCTTTGTACAGAATTGTTTTTGTTTCTGTTCATTTGGGATAAATTTCTAGAAGCCTATTTTGTGATTCAAAGTGTATCTACATTCTTACGGCTTTTAAAATATATTACCCTAAAAGGATACACCAATTTATATTCAAAAGATAAAACATCTGTCCCACCTCTACCATCTAGCAGCCAGAAGTGTTTACAAACTCAGTGTTACCATCCAGAAATCTCACGGGGTTGGGAAGAGAATTAAATAAAATATTTTATATGAAAATACTTTGAAAACTAAAATTGTATTAAAATATATGTTGCCATTATTATCAATTTTTAAACCATCCAAGATGGAAAAGGCATTACCTCCCTCAATCACATATTCCAATGATTAACAGCTCTTTAGAGCATAAAATTCTTACCAGTTGCCCTCTAAATACAACTACACCACATATATTTCATTTATTCAGAACCATTTATTGAATACCTTCTATGTTTCCAGTTTTGCATTAAGCATGGGAGATATGAAAGAAACACACACACACAGCAATGAGCTACTAGCCTGGGATGGGGTGGGGGTACAGAGAAAGATAGGTCAAGATTCATTATCAGTGCCACGGTAAGGTCAGGTTCTGGGTGTTTTGTAGACAGGGCATGATCCAGCTTTGGAGAACCCAGGGATGTCCATGCCTGAAAGAGGGTAATCTGAAAGTTAGCATGAGAAGCAGCCCAGCTTTCTGTTGGGGGACAATGTGGCAATTCCTATTGTTTCTGAAACAGTATGGAGAAATCACATTTTCCTGGCAGCTATATTCCTGCATAGAAAGACAGCAATTTTTGTGGGAAAAAGACATTAACAGGCCACATGGTGGGAAGGCTAAGATTCCCCATGGGGTTGACTTTGAGGAACACTAGATGGTTACCATGTCTCTAGAAATGAGCCTGCTCTTGGTGAGTGAGATATGCAAGCTGATGCTGATTGCAGGATTGCTTGGGACTATAGAGAGAATTTTATTTTATTTTAGAGGGGATTTTAGAGCGGTGTGAGGAAAGATGAAGGGGCAAGATATGACAACTGATAGGGGAGGAACTTTGAGGGCAAATACAAAGATGCTTAATAAGGAATTTTGCCAAGTGTCTGCTATGAAATGTTCTATAGAGCCCCTCACTCCTGTCTACTCACAATATCCTTGCTCTTATTTTTTTTTATTATACTTTAAGTTTTAGGGTACATGTGCACAACATGCAGGTTTGTTACATATGTATACATGTGCCATGTTGGTGTGCTGCACCCATTAACCCATCATTTACATTAGGTATATCTCCTAATGCTATCACCCCCTCCCCCCATCCAATGACAGGCCCTGGTGTGTGTTGTTCCCCACCCTGTGTCCAACTGTTCTCATTGTTCAAATCCCATCTGTGAGTGAGAACATGCGGTGTTTGGTTTTCTGTCCTTGTGATAGTTTGCTCAGAGTGATGGTTTCCAGCTTCATCCATGTCCCTACAAAGGACATGAACTCATCCATTTTTATGGCTGCATAGTATTCCATGGTGTATATGTGCCACATTTTCTTAATCCAGTCTATCACTGATGGACATTTGGGTTGGCTCCAAGCCTTTGCTATTGTGAATAGTGCCGCAATAAACATATGTGTGCATGTGTCTTTATAGCAGCATCATTTATAATCCCTTGGGTATATATGCAGTAATGGGATGGCTGGGTCAAACGGTATTTCCAGTTCTAGATCCTTGAGGAATCGCCACGCTGTCTTCCACAATGGTTGAACTAGTTTACAGTCCCACCAATAGTGTAAAAGTGTTCCTATTTCTCCACATCCTCTCCAGCACCTGTTGTTTCCTGGCTTTTTAATGATTGCCATTCTAACGGGTGTGAGATGGTATCTCATTGTGGTTTTGATTTGCATTTCTCTGATGGCCAGTGATGATGAGCATTTTTTCATGTGTCTGTTGGCTGCATAAATGTCTTCTTTTGAGAAGTGTCTGTTCATATCCTTCACCAACTTTTTGATGGGGTTGTTTGATTTTTTTCTTGTAAATTTGTAAGTTCTTTGTAGATTCTGAATATTAGCCCTTTGTCAGATGGGTAGATTGTAAAAATTTTCTCCCATTCTGTAGGTTGCCAGTTCGCTCTGATGGTGATTTCTTTTGCTGGGCAGAAGTTCTTTAGTTTAATTAGATCCCATTTGTCAATTTTGGCTTTTGTTGCCGTTGCTTTTGGTGTGTTAGTCATGAAGTCCTTGCCCATGCCTATATCCTGAATGGTATTGCCTAGATTTTCTTCTAGGGTTTTTATGGTTTTAGGTCTAACATTTAAGTCTTTAATCCATCTTGAGTTAATTTTTGTGTAAGGTGTAAGGAAGGGATCCAGTTTCAACTTTCTACATATGGCTAGCCAGTTTTCCCAGCACCATTTATTAAATAGAGAATCCTTTCCCCATTTCTTGTTTTTGTCAGGTTTGTCAAAGATCAGATGGTTATAGATGCGTGGTATTATTTATGAGGGCTCTGTTCTGTTCCATTGGTCTGTATTTCTGTTTTGGTACTAGTACCATGCTGTTTTGGTTACTGTAGCCTTGTAGTATAGTTTGAAGTCAGGCAGCATGATGCCTCCAGCTTTGTTCTTTTGGCTTAGGATTGTCTTGGCAATGTGGGATCTTTTTTTGGTTCCTTATGAACTTTAAAGTAGTTTTTTCCAATTCTGTGAAGAAAGTCATTGGTAGCTTGATGGGGATGGCATTGAATCTAGAAATTACTTTGGGCAGTATGGCCATTTTTATGATGTTGATTATTCCTATCTATGAGCATGGCATGTTCTTCCATTTGTTTATGTCCTCTTTTATTTCATGGAGCAGTGGTTTGTAGTTCTCCTTGAAGATGTCCTTCACATCCCTTGTAAGTTGGATTCCTAGATATTTTATTCTCTTTGAAGCAATTGTGAATGGGAGTTCACTCATGATTTGGCTTTCTGTTTATCTCTTATTGGTGTATAGGAATGCTTGTGATTTTTGCACATTGATTTTGTATCCTGAGACTTTGCTGAAGTTGCTTATCAGCTTTTGGGCTGAGACGATGGGGTTTTCTAAAGGTGCAATCATGTCATCTGCAAAGAGGGACAATTTGACTTCCTCTTTTCCTAATTGAATACCCTTTATTTCTTTCTCCTGCCTGATTGCCCTGGCCAGAACTTCCAATACTATGTTGAATAGGAGTGGTGAGAGAGGGCATCCCTGTCTTGTGCCAGTTTTCAAAGGGAATGCTTCCAGTTTTTGCCCATTCAGTATGATATTGGCTGTGGGTTTGTCATAAATAGCTCTTCTTTTTTTGAGATATGTTTCATCAATACCTAGTTTATTGAGAGTTTTTAGCATGAAGGGGTGTTGAATTTTGTTGAAGGCTTTTCTGCATCTATTGAGATAATCATGTGGTTTTTGTTGTTGGTTCTGTTTATATGCTGGATTACGTTTATTGATTTGTGTATGTTGGACCAGCCTTGCATCCCAGGGATGAAGCCAACTTGATTGTGGTGGATAAGCTTTTTGATGTGCTGCTGGATTCAGTTTGCCAGTGTTTTATTGAAGATTTTTGCATCGATGTTCATCAAGGATATTGGTCTAAAATTCTCTTTTTTGTGTGTGTCTCTGCCAGGATTTGGTATCAGGATGATGCTGGCCTCATGAAATGAGTTAGGGAGGATTCCCTCTTTTTCTATTGATTGGAATAGTTTAGAAGGAATGGTATCAGCTCTTCTTTGCACCTCTGGTAGACTCGGCTGTGAATCCGTCTGCTCCTGGACTTTTTTTGCTTGGTAGGCTATTAATTATTGCCTCGATTTCAGAGCCTGTTATTGGTCTATTCAGGGATTCGACTTCTTCCTGGTTGAGTCTTGGGAGGGTGTGTGTTACCAGGAATTTATCCATTTCTTCTAGATTTTCTAGTTTATTTGCATAGAGGTTTTTATAGTATTTTCTGATGGTAGTTTGTATTTCTGTGGGATTGGTGGTGATATCCCTTTATCATTTTTTATTGCATCTATTTGATTTTTCCCTCTTTTCTTCTTTATTAGTCTTGCTAGTGGTCTATCAATTTTGTTGATCTTTTCAGAAAACCAGCTCCTAGATTCACTAATTTTTTGAAGAGCTTTTTGTGTTTCTATCTCCTTCAGTTCTGCTCTGATCTTAGTTATTTCTTGCCTTCTGCTAGCTTTTGAATGTGTTTGCTCTTGCTTCTCTAGTTCTTCTAATTGTGATGTTAGGGTGTCGATTTTAGATCTTTCCTGCTTTCTCTTGTGGGCATTTAGTGCTATAAATTTCCCTCTACACACTGCTTTAAATGTGTCCCAGAGATTCTGGTATGTAGTGTCTTTGTTCTCATTGGTTTCAAAGAACATCTTTCTTTCTGCCTTCATTTACTTATTTACCCAGTAGTCATTCAGGAGCAGGTTGTTCAGTTTCCATGTAGTTGTGTGGTTTTGAGTGAGTTTCTTAATCCTGGGTTCTAATTTGATTGCACTGTGGTCTGAGAGACAGTTTGTTATAATTTCTGTTCTTTTACATTTGCTGAGGAGAGCTTTACTTCCAACTATGTGGTCAATTTTGGAATAAGTGCGATGTGGTGCTGAGAAGAATGTATATTCTGTTGATTTGGGGTGGAGAGTTCTGTAAATGTCTATTAGGTCCACTTGGTGCAGAGCTGAGTTCAAGTTCTGAATATCCTTGTTAACTTTCTGTGTCATCGATCTGTCTAATGTTGACAATGGGGTGTTAAAGTCCCCCATTATTATTATGTGGGAGTATAAGTCTCCTTGCAGGTCTCTAAGGACTTGCTTTATGAATCTGGGTGCTCCTGTATTGGGTGCATGTATATTTAGGATAGTAGCTCTTCTTGTTGAATTGATCCCTTTACCATTATGTAATGGCCTTCTTTGTCTCTTTTGATCTTTGTTGGTTTCAAGTCTGTTTTCTCAGAGAGTAGGATTACAACTCCTGCTTTTCTTTGTTTTCCATTTGCTTGGTAGATCTTCCTCCATCCCTTTATTTTGAGCCTATGTGTGTCTCTGCATGAGAAGTGGGTCTCCTGAATACAGCACACTGATGGGTCTTGACTCTTTATCCAATTTGCCAGCCTGTGTCTTTTAATTGGAGCATTTAGCCCATTTACATTTAAGGTTAATATTGTTATGTGTGAATTTGGTCCTGTCATTATGATGCTAGCTGGTTATTTTGCTTATTAGTTGATGCAGTTTCTTCCTAGCCTTGATGGTCTTTACAATTTGGCATGTTTTTGCAGTGGCTGGTACCAGTTGTTCCTTCCCATGTTTAGTGCTTCCTTCAGGAGCTCTTGTAAGGCAGGCCTGGTGGTGACAAAATCTCTCAGCACTTGCTTGTCTGTAAAGGATTTTATTTCTCCTTCACTTATGAAGCTTAGTTTGGCTGGATATGAAATTCTGGGTTGAAAATTCTTTTCTTTAAGAATGTTGAATATTGGCCCCCACTCTCTTCTGGCTTGCAGAGTTTCTGCCAAGAGATCCACTGTTAGTCTGATGGGCTTCCCTTTGTGGGTAACCCAACCTTTCTCTCTGGCTGCCCGTAACATTTTTTCCTTCATTTCAACTTTGGTGAATCTGACAATTATGTGTCTTGGAGTTGCTCTTCTCGAGGAGTATCTTTGTGGCGTTCTCTGTATTTCCTGAATTTGAATGTTGGCCTGCCTTGCTAGGTTGGGGAAGTACTCCTGGATAATATCCTGCAGAGTGTTTTCCAACTTGGTTCCATTCTCCTTGTTACTTTCAGGTACACCAATCAGACATAGATTTGGTCTTTTCACATAGTCCCGTATTTCTTGGAGGCTTTGTTTCTTTTTACTCTTTTTTTCTCTAAACTTCTCTTCTCACTTCATTTCATTCATTTGATCTTCAGTCACTGATACCCTTTCTTCCACTTGATCAAATCAGCTACTGAAGCTTGTGCATGCGTCATATAGTTCTCGTGCCATGGTTTTCAGCTTCATCAGGTCATTTAAGGTCTTCTCTATACACTGTTTATTCTAGTTAGCCATTCATCTAATCTTTTTCAAGGTTTTTAGCTTCTTTGCGATGGGTTTGAACACCCTCCTTTAGCTCAGAGAAGTTTGTTATTGCCAATCATCTGAAGCCTACTTCTGTCAACTCGTCAACATCATTCTCTGTCCATCTTTGTTCCATTGCTGGCGAGGAGCTGCATTCCTTTGGAGGAGAAGAGGCACTCTGATTTTTAGAATTTTCAGCTTTTCTGCTCTGGTTTCTCCCCATCTTTGTGGTTTTATCTACCTTTGGTCTTTGATGATGGTGATGTACAGATGCGGTTTTGGTGTGAATGTCTTTCTGTTTGTTAGTTTTTCCTTCTAACAGTCAGGACCCTCAGCTGCAGGTCTGTTGGAGTTTGCTGGAGGTCCACTCCAGAACCTGTTTGCCTGAGTATCACCAGCAGAGGCTGCAGAACAGCAAATATTGCAGAACAGCAAATGTTGCTGCCTGAGCCTTCCTCTGGAAACTTCGTCTCAGAGGGGCACCTGCGTGTATGAGGTGTCAGTCGGCCCCTACTGGGAAGTGTCTCCTAGTTAGGCTACTCGGGGGTCAGGGACCCACTTGAGGAGGCAGTCTGTCTGTTCTCCGATCTCAAATTCCGCGGTGGGAGAACCACTACTTTCTTCAAAGCTGTCAGACAGGTACATTTAAGTCTGCAGAAGTTTCTGCTGCCTTTTTTTCCACTATGCCCTGCCCCCAGTGGTGGAGTATCCAGAGACAGGCAGGCGTCCTTGAGCTCAGTGGGCTCCACCCAGTTCGAGCTTCCTGGCCTCTTTGTTTACCTAGTCAAGCCTCAGCAATGGTGGACGCCCCTTCCCCACCCTTGCTGCCACCTTGCAGTTCGATCTCAGACTGCTGTGCTAGCAGTGAGCGAGGCTCCGTGGGCATAGGACCCTCCGAGTCAGGGGCAGGATATAATCTCCTAGTGTGCCATTTGCTAAGACCATTGGAAAAGTGCAGTATTAGAGTTGGAGTGTCCCGATTTTCCAGGTACTGTCTGTCACGGCTTCCCTTGGCTAGTAAAGGGAATTTCCCGACCCCTTACACTTCCCGGGTGAGGCGATGCACCCCCCTACTTCCACTGACACTCCGTGGGCTGCACCCACTGTCCAACAAGCCCCAGTGAGATGAACCCGGTACCTCAGTTGGAAATGCAGAAATCACCCGTCTTCTGCATTGCTCACGCTGGGAGCTGTGGACTGGAGCTGTTCCTATTTGGCCGTCTTGGAACCCCTATCCTTGCTCTTATTAATACCTCAAGTGACATACAGTTCAGTGTGCCCTACATGTGGACGGAGGGTGAGAGTGAAGGCTGCCATTTAGAGGCAGCCCTGCCTGGTTACTCATCCTTCATTCTGTAAGGAGCTAAGTGCTACTGTGTTCTCAGAACGTTTGTGCTAAGCAGGGAACCCCTCTTTTGAACTGTACGGGATATAAAAGTGAACACAATCTACTGCTCTCCCCATACTGACCCACTAGCCTTACTTGGGCTCTGTTCGCCTGGGCACATGCACTTACACAGCTTTAAAAAAAAAAGGAAAATATTATAATAGGATCTTTTAGGCAATCAAAGACATTCAAAAACACATTCAGATGTTTGTCAGGCCTTCTGCTTAGGCACACCCATGAAAGCATCCCAAGCCATTTATATTTTGACTTGCAAATAAACTGGCAATTGCTATAATTGAGAGCATTGGCAAAGCATCAAACTTCCCTTCCAAATTCTATTGTTCTTATGGTAATATTAATTTCTGTCTCCCAAACTGAGTGTAGAGGCATGGATATGTGACAATAGGATGTTTTCTAGGCCAAGGATGAAAAACCATCATGGGTAAACTACTAAGAAGAGTGTTTACACAGATAAAAAGAAATTGACTAACATTTTGAGTTTTGACTTCCCAATCTCTTTTTTTAAACATTAATGATTTCAGAGAGGAATGTTTGGAAGACACATCATTGATTATATGCTGTACAAAGTGATGCTCTTTTTATTGTAAAGCAGTGAGTCAATGAAGATTTACTGGGATCTGCCAAGCCAATATTCTAGTGGCCAAATGTGCAGACATTTGCAGAAGCCCACTCTACTTCCATTGGCCCAGGAAGCCTAGCAACCAACGGGGAGTTAGCTGTACCCTTTGCTGATATGCACTAGTGGTATGGAGGACTTATTAAGAAAAAGAGAGAGCCTTTTATAATTGACAATAGCGCTTACCTTTTAAAATGTTAAACATACTATACCATATTTTTCTAAGTTCAGTAGTCTTACTTTGGGACACAGAAATGCATCACTATTTAAAACTCACCTATCCAGCAACCTTAACTATCTGGAACATATATGAGATCCAGGAAGCAAGGTAAATAGGTTTTTGAGCAAAATAGATATAACAAAATCTATTTACCTACAGGTTTGGTAGGAAATTCCTTCAGTCATCACTCAGAACCTAGTTATTCTTATTTGAAACCACCTTAATTTTCTAAAATTTAGTTATTGGGTTTTTTAATTCACATCAGATCAGAAGCAACAATAGAGTGGAAGGGGCTAGAAGAAACTATCTTGAGTGATCTAGAAGGGAGTCAGCTAACAAAAGTGAGAACTATTAGCTGTTAAATTGAATGTAAAGAAAAAGACATTAAAAAAGAAAAAAGCCGGGCGTGGCAGCTCACGCCTGTAATCCCAGCACTTTGGGAGGCCGAGGCAGGTGGATCACCTGAGGTCAGGAGTTCGAGACCAGCCTGACCAATATGGTGAAACCCCATCTCTACTAAAAACACAAAAATTAGCTGAGCATGGTAGTGTGTGCCTGTAGTCCCAGCTACTCGGGAGGCTAAGACAGGAGAATTTCTTGAACCCGGGCATTGGAGGTTGCAGTGAGCCAAGATTGGGCCACTGCACTCCAGCCTGGGCAACAGAGCAAGACTCCGTCAAAGAAAGAAAAGAAAAGAGAGGAGAGGAGAGGAGAGGAGAGGAGAGGAGAGGAGAGGAGAGGAGTGGAGAGGAGACGGGACGGGACGGGACGGGATGGGACAGGAAAGGAAAGAAAAGCAAAGAAAAGAAAAGGAAAAAGAAAGAGAAAAAGACACTAAAAAGGAAAGGAGAGAGGAGAGATGGGCAAAAGGATGGAGCGAGGGAAGGAGGCTATAAAAAGAAGACTCAGAATCTTAAAATGCTCAAGTCCTAGGCATTTGATTTTGGCAACAAGCCTTGATCTCTAGGAGCAGCTGAGCACATCCTATATCCACCATATCACACCATAATTTTTATGTTCATAAATGACCCCAGTACTCCATAAAAAGTTTCAATTAGGAAATCAGAGAAGCGCCTCATTTTTAGAAGTGTGCACCCAATAGATTAAAAGTTTGGCCGGGCGTGGTGGCTCACGTCTGTAATCACGGCACTTTGGGAGGCCGAGGCGGGTAGATCACGAGGTCAAGAGATGGAGACCACCCCGGCCAACAGGGTGAAACCCTGTCTCTACTAAAAAAACAAAAAAATTAGCTGGGCATGGTGGCACGCACCTGTAATCCCAGCTACTCCAGAGATTGAGGCAGGAGAATCATTTGAACCTGGGAGGCAAAGGTTACAGAAAGCCGAGATTGCGCCACTGTACTCCAGCCTGGGTGACAGAGCAAGAGTCCATCTCAAAAATATATATATATATAATATATAAAACATATATATGTTATTTATAAGTTATATATATGTTTTATAAGGTATATTTATGTTTTATATGTATATATGTTATATATATGTTTTATATATGTTTTATATTTATATATGTATGTTTTTATATATATATGTGTTTTCATTCCTGAAAGGGTGTGCTTTAGATATTTAGACATGATGATGCCAGAAAAATATGTTTTAATTGTGTGCATTTATGAAGGAAAAGGAAGAATGGGCTGAGAATTATTATTGCCTTGCTAGTTGAAGATTTCACAATGGAGGTTGTCCCAGTTCTTGAAGTCTCCACATTTCCTTGATTTCTGATATTGCGATTTTTATTCACTTCAGCTACTAACCCAACCACCTTGCAGCCACATCTCAGTGGGCTTCATCATCCATCTGCCCTTGAGTTCAAATTAATGCACACAAAGAGGTTACTGGAGGAATCAAGAAGGTCTCAGAACCTATCCCTTAGGAATATGGAGAGCCTGTTGATTAATGGAAAAGAGTTGCACAACTCAAGGCCAAGTGCTGTTTCCGTGGATCTGTACATGAGAATACTGCATTCTATATGACTTTATAAAAATAGTCACCCAACAGGTGTTGTTGAACACCTGTAGACATGTTTACAGGTGACAGTGTAGGGGGCTGAATATGTAGATGAAGCCAAACTGAGATTGTTCTGGAACTTTGATGATGGTATTCCAGACGGGACAATGGCAGTGGGTCAGGCGTTGGAGGCTTCCGTCTTAATCACTGCTCTTCTACTTGGTTAAATGTAGTAGTTACCATCTGCAGTAGGCTGTACTGGTTGTCTCTGGATTGTCCCTAGATTTGCCCAACTAAATAAAGCTAGCCATTATAACACCCAGCCTCTTAGCTCAGAGCACAACAGCCAAAGGTTTATTTCTCACCCATGTGACAGTTTGCTGGTGGTCAGCATGAACTCAAGAGCCTTTCATCTGTTGGCTGTACTGAGCTTTTAGGACCTCACAGTCCTCAATTTCATCTTCTTCAGGCCAGTAATGGAGGAGAGAGAAATAGAGGGGGGAATATGTAAAAAGCTTTAAAGACCAGGACTAGGCTAGAAGTACAGTCATGCATCGCTTGACAATGGGGATACTTTTTGAGAAATGCATCCTTAGGTTATCTTGTTGTTGCTTGAACATCATAAAGTGTACTTACACAAACCTAGATGGGATAATCTGCTGCACACCTAGGCTATATGGGATAGCCTATTGCTCCTAGGTTACAATCGTATACAACATTTTACTTTACCGAATACTACATGCAATTGTAACACAATGGTAAGTATTTGTGTATCTAAACATAGGAAAGGTATAGTAAAAACACAGTATAAAAGATTTTTTAAAATGGTACACCTGTAAAGGGTACTTACCATGAATAAAGCTTGCAGGACTGGGAGTTGCTTTGGGTGAGTCAGTGAATGAGTGGCGACTGAATGTGAAGCCCTGGGTCATTACTGTACACTACTGTGGACTTTATATACACTGTACACTTAAGCTACACCAAATTTTTTTTAAATTTTTTTCTTCAGTAATAAATTAACCTTAGCTTGCTGTAACTTAACTTTATAAACTTTCTTAAACTCATTTTGACTTTTTTTTTTTTTTTTTTTGAGACAGAGTCTCGCCCTGTCGCCCAGGCTGCAGTGCAATGGCTCGCTGCAAATCTCGGCTCACTGCAAACTCCGCCTCCCAGGTTCAAATGATTCTCCTGCCCCAGCCTCCCAAGTAGCTGGGATTACAGATGCCAGCCACCAGGCCCAGCTAATTTTTTTTGTAGTTTTAGTAGAGACGGGGTTTCACCATGTTGGCCAGGCTAGTCTCAAACTCCTGACCTCATGATCTGCCCGCTTCAGCCTCCCAAAGTGCCGGGATTACAGGCGTGAACCACCGTGCCTGGCCTTGACTATTTTGTAATAATACTTGGCTTAAAACACAAACACATTGTTCAGCTGTACAGAAACATTTTCCTTCTTTATATGCTTATACTATAAACTTTTTTCTATTTTTAAAAGTTTTTTTGTTTTACTTTTTAAACTTTTTCATTAAAAACTAAGACACAAACATTCACATTAGCCTAGAACTACATAGTGTCTGGATCGTCCCTATTGCTGTCTTTCACCTCCACATCTTGTCCCACTTGAAGTTCCTCAAGGATGATAGCATGCACGGAGCTGTCAGCTCATGACAACAATGCCTTCTGGAATACCTCCTGAAGGATCTGCCTGAGGCTATTTTACAGTTAACTTTTTTTAATAAGTAGAAGGAGTACACTGTAAAATAACAATAAAAAGTATAGTATAGTAAATACACAAACCAGTAACATAGTTATTATCAAGTATATATACTGCACATAATTGTATGCGCTCTACTTTTATACGACTAGCAGTGCAGTAGATTTGTTTACACCAGTGTCACCACAAACACGGCGTAAAGCATTACGTTACGATGTTAGAATGGCCCTGACATCACTAGGCAATAGGAACTTTTCAGCCCCATTGTCATCTTATAGGACCACCACCATATATGCAGTCTACAGTGGGCAAAGTTTGTCATTCAGTGCGTTACTGTGTGTTATTTCTACCCACTTTCAGAGGCCACCACTTCATCACCTGACCTCATCTAACGACAGGGGAAGCAATGAAGTAACTTTAACTGTGTGGCCAGAAAGGAAAAGAAAACCAAATTCTGATGGACATCTGATGTTTTTACTATTCCTATGAATGTATTCCAAGGTTCTGAGAGGGTAGGGAAAGCAGGAATAAGAGTGGGAAAATACATTTAGCAACATTCTTGAGAGTTTTTTCTTAGACTTGTCAGTGTTCTCAGTTGTGCCCATCCTCAAGCTCCAAAGATTCTCCCACAAGGCATTTGGCCAAGGCACTTCATTTTTCCAGGCCTCAGTTTCCCCATGTGTTAAAGTGAGGGGTTGAATTAGAATACCTTTCAAGTCTTTGGGCCCCTTAAAGATCCAAAATCCCATGATTCTGTAATGATTCTGTATGATTCCCCTGATGTTCCCTTCCCCCTGAGACAAATAAGCAGTGCCAGTATGCCAATAATTTATGTTTTATTTTAATTTTCCTTCTCACCTTCAAAGCTTGAGTTTCTAGATATTAATATATAACAATAGACAAAGTTGTTATGAATACAGTAGTGACTTTTATGGCAAAGTAAAGTTATTTTGTGTTTGGATGAACAGCACATTCACACACGTATATAATATACACAGAGCTCCATCTGTGAAAAAATAATCTTGTTTGAAGTCTTGCAAAACTTATGTCCTCCTCCTACTCTTGCCCTGTATTAGTTTTGCAATTAGTAACAAACAAACAACCGTGACATCTCTGTGGCTTAGAACAACATTTACTCTCCGCTCACTTTACATGGGGACTGTGAGTCAGCAGCAGATTGGCTGTGGCTCTGCTAGAATTGGCTGGGTTCAGCTGGGCTCTCAGTGGGGCTCCACCTGTCTTCTCATTTTAAAACCCAAACGAAGGGTATAGACACTATCTGTGACATCCTAAGGGCAGTGGAGAACAAAAGCAAGGAGACCTAAGACAAACCATCCAGTTGCATTTAAGCTTCAGGTTAAACACGGCAAAAAACATCACGACCATTCACATCCCATGGGCCATAGCTTTTCACATGGCCAAGTCCAAAGTGATTGAGGTGGGATATGTACTCCTCTCACAGAATGCACGAGTACCTCCCATGACAGTGGGTAGGAATATGCAATCCTATGGCTGGGAGGAAGCAAATAGTTGGGGACAATAACCCAACAGATCACACCCCCAATGCCTCTATCTAAGTTCTAAATACAACATTTCCCGTAGAGAGGAAGCCACTCTGCCTCCTCCACTGCATCTTCCTTTCCTGCCCCTCTCAGCTTGAGCTCAGGCTCCAAAACTTGAGCGTGATAAGAATCATCTAAGTGCTTGTTAAAAATCCCCTTCCTAGGGCCCCCCTTTCCAAAGATCTTGACACATATGATCTGAAGTAGGCAGTGGTGCCCAGGCATGATGCCCCAGGAATACCTACTGCTATTGAAGAGCTCTCCCCGGTTCCCACAGCCTTCAGCATCAGACCTGCCTTTGGATTGGGGGAGCATGCTGAGTGAGCCATTATTAGGAAGAGGGCTGCCTTAGAGGACTCAGAATCTACGACCCCAAGGTCCTCTGACCTGTCCCCACTCCTCACAGCCAGCATGGATTTTGTACTTCTGGAGCTCCTTGAAGGAGGGTCATTGCACGTTTGAAAGTGTGATAGTTAGCACAGACCCCAGAGATCAAATCCTGAGTTCCTCTTCCTCCATATCCAACTCACTAGCTGTGTGACCTTGGACAACTCACTAGCTGTGTGACCTTGGACAACTCGCAGACCGTCTCTGGGCCTCAGTGTCCTCATCTGTTAGAAAGGAATAATAATAATACCTACACCTCAGGCTTCTTGTGAGGGTGAAGCGAGTTAACAAAACAGTGCCTGGCATGCAGTGGATCACATATAAACATTTCATGTGTGATATTATACATGTTTTTATGTATTTATAAGTGTATTCTATACAAGGGTTTGCTGATTTTATTGGCACACAGGTCTGAGAACATGGGAGGCTTGTGAGATAAAGTTGCCTCCTATTGGAGGTGTTATATGGGGAGCATGCTGAGTCAGCTGTTATCAGGAGGAAGGCTGCCTTAGAGGACTCAGAGAATTTACGTGTCAGGTGATAGCATGTAAGTCAGTGGTTTTCAACCCCAGCTTTAATTTAGAATCATCTAGAAAGGTTTTTTTTAAAATGCCCATGTCCTTCCAAGTGGGCTCAATTCTGAGCCAATTAGTGAGAATGTCCAGGGACAAAACAAAGAAATGAAAAATTTTAAGGCCGGGCACAGTGGCTCACGCCTGTAATCCCAGCACTTTGGGAGGTTGAGGTGGGCAGATCACTTGAGACCAGGAGTTCAAGACCAGCCTGGCCAACATGGTAAAGCCCGTCTCTACTGAAAATACAAAAATTAGCCAGGCGTGATGGTGCAGATCTGTAATCTCAGCTACTCTGGTGACTAAGGCAGGGGAATCACTTGAACCTGGGAGGCAGAGGCTGCAGTGAGCTGAAATCGTGTCACTGCACTCCTGCCTGGGTGTCAGAACAAGATTCTGTCTCAAAAAAAAAAAAAGAAAGTAAAGAAAAGAAATTTTAAGACACTCCTTGGACTGTAATGGGAATCCTGGATTAGAAACCACTGATGTCTATAGAACAGCTCTGTAAACTGCAAAACATAATGTATGATTTATGGGTGTTTTTTGATTGTTAGTAACTGATTGATGATCTCATGAGGGACTAGTTCCTCTGAAAATCAGGCCAACGTGGGTTTTCCACCATCTGTCCTACATGTGCACTGGCTGGGGGAAATTGAAACTCATCCAATTCCTATTCTTGCCTTTAAGCCAAAAAGACTGCTCGAAAACAAGCCTCCTTGGGATAAAAGATGTTGCTAGGATGAGGAAGCTGTAGTGAGTGAGTGGAGTTAATGTGATTAGATTTGGAAGCAATACTTCCAGCCATGGGGAAGCATCGGTGTTCTGTGTTATTAAAGTGACTCCAGTGCAAAGGCACATATATCGTATTGGAGTAATTTGCCCTGACTAGGTTAGAAGCCAGGAGATGGTTCTTCACAGGTATTCCTGAGTGGCCCAAGGTCTAAGTCAGCTCTCGTTTAGACAAATCCTATCTCTGCTGATCATCTACCTCTCACCAAATGCAGCCATCACCATGCACAGCACATGCGCTCCTCTTGATGATCTTCACAGAGTGCAGAGTCTTCAGGAAGTTCTTTCCTCAGTGGAACCTTTGGGATTTCTAGGAGAGGGGCAGGGGAATATCTGGAATCAGAGGTGAACACTTTACAGCAGCCTCTAAACTACTTCTAATTACGTTCACCTGACTAAACTGCCAGGTGATAAACGTTTTATATAAAAGTAATTCACTATGGAAAGTTCTGGATGTTTTCCCCAATGGGTACCTCAAAACAGGGTACAAGATGGAAACCTGCTCAAGAAACAGCAAAATGTAAACTGGATAATGGTGATGATAAAAAAATAATAATGAATGACCACACGAGCAAGTGTCCTCTTGTGAACTTTCACAGACAAATGCATAGATATGCTGCCTGGACTATGGGCAGATAAACATTCATTGTGGGCACATGTTTGTGTGAAGCTAATTATTGGCAGAGCAAGAACAGCTGGAACTTTCATCTCCCCACCTGCAGGCCAGGGTTCTCTTGGCACTATATCCTCAGTTTTCAATGTCTTCCTGAAAGAGCGGCTGCCATGTTCTCCTTAAAACTTCTTTAGATTCCCCTGTCAAATACTGAAAACTATGCTGGCTGTAAGTCTAGTGTTTGAAATACCAGCGTGGGACCAGTCTTCCTATATGCAGAGTTTTGTCCCATGTCTTAGAATCTTTTTCTGTTTTCTTCACCTTTTGGGCTTCATTTATTCACAATCATTGACTGTTGACATTGGGCAGAGCTTGTATAACAGTCTTAATCTTTAGCCTGGTATGTAATATCTAATCCCTGCTGTTCCTCTTCCCGCCCTGAGCACATTATGTCCTTTACTTTCCAGATTAAGTGTTGGCATTCTGTACTGGAAAGAAAACTCCAACTTCTTGCCATGTGCAGTGGCTCATGCCTGTAATCACAGACCTTTGGGAGGCCAAGGCGGGTAAATTTCCTGAGCTCAGGAGTTTGAGACCAGCCTGGGCAACATGGCAAAACCCCATCACTGCAGAATATACAAAAATTAGCTGGGTGTTGGTGGCTCGTGCCTCTAGTCCCCACTACTCAGGAGGCTGAGGTGGGAGAATCACCTGACCCAGGGAGGTCCAGGCTGCAGTGAGCGGTGATCATGCCACTGCACTCCAGCCTGGGCAACAGAACAAGACCCCGTCTCAAAAAAAAAAAAAAAAAAAAAGCCCAACTCCTGGAAATCAAATGGTACCTGATGTGAGGTTTTCTCCCTGTTATGTTAGCCTCAGGCCATCTAACCCAGGTAGAACAAGGCAGGTAAGGAAACCCAGTGGGCCAAGGACCCCGAAGGAAGCCCTTAACACAATGCCTAATACTGAAAACAACGGATGAATGTATTCAAAATTTGTTTGCAAGAAATGAGACTTTTTGCCTTTTTAGGACAAAAAAAGCACTTGAAATTTAATTTAGGTTAACAGGAGATATGGCGGGTAGCACAGAGTGATTATGAAATGCACAGGGCTTCCCTGCCATTCGAGTTTTGATCAATCTCAGCAAAACCCAAAGTTTGCCAAAACCTGGAAACAACTCAAATGTCCATCAACACAGTAGAATGAATAAATGAGTTATGGTATTTCATTCAATATAACATGAATGAAAATGAATGAGATGAAATGAAAATGAATTATGTAAAACTACATGTAACAACAAGGATGAATCCTACACCCATGTGAAATGAAAGAAGCCACACACACACACACTCAAGAAATGCATGTTGTATGATCCTATTTATATAAAGTTCAAAGGTAGGTAAAATTAATCTGTACTGTTAGAAGTGGGAAGAATGGTTTCTATCAGGAAGGAGTAGGTAGAGATTGGGAGGAGTTGCAAGTTGGATTTCTGGGGTGCTACTGGTGGTTAATCTCTTGACCTGAGTGGTAACATAGATATATTCTTTTTGTGATACTTCATTGAGCAGAATACAGTCATAAGTGTCGCTTCATGATAGGGCTAAGTTCTGAGAAATGTGTCAAGAGATTTCATTGTTGTACCAACATCATAGAGTATACTTATACAAACCTAGATTGTATAGCCTACTACACACCTAGGCTAGATGACATAGCCTATTGCTCCCAGGCTACAAACCTATACAGCTGTCACAGAACTGAATACTGTAGGCAATTGTTACAGAATGGTAAGTGTTTGTGTATCTAAATATATCTAAACATAGAAAAAGAACAGTAAACATACAGCATTATAATCTTATGGGACCACCATCATATATATGGTCCATCATTAACTGAAATGTCATTATGTGGCACATGACTGTACTTACAATTTGTGCATGTCATATGTATGATAGTCTAAAGTTCAAATGTTGGATTGGGCCTTGCTTGATTATCCAGGAACTGAGTTTGCAAGAGCTAAAAAGAACCTCAGAATCCCTGCCTAACAGGGATGGCAGGGTCCATTTCTGGACCCTAATGGTAGGTCCATTTCTGGAGTTAGGAAAACTGAGTCAAAAACCTGAGTAGAAGGTTGCAGCAACAGATACAGCAGGACAGGTTGGGGACTGTACTCAGGGGGATCACCAGATACCAGTCTTGGGAGCAAGTTCCACAGAATGGTAGGGCTGAGATTGCTGGCAGGCAGGATTGGCTTGGGGACTGCATAGGCCAGAACATAAAGGTGAAGTCTAAGAGAGGGTATTGCAGAGGATGAGGGGTTGACAGTGGGGAGTGGTATGTTGGGAGCTCAGATCTGGTTTATTTTTAACTCTCATGAGGCCACACTGCCTCCTCTCCTATGTTATTCCCTTCCTAATGTGGATAGTATGGTCAGCCCAGGCCATGGGAGTGTGGCCCCGATTTTCCATGTAGGGAGACTGGCTCTAGTTTCTCAAAAGCACAAGCTGCTGGACCTTTTTCTCAACTGTTGGCCTACGTGGAAGAGACTTGGCTTAATGGAAGGGAGAATGAAGAGAGGCTTTTGGAAAGAGAGGGCCTAAACAGGATCAGCATTGATGCCAAGCAACACAAGGGAGAAGGGACTTTTCTTGGCGTTCATACCACGGTGGGCCACAGTGTGGTGGGAAGGCATATTTGCATATGGTAAGGGGAGGAGCTTAAGGGTAAGAGAGTCTTTGAAGATTGGGAAGCAAGGAAACCAAGGCAGCTAGCCACAGGCAAGGTGTGGGGGCTGCAAACTTGCTATAAACCTGCTCTTCAGATCCACCACTTGCATTTTTAACCCTCAGTCAAAACCAAGGAGCTGCTGAGGAGTGATGCCTAAGATGATAGTCCCCAGGATGTGTGGGGCTGACTTTTTGCTAACTGAACTGCAAATATTTGGAGCCATTTGCTGCTATAACATCTTAAAAAGATGAGGCCCCTCATTGGATATTCCAGTCCCAATTGGGAGAGAATAAGAAGGGCCACGCCTGCCCTCGATCAAGATCTTGAGTGCAATGCAGGGTGGACTCAGAGAGACAAAAACCTAATTTATCCCCAGCTTAGTGTCTGCCAGCCATAAAAAGAAAAAAAAAGGTCGGTGGATAAACAAGAGATGTGCCTAGTGCTGAGAAGCATCTCCTTGTGTGTTCAGAGTTAATTAACATTTAGCATAGCCCCTTTAGGGGTGAGAAGTTGTGATTGTCTTTCTCTAAAGGTTAAATTACCTCCATTATGTTTGCCTTCCTGGGAAGAAAATGCAGGATGAGTTGGAAAATCACTGTTGAAACACAACCGTGACACCACTGTGAGTATGTCTAATTCCCTGGCATGGGGGTTTTAGGCATTAGAAAGTGCATAATAGTAACTAGATTCCAGGATGTGTCTCAGGAAATCCCAAAGGGAAGCTTTTTTTCATTCATAGAATACTTCCTGAAGACATTATTATAGGAAAACTTTATTTAGGAGAGTTTCTTTGATCCTGTACTAGCACATGAGAACATGTAAGCAGATGACAATATCTAATATCTACTGCTGCCTGACCCACTCTGCTTCCCATCCCAGAGTTTCTTTTGCAAAACGCATGGAGCCCTGCTTCGACAAAGCTCTCTAGATAGCACCCAACCTCACCAGGAAGGTCTGATTTATAGCATGTTGATCTTAAGCATGTTAGTGCAACGCCCAAAAGAGAAAGGAAGTCTCAATAAAGGGATATTATAGAAAGTCTTCAGCCAGTGGATAGACTCTCATCTCTAAGCCAGGCTGAGATCACCAGATCAGCAGGATAAAGAACTATTTGGGGCTATATGTACCTAATGAGGCTGGATTCATGAGATCAACAGTATTTAAGGTCCTTGGGCGTAAGTAGGGCAGTAGCTGAGAAGGCCTCTCTCGGCTCTGGCTCTCCTGCCCCTACTCAGAATGCCACACTCACCCAAGGCTTGATGTTGCTCACTGTGGGTCAGTGGCTGTTGTCTCCACCGTCTCTCCCACAGAGGGGGAATAATTGCACCCCCATCACAGACTTTCCACAAGTCAGGATGATCTCTCAGTGGCTCTCAGGTTTCCCAAGTATCTTTCCCCCATGGGCATTTGACTGACAATCTACTAAATCTCTGTACTTCCATTTGCTCATCTGTTAAAACCTGTAGCTGCTCACGGGGCTGTTGTGATGACAAAATGAAATTTACATGATTAAGGTACTTAACTTTCCCCAGTGCCTGCCCATAATAGATGCTCCAGAAGTGTTAGGCATTATTTTAAACCCAGTAGGAGTCTTTAACCACTTGATTTTAATTAGATGACCCTCAGGGGTGAGATGCAGTGGGTGATTTAGAAAGTGCACCCTGGGAGGGCATTTGCTTGGAAGGAATCTTGTAGGAGCAGGTAGAAGGTCCCCAAAAGAACAAAATACGGGTCACCTCACAGGATCCACCACTGGACCGGGATCCTTTACTGAAGCTGGAGCCTCATTATGAAAGAGCTACTTGGCCGGGCACGGTGGCTCACGCCTGTAATCCCAACACTTTGGGAGGCCGAGGCAGGTGGATCACGAGTTCAGGAGAGCGAGACCATCCTGGCTAACACGGTGAAACCCCGTCTCTACTAAAAATACAAAAAAAATTAGCCGGGCATCGTGGGGGGCTCCTGTAGTCCCAGCTACTCGGGAGGCCGAGGCAGGAGAATGGCGTGAATCCAGTAAGCGGAGCTTGCAGTGAGCCCAGATCGCGCCACTGCACTCCAGCCTGGGCGAAAGAGCGAGACTCTGTCTCAAAAAAAAAAAAAAAAAAAAAAAAAAAAAAAAAAAAAGAGCTAATTGATGGTACCTGGGTGCCCAAACCTCTACTGTTGCTATCGTTTCTCCATGTCTGAGTACGTCCCACAAGGAGCAGTAGCAAAAGCTGGTCTTTCAGGGGCTCATCAAACACACTCAGACGTTTCAAATGTCCCAAGATCGGCAGCTTTGATCCTGAATGTTCTTCCCTTGATTAAAACAACAACAACAACAACAACAACAAAATGAAACAATAAAAATTTAAAGAGAAATTTAGGCCGTGCATTTCTAAGAATTTACACTTAGTTCATTAAATCTATTGTTTTCTCAGTTGTTTGAAGTCCAACAAGACTAATGAGCCTTTTTTTCCAAATGTCTTTAAAAATCCTTTTTTCTTACAAGGCCATTTAGAGGCTTTGAACGTTGTTCCAAGGGTAATAATATTAGTATTAATAATAAATTATTCCAAACTCCCAACCCCTGCAGGTTCAGAATTTACTTAATACTCTGAACCCAAGGAATTTAAATTATTACCAGAATTTATTACCTTTTGTTTATGGGGCTTTCCAAACAGGAGAAAGAAACCACGTGGAGGTTCACTAGAGTGCATTGTGTGGTTCGCTTTGCGGTAATGCATATAACCCAGAAGACTTCCAGAACCTTCTCAGCTTGAACCTTCAAAGCCTCCCTAATTTGGTGGAATCAGCATGGTTATGTTGAGATTGTACTGAGGGTACTGACTTTTCAGCCTGGACAATTTTTGGCTGATGGACCAGAGCAAGAGCCCTCGTAGGATTCTCCCATAGGACATACAATCTATGTTACATAAGATGGATGATATATTGTTAGGTGGCTATGGGGTGGAAAGAGAACAATTTTTCTCTGGGGTGTGTGCAAAGGAACTGACTGCCTTGCTGCCCCTTGAACTCTCTACCTTGTCATCTGAGGACCTCTGGTGGTGGAAATTTTCCCAGCGTGTGTGAATTGATGTTTCTGTGCCAAGCCATCCAACCCTGTTACATTTTCCTACATTCCTTTCCTCCTATTTTGTCATTCACATTAAGCAAGGAGCAACAATCAGTTGCAAATACCCAGAATAAAGTGGTGGATGTGCCTGACCAGACTGCCATTTCACAAAAGTTACCTGCTACCTTCTCTTCCAGTGAACTTCTGATACATTTCCTGCAGCAAGAGAAGGCAGCCAACATGAAGGAAAATGTGGCATCTGCAACCGTTTTCACTCTGCTACTTTTTCTCAACACCTGCCTTCTGAATGGTAAGTAAGAGGCTATCACGCTCTCTTTCATTGCCTGGGGTGTTTGTCAACAGGGTGGAGAGTCCATGCAGTCTTCTTGCAATGCCATTATGAAAAATGAAAATGCTGTGTTATGTGCTGCTGTTAAATTATTTGCAATATTTTGCATTAAAGTTAATGCAGAAAAATTAATGCAATTAATGCAAAATCTTGTCACTGTGCTCTCTGCCTTTTGTCCTCATTTCAGGAGTGTAATGAAACAGCTCTGAAGAAGACAGGACCTGAGTTCTAATCCAGGTCCTGCCAGTTTCTAGCTGTGTGACCTAGAGCCAATTACCTAACTCTCTGGGTTTCCAAATTCTCAAAGTGAGGACAGTGATGTTTCCTCTACTGCAGATGAAATAATGTATATGAAAACTCTTTAAAAAACCATAATGGGATATAAGAGGTTGCTGTTACATGGCGGGAAGCAGGTACAGCCGACTCTATTATCTGTGCTAACAGGAGAAATGAAGTCCACAGCTAAATGAGAGGGTGGGTGCCTGTGACTATACACTTCTGTATGTCAACCCATGTGCATTTCTGGGTGTGCAGACTTCTATATGTACCTGTGTATATATTAACTTTTCTATATGGACCTGATTTCAAATGTCTCTCTGTCTGAACCTGTATGTATATACTTTTATGTATGTCTGTGTGTGTTCTGTGTATATCCGTATGTGCACACTTCTCTGCAGGTACCTGTGTGCATACAAGTATGTACTTCCATGAGTATGCACCTGTGTATATTTTTGTGTGTGTGTGTGGTGTGTGTACTTTTGATGCGGGCTCTGTGTGGGCATCTACATACCTGTATATGTGGTTCCTGTGTGGTTTTCTCCGTGTTTCTGTGCATTGAGAAAGTCCATTAATGTTAACTTGTTCCTCTAATGCAGATGAAGGAAACATTTGTCTAATTGTAATTTTACAAATCTACCCTCCTCTCTTGAGCTTCCTGAAGGTACTATTAATAAACAGTAAAATAAGAAAGAGAAGCTTTCAGAGAGAGAAAAAGGGGAAAGCAGAGGTCAGAATGACCCACAAGAGAAACTAAATACTCAAGAAATCAATGATCACCCTAATTGGCTTCCGAGTGTGCTCATTATGGAACCATAGGCTTTAAACTTTTTAAATAAACTTTTCTTTCTACTTCACACACTTCTCCCCACTCATGACAAAAGCAAAGCAAAACAAAAACTTGCATTCTTGCTGTAACTCCCAGCAACACATTATCCTGAATAAATTGTTCCTAGAGGATGAGCAATGTTACAAATATTGGCAGAGCTGACCCGGGCTGGCAAGGACGGGTTTTAGCAGGGCCTGTGAGCAGGAGGGTAGGTGAGTTTCAGCTGACACTACTAGCCTGGTGTCCTGGGCTCCAGCCTGTGTCCCACAGCATGCCATTCCACTAAATTCCTCTTTCTGGCCAGCTCTGCCTAGAGAATCCTCTTCCCACGCATTTCTCCTCACTGAGGTCTCCTCCTAACCTGCTGTTTCTGCTCTGGTGCTCAGCTAGAAACTCTGGCCTTGGAGCCTGCATGAGGGGTAGAGGAGAAAACAGAGAGAACCCCCGGAGGTGCTGACCCATATCTGAAAGCGCTCCTCTCTGCTCCTGATATCCTAAACTCAATGCTAGGGCATCCAGCTAGACAAAAAAGAGGATCAGCTGAAGTCATGTAGGCGAGCATGGTGGCTTCCCAGCCCCACAGTATCAGGGCAAATTCCCAGGGCTCTGCTGTCCCTCTTTGAACCTGACATCCAAGCAAGAGAAATGGGAGCCCGCTTGCCAAGAGCTTTGGGGATTTGGCAACTAAAAAATTTTACACTCTTGGTGTTATATTTTCACACCACCTCACTGAGACCTTCTAGCATCCAGTCTGGAACTGGGTACAGCTCTTAGATAACAGTGGTTGCTCAGAACCAGGAGAGGAGCTGGCTACTCTCCTACCTCTTACCACACCTCCTACCCCAAAAAGATCCATCAAATTATAGTTTTATAGACCCTATGGGATTACAAAAGGGCCACACACTCTTGAAGCCCTACGTATCCAAAGGAAGCCCTTTGCAACCTCACCACACACACACACACACACACACACACACACACACAAAGGAAAGAGAGGAAAATCTAAGAGAAAAAAAAGGACTAAAAACCAAGATTCAGAAATGGGGATGGGGTGGATGAGGAGACAGACTGTGAGTCTGGGTCACAAGATCAAAGCTGAATAAAATCAAGGAAAAGTGGCCAGGTGCAGTAGCTCATGCCTTTAATCCCAGCAGTTTGGGAGGCCAAGGTGGGCAGAGCACGAGGTCAGGAGTTCAAGACCAGCCTGACCAACATGGTGAAACCCCATTTCTACTAAAAATACAAAAACTTAGCCGGGTGTGGTGGTGTGCACCTGTAATCCCAGCTGCTCAGGAGGCTGAGGCAGAATTGCTTGAACCCAGGAGGTGGAGGTTGCAGTGAGCCAAGATCGCACCACTGCACTCCAGCCTGGGCGATAGAGTGAGACTCCATCCCAAAAAAAATCAAGAAAAAGTGAAGGGAAAGGGGAAGGAAAGGAGAAGATGGGGAAAGAGGAAGGAAAGGATGCCCAGATACAGGGAGCTTTAGCGATGTAGTGAACGGACAGAAGATCAGGAACAAGTTGAGTTCATTGTGTGGGGATGGCAGAAAGATGGAGATTGGTGAGCTGAGTGGAGAAGTGCCATAGAGCGGTGTTTTGCCAGAGTGTCTGCGGATTGCTCATACCTGGGAAGGATTCTTTGTATGGTTCCCTTAGGCTGAGGGAGGGTATCAGCTTTACAGACCTTGTGGGATTACAAAAGGGCCACCACACACTCTTCAACCAATATGTGTCTATCTTGCATTCAAGGCTCATTCTTTGTTGAAATTTTGCAGTTGGTCACTAGGCTATTGTTATCTCCATCTCAAAGTACACAGACACACACACACACACACACACACACACCAGCAAAATGCTCTCTAAGAGCAATGCCAACATCAGGGCAGCCCACAGAGGAGTGTTGCTGGATGCTGATGCTTGGCATTCCTGAGCATCCACCCTAGGTCTCCTCAGCCTGAGACTTCATCGCTGGCTTTGGTCCATCAATCTGTTTCTGTCACCAGCAGAAGGGTCAAATGGTTAAATGGACCTCAATATTGATGCAGTGGCTTCTGGCTTTTTCTAGGACAGTTACCTCCTGGAAAACCTGAGATCTTTAAATGTCGTTCTCCCAATAAGGAAACATTCACCTGCTGGTGGAGGCCTGGGACAGATGGAGGACTTCCTACCAATTATTCACTGACTTACCACAGGGAAGGGTAAGAAGTTCCCTTCTCTCCTATGAAACCCCACATGAGTACTCCCATTCTCCAGGCCAAAGAAACACTGGTTCTGAGTGACAGCACATCCCTGAATTTACACCAGTAAGGTTCATACCACCGGGGAAAGGGGAGTCTAAGGTCCATGCCCACATTCTCCTGTTAATGTCTGTTAAGAGCTGTGTCAATATACATAAGGTTACCAGCCATAGCAGTACAATATCAGTGTTACTGGATGCTGATGCTTGGCATTTCTGAGCATCCACCCTAGGTCTCCTCACCCTGAGACTTCATCACTTGCTTGGGTCCCATCAATCTGTTTCTGTCACCAGCAGAAGGGTCAAATGGTTAAATGGACCCAATATTGATGTAATGTTTCAAATCCCCTCTCACAGCTTAGGTTGCAGCCTGAGGCCCCATAGAAGTGTTTCTTAATTGCTAGTTAATCTTAAATGCTCATCTATAATTCTTATGCCATTTGTATTTTTTTTAACTAAACATGTCACTTTTGCAAAATAAGTAGGATCGTGTGAAGTGGTACCATACAATCCTTGACAAATGTGGTATATTAGGTTTTCAAACTTGTTTCATGTTCAAGAAAATAAAGAACCTTGTAGGGAAAAGAAGGTGAGGTTTTTTCCTTAGCACATTGCTCATCCAAGAGCCACCATCTCCTAGAAGACATATTGGGACCTAAGGTTGAAATGAGGGCTAAACCAGATCATCTCTGTGCAAGCATTTTGTTACGCTGACAGTGAGACCCTCCTGAAAATCATGGGAGAGCTGCATTCTTCTTCAGAAAGGAAAATATTTAGTTGCTGGTAGAGACAGCTGGCCCACTTTCCAATGACTGCACTTTGTTGTACACAAAACTGTCATCCCGGCTGAAATCCAAAGGGACATCATGTAAACAGATTTCAGGAACTCAGATGCAACCAGAATTGAACAAGCCTCCACCCCTGTGCAGTGTATCTTGAGCTGAGGTTCCTGAGTCTAAATGTGAGCAGCCTACTGAGCCACGTGGGCTTGAAATACCTCCTCTCAACGTCACTTCACTTTATTGCTGACTTGGTGCAGTCTGAAATGGACCAACATCAGTTTTTGTCCTCTTGAACCCTTTTTTAAAAAACGAAAAGTAATTCAACACGTATGTGAAATAGCTGCTGCATTGTGCATGACCCCTCTGTGTGTGGACAGGTGAAAGTTCCAATTTCCTGAGGCAACCCAATGGGCATGACCTGGGTATGGTGGTGCCTGGGCCATTGAAAGCTCGAGTGTTTATCAGCAGGGAATATAGGTCCCCGAGCCCACAAGAACACTTATAGAAAGGAAGGGTTGATGGAAGAAGAATACTTGAGGCCCTAAAATAACCTTTCCAACATGCTCTTCCCTCTCTCACTCCCAGCTGAAATGGGCAGAACATGGAAGCCTAAGGAACCATTTGTCAGCTCTGGGTTTTGCGCTTGGAATTTCTGATACCCAAAGGCCAGTGGTATTGATCTATGAAGAAAAAAACTAGACTCTCTTTATTACTTTCTTATTCATTCCTAATACATTACTTATTGCAGAGAGACACTCATGCATGAATGTCCAGACTACATAACCGGTGGCCCCAACTCCTGCCACTTTGGCAAGCAGTACACCTCCATGTGGAGGACATACATCATGATGGTCAATGCCACTAACCAGATGGGAAGCAGTTTCTCGGATGAACTTTATGTGGACGTGACTTACATAGGTAAGGGGAAGGAAAGTGGGTGAGGAATTTCTTACTCCACTATGTATTAGCCAATAGTCACACTCAGTTTGAGTCTTCTTGGGTTTTGGATGGATCCCCAAAAAGAAAGATGAGAAAACTCACGATATGCTTGTCAACAGAACAGTTCAAATCATTTTTTATCAAGTCATTCATGACACTAAGGCTGGCACTTGGGATCCTTGTGTTCCTGTGCTTTCCCTTGACCCTCATCCTCTTGCACTCAGCACAAATGTTCTATGTATGTTTCCCTTGCCAACTCTTCTTTCTTGCCCTGCCCTTGCAATTGATGTCCGCTTCTTCCTTGGCAAGCTGGGATTTCTTTTATTTCTCCTCATGGAAGACAGAGCTGCTCCATGAAGAAGAAGTTCTTAGAAGGGTTCATCTGATTCTGCACCCACAGCAATTGCTCCCATTGCTTTGCCCCAAACTCATATATGTGTGTGTGTACATATATATGTTGCATATATGCGATATATATATTAGTGTGTGTGTATATATATATATACATCATTGGTAATTTTTTTTACTAAACATTTACAAAGTAATCATGTTACTTTTATAACATAAGATAATATGAGGTGGTGCCATGTAATTCTTGACAAACATGGTGTTCAAGAAAATAAAGAATGTAGGCTGGGCGCGGTGCCTCACGCCTGTAATGCCAGTACTTTGGGAGGCTAAGACAGGCAGATCATAAGATCAAGAGTTCAAGACCAGCCTGACCAACATGGTGAAACCCCATCTCTACTAAAAATACAAAAATTAGCCGGCTGTGGTGGTGCGTGCCTGTAATCCCAGCTACTCAGGAGGCTGAGGCAAGAGAATTGCTTGAACCCAGGAGGTGGAGGTTGCAGTGAGCCAAGATCATGCCACTGCACTCCAGCCTGGGCCACAGAGCGAGACTCCACATCAAAAAAAAAAAAAGAAAAGAAAAGAAAGAATTTAAATGTTAAAAACTACCAATGGTCTGTGCACACACACACACACACACACACACACAGAGAGAGAGGAAGAGAGAGAGAGAGAGATTTATCACCTCTGCATCTACTGGTGCTGCCAAGGTTGCAGGAAGGTCATCTCCAAGCTGAACGGGAAGCTCTCTGGCATGGCCTTCCATGTCCCCACCACAGATGTGTCGGTCATGGACCTGACCTGCTTTTTAGAAAAACTTGCCAAATATGATGACATCAAGAGGGTGGTGAAGCAGGGACAATGTTCTGGAGAGCCCCATGGTTGTTGTACCTCAGTTGCGCTGAGGGGCCATTCACAGTCTTCTTTATGGAGTGCTGGCATGGACTGTGGACATGAGTCCTTCCATGATGAATGACAAATTTTATATAAGTGTGGTGTGTGTGTGTGTGTGTGTGTGTGTGTGTGTGTATTGCCTTACCCTCAAGCATTATAATATTTGAAGGCAAAACAATGAAAGCAAGAAATGTTCTGAAATTAGCAACTGTTTTAATAAATGCGACCCACAAAAAAAGGGACTCACTAAAGAAAAGTAATATGTTTAAAAAGAGAAATCAACAAGTGTATATGAAATTCTCATTGATCCTGGAAAACAAATTCTCTGGTGAAAGAATATGTTGGACCATATTTTTCAAAATAATAAAAGAAGTGTCCACAGAACTCTCCTATAACCCTGCAGCCTACAGTGTTGGGACAGGCCACGGAAGTTCATTTTAAAATGCACGGTACATTTTCTGACACTTCGACTCTCATCCAGCAATAACCTGCAGTACAGAATGACAACATTGAAAGATAATTGCTCAGGAGTAGAGTTCTTTGTTGTTGAGTAATATTTAGTTACATTGAAAACACTTAAAAGCAGTGGTTCTCAACTGGGAGCTGTTTTTTCTTCCCACAGGATATTTGGCAATGACTGGAGACATTTTTGATTGTCACAAGCTAGGAAAGTGGGGAGATGGGGGTATTACTTGTATGTGGTGCATAAAGCCCAGAGATCCTGCTAAGCATTCTACAAAGCATAGGACATCCCCCTCCAACAAAGAAATATCCAGTCCAAAATGCAAGTAGTGCTGAGGTTGGGAAAGTATGCTCTAAAAGATACATCCTCAACATTTTATTTGCGTTTTTGTATAATTTTTTATCAGAAGCATTGTTTAGTATGTATTTAACTTAAAACATATATTAATTAGCTGCTGTTTGTTTAGGAAATGTGCTCAAAATAATCTTTCTTAGGTATTTACTCAGTAACATATTAGCTTAGACTTGATGGCAATTTTCTTTTTTTAGTACAGGGGACTTTATTGATGGCACATGGCAAAGTGGGTCTCCCTAAGCACCTGCTCTTCAGGGAGTCTGCATAAAAATTGTGAGGGGAGATTCTCACTGAGGTGGAGCACTGAGTGCCACAGGGACTCGCCAGCAGCTGAGGGTCTCACTCTTGCTCTTGTGTGCTCACTGGGGGTGGTGGTCCAGGGGTCTTACTACATGGAGGCCATGTGGACCATGAGTCCACCACCCTGTTGCTGCAGCCTAATTCACTGTCATACCAGGAAATGGGCTTGACAAAGTGGTTGTTGAGGGCGATGCCAGCCCCAAAAGTAGAAGAGGGGGTGTCACTGTTAAAGTCAGAGGAGACAGCCTGGTGCTTAGTGTAGCCCAGGAGGGGTGTGTGTGTGTGTGTGTGTGTGTGTGTGTGTGTGTTTGTGTATTGCCTTACCCTCAAGCATTATAATATTTGAAGGTAAAACAATGAAAGCAAGAAATGTTCTGAAATTAGTAACTGTTTTAATAAATGTGATCCACAAAAAAGGGGATCACTATAGAAAAGTAGTATGTTTAAAAAGAGAAATCAAGTGTATATGAGATTCTCATTGATTCTGGAAAACAAATTCTCTGGTGAAAGACTATGTTGGACCATATTTTTCAAAATCATAAAAGAAGTGCCCACGGAACTCTCGTATAACCCTGCAGCCTATGAAGGGGCCCTCCGATGCCTGCTTCACCACCTTTTTGATGTCATATTTGGCAGGTTTATCCAGATGGCAGGTCAGGTCACCACTGACACGATGGTGGGGACATGGAAGGCCATGCCATTGAGCTTCCCATTCAGCTCAGAGATGACCTTGCCCTCAGCCTTGGCAGCACCAACAGATGCACAGATCATGTTCTGGAAAGCCCCACGGCTGTTGCACCACAGTTTCCCAGAGGGGCCATTAACAGTCTTGGTGGAGTGATGGCATAGACTGTGAACATGAGTCCTTTTGCAATTGATGGCAAATTTTTTTTATTATTATACTTTAAGTTCTAGGGTACATGTGCACAACGTGCAGGTTTGTTACATATGTATACATGTGCCATGTTGGTGTGCTGCAACCATTAACTCATCATTTACATTAGGTATATCTCCTAATGCTATCCCTCCCCCCTCCCCCCACCCCATGACAGGCCCCTGTGTGTGATGTTACCCACCCTGTGTTCAAGTGTTCTCATTGTTCAATTCCCACCTGTGAGTGAGAACATGCGGTGTTTGGTTTTCTGTCTTTGCGATAGTTTTGCTGAGAATGATGGATTCCAGCTTCATCCATGTCCCTACGAAGACATGAACTCATCCATTTTTATGGCTGCATAGTATTCCATGGTGTATAAGTGCCACATTTTCTTAATCCAGTCCATCATTGATGGACATTTGGGTTGGTTCCAAGTCTTGCTATTGTGAATAGTGCCGCAATAAACATATGTGTGCATGTGTCTTTATGGCAGCATTATTTATAATCCCTTGGGTATATACGCAGTAATGGGATGGCTGGGTCAAACGGTATTTCTAGTTCTAGATCCTTGAGGAATCGCCACACTGACTTCCACAATGGTTGAACTAGTTTACAGTCCCACCAACAGTGTAAAAGTGTTCCTATTTCTCCACATCCTCTCCGGCACCTGTTGTTTCCTGACTTTTTAATGATCACCATTCTAACTGGTGTGAGATGATATCTCATTGTGGTTTTGATTTTGCATTTCTCTGATGGCCAGTGACGATGAGCATTTTTTCACGTGTCTGTTGGCTGCATAAATGTCTTCTTTTGAGAAGTGTCTGTTCATATCCTTCACCAACTTTTTGATGGGGTTGTTTGATTTTTTTCTTGTAAACGTGTTTAAGTTCTTTGTAGATTCTGAATATTAGCCCTTTGTCAGATGGGTAGATTGTAAAAATTTTCTCCCATTCTGTAGGTTGCCTGTTCACTCTGATGGTAGTTTATTTTACTGTGCAGAAGCTCTTTAGTTTAATTAGATCCCATTTGTCAATTTTGGCTTTTGTTGCCATTGCTTTTGGTGTTTTAGTCATGAAGTCCTTGCCCATGCCTATGTCCTGAATGGTATTGCCTAGGTTTTCTTCTAGATTTTTTTATGGTTTTAGGTCTAACATTTAAGTCTTAAATCCATCTTGAATTAATTTTTGTATAAGGTGTAAGGAAGGTATCCAGTTTCAGCTTTCTACATATGGCTAGCCAGTTTTCCCAGCACCATTTATTAAATAGGGAATCCTTTCCCCATTTCTTGTTTTTGTCAGGTTTGTCAAAGATCAGATGGTTATAGATGTGTGGTATTATTTCTGAGGGCTCTGTTCTGTTCCATTGGTCTGTATCTCTGTTTTGGTACCAGTACCATGCTGTTTTGGTTACTGTAGCCTTGTAGTATAGTTTGAAGTCAGGTAGTGTGACGCCTCCAGCTTTGTTCTTTTGGCTTAAGATTGTTTTGGCAATACGGGCTCTTTTTTGGTCCCACATGAACTTTAGTTTTTTCCAATTCTGTGAAGAAAGTCATTGGTAGCTTGAATCTGTAAATTACCTTGGGCAGTATGGCCATTTTCATGATACTGATTCTTCCTATCCATGAGCATGGAATGTTCTTCCATTTCTGTGTATCCTCTTTTATTTCATTGAGCAATGGTTTGTAGTTCTCCTTGAAGAGGTCCTTCACATCCCTTGTAAGTTGGGTTCCTAGGTATTTTATTCTCTTTGAAGCAATTGTGAATGGGAGTTCACTCATGATTTGGCTCTCTGTTTGTCTGTTATTGGTGTATAGGAATGCTTGTGACTTTTGCACATTGATTTTGTATCCAGAGACTTGCTGAAGTTGCTTATCAGCTTAAGGAGATTTTGGGCTGAGATGATGGGGTTTTCTAAACGTACAATCATGTCATCTGCAAACAGGGACAATTTGACTTCCTCTTTTCCTAATTGAATACCCTTTATTTCTTTCTCCTGCCTGATTGCCCTGGCCAGAACTTCCAACACTATGTTGAATAGGAGCGGTGAGAGATGGCATCCCTGTCTTGTGACAGTTTTCAAAGGGAATGCTTCCTGTTTTTGCCCATTCAGTATGATATTGGCTGTGGGTTTGTCATAAATAGCTCTTATTATTTTGAGATACATCCCATCAATACCTAGTTTATTGAGAGTTTTTAGCATGAAGGCTGTTGAATTTTGTCAAAGGCCTTTTCTGCATCTATTGAGATAATCATGTGGTTTTTGTCTTTGGTTCTGTTTCTATGATGGATTACATTTATTGATTTGCATATGTTGAACCAGCCTTGCATCCCAGGGATGAAGCCTACTTGATCATGGTGGATAAGCTTTTTGATTTGCTGCTGGATTCGGTTTGCCAGTATTTTACTGAGGATTCTTGCATCAATGTTCATCAGGGATATTGGTCTAAAGTTCTCTTTTTTGGTTGTGTCTCTGCCAGGCTTTGGTATCAGGATGATGCTGGCCTCACGAAATGAGTTAGGGAGGATTCCCTCTTTTTCTATTGATTGGAATAGTTTCAGAAGGAATGGTACCAGCTCCTCTTTGTACGTCTGGTAGAATTCGGCTGTGAATCCGTCTGGTCCTGGACTTTTTTTTTTTGGTTGGTAGGCTATTAATTATTGCCTCAATTTCAGAGCCTGTTATTGGTCTATTCAGAGATTCAACTTCTTCCTGGTTTAGTCTTGGGAGGGTGTACGCGTCCAGGAATTTATCCATTTCTTCTAGATTTTCTAGTTTATTTGCATAGAGGTGTTTATAGTATTCTCTGATGGTAGTTTCTATTTCTGTGGGATTGGTGGTGATATCCCCTTTATCATTTTTTATTGCATGTATTTCATTTTTCTTTCTTTTCTTCTTTATTAGTCTTGCTAGTGGTCTATTAATTTTGTTGATCTTTTCAAAAAACCGCTCCTGGATTCACTGATTTTTTTGAAGGTTTTTTGTGTCTCTATCACCTTCAGTTCTTCTCTGATCTTAGTTATTTCTTGCCTTCTGCTAGCTTTTGAATGTGTTTGCTCTTGCTTCTCTAGTTCTTCTAATTGTGATGTTAGGGTGTCGATTTTAGATCTTCCCTGCTTTCTCTTGTGGGCATTTAGTGCTATAAATTTCCCTCTACACACTGCTTTAAATGTGTCCCAGAGATTCTGGTATGTTGTGTCTTTGTTCTCATTGGTTTCAAAGAACATCTTTCTTTCTGCCTTCATTTCATTATGTACCCAGTAGTGATTCAGGAGCAGGTTGTTCAGTTTCCATGTAGTTGAGCAGTTTTGAGTGAGTTTCTTAATCCTGAGTTGTAGTTTGATTGCACTGTGGTCTGAGAGATAGTTTGTTATAATTTCTGTCCTTTTACATTTGCTGAGGAGTGCTTTCCTTCCAACTATGTGGTCTGCTTTGGAATACATGTGATGTGGTGCTGGGAAGAATGTATATTCTGTTGATTTAGGGTGGAGAGTTCTGTAGATGTCTATTAGGTCCGCTTGGTGCAGAGCTGAGTTCAAGTCCTGGATATCCTTGTTAACTTTCTGTGTCGTCGATCTGTCTAATGTTGACAGTGGGGTGTTAAAGTCTCCCATTATTATTGTGTGGGAGTCTAAGTCTCTTTGTAGGTCTCTAAGGACTTGCTTTATGAATCTGGGTGCTCCTGTATTGGGTGCAAACATATTTAGGATAGTTAGCACTTCCTGTTGAATTGATCCCTTTACCATTATGTAATGGCCTTCTTTGTCTCTTTTGATCTTTGTTGGTTTCAAGTCTGTTTCCTCAGAGAGTAGGATTGCAACCCCTGCTTTTTTGTTTTGTTTTGTTTTCCATTTGCTTGGTAGATCTTCCTCCATTCCTTTATTTTGAGCCTATGTGTGTCTCTGCATGGGAAATGGGTCTCCTGAATACAGCACACTGATGGGTCTTAACTCTTTATCCAATTTGCCAGTCTGTGTCTTTTAATTGGAGCATTTAGCCCATTTACATTTAAGATTAATGTTGTTTTGTGTGAATTTGATCCTGTCATTATGATATTAGCTGGTTATTTTGCTCATTAGTTGATGCAGTTTCTTCCTAGCATTGATGGTCTTTGCAATTTGGCATGTTTTTGCAGTGGCTGGTACCGGTTGTTCCTTTCCATGTTTAGTGCTTCCTTCAGGAGCTCTTGTAAGGCAGGCCTGGTAGTGACAAAATCTCTCAGCATTTGCTTGTCTGTAAAGTATTTTATTTCTCCTTCACTTATGAAGCTTAGTTTGGCTGGATATGAAATTCTGGGTTGAAAATTCTTTTCTTTGAGAATGTTGAATATTGGCCCCCACTCTCTTCTGGGTTTTAGAGTTTCTGCCAAGAGATCCACTGTTAGTCTGATGGGCTTCCCTTTGTGGGTAGCCTGACCTTTCTCTCTGGCTGCCCTTAATGTTTTTTCCTTTATTTTAACTTTGGTGAATCTGACAATTACGTGTCTTGGAGTTGCTCTTCTCGAGGAGTACCTTTGTGGCATTCTCTGTATTTCCTGAATTTGAATGTTGGCTTGCCTTTCTAGGTTGGAGAAGTACTCCTGGATAATATCCTGCAGAGTGTTTTCCAACTTGGTTCCATTCTCCCTGTCACTTTCAGGTACACCAATCAGATGTCGATTTGGTCTTTTCACATAGTCCCGTATATCTTGGAGGCCTTGTTCATTTCTTTTTACTCTTTTTTCTCTAAACTTCTCTTCTCACTTCATTTCATTCATTTTATCTTCAATCACTGATACCCTTTCTTCCACTTGAACAAATCGGCTACTGATGCTTGTGCATGCATCACATAGTTCTCGTGCCATGGTTTTCAGCTTTATCAGGTCATTTAAGGTCTTCTCTATGCTGTTTATTCTAGTTAGCCATTTGTCTAATCTTTTTTGAGGTTTTTAGCTTCTTTGTGATGGGTTCAAACATCCTCCTTTAGCTCAGAGAAGTTTGTTATTACCAATCGTCTGAAGCCTTCTTCTCTCAGCTCGTCAAAGTCATTCTCCGTCCAGCTTTGTTTCGTTGCTGGCGAGGAACTGCATTCCTTTGGAGGAGAAGAGGTGCTCTGATTTTTAAAATGTTCAGCTTTTCTGCTCTGGTTTCTCCCCATCTTTGTGGTTTTATCTACCTTTGGTCTTTGATGATGGTGACGTACAGATGGGGTTTTAGTGTGGATGTCCTTTCTGTTAGTTAGTTTTCCTTCTAACAGTCAGGACCCTCAGCTGCAGGTCTGTTGGAGTTTGTTGGAGGTCCACTCCAGACCCTGTTTGCCTGGGTATCACCAGCAGAGGCTGCAGAACAGCAAATATTGCAGAACAGCAAATGTTGCTGCCTGATCCTTCCTCTGGAAGCTTCATCTCAGAGGGGCACCTGGGTGTATGAGGTGTCAGTCGGCCCCTACTGGGAAGTGTCTCCTAGTTAGGCTACTCGGGGGTCAGGGACCCACTTGAGGAGGCAGTCTGTCCGTTCTCAGATCTCAAACTCTGTGCTGGGAGAACCACTACTCTCTTCAGAGCTATCAGACAGGGACGTTTAAGTCTGCAGAAGTTTCTGCTACCTTTTGTTCAGCTATTCTCTGGCCCCAGAGGTGGAGTCCACAGAGGCAGGCCGGCCTCCTTGAGCTGGGGTGGGCTCCACCCAGTTCCAGCTTCCTGGCCACTTTGTTTACAATCTCAAGCCTCAGGAATGGCAGACACCCCTCCCCCAGCCTCACTGCCACCTTGCAGTTTGATCTCAGACTGCTGTGCTAGCAGTGAGCAAGGCTCCATGGGCTTGGGACCCTCTGAGCCAGGAATGGGATATAATCTCCTGGTATGCCATTTGCTAAGACTGTTGGAAAAGCGCAGTATTACAGTGGTAGTGTCCCAATTTTCCAGGTACCATCTGTCATGGCTTCCCTTGGCTAGTAAAGGGAATTCCCTGACCCCTTGCACTTCCCGGGTGAGACAATGACCTGCCCTGCTTCGCCTCACGCTCCATGGACTGCACCCACTGTCCAACAAGCCCCAGTGAGATGAACCTGGTACCTCAGTTGGAAATGCAGAAATCACCCGTCTTCTGTGTTGCTCACGCTGGGAGCTGTAGACTGGAGCTGTTCCTATTCAGCCATCTTGGAACCAGACCACGGATGGCAAATTTTTAAAAGTTGGTTTTTAGGCAAATGTAACTCATAATGCCAAGTACACTATAGTTACAGTCACTCTTTCCCCATCTGGTACAGAGATTGATTTAAGGAGGTGATAAATGAATGGAGAAAATGTCACTGAACAGCAGAACTGAGACTGGGATGAGGCAAGCCAGCACCCCAGCACCTAAGTCTTAGGAAGGTACTCACAAGGCCTGTACCTACAGGAGCCTACAGAAGTAAATGCCTCCTTCATTTTTTTTTTAATTCTTGCCAGCAGGAAGCCACTTCATTTGTTTTTATTGTGGCAAAAACACAAAACACATATCCACCATTTCAACTATTTTATAGTATGCAATTGAATGCATTAGTTTATTACAATTTTATGCAACCATCACCACTATCTAGTTCTGTAACACGTTTACCTCCCTCAATGAAAACTTCACATCCACTACTAAGCAGTTACTTCTCATTTCTCCCTTCCTCAAGCCCTGGCAATGACTGTCTGTTTCTGGGAGTTTGCCTCGTCTGGATATTTCATATATATATATATATATATATGGAATCATAAAAAATATGTAGCTGTTCCACATTTTTTTTTTTGAAATGGAGTTTCGCTCTTGTCACCCAGGCTGGAGTGCAATGGTGCGATCTCAGCTCACTGCAACCTCTGCCTCCCAGATTCCAGTGATTCTCCTGCCTCAGCCTCCCAAGTAGCTGGAACTACAGGTGCACACCACCACGCCTGGCAAATTTTTTGTATTTTTAGTAGCGATGGGGTTTTACCACATTGGCCAGGCTGGTCTCAAACTCCTGACCTCAGGTGATCCACCTGCCTCAGCCTCCCAAAATGGTAGGATTACAGGCATAAGCCACTGTGCCTGGCCTCTACCACATTTTTTATCCATTCATCAACTGATGGACATTTGGATTTCTTCACTTTTGGCTATTATAAATAGTGCTGCCATGAAAATTCACATACAAGATTTTCTTAAACATCTGTTTTCAATTCTTTTGAATCTATATCTAGGAGTGGAATTGATGGGCAATATGGCAACTCTAAGTTTGACTTTTTGAGGAACTTCCAGACTGTTTTCCACAGTGGTTGCACCAGTTTACATTCCTACCAGCAGTATTGAGGGTTCCAATCTCTCCACATCCTCACCAACACTTGTTATGTTTCATTTTTTAATTCTTGCCATGCTAGTACATGTGAAATGGTATCTCACTGTGGTTTTGATTTGCATTCCCCAGAAGGCTAATGACCTTGAGCATCTTTTCATGTGCTTCTTGGCCATTTGTCCCTCCTTGAATTTTGTATCCTATGCACTTCACTCACGTCAGCCTAATCCCAGGCCTGCTCTCCAGCACCTGACATCAAACGCAATGTCTTACAACCATGGTAGAGTGAAATAGTAGAGACCACTTCCTCTAAGTCACATAGTTATGGGTTCAAATAACACTTTTACCAAATATGTGACCTTAGGCGAGTAATTTCCCTCTTCTAAGCCTGTTTCCTCCTCTGTAAAATGAATGGGTACAATAATAGTACTTCATGGAGTTGCTGGAGGATTATAAGAAACGATGCAGAGATAGTATTTTATACAGTCCCTGGCATGTAGTAAATACTCGAGAAACATTAGCTGTCATTTTGCTAATGGGAATTCGCTAAGCATTTGTTGAATGAGTGACTGGGCCAACAGGCTGTTATGAAATCACCAAAAGGATCATTGCCAAAAAGCTCAACCTCCATTTAGCTTATGGGAGAGTGGATCTCATTTACCACAGGGTGTAATATGTATGTTGAATATAAGATGTAATTGCTGAAACGAAGATGGAATCTGTAAACCTGTTATCTGCAGAGTTATGATTATGAATAGTTCATTTACAAAAAACTGTGTGTAACTAAGGAGAATCTCATGCCCAGCTGAGGGAAATAAGCTGTTTGAAATCTCTTTCCCTATAGTCTTCCATGCCAACTCCCACTTGCAAATCCCAGCCCAGTTTTTATCACCTGGTCTCTGTCATCATGAAAATTATGGGGATAGCTATGAGATTCTAACTGATGAAAAGCGAGAACATGCGGAGAATGAAATACCAGCTGCTTATTATTCTTACCATGTAAACCTCATCTGTATGCACAAATATGATTGGTCACATACTAAGAGGTAGAAGACAAAAGGCCCGGGTATTTGGGGGGCTTATAGTACAGTGGGAAGAGTGAGATGATAAACAGAAAAAGGAATTCCTAATAGAAAATGGTAAAGCCAAAGAAAAGGTGCAAGCAATGAGTGCTACTGGCATTTGCTGTATTTCTGCAGTTCAGCCAGACCCTCCTTTGGAGCTGGCTGTGGAAGTAAAACAGCCAGAAGACAGAAAACCCTACCTGTGGATTAAATGGTCTCCACCTACCCTGATTGACTTAAAAACTGGTTGGTTCACGCTCCTGTATGAAATTCGATTAAAACCCGAGAAAGCAGCTGAGTGGGAGGTGAGTGATCCATATGCTTTTTGAAGGAACTATGGCCTTTGGCAAGGATAAAGCCCTCACAACTGAAAACAGGTCATTCCTCCTAATTACTGGGTCACTGTGTTGGCCTCCAATGCAGTTGTGACCCACCCAGATGTGAAAAGCCCTTTTCCCCTCTATTGGGATTGATGGGGGCTCATCTTCACAGCTCTCCTCGGGCTAGTTTCTTGTACTGCTCAGACACTTGACCAGGTTTCCAACCTGCCTCCCTTAGTACATTTTAGATCTAGACCCTTGTAAGAGTACTTAAATGGCACAAGGTGGGAGGGGGCAGTCTCAGTATATCCCGTCCATAGTCAATGGCTGTGTTTTTATTTACTTTAAAATACCTCAACCAGGCTGGGTGCAGTGGATCACACCTGTTAATCCCAGCACTTTGGGAGGCCGAGACAGGTGGATCACCTGAGGTCAGGAGTTCAAGACAAGCCTGGCCAACAGGAAGAAACCCCATCTCTACTAAAAGTACAAAAAAATTAGCCAGGTGTGGTGGCGGGCACCTGTAATCCCAGCTCCTCGGGAGGCTGAAGCAGGAGAATCTCTTGAACCCAGGAGGCGGAGGTTTCAGTGAGCTGAAATCGCGCCATTGCACTCCAGCCTGGGCAACAAGAATGAAACTCCATTTGGAAAAAAAAAAAAGGCTGGGCTCAGGGGCTCACACTTGTAATCCCAGCACTTTGGGAGGCAGAAGCAGGTGGATCACTTGAGGTCAGGAGTTTGAGACCAGCCTGACCAACATGGCAAAACCCAGTCTCTACTGAAGATACAAAAAACTTAGCCAGGCATGGTGGTGAGTGCCTGTGATCCCAGCTACTCTGAAGGCTGAGGCAGGAGAATTGCTTAAACCTGGGAGGCAGAGATTTCAGTGGGCTGAGGTCATGCCATTGTGCTCCAGCCTAGGTGACAAGAGCGACTCCGTCTCAAAAAATAAATAAATAAAAATAAAAATAAAATAAAATACTTTGACCTAAAGAAATAATATTAAATTGCAGGTGGTACAATATTCCATCTTTACATACTTTAGTATATGCCTCTTTTAAAAAGGCACATTTCCAAACATAGCCAAAATAATAGGATCACACATAGGAAAATTAAAATTCCTTAATATCGTTTAATACCCAGTCCCTAGTTTAATTCCTCCCAATGTTTCCGAATATCTTTAACAGCTACTTTGTCCAAACCAGAATCTGCTCGTAGACCACACATTGTAACTGGTCGTTATATCCTTCAGTTTCAGTGTAATGAGGAGACTGGGCCACTTGTCCCATAGAGTATCCCACCTTGTACCTTTCTCTGATCAGTTCTTTGTGGGGTTATTTAGCTAATTTCTCTACGCCTCCATTTCCTGTAACCAGACTTGATTAGATGTAGGTTGAACAATTTTTACCAAGAATTGGTAAATTCAGAGGTGATATTATGTACTCTATATTGTATTTAATCAGATGTCAAAAACTATCTGGTTGACCCACCATAAGTGATGCTAAAACTGGCCCCTGAATTGAGGAGATGACAAACTGATCCCTTGATTGTAAGGTCATGTTTAATTTGTATACTACTACTTTACCATACATGAATGCCCAATTCTCTTTCACCTCATGTTTTTAACACCAATTTATTATTGAATCAGTTATTTCATTAGGGTTTAAAGGCTAACAATTCTTTAATTTTGTTATTCTTTTTTTTTTTTTTTTTTTTTTGAGACGGAGTTTCGCTTTGTCACTCAGCTGGAGTGCAATGGCACGATCTCGGCTCACTGAAACATCCGCCTCCCAGGTTCAAGCGATTCTCCTTCCTCACCTTCCCAAGTAGCTGGGATTACAGGCATGTGCCACCATGCCTGGCTAATTTTGTATTTTTAGTAGAGACAGGGTTTCTCCATGTTGGTCAGGCTGATCTCGAACTCCCAACCTCAGGTGATACGCCTGCTTCGGCCTCCCAAAGTGCTGGGATTACAGGCATGAGGCACCATGCCTGGCCAATTTTGTTATTCTTTCTACATTTATTAAGTAGTTGTTTTTCATAAAGTGGGAAGGAGGCAGAATATTTGACTTTTCTGAAGTAGAGTCCCAAATGGAGAGATAGAAAACCTGCTAAATTTTTGTGTGAGCAATTTTAAGAGAAGGAAAAGATAGGGCTAAGACAGTGGAGTAGTGACAGCAGGGAATTCTCTGTATATGATTGTTCAGCCTAACTTAGTTTATTTTTTAGGGGAAAACTCTCTTTCTTCACAACAAATGTTAGAATTGACTTCTGTTTTCCTTATTCTACCTTAGATCCATTTTGCTGGGCAGCAAACAGAGTTTAAGATTCTCAGCCTACATCCAGGACAGAAATACCTTGTCCAGGTTCGCTGCAAACCAGACCATGGATACTGGAGTGCATGGAGTCCAGCGACCTTCATTCAGATACCTAGTGGTGAGCGTCTTGGCTCTTTTTTGCTTATGTCCCTAAATATGTTTTAAATGGTATATTTGCATATAATAACTACTAATAGAGAAACCATTTTGAGCCTTAGCCAGAACAATAGAGGTGGGTTTATAATCTTTCTGCCCAATACGAAGACATTTTGAAAAGCAGCATTGCACCCTGGATTACTGTCAATGGAGAACAATTTTAGGATAAGGCTACAGACATGGGTCTGATGCCCCAAGGGGCTTGATGAGCAGTTATTATGCTCCCACCATCTTCCCTATTCCCATCATTTAGAGGATTTGGTCAAGGTCATCCTCTAGTTCTTCCAGAATTTATAAGGCAGTACCGTGTCTCAAAGGCTCAGTCTCTGCCATGGATTACACTTGGCACCTTGTCTCTTAGTGAAGACACAGGATATAAGATAGACAGCTCCAGCAAAGCACCTTAATTCAGTAGCTTGTGTTCTATAAGGGAACAATCCATCTTGCATTTTTAAAATGCTTTACAGCTTACAAAGCCTGTACCTTATTTGGTCCTCCCAACCCTCCCAGGTATTCAGAGAATATGATTATCATTAAAAATTAAAAGTGAAGAAACCAAACCTCAGCAAAGTTAGGAGTCTTTTCCAAAACCACACAGGAAAGTCTAGCTTTTCTAACAACTTGCCTGACCAAAGTATCGGGCTTTCATTGGCTTGGCATGCTGGAAAGGGCACTGAACTGCAAATCAGGCAGGCATCTAGTCCACTCCTGACTCTTGCTTAACAAAAGCACAGGGTCTAGAGGCAGAAAGCCTGAGTTCAAATCCCAGCCTGCAACACTATAGTTATGTGGCCATTGGTAAATCTTTCTTTGATTCCCAGTTTTCTTATCTTTTATAACAAAGCAATGTAGGCAAAGAGTTTAACACCATTGATGGCTTTTAGTAAGAACTTAATGTTAGCTTTTATTATTATTACTGCAAACGACCATGTGACCTTGGATTTCCTCTTTAAGGATCAATTAAAAAGAATAATGAAAGGATTTTTAAATTTTTAGAGTACTATAAAATATACGCAACATATTAACATATTAATAATATTTAAAAGAGAATAGCCCTGTCATTGATGATACTTTGGATTGCTGTTCAAATCAAAAAAATATATGAATGGAGGAAAACACTCTTGGGTTTAAGAGTTTCATTCATTAGGTTGGTTTGTTTTTAATGATGCTGTACGTGATCAAAGCTTTCTGGCTGTTTGTTTTTTAGACTTCACCATGAATGATACAACCGTGTGGATCTCTGTGGCTGTCCTTTCTGCTGTCATCTGTTTGATTATTGTCTGGGCAGTGGCTTTGAAGGGCTATAGGTACTTCACTGTCTCTCAACTTTTCCTCCCAATCATGATAGTCAAGGATAATGACAAAAAAAAAAATACAAAGATGATGGAAACCTGTAGATAATCCTCATTTTAGCCATTAGATGTAGTGTGTTTGCCCATAAAAAAAATCTTTTATCAGTGCTATAAAAAGTAGAAAAATTGACTCGTTTCAGGCTGATGTTCTTTCTATGAAACAGAGATTCCTAGTTGTGAAACAGTAAAAATCTGGCAAGAGTAGCTAAAATCAAGAGAAGCAAATAGTCCAGATAATCCACTAACTTCAAAATCAGCCTCCTTAATTAGCTAAAGTTAATTTTAATATAGGCCTCTGTAATTTTATTTTCATCATTGATTGTTTCATGGAGCTGCCAAACCAAGTCCTATCTCTATCACAGTCCCTATAGTGGCTATTATACTAACCTTTCAAAAATTACAAAGTCAGAAATGAGTCATTTAGCCAATCTCATGAATTATTTTATAGCATGGTGACCTGCATCTTTCCGCCAGTTCCTGGGCCAAAAATAAAAGGATTTGATGCTCATCTGTTGGAGGTAAGTACAGGAGGCAAAAAAATGGAGTGTGACTCACTGCTCTGTAGTAATTAACTCTACACACTCACACACAGTCCCCGTCAGTTCAGCCTGGTAGTTTCAGCCAGCCTTTTTGGACTGTCTCTCCTGGTCAGCATGTGTGTTAACAGAAAGTTGTGTGAAGGATGAGGGTACTTACTTTCACACACTAAATGTCAGAGGGCAAGGAGAGAAAGCCAAGAAAACATGGAAACACATTTATTGATTTATCAGATCTACTCATAAGCATAGAGATAAACATTTTATACAAATAATCAATTTAGAAAGAGAGTGAATATTTTGATTAATGCAAAACAGGGACCCACCACCACCCCCTCAATCATACATTGGTAAAAGCTTCTACTTGAATGTTCTTTACATAAAGCCATAGTAACAGAATATCCCATTGCCATTATCTCTCACTTTGGGCACTCAGCTGAGACCAGATCAGTACTGTGGGGCCATCTGTTTGCCAGGACCCATTTGGGCTGATTCAAGAGGGAATTAAATAATGAGTGTTTTGAATGAAAAGAGAGGTTAGAACAGTTTTAAATTTTTCTCCAAATTGAAATAAATAGTTTCAGTTTGGCTTTTAAGCTTAACACTGACATATATAAAAGCAACTAGCTGTACATTAAGGCAAATACTTGACCCAGCTGCTCTGGGTCTGACAGTGTAAGAATAGAAGAATTGAGTCCTGGATAATCTGGCTTGTCTGTGTTCACTTTGGTTGCAAATATCGAAGCAGGGACTAGAGCCCAGGAGTCCCAGCTCCTGACCCAGTGCTCTTCCTCCACTATCCAGTGTAGCATTGGCCTGATAGAACCAGCATGAATGTCTCAGCAAACTAAACTAGTTACTGTCCAGCTCACAATTTAACCTGCTAGCCACAGAGACTTAACGATAAAATAGCTACTTTTGTCTCAAAAATATGTGTTAGTATTCTTAATGATATTACCTCTAATCCTCAAAAGAACCCTCCCAGATGGGTAGTATTAATATTATTTTCTACCTTTTAAAAATGGAGAAGCTGAAGTTCAGAGAGCAGCTTGTCCAAAGTCACATACCCTATAATAAGTGATAAAGCCAAGACCTAGGTCAGTACCTGACCCAAGTCAGAGGATAAGAAAAAAGAGGCCGGGCGCGGTGGCTCACGCCTGTAATCCCAGCACTTTGGAAGGCAGAGGCGGGCAGATCACGAGGTCAGGAGATCAAGACCATCCTGGCTAACATGGTGAAACCCTGTCTCTACTAAAAATGTAAAAAATTAGCCAGGCGTGGTGGTGGGCGCCTGTTGTCCCAGCTACTCGGGAGGCTGAGGCAGGAGAATGGCGTGAACCCGGGAGGCGGAGCTTGCAGTGATCCGAGATCATGCCACTGCACTCCAGCCTGGGCAACAGAGCGAGACTCCGTCTCAAAAAAAAAAAAAAAAAAAAGAGGCAAGAGTGAGAGGAGGAGGCAGGAGGAAATAGGAGGGGGAAAGGAAGGATAGAAGCAGGGAGAATAATAGGAAGGGCGGAAATATGGAATAGGGTGATGAAGGGGGAGAAGAGAAGGAGGGAGAGGAAGTAGAGTAGAAGAAAACAGTAGATTAGGAAGAGGGAGGAGAAGGGAAGGGGAAATAAGAAGAGGAAGGAGAGAAGGAAGATGAACCACAGAAGGAAAAGACAAGAATCCACTTACTATTGCCAGACTCTAGAAAGTGATAGAGGAAGTTAGCAGGCCAGCAACCACACCTCTGCCAGTGGGCCGCAGTGTCAGATGCATGCATAAGCACTGTGGGTTTAGAAGTTTCACAAACCTTCATTTTATAGTTATCTGTTTATTATTGTATGTGTATATACTACTTGCCCATTAAACTCATGATTATTATTGCTTGGAGAGAGACTACGTTAAATATCCTGAGTTGACTTTAAAAAAAAAAATCTGCTGAATAGTATCCAGAAGGTGATTCTAGATGGCCTGGCACACAAATGTCTGAAGTTTGAGATCTTCCCACCTGCTTGTGGCAATGAACAGCACCACTTAGCAGGGATGCTGATTTGGAATGTTATGAAGCTAACAGCCATCTCTTCTTGTGTCTGTGTTTTAATAGAAGGGCAAGTCTGAAGAACTACTGAGTGCCTTGGGATGCCAAGACTTTCCTCCCACTTCTGACTATGAGGACTTGCTGGTGGAGTATTTAGAAGTAGATGATAGTGAGGACCAGCATCTAATGTCAGTCCATTCAAAAGAACACCCAAGTCAAGGTATGAAACCCACATACCTGGATCCTGACACTGACTCAGGCCGGGGGAGCTGTGACAGCCCTTCCCTTTTGTCTGAAAAGTGTGAGGAACCCCAGGCCAATCCCTCCACATTCTATGATCCTGAGGTCATTGAGAAGCCAGAGAATCCTGAAACAACCCACACCTGGGACCCCCAGTGCATAAGCATGGAAGGCAAAATCCCCTATTTTCATGCTGGTGGATCCAAATGTTCAACATGGCCCTTACCACAGCCCAGCCAGCACAACCCCAGATCCTCTTACCACAATATTACTGATGTGTGTGAGCTGGCTGTGGGCCCTGCAGGTGCACCGGCCACTCTGTTGAATGAAGCAGGTAAAGATGCTTTAAAATCCTCTCAAACCATTAAGTCTAGAGAAGAGGGAAAGGCAACCCAGCAGAGGGAGGTAGAAAGCTTCCATTCTGAGACTGACCAGGATACGCCCTGGCTGCTGCCCCAGGAGAAAACCCCCTTTGGCTCCGCTAAACCCTTGGATTATGTGGAGATTCACAAGGTCAACAAAGATGGTGCATTATCATTGCTACCAAAACAGAGAGAGAACAGCGGCAAGCCCAAGAAGCCCGGGACTCCTGAGAACAATAAGGAGTATGCCAAGGTGTCCGGGGTCATGGATAACAACATCCTGGTGTTGGTGCCAGATCCACATGCTAAAAACGTGGCTTGCTTTGAAGAATCAGCCAAAGAGGCCCCACCATCACTTGAACAGAATCAAGCTGAGAAAGCCCTGGCCAACTTCACTGCAACATCAAGCAAGTGCAGGCTCCAGCTGGGTGGTTTGGATTACCTGGATCCCGCATGTTTTACACACTCCTTTCACTGATAGCTTGACTAATGGAATGATTGGTTAAAATGTGATTTTTCTTCAGGTAACACTACAGAGTACGTGAAATGCTCAAGAATGTAGTCAGACTGACACTACTAAAGCTCCCAGCTCCTTTCATGCTCCATTTTTAACCACTTGCCTCTTTCTCCAGCAGCTGATTCCAGAACAAATCATTATGTTTCCTAACTGTGATTTGTAGATTTACTTTTTGCTGTTAGTTATAAAACTATGTGTTCAATGAAATAAAAGCACACTGCTTAGTATTCTTGAGGGACAATGCCAATAGGTATATCCTCTGGAAAAGGCTTTCATGATTTGGCATGGGACAGACGGAAATGAAATTGTCAAAATTGTTTACCATAGAAAGATGACAAAAGAAAATTTTCCACATAGGAAAATGCCATGAAAATTGCTTTTGAAAAACAACTGCATAACCTTTACACTCCTCGTCCATTTTATTAGGATTACCCAAATATAACCATTTAAAGAAAGAATGCATTCCAGAACAAATTGTTTACATAAGTTCCTATACCTTACTGACACATTGCTGATATGCAAGTAAGAAATAATGCCTCCAATTTTTTCTTAAAATAGTTTAGATATGTTAAGCATGGATTTTCCCCCTAAATTCTACTCTAAAGCTTCTATAAAATATAGTTTGGAAATAAAAATGTTCTTACACAAGGGGCAAATGAATTTCATGTGAATCCCTTTAGGATGTTTTCCTCCTTCATTTCAGCATGATAGATAATTTATTATACACCTTAGTCTTTCCTTAGTTAAAAAAAAATTCCCTAAAGACTAACTTGAAAAGAAAACCACAGCAGGATGCTAATGGAATTACTGCCTTACTGTACATACAAATTCTACTTTAATATAAACCCATAAGTTTAACTGTATTTTTGAAGACTATTTTTCTATGACTTAGGTAAAATAAAAGACTATTTTCTATTTTCCCAGTACAGCTGTTTATGTATTCAGTGGGTACAGTATTTTCTGCTGCAAGGTTATAATGTGTATTTACAGTACATAGTAGTATATAAAGTTCCCGTTTGTGGAGTAAAATGCCATACCAACCCAAAGCCCACTGTGAAATATGAAGTGAATGACAAAATTCAGTTTTCAACGCAATATAGTATAGTTTATCTGATTCTTTTGATCTCCAGGACACTTTAAACAACTGCTACCACCACCACCAACCTAGGGATTTAGGATTCTCCACAGACCAGAAATTATTTCTCCTTTGAGTTTCAGGCTCCTCTGGGACTCCTGTTCATCAATGGGTGAATCTTCCTAAAGCTACCATAAAAAGGGAGGGCGACGATTTCTAACAGCTGTTTAAAAGAGAGAGGTTTTGCTTTTGTGAGAAATCTTGGGCCACAAAAAAATTTTAAGCAAAGCCAGGAGTTAGTGTCTCTCTGAAGTAAATTCAATTGCAAAATCTTGGCAGAGGCAGAAATGGCTCATATCAGAAGTGTCCAAATAAAAGTTCTGGGAAACTAGGTATTTGCTTCCCAGAGCAATGGGAATAGCTCCAAAGGTCAGAGTAAGGTAATGAGAATCTCCCGGTCAATTCCAGTGCCAGGCTTCCTGAAAGAAGTCAAAGCTTGGATCCTCATTTTAAAGGGCGCATCCATGACTCATCTAGCAGCCCCTCTCTATTTTTCCCTTCACTTGATGGTAAATCCATTCTATATGTCCATTTACTAGCTGGACATAGAGAACTTGAGCTCACCTCTGGGAGTTAAATATTCCACCCCAACTATCCCATATTGATAGCAACTGGACTCAGAGGTCCCCCTCCTGTTTGAAAGTGAACACATTGCCAATGTTTTGAGAATGGCAAAAGCAATAGATACGAAGCTCCATTTTTCTAATATATAAACAATATCATGTGAGTAAGGGAAGCGTGTGGGAAAGTTGTCCAAGCTCATTCAGTCCCCTAAATCCTCGATACTTTAACTGTCTGAGAACCAACTGCATAGGCATCACCTGGGCAGTGTTTGAAAATTCCATTTGCAGAATCTTAAGCATCAGAATCTGCATTTTACTAAGATCCCCAAATGATTCAATTGCACACTGAAGTTTGAGAAGCATTGTTCTAGACAACCATTTCCACTAAAGGTTATTTTAGTTCATAGTAACAATCCTCTTTTGGAAAGGACAGATCAAGTCTGTTTGACTTGCAATGAACAACACTGCATGTAAGCAGGCAAAAAAAGAAACATATCAGTAGTTTAAGATTCACATTATGCTGAATCTTATATGAATTCACATAAAAGAATGACCTGCAAAACTACGCACAACTTCTGAAAGGCCAAGGAATATAATCTACCTTGAGAGACATTAACCAAAGACAGTCACCCTCAAAGCCAATGCAGACTAAATCTTTCCTAACATAGTCTATTCTCTAAGAATAGAGAAGATATGTATCAGTCACTCTTATAGTCTGAAAACCTAAACATAAAAGTAATCTGCTTTTGACATATAATTTTGTATAATACGTATGAAAAAATGTGACAGCTAAGGACTTGAATTAAATCCCTAAAAAACAATTAGCCACTCATTAGGCCAAGACTTTAATTCTATGATCAATTAGCACTGTTTATCTGAATTAAGCTTTTTTGTGGTCTAACAAAAAGTTTTTTTGTGGTCTATCAAGGAGACAGCTGTTCAAATGGAAGGATACATGTGGGGCAGGGGGGCGGTGAAGAGACCTAGATTCTGGTCCTAACTGCTTTGCCTTGGAGAGATTAATTCCCCCCTCTAAGCCTCAGTTTCCTCTGAAGATGTTGGACCAGATAACCTCTAAGGTCCTTTGAAACTGACTCCTTGATTCCATGACTCACTGAATATTTTTCTGCAAAGATAATCCCAACCAATGCCTTCTATCCTAATCTAACAAAAAATTGCTCTTCATCATAGAAATACAAAGTAATCTTCAGTGATGTGCTCTTTATACTTTGCTTTTTAAACCGTCCATTCCAGTTGGTCTTAATATATTGCACAAGTATTTTATAAGTGAAATGTGTACAGAATCATATTCTAAGATTATGTGCAAATATATGTGTAGAAAGAGGCATTTAAAAAAAGAGGCAGGAGATTGAGAAGAGACATATTGAATGAGGCACTAATCTTTAGAAAAATGATCTTTTACTGAATCAAGCCATGCTCATTCCTTGCTGAATCCAACAGCCCCAAATCTCTTTTCTTATATTTGGCTGTTAATTTTTTTCCTTGCACCATCCTAGATTGTTAACAACCATTGCACAGTTGGCTCATGTATCCTTACACTCTGAGTTATAATAAGTTGTATTTTTATAAACAAATACCTAAATATTCAAGTTTTAAGGCGCATGGAAACTGAATCTAGGCAACGGGTGATTTGTGTAGCTTACAACCTGAACAGCAAGATGTTCCAATTCATTCTAACAGATGTGTATAAGCACAAGTTATATCAGCTGTGTCAGATATTTAACAGATCCTACATTTATTAGCTATATAACAGACTCTACATTTTCCTAAGTGCCTAAGACCAATCCTGGTAGTCACTTAAGTACAAAAGACTCACTTTAACTGGCTTGGTCTGAAGGGGTCAATCCTTTACTGCCTGTACAAGATCTGGGCAGTTTTGCTCTGTGTCTTGTGATGACCCAGCTGAATGTGAAAAGCCTATGAGTTATTGAGCAACCAGAGGTCCCTGCATTCCAAGTTGCAGTTTAGCTCTGGGGAAACTCTGGCTTTCTCTTTCCTCAAGTGTCCACCACTGCCCATCATTTGCAGAAAGACTTGGCCCTGCCTTTAGCAACTTCCCTATCTCCTTAGAGTAGACAAGAAAGAAACAGATTTGTGCACATTTTACAAAGTGCCTTCCTCTATTTTTTTTTAAAGTTTTCATTTTGCAAGGAAAAATGTATTGATTAGAAAGTAACATTTGCCTTATAGGGATTATATATATATATAGATATAGATATAGATATGTATGAATGGAGAGATGAGAAGAAGCCAGAAAGGGCACAACAAAATGGTCTAAGGGCCAACCAGCAATGTTCAGTGAATGTTTACGTATTGTTTAATTGAATCAACACAGAGCTGTTGTGAATAGTGTGACTTACTTTGCCTGATAAGAAATTGAGGCTGGCTGTGATTTGGGGATAAACCTGCCACCCTGTGATTTGAGACTCTCCATACCAAAACTTATTGATACATTTTTGAATGTCATTGGCTTACATGCCTAAACCTGAAGAGAACAATGCATGCACATTGGAACTTTGTACACAAACAGAAAAATATAAATGACTTTGAATTACCATCCCAAGCATTGCTAACGTAGATGTGCCATTGACGAAAGTCTCATGTGTTCTTGAGTGAACAAATTTCCTTTTCTTCCTTTTTGGCTCAAGCACAATAATGCTGTCACTGAGACAGTGACTGAGCACTCAATGTCCAAGACTAAATCACATCACCACGACTAAGTAGGCACTATGTCCTGGGATGAGTCTTTTAAACTCTGGCCATCAGGTTCCTTACTTGTTAAATAAGTAGGTTGGCCTAAAAGGTTTCTAAGACCTCTCATGATCTAGGTAAAATCCAGGGTTTCAGGTCAGTGTCCCTGGTGCAGTGCAAGAAAGCCTTGCTGACACACCCTTGGCCTGAAGCAGTGAGCACATGAGATTGTGTGACAACGCTTCAGAGAAAAACAGAGATCTGTTCCTCCAACTCAGATTGATTTAACATCCTTGCTTCTCCTTTTCCTTCCTGGCTTTACATATTTGTAGGGTTTTTACTCCTTCTCCAGAGCCTACTATTTTCCTAAGAGTTAGTAGCAACCATAGGATCCACAAGAAATGAAATTATTCATCAACAATGACTTTGGCACTGCAAAAGACTGAGTCAAAGGTTAAATCAGTCACACAGATATCCAAGGCCAAGTTGAAGATCACAAGTATATCCCATTTAGAGATTTGCATACTTAGAGATTAAGCCCATGTTCATTAATTATTTAGTTAATTCAAAAGCCATTAATAAATCCATGCCCAGCCTACGCAACATAGTAAGACCCAGTCTCTACAAAAATTTTAAAAATTAGCCAGCCATGGTGACACGTACCTGTAGTCCTAGACACTTGGGAAGGTGAAGCCAGAGGATTGCTTGAGCCCAGGAGGTCGAGGCTGCAGTGAACCGTGATTGTGTCACTGCACTCCAGCCTGGGTGAGAGAGCAAGACCTTGTCTCAATAAATAAACCCAAGTTACTTCGATGACTAGATACTGGAGGTCTGAAGGAGAAGCTTTAAAAATACAGATTGATTGCTTCAGAGAAATCCTATTTATAATTATGATCTGAACTTATTCTATGATTAGCAAATATATCATCTGAAAATAAAACAGGAGTTCTCTCCCCAGACTTTTGTTTTTCAGGATGGTGAGTTTTGGTCTGGGACCCTCATGGCACCCATTTTGATAAAAGGAAAAAGATAGTAAAACAGGAAATAGGAAGTTTCCAGAGATTTGGGCATCTCAGGATTCCATGAAATGCTGAGACTAACCCACTAAATCCAAATTTTATTGGCTATGGTAAATCTAAATCTGTTCAGTGTTCTGAACAGATTTTATGAGTTTATGTCTAAGAGTTTATGTCTAAGAGAGGTACATAATTCACAAACACTATCATGCTGGCAGCTGTTTTGTCCACATCAATTCCCTTGATTTAATGCTCTGATTTCAATTTAGAAAGTACTGAGACATGTAAAGTCTCAAAATAGGAAAAACCTATCCTGTTTATAAGGTGTGGTCAATAAATAGACCACAGATAATCTTAGTCTATTAATTAACTCTCAGATCATCTTAGACTATTAATTAACATTCTGCTTGCTGCTGATTAAAAAGAAAAAAACCCTAAAACCTTCAGCAACTGAAGTAGTAATATAAAAAATAACCTTTAATAGTTATGGTCAAATTACGCTTCACTTGGATAAACCTCAAAATGTAGTCTGAGTTTTTTTGTGCACACTTCACAAATCCTGGGGGAAAAATCTTTTTTCCACGTTATCTGAAAAACTATATGGCGAAGATACCGCTGAAAAATAATTTGTTTTATGAAATTCCTGAAAAGCTAATTTTGAATTTTTTAAAGTAACTACCTCCCTTTTGTGTCCTAATGTCCTTCCTTCAAAGCTGCTTATAGTTTAGAAATGAAAGATGTCATGTCTCATGCTTTGACTGGTTTTCGGTGGCATATTTGATGTATTTGCCAAGTGGCATTACTGACTTTACAGTAACTGTTACATTATTTTGTACTATATTGCTTTATGTGGTTCAAAAATAGTATATGCCATATTGAAATATGTAATCCTCATGTTGTGAAACTCATCATGTAATACAAATGAAAATCATTACTTAATAACTTACAATTTATCCATATGTAGTTTCAATATGATTGTGTCTATGACTGTAAAACAAAACTGAAAAAATATGTAATGTATTTCTGTTGAAAGCGTGAATGTACTAATTTTTTCCTAATCTTTGTCTAGAAGAAAGATTCTATGTCATTCATTGTACAGCTGCTCTGGGGTGTTACACATTTAAAGTACAATCCAACAGTTGTTTGAAAGTCAGCCTCTCGGCTTTGTTTCATGTGACTGCTGACACTTCTCAAGTGTTCTTTGCATAATGAGGCTGGATTTTGTGCTTCATCGTTCATTTTAAACAATTGAAAAGTCTCATGTGGAAACCAAAGCAATCTAGAACCAGCCTGTTGGGTGACTGTGTCTTCTGTAAAGCCATATTGAAGTGAAGTTATACATAATAGCATAAGGTTCCACATTTTCAAAGCTACCACTACCTCTGCTTTTCCTCTTTCCCTAGAAAATGCCAAGCAAAATTCCCCAACACTAAGTGAGAAATTAGAAGTAATTGTTTTATAATTAAGTTGCTGGGTTTTTTTTTTAACACCTTCTAATTCATCACTTTGTAGGGTTATGCAAGAGTTTCTGAATAACCATTCTTACATGTTTATATTTTATAAAAACCGGCTGCAAGAAAGATTCAGAAAGAATACTTAGTAAGTCATCATATGAAAAACCAACAAAACCATAGAGTGCAGATTTTTTCCTAACTATAAGTCACCTCATAGTTGTCCAAAGCCATGATAATGATATCTCTTACAAATTGACTTCTGTAACCCCCCTAGAAATAACCCTTTTCCTTATTTGATTTTAGTCATCAAACATAGTATGATATGGGAAAAGTCAGCCATTTACCAGAAATTATCTTATTTTGATTTTAAAAACTCATTTCTATATGTAGTTATTGTAATGTCTATTTTTTTAGACTTAAAGATTTATAGAAGACTATAGTTATCTGATTTGTTATTTTGCATTTTTCATTCTGTAAATCTTTGCTTATGGCACATTGTGCTCTCTGTTTTCCATGGTTTTATTCATTTATCTCCTCCTATTTTGAGGGGACAACATGGGTAGTTAAATCTTTGTCAATAGTATTGGAGATAACACTAACTGCTATTATCATAACATCTTCATTTTTACTGCATGCCAAAACCAATGCCTGCCAAACAAAATCTTAGACATCCCAATATAATATGTTAGTTATATTTCTATTCACATCATTATTGAAAATACCCAGCTCAGTGCCTGGCTTAATAAATGTTTAATTCCCTTACCTACTCTTGCTCTATTTTTTTATTTGAAATGGAGATGAGCAAAATAACACATTCATGGCTGAAGCAATTTTTTGGACATTTCTTGTTACCAAAAGATCTATAATCAGGACATTGTTTATGTAAGTTGGACAAAAAAAATTCTTCCCCTTTATGTCCACCCTTCCTATGATTGCAAGACAAAATTTCCCTCCTTTACCTCATCCCTATAACATGGGAGGCTGAGAAAAATGAGGGGAGATGGAACCAGATACAAGGAGATCCAATAAGAGAAGCTTATTTAAATATTGTGAAATAAAGGAAGAACCAAAGCATTTTTTTAAGTGGGGAATCCTTTTGAACAGTTATTATTTATCCATATTATTAACAACATCTTTTCTGACAAAATCCATCAGATGAAGTGTAAATGGATAATCTTTTAATGGATCTAAACCTAGAAAGTTTCACTTACTGTTCATGTCCGTGTTCCAGAATTGTGAAATGGTGTGTGGTTTTGCTTTCCAAGTTCTTCTCTGCCTCCTCTTAATTCTCTAATTCCATGTCTTACAGAAGAATGAGAAATTTCTTTCTTACTTGAGTATCATGCTCTAAAAAACTTGGCTTCAGTCACAGAAACGCTGGCTCTCCTGTGCTTATATTGAAGCCAACTGCCTTTAATTCTTGGGCCCTCTTATATTTTTAAGGTGCAAAATTTGAAGTCTCAGTCACCAGACACAGGTTCTATACAATTAATGATGAGCTGGAGAAGTAATATGTAGCTAATTTTTCAAAAGCATTGAATATACTTTCCGGAAAGAAAACAGAAATTAAATATTGCCACATCTTGCCAGAATCCCATCTGACACCTTAACTTTGTCAGGTTTCCTACAACTTGCTAATCAAGTTTTATACATTCTAAATCTCCCCAGTTTCTTTGGGGCTGGAAGATGCAACTTCCATTTAATAGAAACTTTGAAATCTTGGGGTAAGGGAGCAGTGGGGGGACTAGGGAGAAGGATAAGAAATAGAATTATTGAAAAGCCCCCACCAGGGACCTTCCTGGCCAGAATATGCAGAGTAATTCCTGCTGGCTTCACCTTTGAAAGTCCCTCGAAACTATGCAGATGAAACTGAGTCTGTTTTTGATATTGTCAGATGTATTCTACCTTGGAAGTCCCAACACCTAAACTGGAATTCTTGTATTTACATCTCCTCCACTGTCCCCCACACCACCCCTCAATTCCTGCTGCCCCTGCTAATGTTAAGCATTTTTCTCTTGTTATCATCAGGTTCACATTAAAAACAGATACTTACAAACTGACTTGAAGCACAGATACTTTTACGAATGTGATAAAATATTTTCTTAAGAAAAGGAAAGAGGATGTGGGTCAAATAAAACACCGCATGGATGTTGATTGGTGAATACTGGTGTAAGAAAAGGGAGCTCAGGAATTTTTATTACTGTATTTGTAAATGAGTTTGAAGGAATTTGTAAATGCCACTGGTACATTTTTAAGGTGACACATTTGCTCCTTATAAAGTTATTAAAAATTACAGGGTAAGCTTAAATGACGTTTGCCAGTAGTTTTACTTTATATAATCAATATTGATATTGTTGCTGAACTATGTAACTTTATGATGCATTTTTCAGTCCCTTTTCAGAGCAAATGCTTTTGCAATGGTAGTAATGTTTAGTTTAAATTGACTTAATAAATTATTACCTGAGCAATGGTTTTTGGAGGGTCTTTATATATGTATGTGAAACATGCATTACATGAAAAATTTAACTTGAAACAAGTTTTTTTTCTTTGCCACAACAAAATTTATTAGAATAGATTTTTTTAAAGAAGGAGGGGGAACTGCATTTTAACTCCGGAAATAAAGTATGCAGACATATGCGAAAACATTTATCTTAGGACACTCACCCATGGCATTTTTTTCAGGCAGAAATTTTTGTGCTCATCTTTGAACACCTCTGAGTTTATTTTCCTACTAATTCTAAATCAAAACTGAACACACATTTCCCCAGTCTTTATTCATCTGCCAGACTCGAGCCTTAAAAATGCAAGCATGCTTGGAAGCACCCAGAAGTTTCTTGGAACTTCTCCTGGGAACAACAAAGAACAATCAAAAGGAGAGTTTCCAAACCTGAGATTCGATCAACTTTCCCATGTTTCCAAACCTGAGATATGATCAACTTTCATTTAACAAGCCACAAATCTCAGGACCAAAGTTTCACATTTTCTTTTGTTCGTGTTTTCCTGACTGGAATTATTCAGTCTTTACTTAAAACCAGCTGTGAGTTCATCATCCATTTGTGATCTTTTATTTATTGCATAAAATATTTCACAAATACTTGAACATATATAGAAAAACATAACAAAGGCTCATTTACCCACATCCAAATCTTTAAATATTCATATTTTGCCTTGTCTGTTCCTTTCTTTAACAAAGATTCATTTAATATCACAGATGCTGTATTTACATCCCTCAACAACCAAATTCTCTACCTCTCTCTTCAGCAGTAACTACAATCCTAAAGTTATTACATATCCTTCCCAGCTATTTTTAAAATGCATTCACCTCATATTTATCTATCCCTAAATAATATGACCAATTACTTTGGTATTTATGAGTTTTGCATAAAAAATAGCAGATATCTTTATGCACTTTGATTTTCTTTCATTCGGCATTGGGTTTTTGAGATACAAATAGCTCCAGCTGCTTAGTTTTATACATCTATACAATCTATTAAACTCCCTATTCATCAACATTTAATTTTCACTGCTTTATGCATACAACTGCTGTGGTTGTATACACATATACAGTTTATTAATCTCCCTATTTATCTACATCTAATTTTCACTGCTTTATGCATATAGCTGCTGTAATTGTACATATACATATAATTTATTAATCTCCCTATTTATCAGCATTTAATTTTCATTGCCATAAATGACAAAAGTTGTGTGTATACCACTGCTATAATTTTACACATATATACTATTTATTAATCCCCCTATTTAGCAACATTTGATTTTCACTGCCATAAATGACTATGCAATGAGCATTCCTATGCCAGTCTCACTGGAATATGTGCAAAAGTTTCTCCAAAATATACACCTAGAGGTGGAATTGTTGGGTCATGTAAAATGCATATCTTAATATTTCCTAGATGCTGACAAATTGCTTCCTCTCCAAAGCAGTTTTACTGATGTGTACCCTTGCCATCAGTGTAGTATTTCCATTTCTCGTCATCTTTATCACTACCTGATGCAGTCAGATATTTTAATGTTTGACAATTCAATGAGCATAAAATGATGCATTGTTATTTTACTTTTTATTTCCCTGATGAATCCATTTGTATCTGAGTAACTCATCCTTTTCCTGCTTATCTTTTATGCCATCTTTGTCATCTTCTGAGTGTCTACATATGCCCAAATGTTAGTCCAGGCTTTTCTGGCCCATTTTTCTGTGTATCTATTCCTGTCCTGGTGCTCCACTGTTTTATTACCATATTTTATACAAAGTCTTGTTATCTGGTATATTAATTCTCACACCACCATACCCTTCTTCAAAATTGTTGTGGCCATTCTTGGCCATTTACTCATCATATGAATTTTCAGATGAGCCTATCGGGTCTCCTAAAAAATTGTGTTGGGAGCTAGATTGAATTTATGTTTTAATGCCAGAAGTTACATCTTTATAATATTGTGCCTCCTAATCTTGAACATGGTATATCATTTCCTTTACATTGGGCTTCAATAAAACTTTACATTATTCTTTATAAATGTTTGCATATGTTTTATTAGATTCATCCCTAGGTACCCTCTCATTACAACCTCCACCTCCCGTGTTTAAGTGATTCTCCTGCCTCAGCCTCCCGAGTAGCTAGGATTACAGGCCCACACCACCACACCCAGCTAATTTTGGCATTTTTAGTAGAGACGAGGTTTTGCCATGTTGTGCAGGTTGGTCTCAAATTCCTGACCTCAGGTGATCCGCCGGCCTCGGCCTCCCAAAGTGCTGAGATTACAGGCGTGAGCCACCATGCCCAGTCCCACTGATGTTTTAATACTGATCTTGCATTCTGTAACCTTACTGAACTCTAATTAACATTCTTATAATTTGTAGGTTTTCTTGGATTTTCAATTTTTACAACGGTATCACCACAAGCTAACAACACTGTTTCTTCTTTTCCAGTCTTTATACCTCTTATGTCTCTTTCTTGATCTATTTTATTGGGCTTCCAGGACAGTGTTAAATAGAAACGTGTTATGGGCATCCTTTCTTCTTCCTGACTTTAGTGAGAATGCTATGAAAAGTTCACTATTACATATAAGGCATCATGTAGGTGTTGTAGAGGGGAAAGGAAAGCTGCCATTTTGCCCTCCGAGGGTTCACTAAAAGTCACTGACAAAAGTTGAATTAATAGGAGAAAAGGCATACAAATTTATTTGATTATAGTTTTATGTGACATGGGAGCCTTCAGAATGAAGACCCAAAGATACAGAGGAAACTGTCCATTTTTATGCTTAGTTTCAACAAAGTACGGACAGCCTTGTAGGAAAATGATTGGACCTAATGCCGACAGACTGAGTGAGAAAACCTAGCAAGGCCTGTCTGTCTAGATTTTTCTTAGCCTCTCTGTGTAGGAATGCCTCTCACCATTCCTTCCTTCTGGGTATGGGGCAGGACCCTCTCTGGAAAGGGGGTCTTATGACCTACAGTCAAACAAGATAGGTCAGGTTATCTACAGTCAGTTTTTACACAGAAAGTCTGGTGTAAAGTTATAGTAATATTTTTAGACTGTAAAGCTGACTTTGGGGCAAGAGGGTTCCAGTTTCCATGACCTGCCTTGGGGAAGTGAGATTCCAGTTTCTATGGCCAGGCTCTGGAGAGAATGAGGGACCAGACAGGAGGGCAGCAGGTCAAAGAGAACTGCTGCTGGGCCCCTACAATTTTTCAGATACCCTTAGTTATGTGAAAGATATGCCTTTATATTTCTAGTTTGCTAACAATTTTTTATCTTAACTGATTTTAAAACTTCTCAAATTTTTTTCTACATCTATTGATATGTTCACATGGCTTTTCTCTGTTAATTAATGTGTAACTTATTACAGAAAATTATTTTAGAGAGTATATTTTAAGGTTAAAGTACCCTTGCATTCTTGAGATGAACCTCACTTATACATGAAGTATTTTTGCAAACATTATTAGGTTCAATTTGCTAAACTTTTATTTAGGATTTTTGCATTAATGAGGTTCATCTTTTTTGCTGCTTAAGATATCGTTTTTGGAGGTGATTTATAAGTAAGTTAAAATCTTCTAGGATTAAGTAAGTTTCTATTTATTATAATTCTATCAGTTTTTGCTTTATATATTTTGAAGCTGTATTATTGGGCGTATATAGATTTAAATGTTCAATCCTCCAAATAAATTATTCTTTTCATTGTTACATACAATCCCCTTTATTTATAATGGTCACGTTTGTCTTAAAACCTATTTTTTCTGATACTGATATTGCTAATTTGGATTTTCCTGGGAGTGGTAATTCTCTGGTAAGTTTCTTTTCATTCCTTTACTTCCTAATTGTTCTGTGTCATTATGTTTTAGGTGTGTCTTTTAAAAACAGCATAAGCTAGATTTTGTTTTCTTCTGGTTGAGAATATTTTCCTTTTGGTGGCTAAACAGTTCTCTCCTTCTCATTTGATGCACCCTTCCTTCATTTTTCTTTTGCAATTTGAATTATTTAAATCAGCCAATTCTGTAATAATCACTATAGTAACAGGATATAATTAAAGGTCCTTGTAATTAAAGATCCTTGTGAGATAATTCACTGTAACTGAGAGCCCTAAGCTTGGGAATAGCTCTTCCCCCATACAGGAACAATCCCAGTCATAGTGAACCAGACTCTAAGGATTCTCATCTCACTGTGATTGAAAACAATAATTAAGCCTTGATTGTAAAGTTCAAGAGAATGAACAACTAGAAAATCCCAACTGCTGAGAGAAGGGCCTATGCTCAAAAAGATTTTGCCATACATTTTACCAAAAAGAGATTGAGTTGTATTTTCAGGATCTCCCATTTAAACACAAATCTTCCCCACATAAATTATCTGTCAATCATTCTACCACATACATTATTGAATAATACTTGAACACTGTATGCCAGGCACTGTGCCAGGTATGCAGTTAGCAGTACGGATGTGCTCTCCAGCCTCTTGGGGATTACAGTCTAGTGGGAAGGCTAAGGTAATCCATGTGTCCCTAGCTTTCTCCAGAATGTTACTTCCTAAAACACGGTAAGTCCAATAATTCCGATGAGACATGTTCAAAGAGTCCTAATAAATAAACAAAAGGACTTTGACCTTGCATTATTTTTCAAGAAAATCAGTTTTCCATGAAATTCTAAGGGTTACAGTATCTGAGCCGCATCTTTAAGCAGTTATTCTCTTCTTACACATCTGCTAATCTCTGCACCTCAGTCTGAACACTCTGCACACAGCATTCTTCATAATCCATTAACTGTGAAATGGAACACCTGTAATATGAAGTTTCATGTAAATTGTATAAATTTATCTGAAATCCTTCCAAAACAATTTTCCTTTCCTTCAATTTCACAACTCCTAAATTAGTTAAGAGAGGGAAAGAATTACTTTGGAAAAGCTGTTAATTATCTTCAGAGCCTTACTGGACTCTATTATTGACAGAGGCCTGGGGCAGAGCAAAGTTCAGTTACACTCAGGACTTAACTGATAAATCACTGGTGAACCTGTGTGCAAAAATCCTCCCCGATAATTACTAACATGACAACAGAATTTCCAAGTTTCCCCATTTGTGAAGTATTTTTTTCAAGGAGAAATTTCTATATTTTCCTACTTGATGAAAGGCTTCTCCCCTGCTATTTACCATTTGTGCAAACTGAGATAGTTCTTCATCTTCTCTAGTCTTATGTAAAATGGAGAATATTATACCTGATCTGCTCAAAGGAGAGAGAAGAGAGACTCAGCAGGTGTCACTTATAAGTCAGAAATAATATCTGTTTAATTGGAGTTTTATCTGTGAAGGTAGGGTAGGATCTTGGATTGATATTCCAAATGACTCCTAGGCTGAGAATGAAGTTCTAGAGGCAGTCTAAGTTTCCTCTTCATCCCAGTTTTCAGATTTTGTGGACATCACGTAATTCCTCAGAGTTCAAAAGAACAAACATCTTAGAATATAGTTTTGTCCGGCCGGGCGCAGTGGCTCATGCCTGTAATCCCAGCACTTTGGGAGGCCAAGGCGGGCGGATCACCTGAGGTCAGGAGTTCGAGACCAGCCTCAACATGGAGAAACCCCGTCTCTATTAAAAATACAAAATTAGCTGGGCATGGAGTAGCTGTAATCCCAGCTACTTGGGAGGCTGAGGCAGGAGAATTGCTTGAACCTGGGAGGCGGAGGTTGCGGTGAGCCAAGATCATGCCATTGCACTCCAGCCTGGGCAACAAGTGCGAAACTCTGTCTCAAAAAAAAAAAAAAAAAAAAAGAATGTAGTTTCGTGCAATGTTAGTTTAGTTGAATTATAAATTGATGTCATCTTACTGAGATGCATTTAAAATGTACACACATTTTGACCTAGGAATCCTTCTTCAAGGAACTTATCTGAAGAAAAAAATAATTAGTCAAGTACAGAAAATTCTCTGTCCTAGGATGCTAGAGAAAATACAGCTATCCATCAAAAGGAACTTATTAAACAAAAAATATGAAGACTTTCAGTTTCTGAAACAGCATGTGTATACACAGATAGACACATGTAGAGAAAGATTTCTGAAAGGAAATTTACTGAAATATAATGGTCAGGTTTGTTGTGATCTTTTTCTTTCTTCTTTATGCAATTCTAGGCTTGAGTTTGTTTAACAGAAGTACATATTATGTTATGGTAATCCGAATAATTTATTTTCTTTTTAAATAAAAGAGGTATAACCTCCCACTTTCCCTCTAGAAGTTATTCAGAATGTACTGTTTTTCTTCCCCACTCCAGGTGACCCCTTGATGTTGGGTGCCTCTCATTACAAAAATCTCAAATCTTACAGACCAAGAAAAATCTCAAGTCAAGGAAGACTTGCGGTGTTCACAAAGGCAACATTGACCACAGTCCAGTAGAGCTGAAGAGCATATACCAGAATTCAGGAACTCAACATTTTCTCCCCTCTGTCCAACCACAGGACAGACTGTGCACCCCAGGGAGATGCTGTGTGTCCACTGGCCTCACTGACTTGGATTACTCCTGCAGCACGTGACCAGCCAGCTCATATGATCACTCCCTACTGCCCCCAAAGCAGAATTGACTGGGAGCTGGAAACCCACACAAAAAGGGACAATTATATTGAATGTAACATACTCCCTCTGCTTACCTAGTGCCTTCACCTCCTATGGGCATTTGGAGTAAAAGGTTGTTATGCAGGTGTTTGTGAAGGATGTGGCCAAGTCAGTTGTCTCCCTTACAGGGTGACCCAAGATTAATGATATCTACCCATCCCCAGTCCCTCGACCCCCTAGTTGCAATCAGCTTTGTCACTGTCCCCCTTAGGCACTGCCATGTAAAGCACGTGGTCCCCCATTCTGAAGCAGTGGGAAACCTAGAAGAGATGTACTCTTCGCAACCTGGTTGGATCTTAAAAACATGGTTCTAACTGAAAAGAAAAAAGACATATTACACATATTTACATAAATTAAAACTGCATTCACCCTAAACAATACACATTTTACAAGAATGCGTTCCAACAAAAGGATATATATAAGCATGCTAAATACTTGCTTATGGGGATTGAAGGTAAGGGGAGGCTGGAGTGGGATAAATAGGAATTTAAGAAATAATGAAAATAAGGCACACTAACTCCTTAGCTCTCAACCTTTTGCCTTCCTCAGACACATAAGATGATCCACAGCTGTCCAGAACCTTACCTAGCTATTTGGTACTCTCAGCTTTTCTTTGGAATGGCTCCTTCCCCATTGTTTTCTCCTCTCTTTCTCTAAGACCCCCAAAACCAATTTATTTGTTCATTCACTTCATGCATATCTTCCTTTTTCCTCTCTTAGTCACATACCTCGTTTCACAATCTCCGACCCCTTCAACCATGTCCTGATCCTTCTCCCACACCCAGCACCACCCTCCTGCAGAGAAAAGTGTACCCGGATGAAACTCCGATGGAATATTAAACTAACAGAACTTGTCAGATGACCTTTGCTTTATCTGCCTGCTTTCTTTCCTCTTCCCTTCTGTTCTCTTCTTTTCCTTTCTTTTCTCTCCTCTTCTCTCTCTCCTTCCTATTTTCATTCTATCTCTTTTCCTCACTCTCTTTTTCTCCCCCTTGAAGGCACTGTTACTAGAAATAGAGAGCTCTGGGGCTTGCCTGAAGCCATGGGCAGTCACCACTCCAGGATTCCCCTTTTAGCGCCTCCTCCCCATCTTAATCTCAAAGTCCAGCAGGATAGTGAGCAGTTAGAGCCCGGCCTCCAATCTGCTTCCATGGGGGTTGGCTTTCTGAGTGGGAGAAATGACTCTAATCTGGAGACATTTGCTGAGACCCTTGTGCCTGGTCACTTCCGCTCCCAGGATCCTTGAGATGCATCCTTTCCTGAGCCGTAAGTGGAAACCAGGGGGACGTGGGTCAGTAGAGGATCAGCGAGAGGGTAAGACTTGAGCTCCGAAGGCTGCTGCCTGGGATTCTGGAATGTTAGACCTGGGTGAGGTCTTAGAGATGAGGCATGTTTTTGACACACAGGTTCTCACCCTGAGTCAATGCCCCATTTTCATAGCCAATATTTTGTAATGCTCCTTTTTGTTTTGAAATGAAATTCGTGGATAATGAAACCCGACTATACACAATTTCAACATGACATGCTATCTCAGCTTCAATATTTTTAAAAACCAAAGGAAAGCAATCAAAATAGAGTGTGACTTCAATTTACAGATGCCCAAGGATGATTTCTATTTTTTCTTTTTTGAGACAGGGTCTCCCTCTGTCACCTAGGTTGGAGTACAGTGGTGTGATCATGGTTCACTGCAGCCTTGACCTCCAAGGCTCAAATAATTCTCCCACCTCAGCCTCCTGAGTAGCTGGAACTATAGGCACATGCCACCATGCCTAGCTATTTTTCTTTTTTAACTTTTGTAGACATGGGGTTTTACTATGTTGCTCAAGTTGGTCTCGAACTCCCGGGCTCAAGCAATCCTCTCACTTCAGTCTTTCAAAGTGCTCGGATTGCAGGCCTAAGCCATTGCACCAGGCTAGGATGACTATTTTAAAAGATGTAAAGCATCTGCATGAATTTTCATCATGCCTCTAGGAAGTGAGACCACGCTCTCAATTGCCAACAAGTGCTGTGATTCACCCAGAGTCATCCAAGCCAGGGCTTGACCCCAGGCCCTCCCCATCTACTCAGACTCTCCTCTCTGCAGCAAGAACAGAAAATATGAGGAGATGTGGGGTAACCAGACATTGGTGGCTTTATGAGTAATATCCTATATGCTTGTGATTTTCACATGGATCTTGTTTCACGAGAGCCTCACCTCCTCCTCAGCAAATTCCCTCATGCAAACATGAGATTAAGCAACTGTCTGTACATTTATGTGCCTGTGCTTCACGGGCCGTAAACAGGTACAGGGGACCATTTTACATTCCCCATTGTGACCAACTTTGCCTTCATTTTCTCCTCATATTTCCCTTTCACCCTCCTTCCTTCCTCTCCTCTTCGCTTTCTTACCCCTGAAAATTGCAGTTTTTTGAAACTTGACACATGCATGATGCTTTAAATGCATTATCTCCTTTTATCTTCAACCAAACTTGTTAGTGAGTACTATTATCTCATTCCACAAATGAGGAGACAAGAGAATAAGGAATATCTAAGAAATGTGGTCAAAGGCAGAAACATGTATGTGATAACTTGGGATTCAAAGCCAGGTCTATCTGACTCCGAACTCGAAGAGATTCTACCAGGCCCTGTCTATCCTCCCCTAGTCTTCCAATCCTGTTTGGACTGCTCTTTTCCCTTGGTCATGAGTTTCTTTTGCCAGAACATCACCTAACTCCAACATTTTCTCAGAAGCAGGTAAAATTATAACCAGTCTTATGCTCAGTGAGGAGGAAATTATGCTGAAAGTACCAGCTGTTGACCTAGCAAGAGAAATGCCCTAGACTGCCCCCTCCCCTTCCCTACCCCAACCTCTGAACATTGTGGAGTTGCACAGTGGAGCAGCAGGTAACCTAGAGAGGGCAGGTGAGGCCTAGTACCTAGAGATCTTGAGCAACTCGTTGGCGACGCCTTACCATAGGCCCAGCAAGGACACTACAGGGAAGCAGTCTTGGAAAACCACACCACTGGCCGGGTGCGGTGGCTCACACCTCTAATCCCAGCACTTTGTGAGGCTGAGGCGGGCGGATCACGAGGTCAGGAGATCGAGACCATCCTGGCTAACACGGGGAAACCCTGTCTGTACTAAAAGTACAAAAAATTAGTCGGGCATGGTGGCGAACGCCTGTAGTTCCAGCTACTCAGGAGGCTGAGGCAGGAGAATGGCTTGAACCCGGGAGTCGGAGCTTGCAGTGAGCGGAGATTGCGCCACTGCACTCCAGCCTGGGCGACAGAGTGAGACTCCTTCTCAAAAAAAAAAAAAAAAAAAAAGAAAAAAGAAAAAGAAAAAAACCACACTACCTAGACTGAATGCTATCCTCATCACCTGGCCTTGCAAAAACCTTTGGGACTTTTATGTCTACTTTCTTACCTACTCTACCTAGGTCTGTGCCTGTTTGTGCTTGCTCATCCAAACACACACTCACTAACATACATTTATTGAGCACCTGCCATGTGCAATATATACATTCAGGCAAAATATTTGAGCATCTATTATGCACCAGTGCTGCAGACTTAGCCACAATAAGCAAGAAAAAGCTCCTGCCCTCTATTCCAGGAAGGAGATAGACATAAATGAATAAGTAAATATGTAAAAATATATATGTGTGTGAATATGTATGTATTTATGTATGTATCCAATAGAGACACATGCCATGAATAAAACCAAATCTGGAAAGGGAATAGAAAAATATAATGGGGGTGAGGGGAGGGGCTGTGATAGGGAGGTCACCACGTTTTAAGTGTTGTTTTATATGCAAAAATAAATAAGTCACAATTCTTGTATAGTATCTACATAGTTACTGTACAATATTCATATGCATAAAATGTTCAGCTTTGTTTACACTTTGATATGCACAATCACTTTGGGCTAACTGTGTATACAAAGTTATGGAAGCAATTTGTTTTCAGTACAAAAGTGTGGAGAAATATCTCAGTGGGGCATTCTTTCCTACAATTAGCTAATGACTGAAATATATAACATTTGCAGGTGGCTGGGGTATGTGCTCCCATGTACCAATTTCCTAATATATGCCTGCTCTCCCACAAAGGAAGGAGGGCACAAAAAGTCATCTATTTCCAGCTGAGATGTTTCTCCATTCCTGCCAAGCCTATTTTAAGAAAACATTTAAAATTTGCCCTAAAGGGGGGCCTCCCATCTACACCCCTCCAGGCAGCCTTGCCACAGTCAGAACTGATTTAACACATGCCAAGGGCCAGGAAGGGTGATCACAGAGAATGCCTACTCCCGAACGTGCGGAAGAAGACCCACCCACCTCAGAATCAGGAATCGAGGAGTGCTCTTGCTTGTGGACAGCCACAACTGCCCCTGTGTGGCTTCAGCAAAAGGGCATATACTGGAAGGTTATGAAGGAATGGAGGGAAGGAGGGAGGGCAGCTGAAATAATCAACAGGAGGCTGAGGACGTGGACAGGACCCCACACGCAAAGAAGCCAAGGAAGGCCAGGCAGGAGTAGAGTAACTTCTGGTAGGAACCGCCTCTTAGCAGCTTTGCTTAGCGGATGCAGGCACCTGGCATTCACTGCCATCATCCTTGCACCCAGAGCACGCATGGGACAGAGGGGACCTCCACAGAGAAGGCTGTGAGAGATCATGTCCGGAGCGGATGATACCGAACAGCAATGGTGAGGGTCCTCAGCAGCGTGCTGCAGACTGCGGCCCCATGTGTGAAGAGAAAACGACCACTCTGGAGTCTCCAAGCTGGCAGCTCCAGCACAGAGAAGCAGAGGAGAAAAATTTCTCTACCGACCAGACACTGTCCCTCAGGCGTCCAAACCCCAACACAGCTTCAGCAGGCCTCCATGGGAGGCAGTGTCTCAAACGTCAATATCAGTGAGGGACTTCAAAACTGCCAAGGCCTCGAATTCCATCTGTCACTGATGTCCTCTAAGGTGGATGGAGGATGAAATCTTCCTTTCCTAACTCGTTGGCAATCCCAAGTATCAAATGAGATTGCAAATGTGACAAGGTTTTTTTCAAGTTACCTAAGATGCTATACAGAAATGAGATACAATTGGCATTTTGGGCCAGGCTTAGTGGTTCACGCCTGTAATCACAACACTTCCAGAGGCCAAGGCAGACAGATGGCTTGATCTCACAAGTTTGAGATCAGCCTGGGCAATCTGGAGAAACCCGATCTCTACTAAAAATACAAAACACTAGCCGGGTGTGGTGGCATGCCCCTATGGTCCCAGCTACTAAGGAGGCTGAGATAGAAGGATCGCTTGAGCCTGAGAGGTAGAGGTTGCAATGAGCAGAGATTCCACCACTGCACTCCATGTAAGACCCCATGTCTATTAAAAGTAGGAAAAGAAAAATAGCTGGGCATGGTGGCTGGTGCCTATGGTTCCAGCTACTCAAGAGGCTGAGGTGGGAGAATTGTTTGAGCCTGGGAGGCCGAGGCTACAGTAAGCCATGCTCACACCACTGTACTCCAGCCTGGGTGACAGAAGGAGATCCTGTCTCAAAAAAGAAAAAAAGAAAGAAATCATCCCTGGGCATCTGTAAATTAAAGCCATAATTTATTTTGAAAGCTTTTCTTTGATTTTTAAAATTATTGCAGCTGAGATAGCATGTCATTATTTTCACACATTATATGAGCATTGGGCAACAGAGCCAGACCTGTCTCAGTAATAATAATAATTAGCATTTTAATAAATCACACTGTGTCCACTGCATATTTTCAAATATTTTAGAATCTTTTTTTCATTTTAAAGGGTGAGGAAGCCCTTAATAAATACTCCCTCTGGGCTGAAAACTGGTTGTGAATACTGAAAAACTCGTTATCATTACAAAGAGAATTTTCCCTAGAGTTTCCAAATGCCAAAAAAATTTGATTTTTCTCATTTACTTTGCCCAACAGTTTTTGTCATTCGATATTATGATTTTGGGGAAAGAAAATAAAGTTGCAGTGAACTGTCTGCTATAGAACTCTGTGAGAATTAGGCAGCTTGGAAATGAAAGCTCACTAGTTACCCACTTGGCATTTATTATGCAAAAGCGATGCTGTTCTCCAAATTGAATTCCATCTTTCAATGTCTCAAGTTGCTCATGTGAATTGAAGTGAAAACTGGTGAATTGGATGAAAATCATTAGCTGTCGTCTGGTTAGCCTAAAAAGGCACTATCCGATTAGTTAAAACAATAAGACAAAACAAAACAAATACCTATTCAGAAATAGACCTTGGATATAGTTTTATTAATCCTAATCTCATTCATTCCTTCCCCTCCACCTCCATCTCTTACACACACACACACACACACACACACACACACACACAGGTATGCATATGCATATATACACATACACACTTTCCAGGAGCCCCCAAAAAAGCTTTATGAACCCTCAACTCTTACATCATCCTCAAAACACAGGCTATTTTGAATAAAAATTGCATGCAATTATCTAGATAGATTTTCATTTTTTTTCTGGCAAATAATAAAAACCAAAGTAGTTTTGTTTCTTTCTGTCCATCAAATATCAACATTATTACTATTATTTTTGAGTTTTAGTTATTTATTAAGAGGAGTGATATGACAGTCAATAGATTTGGAGGTATTATCCAGGTTTATTTCACTTACTGACTCCTATTATTCTTTCTCCTACTTGCTCATTACTGTCTCTATTTCTTCCTTCCTCTTTCTTCTTTCTTTCCTCCTTCTTTCCTTTCTTCCTCTTCTTTCTTCCTTGCAGAATTTCACGTATTTCATTTGAAGCCCTCACTCCACCATCATGTGCTTATGACTTTTGTGAATAAATGAATGAATAAAACTGCCTTGACTGTTTAAAATTCAAGCTTTTCTTTGTCAAGTATTTCTCTCCAACTCCCTTCCCCCTCCAGCCTACTTTCATAAATCCTATAACCTTGGAGTCAAGACAGCTTACAACCTCCTCAATGGGCAACTCCAATTTTGCAGATAGAAAAATGAGACTGAAGAAACGAAAGGATTTTTGAATTCTTAGAGACACTCAGAATTTTTTTTCCATCTCAGAAGCACAACGAATGCAGAGAGACACAATGAAAAGCTTTTTAAAAGGTGAAATTCTCAGAAAACTAAAGCTATCAATTTTTTTGGTCCTTTCTATGCATGGATAACCAAAAGTCACTTGCTTTTCAAGTAAAAGCAAATTAATGACATTAGTGATTATATATCTCTTTGAAATATATATCTCTTTGAATATATCTCTTTGAAAGAAGATATATTCAGAACTGTTACTTTCCATCTTCATTTAAAAACACAATTGTTCATTATGTTTCTCAGGACTGTGACTTCATAGCCACACAAAGCACTAACACTTCTTTCATGCATTCAAACCTTCATGCTGAGAAAGAGACATAATTTCCTTAGCTCTCTCCACCTATAAAATTATCTTAATGTTGACCTTCAGTCTTCAAAATTAGGAGCATCTTTCCTAGGAGTACTTATAAGGTCTCTAGACAACTCTTCCAGCTCTGACGTTCTGATTCCATTATTCCATCCCACTGCTGCAGGGGGGCCAAAGTCTGTGCTGGCAGGGAAGGGTGGAAATGGTTGAGGAATGAGCAAAACAGACTACTGGGCTAGGAGTCAGAGGAGTTTTGTTCCCGTTCTTCACCTAACTAGCTTGATAACCTTAAACAGATTAATTTACCACTTTACGCTGGTTTCCTTATCTATAAAGTATGCATTTTGACACACACACACACACAAATGTAAGGTCCCTCCTAGCTCCAAATATTTAATGAATCTGGTTCAGCTTATCCCTGTTTCATCACAGTCTTATGTTGGCAGCCTTTTTTTTTTTTTTTTTTTGGCGGGGGGAGGTTTTGTCTTCTGGGTCTATTTGCATGTATTTATTAGTCTAGTATATTGTCTAACACCTGCCTCTCCTCATTCCCTACAAGAATAGTCAACAGTCATTAATGCCGTGTGTATTGAGAGCTAACCAGGTACCAGGCACTGGCTACACACTAGAATTCAGGCACTAGGCAGCTTGAAGCCTAAAAAGCACCTCTATTAACAGGGGATGGACTCCAACAACGCATTGCACTAGCAGAAGTTTTGCCTACTGATGAGAGAATCGACACGGTGAGGGTAACATGGAGAGTTTGCCTAAACTGAGCCTCCCAAGTTTGTGAGGGACTGCCGTAGATTTTTTTTCCAGACTATATTTGAGAAGAACTATTTTTTTCCTCCAGAAAACTCATTATTGAGATACTCAGATTTTAAATCCAAACTAAAAGCTGATTAGCATGATTTTTTAACTAAGAAATAAAATTATCTAAGCAGTTTTATTTGGATAACTATAGGTGACTTTCACAAACAGACCTATGTCATGCTTAGTTGAGGATTCTAACTCACTTCACTTTCAGTAGGTACTTCCCGGACATCAGTAACCAAGCTCAGTCTTCATACAAAGCCCAGAATGCCTCCATGTGACTTCATGCCTGAAAGATACCAGGTGAGATTCAGGGCTTTAAGAAAACTCAAAGAGGTAGTTTCTCTGGGGAGGTCTCAAATGATTGTTTCCTTAAGAATGACACAAAAATAGCCCTGCTTGCCACTAAACTACCTCATTCCAGATATTGTACCTCTAAGTCATTGGAAGCATCTGAAACCCTCTTAATCCCTTAATGCTAGTGTATAAATTGGTGTCCATGTGTGAGAGATAGAGACACAGACAGAGGCAAAGAAAGTACAAGAAGCACACTACACATGATAATTAATATATGTACTGCAGGGAGATATACACACATCACAAATGTGATGGCACACATAGGCTTTAAAGTAAATGTTGCTCCTGTTTTAACTGACTCATGTGGCCATCTGACCTTCCTGGGTACTCCAGCAAAAATTATAGTTATATTTTTGTTCTCAGGCTAATAAAAATTCAGCTGGCATTTTCTCTCTTACTTTCTCTCTCTTTCTTTCTTTCTCTCTCTTTCTTTCTCCCTCTCTCTCTCTCTCTCTCTGTTATGCATGCACACGTGCATGCACACACACACGGCAACTCCTTTATTCGACATGATACTTACAGGTTAGAAATTGTAGAATCAATAGGTATTTATGAGGGATCCACAAAGAAGAGAAATACAGGAGAGATATTTTATAAATAAAGATACAAACACGACTAGCACTTCATTGTATTTTAATTTTTTAAAACACTACCACAACAAAAATGACTTATTAGTTCAGACTAATTGCTTATTAGTTCAGACATTTACTTCCGAAGTCTATTTTTTTCATAGTTAAAATCAACTCAGAGCCAAGGCTTTTCATTGCTAGGTAGAAATTCCAGCCCTTTTCTGAAAAGAGATCGAAAGGCTACAAATAATAATTCACCTCCTTAAGAGAAAAGGCTTTAATTTCTTGCAGGGACGATATTGGGTAAGTACACGCACTTCTGAGCCTCTACAGGCCAGCAGCCCTCTTCTCTGTCCACTAGAGAGCCTGGGCTCTGTTACTCATAGATTGACTGCTATTGATCTTGTAAGAAGTGTGTGGGTTTAAATCTTGTTTATCTACAGTCCCTTGGCTACAACCGTGTCCTGGAAATCCACAAGGAACATCTTTCTCCTGTGGTGACGGCATATTTCCAGAAACCCCTGCTGCTCCACCAGGGGCACATGGAGTGGCTCTTTGATGCTGAAGGAAGCAGATACCTGGATTTCTTTTCCGGGATTGTTACTGTCAGTGTTGGCCATTGCCACCCGTGAGTATCCTTAAAATCTGGAGATTTTTATTCCAAAAGAATGCATGGAAAACAATTATGTTAGTGACTCTGAACTCTTGATTTGCTTATCTTGGTTTAAAAATATCTATGACAGATTGTGGCTGACATACTCCCTGCTATTTCCTGAGTACAAAATCTTGACACCCTTACTTTTCCTTTCTTGACAATGCAAGATTTTGTTATTCTCATGGCACATGTAGTGTGGCATGTACCATGTGACTGGAGTCTTGCTGTGTGTGTTTCTCATTAGCAACAGCTTTCCAAAGAGAGGGGTGCATTCAGGGAAAGGAAGAGAAAGGCAGGCGGCTCTCAGAGAAACACATGACAGGCTTGTCAGGCGAGGGATGATGAGAGATGAGAAATAACTTCTAGCCTAGAGAATCTTCTTCATGGCCTCTGAGAGATGGAAGAGGAAAAGAAGAATGATAAGAGACAGATGCAATCCTAGCTGGAAATTTACCTGGAAATGTATGGATCAATTAATCTAGAGATTGTCTGCAGTGTTGACGGTATACTCGCCCACACAGATACCCTTGGAGCGTTCTTGGTTTCCATGCAGTGCTCTCATTTCATGTCTGTTCTCTCTTTTCTTTAATAATCTGACCAATGCAACCTCACACTAAGTTAGGGGAAAGCAATAAAGCAGCAAGTCTAAAATAAACTGAATAGATGTGGGCCCTTCCATCAAAGCAGGAGGCAAAGAGTCCCCCCCCTCAGGCAGCTGTCAGGAGGTAAGGAGTGAGTGTGCCTCAGGGGCCCAGCCCTCATCTTTTCCTCCCCTTCACTTCTCCTACCCTCTTCCATCATCAGGAGACCTTAGTCCCATGCAAAGTCACAAGAAGTATCCAAAACAAATTTCAGATGCAATTTCAAACGTAGGACAAACATACATGAAAGAAGTAGAGAAAATGGAATAGAAAATGAGTTCAAACATTCTCACTGAATCTTCCCAGTAACATTGACAGTCTTCCCTGGAAATGGGAGGCCATCTTTTCTACCCCTCCTGTGACTCTCATATATTTTGCTAAACAATGTTTTTGTCAAATGTCTCTTCTTTTCAAGGATTTACTGATACTCCACAATTTTCTAAAGTGAGTTTCATGGAACACTGATCACAGGAGTTTCCGTGGAAAAGGGTCCCATGAGAAAATAAGTTTGGGAAACACTTTAAACTATATCTCCCTTCTGAAGAGAAACAGCGTACACTAGTCTATTATAGGTACTAAAATGTCTGTAGTAAAGAAATCTGTATAATCTGGTATTTCTCAAAATATTTACCCACTAAATTGATTTTTTTCTGATGTGAAAGATATTAACAGCAAATAAAATTGGCCTGTAACAAACTGTAGCAATTAATGTCCTTTACAGCAAGTTCAGACAACTTGGTTTGTGTTTTCAAAGCCAAGTCAGGTTCCACAAATCTGTCATCCTTAGCCCCTATTATCTCTCAGTATGAACCTTCTAATCCTGTAAGGTTGGCCCAATCTTTCAAAGAATGTGGCTTTATAGTTACAAAATATTCATCCACACTAACCACTGTTCAGACTCAGATATTAGAATCTCCCTGCAGAAAAACTGTTCATCTTAGTCAGACGTGGTAGCATGCACCTATAGTCCCAGCTACTCAGGAGGCTGAGACAGGAGGATCTCTTGAGCCCAGGAATTGAGGCTGCAGTGCACTATGATTGTGCCTGTGAATAGCCACTGCCCTCCAGCCTAGGCAACACAGTGAGAACCCATCCCTTAAGAAAGAAAGAAGGAGGGGAGGAAGGGAGGAAGGGGGGAAGGGAGGGAGGGAGGGAAGAACTACTGATCTGGCATACATGTGCTTGATGAATCTCTTCTTCTTTAGAAAAATAAAATGGAAAGAACTCAGGCTTACAACTAGTCATCTCTTTTTCCAAACTCTTCAAAAGATGGTTAATAAGAAAGCATAGCTAGAAGAAATTCTAAGCCCAAACTTCCTCCTAAACTAGGCATTTCTTTTCTAAAATCCCTTGTAATCAATGAGTCTCCTTTTGAACCCTGCTCTTGGAGAGGAATTCATTACCTTTTAAGTCAACACATCCCATTTCTGGACACCTCTAGTGGTTAAAGGAGTTTATTCTCATGTGTAAATAAAATCTGCCTCTTGAAACTCTTTGAGAAAAAACAGTATATTTGGGTCCAATGACCAGGGTGTGTGCAGGAGGGACGTGGCACGCAGTGCAGGTAACTCTGCTGTACTGCTTATCCAGAAAGGTGAATGCAGTGGCACAAAAGCAGCTCGGCCGCCTGTGGCATACAAGCACCGTCTTCTTCCACCCTCCAATGCATGAATATGCAGAGAAGCTTGCCGCACTTCTTCCTGAGCCTCTTAAGGTACAATGCTCTTCCTGCAGGAGGTGAATGTTATGGGGGAAAAAAAAAGGTATGATGCTCCCAGCTCAAAGAGACAGGAGTCTTATGATTCTAGGGGAGCGTCCCTAGGAAGCAGGGACATGGGCAGGGAATTTAGCCTGTGCACTGAACATCTGTAGTGGTGATCTGATAGCTACATCTGAAAGCAATCAGACAGAAGAAGGGAATTTATGAATTGCTGGCGAAACAAACCAATGTTCCCTTGTGTCACCTCTGAGCCTCTGCCTCTCTTTGGTTGCTCTCTTCACCATATCTTAGCAGAAATCACTTCCCAGGAGCCGTAGGCCTCTTGATGTTCTCATCTATGTCCTCAAGAGGTTTTTATCTCATCGCTCCTTAGCCTTTCTGCAAAGTTATTTGCATTTCTTTTACAAACAGTGAAACCATTTTTAATAAGTGCCATTTGGTTCATTTGGTCCAAATTACACTTAGATATTTTTTTCTACATGAGCTGTTTTTCTGCATCTGAAATGACTGATCTTTTAAATTGAACTAAGATGTTAAAATGTTGGCCAAGATTTCCATTTAGACATTAAACGAGTTAATACATGTGAAGAACCTAGAACAATGCTCAGTCCCGAGTGTTATCTATTATTATTTTACCATGTTCTCTACATTACCTAGAATAGATAAAGAAACATGGAAGAGCTGCAACCTCAGTTCAGCCCCAGATGTTCACAGAAGAGCAGAAGCAGAGAGTCAGCAGAGTCATGAACACATGCCTTCCAGTCCCTGAGTCTGGAGGGCACAGTTCTCTTTCATTCTCCCCATTCTTTTGTCCAGGCTGAGCTGCATTTTTTGTTTACTTGCTTTTTTTTTTCTTTTTGAGACGGAGTCTCACTCTGTCACCCAGGCTGCAGTGCAATGGCGCAATCTCGGCTCACTGCAATCTCTGCCTCCTGGGTTCAAGTGATTCTCCTGCCTCAGCCCCCCAAGTAGCTGGGATTACAGGTGCCCACCACCACACCTGGCTAATTTTTGTATCTTTAGTAGAGATGGGGTTTCACCATGATGGCCAGGCTGATCTCAAACTCCTGACCTCAAGTGATCCGCCCGCCTCAACCTCCCAAAGTGCTGGGATTACAGGCGTGAGCCACCGCACCCGGCTTGTTTACTTGTTTTTTCAACATTCACACACACAGCATAGTCAGGCTGGGACAACCCCTGGAGTTGCAGAGTCAGAGGTCCTGTCTTGTTCCAAGCCTTTAGAATCAGGTGACTGGGTTAGAGTTAGGAGCCAAGAAACCCAACCTTTGGATCTATCAGCTACTCACCACTGCGTGCCCCTCAGCAAGTCTCCCTTGGCATTTTGCAGACCATCAAATAAAGCCATTAAAAGCCAGGAATGTTGCACAGCTGAGACAATCTCTTAGCCATTTTTGTATGTCTGGCACTTAGTGGCTACTGGAGGAAGGGCTATGGAATTCATACTGTGGTTAAATGATGGAACTGCTGGGTAACCCGAGCTGGTCTGAAGGGAACTCTCCTTAATACTCAGGGGCTGGACACCTGCCCTTCAGCAATTTTAAGTGAATGGGTAATAAGGAAATAAATTATGAGGCCACGTGTCTTCCTTTCCTCTCCAGGTCATTTTCTTGGTGAACAGTGGCTCAGAAGCCAATGAGCTGGCCATGCTGATGGCCAGGGCGCACTCAAACAACATAGACATCATTTCTTTCAGGTAATCACAACTTGGAATATTCAACTTTAGGAACACTGACTTACCCCCATTCTAAATGTGTAGCTTTACATTGTAGCATGGAGTGGGAGAGAGGTTTTCTCAGGGATATTTTTCTAGTTGTTAAGTTTTAAGGAAGGATAGGTCAATTGAATTTTATGACAGGATAACACCATTCAAGTTGGCCTGATACAAGAGAGGGGGCCCCAACTGGTCACGACCAGCTTGAAGTCCTCATTATGTCATAGATCCTCCTGTGGACATTAAGAGAAACCCACATGACAGTTTTTTAACTTTGAAGATGTGGCGGGGACCACACCATATACCAAGTGGTAAATGACTGTTCCCCACCTTAGAAGATCAAGGCTCTACCAAAAAATACCGGCCTATTTTAATTTCTGCTTATGATAAGGAGCTGTCCACTGATTTCATAGTGCCAGCTGCACCCATTTTTTACCTTTTATTCTCCTTAAGTTCAGAGGATGAACATATAACCCTGTATATTTCTGCTTCTTTCAGTGACTTTTGAGCACTGATAATAGATTCATTAATAAACCCTTAATGGCTACATTAGCACTAAAAATAATAGAAAACTATGCATTTTGCTTACAGTTGCCTCCCTTGGGTAATTGTATACAGCATATTTAAACAGACTCCTGTAAAGTTAATGTAAAAGACAGGAGTGGCTTATGGTAAAAGTTGATGGAATGAATAAACAGTTGCATTTTTAAGCTGTCTGGTTATAATTTCTGTGTGAATTCAAAAGAAGATTTTATTTAATCCTTATGACAGCACATTCAATACTGCACATTCCATATCAAATGAGCATGCTGTTATTACAGGAATAAGAAATATGACAATAAAGAATTGTGATTGATGTATTACCTAAATGACATTCCAGAATATGTGTGTCGAGGTAAGTATTAAGTAGTCATGGTACTACCAGGGTTCAACACACATTTTGTCTCCTTTTTCAAGATACATTAGGTCGGTGCAAAAGTAATTGAGATTTCTGCCATTAAAAGTAATGGCAAAAACCACAATTACTTTTGCACCAACCTAATACAACCATTCTTTTGAATAGTCTTAACGGTCCTAAATCCTTGTTTAAAGGTGATTTTGATATGGGAAATTGTTCGAACTCATTTGAAGCTTACACTGATGATTAGGAGCATTTATACTAAATATGACTGTTTCACGTTCAAAAGAAACAAAACCTGTGTTTCTTAGATGGAGAATAAGGTGATTTATAAGGTGTGTAAGTCCCTAAAGATATTGAACAACAGGTATATCATAGGAAAAAATATTTGGCTTCCCAAAGCGACTACTTCGAAGACTGGTATTCATTGAACATACAATTTCTGGTATGTTGTTGCTAAAAGATGAGTCTCATTACTATGGAATAATAGAGTAGGGAAGGTCCTAAGATTGGAGTTCTTGGACAAATGTTCTCCAAAATTCCTTTCACAGTTTCAAATCTGTTTTCTAACAACAGTTAGAAAAGACTATTAAGTACATTGATCCGACATAAGCTTAGATGCGTTCTTAGAAATCAGAGGTGAATGCGAATGATGTTCTATTTCATCTTCATAGCCTTCCTGGGTTTTCTCTTTTGTCCTACTCAGTGGACCAGGAACTTGACCCCATCCTCCTGTTGTTTCTTCTCTGCAGAGGAGCCTACCATGGATGCAGTCCTTACACACTTGGCTTGACAAACGTAGGGACCTACAAGATGGAACTCCCTGGTGGGACAGGTTGCCAACCAGTGAGTTTGGAGATTTTTCTCTTGTTTCTTTAAAGACTGCTGGGTATGTGAAGTAGTTGATCAGGTTTTCCTGGTATAAGGATTAGAAACTAATATAAAGCCTGTCATTAATCAGGGGCTCAATTTGACCTAATTGAATTGGAGACCACTTGAGGACACCATTAGAAAGGCCTTCCGAGTCTGAGTAATAATTAATGACAGAGTTTTAAAATGTATTTTGCTTTTAAATAAAATCAAGTAAACTGCAAGGCTCTGAGAATCTTGAATGCACAAAACTTCTATGCAGTCATCACTGTACTCACCTTCTGTTCCCACTTACTGTACCCACATTTTCAGCATCTGAATCAGATACCTAATTATTCTTATTCTTTCAGATGCCCTTACCCACTGCACCCTTGAGCAAGCTGTTTCCAGGCTAACATTGAAATCAGTTTCCTTTGTAGAGGGCCCACATAGCTGATTTCTAAGAAAAAATTATCTCTTCAAAGCAGATCCTTCAATTTTCATCTTAAGTGGGGGAAGAATGAGGGAGGAAAACTAAGAAGCCCTCTTGTCTTGATGGCAGCCATATGCTACCCTAACTTGGCTGTCTTGTGTTCATGCTTTGCCACACTCCTTCTTTTGTCATTTGCAGACAATGTGTCCAGATGTTTTTCGTGGCCCTTGGGGAGGAAGCCACTGTCGAGATTCTCCAGTGCAAACAATCAGGAAGTGCAGCTGTGCACCAGGTCCGACTGGGCAAGGGGGGTGCCAGTGGAGTGTTGGAAGTTGGAAGGGACACGAATAAAGGCAGACCCATCCCTGAGGGAACAATTGAATTTGAAAACATGGAAAAGGGAAAAGCCAGAGGAAGCAAAACTGGAAAGTAACCAAGTTATTCCTCATTGAATCAACGCTTATGTCTGCTATCACTTCACTCTCAGACCATCTGTCTGGCCATGTAGGAAAAGCATCTCACGCTATCAGAGCCAAGCTCAAAAAAACGACTATCAGCTGGTACTTGATTCAAGGCATTCTATTAGCTCTATTATAATAGCAATAGCTCTGGTGTCAATTTTAAAAGACAACAAGCTGGGCGTGGTGGCATGCCTGTAGTCCCAGTTACTCGGGAGGCTGAGGTGGGAGGATTGCTTGAGCTGAGGAAGTCGAGGCTGCAGTGATTCATGATTATGCCACTGCACTCCAGCCTGCATGAAAGAGCAAGGCCCGGCGGGGCATGGTGGCTGACAGCTATAATCCCAGCACTTTGGGAGGTTGAGGCGGGCAGATCACCTGAGGTCGGGAGTTTGAGACCAGCTGGCCAACATGGTGAAATGGTGTCTCTATTAAAAATACAAAAATTAGCTAGGCATGGTAGTGTGCACCTATAATCCCAGCTACTCGGGAGGCTGAGGCTCAAGAATCACTTGAACCTGGGAGGCAGAGGTTGCAGTGAACTGAGATAACGCCACTGCACTCCAACCTGGGCAACAGAACAAGACTCCATCTCAAAAAAAAAAAAAAAAAAAAAAAAAAAGCAAGATCCCATCTCTAAAATGAAAAAACTAAACAACAACCAAAAAAAAAAAAAAAACAAGAAATCAAGATGGGTGGGATTATTAACCCATACCAGTGGAAAGAGGGAAAATAATGCTTTTGGCAATCTCAAAACTCCAGTCAAAAAGTTCTCCAGGGACTGCCAGCCAAAATGAGAGCATCCGTCAAACAAAACACAAGGCTGCCCTTCCTACAGGCTGCTGACAACCCTGGCAAAAGTTTTAAAGGCTTTCTCACAAGGAGAACTTCCATTTACCAATCACATTTTTATTCGCATTCTTTACCTACGCTTAACAGGAGGGAGAGGAGGCAGGAAACATCATCTGTTCCTTGCTAATCAACAAGCCCTGCCTCTGATTTGTCATCACAACCTTTTTAATAGCCGCTCCTTAGTACTTCTGAAGGAAATAACTAAATGCTTCAGCCCAGTGATTTTTAATGGAATAGTATGAATCACTGGGTTGAGAGGAAAAATACAAAACAGAAGTCTTAAAAACCAGCTCTGAAAGGAAAAAAATTCACCATCGTCTTAAAATTCAGATGACATAATAGCAAAATGGAGGTAAGAGAATGAAAGAGTAAGTAGTGAAAGAAGACAAGATGTCACGCTCATGGAATTTAAAACCAGAAGGAAATGTAAAGCTATAAATCAAACTCTCCACTTTAAACATCAGGAAAGCCAGTTTCACATGGAGGAGACTGGAGAGCTAAGATTTTACCCCAGGTCTTCTGACTCCAAAGCCAGTGCTCCCAATTCCTATAGCCATCCTCATCCACACTGATGTGCCGTCAAGATAAACCCAAGCTGAAAAAGCATTCCTATTCCACAGGCCAGGACTGAGGAGCTGCATGAAGTCAAGAGATGGATTCCACTCTCAGCCCTGGCATGGTTCAGCTATGAGCAAAAGCTTCACCTTTTGCTTCAGTTTTCTCATTTGTAAAACAGAGACAGCAATATCTGGCTGCTGCCAACACCATCACGGCACTTCATGAGATGAGGCACGGAGAACTTTTGTAGAGAAAAACAGACCATAGCAATGCCTGGTAAAGCCGTATTTGAATATTGCATCTGTAAGGCATCAAGAACTAAAATCAGTTTGATGCACCTCCCAGACCCTGGTCTGACTGCAAAACCACCAGCACAGAGCCTAGTAGACGGAAGCACTAAAAGGTGGTCATTTCCTTCTTTTCCTGCTATATGTTCCTCTTTCCACATAGAAGAGACACAAGCCTACTATAAGGCCTTCTATAGGACTACTTAAGCCAATTTGACAATACCAGAAATCCATGGTCATCTCTCTAGTGGCATCTAGAGGCTAAATGATAGTGACAGGCGTACATTTCTGCTCTGAACTGTTGCCTTTGGCATATCTGAAGTCAGTTGTTTTCTTTTTTATTTATGTATTTTTTTTTTTGAGACAAAGTCTCACTCTTGTCCCCCAGACTGGAGTGCAATGGCGCGATCTCGGCTCACTGCAACCTCCGCCTCCCGGGTTCAAGCGATTCTCCTGCCTCAGCTTCCCGAGTAGCGGGGATTACAGGTGCCTGCCACCACGCCCAGCTAATTTTTGTATTTTTAGTAGAGACCGGGTTTCACCATGTTGGCCAGGCTGGTCTCGAACTCCTGACTTCAGGTGATCCGCTCGCCTTGGCCTCCCAAAGTGCTGGGATCACATGCGTGAGCCACCATGCCCGGCCAGCTGTTTTCTTAACTCACATCTTCAAGGGACAAGACTATTTATGGAATCTTTGAACAGGATTGGAATACAAAAGAAAGACCCCAGTCTCCTTCACTGCCTTTAGGACCTGGGAAGGGTTTGGTCTTTGCTGTAAAACTGGAATATTCATATATGTTTACAAAAGCATCCAAACATGTACAGTTCTTTGACTATAGATGTTGCCTGTTCTCAATTCCTCTTAACCTATTGATAGGAATACCTTAAGAGGAATTGAGGCACCAACCATGGTAGAGATTTTTCTCATCTCAGAAATATGTCATCCCTCCCAACAGAGGCAGGGGGCCATTTTGTGAGTCTAATCTAGATGTTTATATGGTATATTTATTTGTCCTACTCCATCTACCTCCCAGGATTTTTTCCCCAGGGGTTCATTCCAGGCCCTGAGTTTCAAGTGTAATCCATGACGAGATTCACTCCTCATCACCTACTGCCCCCACAATGTTCCAAACCTCGTACTGATCATGTCATTCTTCTTCTTTTGAAAGGCAAGTTTTGTTTTTCTTAAAAATTGTAGTTCTTTCTTGGCTCCTCACTCAGCTTAACTCTTTCTGTACCACTAGCTGGAATAAATTCTTCCTTCGTCATCCTGTTGTAGTATCCAACAGAACATCCTGTCTCCACCCGCTTGGGGTTTTCTTCCTGCCAAGCCTCTGCAGAAGTGGCCTAACCTAGGGTTACATCAATGAGTCAATGCAGCTAGTGCGAAATAAAGTAAAAAGCTCATCACAGTCAATGACTCTCTCATCGCTGAGCATGTGGGCAGAGAGGGAAAAAAGTCATGAAAGGTCTAGCATAGGTTCAGGCAAAACCTTTTGGTTTGGTTCTGCCCAAATTTAAGCTCCACTCTTTGATTTCTCCAGTTACAAATGGGCTTGTTAAATTTCCAAATTACTTCTCTTGAACATAGGTCTGATCCATCTTTTAGGGTCATCTGAAGCTGTTTTCTCTTCCTTTCCCAATAAAAACGGGAAATTTCTGTCTCTAGAGGCATAGATTTATTTGTCTACTATATTCTTCTCATCAAAACAACACAAGTGATGCCAAAAACATATTTTCAGGGTTTCATATACTTGTCATTTCTTCCTTTCTCACACCCTTAACCTCCAACCTCCAGCTAACCAAAGATATCAGGTACCTCTGTCAATCAAACTTTTCCGAATATCACATGTAATCTAAAAATATGTTTGGGGCCAGCTAGTATTTCCTCACTTTTAATGAAGAGCTGAGGTATAAAATTCGGTTTTGATGGTGATTGCAGAAGGTTTCTGTTCCTTCTGTCTAGCACCGTGGAGACAGCACTGCATCCATGCCTCTAAGCAAGCACTGGGATGGTAGGTGGGGAGCCCTGTCCCACACTGCTTTCACTGTCACTCGGGTTGAGGCTTTCCATCCCTTCCACATCTTTCTCTGCACTCCTTTGGTCATCTATGGATATAAATTTAAGTTCAGAGACTGCATGGTACTGTTTAGAACCAAATAACAGGTGTGGATAAAAATTCTGAAGATTCAGTCATGTATGGATACAGTTGACCTGGGACCTTTGTTATTCCAGAGTAGAAGAATTTCTCTCTCTCTCTCTCTCTCTCTCTCTCTCTCTCTCTCTCTCTCTCTCTCTCTCTCTCTCTCACCTTTCCTGCTTCCTTGGTGATTCCCACTTCCAATTCTGACACACAGATGAAGGCTTCTGGAGCTTGGGCAAGTCTGCTGGGCAATCTTCCCACTCATCTCTAGTCCTCTCCCATCCACAGGATTTCATGCCTGTGTGTCTGTGTGGTGAGGCTTGCAGCTAGTGAAGCATGGCAGAAATGTTTCTAGTATCTTTAAGCAGGATTAGAAAGTAGACATGGTTAGTGCTAAGAAAACTGAGCTGGATGGACAGCTAGTACTGGTAACATGATAGCCTGGGTTTTCTCCAGTGGAAAACAACTAAAAAATCCTGGATAAAATGAAATGCATTCCCTTCAAAGCATGGATACAAGAAAGCACGAATTCTCAGAAACGCAAATAGATCATTACGGCACTGCAGCCCCCTTTGACCCTGAGAGAATTTCTTGAACCTGGTAACCTTGAGCTTCCATGTTGATGGCTCTGTGGAGTGCAGGGAAGAGATGACGAAGTCCAGGGCCCAGCCAAAGTAAGGGATCTTATAGGAAACCCTCCCCTGCCACAAAGCTGGAGCCCCCAAGAGGCCACATCTTCATCCATGGGTCAACTAGAATTAAATACACCACCAAGAACATATTACCCCTCACAGGCCAAAGGGCCTGCAAGGATTCTGGTGCTGAATGGAAGTGGAGGGACTGGGAGGAGCCACCACTGAAAGTTTCACCTGCAGACTGGCCCTCCAAGGCTTTGCATTGTGAACGCTCACTTCCTCAAGCTCATAATTTAAAGGACTCTTAGACTCTAATGCCCTACGCACTTGGAAGCTGCAAACTCAGATAGGCTCTGGAGGGATCTACCTCATTCTGGGCCTCAAAGAATTCTCACAAATGAAATTCCAAGGAAAATAAACTGCCCCTTGTCAAAAATAAATATACAATACACAAAACTCCGCAATCAAGAAAAAGATCAGCAAGGATTTCAAATAACAGAATTATCAGATAGGCTATAAAATGAATATGTTTAATACATTTAAAGAAAATCAAATATAAGCTTGAAAATATGCGAAAGGGATAGGACACTGTGAAGAATAAGAAAGCAAGTTTTAAAAGCAAATATGCCTTCTAGTAATATAAAAGTGATTATTGAAATTTAAAACTCAGCATGTGGGTTTATCAGCAGTAAGATGCAGCCAAAAGGAGAAGTAATGAATTAAAGACAGATCACTTCAACAAGGACACTTTACTGCTTTTCCCCATTAGAAAGATCTCCAAAAAGAAAGAAAGAAAGAAAGGCCTTCAAGCAAAATTGCTCAATGTCTCACTCCAGCCATGATTTCTACTATTTGTTAATATTTTCTTCTTAATGCGTTAAACATTTACTGAGCACCACCTACAGTGTACCAAACAGCTTGCCTGGCCACAGAGATTTTAGAAATGAACAAAGTATAGTCCCTGCCCACAAAAACCTCCTGATTAATCGGAGAAAGTCCTGTTAAAAACAAGCACAGGACCAAGTGCCAAGGGCTGCGATGGATGGAAGCCACCTAGCTCTCGAACATTTCTCTTTAGACTGAATTCTAATTGTTCTACAAGCATATTTACTAACTCTAAAGACAAAGACACTTTGTAGCTTTAAAACGGTACATCAGATTAAATGGCAATGAAAGGTAAATAGAGTTATTTTCAAATAAATTAAATCGCTCTAATTACATTTGAATTAGATCCACCTGTTTGAGAGGACGGGCATCCTTAGGTGAAACAGCTATCTATACCAGCTCAATGACACTTTGGGACGTTTCTTCCCCAGATGGAAAGAACTGAAGTGGTTTGTTTATGCCTTTATGGCTATCTTAATCTCCCTCCTTGAACCAAAGTACAAGTTGTTCAGAGAGAACATTCCCCCTTCAGAAATGCATATCCTCACCCCAGTTTACCGTATTCTGAAGTCCCTGATTAACTTACCCTGTCTGGTTGTTTTTTTTTTTTCCTGTTTTTCCCCATGTTTCTAAATATCAGGCTCACATTTTCAAATGCTGTGGTTTGTTTTGTTTTGTTGTTTGCTTTTTGCAGACTGCTGCCAAGCTAAAGATCAGTATATTGAGCAATTCAAAGATACGCTGAGCACATCTGTGGCCAAGTCAATTGCTGGATTTTTCGCAGAACCTATTCAAGTGGGTATATGAACCTTAGACATTAATGGAGCTGAATCTTCAATTATCAGAAAGTTTTAACTCATATATTCTAGAGAATTCCAAATGAATTAAGTGCTCACTGTGTCCCTCTCTAAATTCATTCTCTTGGTCTCCTTGAAAAAAGAAGACGCTGACTTTCAAATGACCTTTTAAAAACCCTCTCCTCCATTCTCACCAGACAGATGAAACTACCGAACTCCTAAAATTCTTAAGAAGAGGAAACCCTGGCCATTTTTAGCTGCTTAATAACATCCGCATTGTCCAAAGAACTCTTTCTTTAGTCTCACCAATTTCTTTTATTCTACTGTTTTCTAATCTCAGAAAATAATCAATGTTTGCATCTTTTTTCCAGAAGTCATGGTATAGAGTAATAAGTCCTCTTTTCACCCACAGTGGAAACTGTTCTACAGACTGTTGTTAAAATTGCTAGTGTTACTGTCATGATAATGATGATAATGATGATCTAACTTTTTTATATACTTTGAAAGGGCTGATGCTATTATTATAGGTCTTCTTGGTCTGGTCTTTTGCAGGGTGTGAATGGAGTTGTCCAGTACCCAAAGGGGTTTCTAAAGGAAGCCTTTGAGCTGGTGCGAGCAAGGGGAGGCGTGTGCATTGCAGATGAAGTAAGTGGCATGTAAGGGTGCCATTGAGTGCAGTGGGAACAGGAGATGCACAGACAGAAACCTCCTAAACTTCCTCTGTGTTCCAGGCAGAAAGCCTCTGCTCTGTGAATTCCAAAGTTTGCCTACAAATGAATGAAATTTGTGCTAGTGGGCTGGTTGATTTGTTAGTACATTCGCTGATCAGTTTAACAAGTATAACAGAACTTAAATCTCCAAATTGATGTCTATCAAATAAGTTGCTAACAGCCATATGTGATGTTATTAGACCGTGACTCAATATATTTTTTTAATTCCTTTCTAGGGATTGTTTCAGGGGCTGACAAACATCATAGGAAATTTAATCTCATAGCCAAGGTTTTTGTTGTTTTTATTTGTTTGGTTATTTTGAGACAAAGTCTCGCTCTGTCATCCAGGCTGAAGTACAGTGGTACAATCTCGACTCACCGCAACCTCCGCCTCCTGGGGTTCAAGGGATTCTTCTGCCACAGCCTCCCGAGTAGCTGGGACCACAGGCATGTGCCACCAAGCCTGACTAATTTTTGTATTTTTAGTAAAGACAGGGTTTCACCATGTTGGCCAGGCTGATCTTGAATTCCTGACCTCAAGTGATCCGCCCGCCTTGGCCTCCCAAAGTACTGGCATTAGAGACGTGAGCCACCGTGCCAGGCCTGATAGCCAAGTTTTTAATCTTTATTTTTGCAAAAATAGTATTTACCAACCTGGCAGCATATACCTTTCTGACAAAACTTGCCTGGAAATAATGTGGGTTTTTTTGTTTGTTTGTTTCTTTTTGAGACAGAATTTCTTTCTTGTTGCCCAGGCTGGAGTGCAGTGGTGCAATCTCAGCTCACCACAGCCTCTGCCTCCCAGGTTCAAGTGATTCTCCTGCCTCAGCCTCCCGAGTAGCTGGGATTACAGGCATCCGCCACCACACCCGGCTAGTTTTGTATTTTTTAGTAGAGACTGGGGTTTCTCCGTGTTGGTCAGGCTGGTCTCGAACTCCTGACCTCAGGTGATCTGCCCACCTTGGCGTCCCAAAGTGCTGGGTTTACAGGCATGAGCCACCGCGCCTGGCCGAAATAATGTTTTTAAAATAATAATAATAATCCAGCCTCTAAATTAGAGGAGTACCACCAACTGCAGGTACTGCATTTGAAAATAGTTCCCCAAAAATTGTAAAATAGGTTGAATTAAAGCAGCATTAAAGCATTAAAGCACACTACTCCCAAGGGCATTACTTTAATGGGAAGAAAATTCGTTGGCTATGTGAGCTCTAGCCTGTGTGTTTTCAAAAGGGATTAATTTACTTATAATCACACCTCATATTAGAGTGTATCAAATAAAGCAGTCCTCTGTCTACTGAGAGTAGCTATGGAGATTAAAAGACCAGAGGATGATCACTAGGGCCACCGAAGCCATGTCTCACTGCTGGGTGACTATCATGATTGGACTAACAGGTGGTTAGACCAGCCAAGGACAGGTGGAGAACCTGTAAGTATGTTTCACACCTATTTCTGTCCAGCCATCATTGCTGGAATAGACTTCCTCAACTAAAAATTTCCTACAGCTAGGTTGGGCGCAGTGGCTCACATCTGTCATCCCAGCACTTTGGGATGCTGAGGCAGGCCGGTCACTTGAGGTCAGGAGTTCAAAACCAGCCCAGCCAACATGGTGAAACACCATCTGTACTAAAAATACAAAAAGTAGCTGGGTGTGGTAGTGCATGCCTGTAATCCCAGCTGCTCAGGACGCTGACGCAGGAGAATGTTTGAACCCAGGAGGTGGAGGTTGCAATGAGCCAAGATCATGCCATTGCACTCCAGCCTGGGCAACGGAGCAAAACTCCATCTCAAAATAAATAAATAAATAAATAAATAAATAAATAAATAAATAAATAAATATTCCCTACAGCTGACACTGAGCTGTCACATCAGCAGAAATTTTGCAATTTCTGCCTGGGCAGCTGGGTCTCTGTTATGCCCAGGTGTATTGGATGTCCCTGGTGTACCACAGGCAACTTGGGCCAGCCTGCTCCTGCTGAGACCATCCTCCCTTCTCCAATCTGCCCACAAACTGATCGAAGTCCAGGCTGGAGAAAGTTAATCTGCTACTTTAAAAAAATGAGTATATCCAGTCAGCTTGAAATTAGCTACATCAGTAAAAAGGATAAACTTTGGCCTCCAAATCAGCACATAGTGAAGCTGTCACAGTCAGACTAATTAAAGAGAAGGTAGGCTGAATTCAAAGGAAATATGAATTTCAAAATTTTCTGTCTTGTGGTTTTATGACTTTCAAACAATGTAATTGAAAACTATCTAACACAGGCAATCCTCAAGAAGGACTATCGCGAGGACTAGGTAAAAATAAGAATAGCTGGAACTCTCTGAGTACCTGCTATGTGTCAGACACTGTTCATAACACTTTGCATGTGTTAACTCAGTTCATACCTATCAACTGTTCTATAGTATGCCCTGTTGCTGCTGTTCCCACGTATTAGTCCTTTCTCATGCTGCTGATAAAGAAATACCTGAGACTGGGTAATTTATAAAGAAAAAGAGGTTTTTCTTTTTTCTTTTTTCTTTTTTCTTTTTTTTTTTACATCTGCCATCACCACAATTTTATTAAAAATGAAGCAAATAAGACAAAGAATATGTGAAACCTATACAAACAAATGAATAAAACAATATCGGAATAAAAGGCACTCTTTTAAATTGAAAATAGTTTTGTAAAGTAAACTCACTAATTAAAAAAAAAAATTTGCAGAAGACAAACATTTAGGAGCCAGTGATTGAAATCACCAAGACTCTTTTATGCTAACTTTCCCTTTTTGGGCGTCAATTACTACTCTGCCTTTTCTAGTTTACAGTATTCTTCATAGAAAAATGTAGAAGAAAAACAATATTATCAGAGTTCTGTCTCCCTCTGGTACTTGGTTAATATTATAGCATATTCTAAAGGGAAGGGCTCTAGGTTTTCCTTGTGCTTTTTCTTTTCTTTTCCTTTTTTTTTTTTTTTACTTCTCTCTTTTTATTTATTATTATTATACTTTAAGTTTTAGGGTACATGTGCACAATGTGCAGGTTAGTTGCATATGTATACATGTGCCATGCTGGTGCGCTGCACCCACTAACTCGTCATCTAGCATTAGGCATATGTCCCAATGCTATCCCTCCCCCCTCCCCCCACCCCACAACAGTCCCTAGACTGTGATGCTCCCCTTCCTGTGTCCACGTGTTCTCATTGTTCAATTCCCACCTATGAGTGAGAATATGCGGTGCTTGGTTTTTTGTTCTTGCGATATTTTACTGAGAATGATTATTTCCAATTTCATCCATGTCCCTTCAAAGGACATGAACTCATCATTTTTTATGGCTGCATAGTATTCCATGGTGTATATGTGCCACATTTTCTTAATCCAGTCTATCATTGTTGGACATTTGGGTTGGTTCCAAGTCTTTGCTATTGTGAATAGTGCCACAATAAACATACGTGTGCATGTGTCTTTATAGCAGCGTGATTTATAGTCCTTTGGGTATATACCCAGTAATGGGATGGCTGGGTCAATGGTATTTCTAGTTCTAGATCCCTGAGGAATCACCACACTGACTTCCACAATGGTTGAACTAGTTTACAGTCCCACCAACAGTGTAAAAGTGTTCCTATTTCTCCACATCCTCTCCAGCACCTGTTGTTTCCTGACTTTTTAATGATCACCATTCTAACTGGTGTGAGATGGTATCTCATTGTGGTTTTGATTTGCATTTCTCTGATGGCCAGTGATGATGAGCATTTTTTCATGTGTTTGTTGGCTGCATAAATGTCTTCTTTTGAGAAGTGTCTGTTCATATCCTTCACCCAATTGTTGATGGGGTAGTTTGTTTTTTTCTTGTAAATTTGTTAGAGTTCATTGTAGATTCTGGATATTAGCCCTTTGTCAGATGAGTAGGTTGCGAAAATTTTCTCCCGTTTTGTAGGTTGCCTGTTCACTCTGATGGTAGTTTCTTTTGCTGTGCAGAAGCTCTTTAGTTTAATTAGATCCCATTTGTCAATTTTGGCTTTTGTTGCCATTGCTTTTGGCGTTTTAGACATGAAGTCCTTGCCCATGCCTGTGTCCTGAATGGTAATGCCTAGGTTTTCTTCTAGGGTTTTTATGGTTTTAGGTCTAACGTTTAAGTCTTTAATCCATCTTGAATTGATTTTTGTATAAGGTGTAAGGAAGGGATCCAGTTTCAGCTTTCTACATATGGCTAGCCAGTTTTCCCAGCACCATTTATTAAATAGGGAATCCTTTCCCCATTGCTTGTTTTTCTCAGGTTTGTCAAAGATCAGATAGTTGTAGATATGCAGCATTATTTCTGAGGGCTCTGTTCTGTTCCATTGATCTATATCTCTGTTTTGGTACCAGTACCATGCTGTTTTGGTTACTGTAGCCTTGTAGTATAGTTTGAAGTCAGGTAGTGTGATGCCTCCAGCTTTGTTCTTTTGGCTTAGGATTCACTTGGCGAAGCGGGCTCTTCTTTGGTTCCATATGAACTTTGAAGTAGTTTTTTCAATTCTGTGAAGAAAGTCATTGGTAGCTTGATGGGGATGGCATTGAATCTGTAAATTACCTTGGGCAGTGTGGCCATTTTCACGATATTGATTCTTCCTGCCCATGAGCATGGAATATTCTTCCATTTGTTTGTATCTTCTTTTATTTCCTTGAGCAGTGGTTTGTAGTTCTCCTTGAAGAGGTCCTTCACATCCCTTGTAAGTTGGACTCCTAGGTATTTTATTCTCTTTGAAGCAATTGTGAATGGGAATTCACTCATGATTTGGCTCTCTGTTTGTCTGTTATTGGTGTATAAGAATGCTTGTGATTTTTGTACATTGATTTTGTATCCTGAGACTTTGCTGAAGTTGCTTATCAGCTTAAGGAGATTTTGGGCTGAGACAATGGGGTTTTCTAGATATACAATCATGTCGTCTGCAAACAGGGACAATTTGACTTCCTCTTTTCCTATTGAATACCCTTTATTTCCTTCTCCTACCTAATTGCCCTGGCCAGAACTTCCAACACTATGTTGAATAGGAGTGGTGAGCGAGGGCATCCCTGTCTTATGCCAGTTTTCAAAGGGAATGCTTCCAGTTTTTGCCCATTCAGTATGATATTGGCTGTGGGTTTGTCATAGATACCTCTTATTATTTTGAAATACGTCCCATCAATACCTAATTTATTGAGAGTTTTTAGCATGAAGGGTTGTTGAATTTTGTCAAAGGCCTTTTCTGCATCTATTGAGATAATCATGTGGTTTTTGTCTTTGGTTCTGCTTATATGCTGGATTACATTTATTGATTTGCATATATTGAACCAGCCTTGCATCCCAGGGATGAAGCCCTCTTGATCATGGTGGATAAGCTTTTTGATGTGCTGCTGGATTCGTTTTGCCAGTATTTTATTGAGGATTTTTGCATCAATGTTCATCAAGGATATTGGTCTGAAATTCTCTTTTTTGGTTGTGTCTCTGCCCGGCTTTGGTATCAGGATGATGCTGGCCTCATAAAATGAGTTAGGGAGGATTCCCTCTTTTTCTGTTGATTGGAATAGTTTCAGAAGGAATGGTACCAGTTCCTCCTTGTACCTCTGGTAGAATTCCGCTGTGAATCCTTCTGGTCCTGGACTCTTTTTGGTTGGTAAGCTATTGATTATTGCCACAATTTCAGATCCTGTTATTGGTCTATTCAGAGATTCAATTTCTTCCTGGTTTAGTCTTGGGAGAGTGTATGTGTTGAGGAATTTATCCATTTCTTCTAGATTTTCTAGTTTATTTGCATAGAGGTGGTTGTAGTATTCTCTGATGGTAGTTTGTATTTCTGTGGGATCAGTGGTGATATCCCCTTTATCATTTTTTATTGCATCTATTTGATTCTTCTCTCTTTTTTTCTTTATTAGTCTTGCTAGTGGTCTATCAATTTTGTTGATCCTTTCAGAAAACCAGCTCCTGGATTCATTAATTTTTTGAAGGGTTTTTTGTGTCTCTATTTCCTTCAGTTCTGTTGATTTTAGTTATTTCTTGCCTTCTTCTAGCTTTTGAATGTGTTTTCTCTTGCTTTTCTAGTTCTTTTAATTGTGATGTTAGGGTGTCAATTTTGGATCTTTCCTGCTTTCTCTTGTGGGCATTTAGTGCTATAAGTTTCCCTCTACACACTGCTTTGAATGCGTCCCAGAGATTCTGGTATGTTTTGTCTTTGTTCTCAATGGTTTCAAAGAACATCTTTATTTCTGCCTTCATTTCGTTATGTACCCAGTAGTCATTCAGGAGCAGGTTGTTCAGTTTCCATGTAGTTGAGCGGTTTTGAGTGAGATTCTTAATCCTGAGTTCTAGTTTGATTGCACTGTGGTCTGAGAGATAGTTTGTTATAATTTCTGTTCTTTTACATTTGCTGAGGAGAGCTTTACTTCCAAGTATGTGGTCAATTTTTGAATAGGTGTGGTGTGGTGCTGAAAAAAATGTATATTCTGTTGATTTGGGGTGGAGAGTTCTGTAGATGTCTATTAGGTCCGCTTGGTGCAGAGCTGAGTTCAATTCCTGGGTATCCTTGTTGACTTTCTGTCTCATTGATCTGTCTAATGTTGACAGTGGGGTGTTAAAGTCTCCCATTATTAATGTGTGGGAGTCTAAGTCTCTTTGTAGGTCACTCAGGACTTGCTTTATGAATCTGGGTGCTCCTGTATTGGGTGCATATATATTTAGGATAGTTAGCTCTTGTTGTTGAATTGATCCCTTTACCATTATGTAATGGTCTTCTTTGTCTCTTTTGATCTTTGTTGGTTTAAAGCCTGTTTTATCAGAGACTAGGATTGCAACCCCTGCCTTTTTTTGTTTTCTATTTGCTTGGTAGATCTTCCTCCATCCTTTTATTTTGAGCCTATGTGTGTCTCTGCACGTGAGATGGGTTTCCTGAATACAGCACACTGATGGGTCTTGACTCTTTATCCAATTTGCCAGTCTGTGTCTTTTAATTGGAGCATTTAGTCCATTTACATTTAAAGTTAATATTGTTATGTGTGAATTTGATCCTGTCATTATGATGTTAGCTGGTTATTTTGCTCGTTAGTTGATGCAGTTTCTTCCTAGTCTCGATGGTCTTTACATTTTGGCATGATTTTGCAGCAGCTGGTACCAGTTGTTCCTTTCCATGTTTAGTGCTTCCTTCAGGAGCTCTTTTAGGGCAGGCCTGGTGGTGACAAAATCTCTCAGCATTTGCTTGTTTGTAAAGTATTTTATTTCTCTTTCACTTATGAAGCTTAGCTTGGCTGGATATGAAATTCTGGGTTTAAAATTCTTTTCTTTAAGAACGTTGAATATTGGCCCCCACTCTCTTCTGGCTTGTAGAGTTTCTGCCGATAGATCTGCTGTTAGTCTGATGGGCTTCCCTTTGAGGGTAACCTGACCTTTCTCTCTTGCTGCCTTTAACATTTTTTCCTTCATTTCAACTTTGATGAATCTGACAATTGTGTGTCTTGGAGTTGCTCTTCTCAAGGAGTATCTTTGTGACATTCTCTGTATTTCCTGAATCTGAATGTTGGCCTGCCTTGCTAGATTGGGGAAGTTCTCCTGGATAATATCCTGCAGAGTGTTCTCCAACTTGGTTCCATTCTCCCTGTCACTTTCAGGTACACCAATCAGACGTAGATTTGGTCTTTTCACATAGTCCCATATTTCTTGGAGGCTTTGCTCGTTTCTTTTTATTCTTTTTTCTCTAAACTTCCCTTCTGTCTTCATTTCATTCATTTCACCTTCCATCGCTGATACCCTTTCTTCCAGTTGATCTCATCAGCTCCGGAGGCTTCTGCATTCTTCACGTAGTTCTCGAGCCTTGGTTTTCAGCTCCATCAGCTCCTTTAAGCACTTCTCTTTATTGGTTATTCTAGATATACATTCTTCTAAATTTTTTTCAAAGTTTTCAACTTCTTTGCCTTTGGTTTGAATGTCCTCTCATAGCTTGGAGTAATTTGATCGTCTGAAGCCTTCTTCTCTCAACTCGTCAAAGTCATTCTCCGTCCAGCTTTGTTCCGTTACTGGTGAGGAACTGCGTTCCTTTGGAGGAGGAGAGGTGCTCTGCTTTTTAGAGTTTCCAGTTTAAGAAAAAGAGGTTTAAAGGACAGAGTTCCATGTGGTTGGGGAGGCCTAACAATCATGGCGGAATGCAGAAGGCACATCTTACATGGTAGCAGACAAGAGACAATGAGAGTCAAGCAAAAAGGGTTTCCCCTTATAAAACCATCAGATCTTGTGAGACTTATTCACCACCATGAGAACAGTATGGGGGAACCACCCCCATGATTCAATTATCTCCCATCAGGTCCCTCCCACAACACGTGGGAATTATGGGAGCTACAATTCATGATGAGATTTGGGTGGGGACACAGCCAAACCATATCATCTCATTTTAAATATAAGTGAATGTAGGTCCAAGGTGGTTAAACAACCTGTCAAGCTTATGCCGTTAGTAGGAATAGGTCCAAGACTCAAACTCAGGCTCCCAAAACCACATGACTAGCCACCGTATCAAGCTGCCCCTCCAAAATGACAGAGCGTGGTGTAGAAAGGGCAAATCATGGCAGAAAGGGAAGGAACAGAGGACAGAAAAACCTGAGTGCAGAGGGCCAGTTCTGTCAAGGAGCAGTCTTACACAAGTCATCTTAATTAACAATCAGTGGCATTCTTTTCTTTAAAATGTGGAATCTGGATTAAAGTTAGAAAACTGAAACCTCTGGGCCCATATTGGCATAGACTGATTTTGAATTTGAAACTGACTGCAAGACATGCATACCCGTAGTCCCCACCCCACTTGCTGTTGTGACCCAGCCTGCTTCTGTCCCTAACATATGCTTCTCATCTCCAAAGACAGTTGAGTTTGTGGACCTTAGAATGATCCATCTCTGTACTACTGTAAGAGTCTATGAAACTGATACTTCCTCAGTGACTAAACATGGTTTATGGTTTTACATAATTCCATGCATTTGTAACTGAGTCCAAAGCTTGTACCACTTGCTGCAAAACAGTCAGTAAGTCAAGCAATAAGATGTTGGGGCAAGGAAGACCACTTTATTTGGGGGAGCAAGCAAACCGAGAAGACGGCAGGCTCATGTCCTAAAGAACCACCTTAAGCATATGTGGGTTCCTTTTATGTTAAGGGAAAGGGGAAGAGGGAGGGGGTTGAGGTCAAAAGGTGACTGGTGACCACAGACGTTTGGGCTGCAGCAAGGATAAACTTTCATCCTTGGTCAGGTTACAATACTGTTATAAATTTTTAATGTAATGTTGTTACTTGTGTGTTCATCCTTCTTATCTCCTCAGGGATTCTTTTTAAAGCATCCTTGCCTCAAAGTTAAACCATAAACTAAATTCCTCCCATAGTTAGCTTAGCCTATATGCAGAGATAAACAAAAGCAGTTAACCTAAAAGACATCATCACAGTGGGAGGATGAGAGCAAGCTGGTTAGGAGCAAAATGGATTAAGTCATGCTAGGCTTCCTTTTCACTGTTACACATTGTCCAAGCAATCTGATTTTTCACCATTTATGCCATTTATGTATGGTATTTAGATGGAGTGAAAAAGAAAGACACGCAGGAAGACAAAATGGATGGATTTTCCACGAGCTCCTCGTACATTATCCCATTTGGAAAAATCAATCAGCTGCCCAGAGGCTCATTAGTAGGAAGGAGGCAACCCAGGATTCCAGCCCAGGTCTGTCTGACTCCCAGATTAAGCTCTGATTCCAGCCCAGGTCTGTCTGACTCCCAGGTTAAGCTCTTCTCCTACACTGGTCACTATCATCTAATTCTAACCCCTGGAATCTGTCCTTGAAAATGAGAAAGGAATCTGAAAAGGAGGCTCACTCTTTTTTTTTTTTTTTTTTTTTTTTGAGATGGAGTCTCACTCTGTTGCCCAGGCTGGAGTGCAGTGGCATGATCCCGGCTCACTGCAACCTCTGCCTCCCAGGTTCAAGCGATTCTCCTCCCTCAACCTCCCAGGTAGCTGGGACTACAGGCTCCCGCCACCACACTCAGACAATTTTTGTATTTTTAGTAGAGATGAGGTTTCATCATGTTGGCCAGGCTGGTCTCAAACTCCGGACCTCAGGTGATCCACCCACCTCGGCCTCCCAAAGTGCTGAGATTACAGGCATGAGCCACCGTGCCCAGCCTGGAAGCTCACTCTTTTAAGTGCATTTCAGAATCGGCTTCTAGTGCCCACATCCCTAACCCCCATTTTGCATTTTGTGTATGTGTGGAGAGAGACAGACAGACAGAGAGACAGGCAGGGAGACTGAGAGCCAGAAAGAAATCGAGGAGACTTCACCAGAAAGGCTCTGGCAGAAATGTGCGTGGAGAAGTTTGTATGGCTTTATTTAATCAGGCAATTCTGCCACCCTGTCATTCATTCCACAAGTGCTTACTAAGTGTCTACTTTGTATCAGGCACTGTGCTAGGTGTTATGGATACAGAATGGAATAAGACACAGTCCCTGCCATCGGACATGCCCACTGGTGATAACAGTCCTCTATGAAAGTCTCTATGGCAGCCTTCCCAGAGTACCTTGAGAGGGAGCCTAACTAAGGCTCAGGAGAACCTTCAGAAACCAAGTGATGGCAAAGTTTGTTTTGAAGCACAGAAGAAGTCGGTGAGACAAAGCAGCAAGAAGAGGGTCTTCTAGAAAGAGCGAACAGCATGCACAAAAAAACTAAGGTCAACTTTTAGTCCAAACCACAATTCCTAAATTAGAGGAGTTCAACCCTGAGTTAACTGCCTCGTCTGGGTCCTCCTCATGATACAGTTCTCAGGAAGGGGAAGGCATCCCTGGGAAGAGGATGACCAGTTTAACTGGGCTGGAGCAAGTGCCCCAGCTCCACTTGACTGACAGTAACTCCCTCTTCATCTATCCTGGGGCAGACTCAGCTTCTCTACTTTTCTATCCTGCTTTCTTACACAGAGGAAACGCTCATCAAAGATTGTTAATCATAATGATCCCTGTCATAATATTTGTATGACCCTCATGGAGCCTGTGACATATTGTTGTATTTCTACTTGACGGATGAGTTAGCAGAGGTTCCAAGGACTTAAGAAACATACCCAGAATTGCACAAAGCTAGGAAATGACTCTTGATGCCTAATAGCTCAGGCACAAATTAAGCGCTTTGTCCATGATACTACAGGATGCTCATGATAATGGCTGATGATGGCCATCATGAGGATGAGGAGAAAGAAGAAAGGGAAGAGAACAGAGAAGAAAACAGCATTTCTTTTTTTTTTTTTTTTTTTTGAGATGGAGTCTCACCCTGTCACTCAGGCTGGAGTGCAGTGGTGCAATCTCGGCTCACTGCAGCCTCTGCCCTCCGAGTTCAAGCGATTCTCCTGTCTCAGCCTCCCGAGTAGCTGGGATTACAGGCACCTGCCACTGTGCCCGGCTAATTTTTTGTATTTTTAGAAGAGACAGGGTTTCACCATCTTGGCCAGGCTGGTCTTGAACTCCTGACCTCATGATCCACCTGCTTCAGCCTCCTAAAGTGCTGGGATTACAGGTGTGAGCCACCGCGCCCTGTCGAAAACAGCATTTCTTGAAGGGTTTCCAATGGTTTTGAACTTGTTTTCCCAGGTGCAGACAGGATTTGGAAGGTTGGGCTCTCACTTCTGGGGCTTCCAAACCCACGATGTCCTGCCTGACATTGTCACCATGGCTAAAGGGATTGGGAATGGCTTTCCCATGGCAGCAGTCATAACCACTCCAGGTAGGACCCACAGGCAGTTTGTGTTTGCTTCTGGGCCTCGTACATTGGGCTATGGTATAACACGTGTGTTGGAACTTGTGTAGATTGGAGACAATCATGGAAACCACATGATGCATTTCCCAAGCAAATGAAAGAGAGAAACAGTCTGTCTGCCTGACTGTGAAACAGTTGGAAGAAAGCCAGCCCTTTTTTTTTTTTTTTTTTGAGACAGAGTCTTGCTCTGTCACCCAGGCTTGAGTGCAGTGGCACAATCTTGGCTCATTGCACCCTCTGCCTCCGCAGGTGCAAGCAATTCTCCTGCCTCAGCCTCCTGAGTAGCTGCGATTACAGGTGCGCACCACCACGCCCAGCTAATTTTTGTATTTTTAGTAGAAACGGAGTTTCACCATGTTGGCCAGGCTGGTCTCAAACTCCTGACCTCAGGTGTTTGACCTTGGCCTCCCAAAGTGATGGGATTACAGGCGTGAGCCACTGCACCCCTATCCGAAAGCCAGCCCATTCTGATCTACCTGTAGGGAAGACTAATTCTCCCATGCCTATGATGAAACTCAGGGTTCCACCACACTTTTGAGGTATATGGAAGAGGGAGAGAAGATGGAAAGAGGAGAGGGGTGGGAGAGGGCTCTGGTGTCTCTTCCTCTTCTTATAAGAAAACCAGTTCCTTGGGCTTAGATAGGGCCCCACCCTGATGACCTTATTTAACCTAATTACCTACTTAAACGCACTATCTCCAAATACAGTCTTATTCAGGGTTAAGGCTTCAGCCATATAAATTTTGAGGCGATACAATTCAGTCCCTAACATCTACTATCAGTTGAATGAAGGATGAATTGGATTGGATGCCATTTACAACACGAAGTAACTGTAGTCCAAATGGCGCGATGAGAGATTGTGGACAGGAATGTGTCCCTCTTTCCACACCTTCTATTTTCTCCCTCTAGAGATTGCCAAATCTTTGGCGAAATGCCTGCAGCACTTCAACACCTTTGGAGGGAACCCCATGGCCTGTGCCATTGGATCTGCTGTGCTTGAGGTTGGTTCCAGCGGCCACATTAACCTCACTCATTTCACAAATGACTCTTTCAAAACCACACATGCATTAGCAGAACTCTATCATGCTGAGTTGTTAAAGGGGAGAGTTAATTCATAGTTTATCCATTAAAGTTAGATTTCCATTTATTATTCTGCCTTCTCCCTTTTTAAAGACCTACTTTGGGTGCTGAAAGTATTGGATAAGAAATAATATATAATAAACCTCACATACATGGGAAATATAAGAATTTTCCTAGCCAGCTGAAATTTCTTTGTTATCTTGGTAGTGATTTATAGATGTTAACTGCTATCCTTGTATTTAGTTTCATGTTGGCCTTCTCTTGTGTATTTTTTCTTCCTTCCTTTTGTTGTACTATTATAAATTGAATGACTAAGGAGACACTGAGTTCTACGTGCTTACAGCAAGGTAATTCAGCTGTTCACCCCTACACCATTGATTTAGCCTGGGATCGCATCTGTTTAAAAAAAGATTTTTTTTAATGTTCTTGTTAACACGCCTAATATCATTTGCTTAAAGAACTGTAACAAATTTCTGGAAGAATGTCTAAGAAGTAAATGATGGTTTTTTTTGTGGGGAGGAAAACTAGGTGGCTGGGGGCCAAGGGTCAACAAGGGTCATTCTGCTGTATATACTTTTATACTTGCTGATATTTATATATATACATACACATATATATTTATATATGTATATATATTTATTTATTTCAATAGCTTTTGGGATACAAGTCGGTTTTGGTTACATGGATGAATTGTATAGTGGTGAAGTCTGAGACTTTAGTGCACTGTCACCCAAGTAGTGTACATTGTACCCAATATGTAATTTTCCATCCCTCACCCCCCTCCCAGCTTCCCCGCTTCTGGGTCTCCAATGTCTATTGTGTACCCATAGCTTAGCTCTCACCTATAAGTGAGAACACTTATTAGTTGCTGTGAAAGACATTATTTTCTTTTTTATGGCTGAGTGGTATTCCATGGCGTGTGTGTGTGTGTGTGTGTGTGTGTGTGTGTGTGTGTGTGTATACACCACATTTTCTTTATCCACTCATCAATTGATGGGCTCTTAGGTTGGTTCCATATCTTTGCAATTGTGAGTTGTACTACAATAAACATATATGTGCAGGTGTCTTTTTGATATAATGGCTTTTTTTTCCTTTGAGTAGATACCCAGAAGTGGGATTGCTGGACCGAAGGATAGAACTACTTTTAGTTCTTTTAGAAATCTCCATACTGTTTTCCATAGAGGTTGTACTAATTTACAGTCCCACTAGCAGTTACACTCACTGATTTTCGACCATGAACTTGATTTACCTATTCCAAAAAAATTTTAAATAAAAATAAATAAGAAAACACTGCCTTTATTAATTAAATAGTTATTTTCAACTACAATTAAGTCATGAGATGAGAAAGTATGGGTAGGAATGTGTCATTTATTTCACTTTGTAGACATTGCCAATTTTTTTTTTTTTTTTTTTTTTAGAAAGAGTCTTGCTCTGTCACCCAGACTGGAGTGCAGGGGCACAACTTTGGCTCACTGCAACCTCTGCCTCCCAGGTTCAAGCGATTCTCATGCCTCAGCATCCCAAGTAGCTGGGATTATAGGCATGCACCACCATGCCCAACTAACTTTTGTATTTTTAGTAGAGATGGGGTTTCACCATGTTGGCCAAGCTAGTCTCAAACTCCTAACCTCAAGTGATCCACCCACCTCAGCCTCCCAAAGTGCTGGTATTACAAGCATGAGCTGACATTGCCAACTTCTTTTAAAAAGTGCTTTGTTACCTCAACCAATTTAGAAGGCAAGAAGGTTTAGGTGAACAAATAGGTCTATAAAAATAACAAGGTTTGCCTGGAGTCATGCAATTATTGTCAGCTAAATAAAAATATAGTATATTTCATGTATCTTGTCAAGAACCACAGGTGTTTGCTGTAAGTAAAACTGAGGTAAAAATCCTTTTATATCTTCTGGTGCCCTGGCTCTGGGCTCAGCCAAAGAGGCCAGAGCCTCAGACCAGGCTGCTTGGCTATGAGAGTCCATGTCTGGCTGAGGCCTGCTGAGCAAAGGTCACCATCTTCCAGTAGGGAAACCATCTGTGATATTTCTTTCCACAGAGCATTCATCTTATTCACAAATATATCCCAGTTCTCAGCAAAGCCTGACAATAACAAGCCTTGGGATTTCAGAATCTACATTTTCAACTGCATTGAGACACACCTTTATTCTTTCCTAAATTCTTTTTTGTTTGTTTTTTGAGGCAAAGTGTCGCTCTGTCACCCAGGCTGGAGTGCAGTGGCGCGATCTTGGCTCACTGCAACCTCCTCCTCCCGGATTCAAGCAATTCTCCTGCCTCAGCCTCCCGAATAGCTGGGACTACAGGCGCCCCCCACAGAGCCCTGCTAATTTTTGTATTTTTTTTTTAAAGTAGAGACGGGGTTTCACCCTATTGGCCAGGCTGGTCCCGAACTCCTGACCTTGTGATCCACCCATCTTGGCCTCCCAAAGTGCTGGGATTACAGGTGTGAGCCACCATGCCTGGCCTATTATTTCCTAAATACTTAGCCACCTCTGAAGGTGAGGGAGTTGGGGGCAGAAGCATATCCCCTCCCCTAAGACTTTTCTTCTCTCCTTACAACAGATCTTTTTGTAGTCCTTGTGGTCACACTAGACTTGTTCTGCATTCTGTTTGGTTAAGTTACAAGAGGGCCATGTCAAATGACTTCTCCACGATTCTCAGTCAATCTTAGAACTTCTGCCATGTAAGATCATTTGGGGCTTTCTCTTAACAGGTGATTAAAGAAGAAAATCTACAGGAAAACAGTCAAGAAGTTGGGACCTACATGTTACTAAAGTTTGCTAAGCTGCGGGATGAATTTGAAATTGTTGGAGACGTCCGAGGCAAAGGTCTCATGATAGGCATAGAAATGGTGCAGGATAAGGTAGGTGCTAATCTGCCCCTCTCTCTCAGCTGCTTGGAGCCAGCAGGAGATATAGGAGGAAACATCAGCTAAACTTCATTTACTCTCAAGGAGAGAGCAGACACAAACAGCAAGATTTCAGCAAAGCCCTTTAGAGATTAGTAGAGAGTGTTGAGTATGAACAAAATGCTGGCAGATCATCAAGAATTCTAGAGGGATGAGGGAGAGCACTGGGAAAAGAAACCAACATTATCCTTGCCATCCTAGGCAAATAGCATAGGCAATGACCGAATACTTAGAAATACAGGGAAGGGAGGAAATTATCTGGGGAGAAACAGAAGGAATAAGAAAGAAGGGCCAGGAAAATGTTATGGTGAAGGTTTGGGGTGAGGAGGTTAAATATATATTAGGAGTTGTTGTTGTTGAGACAGAGTCTCACTCTGTCACCCAGGCTGGGAGTGCAGTGGTACGATCTTGGCTCACTGCAACCTCCACCTTACAGGTTCAAGCTATTCTCGAGCCTCAGCCTCCCGGGTAGCTGGGATTACAGGCACACACCACCATACCTGGCTAATTTTTGTATTTTTAGTAGAAATGGGGTTTTGCCATATTGCCCAGGCTGGTCTCAAACTCCTTACCTCAAGTTATCTGCCCACCGTGGCCTCCTGAAGTACTAAGATTACAGGCATGAGCCACCAAGCCTGGCCTATATTGAGTTTTGTTTGTTTGCATGCTTACTTGTGAATGGATTTCAACCTCCCAAGTAACCAGGGAGGAATGTTGTTACTTGTGAATGGATTTCAACCTCCCAAGTAACCAGGGAGGAATGTTGCCCACTGAGACCTCTAACTCATCATAACAGCAATTGAACTTAGCATCTTCCCCCAAACCAGATATTTCTCCCAAGATCACTGTTTGTTTCTCACACTCCACCGTTCTCCCAATTACTCAGCCTCAATAGCACAAAATCATCTGACTCCTCCTCTTCCCTTGTTTCTAACAACAGGACTCATTGATATCTCTTCTCTCCCATGTCTCTCAAATCTTTCCCTTTGTTTCTACTGCAGCCCCTATAGTAAATGCCTGTAGGAAATTGTGCCTTTCCTCCATAAAATCAAAGCCTGAAAAGAGCAGGAGAATCTTGGGAGTAGGGAGGAATAGCCAGACTAACCTCATGTCTACAGGGATCCAGCTTTCCCTAGCAATTTCTACCTCTTTGGTTTTACCACCATTCTACTTTAGAAGGATTGATGCTCAATTTTTTAGACCAGACATGGTATAAGACTCTTCAATTCATACCACATGTCACAGCCAGTACAAAGCTGGGATGTTTAAGTAAGATTTGAAAGCCAAGGGAAGACACCAGTAAAATAAACAAAGGGTAATATGAGACTAAGGTCCCCAGCTCATAATTTTATTTATTTATTTGTTTTGACCCCAACATGCATTCTACAATGGAGAAGAGCTCACAAGTCATAACGTATTTCAGTGTGTGGACAAGTACAAGAGTTGTTGTAACGTTCAGAAGAGTTCATCCTAATCTCCACCCAAGGGGTTCCCTGAAAGTTATCTATACTCCTCAAAGTGTAGACTTGAGAGAGGAAAGCCCAATGAGAGAGGAGGAGTTCTTCCTTTTTCTCTGTTCTGAACCCAACCTCTGTGTGCTCAAAGTCATATGAACAAAGATGTTCATCACAACTTTGTCTTAGTAAAACACCAGAATCCCCCTCCCAGATGACCGTTCATACAAAGCAAGCTAGCTTGTGGCATATCCCCACTATAATGGCATAGATATATATTTGACATGGAAATATGTGCAAGCCATATTGTGGAAACAATGAAACAGGTTTTTTTAGTCCATTTGTGTTGCTGTAAAGGAATACCTGAGGCTGGGCAATTTATCAAGAAAAGAGGTTTATTTGGCTCATGGTTCTGCAGACCATACAGGAAGCATGACACCAGCATCTGCATCTGATGAGGGCCTCAGACTGCTTCTGTTCGTGGTGGAAGGGGAAGAGGCGCTGGCATATGCAGAGGTCACTGATGAGGGAGAGAGAGAGAGAGAGAAAGCAAGAGATTAGGGGTTGGTAGGTGCCAGGCTGTTTTCAACAGCCAGCTCTAGAAGGAACTAATGGAGTGACAACTCATCATGGAGAGGACAGCACCAAGACATTCATGAGGGATCTGCCCCCACCACCCAAGCACCTCTTTTTAGGACCCACCTCCAACATTGGGGATCAAACTTCCATTTGAGGTTTGGAGGGCCAAATATCCAAACTATAGCAAGGTTATAAAATAGTATCTATAGAAGGGGCTCTTTTTCTCTTCGCTGAACCATTTGTTAGTATAAGCATGGGCTCTAAGGGCAGACCACCTGGATTTAAATCCCAGCTCCTACATCCCCTAATTCTACTCACTGTCCCCTCAATGCAATTACTCTCCAAATCCAAATGCCACTCAAGCTTTTCCTCAACCATGGAACACAGTATTCTCCCCTCTATATCTACCTATGGAAATCCTAGTCTTTTTCAAGATCAAGCTCTCCATCGCATCTCCTTAAAGCTTGCCTTTGCTTCTCCTCTATCCAGGAGATCCACCCTTCAGAGAATTCCTCTGGTACTCACTGTCTAAGGAGCTGCTTTGAAAAGATCTTTTCCACTATATTAGTCCATTCAGGCTGCTATAGCAAAGTTCTATAGATTGGATATCTTATAAACAACAGAAATGTATTCCTCATGGTTCTGGAGACTGGAAAGTCCAAGAACAAGGTGCAGGCCAACTTGGTGTCTGACGAGGGCCCACTTTCTGGTTCATAGATGGTGCCTTCTTGCTGTGCCCTCACCTAGTAAATGAGGCAAAAGAGCTTTCTGGAGCCTCTTTTATGAGGGTACTGATCTCATTCATGAGGGTTCCACTCTTGTAACCTAATCACCTCTCAAAGGCCCCACCTCCCAATATTATGCCATCCCCTTGGGTATTAGGTTTCAATATATGAATTTTGAGGGACACAAACATTCACTCTGTGTCACCTAACCTGTATTTGTTGACTCACCTTTTATGTATAAATACCTTATTTTCCTAAATAAGTTTACACTTTTGAGGCCAGGAAACATACAGATGGTAAGTGCTTTGTGTTTCTCAATTAATTTCAGGCCCCTGCAACACATCAAACCACAGTCGCATAGTTATAATACCCAAGAACTTTGCTATAATGCTGTCCAGCATCACCCAGGATAGGTACTCTCATATTCTGTTGGTAAGGAGGTACAGCCCTTTGGACAGTAATTTGTCTGCAGCTCTCAAAATTTTAAATATCTATACATTTTGACCTGGTGACATGGTTTGAATGTTTGTCCCTCCAAATCTCATGTTGAAATGTAATCCCCAGTGTTGGAGGTGGAGCCAGTAGGAGGTATTTGGATCATGGGGGCGGATTCCTCATCAATGGCTTGGTGACGAGTGACTTCATCTGAGATCTGGTTGTTTAAAAATGTATGGCACCTCCCTAACTCCCTCTCTTGCTCCTGCTCTCCCCACACGACCCATCTGCTCACCCTTTGCCTTCTGCCATGATTGTAAGGTTCCTGAGCCCCTCACTAGAAGCGGGTGCTGGAGCCATGCTTGTACAGCCTGTAGAACTGTGAGCCAATTAAACCTCTTTTCTTTATAAATTACCCAGTCTCAGGTATTCCTTTGCAGCAACACAAGAATGGCCTAACATACCTGGCAATTTCTAGAAGTGTGTCCCAAAGAAATACCCTCAAAACTGTCTAAAAATATGTATGAATAGGAATATTTGCAGCATTGTTTATAATCATGAAAAATTGGAAACAACCTAAATGCTCAACATTAGGAGGTTGAACAACTTACTGCAATGAAATACTAGGTAACGTTTAAGAAGACTAAGTCCAAATATACTGACATGGAAAGATGCCCAAGATATACCATATATTATTAAAAGGAAATTGCCAAACGTTATTAAATGACTTATTTTTTAAAACATGCATATAGATGTATTTGCATGCATAGAAAAAGTATCTGTTTCACACCAAATTGTCAATAGAAGGTGTCCCTAGGAATAGGATAGGAAGTGGGGAAATGTTCTCGTTTTACTTTATGCACTTCCAGAACATTTGAATTTTTTTCAAATTTTAAATTTATAATTCTTTAAACATAGATTCACCAAAAGAGATAAACACGATGGTCCATTATACATTCATCAAGAAGTTTAATTACTAGCATGCCCACTTCATTATCAAGCAGTTGGGGCACAGGCATGGGCACAAGGGCCTCGGCAGGCTGCGCTGTGGCTTAAGCCTCAGCAGAGTTTCAGACCCTGCTTTTTTTCCCTGAGGATGGCATACAAGATGTTCAATTAGCCATAGCAGTTGAGGTCAGGGAGGGATAAAATGGGCAAGGGAGCCAAGAGGGTGCTGGCCCAGAGCAAGGTCGGGGTGAAGCCACACAGACTCCACCCATTCAAAACTGTCCTGTTGGGCCAGGCACGGTGGCTCACACCTGTAATCCCAGCACTTTGGGAGGCTGAGGTGGATCACTTGAGGTCAGGAGTTCGAGACCAGCCTGGCCAACATAGTGAAACCCCATCTCTACTAAAAATACAAAAATTAGCCAGGTGTGGTGGCAGGTGCCTGTAATCCCAGCTAGTGGGGAGGCTGAGGCAGGCGAATCACTTGAGCCCAGGAGGCAGAGGTTGCAGTGAGCCAAGATTGCACCACTGCACTGCAGCCTGGGCAACAGAGTGAGACTCTGACTCAGAAAACAAAACAACAACAACAACAACAAAAGAACTGACCCCCCCAACCCAACCTTCCCTCCGGATTACTCTCCAATCCCTCTGGCCTCTCAAATCATATTTAATGCCCTTCTAGTTCTCACAGTTTAGCCCTAAATTATTTTCATTGTCTCTTTCCAATCAGTCGTAAGTGGAATGCATGATAGCATTTTGAAGTCAATGAGAGGATTCTAGTCCTTCCCTCTCCCTCAGGTCCTTTCTGATCCAATAGTCTGAAAGTTTGAATATGTATTTTGCTTATGTTAAGGCTTTAAGACAGAACAAAATGCACATATCTCTCTAGGAGGTCCCATCTTATTCTGTTCTCAGACAATGACACCTTACAAGAAATGGAGGATTGGGGAAAGAGTTGGATCTGGGGTTGGTGGGAAGAAGGAAGTGGATGGCAAAGCCCAGACTGAGGGTGGGTAGGAAGTGTGGAGGATGTAATGAAACTGGGCACACTAGAGGGGCCCCGTCTACCTCACTTAGCTCGCTTAGCCCGGTCACCTGAGGACCATTTTAAAAATGCAGATGCCTAAGCCCTGCTTCCAATATTCTAATTTGATTGGCCTAGCATGAGGCCCAAATATCTGTCATTTGAAAGCCTTCCAGGTAATGCAGACATGCTGTCAGGTGTGACATGACTAAGTCAGAGGGAGACGTTTGTACTCACAGACTGGGAAGACAGGGGACGCACAGAAAGGATGCAAGTCAGCCCAATGTCTGACCCCACAGGGAGGGGACCTGCTCTGAATGGCTGGGGATCTGACACAGGCTCTCGGCTCCTGGAGCACTTACCTTTCCTAACCCTGGAGGATGCAGTCTTGGGGGAGAAAGAGCAAGTCCTACAAGCAGGGAAATTAGGACAAACCGGCCCCTCCTCAGCTGTCCCACTGCGCTGCCCAGGGAAAGCTCAGGCTGCTGGTGCCTTTGTACAACTTCTGAGCCATTTCCTGGCCTTTGAAATGAGCCCTTTCCATGGGCAGAACAAAGTGAAGAGTTAAGGAAAATTTCCACATAAAACAGACTCCAAATTTAGCTATTAAGGAACCAGACTCCCAAGGCAGCCATTAGCAAAGCTAAGATTCACTGGCTATCCGCACAGAACTTCATTTTGTCTTTTGGGAATTTGGGATGAATTCGGATTAGAAACAAACATTTTAAATAACATCCTCCAAAAATCTGGTTCAGCAATTAGCAGCTTCATTTAATTACAGGGGAAGGAGAGGACAGAGAGAAAGAGGGAGAGAGAAAAAAAAGAGGGGCATTGATGGCTGAAGGGTTTTTCTTTTTTCCTCTCTTGCAAATAATTCCTTTAACCATTCCAACACCAAATAGAAAGAATTTTAAAAATATATTTACAGATAAGCTGTCGGCCTCTTCCCCGTGAAGAAGTAAATCAGATCCATGAGGACTGCAAGCACATGGGACTCCTCGTTGGCAGAGGCAGCATTTTTTCTCAGGTAAGAGAAAGACTGGTTTTTACCTATCGCTCTAGGTAGGAGTCTCTCTGATTTCCTAATGCTGGTCACAGTTTCTTCACAGCTGTGAAGATGTCCTAATGCTGGTTGCAGTTTTTACACAACTGTGCCGAGGTACCCAGCCACATGTCATCTAGGGATGAAGCTCGGGTACAAAAAAAAAAAAGGCGGAGACAGTGCAGCTCTCAGGCCACTAGGGGGCGCTGAGTGAAAATGGTTTGGTTGTCGCGGCTCTTTGGGGTAAAGATAGAGGCAGACAGAGGATGGTCAAAGCGGACAACTAACAGTATGGATGATAAACATCACAGTCATGCAGTAAATAATCTATCTCCTGTATAATTAATTCTAACCCCTGTGAAAGCAATTCTGGCCGTTCTTAGCTCAGCCCAGGGCTCTGACTTGGTGACCCTGCTAAGCCTTAGTGGCCTCTGTGGCTGGGAGCAACACGACAGCACCTGCAGGCCCGGGTGACGCCTGTCGGAGAGATGGAGGACCACCTGGGCATAGCCCCCATTGCCAAACTCAAAATCAGCCAGAGCCAGTGTCCTTCACCCTTAGGCTGGGAGATTCAGAGGTCGAGCCCTCCCCACTCCCTTCCTTGAAAAGCCATGCCCAGCTCCACAGTCAGGACCCTGGCTTGCCCTGCACACACTGCCCGAGAGGCTGCCCCTCACAGCAACAGCCTCTCCCCAGGGATGGGCTACAGGGTGGAGACTTAAGAGAGAAGGTAACTTCTGCTCCTCCCTAATTTGTCCTGTCCTTTGTTAACTTTCTTTCCCATTTTAAACATTCCTCATCCTTCCCAGTTTCCCTGCTCCATCCCTGCCTCTCACAACTTCAGTGGATACTGAAATATCTGCTTCTTGCCTCATACTTCTCAGATAAAATTGAAACTATCAGGCAAAACCTCTATATAAACTCATCGGTCCCCGCATTTATTCTTTCCTCCCGTGTTAGTCCCCCCCCCCAGCCTGCTATCACAAAGCGCCATAGCCTGGGTGGCTTATACATCATAGAAGTTCATTTCTCATAGTTCTGGAGGCAGAGAAGTCCAAGATCAAGGTGCCAGCAAGTTCAGTGTCTGGTGAGGGCGCTCTTTCTAAGCGGCCATCTTTCTGCTGTGACCTCACATTGCAGAAGGGGCAAGAGAGCTCCCTGGGCCTTCATGGGCTTTGCCCTCCTGAGCTAATCACTTCCCAAAGGCTCCACTTCACAAGACCATCACCTTGGGAGTTAGGGTTCCAACATAGGAATTCAAGGGGTAGAGGCACAAATGTCCAGATCATAGCACTTCCTTCCCTGAAGGTTCCAGAAATGAGGCATTTCTCCTTTTCAAATCTAGATCTTCCATCTGTGTGCTTGTTTCTCCAAGCTCCCTCCACCTTCACTCAAGGAAACCCCCATGTTTTCTTGCATCTTCAATTTTTCCCCAACTTCCCCTTCCCCTTTAAACAAAACAGACTTAAAGTTCTCCCAGCCCAAACAACAAAGCCAGAATGAGCACTTTTGCTGGGATGTGCTCTGTGATTTTTTTTCTAGTCCAGGTCATAAATATTTTTCTGTACAAACCAGATAACATAATTTAATGATTATGAATCGTAAGACATGCAATTTATAAAGACATGAGATACTTGTGTACTTGCTTAGCTCTTCCTTTGTTATTTGGCAAAATTTGTTATGTGCTAAGCAACAGGTGTCATTCTGGAAACTGAAACTATTAGGTTGCTGTAAAAGTAATTGCAGTTTTTGTGATTTTTTTTAATTGCAAAAACTGCAATTACTTTTGCACCAACCTAATACGGTGATAAATAAGATCTGGTCCTTCCTTCGTGGAGCTGGTGGGAGAGAAAGGCAAATACATAGAAAATTACAATATAATGTAGTAAGCTCATCTATAAATATTTTTTAAAAGATATTCAAGGGGGAAAGAGAAGGGACTTCTAGGCCAGGCTTTCTGGGTAGCAGAATCTTAAATAATGAGATAAACAACCAAACTGTGCATGAAATGTGGCAGAGTACAAAGAACTAATTTTGCACACCACATCACACCACACAGATGTGGCTGGTGCAAAGGCTTGAGTAGTCAGTGGAGCTGGTATGAAGCCCTTCCTGCTTGTCAGGCACTGTCCTAACACTTTGCATGAACTGACTCATTTAATGCTCCCAACAAGCCTATAAAATAAGTACTATTACTATCCTTATTTTACAGATAAAGGAAAAGACACACAGAGAGGTTAAGTAATGACAGAACCAGGATCCAAACTCAGGTAGTCTGATTTCAGAATCTGTCCTCTGAGGAAGACAAATCTAAGGGGACAAGACTGGAGACAGGGGGTCCCTCTGGGAGCCAAGGAGGCTGTTTGAACCTGAGCTGTGGTAGTAGAGATAGAGGAGATATTCTGAGGATAATCCTGGAAAATGCACAGACTGTGGATATGAAGAACCAGAGAGAGTCGAGGAAGAAGCTCTCATGTTGGTTTGGAGTGGGCAAGAATGAGTCCAGCTTTGAGCATGCTCCATTCAAGGTGTTCATAAACATCTCACTCTATCTACAGATGCTTCTTGACTTATAGTGGGGTTACCTCCTGATAAACCCCTCCTAAATTGAGAATATTTTAAGTCAAAAATGCAGTTAATACACCTAACCAACTGTACATCATAGCTTAGCCAGCATACCTTAAATGTGCTCAGAACACTTGCATTAGCCTACAGTTGAGCAAAGTCATGTGACAAAGCCTATTTTATAATAAAGTGTTGAGTATCTCATGTAATTTATTGACTACTGTACTGAAACTGAAAAACAGAAAGGTTGTATAGATACTTGATGTACAATTTCTACTAATGTGTATCACTTTCCCATCATTGTAAAGTCAAAAATATTCTGTCAGGGACCATCTGTAGAAGTCTGTAGCTCGGAGGAAATGACTGAAGATCATGTTTTATAGGTCATCAGCATTTACACAGTGAGATGAGGAAATCTCCCAGGAAGTCTAATGTCTAGATGAGAAGCTCAGTGAGATGAAGATAGAAACCTGCACAACACTGACTTTTAACGGGCAGGAGAGGCCGGGCACGGTGGCTCACGCCTGTGATCCCAGCACTTTGGGAGGCCGAAGCGGCAGATCACTTGAGGTTAGGAGTTTGAGACCAGCCTAGCCAACATAGTGAAGCCCTGTCTCTACCAAAAATATAAAAAATTAGCTGAGTGTGGTGGCACACACCTGTAATCCCTGCTACTCAGGAGGCTGAGGCAGGAGAATTGTGTGAACCTGGGAGGCGGAGGTTGCAGTGAGCCGAGATTGTGCCACTGCACTCCAGCCTGAGCGACAGAGTGAGACTCTGTCTCAAATAAAATAAAAATAATAACAGTAATAATAATAAAAGGCAGGAGAAGGAAAAAGCTGCCCAGGTAGAGGCAGAAAGCGTGGACAGGTATGAAGAGAATAAGAAGAGTGTGAAGTCATGGAAGAAAGAGACAGGAGAGGTTCAGGAAGTGGGGGAATTCCAAAGAGTCAAGTGCAGAGAAGGCCAGAGAGAATGAGGGCTGGAAGATGACCAGTGGATTCCACACTTGCAGGTAACTTTAGTAGAGTGGTTGATGAGGCAGAAGTCAGACTGCAACCAATTGAGATGTGAATGGGGGAAGGGCAAAGTAATAAATAATGGCCAATAAGCACCAACCAGTCTTTTTAGTGATGTGGCTAAAAGCAGGAAGAAAGCATTTGCGAGGTAGCCATAGGGGACAAGGGGGTCAACAAAGATTTGTATTTGGTGTGGTCTAGATTGGGGTTATGAGAGCTTTAAGCCTGCTTGTTTATAGGCTAAGGGGAAGTTGAAGGGGCGTTTCCTGGAGTGAAGGAGATGGGAGAATCCAGGGTCAAGGGCATAGGTGGACAATTTGGAGTTGAACAGCAAATACACCTTGTTCTCTGAGCCTTTAGGAAAGTTTATAAAAATGGATGTGAGAGCAAACAAGTTTGTCTTGCGTGGCAGCTTCAATTTTCTGAGAAGTATGAGGCATGATTGTCTATGAAATAGAGGGAGAGGCGCAGGAGTTGAGTAAGGAAATTGAGAGGAATGATAAAGGTTTAGATTGAGAAAGGACGCTGACAATGAACAAGAAAAGTTGGGGTGACCCACAGAAGTTGGAGACCCTGAATATCTAGCGGCATCACTCAGCCTAGCTGTGTGATTTTTCTCTAACTCTTCTCAGCCATCTAGATTAGAAAAAAGCCATTCAATAAAATATTTCATTAGCGCTGGGATTGGCTGTGGTGTGGGTGCAGCAGAAAAAGGGTAGAAATGCAAGCAAAATGAGGGGCAAGTGTGAGCCTACTTCATTCAACTCTGCGTTCTGAGCTGGGTAGAAAGGAAGGAGGAGACCTGAGTGGAGCAATAGACCTGAAAACAATGGGTGAATGAGGATTCTGAAGTCTTCATGAAAAGGAAAGCTGTAGTGGGAATCAGAAATTGAGTTGTTCCTGGTGAAGAGGAGGCTCATGGCATTGGCCATGGGTATGAATGGTTGCAGAAGGGTGGACATAAAGATTCTGGGAGTTGTGGCAATAAGGGCAGTGAGAAGTGAGTTTGCTGGGTTGCACATATGGACATGGAAGTCACCCTGGGCAGAAATGGAGTATAGCGAGGGGCCTAAGACTTCAGTGAAGGTGTAGAATGACCAGGAGGTAAATGTATGACAAAAAGGAAAAGGGGCAGAGCCAAATTGTACAAGGGTTTGTATGGAGACTGGAGGGTGAATGGCCTGGATTCAGCATTGGGGATGGAGGAGGAACCAAACTGAGAGAAACATGAGAAACATCCTAAACACAAGGTTTTGGATTTTTAGTTTAGTGCATTTCCTCAAAGTCATATTTGATTCTCTGATGATTTGTTTTCTTATTTTTTGGTGTCTCCTCAGACATTTCGCATTGCGCCCTCAATGTGCATCACTAAACCAGAAGTTGATTTTGCAGTAGAAGTATTTCGTTCTGCCTTAACCCAACACATGGAAAGAAGAGCTAAGTAACATTGTCAGAAATAAATAAAACCACAAGTCTCAAGAATTTGCCACGTATGTTCAAGGGTGAATTTGAAGAATTTCAGAACCACTGGTATCCAGAGAAAGCCTGCAGCTCTCCACAGGAGCTGTAAAAGTCATGGTTGACTGCCTACCAACCATATTTGTTAGCAGAGCCCCTCTTATCTTGAGAACTCCATTCTTCAGGGAAAGGATCTCCCTAGCTCAGAGAATAAATCCTAATTAGTTTATGTTAGGTATGGTAATTTGATTCCCCTTTGCAGTGATTGGTTTATGCATGAATATGTGATGTATTTTTGTCCAGTGAATCTTGAAGAAAAATCTTTTGGTGGAGGTGCCTTCAGGGAAAGTTTTCTTCACCCTCACTCTTCAGTTCAAGAAGAGATGTCTTCTTGTTGCGCTGAGAACACCATATGTTCATGACGAGATTCCTGGCACCATGTCAGCCGGCTTGTAGTCATGAGGACAACCCTTTTTGGTGAGGTTGGAAGATGGATGGAAGCCAAGTGCTTAGTGATGTCAAAGAAGCACTCACTTAAGCATTCCTGGAGCCACCCTACCTCAGGGCCTCTTGATATTTGAGGTAATAAATTCATTGTTCTGTATAAGGCTTTTTTATTTTTCACTGTTACGGTCAAAAGCATACTGAGAAATGAGGCAGAAAATACTCCCAAAGAAAGAACAAGTTCCCTCTCCTTTAACTCCCTTAAAACATCTGTCAGAGCCTTCTTTTCTGGTCCTTACCTACTACCACATCCCACTGTGGTCTGAACCCTTATTACTCCTATTGCAATACTCTCCAAGACCATAATTTCCCAAACTTTAGTCATTAGAATACACAGTTATATAATTTCTCCATAGAGGCACACCATTTGTCTTAGGTTTATTTTTCCTTAATTTGACTTTTTTTTTTTTTTTTTTTTTTTTGAGACGGAGTCTCCCTCTGTCGCCCAGGCTGGAGTGCAGTGGTGCGATCTCAGCTCACTGCAAGCTCTGCCTCCCGGGTTCAGGCCATTCTCCTGCCTCAGCCTCCCTAGTAGTTGGGACTACAGGTGCCCACCACCACGCCCAGCTAATTTTTTGTATTTTTAGTAGAGATGGGGTTTCACTGTAGAGATTGAGCCAGGAAGGTCTCAATCTCCTGACCTCGTGATCTGCCTGCCTCGGCCTCCCAAAGTGCTGGGATTACAGGCGTGAGCCACCTCAGCCAGCCAATTTGACTTTTTTTACCAAGATGTGTAGTAAACTTTCTGTAATTACAATAAATGATAAATCAATCCTACTTGTCGTAAGTAGAAAGTAACCATAAAAACAGAGTGAACAGAAAACAATGTAATTCAGTTTTAGCAAGATGCAAGTTTTTGCAAAGATTCTCAGCCTGAGTCCTGTTCTTTCTTTGTTCAAAAGGGAGATTAGAGAGTACTCAAAATGCCAGGTGAGGTGGCTCATGCCTGTAATCCCAGCACTTTGGAAGGTCAAGGCAGGCGGATCACTTGAGCTCAGGAGTTCAAGACCAGCCTGGCCAACGTGGTGAAACCCTGTCTCTACTACAAATACAAAAATTAGCCAGGTGTGGTGGCGCATACCTGTAATCCCAGCTACTCGGGAGGTTTAAGTTTGAGTTTTATTGTTTCCTTTTCATATTTTACTAAATTCCTAAATTGTGTTTTCAGTGTTCCTCCCTTTTCCGTTATCTTAAAGGAAAAGGAATGTTGGAAGTAGAGGGCTCTGAAGAAGAACTGGAAAGTAAGTATTGACTTTCTTGTTCAATGTCCCTGACCCTGTAATTGTCACCAGTAAAGAGGAGAAGAAGAACATTCCAGGCAGAGTGAACTATAGAAGCAAAGAACTAAGGTGCATGACATGGAAAGAATGGTGGAAACAAAGCTCAAAAAGCTTGTTTGCGGACAAGGAGGCGGTGGTTGCAGTGAGCGGAGATCGTGCCATTGCACTCCAGCCTGGGTCTGTCTCAAAAAAAAAAGAGAGAGAGAGGGTATTTGAAACATGTTAAAAATACACTGGCAAACTGAGACCTTCTCTTGAAGAATACAAATAGAATAGGGTCTGGAGACCTGAAGGGAAATCACTTTCTCAGCATGTGATTGAATGCGTATCAAAAGTTGTGTTTCTGTTTGAAGCTAATTGTCCTCATTTTCTAACCCCCCCACCACCAGGTGTCTGTTCTGCTGACACATCCTACACCTCACTGCCAGATTTGTTTCCATTAAGCATTAACTGAAACATAGCATTCCCTGGCATAAAACCTTCCAGCAGCTTGCCATTAACCCCAGACGAGGTCAAAACCCTTTAACAAGGAGCTCAATGCTGCCTAGTATCCAATATCCAAATAGAGCAAATACTCTAGAAATGTTCTGTTTGGGCACAGTAGAAAGATCATTGGAATAAGAGTCAAATGACCTGAATTCTAAATCCAGTTCTTCCCCTTATTTGCTATAATTGACTTTGGGCCAGCCTTTTAACTTCTTTTTAACCTCGGTTTGTTCCCAAGAGTATAAACTATTTGCCCTTCCTACCTTCCAGAGTTGCCTTGGAAATAAAGTGACCCCGTGGATGTAAAAGTGCTTTGCAAACCAATGACCTAGAGAAATAGAAACTTCTTCCTTTCAAGCCACATTTCTCCTCTTTCCTTCACTACAAAATCTTTCTCAAGAGCAGTTTTTGTGCCTCACTTATACGTCTTTGCCTCCTACCCAAGCCCCAACCACTAGGATTTCATTCCTGTTTCTCATTCCTTGGAAATGCCTTTTCAGAAGGCACCTGGTGACTTCTTTATAATCGAAACTTAATGTTTCCTTTAAACGGTCTTTCTGAACAATTGCTACTTCCTTCGTTAGCTTCTGCAGTGTGGTCCTTCTATCTCGGATGGCTTTCTCAGCCTCTTTTCTGGCAACTCCTCAACTATAACGTTCCGTCCTGAGCTGTCTCTTCTTCCATGCTATACTCTCTCCCTATAGGCAACCTTGTCCACTTCTGAAATTTCACCTATCTTGACTATGCTGAAGACTTCCAAATATTTATCTCTAGTCTCAACCGTTTTTCTGAGCTCTAACCCCAAAATTCTAGCTCTCTGGACTCTGTCATTTAGATGTCACAGGAACACTTCAAATTCAACAGACTTAACACAAACTCTACTAAATACCTCCTCCAAGAATCCCTTCTTTATTAATGGTACCCTTTTAATCTCAGGCTCATAATGATTTAGATCATTTTTCCCCCAAGTTATCTTTCTGCCCTTTATATGACTAAGTCTCATGAATACCTTCTCTGACATAATTTTTTCCAGTATGACCCATTTATACCAAAACTGCCTTAATTTGGACCATCATCTCCCTGAACTATTTAAACTGCCTTCTAACTGGTATCCTGGACCTCTTCCCATCCTTCCTCTACATTGATACCAAAGTCCTTTACTTAACAAATAAATATGATCATGTCTCTTGTCTCTTGAAGCATTTGGGGTTTCCTATTGCCCAGAGAACAAAGTCCAAACTCCAATTATTATGGCATTCCAGAGCCTTCACAATTTGTCTCCAAACAAGCTTTTTGAGATTTATTTCCACCATTCTTTCCATGTCATGCACCTTAGTTCTTTGCTTCTGTAGTTCACTCTGCCTGGAATGTTCTTCTCTTTGCCAGTGAAAATTACAGGGTCAAGGAGATTGAACAAGAAAGTCAACACTTACTTTCCAGTTCTTCTTCAGAGCCCTCTACTTCCAACATTCCTTTTCCTCTAAGATAAAGGAAAAGGGAAGAACACTGAAAACACAATTTATGAATTTAGTAAAATATGAAGAGGAAACAATGAAACTCAAACTTAAAACCAGTAACAACAACAACAAATGTCTCTGGCCAAGATCCTTGCTAGTGCCAGGACATCCTCTCCAGGAAGTAGGAAGCTGGGAGATTTAGTCATTCAGGTAAATTCATACAACGTATTCCTTGTGGTTCCCTGAGTCCTACAGACTCTTTTATATACCTAACAGTATATCCTGCTAGTTTCCTATGTCCAAGGGACATATTAATGTCAAAAAGTCAGAAATGAAATTCCAAAAGGTAGCCAGGTCCTGAGTCTCATTTCTTGACTACGAAGGCTACATGGCTGTACCCCAGTTCCTGCTCATCAGAATAAACTGCAACTCTTTCTTGAAAAGCAGTTGGAGATTAAAGATGAGCAAATCATCAGAAGCATGGGAGTAGGAAGGGCAAAAAATGTGGCCATAGAATGCATATGGCCGTTCATTTCTTTCACTGGCTTATAATCATGATAGATTCCTCCCTCTTTCCATTTGGAGTCGTGGGCAGGGGTTTAGCACCCCCATTTTTCTCCCTTCCTTTTTCTGCTCTCCCCACAGGCAGTGGGATGCGAGCCAGCTTACATAAGGCAAGGAGCCCACATTGTTGCCAAGATTTTTAAAAACTTTTTTCTTGTTAAGACTGTCTAAAGTGAAGATAATGAACACTCAGCTCAAGTAAACTTTTTTCACACAAGGAACATATTGACAGTCAATCATGTGATTAGAATATGCATTAAAATGTTGGCAACTGTTTAAAAACACTTCAGATGCCAATCTACTCAGGAGGGAGTAAATTTTTTTTTTCTTTTTTTGGAGACAGTCTCGTTTTGTCACCCAGGCTGGATTGCAGTGGCGCGATCTCGGCTCACTGCAATCGCTGGGTTCCAGCGAGTCTTCCACCTCAGCCTCCTAAGTAGCTGGGATTACAGGCACACGCCACCACACTTGGCTAATTTTTGTATTTTTTTAATAGAGACGGTGTTTCACCATGTTGGCCAGGCTGGTCTTCAACTTCTGACCTCAGGTGATCTGCCCGCCTTGGCCTCCCAAAGTACTGGGATTACAGACATGAGCCGTTGCGCCCAGCTGGGAGTAATTTTTTAAAAGCCCATCATATTGAGCTTTGTTTATATCGTTAGTAATAATAATTATTGTAAAATTACACCTATAAATTAGTAATACTCCTATAAATTAGTAATACTAATTTAATAAATTTAATAAATTAGTAATACTAATTAAATAAATTTAATAAATTAGTAATACTAATTAACACCTATATTACTAATTATTGTAATAATACAACACTAATTATTGTAAAATAACACCTATAAATTAGTAATACTTTATTATTATAAAATACAGTCCTATTTGTATTGTAACACTCCAACTTGTATGTCGGTGTAACTTTTAACTTTCTGGAAATTCAAGCTAATCTCAAAAGGTATCTCTAAACTATGGGAGGACTTAATTCTTCTTCCACCTTTAAGTTTCACTTAAGTCTCACCTTTCCTGCAAGGAACAACAAAAGACAATAGAAAACATGGCAGCATTTGCTTCTTCCTCATCAGAGTGTTGAAATCAGAGCATCATAGTCATCATTCAGAAGTGGTGTTGAAGACTGCTGGGCCCTGCATCAGTTTTTTGCTCTGGTTAATTAAAGCTGAACGCTCATTTCCAACTGAGACACAATCGGTAAAAATGGCACAGCTTTGCCCCATGGAAAAGCTGATGGTAAAATACACACCCCAAAGTATCTCAACAGAAACCAAAGGACCACTGAACTTAAAACGAGTGAAGTCACAGAAACAAAAGGTTTATTATATTAATCCTTTTTGGTTCAATGAAAATAAAGGAGATAAACCTAGGTCTGATTGGTGGCAGATGTAGGGAGTGTTTGGTAGATCTGAAGACATTGTGAGATGAACCCATGGTGGAAAACACCCCTAGAAAAGATCTCAAAAACACAGTTTAATCAAGAACAGGGTCAGGATGGTCATTGCAGACAGCAGCTAGTGAAAAAACAAATTTTTAAATTGGAGGGGACAACATGATGCAGTGGAAGGAATCCACACAAAGTCTCCATTGGATTTGAGCTGAAGCTTCCTTGTATCCAAAAAGACGATCATATGGACCCCCTTGAACCCTTGTGAGGATTTAAAGAATACACTGGCAGCTTCTCCAATAATAACTTTCTCCTTAGGATTCTCTGCCTTTTCACCCAGAAACTCCCTTAGTTGGCACTTGGTTGTCACCATCTTGAGCCAATGTTTATTTCTGTGCATATGTTTTATTTCCTTAACTGAATTCTAACTACTGGCAGGGCGACCTTCTCTTATTTTCTTATGCTTAGTGCCTAACACAGTGCTCCTCAGAGAAAGGGAAAAAGTAACGTCTAATTGGAAATACATTCTCAGAAATACATGCTTAGATGACTTTGTCACTGAGTGAACATCACAGAGCGTACTTACACTAATCTAGATGGTAGAGCCTACCACACAGCTAGGCCTTGTGGTATAGCCTACTGCTCCCAGGCTGCAAACCTGTACAGCAGGTCACTGTACTGAATACTGTATGTAAGAGTTAAAGAAACAGGAAAGAAACATGAAATGTGGCTCAACAGTCAACAGGTTTATTTTAGAGAAATAAACCTGAGAGGGACTTCTGTCTGATTTTGGTCAGGAGTATTCTCTCTTACAGACTAACAGTATATATTGTTTTTAGGGCAAGGGGCCTTATCACAAGCTTGGAATGTTTCTGTGTGGGGGAGAAGTTTTATGGCGGGGTTGGAATGTCTCCAGGCAGAGGGGAGGTTATCTTGGGGCTGACATCTTTCCAGCCAGAGTGGGGTTATCTCAGGTCTGGCATGTCTGTGGTTGGGGAGAGGTCTGAAATATTTCTGGTTGGAGATGTTATTTGTGGTTTATGGTCATGCTGACCTTAGCCATTAGGCTGATGTCCTTTGGATTTAGGTGATTTTTGATCAAGGTGAACTTTAGAATGGCAGTGCTTGTCCAAGATGGTGATGTTCCTATTCTGTCACTGTAGACAGTTGTAACACAATAGCAAGTATTTGTATATTTGAACATATCTAAATATAGAGGACATATAGTCAAAATACAGCATAAAAAATAAAGAATGGTATACCTGTTTAGGGCACTCACCATGAACAGAGCTTGCAGGACTAAAAATTGCTCTGGGTGAGTCAGTGAGTGCGTGGTGAGTGAACATGAAGGCCTAGGACATTCCTGTACACCACTGTAGACTTTATAAACACTGTACACTCAGGGTACACAAACTTTTTAAAAGTTTTCTTTCTTCAATAATAAATTAACTTTAGTTTACTGTTATACTGTTTTTACTTTATAAACTTACTTTTTGTTAACTTTTTGGCTCTTTTGTAATAACACTGCTTAAAACACAAACACATTGCACAGCTTTACAGAAGCATTTTCTTTGTTTATGTCTTTATTCTATAAACATAGAATATATTTTATAAACATGTCTATATTTTATATATTCTATAAACATGTCTGTTTTTAATTTTTTTAAGTTATTTATTAAAAACTAAGATAAACACACTAGGCTAGGCTACCCAAGGTCAGGTTCATCAATTTCACTGACTTCCACCTCCATATCTTGTCCCATTGGAAGATCTTCAAGGGCAATAACAGGCATGGAGTTGTCCTCCATGATAACAATGCCTTCTTCTGGATACCCCATGAAGGACTTGACCTGCCTGGGGCTGTTTTACAGTTTTAACTTTTTTCTAATAACAGAAGGAATATACTCTAAAATAGTGTTTAAAAGTATACATAAACCAGTAACATAGTCATTTATTATCATTATCAACTATTATGTACTGTACATAATTGTATGTGTTAGACTTTTGTCAACGAAAAGAGTCAAACTGTAAAATATTTGAAGAGATTTATTCTGAGCCAAATAGGAGTGACCAATGACCCATGACACAGCCCTCAGGAGACCCCAAGAACATGTGCCCAAGGTGGTCATGTTACTGCACAGGGGTCCTGATCCAGACCCCAAGAGAGGGTTCTTGGACCTCACACAAGAAAGAATTCAGGGTGAGTCCATAGAGTAAAGTGAAAGTAAGTTTATTAAGAAAGTAAAGGGGCCAGGCGCGGTGGCTCACCCCTGTAATCCCAACACTTTGGGAAGCCGAGGTGGGCAGATTGCCTGAGTTCAGGAGTTCATGACCAGCCTGGGCAACATGGTGAAACCCGGTCTCTACTAAAATACAAAAAAAATTAGCTGGGCACAGCAGTGTGTGCCTGTAGTCCCAGCTACTCGGGAGGCTGAGGCAGGAGAATTGCTTGAACTCAGGAGGTGGAGATTGCAGTAAGCCGAGATTGTGCCACTGCACTCCAGCCTGGGCGACAGAGTGACACTCCTTCTCAAAAAAGAAAAAAAAAAAAAAAAGAAAGTAAAGGAATAAAAGAATGGCTACTCCATAGGCAGAGCAACAGCATGGGCTGCTCAACTGTGTATACTTACGGTTATTTCTTGATTATTTCTATGAGTATACTTACGGTTTAGCATGATCATATGCTAAACAAGGGGTGGATTATTCATGAGTTTTCAGGGAAAGGGGTGGGCAATTTCTGGAACTGAGGGTTCTTCCTTTTTGTAGACCATACAACATAACTTCCTGATGTTGCCATGGCATTTGTAAACTGTCATGGCATGGGTGGGAGTGTCTTTTAGCATGCTAATTAATTATTAATTAGCATGTAATGGGCAGTCAGGATGACCAGAGGTAACTTTGGTCGCCATCTTGGTTTTAGTGGGTTTTGGCAGGCTTCTTTACCACAATCTGTTTTATCAGCAAAGTGTTTGTGACCCATATCTTGTGCTGACCTCCTATCTCATCCTGTGACTAAGAATGCCTAACCTTCTGGGAATGCAGCCCAGGAGGTCTCAGCCTTATTTTACCCAGCCCCTGTTCAAGATGGAGTCGCTCTGGTTCAAACACCTCCAACAGTTGGACTACAACTAGGTTTTATACATTTTAGGGAGACATAAGACATCAATCAATATAAGTAAGATGTACATTGGTTCAGTCTGGAAAGGTGGGACAACTGGAAGTGGGGGCTTCCAGGTTATAGTCAGATTCAAAGATTTTCTGATTGGCAATTTATTAAAAGAGTTTATCTAAAGACCTAGAGTCAATAGAAAGAAAATGTCTGGGTTAAGAAAAGGGATTGTGGAGACCAAGGTTCTTATTATGCAGATGAAGCCTCCAAGTAACAGGCTTCAGAGAGAATAGATTGTAAATGTTTCTTATCAGATTTAAAACGGTGTCAGACTCAGTTGATTCTCTTTGAATCAGGAAAAAGTCCTGGAAAAAGGAAAGATAATTATCTACAGAATGTAGGTTTTTCCCTACAAGAGACAACTTTGAAGGGCTATTTCAAGATACGGCAAAGAAACATACTTGTGGTTAAAATATTTTGATTTCCTTCCTTATCTGTCGTGTGATGTTATGCCAGAGTCAGGTTGGAAAGCAGGTCACATTATATAGGGTTAAATAAAACCCCTCTGATGAGACTTTATGGTTTGTGGGGCATGACTCCCCAGGCCCCTTAGATAGGAATTTGGGCAAGAGAAGAAAAAAACAGGTCAGAGTTTAGTCCCCACTTTTATATGACTGGCAGTGCAGTGGTTTGTTTCCACCAGCATCACCACAAACAGGGGAGTGATGATTGCACTAGAATAGCTCGATGGCACTAGAGTGACAGGAGTTGTTCAACTCCATTATAATCTTATGGGACCACTGTTTTATCTGCAGTCCATTGTTGACCAAAACATTGTTAGGTAGCACATGACTGTATTTAGAAATATACACAGTTAGAAATATGTATTTAGACATATATGTATATTTAGAATATTAGGTAATTAAGTACCAACTATTATTTTAGAAAGAAAAAGAAGCCATTCTTAGATGAATTGTGAGAAGGTCATCATAACCACAGGAAGAATCTATAGGCTTCCCGGAAATCTCTTATTCATTCCCCGAGGGGGTATTGCAAACTTTGCACTCCTCAGACCCCATCTCACATCTCTGTCCTTCTCACCCTCAATAAATGATTTTGCATTTAATTTATCAGAAAAACAATGAAAGTGTCCACAGGAATTCACATTATATCACTCTCCTGGGTAACACTTGCTACTACCATCCTGCTGTCTGTCTCTTGCTTGTGGCACCAGCTGGTGCCTCCCTGCCTTTTCCCAGCTATCTGCTTCATCTCCCCAGTCTTGCTGGTATCCCCACCTCTCGCAGGGCTCTGCAAGAGTACCCCCACCAAGTCCCAGGCTTCACTAACTGATGCCCCCTTCACCCTTCACAGAGCCTATATTCATTTTCACAGTCAGGCTTCTGTTTATGTAAACATTTGCCTTTCCCTGTACATTCTCCAGGATCTTGCTGCATAATTTTTTTTTTGAGATGGAGTCTCCCACTGTCACCTAGGTTGGAGTGCAGTGGCACAATCTCAGCTCACTGCAACCTCTGCCTCCCAGGTTCAGGTGATTCTCATGCCTCAGCTTCCCAAATAGCTGGGATTACAGGTGTGCACCACCACACCCAGCTAATTTTTGTATTTTTGGTAGAGAAAGTGTTTCACCATGTTGGCCACGCTCGGCTCAAACTCCTGACATCAAGTGATCCACCCACCTCAGCCTCCCAAAGTAATGGGATTACAGGCTGAGCCACTACGCCTGGCCCTTGCTGCATAAATTATTCATTCTCTACTAGACTTTCAACTTCTATGTCCTTCTGGGACTTACCTATGAATGTGCTTGTCTTTCCCATTTAAAAAGAAAACACTTTCTTCAAACATATATTCCTTTCAAAAAGTGATGCTGCTGGGAAAACTGTCAGGGGCTCTGCTATGTCACTCCCTCATTCCTACTCTCTCTGTACTCTGCAGGCTGGCTCCTGTGAACCAATTCTTGCAAGAAGTGCCGAATAACCCTCTCATTGCCACATCCAACAGAAATGCCTCAGCCTTCATCCTACTTGACATCTCTGTGACAGTTGAGACTGTTTGTCACATTATTCCAGAAATTCTCTCCCTCCCTACTTTTTTTTTAATGGTTCTACAGTCTTTTATTTTGAAATCACCTTTGCAAAAATTGTGACAGTGAGAAAATTATGGCAGTGAAATGGATCTGATTTAAACTACCCCTAGCTTGCCTTTCCCTTAATTAACCTTGGGCTTTTGGGACAAGCTAACTTTGGAAGACATTTAGGTTATAGTGTAAATGATAAGAGTCCTTCCTCAAAACTCAACCACCTTTGTAAACCTAATGAAAGGCCATCAGGCTGGAGGAGAAAAGAAGTCTGATTTTTGCTAAGCGTAGCCATTATTACAGGGATCCTGCAGTTCATATCACTATTAGAGCCTGGCCTTTGAGATATCCTTTCAGATGTTTTTCATATCTGACACTCATGGCTCCACTTGGACCTGATGGCTCTTATGGCCCCAGCCAGGAGCAACTCAGTTCAAGAGGGCAGCTTCAACCCCTTATGATTTAATCTCCATCCCAACCAATCAGCAGCAAGCACCAATTTCCAAGCCACCCCCTTCTTTTATTCCCTAACCTGCCTCTGAAAAACCCCTAACCTACAAGACTTGGACGAGATTGACTTGAGTATGAACTCTGTCTCCCACATGTCATGGCCAGCCTTGTGTCTATTCAACTCTTTCTTTACTGCAATGCCATGGTCTTTATTTGTGCAGCAGGCAGGAAGAAGCCATCAGGCAGTTACACATTCTTTTACTACCTCTTAGATCCTTTCCATTCTTAACTATTAGTTTCTTTTTAGTTTACTCCCCAAATGCTGGTGTGCCCCAGGGATTTTACCTTGACCTCTTTTTTTCCCTTTCTCTGTACACTTTATCTGAAGTGATTTCATCAGATTCCATGATGGCTTTACTGTCTAGATGCTGAGGATTCTAAGTACTCCTTCAGGGTACCTCCTCCTGAACTTACAGACTCATATAGTCAACAACCAACTGCCTGAACATTTTCCCCTGGATACCTACTGCATTCTCACCCTCCTCTCTGAAGGGCATATTAACTCCTGGCTGTGGGAGATATTGTTTGATCCAATGTCTTTTGTCATCCTCAACCATGCAAGAGCTAAGCACTTGACTGTTCCTATTATCTCTTTCCCTGCTCCAGTGCAATGCTGCAACTTGCAGGCATCACTGATTGCTACTTGAAGCAAATTTTTTTAAAAGCAAGGAGGTAGGAGGAGAGTGGAAATTATGCCAGAAAGAAAATATGTTTTTTAATTTGTTCTTCCTAAAATGGCATTAGGGATAAGGGACATCAATATAGTAAGTGTACAATAGTAGGTGTGTTATTATAACCATCATCTCAGCTGAGGTGGTCTCTAGCTAGATCCATTGGGCACCTGTACTTACCAAGACCTGCCACAGTGGGACCCTGATTCACACTCCTCAGGTGGTTCTGTGCTAGTTTCACGCACCTGAGCAGGAGTGCCCTTTTTATTTTTGAAAAATCCCTGGCGTCAACTCCTAAACCTTGAGAGCCATTTACAGTAAACCCACCTTCCTTCTTTTACCGATATCCCACCCTTCTTCTTCTTTTTAGCAGGGAGCTCCTTCCCTGACCAGGAGTGATGCCTCCTTCTACTTTGCCACTGCTTCTCATATTTCCTCAAGGAGAATCTGTGAACTCAGAATCAACTCCTCCCTGACTCCTCTAACTCTTCTAGGGTATCATGGGGAGAGTTTGTGGTGGGTTTTTGTAGAAAGAAGTAAGATAGATATATTTTCATTCAATCCTTTAAGTGAGTAAAGAAAAGGAAAACAGTTTAATTTCTGTATTAAAGTTTTGAAGATTCAGATTTTGCCACTTGTGAAAATATCTTTCAGAAATGCATGCTGTCTAGATGCACAATTGAAATATATATTTGAAAATGTTGAAGGACACTTTCTTCATCTTAAAACTTACTAAAAAGCTACAATAATCAAAACGGTGTGGCACTGGCATGAGGACAGACATATACACCAATAGAATAGAATAGAAGCCCCAGAAATAAATTCTCACATATATGTTCAATTGATTTTTGACAAGGGTGCCAAGACCATTCAATGGGGAAAGGACAGTCTTTCTAACACATAGTATTGGTAAAATGATATCTACATGCGAAAGAATGAAGTTGGACCCTTCCCGTATTATATATAATAACCTAAATGGATTAAAGTCTTAAATATAGGAGCAAAGATTAGGATAAACTCTTAGAAGAAAACAGGTGAAAATCTTCATGACACTGGATTTGGCAAGGATTTCTTGGATATGGCACCAAAAGCAGAAGCAACAAAAGAAAAAGGATAAATTGAGCATATTTGAAATTTAAAACTTTTGTGCATCAAAGGAAACCATTAAAAGAATGAAAAGTCAGTCCTAAGATGTGAGAAAATATTTTCAAACTATATATCTGGGCCAGGTGCAGTGGCTCATGCCTGTGATCCCAGCACTTTGGTAGGCTGAGGCTGGTGGATCACCTGAGCTCAGGAGTTTGAGATGAGCCTGACCAACATAGAAAAACCCCGTCTCTACTAAAAATACAAAATTAGGCGGATGTGGTGGCCCATGCCTGTAATCCTAGCTACTCTGGAGGCTGAGGCAGGAGAATCACTTGAACCTGGGAGGCGGAGTTGCCATGAGCCAAGATCATGCCATTGCACTCCCTCCTGGGCAACAAGAGTAAAACTCTGTCTCAAAAAAAAAAATTATATATCTCATAAGGGATTAATATCCAGAATATATAAAGAAGTCCTACAACTCAACGGCCAAAAAATCCTTTAAAAATGGGCAAAGAACTTAATAGACATTTTTTTAAAGATATACAAATGGCCAGTAAGCACATGAAAAGATACTCAATATCACTAGTCATTACAGAAATGCAAATCAAAACCATAATGAAATATCAATTCACACCTATTGGAATGGCTATTATCAAAAAACAGAAAATCACAAATGTTGGTGAACTGTGCAGAAATTGTACCCTTGTGCATTGCTGGTGGTAATGTTTTCTGCTGTGGAAAACAGTACAGTAGTTCATCAAAAAGTTAAACATAAAATTACCACATGATCCAGGAATTCCACTTCTGAGCATATACACGAAAGAATTGAAAGGGTCTCAAACAGATATTTGCACATCCGTGTCCATAGCGGCCTAATTCACAATAGCCAAAAGGTGGAAATAACCAAGATGTCCACCAATGGATTAATGGATAAACAAAATGTGTTATGTACATACAATGGAATATTATTCAACCTTAAAAGGGAAGGGAATTCTGATACATGTTACAACATGGATGAACCTTGAAAATATTATGCTTGGCCGGGCGCGGTGGCTCACGCCTGTAATCCCAGCACTTTGGGAGGCCGAGGCGGGTGGATCATGAGGTCAGGAGATCGAGACCATCCTGGCTAACAAGGTGAAACCCCGTCTCTACTAAAAATACAAAAAAAATTAGCCGGTCGCGGTGGCGGGCGCCTGTAGTCCCAGCTACTCGGGAGGCTGAGGCAGGAGAATGGCGTGAACCCGGGAAGCAGAGCTTGCAGTGAGCCGAGATTGCGCCACTGCAGTCCGCAGTCCGGCCTGGGCGACAGAACGAGACTCCGTCTCAAAAAAAAAAAAAAAAAGAAAATATTATGCTTAGTAAAATAAGTCAGTCACAGAAGGACAAATATTGTACGGTTCCACTAATATGGGTGAGGTACCCAGAGTAGGCAAGTTCATAGAGATAGAAAGTATAATAGAGAGAAGGAATGGAGAAACTGTTTCTTCATTTCTAGAGAGAGGAGGGAATGGGAAATTATTATTTAATGGGTACAGAGCTTCTATTTGGGATGATGAAAAAGTTCTGCAAATGGATAGTGGAGATGGTTGTGCAACATTACAAATGTGCTTAATGCCACTGAATTGTATACTTTAAAATGCTTAAAATGATAAGTTTTACAAGTTTTTTTAATTAAAATTTTTAAAGGATATATTCATGTATGCAGAATATTTCTTCCAATGAGGGCAGAGGGAAGGATTAATATAGAGATTTTGATTGCATAAATAAATAATAGCATATTGTATAAATAATATATAAATAAATATAAATAAATGACAGATTTAGTTGCTTTGAAGAAAATAGCCCCACTTCCTATCTAGGTGAGAAAAAATGTTCTCAGTAGCACACACTGAGAGCTCATCTGTTTTCTTTACGTGTGGGTTTCTTAATGCCAGACATTTGGTCTTAAATCCTTCTTGGAACAAGGAAAGATACCAATCAATATATAAATGAGTATAAATACCAGCAAAAATGCCTGGTTCATGATCACTGTTCACCAAGCACCCTAACAAAGTAGGTGGAGGATCATCTCCCTAAAGCAAGTTCTTTCATCTGTAAAATGAGCAGGTTGAACTAGATAGATCAGTGGTTTCCAATCTTTTGGTTCCCTGGGCCACAATGGAAGGAGAATTGTCTTGGGCCACACATAAAATACATTAACACTAAGGACAGCTGATCAGCTAAAAAAAAAAAAAAAAAAAATCGCCAAAAATAAAATCCTCATCATGTTTTAAAAGTTTATGAATTTGTGTTGGGCCATATTCAAAGCTGTCCTGGGCAGCATGCAGCCCACGGCCCGCAGGTTGGACAAGCTTGAGATAGATAAACGAAGGTCCACATCCACACTACCATTTTCCACTTTCTGATATTTTAAAGCAGCAGCAGGGCACAGTAAGAGGACCTCAATATAGTCTTTCCTGGAAACTACTGAAGTGAGTTCTTGAAGGTCCTTAAGCCCTGTGACTGTTCAGCACAGAGGCTTAAGGTCTGCTGAGAACAGGCATGCTTGCAAGTGACTGTAAGGACACCAGAGTGCTGCTCATGACAGGGGAAACTTGAGAGTGAAATTTCTCAGATCTGGGAATATGGAAGACTTTCTCTTTGAGGGCAGTAATAAATATCTCGGGCTTTTCTTGAATGCTCTACACTACCAGGCATAGGCTTGGCACAGAGAAAACCTCAACAAATATGTACCAAAGATGGCTGGTCGACATTCTGCCAGTCTGCTCTTAGATTACATTGTTTTTCTTCAAAATAGTTACAACTTTGGCTGGGCGTGGTGGCTTATGCCTGTAATCCCAGCACTTTGGGAGGCCAACATGGGCAGATCATGAGATCAGGAGATTGAGACCATCCTGGCTAACACAGTTGTTGTGGGAAGTCAGGGACCCCAAACAGAGGGACCGGCTGAAGCCATGGCAGAAGAACATGGATTGTGAAGATTTCATGGACATTTATTAGTTCCCCAAATTAATATTTTTATAATTTCTTATGCCTGTCTTTACTGCAATCTCTAAACATAAATTGTGAAGATTTCATGGACACTTATCACTTCCCCGATCAACACCCTTGTGATTTCCTATGCCTGTCTTTACTTTAATCTCTTAATCCTGTCAGCTGAGGAAGATGTATGTCACCTTAGGACCATGTGATAATTGCATTAACTGCACAAATTGTAGAGCATGTGTGTCTGAACAAATATGAAATCTGGGCACCTTGAAAAAAGAACAGGATAACAGCAATTGTTCAGGGAATAAGAAAGACAACCTTAAACTCTGACAGCCAGTGAGCCAGGCGGAACAGAGCCATATTTCTCTTCTTGCAAAAGCGAATGGGAGAAATATCGCTGAATTCTTTTTCTCAGCAAGGAACATCCCTGGGAAAGAGAATATGCACCTGGGGGTATAGGCCTATAGATGGCACCCCAGGTGTGGCCATCTCCTATGGTCTGTAGACTGTAGGGGTGAAATAGACCCCAGTCTCCCATAGCACTCCCAGGCTTATTAGGAAGAGGAAATTCCTGCCTAATAAATTTTGGTCAGACCGGTTGCTCTCAAAACCCTGTCTCCTGATAAGATGTTATCAATGACAATGGTGCCCGAAACTTCATTAGCAATTTTAATTTTGCCTCGGTCCTGTGGTCCTGTGATCTCGCCCTGCCTCCATTTGCCTTGTGATATTCTATTATCTTGTGAAGTACTTAATGTCTGTGACCCACACCTATTCGCACACTCCCTCCCCTTTTGAAAGTCCCTAATAAAAACTTGCTACTAGTTTTTGCAGCTTGTGGGGCATCATGGAATCTACCAACATGTGACGTCTCCCCCGGACACCCAGCTCTAAAATTTCTCTCTTTTGAACTCTGTCCCTTTATTTCTCAAGCCGGCCGATGCTTAGGGAAAATAGAAAAGAACCTACGCGACTATTGGGGCAGGTTCCCTGATACACAGTGAAACCCTGTCTCTACTAAAAATTCAAAAAATTAGCCAGGCGTGGTGGCTGGTGCCTGTAGTCCCAGCTACTCGGGAGACTGAGGCAGGAGAATGGCTTCAACCTGGGAGGCGGAGCTTGCAGTGAGCAGAGATCGTGCCACTGCACTCCAGCCTGGGCAAAAGAGCGAGACTCTGTCTCAAAAAATAATAATAATAATAATAATTACAACTTTTATTTCAGATTCAGGGGGTACATATGCAGGCTTGTTACATGAGTAAATTGTGTGACACTGAGGTTTGCAGTATGAATGATCCCATCACCCAGGTAGTGAGCATAGTACCCAATAGGTAGTTTTTCAGCACTTGCCCCCTCCCTCCCCCATCTAGTAGTTTTCAGTGTCTATCGTTCCCATCTTTATGTCCATGTGTACCCAATGATTACATTGTTTTTCACCCTGTGATGAAATTCGTAAATGCCAGGTGCTAATGATAAATGATTAAGATGAAAGGAAACTTTTGCTTAATAAAGTTACTATGCATTTTTTAACAATGAAGCTTTAGGTCATTTTTTTAAGGTTTGTTAGCTAATTGTTTAATATTTTTGTCTGGTTTTTAAAACCATTGGAGTTAGAGAAAGACACAAGAAATGAAAAAAAAAGCAAGTTTTAAAACGGAATGTATAGGATTCCATTTTGAACGAAATTATATATGATATTGGATTAAAACGATATACAAGAAAAACACCAGAAAGTTAGCAGTGGTAGCCTTTGGTCTATAAGGACTTTCTATGTCATTCTGTTGCTGGAAAAAGGGGTCCCAATCCAGACCCCAAGAGAGAGTTCTTGGATCTCATGCAGGAAGAAATTTCAGGCAAGTTGCAGAGTGCAGTGAGAAGAGATAGTTTACTGAAAGCTACTCAGATATAGAGTAGGGCATCCTCAGAAAACAAACAGAGAAACGCCTCATCTTTAAGTTTTTCTTATATAGGGGTTTTGTCTATGTAAATGCTAAGCTAACCTGTGTCTATGTGCAGGTGGGCAGACAGCATGACAAATTTATTATTCTACTGATTTCAAGAAAACTGTCCTTGACATTCTACTGTGTAAATACATCAAAGCATAACTGTAACTATCTTGGAAGCATATACCGCTATGGGTATTGGGACATCTGGACTTTCTGCTGTTGTAGGAGTATATCCTTATAGGTATCTTTAGGCTTTTCCTCAACTATAAACATCTTATGGCTATGGGTCATGACTGGCAAGGAATGTGCCTTGTTATTCTCAAGATGGAGCTGAACTTAAAATGGTATTACTCTGGCTCTCCTTCCCTAACAATTCCTCCCTATATTTGTCAGTGTGTATTTTTTTAACTATTTATCTTTATCAAGTATACAGTTCAATGGTAATAAATATATTTACATCCCTTTTTTCCCTTTATACCCCCTTTTCCCTTTCCTTCCCAGGCTCTGGAAACCACCAGTGTACTCTGTACCATCATGAGATCCACTTTTTTAGCTCCCACTTATGAGTGAGAACAGGCAGTATTTGTCTTTCTGTGCCTGGCTATTCATTTGACATAATGGCCTCCAGTTCCATCAGTGTTGCTGCAAATGATAGGATTTCATTACTTTTTATGGCTGAATAATATTCAGTTGTGCATATATGCCACATTTTCCTTATCCATTCATCTGTTGATGAGCACTTAGGTTGATTCCATATTTTGGCTATTATGAATAGTGCTACAATAAATATGGTAGTGCAGGCATCTCTTTGACATATTAATTTCCTTTCTTCTGGATATATATGCAGCAGTGGGACTGCTGGATATATGGTAGCTCTATTTTCAGCTTTTTGAGGAAACTCCATATTGTTCTCCATTGTGGCTCTACTAATTTACATTCTCACCAGCAGTGTATGAGGGTTCCCCAATCTTCACATCCTCACCAGCATCTGTCATTGCTTGTCCTTTTGACACAAGCCATTTCAACTGGGGTGAGATGATATAAAAATTTCTAAAACTCCAAAAAAATAGATTCACTGAAAAACATAAACATATAATGATATTTTAGGGCCCCCTCCCAAAGGGTGAAAACTTCAGAGTGAGGAGGGCATTGTCTAATTCTCCCCGAAGTATCGCTGTGTTAATACTGATAGGATGACAAAGAATTAAAATAGAGAATTAAACTTGATGTTAATTAAATGTTAAAGAAAATTAAGGCCAGGCTCGGTGGTTCATGCCTGTAATCCCAGTACTTTGGGAGGCCGAGGTGGGCGGATCACCTTGAGGTCAGGAGTTTGAGACCAGCTTGGCCAACATGGTGAAACTCTATCTCTACAAAAATACAAAAATTAGCTGGGCATGATAGCAGGTGCCTGTAATCCCAGCTAGTCAGGAGGCTGAGACAGGAGAATAGCTTGAACTCAGGAGGTGGAAGTTGCAGTTAGCTGAGATCTCACCATTACACTCCAGCCTGGGTGACAGAGGAAGATTCCGTCTCAAAAAAGAAAAAAAAAAATTAGACTTGGGTCTAATAAGCTGAAGTTTTTATTTGGAAATGGATAATGGAGTCAAAACAGACAATGATCTCCACTAAGTATTTATAACTGACCACTTTCCCTCCAGTGCTGAATGATTTCATGGGCAGGCTCTTCAGCACTGACTCTGCCAGGTGTATCTCTGAGGTTACTGTGTCTGGGCAGGGTGTGGCATCGTGGGCAGAGTGACATTGTGGTCGGGACAGTGGTCATTCAAACTGCTCAGTTTTCAAAGAGGGGGCTCAGACCCCAATGAGAGGAGCTGTGGGGGTCGTGTTCTTTTTTTCATTTTTTAAATTAAGGCATAATTTATGTAAAGTAAAATGCACCCTTTTAAAAAAGTGAACAGTTCTTCAAGTTTCAACAAATGCAAAGAGGCATGTAACCACCCCTAATTCAAGAATAGAATCTTTCCATAACCCTCTAAAATGCTCATGGGCCCCTCTGTAATGAACCCCCTTCCTCTGCCCCCAGCCCCAGCAATCACTGATCTATTTTTATTGCTATAGCCTTACCTTGTCCAGGGGGTTTTCTGACTTCTCCCCTTCTGCCTGCCATCAACAACCCCATTCTGTTAATAATTTTCTGTCCTGATACCTTCCCTCCCTCAATCTACTGTAATTTGGTTTCTGCCTGCAAGCTTCACTGATACTGGTTCACAGGCACATCCAGTAACCTTTGAATTGCCCAGTCCAGTGGGCACACATCGGTCCTACACAGCTTTTTTTCTTAACTTTTTCTACAGCCTTTGCCACAATTGATTGTACCTTCCTTATTGAAATTCCCTCTTGCTTTGGATTTCATAATTCTATTTTTTCTAGTTATCTGACTATTCTCCCTTGGTCTCCCTTACCTTTTCAGTTTCTGTTTCCATTGAAAATCAGTGTTAACCAATGTAGCAGACACTGGTGGCTGCCTACTCAACAGACTTATCTACTTTTATTCCTGTTCCCACTTCTGTTCAGGTATCCATCCTAAGCGGAGGTTGCCTCATCCCCAGCCCCAAGGGCAAATCCTTAACCACCATGGTAGTCCTATTTATCCCTGGCCAATGAGATGTAAGGAGAAGGCTGCTGGGGGTGGAGTGGGAAGCTTCTGGAAAAGACACTCCACTTCCCTTCATACCCAATTCCTGTTTAAAAAAAGAAAAGAGAGAAATGACTAAAGTTATTGTGATATTGTGATATAATAAGAAATATACATTTGGTCTTCATCCCTGGTCCCTGGCACAGAGCTCCTGAAACACTTATAATTTCCTAAGTGATAGAGGTGCTAGGAGCACCTTTTTTTCTATTATTTGGTCTTTGACCCTAGTTCCTGGCACAGAGCTACTAAGTCCCTTGCAATTTCCAAGGTGATAAGAGCATCTTTTGTCCTAATGAGGTGACTCTTGGTGGACTCCTGGATGGCTTCAGGATGGGAGCTGGTCACCAGAAAGACCAAGCCATCATTAGAAGTTTAAAGCTTCCAGCCCCACCTACATCCTCCAGGGAGGGAGGAGGGGCTAGAAATTAATAAACTGATCATGGCTGCAGGGTTTGACAGGGTTTGGAGAGCTTCTAGGTCGCTGAACACATCCACATGTCGGGAGAGTAGCACACCCCAGCATGGCAGCACAGATGGAAGAATTCACCTGGGTCCTTGATGACACTCCTAGTGGAACCCCAGCTCCACAGGGGCAGAAGCTCCTGCACTCTGGACGCTTCCAGACCTTGCCCTGTACACCTCTTCTTCTGGCTGTTCATCTGTATTCTTTATCATATCCTTTCTTATGTAATAAAACAGTAAACTTGTTTCCCTGAGTTCTGTGAGATGTCTTAGCAAATTATCAAACCTGAAGAGGGGTTTGTGGGAACCCCCAAATTACAGCTAAGTTGGACAAAAATTGAGTAACCTGGAGACTCATTACTTGCACCTGGTGTCTGAAGTGGGGATCAGTCTTGTGGGACCGAGTCCTTAACCTGTGGGGTCTGTGCTAATTCCAATGTCAGGAGTGAATTATAGGATGTCCAGTTGGTGTCCAGATAGTTCGAGAGTTGGTTGGTATGGAAAAAACCCACGCAGTTGGTGTTCCTGAGTGTGTAGACAATGTGAGTATGCAGATGGAAACAGTGAGTTTTTTCCTTTTCAGTTATCCTGCCCTTCCTTTCCAGAATGGAGGCAGGTATCTTGTGGTTGTGATGGGACAAGTCTGATAAAAGCCTACATGCTGAGCATGGCAGAACAGATGGAAGAATCCACCTGGGTCCTTGGTGACATTCCCAGGCCACCAAATGAACCATGCCAGAACTGCCCACTTCCAGACTTCTTGTTATCTGAGACAGAAAACCCTATGGCTTAGGCTATTTTAAATGAGGAATTCTGTTATGCGTGTTCGAAAGCACCCCAGTAGCATTCGTCCACTCTGTTCTCATTTTTCACTCTCTGCCTCAGGGATGCTATTCAGTCATGTGACACCAAGAATGCCATGCATGCTGACCACTTCCAACTCTCTTTTTTTGTCCCAGGCCCACCTTCTGTGAGTACCTTTCTCCAGATCCACACACACAGGGCTGCCTACTGCATATGTGCAAAAGACACTGACGTGGACCCTGCAGATTCCCTTTTAAGAAAGGACTTGTTGCCCCAGCAGCAGGCGGTGTGGTCAGGAAATGCCTCCAGCTGTCAGCTCCTTTAAGAATTGCCTCAAGCACAGAGAGCAGCCTTGCCCAAGTTCACATCCTTCCCAAGATGATCCGGCCAGGTATATACAGGCTCAGCCATCTCAGCTTATCAAAGGACAATGCTGATGAGCCATCTGTCAGGGCTCTCATTGGGCCAGGACTGTCACCTGACTTCTCCCTCTGCCCAATCCTGCTTCCTTCCTTTCCTTTCCACAGGGTGGTCCCAAAAAGACTCCCTAATAAATATTCTGCATACTAACTCCCTTCCAGAGTCAGCTTCTGGGAGAAACCAACTTGCAACACTATCTTCTCCTGGATATTCTTCAGGAACCTCAACCCAACATTTGCAAAACTGAACCCACCTTCTTCACTCCCATTCCCTTCCACTATCTTCCCTAGCTGTATTTCTTAACAAAGCCACCCAGATCAAAAACTGAGGAATCATTTTTTATTCTTTCCTTCATCCTCCAAATCTCAATGGCCTCCAGGTACTTTCCATTCTATTTCCTTTGTATCTCTCAAATCATTCCTTAATCTCTATTTACACTGTTTCTGCTGGAGTTCAAGTCATCATTTGTCACCATGATCAGTGCCCCTGACTTCTCTATCTCTAACATTACTCTATTCCCATGCATTCTCCACAAGAGGGATTTTTCTAAATTGCAAATCTGATTTTCATATCTTCTACTTAACAATTTTTAGTGATCCCTATTGATTATAGAATAAAATCTAGTATCTTCACATGGTTGACCACTTTGTATGAGTTTGATTTCTTGTCCACCATTTCTCACCCACAGCCCTTTTGTCAAGGCAAACCAAACTACCTAGAATGACTAAAATGAACTATGCTGTTACATCTTTGTGCTTCTGCACTACCGCTTGTTCTAAACCTGGAATGCTATTCCCTCTTGTCCTCACTTCCCTGACTCATCATTCAAAACTCAGTTTGGTAGCTAAACTGAATATTATCAACATTCAAATCTTTTGTGCTTCAAAGGAAGGACACCATCAAAAAAGTGAAAAGACAATCCACAGAATTGGGGAAAATGTGTGTAAAACACACATCTAATAAGAGACTTGTATCTAGAATATGTAGAGAACACTTAAAACTCAATAACAGAAAGATCAATACCCTCCAAAAATGGGCAAAAGATTTGCATAGACATTTTTCCAAAGAAGATATACGAATAGCAAACAAGCACACAAAAAGATGGTCAACATCATTAGCCATCAAAGAAATCCAAATGAAAACTTCAGTGAGATACCACTTCACATCCACAAAGATGTCTAATCAAAAAGATAATAATACATTTTGGTGAGGATGTAAAAAACCAAAACCCCTGTACACTGCTGGTGAGAATGTAAAATGGGACAGCTGCTTTTGAAAACAGTCTGGCAGTTCCTCAGATGGTTAATCACAGAATTATGATATGATCCAGCAATTCCACTCCTAGGTATATACTCGAGTAATAAAACATATATCCACATACTTATATATAAATGTTCATAGCAGCATTATTCAATAATAGCTAAAAAGTGGAAATAACCCAATGTCCATCAACTGAAAGGTAGATAAATAAAATATTGGTATATCCACACAACAAAATCATACTGGGTAATAAAAATGAATAAAACACTGAGGTGGTACAACATCAATGAACCTCGAAAGCATTATATTAAGTGGAAGAAGCCAGTCAAAAGGAACTACATGATGTATTATTATATTCATAGGACATGTCCAGAATAGGCAGATCGACAGAGACAAAAAAAAAAAAAAGTATATCAGTTTGCCTGGCACCGCTGAGGGACATGGGGTTATTAAGGGGTGCCAGTTAAGGAATGCAAGGTTTCTTTCTGGGGTAATGAAAACACTTTAAAATTGATTGTGGTGATGGATACACAACTTTTTTTTTTTTTTTTTTTTTTTTTTTTGAGACAGAGTTTCCTCTGTCACCCAGGCTGGAGTGCAATGGCGTGATTCTCGGCTCACTGCAACCTCTGCCTCCTGGGTTCAAGCGATTCTCATGCCTCAACCTCTTGAGTAGCTGGGATTGTAACAGGCATGCATCATCATGCCCGGCTAATTTTTGTATTTTTAGTGGAGTCGGGGTTTCACCATATCGGCCAGGCTCATCTCGAACTCCTGACTCCAGGTGATCCACCCACTTCGGCCTCCCAAAGTGTTGGGATTACAGGCGTGAGTCACTGCACCCAGCCTCACAACTCTTTAAATGTACTACAAGCCATTGAATGGTACACTTTGAATGGGTGAATTGTATGTATGGGAATCATATCTCAATAAAACTGTTTTTTATGGCCAGGCGCGGTGGCTCAAGCCTGTAATTCCAGCACTTTGGGAGGGCGATGTGGGCAGATCACCTAAGGTCAGGAGTTTGAGATCAGCCTGATCAACATGGTGAAACCCCGTTTCTACTAAAAATACAAAAATTAGCCGAGCGTGGTGGCATGTGCGTGCAATCCCAGCTACTCAGGAGGCTTAGACAGGAGAATCGCTTGAACCCGGGAGGCAGAGGTTGCAGTGAGCTGAGATCATGCCATTGCACTACAGCCTGGGCAACAAGAGTGAAACTCCATCTCAAAAAAAAAAAAAACAAAAAAAAGCTTTCTTTGTATAGAAACATAAACTCTCAGTGTCTCAGTTTGGATGTTCTCCCACCCCAGGCTTCTATGACTCTCCCCCTTGCATTTACTTCTCCCTCTCCTCCACTTTCCATGGCTGGGGTAAGGTGCCCTTTCTGTGTTTCCATGGAGCACTGTGACCTCCTCACTCATCACAGGGCTGTTTTCCTTTAGGGAAGGAACTCCTTGTAGCCTGCAACTGTATGTTTTATCTTTATGTTCTTACAGCTAAGCAAAGCAGTGCCTGGCACACAGTAGATGCTCAGTAAGAATGTGTTGAATGAATGTATGTATGAGTAAATAACAAATTGATTAATTAATATTTTATTTATGGAGCTTCTACTATAAACAAGGTACTACGAGTTGTTCACAAATGCTTATGGGAACAAATCAATGCTAAGCACAGGAACTGTGTTCAAACTCAGTGCATCACATGGAATCCTTTGTCTCTGTGTAGGAAGCAAATGCTGCTGACCCAGCACCTACCTGTACCTTGCTTTATCTCTACAGATATAGAGAAACATCTGCTCTGATCCTCCACACTTTCTCACTCCTTGGAGAAAGTGGCTAAGGCTCAGATGATGCAGTGGGAGATAGGAATGAGGGCAGAAAACAGAGTGCAGGAAAAGAACACACATTGAAATGCAATTTCACACCACACATCATTAGGCCTTTGCACTCACCAGCAGAACTACACAGCATAGCATATAATGTACTTTAAAACCTGCAAACTCATCAGGAAGCCTGGTAGAAAAGAATTCAAATTTATTATGTGGTATATATATACCATAGAATACTACTCAGCCATAAAAAGGAACAAAATCATGGCTTTTGCAGCAACCTGGATGGAATTGGAGACCATTATTCTAAGTGAAGTAACTCAGGAATGGAAAACCAAATATCGTATGTTCTCACTCATAAGTGGGAGCTAAGCTATGAGGACACAAAGGTATAAGAATGATATATAATGAGGCCGGGCGCAGTGGCTCACACCTGTAGTCCCAGCACTTTAGGAGGCTGAGGTGGGTGGATCATTTGAGGTCAGGAGTTCAAGAACAGCCTGGCCAACATGGCCAAACCCTGTCTCTACTAAAAATACAAAAATTAGCTGGGTGTGGTGGTGTGCGCCTATAATCCCAGCTACTCAGGAGGCCGAGGCTCAAGAAACACTTGAATCCAGGAGTCGGAGGCTGCAATGAGCCAAGGTCGTGCCACTGCACTTCAGCCTGGGTGACAGAGTGAGACTCCGTCTCAAAAAAAAAAAAAAAAAAAGATATAATGGACTTTGGGGTGATTGGGGGAAAGGGTGGGAGGGGGGTGAGGGATAGAAGACTACTCACCGGGTAAATTGTACACTGCTGAGGCGATGGGTACACCAAAATCTCAGAAATCACCACTAAAGAACTTATTTATGTAACCAAACACTACCTGTTCCCCAAAAACCTATTGAAATTTTAAAAAAAGCCAACAAACTGGAAAAAAAACAAAACTCAAATTTATTGCCCCAAATTTTATTGTGTGCTAGCTAAGGTATTTTGAACTATGAGGGCAGAATTTGTTACACCTCCTTATAGAGAAACTGAGTGGTTTCGCCTACAAGCAAGACTAGCTATGAAATTTACAAAGTTCAAAGCAAAATGAAGATGTGGGGGCTTATGTTCAAAAATTAAAAATTGCCACCCAGCCATCCCATTACCGGGTATATACCCAAAGGATTATAAATCATGCTGCTATAAAGACACATGCACAGGTATGTTTATTGCAGCTCTATTCACAATAGCAAAGACTTGGAACCAACCCAAATGTCCATCAATGATAGACTGGATTAAGAAAATGTGGCACATATACACCACGGAATACTATGCAGCCATAAAAAAGGATGAGTTCATGTCCTTTGTAGGGACATGGATGAAGCTGGAAACCATCATTCTCAGCAAACTATCGCAAGGACAAAAAACCAAACACTGCATGTTCTCACTCATAGGTGGGAATTGAACAATGAGAACACTGGGACATAGGAAGGGGAACATCACACACTGGGGCCTGTCGTGGGGTGGGGGGAGGGGGGAGGGAAAGCAGTAGGAGATATAACTAATGTAAATGATGAGTTAATGGGTGCATCACACCAACATGACACATGTATACATATGTAACAAACCTGCACGTTGTGCACATGTACCCTAGAACTTAAAGTACAATAAAAAAAAAAATTGCCAGTGGTGACGAAAGAGCATTAAGTCAAACTCAAGGGCTGGCCCTTCTGAGCACAGGCCCTGGGTGACCGTCTGCATGGGTCGCATGCCCATGAAGTTGGTCCTGTCTGCAGAGCTGGCTCAGGGAGGTGATCTGGCCTCTTGGTGAGAAACAAAAACCTAAGGGTGGGAATGCTCAGATTCTACATTCAACATCCCCTGTTCTGCAGAATTCACTTGATTCATTTGTTACCAAGGATACCACCTAATCTCCTGCCTAAAAATTCAGGAACTTTCCTCTAGTGATTCTCTTTTTACTTTGTAGCCTTGAAAGGGTTTATCTACAAAGCCTCTCCTTGTCTCCTGGAGTCCCCCTCATTTCTCTTGGCCACCATAATAAAACAGCCCTTTTACTGAAGCTAAGATAAGGTCCTAGTTCTTTATCCTGGGAGATCCAGGTTAGGGCAGGTAAGAAAGGAAGCAAAGGAGGGAGACTAATCTCTCTTAGATGGTGTTGTTTACCCTAATGGTTCCCTTCCCAGCGTCCACTCTCCTGCTTCCTCCTTCCTAAGATAACGAGATTTTGCTCAGGTTTCTTGCTAAGAGATCTGGGATTTGGCTCAGTGTTCCCCAAGTGACTCAGGAAAAGCTAACTCCATCCCCAACTCCAGGGTAGGTTCCTGGATACTCTAAGCCAATTATAGCAATGCCATCCCACTTGTGGGAAGTCAGTCCTCCTGGGGCATTCCCATGGCTACAGGTTTCAAAGGCCCTGTGACTCAAGTTGGCCCTTTCAGACTGAAAGGAGGGACTTTTCATGATGGGTGAAGAGGGTTTTTCCTCTCTCTCTCCTTCCCTCCCTCTCTCTCTCTTTTTCTGAGCCCCCCACTCCAAAGCCCCCTCCTGACAGTGTGAGAGGACAATATTCTGTCCCAGTTGATATTGGCATCCATTTTTTGACCATGAGGGAAGGCTGCCTGAGGACAAAGATAGCACAGGAGATAGGGAAGACAAATATATTAGCAGACAAATGGAACTGGAGCCCCCATGGATTGTTTCCAGAGCCTGCACAATTTCTTTTAACTGTTTTGGGAGATAATATACTTCCTTATTAACTAAGTTCATTAGAAATTTTGTTTCTTGCATCAAAAACATACTATTTGACACAGATGCAGATAGAATTCTCTGTCTCAGGTTGACTTACTCACATACACTTCATGAATATTCATTAAGCATCCTTATACACATATTAGGTCCTATAGTAGATACAAGGATTCAATATGCTGCTGTCCTCAGAAGCTTACAGTCTAGTACAGAAGTCGTGACTTACACATATGAAACATTTCCTGACAATGGGAAGCAATGTATGCTTTTTGAAAGTTTGTTTTGAAATTTACAACACATGTTGTCTACCCCTTCTACTCCTGTTCCTGAGATGCAACTATTCATGAGTAGAGTTTATCCTTCTAAAAGCTTCAATGTCTTCTTCCTGAGGCAACATATGGTAAGAATTAAGTGATAAAGGAGTTCAGGGGAGGAAAAACTTACTCAGGCTGAGGAGATATTAGGAAAGCTTCATGGAAAAGAAGTCATGTAAACACTATTGCCCTAAAGCTCAGGTAGCAGGGTCCCTGACCGGGCTTTGTAGGGATAAAGAGCATGCCACCCCAAAATGTGCCATTTTGGCATATCTATTACTTTGAGTTAAAGGCACTTAAGAAACAGCAGGTGCAAGAATGGCATTCTGATCTTCCTTTTTCTTCCTCAAAGCAAGAGATAAAACTCTCATGTGAAAGGTACCCTCCCTGACCAGGAGGAAGGAAGACACTCTTATTCTCAGAGATGGGGTGTCAAAGCTGAGAGAGAAACGGGTACCAAAAAACCTTATTAAACTAACCCTTATCTGCCTAGCCACTTTTCCACAATTAAGTGTTCTACCCCAAACCTCTTTGTCATGTTTTCAAACTTTACTATTCTTTGTCCAGCCTGTTAGGTAAGCTTTCAGCCCTAATTGCTCCTTTGAGTTTCGTTTTTCTTGTGAGGGCTCCCATGTACAAGTAAAAATTACTAAATAAAGTATGTATGCTTTTCTGTTATTCATCTATCTTATGTCAATTTAATTCTCAAGCCTAGCCAGAGAGCCTAAGAGGAAAGGGAAATTTTGCCTCCTCCAGAGCCCCCACTTAGCCTTCCTTTTGCCATGTCCCTTCCTAGGGAACAAGGAATCCACAAAGCCCTGTGGTTTAGACCATAATCCAGATACCCAGAACCCCAGAATTGCCTGCCCACATGACTCAAAGCCCACTTGCAGGGCCTACATGGGTCTTCCAGGTAATTTCCCATTTAAGGTCAACTGTGCCATATAACGTAACAATTAGAGGGGTGATATTTTAATCATATTTTTGAGTTCCAGGACAAGAACTCTCAGGTGAGGGGAATTTTTAAATTTTGCCTACCACAATAATAAAATTCTAGAAATAACCAATATGTGAAGCTGGTATGAAATTCCAAAAGCACAAAAGGTGATATAGCAAAAGAGTCTCCAGCCCTTATCTCTTCTCTCCATCACCCAGTTTACCTCACCATGGATAGTCACTGTTAGTGGTCCTTCGACCACCATATTACACAAATACATCCTGCTTTTTTTTACCTTAATACTATATCTTGCAAATCATTTTGTAGCTGTATCATAACTTATTAGCTATCCATGGGTATTTAGGTTATTTAGAATATTTTTCTTTTACAAAAAAAGTGCTGTGATTAAAACCCTTTTAGAGCCAGTCTCCATGCATGCCACTGGGGGACCTGGAGATCAATCTGCCTTGCTTGCCACCCACCAGCGCCCATGCACACCTTCCAGGGGCCTACAGACCAGCTCCTCCTGCTCACTGCCACCACCTGTACCTACTGTCTGGAGGCCTGAGGATAGTCCTACCCTACCCACCGCCACCAGCACATGCATGCACTATCCAGGATGGACCCACCCCAACTGCCACCAGTACCTCCATGTGCTGGACACTAGCCCACCAAGGCCACCACTGCCACTGCTGGCATGTGCATGCACTGTATGAGGGTCCAAGGGTTGTCCTCCAGCAATACTGTAACCACTTAATGGATTTACCTTGCCTGCTGCCTAGACAGAGCCAATTTATCAAGACAGAGGGATTGCAATAGACAAAGAGTTATTCATGCCGAGCTGGCTGTACAAGAGTCCAGAGTTTTTTTTACTATATTATTCACATCAGTCTGCCTGAGCATTCAGGGATCAGAGTTTTTTTTGTTTTGTTTTGTTTTTTTGTTTTGGTTTGGTTTGGTTTTTTTTGAGACGGAGTCTCACTCTGTCGCCCAGGCTGGAGTGCAGTGGCACGATCTCAGCTCACTGCAAGCTCCGCTTCCCAGGTTCACGCTGTTCTCCTGCCTCAGCCTCCCGAGTAGCTGGGACTACAGGTGCCCGCCACCATGCCCAGCTAATTTTTTTGTATTTTTAGTAGAGACAGGGTTTCACCATGTTAGCCAGGATGGTCTCAATCTCCTGACCTCGTGATCTGCCCGCCTCAGCCTCCCAAAGTGCTGGGATTACAGGCGTGAGCCACCGTGCCTGGCAGGGATCAGAGTTTTTAAGTATAGTTTGGTGAGCAGTGGGGCAGTGAGTTGGGAGTTCTGATTGGTCCGGTTGGAGATGAAATTACAGGTAGTTGAAGCTATCCTCTTGCACTGAGTCAGTTCCTAGTTGGGGGCCACAAGACCAGATGACCCAGTTTATCGATCTGGGTGGTGCCAGCTGATCCAGTGAGTACAAAGTCTGCAAAATATCTCAAGCTCTGATCTTAGGTTTTACAATAGTTACATTATCCCTAGGAGCAACTGGGGAGGTTTAGAATATTGCAGTCTCCAGCTGCATGACTCCTAAACTATAATTTCTAATCTCGTGGCTAATTTGTTAGTCCTGCATAGGCAGTCTGGTCCCCAGGCAGGAAGGGGGCTTATTTGGAAAGGGCTATCATCTATGTTTCAACCATAAACTATAAACTAAGTTCCTCCCAAAGTTAGTTTGGCCTATGCCCAAGAATGAACAAGGACAGCTTGGAGGTTAGAAGCAAGATGGAGTTGGTTAGGTCAGATCTCTTTTACTGTCTCAGTCATAATTTTGCAATGATAGTTTCAAGCCTGTCACCACCAATGCCATGCACACTGTCCAGGGGCCCAAGGACCTACCTGCCTAGCCTACCACTGCCACCACCAGCACCTGAGCATGCCACCTGGAGGCTCAAGGACCAGCCCACCCAGACCAGCCACCACTGGTATCTGTGTATGCTACCCAGGCATGTGAAGACTGGCACATCTGACTCACTGCCACCACTACTGGTGCCTGAGGAGTGGCTGCCTAGTGTCCCTGATCCCAACAAAGCCTTGCCCCAGCCTCTACCAACAAGTGCAACCTAAGCCAATGAAGAACTCACAGTTATCACTGATGCTGATTACAGCCAAAGAAGTCATTATGAAGACTACGCTAATGTGCCTACCCAGAAGCAAAGCCAAAGCACCCTTCCCAACCAACACCATTATACATGTATAGGAATAAAGACTTTCCCTATGAAAGTCAATAGATAGAATTGGAAGAAGTAACACTAAATGTGCAGCAATCACCATAAGGACACCAGAAAACATGGAAAGGAAAGGAAACATAACACTTCCAAAGGAATACAATAATTCTCTAGCAACAGATCCCAAATAAAACTTATGACTTGTCTAAAAAATAATTCAAAATAATGATCTTAAAGGAATCCAGCAAGTTGCAAGAGAATGCAGATAAACAATACAAAGAAATCAGGAAAACAATTTATGAGCTGAATGAGAAATTCAACAAGGAGATAGGTATCATAAAAAAGAACCAAACAGAAATCCTGAAGTTGAATAATTCAATGAATTAAAAAATAAAATCAAGAGCTTCAATAATAGACTAGATCAAACAGAAAAAAAATTGGACTTGATAAGAGATCTTTTAAAATAACTCATTCAGACAAAAAAAAAAAAGAGAACAAGAGAGAGAAAAGAATGAAGCCTATGTGATATATCGGAATACTATAAATCATAAAAATATTCAAGTTTTAGGAGTTCCAGAAGAAGAGATGGACAAAGTCATAGAAAACCTATTTAATGAAATAATAGCTGAAAACATCTCAAGTCTTGCAAGAAATATAGACATCCAGATACAGGAAGCTCAAAGATCTCTAAGTAGGTTCAATCCAAAAAGATGTTTTTCCAATGCATGCTATAATCAAACTGTCAAAAATCAAAGATGAAGAGAGAACTCCGAAAACCACTAGAGAAAAGCATCAAGTCACATAAGTCAGATATAAGGGAATTTCCATCAGACTAACAGTGTATTTCTCAGCTGAAACCTTATAGGTTAGGAGACAATGGGACACTATATTCAAATGAAAGAGAAAAAAAACCCTGCCAACCAAGAATACTATCCCTAGAAAAGCTATTCTTCAAAAATGAAGGAGAAATAGTCTTTCCCAGACAAGCAAAAACTGAGGGAATTTATCACCACTACAGATCTTAAAAGAAATGCTTAAGGAAGTCCTACATTTGGAAGCAAAAGGACATTTTCTATCGCGAAAACACATGAAAGTATAAAGCTCACTGAGAGAACAGATGAGAAAGAAAATGAGGAAGAAAGAGGACTCAAACATATTCACTACAGAAATCCACCAACTGTAAAGGTAAACAATAAAAGAGGAAGAAGAGAACAAAGAATACACCAATCAGAAAACAATCAACAAAATGTCAGGAGTAAGTCCTCACCTGTCGATAGCAACCTTGAATGTAAATGGCTTAAATTCCCCAATTAAAAGATACAGACTGGCTGAATGAATTAATAAAACAATTCCCAGCAAGATGCAGTGGCTCACACCTGTAATCCCAGCATTTTTGGAGGCTGAGGCGGATGGATCATTTGAGGTCAGGAGTTCGAAACCAGCCTGGCCAACATAGTGAAACACTGTCTGTACTAAAAATACCAAAATTATCCATATGTGGGGGTGCAGATCTGTAATCCCAGCTACTCAGGAGGCTGAGGCATGAGAATCACTTTAACCTTGGAGACAGAGGTTGCAGTGAACCTAGATTGCGCTACTGCACTCCAGCCTGGGCGAGAGAGCAAGACTCAGTCTCAAAAAAAAAAAATCAAATCAAACCAAACCAAACCAAACAAGATCTAACTATAAGCTGCCTACAAGAAACTCATTTCACTTGTAAGGACACACATAGACTGAAGGGATGGAACAAATATTCCACACAAATGGAAACCAAAAACACGCAGGAGGAGCTATACTTTTATTAGAAAATATAAGGCTGGATGCAGTGGCTCATGCTTATAATCCCAATAATTTAGGAGGCCAAGGCAGGAGGACTGCTTGAGTTCAGGAGTTGGAGACCAGCCTGGGCAACATAGGGAAATCCCATCTCCACAAAAAATAAGAAAACTAGCTAGGCATGGTGTCACATGCCTGTGGTCCCACCTACTGAGTAGGCTGAGGTGGGAAGATTGCTTGGGCCCAGGAAATCAAGGCTGCAGTGAGCCATGATCATGCCACTCCACTCTAGCCTAGGCAACAGACTGAGACCCTGTTTCAACAAAGAAAAGAAATATATATAGAATTTAAGTAAAAAAATAAAAACAAAAAAAGAAAGAAGGTTATATTATTATATATGTCATATAATAATATATACAATGATCATCAATGATCACATATCATTATATAATGATAAAGGGGTCAATTCAGCAAGGGGATATAATATTGTAAATATATATGCACCAACACCAAAGCACCCAAATATATATAACAAATATTATTAGTGCTAAAAATATAGACTCTAATATAATAATAGTTGGAGAAGCCAACACCTCACTTTCAGCACTTGAAAGATCATCAAGACAGAAAATTAGCAACAAAAATGGACTTAATCTTCACTAGAGGCTGGGCATGGTGGCTCACACCTGTAATCACAACACTTTGGGAGGCCAAGGAGGGCAAATTACTTGAGCCCAGGAATTGAAGACCAACCTGGGCAACACAGGGAGGCCCTTTATCTACAAAAAGTAAAATTAGCCAAGCATGGTGGTGCATGCCTGTGTTCCCAGCTACTCAGGAGGCTGAGGTGGGAGGATCACTTGGGCCTGAGAGGTTGAGGCTGCAATGAGCTATGAATGCACCACTGCAATTCAGCCTGGGTGATAGAGTAAGACCCTGTCTCAAAAAAGAAAACAAAACAAAAAACAAACAAACAAAAAAAGCACACACACAAACCTTTACTATAGACCAAATGAATCTAACAACCTAACAAACATTTACAGAACATTTCACCCAACAACTGCAGAATATACATTTTTCTCATCAACAAATAGAACATTTTCCAGAAGAGACCACACAAGGGGTAATCAAAATTCATGAAAAAATGTATATCGTGAGGAAACTATACATGGATGTCAAAATTTTTTGCACTAAAACTTGTACTAACTTACTGTAACATAGCAGAACAGGATCTAGTTTGAGGCACTAAGAAGGATAAGACATCAGTTTGAAAAGAGAGCCTATCAGAGCTATATAAATTCTGCTAAAATTGAAGGAAGAACAAGCATCAAATTTACGGTAAAGCTTGGGTGGAAGATGATAAAATCATTCATGTTTTACAAAAAGTTTATGGGGACAATGCCCCAACAAAATTAGCAGTTTATAAATGGATAATTCATTTTAAGAAAGGACAAGGTAGTTTGAAGATGAAGCCTGCAGCAACAGACCATTCACATTAATGTGCAAGGAAAAAAATTCATCTTGTCTGTGCCCTATCTGAAGAGGACCAACAATTAACAGAAGAAACGATAGCCAACACCACAGACATCTCAATTGTTTCAGACTTCAACCAACTCTGACTGAAAAATTACAGTTGAGCAAACTTTCACCAGATGGGCACCAAAACCATTGCACTGTAATCAGGCACAAACAAAAGCAAAGCTTTCAACAGAATTTTTTTAAGTGGCATCAAGATTCTAAAGCCTAGCTTCAAAAAATTATAACAAAAGATGGAACATGGCTTTACCAGTACCATCCTGAAGATAAAGCACAATCAAAGCAGTGGGCTACCAAGAGGTGAAAGTGGTCCAGTCAAAGCGAGAGTGAACTGGTCAAGAGCAAAGGTCATGGCAACAGTTTTTTTTGGATGGTAAAGGAATTTTGCTTGTTGACTTTCTGGAAGGCCAAAGAATAATAACACCTGTTTATTATGAAGGTGTTTTGAGAAAGTTAGCCAAAGCTTCAGTCAAAAAATGCCCAGGATAGCATCACCAGAGAGTCCTTCTCCACCGCAATGCTTCTGATGATTTCTCCAACTAGTAAGAGGAATTTTGTGAGTTTCTATGGAAAATTATTAGGCATACACCTCACAGTACTGATTTGGCTCCTTCTTTTTTTTTGTTTGCTAATCTTAAAAAAAAAATCTAAAAGACATCTATTTTTCTTCAGCTAATATTGAAAAAAGACTGCATTGACATGGTTAAATTCCCAGGTTCCTCAGTTCTTTAGGGTTGAACTAAATGGCTGGTATTGTCACTTACAAAAGTGTCTTGAACAGGATGGAGACTTTTTTTTTTTTGGCTCACTCTGTCACCCAGGCTGGAGTGCAGTGGACTGATCTCAGCTCACTGCAACCGCTGTCTCCCGGGTTCAAGTGGTTCTCCTGCCTCAGCCTCCCAAGTAGCTGGGACCACAGGTGCACAGAACCACAACCGGCTAATTTTCGTGTTTTTAGTAGAGATGGGGTTTCGCCATGTTGGCCAGGCTGGTCTCGTACTCCTGGCCTCAGTGACCCGCCTGCATCGGCCTCCCAAAGTGTTGGGATTACAGGCGTGAGCCACCACGCCTGGCCAGAAAGGAGCTTCTTTTGAGAAATATAGTTTACATTTTTAAAAATCTTTTAATTCCATTTTTTCACAAATTTAAGGTTTCCTAATATGTTAGGCCACAAAAAAAGTAAAAAAAAAAAAAAAAAAAATTTAAAAATTGAAATAATATCAAATGTCTTCTCAGACCACAACAGAATAAAACTAGAAATTAGTAACAAGAGTAACTTGGGAAACTATACAAACACATGGAAATTAAGCAACATGCTCTTAAATAAACTTTTAAAAAACTGAAACAAATGAAAATGGAAATGCAAAATACCAAAACCTATAGGATACATCAAAAGCAGTGCTAAGAGAGAGGTTTTATAGCAGTAAAAGCCTATGTCAAAAAAGTAGAAAGAGGCCAGTCATGGTGGTTCACACCGGTAATCCTAGCACTTTGGAAGGCTGAGGCGGGTGGATCACTTGACATCAGGAGTTGGAGACCAGCCTGGCCAACATAGTGAAGCTCTGTCTCTACCAAAAAATACAAAAAAAAACTAGTCAGGCACAGTGGCATGCACCTGTAATCCCAGCTACTCAGGAAGTTGAGGCTTGAGAATCGCTTGAACCCGGGCAGAGGATGCAGTGAGCCAAGATCGCACCACTGCACTCCAGCCTGGGTGACAGAGTGAGACCTTGTCTCAAAAAAAAAAAAAAAAAAAAGTAGAAAGATTTCAAATCTGCTGCCTCATCATCAAACTCTTGGGCTTCTCTGCAACTACAGGTAGACAATCTACTGGCCACAGCAGCTGCTGTCACATTCTTCTACAGTGTTTGTAACAAGGGGACTGGCCAGTCTCTGACTGTACACTCGCTGGTACAGGGAGCTAACCACATCCTGATACCGATTCCATTGTTGGATGGAACGGTTGGGAATTCTGCTTCACAATATGCTGAGATAACTGTAACCTTTGGACTCACAAAAGTATGAGTTCTTATTTAATTTGAAAATAAGTATCTGAAGAGAGCTATAAACTATATACCACTTTTTCTAAATGCCGAGTTTCTACGGCCTTTTCATTTTCAGAAATTGTTAGAAAAGAAATTTTCCCTAAGTAACATTCAAATGATTTGCAGTGCAAAGAATAATTTAATTTGACCCTTTTCTATTTTCAGAAGGCACATGGTATCTAAAAGGACATCACTGATGTGGGGCCCTCTAACTAGTTTTAACAGCAAAGTAAAAATGTACTGAGCCTTCTAAGGTAATTAAGGATCACTGATCTTCAAGACAGCTTCTAGCTTTAGCCTTTAAAAATTTTCTTCCATTTGAGCCAGAAGAATTTCATATATGTAACAGTATCTTAAAAAATACAGTACAGGGCCAGGCATGGTGGCTCAGGCCTGTAATCCCAGCACTTTGGGAGGCCGAGGCGGGTGGATCACTTGAGGCCAGGAGTTCGAGACCAGCCTGGCCAACATGGTGGAACCATCTCTACTTAAAAATTTCCCAAGTAGCACGGTGGCATGCCTGTACTCTCAGCTACTTGGGAGATTGAGGCAGGAGTATCACTTGAAAATGGGAGGTGGAGGTTGCAGTGAGTGGAGATTACGCCACTGCATTCTAACCTGGGCAAGAGTGAGACTGTCTCAAAAAAAAAAAATACAGTACAGGATCAATTTAATCACTGATACCTCTCCAGATTACTCCATTGTTGGGATTCTTTCAGAAAACAAAGTGAACAGTTAAATGAAGCAAGAATACTGTGAAACTTTTGAAGTAAACAAAAGCTAAGTTATTGAATGCCTACTACGTGCCAAGCACTGTGCACACATTTAAGACTCTAATCTTCACAATTCTGCCAGATTGGTCTCACCTCTATTTTACAGATTTAAAAAAACATTGCTCAATGTGTTTAAATGACTTGCTTAAAATCGTATGCTAACACAAGACTGGAATTCAATGCAAGATCTGAGAGTTAAATGCCCACATGCCCTCGCCCCTGTTTAAACTAGACCTCTCACTTAGCTAACTGTACACATGTGGAAACATGAATCAGTCAGGATTTTGTTATCTGTGACAGGTCAAAACAGCAGTGGCTTCAGAAACGTAGAAATTTTCTTCTCTCCAGTGCAGACGTAGACAATCTGGGGCTCCTAGTGTCCCTCTGAGGTGTCAAGAGTAGAAGCTCCTATGTTTTTTGTTGCTGTGCCCTCTGTGGTTTCACGATCCCAGATAGGGGCCAGAGCTCCAAACATTACCTCTGCATTTTGGCTGGCGAAGGAATAAAGACATGCTCCTATCTTTAAGGACATGTCCCAAACGTTGCTCAGATCACTAGCCAGATCTGATTGAATCCAAGTGAGGCTGGGAAAGTAATCCTTATATTCTGGGTGGCCTTGCACTTATCTGAAAATCAGAGTTCTAAAAGGGAGGATGAATATTGAGAGACCATAGCCTCTGCCAGTGTGCTTAATGAGTATGCCAAGAATAAAAAGTAGAACTTAAATCCCTTCATCTTCCCCTTCATTCAAGTGTATATTCTGCTAGCAAAGTGAGACATTCATCTGTACTTTTCTTGATACTTGAAGTATTTTGTTAGAACCAGAGTAACAAATCCCCATGGACCCACCATCCAGAATTTAACAAATGCTTACATCTTCCTTCAGATCTTTAAAAAAAAAAAAAAAAATTGAAACAGAAGAGACCCCTTTTGCAACCACAAGCAGTTCTACTCTCCTCTGAGTTCAAGGCAACTGCTTTCTCATTATGTTTCTATACTTTCTCTCTATAAATAACAATCAACATAGTTTTTTTAAAAAACTGTATAAATGGCATGCATTTCATCTTCTGCGACAGCTTATTTTCATTCACTATTTCTTCAAGGGCCATCCACATTACAGATCAAGTTCATTCATTTTAATTGCTCAATTGTTTACCATCTATAAATAGGCCACAATTTACTTATCTATTTTCTTGCTCATGAGCATTTAGGTAACTTTTCCTGGAAACAAACAGTTCAGCTGTGAGGCTTCTTGTACATCTCCTTGTACACATGTGCATGGTTTCTCTAGAAGATTGCTTCTCAAGGTTTCATGAGCATGAGTCACCTAAGAAATCTTAACCACAGAGTCTGGTGCAGCAAGTCCAGGTCAGGACCTGAGAGTTGCAAGCTTCCCAGGTGAAGCCCATGCTGCTGCTCTGTGGCCCACACTTTGGGAAGTGAGACTCTTAAGTGTATACCTAGAATTGTTGGGTCACAGAGTATGCAAACCTCACTTTCTTAGACATCATCAAATTGAACCCGTTTTTACTCCAAAAGTAGTGAATGTGTTCCTATTGCTCCATTCTCACCAACACTAGATCTTGTGACTTTTTACCTTTTGCTAATCTGAAAGCATGAAAAAACTAGGTCACATTTCACTGATTATCAGGACAGTAATAATCTTTCCACATTTTTTTTGACTATTCAGGCTTTTTCTGTTCATATAATTCATCCATTTTTCTAATGCAGCAATTTTAAGTGTGGTCCAAGGACCCTAGCGGTCCCGAGACCCATTCAGTGGGTCTGCAAGGTCCCTTTTTTTTAACGATTACCTATCCATGTGAGGCTGATTTTCTCCTTCACATACTTCATCCAAAACACACAGCAATAGACTGCAGAAGCAGGTATGAGAGGCCAGCTATCTTTTATTAAGCTAAATGTTAAAGAGATTTGTAAAAATGTAAAACAATACCACTCTTCTCATTTTTTGTTTTGAAAAATAGTCATTCTTCTTATTTTTTTAACATAATTTTTAAATTCTAACAGAAAATATCAATAGATTTAACCCACATACATGAAAACTCTTTGGGGTTCTCACTTTTGAAGAGTGTAAAGGGATCTTGAGACCAAAAGTTTTGAGAATTGCTGTTCTAATGCATGGCTGTCATTTACTCAATGACTTTTGTATGAGGTTCTTTTGCTTCTTTAATGTATTCCAGATACGAATCCTTTGACAGTTCCATGCATTGCAAACATTTCCTTGTCTGTAGCTTGTTCTTTTACAGTCTCTATTGTTCTACAGAAGCCATGTTTTTATGCATCATTTTTTCCTGTGTATGCTTTTGTGTCTTGCTTTAAAGAAATCCTTCCCATTTGCAAAATCATGAAAATAACCTTATAGATTCTCATTTAAAAGTTTTGTCTTCATATTTAGGTCTTTAATCCCTTTGTTTTTGGGGAAGGGTATAAGGTAGTACATATTGTTTTCCCCATAGAGCTTGCCGTATCTGTCAAAAATCAAGTTCCCATATAAACATGGACCTGTTTCTGGGCTCTTTATTCTCGTCAGGGATCCCTTGACTGACCTCTACTGGCACCAGCCACACACTACTTTAACTGGTATACCTTTAAAATATTCTTTGACATTGTTAGGACAAGTTCATGCCTCTTCCTCTCGTCCTTCTTCAAAATTATCTTGCTTTTTCTTAATCTTTTTCTTCCCATGTAACACATTTTGAGGTGTAACAGAAGGCCTACTGAGTTGGGAGTCCAGGCATCTGCCCTGTTCTACTGGCAGCCGCCCCTAACCAGCTGTGGCTGTGGAGCTCATATCTCCCTGAGCTCAGCTTCCTCTTCCATAGAACAAGAAATCTGAAAATCACCTCTAATTTTTCCTCTCCAATCCCAAGAGCCTATATTTTTAGTATAAAGACATTAAATTTAACAGATAAGGAAGGGAATTGAATAGAGATACTTCAGCATTGCAGATTATAGGGAACAGAACTTCTGCCACATAAATGGTAATGTTTAGGAATTCATAAAAAAGTTTAAAAGTTCTCTTCATTATTTTATGTTGAAGGTTAGGCTAGAATCATCACCAGAGAATTCACGGGATTTTGGGGGTCCTCTAAAATGAAACTATGTCTTGCTATAGGAATTTTACTTCCTGCGTGAGTTAAACCACAATTTTAGAGACAATCTTCTACAAATACAAGAGTAATTTCCAATCTGAAAATTTTGTAGGGGAGGATTTAGAAAAAATGAAAACTTCTGATGAAATCCTTTATAAGTCTTCTCATGGTACCAAAATTCCAATATTACTTCACCAGCAATCACTAGGTCATGAACTCTGATGTGACTTGACCTCCACTAACTCATTCACAGCTCTGCTTTTCCTTCTTTGTGACCAAAGGCAGGAATTAGAAAAATGCTTGGCTAGAGCTAAGGATACTGCTCTTATTTTGAAGCAGGGAAAGTCTAAATAGCCATTGTAGGGAACCCCCAGCTTTGGCACCACTGAATGAATTACAGAAAGAAAATGAGATTTCCCCTAACTTTCTTCTCCTGGACCCTCATTCTATGAATCTCCACATCTGAGCTAACTTCAATCAAGATGGGTACTTAGCACTGACCTCTAATAAGATCAGTGTAAGATGCATGCCCATGTATTTTAGTTTATTGTTTTACCTCAGACAAGTGAAATTAAATGTCTGCAATTCACCAAAAATATTTTACCCTTAGCAAAATATATGGTACGTTCCTGTTTTCCTCTTCAAAAGTAGACTTAGGAAGCAAATTCCTATAAAACTTAATTGCCCATTTAATCCAACATGTATAGTCTGCAAATATATAAACTAAAAAAGATTTACCTTATTTAAATTCAACAATATTTTGTATAAAGCTTTTGTGTTTAAAAAGCATTTTCATATATACTACTTCATTTTACTTTCATAATGATCCTGTATGATAAATGGAGACAATATTATTATGGTAATAACTGTGTTAGAGATAAGAAAAAGTTCTGAGAAATTAGATGATTTCTCAACATCATAAAGGATGAGACGCAAGACTAAGGTCAGCTTCCAGTCACAACCCATGAAGATCCCTTGAAAATTATGGTTGATTTTCGTCAATCCGAATAAAAGCGACACATAACTCCACTCAACCCTCATTAAACAAATTAAATACCTGCATGTTTGGTATAAGAGAAAGCAAAGAAGTCATAGGGACATTTGCAGTACATTAACTGCCTTTCAAGATGACTTCCTATTTTTTAGTGTATAATAACATGTGACTAGTATGTCCTCTGGTTCATTAATATTCCTATTCATAATTATGGCCAATTCATCTAGTTCAGATAAGAAGGCGGCAGAGCACATTCAGATGAAGTCTCAGGGTACGAGATCAGAAGATACAAAACTGCCTAGTATTCCCCCTGAAGAGATCAAGAAGGGGAGCAGGGACAATTATAAGGAATTAGTGATAGAAATTAGCAAGAAATAGAAAGGTATGAAGGTAAAGAAAAAAACATATCTCTAAATGGAAAAGAAAAGAATTTAAATTAAGGTTCAAATGCTTATTTTTAAGACAATAACACAGAAGAAATCTGATCATCAATACTATCCATGAAGCTATCAGAAAAGACCTTGCCATTAAGGACTTTAGTGTTTGAGAGCTGATCTGTAACCGAAAATTTGTTCATTTCGTTAATCTGAAGATTCAAGGATATATGGAAAGCAATAACTTCATTGTACAGAAAGCACACATTTCAAGCCAGTGAGTTTAAAATTACTTTCTTTTTTTTTTTTTTTTTTTTTTTGAGACGGAGTCTCGCTCTGTCGCCCAGGCTGGAGTGCAGTGGCGGGATCTCGGCTCACTGCAAGCTCCGCCTCCCGGGTTCACGCCATTCTCCTGCCTCAGCCTCCCAAGTAGCTGGGACTACAGGCGCCCGCCACTACGCCCGGCTAATTTTTTGTATTTTTAGTAGAGACGGGGTTTCACCGTTTTAGCCGGGATGGTCTCGATCTCCTGACCTCGTGATCCGCCCGCCTCGGCCTCCCAAAGTGCTGGGATTACAGGCGTGAGCCACCGCGACCAGCCAAAATTACTTTCAAGACCAATGAAAAGAACTGACTAATCCATCCTAAAAATGGACTCAATACTGATCAATGTACACGACTGTTCTAACACTCAGTTATAACAGTTCTCCATATTTCCTTTGTGTTAATATTCATCACTGTTATAGAATAGATGTATAAGCATCAGCTCTATCACAAAATCTTTCATTAACAAAGCTTTTCTCCACTGAGTGATGGAAAAAAAAAAAAGAACAAAAACTTCTGAAAATAGTGAAGAAAAAAACTCAATGAAGAACACCACATCTCTTCTTAAATAGTATAAATTCTGTACCATCTGCTACCTTGTTCCGTCATACTTTACAGCTGTCACTGTGCCTAGGGAGGACATGCCATGTAAACTAATTTGCTTCCACCTCCACAATTCAAATCGGAGCAAAAAACTGAACAATACACCTTACTGGTAAACCAGTAAAATATCAAATTAAATCAAGTAAAACCTTGAAGAGACACTATTCTTGAAAGACTACCAAATGTTCAATTAGTTTCTACCTATCACTGTTCTTGAGAAAAAAAATACAGTAATCAATAATCGGTTATTTAAAAATAATTTTTAAAATCGGAACCAGTGTCATATGGAAAAATGATCTATGATGCTTTTTAAAAGATCCGAGTTTTTCACATATTATGAAGTATTAACAAAACACAAAAGCATTAAGTAAAAGTAATGTGAAATTCAGAAAATAAAGCAGAAAGTTGCACTTCTGTGTGTTAAAATAATGTAATTCTCCCTGTACATTTCTGTCCACATGAGCCAATAAACATCAAGAATACACACTTTACAGTATTTACCTGTTTTAAGACATTCAAGTCAATTCAGATGGCAAAAGTAGAATTCAATCACTAGTGAAATGTTTTAAAAATATATATTAAACCAAAAAAGTGTTTTTACAAGATAAAAAATAATCTTCCACAATGTAATTAATTGCAGATCACTGAAATTTTAACTCTTTAGATGATTTCAGTTCAGTTTTTTGGTTTCAAAATCTAGAGACAGTCAAACAAAAGCACAGGCAGAATCTCTATCTGTTTTTACGTTTCTCTTTCTTGCTTTGACTACTTGTTGCGCTGTTTAAAGACGATGATGAAGGTGCTCTTGCATGACCTGTGGCCTTTAGATGGTCAAAAAGTTTATTCCGAGATGGAAATTCACTATGGCAGGTTGTACAGCTGATAAGAACACTCTGAGAAGGGCAAAAAATCATAAATAAAAGTAAGCGTTATCACTTGAAAGTAGTGTTTTAGGTTTTAATATCAAGATTAAGCATCAAACAATTGTAAAATAAAGATGTTTTAACAGAGTGGACAGGTAATAAACACGTTCAACAAAGGCAGATGTTCTTGGAGGTTAAATCCCACTAATCAACACGATTAACTTTAAGGGTCCTGAGACTTTCAATAGCATGTACCTCATGGACTAAAAAAGAGGAAGAGTTTATGCTTCACAATTAATCTCCAGAACTTGACACATGTAATTCTTATCACCAAGGCTTTAGATTGAAAAGTAATAGAAAACAACAGTAACTGTTCTGGTACAGTCTAGCATTTCCAATGTGCTTCTTTTTATTTTAATGAAAAAAAAAGATACATTATATCAAACAAAACTGTTGATGGATCCACATCTTTGCAGGCTCTTTGCGGAATGGCTCACCAAATACACATTTCCATCTTTAGATCATTATACTGCTTAAACAGCAAGATATGCTAAAGAGATATGAATATGATTTTGACCTACCATTGTTTGTGGTTCAGCAGGTACTCTGACAGGTTTTTTCATATCTTTGGTTTTCTTTCCTTTGGGTTTAGGAACACTGGAAAATAAATAATTCAGCATAATCCAAAAATAACATACTCCTTTTAACCATCATTATTTGAGTGCTCTCTAGAACACTCAAAAAAGTGAACTGCACTTTAAAAGTTAATTCATTAATTTTAAAGGCAATTTAAATAATCTTTACATCTTAAATGAACATCTTTAAAAAGCAACTTCAGAAATCAAATTGAATATCAAATTTGGCACAAAAATTAAGGAATTTCCTTAAAACAGTTGAAACAAAGTTAAAACAAGGTCCTTAAAATATCTCTGAATGTTTTATACAGAGATAAATGTTTTATACAGTGTTTAATACAGTGTTTTATACAGAATGTTTTATACAGTGTTTTCATAAAAACACTGCCAGGCACGGTGGCTCACACCTGTAATCCCAGCACTTTGGGAGGCCAAGGCGGGGAGATCACTTGAGGTCAGGAGCTCGAGACCAGCTTGGCCAACATGGTGAAACCTCCGCCTCTATTAAAAATATAAAAAATTAGCTGAGCGTGGTGGCAGGCACCTGTAATCCCAGTTACTTAGGAGGAGGAGCAGGGGAATCACTTGAACCCAGGAGGTGGAGACTGCAGTGAGCCAAGATTGCACCACTGCATTCTAGCTGGGGTGACAGAGTAAGACTGTTTCAGGGGGAAAAAAAAAAGCACAAAGCACTTAATACTCCATTTAAAGGAGCAAACCATCTTCAAAACTAACCAACGGTAATCATAAATGATCTGACATGAAGTGTGGTTCCCCAAAAACATTAACTTTTTTTTTGAGATGGAGTCTCACTCTGTCACCCAGGCTCGAGTGCAGTGGCGCGATCTTGGCTCACTGCAACCTCTGCCTCCCGGGTTCAAGCGATTTTCCTGCTTCAGCCTCCCGAATAGCTGGGATTACAGGCACGTGCCACCATACTCAGCTAATTTTTGTATTTTTTAGTAGAGACAGGGTTTTACCATATTGGCCAGGATGGTCTCGAACTCCTGACCTCGTGATCCACCCGCCTTGGCTTTCCAAAGTGCTGGGAATATAAGCGTGAGCCACCCTGCCTGGCCTAACATTAACTTCTTGGACGTGATCCAGTTTAACAAACACTTCAATAGTCGCACAGAGAAATGAGTGAAACAAAGACTTTGTAATGCATTTTTCATAAAATTAAATTTGCTCAATATAAGGAAGTTACTTTTATTTAAAAATTATGTCCTTTCTGTTGATCTGATGGTTTTTCCCCACCATACCATTTAGATCAGAAACGGTATAGTTGGGTTCCTCTTGTTCTGCTTGAACTCCTGAACATTCCTCTACTCATCTCCTACATGAATTTCAATTTTCCTTGGCATTTCATACTTTCCCCCATTTGTGCTAACCAAATTCATAGGGTAAAAATCTGGGTCCAACTATACTGTACAGAACAGACAGGATGGGTTATAATGAGTAAGTGATGATAATGCTTCCAGTTTATAGGTATACTATTCTTCAAGCAGAGGCCAATAGTCTGTGCTAAGTTAAACGGCCTATGCATTTAAAAAATGCAGATTAGGAGTGTAACATATTGTGTAGGATTCAGCCAGCTTTGAAAACATCAAGAAAAGGACACAATGGCATAAAAGGCAACAAATAATACATACTAATTTTCAAACTATCATCACAGATATGTCAGAAATATGTCTAACAAATTTAGGATAATATTCCTGGCAAACATCACTTATATTATGAAAGACAGTTACATCTCTGAAGCTGATATCTAAGACCTTTATTTTTTAAAAATACTATACACACACACACACACACACACACACATTTTTTAAAAAAACACTTCTCAGTAGGTGGCCAGTGTCCACACCACTCCAGAGAAGCAACAGAGGAGCTGCCAGCATAAAGGCCCTGGATCCAGGGGACAGCAGAGTGGTGTGGGGAGGGTGCTGGGTATAATGTATCTATCTTAGCTCTGCCATTCTGCAGCTGTGAAGAAGTCACTTGAATTCTCTGAATCCTTTCCTCACATCAGTGAAATTAGAGAGCTGAACTATATCAGTGGTTGCCCAAGCCTGAGAACCCTTCTTCCTCCCCAGATCAATTCTCATGTAGAAGTAACATGGAGGCCAGACACGGTAGCTCACACCTGCAATCCCAGCACTTTGGTAGGCCAAGGCGGGCAGATCATGAGGTCAGGAGTTCAAGACCACCCTGTGCAACATGGTGAAACCGTCTCTACTAAAATACAGAAAAATAGCCAGGCGTGGCAGTGCATGCCTGCAGTCCCAGCAACTCGAGAGGCTGAGGCAGGAGAATTGCTTGAACCCAGGAGGCGGAGGTTGCAGTGAGCCGAGGTTGCGCCACTGTACTCCAGCCTGGGCAACAGAGCGAGACTCCATCTCCAAAAAAAAAAAAAAAAGAAGTAACATGGAAAACATTTTAGTTTTAGATGAAAAAGGGGTTCAGGGGCCCAGAGCCCCACCTCCTGGCCCACTCTTTGTGCCCATCCCACAGGACACACAGGCTCCATGGAGTCAGATGATCTGGGTGCCTTCAAGTTGTCAGGCAGATGGAATGAAGTGTCAGCCTTTCTACTCAATAGCTTTTGTCCTTGGACAATTAACCTGAAATTCAGTTTCCCCATTTGTAGAAAGGGAACAAACACCTGGTGTCAGAGTGAAATACATGTGAATTTCCCTTTCTAGGCTTCAACTCTCCAAAGTTCTTCAAAGCTTCAACATTACCAGTTTGTGTAGTTCTTTATATACCTTTTTCTATAGCCAGAGTCATACTGTAGGTCTCACCCACATCTGTTTCCTCCTTCCTACTACTAAGTGCCTTAAACTCCGAAGTACACACACTCCCCACCCCATCACTGTTGCTCCAGTGTTAGCATTTTCACGTCATGCTCCCACTTTGCTCTCTCACTTTAATTCTTTTCAGGGTTCTGTAATGACAGAAACTTGAAGCTCCTCACTATCAGATCTTTCCTCAAGAAATAAGAAATGATTCTCTGTTCTAGAGGAACCGAGGAGGATGGGGAAAAGAAAGTCAGACAAGAGGAGGAAGGAGAGAACAGGACTGGCTACCTCCCTTGGGTGAGACCTCCTCCTAGTCCACACCATGGCCTTGTGCAGCACCAAGAGTCCAGGGCTCCTCTGAGCAGGAAGGGCCCCAGCTGCTGCCATGTGTCCTCACAACATGGTGGGGCCCAACACAGGCTGCTGTCGTGAGCATGGAGATTTGCTTAGTGACACTCCAGGGACGCAGCAGGAGTCTTGTTCTCATGTGAGTGTCAAGTGTTAATGATCCACGACAAAATCAGCGCCACAGCAGGATAAGGTAAACAAGAACTGGATCAAAGTGACATCTTTCTGATTTTGGCCATGCTGCTGAGATGTGTGTGGGCACATTCCTCTAGCATCCTCTTCTCAACGCTCTTCATCTGTATACATATGTGTGTGTGTATCTATACATAAATATGTACAGATACATCTAAATTACCTGGTCAGTCATGGGAAAGAAGATTTTATTTGATATATGAAAAGCTACATCCTTACTATCAATATTCAGTAATTTACAAATAATATGCAACTTTGACTTACCTTTTAGCTTCACTTTTTGGATCATCACATGGTTTAATGATCTCTGTGACACTGACATTTTCCTGGGGACTATCTTCCAATTCTTTGGCACTGTCTTGATTTAAGTTAGTATCTTCTGGATCAACCTTTACTCCTTCTCCAGGTCCATTTACATTGAAATTGTCATCATAATTCTAGGTAATAAAACATATGTGCCGTTACAAAATAAATATAATACTACTACTAGCTTTTTATGTTATGTTGCCAAATAGTTATATACCTTCGGGAAATAAAAAGGAGAAGCAGGTAAGTTAAGAACATGGATGCTCATTACAGTGATAGTAAATTAAGGGAAATCTGAAAAGAATCCAAATGTTCAAAAAGTGAATGGCTGAATATATGAAGAAAAATTCTGAAGTGCTTAAGTATCATGTTTCCAAAGATACTCAATTATGTGAAAAAATACTTACAACATATTAGCAAAAGTAGAAGAAAGAAAATTATACATAGTGTAATCACAATTTAATTCTTTATTAAGTAATCTCTACAGGTAAAATTAAGGATGATACTTTTCCATATTCCAAATGATAAGCAATGAGCAACTATTCTTCTACAGTCACAAACAATGGCAACAACAAACAGGCATTATAAAAGAAAGACGCCTGGCAAACATATCCTAAGCGTACCTGTCTGTTTTCAAGCAACATTTTGGCACATTTGTGCTCGCTCTCTCCATCTCTTCTCTCTCCCAACACACACTTTTTTCCCCAAGCCATCTGAAAGTGAGCTGCAGGCAGATATGAATCTTTGCCAGGTACATCCTAAGAATCAAAACATTCTCTGGCACAATACTCACACTCAAGAATCTAATGCTAATATTATCTGTTACACAACCCACATTCAAATTTACCAATTACTCCTTTTCCTGTATAGGGATATACAGGATAGGGGGTGTAATCAAGGATCACATGTTGCATTTAGTTGTCAGGTACCTTTAATCTCCTTTATTCTAGAGCAGCTCCCCCACTTTTTTTTTGTCTTTCATGATGTTGACAATTTGATGTTTTGTAGAGTGTCCCATAATCTGGCTTTGTTTGGTTGTTTCCAAATGATCAGATTCAGGTTAAACATTTCTAGCATAATACTATAATCCCGGGAAGCAAAATGAGTTTGTCATTTTTCAGTGATATTATTAAGTTTGATCATTTGGTTAGGGTGGTATTGCCAGATTTTTCAACTGTAAAGTATGTTTTCCCTTTTTAAATTAATAAGTAATCTGCAGAGTGTGACTCTGAGACTGTGTGAATATCCTGTCCCCATGACCATTTACCGAATATACTTGGCATCTATTAATGATTCTTGCCTGAAACATTTATATACTGGTGGATGTAGAAGAGTGATTTTCTCCCTCTATTACTTGTGTCATTTGCACTTGTACTAATTAATATTTTTCTGTAATAATAAAGCTTTCCTATCTCCTTTCTCCAACTTTTTTTTTTTTGAGACAGTCTTGCTCTGTTGCCCAGGCTGGAGTGCAGTGGCGTGATCTCAGCTCACTGCAACCTCAGCCTCCCAGGTTCCAACGATTCTCCTGCCTCAGGCTCCTGAGTAGCTGGAATTACAGGCGCATGGCACCACGCCCGGCTAATTTTTGTATTTTTAGTAGAGATGGGGTTTCACTATGTTGGCCAAGCTGATCTTGAACTCCTGACTTTGTGATCCACCCGCCTTGGCCTCCCAAAGTTCTGGGATTACAGGCGTGAGCCACCGCACCTGGCCAGCTCTCACTATTTTAAAAGTCAATATAGATACATAAATTTCTTTTTAACAAATGCAATGTATGAAGATCTATTACCCTTATTCCTTTTGATGACTCAAGTTTTCCCTAACTGGCAGGCCCCGCAAGCTGGATCTTGAGTACTTCTAACGTATCCCCATCAGTTTTTGAGCACTTCCTTAGTTTCTAGTATAAGATGCTCTAGGCTCACGTTCCACTTTCCTAGTCTCAGCCCTGAAATCAGGTATTTCTCCAAAGAGCAAGCCTGTTTCCTTTTCATGGAAAAGTGAACTTAAAAACCAAAACGTGTGCATTAGGTGTACTCACTGCTAGGGGTGTCACTGCTTCTAGGTCCTCACAATGCACACTGCTCACACACTTACTTTCTTTAAATCATGGGCTCATACCAACATCTCCACTTCAATCCAACTCTACAGTATTCTTCTTCTCTTTTCCTCAATTTATATTTGTATTTCCCTCTTCCCACAAAAAGAATATGGTTCCCAGCTACAATTTATTCATTTAATTCCTTTTTTTGGGGGAGGGGTCAAGGATCAAATAATTTAATTTTATTAAGATGTCAATACAACCTACATTGTGAACAAATTCAATATAATTTCTATAAAAATCCCAATAGCACAGGATTTTTTTTTACAGAACTATTGCTTAAAATTTTTAAATTTGATTATGAACTATAACTAGCCAAGCACTCACGAAAAAGAGGAGGCATTATACTTCCTGATTTCAAAACATATTAAAAGCTACAATAACAAAAACAATGTGGTACTGACACAAAGACAGAAAAACAGATAACAGAACAGAATACGGCACAGAAATGAACTCTTCTATATATGATTAAATGATCTTCCACAAAGTTGCCATGAGCACATGATAGAGAAAAGATAATCTCTTCAAAAAAAAAAAAAAAAACATGGTGAAAACTGCATGTCTACACTGATAAAGCTGGATCCTCTCCTTGAATCATATACAAAAAATATTTTAAATAAAATACTTACACATAAAAATAACTAACAAACCTCTTAGAAAAAATATAGGGGAAAGAAATGACATGGGTCTTGGAACCATTTTCTTAGACACAACATTAAATATGTGATTAACAAAGAACAGAAAAATTTAACTACGTGATACTTCAACATTTCTGCACATCAATGCCTCCTCTATGAAATTGGTGAAAATATACTCATTTACTTTCAAAAATACCACACCAATACCACCAAAAAACATACTAAATTCAGGACTTACTTTTTTGGCAGTTAATTTTATCTTTCAACTATATCCCTTGGAAGGTATTCAGTCAGAGTACTATGTTTGAGTTACTTGAATTAAATTTTCTTTCCTGTCAGTCAGGGTCATTTCTTTCTATTTACATTCAGTTTTAATCTGGGAGGGTTTTCTTGTACAATTCCTTGTTGGTTATGGAATTTTTCTGGCCATACAGAAAACTTCCCCAATCTCAAGTTTCAAGATACTCATTATTTGCTGCCGTCTGCTCTTAAATCTATCAGTACATTTCTCCACACTGCCCTTCCCTTCAAAAAGAGCTTAGAAAATATCAGGAAAAGTGTTACATCAAGCTAGGTCTGAACTTGCTACAATCAGGAATCATAAACGAGAGATGCTATAAAGGAATATAGCTTTTGAGAGAAACGATGGGGTGTTCATTTGAAGCATTTTCATCAGTAAGAAAATACTAACGTATGTGTTTATGGTTGCAATCAATAGAATCTATGCTCCATTAATCAAGGTAATACAGGCTCAGGTTAAACATAAATCTCTCTCCATTTATTTTGTCCTTACTGTAATGGTACTGACATACACAAAGGAAAGAGAAAGTGTTCCAAACTAATAATTATAAGGTGTTTGGATGGATGATGGTAGATGTCAATTTATAAAAAGAACACATATTTGCTATGCGGTTTTATAACTGAAGCAAAAAGTTCCAAATTACAATTTTAAGTGATTAACTCATGTGTCATATATCATTTTTTGAATAGGAAACTGATTTTAAAAAAGACTATTAAATATATTATTATAACCATTTGGATAAATAAACCAAATCTGAAGTTTTATTAAAAAGCATTAATGTGTTTTCTTAAAAATATTTAATACTTAATGTAAGTTAATATAACTAGATTATACTAAAATGCCATAAATCCAAATGTCCTTGGTAAAATGGACAAATTCACTTTATTTTTATAGGTATAACAACATAATACCATTTTATTTAAAAATAGTCCTTAAGACAGAGAATGAATTTGGACTTCAGCTGTGAAATATTTAAATTACTTAAACTTCAGAAAAATAGAAACATTTTTTCAAGACTCACAATCATTACAAGTTTCTAACCAAATGTTCCTTTTGCAATGTTTATGTTGTTGGCAGAATAAACTGAGATAAAAAAATGACCAATCCCAGATTTTCCTATTTCAAGATTTTAATTGTTGTCTTGACTTAAAAGCCTTTTGTGAGATGTATTCAGATTTTTAAAATACTGAAAATTCAGCTAATTCATACCAGGGGAATTCTACATGCATACTTGTTAAACACACTGGCAGTCATAATTAAGTTTGTTATTACATACATACAAGGGGGGGGAAGCACTAAAAAAGGAAAATATTTCTAATTCCTTTTTAATCAATCTTACAATCAACATAAAATTATGGAGTATAAGTTTCTCTCCTTAACACAGACTACACTGAATAAATAAGAGCACTGCAACTTTATCGTTGGCATTTAATGTTAACAAAACCTTTCTAACATACCTGTGCTGGTTTCTGTTTCTTTTTCTTCTGTTTTTTAGAAAGCCTAAGAGCAAATATAAATCGAAATGTCAAATACTTGACTCTGTGAAGAGTAAGTGGAAAAAAAAAAAAGTTGAAACACTAGTGATAAAGTAGTAAAACAGAAGTAAAAGATTAAAAATATTTAATATCTTAAAGCATTAAAAGGAAAATAAAGTATTCACATTGTCATTTTAGAGAATAACACAAGGCTGTAGTTCAATGGATAGTAATTAGCTTATCAACTGCCAGGTATAAAAACTGCTTTTAATATAGTGATAATATGTTCTATAAATATTATAGTTGACGTCTGTATCCACTTCAACACTATAAAGTTCCATTAACTAGAAAATATGGAGACAATCTTTTCTAGTTAGAATAACTTCCTTGGGATAAAACAGCCTTTAAGGCCGGGCGCAGTGGCTCACACCTGTAACCCCAGCACTCTGGGAGGCTGAGGCAGGTGAATTACCTGAGATCAGGAGTTCAAGACCAGCCTAGCCAACATGGTGAAACTCTGTCTCAACTAAAAACACAAAAATTAGCTGGGCGTGGTGGTGTGTGCCTGTAGTCCCAGCTACTTGGGAGGCTGAGGGAGGAGAATCACTTGAACCCACAAGTTGGAGGTTGCAGTGAGCTGAGACTGCGCCACTGCACCCCAGCCTGGGCAACAGAGTGATTCTCCATCTCAAAAAAAACCTTTTAATGCAATCTCTGAATGTGATAAGTATTTCTAGTGACATTTAATATTTAGAAGTACTTTTGTTTTGGTGCATCTTCCATTTCTTCCTCAGAATTGTCATCTAATGGATTTTCATCAATTTGAGGTCTTGAAAAATTTTCTTCTTCCTCCTCCAGCTGTTGTTTTAGCAAGGCCACCATTTCCCGATGCTTCTTTGACTTCTCGTGATTCTTCATGCTGAAAGAGCAATCTGACGTGAGCAGCTGCGCTAAAATTAGTTCACGTGTCCAGATAATGTTGCTGGATAACTGCAACCAAGATAAAATTAGCTTTTTTCCCACTAAGCAAAACGTTTCTGATTCTATTTATTTTTTTCTTTTTTTTTATTTGTTCATGATTTTATACAGAGAAACAGAACGTGTCAGGATTCCTTGGCAGTGAGCATACTGGAAGCTCGTGGCCACACTCTTTCTTTCCGTACCACAGCTTTCCCTGTCTTTCTCTGTCCTTTTATCTACATACATTTTCTTCCTTTCTGGGGATGGGGGAATGTCGGCAGGGGGAGGTTTGGACAAATTCTCTACTTATTATTTTGATTTTTCAATTCTTAAAGCTTCCGCCATTGTTTTCTTTTAATCACTAAGTATTTGCTAAGTGTTTTTACATTCCAGGCCATCCCACAGACTTGGAGGGATCACTGGGAAATTAGAAGACACACATTTTAATGTTAAAAGGAAGAGCCCCCTGGACTAGAGAAATGGTGGTGGGAAGGCTTGAAATACAAGAGCAGTTTACTGCCTCTTGCTTTTTCAACAGCTGCTTTTCACCTTCTCAGGAGAGGTCTCCTTTCTCACTCTCACCACCGTAACGTACATTCAGACACATCTCTATCCCTGTGTTCAAAACCCTGCTGGCAATGTCTGTCTCAGCACACCTACAGGCAACTAAAAAGCATTCAACAAAACAGGGTTGACAACATAAGCTACAAGAGTTATATCAACTAAAAAGCAGGAAACTTTGTCAACTATCTACTTCATCTCATCTGTTCAGGCTTTTGGTATTATAGTTTTAGTTGCTGTTTTTCTTTCCTACTAAAATTCTCCTTGAGACCAAGCTGCCCTGGAGATAATGGAAGATCCTGTGTCTGAAAGTAAGTCCTCCAAAAAAGTTATAAGCACATGTCAAAAGGACACAAGGGTGGTTTGAAGGAATGCTCACTAACCAATTCTGGAAAAATTTGAGCATGAAAAGGTCAGTAATGAATTATAAAACACTGAAAAAAAGAAATAAATTCAAACTGATAATAGATAAATGGATAAAAGGGAAGGCTCCTGTTTACAGCAGAAGGCCAAGTGCTAACTGATAAAAACTTGAGGGGGTACTGGCACTGGAAAAGCATCATTCTGCAACCATCATAAAAAAGACTGACGCAAGCTAAAACCATCAACAGATGCTAAAGCTATGAGGAAAACTTTTATGAGAAGCAAGATATCTGCATAGTTTTAAAGTGTCTCCTCACAGATTAAACATGTTACAAGGGAAAACCTGTTGCAAGGGAAAAAATACTAACTCTATAGTAAAATTAGTAGTATAGTAGTAAAATTAGATGACACCTTGATTGGGTGATGAAAATTATCACGACAAATGAGGGGTAGAAGGACTTTACGTGTCTCCAGCTATGAATCCCTGAGAGCACAACATGCTTGTGCGGCGTCCCTCCTGGGGCTGCATAACCTGAATCTAATCATGAGGAAATGCACAAAGACAAAATGAGAAGAATTCTATGAAAAAAGTGAAAACAGTGTACTTCTAAAATGTAAACAGCATAAAAGACAACACAAGCTGTTCCAGATTATGTTCTTAGACTGCATTCTGTATTGGAGAAAAATTCTATATTAATAAATAATTGATTGGCAAAATTGGAATGCAGGTAGTAAATTAGATAAAAATACCATATCAATGTTAATAATTTCTTTTATTTGGTCACTGTAGCATGGTTACATAAGAGAATAACCTTACTTTTTTTTTTTATTTTGAGACGGAGTTTTGCTCTTATTGCCCAGGCTGGAGTGCAATGGCACGATCTTGGCTCACCACAACCTCCGCCTCCTGAGTTCAAGCGATTCTCCTGCCTCAGCCTCCTGAGTAGCTGGGATTACAGGTATGCGTCACCACGCCCAGCTAATTTTGTAGTTTTAGTAGAGACGGGGTTTCTCCATGTTGGTCAGGCTGGTCTCAAACTCCCAACCTCAGGTGATCTGTCCACCTCAACCTCCCAAAGTGCTGGGATTACAGGCGTGAGCCACTGCGCCCAGCGAGAATAACCTTATTCTTAAGATATAGTGAAGTATTTAGAGGTAAAGGAACACTATATATGTAAGTTACTTTCAAATTATTCAGAAAAATACTGTGTGTGTGTTGAGCGTGTAGAGAGAAAGAGGACATGCAAATTGTGCAAAACGTTAGTAACAGGTCAATCAGACACACTATATTCTCTTCTTGCAATTTACCTTTAAGTGTGTCATTTCCAAATAAAAAAAAATTTTTAATCTCCTTCATTGTTGACCTTTTTCTTGCTTGTTTCTAATTTTTCTGCCTCTTTCCACTTCCCCTAGTACTCTGTCATTTCTCCCTGAGGTCATATGGTAATACCATTTATGACTCTCACAGCGCCATTCTCATCCTTTGGCCTCCTTTCTCTCTGATTGCCCATTTTGCTTTTTTTCCCTTGCTGATTCTACTCCCATTTTCTCCCGTGTTGTTTCCTCCCTCCTTTATAATAATGGTATCCGTTTTAATACTTCTTTCTTCATCATTGTTCCCCTAAGATAAAGTTCTTCCACTTCAGCAAAGATACTCTGGGCCAGACAAGTTTAAAGCCCCTATATTGGCAGCATCAGCCTGCATGGGACAATGATGGTGGGAAGTGAGTCTGACACCAATGATGGAGGGAGATGATTAGACACGGTCTAGACTTTTTGCCCATGTGACTATGTCTTCTTTGCCAAAACAAGCAATGCTTCTGGAGACAGTGCATGTGTTTTAAAAGCAGCTATAGGAATACTGGGATGAGTGACAATCAGTACAACAGGTTTAATGGCAGGTACAAATACCTCTTTCTACCCTGCTGGAAAGGAATCCCCCGAGACAGTATGTGGGGCTAGTTATCAACTGCTACAAGCACATTGTTTTTAGAACTTTCAAAATGTTACACTTCACCTCAAAAAAAAACACAAGGGCCAGGCGCTGTGGCTCACGCCTGTAATCCCAACACTTTGGGAGGCCGAGGTGGGTGGATCGCCTGAGGCCAGGAGTTTGAGACCAGCCTGACCAACATGGTGAGACCCTGTCTCTACTAAAAATACAAAAATTAGCTGGGTGCGGTGACCTGCATCTGTAGTCCCAGCTACTCGGGAGCTTGAGGCAGGAGAATCGCTTGAATCCAGGAGGTGGAGGTTGCAGTGAGCTGAGATCGTGCCACTGCACTCCAGCCGGGGCAACAGAGTGAGACTCTGTCTCCAAAAAAAAAAAAAAAAAAAAAAAGAAAACACAAGTTCAGAGATACTAAACTTACTCCTTTTAACTGGATGCAGTGGCTCACGCTTGCAATCCTAGCACTTTGAAAGGCTGAGGCAGGTGGAACACTTGAATCCAGGAGTTCAAGACCAACCTGGACAACATGGCAAAACCCCATCTCCAAAGAAAATATTTAGGTTGGTGCAAAAGTAACTGCAGTTTTTTAGCTGGCCATGATGGCAGGTTCCTGTAGCCCTAGCTACTTGGGAGGCTGACATGGGAGGATCATCTGAGTTCAACAGGTCGAGGCTGTGGTGAGTCATGACTGTGCCACTGCACTCCTGCCTTGGTGACAGAGTGAGACCCTGTCTCAAAATTAAATTAAATTAAATTAATAAACTTACGCCTTTTCTGTCTTGAACGATTTGTCACATGCTGGGCAGTAAAGGTCATCATAGAGCTCAGCGTCCTCGGCCTCATCACTGTCTTTACCTATGACAGGGAAGCCTACAGTAAGAACCCTCTTTGATCAGAGCACAAATCTAAAATATGCTAACAAATTAGAAATTAAATTTTTTTATTTCTTTACCTAAAAAAAAATAATCCTAAGGATTTGAGTTGGCTTTTTAAAAGCAGCACTGTACTATAAGGAAAGGCTCCAAATAAAGCACCTTAACTTTCAAGTTCTTTTCCTAAGTCTACTTAGAAGAAGATATAAAACATCTTTAAAGTCTTGGATGTCAGCTAAGTTTAAAAAATTAAATCCCACTTTCATAGTTCTACCACGAAGCAGTTTTTCAAAAAAGGTCTTTTCTTAGTTTACCTCTTGAGCAAGATTTGGTCCAAACACATTTACAACTGTGACTTACTCTTAAATACTTAATAAACTTAGTTTATAAGTTTATAACATTCCATCACTGTAAGACGGATAGGCCATAAGTTAACATATTACATGTAAAGTTTAACATTATAAACTTTTTTTTAATAAGCTTTTGGCTTTATTACAACTGAATAATTACTATCAGTATAGTCCACAAAAACCAACTGACTAAAAAGCTCAATTGAAATTATTTTCACAAATCCGTATTCTATTTTTGAAGAAACAAACATGTAAACTGTCATTTGGGATTTATTATAGGACCAATAAATATCTCAAGGTATCTTCCATATTCTACATGTTGGTTATTTATAAGTGATGTCAGTATGATTTTGAAGGACTGTCTCATTGAAATCATAAATGATCAAAATATACCCTATCTAGTGTTAATGTTTAATATATGGTGTTAATTTTCCATTATGGTATTGTAGACTTTCAATATATCATGTATGTGAAATTTTAATTAATCGAATAGTTAACAATACTGGATTTGAAGCAAAAACTCTGGATCTAAAAATGGTCATACATTCTCAGGCACATCTCATAGCTTCTCAGAGTCCTAGTTTCCACAACGGCAAAACAGAGACGATTCCATGAGCAAAACCTCCATGTAAGGGGGATTGTGTGACGATCCAGTGAGAGCTTGTACGTGAAAGGACTTTATAAATTGTAAAACTCGATGGAAATTAGGCCACCTCACATTTATAGAGTGATTTATAATTTTCAAAGTACTTTCAAAAGTATTACTTCTGATTCATTAATAAAACGCTTCACTTCCTAGTCATTTTGAATAAATAAAAGTTTATCATTTTATTATTTGGGCTACGAATCTGAAAAATCACATTTGTAGATAAGGTAAAACTGGGTCAATTTTATAGAGACAGTGGGGAAAATCAGATATACAGCTATTCTCAAAAATGCCTAATCCTTGCCTTTTAAGGTAGTCAAATACCTGTGCTCTAATGATAGCGGCAAAAAAAAAACAACATTTTGGCACACCAAGAGGAGCCCTTCTATAAAGTCACAAGGGAGAGGAAGAATTTATACACAACACATAGATTCTCATGCAATATCAGCTTTTCTAGAAATAGTTACTATTAAAACTTGACCTATCACTTAGTTGAATTTTCTTTAATAGTCACACTTGGCCGGGCGCGGTGGCTCACGCCTGTAATCCCAGCACTTTGGGAGGTCGAGGCGGGTGGATCACGAGGTCAGGAGATCGAGACCATCCTGGCTAACAAGGTGAAACCCCGTCTCTACTAAAAATACAAAAAATTAGCCGGGCGCGGTGGCGGGCGCCTGTAGTCCCAGCTACTCGGGAGGCTGAGGCAGGAGAATGGCGTGAACCCAGGAAGCGGAGCTTGCAGTGAGCCGAGATTGCGCCACTGCAGTCCGCAGTCCGGCCTGGGCGACAGAGCGAGACTCCGTCTCAAAAAAAAAAAAAAATAGTCACACTTGTAAACATGTCCATTTGTCATATTATGCAGCTAGAAGTACACACTGTTTAGGACATGGTCAGAAAAGAATTTGTTAATCAAATTACTTGAATTAGACTAGCTCAGCCGACTACCTTTGGCCCATACAACATTATTTTTAATTATTTGCCACATTTAAAAATTGGGAGATGTCAAATAAGCAAGGAGATTTCCAGCTTCACTTAAAAAACAAAAAAGATAAATAAAATAAAAATAATATTACCATCCTCCTCATCTTTGAGTTCATGTTCTTCCATTTCATTTTCATCCGATCCATCTCCAAACTCCTTCTCGTACCGTGCCTCCATCTCCTGGAGCTCTTTCTCCAAATTGGCCATAGTCATCCAGCTCTGTTCTCTGTACTGCTCCACCAGTCTAGACACATACAGCACAGTCTCACAGCGACAAGCACGCCTCTGCATGGTTTTCACTTACTACTTAGGTTTAAAATCCATTCCCACTAGAGAGCTTGCTCCCAACCTATCCACGCTTACAAACTTAAAACCTGTGCTTAGTTAAAACCAAGGCAAAGTCACTTAAACCTGTTACCTGTTGTATGGTTAATTTTAATTGCTCCAGTAGTAGATAACAGGTTTTGAAACATGAAACTCAGCAACTTATTAAAAGTCTTCAGATGATTTTAAGTCATGTAGGTAAAGTGTTAATTTTCAAAAGATGAGGGTGGGATGAGTAGAATTCTTAAGAAGTGAATAATTTTTAAAAGTATGCTATAATGCTCTGGACACAATGCATTTACAGTAACTTTTTAATAACAAAACTTTAGAGGAACTAAAATGAACTGAGTATCTCAGGGTACACTGACCAAAAGGCAGTACTGCACGGTGGCTAAAGCAGGAAAGTCTGGAGTCAGAATTCTCAGGTTCAATTCCTGACTCTACCATTTACTGGCTCTGTGATCTCAGGCCTGTCAGCCTTGTTTCCTCAGAAGAACAAGGAGGATAAGTACTTCACAGCATTGCTGTGAGGAAGGCACTTAGAACGTGGCCTTGCACAGAGGAAGAATTCAATTAACGCTAGTTATTAATTAAAATTATTAAGTTTTACAAAAGTCTAAAGGATCTCTCAAATGTAAAGGGTCTCTGAAGGAAAATATCCAATTCAAATAAAAATTTTAGGCCAGGCACTGTGGCTCATACCTGTAATTCCAGCACTTTGGGAGGCTGAGGCGGGCAGATCGCTTGAGGCCAAGAGTACGAGACCAGACTGGCCAACAGGGTGAAACCTCGTCACTACTAAAAATACAAAAATTAGCTGGGCATGGTGGCATATTACACCTGCAATCCCAGCTACTTGGGAGGCTGAGACAGGAGAATCACTTGAACCTGGAGGCGGAGGTTGCAGTGAGCCGAGATCGCACCATTGCACTCCAGCCTGGGTGACAGAATGACACTGTCCCAAAAATAATAATAATTTTTACACAGTAGATGAAAAAACACTATCCAATGCCACAATTTAAAAAAGAAGAAAAAGCAGGATAAAGCCAGGCTGATGACTGAACCCAACATGAACATGTAAGGTACCTCTGGTGCTGCCTCTGACCCCCACCGATACTGAGAAGAGGGCCCCACGCACGCTACGCACTTGGCCTGCTTTAGCTTCTGCTGCCGCCTCATCTCTTCGGCTTTCCTCGCCTTCTCTGCATTCTGTTCTTCCACAAGTTTTCGATGCGCCTGCACTCTTTTATCTCTTTTACGAATGAAAGCTACCAGCTGACGGACAAGCTCATTCTTCTCTTTCCTTGCTTTGTCCCGAATCTTTTTGTTTTCTTTTTCCATGGCTCGTTTTTCCCAGCGGTTTGAAGCCTGTCGTGTATCATATTCTTCCTTCCATGCAAAATTCTTTTGAGTGCAGAAACTCTGCCAATAAGCGTAGAAAGGATGGACTACCTAGTGACAAAGAAAACAGATTAACTTCTGCGCTTTAAGATTTTTTTTTAGAAAAGCAGTAAATATTACTGATGCGAAACATCTTTTACCTTTCTTTTTTCATGTATATAACACTTCTAATAATCTCTGGAGAAGACAGTACTTTTAAGGCTTTCCAGAAAAAATCACTCTTCAAAATAAACTTAATGAGAAAATAAAAATAGCCTTACTAATCACTAGATGGGACCATGGTGATTAGTAAATAATCAGTAAACAATTAGTAAATTAAAAGGGAAAAGTAGGCATGGTGGCTCACGCCTGTAATCCCAGCACTTTGGAAGGCTGAGGTGGGTGGATCACCTGAGGTCAGGAGTTTGAAACCAGCCTGGCCAACATGATGAAATCCTGTCTCTACTAAAAATACAAAAATTAGCTGAGCATGGTGGTGGGAGCCTGTAATCCCAGCTACCTGGGAGGCTGAGGCAGGAGAATCGCTTGAACCCGGGAGGCTGAGGTTGCAGTGAGCTGAGGTGGTGCCAATGCACTCCAGCCTGAGCAACAGAAGTGAAATGCCATCTCAAAAAAAATAAACAAATAAAATAAAAAATAAAAAGGGAAAAGTAAAGGGGGAAGGTTGCAAGAGATCGAAAAGCTACTTCAGAAAGGAAGAGAGACAAAGAGAGGTCATGGGATAGGTTCGAGAACTAGAACCAATTGTTTTAAAACAAGGAAATGAGAAGCTGGGAGCTGTGGCTCATGCCTGTAATCCCAATCTTTTGGGAGGCCAAGGAGGGAGGCCAGGAGTTCAAGATCAGCCTGGGAAACTTAGCAAGACCCCATCTCTACAAAACAATTGACAAATTAGCTAGATGTCGTGGCGCACACTTGTGTTCCCAGCTACTCAGGAGGCTGAGGTAGGAGGATTGCTTAAGCCCAGGAGTTTGAGGCTGCTGTGAGATATGATCATACCACTGCACTGCAGCCTGGGTGACAGAGTGAGACCATCTCAAAAAGTAAAATAAAATTTAAAAATGACACAGTGATAAATACTAATTATAGAACAATGCATTTTTATTTTACCGTATCATAGTCACTCTGGGAGTCTCCAAAAGTTGGGAAATCATCAACCTCTTCCTCTAACACAGATTCTAGTTCTTCCTTGGCAATCATTTCAAAAACATTACGATACACCGTGTAAAATCCCTAAAAAACAGTAACAAAAACAAATTCTTAATACTTTTGCAGCCTGATCACAGAAAAAGATTTTAAAATACAAAATGAAAAATTTTAATGTTGAAGAATTTTGGGACAAAGTTCAGTCCCTGCAATACATTTAGATTTCAACTAGAGGTTTTTATACACTGACAGCTTAAACATGAAGGCAATGCATCTTCAGTTTTCAAAATGAACACTGCTTCACTTTCTATTACAGAATAGTTTTAAGAATTCTCTTTGTATGTGAGTCTTAATGAAGTACTTGATGAGAAATCAAGGGTGAGTTCATTTATCTTACCTTTTCATCATCTCCATAACCAGAATAACAGGTAACGGTGAAATAGCGTAGCAAATCTAAGCTGTCATCTTGATATTCGCCATCAAACCCACCTTTAAGTAGGGCCTCTCTATGATTATCATACCTGAAAAACAAAAATTAGCATCATTGTGAAGGCTGAATAAGTAAGAATTCAAAAGGATTTCTTGCTCCTTTTGAATATTATTATTGTACATTTTTGGTTGTTGATATGTCCAATCCATAACCAAAAATTTTTAATGAAATATTAACATGAAAAGAGTTCATAATCTTTCACAGAACTGTTAATTATAACTAGGCCTGCAACTTCTGATACATTATACAATGCTAGCCCACATGAACAGGGGAATTTAAAAAGCCAAGGAATTTCCATGACTGTCTCTGAGTCCCGTACTTCCACAGGAAAGAAACATAAAACAGGACATAGGAAATCTGGCCCACAGAATCATTACACATCTGTGATTTGGAAATTTACCAAGATGCACTGGAATAAGAATCTTCCTAAATTTATGTCAACTTAATCTAGGAGCTTCACACACACACAATTGCTTCTCATAATAACTCTGTAAAGGCAGTTATTATCTCCATCTGATATAAAAGGAAATGGAAGCTCAGTGATATTACATAATTTGTCATCCATAATAATAAAACCAGTAACCAGCAAAGTCTGAATTCAGAAGCAGGTCTCCTACATTGGGAAGACCAGCTCCTAGCCACTACACGGTACTGCTTCCAGGTAAAAAGAGAGTTACTAGGCAAGAGCTTTGACTAAAAAGACAAAGGAATCCCAAGGATCAGAAAACAACCCAAGATCTTGAGAAGAGAGTAGGCAAAAGGAAGTCAGGAAAGAATTTCAAAGTTCTGGGAAGAAGGCAAAAGCAATTCTAAGACCAGATCTCCAAATTCCTTGAGTAGAGAAATGTTCAGGATCCTCTCTCTGAGTTTCTTATGAAACACAATTTTGTAAGAATTTTCTTTGCAGCCTTTCTTTCTTGACAACCACCTGGTTGTACACTGTTTAACAGAAAGATGACTTGCACAGTAGCTCTTTGTAAGAGCAGGATCTTGCACAGTTATGTCAAAGCTTAAAACCTATTTCCTTGTAGCAAAAAGTTAATTGAGAATCTGAAAACTCAGAACTTCAACATAGTAATTTTCATCTGGAAATTATTTTAAATGATCACACCATCATTAGTAATATCTGTCACAGATGCAGAAGCTTAATTCAATTTCTTCATATAAAGTAGTTTTGAGGATTACCATTCTTGTATTAAAACACTGTATTGGTTGAGCACAGTGGCTCATACTTGTAATCCTAGCACTTTGGGAGGTCAAGGCAGGTGGATTGCTTGAGGTCAGGAGTTTGAGACCAGCCTGGCCAACATGCTGAAACCCCGTCTCTACTAAAAAAAAAAAAAAAATACAGGTGTGTGGTGGCACACACCTGTAGTCCCAGCTACTCAGGAGGCTGAAGCAGGAGAATCGCTTGAACCTGGGAGGCAGAGGTTGCAGTGAGCTGAGATTGCGCCACTGCACTCCAGCCTGGGTGACAGAGCAAAACTGCGTCTCAAAAAAAAACAAAAAACGAAAACCTTCTACCTGTCTGATATCAGTAAATCTATCATACACCAAAGGGTATTTAATGAGAAGTCACCTAAAGTATCAAAATTAAAACTATATAATATCACCAAACTTTGTTTCACCCCCTATGATATCAGATAATTGGAGCAATCATTTCCAAGCTTCCTTCTGACCCAAACGTTAGATTTTATGTGATGACTAGGTGACAGATGTTTCAGAACACACCAAAAACCATTTAATGTACTAAATTTGAAAAAACAACCACCTATATTGATAACTGCTCCCAACATCATAAACTAGGATGGGAAGGACAGCGTGATGCTCACCATGCTCTTTCCTGAGGGTCACTCAACACATCATATGCTGCTTGGATTAATTTAAATTGTTCAGCTGCTTCTGCGGCATTATCCAGATTTTTATCTGTTAAAGTCACAGAAATTTAAGTCAATCAAAAACGTACAGGACAGAATCTAAATAAGACATTTTCCATCAGAAATGCCACAAACAGATGAGACGTGCACAAAACAAGAAACAACCAGGGCCAAGCAGAAAGACTCCACGTAACAGTCAATAATCAGGATTTGTTAAAAGCAACAATCTAAGCAGAAATTTCAGGCTTTTCCCTAAGCCTTGGTACATCACTAAACAGTCAACTGGGCTGGGCGTGATGGCTCACGCCCACTGTAATCCCAGCACTTTAGGAGGCCGAAGCAGGTGGATTACTTGAGGTCAGGAGTTTGAGACCAGCCTGGTGGTCAACATGGTGAAACCCCGTTTCTGCTAAAAATACAAAAGATTAGCCCAGTGTGGTGGCGCATGCCTGTAGTCCCAACTACTCGGGAGGCTGAAGTGGGAGAATCACTTGAACCCAAGAAGCAGAGGTTGTAGTGAGCCTAGATTGCACCACTGTGCTCCAGCAAGACTCCATCTCTAAAATGAATAAAATAAAATAAAATAAAAGTAAAACAAGTCAACTGGATATCCACAAAAGGAAAAACCTGAGTAGTATAAATTTTACTTTTAAAAGGAGTAAAATAAATAAAATCAGTTCTAGAAAGACTTATTTTGTACTAGATTATGTTTAGTGCTGACATTGTTTTTTTCTTTCTCATCAATGTATATCAAAAGAAATCTCATAAAGTTTAAAAAATATACACTAATTAGTTATTATTTCCTTAGCTGTGCTTCCTGAACCATGGAATTCAGAAAGCGTCCTTGCCTCAGGGTGGTACCCAGCTTGCAAGACAGCACCCCGCCTCCTGGCATTCACACCTTGTGCAGTCCCTTCTGTGTCAGCAAGGGTAGTCTGTGTGACCAACAGGAGATGGCAGAAGTAATGGTACCTCACTTCCGAGATGAGGTTATAAAAGACTGCAGTTTCTACCTTGGGCTTTCCCTCTCTCTTGATCACTCTGGGAGTGGCCAGCTGCCATAGCATGAGCAACTCAGGCTGCCTATGGAGAAGCTGGAGAAGCTCATGGGGTGAAGGAGGCCAATAGCCGGCAGAGCACTGAGGCCTGCCACAACCACATGAGTTGGTGGTTGGTGAGCTGGTGAGTTGGTGAGCTGGAAGCAGGTTCTTTCAGACAATGAGAAAGCCAAAACCACCTAGCAAAGCCGCTCCCAGATTCTCATCCTTAGAAACTGTGGGAGTCCATATAGTCAACATAGGCTTGCTGTTTTTGTTGTTTGTTGTCTTAAGCCCTGAGGTATTGGTAATTTGTTACACAGCAATAGACAACTAATATATTCAGAACGTAAAGCATTTTGAATTGACTATGGAGAACACTAAAGTTCGTTTTTTTTTTTTTTTTTGAGATGGAGTCTCGCTCTGTCACCAGGCTGGAGTGCAGTGGCGCGATCTTGGCTCACTGCAACCTCTGCCTCCTGGGTTCAAGCGATTCTCCTGCCTCAGCCTCCCAAGTGGCTGGGACCACAGGCGTGCGCCACCACGCCCAGCTAATTTTTGTGTTTTTAGTAGAGACAGGGTTTCACCATGTTGGCCAGGATGGTCTCCATCTCCTGACCTCAGGTGATCCGCCCACCTCAGCCCCTCAAAGTGCTGGGATTACAGGTGTGAGTCACCGCACCTGGCCGGAGCACACTAAAGTTCTTTAAGCTACAGCTCAATACTTCCCTTCTAAGAAGTTACAAGAAAACATGACAGCAATGTCTTATCTACAAATAGTTTTGCCGCCCTAGAACATGGCTCTTCAGGGCTTCCTGCTGCCCATTCTCAGATACCATCACACTGATGCCATAAATTATGATGATATTTAGAGAAGATATTTGCATTCAGTTCCTAACAGGTTTGGTTTCAAAGGAGTTAACTGATACTTTAGTCATATTTGCATGCTTCTTCCTAGCACTGATTTCTAATTAATCACCAAATCTGGTCATTTTTCCTTCCCAACATCTCCTCCCCTTGCGCTTTCCCCCTCCCGCTGACCCCAAGCCTGGCTTGGGCCCTTACCTGTCTGTCCACTGCGGACTCTCCCTAACTTCTGTCTCCAGCCCTCTTCAATCCACTAAGTTGCCTTCATAGTACTCTCCCATGGCAGCTTAATAAAACCAGCCACAACTCTCCCTTATTTAGCGAAGCAAATTTCACAGTCCTTGGGCTAATATTCAAGATTACAAGAAATACAATCTGATTTCAAACTACTCTTGTACTCAAGAAATACAATCTGATTTAAAATCACTCTTCAGAAAATTACATACGCTTTTGGTCACAGCATTCGCTACTTCATTTACCCTTTCCCACCTAGAAAGTCAAGGAATTCCGAACTTCCTTCTAATTCCTAACTTGATTTCTAACAGTAACAACCCAAACTCCTAAGAATATGCTTCTACACTAACCCAAACTCTAAGAATATACTTCTACACTATTTTTACATTTATTAATTTTGGCTGTATCTTCTGACTTACTGCTATGATGAACATCAGTTCATTTACTTCTGCTCTTCTAATATATTTATAATCACATTTTTTCACGCCTCTGTTGGTAAGCATAACTTTAAGTAACAGACCCACACCTCTATCTCTCACTCCATCACCATAGCCATTCCCTTTTGACTTTGGGTCCCTGACCTTTCCTTCCACTCCTCTCATAATCCCTATTTTTCAGACCTGCAATACACACCACCTTCAGTCAAACTGTCCCCCGGAACATCTTTTGTCCTCCACCATGCTATCCTCCATACTGTTGAGTTCACTTTTCCAAATTGCATTCCTCTACGATCCAGTCCAAACTCCTCTGAGAAGGGGAAGACTCAATACAAAATGGTAACTCCCTCCCTGAATTCCTGGAGCATATATTAGTTGTTCCATTAATCTAACCACCAATTATGTATGTTGCGATTTTTTTCTGGCAGTTGTATTTAACTTTTCATTTGTGTAAGGCAGAAAGTTGTTTTCCTAACAAGACTCTAAGACCCCTGTCTCAGCATTTCCAAATCTACTTAGTAGAGTGCAGTGACTTGCATATATTGGATACTCTGTAACCGTGTTTACTGATGAATGCTAATATGAAAGCCTCTTCATATGAACCTCAAAAAGCTGAAAGTCAACTACTCTCTTAGTTTCCCAGCCTGGAAGATCAGATTACTTCATAAAAGTCACACAGGCCTGGATTACAGACCAATGAAACATCCAAAGGAAGGATACTTCTAAGTAAACATACAAACTTTACTGGGGAAGCCGCCTGATTAAAACCTTCCCCGGCAGAATCATGTCCAAAGTGAAGTACAAGGTCTGCTTAAACAGCTTATTAAAAGAAAAAAAAAACAGCGAAAAAAGCGCATCCCTATTGAAAAGATATTTTACTAGCTCCCGTGTCTTAACTTCTTAACTAAGAAACGAAAAGAGCCATACATCAGGTTGAAGTATCTGGGATTCCCGGACGAGGTGGAGGGCAGCGGAGGAAAAACACCGAGAGGCTGCGCTGCAAGGGACGCAGGGAAAAGCAAGCCTGGGGCAGGTCTGAGTTCCGAGTTCCCGACTGCTCCCTCGTGGTGTCTGCGACCCGGTAGCGGGAGCAAGTGAGGTTGTTGGACTGCAGTTTTCCCCCTACAGTGGCGATGCGGGGCCGGGGTCGCGGGTATGAGGAGATGGGGTGTGAGCCGGGGTGCGCCAGGGCAGAGCGCTTCGCCCACCGAGACGGGCAGGGCGGCTCCGGGCACTGGCCGGGCGGGGCAAGGAGCTCCTAGGCCGCCAGGTCCCTCTCTGCTGGCTCCGCGGAGTCCGCCCGGGGGAAGGGAAGGTCGGGGAGGGCCGGGCTTCTCCGAGTGGCCGCGGGGGCTGCGGGACAGGTACTTACCCGGGTGCCATTTCAGGGCCAGCTTCCGATAGGCCTTCTTGAGCTCCTCCTCGCTGGCGTCGCGCCGCACCCCCAGCGCCTCATAGTGACACTTCATCGCCCGACCGGGCGGGCGGCCGGCGCTGGGGCCCGGGACGGGGTCGGGGCCCGGGCCCGGGCCGAAGCGGCGGCGGCGGCGGCGCTGGCAGTCCTCTCCGGCGGGAGTCCGCCGCCCGCACCGGGCCAGCCAGCGAGCCCGGCGGCGGCGGCGGCGGCGGCGGTGGTGTAGGTCAGTGAAGGCGCGCGGTGGCGGCAGACGACGCAGGCTGCGGCAAGCGGGAGCGCGGCGGGGGCGGTGCCGGCGGCCGCCGCTTCGCATGGGCTAGGGGTGGGCTCTGTGCCGGAAAGGGCCGCGCGGGAGGGGGTGGGGCCTCGGCGGGGTGAGAGGCGAGGCCCCGAGGAAGGAAGGCGGGGCCTTGGCGAGGAGAGAGGCGGGCCGCGCAGGAGAAAGGCGGGAGCTTGGCGGGGAAAGAGGCGGGCCGCGTGGGAGGAAGGTAGGCCTTGGCCGGGAAGAACAGGAGGAAGGCGGGACCTTGGTGTGAGAGGCGGGGCCTCGGCGGGGCGAGAGGCGGGGCCGCGCGGAAGGGAGGCAGGGCCACGCTGGTGTCATTGTGAGGGGCACAGATGGCGGTCAGTGTGAGTGGCAGCCGACCTGAGGGCTGAAGGGGGAGATAGGAGCTGGGATGGGAGAGGATTCTGGAAAATATCTGATTATAATTTCTCAATGGATCCCCGTTTTTATAGATAAGGCGATTCAGACTCCAAGTGGTCAAGTGGTTGGCTCAAGCCTCCTCAGCTAATACAGTAGCAGAATTCGGTTGGACTGAATATCAGGTTTTTTTTTTAATCTCTTTAATTCTCTTCAGCTGCCACTTAAGATATCTGGTATTGATCATCTTGACCAATATGCTTGAGAAAGGACAGTTAGATTATTTAAGCGGAAACAATTTAAAAGGGAAGCATCAACACACTTAATGAAAAGCCTTACCACCAACATGGATGAAATTGTGCTGATCTATCCATCCAACACACTTTAATCCTAACTTTCTGGCCTCTAATCCTACCTTTCCAAGATTGGTTTAGGTTAAGAAAGCAGTTAAAGGATAGTATTTAACTGGTAGGTTTTGGTTGATCTGACTATCTGCACAATTATTCCAAACACTTTGAAAGGTATCAAAATAATACCATAATTATTAAAATGCATTAATACACCAATATATTTCACTGTAATGTGGAATGTTTACATGCATCAGTTAGGTGTGGGTTGTATTTACTAACCATGTATGGTTAGCTATGTTGCTAATATCTATTGCACAGGGTTGGCGTACCCAAGCGGTTTAGTAAGGTTATCCTTCTCTTCCCCAATATGCTGCCCCCAGTAAAATAAAAAACCCACGCTAAGCTTCATCAGGTTACTTCACACGCCACTGACCAACCAACTCACTACTCAGAATTCATACACTTCCCTTTTTTCCAGAGGAAGATTCTACACAGTCTCAGTTAGTTGGTAAATTGGTAATGGATAAGGATTGAGAAGTCTGAGTTTGGGGGAGAATGAAACCTTTCCCCTCCTGAGAACAGAATTGGGATGGTGGGCGGGGGGAAGGGAGGGACAAAAAAAAAAAAAAAAACGGAAAGGGAAAGTATTTTTTTCCCTCCAACTTAATTTGGAGTATTTTCTCCCTCCAACTTGATTTGGTTTTGGATACAGCCTGTAGGAATCACTTACTTCTTTTACCTTCTGAAGTAAGAAGGATTTTTGCCTGTAACATTGTATAATTAAAGGTAACTATGCTGGATATAAATTTCAGTCTAAAGGAACATCTTGACCAGGCGTGGTGGCTCATGCCTGTAATCCCAGCACTTTGGGAAGCCGAGGCAGGAGGATCCCTTCAGCCCAAGAGTTCAAGACGAGCCTGGGCAACATAGCGAGAACTTGTCTCTACAAAAAAAAAAAAAAGCCAGGCATGGTGGCGTGGGCCTGTAGTCCTAGTTACTCAGGAGGCTGAGGCAGGAATACTTGAGCCCAGGAGTTAGAGCCTGCAGTGAGCTATGACCACACCACCACACTACAGCCCTGGGTGACAGAGCAAGACCCTGCCGCTAATAAATAAAGGAACATCTTTTATTAAACTGGTGCCCTTTAAATGACCAGACTTTAGAGATGATCCATTCCAGAAGAATTCTCAAATAAGATATCCATATAATTGTGAAAGGGAATTTGAGATATAAGGATATCTCTATTATGGAAACTGTTAATTGAAAATTGTGAAATTGGAAATTACACCAAAACTCCACAATGCACACATCAAAAGTACAAGTTTGTATCTCTACTAAAACTTACAATTTGTTGATCTAGTTTATAACCTATAATTAACTTGTTCCTGAGATGTGGGTGTTTAAAAACAAATTCTGAATACGGCTGTCTTATTTTTATCCAAGACTATATTCAACTGCCTAAATAAAATAACGGCCACTTTGGTTTTTTTCCATTTAACTAGATTTGGCCCTAGTCACATACAAGTATTTCAAGTGATCCTCTCACCTGAATTACCTGCATAATTTAGATGACTTCAAGATTTCAAGTTTCCTAATTTAGACTATTTCAAGGCCAATTAAGCACTCAGGAAGGCCGTTCTTAGCAAAAAATTTAAGGAAAAAAAAACCATCAATATTGATCATTCTGCCTAAATACTTAAAATAATAAAGACATAAAATTAAAATGTAAGTGAACTAGGAAAGATCTCTATAATAAACTTACTATATAAAAGCACTTATAGAATCAGTAAAAGACAATCCTACCACAGAAAAACAAACATGATTAGTCCAGTCAAAAAGGATAAACCAGTAACTAAAAAAAAAAAAAGGTGGTTTTTTTTTTTTAACCTATTGAATTGACAGATTCTTTCATGCATAGTGAAACTGGTAAGGGGACAAGGAAATGAACCCTCTAATAGCCTCTAGTGAGGTTATGGTGGTGGAGGGAACAAGCAAAAAGCCTAGAGTTCATAATCTTTAACCTAAGTTGCACTTCTAGGAAACCAAGTGTTGTGTAAAAAGACATGTAACACATCTATATAAGTATTCACTACAAGCATCGATACCAGCAAAAAAAAGAGGAAAAACTGAAAATACTGATTACATAGCTATGGTACACAGAATACTACAGTTAACAGTTAGCAAGTAAACATGTGGAACAAACACATAGAAAAACAATCAGTGTGAAGTCAAAAAAGCAGGTGATGAAACAGCATGTGTCATTTCATTAGATATATATTTTATTGTATTTCTATCTGTCCATGTCAGCAGCCACCTACCTCCATGGTCACTGGTACTCAGAATCTTTTCTTTCCGTTACTAATTTACCCATAAGATCTTAAGCCTAGTGCCCCCTTACACAATAGGCAGTTTCTCTTTCATGTGGGGAAAAATTCAAATGTTCTGGTATCCCCTTTAACAACTGTCCTATTTTTCTCTCCTTTTACTATTAGTTTTCTAAATAAGTAATCTATACACACTGCTTCTAAAATAAGTATGTCATTTGGCCGGGCATGGTGGCTCATGCCTGTAATCCAAGCACTTTGGGAGGCCGAGGTGGGCAGATCACCTGAGGTCAGGAGTTCGAGACCAGCCTGACCAACATGGAGAAACCCCAACTCTACTAAAAATACAAATTAGTTGGGCGTGGTGGCACATGCGTGTAATCCCAGCTACTCGGGAGGCTGAGGCAGGAGAATCACTTGAACCAGGGAGGTGGAGGTTGCGGTGAACCGAGATCGCGCCATTGCACTCCAGCCTGGGCAACAAGAGCGAAACTCCGTCTCACAAATAAAATATAATAAAATAAAAAATTTACAAAGTGCTTTCAACACAGCCATTAATGCATTTGATTCTCAAAACCTCAACATTTTAATATACTCTTTTTTGAAGTGACAGATCAGGGGTTGGTTCTTCCATGGCTTCATTAACTGATGACTGAGTAAACTTCAGTGAGATGCCTTCCTTTCTACCAGTCTACTCCTACTTTACCATCCACAACCGATGCTCTTGAAGTGTTGAATGCTTTTACAAATAATATGACCTAATAAATGTCTGAATTTCAGCTTTGCTAAACCAAAAATTCCAACCCAAGAGAACAGGCTACATTAAGTGTGCTACATTTTTAGCAACACAAACTTCAAAAAGAAATCAGAAATTAACTGATGAATTCTGGTGATATTTTATTTAGAAAAAGATAATCACTGATTTTAAGATCTTAATTTTTCTTTCTTGTAAATGCTACACTAATTAGACGTAAGATAGTATTAGATAATAAAAGTATTTACACATTGAATACAAAATAAATATAAAGTAACTGAAAAACAAATCAGGTTTCCATTGACTTATTTTGTTTTCCCACTGTCCATCCTCTGTTTCATTTTTCTTTGCCTTTTGTAAATCCGTTTCTTTCTTGCTTTCAAATCAACTTTTGGCTCTGGTTTTACCCACTGTATTTCTATTGGTTTCTCCTCAGCTGGTGTTACAAAAACATCTGCAGTGGGATCATGTGGAAGAAGAGTCTTCGGCTCTTTCTTTCTCAGTTTTTGCACATCTTTCACTTGCTGTTTCTCTCTGTATTTTGCAGCTGTGATGGATCTTATGACACGCCGATGCTAAAAAAAAAAAAAAAAGATTAGATGCTTTTGAAATAAAAATAAACATTTTATATAAGGCAAAGACTTTCAGTTATGAACCATATATCCTTTCAGCCAGTGTCATGAAAAAAGGGAGTAATTTCCAAGTTTCTATGCAGCAAAAACCAAATTCAGTTTCACAGGTAATAAAACAGCAATTACTTCACAGAATCATTTTGGCCAAAGGGTTCTGGTACATTGAAGACTACTGAATGACACAACCGCTTACCATGTTTGGTGACTGGTAGTGAGGATTTTCATATAAAGTTGGTCCTCCAAAACTTCCCTGGAAAATCTTTATGAGATTTAAGACAAAACGAGGTCCTATTTCTACAAGAGCAGCATCTTCTTCTATGATCTTTAATAAAAAGGAAACATTTCATTTTGGTTTGGTTACGTTATTCCCAAAAGGTATACTGGCTATAACCTCATTATAAATGTGCCTGAAATAATTGATAATCCATAAAATCAAGGTGGGGGTGAAACTTGGTAAATGGCAAATCATCAATATTTTCTGAAATCTATTAGTACTTATAGGAAGTTGTCATGGAAAAATGTTTTTTCAGTGAGTTCTTTTAAAATTGAGTAATTAGATTTTGGTTCACATCTTGCTTGTCACAATGCATATATCCTTGAAAAACTGGTTAAACAGGATTTTAAAACAGTAACCACTATTAACAAAATGTATTAAAGCACATTATGGGGGAACTCTTGAAACTTAAATCAATCCCTAAATTGTTTTTATAAATCTAATTCAAGTTAGATTAAAAGGATATGTAGTCAAATTTATTTAATAGCTACTGATTATGGAATTAAAAGGCAACTTCCGAACAACAAATATTTATGTTATCTATTAGTTCAGGCATGTCTACCCTCAGAGGTTAGGATGATGTGTTCAACTCACATGCCAGGTATCCAATATAAAATATGCAGAAAAGAGCTCAGTTTATGTCATATACTGTCTAAAATTTTGTTCTTGCTGTTCTCTTCCACCTCTTCATCTTTCTGCACTTATCGTGCCAAACTCCTGCTTCAAGATTTCTAGAGTCACCTCCTCTTTTCTCCTGAATGAGTCACTGTGTGACTCATCATCTAACCGCTGCCATTGAATGCCTTCTAGAGCAATTACATTTTGCTAGGTCTTAACCTTTGAGGTGCTTTGAGAGAGAAACTTCTAAGCTTTGAGAGAGAAACTTCTATTTTACTGTATCCTTTACAGCACTTTCTACAAATTAGGAACCCAAGTATCTCATGGATCTTCAAGTTATTCCCTTTCTATAAAGTTAAATATATAATGGCTTATTAGGAAATCCATACTCTGTATCAACTAACAGTCATGAATAGAAGTAGGTAGAGCTCACTTAAGATATAAGACAGTACATAGTTACTTGCAGCAATCTCTTTAGGGAAAAGGAAGCTATTTAAAACAAAAGAATTATTTGCATTTTTTGTGTATGCAAACCCTGTATATCCTTATCTAAAAGTTTAACTAAAAATTGACCAGGCACAGTGGCTCACAACTGCAATCCCACCTACTCAAGATGCTGAGGAGGAATGATTTGAGGCCAGGAGGTTCAAGGCCAACCTAGGCAACACTGCGACACTCTATCTCTAAAAAAAAAAATTAGGCCGGGTGTAGTGGCTCACGCCTGGAATCCCAGCACTTTGGGAGGCCAAGGCGGGCAGATGGCCTGAGGTCAGGAGTTTGAGACCAGCCTGGCCAACATGGCGAAACCCCGTCTCTACTAAAACTACAAAAATTAGCCAGGCGTGATGATGGGTGCTTGTAATCCCAGCTACTCAGGAGACTGAGGGAGCAGAAGCTTGAACCCGGGAGGTGGAGGTTGCAGTGAGCCAAGATTGTGCCACTGCAGTCCAGCCTGGGCAACAAGAGCGAGACTCTGTCTCAAAACATAAATAAATAAACTCAATTAAAAAAAAGGTATAATTAAAAATCAAGTAAAGCTTACCTGAAAGTTCCGAAACCATATCCTATTATCCAAAATGGTGAAAGTAAACACGTGGTCCACAAATGGTTGGCTTTTGGGATGATACCGTGGTGTACTAAAGATCTAGTTAAAAAAGTGTATGTTAGTTCCTTATTCCAAGATATATCATGTATATTTTGGATAGCTAATTTTAAAGATATTTACCTGAATTAAGAGTTCTTTTAACAAAGCATAATGTGGTAATTCATCAAAAGCCTATAAAAATAAGGTAAGCATATTATTTAACAGTAGACTGCCTTGTTTAAAACTGTTTGCTCATTTGTTTCTATAACTTGGCTATAACCTCATTATAAATGTACCTGAAAGAATTGATAATCCATAAAACCAAGGTGGGGGTGAAACTAAATTGAATAACACAACTATATCTACTAAAAACAACCATGCCAGATAAGAAAATTAGACCTCATACACTGAATGAGAAACTTACAGGGTCAAAAGACAAAAGGGGCCGAGAACCTTTCAAACAGTTTCCAGTCATCTTCAGTTCAGCGAGGGTATGAACTAGAAAAATTACAACAAAAACAAAAATAGTTGTAACTTTTGCACAACTATTTCAAAAGATTACTTTTAATTTCCTCATCTAAAAAAATTTATTGAGTCAACTTACTATTTTGAACAAGGAATTTAGCAGATGGTCCGTGAGGTGAATTTGAAAGCCTGAAAGATATGGAGTAAGCTTTTTCAACTAATTAGCAAATGTAGTCAATGCTTACCACCTATTCACCATAAATAATATGCTTATAATATTTATACATTTAATTTTCTTTAAAGGTATCAAGTTTCGTGAAATCAAAAGTTTGCTTCATTCTCAACCCTTAACATGAAACACTAGGAGTCTATAACATAAAAGGTACAAAGAACAAATCCACTTAAATGAGTTTAACCAAAATCTTAATACATTCTCTTACCACATATAGAGATCCTGTTTTTTCTTAGCTTCAAAATAGATGCATTTATTACAGTTCTTCATTTCACAAACCTAAAGGAAGCAAAGTATAGGAAAATGAAGTAGATAATATAAATGAGAACTAAAGTAATTATATGTGATTAATATCATCCAGATTATCTCAAAAATACCTAACCAGGCTAATAGGCTACAAAGGCCTAAACATGTATTTATTCACAGAAGGAACCTTTAAAGTTCCTCTTAGGTATTCTACCCAAGGTAAACTAGATGCTCTGCCCATATCTTGGGTGAAATTATCTATCATATTTTTGGGCCTAGCATCTAAAATGGTCTCACTTCTGATTACTGGAAACCTCCCTCCTTTTTTTTTTTTTTTTTTTTGCGATGCAGTTTCGCTCTTGTTGCCCAGGCTGGAGTGCAATGGCACGATCTCGGCTCGCCGCAACCTCCACCTCCCAGGTTCAAATGATTCTCCTGCTTCAGCCTCCGGAGTAGCCGGGATATTACAGGCCTGTGCCATCACACCCCGCTAATTTTGTATTTTTAGTAGAGATGGGGTTTCTCCATGTTGGTCTGGCTGGTCTTGAACTCCCAACCTCAGGTGATCTGCCTGCCTCAGCCTCCCAAAGTGGTGGGATTACAGGTGTGAGCCACCTCACCTGGCCAGGAACCTCTTCTGCCCATAGTCCCATTGACAAACTACAAAGACTAAAAATAGATGCCCTACGGATAAAGCATACCACAACTAATCTTCTTATGTTAATCCTTCATAATCAATCTTCTTAGCCAATCTTATGAAAATGCAGTACTTATAGAACTAAAAACATCCTTTTTAATGATTATTTTGATTTTTAACTTTTTAGCTTTTTGATTCTAAGATCACAAAACTTAAGTTGTTCTTCATTTATACTATCATTTCTGGTGATTTGGTTCTATAAAATCACTAAGGGATTGGGTGAAAAGCCTAAGTATATCAAACCTATTTCAAATTAAACTTCAATGTCTTGAAGGCTTACAAAAGTCACACTTGAGAAGACACAAAAACATTACAGGAGTGAAGGCTTGTATTACTGTAGTATTCATAAACTCTAATTAATATAGTACTCTTAAACTCCACATTATTTAAGACTTTAAACCTAACAACTTATGGCTGGATGAGGTGGCTCATGCCTATAACCCCAGCACTTTGGGAGGCCGAGGTAGGTGAATTGTCTGAGCAACCTGGCAAAGCTCCATCTCTACTAAAAATACAAAAAATTAGCTGGGCATACTGGCGTGTGCCTGTCGTCCCAGCTACTCGGGAGGCTGAGGCAGGAGAATTGCTTAAACCCAGGAAGCAGAGGCTGCAGTGAGCTGAGATCATACCACTTCACTCCAGCCTGGGTAACAGAGAGAGACTTTTGTCTCCAAAACCAGTTAAACAAATAAACAAACCCTAACAACTTAAAAAAAAAAAACAAAACTTTTGTTTCTTACTGGTCTTAGAATAAACACAAAAATAGGAAGTTTGTGCCACTTCTGGGCTTTTGTAGTTGCCATTTTCTCTAGCTAGATGGTCTTTTACCATATTTCTCCTTCACTACGTCTCTGCTCAAATATTAAACACCATCCCTTTGAACAGGTTTTTCCGGTGTAGCCTCAGCTGTCCAAAACCTATAACCTGCTTTATTTCTCCTGTCTTTACTTGAAATTATAAACCTTGTTTATGGCCTGTCTCCATTAGAATGTAAGTTCCATAATGACAGGGACATTGCTCTGTTGAACAGTTTCTACAGCACATAGAATAATGTGGTATTACAGCAGAGGTTCAAAAATTTGTGCTCTAAAGAAGGCTAATAGTGAAAAAATGATCCTAATTCTTCTAAGTTTTGAAAATTTTGCTTTAAAATGTAAATTTATGTTCTGTGCTTCCAGAGGTTAAAAAAAATACCTAAGTGTAGTATCTTAAACAATACTTTGAAAATGTAACCTATTCAGTTTGTAATACCTTAATAGCCAGTTCCACACAAATCACTTTTAATACTGGCAAAACACTTTTTACCATGTGGGTTTTATATATATATATGTTTAATGGACTTATTTTACTTTATATATGTTGACTGATAATTTTTTGAGTACCTACTATGGATTTAGCATAATACTAGACACTACAGGGTTAAAAAATGGGACATAATCCTTCTCCTGAGGAAATTTCAATATGCTTGTTCAGACAAAACAAACAGAAATGAATGAAGCACTAAACTGTGAGAGATAAAAATTTGGAAGACCAGTTATTGAAGAGTTAATAAAATGTGTCTGAATAGTTTTTACAAAATAATTTTTAAAGTCACTGAATGACTTAGTTTTGAAATAAGCCACTGTTAACATTTTAAAAATATTTTGTTGCAATTACTTTCCAAAATTACCTCGTTAATCACAAATAGCTTATCCTTACGATCCATTTTAGTATCTAGAAAAAGAAAAAAAAGAAAAAGCAAGTAAATTAAAGGTGATTTCAAAGTTATTTCAATCAAACCACATATGCTATCCAGAAAATAAAGTGTTTTTACACTCTTCAGTTTAAAGGAGATTTTATTACTAATTTTCAAAACAAGAGCTGGAAACAATCGCTCAAAAATCTTGACTCTTTGTAAATGTAAAGAAAATAAGTAAAATATAGTCTGTAAGAATTAGAAATTATAGTGTAAGCAGTGTTTCTCAATATTTAGGTATTCTAGGAATCCTTTTCAAAAATGGGAAAATTCTCACAAACCAAAGACTGTGTTAAAGGAAACCAGTTTCAATGAAAATATCTTTCACTTTTTAATCTTAGGTGTCAAAGAAAACTGACTTTATGCCCGTGTAACAAACCTGCACATATACTCCTTGAATCTAAAATAAGTTAAAATTTTAAAAATAAAAAACAAAAAACAAAAAAACCCCAAAGCACCTCTCAACATAAGCACAACAACAGCCATATGATGGCGCTGCCACTCCACTGTTCCAAACTTTTTTTTTTTTTTTTTTTTTTTTTTGAGACAGGGTCTTGCTCCTTGCCCAGGCTGAAATGTAGTGGCGCAATCACGGCTCATGACAGCCTTGAACTCCTGGGCTCAAGCCATCCTCCTGCTTGAGACTCCTGAGTAGCTGGGACTGCAGGCAAGTGACCCCCTCACTTGGCTAATTTACTTTACTTTTTTCATTTTTTTTTTTTTTTATTTTGTAGAGACAGGGTTTCACCATGTTGCCCAGGATGGTCTGGAACTCCTGGACTCAAGTGTTCCACCCACCTCGGCCTCCCAAAGTGCTGGGATTACAGGCATGAGCTACCATGCCCGGCCATACTGTTCTTGCCTGTAAAATAACCCACTGCTTAAAAATAAATAAATAACCTGGCATTTAGAAATAGGCTCTGACTCCAACTTAAAAAGTGCTTTGAATTCTATCCCAGGTCCATTTTTCAATAAAAACAGTTAAAAAAAAAAAAAAAAAGGCCCAAAAAGCAACATGTGGCAGTCCTTAGCACTTAGGACAAACCATCCCACCTATCTCAGGACCTTCAGAAGCATTACAGTGAAGGCATTCCTGGACCTTCAAGAAATGTTTCAATAATATTAGGACACCTGTTTTAAAAAGTAAAGAATCTACCTAATGAAATCTAAAGAATTTCTTACGAAATGTTAACTGGAAAAATTGTGGCACTTGAAAGGATAAAAGGCATTGTGTTTTTTTCGTGAGAACACTGAACAAATGAAGAATATATAAAATAAGTGAAAACATAAAAATAGGTAAGTTTATAGATAGAAATTTCTAAAGTATATGATATAAAGGCACCTGCTTTAGAATGAGGCATCAACATTCTCAAGTCCTGCATTAAATGTCTTGTTCTAAAATTTATTCCTCTGGAAGAAAAGATGAGAATCCGTTCCTTATTTTTCCACTTTCCCTAAAGAAAAAGAAAATGTTAAAAGATTTTAAAATCTTATACTGAACTGATCTTGTTTTGTGACAGGGTCTCACACTGTTGCCCAGGCTGAAGTGCTCACGGCTCACTGCAGTTTCAAGTTCCTGGGCTCAAGTAAGTGATCCTCCCACCCCAGCATCTACAGTAGCTGGAGACTACAGGCATGTGCCACCATGTCCAGCTAGTTTTTTTTTTTTTTTTTTTTGTAGAGATGGGAGTCTCCCTATGTTGCCCAGGCTGGTCTCCAACACCTGGGCTCAAGTGGCTTGGCCTCCCAAAGCGCTGGGATTATAGGTAAGAACCACCGCACCTGGCCCTGTTTGTTTTTTATGAGCTTCCAAGTAGCTCATAACCAAGTCAAACCATCCTGACTCCTTTAATTTCATCTCTCACCAACATTCACTGACCACATCTGCCACCCAGAAATGCCCTCCTTGGTTTCTTTGTTTTTCAACTTCAATCTCTCCAATTCCTCCTTCCAACCCTAAAAGTTCTTTCTTAGCCCTCTTATTTCTGTGCTCTCCATGACAGATGTCTCATAATAATTTCCCACAACTCTTAATCCTTTCTTATTCACACTGCACTTACTTAGAGTCTTATATTAACTGCAAAACTCCTAAATGGCTAACCTTCCCAGACATGAGCACCTCCAATAGATATGGTTGACTAGCTTTTTCAACAGTTTACTTTTTTTGTTTGTTTGTTTGAGATGGAGTCTCACTCTGTCACCCAGGCTGGAGTGCAGTGGCGCGATCTCGGCTCACTGCAACCTCCACCTCCCGGGTTCAAGCGATTCTCCTGCCTCAGACTCCCGAGTAGCTGGGATTACAGGTGCCCGCCACTGCACCTGGCTGATTTTTTTTTTTTTGTAGTGTTAGTAGAGACGGGGTTTCACCATCTTGGCCAGGCTGGTCTTGAACTCCTGACCTAGTGATCCACCCGCCTCGGCCTCCCAAAGTGCTGGGATTACAGGCGTGAGCCACCACGCTGGACCATTTTTAAAGTAATACTTCCATCACATCCTTACTTCCCAGAGTTTTCTAAACAAAGTTCAAATGACATAGCTTTGACACTGAATTTTAAAATAGATTTTCACGTCTACATCATTATTGCCCCAAATGAAGCCTAATGCAATCCAATCTGGCTCTATTTTTTACATTTTTCAGCATTTCCCTACTTCAAAGTCTTTCATCGGTTTTTTTTTCTCCCTTGGAGTGTTCCCTCTCATTTTTTGAATGTCAAAATTCTACACTTCCTCTGATATGCAGCTTACGGGCTAAATCCTTCATGATTCTTTATCTTATTATACTAGGGTAAAAATAATCTATATCTCCTGCACTTCCATAGAATGTATCGAAGTATGGCTCAGATTATAGATACTACCTAGCTCAAGGGAAGAGTGAGAACACTAACATTTACTGGAAGTGTACAAGTCCAGCTTATTTTTCATAAAAAGTAAATATTCCCTCCCCCTGCCCCCCAATCTGCAGGTCAGAAAAGAGCACAGAATGTTGCTGTTAATAACGGGGCTAGAATTTACACTTATCTTTCATTCCACAGAGCTCACTTCTTTCTTAGAGCTTGCCATCACACCACACGGGGTCATTTACTTATCACCTACTCCGCGCTAGAGTACTATGCTAAGTGCGGAGGACGCAAAAATTAATGTCAAAGATAATCCTTGTTCACAGTATTCTGTCTAGCTTAAGAAGAGTTCTTAGTTGAATGAAAGCTAATTCTAACAACTTGTGTGCACTTCTTTTGAATAAAAACCATCAACTTATTTGAATTCTTAAGTTTCCTCCTAAACTCCAACATTTCAGGAGGAAGAGGTCACATTCTAGTCATCTTTGCAATCTCAAACCCAAAGGAAGCCTAACTTGGTACAGTGCATGGCACATTCAATGTCTGTTGAATACAAGTAAAGCTCATACTACCTAGTCTATTTTTCAGTATCTCTTGAGTTAATGACCTGGTTAACAAGTCAGAGTCACAGTCCCAAGGGCAACAACTTTTTAAAGGCTCCCCTAACGTACTTCAGGATCCCTGACTGAGAGTGGCTGACTATGGCAGTATATGGGCATACTAATCACTGGAGAAATAATAGCGAGAAATAACCAAGGAAAAGCACTACTCTCCAAAAACATTAAAAAAAAAAAACAACTGAACAACTAGTAAGAAAGAACGCTGGATCTGAGCACCCTGTAAGTCGCTTCCCCGTGGGCCGGGTAAAGGTTTTAAAACCCGCCGCCTCCAGGAAGACGGCCACGTGCACAAGGATTAGCTGCAAACTCCGTGCCCAGTCTGGCCGGGAGAATTGCTAAAACCGACCTACCGTTAACACCCGGGCTACTCTGAAATTAAGCAAGGCTGTAGTCAAGTAAGTAACCCAAGAAAAGGCGCACAGAGCCGCCGCCGCAGGTGTAGCCCGGGGACATCCCCTCCTACCTTGCAAACGGGGCCTGGGATCCGGTCCCTCTCTTCTTCCTCCACCTCCTCTGCTGTGGCGTGCCGCTTAGCTGGCGGCTCCGCATCTATTTCGTTTCTTTTTGGCTTCTTCGCCTGAACTGCAAAGCCTCCACGCCGTTTCCTCTTGGTTGCCGCCATCTTGCCTCGCCGCCCGCGCTCTTGGCCTCCTTTCCGGCGCTGCCGCTCGCTCCTATTTCCGATCTCTATGGTTCGGCGGCTCTAAGCGCTCAGCTCCGCGGTCGTCCTCCAGGTCTGTGCCGCCTCCTTCCGGTCTCGGTGGCGCGGCACGCGCGGCTCTCTAGGCCTCCTTCAGCTCTGTGGTGACGGTGGCCGAGGTGGAGGGCCGGTCTGAAGAGTGGCGGGACTGGCTTCACTTCCTCCGCGGTTCCTCGGAGCCGCCTCGCTCCTCTTCAGGGACTTTGCTGAGAAGGGCTCTCGGGCGTCCAGACCCCACCGCAAAGGTAGGGTTTCCGCACTCGGGGACCCCGAGACTAGTAAGCGATGCTGTCCCGCGGGCGGGCTGGTGAATGGGGTTGTCTGGGACTCTTGGAGGATTATCTGGACACTCCGGGCCCGCCCCGCCATCGCCTGTTTTGTTGGAGGCGGGGCTGGTGGCGCGGGCTGCACAAAACCGACTCCCCGCGGATTTGTAGCTCCTGTTTGGCCGGGAGATACCGTGTCAGTTGCGTGTCTTCATTCTTCACAACTTTTCACGTTATTGTCCTCTTACGGAGACGAGGAAACCGTAGCTTAGATAATTTTCCTCCAGAATTACAAAGATAGTTAAGTGACATAGGTGGGGTTCGGCCTGGTCAGCCGTGTTCAGCCTCCCAGCCCCTTTCCACCTCTCAGCGCAGGTGGAGCTCGCCGGACCTCGCCAGCACTGATGGGAGTTTTACTGTCTAATCCCTTCAGGTGTTTGGCGATCCGCCGAGAAGTTGTTGGCCCCAGGAGCATCCCTCGGGGCCGAATGCGCAGTGGACGATGCCCCTTCTGACCCAACAGATCCAAGACGAGGATGATCAGTACAGCCTTGTGGCCAGCCTTGACAACGTTAGGAATCTCTCCACTATCTTGAAAGCTATTCATTTCCGAGAACATGCCACGTGTTTCGCAACTAAAAATGGTATCAAAGTAACAGTGGAAAATGCAAAGTGTGTGCAAGCAAATGCTTTTATTCAGGTATGGAAGTAGGCGCCTTTAAGCCTGTGCCATAGATACTCTAAATGTAATTTAATGAAATCGGAAGGTTTCAGTAGACAAAATAACTTAATAGTCATAATAACTTGTCAATAGTCATAATAAATAACTTAATAAATAAATAATAGTCTTAAGTTAGAGAACAAAACGTCATTACTTGAATTTTTTTTCTCTCCCGGTAACAAATTCTTTTCCCATCTTGTTTTACAGAGATAATGGTTAGTAATGACTAAAGTTTATTAAACTAGGCTATTGGCTAGGCTACAGTCTTCTTATTGTTTAACTTATTTAATCTTAACAATAGTCCTGTAAGGTAGGTTCTGTTATTATTCCCGTTTTATATATGTGGAAACGAGGCACAATTTTAAGTGATTTGCCAACAGTCCCACAGCTGGTAAGTGGCTGAATTGGGATAAGAACGCTGAATATTTGTTTCCAGAATATATGCTCTTTTTTCCACTGCGATATGCTATTACTAAAGAGTATTTTTTTCCTTTACTGGTTGTAATAGAATTTTTGTTCTTCCAAAGTAATATTTGTGTGGTTCAGATAGGATTGCAAGTTCAACTAAGCGTTTTTTAACACGTAAGTGCACAGCATGATCTCAGGGATAGAGAGGTAAATAAGACACGGTTCTTGTCCTCATGCAGGGGCATGGTATGGTGGCTCACACCTGTATTTCCAGCTGCTCAGGAGACCGAGGCTGAAGCACGAAGATCGCTTGAGCTCAGGCATTAAAGACCAGCCTGGGTAATCATAGTGAGACCCCCGTATCAATAAAAAATCATAATAAAAGTTGAAACTAATGTTGCTCATGCATTATCAAGTCATTCGTCTATTTTCCAAGTGACCTTAGCAGTAGTGATAGGCACAAAAACGAGACAAGGGAGAGTCACAGAGGGATAGTTTTAGATCCAGGAATGGAGATAAGGATGCTTCAAAGGATGTCTCTAAGATGTTTTGATTGCTAATCAGAAATTATTCTCATGGGATTAGCACAGTATTGTATTTTTTAAACGTATAAAGTGAAATCTAGGACCTTATATTATTAGTTTTTATTCTTTTATGTAACAATTTTCATTTTTACTCTTTTCATAGGCTGGAATATTTCAGGAGTTTAAAGTTCAGGAAGAGTCTGTTACTTTTCGAATTAATTTAACTGTCCTTTTAGACTGTTTATCTATTTTTGGATCAAGTCCTATGCCAGGTAAACTATGATCAGTATAAAGACATAAAAGTGTTATACATAGTGGTCAGAAAAATACAGGAAGTTATTTGGAACATAAACATTGGTTCAGAAAGCTAATGCCAATTCATTTTTCAGTGGCCACAGTCATGGGTTCTAACATTTCACAATGTTAATTGCAAGTGTGTTTATAATTCTTTTCATATTTGTAAAAGTATTTGCATTTTTTTTTTAATTTACAAGGCTTTGAGGGATTGTAAATTCGAACTGGCCAAAAGAATACTTTGGACATGTCTTAAATATTTTTAGCATTGTGAAATGTTTTAATTGCTTCTTTTTCCTAACTTGTCCAGAATTACTCCGCTAGTTAGTGGCAGAGAAAAACAAAAGCCAGTTCTGACTCCTAGTTTACTATGTTCAAAATTTGTTTCTTTTAAGCCATATTTTATAAGTTATGTCTATTTTGCCAAATGATTTTGTGGTGTTTTTGAGACAGAGTTTCTCTCTTGTTGCCCAAGCTGCAGTACAATGGCACAGTCTCAGCTCACTGCAACCTCTGCCTCCCGGGTTCAAGTGATTCTTCTGCCTCAGCCTCCCGAGTAGCTGGGATTACAGGCACGTGCCACCACGCCCGGCTAATTTTTTGTATTTTTAGTAGAGATGGGGTTTCACCATATTAGCCAGGCTGGTCTCAAACTCCTGACCTCAGGTGATCTGCCCGCCTCAGTCTCTCTAAGTTCTGGGATTACAGGCATAAGCCACCGCAACCGGTTGCCGAATGATTTTCTTTAAAATATATATTTTTTTATTTGTTAAGGGAATTTTTAAGAATGGTGAAATTGAATTGCTGTGGGTATAAAACTAAGGAATCCCCAGAAGAATGATTTTATTTCATAGGAAAGCAACCTGGAGATTAGCTAGGAAAAATTCAATATAGTTCTCCAGAAAAATGTATTTTACGTTTCCACAGACAATTCCACTATTATTAATTATACATTTTCTAATACAGTGTTCTCCAGCTAGTTTTTCACAGAAGCATCTGTCATCTTCCATTCCTCACTGTGGCTCTCAATCCAGTAAGGAGAAGGAGTTTGAATATCCTGTCATATTCCTCCTTCCCTCTAGTGGTTTGCAGAGTTAAAATTTACACCACCATTAACAACCCTCTTTTTCTCTCAATTTGATTTTTAAATTCGAGGAAATATAAAGAATATCTCCCAGTTGGAAAAGTTGGAAGGATCCTTGTCATAGTGAGTACACTGACGTTACAGTACAGATGACAGCAATCCACTGTTACACACATTGAACCTTCAAGGAATAGCATACCCTGTTCTGCAGCAATTTAGTTACTTGCTGTGTTGATCCATATAGATTCTCTACCCTGAAATTGTACATATATAAAATCAACAAGCTATTTCTGAGGTGTGTATGACAACCTGAAAATGATTCCAAAGAATTATGTTACATTTTGTTCTGGTTCCCAATTTTCTTGTAGTTTTGGAATTCTCTACACACAACTGTCATCAGGGAAGATGTCATCCCTTTTTATGAGGAGATACATATATGTGAGAAATTGGGCGGAATAAATTATTCTTGAGAAATTTTATGTATCATTTCGAGGAGAAGCTGAACCCAGAACTATAAAGCTAAGGCCAAGTATGACTTCTTTCCATTGCAGGGACTTTAACTGCACTTCGAATGTGTTACCAAGGTTATGGTTACCCTTTGATGCTGTTCCTGGAAGAAGGAGGAGTGGTGACAGTCTGCAAAATCAATACACAGGAACCTGAGGAGACCCTGGACTTTGATTTCTGCAGCACCAATGTTATTAATAAAATTATTCTGCAGTCAGAGGGGCTCCGTGAAGCATTTTCTGAATTGGATATGACGAGTGAAGTCCTACAAATTACCATGTCTCCTGACAAGCCTTATTTCAGGTACTTGAGAGCAGTGCAGTTATAGTTAATGTGGTCTGTACTCCATCTTCCCACTTAGACATTTGCTTAGGATGCAAAATTTTTATTATCCACATTTTTAGAGTTTTCACAACTTTAGACAGCTTGTACTCTTACCTCATAATTTTATGGATCAAGAAACTTAAGACCCAGGAAGATTAACTCACTATTTCATATTTAGGTGGTGGTGGCATCTAGATGAGAAGCCCAGTCCTCTAATTTATAAACTGGTGGTGTTTTCATTGTACTACTCCTTACTTTCATAGATCAGGTTACATCATGAGGAAAATTGGGTTTAAGTGTTTGGAAAGGGTGTTTGTATTATGGTATCTTTTTCAAGTTAGTTCAGGATGCAGAAGAAGATGTTTTCTACACGTGGCTCATTCATTCACTAAGTATCTGTTGATCACCTACCGTGTGCTTATTCATCTTATTAAGCATTGTGGGAAGAACAGCTTAAAACCAAGGTGAAGCCAAGAAAATGTGAAACAGCAAACCATTAAGTACCAAGATAGCACACACAGATACCTGGGAAATGCTGTATAAGGATTTAGGGAGGATTGCTCAAGGCTGGCTTCCCAAGGGAGGGCAGTTTTCAGCAGGAGTACAATGTCAAAAAAGCTGTTCTTGATAGTTTAACACAAGTCTCTTTTCAGGATTAGACTCAGAGATTCTAGCAATTTAGAGAGAGGATCTAAATATTCTCTTTTTGAAATATTTCAGAATATTAAAGCCCCTAAATACATATGGAATAAAAGGAATAAGGTATTCTTTTTGTAACTACTTTAGAAGAATTACAGGCCCGGCTGTAAAAGTGCTGTGGCAGACACCTGTAATCCCAGCACTTTGGGAGGCCGAAGTGGGCAGATCACTTGAGGTCAGGAGTTCAAGACCAGCCTGGCCAATGTGGTGAAACCCTGTCTCTACTAAAAATAGAAAAATTAGTTGGGCGTGGTGGCACGTGCCTATAATCCCAGCTACTTGGGAGGCTGAGGTGGGAGAATCACTTGAACCCAGGAAGTGGAGGTTGCGGTGAGCTGAGATTGCGCCACTGCACTCCAGCCTGGGTGACAGAGTGAGAATCTGTCTCAAAAAAAAAAAAAGAAAAGAAAAAGAATCACAGGCCCTTGTCATGACTTTGGGGAGTTAAAAATTTGGCTCAAGGTCTGAGAAAGTTAACCAAAATGGAAATTGGAAACCTTACTTTAGCAGTGGAATGAAGTAAAAAATTCAGGTACTTAAAACAGTATTTCAGGGGATCTCCTCAGTGATCTCTCTCAGCCTGGGTAACGAGATGGACCATGGTATCTTTCATCTCCAGGATGGGAAACAATTTGGTGGTAGGGAGGTAGGAGTTGAAATTTTTTCCTGGATATGTTAAATTTTAAGTACCTGCGACACTAGGGAGTGGCTGGATATGTAGTTATGGTGCTCAGGAGATCCATTTAGACTGGAAATTTAGATTTGGGAACCATCATCATGGCTGGGTATGGATGAGACGGGTCAGAGAGAGAGATTATATTAGAAGAAAGAAAAGATGGACCCCAGGAAAACCACACCTGGAAGATGGGAGGCAGAAATGGAGCTTAGGGAAAACCAACCTGGATCTTATCGCCATGCTCATATAATACTTAGCAACGTGCTAATCCTGCAGCAAATGTTCCAGGAGTTCTTGCAAATTAAATCAGCATGTTAACACTTATAAATTGTCTACAAATAACTTCTGGTATTACCAAGTGAGGAAAACCATGCAATAGCCTTAAGAGCAGTCTAAGATACAGAAAAGCTGTAATTCCTAGGTGTAGGATTGGGAACAGACCTAAGGGTTGCAGTAGACTTAGATCAAGGTCTTCCATGAGTCCTCAATTCTCTCGCCTGTTATATATTTCTGACTTAAGGATGAGGAAAAGTCATTTTCAGAGTAGGATTAGGGTAATGAAATTAAAGTGTCCCCTACCCTTTTCCTTTTACAATTGATTTTCTTCAAACCCATTGATTAGTTGTCCTGAACTCCAGTGGGAGCTTTATTATGGTACTTGTTATCGTGTGTTATAAGCATTTGTGTACATGTCTGTTTCACCCACTAGTATGAATTTCTTAAGGAAGTGTTTTCTTTATTTGGATCCTAATGTGGTTTATTTTTGGATGAATGAATAAATGAGGTAATCATTTTCTATAGGTTATCTACTTTTGGAAATGCAGGAAGTTCCCACCTTGACTATCCCAAAGATTCTGATTTGATGGAAGCATTTCATTGTAATCAGACCCAAGTCAACAGGTCAGTTCTTAATATAGAGGTTGTCATTGGTGATAAAGAGGAGGTTAAATACCAGATTTCTGTTAAATAAAAACACTTTCAATCTGTTAATTAAAATGCACAGCATTTTATAAAAATGAATAGTAGAGTGCTGGACTTACTAGGGGATGTAGGGTTCTAACAGTGAATGAATTTTAAAACAGAAAATATTAGCAAATTGGATAAGTACTTGATTTTATTCTTAGATTTGCTACTTTTTATCCTTTACTTGGGAGTTCTGAGCAGTGTTCACTGTGTTGATATAACAGCGTTTTATTTTTTCTTCTACAGATACAAGATTTCCTTACTGAAACCCTCTACAAAGGCATTAGTCCTATCTTGTAAGGTATCTATTCGGACAGATAACAGAGGCTTCCTTTCATTACAGTATATGATTAGAAATGAAGATGGACAAATATGTTTTGTGGAATATTACTGCTGCCCTGATGAAGAAGTTCCTGAATCTGAGTCTTGAGTATGACAATTCACTGATATTTATGTGTACATTTATGATAGATGAAGTTCTTATTCTGAGTACAGTACTCTTTGTCATTTCATATTGGATTTTCTATAGAGAAGAAGCACAATGGGGAAGATAGGAGCAAGGTCATGTACCCTAATAGTTACTATGTTTTGTAAATCCATTTTGTAGAGGGCATGTAAATAAATGTTTTCCTGTAGTCATAGATTATTCAGGACTGTCCTTTAGTTCTGTCTTTTGAACTCATGGGAATAATTGTGAGTCAGCGTAACATTTCAAGAGTCTAAAGGTGGCCGGGTGTGGTGGCTTTAATCCCAGCACTTTGGGAAGCCGAGGTGGGCGGATCACCTGAGGTCAGGAGTTCGAGACCAGCCTGACCAACGTGGAGAAACCCCATCTCTACTAAAAATACAAAAAATTAGCCGGACGTGGTGGCACATGCCTGTAATGCCAGCTACTCGGGAGGCTGAGGCAGGAGAATTGCTTGAACCCGGGAGGCGGAGGTTGTGGTGAGCTGAGATGACGCCATTGCACTCCAGCCTAGGCAATAAGAGCAAAACTCTGCCTCAAAAAAAAAAAAAAAAAAAGTCTAAAGGCTTAAAGTTTGATGCAGCTACCTGAAATGATCTTTTATTTATTTATTATTAGAAAAAGCAAAGGCATATGGGCATTGCTTATTAGTTTGAATTCTAGAGACTAGATCTTAAAGTAGTGGTTCTCAAAGTGTTGTGCCCGCACCAACATCAGAATGGCCTGCAAACTTGTAGCAAACTCTGGGGAGGAGGCCAGCATTCTGTATTTTAACAAGCTTCCCTCAGGAGATTCTGATGCCTGCTAAATTTTGGGAACCACTGTTTTAAAGGAAACTTTTTTTTTCTTTAATAGCATTTAATTGTATGAGATGATTGCTTTTACATGTGATTTCCTTGCAAATGTTCTGAAGTTGAGGCATCACCAAACAAGTCTGAACAATTCTTTATGTGATTTATTTTTAAAGTAGACCTTTTGAAGAGATCTATGAATGGGATATAAAGCAATTTTCAGTGTTACAGGTTTTCTTCTTCTTCTCAAAACTGTTTGCTGTAAGTAACTGCAATCAGTACTTACTACTTTCCATTTGCTTATGAGTTTCTTGACAAATCAAGGTGTAGAAAACCAGTTATTAAGTGATTTTGTACTTTCCTGGTAGTTGTCACTAAAATAATTTTTGTGGCATATAAATATATTTAATAAAATGCAAAAATTATCTTCCTGTCTAGTAGAAAAAATTACATGAGTAAAGTGAAGCTTCTGTCTTTGTTACTGTACCAGGTGACAACAGCTGAGTGTCCCTCCATGGACAGTCACTATTGGCCTTTTGAGTGAGACAGTTCTTTAGGATAAAAACCTGTCATCCCATTGCAGGATTCATTTAGCCTTTCTGGCCCTTACCCACTGATGCTAGTCATTGTGACCACCCCACCTCCCCCAAATAAAAGTGTGCCAAACTATTCATTGTTGAGAACCATTCAATTGTATTCACCAAAATTGGAGGATATATTGGAATGCCCTACCTTAATATAGGTCACATAGCATTAGAGAAAATTGGTTTGGAGAGTATTACAGCAAAGTGTGCTGCAAGGAGGCTACTCCAGCACAATGGCAGGCACTGCTTCCCAGGCATATGGACAATTCTGGGAGGTGGCCAGGGTCAGCACCTGATAACTAGTAAGTGTCTCAATCTCAGCATACAAAATTTAGCAGTGACTACAAAAGAAGTTGGAATTTTCTAAAATGTTTGTATTCAAGAAGGAAACAAATGAATTTACTAAATGTTGTCAGAGTATTTTTTGTTTAGATAACCACCAAGAACAGAACAAACCTAAAAGATACTTGGGAAAATATCTAATCAGTCAACATTCTAAGGACTGTTAAATGTGAAATAGCATAGTTATTTTTTGTCTTTTGTTACTAGTGTGAACAAAGAACGGCGCCTAACATATAATGGGCATTTAGTAACTCTGTTAGATGAAAGACTCTCCAATTTCAGATTTTCTTTTAGCATCTTATTAGTCACTACTTAATTCTGATGATTTAGCTCTAAATTTATTTTGATCTCAGTTTTTTTATTTTTATTTTTGGAGACAAGATCTTGCTCTGTTGCCCAGGCTGGAGTACAGTTGTAGGATTACAGTTCACTCCAGCCTCAATCTCCTAGGCTCAAGCAATCCTCCCATCTCAGCTTCCCAAATAGCTACGACTACAGGTGCATGCCTCCATGCCCTGCTAATTTTTGTATTTTTTGTAGAGATGGGGTTTTACTATGTTCCCTAGGCTAATCTTGAACTCCTGAGCTCAAGCAATCCACCCGCCTCGGCCTCCCAAAGGGCTGGGATTACAGGCGTGAGCTATCATGCCTGGCCTAATGTATTTTTTAAAAGTTGAATCTAAAAAGAATTTAAAACAAATATAAATCAGCTCAGTAAGGATGGATATTTTTGTACATTTAAAACTATTATTTTAGGCCGGGAGTGGTGGCTCACACCTGTAATCCCAGCATTTTGGGAAGCCGAGGCAGGGGGATCATCTGAGGTCAGGAAGTTCGAGATCAGCCTGGCCAACATGGTGAAACCCCTACCTCTACTAAAAATACAAAAATTAGCTGGGTGTGGTGGTGGGTGTCTGTAATCCCAGCTACTTGAGAGGCTGAGGCAAGAGAATCACTTGAAACTGGAAGGCGGGGGTTGCAGTGAGCCGAGATTGCACCATTGCACTCCAGCCTGGGTGACAGAGCAAGACTCCGTCTCAAAAACAAAAAAAATTAAAATAAAAATTATTGTTTTAGCTGCATGTCTTCAGCTATTTAGAATTCAAAGACTAATGAATTGTTTCTAAGTCACCCTAACATCAAGGTACTTATTTTATAAAGAATTTCCTCCTTATTTGTGTTCTAATTGACCCAGGAATTTTTACTTTAATAAAAGTTTAACTTTATTTCCTATGGAAAATCACTAGGGGGAGTGCTCCCTCAGGCAGAGCAGGCGACACTTTGGTGCCACTACAAATTGATGTGTAGTATATAGAAGAATACAGTCTTATATTTAAAGACTTTTAGTTCTGTCTTTTTGAAGTTTATCTCTCTTTCTAGTAAAATGGTGCTTACTGTGAATGGATAATCTTTTTTTTCATTTTTCATTTGTTGATTTCCCATTCGATGATGTAGTGCTTCCACCGAGAATTGATGAAATGCTTCAAAATAATAAAAGTATTTGTTAAATTCCACTTTAATAAAAATAAGGCATGTAACACAGTCATTTTAACAGGAAGCCACAGGGTTTCTGTGGTGTTACCAAAGTCCTAGTAAAAATTAATTAAAATTGCTAAAAGGGCAGAATGTGGCACTCTCAACAGTGGGGTAGGCAGTCCTTCAGAACATAGAGACTTCCTTCTTTCCTTCCCTGTCTTCACATTGCTTGTCCCTTATCCCCACCTGAAATAAAATCTATTGGGTCCTGAGAAATCGGAGTGTATAGTATTTTTTCTTTTCCCAATTATGTTTGTAATTTGCTTTCATTCTCTTTGGAATAGGCAGTGCTGCTTTTATACTAGAATCAGGTTACAAGCACCCCAGGAGGAGTCATTAGCTTTAACAGAATTTCCCTCTCAGGAGTGGACAGCTAGTGTTCTAAACAGAAACACCAAAAGCAGCGGTTTCAAGTGCTTTTCGTATCTGTATCTCAGTCACGTCCAGAGATTTCGATAATCAGCAGAGTAAATGTGTGAAATATATTTTTGAAATTCATAGCTTGTTGATCATTATAATAGATACTAGTAGTGGCTCTCACTGGCAAAACTAGAGGTATTCAGGATATGTGAACTTACTAAATTATTTCAGAGTATTTCCTCATACTAAAGTAAAAAGGAAGTAACAATCTAGTAAACCCTGTGGCCTGTACCCTTAGGCATGGTGCCTGACACTTGATTCCAAAATGGTCTTGCTTCCTGCCATTTTGTCCAAGGATTTTGGTTGCCGTGGCTGACTACGTTAGGACAGTACTATTTCTGGAATATTGTCAAGCCTGCCTTAAGTGGACCTTTAATGCAGTGGTGGGTGAACTTACCAAATCAGCAGGTAGTACGTCATTGAACATACAGAACAGGTTACATAAACTTTTTTTTTTTTTTTTGAGATGGAGTCCCACTCTGTTGCCAGGCTGGAGTGCAGTGGTGCGATCTCAGTTCACTGCAACCTCCACCTCCCAGGTTCAAGCGGTTCTCCTGCCTCAGCCTCCCGAGTAGTTGGGACTACAGGTGCATGCCACCACATCGAGCTAATAATTGTATTTTTAGTAGAGATGGGGTTTCACCATGTTGGCCAGGATGGTCTCGATCTTTTGACCTTGTGATCCTCCTGCCTCAGCCTCCCAAAGTGCTGGGATTACAGGTGTGAGCCACCACACCCAGCCGTTTACATAAACTTTTTTGTTTGCTTGCTAAAAAATGTTTATTGAGCTAGGTGTGGTGGCTCTCACCTGTAGTCCCAGCACTTTGGGAGGCCGAGGCAGGAGGACCATTTTAGCCCAGGAGTTTTGAGACTAGTCTGGCCAACATAGCAAGACTCCATCTCTAAAAAAAATTTTTTTTTTTTAATTAGCCAGGTGTGGAGTATGCATGTAGTCCCAGCTACTCCAGAGGCTAAGGCGGGAGGATTGCTTGAGCCCAGGAGTTCAAGGCTGCAGTGAGCTATGGTCATGCCACTGCACTCCAGTCTGGCAGGAGAGTGGGACCCTGTCTCAACAAAAAATAAAATAAAAATAACAATATTTATTGAAATCTGTATGTGAGACAGCTTGATCTGGGCTTGAATTATTTTTTTTTCTAACTTGGTACAGAGATTGTTGGAAAATAGCTAATCCTCATCCACCTCAAAAATGTCAGTGCTTGTTAGCTAATTCAGAAGAATTGTAAGAGCTCTGTATGTTAGCTCAGATCTGTTAGAAATGTCAGGTGTTTGATTGGATTGGGTTATCCAGATTGGTTGAATTTAGAAAGTAGCTTCTGTGGTTTTGCAGTGAGAATGCAACTTTATATTTCTAATGTGGCTTGTTAAGACTTTGGGATTTCACCAAAATAGTAAAATTTTAAAACTTTTGGGCAGAGCACAGAGGATTTTTAGGGCAGTGAAACTAATATGTATGATACTATAATGGTGGATATATGTCATTATAATTTTTCCAAACCCACAGAATGTATACCACCAAGAGTGAACCCTCATGTAAACTATGGACTTGGGTAATAATGCTGTGTCAGTGTGGGTTCATCAGTTGTCACAAATGTACCGCTCTGGTGGGAGATGTTGATAAGGGAGAAGCTAGGCATGTGTGCAGGTAGGGGGTAAATGGGAAATCTCTAGCTTTCCCTTAATTTTTTTTATGAACCTAAAACTGCTCTAAAAATGCCTTTGGGAAAAACTTTGGGGACCAACATAGGTGCCAACTTATTTTACTAGGTATAAGGATGTTAAAATTATATGATTCAGTATCACCACCATTTTATAAAACATTTTAATATCAAAACCTCAGACAATGGCAACCTTACACTGACAATAAAGAAAAACTTTAAACATTAAAAACAATCCAAATGCAGGAACAGGTACACCATAAAATTTTATTTCACAGTGTTATGCTACTGTTTATTGATATAGGTTTGTCAGTTTGGAGATCTTAGGATTGCAAAATAGTAACATTTTATAAATTTTGGTGCCACCCAAAATGGAGTCTGAATGGCCATTTCTTTCTGGTATTTTTTTTTTTTTAATGTCAGTCATTGTTGAAGAGCTATTTTCAACTACGTATGTGAAAATGGAAGCAACTCTTCTGATGCTACTGTAATCAATTCAGAATATTCTGGGGAAGAACAGCAGCCCCATCTCCAGAAAGGGCTAAAATGAACAATGATAGGCCAAGTGACCAGTTAATAAGCACCACAGAGAAGGGCAATGGAATATATAGCTGCTTTCAGCCAGGTCTGCAATGTGGGACCTTGATCCTGAGTGCCAACCCTAAAGCATCCTGGGAGTTAGTCGGCAACTGCCAGGAGAAGGCCTACCAGTCAGTGGACAAGGCTTTGGCTTAGTTAGTATATGTGTGCTTCTGCCACAGCAGAACACAACTCACTATACCTTGGGTACTGGTTGATTCTTAGATTTTACAGGCTGAACAAATGACTGAAATAATTTCCTGAATGAAGAACCAAAATGTGGTTCTGTAAGCACTGAGTGCGTTGATATAGATGTTGATAGTGATACACTTGGATCCCCAAAGACACAGGGTCTTTGAGCTGTATTATTATTAATTTATTTTTTAGAGGGAGTTTTGCTCTTGTCACCCAGTCTGGACTGCAATGGCACAATCTTGGCTCACTGCAACCTCCACCTCCCAGGTTCAAGTGATTCTCCTGTCTCAGCCTCCCAAGCACCTGGGATTACAGGCACCCACCACCATGCCCAGCTAATTTTTGTATTTTTGGTAGAGAGCCGTGTTGGCCAGGCTGGTCTTGGAACTCGTGACCTCAGGTGATCCCCCTGCCTCAGCCTCCCAAAGTGCTGGGATTACAGGCTTAAGCCACCGCGCCCGGCCATTTGAGCTGTATTAAATCAAGTTAGACAACTGGGAAAAGATGAAGAGAGAAAAATTAAAGTTATTTATAGTGCAAACCCAAATGAGATTTCTCTGTCGCTAAATTCACAAGAAAGTAAGGAATATTATTCAAGATTGCAAATTCTTTCGCTAGATATACACTTGCTCAGAGTCTAAGGATTTTCTTCATAAACAACCACAGTGAGTATTCTGTTCCTAAAACAAGCCTTTTTAATCCAGTTTGGTGGAGGCAGCAGAGTGGGATGGAAAGAGTAATCATCTGTGATCCAGGAAGTCTGCTTTATAATTACCAAGCTGACCTTGAACAAATCACTCTCTTGTCCCTAGTTTCTTTTGTTGTTGTTTTGTTTTTGTTTTTGAGATGGAGTTTTGCTCTTGTTGCCCAAGCTGGAGTGCAATTGCATGATCTCAGCTCACCGCAACCTCCACCTCCCAGGTTCAAGCAATTCTCCTGCCCCAGCCTCCCGAGTAGCTGGGATTACAGGCATGCGCCACCACACCCAGCTAATTCTGTATTTTTAGTAGAGACAGGGTTTCTCCATGTTGGTCAGGCTGGTCTCAAACTCCTGACCTCAGATGATCCGCCTGCCTCGGCCTCCCAAAGTGCTGGGATTACAGGCTTGAGCCACCATGCCCGGCCGTCCCCAGTTTCTTTATAAAATAAAATGGTCCTTTCTGACTTTGAACATGTTATGACGAGTTCAGTAAATCAGATCAGGGTAAGTGTTTCAGAAGGTTCAAACTATTCCTCCCAAGGCAGTTTTGGTGACCTCAAACAGGCTATGACTAAAAACACCTCCAAATACAGTTGACCCTTGAACAACATGGGTTTGAACTGTGTAAATCCACTTATACACAGATTTTTTTCAATAAATACATTGGAAGTTTTTTTTTTTGGAGTTTTTTGACAATTTGAAAAAACACAAACTGCGTTGCCTAGAAATATTTTTAAACATTTTAAAAGGTATGAATGCATAAAATATATGTATATACTAGTCTATTTTATCATTTGCTACTACAAAATATGCACAAATCTATTATAAAAAGCTAAATTTTCTCAAAATTTACACACATATACAGTACATGGTGCCATTCACAGTCCAGAGAAATGTAAACAAATGTAAAGATGCAAGGTTAAATCATAGCCACATAAAACCAACTGGAGTACGTACTGTACTGCAATCATTTTGTAGCTGCCTCCTACTGCTGCGGCAGTGCGCGCAGATGTTGTGAATATCCACTCAAAACGCTATGTGATGCTAATCATCTCTGCATGAGCAGTTCAACTCTCCAGTAAATTTCATGTGGCAGAAAAAAGTACTCTCTCGAGATTCTTAAGTATTTTTCATCATGTTTAGTGCACCATAAACCTCATATAATACCATGGGACCCATATGAAGTGCCACTAGTGATGCTGGAAGTGTTCTCAAGAAGTAGAAGTCATGACATTACAAGAAAAAGCTGAATTGCTTGATATGTATCAAAGATTGAGGTCTGTGGCTGTGGATGCCCCTCATTTCAGTCCCAGGATTCTTTCTGTAAACAGACAATGTAAACTTAACGGAATCAATAAATACAGTAATGTAAATGTATTTCCTTATTTTCTTTCTTTTTTTTTTTTGAACAGGGTCTCACTTTCTCATCCAGGCTGGAGTGCAGTGGCACAATCTCAGCTCACTGCAGCCTCGACCTCCTGGGCTCAAGCAGTCTGCCTTCCTCTGCCTCCCAGAGTGCTAGGATTACAGGCAATGAGCCACCACACTTGGCCCCTTATCATTTTCTTAATAACCTTTGCCTTTCTCTAGTTTACTTATTGTAAGAATATATTATATACTATACATATAACATACAAAATATGTGTTAATCAACTGTTAAGCTTATCAGTAAGGCTCCCAGTTAACAGTAGGCTATTAGCAGTTAAGTTTTGGGGGAATCCAAAGTTATACAAAGATTTTTGACTGCACAAGGCATTGGCAGCCCTAGCCCCTGCATTGTTCAGTGGTCAACTGTAGTACATGAAAGTGTTCACCAATAAACTCCTTAGGTATCGCAGAATTTTTTAAAAAGTCAGAACTGAAAGGAATAGAGTTAGAAAAAGGGAAATGGAAGGTAATGGAGTTCCAGTGACACAAAAAACTAACTTAAAGCATGTGACTAAAAGATTTCTTTCCCCCAAGTCATAGATCAGGATCCTAGTTGGGTTTGTTTGTTTGTTTTTTGTTTGTTTTTTTTGAGACGCAGTCTCTATCTGTCGCCAGGCTGGAGTGCAGTGGCATGATCCCAGTTCACTGCAACCTCCGACCCCGGTTCAAGTGATTCTTCTGCCTCAGCCTCCCGAGTAGCTAGGTTTACAGGCATGTGTCACCACGCCCAGCTAATTTTTTTTGTATTTTTAGTAGAGATGGGGTTTCACCGTGTTGACCAGGATGGTCTCAATCTCCTGACTTCATGATTGGCCTGCCTCGGCCTCCCAAAGTGCTGGGATTATAGGCATGAGCCACCGCGCCCAGCCAGGATCCTAGTTTCTAATGGCTCTTGGGTATTTCACCTGGAATGCTGCTGCTAAGTGGACCTTTTTTTCCCAGAGTCCTTAATAAAAAACCGTTGTTTTAGATCTGCCACTGCTATCAGTGTTGAGAAACATTTTGTGGTCGAGAATTTTTATCATCAACAAGGTTGTCTTTATTGTTGGCTATCCTGTATAGAGGTTTTCAATTTGATAACAGAAGACCTAGAGGAAAGGAGAAAACCATTTGAGCATTTTTCTTGGTTCTTGCCTTCTCTTCCTCCATAACTGGCCCTGCCTCCCCCAGCAGCAGATCTCATTGCCTTACCTGAGCCAAAGGCTGAACTTAGCCTGAGGCGACTGTGTCACCATTATTCCACCACATGACTATACTCTCAAAATGCTGGCTCTTCTAATAGGCCTCTAAAATCTTACTAGAGTCTCGGGTTTTCTTCCTAAACAGCAGGGAGCTCTTCCCTTGATTCAGATGGCAAACCAGGGATATTTGAGCCACCTGGATTGTTTAAATCCCAGGTGGAAAACTTATCTAATTTAGGGCCTTTTATATAGTTGATGATTTTCAAGTGGTTTCTTCTCACGAGCTCGGAGACTTACAGCCCGAGGCCCTGTGAAAGATCTCTCTTGCTTGTTTCTAGCCGTTGAGATGTCTGTCCTCTGATTTCCCATTACTGAAGGAGCTGAGCAGGAATTTGATGTATTATGATCCAAAAGACTGCTCCAGAAACACAGTTACTATTAAGTGTTCTTTAGTCACCTCCTATTTCTACCTCAAGCCTGAAAAAAGTGGTTTTCATAGCCCTTTTTTTACTTGAAAAGAATATTTGTTCTGTAGAATATGAAATACAAAATTTTATGAACTTGGGGTTTCTATGCAAGTTGCACTAAAGACAGGCTCATTCTCTATTACTGGACTGTATAAAATATAGAAAGCTATCTGGCACTTTAACTTCCTTTGCAGTAAACCAGGAGATAATGAGATTCCAAATTAGCTGAAGAAATAGGCACAGATTAAGTTAGTTGCCCAGGGGTCTCATAAATTCAGAGGTGGGCAAAGAACTGTAAGAGGGCTGCATCTCTGCTAGGGATAGTAAGTGGGAATCAGCCTCGGGCCTACTTCTGTCGCACCACAAGGTGGCAGGATTCCCCTTGTCTGAAACCTGAAAGGACAACTGATTTCCATAGTGTATATATTATCTTTGAGTTTAGGTGACTGTGTCAGACTGCTTGTCTATGAGACTAACAGTGTTTCCAGAACCTGATAAGTCTATATCTTTTTCGAGATGTTAACCAGCAAAATATTTTCCACATCAGCTTGGTAGTAGCTTTTCAAAATATTCAGCCCCTATCTCCGTTTGCTTCGTGCAACAGTGGTGCCAGTAGAAGGTAATAAAGTCAAAGACCAGCTTTCAGTAAAACTAAAAATAGCTGTTACTTAGTACATGATTACTATGGGGCCAGGCACTCTGCTAAGCACTTTACATATAATGCATTATCTCATTTATTCTCACAACAACACTGAGATAGGTACTATACTTCATCCCCATTTTATAGATGAAGAAACCAGGATTGCCCATAGCTAGAAAGTGGTAGTCCTGGGGTTTGAACTCAGGCTTGCCTGTCTCCAGAACTACAGCTCTTAACCACCATGAATCAAAAAGATTAATTCATAGGGATGCACTGAAGTCATATTTCTATGATCAGATTAAATAGTTGATGAGATAATCATAGTTCATAAAGACTTTATGTCCTAAAGTGGGGCCAAAATTCCTTACCAAACTGCAAAAGTATTCATGTATACCCTCAGGGCAAGTATACACTACACCCTTTGCTTTCAACAAAACCAAACCTTAGTTTCTCTACTTTGATTCTAAAGACAGGGCAAGGTTTTATTTGCCAAAATTTAAATCACTGATCATTTCAAAAAGACTTTAGGTATGTAAAATACAATGGTTTCTAAAAAACTGATTTGCAGCCAGGTATGGTGTGTTCATGCCTGTAATCCCAGGACTTTGAGAGGCTGAGGCGGGAGGATCACTTGAGCCAAGGAGTTGGAGGCCAGCCTGGGCAACATAGTGAGACCTCGTCACTACAAATTTAAAATATAAAAATAAAAATGTTAAAAACCTGATTTGTTCCCAACATGCCAATAAGGAAGGTTTTGTATATATATGTATTTTTTTTAATGTTTAATTTTTTTTTTATTTTTCTTTAGGAGACAGTCTTGCTCTGTTGCCCAGGCTGTAGTGCAGTGGCACAATCTCGGCTCACTGCAACCTCCACCTCCCAGGTCAAGCAATTCTCCTGCCTCAGCCTCCCGAGTAACTGGGACTACAGGCGCATGCTACCACGCCCGGCTAATTTTTTGTATTTTAGTAGAGACTGGGTTTCACTGTGTTTCCCAGGCTGGTCTCGAACTCCTGAGCTCAGACAATCCACCTGCCTCAGCCTCTGAAAGTGCTAGGATTACAGCATGAGCTACAGCACCCAGCCGAAGGTTTTGTATATTAAAAGTCCTGAGAAGCCCTTCAGAAAAGTAACCTGTGTCACTTTGTTTAAACCTGTTTTTTTTGTTTTTTTTTTTCCTTAAATGATTTTTGTCTTTCTGCTACAGAGCCTTTCTTCCTCCCCCAGAGAACTGGCACACATCCCTTGGAATCAGCATTTCTTGCAGCCCCTTTCAGGACATGCTGCCCTGTACAACAGCTGTAAAGTACTTACCATTCCTCCATACACTGCCCTCTGTCATGCTTCTGTGCCTTTGTATGTAGAGTTCCTTCTTCCAGGAATGGCTTCTCTTCTCCATCTGGATGAACTGCTACTTGTCCTTTAAGAAATGGCTCAAATGTCACCCTCTCTATGAAGTGTTTTCCAATTCTCATAGATTGTCTCTCCTTTCATTGCACTGAGAATGCTATTCCAGAACTTAAATTTCATGTTATTATTTCTTCATGTTTTCTCTTACACTAGAATGTTGTCCCCTTAAGATTAATGACCATGTTTTATTTATCTTTATTACCACCTGCAGCTCTAACTGCACCTGGCACTTAGTAGGTGCTCAAAAAATGTTTGTTAAAGGAATGAATGAAGATGAAGAAACTGAGACTCAATGTTTAAGTGACTTAAGGTCGCATGGTTTTTGGGATTCACACACAAGGTGCCTTGACTCAGAGTACAGTGCTCTTTCTCTATACCTGAACAGCAAGTATGTGGTAGAAGTCCAGCTGTTCCCCCACCCGTACCCCAGGGCAGACAACACTAATAATCAAGCTCCACCAAACCCAGCCTTTTGCTCTGGAACCTCAAGCTCTGCCTGCCCTATTCCATGCTATCCTCTCCTATCAGACCATTTCTGTGGGCGTGGCAGAGTAGCTGGGGATTGCAGAGCTCCCCACTGCTCTGCTAAAGATAAGGTACACTGAGCTGGCTCACTGTGGCTTAGCAGCCCTTGTTCCCCATAAAAGAGACCCTCAAGCAGGGAACTAAAGGCTTCTGAGTTTTCACTTCTCTACCTGCCCCAATGCCTCCAGCTAGTCCTAGAATCCTGATTTGGAAAAGCTGCTGCCCCTTGTTTGGCTACCTGGCTCTGGTGGAGCAGATTGTGCTCCTCACTCACTCATACCAAGGTTTGGCCAGATATTTCCTCCTTAATTTTGTAGATGGAGTGTTGGAATGTTTACTAATAAATAATAGGAAAAGAAGATGAATGCAGCAGCCTGGAAACAACCCAGCTTATGGAACATACATTTCATCACTAAGGTCTTGCCCAAGACTGGTCTGGCTGATACAAAATGTACTGCAGCATATCACCTCCTTTCTTTTTCCTTGCTCACTTCTCTCTGGAAATAATCACCTCCCAAATCCCCATCTCCACCCTACTTTCCTTCTCCAGCCCCTCAGCCCAAAAGAGGCTGTTCCATTTTGTTCATATGACCAAGAGGACTGAATATCACTAATAGTTTAATAGGCATTGAGGCACCTTCCTTACTCCCCTCTTATGAGGAGAAAAGGATGGTTCTCCCTGCTCCTTCTGTTGGTTTCTACAGCTTTATACCCATCAAAAGGTATATCAAAATAACTTTTCGGTATGCAGCTGTTCCAGAGACATCTGACAGATAGAAAGATAAAGTTGATAACTTCATGCTTTCATACATCCAGTAAGTTTGATGACTAGGTAGAGTTGTTAAAATGGCTGATATTTATTGAGCACTTAACAGTATACCAGATACTGTGCTAAGTGCTTTATGTAAATAATCTCATTTACTCTTCATTATGTTTCTACATTATAGATACTATTCTAATCCTCATTAGAGAAAAGTGGGGCTTAAGATAACTTGCCTAATGGCACATAGAAAGTGGTAGAGCCTGGATTCAAACACAGATATGTCTAACTTTAAATGTAGTCTATGACCTTAACTACTACATTCTTCTAACAATCAGAACTGTCCAGTAATGGAAGGAAGGGGCCATTTTGAGAGATAATGAGTAAATTCCTGATTATGGGAGGTATTTAATCAGGTACTGGACAAACAGTAATCTCAAAGGTCTTCTCTACAAATACAGCTCATGCTAATATCAGTGATGTCAGTGATTATTTTCTATTTGCCAATATAATGGCTTCTGATTAGTCATCCTTCCCTTTCCATCTGCAATCATTGTCATCTTCATCATCACCATTAACATCATCATCATCATCATCATCATCATCATCATTAACACTCTCATCATCTCTAATTAGCACATACTATGTGCCAGGCACCTTTCTTTGCAGTTTTACTTACATTAACTTATTTATTCATAACAACCCTATGAAGTAGATATTATATTATTATCATCCCCATTTTATGGATGAGGAAACTGAGAAGTAAAGCGATTTGTCCAAGATCTCACAGCTAAAGACAGAGCTGGGATTATAACCCAGGCCATCTGGCACTAGTCCATTCCTTACCACTACATGGCACTCTCTTAATATTTGACACATATACCATACTCTTAAAATGTATCTTTTTTATCATCACAATATTTATTGTAAAAAGTAAAATGACACAGAAATACATAACATAGAATTTGAAAGTCCTCCATAATCCTGTCCTAGAGATAATTACTGTCCTTTGCACTAACTACATATTTACATATACTTATGAGTTATGCTATATATATTGCTCACTAATGTGTACTTTTCATATTTTTAGCCCTAACAGTATATATGGGAATATTCTTCCATGACACTTAAAGCTCTACATCATGCCTTTGAATGACCATATTATATGGCAATAAAAATGTACTAGTATTTCTACTGGTAGACATTTTTTTCCCATTGTTTGCTATTATAAACAAATCTAAAAGATATATTTATGTATGTATAGGTGTATATTTGTATATATACTTATATTTATAAATACATATTTTGTGTAAGGATTTCAAAAGACAAATTCTTAGAAGTGGTCTTTCAGAGTCAAAGGTTACAGGCATTTAAACATTCTATTAACTTTTCCCAACATATCCACCAAAAAGGTGCAATCAAGATACAGTCCCATATAAATAGAGTATTGAGAAGGCTGAGCTCCCCATACTTTTGACAGAGCTGGGTTTTCTTGCCTGTATTTTTCATTACCACAAAAACGATAGGTTAAAAATGGCATTTTATGTTTTGAATCCTGCCTGAGATTGGAAATCTGTGTGTGTGTGTTTATTGGTCATATGCATTTCTTCCTCTTTGAAGTGTCTCCTCGTGTCTTTCGTAACAATGACACTGGCCTCTCTTTCATTGAAACTTTGTCCTCTGATTTCCTATTTTTTCCTGACTCTCCTAATTCTCAAGGACTTTTTCAGAGACTCCTTTTCAGTTCCTCTTTCTGCGTGATCCCTAAATAATACAATAATGATAATTACAATAATTAACATTTCACAGAAGCTTACTATGTGCCATACACTAAGTAAAGCACTTAAAATGAAGTGCTCTATTTCTGTGCATTTTCACAGATGAAGAAAGTAAGCCTTAGGAAGTCTCACTATAAGTGGGAAAGCTCAAATTTGAGCCCCAGCTGTTCTGCTACCAAATCACCATATTATATTCTCTCTGAAATAAGTGTAAGCATGCTCCAAAGTTCTTTCCTAAGCCTTCTTGTTTCACATGTATGTATTCCATGGGTTATTTTATCCATTCCATTAGCTTCAGAATCATTTCTTTGAGCTCCTGGCCCATACAGCCAACAACTTAACAGCCATTGCCAGGTGAATGTATTGTGGGTATTGCAAACATATCCAAAGTGGAAACCATCTTCCCTCAGGCGCCCTAGAAATCCTCCAAGATTATTCCTCTTGCCAATACTATTTAATAGCATTGCCATTCACCCAGTTGCCCAAGCTAGAAACTTCAAAGTTACCTTTGATTCCTGCCTCTATTAAACCTCACATCTGACTGGTCCCACGGTCTGTCAATACAGACTCCATATAGCTTCTCGATCTGTCCTCTACACGTTCTTCCTACTACGGCTTTAGATAATTAAGGGTCTAAACATCTCTCCCTTGGACTATCAGATCTACCTCCTAACTGCTCTCCCCACTTCTCCCTAGGTACCATCTATCCTTCTCATTGCTGTCAGAGTTAATGTTTTAAAGCTAATAATTGATCATGTCATATCTACCCAAAACTCTTTGATGGTTGCTTTCTGTCTACTAAATAAATCCCAAATGCCTTAGCGCAGTACATAAAAATTCCATAATCTCACCCCAGTCTGTCTTTCCAAACTCATGTCCAGCACGTCCCTCCTTAGGTACCTTAAACTACAACCACTCGAGGCCACTTGCTTTTCCTCAGCAATATCGGGTATCTACGCCACTATGCTTCTGTTCATGCAACTTGGAATACTCTCCTCTAGCTTCTTGTCTACCTGCTAATGGCTACTTTTCTTCGAAGAACCTGCAACCCATCCCCCAACCTACGCAGAGTTTCCACCCACATTTCTAACCTCATGATTTATTACTTGCCCTTTTCCTTTACATTTCTACTAAAGACTTACTACAGACTAACTTGTAATCTGGTCATACATGTCTGTTTTCACGTAAGGGACTATATCTTAAACATACTAGTATTTCTAGTGCTTAAATGAGCTAGAAATGTACAAAAGAAGTACATTTTACATTTAGGTAAAAGTTAGACTAACCAACCTGAAAGTTTAAATCTGAGATTTTTGTATGCCCTTTCTGTACACCAAAATTTTATTTGAGGCCCTTGCAACTATCATTTAACCTTGAAATTAACTCTGATTTCAAGGAGCCATTTCTACTTTAGCTTTTTTGCAGAGGCTTCAAAAGCCAAGAATTCGGGCTCCTAGCAATGAAAGTCCAGTGAGTGTAGTCAACGAGTTTCCGGAAGAGGTGAGGTAAGAAGCAGGAGAGTACATCGGAAAACTAGCAGAGTTCCAGGACATCTGGGATTGATTACTCCAGCAAGATGCTGAAGTTTGCAAAGAGACAGCAATCGTTGTACCAGGTTTTGACATCTGGCTTTGGCAGTTACCCCCATGGTTTTGCTCAGCAGTTCTTGAGGAATGAGATATGGGCTTGTTTCAGGGAAAGAAAAACCTTCTGCCACAGCAAAGTCCTTAAAAGACTCTTCTTTTCCCCTTATATGGACTTTCTTGGTAGGTTTGGTTTCGTTGTAATTTACAGAAAGAAAAATTAATTTCCAAGTACCTAAAGAAACTCATACCACCTAAGGTCTGAATTAGATCTCCTAATTTTTCCTCCTTCTATGAATCTTTTCAGATCACCTAAAAGACACAGTAAATACTGGAAGGCAAAGCAACCTCAGGCTACCGAAGAATTAGATTCATTCCAGATATTCTGAAGTGTCTATTTTTAAATACAAGCTGAGTAGAACTTCTGTTCAGTTTTGAGGAAACATCATGCATTTTTTCTCTGAAATTATACATTTTGTTCTTTTAGTTTCATTATTATTACCTTCAGAGCACAAAATATACTTTAGATATGTTCAAAGATTCAAAATCTCAAAACTAACCTATGGTAATAGTGGCTAACAATCATCTCTGATTTCAAATATTCTGAACTGTTGCCCTGAAAGCAAAAGGCAATCTTCTGTGAAGAAGGGGAAGGAAGGGTGTTTTACGAACACTTATTGAGCGCATACTCTGCCAGGCACTGTACTATGCATGTTATAGACATGATTTTATTTAAAACTCACAACAACTCTCTGTGGTTTACTATGATCTGGATGTTAGCAATGGAAAACAAGGTTCAAGGAGGTTAAGTCATTTGCCCAAGGTCACATACTTTGTGAGTGGAAAAGGCAGGTTAAGATCACAGGTCAGACTCCAGTAATGTATACTCTGTACCTATTACTCTTAATATAAAACAATAATACGGTGATACAAAGAAGCCTCTTATTTTAACATTCTGACATATTATCTCTTGTACTTCAGATAGAGAATTGTTATTATTACTATTTTGTTATTAAGATCTCAACATTCATTGGGCATTTAAGACCTGCTAAGACCTTCCAGGCCCTGATCTAAGTCTTGTATTATTTATCATCTCATTAACTTTCAGAAAACGTACTTTTTGAGGAAAGTACTAATATTTTACTGATGAATAAACAGAGGCTGAGGGAGTTAAGTCACTTCACCTAGGTCAGAGAGCTGAGTGATGGAGCCTGAGTTTTAAATCCAGGCAATCCTGGGTGCAGTGGCAGATGCCTATAATCCCAGCTACTTGGGAGGCAGAAGCAAGAAGACCGGCCACAGAAGTTTGGACCAGCCCGGGCAACACAGAAAGACCTCATCTTTTAAAAAAAACTCCAGGCAGTCTGTCTTCAGATTGTAAGCTACACTTCCTGGAGTACAGATCCTGGAGTCAGAGAGACCCAGATTAAAATTCTACCTTTGTCTCTTCCTGGGTGAGTTAACTTCAGTAAATCATAAAACTTCAGTTTTCCCACATGTAAAATGGGTTCTGGAGCCTTGCCTGCTGAACAGGTATCCTCATACGTATACTCAAATTCATCAAAGTCAGAATCTGTATTACATTAGTGAAATGGCATTTTTGAAATCTGATCAACCCGGATTCAAATCTTACATTTACCAGCTATCTTATGAACAAAATACCCAACCTTTTTTTTTTTTTTTTTTTTTTTTGAGACAGGGTCTCAGTCTGTTACCTAGGCTGGAGTGCAGTGGTGCAATCGCGGCTCACTGCAGCCTTGACCTGGCCTCAAGTTATCCTTCCACCTCAGCCTCCCAAGTAGCTGGGACCACAGGCACATGCCACCACACCTGGCTAATTTTTATATTTTTTGTAGCGATGGCGCTTCACCATGTTGCCCAGGCTGGTCTTGAACTCCTGAGCTCAAGTGATCCACCAGCCTCAGCCTCCCAAAGTGCTGGGATTACAGGTGTGAGCCATCATGCCCAGCCAAGATACCCAAACTTTCTGAGCTTCAGTTTCATCACCTGAACATGGAAGATAAAAACACTCACCTAGGGAGGCTGAGGCGGGTGGATCACGAGGCCAAGAGATCAAGACCATCCTGGCCAACATGGGGAAACCCCGTCTCTACTAAAAATACAAAAATTAGCTGGGCGTGGTGGCATACGCATGTAGTCCCAGCTACTCGGGAGGCTGAGGCAGGAGAATCACTTGAACTCGGGAGGTGGAGGTTGCAGTGAGCCAAGATCGCGCCACTGCACTACAGCCTGGCGACAGAGCAAGACTCTGTCTCAAAAAAACAAAAACAAAAACAAAAAAAAACCCCACCTAATAATGTGGTTTATAAATCAGAAAAAGTATATCTAAATGTATAATACAGTGCCAAGGAAATGGAAAAACTTCTACATTATAGTTATTAATATTTTTACAGTTACTGATTAAGAAAACATGCTTTCATATACACCAACAGGCAGGGAGCAAAGTTCCCCATTTTGTCCTGTGGCTGATCCTCTGTATCCTTGTAACACAGGAATTATTGACAGAGGCTGGAGAACATCCTCCTCTGGGTAATGATAAAACAGGAGATAGTCTCCTGTGGGGCCCACCTCAGGTGTGGCTCTGACTGAAGGGGGTGTGGATAGGAGGGCTCAATGTATTCTCCATGGCATGATCTTCCCCACCTGTCTAGCATAGTGAACCTGTTGAGAAGGGGACCAATTATCAGCCACCGCTGGTGAACACATTCAGGGTCCTAACTCTCAGCAGCAATGCACCTCTGTTAGAGGGCTCTCAGGGAAAAACACATGGCCTTTAGAGTCACACTTATTTGAGTCCAAATCTCCAAGACTGAGTGAATTTAGGCAAATTCCATTATAAAACATCAAGCTCCCTTCTGTTAAATGAGAGCTATCACACCGGGTATTTGTGAGGATTACATTAAATACTTTATGAATAGGACCTAGCTCAGTTTTATGAATTTGGTATAAATTCAACAAGTTTTTGTTCTCTTCCCTCTTAGAAGAGAACAGTTCGAGGTCAATACTATTCTGAGACAAACAAATGTCAATGATAAGCGTCATTGATAACGTCAAGGTTAAAGACTGAGACAAGTCTATACAAAACTCTCTTTGACTTAAATTCTAAACATTTAAAAAAAGAATCTGAAGAGGTTCTGTCATTATTAACTTTGGAGACAACTGTATCCTAAAAAAACTTGCCTTATGTTTAGGGACCTAGACTTTGTATGTTCAGCAAGAAAAATTATTTTAAGGTACTCATTTACTTTCTCTGAATCCATATCATAACTATCACACTGTGATCAACAACAACCTTGTCTTGCGGGGCTTTTCTATAATGCTCAGCATTGAAAGGGATATTATAAATACTAAATATTACTGCAGCAGACCCTATTAATACTGGGTTCTATGAGACTGTAAGAAATCAACTAATTTCCCCAAGTATAGGATTTGGTCAAATTCATACACAGGTAGGATTTTGCCTTACTAGCAAGACTGATAGAAGTGAATCACCCCTACCTGGTTGAACTGGGAGAGGCCATGCCATGCATATATCCACATTGATGACATGGCTGATGGCCAGGGCCAGAACTCACCTCTGCCACAGGGTAAGGAGGCTCTTTGTCTCCCTACTTCTACTGTGTTCACCTCCATATACAAAGATTTGAATCATCAGACACTAGGTGAGGTGAGAAACAACAGGTTAAAGAGAATCAGATAGCAAGCACCTTAACTGCAAACCAAACTCAGGAAAGGACCAGCGGAACTGAGATCTTGTCACAAGTTTACATTTCAAACACCTGCACTACATTTCATTTGTTTCCTAAGCTGATAACAAAGATGTAGCCCCTACCTAGGCTTATGGCATCCTAAATCTGCAAGTTGAATCCCTATTACAAATGGAGGATGTAGCCATGCTGTCTTAGTCCATTTCGTGTCAGGTGAGGGCCCACTTCCTGATTCATTGACAGCCATCTTCTTTCTGTAAACTCACATGGTGGAAGGGGCAAGGAGGCTCTTTGAGGTCTCTTTTAAAAGGGCACTAATCCCATTCATGAAGGCTCCACCTTGAGTCCTAGTCACCTTCTAAAGGTCCCATCTCCAAACACCACCACATCGAAGATTAGGTTTCAACATATGAATTTTGAAGGGACACAAGCATTCCATCTACTGCACATGCCAACAAAAATTTATTGCCAGGTAAAAATCTAAATGAGCCTCTCCTTACACTGACTTTGTGTGAAACATGGTAAATCCTTACAATGTATATGCTATGGTCTTTTTTTATTTCAGAACATTTGTCTTCAATGATATCACTGATTACAGCTTCTATTCCAATCATAATTTCTTCAGAAATACATACAATTATTTGGCTGAATCTCTACTTTGTCCTGCATACCAACTACTTTCTCATGAGACCCCTCTCTTCTTTCACTCTGCGTTCTAAGAGAGCTTTTTAAGTTTATCAATCTTGATTCTTAAAATTGGCAGGATATTAAAACTGCCTCACGAACTATTAAAAAAACAGATTCTGTACACAATTCTTAAAACTTCTAATTCAGATGGTCTGGGGTGAGACTCAGGAATTTGTTTTTTGCTTGTTTTGTTTTGTTTCCTACTGTGTTGCAATTCTAGATTTGAGAAACAATACTCCAGTATCACTCCATGTTAAGAGTCTTCATTATTTTCAGTGTGGATTTGAATTTTATTAGACTTGTTTCCCTGGAACCCCTGCTCATTTCACTCATCATTTTCCATTTCATCTCATTTCTTATCCTCAGATTGTCATCTTTTCATTTCAAAGTTTTCTCTCCTTTCAGGCTTCTGCCCCCATTACCCAGATGTCATCCGCGTGTTCATGCTTCCCTGGAAAAGCTATTCTGGCTCCTATAACTTACATTCAGGGGGCTTTTTCTCTGAATCTTCAAAATGAGTTCCTCTTTCTTCTGTTATTTACTATTTTCTGATCACATTAGGTTACCCTGAAATCAGATGAAACTCCCTGCGAACCTGATGTAGACTGCTTCTGACTCCACCCTCTGCTCATTTGAGTATTACTTGATCTTTACCAACTTTTCCTCTGACTTTGAATAAACTTAGGTTTTATGTAGAGACATCCCCACCTATTTTACTAAGCCTTTAGATTCATTCTGTCAGTACACTGACTGGTTGAACACCTCTTGCCACACCCCACTGCAAGGGAATGAGCTCTCTGGAAGGGAAATGAGTACTTGGGTATGGATGGTTAAACAAGGTATTACTAATTCCACTCAACCTTGAAGTGCTTTCAAGAGATGCTGCCACTATCATACTTGGATTTCAAGATTAGGGTGTTACTCTTTTAAGACCCTTGTCCAGATAGGGACTCAACTAAAGTTTTTGTATCATATTCTCCCTCAGCATATCTAACAAAGCAGACAATTTTCAAAAGATAACACATCACTTAAAAAGAGAAAAGGAGAGATGGAATGAAATGGAAGGGAAGGGAAAATACATATATACATGCATACATATGTACATACATCCCTCCTCACATCCTGCTTACAAGCCCAGGGGAAAATGTAACGAAACCAGCCAAAAGTCGCCTTCCTCAGCAGCTGAATTGCCTTTCTGGGCTCTCCTTTGGCAAAGCAGATCCTGCCCGTATTATGAAAAGTTTCAGCCACATTTTTGCTATAGTCACTGTAGCTGAATACCTGGGACTTTAATGAAGCCTTTAGCAGTCTGTAAGCCTCCTGAGGGATAAAACGTTTTTTTTTTTTTTTTTTTTAAATCAGCCTGGCAATTCCGAAGGAGCATGCTGGTTCTGTTCCCTGAGCTCTATGGAGAAGGCATTGTACCCAACAATGACATAACCCACCAGGATCAGTCCGTTGTGATGTGTCACCTAAGTAATTTGTATTAAGAATTAAAGTTCCAAGCTTGTAATTAATAATAGTTAATTCATATAATACTATTTAATCTTCATGGCTGCCCTACAAGAGAGGAACTGTTATTATACTCATTTTACAGATGAAGGAATGGAAACTAATAACAGCTAAGGATCTTGCCCCAGATCATAGAGCCTATGATTAGCAGTGTCAGAATTCCAACACCAGGCAGTCTGAATTCCACAGCCCTCACTCTTTTTGTTCACCTATTTTTTATTTTAATTTTTTTCAAACCTTCAGAAAAGCTAAAAGAATAGTAAAATAAATACCCATACAATTTTCGCCTAGATTCACACATTGCTACAATTTTGCCACGTTTGCTTTATTTTTCTCTTCTTAAAAAGTAATGTCTCTCTCTATATATAAATATACATGCATACACACACATATTTTTGTTGAAAATAAGTTGTAGGTAATCAAGATACTTTACTCCTAAATGGTTTCTTTCTTTTTTTTTTAGACAGGGCCTCACTCTGTTGCTCAGGCTGGCGTGCAGGGGTGTGATCAGGGCTCATGTAGCCTTGACCTCCCAGGCTCAAATGATCCTCTACGTCAGCCTCTAAAGTAGCTGGGACTATAGTTGTGCACTACTCTGCTCAGCTTATTTATTTATTTATTTATTGTAGAAATGGGGTCCCACTATGTTTCCCAGGTTGGTCATGAACTCCTGGGCTCAAGTGATCCTCCTGCCTTGGCCTCCCAAATTACTGGAATTACAGACAGGCATGAGCCATCGCATATGGCCACCACTAAATACTTAAGCATGTGTCTTCTTAGAACAAGAACATTTTCCTACATATCTACAATAACATTATCATTCAAGAAATCTTACATCAATACAACAGCGTTTCCTGATACAAGCTCCATGTTCAAATTTCCCAATTGTTCCAGTAATGTTCTTTACACCTCCTTAAAATCTAGCATCTAATCATCATGTATTGCATTTAGTTTTCATGATTCTTTAATCTGTTACAGTTCTCCTGCCCTTTTGGTCTTTCATAACATTGACATTTTTAAAAGGTCTAGGCTAATTGTCTTTCAGCAAAGCTCTCACTGTTAACTACTTACTATACAGCAAAAATAAATTAAGTATGCACTGGAAATTATTCATAGGACAAAGGTGCTTGTACTCATTTGCCTTCCCAATGTGCTTTCTTTAGGGAAGGTGAAGAGGTATTATTGCTGGCTCCCTCAAGAACTGTACATCACCCACTCACTGCCTGAATTATCTATGTTGACAGATGTAACAGACATTTCTTCATAATTGGGTTGAACATGTAATCATCATCCCTAATGTGGCATGTCAGAACAACAAACATAAAAGGGATGTCAATTGCTGCTTTCCAGAGAACACTGCCAATAAATCAGGAATCTCAAGGCTACTACTGTAATATTTTTGCATTTTTTAGAGTAGGAAAGCATGCATATAATTTGTTATTTTCCTATTTATTTTTTTCAGTGTATAAGTCTTTCACCTCCTTGGTTTATTCCTAAGTATTTTATTCTTTTTGATGCTATTGTAAATGGGATTGTTTTCTTACTTTTTTTTTCAAATTGTTCAACGTTAGCATATAAAAATACAACTGATTTTTGTATGCTGATTTTGTTTCCTATAATTTAGTTGAGTTTATTAGTTCAAACAGGTTGTGTGTGTGTGTTTGTGTGTGTGTGTGTGTGTGTATGTGATCATTAGGGTTTTCTACATAACATCATGTCATTCTGCAAACAGAAATAATTCTACTTCTGTTCATATTTGGATGTTTTTTATTTATCTTTCCTGCCTAACTGCTCTGGCTAGTACTTCCAGTACTATGTTGAATAGAGGTGGCAAAAGTGGGCATCCTTCTTTTGTTCCTGATCTTAAAGGAAAAGCTTTCAGTTTTTCACCATTAAGTATGGTATTAGCTGTAGGCTTTGCATATATGTATGGCCTTTATTATGTTGAGGTAATTTCCTTCTATTCCTTCTTTGTTGGCAGTTTTTCTTTTTAATCATGAAAAGGTATTGAATTTTGTCCAATGCTTTTTCTGCATCTCAGAGTATCATCTGACTTTTATCCTTCATTCTGTTAAGGTGGTGTATCTCATTGATTGATTTTTGTATGCCAAACCATTCTTACATCCCAGGGATAAATCCCACTTGGTGATGGTGCATGACTCTTTTAATGTGCTGTTAAATTTAGTTTGCTAGTGTTTTGTTGAGAATTTTTGCATCTATATGCATTCAGGGATATTGACCTGTAGTGTTCTTGTAGTGTCTTTTTATGGCTTTGATGTCAGAGTAATGCTGGCCTCATAAAAAGAGTTTGAAAGTGTGTCCTCCTCTTCCAGAAAATGGAAGAGTTTGAAAAGAATTAGCAATATTAATTCTTCTTTAAATGTTTGGTAGAATTCACCAATGAAGCCATCTGGTCCTGGGCTTTTATTTGTAAGAAGGTTTTTGATTACTGATTAAATGTCTACTTAGATTTTCTATTTCTTCATGATTCAGTCTTGGTAGGTAATATGTTTCTAGAATTTTATCCTTTTCTTTTAGGTTATCCAATTTGTTGACATATAATTATTCATAGTAGTCTCTTATATTCCTTTTAATTGTTGTGGCATCAGCTTAATGTCTCTTCTTTCATTTCTGATTTTATTTATTTTAGTCTTCTCTCTTTTCCTTTGAGTGAATCTAGCTATTCAGGGAACAGGTTCCAGCAGCTCAGGCTCTTTCCCATTAGTTCTCACAAAGTGTGCTTCCCTGGATGAAGTAGGTTGGCATTTCAGTTGAACCCAGGGAACTATCTCTTTGACTTCCTTTTTTTTCTAACCATTTTCTTTCAGAAGTTTCATGAGGCCATCCCAGCTCTTAGAGTGCTGAATATGCACCAAACACATATTTATTCTGTTGGCAAGAATCTTGTCAAAAATCTTGGGTTGACAACACCAACAGCTTGCTGGATAACAATGTAGGCTCTCTCAGTCTTGCCATGGTAACACTTGTGGGGTATTCCCTTTTGGACAATGCCTATTCCCTTGATTTCCACAGTATCACCTTTCTTATAGATTTGCATGTATGTGACCAGAGGAACATCTTCATGTTTTCTAAAAGCCCTAGAGAACATGTAAGGGGTGCCTCTCTTCTTTTCTCTGTTTTGTTTGTTTGTTTGTTTCTGGTTTGTTTTTTGAGACAGGGTCTCTGTCACCCAAGCTGGAGTGCAGTGGCATGATCACAGCTCACTGCAGCCTCAACCTCCCAGGCTCAAGTGATCTTCCTGCCTCAGTCTCCCATGTAGCTGGGACCACAGGCATGCACCACTGCACCTGGCTAATTCTTTAATTTTTTTACAGATGAGGGTCTCACTTTGTTGCCCAGGCTGGTCTCAAACCCCTAGGCTCAAGCAATCCTCCTGCCTCGGCCTCGCAAAGTGCTGGGATTACAGGTGTGAGTCTCCATACCCAGCCGTGATTGTCATTTTGATGAATTACTGGAAGAAGGTGGTTCCAGATGAATGAGTTTTATTTTTTATCCATGGCAGATTAAACTACTTATCAAAAGATATTGTGTGTGTGTGTGTGTGTGTGTGTGTGTGTGTGTGTGTGTAGTCCATGGGAACAATTCCCAAGTCTTGTGAGTTTCTGTTATGGTCCTCTAGGACAGGCCTAGAGCCTCACATGAAGCTTGGAGGCAGGAGAACGAGCTACTTTTAAATATGGGAAATGTGTTATAAAATTCAGCAGTTTCATTCAAAAGTTATCAGGCATCTTCTATGTGCCAGTTAGTGTTTCAGGCAGTGAGGACACTGCAGTGAACAAAACAAACAAAAATTCCTGCCCTCATGGCACTTGCTTCCTAATGGTAAAGCTGACTTGTCCATAGTCCGTCCTGCTTATGGTTTAGATTTGGAGCCACCTGGCACTCAGGTCCTTTGGTGGCTTTGTCCAGGAGCTTGGTATACTAGAAAGTACTTGGTTAGAAGTGGAGGATTATCAGGCATTGGTACTGGTGGTGGTACTGGTGGTTTGTCACAACCAAGGTCATGGTATTCACTGCACCAGAATATAACAAGGATAAGGTATTAAATTCTGGTAACGTATTTTCACATCTTTGAAAAGAAAGTTATTAGATCAACCCATGGCATTGGGATCTCATGTTAATCTTCTGAACCGGCCGGGTGCTGTGGCTCACGCCTCTAATCTTAGCACTTTGGGAGGCCGAGGCGGGCGGTCACTTGAGGTGGGAGTTCGAGACCAGCCTGACCAACAGGATTAAACCCCGTTTCTACAAAAATTAGCCGGGTGTAGTGGTGGGCGCCTGTAATCCCAGCTGTTCCGGGAGGCTGAGGCACAAAAATCGCTTGAACTTGGGAGGCAGAGGTTGCAGTGAGCTGAGATCATGCCACTGCATTCCAGCCTGGGCAACAGAGTGACTCTGTCTCAAAAAAAAAAAAAAAACAGTCTTCTAAACCAACAGAAAATATCATGGCCACAGAAAAAAGGTTGCAAATCATTATAAGGTTTTTGTCTTTACAAATGGCAATTAAAATTGAAATAAAGAAAACGTCATCATTTATAAAAAATGTTTAGATATGATATAAAAAAAACTGTTCTTCATTCCTGGAAATAAATTTTTACTTATTATGTGCCTGTAACTCTACTCTTAAACTGGTTTTTACATGGCCAATAAGACCATGTCAAATCTATCCATATTTCTCACTCTTCTGAGGAAGTATAAAGTTGGCTTGGTCAGATCAAAGTCATGTGGGATCTTATGACAGACAAAGGTCTTCACTGTGTTCATGCTGCAGTGAATATATAAAGTTCAAGTCAAAAGGTTTTGAATGATAGCTTAGACTCATGGGACTTCTAAGTAAAAAGGTCAGCAATAACAATTATTCTCTATAACTTTTTAAATGTGAAAACAAGATTGTGGCTAATAAAAACCTATCAGATCAAGAGAAAACCACTACTGCAAAAGAAAAGAACTAGTAGCTAGATCCGAAGATGGAAGCCAATTTTGACTTAAAATATTAAATTTACAATGCCAGAGATCATGTGTGCTGGATTTGAAGGATCTCATGTATCAAGATACAAGAAAAATATTTTTTTACTAATATTCCAAGCCACCTAAGCCCTGTGTATTATTCCTAGTTTTATTCTTATTTTTTTCTCCAAACAAGACAGGCTTTATTTAGATCACCAAAAATAACATTTTACAGAAAGGGAACCATAACATTACACAACAAAGTATAGCTGTAAAATTTCAAACAAGAAAGGCAATGCTGGTGGGGCACAGTGGCTCACTCCTGTAATCCCAGCACTGTGGGAGGCCAAGGCAGGTGGATCACCTGAGGTCAGGAGTTCAAGACCAGACTGGTCAACATGGAGAAACCCCATCTCTACTAAAAATACAAAAATTAGCTGGGCATGGTGGCGCATGCCTGTAATCCCAGCTACTTGGGAGGCTGAGGCAGGCAAATCTCTTGAACCCAAGAGGCGGAGGTTGCAGTGAGCCGAGATCGCCCCACTGCACTACAGCCTGGGTGACAGAGACCCTGTCTCAAAAAAAAAAAAAAAGTTTGTCAGAGAGGGAACCGTTAGAAGCAAACATATGGCTGCCAATTTTCTTTTGCCATCAATATCGAGTCCCTCTAAAATACTTTGAGCCTACTCTGCAGTTTCCAAGTACAAACTAAATCTTGTCGGACAGAGTTGCTCAGTTTCATCAAAAGAATGAAACCAATCTGAAAAAAAAATAATTCGGTTAATGCTAGCAAAGAATGAAACAATGTGGTTCTTGCCTAGTTTTATCTGGGACCTATCTGATCTCCAGTATCTGAATTGTAAGATGAAAAATGCTATTGTGATCTAATAAACAAACTAGCAATTCTGTTTATGCATTGATCATATTTACCTGTTTTTCTCCATTTTGGACAAGCCATTTGCAAAATTCTTCAGTGGTGCTCAGTGTTTCAAAATCCTCTGAGCCCAATGTTGCTCGATATGCATTGATACTTCTTATGAAATATATCTCAACAGCATCTGGAAAAATTGAAACAATTATTTAAGGCAAGCTGCTAACCTTTACAAATGTCTAATATCAGCTTTGGCTCAATTGACATTTTCATGCTTAAAGTCCATGCTTGTTCTCAAGCCAGGTCTCATAAGGACTCTTTAAAAGTCTAAGATGTGTGGTTTTTTTGCTGTTGTTGTTTTCTTTTGTTTTTTGAGATAGAGTATCACTCTGTTGCCAGGCTGGGGTGCAGCGGTGCAACCTCGGCTCACTGCAACCTCTGCCTCCTGGGTTCAAGTGATTCTCCTGTCTCAGCCACCCGAGTAGCTGGAACTACACGTGTGCGCCACCATGCCCGGCTAATTTTTGTATTTTTAGTAGAGATGGGGTTTCACCATGTTGGCCAGGACGGTCTCAATCTCTTGACCTCGTGATCCGCCCACCTCGGCCTCCCAAAGTGCTGGGATCACAGGCATGAGCCACCGCACCGAGCCCTAAAATGTGATTTAATGACATCAGATGATGTTTTGGTTTTTATTCTCCTTATAAAATCCATGGAATTTTTTGTAGCAAAAAAGAAAGCTTCTGTCTGAATAATCTTATTATGCTAATACTACAAATAACTACCATATTAAACTCCCAGGTATACTGCAAGACTATATTTTTAGCTAAATAAAACTCTGATAGTAATGTTTACTAAGGTTCCTGTTTGGGGGGTGCTGGGAGGGAGTAAGTTGTGATTTTATAAGTATTTTAAATATATAGTTGTTATGGCTTGAAAATTTAATTTTAATGTTGTGTCTTTCCAAACATAATACGTTTATATCAATCTAGAAAATACACAGAAACAATGGGAAAATTTTGCCAATACCATACTTTTCTTGTGTGTAAACTTATGGAGTACAAGTGCAATTCTGTTACATGTATAAATTGCATAGTAGTCACAGCTTTTAGAGTATCCATAACCCAAATAACATACATTGTACTCATTAATTTCTCATCATCCACCCCACATCACACCCTTATGAGTCTCCATTATCTAACACTGCACTAAGCCCATGTGCACACATTTGTTAGCACCCATTTATGAGTGAAACCTTGATACTTGACTTTCTGTGTCTGGCTTGTTTCACTTAAGATAATGACTTTCAGTTCCATCCATTTTGCTGCAAAAGACATGATTTCATTCTTTTTTATGACTGAATAGTATTCTATTGTGTATATGTACCACATTTTCTTTATCCAATCATCCACTGCTGAATACTTAGACTGATTCTGTTATCTTTACTATTGTGAATAGTGCTACGATAAACATACAAGTGCAGGAATCTTTTTGATATATACCTTCCTTTTCTTTTGGGTAGATGCCTAATAGTGGGATTCCTGGATCAAATGGTCATTCTATTTTTAGTTATTTGAGAAATCTCCGTACTGTTTTCCATAGAGGTTGTACTGATTTACATTCACACCAACAGTGTATGAGAGTTCCCTTTTCTCTGCACCCTCACCAACATCTGTTTTTGTTTTTTTGTCTTTTTCATAATAGCCACTGTGACTACAGTAAGATGATTTCTCATCTATACTGTCTTCATTGCTGTGGTTTTTTAGTAAGTCTTGAAGTTGGGTAGTGTTAGTCCTCCAACTTTGTTCTTCCATGTTGTTGGTTATTCTGGCCTCTCCATGTAAACTTCAGAATCAATTTGCTAATATCCAAAAAATAACTTGCTGAGATTATTATTGGAATTGAGTTGAATCTATAAATCAAGTTGGAAGAACTTTATATTTTTTTATTGAGTCTTCTTATCCATGAACATGGAATAGATATTAAAGATATCTTAGTTTATTTTAGTTCTTTGATTTCTATTTTTTTCTTTTTGAGATGGGTCTCACTGTGTTGCCCAGGCTGGTCTCAAACTCCTGATCTCAAGCAATTCTCCTAACTCAGCCTCCCAAGTAGCTAGGACTACAGGAACACACCACAATACCTGGCTAGTTCTTTGATTTCTTGCATCAGAGTTTTGTTGTTTTTCTCACATATATTTCACAAATACTTTGCTAGATTTATACCTAATTATTTCATTTCTTGGAGTGCTAATGTAAATGGTATTGTTTTAAATTTTCTTGGAGTGCTAATGTAAATGGTATTGTTTTAAATTTTAAATTTTACTTATTCATTGCTGGTATATAGGAAAGTATTGACTTCTGCATATTAAACTTGTATCCTGAATCTTTTCTATAATCACTTATTAATTCCAGATATTTTTGTTGATTCTTTCAAATTTTCTAATCAGACGATGTCATCTGCAAATAAAAAGTTATATTTCTTCCTTCACAAATATTATAGTATAGTTTTTATTTCCTTTTCTTCTCTTATTCCATTAGCTAGGTCTTCCATTATGATGCTGAAAAGGAGTGGTGAGAGGAAACTGTCTTGTTCCCAGTCTTAGAAAAGCTTCTAGTTTTTCACCATTAAGAATAATGGTGTTGGCTGGGCACAGTGGATCACACCTGTTATCCCAGCACTTTGGGAGGCCGAGGTGGGTGGATCACCTGAAGTCAGGAGTTCGAGACCAGCCTGGCCAACATGGTGAAACCCCGTCTCTACTAAAAATACAAAAATTAGCCAGGCATGGTGGCAGGTGCCTGTAATCCCAGCTACTCAGGAGGCTGAGGCAGGAGAATCACTTGAGCCCAGAAGGCAGAGATTGCAGTGAGCTGAGATCACACCGTTGTACTCCAGCCTGAGCAACAAAAGCGAAACTCTGTCTCAAAAAAAGAAAAAAGAAAGAAAGAAAGAAAAAAGAATAATAGTGTTAGTCAAAGGAGAACCAAAAAAAAAAAAAAAAAAGAACAATGGTGTTAGCTGCAGGTTTTTTGTAGATGTGACTTATCAGGCTGAGGAAATCCCCCTGTATTCCTAGTTTGCTGAGAGTTTTTAATCATAAATGAGTGTTGGATTCTCCCAAATGCTCTTTCTGCATCTATTGATATGATTATGTGATTTTTCTTCTTTAGCCTGTTGGTGTGATGCATTGATTGAGTCTCAAATACTGGACTGGCCTTGCATACCTGCGATAAATCCCATTTGGCTGTAGTGTATAATTCTTTTTGTACATTGATGGATTCAACTTGCTGATGTTTTGTTAAGGATTTTTGCCTCTATGTTCATGAGATGTATTGATCTGCAGTTTTGTTTTTTTTTAAATCTTGATAATTTTTTTTTATTATACTTTAAGTTCTGGGGTACATGTGCAGAATGTGCAGGTTTGTTACTAGGTATACACATGCCTTGGTGGTTTGCTGCACCCATCAACCCGTCGTCTACATTAGGTGTTTCTCCTGACACTATCCCTCCCCCAGCCCCCCAGCCCCCGACAGGCCCTGATGTGTGATGTTCCCCTCCCTGTGTCCATGTGATCTCACTGATCTATAGTTTTCTTTTAATATCTTTGTCTAATTTTGGAATTAGGGTAATGTTGGCTTCATAGATTGACTTAAAAATGGCTACTCTGCTTCTATCTTTTGGAAGAGATTGTCAAGAATTTGTTATATGTTTGGTAGAATTCACTAGTGAACCCACATGGGATGGTTATTAATTATTGATTCAATTTCTTTAATAGAAATGGATCTATTCAAATGGCTTAGTTTTTCTTATGTGAGTTTTGGCAGATTGTATCTTTCATGAAAGATTGACCTATTTCATCTAGGTTATTGAATTTGTGAGCCTAGAGTTTTTCATAATATTCCTTTATTGTCCTATTAATGTCCATTGGATCTGTAGTGATGTCTCCTGTTTCATTTCTCATAATGGTAATTTGTGTCCTGTCTTTTTTCCTTAGCCTGGCTAGAGCTTTATCAATTTCATTAATCTATTCAGAGAATCAGCTTTTGGTTTTGTTTTCTTCATTGACTTGCTGTTTTCAATTTCATTGATTTCTACTGTAATTTTTATTATTTTTTTCTTCTTACTTTGGAATTAATTTGCTCTTCTTTTTCTAGCTTCCTAAGATAGAAACTTAGATTACTGATTTTAGATCTCTTTTCTAATATGCTATAAATATCCCTCTAAGCACTACTTTTGCTGCATCCCACAAATTTTTACATTGTTTTCATTTTCAAAAAAATCTTAATTCAAAACATTTTAAAGTTTCTCTTGAGATTTCTTCTTATCCCACACATTTAGATATGTGTTGTTTAATCTCCAAGTATTTTGGGATTTTCTAGGTATCTTTCTGTTATTGATTTCTAGTTTAATTCCACTGTGGTCTGAGAGCAGACATTGTACATTTTCTTTTAAATTTGTTAGGGTGTGTTTTATGGCCCCGAATGTGGTCTATCATGGTGAATGTTCCATGTGAGCTTGGGAAGAATGTGCATTCTGCTATTGTTTGGATACAGTAGTCAATAGATGTCAATTTTATTAAGTTGATTGATGGTGCTGTTGAATTTGATTATGTCCTTACTGATTTTCTGCCTGTGTATCTGTCCATTTCTGATACACGGGTGTGATGATTAATACTGAGTGTCTTGACTGGACTGAAGGATGCAAAGTATTGATCCTGGGTGTGTCTGCGAGGGTGTTGCCAAAGGAGATTAACATTAGAGACAGTGGGCTGGGAGAGGCAGACCCACCCTTAATCTGGGTGGGTACAATCTAATCAGCTGCCACTGTGGCTAGGATAAAAGCAAGCAGGAGAATGTGAAAAGATTAGACTGGCTTAGCCTCCCAGCCTACATTTTTCTCCTGTGCTGGATGCTTCCTACCCCCAAACATCAGACTTTGGGACTTGGACTGGCTTCCTTGCTCCTCAGCTTGAAGATGGCCTATTGCGGGACTTTGTGATCCTGTGAGTTTAATATTCCTTAATAAACTCCCCTTTATATATATGTATCTATCCTATTAGTTATGTCCCTCTAGAGAACCCTGACTAATACAAGGGGTGTTGAAGAGTACAACTATGATAGTGAATTCATCTATTTCTTCTTACAGTTCCATCAGTTTTTGCCTCAAATATTTTGAAACTCTTGTTAGGCACGTACACATTAAGGATTGTATGTCTTATTGGAGAACTGACCCCTTTATCATATGTAATGCCCCTCTTTGTCCCTGATAACTTTCCTTGCACTAAGTTTGTTCTGGCTGAAACTAGTACGGCTACTCTTGCATTCTTTTGATTAATGTTAGTATAGTGTATTTGTCTCCATCCATTTCCTTTTAATCTATGTGTCTTTATATTTAAAGTGGATTTATTGTAGACAACATATGGTTGGGCGTTGTTTTTTGATCACTCTGAAAATCTTTCTTTACATTGGCTTATTTAGACCACTGATGTTTAAAATAATTGTTAATATAGTTGGATTAACATTTACCATATTGTTACTTTTCTATTTGTTGGTCCTTTTTCTTTGTTCATATTTTTGTCTTTCACTCTTTTCCTACCTTTTGTGGTTTTGCTTTTTAAATTTTATTTATTTATTTTTTTTTTAGAGACAAGATTTCATTCTGTCTCGTAGGCTGGAGTACAATGGTGTGATCATAACTCACAGCAGCCTCAAACTCCTGGGCTCAAGCAAACCCCCCACCTCTGCCTCCTGAGTAGCTGGAGTTACAGGCATGAGCCACTGCACCCAGCTCCTTTTGTTGTTAAATTGAGCATTTCATATATTCCAGTTTCTCTTTTTAGCATATCAGTTACACTTTTTTAAAAAACTCTTTTTAGTAGTTGCCCTGGAGTTTTCAATATACATTTACAATCATTCCAAGTTCACTTACAAATAACACTATATAGTACCTTATAATAACAAAATAATCCTAATCCCTGCCTTCTGCTCCTAATTTGAACAAACTGTTATTTGTTAGATTAAGAATAGGAAAAATGAGTTTTTTATTTTATGATCACATTTCTTCTCCAGTGAGCTTCCTTTCCTTATGTGCCTATGAATTTCTGTATCATTTTCCTTTTCTCTGAAGAACTTCTTTTAATATTTCTTTACGTCAAGTCTGTGGTACTGGTTCCTGTGGAGATAGATTTCTACTTTGGTACATTGTGATTCTCTTTATTTTGCTGTCTCTCCAATTTGTGGGGCACTGGTTTGCCATGTGACCTTAGTTCTCTGTGACAGATCTAAGAGGAGTTAATATTTCATTTTGCTTTTTACTTGTTGTTTGGATAAAGTGATGACTTCCAAACTCCTTATATACCAGACCAGAAACCAGAAGTTTCTGCTCAGATTTTAGTGCTTATTATTTTTAATCTGGATTTCTGGGGTTCACTCCTGTGTCTGCATAGCTTAGTGTTGACCTACTGATTTGGGCAGAGGTTGTGCTTAAATACCTTCAGCCTATACGTCGCCCATCCTGTCAACTGCTCTGTATGTAGACAAAAATGCATTCCAAGCTCTCACACATTTCAAGTCTTCTTTGGTTGTTACTCTTTATTAGGCTTTCAAGTATCCCCTACACATGTATGTAGTTTTGTGGGTATCCAGGGATGTGGGGAGAGCTCATTTAGCCCTTCTGTGGTCTCCCCATTAAAATTTCTGATGCCACTCACACCAACCAGAACAGCAACTTCAGGCTAGTGTCAACATGCAGGCGATCCTCTTTTCATTTCCTCCAGAGTTTGCCCCCTTTATCTGATAAACCTGTGTGTTTTTATCCCTTTCATCATATTAAGTCTGCCTCCAATGCCAGCAAAGCTGCCGGTTCTCCTGTGCGGCCCGTGGTGATAACATTGCAATTCTCATGGACCGACCTGGGGCACTGGATGGAAGCAGCCCCAGGCAGGAGGGCCACTGATTTTCTCTTTACTCAAAGCTCCAGCAGTTTTTTCAAAATAAATGCTTTGCAATTTGTTCTTTTTATCTACTTCCAGCACTATCAAATAGTTATGACCATTTTATACAGTTTGTGTGACTGCATGTATGTGTGGATATGATTTACAGATCTCTTCACAAAGTCATATTCTGTTTACATTTTAATGAAATCTTACTTTGTAGTTTAATGTTTACCTAAATGTAACTATAAACAATAGTATTATTTTGTATGTCCTAAAAATGCAACTGTTTTTCCTTAATACTTTTAAAAAATTAACCTTGATATCTACAGATATAGTCCGGTCCTTTTTTTTTTTTCTTTTCTTTTCTTGAGACGGAGTCTCCCTCTGTCACCCAAGCTGGAGTGCAATGGCGCGATCTCGGCTCATTGCAACTTCCGCCTCCTGGGCTCAAGCAAGTCTCCTGTCTCAGCCTCCTGAGTAGCTGGGATTACAGGCGCATGCCACCAAGCCCGGCTAATTTTTGTATTTTTAGTAGAAACGCGGTTTCACCATGTTGGCCAGGCTGGTCTCAAACTCCTGACCTCAGGCAAAATACCTGCCTCGGCCTCTCAAAGTGCTGGGATTACAGGCGTGAGCCACTCCGCCCAGCCCAAGTCCGGTTCTTTTAACAGCTACAAAATTCCATGTAGTGAATACACCAAAGTTTCCTTTTACTTATTGATATATATATTTGGGTTATTTTTTACAATTATAATCAGTGACACAGTGAACATCTTTATTCATGTTTCCTTTTAAATTTTACTAGATATTATCAAATTAGACTCCAAATTTAATATCAATTTACACTCACTCCTACTAGTTATGAATTTGCCAACTGCTATATATTTTTAAATTTTTAAAATTTTCACATAGGATGGGTGAAATTTTGATCTTGCATTTTTAAAGATACATACCATTTTAAAATGTGTGACATCCTGCCAAATTGCTCTCCAGAGTTTTTATCAAATCTCATCAATCCTGGTGTTATCATTTTTTAAAATTTTGACAATTTGTTAGACAAAAAGAGTAACTTTGCTTTTATTTTTGTAATTACTAGTATGATTTAAACTTATTTTCCACATGAATTTTGGTCTTATTATTTTTAGAGACAGGGTCTTACTGTGTTACCCAGGCTAGAGTGCAGTGGCACGCTTATAGCTCTCTGTAGACTGGAACCCTTAACTCAAGCAATCCTCCTATTTCAGCCTCCTGAGTAGCTAGGACTATAGGCACATGCTACCACACCCAGCTTCTTCTTCTTTTTTTTTTTTTTTGTGGTAGAGATGGGGTCTCACTATGTTGCCCAAGCCAGTATAAAATTCCTGGCTTCAAGTGATCTTCTCACCTTGGCCTCTGTATTTAGTTTGTATCCAGGCCTTGGTACTTTTTTAAAGCCTATTTTTTTCTATGTAAATATAAATTTTAGCTCTTACAGTTAGGACAATGTCCATTATTAATGTCTGTGTATGGCATGAGTAAGAGTCCAATTTTTTTTTGGCATGTGGTATCCAGTTGTTGCAGTATCATTTGTTTTAAAGACTATCCTTTCCATATTGAATTACTTCTGCACATTTATCAAAAATTAATTGGCCATAATTATACAGGTCTATTTCTGTACTACATTGTGTTCCAATAACTCTATCTCTGTTAGAGATATTATTGGTGTCTGATTATAGAGAGATATGTTATTAGTATCTGTCCCTCCACCAATATACCACATTCTCTTGATTACTGCTTTATAGTAAATCTTAAAATCAAGTACTATGATTCCTCCAACTGTATGCTTTTCCAAAACCATTTTAGCTATCCTAATTTCTTTGCTTTTTCACACAAATGTTAGTCAGCTTGTCTATATTTACAAATGCTTCTGTTGGGATTTTGATTATAATTATGTTAAATCTGCAGATCAATCTTGGAAGACTGATATCTTTACTATATTGTCTTCCAATCCATACATAGTATGTGTATTTATTTAGGTCATATTTAATTTCTTTCATCAGTTTTGTAGTTTTCAGCACATAAATACTGTACATATTTTGATAGATTTATACCTAAATATTTCATTTGCAGGGATGGGGCTATTGTGATTTTTTTTAAATTTTTGTTTCCAGTTGTTCATTGCTACTATATAGAACTACAATTAAGTTTTGTGCATTGACCTTGTATCCTGTGACCTTGCTACACTTAAACATATTAGTTCTAGGATTTTTGTAGATTATTTGTCATTTTCTACAGAGACAATCATTTTGACTGCAAATAGGGACCATTTTATTTTTCTTGCCTTCTTGCATTTGCTGGACTTCTAGTACTCTGCTGAATAGGAGCAGTGAGAGTGAACATCCTTGCCTTGTTCTTGATCTTAAGGGGTACTCAGTCTTTCACCACTAAGCATGAAATCAGCTGCAGGGTTTTTGGTATATGCCTTTTATCAGATTAAAGAAGTTCCTTCCATCATGAATGGATGTCGAATATTGTCACATGCTTTTTCTGCAACAACTGATAAAATCATGAGCTTTCCATGACTGGACTGTTAATATGGTAGAGGTAAACTGACTGAGATTTGAATATTAAACCAGTGTGACATCCTTAAGAAAAAACTTCACTTGATCACGGAGGTCTGTGACCATACCACCCTAAACACACTGGATCTCACTTGATCATGGTATGTTATTTATATATTGCTATATATTTTGTTGCTTTTTTCATCTACACACATGAAAGGTCTTGAACTGTAGTCATCTTTTTTCTTGTAATGTCTTTGCCCAGTTTTGATATCAGGGTAATACTGGCCTCATAGAAAGTGTTTTCTCCTCTTCTGTTTTCTGAGACAGATTATGTAGAATTGGTGCTATTCCTTCTTTAGATGCTAGACAGAATTCCCCGGTGAAATCATCTGGGCCTGGAGATTTCTTTCTTAAAAGATAAACTACAAATTTATTAAAAAGAAATAGTTATGGGTCTATTCAGGTTATCTGTTCATCTTGACTACACTGTTTTCACTTTTATTTATGGTACTTTGTGACAGATAGAAACTTTAGACCTTTTTGTAATGAAATCTATCAAACTCTTCTTTTATGGTATGTCTTTGTGTGCTTAGAAAAATTCTTTCCTCCAATTTTTAATTTTAGTATTTGTTTTCCAGTACTGTATTTTCTTCTCATTAATTTACTTTTTTAGTTTTGGTGCATAAAATGTTAATCCACCTGGAATTTAGTGAATGATATAATATAAAAATCTATATTTTTAAAGTTAAAAATTAGTATATAAGAAAATAATGAGGTGGCCTTGAAATCTCTCAACTCTATAAACATAAACGCTTGTTTTTTCTCACTTAAAAAAAAGCTAAAATTTGTACATATTTACAGACTAAATTTCTTGTAACCACAAAGACTACTCTTAAAAAGCTCAAGTTGTATGGAGAATATATACTGTGAATATAGACGAGGAAATCTTAAAAGGAGAAAGAGGATTAGCTGAAAAACAAAGAATCAGGAAGTCTTCAATGGATGTTTATGCTTAAAAAATAATTAAAAGATCAAAACTTTTGCAAACTGAAAAAAAATGTTTATTTAATGACATGGGGAATACAAGCATTGAAAAAAGTAGGATGGAAAGCTTTCTCTATAATTCTGTCCCTCTCTCTAACTGGAAAATAACATACACAAAAAGGTTACTTTTATAAGCAAAGAAAATAGACAGTTTTAAAATGATCAAATTATATTCTTCATGAAGCCTAAATTCCTCCTGACAGGCCACTGAATCCATCAGTGTCCATTAATCTGATCAAGCCAGCACAGAATGATACATTGTCCTCCCTCATTGGTTCATTTGTGTCTCTCCCAAAGCCACCCACTTTCAAAAAGATGACCTTGCCAGACAAAGAACTATTGTTGAAGCATAAATTAATCAGTTGGCTTTCTCTGCAACCCCCAGTATCTAACTATTGAATATGGGTCAAGAAAATTCTGCTAACAAACATTCTCTCTTGTCAGCCAGAGGAAAAGAGTCAAGGAGACTGAAAGTGGAGGAGGTAAAGCTCTACCCATTTATCACTGGATGTCCTTATCAACCGATACTGCACAGGCCACATTCACAGTATGTGTGATATCTATTAGTTAAGAAGGTGAATCTCACTGAGATTCAAAATAAATAGAGGATGTAGAAATCAGATGATTTATTTGTTACTGACATTCCAACGAATGTGGGGGTATATTATCAGGTTTAAATTAATGTGTAATTGATTTTGTATGAGACTGTGACCCACCTAATTTTTCCATTACAGGAATAAATAGCTAATTAGAATCTTAGATAGGCTGTTTGCCAATGTGCTTCCCTCATGTGACTGGGAAATAACTTCAAGGCTACCTCTTTTACCTACCCCTGTGCTGGGCCTCTCCAGACATGGCATAAGCTTTGGCCAGTAACGCACTCATTTCTGCAGTTTTGGGGCTGACTTCAGTGAACAAAGAAACACAGACAGAATGAGCCTGGAATAAAGAAAATCATGACAAGGTAAGCACCCAATGACAGTGTTCACTGTGGATTTAGATGAGAGGTGAGTTTGAGTCCCAGCTCTGCCACTTCCTAGCTATGAGTCTTGTGCAAGTAATTTCACCTTCATTCGTAGAAGGAATATATAATTCCCACTGATTAGGGTTTGGGAAGGATTAAGTGAGATGGTATATGCAAAGCACAGGGCACGGTGCTCATCACGTGGTAAGTTCTCAATAAATGTTGGCTAGTATAATTTTTATTAGATTTCATAGCAAAAATAAAGTCATAACCTTAGCTCAGTCTCACTGGACTGAACTCCAGTCTTGAAGGCAGTCTTGTAAATGTAAATCAGGGATAATAAGAATAGTATTTGTTATAAAAAGTTGTTGTAAATATTAAATAAATTAATGGTTAATATATGTAAAGTGGTTAGAACACCACCCAGCATATAGTAAGCACTAAAAAAGTGTTAGATTTTATATTATTTGTGCTAAAATGGAAGGAGTAACACTTAGAAAAGAGAAAGAGAAAAACATTGAGTCCACACCCACCAGCCACAAAAGAACCACCTGTGCTTAATATTTCATAGGCCAAATACTGTGAGGTGTTTCAAAGAGCTGAGGGGTTATCAGAGAAGACTTTGGAGCCAAGACACAGAGCAGAGTTGTTATGAATACAGGCTGTAGGGTCAGATGTGGAGTTCAAATCCCTGCTTTACTATTTCTTAGCTATACAATGTCAGCTGAGTTAGCTATAACTCTGTGCGTCAGTTTTCTCATCCTTAAAATGAGATAAAATAATAATGGTACCTACTTCATAGAGCTATTGTACAGATTAAATGAATCGATATATCCTCTAGGGAACGTAGAAAAAGCATTCCATACATTTTAACTCTTATCTTTTGGTGCTTTTGGGAAACACTGCTATTTATTGTTTTATTCATTCTGATCTGACCACTGCTTTGAGAAAGTCTTGAACACAAAAACCAGACTGGCTTTCTCTGTAAGCAGTGGACTCCCTGCCTTCACAGCAGCATTCTCTGACATCTCTCCACTGTGTGATGTTTATAATTGTGGACTGTCAGATTGTTTGCAATGCCTTTTCTTCAGAGTCTGTTTTCATGTATACTGTTAGATTGCATTGCACCTTTTCTATGATACAGGATATCCAGTATTTTGATGTTTGTCACTGTGGGAGATACCTGAAGCCACAGGCAGCATTCTCCTTCGGAGAGAGAAAAGGTGAATTTAGCAGCTTCAAGTACATGATACATAAAAGTACCCTAATATAATAGACTCACCATTCCTTCCTATGTTTTGTTTTGTTTTCCCCCGGGCATTTGTCAAGTTAGTTACCTCCAAGTGAAACACCCTTTTGTTAGTTTAACCTTAGGTTTGGAAATATAATCAGCTAGACTAGTTTAAAGTACAAATGACAGCATTACCCTAAAATACCATGATTTTTCATTTAAAAAGGCCTTTTGTTTTTGCTGAAGATTTAAGTTCGGTTGTCCCTGTATCTTTTTTCCTTGGAGTAGACTCACATTTTGCTTCTTTTTTACAGCACCAACAGAGATAAGAGGGGGAGGGGGAAGTGCTGTCTGCACAGCCAATGACACAGCACATTCGCCCACCTGAGTCAGTGTTCTCTGGCCTGGTCATTTAAGGTTTGATCAAGGGCTCTTAGGTGGATCTGGAGGAAAGTCAGGGTTAAAACAGAATCAATTCCAGCCCTTGTTCTTCTGAGAAGCCCATGCTTCCCTGGCCCTGAGAACCAAGCCTGGGGCCAAACAAGGCAACCCAGCCTGGGCTCTGGCCAACCCACTGACCTGCTGCAAGTACTGGATGGCCTGGTTGTGGTTCCTCCTCAGCTGCTCTATCTGAGCAGCTTCCTCGTACAGGCTGATCAGATCTGACGTCCTATCACCCTTGGCAGCAATAACATCGCCAATTGCCTTTTCAAAGTATGCCAGAGCTAGGTTCAGTCTGTGGATGGCCAAGGAGGCTCTGCAAGAAAAGGGATGAAAATAGAAAGTCACAGAGAGGCCACTTACTTTGCAGACACAAAAGGAACTGATTCCAAGAATTAAAGAATTTGGCCTTCACAGGCCCATCATCTTGGTAGCTGGCTCAAAAATCTAGCCTTGCTGTAAATAAACTCCAATTATCCTGCATTTTACCCATCAGATTTCATTGACGACCACTCATTAAACCCATTACTATGTCGTGCTGTTGTCTAATTTTTTTTAAAAAGCAAATGGAAAAATGGCTTCCAGGAATTCACAAGATGGGATAATTCACCCATAAACATAGACTTTCTAAAATCAAAATAAAATTTTATTACCTCTGATTCCCTCTCTTTCAGGCCAAAGAAAGTTTTTGCTTTGTTTTGTTCCATTTAATTTGGCGAATTCCTCCTCAGTTAAAAATGAGGATAGAAAAAAAAATGTAAATATTCCCCCAAGAGAGTGATTAAATAAATTATAGCATATCATACAATAAAATACCTTAGAGACATTAAAAGTCATGTTTTCTTTTTAGACAGATATGGGAAGATATTAAAAATGTGCTAAAAGGAAAAAGATATAAAGCTGCACTTAGACTGTGATCCACATAGAGATATAGTTATTGATATCCATATATATCTGTTCAAAATGTTCATAGCAGTTACGTCTGTGTGGTGGTATCACAATCGGCTTATTCGTTCTTCATACCTGTCTGTATTTTCAAAATTTTCCACAACAAAGTTGGGAATATAATTTTTTTAAATGAGGATAAAACAATATCTCATTGAGGTTTATCTTTCCAGAGACAGCAAGGTAAAATGAGATCATGGGTAGTTCAAAGCTGGTTCTGGTAATTATGAGCTTTCTCAAACTCTATAAGCCTACATTTCCTTCTAAATAAAACAATTGAGTTTATACTGCAAGTTTGTTGTGAAGAATAATATTAAGTATAAAATCACCTAACATATAGTAGATATACAATCAATATTCCTTCCTCCTGACTCCAATATTTGTATTCCTAAGTTGAATTAAAAATATATGTGTAAGCCAGGTGTGGTGGTGTCTTGCCTGTGGTCTCAGCTACTGAGGAGGCTGAGCCCAGGAGTTCAAGGTTTCAGTGAGTTCTGATTGCACCCTGCACTCCAGCCTGAGTGGCAGAATGAAAAACTATCTAAATGAAAATAATAGAAATACCTACCCTCATTGGCTGTCATGTGGACTAAGTAAAATAAATTATGTAAAGCACTTAGAACAGTGTCTAGTATGTAGTTATACTTAGTAGGCACTCTAACACTTAGAACAGGACATGCATAAAAAAGGTATTCAATAAATACTGGAGAATGGATGAACAAAATGAGCACCAGAGTTTTTCTGAAAAAAGAATAAGACTATCTTTCACATAAGGCAGAAAAACTTTAGGCCCTATGTGACAGGAGTAGACATTCACCAGACTGTAATTTATTGCCCTGTGGACTTAAGTCAATAGTTTGATTTAGTTCTGGACATTCCAACATCTCCCCATTTCCCATCTGACTTCTAGATTCATGGTTGTTTAGAGGACGCAGACATGACGCATGTATTTCATTTACTTACTATTCAGTCATATACCCTACTGTGCCAAGTGCTTACAGTTTTGGAAACAGATTGCTTTCAAGGATGTAAAGATATTTGAAAAATCTAGGGAACAGTAAACTCTTTATTCTTTTTCTTCTAATAATCTGATGGGCCCACATTCATTTCTAAATATTCTGATTCTCAGAGGATCCCTAAGTCAACAGCAAGACAGTTAAATCTTGTTCTGGCTTAAACCAATTCCATGAACTTTGTTTTCATATGGAACAGAACTTTCCTTAAAAATGTACATGCTGTGCATGGCTTTCACAGCTTCCAGTTAATTGTCTTCATTAAGTGTTCCTTCATCTAAAATGTCACATGTCATGACAAAAATAGGTGGCAATTCAGAGAAAAATACAATATTAGAGTGAGTGTGAGAGGCAAGTATAAGGAAGACTAAGAGTTAGTGAGTTCAGATCACAGATCCAATATTTACAAGCTATGTTATCTTGGACAATTTGTTTAACCTCAGCTTCAGTCTCCTTGACCACCCCCCTTTAATAAAATAATAATCATACCAACTACCTCAATGGCTGTTGTGAGGATTAAATGGGGCAGTACACAAAATGCCCAGTGTATCCATTTGGTAAATATGAGCCTCTTTTATTATCATTTGAGTTTCTGGGTTTTTTTGCTCTAAATATTTTTCTCCCTTATATCATGTAATTCCAAGCCTCATTCATAAAAGCCTCAGCTTCTCCAAGCCCAGATCTTACCTGCCCAAAGCAAGTGTTAGGTCGTTCTCAGAGACTTGTAATTCACAAACACCTCCTTTATATAATTCTTTCAGCTCCTTCATGTTTCTCTCTGCCTTCTGCAGGTTGAAATAGGCTTCTCTGCCAGTGAAATAGTCAAGGAAAATGGCAAGCACTCAAACTAACATCCACTGCACAGGGACAGCAGGTGATAAGGAAACAAAAGGGGCTCTTGGAAAAGTGAAGCAATATTAAAAATGGGTACTTAACTATGTTCTTTATTTTCCATGTATTATGTTGTCAAGAAGCAAGAATTCTTTAGAAAAGGAACAGGGGCTTGGGTTTCCTGTGGTGGTTGCCTGAATCCAAGACTAGAGTAGGTAGGCAGTGTTTGCAGGAGTGAGCGGAAACTGTAAATTACACTCGATTTCCTTTAGAGGCATCTACTGCATGACAATAGTTATTCATTTTTCCCAAGCCTGTTCCTGTGAATGGTAAAAGAGAGGAACTAATTACGCTGAAAGGAACTTTCTGGGTCATTTAGAAAGTCCAAGCAAAGCAGGTTTTGGGCCAAAGGCAAACAGCAGAAAAGCAAAAATCCCCTTAATTCCCAAACATTCTTCTATTTCCCACATTTTCAATAGCCCCCTGCTAAGGGTATAACAGAGGAAGGCCACATATCAGATTTTGCAAGTTGAACATTAGGACCAAAAAAGTAGAGAGGGGGATGTGTAGAGAGGAGACTGGGGACACATAGGCTCAAAGAGTGCTCATGATGATGCGTGAACATCAAATGCCCTTAACATCTTTCCAGTGGAGATGGTACAACAGGCTGTCAGAATCCCCAGTTCTGAGGAAAGGCACATATAACAGTACCCCTCTGGGGATTTATAGAACTACTTGTTTTGTCTATTTTGCTTGGCCTCCAGCCTCATGGGCAGTATCCACAAGAGCATTTCAAAAAACTAAAATGATCGAGAATCAGTTAAATCAGTGGTTTTGGGCTGCAAATTACAATCTCTGGAGGGCTTTTAAAAATTTCAATGAACAGATGTACCTCAGAGCCTCTCAGTCAAAATCTTTGGGGCAGGAACAGACAGCAGAAATTCTTAAAGCTCCCCAGGGGATTACAATGTGCAGCCTAGTTTGCCAAATTGTGCTTTAAATTATCACCCATTCTCTCCATCACTACACCACCACCACCACCACCACCCTCATCCTCATTGCTAACACTGATTTTCTTGGGTGCTCAATGAAGAGCAGAACAGACTCAGAAAACCTTCAGCTGGCTAGGTAATATGTGACTAGTGAAATCTCTTCCGTGGCTCAACTCAGAGCTTATATGAATAGACATAGGAAGAGAATACACACCCTTCTAGATGGAGAGGAGAGGCTCATGGAGGGCCTTGATGTTGGAACAGATCTACAAGGCCTTGGTTCCATCTCCCACCCTCCTGTATGAGATGACCCATCTGGCATGTGTGGCCTGTGGCCCCGAACACTAAACGCAGCTAGGAATGGAAGGATATCGGTTCTGCAGGAGCCAGGCCACGCCCAGAGTGTAGTACAGCTTGACCAGAGCTTCCAGGATTTCCTCTTTCTCCTTATTTGAGGTCGTATTTGCCTTCCAGGTCAACAGTGTATTCTTGGCTGATGTAGCATGTTTCTTGGCCTGAACTGGGAGGCCTGGGGGAGTTAGAGGGTGAGGAGCAAGAAGACAGACATTAAAAAGGCATGCTTCAGTCAAAAACATTCCTGGGAGGGGATAAAGTGGGCAGTGCAGTTGTCGTATGGTCTATAGCATTGGTTCCTAAATCTGGCTGTGAATCAGAATTATTGGAAATGCTTGTAAAGAATACAGGTTCCTGGGCCCCACTCAAGACCTACTGAGTGGGGAATCTCTAGAGAATTGGGGTCCAGGAATCTCTAATTTTAATCTGCACCACAAGTGGTTCTTATTCAGCCCTCTCAACATTAGCCTTCGTACCTCAGTTTGGAACTCAAGACAGAGACAGGAATGGAAGGTGAGTATCCTATTCCTGATTCTACTACTAATGCCATGTGACCTTTTCAACCCACAACGCTTCTCCATCCTCCAACTGTTGAACAACAATAATAATTATAGAAGCTGACCCTTACCAAACACACAGAGATAGTCCAGGACCAAAGTAGGTTATGCCATAGAATGCTGTGCATTGAGTGTTCTGGAAAAGGCATTCTATAAATACAAGGGCTTATGAATGCAATTACTTCCATCTGGGGATTTTTTTTTTCAATCTAAGATGAATCTGGTGATACTAACTGGTCACACAACACACATAAAAAGAAAGCAATTGCTAAATGCAGGGAGGCCCCAAACTAAGAAGACAAAGGCAAGGCCAGACCCCAGCTAGACAGAACTGGTGGGGTTTTTCCCCTTGTTTTTTCTTTTCTTTTCTTTTTAAAGATTTAAAAATACAAACCTGTGTCCAGGGCTGACTTTCCATAGACTGCAGTGAGGGAGCTGCTCTGCTACATACAAAACCCTAACCCAGAAGCAGGTTATCTAATGATTTAGCACCAGGTTCCCCTCAAATATGCATTGCATGAAGGGTGAAAGGGCATCCCCCTTTCCAGCCACATCTCATTTGTCCCCTTGTTTTTTGCTGGTGTTCCTGGGCACTTACTCAAGCTGCTATTTGTCCAGTCAACAGAGGTAGACTTGGGAAGACTGAAAACAACAGGTAGGGTTCACTTTCAGCCCTCTCTCTGCAGGTACCTAGGGGCTGGTAAACACATTCACCCCTGCCAAGTAGGCCACTGTGCCCCTAATCCTCACTTCACACCACCAGCCCCAGTCCTACTCAGCAAGCTGCCTTTGGCTCCTGAAGCCTAGTTTCACAGAATGGGTGCAAGTCAATGGCAATAAGGATAAATTTAAAAGTTTGTCTTTGATACCTGCAGCCCTCATGTGTTCTAAGTGCACCTCCTGAATGAGTTATAGCAATGAAAGGGAACATGGTCTTCCCTGGGAGAGTTCTAAAGGTGACCCAGGTCCCTTCTCCCTTTTGCAACCATTATATAAGCAGCAGTCGTCAAAATAAAGTTCAGTTCTTTTGTGACTTCTGACCAAAGCAAGAACCATAAAAAAGCATTTCAAATGCACCTTTCCAAATTCACAAGATTATGTCTTCCCTCTTTCCAAAGAGCTGAGACAAAAGTACAATGCTTGATCCATGCCCCCCAAATAGGATGATGAAGTTCAGATTGTGCAAGGACACTATAAAGGTCAGCAAACTGGCAAAGTAATCCAGGTTTACCAGAAGAAATACAGCATCTGGCTGGGCGTGGTGGCTCACGCCTGTAATCCCAGCACTTTGGGAGGCCAAGGTGGGCGAATCACAAGGTCAGGAGATTGAGACTACCCTGGCCAACATGGTGAAACCCCATCTCTACTAAAAATACAAAAATTAGTTGGGCATGGTGGTGTGCACCTGAAGTCCCAGCTACTAGAGAGGCTGAGGCAGGGGAATCACTTGAACCTGGGAGGCAGAGGCTGCAGTGAGCTGAGATCGCACCACTGCACTCCAGCCTGGCGACAGAGTGAGACTGTTTCAAAAAAAAAAGGGCATCTATACTGACAGGGTGCAGTGGGAAAAGGCTAACGGCACAACTATCCATGTGGGCATTGACCCCAACAAGGCAGCTATCACTAGGCTAAAACTGGAAAAGAACAGAAAAAGATCCTTGAGCAGAAAGCCAAATCTCACCTAGTAGGAAAGAAAAATAGTAGATATGAGGAAGAAACATTCGAGAAGATGTAGGGGGAAAGTATCCCTATATACACCTTTCATTAAAAACTGCAAAAATAAAAATAAATAAAAGTGATCCAGAGACAAGAAGTCTCTGCAGAATACTCAGAAATATCTGTTCCATAGGTTTCAACTAAAGAGAAAAATGGACTCTGGAGAGGGCTGTGTCCTAAGTTAAGGGTGGCCTTCAAATTGCACTGTGCATTATAAGCACCCTATTAAAATGCAGATTCCTGTCCCACACTTCCAGTAGTTACAGCTCACAAGTTCTGGAATAAGAACCAAGAATACACATTTAAAACAAGCAACCATGTTTCAGGTGGTAACCAAGGATTCCCATTTGTAAGAACTAATCTTGGTAATAATGCAAGGTTGTCTGAGGACCACACTTGGAGAAATACATAGTTAGTAAAATCTTTATCGAAGAAGTAGGACTCATCTTGTTTTTCAAGAGTGGATAGGATTTTGACTGATACAAGGAGGGATTTCCCCTTGGATTAAATAGCTTGAGGCCTTGAAGACAGAACAAGCAAGTGTGTGTATGTATGTGTGCTGCACTGGGGGATGAGGTTGGGTGGATACAGGATGGTTAGGGAAGGTAGAAAGATGACTGAAGGGAAACTCTGAATTGAAAAACGTATAAGCAGCCCGGGCACAGTGGCTCACGCCTGTAATCCCAGCACTTTGGGAGGCCGAGGCGGGCGGATCACGAGGTCAGGAGATCAAGACCATCCTGGCTAACACAGTGAAACCCTGTCTCTACTAAAAAAAAATACAAAAAATTAGCCAGGCGTGGTGGCGGGCGCCTGTAGTCCCAGCTACTCTGGAGGTTGAGGCAGGAAAATGGCATGAACCTGGGTGGCAGAGCTTGCAGTGAGCCGAGATCACGCTACTGCACTCCAGCCTGGACAACAGAGTGAGATTCCGTCTCAAAAAAAAAAAAAAAAAAAAAGAAGAAGAAAAGAAAAGAAAAGAAAAAAAAGAAAAACGTATAAGCTATGCATTGAATATGTAAAAAATCTTGGATGATGTCTTAATTTGTATGTCAGGTATAAAATACCTGAGACCAGGTAATTTATAAAGAACAGAAATTTCTCACAGTTCTGGAGGCTGAAAAGTCTAAGATGAAGACGCCAGCTTCTTGTGAGGGACCTCTTGCTGCATCCACATATGATGAAAAACGGAAGAGAAAAAGAACCAAACACCACAAAAAGCCTCTTTTATAACGGCCTTAATCCCATTCATGAGGGAGGGGCCCTCATAGCCTAATCACCTCTGAAAGGCCCCACCTCTTGATGCTATCACAGTGGCAACACCTGAACTTTGGAGTGGACATGCTCGAACCATAGCAGATGCCCAGATGAGGAGGGGGAATTAGATCTGTTATGTAACAGGGAGTCTTCACAGGTCTGGAGGAAGAAGGCAGCATCACTAGTTAGGTCACAGAAAACTCTGCTTCGGATACTGGAAGCCGAGATGGCTACTTTAGACCAAGAAAACAAAGTAGAAAACTGAGAAAGTGTTTTGATCAAGCAGGTCATTTTCCACAAGTAGGTGGGCCGTTAGGAGTGTGTCATTAAGGACTATAAAAACCAAATTCAGACAGTTCCCTGGGTCCTTAGGAAGAAGAAAGGTGAAACTGCAGGAGCTACTAAAAACCACCCCAAATGAGCGGACACTCCTTCTGGGCTTGTGAATGTCAAATAAAACAACTACCACTCAAGAAAGTTGTTCTGAGGCAGTCCCTGAGGCTTTTGAAAGCCTGCACCCTCCCTGCAAAATATCCCATGCTGGTTGTGCAATTCCCAGGAGGAATACTTTTCCTCTCTGCTCAGCAGCTAATCAATCATAGAGTTCCTTGCTTTCACACGACTAGGCCCCACATTGTGGGCCTTCTGATGGAAAAGCTGAGCCACAAGGGGCTTAAGCAAACTGAACAAGGATCTTGATTTAAAACAATTTATTATATTTTAAGCCCTAAAGGGAAAAAACTTCTTTCACCTTCCCAGAATCCTCTCTGATCTCCAAAGTGGAGTGCATGAACTCTACAGGTATGCAAGATGCCGTAAGAGTGTGAGGGGGAAATCAAAACTTCTCTATTTTTTTTTTATCTGAAGCCTTTTTCTATTTTTATTACTATTTATAATATTACATAACACATCAATACTGTTGTACACAATCTATTTAAAATACATGTATAAAAAGTAATTGATTGTTTGCTTAAGTTTCTTTTAGTGATAAGGGAGCTGTCTCTTGAGTTTGGAGACCACTGGCCTAGACAAATGTTTTCCAACCTTTTCAAGTATGAAAGAGCTCTTTTTATATTTTAAAAAAACCACAAGGCTTCCTCCACTTGTGATAATTATTTTCATAGCACATACTACTTGAAAAAATTCATAATGACAAAAGTACTATGAATTCAGTATCAGCAACACTTTGAAATGAATTTACATTTACTAAGTCTAAGTACGTCCTCTTTCATGTAAAAACTCTCTGTATATAAGATTTATTATTGTATATATCTATGAAGGATGCTTCATAGATCAAGTTACTTTTCTGTATCTGCCCTCCCAAGCCAAGGATACCACCCTTCTACCTGCACTGACAGTGCAGCAGTTTTCAAGGTACAAGGCAGAGGGGCAGCAAGGCCTGCTTCTGGAGCCCAAGATTCAGAAATTACAAGGAAATATTGATGAGATGGCAAAATGAGTCCAAAGATTGTCCAACAAACATATCAATCATTTTGCTTTAGTTTGGGTTGGGATTCTATCATCGATTCTGCTACACTGACTCAGGCCAGAGAAAATCTGCTCAGAGCTACCCAATCTTTGGAGGTTGTTATTGTCACCAGAAAGCAGTCACCTTTGATCAGCATCTATATTTAAGCAGTTACTGTGGCACGGTAATTAAAAGAGCAGGGTCTAGAGCCAGACTTTCCAGGTATAAATCCTTGTTTAGTCATTATGACTTGAACATCCTTATGACTTGAAAAAGTTACTTTATCTGTGCCTGTTTATTCACCTACAAAATGGTAATGAAAATATATCCTGTAGAGTTGTCGCAAGGATTAATTTAATATAAAAAAAGGATTAAATAGTACCTGAATGAAGTGAGTTTGAAGATATATTAGCCATTATTATTATTATTACCAAGGTCCATTTCTCTTATTGAGTAATTTACTATATTTGTACTTATTTTCAACATTTTTCATAGCACTGTTTACAGAATCTTTGTAAAAGGCTTGCATTCTCAAATGCAGACTCACTTCAGGTAGGTATCAGGCTTCTTGTGGGTCAGATTACCCGGTTTTTATCATTCCCTGTTGTTTCTGTACCAGTTTTTGTGTCTTTGTTTTAACCAACTAGACAAAGAAAGCATGACTTAGGCTTCTTTTTCTGGATTTTGCAACATTTGTAACAGAGCCCCAGTACCTGGAAGATTCCCAGTAATAATAGGCTGACTAAAGTACTGTTTCATTAATAAGCAGAATTTCAGAAAACTGCTTGTCCACGTTACCATATTTTCCTTCCTGAACACTTGAAAACAGTTCACCACTAGTTACCAAACTACCATGGTGATCTCCGACTGCCCTTTCTCAGCTGCTGGATCACTAGGCTCATTAGGATCATCACCAGGGCAGTGGGCCATAGAGGTCCACTTCTAGTGTCACTTGTTCTGTTTAACAAGCGAACCAACTTTTATACACTCTGCTTTGCAAAAGCCTCACATTCTCTTGTGAATCCCATTCCATCAATTACTCCATTAAAAACATCTTTAAACCCTCTCTTCTAACTGGCTCCTTCCTCTTTGCCTAAAATCTTCCTGCATCTCCTTCTCTTGTAAAATCATCTTCACTAGCCTCCGGTCCCTATTGCTTCCCTTCATCCCTGGGATCTGGCTTCTCCTCCAACCACTATGGGGAAACTGTTCTTCTGAGGTCCCCTCAAAAACATCCTAATAAATGAATCCAACTGCAGTTTTTCAGTCCGCATTTCACTGCAGCATCAGATACCCTTACCTGTTTGGCTCCCAAGGCACTGCACCAACCTGCTTCTCCTTTATAAACCTTCTGTAATTGATTCTTTGCTAACTCTTTATCAAGGTCCTTTGTTCTCTACCATTAATGTGTCCATTTTCCAAATCTTTCTGTTTCTTCCACTTCTCTCTTTCCCTCTTGGAAGTTTTATCAACTCCTATTACTTCAACCTTGGCTTCCATGCTTATAATTTACCATTTCCCCTCTTTAGTTCTGGTCTCAAACATTCCTCCATGCTTATGCCTTTCCTTCTCTCCTCCCAAGTTCTGGTCCCAAATTTCCAGCACAAGTGAAAATGTATTACAGGTTGAGTATCCCTTATCCAAAATGCTTGGGACCAGAAGTGTTTCAGATTTCAGATTTTGTTCTGGATGGGGGGAGGTTTTTGGATTATTTGCAGATAACCAGTTGAACATCTCTGAAATCTGAAAATCTGAAATCCAAAATGTTCCAGTGAGCATTTCCTTTAAGCGTCACATCAGCATTCAAAAAGTTTTAGATTTTGGAACATTTTGGATTTCAGATTTTCAGATTAGCGATTCTCAACTTGTGGATTCTCTATTGCAATTCAAAATCTATACATCAAAAACTGGACTCAGCATTCCTCTCCCAGTCCACTTCCTTTCTGACCTACTTCTCTCTGAAAATGGCAATTTCAGGGGCCCAAAACATCATGGTCATCTTTGGGCCTCACTGTCACTCAACCCCAAATCGAACACCATGTCCTGCCTACTCCTTCTTAATGGTCTCTGTCTTTTAATAATCATTTTTGAATAGGTAACACATTTCTATCGTTGAAAAGTTAAAAATTATAAGAAAAAGTAAACACTGAGAGGTCTCACTTCCAATCTTGTTCCCTTTGTCCCCAACCACCCTCTAAGTAACTTTTTTTGTTTCATTCTTGTGTACCCTTTGGTGTTTTTTATATAAAAATAAGCCTACATTCTCATTTCTTACTCCCTCTTACACAAAAAGAGGCGTATTATAAACACCATACTGCATTGTGCATTCTCTTTTCCCTAAAGAGATCTTTCCCTAGAAGGATATAGAGATTCCTCATGTTCTTTTTAAAACTCCATATATCCCACTGTGTGTATGTACTAGTTTCCTATTGATGGATACTTGCTTGTTTCCAATCTTTTCCTATCATGAATGATGCTGCAAAGAATAATCTTGTCCATGTTATCAGTGTGTATTTAGGAAAGATTCCCAGAAGTGGGTTTCTGGTTTAAAAATAAGTGTATCTGTCGTTCGTAGACTCTTGAATCCTTACCTTCTCACCCATTCTCTCTGGCAGCCTAGTTTTAGACCTAGATGACTGAGATGGCTTCCATTCCATCACTGCTAGATTAACCCTGCCAAAAGTACACTTTGATATTTTTATCATCCTGCTGGAAAATCTCCACTAGTGCTCTTTGCCTATCAAATAAATTACAAATTCCTTAGCCTGTATTTAAAACCACACCATGGCCTGCCCAATGTACCCTTCTCCTTTCCAGGTTTATCTTACCAGTCCTAACCTTAGCCTGCCCAATGTACCCTTCTCCTTTCCAGGTTCATCTTACCAGTCCTAACCTTAGCCTGCCCAATGTACCCTTCTCCTTTCCAGGTTCATCTTACCAGTCCTAACCTTAGCCAGACAAGGCTGCTTACTGCTGTCTCCACAGACGTGGCACTTTCCTTCCTTATGCCTTGGCCCACACCTTCCTCTTCATCAGAAATGCCCACCCCTTCTTCCACCTACCCAAACCCTACTCCTTCTTTACAACCCTTGAATCCACCTCCCCCTTGAATCTATCATCTCTGCCAGAAATGATTTCACTCAACCTTCCCGAAGCCCATTATTTAAATCAATTACATGGCATTTACCTTACACTGCCTTCCCTCATAGTTATGTCCCCAGGTAGTTCACCTTCCACACTAAGTTGTAAAACCTTTGAGGGCTTCTTTATGTTACATTTCCCAAAGTGTTCATCATGGCATTTCACATATACAAGTTTCTCACTACTCACTGAATGACTGTTTATTGAGAGAAATTAGCCTTTTGGCTGCTGGAAAAGGCTCAAAGTGAAATGAGCAAAGCAGGGCTGATGACTATAAAACATGAATGGGTGCAGTGAGGCATGAACGCACACAGACACACACATCCGCCTACACAGGAGGCCAGCTTATATATTCTGTCCACTTTAAAGCAGTTAGAGGATGAATGACAACAACACTGAGTGGAGCTGAGCAAGCACTTCATCTCTCTTGAAGATCTGCCATTTTTCAAAGCCTTACTTATTCCATGGACCAGACACTAAAAAAGCTGAAGTGAAGAAACTGAAATAAAAGCTTAAGTGAAGAAAGCAAAGAGGCACTGGGCTATTCTCAAAGAAAGCTTACAGTCACAACCTATTCTAAAAAAAAATCTAGGCTGGTATCAGAAAATCTGGGTTCAAGTCTAGGCTCCACTATACCATGTGGACACTTCATCTGACCAGCAAGCTGCCTTTCCCATCTAGGAAAAACAAACAAAAAAGTCTCTCGTACAGGAAAACTTGTGTCTCCTCCAACTTATTGCCCCAACGTAGTTCTCTATTCATGCAGCAGGAAAAACTGTCAGTTAGGGAGAAAAGGATTTATCACCATGTTTTGTGGTATAACCTGTTCACTTATCTTGACTTAACTTGGAATCTAATTGGAAAAGTAAAACTCAAAGGCAGTTTGTGGCTCATTATGGAAGGGATTGATTTCAGAAGATCTAGGCCAACCTCCTTCTAGACCTACCCTAGTCATCTTCAAGGCAAGACAGAGAGGGCAGCATCTGGCCTTGCCTAGTTTCAGAGAAATCTCCCTCTCAAATGCCTTCCTCTTCAGTTCAAGTTCATCACCTCAAGTTTGAATTCCAGTGAAAAACCCTTAGCTAGTCTCTGTGAATCTGGGCTCTCCCAGGGCCCAAGGAGTGTACTTGTCTCTACCAAACCAAGTTGCAATGACCTACCAACCGCCAAATCCATGGGTCTCTCCTCAGCCATTACCTTATTTGACCTTCCTCTACCATCTGAACTGTTGAAACCACTGTTGTACTTCTTTTCAAAACCCTCTCTCCTCCCTTGGCTTTGATGACACGGGTCCTCCTGAGTCTTCTATTTTCTTTGCTGGCCCCCCTTTACCCTACCCATTCTTAAAGCTCTTGCTCTCCAGTCTTCAGTCCTCTATTCTCTTCCCCTCTCTTTCTACACACTACTACAGAGTCTCGCTCTGTCGCCCAGGCTGGAGTGCAGTGGTGCGATCTCAGCTCACTGCCACCTCCACCTCCTGGTTCAAGCAATTCTCCTGCCTCAGCCTCCCGAGTAGCTAGGATTACAGGCACACACCACTACACTTGGCTAATTTTTGTATTTTTAGTAGAGACGGGGTTTCACCATGTTGACCAAGCTGGTCTCCAGCTCCTGACCTCAAGTGATCCACTCACCTCAGCCTCCCAAAGTGCTGGGATTACATGCATGAGTCACCACACCCAGCCACTACACACTACTTCTGATCAAGCTCATCCACTCCTATGGCCTCAACTTGCTCCTATGTGCTCATTTCTCCCAGACTAACATCTTTCCTGAGCTCTAGACCTGCTTTCAGAAACCAAACTCAGTAGCTTCTTCCCCCTTCCTCCATGATATGGTTTAGTTGTGTCCTCACCCAAATCTCACCAGGAATTGTGGCTCCCATAATCCCCACGTGTCATGGGAGGGTCCCAGTGGGAGGTAATTCAATCACAGGGGCAGGGTTTTCCCATGCTGTTCTGGTGATAGTGAATACATCTCATGAGATCTGATGGTTTTATAAACGGCAGTTCCTCTGCATGATCTCTTGCCAGCCGCCACGTTAGATGTGCCTTTGCTCCTCCTTGGCCTTCCATCATGATTGTGAGGCCTCACAAGCCACATGAAACTGTGAATCCATAAACCTCTTTTTCTTTATAAATTACCCAGTCTTGGGTATGTCTTTATTAGCAGCATGAAAACAGACTAATACACCCCACCACTTGGTCTTTCCCTTTCATTCTCGATTTAAGCTAATTGTCCAGGTCATGCCTACTTCAACTTCAATTCTTCCCTGTCCTTCCCACTCCATACTGAATGGGGCACTAAATGTCACCCATTCTACATTTTAGGTTATCTTTCTTCATTCCAACTGCCATACCCAATGCCCTCATCGACTCTCATCTGGGCAGGATAACGGCCTAACTGGTCTTTGCCTCTTCTTTCTCTACCCAGTCCAACCCATCCTGGAGTCTCTCATTTTATAACACAAGCTTGATTATTACCACCTCACTTCAAACCTTTTAATAACTCTCCACACTCCCTGATATCTGGGCCCAAATTACCTTTTCAGTCCCATTTCCAAACATGAGCTGTCTGTCCTAAGGTGTCTTCCGTCCTACCTTAACCCCCTGGGTCTACAGAGAAGCTACAATATTCTGTGTAACGAGTTTTATACAGAGTGCCCTCCTCTCACTTCCTATGCCTTAGATCAACATATATAAAGGACCAACTTTGTACTCTCTACTTCTCCCCTCAAAATCTACTTGGGGGCCAGGTGCCATGGCTCACGCCTGTAATCCCAGCACTTTGGGAGGCTGAGGTGGGAGGATCACTTGAGGCCAGGAATTTGAGATCGGCCTGGGCAACGTAGAAAGACCTTATCTCTACAAAAATAAAAATATAAAAAGTAAAAAAATCTACTTGATAAACCTATTCTCATTCTTCAAAGACAGGACAAATATCACTTTCTCTCGGCAGCCTTCCCTGACTTTCCTCAATGGCAATACCACTGAACTGCCTCCCCAGAATTTTGTTCCTACCTCTAGAATGGTACCTATCATAAGACCCCTGTGTGCTCCTAGAGCATAGGGACCACCAATATTCATTTATGTATCCCCAGCACTGACTGCAAGTGCCACCAGGCTTATAACAAGAACTCCATAAGTACTGAAGGAGTAAATCCCTAAATTTGACTCTTATCATGAAGGCAGTAAGTTTTTGAGAAAATCAGTCTGATGGGAATAGAGAGATTCCAAGTAAGGAAGCACGGAACGCCACTAGGGGAAGATCCTTCCTGGTCACTCTGAAATTTCATAGAGGTGGCTGCCTGCTCTGCCAGTACATAAGGACATTCTCCTCTCCCTAGCCATAGCACCTTCTTTCAGAACACAACACGTGTTCTTAAAGCATAAAAGGGCCTCGCTGTGCCCCCACTGTGACCCACAGCATCACTGTCCTAATGCTGTGATCTCAGCTACCTGTGATCTTGCCACATCAATAAATGAATCTAAAGTTGCATTAAAAATAAATGGGTGTAAAAGGGCCTATAGAGCCCTAAGAAGGAGAATATATTCTGAGATCAATAACTGAGAAGTGAACTCAATTTTAATTTTTTCAAAAGCTTTGCTGATATCCAGCCTCATTATGGCCCAAATATATTGCTTCCCTTTTCCTGTAGCCTTCAAATCACTTAAGCCCATAAAGCATTTAATTTGTATTACAAGTTAGGCCCCCCTTCAGACTGAGGTCCCAGAGGTACTTGAACAACCCCTAGGCCAGTGGCTCAGTTCATAAGCAGTAATATGCCAAACCATATTGTGTACAAAGGACTGTTCTAGATCAAATGAGACCAGTCCCGCCCTGAGGGAGCTTCTATGTCAGAGGAAGAAGCATTTAAAGCATATATGAGCACAGTACAATGAGTTCCACGGTGAAAATGTATGCAGACCACACAGGGGGACATGGCTGGTCAAGGAACAGAGAGTCTTGAGCTGGCTATGTCCCTGGTTCCTGAAATGCGCTCTCGCCTCAGTGTATCACCCAATATTTATTCAGCCTGTACTACAAACTTTCTACTCTCAAGGAACTTTCACTTGGGTTCAGTTTTAGCAAATAGATTCTTGTCTTATTCTCTTATACTAGAGTACCTTCCAGAAGTACCATTTCTCTAGGATGAGGGTCCTACCTTTCACTAAGCCAAACCTTCCAGGAACTTGAGTTCTACCTTTGGAATTCAAGTCCCATTATTGGGTCTGCCTCCCTGATGCTGAGTGTACATCCCTGCCTGTCCTTCCCCTACTGTCCTCCGGCTGGAACCCCTGATACTGCCCTTTGCCCACTGTGCTCCAGTGTCCTCATCCATAAACTGAGGTTACTAATAGTATCTCCCTCCAAGGAATATTGTGAGGACTAATGAGACCAGTTTGGCACATGCTAAATACTCAATAACTGTCATCATCATTATTATCTTTATTACTTAGATCCTTGCACACTGTCTCCCTCATCCATGGACTTTCCTTCCTGATAATGTGTGAGCTAGGGGCAAGAAGGGGCCCTCCTAGTCATGCCCATCCTCACTGAGGTTGTGTGGGTCAGTTCAGCCTTCAGAGGCTGGCCACCCAAACCCAGCTGGGAAAACCAAGTACCTCTCAGTGTCAAGTAGCCATAAGCTAGGTTGGCCAGAGCTCGTGCACATTTCCAGTGATGGTCCCCAAAAATAATCCGAGAAAGGATGACACATCGAATCAGCTCCTTGTTTGCTTGAGTATTCTGTAGAGTACAGAAGTGATTATACTTTTTGGAAAGGAAGAGAAGTCTCTACCCCATGGACTTATCACTGGAACACAGGACTGAATTCACCTGTCATCTTTTTTCTCTTCTCTTTCCTTCTCATCCTGTGTCTAATCCATCAGGTCTGGTTGGATCCACATTCCCCCTAAATCCTAAAACCAAGCTCTTCTCCTCATTTCTGCCATGAGTACCTAGTCCAGGCCACCCTCACCTTTGACCTGGCTGGCCACAGCAGCCCCTTCCAATTGCTTCCTCTCTGGCCCTCACAGTCTACTTTCTACATAATAGCCAGAGTGACTTCTTTTAACCTTTTATCATGAAAAACTTTATTAATATACAAAACAGACAGCATGAAAAATGAATATGTAGCGTGATCAGTGATCTACTCCTGGCCAATCTTGTTTCATATCTAGACCCCTCATCCACCCATCCTCACCTTAAATTGAAGCAAATCAGACATTCCATTGTTGCCTCTGTTAACATTTCGTAAATACCTCTAAAAGATATGGACTTAGAAACATACCACAAAATCATTATCTCACCAAAATATTAACAATAATTCCTTATCTAATCACAGAAATGGAATTTTTTAAATAATTTGTTTGACTGTCCACACTGTGAGATCAGTCTCTTTTCATCTATAGGTTACTTTTCCATCTCTAGTTCTTTTTCTTACGAATTATTTGAAAAAGCTGAGTCATTTGGTCTAGTATTTCCCACAGACATAAATTTTGATGACTGCGTCCTCATGGTGTCTCATCATGTCCCTCCATTCTCTGTTCTGCCTTTATATTAGTAGTTGGGTTTAGAAGTTTGGTTAATTTCAGCTTTGAATTCTTTTTTTTACAAAACGACTTCATGGCTACTGGTATGTTCTTCCAGCAGAATACATCTACTATCTGGTTGTTTTTTCTTTTTTTTCTCTGATATTAGGAAAACTACATGGAAAATTAACAAAAGATTATAAAATGCAAATATACTAATTCTATCATTCCTTCTTCATACATTAGCTGGAATAATTCTGTAAGGAGAATTTCTCCTCCTCCACTCTTTGGTTACCCAATAGTACAGTTCATGTTGGAAAGGCAGGACACATGGTTTATTCTTGCCCTTTACTAGCTTTCAGAAAAATGAATTGTTCACTAGCATCCTCTAATTGTGATCAAATAGCTTGTTATTATTATTAGAAACTTATGGATTTTAAAACGTATTTTATGTGTTTATATCTTAAGATATAAATTAGATCATGACTTTCCTGTTCAAAATCCTCCAACAGCTTCCCGCTTTTTCTTCTTAATATAATTCAAAGTCCTCACCATGGCTTCCAAGGCTCTGCATAATCTGACCCAATGCCAATCACCTCTGGACTTCATTTTCTACCACCCTTTCCTCCTACTCTGTCTGCTAGAACTACACTGACCAGCGGTTCCTGAACATCACCAGCTAACTTCCAATGTAGGGCTGTGCACGTGCTGCTCCCACTGCTTGGGACACTCTTCCATGTCATTCACTTTCTCATTTCATTTTCACTTTTCTTATCAACAGGCCTTTTTTGGCCACCTTATCTAAAATAGACACCACTTCATCACTCAATATCCCATTACCTATTTTACTTTTTCTTCATAGTACTTACTTCTATCTAATATTTTATTAGCTATTACTATTGTTTGTCTATTATCTCCCCAAATAGAAGATAAGTCCCTTGAGGACAGAAGTTTATTCCTCATGTTCGCTGTTATCTGCCCAGTACACACAGGTGTAACACATTCAATATTTGCTGAATGAATCATTTATTAGCAAGGTTAAAGATGGGTTGGGGAAAATAATCCTCTACCCCTATAGAAATGACAGGTAGAGCTCTCTAAGAAATCACCGAACTGTATCTTCAAGTCATATATTTCAGTGACTTTACAAACACAGCCATTATTGGCTGAACGAGTCGATAGGGTCAGGCATTTTTTTCCTGGTTAAGTGAAAATAGCACTTCAAGGAACCAAAAACCTAAAGTTTCAGCCCTGGTTCTAATGTTTGTTTACTGATTGTGTTGCTTTGGGGCAGGCCACTTTGATCTCAGCTTCCTTTTCTGAGGTTTGGAAACCTGTACCATCTACCTCATGGAGTTACTGTAAGGAAAAAAAAATAGTGTCCAAATGATTCAGTGTTGTTAGGTCAGATCTAAGTGTAACCCGTTTGAAGAATAATGTACAGGTAACCAAAGTAACCCATTTAAAGAGTAATGTTAGATAAGATACAGCAGTACCATAGGTTATTCCAAGGAATACACTCCTTACTGATTCCTATCTCCTACCCAACTTCATGTTTTACCTGCCCCCTGCTCAAATATACAGAAGCAAGCAATGGTAGAAGGAAACTTCCCCTGATGCTTCCAAAACATCCATTTAGTCAGCATTTTTTAGAGTTCACCATGGGCTGACCACAGCAAATACTAAGTTCTCTTTCGAGGAAGAAGCATCATGCCATGAAAAAATCACTGGAATGGGAGACCAAAGCTTTGGCTCTGGACATTGTATATTCATCCTCGAACTCCTTGACTTGGAGAAACCGGGACAACCAATACGGGCTCCAGATGTCATCCCAGCACTTCTGCTGCTGATGTGGCATCCCCTGCCCTTCAGGGCTAGGAGTACTAGGTTGGGTTTGATTTAAAAAAAAAAAAAAAAAACAGCGTTATTGAGCTATAACTGATATACAAAGAACTGCACCTGTTCACTTTATACAATTTGATGAGCTTGGGATTTGAGTCAGATTTCTCTCCTAAGATCTAAATCTTTGTCATTATCCAATCTGGCCAAGGAGTTTTTAAGCCTTGAAAACCCCCACTTACACTCCATGGCAGATGGTACTTGTGTGTTTTTAGAAATGATCCTTCTAGCCTGGATTTGTGAATCACTAATGGGTCCAGGCCAGGATGACTGTCCTTTGCAAGGTCCTTGGGTCATTTACAGAGATAAATTTACAAATATCCATCTAGAGAGATACTTCAGAGGCAAATGATAGAAAATGAAACCTCTCTAGATTACTTTTTTCCCCTTGGCTAGGAGGAGCCAGGAAGTCAAGGTACAAGCTCTTCTGTTGATAAATCATGCTCTGGAAGCAGGCTGGTGCCTGTGTTCTAATAATGAGAGTCGACGTCTTGCTGTCTCAGTCTCCTGGATTTTGAATACTCATGCTTACAAACCTGCTCTGAGATCTTTGACTCAAGTCTTTGACTTGCTCTTAGAAATGCATATTTGGAATCTTTGACCTCCACTGCTACCTTCTGTTTCTGGCCCTTTGGTTTGTTTATGATTCCACTGTAACCAAGGGCATCTTACCCATATCCTTTCCAGGCCAGAGCTTAGACCTGCCTGCCTACCTGTTCTCAACCTCCTGCCTTACTATCCCAGCCTTTTTGTTACCTAAGAGATAGCATCCTGAAACCTTCCAGGATGGATACACACACACACACACACACACACACACACACACACACACATACACACATATATGTATTTGTATATATACGTATATATGTATATGTGTGTGTATATATATGTGTGTGTATATATATATATATATATATATATTTTTTTTTTTTTTTTGAGACAGAGTCTAGCTGTTGTCGGCCCGGGCTGGAGTGCAATGGCATGATCTCAGCTCACTGCAACCTCTGCCTCCTGGGTTCCAGCAATTCTCCTGCCTCAGCCTCCCAAGTAGCTGGGATTACAGGCATGCGCCACCACGCCTGGCTAATTTTTGTATTTTTAGTAGAGATGGGGTTTCACCATGTTGGCCAGGCTGGTCTTGAACTCCTGACATCAGGTGATCTGCCCACCTTGGCCTCCCAAAGTGCTGGGATTACAGGTGTGAGCCACCACGCCCAGCTATTTTTTTTTTTAATTTTAAGTTAAAGGTAACAGCAACAAAAACAATCAAATGATAATTTTTAGGTTTTTCAAATTTTTACTTTATTTTCTTAGAGACACAGTCTCATTCTGTTACCCAGGCTGGAGTGCAGTTGCACAATCACGGGCTCCCTGTGGCCTCAATTTCCTGGGCACAAGCTGCTATCCTGTCTCAGCTTCCCAAGTAGATGGGACTACAGGCTCCCTCCACCATGCCTGGCTGATTTTTAATTTTTTTTGTAGAGACAGGGTCTCACTATGTTACTCACGCTGGCCTCAAGAGATCCTCCCGCCTCGGTTTTCCAAGGTGTTGGGATTACACGCATGAGCCACTGCACCTGGCCTAATTTTTAGTTTAAAGCTAGGACCAGAAATGCCCCAAGGAGGAACAGACAATGAACCATGCATGGAACCAGAAGGTGGGCTGGCTACCTAAGTAGGCTCTGCTTTGTTTTCTGCTACTTACAAAGAAATATGACACCTTCCTCTATTTCATATGCTTCAATCTGCATCGAAGGCAAAGCTTCTCTAAACAGGAACATATTTTTAAATGGAAACAAAATTTTAGTGAGTTTTTTGTTTTACCATTTTTTCCTTAATCAGCTGAGCTACTTTCTTCTGGGATTGGGCTAATTTCTCTTTGGGATGAGACATACAGTCTATGGCCTTCTCCTTCTCTTTAGCTTTAGTTTCCTCTTCACTCTCTCCACACCCACCAGTGGGATACAACTCATCTGTTTGCTGGTGAGCTGGGATCTCGGTTTGCTGTGACCTGTAGGTATGAGAGAGGCAAGGATTCAGGATTTAACCTTCTCCATCTCAAACAAGGTAAAATTGAAGGGCATAGCTCTCCCAACTAGGGGATAGGGACATGATTTCTAACATAAACCGGAAGGAATAAAGCTAGGCAGTAAACTCACGTCGCCCTCAAAGCCTAGCATTAAGACAGCAATGTGGTAGTTCAGAAGAAGCCGATTTATAGAGGTACAGCTCTGCTGCTTACTAATCACATGACCCTAACCAAGTTATTAATTTACTTCTCTGTAAAATGAGAATATGGATGCCTACTTGATGAGGTTATGGGATTAAATGAGATAATACTCATAAATCAGCACAGTGTGTGACATTCACTAAGTGTTCCTTTCATGTTAGCTATTAGTATATCATTAGCTCCAGGACAGGGCTTCTTCTTCTACAAATGAGGGTGTTGAACTGGAGGATCCCCAGGAATATCTGTGTTCTAAAATTCTGATCCAAGCAAGGAAAGAAAATGGATACAATGAAATAAGGGAAAGGAAACCAACATTTTGAGGCTGGACTTTGCATGTCTTCTCATATCTTAAAAGCTTCAACATGTGGTGGCCAAGAAAAGAGGACACGGGTCCCACCAGAGACAGGGAGGGAACCCCACGCTACATCAAGTGCAGATTCAGAGGAGAAATATCCCTAGTTGTGTTAAAAAGAACTATATCCTAACATCACCAGAAAAATCAATAAAGTGCTACAGAAGAAACAGAATTTTGAGATCTTAGGAGCAACGGTAGAAATTTTAAGTATAAATAAGTCTCCCAAAGGACTCATCTTTATACTCACAATAACTCAAAAGTTCAGCCACTGAGTAGTTTTTAAAATAAAATTTACTTTTCTTTTCCACTGATTGCTTAAATAGTGAATGTTCAATGTTTAAATAAAAAGAAAATTCAGAAAAGCACAAAAAGCTTAAAGAGTGAATGTTCAATGTTTAAATAAAAAAAAAATCAGAAAAGCACAAGAAGAAAATAACTGCCAAGTGTAACCTTTTTTTTTTTTTTTTTGCTGCTGCTGCTCACTCTTTGGGTCTGTGCCACCTTTAAGAGCTGTATGCCAACTGTAATCTTTTACACCAGGTTTGAAAAATGACATGCTAATATCCTTCTAGAGTTCTATTCTAATTAACTTATCAAGAGGCACGTGGGCAAACCAGGTTGTGTAGATAGGGAAGCAACATTTCTTGAGGCCCAAGCGCAGGCAGGCTTGCCTTCTGCCCACAGACGAGTGTGCTTTCAGTAGACAAGCTAATTTGATGGGACAGCCAGGGAAGGTTGGGGATGTGACCTGATCAGAAGACAGGTGATGAACTTCCTTTTCTCTGCCTGGTGAATTCCATACTCCTCCTTCGAGACACAACTCAGATGTCATCATTCCTGGAAGTCTTTCACTGGAGTAGCAATAAAGGCAGCCTCCAAAGGGCTTTCAAAAATTTCCCCCAAACTGCTAGTACACTGTGATTTTTTTTTATTGTTGTTTGATTTTTTTATTGTTGTTTCTTTGGTTTGTTTCTGAGTCTTCTTTGCCTGCTGGCAAAGTAAACTCCAATACGGCAGGGGCTGAGCCTCATTTGTTTCTGAAAACCTGATATCTGGCTCATAGTAAAAACAAATAATGGCCTGTTAAATGATGAATAAATGAATGAGAAAAGAATGTGCAGTCTTTAGAATGTTTGAAAAATATTGAGGAGAGAGGAAATCTGTGGCAAGAGATCATAAGTCGGCTGACTCTGGGCATGCTGCCTATGAGCTAGCCCTGTTCTGCAAGGGGCAGTTAAAAAAAAAAGAGATCATATCTCAATAGCAAATTTTGCTTAAGCTGCATATTTCACAGACCTAGAGCAGAAGTTAAATCTATTGGAGTCACCAGATTGCTAATTATGGATAGTAAAAATTATAAGCCCGAAATATTTTAAATTAAGCCTTGAATAACATTAAGGTAAGACCAAAGGTGGCAAGCTTCAACCTCAGGGACTTCAAAGGAATGAGAAACATTGAGGTCTTGACAAATGATTTGAGAATGTAAATCCCTGAACTAGCTTTGAACATCATGTTATAGAAGGTGAGAAAGATGGCTGGAGAATCCTGACCAGTCAGACATCTCAAAGGATGGTCAGAATAAAAAGAATAGGAGGTTGAATGGAAGGTCTGCCTTGCCAGGTTTATAATTGATTCCATATGTTACCATCATGAATAGGAATTCTGATTAGTAATGTTCGATATAAATTATCCGATTATTTCCCAGATATTTTACTGTGAACTTGACATTTTTATGAACTTCAATTTTTATAGTCATATAACCCTTAACCTTAAGATATTTTATGAATTTAAACTTATGCTATCCAGGCCAGGCACAGTGGCTCACACCTCTAATCCCAGCACTCTGGAAGGCCGAGGTGCATGGATCACTTGCGGTCAGGAGTTCGAGACCAGCCTGGCCAACATGGTGGAACCCTGTATCTCCTAAAAAATACCACAGTGAGACTGTAATCCCAGCTACTCAGGAGGCTGAGGCATGAGAATGGCTTGAACCTAGGAGGCGAAGGGTGCAGTGAGCTGAGATCACACCACTGCGCTCCAGCCTGGGTGACAGAGCAAGACTCTGTGCTGGGAGCCGAAGGCCCATGGGATGTGACCAACTCAGCATTCCACTGGAGACGATATGATCAAACAGCAAACTGTTTATCATGAATGCAGGATGTGAGCAAACTCACGAGTGCTCCTGCCGACAGAGGGTTTGCTGGAGGCAATCACTCCCTAGCGCTGAGGTTATCTACTGTGACATCTAGAGCCTGTTGTTTGAGGAATGAAGTCTTGCAAGCCTACTCTGGACTAAGCAGCTGACCCCTTCTTCCACCCCCCTTCTCACCATCTCTTTTGCCTAATAAATACAGAGGGCTGTGTACAGCTCAGGGCCTTCGTCCACTAGAGGCAAGGTGCCCCCTGACCCCTTCTTCCAAGTATACTCTTTTGTCTCTTGTCTTTTATTCCCACATTCACCCCTCCTTTGTTCAGTCCACCAGGGATTGTGGCAGGTTACATAGGGGCCCCCCAAACAGCAACAGAATCTGGTGCTCCACAACTCTGTCTCAAAAAAAAAAAAATGCTATCCAACTTGGTAACTACTAGCCACATGTGGCTATCAAGCACATGAAATATTGCTGGTCTGAATTAAGATGTGCTGTAAATGTAAAATATGTGCTGTATTTTAAAGAGTATAAAAAGATAAAATATTTCATTAATAATTTTAGCATATTTTGTATATATTGAAATAAAATATAGTATTGAAATTAAATTCATGTGTTTCATTTCACCTTTTAATATGGGTAGCAGAAAATTTTAAATTACATATGTGGTTTGCATTATATTTCTATTTGATGACACTGGTATAGAGCAATGGTTCCCAACTAAGGATGACTTTGCCCCGAGGGGAAATCTGGCAGCATCTAGAGACATTTTTGCTTGTCACAACTGGAGCTAGTGCTACTGGCATCTAGTGGATGGTGGCCAGGGATGCTGCTAAAAATCCTACAACATATAGGACAGCCCTCCACAACAAACAGTTATCCAACCCCAATGTCAACAGTGCAGAGACCGAGAAACCCTGCTATAGAGAATGGTTAAAGAATGGACTCTACCTGGGCACAGTGGCTCATGCCTGTAATCCCAGCACTTTGAGAGGCTGAGGCAGGAGGATCACTTGAGCCCAGGAGTTCCAGACCAGCCTAGGTAACATAATGAGAACGCATCTCTACAAAAATGTAAAAATTAGGCAGGTATGGTGGTGTGTGCCTGTAGTCCCAGCTACTCAGGAGGCTGAGGTGGGAGGATCTCTTGAGCCTAAGAGGCCAAGGCTGCAGTGAGCCGTGATTGCACCACTGCACTCCAGCCTGGGTGACAGAGCAAGGCTGTCTCTAAAAACGAAACAAAACAAAACAAGAATGGATTCTAGAGTCAGAATGCCCAGTTTAAATACCATTTACTAGCTTTGCAACTTTGGGCAAACTCCCTAACATCTCTTTGATTCATACTCATCTATAAAATGTACCAATAACAGTAACTCCTTCACAGGGCTTGGGGGGATTAAATCAGCTAAGACGTTTAAGGTACTTAGAACAGAGCCTGGCACATAGTATGTGCTCAATAAGTATTAGACGATACGAAAGTTTTATTTACTCTATTTCATAAAAATTTTCTCATTAACTTTGTTATAGCTAACTCTCTACAATTTTGCCAATCTTGTTATAACTAACCTATTTTTATTTTAAAAACTTTTAAAATTTCCTTAAGTCGGGAAAAAGCAATCTTCTATCATGCATAGGTTGTAAATACAAACAGATATTATAGCAGAATCATTATTAAAGCACATCAGAAACACAACCTTCTTTTTTATTTTATTTTATTTTTTTTTGAGACAGGGTCTCTATTGCCCAGACTGGAGTGCAGTGATGGAATCTCAGCCCACCACAACCTCTGCCTCCGGGTTCAGCTATTCTCCTGCCTCAGCCTCCCGAGTAGCTGGGATTACAGTCGCGTGCCACTACCGCGCAGCTAATTTTTGTATTTTTAGTAGAGACGGGGTTTCACCATGTTGGTCAGGCTGGTCGTGAACGCTTCTCATGCAAAGCTCCTCACCCAGGTTTGCCTTAAGCAGGAGGTCCCAGTGTTTCAGCCCAGTAAGTACCTGTGATGTCAAAATGCTGTGATACTTACATATGGAAGCAGAAATCCCAGTCGATGTCATTGCTAACAGTTGGGATACGGATGGGGCTGGCTTGCATCTTCTTCCTACCAAGAATCAGGTAAGGTCAGCTTTGAGAGAAAAGGCTGGGTGTCTGTTCTATTTTCCCCCTCTGGTTTGCTATTAACATTAAACTAAAACTGCTCAAATATATAACCCATCCTAAATCCACAGACTACGCATACTTAGATATGGAGACCGCTGGAAAACAGACATTTGCCAAATTAAATGTCTAAGTTAAATTTCTTTCCCCTAATTTCAACTCCACCCTACTTCTCCAAAATCCCTGGCCTTTATGTCTCAAAGCAAGCACATTTACAGTTCCTGGGTCATCAAAACTATGGTCACCTACTTAACTCAGATATTGTTTTTGCAGGTCTGACGGCGTGTTGGATTTAAGCAAAGCAACCAACTCTCAGTGGTAAACGAAGCACAGCCAGTGTATTGGTTAATTCTGCTTTCCCCCCCCCCCCCGGGGTCATTTCACTAATTAATAGCAGATTCTAGTACAGGGGTCACGAGGCGGGTACAGAGGCTCACGCCTGTAATCCCAGCACTGTGGGAAGCCGAGGCGGGTGGATCACCCGAGTTCAGGAGTTCGAGACCAGCCTGGCCAACAGGGTGAAACCCCGTCTCTACTAAAAATACAAAATATAGTCGGCTGTGGTGGTGCACGCCTGTAGTTCCAGCTACTCGGGAGGCTGAGGCAGGAGAATCGCTTGAACCCGGGAGGCGGAGATCGCGCCACTGCACTCCAGCCTGGGCGACAGAGCGAGACTCCGTCTCAAAATAAAATAAAACAATAAAATGAAATTCATGTGTCTGTTTTAGTTGTTGCTGTTAGATGATAGGAGAAACCTCGGAAGCACAAAACGAAAAATGTGATTTCTAAATACAGTATTTGTGAAATTCAACTCTCAAGGAAGGCTATGCCAGTCGCTTAAATCAAACCCAAATCGAACGCAGTTACTTATTGAATGTTAACATCCACCAAGTCGCCTCTCCTTTCACCCTCCAGAATCACTAATTCCCACCGAGCCCTGAGTGGCTTTCTGACCCAGGCTCCAGAGCATCCATTATCCGAAAATCAGAAAGGGAGAGTCACTAATTTCTCTTTTTAACCTCCACTTTAAACACTATGCCCACAGCAAAGAGTTCTGATCTCTCAAACTCCCGGACTCTGTTCCTATGACGTTCCGCACGGCCCTGAGCCCCTCAAGGACGAATCGCTCCTCTTTTCCCGCTGTGGTTCTGCGGCAAGTCTGTAAGCCCTGACGCCGCAGGTCGAGCTCTGAGAGCCTCTCTGCCGCGGAGGCTCTAAGAGAACGCGCGAGTGCGCAAAGGGCACCTGGCTCAAGGCGGAGAAACCACGCCCCGGAACCAGCCTCCCAGCTCCCTGAGCCCGACGGCGCGGCTTCCTCCCGCTGCGTCGGCCTCCTGACCCTGGCGCACCTCGGTCCGGGCGCCAAAGCGGTGCCTCGCGAAAGCTGCACAGCCTGCGACGTCCCCAGTTACCTTCCGCAGCCCAGGTCCGGCCAAGGAGACAATACCGTTGCCATGGGAACGGAACGCTACGGGTTCTGCTGGGAGCGCCTGTAGCCATGGCGACGCGGGGCACTTCCGGTTCGGAGAGTCCCTGTTGTCTGGCGCCTACAGCAGCCCTTGCCTTACCCTCCGCTTTCCCTTCCCCGCAGGTTAGACGCGCCCGGCCTCCGGCTCGCCCCAAAACTGGCCTCTGCATATTGTATCTCACGAGACCTTACCCCTCGGAGGTGAAGGCGTAGGAAGAGAAGATACATTCCGTCCAAGGATGGAAGGGAGCGCCGGGCCCCACGGCCCTACTTATTTAAAGCTGCGACGTGTGCGGGCTGTATTCGGCGACGATCCTGGCCACGGTGCACCCCCACAGCTCCTCGGGAGTTTTGTTTTTATGGACCCCAGAGGAAAGGCTTAGATATGGCTGTTGACTGTGCTGGCACCGTCTGTGTTACCCAGTAAGATTGGAGCTAGGCATGGTTAGGAAAGCTGATTGCAGGAAGAGAGTAGGGTAAGAAATCGACTACTAGATCTGCTAATGGTTAGCTGTTCATTATTTATTTAGCACTTAGCCCTAAATAATGCAGCCATATCTTACCCTTTCGTTGGCATGGAATACAGTGTGTGTAATACACACAAGGTGCAGAGGCAATTGTGGCCATACCCAAAGAAACAGCGCCAGCTCTTGCAACGCTATGTTGAAGGATGTTATTATGAACCCTATCATAGACTAGGCCTATGGCAAGTCAAGTTGGAGTGAATGTGTCCCAGTTGTTTTCAGAAAAGAGCAGACTAGGTAGAGAGACAAGGAGAACATTGAGAATGTGAAAGATGGTGTTTACGTTTGGTGTTTGTTATTTCCAGCTCTAGGCTGGAAGTTTAATTGCCATTGATCCAAGACTGCCAAGAAAGCCTTTTTGGAGTTAGGTTGGAGGAGTTATTTAAATGAGTTTGCTTGAATATCTCTTAAGTAAAACCTGTATGGTCTGTTAACTCAAGATTTAAATCTGTACTTTCGAGCTCCATAGTCACAATTTTGGAAAGATTCCCCCACTTTATTCTTTTTCCTAAGAAAACTCTCAGCATGGAACAATGATGACAGCAATGAACCTGATTTCAGAATGTCAAGGTTCTGGTTTTGACTCTGTAGCCTGGGCCGAGTCACGGCCAGTGGGTCCCAATTTTCTTGCCTATACGGTGAAAGTTTTTGTACCACTTGCTTTCTGAAGCGCCTTCTGGTTCCAGGTTTCTGTAAGGGGTAAACGATTTTTGTGACTCTATGAACAGTATTTAACATGTATGGGAGTAAAAAGGAAGAACCTGTTTCCTGTTCTCCAACATTTATTTCTTTTACCCCTTGTTAAGTTGGTCATCAAATTGAAAGGTTTTAATGTTCTTTCATTCTAGGAAATGGCTGTGAGATTGTTTCTAAGTATATTAAAGGTAATGTCTCTTTTCTAAACCTTTGCTTTTGCTGATAATTGTGGAGAGAAGAACCAGAACAGGCACTGAATTCCCATTCCTAAAGCCAACGCTCTAATTCGGCCTCCATTTCATTAGCTCTGACCGGAAGCATGTTGCCTGCATCTGTAAAAATTATAAATCAAAATAAAATAACTTTGGCGACTATTTTTTTTCTTTTTTTGAGACAGAGTCTCACTCTGTGGCCCAGGTTGGAGTGCAGTGGTGTGATCTTGGCTCAGTGCAACCTCCGCCTCCCGGGTTCAAGCAATTCTGCTGCCTCAGCCTCCCGAGTAGCTGGGATTACAGATGTGTGCCACTACTGTCTGTCTAGTTTTTGTATTTTTAGTAGAGACAGGGTTTCACTGTGTTGGCCAGGCTAGTCTCGAACTCCTGACCTCAGGTGATCTGCCTGCCTCAGCCTCCCAAAGTGCCGGGATTACAGGTGTGAGCCACCGTCCAGCCAGAACTTTGAGGACTCTTGAAGTTTTTTGGTATTTCTTTCCTTGTCATGTTAACCCTGTCCCCCAAATGTAAGCTTTAGTTGTAGTATATACACTTTTAGGTTTGTTCACTAACTCTAGAATGGCATCCCACTAATCTAAGTGGATAGTGCGTTTCCACCGTGTGTATTCACATTCCCTCCCCTGATCCGGAGGTAGAGGTGGCAAGCATTGCTATTGCAGAAATTGCATAGAGGAAGCAGTATGGGGGGTTTTTCTAGGCTCTAACAACCCCAAATCAAATGTGATTATCTCCAAGCTATTCTTATCCCAGGAACTGTGAAATTTAAGGCAAGGAAATCCAAATAAACTTTCGCTTGGAACACATTTTTATGGCCTCTCAAGAGAGGGTTAGATGCCTTGCTTCTGAGCCCTCGCAGTACCCTGTCCACAATCTCATCATGACTCTCACATTGTACTGGCACTTCTGTTTATTTGCAAGTTTCTCCAATCTCCATACATCTATCCATCCACCCAGACAAAAATATTTGTGGAATACCTACTATGTGCCAGATAATGTTCTAAGCAGTAGGAAAGCAAAAGTGAACAAATAAGATAATGATTTTGCTTTCCAGGAATTTATATTCTACTAGATGAAGAAAAACAGAGCTGCTAGTAAACAGTATGGTGTCTCTGCAAGTTACAAAAAGGCAGAAGGCTTAGGGAGTATGCAGTGACAGTGTATGAATTTGGAAAAAGCCTTTTCCTCCAGCCAGACTCAGACCCCTGCTAAGGAGTACAGCTTTGGGAACAGAGAGTGGGCTGGATTTCAGGACTCACTGACTCCCTTAGCCAGAAGAGTCACCTTAAGAAAAAGTGGGCTGGGCACAGTGGCTCACGCCTGTAATCCCAGCACTTTGGGAGGCCAAGGCGGGTGGATCACCAGATCAGGATTTCGAGACCAGCCTGGCCAACATGGCAAAACCCCATCTCTACTAAAAGTAAAAAATTAGCTGGGTGTGGTGGCGGGTGCCTGTAATCTCAGCTACTTGGGAGGCTGAGGCAGGAGAATTGCTTGAACGTGGGAGGCAGAGGTTGCAGTGAGCCGAGATTGTTCCATTGCACTCCAGCCTGGGTGACAAGAGCAAGAATCCATCTTAAAAAAAAAAAAAAAGAAAAAAGAAAAAGAAAACATGATAAACAGTTATGGAGAAAAATAAAACCAGGTAAGGGATTTAGAAGGTGATGTGGCCATGGCGGGAGGGGTGTGCCATCTTACATAGTGTAGTTAAACAGGGCCTCTCTGACAAGATGACATTGAGAAGATACCTCAAATCGTGCAACAAATTGTGCAAATATTTAGGAGAAGAACATTCTAAGATGTTAACAGCAAGTGCAAAAGCCCTGAGGCAGGAACAAGTTTAATGGGGTCAAAGAACAGCCAAGGGTAGTAAGAATGAGGAGGAAAGAGACAAAAGACTGTGTCAGTAAAGTGGTGGGGCATCAGGTCATGGAGGGCCTTATAGGCAATTCATCCGTCTAAATATTCATCTACCCACTCAGTGAATACAGAATACCTGCTAGGTAGCAGGCCCTGATTGGCCAGCTATGAGCTCCTCGTGAGCAGGAGTTGTTATCATTGAGCCTTTAGCATTCAGCACAGTGCCTGGGATATATCAGTGTTAAAAAAGAAAAACAAAACAAAAAAAACACATAAACTACAAATGACCTTTAGGAACTCCATTAGTAGAGATTCTCCCTGTGTGTATCAGTTTCCTATTGTTGCTGTAATGTCACCACAAACTCAGTGGCTTAACAAACCACAACTTTATTATTGTATAATTCTGGAGGTTGAAAGTCTGAAATGGGTGTCACTGGGCTAAAGACAAGCTGTCTGCAAGGGTGGCTCCTTCTGGGAGCTCAAGGAGAAAATTTTTTCTTACCTTTTCCAGCCTCTAGAGCCTGGCTGCATTCCTTGATTTGTTCTCTTCATCTTCAAAGCCAGCAGCAATGCAGCATCTTCAAATCTCTGACCCTTCTTTCCATTTTTAAAAGACCCCTCTTGTTATACTGGGCCCACCTGGATAATCTTATTTAAAGGTCAGCAGATTAGCAGGCTTAATTCTATCAGCAACCTTAATTCCTCCTTGTCATGTAACTTATTCACAGGTTAGATTCACAGCTAACATATTCACAGGTTCTGAGGATTAGGACATGGATGTCTTTGGGAGGACTTATTCTGCCTACTAGAGTGTGTAACTTAAATGCATGGTTTTAAAAACATATGGAGGTGACACATAAGGAGCCCTCTTCTCCTGGCTGTTAGCAGCTTGCATCATTTGACTGTGTCCTGCTTCTTTCCATCCCTTACTGATATGGTTTGGCTGTGTCCCCACCCAAATCTCATCTTGAATTCCCACATGTTGTGGGGGGAACGTGGTGGGAGATAATTGAATCATGAGGGTGGGTCTTTCCTATGCTGTTCTTGTGATAGTGGATAAGTCTTACAAGATCTGATGGTTTTAAAAACGGGAGTTTCCCTGCACAAGCTCTCTCTTTGCCTGCTGCCATCCATTTAAGACGTGACTTGCTCCTCCTTGCCTTCTACCATGACTGAGAGGCCTCACTAGCCACGTGGAACTATAAGTCCATGAAACCTTTCTTTTGTAAATTGCCCAGTCTTGGGTATGTTTTTATCAGCAGCATGAAAACGGACTAATACTCTTATGTATCCTCCACTTTATAATCTGGTACATCCAGTTACGGTTCTTGAATATGCTGTTTCTTCCCATTTTAGAGCCTGCTTTATAGTAAGTATGCAGGAATGTCTCTGCTTTCCTCCTACTCGCCTCGTGGGGGCTTTACTTCTCAAAGGAGCCTTTCCATCTGCTGGAACCTATGTTGATTGTTCCCTTGCCCAGCTCCTATGGCTGAGTCCTTGTTCTTTTGTTTCTCAAATATGTCACACGCTCCCATAATGCTTGACAAATCTCTGCCCTGATCTGGTGAATAGAAAATTGCTACTCTTGTGAAAGCCCTAGTTCTTTGGTCTGTGGCTTTTTCCAGCTCACTCTTGGCCTTGCAGTCTGCTGCTTAACTTTGCTCAAAAAATGACCCCAATCTTTGTTGCATAATGTTTCTGCTACTGTCAGCACTCAATATTCTTGTTATGCTGCATTGCAAAATGTTGTGCTTCAACATGTTCAGGGAGTGTTTTCCCCTCACAGCGTATCATGTGTTTATCTGAAGATGGGTGGGTTTAATTATTAAAGGCTTTGGAGTTTGTCTTAAAGTGTATGTAAGGAAAACAAATTAATGACTCTTATTCAAACAACATGAAGGGAAAGGCCATTCTTTCTCAATGTGATGATACGAACAATATTCTATTCATTTTTTTTCTGCCCATATCTTGATGGAAGCTAATGTAAAAATGAGCAATTTGAAAATTCAAAAAATCCTTACACGTGTAAAGATATACATACATACATAGGATAGTCAATTGCATCATTTTTGTAGCTGCAATACTGGAAGCAATTAAATGTCCATAATGTGGAATTATCAAGATAAAATATAGCACCATACTATGCAATTTTATTCAGCAGTTAAAAAGAATGAGATGTGTATGCTGACAGAGAATAATATCCAAGATATTTAAAGAAGAAAGAAAAATACATGCCTACATGTACATATAGACAGAGAATGTCTCAGGTCACCGAAGAAACTTACTAGATGTTGCTTCTGGGTAGATGCACTAAGGATTGGGGAGTAAGAGAAAGATTTATTTGTGGTTCCTTTCATTTGTCCTACAATCTCAGCTGCTATCTAATTGTGGAGGCAGGAGAGTTTCTTTTCATATCCCAATTTTGCCTTATGAGGCGTTTCTGTCCATCAGAGATGACTGGTTTGGGTTTATCTCAGTTTCCTCTCCAGCTGAGTGTCCCCATGAAGTCACCTTCTGAGTTGTCTGGTTGGCCACAGTTGAAATAAAAGGTTCAGTTGAGTATCACACACATGCTTTCTTTGAAATAAAGTTTCAGGGTATAGTAGGAAGGCACAATGAAACTGAAGTAGAGGTGGAATCATGTTGTAAGTGAAGGGAAATGGCCTTGTTACATTGGAGTATGATAAACAATGCTAACTTCTTAAGTAGCTGTACCTATTTCATGTAATTTTGATTATGATTATAACCTGCAACAATTTTAATTATGATTTTAACCTTGCCAGAATTCACCTGACAAGAGTTTTGTCAGGAATTAATTGAATTGTCTTTGTAATGGGGCAGGAAAATGTATCTGGATTTTTTTTTTACATATGTATGTATTACTTTTTCAAAAAAAGCAAGAAGCAAGAGGGAAAAAAAATCCAGCGGAGGCTTCCAAACAGTTAAACAGACTGCAGATTAAATGAGAGGCAATTGTGAATTAAAGGCAACTGTGATTCAACTGCCCCAAAGCGGCTGATACTCAGGGCAGAGCTCAGGGCGAATCCAAGAGCTGGGAAAAGGAAATGATGTGAGACTTTGTGTGAGACAGTGCGGACAACTCATACCAGCTGAGCATAGCACAGACTAGAAAACCTATTACACTGAAATGCTATTGAACTGATCTTCAGAAGCCACGCAGATATGCTTCTGAATACACCAAAAATCAACACCAGAAATGCAAAATGAAACAAGTTTATTTTCTCCAATAACTTCTGTAAATTACAAAGACAAAATACTAAAAACTACAGCATATAACTTTTCAATATTTAACCAGAGTACTCGTAATAAATATGCATCCGGAAACAAGATAAAAGGCTACACCTCGTCAGGCATCCTACAAAAATGTCTCAAGTTTTATATACTCTGCAGCATTTCTGTGCGGGGGCAGAAGGGGCTGTTGTGTATTTTCTGAAGTGCTGTGACAAAAGGTCCTTTCACATTTCTTTGGAGCATTTTTGAAATTGCTTAACTATAATTAAACAACTTAAGAAAAGTAACACCAAGCTTTAAAGCCATTTTTGCTTTGCTGTCATTGGTCCTTATCCAATACAGATCAACATATCATCCAGCACAGCCAAGCACCCACTGAGGCCAAGCAGCCTTGTGGGACATGGGCCCTGTCAGAGCAGGCCCTACTTTCAGTTAAATACTTTGGAGAGTCCAGGATTCTGTCTCTCTCCCTCAACAAGATTAATGCCATAAGGGAAGTTGCAAGCGTGTTAGAAACATTTTTAACCTGAAAGTAAAGTGAACAGAAATATTTTTTTTCCGAGACCTCTGCTATGCACCATAATATTACCATATCAGGGTTTTTAGCTTCAAAGTTGAAAAACAGATTGGTACTAACAGTCCTTCTAGAGATCATTTATGGGCGCTGGTAGAGTCAGGGCATTCAAAACATTCAACGGGTAAAAGGAGGATTTGCTAGATTCAGAAATGCGCTACAATTCTGAAGACACCATGGCTGAAAGTTCTAGGGGTGTTGGTGGCAGCTCATATTAGGTCTGGCATACATAACTACCTTTTGCTATAGCTGAAAACTTTAAGGAAAAAGTTATATTTTTAAAAAGTCTCAAGCATGGCTACCTAAAAAGTATTTTGTTAATATAATCTACTGTAATTTCACTTATTTAGGAGTTCAGATATGAAAACATCTTTATGAGCCAATAAAAATATTACAGAGAAAAAAATACTTCTACAAAAGTTGAGGTTAAGAACTATGAGGCATTTCTTTTGGCTGTAAACACACAGTTTACTGTCCCTTGTTGAAACACAAATGTTTGGATTTCCTGAGCTTCACAGATAACAGCAGGAGGCAAGTTTGCATAGAAAATTTGCAGTATGTCAACAATTTACTTAAAAAAAGAACTTTTAAGGACAACTTGCTTTTGTTTTTAAGTTTCATATTTTAGTTAATAGTGCTCATCAAACTGAATATTGATAAGCAGGGTGATGAGATATATAAGGCAGATGGGAAGAAAACATGGAATTAGAGTTTTTAAATCCACAGGATATCATGATGAAGGGTTTTAAGCAGATACTTCATAACTAGTGCCATACTAATTTAGTTAGAAATTAAATCATGTTTTGGAATTGAAAGCCAAAGGCAAAAAGAGCTCTCCTGTGCTGAATGGCACTGCCCGAGTACAGGAATGGAAGGAGCATTCACTGCAGGAGGCCTCAGCACATCACTCGGTGGTGATAAAGCCACTCAGCCAGTCAGGGATGGAGGAGGGGGCCCCCCTGCCAGCATCAGGACCAGACCTCTGGGCATGGCTGATCCCAGCTCTGGAATCTGAAGGGATGACAGGGACTTTCACCTCTGCTGGTTTGAAGTCTCTAAGCAGTTCTGAGGCGGGCAGTCTTCTCCTGGGAGAAGTCCTCAGAAACCTTTGGAAAGGGAAGAAGCTACGCTAGGCCACAGTGCATACCACGAATGAGAACAATGGCAGCGGCTGCCGACAACTCTGGATCTAACACAAAGACAGATGACAAGGGGCAGTGTCCTGCCAAGGAATCCACTTTACTTCTTTTGAGACTGGTTTTTACACATGGTAAGGATTTGCTTCAGTACTTTCTGGACATCTTCATCCATCTGGCCCTAGGATATTCAAACACAAGATACTCATTAGAACCTAAATTAAGCCATGGCACTTTCTTCTCTGGGGAATGAGATGGCTGACTGCAATGAAGACCTGGGCTAATTCCCACATCTTTCACAGGAATGTCAGCCCTATCATTTCCCAAATTTCTATGAGGAACTGAGTCAAAGAAAGGGCCCTGCCTTTATCCAGCTGGAAGATGAGGTGGCAGTGTCTACCAAAACCCTCAGCAAAAGCTATCTGGGGTCTCAGTTGCAAATGTGAGTCCAGCAGCCAGAACACCAAGCATCATAGAGCCAAGGCAGCACTGGTAACTAAGAAGATCAGCATTGCTGGAAAATAAAGCCCCCGTCTTCCCAGTGGAGGACCACATCATCCCTCATTCCTCAATAAATGATGGGAGGGTGGGGCATGGTGGCTCATGCGTGTAATCTCAGCACTTTGGGAGGCCGAAGCGGGTGGATTGCTTGAGCTCAGGAGTTTGAGACCAGCCTGGGCAACATGGCAAAGCCCCATCTCTACAAAAATACAAAAATTTGCCAGGTACGGTGGTGGGTACCTGTAATCCCACCTACTTGGGAGGCTAAGGTGGGAGGATCACTTGAGCCCGTGGGTCGAGGCTGCAGTGAGGCGAGATTATGCCATTACACTCCAGCCTGCATGACAGAGTGAGGCCCTGCTTTAAAAGATGGGGCTGTTCCTGGTAAACAGGGCACAAGGCTCCTGACACAGAATCCAAAGCAATGCAAAAGGCATATTCAGGCTTTCCAGTGAAAAGGATTCTCCTCTAATTCTTGTTCATTCTCCTAGTTAAATGATGGGAGTTCTGTCAACATCTGCTGCCGTATTTCTTTAGGATGTCCAGATACTTCAAGGGGCATAACCATACCTGCACAGCATACAGAAGATGCATTCTGTAAACTGATATGACCTCCTGGTGTTGTTTCTTGCATTCCTAGAAAGGGAATATTTCACATTATTAATGAGCTTAAGAGATCTTTAAAGAACAAAAACAAAAAACTATGAGAAAGCTGCAGCCAAATGCTACCCAAGTGGTCCCCTCCACTTTATGCTAGCACTGGAAGCTTCTAAAATTGTTGTGGCCTTACTGGCTTGTGTATTTCTGAATACTTGTCAATCATCTTAGGGAAAAAAGTCTTGGTATGTCAACTCTAGAAAAAACTGTATAAAAAGGAGTTATTATCACCCCACATTTGGTTTTAAAAATATATGCTCTTTGGGCGGCTGAGGTGGGTGGATCACTTGAGGTCAGGAGTTTGAGACCAGCCTGGACAACATGGTGAAACCCCGTCTCTACTAAAAATACAAAAATTAGCCAGGCGTAGTAGTCAGTACCTGTAATCCCAGCTACTCAGGAGGCTGAGGCAAGAGAATCGCTTGAACCTAGGAGGCAGAGGTTGTAGTGAGCCGAGATCACGCCACTGCACTCCAGCGTGGGTGACAGAGCAAAACTCTGTCTCAAAATATATATATATATGTGTGTGTGTATGTGTGTGTGTGTGTATGTGTGTCTATATATGTGTGTATATATGTATATATGTGTGTGTATATATGTACATATACTTATGCAAATACAGCTACATTAAATGTAAATACTGCAAGGAAATATATCAAATGTAAAAAGTGATTATCTCAGAGTTATTGAATTATGGAAAATTTTTATTTATAGGAACTTGTTAGAGTTTTCTTTATTTTTCAACTTTTCTACAATGACCAAATATGTACTAATTTAATTTTTAAAGCCTATTATTTTTAAGGGAATTATTGATTACCCACTATATGGCCAGCATTGTATAATCCTTGGGGAGCTCAATTATTTAGCTATCAGTGTACTAAGAAGGCAAAGAGGGTGGTGGCCCCAATCTCCAGTGGTTCCTCAATACAGCCGCTGATGCTTCTATTTCTCCTTGTTGAGCTATTACTCCAGTTCCTCTCAGTGGCTGTTTCAAGGGTCTTATCTCTGAAACTCTTGTTCTAAGAACCTGTCCTCCTAATTCATCATGAAAATTGAGACCATCATATATGGATTACTTCAAAAATGTACAAAAGTCCATAATACCCATTCTTCCTTCCCCCCATCAGTGTCAGAGTATGAGGTATCTTTCCTGTTATTAAGGGACATTTTAAAACCCGTCCTTTAAGTTCACATCATAAGAAGGCACATTTGGCATTTCTCTGTGTTGTTCCCTCCCCACCTTTCAGCAACCTCTACTCAATTATTTATGATTTTATCTTCTGATCTGGCTTCCTTTCTATCACTGCCTCTGTCATCATTCGCTTGGCTTTGATATCTGTGTGAATGATCCATCTAACACCTGGACCTCTCAGTTCCTCAACTTCAGCTTTAATAACATGCTCCTCTTCAGTTCAGCAACTCCTGTCATGGTTGTAGCCCTGCCTCTATCATTACCACCTCTGAAATCTCAACTGAAAGCATCCCACACCCTAACCACCACTTCCCATCTTTCCAGCAAGCTTGCTTCAGGCTTCCCCCAACCCCTACTGCGACTGGTTAGCCCCACCAGATACCTATCTACTTACTTACTTCTCTAGCAGCCAGTCTACTGCGGTCCAGATTCTACCCTCCTCCCCACTCCACTGGAATGGTTCTCACCAAGGTTCCCAAAAGCCAGCTAGTGCCATATGTCAGTCCTTGCTAAGTAACAACATATTCTTACTCAGGCCTTCAAGACTCAGCACAAGTGTAACTCCCGTAGGAACCTTTTCATGACTCAGCAAGATTGGGTAGACACATTTCCTTTGTATGCCCACGGTATGCTGGGCATCTCTTTGCTGATAACTTATATAGAGTATAAACTCCTTGAGGGCAGGGACTGAGTCTTACTCATTTTATATCATCAGCCCCATGTATAATACTGATGTAAGAGCTCAACAAACACATGTTGCGTAATTATAAGAATTACTGTATAAACCAATAGCACTTTATCTACAAGTCTGTAATACCATTTTATCAGGAGAAGAATGACCTGCAGAACACAGTAAAGAGCAGCTTCTCCTAAGTATCCACCATTTCTAGAGCTGTTTCCTCCAAAGCTAGCATTGAACTTTGTGGCCAGCCAGAGTAAGGACTGCAGAAACCTGAATTCACTACAGTTAGGTCTATTCCGAAGAAATCATCAAATCCATGTTCTGTTTGTATATGGAAGCTAGAGACAGTCCAGGACAGACTAACCCTGGACTTTAGGTAGAAAACGGAATGTACCCATGCCAACTCAAACCTTAACAGATATTGTGGTAAGCTAAATAATGGCTCTTGAAAGATGTCCACATCCTAATCCCCAGAACCTGTGAATGTTAAACTTTATATGGCAAAAGGCATCTTGCAGATGAAATTAAGGGTTTGAGATGGAGAGGGAGATTATCGTGGATTATCTAGGTGGGCTTTAGATGTAATCACAAGAGCCCTTATAAGAGGGAGGCAAGAAAATCAAAGGCTGAAGGAGGAGATGGGAAGACTGAGCAGATGCTGGAGTGATGTGCCTCGAAGATGGAGTAAGGGGCCATGAGCCACAGAATGCAGGCAGCCTCTGGTACTGGAAAAGGCAAGGAAATTGATTTTCTCCTATGGTCTCGAGGAGGAACCAGCCCTGCCAACAACTTGAAGTTAGTCCAGTGAAAGTGATTTTGGAATTCAGTTCAATGCAACTGTAAAATAATACACTCATGTTGTTTTAAACCAAATTTGTGGTGATTTGTTACAATGGACCCAGGAAACAAATTTAGATAAGCAAGGGCTTTCCTGGGTGAAATAAGGAGAGGGGCCAAGAAGCAGCTTCAGATATATAGAGATGCAACTACTAGAGATCCTGGCCCCTAACAAGAAAAAGCTCTTGCCACTGCCAGAGATGGGGAAAGACTGTTGCAGAAAAAGGAGAAGGGGTAAAAAGTTAGGGTATGAGTGAGCACATAGCCTCCTCCTACTGTCCTGTCGGTTCTTTCCTTCCCAGTGAATATCTGACCCGTTGCATTGCTGATAACGACCAGGAATTCCACCAGTGGCTCCCTCTTTTGCCCTCACTGAAGAAATCAGTCAACTGCTCATTGAAGTACATTCCTTTGGGCTGGGAATCTTTTTGTTCACGCCCACTTGCCCTAGCAGCTGAGATGGTAGGAAATCTGCCAGGCCCTCCACCCCAAACCAGGCAGCAGAAACAAGCCCACTCACCGCCAGCTGGTTCTGGAGCTGTTTGACTTGCTGCTGCAGCGCCTCCAGCTGCTGACTCTGCCTTTTGGATGAGCTTGTTGAGTAGGAGAGCTGGGAGAGGCTGTTCAAGGCCTCCTTCAATTTGGTGACTTCCTTCGACATCTCATTTATCTAGGGGCAAAGGAAAATGGTATTAGCAGACAGTAACATGTCTACAAAGCAAAATTTCATATATTTGTAAGCCTCAAACATAGTCATCTCTTTTGGCCTCTGGGACTTAAGACTTTGGAACAATTCCTTTTTAATACATTTAAATTAAAAAACTCATAAAATGAAATGGATGACAAAATCAGGCAAACTAACAAAGCCCGCTACATCCATTAGGTTCAGATAAAGGCCCTTGAATTACATATTATGTTTTGGTGATGGCGGTAACAAAAGCTGTGATGTTGGTTTCCTACTTTTACTCTTAAAATGGGTATGATTGAAAAAAAAAATCAGAATTAGGATTTCCGCTTTTATTTGGAGACAGCTATATTTTGTCCAATACTGCTGACATGGGTGATCAGGAATAAGGTCTAGGAAGCCTGATATCTCTGGACGTCTTTCTTTAAAGTAAACACAACTAACTCCTCACCGTACCCCACCACTCCCTAATCCCTGTTCCCCTGGATGATAAAGCTCTTTTGAAACACTCATTACAAAAGAATAAAGACAAGTAGTCTCTCATGAATGCTATTCGGAACCTCCGAGACAGGGGACTAGAGATGCAGAGCCGATTGAGGCGTGGAACCATCCCCCTGAACTTCCCCTTTGCTTCCCTCCTTCCTCCAGCAGCACGGCCAGCACCATCTCTTGTGTCCAGCGCCATCTCAAATTGCCGGCTCCCCACATTCCTCCCCCTTCCTCTCCTATATACCTGTCAAAGGAGGGACCGGCGAGGGTAGCTTTTACAGTGACTTGAGGGGAAGCTCATGGACCTTAGGGAAACAGGATTAAGTCTAGGAGTATTTTAGTTTCATATTATGGAGGAATCTGTTCTGAATCCAAAAAAAGAACCTGAAGTTTGAGGTGGATCACAAATACTTTCCAGTTTGCAGGTTCACTTCTGATCCCCAATACTGGCAAAGCTTCTGTAAAATGATTTTTAAAGGACAGATATATGAAAATGCTTTAGTATAAGGAGAAGTGGCCGAAGATTGATGTTTGCTTATTGATTATTTTTTGAGGCAGGGTCTCACTCTGTTGCCCAGGCTAGAATGCAGTGGTGTTGATATGGCTCATGACAGTCTTGACTTGTAGGGCTCTAGTGATTTTCCTGCCTTAGCCTCTCAAGTGGCTGGGACTACATGCTCATACCACCATGCCTGGCTAATTTTTAAATTTTTTGTACAGATGGGGTCTCACTATATTGCTGAGGCTGGTCTCAAGCCATCCTCCCATCATGGCCTCCCAAACTGCTGGAATTAGAGGAGTGAGCCACTATGCCCAGCAGATGTGTTTTTAAAATACAAATACCCAATAAACTATTCTTTTTTTTTTTTTTTTTTTTTTGAGATGAAGTCTGTTCACTCTGTTGCCCAGGCTGGAGTGCAGTGGCCTGATCTTGGCTCACTGCAACCTCCACCTCCTGGGTTCAAGCCATTCTCCTGCCTCAGCCTCCCTTGTAGCTGGGATTACAGGCGTGTGCCACCACGCCCAGCTAATTTTTGTATTTTTAGTAGAGACGTGGTTTCACCATGTTGGCCAGGCTGGTCTTGAACTCCTGACCTCAAGTGATCCACCCACCTCGGCCTCCCAAAGTGCTGGGATTATAAGCGTGAGCCACCACGTCCGGCCGACCCAACAAACTATTCTTAATGTGGCTTTGGTGACAGATAAAGTTCATGTGCAGAGCCTCTGAGCATTCACTCCAGTTTAGTGCCAACACTAGAAATATTTAATATAGTAAAAGCCAAAGAGACTAAGACTTATTGCTAGAAACCCAACAGCAATACAGTTTCACCAACCTTTTTATCTTTATCTTCCTCCAGTTTTGAAGAGCTCTCAGCGTATCTTTTCATTTCTGCAAGTTCTTCCTGAGCTTGCTGGAATTTTTGCAGAAGTTCATTTACTTCTTGCTCTTTGGATTTCAAGAGAGTCTGAATATTTTCCTTTTCTCTTTTCACCTGTGAGACCTCACTTCTAATCTGGACAACCTCTGAATGGACCTTCTCTTTCTCTTTCACAGATTCCTTTAATTTCGATGCCAACACACTCACTTCACTCTCTAAGGATGACTGGAGTTTTTCATAGGAAGACCGAGGTACCATTGCATCAGTCATAGCAGCTTTCTCTTCTAAGAGTTGTTTCTCCAGCTTTGCTACTTCCACTTCCTTGCTTGCAAGGTGTTCCTTAAGATTGCTTATTTTTTCTTCCATCTCTTTTGCTGCAGTCCGCAGCGTGGTTATCACTTGCAAATGTTCTGTGATAGAGACAGAGTTCTCTTTTTGTGCATCCACCAGTTGTTTGAGCTGGGTCAACTCATTCAACACTTTTGAATACTGAGACTTCATTTCAGACAGTGCATCTTCTGCTTTAGCCCTGGACACGTTTGTCAATTGCATCAGTTTCTCATGCTCTGCTTTATGGATATATTCAGCTGTGACATCCTCTAGAGATTTCCTCTTCCTGTAATCCTCCAGCTCAGCCTGGGCTTCTTTGTACAGCTGTGACAGCTCGCTCACCTGTTTATTGAGTTCATCTATCATCCTATTCATGGCTTCTTTCATGTCCTCAGCTTCATCACTGGCTTCCTGTGTCATCTGACTTTTTAGTGTGTCTTTTAATTTCATGATTTCTTCTTGGGCTTCTTGGTATTTCTCAAACAAAAATGCTTTCTCCTTATTCATATTCTCAATAACAGAGCAATATGAACTTTTCATTTCCTCGTACTCTTCCACAGGTGGCTTAATCACTGTACCTTTCTCCCTCTCTACCAGTTTTTCCTCTAACTCTCTCACTTTCTCTTTATTTCTTTCACTTTCTTCTAATGCATTCTGCAGATCCTGCTTTAGCACATTTATTTCCTCTTCCGTGACCCTCAGCTCGTGGAAATGTGAATAATTATCCATGCTTTCAGGTGAGACAAGACCGAGTTTCATCTGCTTCTGCACACTAAGGACTTCTTTCATAGCCTCCTCGTATTTGCTCTGAGTTTCTTTAAGTTTCTGGCTGAGGTCAGAGCTGTTCTCTGAAATCTCAGTGTTGTTTAAGCATACCAGTTCTGCCCTTCGGGATTGGAGTTCGACCTGTAGCTGTTTTCTCTCTGCTTCAGAGCTCTCTAATCTCTTCTGTAGATCTTGCAAAATCTCTTGCAGTTGCTGAATTCTGACATCATTGTCAGTAGTGGATTTACCTAAAGAATGTATTAAGACAGATGGAGATGATTTGGAGTCTGGGGGAGAGGTTTCACCAGGTTTTCCCAGGGATGGGCCCAAGTCAGTTTGGGTGGAATGGTATGAGTCAAAGCTTAGGTCTGCTTCCGCCTCCTTGGGTGATTTGGCCTAGGAAAAAAAAGCAAGAATTAAATGATATCAAAGGTCAGGAGATTGAGACCATCCTGGCTAACACGGTGAAACCCCGTCTCTACTAAAAAAAAATACAAAAAATTAGCCGGGCGTGGTGGCGGGCGCCTGTGATCCCAGCTACTCGGGAGGCTGAGGCAAGAGAATGGCGTGAACCCGGGAGGCGGAGCTTGCAGTGAGCCGAGATCGCGCCACTGCACTCCAGCCTGGGCGACAGAGCAAGACTCCGTCTCAAAAAAAAAAAAAAAAAAAAAAAAAAAAAAAAAAAAAGATACCAAAGGCGTGGTTAGCTAAGCAAGCAACTAGAATGAGAGGAGTAAATCCGCAACTTTGGTACGGGAGAGTAGCATGATCACTTTGCCTGTGTATTCTCATGCCATGAAAAAAGACAGTCTGGGACATGAGTGGGACTAATGACACAAAGCTTGCTTTGGGTTCTATTGGGACAGACGATTTGTGTCACTTTGAAAACACTAAAATTGTTTTCTCTACAAAGCCTCCAATTCAAAAATTTCCTTTATTTCTTATATCATTCTACTTGCCAAGAGGGGTAATGGATATATAGTACAGCTATTTCTTCTTCTTATTTTTTGGTACAGCCATTTCTTATCAAGTACTTAAACCTGTTAAATGATCAACTTTACTAAATGGATAATATTTTATATATATATATATATATATATACATACACACATACATATATAATTTAAAACGTAAAATTTTAATATATATAAAATCAAAATATAAAATTATATATTATGCATCATTCTATGCATATAGTATATTTTATATAGAATTTTTTCTATAAATTTTGTTTTATTTATATAATTTATTAAACATATAGAATATTTAATACTGATCATACTATGTGTATAATTATTTATAATTTACCAGTTGAATAATTTACAGAAAGAGTTAATGAATAACACTCTCATGAAACAAATAATCTGAAACTATAAGATGCTTAAAGCTAATATTTAAAAAGAAACTAATGTACACATTTAAAACAAAATACATCTGACTACTGAAAAGACCAAGAGCTTGACTCTACAGAATAGTCCATGATAGCAATCTATTTATATACCTGTAATTTATCTTGTAACTCCTTATTGTGTAAGGTAAGGGAAGCAACTTTTGCTTGCAATAGAGAGAGAAGATCTTGTTGGTCAGCTTCAGAACTTATATCCAATAAGCTATCAGCACCTTGGGAAAGAGAAAGCCATTTAAAATATAAAACAATTAAACTCTTATTTCTCTAACCTGAGACAAATTCACTTCCTAGCCTAATCCAGTTCTTCTTCCTGGCCCTAATTATAAAACGCCCTAGCAGCTGGATGGGTGAACTAAAATTTTCATTTTATATAGAAAGGAAACTGGGGTTTCCTTACTGTGGTATTGCTAGCACAATACTAGATACATGTGTACACAAGGCAATCTGAAAATTGATGAATTTGGTCATATATTTCCTATTCATTTGCTTAAGTGTCATATCTTGGTTGTTTTTGGTTCTTCCCTGTGCCTTGTAAGTCTCAGTTATGTGAATCATTTTAGAAATGTCTCTGGAATCTGGTTTATTTCTTTCCCCCTACCACCATTACTGTAGTTAAGACTTTATCACCTTACTTGGAAACTCTGCAAACAGCTTCCCAACAAATCTCTGCCTCTCTCTTCTTCCCAGTGAAACTGTAGCCTGCACAGCAACGTCAGACCAGTCTTCCTAAAACATACTTTGATTGGGTCATTCCTCTGGGTCAAGTGCTTTAATTGTTTTCCCTCCAAAAATAATCTCCAAATTCCTTTATCTGGGTTCAGGCCTCTATGATTTGGCTCCAGTCTACTTCTTCAGGTTCATGACACTGCTACTTTTCTAGATTCCTATTTTCCTCAGATTCATGGTTCCCATCACACCCTCTACATTCTCAACACACGGCTGATTCTTTCATTCTTTATCCACAGGATTGCCCTGCAGAATCTCTCTGCCTAGAGAATTCTTAAGCATCATGTCAAACTTTGCCCAGTCCTTAAAGCATTCAAAGACCACCCTAGCATGAAACTATCTTCTCTTCTCTGAATCCCACAGTAATCCCTGTTGGTAAACCACAACTTTCGGACATCCTACTGATTATCATGCTGAAATTGCAACTTAAGGAGTGCTATTCAAGGTGCTCACAGAGATAGCAAACTTCCTCCAGAATGCAATGCAATGTACTGCTTCCTTCATCTAGAAAGTCCTACAAAAGATATGTCAGCTGAACAAAACAATGTGCTTAGTGAAGTAACTGTGTGAATTTCTGGTCCAAACTTAATATTATTATTACTTTTTGAGATGGAGTCTTGCTCTGTCACCCAAGCTGGAGTGCAGTGGCACGATCTCGGCTCACTGCAACCTCTGCCTCCCAGATTCAAGCAATTCTCCTGCGTCAGCTTCCCAAGTAGCTGGGACTACAGGCATGCTCAATAATTAACTATTACATAAAATCTCAATAATTTTATGTAATAGCTAATTTTTGTATTTTTAGTAGAGACGGGGTTTTGCCACATTGGCCAGGCTGGTCTCGAACTCCTGACCTCAGGTGATCTGCCCACCTCGGCCTCCCAAAGTGCTGGGATTACAGGTGTGGGCCACCACACCCAGCTCAAACTCCTTAATTATTATAAGCTAGTAAATACTTTACCCACACTTTGAAAAGCACTGATCTAAATTTTTAATGCTATGCTTTTTATTTTCTCACAGCCATTTAATGCAAAGATGAAAACTTTAATCTTAACTTGGAAGGATGCAAAATGACCTTTCTTTATAGAAATCCTTGCTTCTCATCATAAGTCTGATGCCTAAATCACAGCTGAGTTTCCTTGACATGAAGTCTGGTGAGTGTGGAATGAACTAGGGAACTGGGAGCCTAAATGCAATTCTAAGAAATAAAAATTACTTCTAAGATACAGTGAATGGTTTTTAAAGTACCCAATGTAACATTTGTTTAGTTATATTAACATTGATCTCTGCCAGAAATTAGAAAGTTTAATGTTTCTAGGGCCGGGTGTGGTGGCTCATGCCTATAATCCCAGCACTATGGGGGGCCAAGGTGGGAGGATCGCTTGAGCTCAGGAGTTTGAGACCAGTCTGGGCAATACAGTAAGACCCCATCTCTAAAATAAATCAATAAATACATAAATAAAAAATATTTCTAAGTTCTGCAAATTAAAGGCTCCAAACACCTATGAAATACACAACAGATTAAGACACTGAATGCTGGAGCAAAAGTGGACCTTTGAAATTGTCTCTTCTACATTTTAAATGGATTCTGAAGGTACTATATTACATTCTTAAAGGGTAAATTCTTAGGAGGCACTCTTTTATAAGAGACACAATGAATTAAACCCTATGATCATAAAGACAATATGATTACATATGACTTCATGAACATTCTTGTCTTTGCGTGTGTCTACTTGAAATCCAAAGTAGAAAAGTTAGATGGGGACAGTCATGGAGGTGGCATGGTGGGTTCTCCCTTCATGAAATAATGTGCTGCTCAGCTGCAAAGAACGCGTTTAGCAGACAGCAGAAGCCTATGGACCTCATCTGAACATGATATTTTTAAATGGGTAAGATAAAATATATAGGCTACAGTAACTTAAGAGCTTATTTGGTAACAATAACAAGATCTGGCAGCAGGTCTAATAACTGCCATAATTTTTAGTAGCAATATTGTAAATATTTCAAGATATCTGCAATAACAGTAAGGTGATAGGAATTCTCTTGGTGACAAAATCACTGGTCTGCTAATACCACTGAGGCTTATTGCCTGTACTCATAATTGAACGAACTGCTAACATGTAGTTTGGGACAAATGAAAATAAAGATGTATTTTTCAAAATTCAAATTCAGAGACTCTTTAAAATGCAGGTGAAGAAGGCACCCTGAAGTACAGAGCGCTTCAGCTTGTGCATTACTGGCAGCTCTGTGTGGACATGCTGGCTTGTGACATTTTTACACAGTACCCCAGCTTGGCCTTTGCTCTCTTTAAATGGACATGAAATAGTTTGGTTGAAGGAAAAAAAAAAACAGATGCTTCCTTGTCTTACCTGTAGTACTGTCACTTAGTCTGTCTTTGTTTTCTCGTATAGAACTGATCTCAGCCTATTGAAACACAAAAATGACTTAAAGAACATTTCTAAATGTAACATTACACAAAAGAATCAAGCAGACTTTCCTCCTTGAGCTTACGCAGAGCAGATCTGGTATGATCCTACTAGAAAAGCAGCTAGAAAATCTCGAAGAAAGAAGATATTTTAAGCTATAAATGAGTAAAAGTGACAATTATCTACTAAGTTTAATTTCTAAAACATTAGAAGTTCCAGAGGGCATATTCTCTAAATATTTTTCAGAAGTTTCATTTAGTGAGTACAATGCAAATATATTTAAGATCACAATAATTTTATGTAATTGCTAATTTAGTGAGTTATGTACTAAAAACTGAGACAGCAAATAGTGCTTTCGTAATGAAGTCAAAGAGAAGTTCTATATGTCTGCATTATACATTGATTGAAATATTTTAAAGCAGATTTTTTAGCTTTATCATTTTATAAGTTATCTGCTATTAAAGTTACTATTAACTTTTCTAAGGGAAATGGTAATAAATATCATATGGTCTCAGATTGGCAATAGATTCCCTAAAGATTTTCTCTAATGCTTTGTCCCTGAATATCTGTTAATATACCATAAAAATTCTTGGAACTTCAAAGCCACAATCTCATTTCAAAACATTACAGTGACTTGCTAAAAATTACAATGTGGCATCCGAATGAGCCAGTCAATGATAAGAGAATTTTTCAGCAGAGATACCTTTGTAAAAGCCCAAATGCTAAATAATAAAGTAGCTTATTTTTAGTTAAGTGCTTATCTTTACAAAAAGCAGTCCTTTCACTTTTATAACAAATTTACTTGTTTTTATATTTTCCACTATATAACGTATAATAAACTGCATCCAGCCAAGTTTACAATTTGAAGAGTTTTTGACAGATGTATACCTATGGAACCAACACTATAGTCAAGATAGAGAATCTGTTCATTATGCCTAAAAGCTTCTTCATGCTTCATTACAACCAGTCCTTGCCCGCATCATTCCTAGGCAACCACAACTCTTTTTTTCACATTTCTTAGAATTCCTATAAATGGAATGTCATCCCATATGAATTTTTTGGTGGCTGGCTTCTCTCAGCATGATGACTTTTCAGATTCAACTATGTTGTTACTTGCACTACAGTTCATTCCTCTTTATTGGCAGATAATATTTCATTATATGGGTATATCTCATTATCTTTATTCACTTGTTCATGGACATTTGGTTTGCTTCCAATTTGGGGAGGTTGTGAATGAAGCTGCTACAAACATTTGCATACAAGATTGTGTCTAAACATACAATTTCATTTATTTTGGTAAACACCTATGAGTGGATGGCTGGATCATATATTAGGTTTATATTTAACTTTAATGAAACTTCCAGCTTTCCAAACTGGTAATAGTTATACCATTTTAGATTCCCACCAGCAGGAAATGGAGTTCTAGTTCTGCAACATCCTCAATCCTCACTTGGTAGTATCAGTCTTTTTAAACTTTAGCCATTTTAAATAGATATCACTTTTTCTTTTTTTTTTTTTTTTTGAGATGGAGTGTCTGTCGCCCAGACTGGAGTGCAGTGGCACAATGTTGGTTCACTGCAACCTCTGCCTCCCAGGTTCAAGCGATTCTCCTGCCTCAGCCTTCCCAGTAGCTGGGACTACAGGTGCCCGCCACCACACCTGACTAATTTTTTGTATTTTTAGTAGAGACGGGGTTTCACTGTGTTAGCCAGGACGGTCTCGATCTCCTGACCTCATGATCCACCCGCTTTGGCCTCCCGAAGTGCTGGGATTACAGGCATGAGCTGTGAGCCACCGAGCCTGGCCTAGATATCACTTTTGTCTCCTCCCTAAGCTAACGTAGGAATAAATGTCACTTTTTATCTTGTTTTTTTTTGTTGTTGTTTTTTCAGAAATGACAGTCTTATACTCTACCTCTGAAAAATCATAATTTGTGATATTCTTCGGATTGCACTGCTTCTTTGAGGCACAGTCATATCAGAAGATATTATCGTACTAACTATAAGAGTATAGTTGCCTTGTCTTACATAGAAATTCATCTGAAGAGTTTATTAGTAAAGTCTAAAGTGAGGGAAATGATAGGTTGATAGAATCTGTTTCAGATTAATGTGTATCCAAGTTAAAAAAAAACATCTTTAATAATTCTAAATAAGGGAAAGTAAGTAAATATAAAATATCGAAATTTCATGTTAACAATTATAAATTTTATTTCCCCCTTGAGTACAATTTCTCAGTATATTAAACAGATATTAAATGGAAATATCCTCCCACTTCCTTAAAATGTTTTGCAACCACAAATCTACAGAACCAGGTGGATAAAACCTAATGGATTTTCTAACATTTGTAAAATAAATACATATTACTTTTATAGTCAGGAAAAAAATTAACTATACAATTCTCAGTAAGACAACAGAGAATAACACAAGTTTCTGTCTCTTTGATTGGAATTAATATAAACTTAATTGGGTAAGAAGACTGCTTATCTAGTAAGTTCTTATCTTTGTCTCTTTTTAAAAAAACTTTAGCACTTTGTATTTGGAGCAATTTAAGATTTATAAAAAAGTTGCAAGATAGAAACCTTCACTTATTTCTTCTAATGTTTACAACAGATGTAGCCATTATACATTTGTCAATTGGTAAATTACTACTATCTAAATTACAACTTTATTCAAATTGCGCCAGTTTTTCGAATAATGGCCTTTTTCTGTCCCAGGATCCAATCTAGAATATTTCATTATAAATAGAGAAGTTCCTGAAATATAATTTTTGGCATTTCCTCAATATTCTGCATTCAGGAAAGAATGAGGAGAATAACAGGTAGAAGCTGGTAACTTCCACACCTTATTTTTGAAAAAATTAATTTATTTTTTAGTTGACAAATAAAAGTTGTATGTATTTACCATGTACATCATGATGTCTGCAAATACGTACATAATGTGAAAAGGCCATGGAGCTAATTAATCTCACACACTTATCATTTTTTGTGATGAAAACACTTAAAATCTGCTCCCTGAGTGATTTTCAGAATCCAATGCATTGTTATTAACTATAGTCACCATGTTGTACCATGGATCTCTTGAACTTATTCCTTTTATCTGGATGAAATGTTGTACCGTCTAGCCAACATCTCCCCAATACCTCCCACCACTCCCCCAATTATCATTCTACTCTCTGCTTCTATGGGTTCAACTTTTTTAGATTCCATATAAGTAAACTTTGTCCCTGCTCCCCACCACAAGACACTCGCTCTGTCGCCCATGCTGGAGTGCAGTGGCCCGATCTTGGCTCACTGCAACCTCTGCCTCCTGGGTTCAAGTAATTCTCCTGCCTCAGCCTCCTGAGTAGCTGGGACTACAGGTGCCTGCCACCAGGCCCAACTAATTTTTGTATTTTTTTCTTTTCTTTTTTTTTTTTTGAGACGGAGTCTCGCCCTGTTGCCAAGCTAGAGTGCAGTGGCGCGATCTCGGCTCACTGCAATCTCTGCCTCTTGGGTGTAAGTGATTCTCCTGCCTCAGCCGCCTAAGTAGCTGGGATTAAAGGTGCGCACCATCATGCCCAGCTAATTTTTGTACTTTTAGTAGAGACGGAGTTTCACCATGTTGGCCAGGATGGTCTCGATCTCTTGACCTCGTGATCCACCTGCCTCAGCCTCCCAAAGTGCTGGGATTACAGGCGTGAGCCACCAACCCCGGCCTAGTTTTTGTATTTTTAGTAGAGATAGGGTTTCGCCTTGTTGGCCAAGCTGGTCTTGAACTCCTGACCTCAGGTGATCTGCCCACCTTGGCCTCCCAAAGTGCTGGGATTCCAGGTGTGAGCCACTGCACCCAGCCCTCTTGTCTCTTTTTTTTTTAAATGAAGAAAATCAATTATTGGTTTGTAAATTTAATTTATTCACTCAATGATTTTTTAAAAATTTTAAATTATTATGGATACAAACTAGCTGTACACATTCTTGCTTTATGGGGTCCATGCCAGAAAAAATAATCAAGGGGTACTTCATGGTGAAAAGGTTGTGAACCAATGATTCAGAAGTATATTCTGTTTTTCCCAGTGTTATATAACTTAAAGCAAGTCTATCATGTATCTTAAAATACAGTAACAAAACTGAATACAGAAAGGAAATACCTTGAAGGGTGGTTCAGCAAAAAATACCGATTCCTTTCCCGATAGTGGAGTCGAAGTTATTGATCTTGGGGAAGAGACATCACTCAACTAAAAAAGAAACAAAATGAAAATCATTAATAAAGAATGTATCTTCAAACTCCTCTTCTCCAGTGCCGAAGAATCAACCTGTTTAACCAATGCAATGAAATCTAACAGTAAGTATCCTTGGCATCAATTAATTCACGGGTAGAATATTTTCAGTGCAATTCAGCTACTTCAAATACTTTCTGAAAGTTTACAGAATATAACTGTGCTCCTATATTAGAATCACTTTTTTAAAAATCTATAAAACTTCTATTGCAGGTTAAGAATATTAATAAGTATGCTAACATACATTTAAAAAATACTTATGAGATGAGCTATTCCTCTCTACTATTTAAATATGGATTATTCTCTTTATGGCCTATGAATTTTTAAATAACAAATTTCGATGTGTTTTTACCTGCCATTACATAGATTACTGAGCTTCCTCCTCTATGCAACCGTCACTATAAAGCTCAGAAATGAAAACTACTTTTAATATTAGCCAACCTTAAAAGCAATTAAAAAGGCAAATGTATTGCAGCAATGTTTTAAGAAACGAACTGAAATTCATTTTCAACTAATTGCCTCAATGGCTACTCATTCTCCCAGTCCTTACTAGATCTTTTAACATAAGGAACTAAAAATAAATTGAACTTATCTTAAGGGAAAGTTTCTGTGATAAGATTTTGAGAAATTTCCTTGAGACTTTTCAAAAAGAGGCTATTCGATTCTACTGTTTTTTTAAAAATAGATAAGAATCAACATTATTTCCATACTAATCATCAATCCTTCTTACCACAATTTGTAATTTAAAACTGCTAAGGAAAATTTTAAATATGCACTTAAAGGTCAGTTCTAAAACATTCCTTTTTGGCCTAAACAAAATGACAAATTTATGGCTTTCTTGTGGTGCGTTTATTGATTGTTGGTTTGCTTTTGTTTTTACCTGGGTAGGACTGATAGGAGGTGGTGGAGCTTTGCGTTTTTTTGGAGTTCCACTTCTTTCTGAGCTTATTTTAGAGACTTGGTCATGCTGAAAGTTATCACAGTCCAAAGAATGGAGGTGGGTTAGTTTGGTTAGTAAAGTCTGGGCAAGTAGCTTTATCAAACACATGAGAAAAACCTCAAAAGTTCATACATTTCTTACTTTATCAAAATCTGAAATCTGCTACCAACATAAAAATAAATAATATGCATGCACAAGTATTCTCCTAGCAGCCCATGCTTTAATAGCAAGAAAATAAAAACACATGAGACAAAACCAGATTAGGTTGGTGTGGAGAACTGGGAAAGTAGAGGTTGAGGTCTACTACAACTTAGAATCCAGAATACAATCACAGCCAGCTTTCTGTATTAATGAAAAGCAATGGTATTTCCCACACGTCTGCATTACTTCCATTCCTTTTTTTAAAGACTATAAATATGAGGGAAAGGGATAACTTCATTTTTGAAGGTTACTGGTAAGTAATACAGTTAGCACATAAATTTAGTATTGAGTATTTGCTGTTTATGATTTCTTCAAGAACGTAGATGTGTAAATAAATAAACAACCAAACATATACTGTTCATCAAAAAAACAGATAGTGACAATATATTTTTAGAAAAAACTACACAATAACAGGGCAAACTCAATTTCTACTTTGTGTAACACCACATGACGTTCTAGAAAAACCCTAATTAAAAGAAAAGGCTAAATTCTCTTATTTTCATTAAATAGCTAACATTTTCTGGCTGAAGCTCTGTAGCTCATGTGATATTACAAGTATTTAAAACAGTGTTATTCAGTCACAGAGTTTAAGCCACATCAAACATTTTCACACCAATAGGAAGTATGAGTTAGTACATTTCAGAAAAAGATGAACATATAAGTAGCAAGTTTAAAGTTACATGCTTTTGAAATAAAGCAAATTATTAAGGAAAGCTTTACCACCTTTTTTTTTTGAGACGGAGTTTCACTCTTGTTGCCCAGGATGGAGTGCAATCGTGCAATCTCAGCTCACCGCAACCTCTGCCTCCTGGGTTCAAGTGATTCTCCTGCCTCAGCCTCCCGAGCAGCTGGGATTACAGGCACGCACCACCATGCCCGGCTAATATTGTAATATTAGTAGAGGCGGGGTTTCTCCATGTTGGTCAGGGTGGTCTTGAACTCCCGACCTCAGGTGATCCACCAGCCTCGGCCTCCCAAAGTGCTGGGATTACAGGCGTGAGCCACCGGCCCGGCCTGGCAACCTTTAACACCTTATAACAATGACTTATTTATTCAAAGATATTTCAGTCCCTAAGTATTTTCAATATAGTCTTTATTACTTTACTAGTGGACCAGAGTGGTTAAATCTGAACATTTTTAAATTCCCACAAGCATAAATGAAACATAGAAGCCTCCCCCAAAGATAAATACCTGCTTTGGTTTTGTTGGGGTCTTTAAATCTATAGAGGAAAAAGTGAAAAAAAGAACTATAAGAAGCATAATGATTCATATTCACTTTGGGTGGGGGGATACACACACATACACCATATACAATATTTTTTAACACTCCTTTTTTTTTCAAGAATATGTTTAAAAGAATAATAAAATATATCATATTGCACACATTCCTTTATCCTTTGGGGAAAATGGAGTGGATAAACTTAAAACAACATTGGCTATTTTCTTTTACATACCAGCATCCTGAGAGATTTTTGATAATAGAAGGCTTTGAATTCCTGCATTTTCTGAGAGTTTGGAATAATGTAAGGCATTGTATCCAAGAGAATCTACAAGGTTTAGGTCTGCACCCTTTTTAATTAAGGCTTCCACAGCGTTAGAGCTGCCAATCTCACAGGCCAGCATGAGAGCAGTTCTAAAGGAAAAAAGAGACACAAAATTAGTACTAAGAGAATGTAAAAAGTCTTTCTTGGGAAATCAGTTGTCTTAAAAAAAGAGAAAAGAAGATTAAGTGCAGTTAAACCTTTATTACACTTAATCTTCAGGGAATTCGAAGTGGAATGCAATCAAGATGAAATTAGGTGGTTTTTTTTTTTTTTAAACTTCAGATTAAATCAAAACATTAAACCACATTTTGTCAAACAACACAATCTTCTATACTATTTGGCATAATATGATGGGATTTAATATGACTGGCATGAATCTTATCCTTGTTTTACCTCAAGCATTTTAAATAACATATATATTTCTAAGACCATTTCTCCAAAACAACCAATAGGTTTGTTTTATTTTGCATAGAAAGTCACAGGAAATTGTTTATTCACATTAGCATTTAATAGTCTCCTCACAGACTTAGCCAGCAATGATGTCCACAGATGTCTGGGGAAAATTGCTTTAAAGTCAACATAGATTCTTGATTATCAGAAACAGTAGAACTTTAAAAAGGTAAGAAGTTAAAAATCCCTTATAACAAATGATCCAAAATATAGCTGTGATATTTTGAAATACTCTCAGAATGTGGGTATCACTGAAGTCACATGATTTCTGCCTAATTCTGGAGTACCTTCCACTTTTGTTCCTGGAATTGACATCTGCTCCATGATCCAGGAGAAAGTGACAGATCTCACTGTGACCATTTTGTACAGCAAGAAGCAGCGGTATATTCCCATCCTAGGAGACAAATTCAGATTTAGATTTTACCTCAGGCACAAAATGCCAGAATTGCAAAAGTCAGCCCCTGTTTTTTGCACATTTTTCTCCTGACTTGGACTGCTGACTGCTGATCTAGTATCTGGTCCAACCTGATATTCTGTACCCCTATAGAGTCACGATTGTATGTTGGCACAACTCTTGTTATGGAATTTTACTGAATGCTAGCTTTTACATAGGAGCTCCAGCTTCTTGCGGCTGCTTATGCCCTTGGCTATCACTGTTTGGGTGACTGTGAGAGAGGACAGAACACAAAGTGTGTAAAGGCTCAAGGCAAGTGTACCGGGTATACTGAGGGACGGTGCTGGAGAAAGGAAGGGCGTGTCTCCGCACGACACCAGAAGATCCCACTGCCCTGTAGGCAGCTTATTCCCAGTGCACTAATCATTATATATCCTGCCATTCCACTTTTACCGAAAGTGTACCCTTTAGTAATCTTGCTATGTATCAAAATATAACATAAATTAAGAGCCTATGTCTGTTACTAACACATGACTAGATAAAGAAATGGATAGAAAGAATAATTATGTCATGACAATTGCAACCCCTTTGGGAAAAAGGAAATCTAGGTCTCCAACTCATATACAAACTATGTCAGGTGGATTAAGCATTTAAACATTACAATATAAAACAAATGATGAAAAATACTAGAAGAATATACATAAGTATTTTTTGTAATCTTAGGTCTGACACAAACCATAAAGAGAAGTTGTTATTTTGTTTTTTTTCTGGAATATACCCTATAAATCCATCGACAGTGAGTTTTAAGGTAGAAGCATTCAATAGGCAAAGGGAAAAGATGTTACAATATATCCAACTATTTAAAAATACAAGTGCTACTTAAAGATTGAGTATTGTCATAAAGAATTTCAGATAGATTTCTGGGCACTATCTCTGTGAAGTTATACTACTTTCTGCTTAGGAAGTACTGAACTTCAAGGAATATGAATTTATTTACAGATTCTATCTAGTCACTTCACAGCATCTCCATCAAATATAAGTGTATGCATGTCAGTTCTCATGCTGCAACATGAAATATAACCCCATGACAGAACCATGTGATAGGTATATAAATTTATTCTCAAAGTAGCCTGGTGAAGTTAAAATAGCCTAGTAATGGTCTTCAAAGTTGGGAGATTCTACGTAGAAGTTATCCAAGTGCAGAAAGAAAGTAGTAAAATTTCTATTTAGACTTATTTTTAAAAATCAAGAAATTAAGCTTTATTTGTAATTACATTGATGGTAGAAAACATGTATAGCCGTAGAAATAAATATACCTATATAGGAAATATATGCTGCAAAATGTTTTACTAATGTTTTAGAAGCTAATTAACCTTCTTCCCAGTTTAGAAAAAAAAAAAAAAGTGCAGCTCTCTGCCAGAGCTCATTTAATTTTATATAAACACACTCTTTGAGGCTGAAGAAAATCTGACTGATTTTCAATGTGAAAATAAAATATAAAAACTGTTCTTGGAGTTATTTCTAAACAGAACTAACACCAGAATCATCTGTCTCAGAAAAATCGGATTCATCAAATGAATCTTCAGCCAAGATCTCTTTGAGAACGATATTAACATCACACATAGGAATGCTACGTTTTCTAGGATTTGACATTTTCAGTGGTCGAGAATTACTACATTTTGTAAATGGAAATACCACTACTAAAAACAGAATGCTATAAACAGAATGATGTCTTTTGTTTCCAAAGTCAATACACTAGAGTGATGGGAAAATAATAATAATAAAAATGAGATATTTCGTGGCAAAGTTATCTTGAGGTAAATGCTGTATCCCCAAACGCCACTGGTGAGTATTCTTGGAGCAAATGGGAAAAGGGTTAAGAGTAATACATAAATCCATTTTGCAGAAGAGAATCTAGGTTGAAAAGCAATAGAATTTGCCCAATACTTAGTTGTCTAAAACAGGAGTACCCAACCCAGGGGCTGCAGATCAGTACCAGTCTGTGGCCTGTTAGGATCTGGCTGCACAGCGGGGAGTAAGTGGCAGGCGAGTGAGCAGTACTGCCTATAAGATCAGCAGCAGTACTGGATTCTCATAGGAGCACAAACCCTATTGTGAACTGAGCACGTGAGGGATCTAGGTTGTGCACTCCAATGCCTGATGACCTGAGCTGCAGTAGTTTCATCCTGAAACCATCCCCACCCCCATCCATGGAAAAATTATCTTCCTCAAAATCAGCCCCTGATGCCAAAAAGGTTGGAGACTGCTAGTCTAAAGTCTCAGTGACTCTAGAGGTATCCCATTGAGCTCTAGAAACCAATGTCTACCTCTGCCTCTAGTGACCACCTGGTACTTACCAAATCTTTGAGGTTTATGGGGCTCTTGTGTTCGCAGAGAATCTGCACAGCTTGAAGGCAGCCCTGAGCCGCTGGGGGAAGGAAAATATAAATACCACAGCCAATCACACAGTTATTCACAACCAGGGGTATCAGATACTTCAGGAAGGAAATGTTCATGTTCTACCCACTCTACATATATTCACTCTAGTTGCATTGAAGAGAAATGGTATTAGGAAGGTTAGGAGTGAGGTGTTTAAAATTACTGCTTAATTTCAGAGTTATGCAGGCCTAAAGCCAATGACTGCCAGTTGCCTTTAGGCAAATATTTGGCTCAGGTTTTCACAGGACTTAGCTTTTCCACAACTAGCAATAAAACACATGTGTAAATCTAATCACTCATAGTTCAGTGTCAACGTTTGTCACTTCAAGTTGTGTAATCATACTAAACAAAATATTAGTAAATAAAATTGACTGATGTTCATAATAATCCTCAAATCAAAAAGTCTGTATCACACATTACCTGAAATCTACAAATGCTTAGAATATCTCTTAGTTTAAAAAGAAACCTTAAATTAGTTAAAATATATTAATCGTGATAATTTTCAGTGGTTAGGTGGCAAAGGAATTGATGAATTCTAGGCATATGCCTCGGTAAAACTGTGTATGTTTTACAAACAGAGTAAAATGGGAATGTTTAGAAATGATGACAGAAAAGAGCACCAGGAATAGTATGGAAGGTTAATGGCCTGAATAAGGAAAAAGAAAAGTTGGTGTTTCTAATGGCAGAAGAAGACAAATAGGAGAATGAAAGTTACCTGCATAATGTAAAGCTGTTTTCCCAGAGCTGTCGACACTTTCGGCTGGGCATTTAGACTATAAGACAAAAATAAATACATCCATATAATAAAATACCCTGCCCCAATTCTATTCAGTTCAGACTTTTCCTGCAAGGTATGATGTGACTTATTAGGAAGACTATTAACATAAATAAGCCCCAGCTGCTGTGTTCCAGGGGCCTACAGTCTCCTATGGGGAAGGAGACTCATGTCTTTGGGATGGGCAAACTCTCCCCTCTTTGCTGCTTCACCTATCTGTTCCTCTCCTTCCCTCATCACTCCAGCACCCCACCAGCTAATAGACATACTCTAGGCTCTCTCATCTTAATCCTTTCTTTTCCCCCATCTCCTGCCCTTTCTGTCCCCCTTCACGAAACCAGCTTTCTCTTAAGGATTACCCACATGCAGTCCACGCACCCTCACCTCCATTCACTCCCAAAACCACTGCAGTTGGGTGTCCCCTCTCGAGTCCAAGGAGATGGCCTTGGTCAAGGTCACCAAAAACCTTCATGTTTCCAATGACGATAAACATTTCTGTCCTCCTCTCTCCAACCTCTCAGCTCCTAGAGCCCTGCTTGGCTCATCTTATTCTGCTTTTCCTCTTGCGGCTCCTCCTCTAGCCAAACAGAAAACCTCAGGGCTCCTCAGTGTTCTTCCTCTAAGCTCTTTTCCCTGGTAAGCTCCTCCACACCCACAACCTGAAATATCATCTAGAAGAATGAACGCTAGTGACTCCCAAATGCGGAGGTCCTAACAGTGACAACAATAAGTGCTATGTAAGTATTAGCTCTCACGTGCCAGGCACTGTTCAAAGAACTGCTTTATGTCCCCTAACAACACGAGGTGGATACTATCATTACTTCCACTTTCAGATGAAGAAACGGAGGCACAAAAAAGTTGATAATTTGCTCAAGTCGCAGTAAATGGCAGAGCCAAGATTCAAACTCAGACAGGCTGGGCTAGGGCCTGTATTCTTACTCATACACAAAAGTTGTCATCTTCAAGCGCTAGGCTTGATAACCCACTGCCTACTTCACATCTCTGCTCTGATGTCTTATTAGCATCTCAAAGGCCCAGCCAAAATCTCTGGCTTCCCCTCCCCCGTGCCCCACCTGCTCCTCCCTGACTGCCTTCTCCATCAACAGCATCATCATCAGTCTAGACATTGAGCCAGAAACCAGCGATTCAGCTTTGATTCCTCCTCATCCTCCACCCCCTTCCCCGACCCCTCTTCCTCACCCCACATGTAGTGGACCACCATGCCCTGTCAACTTTTTTCTCCAAAACTCGCCTCCACTCTACCCTCTTCCCTTTCTTGTTCCCGACACCCTTTTCTAGGACAGCGTCTTCTCACCTGAACAGCTAAGGTAGCCTCCTGGCACGTCTCCCCAGTTCTGCATTTTTCCCCTTTTTATCAATTCTCTAAAGAAACAGAATTCTCTTTTAAAACTGTGACTCTCACTGTCTACTTAAAAGCCCCTCACACTTCCATGCTGTACTTAGGATGAACTGCAGTCAAGCCCATCATGACATACAAAAGGCCCTACATCCTGTGCTGCTTTCCTCCTTACTTGCTCTGCCCCAGGCCCACACATTGGCATTCTTCCCTCCCTGGCCAGCACCTTTGTGACCTCAGGTCCTTTGCACACATTGTACCATTTGCTTAGAATGCTTTCCTTGTGGCTCTTTGCATCCTTGGGAGGTCTCAGCTTAAATATCACCTCCTTCACGAGGCCTTCCATGAACCTCCACCTCTGATTCCTCTCTTACAGTAACCCGTTAGCTTCCTTTTTACTGCTGTGCAATCTGTAATGTTTATTTGTGGATTGTTTACCAGACTGGGAGCTCCACTGGGATAGGGGCTGCTGTTTGTCACTGCTTGACACGGTGCACAGTGCCCAAGAAACACAGTATGAGAAAGGGCGGGAGGAATAGCTGAGGGTTCGGGAAGGGAGAGAGCTCATTTGTTTTTTGTTGTTTTTGTTTGTTTGTTTTTGAGATGGAGTCTCGCCCTGTCACCCAGGCTGAAGTGTAGTGGCGAAATCTTGGCTCTCTGCAACCTCCACCTCCCAGGTTCAAGTGATTCTCCTGCCTCAGCCTCTCGAGTAGCTGGGATTACAGGCATGCACCACCACGCCCGGCTAATTTTTGTATTTTTTAGAAGAGATGGGGTTTCACCATGTTGGCCAGGCTGGTCACGAACTCCTGGCCTCAGGTGATCCACCCGCCTCAGCCTCCCAAAGTGCTAGGATTACAGGCGTGAGCCACTGCACCCAGCCTGAGAGAGCTTATTTGAAGAATCTCAAAAGGCTCTATTTGTGCTCATTGCCGTGAGAAGGAAGAACTTTACCTTGGTAGCCACTGGAGAGGGGGAATGGCTCCAGCAGACGGGCAATAAGAGCAAAAGCCTGGAGAGCCCAGGGAGATCCATAAATGCAGAGAGTATAGGAGTGGGGGGCAGCAGGAGGTAATGGGGATCACAGCACAGAGAGCCTGGGCTACTGAGACAAGAGGTGAAGAACTGGCTAGAGTGCAAAGAGGAACAGGACCTGGGAAAACAGCCCAACAGGAGGACACAGCTGAGGTTTTAACCACCATCCAGGAAGAAGAACAATCTGAATGGTTTGGCAGTGAGAGGAGGTAATAACACACTACCACGCTAGTGAAATGTCTGCCCTTTCGTGGTAAGAAGAATGGAGATTAAGTTACGACTTACCATGCTTTGGCCTAATTTTAAAGCAGCACAAGGAACTGTTTAAAGGCTTCAAAGATTCCGAAGAAAAACCAATCCATTTGCATAACCAGATATAAGATTACATTAGAGACTAGAATATCTGGTTCTTGCCCACGAGAACATCCAGCTTGTCAGGTTAATTCTTCCTTAAAATCAGAGTCAGATGCAAAGTCTGGATAGCCAAGCCAGAATGGGAATGGAGATTTAAAACATAAATCAATTACTTAAAAATTGAGGTAGGGCCAAGGATATGGAGGCAGAGAGCTTGAGCAATGATTTTCACTTATCCAGAGTGTCTGGTCCCAGAAGAGGCAGGTAAGAAAAGTTCTATTTTAGTTGTCTTCAAAGGGAAGCCTCATAATACAACATCACAGACATTAATCTATTTTTCTTGAATTTAGCTTCAAAGACCTGTTAAGGTTAAGCATTCTTGGAACTGGCAATAGCTTGCATCATGTAACGCAAGACAAGAAGCTGTGTGATCAACAGCACAGGACAAGTTGAAGAATGTGATCACATTTCTGCATTAGAATTTCAAAGCCAAATTAAAGCAAGATGCTGGGTCCCAAATAGTGCTTGTGAAGGCCAAGACAACAGTTCAACAGAACAGACAGTACAAGCAAACACGTATTTTATTGCTCTATGCTGTTCCTGAAAACAGCCAGTTTGCATTTTGACTGGCAACAACTGGATGTTACCGTATGGATGGCTATTGGGAGTTCATTAAATATTCATCTTTAAAGATTTATGGAAGTTGTCACTTTAAGGGATCATTACAAACTTCCTGGCAAGATTATTGAACCAGGGAGTTGGCTGAAAATTATAAAGAAGAATAAAACCAAGGACTTAAACAAAACCCAAGAACTGAAGCTCATCAAGTTACATATGAGGAAATAATGGTTGAAAGTTTGCTTCTCAAAGAAGAGCTGCATTCTACTGATGATTTCACAATACTAGGATACTGGAGATCCTGTGTGGTAAGGATCTCCAACAGCTTAGAAACCGATGTTTTAAAAACTTACACTATTTAGAGGGTGTAAGTCCTTCAGCAAAGAAAAGAAGGAACCAAATAAAGGGGAGAAAAAGGCTAGATCCCAAAAAAGACACTCCAATTTTGATTAGATCCTCTTCTCTGCCAGTGGAGTTGCTATGGAGACAGTCTTCTCCTTGGCTATCATTTCAATCATGAAGCTTCTTAGGAAACACAGGTTTGGGGACAGTATTTAAAGGAGTGTGTATGGAGGGTGTGTTTGTTCTTTCACAAATATGATTACTTTCAAATTGTAAAACCGACACATTTATAATTCTAAGTTGTCACCAGCTTACCTGAAGCAGCTTCCTGATGCATTCATGGTGGCTGTTCTTGGCTGCGAGATGTAAGGCGCTGTGTCCTAAATGGATTTTTTCAAATAATAATTTTTTTTAAAAAGGCCACACTTTAAAAAAAATCTCTTTCTTATATATGAGAAGACAGCTATAAGGAAATAGGTTGTTATCCAAAAAAGACGGAACTGTGTTTTTTTGTTTGTTTGTTTTTTTGTTTTTTGAGACAGGGTCTCACTCTGTCACCCAGGCTGGAATGCAGTGACGCGATCATGGCTCTCTGCAGCCTCAACCTCCCAGGCTAAAGTGATCCTCCCACCTCAGCCTCCCAAGTTGCTGGGAGTATAGCCTCCCAAATAGCATGACACCACACCTGGGTAATTTTTGTATTTTTTGTAGAGATGAGATTTCGCCACGTTGCGCAAGCTGATCTCGAACTCCTGAGCTCAAGCAGTCCTCCTGCCTTGGCCTCCCAAAGTGCTGGGATTACAGGCATGAGCTACTGTGCCTGGGCTGGAACTGTTATTCTTGCGAGTGGGAAGAATCGAGCATCCCCCATGCCCTATCCCACCTACTGGATGACATTCACAGGTTCCAACTGCTGTTGTCTTGGGGTGAAAAGCAGCTCCAGGCTAGACACTTGCGGTGGATTCATGATAATGCAGCTCAGCAGCTCTGCTTTCAGCTGTCAATATGTTTGCCAAACATCCTGTGTCTATAAGAGCCATGCCAGGCTATGCCCACCACAGGCTGAGGAATCCAGTGAAGGCAACCCACAAGCCAGCAGAATACATCAAAGATCCACACACTTCAGCCCCTACTCTTGACATCTCATTTCCCTCTCCTCTCAATGTACTCCAGCCCTGAATGGAAATTACCTGGAGTTTTCTGATTTTCAAAGTTCTTATACAGAAGGGAGAGAGTTGTAAAATTCTCAATGAGGCCTTTCCTGACTTTCTCGTTTCAAATTCCAATTTCTCCCTAATTCTTTTACCCCCACTCCCTGCTTTATTTCTTTATCCTTCATAGCACTTAGCAGCTTCTATCACTCCCTTTTACCTCTTTCTCTATACAGACACACACTTATATAGTTAATTATTTTTCCCCCATGAGAATATAAGCTTGGTGAGGACAGACACCCCTGTTGATTCCCTGCTGTATCTCTAGTATTGACAACTCTGCTGCTGCACAGTAGGCTCTCAATACATTTCTGTCCATCTGAATTAGAGGGTATGCTAATTTCAAATGTCTGGATGGGGGGACCTGGGGAGAGGGTCAGAGCAGAGGACCTGACCACTACCAGACACCCCACCACACCTAGTAAACTCTTAATCCTGGATTTCCCAAGCTATTTGACATAATATAACACCTGTAGATAACTCCCATACTTTAGGACATGTTTAAAGCACTTTCTCCCATCCAAGTACTAACCAGGCCCGACCCTGCTTAGCTTCCGAGATCAGACGAGATCGGGCGTGTTCAGGGTGGTATGGCCGTAGATGCACTTTCTCAACCTTAGCATCATTGACCTTATAAGCTGGATAATTGCTGTGGATGGTTGTCCTATGCAGTACAGGACGTTAGGCAGCATCGCTGGCCTCTATCCACTAGAGGTCCAAATGTGACAATCAAACATGTCTCTAGACATTGCCAAATGTCCCCTGGGGGGCAATATCAAGCCCAGTTCATCAGAACCACTGACTTCGAGGAACAATTTCTTTTCTTTTTTTTTTCTGAGCCCAGGCTGGAATGGAGTAGCACAAGCATGGCTCACTGTAGCCAAGATCTCCTGATGTCAAGTGATCCTCCCACCTCAGACTCCCTAGTAGCTGGGACCACAGGTGTATGCCACCACACTTGGCTAAATTTTGGTAGAGCTGGGGGTCTTGCTATGTTGCCCAGGCTAGTCTCAAACTCCTGTCCTCAAGCAATCCTCCTGCCTCGGCCTCACAAAGTGCAGGGATTACAGGCGTGAGCCACCATTCCTGGCCAACAACTTCTTTATATGATGGTGGCCCAGGCCCCAAATACCTTTTTTTTTTTAGAAAGTCTTATCTGTCATTCAGGCCGGAGTGCAGTGGCACCATCTCGGCTCACTGCAACCTCTGCCTCCCGGGTTCAAGCGATTCTCCTGCCTCAGCCTCCCAAGTAGCTGGGATTACAGGTGCGTGCCACCAGGCCTGGCTAATTTTTGTATTTTAGTAGAGATGGGGTTTCACCATGTTGGCCAGGCTGGTCTCGAACTCCTGATCTCAGGTGATCCACCCACCTTGGCCTCCCAAAGTGTGGATTACAGGCATGAGCCACTGCGCCCGGCCCCATTTTTCTTTCTAAATCAGTCTTCAGTCTGTAACACTGACCAGAAATTCACTAATTAGAGAATCATATAGCTAGGAAACACTGTATTTAAAAACTAGTGGGCCATAGGGCTATGGTGAATGGCATAAAAATGTGTAAAGTCAAATGATCCGATTCCTTCTATTTTGAATTCAGCTGTACGGAGAGATTTTTAGGGTAGGTGTGGGGGAGAGTTGTTTCATCAGCATAGGATACTGAGAGACAGGAATCCCTCTGTCCCCTCCCAAAAGGAGGAGGATGAACAAAATTTAAAAATGAAGGAAGAGAGATTCTTGGAAGTAAGAAGACAAAGATTTTCTCTTCCTCCTCCTCCTGTTATATTATATGAGATCCCTCCTTCCAGAGTGTATGAAGCATAACTGTGTATGAGTTTAGTTACATGATGCATTAAATAGGCTTTGGTGGAGTAGCTTGGCCCTCCAACCATCACTTATACCACTGTTTCTGTGGACAAGCACATTCTGAGTTTTAAACAAATGCCTTACAAATGAAGGTTTGGAACACATCCTGATTGTAAGATGGAGACCGTTTATGTCGTGTACGCAATGCATTAACTTGTCCCTGCTGTGAACAAAAGCTGTTCTGCATAAGCAACACCCACTGGAAAAAGACCTGGTTCTCCAAAGACAAGATGGTTGGGAGATGTAAACAACTTACTATAAAATAACAGGTTTTCTTTTTACTTTGAGTAAGTGTTCTAGTCATACCTGGAAGTGCCGGGTTTCTATAGAAGCAAAAATTCTTTTATTCCCCAGCCCTGTGATGTTTTTCTAACGAGCAGCAGAAAAGTATTTTTCACTAAAAATAGTCTCAAAATCCGAATGACGCATCATTCCCTGAACACTATAACACTGAAGTAAGATGTCTCTCATTGCTACTATTAACACCAAATTCTCTCTCCAAATGCAAAATTTTCTGGACGAAATACTATTTTAGTGACAGAATCCAACTATGATGAGACAATGCATCTCTGACTCCCATATAGCTGTGGATCTGTCTAGAGTATCAGGAAGCAATTTCCCTGTGGGCAAATAACAAGGGCAATCCTAAGTGCCTTCCAGCAGAATTCCACCTGCAAATAAAAGACTAGTGATATTTATAAATTAAGAGTCTTGGACTATTACAAGTAGTCTAAGAACCCTTTTACTTAAAGGCTATCTAAGTAGAATGGCCCAACTGCTCTGGCCACAGGGCACCTTTCCCTAAAACTACCTCAGACTATGACCATGTATTCAATTCTTAAGATAGCTAGAAAAAACAGGGAAGAATTAAGTAGTATCAATCTAAAATGACATGACAGTTGATATTGCACTATAATCACATCCAAGGCCTTATCTTCTGACAGGGTTTTGCTCTTAAAATTGCTTGTAAAGCATCCATAAAAATTCTCAGACTTCCAAGTATTTCATCTGCAAAAATAGCTTTAAAAAATGCTGGCCGGGCGTGGTGGCTCACGCCTGTAATCCCAGCTCTTTGGGAGGCCGAGGCAGGCGGATCACGAGGTCAGGAGATCAAGACCAGCCTGGCTAACACGGTGAAACCCCGTCCCTACTAAAAATACAAAAAATTAGCCAGGCGTGGTGGCGGGCGCCTGTAGTCCTAGCTACTCAGGAGGCTGAGGCAGCAGAATGGCGTGAACCCGGGAGGCGGAGCTTGCAGTGAGCCGAGATCGTGCCACTGCACTTCAGCCTGGGAGACAGTGAGACTCCGTGTCAAAAAAAAAAAAAAAAAAAAAATGCTAACAGATTCTTGCTTCTATAACTTAAATTCAGTCAAAAGTTTAAAAAGTAGGAAATTATACCAATTTGACCATCCTGAAGACATTAATCATGGATAAAAAGAATAAAAAGAGCCAGTGTAATAGATTTTGAAAGGTGGTTTTGTGTGTGTGTGTGTGTGTGTGTGTGTGTGTGTGTGTGTGTGTGTGTCTGTGTGTGTGTTTTGTTTTTTTCAAAAATTCTACAGGGCAGGATTTATGGTAACAGATCTTTGTACCAGTTCTCACTGGATCTTCAGATTGAAGGTGACTGCATCTCAGTAATAAAGTGGCAAAACTTAAGGTAGGTTCCACATGGAAAGACAATACCTGTAAAAGCTAAGCCATTTAATTCATCCCCTAACCACCACAACAAACGTTTAGGACTAGTGATGACCACTAAGCACTGTTACTAACGTAACCTCATCCTTCCCTTGTATTCAGATATGCTTTCTTGAGAGGGAGAGTGAATAGGTGGGTATTATAGCCAACAGGTAAGACACAGGCATGGGCAATCAAAGCCATTACAATTTAACCTGTTTATTGGGACAGAAAAAAATGAGAAGTGTTTTTCTAGATGCACTTTTTTCCATGCAGTGTTCTTCTTTTGTTCCCGTGTTCTCTTTGCATGCTTTCAAGAAATCATGGGAAGAAGCTGGTACCTCCTTCAGGCCAAAATAAAACGATGAAGCCCAAGGAGGGAAGTGCTGGAATCATGGCTAAAAATATCAGGTGAGAAGGAAGTGACGGGAGCTCTGAGACATCTTCAACCCATGGAATGTTTGGACAATGTCCTGTGGCCCCAAAGTGCTGTGGATTCCACCAATTTCAATTGGTTCCCACTGGCGAATCCTGGGAAATATCCAGGCTGTGTCCACAGCACTCCCTCCAGTGTTGCTTCTTAGAGAGTGGTACCATCTCAGTCTGCAGGAAGTGGGCACTGCCTTGGGGCATCCAGGTCTTCCTGCTCAGCACTGCACCAGCCTCTCAGGAACTGGGTTAGGGCTCTGGTGGTAAATATGAGCTCTACCCACAGGGTGTTATGAGGCCACCAAGAACTATGCTTCTTAAGAGCCTTTAATGGGGGAAATGAAACTGGCGGGATATTTAATAAATTAAAATGCAGGATATAGAATTTATTATATAATGTGATCTCAGGCATGTAAAAATGTATTGGGACAATCTGGAAGGAAATACAACAAAATAGAAATATTTTTTTTCTTTCTGATAGGAGTAGGAACTTGAGTTATCTTCTTCTTTATAGTTTACTATATTTCTCAACTTTTCTACAATAAGCATGTATTAAAAAAAAAAAAAAACTTATTCTGGCCGGGCTTGGTGGCTCACGCCTGTAATTCCAGCACTTTGGGATGCCAAGGCGGGTGGATCACCTGAGGTCAGGAGTTCAAGACCAGCCTGGCCAAGATGGTGAAACCCCGCCTCTACTAAAAATACAAAAATTAGCCGGGCGTGGTGGTGGTGGGTGCCTGTAATCTGAGTTACTCAGGAGGCTGAGGCAGGAGAGTCACTTGAACCTGGGATGCGGAGGTTGCAGTGAGCAGAGATCGTGCCAGTGCACTCCAGCCTGGGCAACAGAGCAAGACTCCGTCTCAAAAACAAACAAACAAAAAAACACACACAAAAAACCAACTTATTTTTCCCTACAATAAAAAGACGTGAGGGAAGATTTTGGTTATGCTGAAAATAACTACAGTCCTGTCTAATCTATTTCTTAATATCAAGTACAATGAAACAAAACCGTGTGACGGCACCAGTTTATTCACTCTGAGCTAATGCTTTCAGATTATGGGTTTCTTAGAGGGAAACTTCTCCTACTTAAGAGGACATACATCTCATTAGGGGTATTTTAGCAAATCATACTGCACCATGTGGTTTTATGGCATAACTTTAAGAGCAATGACAATGAACTTTAAAAACAAACACAATAATTGGGTCTTGAGTTTAAAGATGACTTTAATTGGAAAAACATAAATTAGTATTTCCCTCAAGGCAGTCACTTAAGGAAACCATTTATCCCCCTATATTGGTGTTGCCATTTCTCAAAATATTTTTGGAACTTTCTGTGGAACTGCTCAGAAAAATCATTCTGTTATTTCAATCACTCCCTATTTTTGACCAAAAATGGTTTTACCAGTTTGAAACATCATTCACCTGACTTGACATCAAATTTTTTTAGGGCTCTTAGGTTTGCCCTAAAAAAAAACCCTATTCTCAAAGGATAAAGATTCCCAACCACTGAGATTCTTTTTTTTAAGTCCTCACACAATGAAAACAATTCTAAACCTGTTCCCAACCATATTTTGAGTAATAATAGCATTCCTGCAATACCTGGCTGATCCCTCAAGATGACTAGTCTGAAGAGGCCAATTTTGGGGATGGGAGAAAAGAAAGGGATCCATTACGGATTCACGAAAAGCCTAGATAAAGGCAATGGAGTTAGGCTAATTTTGTATCCCAGTAAACACTAATAGAAACCTATTAGAAGCCAAAAATTCTCGAGTACAATCGAAAAATGAAAAGCCATCAGTGGTTGCTTTGGTCTTTTGGGGTGGCCAGCAGGGGCAGAATCCCAGGCTGGAGACCCCAGGGGCTCCTTCTTATAGGACAGTGTTTTATACAAGGTAAGACTACGCTACCTTTTCTCTCCATTTGCCTTGTTCATCTTTTGTCAACACTGGCTTCACATTAGAATCACCCAGCGAGCTTTAAAAAAATACCAGTTGACTGGCAACTTCCAGACAATGGAATCTGAATCTCAGAGGGTAAAGTGTAGGTATATATATTTGTGTGTGTGTGTATGTGTGTGTGTGTTTGTGTGTGTGTGTACTGTTTATTCTTCTCTTTTCCCTTCCTTCAAGTTCCCAGGTGAACTGGATGCCCTGAAGTACAGCAAGGGGTGAGAATCGTGGGCAGCTGGTCCAGATGAAGTTCAAGGCTTCCATCTACAGAGCCTATCTCAGTTGATGAAATGAGCTCCTGAGTAACTCACTCATCACCTCACACAATGATTCATAAAAACAAAAATTAGGGACTATTGCTTGGTCTGTACATATAATCTTAGAAAATAATATAAAAAATGAGGATAAGAAGCATACAGTCTCTAGTTGACTAACCACATGAAAGATGAAAACTCAGAAGTATGGCTATACAACAAAACCATGTCAGAGTCTTGCTATTGGAGGTGATTCTCTTTTCTTCTTTTGGACTCTAAATTTTATCTGTAGACTCTAATTTTTTTTTTTTTTTTGAGACAGAGTCTCGCTCTGTTGCCCAGGCTGGAGTGCAGTGGCACAATCTCGGCTCACTGCAACCTCCGCCTCCAGGATTCCAGTGATTCTCATGTCTCAGCCTCCTGAGTAGCTGGGATTACAGGTGCATGCCACCATGCCTGGCTAAATTTTTTTGTATTTTTAGTAGAGATGGGTTTTAACCATATTGGCCAGTCTGGCCTTGAACTCCTGGCCTCAAGTGATCCACACACCTCACCCTCGCAGAGTGCTGTAATTACAGGATGAGTTACCACACCTGGCCTTAAATTTTCCATAATGAATATGTATTACTTTTTGATACCTAATCTGGTGCTGGCCTGCTGACTTAAGAGACTAAAAACCACATACCGGTAGTATCTTGGGCTGTCACATCCACACCATGTGTAATCATGACCCTGAGGCATTCCACGTGTCCTTTTGCAGCAGCAAGATGGAAACTGGAAAGAGAAGTAAACACAATCTCCTTGAGATTTCTACTCTTTAATGTTCATCTCCAACAGAGTTTCCCCCCCGCCCCCCGCCATTTCATGTACACTTTCTCTTCCTTGAGCTCTACAAGCACCCACTGACTAGGCATTATTATCAATCTCACTTTAAAGAGGAGGAAACAGAAGCTCAGGATGGTCTGATAATTTCCTCGTTGACAGCTTTAGTTAAGGGATGGAGCAGGAGTTTGATCTTCCAACCCCAAAGACCAGGCTTGAAAAAAGTAAGATTCAGCCATATATTTGTCTCTTGATGAAACAAATCAGAAAGTCCCAACTAGGTTGAATTTCTAAGTAATATGTCTTTATCAATGTTTTCCTATTGTCTAGTGTTTTCACCACAGCTGTTTCACCATTTTAAAGTGATATGCTCTAAAAAGAAAATCTTGTCTAAGTCAAACAGTGGCCAAGGTTCTTGGACAACTCAATGCCCACTGTTGTGTTGTATCTGAGTAACAATAGTTGCATGCAATATTTGGTAAGTGCCTAATGTGGGTCAAGCATCTGACTACACACTTTTATGCATTGTTTTTCATTCCTATGACAGCTCTTTAAGGTGAGTTCTATTACTTTCTCCATTAGATGGCAAGTGTCTATACTCTGGTGCAAACAGCATTAGAGAAAGCCCACCATTAAGACTCCAGAACTCAGTGAAACTTGGGAGCACAAACCATGATCAGCATGTTTAGACTGGTCACTAGAAGAAGGGATAACATCCAAATGCCAATTCAATCATCCCTCCAGATCCCGGGATGAAGGGCACTTTTGCATGCAGAAAGAAGCAAAGCACAATTCCACTGGGTGGTCAGGCCCAGAGGCCAAGATGGCTGCAAAATTTGGGCAGGTTTCCCTTCTCTCAGTTGCCATCCTATAGAGAGGTTAATGAGCCTTCTAGTTCTTCTCCTGAGTCAGTCCTGTTTTAGGGATGTGCCCTCAGGATACCTCTCATGAAGTCCCTTGGTGTCTGTACCTCTGAATTAATGCCCAGATAATATTTTCTCGCTGGGAAGGATCTATCATTGAAATCCAGGGTAACATTCAACTGGAAAGTCCGATAGCTGATATTTAAACCCAAGTTGGTCTGATTCCAGACCTCTTAATAACCTGGCTGAGTGAGGGGGACATATCAACAAATAGGAATACTTCAGTACTAGTTGCAAATCAGCCATAACATAATTATCTGTGTGTTTTGGGAAGTCATTTTAACCTCTCTGTGCCTAAATTTCCTCCATTGTAAAGGCTGGGGATCAAGTCAAATAATTTCTAATGGTTCCCTTGGCTCTAACGTTTAATTATTTTAGCTTACCTGGCTCTACTCACGCAACTATTTCTGTATTTGTGCAGCAATCTATGTGTAATATCTATTTACAGTCAAAATTTATTTTATAAGTGATTTCACATTACAATAAAACTTTGCATACAATGATTTGGGAGTGTAGTGACTTTTTTTTGTTTTTGAATATTTTTTGAGATGGAGTCTTATTCTGTTGCCTAGGCTGGAGTGCAGTGGCATGATCTTGGCTCACTGCAACCTCCGCCTCTCAGGTTCAAGTGATTCTCCTGCCTCAGCCTACTGAATAGCTGGGATTACAGGCATGTGCCACCACACCCAGTTGATTTTTGTATTTTTAGTAGAGACGGGGTTTCACCATGTTACCCAGGCTGGTCTCAAACTCCTGACCTCATGTGATCCACACACCTCAGTCTCCCAAAGTGCTGCGATTACAGGCATGAGCCACCATGCCTGGCCATAGTGACTTGTTTAAATGGAATTCCTCATTCAATATAGCTTAACCAAACTATACTGGCAGTGCAATAATTCCTCCACTTCTCAACATTGTTGGAATAGCTTCATTTTACAATAAGTCCACCTTTAAGCAGTAAGTCTTTTATTAATCTTGGTGGAAGGTTTCTAAAAGTTTCCCAGCCTTAGTAATAGTGCATGTAACATAATTAATTGCTCTTGGGAATATGGAGTCTCCTCAATTATTGAATTGCATGTTTAGGGATACTAATTGAAATGCCCCTGGATTACTAAGCCCTAAAATTGATTAATATTTAGCTTCTTAATGTCTTTGTGTTTGTTTCTAAGCTGTTCACTATGCCATCTCCTATGACAAGAGGAAAACTAAATCAAAAGTATCTAAATAAGAGAGTAGCCATATCCCATTCTAAAAATAACCATACCAGGAAGTGTCTACTGCCCATGTGCATATACACACACCCAAATCAATCAATCAATCAATTATATTTATCTACATTTAACTTTTGATTGAAATATAACATGTAAAGAAAGCTACACATATAATTGTACAGCTTGCTAAATTTTTGCAACTGAAATATTTTGCCTTCATACTAATCAGGAAACAGAATGTGGTCAGAGACCCCAAAACCCTCCTGCTAGCACCCCAGAAGTTCTCCATATGCCCCTTTTAGTTACTAACCCCCTTCCCCATGTGATATTTTTATTTTTTTCTACTCTGAGGCTTCTTGGATTACCTCTGGATTACATAGTCTTTTATGGGTGGCTGGAACTGCAGACCATCTGACAGTGAAGCATTATTGTAGGCCACTCCTGTACATTGGTAAATGCAGTCTGATGAACGTGTTATGATATTCTACAAATGATTTGGGAAATGCAGAGTTTCAGGATCATCACTTGGAAGGCCCACGATCAATACAAGGCAGAAGTGAGGTGTTAGGAAGCTGCGCTCAATTTCCAGTCCCACAAAAGAATTTTCTTAGACATAGCTTTGTAAAAGAAAATCCCTGATATCAACCTAAATTTATATATTTGATGGCTGAAATACATTTTCAGGGATCCAGTTAGTTAAAGCTTCATTGCATACGCTTTAATAAATCGTGTGATAGCGAGAGATTTTATTTTGTCCTCCCTCTCCCATTGAGAGTTTAGATCAATAAGTGACTTTTTTTCTCTATTCTGGGGACTTTCCAACTATTATGCTGCAGAATGCTTGTGTCCTGCTGAGAAAACAGAATGACAGAATTTTCCAAATTCATTATTTTCTCTTCATGTATTTTACCTAAAGCTGCATCACTTACTGCTTTTACAGATAAAACAGACAAAGTACAAACAAATATAAATAACTAGAAACAGCTCATTCTATAAGGATAGATAGTCTTGGCTTTGATTTTACACTGCATGCATCTAATACCATATTTTTTGCTAGTAAAACCATTGCTAGTTCATGTGATTCAGTTAAACATTATTTCAAGGTGTTTCTGCAAGAAAATTCTAACATCCAGGTGTTTGTTGTGTTCTGATGTCACACAAAAGCTTCTGCTCTGCTTTCTAAAACACACAGGCATAGGAATGATCTTGAAAAGCAGGAAAGGGGCCAGGCACAGTGGCTTACGCCTGTAATCCCAGCACTTTGGGAGGCCGAGGTGGGCGGATCACGAGGTCAGGAGATCGAGACCATCCTGGCTAACACAGTGAAACCCCGTCTGTACTAAAAATACAAAAAAATTAGCCAGGTGTGGTGTCGGGCACCTGTAGTCCCATCTACTCGGGAGGCTGAGAGAGGAGAATGGTGTGAACCAGGGAGGCGGAGCTTGCAGTGAGCCAAGATTGCACCACTGCACTCCAGCCTGGGCGACAGAGAGAGACTCCGTCTCAAAAAAAAAAAAAAAAGAAAAAAGAAAAGAAAAGCAGGAAAGGGAAAAACTGATCATTTTAGCTAGAAGTGTATGATTCATTTCTCCAGACTCTCCAGATAAGGAGCTCCACTGTGTATCATCATTCCTCTCACTGGGTATGCGCTTCTGGGAAATGGAAGTAAAGCCAGGAAACACAGTCTGTGAGTCTGCTCTTGAGGAGATAGTCACTAGCGCTGTGCATTCTCTCTGCCCCTCCAGGTCTGCCCTCTACCCAGAGGCAGTCCCCTAATGAACTGCATCCAATGGGCTGCCCTGTGCTTTGGCTCCTGGTTGGGCTTGCCCAGTGAGAATGACGATGGGGTTCAGGGCATCATCTCCTCCCCTCCTTCCCTAGCCATACCTCGGCAGTGGCTGTCTTCCTCTGTGAAGGCCACAGCTTTGCAGGCCGGCTCTCCCACAGCCACAGCTGCAGCTTTCCCTCCTTGCCCCTTTAGGTCAAGAGTAGAAATAGATTCTCACTCTTGTTAGAATCCTGGGCGGCATTCCCAACCTTACTGGTTTCCCCTAATCTGGCCACATATTTGTAAATAGTTCCTTTCTTAAGCTCTCATCAATTATCCTATTTGATGCTACCTGTTCCTGCTAGGACCCTGAATGACAGCAGGGTTGGGTATTTTGTGTGTGATGATCCACAGGATGAAATGTTAAGTTCTAGTGGATACTACTTGATTAAATATTTCTAAGAGCCAATTCAGGCTTTTTTTTTTAAGTTTTAATTGCCACATATAGTTTGTTTGCTTATTTAATATACGGGCATTGTGGCTAAAATGTAATGGGAGAATATACCATATAACTTTTTAATTATATGGCATATAATAAGTGACTTCAAAAAAGTTTTCTAATATGGTCTTAGGCCAAAGTAGAGACCCGTTTAAAGGGTTCAAGAATACACCTCTCCACGGGTAAGAAAAACAAATGACTTTAGTAAGAGCCAGCACACAGTCTAGACGGTCCCACTACTCAATAAAGAAATATTAAAATTCAAACTTTTTACGGTAACTTGGTTTTGAGAGAATAACCAAACCCCAAACAATACATATGGGCACCAACACACATGGATACAAACAACTGCTACAAAAACAAAATTAAAAAGCCATCAAAATTCACATACTTCTTACCAACCCAACCATCCATGTAATTTGTAAAATGTAATTAAGACTCTCAGAAAATACAAAAATGTATCAGCTCCTGAACCCTCCCATCATGCTGAGGTTTCATTCATTCTACTTGACGCAGACTCTAATGGAATTACTTAATTTTATCAGAGTCACTGACATATTACTCATTGAAGTATATGCTAGAATTGTGGTCTACAATGGGGAAATTCTCAATAAGTTCTGTAGGCATATCCTGTGTAATAATGAGGGTTCTTCAGTAATGAATTAGAAGTAAAATAAAATTTACTAAATATTCTATACTATATACTATATATATATATATATGTATATATACACACACACACACCCATATACACACTATACATCTTATATATATAATACCTTGTACCATATTCTACTATTAAAAAATGTGCAGGCTAGGTTTAGAAAAAAAATGCAAAATAAGAAAGAATAACTATCTAGAAAGTCATTTTGATCTCTATTGCTTGCTCTAACTCTTTAAAATATCTTACTTTTTATATAATAAAGTAGTGAATCATTGCCATAATTTTAGTCAGAAAATCATTTTACTACTTAACTTGGAACATAGCATCTATAACCTGAAAGAGTTTGCTCAATGAGTTATCACATAAAAGAAAACCAAAATGGTCAGTGCACTCTTTTAGCTTTGTCCTGTTTTTATGAAAGCTGTGCAAATGCAGAAGAAATAGGCACAAATCAGACAACGAAATGACTTTGTTGGCAGTTCCCTAACAACCCATCTCCTGTGTATTATGAAAGCACTTATGTATTCAATCTGGGTATCTTACACTCAAACAACCAACTGAAAGAGCAGGCTCACTCAGTTTATTCCCCTCAGAGAGAAAGGAAGCTCCTAGAAATAGGAGCCCTGCCTCCTTTTGTCTCATTCCCCCACCCTATGCCTAGAAGCAGTTATTAATCACCAATGTACAGAAGAGCAGGGTGGGAAAACCACACTATGAACTTCTTTTCTGTATCTAATTTGGATATCAAGTCTTAATGTTTTAACTTCAGGGTCTCTGGTTCTTATTCCTAATGTCTGTGATTTTGAAAAATTAAAGCTTCCAACCTTATAGCTTTATCAAAGCTTAGAAGAGGGACAAAAACATCTAGTCAGATGGTAAAGTATAACAAGAAGCAGGATATTAAGGAGGTAGTGCTGGTAACCTTAAGGGCTCAGACTATCTGGGTTTGAATCTATGCTTCCTTACTTATTAGGCTCTATCTCAGTTTCCACATCAGTAAAATGGGTTGTTGACGAATACAAGAATTATGTGTAAAAGCACTTCATAAAGGGTGAAGCGTGAAATAAACACTCAAAACATGCCACCAATTATTGTATCCTCACCAACACAAAGCATGGCACAGAGTCTGTGACATGTTGCTTGATAAAAGGGATTGTTTCAATGTTCAGAAAGGAGAAGTAGCAGAAGTTAAATCAGAACCACCACTGCTTAAAAAACGAAGAGAGGGGAAAGGAGGGGCAAAAGCTATGTGTGTTTCCATTGAATGGAAACTTGGGAACAAAGTTGTAGACAAGTAGCAAACCACAATAAACCATCCAAGACCAGCCTTGTCTAACGCCCACACTTGAGCAGCTAACGTTTTGGCACCTCTCACGGAAGTGATCATCCCCAAAGCAGGGTTTGGCAGCAGCAAGCCATTAACATTTAGCCTCGGAATGTGAACCAGAAGCATAGCCAACTTTGAATAAGATACTCAAGTGGAAAGTTAGGTTCTGTTGGGTAGAAAAACATGACCAGTCAGTGACAGAACCTGATATGTAGATGATGGTGGGTAGATTTCCCTTCTTATGTATGCAGTGACTGATAAATGTCAGCATCCTCAAGGGCTGGGGCCGCTCTATCTAGATGGCAGGCAGGAAGGCATCTGTGGGGTCATCTCAGGCTTAGGAAGCAGATGGTGCCCAAGGCCAGCACATGACTCATTAAGAGCATGACTGGTGCCCTCTCATGGCCTGTGTCCTGGATAGCTGGCAACTCTAAATAAAAAGAGCCTACAGATTAGGATGGGGTAGGGGGCCAGGGCAGTAAGTTGATAAAACTTACTTGTCCTCTTTAAACATAGTTTTTTTCTTTTTTGAGATGCAGTCTCACTCTGTCGCCCAGGCTAGAGTATAGTGACTCAATCTCGGCTCACTGCAACTTCCACTTCCTGAGTTCAAGCGATTCTCGTGCCTCAGCCTCCCAAGTAGCCGGGATTACAGGTATGTGCCACCATGCCTGGCTAATTTTTGTGTTTTTGCAGAGACGGGGTTTCACCATGTTGGCTAGGCTGGTCTCGAACTCCTGACCTCAAGTGATCCACCCGTCTCAGCCTCCCAAAGTGCTGGGATTACAGGCGTGAGCCACCATGCCCAGCCAAACATGGTATTCTTAACAATGTTAATCCTAAGGCATTGGAATTAACTCAAGTATGGTATCATTTTGATATTTCTATAGTTATATATTTTTTACAAGTACTGCTACTTCTATAGCCAGAAGTACTCATTCATATATTTACTATAATATTAGGGTATCTATGTGTGAGACATGGTTCTAAGGAAACAATAATGAATAAAACAAAGTTCCTGCCTTTATGGAGCTCGGCTTTTAGCAGGAAGACTAAAGAGAACCAATGGTTTCAACTGGGCGTACTTTTGCACCCCATCCTTGGAACATTTGGCAATGTCTGGAGACATTTTTTATCATGGACTAGGGAAGAAGGAGAGGAGGGAGATTCTATTGGCATCTAATCTGCAGAGGCCAGAGATGCTGCTGACCATCTCTACAATGCACAAGACAGGTCCCCACAACTATGAATTATCTATCCAAACCAAAATATCAGTAGTGGGCTAGGTGTGGTGGCTCACACCTGCAATCCCAGCACTTTGGGAGGCGGAGGAAGGCAGATTGCTTGAGCCCAGGAGTTCAAGACCAGCCTGAACAATATGGCCAAATCCTGTCTTTACAAAAAAATTTAAAAAATTAGCCAGGTGTGGTAGCACATGCTTGTAGTCCCAACTACTCGGGATGCTAAGGCGGAAGGATAGCATGAGCCTGGAAGGTAGACGCTACAGTGAGCTGTGATCACACCACCACTGCACTCTAGCCTGGGTGACGGTGAGACCCTGTCTCAAAAAAAAAAAAAAAAAAAAAAAAAAAAAAAAAAAAAAAATCAGTAGTATCCAGGTTAAGAAACCCTGTAATAAACCATTAAAGGCAATGTATATACTAAAAACATAATTCTATAAAAACAAATTAAACAAAGACCAAAAAACAAAATAAATGAGAATTTAATCTTTTTATTGAGTTATAATCCACAAACCATAAAAATCACCATTTTAAAAATGCACAATTAAGTTGCTTTTAGTATATTCACAAAGCTGGCAACAACATCATTACCTAATTCTAGAATATTTTCGTCACCTCCTCCTCAAAAAAATCCCTGTATCGATTAGCAGTCACTCCCTATTTCCCTACTTCCCCAACTCCCAGGAAACCACAAATCTACTTCCAGTTTCTATGGATTTGCCTATTCTGGACATTTCCTTTTAAAGATGGGATTGTATAATACATGCTCCTTTGTGTCTGGCTTCTCTCATTTAGCATGTTTTCAAGGTTCATCCATGTTGCAGTATGCATTAGTACTTCATTCCTTCCTTAATAATAAATTGTATGGATATGCTGCATTTTGTTTATCTATTCATTGTCTGTTGGACATTTCAGTTGTTTTTACTGGGGATTACTATCATGCCCCACCATTCATGTACGAGTGGTTGTGTAGACACATTTTTTAATACTAATGGGTACATACTGAGGAGCAGAATTGCTGAGTCATATGGCTGTTGGGAACAGGCCCCCAAATCTGGCCATAAACTGGCCCCAAAACTGATAAAATCTCTGCAGCACTGTGACATGTTCGTGATGGCCATGACACCCATGCTGAAGGCTGTGGTTTTACCGGAATGAGGGTAAGGAACACCTGGCCTACCCAGGGCGGAAAACCGCTTAAAGACGTTCCTGAACCACAAACAATAGCATGAGCGATCTGCACTTAAGGACATGTTCCTGATGCAGATAACTAACAAGAGCCCATCCCTTTGTTTCAGGCCATCCCTTTATTTCCCATAAGGAATACTTTTAGTAAATCTTATGACTAGCTTGCTGTCAATAAATATGTGGGTAAATCTCTGTTCAAGGCTCTCAGCTCTGAAGGCTGTGAGACCCCTGATTTCCCACTCCACGGTCTGTATTTCTGTGTGTGTGTCTTTAAGTCCTCTAGCACTGCTGGGTTAGGGTCTCCACGACCGAGCTGGTCTCGGCAAGTGGTGCCCAACGTGGAGGCTCAAACCCAGGTCGAAGGGTCGCCAGAGCAACAGTTGGAAAATGTGGAACCAAGCGGAGGACACCCAAGTACTCTTTTAAGCAATCCCAGTGGTGAGTAGGAAGGGGAGCTCGGAAGCATCAGGGTAACAACTGGACAAGTGTGGGCTCTGGTTCGTTCCACCTTGGAACCTTTTCACAAATGATGAGGAAGGAGGAGAGTATAATGAAGTAACAGAAGAAGTAACAGAGCCGGTTTGTTTGCCAGCTAAAGCTAAAGTGGCAAAGGAGGAAGAAGTTCATCCCTACTCTTCTGCACCCCCTTCTTATTTTGAAGAAAAAGAACGGCCTGACCCTCCAGATCTTTCTTTTCCAGAGGACACTGGGCAAAAAGTAGTTGCCCCAGTGACTGTTCGAGCAGCACCTTGAGCGACTGCTCTCAGTTCTATTCAGGCAGGAATTCAGCAAGCTAGACAAGAGGGTGATTTAGAGGCTTGGCAGTTCCCTGTTAGGATACACCCCCCCAGATCAACAGGGCAATATTATAGCTACATTTGAGCCTTTTCCTTTTAAATTTGGGAAATGGCATGAGGGGCCCATCCCGGGCCCCGTTCCAAACCGGGGCATTTCTGGCTTAGGCCGTTCCCTCACCCCTTACAATGTCTGTCCCCTGCCACAGATGGTAGTGCCACAGATGTATGCTGCACAAAAGCTGTGAGCCTTCTGCCTCGGGAACCCTGCAAAAGGTCCCAACAGGAGTCTGTGGACCCTTGCCAGCGGGGATGATAGGATTACTTCTAGGAAGGTCTAGTTTACATTTAAAAGGGGTACAAATACAAACAGGAGTCACTGATTCTGATTACAATGGGGCAACTCAAATTGTTTTATCTACTTCTGTTCCCTGGAAAGCAGAGCCAGGAGAGCATATAGTACAGCTCCTGATTGTGCTGTATGTGGGAATGGGGAAAAGTGAAATTAAACGAACAGGAGGATTTGGAAGCACAAATAAAGAAGGCAAAGCAGCTTATTGGGTGAATAAAATTACTGATAAACATCCTACCTGTGAAATAACTATTCAGGGAAAGAAATTTAAAGGTTTGGTAGATACAGGAGTGGACATTTCAATCACTTCTCTACAGCACTGGCCGTCCACGTGACCAATTCAACCCATTCAATTTAACATAGCTGGAGTTGGTAACCCCTGAAGTATATCAAAGTAGTCATATTTTGCACTGTGAAGGGCCCAATGGACAACCTGGGACTATTCAACCAATTATAACTCCTGTACCTATAAATTTATGGGAAGAGATTTATTACAACAATGGGGAGTACAAGTTCTGATTCCAGAACAATTATACAGCCCTCAAAGTCAACATATGATGCATGAAACGGGGTATGTCCCTGGTATGGGACTAGGAAAAAATTTGCAAGGTTTGAAGGAACCACTTCAAGCAGAAAGACAAAGTTCCCACCAAGGTTTAGGATATCATTTTTGATGGTGGCCATTGTTAAGCCTCCAGAACCTATACCTTTAAAATGGTTAAAAGATAAGCCAATTTTGATAGAACAGTGGCCGCTAAGTAAAGAGAAACTGGAGGCTTTAGAGGACTTCGTTAATGAACAATTAGGAAAAGGACACATAGCTCCAACATTTTCCCCCTGAAATTCTCCAGTCTTTGTTATTAAGAAACAATAAGGTAAATGGAGAATGTTAACTGATTTATGAGCCATTAATTCAGTTATACAACCTATGGAGACTTTAGTAAATGACACTACAATTGTGCCACAGAAAGTAGCCATAGGTAGGGATCAATTGAAAACATTAAATGACTTTCAAAAATTACTAGGGGACATTAATTGGATACGACCTGCTCTAAGCATTCCTACCTATGCCATGAGTAATCTATTTTCTATTCTTAGAGGAGATCCTAGTCTCACTAGCCCTTGGCAATTAATAAAAGAAGCTGAGCCAGAGCTGCAGCTAATCGAAAAGCAAGTCTATAAAGCTCAAATAAATAGAATAGATCCAGAGAAGGCTCTAGATTTGCTAATTTTTCCAACTCAGCATTCACCTACTGGTGTTATTGTCCATGAGCAGGACTTAGTAGAATGGTTTTTTCTTCCACATACTAATTCATGGACTCTAACTCCTTATTTGGATCAAATCACTACTATGATAGGAAATGGGAGAACTCAGATTGTTAAATTACATGGATATGATCCTGGAAAAATTACTGTCCCTCTCACAAAGGCACAAATACAGCAAGCTTTTATAAATAGTCTTACTCAGCAAACCCATTTAGCTGACTTTGTGGGTATTCTCAATAATCATTTTCCTAAACAAAATTGTTTCAATTTTTGAAATTAACTAATTGGATCCTCCCTAGTATAACTAAATTTAAACCAATTGAAGGTGCTGAAAATGTCTTTACAGATGGGTCTAGTAATGGTAAAGCTTTTTATTCTGGCTCAAAAGATAAAGTTTTCCAGACACCCTATACTTCAGCTCAAAAAGCAGAGCTTGTAGCTGTAATTGAGGTATTGACTGCTTTTAATATGCCCATTAATGTGATTTCTGATTCTTCATATGTGGTTCATTACACACAATTAATTGAAAATGATGAAAGAAGCTAAAGCTATTATCCAGCGACGCCCAACTTGCCAAATGGTGCATTCCGCATCTTTTCCAGGAGGAGTTAATCCTCGAGGATTGGAACCTAATTCTCTTTGGCAAATGGATGTCACACATGTTCCCTCATTTGGGAGACTAGCTTATGTACATGTATGTGTGGACACCTTTTCTCACTTTGTCTGGGCTACATGCCAATCAGGAGAGTCTTCTGCCTGTGTTAAACGTCACCTTTTGCAGTGTTTTGCGGTGATGGGCATTCCAGCTTCTATTAAAACAGATAATGCCCCAGGCTATACTAGCCAAGCTCTAGCTACATTTTTCTCTATATGGAATATTAAACACATTACTGGCATCCCATATAATTCTCAAGGACAAGCCATAGTGGAAAGAATGAATCTCTCCCTGAAACAGCAGTTGCAAGAGCTAAGGGGGGAAAACAGGGAGTACAGAACACCACATATGCAATTGAATCTCGTATTATTGACTTAAAATTTTTTGAGCCTGCCTAAAGGCCAGATGCTGTCAGCAGCTGAACAGCATCTACAGAAACCAGCTGCAAAGACAGAAGCAGAACAACTGGTTTGGTGGGAGAAATCCAATAACAAAAACTTGGGAAATAGGTAAAATAATAACTTGGGGTAGAGGTTATGCTTGTGTTTCTCCAGGCCAGAACCAGCAGCCAATTTGGATACCATCAAGATACCTGAAACCTTATCATGAGCCAGATGCCGAGGAAGAGATACCAGGAGGATCCCGAGGACCCCCCGGTTGCAGCCATGTCAAGACTGACGCTGAGGAGGACCCCAACTGTCATGAGCAACACCCATTGAACACAGCCACCTACTTGAGGACAGAACAAGAAGCTGTCACAAATGGCAGAAGAAAACCAGAGGAAAGCGGGACAACCAGTCACAATGAGTAATTTAATGGTAGCTGCGATAGCAGTGATCACCACTGCCTTGAGTATTCCTTTAGCAAGGGCTGACACAGAGAACAATTATACTTATTGGGCATATTTATCAATCTTGGCTGGCAATAATGCCTGGATATAATCGATCTGACACAGTTACACATGCTTTCTGATCTCAGTATTTACCATTATAAATCTGCTCCTATAATTGAGGCATACTACCCTCAAAAACCTATTTGTAAACAGAATTGGACCTGGCCAGAAATAATGAACGTACCTGTTTGGGAAGATTGCATTGCAGAACAGGCAGACATGCTGTGCAACGATTCCTGTGGAATCATCATTGATTATTCCCCTATGGAGATGTTTAGCTTGAATTGCACCTCTCAGTCTGTGTGTCATGGCCACACTATGTTCAGCTGGTCTGAACAAAATGGTCAGATGGTAGAAATGATAAGGAATATGGCAAAAGTTCCTATTATCTGGAAACATGGAGGTATAGTGGCACCTCAACCTCAAATGATATGGCCCACTGTAGGAGCTAAACATAAGGATTTGTAGACACTATTAATAGCTGTTAATAAGATCAAATTTTGGGAAAGAATAAAAAAGCATCTAGAAGGACACTCTACAAATTTGTCTTTGGATATTGCAAAACTAAAAGAACAAATATTTAAAGCATCCCAGGCACACCTGAACTTAATGCCAGGAACTGGAGTGCTTGAAGGAGCTGCAGACACATTAGGAGCTAGTAACCCATTAAAATGCATAAAAACACTTAAAAGCTCTGTGATTTCAATGATGACTGTGCTTTTAATCTGTGTTGTCTCTGTATAGTCTGCAGATGCGGAACCTGACTCCTGGGAGAAGTAGCTCACCGTGATAATGCTGCCTTTGCTTTTATCACTTTGAAAAAAAAGAAAAAAAGACAAGGGGGACATGTTGGGAACAGGCCCCCAAATCTGGCCATAAACTGGCCCCAAAACTAGCCATAAACAAAATCTCTGCAGCACTGTGACATGTTCGTGATGGCCATGACACCCACGCTGAAGGTTGTGGGTTTACCGAAATAAGGGCAAGGAACACCTGGCCCACCCAGGGTGGAAAACCGCTTAAAGGCATTCCTGAACCACAAACAATAGCATGAGTGATCTGTGGCTTAAGGACATATTCCTGCTGCACATAACTACCCAGACCCATCCCTTTATTTCCGCCCATCCCTATATTTCCCATAAGGAATACTTTTAGTAAATCTCATGACTGGCTTGCTGTCAATAAATATGTGGGTAAATCTCTGTTTGAGGCTCTCAGCTCTGAAGGCTGTGAGACCCCTGATTTCCCACTCCACACTCTGTATTTCTGTGTGTGTGTCTTTAATTCCTCTAGTGCTGCTGGGTTAGGGTCTCCATGATCAAGCTGGTCTCAGCAAGTGTAGACACATTTTTCAGTACTAATGGGTACATACCGAGGAGTGGAATTGCTCAGTCATATGGCAACTACGTTGAACTTTCTGATGAACTGCTAACCTGTTTTCTAAAGCTGCTGCACCATTTAACATCTCTATCAGCAATTCATGAGAGCTCCAATTTCTCCACATCCTAGCCAAGCCTTATTATCTTCTGCAAAATTTAAGAGATGAGAATTTGAATTACAACCTAAATGTCCAGATGTAAAACGTTTAGATCTTTCTCAGTGAGCCCTCTGAGGTAGTTCTTTTGGTTAATTATCAGCTGAAATCTGCACTTAAAGGAATATAACAGAGTGAATGCAAAACAAATTAGAAACATCCTTCAGCTTTGTCTCTACATAAGCTTTTACTTTTTTTATTATTTTTTTAAATTATACTTTAAGTTCTAGGGTACATGTGCACAAGGTTTGTTACATATGTATACATGTGCCACGTTGGTGTGCTGCACCCATTAACTCGTCATTTACATTAGGTATATCGCCTAATGCTATCCCTCCCCCCTCCCCCCACCCCACGACAGACCCCGGTGTGTGATGTTCCCCTTCCTGTGTCCAAGTGTTCTCATTGTTCGATTCCCACCTATAAGTGAGAACATGCGGTGCTTGGTTTTTTTTGTCCTTGTGATAGTTTGCTGAGAATGATGGTTTCCAGCTTCATCCATGTCCCTACAAAGGACATGAACTCATCCTTTTTTATGACTGCATAGTATTCCATGGTGTATATGTGCCACATTTTCTTAATCCAGTCTATCATTTATGGACATTTGGGTTGGTTCCAAGTCTTTGCTATTGTGAATAGTGCCGCAATAAACATACGTGTGCATGTGACTTTATAGCAGCATAATTTATATTCCTTTGGGTATATACCCAGTAATGCGATGGCTGGGTCAAATGGTATTTCTAGTTCTAGATCCTTGAGGAATCACCACACTGTCTTCCACAATGGTTGAACTAGTTTACAGTCCCACCAACAGTGTAAAAGTGTTCCTGTTTCTCCACATCCTCTCCAGCACCTGTTTCCTGACTTTTTAATGATTGCCATTCTAACTGGTGTGAGATGGTATCTCATTATGGTTTTGATTTGCATTTCTCTGATGGCCAGTGATGATGAGCATTTTTTCATGTGTCTGTTGGCCGCATAAATGTCTTCTTTTGAGAAGTGTCTGTTCATGTCCTTTGCCCACTTTTTGATGGGGCTGTTTGTTTTTTTCTTGTAAATTTGTTTGAGTTCTTTGTAGATTCTGGATATTAGCCCTTTGTCAGATGAGTACATTGCAAAAATTTTTTCCCATTCTGTAGGTTACCTGTTCACTCTGATGGTAGTTTCTTTTGCTGTGCAGAAGCTCTTTAGTTTAATTAATCCCATTTGTCAATTTTGGCTTTTGTTGCCATTGCTTTTGGTGTTTTAGTCATGAAGTCCTTGCCCATGCCTATGTCCTGAATGGTATTGCCTAGGTTTTCTTCTAGGGTTTTTATGGTTTTAGGTCTAACATTTAAGTCTTTAATCCATCTTGAATTAATTTTTGTATAGGGTGTAAGGATGGGATCCAGTTTCAGCTTTCTACATATGGCTAGCCAGTTTTCCCAGCACCATTTATTAAATAGGGAATCCTTTCCCCATTTCTTGTTTTTGTCAGGTTTGTCAAAGATCAGATGGTTGTAGATGTGTAGTATTATTTCTGAGGGCTCTGTTCTGTTCCATTGGTATTATACCTCTTGTTTTGGTACCAGTACTGTGCTGTTTTGGTTATGGTAGTCTTGTAGTATAGTTTGAAGTCAGGTAGTGTGATGCCTCCAGCTTTGTTTTTTTGGCTTAGGATTGACTTGGCAATGCAGGCTCTTTTTTGGTTCCTTATGAACTTTAAAGTAGTTTTTTTCCAATTCTGTGAAGAAAGTCATTGGTAGCTTGATGGGGATGGCAATGACTCTATAAATTACCTTGGGCAGTATGGCCATTTTCACGATATTGATTCTTCCTATCCACCAGCATGGAACGTTCTTCCATTTGTTTGTGTCCTCTTTTATTTCGTTGAGTAGTGGTTTGTAATTCTCCTTGAAGAGGTCCTTCACATCCCTTGTAAGTTGGATTCCTAGGTATTTTATTCTCTTTGAAGCAATTGTGAATGGGAGTTCACTCATGGTTTGGCTCTCTGTCTGTTATTGGTATATAAGAATGCTTGTGATTTTTGCACATTGATTTTGTATCCTGAGACTTTGCTGAAGTTGCTTATCAGCTTAAGGAGATTTTGGGCTGAGACGATGGGGTTTTCTAGATATACAATCATGTCATCTGCAAACAGGGACAATTTGACTTCCTCTTTTCTTAACTGAATACCTTTTATTTCTTTCTCCTGCCTGATTGCCCTGGCCAGAACTTCCAACACTATGTTGAATAGGAGTGGTGAGAGAGGGCATCCCTGTCTTGTGCCAGTTTTCAAAGGGAATGCTTCCAGTTTTTGCCCATTCAGTATGATATTGGCTGTGGGTTTGTCATAAATAGCTCTTATTATTTTGAGATACATCCCATCAATACCTAATTTATTGAGAGTTTTTAGCATGAAGGGCTGTTGATTTTTTCAAAGGCCTTTTCTGCATCTATTGAGATAATCATGTGGTTTTTGTCCTTGGTTCTGTTTATATGATGGATTACATTTATTGATTTGTGTATGTTGAACCAGCCTTGCATCCCAGGGATGAAGCCCACTTGATCTTGGTGGATAAGCTTTTTGATGTGTTGCTGTATTCGGTTTGCCAGTATTTTACTGAGGATTTTTGCATCGATGTTCATCAGGGATATTGGTCTAAAATTCTCTTTTTTTGTTGTGTCTCTGCCAGGCTTTGGTATCAGGATGATGCTGGCCTCATAAAATGAGTTACGGATTAAGAAGTGTGGGCTTTCCTTTCAAAGACACGAAATGTCATTCAAAAGTCTATATGCCAATATATTTATACCATTAAGATAGTTTTTTTTTTTCCTTTCTTTAAAAAAAAAAAAATCACAGAAACGGGGTCTCACTGTGTTGCCCAGCCTGGTCTCAAATTCCTGGCCTCAAGCGATTCTCCCAAACTGGGGTTACAGGTGTGAGCCACCAAACCCGCCTACATCTTCATTTAGATAGGTCAAGAATGCAGTGGAGCTGTGGAGATGCGAAGAGTATAAAAACATTTTATCTACTTCCTAACTCAAGCCCAGTGACAGGGATGCTGGTCACTACCTGGGATAGCAGGTACTAACCAGATTCTCCAACTCCTGGACTCTAGCAATCCTCCCATCTCAGCCTCCCAAAGTGTTGGGATTACAGGCGTGAGCCACCATGCCCGGCCAGGGTACTATCCAGATTCTGATGTAGCTGAAATAACACTTTGACAGCCTAAGTCTTGGCTAACTTAAAGAGTGGCCTGGGGAACAGGAGCATGTTAGAAATGCAGACTCTCAGGCACCACTCCAAATCTACTGAATCAAAAGCTGCATTTACAAGATCCCGAGCTGGTTCCATGTACACATCCAAGTTTGAGTAGCACTACACTAAACATAGAATAAGTTAAAAACTTCACACTGTCATTTTTTCCTTTTAAAAATATGTTTAAAATTTTTTTGGACACAAAATATTTTACTTATTATGGAGTACATGTGAATATTTGTTACATGCATAGATTATAATTCAGGTCAGAGCATTTGGGATATCCATCACCTTGAATATTTATCATTTCCATGTATGGGTAACATTTAAAGTCCTCTCTTCTACATACTTTACAATAGACAAGACATTGTTGCTAACTATAGTCACCCTAGTCTATCTAATAGTGGGGTTTATTCATTTGTAGCTCTAACTATGTTTCTACTCTCTTTATCCACACCCCCCCCACACACACCACACACCTGTCCCATGCTCTAATATCTATCATTCTATTCTCTGTCTTCATGAGATCAGGTTTTTTTGTTTTGTTTTGTTTTTTTGAGACGGAGTCTCGCTCTGTTGCCCAGGCTGGAGTGCAATAGCACGATCTCGGCTCACTGCCATCTCTGCCTCCCGGGTTCAAGCGATTCTCCTGCCTCAGCCTCCTGAGTAGCTGGGATTACAGGTATGAACCACCAAGCCCAGCTAATTTTGTATTTTTAGTAGAGACAGAGTTTCACCATGTTGGTCAGGCTGGTCTCAAACTCCTGACCTCAGAAGATCCACCTGCCTCAGTCTCCCAAAGTGTTGGGATTACAGGTGTGAGCCACCACGCTCAGCTGAGATCAGGTTTTTGTTGTTTTTGTTTGTTTTTTTGGTTCCCACATGTTAGTGAGAACATGTGGCATCTGTCTTTCTGTTCCTGTCTTATTTCACTTAACATAATAACCCACAGTTCCATCTATGTTGCTGCAAATGACAGGGTTTCATTCTTTTTATGGCCAAATAGTATTCCATTGTGTATATGGTACCACATTTTCTTTATCTATTTATTGGTCCATTGATTGACACTTGGGTTGACTGCATATCTTTGCTATTGTGAATTGTAAATAATGCAAGTGCAGATATCCTTTTGATATACTGAATTCCTTCTTGTTGTTGTTGTTGTCTCTTGAGATAGTGTATCATTCTGTTGCCCAGGCTGGAGTGCAATGGTGCAATCTTGGCTCATGGCAACTTCTGCCTCCTGGGTTCAAGCGATTCTCCTGCCTCAGCCTCCTGCTGGTATTACGGGTGCATGCCACTATGCCTGGCTAATTTTTGTATTTTTTTAGTAGAGATGGGGTTTCACCATGTTGGCCAGGCTGGTCTCGAACTTCTGACCTCAAGTGATCCTCCCACCTCGGCTTCCCAAAGTGCTGGGATTACAGGCATGAGCCACTGCACCCAGCTCTTTTCCTTGTTTTTAATTTTTATGGGAAGATAGTAGGTATATATATTTATGGGGCACATGAGTTTTGGTGGGTTTTTTTAATAAAGGGTCTCACTCTGTCACCCAGGCTGGAGTGCAGTGGTGCAATCTTGGCTCACCACAGCCTCAATCTCCCTGGCTCAAGCGATTCTCCCATCTCAGTCTCCCGAATAGTTGCAACTACAGATACACACTACCATGCCCATCTAATTTTTCTATTTCTTTGTAGAGACAGGTTTTTGCCATGTTGCCCAGGCTGGCCTTGAACTCCTGGGCTCCAGTGAACCATCTGCCTCAGCCTTCCAAAGTGCTGGGATTACAGGTGTGAGTCACTGTGCCCAGCCAAGATATTTTAATATAGGTATACAATGTGAATAATCACATCAGGGTAAATGGGGGTATCCTCCACTTCAAGCATTTATCCTTTCTTTGTGTTACCAACAACTCAATTATACTCTTTCAGCTATTTTAAAATGTATAATAATTATTGTTGACTATACTCATTCTGTGGTGCTATCAAATACGAGATCTTATTTATTCTATTAATATCTAACTATATTTTTATACCCATTAACCTCCCCACTTTCCCCCAACCCACTACCCTTCCCATCCTGTGGTAACCATCATTCTGCTCTTATCTCCATGAGTTTAATTTCTAGCTCCCACAAATAAGTGAGAATAGGCAGTTTGTTTTTCTGTGCCTGGCTTAGTTCAGTTAACATAATGACCTCCAGTTCCAACCACGTTGTTGCAAATGACAGGATCTCATTCTTTTTTTATGGCTGAACAGTACTCCATTGTGTATATGTCCTACATTTTCTTTATCCATTCATCTGATGATGGACACTTAGGTTGCTTCCAAATAATGGCTACTGAGAATAATGCTACAATAAACATGAGAGTGCAGATATCTTTTCAATATAGCAATTTCCATTCTTTTGGGTATATACCTAGCAGTGGGATTGCTGTATCATATGGTAATTCTATTTTTAGTTTTTTGAGGAACCTCCAAACCGTTCTCCATAATGGTTACACTAATTTACATTCTCCCCAACAGTGTATGAGGGTTCCCTTTTCCCCATATCCTTGCCAACATTTGTTATTGCCTGTCTTTTGGATGTCAGCCATTTTAACTGGGGTGCAACAATAGCTCATAGTAGTTAGCTCATTGTAGTTTTGATCTGGATTTCTCTAATGATCAATGATGTTCAGCATGTTTTCGTACACCTGTTTGCCATTTGTATGTCTTTTGGGAAGTGTCGGTTCAGATCTTTTTGCCCATTCATTCATTCATTTTAAATAGAGATGAGGGCTCCCATGTTGCCCAGGCTGGTCTTGAACTCGTAGGCTAAAGCAATCCTCTCACCTTGACCTCCCAAAGTGCTGGGATTACAGGCATGAGCCACTGCAACTGTACCTTTTGCCCATTTTTAAATCAGATTATTGGATTTTTTTCCCTATAGAATTGTTTGAGCTCCTTATATACTGGTTGTTAATCCCTTGTCAGATGGGTAGCTTGCAAATATTTTCTCCCATTCTGTGGGTTATCTCTTTGCTGATCATTTCTTTTGCTGTGCAGAAGCTTTTTATCTTGATATGATCCCCATTTGTCCATTTTTGTTTTGGTTGTTTGTGCTTGTCAGGTATTACTCAAGAAATCTTTGCCCAACCCAACGCCCTACAGAGTTTCCTCGATGTTTTCTTATAGTAGTTTCATAGTTTGAGGTCTTAGATTTAAATCTTTAATCCATTTTGGTTTTTGTATATGGCAAGAGATAGGGGTCTAGTTTCATTCTTCTATATATGGAGATCCAGTTTTCCCACCACCATTTACTGAAGAGTGTGTCCTTTTCCCAATGTATGTTCTTGGCACCTTTGTCAAAAATGAGTTTACTGTAGATGTATGGATTTGTTTCTGGGTTCTCTGTTCCGCTCTATTGGTCTGTGTATCTGTTTTCATGCCAGTACCATGCTGTTTTAGTTACTATAGCTCTGTAGTATAATTTGAAGTCAGGTAATGGGATTTTTCCAGTTTTGCTCTTTTTGCTCAGGATAGCTTTGCTGTTCTGGGTCTTTTGTGGGTTCATATGAACTTTAGGTTTTTTTTTTTTCTATTTCTGTGAAAAATGTCATTGGTATTTTGATAGGGATTGCATTGAATCTGTAGACTGCTTGGATAGTATGGACATTCTTCCATGTTCATGGTTGGAAGAATCAATATTGTTAAAGAATGTTTCCATTTTTGTGTGTGTCCTCTTCAATTTCTTTAATCAATGTTTTATAGTTTTCATTGTAGAGATCTTTTATTTCTTTGGTTAACTTTATTTCTAGGTATTTTATTTTATTTGTGGCTAGTGTAAATAGAATTACTTGATTCACTTTTTTTCAGATGGTTTGCTGTTGGCATATAGAAATGCTACTGATTTTTTATGTTGATTTTGTATCCTGCAACTTTGCTGAACTTGCTTATCAGTTTTTTTGTTTGTTTGTTTATTTTTGTGCAGAGTCTCACTCTGTCACCAAGGCTAGAGGGCAATGGTGCAATCTCGGCTCACTGCAACCTCTGCCTCTCGGGTTCAAGAGATTCTCCTTCCTCAGCCTCCCAAGTAGCTGGGATGACAGGCACAGTGCCTGCTATGGGAGGTGCCACAATGTCTGGCTATTTTTTTTTTTTTTAAGTAGACACAGGATTTCACCATGTTGGCCAGGCTGGTCTCAAACTCCTGACCTCAAATGATCTGCCCACCTCAGCCTCCCAAACTGCTGGGATTACAGATGTGGGCCACTGCGCCCAGGCTTGTTTATCAGTTCTAATAGTTTTGTGGTGGAGTCTTTGGTTTTTTTCCAATATAAAATCATATCATCTGCAAACAAGAATAACTTGGCTTTTTCCTTTCCAATTTGGATGCTGTTTCTTTCTCTTGTCTGATTGCTTTAGCTAGGACTTCACAATTTCTGTTCCTTTGGATAAACACCCAGTTGTGGAAGTGCTGGATGTACAGTAGTTCTAATTTTTTGAGGAAGCTCCATTTTATTTTTCACAGTAGTTTAACCAATTTACATTCCCACCAACAGTGTATGAGTTTTCTTTTCTCTGCATCCTTCCAGAATCTGTTATTTTTCCTTTGTAATAATAGTCATTCTAACTGGGGTAGGATAACATCTCATTGTGGTTTTGATTTGCATTTCCCTGATGCTTAGTGATGTTGAGTATTTTTTTTCATATAGCTGTGGCCATTTGTATGTCTTTTTTTGAGAAATATCTATTCATGTCCTTAGCCCACTTTTTAATGGGATTATTTATTTTTTGATGGTCAAGTTATTTGAGTTCCTTGTGTATTCCGGATATTAGTTCCTTGATGAATAGTTTGCAAATATTTTTCTCTCATTCGACAGGTTGTCTCTTCACTTTGTTCTTTCCTTTGCTGTGCCAAAACTTTTTAGTTTAATATAATCCGATTTGTCTATTTTTGTTATAGCTGTCTACGCTTTTGAGGTCTTAGCAATGAAATCTTTGCCTAGACCAATGTTTTGAAGTGTTTCCCCTATGTTTTATTCTGGTAGTTTTACAGTTTCAGGTCTTACATTTAAGTCTTGAATCCATTGTGAGTTGATATTTGTATATAGGGAGAGAGGAGGGTCCAATTTCATTCTTCTACATATGGATATCCAATTTTCCCACACTATTTATTGAAGAGGGTCACACCATCGTTTTTTGCCAAGGCACCCATTGTTTCAAAGTTTGTTTGAAAACAAACTTAGCCATAAAAACAATTTTATGGATATGTTCCACAAATAAAGGAATCTGCTGTTTTACATTTCATTACAATAGGAAATGTTTAGATTTGCTTATAAAACTCAGCTGGGGCCCTTCAGCAGCAATGTAGCAAAATGGCACAAATAAGCAGCCTGAAGATTTACACAAAATGACTTTGATCCCTTTGCTGCTTATTGATATTTGGAATGTCCCTACTCTTGTCACTTGGAAAGATTCCAAGGTTTCAGTGCTAATAAGAGTTTTGTAGTGCACTCTCTTTCTCTCGCTCTCATTTTCTTTTTCCTGAAGAGAAAGTCAACTCACTGATGTCCCTAGCAGCCTCAAATAGCAGCCGGGTGGCAGCCTGAATGAATGATGGAGGGACCAACGGAGGCACAATAGGGAGCATGCCAGGAGGCTGGAGGGTGATTCAGGAGGCCCAGGTGACAAGGCTGGTCAGCTGCCTTGTTGCTACAGTGCTTAACTTCAGTTCCCTCATTTCTAAACCAATCTGAGGCAGTTGAATAACAACAACATCAATAATAATAGCAGGTACTCTATGGAAACATTACACTCTAGGAACATCTTAAGTTTTAACTCATTTCATCCTCACAACAAGCCTGTGAGGGGTTGGAGTAAACTTTATTACTCCCATTTAACAGACGAGGAAAACTGAGGCAGAGAAGTTTGCTGTTAGGTTAGTGCAAAGGTAACTGTGGTTTCTGCCATTAAAAGTATGGCAAAAACCACAATCACTTTTGCACTAACTTAATAACTTGCCCAAAGTCCCAGAAATTACAAGTAATTTCTGGATTCTAACCCAGGCATTCTGCAATTAGAGCTGGTTCTTTATCATTTTACTGAGAAACGGCACCATTTGTTAAATCACTATGCACACAACTGGGGGCAGTGGCTCATGCCTGTAATCCCAGCACTTTGGGAGGCTGAGGCAAGTGGATCACCTGAGCTCAGGAGTTCAAGACAAGCCTGGGCAACATGGTGAAACCCCATCTCTACAAAAAGTACAAAAATAAATTAGCCAGGTGAGGTGCCACGTACCTATAGTCCCACCTACTTGAGAGGGTGAGGAGGGAGGATCACTTAAGCCTAGGAGGTTGAGAGGTTGAGGCTGCAGTGAGCTATGATCGTGCCACTGCACTCCAACGTGGGCAACAGAGCAAGACCCTGTCCCAAAAAAACAAAAAACAAAAAACAGTGACACCCTATGTAATATAACCTACTGGTTGTGCTAGTCTTTAAAAATCAAAGTTTAAACTAAAATCTGGAAGTATTTGGCAAAAAAGCAAACAGTGTTCTCAGTGGGACAGATTAGGGTTGCCAGGGCTCTCAAATAGATGGGGATATAACCCAAGCACAGAAGCAAACAGAGCCTGCAAGAGAGGTTTCATTTCCTACCAAACCACTCAACAAGTTGTGCAAACCTTCCCAAAATAAATACCATGGGACAAGGCTGGGATAATTCTCAAGGCTCTTAAGCCAAAGGAGGCTTGAACTGTTGCTATTCAAAAACTCTTAAGTTATAACCCAGAAAGCTCCTTCTATCTTTCAGAATAATAACAAACACAATTATTCTGGTTTCTGATTACCGGCTGAAATAGATATTGGGAGGAAATACAAACTCACTGGCTACTTTTACAAGACTTCAATTTCTCAGGCATATTCATTCACTGAAAATTTCTCTCAAACCAGTCTTTCTTGCCTTCTTCACCACCAGGGCGTCTGTTACCATGATCAGTTCCTTCCATTGCCTCTGCAACCAATATTCACTTCCCCAAATGAAGCAAGCCACCAACGCTCACACAAAGAAATGACCATACACGACCCTACCAGCATTAGCCACACCCCAGAATACCAGAGTGTTAGGACGTTGCAGAAGAATAACTGGTCCAACATCTTCATTTCACAGATGGAAGCACTGATGCTCAGAGAGGTTAGGAAATGTGTCAAAGATCACTGCCCTGCCCCAAGGGTATTTTCTCCCTAATACACCCACGACTCCCTTCTTTCCTTTTAAAAAATCTTCATTTCCAAGAAAGGAGTGACTGTGATCAGGAAGAGACTCAAATACTTCATGGTACATAACAACTTTCCCACAATCCCTTGAGAGCCTCAGCATCTCAGTTCTGCAACAGGAGCCTTGTATCCTGACCACCTCAAACTGCTTATATTTTTATTGTACTCTTTTTATATGATGTCTTTCTGGAGAGAAAAAAACTAATGATATTAAATAATATTTTAAAAAACAGGATTAAAATATTTTTAATATTAGATCATATTTTTAAAATTAGGTAAATTCCTTCCTGTAGCATACAAGGCTCTACACGCAGTGTCCTGGCTCCCTTTTGACCTACCTTCTAGGACTCTCCCTATTCACTGGGCTCTCTGCTGTTTCCTGAGCACATCAAGCGTCCTTCCACCTCAGGGCCTTTGCCTTGCAGTTCCTTCCACCAGGAGAGCCATTCCTGCAGAAAAGTACGCAGCTGAATCCCTCACTCCATTCAGGAATCTGCTGAGAGGGCTTCCTTCTCCAGGTTTATTCGCACAGTCCAATGTCTTCTTTATTTTCTTGAATGTATTTGACATTATAGTAAAGAGGTATCTGTTTATTGTCTGTCTGCCCTATTAGACTGTGTGTACCATGAAGGCAGAGACTTTATTTTCCTAGCACACAGAATTAATTTTTAGGTCATGTAAATCTTTAGTTTTGAATTTGCTTTTTTAGCCTGAACTTTTTGAGTTTTCTCACGTCAAGGCACACCTATATACTGGCATAAACAGATATTTTTCTCAGGTTGTAATTTACATTCTTAGGAGAGAAAGCTGTGTCCTTTATGACATGAGCTCGATTTTGCTTCCCAACAGTGTCGTGCAGTGGTTCTCAAAGTATGGTTTCCGGGCCAGCAGCATCCGCATCACCGGGGAATGGGCTGGACATGCGCAATGTCGGGATCCTGTCCTGACGCCAGGGGAGAAGCCCTGCAAGCTCCCCTACCCGGGAGATGACTCTTATACACATTCGATTTTTAGGACCACTGGCACAGTAGAAAGAAGTATAAACTGGAGCTGAGCGCAGTGGCTCATCCCTGTAATCCTAGCACTTGGGGAGGCCAAGGCAGGTGGATCACTTGAGGTGAGGAGTTTAAGACCAGCCTGGCCAACATGGTGAAACCCACATCTCTACTAAAAAATACAAAAATTAGCTAAGTATTGTGGCACATGCCTGAAATCCCAGCTACTCGTGAGGCTGAGGCATGAGAATTGCTTGAATCCAGGAGGCAGAGGTTACAGTGAGGCTGAGATCACACCACTGCACTCCAGCCTGGGCTACCGAGTGAGTCTGTCTTAAAAAATATATACAAACTAAAAGTCATTAGTCCTTGATTTTGGTCTCAACTCTGCCAACCCCAAGCTATGGGACAATTTAAAGCCACTCAAATTCACTTACTTCAGTGTACTCATCTGATCTACAGAATTACTAAGCCTTTTCTCCTCTAAAAGTCTAGGATTCCATTCCAGCCTACCAAGTGTTCTATGGCACTCATTTGCTGCAATATCTAAATTCTAGGTCACTGAGTTCAAATGAGGCTTAGCGCACACAGAATATTTCAGCAGGCCAATCCTAACAATAGGATTAAAAGGTCTGGATTCCCATTTCAGATTATACTGAGGGTAAGGAAGGCAGCACTATCTTATAACTTTAGTTATAAAAGCCTTGAAAAACTAAATTCTACTCTGTAGAATTAACTCTATTGGCCCAGAGACAAATCTTTTCAGCAGAAAAGTGATGGGCTGCCCGGCTTTCAGTGATTTCAAAAGCAGCTGCAATAGCTGATCACTGCTTCTATTAGGAACTGATGTAGCAGAAAGTTTGAGATGGAAACATTTGTTGCCTTTCCCTGCTCAAAAGGTATAATAAATGACTGGCATGTAAAAAATGAATGCTATAAAAAAAAACAGGATTACTATCCTTTAAGTGCCTGTGATGTGCTAATTAATAGAATCAGCAGTACTACTTCTGAGGAACAGGAGGGAGAGGACACTGAGATGGAAGATCACATACTCAAGGACTGAGGAACCACCCCTCATCCTTTTTTTTTTTTTGAGACTGGGTCTCACTCTGTCATCCAAGCTGGAGTGCAGTGGCACCATCTCGGCTCGCTGCAACCTCCACCTCCCAGGTTCAAGCGATTCATGTGCCTCAGCCTCTCGAGTAGCTGGGATTACAAGCGTGCATCTACACATCCAGCTAATTTTTGTATTTTTAGTACAGACGGCATTTCACCATGTTGGCCAGGCTGGTCTTGAACTTCTGACCTCAAGCGATCTGCCCGTCTCGGCCTCCCAAAGTGCTGGGATTACAGGTGTGAATCACCGCACCCGGGGCCCACGACATTTAACCAGAGCATTTGCTCTTTTTCTTCAGGATTGTTTGGCTTCATAAGGATAGTCTGGAAATGGTACTTGGGCATTATGAAATCTCCATTAGGGCAAATGATTTCTATGTTGTATTCACTGACACACCCCCAGACTCCAGTATGTAGAACAGGCGATTTGTACTAATTTCAGAACTTCTCTGATCCCCACTTCCCTCTTCGTAAATTTACTTCAGGGTGATTGAGAGCATCAGATGGGAAACACCTGATGGAAATTGACGAGATCTCTAAGTTGAATGAATAAACTGTTGGCTGAATGAATGACACGGTTTTTGTTACCTAGGTATTTATCTGATTTCTGTTATCGAATTATCAGGGCGAGAGCCCAATCTTTCCTAATAAGAAAGGAATTGTTTCTTATTAATTATGTTAATACTGAATGCCCCAACACTGGGCTAGGTGCTCATGGAGAACCTCTGCTAGGGCAGTGCAGAAGGGAAATGTAGGGTTGGGACCCCCTCACAGAGTCCCTCACATCCAAGTCACACTGATGCAAGAGGTAGGCTCCCATGGTCTTGTGCAGCTCCGCCCCTGTGGCTTTGCAGTGTACAGCCTCCCACCCAGCTGCTCTCACGGGCTAGTGTTGAGTGTCTACAGCTTTTCCAGGTGAACGGTGCAAACTGTCGGTGAATCTACCATTCTGGGGTCTGGAGGATGGTGGCCCTCTTCTCACAGCTCCATTAGGTGGTGCCCCAGTAGGGACTCTATGAGGGGGTCCCAGCCCTACATTTCCCTTCTGCACTGCCCTAGCAGAGGCTCTCCATGAGAACCTAGCCCGGTGTTGGGACATTCAGTATTAACATAATTAATAAGAAACAATTCCTTTCTTAGTAGGAAAGATTGGGCTCTCGCCTTGATAATTTGATAACAGAAATCAGACAAGTACGTAGGAAACCAAAACCCACCAAATCCTAGGTGATTTCAGAGAGGCAGTGGCAAGACAGCACTCACTCAGGAAATTTTAGAAATGGCTTCAGGAAAGAGATGGTAAATTGGGCCTTGAATGATACGCCAGACTTGGTGGAATGGGGTGGGGGGTGGTGGGGGTGGTGGGGGTGGTGGGGGCGGTGGCGGTGGCAGCGACAGCATCTTGGAAGGCAGGAACTGAGCAGGGAAAGCAGAAGTGCTTCTAAAGAACTGGCACACGCTAATGATCTCATGTACCCCAGCCTCTGAGCAGGCTGGTTGCTGCTCAGCATGAGAATCTCCCGCTCCAGCAGCCCCAGTGTGATAGCGGCTGAGTGCAGGTCGCTCGCTGCTGTGGGTTCTGAGATCCATCTCCACCCTCCCTTACTCTGCTGTCTATCACAGCCAACTACGTTTCCCAGGCTCTCCTGACCTCTGCATTTGGGGCAGGTCCAGCCAGTGGAGGGAACAGAGAGAGGAAAAGCAAAGCCAAAGAGCTTTGACCCTGGGCAACAATTACCCATTTAAGTGTCTAAAATCCTTTGTTCTCAATATACTTAATCCAACTTTGAAAATAGCTCTAAAATGAAAAATGCTGTGATCTTAGCAATTGTATTAGTCTGTTTTTATGCTGCTGATAAAGACATACCCAAAACTGGGAAGAAAAAGAGGTTTAATTGGACTTACAGTTCCACATGGCTGGGGAGGCCTCAGAATCATGGCAGGAGGTGAAAGGCACTTCTTACTTGGTGGTGGCAAGAGAAAAATGACGAAGATGCAAAAGTGGAAACCCCTACTAAAACCATCAGATCTCGTGAGACTTACTCACTACTGCAAGAACAGTATGGGAGAAGCCACACCCATGATTCAAATTATCTCCCACTGGGTACCCCCACAATATGTAGGAATTATGGGAGTACAATTTTAGATGAGATTTGGGTAGGGACACAGAGCCAAATCATATCATTCTGCCCCTGGTCCCTCCAAATCTCATGTGGAGAGATTTCAATCCTCAAATTTCAAAATCAGTCATGCCTTCCCAACAGTTCCCCCAAAGTCTTAACTCATTTCAGCATTAACCCAAAAGTCCACAGTCCAAAGTCGCATCTGAGACAAGGCAAGTCCCTTCCACCTAGGAGCCTGTAAAATCAAAAGCAAGCTCATTACTTCCTAGATACAATGGGGGTACAGGTATTGGGCAATTACACCCATTCCAAATGGGAGAAATTGGCCAAAACAAAGTGGTTACAGGGCCCACACAAGTCTGAAATCCAGCGGGGCAATCAAATTTTAAAGCTCCGAAATGATCTCCTTTGATTCCAGGTCTCACATCCAGGTCACACTGATGCAAGAGGTGGGCTCCCATGGTCTTGTGCAGCTCCGCCCCTGTGGCTTTGCAGTGTACAGGCTCCCTCCCAGCTGCTCTCACGGGCTGGTGTTGAGTGTCTGCAGCTTTTCCAGGTGAATGGTGCAAGCTGTTGGTGAATCTACCATTCTGGGGGCTGGAGGATTGTGGCCCTCTTCTCACAGCTCCACTAGCTGGTACCCCAGTAGGGACTCTGTGAGGGGATCCCAGCCCTACATTTCCTTCTGGATTGCCCTAGCAGAGGTTCTCCATGTGCACCCCACCCCTGCAGCAAACTTCTGCCTGGGCATCCAGGTGTTTCCATACATCTTCTGAAATCCAGGTGTAGTTTCCCAAACCCAGTTCTTGACTTTTGTATACTTGTAAGCTCAACATCATGTGGAAGCTGCCAAGGCTTGGGGCTTCTACCCTCTGAAGCCACAGCCCAAGTTCTATGTTGGCCCCTTTCAGCCACAGCTGGAGCAGCTGGGACACAGGGCACCAAGTCCTTAGGGTGCACACAGCACAGGGACCATGGGCCCAGCCCATGAAACCACTTTTTCCTCCTGGGCCTCCTGGCCTGTGGTGGGAGAGGCTGCCGTGAAGGTCTCTGGCATGGCCTGGAGACATTTTCCCCATGGTCTTGGGAAGGCTCCTTGCTACTTATACAAATTTCTGCAGCTGGCTTGAGTTTCTCCACAGAAAATGAATTTTTCTTTTCTATCTAATAGTCAGGCTGCAAATTTTCCAAACTTTTATGCTTTGCTTCCCTTATAAAACTGAATGCCTTTAACAGTACCCAAGTTACCTCTTAAATGCTTTGCTACTTAGAAATTTATTCTGCCAGATACCCTAAATCATCTTTCTCAAGTTCAAATTTCCACAAATCACTAGGGCAGGGGCAAAATGCCACCAGTCTCTTTGCTAAAACATAACAAGAGTCACCTTTACTCCAGTTCCCAACAAGTTTCTCATCTCCATCTGAGACCACCTCAGCCTGGACCCTATTGTCCATATCGCTATCAGCATTCTGGGCAAAGCCATTCAACAAGTCTCTAGGAAGTTCCAAACCTTCCCACATTTTCCTGTCTTCTTCTGAGTCCTCCAAAGTGTTCCAGCCTCTGCCTGTTACCCAGTTCCAAAGTCACTTCCACATTTTCATGTATCTTTTCAGCAATGCCCCACTCTACTGGTACCAATTTACTATGTTAGTCCATTTTCATGCTGCTGATAAAGACATATCTGAGACTGGGAAGAAAAAGAGGTTTAATTGGACTTACAGTTCCACATGGCTGGGGAGGCCTCAGAATCATGGCAGAAAGTGAAAGGCACTTCTTACATAGCAACGGCAAGAGAAAAATGAGGAAGAAGCAAAAGCAAAAACCCCTACTAAAATCATCAGATCTCGTGAGACTTATTCACTACCGCAAGAACAGTATGGGGGAAACTGCCCCCAGGATTCAACTTATCTCCCACCAGGTCCCTCCCACAACACATGGGAATTATGGGAGTACAATTCAAGATGAGATTTGGGTGGGGACACAAAGCCAAACCATATCACCAATATTTTAACCAATGTAGTTCTAATTTCCAAATCTATTCTCATCAATTTTGCACCACAATCTTGGTTATAAGTCTTCCTTCTAAAGCACAATTTTGCAATAAATTAAGTTCAGCTTTAACATACAACACTGCTTCCTTTAAAAAAAAAACTCGAGAATTGTTACTTTAATATAATTTACTTTAAGCAAAAATGTACCTTTCATTGCAATTCTATTTTGTGTACAAGTCTTATATACATATATTGCATGTATACAGGGATGTATTTGTGTGTGAGAGAGAGAGAGAGAGAGAGAGAGAGAGAGAGAAAATTCACCTGTGCTTCCTGGGCCTTCCTCAGCCTACCTATAATGTATCACGATGTAGCACCTGTTGGAACGCTCTGGGCTAGGAAATGCAGGGTCTCACTGTATCCTGTCCTGCTCAGTGGTTCTGTTTGGACAAACCATTCAGATCACCTAAAGTGCTTTCTGAAACCCCATCCCCAGGAGTACCGCCATACCACTGAAACCAGAATCTCTGCAGGTGGAATTCAGCATTTGTCAAAGCTGCCCAGGTGATTCTAATGGGAGCCAAGCTGAGAACCAATGATCTAGTGAGTGGGGCCCTGAACTCAAGTTGCTCTGATGAGCTCTTAAAGAAGGGAAAGAAAGCATGGCCATGGTGTCATTGTTCCTGTTTTAATTTAGGGTGATTGCCGGGTGCAGTGGCTCACGCCTGTAATCCCAGCACTTTGGGAGGCCAAGGCGGGCAGATCACTTGAGGTCAGGAGCTCGAGACCAGCCTGGGCAACATGGTGAAACACCACCTCTACTAAAAATAAAAAATTAGCCAGGTGTGGTGGTGGGTACCTGTAATCCCAGCTATGTGGGAGGCTGAGGCAGGAGAACAGTTTGAACCCAGGAAGCAGGAGGTTGCAGTGAGCCGAAACCACTCCACTGTACTCTAGCCTGAGCAAGACTCCGTCTCAAAAAACCAAACCAAAACAATCAATTTAGGGTGGCCTCTGTTCATGCTGTTACCTGAACCCCATTTGCCTGTATCCACCCTGGTTACAGTATAATCCACTACTGGTTCCATTCTACAAGGCCGACCTCATATCACACTTCAGGCAGGAAGCATTTCTTAGCATCTCCAGTGTCTCATGAGCTCTTCTGTCCTGAACCCCTTACATGCAGTATTTTACAGGTTAGCATCTGATTATTCTCCAGTATTTTCATTGGCCTTGTCTTTCCGACTAGGTGTTATGCATCTTGAGGCCAGGAGCATATTTTCTCCTTTTGTATTTACTTATGAAAAAGTCTGGAACATTTTGGACCCAGGGAGTACCTCCCAACTAGATTAATGAAACACAACATTTAAGCATATTTGCAAAGTATAAGAAGAGGTTATCTCAACTTCAAAAATGACTCAAAGCAGAGTGGATATAGCAATTACATTCTTCAGTTTATCACTCTGACAAATATCAACAGGTCTTAGAAAAGACATAGGGTGATTTCACAGGGAAGGTAGGAGGCTGCAATTGCACAAATAACATGTAGTGGTTTTAGGTAAATTAATTTGGCAGCTGTACGTGAGAAGAACTGGAGAGAGCTGATCAGGTGGTATAACTCGATTTCCAAGACTGAACTGCTGGTGTAAAATATCTAATACATCCCTATACTGAGAAAACAGGAAGGGAGAATGTGCAACAAACCACCAGCCAGAGAAGCCCTTATTATAGTGATTTCTAAAGTTCAAGGCCTGCCTCTCCCACTTTATAGTCAAGCTCCACAGAGTCATCTAAAAATACTCTCACAAATTCTTGCTTTCATAGCCAAAAAGATCAGGTTTCTGAAAAGTGGGCAACATAAAATGATACAGACACATACACACACACACACACACACACACACACACACACACACACACACACATGCACACACTCCTTATATCTACACACACATGCCCAGGTGGTATTTGTTCAAATACTACAGTGCCGGCAGTGATTTTATTTAGTCTGGTTGTTCGTAAGACAAACACACATAACTTTAATTAAATGCACATCCAAATGTAGGGAACCCATCTTGAAACAATTAGACTCTTCTACGGTAAGAGGTTTGAGGACATTGACCTCCTCCCACTTCCTCACATCCACCATGGAAAGAGAACAGCTGGGCAGAGGCACGCCAGGCCTGACTCCATAAACACAGGCTGCAGCTATAACTCTTGGCTCTGCTCTATTTTGTTCCCTTCCTACCCAAGACACCACCCTTCCTTTATTCTTTTCCTAAATGAATTCCAGTCATTCAATTGCTTTTACTTTTTTTTTAACCCCTCTTTGATCAGTCTTAGAGGAAGAAAATTTCCTGGCATGCATTCTCATCTTTCCCTGAAAGAAAATACTCCAGAAAGAAACTCAAAAGTCTAAGGCATTACCCAACCACCCATCTGGTTATTGACCTTGGGTTATGGAGGCTTCTGGAGAACGTCTGTGGAGATGGCTGCCTTTGTTGCCACATTGTTGGGACTTTCTAGACTGCCTGGCTCTCTAGGTGGTAAAGGTTGAGTACTTCTCTATTTAAATTGCCGTGGAAGCTTGGGGGCCAAGTCAGGTTGTGATGTTCACCAGAAGAATTCTTTCCCCTCTGAATCCAAGTTAATTCACCCCTAAGCAATTTACCCATAAGATATTATCAGCAAAAAAAGAATGTTTTCTCCACAAGAACACACTGAAAAGTTATTTACACAAATCCCAAATGAAGGCCTCCTTTGGGCCTAGAACAATGGGAAAGACCAACACAATAAGATTGTACCATCCCTGTCCTTAGGGAGCTTTACTGTACTCTACGGGATTCAAGTCTTTCAGAAAACAAAGGTTTTCTTAGAATGGAGACATTTCTGTTGTCGTTCCTGTTCATTTGATATAATAGAATAAAGGTGGGTGTGGTAGTGCATGCCTTATAGTCCCAGCTACTCAGGAGGCTGAGGCAGGAGGATCACTTGAGGCCAAGCGTTCAAATCAAGTCTGGGCAATATGGCAAGACCCATCTCTAAATAAATAGAATAAAATAATCGAATATAATGGGTTCTAAATCAAGATTTCTAGTATTTCAAAGAGAAGAAAAGTCAAAAAGGCGGAAGAGAACCAGGGAGGGTGGCATTTTGGATTGGACATAGAACCTGGGTGCACAGGTGGACGTTCTGACCTGTGGGGAGGGCGGGAGCAGACAGCTCCACTTCCAGAAGAAACAGCGGGGAGACAGGATGTAGGTAAGTGGGGCAGAGCCAGAGGAAAGACCTTGAAGGCCAAAATCAAGCCTCTAGACAGACAGGCAACTGTAGATTCCAGCGCAAAATTACCACGAAAGCTCTCTAGAAAATAGAAGGCTGGGAATGGTGGCTCATGCCTGTAATCCCAACACTTTGGGAAGCTGACATGGGAGGATCACTAGGACAAGACAGCAAGACCCCATCATTACAAAAACAAAACAAAACAAAACAAAACCAAAATTAGCTGGGTGCAGTGGTGCATACCTGTAGTCCCAGCTAATTGAGAGGCTGAGGCAGGAGGATCACTTGACCCTGTGAGGTTGAGGCTACAGTGAGCGGTGACTGCACCACTGCATTCCAGCCTGGGTGACAGAGTGAGACCCTGTCTCACACACATGCACACAAAAAGGTAAATTCAGGAAGAGCTGTGTTATGTGGGCCTTAGTTTTATTATCTGCAAAAGGGAGGTGGTGACTCTTACCTAACTGCTATGTATATGTCTACCATGAAGAGAGAATAGAATGAAGTACTGACAGAAGCTACAACTCGGGTGAGCCTTGAAAACATTATGCTAAGTGAAAGGAACAGAGACAAGAGGCCACATATTATATGATTGCATTTATAAAAAATATCCAGAGCAGACAAATCCAGAGACAGAACCCAGATTCATGGTTGCCAGAGGAAGGGGAGGGGAGGTTGGGGAGTTTCTCCCTAATGGGTTCGGGGTTTTCTTTGGGTTGATTAGAAAGTTCTAGAACTAGAAAGTGACAATGGTTGTGCAACATTGTGAATATACTTAATGCCTCTACATTGTATACTTTAAAATGGTTAAAATGGTAAATTTTATGTTATACGCATTTTACCACAATAAATAAAGAGAACACATGTAATAAATATCTTATGATCAAAAGGTTCAAATTTGTTAAGGTGATCACAATTGTAGCTAAGCTGCTCATCTAAATTTTCTGTCTTCTCTTTAGTAAGTACTATCTTGGACAAAATTATCATAAACCTTTCTCTCCCCTTTCTCTGGGATGACATGAAGAGGTTGTCTTGCACAAACATGTGCAAACCTGGACTAGGGAGAACAGGGACAAAGAAGGCCGAGTAGTGATTCAAAAGGGAGACCAAAAGCCCCAACATTTACCACCAAACACCTCAGAACAAAAAATATAGATTCCTGGGCCTCTCCCCAGACCAAGTGATTCAGAGCATCTGGGGTTGATTCTGATCAACATGGCATCAATATTTTTAAAAAGCACTCCATACCTGTAATCCCAGCACTTTTGGAGGCTGAGGCAGGCAGATCACGAGGTCAGGAGATCGAGACCATCCTGGCCAACATGGTGAAACCCCGTCTCTACTAAAAATACAAAAATTAGCTGGGTGTGGTGGTGCATGCCTGTAGTCCCAGCTACTCGGGAGGCTGAGGCACGAGAATAGCTTGAACCCAGGAGGCAGAGGTTGCAGTGAGCCAAGATCACGCCACTGTACTCCAGCCTGGCGGAGGTTGCAGTGAGCCGAGATCACGCTACTGCACTCCGGCCTGGTGACAGAGACTCCATCTCAAACAACAACAACAACAAAGAAGCACTCCAGGTGATTCGAACGCAGAAGCTGCCAAGATTGCAAACCACTAATCTAGGACGAGCAGGGTAGGTGACTGGCTTTATCAAGCGCTCACTGTGGGCTGGGTGCTGTGCCACTCTTTATATAGAGCACCTACAGCTGAAGGTGCCATTCCCAAATCCCCTTAGACCACCAGTCCCCAACCTTTTTGGTACCAGGGACTAGTTTTGTGAAAGACAATTTTTCCACAGACCAGGTACGGGGGATGGTTTTGGGATGATTCAAGCACATTACATTTATTGTGTATTTTATTTCTATTATTATTACATTGTAATATAGAATGAAATAATTATACAACTCACTGTAGTGTAGAATCTGTGGGAGCCCTGAGCTTGTTTTTCTGGAACTAGACAGTCCCAACTGGGGGTGATGGGAGACACTGACAGATCATCAGGCATTAGATTCTCATAAGGAGCTCACAACCTAGATCCCTCGCATGTGCAGTTCACAGTAGGGTTTGTGCTACTATGAGAATCTAATGTTGCCACTGATCTGACAGGAGGCGGAGCTCAGATAGTAATGCGAGCAATGGGGAGTGGCTGTAAATACAGAGGAAGCTTTGCTTGCACAACCACTGCTCATCTCCTGCTGTGAGCAGTACCAGTCCGGTCTGTGACCTGGGAGTTGGGGACCCCTTAGACTTTTTCTGGCCATGACCCTGGTGTCCCCTAGAGTAGCACTCAACCTTTTTTTTTTCCCTTTGATACAGAGTCTTGCTCTGTCACCCAAGCTGGAGTGCAGTGGCGCAGTCTCAGCTCACTGCAACCTACGCCTCCTAGGTTCAAGCAATTCTCCTGCCTCAGCCTCCCAAGTAGCTGAGATTATAGGTGCCTGCCACCATACCTGGCTAATTTTTCTATTTTTAGTAGAGACAGGGCTTCACTATTTTGGCCAGGCTGGTCTTGAACTCCTGACCTCAAGTGATTCCACCCGCCTCGGCCTCCCAAAGTGCTGGGATTACAGGCGGGAGCCACTGTACCCAGTCGGCACTCAACCTTTGAGGGAGAGGAGATAAGGGACAGATACCCCAGGTTTCTTACCCCTTGGGTGGAATAACTCTGAGGCATACTATAAACCTGGGATAAGGAAACCCTTTTTGTAAAAGGCCAGATAAATACTCTGGGCTTTGTGAGCCATGTAGTCTCTGCTGTAACTACTCAACTCTGCCTTTGTAGTGTGGGAGCAGTCACGAACAATGCCTAAATGAATGGGTATGGCTGTGTTTCAATAAAACTTTATTTATAAAATCAGACAACAGCCAGGCACGGTGGCACATGCCTGTAGTCCCAGTTATTTGGGAGACTGAGGCAGAAGGATTGCTTGGGCCCAGGAGTTCAAGTCTAGCCTCGGTAACATAGCCAAACCCTGCTCTAGGTCTAAACAGATTCCCAGAATCCTCATCAAGAAAAAGTGACAAAGTTGGAACCTGTCAATAACACACCTTAAAAATAGAGGTTTCTTCCTTTCTTACGCTTCCTGGGATCACCGGCTATAGAAATTACTTGCATTGTATGTGTGTATACATCCCTAAGTAATATATATTACCACTTTGTGTTTCACAGTAATTACACAATAACCATCATTTGACATGTTAGAAAAAAGAAAAGATATAAAACTACTTGCACTTAAATCCTTGTCTCAGAGCCTGCTTCTGAGGGCACCCAACCTACATTATTATTTCATTTTATACTCATAACTACTCTAACAGTTAACTAATACCATCTCCATTTTATAGTAAGGAAACTGAGGTTCAGAGATTACACAACTCGTAAGTGATAGAGTTCCTGTGAGATGTCTATCTGGCTCCAAAGTCAGTGCTCTCTCCACAACACTGCCAACGTAAGAATGGATATAAACAAATACATGCTCATGCACAAACACACACAAATACTTAATCAAATATACAGCTTTAATTATGGCAAGGAAGAGTACTACATACAGCAAACCATAAAGCAAAATCATACTACTCATGTACTTAATGATCTATGTTAAGGAAGATCAAATAAATAAACAAGTAGTTTAAGATAAATACACAGTAAGGTTTGAGGGTTATAGGAAAATACTTTTTTCTCTTTTATGCTATTTCTTATCGAAGAGAGAATTCATGTCTCATCTACAATTGGTTGCAATCTTAGGAGGTAAAACCTTTGCTTATACTTGGGAACATGTATACCCATTCAAGGTAGAGCTCCATATGTGACTTGGAATTTGGAGAGAAAGGCACTAGATTAAAATATCTTCTTACATATTTCAACATGGGAGTGGAGAGGGAGCACGTGTGAAATTCCCCTATGGATACTAAGGATTCCAGAGAACACCCCAAAAACCCAGAACCAGCATATCTGCAAACCAGTGTTTCAGCTTACGCGGTCTTGCCCTCACTGTCGTGTTTGGTGGCACTGGCCCCCTTCTTGCCGAGCAGTGAGGCCACCTTCTCCGCATCTCCATTCTCCACGGCCTGCAGTAGCCGGTCATCATTCTTGTTCCACTCATTGGTCTGTAGAGAAAGAGAAGAAACAGAGGTCATGAACAACACTGGCCACAGCCGCACTGACCAGCAGGGCTGCAGTCCTCGCAGCCCCCACCCTCCTGTCACTCAAATTAAAGCCTGCTCCCGAATGAGTGTGTTTTAAAATACCTTCCCCTTCACCATGGAGACACCCAAGAAGGCCGCTTTCCCAAAAGAAAACATAAATAGTGCAATGAAATCACGGCTAGTCACCAAACTCTGAGATAAAATTTACTTCTTTTAACTAACACTAGGAATATGAAGCAACGTAAAAAGACCTCAAGGCCAGTTTACACATTAGCTAATTTCTCGCTGAACTAGACAGCTGCTCCTCAGCACGTTGGCCTTTGACCTCATCCACAGCTCACTCTGTCCACCGTGTTACAGAACCAAACCAGCAGCTCAAGGTTACCCGAGGTTTACAGACACATAATTTTTCATCTGCTTTTATTGCCTCTCTTTCTGGTCTGTTTACCAGGCCCTGAATTTTGAGCTGGATACTGATTTTAAGTAGTTGTCCAGGCTACCGACTCAACAAAGTCTCACCAGAAACAAAACTTCTTCCTGAGCAAGCTCTTAAACGTCAAAGAGCTTTGAGCAAAGCCTCAATCACTGTCAATGCCAAACCCCAACTGAATAATTCTGCAAACCACAGTAACAGTAAGGCACTCGTATGTGCAAAACTGATTTCTACACTTAGGAGGGAAAGAGACGATTTCTATATAAGAGCAGATGGGCTCTGAATATAAGACTAAGAAAGACATGAAAGGCAGCAGTGAGCCACTGAAGGTTTGGGAGCAGAGGAGGGAGAGAATTATAGAACCAGTGACTGAAGAGTCATTGGGAGGTGTTGAAGCACGTGGGATTAATGAGGGAAAGAGGGGAGGAAGGAAAGATGTTGAGCATATCAGAGGCTCTGGGCACTTTGCAAGCCCGGGCTGCCTTCCAGTCGTCTCCTGCGCCCGGCCCCTGAGCTAAGCCCACTTTCTGGCCCCTTCGGCTGTGGACACCACACCCTGGGAGAGACTCCTTTTCCCTTCCCAAAGCTTTCTATAGACTCTGCTTCCTTGCAGCCTCTGAAGGGATGAACCTCCAGGTATTTCGTATTAACAGCTTTACGATCGACCCTTAAAAGGAAGCAGACAGAGGAGATATTGTAGATTTAAAAACTAAAAAGAAGAAATTTTACAGGATGACAGTCTTCCACGGCCCCGGGAGTATGTTCCCAATCTCTGTACTGATGGAAATGAGGAAACCCAACAAGTCTTTGTCCATCAGATGTCTCAGTCACCCTCCCAACCCTAGCCCATATGTAGGGCCTTAAGCCAGGGAGGGATAAAAGAGATGTGTTCAGAATTTGCATCTCTGAACGTCTCAGGACTGAACCATTCCCAGTTTTTAGGACTCTGTCCTCCCCCACCAACACTGAGTGCAGGTGCACAGTAGGAATGAAGCAGGTTTGAACAAAAATCAGCAGCTTGTTCTCTGGGCTGCGTGAACTTGAAGTCCAGAACTCCAGACTGACACTTACATGTTGTGTGACCTGAAGTCACCCATAATCTTTCTGTGCCTCAGTTTCCCCAGGCTTTGGACTGGATGTCCACTGTGATTCCACCAAAGCTCAAAATTCTTATTATATAAAATTCCCCAAACTCTGCTAGGGATTACTCTAGAACAGGACTGTCTGCCGTCATGGAAATGTTCTTTATCTGGGCTTTCAAATACTATAGCCACAAAGCCAGTGATTCTTAACCAGGATTTGTTTTGCCCCTGTGGGGTCATTTGGCAATCTCTGGAAACATTTTGGTTGTTATGTCTATAGAGTGCTACTGGCATTGAGTAGGTAGAGACCAGGTGTGCTGCTGAAAGTCCTACAATGCACAAATGCATGAGACAGTCCTCCTACCCCCACCAAGAATAATCTGGCCCAAAATGTCAATACTGCATGAGCCACTTGTGGCTACTGAGCACTGGAAATGTGGCTAGTGCTACTGAAGAAGTGAATTTTTAACCTCGAGACTTCACGTGACGTTAGCCAGAGGCCACCATGTAGACCAGTGCAGCTCTCCTTGATGACTCTCCTCATAGGTTTAACAAAGTAAGAATGTGTCTGGACCAACATCAGCCACGCTCCTACTACAGCAATTTACTCACAAAGAAATGAGATTTTTGTCTTTAGTTACCAATCAAGCTTCCTGTTGAAGGGAAACATAAGAAATATGGCGTTCCTCACACCATCATTTGTTAGTAGAATAGAAAGCGTAACTTAACAACTGTACAAACAACTACAGCAAATGATCAAGCCCCAAGAAACACAGTGCAGCTTATTCCCCCAGAGTGCACTTTACAAGCAAAGAAAAAAGGGAAGAACATTTAGGACCAATGATCCCTACCTATAGAATCCTAAAAGAGAAAAGTATTGTTTTTCCAAATCCTTTTCTAACCTAAACTGAACAAATTAAAACTGGACTGGGAAGATCAAAAGGATATGATCAAATCTCAGAGGACAGGACTGAAAGTATTCAAGCAAAGGAACGGCCGCATGAAAGGATTTTCCTTTTCAACGTTGCTAAGGCACTCTACTCTTAGGTAGAGAAAAATCTGATTGCAGGGGTTCCCTAAAATTCGTTCCACATGGATCTTTAAGGGAGTTCAGTTTCTATAAGACATGGCAGGAGAGATCTTCCCTATCCTGCTCTTTGGAAGACAAGGTCAATGCAACATTCCTAGTGGTCTGAAATGCCTCTCTTCTATCTAGAGCCTCTTTTCAGTGCAGGCCAGAATTTACTTTTCTCTTGGAGCAGATGAAGAGAACATGGCTACACAAGCAAATCTTCAATAAATAATCCACAACACCATTCAAGAAGTGCTGCAGATGGGGTTCACAGTAAGCAGAGCTAGGTTGGGAAAAGAGGAGGGAAGGTAAGAGCCTGGGCGTGGTAGCTCATAACTGTAATCCCAGCTACTGGGGAGGCCAAAGCAGAAGGATTGCTTGAGTTCGAGACCACTCTGGGCAACACAGTGAGACGCCATCTCTAAAAATAAAAAATTTTAAGAAGAGTTTTGCTCTTAAAATTCTCACAAGCATGCTAAAACTAGAGGCCAAGTAGGGTCCCAATTAGACGTCTGATCCAGGAATCTGGATTCTGATCAAATAGCAGAGTTGTCTAGTCCTGGGCCAGGCCACTAATCATACTTGCAATTAGCTCTGATATGCACAACTGGCCATATCATGCTCCTTCCAGAAGCACAGTGATAAAGAGGCCATCAGTTTTCCTTCCTAAACTTGCCCACGGAGATATTTCCTACATCCTCTCATCCTCTCCTATAAAACTATTCTATCCAGTGCCATACTCTTTTTTTTTTCTTTCTTTTGAGATGGAGTCTCACCTTGTTGCCCAGCCTGGAGTGCAGTGGCACGATCTTGGCTCACTGCAACCTCTGCCTCCTGGGTTCAAGCGACTCTCCTGCCCCAGCCTCCTGGGTAGCTGGGATTACAGGCATCTGCCACCATGCCTGGCTAATTTTTTTTTTTTTTTTTTTGAGATAGAGTCTCGCTCTGTCACCAGGCTGGAGTGCAGTGGTGCAATCTCAGCTCACTGCAACCTCCGCTTCCTGGGTTCAAGCGATTTTCCTGCCTCAGCCTCCCGAGTAGCTGGGACTACAGGCACATGCCACCACGCCCAGCTAATTTTTGTATTTTTAGTAGAGGTGGGGTTTCACCATGTTAGCCAGGATGGTCTTGAGCGCTTGACCTCGTGATCTGCCCACCGTGGCCTCCCAAAGTGCTGGGATTATAGGTGTGACTCACAATACCTGGCCCAATTTTTGTATTTTCAGTAGAGATGGGGTTTCACCACATTGGCCAGGCTGGTCTTGAACTCCTGACCTCAAGTGATCCTCCCACCTTGGCCTCCCAAAGTGCTGGGATTACAGGCGTGTGAGCCACCGTGCCTGGCTCCAGTGCCATTTTCTATACCAAAATTCCCATAGCCAATCACAACATGAGACAAAACAGATGTTCAATAAGCACTTTGAGTCATTCTTTGGAATCCAGAAGCAAATCCTCTCCCCTACCCCCACCCCCAAGCATCAAAAAAAATCTCAAAAAGTCACTTTGGTCAATCTACTGTCCAAAAGTAGAGCTGGTCAAATAAATAGGTAAAGTTTGAAATTTTATCATAACATCCCAAAGTAATTCATTCATACTCTAGAATCAAAGAAGGCTTTTGGAGACCACCATCAAACTAACAAAATTACCTCTCACCACTTTCCATGAAAATCCTCTCCTCTAACTAGCATGCCCTCCATAGGACAGGACTGATTCTGCCTCCACCCTGGGCTTCTGGTCCTCTTATAGTTTTCAACTCTATGAAAGCTGTATAGTTTATCGGTTAACCTCACATGTTAAAAAAATAAAATAGAAAACATCAGATGTACCACCTTTAATAAAGTTAAATGTCTTATGAAGCTTTTATTTATTACATGTATGTGTATCCTGACTGATATAAAATACATTTCTGGACTGGGCACGGTGGCTCGTGCCTGTGATCCCAGCTACTTGGGATTCTGAGGCAGGAGAATCGTTTGAACCCGGGAGGTGGAGGTTGCAGTGAACCGAGATTGCACCACCGCACTCCAACCTGGGCGACAACCCAAGACCTTGTCTCAAAAAAAAAGAAAAGATACATATATATATATATATACACACACACACACACACACACACACACACACACACACACACACACATATATGTAAGAAATATAGATATTTCTTACTGGAGGATCACAAGAAAAAACACTGGCAGCCACTGCTTCAGAATGCTCTGTCACCCCATCTGCCTAAGCAAAGGCGTATTTCGAAAGCCTAGCTCAAGCCCCGCGGGCCCTCTCCACCCTTTCCTGGTGGCCTCTCTCTGTTTCTCTACTCCATTGCGTCCCTGGGGGCCATCCACTCGCTCATCTCAACCGAAGCCCACAGTCTAGACTTGATGAAATATCGCATCCTGGTTTTTGTTCGAGAGCTTACGGTTTTTCTCCTGTGTTTAGCTCCCTGAAGGCCCTGAGAACAGTCTTCATTTCTTACCCCCATGGTGCTCAGTATTTGCTGCTGATTTTAGCAGGAGGTTGATTGGCCTAAATCACTCTCGACTTAGCAAATATTTGTTTTTTCATTTACAAAAGTTTCATTCTTTTGCAAACAACTATTAAATCGTGTTTCAGGTTTTTTTATAGGCTAAATAAATCCAACTCCCTTAACTTTTTTAAAAGGCCAATTTTCCAAGATTTTAATCATGCAAATACTTTCTTCAAATCTCTTCCCAACTAAGGAGCCCAGCCTTATAAATTCAATCAGGGTGAACGCGATGTCTCCCAGTCACAAGAATCACCTGGGTGCTTGTTAAATCTGCAGACTCCCAAGCCCCATCTAGCAGACTCTGACCCCAGGAGTCTGGGGTGGAGCCCTGGAATCACTTAGGTTCAACGAGTGCATCCTTTGATTTTTATTGCTAACTTGAGGACAACTGGAACCTATGTTAAGACTAACAGGAGAATTCACTTGAAAGAATTTTCTTCTTCCACAAGGCATTAAGGAAGCAGGCCTGTGAAGAGAAGAATTCTTCACTATTTTCTTGTAGAACTAGGTATTTTGTTTCCCATAAAAGCTGAGTAAATATTGGTCTTTCCCCAACCTGTGTATAAGACATGCATTAGAATGTCAACGAAAGCATCGCTCATAACAGGCAAGAATTACAAATAACCCAAATTTCCAATAACAAACGACGGATAAATTATCACGTCGTCAAGCAACAGAATAACACACAGCAATGAAAATGAACAAACTACAACTAGGTACAACAGCACAGATGGGTATTAAAAACAGTACTGTTGAAAGAAGCAAGACACACACAAGAAAACCCACAATAGTATGACTGCATGCACATAAAGATAGAAACAGGAAACATGGAACCATAGTGTTTAGGGATGTATATACAGATGATAAAATTATAGCCTGGGTGAGGTGGCTCACACCTGTAATCCCAACACTTTGGGAGGCCGAGGTGGGCAGATCACTTGAGGTCAGGAGTTCGAGACCAGCCTGACCAACATGGTGAAACCCCCGTCTCTACTAAAAGTACAAAAAAATTAGCCAGGCATGGCGGGCACCTATAATCCCAGCTTCTCGGGAGGCTGAGGCAGGAGAATCGCTTGAACCCAGGAGGCAGAGGTTGCAGTAAGCACTCCAGCCTGGGCGACAAGAGGGAGACTCCATCTCAAATTAAAAAAAAAAAAAAAAATTATGGCCGGGCGCGGTGGCTCACACCTGTAATGCCAGCACTTTGGGAGGCTAAGGCAGGCGGATCACCTGAGTTCGGGAGTTCGAGACCAGCCTGACCAACATGGAGAAACCCTGTCTCTACTAAAAATCCAAAATGAGCCAGGCATGGTGGCGTAGCCTGTAATCCCCGCTACTCGGGATGCTGAGGCAGGAGAATCACTTGAACCTGGGAGGCAAAGGTTGTGGTGAGCTGAGATCGCACCATTGCACTCCAGCCTGGGCGACAAGAGCAAAACTCCACCTCAAAAAAAAAAAAAAAAAAAAATGATAAAGCAAAGTAAGGATAAGGTCAGTATAAAAGTAAGGGTCATGATTAGGGGTGAAGGTGTGGCATCCTATCAGGAAGGGACACCCGGGGCCATTCTGGGACTTGCTCTGTTTTAGGGTCTGATTAGCAGCTCCTCAGATGCTCACTTTATAACTACTTGTTAGAACGTACATGGTTTTGTGTACTTTTCTCCATATGTGATTTATTTCTTTTATTTCCTTCTCCTTCCCTCACCATCCCCCTTGAGGCATACAAAACACATACACACAGAATTTAGAAAGAAGTCCTGTGCTTCAGTTTTTGGTCAACACCAGGTCAAACGCCTTCGAACGGTTCAGTCTCACTTGCTGTTTCCTCGTCGCTTAAAAAAAAAGGCAGAGTGGCGCCAAAATCTGGTTCTTAATCTTCTGGAGGCCTCATGGACCCCCTGGAGAATCTGGTACAGTTACAGACATTCCTCAGAATAATGCACATCCACACAAAAACTTGCATATGATTTCTGGCCTAAATATCTACCCCCACCCAGCCCACTCCTAAGCCCAAGTTTAAAATTCCTGGTGTAGAAAAGAAGAGACAGACTTCAGAGTTCGGTGCTATTGAGTTGAAATTCCAGTTCCATCACTTCTAGGTGGTCATCCGTGTCCCTGGGCCTCCCTGTCCTTATCTATAAATGGCAGGAAATCCCCCCTACTTGTAAATTATCCTGAGAATCAGATGCAGCATACATAAACAGCCAGGCACATACTAGGTACCTAAAATGGTGATTCTTCTGGAATTTGATGAGCTGCACTGTTCCTTCTTGACTAATGTTCTATGAATATTTTAATATTTACAATTTAGGACTGATAGTCCAATACCCTTTTAGAGGCTGATAACAGCTTAATGCAAATTTTCTACTATGCTCCTTCAAAATCATATTTTAAAGGGCTCTAGAGAAACATTCACAGACATGAAATTAATGATTTTATTGAATATGGCTCACTTTTCCAAGAGACTGTTTAAACAGACACGATTTCAACAGAGAACATTAAGCCATACTTGCAAGTTCAGGAAGCCATATGTTATGCTGCAGAGACATGTGTAATGTGTCAGCTATGAAGGGCGGCATGTGGGAAAGAGCCCTTACCCTCAATATGGGCTCCAAACATTCCTGCTAATATATCACAAATGATATTGGCTGGCCGGTAAGTTTCCTATTCATCAAATCATTTCCAAATGACACTGACTTACTTAAAGGTTTTCTCTTGAAGCTTGGCCTTTTTGAAGCCTTGCCTGCCTCCATCTAGAATAGCAAACATCATGTCAACCGGGTGATGAACGCTGGGGATTTGGCAACCGGCAGTGTCTGCCCTTGGCCAGACATGGCATCACCTTCTTTTATTTTGGTTTAATCATTGGGACCTGAAAAACCAGTGGAACTCAGTGGTCACAGACATCTGGCTAGTCAAGAGGTTCTGAGTTTTCAAACATATCAACTCAATCAAAATAATCCAGTGGCACAGAATAAGCCAGGAAGAGAGTTTCTTTGACTTTCTTGAGAAAAGATGCCAAAACCCTAACCATCACCAATTAGAATGCTCTTGTTCTGTGCCTCTGCTCGGGCAGCCATCTGGAGGAATCTATCTGAGATTATCTTGAGAAAAGCTGCATTTCTTGCTCCAGTTTTCGGTGAGGAGACTGTTTTGCCAATATAATCAGCAAGTCTAAGACGAAAGACAAAGTAAACTGTTTTCACTGGGAAGGTTTCAGATTCACATTGTCCAGGAAAAAATCTTGCGCACACCTCATCATTTTAAGAAAGGGTACAAGGAACAGGCAAGCTTCAGTCTCAAATAATATTTTCCCCAGTTGACTATATCCACCAGTACTTACGGATATGTATCTACTAGGTGCAGGGTAATAAAGAAGATTCTATAGCTGTTACACAGATAAGTGAGATCTAATCCCTATCATTCATTCACTTATTCAACAAATAAGTGTGTTTTACATGCAGTATAGCCTTTCCCAAATTTTCTTTTTTTTTTTTTAATTTTTATTTTTTTAATTTGTAGAGACGGAGTCTCCCTAGGTTGCCCAGGCTGATCTTGAACTCCTGAGCTCAAGGGATCCTCCCACCTCAGCCTTCCAAAGGGCTGGATTATAGGCATGAGGCTCCCAAATTTTCTATATAGTTGCAGAGATCAAATACGGTAATACCAGAAATACGCCAACAATGCAAAATAGGATATTAGAAGTGGCAAAGTGAGCAAAATGGTGAATTGACACACTAGCAAGGAAAGACAACTCTCAGCTGGGCAAGCAGGGAGTTTCCTGACTGGATTGTGAACCAGTCCTTGCAAGAAGTAATATTTAAATTAAAGGAGAGAAGAAAAGACACAAGGATTGAAACATACAGGATGTATTTAGTAGAGAGCATAAACAACAAGTTGATACAAGTGAAACCTTACAACCAGAAAATTACCAATACAACACGGCAAGCACCTAACCAGCAGTTTCATAAAAGAGTGTTCCAGATAATGTTCGTTACTTCAGACCAATACCTGATGAGTTTATCTAAAATGTCTTTTCCCTTTACTTACATTTTTGCTTAAGATTATTCACACATGCAGGTTACACTGTCCCTGCTATTCACCCCGAAATCCATCACTCTCCCTAAATGAAGAGTGTCAGCACTTCCTGAGGTCTTTTCTACATAACTGCCGAGTGCTGTGGCGTGTACATAATACATAAACACCTCCATCCAGAAACAGGCTGGTCCCTCTGCCCTACCCACTTCAGCAAGCTCCTCCTCCTCATTGCTTTCCTTTTCCCCAGCCCTTCATGGCCACCAGGACCAGGTTAGTTCTCTTTGCTGGGGTCCCCCATGCTCTCTTCCATAGGCCTTGGCATGGTTGTAATTAAATAGTATTTCCAAAGTATCTGTAAAGGTCTGTCCACCTTCCACTGGACTAGACTTCCAGGGCATGGGCAATGGCTAGCATCTGTCTCGTTCACCACTAAGCCCCATGCCCCTTGCCCACTGCCCACTGGATGGTAGGGGCTCAGTTCAGAGCTGTGCATGGAAAGGCTTTGTTTTTCTCATTTCTACCTTGGGAGCTACTATTAATTAACCTCTTTAAGAATTTTAAATTATTAAATAATTTTAAAGACCCACCATGTCACAAGAAGTCAAAGCACAGTCTCATGGGGGCAGAGATAAGCCTAAAATAGGTGAAGCCAATTTTTTCCTTCATGGAGAAAAATTATCCCATCCAATTCTATTGGTTTCAACTACTCATTTACTTATATTCATTATTTAGAGAGTGAGAGAGTATGTGTGTGTTTATCTTATGTACTATGTGAAGTGCTTGGCATAGAAAGATTGACAGGAATATTGTTCCTTGAGGAGCCTTCAGACTTCTGAGAAGAGAAACATACCCAATAGCTACTTATGTCATTGTTTATCCGTGCTAGACTAGTGCTGTGGACTCAGTCCTATGAAAGCCCAAAGAGGATACCATTACTACTAAAATTAAAATGTACAGTGCGAGGAGCTGTACTATATTACAATTTAACCTTTACAATAACCCTATGAGGTAGGTACTATTATTAGCCCTTTACAGATAAGGAAAATAACAAAGAAGTTAAAAAACATATGCAGTCACTCCATTTACAATATAGTTGGTTCTCTCCAGAGGAGAAAGCCAAAGCAATTCAAAGGAAAATGAAGGAGGGAACTGTATTAGTTGGTTTTCACGCTGCTGATAAAGACATAACTGAGACTGGGAAGAAAAAGAGGTTCAATTGGATTTACAGTTCCACATGGCTGGGGAGGCCTCAGAATCATGGCAGGAGGCAAAAGGCACTTCTTACATGGCAGTGGGAAGAGAAAAATGAGGAAGAAGCAAAAGCAGAAATCCCTGATAAACCCATTAGATCTCGTGAGACTTACTCACTATCATGAGAATAGCACAGGAAAGACCAGCCCCCATGATTCAATTACCTTCCCCTGGGTCCCTCCAACAACATGTGAGAATTCTGAGAGATACAATTCAAGTTGAGATTTGGGTGGGGACACAGCCAAGACATATCAGGAACTTTTTAGGATGTTTAAACTTTTTAGGGGGGTTTAAATGTGTTCATACACTGGGGCAAGCAAAGGAGTCAGTGGAGACAGAGATAGCATGAAAGGTATAAGGATTGGGAGGCTGAGGCGGGCAGATCCCTTGAGGTCAGGAGTTCAAGACCAGCCTGGCCAACATGGTGAAACCCCGTCTCTACTAAAAATACAAAAATTAGCTGGGTGTGGTGGCATGCACCTGTAATCCCAGCTACTCGGGAGGCGGAGGCAGGAGAATTGCTTGAACCCAGGAGACAGAGGTTGCAGTGAGCCGAGATCACACCACTGCACTCCAGCCTAGGCTACAGAGCGAGAGTCTGTCTCCGTTAAAAAAAAAAAAAAGGCCAGGCGCAGCGGCTCACACCTGTAATCCCAGCACTTTGGGAGGCTGAGGCAGGCAGATCATGAGGTCAGGAGATCGAGACCATCCTGGCTAACACAGTGAAACCCCGTCTCTACTAAAAATACAAAAAATTAGCCGGGCATGGTGGCAGGCACCTGTAGTCCCAGCTACTTGGCAGGCTGAGGCAGGAGAATGGCGTGAACCCGGGAGGCGGAGCTTGCAGTGAGCCAGGATCGCGCAGCTGCACTCCAGCCTGGGCGACAGAGCGAGATTCCATCTCAAAAAAACAAAAAAAAAAAAGGCGGGGGGGGGAGGGGGTGGTGTATAAGGGGAGGAGGTGTGATGAAAGGGGCTGGGAGGTGGCAGAATTGAGGATTCAACCAAGGCAGAAGGCTGATCTTTGTGAATTGGGGTCGTGTTCTACCTCTGAAATAGTAAAGAGGAAGAGGAGCATGAGCAGAGATGCAGTGGCAGAGAAGAAGTCACTGTTGGTGTTTTATGGCTTTTACCTTTTCTTGGGGAAATGGGAGACAGAGTAAGCCCGGTCAGTGGTGGGCCAAGAAGCCCTACACATGGTAATGCTCCAATAGCTCCCGGGGGGAAGTGAGTAAGGAAACCTGCTTAAAATAAATATAAGGGTCTTTGAACAGCTCCAAAGGTCCAGCTGGGAGCAGCATTTGTAACTCCATAGAGAAACCATTTGGTAAGGTCACATGATTTTTCACTGGAGGCATCGGGTAGGATGGGAGAAAGGGGCAGTTGGCTTGATCTATCATGGGAGACTGAAAAGACAGAGAGTGAAGCAGAGATTCCAGGGTCAAAGGGTGAGAAGTGGCAGTGAGAGAGTACCTGCAATGACTATGGGATTGGGGACAGGTAAGGACAAGGTCCAGGGACTGGTCCTATAGATCAGAGGCAAGGTGTTGGATGGGTCATTGATGTGAATGTTAGAGTTCCCAGAATGATGGCAGAAAGGAAAAATCCTGGTGAAATATTAGGGAGCCACTTAGATGTCCCCAAAATATGGTGAAAAGCATGAGATGAGGGTGGCCCAGTATAAGCAAGAGCAGCAAATGTCAAATGAAAAAGGAGCAATGAGATTGTACAGAAAATGAGTCAAGCCTTATGACAAAGTGGCTTCTTGTGATTTGCTGAATTTTGAGTATGTGCTAGTACCTTCCAGGTGCCATAAATAATTTATTTCATTTAAATCACCATAACCACCTTTACTGGGTTGAACAGTGTCCCCAGAAAATGCACATTTTCCCAGTACCACAGAATGTAACCTTATTGGATAATAGGGTCTTTGCAAACATCATCAAGTTAAGATGAGGTCATATTCGTTTAAGTTGGATCCAAAATCCAATGATTGGTGTCCTTGTAAGGAGAGAGAGACTCAAAGGCATAGAGACACAGAATGAAGGCTATGTGATAATGGAGGCAGAGACTGGAATTATGCTGCCATTAACCAAGGAACACCAAAGATTGCCAGCAACCACCAGGAGCTAGAAGAGGCAAGGAAGGATTCTTCCCTAGAACCTTGGGAGGGAGCATGGCCTTGCCAATGCCTTGATTTTCGAGAATCATTTCTGTTGAGAGAATACATTTCTGTTGTTTTAAGCCACCCAGTTTGTGGTCATTTGTTACAGCGGTCACAGGAAACTGATAGACCATCCTGAGGCAGATATTGTTATCCTCATGTTACTGATGAGAAAACTGAGGCAAAGAAAATATAAGCATCTTGCCTAAAGTTACAAAGTCAGAGAGTGGAAGACCTGGAATTCAAACCCTGCACTCCAATGCTCTTATCACTGCACTTTCCTGCCTCCCGCATATGCCCATCACATTGAGAAGACTTCCAAAAAACCAAGCCAACTGGAAGAGAACAGCAGATCACAGCACAGTGGTCACTGGGGCGAGGGAGAGACCTCAGTCTGCTGGTATCAAGACTGGGAACTCTGAGGTCTGAATAAGTGCCTTTTAAACACAGGAACCACACCTAAAGAAAACTCAGTATTAAATATAAAATTTGTAGTTACACAAAAGCATTTAAAACAAGATTATTTGCTTTATAAACATGTTCATAAGGCCTCTGTGAATAGCAAGCTTTTGCGGAAAAAAAAATATAGGATTTGATCTACTCAAACATTCATTCATTGCTTAAAGGGAGGTACGCATGTAACAATGAATATTTTAGGGTCTGAGCAAGGCTTCCTTGCCCACAGACAAGACACTTGGAGACAGGTCTGGCTATTATCCAAGGACACTCCAAAAGTATTCCTGGCATGTGTCTGAGCATCATAAGCAGCCACAACTCCTGAGCTTTGCCCTTCACCCAAGCGATACATTACACATTTCACATGAAGTATCCAGACAAAATGATTTCATCCACAAAGTCTGCTTAAGTGCACTTTAAGTGTCTAAATAGTCAGAGTCGAGGACCAAAGTAATCTCCTGTCCTGATCATGCCCTTTACAGATGTTAAAGAATTAACAAAGGGCAAAGAGATAGCTAAAGAAATTCACATGCCATGGAAACAGTCCTTCAAGTTATAAATTCTACGTGAGTGCTAATTAATCTGTATTTTCTCTGCACCCCCGCCCCATACACACCCTTTTGGAACTAGTTAGTTCAACATGTGAAAGAAGGGATCTTCTATGAAGCTGGGGTCTACCCCAGGCCCAGGGTATCTCAATTGCCTATGACTAGTTTCTTGTTTGAACACTAAGAAAAAAATTGGGGACCCCAAGGTTAGGGTAGGAGTCCAAGAGAGCTTCCCATACTTGGTGTTGGCTAGCCCTACGTACATGTAAGTCCTAAGTGACTGTGGGGGTTCAATAGTGTCCTCCAAACATTCATGTCTACCTGGAACCTCAGAATGCAATCTTAATTGGAAATAGGGTCTTTACAGATGTAACTGACTAAGGTTCTAGAGATTAAATTATTCTAGACTCGGGATAGACCCTAAATCTGACAGCTGGTATCCTTAGAAATGGAACAGAGGATGCAGAGACATGAGGAAGAAGGCGATGTAAAGATGGAGGCAGAGATTAGAGTGGTGTGCCTACAAGCCAAGGAACCAAGGATTGCTGGCAACCACCAGAACCAGGAGACAGACATGGAACAGTTTTTCCTTCAGAATGTCCAAAAGGAACCAACCCTGCTGATGTCTTAATTTTGGACTTCTGGCCTCTTGAACTGCGAGAGGCATCCATTGTTTAAGCCACAGCTGGTGGTAATCTGCTATGGCAGCCCTAAGAAACTGATGCGGTGACACATGGAGAGGGTTTGCTCAACCAGCACAAACATCCCCAGAGGACTCCACCCCTACTGACTGCAGTCTGACAGCAGCCTTCTGCAGGAACCACACGCTACGTTGATTTGTTTCCTGTTTGTTCAAAATCACCGGGTGGTGCTTTGGGTATAGACACTAAAAACAGCAGGCTGGGCACAGTGGCTCATGCCTGTAATCCCAGCACTTTGGGAGGCCAAGGCGGGTGGATCACGAGGTCAGGAGTTCAAGACCGCCTGGACAAGATGGTGAAACACCTTCTCCACTAAAAATACAAAAAATCAGCCAGGTGTGGTGGCAGGCGCCTGTAATCCCAGCTACTCAGGAGGCTGAGGCAAGAGAATCACTTGAACTGGGACGGCAGAGGTTGCAGTGAGCCGAGATCGCACCACTGCACTCCAACCTGGGCGACAGAGTGAGACTCCATCTTAAAAAACAAAACAAAACAAAACAAAAAAAACAAAAAACAGCAAACTGCAGTAGTGTATGGCACTTAGCTCAAGGCTGCTGCACACGTCAAATGTTTTTAAATCTACCTCTCTATGTTTTTCACATTTCTTAAAGAAAACACATTTTTATGATTAAAAAAAAAGCAATTGTTTACCGCAATGTTTCTCAAAGAATATGGCTCAAGGCTGCACATTAGAATCACCTAGGTGTCTGAAAAAAGTATGAATGCTTTTAGGTATTCCCTACGATTCTACTGTCGGCCAAAATTACTCTTCGCTTGCCAACAATGAAGATGACACACTGGCTTGATATTAACCACGCCTGTATTTATTAAAATGTTGACCAAGACGAGAGGTTAAATCTCAGCACTCACACCACTCAGCACATATAGACTTAATACATGCCAATGGGCAATCAAGATGCCCCATAGAGAGAAAAGGACCTGAACCAGGCTTGCTGAGCCCCGAGTCATAAGCCCCTTGCCTTGGTTAGCGACGAGGCCACCCAAGCTGGAGAAGCTTCATCTTTTCTCCCTCCACCTCCCCAGCCAATTACTCATCAAAGACTGTCAGCGCCACGTCTCTCGTTTCCCTGGCATTGACTTCTTTTCCATCCCTATGGCCAATCCTCTTATTCAGTCCAATTTGGTTCAACAAACACCTTTTTGGTTCCTACTTTTGCCAGGCATCGTGCTAGACACTTCCTCTTTGCCAAGCTCCTGGGGCACAATGACACGTGTGGATTCTTCATAAAACCATGGAAGAGGTTCTGACACTGATCATTGTTTAGGACATTTCAATTGTCTTTTAACTTGTCTTCCCTGCTTCACTTCCCCTCTTCCCTCTTCCCATGCCAACTTCCCTCATAGTGATGTACTCTTGTCCACTGCTGTGGCTCACTTCCTTATTCAAAACCATCCGTGGCTGTCCATGGTCAACAAGAGATCCCACACTCTTCCATGCCCCCATTCAAGGCTTTTCTTAATCCAGTTTCAAACCTTAAATCCCTCTTTGCCCAGCGCTCCCTCTGGGCCATGCCATATAAGCCACACAAATGCTCTGCCTCAGCCAAGCTCTTGATTCTGGAATCCAAGTTATTCTGTCCTCTTCTACATTGTAACTACGAGTACTTTTTCCTCCCATTTTTATCTGGCCATCTCTCTGCCAACTAGGCATAAAGTTGCTCCCTGCCATCTATTTCAACAAAGCTTTACACTAGCATTCCAAGTATATGGTGCTCCCACTTCATATCTGCTTACAGAGAGGGGAACAGTGTAGGGCTAAGAGCCTGGATTCTGGGTTCCTGAGTTCAAATCTTGGCTCTACCATGTGTGTGACCCTGGAGAAGTTACTTAACCTCGCATGCCTCTGTTTTCTCCATTGTAAAATAGGGGATGCCAGCACATTTTAACATATTTGAATTCCCAAACAGATTGTACTTAATGGCAGAAACTTTCACATTCTTCCACCATGCCCTTCCTGGTAGATCTATCCAGATATTTTTGAATGAATTGTTCCATTAAAATAGAATTTTTTCTGGCTTGGAGGGGATGTTCCACAATGCTCCAAACTCATTATTGTCATTCCAAGTTTCTATAAGCAATGTAAGTGGGTTTGGAAGCCTTAGTAAACAGAGTGACTTAAATAATCAAAATACTACACACATATGAGCACGATGTCTAATGTTATCAGAGGTTAATTTTAAGTAGTCTGGATAGTTTAGTATATTTCAGGCAAGAGACACCACTGATTTATTTAAAACAGAACTCTTATAGTTCTCAAGAAAGGGCATATTTGTTATAGCCTTCCTACACTCCAATAATAGCAAGCCCAAAATAAACGCTAATATCCACCCACAGGGGGAAAAATCTAGTTCCAAGAAATCACTTCTGCCTGGTGTCTAAAGGCAGAGGTCAGCATTTTTTAAAAGCATGAGACAAGGGGCCATGACATTCAGTATCAGTCTGGTCTGGGCTTCAGACGAGCATGTGCACAGATGGCCCTCTTCATCACGGTCTCCCCAGCCCCCAGAAGACACAGGCCTCCAAGGCAAGCCCATGAAGGCTGAACTCTGCAACTGAACATTTCTTAACAAAAGCAACAGAGGAGCCAAACCAAGGATGCTGGCAGATATGGAGAACTTTGGAAAAGTCATTGAGGTTCCCATATGGGAAGCCTCATTCATTACCCTTTTAAAGATCACAAGGGATTCTCCAAAACCGTCTTGGCTTAGAGTTTTGTGATTTAACTAGATGCCAAGTAGCCAGTGAACACACACACAAATCACCAAAAGCAGGAAAATTCGACTCAAGTAATACTGGAACTCTAGCGTGTGGTCTTGTGCTATGGATTCAGGCCTTAATCTAAGACATTTGTCAGCAATCTGCAGTTTGACCCCACACACTGAAAAGCAATGAGTCTATTTATTGTTAAAACAATGAAATAATAATATGAATGCTTTTGAAATTCTGAAACTTTATTTCCAGGGCATCCTATACACAACTTCTTATCACTTACATTTTTTACTGAAAGTCACTTGGTGTATACCTAGTAGTGTCACATAAGTTGAGAGCTCAAGAACAGGGACTGTAGCTTTTATTTTAATTTTTTGAGACAGAGTCTTGCTCTGTCACCCAGGCTGGAGTGCAGTGGTGCGACCTCAGCTCACTGCAACCTCTGTCTCTTGGATTCTCCTGCCTCCTGCCTCCCAAGTAGCTGGGATTACAGGTGTGTGCCACCACACCTGGCTAATTTTGTATTTTTAGTAGAGATGGGCTTTCACCATGTTGGTCAGGCTGGTCTTGAACTCCTGACCTCAGGTGATCCGCCCGCCTCGGCCTCCCAAAGTGCTGGGATTACAGGCATGAGCCACCACACCTGGCCAGGGACCATGGCTTTTACGTCTGTATCCCAGGCATCTGGCACAAGGGCTGACACAAGGCTAGTGATGAATAAATGTTTACTGAGTGAATGAATGCTTGCCTGAGGAAAAGACTCAAGCAGAACACTGGGCTTAACAGATAATATTGCTACTAAAACACTGAGGAAGTAGCCAGCTTTCACAACTTTTCCTTTTGCCCCAACTGCCCCCAAAATATCCTTTTTATGTCTCCATTGCAACTATTTGAATGTTATTATCTTGACAGTTTCATCTTGACACCTCTCTACTACTGAGAATAAACTGGCTCCCTTCTGTCTATTCTAGCAAATCCAAACTCTTTATACTAGCATTAGAAGACCACAGATCTCTAATCTCAGTCCCGCCTTTTGAAATGCAGTATAATATAGTGCTTAAAAGCAAGAACCCAGAAGCCAGACCACCTGGGTGCACAGCCTCGCTCTACCACTTATTATCTCGGGCAAGTTAGTTGCCCCTGTGTGCCTCAACTGCAAGACACGAGATAATAAGAGTAGCCTCTATCAGAGGGTTGTTGTGAGAATTAAATGAATCAAATATTTATAAAATATTGAAAACCATGTCTGGCACAGGGTAAACATTCAGTAAGTGTTAGCTGGTATGGTTATTATTCAAAGACCCATGGGAAATTCCACTCCGTTATTTTGAATAGCGCTTCTTTTTCTCTAGAATTAGCTGATGTTCATATTCACAATATACTTTCATGGCCAAACCCAGATTTACAGACTGTCTACAGCACAGATGAGATATACCGCAGGCTGTATACAAGCCCAGAAGCTTCAGCTGCCACCATACTTATCCAGAGAATAACTGATTTTTAAGCTACTAAGGAGGTTTGAACTTAGGGGAAAATTCATCCATATCTTGAGCAATGTATCGATGTCCCATCAAAATAAACTGCAGAATATACAATTAAGGGAAAACTTGTATCTGCATAGGAAACTGTGGTAAGATGGTATCCTCAAGCTAGAAATTTCAGGATATCTCTTAGAGTGTTAAGTCAGAGGGGACAAATTTGAAGGAAGGCCAATTGGACCAGTGATGTCAACAAGCTGCCTTCTTGTCTGCCAGGAAAATGTCTGGAAGAGATCCCAACAAAATCCCATTCACAGTTCCTAATTCAGAGGAATAAAGGGTGATGGTGAGGGTATGTCAAGTCTACCTGATTCCCACTTGGTGTCACCACAAAAGGCACCACACCAACAGCACACCAAGCAAACAAGGGAGGCCAAGAGTACAGGTGTGCGCAGCCAGTGCCAAGGTGCCCAGCAAGAAAAGGGCACTGCTCCCATGAATTCCACACTGCTCCTGGCAAGGAAAAGAGCATCTGGCAGTCACCTCCAATGCACATATTCCTTGGGTGACAGAATTCTGAATTAGCAAAGTGTAGAAATAGCAAACTGTAGAACAATAACTACAGCTTTTCCTTCCGCTTTTTTATTTTGGACAGAAATATTTGGGGTTTTGTTTTTGTTTTTTTAAATTTTAGAGATGGGATCTCACCGTGTTGCCCAGGCTGGTCTCAAACTCCTGAGCTCAAGCAATCCACCTGCCTCAGCCTCCCCAAGTGCTGGGGTTCAGACATGAGCCACTGTGGTCGGCCTGGACTAAAATATTTGAATACAAATCTTACAACTTCTAATAGACCCCATCTCATTCCTCAATTCCATAGCCCTCCCTCTATAAATATGAGCAGACAGAAATGGCACAGTTCCTAAGAAAAGCTTTAGCAGTCCAAAAGAAGAGAAGTTCTTTGAGGAATCAGAGAACATTTGTTCCTGCAAAACAGAATGACTCTAAGAAACCAGACAGGTTTTCTAATGTGTGCTTTCAATTAGATTCAGGAAAAAATATGTCCATGACACTGCTCTAGAAAACAATCTGAAATCAGAAATATGCCAAATTTAAAATGTGTTGGAAGCAGCAAAGAGCAGATTGAGGAATCCAGATAATTTTGAAGCTTTTTTTGGTTTTGTTTTTTGTTTTTGAGAGAGGGTCTCACTCTGTCACCCAGGCTGGAGTGCAGTGGTGGGCTCATAGCTCACTGCAGCTTCAACCTCCTAGGCTCAAGCTGTCTTCCCACCTCAGTTTCCTGAGTAGTTGAGACTACAGGTGCAAGCCACCATGCCCAGCTAATTTTTAAATTTTTTTTTTTTGTAGAGATGAGGTCTGTGTTGCCCAGGCTGGTCTCAAACTCCTAAGCTCAAGCGATCCTCATCTTGGCCTCCCAGAGTGCTGGGATTACAGGTGTAAGCCACCGTGCCAAGACATCTAAAGAACTTTCTCCTAAAGGTGGTGATCTATTTGGAATGAGTAACAGGTAGTAATTCCAATAACTCCATAATTACCCACAGTATTTTTAAAAACCAATCTGTTCTCAAGACCTTCCTTCAAAATTTTACGCTAATACTACTTTCCTTAACTTGTCAAAAATCCTTCAAGCCCAGCATAAATGCCAGCACCTTCAGCCTCAGCACATCCTGCACTACATTAGGAGTATCTGTGTGCTTACCTGGCCTCTGAATTGTTCTATTTAGTATCCTGGCTGTACCAACCATTTTGGCACCAGAGACCAGTTTCATGGAAGACAATTTTTCCATAGACCAGGGGCCGGGGGAGATGGTTTTGGGAGAAAACTGTTCCACCTCAGATCATCAGCAATTAGATTCTGATAAGGAGTACTCAACCTAGATCCCTCACATGATCAGTTCACAGTAGGACTTGCTCTTCTATGAGAGTTTAATGTTGCCACTCATCCGACAGGAGGCAGAGCTCAGGTGATAATGCCTGCTTGCCTACCACTCACCTCCTGCTGTGCAGCCTGGCTCCTAACAGGCCACAGACAAATACCAGTCTGTGGCCCAGGGACTGGGGATTCCTGAATTACTCAATCACTAGCAGGAATTCTGCACATTATAGACAGCAAAGTAAAACATGGCAAACATTGAAAAGATCATTCTTACAAAGAAAGTTGTCGATGTAACCCTAAAGAACTCTGGTGTTTTTTCTCACTGTTATCTCAATTTGTTCAAACCCACATTCTGGCTGGGCATGATGGCTCATGCCTGTAATCCTAGCACTTTGGGAGGCTAAGGCAGGAGGATCCCTTGAGCTCAGGAATTTGAGACCAGCCTGGGCAACACAGTGAGACCTCATCTCTGTCAAAAACAAACAAAAAAGCTAACCCACAATTGACACAGACTTTTAAGAAAATGCTCTAATTTAACCTGAATATCAGTCTACTTAATGAACGGCTTTACAAAGCATTTCCATAACTATGGAAATTTAGGGCAGTTTGGAATTAAAAAAAAAACAAAAAACACTTGCCATTTTGATTTTTATTTTGAGATGGAGTCTCACTCATTGCCCAGGCTGGAGTGCCTGGTGGAGCGATCTCGGCTCACTGCAACCTCCGCCACCCGGGTTCAAGCTATTCTCCTGCCTCAGCTCCTGAGTAGCTGGGATTACAGGCACACGCCACCATGCCCAGCTAATTTTTGTAGTTTTAGTAGAGACGGGGCTTCGCCATGTTGGCCAGCCTGGTGTCGAATTCCTGACCTCAGGTGATCCGCCCGCCTTGGCCTCCGAAAGTGCTGGGATTACAGGCGTGAGTCACCGCGCCCAGCTGAATTTTTCTTATACATTGCAAAGCACAGTCCAGCCCTGCCCCCTACCAAAAGGTTGAAAACCACCTATCGAGACCTGCTGTGAAGTTTAAATGAGATAATGCATAAAAACCATAGTATGTGCCTTGCACATATTAACTGCTGAGTAAAAGTTCACTATTTTGTCATGATCACTTGTATCACGTATTCTGCACTCTGTGAGGTCCTATGAGTACCACAGGAAAACCACAGCCAAGTTTCCTAACTCGCAGAGCTTATAGGCTGATACTGGAATTGTACAGACAAAAAGATGCAGTCCTATGACGGCACCATTTCTCTGCATGCTAAAACTCCACTCTAATTTATCAAGCTCTAGGCACTTAAATAAACCCTGCCGAATTAATTTCCCTGAAGCACTTCAATGATTCCAACAAATTACAAAATAGACCATAAGATGAATAACATTTGGAATTTCTTTATACAAGTTAGAGTGTTCACATTTTCTAGTTTTCAAGATGATGACTACAACAACTTTCAAAGTTACTTGGAAGATTTATGTTGTAAGAAAGGCACTTTTCCAAATTACCACATGCATTTGTAAATGCCAAGTAATATTTAGTGCATTCAGTTGTTGAAATATAAGCCAGATTGTGAAACTTACTAAAAGCTTTTACGTACAGAGACTTTAACACTCAGAGATGATGAAAAATGTAAAAAAATCTTCAGTAATTAAGGACATAGGACACCTAAAATGCTAAAGACCTGGTGTAAGTATATATTCTAGCTTTTCATTAAGTTTGATAGTATAATTTCTTTACAAAACTTTTGCATATATAAACAAGATTCACCGTAAACAAGTTTCAAAGATACAGAAAATTTAAAAATAAAAATGAAACCACTATCAGTCCTATCACTCAAGAATTACCCTGCCCATTTTTTCTATCAGTCCATATTTTTTCTATGCATATAGCAAATATTTTGCTCAACAGCCCAGTTTTCTCACCAAGTAACATATGCTGAACTTTCTTCCTATCAATAAAGAGCTGCATCAACATTCTTTAAAGCTAAACGATATTAAACATCTAGGTTGCCACCAGGTTTTCATTATAAGCAGCTCCACCTCTAGCATCTTTCAACCTTCATGTCTGTGTAGTATAGTGTGACTTCAAGGATAAATGAGATGGTTGGGTGTGGTGGCTCACACCTGTAATCCCAGCATTTTGGGAGGCTGAGGCAGGCGGATCATAAGGTCAGGAGTTCGAGACCAGCCTGGCCAACATGGTGAAACGCTGTCTCTTCTAAAAATACAAAAATTAGCTTGGCGTGGTGGTATGTGCCTGTAATCCCAGCTACTCGGGAGCTGAGGCAGGAGAATTGCTTGAACCTGGGAGGCGGAGCTTGCAGTGAGCCGAGATTGCGCCACTGCACTCCAGCCTACGCAACAGAGCAAGACTCTGTCAAAAAAAAAAAAGAAAGAATAAATGAGATATGCACAAATACTGCTGGAATCTTCCTGGCCTGCCAGTTAATGCCCCAATTCATACATTTATAATTTTTTTAATCTTTGAGATCACTAATGACATCATTCAATAGAAATCCTTTTCCTTCTACTCCTTCTACTAAAAAGTCTTTAGGGGCTGAGATAAAAGCCTTGGTATGTCTTCTATTGCACCAGCATTAGAGACAAAAGCCTACTGCTGAGGATAGCGAACCACAAAGTTACCACCTTCAGAAAGAGGGGGGTCATATACCTCCTTTAGAAGTTACTAAAAGATAACAGAGGTAGCCCTGCTAATACCAGCTTCCTAGACTATATCAGAACACTGGGGAGCGGGCAATCAGAATCCCTCAAGGGAAGAGCAGTGCTCGTTCCTTCAGGCACCCCAGCCCCCCCAGTTCACTGACCCCACCCCCTGCCCACCAACTGGTGGGGTCATCAACGGAATCACACAGAGACCAGGGGGGCGGGCCTAAAGAGGGGAAGACCAACATCACTTTCACTGGCTGCTCATCTGCTAAGGCAGTAGGTTGCTGATTTCTCTGTGTTCCTCTGAGCCACAGAGAAGAAAAGAACTGGAGAGAAAAGCGTGGCACGGTGGTAGCTCCAGAGAAGCAGCCTATGTACCCCCAGCTGGGAGCGGCAGGGATGAGTGAGTTTCCTGGGACACTACGTTATGAAGCCTGACTTGTGCTATCTTGCCTGTACCCCAACCAAGATGGCTGCCCTTGGGGGAGAGGACCCCTGCAGTAGTAGGAGGGCAGCAGGAAGAGTGGGAAAAGTTCCAACTGAAGGCAGAGCCCGAGTCACGGAGCTGAGATGTGGGACACTGAGCTAACATCTGAGCAGCAATAAGAGGACAGCATCTGTATCCAGCTGAGCAGAGAGGTGTTCATTCACCTTCCCTGTGACCCCAGTGCTTCCTCTCTGTCCCCAACCTTTGCGGGAGACAGGTTGATCCCAGATGAGAAAGAGGCAGAAGGAGAAAAAGGACAGAATGCCCTCTATCTCTTCTCTCCCTTCAGGTGCTTTAGAGAAGGGTCCAGATGCTCTAGGTGAAAGAGAGATTTAAATCAAGTTTGAGATTCAGTTTTTGAACTGGATTACTCTGAAAGCTTATGGAGGTTGAACATTGTGATGGGACAGGAAAAGGAGGTTCTACCTGGCATGGTTGAAATCAGCAACTAGAGAGAAATAAAGACCCTTTCAAATGTACACCTCATTAACTTGAGCAGTTCAATAAATCAATTACATCTCAAATATGGTTAAATGCATATGTTCAATAGGAGCATTCGAGTACTAACACAGACCTGGGCTCAGATCCTGGCTTGTTCATTCATTCGCTTATTTAGCAGTATTCATTGAGCACCTTCTATGCATTGGACAGGCCTGTGAACAAGAACTACAAAGCCCTGTGCTCTGGGAAGTTAAATTCCAGGTGTATATATAATTCTGGAGAATTTCTTTAACCTTGTGCCTCAGATTTCTCATGGAATCTTGCTCTGATATTCCTCCTCTGATCCATTCCTAAAAATCATGGAAATAGAATATAATAAAACAATCTTTTTTCTCAAAGCAACATACACTTCAAACAAATAAACTGAGCAGATCAGTTTGTGTCTCAGAAACACAAGTACAAGTCACACTGAGGCTTCTCAACACAGAGAAGTTACTCTCCAGGCTCTCAGGACAGAGTGAGGATAGTGGCTATGAGAAAGTCAGGAATAGTTTGCCTTGTGTTAATTATAGCCTTATTATCATTGTTTCTAGGTGTACTGGGGAAAAATCCTCGAAGTAATCCTATTAGAGAAAAAATATATATACATATTATATATATACATAAATGACTTTAAAATATATATCATAAATATAATATATATATGTATACATATATATGACTTTTAAATATCAAGCAGGTACCAGGCACCTGTAATCCCAGCACTTTGGGAGGCCAGGAGGGTGGATCACCTGAGGTTAGGAGTTCAAGACCAGCCTGGCCAACGTGGCAAAACCCCATCTCTACTAAAAACACAAAAATTAGCCAGGCATGGTGGCATACACCTGTAGTCTCAGCTACTCAGGAGGCTGAGGCAGGAGGATTGCTTGAACCCGGGAGGCAGAGGGTGCAGTGAGCCAAGATCACGCCACTGTACTCTAGCCTGAGTGACAGAGCAAGACTCTGTCAAAAAAAAAAAAAAAAAAATCAAGCATGGTAAATATTTTGCAAGATTATTGGTAAGAGCTAGTACCTGTATAAGTTAAGATTAGAACTATCTTGGTAAAATTAGTGACAGTGACTCTGCACACCCATTGCCATTGCTCTTTCTATATATACTGTCGAGTCCATGGGCCACATTTGTCTGGCTCTTTGTAGTGATTAAAACCCCTCCTGGGCAAGGGTCCATTGGCTGCAGCTGAAACCCATGGCAGAACAGAAACACCACCTTCCCTGGCAGCAGGGAGCCCAGGCCTCTTGGGCAGTCCCTAGACAACTGATTGTCCCTAGGCATGCCCAATGCTGGCTGATCCCATGTTGGACTTGCACTTCTGCTTTTTCTGACCACCCCAACTCCAGGGGCCACTCCCATTTCCAGGGCCTGTGGTCATCTCCGAGGAGTCTTTAGGAGACTGAAAACAGACAGCAGGAGGCCGAGGCATTCCCTTTCCTGACCTCTCCCTCCACTCCACCGAGCTCCTGGGATGACTGCCCTGCAAAGCCTCCCTGAGCACATGGCCCCCTGGCCGCATCAGGACTCCTGGAAGGTCAGGTCATTCGTTTTTGGGTTAATTCTCAACTGCCTTGCTTTGAATAAGTGTAAACTTCAGCCAGCCAGTGCAAGCACAGTGTTTTCAACTGTCCTCTATCAAAACAGAAGTTGAGATGACAATGTTTACAAAGAAAGTTTATCACAGTAGCAGCAAATTAACTATTCATTTCTTTATTTTTTTTTCCCCAGATGAGTTCTGAGATGCTTATTACCTTTTTTTCTTTTTGTTCCTGCAAAAGAGAAGCACTTAGGCAGCTGAGTGCCCAGGAACTGGGAAACAGAAAAACAATGTGGAAGTAAGATGGCTTTGCCCACAGCCTCCACATATCCAGGCTGGAAAATGCAAAACTTCCACAGGTCAAAAGTCCCAAGGCCATTTTCTCTTGCCCGTTCTAAAGTAAATAAGTAGATGCACAAATACACAGATGTTTAATAGAAGAGTTCATCTGAGGTATATCATTGCAAGATAATTTATCATTCACTTAAAACATAAAATAAATCCCTAATATTACTTTGTTAGACAAAGTATCTTTATTTTAGGTGAAGATAAGTATGTAATTTAAATATATGTATATGAGTATATTTTCTCAATTTACTATAGTATACATTTTTATCTATTTATTTTAAGGCCTTAGAAACAAAACATAACCACATAACCAAACACTGTAAGAAGGGGGATAAAAATCCACACCCATACTTTAATATTCTACTAAAAACAAAGAGCATTTTGTTGTATTTCCCTTAAGTGAACTTCCCTAAGTTATCTCTTTTCTAGCATAACTGATTTTTGTCCTGCTTTCTTTTACTCTGATACATCAAAGGTAGCCTTATGGGGCAATAAATTGTTCTGTTTTTCTTGTTTTTGCTTTTGTTTTTTCTTCCTTTCTTTTGAAATGGAGTTTCACTCTTGTTGCCCAGGCTGGGAGTGCAATGGCACGGCCTCAGCTCACTGCAACCTCCACCTACCAGGTTCAAGCGATTCTCCTGCCTCAGCCTCCAGAGTAGCTGGGATTACAGGCGCCCACCACCACGCCCAGCTAATTTTTGTATTTTTAGTAGAGATTAGGTTTCACCATGTTGGCCAGGCTGGTCTTGAACTGCTGACCTCAAGTGATCCTCCTGCCTCGGCCTCCCAAAGTGCTAGGATAACAGGCGTGGGCCACCATGCCTGGCCCTGTTTTTATTTTTTATTTTTTTTCGAGACAGGGTCTCAGTTTGTCTCCCAAGCTGGAGTGCAGTGGCAGGATCTTGGCTCATTGCAACCTCTGCCTCCCGGGTTCAAGTGATTCTTGTGTCTCTGCCTCCCGAGTAGCAGAGACTACAGGTGCATGCCACTAAGCCTGGCTAATTGTTGTATTTTTAGTAGAGACGGGGTTTCGCCATGTTGACCAGTCTAGTCTTGAACTCCCGCTTCAAGAGACCTGCCTGCTTCAGCCTCCCAGAGTGCTGGGATTACAGGCATGAGCCACCATCCATGCCTGGCCAATAAATTGTTATTTTATAAGATACATAAAATTCCATAAAGTTTTATACTTATTTAACTCAACATTCATTTGTTAACATGTAGGTTATTTTTAGGAAAGTGATACACAGGACATGGCTAGTACTACATTTGTGCATATAAAGACACCAGCAAAGTATGAGAGCACTGGATATCAATCACTGTAGAAAATGCTTACCACGATAACAATAGGTGAAAACTAGTATTTTTATTATGGAAATACTTAAATATATCCAAAAATAGAGTGGATAATTCATCATCCTGCTTCAATGATTATCAACTCATGTCAGTCTCGTGCCTTTCAGCTGTAACCCCATTTTAGACCCTTGCCTGCCAGATCATCTGAATTAATCCCAGACCACATAGCACAGCATCAATAAATATTTCAGTATGTGTCTCTAAACAATGAGAACTTTTTTTAAAAAAATGAACACAATAACACATCTTTAGAAAAAATTATACTAGTGCCTTAATACATCAAATATTCTGTTGGTATCCAAATTTTCCCAACTGTCTCATGAATTTTTCTTGGTTTGATGAAATCAGGTTACAAATGAGGTTCATACATTGCAAATGGTGGCTCTGTCTCATGAGTCTCTTAATTTATGAGTTTCTTCTTCCTGCCCCAACCCCCTTTTCTTTTAATCTACTTGTTGAAGAAGCCAGGTGGATTCTAGAGTGGCTCATGCTCTTGATTCTGACTGATCCTATCTCACCATGACATTTAACATGTTTTCCTATCTTCAGTATTTCGCATTAATTGGCAATAGGATTTAGAGGCTGACCAGATTCAAGTTGAATATTTTGGCAACAATAAATACTTCATAGAAGGTAGCGCGTACTTCCATCTGGAAGCACAAAATGTCTGGTGGCTTCTCTCTTTTCTTGAAGTCACTGGGGTCTTTCAAGGATTTTTAATATTTTTAGTGTTTTATTATAAAAATTACAAAAATTAAAAGTTCAAACAAAAGGAAAGAATATAATGAAGCCCCATGTATTCACCCTTCAGCTTGTGTGTGTGTGTATAGACAGGCACTTGCTCTGTCACTCAGGCTGGAGGGCAGTGGTGCAATCACAGCTCACTGCAGCCTCAACTTCCCGGGCTCAAGCAATCCTCCTGCCCCAGCCTCCCAAGTAGCTGGGACTACAGGTGTGTGCCACTACCCCTGGCTAATTTTTGTATTTTTTGTAGAGACATTGTGTTGTCCAGGCTGGTTCTGAACTCCTGGGCTCAAAGGATCCACCCACATATACCTACTAAGTGCTAGGCATGAGCCACCACACCTTGCCTCACTAGCTTTATCAAATAACTCACTTATCTGCCTCACCTTTATTTTATCGATGCCCTCACTCATTCCCTGTAGAAACCTAGATTATGTAAGCAAAATTCAGACATTTTATAATTTCAACTCTCAATATTTCAGTGTGTATCTCTGAAATCTTTTGTCTATCTGTTTAGAGACAGAGTCTGTTGCCCAGGCTGGAGTGCAGTGACGCCATCATGGCTCACTGCAGCCTTAAACTCCTCAACTCAAGAGCTCCTCCCCAGCCTCAGCCTTGTAGCTGGGAGTACAGGTGCCACCACACCTGGCTAATTTTTAAACATTTTTTTTTTTTTGTAGAAACAGGGTGTATTAGTCTGTTTTCATGCTGCTAATAAAGATATACCCACGACTGGGTAATTTATAAAGGAAAGAAGTTTAATGGACTCACAGTTCCAGATGGCTGGGGAGACATCACAATCATGGCAGAAGACAAAGGAAGAGCAAAGGCACATCTCACATGGTAGCAGGCAAAGACAGAGCATGTGCAGGGGAGCTCCCCTTTATAAAACCATGAGATCTTGTGTGACTTATTCACTATCACGAGAACAGCACAGGAAAAACCGCCCCGTGATTCAGTTACCTCCCACTGGGTCCCTCCCATGGAGTGAGGATTATTACAATTCAAGGTGAGATTTGGTTAGGGCACAAAGCCAAACCATAGCAATCTGCCCCTGGCCCCTCCCAAATCTCATGTTCTCACATTTCAAAACCAATCATGCCTTCCCAACGGCCCCCCAAAGTCTTAACTCATTTAGCATTAACTCAAAAGTCCACAGTCCAAAGTCTCATCTGAGACAAGACAAGTCCCTTCCATCCATGAGCCAGTAAAATTAAAAGTAAGTTGGTTACTTCCTAGATACAGTGGGGGTACAGACATTGAGTAAATATAGCCCTTCCAAATGGGAGAAATTGGCCAAAACAAAGGGGCTACAGGCCCCATGCAAGTCCAAAATCCAGAGGGGGAGCCAAATCTTTAAGATGATCCCTTGTGACTACAAGTCTCACACCCAGGCCACACTGCTTTCACAGGCTGGCATTGAGTGTCTGTGGCTTTCCCAGGTGCACGGTGCAAGCTGTCAGTGGATCCACCATTCTGGGCTCTGTAGGACAGTGGCCTTCTTCTCACAGCTCCAGTAGGCAGTGCCCCAGTGGGGACTCTGTGTGGGGGTTCGCACTCCACATTTATCTTCCACAGTGCCCTAGCAGAGGTTCTCCATGAGAGCCCCACCCCCATGCAAACTTCTGCCTGGATATCCAGGCATTTCCATACATCCTCTGATATCTAGGCGGAGGTTCCCAAACCTCAATTCTTGATTTCTGGGCACCTGTAGGCTCAACACCATGCAGAAGCTGCCAAGGCTTGAGGCTTGCACCCTCTGAAGCCACAGCCCAAGCTGTACCTTGGCCCCTTTGAGCCACGGCTGGAGCAGGTGGTATGCAGGACACCAAGTCCCTAGGCTGCACACAGCAAGGGGGCCCCAGGCCTGGCCCAGGAAACCATTTTATTCTCCTAGGCCTCTGGACCTGTGATGGGAGGGAGCGCCACAAAGGTCTCTGGCACATCCTGGAGACATCCTCCCCATTGACTTGGTGATTAACATTCGGCTTCTTGTTACTTATGCAAATTTCTACAACAGACTTGAATTTCTTCCCAGAAAATGGGTTTTACTTTTCTATTGCATCATCAAGCTGCAAATTTTCCAAACTTTTATGCTCTACTTTCTCTTGAATGCTTTGCCGCTTAGAAATTTCTTCCACCAGATACCCTAAATCATCTCTCTCAACTTCAAAGTTCCACAGATCTCTAGGGCAGGGGCAAAATCCTGCCAGTCTCTTTGCTAAAACATAACAAGAGTGACCTTTACTCCAATTCCCAACAAGCTCCTCAAATCCATCTGACACCACTTCAGCCTAGACTTCATTGTCCATATCACTATCAGCATTTTGGTCAAAGCCATTCAACAAGGCTTCTCTAGGAAGTTCCAAACTTTCCCACATCTTCCTGTCTTCTTCTGAGTCCTCCAAACTGTCTCAACCTCTGCCTGTTACCCAGCTCCCAAGTCACTTCCACATTTTTGGGTATCTTTACAGCTGTACCTCATTCTCTGCAGTACCAACTTACTGTATTAGTCTGTTCTTATGCTGCTAATAAAGACATACCTGAGATTAGGTAATTTATAAAGGAAAGAGGTTTAATGAATTCACAGTTACGCATGACTGCGGAGACCTCACAATCATAGCGGAACACAAAAAAGAGCAAAGGCACATCTTACATGGTGGCAGGCAAAAAGAAAGCATGTGCAGAAGAACTCCCCTTTATAAAACCATCAGATCTCATGGGACTTATTCACTATCCTGAGAACAGCACGGGAAAAATCTGCCCTTATGATTCAATTACCTCCCACCAGGTCCCTCCAATGGCACATGGGGATTATTACAATTCACCCAAGTATCACAGGGTGATATGGTTTGGCTCTGTGTCCCCATCCAAATCTCACCTTGGATTGTAATTCCCAGTGTTAGGGGAGGGACCTGGTGGGAGGTCATTGGATCATGGGGGCGGATTTCCCCCTTGCTGTTCTTGTGATAGTGAGTGCGTTCTCATGAGGTCTGGTTGTTTGAAAGTGTGTAGCACCTCTCCCTTCACTCACTCTTTCTCCTGCCACCATGTGAAGACGTGCTTGCTTCCCCTTCACCCTTCCACCATAAGTTTCATGAGGCCTCCCCAGGCATGCCTCCAGTACAGCTTTTGGAACTATGAGTCAATTAAACCTCTTTTCTTTATAAATTACTGAGTTCCAATAGTTCTTTATAGCAGTGTGGGAAGAAGCTAATACACAAGGGTCTTGCTATGTTGCCTGGGCTGGTCTCAAACTCCTGGCTGGCCTCAAGCAATCCTCCCACCTCAACCTCCCAAAGCACTGGGATTATACGCATGAGCCACCGTGTCTGGCCTCTCTGAAATCTTTTACAAAATACTAGTATAACGTCTAAATATTTTAAGAATAATTCCTTAATATTATCAAATAACAAAAGTATTCACATTTTAAAATTGTAATGTATTTGTGGCTTTTTTTTTTTTTTTTGAGAAGCAGTTTCGCTCCTGTTGCCCAGGCTAGAGTGCAATGGCACAATCTCAGCTCACTGCAGCCTCTGCCTTCCAGATTCAAGCGATTCTCCTGCCTCAGCCTCCCAAGTAGCTGATTACACGCATACGCCACCACTGCTGGCTAAATTTTGTATTTAGTAGAAACAGGGTTTCACCATGTTGGTCAGGCTGGTCTCAAACTCCTGACCTCAAGTGATCCACCCACCTCAGCCTCCCAAAGTGCTGGGATTACAGGCATGAGCCACCATGCCTGGCCAGCATCTTATTTTAATTGCAGCACTTGGTTATCGGTGACGTATTCTTCATGTTCAGTTAGTAGCTGTGAGTTGTCTTCTGATGTCCTCTGCTTGTTTTATCTTTGAGTTGATGCGCTTACAATAAAGACTGGTAGCCATTTTGGCTACAAATATTTTCTGTCTGGTATTTGCCTACCAAGAGGGAAGGGGGTGGGAGAGTCTTCCCTCTTGACTATCCACTACACAATAAACTTAAGCTTTCTAATTTAAGTGTACTTTGTGACTTCTTCTATTGCTTCTAAGCTCACAATGTCTTTCTTCCTTCAAAGATAGAATGAAAATTCAATTCTTTTTTTTCTAGCTTCACAAAGTCACCACATCACTAATTACATTCAGGTCTTCTACGACCCCTAAATCATAGACACTGACAGAAAATAATGCTTCATAATGGTCATATATTTCTAAACAATTTGAATCCTTTTGCAGACTACCCATCAATTTTGTTCCTAAAGAAAAATTCCAATCCCTTTTAGAGAAAGGGAAACCCTGTCACCTAGTTTTAAAGCACTCAAAATAATTAGAACTTTAATTAGTTCTATCTAAGAATAAAAAGTAGAGATTAATTTAAATCATAATGAAGTTGGTTTTTTTTTTCCCTCTCTCTCTCTCCAATGGCTTCTGCTTTAACTGTTACCAACATATTTTACAGAGACCCAGGCTTTTTCATGGGAGTGCACAAGCTTGGTAACCTAGGAGACCCCACCTCTCCATTCTCCCAGAGCCTATTGCCTTAGAAAAGCAACTTCAATTTAACAGAGGGCCAGTTTTCTTAGCCTCAATCAAATGGACAAGAGTAACAGAAGAAAAGTAAAGCTCAAATATTACCACAACTATAGTCCTAGATTTACTTTCAAGCAAGAATTCCCACGGTAGCTGAGTAGGATTGTGGTGCAAAGTCCCAAGGAAAACTAAGCTACAGGTTAAGACACCAAGGCAATGCATCAGAGTCTCTGAGAATCAACTCCTGATCCTTGAAGCAGCATCCTTTTTTCCTATTTGAACTTCAGTTCTGTCCTTGAATGCTGACAGAGAGCTGTTTCTTGCTCTCTGTTCTCAGAATTCTCATGGCTTGGATTTCTCGGTCCACTTGCCAGTTTTATCACTTTACTCTTATTCTCCATGGCTTCCTGTCACGCCATGGGGAGTTAGGGGAAAGTGTTCACTGATAGCCCACATATGATTTGTGGGTTACAATTTATTAGATTCTAGTTTTGCCCAAATACCGGGCATACTTTAATAACCAAAACATTTCATTATCTGGATAGAAATGGGTATCTTATCAAGCAGATTTAAAGGATATGGATCTGTCCTCTAGAAAGGAACAACTAGGCCGGGTGTGGTGGCTCACACCTGTAATCCCAGCACTTTGGGAGGCTGAGGCAGGTGGATCACTTGAGGTCAGGAGTTCAAGACCAGCTTGGCCAACATGGTGAAAGCCCGACTCTACTAAAATACAAAAATTAGCTGGATGTGGTAGTGCATGCCTGTAATCCCAGCTACTCAGGAGGCTGAGGCAGGAGAATCTCTTGAATCCAGGAGGCAGAGTTTGCAGTGAGCCGAGATTGCGCCACCGCACTCCAGCCTGGGCAACAGAGTGAAAACTCCGTCTCAAAAATAAATAAATAAAAGGAGTTAGTGTATAAAATACTGCTTTATGCCATAATAAAGATAATAATAATACTTAAGGCAAAAAGTCACACCAAGGCAAAAAAGCATAGACCAAGCAATTTCCTAGCATGAGTATTGAAATTTTGAAGCATATGTAAATACCAGTCCACAGCCTATATCACACGTAATGCTTATATCATCAACAGAAATTTATGGGTGATGAGTATATTAAAACTAAATATATGGTCAACTCACTCATGTATTAAAACAAAAGGTTGATTCAAATAATTAAGTGATGTTATACATGTAAAAACACATTGTTAACATTTAACATTTAGCTTTCCTTAAATCAGGTGAAATTTCACTATTCTTATATAACGTAGGCCCAGACTACCACTTCCTCATCTCCACTATGCGACGGTTAATGTTATGTGTCAAGGTGGCTAAACTACGGTGCAGTTATTTGGTCAAACACCAGTCTAGATATTGCTGTGAATGTACTTTTTAGATATGATTAACACTTAAATCGGTAAACTTTGAGTAAAGAGGAGCACCTTCCATAATGTACGTGGGCTTCATCCGAATAGTTGAAGACCAAAAGACTTAGATCTCACACAAAAAAGGTATTCTGTCTCCAAACTGCATTTTGACTTGAAATACCAACTCTTCTTTGAAGTCTCCAGCCTGTCAGGCTGCCCTACAGATTCCGATTCTGCCAGCCCACAATCACATGAGCCAATTCCTTAGAATCAATCAATCTCCTTTTTTTTTCTCTCTATAGATAAATAAACATCCTATATACACATCTATATATAGGTATATAGATAAACATCCTATTGGTTGTGTTTCTCTGGAGAACTCTAATATATACCCTCACCATCACTCCACAGTGGATCCATAAAATAAGATGAAGTGGGTTTTTTTTTTTTTTTTTTTGAGACAGGGTCTCACTCTGTCGCCCAGGCTGGAGTGCAGTGGTGCAATCTTGGCTCACTGCAACCTCTGCCTCCCAGTTTCAAGCGATTCTCCTGCCTCAGCCTCCTGAGTAGCTGCAATTATAAGTGCATACCACCATGCCTGGCTAATTTTTGTATTTTTTTTAATTTATTTATACATTTTTGTATTTTTAGTAGAAACGGGGTTTCACCATGTTGGTCAGGCTGGTCTCAAATTCCTGACCTCCAGTGATCTGCCCACCTCAGCCTCCCAAAGTGCTGGGATTCCCAAAGTGGCGCAATCTTGGCTCACTGCAACCTCCACCTCCCTGGTTCAAGTGATTCTCCTGCCTCAGCCCCCCAAGTAGCTGGAATTACAAGAGCACAACACCACACCCAGCTAATTTTTGAATTTTTAGTAGAGACGGGGTTTCACCATGCTGGCCAGGCTGGTACCGAACTCCTGACCTCCAATGATCTGCCCGCCTCAGCCTCCCAAAGTGCTGGGATTACAGGCATGAGCCATCACGCCTGGCAGAGATTAAGTTTGTATTTCTCTGCTTGTCACCACATCACACAACAATGCTTTACAAATTTTCACTAAAACCGGAGGGGATGTTAGTCTTCTAGAGCTGCCATTACAAAATCCCACAGACTGGAGGCTGGAAATCCAAGATCAAAGTGTCACCCAGCAGGCTGATGTCTCCTGGGACCTCTTGCCTTGGCTTGCAGACAGCTGCTCACTGTGTCACCACATGGACTTTTCTCTGTGCATGTACATCCCTTGTGTGTGTCTCTTCATGAGTCCAAATTTTCTCCTTGTATAAGGATACTAGTCATACTAGATTAGGGCCCACCCTAAAGGCCTCATGTTAACTTTATGTCCAAATACAGTGACAGTCTGAGGAACTGGGGGTTTGGATTTCAACATATCACTTTGGGGGTGGGCGGGGCCACAACTCAGCTCATAACAAAGGGTCTATCTGAAAAGATCTACATATAGACTACATGGCATACATAAAACTCACTTTCAGGGCGAGACACCAAAAGAACAGCTCTCTTCTAGAGCAGTTAAAAGTGTCCAGCCAAGGCCAGGCACAGTGGCTCACGCCTGTAATAATCCCAGCACTCTGGGAGGCCGAGGTGGGTGGATTACCTGAGGTCAGGAGTTCAAGACCAGCCTGGCCAACATGGTGAAACCCTGGCTCTACTAAAACTACAAAACAGCTGGGCGTGGTGGCACGCACCTGTAAGCCCAGCTACTTGGGAGGCTGAGTCAGGAGAACCGCTTGAACCCAGGAAGCAGAGGCTGCAGTGAGCATAGATTCCATCACTGCATTCCAGCCTGGGTGACAGGGCAAGGCTCCACCTCAAAAAAAAAAGTGTCCGTTCAAGAAAAACACGAACTTATATTTAGAGACCAGTTGGCAGAGAAAATAAGAAATCATTTAAAATAAAAGCCCTAAGTCCAAGCCATAAAGGCAGACACGGAATTGCTGGCATTGATTTGCCACATGAACAATATCTTGTGTATTGCTCAATCTAGAAAGCAGCAGAGGTTTACTTTTTTGAGCCTGGCTAATGATTTTCCCTGCAATCTAGATGGTCATAATACATTTAGTTGCTACATCCCTCTTGAGCTCTGGACTAGGCATGATGTGAGATCCTTGTATTATTTTTAACATATGTACATATTTTACATATCTACATATTTATGTACATAAATATATGTACATATTTTATATGTATGTATACAATATACATACATACACATCTATATATATATATATATATATATATATATATATACACATCTACATCTACATACATACACACACATATCTATATAAACAACATAGTTTTGATCACAAGGCATTCAGAGTCCAGATACCAGAAGCAATATCTATGGACAACAACGGGAGGCCGAAGACCTTACAGAAGACAGGGAAGGAAAAAAAGGCAATGGGAAGAAAGAGACTTAAGAGAGGAGAAGGAAGAAGGGGAAATATAAGAAATAGGGGAAGAGAACCCATGTGGGAAGGCAGGTCTTTGTTCCTCCCCTCTCTGTGGGCTGTCATGGAGTCCCACCTCTGACTAATAATAGCAACAACAACAAAAATTACAGTGCACTCCTGTAATTCCAGCTACTCCGGAGGCTGAGCGCGGAGGATTACTTGAGCCCAGGAGTTTGTGGCCAGCCTGGGCAACATAGTGAGAACTAGCTCTAATAAGTAAAAAAAGTAAAAAATAAAAGCCAGAACTTTACATGTGAATAGCACATGCAGATTTCCAAAAACTTTTCACCTCTGTTATCCCTCACATACTCCAAACAGCCCAGTGAGACCTCATGAAAGCGCTATTACTTTTATTAGTCAAGTAGAAAAAAAAATCTGCCGGGCGCGGTGGCTCACGCCTGTAATCCCAGCACTTTGGGAGGCCGAGGTGGGCAGATCACAAAGTCAGGAGATCGAGACCACCCTGGCTAACACGGTGAAACCCCATCTCTACTAAAAATACAAAAAATTAGCTGGGCGTGGTGGCGGGCGCCTATAGTCCCAGCTACTCGGGAGGCTGAGGCAGGAGAATGGCATGAACCCGGGAGGTGGAGCTTCCAGTGAGCCGAGATTGCGCCACTGCACTCCAGCCTGGGCGACAGAGCGAGACTCCATCTCAAAAAAAAAAAAAAAAAAAAAAAAAAATCTGAGACAGGGTCATAGAATGACTTTCAGAGTCTGGAAGCGATTGAACATTTTATAGACTAACTTGACTCCATATAAATGATAAACAACCCATCATCCTCCCTTAAATTTTTGGTTTACACATAATCAAACTATATGATACATATACATTTTTAAAATTATGTGTCCATTCTTTTTCTGCGAAACTTCTTTTTGGTTTAACACTTTGTGAGCTAATCGTTTGTTTAGCTTTAAGTATATCTCACTTGCAAATAAGCTCTGAGAAGAAATAAATATTTACTGGGGAAAGTAACTGTCATAATATCATAAGGAAGAATTCTCATTCCTAACTAGAGGCCAATTCTTCTCCTTCTAAGGTAGCTTTCCAAACACTACAACTTTTTCTATAATTATTTAAATTTTTTTTTAAATCTTAGGAAGACAATGTAATTGGTGAACTTTTAGTAATGGAGACAAAGTGGGGTACAGGTAATATGGCTCTTGTCCAGAAATAAAATCAGGTTAGGGCTGATTTTAAGACTTTATTTTAAAGAGTTACCACAAAAAATATCTTTGAATTGGAAAGAAAGTCAGCCCTTGGCTTCGCTGGTGCGTCTTACACCTTGATATTACCACCTAGCATATAGCGCAGAGTTCAGTTACTGACATGCCATTGACCAGACATCTAAAAGCCAGCTTTTAGATGAAAACCCAGGCTCCAGTTCAAAGCTAGAAGGTGACACGTGCCCTGGGACAGAGTTCAGATACTATATTTCAGGTCTTTGTGTTAAGGTCTTAGCTTTTAGTCCAGCGTGCAACCACGGTAACTCAGGGAAGAGCAGTGCAAGGACATTCAAGGAGTCCCTTTCTATAAATTTACAAACTGCTCACATACCGTGGCAGAGATTTTCCACAAAGGGTGCGGTAAGATTTCTGTTCCCATATACTCTCCAGAACCACCTTGCATCAAGAGGCATAATCTATTTCTCCTCCCTTTGAATATGAGCGGGATGTTGTGACAATCTCAATGGATGGAAGGTGGCAGAAGCGATGCTGTATGATTTCCAAGGCTAGACCATGACAGGGGATGGATGAGGTTTCCGTTTAGCTCTCTCAGGATGTTTCCTTTTGGAACCCAGCCACCATGCTGTGAGAAAGCCAGGGCCAATGGGGCACCAGCGTTCTGGCCAAAAGCCTCAGTTAAGGTCTTAGGTGACAGCCAGCATTATCCGTCAGATGCTGAGGGAATGAGCCACCAGGTAATTAGCCCCCATCCTTTCAGTCTGCCCAGCTGAAGTTCCACAACACGGATCAGAGACGAGCTGTCCCTGTTGTACCCTGTCCAGAGAATTGGTGAGTGTAATAAAGATTTGTTTTACGCCACTAAAAGTAGTAGTCATTTGTCAAATAGCTCTACTAACTAGAACATACAGTACCGGCTAAATGAATGCTCAGAGGCAGAAAGAATTAACTTATTGATTTTCATCTTGTGCATTACTGGTCTTGAATCTGTCCTGGAGGTGGGGAGAGTAGGCAAGAAGTGGGGAAAAAATTTTAAGTGCCACCTTTCCTGCGCAGGCACTATTCATGGTACAACAAAACTTCAATTCCTCCAAAACCCCTAGGAGGTTAAGTCTTCATAGGAACTGATCTCCATTTTAAAGACGAGGAAGCTGGGGCACAGCAAGGTTTAGTAACTTACCCAAGATCATACAGGATGTGGTAGAGTTGAAATTTGATCCCCTCTCTGCCTGACCCAAAATTCACAATCTTTTGATTCTCCCAGTAGATCCCAACCTGGGGGCTTTGGCCCTGAACTGAGAACGGGGGAGGGCAGAGGAGGGTCCTCAGTTTGGTGGGGACGAGAAAAGATCCTGAATCCCTGAGCACCATTGTGTGTAATATGCTACATACACACAGTTTTCAAATATAGTAAGTTCCATGATAATTGTAATTCAAATCCACTTAATACATTTTGATCTCACCATTATGTGTCTTCTCAACCAACAGATAACAGAACAGCTAAAAGTTCTTAAAGATCTGTGAACTCTGTGTATGTTAGAACAGGTTTCTCATGTTTAAAAATGTTGAGAACCACTAACCACGTACCTTATGGTGTGTAAATTAACATTCATGCCTGATCAGTTGGACAACTGTGTTACCACAAGAAAACACAAGAGTTGTAAATCACCAAATTCATCTGCATTTATTTACTGAAGGTGGTTACCACGTGTTCTCTCTTAAATAATGGGCAGCCACAATTCACTAATTTGCTAGCTGTTGTTCCCATCGGGCACTGGCCAGCATTCCGTCCTGAGGAAATGATGATATACTGTGCCTTCCCATTTTCCACACCCTGCAGCCAGTGACAGTGATTGTGGTCAAAAGAGAATGAGCTTTTCTCCATCCTCTCCTTGCCTTGCCTCTGTCCTTTAGGATGTCCTACTGAGTAAACATTCTGCTTCCCTCTGAAAAAGAAGCTTAAGAGCAGGGTTGGAAGGATGTGGTGGTGACAGGCTTGGGAACAACTTCATTACCCATGAGGAATGTAGAGCAAGTTCACTGCCCTCCCTGAGAAACAGGAGCCGGATCTGTGCTCATGAGGAAAGAATGCCAGTACTTAAAGCCTTCTTCTGACAAAAGACCAACAACTTCAGCAGAGTTCTTTGCCCTCACATTCACAGGGGATGTGGAGCAAAAGACACAGAGCCACCCCTCAGCCAGCAAAAGACGGGCATGGGTGGGGTGACTGGGATTTGCACTCTCTTCCCACATCTGTCTTCTTCAGTTGCAGTAATCAGAATTCACATCCTTAAGGAGGCCTTGCTCAGGGACTACACGTCTTACCTTGTAACCATCCCTACCCCTGCTCTCTTGCTGTCCTTAAGCTCTTGAATCACTGCATTCCACAAGGATTCCCCCCCGCCCAAAATGGGCAAGTTAAAGGAGGGGAATTACAACATCCTAATGAAGTCGGTTAGGGTCAAACAACTAAGATATTCCGCCTCATAAAACTGCATTGTATTAAAATTGCATCCATATTTTTAAGCCTATATTTCTATATACCAAAACCCATGATTTCTACTTGTAAGCTGTTCAGCTCTGGTTAAATGAGGAAAGAAGAAATTAAGAAGTGTGCTTTTCAAAATCTTGATTCTTATTATCATTAACTTTAGCATGCCAACAATTCAAAGACTTTTTTGCGGTAACTCTTTAAAATAAATAGTCTTAAAATGAACCACAATTAGTCACAGTATAAGTCATAAATGAAAGAAATGCATGTGTTTTATCCTACTAAATGCACAACTAAAATCCATTACACACAAACACACACACATGCGCACATACACATACATAATGCTGAATATATAAACATACAAGTTAAGATTTATATACTGGCCACCAGCAGTGAGAGAACATTTCTCCTGACCATAATAAAGAAGCAGCATTTCACCTATTACAAAAAATACATTGTGAGGGGGATGAGGCTGCAGCCTGCAGGATCCTCCATCAATCTCCACTAAAATCTTGAAAATCTACCAACCACAGTGGAAGGCAGAAGAGGAAGAAAACTCTTCTCCATGGATTTCTGGCCTAACCAGGGTCTCTCCCTTTCCTCTCAAAGAAGAAAGACCTAGAAAGCAGGAGAAAAGAGTGAAAAGATAAGAAACGTGCGAGAGAAGACATTTTGAGAAATTAACCCAAAACTTGACCGGGCGCAGTGGCTCACACCTGTAATCCCAACACTTTGGGAGGCTGAGGTGGGTGAATCGCTTGAGGTCATAAGTTCAAGACCAACCTGACCAACATGGCGAAACCCTGTCTCTACTAAAAATACAAAAATTAACCAGGCATGGTGGCACGCACCTGTAGGCTCAGCTACTTGGGAGGCCGTGGCAGGAGAATCACTTGAACCCAGGAGGTGGAGGTTTCAGTGAGCCGAGATTGCACCACTGCACTCCAGCCTGGGCAACAAAAGCGAGACTCTGTCTCAATTAAAAAAAAAAAAAATTAACCCAAAACTTGTAATTAGCTACCCACATGACAAAAGCTACTGACCACTCCTGACTTTCCTCAGCATCTTTTCTGGATGGAGGCAGATCAGCTGACCCAGGAGGTACAGGGGAATAGCCCAAAGGGAACTGTCACAGCCAGGGAGCCTCAGCCTCACCTAGATTATCATGTACAAATTTCCACTCACCTCAAAAGATGTAGGCATGTAAATCCACCTATACTTGTCCTTTGAAATCTGTGCATTTTTTATAATACCGAATATTTGCCTATTTGCCTTGTCTTTTGCCACAAATAACTGCAGATGTATGTTATCAGGCATTTCCAATGTTAGAGTTCTTTACAGATTTCAAATTCCTAGAGGACAGGAAATATGGTTGTTTTTCTTGCACTGTACTGTAACTACCCACATATTGCATACAAATACATAAATTCCTGCCAGGAAATGCTTTTTCTTTTTTTAAAAAAGCCTCATTTCCTTTAAAGTGTCCAGTATTGTAAGAATTTTGGGAAGACTGATGATTACATCTTTATAACTGAGGTTAACTGTGATTCACTCATTCACTCATTCATTCGACAGTTTTACTGACCACCTCTTATGTGCCAGGCTGGAGAATGAGCAGTGAAATCCCCAGAGCCTAAGTCCTGATAGGGTACTGCTCTAGGGAGAAGACAGTTCACAAACAAATACATCATGAACAAACAGGTAACACATGAAGGGTGAGAAGTATTTAAAAAGTTAAAATGAAAGAATAGGAAGCCAGAAGAATGTGTGATTTTACTCGAGGGGTGGGAGGTGTCAGGAAAAGACTTTTTAGGTAGCAACTGTGCAGAGACCAGGCAAAGAGCCTTTTGGGGCAGGGAACACCAAGTCAAAGCGAGACAGGAATAATACAGAGTGGTTCAGGAGAACAGAAAATTCCAGGCAGGAGTTTCACATGACTAGTAAAAAGAAACTGTTGAAATTACCTGCAGAAGCTAGGGACTGATAAGACCCTGAAATACTGGGGCGTGGACCAAGCTGGCTAAGACCAACTGGACCCAAAATGATGCTGGATCTGACCTAGGTTCCTCTTAGAACCTCATTATGCACTCATTAGCATACTTAATCAACTCCCCCACGAGTGCCATGATAGTTTCAGGAACACCCACATTTGGTATAAAAACGGTGACACCACAGTTCCAAGAAATCTCCACCACCTTCCAGGAATTTTCATGAATATTCCCCACCTTGGTGAATGAAGCCCATAAAGGTAGCAGCCCCAAACCCCCTCACACGCACAACTCTCCTGAGTATGCCCACGCTCCCCTTGCCCCTTGAGGGTGTACTTTTCCCTTTGCAATAAATCTCCATACTTCTACAATTTTCTGACTCATGAATTCCTTCTTGGGATGGTGTCAAGCACCTGGACACCAGGTGAGGTTGAGATCCCACCAGCATTTGGACCTCCTCTAGCCCACCATATCAAAAGGCCCTGAAGCTGAGGTGGGCAGGTAGACCGAGGAACTGCAAGTGAGGTTCCCTTCCCTTGTCCACTTTGATGGCTAGAGTCATTGATCCTTCCAGCATAGCTGTTTTCAAGGTTGGGCTACTGCAATGCTAATCTTAATAGAATCAGCAGACCAACAAGTTCCTTAGCAGAGAGGTGGACAGAAACAGTAAATAAAAAACAGAATCCTGGGGCTAAAACTTTTTGACAATGCAACGAAGGTATTGGGAAACAGTATGCTTCATGTTAAATATTCCTGCTGATATTTTATTCCACAAAACAGGGTTAATTATTATTATATGCCATTGGATTTTAAAGCTGAAGAGTTCTTGCTTCCCTTCCTGTCCAATAATTACACTTAGATTTCTTACTTATATTGGCAAATGATCAAGATCATATGACATTGACTCCAGCAAGGAGTGAAACCACTCAGAAGAAATCAAATAGAAAATCAATCTGGCTTCTTTGCTGGAATGCCCACTAGAAGGCACATATACTTAGTTTTGCTTCCCTCCGTATCCCTGTCCCAGATAACCCAACGCCACCTTTATGTGGTTTCTTCTCTAAAAATTTGAAGTTATTTTGCACATCTCATCTGTGTTTAATGTGACTTTCAAAGGCTATTCTGAGAACAATGAGTTGAGGAACAGAAACCATCAAACAGAAGTCTAAAATGACATTAATGAACAGAAAAAAATTAGAAATATGGTAATAGAGCTTTTATAAGTTGACACTTAGAAATTTATGTGAAGAATGTAAACTCATTCTTCATGTAGAACAGTAGAACTGTACCTATTACTCAAAAGAAAATAAATTCAAAGGCCGGGCGAGGTGGCTCACGCCTGAAATCCCATCACTTTGGGAGGCCGAGGCGGGCAGATCATGAGGTCAGGAGTTCGAGACCAGCCTGGCCAATATGGTGAAACCCTGTCTCTACTAAAAATACAAAATTAGCCAGGCGTGGTGGCACATGCCTGTAATCCCAGCTACTCAGAGGCTGAGGCAGGAGAATCGTTTGAAACCGGGAGGCAGAGGTTGCAATGAGCCAAGATTGTGCCATTGCACTCCAGCCTGGGTGACAGAGCGAGACTCCATCTCAAAAAAAAGGAAAAGAAAAGAAATTCAAATACAGCAATAAAGACCAGGATAGTAGGACTGTCTCAGGAAATTACACCCATAGACAATGAAGCCATCTAAGAATTTCCCATTAAAAAGCTCCTCAGCCAAGTACGGCGGCTCACGCCTGTAATCCCAATACTTTGGGAGTCAAGAGGAAGGAAGGTCAATTGAGACCAAGAGTTCAAGACCAGCTTGAGTAACACAGTGAGACATTATCTTTATAAAACAATGTTTAAAATTTTTTTAAAAAAGAAACAGATCCTCAGTGAAGGATAAGGGTCTTCCTTTTTAAGTTTTGGGTTTGTTTTTTTTTCTAATAACTCCAGTATTAGAAAGTACTGTTGAGTCCAGAAGTTCAAGACCGGCTACTCAGGAGGCTGAAGTAGGAGGATAGCTTCAGCCCACAAAATGACCTCAATCCCATCTCTCTTGAAATTCTGCCTATCTTGTGAGATCCTCCCTTTAGTGAGTCTCTCCTTCCCCTCCGTAATCCCTCTCTTGGGTGTGACAATTGTCTTCTTTGAACCTCTTCACCACTGCCTGTGTTCTCTAATCCCACTCCATGTTATCCTTGGCCTCATCCTTATCCACCATCCTCACCAGCCCTACATCATAAGCTCTCAGAAGACAGGGACTGAATGAAGGTTGAAAAGTTACCTATTGGGTACAATGTTGGGTACAAGTGGCACTTAGATTCTATCCTAAATATTATTCTTCCACATGTAAATGTTTTGCGCCCCACCAACCCATAAAAAGTGTTTGTTTTCAGAATTCAAGGACAATGTGTCTCATTTTATGTATGCTCTGGAACCTTGCATCTAGTAGGTACTAAATATGTATTCTTACATCTTTACATAATTCTTCCTAAAGCTGCCTTTCTCCAAGGTTGTTCTATTCTTCAAGACACCCATATTTTTAATATTAAAAAATAATACCGCATGGCATATCCCCTTCCCCACAACCTTCCTTTTTCTTTGATACTCACAATGTACATTAATACGTTAAAGGCACTGAGAAGTCCTGTAATAAAGAGACCTGACATGACATTTCCCAAACCCGTTTGTCACAAACTTTTCTTGCTTATGACACCTGTTAATATCTAGCAGTTGTCACTTGGAAAAACTGTCGTAGTGTATCTGAACATCCTTATATATAACTCAGTGCTCAGTAAATAACATACATAAGGCATTTTATCATTTAAAAAGCACTTTCAACACATCATTACAACTGAATTCCCTCAATAAACAGACTTGAAAAGTAGGAAAGTATAACGAAAAGCAATCACTCTCTTGCTTTCCTCTAGTCCTATGCTGCTTCTCACCCAGCACTCCTTCCTTCCTTCATGCACGTGTCAACTGAAAGCTCCCTTTCATTGTCACCAGGAGACACTAAAGGTACAATGTGACTTGACCTGTTCCTCCCATTGAGACTTGTTCCAATCATCTTGGAACTCAGAGAGTTTTTAAATATAAACTCCAAATTGTTCCTTTTCCTCTTAAGGAAAGAAAGGCAAGTTTTAGGCTCAGGAAATGTACCTTGAAGACAGAATTTAGGTGATTTGATTAGTGATGTTTATAACTTAAACGAAACTCATAAAGTTCCAAATTTGGGGATATATCAATAAAGATTAGGTTCTACTGTATATAAAAGGAAACCCCATATAAAGTGGTTTTAACTAGAGATAAGTCTACACAAATAAAGAGAGGCTTAGAGGAGTCAGCCCAGAGCTGGCATGATAGCCCTAAGGAAATTTGAAATTGGGGCTCCCTCAATCTATAGGTTCCACTGACTTAACAAGATCACCCCAAGGTTCAAGACGGCAGCAAGCATGCTAACCATCAATTCCTCATCTCAGATAGAATAAAAAAAATAGAATAAAAGGAAAAAAAATAGAATAAGGAAAAGAGGCGGTGTAACTTTCAGCAGCATACAAGGATGCTTTGACAGGGCCTTCCACCTGTTTTACCTCAGTTCAGGCTGCTGTAACAGAATACTGCAGACTGGGTGGCTTAAACAATAGACATTTATTTCTGACACTTCTGGAGGCTGGGAAGTCCAAGATCACGTCAGAGTCGGTGTCTGGTGAAAGCCTGATTCCTGGTTCATAGACAGCTGTCTTCTTGCTGTGTCCTCATATGGCAGAAGGGATGAAGTAGCTCTCTGGGGCCTTTTTAATAAGGGCAATAATCTCATTCATGAGGGTTCCATCCCTGTTGTCAGGCCTCTGAGCCCAGGCCAAGCCATCGCATCCCCTGTGACTTGCACATATACATCCAGATGGCCTGAAGTAACTGAAGATCCACAAAAGAAGTAAAAATAACCTTAACTGATGACATTCCACCATTGTGATTTGTTTCTGCCCCACCCTCACTGATCAATGTACTTTGTAATCTCTGCCACCCTTAAGAATGTTCTTTATAATTTCCCCCACCCTTAAGAAGGTTCTCTGTAATTCTCCCCACCCTTGAGAATGTACTTTGTGAGATCCACCCCCTGCCGGCAAAACATTGCTCTTAACTTCACTGCCTATCCCAAAACCTATAAGAACTAATGAAAATCCACCACCCTTTGCTGAGTCTCTTTTCGGACTCAACCCGCCTGCACCCAGGTGAAATAAATAGCCATGTTGCTCACATAAAGCCTGTTTGGTTGTCTCTTCACACGGACGCGCATGAAACCTATGACCTAATCACTTCCCAAAGGCCTCATCTCTAAATACCAGTCACCTTGGGCATTAGGATTTCAACAGAGTAATTTTGAGGGGACACAAACATTCAGTCCATAGCACCCCCCATCACTTCTCTTTGACCAGGTCAAACCTAGTCAGTCAAACGTAGTTCAAAGAAGGCTAGGAAACTCTTTTAACTGAATTCACTGCATCCCAAATAAAAGATAAGGTTCTTTTACTAAGAAAGGAGAGGAAAGATATTGAATAGTCTACTAGAAATCTCTTCTGCTGGAAGAACACATGTCAGAAACTTTACAGTCTTGGCATGCTGAGCAGAAGTCACTTAGTCCAATGTTTCTGAAGCTCACTCATTGATAAGAATCACCTGCAAGAGCTGGGTGGTGGAGGGATGGTGCAGGGAGATCCTCACTGAAATGCAGCTCCCTGGTTCTACCCAGACCTACTGAACCAGAATCTTCAAGGAGAGGACCTGGGAATCCCTGTTCTTAACAAGCAACTTATGTGATTCTCATCATCAACAAAGTTTGGAAACACTAAAATCTAATCTTCCACCCACTTAGTGGCCCCTCAGCAAATGCCTGAGGCTAAGGGCCCTAGAGTCAGTCCAATCCAGCCTTGAGAAGCAAGAGGCATGCAAGTTCTTTCACATACTGAGGTAATATCTGACAGAGAGCCTATGCCATGGGAAGGGAACAAGCCAGTCTCACTACAAGAAATTACTGTTCTTATAAAGGGGAACATTTAGACACCAAGACGGATACATACAGAGGGAGAAGATGACCATGTAAGGACAGAGGACTAGAATAATGCACCTACAAGCCAAGGAATTCCAACAACTGCCAGCAAAACCAGAAGCTAGGAATAAGCAAGGAAGGACTCTTCCTTACAGAGACTTCAGAGGCAGGATGGCCCTGCTACACAGACTTCTCGCCTCCAGACCCAAGAAGGTATACTTCAGTTGTTCTAAGCCGCCCATCTGTGGCACTTTATTCCAGCAGCCCTAACAAATGAATACAATTGGTTAGTGAGGAAAGCGGAGGATGTATTTCCTTACCAAGGTCAAATTCCATGTTCATGGACTAATACCTAAACTATTTCCACGCACAACTCAGTCTGAATGCAGAACAAAGGAACTGCAAAAGGCCACTTGGAAACAATCTGGCCTTAAATCACATTTGCTTTTCTTCGGGATGGTTTGAAAACAAGTTTTTCCACACATTATCTCTGGGGGAATGAGGAGTGGTTAATTCATTCTTATGCCTCTGAGATCAAAACAAAATATCTACACGGCTTCCCTCCTAGATGATTGCTTATTATCCTAGATCAGTGCTTCTAAACATTTTCTGCTCAGGAAAATCTTCCAAAGAGCCTAAGTAATACCCAACCCAGCTCCTCTCCAGAAAATTGTATTCAGTTGTATGGGAGTTGGGTGAAGAACAGGAATAACTTTTGTTTTTAAGCTCCCCAGGTAATGTTAATGTGCAGTGGGGTTAAGAACTGTCTGAGATTATATGAATGAAGATTTGTTTTTTTCCAAATGTCAACAGAGAGGGGCAGACCCTCCAAAATTCCAATACTAGGAAAACCCATCTTGTGCAGAATTGACACAAAGTAGCTACAGACTTTTGAAAGTTTACTTTAAAAACTGATTTTCTTTTTTTTAATTGGAGACCAGTCTTGCTCTGTGGCCCAGGCTGGAGTGCAGTGGCATGATCTCAGCTCACTGCAACCTCCGTCGTCCAGGTTCAAGCGATTCTCCTGCCTCAGCCTCCCAAGTAGCTGGGACTATAGGCACATGCCACCATGCCCAGCTAATTTTTTTATTTTTAGTAGAGACGGGGTTTCGCCAAGTTGGCCAGACTGGTCTCAAACTCCTGGCCTCAGGTGATCTGCCCACCTTGGCCTCCCAAATTGCTGGGATTACAGGCAAGCCTGGCATTAGAAACTGAATTTCTGAATGAATTTTTTTTTTTTTTTTTTTTTTGAGATAGGGTCTCACTTTGTTGCCTAGGCTGGAGAGCAGAAGCATGATCATAGCTTACTGTAACCTCAAATTCCTGGGCTCAAGCATTCCTCCCGCCTAGCTAGCACAATAGGCATGTACCACCATGCCCAGTTATCTTCTAAAGTTTTTATAGAGATAGGGTCTTGCTATGTTGCCCAGACTGGTTTCAAACTCCTGGCCTCAAACGATCCTCCCACTTTAGCCTCCCAAAGATATGGGATTACAGGCATCAGCCACCATGGCTGCCCAGTTCTATCATTATTAGATTGGCAATGTTTTAACTAATGGCTCCAGGCAGGCTCTCAGGCAACTTATTTTATCTGTGGCATAATGGTCTTTTATAATCAATTACCCCCATGGTTTTAAATTTTATCACGGTTTTTTAACTACTGACATTTTATTTTCACTGTTATAACTTGGCAAAACATCCAAATATATAAATGCAAAGATACCCACAACCTATGGAATATGTTTTAAATAAATTTAAGCTAAAAATTTTTTTTTGTTGTTTTCACAAAAGACGCAGGCTAATTAGTTGACAATTTTTTAACTGCTGACATGATTATACTGTCAGAACTCTGCAGACTTCTTAAAAATATGTTCCTTTGGCCAGGTGCGGTGGCTCACGCCTGTAATCCCAGCACTTTGGGAGGCTGGGGCGGGCGGATCACCTGAGATCGGGAGTTTGAGACCAGCCTGACCAACGTGGAGAAACCCTGTCTCTACTAAAAATAGAAAATTAGCCGGGCGAGGTGGCGCATGCCTGTAATCCCAGCTACTCGGGAGGCTACGGCAGGAGAATCGCTTGAACGCGGGAGGCAGAGGTTGCAGTGAGCCGAGATCGCGCCATTGCACCCCAGCCTGGGCAACAAGAGTGAAACTCGGTCTCAAAAAAAAAAAACAAAAACCCAAAGTTCCCTTATACTTAGGTTTTATTATTTCAAATGTGGTTCTAAAGAGTATATTAAATTATATCTTTATATTTAGATAACACTCAGGAGCAGCTTAGCTTTCATACGATCTAGTTTCTTGACATGATAACCTTTCCTTACTCCACTTTAGAAACAAAGCAAACTCATAAATACAGTAGACACATAAAGACATAGACTTTCACTTCCTTCCTTTCTTTCTCTTTTCCCGCCCCTGTATCAACATTCCCTCTCTTTCTTCTTCTGCCATTTTTTCAAAGCTTTGATTTTCCCCTTGGAGAGAGGGTCAGAGGCTTGAGGATTTCCTGTCTACAGCTCTGCCATGTGCTTAAGGAAATGTGAAAAAATAACTGTCTATTTCAAGGAAAGGTTATTATAATCATAACTTACAGTAGGACCAGATTCCCTGTTGTTTGTTCTCAATTAGTAGAGATTACAAGAAATGTCATAGAAGAGTAGAAGATGATAAATTTTGACGAGGTACTGGGGAGACTTGAATACACTTCAATTAAGATGTGTGGTTTTTTTCCCCCAGATGCCTGGGGGACTTTGCACAACTCCAGTAAAAATAAATGAACTGCTTTTGTACTCTCTTACAGAAGCAATTATCAGTGGACACAAAGATGGATGAGGAGCAGAGGGACTTGGAAAGAGACCTGAACAGGAAATACAGAATTTTAAAGCTTAATGAGACTTTTGAGAGCATTTTTTTTGAGACGGAGTCTCGCTCTGTCGCCAGGCTGGAGTGCAGTAGCGTGATCTTGGCTCACTGCAACCTCCCGCCTCCCAGGTTCAAGAGATTCTCCTGCCTCAGCCTCCCAAATAGCTGGGACTACAGGCACCTGACACCACGTCGGGCTAATTTCTGTATTTTTAGTAGAGATGTGGTTTTACCATGTTGGCCAGGCTAGTCTCGAACTCCTGACCTCAGGTGATCTGCCTGCCTTGGTATCCCAAAGTGCTGGGATTACAGGCGTGAGCCACCGTGCCCAGCCAAGAGCATCTTATTTCACCCATGTGGAAACCCAGGGAGGCTAACTGACTTGCAGGAGTCACACACAAGTAATTGGCAGAACCAAGATCAGTAAATATAGCCTGCGGTTCTGTCCACAACATCATGTGCCAAGTTTTGATGCTATCTGAAAGTAACAGTAAAATGTTGAGCTGACGTCTTTGCCTCTCTGGCTTCATGTTTTACATATTTATCATCTCTCAATATGCTGCAATTTGATGCGGGGTAGGGCAAGAGCTGCAAGTTTTGATGGTCTTGACTCAGTTATTGCCTCTTGTTAAGGAAGATGAAAAACTTTTCTGGGGTAGAAAAGGGCTATTTTTCATGAAATGCCATCCATCATACAAAGTTCAAGGTCAAGGAGTCACATGAGGCATATACAAAAAGGGCACAAGTATTATTTCTGTGCCCTTAAAATGGTCCAGATAACTTGGTGTTTCAAGCAGAGAAAACCCCTCCTGCAGTAATAGGAGGCAGCAACAAAGAATAAACTATACAGATCAGGAATAAAAAGCCTGCAATCTCCTGTGATACAGTATAATCACACAATAGGCCCAACATCAATGTAATAAAGTTCCGAAATAAAACATTTCTTCCATTAAGTCCCAAACTCCGGGTTCGAGTATCATTTTCAAATGTTAACATGAATGTCTAAGTATCAGCCTAAAATTCATTAGTCAGCCTGAGATATTTTGAGCAAGAACCCTCAAAATATGGGAAAAACCATATAAAAGCAGAAAATAATCCTTAAGTGACATTCTATTTATATTTACCTTTTAAGAAATCTTCATTGTCCTCAGTTTAATGAGTAAGTTTTAAAAATAAAATGATACACATATTCCATGAGTCACACAAAGCCAAGGCTGCTAAAGTGGGTGATTAAACATTTTAAGGAAAACTGAATTATATGAAGGTTAAGTCCCTTTTAAAAAGTATATTAGGAGGCATTACGAAAATAAGAAAGTGGTTATAAATCTGAGTTCCAAGAATGGTAACTCCCTTCTATGGACAGAGAATAACACTAGGGCAGAACAATTACATTCCTATGCCAGGAAAACCTTCACAGAAAAAAAACACAGAAAGTCCAAAATCACAGCATTTAAAAATGCATTTCATTGAGATGCTCCATACGGAAAATCAGTGATGTTAAATCAGCAGCTTCAGAGGACAGAGAGCAAATACAGGGGATGTTTGCATAAACCTAAAGAAAAACAGAAAGTGGGCTGGGCGTGGTGGCGCATGCCTGTAATCCCAGCACTTTGGGAGGCCAAGGTGGGCAGATCATCTGAGGTCAGGAGTTCGAGACCAGCCTGACCAACATGGAGAAACCCCATCTCTACTAAAAATACAAAATTAGTCGGATGTGGTGGTGCATGTCTGTAATCCCAGCTACTCAGGAGGCTGAGGCAGGAGAATCATTTGAACCCAGGAGGCGGAGGTTGCAGTGAGCTGAGATCGCACCATTGCACTCCAGCCTGGGCAACAAGAGTGAAACTCTGTCACAAAAAAAATAAAAAGAAAAAAGGAAACTGGTTACACATCTGTCCACAAAGGCAAATGCAGGGGGGCTGGTGACTCCTGGGTATAAAGGCTCACATCTGTTTATGTTAATTAAGAGAGCAGTATGTAACCAGTATCATTCCACTTCAGTTTTCTTTTAGGATCTAACATAGTGCTATCCAAGAGATATATAATATAATGCCACATGTTATATTTCCTGATAGCCTCATTTTATAAAGTACAAATAAGCTGGTGAAATTAATTTTAATAATATATTTTTAAAATAACAATATAGGCAAAATATGATGATTTCAGCATGAAATCACCATGAAAACTCTTATTGGGATATTTTACTTTTTTTCATACTAGGTTTTAAAAATCCTGTAAACTTACTGTACATCTCAATTCCCATGCTACATTTTTATTGCAAATACTTGACATCTATTTAGATTTCAGGAGATTTAGAGTTGAAAAAACAAATTCACATACCCAAGTTGTTCCAAACTTAAGCATTTTCCAATATTTGCATTGAGTATCTGTTTTTAAATTTAAATTTATGAAAATAAATAAAATTAGCCAGGCATGGTGGCATGTGTCCATAGTCCGAAGCTACTCAGGAGGTGAGGTGGGAGCATTGCTTGGGCCCAGGAGTTCGAGTCCAGCCTGGGCAACAAAGGGAGACCCTGTCTCTAAAAGAAAGAAATAAAGAAAAATTCAGTTCCTTAGTAGCTCTAGCCATATTTTACATGCTAGACAGACACATGTAGCTAGTGACTAGAAGAGTGGATAGCACAAAGCTAACATCTTTGTCCCATCCTCACAGAAAGAGTATTTCTTTTTCCAACTTCCTACGGAATGTAAGTGTGGCAAGAAAACTGAAGTCATCCTATAAGGAAATAAAGGTAACAATTTCTTCATCATTTAAACCTTCATGAGATTCTGCTTATCGAATGGAGAAATGGAAGAAATAATGATTTTTTAAAAAGATTTGATAGATAGGAGTATATAACTGGGAACAGAATTAGAGAGTATCTGGAAAAGGGGAAGTGAATAATATCTTTTGCATTTCTATCTTATTTAATCCTCACAATATCCCTAAGAGGGATGTACTCTTCTAAAATTTATATTTTGCTGATAAGGAAACAGAACGTCAGCGGGTTTAAAGATAGTTAAGTAGGGTATACAGAATTTGAGGTTAACTAATCAACCAAACTAACTCTTAGTGATAATAATTGTGGACCTGTGCAGAAAACACTGTCCAGCTATTCAGTCAAGTAATTAAGGATACTGACTATCTGGAGGAGTTTAGGAAAGACAAACAGGACAAAGTACCCGGACGGAAGTGTTCATCTCTACAGCCATCCATTTAAACCTCTTTCTATTCAAAGTGCCATAATCTGTAAATTATTTGCTTGCCATGGTGAGTTAACATTCTCTCTCATTGGACACAGAGCCTCTGGATGCAGAAGCTAGTAACCAGTAGTTTAAGAAGCTTTCCTGGTATTGTAATGAGGGCTGGCAACGACTGAGCCGGATTAGACCTCAAACTTCAATTTGCATCAGAATCCCCTAAGGTGGGAAGGTGCTTTTGAAACACAGATCACTGGGCCGCACTTCCAGAATTTCAGATTAGGTAGCTCTGGGGTGGAGCCCCACAATGTTCATTTCTAACAATTCCTCAAGTATGCTGATACTGATGGTCCAGGCATCACACTCGGAGAACACTGAACTACAACAAAGATGGATGTACTCAATTGAGGTAAATAAAAGAACCATCACATTAAAGGAGCTTGTTCTTTAGGGCAATTTACGAGGCTTGTATCTTTATCAGCTGAGTGCCTACAAGGTAACTGCTAGAATCTGAAGCAGTGTGCTGGATGCCCCCGAAATGCAGACCTACAGCCCAGGAGAAAATTTCCCATAAAGCAACTAAAGCTTAAACCTCAGGGCCCCTTGCAAGGCCTACCAATATGCTCACATAGTATATTCTTTCTGTTGTTGTTGTTGTAAAATTTGCAAAAGTAAGATGTTTTTAAAGAAGGATTCCCATAGATTTTTATATAAACCTCAGGCTCCACAAAACTTGGATCTGTCTTTGGAGACTTCTCACCCTTGTTTATATCTTCCAAGTTGTTTTTTAAGAAATAGAAACACATTGAAAGCATTTTAAGCATCACAAGCATGTCTAGAACTTGCTTTTGTCTCTTAGTAATAATACATAAAACAGCTTTCTTTAATGAATTTCTGCAACATTTTAAATGGTTGTGGAATACATACCCAAAATATACTCAACAAATTTTTACTTAAGTGGTTTCTAATTTTTAGGTCTTTTTTATGCTGAATATCCTTAAAGCTAAATATTTATGCCCATCCTTATTTCCCTAGTATTTCTAAGAAGAGGTGTTGATGTATACCATATGCATTTTTTATATGTTGTAATTATAATGTAATGTACAATTTTGTAACTTGAATTTCTCTCCACTTATTTTATTATACGCATTTTCCCAGTTGCTGCATAGTTTTAAGCTTAACATTTTTAATGACTCTAAAACTTTCCTCTCTGTGGATATAACAATTTGTTTACTCCCAACATCTGGGTTACACTTTGTTTCTCATTAATATAAATAATACTACAATAAATTCCTTTTTAAAGATTATTTATGGCTGGGCATGGTGGCTCACGCCTATAATCCCACCACTTTGGGAGGCCGAGGCAGGCGGACCACCTGAGGTCAGGAGTTCGAGACAAGCCTGACCAATATGGAGAAACCCCGTCTCTACTGAAAATATAGAATTAGCCAGGCATGGTGGCGCATGCCTGTAATCCCAGCTACTTGGGAGGCTGAGGCAGGAGAATTGCTTGAACCCGGGAGGTGAAGGTTATGGTGAGCCAAGATTATGCCATTGCACTCCAGCCTGGCAACAAGAGTAAAACTCCATCTCAAAAAAACAAAAAGACTATTTACTTGCCATAGCTTTCCTTAAGTGTGTCCAAAATTATAACAGTGGCCAACCCGAGCATTGTTTATAAAGCACAGGTTTGTAGTAGAGAAGTGAGATGCTAATGTGAACGGGGTCCATAATGGGCTTGATTAAGGTAACAGAGCCTGGGATACTGAACATTCACTGCTTTTAACCTGATTAAATATTTGAGACCTGTTTCTTCCCCCGCTCACTTGCCCCCCGCCTGAGACAGGGTCTTGCTTGATCGCCCAGGCTGGCGTGAGGGGCTCGTTCTAGGTTCACTGCAACCTCCACCTCCCAGGTTCAAGCGATTCTCTTGCTTCAACCTCCTGAATAGATGGGAATACAAGCGCATACCACACCAGCCTAATTTTTCATATTTTTAGTAGAGACGGGGTTTCACTGTGTTGGCCAAGCTGGAATTGAGACTTGTTTCTGTCTTGAGAGTTGGTTGACCATTCTGGAGAATTTCTTCCCTAGCTAGGAGGAGGTTGTCTAGAGTCTTTCTGACAAACTATGGATAAATGACTCACAAATGTGTAAGAACTGAATAATGAAATCATAGTGTTGACGAAAAGAGTTGAACTCTTGGGCGGGCGTGGTGGTTCAGGCCTGTAATCCCAGCAGTTTGGGAGGCCAAGGCCGGTGAATCACTTGAGGCCAGGAGATCAAGACCAGCCTGGGCAACATGGTGAAACCCTGTCTCTACTAAAAATACAAAAAATTAGCCGGGCGTGGTAGCAGGCACCTGTAATCCCAGCTACTTGGGAGGCTGAGGCAGGATAAATCAGTTGAACTCGGCAGGTGGAGACTGCAGTGAGCCAAGATCATGCCATTGCACTCCATGCTGGGCAACAAGAGCAAAACTCTGTCTCAAAAAAAAAAAAAAGGGAGAGTCAAATTCTGTAAAATGTTTGAAGAGATTTATTCTGAGCCAAATATGAGTGACCATGACCTGTGCACAGCCCTCAGGAGGTCCTGAGAACATATGCCCAGGGTGGTCAGGGCACAGCTTGGTTTTATACATTTTAGAGAGGCATGAGACATCAATCAAATACATTTAAGAAATACATCAGTTTGACAACTGTAAGGCGGGCGGGGGAGCAGCCTTCCAGGCTGTAGGTGAATTTAAACATTTTCTGGTTGACAATTGGTTGAGTTTGTCTAAAGACTTGGGATTGGTAGAAAGGGAACATTCAGGTTAAGATAAAGATTGTGGAGACCAAAGTTCTTTTGAAGTCTTACAGTGGCTGTCCTTAGAGGGAACAGATGACACATGTTTCCTATTCAGATCTTAATCTCTTTAGAATTTGGGAGGGTCTGGAAGAAAAAGATGTAACTATGTTAACAGAGATTCTTTACAGATGCACATTTTCCCCCCACAAAGAAGGAGCTTTGCAGGGCCATTTCAAAATATGGCAAATAAACATATTTTAGGGTAAAATATTTTAATTTTCTTCCTTGTCTCGTAATGTTATGCCAGAGTCAGGTTGGAAAATAAGTCATGATATATAGGGTTAAATAAAACCCATCTGATGGGAATTCATGGTTTGTAGGGCATGACTCCCCAGACCCCCTACATAGGAATTTGTGCAAGATAAAAAAATCAGAGTTTCGTCCTCAATAGTGTCCTTTACATGAGGTTGACATAGCTGCCCCATCAAAACCAGGACCGAAGGACTGTCTTTTCTTATGTTTCTGGTAAGGAGTTGCAATGCTCTTAAGAAGTCAGTCTCTTTTTTGACCACAGACACAGATGCCAGTCAGTTAAATTGGGTCTAAATTTAGGTAATTTTCTGCCCAAGGAACACAGGCTAGTTAATTAGCCTACACAAGGTCTAAATTCATAACTGTGGCTCTTTAGTGTGGTTCTTCAACCACTTGAGCTAATGAGCTATAGATACAAAATAATTTCACAGTCTGGGTACAAAATAAGCACACAGGTAGATTGTAGGTAACAAGCCAAGGCCTCCAATGATACTTGTTAATTTCACACAGCACAGACATGGCCAAGAGGGCATGCAGAGCATCCTAAAGGAAACACATCCAGAAAACCCTACTGACCTTTTATTTCTGTCCATTACATGGATAAAGTGGTAAATGCTGAACAGAGAGGGGCCACAGGGTGTTGACGATAAACTGTCAGTATTTCCATTTTACATTTAGTCACTCATTCATTCAACACAATGACTAGTGTAGGAACTGGGCTGGAACTGCAGGGAGAGCAAGGACAAGTATCCCACATGTCCTACTGTGTCCAAGACTGCCACTTGCCACCTAAAGCCACTTGTTCACCATGGGGAAAGGGCTTAGGTGGATTTTCCAAATGCACCTAAAAAGGCAAGAGTCTACAGCAATAGACTCCAATGACTGCTGGACTTAACTCACTGAACACTGACCAGAGCTTACAAAACAGTCCGCCCTCCAGTTATTCACCAGGCACCTACAACTCCCAAAGACCTGAACCCAGCATCAGAAACCACCACCCAGGGGAAAACTGTGCACCAAACCTTCACAAGCACAGCCAACCTAGGCTAAATCATACCCTTTGTTATTTTAAAACAAAAAATGTACTTTTTGTTATTTTAAAACATACCTACCTGAAGTCTCAGTTCCCAATTTGCGCTTTGGGCCTCTTCTCCAGGCCCCACCCAGCTCAAAACAAGTCTGACCGCTTTGATTTCCATATTCTCCGCCCCTCTCCCCACCCTCCTTATCTCTAGCACCAGAAGCTTTCAGAAAGCTAATCCAGTACCTGGCTCCTAGGCGTCCCTGTCACTGAAGCATGTTTTGGTCAAAGATTACCCATGATTACTATCTGTCAGTTTCCACTGGAAATTGGAATGAGGAATTTGAAATTCAAGTCCAGGCCTTTACTTGGCCGGCTGGAATCATCATATTTTGTTCTCCTGACAGCAAACACCCGTGTGCACCAGCAGTGGCAGGACACTGGCTCCGCACCCAGAGTTCCCAGGTGCAAGTTCTGCACCCTACTTTAGCTTTGTGATTTGGACAAGAGTTATGGCTGAATCGTGTTTCCCCCAAAATCCATATGTTGAAGCCCTAACCCCCAATGTCTCAGAATGTAACCTTGTTTAGAAATAGGGGGACTGCAGCTGTAATTAGTTAAGAATAAGGTGGGCCCCTACTCCCATACAACTGAGGTCCTTATTAAAGGGGAAATTTGGTAACAAACATGCAAACAGGGAAAACGCTATACAAAGATGAGGCAGAGATCAGGATGATGCTCCTATAAGCCAAGAAACACCAAAGATTGCCAGCAAACCACCAGAAGCTGGGGAGAGACACGGCTGATTCTTCCTCACAGCCCCAGAAGGAGCTGAGGCTGCTGACCTCTGGTTTAAGCCACTCCCTTTAGGGTACTTTGTTACAGCCACTTTTGGAAACCAACATAGCAAGATACCATGTTGCAGTTTTCTCATCTGTAAACTGGGAATACATACAGCACTTCTCTAATGAGAGGTATAAATAAATCACAGTTTGTTAAGTTGCTTAGAATGATGCCTAGTAGCTAAGTGTATTTTAGTGGTAAATAGTTGTACCCAAACATTCTTGTTTAATCAAAGAGATCTCACCTTTCATGTTTTCTAGTGTGTCTTCCCACCAAGTTGCCTAATGAAATGCTAAGGCCACGCCAGATTTCTCAGGAGATGAGGGGCACTCACACTTGGCTGGCACGGCAGGACAGGGTGTGGCAGTGCAAGGGAGAGACTTTCCTTGGTGTATCAGCAGGGAATCTAGGCTCCCTCCCTGCTTGCTCTTCATCCCCACGCACACTCAAATCCCGTCGTTCTTGCCCCACAGCAGCCACCAGCCTAGCCCTGGCCCTAGTCCTGGCCCCCTTTTCTGGTTACGGTCTCTCAAAACCCCAAATCATCCTACAGTGAAAATGTAATCAACTTGAAACCTCATTCTTCTATTTCACCCACCCCACCCATTCCAGGCTTTCAATGACGTATAGAGAGGCCCATACCTCCCATCACACTTGATTTTCTGTTATTTGCCCATGTATATATCCTTCTCCATTAGAGTCTCTTCACCCCACCTCTACTCATTAGTACTGGTTTCCTCTGTTAATCCCAACCTACCCAATCGTGATGGCTCAGCCCCTAACTCACCTTCTATGAAGTCTTCTCTAAACTCCTGCGATGTTGAATGGCCACACACCAGAGTCACTGTGAATGGCACAAACCTGGCACTGCCTTAATTGTTTCATGTGTGTCAGTCATAAGACCTTAACTAGATGGGACGTTTTGAGACCATTCATCCATCACACACACAATTTTAGGTACTACAAATGCCAGGCACTGTGCTAGGCACCAGGGGTAACCAATATCAGCAGCTGCCATTTATTGAGAAGTTTCTTTGTGCCAGATTTTATCCTAATCCTCATGATGATGCTTTAAAGGGAAGTGCTGGCCTCAGCCTCAGTTTACAGGTGAGAAAACTAAAGGGAGGGGAGGAGATGGAGGGGAAGGGAGAGAGGGAGGGGAAGGGAGGAGGGGAAGGGAGGAGGGGAGGGAGGAAGGGAGGCAGAGAGGGGAGGGGGGAGGGGAGGGGGAGGGGAGGGGGGAGAAAGGGAGGGAAGGGGAGGAGGGGAGGAGGAAAGGGAGGGAGAAAGGGGAGGGGTGGGGAAGGGAGGCTTTACAAGCAACACTGGGAGAAAAGAATCAGCAATAAACCCAATATGAACCAAAAGGACAATATGGCAACCAAAAATGTGAATAAGATCACAGGTTATATTAATAAAGTTACATGTCTAGGAAGTGGACATTCTACCATTTTTAATATTCTTTTAGATTTGTTCTAAAGTTTTGCTCAGAATTCTAGGCCTAAAATTTGAGAGTCAGATGTCATGTAGGTTCAGATTAAACTAATCAATATAATGAAGAATCCTCATATTGCACAATTTTATAAATTACATATTGACTGAATACACTGCTTTAAAGAGTAACTTAAAGCTAAGCTTATAACATAAACTTACAGGCTGACACCATTCCCAAACTTTTCAATGAAGCTGTGAGATCAGGTCATGATAGTCCCTATCTGTGTAAGCAACCTCAAGATTATGACGGTAAAATGGTGTACTTAAAAACAAACCCTTGTTCATCCCACACCTTATCAGATCAGGTCACCAATATATTACAGGACATAAAAGGAAAAGCCTGACTGGTTACCTAATGTCACCAGCTGTTAACATTCAAGAGCAGTTTCCATTTCTTTTTTTTTTTTTCTTTTTTTTTTTTGAGACAGAGTTTTACTCTTGTTGCCCAGGCTGGAGTGCAATGGCACGATCTTGGGTCACCACAACCTCTGCCTCCCGGGTTCAAGCAATTCTCCTGCCTCAGCCCCCTGAGTAGCTGGGATTACAGTTATGTACCACCACACCCAGCTAATTTTGTATTTTTAGTAGAGACAGGGTTTCTCCATGTTGGTCAGGCTGGTCTCGAACTCCCGACCTCAGGTGATCCACCCACCTCGGCCTCCCAAAGTGCTGGGATTACAGGCGTGAGCCACCGCACTTGGCCTTTTTATTATTATTATTATTTTTTGAGATGGAGTCTTACTCTGTCGGCCAGGCTAGAGTGCAGTGGCACAATCTCAGCTCACTGCAACCTCTGCCTCACAGGTTCAAGTGATTCTCCTGCCTCAGCCTCCTGAGTAGCTGGGACTACAGGTGCATGCCACCATGCCTGGCTAATTTTTGTATTTTTAGTAGAGATAGGGTTTCACCATGTTGGCCAAGCTGATCTCTAACTCCTGACCTCATGTGATCCACCTACCTTGGCCTCCCAAAGTGCTGGGATTGCAGGCGTGAGCCACAGCACCCAGCCAGCAGTTTCCATTTCTAACACTGAAAAGCATTTAACTTCACCTACAGCAGCATGCTGCAACAGACTTCTACCAATAGGACAATGGGTCCTGGGAAAGCAGCCATCAATAGTTAACTTCTGGCGTAAAAAGAGTCAAAACTGTAAAAGTCACTAAGGTTTAAGAACATTTGTGCACACCTTTATCATCCAAGTCTCAAACAAGACCTTCTGTGGAAACTGCCTGTGGCTGAGTCAATCATCCCCAGTATCCATTCTCCCCTTTCCCTTGAGGCTTAACTGGTTTCGAGGCTGCCAGCAAGAGAATATGTTTTCCTGCCTTCCTTGCAGCTAGGTTGGGGCAAGCTCTAACCAGTTCCCTGTGAGGGCAATGATTTGTGCACCTTCAGTTTCACATCCTTTAAAAAGTAAAATGCGGCCGGGCGTGGTGGCTCACGCCTGTAATCCCAGCACTTTGGGAGGCTGAGGCGGGTGGATCATGAGGTCAGGAGATCGAGACCATCCTGGCTAACACAGTGAAACCCTGTCTCTACTAAAAATAAAAAAATGAGCCAGGCGTGGTGGCAGGCACCTGTAGTCCCAGCTACTCAGAGGCTGAGGCAGGAGAACGGCAGAAACCCGGGAGGCGGAGGTTGCAGTGAGCCAAGATTGTGCCACTGCACTCCAGCCTGGGTGACAGAGCAAGACTCCGTCTCAAAAAAATAAAAAATAATAAAAAATAAATAAAATGCTAGATGGGTGTGGTGGCTCACTCCCGTAATCCTAGAACTTTGGGATGCCAAGGCAGGAGTATTGCTTGAGGTCAGGAGTTCAAAACCAGCCTGGGAAACATAGTGAGACACTGTCTCTATACAAAAAATATGAAAATTAACCAGGCATGGTGTTATGTGCCTGTAGTCCTAGCTATTTGGGAGGCCAGGGCAAGAGGATTGCTTGAGCCCAAGAGTTTGAGGCTGTAGTGAGCTATGATAACACCACTGTACTCCAGACTGGACCACAAAGGAAGACACTAAGAAAGACACTGTCACAGAAAAAAAAAAAAAAAAAAGGAAAGTGCTTCTGCTTTACTTTCACTTTCCTTCTTTCTGGTTCTTAGAGCAGCACTGTCCAAAGACTTATGTGATTTTAAAGTTTCTAGTAGCCACATTAAAAAAGTAAATAGAAACAGGTGAAATAAATTTTATTCTATTCATTTAATCCAATTATGTCCTGAATAGTAGCATGTCAGTGTGTAATTATAAAAAATTATTATGATATTTCACAGTCTTTCTTTGGTACAATGTCTTTGAAATTTAGTGTGTATTTTACACCTACAGTATACACCTCAGTTTGGACTAGCACATTTCAAATGCTCAAGAGCCACATGTGGGCAGTGGCTAGCACACTGCACAGAGCAGCTCTAGAGGGTAACAGAGGACGCCAGAGAAAGGCTGGGGTTCCTGGGTTAATCTATGGAGCAGAGCTGCCCCACTGGCTCTTAGACTATTTTAAACATTTACTTCAGAAGAAAACAACTTCTACCTTGTTAGAACTACTGTATAGGGTATTTTGTTATTACAGCTTATCATATACCTAATTAGTACACCCATTGGGACCTCACAGAAGGACCCTGCAGCTTCTCAGTTATGAAGCAACCCTTCAAAGAATGAACAGGCCAGGCACGGTGGCTCACACCTATAATTCCAGCAATTTGGGAGGCCAAGGCAGGCAAATCACCTGAGGTCAGGAGTTCAGGACCAGCCTGGGCAACATGGCGAAACCCTCTCTCTACTAAAAATACAAAAAATCAGCCGGGTATGGTGGCACACGCCTGTGATCACAGCTACTCAGAAGGCTGAGGCAAGAGAATCACTTGAACTCCAGAGGCAGAGGCTGCAGTGAGCTGAGATCACACCATTGCACTCCAGCCTGGGTGACAGAGCGAGACTCTGTCACACACACATACACACACCCAGACAAAATGAAAAGACTCATGAGTTCACATTGAATCTCATCAAAACCCCTTCCAAAACCATAGCCTAAATCTGAAAAGTTGCTACAGAAACATTCTCAGCATTGGGAAATACATCTTAGAACAAACATATCCAAGGAGAATATGTGATTCCTTAAACTTTTTCTTGTTCTATTCTTACGTTATAAACCTCTACACTTTCCAGCTAACCAGCCTACTGGGCAGCCCAGGAGGCAGGAGCCAGCTAGAGACCATCAGATCATTCAGCCTCCTAAGAAAATAAAAATGAAATCCTTTCAGGCAGTGCTTCCCAAAAAGTGAAAGCATTTTCATGAATACAATAAAAACTACTCTAATAGTTGAATAATCAAGTTGACCAGGACACACTGACTTTCCTTTTTTAAAAGGAGGGAGGGACTCAAACAAAAAGAAAGCCAAGTCTAGTCACTAACCTCATCTTTATGGACATACTGAGCCTTTGGCCAACGCTGGCCCCTGTATTGCCATATAGTTGAAAATAACCACCTCCACACAGCAAAGATCTTTAAGTAGAAACTCAACTGAAAATATCCACAGGCTGATTCAGAAGCAATTTCTGTTTCAGTCCCAAGGAGAAGTTCATAGAAGAATTTGTCAAACTAAAAACATGTAGGACAACAACAGCCTTCATTTAAAATGATCAGGTAATTAATGCAGAATAAAGATGTAAGAGATAATGGTCTAAATGACTCATTGCTTGTGTAGACTAGGAGATTTCCCCAAGTTTAAGGGCCAGGCCCTCGGTTTCATATTGGTTTCTAGCTGGAAAAGTATTGTGTTTAACTGAGAATTATGGTCTGGGGTAAATAGAATAAAGCTATGACCCATTTAGCCCACAGTGGAGCTCCACGTAGACAGAGATGTTTTACTGGCACCACTGGAAGAGCAGAAGCAGCATCTGTTCTTCCTCCCTTCAGAAATGAAATGCATTTGGCTCTCAGGAAACAAAGAATCTTGCCCTGTCACAGGAGGAATAATGCTGACATTGGTGAGCTTTGCCACTATGGATGGACTTGTGGTGATGTAAAATCACTGTGGAGGTCTTATTTAAGCTTAGAGCAACAGTGTAACATCTATTTTATGCAGTTTGAAGCTTCACAATTTAGGAACCAGCAACCTGTTAGCAAGCGTGTGCTGCGGTTGACAGCATGCGACACTCTCCCATCCAGAAAAACCAGGAGAGTTACCATCTCTCTGTTATTTACCAAATGTGCGACTTTGGCCAAGTTACTTACCTGTCCTCAACATTCATTTCTTCCTCTATCAAATGCATTGTAGCAATGGTCTTTACTGGATAGAGTTTTGTAAGCATTAAATGACAAAGAGCATGCAAAGGGGCTTGGCACAGTGCCTGGCACCTAGTGAGCATTCAGTACATGAGAACTCCTTATTCCTGTAATAGAAGGTCAGCCATCCATACGTGTTCACTCTTGCTATTAATATTATGCAGTGGCACCCACTGAAAAACTGTGATGCTCCAGCCTCACTCTCTTAGATGCTGAAAACAGTCCCAAGGATGAACAGTGGAGCTAAGGTCTATGACAGTGCCAGCTCAGTGGGGGGATGCCAGGGCTTCAGTGTAACTGTTCTAGGATGGAAGGGCATGGAGTTGTGTTAAGGGTTGACTTGTGTCCTCCCAAAAATTCATACGTTGGAGTCCTAATTCTCCCCCTAACCTCAGAAGGTGACCTTATTTGGAGATAGGGTTTTCACAGAGGTAATCAAGCTAAAATGAGGTCATTATAGCGAGCCCTAATCCAGTATGAGTGGCGTCTTTATGTAAAGGAGGAATCTGGGCACAGACACATGCACAGAGGGAGAATGCCACCTGAAGATGAAAGCAGAGATCGGGGCAAGGCTTCTGCAAGCCAAAAACACTGCCAGCCAACCACCAGAATCTAGGTCAGAGCATGGAACAGATTCGCCCTCGCAGCCCTCACAAGGAACCAACCGTGCCAGTACCTGGATCTTGGGCTTCTAGCCTCCCAAACTCTGAGACAATACATTTCTTTAGTTTCAGCCACCTGGTTTGTGGTACCCTTTGTTATGGCAGTCCTAGCAAACTAATACCAGGCAAAATCAGGCAGTGAGCAGATTCTCCATTTAAATCAGGCTGAAAAGACCTAGAAAACACGTAGCACGGCACAAATTTGACCAAATTTCTCTCTAGAACTTTAGTAAAGTCTCCTACCTCCACCCAGTGGGGTCATTGCTGATTTTTTTAAAATTATGTCTATTAAAAAAAAAAAAGGCTTAGCTTAAAATAGATTTGGCCATAGTTCCTATGTCTACAGAGAGACTTGGATTTTATTTTATTTTATATTTTTTGAGATGGAGTCTCGCTCTATCGCCCAGGCTGGAGTGCAGTGGCGTGATCTCGGCTCACTGCAAGCTCCGCTTCCCAGGTTCACGCCAGAGACTTGGATTTTAAATACTCCCATTGTGTGTATGTGCATGTATGTGTGGTGACGAAAGGAGGAGTGAGCAATTGTAAAAACTTATTATAAATGACTAAAAACTCCTTGAAAAAAATACGTTGGTAGAGTTGGTTGTTGATCCTCATGAGAGCTGTTATCTTTTATTATTATTTTTTTTTTAACAGACGGAGTTTCGCTCTGTCGCCCAGGCTGAAGTGAAGTGGTGTGATCTCAGCTCACTGCAACCTCCACCCCCTGGGTTCAAGCGATTCTCCTGCCTCAGCCTCCCGAGTAGCTGGGATTACGAGCATGCACCACCATGCCTGGCTAATTTTTGTATTTTTAGTAGAGATGGGGTTTTGCCATGTTGGCCAGGCTGGTCTCGAACTCCTGACATCAGGTGATCCACCCACCTTGGCCTCCCAAAGTGCTAGGATTACAGGTGTGAGCCACCACACCCCACCGCCAACTGTTATCTTAATAGGCAAGAAACTCAAACCTCTGTCTGAGCAGGATATGCCTGGTTCTTTAAGATTCATGGGGTGTGTGCATTTCCTTGGCTGAAAGCTACAGTAGTTAGTAGATGCTATGTAAAGGTATACCATCAATTTAATCTCTCATGGAGACTGTCACTTTAAACTGGCTGTTTTGATTTTTTTAATGGAATGTCCGCTACTTCCCTATTACAATGAAATATATAATTGGGAATAAATCTTTCGTAAAATTAAGCACACACCCTCAAAGTAAACCGTGAAGCCCTCGATCACGTTTGAGTGGCATTTCTCAAGATGTGTTACAAAGATCTTTCAACCCCATTTCCCATCCCTCAACCTCCACCCATTTCACTCAAGTCACTAAAAATTGGCATCTACAAAGAAATTCCAGAAGCCTGAGCATTTTATTAGCAAAGGGAAATCCCAGCCTTTTTGGCCTCATTTTTCATGACGACAGCTCATTTTTCCATGTGGAACCACATACTAGCTGCTGCAAATATTTAAAGAGGTAAAGAAGCCACTTTTTCAAGCTATGGTCATAAAAGATACAAATAATGATGACTGAGAACTCTGCGCTCGCTTAATAAGCATAAAAGTCAATCTATCCATTTTTAAAACTAGGATGAAAACTTTATATAGTATTCTTCTTTAAATACTCAGGGCCATGCCACAGGTACTCTCCTGGGCTCCTGAACTATTAATATTACTATTTTCTATGTCAAGGGCCATTTTTGAGACTGAGTTAACCCGCTGTGCTGCAAGCTGTCTCCCCTGATTGACCTTCTGACCTTTCCCCCTCTTCCCAACCATCCTTCCAACTCCTACCTATCCCTCAAGGCCTGCATGAAGCTCCACCTCCATAAAGCTCCCCAAATTCTCCCATTCCCAGTGATTCAGCCATCTCAAAATCTGCAGCATTTATCACCAGGCCTTATAACTTAACAACTAGTTAGCTATATCATCTTAAAGATACCTTGAGTATCTATATTCTATACTGCTTGTATTTTGCTCTAGTTATTTCCTATATGTTTTTTTCTCCTCCCACCGAGGTTTATCAACCTTTTAAAGACAACAACCATATTTGCATTTCTCCTGTATCCTATCTACTATCTAACAACTCAAGTTTAAGAACTCCCAAAATAAAGTTATAAATGCGAAGTAAAAAAGGTTATCCACCATAGAAATTCCATAATGCTGTTTATTCTCTGTGGGTTATCTGCAGGGTCCCAAATAGATTTAAGAATCAAAACCACCGGACAATGTCACTGTCTAACCACAGCCCGCAGAGTCAGGCTCATTCCCTACCAAACTCACATCTGCCTTTGACACAGTGCCAGTTGTCAAGTCTTCCGGAAACGACACTCCCATTCAATCTTTACCCAAGTGATGGTTCTCGGGTCACAGAGTGACCTGAAGGCCATCCATAGGAGGCCCCCTTGGGCCACTTTCATCCTATGTTTACTCCTGGGTGTTGCTCACAGTGGCCACAAACCAATTTGGCCACAGACCTCCCAGACACAGGCTGGCTGAAATGCGATCACACCAGTGGGTCACCTGTCTTCTTTATGCAAGCGCGAGAACCTGATCTGCTATTATCTTCTTCCTACCCCCCAGAAATACAAAGAATCCTTTCTTCTTCCTTTTCCCTCACACAAAGACAAGCAGGAATATGATGCCCAATGGTTTAAAATATTTTGAGACAGACCACACATTTCAGGTTAAAAAAAAATTATAATTTGCTTCATTCAACTGAATGTAAATGTTTGTAAGCTTGCTTTTCCTTAACAATACATATATATGCATGATACACATGTACGTGTATCAAAAACTTCAAAATCAAAGGCATACATTGAAAAACAAGCCTCTCTTCCCCAGCTCTCAGTTTCCCTGTTCGGCAGCAGCAACTGTTACCAGAGTATTCTACCCTCCAGACCGTGTAAACTTTTTGAATCCTACTTTTTATTACGGGTTGCTAATTAGGAGGAAGAAACAAATATTTACTAAGCATCTCCTGAGCACCAGGCCATAAGATTTTTGACATTCTTTTTTTGTTTGTTTTTTTGTTTTGTTTTGTTTTGAGATGGAGTTTCACTCTTGTTGCCCAGGCTGGAGTGCAATGGCGTGATCTCTTGCTCACCACAACCTCCGCCTTCTGGGTTCAAGCTATTCTCCTGCCTCAGCCTCCCAAGTAGCTGGGATTACAGGCATGCACCACCACACCCGGCTAATTTTGTATTTTTAGTACAGACGGGGTTTCTCCATGTTGGCCAGGGTGGTCTCAAACTCTCAACCTCAGGTGATCCTTCTGCCTCAGCCTCCCAAGTAGCTGGGATTACAGGTGTGAGTCACCACACCCGGCCAACATTCATTTAATGCATTTAACTGTCACCCCAGTCTTACGGGGCTAATATCATTTCCTCCACTTTTCTAGTGAGGAATCTGAGGTTCAGAAGAGTAAGAGACTTGTCCAGAGCCACAAACCTAGGTCCGAGTTTAAGTCGCTTTTAAAGCTACTCCCTAGATTGTTCAGTTTGTTTTTGTTTTTTGAGACAGGGCCTTGCTCTGTTACCCAGACTGGAGTGCAGTGGCGTGAACACAATTCACTGTAGCCTTGACCTCTTGGGCTCAAGCCTTCCTCCCACCTCAGCCTCCCGAGTAGCTGGAACCATAGGTGTGCCCCACCATAGGCGGCTAATTTTTTAATTGTTTTGTGGAGATGGGGTTTTACCATGTTTGCCCAGGCTGCTCTTGAACTCCTGGACTCAAGGAATCCTCCTGCCTCAGCCTCCCAATGTGCTGGGATTACAGGAGTGAGCCACCGTGCCAGCAGATTGCCTAGTTTCTTAAAATAGACTTTCCACCCAAAATTCCTCTTTCAGGAAACATGGGCTCTTGAATCAGACTGCCTTAGTGCAAAAACTGGTTCTAGAACGTAAAGTTCTAAGAACCCAGACAAATGACTGCATGTCCCTAAGGCCTTAGTTTCTTCGTCTGTAAAATGAGCTTAATAGTAATACCCACCACATAAGATTTGTGGCAAGATTAAATGAATTTCACATGAAAAGCTTAGTATACCTCTGGACATTTGGTTAATACTTCCTAATGGTTAATTATTATTAGCATTATTATCATATGGTTGATTAACAAACTAGGCTTTGAAATGTTTTTGTTGTTGTTGTCATTTTTTATTCCCTCCATTTAGCTGTACGGTTCTGTGCTTGGGGAAACAATTTGGATGTGGAGAGCCATTTGAAATTGTTGGGCTCCATTATACCAATTTCCTCCTCCCCAGGCTCTCCTCCCCCAGGTCTGCTTCTCAACATTTCTTCTCTTAGCACTAACTGCCAAAATCATAGCCTTTTCTGCTGCCAAATCCCAGAGCTTTTACTAGTGTTATTACAGTGGATTTTTTTAAATCATGGAAATATTTCAGTTTTTCTAACTAGATTCCAGCAACACCCTCCCTACTGCCACCAGTTTTTGATTTTTAAACCAAAAGTTTATGTGCCTATCATTCCTCTGGGCCCCTGTTCATATATATATGGAAGTCTAGACTGATGAAATTTTGCTAAAAATAATCTTAACCTATGTAAATGAAAGCTACCTAGATTCCCTTGGAATAGAAAAAGACATTTGTTAACCTGGTCACAAAATTTAGAAACCCCTATCTGCTGAATTGGGCAACATTTTCCATTTAATTGCCTTTTTCTCCTTAGCTGAAAGCCACGGGAGATATGTAGGCTGCATAACATACAGCCAGCAGACGATGAGGTTGAAGGAGGTTTCTCGGAAGTCGGATGACCAGGACTTTCACTCTGGCCAACAGCTAGTTTTCTGTCTTTGTCGAAGTCTCTTTGCACTCTATGAGTTTTATTTAATTTACCTAAAGGATAAGAAGGTAAGATCAACTTTTTTCATAACGCTTCCCAGTTCTTTCTTTAAGTGGGTCGGTATTTTACCATCATCCCATAAGCATCTCATCTAGCCTGGGTTTTATCAGGGCAGTAAGTTACATGTCATGATGCAGCCTCAGGAGATAAGCTTCAGCCAGAAGTAGGTATGCAAGTTACATATCAGCCATAAAAGACACAGCCTCCATTTATTGCAAAAATGCAGCTGTGCCAAGCTGTCAAAATATAATTCACGGCAAAGCAATAAAATCCAGGTTCATCTTTAATTACCTCGCCTGAAATGATAGCTGAACAAGCCCATTTTGAGAGTGACATACCTTGGCTTCCATCTAATTCCCTTCCATTAATTTCTCCCACTCCACAACTCTGCTCAAAGTATCTGGAATGCAGCTAATACAAGACTGGGATCATAGAAGGGTTTATGGGGTGACCTTTTAAAAAAATATTATCGTGTACAACCCCTCTGCTATGTTTTTCTCCCTCTTCTCCTGGGGGAGACTTTATTTCATAACTCTGACATCATAACTGCTTCCTCCAATCCAGAGTCTTTTATGGATTGGTTAGATAACAAATGAGTACGAGTCCCTGGAATTCGGGGGGAGGAAAGGTACGGGCAGCAGTAGATACCATTTTACCACAAAACCCTTAACAGAGAGTTGAACACGTTTCCTAAAGCCAAAGATGAACCATGCTAATATGTCATTCCTAAACCACCCGCATGAGAGAGACTAGCTTCTTCTAAAAACGACATTCTGAATCAGGATTTCTGGCAACTTTAGAAATGTTGAGGTTTTTACTGATTCTTCCTTTGAAGATGTTTAATGTGACGGTTCCTTTCTCTACAAGGCACAGATCCCCAAAATTAAAAATAAAAATAAAAAAACATTGTTTTTGAAAGCTATGCACACAAACAGCAAGGAACCTAGAGCATGCCATCTACAGAAGCTACCCTGAGCTGGGGCCAAGAGCACTTGAGTGTCTGTAGTTTATTAACCCAACAGCGCCTTATCAAGGTGGGGAGGAGCGTTTCTGCAGCTCCATGGAGAAGAAGGAACAGCCAGACTGTGAGTCACCGCATACTCACGTCACTCTTCCTGAACTTCGCTTTCAAGCTCTTCATGTTTAGTGCATTCAGCCTTCCAAAGCTCTAGAGGAGACTTTTCAACACCTAAGCAGAGAAAAAAAGGACATATGTAGGTTTCCAAATAAGGTATTCTCTCCTGATTGGATTACAACTTGGGTCATGGGAAGGAGACAGAGCAGGGTTGCGTTGGGAAGGTGGTCAGTTAACAGCTGAGGAGTGGTAAATAACATATTTCCACTTACGATATACTTCCTAGAAGCTTCTGACATTTTCAAATTAACCAAAACCTTAATTTTTTCCTTCTTATTAATATTTATTTTAATTGACAAATAAAAATTGTATATACTTTTATGGTGTAAAACATGACTTTTGAAATATGCATATATTGTAGAATGGCTAAATTGAGCTAATTAACATATGCATTGCCTCACATACTTATTATTTCACTGTGATGAGAACACTCTAAATCTACTCTCAGGAATTTTTCAAGTATACAATACACTAACTATAATTACCATGTTGTACAATAGATCTCTTCATCTATTCCTCTTAACTGAAACGCTGCATCCTTTGACCAACATCTCCCCATCCACCTCCCCCAACCCCCCACTCCCACATCCCCACCCCTGCTCCTGGTAACTTCCATTCTGTTCTCTGCTTCTCTGAACTGGACCTTCTTAGATTTCTATATCAGTGAGTTCTCAAACATTAAAAGTAGAGCAAGTCTAAGTTACTGCTTAACTGTCACTGTACAAAATGCTGTATCTCTATGTTCAAGTCATTCCTCAACATATCTTCTGTGCTGCAATCATGCCATCCACCTCCTTGTGAAAAGTGATGAGGAAAACAGTTCATATTCCAGATGCCACTCATTCCCTATTTATTTTTCTCAGTGTTTGTTCCCGTCTCCCCTCCCCAGAATGCACAGGGCAGTTAGTGAAAAATGCCAGGAACAACAAAACCTCCCTCATCAAATAGCTCATTCCTCAGGGGGCCTCTCTAAACAATGCAAGACTCTCAGGGTCTTGTGGGACTCAGCAATTCTGAGTTGAGCTGAATCTTAAGCAATCACTTCATTTAACATGGGTCTGTGGTCCCCTGGAAATGGAATGTAATTATCTTTTAGCAAGTATACATTTACATTTTTCAGGGAGGAAGGTTCTGAGTTTTCACTGGATTCTACAAGGTAGTTGCCACCCTTCAAAAGTCAAGATTGCTCATCTAGTCTAAGTGCCTCATTTCACAGAAGTAGCAACAGAGCCTCAGACAAGTTTAGAAACTTGCCTGAGTCACAAAGCCTATTCATGATGAGATTCAGAACCAGACCCTAAGGCCTGACTAGTGGCTGAATGTTTTCACTGCCCTATATAGTTTTTTTTTTTTTAATTTCAATAGTTTGGGGGGTATAGGTAGTTTTTTGATACATGAATTTCTTAGCAATGAATTCTGAGATTTTAATGCAACCAATATGTTGTCTTTTATCCCTCACCTCTCTCCCAACCTAGTCCTGACAGTCCATTGTATCACTCTGTATGTTTTTGCATCCTTATAACTTAGCTCCCACTTACAAGTGAGAACATACGGTATTTGGTTTTCCATTCCTGAGTTACTTCACTTGGAATAACGGCCTCCAGTTCCATCCAGCAATGCCCTATACAGTTTTACAACTAAAACCAAAAAGCCAAATCCTGTGCTAAAACATGTATAGACTTTATCTTTTTTTTTTTTCCTTTTTTGTGGCGAATGGGGTCTCACTATATTGCCCAGGCAGGTCACGAATTCCTGGGCTCAAGCTATCCTCTGGCCTCTCCCTCCCTAAAAGCTGGGATTACAGGCATGAGCCACTGTGCCCAGCAAACATGTACAGACTCTACCTTTTTCATTAAATTTGGAAATGTACAAGATGTGAAAACTTCGCATGTAGCTAAAAAAAAATGAAAATACACTTAGGTCAAAAAGGCAAGATAATCTATGTGAAAGTTTCCATCACATAGTAAGTGCTAAATAAATGTCACGTCAAGCCCACTGCAAGTGAGAACAGGTGACCTTTAACAGCACCATCCCAGAGGAGAACTGAGGAATAGCAGGCACACGTTTACCACAGTTAACCACTGTTTTCAGAAGCCTTGCCAGGTCCTCTCACATTCCCCCACATCCTAATTATTCTAAACAAAACTGACTTGAGAGGATGGGTGGGGAGTGCAAGCCACTGAATGCCTTCTTCATGAGCTTGTTGCTACCTCCAAAAGTCACCCAGTGACTCTCTAGCTTCCAATGTGTCTACTTTCATTCTTGCTGCTGCCATTGACTAGGGCCCTTGGATAAATGGTGTGAAAATCCAGTCATCATGAAGCACTTTGATGACATGAATCTGGAGGCCTCATTGTGACTGCAGCCTCTCCATGGCCCCTTTCAATCTTCCCAGCCTCAGCGGGAGTGACAGATGCATGTTGCCTTGGAAACGACACACACCATAATTATACATTGTTAACTGCCAAGCATTTAGTCACAGAAAAGGCTGGGCTGGTACCTGAATAGCAAGTGCACATTCCAGGGCAGTGTTTCTCAAAGTCAGCCCCTAGTTAATCCACATCAGAAGGACCTGGGGACTAAATGCAATCTTTTAGCCCCTGTCCTATTAAAACTGAATCTCAAGGGGTAGAGCCCAGGAACTTCCTTGGTTGAATCTTCTGCACACTGAAGTTAGAGAACCTAGAACTGATGTAGGCGGAACAGGAACACACTTGTCAGAGTTGGGCTGGTTCATAAACCAAAGTTGGGTTGTTTTTTTCACGTCAAAACAGAATCACCTTTTGAGGAATCAAAGTAGAAATAACGATAAACAGATATTCCCCAACTGTCGCTGGCTAACTGTCGCTGGCTGGGCCAGGGTTTCTACGCCAACTGTTGCTAGAAAGTGGAAATCGCCGGCCGGGCACGGTGGCTCACGCCTGTAATCCCAGCACTTTGGGAGGCCGAGGCCGGCGGAACACAAGGTCAGGAAATCGAGATCATCCTGGCTAACACGGTGAAACCCCGTCTCTGCTAAAAATACAAAAAATTAGCCGGGCGTGATGGCGGGCGCCTGTAGTCCCAGCCACTCGGGAGGCTAAGGCAGGAGAATGGCGTGAACCCGGGAGGCGGAGCTTGCAGTGAGCCGATATCGCGCCACTGCACTCCACCCTGGGCGACAGAGTGAGACTCCATCTCAAAAAAAAAAAAAGGTGGGAATCGCCCTTCAAATTTAATTCCTTCCCCCTTCTTGTGGAAGTACTAATAACTAAGGAAACAGGACAAATCAGTCCAGCAGGAAAGGGAGAAAAGAAGGCCATATATTGGATAACCCAAAACTGTGCAGTTCCCCACAGCAGAGCCACTCAAAGCATTCCTTCGTTCACATATTCAGAGAGCACAAAGTCTTAGGCAACAGTGGGTAAGATTTTTGTTTGAGGTCATGGGGGTTTCGTGGGTGTTGTGTTAGTTTTTCTGTGTATTTGTCTTTGGCTTTTCTTTTTTTTTTTTAAGCATGCAGTGAAAAGTATACAAACTCTTATTTGAAGAGGATTAGATAAATAAAGTGATAATTCCAAAAGTTCCCAAGGGAAGGGATTAACCGCCAAACTGAGTGTCTTCCTAGAGTCCGTGGCTTTGGGTGTGTGAGAGCTGGGTGGCCCATGGGCATAATTCCACAATGATAAAGATAAGTGTCAAAGGAAAAGAAGTTCTGGAAATCCACACAATGGTAACTCTAGAAGCATGAACTGTAGCTGGGGTAAAGTTATTAATAGATCACTGCTTTCCTGGTATTCATGAAAGGATCTAACACCTGGAAGCCATGGCTGGCGGAAAGTAATGTGGCCCCTGGAATAACGCCAGGTGCCAGCTGTCTCAGCATCTCTTCTTCCTCAAGATGAATCATGAGTAAACGGACTCGCCTTCCTTGGGCCAACTGGGATCTTACAGTCTCATTTTCAATCCCAAACTTCTAAAGCCCAGGCTGAGCTACAACCTATGTTGAGTAAAGTGACATCTATCAGGTTAGCAAGGCCACACTAAAGGCAGTCCTTGGAAAAGCCATTAAATCAGGATGCTTACTTCAAAAGAAATACAGCAAAGCTGAATTAGCTGCACAACAGCCTAATTCGAGTATGTACCAAAAAGGATCATGCATCTATGGAAAAAGTTCTCTGAACTAAGTTCTCCCATTTCAAACAGAATAAAGCACACCTACCCACTGAGCAGAAATATTAGTCAGTTTATTACCCATTTAATTCAAAATAAGTCCCTGAAATATGGCATCCATCACTGGCCACCAATCATCACTGGCCACCACTCATCACAGAATGGATGTTACGTTGATAAATGAGGATGGAGCAAAGCAGAGATGTACATGCTTGTTTCCATCTCATTTGAAAGACTGGATGTAACATTGTTTATTATCAGTTCATTTTCCCTTTAAAAAAATAATTTAACTCCCAATCCTAGCCTGAATTTTAAAACCTTGATATTAGCCTGTACAGCTTTATCACAAACAAAAAAGTTAAACTTCTTTGAGTATTTAAAAAAAAAAACCCTTACAATGGATATGGGGTTTTCTTTTGGGTGTAATGAAAATGTTCTAAGATTTACTGCTGTAATGGCTGCACAACCTGTGAACATACTAAAAACCATTCATTTGTACACTTTCAGGAGGTGAAGTGAATGGTATATGAATGATATCTCAACAAAGCTGTTTTTTTTTTAAAAGCTTAATAATCTCTATTACATTCTCCACTCTTTAGGATTAAGAAAATTCCAGGTTAGCCAGGTACGGTGGCTCATGCCCATAATCCCAGCACTTTGGGAGGCCGAGGCGGGTGGATCATTTGAGGTCGGAAGTTCAAGACCAGCCTGACCAACATGGTGAAACCCTGTCTCTACCAAAAATACAAAATTAGCCGGGCGTGGTGGCGCATGCCTGTAATCCCAGATACTGCCGAGGCTGAGGCAGGAGAATCGCTTGGGCCCAGGAGGCAGAGGTTGCGGTGAGCCAAGATCGTGCCACTGCACTCCAGCCTGGGCAACAAGAGCGAAACTCCATCTCAAAAAAAAAAAAAAAAGAAAGAAAGAAAATTCCAGGTTAGAAACCTCTAGACTGATGAAAAAAGAAATGCAGCAGGGCGGGCACAGCAACTCACATCTGTAATCCCAACATTTTGGGAGGCTGAGGTGGAAAGACTGCTTGAGACCAAGCATTCAAGACCAGCCTGGGCACCAGAGCGAGACCCAGTCTCTACAAAAAAAAATTTTTTTAATTAGCCGGGGGTGGTGGCACATGCCCGTAGTCCTAGCTACTCAGGAGGTTGAGGTGGAAGGGTCACTTGAGCCTGGGAGTTCAAGGCTACAGTGAGCCATGATCATGCTACTGCACTTCAGCCTGGATGAAAGAGTGAGACTCTATCTCGAAAAAAATAATAATAATATTCCATCACGGAATATAGGAATACATCTACAGAATTCTCAGCCAAACCAGAACACTAACTAACATGTGCCCCTAAATAGACTTCAGGACATTTTCTTCCAAGTTAAAAAGGACATCAGACTTAAAATCCATACCACAGACCAAGTTCTGAACAAGCATAAGAAACTAAAATACACTCCTTCTCTCCTTGTCAGCATCTACCTCTTCTCACTCAAGTGCTTGAGTATTTCTTCAGACAATAATCTCTCTGCAACAAAAATGGAATTTTAACCAAAGCTATATAAACATTCAATTCTCTCAATCCAGCAAAACAAATACATTCTGTCAAAGGTCTCTCCAGACCAACCTTCCTAATGAAGGTACCTTAACAACACAGTACCTCACGCCATCCAAACTCCTCCCAGTGGGTGGAAGCTGCTTCAATCTCTGCCTCTCAGACAAGGGCTATGCTGTGAGTTATGTTGCTGCTTCTGGAAGAACATAAAAATGGGAAGCAGGGCCCAACGGGTACTGTTCCCTCTTGCCCAATTTACTTTACAGCAGATTTGTACTGTTCTAGAAAGACAGAATTTTAAATACATACAAACACTCAGCTTATATGAGTAGGCCCAGAGGACTCCAAACTAACTGAGGATATGAATAAAGAATAATTAAAAAATCATCTTATAAGTAGGTGTTAAATACTGTAGAAATTCAAAGAGTGAGAATCTTGAAGTGCTAGAAAAAGATCAGAGAAGTCTTCCTAAATGGGAGCAGGGTTCTAACTGAACTTAAAGGAAACACGGGATTTGGACAGGTGAAGGAGGAAAGGGCATTTTGTCCATCTCTCTCACAAGATAGGGGACTCCTTTCTTAGACTTTCCAGGTAAGGGTCTGACACCTGTTCAATCTCCCCAAGTGGTCCCGTAAGCTATGGTGTGAATGTGTCCTCCAGAAGTTCATGTGCTGGAAACTTAATTGCCAATGTAATAGTATTAAGGGATGAAGACTTTAAGAATGATTGGGTCATGAGGGTTCTACCCTTCTGAATGGATTCATGCTTTATTACGGGAGTGAATTAGTTCTTGCCAGAGCCCGTTATTATAAAAGTGAGCTAGGCTTGCTCTTGTGGTCTCTTTCGCATCCACATTATGCCACCAGATGTCCCTTGCTAGGGACCAGCACCATGTCCTTGGGCTTCCCAAACTCCAGAACTATGAACCCAATAAGCTTCTTTTCTCTGTAAATTACCCAGTCTCTGGTACTCTGTTATAGCAACAGAAAATGGACTAAGACAGTAGGGGTGGTAGGAATCACTTCATAGTTCTCTGCAAAGAAAGACCCTCCCCCAGTCTGACTCCTTTGGACCCTGGGTGTGAGTGAGAGATTCAAGAACCGTGTTATCAGTTTTAAGCCGATTTGAAAATTTACATCTCAGACTACCTACTTACTTTGGAATAGAGTATTTTCATTTTGCCTGAACTTGAGCCCTGGCCATTGGCATATAATCAATAAATGTTTTACAGGTGAACACGCAGAACAAAGATATAGGATAAAGTGCTTGGATAGACTTTAGACCTCATCTCTGACCTCAGCAAGGCTCTCGTGGATCCCAGGTGTACTGAGGAGGGTGAGCTCTCTGACACGGGTTAGCGTCATTGGGATATTTGTACAAACGCAACATAGTAATTGGGTTTCACCATGTACAAGAGAAAAGCACTAAGGTTTTTAAAAACCCAGCTCATTTGGCCTGTGAAATCTTACCAGGATGCCCCTCCTTTTTCCTTCCCACCTGCCCCCTTCCTTCTCATTACTGCTGTCCTTGTGCAGCATCCCCCCAGTCACGTGCTAAGCCTACCTGAAGATGCTGACCATTTTCAATAATGCAACGTTAGGGTCAGAGGAGAGCAAGGATCATCAGCTAGTACCCTGGAGGCAAATTCTTAGGACAGAGATTTTCTCAGCCTGATTCTAGAACTATGGGCAAGCCAGGGATTCCCCCCACAAATCAACAGGGCTGCTGTGTTATTTCATGTGAGACCTTACTCCCCTTCTAGTCAGGGAGCTCCTCAAGACAGAAAACGACCATCCTAGCAGGGTCAGGGTTTCACCTCTGGCCTCAGCAAGGCTCTCTTCATAGTCAACACTTAGTGAAACTTTGCACTGCCTGAATGAATCAATGATGAATGAATGAATGAGCACTACGGTTACGCTGGAAACACAGACATACCACAGTCATTTTAGCCCATGGTGCAAATTTTCAAAGGATTCAGCTGAAAACTGGTAACAGGGCTCTTACTCACATCCAGGTCTAAAAGGGTCAGAATGTGTGTGGATTGTGGGAGGGTCTTCCTTTAGAGAGAGCTATGCAATGATTCCTACCACACCTACTCAACCTCATGAGAGGCTTACAGGGCTGAAGAGGTTGGACGGGTGTCTGATCCACACCTGAAAAATCTAAAATGGAGAGAAACTGGCCTATGCTTCAAGGATGGAAATGAAGGAGAGCTTGCTGTTGTGTTGTTATCAGCCTGAGTGCTGGAGTTTATTTGTGCATTAATATGTGTTTCCTATGGAGCATGAGTAGGCAACTCACAATAGAGGGAAATAAGTGGTGTTAGATTCTGTGTAATAGGGTAGATTGGAAGGACAAAGAGGGCAGAGGGAAGCGGATTCCCTGGTGGAGAAGCAACAAACTGGAGGCAATCACATGACATTCAACAAGGGAACTGCAGAAGAGGGGTCTGCAGTGATGGTCCAGGAATGGAGTGAGAAGAGGGAGATCTCCAAGGGGCCCCTCTGCTGGTGTGCCAGGGCTGCCACAGCAAAGTACCACAGACTGGGTAGTTTAAACAACACAAAATAAAGCCCAAGATCAAGGTGTCAACAGGGTTGGTTTCCTTCTGAGGCCTTTCTTCGTGGCCTGTAGATGGACGCCTTCGCCCTGTGTTTTCATATGGTCTTCTGTGTGTGTCTGCATCCTAATTGCTTCATCTTATGAGGACACCAGTCATACTGGATTAGAGTCCACCCATATGACCTTATTTTACCTTAATTACCCCTACAAAGGTCCTATCTCCAAATACAGGTACATTCTGAGAAACTGGGGGTTAGGACTTAGAAATGGGGTGGAGGGGCACAATTCAGTCCGTAACATTCCCAGAAATAACCCACAATTAAAAGTAAAACAAACATCTGTCAAACTCAGAACATGGCACTATCATGCTGTAGTACCAGTCAAATAAGAATTTTCAGCTGGATGTGGTGGCAGGCACCTGTAATTCCAGCTACTCGGGAGGCTGAGGCATGAGGATTGCTTAAACCTGGGAAGTGGAGGTTGCGGTGAGCCAAGATCGTGCCACTGCACTCCAGGCAGGGTGACAGAGTGAGACTGTGTCTCAAAAAAAAAAACAAAACAAAACAAAATTTTTTATCCCTCTAACTTCTTATCTTCCTCTGCCCTACCCCCAGTTTTACCATACAGCGATCCCTAGAGGGATTTCAAACTGTGATAGGAAGATGCAGGAGGCCGGGTAGCAGGGTGAAGTAGGGACAAAGAGAAAAGGGACAGCTATTTAACTTTAAATCAAATTACAACTTTTTATTGTTATTAGATTGGTGCAAAAGTAATTGCAGTTTTTGCCATTAAAATAACAAAAACCACGATTACTTTTTCACCAACATTGAGGACTCTAAATTCTGAATTAAGAGTATTTAGCAGTTGAAACTGACTGCAGAACTTTTTTTAAAAATCTAAGAATAATCAGAAAAGTCAGAGGCTGGGTGCAGTGACTCATGCCTATAATCCCAGCACTTTGGGAGGCCAAGATGGGAAGATCACTTGAGCCTGAGACCAGCCTGGGCAACATAGTGAGATCCCCATCTCTACAAAAATAAAAGTAAATTAGCTGGGTATGGTGGCGAGCACCTGTAGGCCCAGGTACTTGGGAGGCTGAGGCAAGAGGATCACTTGAGCCCAGGAGTTTGAGGCTACAGGGAGCTATGATTGTCACTACACTCCAGCCTGGGAGACAGAGTGAGACCCCATTTTAAAAAAAAAGAAACGGCCAGGTGTGGTGGCTCACGCCTGTAATCCCAGAACTTTGGAAGGGCAAGGCGGGTGCAGAAGTTCAAGACCAGCCTGGCCAACATGGCAAAACCTCGTCTCCTCTAAAAATACAAAAATGAGCCGGGTGTGGTGGTGCGCACCCATAATCCCAGCTACTGGGGAGGCTGAGGCAAAGAATCACTTGAAGCCAGGAGACAAAGGTTGCTGTGAGCTGAGATCGTGCCACTGCACTCCATCCTGCGTGACAGAGTGAAACTGTGTCTCAAAAAAAAAAAAAAAAAAAAATAGAAATGTCATAGATTTCATCCAGAGACAAGGAATATACTAACCTCACAATTATAACTTTCAGACAGGGGGATACAAAACAAAGCTGCTTTATGATTACTATCTTATAAATCTTATTTATTCAGCAAACCAGATACGTTATGAATGAATAAACAAGTAAACTTTCTTTTATGAATTAACAAAGGTACAGGTTTGTTAAAAGACTGCCCAGATAAAGTTAGGGGGGGAAAGACATAACAATAATGTCATCTTGGCAATGAATCCTTTCTAAAATACTTTAAAATCTCAGATTTTTTTCCAAGAAAATAAATGAGCACATTCTTTTTAAACCATAAATGTCATTTAGATACTGTATCATAATGATCACGTAGTAAAACTCTTTTGAGACCATTCATCTCCTATATTCACAACTTGCCTTTATCCAGGAGACGACATTTCTCTTGGAAACCAAATATATCATTCTCCTTTGAGAATAAAACCTGCCATCAACCAGGATTGATCTTAGTCTATGAATCAGCCAGAGCCAGCGGCACTGACTGACACAAAATTGGCTGTGGTTCTGGCAGCACTACTTTCTGGTCTGTCAAATCCACGACTCACATGCTCCAATAAGCCTACCAAAGAAAAGTCCCAAGGTTACCTCCTGCCCTAACTCCATTCAATTTAAAAAGCATGGCTTAATCAAAACAAGCTACCTCTGGAATATAAAAATCACTCTAGGACTAAGAAACTCCATGCAATTATCCCTTAAATCGAGGTTATTTTTAAGATGATCTCTAAAATGCTTGTCCTGTTCTGTGTTACTTATCTTTTGATGTTCATTACAATACCACCGTCTAAACACACCACCGTGTTCACCTCTGAAGAGAAAAACCACCTCACAGAGTGCCCAGCAACTGACCCCAAGTGACCGTGTATGGGTAAGCCCCTTCACATCTTCCTCCAAAGTCCATTCCTTAAGTTTCACCTATCTTGAAACCCAAAAGGGCCCATCAAGTTTAAACATAGAGATCCAATCCTCAAACATTATTGGTGAAAATGTAAAATGGTATAGTCATTGTGAAATGCAGTGTGACAATTTCTTACAAAGTTAAATGTACATTTACCACATGACTCAGCAATGCTATTCCCACCTACGAGAGAAATGAAAACATATGTCCACACAAAGACCGAATATTTATAGAAGTAGCATTTGTAATTGTGGAAAAAGTAAAACAGAAATGTTTGTCAACTAGGTAAATAATCTGTGGCAATTCCATATAATGGAATACTACCCAGCAATAAAAAGGAATAGCAAGCTGATCCATGGTGAAGCATGGATGAAGCTCAAACACATTTTGTTAAGTGAAAGTCAGACAGAAAAGACCACACATTATATGATTCCATTCCTTTTTTTTTTTCTTTTTTTTAAGAGACAGAGTCTTTCTCTGTTGCCCAGGCTGGAGTGTAGTGGCACCATCATAGCTCTCTGCAGCCTCAAACTCCTGGGCTCAAGTGATCCTCCCACCTCAGCCTCCTGAGTAGCTGGGACTACAGGTGTGCATCACCACACCCAACTAATTTTTGTATTTCTTGTAGAAACAGAGTCTCTGTGTTGCCCAGGCTGGTCTTGCACTGCTGGCCTCAAACGTTCCTCCGGCCTGTGCCTCCCAAAGTGCTGGGATTACAGGCATGAGCCACCACGCCTGGCCAGGATTCTATTTCTAAGACACATCCAGAAAAGGTAAATTTATAAAGACAAAAAGTAGATTGGTGGTTGTCCAGGGCTGGGAACGCTAACAGGAAGTAATTGCAAATGCCATAAAGGATCTTTCTGGGGTGAGGGAAATGTTCTAAAACTAGATGGTGGTGATGACAGTAAAATTCTGTTAATTTACTAAAAGTTGTTGAATTGTATACTAAAATTAGTGAATTTTACAGAAAGTAAGTTCTAACTCAGTGAAGTTGTTCTTAAAAAGATCCAGTGGCCTGGGCACGGGAGGCTCACGCCTATAATCCCAGCACTTTGGGAGGCAGGGGTGGGTGGATCACAAGGTCAAGAGATGGAGACCATCCTGGCCAACATGGTGAAACCCCATCTCTACTAAAAATACAAAAATTAGCTGGGTGTGGTGGTACATGCCTGTAGTCCCAGCTACTTGGGAAGCTGAGGCAGGAGAATCACTTGAACCCAGGAGGTGGAGGTTGCAGTGAGCTGAGATCACACCACTGGACTCAGGCCTGGTGACAAAGCGAGACTCAGTCTCAAAAAAAAAAAAAAAAAATCCAATGAAGTCTGAGCATGGTGGCTCATGCCTGTAATCCCAGCACTTTGGAAGCCCGAGATGGGCGGATCACCTGAAGTCAGGAGTTCAAGACCAGCCTGGTCAACATGGCGAAACCCCGTCTCCACTAAAAAATACAAAAATTAGCCAGGCATGGTAGCGGATGCCTGTAATCCTAGCTACTACTCGGGAGGCTGAAGCAGGAGAATCGCTTGAATCTGGGAGGCGGAGGTCGCAGTCAGGTGAGATCGCACCACTGTACTCCAGCCTGGGCAACGGAAGGAGATTCTGCCTCAAAAAAAAAAAAAAAACAAAAGATCCGATTCAAAAAGCAAAAGGGAGACCCATATACAAAGGAATTGGTTATGAAAAATATCTTTAGAGTGAGTAAGAGAACAGGTTCTATTCATGGCTATATTTAATCCCTGTTGTTAACCTAGAAAGAATGAATTGCCAGAAGTTGGCTTACTACATATTCATTGGTTCTTTGACTCAGTTTTGAAATAAGGAAACTTGGACTCTCACATTCTGGAATGTTGGAGACGTCATTTACAATGATCGCAGTGGTGTCACTTGGCTTGTGAATCTCTTTCCTTACCCAGGCATCCAGTGTCTTAATACTTTTCAGAATAAGGAATATATAAATATGTTAATGACATAGATTCTGTGAACTCTGATGCCCTAGAAGGGAGTGGAAGGAAAGTCCAGAAATTATTTCTGCTGTCCCAACTATCATATTTGGACATTACTCAAACACTGTGTATTCAAAAAAAGGATTTTTTTTTTGTCTGCAGTCCAACAGAGAGGGGGTGCTGGCTCACATGAAGGTAGGCCTCCCATTTCCTTGAGCAGAACGCTGTGGCCTGGTACTCCAGTAGTGGATCCATAAGTGGTCTGATCAACAGGGCACAGCCTTCCCTCCTACCCTCCCCACCCACTCCAACCAGGTCATTCTGGTAATAGCTACTCCCCTAGAGGTGGAAATGTCTCCTCATCAGGGCTATTCAGAGACTCTGGGGTTTTTAGAGTTGGGGGAGGGGAGGTAGACCTTCCTCTCTGGGTGAGAATTGGGAAACCAGGAGCCTGGTAGCTGCCCAAGACCCAGTTCTAGCTGGTTTGAGAGAGGGGACAGAGGCAGGGGTGGGAATGGGGTTGAGGGGTGCTGATTCCAGGGATCCCTGAGGCCCTGCTATAGCCACACTCTTTTGGCACAGGATGTGGGGTCACATAAGGCAAGGCACGCCCCTTCTAGCCTAAGCTATTTCAAGTTGGGTCTCTGACACTTGCCCTCGGGCACCAAAGTATTTGTCAGTACTCTTAGGTTGCAAGTGACAGAGACCCAACTCAGATGCCACAGTAAAAGAGGTGCCTAGATCTTCAACAGCACAATTGCAGGTTGCATTTCGGTCTGCTCAGCCCATTCCTGAAGTCAGCAGCTAAATTTACTTCACGAAGCTACAGAAGTGAAATATATAATAGGATGACCTACAATGTCCCCTTTGAATCTGCAGGTTAAGGAGGGCATGTTTATCATTCACTTGTTTGGCTATTCACTGCTTGTGGATCTGTCCTGCCCCATTGCCCTCACACAGCCTCACCTCATAAGTCCTCCATTCATTACCCTCCTCTAACATCAGTGCAGTCACTGAAGGAGACCTTGCTGGCAATTCAAGTGTGAGTCTTCTGGGCTATTTCCATTCTGAAAGTAAGTACTGCTCTTTGGGTCTCCTATAGAAACCAGGCCAACAATGAAAACAATCACAATTAACTATAAGTGAATAGCATTAAATGATTTTTAAACCCTCAAGAAATAAAAAGCCACTGTAACAGCTGGGTCTAAGAGGAAATGGTGCTTGGGGTCTGGAAATAGCATTGGACCCTATCTTCTCTGCTCTCCTGGGACTTGACTCCACAGAACTGAGGGAGTACAAAGGAGGGAAACAAGGAAGCTTGTTTCCCTTGAGTACAGGCTAAGGAGGAATAGGAAAAACAAAACCTTCAGGATAGGCAGAAACAATGTGAGAAGGACAGACGGTGGGGAAGTTTCCCTGGGGTATGGGGTGAGAAGGGGTGCTGGGGCTCAGCTGGACCAGTAGACCTCAATGCCTAATGATGAATAGCAGTTAATCCTTGAATAGTGGTGAAGGTATGATATGAAAACACACTGTCACCCTAATTTATTCTAAACAAGACACCTGGAAGAGATACCACCTAACCAAGGCATCACTCCCCAGGGGCCATGCCAGCCTGGATTTGCCACACTACAAATAGAAAAGCCCTTCAGATATTTTTCTGTCACAGAACACTGCAGGCTGTTCTATGCCTGGGCTATGGAGGCAGCTAGATCCTCCTGCCTGATAAAGACAAACTCCTGTTAACTAAATTTGAAACCCTAGACTTTCAATTTTCAACCACTTTCTGTGTGCAGGCATAAAAAGCAAACAGCACTAACATGAAGGATGGGGAATGCTTCCATTAACCAGTAAAGACTGAATATGCTCCCCCCCCACACCCCACACATATCCACAAACCTACATACCTTGCATCTAATGCAAGAGTTTTACACGGTAATAGCATTAAGGCTACTCAAGAACTTACAATTTATGAGAAAAGAAGCCTCTAATTTCTTACTCATGTCATATGCACTGAATCTTAACTAGAAGCCAAGTATACAGGTGATACAGAAATATGGACCATAGGACCCCAGCCTACAAAATCATTCAGTTTTTTTTTAAATAAAAAGTCCACATGGGTTAATGCACTTGCACAAAAGTAGAGATATGGATTTGTAAACCCAAAACTCAAATGTCCATTATCCCATGTGTAATTAGTTTGTGATGAAGCTATTGTAATTATCTACAGAAATGCTTAAAGCTAAGGGCAAAATCCTAGTTAACTGGGTAAGAAGGAGCTTAATCAAATATGCATTTATTGAGGACATTCTAGATGTCAGGTGGAGCGGGGTTACAGGACCTATAATATGTCTTCTTTATAAGAATAATATGTCTTTATAAGAAGACATATTATTTAGACCAGTACTGTCCAATACTATAGCCACATGTGGCATCTGTGCATTTGAAATATGACTAGTGCAAATTGAGATGCACTGTAAATGGGATTTATACAATGGATTTCAAACACTAGTAAAAAAGAATGTCAACTCCATCATTAGTAAGTTTTATATGGATTACATATTGGAAATAATATTTTGGATACACTAGATAAAATTATTAAAATTAATTTCATTTTTAAAAAACTTTTTATTGTGGCCACTAGATAATTTACTATGATTTATGTGGCCTGTATTAGTGGTTTGCTTGCATTTTTATTAGACAGTAATGATTAAGATTTTTCCCTTCAAGCACATAGCATCTTATTATTAATACTAACAAAGCAGATGTAAAATTAAGCAGAAAATGTATACGCTCCCAGCTTTAACATTCACTTACTATCATAAGATCACAAAACAAGTCTAACAAATACTGGAGGTTAATAATTAAACAATGAAAGTAGTAATTTAAAAGATTCACTCTGCCACACGTAGAAGGGATAATTAACCCACAATTTTATTTCACTCAAAGGCTGATGGACTCCTAGTGTGTGCAAACTCAACTATTATCCTGCTGCCGAGAAGACGATGTCTGCTATGAAAGGGCTAGTTTACCACTCAGGGACTCTCCTGTATTCTCACCCCCTTTACCTGGTGCCAAAAGACCATCCTCAATTAGGGCTGACAAGGTGCACCCATGGGGCTACGTTTATCCTCCTTATTGTTCTTAAGAAGCTATAGCTTTTACTTGCTGTACAGCATCTAACAAAGTAAGACTGTGTTAGCTTATCCTAGCCCCAAGTTTTCTGTAGTGGAGGCTGAAAACCAAAAAAACAAAAACAAAAAATTATTACCCTGTTATATACTATTCAGAAAACATGTCTGAAAATTTTCCAAAAACATCAATAGGGAATTAACTATACCATTGCTTCATGCTAAGAGCTACCATTTTCAGTTTAACCAAGACGTTACTACTCTGTGTCTAGATTACGGTTGAAGCAACACAAGTTCTCTGGTGAGACTGAGGACCTTGTTAATGCAATCTGGAATAAGATAAGACTGGGGACTAATAAAAGAACTACATCTTTACATCGTTCACATTACACAATGACATAATAATAGAAAGGTAAATAGGGAGAATGCTAATACAGAGAAACAGTTGCAAATTGAACAGAAGATGCAAGGCAGATGTGTTAACAATAACATATGGGGCAACCTCTCTTTATTGCTATAGATTATAATGGCAGGAATAATCATGTTGGCCAATATATCAGCAGTTCCTTAAAGGCAGGGTGATAAAGAGCATGATGACATTAGCAATGATAATAACAGCCACAATAGCTATCCTTAAAGATTACTTTGCAAAATTTTATTTTTTAAATTATTTTATTATAAATGAATGTCATCTCATTTAATGCCCACAAGCACTTCAGAATTAAATTCTACTGTTATTATTCTCAGCTTCCAGACTAGGAAATTGCAGCAGAGAAAGTTTATTTAGCCAAAGGGGCATAGCTTATAAATAGAGGAGGCTAGATTAAACTAAGGTTCAAGTTCCAAGCCCAACACGTGACACTGGGCTGCACGTGAGACAACACCAGTAATTTTTAAAAGTCTGGCCAACTGACCAATCTTTTTAGTACTTAATAGAAAAAATTCAGTTGCCTTCAAAGACGGAACGAGTCCTCAGAATTACTGCTGGCACATAGAGGTCCCTCTAGGAAATACGAATGGACCAATTTGCAAAAGGCATTCCATTCCTTCTGGCTGTGTGTCCTCACGCACCCCTGCCTCACTGGAATGGAGTAGCATCTTTATTTCTTTGTTCTCACATGTAGAGCATATGCTTAAGGAATAACTTTATTAAATTCACGGAGTCAACAAATCCTCTTCCATATAGCTTTGCTAAAGATACAAAGTCAATAACAGAGAAAATATAAAGAGAATTATAGACAAGTGAAGTGGCTATTTTTACGTTCGCCTGGGCTGACAGCAGACTGAGATGGAGGTTTCCATGTCTTGGCAACAATTTGGAAAAGCAGAACGTTTAGATACTTATGTACTTCTCTAACATTAGGACATTTCTGTTCCTTAAGAAATTATTCCATCCTGCACAACTCTCTCTACCCTATAAAAAAGAAAATACTGCAATTCTTCAGGACAATCTAAACACTGATATTATACAAATGGAATCCTGAAAAACATCACCCAGTGAGACAAGAATGGGGCAGAGGTGCACAGTGCTACTGTTCGGGAAGCCACACACAAAAGCGCCCACAGCCAGCGGCCTGCCACCCGAGCCTGTAGCACTTATCACCAGGACAGGGTGAGCTGCTCCTTGTTTCTTTTGCCACAGTGGATATAAACACCTACTTTCAATTTATTTGGTCAAAGAGGCATAGAATCAAATACCCTTTGTTGTAGGGACTATGCACTTAAAAATAATCAGGGGTTGGTTTAAACAAGAGACAGAAAGAAAGCCTGTTGCCAAACAAGGCACAAACAGTAACAAAGCCATCAACAGATTGGCCGGGAGACAGGCTTGAGATAGGTATCACCTGGAGGAAATCAGTGCATCGTGTGCCTGTCTCATTAGGCTTTTAGAGACTGTAGAAGAAAAGCAGTTGCAAAAGGAAACAAATAGCACACCCAACACTGTGAAAAGTTGTATAGCACAGAAAGAACCTAATTACTGGCTGGGTGTGGTGGCTCACGCCTGTAATCCCAGCACTTTGGGAGGCCAAGGCGGGAGGATCACGAGTTCAGGAGATCAAGACCATCCTGGCCAACATAGTGAAACCCCGTCTCTACTGAAAATACAAAAATTAGCTGGACGTGGTGGCACACGCCTGTAGTCCCAGCTACTCAGGAGGCTGAAGCAGGAGAATCGCTTAAACCTGAGAGGCAGAGGTTGCAGTGAGCCGAGATGATGCCATTGCACTCTGGCCTGGGGACAGAGCGAGACTCTATCTCAAGAAAAAAAAAAGAACCTAATTACCTAGGAATTTATCAAGATTGCTGAGTGGCTGTATACATCATGAAGTTAGCGGCAGACATGAGTTTTTCCTCAAAAAACACACTCCAAGAAAATCTTGGATGGTAAGTATATGGATATTGATGACAGTTTCCATGCCGATATTTTAAATAGTTTTTTTTTCCCAATTTAAAAAAGCTCATAAAAAATGTGAAATGTTTTTCTCAAAAGAGAAAAATGATATCAACTCCAAAGAAAATCTAAGAAATTTTTTTATTTCTTTAAACAAAGACCCAAGAAGGTTGTGAGAGCATTTGAATCAACTTGCACCCATGATAAATAGAAACTGGGTCTGAAGTGGGCCTGTGCTTGGAGACAGAAAGATGAAATACTCAGCACCTTGCCTGGTGCTATGGCCTCCTAACATGTTAAATAAAGGACACTGAACCCTTCGTGGGGCCCACCTTTTTTTTTTTTTTTTGAGACAGAGTCTCGCTCTGTTGCCTAGGCTGGAGTGCAATGGTGTACTCTCGGCTCAGTGCAACCTCCGCTTCCCGAGTTCAAGCAATTCTCATGCCTCAGCCTCTCGAGAATCTGGGATCACAGGCGTGCGCCATCATGCCCAGCTAATTTTTGTATTTTTAGTGGAGATGGGGTTTCACCATGTTGGCCAGGCTCGTCTTGAACTCCTGACCTCAAGTGATCCACCTGCCTCAGCCTCCCAAAGTGCTGGGATTATACGCGTGAGTCCACCCCTGTCTTGGCTGTCTTTCCTAGAGAAGAAAGAAAATGCAGCCGGTTGTCCATGAGCCTCCTGTCTCACAAGTTCCCACATCCTCTGGGTGGCTGAGAAGAGGCCACTGTGTATGCCTCTCCTGTCTCGGCAACAGAAGTAATTCCTTTCATTTTTGAAAAAGGATCAATCACCAATATGTCAGCTTTCATGGGAGGAGATGTTCAAATTACTTGAGCATTCTTGTCAGATTAAGAGCCTCAGCATGGAATCTGTGAGCTCACCAACAAAGCCTGACAAACATTTGTTACACGGTTCTCACAGCCAAGGGCCTGGGTCCTGCACCTTTTCTGACCTTCGTGCTGCTGCTCAATGCCATTGGCCTCCCCTGGAACTCCCAATTTTTACCCTCTTCTTCGAGGTGAATTGTCCAAGTCTATACAAGTCTTCTGCACTTAAGACTTAGGAGTCTTTCCTCAAAAATCAAAAGTAGCCCAAGGAAATTCTGGATGGTAAATATACCGTTATTGGCTATAATTTCTATGCCTATGTTTTAAATAGTTTTTTTCCAATGCAAAAAAAATAATAATAATAAAAAAGGCTCAGGCAGGGCATGGTGGCTCATACCTGTAATCCCAGCACTTTTGGGAGGCCACAGCAGGCGGATTGCTTGAGCTCAGGAGTTTGAGACCAGCCCGGGTAACATGATGAAACCCTGTCTCTACAAAAATACAAAAATTCACCAGGAGTGGTGGTACACACCTGTAGTGCCAGCTCCAGGGAGGCTAAGGTGGGAGGACTGCTTGAGCCCAGGAGGTCAAGGCTGCGGTGAGCTAAGATTGCACCACTGCACTCCAGCCTAAGGGACAGAGCGAGATCCTGTCTCAGAAAAAAAGAGAAACGTGAACATTTTCTCAAAATAGAAAAATGATATCAATTCCAAATAACAATTATAATTAGCTACATACAGGAGTCTCAAGGTCACTGTTGACCTGTGAGAGAAACAGAAAAGTATAATGTGTAGAAGTGCAGTGCTGAGCAGCCAGTACCAGGGTCTCATCCATCTCTGCCTCTCATTAACTGTCCCTTTCCAAGGGGCCATTTCTCTAGGCCTCAGCCTCATCTGTGAAAAGAATTCCCTCCCACCACCGCCACCCCATTCCCACCACTAACAGTCGCCTTGTACTGTGGCAGATTGCGACCATATCTAACCTGGCTAAAACTCTTAAGTCCCCGAGGGCAGGGCTTGTCATTCATCCAGAGATCTTCTAATACCCAATTATCCCATCAACACATACTGGTAATGGGAAACCTGACAATGACTACGGCCAGCCCTGACCTTATTCGAGGACAGTCCAGCAGCAAAGTGCCTATGGCAGAGAAGGTGCTCAAGTCAATTACAATGACCCATCTGAAGAGCTTCTGTCAGGTCAGGCAGGCAGCCTGTTACAGGCAGATCCACAGCCCTTTTTGCTTGGTTTTTGACTGAAATGGCTTGAGGACGTCACCCAAGGTGAATGCTGATATTAGCAGTTCTGAGTACAGCTGACGTGGCAGTCCCTTCCCCCATGCACAATACTTCCCACAGAAGCATGTTTTCCTCCAGAAGAGCAGGCTTCCAGCTGAGGGTCAGTTCCTCAACTAAAAGTGTGGCCCTGTCTTCTTCAGGTCCCCATCAAGACAGCCACATCAGGCTGGGGGGCCAAGAAGAAAAAGGCAAAGTGAAGAGCCAGTTGGGGATATTTCCCCCACTGGGCTGAGCAGCCAAAGGCCTACCTGTGAGCCTAGAAGTACTGTCAGGAGGTGCCTGGGACACCTACTGTGAGACTAGGAGTACTGTCGGGGGGCCGGGACATCTGTGAGCCTAGGAGTACTGTCAGGGGTTGCCTGGGACACCTACTGTGAGCCTAGGAGTATTGTCAAGTGGGGCGCAGGACATCTCCTGTGAGACTACAAGAATTGTCAGGTGGGGCCTGGGACATCTCCATTCCTTCCTGTTAACAGCAAAACTGGGAAACTGCTGCCACCAAAAGCTGAAGACAGAACAGACCCAACTCCTTGGGGTGAGAAACTTAAGACTCATCCTTAGAATTCATCAGGTCTCTGTGAAATAGTCATATTACAAAACCACCTTTTCATTGCATATAAATTGCATTTTATTACATCCAATAGAAATAGATCCTAAAAATGGTCAATAGTATGTTGACTGGTTGACATAGCAACCGATGACTAGTTTTCAAATTGAGAGTATAAAACCCACAATTATTACTTTTCACTCATGTATGATAGGTTTTCGAACTGTGGGTGGCAGTGGGGTGGGGAATAGCGGCACATGATAGAAAAATAGAGCCCTTGTAATTGTATTCTCAAACTTTGAGAGGTGGTCATTGTGGGTTCTTAACCTGGGTATTCCAAGGAGGTTTATAAATGGCCTTAGGGCAAGGAGTTCCATGAAACTCATGAGACTGATAAAAATTATGAATTTATAGCATCATTGTACATACATCAGTTTCTCCAAGGAAGAATGGTCCAAAACCCCCATCAGATTTGCAAGTGTCCATCTATGCCTCACGAATATTTAAGAATCACTGCTGGATGGTTTTCTCTGGTTTGCAAATGGATTCCTCTTAGAGAAAAAAAAAAAAAAAGAAAAAAAAATGGAAAACACTTTACTCTGTGCTGCCCTAGTGCAAAAGGAGGCTTCTCTGGCCTTTTATTCTCCATCAGTTAACACTGCCTGTTTTCTGAGTGTCTATCACTTCAGCCAGCAAAAGGAACTGGACAGACTTAGTGAAAGTGAAAAGAGGTAGATGCTGCTTGTTAGTTTTAGAGTTATTATCTCTTTGAAAAGAACAGCTAAATTAAGCAAACTGATTGCAAAAACGTGGAACCAACCCAAATACCCATCAATCAATGAGTGGATAAAGAAACTGTGGTGTGTGTATATATATACATATATATATGTGTGTATATATATATATACACACACATATATATGTGTATATATATACACATACATATATACACATATATATACACATATATATACACATATATATACACATATATATACACATATATATACACATATATATACACATATATATACATATATATATACACATATATATATATATACACATATATATATATATATGATGGATACTACTTAGCCATAAAAAGGAGTGAACTAATAGCATTCACAGTGACCTGGATGAGATTGGAGATTATTATTCTAAGTGAAGTAACTCAGGAATGGAAAGCCAAACATCGTACATTCCTACCCATAAGTAGGAGCTAAGCTATGAGGATGCAAAGGCATAAGAATGACAAAATGGACTTTGGGGACTCAGGAGGAAAGGGTGGGAAGGGAGTGAGGGATAAAAGACTACAAATAGGATGCAGCGTATACTGCTCAGGTGATGGGTACACCAAAATCTCACAAATCACCACTAAAGAACTTACTCATGTAACCAAACACCCAGTTCCCCAATAACCCATGGAAATAAAAAATTTAATAAATAAATTAATTAAGCAAATTGAACTTATCTAGATCATAAGAAAACAGAATATCTTATCGATAACAATACCTAAAATGGATATGAAAAATTAAGTTGAGCTTTAAAAGGTAATATAATAAATAAGTGTAAGGGAAACTGGTTCCTTGATAATAAGCTTTGGTGTTCACTAAATGTCAATTTTTTTCTTTCCTTTTTTTTTTTTTTTTGAGACAGTGTCTCGCTGTCACCCAGGCTGGAGTGCAGTGGTGTGATCTTGGCTCACTGCAATATAAATATACTTTTTTTTTTTAAAGTAGATATGGGGTTTTGTGCCATGTTGCCCAGACTGGTCTTGAACTCCTGAGCTCAAGTGGTCTGCCCTCCTCAGCCTCTCAAAGGGCTTGGATTACAGGCAGCAGCCACTGTGCCTGGCCTAAATGTCAATTTAAGAAAATAAATAAATAAATAAGGAAAGAAAAAAAAAGAGCCCATGTATTTCCTTCCACTGTACAGTAAGCTTCTTGGACTACAACCACCTTTTCTCACAACTAGATTCTGCTTATTTAGAAGCAGGGATTAGCAAATCATGAAGAACTTCCCAAAGGTGTCCCCTTGCCCCGGTGTGACATATGGTCATGGAATTATACGGCAAGACTAATTTCCAGTGAATGCCATTCACTACAGAAGGGACTGGCCTAGATCGCAAGTAAGGTTAGATGAGGTGACACTGATCACAAAAACCCAGCTGGTGAATCAATCAAGACACAATGCACAAACTTCCGCAAAGAGTGGATAAGGAGGAAAAGTGTTTCTTTCACATCTTCTGAACTTCGACTTCGCACTTTGTTGCTGATTTCTGCCTTTTGATTATTGTTTAATTCTCCTCTAGACTAGGACAACTCTATATCTGATGACCGCCATGAGGGGCTTAATGACCTCTGAGGCAGGAGTAGTTGAGAGATGTTAATCTCCTACTGTGTGGCAGATACTCTACTGGACACATAGAATATAAAATTGAAGAACAAGGCATGCTTCCTTCAGTTAAACAGAAGAAGGTACTGCTTTGTTTTTAAACACATGGTTAAGTCAGTAAAGTTACTTTTTATTTGTATTTATTTATTTTTTTAGACAGGGTCTCACTCTGTTGCCCATGCTGGAGTGTAGTGGTAAGATTTTGGCTCACTGCAACCCTCGATCTCATGGGTTGAGGTGATCCTCCCACCTCAGCCTCCTGAGTAGCTGGGACTACAGGAATGCACCACCATGCCCAACTAATTTTTGTATTTTTTTAGAGACAAAGTTTCGCCATGTTTCCCAAGCTGGTCTCTTAACTCCTGGGCTTAAGTGATCTTCCTGCCTCAGCTTCTCAAAGTGCTAGAATTACAGGTGTGAACCACCATGCCTGGCCAAAAGTTACTTTTTAAAATACTGATTAGATTTGCTGATATCTCTCAGTGGGCCTGATGTCAAAGACGAGGCTAATTTTTTTGTTCATTGTAGATGGCTGGAGCTAGAAAATTGACATTTGATGAACAATTTTTATCTTTTGTTGAACCACCTGTACTTTTCAGCTCATGACTAACTACAAAGGGAAGAAATATCTTTAAACTGGGCATGGTGGCTCACACCTGTAATCCCAGCACTTTGGGAGGCCAAGGCAGGTGGATCACTTGAGGTCAGGAGTTCGAGACCAGCCTGGCCAGCCATGGCCAACATGAAACCCCATCTCTACTAAAAATACAAAAATCAGCCGGGCATGGTGGCATGTACCTGCAGTCCCAGCTACTCAGGAGGCTGAGGCAGGAGAATTGATTGAACTTGAGAGGCGGAGGTTGCAGTGAGCCGAGATCACCCTATTGCACTCCCGCGTGGGCAACAGAGTGAGACTCTGTGTCTAAAAAAAAAAAAAAAAAAAAAAAATCTGTTTAAATTGTGCAACATTTTACTAATAATCATATAATTCTATGTTTATGATTTTCAGCTTAAAGTTTAACCCTATCTGGATCCATAATATACTGATTTCTTTCAATATCATTTTATTACAGAGGATACAATAAGAAATGTAAATGGTGTACTTCAGTATTCTAGTAATGTTTTAAAGGATATCATCAGTATCGTATACCTAATATAGTTCACTGGGAAAAAAAATCTAGACTCCTTTTCCCTATCACCATATAAAATGCATCCAAGAGGCCTCTGATATATTTAGCTTTGTTTTGTCAACTCCTATACTCATCATGCAAGGTAGAAAAAATTCAGTTGGCTTCTACTGAAACAATGCATTAGTGCTATAATAGTGAATGTTTTTTGTGCCATGAATTAAGGACTGTACGATGTGGCAATTCTTAGAGTATATCTAGGGACCTTTCTACATATTAGTTGCTCCAACATCTTCAGATTAAGGTTCTCATTTTCCTTCCATCATGAAAAATACATCCCTCCTCCCCCTCCAAAAAAATCCTCATAGATAAAAGCACAAAGTCAGGGCAATGATGATGTACACTCTGCAACAATCCAACAAAATACACTGTTTGTTCTTAGAAACGCAGTGTGGACCGGGGGCAGTGGCTCATGCCTGTAATCCCAGCACTTCAAGAGGCTGAAGCAGGAGGACCTTCTGAGCCCAGGAGTTCAAGACCAGCCTGGAAAACATAAGGAGACCTTGTCTTTGTAAAAAGTAAAAGAAAAACTAGGCAGGTGTGTTGGCACGCGCCTGTAGACACAACTATTTGAGAAGCTGAGGTGGGAGGATCACTTGAGCCCAGGAGTTCCAGAACAGAGCAAGATCCCATCTCAAGAAAAAAGAAAGAAATGCAGTGTGCTTCATGTTGCTTGGGATGGCTGCTGGCCTGTTACTGCAGATGTCGTGTGGAATACAGTCAGCATCTACTGGTTATGCATCTTCCACATTCATCGCATTGGAAACCAGGTTATCACAAAAGGAAAGATGGGTGTGCTTCCAAGCACCGTGTTACTTATGTTTTCCTCTAAATTCAGGATTAGGCAAAATGTTGGGAGAAAAAAAGTCTGAAGACATTAAGTGGCTTATAGGATAAATCACATAGATTTAAAAGGAGTGGTTTCCCTAGAAGACATAAGTTTTCTTACCCTGAAGGAATCTGTAAATATGAGATATGGTGCACATACCAGCACCATTTAGGATATCCAGTAAGTGTTAAAGGCGAAATTCCACAGAGAAAAAATAACAACAAAAAGCATATCCATTTGTTCATCAAACATCTGTTTACCTGCTAGGGGTCAACATTGTTCTAGACACCATGAATACAACAGTAAACAAGAGTGGCAAACCCCATGCCTTTGTAGAGCTCATAATCTAGTACAGAATACTGATATAAATTATAGATTGAGTATCCCTAAACCAGGAATCTGAATCTGAATCTGAAATGCTCCAAAGTCCAAAACTCTTTGAGCACCTACACGACACCAAAGGAAAGACCCACCGGAGCACTTCAAATTTTTGGATCAGGAATGTTCAACCATGTAATACAAATACTCCAAAAATTTTAAAAATATCCAAAATCTGAAACACTTCTGGTCCCAAGCATTCTGGAATAAAGAATACTCAACCTATACACGGCAAGCTAGAAGGTGGTAAGTGCCTTGGAGGTAAATAAAGCAGGGATGAGGTTGCAGGCTGGACTGGAAGGAGGTGTCTCAACATAACACCTGAAGGGATGACACAGCCATGTAGACGTCTAAGAGAAGTGCTTTCCAGGTAGTGGGAAGAGCACATGCAAAGGCTCTGAGGCAAGACGCCTGGTGATCCTTTTGCAGAATTCACGAGCATGATGATTGCATGTGTAACATGTGTCTGACATGAACTTAGGGAAAAAAAAAAAAAAGAATGTGCCCAGCAATTTGAAGGAATGAGGACGCCAATGTGTTTAAATGCCTTAAACTCCTTTCAGCCTGAGTGGTTACCATTAGGGTAAAAATGCGTCACTAACACAGCAACATTTTCACAGACTCTTAGAACAGGAATGTGCCTTTGTAAATGCTTACTCCTACCCCTTAATCTTACCAAAGAAATGAGGAAGAGGAGGTTGGGTGAGTAATCCAAGGTCACACGGCCAGTGAGTAGCTGAGAAAAGGTTTCTGCACAAGAATCCCAAACAGCACCATGGATTTGTCTCATGCTTCAATTTTACAATGAAGAGCCACTTTTTCTTTTTCTTTCTCTCTTTGAGTTGGAGTTTCACTCTTGTTGCCCAGGCTGGAGTACAATGGCCGGTGGGATCTCGGCTCACTGCAACCTCCACCTCCCAGGTTCAAGCGATTCATCTGCCTTAGCCTCCCGAGTAGCTGGGATTACAGGCATGCGCCACCACGCCTGGGTAATTTTGTATTTTTAGTAGAGACGGGGTTTCTCCATGTTGGTCAGGCTGGTCTCGAACTCCTGACCTCAGGTGATCCACCTGCCTCGGCCTCCCAAAGTGCTGGGAGCTGAGACAGGGTCTCACTCTGTCGCCCAGGCTGCAATGCAGTGGTGTAATCTAGGCTCACTGCAGCCTTGACATCCAGGACTCAAGCAATCCTCCCACCTCAGCCTCCTGAGTAGCTAGGACCACAGGCACACCACCACACCCAGCTAATTTTTGTATTTTTTGTAGAGATGAGGTTTTACCATGTTTCCCAGGCTAGTTTTGAACTCCTGAGTTCAAGCAATCCTCCTGCCTTGGCCTCCCAAAGTGCTGGGATTACAGGCATGCAACACTACACCAGTCCCACTTTTCTTAATTAAAACAAAGAAAGAAAAAAGAAAAAAATAATCCAGCCAACTATGTAATCTTCTTAGAATTTAATCAGTTTCACTTTTTTAGTCAACAGATAGCCAAGACCATACAAGCACCCTAAATATTTGTTGAAGAATGAATAATAAATGCAATATTACCTAAACTTCATTACCCAGCAACTAACTAAATAAGTGTGTAACAGAAAAATGTGTGCACAAGAAAACATCTCAGGATGTTTATTGTACAAACTGTTATAGTAAAAAGAAATAAAAATAAAAATGAAAATGGAAATAGAGTGTCACTCAGCAGAAAAAGTGTAACAGTGAAAAACTAGGCCAGGCACAGTGGCTCATGCACTGTGGAAGGCTGAGGTAGAAGGCTCACTTGAGGCTGAGAGTTCAAGGCCAGCCTGAGCAACATAGTAAGACCCTGTCTCTACAAAAATGAAAAAAATTAGCCAGGCATGGTGGCATGTGCCTGTGGTCCCAGCCACTTTGGAGGATGAGGCAGGAGGACTGCTTGAGCCCAGGAGATTGAGGCTGTAGTGAGCAGTGATCACGATACTGCACTCCAGCCTGGGTGACAGAGCGAGACCGCAGCTCAAACAAAAAACAGTGAAAAACCAGAAACCCTAACTTACTCTTGGCAAGGGAGTAAATATACTATACTTTTTTCATACACTGGGATTCTCTGTAACAGCTAAAGTGAATAAAGATCTATTAACACATGTATCTCAAAAACATAGTAAGTTAAAAATGCAAGCTATACATAGGTAGAATTATGCCATTTATGTAAAATGTTAAACACAAACTCACATGTATTTTTTTGTGGATACAGTGTAGTTCCAAACATGCTTGAGAACTGTGTGCGCTAACTTCACATTAGAGGTTACCTGAGGATGGAGGCAAAGGAGTAGGAATAGATCAAATATTTAAGTTATAGTTTATTTTTCCGGGGGGGGAGAGGTATGGATCAAATATGAAAATATTAGCAACTATTAAACCTAGGAAGTAGAAGACAAAATGGCTTACTATACTCTGTTTTTATGTATGTTAGAAATATTTCATACTTATTTATTTATTTATTTATTTGAGACAGAGTCTTGCTCTGTCGCCAGGTTGGAGTGCAGTGGCGCAATCCCAGCTCACTGCAACCTCCACCTCCCGGGTTCAAGCGATTCTCCTGCCTCAGCCTCTCAAGTAGCTGGGATTACAAGTGCGTGCCACCACGCCCAGCTAATTTTTATTTTTTGTATTTTTAGTAGAGACGGGGTTTCACTGTGTTGGCCAGGATGGTCTCGATCTCCTGACCTCATGATCCGCCTGCCTCGGCCTCCCAAAGTGCTGGGATTACAGGCATAAGCACCATGCCTGGCCCTTATTTTTATTTTTAAAGGATGAAAAAAAAGGAAAGAAGGAAGGGAGGGAGGGGGTGGAGGAAGGAGAGGCAAAAGTTGTCCACTGCATTCTATTAATTCCAAGGCCCAGTTGTTCTTAACCTCCAAATCTGCTTCTTCACTTTTAAAGCCTAGGTGATAGTACGTGTACCTGCCTAGAACATGCTTTGAAAACTAGCAGACTGGAGAGAGAATTTCACTGTCAGGTTCACTACTGGTGGGCGGGACACTACATCATTCCCCTACGGAATCCCTAGGGGGCTCAGCATCCTTTCTGTCTCTTCAATTCAGATAACAGTAATAAGATTTTCCAGCAGGGTTATAATCACACCACCACCACCACCATCTCCAAAAAGCCATAAAACAATAAATTCATTACTGAAGCATCTCAGTGAATGGAGATGAAAACTGTGCAACAGCCCAGCACGGGATAGCTCTCCCAATCTCTGTTAGACAAGCACTGGCTAAAATATAAGAACTGGATCAATCTCCTCACATAAAATCAACTGTCTTACAAACCCAAGGGGGAAAAAAATCACACTTGTTAGGCATCATTAAGAAAAGATTATCAGATTATATACATCAGTAATAAAATTCCGAGCCACAGGGCGAACAGGGACCTGCAGGCTGGGGACAGAGCAGCCAAAATCCAGCCTCCCTGTGATTCCCGACCTCTTCTCCAACTCTGTGCAAAGCCCGAGGAGGTGAGACTCTCTTCGCTAAGGCGAGCTTCGGCTATGTCCTAGTGATGGACAGTTCCTCTCTGCCAGGCCCCTGCAGCCTTGAGACCACATTCCCCAGAGATCCGGCAACGTTTCCCCATCCCAGGCAGCTGGGCATTCTCCTCTCCCGGAAGGAAGACGGAATCCCACCCCGATCATGCGTGAGCTGCGGCGAAGAGAAGCCGCTGGTCCCGAGGCGAGGGGCCTCGAGTCCGCAGATTCCCCTCAACATTTCTGGGAGTAAAGTTGGGCTTAGCTGGGCTCCTGGCAAATAAAGAGGAGCCTGGAAAGACAGCCATGCTCAGGCCCCCGTGAGGCCACTTCGGACCCCTCCACGCTGTGCTGGGCTGCATCTGCCTTAATTCCCCGTCTGTTGCTTCTCCAGGCTCTGAGCCCCCTCCACAAAAGGGGGATGCGAAACTCAAAGGAGTTAGGATGTCAACCCTGCAAACCGCAGAAACTAAACCGACACCAACCTGCCCAAGAAGGCAGCGAAGGTGGTTGAGGACGACACCCCACCCCCCACCCCCCACCAGGCAGGGGTCGCGGGAGATGGCGGGCGCCTTTCTGGTGGCTCCACGTCCTCCTTACTCCCGAAGTCCCGGCGGCCCCGAGTCTGCCCCAACTCCAGCATCCGTTCTCCCCGAGCTGCGGCGGGGAAAACAAGGTAGGGGGCAGGGGCAGGCCCAGAGGGGTCTCGCCCCCGCCCTTGGGCCGGCCGAGGGGCTCCCTGGAGTCAGAGGAGGAACAATAGCGGACCCCGCGTCCTGGGAGCCACCCGGAGTCTCCCGCTCGCACCTCCCTCCCCACCTCCTCCAAGTTCAGCCGGGAGGCGGATTGGGCTCAGCAGCACCGACGCGGGGGCAGCGAGGCGCCGCGCGGGGCGAAACAGGTGGGACCCGGCGCAGACTCCAGGGTGCATCTCCGGGTCTGCTCATTCATTCCCACCCGCGCTCCCTCCGCCGCGGCCCCTGCCCCGCGCCCCGCCCCAGCCGGCCTGCGAGTCGCGGAGGACCCGGGAAGAACCCTTCTCCTAACTTGGCCGGGTCTTCCCGCTCTACCCTCATCTCCACCTTCCTCTCCTTCCTCTTGTCCCCAGATCTGCTCTCCGCAGACAGTGGGCTGCCGGCGGTGGACCAGGGAGAGGTGGCGGGACCCCGGCTGCAGCCCGCTCAGCCGCTCCGCCCGGGCGCCGTCCCCAGCGCCTCCCGCGCCCGAGCTCCAGACACAAAGGCGGGGACACGAGCCCGGGACCCCGCGCCGGGAGCCTCCCAACTCCGTGCCGCGCACTCACCCCATCGAGGCGGCGGCGGCGCTCCCCGGACCCAGCTGGCTGCTCCACCCCGCCCGCCGCTTCCCCAGGAAAACGCGGCCGCCGGGCTCGCTTCCTGCTCGGCTTCCTGCGCCGCAGTCCCTCCTCCTCCCCCGCTGCGGGGGTCAGTGGGCGCCGAGCTCCCGGGCTAGGCCGGCGGGGCGGGGGCAGCGGCAGCACCACCACGTGGCCGCCGGGCGCCGGCCCCCGCCGACCTGGATCCAGTGGGAGCGGGAAGGGAGGCGCTAACCATTCCCCTCCCATTCCACCCCTCGCGGCCCCAAATTCCGCGAGTCAGGTGACCCGGCCCCGGGCTCTGGCCGGGACCTGCGGGGGGTGCTCTCCGCCCTCCAGCCCCCGGCGCATCTCCCCGGCCCGCGCGTCCCGGCTGTTCGTGGCTTGCTTTTAGTCTCCAGGGATCGTGGGACCCTTCTCCGCGGATCTGTTTCATCCTCTTAACCTGAAGTTAGTGGAAGCCCCCCACGCTCTGACCCCTGGGTTTAGGACGGATGAGATCCCAGATACTGTTTATTTCTGATTAACTTCCAAAGTCGTTTGTGGTAGTGGCGAGTGTTTCAAAGTCACGGATCCAAGCCCCTTCTGACCAGAATCTAAAAGGTTGTTTTCCAAAATCATTGAACAGAAAGTAAAGTAGAATGTGCTCACGTTCTCCGGACTGAACCAATTGGTTGAAGTGACTGTTTTCTAGCACTCATTGGGTGGCAAGGCAAGACTACCACCGTTCAGTGTTGTTCTGCTCAGGAGTTAGAAAGGAGAAACCTACAGCCTGAACTGACAGGCGAGATTGCGCATGGGAACGCCTTCAAAATAGTGTGTGAGAAGCCACGGGGTACAGGCTCACTGCCCCAGGTCCCCGACAGCTTCTCTCCCTATCCCAGCCCACTAAGGCCCGACCTTTCAATTACGATGGACTCCACCATTAATTCCAAGGATTTCAAAGCTCTCTATCTACCCACTCATCTAATTTGGGCTGGCTTTTCCATGCATTCTAGTCATGCTAACCAGCTGTGACTTCAGTTCTGTTCACCTAAGCTCCTCCCTTCTCCTCGTTAGCTCTGCCTCCTTTGCTCAGGGAAGAAAGCTTTCTAGAATAAATAACGTATTGAGTTCTTTCTGGGATCTACTGTAAGTCAATTGAACTTAAGAGGGAAAAAAGGTCGATTCCAACAAAATTGAAATTCACCCTAACAGCTCAGTTTATAACGTGTCAGCTACATACTAATATTTATATGGCAGATATTACCTGTTCCCTCCCCCCGCCCCATCCCCCTTTCCTTCCTCCCTCTCCCTACTAGGGAAGAGCCTATCTCCCCTTTAACAGTTGAACTTGACAAACAAGCATCAAAAGCCTTGTAACTAGGTGCAGGGTCTTCACTTCCTACAGCAAAAGTTCCTTAGCCAAGTGAGGAACAGCTAAAGCAAGATGTACACTCCTCTTCCTGTCCTTTATCCCTCTCAAACAAAGTCACACTGTAAAAGAAACATGAACTGACCAACATTCTTTTGGTTTAATGCTGGCAATTTCTACAATAGTGTTTCATCGTGATTCTTGTTAATGACATATTGTAGGGTATTTAAGGGGAACATTACTGCCTGTGAGTTTTCTGCTCTATTTTTGCAGGTCAGTCTGGTTCAAGTAGGGGCAGCTGGGAGGATGGGATTTGGAGCATGGTACAGGTAGATGATGCTGTCTTGGAAATTTGACATGTGTGTATTCTGTAGGAACAGTTGACATTTTGAAGGAGTTAAAATATTAGACAACATTAAACAATGATTGTCTAAGGCAGGCACATCTGACTTTGATTCACAGAGGTCCTGTCCCTCTTCTTTTTTCTCTGTCCCAGCCACCTCCAAAGAGCCTACCAGCCTATCACCTCTTAGATTCCCATAGGTGGTTTGTATATGATTCTCCTTAGTTTACACTCCCACCCTCTAAAGTCAGCAAGTCTAACTCTGGATGAGGGATCGTTGTGAAAGTATTCTTATTTTTTTGGGCTGTGCCAAGATCCTTTTCCAGATCCCCACTTTTGAAACTCAAAGCAACTTTGTAGTCTGTAGACTGAGCATGGCAGCTAAGTTCTGCCAACTGCAGGGGGATTAGTGGGGAAGTAAGAGGTTCAATAGCATCTTCTTATTGGTTGTGTTGCCCAGGCGTTTTAGAAATGCTAATTGGGTTCATTGGATACATTGAATACCACCCTTTGATGAGAACTAGGCCCAGGTGAAAGGGGTTGAGTTAAAGAAGCAAAAATAAAATGACCAGCTAACCTGTGTAAAGTAGTAAAACCTTTTGGGAGGAGCAGTATGTTGCATTCCTTTATCCAAATATCAAGGTAACAGCAGTGTAATATGTAGTGCCATGAGCACCAAGAGCAAGGAGACTGGGTTTCCTGACCCATTTCTTTTGCTTACTTGCCATTTGACCTTCACCAAGGGTTTTAACTTCCCCTGTTCCCCCTTTCCTCATTAGTAGAAGGGAACATCAAAGTACATGACCTCCAAGATCTTTCTTTTCTTTTGTTTTCTTTTTTCTCTCTTTCCTTCTTTTCCTTTTTTTCCTTCCTTCCTTCCTTCCTTCCTTTCTCTCTCTCTCTCTGTCTTCTTTCTATCTTTGTCTCACTTTGGTGCCCAGGCAGGAGTGCAGTGGCACAATCATGGCTCACTGCAGCCTCAACCTCCAAGCTGAAGCTTTCCTCCCACCTCAGCCCCCAGGTCCCACCTCACTAGCTGGGACTACAGGTGTGGGCCACCACACCCGGTAATTTTTTTTTTTTTTTTTTTTTTGTACTTTTGGTAGAGACAGGGTTACGCCATGTTGCCCAGACTGGTCTCGAACTCCTGGGCTCAAGCGATCTGCCTGCCTCGGCCTCCCAAAGTGCTGGGATTACAGGCATGTGCCACCATACCCGATCTTTTTCAGTTCTGACATCCTAAACCTATTCTCTTAGTTTGTAGACCCTTCATAAGCAAAACTGCCCTGTCATTTCATGACGAAACATTGTTTTCTGATCACACTAGCAGGTCAGTCTTGTCAAAGCAATACAATTGTAAACTCCAAAGAGTGTTGCCATCCAGGACATCACAAATGAAATTCATTGATTGAGTGGGCTCAATTTTTATTCTTGAGATTAAATGATATCATCCCTTTTTCCTTGCTCATCCTTCATCAATACTGGTTCTTCTTAGATTATGAGTATCTTGATTGCCCAAGTCTGAGGAACCAAAGCTAAGACTTGTTGGGATAACAAGAAACTGCCCCTGCAGGAGGAAGGAGAGATAGATATCACACCACAGCCAAAAAGTCATTCTCCACTTTATTTGGTGTTTGGTCAGGAGCTGACTGTACTTCTGGGTCTAGTTAGAGGCAGCATGATTTAGAGGAATGTGGAGATATTGGACCCAGTCCAGAGAATAGAATAAAAATGCAATAACACAATCAGAAGGTTGGAGGGAGATAATCTACCAGAAAAAGTCCAAATATTCATAGAAAAAACACTTTTTGTATTTTCCTGGGGATGTTTCCAAATAGAAGAAAACTGTAACATGGGAAAATTAATAAAATAACCTTGGCATTCCTTTTCATAATTAGTAAGACCATAGTAATGAAGTAGCCTGCAAAACACTAATTGGCTCATGGTTTTTCCACTTGCCAGGGAGTCAGCAGAGATTTCTCCAAGGGTAAGAGGCTACTACAATATTCTTCTCAGTGAGGTTGGGCACCTGCCGAGGAAACGAGGCTAAGATCTTTGGCAATAAATACATTCCGAAGACCTGCATCAGTGCCCTGCTTGCAGAGTGTGGCAGAGAAGCTAAGCATCTCAAACTCGGCATTACAGACCTGAGAAGGCTGTAAGACTCTCTGGTCCATCATCACACGGGAGGAATATAAATCCTCAGAGCTGTGCTGGGCAGCATGTTAGCTGCTAGCCACACATGGCTGCTGGACACTTGAAATGTTGCTAGTCTGAATTGTGCTGTGCTGTAAATGCAATTCACACCAGATTTCAAAGAGTTAGTATTTTACAAAATGAAAAAAATGTCTCACTAATACTTTTTATATTAGGCATTGAAATAATTTTGGGATATATTGGGTTAAATCTCAACACTAATTTCACCTATTTCTTTTTTACCTTTAGAAATGTGGTTGCTGAAAATTTAAAAGTATACATGGCTTACATATTTCTATTGGTTAGTACTGCTGTAGGAGCTAATATTAGCAGCTAACACATATTTAGCAGCTATTCTATACTAAGTACTTTTCTATGCCATGTATATATTAACTATGATGACTGTCTACTTAATTGTCTAATCTGGGACAATTTTGAGAGTGAAAGAGGATGGGTAACTTCTAAGCCAGCCAGAACACTAGGACTAAAGGCAGAAACTGGAACTGTCCTAAGCAAACTGGGATGTCAGGTCGTCCTAATGTTAGGTCATTTAATCATGACATCAGCCCTGTAGGTATAATTATCCCTTTGGGGCACAAGAGGGAACTGGAGCACAGAGAGATTAAGTAACTTGCCCAAAGCCACTCAGCTAGTGAGTAGCAATGCTGGGATTTAAACGAGGGTAAGCTGACTCCAGAGGCATCATTCTTAACTGCTGTGCAACACTCTCTGCTAAGAGCTAACATAGGATTGAAATTTTAGTAGGTGGGAGATTTTTCTTAATCCTCACAGCAACTTGGATGTAGTATTACCCTGTTTTCACAGGTGCAGAAACTGAGTTTCAAGTAGATCCAGCAACTTGCCCAAGTCGTAAAACCAGAAAGAGTGGAGCCGAGAATCAAAGCTTGGATGCCTGACCAGAGTGGACCTTTGAAACACTCCTCTGTATATTGTCTTCAGGCTGCCTGTATTTACAAACTCTGATATTGACCTCATTACTTCTCCCCGTTCTGCAGGCAGAAGACTGCTATGAGAGCACTTAGGACCCAAGCGACATCAGCCTTGGAACAGGCAAATAAAAATGGAAAGCTAATCTTGGTGGCCTTCTCTTCTTCAAAAGGACATTTTTAAGATCCAAATAGCCATCAGTATGGCCAAGTTGGTTGTTCGGCTATGCATATCAGAAATTCCATAAAATATTCTCCAATTACGGTGCTGGAGGAGGGTATTATGAGGAGTTCATGAACATCAAGAAGGCAGTTAATGGGTTATCAGAAGACTAAGAGAAGTGGTTTCCACAAAGCACAGAGTCAGAAGCAATAATGTGGTGTTTGGAGCCACAAGTACACCAGGTGCAGCTTTTCTTGCTTCCTCTACAGTGGATCACAATCTTGGCAGCCCATTTAGAATCACCTGCTTTTAAAAGTCACCAACTGCCTTGGCCCCATACCCTAGGATACTTACTAAAGTGGTCTGGTGTGGGGCCCAAGCATTGGTATTTTACAGTCTTTCCCTAGATCATCATTAAATGGGGCCACTGCTTTATTGGTTGTCCCAGCCATGTCAGAGCATCTGGCTCTTGACTTAGCATTGCAAGCAGAGGGAAATTAGGTAAAAAGGGTGGGGTGGTTCTTGCCATGGACCTTGCAAAAGTTGATGCTCCAGAAAGATTTCTTGACAGAGTGATTCTAAACTGAGTTGCTATTTTTGTTGGTATCTCTCTGGTACATTTGTTTTCTATTATGGAGTTAAACCTGCCCTCTGAGATTCCTGTTTTCTTCATTGAGGTCAATTTCTGCTTATGAGATATTTTGTGTTCTTTCTTATCCAAATAGTGCACCGGTAGTAAATCTGTGTACTACTTTTGCTGATGAATTATTTCAAATCTATTAATGGTTTCTTGTCTATGTTTTTCTTTTCCTTTTTTTTTTTGAGATGGAGTCTCGCTCTGTCACCCAGGCTGGAGTGCAATGGCATGATCTCAGCTCACTGCAATTTCCGCCTCCCAGGTTCAAGCGACTCTCCTTCCTCAGCCTCCTGGGTAGCTAGGACTACAGGCATCCACCACTACGCCTGGATAATTTTTGTATTTTTTTTTAGTAGAGACAGAGATTTCACCATATTGGCCAGGCTGGACTCAAACTCCTGACCTTGTGATTCACCTGCCTCAGCCTCCCAAAGTGCTGGGATTACAGGCATGAGCCACTGCGCCCAGCCTTTTTTTTTTTTTTTTGGATAAGTTCTTGCTCTGTCGCCCAGGCTGGAGTGCAGTGGTGCGACCTCGGCTTACTGCAACCCCATGCTCAAGTGATCCTCTCACTTCAGCCTCCCCAGTAGCTGGGACTACAGGTACATGCCACCACACCCGGCTTTGTTCATGTTTTTCAAAGGCTCTGTATCCATTTGGCTTCTGTTATTCATTTTCATTCTTCCATTTTTTGTTTGCTTTCTTTAAAATCCTTAGTAGACTACATAGTTTTAAAAATCTATCTTTGTACTGTATGAGTGAACATTTTTTTTCTTTTCTTTTTTTTTTTTTTTTTGAGATGGTCTCACTCTGTCACCTAAGCTGGAGCACAGTGGCACACAACTCACTGTAGCCTCGACCTCCTGGGCTCAACTGATCCTCTTGCCTCAGCCTCCCAAGTAGCTGGGACCACAAGTATATGCCACCATGTTCACTTAAATTTTTTATTTTTTGTAGTGACAGGGTCTCACCATGTTGCCTACGCTAGTCTCAAGCTCCTGGGCTCAAGTGACCCTCTTGCCTTGGCCTTCCCAAGTACTGGGATTATAGGTATGAGCCACCACACTCGACCATGAACACAGTTTTAAGAGACACTTTTCACAGCAGATTGGTCATGCTTAAGACATATGGCTGTACTACTGTGAAGATATGTATCTATATCTATATATATAGTTTTTTTTTTTTTGAGACAGAGTCTCACTCTGTCACCAAGGCTAGAGTGCAGTGGGGCAATCTCAGCTCACTGCAGCCTCTGCCTCCTGGTTCAAGCGATTCTCCTGCCTCATCCTTCCGAGTAGCTGGGATTACAGGTGCACACCACAATGCCCATCTAATTTTTGTATTTTAGTAGAGATGGGGTTTCACCATGTTGGCCAGGCTGGTCTCGAACTCCTGACCTCAAGTGATCTGCCTACCTCAGCCTCCCAAAGTGCTGGGATTATAGGTGTGAGCTACCATGCCCGGCCTACTGTGAAGATACTGAAAACATTCCACAAGTTCTTTGTTTTGCTTTAATACAAACTTTTGTAACTATCCAGCTATGCACTTTAAGCAGGTTTCTCACATTCAGGATGAGAATTCTTCTATCTAAATTATTATTCTTTTTTTGCCTTCTCTTTCAAAAAGAGCCATGTAGTTTTTTGTCTTAGACTTCTGGTTTGAGTTCCAGAATAAAAAGATGAAGGCTGTGAAAATGTGCTTGACTATACTGTGACATGCCAGAACATGGAACCAGAAAAGAGGAGAGGGATGGAACTGTGGGAGTCAGGGAGACCGCTGTGAAAATATTCCTTCCACATGAATAGCATTCCTTCTAAATGATTAGAGTTTAGAGTGGAAGGTCCCAGAAGCCACCAGAAGCAGGAAGAGAGGCCATGCGACTTCCACTTGTGGATTCCTGGAAGGCTGAGAACACAAAAGCCAAGAAGACATACTGACTTCAGGATAATAGACCACAAAAGTGGGGAGGGAAGATTCTGGTGTTAAGGATATCCAGGTCACTTTTGGCCAACCAGAGGGAAGTTTGTCCTTTCAGATTATGTAACAGGGAAGGGAATTTTGGAAGCCCTTGGAGAGAACCAGAAAACAAAGTAAGGTGGCACCGAGTGAGCCTGGGAAACTTGCCACCAAAAGACTCAGGGATCAAGGTCAAAGAGAGGGTTGTAGAGGTCTGAGTGGGTCTCGTGTTTGCTTTGTGGGTTTCTGGGAAGCATTTTGAAATATTTTTACTTAAACTGTGTGTCTTAAGAGGACGCTCTCCATTTACATCCAACATAACATGCTCATATGAACAAATGTAAATTATGAGAACATCCTGTGTGCTCCTTCTCATCTGGATTCTCCCTTCCTGACCACACTGCCTTCTGCTCCAAGTCTGGCCAAGCTGATTTGCATGTTTGTTTGAGAGGGATGGAAAATCATTAGAGTTTAGAGTGGTATTTTGGATAAATTTTTGAATGGTGTGAGTGAGACCAGTTCTGCAGATGGTCAGTGAGAACAAAGAAGGCACACCCAGGCAGGGGTTCTCCTAGCATGGCCTCAAGAGTGGGCTTCTACACCCCCAAGCAGTTGTCAGCTACTGGGCAGCATTCATGGTGAAAATCACTTTTATTTTCTCTTTTTAAAAATATTGTATTTATTTATTAGTATTGTTATTATTTACCTTGTGGGACTTTGTTTGTTTGTTTCTATAGAGATAGGGTCTCACTTTGTTGCCCAGGCTTATCTCGAACTTCTGAGTGCAAGCGATCCTCCCACCTTGACTTCCCAAAGTCCTGGGAGCCCCCGTGTCTAGACTAAAATGTATTTTTTATTAACTATGTTTTGAGACAGGGTCTTGCTATGTCACCCAGGCTGGTCTCAAACTCCTGGGCTCAATGGATTTTCCCACCTCAGCCTCCCAAGTAGCTGGGACAACACGCATGCACCACTGTGCCTGACTCTTCTCTTTGTTTTTAAATATGGACTAAAGAAAAAAAATGAAAGAATTTATTTTAAGAAGGGAAACAAGAAGTCCTCTATCAGGTAGTAAATTTAAACCCCAGTTTCTCCACTTAGTAGCTGTGTTTTTGGGGGCAGATTACTTAATCTCCCTTGGCTTCATTTTCCTTATCTGCCAAATGGGGGTAACATTAGTACCTGCCTCTTGGGTTATTTTGGAGATTAAATAATTAATATATACGAAGCCTGTACAATAGTGTCTGGCACAGAGTAAGAACTAAATAAATAATATCAGTAAATATTACTAACATTGAGAAGCATAAGACAGTTGTAAAGTCTGAGGGGAAATAAGAGAGTGGTATCTATGGAAATTAATTCAACTGTCTTTAAAAAGGTCATAGATCAAAGATTAACATTTCTAAGATGCCATTTGCTAAGTTTTAAATGGAAACTTTATTTATTGACTGGTATGTAAGATACAACATTGCACACATACACAAAAAAGAAATATGAGATGTTCTCAACCCTCAAGGAGCTTCTGTCCTGTCTGGAGAGATTGGAGAGATGGCATATTGATATTCATGGACAGATGGTCAACAAAAGAAGTCAGCAACTGACTTCATGTTGTTATCTAGCTCTTTTTTTTTTTTGAGATGGAGTCTCGCTCTGTTGCCCAGGCTGGAGTGCAGTGGCGCGATCTCAGCTCACTGCAACCTCTACCTCCCAGGTTCGAGTGATTCTCATGCCTCAGCCTCCCCAGTAGCTGGGATTACAGGCACCCACCACCATACCCAGCTAGTTTTTGTATTTTAAGTAGAGGTGGGTTTTTGCCATGTTATACAGGCTGGTCTCAAACTCCTGACCTCAGGTGATCCACCAGCCTTGGCCTCCCAAAGTGTTGGGATTACAGGCGTGAGCCACCACACCAAGCCAGCTATCTAGTCCTTTGGTGCTATTCTGCAGTTTTGCCAAGCCTTGTTGCCCAGCAAGCTGTGCCCTTGAAAATGTGAGGCATAGGGGAGTCCATTCCAAGATGGCCGAATAGGAACAGCTCTGGTCTGCAGCTCCCAGTGTGATGGACACAGAAGATGAGTGATTTCTGCATTTCCAGCTGAGGTACATGGTTCATCTCATTGGGACTGGTTGGACAGTGGGTGCAGCCCATGGAGGGTGAGCTGAAGCAGAGCGGGGCATCGCCTCACCCGGGAAGCACAAGGGGTCAGGGGAGTTCACTTTCCTAGCCAAGGGAAGCAGTGACAGACTGTACTTGGAAAAACAGGACACTCTCACCCAAATACTGTGCTTTTCCAATGGTCTTAGCAAATGGAACACCAGGAGATTGTATCCCGCACCTAGCTCAGCGGGTCCCATGCCCATGGAGCCTTGCTCACTGCTAGCGCAGTAGTCTGAGATCGGCCTGCAAGGCAGCAGCCTGGCAGTAGGAGGGGCATCCGCCATTGCTGAGGCTTGAGTAGGTAAACAAAGCAGCTAGAGAAGCTCGAACTGGGTGGAGACCACTGCAGCTCAGCAAGGCCTCTGGGGGCACCTCTGGGCAGCACATAGCTGAACAGAAGGCAGCAGAAACTTCTGCAGACTTAAATTTCCCTGTCTGACAGCTCTGAAGGAGCAGTGGTTCTCCCAGAATGGTGTTTGAGCTCAGAGAACAGACAGACTGCCTCCTCAAGTGGGTCTCTGAACCTCATGTAGCCTAACTGGGAGACACTTCCCAGTAGGGGCCAACTGACACCTCACAGAGGCAGGGGAAGACACCTCATAGAGGCAGAGACCAAGCTTCCAGGGGAAGGATCAGGCAGCAATAGTTGCTGTTCTGCAATATTTGCTGTTCTGTAGCCTCTGCTGGTGATACCCAGGCAAACAGGGTCTGGAGTGGACCTCCAGCAAACTCCAACAGACCTGCAGCTGAGGGACCTGACTGTTAGAAGGAAAACTAACAAACGGAAAGGAATAGCATCAGCATCAACAAAAAGGACATCCACACCAAAACCCCATCTGTAGGTCACCATCATCAAAGACCAAAGGTAGATAAAACCACAAAGATGGGGAGAAACCAGAGCAGAAAAGCTGAACATTCTAAAAATCAGAGCACCTCTTCTCTTCCAAAGGATCGCAGCTCCTTGCCAGCAAAGGAACAAAGCTGGATGGAGAATGACTTTGACGAGCTGACAGGAGTAGGCTTCAGAAGTTTGGTAATAACAAACTTCTCCGAGCTAAAGGAGGATGTTTGAACCCATCGCAAGGAAGCTAAAAACCTTGAAAAAAGATTAGACGAATGGCTAACTAGAATAAACAGTGTAAAGAAGACCTTAAATGAACTGATGGAGCTGAAAACCATGGCATGAGAACTACGTGATGCATGCACAAGCTTCAATAGCTGATTTCATCAAGTGGAAGAAAGGGTATCAGTGATTGAAGATCAAATTAATGAAATAAAGCAAGAAGAGAAGTTTAGAGAAAAAGGAGTAAAAAGAAACAAACAAAGCCTCCAAGAAATATGGCACTATGTGAAAAGACCAAATCTACGTTTGATTGGTGTACCCGAAAGTGATGGGGAGAATAGAACCAACTTGGAAGACACTCTTCAGGTTATCATCGAGGAGAACCTCCCCAACCTAGCAAGGCAGGCTAACATTCAAATTCAGGAAATACAGAGAACACCACAAAGATACTCCTCAAGAAGTTCAGCCCCAAGACACATAATCGTCAGATTCACCAAGGTTGAAATGAAGGAAAAATGTTAAGGGGAGACAGAGAGGAAGGTCGGGTTACCCACAAAGGGAAGCCCATCACACTAACAGCTGATCTCTCGGCAGAAACTCTACAAGCCAGAAGACAGTGGGGGCCAATATACAACATTCTTAAAGAAAAGAATTTTCAGCCCAGAATGTCATATCCAGCCAAAGTAAGCTTCATAAGTGAAAGAGAAATAAAATCCTTTACAGACAAGCAAATGCTGAGAGACTTTGTCATCACCAGGCCTGCCTTACAAGAGCTCCTAAAGGAAGCACTAAACATGGAAAGGAACAAACGGTACCAGCCACTGCAAAAACATGCCAAATTGTAAAGACCATCGATGCTAGGAAGAAACTGCATCAATTAACGGGCAAAATAACCAACTAACATCATAATGACAGGATCAAATTCACACATAACAATATTAACCTTAAATGTCAATGGCCTGAATGTCCCAATTAAAAGACACAGACTGGCAAATTGGATAAAGAGTCAAGACCCATCAGTGTACCATATTCAGGAGACCCATCTCACGTGCTGAGACACACATAGGTTCAAAATAAAGGGATGGAGAAAGACCTACCAAGCAAATGGAAAGCAAAAAAAAGCAGGGGTTGCAATCCTACTCTCCGAGAAAACAGGCTTTAAACCAACAAAGATCAAAAGAGACAAAGAAGGCCATTACACAATGGTAAAGGGATCAATTCAATAAGAAGAGTTAACTATCCTAAATATATATGCACCCAATACAGGAGCACCCAGATTCATAAAGCAAGTCCTTAGAGACCTACAAAGAGACTTAGACTCCCACACAGTAATAATGGGAGACTTTAATACCCCACTTTCAATATTAGACAGATCAAGGAGACAGAAGGTTAACAAGGATATGCAGGACTTGAACTCAGCTCTGCACCAAGAGGACCTAATAGACATCTACAGAACTCTCCACCCCAAATCAACAGAATGTACATTCTTCTCAACACCACATCGCACTTATTCCAAAATTGACCACATGGTTGGAAGTAAAGCACTCCTCAGCAAATGTAAAAGAACAGAAATCACAACAAACTGTCTGTCAGACCACAGTGCAATCAAATTAGAACTCAGGATTAAGAAACTCACTCAAAACCGCACAACTGTATGGAAACTGAACAACCTGCTCCTGAATGACTACTGGGTAAATAATGAAATGAAGGCAGAGATAAAGATGTTCTTTGAAACCAATGAGAACAAAGACACAACATACCAGAATCTCTGGGACACATTTAAAGCAGCTTGTAGAGGGAAATTTATAGCACTAAATGCCCACAAGAGAAAGCAAGAAAGATCTAAAATCAACACCCTAACATCACAATTAAAAGAACTAGAGAAGCAAGAGCAAACAAATTCAAAAGCTAGCAGAAGACAAGAAATAACTAAGATCAGAGCAGAACTGAAGGAGATAGAGACACAAAAAACCCTTCAAAAAATCAACGAATCCAGGAGCTGTTTTTCTGAAAAGATCAACAAAATTGACAGACCACTAGTAAGACTAATAAAGAACAAAATAGAGAAGAATCAAATAGATGCAATAAAAAATGATAAAGGGGATATCACCACGAATCCCACAGAAATGCACACTACCATCAGAGAATACTATAAACACCTCTACACAAATGAACTAGAAAATCTAGGAGAAATAATTCCTGGACACATACACCCTCCTAAGACTAAACCAAGAAGAAGTTGAATCTCTGAATAGACCAATAACAGGCTCTGAAATTGAGGCAATAATTAATAGCTTACCAACCAAAAAAAGTCCAGGACCAGACAGATTCACAGCCGAATTCTACCAGAGGTACAAAGAGGAGCTGGTACCATTCCTTCTGAAACTATTCCAATCAATAGAAAAAGAGGGAATACTCCCTAACTCATTTTATGAGGCCAGCATCATCCTGATACCAAATCCTGGCAGAGACACAACAAAAAAAGAGAATTTTAGACCAATATCCCTGAGAACATCGATGTGAAAATCCTCAATAAAATACTGGCAAACCAAATCCAGCAGCACATCAAAAAGCTTATCCACCATGATCAAGTGGGCTTCATCCCTGGGATGCAAGCCTGGTTCAACATACGCAAATCAATAAACATAATCCACCACATAAACAGAACCAGTGACAAAAACCACATGATTATCTCAATAAATGCAGAAAAGGCTTTCGACAAAATTCAACAGCCCCTCATGCTAAAAACTCTCAATAAACTATGTATTGATGAAACATATCTCAAAATAATAAGAGCTATTTATGACAAACCCACAGCTAGTATCATACTGAATGGACAAAAACCGGAAGCATTCCCTTTGAAAACTGTCACAAGACAGGGATGCCCTCTCTCACCACTCCTGTTCGATATAGCATTGGAAGTTCTGGCCGGGGCAATCAGTCAAGAGTAAGAAATAAAGCATATTCAAATAGGAAGAGAGGAAGTCAAATTGTCTCTCTTTGCAGATGACATGATTGTATATTTAGAAAACCCCATCATCTCAGCCCAAAATCTCCTTAAGCTGATAAGCAACTTCAGCAAAGTCTCAGGATACAAAATCAATGTGCAAAAATCACAAGCATTCCTATATACTAATAACAGACAAACAGAGAGCCAAATCATGGGTGAACTCCCATTCACACTTGCTTCAAAGAGAATAAAATACCTAGGAATCAGACTTAGGGATGTGAAAGGCCTCTTCAAGGAGAACTACAAACCACTGCTCGATGAAATAAAAGAAGACACAAACAAATGGAAGAACATTCCATGCTGATGGATAGAAAGAATCAATATAATGAAAATGGCCATACTGCCCAAAGTAATTTATAGATTCAATGCCATCCTCATCAAGCTACCAATGACTTTCTTCACAGAATTGGAAAAAACTACTTTAAAGTTCATATGGAACCAAAAAAGAGCCTGCATTGCCAAGACAATCCTAAGCAAAAAGAACAAAGCTGGGGGCATCATGCTACCTGACTTCAAACTATACTACAAGTCTACAGTAACCAAAACAGCATGGTACTGGTACCAAAACAGATATGTAGACCAATGGAACAGAACACAGGCCTCAGAAGTAACACCACACATCTACAACCATCTGATCTTTGACAAACCTGACAAAAACAAGAAATGGGGAAAGGATTCCCTATTTAATAAATGGTGCTGGGAAAACTGGCTAGTCATATGTAGAAAGCTGAAACTGGATCGCTTCCTTACACCTTACACAAAAATTAATTCAAGATGGATTAAAGACTTAAACGTTAGACCTAAAACCATAAAAATCCTAGAAGAAACCCTAGGCAATACCATTCAGGACATAGTCAGGGTCAAGGACTTCATGTCTAAAACACCAAAAGCAATGGCAACAAACGCCAAAATAGACAAATGGGATCTAATTAAACTAAAGAGCTTCTGCACAGCAAAAGAAACTACCATCAGAGTGAACAGGCAACCTACAGAATGGGAGAAAATGTTTGCAATCTACTCATCTGACAAAGGGCTAATATCCAGAATCTACAAAGAACTTAAACAAATTTACAAGAAAAAAAGTACCCCATCAACAAGTGGGCAAAGGATGTGAACAGACACTTCTCAAGTGAAAACGTTTATGCAGCCAACAGACACATGAAAAAATGCTCATCATCACTGGGCATCAGAGAAATGCAGATCAAAACCACAATGAGATACCATCTCACACCAGTTAAAATGATGATCATTAAAAAGTCAGGAAACAACAGATGCTGGAGATAATGTGGAGAAATAAGAACACTTTTACATTGTTGGTGGGACTGTAAACTAGTTCAACCATTGTGGAAGACAATGTGGTGATTCCTCAAGGATCTAGAACTAGAAATACCATTTGACCCAGCAACCCCATTATTGGGTATATACCCAAAGGATTATAAATCATGCTACTATGAAGATACATGCACCCATATGTTTATTGCAGCACTATTCACAATAGCGAAGACTTGGAACCAATCCAAATGTCCACCAATGATAGACTGGATTAAGAAAATGTGGCACATATACACCATGGAATACTATGCAGTCATAAAAAAGGATGAGTTCATGTCCCTTGCAGGGACATGGATGCAGCTGGAAACCATCATTCCGAGCAAACTATCACAAGGACAGAAAACCAAACACTGCATGTTTTCACTCATAGGTGATAATTGAACAATGAGAACACTTGGACACAGGGTGGAGAACATCACACCCTGGGGCCTGTCATGGGATCGGGGGCAGGGGGAGGGATAGCATTAGGAGAAATACCTAATGTAAATGAAGAGTTAATGGGTGCAGCAAACCAACATGGCACATGTAAACCTATGTAACAAACCTGCACATTGTGCACATGTACCCTAGAATTTAAGTATAATAATAATAAAAAAAGAAAATGTGAGGCATAATACTCTGTTGAAATCTTATGAAGCTACAGGAACCAAAATATAAGTACTGTAAACTCTTCTCCACTCACAGAGATTGCTATTCTTATGTGCAGCCAGAGTTGAGAACGACACCATACTACAGAGCTTCCATGCTAGTAACGTGGTCACTGAAACATGATTAGCATCCAAAGCAGCTGCCTGTATTGAGATAACAGTGGTTTTAATAAAATAGGGGCTTGTTTTCCTCATATTTTGAAAAGTGGTGGCTTTGGATCACTGACTCAATGATGTCAGGGGTGAGGTATTTGTGATTTTCTTGGTATTTCTTATAATTCTGTGGGTTGATCATTCTGCTTCATGTGGTAGTAGCTGGGATCCTGGGATGGCTGAAAGATGTGGAATGGCCTCACTCATACACTCAGTAGCTGCTGGTGGTCCCTGGCTGGAGTCAGCTAGAGATTGTTGGCTGGGACCTCAGTTCTCCTTCACATAGTTTCTTGGGCTTCCTCATAAAATGGCAGCTGGATTCCAAGAAGGAGTGTTCCACAAGGATGCACCCCAGTGTGCAAGTGCTTATCAATCTCTGCTACATCATGCTTGCCAACATCCCATGGACAAAAATTAGTCACATGGCCAAGGCCAGGGTCCACATGGGAAGGGCTGTACACAGGCATGAATGCTGGGAAGCGTGGTTCACTGGGGACACAAAAGTCACAGCCCACCATAGGTAAGCATCTAGCCATCTTAGCATGGATAAAGGTTTGTGAGCACATTTCTGTTACAGGGAGATGGGAGCCACTAAAATAGTCATTAAAGAAATATTTTTCATGTTTTTCATGTCATTATCCTTCCTCCCCGTCCTCCAGGAGGTACAGAGAAAAGTGTGATATCTCTGCCCACCAGATTCAAAACAGACAACTGTATGGAGAGAGTGCTCACTTGCTTGCCTTGTCAGGTGATCCAGTGAATGTTGGGACCATCTTCATGAAGTGTACACAGCTGGAAGGCAAAGGTTAAGGCACACATTAGGCAGGAAATGTGGAATGAATATATTTGCCCTTGGGAAAACCTAAGGAAGAAGTTTGACACCTAGAGACTTGTTTAAGGAATCCTCCAAGGGAATTTGTGAAAGAGAAAAAAATGAAATTTACTGAACTTACAGCTGGACAAAGTGTGTCAAAAGTGAGTGCCCCTAACATGCTAGAAACATCTTCAATTTATATTGGACACAGTGAAAACACTGTACCTTTTCTGCTCTCTGTGAAGCTGCTCATCTAAGGAACTACTGTGGGTAGTAAATCTTTAAAACATTGGAGAAAAAAATAAACCCTTTTGGGTTGCAAAATGCAGAGGCAAACATAAACAGTGGGGGGATGAGGGTGGAGATGCCCACTGCACATCTACACTTTGCCCTTTCCAAAGGGGCAGGTCATTGAAAAAGACACAGTCTAGAGGCAAATGGGAAAGCTTAGAGATGTTCAGAGTGGGCTCCTTTGGTCCAGGTGAGACAAATGGGCAGATGTTTTTCTAATGAATCTGGCCTAAGGTACTCAAATGATGTGAAAAGATCTGGAAGAAATTCAAGGAATGAAAACAAAACAAATGAAACTAAATGAGCACAAATATTTAGATAGGCTGAACACCTAAGGTGCAAGAGTATACAATTTGTATAATATTTAAGAGTTCGTTTTCTTTCAACCCCTCCTTTTTACTACTGTAGCCTTGTGTTGCTTATAAATAAAAGGAAGATATTGATATTACACAATATGTGTGTTTACTAAAATATGATATATTTTTAGTCCTGGCAAATGATTCTGAAGACCCTCAATAGGTAGATACTACCCTAGGAGCAGGCATATCTGAGCATAGAGTATTGCTCTTCAGAGAGAATGCTTGGTACTTTATCTTGGGTCAGTTACAGAGTAGCTTGCATTTATACCAGTCTTCTTTAGAGTTAACAAAGTACTTTCACATCCTCTTGTCATATTTTTACCCTCCTACTTATAAAAAAAACCTAAGGCAATAATTACTACCTTATTTTGCAGATTTGAAAAGCAGTTTCAGAGAGTCTTAGGTATTTGTCTACAGAGAAGAGTCAAAACTAGAACTCTGGTGTGTGTGTGTGTGTGTGTGTGTGTGTGTGTGTTTTTGAGAGGGCGTTTCGCTCTCGTTGCCCAGGCTGGAATGCAATGGTGCAATGTCGACTCACTGCAGCCTCTGCCTCTCGGGTTCAAGCAATTCTCCTGTCTCAGCCTCCTGAGTAGCTGGGGTTACAGGCGCCCGCCACCACACCTGGCTACTTTTTGATATTTTTAGTAGAGAAGGGGTTTCACCATATTAGCCAGACAGGTCTTGAACTCCTGACCTTAGATGTTCCACCCATCTTGGCCTCCTAAAGTGCTAGGATTACAGGCAAGAACCACTGCGCCGGCAGAACTCTGGTTTTTTGAGTCCTAGCCTCAGGATCTGTTTGCTACATGATATGGTTTGGCTCTGTGTTCCTACCCAAATCTCATCTCAAATTGTAATCCCCAGGTATCAAGGGAAGGACCTACTGGGAGGTGATTGGATCATGGGGACAGTTTCCCCCATGCTGTTCTTGTGATAGTGAGTGAATTCTCACAAAATCTGATGATTTTGTCAGAAAGTTTTCCCTACTTGCTCTCACATCTCTCTCTCTTTCTCTCTCTCTCTCTCGACTGCTGCCATGTAAGATGTGCCTGCTTCCCCTTCCACCAAGATTGTAAGTTTCCTGAGGCCTCCCCAGCCATGTGGAACTGTGAGTCAATGAAACCTCTTTTCTTTGTAAATTACCCAGTCTCTTTATTTCTTTATAGCAATGTGAGAATGGACTAATACACTACAACAGACTATGTCCCTGGGTTATTGGAACCTCATTCACAGAAGCACAGGAGAAAGGAGGCACTGTGTTCCCCTAAACTGAAGCAAGAGCACAGTTGCTTCATACATGACTGATGAAGGTCTAAGTGGTTGCAGAAGCTCCAGCCTCCAGAGCCTGAGAAAACCTTCTGCCTCTAGCAACAGAGCTGGCGAAATTCTGAAAAAAATTCCCCTCCACAAACACAAAAAATTACTGGATAAGACACACCAAACATTTGGCCAAATGCACAACTACACTTCTAAGAAAGTAAGTGAGATTCAAAGGAAATAAAATGTTGCAATAAAATGGTGTGAAAACTCGGAAGCACAGAGCATCTGCTGATCCTGGGAACCTGGTTTTCAGTGGGAGAATTAGGGTAAAGGAAGGAGCTAGGGGTCCCAAATACCAACTCCCTCAAGTGAAAAGTTGGGTTAGGAAAATAAAATCCATCTTCTGGCAAAAGGAAGTCAACAAGGAAATGTGTTTGTCTCAGGCATTGGTCAAAGGAATGAAAAACAAAAACAAAAATGAGACTTTCCTGAGAATTTATAATCCCAAGCCTATCCCCATGGATATTTAGTGCCTACACTACTGACATGGTCCAGGAAACCCCAAGTAGAAAAATTATTTTTAATAGTAAGCCATGCCTGTAATCCCAGCACTTTGGGAGGGCGAAGTGGGAGAATCCCTTGAGCCCAGGAGTTTGCGACCAGCCTGGCCAATATGGCAAAACCCCATCTCCACAAAAAATAAAAAATTAAAAAAAAATTAGTCAGGCACAGTGGCATGTGTCTGTAGTCCCAGCTATTCAGGAGGCTGAGGTGGGAGGACCACTTGAGCCCTGGGAAGTTGAGGCTACAATGAGCAGAGATTGTGCCACTGCACTCCAGCCTGGGTGACAGAGCAAGACCCTCTCTCTCAAAACAATTAATTGAAACGTATTTCTAGTTCATAACACCGCAATACCTGCCATCTGGTGGGAAGCACCTTCAACTCAGACTCTTCAGGATTCCTACATTTAAGAGGAACTTTATATGAACAAAGAACAGAAAATTACAAACACACGAGAAAATAAGCTCCCATAAAATAAACCACCACTCAGCACAAATTTGTGGGCAAAATTAGACCCCAAGAAGTTTTTGGGCATAGAATTATCTAAAAAAGAATGTAAAATGAGTATGCTTAAACTGTTTATGAAGTAACAGAGGGAATGATGACTCTAAGGAATGAACAAAAGACCATCAAGAATAACTGCAGTTTTGAAAAGAACCAAATAGAATTTCTAGAAATGTAAAATATAACAATTAAAATATAAAATGTACTAGATGGATTAAATGGCAGATAAATTGCAACTGAAGAGAGAATTAGTGCTTTGGTTTGAATGTGTCACCTCAAATTCATGTGTTAAAAACTCAACCCCTACTCGGGAGGCTGAGGCAGGGGGATCGCTCGAACCCGAGAGGCAGAGATTACAGTGAGCTGAGATGGCGCCACTGCACTCCAGCCTGGCAACAGAGTAAGACTCCGTCTCAAAACAACAACAACAACAACAACAAAAACTCAACCTCCAGTGCAACAATGTTAGGAGGTAGGGCCTAGTAGAAGGTGTTTAGGTCATGTGTGCTTATCTGCCCTCATGAATGGATTAATGCCACTGTAAAAAAGCTTATGGGAGTGGGTTCTCTCTCCTCTGCTCTTCTGCCATGTAAGGACACAGAGTTCACTCCTTTTTGGTTCTTCTACCTTTCACCATCTGATGATGCGGCAAGAAGGCCTTCATCAGATTCCAGGGCCTTGATTCTGGACTTCCCAGCCTCGAGAACTGGAGAAATAAATTCTTTCTTTACCCAGCCTCAAGTATTCTGTAATAGCAGCCCAAATGGACTAAAATAATTAGTAAATTGGAAGAGAGGGCTGAATAATCAACTTATAACACTGTACAGGGAGGTAAAGACATGGAAACTATGAAACTGAGGCTAACAGACAAAGGGGACAAGCTAGATGTTCAAAATGCATCTAACTGAAAATCCAGAAGGAGAGAATAGGCAGAAGGAAGTACAGGCAACACTCAAGTCATTATTGAAAAATATGAATGGAATACTATGCAGCCATAAGGATGAGTTAATGTCCTTTGCAGGGACATGGATGAAGCTGGAAACCATCATTCTCAGCAAACTAACACAGAAACAGAAAACCAAACACCACATGTTCTCACTCATTAGTGGGAGTTGAACAATGAGAACATGTGGACACAGGGAGGGGAACATCACACACCGGGGCCTGTCAGGAGGTGGGGGGCTAGGGGAGGGATAGCATTAGGCGAAATACCTAATGTAGATGATGGGTTGATGGGTGCAGTAAACCACCATGGCACGTGTATAACTATGTAACAAACCTGCATGTTTTGTACATGTGTCCCAGAACTTAAAGTAGAATAATAATTTTTAAAAACGTGAATCCTCAGAATTGGGGAGATATGTGATTTCTCAGATTGGAGAAGTATACCAAGTCATAGGCAACACAAATAAAAACAAATGCATTACTACAAACACTATAAGGAAACTTTAGAAAACTAAAGACAAAGCGATCATAAAAAGAAGCAGAGAAAAGGATGATATTTCCTAATAAGGAACAACAATTTACACACCAATCCTTTCAACAGGAGCAAGAAAATCCAGAATCCAAGGAAACAATTCAAAGTGCTGAAAAAATAAGTCACTCTGGAATTGTATACCCTACTAAACAGTCATCCAAGACTAGGGGCAAAACAAAGACGTTTTCAGAAGAATATGGGAAGATATCCTCATACTCTGGGAACTCCTTAGCTTCTTCAGAGGATCCTTTATACCTGTTTCTATCACACAAATCTCTACGGTTATAAAAATTATAGGCAGTACTGTGCTGACATTTGATGCCACTGGCAGCATCTTTAAAATTATTTAGGCTGATGGGTCCCTGGAAAGAAAGAGCTCGGTTAGATGACTCTGGGTGCTTATCTCTAAATTCTAGCCATTCATTTTGCCCTGTCTCCCCTTTTTAGAGTTTGTTTTTTTATTATTATTATTATTTATTTTTTCGAGACGGAGTTTCGCTCTTGTTGCCCAGGCTGGAGTGCAATGGTGTGATCTCAGCTCACTGCAACCTCCGCATTTCGGGTTCAAGCGATTCTCCTGCCTCAGCTTCCCGAGTAGCTGGGACTACAGGCATGCGCCACCATGCCCGGCTAATTTTATATTTTTAGTAGAGATGGGGTTTCTCCATGTTGGTCAGGCTGGTCTCGAACTCCCGACCTCAGGTGATCCACTCGCCTTGGCCTCACAAAGTGCTGGGATTGCAGGCATGAGCCACAGTGTCCAGCCTAGAGTTTGGTTTTTTTGACAATACATTAACACCACACACACACACACACACACACACACACACACACACACAGTGTTGGGAAGGATCTGCTGGTGGAGATTTTTGTGAAGAGTAGGAAATTTAGGGCAATCATACTCAATATCTTTTGTTGATTTGTGAGCAGGTTGAGGAGATTCAATTTACTTTATTTATTTATTTATTTTGAGACAGGGTCTCACTCTGTCACCCAAGTGGGAGTGCACTGGCATGATCTTGGCTCACTGCAGCCTCAACCTCCCGGGCTCAAGCAATCCCCCTACCTCAGCTTTCCTATTAGCTGGGACTACAGGCATGCACCATCAGGCCTGGCTATTTTTTGTAGAGATGGGGTTTTGTCATGTTGCCCAGGCTGGTTTTGAACACCTGGGCTCAAGAGATCTGCCCGCCTCAGCCTCCCAAAGTGCTAGGATTACGGACGTGAACCGCCATGCCCAGCCCCGTTTATTTTTAATATGTGCCAAGAAGTCCATGTTATGGGTGAATTGTGTCCTTTTCCCAAATTTATATGTTGAAGCCTTAAACCCCAATACTTCAAAATGCAACTGTATTTAGAGATAAGGCCTTTAAAGAGGTAATTAAGGTAAAATGAGGCCATTATGGTGGCCCCTAATGCAATCCAACTAGTATTTTCATAAGAAGAGATTAGGAAACCCAGAGAGACACCAGGGTACATGTGCGCGGAGGAATAATCATATAAAGAGGCAGCAAGACGGTGGCCTTCTGCAAACCAAGGAGGGAGGCCACAGAGGACACCAACCCTTCTGGCTTCTTGATCTTGGACTTGCAGGCTCCAGAACTGTGACAAAATCCATTTCTGTTGTTTAAGCCACCCAGTTCATGGTATTTTTGTCATGACAGCCATAGCAAACTAAGACAGTTCACTTTTCTCTTTTCAGGACGTACCTCCCCTCCAATACTCATCTAAAAGTTCTGCTTTTTGTCACTGGATATAAAGCTTTCACTTTTCCAGGTGAAAATTCATTTTCTGAATAACTGGCATAAAGTGGTCCCAACAGACTGAGGTACTCCCTTCGGACTCCTCTAAGAGGCTGGAGGGCTGCTTTGCACCAGCAAATGGTCAATTATATTGCCTGCCTGGCCATCACCAAGGTCACCCCTGGGGTTGAGCCAGATCATTGAGTAAGATCTCCCTTTCTTTTCAAAGAATCGCTCCTGTGCTCTTCTCACCCAGACTCCCTAAGAACAGAAGACGAATTTTCCCAGCTGTGCCGTGACCTCTGCTCCTTGAACTATCCATGCCCCAGATGTTTACTTTTTTTGGCTCCAGGGCCTGCATTGATTCCTAAGAGTGAGATTAAAAAGACGTCGAAAGCCTAGGCCAGACAGTTCCCTACCCCAGATATGGAAATTCTGGGAGACAAACATTTCTTATGCTGCAGCGATGTGAAGGAATGCAGAGGATTCCTACTACATGGAGACAAAGGAAGAGCTTTGGTATCCTTGAGAGCTACAGAAAAATGTAAAGCGATGCAAAAAGTTCTAAATGACTGAGTATTGTTTTAATGTTTTTGCTAGATGATTTTGGTCTCAATAGAGTTTTAAATGTTAAAGTTAGTAATATGCTTAATAGAATATTATAGCCTATCTCAAATTCTAGTGGTTTCTTTTTTGACAATAGTACTTGGAGCCTGTGGTTTCTTGAGGTACCCCAGGTGGTGAGATTCAGGAAAGGGGCCCCTCATTCTTGTATAATTTCCACAGATCCAGTGCTACTGGGGATTAGAACTGTGGTCCTAAACTAGTACTTCTCCTCCTAACTGAAGTACTTTAAGTTAATACCTTTATTATTAACTGTAAATAAATATAAAGTTCCATAAATATTTAGTGCTTACCCCTGTAGAAGGATTATACAGTCACTCTGTTGAATTGAAATGCAGCCATAGTCTTCCTTTGGGCAAGAAAATGTGAACAGAAGTGATGTGTGTCTGTTTCAGGTAGAAGCTTTAAAAGTTCTGTGTACGATTCACTATGGTCTCCACTCCCAACCTCGTTTTTGGAAATCATAGAGCAGAGATGGGCTTCCATCCACCTTGGGTTCCTCAGTAACTACAATGTGAAGAGTCGCTGCCAATCCACATGGGAAATGTAATGTGAGCAGGAGATGAACTTGGCCTTTTAAGCTGTTGAGATTTTCAAGTTGTTTGTTACTGGAGCACAACCTAGCCTATCTTGACTAGTAATACAATAAATAGATTGTTTTCAAGTCATTAAACTTTTAAACAATTTAAATAAAAAGATTTTTTATTTAAAATTGTTTTCTGCCAGGTGCAGTGGCTCATGCCTGTAATCCCAGCAGTTTGGGAGGCCGAGGTGGGTGGATTACCTGAGGTCAGGAGTTCAAGACCAACCTGACCAACACAGTGAAGCCCCGTCTCTACTAAAAATGCAAAAAGTAGCTGGACGTGGTGGCAGGTGCCTGTAATCCCAGCTACTTGGGAGGCGGAGGTAGGAGAATCGCTTGAACCTGGGAGGCAGAGGTTGTAGTGAGCTGAGATTGTACTATTGCACTCCAGCCTGGGTGACAGAGCGAGACTCTGTCTCAAAAAAAGGAAAGAACAAAAACCATTGTTTTCTGAAAGATCGTGCATATTAATGCAGGGGACTAAACATGTTTGAATGAGGAAGAGGCACTAGACCCTTTATTTCCAACAGCTCACCAGCTGGGGTTCTCACAGTTTCAGTTCAGCTCTCCTGGGGTGAGACTGGGTGAGGGTTAGCAAATTTTTTTCTAAAAGGGCCAGATATTAAACATTTTCAAATTGCAGATCATGTGGCTCTGTTGCAACACTGAATTCTATCACTGGATCTCAAAAGTGACCATAGATAATGAGTAAACTAATGGATGTGGCTGTGTTCCAATAAAACTTTATTTATCAAAATTTATCTGTGCTCTGGATCTGGGGCATAAAGACCCAAATCTGACCCCTCAGATCTCTAAACCCATGCCAACCATACTGGAGGAACTGAGTCAGGTTGTCTAATGTATTCACTTGTTTATTCATTCATCTATTCTTTCCTTCAACAATGATACTGATAGCATTCTGTGTTCTAGCCAGCATGATATGCCATGGGGACAGAGTGGGAAACAAAACTGACAAGATGTCTCAGTCTGCTCCTGCTGCAATAACAAAATACTTTGGATAGGTAATTTATAAACAACAGAAATTTATTTCTCATGATTCTGGAGGCTGGGAAGTCCAAGATCAGGGTGCCAGCAGATTTAGTGTCTGGTGCCAGGGCTGCTCTCTGCTTCCAAGAGGGCACCTTACTGTGTCTTCGCATGACAGAAGAGATGGAAATGCAAAAGGGACTAGCTAGTTCCCTCAAGCCTTTTTATAAGGGCACTAATCTCATGCATGAGGAAAGAGCCCTTACAACCTAATCTCTGCCTAACAGCCTCACCCCCTAATACCATTGCACAGGGGATTAAGCTTGTATTAGTCTGTTCCCATGCTGCTAAAAAGACATACCTGAGACTGGATAATTTATAAAGGAAAGAGGTTTAATTGACTCACAGTTCCACACGGCTGAGGAGGCCTCAAAATCATGGCAGAAGGCAAATGAGGAGCAAAGTCACGTCTTACATGGTGGCAGGCAATAGAACTTGGGCAGGGAACTCCCATATATAAAACCATCAGATCTCATGAGACTTATCAACTACCATAAGAACTGTATGGGAGAACCAACCCCATGATTCAATTATCTCCACCTGGCCCTGCCCTTGACGCATGCGGATTATTACAATTCAAGGTGAGATTTGGGTGGGGACATAGAAAAATCACATCAAAACTTCAACATAAATTTTGGAGGGACACAAACATTCAAATCATAGCACAAGGTCAATGCTGTCGTGCGATTTAGAGAAAAGTACAGAGAGATACAATAAAGAAATAGACAAGATAATTTCTAATAATGATAAGTGCTGTGAATAAAATAAAACAGTTTAATGTAATGGAACAACATTAGAAAGAGTGTCGTGAAAGGGTTCTCTGAAGAGGTGACACTTGAGCTGAGACTTTCAGGGCCAGCTAGATAAGCAGGACAGGGGGATTCTAGGCTCCTTTCCTTCATCCTAAAGCCTGCTTTGTGGTGTCTGAAATTCCTTTCCCAAAGTTGGAAGAAACAGACTTAAAATGCAAAACATGGTGGAGATCACATTTTAGTGTGAATGAACTTTGTCTGATTTGTAATTGGCCAATCCATTCATCAGTGTGAATGACTGGTTATCATATTCTGTTTTGACTGGGGAGGTGGGGAGAGGAGGGCAGTGATAGGGCTTATGTTAATACTGGTTACAAGCATAGCTCATCAGTGGCCTCCATTGCCTCTTTGCATTCTCTGCTCCTAGCCAGAGTTTCAGGGAGCCCACTACAGTATCTGATGAGTGAAAGAGAAGCAAAGAGAATTTGAGAAAAGATACAGGTATTTCTCTGATGAGGTGGAAGAACTCCCAAAGACGAACTCGGTAAGAGAGGGTCACTTTGCAAATCTTCATCCCTTTAAAATGTTCTTTCTGGTTCTGTGTGGTGGCTCATGCCTGTAATCCCAGTACTTTGGGACATGGAAGTGAGAGGATTGCTTGAGGCCAGTAATTTGAGACCACCCTGGGCAACATGACAAGATCCCATATCTATAAAAAATTTAAAAATTAGCTGGGCATAAAGGTGTGACCTGTAGTCCCAGCTACTCGGGAAGCTGAGGTGGAAAGATCACTTGAGTTCAAGGCTGCAGCGAACTACGATTATGCCACTGTACTCTAGCAAAGGTGACAGAGCAAGATCCTGTGTCTTAAAAAAATTTAAATTACATTAAAAATAAAATAAAATGTTCTTTCCTACCCTTAGGCAGTTTTGCTTGCAGAGTTTATATCAAAATCTTGTTTGGTCCTTTGTTTTTACAAAATTCAGTTCCCAGACATCAGTTAATTAAGATCTTACTGCCCTTATTTTTAATCCCATGCAGCTAGGTACTTAGTAAATGCTCAATAAATGCATGCCACTTAATCTCTTTACTTGGAAATTATGTTCTAGAAATAGCAGTAAATTATTGAGCTGCATTATTACTTTCCTCTCTACTATGGGCTTTTATGCCTCACAAATATTTATGGTTAACCAAAGAAAAGGAGTATCTAATGTGATTTTTTTGGTTTTCTCTGAGTGTATTTTAAAAGTCTGTTTAAATGTATGTGAAAGAAAGATATTTGATTAGAGGGTTTTGCTTGGAAAAATAAGGAGAAAATTTTTTTCATAGGGTCTCATTCACTTTCCACAAATGTTATCACTCTGGACTATAGGAAGAAACAGCTGCAATTGATATTTTGGTCAACCACTAAGAGAGGGACCAGGTTTTGGATAAAGAATTCCTGTCTTCTCTCAAATCCTTGCTAGCTGGGATGAGGAGGCCTGCCATCTACTTATGGAGCAAAGGGGTTTTTGAAAGTCTGAGCCTTTCCTGAGACTTAATGCCTCTGATGTTTCAGGCTGGCTTGTTCTGGAAAACATTGATTGTTTGTATCTACTGAGAACATTGAACATGCCACTCATTCTTTCTTAACTGTTACAAATTAATTGTCACAGAGCCTCTATTTCTATTGTGATCCTTTTCCAACCACTCTCCCCACCCTCCATACGGGTCAGGAAGTTAATTTTTGTTCTGGAAAAATTGTTTTTAGGGAATCACATTTAAACAGTCAGAGACAAGCTATCACAAGGTGATAGCAAGGTTGATGAATTCTGGCTCTGTGACTTTCAATTCCAGTGGCACCACTTGCTGGCTATGGGACCCTGAGCAAGCCAATTAGCCTATCTGAGCCTCAGTGTCTCATCTGTATAATGGGGCCATGGTTATAAAGTGCATGGTTCATTAGGGATTTTGTAAGGACTACGTGAGGGAATGCAAATAAAGCAGTCAGCCTGGTGCCTAACACATAAGAAGCCTTCTGGGCGTGTTGCAATGGTTCCAATCTATTATTGATCATCAACTGTACCACATTGGATGAAATATCTTTAGGAAGGAGATTGTTTCCTTTTTCCCTTTCTAAGACACAAGAGTTAATGAACGTGAAACACTGTGGCTGAAGGGCAATTTAGGAAAGGAAAAAGCCTCCGGATCTCATCATTCTAAACCTCTAAGTTTTATCCACACTTTTCTAAAGCTACTGTTAAGTCACTTGGCATTTCAGTGTAGCATGATATGTAATATTTTAAAAAGCAGAGAGGTTACCAAATGGGGGATTCTGTTACATATTTACATGTAATGTACAGAGAGAAAACCTTTGTTCTTTTTTAGAGGTTTGGTTATCTTCCTGGTTTATAAATCAATTTCCTTTTCCTATTCAAACCCAAACAGTTCACATTCCTGCATAACTTTATGGTTACTGGTGTCTCTGTGGAAACAACCACGTAGGAAGTGGTATTTCCCAGACTAAGAGCTTCACATTCAGTTTTCTTGGCAAGATGAGAGGAGGGTGTTTCAGGTCCATAAACCCCATAATTTTATCATGATCATCAGATAATAAGGATAATAACAGAGTTGTAAAACTTTAGAAGTTGAAGAACATTAGATTCCATCAAGGCCAACCCCCTCATTTTACACATGAGTAGGTACCTTATCCTTGAACCATGTTTTACTCTCCTAAAAGGGTTTTTACACAAATTATGTAATTTCCCTTCCCAGCAACCCTTTGAGGTAGTGAGAGGGTAGGTATTAGCTACCTCTATTTTGTAGACGAAGAAACTGAGGCTTTGGGAGAGTAAATGACTTGCTCACATTATGGAACGACTCAGTTGATGGGCATGTCTACATTTCAAGCTTCCAATTGCCTTGACAGTTCTCTTCATTGCAGCTTGATACATTGCAGGAGTTTGTGTGCCTACTGGGAACATAGATCTAGACCTCAGGTCTCCCAGGCTTGATATCTTTGGTCTTTGAAACTCTGTCATGTGCAGAATAAGATCCAAGCTCCTCAACATGGGATATGAGGCCCTCATGCTTGGCCTTTGCCCTCCTCTTCAGCCTCATCTTCTACCATGCCTAGTTTCCAATTTTTGCTCTAGGGACTCTAAGTGCCTTGGTATTTTCTATTCCTTCAGCTTGAAACACACTTCTAGCTCACTTTTTCACCCTAACCAATTTCCTTTGAGAATGAACTCAGCCGGGCATGGTGGCTCACGCCTGTAATCCTAGCAGTTTGGGAGGCTGAGGTGGGTGGATCACCTGAGGTCAGGAGTTTGAGACCAGCCTGGCCAACATGACAAAACCCTGTCTCTACTAAAAATACAAAATTTAGCCAGGTGTGGTGGTGGGCACATGTAATCCCAGCTACTCGGGAGGCTGAGCAGGAGAATCGCTTGAATGTGGGGGCAGAGGTTGCAGTGAGCTGAGATCACACTGAGATCGCGCCACTTCACTCCAGCCTGGGAGAAAGAGGGAGACTCTCTCTCAAAAAAAAAAAAAAAAAAAAAAGAATGAACTTGAGATACTCATCATTTTTTTTTTTTACTCTTTTGTAATAACGCTTAGCTTAAAACACAAACACAGAACCTGGGGGAGGGGCAGGAGTGTAAAAACAAAACAAGAAAAATACAAACCCATTGTGCAGAGGTACAGGTGTCTTCTTTCTTTATATCCTTATTCTATCAGCTTTTTTTCTATTAAGAACAGTTTTTTAAAACTTTAAAAGCTTTTTTTGTTAAAAATGAAGACACAAACACACACATTAGCCTAGGCCTACACAGGGTCAGGATCATCAATATCACTGTCTTCACCTCCACATCTTGCCTGACTGGAAGGTCTTCTGGGGCAATAACATGCATGGAGCTATCATCTCCTATGATAACAATGCCTTCTTCTGGAATCCCTCCTGAAGGAACTGCCTAAGGCTGTTTTGCAGTTAACTTGTTGTTTTTTTTTTAAATAAGTAGAAGGAGTACACTCTAAAATAACAACAAAAAGTATAGTATAGTGAATACATAAACCAGTAACATAGTCGTTTATTATATTATCAAGTATTATGGTATTATGTACTGTATAGAAATGTATGTGCTCTACTTTTATATGACTGGCAGCAAAGTAGGTTTGTTTACACCAGCATCGCCACAAACCCATGAGTAATGTGTTGTGCTAGATGTTAGGGCAGCTATGACATCATCAGTCGACAGGAATTTCCCAGCTCCATTATATCTTTTGGGAGCACTGTCATATACATGGTCCATCAGTGACTGCAGTGTTATTATGTGACGCCTGACTGTATGATTTTACGCAAACCTGATTGTTCCAGAGGTGGCCATTTTCTCCCGAGAGAGAAGACCAAAGAGATCTAAGAAGACAAGAGACACCATGTGGCTCCAGAGACACCAAGAGGAAAATAAACATAGAAAAGATTTGTCATTGTTCTTGATAACTTTACATTACCTGGTTCCAAACCCTAGTAAAGCTTCCGTGAGCTATGCCTGTATAATCCACAAATTCCCCTCTGGCAGTGGTGTGCTGGTAAAACAGCTCTTAAAAAGCAAACAAACAAATAACAAAGCCTTGATTTGTAGCACTTGCCAGTTTCCAAGATGTAAATACTCCCCCCATGATCTATTTTACGCTATTGTAACATCACTACATGTAGACTTGTGCATATATACTCATCTTTTGTGAGCTTACACGAGCTGGCTCTAGCACACCACTGCCTTAGGTTTAAGTTAAAGTGGGTGGGTTTCTGTCCCTTGATCCAAATGTCCCACTATATATCAAATTAAGGTACCATTGATTGGCTGGTTTATTTATCACCAAAAAAGAAAAACACCACTCTGCCCATTAAACTGTGATATAATGCTTTAAGAACAGTCCTGCTCGTGCATGAAATTAGTGCCACCAGCCTTTGCTCATTTGATACTTCCCTGTGTATATTCCTCTGGGTTTGGCAACTTTCCTGCCTTTAGCTGTGTTGCTTAGTGTGTGATAGACAATTCTTTTTTTTGGTATCTTAGTAACAAAATATAACACAGCTTCACATACTTGTGGGTATCTTCTCTTCTTGATTCTATTAAAATACTTGTGACAAATACACAACTCTGGTCATTCCTCCATAAATATCTGCTTTGTTAATATCCAATGTAAGCTCCTTTATTCCTATACTTTTCTGTGTAGACTTTTTTTTTTTGCTGTAACACCAAACTATATCTAATGTTTTTGAAGATATTTTAAATGGCGATTAAACTCCACTTGCGTAGTACTAATGTTGCAAATAACTCAAATGAATTGATGACAAAATGACCGAATTTACCTGTGTGCAGGTAATGACAATCAGAGCTATGGCAAGTCTCCATCAATTATGGGATGAATCCCAGTTTTAGAGATGTTACAATGTGGAAAAGAAAGTGCATCTCATAATCGGTGAAATATGGTAATCTCTGCTATGGAAAATACCTTGGCTCAGCTATCACCTCCTCCAGGGAGCCTGTCCTAACAATCTTCCAGCACTCCCTCTGAGTTGGGCTCAGTCCCACACCTTGTGTTCCTGTAGCTTCCTGTGTATATCTGTATCTTCCCACTTAGCATGTGGTGGCCTAATTACCTGTTTACCTGAGGAATGTATCTTGGAGAACTCTTTGGGTTCACGGTGCCTGGAACTGTGCCTGGCACATCATATCGGTCCTCAGTAAATGCTTGCTTAATGATTGACTTGTGAATCCTATGAGAGATGGATGATCTTTCGCTTTCAGACCAGCAGTGTGCACACTTCTGAGCAGGACAACCCCTGTCTGTCCAGGGCCTCTTCTGCAGCCAGCCACTCTCAGACCATGCCTACCAATGATATTAAAACACAGCAGTCCACTGTTCCTCTTATTTATACTCTCCCCCATAATCTTCACCTTAGTTCAGGCTGCTATAACAAAAATACCATAGAACCAGTGGCTTAAACAACAACAAAAAAATATTTTTCACAGTTTTGGAGGCTAGAAAGTCCAACATCAAGGTACTGGCCAATTTGGATCCTGGTGAGGGCTCTCTTCCTGGTTTGCAGAGGGCTGCCTTCTTGCTGTTTCCTCATGTGGCAGAGAAACAGGTGATTTCTTTCATATCTCTTATTTAAAAAAAAATTGGCCAGCACGGTGGCTCACGCTTGCAATCCCAGCACTTTGGGAGGCTGAGGTGGGCGGATCATGAGGTCAAGAGATCAAGACCATCCTGGCCAACATGGTGAAGCCCCGTCTCTACTAAAAATACAAAAATTAGCTGGGCATGGTGGCAGGCTCCTGTAATCCCAGCTACTCAGGAGGCTGAGTCAGTAGAATCGCTTGAACCCAGGAGGCGGAGGTTGCAGTGAGCCGAGGTTGTGCCACTGCACTCCAGCCTGGCGATAGAGCAAGACTCCATCTCAAAAAAAATAACAAATAAATAAAATAAAAATAAATAAATAAATAATTAAAAAATTGATTATATATTAGTTGTACGTATTCATATCTCCTCTTTTTGAGACAGGGTCTCACTCTGTCACCCAGCTGGAGTGCAGTGGTGTGATCAGGGCTCACTGCAGCCTCAACCTCCCAGGCTCAAGTGATCCTCCCACCTTAGCTTCCCAAGTAGCTGGGACCACAGGCACATGCTACCACACTCAGCTAACTTAAAAATTTTTTTTTTTTTTTTTTGAGACAGAGTCTTGCTCTGCTGCCAGGCTGGAGTGCAGTGGCGCTATCTTGGCTCACTGCAACCTCTGACACCCTGGTTCAAGCAATTCTCCTGCCTCAGCCTCCTGAGTAGCTGGGATTACAAGCATGTACCACCACACCCAGCTAATTTTTGTATTTTTAGTAGAGATGGGGTTTCACCATGTTGGCCAGGATGGTCTCGATCTCCTGACCTTGTGATCCACGCACCTCAGCCTCCCGAAGTGCTGGGATTACAGGTATGAGCCACCACACCTGGCCAAAAAAATTTTTTTATGGAGAGGAGGGTCTCACTATATTTGCTCAGGCTGGTCTTCAAATCCTGGGCTTAAGTGATCCTCCCACCTCAGCCTCCCGAAGTGCTGGGATTCCAGGTATGAGTCACTGCAGCCGGCCTCATGTCTCTTCTTATAAGGGAACTAATCCCATCATGAGGGCTCATCCTTCACAACCTAATTACCTCCCAAAGGCCCCACCTCTTAATAGTATCACACTGGGAAATAAAGCTTCAATTTATCGACTTTGTGGAGATACAAACATTCAGTCCACAGCACCCATGATGTGAGAAATCAAGTCAAATTAAAATTATAATGGGTAATAATGGCATTGCGATGTACTCCTCCCAGATAGCTCATGACATTTTAGGAGGAAGTTCGAATGAGCTAACTCACAGAAAAGAGCCTTGGGAAGAACTGCAGGCTGCTGTGAGAAAATCTGGAGCCAGCATGCTCTTTTCAAGGTCTACCACTTAAATGGTTGTCTGGGTTCACTTTATGCTCTCATTTGGGGCCACGATGTACCAAGTTAAGTTGTGAGAAAAGCCTGGATCATTTTGGGGCTTCCAATCTTCCCCTTTGGGCTCATTTCTTCCATTTTACATGCTTGGGTTGGGCATGGGACCAGCATCCTGAAAATGCAGGTGGGCTTCCCCAACTTGTGGGGGAGGCCCGAGAGGAAAGCAAGTTTCTCATTCTCAAAACCCAACTCAAGTCACCATGATACCTTTCATGTTTATGGTTTCCTTACATGAGGAAACTACTCAATCTCTTCCAGATCTTAAGTCTTACTTTCCTTCATGAGGTTATCTCATTTCCCTCTATTTATTTTCAAAATCTCCAAAAATAAAAGTTACTTCTAATATTCTCTTTTCTCACAACACTCTTCCTCCACACATTGCTTTAACTTCCATGGTCTAACCTAAAATAGAAAAGTTAAAGAAGGAAATACTAGTTGTCGGTATCAATTAAACAAACAGCAATTTAAAAAATTACAATAAAGATTTTCTGGTTTTGGTGACTTGCACCCTAAAATATTGGAAGGAATATCAAAGGATTGGAAAGTGGGGCTCAGTCCAACTGCTGGTGTCTGGGATTTAATGCTCAGACAGAGGTGGGTGGGGGAACCTCTTCCCTGCTTTGCAAAGGCAGAAATAATTCTCTGGTAACTCTTCTACAGGGAAGCTCTGTGGATAAGAAACCTCAAGAATGAAACACTTAATTATAACCAAACATGGAGCAAACAAAGAAACAAGAACTGAGTTGGGCTGTTTTATATGAATCCTGCCTACGAAAGGAGATTGCTCCTTCCAAGTTTTGTAAGAGATCAGTGACAAGCTGGAATTTTTCATTTCTGGGCTCAGTGAGAAGTTACATTTACAGAACCAACTTCATTTATGTTTTAAAAGCAAATAAGTTTAGGCTTACCACCCTGGTGAGCTCTGAGGCTGTTGAATATTCTGGGAACTTTCATATTGATAGAATATCATGACTGGGGGAAAATATTACAGTCATTTTCCTAACTCTAATAGTTTCCATCCCTAACCTCAAAAAGGAAGGTGAAAAATGATGAATGGGTGTGATGAGGATGTTGTTCCTGAGCCTTTGTTAGCAGTGCTGTGAGTTGTGCCAACGGCAGGGACCCAGGGAAGGGTTGGTGCTCAGTCTCCTCATTCTTTAACCTTGAACTCCTTTGTGTGACCACTTGTGTATATCAGGACTTGATACAACCTGCAGATGTGGAAAAGGGCATTCTTTTATTTTGTATAAGTCCCCTAGTTCATATGAGAAAGTAATGTTTCCTTGGCACTATGATTATAATTCTGATATTTATCAGGTGTCTAGTAGGAGCCAGGCACTTTACAACTATTATTTATAATCCTTATGACTCCCATTACACAGATGTGGAAACTGAGGCTGAAAGAATTCGAATGACTTGACCAAAACAATAGAGCTAGAATACGGCTGAGCCAGACTTTGGGCAAATTCCTCTCTGACTCCAAAACTTACATTCTTTTCTCATGCTATGTTGTCCAGGAAACTTGCCAGCCTACAGTGAAATAAGCTTTAGGTAAAGTATATTGAAAATACAGAAATGAGGCTGGGTGCAGTGGCTTATGCCTGTAATCCCAGCACTTTGGAAGGCCGAGGTGGGCGGATCACTTCAGGTCAGAAGTTTGAGACCAGCCTGGCCAACATGGTGAAACCTTGTCTCTACTAAAATTACAAAAATCAGCCGGGCATGGTGACAGGTGCCTGTAATTTCAGCTACTCTGGAGGCTGAGGCAGGAGAATCACTTGAACCTAGAAGGCAGACATTGCAGCGAACTGAGATGGTGCCACTGCACTCCAGCCTGAGCGACAGAGTAAGACTCTGTCTCAAAAAAACAAAACAAAACAAAACAAAACAAAAAAAACAGAAATGAGGCCAGGTGCAGTGGCTTATGCCTGTAATCCCAGTACTTTAGGAGGCAGAGGCAGGAAGATCACTTGAGGCCAGGAGTTCAAGACCTGCTTGGGCAACAAAGCAAACCCTTGTCTCTACAAAATAAAAAATAAAAAGAAATGAATGAGAATTTTAGAATTCTATCTGACAAATCTTCCCACAGTGTCTCTGGGTAGTCTACAAACCAGTAAAAATAAATTAAAGTTAATTACAAAGGAAAAATGAAGGTAATGTTAGAGACGCAGTCACTTCCGGGTGGATTCAAATTATCTGCATTTCTAGATCCTGCCATTGTTCACCCCCACTCACGCCCTCCACCCCAAGACACTGTGCAGAGGCCCCTCATGTTGGTTCTGATCTACACGTTGACCTCAGAACCTGACACTGAGGATCTCCAGCCTGGGGTTTCCACCATGCTCCACTCCCTGGGTTTCTAGAATTTTTTGCGCTGGAAAAATCCTGAAACTGTAGCCACACTTTGTCCATTATTCCCATTTACGGCTTTTCTTAGCAATCACTGGCCAGCCTCTTCTTGATACACACTCCCAACATGACACAGTTTCTGGGAAATTGTCAGGAAAAGGTTGGGTATTCCTGCAGTGGAGTCTTTGAGTCACAGGCTGGGCGGCCAGTACAGAGCACGAGAGATTCAAACAGGCTAATGGCTTCAGCACAGAGCAGATTTCCGGTGGCCATATGGCTGACACCTAAATGGCCTCTGCTGTTCATTTGCATTTTCACTTGGGCTACTGCTGTAACCCTCAACCTGTCTCTTTCCTTCCCCTCTTCTCTGTGCTCACCTTCCCTGCCCAACCACCCAAAGCCAAAGTCATCTTTGAACACCAGAAATCAATGTCCTGTCTTAGGCCCTTCAATGGCTGGCAATCGTGCTCGGAAATCAAACCCAAACTCCTCATCTAAGGCTTCAAGGCCCTGTGAGTGCTGGCTGTGACTGCCCCTCCAACCTCATCTCCCAGCAGCCTCTTCCCTGCCCTCTGGGCTCCAACCAGAGTTCTCTCCTCTCTCTTCCTGGAACACACCTTCTCTCCTCCCCTCCTTAGGACCTTGCCACTCGCTGTTGCCTCTGCCCAAATAGAATTCCCTGGGTTTTCACCATTTTTACCCTCAGGTTCCAGCTCCTATGTTACCTCTTCCGAAAATCCTTCCCATCCAGTGCGGCAAATTCCTCTCCCATCACCCTCCACCACATTCCCCGAACATTTCTTCTCAGCGCTTTTTAATAATTGCAGTTCTCTCATTTGTTTCTTCTTTTTTTTTTTCTGGCTTATTGTTCTGTCTCCTGTAACAGTTGGAATGTCATGAGGACAAGGACTTTTTTTTTTTTGACAGAGTCTAGCTCTGTCGCCCAGTCTGGAGTGCAGTGGTGCGATCTTGGCTCACTGCAATCTCCGCCTTCTGGGTTCAAGCAATTCTTCTGCCTCAACCTCCCTAGTAGCTGGGATTACAGGTGCCCGCTACCACTCCCAGTTAATTTTTGTATTTTTAGTAGAGATGGGATTTCACTGTGTTGGCCAGGCTGTTCTTGAACTCCTGACCTTGCGATCCGCCCGCCTTGGCCTCCCAAAGTGCTGGGATTACAAGCGTGAGCCACCGTGTCTGGCCTATTTTTTGTTTTTTTTTTGAGACAGAGTCTTGCTCTGTTGCCCAGGCTGGAGTGCCATCTTGGCTCGCTGCAACCTCTGCCTCCCGGGTTCAAGCGATTCTCCTGCCTCAGCCTCCTGAGTAGCAGGGACTGTGGGCATGTGCCACCATGGCTGGCTAATTTTTGTATTTTTAGTAGAGATGGGGTTTCTCCATGTTGGCCAGGCTGGTCTTGAACTCCTGACCTCAAGAGATCTGGCCGCCTCAGCCAACCAAAGTGCTGGGATTATAGATGTGAGCCACTGAGCCCAGTGAGGGACTTTGTTTTGATCAGCTCTGTGCCCTTAGCCCAGTGCCAACATGCAGTAGGTAGTTAATGCATATTTGTCAAACAACTGAAATCCTAAAATTATTTAGCCCTTTGTCATCTTTCAGAACTTAACAAAAGCTTGCTCCATTTCCCAAACGGCTCGACTCTAAACCCATGCCTTTTGGGAAGTCCCCTCATTTCCAGCCCTGTTATTTGAAAATCCCCTCTGTAAATTCGTACCAGCTTTCATAAGAGGAATGTGTTCTAAACAGGATCTAACACACCATGAGAATTTCCCAGCACCAAATGATCAACATGAAACCATGGAAATTATATTGCTATGAATAGTTGCCTTTTTGAAAGTCTGGTTGTAGCATCTATACCTTACTATTCAGCCAAGTCACTTATAGCAACTCATATTTTGAATCTCTGTTCACAAATTTTCTGATTTTTTTTAAGATAACTGACTCCAAGTGTGGTTCAAGTTTACTCGCCTTTCTTTGAGCTCTCTTTTAGTTCTTAAGGCAGGATATTACATCAACCTAGAATTCCAAAATATGTCCCTCTGATATTTATTACTAGAAACACTAAATTCTAGAAACATAGTTCACCTTAAAAGGAATTTAAATGCTTTTATTCATCTGATGCAATTGCTTTTATCTTTTTCTTTTTTTTCTTCAGAAAGAAGTATGTTTTTTAATGGAGGTTTGAATGGGCCAGTTAACTTCTGTAAATGTCTTGTGAAATTTTCACAGGTAAACACACACACACACACACACACACCCCTTCAGATTATCCAAACTGGCTCAAAGTTTCTTCATCTCATGCTATTTCAGCCTTCAAATATGAGACTCTTTTCCTTCCTCAATCACTCTATACCTTATATTTACAGTTTACAGAATTATGAAGTGTGAATTCCTGATCTCATTTAATTTTTACACCTGTGGAGCTCTTAGATAAATGACCCTCATTTTGCAGAGGAGAAAACCAGTTCAGAGTGTGTCCCACTTGACCGCCCTCAGGTATTTGGGGTGCTCCTGACCTCGTGATCTGGCTGCCTCAGCCTCCCAAAGTGCTGGGATTATAGGCGTGAGCCACCGCGCCCAGCCCCCAAACTTTTTCTTTTTTGAGATGGAGTTTCACTCTGTCACCCAGGCTGGAGTGCAGTGGTGTGATCTTGGCTCACTGCAACCTTTGCTTCCCGGGTTCAAACAATTCTCATGCCTCAGCCTCCCAAGTAGCTGGGATTACAGGTGCCCACCATCATGCCTGCCAATTTTGTATTTTTAGTAGAGACAAGGTTTCACCATGTTGGCCAGGCTGGTCTCGAATTCCTGATCTCAAGTGATCCTCCTTCCTCAGCCTCCCTAAGTGCTAGGATTACAGGCATGAGCCCTGTGCTCGGCCCATAACTAGCATTTTTATGAACCGCTCATGCAGAGGATCTCCATGTTTCAGTTTACCTGTGTAGCCTCATCATGGACAGATTTAGTTGTTTCTTTCCCAGGTTTCAAAATGTTGATGGTAGCACAGCCTGTGTCTTTTGATACTACCTTGGATACCCCTAAATGATCCAGGAATTATTTGTGCACAGAGGCTGAGTGTGTGTTATCTAGGTGTGTACTCAGGAAAAGTATCTGTGAGAATCAGATTAAGTATGAGTTAAGTCATATTCCAAGGTTACGTCTGAAGCCTTCTGGTGTAGTGTAGTTTGAAACATAAAACAGCACTTGAAATAAATGAGCTACAACTATGAGCAGCAATCTTTTCCCTAGCCTATGGTTTCTTATAATGATACTTAACAGGAAGGTATTTTTAGGCTTGTTACATTTGCAGAACAAAAGATGGTCACATACCTTTGGCTGAAGAATACAAGGGATGTTATTTTCTTTTTTAAATAAACATTTTGTGCAGTGTACAATGTGAATCTAGATACAGGAAAGCAAACTATTTTCTTGTAGAAAAAAACCAGGCTATATATTTAGCACCTGCTCATTTCCCAGCATGTCCCAGCAGCTATTATTTAAGGTAATAGCTCATTAATACTTTTATGTATAGGCTTTAAAAAGAGACCATTTGCAAAGTTCTTAATTCATATTATTTTATCTTGTTCTCCTAATAATACTGTGAATATTGTTATCTTTGCTTACAACTGAGGAGACTGAGACACAGATCAATTAAGTGGCATGTCCCAGACCACTCACTGGCCCTTCAGAAACAAAGACCCACAATTACACTTTCAGGCTCTGCAGTGCCAGCAGCACAAGCTCTGCCACTCACCATGTGATCTTTTTGTTAGAATTTTCTGAAACATTTAAACTGGAACAAGAGAAAGTGCTAATTACATACTGCTTTTTTCATTTTTGTTTTATTTTTATTGATACATAATATTTGTACATATTTATGCAGTACATGTGATATTTTGTTCGCTGCATAAATGCATAATAAATGTTTGAGCTTTAATTGCCACCAGAGTCTTGGTAACCACCAGGCACAGTGGCTCATGCCTGTAGTCCCCACACTTTGGGAGGCCGAGGTGGGTGGATCGCTTGAGCTCAGGAGTTCGAGACCAGCCTGGGTGACATAATGAAACCCTGTCTCTACAAAAAATACGAAAATGAGCCAGGCTTGAATCACTTGAACCCAGGAGGTGGAGCTTGCTGTGAGCCCAAATCATGCCACTGCACTCCAGCCTGGGTGACAAAGCAAGACCCTCAAAAAATAAAATAAAATAAAATAAAATAAAATAAAACGTCTTAGTAACAAATTTCTAATTTGACTTGTTAACAAATTGGCCAAGATAATACTCCCATTGGATAGTAGGCTACTAAATAATGGGAAGTTTATTTCTTTTATTTCGAAGATGTGTGAGACCCACAACTGGCCATTCTAGTGGGGTAGAGGGCAGAAAAGAGCATGATTTGATAGTTGCAAAGTTTTCCTTTCCTCTGCCCTGGTCACCCAGCAGTCTCCCTCCCTCTCTCCCTTCCTCCCTTCCTCCTCTCCTCCCTCTGGGTACCAGGAGGATAAATGGACACAGACACACTCTGGAACAATGTGGCCATAATGGCATCATTATCCTGGGATGGTAGAAGATAAGTCCTGTCTACCTGACACTCGTCTTGGCCCCATTTCAACTGCCTCTCTTGATTAGGGTCACGAATAAACTAACTTGTTTGCATTTTATAGTTGAACATACTTGATAGGACATAAGAAGGAGGCTGGTGCCAGGGTGGCTTCATAGGCGTGCTACCTGCGCAGTAGAAAAAGCCCACATGCTCAGAAAGGCCTGCACCTGATTAATGCTCTGCTCTCATCATCTTGAAATTCTCAGTAAGTTTTGACAAAGGGGCCCACGTTTCCATTTAACACCTGATCCCTTAAAATTATGTGGCTGGTCCCACTTGGTGGCTTAACGTATCAGCTTCAGAGACAGTGATCCCGCCAAGTCAGAATGCTACCAGATTCTAGGTTTCCCCAAAAAGCCTGGGGATAGGTGAATATGAGGCTAACAGATCCAAAAAAGCATGGGAGCAGGACCTAGTGGACTTAAAGCCTCATTGTGTGTGAGCAACAGAGGATGCTGTCCACCACCTGGCAGAGGGGTTCTCTCTTAGTTGAAGCCAGCGAGGCCTGATGCCCCACTCTAAATGCCAGGAAGATATGTCCTCAGGAATGCAAACTGTAGTTTCTTGATTGAGAGTGCTGCACAGGCAGACAGGAAACGGTCAATATCCAACAATCGATATCCAAACTTTGGGATTTTTTTGCCCTTTTATTTTAGAAAGCATTTTCATTTTAAAATTGTTAATCTTTTTACTCATTATAAATTACATTCAAGAAACACATTTCATTACTGATAAGCAGAAAAAAATTTAGAAATCACTCATGGTCCTACTCCCTAGAGATGATCACTGTTAATGTTTTAATGAACATATATATTTATATACACATATATGAAGAGTCATGCATTACCTAATGATGGGGATACATTCTAAGAAATGTGCCATTAGGTGATTTCATCTTTGTGCGAACATCACAGAGTGTACTTACTCATGCCTAGATGGTACAGTTGACTAAACACCCAGACTATATGGTATAGCCTATTGCTCCCAGGCTACAAAGCTGTACAGCTGCTGCTGTACTGAAGGCAATGGTAACACAGTGGTAAGTACTTGTATATCTAAACATAGAAAAGGCACAGTAAAAATACAGTATAAAAGATAAACAATGAAGCTGGGTGCAGTGTTTCACACCTGTAGTTTCAGCCTTTTTGGAGGCTGAGGTGGGAGGATTGCTTGAACCCAGGAGTTTGAGACCAGTCTGGGCAACATAGGGAGAACTTGTCTCTAAAAAAAAAAAAAAAAAAAAATTAGCCAGGCATGGTGGTACATGCCTGTGTTTCTGCCTACTTGGGAGGCTGAGGTGGAAGGATCTCTTGAGCCCAGGAGGTTGAGGCTACAGTGAGCTGTGATTGCACCACTGCACTCCAATCTGGCCAACAGAGTAGAGACCTTGTCTCAAAAACAAAACAAAAACAAAAACAAACAAACAACACAAAATCCAAAAATTAAAAATGGTACACTTGTAGGTGACACTTACCATGAATGGAGCTTGCAGGACTGGAAGTTGCTCTGGGTGAGTGAGTGAGTGAGTGAGTGAATGAGAAGTGAGTGAATGGGAAGGCCTAGGACATTACTAAACACTACTGTAGACTTTATAAACACTGTACACTTAGGCTACACTAAAGTTTATTAAAAATAGTTTCTTTCCTGGCCGGGTGCAGTGGCTCACGCCTGTAATCCCAGCACTTTGGGAGGCTGAGGCGGGTGATAACTTGAGGTAAGGAGTTTGAGACCAGTGTGGCTAACATTGTGAAACCTCGTCTCTACTAAAAATACAAAGATTAGCCAGGTGTATTGGTGGGTGCCTGTAATCCCAGCTACTTGGGAGGCTGAGGCAGGAGAGTCACTTGAACCCGGGAGGCAGAGGTTGCAGTGAGCTGAGATCATGCCACTGAACTCCAGCCTGGGTGACAGAGCAAGACTGTCTCAAAAAAACAAAAACAAGAACACAAAAACGAAAACAAAAACACACATCGCACAGCTGTACAGAAATATTTTCTTTTGTTATATCCATGTTCTATAAGCTTTCTTCTATTTGAAAATTTTATTTTTTACTTTTCAAACTTTTTTTTTTGTTAAAAGGTAAAACACAAACACCCACATTAGCCTACACCTACACAGGGGTCAGGATCATCGATATGACTGTCTTCCACCTCCACATCTTGCCCCACTGGAAGGTCTTCGGGCCAGTAACACGCATGGAGCTGCCATCTCCTCTGATAACAATGCCTTCTTCTGGAACACTCCTGAAAGACCTGCTTGAGGCAGTTTCACAGTTAACTTAAAAAAAAAATAGAAGCAGTACACTCTAAAATAATGATTAGGCCATGTGTGGTGGCTCACGCCTGTAATCCCAGCACTTTGGGAGGCCGAGGCGGAAGGATCACTTGAGGTCAGGAATTCAAGACCAGCCTGGCCAACATGGTGAAACCCTGTCTCTACTAAAAATATAAAATTAGCTGGGCATGGTGGTGGGCGCCTGTAATCTGAACTACTCAGAAAGCTGAGGCAGAAGAATCGCTTGAACCTGGGAGGCTGAGTTTGCAGTGAGCCAAGATCCCATCAATGCACTCCAACTTGGGTAACAGAGTGAAACTCCATCTCAAAAACAAATAAATAAATACATAAAATAATAAAATAATGATTAAAAGTGTAGAATAGGCTGGGCACGGTGACTCTTGCCTGTAATCCCAGCACTTTGGGAGGCTGAGGTGGGCGGATCATGAGGTCAGGAGATCAAGACCATCCTGGCTAACATGCTGAAACTCCGTCTCCACTAAAAATACAAAAAAATTAGCCGGGCATGGTGGCGGGTGCCTGTAGTCCCAGCTACTCGGGAGGCTGAGGCAGGAGAATGGCGTGAACCCGGGAGACGGAGCTTGCGGTGAGCCGAGATCGCAACGCTGCACTGCAGCCTGGGCGACAGAGCGAGACTCCGTCTCAAAAAAAAAAAAAAAAAAAAAGTGTAGAATAGTAAATACATAAACTGTAACATAGTAGTTTATCATCAAGTATTATGTGCTGTACACAATTGTATGTGTTAGACTTTTATAGAACTGGCAGCACAGTGGGTTCGTACCAGCATTGCCACAAACACATGAGTAATGCTTTGTGCTAGGACATTATCATGATTGCAACGCCACTAGGTGATAGGAATTTGCAGCCCCAGTTTAATCTTACGGGACTATCATCATATATGAGGTCCATAGTTGGCAGAAACATCATTATGCAGCATATGACTATACCTTAGAGAAAAACAAAACAAGATTATGATCTATTTCACTCTATATGGTATCACAAAGTTGCTGCTTCTTTCATTTAGGATTTTGAGAACGTGGTCCCATGTCATTACATGTTCTATTACATCACGTACAGTCTGTCAGATAATTTTAATAAAGTTTATAGCTTACCGAACTAACTCGTATGGTTTGATATTTAGACTGATTATCATTTCTTGCTATTTTAAATGGTGCTGTGACGAACAGATGTGGAGCTACCTTCAAAATTATCCGTAACTATTGCTTTAGAATAATTTTCTAGAAGTGAATTTTCTGAGTAAAAGATAGGAATGTAGTGAGAGATACTTGTCCAGTGGCCTCACAGAAATCTTGAACCAATCTCCATCCCTGTCAGCAGCGTTTATGAGTTTGGGCAGCGTTCTTAGAATCTTATGGGGACTTGGTTTTGTGGGTGGATGAGAGGTTGCAATTGAAACCTAGAAGAGGCAATTTCCTGACTGTCATGGGAGTTTCTAGAACCCCAAGTGGTCAATAAAATGGGGTGCAAATGGATGTAGTTTTTTATAATTTGTAGTCTAGTCAACCGCTGTGGGGCGAAAATTATCCTAAAGGGATTACGACCAAGAAAGAGGTTGCCCAGAGGTTCTATTAGCCTCTAATTGCACCTTATGGTTATATGTAACAGCGTGATCGCATAGTGCTGAATCAGGGTTTATAAAAATTGCACTAAAACCAAGTCCTGTAATTTGAAAATAAAAAACAAGCCTTTTTTTTTTTTTTTTTTTTTTTTTTGCTCCTTACTCAATCAGTAGGAATTATTGGCTTGTTTGGGTTCCCTATCCCTCTCCTCTTCCAGCTACCCTTAAGATTTTTCTTTTTTGTCACATAGAGAAGCATATGTCATGTCAGCTCATTCAAAAGTAAATTCCTCACACTCCAGCTTCTTCCGTAAATTAAAATTTCAGCTTAAATCTTTTTGATGTTTACAAACACTGAGCCTCATAATCCCCACATCTATTTGTGTATCAGACTTCTCTTTAGGGAATCCATAAATAATCCTCCTCCATAAAACAGGCCCGCACCTGGGCTCCTGGAAAAAATCAGTAAGAGGGAAACACAAATAAACCTACTAGAAGCACAGCTGGAATTTAGAGGCTCAGTCAATCATAGAAGCCTTCACATTTTTTTAAAAATCAGCAAAGATTTTATTATGTGGCATAGAGGTTATACATATAGAGAAGAATCAAAATTCTGAGAAATTATTTTCCATCGCACAGAGGCTTCCTATTAAATGGATGTGTGATGTACAACATCTTTAAAGACAGATCTCCCCTGTGGGTTGTAGATGATGCTCCAAGAATACATTCTAATGTCCGGAAGAACCATTACCCACTGACATGCTGGCAGTCATTTTCAGGGACTAGTGGCTTGGGTCTGTGGTTTATTTTCCTACACAAAAGTGCAATGGATTATATAACCTTTACAGTGGGCAGTGTTAGAATTCCCATGGTACGATGGCTTATCCTTTTAAAAATGTATTAAATATAAATGAACCATTTACCATTAACCATAGTATATATTGTTTTCTTGCTTTCATCTTGTGTCTTCTTTCCTTTTCTCGTCTACACACCACTGTTTTCTTTTTCCAACCCCTTGCCTACATACTTTTCTTTGCCTTAAGAGCTTATGTACACATCTCTTTTTGGTTTCCTTTGTAACAACTCCAACACATTTCCTTTTATGTTTTGATTTTTTGCTTAGCTTTTTCTCCCTTGTTTTTTTCACCTCCCCCCAACCAAACCATGTTTATTTCCATTTTTCTCTCAATGGTCTAATTTCTCTCCATGCCTGTCACATTTCACTGAGGTTTGCTGCATGATTAAAATGAAGGAAGCCTTTTCTTCTCATGCTTAAAAAGGAAACTGCCCACTATATAGTTTCAGCTTATCCTAAATGACTGCCTCCCTTGAATAGGATCCCTAGCTCTTTCTTGCAAAACCCAGCTCAAAGAACAGCTTTGTGCTCTGTATAGAACACACCAGGGATATGTAGGTTCAAGCTATGTTGTTCTGAATTTTCAGTGTTGCTTTGTTGAACATTAAGAAGCCCCTCATCACTAGTGTCACCTCTTTCTCTCTCTGCTTCTGCCATTTACAGATGTTTTCAGCTGGCATTCACCCTGCTTGTCAAAAAGGAAATTGGTAGCCCTAAACTCACTGTGTTAGTCTGTATTTTTTGCACTGCTATAAAGAAATACCCAAGACTGGGTAATTTGTGAAGAAAAGAGGTTTAATTGGCTCATTGCTCTGCAGCCTGTACAGGAAGTTTGGCAGCATCTCTTCTGCATAGGCCTCAGGGAGCTTTGACTCATGGTGGAAGGCACAGCGGGAGCAGGTGTCTTACATGGCAGGAGCAAGAGGATGAGGGAGAGAGGGAGAGGTGTCACACACTTTTAAACAACCAGACCTCACAATAATACACTCACTCACCATCACAAGAACAGCACCAAAGGGAGATATCCACCCTCACGATCCAATCATCTCCCACCGGGCCCCACCTCCAACATTAGGGAATAGAATTCGACATGAGATTTGGGTGGGACACAGATCCAAACCATATCATTTGCTAATCAGAACCCAGAAGATGTTTAAAGGGAGGTGTTAACCTCAAACTATCACCCCTAATGTCTCTCTCGCTTGTGGAATGAAAAGAATGTGAAGGGGCATTGAAAAAGAATTCTGCCACAGTGAATGGTTGTTAAGATGTGGCGTGCATGGTGAAGAACTCACTCTGCTTTTTTATTTTATTTTTTATTTTTTTGAGACAGGGCTTTGTTCTGTTGACCAGGCTGGAGTGCAGTGGTGGGATTTTGGCTCACTGCAACCCCTGCCTCCTGGGCTCCAGTGATCCTCCTACCTCAGCCTCCTGAGTAGCTGGAATATACCATTATGCCCAGCTAATTTTTATATATTTTTTTGTAAAGACAGGGTTTTTTCACGTTGCCCAGGCTGGTTTCAAACTCCTGGATTCAAGTGATCCTCCTGCCTCAGCCTCCCAAAGTGCTGGGATTACAGGCGTGAGCCACCACACCCAGCTGTTTGTGAGTCTTTAATCACGGAACTTGTTTCACTCTGGGAGACTCTCTAGAACATATATATCCATGTGAGGGGGACAGCCTTTGCTTTTTGAGATCTTGCTCAAGTCCATTCTTAAATGAGTGTGCTGGGGAAAGGATAATATAAATCCTAAAAGACAGAGTATCTCAGACTCTCCAGTGAGTCATTTCCTCATTCCCATTAATTGGCTTAGACCCAACTATAGACTGGAATGCTATTTTTATGCATTCGTTCACAACTGAGAGATCTAACACAAGGTTTAAGTAACAGAATCTGCCAATTTGAAGAAGAGAAAGAAAATGCCTTACTGCATATTCCAGTAAATTAGGCTGACAATATGTTTCACATTTTGAAATAATTTTTGCCTTCTAAAACATTCATATATAGGCTGAGAATTTTTGGGGGGATGTAACACTGCTTGGAGATAAAGGGGATATTCTCACTACTATTTCCCTCTACTGTGGCTTCCTTGGTATATTTTTTCTTTGTGCTTGACTTTTTTATGGTGGGGTACATTGAAGCTCTATCAGACACAGTTGCTGTCTAATAAAATGTGACTCACCTCTCCATTCCGTTGTAAAAGTTGAAATGGCAGTAACTCAAGTGTGTGGCTGACTCAGTAATTGGCCAGCATAGCCTTTATTGAAATTATCCTGTAATCTAGAAATTAGAAGTTAAATAGCCCATGAAGTCATCCTGACCCAGCTGTTTGGGGCCATGGTAAGAGTCTCTTCTGGAACATTTTTCTATTACCCCTTCAATTTGGTTTTATAATTATCAGTCACGCAACCACACTGATCATGAACTTGGCAAATTTCTTTTCTAACTAGCTGAAAAACTATAGAACATATCACCTAGCAGCAGAGCACATCTTCTGAGATAAAGTAGCAGTTATTTCTTCAATGAAATAACAGATTGGAGGCCGGTCCATAAAACTCAGGAAAACCTATAGGAAAGTTATGGAGATTGTGCTTGAAGTTTAATCTCGTCAGTGTCTAGTGGAGTAACAAGGTTTATCATGAAAGAAAGTTTGTCAAGGTGTGATGCCTGGACTAGTGGTGAAAGGTCGGTATGTCTAGGGGAAAGAATTGAGCCATCTGACTGTCAATGCTGGGCATGGGAAGACTAGAAGGGGGCAGGAAAGGGAGCCAGCCTGGGAGATTTGGGCAAAGTGAAGTGGGCTCAGTGGGCATTAGTTCCAAAAATGCAGGTCTGGCCATGGCTGCTCATTCTCTGCAAGATGAGCTCCAAATCTCTCGCAATGGCAAAGTGGACTATTAAGATTCTACTCACAGGCATGGTGGCTCAAATCTGTAATCTCAGCACTTTGGGAGGCTGAGGCAGGTGGATGGCTTGAGCCCAGAAGTTCTAGACCAGCCTGGGCAGTATAATGAAACCTCGCTGTCCCTACAAAAAATTAAAAAATGAGTCAAGCTTGGTGGCACATGTAGTCCTAGCTACTCTGGAGGCTGAGGTGGGAGGATCCAGTGAGCCCAGAAGGCAGAGGCTGCAGTGAGCCAAAACTGCGCCCCTGCATTTCAGCTTGGGAGACAGAGAGAAACTCTGTCTCAAAAAACAAACAACAAAAAAAAAGATTCTACTCCACCTCAGTGTTTGTTTCATCCCTGATTCCTTGATCATTCTGTTCCCTCTAGCTAGAATACCTTATTCCCCTGTCTACCTGGAATATTTGGATTTGTCTTTTGAACCTCAGTTTAGCTCTCATCTTCTTCAGAAAGTTTTCATTGAACCCACAGATAGAGGATTCATGCTTCTGCCAGGTGCATGCTTCTATTGCTTTACTTATTTAAAGCAGTGTGATTTATATATTTACTTGATTTATTTGTCTACTTCCTATAATGGACCTTGAGCAACCTAAGGATAAGCTTGTGTCTTTATTCATTTTTATGTCTGCCATGTCTAGCACAGAACCTAGCACATAGTAGAAGTTCATTGCATTTATGGAGAGTGAATGAATGAATGAGAGAAGAGGCATATTTTTAGTACAGTTGTCTCTCCGTATCCATGGAGGAGTGGTTCCAGGACTCCCCTTGGATATCAAAATCCATGGATGCTCAAGTCCCTGATGTAAAATGGTGTGGTATTTGCTCATACCCTACACACATTCTTCCTTATCCTTTACATCATCCCTAGATGACTTATAATACCCAATGCAATGCAAATGCCATGTAAATAGTTGTTACACTGCATTGCTTAGGGAATAATGACAAAAGTCTGTACATGTTTAGTACAGGTGAAACAATCTATTTTTGTTTTGTTTTTTCAAATACTACCTATCCGCGGTTGGTTGAATCTATGGATGTGGAACCCACAGATGTGGAACCCACGGATATGGAGCACCTACTGTGCTATGAATCAAGGAGGCAGAGCACCAGAGATGCTGCAGAGTGTGTTTCCATATTGTGAGGGAGATTGGATTAAATGTTACCTAAGAAAACGCCATGAATCAAATAGCATTCCTGACTTTTAAAGAATCATAGATTCAGCATGAAGAAGGAATGTTAGAAATCATTTAGCACAAATCCCACTTCAAGAGAGCAGTCTTGGGCTGGGTGCGGTGGCTCACGCCTGTAATCCCAGTACTTTGGGAGGCTGAGGAGGGCGGATAGTGAGGTCAGGAGATCGAGACCATCCTGGCTAACATGCTGAAACCCCATCTCTACTAAAAATACAAAAAATTAGCCGGGCGTGGTGGCGGGCGCCTGTAGTCCCAAGCTACTCGGGAGGCTGAGGCAGGAGAATGGCATGAACCTGGGAGGTGGAGCTTGTAGTGAGCCAAGATTGTGCCACTGCACTCCAGCCTGGGCGACAGAGCCAGACTCTGTCTCAAAAAAAAAAAAAAAAAAAAAAAAAAAAAAAAAAAAAAAAAAAAAAAAAAGAGAGAGAGAGAGAGAGCAGTCCTTTCTAGAGCCTTTTTTTTTTTTTTTTTTTTGAGATGGAGTCTCGCTCTGTCGCCCAGGCTGGAGTGCAATAGTGCAATCTCGGCTCAATACAACCTCCTTCTGGGGCATTATTGACAGATTAGCAGCTGGCTTGCATTTGAATGCTCCAGGGCCAGAGGGCAATGTAATTTACCAGGAAGCCCATTTGGGTCTCAGATGGCTATATTTGTTTTTCATGATTAGGCATAATTTAGCTTTTTGGAGACTTCATCTTAGTAAGTGCTCAGTAAAATTACCTACTATTATTGTTACGTTATTGCTTTATTTTTTCTTCATTAAAAACAGCTAATGATAGTTGTAAGGGTTTCCATTTCTTCTTTTCTCAAGGCTAACCTCCCTGGTTGCTTAATACCATGACTGGGTTCCCAGATCCCTTATCGTCTCCTCTCTTGCCACGTGGCTCACCAGCCAGGAGAGCATGATCAGTGCTTCTTGTGATCCCGACCCAATTCATTCCAGAAAAAGGCCCCTTTCATCCCTCTGCCCATGCTTATCAGAGGCAAATGCCCAAAGCAGGAGGCTACAGTTGTGAATCACATCTAGTGTAGCATTCATTCACTGAAAGAGAGCTGGGGTAGGAAATGCGATATTAAATAAGTGATCAGGGACACACCAAGCACATATTGTTAAAGAATTAGTAATATTAAATAGAAATTGTTGGAGAAAAAAAACCTTTCTCTCTGTCTTATTTATTCACACATTGCTCATCAAAAAGCAAAACAAAATAACCTTTATATCTTGGAAGCAAAGCCATTTCTAACTCAAATAAATAAACTGTTAAAGAATAAGACACTCACGGAAGATCAAAAAATAGACTGTGGGTCAGGCAAGGTGGCTCATGCCTGTAATCCCAGTACTTTGGGAGGCCAACATGGGCAGATTGCTTGAGCCCAGGAGTTTGAGACCAGCCTGGGCAACATGGTGAAACCCCGTCTCTACAAAAAATACAAAAACTAGCCATGCATGGTGGCGGGCACCTCCCAGCTACTTGGGAGGCTGAGGTGGGAGGATCACTTGAGCCCAGGATGTTGAGGCTACAATGAGCCATGATCGCACCACTGCACTCCAGACTGGATGATAGAGTGAGACCCTGTTTCCAAAAAAAAAAAAAAAAAAAAAAATACATAGACCATGGGTTTTTACTGCACATATTAAATTTTTAAATTCTTCTTGGATGATCTAGGGGAGAAAACAGAGCACAATAATCTGATTCTCCTTTTTTGATGCAAGCAGTACAATAATGAAACCAATGAGAAATTAGAAAGCTTTTCTAAATTTAAAAAAGTTATCTTCAGTTTAGAAACAGCTTCTGAATAATATTGATACATGCCCTTGTGAACTGACACACATAAAGACTATCCCAGTTAGTAACCCACCATTTGTATGATATAGCTTTCAAGTTATTTTCTTCATTTTGGTGATGAGTGTGCACTGAGTGATCCATGTTCTTTTATCCAATTCCTCTTATTCTCAATGATACATATTTGCAAAATGGCTAGGGAGGGAAAGGGTAGTTACATCTTCTGCATAGCAACTGAGATCTGGTTGCTAGTTGAGTAAAAGATGCTGGCTGTGTTCAAAAGAGGCAACTAAACTTGGGGTGGGGCCATGGGGGTGGGAAGAGAAGACGTAAGCTGGAGAAGACTGCCACTCTCAGTGGCTCAGCCCAGGCAAGCTGATATTTATTAACAGGGCTCTTGATTGCAGGTGCAAAGATTGGTTTTACCAGCAGATCCTAGAATAACAATTATAAGGGAAGCAAGATGGCGAATGGTTGCAGAAGACATTATTGTTTTCCATTTCTCCCTTTCCTTTTTCATCATAGGACCCTGATTTTGTGCAGGACCATGCCCCTACCCCGTCTTCCTTAAAGCAACCCTGTGCTCTTAGGGAGGTTGGCCCAGACCCAGGGGATAAATTGTGATTAGCCCAAGCCAATCATGCTGTCTTTTTCTCTTGCTGGTGATTAGTTTGGGCATGGGCACATTAACAGATCTGCTCAGGGAGACAAGAGAAGTGCATTCTGGAATCTTTTGAAAGGCTTGTAAAGAGAGATACACAGAAAAAGATGGTTTCTTATTCTCCTGGGCCTTCTCATGTCTGGATGTGGTACCTGGAACTGCAGCAGTCATTTTAAAACATGAGGGTGCTAGCCTGAGGATAAAACCCATATGTTAAGTAAGGGTAGCTGGGCAGAGATGGCAACACCTGGGGCCTGAGGATTTAACTGAATCACTAAATTAACCAACCACAGAATTTCCTGTCATACACGGAACAGTGCCCCCCCATCCCCATTCATATGTTGAAGTCCTAATCCCCAATACCTTAAAACATGACTGTATTTGCAGATAGGGCCTCTACAGAGGTAATTAAGGTCAGATGAAGTCATCTGGGTGAGCCCTAATCTGATCTGACTTGTCTCCTAATAAGAAGAGGAGCTTAGGACACATGGAGAGAGACACCAGGGATGCACATGGCCAGAGAAGGTGGCTTCCACAAGCCAAGGGGACAGGCCTTAGGAGGAAATAACCTGCCAACACCGTGATCTCAGACTTCTAGCCTCCAGAACTGTGAAAAAATTAACTTCCACTGTTTGAGCCACCCTGTCTATGGTATTTTGTAATCACAGCCCTAGCAAACTGATTCGTATCCCTACCTTGGGACTTCTTCATATTGTATATGAGGCCTTACGACTTTTTTGTTTGTTTTAGGTCACTTGAGTGGAGTTTTCTGTTTAATTCTAACAGGGTTGTTAAAAACACAAAAAAGATATTGTAGCCGTATTATTCTATTATAAATGAAAGCAAGTTCTGAGGCTAGGAGATATAGCTACAATATCTAACACTAAAGATCAGAATACCAGGGAGGATAATCCCAAGTACCATTATCATAAACACAAGGGGTAGCAGGAGAAAGCTGAAAATGTTGGAGGAGGGGTACCATTTACAATGTTTTTTCTAAACACCAAGGTAGAGCCTTGCTTTCTCCTCTCCTAATCCACCCATAGCTGGACCTGATACGGAGCCTCATGAGGATATGGTTGTGGTCAAGAACCACAGTGGAGCTGAGTGTCCTAGGCATGGGCTTAGCCCAGCGACTGTGACCTCAGCTAACCAATCCAGTTAACTAGCAACAGATGAAGAAACAAATTTTGACCAGCTTCAGGGAATGAGAATTTATAATGCCTTGTATATTAGCTAGAGTAGGATAGCATGGGACCCACCTCATTTTATAGGCTTCCCCTTACTAATGTAGGCCATCCCAGGTCCTAACTTCAAAGCAGGAAGTTGGGTAACCACTGAATAAAGAGAAATCCACCATCAACATATACGTAGCCTATATATGATTATATATATATATGTATATTTATAATCAAACAGCTCAGGGTTGGCTCCAAGCTATGAAATAAGAAATGTCCCTTTCATGACTAAATATGAAGTTTTTTTTTGAACCAAGTGTATTTTTCCAGAGAATAGTGGTCAGATTGACCATAGTTACTTATTTCTTTCCCTTCTTCTTTATTTTCTTAGACAGGGTCTCTCTTTGTTGCCCAGGCTGGAGTACAGTGATGTGCTCTCGGCTCACTGCAGCTTCTGCCTCCCAGGTTCAAGCGATTCTTCTCCTGCCTCAGTCTCCCAAGTAGCTGAGATTACAGGTGCCCGCCACCACATCTGGCTATTTTTCTTTGTATTTTTAGTAGAGATGGGGTTTTGCCATGTTGGCCAGGGTGGTCTCGAACTTCTGGCCTCAAGTGATCCACCTGCCTTGACCTCCCAAAGTGCTGGGATTACAAGCATGAGCCACTGCACCCAGCCATAGCCACATATTTCAAGCTTTCAATGCTTAGATTCCGACAGCGCCTCTTTGGTCTTCCACCTCCATGATCTTTTCCCTTCTAACCCATTTTGCTCCCTGTTGAAGCTTCCTAAGATCACTTTCATTATTTCCTCCCCCACCTCCAAAATATTCATCTGGGCCTAAAACTATTGGAGACACCCTTGAGTGCATCCGCCCAGCCTGCAGTTCCACATTCTATCTCTGAGAGCTGCTCTGTCCTGGAGATGGGCCCAGAAGCCATGTTTATTTCATATAACATCACTTCTGTTGTTGCACTAGGAAGAGACAATCAAATTCTCTCTCCTGGAAATTTGGAATTGGAAGCCAAAGAAGCCAGTAGCCTCTGCAGATCATTTGAACTGAGGATATAGGAACTTGGGAGTTGTGGAGTGGATTGTCTTACACCATATTCATGGGCAACAGAGAAATCTATTGTGCAGAGAAGAAAGGATGAAGCAAATATGCACAGAAGCCAAAGTGAGAAAGTATGTGGTGGAGGGATGGGTGGAATTGAGGGATTAAGACTAGGAAGCTTGCATCCCTAGTCCCTGAGAGCTTTTCATACTGGGTTCCAAGGCTTGGGGAGACCTAGCTGCCCATTCTGTCCTGGAGTTCCTCCAGATCTTTTTATTTATTTATTTGTTTGTTTGCTTTCAAAATTTTATTTGCTTTTTTTTTTTTCCTTTTCTGAGATGGGGTCTTGCCATGTTGTCCAGGCTGGTCTTGAACTCCTGAACTCAAGCCATCCTCCCACTTTGGCCTCCCAAAATGCTGGGATTATAGGCATGAGCCACCACACCATGCCTGTTTGTTGGCTCTTCATATGGCAAGCCTGTCCAACCTGCGGCCCGTAGGCTGCATGCAGCCCAGGACAGCTTTGAATGTGGCCCAACACAAATTCATAAACTTTCCTAAAACATTTCCTAAAACATGAGATTTTTTTGCAGTTTTATTTTTTAGCTCATCAACTATTGTTAGTGTTAGCATATTTTATGTGTAGGCCAAGACAGTTCTTCTTCTTCCGATGTGGCCCAGGGAAGCCAAAATATTGTCAGATATGGGGTCTCACTGTGTTGTTCAGACTGGAGTACAGTGGCTGTTCAAAGGCGCAATCATAGTGCACTACCTTCTCAAACTCCTGGCCTCAAGCAATCCTCCACACTCAGCTTCCTGGAGAGCTGGGACGACAGGCATGGGTCAACACATTTGACCATAACCTTTTAAGTTACTCCCTTTGGTTTATGGTGGTTTGAAAAGTTTTCAGTTACTTGTATTTGAAATCACCTTGATTTCAAAGATAAAGTTCAAAGCCTTGGCTTGGTATTCAAGACCAACCCCCATGTGGCTGTCATGCATTGTTCTCACCTTCATATTCTGCTATTCTGTGTGGAGCTTCCTTTATACCAGCCGAATTTCTACCTCTGCACACCTTATAGGTTTCTGGCTCTTTCCTTGTTTCACATCATTTCCTCTGCCTAAAACACTTTTCTTTCTTTTTTTTTTTAGACAGAGTCACTCTCCTCACCCAGGCTGGAGGGCGGTGACGTGATCTTGGCTCACTGCAACCTCTGCCTCTTGGGTTCAAGTGATTCTTGTGCCTCACCCTCCCGAGCAGCTGGGATTACAGGCACTCGTCACCACACCCGTCTAATTTTTGTATTTTTAGTAGGGACAGGGTTACATCATGTTGGCCGAGCTGGTCTCGAACTCCTGGCCTCAAGGTATCTGCCTGCCTCGGCTTCCCTCCCAAAGTGCTGGGATTACAGGCATGAGCCACCATGCCCGGCCCTAAAATACTTTTCTTACCCTTCTTGGCCTGCTAGACTCCTACACGTTTTTAAAGGTCAACTCCACTTTGCCCATCTATGTGAAGTGTTCTACAAGCTTCCTAGTTGTAACAATTTTTCCTTCTTTTAAACTTTCATAGTGCTTATTGTTTCTGTCACCAGCTGTTTTAAGGTTTTAATATAACAACAGCTTATAGTTAGGAGCAAAATAAGTTGGTTTCAGAGAAACTGCTTGATGACAGGAACTATAATACCAGAGTTTGGAAATAATATGAAAGATCAGTAAATGCATCCCAGGATGTCAGAAAAGGAGGGTTGCTGCCCCCCCCCGAAAATATATTGAAGTATTAGCATTGATAAAATAATATCAGACTTGGCCAGGCATGGTGGCTTATGCCTGTAATCCCAGCACTTTGGGAGGCTGAGGTAGGCGGATCATGAGGTCAAAAGATTGAGACCATTCTGGCCAACATGGTGAAACCCTATCTCTATTAAAAATACAAAAATTAGCTGGGCGTGGTGGCGCATGCCTGTAGTCCCAGCTACTCAGGAGGCTGAGGCAGGAGAATCACTTGAACCTGGGAGGCGGAGCTTGCAGTGAGTCGAGATCACGCCACTGCACTCCAGCCTGGAGACAGAGTGAGACCCTGTCTCAAATAATAATAATATCAGACTTGTTGGAAAATGTAAAATCTGCATGCTCAGATAACATTTTTTATTCAGCTGTATCAGCAACATTTACATTGAGTATGATAGAACATTGTCAGATAGAGAGGAGATAGGAATAGAAAAACAAGAGGACATACAAGAGAGGGTAGACGTTGAGATGCTGGAGAAGATGGAGTTCATAGGGATGAGAGTTGGCAGGATAGACAGGATGAGGAAGAGATGTGGAGATAATGGCAGGTCCTTCTTCCTTCTCTATGCTTTTTGGGTAAAATGAACTGTGACTTTGTGATGCTACCTTCTCTCTTACAAGGGATAAGAAGTTATAAGGATGAAGTGAATAAAGAATACTCAGGTGACAAGGACAAGGACTGTTTCCCTCTGGCAAAGTAGACTTCGAATCTGTGGCCTCTGACCCAGGGCGCGGTACTCCAGTCTTTATGACAAGCATTGACTTATAGTGCCAAATTATTATTTTTAATAATAAACATGTAGATCCTTGTAGACCTGCCCACTCAATGACACTCACTCAACAAATATTTACTGCACTCTCTATTATCAGATGGTTCATTAACATACAAAGCAGTAGTCACACCCATCTCCCACTGTACATCACAGAAACCCACAACCAGAGTCTGATAGTCCTGGCAATAAACATCTGTTGGCCATTGCCATGTTGATGAGGCTGCCTCTTTGACTCACCATTGATCTTTGGTCCATGAGAGCTCCCCACCCTGTCTGTCTCTGGGGTTTCCCAAGACTAATGCTCCGTGATTTGTATCTGGGTCAGGGTTCTTTTTCCTCACAGTATTTGCTCCCTATAGCTGTTTAAGGTAAGCAATAGCATGAGCTTGCTTAGACACATCCTCTGGCTACCTAGGGGGTTTGGAGCACAGAACATATCACACTCTGCATCCATTTCCTCTCCTTCAACATTTGTATTCAGTTGCATTAGAACATCAAAGGCAATCTGAAGGGGAAAAGATGTTATAGACTAGTTTCAGCCCTGCTTATAGGACTTTGAAAAGTCACTGCATTTCCTTCATTCTTTCTTCCAGCCTAAACCCATACTGAGACCAATTCTGTACTAAGCATTGACCTTGAGTAGTCCACAGCCCAATGGGAAAATAACCTGGCAAACTTATAAATAATAAAGACAAATACCAGCCTCTGTACTTTAGAACTATTTATATAAATCAAGAGCTACCTTCTCTGTCAACTCTCCCCTCCCTGCCCTCCATATCTGCCCTAATTCTCTATAGAGTCTATATCTTTACTATGATCTTAGAGATGGTATTAACTAGTGTTGTAAAGGTGGATGTATTGGGTTTGGGGGTGTGTGTGTGTGTGTGTGTTTGTGTGTGTGTGAGAATATGTAAGCAAGAGAGAAATGCTCTCACTTAGTGGTTCACTTTAGCAAAGGAAAGCCTGTCCCCTGCCACAGAAGCTATGCTCCTAGATTCTGCTCCATTTACCCCCTTTAGATTCCAGCTAAACATTTAAGACCCTCAGAAGGAAAGAGCCCTTCCTGCCTCACTTGAGAAATAAGCATGTGTGGATTGATGCCCTTGCTGCCTGTTCATTCGGGATGTATCCCTTCTTGTTGAATGACCTAGATAAATTTCTACGGGGTGCACACATTATTAGGCTACCAACAGGATGCGTTGGAAGTGGTTCTGTCTTCCCTGCTGCTGGCAGAGTCATTATTTCCTTAAAGGTTCAAATTTGTTTGTTCTGTTTTTACTCCATCCTCCGTCAAGGTCAGAGCACACCTACTGGGTGTCAATTACTACCCTGAGGAGGTAATCATTTTGGCTGCTTCTGTGCATTTTAATTATGTAGACTTGGGATCCTGGAATAGTGGTGCATCATCCCCTAAGTCATTCCAAGTTTGTTATGGTGTTCCCAGATTTTAAAATCCTCTAATTGGAGGATTTAACTGCCTGTTCTTCTAATTGAGTTTATATGATTCACTGTCCAAATCTGAGTCACAGTGCTGTGATGAAATAAGAAACTTTTTTCTTTTCTTTTTTTTTCTCAAGACTCAGATACCACAGATCTGACTGAAAGGTTCACAGCGAGGTCAATTCCAATCCTGTCACATGTGGATCAGCTCAGCCTGGAACTGCAAAGCAGGACATTTTAGGTTCAAAGAAGTATTGGCACAGTTCCTAACACATACCAGCTTCTTGGCAGATATTTATTCATTAATTAATACAGTCTTAACACAGATGCCATCTTTTAAGAGTCTCATTTTCTTTCAGATAGATGGTGATGAATCCATGTTTGATGCAAAAATAAATAGTCAATTACAGAGTAACATCACTGAATTGAAAAATAAAGCGAACCCTTCTTCCCAGACTAGCTACATCATTGTGGAGTCCAATACAAAATTAAAATGCAAAACCCCTTTCCTCAAAAATTATTAGGAATTTAGAGACAGTGCCTGCAAAGCCTTAAACCAAGTAGGGGACCCCTGCTAAGCATGGTTGGATTTGGATACCCTGCAGCTGGCCAAGCACCCCCCTGCCCTGCTCATTTGATTAACATATATGAATGCCTGCTGTTAAATGGACATTGTGTCTACCATTGTCATATACATCATCTGTCATTCTCACAGCAACCATATGTGTCTCAGTGAAATTTTTTAACTTGCTCAAAACGATGCACAAAAGACTGCATATAATGCCTGTTTTTGCCAAGCCCAAATGTAGGGCTTTTTCTACTAGACAGAAGGTATGTCAATTCTGAACAATGTATTTTCACATAAGCTGACATATGCTGTCTTGTACATTTTTTCCTCATTGACTTATGTAGATAATGCTTAACATGAGTTGAGAAGTTACAATGTGTCAGGCAATGTTCTAATTGCTGTGCATGTATTCATTCCCTTAGTGTCTGGCAGTGTATTTATGCTGCTTTGGTTCGGATTTGGAAGAAGGCAGACAGCACAACAAAGAATTAACTGGAGGGATTTTAATAAGGGACTGCTTTCAGAAGTGTACACAGTAGTAAGGGAATCTTCAAGGAATACGAATGCATCTGGAACCAGCAAGAACAGGAAACTGTTAGCATCCCAGGCCCAAAAGAGCAAAGGGAGAGGGCGGAGTCACCAGAACCTGATGATATCTTTAGCCATGGCAGAGAGGCTACTTTTTCGGTGCTGTGGCCATGGGTAAAGGAAGACAGACACTGCCAAAATCCTGTAAGGAGGAAGGGAGTGGAAGATGAATGTTCTCACCCCCTTTCCTACTGCCCTTGGATCTCTTGCCCAGGGTCTGTGTGTTCCATTCCTAGGGATCCCCGGGGCTGAGGACTGAGAGTCAGCCTCCTGGGACACAGAGCAGGATAGAGAATAGCAAGGGCAAATGGCGAAAAACCAGGATCATTATTGTGCCCATTTTACCAATGATGAACTGGAGACCCAGAGAGGCTCAGTGTCTTGTCCCAAATCACACAGCTAAGAAGTAGCAAAGCCAAGATTCAAACTCAGGAAATCTCAATACAGAAACAGAACACTTAATAATGTGTTCTAAAACATGTCCTCAAATGGAGTAGAAGCATGACATATGATGATAAACCATCTACTACCAAACCTGTGGGATTGGGTTATTGTAATTAGGGAAAGCCAGCCTGAACAAATAAAACTAATTCTTCTTCTTCTTCTTTTTTTTTTGGAGACAGAGTCTCACTCTGTCGCCCAGGCTGGAGTGCAATGGTGTGATCTTGGCTCACTGCAATCTCTGCTTCCTGGGTTCAAGAGATTCTCCTGTTTCAGCCTCCTAAGTAGCTGGGACTACAAGTGTGTGCCACCACGCCCAGCTAATTTTTTGTATTTTTAGTAGAGACAGGGTTTCACCATGTTGGCCAGGCTGGTCTCAAACTCCTGACCTCTAGTGATCTGCGTGCATCAGCCTCCTAAAGTGCTGAGATTACTGGCATGAGCCACCGCACCTGGCCAAAACTAAATTTTAATAACTATAAGTATGTGCAGATGGATTACCTTCAAGGTGAAAAATAATTAGGACTAGGATTGGAAAGCATTGCCTGGGAGACTGTTTCAGGGGAGATAGTTTTAGAAAGGACAGGAGTAGTTTGCAGTTAATTACATTCTTTTAGAAGCAAATGAATACTTCTGAAACAGAGCTAAGAGTACTCAAAAAGTTTGCTTTCTTAAATGGAGTACATATTCCTCTTAAATTTATATATGTATTTTTTGAGATGGAGTCTCTCTCTGTCGCCAGGCTAGAGTGCAGTGGCGCGATCTCTGCTCACTGCAACCTCTACCTCCTGGGTTCAAGTGATTCTCCTGCCTCAGCCTCCTGAGTAGCTGGGATTACAGGTGTGCACCACTACACCCAGCTAATTTTTGTATTTTTAGTAGAGACGGGGTTTCACTATATTGGTCAGGCTGGTCTCGAACTCCTGACTTCGTGTCTGCCCGCCTTGGCCTCCCAAAGTGTTGGGATTACAGGCGTGAGCCACCGCACCCAGCCTCAAATTGATATTCTTTATGATTTATTTAAATCCTGCATTAATTCATTGACTGTGCATTGTGATCCTATCGTGCCCAGCGTTGTTCTAGGTGCTGGCAATAAAACCTTGAACACACCAGATAACATCTCCACTCTCAAGACACTTAAACTCTAGTGGCAGGAGACAAACAATAGACAAACGATGAATACATATATAATAGTACCATGAAGAAAAAATAAAAGTAAGAGTATAGAGAGGGACAGGGAAGAGACACACCCTAGTTAATACAGAATTACCAAGAAATGTCTCTCTAACAAGGAGACATTTGAGCAGAGAACTGAGGGAAACTTCTATCTCATTGATGGTGCAAAGAATAGAATTTTAGATCTGGAAGGAACCGCAGAGCCAACATTCTATAATGAAGAAACGGAGGCCCCAGGGAACTTAAGTCCCTTATTCAGAGCCATATGGTGCATAAATATAAAAAAAGCTTGAGCTAAAAATAATCTATTAGGACTCTCACTCCATCAATTAGCAAATTTTTTGGGCCCCGGTTATTTGCCAGGCACCCAGTCTCATGCATTTTGCACTAGATTCTATTGTTTACTAATTTGGAATCGATTTAGAATTACTGAGTTTTTACTGTGACTTTAAGTTTCGGCTACCTTGAGGTATAGGTTCCCTTTGTGTGCTATGTGTCGAGATGCTTTGGAAGCTAAACAAAATCCTGGCAGTTGTGGCTGGCAAAATATTACAAACCACCCCGACCCTTCTTTTAATTGATTAATTTTACTTTTTTGTAACTTGAAAATGAGACCCTGGTGGTTCACATGGACTGGTTAAAAATCACACACTCTCTCTCCAATCTTTGATCTACATTTATAAAAAACACATAACAGCAGAGTTATTGTCTTAGTTTGGGAGACCGGGCATAGGGAGAAGAATTCAGGCAGGAAGGGAGCCAGGACCTTCAAGGTCAAATCAGAGGGCAAAGTTGGAGATTCAAGGGAGAATTGTCATTAGAAGGTGGCAAAAGGTGTTACTAGGCATTATGCCAAGCACAGATGGACTAAAGAGGTAGAAACAGAGTCAGTGACTAGAGTGAGGAGATAGAAATCTGGACAGAGACTGGGGGAGTTGGCTGAAGATGAGAAGGGAAAAAGAGGTTAGCAAGACTAGGGGTCAGGGACCAGAGTGTAAGTAAGAAGCCAGTGCCTGTGACGGTTCATTTTATGTGTGAACTTGACTGGGCTAAGGGAGGCCCAGATGGCTGGTAAGACATTTCTAGATGTGTCTGTGAGGGTGCTGCCAGAATAGATTAGTATATGAATCAATAGACTGAGTAGAGGAGATTGCCCTCATCAATGTGGCGGTCATCATCTAATCCACTGAGGGCCTGTCTTAGTTCATTTTGCATATAAGAACATACTGGAGACTGAGTAATTAAAAAAGGAAAGAAATTTATTTATTACAGTTATGCAGGCTGAGAAGCCCAAGGTTGAGGGGCCACATCTGATGAGGGCCTTCCTGATGGAGGAAACTCTTTACAGAGTCCTGAGTAAGTACAGGGCATCCCATGGTGTGGGGGCTGAGTGTGCTAGCTCAGGTCTCTCTTTCTCCTCTTATAAAGCCACCAGTTCCCCTCCCATGATAATCCATTAATCTATTTATGAATCCATGAGCCTTCATGACCTAATCTCCTCTTATAGCCCCCGCCTCTCAATACTGGTGCATTGCGGATTACATTTCGACATGAGTTTTGGAGGGGACAAATATTCAAACCATAGCAGGGCCAAATGAAACAAAAAGTTAGAGGAAAGGCCAATTTTTCTCTTTCTTCTGGAACTGAGACATCCATCTTCTCCTGTTCGTGGACATTTGTGCTCCTGGTTCTCAGACCTTTGGACACCCCTCCTTGGTTCTCAGGGCTTTGGCCTTGAACTGTACTATACCCCACCAACTTTCCTGGTTCTCCAGCTCACAGACAGCTGACTTTTCAGCCCTCCATAACTGCATGAGCCAATTCCCATAATAAATCTCCTCTTATGTATCTATATATATCCTATTAGTTGTGTTTCTCTGGAGAACCCTGGTTAATACATGGCCACAGATAATTCCTACAGATGCATTGCTTTGAAGGCTGTGTTCAAAGGCCCAGGTTCCATCTCTTACAGAGCTGACAATTTTCATATAAACTTATATTAAATAGTATTTAACTTTAAAATTCCTTCACACATGTATACCATCTTATTTATCAGTAAGGTAACGAATGCCAGTATTTTATCCAGTTAATGGATGGGAGAATTAAGGTCTAGAGATGTTGAGAAATGGACCCAATGTCTGATGATGAATTGATGGCAGAGCAGGGGCTTCCGTCTTCTAACCTCCATCTCGCATACCAGATTTTTTTTTTTCCTTTTGAGACAAAGTCTCACTCTGTTGCCTAAACTGGAGTGCAGTGGTGCAATCATGGCTCACCACCTCGAACTCTTGGGCTCAAGTAATCCTCTGACCTCAGTTAACCTGGGACTTAGGACTACAGGTGCGTGCCATTGCACCCAATTAATTTTTAAAACTTTTTATAGAGACAAGGTTTTGCTATGTTGCAAGGCTGTTCTCAAACTGCTAGATGCAAGTGATCTTCCTGCTTAGGTCTCCCAAAATGCTGGGATTACAGGCATGAGCCACCATGCCCAGCCTCTTATACAGCTTTGACCTAGTCCACATGGCCTTGTGGTAGGAAGATGGGAAGGAATGAACATCACTGGCAGTACTAAGAGCTTTCCACCAACGTTGTAAGACTTGCCCCACAGTGAAGATTTATATGTCTTGAGAAACTATAATTTGCTTATGTAATTTTCCCCTCTTCTTTTCTGGGAGCCCAGTCACCTAATTTGCAAAGGAAGACAACCCCATGGCTTTGTTCCTTAACCTGGAGGCTTCAGCCTAATTGAACCTAAAAACAAAGGTTGTCTTACTCTGGGCTCCATGATATGAAGTTCCACATTAGTTTTTAAGGTCTGAATGTATATCCTATAGGAGAGTATTTATCAACATCAGCAGCTATAACAGTTCTCATTTACTGACCGCTTGTTACAGCACATGCCATGAAGCCTCATGAAGACTTAGCTAAGATGCCAGCTGGGAATGATACACCACAGGGTTCGGACACTGGTCTTTAAGATGCAGTATATGCATCACATCATTATATGGTGCTTATGTCTCTAGTAGGTAGAATATGCGGGGGTAGGAAATAAAAGTAGAAAGTGACCCTCTCATTTTCATTCCTAGTGACTGGCTTGGGGAATTTGTACTTCCTGTTTCTTTAACTTTGCTTTCTGCTAAACTAAAGATCCTGGTTCCCAAAGTGAATTGGCAGTGGGGAAGGGGGAAGGAGGTGGAGGGAATCTTATATCAGGGAATAGAGTCAAGATTTCACTGAATCTAATATTACACCTGTCAATTGGTCATCTTAAACTCCTTTGGCTAGAAGTCCAGCAAGCCAAAGAAAAAAAATTCTATCCTGGCAGGGATCATTGATGTTGGATGTCACAGGAGGCAGGCTTGCTTCTACACAGTGGGAGCGAGAGGAAGTATCTCTGGAACTCAGGGGACAGCCGGGTCCCCTCTTGGTGCTTCTGTATGGTGAACGGACAACTACAGCAACCATAGGCTGATGAAGACATGGAAATGAGGGGTGAAGGTCTAGGTTACCTCACTGGGCACACAACCTAGACCAGCGAAGGCCAGGATGGGGGTCGGGGGAACCTAGAGTGGGAGAAAGAAGAGTCAGATGATGAAGAGTAGAGTTAGAGCCTTTGGACTAACTGCAGCAGAAGGGGCTGTAGCTTGTCTCACGAATATGCCTGTGATAAATCTTTTTCTTCCTTGGAAACTATGACCAGATGCTTTGAGAAATCATTGATTGGACAGTTTCATGAGTGGATCTGAGTGTGACGGGTTGGGCTGCAGCAGATGCTGTTGGTCCTCTCTCATATTCTCTTGTCTCCCACTGGTCCTGTGCCAGCACAACTCTCACCAGCGGGCTGCTCTGGCCACAGGAGCAGGCTCGACTTGCCCAGGGACAGGCTAGAAATTCCAGGAAGCTCACAACCTCGGGAGTAGCCCTCAACCAATGCAGGATGGGAGCTGGTAGATGAATTCCCAGCTTTCTCACTCCTGGGGTAGCGCACCACTGAAGCATGAGCTCTGTAGTTTCCCAGTGGATGCCTGCGGGAATGGTCCCCAGATACCCGGCAGTGCCCACTCCTTCATGCCCACCATCTTGTTTGTCTTTACTTTCCTGCATCACTTCCCCACTTCCTTACTGGCACTTCCTGCTGTTACCTCTCAAATAAGCTGCTTGCACCCAAATCCTCATCAAATTTTGAGCAAACCCAAACTCAGAGAGTGACCAAGCCAGAAATGAGTCCAAATAATTTCGCTCCAGATTCTATGCCTTGAACTACTATGTTTGCATTAAAGAATGATCCCATAGATATAAAGAGTGCTGACAAGGAGGAAAATGATCCAAATAGCTTTTAAAAGCAGACACAAAAACTATTCCACCATTATAAGCTCTTATAGCCAAGAGTTAGTTTTTTATACAACAGTCCTTTATTTGAAATCAATCTTTGCTAGAGACTTAATGGACACTCATCGGGATGATTCTTTTCCAATAACTGTTTTATTGATTTTTCAGTGGCAGTTTTCTCAAATAACATTTGATAAAGATGGGATTGCATGATACTCAAAGAGGAACCCCTCGCCTTTCAAGAAACAACAGGCACGTGAAGTAAAATTGTGTATATTAATTAGGTGTTTCTAACAACCAAATAAAACGTTGCCCTAGACGCAGAGCAAAATTCTGGTTCCTCCACATTCACAGCTTTGTTAGCATCTTTGGGAATTATCCTCATCCTCAGAGGGAGGAAAAGAGATTAGGAAGAAGCAGGAAAATTGGGCACAGTGGTTCACGTCTGTAATCCCAGCAATTTGGGAGGCAGACACGAGAGAATCGCTTGAGCCCAGGAGTTCGAGATCAGCCTGGGCAACATGGAGAGATCCCATTTCTACAAAAATAAAAAAATTAGCCAGGTATGGTAGTGCACATGTGTAGCCCTAGCTACTCAGGAGGCTGAGGCAGGAGGATTGCTTAAGCCTGGGAGGTCTAGGCTGCAGTGAGTTATGATCATGCCACTACACTCCAGCCTGCACTCCACTTGCACTCCAGCAAAACTCTGTCACAAAAAAAAAAAAAAAGCAAGAAATGATCGCATGTCTTACCTTTCTGCACTAGGTTTGTGGAGCCTACCATTCTTCCTCTGTCCTCGGTCCACCCCTTTCTAACGCCTTGTACTCCGGTTAGGAGTCTGAACTGGGGTGAGCAAAAACCACCCTGAATAGACACTGGCCTGAGAAGGGGTTTGCAGTCTCCTTAAGAGAAGGAGGAAATTGACAATAAGCAACTATGACAAAATCTGACTCTGGGGCCTGGAGTAGTGAGCACTGGCCAGACTGATTTGTGGAGGTAGCCTGGTTGGGTGTGAAAGCACAAAGCTACAGTCATGGGTATTTCTCCAGGTCACATCTTTGTTATTTCCATGAACTGCATTGGCAGTAAAATGTAGAGCCCAACTCTGGAACCAGGTTGTCTGGGTGCCTGGACTGAGTCCCAGCTCCACCACTTACTTGGTGGTTTTACTGAACTTTTCCGCGTTTCATCTGTAAAAGAGGGACAATAATTATATTAGTCAGGGTCTCAGCAAGAAACAGATGTGTTCTCAAATTGAGAAGGGTTTAATAAAGAGACTACTCACCAAAGTGGGCAGGATTAGGGGAAACCAGCATGGGGCAGTGAAGCACCCCAGAGCTAGCAACATCAGGAAGCCAATTCTGCCCTTAGGCCCACAGGTTTTATGAGAATGAAGAGTAACTATGGATTTGCCTGTAGAAAGGGCTGTGTACTCATAGCTGTGGCTCTCAGTGGAGGAACATTGACCCTGCCATCTTTCAGACCCAATGTTTTATTCCCATTCCTGGATATTTGTGCCTCCTGTTAGTAGCCCCCAGTGGCTGAACCCAACTAAGATACAGAGTGCAAAGGAGGCAGGCTAAGGCCATCCATCAAAGCTAGCTTCCTAGGGCCCAGAGCAGAGTGCAGGAGGGCAGACAAGGAATCTAGAGGGATAGATAGAGACTATGGGGCTCAAGAATGGTAGCTACCTCACAGTGTTGTTGTGAAGATTAATATTACAACATAAAGCTCAAAGATCAATGCAGACACATACTTAGTAAGCACTGTAGTAGAGTCTGTTACATTACTGTATCCCTCATATCTCTCTGTGCCTGTTAGCATCCAGGTTGCTGCAGGATTGGTTGAGCCACTCCTTATGCGCTCAGCACCAGTCCAGCTCCTGTCACCAGGAGAATCTCTCTCTGTCAAGGCCAAATGTCTGCTTCTCATCCCTGGGGTATTGCTCTTGTATGACAGTGTCTACCTCTATAATCGGGTCCTGCATCATCTCTGAGGAAAGGAGCTTCAGAGTTGGGCCCAGGAAATGAGCCTCTGGAATGCTGGTCCCTCTGGACAACCTTTCCTTCTCATCTTAGAAAGTAAAACTCCTCCAGCCAGTTAAACACCATCCCAGACAGAAGTTGACCACATCCAGGCTGAGCAGATAGGAAGTCTGCTCTTGCTTCCTCTCTCCCTATCAGTTAGGATCTAAGGACACCTGAGAGTGAGTCCAACTCACTTCCAGAATTGAGTCTTGCCACCTACCTCCTCCAGAATTTAATAATAGATATTGCTACTATCTATTGGGCATATAATTATGGGCCAAATAGTATCTAAGAAGCTTTCCATATCTTATGACATTTAATTTTTATAGCAACTCTGCCAAGAATTAGTATCCCCATTTTACACATGAGGAAATGGAGACTCAGAAGTTTCACCTACACAATGAGTAAGTGGCAGAGTTGAGATGAGTCTGGCTGACTCCAAAGGCCTCTCCATCACATGATGATGTCAACGGATCCAATGTAAATCATGCTTTCTCTTCTAAACTTTTCCTATAGACACAAAATGCATGTAAGCAGAGAAAATGGACTTTTTGTTTGAAAAGTGTATCATTTTTGTGGGAGACAAGATTCACACAAATAGAGCGGTTTGAAAATGATCCAGACCTGTATCAAGCCAGGTGCCACAAACTTTACATGCTGTGGGAGCTTAGAGAAAGGGAAGAATCTCAGTCATTGAGTGGGACTTTGTAAGAAGTTGGTCTCTGATGAGGAGACATGCTCTGCAGACAGAAGTGAGAAATGCCGGCCCCAGCGCGGTGGCTCAAGGCTATAATCCCAACGCTTTGGGAAGTGAAGGAGGGAGGACCACTTGAGCCCAGGAGTTCAACCCAGCCTGGGCAACAAAGTGAGATCCTATCTCAAAAATAAATAAATAAATAAATAAATAAAAACAATTAGCTGGGCATGGTGCCATGCGTCTATAACTCTAGCTACTTGGAAGGCTGAGGCTGAGGCAGGAGAATTGCTTGATCCCAGGAGTTCAAGATCACACCACTGCACTCTGCCCTGGGTGACAGAGCAAGACCCTTTCTCAAAAAAAAAAAAAAAAATAAGCCAATGGACAGGGCAATTGATGGGTAAAGAGAAGGAAGAAGAGAAACAAGCCCAGTAAGTGGAAGAGAATATTGACCTCACTAGAGAAGGGAGCACTAGGGAGTAGCAGATAATGAAGAGGGTTGAGGAAGAATAAGAAAGTCTTTGAAAGCCATAGAGAGGAATTCAGACTCAATGTGGGAGAAAAAGGAACTCATAACAGTTGTGAGGGGGCAGTGCCAGATGAAAGAGTGTCAGAAAGGTTTAGATTTCAGGAGGAAGGGAAGGGACTGAGAGGAGGAGAGGCTATGAAAACATGCTAATGCAAAGCAACAACAACTGAGATAAGAAAGAGAAAATTGCAGCCACCCTTCAAAAGAAGAACTGGCCAGATATGGTAAACAAATTAGTCAGAGCAGATGAGACAAGGATGACTCCACAGTTTTCACCATGCTTGATAAAGGGGACAAGGAGAACAGACAGGGAGAAGAGTCATCTATAAATTGAGCTCATTTAAACGTGAAAGAAGACTTCCCCGAAAAGAAATGAAAAGGATCCCTCTGATAGAGAAGCAAAGTGTTTTGTTTTTGCTTTTGTTTTCTGGAGAGGAAGAATACCTAGCTTTACAAAAAGCTCCTAGATCACCAGTTCTGATAGATCAGAGAAGTCTTTGAATAAACGTCTCTCAGCTTAGAGGCCCCCTCTGTGTGTCTTGAGCTGTGTGTGACTTCAGGGTTAGTGGGCTTAGGAGTCTCACAGAGGGTTGAGGGGACTCCTCCTACTTAGTGTGTCAAAGTGTTCTTGCTAGCCCGAAAAAGAAATCTAAACAAGTCCGATTTGTCATCTTGTTAAATCTCGAGGAATTCAAAAACACATCCTTACTAATCAACTGGTCAAACACTATTTACTCATTGAGCAAAAGTCCTCATCTCGTCGGACCCTGTAAAGGTTTTATACTCAAGGCTTCCCTTGACATAGATTCATTAAACTATATACTTTCATTATCGTTAAGATGTCTAATTGTGTCCAAACTGTTGCCACCAGTAACTTGTGAATTCCATAATCTTTCCATTAAGATCTTGTATTTCCCTGATATTAGCTCCCTTTTTTGGTAAATTTAGGTGTCTCCCTGCAAAATTAATTAAAAAACTAAAATAAAACATACTTTATCTCTCTGATCAGAGGGTCCATTTTCATTTCCTTTGGGGGAAGTAATAATTTAAGTTGTTAAATGCACTTAATTTATAGGTGAATCTTCTCCTTATCTGTCTTTCTTTTTCTTATTTATCGATCACCAGCTGAGAACTGGATTTATTTGTTCTTACTAGTCTTTTAAATATTTCTTTTTATTTCCTATAAATTAAGGGAAACTCATTTTGCCTTGAAAACAACAACTTACTTCAGTGTAAAGTATGCCTCATGTTGTATGATGTTTCCTTTCTTTTTTTTTTTTTTGAGACGGGGTCTGGCTCTGTCACTTGATCTGGAGGCCAATGGCGCGATCTCGGCTCACCCAGCCTGGAATTCCCAGGCTCAAGCTATCCTCCCACTTCAGCCTCCTGAGTGGCTGGGACCACAGGTATGAGCCACTATGGCCGGTTCAAGAGATCCTTCCGCCTCAGCCATCCAAAGTCCTGAGATTGCAGGCGTGAGCCGCCGTACCTGGCCATATGATGTTTCTTTCAAACAATTTGCATGTGCATGTGTATGCAGGTGTGTGTGTTGGCGGTACGGGTTGGGGAGAGGGACTAGGGCAGAGGAAGAAGAGGGGGGTGTAAAGTTTTCTCAGAACTTAGTGGTGGGCGTGTGGCGTAGGTGGTTGAAGAGATAACAAGAGCTCACTTTAAAATGATTGCTCCCCTTTAGCCTCTATCAAATTTTTGAAGAGGCTTTATAAGACCAGACATGAAATGGCATTTCCTGATTAGCTCTCAGGAATACTACGTGTCTACAGACATGAATCACATCCCCTGTTTGTTCATTCCATTTCACAACAGGAACATGAGACATAACTCACCCAGACCTTAACCAACTTTGGTGAGGAGAGGGGTATTCAGCCTTCCTCCTGTGGGATATCCAGCCTGAACTCTGCTCATCTGGTCTGAGACAGAGCCCAGCAGTAAGATTAGAGATTAGGTGCCTGTTTGGTTTGGTCGTGCAGGTAGCCCAGTCAAGAAACTCAGCTTGGCGAGTTTCCATGGTGAAAGGGGAAATAAGAGAGTGGGCCATGGGGTATTTCTCATGTACTAAGATTTTTGAAAGCCACCTGGATCATTTTGACTCAAGGAACATGGCCAGTGCTGTACAGCCTTGTGTTTCCGTCACAATCAGCCACCCATACTTCCCCTCACTCCTTTTCCAGCCAGGTGCTGCCATTCGCCTTTCTTACCTTGCGTGATGGATGGTGGAACAGCTTCCCGAGTCAGCAGGAGGTGAATAAGAGCTCCTGGTGGGGCTGGAAACTTCTGTTTCATGTTTACCTTTGGTTCCTTTGTTTGTACAGCCTTGTACTGTTTTCCATCTAGATTTCTGACCCATTGCCTCCTAGCAACAAGTAGCTTTTGTCTATGCCTTTACCCCTGACTCACTGGTCTAGATTGTTGACCCACTATTTTGCCAGGATCTCTAGGTCATTGTACTTCTTACTACTACCTGTCCCTCTCTTGTTTCCTCCCCTTTCCTTTTTCCTTCCTTCTATTTGTATACATTTACTGAGGATTTAGTGTGAGTAAGCTATGAACAAGTTCTGGGGACCCCACAGCTTTAGCAGAGAAGATGGATGGAGATAAGTAATTATAATAAAGTGGAATAGGTATTATGCCAGAGTTAGTAGAGGGAACAGTGAAAGACTTTATATAGGGCTGGGGAATCTGTATGAGACAGAGAGGGAGACATGAGACTGGAAGGGAAACCAGAAGCCAGAATTTTTTTTTTTTTTTTAAGACAGAGTCTCATTCTGTTGCCCAGTGCCCAGGCTGGAGTGCAGTGGTGTGATCTCAGCTCACTGCAACCTCTGCCTCCCACGTTCAAGAGATTTTCCTGTCTCAGCCTCCTAAGTAGCTGGGACTACAGGTGTGCACCACCATGCTCGGCTAATTTTTGTATTTTCAGTAGAGACGGGATTTCACCATGTTGGCCAGGCTGGTCTTGAACTCCTGGCCTCAGGTGATCCACCTGCCTCGGTCTCCCAAAGTGCTGGGATTACAGGCATGAGCCACCACACCCCACCAGGAGCCATATTTTATAAATCATATTACAGAGGATGGACTTTATCCCAAGGACCACCAGAAGCTCTGAAAAGACTACTAATGGTTAATATCTATTGAGCAGTTATCATGGGTTTTTCCTACATTAATATTCTCACATTATCCTTTGGTGATAGGTATTATTTGTTAGATTTGTTTTACAGATGAGGAAACTGCGACTTAGAGAATATATCAGTCAGGGTCCAACCAAGGCAACCAAACTTCTTCTAAGTATTTTAACCAAAGGAAATTTAATCCAGGGAATTGGTTATGCAGGTGAAGGAAGAGGAGAGAACCCAGACAGCAATGGTGAGGCAGCTGAGATCAGCAACAGCAGAGAGCAAAAGGGAACGGGCTGTGTTATTGAAGCCCAGGGGCCAGTCACTGTTCAAAGCTGGAACCACAGGAGACATCACTGAAAACAGACATGCCTGCAAGTCCCCACCTTCCACCATCCAGGGTCCTTATTGACTGAATCCATCTGGAAGCCAGAGGGCCTAAGGAATGTAATAGATAAAACAGCAGGGGAAGGATACTGTATTGGTGTGGGTCCCAATGGAAATCAGACAGCACACTCAAAGTAGAATAATTTGAGCAGGGTTGATTTACTAAGAGCTAAATTACAAAGATGGGGGAGAATAGGGGAACCACAGGGGACTTCAGAGTGGTTACCATCTGCTGTGGTTTTGATAATTGTCTCCTCCAACATTCAAGTTGAAATTTAATCCCCAATGTGTCATTATTGACAGATGAGACCTTTAAGGGTCCTAAGGGCTCTCCCCTCCTGAATGGATAAATCCATTCAGAGATTAATGGGTTGTCATGGAGTGAGCTTTATAAGGAGAGGAAGAGAGACCTGAGTTCACCCACTCAGCCCCCCAACTATATGATGCCCTGCACCACCTTGGGACTTTGCGGAGAGTCCCCACCAGAAAGAAGGTTCTCACCAGATGGCCCTCTCAACCTTGGACTTCCCTAAGCTATGAGAAATAAACTGTTTCTTATAAATTACCCAGTTCCAGGTATTCTGTTATAAATTACAGAAGATGAACTAAGATGCTATCTCTAGGGCCAAAGAGATAAGGAGAAGAAGAGGTTGTTGAAACCTGAAGGGAAAAGGAGTATTGTAGAGCACGCCACTTGAAAAGGAGTGCTGCTTTCTTGTTGAGGGACACAGCCACAACCTCACAAGGAGGTACCTTATAGAATATATACTTTGACCTCCTTCTCTTTCCTTCCTCTCATCAGCTGGGGCTCTGTATTGGCCAAGCCCGAAGGGAAGTTTGAGGGCATAAGAGCCCTGTCAATGTAGTATCATTTACAATTTCCATTTTAGAGATAAGAAACCAAGGCTTGGAGAGTTTAGGCGACTTTTTCAAGGTCACACACCTAATCTGTAGAACTGGAAATTGAACATATGTGTGACTCCGAACCCATATTTGTTAATCACTATACTAGACTCTTTGTCCACAGGATCTTTCTTGCATTCATGTCTCAGACCTGATATTTCCACTTTTTGCCCATCTACCTTATTACAGAGTCAAATTTGCACAGACCCTCAGAACTCACAGAACCTTCTGCATCTTGTGACTGTTTCCTGTTGTCTGGATTCTGCCTCTCAACACTACTTTGGTTCTTCCTGTTTTAGTAAATGAACATCTATTCACTGCTTAACACCACTTGTATTACTAACATTTCCTGTGAAAACACAACAGTTCTTACAGAAACAAGGGTGTGGCCCACACAAATCATAGGATTCCCAGGTTTTCAGCCTAATATAACATAAAAGTGTTTTCTACCAGATGCTGGGTGTATACTAGCTAAAACCAACAGGTAGAAGGGTCAAGTTCAAGAAGGAATTCCAAAGATAAAAAACTATATATTTGAAGATGTTTGTTGTTGCCTTATTTATATTGGTGAGCCATTAGAGGCAGCTCAAGTATCCAACAACAGGAGGACTGCTAGATTAGTGATTCTCATCAAATACTGGGTGGAAAGCTTCCCCTTGCCCATTTCTGCTTAGAGCATTTTTTTTCAAGGCAGAGCCTGTCTCTGTCTTGCCCAGGCTGGAGTGCAGTGGCATGATCATGGCTCACTGCAGCCTCGACCTCTGGGGCTTAAGTGGTCTTCCCACCTCAGTCTCCCGAGCAACTGGGACTACAGGGGCATGCAATAATATTTTAATAGTTTAAAAAGTCAAATTAAAAACACTTATACACAAAATAATCACATTATTTTCCCAGGAAATCAAAAAATAAGAGTTATCTAGTTTTCCCCCAAGTTGTTTTATAAAACCAAACTGTCTGTTCAGCTGATGGGGCCAGGACTGTCCCCAAATTCTTTTGCAAGAAGGGAATTTCGGCTCTCAGTCTGTCTCTAAGGGGATGGCTATGGGGACTGTATTTCTCTCCCAAGCCTCTTGAGGGAGGTGTGCAAATTGCACAGCAGAGTCTTGGGGCCAAGGGCTGAGCTAAGTCTTTGAACACCAGCTACTGGGCGGGAAGCAGTTAGCACCTGACTTTGTTTAAGCTGTCCCCACCAGCTGTTCTATCCATGGCTGGGAAGAGAGCTGGACCACTTCCACAAATGGAGTAAGCAAAGTTAACACAGAACTAGCCGTGAGTGAAATTTCCAGGGAGTGTAGGCTTTGTACAAACAGAGTAAAGACAAGAAGAGCAGGTAGCATCGTAGGCAACTAGAACAATGGCTGGCTGCCCAATGGTAGTGATCTTCCTTGTGAGGGTGGCAGATGAGGGGAGCATGATGCTGAGATAGCAAACACTTTTTCCCAAACTAGTGGGAACATGTGACCCACAGGAGTGCCAGCCTCTGTTCTGGGTCAGCCTTAGGTGAAGAGGTTGCCTATGATATGTGCTCCTAAAAATGACCTACTTTTTCTTTTAATTCATTGATTTCATTTATTTATTCAACAGATTGAGTGCTTACTATGAATTTCCTATTCTAGGGTCTAAGGATACAGGAATGAACAAAACAGGTGATAATTCCCTACTTATGGTATTTATATTCTAAAAGGGAGGCATAAAACCACTACAATAAGTAAAATGTATAGTATATTGAATGAAGGTATGTGCTGTGGAGAACAGTCAAGCAGAAATGAGGGAGGGAGCATGTAAGGGGGATGTAAAGGTCTTCAGGGAAGCCTCACTAAAAAAGGATGACATTTAAGCAATACCTATTTTATGTTTAGAAATTTTTTTAGAAAAGGTGTAAATTCAGGAAAATACAATAGAAAGCACCCATTCTCTCATTTCCAGAGATAATCACTGTTAACATTTTGTTGATATCCTTTTACACTCTTTCCTACGTGTGTTTGAACATGTCACATATTTAAAGGTATGTATGTGTATGCATGGATACACATGCCTTTCTCACTTTCCAGCACAGCCACAGTTTTCCTTCTTACAAAACTGCATCATCACTTCCACTGGCCACAGGAGATGGGGAAGGGTATAGCATAATGGGGGAGTCAGGGGTCTCACCCCAGTCCGGCCGCTTATGTAAGATTTCTGTGTTCCAATTTTTTCATCAGTAAGATAGGGACCATAGGATTTAACTCCTAGTGTTATTTAGGGGGAGGAGGGGCAATCAAATGATTTACTACTTATGAAGAACCTAGAAGAATCCTTGGCACATAGGAAACGTCTACCAGGAGTTAGGACAATTGGTACCATTTCGGAGTAGAGCCACTTCATCTCTGGGATGGTTTTACAAAGTCAGACAGCAAAGCAGAGCAGGACAAGGAGGGCCTTTTGTCCCTGGTAATGTGTTTGGATCTAATTCCCGATGCTGCGATGCTGCGGGAAGCCTTGGAGGGCTTTAAGCAGGGGCGTGGCTTGCCTGTATTTATGCAGCTGTGTGGAGAATGAATTGTAATACAGCAAAATGCTTAAAGGAAGGGCAGCCATGAGGCTGTTTCAGTAACTTGGACAAGAGATGGTGTCGAACTGGAGAGGTGCCAATGAAGGTGGTTAGAACTGATCTGATTGGACATATATTTGAAAATTAAAGTCAATAGTGTTTAGCTATGGGGCTCTGAGCAAAAGATAAAAGAATTGTGGGGCTTCCTGGCTATGGGGAGAGTGGTAGCATTTAGATGGGGAAGGCCAGGAGTCCACACTGGGGCTGGGTGGGTGGAGCACTAACTCTCTTTGGCCACATTAACTCCATTACCAGGCTTTGCCCTTCATTATCATCATCACCTTAGCTTAGGCCCTGTCCCCTCTGGACCAGACTATAGCTCTAATGGGTGCATCACAGATGTCCCTGACCCCAGCCCGTGGCCTTTCTATGACTCTCTCATGTGGCTTTTCTTAATTCTTCCGTGAGTTTTCCCACTCACTGGCCTTATCCTCTGCTTGCCTGTGCCTGGCTCACGGGTTCAAGGCCAAATCCAAGCATCACCTCCTTCACAAAGTTCTTTCCCTTCTGAATTTCAACACAAATTATGTGCATCACCCATTTGGTTTTTAGCACGTTATTCATATTTTCTTTTAAAAATGTGTTTAGGGCTGGACGCAGTGGCCCACGCCTGTAATCCTAGCACTTTGGGAGGCTGAAGCAGGTGATCACCTGAGGTCAGGAGTTCAAGACCAGCCTGGCCAACATGGCAAAACCCTGTCTCTACTAAAAATACAAAAATTAGCTGGATGTGGTGGCAGACGCCTGTAATCCCAGCTACTCAGGAGGCTGAGGGAGGAGAATTACTTGAACCCTGGAGGTGGAGGTTGCAGTGAGCCGAGATCACACCATTGCCCTCCAGCCTGGGTGACAGAGCGAGACTCCGTCTCAAAAAAAAAAAAAAATGTGTTTAGGGCCAGGAATAGCAAGCTCATGCCTGTAATCCCGATACTTTGTGAGGCTGAGGAGGGAGGATTGCTTGAGCCCAGGGGTGTGAGACCAGCCTGGGCAACGTAGGGAAACACTGTCTCTACAAAAAAATTAAAAGAAAAGCAACTAGCCAGGCATAATGTTGTATGCCTGTGGTCCCAGCTACTTGGGGGACCTGATGTGGGAAGATCACTTGAGCATGGGATGTCAAGGCTGCAGTGAGCCATGATTGCTCCACTGCACTCCAACCTGGGCAAAAGAGTGGGACCTTCTCTTTAAAAAAAAAGTGTTTATGTTCCTCCACTATCCCCTGAACCCTTGCTGACAGGGCCGCAAAGACAGAAACAGTGTCAGGCCCTGGGGGCTGAATGTGTGGGGAGTTTTATGAGGCAGGGTAAAGACAGAAGGGGCCTTTAGGGGAGAATAACAAAGAGGACGACTCCACTCACTTCACGGGAGCTCAGGGATGGCTCTGCACACCATCCCATTTGTGCTAAATTCCACCCAGAGTGGTATTTATGAGTCCCATTCCCAAGGGACTCATATCATCTGGTTCGTATATTTAGGCCATTTTCTCTGGTGTATGAACTGTCCAGAGAGAGTAGGAGATGGTGGAGCAGGAAGCCCTTTGGATAACTGGCCACCTGTCCTTGTTTTCCCGCAGGCCCTGTTCTGTTGTCAGCCAGGTTCTGAGGCTAAACAGAGGCAAACCCATTGCTGCAGAGCTCATCCCTGGCCAGTGCTCTGGGTTTATAAAATGCCTGAACTGCTGTCGTTCATTGGTTCCAGTGGTCAGACCAGCCTACTGGTAAATGGATATAGTTTATTTTTCAGTGCCTGAACAAAAGTGTCTTCCCTGTGGACCTCTCCAGGGCCTGGAATTATTTTATTAGTCTCTTCTTTGAGTCAAATTAAGTATTAAGAGTATGTATGCCATCATTAGAGGTGATCGACATCTTGGTCCAATTCAGTTTATTGCATTAACCAGCAGGCAAGGTTGGAGTGACCCTCCCTCCCTTTACCCTTTCTCCTTCTCCTTCCTCCCCCTCTCCTTTCTCCTCTTGCAGCATCTGTTCACAGGCACACTTTGGTAAGGTTGGGGAAGTGGTGCTGCAGAGGTGTGGATCTGCTTCAGGGAGCCTTCTGGAAGTTCAGGCCCAGAGTGGAGAGCAGTGAGGGAAGTGCTGGAGTGGCCTGGGGCTGCAGGAAGACACTGGGCTTCTTGGCTGAGCACAAACTTTCACAACAGCTCCTATGGTAGCCTGAGTGATGGCCACCGAAGACATGCATGCTTGAATCCCTGGAACTTGTGAATGTTACCTTATGTGGCAAGGGGGACTCTGCAGATACAACTAAGTTAAGGACCTTGGGATGGAGAGATTTTCCTGGTGGGCCTCAAATGTGGTTGTCAGTGTCTTTATAAGAGGGAGGCAGATGGAGCTTTAACACAGATGAGGAGACAAAATGACCACAGAGGCAGAGATGGGAGTAATGAGGTCATGAGCCGAGGATTCTTGGCACCCATGAGAAGCTGGAAGGGGCAAGAAACAGGTTCTCTCCTGGGGCCTCCAGATCCCTTGATTTTAGGCCTATAAGGATGAGTTCAGACTTCTGGTATCCAGAATTGTAAGAGAGTAAGCTTGTGTTGTTTTAAGCCACCAAGTTTATGGTACTTTGTTATAGCAGTGGTAGCAAATGAATACAGTTCATGGGCACACTCTAATTCTGGGTTCTCTAAGGAGGCTCCTGAGACCTAAGGGTCTGAAAGATGTAGCTTCATGAATGCTTGGACCCAACAGGACACCCCAGGCTGAACAAGGCCTTTGCTCTAGGTCAGATTTGCTCTCCCAGGGGAGATCCAATCAGTTTAAAATGGAACCTGCGTGCGGTGGCTCACGCCTGTAATCCCAATACTTTGGGAGGACGAGGTGGGCAGATCACCTGAGGTCAGGAGTTCAAGACCAGCCTGGCCAACATGGGGAAACCCCATCTCTACTGAAAACACAAAAAATTAGCTGGGTGTGGTGGCAGGTGCCTGTAATCCCAGCTACTTGCGAGGCTGAGGCAGAAGAATCGCCTGAATCCGGGAGACGGAGTTGTGGTGAGCTGAGATTGCGCCATTGCACTCCAGCCTGGGTGACTGAGCCAGACTCCATCTCAAAAAAAAATAAAATAAAATCTAATGTATATGATTCATTTTGAAGCATCGGCTCACACAATTGTGGAGGCTGAGAAGTCCCACGGTCTGTCATCTTAAAGCTGGAGACCCGGGAAAGCTGGTGGTCAAGTTCTGAGAGCCAGAGGGCTGATGGTACATGTCCCAGTCAAGGGCAGGAGAAGATTAACATTCCCATTCAAGCAGTCAAGCAGAGAGAGCAAATACCCTCTTCCAGCACCTTCGCTTTCTACTTAGACCTTCAATAGACTGGAGGATGTCTTCCCATACTGGGGAGGGCGGTCTGCTTTACTCAGTCCACTGATTCAATGCTAATCTCATCCAGAGACACCCTCACAGACACACCCAGAAATAATATTTAATCTGGACACCGCATGTTTCAGTCGAGTTGAGGTTTAAAATAAGCCTTCACGCACCCTTACAACTTAGGTGCCATTTCCCCCCACTGAGCTCCCTTCTTATCCTCTGAGAACACAAGGAGGTATTACTCACAACACAGCCCAGCTGGCCAGCACCAGCTACATAATCTGTGGGGTCCAGTACAAAATGAAAATGCAGAACTGATTCTTCCACACTTGAGAAGCATCTCATCTCAAGATGGCGGGAGCAGGGCATTCACCAGGCATGGCGCCTTCTGCAGGCCCAGCCCAGAGCTACCACAGGTCATGCTCCCATGAGGAGGACTCCTGCCTCTGGCCTCTGTTCTATTTCTAGGTTGGACTTCCACCTCCTACATCATTTTTCTTCCAGAAGCACATGAAGCTTTTTTAGGAAGCCATTTCTTTTTGGCTCCATTTCTTCTTCGTGGAAAAGGCTTCCACTCTCAAAGTTTGCCAAGCCAAAAATAGAATCTGCTTGAAGAGTGAAATGAGACTCAGGATCCTGCTGATAACTCCAATGTTTTAAAAACAAACAAGGACAACTATAAAGATAGTTTATGGGCTCATTAAAAATCTCCAAACCACAGTATCAACCACAGGATGGAGGGTGTCATTTTAGGAAAACTCTGTAATGCACCACGGTGAACCCGCCCCGCTGAAGCTCCATGGTGGCACAGGGGCCTCTGGCAGGGCGATGCGCTTCTCACAGTGAGCAGGGAGTGGGAGGCCCCCACAAGCTCTTATGGGAGAAGGGAATCAGGGGTGCCTATGCAACCATAGGACATATAAGTGTAAGTGGCTTTTTTTTTTTTGAGACGGAGTTTTGCTTCTGTTGCCCAGGCTGGAGTGCATCGGTGTGATCTTGGTTCACTGCAACCTCTGTCTCCCAGGTTCAAGCGATTCTCCTGCCTCAGCCTCCTGAATAGTTGGGACCACAGATGTATGCTGCCACACCTGGCTGATTTTTTAAAAAAATTATTCGTAGCAATGAGCATCTCCCTATGTTGCCCAGGCTGGTCTTGAACTCCTGGGCTGAAGTAATCCTCCCACCTCCACCTCCCAAAGTGCTGAGATTACAGGCATGAGAGCCCAGCCTTATGCTTTTAGTTCATACTTTAGGAAGAGTTATCAGAAATGAAATGCAACGCAGTGCCTAGGGCTGGGAAGGAGGTGGGGGTAACTAGAAGGACAAAAAAGAGTGGAAGATGAGGATGACAGAAGAAGGGTGTGCTATTGATCAGCAGGAGGGCCAGGAATTGGGCCCCTTGCTCCAGGGTTTTTAACTTTATTCATGCCATGGGAACCCCCAGCAGCCTGGTGAAGCCAGTGGAACCTTTCTCAGAGGAATATTTTAAAATGCATAAAATAAAATTCATAGAATTCCACAGCAGACTGTAGTAATATTAAAATACAGTTATCAAAATGCTTAAAGTACACATTTGTGATATAATAATGTATGTGCTTTTTTTCCTAATGCATTAAATAAGACCTAGTGGCAGTTCTATTGATTATTTTAATTTAGAAGTAGTGCTATTAGTAAATGCTATTTCAAGGTATCTGCAACAATTATTATTTGATATGAAAATATCTGATTTTTACTAGTAAAAAAGTAGGGACTGCTGTAAGTACAGAATTGTAGTTTGCTGACAGCCTTTTGAATTGAAAGAAATGCTAAATATCCATTTGAGGCTGGCAAAAATAAAGTTGTAATCTTTTTCCATCCAACTTCATGGACTTGCTGAATTCTCTCTTTGGAACACTTGTGGGTCTATTGGTCCCTAAGTTAAGAACCTCTCTGCAGAAGTTAAAACCTATCTGTGCAATCCTAGTGGGGACAGAAAAAAGATCAGGTCCTCAAGACCTTATAAATTAGACAGGCAACTTGGGGTAATGTTTGCTAATTGCTGCAGATAAAAGGCTTAGGCAGAGGGTTTTCATTTAATTTTTTTTCACCAATTTTATAAAAATCATTATTTAAAGTTCATTGAAATGTGCCCATGGCTTATGCATTGTACACAGCTGGATTTACTAAAAGGATGGTTAATTAAGAAGCTGTCAAAGAAGAGGGGTGATGGATTTCATTAGCCAATCTGCATAGTGTTCAGGAGAGCCTGTGGGGCTCCTTAAGTGGGTCTCATTGAAGTCACCTCCAGAGCCTTGGAGATGGGTGTTGGCAGCCTTCTGAGCATTTCATTAGGTTGTTACTCCTATGTGCATGTGGAGGAAGTGATAGCCAAACAACCTCAGAGAGCAAAAGGCCCGTACCTGAGGCAGCTTTCTTCTCACATTGCTTTTGCTCTCCTTATTGTTTTGGGTTTTTCCAGCTCTTTAAACAAGTAGTTCATCAAGTCAGGTGTGCAGACCACGTGATTCCAAGTCCTATAAATGCTCCCAGGGAAGGGAATAGAACCAGGCAGCGTTCTGCTGTATGTAGAAGTCCTGAAGTCAACAACTGTTGCTCTCAGGTTACCAAGGCAACTTGCTCATGCCAACCATGCTGGTGGCAGGAAAAGGGTTGGAGAGAAGACCACACATTGCCTCCCTTTAGAAAACCCCAGGACCTTATGAAACAGTGCACTACAGCTACTGTTTCCACCACCTGTAATAAAATATAATAGTTGGTTCACCACTAATAAAGGGTCCAGCAGTATTCTAAGTCTTTTTATATTACCTTGTTGAATCCTTGGTTTAATATCTAAGAAGTAGATATTATTATTCCTATTTTGTAGATAAGGGAGAATGTTATACACAAATAGTTCAAGTGAAGGAGCTGGAATTTGGACTATAATCAGAGTTAGTGATTATGGAAAGATTTTTATACTTATACAACAACCCTCTTTTAAGTCAACAGCAGAGGCCCTTTTACTTTTACAAGCTTGTTTATATATCGTGAATGATTAGGAAGGCTGAATATGAAGCAGTTTAAAGTTAATTTCTTTTTAGACAGTCTTGCTCAGGTGCTTAGGCTGGAGTACAGTGGTGTGATCTTGGCTCACTGCAACCTCCACCTCCTGAGCTCAAGTGATCCTCCCACCTCAGCCTCCCAAAATGTTGGGTTTACAGGCATGTGCCACCATGCCCAGCTAATTTTTGTATTTTTAGTAGAGATGGGTTTCACCATGTTGGTCAGACTGGTCTTAAACTCCGGGGCTCAAGCGATCTGCCTGCCTCGGTCTCCCAAAGTGCTGGGATTACAGGCATGAGCCACCGTGCCTGGCCAAGTTAAAATTTTAAGAAATGTTGGTCCTCAAACCTGAAGGAAGAGTTTCTTGAGAAGATAATCTGATATTCAAAATCATTTGCATTTGACTTTTCAAAAACACCTCTGTAACATAAAGACTGGCAAGGTGATTAGCATTCCCTTTTCCCACTGCCAGGATGCACTCAGAATTCAATGGTTTATTCAATAAGACAGCCACTTTTTATTCAATAACAAGGTGAACAACCAAGTCCAGGTTGAAACCTAGTTTTAAAGCTTTCTCAGCAACTCTCAAACCACTTTTCTTTTCTTTTTTCTTTTTTTTTTTTCTTTTTTTTGAGACAGAGTGTTGCTCTGTTGCCCAGGCTTCAGTGCAGTGGCGCGATCTCACTGCAACTTCCACCTCCTGAGTTTAAGCAATTCTCCTGCCTCAGCCTCCTGAGTAGCTGGGATTACAGACACACGCCACCATGCCCAGCTAATTTTTGAATTTTTAGTAGAGACGGGGTTTCACCATGTTGGCCAGGCTGGTCTTGAACTCCTGACCTCAGGTGATCCGCCCACCTTGGCCTCCCAAAGTTCTGGGATTACAGGCGTGAGCCACCACACCTGGCCTCAAACCACTTTTAAAATCCCAAAGCAGACACAAACTGAGGCACAACATCATCCTCGAAGTTGTCGTTGTCATCATCAGGAGATGCAGCCTTCCTGGGGCCCCATGACATATCCTTCTTTAGTGCAGTTGTTTAGTTAATTGACCCCCAAGTGTGCCCATCTAAGTAGTCAGTTAGTTGCATCAGGCAAAGAGTGCTGGATTTGAGACCTGGATCTGCTAGGTGACCTTGGAGAAATCAGTTAGTAACCTCTCTGAATCTCATTTTTCTCTAGTTTCAAAATAGACCTAGCACCACCTGTATCATGAAGTCATTGTGAGGACTGCCTGAGATGATCTGTAGGCAGGCATATTTTTGTTCTTTTGTATTGCTATAACAGAATACTGCAGACTGGATAATTTATAATACACAGAAATGTATTAGGCTCATGGTTCTGGAGTCTGGGAAGTCCAGGATCAAGGGGCTGCATTTGATGAGGCCCTTCTTGCTGTCATGCCACAGCCGAAGGGCAAAGAGAAGGCGAGAGGGAGCAAGAAGGGAAGGGGGCCAAGAGCATCCTTTTATCAGGAGCCCGCTTCTGCCCTAGTTAACCCACTCCCACAATAATGACCCCAATCCATTCAGGAGAGCGGAGCCCTCAGGACCTAATTACCTCTTGAAGGTCTCACCTCTCAACACCATTGCATTGGGGATTAAGTTTCCACACATGAACTTTGGGGGAACACATTCAAACCACAGCAAAGCACTTGCTAAGTTGTGTACAAATGTTATATGTTGTTTGTCCCAGTCAAGACCTAAAGAGCATTGCTCCTTGTAGAAAGAGGTTCAATGAATTATGCTCCAAGAAGTGGGGATGCCACAGGCTGCCAATATACAGGCTGTCTTTCTTCCCAATTTACCGGCACACAATAACCAGAAGAGCCACCTGTCACTTAGTATTTGCATGTACACATTTATATTGCCACTTACCTTGTTAAAGTCTGCACTATTCAACCTTTGGGGCAAAAGTTTTGGTTAATTGTTTCATATCCCTAGTACCTCCAATGGCTCCTGCAAAAAAAGGTACTCAGAAAATATAGGCAGCTGGTAACATTTATTGAGCACAAATTATGTGCCGGGAACTGTTCCAAGCACTCCACACTGATTAATATACATAATATTCACAACAAGACTTTGAAGTTGGGACTCTCTTTATCCCTATTTTGTAGATGGGGAGATAGAAGCAAAAGAGGAGTAAAACCTCACATAGGTGAGAGGCAGGGCTGAGTTGTGCACACAGATGCCGTGACTGAGAGCCCAGAGTCTAAACCAGTCTGCTCTATTGCATTTTCTTTTTTCTTTCTTTCTTTCGTTCTTTTTTTTTTTTTTTTTTTGAGGCAGAGTCTTGCTCTGTTGCCCAGGCTGGAGTGCAGTGGCATGATCTTGGCTTTCTGCAACCTCCACCTCCCAAATTCCAGCAATTCTCCTGCCCCAGCCTCCTGAGTAGCTGGGATTACAGGCACATGCCACCACGCCCAGCTAATTTTTGTATTTGAAGTAGAGACGGGGTTTCACCATGTTGGCCAGGCTGGTCTCAAACTCCTGACCTCAAGTGATTGGCCTGCCTCAGCCTCCTTCAGAGTGCTAGGATTACAGGCCTCAGCCACACTGCACCCAGCCTGCTCTATTGCTTTTTAAATGCATGTTTAGGATGAGCACTGGCAGGTAAGAAAGAAGAGAAGACTTCTGCAGCCGCCCAATTGTGCAGACACACCATTTCTTGTCTGTGGCGGGTTGAATAGTATACCTGAAAATTTACGTCTACCCAGAACCTCAGAATGGAAACAGACTCTATTTGGAAATAGGGTCTTTGACAATGTAATTGGTTAAGATGAGGTCACACTTGACCAATCTCGCATGTGTCCTTATAAGAAGGAAATTTGAACGTAGACACACAGGGGAGAAGGGCATGTGAAGACAAGGGCAGAGATTGGAATGAGGGATCTACAAGCCCAGGAATGCCATGGACAGCCAGCAAACCACCAGGCAGTGGAGAAAGGCATGCAGCAGATTCTCCTTCAGAGCCCCCAGAAGGAATCAACCTTGCTGACATCTTGGTTTGGGTCTCTGGCCTCTGGATCTGTAAGAAAATAAATTTCTGTTGTTTTGAGCCACCCAGTCTGCAATAGTTTGTAACGGCAGCCCTGGGAAATCAATACACCTTCTTTCTCTCTGTTCTCTGCTTTCCAGTGAAGTGAAGGGAAGTATTGCACAGATGACTCAAAAACATAAGAATCTGAGGCTTTAGGGGGGTTTAGCTTTGCATGAGCTCATTTCCTTTTTCTCTGATTAAACCTCATGGAAAACCAGCCCACTCAGATTAAGAAAGAGTGAGAGGGTCCCATGGGCCATTATCTCTTGGTAAAGTGAAATCAATCCCAGAAGGCAGACTGCTTGAAAAGCCCATCTTCATTAATCAACCAATAAGTCTGTGAAGTGGAAATGTGCACTTCCTTTTGCCTCTTTTTTGTGTGGAGAAGAAGGGAGAGCTAGAGAGGTCATCCCAGCCTAGGAATTCGAACTGGTCTATGAAAAAGAGAGAACTATAATTTCAAACGTCTGCTGTGATGCTTTGGGGTGGAGTCCTGGATCAAATGGCCTGGTCAGCAAAGTATTTCACTGACAGCACAGTTATGTGCTGAAGTTTAGGTTTAGGAAGAGGCTGGAGGTTGCTGAATTTTTTGGCATGACTGAGAATAAGAAATTCTGCTTAGATGTTGCCAAGGGGCAGGGAAGAAGGAGCACAGTGTGATGAGAGAGGCCCAGATGCTATTCAGAGAGGCTACCCTGAGATGTCCCTGGTTGGTGGGCTTGGCCATGGGTCTTTTAAGAAGAGGCACGGCTGATATTCCATTTAAAGTTGGCTATGTGAGACTATGATGTAACTCCCCACCCTGGTTGCATTAAACCTTCAGAAAAAGTTTTCTGAATATACACCCTTGTATTAATCATCCCATGGGGAAAAGAAGTGTCCTCAGAGACACACTGGGAGGAACCAGCAACTGTTAGCCTTTTTTACCATCTACCGCCCTTCCTCTCTTCCCACTGTTTGTGGGCTTGGAATTTAACTCTACTTTGAATAAATCCTAAAGGGTGCTGAAATCATCAAGCTATGGGATTTGAAACACCACTACCAGGCTGCTCAGACCTACGTCTTCCTTGTTCTGAGGGCCAACTACAGGAAAGGCATCCTGCTAGGTGCGGTAGCTCATGCCTGTAATTCTAGCACTTTGGGAGGCTGAGGTGGGAGAATCGCTTGAGCTCAGGAGTTTGAGGCCAGCCTGGGTAACACAGTGAAACACTGTCTCTACTAAAAATCAAAACATGAACTGAGGATGGTGTCACTTACTCGTGGTTCCAGCTACTCTGGATGCTGAGGTGAGAGGATCACTTGAGCCAGGGAGGTTGAGCCTGCAGGGAGCCATGATTGTGCCACTGCACTCCAGCCTGGGCGACGGAGCCAGACCCCATTTCAAAAAAAGGTAAAATAAAATAAAAAAGGAAAGGCATCCTATGAGGTGTACCAGGGACACAAAAGCTTGTAGGATCTAACCCCGTTGCTGTGGACTGAATGCTTATGTTCCACCAAAACTCATATCCTGAAGCCTCACGCACAATGTGATAGTAGTTGAAGTTGGGGCTTTCGTGGGGAGGTCAGTAGGTCATGACAGTGGAACCCTCATTAATGGGATTTCTGTCCTTATAAAAAGAGGCAGAAACATGGGATTTTCCTCTTTGCTCTCTGCCCTGTGAGGATACAACATGAAGACAGGTTTCTGCAAACTAAGAAGCGGGCTTTTACCTACGGTGACTCTGATGGTGCCTTGATCTTGGACTCTCCAGCTTCCAGAACTGTGAGAGATAAATATTTGTTGTTTAAGCCACCCAGACTTAAACAACAGATAGTCATTTGTTATGGCAACCTGACCTGACTAAGATACCTGGCCTCAAAGAGGTTCCAATACTGAAAGACAAAGGCAAGAGTGACTACAATTAGGACTGCCTTAACTGAAGAACAAACAGCAGTTTCACAGCTTCAGAGGAAGAAAAAGAGCACTTCTGGCCAGAGTGATCAAGGACCTGATGTGAGATATTTAAGGTCATCTTCCAACAGACAGAGTAGAGGTATACGGCATGTCTCTCTCTTGAGTACACCCACACTCCCTTTTATTGAGTGTGTACTTTTCCCTTTTCAATAAATCTCCATAACAAAAAGAATGGAAGTGTAAGGGTGTGTGTGTGTGTGGGCATGTGTGTGCACATGTGCATGCACGCACACACACACATACATCCCATCTTCCAGGCAGACCACAAAGGGCACTATTTACACAGGCTATAATGTGAACGGTGCTATCTGGAATTGCACTGTAGGTGGTTCTGCTTCCAGGCCTAGTTAATGGTTACTACCCAACAGGTGAGGATAAAGCTACCTATGGGTACCCATGCCTGACAGTTCTACTCCTCTCAGTAAGGCAGAAGGAGGAGGCAGCAGATCTTTTTGTTAGCAATGGGTCAAATGCAAGAAGATGAAATGTTGTAGGCATAAATTAAATGTCCCATACTTGGCCCAAAGAGCCAACTGAATAAACTCTACAAGAAGTAGGAGACTCAGTTAAGTAGCAGCACACATCAAAACTTGTCCGTGATAAGCTCAAACTGAATCAAGTGAAGTGACGGGGGGAGGTGGAGCAGGAGATTAAAAAATGTGGTGCCTTAAAAGCCAGTGTGGGCCAGGTGTGGTGGCTTATGCCTCTAACCCCAGCACTTTGGGAGGCTGAGGCGGGTGGGTCACTTGAGGCCAGGAGTTTAAGATCAGCCTGACCAACATGGTGCAACCCCATCTCTACTAAAAATACAAAAATTAGCTGGGCATGGTGGTGGGTGCCTGTAATCCCAGCTACTCAGGAGGCTGAGGTGGGATAATCACTTGAACTCGGGAGGTGAAGGTTGCAGTGAGCTGAGATCATGCCACTGCACTCCAACCTGGGCAACAGAGCAAAACTCTGTCTCAAAAAAGAAGAAAAAAAAAAAAGACAGTGGGATCTCAGGCTGCATTAATAGAAAAATATCTAAAATAGGGAAAGCAATTCTAAAATTGTCAAAGGGAGAAAAAAATTAGATATACAAATCCACTAGTCTTGTAGAAGGTTTCCGAAAGCTAGGGTTAACACTCTTTCTGGAAACACATACACTGTCTTGCATTGACTTTAAACGGTGGGGTTTGAGGAGATATAACATGGATGAGAAGTTGAGAATGAAATAGAAGATACAGGTAGACAGGGTAGATGGGCAAAGAAGGTATTTGATGGAGGATAAACTCTTTAAAAGCTCATTAGAATTTAAAAAATATTTTTACAGTGAATATATATAATTTTTGTAATTAAAGTTAGATTAACTTAAGACAAGGGAAGTGATAGGTTCTATATCACACTGGTCAAACCATACTGGAGACAGGAATTCGGTGGGCACCAGAAAGAAAAACTGGAGGACATTTGCAGGAGAATGGCTAATATTGGGCAAGGTCTCAAAACCGTATAATGAAGGCTGGAAAAAGGATTGGGCATGTTTCAACCTGGAGGAAAGGCTTTTCAGTAATGGGACTGGCCACTACTTTTGAAAGAGAAAGTCCACTTATTCTAGATGGCCTGAGAAACATAGAGAAAATATTAGAGTTAAATTATAAAGAATAACTTAAAGAATAAACTGCCTGGCTAGGTGCGTGGCTCACGTCTGTAGTCCCAGCACTTTGGGAGACTGAGGCAGGAGAATTGCTTGAACCTGAGAGGTTGAGGTTGCAGTGAGCTATGATCGCACTACTACACTCCAGTCTGGGTGAGGGAGAAAGACCCTGTCTCAAAACAAAAACAAACAAACAAAAAGCAAACAAACAAACAAAAAAATCTTTTTTTTTTTTTTTGAGACACAGCCTCACTCTGTTGGAGTGCAGTGGCGCAATCTCAGCTCACTGCAACCTCCAGCTCCCGGGTTCAAGCAATTCTCCCTCCTCAGCCACCTGAGCAGCTGGGATTACAGGCACCCACCACCACGCCTGGCTAATTTTTGTATTTTTAGTAGAGATGGGGTTGCACCATGTTGGCCAGGCTGGTCTAGAACTCCTGACCTCAGCTGATTCGCCTGCCTCGGCCTCCCAAAGTGCTGGGGTTACAGATGTGAGCCACTGTGCCCAGCCAAAAATCTACTTTTTAATAGTCTCTTGAAAAATAGTGTCCTCATTTATTTAAGTAGAACATTGGAACTTGATCATTGGAAAGGTGGTTAGGCTACGTAAACTTAAAAGTGACTTTGCATTCTAATGCATTATGGCAGATATTGTTGTGTGTCTGCCCACAGCCATAGTCCCTTCCTGTTTAGGTAGCATGTTCAGGAAATAAGGGCCTATCTCCAGTCAGGGATGGGGTGCAGTGAGGGCAGGATACACCCTAATTGGTCTTAGTCAAGTACATGATTTTAATTCTGTTCACCACTGATTGGTTTAGTGGCAGGCGTGTGGCCAGTTATGGCTGATAAGTTATGTGAGGAATTCAGCTGGGTTAATTTCTAAGCCTTCTCGGAAATTAATTTTTCTCCCTGATAAAAGGAGGGAGAGCAAGGAGGCCTCCTTCTTTTTGTTGCCTTTAATTGATTATGTAAAAATATGCCACTTATAAGTCCAGCAGCCATCTTACCACTGTGTAGACCAAAGCCAGTCTCTGTGATGAGCCCCTCATCAAACCTGGATCACCAATCTCTGATTAGACATTTCATTTTGTGAGATAATTAAAGATCTTCATTTCTTAAGCCGCTGTTATTTAGGCATGTTAGTTGTCCCTGCAGCCAGGTGCTTGCTAACTCAATCAAACTTTATGAGTCTAAGAAAATCACTAACTTTGGGTAGGTATGATATACTTCATATAAAACATGTCTTCCTGAAAAGATGCATGTAAATAAAATTGCTGTAGGTTGAATTTTATTCCAAACGCGTGAATGAAATTATTATCCAGAGAACATCTTGAGTATTGTGTTCCATTGTAGGTCCTGCATTTAAAGAGGAAGCTGGAAATTTCCCAGAGGAAAACAACTAGGGTGATGGGAAATCTGGAACTCATGTGAAAAAGGGACTGGGGGAAGCTACTCTGAGAAGAGAAACCTAGTATTTAGTGGTGGGTAGGGGAAGAGATATTTGATGGATTTCCATATAGAACAAAGCTTTAATGTATTTGCTAGACAGCTCCGAAGGCAGAACTAGGGCCAGTAGTAGGAAGTACAGGGAAGCAAATTCCAGTTTGTTGCAAGAAAGAACGTCCTAAGAACTAGAGCTTCCAACAATAAACTGGGAGGCCTTAGGAGATGCTAAGGTCCAGGAGAGCAGTCAATCAGTAGCTGGCTAGCCAGGTTGTTCAAGAGAATTCCAGCCTTCAGTGGTATTGCATGAGTTGATTCTGAAAAGTGCTTAGAAACAGAGTGTTCTTCATTAGCACTATTTTGCAAATGAAGAAACTGAGGCTTAGTGAGGAAGATGATGTGTCCAGGGTCTCACAGCTGGCTGGAAGGTGAGATGGGTCTGGGAAAAGAGTGGGGTGTGGAGGTGGAATGGCTCCATATAAACCCTTGAGGATGTAGGACTGGATCTTGGAGCACACTTGGAACTTTGGAATGTGAACTTTGCAGGACTCTGCACTTCGTTTCAGACACCACAATAGCTGGACTGAGCTCTCCAGATTTGTGATGGGAATTCAGGAAGCTGCCCCTACAGGCCTCAGCCCATCATAAAGAATGAGGCTTAAGCATTAAGAAACAGGAATGATGCCAAGTCACACCACTGATACAGATCAATCAGAAGGGACTCGCCTGTACGTTGCACCAAGCAGGTGATCCAGCCCCGCAAATCAGCCCTGCTAAAGTCTTGCGGGCCCAGAAGTAGAAAAAGATCCTTCTGGTGCAGCTAGTAGGACATACTTCATCCTCACTTGAATGAAACTTGGCTGCAGAAAGAGGTTTAATGAGGCTCCAGGTAGCCACACTGGGGCAGGTTGTAGTCTCTAAGAAATAGACTCTGAGATGCTGAACTTGGCACACAGGTTCACTGGGGAGTGCTTTGGGAATAAATCCTGCTAGAGAGTGAGTGGGGCTGAATTGGGCAAAAGGAGAAGCTGAGCTGTGATGCGGTTGGAACAGAGGCCTCAGTTGGTCCTACAGGGAGCTCTAGAGCTGGAATGTCCCTGCAGAGATGTCTCAACTGAGGCAAGGGGGATGGGGCTTTGTACCCCTCATCAAACAGTCTTTGCATGCAGGCTGCCCTCAGAAGACAGCATAGGCTTAAGCAAGACCATGTCCTTCAGAAGAAGGCAATTCCTGAAGCAGGACTCAACTCTGAGCTATCAGTAGCCAACACTCCCTGTAGTTGGAGTAAAGAGAATAAAGTCCTGAAGGGGCCAGCTGGGTGGTACCCCATGGCATTGCCAAACAGAATCACTCCCCTCTGCCAGCTGAACACTATGGCAGGGTGCCGCGCAAACCCCTTCTTTTTCCTCTGGGCAGCCCTTCCGGCATATGATGAGGACCCTGTGGCTAAATTAATGCTCCAAAGTGCAAACTCTAGATGGGGAAGGAGACCCGGAAGGGCCTCTGTAGGACCAGCTTCTTTCCCCAAAACTCCACAAGCAGAGGAGAGGATGCAAACGCTGGGTGCACGCCTCCCACCTGGGGACCCCAAAGGAACACCAGGCAGGCTGGTGGCTGGGAGTGGGGATGCTGTCAGAAGGAAACACCCGCTTGTTAACAAAGCTGGTCAAGGTTGGAGTCATGGATTTTGGAAATTTGGTGATTCCCAGCCAAAAGAAGTGCGTCAGACACAATGACCCGACACGCCCAGGATCAACATCCTCTGGGAAAGAAGAGACCCAGATCAGGACTTTTTTGTTTCCTTGACTAGGTAGGATGCCTCATGGCAGGATGTGGCCGCTTCAGCCGTGGTCACAGAGCCTCTCTCAGCCTGATACAGTATAGCGCGGCCCGTGTTGTCTCTGCACTGCACTGCCGGGACGCTCCCTGTCTTTTCTGTAAACTCACTTGAGCCAAGGGCACCCCATGCTCTCTGCATCTACGGGACACCTCGCACAACTCAGAAGGCCTATTTGCAATATGCCAGCAGACTCTTCCCCTCCCTCCCACACAGGGCGGCTATTCTTAGTTGTAAGGAAACAGATTTTATTTTCTCTAAGCAGAGTGATGGGAAGTTAAGCACAAGATGCCCTACCTCTTGTCTGAGCTGCTTGAACTGAGGGCCGAGAGGGGGGCTTCTCTTAGGGAGTCTGTGGAGGGGTGGGGGACGGTGGCCTCAGGAGCTTCCGCTGAGATTCCAAGGAGAGGCTGCGCTTCCTCAGCCCTGCACGTTCCCCCAGGCCGTGGGGATTAGGGCAGAGGCAGAGACCGGAGTCCCTGGCCCGGGCTGCATAAACTCACTTTCCTGGTGTTCATGTGTGCCTCCCACGCAACTCCCGGAGGTGGGGACTGGGAGCATTTTCACTTGACAGATGAGGACAGTGAGGCACAAAGAACTCAAGGTCATACAGCTTAACGGGGGAGGGGAGAGCTTAAGCTTTAGCAGTGGGGTGGAGCTGGGGTTGGCACACCGACATCCCAAACCTGTGCTTAGAATCACTGCCCTGCACCGTGGGTCAGGAACACTCACCAGTGACCTGGTGGAGTCATGGCTGTAGTTTCCGGGCTATTGGCCAAGCTAACCGCACAGAGACAGCAAGGGCAGTGAGAAGGAACAGCGCCGGGCACCCCGGGACTCATTCCTTGGAGTAAATGAAACCAGTTTATGAAATAAGCACAACTTGACTGGATATGAGAAAAAGCAACTTGATTCATTCCTGCCCTCCTCGGGAAACTTGAATAGTGCATTTCCTACCTCCAGAGAGGATCTCAGGCAACACCCATTACTTTTCCAGAAAAGCTTAGATGATTGCAGGTGAAATCCAATGTGCTATCTAAACTCTACACAGTACCTGGTTTAGAGCACCCTCTCTTTCCTCAGTGTATTAGTGTCTAATGGCTGCCATCACCAATGACCACAAATGGGCTGGCTTAAAGCAACTGAAATGTATTCTCTCACAGTTCTGGAGGGGAGAAGTCTGAAATCCTTTTTCCGAAAAGGTCACATAGGTAGGTTCTGGGGGGCAGGGTGTGAACACGTGTGTTGGGCAGGCACCATTTAACTCACTACACCCAGCTGGGGCCTACTTTAGTTTGGGAAGCCTGCAGAGTATGTGGGCGTGTGGGTGGGGGTTCATCTTGCTTTGCCTTGCTGTTGGCCCCTAGGTGGGCTGGCCCAGGACCAGGGCGGAGAGGAAGGCGGTGGGCAGGCTGAGGTGAACCTGACTGCTGCCTATGCATTCCAAGGCCGGTGCCTTTGGACATGGCAGGTGTTGGAGGTTGATTTTTACTACATGGGGCAAGTTTATGGGTGATTAAACCCCCACTGCCCTCAGCCCTCTAATTTCACAGCTGGTCTATGGGAAAGACACATGCATCCTTGGCCCATATGATTCTGGAAGTGCTGCTGTTTCCATTGTGGTCACCTCCCACCACTGTGTCCCCTGGCAAGAACACCACACCCCACAACCTCTAGATTACCCAGGTAGGAATCAGGTTTCAGTCCCAGTGTTCCTTAAACACCAAGAGGCAGCTGTCCAGGCTCTGTGAGATGTTGTCTGGGAGCCCCCTCCCACCTGGCTCAAAGTATGCAGGAAGAACTCGTCTGTTACTGCATGGAGGAGGAACATGTGCAGCAGATCGACAGCTCTCAGCAGAACCGCCCTCCCTATGTGCTCTTTGGCCTCCAAGGAATGCTTTACCTTCTGACTGATAGCCTGGAAGTGGCTGTTGGATGCCATGATGAGGGTAGATTTGGCCTTATAGCCACTCAGCACGTCTTGTGTAGATGATCCAACAGCTCCCTTTAAGATATGGGCATATTTGGCACCTAGTTTATTGTCCTCAGACTTTGGGACCACTGTCCTGAACTCCAAGACATCAGAAAAGGTTATTTTTACACTATGTTCAGTAAGTTAATGGGACTATTTCCTATTCTCCCTAATTGGATTTACACATAAAAGACAAATAAAATGAGAAATCACTTAGATACAACAAAGTGGCACATGCATTTCTGCCTTGGTAACCTTCTATAAGATAGATATTGATGAATATGAGAAAACAACAATACTAGAAACAAACATCTATTGTCTGCTTCCAGGTGCAAAGGCTGGGAGGCTGGCAGTCTGGATTTCAGGAAAAGGACACAAAGATGAAAGTTATGTTGTGCCCACATCCAAGGCTTATCTGCTGCTGTTTTCATCATTTCTGAAAATCCACTCTTAGCATCAAAACTTTTGTGAGGCCAGGGAGTGGGCCCTTATTAAGGCCTGATCAGCATGGCTTGGTGTCTCAGGTTAGCCAGCCTCTACCAAGGCTCTGAGGAAAGGTACATTTAATGTTACTTCCAGTACAGCCCCCCTCTCTCTGCCTTGGTTGAGTTTCATGTCTTCCTCATCTTCAGCAGGGTGACTAAAATAACCACCTTGCAGCTCCTACAGGTTGCCATCTGTGATGGTTAATACTGTGTGTCAACTTGATTGGACTGAAGGGTACAAAGTATTGATCCTGGGTGTGTCTGTGAGGATATTGCCAAAGGAGATTAACACTTGAGTCAGTGGGCTGGGAAAGGCAGACCCACCCTTAATTTGGGTGGGCACGATCTAATCAGTTGCCAGCAGCAGAGACCAACACTGAGCCCTCAATATGACACCATTCCTCGGGGTGATCAGCCAACTACCTGGTGGCAGGTTTATTATATTGGACCTCTTCCATCATGGAAAGGGCAGAGGTTTGTCCTCACTGGAATAGACACTTACTCCAGATATGGGATTGCCTATCATGTATGCAATGCTTCTGCCAAGATTACTATCTGTGGACTCACAAAATGACCAAGGCACTCACTTTATGACTAAAGAAGTGTGACTGTGGGCTCATGCTCATGGAATTCACTGGTCTTACCATGTTCCCCATCATCCTGAAGCAGCTGGATTGATAGAACGGTGTAATGGCCTTTTGAAGTCACAATTACAACACCAACTAGGTGACAATAGTTTGCAGGGCTGGGCCTAAGTTATCCAGAAGGCTATGTGTGCTCTGAATCAGTGTCCAATATATGGTACTGTTTCTCCCATAGCCAGGATTCACGGGTCCAGGAATTAAAGGGTAGAAGTGGAAGTGCCACCACTCACCATCACCTCTAGTGATCCACTAGCAAAATTTTGCTTCCTGTTTCCACAGCATTACATTCTGCTGGCCTAGAGGTCTTAGATCCAGAGGGAGGAAGGCTGCCACCAGGAGACACAACAACGATTCCATTAAACTGCAAGTTAGGATTACCACCTGGACACCTTTGGCTCCTCCTACCTTTAAGTCAACAGGCTAAGAAGGGAGTTACAGTGTTGGCTGTGGTGATCGACTTAGACTATCAGGATGAAATCAGTCTACTCCACAACAGAGGTAAGGAAGAGTATGCATGGAATACAGGAGATCCATTAGGGCATCTATTAGTATTACCATGCCCTGTGATTAAGGTCAATGGGAAACTACAACAGCTCAATCCAGGCAGGACTACAAATGGCCCAGACCCTTCAGGAATGAAGGTTTGGGTCCCTCCACCAGGAAAAAAACCATGACCTGCTGAGGTGCTTGCTGAAGGCAAAGGGAATACAGAATGGGTAGTAGAAGAAGGTAGTTATTAATACCAGCTACAACCACATAACCAGCTGCAGAAATGAGAACTGTAATTGTCATGAGTATTTCCTCCTTCTTTTGTTAAAAACATGTTTGTGCATATATACATTTGTACTAAGAAAATATCTTCACTTTATTTCCTTTTCCTTTATCATGTGACTTAATATTTGTTGACTTCATGTCAGCATTTGAGTATTGTTAACTTTATGTAATAGTATTTGGGTTGGGGATCGGTGCGTTTCTGATTGTATGAAGGATAGTTGTATTCTGTTAGCCATAATTATGATCTTATTATTGTCTTTATTTGAAGATTATGTATGATCTCAGGAGATGTGTGTGGGTTCAAATTGACAAGGGGTGGACTTGTGATGGTTAATACTGAGTGTCAACTTGATTGGATTAAAAGACACAAAGTATTGATCCTGGGTGTGTTCATTTGGAAGAAACAGGGAACGGTTTCTCATGGTACTTTTGGGAAGCAAACTTCTCTCTCAGGCTGCCAAAGAATCAGTGTGGTATGTTGTTGCTTCTGCCTCTCCTTGCATTACTATCCAACTGAGACAAATGGATAGACTTGCCTAATGCCTCAGAAGTTTTCTAGTTCATTTTTTCTTTCTTCACTTGACCTTGAAGATCAGCTACCCAGAGAGGGTAAGAAAGTTGCCCAAGGTCCCATAACCAGCAAATAACATGTTGAGGCCAAAGGTGCTCTGATTCCTCATCTAGTCGCCTCTGCCATTTCTCACTTAACTTATTCCATTTTGCTGTCACCCACAAGGCCTCCTATGACCAATGACTCCTATTATGTGTGCCCCCTAAATGCATATGTTGAAGTCCTAACCCCCAGGACCTCAGAAAGTGACTGTATTTGGAGGCAGGGCCTTTACAGAAGTAATTGTTGAAATGAGGTTGATAGAGTGGGCCTAATCTGATATGCCTGGTGTCCTTATAAGAAGAAGTTGGCACTTTGGGAGGCGGAGGCAGGCGGATAACCTGAGGTCAGGAGTTCGAGACCGACCTGGCCAACATGGCAAAATCCCGTCTCTACTAAAAATACAAAAAATAGCTGGGCATGGTGGTGGGTGCCTTTAATCCCAGCTACTCAGGAGGCTGAGGCAGGAGAACCACTTGAACCCGGGAGGTGGAGGTTTCAGTGAACCAAGATTGCGCCACTGTACTCCAGCCTGAAGACAGAGCAAGACTCCATCTCAGAAAAACAAACAAACAAACAAAAAAAAGCAAAAGAAGCTGGGACACAGACATGCACCCAGGTAAGACCATCTGAAGACACAGGCAAAAGATGGCCATGTTTAAGCCCAGGAGAGGCCTCAGAAAAACCTAGCCCTGCCAACTCTTTGATCTTAGGCTACTAGCTTCCAGAATTGTGAAAAATTTCTATAGCTGAAGTCAACCAATCTGTGATACTTTGTTATGGCAGCCCTAGCAAAAAAATACAATTCCTTATAAAAATTCTTATAAACTTGAGGGAAAAACAAAAACAAAGACAAAAGACTCTTCAGTTCTTTAGTCATGTTCCTTAGGAGACACTGAGCTCACAAATAAATAAAATAAAAATGGTATGTTTCTTTGATTTCATAGCAAATGTTTTCCATGTGCGAAATAGGTATATTAGAATGTAGAAAGCGAATGAAAATTTGATATAGTGGGTTTTAAAAAAATTACAGTGGGAAAATTAACAATACATAATTTTTGCTCATTCCTAGGTTTAGATATATTTTGATTAATGTAAACATCTGACTTACCTCCCTGGTGACAATACATTTTATTAATTACCATGTAAGAAACTACCTTGTTATCCAGACAAAGAGTCACTCCCTGCTTCCTGAAAATGTGAGTTTCAGTCATGCTAACAATGTTTCTAAATATTTTTTAACTGTCCTACCCTGACTTACGTGGAAAGAAACCCAGAGTTTTTGTCACAAGAACCAGAACAGAAAAGTATGCTGTTGTTAACACAAAAAGTAAGGTGAAGTTTATTGGGAAATCTCTTCTCTCAGGAATGGCAAGTTTCTGGGCGAGCACCCAAGCCCAGCAGAGCCTAGAACCAGGACTCTTATTTTCAGAGATAGCGTAAGTCAGAATTTCCATGTTTGCAGTGCATTCTTCTCTTCATTACATTAATCACAGTTTATTCCAACAGGTGAGAGTGACCTAGAGACTGCTAAAGCAGGGAGGGCGACTTCAGATTTTTGTTGTAAGGCCAATACATATAAAATATTAAAATAGATAATCTAAATATAAAATAAAAAAATGTATAATAAAAAAAAAAGACTTACGACAAGTAACGCCAGAGCCCTATTCACATAAAGCATTGGAAGGAGAGGACATCATTGAGCGGTAAGCACGAAGAGTTTACAAAATCCTGAAAATGCCCTTGAGATCAAAAGGAAGAAATGAGTCCCACCCACAGATAATCACTACTTCTCTTCTCCCATCTTCTCCTCCTTTCCTTCTTCTCTCCTTCCTCTCTTGGCTTTTAGGAAGAGGGCTGATGATCCAGAAGAAGACAGCTAACACTTGAATTAGAGACATAAGGTCTTGAGTACTGAACTCACATGGTTCTGGCTGACAGTGCACTGGTTTTTGGTGTCCATTGGCCAAGGGTAATGGGAGCCAGGGAAAATGCTGTAAAGGAAGGGAGGGAGCCACGATTTGGGAAGGTTTGGAGGTAACTGTTGATCAGTGCTGATTTCTCACCTTCAGGGCTAGCAGCTGTGATGGGTAGAGATGGAGCCCCTCTCCCTCCAATGCCCTCAGGGCTGCTTGGGGTCTCAGGTGGAGCAGGAACCTGGCAGTTCTTGAGTCCTGTTTTTGCCTTCTGGGGCTACTCATCTCTTGGGAGAAGAGCATTGTTGGTGGTGAAAAAGCCACTGAGGTAGACAGGCATGTCAACATGGCGCTCATGACTAGATTGGAAGACACACAGCATTGCATGCATCTGTCCTTTCTTCCTCCTTTCCCTCAACTCCCTCTCTTCTGGCTTTTTGTTGTTGTGTGTTTTGGTTTTTGTACTGGCTTCTTTAGAATTAGCCCAGGAGTCGAGCCAGAAGTCTGCAGTTAGCCTGAGCTCTGTGACTTCCTCACTGAGGGATGTGGGGAATCATTTCATCTCTCTGAGCCCTAACATCATAACCCATAGAAGGAGATAACCATATCTTGACTGCTATCTAAGGGCTTTTCTAGGGGAAAACTGAAATAACATATTTGAATTAGATGATGTGTTTTTAAATGCTTCGTAAACTGAAAAGTGCTTTAAATGTTTAGGTTTTAGATTTGAGTTATCCTTCAATCAAACCAATGTGATGTCCAACCTGTACCAGCCTTTAGGGGTTTGCTTTTAGATCCAGAGCCAATAGACTCCCAAGAAGGGAGCTAACGTGTCTTAGTCTACTTGGTGACTGCCCCATGCCTAAGATGTCATCATTTGGGAATCACAGGTTTGGGAGTAAGATAGTGCTTCTTAAAATGGTGTTAAGGGGAAACTTTTCGTGAGGGTGGGGGGATGATTATGGTAGTCCCTGCTTATCTGCAACGGATACATTCCAAGACCCCCAGTGAATCCCTGAAACCGCAGATAGTACCGAACCCTATGTATATTATGCTGTTCTTATATGTACATACCTACGATAAAGTTTAATTTATAAACTAGGCACAGTAAGAGATTAATAAAATCATAATGAAATAGAACAATTATAATAATATGTGAATGCAGTCTCTCTTTCTCTAAATGTCTTATTGTACTGTGCTTACTTATTTTTCCATGGGGGTTGACTGCCAGTGACTGAAAGGGAAACCGTCGGTTAGAGGGGACCACTGTACCAGGAAAGAGTCTTCAACAGTGCACATACATTTTTTTTAGCTGTTCTATGAAGTTAAACAGGTTTTCTTTTCTCTGGGACTTCCCAGAGTCATTAGCAGGCTAACCTGGCCCATCCATAAAGGAAGATTTAGTTTGCAGTGTTTCTCAGAATTATTTGACCAGGGAACCCATTAAAACCTTTTGCATCGAGGAACACATTTTAGAGTTCCCACTGAGGTGAAACGCAGGCTTTATCAACAAGGCTTTGCATTTGTTATTTTTATTAGCTTATTGGATAATTTCTAAAGTAATAGCAAGGTGAGCATGCTAACTCATGGTATGAGCATAGATAGATAATGCTGGATTGAAAAATAGTTTGAGTGATGGGAGAGAATTGTGGAGGAAAGAAAAGGCACCAGGAGCTTTGGTTTATTAACACAATTTTATTTAATCTTCTCAACAACTTTCTGAAGATAACAGTATTACCACGGTGTTTTTGATAGGGAACCGGAGGCTGAGAGAGGTTGTATTCATTGCCAGTGGTTACACAGTTTGTCAGTGGTGGAGCTGGGATCTGAATTCAGGTCAGCCTGTTCCAAAGTCCAATCTCCTTCCAGAGTAAGATTCATTCCTTCAAGAAGGGGGAAGTGAAAAGGTGAAGAAGACAAGATTTGCTTACCTTACAATTATGCAGGAATGATTGTGGCGAAGCAGCTGTGTGGTCACTGAGGAACACAGTCACCGTTTAGAAAATATGGGTGTCCGTGCCCCTCCTGGGGAAAAAAAAATCTTCTCACTCAGGTGTGTACATTTTAAACTCACAGAAAGCTGAAAGGAATCTAGGAGGAGTTGGGCTCCATAAAAATCACTACCTTTGTGGTTAAAGATTTATTAAGTGATCACAGCATGCTGGGCATATAAATAGACCTGACCCTTGCCCTTAGGGAACCCAGAATAAATACACAAAATTTACAGTCATAGTGTTTGATGTCAGACTAAATGTTTTAGGACCATACATGTTCCAGGATCCTACTCAGTAGGGTTAAAAAACATGGCTTGGGAGGAAGTTGGGAATGAAGGAAGTCATCCAAGCTTTGCAGCCACATCTACCTGGGCTTCTCTACTGTCGCTAGCTTTGCAAGTTAGGGCAAGTTACTTAACTGCTCTGACTCTCAGCTTCCTCTTCCACCAAATAGAAGTGATAATACTTGCCTCACAGGATTAATGTGAAGTGCAAATTACTGTGTGCAAAATGCCAGGCACGTAGTTGGTGATAAACAAATGATAACTATGGCTATTAAAATCTCCAAGGATAGGCCAGGTGTGATAGCTCATGCGTGTAATCTCAGCACCTTGGCGGGTGGATTACTTGAGGTCAGGCAGATTACTTGAGACTAGCCTGGCCGACGTGGTGAAACTCTGTCTCTACAAACAATACAAAAACTAGCCGGGTTTGGTGGTGTGTGCCTGTAGTCCCAGCTACCTGGGAGGCTGAGGCAGGAGAATCTCTTGAACCTGGCAGGCGGAGGTTGCAGTGAGCTGAGGTCATGCCACTGCACTCCAGCCTGGGCAACACAGCGAGTCTCCATCTCAAAAAAAACAAAAACAAAAACAAAAAAACTCTGCAAGGATAACATCCAAGCTCTGTTCCCTGGTACGAAAGGCTGTCTATGATTTAGCATCTACTTGCCTTCCTAGCCTTTGTCCTGCCCCCTCCACTAACTGGCCACTGTGACACAGGCATTCATTTCTTGATGCCTGTCAAAGTCTTCCCCTTCCTTTAAGGTTTCAAGGTTTGGAGCAGTGGTTCTCAAAGTAGGTCTATTGACCCCTGGGGGACCCCAAGATTCTTTCACGATATCCTGATGTCAGAATTATTTTCATAATAATACTAAGATGCTGTCTGCCTTTTTCACTGTGTTAACATTTGCACTGATGGTGCAAATGCAATAGTGGGTAATAGTCAAACAGCCACCACCACTCACTCATAGAAAAAACAAAGCCAGTGTCACATAAGAGTGTTGTTAATGAAATAAAAAATCAGTAACTGTATTAAACCTTGACCTTAAAGTATGCACATTTTAAAATATTTTGCGTGATGGAATGGGAGACACGCATCAAGCACTTTGGTTGCATACTGATATTCACTGGTTGTCTAGAGGAACAGCATTTGTGCCATTGAACTGTGAGCTGAACTGCTCCTTTTTTCATAGAACGGCATTTTTATCTGAAAGAACAACTGATGGACAAACAATGGTTATTCAGACTTGCATATTCGGCTAATATTTTTTTTTCAGAAATGAACCGTGTCCATTACTTCAGGAAAACCAGCTGACGGTATTTGTTGCCAAAAATAAAATTGGGGCTTTCCAGCAAAAACAAGAATTTTGGGAAACTTGTATCCACTACTGTGAGCTTGACAGCTTACAAATAATTAAAGCCTTTTTTGGATGAACTCCATGATAATATTAACAAACGTGATTTTTAAAATATTGATTAATAAAATGTGCCAACATTTTGAAGATCAAAATTTTCCAAATGACCAGTGCATTGTGTTACAAAATTATGCAGGTAAAAGAGCCACTCAAAGTCCATGTAGACCAATGGGTTTTATTATAACAGAGGATAAATGTTCATTGATGTGGTTTCAGGCTTCACATTGCCACTAATCTTTAAGAATTACTAATGAAGCTTCGATGTTGCCATGGTTTGGGTGTTTCTGTTCCCCAAAATTCATATTTTGAAACCAAAATGTATTTTTTATATTTTCTATTTTGTTTGTTTGTTTGTTTTTGAGACGGGAGGCTCACTCTGTCATCCAGGCTGGAGTGCAGTGGCACTATCACGACTCATTACAGCCTCAACCTTTCCAGGCTCAGGTGGTCCTCCCATCTCAGTTTTTGTATTTTTAGTAGAGATAGGGTTTCGCCATGTTGCCCAGGCTGGTCTTGAACTCCTGGGCTCAAGCAATCCACCTGCCTCGGCCTCCCAAAGTGCTAAGATTACAGGCATGAGGCACCATCCCACCAGCTTTCCCAAGCCTCCAGCTTGCAGATGGTAGATCATGGAATTTATAAGCCTCCATCATTGAATGAGGCAATTCCTCACAATAAATCTCTTTCTACATATCTGTTTATATCCTATTAGTTTTGTTTCTCTGGAGAACCTTGACTAATACAAATATTCTTGAAATGAAACAATAGCTCATTTATTTGGAATAGGTTCCTAGAAATAGGATTACTGGACCAACAGGAATTACAAAATGCAGTTTGATTAATTTAAATATATGCAACTTGAAGGATGCTATGTTTGTATTATGGCCAATGCCATATGTCTGCATTGTCACATGGAAAGTCTGAGGCCAAATAGAGCTTTCCATTTTGTAGAGTCAGCTTCTGACACATTTTGCAGAAAGATAAAGGTTTGCTTTCTGCATCGTTCTGCCCAAATCTCTCTGCCGCCCACACTACCACATTACTATCTCTTATACTTAGGTGCTGAGAGATATCTGCTGTAGACTTGGGTCTGAGGGGATGTATTTGTCAGAGATCTTAGCACAAGCCGCTGAAACCAAGCCTGGCCAATTTAAGCAGTAAGAAGTGTATTAAAATATTAGGTCATTAACTAAATTTCCAGGAGCTCCAGAGAGCTAGGACTGGAGCCCATGTGGCCAGGATAAACCTCCCATATCACAGCAGAACCATTCCTAAGAAGACTCCGCTGCTTGCACCACCTTGCTGTGACTGTCTCTGGAGGTCACCATCACCTCTGCCTCCATTGCAGTAGGGTAGATGCCAGTGGACCCTGAAGCTCCTGAGTCACTCTCCAGTACAGATGCTCTGGTTAGGCATCTTGTAGGTGTCTTAATTCAAGTTGCAAAGGAGGCTAAAAAAGCAAGAGTCTGTCACTGGAAGTGGCTCATGCTTCCCACCAAGACATCAAAAGGGGCTGCCCATAATATTGAAGAATGGCTCAGATGCTGAGCTGCCAAAAATGAATGACAAATGCTTACCATAGACAGTAACAATGACAGTCAAGCCGCTGGAAGCCTAGTGTCTATTCTAGGAGGCGGGAGACAGATGGGCCTTTCTGTTCACTACAGTGGAGGAACCAGGTCTGATTCATCATCGTTTTCTAGTTCTGAGGAGAAGGTAGGTGTGCAGTAAGTTTTTCCTGGGTGAATGAATGGTTAGACACTGCTGATGAAGAGGGATGCTGTCCTTTATGCAGGGTGCTGATGCTCTCCATGCCATTCTGTTTCATGGATGCTGTCACTGGGAGTAGGATATCACGTGTCAGGCTGAAGACACCCACTGTCACATGGTCTTCACCGGCCTCCATTTTGGGGAGAAGGGAATTGTTTAAGCCACACTGGCTCTGTTTTCTCAATCTCCAAAAAGGGTACTGAGGACTGGTTTTTAAGTGTATTCTCTTGTAAGATGAAAAACAATAATTTCCACATTAAGAAAAAAATCCAATGAGACTGAAAATTCAGGACACCTGGTGGAAACTTGAAGCTTTTTACAAGAGCCACTATTCAGGCCCAAAAGGGTCACACAGGAAAGCATATGCCATTCTGGATTTTTGTTTCTGGATATTTTATTGTTTTGCTCTCTTACACCACTCCAGCACTGCACACTCTTTAAAAATAAAATAATTTTTAAGAGAGCTGGTTGTGTACGTTTATAGATAGGAGAGAGGAGTTTGGATAAGTAGCCAATTCTGACTGATTTTGATTTCCTAAGTCTGATTTCCATAATTAGAAAAGGGGAACGCAGTCACAGATGATGTCATCTGTTGGAACCACTGAAGAATGAAGACAGTTGGGTTGCTGCCTTTGTTCATTCTGGCTTTTGCCAAGTGTGGAAGTGGAACAGCAGCTTGGGATCATGGTTGGCAAGGCACCTGAATGTCAGAGCTTGTTTTGCAGGACCTTGAAGGCAATTCCTTTTAAAGGCACCAGGTCTCTATCCTATTTTGTGTCAGTTTTTTTTCCCTCCTTCCTAAATAGATCATTTCTAGCTGTAGATATCACAAATGCAATTTACACTTCATTCAGACATCTGAGACACCGTATGCTAACTAACAACAGAAGTTGGAGTAAAAAAAGCAGGGAAGTGAAAAACACAAGCCTTCTTTGGCTCACCAGTACACCCACTAAATCTCATCCAGCAAAACTGTTTTACATTGAGACCAGCTTGCCTAATGGTGATGCGTCTCCAATCCCATATGGATTTGACGTTTTCTTGCAGTGTGCTTTTCCCTCACTATGCAGATACTAACTGATCTGCCTCCTCCCAGATTTTTTCAAGTAATTGGTTGCTTGCTGTCTGCAAACCCAGACACTTTTGAGGTATAACATGAACCACCCTCTTAACCAGTGTTTTCGTGTTTGAGTTGCTGCCACTGATGCTGCTCCTGGGAGCCAGCCGACGGGTCAAGTCCCTTTCGGCTGATGAAGATGTGGATGCTCAGAGCTCGGAGTTAAAATCCAACAAGTGGCCGGGCGCGGCCGGAAGCGGTGGCTCACACCTGTAATCCCAGCACTTTGGGAAGCCGAGGCGGGCGTTTTCACCTGAGGTCAGGAGTTCGAGACCAGCCTGACCAACATGGCAAAATCCTGTCTCTACTAAAAAAATACAAAAATTAGCCAGGTGTGGTGGTGCACAACTGTAGTCCCAGCTACTTCAGAGGCTGAGACAGGAGAATCGCTTGAACCCTGGAGGCGGGAGGTTGCAGTGAGCTGAGATCGTACCACTGCATTCCAGCCTGGGTGACAGAGTGAGACTCTGTCTCAAAAATAAATAAAATAAAATAAAATAAAATAAAATCCAACAAGTAACAAAGTTGGACAAGGTCTCCTAGGTCACTTCCAGCCCTAATTTCTCCTGTATTCCCCAGCATAGCCCCAGCAATTGAGAGCATGTAATAAGTATTAACAACTGCATGTGTTGACAGGGCTGAATATATTTAAACACAGGATAACAATGGCAAACATTTGCAGAGTGTTCACTACGTGCCAGGCACCATACTACTTAGCACCTTACATGTATGATCTCAGTCAGTTCTCACAGCAATGCCACAAGGAAAGAACTATTATTACTCCTATTTTAGAGACGGGGAAACTGAGGCAGCAGATGGCTTAAGTAACTTGCCCAAGGCTGCATTTAGTAAGACGCAGAGCTGCAGTATGAACAATGGCCATCCCACTCCAAAGTCCACATTCTTCAGAATTATAACAACATCAATAATAAGACAACAAATATTTACATAGTGTGCCAGACACTTGTTTAAGGGTGGTATGTGGAATCAACTCCTATAATTTTTACAAAAAAAAAAATGAGAAAAGTCTACCTTTTACAGATGAGAAAATGGAAATGCAGAGATGTTAAGGAACTTGCTCAAGGTCACGCAGTGTGTAAGGGCCAGAGCTGGGATCTGAAGGATCTGAACCTAGGCTTCAGAGTATGTGTTCTTAACCACATGCTGTTTGGGAGGCACTTCCTTGATTTGGCTACAGAATTATGATAAAGCTACCCCTCCTCATCCATGACAAGGAAGGAGAGTGCAGCTTCCAGTTAGGAGTTCTTTTGGTCAGGTTCTGTGCTCTGTGTTTCTAAGTCATGCTATCAGCACCTGTGTGGACATCTCTACTCCTCCCATATGCAGATGGCTTTCATGGGTGGTCCAAATGGCCTAAATCATTTCCTGCATATTTCTAAGAAAGGAAAAAAGTGTGACCGTAATTACTTCCACAAGGGAGGATCAGTGGTTCCAAGTATGAATCCTAGTGTGGTGAAGGGAACCAAAATGTGCTACCCCTAAATACGCATCTTTGGATCTTTGGCAGATAGATTATTTTGAACTAAAAACCATGGAGAATGAGCAGACCTAGGAAAAGCTCCAATTTTTTTTTTTTTTTTTTTTTTTGAGATGGAGTTTTGTTCTTTCTCCCAGGCTGGAGCGAAGTAGGATGATCTTGGTTCACTGCAACCTCCACTCCCCGGGTTCAAGCGATTCTCCTGCCTCAGCCTCCCAAGTAAATGGGATTATAGGGGCCTGCCACCACACCTTGCTCATTCTTTTGTAGAGATGGGGTTTCACCATGTTGGCCAGGCTGTTCTCAAACTCCTGATCTCAGGTGATCCACCTGCCTCAGCCTCCCAAAGTGCAGGATTACAGACGTAAGCCACCACGCATGGTAAAAAGCTCTTTAAAAATGGAGTACAAGTTTTTTTTTTTTTTGTAAAAAGAAAAGAAATTACGTCTGGGCGCGGTGGCTCATGCCTGTAATCCCAGCACTTTGGGAGGCCAAGGCAGGTGAATCTCCTGAGGTCAGGAGTTTGAGATCAGCCTGACCAACATGGCGAAACCCTGTTTCTACTAAAAATACAAAATTAGCTGGGCATAGTGGCAGGTGCCGGTAATCCCAGCTAGTCGGGAGGCTGAGGCAGGAGAATTGCTTGTACCCAGGAGGCAGAGCTTGCAGTGAGCCGAGATGGCTCCATTGCACTCCAGCCTGGCAACAAGAGCGAAACTCCGTCTCAAAAAAATAATAAATAAATAAATAAAAATTACATTTATAAAGGAGATTTTTATATTAAAAGGTGTCACCTACCAGGATGAGCAGGACTCTTAACTCTTATCATCAGAGATGGCACTGACTTCAATCTGCACAACCAACCTTACTAAACGATTCTTGTTTACCATACTTTTGCTGGTTACCTTCTCATAACTTGCCTTCCCGGCCCCAAGGTTCCAATTCCTTTTTGCCTTGTTTAGCCTTAAGATGATATATTGTATAAGTCCAAGTTTTCACCACCACTTTGGGTTGCTTGTCACTGGGTGTGCCCTTGTGGAGACATGATCCACGTGTTAGTAAACTTCTGTTTGTTTTTTTCTTGTTGATCTGTCTCTTGTGAACCTAATTTATAGGGCCCCATCCGGAGGACCTAAGATAGGCAGAGAAAAAATATTTTTTCCCCTCCTCTCCAGAGGGAACAGTGTACTGGTCCCTGGAATCTAAAGTGCACAGAACATGCAGTAGGTGATATACTATGGGTTCCTTGGATGTCCAGTAGCAATGGTGATTGCTTGGTCCAGTAGCCCCCACCCCTTCTGTAGACCACAGTTGTGGGTGTGTGACTTGGCTGGGCCAAGCTGAAGCCTCCCCAGGGATTTTCCTGGCTGGGGCTGCTGAAAAAAAAGCTTGTTTTTGTCTCTTGGTGCCTAAAGTTGTTAGCAGTGGTCTGGGGTCATGCTCTGTGTCATGTGGGTAGAAAAGAATGATGCTGGCAGCAGAGAGAGTGGTGGAAAAAGCCCAGGAGACCTTGGGGCCCAGGCTGTAGTCTTCCCCAGTCACTTCCCTGTCCTTCCTGGTTGTGTGAGACAGTAACTTGCTCTTTCAGTTGCGTGGAGTTGGGTTCGCCACTTGCAACTGACTAGAAACCATTCAGGAGGGTTTATTCAATCCTTTTAAAGGTATTCTGTGGCTCTTTCCTCATATATGCCAGCTTGATGGTGTGCACTGACTCTGATTATAGCTTTGTAGTGCCATTTCAAGGGCCTTGTTCTCAAGTAAAGACACATCTGTGACCATTATTACAGAGTGCCTAAGAAAGAAAAAAACTTTTAACTGAGGAATGCGAGCCCCTTTAAGTTATCAGGCCCAGAAAGGCATTGAAAATTAATAGCCATCACCGTTAAGCTTTTACCTTGAACTACTACCTCTTTAAGCACTTGCTATGTGGGCTTTAGACAACCAAGTCATTTTATAGCTGAGTAGCTATGCAATGCCATCTACCTTATAGTTGAATAATCACTAACCAATGTTATTTCTGTGAACCAATGAGAATTCCTGTCAAACAATTGCCCCCCTCCTGATTTGCCCTTTTTTTCTTTAAAAATGTGAGCTTCTCTTTTGTTCTCAGGAGCACTCGCAAAGGCAACTTGGGAGTATGTCCCAGGCTGCAGTCCTCTACCTTTGCACTTGAATAAACTCTTTTGAAATTAGATTCTGACCTTTGTGATTATGAGAGAGGAGAGAGGAAGAAACAAGTTAGGCAGATAGTTAGGACAAGTCCTCAGAAGAATTCTTTTCTAACAAAAAGAGCAGCCTGAAAGATCAAGCTACATGCATAGATAAGGAAGCAAGGCCCAACATAAAAAAAAAAAATGCCTTTTGTGTAGCCAGCAAGTTCTACATATACACAGTGGGTTTCAGTGAGCACATCCCTTCCCTTTTTTGGACATACTCAGATAAGAGAACCTGCACAGGGGTTTTGCCTAAAATATGCCTAAATATGCAGTTTCACAGATAAGATACACAGAATCAGGCACATCCACAATGGAAAATTCCACCCCCGGCACATGTGCAAAAAAGAAAGTTGAACAACATGAAGTAACTCAGGCTAAAAGCCTACATGTGCACTAGAGGGACAGGGTGAAACTGTCAGGAATTTGTGCCTTATGCAAATGAAACACTTAGTCCTGACCAGTTTTTTTGTGCCTTATGCAAATAAAGCATCATGTCCCACCAGCCTGTTTATAAAAGTCCTTGTATTCAACTGTGAAACAGCAATCCTCTTTTGGGTCCCCTCTCCACAATGGAGAACTTTCTTCTTTCGCTTATTAAACTTTTGCATCAACCTCACCCTTGGTGTCCACCCTCCTTAGTTTTCTTGGTCATGAGACAAAGAACTTCAGGTGATACCTCAGGCAATGAGATCACTTCAATTATTTTAGGTTGACAGGCCACTGATTTGTGATTTACTAGGCATATTAGTTTGCTAGGGCTGCCAAAATAAAGTACTCACAACTATGTAGCTTAAACAACAGAAATGTGTTGCCTTTACAGTTCTGGCGGCTAGAAGTGTGAGATTAATGTGTTGACAATGTAACTGCCTGATGGGTTCTTCCTGCCCACTGCACAAACAAAATTGATTCACCAAGACCATCACATTGCAGTAAAGAAATAGTTTAACTGACATGAGATGGAGCTAATAATCACATCAATCTCCCTGAAGTCTTGGAGGTGAGGGCTTACAAAGAGAGTTTGGTGAGCAAGGGAGTAAGATGGGGACATGCTGATTGGTTGGGTTGGAGAAGAAATGATAGGAAATCAAAGCTGTCCTCCTGTGCTGAGTCATTTCAAGAGATCATAGGATGGGTTGGCGGGTCCAGGTGGGGCCATCCAGTTGTCAGAAATGCAAAAACCTGAAAAGACATCTCAAAAGGCCAATCTTAAGTTCTACAATAGTGAGGTTATTTTCAAGAGTAATTGAGGAAGTTGCAAATCTTTTGACCTCCAGAATAATGGCTGGTAATTGTTTAGAATTCAAGCCCCTCTCTTCCTAACTTGGTGGGCCTTTCATTAGTTTTACAAGAACAATTTAGTTTTTGGCAAGGGCTATTATCACTTAAACTATAAACTAAATTCCTAAAATTAGCTTGGCCCATACCCAGGAATGAGCAAATGCAGCCAATCTGTGAAGCTACAGACAAAATGGAGTCAGCTATATCTGATTTCTCTTACTGTCGTAATTTTGCAAAGGTGGTTTCAACAGGGTTGGTTCCTTCTGAGGACACTGAAGGAGAATGTGCCCTAGGTCTCTTCCCCAGCTTCTGTTGGTTTTTGGCCCATCTTCGATATTCTTCAGCTTGTAGCTGCATCACCTGATCTCTACCTTGATATTCACATGACATTCTCCCTGTGTGCATCTGCCCTCCAATTTCCTTTTTATGTAAGGACACTTGTCATATTGGATCGGAGCCTGTCCTAATGACCTCACCTTAACTACTTACATTTGCAATCTTACATTTGTGACCTATTTCCAAATAAGGTCACATTCTGAGGTACAGGGACTTAGGACTTCAACATATACATTTGTAAATGTAACAGATTCATTGCCTAGTACACTCAACAAGTCAATATGCCAAAATATGGGGTTGCAGCAGAGAAAGATGTTCAATCATAAGGCTGTTAAATGAGGAGATGAGACAGGAGGAAGCCTCAAATCCATCTCCCTGGGGAGTGTGGGGTTAGAGCTTTAAAGAGTTTTGGAGTGGGCTAAAGTGTGGAGATTGTTGATTGGTGGAGGAGAGCTGGGTGAAGTTATGGGACAGGGAGATGAAGAAACTATATTCTCACATTGATTTGGTCCCTCTGTGGGGGTCTTTAAAGTGGTTTGTGTCATCTGTTCTGCTTGAATTCAGGTTCTGCTTAAGCAATTCTTAAGCAAAAGCCTTGTGATTCTAACATCAGAAGTCCTATCTATAGAAACAGTGTGGATGCAAATGGTCAGTGTCTAGTGCTATATCACTTTTGGTTATAAGGAAGTGGGCCACAGTGTTATAGTAGGTAGCTGGTCAGACATAAACAGAGCAGCAGAGGGCTTCCCCCACCGTACACCCACCAGGAATGTCAGGTGACCATCAGATGATGGTCAGGCAGTTGTTAAGCTGTCTGTCTAAGATAATAATCGGGTGCAGTTGGCCCCAGGGAAGGGCAGTCCCCCAATAGATAGAAAAACTTGAAACTGGTGATCAGCAGCTTCCTGATAAGATCTCAGGAATTGAGTGAATTGGCTCAAACATGTACATTAAGAGGCAAAATAGTGGAGTTTAACTGGCATATGACCTTCTAGGGACGTTTGACTGGTAAGGGAAGAATGCCTTGAGTGAGCACACATACGGCTCTAGTAAACACTACACATACTCACCTCCTAAGTGCTAGCAGGCCACTGTGCATGCAAACAGCCTACCCAAAGGGAATAATCAGGGGACAAAGGATGTGAGACCCTGGAAGCATGCCAACTCATAAAACTCCAAGTCAAAAGTCAAATGGCACATTGATCTCTCAAGTTGCCTGCTTACAAGTGTACTTTCCTTCCTGCTCTAAAGCTTTTTAATAAACTTTCACTCCTGCTCTAAAACTTGCCTTGGTCTCTTCTTGGTGAATTCTTTCTTCTGAGGAGGCAAGAATTGAGGTTACCGCAGATCCGTATGGATTTGCTGCCAGTAACAACAGTGCAGCCTATTGCAATCTTGCCAATGCACCACAGTGCAGCAGTCTCTCACCGCTCAAGGTATCACCCAAAGTTCTTTGTCTCATGATAAAGAAAATTAAGGAGTGCAGACACCAAGAGTGAGGTTGGAGTGAAAGTTTAATAAGCAAAAGAAGAAAGCTCTCCACTGCGAAGAGGGGGCTTGAAAGAGGTTGCCATTTTTACAGTTGAATGAAAAGGCTTTTATAAGAAACTGATGAGGGTTGCATGTCTCATTTGCATAAGTTGCAAATTTCTGGTAGCTCCACTCAGTCCTCCCAGTGCGCATGCAGGCCCTTATCTTGAGTTACTCCATATTGCTTTGTTCCCCTTACTGGCCATGTGTCAGGGGATGGAATTTTCCATTGTGGGCATATGTGGGCATCTGTGTAGCCTTTCTTTTCTGTGTGGCTGGGGGCATATCTTAGCCAAGGCCCCCTGTGCAAATTTCCTTATCTGTGTCTGCAGCTCAATTTTTCAGGCTGTTGTTTTGTTTGAAAGAATTCAACTGAGGACTCACCCTAACTGCCTGCCTGACTGGTTTCTTCCTTTTTCTTCTCTCAGCCTGATTAATGCTTAATTATAAACTATATTTCTGTCTGTAATTCTTGTTAACTCCGTGACAATGGCTTCAAATCTTAGGGGACACAACTCAACCCTTAACACTAGGGAATCAAGCAGGGAGACTGAGAAACAAGGTGGTGGTAAGGGAAACCAAAAATATTTCAACCTAAAATATACTTCATTGACATCTTTTGAGATGTTTTTCCAGAGGGTTTCAAACTGGAATAACCCTGAAAACCTGCCTTTTGTGGAGGAGATTTGCATCTGTAAAGAAAAATCTACATTAGCAAAATAAACATCCAGGCTTTGTCGGAGGGCCTGTCCGGATCTAGACTTAACCACAGGCTGCGTCTCTTCTTTCTGGTATGTGTTACCTGTGACTTTCATCTGCATAACAAGATCACCCTTGCTTACCTTATCTTCTTTTCTCTCCCTCCCATAACCTGTCTTGCCATGCTCTGAGCCTCTATTCTTTCTGTAACTTCAAGATGGTATAAAAGCATCAATCGTCAGGCCCTTTCCTTAAGTTTTCATATTTCTTTTAATTTTTTTTTCAGAGACAGGGTCTTGCTCTCTTGTCCAGGCTAGAGTTCAGAGGCATGACATGACTCACTGAAGCCTCAACCTCCCAGGCTCAAGGGATTCTCCCACCTCAGCCTCCTGAGTAACTGGGACTACAGGTGTGTGCCACCCTTCCCAGCTCATTTATTTATTGTTTAGATATGGGGTCTCACTATGTTGCCCAGGCTGGTCTCAAACTCCTGGGCTCAAGCAGTCCTCCCACTTCAACCTCCCAAAGTATTTGGATTACAGGTGTGAGCCAACATGCCCAGCCAAGTTTTCATATTTTGTATGACTCCTACATGTGCACATTAAAGACATTTTTTATGACTCTTTTCTCCTATGAATCTGCCTTTTGTCAGATGGTTTTCAGTGAACCTGCAAGAGGGCAAAGGGGAAGTTTTCCCTTGGTCCCTACAGTAGCTTTGGGAAGTAGACACACAGAAAGCATGGAGCCTGGATTCTAATTTTACTTGTATGAGTTGCTTTACCTTGGTGACATTGGAAGTCACTTAACTTTTCTAGGTTTCAAAGGTGAGCAGAGTGGGCTAGATTGGTGGTTTTCAAAATACATTCCATGGACCCCCTGGGGACCATGGTTGGGAGATAAACTGGCAGATCATGAAACACACAGCATGAGATATTTTGCAAACCCTGCACTTGATGGATCAGTTGGCACCACCCATATTGATAAACTGGCTCATCTGATCTTGTGGCCCCCACCCAGGAACTGATTCAGTGCAAGAAGACAGCTTCAACTCCCTATGATTTCATCTCTCACCTGACCAATCAGCACTCCCAGCTCACTGGCTTCACCTCTACCCACCAAGTTGTCCTTAAAAACTCTGATCCTCGAATGCTGAGGAAGACTGATTTGAGTAATAATAAAACTCCTGTCTCCTGCACAGCCAGTTCTGTGTGAATTACTCTTTCTCTGTTGGAATTCCCCTATCTTGGTAAATCAGCTCTATCTAAGCAGTGGGCAAGATGAACCCATTGGGTGGTTATAATCACACACTTGCCCCACTTCACATTTACTCTACCCCATAACTACCAAGTGGTCTACCCTGGTGGAGGGGAATATTCTACCACTGACACCATTTAAAACTGAGTGCATGGTGGTAATACAAATCAGACTCACTCTTGCTTGGCTTTTTCTTTTTTTTTCAATTCTCTACAAATAATGCACTCCCCTATTGCCTATGACCTGGGCAGATAATTCAGGTGGATTGATCCCGCCGACCCCTACCTTCGTACAGCACTGCTGCGCCACACTAGTTGTTTTTAAAATCTGTTTTATGTGTAAGATTCCAAGAAGAATTTTGTTTGAAATAAAGGGCTCTGCTAAAAAAATTACTTTAGTCCACACGCACACAAAAAGGATTACTCAGTTTCCTTCTAGTTAGAAGATTCTATGTGCTTCTATACAAGCAGCTTCAATATTTCTATAATTGTTATCCTCTACCTTTCAGAAAGTTAATTTTATTAATTATTTAGGAAACATTGCACTAAAGATTGCTGGGGTATGGAAAACATTTTCAGTTTTCACTGAGAGTAGGCTCCAAGTAAAACCACCTTTGCAAAACTTGTTTAACAGTGAGAAAATTATGACACTGAAAGAGTTTTGACCTAACCAACTCCATCTTGCTTTTAACCTTCAAGCTGCCCTTGTTTATTCCTGGGCGTAGGCAGAGCTAACTTTGGGAGGAATTTAGTTTATAGTTTAACTTTGAAACAAAGATAACAGCCTGCCCCAAAACAAAACCCTTCCTTGCCTGGGGACAAGACCTCCTTTGTGAAACTAACAAATTATCCACAAGATTAGAAATTATGGTTCAGGAGTCAAGCAGCCAGATGCCACAAGATCAGTAACCTCCTAAGTTGTTCCTATAGACAACATTACTATTGTCAAACCTAAGATTGGTGTTTGAGGTATTTTTCCCAGTCTGGTAAACAGGCTCATTTGGTCTTGTGGCCCCCCACCCAGAAACTCACTCAATGCCAGAGGACAGCTTCAACTCCCTATGATTTTATCCCAGACCCAACCAATCAGCTGTCTCCCTTCCCTTGCCCCCTGCCCACCAAACTATCTTTAAAAACCTCTGGCCTCTGGGGAGGCTGATTTGAGTAATAATAAAACCTGTCACCTGTTTAGCCAGCTCTTCCTCTATTGCAACCCCCCGTGTCTTGATAAATTGGCTTTACCTGGGCAGCAGGCAAGAAGAACCCATGGGGTGGTTACACAACTGGGAGACTCATGAGTTACAAGGTGGATGCCTCATCTTAACATAAGTGAGGCAGGCGAATGGCTCTTTGTCTCCTAGCTCCATGGGAAGATTGGCCATTAATTTGGAGAATTGTTCTTTCTCTTAACTCTCCCATTTAAGCAACCTGGAATATCTCACATATATTCTTTCTGCTGGGAAGGAGGGTCTTTGTGGTATGCCTGTATGTGTAGTGTTAGGTTTGTCCCCCAGTGAAAACACCAATCTATAGTTTACGCATCATGGAGTCTTGTACATCTGTGGTACCAAATCGTCCACCCGGTGTCCCTGCCCAAGGGCTGCCCCATTTTGAGACCACGAGGGCTGTCTGTGAATGCAGTGGTGATTCTCTTTCCCCCTTACCTCCTAGGATCCTGTGTCTACAGCATTAGCACCACCACCCTGCTAAGAGTTTCTCTTACCTCATTCTTCTTTTCATTTTGGAAAAAAGAAATGAATTTTGCTGCATCATGGTCATCACTAATGCTTATTAAGCACTTAACTCTGCACCAGACATTGTTTCATGTGTTTTACATATACAGTATTAACCTGCTTAATTTTCCTAATAACCTTTTGGGGGAGGTACTGCCATCACCCTCACTTACCCAGGAGGAAACAGCACAGAGAGGTTAAGTAACGGGCTTAAATGGAGAAGTGGCAAAGTGGGCCTGACCCAGAAAGCCTGTGGTATTACCACCACCATATACACCGGGTACATGTTAGAAGTTCTTTTGGAAAGCAGTTATTTGAATTGCATACCTTTTTCTAGCCATTGAAGCAACCCCTATTAACCCTTTCAACACGCTAGAAAGAGAGCCTAACGACTTTTATAAAGCAATGAAATAGTCCATAAGTAGTAATCTAGAACAGAACTAATATATATCCCACTGGTTCTTTGAGGAGTGGGAGTGGAGGAGGGAAATAAATATATTTTGAGTTAAAATTCAGCACGCCAGTGACATTGTTTTCTGTTCTTGCAACGTAGGGGTAAATTCTGTTCCTGCAATGTGGTGTTAAATGTGACCTCCTCTGGTCCCTCCTGCTCTTGTGGGGAAAGAATTTCCCTGGTTTCTGTTCCATGCATGGCAGTGGGGGCAGGTCCAGAAACAAAAGGTGTCATTTGAGAAGTGGGTGGTCGGGCAGGGAGTTGGCAGTGGACAGGGGCAGCAATTGCTCCAAGGTGAAAAAAGTGCTTGTTCCTACTTTGGGGTCTGCATACGTTTATTTTCTGTTTTTACGTTGCAACTTCTATAAGCAATCAAGTTATAGCATATAAAAGCTTTTCCTTTTCTTTCTCTCTCTCTCTCTTTTTTTTTTTTTTTTTTTTTAGTTAACAGAAGAAAATTTTGTTTAGCTTCATATAAACAGAATTAATCTGTGTTATGGAACACTTTAGAAGGTATAGATCATGCCATCCTCCTTTCTGTCCCTTTGGTCTCTGCCACAGTTCACTGCATTAACTTTATAACCCATTTTTTCCACTCCCTCTCCAGATCATCCTCTATGCTGTTTGTTGTTGTGTTGTATTATTGGTCTAAAAATATGAGGAGTCTGAGTGTTTCCCTCATACACAAACCCCTGCATTATTGTATTAGTCCATTCTCACGTTGCTGATAAAGACATATCCAAGAATGGGTAATTTATAAACAAAAAGAGGTTTAGTGAACTCACAGTTCCATATGGCTGGAGACGCCTCACAATCATGATGGAAGGCGAAAGTTACGTCTTACACAGGGCAGGCAAGAGCAAATGAGAGCCAAGCAAAAGGGGAAACCTCTTATAAAACCATCAGATCTTGTGAGACTTATTCACTACCATGAAAACACTATGTGGGAAACTGCCTCCATGATTCAGTCATATCCCACTGGGTCCCCCCCACAACACATGGGAATTATGGGAGCTACATTTCAAGATGAGATTGGGCAGGGACGCAGCCAAACCATATCAATTATCTTCTCCTTGTCTGGCAAACAAACTGGAAACCCAGTCCATCTTTGCAGCTGTAAAGGTCTCATCCTGCATCCTTAGGTCTTTTCCTCACTTCCCTGCCCCTCAAAATCCTTCTCTTTCTTTCAAGACTTCTCTCATACGTTACCACTACAATAAAGCCTCAGCCACTGCCCACAAATGTAATTAACTTCCTCCTCCTAGCTCCTTCCATCTGGTCAAAGCAGCATCCTACATGTCTCCAGGATGTTTTAGAGACCTTGTTGAATTCTTCCAGTTACAATTTCAAGTTCATTCTGTGTATAGTTTTTGAGCACCTGGACCCAGGTATATGATGAAAAGAAAATAATCTCCTTCCTTATTACTTTCCTCCTGGTGCTTACTCAGCACTTCCTTCCTATCCTTTACGGATGCCATTTCAAAAATGTCAAACTGCTGCCCAGCCACATTCTAGTATGTGTAGCTGGACATGTCACAATATGATTAGATGTTTTCTGATGATTTTAAGTTCTTCTGAGGCATTTAATTATGACCCCATGGATACAGGTTCAAATTGAGGGTAGGCTGACTTTTTTTCCCTGGAACTGAGAACAAAAATCTAGTGGGTTTTTTGGGTCTGCTTTTGTTTTAGAAAACAATCTCAAAAATGTTACAAATTTGTAAAAAAACAAAAAACCAAACACAAACAAAAAATCTCAAACAAACAAAAAACCAAAGCAAAACACTGCAATTACCAAAACCCATTCTCTTTTCCTTGAAGCCAAGACACATAGATGTAATTGAAGAGTGTATTTTGTTTTGCTGGGTCTAGTTGACCAGCAGCATCCCTAGGGTTCATCAAAATTTGCTAGGTAATTCCCACATCACCCCCCCAAAAATTTCCTTGTTTTTTAAAATAGCTATACTTCACATTGCTTTCTTGTAATACTAGCTTTGTGTAATTGCTTTCTTAGGAGGAATGAGGGTGAAAGCTAGTATATATTGTTCATAAGAAACGATGGAAGGAAGCAAAATGACTGGTCCAGAAGGTTTCTGATTATGTCATCAGGATAAAAATTAAATGGTATCATTTGAGTGTTTTTACATGAGTCATTTATATTAAAAATTTTTAAAAATATTTTCACTGTAGAAAAAATAAAAAGAAAACCAGTTCTTACCCTTCCAAAACAAAACCAATATAGAGATAAATAGAAGCTGTAGGAGTGAAAAAACACTGTTACTGTCCTCTTACCAATGGAAGGAGCAGCAGGTCTCCCAGTCTTCATTCTGACATTGATAGAGGCAGACAAATGCCTAGGCAGATAGGGGTGGGCCCATGGCAAAACCCCACCTTCAAGCCGAAGACAGTTTAAAGCCTGAAAGCCAAGCTGCAAGTTAAATCCTCTGACCAGATTGGGAACTTGTCTTCCCATTTGGCATGTTTTCCTCTGATTGGTCCCCACCCTTCACCTATTTTACATATACCTACTCTTTCCTAACTGGTTTTTGTACACTTTCTTGCTCACCTTTAAGTGGTGTCTTTGCTTTAAACTTTTTTGCATACTCACAGACCAATCAGCATGCACTCCCCATTCTGAGTCCATAAAAGGCTCCAGACCCAGCCACATGGGGGAGCCATCACCCTGTCCCCTCTCCACTGAAAGCTGTTTTCATCACTCAATAAAATTATTCTCCACCCTCCTCACCCTCCAATGTCCTGTGCATCCTCATTCTTCTTGGGCACAGTACAAGAGCTCGGGAACAGCAGAACGCAGGTATAAGCTATAACACAGGTGTGCTGGGGTATGTCAGGATGGCTGAGTGAGGCCCCAGTGGGGCGTTGTCAGTCAGGGGTCCCTGGCTTGCAAAGTGACATTGCAGGGACCCCTGGCTGGCAATGCCCCACTGGGGCAAGAATGAAAAAAATGGTGTTCATTTAGTCAGCCTATTTTAGGTGGCATCCTTAAACATCAGCCATCTAAAATAGGCTGACTTTATCTGGATCAATCTATAACTGATTACTTCTTTAGTAGCTGTTATTTAGCTCAACAAGAATAGAACAGGCTCAATGAGATGTCTTCAGGCTAATTTATAAGCCCTGCTGCCGTTAAATAAAAACCTTGTAGTAAAAAACATACCTTACTAAATGTACCATCTTAACTATTTTTAAGTGTACAATTAATTTGTTATGTATTCACACTGTTGTGCAAAAGATCTCTAGGATTTTTTTCATCTTGCAATACTGAAACTCTGTGCCCACTAAAAAACACGAATTTCCCCTTTCTCCTTTCCCCAGCTCTTGGTAACCACTTTTCTATATGATTTAGATTAAATTCGATACTTCATATATGTGGAATCGTACAGTATTTGTCCTTCTGTGACCGGCTTATTTTGCTTAGCATAATATCCTCTAGGTTGCAGCATGTGACAAAATTTCCCTTTATTTAAAAGCTGTGTAATATTCCATCATATGTACACACCACATTTTCTTTATCCATTTATCTGTTGATGGACATTCAGGTTTCTCTTGCCTCTTGGCTGTTATGAGTGCATTGAACATGGGTGTGCAAATATTTCTTTAAGATTCAGTTTTCAATTCTTTTGGACATATACTCAGAAATGGAATTGCTGGATCATATAATAATTTTATTTTTAATTTTTGAGGAAACTTCTATGCTCATTCCAGAGATATGTTAGAGGTAGATTCACTCTACCTCTAAAATGATAATTCACTAAGGGGTGATGATAAGGGGTGATGATAAGGGGTGAGAAAGAGGGAGTCAATGACAAGTAACATTTATATAGCTTGGGTAGTTGAGTAACATTGTTTACTCAATTAGAAAATATATGAAGAGCAGGAAAGACAATGGGGTTCTTTGTGGGAAATGTTGAATTTGAGATGCCTATGAAACCTTCTGGTGGAAATGCCTCATAAAAAGTTGAGAATACAGGTGGGTATCTCAGGAGACAGATCAGGACTCAAGATGTATCTTTGTTAGGGAATTAGCCTCTAGTAGGTATCATGGTTTTTGTTTGTTGCTCTTTTGCAAATATAAGGAAAAAAATACTCTGTTTATTTACTAATTCATTCAAAAGTATTTCATGAATGGATAAGCCATGTACCAGCACTACTCTAGATTCTGGGAACAAAAATGATTAATACAATTCTTCAGAAACTCGTAGTTTTAGCAGAAGATTTGGCCATGGACTGAAAGCAGAGATGCAGGTGTGGGGGCGTCCTTGGAACGCCAGAGTTGGTATAAAGATTATTTTAAGCTGAAGACTTTTGAGATTCAACAGATACAGAAAGAAGTCTTTTGGTTCTGTCCTTATCTGAATATATGCAAAAATTTCTGAGAAATAAAGACTGTTATAAATACTCTTGAGTTTGGTCTGTCCCCAGAAGAGTGACTAAGAGTAAATCTGCATAAACTTTCTCTTTGAGGAATTTTTATGTCCCTGAAGATGGAAAGAACACTCATACATGTATAAACTTTATGCTCAAACTTTCTTATCTCCTATTTGTTCTTCTAAAGAACTCATTTGTCTTTCCTAAAGAAACCTATTTTTCTTCCCATAGGAGCCATTTCTCTTCCCTACCTTTCCCCTACTGACTAAATTAGGTATATAAGCTCCAAGCTCTAACCACACTTTTGAGTTATTCATCACTGAGCACTCCAGTATGTATGTACATTGCAAGTGTAAATAAACTTTTTCTCCTGTTAATCTGTCTTTTGTCAGTTTAATTCACAGGTCCCAGTCACTGAACACAGTTAATGAAAGAAATGTTTCTTCCCTCCCACAAGTGAAGAGGGAAATTTCCTTTCAAAGTGGCTAGAGTAATGAAAGTGGCATTGAATAAAATCAGCAACATAGAAAGATGACCAGATTTGGAAGACTATGGAGGAAGGAAGTCATTCCATTTTAGACTTCTTAATGTCTGTAAGAGTAGTGAAGAAGTTGTTTTAAATGGTATATATCCACCCAGACTTCTCATATATTGCTTACTTCTCACAACCAGATTTTTTTTTACCTTCCTCAGCCTAGCCTCTTACATTCTTCCTAACAGCATCTCCTCCAAATGGAGGCAGAGAGCAAGGATAAGGTGGCTGATAAACTGGATCTGGTACTTTGCCATGGCTAATCACCCACACTGGCTTTCCCTTCAGCTTTTCTACGTGATTTAGTCTGCTCCTCTGGAGGCTTTCCAGACCTGGAGCAGCTTTAATCTATCAAGGTGATGAGTTCTGAGTAGTCCTTTCCATTTGGCCATTTTCTAAACTCTCCTTGGGAAAAGTTGTATTTAGATTTATCCCCTTTCAGATCAAAGTCATCTACATTAGCACTAGAACAGAAACCTCCCAGACCTTTTCCAGGCATCAAGGACTATTTTGATGACTTTGTCTTGAATTAATACTTTTCTACCTGTTAACCTTCTCTGATCTTTCTATTGTTGACTACCTATCAGGTTTAATGGCAGCAACATGGCTCAGATTATTTTCCCTTGGTTGTTCTCCAATTATCTCACACATTCAATATTTGCTTCTGTTACTCTATGAGAAAAGAAATTATTTAATATAGTTTTATCATATTTCTTAGAACTTAGCACAGTAGTGGGGGCATAATAGGATCTCAATGAATAATACTTGTTTGAATCAAATTAGAGAGAGTTATGTAGATTTTTACATATGATCAAATTGTTTTTGTCTTATTTTTAAAACTCAGACTATAAATTCAAGTTGTCATTATCATGACTTTCATGTTGTTGTTGCTGTTGTTTTATAAACTCTTTTATGGCCATTGCTCAAAAAGAACACATGAGTATTTGAGAAAGAATGGAGGCTCTGATACCACAATGTGATTTTTGTTGTTGGCTATGACTTTGGAAATAAGGAATGTTCAGTCAATATGCATTCCAGAGTTCCAGGCCCACACGTTTTGGCTTGATTTCAGAATGTGGACTCTATTAATGGATACTTGAAGTATATATAATTTTCCATTATTTATGCAGTTGACTTAGAATGGAATTTTCTTTTTCTTCATCTTCCAGAAGCTCAGTGTTGCTTTAGTTCCAACATGTACTTACATAATTCTGTGTAAAACAGAGAGCTCTAGTATTTCCTGAGCTTTGACCACTTGACTCCTCTGAGTTCCTTCTGGGCCTCCTCCTCCTGCGAGAAGGTAAGTGCACGTGCCGACAAGAGGAGAGGCAGGATGGAAGGTTTCAGTGTTTAAGAAACAGAGAAAGATGTGAACCATGTAATATACACATATATGAGAGAACCTGGGAGAAACTCTGGGTTTCATGTTTCAGTGCAAACTGTGGGGCTTACATCTAGTTTATTCAAAGCATCCTAAGGGTTTAAAGTCTGTACAGGAAGCTGGGCCTGGCTGATGACTTCATATTGAAATCATGCAAAACCCATGAGCTCATGAGCTGGGAGATGAAACTGGATGAGACAGAAATGACTTCAAGTGAAATTGCAGTAAGTCTGTACAGGAGCATTCAAACTTGGAGAGGAGAGAGTGGGTAAAACCAGGCCACTGGAATTTGGAGATTGTCTTGCAAGAACTTGTAGTAAAATGAAACTACTTGATTTCACTCAAGCCCTTGAAAGACTCTTAGAAAAACTGTATAAGAACTTGAAAACCAAGGAACACTTTCTGTTTGCTTTTCATTCTCTCTGAATTTTGATGAGTGCCATTCTCAATACTTAAGGTGGACAACAAGGTCAAGACTATTTCTGTTGTTCTTCCTGCCCTCTCTTCCTGTACAATCCCAATGCACCATTATCAAATAGCTCTCACCAAACTGTGCTGCATAGAGAGTCTCAACATATGTTTGTCAGCTTCTTTGTCTGAGACAGCTGGGCTTGGAGAGCTGCTAGACTTGAGGTTTCTTAAAGCTCAGGCTGGGGTGGGTGGTGTCGATATTGGCCCTTGGACTCTGATGGTCCAAGGAAGACCTGAGTGACAGTGCTCCAGAACTACATCTATACAAGTCAGGCAGATGGGGAAGAGGGGGGTCGATGATCCGAAGGAGGATCAGAGTGTCTTAGTCAGCTTGGGCTGCTATGACAAAATACCATAGACTAGTTGGCTTAAACAACTGAAATTTACGTCTTACTGTTTAGGAGAATGGGAAGTCAAGGTGCCAGTCTGGTTAGTTCCTGGTAAGGCTACTTTTCCTGGCTTGTAGATGGCTGCCTTCTTGCTATGCCCTTACATGGTTGGAGAGTGAGAAAGCAAGCTGTCTGGTGTCTCTTTTTATGAGGGCTCTAATCCCATTATAAGGGCCCTACACTTATGGTCTCATGTAACCCCTCCCAAAGGCTCTCTCTAAACACTATCACATTGGAGGATAGAGCTTAGCATATGAATTTTAGGAATTCAGTCCGTAGTAGAGAGGTTGAACCCAGGTACAGAATAAAAACGGAGAAAACCTTACCAAAGACAGTAAGTTCAATGGAGTGACAAGGCCCTAGAATGCATTCAAAAGTGATTTTCCTAGGTCACCAGAGTCTCCCTTGTTCCTGGAGGGGAGGCTAAGTGCCCTGTGCTGGTCAGTTGCCTAGAACAGAATCCACTCTAGTAGTTTTATATAGAAAGGATTTATTTCAGGTATTTATATGCCTTATAGAATCATCGAGAAGGCTGAAGAAGCAGATTCGAACTTAAGCTTTCAGGAACAACTCCCTAAGTGACACCAAAGAATCAGGCCCCCAAAGAAGCCATGGTTTCTTCTGCATTAGGGAGGCTGCCTTCCAAACTAGGGGGCTGGCCCTGGAGGCCCCTGCCATTGGTAAGATCAGGAGGCTCCTATGGTCTGGAGGCTGCTGCCACTCCGACCCTTGCTGCACCTGCTGCAATTGGCATTACTAAAATGAATGTATGACACACACTCTCACACTCAGAAAACTAGTAGTCAGAGGCTAGAACTTCTCCCACCACCACAGGACAACAGACACCTCCATGAGTGGCCTGCTTGCAGGAGCAGCAAAAACAGCAGAAGCAGGAAAGCCTGGTTTTCACTAGACCCACTTCTAACAAATGCAGGGAAAGGCACAGAAGTACAAATGGAGGCCAACTTACCATATATCTCGACAGCTGAAAGTTACAAACCAAGCTACAAACTGCTCAATAAGGTATATCACACCCTTTTACTTTGACAAATATACCTTCATAACAATGTGGACTTCCAGGGAAGGCAAACACTTAGCACACATACTGTCCTATCATACCCTCCACCCCTGCACCGAGGACAGACATTACTAATTAATCACAGCATTTTGTCCAGATTTGGCCTCAGGATCCTCTTCGATATAGTTCTCCGGGCAGCCCTTGTCAGCCAGAAGAGAAAAGCAAGATGAAGACCTTTTCCAGCCTGCTCTCAGCAGTGCCTATAACTGGCTCAGGCCATAGAGACCAAATGTACAAATCCAGGGTCAAATTTAGCTTCGTGGACCCCTCTGAAGTCCATGTCAGAGTGCAGCATTGTGGGGAGAGCTAGTCTCCAGCCCAGTCTCTTTCCACCATTGTCTTGCTGTCCTGCACAGCTAAGGCCTTTTTGCCTACACATGTGGACACTCTGGTTCACATGTCCAAGCCCTGTTCATATTGTACAACCCCCATCCGCCACTGCCAACAGCTGCCCATTGGCCACGCCTCGTGGAGCCTGCTTTGCTCGACAATTTTACTGTTGGTATCTACATCCCTTATTGTTTTCTTCCCTATCCAAGCAGTTGATTTCAAGGATTTGGAAAAGTAAGACATGTTTCCCTTTACAAAGAATCAAGAAAGTGCTGGTCTGCAGCCTGGGAGACAGTGTAATGAGGCAGCAAGATTCGTGGAATTCAGCAGTATAAGGTTGCATCTGGCAAGTTTCCTAAGTCCTCAAAGCCTCAATTCCCGTATCTCTAAAATGTGAAGAATCAGATCTACTTTTTAGGGAAATGCAGAAGACGTACTTAATATAGCACCTGACACAGAGTAAGTACTCAAAAATATGTTAGCTATTTTTATTATTACTATTTATTTATTTTATTTTTTTGAGATGCAGTCTTGCTCTGTTGCCCAGTCTGCAGTGCAGTGGTGCAGTCTCAGTTCACTGCAACCTCCACCTCCCAGATTCAAGCGATTTTCCTGCCTCGGCCTCCTGAATAGCTGGGACTACAAGTGCCTGCCACCATGCATGGCTGATTTTTGTATTTTTAGTAAAGACAGGGCTTCGCCATGTTGGTCAGGCTGGTCTTGAACTCCTAACCTCAAGTGATCCACCCGCCTTGGCCTCCCAAAGTGCTGGGATTACAGGCCTGAGCCACTGCACCCAGCCAATGTTAGCTATTATTATTTTTGTGCTGGTTGTAAATTAACAGGTAGGAGAAAACAAATTTAGGCTCTTCTTAGATCTTGAACCATATTTCCTTATGTTATATACTTTATAACTATATGTGTGTTTAACATGTATTGTATAATTAATGAATAAAATGAGTTTTAAAAATATTATTTGATTTAGCTGATTCTTCATCTCATTATGAAAATTATTTTTATTACTATTATTTTAAATTTTATTTTAGGTTTGGGGGTACATGTGAAGGCATGTTACATAGGTAAACACATGTCATGCGGGTCTGTTGTACAGATTATTTCATCACCCAGATTTTAAGCCTAGTACCCAATAGTTATCTTTTCTGTTGCTCTCCCTCCTTTCACCCTCCCCCATCAAGTAGACCCCAGCGTCTGTTTTGTCCTTCTTATTTTTAGCCAGATTTCTAATCAGATGGATTTGTACACTTGGTATCTGTGACTTGAGCCAGTTATAGGTACTGCTTAGAGCAGGCTGGAAAAGGTCTTCATCTTGCTTGTCTGTTCTGGCTGACAAGGGCTGCCCAGAGAACTATACTGAGGATCCTGAGGCCAAATCTGGGCTAAAATGCTGTGATCAATTAGTAATGTCTGTCTTGGGTGTGGGAAAAGATAAGACTGTATGCGTGCCAAGTATTTGCGGTCCCTGGATTGTACTCTCTTCCTGAGAAGTAAGAAAGAAGATGGACTTAAAGAGAAACACTGGGTTTGAGTCCCACTTCTCCTGACTTTGTGACTATGGGCCAGGAGTTTAACCTGCCTTTCCTTAGTTGCTTCATCTTAAAATAAGAATAACCAGGTTTGCCGGGTGCGGTGGCTCACACTTGTCATCCCAGCACTTTGGGAGATGGAAGTGAGTGGATTGTTTCAGCCCAGGAGTTCAAGACCAGTCTCAGCAACATGGCAAAAACCCATCTCCACAAAATATACAAAAATTAGCCAGGTGTGGTGGTGCACATCTATACTCCCAGCTATTCAGGGAGTCTGAGGTGGGAGGATTACCTGAGCCCGGGAGGTCGAGGCTGCAGTGAGCTGTGATTGCGCCACAGCAGCCTGGGCGACAGAGTGAGACCCTGTCTCAAAAAAAAAAAAAAAAAAAAAAGAATAACCGAGTTCATCCTGCTTACCTCATGGGTTTATTTGTGAGGATGGAATGAGACAATGCTTGTAAAAGCACTGTCAATTGTGAGGTGTTATATAAATGCAAGGTGTTTGTTATTCGTGTGTGGTATTTGGCCAGTTGCTACTTGCTGAGGAGGGAGAGCCAAGTCAGTATGTCTGGTCTGCGTCTGCCTGTGTCCTCTCAGTCCAGGCTCTGCATCCTCCTTTAGCTTCTGAGCGCTGATCTATGCGGGGAGAGCGTGGCAGAGCAGAAAGAACTTGTACTTAAAACCAAATGCTGGCTCCCGCATGGACTGTGTGATTTCAGTCAAGTTGTGTAACCTGGGTGAGCCTCAGTTCCTTCATTTTTAACATGGAGATGTAAATAAAATAATAAGGACACCCATCTTAACTGTCCCCCAGGGGCTGCATTGTATAGCTCAAGGGCAATATACACCAAAGCACTTGGGAAACTCAAAGTATGAGTTGTTTTGATTTTTTAATATGATCTGAGCCAAATGCATTCTTTCTCTATAACCCTCCCCCACTCCACGATCCCTAAACAGCCTCTGACATTCTTGTCCTATCCCTGGTTCAAATTGCAGCACAGCCTCCATGAGCTCTGTGTCTAATCTAGAGAGCCAAAGGCAAAATCCGGATTGGGCCAAAAATTAGAGGTCAGAAGAACATGCAATGAAAAATGAAAGTTAGTCCTCAAAACAGAGGTGGAGTGGGGCCGTGGCCTGGGCTGGGCTGGGAGGTGCTGGAGAGGCCCAAGGACAGGCCCTCCTACATCCATGAGGAGCAAGGGGAGGGCATGAAGAAAGTCACTGGGCCCTGTGAGAAGTCAGAGCCGGCTGGTGTGAAGAACAGGCTGGCCCCAGAACTCTAGCCCTAGGCAGTTCCTTAGGCCCTGACTTGCTCTTGGCAACTCTTCAAAAGGTTCTGGGCCCTGGCCCTAGAGCATTATAGGCCTTGCATCCTGAAGTTGCCATGGGACACTATACCCACTTGTAGCCTAAGCAATGAGAGTAGCACAGTATGACCAAAGCTCTTTATATTTGTTTCTTTTATTATTATTTTTTTAAACAGAGTCTCTCTCTGTCATGGAGGCTGGCGTGTAGTTGTGCGATCACGGCTCACTGCAGCCTTGACCTCTCTGGCTCAAGTGATCCTCCCATCTCAGCCTCCTGAGTAGCTGGGACTACATGTGCCACCACATCTGGCTAATTTTTGTTTTAAAATTTTTTAGTAGGGACAGGGTCTCATTATGTTGCCCAGGCTGGTCTCAAGTGATCCTCCTGCCTCAGCCTCCCAAAGTGCAGAGATTACAGGTGTGAGCCACCATACCTGGCCCTGTATTCATTTCTTAGGGCTACTATAATAAAGTGCCACAAACTACATGGCTTAATCAACAGAAATGTATTGTTCGGAGGCTTGAACAGCTCTGGAAGCTTGAAGTCCAAGATCATCCAGATGTTGGCAGGGGTGGCTCCTTCTGAAGACTGTGAAGGAGATTCTGTTCCATGTCTTCCTTCTAGCTTCTGCTGGTTTCCTGGCAATCTTGGGTGTTTCTTGGCTTGAAAATTGTCCCGATTCCTGCCTTCATCTTTACATGGTGCTCTCTCCAACTTCATGTCTGTCTCTGTGTCCAATTTTCCCTTTTCATAAGGACACAATCGTATTGGATTAGGGCCTACCCCCATGACCTCATCTGAACTTAATCATCCGCAAAGACCCCATCTGCAAATGAGATACTGGGGATTAGAACTTCAACATATGAATTTTGGGGTGACACAACTCAGCTAATAACATTCTCCTTGCTTCTCTCATGATTATTCAAAACAAGATGGGTCAATGAAGACCGGGAACAAGGTAGAACTAAACCTCAGAGTAACACGGTACCTGCTTTTGTGCAATTAGCAGCTGGAGAAGCAGTTACATTTTGCAGACTATTTCCTCATATTCTGCTGGTGGATGGGGAAAGGCTTCCAATACAGCATCTTCAGAGCTTAGAATAGTCCTGATATGGAGCAGATGCTCAATAAACATTAATTGAATTAGTAATGAATAAAGGAAACTCAGCACAGACTAGCAACTATTTACAATTTATTCTCTAGTAGCCTAGACTTTTCCTGGCTTGGAAAAAGAACACAATAAATGGTCATTGAATTTGCAATCAGTTTCTCCCATATAGGACAATGGGCTTATCTTTTCTTTTTTTGGAGACAGAGTGCAGTGGCAAGATCTCAGTTCACTGCAACCTCCACCTCCCGGGTTCAAGTGATTCTCCTGCCTCAGCCTCCAAAGTAGCTGGGACCACAAAAATTAGCCACTATGTCCAGCTAATTTTTGTATTTTTAGTTGAGATGAGGTTTTGCCATGTTGGCCAGGCTCGTCTTGAACTTCTGGCCTCAAGTGATCTGCCCGCCTCGACCTCCCAAAGTGCTGGGATTATAGGCGTGAGCCACTGCGCTGGGCCACAATGGCCTTATCTTTAAGAGCTGGGCCTTATCAGGAGTGGAATGAAGAGTGTCAGTGGTAAGTCGCAGAGGTGTTGGCCCCTTCCTTATTCTTGTTTCTCCAGCTACTCCCAGGTGGTCTCACTGTACCCCCTTGGCAACCTAGGGCCCCATTCTAAAACAAATCTAGAATCCTGAACAGAGTCTGATATTCTAAGCTGTGAGAAAATCTGTTTCCTTACCAAAGCTTATTGATCCTGCATCTCCCTTATACACCAGCATTATAGAGTTGGATGTAACCTCAGCAATCATGGAGTTCTACCTTTTAATTTATAAATGAAGAAACTGAAGTTCAGAGGAGTGAAGCCATGACTAAGTCCACATGGCCAGGACTCCTGACTTGCCACCATGTCTCTTCTTTTATCCTCGATTCTGTTTTCTTTTGGTAATGAATTTAGCAGAGGACAGAGAATGCTATAGTCTAATTGAAATGCTTAGGCGTCCCCAGAGTGTGAGGCCAGTGGTGGGGCCTCGGGGTATCTGGCTTGTTGGGAAGGGGCACTGGCTCAGGCCCTTCAGACTCTCAGCTTGGAAGCTGTGCTGCCTGGCTGGCTGTTTGCTTCAAGAAAAGCTGCCTTTTATAATAATTCCAGACTCCCTTGCCTCAACTCTCCCACTATCCAGAGACAAGACAGACCTTGTGGGAAGCAAGGCTGTGGCCCAATCTTGACCTCCTTGACACCGGGCTGCCTTTTCTAGTTTCCCAATTCTTAATTGCCCCTGGCCAATTTCACATCCAAGAATGAAAAATGACTCCAGTCTACTGGTGGTTGAACACGCTGATGGCTGCAGGTGCTTCCTTTGCACAACAGCCAGGCCAATTAAAGGGCAAGATGTGACCCAGACAGTCACCCTTGAAGCTCTCTACCGTTTACAATGTTCTGAAAGAATGCTGGTGGGTGCCCCAACAGTCACCTGTGTGCTTCCTTAGCACCCTGCCAGCCCTGCTGATGCTGTTGCAATAGCCTATCATTGTTTAGCATATGTCAGGTGCACTTACAGAGGGTGCCTTATCTGAAAGGCCCTGAGCATATGCAGTTGGCCCTCAGTATCTGTGGATTCCATGACTGGATCCAATTAGCCATGGATAAAAAGTATTTGGAAACAAATTGCATTTGTACTAAACATGTACAGACTTTTTTCCTCATCATTATTTCCTAAATAACACAGTGTAACAATTATTTACATAGCATTTATATTAGCAATCTAGAGATCTTAAGTAATCTAGAGATGACATAAAGTATACAGGAGGTTGTGCATAGGTTATATGCAAATACTGCACCATTTTGTATCAAGGACTTGCGCATCTGTGGATTTTGGTGTCTGAGGGAGGTCCTAGAACCAATCTCCCATGCACACCAAAGGACGACTGTATTTGTAAAACCTAAATTCTCATTAAGAAGCTGAAGTTAATAAGTAAAAACCAACCAACCAACCAACCAACCAACCAACCAAACTAGTGAGAGGGGGTAAAAGTTTCCATTAGGATGACTAGATTTAACAAAAAAATACAGACAGGAAACTCAGTTAAATTTGAATTTCAGATAAACAACAAATGTTTTTTGATGTACATGAATTCTGTGCAATATTTGGGACATACTCATACTAAAAATTATTTGTTATGTACCTGTATCTGAAATTCAAATGTACCTGAGTGTCCTATTATTGATTCAACCACCCTAGTTCCTGTGGAATTCCATGGTCAGGATATCCGATGAAACAAACCTTGACTCTTGACTGTTGGAACTAAATCTGGGAATCTGGTACTCTTCCAGTTCTGACATTGGCAGGTCTTCTTGATTGTTGCTGTTCCCAAATGAGGGACCAAGTTCTTCGGGGAGTTCCACAGGAAGGCTCGGGCATGACCCGGCTCCTGGGAACTCCCTATAACAGGAGGTGCACAGCCAGTTCACGGAAAATGCAACTGTCACAGTGAAGTCAGCATGTTTTTATATATGCAGTCTAATCACAAAGTGCTTTCGGATAACCTTCTCATTTGATTCCTCAACAGCCCTGAATAGGGCTTAGCAAATATCTTCTCTGCTTCAGATGAGAAAACACTGAGGTGATGTTGGCCAAGTCAGTGCCAATTAAGCAGTGAGTTAAGGGTCACCTGAGCTGTCAGGCCCTAAGACCAATTTTACCTTGCTTTTTTGTTAGAACAGACTACTTTGTTACTAAAGTCAAATACACTTTTCCAAAACCATTACATTATGGGTTTTTTCTATTTATAAAAGTAATATTTGATTATTGCAGAAAACATGAAAATCACAGACAAAAAAAGAATAGAAGAGAAATCAGCAAAGGAAGTAATTCTACCCTTGTGAGATAACTACTGCTAACATGGAGGTGTATGGCCTTCCATTCTCTGTCCTTCTTATATATATTAATATATGATCAGTTTTAAATAAGAAAGGCCAAGTCCTCTTACACACATGCATGCATATATGAATGATAAAAATATAAATGTATGAATAGTTGTATACGTGAAGCTCATCATATGCATATGTGCACAAACATGTCTATACGTAATATGAACTTATATTATTTTGAAATTAGATTATTTATTTTTGGCATTAATCAGATCTTAAGACTGAGCACAAAAATGAGGTGAAAATCACCAAATAAACTCTGGATAAAGAGTGTAGGCAATGGCCGGGTGGTGTGGCTCACGCCTGTAATCCCAGCACTTTGGGAGGCTGAGGCGGGCAGGTCTCTTGAGCCCAGGAGTTTGAGACCAGCCTGGGCAACAAGGCAAAATCATCTCTACAAAAAAATAGAAAAATCAGCCAGGTAGGTGCCTGTAGTCCTAGCTACTTTGGAGGCTGAGATGAGAGGATCACCTGAGCCGGGGGAGGTCTTAGCTGCAGTGAGCCATGATTGTGCCACTTTACTCCAGCCTGGGCGACAGAGCGAGACTCCGTCTCATAAAAAAATAAAAAATAAAAAAATAAAAATAAAAAGAGTGTGGGCAGTGAAGGACATGAGAACAATGTCTCACCACAGTGATGAGTGAGCCTATCCTTCACATTGAATCTGTTCCTAATTAAAAATGAGTGTTTGGTGGGTAAAGAGGGTAAAGCTAAAAAGATCTGTCCCTAATGCTTTCCCACTGAACTATTGACTTACCCTGACTACTACCTTGTCAACAATTTATCTCCCCTTTGGACATAAACATTGATAATCCAGAACTGATGTTGCTGTGACTCCAGTAGCACTTGGTACTCAGCTGTAATATGTCTGTGATCAATGTTTTCATCGATATGTAATGCTTATATGCAACCTTAGAACCACTTCTTGTTTGAAGGTCTTGAGATGATTATTCATTTGAAGAGGTCAATACTTACATGACAATATCTTATATGACAACTAAAATGGTTTATTTTTGCAGTTACCAGATATGACAACTTAAGACAACATAGTCTGATGGTGGCCTGGGGCCAAATCAGAAATATCTGTTGGGACACACTCCTAGGCTATGAGTGACTCATAATCACTTTCACTGGCCTTGCTGTAGGCTCAGCCACATATGACCTGCTATGTCTCAGAGAAACTTCTCTCCTTTCTCTTCCAAAATAAATCTCAAAACACCCAACACTCTATGTAAGCAAAGCTATTCAGAGCTTCGCAACTCTCTAGCATGGCATCAGATCCTGTAGAAAGTTATAGGAGATACCCTGGGGATTGAAGATGCTGCACCACCTCATTACAAAAGCTTGAGTGCATCTGACTCTCTGGGTCTCCCTTGCTAGCACAAACCACTCAAGAAATATGTGGCTATGAAAATCTACGATCAATGCTGGCATCATTATATTTGATTATTTCTTGGTGTGTGAATATATATAAACACTATATGCTGAGTGTTCCCCATCTTAGGCATTTATTTTGTAAAGTGATTATATTTGTATTTCCTTCATCTCTCACCAGGCAGACAAACTCAGTTTTAAATATATATTAAATCAAATGAAGACCTATAAAAAACACATCCATCAGAATAGATTAGCGTCTACAACATTGTGCTGTAACATGGTTTTTTCAGTGTGAATCTTGCTTCGAAAGTAAAATGTTGGAAAGCTTTGTTTAAATCTACCAAGCAGGAAAACCAAATGAATACAAAACAAAATCTCAGCTGGCCAATTGTTTCAGACCCAAGACCTGTTCTATTTATTGTTTTTGTAAGAAATAGTTGCCTGGAACATCATTTCTATGGCAGAAATAGTGTCAAGTTCCTAAGGAGAAGAAGTAGGAGGAAGCTCTAAGTGTAAACACCCAAACAGTGGAAGGAAAACCACACATCACTTACTTTGAAAACAGTAGCTGCTTGGGGCCATGATTTTGACGAATCATAATGAGCACTCACAAATTGATTTAATATTAAAATGCATCCAAGCAGACTTTGAAACTATAATTCTCTGACAGTGGATGGACTGATGAAACTCACCAGGAAGGCCAGTTACTCAGGCCTGCGATGTCTTCGGTTATTGAAGACATGTGATTGCCACCTAGCGGCCAACATTAACTTCACCTGGAAGGTCGAGCAATTCTGCAGCCCACTTTGCCCAATGCATAAGGACAACAGTACCAGTCTTTGTCAGTACTCAATTCAAATTCCTTAACACTTCCTCTTTTATCACATCTCTTTGTTCTGTGTAAGTCACCTGTTTACCATCTCTAAGACCAAACATTTTCCTTCACTCCATGTCATTAGTCCCAGAGAGCCTAAGAACCTATCTGCAAAATTCCCTCCATAGTTCTCATTCCATTTCCTTTTTTTTAAACCACAGTTGTTCTATTGGTAAGAAGAAGGGCTCCTGCCTTCATTTTCTCCACCCAGCTTCTTCCACTTTCTCTCCTCCTATTTCACGTCACAAGACACAAGGGCGTCTTGAGAGAGAGGCTTCTGAAAGAAAGCTTGGTAAGGATAACTGAAAACCTGAGAACAATAGTGTCAGAGGCTTTTGAACCAGAGCAACTCCATCTTGAAGAGGGGCTGGGTGAAATAAGGCTGAGACCTGCTGGGCTACATTCCCAGGCAGTTAGGCATTCTAAGTCACAGGATGAGACAGGAGGTCAGCACAAGGTACAGGTCATAAAGACCTTGCTGATAAAACAGGTTGCAGTAAAGAAGCCGACTAAAACCCACCGAAACCAAGACGGTGGCGAGAGTGACCTCTGGCCATCCTCACTGCTACACTCTCACCAGCGCCATGACAGTTTATAAATGCCATGGCAATGACAGGAAGTTACCCGATAAGGTCTAAAAAGGGGATGCATGAATAATCCACCCCTTGTTTAGCATATCATCAAGAAATAACCATAAAAATGGACAACCAGCAGCCCTCGGGGCTGCTCTGCCTATGGAGTAGCCATTCTTTTATTCCTTCACTTTCCCAATAAACTTGCTTTCACTTTACGGACTTGCCCTGAATTCTTTCTTGCACAAGATTCAAGAACTCTCGCTTGGGGTCTGGATCCAGACCCCTTTCCGGTAACAGCAACACTCCTGTTACTTCACCAAGGAATTATAAGTAAATATTTCTATGTTACCAAGACTGACAAAGTTCAAAAATAATAATGCTGATAATACAGCTGTTTGTGGTGAAAATAAGTGGAAAATGTGTTGGCCAAGCTGGTCTGAACTCCTGACCTCAGGTGATCCACGCCTTGGCCTCCCAAAGTGCTGGGATCACAGGCATGAGCCACCGCACCCAGACCTAGTTTAGTCTTTGTGTTGACAAAGCACAAAGATGAAACTATTTGCCACGCCCCTCCTTCACCACAACTGGACCTGCTCTAACCTCCTCTCTGCCCTGGTCTGAGCCTTGGATCCTATCACCTTGGCTCCCTTGCCTTGGTTTCTTGTTAGGTAGAATCAGAGCCAGGCTCCATCAGGAGAATGGAGGGCAGGAGGAAAGAGAATTAGGGTGGAGGGCAGAGGATGCCAGGGTGTCCTGTCCCCCATGCTCCCTCCCAGCTTTGAGCCTTGCTTCTGGCAGTGACTCTGTGACTCCCGCTTCTGGTAGAGGCCTCACCATGGCTCCAGGCCTCACCGGGCTCCATTTCCTCTCTCGTTTCTTCCGATTTAGGGGAGGTAGCAGCTTCCTGCCGTTGCTCCTCTCTGGGTCTTCATCATCTGGTTACTCCTTTCACCCTGTGCACCTCTGTGATTAAACTCTCTTCATCTAAACCACCTGAGTTGAATGATTTCTTCTGCTGGGATCTTGATACAGTTCCTATTGTTTGTTTTCCTTTTAATCCAGTCTGATTTTCCCTCTGTGCATCTGAACACATATTATTTGAGATGGAAGCTGTCACCTGGGCTCTCGGGGCGGGAGGGGGGGAACACTCTGACTTGTTTTGTTTATTTATTCTGGAGTGTGCACTTGCTAATCCACGTACCAGAAGACATATGTACAGTGACCTTACTTTTCCAATTAAGTGGACCAAAAGGAAATTTTCCTTTTTTTTTTTTTCTTTTTTGAGACAGAGTCTGGCTCTGTCGCCCAGGCTGGAGTGCAGTGGCGCGATCTCGGCTCACTGCAAGCTCCGCCTCCCGGGTTCACGCCATTCTCCTGCCTCAGCCTCCCAAGTAGCTGGGACTACAGGCGCCCGCTAATTTTTTGTATTTTTAGTAGAGACGGGGTTTCACCGCGTTAGCCAGGATGGTCTTGATCTCCTGACCTCGTGATCCGCCCGCCTCGGCCTCCCAAAGTGCTGGGATTACAGGCTTGAGCCACCGCGCCCGGCCAGGAAATTTTCTAAATTGCTAATTCACTTCTGTGAAAAACCTTATAAAAAGAATATAAATTATTTAACAATTAATGATACACTGAAAAAAAAAGCCTCTTCTTCATTGTTAAAAATTATATGAAATGAGAAGAATCCCAGAAAATCTTGGTTATATGTTGTGGAAACTATGGGGTAAGCATTAGGGTTGGGGAGAAGAGGGGGACCCGAAACACTGAGGACAGGATAAAGTAGTCAGGGTTTGATCAGAGAATGCAAAGTGATACAGAATGAAGATTCCTTTTTATTTCTTTTCATGGTCCAGTAAGTCCTCACTTCACATTGTTGGTAGGTTCTTGGAAACTGTTGAGTTTAACCAGAATGACAAAACAAAACCAATTTTCCCATAGGCTAATTGATATAAACAAAAGTGAAGTTCCTATGGCATATTTGTGGTCACAAAAACATTATCAAACTTCTAAACAAAGACCAAAATACAACACATACACACACACACACACACACACACACACACACACACACACATATATATATATATATATATATATATATATATATATATATATATGACAGGTATGTTAGTCTGCCTAACCGTAGTAATCCCTTAACCTCAATCTGTACGGTCATGCACTGTGTAACGATGTCTCAGTCAATGAGGGACAGCGTACGTGGCAGTGGCCCCACAAGATTAAAATGGAACAGAAAATTTTTTAATACCTCATGGCCATCTTAACATTGTAGCAACACATTACTCATGTGTTTATAGTGATGCTGGTGTGATGTGTTTATAGTGATGCTCATACATATATATATATATATATTAGTACATATATATGTATATATACCAGGTCTGTGATGTCAGTTGCTCCTTGGATGGTGGGCAGGTGTTGTTTTCATACCTTGGCTATTGTGAATAATGCTGCAAGGAACATGAGAGTGCAAATATCTTCATGAGCTGGTGATTTCATTTCCTTTGGGTATATGCCCAGATGAGGGATAGCTAAGTCATATATGGTAGTTCTATTTCTAACTTCTTCAGGAACCTCCATAATATTTTCCGTCTTGGCTCCACCATTCTACATTCCCACCAACAGTGTACAAAGGTTCTCTTTTGTCTGCACCCTTGCCAACACTTGTTCAGAACAAGGGATTTATTAAAGGGATAGTCATGACACAACTGTGGGGGTTGGTGGAGGTGAGCAAGGACAAATGAGAACTCCAAGGACAAACTAGGGCCAATGAAGTCAGCTGGAATGCATGGGGATGTTCTGTCTTCATTAAATCTTGTGAGAATTTTTCCAGTATTTAGTGCTAACCCTGGAACCATACATAGAATGGAAACCTAGGAAACAGTCCCAGCTTAGCAAAGTTGATGCAGTACAAAGCCACTCCACTGCTATTTTGAGCAGTGTAAGCCTGTTTGAGGAGATGACAAATAGATCCAACAGGCAGCGCTAATTAGTAAGACACTTTTCAGATAGTGTGTCAGAAAACTGAGAACAATATCTAAAATATGTGTCTGTCATGAATTCGGATATGGCTGGAGGATGGTGGGATCCATGATGGCCAAAGTGCTTCCTGGAGGGACAAGTGACACGTCTCCTTGAGGCTATCACCTGCATCCCTCCTACCATAAAGATACCATGTTGTTTGCAAAGAAGAGCCCCTTCTTTTCAGCCAGGTGGAAAATCTGGAGGAATTCACTCTGAGGGGAGACCATTGCTGTGCACGTGCATTGAAGATGGTGACTGGGGTCAGTGGGCATGAATTAAAGTAATAATGATGATGATGATAAAAATACCATCTATAAATGCTTAGAGACACAAAGTGGGTATAATAATGGTCTTGAAGATGAGTTCAGGGCTAGATGTTGAAGAACGAAGTGAAAAGGAGAAAGGAAAGTGAGGAAGTCTCAGGTGAGTGAAATGACTTGAGTGACGGTCTGGAGGCAACAAATAGCTAATATAATATAGCATTGTACGGACATTACAGATTTTGTTTGTCCATTCATAAGCTGATAAAAATTTGGGTTGCTTCTACTTTTTGGCTATTATGAATAGCGCTGCATGAACTTTCATGTACAAGTTTTTGTAAACACAAATGTTTTGGCTGGGTGCAGTGGCTCACACCTATAATCCCTGAGGCCAAGGTAGGTGGATGACTTGTGCCCAGGAGTTTGAGCTCAGCCTGGGCAAATAGTGAGACCCCCATCTCTACAAAAAAAATCCAAAAATTAGCTGGGTGTGGTGGTGCACACCTGTGGTCCTAGCTACTTGGGAGACTAAGATGGAAGGATCGCTTGAGTCTGGGAGGTCGGGGCTGCAGTAAGCCATAATAGCACCACTGCACTCCAGCCTGGGGAACAGAGGAAGACTCTGTCCCTAAATAAATACATAAATAAATAAAGACACAAATGTTTCAATTTTCTTGGGTATATTTCTAGGAGTAAAATTGCTGGGTCATATGATAACCTTATGTTTAACCCTTCAAGAAAGTTCCAAACTGTTTTTCAAAATGTCTGCACCATTTTACAATGTCCCCAGTAATGAATCAGGGCTCTAATTTCTCTAATTCTTGCCCACACTTGTTATTTATTGTCTGTCACTTTTTATTTTTGCTCTCTTAGTGGGTGTGATTTTGATTTGCGTTTACCCAATGACTAATGATGTTAAGCATGCTTTCATACGCTTATTGGTCATTTGGATATTTTTTTGGAGAAATGTTTATTCAAATCCCTTGCCTATTTTGAAAAATCGAATTGTCTTTTTGTTATTAGGTGGCAGGAGTTGTTTATATGTTCTGGATACAAGTGTCTTATCAGATAGATGATTTGCAAATATTTTCACCCATTCTGTGTGTTGCCTTTTCACTTTCTTGATAGTGTCCTTTGAAGCACGAAAATTTTAAATTTTAATGAAGCCAAATTTATCTAGTTCTTTTGTTCTTATGCTTTTGGTGTTCTATCAAAGAAACTTTGCCTAGCCCAAGACTGCAAATATTTACTCCTATATTTTCTTCTAAGAGTTTAACAGTTTTATCTCTTACATTTGGTTCTATAATCTATTTTGATTTAAGTTTTGTTCATGATGTGAAGTAGGGGTCCACCTTCCTTCTTTTATGTGTGGATATCCAAAAACATTTTATTCACAAATTGCAGCATCCCTTTCCACTATTTTGCCCTCTATTTTTCTTTTTTTTTACTTAATATATCCATATATATTTGGTCTGGCTCATTTTTAATGGTTGCATGCAACACCATTTTATGGATGTACCAAATTTATTTGACTTGTACTCTATTGAGAAACTTTTAGATTGTTTCTAATATTTTGCTACTACTAAATATGCTGCAACAGTTGTGTATATATGCTGTTTCCCACTTATCTATAGATGAATTTCTAGAAATGGATCAAATGAGTCAAATGGTAGACACATCATTTTGAAAGATAATGACAATTGCCCTCCATAGAGTTAGTATCAATTTACACTGACATAGTAGGTTCCTAATCAGTAAGGTGACTTGACAAAGAGTGTATGGAGTTAGATTATTTTAGACTGCAGGACTGTAGGTGGGGCTCTTAAGAAGTCTGCTGCAGTAATGCAGGCAAGGGATGGTGATCAACTGAGCTGATGTGTGGCTTTGGAAATAGAAACGGGATAGGATGATGATGACACTCAAGAGGAAGAACAGAATCAGTAATCAAATATAAATAAATAAGCCGGGCATGGTGACTCATGCCTGTAATTTCAGCTATTCAGGAGGCTGAGAAGGAAGGATCACTTAAAATCAGGAGTTCTGAGACTAGCCTGAGCAACATAGCAAGACCCCATTTCTGACAATAAATAAAATAGAAGTTTTTTTGTTTGACTTTAAAATATATGTGTGTGTGTTATCTAGTGACTGGCAAAAACTGAATGAGAGTCTCTGCCCCCCTGGAGCTTACATTTCAGCAGAGGAGACAGACAATAGCAAGTAAACAGATATATACCAGGCTATGGCAAGGACTATAAAGGAATAGTGTAATGGAAAGAGGAGGCAGAATGAGCACGAGATCTGATATTTCCTGGAGGATGGTCAGAGAAGTCCTCTTTGATAAGCGGTATCCGATCAGAAATCTGAAGGAAATGAGGCAGCAAGGCATGTGGGTGGAGCACGAGGGCCCTAAGCAGTGGAGCAGGGCTGACTTGTTGGAAGGCCAGCCAAGGAGGCAACATAACTGGAAAAGAGCGATCAAGGAGGAGGGAAGCCGGTGGTATGTGACCCTAGAGGCCACTGTGGTCAGATCCTCTAAAGGCTTGTAGGGCCTTTTAATGGCTTTGGTTTATAATCTGGATGAGATGGAGGGTTTTGAGTAGAAGAGTGATTTGTGTTCTACATAAACAGTTCTGGCTACTGAGTGGAGAATGGATGTACAAGTCTAGAGTGAAAGAAGGGGACCAAGTAGACAGGCCACTGCAATAATCCAGGCAGGGCGTGGTGGGGGCTTGGACAGAGGGAGAATGGCGGAGGTGGTGACTTGGCCAGTTTCCAGACATATTCAGAAACTAATCTCTAGGAAAGTTTGGAGGTTTAGCTTCTATTTTCAGCTCATCCAAATGATTTGCCTGATGACGGGCAAACCACTCCATTGCTCTGTGCTTATTTTCCTGATCTGTCAAATAAGACCAAGAATTCCTTGTTGGAAATCACTTGGATGCTTAAATGAAATCCCCACACACATGCTGTCACTCTATATTCATTGTCATGAAAAAGGCAATCCTTCCAACAGCAACACTGACATTGTTATTATGGCAAAACACTCCTTCCTCTGGCAATGCTTTCCATCTTGAACTTGACTTCAAATGTGTGCTCTGGGAAGGCAGTGGTTGTGTGCATGCATCCAACAATGTTCTTCTTAAGATTTTGAATAAACCAACCTGTAATTTTCAAAGCATGATTACAGAGAGAATTGAAATTGGTATTCATGTTTATCCAGGAGGTCCTTTATTTATTTATTTATTTAGAGACAGAGTCTCACTCTGTTACCCAGTCTGAAGTACAGTGGCGTGATCTCGGCTCACTGCAACCTCCACCTCCCGGGTAGCAATCCTTCTGCCTCGGCCTCCCAAGTAGCTGGGACTACAGGTGCGTGCCACCATGCTTGGCTAATTTTTGTATTTTTAGTAGAGATGGTGTTTCACTGTGTTGGCCAGGCTTGTCGCAAACTCCTGACCTCAGGCGATCTGCCCAACTTGGCCTCCCAAAGTGCTGGAATTACACATGTGAGCCACCACACCTGGGCCGAGGTCCTTATTTATTTTCTGCATATCCATCATATTTAAATTCCATTCTGACTAACACTGCTTGAGCACCTACTATTTGCAGCCCTTTTTTTTGTTTGTTTTAATTTGAGATGGAGTTTTCCCCTTGTTGCCCAGGCTGGAGCGCACTGGTGAGATTTTGGCTCACTGCAACCTCTGCCTCCTGGGTTCAAGCGATTCTCCTGCCTCAGCCCCCCGAATAGCTGGGATTACAGGTCCGCACCACCACACTGGCTAATTTTTGTATTTTTAGTAGAGACGGGGTTTCACCATGCTGGTCAGACTGGTCTTGAACTCCTGACCTCAGATGATCCACCCACCTCAGCCTCCTAAAGTGGTGGGATTACAGGTGTGAGCCAACATGCCCTGCCTGCAGACCTTGAGTGATTAAAAAAATGAGTAAGGTAAGGTCCCTGTCTTCAAAGAAGCTGGCCATCTATTTGGGGATATAGATGAAAACAAAAACAACATCCCTTGGTTTTATGCTACGGGACAATGCTTGGGTGTGTTCTAGGAAGAAAGAAACAAAAAGAGAATCATTCTGAGCCTCAGTCAGTTATGTTTCTTATTTTATCTTGATCATCAAAATAAGATACAGTGAAATTGGAAGATTTTGAAAGATTTTATCTATGTCCACTCCTTATAGCAAATTATGTGACTGTCTCTTGTAGCATACTTTCATCAACATTGACCATTAACAGCTATTTTTAGTCTTAATGTGTGAAAAATGGTGACTGATTAGCCAGCCTTTATTCCATTATTATTGAAGTTAAATATTTTTTATTCTTGTTTATTTTCCACATGTAATTTATCTTTTGAAATTGTGCATGTCCTTTTTTCATTCAGCAGTTGGATTCAAAATCTTTTTTTCTTATAGATGTGTGCAGACAATCGCTAGAGGAAGGATATTAATCCTAATGTTCCATACTCAAGCAAGTATTATTCTAGGAATCTTACTTATTCTTTAATTCTGTCTGTGATATTTTTGACACATAGAAGCTCTACATTTTCATATGGTATGGAAGATTTACCCATTGAGATGTTTCCATTATTAGATAATTTAGACAAAGACAAGCATTCACTCATATTTTATTTGTGTGTATGTGGCTTGACTTTTTAAAAATGTAACTCTTCAATCTATCTCTGGTTTATTATGACATATGGCAATGGGTAAAGATCTAATTAAAATTTTTTCTTTTAAAATAGCTGTCTAGTTGCCATGTTAACATTACAAAAATATCTATTTAGGTCTCTGTACATACTGAGGTTTGTTTTCTGGGCTATTTTGCATTGTTGACCCATCTGCCAATTCCTTGTCCCAATATCATATCTATTGTGCACCTGCTATGCTTTAGGTGCTGTGTGAGGCACTGGGAAATAAAAGGATCAGTAAAACAGATAGTGCCACACTCAGGAGGTTATAGTGTAGGAGACACAACAGACATTCATCGAGTAATAGTTTAAATGTATCATTTAAGATTGTGATGTGAAAGGAACTGTAAGAACATAATATTTGGAGCTCATCTTTTGGGGAGGGGTGGGCAAGGGGAAGGATGATTCCTAAGAAAAGATTTGTAAAGAAAGAAAATAAAAAATGGTGTTTTTTTTTTGCATGAGATGTTCATGAAAATAGCATCTTTAATAGAAAAAATTAGAATAGAATCACAATATCTGACTATAAAGTATTAAAATTATTAAAATCTAAATTATGAGTATCTTATAAAAGGCAAATGTTTAATGAAGTGGGAAATGTTGGAAACAGGCAGCAGATGCAGTTTATAGTATAGATGAGAAACACACACCTACAGTTAGAAAAATCTGAATACAACAATAGTAAAATAATAGAGTGGTTTTACTGGGGCAGGGACTTTGGGTGGCATTCCGCCTGCTTTGGTCAATTTACTAAATGTTCTTTACTGAGTATTTCTTTTAAATACGTATGTTCTTTTCCTCCTTCCTCCTTCTAGAAGAGCTCATGAAAATAAAAAATATAAATATACTGCTATCATGGATTAGTTTCTTAAAGACAATTTGCAAACTAGGAGAGTTTTTAAAAAGCCTATCATTGTATATAAATATTAATAAATCTATAGACCTGAATGGAGCCTCAATAGTATACAACCCTAATAATTACCCAATTCAGGTATGAATTTACTTTTCAAAAACCCCAAAATGCTGGCACAATTCAGATGGTCAATGATGCTTTGGAATAATTTCTAAGAAAGATTTAGTGATAAAAAAGAATATTCCAGGATTTTTTTTTTCTTTGAGACAGAGTCTCTGTTGCCCAGGCTGGAGTGCAGTGGCATGATCTTGGCTCGCTGCAACTTCTGCTTCTGAGGTTCAAGCGGTTCTTGTGCCTCAGACTCCCAAGTAGCTGGGATTATAGATGTGCGCCTCCATGCCCACCTAATTTTTGAATTTGTAGTAGAGACAGGGTTTCACCATGTTGACCAAGCTGGTCTTGAACTCTGGACCTCGTTATCTGCCCACCTCGGCCTCCCAAAGTGCTGGGATTACAGGTGTTAGCCACCGCACCTGGCGAGAATATTCCAGAAATCTAATAATCCCAGTAGACTTATATCATAGTCCTTTATTATATTCACTGAGATAACCCTGAGTTCAAGGACTTGCAACCTCTTATTGTGTACTTGCTAGCTGAAAATTCCTGTAGGTTGGGGTGGCAGTTTTATAGGCTGGTAACACGGCTGCTGAGCCCCTCTTCATGGTGGTGTCATGCATATGACCCTGGAAGAGGAGCCCATGGCACACATGAGAGGGAGCTACACTAACATGGTAAGGCCAGAACATCAGGAAAGTGGCAACTGCAGAGACTAGAAGATGTACAAAAATTCAAGCCCTAAGGCGTTAGTAAGTTTTAATAGTTAAAGTGATCTGGCTGAGGCAGGAGAATCTCTTGAACCCGGGAGGTAGAGGTTGCAGTGAGCCAAGATCATGCCACTGCACTCCAGCCTGGGCGACAGAGAAAGACTCCGTCTCAAAAAAAAAAAAAAAAAAAAAATCCATCAGGCTCCTGTCTGCTTTTCTCTGTATTTTTTTTTTTTGAAGTTTCAAAATTTCATAAAATCTCATGAAAGCTAGTTGTGGTCTGTGGGTCCCTTCTTAAACGTGAAACATAACCTACCCCATCCATGAAAAAATAAATTCATCAAAATGGAGAAGAAAGATAGCATCATTTGCCTGGACTCTTATGAGGACCAAATAGCCCCCAAAATAATTCCTAAAGAAACTTGATACTGTCATTATAAACAAGACTGGGAGAAAGGGACCAACCGTAAATGCGAATGGTGATGTTCAAGGGCCATGTTTTGCATTCAGGCTAGATATACTACCAGTCCTAGATTTGGTTGCTGTATCAGTTAACATCCCAGCTGGAAATAGCTGGCACATTCAGACTGGGTAATTGAAGGAAAGTTTTATAGAAGGGACAACAGAATAGCGTGATGGGTCACTTTACCATCCCTCAGCCTGAAGGGAGGAGAGAAAGGAGCAGTTACCAAAACTGAGAGATGAGAGCGAAAGAGAACTTGAGCTGTTCTCTGGAGAGATCAGCTTGACAGGAGCCAGGGCTGTGGGTGGAGCAGGGAGGGAGCTGAGAGCCAGGGAACAGATACCTCCTCCCTTCTCTCCTCCCTCTCTCTGATTTCTGAGCACTGCTTCCCATGGTCTGAAGCCAACTGCAAAGCCAGAAAGCAAGAGGGCCTGTTGATGGAGCTGACCTCTTGGGGCACACAGAAGGGTGGAACAGGGTGGAGAGTGGGTTTGGTGAACAACCAGATCAACAGGTCAACTGCTTTTCAGAAAAAAGAACAGAAATAATGTGGGCTCTGTCTTCTGGGAAGTAATGGTTCCTGAAGCAGGACTTTTAAAAACTGAAAACAGAGGAAAAGACTCTTCTTAAATGTGAAAATTAAAGTGAAAAGTGTGTGTCTATAAAGTCTATTTTTCTGCAGACACACCCATACAAACCCAGACACACATATCACACACATATGGCTACTCCATATAAATTCCCCTACCTATAGAATTAATGGGACAGTGATTAATACACTCAGGAAACTCACTATCAGACAATGGGTGGCTACGTCTAGGCCCAGTTCCTGCCCCTAAATCATTTTCATGATTACATGAGAACTTTTGGAAAACACAAAGGACAATTTTTACATTAACAATTTAACATCAACTCTCTTGAAAAATATGTCCACACAGTTATAATAAAAACTACCTCTGAACCTATTCTCTAATCCAGTGTCACCCAGGTGATCTGGGGATTTGTGTAAAATCATTCGGCCCAGGCACCTTAAGATGCAAATAGTACCTTATTAGGCAGCTGCAATATCAGCCAGATAAAATCCATAAGGCCACCCTGCTTTTATTTAGCACCTTACAATTTCCAAAAGAGTTTAACAGGGCACAGGTACCAATTGCATTCCCTTGCCGTTTTAGGAGATAGAGATAAGATGGCCTAATTTGTTTATCTAACTCATTGCTCAACGTAAGTGTCCAGCTTATAGTTGAATAAATATTTGTTAAGTTGAATTGACCTAAAAATCCCCTGAAGAAAGAGGAAAACTGGAAAGTCGAGCATGTGAAGCTTTGGTTTCTTCTCTCTGGTGAAATATTTGTAAAAAAAAGAAGTGCGAATTACTCTTTCCATGAGCTAGATCCATAAATGAAGTCAGCAAGAATCGGCCTCTGATTCTGTGGCATACAGAATAGTGGGCTCTGGGATAATGATGACCCTTGGGGTGCGAATAAGGACTGAAGGGATGAGATTGAGGGACTTCTGGGGTTCTGCTCATATTCTTTCTTGTTTGCAGTGCTGATTATATGAGTACATTCAGTTTTTGAAAATTTAGGGAGCTGTAAACTCATGTGCACTTTCCTGTGTGTATATTAGATATTAAAAATGTTTATACACTAGCAACCCTCTATAGTAATCCAGCTTCGAATTACAGCACCTCTGGAACAAATAACCTCAAGTTGTGTTTAATCTTGAAAATTAATTAATTTACAAAGAGGGTGCACTTTGGAGTGAATGGCTTGGGTTGGAATCTTGGCTCTGCCACTTGCTAACTGGGAGATCACGGCTGTGTTACTTAACACCTCTAAGGTTTTGTTTTCTCATCCATAAAATGCGCAAGTAATAATAGCAACAGAACTGAGGTGTTGAGAGGACCAAGCAAGGTATCCCACGTGAGGTGCTTAGCACACAGTCTTGCACATGGCCAGCTCTCAATATGGCTAAGTCTCTTATAATTATTGGTGGATACAAATCTTAGTTGTCAAATTCTGGTGTGCAATAAATTCAACTTTCTTTATGTTTCTATATCTGATCTTATTTTTTTTTAAGTCCTTATTTTTAGGGGTAGCAGAAACTTAATTTCTGTCATTTCAGATTTCCTACCCTGAGATTAATTCTAACTTTCAGGAGGCTCCTCATGTTCCACGCTGTATCTGCCAAACTGCGTTACTCCTGTCTGATCTTGGGTGGCCACCCACATAGATTCCAACAGCCAGGCTCCTTCCTGTTCTCTAGGCTACTCCCATGACCCCGTGGGGGACATGGAATGGTTGTAATGCTCCTGCTCGTTACCCGGGTGAGGGTGCTATATGTGGCTGTTTCAGGCTGTCTGTCTAGATTTCTGCACACTTTCTACTCTGGGATCTTAAAGCCCACCAACACTTCATATGAGAAAGTGGTTTGTCTTCCCCCTATAGCATCCCCTAGCCCATCCTCCCTCAACCAATGAGAGGAACAAGACAGGGGACCCCTGTATTACTTAGCAGAATGACTAAGCTGGTGTAACAAACAAACTCCCAACCAGAGAGAAGTTGAAATCTCTTCAGTGTTATCATCTGCTCTGCCTGGACTGATGGGCAAACTGCTTCATGAATTCGTTCAGGGAACCAGGTGCCTTTTATCTTATTACTCCACCATCCTTTAAAATATTTTTTCTTCTCCATGGTCAAAGTCAAGCAGAGGCATATTCGTGTTCCAGATCACAGGTAGGAGAAAAGGGAATAAGTCCAGGCAAGTCCTTTCCTTTAAACAGGTGAGACAGAAGTTGCACAAAACATTTCCACTCACAGTCTTTTGATGGGGACTTATCACATGACTTTACCTCTACTGACTTAACCAAGCATTCCTTCCAACTATGTTCACACTCTTCTTCTGGTAAATACCTGCTCCTCCATTGTGCTAGTGTTCCTGGTGCTGTTTACTTTCCATTTCAGCTGGTGTCCCGGGGCCACTTCCTCCTGGCCTATCCCTTAATTGGCTTTGAGGGTGGAAGGATAACAGAAACTATGGAGGTAGAATCAATGGAACTTGAAAATTTATTATAAATATTTGGTGAAATAGAAGGAAGAGTGGAAAATTTTTTGTTGTTTTAGTTTTAATTTTGAGCCTGAGGGTGATTTAGGATTTTCATGACATAAACCAATAATATGGGAAATCCTGGAAGAGAAGCAGATTTAATGAAAATAAAAATGATAATAGTGAAAATAATACCAACACCTAGCATAAATTATGTACTGAGAACTTTGAATGCATTACTCCATTCAGTCTTCGAAACAACACCTACTCACTTTTGTTTTCGTAACTAAAGGATGAAGAACCTGGGGTTTAGAGAATTAAAGCAAATTGCCCAAGGTCATGTTGCTGGAAGCAGCACAAGAGAGAGTTGACACTGACCCTGAAATCCAGAGCTTCTGCATATAATCACTGTGCTATGCTGTGTCCCCTTTGAAGCTATGTTAAGAAGAGGCATCTGATCCTAAAATTAGTGATGACTTGTATCTGGGAAGCTGAGAAGATTCAATGGCTCACGGAGAGGATGGCTGAAGGTGTCTCAACAGCTGGGGCTAGAATCATCTGTAGGCATCTTTGCCCAATGTCTTAGTCCTTTGGGGCAGTTATAACAAAATACCATAAACTGGATGGCTTATAAACAACAGAAACTTATTTTTACAGCTCTGGAAGCTGAAAAGTCCAAGATCAAGGCATTGGTAGGTTCAGTGTTTGGTGATTCCCACTTCTTCATAGATAGCCATCTTTTTGCTGTAACCTCATATGGCAGAAGGGGTGAAGGATCTCTCTGTGGCCTCTTCTTATAAAGACACTAATCCCGTTCATGAGGGCTCTGCTGTCATGACCTACTTACCTTGCAAAAGCCCCTCCTCCAAATACTCCCACATTGAAGATTGATTAGCTTTCAACATATGAATTTGGGAGGAATACATTCAGTCCATAGTACTCCCATTTCTTGTGGTTGACGTTGACTATTGGCTGGGATCTCAGTGGGGCTGTCAACTGGTGTACCCACATGTGGTCGCTCCATGTGGGCTGGGCTTCCTCACAGCATGGCAGCCTTAGAATTTTTGGACATTTTACATGGCAATTTAGGGAGAAGGTGTTTTATGCAACATCTGCCTAGCCAGCAAGATTAGGTTGCTACATCTTCCTAACCAGGAAGCTACATCACTTTTTATGATTAGTATGGTGGTATTAAAATAGATCCACAAATACCTTGATACTCTTCCTTCAAAAGATGTAGCCTAATTCTCCTTTCTCAGATGTGAACTGTACTTAGTGACTCATTTCTAACAAGTAGAATAATGCGGAAGTGATGATATTTGATTTCCAAGATGAGGATATAAAGGCATTATGATTTCCTTCTTGCTATGTCTTGAGTCACTTGCTCTGGGAAAAGCCAGCTCCTGTGATAGTCAAGCAATCCTATGAAGAGTACCCCAGGGCAAGGAACTGAGCCCCCTGTCGTTAGCCAGAAACCCACTGAAGACTTCCACCAGAAGCCATGTGAGCGAGCCATCTTGGAAACCCATCTTCCCACCTCAGTCAAGTCTTCAGATGACTGCAGCCCAGGCTGATACCTTGACTGACACCTTGTAAGAGGCTCTGAGTCAGAATTGCCAGCTAAGCCATCCCCCAAATCTTGACCCATAGAGACTGTGAGTAATAAATATTGATCACTTTAAGCCAATAAGTTTTGGGGTAATTTATTGTGAAACAAGAGATGACTGATACACCTAGACTCAAGAAGTCATATAGCATCATTGGCTGCATTCTATTGGCTAAGAGTGAGTTTCTAAGGCCAGCCCAGATTCAAGAGAAGGAGACACTGATGTAACTACTCAATAGAATGAGTGTCAAAAACATGTGCAGTCATGGTTTGAACTACCACAAAATGTTAAGGTTAGTGTACCTTTAATATAACTGGGGAGATGGTTCCAAATATATAGAAATGCAAGATTTTTGCCACTCATGAAACATTTATAATTAAATAATTGTTCATGTAATTTCTTACTGAATTTCTATTATTCCACTAGGCTGTGATTTGCAGAGGATAGCAGGATTTGCAGATCTGCTTTGTTCATTTTTGTGTTTCAAGAGCCATGTAGTGTTTAACAGACACTATATGCTCATGAGGTATCTGTTTAACAAATGCATGTACAAACCTTAGTTAATCAGGAAACTATGAACATATATATCTGGCCCTGGAAGTTTTTGTTTTGTTTTGTTTTTAAATTATTATCCCCAAATGAACTTCCTGAATAATACTTGAAAATATATACCTCAACATTTTCATTTGTATAAGATTGTCTATTGTTTACTGAATTATGATCATCTTAGTTTATGATTTCTCAAAGAATAGTACGGGAAATGATTTTAGGAATTGCACAAATGAAGATTTTACATTTTAATGGCTATGTGATTATTTTATTGTGCATTAAAAAGCACAAAGAGGCCAGGTACAGTGGCTCATGCCTGTAATCCCCACACTTTGGGAGGCTGAGGTGGGCGAATCACTTGAGGCCAGGAATTCAAGACCAGCCTGGCCAACATGGTGAATGAAACCCCTGTCTCTACTAAAAATACAAAAATTAACCGGGCATGGTGGTGCATGCCTGCAATCCCATCTACTCAGGAGGCCGAGGCATCAGAATCACTTGAACCCAGGAGGCAGAGGTTGCAGTGAGCCAAGATCACGCCACTGCACTTCAGCTTAGGTGATGGAGTGATACTGTGTCTCAAAAATAAACAAACAAAAACACAAAAAAAAGTACAAAAAATACAAATTGCGTTAAATATTAGGTAAATAGAATAGGTAGCATGAAGATATGGTAAAAATTACAAAAGTGATAATTGGATGACTCAAGTTGGATAAATATGGTTAGGCTCACCTTACAGAGCAAGATATATAATCTGTGGTGGAGATACTTTTATCTCTGTTAAAAAGGGAAGGAAAAATGAGGCTTAGAGATATTTACATGGTACTTTTTCCACTGTGGTGGGCTTCATGTAATTCAAGCAATTTGTTTCAAATTCTGCTCTTCAGTTCCTCATAAACATATAGATCTGACAGTTGTACACAATCTCATCTGCCAACATATTTACCTTTATGCCATCTCCCCAAATTTAAAGACTTCATAGTTCTCATATATTAATAACAACAGCGGAAGGCTTTATTTTAGTGGCTGAGACCAGAATTGTGACTTATTCAGTGTTTCTTGGATCTTTCTTACGCCATGTAGGGATAGGGTTGTAAACCCATCTTTCTTAATCTAAATTTGCAGCTCTGTTGAGTTTTAAGTGAACCGACTAGACCTAAAGCCTCTTTCTTGAAGTTCATTTATGGGAGAGGGAGTGTATTAGCTTTCTATTGCTGCCATAACAAATAATCACAAATTTAGTTACTTAAAATAATACCAATTTCTTATCTTGCAGTTCTCTACGTTAGAAGTCCAGGTACAGCATGGCTCAGATGGGCCATCTGTTTAGAGTCTCATAAGGCTGAAATCAGTGTGTTGGCAGGGATGCACTCCTTTCTGGAGGCTCAATCCACTTCCAAGCTCATTCAGTTGTTGGCAGCATTCAGTTCCATGCAGTTATAGAACTGAGCTCCCTGGGTTTTCTTGTTTGTTTGTTTTACTAAAATAGAGACAGGGTCTTACTAGGTTGCCCAGGCTGGATTCAGACTGCTGGGCTTATGTCATACCCCCATCTCAGCCTCCTAAGTAGCTGGGATTAAATTGTGTGCCAACACACCTGGCTCAAGAGCTCCCTGTTCTCAGTTTGTAAAAGCTGCCTGCATTCCTTGGCCCTCTTCATCTTCATAGCCAGCATCTCACGTTTTAAGCCTCTCTCAACTCCCCTTCTGCCTCATTTCTGCTTTCAGACAGAGAAAATTCTCTGTTTTAAAGGGTTCATCTGATTAGGCTGGATGAGCCCCATATAATACAAGATAATCTCCCTGTGTTAAGGTGAGCTGTACTCTTAATTACATCTGTAAAGTCACTTGATGACAATAACTAGATTAGCATTTGATTGAATAACCAGGTGACAGGAATTTTGGGAGGACATCTTTAAAATTCTGCTAACCACAGGGAATATCTCAAATTGTAGGATAAAAAGATCTATGAACTAAAAAGTCTAATTAATTGCCCCACATACACCAGAAATTCAAGGTAAACCAGAGACAGGATAATTACTCCCCTTCAACAGGGGAAAGATGTGAGGTGCAATGCATTTACTGATCCATAGCAATTCTGAAACCTCCTAGGTCAATGTTACCAAGTTTCCTTGCTCTGGAAAGAGGTAACATTTCTTGATTCAGCCCAGGTTCTGCTCCCTGGGAATAGTTCTCTAATCTATTTTTCTGATTCTGCTTTTTGGAAGATCCTTTTGTTCTCATCATCTCCCTTGCTCATTTCTACAGGGGCATTGTAAAACAGGTCATTTTTGGTGGCTTAGCTGCATTCACTGCCTGTTTCCTACTTGGGGTCTCAAGAGTGGTTTTACATTTCAAATAATCCTTGTCTGTCTTAGGCCAGGCTCTAAGTGCTTTTGTCAATAAACTAGAAACCTTTGTGGGTTTTGAAATACCCAAAGATTTTTAGATTTGACTCCAAAATTGGCTGGGTGTGGTAGTTCATGCCTGCAATCCATACTTTGTGAGGCTGAGGCAGTAAGATTGTTTGATGCCAGCAGTTCAACACCAGCCTGGACAACACAGCAAGACCCTGTCTCAAAAGAAAGAAAGAAAGAAAGAAAGAAAGAAAGAAAGAAAGAAAGAAAGAAAGAAAGAAAGAAAGAAAGAAAGAAAGAAACTAAAAAACAAAAAAAGATTTGATTCCATTCCATTCCATGTGCCAAAAGTCATAGCCATAATTCTTTTAAACTATGCTTCTCTCTTTAGACATAATTACTGCTAATTTAGGCATACCAGGCTGCTGTGGAAACATGCCCTTAAGCTTCCTAAGACTCGTTTTGTCTAGCAGCATGAACTGTTTACATGGGCAGCCTGTCTGAAGACAAAGTATTAATATAACATTTTTGACCTCTCGAGTTCTCTATTAAAGGTAAAGCCCTTATAAAGGAAATTTTCTGGAGCCTGTCAAGAAGCTGCTTTCTGTCATGCTGTCCCACTCTCTTGCCTAGGTATAGACACATAATCAACAATGATCATTTAGACAGAGCAGCTTGGGAGCCAGGCAGGGTCGTGGTGCTTGCCAGACCTCAGCACCATTAACTGTAATCCTTTGTCATAGGACACAGCCACCCGGCCAGCTCTGCCTTTTCCTTCACCCCTCTTACAAGCTGTCACTTGCTTTCAGAAATCTTGCCAGTTGGCCTGGGAATCAAACCCTGTGGGGTGACCCATGCAAGAAGATGCCTATCACCAAGTACATGCCTTAATTACTGCTGTCACCTGAAAATAGCCATACGAACCAAAGCAAGTGCGTGAATCTGAGACAGCAACAAAATCTGTATCAGACCATTTTGCGCCAGAAAGTCCTGAGTTCTCTGGGTCAGGGCTTTTTAACAGAATAGAAAGGAGCCCCAGCAATTGTCTCTCATCCTGTAAATCTGCCCAGTGTCTGTCACATAGTTGGCAAAGACACTGATTTTTCAGAGGCAGTCAATGCTGGCAGACAATCAGGATATCTGAAAGCCCTTTTCTTTTGGGAATAGCAAAACTTCCACAGCTCACTTCATGCTGATCTTCTCTGAACTCAGTCTTTTTGTGACATTTCTAAAAAAAAGAGCAGTTAAAAACTACGAAGTTAATTCTTGAGCTATAGATGAATTCCTTCTAAGTACCACAACTATGCTTTGGGTAGTTGCTACCTGGTGAATGTTAATAAGTATACGCTCAGGGCAATTTAGACTGTGGTTTCCAAACCAGGAAGAATAACATTTTAAAATGATAGATTACTAGACAGTGCTGGAAGATTCTGGTTTTGGATGGAGTCTAGAAACATGTTTTAAAATGTTCTTCAGGCATAATAGGTGCAGTTCATTGTTGTAAAAAATAGGATCCATATTTTGGTGATTTTACACAATCAAAATGTCTTTCTTGCTCATATAACAGTTCGGTAAATGTGTCCTGGGTTGGTGGGTAGCTTTCCTCTGTATCACGATTCAGAGACCCAGGATTCTTTCATTTTGTGCCCCAAAGAGAACACCAAGTAATTGCGGCAATGCCACAGCAGAAAGAACCTATCGTTCCTGGGGCTGGGGAAACAAAGAGAAGAGGATGACATTATTGAAACTTGTGAGGGCTCCCATAGAGCAGAGATGCAGACATCTGAGAAGGAGGCTGCCATTCAGCTGCTGCTGCTGTCCCCAAGCTTGGAGTGGGGCTCCACGGGGCTGTGACTGGCTGAGGAGTGGGTGTTGGTTGGCTGCTGCTGGGGTCTCCAAGAAGGCACAATGAAGCTAGTTCTGTGCGTGCTGGGAAAACTGCACACCGGATTCAACTGCTGCTACTGGAATGAACTGCCTCTGCTGGAGAAAGATGCGGGCCTAAGGTGAGGCTGGTGGGACCTGGAGGCAAACAGGAAACCCACAAAAAGCAAGTGGGAAGGAGCAAATCTCTCCTTCCTTCCCACGCTTCCAGTTTTCTTCTAGAATCCATGTTGGCAGAAGCCGAGAGGAAGTCAGTTGGCAAAGCAGAAGCCCAGCCCCAGCATTATACAGCAGAGAACAGTTGAGTGGGTGTGAAGGTGAGAAGCAGTAACTCAGTCACTGGCACCATGACGGTCCTTGGGTTAGGGGCAGTGGGTAGCCCTAATCACCCATGCTGGATTCCTTCCGTTTCCCTCTTTGGATTTACTCTCCACCCTTCCCACCTTCGCAGTGTCCCCAGCTGTTGTCTGTGTGATGCACAACAGGCTGCCTCGCACTCTAGCTTCTGGCTGTGAGCATGGCTAAGAGGTGGAGAGAAGGAGGGGAGTGAGGATGGGACACACACTGACCTGATTCCCAGCGATGGGTCTGCTGTGTTTTTCCTTGGAGCTCCTCCTTTCTTCCTCTTAAGACCACGGGGTGGCAACACGGTTTTGCTGCTTTTAGTCCCAGCACACGGCACCATTTTCTGTGGGTTCCCAACAGCCAGTTCCCATCTCTGTAATTTGTTTCTTTATTAGACTCTCCTCACATCCTCCTAATTTCAGAGTGCCACTGTTTTTCTGGGACCCTGACTGATAGGCAGTCTAAGCTTGAGATGAAAAGAAGTGGACACAATTACAGGGAACCAGAGAGGAGACAGCCAAAGGGGAGAAAGCCACCTAAGGGAGCAATGGCCTTCTGTAGAGGCACTGCCAATTGGGTGTCTCAGTGGGGAGGCAGATGGTTCATGCAGATGGTGGAAATAATTAACCCAACATCTTTCTCCCCTCTTCCAGTTCCTGACTTCCTCTGACCGCTCTCCACTGGCCAAACCCAATGAGAAGACAGAATTGAGGCTGTCGGTAGTGTGTCCTCAGAGATCAACCACCTTGGTCAGACAGGAGGTTGAAGAAGGCTGGAAAGCAAAACTGGAGGGTGAACAGAAAAGTTCCAGCAATCGGGACACTGGGGGCATTTGACACACAGGTCAGATAATATACAACCACCCTACTCTATGCAAAAAATTTATTTTCAATACTATTCAGAAATAATTACTTTGATCTTGATTTAATCCTTAGCTTTAAACCAATTCACAACCTAGAAAGAATGCATTGGCCGGGCATGGTGGCTCACGCCTGTAATCCCAGCACTGTGGGAGGCCGAGGTGGGCGGATCACCTGAGGTCGGGAGTTGGAGACCAGACTGACCAACATGGAGAAACCCTGTCTCTACTAAAAATACAAAATTAGCCGGGTATGGGGGCACATGCTGGTAATCCCAGCTACTCAGGAGGCTGAGGCAGGAGAATCACTTGAACCCGGGAGGCAGATGTTGCAGTGAGCTGAGATCGTGCCATTGCACTCCAGCCTGGGCAACAAGAGTGAAACTCTGTCTCAAAAAAAAAATGCATTTAAATGTACAGGTATTATTCAAATTCAGTAAAACATAACATGAATGAATTTAATTTTGCACTTATTAAAGAAAAAGATTGCACATCACAGCTCTAGACTTAAGTTAAAAACTCCACTGGGCATGTGCAATGACAGAACTGAAATAACTCAAGGTATGTTTCTTCCTCTTTACAAACTTGGCACTGTCATAGTCTATTTTGAGTTTATTGTTTAAATGTACACATGTGCCATACCATAGGGTTTTGGAGAAATGAGCTATATCCCAAGAGAGTTTCAACAGTTCGAAGCTGTTGAAGACTTACACTTGAAACAAATATGTGTAGCTGAGTCTGTGTGTAGCTGTATTTGGACTAAATGCTAACTGGATGTTCTCTGAATTAACTTCCATGTGGCATACGGTGTTTCTTAAAATATAAGATATGAAGAGCAGGCTATTTAAAGCTTGCATACACATTATTAAAATTCAACATTAACTGCCACAATAGTTTGAAACTTAGACCAACAAAAGGTTGCTTTACTGATATCGTTTAGATTTGCCAGTGCTTGGTGTTAATAAAAGCAGATCAATTTGGTGTGGGTTTCATTATTGCTTTTAAAGTCTCTCTGGGTCATGCCTGCACTGGGGTGGACTGCTCCCCTGCCCGCCCGTGGCCCACTGCTTCATTGAGCCCATCTTTTGGGTGTTTTCTGTCATAACTTCTGCTTGCTCAATTTTCTGCTTACTCATAACTTCGCCTCTCACAAGATCTTGTGAGCTGCTCTCACCAGTCCTTACCTTCCTACTTTGGGTCCCATTGTCTCCTTTCTTAATCTCCCAGAATGACGTAATTCAAATCCCTGCAAGAGAGACTTTTATTTGGCCAGCACATCTTTTGGAGCAGACAATATCACTGGCTTTCAGCTAGACGGTGCATTGACCCTATTGGCTCTGGTAACCAGAGGAGGATGGGTTCACTGACCCAAATCATGCCTGTCCAGAAGGGGCTCTGTGCAACACAGTTTCCGGGATTGGTGAGTGTAATGCCCGGAAAGTTTGAACATGCATAGAAATCCCTAAGGCAAACAAGAATTTATTTGTAATATAGTAGATAGAGCGCTGGATGTGGAGTCAGGTGTACCTGGTCTTAAATCCGCTCTGTGATGTTTTTGCAAGTCTGATATTTCCTCATCCTTAGTTTGCTTGTAGCGAAATAGGTGTTTTGGCTGGACGTGGTGGCTCATGCCTGTAATCCCAGCACTTTGGGAGGCTGGGGCGGGTGGATCACCTGAAGTCAGGAGTTCGAGACCAGCCTGACCAACATGGTGAAACCCCGTCTCTACTAAAAATGTGAAAATTAGCCGGGCGTGGTGGTGCACTCCTGTAATCTCAGCTACTCAGGAGGCTGCGGCAGGAGAATCACCTGAACCTGGGAGGTGGAGGTTGCCGTGAGCCAAGATCGTGCCATTGCACTCCAGCCTGGGAAACAAGAGTGAAACTCTGTCTTGGAAAAATAAAAAATAAATAAATAAATAAAAACAGATGCTTCATTTAGGTAGAGAATGCAAGCCCTAAAACTTAAAAATGCTGAAACGAAGTCATAGCAAGAAGTCTAGCTGTGGGTGGCTGCCGGCATTGGTTCAGGGTCAGCTTCTCAGAGCATCTCTTGGCCTTTCTCCTATACTTGTCCCACCACAGTTGCATGATGGCTTTTACAGCTGTAGACATCCTGTCCTTCTCCAGATAGGAAGAAAGGGGAGGTGGTGATGAGCCCATGGACCCAAGTTTATGCCTATTAGGAAAAGCGAAGGGCTCCCCAGACTCCCAGCAGATTTGCACTGATGTCTCTTCTGCCAAGGCAGTGTACAAGGCCACCCCTGGCTACAGGGCAGGCTAGGACAGGGGTATTTGTGTGGGGCTAGACATAGGTTTCCCAGAACAAAACTGAGATTATACCAGCAGAAACACAGGAGAGGGGACAGGCATTAGGAAGGTGGGTGGGATATCGCAAAGGGGTTAAATCTATCTGATCTGTTTCCTTCCAGGGTGGTTGTGAGGATTAGACATTTGTGAAATGTGCTATGGGGTTGTATTAGTCCATTCTCACACTGCTATAAAAAGCTGCCTGAGACTGAGTCATTTATAAACAAAAGAGGGTTAATTGACTCATAGCTCTGCATGGCTGGGGAGGTTTCAGAAAACTTACAATCATGGTGGAAGGCAAAGGGGAAGCAAGTACTTTCTTCACAAGGCAGCAGGAGAGACAGGAAGTACCACACTTTAAAACCACCAGCTCTGGTGAGAACTCACTCACTATCACGAGACCAGCATGGGGAAAATCACCCCCATGATCCAATCACTTCCCACCAGGTCCCTCCGTCAACATATGGGGATTACAATTTGAGATGAGATTTCGGTGGGGAAGCAGAGCCACATCATATCAGGGGCCCTTCTCAAAATGAAAACATGAAGCTCCCCTACTTGATCATTCTATTTCCTATGGCTGTTTTCCTAAAGATCGGCCCTTTTTTCCACTTTACTTTGAGAACCACCAAACAAAATTGAGTCTGGCCTGACACTGCGTACCCTTTTCCCTTGCAACCTCATCTCTTCATGTGCCCTTTGCCCTCTGATGACTCTAACCTCTTTCGAAGGTCCTTGAATTCACTAAGATTTGTTTACTCAAGGGCCTTTACTTTTGCAATTTTCCCTGCTTGGAGCAATCTTCCTCCTTTCTGTTCCTTCTGCAGAGAAGTCTACCCTGACTCTCAACCAATGTGAAAAATCCCCTTGCTCTTTCCTGGCTTTCTTTCAGAGTGCCGAGCACAGTCTTCATTTCTGGATAGTCTATTGATTAGCATTTATCTGCTTGAAAGGCAGCCTAACTGTAGCATTTGAGGGCCTGAGTGCTGGAGCTAGACTACCTGGATTTAAGCGCTTCCCAGCTGTGTGATCCCGGGAAAGTTATTTTAATGTCTGGTGCCTCAGTTTCCTCATCTGTAAAAATAGAGATATTAATATCACCTACTTCATAGGGTTGTGGAGGGGATTAACTGTTTATATTTGTAAAGTGCTTAGAGCAGTGCTCTGTGCATAGCAGAGATTATGCGAGTATTACATAAATAAAAGAAATAATACCTGTTTCCTCCACGATACTGTGTGATCTATAAAGAGGAGAACTGTATCTGTTCTTTCACTGTAGTGGTTAGCACAGTGCCAGGCCATGTTATTGTTGTTGTTGCTGTTGTTTTACATCCAGCGAGTATTAAATATTTGCCAAATAAATGAATAAAGAAATAAATAACTGAGTGATGTTCTAAATTGGAGTGGGAGTAGAACAACGTTGCAACATCTCAGGGTTTCAGAAAATATTATTTAAGAAGTAGAAGGCTGGGTGCAGTGGCTCATGCCTGTAATCGCAGCACTTTGAGAGGCCGAGGTGGGTGGATCACCTGAGGTCAGGAGTTCGAAATCAGCCTGGCCAACATGGCAAAACTCTGTCTCTACTAAAAATTCAAAAATTAGCTGGACATTGTGGCACATGCCTGTAATCCCAGCTACTCAGGAGGCTGAGGCAGGAGAATCACTTGAACCCGGGAGACAGAGGTTGCAGTGAGCTGAGATCGCGCCATTGCACTCCAGCCTGGGCAACAAGAGCAAAACTCTGTTTCAAAAAAAAAAAAAAAAAGAAGTAGAAGTTTCTAGCTCCATTGGGAGTTGAATTCCTGCCTGTGGGGTTTGTTGGAACTGAATCTTCCATGACAAAGTGTGGGACTGGTGTGGACCATCAGTAGAATCATTGCTTCCCCGCTTCTCCTTGCTTCCCCGCTTACAGTAATTGCCTCCTCTTGGAGAACTGCTAGGTCTCAGACCACCTAGGAAGTGGAATTGAGACCCTGTGAGACCGATGCACAGGCTCCCACCCATGTGGAAAGCTGCAGCCCTGATTAGGTGTTTGGCTGGCTGACCCCACCACCCTTGGGACCGCGGTTTCCCTGAGTAGCTTGAGCTCTGGCCCTGGTCACGACTCAGGGTTGTTCTGACCCTCTCAGAAGAGAATTTTCCAAAACCCCAAACAACGACAGCTTTATGGGCCAGCTGCACTCTGTTCCCTTTGAGAGGCAACCAGAGCTCTTAAATCACATGAAAAACACATCCAAGTTGTGCTGTGGGGACTCACATCAGGCAACTGGCTGCTCTACTCAATTCTTGTCCAACACTAGGTCTCCAAGGAGCCATTTGAAGCCCAGTCAAATAGACCTCGATCACCCTGGCTGGCTGCCAGAGCCTGATGGTCCTCTGCCTTCAGAGCCTCTGCAGCGTGAGCGCTGGACAATTTCCTGTGGCCCATGGTCTCCCCAGCCAGGTTAACGTTCAGCCTCCCTGTCTTCTGGATCCCACCTTGTTTTTCTGTTTTGTTTGCTGAACGGCCTCAGGGTTTCCCCTTTCCTGCTCCAGCCCATCTGGAAGTCTCTTTATTAACAGTTTATTTGCAAGCTCATGGTGGTCTATGAACTTGTCTGAAATTTCCTGGAAAAGAAACAACTGCTTGAGTCCCAGGGGAACCTTCTGTCAGTCTCTCCTCAGACAATTCTGAGTGGCTATTCATGTGGTATGTGGCTACTCCTCCCCTTTCACCCACCCCCACACACCTTGAAAACAGCCTCCAGCTCCAATAAAAACATTTCAGAAGTCCTGACAGAGAGCAAAGACTGCGTTCTACTCCTAAAAGAGTGTAGCCTGCAATGGTACCGAGTATGTGGGGGATGCCACCTTCTAGGTGGGCTCTTCAAGGATAGTTTGAGGAGAAATCCTAGGCGAGCCTTTTAGAAGCTATTACTTGCCGTTTGTTGGCTTGTGAGCGAGAATTTCTAGCCCCGCCGAGGTTTGGTTGTGAGAACCAAGCCGTGAGCTGGGGAGGAGGGGAAGGGACCGATGCTGAAGATCTGCTTCCTATTTCTCCTATTCCTCCCTGCCTTCCTATTTCTGCCCACTAGGATGAGCGGTCACTCCGAGCTCTTCCTCTGAGGGCACTCCAGAGCCTGGCAGCCAGCTCCCGAGATTCCCTCCCTATGCAGCTTCTTCAGTCAATCACCTCTCGGTCCTTGGCAGCAGCATCCACTTCCCACAGGAGGCCCCGTCCTGAAAGAGAGGGAGCCAGGCTTGGCTTCTGCCCCCGTGGTAGGCCTTGGGTAGCAACACACTTGCTAACACCCCCACTTTCAGGCAAATCCCATGTAACTACTCAACAGACCTTGCATTTTCTTAAGGCGAAAGGTACGAAACACAACTTAAAATGCTGATGGCTTTTGACTAGGAACAGAACTCAGAAATGACCAGTTTGCAGGTGTTCAGGTTTTCTTAAGCCACAGTAACCTGCCCTCCAGTGAAATCTTACTGAGAAGCCCATGGGGGTGCCCGAGAAGTGGGGAAGGGTCCAGGCCCCACAGACTCGCTCCCTGATCCTCTTGGTAGTTCCTGAGGTTCTCATGCCAAATGCCTAATATTCTCTAGAGCCCACTTTGAAAGTCACTCGTTTCCATGGAGCAAAGTGTAACTAACTTGAGAACCCAAAGGACTCGCCCAAGGTAGGTGTTACTTGGAGACCTGGGCACAACTGGACCCCAGGTCTCTTAAAATCAGGTTTATGCACTTAGAGAAATTCTGCTAAATGTTTTTTCTCTCTGTCTCTCAATACACACACACACACACACACACACACACACACACACACACACACACACACGGAGTCTTACTCTGTTGCCCAGGCTGCAGTGCAGTGGTGCAATCTTGGCTCACTGCAGCCTCCTCTTCCTGGGCAATCCTCCCACCTCAGCCTTCCACATAGCTGGGACTACAAGTGTGAGCCACTATGCTGGGCTAATTTTTGTATTTTTTGTAGACACAGTGTTTCGCCATGTTGCCCAGGCTGGTCTCGAAATCTTGGGCTCAAGTGACCCACTCACCTCAGCCTCCCAAGGTGATAGAATTATAGGTGTGAGCCACCACACCTGGCCTTAATGTGCAATTTATTAACCACATTTGGTTTAGAGTTGGTCCTATGGTGAAACGGTTCAATGCTCATCCCTCTTCTGTTTTCATTAGTTTAAGTAATTGTTCTTGGTCGGCATATTAGCCAGCCAGGGCTGCCAGAACAAAGTACCAAAGGTTGTGTGGCTTAAACAACAGGAATTTATTTTCTGACAATTCTGGAAGCTAGAAACTCAAGATCAAAGTCAGTGGGGTTGGTTCCTTCTGAGGACTGCCTCATTGATAGATGGCCGTGGTTTTCTCTCTGTAATTGTCTGTGTTTAACTTCCCTCCTCTTATAAGGACATCAGTCATATTGGAATAGGACCCTTCCATATGACCTCTTTTTATCTTAATTACCTCTTTGAAGTCTCTATGTCCAGATATATCACATTCAGAGGTACCAGCGTTTAGGACTTGAACACATGAATTTGGAGGGGGTGAGACCCAGTTCAGCCCATGACTAAACCTCACCTTTTCTTCCCCTAGTGATTAATTCAAAGAGAGCATATGGAAACTATATTCCCTGAATTCTTGTACATTCAAAAACATCGTACTATAGCTTTCTTTTTAGGTTACTTTTTTCTCTTGAAACCTGGAAGGCATTGTGCTATTGACTTCTAGTCTTGTAGGTTGTTATGGGGAAAGTCTGAGGCCAGCAAAATGTTTTTCCAGCTCCAACTGCGGGACACATGAAGGAGGTCACATCCAGAGACACTCAAAGAAGAGGAGGACTACAGCCTCATGAATGACCCTGAGGGAGACCACCCAAAGAACTGTCTGACTGAACACAGCCCAAACTGCTTACCCACAGGGTCTTTAGCCAGTAAAATAGTTGTTTTGAGCCACTATGTTGTGGGGATGGTTTGTTACACAGCAATTGATAACTGACACACAGAGCTAGCAGGAATTCTCCCTGGATCACTGTGCTGTTTCTTATGACTTGGGGTTGTTTGGGTGGGTGAATAGTTTAGCCTGTGTTTCTCTCCAGATAATTGACAGCAGCTGCAGAGTTACTCATAATGCAGTGTGGAAACGCTTGCTTCCTCCTGTCTCCCAGATAGACTGCTTCCTGTGCATATGTGAATCTGAATCTGAGTGAATCCTCTCTCAGCACCACATTCTCAACTTCTCACAGGGGCTAAACTTGGCTCCTACTCTCTGGTGTCCCCCACCTCTCTCAGCTCCTCCCTGCCTTCCTGTTTGACTTGCAGTGGGTTTGGCATTCTTTCATCAGATATCGCAGTTGGGGTTGCAAATATTACATAGGTTTATCACACATAGGGCTGCATTTCTGTTTCTTGATTTTTTTGGGGGGGATAGGAGGGTGTGAAAAAGAGGCACTTCTAGGTTTGCTGTGACATTAAAAAATATTAGGATAAAAAAATTTTAAAAATATTAATCTGTTCAGGCTGCTGTAACAAAATACCATAACCTAGGTGGCTTATAAACAATAGAAATTCAGTTCTGATGGTTCTGGATGCTGAGAAGTTCAAGACCAAGTTTCCAGCAGGGTCCGTGTCTGCTGAGCACTAGCTCTCTGGTTCAGAGATGAACTTTTCACTGTGTCCTCATGCTGTGGAAGAGGTGAATAAGCTCATTTGGACCTCTTTTATAAGGGCACTAATCCCATTCATGAGGGATCCATCCTTTTGACTCAATCACCTCCTAAAGGCCCCACTTCTTTTAACTGCCATATTGGGGATTAGATCTCAAAATATGAATTTTGGGGAGACACTAACGTTTGAACCATAGCAGCGGCCAACATAAGATTGTCAATTTTTTAATATAAGAAGATTTAAAAAGAGCAGCTGTGGCCAAACAAAAATATGACAAAAAGCTCATCATCACTGGTCATTAGAGGAATGCAAATCAAAACCACAATGAGATACCATCTCATGCCAGTTAGAATGGTGATCATTAAAAACTCAGGAAACAAGAGATGCTGTAGAGGATGTGGAGAAATAGGAAACTTTTACACTGTTGGGAGTGTAAATTAGTTCAAGCATTGTGGAAGACAGTGTGGCGATTCCTCAAGGATCTAGAACCAGAAATACCATTTGACCCAGCGATCCCAATACTGGGTATATACCCAAAGGATTATAAATCATTCTACTACAAAGACACATGCACATGTATGTTTACTGCTGCACTATTCACAATAACAAAGACTTGGAACCAACCCAAATGCCCATCAATGATAGACTAGATAAAGAAAATGTGGCACATATACACCATGGAATACTATGCAACCATTAAAAAGGATGAGTTCATGTCCTTTGCAGGGACATGGATGAAGCTAGAAAGCCTCATTCTCAGCAAACTAACACAAGAACAGAAAACTAAACACTGCACGTTCTCACTCACAATTGGAAGTTGAGCAATGAGAACACATGAACACAGGGAGGGGAATATCACACACTGGGGCCTGTCAGGGGGTGGGGGACTAGGGGAGGGACAGCATTAGGACAAATACCTAACATAGGTGATGGGTTGATGGGTGCAGCAAACCACCATGGCACGTGTATACCTATGTAACAAACCTGCGCATTCTGCACATGTATGCCAGAACTTAAAGTAAAATTAAAAAAAGAGCAGCTATTTTTCATTATCATCACCCTTTCAGAAAAGAAATCCATTATAATACCTTATAATTACAAGTCTATAAACTCAGAAAAAAGGATAATCCTTCTTAAGAGAGAATTAAGATATAATGTACTTTAATATTTGTGTTTATGGGAAATACTAATGGATGGAGACGCAGAAAACTTGCAATTTAAAATTAGATTTCACTGAGTGCAGTGGCTTAGGCCTGTAATCCCAGCACTTTGGGAGGCTTAGGTAGGAGGATCCCTTTAGCCTAGAAGATTAAGACCAGTCTGGGCAACAAAGGGAGACCCCATCTCTCTTAAAAAAAAAAAAAAAAATCACAAGGTCAGGAGATCGAGACCATCCTGGCTAACACGGCGAAACCCTGTCTCTACTATAAATACAAAAAAAAAAAAATTAGCCGGGCGAGGTGGCGGGTGCCCGTAGTCCCAGCTACTGGGGAGGCCGAGGCAGGAGAATGGCGTGAACCCGGGGGGCGGAGCCTGCAGTGAGCCGAGATCGCGCCACTGCACTCCAGCCTAGGCGACAGAGACAGACTCGGTCGCAAAAAAAAAAAAAAAAAGTAGAGCCAGGCACAGTGGTGTGTGCCTGTAGTCCCAGCTACTCAAAAGGCTGAGGTGGGAGGATTGCTTTAGCCCAGGAGTTCGAGGTTGCAGTCAGCTATGATCACGCCATTGCACTGCAGCCTGGGTGACAGAGCAAGACCCTGTCTCAGAAAAAAAAAAAAAAAAAAGATTTTACCCAATTTCCCTTTGACTAGTCTGTCATGAAAGTGAGACTACAAACTGTAAAAGAACGTTAATCTTCATGTTTAGGAAGAAACTCATCTCTCTCCTTTCCCGCACAAAGTCATTTTTAAATTATCTTAAGGTAGCGATGATTTTGATGCTCCATCAGGTTCCACTCTTTTTGATAAAATAGTTAACCGTAATAATCTCCTCTGGCTCAAGCCGTTTCTGACTTTAGGCCCTGTAAGCGCTCTGGACAAGCTCTATTGTTTATATGGAGCAGCAAATGGGTTGGAGGGTATTTTGAAGTTAGAGCAAGCATTTGGCTGCAGAACTAAGGTCACCAGCACTCCACCATCTTTATTTGTCCCCCATTTACCCCGTCGCTGCCTGGCCCTGTCTGCAGACTGTGGTTTCCGGGACACATGGGCTAAGCCTGGCAGCACAGGGCCGCAGATTCTCAAAGCTTTACCTCTGGATTCAGTCACTAGAAAGCTGTGCAGATGGTGTCACATCTCTCTCGAGCACTTAGTGGCTCTGGAGTAAATATTTGTGGGATAATAAATGAACAGTTTACTGCAGGACTCGCTGAAGTCTGCCTAGGGCCACATCTTGAGACAGGCTGCCTGCTCCCGCTGTCCCTGCCATCCCCCCAGCGTCTGGCTCACCCACGGTCTATTCTGCATGTCTGCTGCATGCATTCAGCTTAGAAAAAGCCGACTCCCAGAGGGCAGACACTAATATGAGTGCAATTGAGGATACTTTTTTCTTCTTTTCAGAGAAAATGAATGAGGAGTCATTCAGAAGCCTAAGGAGAAGATCTAGGAGGAGCTGATAGAAGAACAGCCAGTGCTGCTGAGGACTGGCTACTGTGAAGGTTGTGCAGTTTGGTGGGAGCCCTGGGGAACTCCCTTCTATCCTGTGTGTGATTGAAACCCTCACCCCACAATAAACACACACACAAACACACACACAGACACACACACATACAAATCCAGAGAAATGCAAAGCCTGCTCTTGCTGGGTGGGCCTCATGGCTGCTCCTCTGATCAATGGCCCACCAGAAAGGGACAAATAGACTAAAAACAAAGTTTGTGTCTAAGAACACAAAAGTGGTTTCTCCAATGGGAAAATAGGCCCGGGCTCTGTGGAGCTCCTCCAGAAAGCCCAGCATAGGGCCCAGGAGGGGCCAACCCCCCCCCACCACAGCCACCACCGCCCCCCCGCCCCCGCCAACACCCCCCCGCGCCACCACTGCCCCCGCCACCCTCCCCTCCCGCCCCTGCCACCCCCGCCCCCTGCCCACCCCCGGCCAGCCGCTGTTTCCTTGCTGCTGCTTTCACCTCCGGCTCCACTCACTTGCTGATACTTTTCCCCACTTGAAATCTGAGCCCAGGCTGATGGTTGTCAAATCCCATGGGCCCAGTGCTTACAACAGGGACACAGAGAAATGGCCTTTGAAGCCTGCACTTGAATTCAGCCTTGCCTCTCGCTAACTGTGTCATGAGGAGCAAGCCACTAAATCTCACGGAAGGTGAAGTTCCCTAGTCTATAGAGGGTGACTCCTCCTGGTACCTGGTACCTGTAAGGAGGCTGCGCATCCAAACAAATCAACCCAGTCAAGGAACCACGTTTAGTAATGGGATAACTAGATGCTAATTAATTGTACCTCTTCCCCCTCACTCCAACTTACCTTATGTACCAGTAGTCAAAAAAGGACGGGCAAGAAGGGAGAGAAGGAAAGGGAAAGAAAAAAGTAGAAGACTGACAAGACCATTCCTGGGTCCTTTAAGTAGTTTCAACAACTGTAAAAATTACATAGCAATCAAAAAGACTAGAAGAAAACCTAAGATATTAAGCAGTGAAGGTTATTTGTCAGTGAGAGAAATATAATTTTTATTTTCTACTTTCATAATAAAAAATACTTTTTTAATTTTTTTTTTTTTTGAGACAGAGTTTTGCTCTTGTTGCCCAGGCTGGAGTGCAGTGGTGTGATCTCGGCTCACTGCAACCTCTGCCTCTTGAGTTCAAGTGATTATCCTGCCTCAGCCTCCCAAGTAGCTGGGATTACAGGCACCCGCCATCATGCCCAGCTAATTTTTGTATTTTTAGTAGAGACAGAGTTTCACCATGTTGGACAGGCTGGTCTCGAACTTCTGACCTCAAGTGATCTACCTGCCTCAGCCTCCCAAAGTGCTGGGATTACAGGCATGAGCCACCGTACCTGGCTTGAAAAAATACATTTTAAAGATAATCCCCTCCCCCCAATACTTCTCCCCAACTCCTCCTGTTTTGCACATGTTTAACATGTGCAATGTCACAGGGCGCCTTAGTTGGAGCATGAGGCATCCTGAGTCCTTGATGACACAGGCAGGCAGCAAAGGAGGAGGACACTCACATGGGAAAAATAAACACTGGGAAAGGGAGAGAAGCCAGACACCCAGCCCAGCAAGGAGCACAGACAAGGAGAAACCCCGGGTGGCAGACACTATTGGCTCTGGGGGATCATGAGGAGCCCAGGTAGGGCGTGAAAGGTGAGGGGATAAAGGTATCACTAGCAAGACCTGGGTGGGATGACAAGACAACAGCCAAATAGGCTGGGGCCCCAAGGGCTAATCTTAATATGGAAGTAAGGTGATGATGATAGGGAAATCGAGGCAGAAGCTCAGTTCTGTGGTTGCCAAGCACAGAAACCCTTTTACTTAAAATCTCCATGACACCCAGGGTTCTTCCCAGAACACAGAACCCAGGAGATGGGCGTGTGACATGATGTCAGGTCACACTAGGTCTGAGGCTGACATGCTGATGTTCTTTCTGCTGCTGGCCTGATAAACTCAGAACATGGGCAAGGCTGAGCCCGAGGTAGAGGACAGCAATGACCAAAACTGTGAGGAGCTGTTGATGGACAGGAGGGTGAAGATATCAAGCTTCAGAGCTGTCAGTTCCAAGGTGGAGGACTGGCTCAACAGGAAGGTCTAGTAACACAGGGTGGTGGTGGGGCGGGGGTGGCTCTGCTATCTGCACACGAGTAGGAGAAGCCAAGGAAACTCTGGGCTTTATCACAGCTTAAAAAAAAAAAAAGTCCCATAGCATAAAAATGCAAAGAATTTATCAATAGTGAAGTTCTGTGAATGATCATGAAATAAGCTTTCTTTTAAAAAGATTTTCTATAAGAGAAGAAATACATATTTATTATAAAGTTAAAAAAATAGAGAAAGGTATAAAGATGACAACAACATCACCAAAGCTCCATCATCCAGAGATAACCCACAGATAACATTTTGGTATATTTGCTTCAGTTTATGTTTTATTAAAAATAAAAAGGCATTAGTTTCTCCAAGGTGGGGCAAATAAAAAAATAAAAAGACAAAAATCAAAACATTATTGATTTTTGTTTTAGTTTCTTCTAAACTTAAATAAATTGCATATGTATTTTATAATATTTTCTGATGTCTTGAGGATGTATGTGTCAACAACATTTTTATTGGTGGCAATATATTTTATTAAATTAATATATCAAAATTTATGTAAACATTCCCTTACTGTTTGGCAGTAAATGGGCTTCATTTTTTTTGTTATAAATAATAATGAGGCAAAAATGTAAGCATTCAAACCTGCTTATGTCCCCGACAATTTCTGATGATAAATTCCTAGAAGTAGAATGACTAGATCGCTTACACATTTTCTATGATTTCTCTGCGTAGCTCAGTGACTCTATTATCTCTCCTGCTAAACTCAGTTTCTTACAAAACAAAATACAATGAAACTTTGCTAAATAAATAGACAAAAGTAGTATTGGCATACATTTATCCTATGATGGGTGATAAAATGAAGATCCAAAAGCTTTTGGCAGGCTGGAACAGCATCTCAGATGTTTCCAATGACAATTCTTAGGGATATGGTCTGGCATTTAGAGTCACCAGACCAAACGAGTGAAGTACAAGATGAAAGAGATGTGACATAACAACAGGCAAGAGGAGTCATGTGAATCAAAAAAAAAAAAAAAAAATGCTCACTATCTTTGGCCGTAATAATAAAAGTATAGAGTCCAGAACAGGAGGATGATGGTCCTGCTCTGCTCTGCGTGGTCAGAGTCACCCTCAGTACTTGGCCCCACACAGTAAAGGAAACACTAATAAATAGCCCCTGCTCAGAGGAGAGATCAGAATAACAAGAAATAACCTATGTGATCTCACTTTTCTGTATTGAGACTTGGTAGCCATGTCTATGTTATGTGACGCAGGCCCCTGCCCAGGGTTGGCTAATCCCAGGTAGGTCTTCAGAATCTCAATAGGAAGTTGAAATTGACATGAAAGTCACCAATGAGTTACGTGAATGGCAGGACTGCAGTAGGAGGACGCTGACTCCTGCTCTGAATCCCAGCAACTTCCTTCTCAGGTTGGAGATGTTTAATTCCTCTTTTGATTCTATGAGACATCTCAGGTAAAGCTCACCAGAGCCTGTTTCTGTAACTTGCAACTGAAGTATTAATAGAACTGTGCTAGTACACTACGGAAATGTTGAAACAACCATGGTGTTTATTTTGGAGGAGAAAAGACTTAGAGGGAAACATAAGAGCTGTGGGCAAATATTTGAAGGACTGGTCACCGAGAAGCCGAGTCAGGCTTGTTTCACAAGGCCTCAAATGGCAGAACTAGAAAGGTGCAGGGTCCATTGGATTTCCTCAAAGATCGGAGTTGCCTTGGGAAAGAGAGCGTTCTCAGTGCAAATGTCCACATGTTTTTGTGCAACCTCATGACGACTCTTGTAGAGGCATTCGAGCATTAAATGTTACTGCTTTCAGAGCGCTCCTCTGGTCTGGGCAACCACCCTTGTTCATCCCTTTAACTTTTATTTAAGGTACCCTTGGAAGGCCATTCCTGGGATTTGGGTGCCCCTGGGGCAATGAGGTCAAAGACATATACAGAAGGTCCACAACTGACCATGGTTTGACCTAAGATTTACGATGGTGCAGAAAAAATATGTGTTCAGTAGAAACTATACTTCAGAATTTGAACTTTGATCTTTTCCAGGGCTGGTGATAATATAGTACAATGCTCTCTCATGATGCCAGGCAGGGGTAGTGAGCAGCAGCTCCAGTCAGCAACAAAGTCATGAGGACAGACAACTGATACTGTGCTCTACAGTGTACTGTGTTCAATAAATTACACGAGATATTCAACACTTCATGATAAAATAGGCTTAGGTGTTACATGATTTCACCCAACTGTAGGCTAATGGAAGTGTTCTCAGCACGTTTGTGGTAGGCTAGGCTAAGCTATGGTGTTCAGTAGGTTAGGAGTATTAAATGCATTCTCTACTTATGATAATTTCGGCTCACGATGGGTTTACAAGACGTAGCCGCATAAGTCAAGGAACATCTGTACTCTTGGAAGTCACTCTCTTTGGAGACTTCAGGAAAATAGCAAGCAGTTGATTACATCGTTCTAAACATTCTATCATTGTTGATTAAATTAAATTCAGTACAGGATGTTTTTATACTTTAAAGATATAAGCCAAATAGTCTGTGAATTTTGGGGTGGTTTGCTTTGCCTGCTTTGATTATCTTCTGTATGTCAGGAGAGCTGACAAAATTGTTTGCCTTTCTGCCTCCGATACGTTTGCCTACTCCAACCTCCTGCATACTCTTTCTAACAGATGATTTTGTTCCCAGCGGGTCTGAATCGAATCCCAACAGAAGGAAGAGCAGCGCCACCTACTGGGCACGGATTCTCGAGCTTTTTATTCTGAGTATTTACTCCTGTTCTTGGGAGACAACCCCGTTAAAAGTCGCATCACAGAACCCAAATGACATAATCTGAGTCCCCAGTGACATTCTGGAAGAATCTGGAATAATTAAATATCCCACCATTAGTTGGATGGGGCTTCTGAGGTTTGCTTCCAAAGGGAAAGAGACTTAATAAAACAGGCTTCTCCAACAATCCATTATTCTCCAGGTTTACAAAGGCTACCCACCAGTTGGTCAGGCTTTGAGAGCATTTTGGAAGGATCCCGAGTTTTTCTGAAAAAGGAACCATATTTTCTAAAAATCTACAACCTTATTTAAAGCATCTTGAAGAAATACAAAATACAGACACAAGATGGACCAAATGTTAATGGCTTAATTTAACCCATAAGCCTTCCCAAAACTCAAAGAAGTGTTTGGATCTGGTGAGGATCTTGCTTGGCTAGGCAACCTTGCTTGCTTAGTTGTTCTTTCAGTTTAGCTAACATATGAGAGAGGAAAGTGTACAAACAGACCTCTTGTCTTGAGCAGCTGCCTGTCAGCCAGTTGATGAATTGTCTGCCATCTTCTGTTAATGTCCAGGAACTGGTAACTGAGTGGGAAACCCAGTCACTCAGGAAAGAATTGGGCTGTATCTGATACAGTATCAACTAGAATTGTTTTCAAAGCTGTAAACGAAAACAGCTGCAAGGGTAAAGTTCCTGTGCAGGGTGGCCAGGTGCAGTGGCTCATGCCTGTAATCCCAGCACTTTGGGAGGCCGAGGCAGGTGGATCACCTGAGGTCAGGAATTTGAGACCAGCCTGGCCAACATGGTGAAACCCCATCTCTACTAAAAACACACACAAAAACATTACCCAGGTATGGTGGCAGGTGCCTGTAATCCCAGCTACGTGGGAGGCTGAGGAAGGAGAATCACTTCAACCTGAGAGGTTGAATGCAGTGAGCCAGGAATGCCCCACTGCACTCTAGCCTGGGTGACAAGAGTGAAACTCCATCTCAAAAAACAAAACAAAACAAAATAAATAAATAAAAAATAAAAGTTCCTGTGCAGGGCTTGTGTACATATTTGGGTAGCTTCACTGAAGTGTCTCAAGGGCCTAAACTGCGCCTGATTCACAGGAGGACTCAATAAATATTTCTAGAGTGAATGAAGGGGTGGGGGTGGGAGGTGAGGTTGCAGGGAAAAGGCAGTGATCACAGACAGTCAGACCACAAGACACCTTAGAACAGCAGCCCCCAGCCTTTTTGGCACTAGGGACCAGTTTTGTGGAAGACAATTTGGAAGGGGTTGCGGTTGGGGAGGTTGGAGAGGTTGGGGAGGAGTGATGGTTTCAGGATGATTCAGGCACATTACATTTAGAATCAGTGGGAGCTGAGCTTGTTTTCCTGCAACTAGATGGTCCTCTCTGGGGATGATGGGAGACAGTGACAAATCATCAGGCATTAGATTCTCATAAGGAGTGCACAGCCTAGATCCCTCACGTGCACAGCTCACAATAGAGTTTGTGCTTCTATCAGAATCTGATGCCTCCACTGATCTGACAGGAGGCAGAGCTCAGGGAGTAATGTCAGCTGCCCGCCGTTCACCTCCTGCTGTGCTGCTGATTCTTAATAGGGAAGGGACCAGTACTGGTTCATGGCCCAGGGGTTGGAGACCCCTGCCTTAGACAACATGCAGCCCAGTGGATTTCAAAGAGTGCTCTGTGAACACCAGGGCTCCACAGAGGGGCTTGGATGGCTGTTCAAATGTTTTATTCCAATGTCATTAAAAATACATTTTAGCCTGTGATAAAAAGTGCTATTAAAATGCATATTCAAATTTACTGACACACCCAAATGCATTACTATATGCTGCCTGATTAGCTAGGTTTTTTTTGGATTCATTTTGGTTTTGATGACCTCAGATTCAAACCTGTTCTGCTCTAGTTAATGAGTGCCCTTATTTGGCAAGGCAATCACTGAAAAAATAGAAAGAGAGAGAGAGAGGAAGGAAGGCTTTGCAAACACCCTTTTGGATCAATCAGGATATTTTGTGATACATGACAACTAAAATAAGATACACAAACAGCCTTGTTTCATTATTTTATAATCCAATATGTATTTGAGGTTGTTTATATATATAAACATATATTTTATATTTACATCTGCTTTTTAATATTAAAGTTCTGGGGAAAAATTGGGTGTTGCTAACAAATAATTATAAAGCCACCCCTTTCAAACTCCTCATTTTGCAGAAGAGGAAACTAAGTCAAAGAGCCATGATGAACTCCCTTGACCTCTCAGGATGGATTACTAGCAAACCCCAGAACTTGAACCTAAGTTTTAGTTCTTTCTAAATTGCAAATTGTCCTAATGTTTGTTGTTGTTATTAAATATAGTTTAGTTTTGGATGAGACCTCTTGTTGGCAAATGAATTCAGTTCTCTAATGTGAATTTCCTTTTGTTTGGGGGCATGAAAAATGTTAGCAAACAGCCTTCATGTAACATTAAATGTCTTTTTGAATTAACCTGTAGCATCTTAAAGGACAATGATTATGAATACAAAACTACTGACTCATCGTATAGCCACGAAAGAGTTTACAGCTGCAACAAAATCACAGGTCTATTGTCTGGCTTCTGAGACCCCGCAGAGAGAAGGGAGGCAAGCGCTCTCCACCAGCTGTTGAGCTGAAAGCCCTTTTGTGCTTTCTGAGTTGAATCACAGTAGTTTGTGTTTTTGTTTTCTGGTCATGTGATTTTTGAAAGACACCGCAAAAACATGTTTCTAACCCTCTCCCACCAAAAATTGCACCCTGACCCCCCACTTCAGGCAGTGAGTAGGCAAGACAAGGTGGAGGTGTAGAGATCTGGACTCTTCCAGCAGCCTTTCTGTCATCAAGTGGGGCTTGAAACAGGTGATCTAACATGGCTTTGCAGAAATGGTGTAAGTTGATTTCAGAAAGCCTGTATGAGTCCTGTTAGAACCCAAATGGGCTGTGACGGCAGAGTTTCTGCAGGGACAGAATGTGTGTTTCTAATTGGAAGGTGCAGCAAGTTGGAATTCCCTTTGTGTTCTGCCCCTGTGTATGTCATGTGTTGTCACTGTGGCTGGGTGCTATGGACTGAATGTTTGCATCTCCTTGAAATTCACATGTTGAAGTCCTAACCCCCAGTGGGACAGTATAAGAAGGCGGGACCTTTGGGAGATAATTAGGTCTCATGGGTGGGGCCCTCATGATGGGATTAGTGACCCAATAAAAGGAACTTCAGCAAGCTCTCTTTCCACAATGTGGGGACACAACCAGAAGAAGACATTCGCAACCCAGAAGAGGGTCTTCACCAGGGCCCAAACTGGCTGACACCCTGAACTTAGACTTCTAATCTTCAGAACTGTGAGGAGTAAATTTCTGTTATTTGCAAGTCCCCAGGCTGCAGTGTTGTGTTGTAGCCAATGGACTGAGTCATGGGGCCACCCATCTACCCCTTCCCCTTTCTCCTTAACCCTCCTTTACCTCATAAGCCCATTGCTGTCACTGTCCCAGTCCTCCCAGACCTGGCCCTCACTCTCCTTCCCTTCACTCCCACGGGGCTCAGTCCTGCTGTTCTTACACAACTGTCTGTGCTGTCCCATTACTGGTCTTGAAACAGGAGAGTTCTCCAACCCCCTTGCAGAACTAGAGACAGGGATATGGCTCATTTGCTTGGCCACTGCATGCTCAAACCCCTTACGGGATGGGGAGCATACAGATGGGCAGGTGGAGGAGCTGGGGCAAGCACTTTTGGGCTCTGACCCCATGGTAGCATCCAGCGGTGTGTTACAATTAATGCTCATTTAGCAGTTGCCATCCACAGATGGCTAAGTATTAAACTAGCTCATTGGAGAGTCAAGGTGACAGCCTTTTGCACCCTGCCCTCTTGGTACCTGGGTCTTCATCCAGTGTCCAGGAAGAATCAGGTCACATGAACTTGAAGAATGGTGAATGTGGGGATTTTATTGAGAGGTGGAGGTGGCTTTTAGCAGGATGGGTGGGGAGCTGGGAAGGGGATGGAGTGGGAAGATGATCTTCCCCTGGAGTTCCATCATTCTATGGCCTATCTCCTCTCTGACAGTCCCCAGTCAAACTCCTCTTGATGTTCAGATGCTCCTTATCTTCTCCCCTTCTCTGCTGTGCCACTCTGCTGCTCTGTGCTCTTCTGCTCGTGGAGCCTGAGGTTTGGGGTTTATATGGGTACAGGATAGTGGGGTGTGATGGGCCAAAAGGCAACATTAGGGCACAAAAACAGGAATGCCTGTTCCCATTTAGGGCCATGGGTTTTCAGGCTTGAGGGTGGGGCTTTTGCCAGGGAACCTCCCTCTTCTACCCAGTGTTTCCCAGCCTCCTGTCCATATCGGTCTTATTAACCAAAAAGTGACTGAGGCAAGTGTCTCCATTGATAGAGGATTTTTAGCCAAAATTTGAGGATACACTAGGGAAACAAGTCACAGGAGCCTCGGTGACTTGCACTTTTTCCAAATAAAGTTTTGGGAACTTCAGCATTTACAGGGGAAAGAGCAAGTAGGAAGGGGAAAGGGAGGAAGGGTGGACAGCAAAGCAGATGGTCATGTTCTTGTGAGGCTCTGATTAGCGCTCAGTAAATCTACATTTTTTACCTGAAAAGAGGGAGTAAAGGAAAAGGTCTCGCTTGGTATATCTACATCTTACATAAGGTAAACATGTAAAAAGAGGGAATGGGACAAGTCAATGATGCATTCTTCTCAGGGTGGGTGGAGGGTGATTTCTGGTGTTGTCCTCTACCTGTGAAAATAAGCTGGCAATTGATATTGTCAGGGTGAGAGTCAACAGAACTCAGATTTAGGGCCCATTTATAGGAGGGATATGTATCTAAAAGATTTAGGGGCTCACAAAAAATGTGCTTGTGAGCAATTTGTGAGGGAGCACACCTAGAGAGGTATGTGGCCTTCTATTGTTGTAGGAATCTGGCTTCTGGATGAGGCTATGACATGGGCTGTGAAGTTACAGCTATCTGTTTGGGAACACGAAAAAGTGTTGTGTGACTCAGTTCCCAAACTCAACTTTCCCTTTGGCATAGTGAGTTTGGGGTCCTGAGATTCTATTTGCTTCCGCAGTCTCGGGTCCTATCTGCATGTCACTAAGATCCAGTATTGTCATTATGAGGGGACCTGACCACAGACTGAAAAAGGCTGTAACAACCCAGTGGGCTCACCTTGCCCACTGCCTAGACAGAGCCGATTTCTCAAGACAAGGGAATTGCAATAGAGAAAGAGTAATTCATGCAGAGACAACTGCGTGGGAGACCAGAGTTTTGTTATTACTCAAATCAGTCTCCCCAAATGAGCATTCAGGGAGCAGAGTTTTTAAGGACAACTTGGTGGGTAGGGGGAAGCTGGTGAGCCAGGAATGCTGATTGGTCAGAGATGAAATCATAGCGAGTCAAAGCTTTCTTCTTGCACTGAGTTAGTTCCTGGGTGGGGGCCACTAGATCAGATGAACCAGTTTATTGATCTGGGTGGTGCCAGCTGATACATCAAGTGCAGGGTCTGCAGAATATCTCAAGCACTGATCTTAGGAGCAGTTTAGGGAGGGTCAGAATCTTGTAGCCTCCAGCGGCATGACTCCTAAACCATAATTTCTAATTTTGTGGCTAATGTTAGTATTACAAAGGCAATCTAGTCCTCAGGGAAGAAGGAGGTCTGCTTTGGGAAAGGGCTGTTATTGTCTGTTTTAAACTATAAACTAAGTTTCTCCCATAGTTAGTTCAGCCTACGCCCAGGAAGGAACAAGGACAGCTTGGAGGTTAGAAGCAAGATGGAGTCGGTTATGTTAGATCTCTTTCACTGTCTCTGTCATAATTTTGCAAAGGCGGTTTCAAGCCCACTGGGTCCCCGTGAGGATAAAAAAAGAGCAAATATGCACATGGCACACAGTGTGCGGAGGAGTGAAAACTGGTGTCCAGAGACTCCTAGCTGGCGAGGTGGAGTCTTTCACAACTCGGCCCCCCTCTTTCCAGCAGTCTACCTCCCTAGGTTCCTCACTTCTATGCCCCTCACCAGACATTATTAGGACAAACCTTGCTCTTCCCACCTTCGTGTCTGTGCCTAACCCTGTGAAGCTTCGAAGGTGTTTCTTCCCATCCCTGCTTGTCAGAGTCCTTCCTGTGCTTCCAGGCCCAGCCAAACCTAACTCGCAAAGAGCCAGCCTCCCCACCCTCCCTGGGGAGCAGGACCGTGAGACAGGGCAACACGCCTGACCTTCCTGCACGTCAATTTCTTCTGGTGAGAAATGAGGAGGAGCCTCACTGTGAGGACTGAGGAATTAATCCACAGCAAAGGCTTAGAAAAGTGCCTGGCAATCAGGAAGTGCTCAGTAAATATTAGTTTAGCTGTTTCCTTAAATGGGCTGGATTGGTTGGGGCACAAGAAGAGAACACCTGTGTTCTTTGTCTGTCCCCACAAAGCCACTCTGCAGACTCCCGCTTCCCAATCCCTCTGATGAATGTCCAGCATTTCCCGTAATAGTTCCACTTACTTTTAGATCACAAAAAGTCCAGTCTAGTCTAATGACGATGGAACTCTTTTTTTTTTTTTTTTTTTTTTGACACAAAGTCTCGCTCTGTTGCCCAAGCTGGAGTGCACTGGCGCAATCTCAGCTCACTGCAACCTCTGCCTCCCAGGTTCAAGCAATTCTCCTGCCTCAGCCTCCCAAGTAGCTGGGACTATAGGTGCGTGCCACCATACCTGGCTTTTTTTTATGTTTAGTAGACACGGGCTTTCACTGTATTAGCCAGGATGGTCTCCATCTCCTGAGCTCGTGATCTGCCTGCCTCGGCCTCCCAAAGTGCTGGGATTACAGGCATGAGCCCACTGCGCCTGGCCATGACGATGGAGCTCTGATACAGTTGGTGTAATTATCAAAATCCTAGACACTCACCAGTGTGAAGCCTCCCCTTGCCCTGCCTTGCTCTAGCTGGGCAACCAGCAACGGTGTGGGGCATGCCTGACTCTCTGGCTTTGCTGTGGCTCATCCCACCAGAGTTGTGTGCAGGGGCAGTGAATCAGTTGGTCTGGGCTGCCATAACAAAATACCACAGCCTGGATGGCTTAAACAACAGAAATGGATTTTTACCAAGTTCTGGAGGCTGGAAGTCCAAGATGAGGGAGTCGGAAGGTTTGGTTTCTCTGTCCATGGTTTGCCAATGCTGCCTTCTCACCATGTCCTCACATGGTCTTTCCTCTACGTGCATGCCTGCCTGGTATCTCTTGCTCTTCTTGTAAGTATTACAGTTGATAGCTAGTCAGACACGAGCAGGATAGGAGAGGGCTCCCTGCCCTCACCACCAGGAATGTTGATGGTGGTGACGGTCAGGTGGTTGTTAACTGTCTCTGTAAAGTAATAATTGGTTGCAGCCAGTGCCAGGGAAGGGCAGTCTTCCAGTAGATAGAAAACACCTAAAACTGGTGATCAGCAGCTTCCTGATAAGACCTCAGGAGTTGGGCAAGTGGGCTCAGGTGAGCACATATGGACAGCCCACCTTAAGGGAAGAATCAGGGGAGAAGTAACACAGGATCCCAGAAATATGCCGATACATAAAGCCCGAGGTCAAAAGGTCGAACGGGGCACTTGATCTCTCAAAATGCCCTCCTGGCCCTCTTCTAAGTGTGCTTTTCTTCCTTTCATTCCTGCTGTAAAGCTTTTTAATAAACCTCCTGCTCTAACACTTGATGCAGTCTCTCTCCTTCTGCCTTCTGCCCCTCAAATTCTTTCTTCTGTGGAGGTAAAAATTGAGGTTGTTGCAGACCTGTCTGGATACGGATTTGCCCTGGATTAACTGCCCTAAACAGTTCTATTGACTCTCTCCCTGACAGTGTCACTTGCCAGCCTATCTTCACAGGTAGAGGACAAGGACAACACCAGAAATCATCCCTTTGCCCACCCTAAGACGAATGCCTCATTGACTTGTCCCATTCCTTCTTGTCATGTGTTTAGTTTACCTTACATAAGATGTAGATTTTCCAAGAGAGACAGGACATAATTGACCTCCCTGTACAGTTCTGCAGATAGTACAGGCAGCATAGTGCCAGCCTCTGGTTCTGCTGAGGTCTTAGGATGCTTTTACTCATCACAGAAGGTGAAGAGGGAGCAGGTGTGTCCCACTGATGAGACAGGGAGTGAGAGAGGGGAGGAGGTGCCAGGCTCTTTAAACAACCAGCTCTTGCCTGAAGGAACAGAGCAAGAACCCACTCATTACTGCAAGGAGATCACCAAGTCATTCCATGAGGAATCCACACTTATGACCCAAACACCTCCCATCAGGCCCCACCTCCAGCAATGGGGACCCCATTTCAACATGAGATTTGGAGGAGACAAACCAAACCGTATCAGGCAGCTAGTGTGAGACCCTTGCAGACCCCCATGGGACCTGCCGCTGTAGGTCAGCTGAAGCAACCACGCCTCTCTTCTGGTGGGCTTCTTCTGACTCCTCTCTCAGGCCCTGGGCTTTGGTTGCCTGGCCCGTCAGGGTCGCATTTTGATCCCCACAGAGTCTTCTCAGAGGGGCTCTGTTTCACAGCGCCACGTCTGGCCCCAGCAAGCACGCACACTTGCTCCAGCGCAGCCGTTGCCCCCTTCTGCCTGTTCCAACCAGACCCTGAAGAGAGATGTCGAAGGTAGGTGTGGCACTGATTCCTGTGTCCTCTAAGCCCCTGTGACATAAGTCAGGGTTCATTCTCTCATGACTTTCCCTCTTAATCCTCCACATCAATGTACCCCTAGACCTCCTCAGCCTCAACCCCTTTGTGTGTGTCAGGTGAGTGATGAAGCAATGTGGTGTGGTAGTCAGCTCGGCTGCCATCACAAATACCCCAGACGGGGTGGCATAAATAACAGAAATGTGCTTTCTCACAGTTCTGGTAAGTCCGGGCTCGAGGTGTCAGCCTTGATCCCAGTGAGAGCTGTTTCCTGCCTTATCCTCGGATAGCCTTTCTTCCGAGGGGCTGGGGAGCCACATGCATGAACTCTCTGGCCTTTGACGTCTTTTCTGGTAAAGACGCTAATCCTATCAGATCGGGGCCCTGCCTTATGACCTGATTTAACCTTAATTACCTCTTAAAGATACCATCTTAAAATACAGTCACATCGAGCGTTACTGCTTCCAAGTCTGAATTTAGGGGTAGGGGGTACAATTCAATCCACAGCAGCTGGCAAAACCAGTTTGGTTTACCTTCTGGGATAGTCCTGCTTAAATGTTCTCAGCCTTGATCTAGAAGCAGGTGGAAGGGCACTTGGCACTTGCTGCTTTGTTGTTTCCTTTGGAGAAGGGTAGAAACTCTTAAGACAACGGGATGCATCACCTTTCCCTTCCTATAACATAACCTGTCATTGTGGAACTGGAGAACCCACACCATGATCCTTCTCACAATTAAGGATGCATCTTCCCCTGAAAGCATAAGCTCCTTACGGTCAGGGGGTAAATCTTAGACAGTGATCACAGTGGTCGTTTGTTTGTTCTACCTATGGAAAAGCTCAATGGTTATTCACTAAGATGAACTGAAGCAAGGGTTGTGGAAGGTTCACTTTGCCACCTGTCTGCATAAGCAGGGCCACCGTAGGCAGCGATCCAGGGATCAGTTACTTCCCAACCAATCTGTTCTGTGGGAGTTGACACTCCTCATCCTTATTGAGGTCTATCACAGAGTTGGTATCCAGAGAGAAGGTAACAAAGGAAGGCATTTTCTAGCAAGTAGCAGCTTTTATTATTTTTAAATATTTTTATTATTTTATTATTTCCTATTTGCATAGGAAACGGTGGTATAGAGGCATCCATTATGAGCTGGTCACAGAGGTGTGCCTCCATGGTGTGACAGGGTACTTACTGAAGAATTTTGAGTTTACATTTTATTTCTTTTGTGGAAAATAGCAGCTGGTACTTCTTTGCTTTAGGGAAGGTTTATAGCAGGTTGAAAGCAGGTATTGCTTTCAAACCATCTCCTCTTAACATTTGTTTATGGATGCTTAAATCCATTGAGGAGAATAGAGTTTGATGTCAGAAAAGAAAACTAGCAAAGAGCTGCCTCACCCATTGTCTTTATGTTTCTGAAATTTGTGACACAAAGAACATTCTACAGCCCATCAATAGCTTACGTTATTTTAATGTAAGTTCTTGGTAAGCAACTTAGGAACTGCTTTAAAAACCCACTTCCTTTAAAAACCCACTTGTAACTGCTGTTAATGGGAGCATAGATTCAGGGCAACTTGGGTCTCTGCCCCTTGGTTGCAGTGCTCAAACTTGGCCCAAATAAACTCTCTACTTATGTCAATTCTGCCTCCATTTTTTCCTTTAGATGGACAGAGGTGAATGAAAGAGAGGGCCTTGGAGGGCAGCCTGAAGAGGAAGAGAGGGACGCAAGGCCAGCATAAACAAAAGAGTAGTCCTGGGGTGCTGGGAGGAGAAGACATCTGTGCCTTGGGTCCTAAGAGTGCTCTGAGGATGTGAAAGGACCCAGAAGGACAGCAGAGAGGCCTGTCCTATGTTCCTTGGTCCCCAACCTTGCCAAGGTGCTCAGGTTCCAAACCTGACACTAAAGCAAGACAGCCGTAGGCCAGATGAGGTCATGGGAGCAGGAACAATGAACATTGAATTAACATCATTGTCTGGGGTAAATACCTGAGATTTGTTGTCTCACGGCGGCAGAAAACTAGGAAGGGGATAAAGAGTGAGCTTAGCGGAAGTTTAGTAGGCGAAAGAAAGAGAATAGCTCTCTCTGTTGCGAAGATAGGGGTCCTGAACAGGTTTTTCGGTTCTGTGGTGAAATGCAGAGGGTTTTATAGATGAGCTTGAGGAGACAGTGTGTGATTTACATAGGGTACGAATGATTGGTGGGACTAGTGTCATTTGCATAAGGTGCGAAAAACTGGTTAGGGCTAGGTATGCCATTTGCATAGGGCCCAAAAAGCTTGCTGACCCCACGCTAATCTTTTATTATGCAAATAATTCTCTACCTGGCCAGCGCCATGTTGCCTATTTCTTTACTGTACACGTGGTGACAAAGAAAAGGGAAGATGGAGCCTCCATGTTGAACATACCTGGCTTCCAGGTAGCCCTTTTCTATTGGCATAGCTGCCGGCATTCACCCGTGCAAGCTTCCAGCTTGCTTATCTATGTTCGCAGCTAGATTTTCAGGCTGCTCTTTGTTAGAAAAAAATGCTTTCTTGGGCTGCTTTTTGTTAAAAGGGAAGCCTTGCTGAGGACTTTTTTACCCTCACTATCTGCCTAAATAATTTCTTTCTATCTCCTGTCTCAGCATCTCAGTGGTCCTCATTGAGAACAGGTAACCAGTGCCAGCAGGGGCTCCTAGTTCATTGGTAAAACCCTGAACATTGACACCTTTCATTTCCCTGGGGTTAAATGGAAGAGAGAATTGCCCCAAGAAGGACGGAAGTTTCATTTTCTTTGGCTCCTGAAGTAGTACACAAGCGGATTTATAGAAAACAAAGACCTTTAGTATTTCTTACATCCTAGAATCTGGAGACTTGAGATTCATGCCTATTGCATTATTTCAGAAAAGAGATTTGGTTGTGAACTCTGCTCCAAGACATTGCTTGGTCAAGGAAGCCTAAGTTTTAGCCACCTGGACACGATCTCCATCTAGTGGTCATACTATGTAACAGCACTTGCACACAGCTTTGAGAGGTTTGGTATTCTGTATTTTGCTCTTCTCCGGAGAAATTCAATATAGCAGAAATATAGTACATAATATAATGCAGATATGAGAGATTCTACAGCCTACAAACAGTTCTAAAACGGGCTAGAATTTGGGAGGTGAAGCAACAGGGTAGCATTGTAATTTTATTAAATTTCAGAATAATTTTAGATTTATGTTAAAGTTGTAAAGTGGCCAGGCGCAGTGGCTCACGCCTGTATCCCAGCACTTTGGGAGGCCGAGGCGGGCAGATCACCTGAGGTCAGGAGTTCGAGCCTGGCCAACATGGTGAAACCCCATCTCTACTAAAAATACAATAAATTAACCGGGTGTGGTAGCCCAGGCCTGTAATCCCAGCTACTTGGGAAGCTGAGGCATGAGAATCGCTGGAACCTGGGAGACAGAAGTTGCAGTGAGCCGAGATCATGCCACTCCACTCCAGCCTGGGCAACAGAGTGAGACTCTGTCTCAAAAAAAAATTAATAAATGAATAATAAATAAATAAAGTTATAAAGTGATACAGAGTTCCCATACACACCTCACCCAGGTTCCTCTAGGTTAAAATCTCACATTACCATGATACGTTTGTCAAAACTAAGAGACTAGCATTTCCACATTATTGTCAAAATCCAGACTGTATTTTAATATCACTAGTTTTTCAACTAATGTCCTTTTTCTGTTCCAGGATCCCACTCAGGACAGCACATCTCATTCTGTCCTCATGTTCCCTCAGTTTCCTCTAGTCTGTGAGAGATTTCATGACAGCAGTTTTGAGGAGTAATAGCCAGGTATTTAGCCAGTTTTGAGGAGTAATAGCCAGAATGTCCCTCAATTGTAGATGTGTGGTGTTATTTCTGAGGCCTCCGTTTTGTTCCATTGGTCTACATCTCTGTTTTGGTACCAGTACCAGTTGCTGTTTTGGCTACTGTAGCCTTGTAGTATAGTTTGAAGTCAGGTAGCATGATGCCTCCAGCTTTGTTCTTTTTGCTTAGGATTGTCTTGGCTATACAGGCTCTTTTTTGGTTCCATATGAAGTTTAAAGCAGTTTTATCTAGTTCTGTGAAGAAAGTCAATAGTAGCTTGATGGGAATAGCATTGAATCTATAAATTACTTTGGGCAGTATGGCCATTTTCATTATATTGAGTCTTCCTATCTATGAACATGGAATTCTTTTTCCATTTGTTTGTATTCTCTCTTATTTTCTTGAGCAGTGGTTTGTAGTTCTCCTTGAAGAGGTCCTTCACATCCCTTGTAAGTTGTATTCCTAGGTATTTTATTCTCTTTGAAGCAATTGTGAATGGGAGTTCACTCATGATTTGACTCTCTGTTTGTCTGTTATTGGTGTATAGGAATGCTTGTGATTTTTGCTCATTGATTTTGTATCCTGAGACTTTGCTGAAGTTGTTCATCAGCTTAAGTTTTTAGGCTGAGAAGATGGGGTTTTCTAAATATACAATCATGTCATCTGCAAACGGAGACAATTTGACTTCCTCTCTTCCTATTTGATACGCTTTATTTCTTTCTGTTGACTGATTGCTCTGGCCAGAACTTCCAACACTATGTTGAAAAGGGGTGGTGAGAGAGGGCATCCTTGTCTTGTGCTGGTTTTCAAAGGGAATGCTTCCAGCTTTTGCCCATTCAGTATGATATAGGCTGTGGGTTTGTCATAAATAGCTGTTATTATTTTAAGATGCGTTCCATCAGTGCCTAATTTATTGAGAGTTTTTAGCATGAAGGGGTGTTGAATTTTGTCAAAGGCTTTTTCTGCATCTATTAAGATAATCATGTGTTTTTTGTCATTGGTTCTGTTTATGTGATGGATAATGTTTATTGATTTTCATATGTTGAGCCAGCCTTGCATCCCAGGGATGAAGTCGACTTGATCATGGTGGATAAGCTTTTTGATGTTCTGCTGGATTCGGTTTGCCAGTATTTTATTGAGGATTTTTGCATCGTGTTCATCAGGGATATTGGCCTGAAATTTTCTTTTTTTGTTGTGTCTCTGCCAGGTTTTGATGCTGGCCTCATAAAATGAGTTAGGGAGGATTCCCTCTTTTTCTATTGTTTGGAATAGTTTCAGAAGGAAAGCTACCAGCTCTTATTTGTATCTCTGGTGGAATTCGGCTGTGAATCCGTCTGGGCCTAGGCTTTTTTTGGTTGGCGGGCTATTAATTACTACCTCAATTTGGTGTTGGTCTACTCAGGGGTTAGACTTCTTCCTGGTTTAGTCTTGGGAGAGTATATGTGTCCAGGAATTTATCCATTTCTTCTAGATTTTCTAGTTGTTTTTTTTTTTTTTTGTGTGTGTGTGTGTGTGTGTGTGTGTGTGTGTAGAGGTGTTTATAGTATTCTCTGATGGTAGTTTGTATTTCTGTGGGATCAGTGGTGATATTCCCTTCATCATTTTTTATGGTGTCTATTTGATTCTTCTCTTTTTTCTTCTTTACTATTCTGCCTAGTGGTCTATCTACTTTGTTAATCTTTTCAAAGAACCAGCTCCTGGATTTGTTGATTTTTTGAAGGTTTTTTTTGTCTCTATCTCCTTCAGCTCTGCTCTGATCTTAGTTATTTCTTGTCTTCTGCTGGCTTTTGAATTTTTTGCTCTTGCTTCTGTAGTTCTTTTAATTGTGATGTTAGGGTGTCAATTTTAGATCTTTCCCACTTTCTGATGTGGGCATTTAGTGCTATAAATTTCCCTCTAAACACTGCTTTAGCCTCTGAGTTCTAATTTGATTGCACTGTGGTCTGAGAGGTTGTTAATGATTTCCGTTCTTTTGCACTTGCTGAGGAGTGTTTTACTTCCAATTATGTGGTCAATTTTAGAATAAGTGTGATGTGATGCTGAGAAGAATGTATATTCTGTCGATTTGGGGTAGATATCTGTCGACATCTATTAGGTCTGCTTGGTCCAGAGCTGAGATCAAGTTCTGAACATCCTTGTTAATTTTCTGTCTCCTAGATCTGTCTAATATTGACAGTGAGGTGTTAAAGTCTCCCACTATTATTGTGTGGCAGTCTACTTCTCTTTGTAGGTCTCTAAGAACTTGTTTTATCACTCTGGTTGCTCCTGTATTGGGTTCGTGTATATTTAGGATAGTTAGCTCTTCTTATTGGATTGATCCCTTTACAATTATGTAATGCCCTTCTTTGTCTTTTTTGATCTTTGTTGGTTTAAAGTCTGTTTACCAGAGACTAGGATTGCAACCCCTGCTTTTTTTTGCTTTCCCTTTGCTTGGTAAATACTCCTCTATCCCTTTATTTTGAGCCTATATGTGTCTTTGCACAAGAGATTGGTCTCCTGAATACAGCACACCAATGGGTCTTAACTGTTTATCCAATTTCCCAGTCTGTGTCTTTTAATTGGGGAAGTTAGTCCATTTACATTCAAGATTAATATTGTTATGTGTAAATTTGATCTTGTCATCATGATTCCAGCTGGTTATTTTGCACATTAGTTGATGCAGTTTCTTCATAGTGTCATTGGTCTTTATGTTTTGGTGTGTTTTTGCAGTGGCTGGTATTGGTTTTTCCTTTCCATATTTAGTACTTCCTTCAGGAGTTCTTGTAAGGCAGGCCTGGTGGTGACAAAATCCCTTGGCATTTGCTTGTCTCTAAAGGATTTTATTTCTCCTTCACTTATGAAACTCAGTTTAGCTGGATATGAAATTCTGGGTTGAAAATTCTTTTCTTTAAGGATGTTGAATATTGGCCCTCACTCTCTTCTGGCTTGTAGGGTTTCTGCAGAGAGATCCACTGTTAGTCTGATGGGCTTCCCTTTGTAGGCAACCTGACCTTTCTCTCTGGCTGCCCTTAACATTTTTTCCTTCATTTCAACCTTGGAGACTCTGACGATATTGTTCCTTAGGGTTGCTCTTCTCGAGGAGTATCTTTGTGGTATTCTCTGTATTTCCTGAATTTGAGTGTTGGCCTGTCTTGCTATATTGAGGAAGTTCTCCTGGATTATATCCTGAAGTGTGTTTCCAACTTGGTTCCATTCTCCCTGTCACCTTCGGGGACCCCAATCAATCATAGGTTTGGTATTTTCACATAGTCCTATATTTCTTGGAGGCTTTGTTCATTCCTTTTCATTCTTTTTCTCTAATCTTGTCTTCATGTCTTATTTCAATAAGTTGATCTTCAATCTCTGATATCCTTTCTTCTGCTTGATTGATTTGGCTATTGATACTTGTGTATGCTTTGCGAAGTTCTTGTGCTCTGTTTTTCAGCTCCATTAGGTCATTTATGTTCTTCTCTAAACTGGTTATTCTAGTTAGCACTTCCTGTAACCTTTTGTCAAGGTTCGTAGCTTCCATGCATTGGGTCAGAACATACTCCTTTAGCTCAGAGGAGTTTGTTATTACCCGCCTTCTGAAGGCTACTTGTACCAATTCATCAAACTCATTCTCTGGCCAGTTTGTGCCCTTGCTAGAGAGGAGTTGTAATCACTTCAAGGAGAAGAGGCATTCTGGTTTTTGGAATTTTCAGCATTTTTGCACTGGTTTTTCTTCATCCTTGTGGATTTATCTACCTTTGATCATTGTGGCTGATGACCTTTGGATGGAGTTTCTGTGTGTCGGCCCTTTTTGTTGATGTTGATGTTATTGCTTTCAAGTTTTTCTTCTAAAAGTCAGGCCCCTCTTCTTCAGGTCTGCTGCAGTATGCTGGAGGTCCACTCCAGACCCTATTTGCCTGGATATCATCAGCAGAGGCTGCAGAACAGCAAAGATAGATGCCTGCTCCTTCCTCTGGAAGTTTCTTCCCAGAGGAGCACTGGCCTGATGCCAGCCAGAGCTCTCCTGTGTGAAGTGTCTGTCAATCCCTGTTGGGAGCTCTCTTCCAGTCAGGAGGCATGGGGGTCAGGGACCCACTTGAGGAGTCAGTCTGTCCTTTAGCAAAGCTCAAGTGCTGTGAGAACCCTCCTTGTCAGGATCCACTGCTCTCTTCAGAGCCAGAAGGCAGGAACGTTTAAGTCCACTGTAGCTATGCCCACAATCCCTCCTTCTCCCAGGTGCTACCTGTCCCAGGGAGATGGGATTTTTATCTATAAGACCCTGACTGGGGCTGCTGCTTTTCTTTCAGGGATCCTCTGCCCAGTGAGGAGGAATCTAGAGAGGCAGTTTGGCCACAGTCGCTTTGCCATGCTGTGTTGAGTTCTGCCCAGTCCTTAGCACTGTCAGGGGAAAACTGCCTACTCAAGCCTCAGTAATGGTGGACGCCCCTTTCCCCACCAAACTCAATCATCCCAGGTCGACGTCAGACTGCTGTGCTGGCAGTGAGAATTTCAAGCCAGGGGTTCTTAGCTTGCTGGGCTCTGTGGGAATGGGACCTGCTGAGCGAGACCACTTGAATCCCTGGCTTCAGCCCCATTTCCAGGGGAGTGAAAGATTCTGTCTCACTGGGGTTCCAGGCACCACTGGGGTACAAAAAAAAAAAACAAACTCCTGCAGCTAGCTCGGTGTCTGCCTGAACAGCTGCCCAGTTTTGTGCTTGAACCCAGGGTCCTGGTGGTGTAGGAACACGAGGGGATCTCCAGGTTTGCAGATTGCAAAAATCATGGGAAAAGCATAGTCTCTGGGCCAGATAGCACAGTCCCTCATGGCTTCCTTTCTCTGGGAAAGGGAGGTCCCCCCACTCCTTGCATTTCTGGGGTGAGGCAATGCCCCACCCTGCTTCTGCTCGTCATCTATGGACTGCACCCACTGCCTAACCAGTCCCAATGAGATGAACAGGGTACCTCAGTTGGAAATGCAGAAATCACCCACCTTCTGCGTTGGTCTCACTGGGAGCTGCAGACCAGAGCTGTTCCTATTTGGCCATCTTGGTGGATCCCCTTGCCCAATTTTTTGGTTTAAGTGCCCTGTAAAAGCATCACAAAAGCCTCATAATAGTTCTCCCTTTGGAGACCCAGGATTCAGTGTGAGCTCTGCCCAGAACTCAGAGGTCCAGTAAAAGATAAGTAGCTCCTATCTAAATAAAATTGGTCTCTTCATACAATACTAAGATTGTTTTCTGTAATTTTATGTTTGATTTGGCATCCATCTTTAATTTCATACTTATCCCTTCCTAATATTATAAGGTGTTGAAATTTGGCATATGTAGGGAGACCCCCTGAAACTATTGCTATGGAATAAAAGATGAAATGCTCCTGATTATTGTAAATACAAAATTGCATGGAGGATTGTGTAAAGACAATGCCAGGTTGGGCTGCCAGAATGAGCCAACAGCACATGATATGCTTCCCCCTACAGAGAGCCTATAAACGGACATGCAGTCAGGGAGGTTTCACATCACCAAGATTCCTATCCCAGAAAAGCAGATGTTCATATCTCTGGGAATGGAATGCGACCCTTGTGGAGAGCCTATAAATAGACGCATGAGGGGTGCCTGTTCATATGGATAAGATAGGGCTATAAATGCCCTTAAGTTGCCATGGCTCTTCTAGGTCTCTTTAGGGTTAAGACACTCCCTTCTGAGAATTTGTGGTCTAACTGGTTGTCTAGTTTCACATTCTGCTTCTATTGATTGCTTGCAACCAGCTTTTGCTGCAATTACTACTACTGATTAGTATCTTACTAAACATAGGTTATGGATAGACTGTGTTTCTGTTTTAAGGCTCTGTTAGAAATTGCTGATGCACACACTATATTGTAAATTCTTATCTCTGTATAAGTACATATCTCTGTATATGTACTTCTGCATACTGATGTTATGTTAAAGAATTACTTCATCCCAATGTGACCATCTCACCTCATAATCAAACGACCCTAAATCCCTCACTAACCTACCCCCACCCTCACTAAACTTAATAATAAATGCTGGTATATCCAGTGCATTGGCGGCATTGCATGACCAGAAGGCGGTAAACCCCCTGGACCCAGCTTTCACTATCTTGTGTGTGTCTTTTATTTCTTAACCTGCCAATCTGCCTGGGAACAAAGAAAGAGCCCCATTGCATTGTGGGCTGTTGGCCAGATCCTGCAATATCTGGCCCAACTTGGCCTTCTTTGTTCCTCAGCTCAGTGCGCTCCGAGTGCTGGTTTGTGATGACTAGTCTTCAGTCTCGATGGTAAGGTCTCCGGGTACGCATTTTCCAACTCTCCCCTGTTTTTGGGTCTGTCGACCAGTATTATTCCAGGGTTAGGATGGGACAATCACAGTCTAAACACCAGGCTTATCTGTCTTTTATTAAACTTCTTCTTAAACAGGGTGGAATCAAGGCTGATTCCAGTAACCTTATTCTCTTATTTCAGACTATTGAAAAACCTTGTCCTTGGTTCCCTGACAAAGGTTCTATGGACCTGTTAGACTGGGATAGAGTTGGCGCCATGCTCTGCCAACTCATGAGAGATGGTGTTTTACTTCCTATTTCTGTTTGGACTGACCGGGCTCTTATTCTTGTTGCTTTACTTCCTTTTCAGTCTGGTGATCCTCTTCAACTGCCACAAATTAATGCAGATGGTGAGCCACTCCCTTTACCTTGGGTACCTGACCCCCCCTACTAGTCCTCCTTCTGATGATGAGGAGGAATTTGATCTCTCCTTGTTTTCTCCCCAAAAGGAGGAACCTGGTGATGATCCCCTCCCTCTGCCTCCTATCTTGGAACCTGTATATATTAACTCTTCTACTAAGCTGTTGCCCCCTCTGCCAGAGGAGGATGTGTGGCATTCACCTGAATGGCTTGTTTCTTGTTCCTCTCGTCCTTTTGGACTTCTCCCCTCTTCTAAGCCTACTGTTTCTTTTGATGCTCCGGGACCCCTTCTTTCAGAGGTTTGGAATCCTGCTTCCCCCCAGTCCACATCCCAGTGCCCTCACTCTCCTTCTCTTCCTCTGCCCCTGCACAATGGATGTGTGAGTCACCTGTTTGGGTAGAGCAGTGGCCACTTTCCAAACACAAGTTGGAGGCTTTAACTGAAATTGTTAATGATTTACTACAAGCAAACACTATTGAGCCCTCCTTGTCTCCATGGAACTCGCCCATGTTTGTTGTACAAAAAAGGTCAGGAAAATGGAGGATGGTAACAGACTTAAGAGCTGTTAATGCAGTTATTAACCTATGGGGGCATTACAATCCGGCATGCCTTCCCCCTCCATGATTCCTAAGGAATGGCCTTTAATTATCATTGACTTTAAAATTGCTTTTTTCATATTCCTTTAGACAAGTCAGACTGTGAAAAATTTGCTTTCACTATACCTTCCATTAACAATTCAGCTCCCACAGCTAGATATCAACGGAAAGTTTTACCTCAAGGAATGATTAACAGTCCTACTATTTGTCAGTTGTTTGTTGGTACTGTGTTACAACCTATCTGACAGACTTTAAAAAATAATTACATTCTTCATTATATGGATGATATACTGATTGCTGCTCCCACTAAAGATGAATTAATTCAACGTTTTCCCTCTTTAAAATTAGCTGTTGCCAATGCAGGACTCTACATCACTCCTGATAAAATTCAAAAAGCCACTCCTTTTCTGTACTTAGGAATGCAGCTAGAAGCTCACTCCATTAAGCCTCCAAAAGTCCAACTTCGTACTGACAATTTAAACACCTTAAATGATTTTTTGAAATTTACTGGGTAACATCAATTATCTCAGACCAACTCTAGGCATCCCTACTTATGCATTATCTCATCTATTTGCCACTTTATCAGGAGATACAGATTTAAACAGTCCTCACTCTCTATCTGAACCAGTAAAACAAGAGTTGTCTTCTGTAGAACAACGAGCGAGAGAGGCACAAGTCTCTCGTATTGACCCAAATTTGCCTTTACAATTTTTAGTTTTTCCTTCCATCCACTCTCCTAGGGGACTTATAGTACAAAATGATTCTCTAGTTGAATGGGTATTTCTTCCTAATTCAGCCTGTAAAACTCTTTCAATATATCTTGATCAAACGGCCACTTTAATTCGGTTAGGATGTCAACATATCACTAAAATTTCCGGCTTTGATCCAAACATTATTGTGGTCCCTTTGTCAAAAAATGAAGTTAAAAATGCCTTTTCTACATCTTTGTGCTGGCAGACTAATCTGGCTGACTTCATTGCCACTATTGATAATCATTTGCCTAAGTCAAAATTCTTTCAATTGCTATGAAATACTTCCTGGATTCTACTAAAACTTACTCGTTCATCACCACTAGAGGGAGCCGTTACCATTTTTACTGATGGATCCAGTAATGGAAAGGCAGGGTATGTAGGACCAAAAGATAAAGTCATTTCTACTCCATACACTTCTGCTCAAAAAGCCGAGTTGTTTGCTGTTATCTCTGCATTACAGGATTTTGATCAGCCTCTTAATATTGTCTCTGACTCAGCTTATGTAGTCCATGCCACTAAGGCAATAGAAACAGCTACCATCAAAAATATTGCTGACACTAATCTGTTTTCCTTGTTCTCTTTATTATAAAAAACTGTCAGAAACCGAAACCACCCTTTTGTCATCACTCACATTCATTCTCATACTAATTTGCCTGGACCTTTATCTAGTGGTAATCATAAAGTTGATACTCTAGTTTCTCTAGCCATTGCAGATGCAGAACAATTTCATCAACTCACTCACACTAATGCCTCAAGTCTTAAACATAAATATTGTCTCAGTTGGAAACAGGCTAAACACGTTGTACAACACTGTTCTCAATGTCAGGTTCTTGTCTTACCCACACAATCTTCCTGAGTTAATCCATGAGGCCTTTCTCCTAATATTGTTTGGCAAATGGACGTTACTCATTTTCCTTCTTTTGGAAAATTAGCTTATGTGCATGTCACCGTTGACACCTTTTCCAATTTCATCTGGGCTACCTGTCAAACAAGAGAAGCCACTTCTCACATTAAAAAACATATGTTTTCATGTTTTGTGGTTATGGGAATTCCTAGTGAGCTCAAAACAGACAATGGTCCAGCATATAGCAGTAAAGCTTTTAAAAATTTTCTTGATCAGTGGCATATTAAACATATTACTGGTATTCTTTATAACCCACAAGGTCAAGCTATTATAGAAGGAAGTAACAGAACTTTAAAATTACAATACGTAAACAAAAAGAGGGGGATAAGGAGTTGTCTACGCCTCACATACAACTAAACTTGGCATTGCTCACGTTAAATTTTCTTAATATTCCTAAATCTAGTTCTGTTATTGCTGCCAAAACACATTCCTCTGGTAACCACCCTATGGTAAACCAAGGACAGGAAGTATGGTGGAAAGATGTTCAATCTAATATATGGTTGAAAGTTTCTATTTTAACGTGGGGAAGAGGCTATGCTTGTGTTTCCCCAGGTGAACATCAGTCTCCTGTTTGGATTCCTACTAGACACCTGAAATTGTGTCCTGAAGATGCATGCGACAACGAGACAGAGAAATTTACTGAGAAAACACCACAGCAGGAAACAACTAACACATCCAGTCATCAAAGAAAAAAAAATAACCCCACTAACTCCTTTACAACAGACAATCCAGTCAGCCATCCTGAACAACTCATCTCCAGTGATCCAGGTCTGGCTCAACCTCTGCCTCCTCCTAATGACACTGATCCTTCCACCCTCTGTGACTCCACAAACTGTTAAAAACTATACATATTGAGCCTATATTCCTTTTCCTCCTCTTTTTTTTTTTTTTTTTTTGTTTTTGAGACGGAGTCTTGCTCTGTTGCCCAGGCTGGAGTGCAGTGGCTCAATCTCGGTTCACTGCAAGCTCCGCCTCCCGGGTTCATGCCATTCTCCTGCCTCAGCCTCCCAATTAGCTGGGACTACAGGTGCCCAGCACCACGCCCGGCTAATTTTTGTATTTTTAGTAGAGATGGGGTTTCACCTTGTTAGCCAGGATGGTCTCGATCTCCTGACCTCGTGATCTGCCCACCTCAGCCTCCCAAAGTGCTGGGATTGCAGGGGTGAGCCACACGCCTGGCCTGCTTTTCCTCCTCTTATTCAAGCCATGACATGGATGGATGCTCCTATCGAGGTCTATGTTAATGATAGTATTTGGATGCCTGGTTCTGTAGATGATCGTTGTCCTGCCCTATCTTCAGAAGAAGGAACCCCTTTCAATATTACTTTAGGTTTTAGGTATCCACCTTTGTGCCTAGGACTCACTAATGGATGTCTCTCATTAGATATTCAAACATGGGTGGACACACTACCATCTGGTCACTCTGTCCCTCCTTTGGGACACTTGGTATCAGGACTGTCATTAAAACCTCTAAGGCAGATCAAAATAGGAATCGCTGACTATATTCACACATCCCAAAATAAGCCTTTAGGACCTGCATGTCCTCTGAACTTCTCTTCAAATACTGACAAATTAATATGGAAGGATTGTGTTAGTACAGAAAGAACTGTGTTATTTAATTTTTCTCTCTACACCATTGTTGGTTGGGCTTCTAAAAGTCATATTACTAATGATTGCTCTCAAGGTCACAGAGATTGTCAACATTTTCTCTATGATATTACTTATCAAGAAAGTAGTGACAACTCTCCCCTAGTATATCATAGATTTAACTCCTTTTTTCCTTTTAAGTGGAAAGGGGCAGGGGTTGCCTCTCCAAAGCCAAGGCTCATCGTTCCCCACTTAGGATCTGAACATTCAGAATTATGGAGATTAACCATAGCTATGACTGGTATGAGAGTTTGGGCTGGGGAAAGTGTTATAAGTAAATCCACCTTGTCACCTCAAAAACTAAGACAACAGATTGATTCACATTACTATTCCCACATAGCCAAAAATATCACTATGGCAATCATCAGAAGGTCAATTCAAAGATGGGACAGTAAAGATTATGAGGACTTATACCCCCCTGTTGCTAATGTCCCCCCACCACCTGCCATACAACCTATTCCCCCCACTCCACATTCACAAAAAAGAGTACCATCCCAAAATATATATACTATCTACATGGAGTCTAACAAAACTATACCACTTAAAAGTTGTGTTAAACCACCACATATGTTATTAGTAGGAAAGATGCATATTAGTCCAAAAACCAACATAATTACCTGTGTTGTTAGTTGTATACTTGTATTGACTCATCCTTTAATCAATTATCATAGTATTTTAATAGTCAGAGCCAGAGAAGATATTTGGCTCCCCATAGCTTTACATAGGCCTTGGGAATCTTCCCCTTCTATCCATGTTATTAACAATATTCTACAAAAAATTCTTAAAAGGAGTAAACAATTTATTTTTACATTAATTGCAGTAATAGTGGGCTTGATTGCTGTTACTGCAAATGCTGCTACTGCTGGAGTTGCATTACATCAATCTATTCAAACTGTTCATTTTGTGAATCAATGGCAAAATAATTCTACTTGGATGTGGAATTCTCAGGTATTGATCAAAAATTGGCTAATCAAATTAACGATCTAAGACAAACTGTTATATGGATGGGAGATAGAATTATGAGTTTAGAACATAGATTACAAATGCAATGTGATTGGAATACTTCTGATTTTTGTATAACTCCGTTCCAATATAATGAGTCTGTTCACAATTGGGAATCAGTAAAACGCCATTTACAAGGAAGTGAAGATAATTTAAGTTTAGACGTAAGCAAGCTAAAAGAACAGATTTTTGAGTCATCTCAAGCACACTTAACTGCTTTACCCAGTGCTGAAGTTTTAGACAGTATCTTTGAGGGGTTATTTAATCTCAACCCCATTCAATGGGTAAACTCTTTGGGAGGATCCACTATCATTAATTTTGTTCTGTGTATAATTTGTGCTATTGGTTTATTGTTCATGTGTAAAATTGGAAAAAATATTCTTCAATCCAATTGTGATCAGTGCCAAGCTATGATTGCTATGGTTCATTTAAATCAGAGAAAAGGGGGAGATGTAGGGAGACCCCATGAAACTATCGCTATGGAATAAAAGATGAAATGCTCCTGATTATTGTAAATACAAAATTGCATGGAGGATTGTATAAAGACAATGCCAGGTTGGGCTGCCAAAATAAGCCAACAGCATGTGATGTGCTTCCCCCTGCAGAGAGCCTATAAATGGACATGCAGTCAGGGAGGTTTCACATCACCAAGATTCCTATCCCAGAAAAGCAGATGTTCATATCTCTGGGAATGGAATGTGACCCTTGTGGAGAGCCTATAAACGGATGCATGAGGGGTGCCTGTTCATATGGATAAGATAGGGCTATAAACACCCCATCTTTCCATGGCTCTTCTAGGTCTCTTTAGGGTTGAGACATACTCCCTTCTGAGAATCTGTGGTCTAACCAGTTGTCTAGTTTCACATCCTACTTCTATTGATTGTTTGCAACCAGCTTTTGCTGCAATTATTACTACTGATTAGTATCTTACTAAACATAGGTTATGGATAGACTGTGTTTCCGTTTTAAGGCTCTGTTAGAAATTGCTGATGCACACACTATATTGTAAATTCTTAGCTCTGCATACTGTGCTTCTGCATACTGATGTTATGTTAAAGAATTACTTCATCCCTATGTGACCACCTCACCTCATAATCAAATGACCTTAAATCCCTCACTAACCTACCCCCACCCTCACTAAACTTAATAATAAATGCTGGTATATCCAGTGCATTGGCGGCATCTCAGTGGTGACCCCCTGGACTCAGCTTTCACTAACTTGTGTGTGTCTTTTATTTCTTGACCTCCCGATCCACCTGGGAACAAAGAAAGAGCCCCTTTGTTGCTAGCCAGATCCCGCAATAGGCACGGGGGTTACAAAACTATAAACCAAGTCCAAAAGAGAATGATCTTTACTTGCATAAAATTTAGCGAGTAAGACATTGATTGGTTTAATAAAAATAGCTACATCTTGAATTATTTAGTAAAATTACTGTAACTTCTAGTCTTATGGCTTTAGGCAGCCTAGTCCACAGGCAGTAAGGAGGTTTGTTTTGGGAAGGGAGTGTTATTTTTGTTTCAAAGCTAAACTACAAACTAAATTCCTCCCAAAGTTAGTTGGGCTTATGCCCAGGAATGAGCAAGGACAGCTTGGAAGTTAGAAGCAAGATGGAGACATTTAGGTCATATCTTTCTCATGGTCTCAGTTATAACTTTGCAATGGTGAGTTTCATAACTTTAAATGATGACTGTCACAGATTTCTTAATCTAGGTAAGTGATTAAAATAAAATAATTAGGTAAATGTAATAGAATAAATACTTGTAGATGAGCTCTTCATAATTTAGAATCTAAAGTTATAGTAAATTAAATAATAAATATTTCATTATTTGGGTATTTTCCAATAAAAATATATTGTAGGAAAACCTTTTTTCTAAAAAAGTGTCCTTTTTAAAAACGTGAACAATTTTGTCTAATTTAAAGCTTATTTAAAGGTTATATATAAAACAAGGTAAAAAGAACCAGGAAATAAGAGAGATGTAAAGCAAGTTATAGAAATAAAGAGACATTTTTGAGTAAGAAAGCTTAAAGAGAAATAATTTTATATGAGAAAGAATCTTGTATGGTAAATTTAGTCCTAGAATAAAATGTCTGGTTTTTTAAGAAAGAGAAATGTTCAGGACGAACCAGAAAGTCCAAACATGTCATGAATGGTCTGCGTAAGTCACAATAAGAGGATTTACTAAAACAGACTTTTATGTGATCAAGTTGTCTATTATTAAAGAGAAATTATAATGGTCCTTCTGGAGACTGGGTTTAATATAAAAAAACGCTTATACACTAAAGAATTGGTTAGAGCAATGAAATCTTCTTAAGGGACTGATTTACTCTTAATAAATTATAATAGATTTTAATTTTTTTAACCCAAAGTTCAATTTTTATTGCATCTCACTCTTTTCAGTTTTCTCTCCCCTCTTTAAAAGGCATGAAATAATAACACTTTCCTTCAACTCATTTTCAGCTCATATAAGATTTTTTCCCCCCTAAAGCTCTGTTCATTGTGGCCTGATGCTAATAACGTTTTCTTAAAGGCTAAAGGAAATGTTTTCTTCCAACATAATATTCTGTGCACTGCAGAAGGTCTTTTCTTTTGCCTTTTGCTAACTGGCCCAACAGATTTTACATTTTATTGAAATAATTCTAATGTCATTATTATTAAGTTTTGGTTTGCTTAGAAAAAAGATATTAAAATTTTTTTTAAATTGAGGTTGTTACATCTGTGTATCTTTCTGTATGTGCTTTTAAAGTCCTTGTGACATTGAGTTACAGGGCTTTGACTCTGGGTCTAAAAACAACACCAAGTCCTGTTAAATCTTAAACACTGACAGCAATTAAAGCCTTACTATCAGGCCTGGTAGAAGATGCCAATAAAATAAACTGCATTTCTGAGACACAGGGCCGGAAATTAAAGCTATTCAACTCCTCAAGGCCCAGAGACTATCATGGAAGAGGTGGTCATGTGAGATTTAAAGAACCAATTTTGAGAAATAAAATAAGTTCAGTTTTTCTGTGAATTAACCATTAATGTCAAAGATACAGCAATACAAGACCAGCATATGGGCCCCTGTGTCAGATTAACAAAGTTTTCTTGAAACATTAATGGACTCCTCAATAAAGGTTAAAAGTTTTATGGAAGTTATATCTTATAGTCAAGGTTAAAATTTTATAGATTGTTTATAAAATTTTGGAAAACAAATTTAATTGGCTTTGTGCTGTTTTTATTAGGGCTTATTTTTAGGAAAATTAAGTCTCCTCTCTCAAAGAATGAAGGTTTCACCTTTTTTGAAATCATTGAGTTATCACTTTGTGACTGTGATCCTCTTTTGTGATATCAAGTGTTTTAAACCTTTTATATTTGACAACCTTTCCAAAATCAAATTATAAATTATGTATTTTTCTGACCTAATTAGTCATTTAAGATATTAGATTCCTAAAGTCCAAAAGTGACACATTTGGCTTATTTCGTATAAAAATTATACAGGAAGCATTGTCAAATAAGAAATAGTATTTGGTTTTCTTTGGGCTGTATTTGTATACATATGTTATTTGTATGTGTTCCAAAATTATGGAAAACTCCTATAATTCTGATATGACTTAGTGTACATTATCAGTAATAATTATAATTGTTACATTAAATTATTGTGTACTACATAGGTAACAAATTTTCTTGTCAATTGTGTCTGTGACTATGGCTGCCCTAAAACTTTTTGTCATCCATGGGCAATTACTGTCTTGTTTTGGTCCTCTTTAGAAGGTGGTTTTATAATCAGCTATAAAACTCTAACAGTTACTCTTGAATGCAAGATTCTGATAACTTTGGAGATTGTGACTTCAGAATAAAGGAAAAACTTTCAGGACTCATGGAGAGTTGAAATGTTCATTAATATCAAGCAGAACAGAAGATAACAAAGTTATCTTCATGGACTGAACTAATAGAAGACTAAAGGAATCTTTTTGACTTTTTGCTTAAAATGTTGCTGATCCTTTATTTTTTGGAGTCAAGGAAGCTTTTCTTTTGAGCTATTGACAGCTTTTAACAATTTAATATACTCCTATGGACAAAATTCAGAGCATATTTGTTTCTCTCTACCTGATTTCTCTGGAATTTGGAAACTGTGAGTATTCTTAACTTATGGCAATATAGTTTTTTACATAAGTGCAATAAGAATCTGTTTTGAGTTGTAGCAGGATACAATTGGAGAAACTGGTTATTTTACCAAAGCTTTGGCTGGAATGGTATGCTTTCCTTTAAGGAATTGAAATTGACTTAGCCAATAAAAGCCACTTGGGAAAACTGGCCTCATACCTTGTCTACACAGTCTCTGTACAGGGTCAAAATGTCACAGAATGTACAGAATGTCACTTCCTGACAAGTCCAGAGCCCCCAGTTATCTTGGGACCTCAAGAGTAGAAGAATTCATCCAACTTATACGTATTCGATTGTACAAATTCACAGCTGGGCTCGGCTTAAAAAAGTCTTATCTGAGATTCCTTCTGTAGAACAATGTTCCATCAAAGCCAATTTTAAAAGCCTATGTGAAAAATAATTACTCTTGCTGCACTTTATAAAAATAATCTGGCCAAGTATAATAAAGCAAATTGGTCCTACCATGATTTGTCTTTAGTAAAAATGGGAAACTGGAGAGAGAAAAATTATGTTTCAAAAAGCTATATAGTACACCAGTTGTTAGAGTCCAGTCTTGCCTAATGTTTTTCAGTTTTTACTATTTTCTACAATTTGGACTGAATTTTAATATTTCCTGGCTAAAATGTTTCCAAAATACTGTTTTCAATTTTTCTTTCTTCCTTTTTTTCTTCCATTTTTCCTAATTTGAAATCACTGAAAACTAAGTTGTGCTTTCTTAAAGCCCTGTGAACTGAATCTAGACAACTTAAACTTCAGAAGAAAATAACAGTAACCTATTTACATATGTAAGCCATTTTCAAACTACCTACTGATGTGTGGACTTCAGAGTAATGTGGCCTGTATTAATTTTCCAGGATTGTTCTTTTGTTTGCTGTTCTTTTTCTCCCTTCTTCCCCCTATTTTTTTCTTTGCCTTTTCTTTCTTTCTTTCTTTTTTTGAGATGGAGTTTTCACTCTTGCTGCCCAGGCTGGAATGTGGTGGCATGATCTTGGCTCACTGCAACCTCCACCTCCTGGGTTCAAGCAATTCTCCTGCCTCAGCCTCCCAAGTAGCTGGGATTACAGATGCCATGCACTGCTCCTGGCTAATTTTTGTATTTCTAGTAGAGACGAGGTTTCACCATATTGGCCAGGCTGGTCTTGAACTCCTGACCTCAGGTGATCCACGTACCTCAGCCTCCCAAAGTGCTGGGCTTACAGGTGTAAGCCACTGCAGCCAGCCATCTAGCCTCCCCCTATTTTTTCTTCACAGAACATGAAACTTCTCAACCTACTAAAAATGAGCTTTCCTAATAACTCATGACCTACCAGTCTAGGAAGAAACCATCCTAGCTGTGAGAGATCAGATGAAACCTCAGACCAGAGACTCATTTTCTTCTAAAATGCTTTCTCCAAAAGAGTATATTTATTTATTTATTTTTAATTGTATTTTTTTATGTTCCAGGGTACACGTGCAAGATGTGCAGGTTTGACACATAGGTAAACATGTGCCATGGTGGTTTGCTGCACCTATCAATCCATCACCTAGGTATTAAGCCCAGTATGAATTAGCTATTTTCTCTAATACTGTCCCCACCACCACTCTCCCCCGACAGGCCCCAGTGTGTGTTGTTCCCCTCCCTGTGCGCATGTGTTCTCATTGTTCAGCTCCCACTAATAAGTGAAAGCATATATTGTCCAAAAGATTTTAAAAAAGAAAAGGGGGGAAATGCAAAAGGAAGATAAATTTTGGGGCCCTCAAATACCTAAGCTAAAGGGAAAAATCAAGCTGGGAACTGTTCAGGGCAAACCTGCCTCCCATTCTATTCAAAGTTGTCCCTCTGCTCACTGAGATAAGGTCATATCTGATTGCCTCGTTTGGAAAGGCTAATCAGAAACTCAAAAGAATGCAACCATTTGTCTCTCCCCTACCTGTAACCTGGAAGCCCCCTTCCTACTCGAGTTGTCCTACCTTTCTGGGTGGAACCAATGTATATCTTACATACATGGATTGATGTCTCATGACTCCCTAAGATGTATAAAACCAAGCTGTGCTCCAACCACCTTGGGCACATATCATCAGGACTTCCTGAGACTGTGTCACAGACGTGCATCCTCAAACTAGGCAAAATAAACTTTCTAAATTAACTGAGACATGTCTCAAATATTCAGGGTTCTCACAATTCTCTATAAATAAAATTATGAAGTTATCTCAATCCCAATAAAAATACAGAAGGTTTTTCTTTGTTTGTTTGTTTTTGAGATGGAGTTTCACTCTTGTTGCCCAGGCTGGAGTGCAATGGCACGATCTCAGCTCACTGCAACCTCCACCTCCCAGCTTCAAGTGATTCTCCTGCCTCAGCCTCCCAAGTAGCCGGGATTACAGGCATGCGCCACTGTGCCTGGCTAATTTTGTATTTTTAGTAGAGACAGGGTTTCTCCATGTCAGGCTGGTCTCGAACTCCTGACCTCAAGTGATTCGCCCGCCTTGGCCTCCCAAAGTGCTGGGATTACAGGCGTGAGCCACTGTTCCTGGCCAGATTTTTGTTTTAGAGCTTGGCAAGTTAATACTGAAGTTTATGTGGAAAAATAAATGTGCAAGAATAGCCAGAGAATACTAAAAGAAAAAATAATAACGATAGTGGTGGTAGAGGGTTCTACCAGACATTAAGACATCTAATCGAGCTTCTATAATAAAAACAATGAGGTATAGTGCATAGACAGACCAATAAAATAGAATAGAAAGTCCAGAAATAGAATCAAATGCATATGAAAATGTAGTGAATAATAGAGGTGGCATCTTAAATCACTGGAGCAAAGACGGAACTCTGACTCAGTACTCTCGAACAAATTGCTTTGCCCTGATTTGCCTTAATCTGTAAACTGAGAATGACAGCACTGTTTAATGGGAAGAGAAAAATGCCTCTATTATCACATCAGTCTACCAAGTTTGACTAGAGCCTTTAATCTCTCTGAACCTCCCTCCCATCAACTGTGAATGGGGAATAATAATATTAAATCCAATTCCTGTCTGGGGAACTTGCTAATATTCAATGAGCAAACATTGCTGAGAGCCATTTGGGGAATGAGAAAAGCTGTAGAAAAATGGGATATTATTAAGCAGGCTCAACACTCACCACAAATCAGAATGGAGCTTGATATAGTTCGACAGTGTCCCCACCCAAATCTCATCTTGAATTGTAGTTTCCATAATCCCCATGTGTCATGGGAAAGACCCGGTGGGAGGTAATTGAATCATGGAGGTGGCTATCTCCATGCTGTCGTCATGATAGTGAGTGAGTTCTCATGAGATCTAATGGTTTTATAAGGTGCTTTTCCCCCTTTGCTCAGCACTTCTTCCTGCCGCCCTGTGAAGTTGCCTTGCTTCCCCTTCCCCTTCCACCATGATTGTAAGTTTCCTGAGGCCTCCCCAGCCATGCTGAACTGTGAGTCAATTAAACTTCTTTCCTTTATAAATTAGCCAGCCTCAGGTGTATCTTTATTAGCAGTGAGAGAACGGACTAATACAGAGCTTAAGGGCACTTTTTCTATTATAGGGCTTAGTGCCATCACCCATGCTATTCAGGTTGGAGTTTGCTAGGGTAGTAGGAAATAGTGGAGACAAATTTCAAGTGAATGTTAATGATTCAAAAAGGAGATTTTTAGCATTTTCTTACCCATCCCTCCTTTTATTTATTCATTTTTGATGAGAGTTCGGGTTTCCTGGGTCACAAAAAATCCTGGAAACTATGTCCATTCATGGTCCTCACATGAAGATGCTGGGGTCAGCTGTGGAGTGAAGCAGATTCTCACAGGAGGTGGGCTGGGGCAGAGTCTCTGCCGTGTTTAGCAGGGCTGGGGCTTGTGTCCTGGCTTTGGTCTTCATGTGCGCCAGCAAGTAGCCATCTGCACAGTGTCCTATGTTGATGGTCAGACGTTAATCTCTAGCTGGGCAGGGTTCAGGAAACTTGAGATTAAAAGGAAATTTTTATGAGCAAGTCTTTAATCTTTCAAAACGTCATTTTTTTTTTTTTTGAGATGGAGTCTCGCTCTGTTGCCTAGGCTGGAGTGCAATGGCGTGATCTTGGCTCACTGCAACCTCCACTTCCCAGGTTCAAGCGATTCTCCTGCCTCAGCCTCCCAAGTAGCAGGGATTACAGACATGCGCCACCACGCCTGGCTAATTTTTGTATTTTTAGTAGAGAGGGAGGGGGTTTTGCCATGTTGGCCAGGCTGGTCTCAAACTCCTGACCTCAGGTGATCCAACCACCTTGGCCTTCCAAAGTGCTGGGATTACAGGCGTGAGCTACCGTGCCCAGCCCAAAGCTTCATCTTCTAATTCACGCTCGACGCTCAGTCATTTCATCTGCAGTTTAGCTGAGCTATGAATTAGAGGAGGAATTTGGTAAATCTAGCTTTATATAATTCCTGAAGACATACTATAATGTCATCATGATGCATGTAAGAGCACTGTGAACTCTCCAAGAGTGGCACCACAAACATTTTATGAAAGACAAGTCTCTGACCCATAATGATGTTTTCCTGAAAATGTTCAGGCCCTATCACTCTAAAGTCATAGCTACTTACTGGTTTTAACATGAGAAAACCTTTCACAAGTGTTTCTTCCTTTGGCCTAAGATGTGTGATACCTTCTTCCCTTCATTGTGGCCCCCAATCCCTTACTTATTCAGAGTGTCTGGCCAGAAAGCAAAGGCTGGGTGGTTGTCTTAAAAAGATGTGCAGTAATGTTGTTCCCAGACAGAACGAGGTCTGGCTGCTTGATCTCACGGTCCAATAACAAGATGCAGACAGCCTGGGAAATAAGGAAGTTTATTTCTGCAACTAGTTATAGGCAGAAGGTCGGAGTCACTCACCAGACCAACTCAAAGTTTCAAGTTTTTTTCTAGTGCTTATATACATTTTAAGCTCCATGCTGCGCATGGGAGTGCACCTACAAGCAGGGGTGTTTAATTCAATCTCTCTCTAATCTTTAACTAGGGTCTGGGGTCTGGAAAGCTTTCTCTAGAGTCTCGGAAAGTTTATCTTAAGTGGGCCCTGGTACGAGGTGTATGTGTAAGAATGCTTTTATTATTTGACCCGACTTTAATGTCGGAGAAAACCTGAGTGGGGTATTAATGGGTTTGTTTGGGCATTCCAGCCCTTGCACTCAGGCACTAGTTTCTCCAGTACTTTAACGCTTAACTTATACATTCATCAGAATTATGGCAAAAGGCCAGTAAAAATGAACTGTTCTGGTTGCAAATGGAAGCCTGACCTGCCACAATGTCTTTGAAGGATTATGGGGTTGGGGGAAAGGCTGTTTAGTCTTATTTATTTCCATTAGTCCCGCACAGATTAGTTTCTTCAGTGATCTCACAGAAGCCCAAGGTATTGGACCAAAGTCTTGAGAAGGTGACGGACAGATGGTTTTCAGTAGGAAGCAAGGTATCATATGGATGGAGGGTAGAAGCATAAGGAGGCAGCCCTGGATGGGAAGGTGAGGAGGGAACGCCCTGGACTGATGGGAATTCTGAACAGCCTGATAGTCACAGGCTTGGGAAGGCGGAAAGGCAGGCTCTGAGTGATGAGGTGCCTGTCACAGGTGTTGGGATAAATAAGAAGGCACCCTGGAAACTCCTTGACAAATGCCTGAAAAGAAACCAGTGGTGTTTTCCCACTGGGACCTTGTTCTCAATGAAAATGCTACCTGTTTTCTTTAAAGGAACCAAGAGAGGGCGCTGTCGTACTACCTCCAAATCCTGCTAAACCAGTTTCTGACTGGGTAATTCTCCCCCTTCCCACCCCAGTCTATAAAAATTCAGCTTTTTGAGGGATCCCAGACTGATTTTTAACCTCCTGATCAGCGGTGGTGGAGATGTTTACAACAGGGTCTCTGCTAAGCATATGCTGTATGGATAGGGTAATTCAAGGTCCCACTTGAGCCCAAAGAAACACCTTAAGATGATGGTTTTGGCAGCATTATTATGTTGCACACAAAATGCACGTGGTTCTTGTGTTCAGGAGTCCAAATATGCAAACAGGTTCAGGATGTAAAGGGAATTTGGATAGTGGGGAAATAGAAGGGTGAAGGTCGTGCATTGTAGGATAACAAAGGGAGTGTGTGTGTGCACATATACACACACACACATATACACATGCACACCCACGCACACACACACTCACACACATTGGGATTTTAGATTGGTCAGAATGGGCAGGGACTTTGGTTCACTGCTGACTGCTTCTTCAGCACCTGACATCTGTGCCTGCCACAGAGTAGGTGCCCATGAACACCTTTTGATTGTAACTGATATGTTCAATATCAAGATTTATGAAAAACTGAGAAAATTTAATCAACTGGCTGTTTAGCTTATGCAGCACTGAGTAATGTTTAGCTGTTTTAACTGCCTTAAAAAAACTAAGCTAAATGAATTGGCTCTTTGTTTGAAGATCATGTAAATATAGGAAAAACATCAATAAATATAATGACAAAACATTGCCTGTTTCACCTCAGCTTTCCTGAAAGCCTCCCATTCTTCTCATTCAACTCTCTTCCTTATGGGTACCCTTGAAGGCCAGTGAATGCGAGCCTTGCCCTGGCTGAAACCATAGCCAGCATCTCCCTGATGTGTGCAGGGCTGGGTTGTCCTCACCTCATGGAGTGACTTCATTGGCTCCTCTGATTAGTCCTTTTCCTCCCTTCTCTCATCCAGAGCAGGTCCCAGCAGGCAGAAGAGTAAGCTCAGAATTTCAGACATGACTTTCTGCATTGGGGTCTTCATTGTAAAATGAGATCTGAATCCAGGTCTCTGTCCCTTTCATCTCCAGGGCTCTCTGCCTCTGAGATTCCCACACCCTGGTGTGAATCAGACATCAGATCACGCTCCTTATCATGCACCTGCACAGCACCGCCCGGGGACCTGTAGAAATGTAGATTCTCTGTCTCTCCCTAGACACATGGAATGAGAAACTGTTAACCTGCTCAGGGATTATACCCCTTTAATTGCTGCTACTAAGGAGGCTGAGGCAGGAAGATTGCTTGAGCCCAGGAGTTCAAGAGCAGCCTAGACAACATAGCATGACTCACTCTCTAAAAAACATAAGGAAGGAAGGAAGGAAGGAGAGAGAGAGGGAGGGAGGGAGGAAGGAAGGAAAGAAGGAAGGAAGGAAGAAGAAGGAAGGGACGGAGAAAGGAAAGATAAACCGTCGGGAAAGGGGAAAATGGTCTTTCCACCCACGTGGGGCCACATGAGAAGGGGCCTTGGGTACTTCCTTACAGAGAGAGAAAGCCTGTGCCGTGCCTATCACCTCATGCATTGTGTGGGGAGAGCTTTCAGACTCAATGGATGTGTGTCAAGGGCCCTAGACACCCCCCGCCAGCTTTCAGTATTTCAGACTCGAGATAGAAATATGGGGTTATTCCTCTAGGGTGCAAGAGGAGTGTGCATAGGTAAATTACCCTATCTACACTGACCACACTATTGGAGCTGGTCTTGTTCTGTGTCTTCTCTACCTAAGCAAAGCATCGTCCCTTTCAGTGCTTGACTGCACTGTTTTCCTTGGTGACTCTGATGCCAAGGTCAATAGGCACAAGTGTTTGGAGTTCTCCCCTGGGGCTGGTAACCAGAGTGTCTTGTTTTGTGAGACAGACACTTTGACGGGGCCCAGCAGTCTGATATAGCAGACCCACAGGGGATTCTGATGCATGCAAAATGGAGCCACTGGTTTAGTGGAACTGTGTAGTGGGAAGAGGGGGTGCCAATATACTGAGGATCAAGTGGAGTTTGGTGCACCCAAGTCCAGAGGAGTGGGCTCAGGGAGGAGCTTCAGGATGGGAAACAAAAATCTCATGGGATGCCTGGGGTGTAAGAAGAGGCAATGTCAGGTAGTGAGGGCCGGGGTGGTGCAGCATGGCGGCCAGGAGCACAGGCTCTCGATGCGACTGCTTAAGTCAGCTCTGCCACTTATTACCTGCATGACCATGGGCAAGAGGCATAAACTGTCTAGTCTCTGTTTCTTCATTTCTAAAAATATAACAGGTCTTGTAGTAACGCTGTAGTAGACATAATCAGCAACGACCTGCATTTGGTGTCTTAATCCCTTCTGCACACTCCTGCCCAACTTCTGGGTTCAGAGCTCTCCTGGGTATGAAAGCCAGCTGTCCAATTGCCCTCACTACACCCCCCTAACACCACAGTGCCTCCCCGCAAACAATGCTGGATGAGGCTGATGTGTAAGAGCCCTGGCTGTCCAGCCTCTCTGGTGAGTAAATCTGAGGTGTGTTTTCTACACTGGTTCTAGAGTTTCCTCAGCAGAGATAAGCTCTGATGACCGCAGTGGGGTAACTGGCACCACCTGTCAGCTCCCCCTTCCCTCTCTCACTTCCCCACTCTCTAGGCTGGTTTCTAAGATTGTGTTCCAAAGAAACAACTTGCACTTGGACCCTCGTCTCAAGGTCTTCTCCTGGGGAACCCATGATAACCTAAGAACTTACCTTCTAGGGTTGATATGAAGATTAAAGGAGTTAGTACTGAGAGCTGTGCTTGGCACATCATAAGTACAGTCCTGTGCTGTATAACTACATTCTGGTTGACAAACCACATATACAATGATAGTTCCATAAGATTATAATACCATATTCTTACTATACCTTTTGGTGTTTAGCTATGTTTAGATACACAAAGACTTACCACTGTGTTACAATTGCCTACAGTATTCGGTATTCAATTCAGTATTCCACCACATCACATGCTGGACAGGTTTGCAGCCCGGGAGCAATAGGCTGTATCATACAGCCTGGGTGTGCAGTGGCTGTAGCATCTAGGTTTGTGTACGTGCTCTGTGCCAAACAGCATATTTCTGAGGTGGTATCCCCATTGTTAGGAGATACATGGCTGTACTCAACAAATAATTGCCATTGTTATTAATAACTGAGCACTGAGCTTGGAGCTAGGACACTTGATTCCAATCTACTTTGTGGCTTACCACCGATGGGAGTGCGAGCAAGTCAGTTAACTTCTCTGAGTGTCAGTTTCAGCCTTTTCAGGGCTGTTTCTAGAATTAAAAAGGGGGAAGAGCTCGGCAAGCACTTTGCAGACTGCCAAGGGTGATACCAAAGTGAAAGTGAAGAAGGACCAAAGGTGGAGAAAACAAATGAGACTAATGCCAGCTGCCCACAGAGGCTGGATCTGAGGTGCTGTCCAAGGGGCAAGACTGCCTCAGATCCAGCCAGAAACTTCCTGAACCAAGGCCCCTGACCAGAGGGCTGTGGCCAGCACAGCTCCCCACTGACCTGGGGAGGAGCAGGAGGCAAGAGGAGATTTCTCAGCCTTGCTAGTTTGACAAAATGGCATTGAGTGCCATTACAAATCAGGCCCTTTAATCTGTGCACTTCTGAGCATTTTGGGCAGGGTATCTTAGAAGTTATGAGAAACTTGTATACAGCTGGGCAATTAGGCAAAACTGATCAAAATTATGGATATTTTTACTCTGATACTATTTCTAATACTTTAACCTACAGATATACCTGTAAATGATCAATTACAAAATGATATATTCTGGCCAGGTGTGGTGGCTCATGCCTGTAATCCAGCACGTTGGGAGGCCGGGGCAGGCAGATCTCTTGAGGCCAGGAGTTCAAGACCAGCCTGGCCAACATGGGGAAACCTCATCTCTACTAAAAATACAAAAATTAGCTGGGTGTTGTGGCAGGCGCCTGTAATCCCAGCTACTCTGGAGCCTGAGGCATGAGAATTGCTTGAACCTGGGAGGTGAAGGTTGCAGTGAGCCAAGATTGAGCCACTGCACTCCAGCTTGGGTGACAGAGCGACATCCTGTCTCAAAAAAAAATTAATCAACTTAAAAAATGGGTATATTAGAGAGAGAAGGCAAGATGGCCAAATAGCAAGAGTTCTGGTCTGCAGCTCCCAGCAAGATCAACTCAGAAGGTGGGTGATTTCTGCATTTCCAACTGAGGTACCCAGTTCATCTCACTGGGACTGCTTGGACAGTGGGTGCAGCCCACGGAGGGTGAGCCGAAGCAGGGTAGGGTGTCACCTCACCTGGGAAGCACAAGGGGTGGGGGAATTTTCTCCCCTACCCAAGGGAAGCCATGAGGGACTGAGCCTGGGGAACTCTGGCACGGATACTGCGCTTGTCCCTTGGATTTTGCAACCTGCAAACCAGGAGATTCCCTTTGGTGCCTACCTAACCAAGGCCCTGGGTTTCAAGCACAAAACTGGGTGGCCATTTGGGCAGACACCGAACTAACTGCAGGAGTTCTTTTTTTTAATACCCCAGTGGCACCTGGAATACCAGTGAGACCGAACCATTCACTCCCCTGGAAAGGGGTGCTGAAACCAGGGAGCCAAGTGGTCTGGCTCAGCAGTTCACACCCCCATGGGCTCAGCAAACTAAGATCCACTGGCTTGAAATTCTCACTGCCAGCACAGCAGCAGTCTGACATCGATCTGGGATGCTGGAGCTTGGTGGGGGAAGGGGAGTCCACCATTGCTGAGGCTTCATTAGGTGGTTTTACGCTCACAGTGTGCTCACAGTGTAAACAAAGCTGCTGGGAAATTTTAACTGAGTGGAGCCCACTGCAGCTCAGCAAGGCTGCTGTGGCCAGACTGCCACATTTCCCTGCTCTGGGCAGGGCATCTCTGGAAATAAGGCAGCAGCTCCAGTCAGGGACTTATAGATAAAACCCCCATCTCCCTGGGACAGAGCACCTGGGGAAAGGGGCAGCTGTGGGCACAGCTACAGAAGACTTAAACATCCCTGCCTGACGGCTCTGAAGAGAACAGTGGACCTCCCAGCACAGCATTCGAGCTCTGCTAAGGGTCAAACTGCCTCCTCAAGTGGGTCCCTGACCCCTGTGTATCTTGACTGAGAAACACCTCCCAGTAGGGGCTGATAGACACCTTATACAGGAGAGCTCTGGCTGGCATCTGGCAGGTGCCCCTCTGGGACAAAGCTTCTGGAGGAAAGATCAGGCAGCAATCTTTGCTGTTCTGCAGGCTCTGCTGGTGACACCCAGGCAAACAGCATTGGGAGTGGACCTCCAGCAAACTCCAGCAGACCAGCAGCACAGGGGCCTGGTTGTCAGAAGGAAAACTAACAAACAGAAAGGAATAGCACGTCCATTCAAAGACCCCACCCGAAGGTCACCAACATCAAAGACCAAAAGCAGATAAATTCACAAAGATGGGGAGAAACCAGTACAAAAAGGCTGAAAATACCAAAAACCAGAATGCCTCTTCTCCAAAGGATCACAACTCCTCACCAGCAAGGGAACAAAATTGGACAGAGAATGAGTTTGACGAATTGACAGAAGTAGGGTTCACAAGGTGGGTAGAAACAAAATCCTCTGAGCTAAAGGAGCATGTTCTTACCCAATGCAAGGAAGCTAAGAACCTTGAAAAAAAGGTTAAACAAATTGCTAACTAGAATAACCAGTTTAGAGGAGAACATAAATGATCTGACGGAGCTGAAAAACAGAGCACAAGAACTTCGCAAAGCATACACAAGTATCAATAGCTGAACTGATAAAGCGGAAGAAAGGATATCAGTCATTGAAGATCAACTTAATGAAATAAAGCATGAAGACAAGATTAGAGAAAAAAGAATAAAAAGGAACCAACAAAGCCTCCAAGAAATATGGGACTATGTGAAAGACCAAATCTATGTCTGATTGGTGTACCTGAAAGTGATGCGGAGAATGGAACCAAGTTGGAAAATACTCTTCAGGATATTATCCAGGAGAACTTCCCCAACCTAGCAAGACAGGCCAACATTCAAATTCAGAAATACAGAAAAACACCACAAAGATACTCCTCGAAAAAAGCAACCCCAAGACAAATAATCATCAGATTCACCAAGGTTGAAATGAAGGAAAAAATGTTAAGGGCAGCCAGAGAGAAAGGTCGGGTTACCCACAAAGGGAAGCCCACCAGACTAACAGTGGATCTCTCTGCAGAAACCCTACATACCAGAAGAGAGTGAAGGTCAATAATGAACATTCTTAAAGAAAATAATTTTCAACCCAGAATTTCATATCCAGCCAAACAAAGCTTCATAAGTGAAGGAGAAATAAAATGCTTTACAGACAAGCAAATGCTGAGAGATTTTTGTCACCTCCAGGCCTGCCTTACAAGAGCTCCTGAAGGAAGCACTAAACATGGAAAGGAACAAATAGTAACAGCCACGGCAAAAACATGCCAAATTGTGAAGACCGTCAATACTATGATGAAACTGCACCAACTAATGGGCAAAACAACCAGCTAGCATCATAATGACAGGATCAAATTAACAAATAACAATATTAACCTTAAATGTAAATGGGCTAAATGCCCCAATTAAAAGACACTGACTGGCAAATTGGATACAGAGTCAAGACCCATCAGTGTGCTGTATTCAGGAGACCCATCTCATGTGCAAAGACACACATGGGCTCAAAATAAAGGGATGGAGGAATATTTACCAAGCAAAAAAAAAAAAAAAAAAAAAAAAAAAAAAAAAAAGCAGGAGTTACTATCCTAATCTCTGATAAAACAGACTTTAAACCAACAAGATCAAAAGAGACAAAGAAGGCCATTACATAATGGTAAAGGAATCAATGCAGCAAGAATAGCTAACTATCCTAAATATATATGCACCCCATACAGGAGCACCCAGATGCATAAAGCAAGTCCTTAGAGACTTACAAAGAGACTTAGACTCCCACACAATAATAGTAGGAGACTTTAATACCCCAATTTCAATATTAGACAGATCAATAAGACAGAAAATTAACAAGGATATTCAGGACTAGAACTCAGCTCTGGACCAAGCTGACCTAATAATCATCTACAGAACTCTCCATGCCAAATCAACAGAATATACATTCTTCTTAGCACCTCATCGCATGTATTCTAAAATTGACTGCATAATTGAAAGTAAAACACTCCTCAGCAAATGCAAAAGAACAAAAATCATAACAAACAGTCTCTCAGACCACAGTGCAATCAAACTAGAACTCAGGATTAAGAAACTCAGTCAAAACCACACAACTACATGGAAACTGAACAACCTGTTCCTAAGTGACTACTGGGTAAACAATGAAATGAAGCCAGAAATAAAGATGTTCTTTGAAACCAATGAGAATGAAGACACAATGGACCCGAATCTCTGGGACATCTTTAAAGCGGTGTGTAGAGGGAAATTTATAGTACTAAATAACCATGAGAGAAAGCAGGAAAGATCTAAAATTGACACCCTAACATCAAAACTGAAAGAACTAGAGAAGCAACAGCAAACAAATTCAAAATCTACCAGAAGACAAGAAATAACTAAGATCAGAGCAGAACTGAAGGAGATAGAGACACGAAAAACCCTTCAAAAAATCAATTAATCCAGGAGCTGGTTTTTTGAAAAGATCAACAAAATTGATAGACAGGTAGCAAGACTAATAAAGAATAAAATAGAGAAGAATCAAATAGACACAATAAAAAATGATAAAGGGGATATCACCACTGATCCCACAGAAATACAAACTACCATCAGAGAATACTATAAACACCTCTATGCAAATAAACTAGAAAATCTAGAAGAAATGGATAAATTCCTGGATACGTACACCCTCCCAAGTCTAAACCAGGAAGAAGTCGAATCCCTGGATAAACCAATAACAAGTTCTGAAATTGAGGCAGTAGTTAATAGCCTACCAGCCAAAAAAAGTCCAGGACCAGACAGATTCACAGCCGAATTCTACCAGAGGTACAAAGAGGAGCTGGTACCATTCCTTCTGAAACTATTTCAAACAATAGAAAAAGAAGGAATCCTCCCTAACTCATTTTATGAGGCCAGCGTCATCCTGATACCAAAGCCTGGCAGAGACACAACAAAAAAAGAGAATTTTAGACCAATATCCCTGATGAACATCGATGTGAAAGTCCTCAATAAAATACTGGCAAACCGAATCCAGCAGCACATCGAAAAGCTTATCCACCACGATCAAGTGGGCTTCATCCCTGGGATGCAAGGCTGGTTCAACATACGCAAATCAATAAACATAATCCATCACATAAACAGAACCAGTGACAAAAACCACGTGATTATCTCAATAGGTACAGAAAAGGCCTTCCACAAAATTCAACAGCCCTTCATGCTAAAAACTCTCAATAAACTGGGTATTGATGGAATGTATCTCAAAATAGTAAGAGCTATTCATGACAAACCCACAGCCAATATCATACTGAATGGGCAAAAACTGGAAGCATTCCCTTTGAAAACTGGCACAAGACAAGGATGCTCTCTCTCACCACTCCTATTCAACATAGTATTGGAAGTTCTGGCCAGGGCAATCAGGCAAGAGAAAGAAATAAAGGGTATTCAGATAGGAAAACAGCAAGTCAAATTGTCTCTGTTTGCAGATGACTTGATTGTATATTTAAAAAACCCTATCGTCTCAGCCCAAAGTCTCCTTAAGCTGGTAAGCAACTTCAGCAAAGTCTCAGGATACAACATGAATGTGCAAAAATCACAAGCATTCTTATACACCAATAACAGACAAATAACCAAATCATGAGTGAACTCCCATTCACAATCACTACTAAGATAATAAAATACCTAGGAATACAACTTACAAGGGATGTGAAGGACTTCTTCAAGGAGAACTACAAACCACTGCTCAAGGAAATAAAAGAAGACACAAACAAATGGAAAAACATTCCATGCTCATGGATAGGAAGAATCAATATCATGAAAATGGTGCCTGTAGTCCCAGCTACTTGGGAGGCTGAGGCAGGAGAATGGTGTGAACCCAGGAGGCGGAGCTTGCAGTGAGCCGAGATTGAGCCACTGCACTCCAGCCTGAGCGACAGAGCAAGACTCCGTCTCAAAAAAAAAAAAAAAAGAAAGAAAATGGCCATACTGCCCAAAGTAATTTATACACTCAAAGTTATCCTGATGAAGCTACCACTGACTTTCTTCACAAAATTGGGAAAAACTACTTTAAACTTCATATGGAACCAAAAAAGAGCCTGTATAGCCAAGACAATCCTGGGCAAGAACAAAGCTGGAGGCATCACACTACCTGACTTCAAACTATACTACAAGGCTACAGTAACCAAAACAGCAACTGGTACTGGTACCAAAACAGATATATAGACCAATGGAACAGAACAGAGGCCTCAGAAATAACACCACACATCTACAACCATCTGATCTTTGACAAACTTGACACAAACAAGCAATGGGGAAAAGATTCCCTATTTAATAAATGTTGCTGGGAAAACTAGCTAACCATATGCAGAAAACTGAAACTGGACCCCTTCCTTACACCTTATACAAAAATCAACTCAACATGTATCAAAGACTTAAACATAAGACCTAGGACCATAAAAATCCTAGAAGAAAACCTGGGCAATACCATTCAAGACATAGGTATGGACAAAGACTTCATGTCTAAAATACCAAAAGCAATGGCAACAAAAGCCAAAATTGACAAATGGGATCTAATTAAACTAAAGAGCTTCTGCACAGCAAAAGAAACTATCATCAGAGTGAACAGCCAACCTACAGAATGGGAGAAAATTTTCGCAATCTATCCATCTGACAAAGGGCTAATATCCAGAATCTACAAAGAACTTAAATAAACTTGCAAGAAAAAAAAACCCATCAAAAAGTGGGCCAAGAATATGAACAGACACTTCTCAAAAGAAGACATTTATGCAGCCAACAGACATATGCAAAAATGCTCATCATCACTGGTCATTAGAGAAATGCAAATCAAAACCACAATGAGATACCATCTCACACCAGTTAGAATGGTGATAATTAAAAAGTCAGGAAACAACAGAAACTAGAGAGGATGTGGAGAAACAGGAATGCTTTACACTGTTGGTGGGAGTGTAAATTAGTTCAACCATTGTGGAAGACAGTGTGATGATTCCTCAAGGATCTAGAACCAGAAATAACATTTGACCCAGCCATCCCATTACTGGGTATATACCCAAAGGATTATAAATCATTCTGCTATAAGGACAAATGCACATGTATGTTTATTGCAGCACTATTCACAATAGCAAAGACTTGGAACAACCCAAATGTCCATCAATGATAGACTGGATAAAGAAAATGTGGCACATATACACCATGGAATACTATGCAGCCATTAAAAATGATGAGGTCATGTCTTTTTCAGGAAAGGAACATGGATGAAGCCGGAAAGCATCATTCTCAGCAAACTATCACAAGAACAGAAAACCAAACACCACATGTTCTCACTCATAAGTGGGAACTGAACAATGAGAACACATGGATATAGGGAGGGGAACATCACACACTGGGGCCTGTTAGGGGGTGGGGGGCTAGGATAGGGATCACATTAGGAGAAATACCTAACGTAGGTGATGGGCTGATGGGTGCAGCAAACCACTATGGCACATGTATATCTATGTAACAAAATTGCACATTCTGCACATGTACCACAGAACTTATAATAAAAAAAAAATATATATATATATATAGGTATATTAGAAATGGAGAGAAATGCAAAAATGCGGTTATGAATACCATGCTGCAGTTTAAATATTTACCTTTTACAAATGAAATGCTTGTAATAGGAAAAGTGCAATGCAACAAAATTGTACTGTTAATATCATAACTAAATCATTCGTAAATCATTATTAACTCAGTGCAGAGTAGGTGTAGGCATAGTAGGTACAGGATAAGTTTAAGATGTAGTCTTCTTACTTGAATCCAGCGTGTGTTGTCAAGCAACACACAACCTCATTTGGCCATCATGTCATTAAAAGATAAACTTAGGCACATTAAACTTCTGAAGAGTTTATTTAAGCAGACAGTAATTCACAAATTGGCCAGCTCCAAACCACAAGTAACAGTGCTCCCCCTGGATGGGGAGGGGAGAGGACTACTTTGATAAGGTGTTCAAAAGAGCAATAAAAAGAAAATGTATTTGACGAGCTAAAGTGCCCAGTCCCTATTTAGTGGTTAGTGGGTGGTTTCTGAAGGGTTGAGCTTAAGTTTTGTTTTCCCATTTGCATTGGGATTTAGTCTGCTTTGGTAGGAACCCAAGGTGGGAGAGCTATCTCAGCCTAATGGCCTCATGATTAAATTTCTGTTTAATCTGTTACAGGCCTAGTCGTAAGCCCTTTGTCCTCCACCTGAGCAGTGACAGCCTTTTTGAAAGTGGAGGTGTAGGAATAAAGCCTTCTGGGATCACCTGAAATGTGGATTGCAGCAGGGAGAGAGGAGATGTGGAATTTATTTAGAATTAGTAGTGGACACGTGGACTGAGGCCCTAGAGGTCTAAAGTAAAGCTGCAGAAATGGCTGTGAAGAGGTGGAAGGGACTAAGAAAGATATTTTGAAAGGAATTTTTTTTTTTTTTGAGACAGGGTTTTGCTTTGTCACCCAGGCTGGAGTGCCCTGGTGCTATCACCGCTTACTGCAGCCTTGACCTCCTGGGCTCAAGGGATCCTCCTGCCTCCACCTCCCAGAGTGCTGGGATTACAGGCATGAGCCACCACATCCAGCCAGCTTTTTGTTTTTTCACCTATGTGAAATAACAGAAATGCCAATAGAATTAGCAAGAGACCATTTTTGTTTGCTTGTTTGTTTGTTTGAGACGGAGTCTCGCTCTGTCACCCAGGCTGGAGTGTAGTGGCAGGATCTGGGCTCACTGCAAGCTCCGCCTCCAGAGTTCACGCCATTCTCCTGCCTCAGCCTGGCCAGTAACTGGAACTACAGGCGCCCGCCACCACGCCAGGCTAGTTTTTTGTATTTTTAGTAGAGACGGGGTTTCACCGTGTTAGCCAGGATAGTCTCGATCTCCTGACCTCATGATCCGCCCTCCTCGGCCTCCCAAAGTGCTGGGATTACGGGCGTGAGCCACCACGCCCGGCCGCAAGAGACCATTTTTTAAAATGAGCAAAAGGAATTAACTGTGACTTCCGCAAGCTTCTTGAAACTGGCTTTCCTCAGGTGCTGCCTCTGTCTCCTCGGGAAAGGAGGGATATTGTAGCGAGGCAGACAGCTTGCCATTCACTACTCCTCCAGTCATGCACGTGTGTGTATTTTTCCTTTGATGAACATTTTTCCTCAAAACACCCAGGCAAGAGCCAGTGGAAGACGACGTGTCCCAAGACAGCCGATGTGGCTGGCAAATGTCATTTCCTTCCCTGCGTCCTTTCAGACTTAGCCCTGGATAGTGGGAAGAGTCTGGGAGAGGTAGCAGCTGCAATGTTTTCCGTCATTCAGGAAGGGAAGATTTGTCTGGAAAAGGAAGGGGGTGTAGGCTTCTCCTCTTAAAGGTTAAAGGTTAGATGGCAACACGGCTGGAGCCCTCATTAAGGTTCCCAAGGGACTTGCCCAGGTCCCTGCTCTCAGATACAGAGCTCTAGTCACCCAGGGAAAGGCTTAAGCAGCTTAGTTCTTATCAGATAGCTATTTAACCCCAAGAAGCTCAGCGTTATCAACTAAAAGAGTAATAATAACATGGCAAGCGAAGTGATTGAGATTTTGATTTTTGTGTGCGTGTTTTGCTTTGGGTTTTTGCTTGCTTTGTAAGAGATGAGAAAGACTAAGAGGTGTTTTTTCTCACCCCATCCTAAGAGAGTAGTCCAGCCTTTCTCTTTGGGATTGAGGACTCCCAGAGTTCCTTGTGTTTTATAACTGAAGATGGAGATTTTGGGGCATGAGAACAGCTCCCACCAAGGCTTCTGTTGGAGGCGAGTGGCCCACTGAGTGGGAGGGGGCTGGTGCTAGAAGTAGAGGGAGAAGCAGGTGGCTGGGCCCAGGGGAGAAGAGACAGGTCTCCCAGGCACTTCAGAGGGCACTTGGCTTTTGAGGCCTTTTTTTTTTTTTTTTTTTTTTTTTCTTTCTTTCTTTCTTTCTTTCTTTCTTTCTTTCTTTCTTTCTTTCTTTCTTTCTTTCTTTCTTTTTCTTTCCTTCTTTCTTTCTTTTTCTTTCTTTCTTTCTTTTTTGAGATGAGTTTTGCTCTTGTCACACAGGCTGGAGTGCAATGGCATGATCTTGGCTGACTGCAACCTCTGCTTCCTGGATTCAGGTGATTCTCCTGCCTCAGCCTCTCAAGTAGCTGGGACTACAGGCACCGGCCATCACGTCCGGCTAATTTTTTTGTTTGTTTGTTTGGTAGAGACAAGAGTTTCACCATGTTGGCCAGGCTGGTCTCGAACTCCTGACCTCAGGTGATCCACCCGCCTCAGCCTTTCTTTTTTTTGTTGTTTTGATTTGTTTTGTTTGATACAGAGTCTTGCACTGTCGCCCAGGCTGGAGTGCAGTGGTGCGATCTCAGCTGACTGCAAGCTCCACCTCCCAGGTTCACGCCATTTTCCTGCCTCAGCCTCCCAAGTAGCTGGGACTACAGGCGCCCACCACCACACCTGGCTAATTTTTATTATTTATTATTTTTTTTGTATTTTTAGTAGAGACGGGGTTTCACCATGTTAGTCAGGATAGTCTCTACCTCCTGACCTCGTGATCCGCCGGCTTCAGCCTCCCAAAGTGCTGGGATTACAGGCGTGAACCACCGCGCCCAGCAATCTGCCTCAGCCTTTCAAAGTGCTGAGATTACAAACGTGAGCCACCGCAGAGGCCTTTCTAAAACTGGTGGCGGCCTGTGCCCTGCTACCACACAGCCTGCTAAGACAAGTGATGAGATTTCTGATGGAGTCAAGTGTGGAAGCAGCAGAAGAAAGCTAAGAGCAGTGGCCTTGGAGACTGAGGCAAAACATTCCTACTTATTTGCTTGGCTGAAAATGAAGTGAAAATGAAGTCACCTGACTTTTCTGATTTTAAATGGAGACCATAACCAGGAGCACCCCAGTAGTGACCAGGAAGGAAACATGTCTAGAGTTTCTGTTTTCTAACTGTAAGCGCTTTGGATTCTTATTTGACTCTAGGAAGGGGAAAGGATTCCTAAAATAGGACTGTGGTTGCTTTTTCCACTACCTTTAAACAAATAAGGTAACATGATGCTGACTTTCACTTTAGCATTCTAAGACTAAATTCATACCTGAAATATTAAGAACACACAATTCCAGGTTTTATGGCGTCTGAAGCTTGCGAAACTTGGAGAGCCCTCTTTAAGAAAAATAATATATGGCTATGGATACACAATTAGGCATGGAAGTGATTATTCAGAATAAGAGCGGAAATCACAACAACATGATAAAAATTTAATCTGACTGTATTAGTTTCCTGTGGCTACTGTAACAAACTACGACAAACTTGGTGGCTTAAACACCAGAAATTTATTCTTTACAGTTCTGGAGGCCAGAAGTATGAGATCAAGTTTTTTTTTTTTCTTTTTCAGATGGAGTCTTGCTCTGTCATCCAGGCTGGATTGCAGTGGCAGGATCTCAGCTTACTACAACCTCCGCCTCCCGAGTTCGAGTGATTCTCCTGCCTCAGTCTCTGGAGTAGCTGGGAATACAGGCACCCACCATCGTGCCCAGCTAATTTTTTGTTTGTATTTTTGTAGAGACCGGGTTTCACCATGTTGGCCACTCTGGTCTTGAACTCCTGACCTCAGGTGATCCGCCCACCTCTGCCTCCCAAAGTGCTGGGATGACAAGCTTCAGCCACCGTGCCCAGCCAAGATCAAGTTGTTGTTGGCAGGGCTGCACTCCCTGCAAAGGCTGTAGGAGACAACCCATCTTTGCTTCTTCCAGCTTCTGGGGGCTTCCCCAGCATGCCTTGGCGTGCCTTGGCTTGTGGCTGCATTCCTCCAATCTCTGCCTGTATGGTCAAATTACCTCCTCCTGGTCCATCTATCTCCCTGTGTGTCACTTATAAGGACAGTTATCATTGGATTTAGTGCCCTCCTGGATGATCCAGGATGATCTCATCTCAAGATCCTGAACTTAAGTACACCACAAAGTCCCTTTTGCCAAATGAGATAACATTCACCATTTCCGAGGATAAGGACTTGGATACATCTTTTGGGAGGTCACCATTCAACACACTACACTAACAAATATCACTGTTAAAAAAATATGAATTGAGAGTCCATTTGGCTGAGATGGCTTCCAGGGCCTTGAGTTCCTATGTAAACAAACTGAAACCCAACCGATTTAAACAGTAAAATGAAACTTAAACTTCACCAATTAGAAACTGTCAACTAACCAGTAATTAGAGAACTCATCAATCAGAAACTGACAACTAACCTCTAACTAGGGACTCTGCACTTTAGCCAATCAAACATATGTTTTTTGTCTTGCTACTGAGAACAGTTTTTGAAAGTTTCCCCTTGAGTTCCCTTGGTGGAGTCCTGAACCCCTCCTGGTCTTGTGCTGCCTGATTCATGAATCGCTGCCTGCTCAAATAAACTGTTTAGAATTTTAACATGCCTAAGTTTATCTTTTAAAACCACTAACATCACCAATGTCAGGAAAATGACAAAACGTTTTAAGTTATTTATTTATTTATTATTTTTTTCAGACAGGTTTTCCCTCTGTCACCCAGGCAGGAGTGCAGTGGCATGATCTTGGCTTACTGCAACCTCTGCCTCTCAGGCTCAAGCAATCATCGCAAGTCAGCCTCCCAGGTAGCTGGGACTACAGGCACATGTCATCATGCCTGGCTAATTTTTGTATTTTTTGTAGAGATGGGGTTTTACCCTATTGCCCAGGCTGGTCTTAAACTCCTGGGCTCAAGCAATCCACCTGTCTTAGCCTCCCAAAGTGCTGGGATTACAGGTGTGAGCCACCACATTCAGCAAACATTTTTATTTTTTCTGAAATACTTTTTCTTATAATTTCTGAATACTTTTTCTTATAATTTTTGGCTGCACATGCTTTGCCTCTTCATCCAATAATAATTTTGTAATTTCATTTTCTATAGAAACAATAGAAATTCAATATTTACTCAACATGATTGATTTAAATGTGCATATTATGATTTGTAGTTGGGATGCATGCAATATGTAATTCCATACATTTACTCATTATGGTACTTGCTGCTATAGGTTTGAACCCTAAAAAATAGGAATTTGGATAAATTCTATTTCATGTGATTTCTATCAAAAATTGAGGGGAAAGTAAGGTGTTTTATCAGTTTCCTAGGGCTACTGTAATAAAGCATCACAAATTGAGGGACTTGAAACTACAAAAATTTATTCTTTCACACATCTGGGGGTTAGAAGTCCAAAAGAAAGGAGTTGGCAGGGTCATGCTCCCTCTGACACCCTAGGTATGGGTAGAATCCTTCCTCACCTCTTTCTGGATTCTGGTCTTGCCATTCCTTCTTGGTATTCCTTGGCTTGCAGCTGCATCCCTTCTATCTTGGCCTCTATCGTCACATAGGGTTCTTCATGTCTGTCTATGGCCAAATTTCCCACTACTTATAAGGCCACCAGTCACTGGATCAGGGCCTGTCCTCCTCCAGTATGACCTCATCATTGTTTACATCTTAATTATATCTCCAAAGACCCAGTTTCCAAATAGGGTCACATGCATGGGTACTGGAGGTTAAGACTTCAACCTATCCTTTTGGGAAACATAATTCAAAAGCATTTACATCTGTATATTATCAATGAAAAGAGTCAAACTTTAGGTTGGGCATGATGGCTCACACCTGTAATCCCAGCACTTTGGGAGGCTGAGGCAGGTGGATTACTTGAGGTCAGGAGTTGGAGACAAGACTGGCCAACATGGTGAAACCCTGTCTCTATGAAAAATACAAAAATTAGCTAGGCATGGTGGTTGGCATCTGTAATCCAAGTTACTTGGGAGGCTGAGACAAGAGAATCATTTAAACTCAGGAGGCAGAGGTTACAGTGAGTTGAGATTGTGCCACTGCACTCCAGCCTGGGTGACAGAGCAAGACTCCATCTCAAAAAAAAAAAAAAAGTCAAACTCTGTAAAATATTAATATTTGAAGAGATTTATTCTGAGCCATATATGAGGGACCACAGCCCATAACACTGCCCTCAGGAGACCCTGAGAACATGTGCCCCTGGTTAGGCCACAACTAGGTTTTATCCATTATAGGAGGACATATGATATCAATTAATACATGTAAGATGTATATTGGTTTGGTCCATAAAGGCAGGACAACTGGAAGTGGTGGGGCTTCCAGGTTATTATGATCAGATTCAAAGATTTTCTGGATGGCAGTTGGTTGAAAGAGTTTATCTAAAGATCTGGAATCAATAGAAAGGAAAAGTCTGGGTTAAGATAAGAGATTGTAGGGGATCTGTTCCAAGATGGCTGAATAGGAATAGCTCTGATCTGCAACTCCCAGCATGATCAACACAGAAGATGGGTGATTTCTGCATTTCCAACTGAGGTACCTGGTTCATCTCACTGGGACTGGTTGGACAGTGGGTACAGCCCACAGAGGGTGAGCCGAAGCAGGGTGGGGCATCACCTTACCTGGGACACACAAGGGGTCCGGGGATTTCCCTTTCCTAGCCAAGGGAAGCTGTGACAGACTGTACTGGGAAAATCGGGACACTACCACCTAAATACTGTGCTTTTCCAACAGTCTTAGCAAACGGTACACCAGGAGATTATATCCTGCGCCTGGCTCAGCGGGTCCCATGCCCACGGAGCCTTGCTCACTGCTTGTGTAGCAGTCTGAGATCCAACTGCTAGGCAGCAGCCTGGCAGGGGGAGGGGCGTCCACCATTGCTGAGGCTTGAGTAGGTAAACAAAGGGGCCAGGAAGCTCGAACTGGGTGGAGCTCACTGCAGCTCAACAAGGCCCTCTGCCTCTGTAGACTCCACAACTAGGGGCAGGGTATAGCTAAATAAAAGGCAGCAGAAACTTCTGCAGACTTAAACATCCCTGTCTGATAGCTCTGAAGAGAGCAGTGGTTCTCCCAGCATGGTGTTTGAGCTCTGAGAACAGATAGACTGCCTCCTGAAGTGGGTCCCTGACCCCCGCGTAGCCTAACTGGGAGACACCTCCCAGTAGGGGCTGACAGACACCCCATACAGCCAGGTGCCCCTCTGAGATGAAGCTTCCAGAAGAAGGATCAGGCAGCAATAGTTGCTGTTCTGCAATATTTGCTGCTCTGCAGCCTCTGCTGGTGATACCCAGGCAAACAGGGTCTGGAGTGGACTTCCAGGAAACTCCAACAGACCTGCAGCTGAGGAGCCTGACTGTTAGAAGGAAAACTAACAAATAGGAAGGGATAACATCAACATCAACAAAAAGGACATCCACACCAAAACCCCATCTGTAGGTCACCATGATCAAAGACCGAAGATAGATAAAACCACAAAGATGGGGAGAAACCAGAGCAGGAAAGCTGAAAATTCTAAAAACCAGAGCACCTCTTCTCCTCCACAGGATGGCAGCTCTTTGCCAGCAATGGAACAAAGCTGGACGGAGAATGACTTTGATGAGTTGACAGAAGCAGGCTTCAGAAGGTTGGTAATAACAAACATCTCCGAGCTAAAGAAGGATGTTCGAACCCATTGCAAGGAAGCTAAAAACCTTGAAAAAAGATTATATGAATGGTGATCTAGGATAAACAATGTAGAGAAGACCTTAAATGACCTAATGGAGCTGAAAACCATGGCACGAGAACTACATGACGCATGAGCAAGCTTCAGTAGCTGATTTGATCAAGTGGAAGAAAGGGTATCGGTGACAGAAGATCAAATGAATGAAATGAAGTGAGAAGAGAAGTGTAGAGAAAAAAGAGTAAAAAGAAATGAACAAAGCCTCCAAGAAATATGGGACTATGTGAAAAGACCAAATCTACGTTTGATTGGTGTACCTGAAAGTGACAGGGAGAAAGGACAAAACTGGAAAAGACTCTTCAGGATATCATCCAGGAGAACTTCCCCAACCTAGCAAGACAGGCCAACATTCAAATTCAGGAAATACAGAGAACACCACAAAGATACTCCTCGAGAAGGGCAACCCAAAGACACATAATCATCAGATTCACCAAGGTTAAAATGAGGGAAAAAATGCTAAGAGCAGCCAGAGAGAAAGGTCAGGTTACCCACAAACGGAATCCCATCAAACTAACAGTGGATCTCTTGGCAGAAACTCTACAAGCCAGAAGAGAATGATGGCCAATATTCAACATTCTTACAGAGAAGAATTTGCAACCCAGAATTTCATATCCAGCCAAACTAAACTTCATAAGTGAAGGAGAAATAAAATCCTTTACAGACAAGCAAATGCTGAGAGATTTTGTCACCACCAGGCCTGCCTTACAAGAGCTCCTGAAGGAAGCACTAAACATGGAAAGGAACAACCAGTACCAGCCACTGCAAAAACATGCCAAATTGTAAAGACCATTGATGCTAGGAAGAAACTGCATCAACTAATGAGCAAAATAACCAGCTAACATCATAATGACAGGATCAAATTCACACACAACAATATTAACCTTAAATGTAAATGGGCTAAATGCCCCAATTAAAAAACACAGAGTGGCAAATTGGATAAAGAGTCAAGACCCATCAGGGTGCTGTATTCAGGAGACCCATCTCACATGCAGAGACACACACAAGCTCAAAATAAAGGGATGGAGGAAGATCTACCAACAAATGGAAAGCAAAAAAAAAAAAAAAAGCAGAGGTTGCAATCCTAGCATCTAATAAAATGGACTTTAAATCAACAAAGATCAAAAAAGACAAAGAACGCCATTACACAATGGCAAAGGGATCAATTCAACAAGAAGAGCTAACCATCCTAAATATATATGCACCCAATATAGGGGCACCCAGATTCATAAAGCAAGTCCTTAGAGATCTACAAAGAGACATAGACTTCCACACAATAATAATGGGAGACTTTAATACCCCACTTTCAATATTAAAAAGATCAACAAGACAGAAGGTTAACAAGGATATCCAGGACTTGAATTCAACTCTGCACTAAGTAGAACTAATAGACATCTACGGAACTCTCCACCCCAAATCAACAGAACATACATTCTTCTCAGCACCACATCGCATTTATTCCAAAATTGACCACATAGTTGGAAGTAAAGCACTCCTCAGCAAATGTAACACAATAAACTGTCTCCCAGACCACAGTGCAATCAAATTAAAACTCAGGATTAAGAAACCCACTCAAAACCGCACAACTACATGGAAACTGAACAACCTGCTCCTGAATGACTACTGGGTACATAACGAAATTAAGGCAGAAATAAAGATGTTCTTTGAAACCAATGAGAACAAAGACACAACATACCAGAATCTCTGGGACACATTTAAAGCAGTGTGTACAGGGAAATTTATAGCACTAAATGCCCACAAGAGAAAGCAGGAAAGATCAAAAATTGACACCCTAACATCACAATTAAAAGAACTACAGAAGCAAGAGCAAACACATTCAGAAGCTTGCAGAAGGCAAGAAATAACTAAGATCAGAGCAGAACTGAAGGAGATAGACAGACACACACACAAAATACCCTTCAAAAAATCAATGAATCCAGGAGCTGGTTTCTTGAAAAGATCAACAAAATTGATAGACCACTATCAAGACTAATGAAGAAGAAAAGAGAGAAGAATCAAATAGATGCAATAAAAAATGATAAAGGGGATATCACCACCAATCCCACAGAAATACAAACTACCATCAGAGAATACTATAAACTTTGCTACACAAATAAACGAGAAAATCTAGAAGAAATGGATAAATTCCTGGACACATACACCCTCCCAAGAGTAAACCAGGAAGAAGTTGAATCACTGAATAGACCAATAACAAATTCTGAAATTGAGGCAATAATTAATAGCCCACCAACCAAAAAAAGTCCAGGACCAGATGGATTCACAGCCGAATTCTACCAGAGGTACAAGGAGGTGCTGGTACCATTCCTTCTGAAACTATTCCAATCAATAGAAAAAGAGGAAACCCTCCCTAACTCATTTTATGAGGCCAGCATCATTCTGATACAAAAGTCTGGCAGAGACAAATGAAAAAGAGAATTTTAGACCAATATCCCTGATGAACATCATTGTGAAAATCCTCAATAAAATACTGGCAAACCAAATCCAGCAGCACACCAAAAAACTTATCCACCAAGATCAAGTTGGCTTCATTACTGGGATGCAAGGCTGTTTCAACATATGCAAATCAATAAACACAATCCATCACATAAACAGAACCAAAGACAAAAACCACATGATTATCTCAATAGATGCAGAAAAGGCCTTCAACAAAATTCAACAACACTTCATGCTAAAAATTCTCAATAAACTAGATACTGACGGAACGTATCTCAAAATAATAAGAGCTATTTATGACAAACCCATAGCCAGTATCATACTGAATGGGCAAAAACAGGAAGCATTCCTTTTGAAAACTGGCACAAGACAGGGATGCCCTCTCTCACCACTCCTATTCAACATAGTATTGGAAATTCTGGCCAGGGCAATCAGGCAAGAGAAAGAAATAGTGTATTCAATTAGGAAAAGAGGAAGTCAAATTGTCCCTGTTTGCAGGTGACATGATTGTATATATAGAAAACCCCATTGTCTCAGCCCAAAAACTCCTTAAGCTGATAAGCAACTTCAGCAAAATCTCCAGATACAAAATCAATGTGCAAAAATTGCAAGCATTCCTATACACCAATAACAGACAAACAGAGAGCAAAATCATGAGTGAGCTCCCATTCTCAATTGCTACAAAGAGAATAAAATACCTAGGAATCCAACTTACAAGGGATGTGAAGGACCTCTTCAAAGAGAACTACAAACCACTGCTCAAGGAAATAAAAGAGGACACAAACAAATGGAAGAACATTCTATGCTCATGGATAGGAAGAATCAATATCATGAAAATGACCATACTGTCCCAAGTAACTTATAGATTCAATGCCGTCCCCATCAAGCTACCAATGACTTTCTTCACAGAATTGGAAAAAACTACTTTAAAGTTCATATGGAACCAAAAAAGAGCCCACATAGCCAAGACAATCCTAAGCAAAAGGAACAAAGCTGGAGGCATCATGCTACCTGACTTCAAACTATACTACAAGGCTACAGTAACCAAAACAGCATGGTACTGGTACCAAAACAGAGATATAGACCAATGGAACAGAACAGAGGCCTCAGAAATTACACCACACATCTACAATCATCTGATCTTTGACAAACCTGACAAAAACAAGAAATGGGGAAAGGATGCCCTATTTAATAAATGGTGCTGGGAAAACTGGCTGGCCATACGTAGAAAGCTGAAATTGAATCCCTTCTTTACACCTTACACAAAAATTTATTCAAGATGGATTAAAGACTTAAATATTAGACCTAAAACCATAAAAACCCCCCTAGAAGTACACCTAGGCAATACCATTCAGGACATGGGCATGTGCAAGGACTTCATGACTAAAACACCAAAAGCAACGGCAACTGAAGCCCAAATAGACAACTGGGATCTAATTAAACTAAAGAGCTTCTGCACAGCAAAAGAAACTACCATCAGAGTGAACAGGCAACCTACAAAATGGGAGAAAATTTTTGCAATCTACCCATCTGACAAAGGGCTAATATCCTGAATCTACAAAGAACTGAAACGAATTTACAAGAAAAAAATCAAACAACCCTATGAAAAAGGGGGCAAAGGATATGCACCAACACTTTTCAAAAGAAGACATTTATGCAGCCAACAGACACATGAAAAAATGCTCATCATCCCTGGTCATCAGAGAAATGAAAATCAAAACCACAATGAGATACCATCTGACACCAGTTAGAATGGCAATCATTAAAAAGTCAGGAAACAACAGGTGCTGGAGAGGATGTGGAGAAATATGAACACTTTTACACTGTTGGTGGGACTGTAAACTAGTTCAACCATTGTGGAAGACAGTGTGGTGATTCCTCAAGGATCTAGAACTAGAAATACCATTTGGCCCAGCGATCCCATTACTGCGTATATACTCAAAGTATTATAAATCATGCTGCTATTAAGATACGTGCACATGTATGTTTATTGCAGCACTATTCACAACAGCAAAGACTTGGAACCAACCCAAATGTCCATCAATGATAGACTGGATTAAGAAAGCACGGCACATATACACCATGGAATACTATGCAGCCATAAAAAAGGATGAGTTCATGTCCTTTGCAGGGTCATAGATGAAGCTGGAAATCATCATTCTGAGCAAACTATTGTAAGGACAGAAAACCACACACCACATGTTCTCACTCATAAGTGGGAATTGAACAATGAGAACACTTGGACACAGGGTGGGGAACATCACACACCAGGGCCTGTTGTGGGGTGGGGGGATGGGGGAGGGATAGCATTAGGAGAAATACCTAATGTAAATGATGAGTTAATGGACACAGCAAACCAACATGGCACATGTATACATATGTAAAAAACCTGCACGTTGTGCACATGTATGCTAGAACTTAAAGTATAATAATAATAATAATAATAAAGATAAGAGATTTTAGAGGCCAAGGTTCTTATTATGAGATAAAGCCTCCAGGTAGCAGGCTACAGATAGAATAGATTGTAAATGTTACTTATTAGACTTAAAATGGTGTCAGACTTTGGTTGATTCTCTCCTGGATCAATAAAAAGACCTGGAAAAGGGAAAGGGGACTTTTTACAGAATGTAGAGTTTTCCCCAAAACAGATCACTTTGCAGGTCTATTTCAAGATATACCCAAGAAACATACGTGTGGTTAAAATATTATGATTTCTTTTCTTATCTGTCATGATGTTATGCCAGAGTCAGTTTGGAAAGTAAGCCACATTAAATGGGTTAAATAAAATTTCTCTGATAAGAGTCTATGGCTTGTAGGATATGACTCCCCAGGCCCCTTAGATAAGAATTTGGACAAGAGAAGAAAAAAAGGTCAGAATTTAGTCCTCAATATGATGCATTATTCAATATATACCAGGATAAAGCCTTCACTTCTGACCATGCATCAATGAGAACCAAATTATCCACTTAGAATTTTATCCATGTGATTACTGGGATAATTTTCCATGGACTAGTTTCCAGCTCTGGAGATTTGAAACTTGGTTTATTATGGTTGTTATACTGTGATAGTTAATATTAAGTGTCAACTTGATTGGATTGAAGGATGCAAAGTATTGTTTCTGGGTATGTCTATAAGGGTGTTGCTGGAGAAGATTAACATTTGAGTCAGTTAATCTGGGAGAGGCAGATCCACACTTGATCTGAGTGGGCACCATCCGATTGGGTGCCAGCACAGCTAGAAAAAGCAGGCAGAAAAAAGTGGACTGAGCAGACTTGTTGAGTCTTCCTGTCTTCGTCTTTCTCCTGTGCTGGATGCTTCCTGCCCTTGAACATCAGACTCCAAGTTCTACAGCTTTTGGACTCTTGGACTTATACCAGTGGTTTGGTAGGGGCTCGTAGGCCTTTGATCACAGACTGAAGGCTGCACTGTCAGATTCCCTACTTTTGAGGTTTTGGTGCCCTGCTTACCAGCCACTCCAGCTCCACCCATGGCTAAAAGGGGCCAAGCTACGGCTTGGGCCATGGCTTCAGAGGGTGCAAGCCTCAAGGCTTGGCAGCTTCCACATGGTATTGGGCTTGCAGGTGTGCAGAAGACAAAAATTGAGATTTGGGAGCCTCTGCCTAAATTTCAGACGACGTATGGAAATGCCTGGATGTCCAGGTAGAAGTCTGCTGCAGGAGTAGAATTCTCATGGAGAACCTCTACCAGGGAAATGCAGAGGCGAAATGTAGGGTTGGATCTCCCACACAGAGTCCCCACTGGGGCACTGCCTAGTGGAGCTGTGAGAAGAGGGCCACCATCCTCCAGATCCCAGAATGGTAGATCCACCAACAGCTTGCACCTTGTACTGGGAAAAGCCATAGGCACTCAACGCCAGTCTGTGAAAGCAGCCATGGGTGCTATACCCTGCAGAGCCACAGAAGCAGAGCTGCCCAAGGCTGTGGGAGGCCACCCCTTGCATCAGTGTGCCATGGATGTGAGACACAGAGTCAAAGGAGATTCTTATGGAGCTTTAAGATTAAATGGCGGCCCTGCTGGATTTTGGACTCACATGGGGCCTGTAGCCCCTTTGTTTTGACTGATTTCTCCTTTTTTGAAAGGGAGTATTTACCCAATGCCTGACTCTATGTGAGACATAGAGTCAAAAGAGATTATTTTGGAGCTTTAAGATTAAATGTTTGCCCTGCTGGATTTTGGACTGGCATGGGGCCTGTAGCCCCTTTGTTTTGGCTGATTTCTCCTTTTTGGAAAGGAAGCATTTACAGACTTATAGGCAGAAGGAACTTGCCTTGTCTCAGATGAGACTTTGGACTTGGACTTTTGAGTTAATGCTGGAATGAGTTAAGGCTTTGGGGAACTGTCAGGAAGGCATGATTATGTTTTGAAATGTGAGGAGGACATGAGGTTTTGGAGGGGCCAGGAGTGTAATAATATGGGTTGGCTCTGTGTCCCCACCCAAATCTCATCTCGAATTGTAATCCCCATATGTCAAGGGAGGGACCTGGTGGGAGATGATTGGATCATGGGGGTGGTATCCCCCATGTTGTTCTCATGATAGTGAGTTCTCATGAAATCTGATGGTTTAAGTGTTTGGCAGTTACCCCACTCTCTCTCTCCTTCTGCCATGTAAGACGTGCCTTACTTACTCTTCACCTTCTGCCATGATTGTAAATTTCCTGAGGCCTCCCCAGCCATGCAGAAATGTGAATCAATTAAACCTCTTTCCTCTATAAATTACCCAGTCTCAGGTAATTCTTTATAGCCATTTGAAAATGGATAAATACATACAAGTTGCAAGAGAAAAAGAGCAGATGGGGAATAATCAATTATATATTCATCTTGAGTCTTGAACTCAGTAAAGTGGCACTTTATATAAGATAAGTTGAACATAGAGTAGCTACCTGTGGAATCCTTTTAACTGTAGCTATTTGCTTAGGGACAAAAGGAAAGGCAGCTTTTTTGCATGACTCAGCTTTCAGCTTAATTTTTCTTTTTCTTTTTTTTTTTTTTGGTGTAATGAATTGGGGTCCCAAGTTTTTATTTTCCTTTCACATTTTCTCCCTATTTTTTTTTTTTGGGACAGAGTTTCACTCTTGCCCAGGCTGGAGTGCAGTGGAGTGATCTCGGCTCACTGCAAGCTCCGCCTCCCAGGTTCATGCCATTCTCCTGCCTCAGCCTCCCCAGTAGCTGGGACTACAGGTGCCCACCAACACGCCCGGCTAATTTTTGTATTTTTAGTAGAGACAGGGTTTCACCACATTAGCCAGGATGGTCTCAATCTCCTGACCTCATGATCTGCCCGCCTCAGCCTCCCAAAGTGCTGGGATTACAGGCATGAGCCACCATGCCCGGCCCTCTCTCTGTTTTTTCTTTTTAAAGCTTTCAGAGGAAACATTTTAGAAGAAAATGAGTCTCTGGTCTTGGGTTTTGTTCGATCTCTCATAGCTAGGACAGTTTGTTCCTAGACAAATAGGTCCCACATTGTTAGGAAAGCTCATTTTTTTTAACAGATTTTAAGGTCTCCTATCCTATCAAGAAAAAATAGGGGAAGGAAGAGAAAAAGAAAACAATAAACCAACAAAAAAATAGAACAATCCTAGAAAACTGATATAGGCTGCATTATTCTGAAGTCCATACATCAGTAGGCAGATATGAAAGTAGTTTATGTATATAAATAGGTTACTGTTATTTTCTTCTGATGTTTAAGTTATCTAGCTTCAGTTTACAGGGCTTTAAGAAGAGCAAAGCATAATTTTTAGTGATTTCAAATTAGAACAAAATGGACAGAAAAAAGGAAAAGAAGAAGGAAAAAAATTGAAAACATTCCAGCTTGTGTCCAGGAAAAATTTTAGAATTCAGTTCAAATAAAAATTTTATTATTTAGAAAATAATACAAATGGAAAAACATTAGGCAAGACTAGAATCTAATAACAGGTGTACTGCAGTTATTTTTTTTAGAGACAGGGTCTTGCTCTGTCTCTCAGGCTTAAGTACAGTGAGTTGGTCACAGTTCACTGCAGCCTCAACCTTCCAGGCTCAAGTGATCTTCCTACCTCAGGTCCTCAAGTATCTGGGACTGTCAATTGAGCCACAACACCTGGCTAATTTTTAAATTTTTTTTGTAGAGACTGGGTCTCACTGTATTGCCTGAGCTGGTCTCAAACTCCTGGGCTCATGTGGTCCACCTGCCTTAGGCCCCCAAAGTTCTGGGATTACAGGCATAGCCACTGTGTCTGACCCTATAGTTTATTTTGAAGCATAATTTTTCCCTCTTCAATTCCTCAATTTTATGAAAGACAAAATCATCATAATACTAATTTATTTGTAAAATAACTTTTAGTCCTATTACACTTTGCTTGGTTATTTGCATAAAGTGCAGCAAAAATAATTATTTTCCATATAGGCACTCCGTCTTTTTTTAATTGGCTTTGCCAGAACCTTTTTCATAAGGAATCTAAGATTAGACCTTTTTAAAAGGCTTGAGCCCAGCCAAGGATTTATCTGTGCTTGCAGATACCTGTGTGAATTGGATGAATTCTTCTCTTTTCAAGGTTCTAAGAAAACTTGGGGTTTCTGGGCCTGACAAAAAATGACATTCTTAATTTACCACAGGTTGGCACCCTGTAAAAGACAAGGTATAAAGTCAGTTTTTCTAAGGGGCTTCTCTAAACTCTATGAGTCAGCCTCATTTTCTAAAGTCAATCTGAAAATATCACTCCACTCAAAACCTTGGTAAAATAACCAGTGTCTCCAAATATGCCATGTTAGAAAAGAAAACAGATTCTCATTGAACTTATGCAGATAACTATATTGTCATAAATTAAGAATGCTCACAAAACAGTTTTCAAATTTTAAAGAAATTAGGTTTTGAGAAAGGGGTTGCATTTCAAATTTTGCTCATAAGAGTATCCTTTACTCAATTGTTAACAGCTTTAAATAGCTTAAAAGAAGAGAAACTTTTCTTGACTCTGAAAAACAAAACAAAGAGTCAGCAAATGTTTTGAAGAAGCCGTAAAAGATTAACTCAGTCTTCTGTTAGTTCAGCCCATGTAACTAACTCCTGTTCTGCTTGATATTGGATCAACAGTCCTCATGAATACATCGGCTCTCCATGAGAATCTTCGAAATTTTTCTCTCTATTCCTGTGGCACAATCTCTCAATTTATACAAAACCTGTATTTAAGAGTACCCCTCAGAGCTCCATAGCTGATTATAAACTGCTCTATGAAAGAATCAAAGTAAAACAACAATTGCGGATGACAAAAGTCTTAGAACAGCCATGGTTGAAGAGACAATTGACAAGGAAATTTGGTTACTTCTGTGGCATACAACAATTTTACATAATAATTATAATTACTACTGATAGTATATGCTAAGACATATCAGAATCACAGGAATCTCATACAATTTTGGAACAAATACTAATAACTCATTTAGATAAATATAATCCAAAGAAGGCTAAATACCATTTCATATTTGACAATACTTCCTGCATGATTTTATTATAACAAATAAGCTGAATATGTCTCTTTTGGACTTAGGGGACCTAAAGTCAAAAAAGTAAATAAAGTCAAAAGGACTGAATATAGAATTTGATTTTGGAAAGTTTGTCAAATATCAAAAGTTTAAAACACTTGACATCACAAAATAGGATCACAGGTCATTGTAAAAGAAGTCATTCATTTAGCCAAAGTGACAACTCAATTTTTTTTTTTAAACAGAGAAAAACCTTGTTATTTGAGTGAGGATACTTACTTTCCTAAACAATAAGCCTTAATAAAGACAGCATGAAGCTAATTAAATCTGTCTCTCAAATCTTATAAACAAATCTATTAAATTTTAATCATCTTGACCACAGGATATAGTTTCCATAAACCTTTTTATGCTTTTTTTTAAATTAAAAAGTGGGTTAATGCTTCATGAAAACTTTGTTAGTCTGACACAGGGGCCCAGATACAGGTGTTGCATCAGTGTCCCTTTGATATTAATGTTTAATTTATAGAGAAACTCAGAATGAATTTTATTTCTCAAAATTGGCCCTTACAATCTCATGTGCCCTTTCTTACCAAAAAAACTCTTTATATCTATAACTTTCTTTATATCTCTCTTATTTACTGATTCTTTTTACCTTGTTTTATAAATAACCTTTGAATTAGACAAAAATCATTTTCCTTTAAATAAGAATGCATTTTGCAAGAAAAATATTTACCTACAATATATTTTTTAATTCAAAATGACCCAGACATTTAATGAATATTTACTATTTAGTTCAATATAACTTCAGATGCTAAATTATGTGACATGTTTATTAACAAGCATGTGAACCCCCCAGATTTGAGACAGGTCTCACTTAATTTAGAAAGTTTATTTTGCCAAGGTTGAGGATGTGCACACAACCTCAGAAAGTCCTGATGACATATGCCAAAGGTAGTTAGGGCACAGCTTTGTTTTATACATTTTAGGGAGTCATGAGACATTAATCAATATGTGTAAGAAGTACGTTGGTTCTGTCCAGAAAGTGGGGGACAACTTCAAGCAAGGAGAGGGGCTTCCAGATCACAGGTAGGTGAGAGACAAATGGTTGCATTCTTTTGAGTTTCTAATAAGCCTTTCCAAAGGAGGCAATCAGAATGTGCATCTATCGAAGTGAGCAGAGGGATGACTTTGAATACAATGGGAGGCAGAATGGTCCTGAGAAGTTCCCAGCTTGAATTCTCCCTTTAGCTTAGCTTAGTGATTTTGGGAGCCCAAGATATCTTCCTTGCACATTTTCCCCATCTTCTTTTTAAAAATATTTTGGGGAAAGCATTTTAGAAGAAAATGAATCTCTGGTCTCAGGTTTTATCTGATCTCTCATGGCTAGGACAGTTTATTCATAGATGGGTTAGGTCCCGAAAGCTCATTTTTAGCAGTCTGTGAAGTTTCATGTCGTATGAAGAGAAAATAGGGGGAGTGTAGGGAGACCCCCTGAAACTATTGCTATGGAATAAAAGATGAAATGCTCCTGATTATTGTAAATACAAAATTGAATGCAGGATTGTGTAAAGACAATGCCAGGTTGGACTGCCAGAACAAGCCAACAGCGTGTAATGTGCTTCCCCCTGCAGAGAGCCTATGAATGGACGTGCAGTCAGGGAGGTTTCACATCACCAAGATTCCTATCCCAGAAAAGCAGATGTTCATAGCTCTGGGAATGGAATGTGACCCTTGTGGAGAGCCTATAAACGGATGCATGGTGGGGGCACCTGTCCATATGGATAAGACAGGGCTATAAACACCCTCTTCTTGCCACGGCTCTTCTAGGTCTCTTTAGGGTTAAGGCATACTCCCTTCTGAGAATTTCTGGTCTAACCGGTTGTCTAGCTTCACCTCCTGTTTCCATGGATTGTTTGTAACCAGCTTTTGTTGAAATTGTTACTGCTGATTAATATCTTGCTAATCGTAGGTTACAGAAAGATTGTGTTTCTGTTTTAAGGCTCTGTTAGAAATTACTGATGCACACATTATATTGTAAATTCTTATCTCTGTATACTGTACTTCTACATACAAATGTTATGTTAAAGAATTACTTTATCCCCATGTGACCATCTCACCTCATAATCAAATGACCCTAAATCCCTCACTAACCTACCCCTGCCCTCACTAAATTTAATAATAAATGCTGGTATATCCAGTGCATTGTTGGCACCGTGGGACCAGAAGGTGGTGACCCCCCTGGACCCAGCTTTCACTATCTTCTGTGTGTCTATTATTTCTCAACCTGCTGATCCACCTGGGAACAGAGAGAGCCCCATTGCATTGTGGGCTGCTGGCCAGATCCCGCAATAGGGGAGGAAGGGAGAAAAACAACAACAAACAAAAGAACAATCCTGGAATAATTGATAAAGGTCACATTACTCTGAAGTCCAGACATTAGTGGGCAGGTATGAAAGTGGCTTATGCATGTAAATAGGTTGTTGTTATTTTCTTCTGAAGTTTAAGTTGTCTGGCTTCGGTTCACAGGACTTTAAGAAAACATAGCTTAGTTTTCAGTGACTCCAAATTAGGAAAAATAAGAAAAAAACAAGGAAAAAAATTGAAAACATTATTTTGAAGACTTGTAGCCAAAAAAATCTAGAATTGGTCCAAATTGTAGAAGATAATCATTAGGCAAGACTAGAATCTACAATAGATGCACAGTTTTGAAACATAATTTTTCTCTCTCATTTCTCTCTCTCTCTGTCTCATACTAAAGACAAATCATGGTAGGACTAGTTTGCTTTATTATACTTGGCCTAATTATTTGTATACAGTGCAGCAAGAATAATTGTTTTTTATATAGGCTTTTAAATTGGCTTTGATGGAACTTTGTTCCATAGGAGAAATCTCAGATAAAACTATTTTTTTCTTTTTTTTTGGAGATGGAGTCTTGTTCTGTCACCCAGGCTGGAGTGCAGTGGCATGGTCTCAACTCACTGGCACCTCTGCCTCCCAGGTTCAAACAATTCTCCTGCCTCAGCCTCCCAAGTAGCTGGGATTATAGGCACCCACCACCACACCTGGCTAATTTTTGTATTTTTAGTAGAGATGGGGTTTCACCATGTTGGCCAGGCTGGTCTGTAACGCCTGACCTCAAGTGATCTGCCCACCTTGGCCTCCCAAAGTGCTGGGATTATAGGTGTGACCCAGACAAGACTTTTTTAAAGCTGAGCCCAGCCATGGATCTGTGCCATTAAATAACTATGAGTTATGTGAGTTTCTTCTTCTCTTGCAGTTGCAAGATAAACCTGGCTCCTGGGCCTGTCAGAAAATGACATTCTTTACTTACCACAGGTCAGGAACCCCGTACAGGGATTGTGTACACAAAACATAAGGCCAGCTTTTCCAAGGGCTTTATTGGCTTCATAAGTCAAGTTTGATTCCTTAAAGGAAAGCACATCATTCCAGTCAAAGCCTTGGTAAAATAACCAGTTTCTCTAATTGTTTCCAGTTACAAATGAAAACAGATACTTTTTTTTTTTTGAGATGGAGTCTCGCTCTGTCGCCCAGGCTGGAGTGCAGTGGCATGATTTCAGCTCACTGCAAGCTCTGCCCCCTAGGTTCACACCATTCTCCTGCCTCAAGCTCCCGAGTAGCTGGGACTACAGGTGCCCACCACCATGCTCGCCTAATTTTGTTTTTGTATTTTTAGTAGAGACGGGGTTTCACCATGTTAGCCAGGATGGTTTCGATCTTCTGACCTCGGCCTCCTGCCTCGGCCTCCCAAAGTGCTGGGATTACAGGCATGAGCCACTGCGCCCCACCTAGATTCTTACTGAACTTATGCAATAACTATATTGCCATAGTTAAGAATACTCACCAATAGTTTCCAAACTCTGGGGAAATCAGGTAGACAGAAACAAATATGCTCCAAATTTTGCTCATAGGATTACACTGAATTGTTAAAAGCTGTCAATAGCTCAAAACAAAAGTTTCAAGCCTAAAAACAACCCACAAAGGATTAGCAACGATTAAAGCAAAAGTAAAAAAGATTGCTTTAGTTTTCTATCAGTTCAGTTTACTCCGTTAACTCTTGTTCTGCTTCATGAGCATTTCAGCTCTTCATGAGAGTCCTGAAAGTTTTTTTCCCTCTGTTATAATGTCACAGTCTCCAAAGTTATCAGAAACCTGCATTTAAGAACACCTGTTAGAGTTCCATAGCTGATTATAGAACCACCTTCTAAAGAGGACCAAAACAAGGCTTGTCTGTGGAAGACAAAAAGCTTTAGGGCAGTCATAGTCAAAGACACAATTGACAAGGAAATTTGTTACCTCTGTGGCACACAATAATTTAACATAACAATTATAATTATTACTGATAATGCACACTGTTATATCAGAATTGTAAGAGTTTCCCATAATTTTGGAACACATACCAATAACATATTTATACAAATACAGCCCAAAGAAAACCAAACACCATTTCATATTTGACAATACTTCCTGGATAGTTTTTTTGTAGCAAATAAGCCAAATTATGTCATTTTTGGACTTTAGAGGACCTAATATCTTAAAGAATTAATTAGGTCAGAAGAAAACATAATTTATAACTTGATTTTGGAAAGTTTGTCAAATATCAAAGGTTTAAAACACTTGATATCACAAAATAGGATCACAGGTCATTGCAAAATAAGTCATTCACTTAACCAAAGTGATAATGCAAGGATTTTTTTTAAAAAGGCAAAATCTTTATTCTTTGAGAGAGGAGACTTAATTTTCCAAGCAATAGCCCTAATAAAAACAACATGAAGCCAATTAAATTTGTTTTCCAAAATTTTATAAACAATCTATAAAATTGTAATCTTGACCATCAGCTATAGCTTCCATAAGCCTTTTATAACCCTTACAACCTTCATTAAGGAGTTGGCTAATGCTTAAAGAAAACCTTGTTAATCTGACACACGGGCCCATATGCTGATCTTGCATCAGTGCACCTTTGACATTAATGATTACTTTATAGAGAAACTGAACTTAATTTTATCTTTCAAAACTCACCCTTACAATCTCATGTGCCTGCATCTTGCATTTCAGTCCCTGGGCCTTGAGGAGTTGACTAGCTTTAATTTCTGGCTCTGTGTCTCAGAAAAGCAGTTTATTTTGATTGGCATCTTCTATGGGGCATAATAATGAGGCTTTAATTGCTGTGAGTGTTTAAGATTTAGCAAGACTTGGTGTCCTCTTAAGACCCAGGATTCAAAGCCCTAAATGTCACAAGACTTTAAAAACACATACAGGAAGATAACATGGATGTAATAACCTTAATCCAAAAATTTTTTTAAACTCAGTTTTTATTCATAAGCAAACCAGAACTTAATAATAATGTGACAACCTGATCAAATGAAAGCTTTTTTTTCAGATAAATTCTCTTATTATTACTTAAACCAACTGTTCATGACATGCCTGGACTTTCTGGTTTGTCCTGAATATCCCTCTTTCTTTAACAACCAGTCATTTTATTTTAGGGCTAAATTTACCATACAAGATTCTTTCTCATATACAATTATTTCTCTTTCAGCTTTCTTACCACAAAAAAAAAATTTATTTTTATAACTTTATTTACATCTGTCTTATTTCCTGGTGCCTTTTACCTTGTTTTATACATAACTTTTAAATAAGCTTTGAATGAGATAAAACTTATTCACCTTTTTTTTAAAAAGAACACCCTCCCTTTTTTTTCAGTAAGAATGTTTTCTGGCCAGGCGTGGTGGCTCACGCCTGTAATCTCAGCATTTTGGGAGGCCAAGGTGGGTGGATCGTGGGGTCAGGAGTTCAAGACCAGCCTGACCAACATGGTGAAACCCCGTCTCTACTAAAAATACAAAAATTAGCCAGGCATGGTGGCACGCACCTGTAATCCCAGCTACTCAGGAGGCTGAGGCAGGAGAATCACTTGAACCTGGGAGGCAGAGGTTGCAGTGAGCTGAGATCATGTCACTGCACTGCAGCCTGGGCAACAGAACAAGACTCCGTCTCAAAAAAAAAAATGTTTTCCTGCAATATATATTTATTAGAAAATACCCAAATAATGAAATATCTATTATTTAATTTAATATAACCTTAGAGTCTAAATTATGCTGAGTTTGTCTACAAGTATTTATCCCATTACATTTCCCTAATTATTTTAATTGTTTCCCTAGATTATTTATGAAAACTACAATAGTCATGATTTGAAGTTATGAAACTGCCATTGCAAAATTATGGCTGAGACAGTGAAAAAGATATAACCTAACTGACTCCATCTTGCTTCTAACCTCTAAGCTGTCCTTGTTAATTACTAGACTTTGGGAGGAACTTAGCTTATACTTTAGCTTTGAAACAAAGACGATTACAGTCCTGTCCCATAACAAACCTCCTTACTGCCCATGGACTAGGCTGTGTAAATACAGAAGATTAGAAGTTATGGTAATTTTACTAAACAATTCAAGATGTAGCTATTTTCATGAAACCAGTATCAGTGTCTTATTCATTAAAGATTACACAAGCAAAGATCATTCTGTCTTGGGCTAGGTTTATAGTTTTGTAAACTCTGTGCCAAATTTTGACACCTTATAGTATTTGGCAGGGATAAGTATGAACTTGCTTGATTAATAAATGCAAACAATGTATGCTGGCAATTCTTAAGACATTTTTAATATTACTTTGCCAATAATTTTAAAGCTAGCTTGTTTACTAAAGATTTTACTTAAGTTACATAAACTTGAAAAAGCATTTGACTAGTCTTTTCCTTTTTCATATCTAATTTAAGCACTTTGATTTTACTTTTAAGCCCATTAATTAGAGATCTTTTATATATTTTTAGTAGTAAAATATTGTGTACACAACACATAAATATATAGATGCATTAGGCATGCTGATAGAAGTACATTTTATAGATTCACAAAAACCTTTTTTTCCCTATCTTAGACTTTCAGATTCTTGATAATGTGTTTTACAACCCTGAGCTGTTGTCAGCTAAATAGCCTTAAATTTGCATATTAAAGAAAGCAACTCAGGTAAAAGTCAAAGAGCAAAATTTACATTATAATGTGCAGAGAGAAAAAGTTTGGTATGTTGGAGGGAAATTAAAATGGTTTTAATTGCCTATTAAACATAAAATTATGGAAATTATAAAGGCCTTTTAAATATGTACACACACACACACAAAGATCCTATAGCTTTTACTTCAGAACTTTTAACCATGAGATAAACATGAAATCATTGGCTTGCAAAAAGGGCTTGTTGGATCTAAACAGCGGTTTTTGTCTTAATAGAAAAATAACAGCATATTTAGAGCAGGCAGAAAAGAAAAAAATAGAGAAAAAGAGGACTTAGGAACTCTATAGTTTTCAGGTTGACCTTCGGGCTCCTTTTCCTTAAGGTAATTATTTACAAAGACCATATTATTTTCATTTTACATAAACTTTGGCAAGTAGATGTGCCATGAAACCCATGGAGTCCTTGAAAGGGGGTCATTTTCCTTGTTTTCTTTCTTAGATTATTTGTTTCCCGCTTTTCTTTTTCTTAAAAGGAAGAACTGAGCTCTTGCCTAAGGTTTTTATGTGGTGGATTGATATATGCTGCTTTTGGTCAGGACTCTACAATGTGTCACCACTGAGTACATCCACCCTCTTACATTTCTGTCTCTAGAGTTTCTTTCAGTTTCTTTCTCCAGAGGTCTATGACCTCAGAGAGGGCTAAAAATGCTGGGTGATCAGCCCTTATATGTATTTCCTGGATGAGCCATTTTAAAAATTAATTTTTGTTGGGGGTTTCCCAGAAGGGCCACTACATGTCATGGCATGGGGGATCAATGCCCTAGACACTGTGATGGGGCCCCCAGTCACCCAGGGACACCTTTTGGCTGGGAGGAACAAATGCCCTTCCTCTTTGGAGCTGAGAAAGCTCAGTCTCTCATTAACATGTGAAAACAACATTTCAGCTCCTCATGAAAATGCACACTGACAAACCAAATTAAGATTAAATTTGGGAGAAAAGGCAATGGAGAAGACTATTTAGAATGCATCTTTAAAGTAGAATGAGAATCCTTAAACAACAACCTCAGACCAGAACAAATAACAAAGAAACTCCAACGGTAAGATCACTGAGTGCTCTAATGGTAAGGAGAAATTAAGACCAGCTGGCTGTTAATCTAACTTTAGCCAAGACAAATCCCAATTCAATTACTTACCTAGGGATGGGTCTCAGGCTGAAGAGTGCTCTCTACCATCCTAGAAGCAGGAAAAGAAACCCCTCATCTTCCCTGTTGGAAATGAACTCAAACTCCATAAAGGAGTTACCTACCTTCCATCATCATGGAAGCAGGAAAAACTTGCCTTCCTTGTGTTGGAATGTTGGACTCAAGTAAAACTAAAAAAAAAAAAAAAAAAAAAAAGGAGTTTTTACAGCAAAATAAGCTTTAGATCTTGACTAAATTTTGGGAAATTAGGGATCCTCTGGAGGCAGTGTTCTTAGACCTCAGCAAATTGTCCTATTGGTTTTTGCCATGAAGTTAGCGCATGTTGGCACCAAGCACCAACACAAGATTTGTCAAAGGTCAGGGGCATCTCCACTCAGAACCCCTTAGTGGTTACCAAAATGTGAAGCCCCAAAATTTGAGACAGGTCTCAGTTAATTTAGAAAGTTTTTTTGCCAAGGTTGAGGACGTGCTCATGACGCAGCCTCAGTAAGTCCTGATGACATGTGCCCAGGTGGTCAGGGCACCGCTTGGTTTTATACATTTTAGGGAGATATGAGACATCAGTTAATATGTGTAAGAAGTATATTGGTTCCATCCAGACAACTTGAAGCAGGGAGGGGGGCTTCCAGGTCACAGATAGGTGAGAGACAAATGGTTACATTCTTATGAGTTTCTGGTAAGTCTTTCCAAAGAAGGCAATCAGAATGTACATCTGTCTCAGTGAGAAGAGGGATGACTTTGAATAGAATGGAAGGCAGATTTGCCCTGAGCAGTTCCCAGCTTGAATTTTCCCTTTAGCTTAGTGATGTTGGGCCTCAAGATATTTTCCTTTTACAAGCATTTATTTCATTATATTTACCTAATTAATTAATTTAAAAAATAGTTTACCTAAATTACCTATGAAATAACCAAATGAGTGTTTTTGCTCAATAACTCAGGATTTAGCTATTTTCATTAAACCAACAATATTAAATGTCTTATTTGTTAAAAAATTACACAAACATAATTCTCTTTTGGTCTGCAAGCTTTATAACTCTCATGCCAAATTTTGAAGCTTATAGTATCTGGCAGAGATAAATATCAAACTGCTTGACCAATAAATCTAAATGATAATGCATGTTAACAATTCTGAAAACATTTCTAGTTTTATTTTACATATATATATTTTTTTTTTTCTTTTTTTTCTTTTTGATGTGGAGTTTCACCCTTGTTGCCCAGGCTGGAGTGCAATGGCATGATCTCGGCTCACTGCAACCTCTGCCTCCCAGGTTCAAGCAATTCTCCTGTATCAGCCTCCCAAGTAGCTGGGATTACAGGCATGTGCCACCATGCCGAGCTAATTTTGTATTTTTAGTAGAGAAAGGTTTTCACCATGTTGGTCAGGCTGGTCTCAAATTCCTCACCTCAGGTGATCCACCCACCTCGGTCTCCCAAAGTGCTGGGATTACAGGTGTGAGCCACCACACCCAGCCTTTACCAATAATTTTTAAACCAACTTATTTATTAAGGATTTTCTTAAGTCATATGAACTTGAGAAAGCATTTGGGTTTAAACTTTCTATTTTTCTGATACAGTATTTCATTTGAGTGCTTTTTTTCTTTAAGCCAGTTAATCAGAGCTCTTTTATATATTTTTGGTAGTGAAACATTACATGCATGACACATAAATACATAGACATATTAGACATGTAGATATGGTGTAGATCTTATAGATTCATAAGACCACTTTTTTTTTTTTACCTCCTATTATAGGCTTCCAATTTCTTGATAATCTTTTTCATTACCCTATGCAATTGTCAGCTAGATAGCACTAAATTTGCCTACTAAAAGAACAACTCTGAGGTGAAAATCAGATTGTGAAATTTACTTCTCAAAGTACAAAGAGAGAGTCTGGTGTGCTAGAAAGAGATTAAAAATAGATGCCAAGTCAAACATAAAATTATAGAAATCTACCATATTCTACCAAATATGGTAATCTACCAAATAACTTTAAATGATTACTATTACAGTTTTCTTTTCTTTTTTTACAGTTTTCACAATATGTGTAAGGAGACCAATTGTATTTAGACAGGCAGTTTTAAATTTAAGACTGTTCTCTACCATGTTAGAAGCAAACAAAAACTCAAACTTGCCTTCCCTATTGGAAGTGTGAAAGGAAAATAAATCTAGGGACCCCAGAATCACTAAGCCAAAGGGAAAAGCCAAGCTGAGAATGGCATCAGGCAAACCTGCCTCCCATTTCATTTCTAAAAAAGATAGCTACAAAGATTTTTCTTAAAAAGTTACAATCCCCATAATTTGCCCCCTAGGAAATGCCTTGTGGGCCCCAAGATTTTTACCTTAAAACAACTCTTGAATTTCACCCTGACAATGTAAATTGAAAGCTTATCACAAGTATGGGACAAAGGACAGGACTCAATGTCCTCCCTCTGCTAATCTGAGATAAATGCATATCTGATTGCTTCCTCTGCCTTATGTTTATTTTATCTTATATAAAAATGCAGATTCACTGAGCTAGATGAATGCCTAAGTGATGATTCCTCTAACCCCGTCAAATGTGAAAGGCTGATCAAAGACTCAAAAGAATGCAACTGCTTGCCTCTTATCTACCCACATCTTTTCAAAATTTCTTTTTCTTTCCCCAGTATCTGCCTTCCCCCTTTAAATACTGAAGCCCTCAAAATCATCTTTGGAGAAAGGCACAGATCTGTCTTCCAGGTGTGCGTCCATAACCTTGGCAAAAGAACCTTCTAAATCAATTGAGACCTATCCTCAAATACTTTGCGGTTTACAGAAGTGAACTGAAACTGCAGAAAAGAATTGCCTACTCTCCATCATAAAGGAAGCAGGAAATCTGGCCTTCCTTGTTGGAAGTAAAACTCCAGAAAAGGAATTGTACAGCAAGGTAAACCTTAGATCTCAACCACATTTTGGGAGATGAGAGATTTTTCTGGAGGCGGAGTCCCTGGACCTTGGCAAATTATCCTGTTGGTTTGAGCAATGAAAAGAGCTCAAGCTGGTACCAAGCACCAATAGGAGGTTTGTCAAAGGTCAGGACCACCTCCACTCAGAATCCCTTCCATTGGTTGCCTATTTGTAAACCAAGATGTATCTGAGACAGGTCTCAATCAATTTAGAAATTTATTTTGCCAAGATTAAGGAAGTGCACTTGGGAGACATGTCTGTGCCTTTCTCCAAATATGATTTTGAGGGCTTCAATATTTAAAGGGGAAAAGCAGGCTGGAAGGGAAGGTGTGGTCACATTACTGAATCCACATGTTGCAAGAGAAAAGGAGCAGGTAGGGGAATAGTCAATTACATATTTGTCTGGAGCTCAGTAAACTGGCAATTTACATGAGATAAGGTGAATATACAGTACCTACCTGTGGAGGTAGTTAACCTTTTATCTGTAACTGTCTGCTTAGGAACAAAAGGAAAGGTAGCTTCTTGCATGACTCAGCTTTCAGCTTAATTTTTTTCTTTTGGCAGAGTGAATTAGGGTCCCAAGTTTTTATTTTCCTTTCATACTTGGTATTAACTACCTATTACAGAGTTGTGCAATGCTTTCAGCCTAGAACTTCTTCATAATCCATCTCTCTCCCACCTTCTCATGTTTAGAGGTTTTGAACAGACAACTGCTCAGCATGCTTGCCCTTACATTCTCCCATCTGCCAAGATGACACTTGCCCCAGACAGCCCTGTCTCCATCCTGGGCCTCTTAGGCTGCAGGAGATCCAGCTGCAGAATGACTTTATTTACATTGCTATTCAGAAGCAAATGGCTCAGCTCAATGGAAAGTCTTTTATTTCTAACAAGCAAGTCAGTATGTGGCATTTTTCTTTTCCTTACTCTGCAGGACAAAATGAATCTTGCAGATGTTCCTGTAATACCAGGGGAATAAGATTCACTGATGAGCTGCTGAGAGTGGCTTGGCTGCACTACAGGGCTAGCCAGTTGCCATGTGGCCTGTGGTCAAGTCAGAGGGAGCAGCTGTGAATCCTATTTGGGAACTGACTTTATGGCTGTAATTAGGGTGCCAGAAGGCCCATTTGTATAGAGCCTTCCTTCACAAACTGCAATGACTGCCTCCCCTCATTACAAGGCTTGGGAAAAAGGGGGCTTAGATAAGAGCATCTCTTTGACATAAAGTTGTGGGAGCTCAGGTTTTTGGTTTTCTCTGATCGTCATGGGTGGTGGTGAACAATGGGCCAATAATCTGTTTAGTCACTGAGCTAGGTGCTGAGAGATGAAGAAGGCAGACCTCTACCCATGAAATTCCAGGAAAAGGAACAAGACAAATAAAAAAACTATTATTCAAATATTAGTCCTGACCACAGGATGTGCTTAGGGAAAATAAAAAAAAAATATTGGTTCATAGTGACTTGGGGAATGTTCATTACCTTAATAAGTAGAAACAGACAGATACTGAGTTTGTGCAATTCATGACAGACCCATTTTGCCAAAACACTGTCAGAGAAGTTCAAGCCAACCAATCAGCTATCACTTTTTTCACAGTGGTGTGGTCAGACCAACCCCAGGCTTCCAGCCTGTAAACGAAAAAAAATTGTAAGGCTCCCGCAATCATCTGAATGGGCCCTCCTCTCAGCCAAGGGCATTCCAAAGTTAACCTGAAAAACTTGTTCAGGCCATCATGGGAATAGGGGGTTGGAATGCCACATTCCAAGAGGGTTGGAATGGCCTCTTCCCTTTCAGAAATCAGGAAAAGCTGACCAGCTTTAACTTGAACACAAATCTTAAGTCTGATAAGAAACATTTACAATCTATTCTTTCTGAAGCTTGGTGCTTGCAGGCTTCATCTGCATGACAAAACCTTCATCTCCACAACCCTTTGTGTAACCCAGACATTCCTTTCTATTGATAATAACTCTTTCAACTAATTGCCAATCAGAAATATTTTAATCTACCTGGAATGACTTGGAAGCCTCTCATTCCACTTAAGTTGTCCCACCCTTCCAGATCAAACCAATATAAATCTTATATGTATTTGATTGATGTCTCATGTCTCCCTAAGAAGTATAAAACTAGGCTGTGCCTGACCACTTTGGGCTCATGTTCTTAAGATTTCCTGAGGACTGTGTCACAGGCCATTGGTCACTCATGTTTGGCTTGGAATAAATCTTTTCAAATATTTTTTCAGAGTTTGACTCTTTTCTTCAACAAGCCTCTTGTAAGAACAAAGGTTCAACTAACACAAAGACTACATTTTAGGGTGATGATTCTGACATTCAAATGTTGAAAGGAGTCTCTTTAAGAAAGGCACTTTGCAAATAATCATTAGATCTCTGCATAGCAAAAATCCCTCTTCTCACAGGTGATATGGGTGCAGATGGACACTCCCTTTCATAGATGTAGCCTACCCTTTGCCCTTCCTTATTGGATGCTGATTTTCACCTTTATTGAGCTATCATGGGACTCAGCCTTTTACCAGAACCTTACAGGTGGGCATCACAAGAAAGCCAATACCTGGACTCTGCATTAGATGCATTTTAAATAATTTCCACAGCTACAGGAACATTTGCTGTCATTGTTTCCAAGCCTCTTAGTTACAGTTACAGAAATCCACTATATTAAATAATTCAATATGAGAATGTATAGAAAGTGACTAATACACTACCTCAATTACCTTAAAAATGTATATGCATATGTATATGTATGTATGTACATATATAAATATATTTGTAATTATACATTTGCTAATAATGAATATCTGTATCCCCATTAAAGTGTAAACTTCTTGAGTGTAGGAATAAAGTCAGATGGAGCCTGGAAAATGGGAATGACTGACCAAATGAACCAATGAAGAATTTCCAGCAACCAAGTGTACTCTATTTCCATCTAGTTACCATGCCTTAGCTATAAATGGCTTTCCCAAAAAATCCTGACCTCTCAATCTGGATGATGCAATGCTTTGAAAATATTTTGGATCTTGTTATTTATCTCATAAGTGACCAACAGCCCCTGCTGCTGTGCTTAGAAATTCATCACTGGGTTCCTGCAGAGAGTACCCTGTCCACAGGCTGCTCCTCAACTATGCCTGAGTGTGGAAGGGATACCAGACAGGCCCATTTCTGAGATGAGTGACTTTGATGAGAGGACTCCCCATCAGCCTTGCCAAACATCCCTAGAACTGTACTGCTGTCTCAGACTTCCACATTCAACCTTGTTTCCCTTGCTCCTTCTGAAAGCAGAGAAAACATCTGTTTCACTCCTAGGGTGAAGCAAAGGAAGCAGCAAATTAAAAGAGAAGAACCTGCAGCAGAAAATAAACATGGCTTCCAGGTGTGCAGGCAGCTAAGGCCCAACAGAGTCCCTGAGCCCCTCCTAAGCCCAGAGGGGCACAGAAGAACACCTGAGTTTTCTACAACCCGTCTAAGGGCACACCTTAGCTATAACCTTCAGGTATAAACGTTCTCCCAAGAACTTAGTTGTCACACTGGGAAAAAGAATGGGAAAAGGTAGCCTCCTGAAATTGAAAAATTTCATTTTTGAAATGATTGAATTATTACTCAATTGCCAAAAGTGTCATCTATTGGCACTATTGTTTCCAGTTCCAAGGGTAATAACAGCTCAAAATACAAATTTATTTTAGGACTGGAATGAATTAAGAAAGTGAGATTTTGCAGATTAGTTTTGTGACCTTCAAAAATTATACACTGTAGATATACATGCATGCTTGTCTGTGCAGTGGAGGATACAGACAGACACATAGGATTTGCCTGGTGAGAGAAACACGTAGATGCAGCCATTTCTGTGGATGTGGTGAGTGCAGCAGTACTGATAGATGTAAGTGCTCTGAGAAAAGGAGTGTGTGGCTTTGTCAACTTTGTTGTCTCCAGTGCCTAGCCTTGAGAGTGCCTGGTACCTTGGAGGAGCTCAGCAAGTATTTGTTCATTACACTGGTTGAATAAATGAATGCTATAAAAAGGAAAGTTGCTGGCGGGTCAGCCTTACTGGAGTGGAAGATGAGGTGGAAGCACTTCATGCTGAGGCTGAAATGCGAGCAATCAACAGGTCATGGAACATGTGCTTAGAAGGGGGAAGCTTCTGGAGGCATTTAAGCAGGTGTGATGGTCAATTTTATGGGTCAACTTGGCTAGGCTATGGTGCCCAGATGTTTAGACAAACACTAGTCTGATGTTGCTGTGAAGCTATTTTTTAGATGTGATTAACATTTATGTAATTATTATTTTTTAAAAATTTCAACTTCTATTTCAGATACAGGAGGTATATATGCAAGTTTGCTATATGAGTATATTACATCCAGGTAGTGAGCATAGTACCCAACAGGTAGTTTCTCAAGCCATGGGCCCCTCCCTCCCCATCTAGTAGTCTGTAGTGTTTATTGTTCCCATGTTTATGTCCATGTGTGCTCAATGTTTAGCTCTTACTTTTGAATGAGAACATGTAGTATTTGGTATTCTGTTCTTGCATTAATTTGCTTAGAATTATGGCCTCCAGTTCCATTCACACTGCTCCAGTAAACACAACTCCAGTAAACACATTGCACATGCTCAACTCCCAAGTGCTAGCAGGCCGCTGCACATGTGGACAGCCCACCCCAAAGGGAAGAATCAGGGGAGAAGGAATGCAAGATCATAGTAGTATGCCTGTGTATAAAACCCCAAGTCAAAGGTCAAACAGGGCACTTGATCTCCCAAGTCGTCTGCTTGGCCCTCTTCCAAGAGTGCTTTACTTCTCTAAAGCTTTTTAAAAAAAACTCACTTTTGCTCTAAAACTTGCCTCTGTCTCTCCTTTTGCCTTATGCTCCTCAGTCAAATTCTTTCTTCTAAGGAGGCAAGAATTGAAGTTGCTGCAGACACATATGGATTCACTGCTGGGAACATACTTTGGTGCTGTGACTCGGATATGTTCCCCAGTGGTAAAAAACCTCTAAGCCTCCTCTTCTTCAGCTGGAGACGTTCAATCCCCGTACATTGTTTTCTTCTCCCCTTTCACTCTCCTACTTACTAATCAACCCCCAGAACAATTCCTCTTGGCCACAAGTGGCTCTGCTCTTCCCAGCTGATCTCTCAGCTCACCCTGACAGGTGGCTTGGGGGTGGGAAGCACCTTCAGGTCCACGCTGAATAGAACTGAGGCACTAATGGACCTCCTGTACAGGAGGCTTGAGAGAGTGGTAGGTAAATGTTCCCATTCCAAATGGGAGAAATTGGGACAAAACAAAGGGGCCACATGCACTATGCAAGTTCAAACCCAACAGGGTAGTCATTAAACCTTTAAACTCCAAAATAATCCCATTTGACTTCACGTCTTACCTCCAGGGCATGCTGAGGCATGGGGCCAGCTCACAAAGCTTTGGGCAACTCCACCCCTATGGCTCTGCAGGGAATAGGCCCATGGCTGCTTGCATGGGCTGGTATTTTGTGCTTGCAGCTTTTCCAAGTGCATGATGCAAATTGTCAGTGGATCTACCATTCTGGAATCTGGAGCACAGTGGCCCTCTTCTCACAGCTCCACTAGGCAGCGCCCCAGTGGGGACTCTGTGTGGGGGCTCCAACCCCACATTTCCCATCTCCACTGCCCTAGTAGAGGTTCTTCATGGGCCCCTGCAGCAGACTTCTGCCTGGACATCTAGGCATTTCCATACATTCTCTGAAGTCTATGCTGAGGTTCACAAAACTCAATTCTTGTTATCCGCACTTCTGCAGGCCCAACACCATGTGGAACCTGCCAAGGCTTGGGGCTTGCACCCTCTGAAGCAATGATCTTAGATGTACTTTGGCGCTTTTTAGCCATGGCTGGAGCTGGCATGGCTGGGACGCAGTATATCTTGTCCCAAAACTGCACAGAGCAGGAGGGCCTTCACCTCAGCCCAAGAAACCATATTTCCCTCCTAGGCCTCAAGATCTGTGATGGGATGGGTTGCCTCAAAGACCTCTGAAATGCCCTGGAGATATTTTCCCCATTGTCTTGGCTATTAACTTTTGGCTCCCTGTCACTTATGCAAATTTCTGCAACTGGCTTGAATTTCTTCCAAAAATCTGGGTTTTTCTCTTCTATCACGTGGTCAGGCTGCAAATTTTCCAAACTTATATGCTCTGCTCCCCTTTTAAACATAAGTTCAAATTTCAAACCATCTTTTTGTGAATGTGCATGATGATGTGCTTTTAGAAAAAGCCAGGTCACCTCTTGAATGCTTTACTGCTTAGAAATTTCTTCTGCCAGATATCCTAAATCATTTGTCTCAAGTTGAAAGTTCCACACATCTCTAGGGCAGGGGCAAACTTCACAAGTCTCTTTGCTAAAGCATAGCAAGAGTCACCTTTGCTCCAGTTTCCACCAAGTTCCTCATCTCCATCTGAGGCTACCTCAGCCTGGACTTCATTGTTAATATCACTATCAGCATTTTGGTCAAAACCATTCAACTAGTCTCTAGGAAGTTCCAAACTTTTTCTCATCTTACTGTCTTGTTCTGAACCCTCCAAGCTGTTTCAAACTCTACTGGTTACCTAGTTCCAATGTCATTTCCACATTCTCAGTTATCTTTATAGAAATGTCCCACTAATTTGGTACCAATTTTCTATATTAGCCTGTTTTCACAGTTACCCGAGACTGGGTAATTTATAAAGAAAAAAAGGTTTCATCGATTTACAGTTCCATATGGCTGGGGAGGCCTCAGGAAACTTACAATGATGGCAGAAGTTAAAAGGGAAACGTAGCATGTCTTACATAGCTGCAGGATAGAGAGAGAGCAAGGGGGAGTGCCACACTTTAAGGCCATCAGCTCTCATGACAATTCATTCACTATCATGAGAATAAGAAGGGAGAAATCCACCACCATGATCTAATTATCTCCCATCAGGCCCCTCCTCCAACATGTGTGGATTACAATTTGAGATAAGATTTGGGAGGGGACACAGAGCCAAACCATATCAATTGACTTCATTATTTCTTTTGAATACATAAATTAGTGATTTTCTAGTTCCATCTTTTTTTTGGCATTGATTATCAAGGGCTCATCTAAACTATCTAAACTAAAGTTGCCTAATCAATCATTTGATTACTTTATCATTTCTACTGGGTTGTCATTGTTTCTTTTTGAAGGTGTGTTTCAAGTGTACTGGGGATGTCTAGGTTCAATGTGTGGTGAGATGACATAAAATTATTCCATTAATATTGTTATGCATCATTTACATTCTTATGTCTAACATTGACAAAATACTATAATAATACAATATTTTAATATGCTGAAAAATAAACACCTTTGGGGCTATGTATTTCAAACTGGTTTATTCTAGATTGTATGAAGCTAAAAAACAACAACAAACCCTGCTTATTTTAATTGAAAGATATATTATTGTAAATGCTTAAATTTATTACTATAATTTACTGATTAATATATCTGGCATTATTACTGTGTTTCATTAATCAGTTCATCCTGGAATTGAACACCTTAAAAGGATAAGATTATTTCATGATTAATACGGCTTACTAAAATAATTTTGCTCTTACATTGAGTTTTTTCTATAAACTCCTGAGGAGATTTTGAATATTTAAATCACAAATAAAAATTAATCCTTAAACTTCACTGAGTTAATTAAATGAACAAAGAATATTGGTACAAATTGGCTAATTTTGATAACTTAAATAAATAGGCCCAGTGGTTGTTTTTTTTCTTTTTCAAGTAAATTGCATATATATGTGTGTATTAAGTAATATATATACATTATTTATGTGTGTGTGTGGGTAACATATGTGTGAGACATGTATGTATATATATATAAACAAAATATATGTAATATATAAATTATATATATTATATGTTATATAAATATAAATATATATATATAAATTTTTTTTTCCTCACTGCTGCTTTTCAGGGCTACTATTCAGTTCCCATAGTACAGCAACTTTCCAATTCTGGTGGTGGGATAATAACTACTTCATGATTGGAATGTTGCCTACCTGGCCTCTCAATGTTCCATTCTCAGGACTCAGTTTTTTAGTAAAGTCCAGTAGTGTACCAAGAGCCTTTTTTGAACGGTGTTCAACTCTCATCTGTAGCTATAATTCCCATTTTCTTAAATACTGGAATATGCACTGCATATTTATTAGCAAGGTGAAAACAGACTAATACAATAAATTGGTACTGAGAGTGGGATGTTGCTGAAATGATACCCAAAAATGTGGAAGTGACTTTGGAAGTGGGTAACACACAGAGGTTGGGACAGTTTGGAGTACTCAGAAGAAGACAGGAAAATGTGGGAAAGTATGGAACAACCTAGAGCCTTGTTAAATGGCGTTGACCAAAATGCTGATAATGATATGGACAATGAAAGGTGGTCTCAGATGGAGATGAGGAACTTTTTGGGAAGTGGAGCAAAGGTGACTCTTGTTAGGTTTTAGCAAAGAGACTGGCAGCATTTTACCCCTGCCTTAAAGATTTGTGGAACTCTGAACTTGAGAGAGATGATTTAGGGTATCGGGCAGAAGAAATTTCTAAGCTGCAAAGCATTCAAGAGGTGACTTGGGTTCTGTAAAAGGCATTTGCTTTTAAATGGGAAACAGAGCATAAAAGTTTAGAAAACTTGCAGCCTGACAATGCAGTAGAAAAAGAAAAACTCATTTTTTGAGAAGAAAATCAAGATGGCTGCAGAAATTTATGTAAGTAGCAAGGATCCTAATGTTAATCCCCAATATCATGAGGAATAGGTCTCCAGGCTGTGTCAGAGACCTTCACAGCAGCCCCTCCCATCACAGGCCCCGAGACCCAGGAGGCAAAAGTGGTTCTGTGGGCCTAGCCCAGGGTCCCTGTATTGTTTGCGGCCTAGGGACTTGATGCCCTGTGCCCAAGCTGCTCTAGCCATGACAGAAAGGGGTCAACATAGAGCTTGGGCTGTGGCTTCAGAGGGGCTTGCCTCAGAGGATGGAAGCCCCAAGGCTTGGCAGCTTTCACATGGTGTTGAGCCTGCAGGTACACAGAAGTCAAGAATTGAGGTTTGAGAACCTCTGCCTAGATTTCAGAAGATAAATGGAAACGCCTGGATGCCCAGGCACATATTTGCTGCAGGGGTGGGGCCCTCATAGAGAACTTCTTCTAGGCAATGCAGAAGGGAAATGTGGGGTTGGAGCCCCCACAGAGAATCCCTACATTGACACTGCCTAGTTGAGCTGTGAGAAGAGGGACACCATCCTCCAGACCCCAGAATGATGGATCCACCACAGCTAGCACTGTGCAGTTGGAAAAGCTGCAAACACCCAACACCAGCCCATGAAGGCAGCCAGGAAAGAGGCTGTACCCTGCAAAGCCACAGTGGCTGAGCTGCCTAAGACCATGGAAACTGACCTTTTGCATCAGCATGACCTGGGTGTGAGACATGGAGTCAAAAGAGATCATTTTGGAGATTTAAAATTTGCCCCACTGGATTTTGGTCTTGCATGGGCCCTGTGACCCCTTTGTTTTGGCCAATTTCTCCCACTTGGAATGGCTGTATTTACCCAATACCTGTACCCCCATTGTATCTAGGAAATAACTAGATTGCTTTTGATTTTACAGGCTCATAGGCTGAAGGGACTTGCCTTGTCTCAGATGAGAATTTGGACTGTGGACATTTGGGTTTATGCTGAAGTGAGTTAAGACTTTAGGGGACTGCTGGAAAGGCATGGTTGGTTTTGAAATGTGAAGACAGATTAGGAGGGGCCAGGGTTGGAATACTGTAGTTTGGCTGTGTCCCCACCCAAATCTCAACTTGAATTGTATCTCCTAGAATTCCCACCTGTTGTGGGAGGGACCCAGGGGGAGGAATTAAATCTTAGGGGCTGGTCTTTCCCATGCTATTCTCGTGATAGTGAGTAAGTCTCACAAGATCTGATGGGTTTATCAGGGATTTCCACTTTTGCTTCTTCCTCATTTTTTCTTGCTGCTGCCATGTAAGAAGTGGCTTTCACCTCCTGCCATGCTTCTGAGGCCTCCCCAGCCATGTGGAACTGTAAGTCCAATTAAACCTCTTTTTCTTCCTAGTCTTGCGTATACCTTTATCAGTAGTGTGAATATGGACTAATAGAACACACATGTTAACTTTTTATAAACTGACCCCAGCAAGGTAAACAATAGAGCAAATTTGCTTGTTGTAATCATTATTAGTGTTATTTTGTTTGTTTTATTATCAAGGAATACATTGTTCACTATCTATTTCTATATATTTTTCAACTTTAACCTAGTTTATTAATTTTTGCTCTCTGTCTTTAGCAATGTTTTATTCAGAAAACATGTTGCCTGTTTAATGTGGAAACCAGGTGGGAATCTGTAGTCTGCTCAGGGAAGACTCGGGGTATCTGGTAGGATAAGCTGAAATATTTTGCCTTTTCCTTGTCTAGCTTGATAGTATCAAAACTGTTTGTTATGATTTTTTTAATCCTTTGCTGGTAAAAATTTTTCATATGTTAAGCACAACATTATATAACAAATTCATCGTTCAGTATAAGAAACAGAAGTCATTCCAGATATTTCAATTGTTTGAAACAAGTGATAATAGAGGCACAACATATCAGAGCCTCTGGGATACAGCAAAAGCAGTGATAAGGAGAAAGTTTATAGCATTCAATGCCTACATTAAAAAGATAGAAAGATCACAAATTAACAACTTACTATGGTACCTCAAGAAACTAGAAAAGAAAAGAAAGTAGCAAACCAAACTCAAAGCTATTAGAAGAAAAGAAATAAAAAAAAATCAGAGAAGAACTTAATGCAATTGAGATAAAAATACAAAGAATCAATGAAATTAAAAGTTGATTCTTTGAAAAGGTAAACAAAATTAATAGATCACCAGCTAGACTAACCAAAAAAAAAAAAGAGGTTCAAATAGGCATGATCAGAAATGAAAAAGGAGAATTAAAACTGATGCCACAGAAATACAACAGATCATGAGAGACTACTGTGAACCTCTGTGTGCTCACAAATTAGATAAACTGGAAGAAATATATGCATTCCTGGAAACATACAAACTCCCAAGATTGAACCTGGAAGAAAAGGAAATTTTGAACAGGCCAACAATCAACTGTGAGATTGAATCAGTAATAAAAAATTTTCCAACATCAACAACAACAAAAAAACGAGGACCTTACAGATTCACAGCCAAATTATACCAGGTGTCAAAGAAGAACTAGCACCATCCTCTAAAAACTGTTAAACACACACACACACACACACACACACACACACATCGAAAAGGAGTAAATCTTCCCTAACTCACTCTATGGAGCCACTATTGCCCTGATAACAAAGCCAGGCAAGGACACAACAACAATGAAAAAAACTACAGGCCAATATTTCTGATGAACATAAATACAAACATTTTCAACAAAATACTAGCAAACTGAATCCAACAGTACATCAAAAAGATAATATACCATGATCAAGTGGCTTTTATTTCAGAGATGCAAGGATATACAACATATGCAAATCAATAAGCATGATTCACCATATGAACAAAATTAAAAATAAAACCAAATGATCATCTCAGTAGATGCAGAAAAAGCATTTAATAAAATTCAGCATGGCTTCATGATGAAAACCCTCAACAAAGTAGGTATTGGAAGAACAGAACTCAATATAGTTAAAGCTATATGCAACAAATCTACAACCAAAATCATACTAAATGCAGAAATACATTTAACATAGGAAATTACATGCTTGTCAAACCACTGGCGGAGTTGGAGGGATGGAAGTCACTGTCATTGTCTACAATGACATACCATTGCTGCCATGACCCTGGCCAGAAAACTACTGTTGTCACTGATGTCATCACAGAGCCACCCACACTCATGAAGTTTGTGACTAGGTAAGGAGGCATAGACTATGCCTGCTGCTACTCTATATTTGCTAAAGATCACCTGTGAGTTATCACTGATACTGAAACGTCACCTCTTCTCTTCTGCATTTGAATTTTATGCCACTACTTCAAGAAAGTAGAGTCTGAATTGTTTCTAGTTACCTGGCTACATGCACATCCTTAAAATATGAGCTTTAGTGTTGCCTTCTTAGTAATACATGAGTGATCTTAAAATGGAGTGGAAATAGATGATGAGTATTATCAACTGACAGCAGCTTAAATAAAGTTTGTATTGAGTATTTGTAAAATGTTGCAACAAAAATGACATTTTAAATGAGAAATTCAAACATTCTCTCCCCTTTCATGCATAGGTAAATGTAGTAATCATTAAGTATTTAAAGTTAACAAAATTATCTTGTGACTTTTTGGCAAAGATCTCCTGTATGTTTCCTAGGGCTGCCAGAACAGAATACCACAAACTAGGTGTCTTAAACAGCAGAGATTTATTTTCTCATAGTTCAGAGGCTGAGGGCCCAAGATCATGATGTTGACAAGTATAGATTCTTTTGACGCTTCATTCCTTGGCTTGTGGATGGCTGTCTTCTCTTTGTGTTCTCACATGGGTTTTTTTCTCTGACAATGCATTTCTGGTATGATTGTGTGTTTCTGAATTTCCTCTTCTTATAAACACACTGGCCAGATTATAATAGGGCCCACTTAATAGTCTCATGTTAGATTAATCACTTCTCTAAAGGCCCTGTCTCCAAATATTTTCACATTCTGAGGTGCTAGGAAATTCAGCTTCAATATGAGTTTTAGAGGGACATGATTCATCCACTAACACTCCCCTCCCATAGTTTTTTATTTAATTTCACAAGCAGATGCCATGTGGACCATGTAAATTTCCATAGTCATTATGAAGTTACATGAAAGGTCATTCTCATGTAATTTATTGATAAATTTTACCCTAAAACTTTAACCTTATACGTGTGTGTGTGTGTGCGTGCATGTATGTAGGCGTACCTCATTTTATTATGATTTAATTTATTGTACTTTGCAAATATTGTACCTTTTACAAATGAAATATTTCTAACAACTTTGCAATGAGCAAAATAATTTGTGCCATTTTTTTTTCAACAGCATGTACTCATTTTGTGTCTCTGTGTCACAGTTTGGTAATTTTCACAATATTTCAAATATTTTTATCATCATTATATTTGTTATGGTGATCTGCAATCAGGGATCTTTGATGTTCCTATTGTAATTGTTTTGGGGCCCCATGAACTTTTCCCATGCAAGTCGGCAAACTCAGTAGAAAAATATGTGTGTTCTAACTGCCCCAACAATCCCACATCTCTCTCCCTCTCTTCAGGCCTCCCTATTGACAACAATATTAAAATAGGGCCAGTTAATAATCCTACAATGACTGCTACATTTTCAAGTGAAAGGAATAATCACATATCTGTCACTTTAAATCAAAAGCTAGACATTATTCAGCTTAGTGAGGAAGGTATGTGGAAGGCTGAGATAGAGGCTGAAATTAGGCCTCTTGTTCTAAAGTTAGCCAAGATTTGAACAGAAAGGAAGAGTTTTGGAAAGTAATTAAAAGTGCTACTTCAGTGAACACATAAATGATAAGAAAGCAAATGGCCTTATTGCTGATATGAAGAAAGTTAAGAGTGGTTTGGATAGAAGATCAATCAGCCACAGAATTCCCTTAAGCCAAAGCCTAATTCATTAAAAGGTCCTAACTGCCTTCGATTTTATGAAGACTGAGAGGGGTGAGGAAGCTGCAGAAGAAAAATTTGAAGCTAGCAGAGGTTGGTTCATGAAGTTTAAGAAGATAAGCCTCCATAGCGTGAAAGTGCAAGGTGAAGCAGCAAGTGCTGATGTAGAAGCTGCAGCAAGTTATCCAGAAGATCTAGCAAAGATCACTGATGAAGATGACTACACTAAATAGATTTTAATGTACATGACACAGCCTTACATTGGAAGAAGATGCCATCTAGAATTTTCATAGCTAGAGAAGAGAAGTCAAAGCCTGACTTTAAAGCTTCAAAGGACAGGATGACTCTCTTGTTAGAGGCTAATGCAGCCATTAACTTTAAGTAGAAGTCAATGCTCATTTACCATTTAGAAAAGTCTAGGGCCCTTGAGAATTATACTCTACCTATGCTCTATAAATGGAAACTAAGACTAGATAACCATGCCCATGTTTACAGCGTGGCTTACAAAATTGTCAAGCCCACTGTTGAGACCTACCACTTAGATTAAAATTGCTTTCAAAATATTACTGCTCATTGACTATACATATGGTCACCCAAGAGCTCTGAGGGAGATATACAAAGAGATTAATATTATTCTTATTCTTCTTAGTATTATAATTATTTTGAGATGGAGTCTCACTCTGTCACGCAGGCTGGAGTGCAATGGCGTGATCTCGGCTCACTGCAACCTCTGCCTCCTGGGTTCAAGCGTCCTGCCTCAGCCTCCCAAGTAGCTGGGATTACAGGCACACACTGCCACGCATGGCTAATTTTTTTGGATTTTAGTAGAGACGGGGTTTCACCATGTTACCCAGGCTGGTCTCAAACTCCTGAGCTCAGGCAATCCACCCACCTTGGCCTCCCAAAATGGTAGGATTACAGGCGTGAGCCACCGCTCCTGGCTGAGATTAATATTGTTTTTATACCTGCTAATGCAAAATCTATTCTGTAGCCCATGTGTCAAGAGGTCATTTGATATTCAAGGCTTTCTATTTAAGAAACACATTTTCTAAAGGTATAGCGATAGTTATTCCTCTGATGAATCTGGGCAAAATAAATTGAAAACCTCTGTAATGGATTCACCATTCTAGACGATATTAAGAATATTTTTGATTCATGAGAGGAAATCAAAACATCAACATTAACAGGAGTTTGGAAGAAGTTTATTTTCTTCAATAAATAATTGCTGCAATATCATGATAAAACTCAAATGAAGAAAGACTTGCTTCTTAAGGATGAGGAAAGAAAGTGGTTTCTGGACATGAAATCTACTGCTGGTGAAGAGTCTGTGAACATTGTTGAAATGACAATAAAGGATTTAGAATATTACATAAACTTAAATTATAAAGCAGTGGCAGTTTTGGAAAGTATTGACTCCAATTTCAAAAGAATTTCTACTATGGGTAAAATTTGTCTTATTTTAAGAAATTGCCACAGCCACCCCAACCTTCAGTAAACACTACTCTTAAGTTAGCGGCCATTAACAGTGAGGTGAAACCCTCCACCAGCAAAAAGACTAGGACTCATTTAAAGGACAGATAATTATTAGCACTTTTTAAAATAAAGTATTGTAAAATTAACATATGCACATTGTTTTTTAGATATTATACTATTGCACACTTAATAAACTATAGTATAATATAAATATAACTTTTATATGTACTGGGACACCAAAAAAACATTGTGTGGCTCACTGTCTTACTCTATGTTGCTATGAAGGAATACCTGAGTCTGGGTAATTTGTATAGAAAGGAGGTGTATTTCGCTCATGGTTCTGCAGGCTGTACAAGAAGCATAGCCCTGGCATCCTTCTGCTTGACTTCTTGTGAGGATGTGAGGAGGTCAAGCTTCCACTCGTGGCGGAAGGCAAAGGGGAGCAGCATTACTATGTGGTGCCGAAACACATGGAAAAAGAGCAAGCGAGAGAGCAGGGTAGGAGGTTGCAGGCTCTTTGAAACAGCATCCCTCAGGGAACTATTAGAGCAAGAATTCACTCACTACTGTAAGAATGGCATCAAGCCATTCATGAGGGATCCACCCCTGTTATCCAAACACCTCCTACTAAGCCCCACCCCCAACATTGGAGTACAAGTTTCAACATGAGATTTTCAAGAAGTCAAACATCTAAACTATAGCACTTGCTTCATTGAAGTATTCACTTTACTGCCGGGCGCTGTGGCTCACGCCTGTAATCCCAGCACTTTGGGAGGCCGAGGTGGGCGGATCACAAGGTCAGGAGATCGAGACCATCCTGGCTAACACGGTGAAACCCCATCTCTACTAAAAATACAAAAAATTAGCCGGGTGTGGTGGCGAGTGCCTGTAGTCCCAGCTACTCGGGAGGCTGAGGCAGGAGAATGGCGTGAACCCGGGAGGCGGAGTTTGCAGTGAGCCGAGATTGTGCCACTGCACTCCAGCCTGGGTGACAGAGTGAGACTCCATCTCAAAAAAATAAAAATAAAAATAAAAAAAAGAAATACTCACTTTATTGCAGTGTTCTGGAAACAAACCTGCAATATCTCCGAAGTATGTCTCTCTCTCTCTCTCTCTCTCTCTCTCTCTCTCTCTGTCTCTCTCTCTCCCCCTGTCTCTGTGTTTGTGTGTTTTAACCAAATGTGCAAAATATCTAGGCTCAATTATTTACACACCACATTAAAGAAACTCAAAATTGAGGAAATCTTTTTACATTACAGAATATTTGGGATCCATTGCAAATTTTTGCATGACCTTAATGATCTCAATACATACTTTCACTATTACAAATAAAGCTAGTTGCTAAGGTTACAAAAATGAATGTGTTTTACTTGTTTCAAATTAACTAGTTTATTTTCTTTGTAGGAACAATAAGGAAGTGAGTGCTTTTGTAATTCCTGCACAACTGTATCTTACACTTACTAAGGTAAAATATCAGGATTATGTTAATCTACACTGAATGATGAGAACACTACTGTAAAGTTAGTTAAGGAATGTTCTAAAATTCTAACTAGACTTTGAATAAAATTGTGTTAATTATGCTAATCTAAAAGTATCTTAAATGCTCCCATTGCTCATTATCTTTCTGTGAGTTGCAATTATTCTGTAGTGCTGCAAACTACACGGTGAAATAAGAGCCACTGGCATTTTTATAAATTATTTAAATGTAAAAATTGCTGTATGGCGGTTTACATAAATTCTTTTTATTACAGTGTTCACAGTACATAGATACAGTGACAGATCATTTCTAGGTAGAATCAAGATGAAAAGTGTAGTCCAATTACTGCAAGAAATTCCAGCAATTAAAGAATTTTTTGGCTTAAATTGGCAACTCAGAAAGAAAGGCCAGGCCTGCTGTATGTTTGAGAATAAAAGTGAGCTTATTAATTTGGCTTATTATACACAAATATAACAAATGGTTCATTTCTGATACACTTACTGATTTTTATTCAAGGTAAGGTTAAATTCAGAAAAAGTGACACAAGATAATATGAAGCTGATATTTGTTTAGGTATACTTCAAATAAATAATACTTTTTAGGTATATTTCAGGAATTAAGCCATATCCCAATTGTTATGAAAATAATCATCACTGAAATTCCTTGCAGTAATTGGATCATACCTCTCATCTTTATTCTACCTAGAAATGACCCGTCACTATATCCTTATACTGTGAACATTGTCTATGATTAAAGAAACTCATATGACCCATGATACAGCAATTTATACAATAGTTTATAAAAATGCTAGTAGCCATCTAGTAATGTGTATATATATATATATATATATATATACACACACACATACGTATATATTTGAAATAAACTAACATACCATACAATATATTAATTTAAATTTTAAAATTCAATAGATTTTGTTACAATAATGCATTGCTTAATTGCTTAATGCAGATATGTTCTAAGAAATGCATCATTAAGCAATTTCATCCTTGTGAGAACATTATACAATGTACTTCCACAAACCTGGATAGTATAGGCTACTACACACCTAGGCTACCCCGTATATCTTACTGCTCTTACTGCTCATAAGCTACAAACCTGTACAGCAAGTTACGGTAGTGAATACGGTAAGCAATTGTAACTCAATGGTATTTGCCTGTGTAAACATATCTAAACATAGAAAACATATGATATGATAGAAACATTTTTAGTTCTGTTGTAATTACTGGGACCATATATGCAGTCCATTGTTGACCAAAACGTAGTTACGCAGCTCATGATGGTATATTCACAGAGTGGGGCAACCATCACCACAATAAACTTTAGAAAACTTCTATTACCCCAAAGCAAAAATTCTATACCACTTGCTTAACAGTCACCCTCATTTTTCCCCACCATCACCCTCAGTCTTAGGCAACCACCAATCTGCTTTCTGTCTTTAGAGATTTGCCAATTTTGACAATTCATATGAATGAAATCATACAACACATGGTCTTCTGTGACTAATTCCTTTTGTTGACATAATATTTTTAAAAATTCATTTTTAATTTAGTATGCATCAGTACTTTATTTTTTATTATTGACAAATAATATTTCACTGCACGTAACACATTTATTCATTCATCAGTTGATGGACATTTATATGTTTCTTCCCTGTTTATTATAAATAGTGCTGCTATGAACTTGGTGTATATATATTTTTACTTCTCAAGTACTTGTCTAGGAGTGGAATTGTGGGATCATATAGTAATTCTATGTTTCACTTTTTGAGAAACTGCCAGACTTTTACAAAGTAGCAGTACCATTTTACATTCCTACCAGCACAGTACAAAGCTTCCAGCCTCTCACATCCTCACCAACACTACTTTTATATCTTTTTAATTATAACCAAGTAAGTGTGATGTGACATCATATTATGGTATAATTGTCTCTTAATAATATATCAATTAGTAACAAATATCCTCAAGTTGTCACCAAGGATCACTTAAATTGTGCTGGTCCAGCCCTTCCTGTGTGCTGATTTTGCAATTATCAATAATCTGCAACAACTGATTTAAATACTTAACAGAGATATCAATTATAAAAGAAAGAGTTAAAGAAAAAGTAAGGAAAGAGCAAAATAATAATTATAATTCATAAATAATATTTCATATATTGTACATACTGTATTTTATCCATTCATTGACTGATGGACATATGGATGGAAAAGAAAGGAATGATAGGAAAAGGAGGACGTACTAGCATGAGAAAGGAGTTGATTGTCAGACAACATATTATTTTAATGTCCTGAGAAAAATAAGTGTTAATCTAGAATCCTATATTCAGACAAATGATCTAACAATTTGGGGCTCCCAAGAATGTTCTATGACTTTCCCTTGATGCCCAGTGTTCCAATTTCCCTGACGTCCCTCTGCCATGGAAAGCTGTGTTGGTTTCATTGACACCTTTCTAACCAGGATATCCTTGCTCCTACTATTCCCTCTTTTCTCCTTCCTTTCTGATTCAATTTCTCTTCTCTAAATTTTTCTAATTCTTTAAGGATCAGTTTGAGTGCCTTTCTTTGCAGAAGGAAAAATCCTCTTAGAAAAAAAAAATGAACATTATGAACATATTCTCTTCTATGTTAAATTGTCAATCTCTTGTCACCACAAAATAGTATTTTATGTGTTAAAATTCTCCATATCTCCTAGTAGAATGTCATCTGCATAAGAGGTATGAATATACATATAAAATTTTAGTAAACTATTAAGGAAAATCTTATTGAATTATTAATGAAGAATGTTTCTGTGACTTGTATTCAAAGCTAATTTCTCAAATCTTGATTAATTACAGAATTTTCTTCATCTATTATTGTTCGCTTTCATAATTATAAAAGAGCACACCTCATTCAAAATATCTTAATATTGTAATTTTCTACAACTCAAGGAATTGTACTATCTGAGTCAGTGACTTCAATTGGCTATATTTGGCTGTATGCTTATTTAACTGCATACACGTTCACACACAGCAAGTTTAAAAACTCACAGAATATTTAACATTAGATGTAATTTCAAGAGTACAATTTCAGAATATACATATAGTTTTATTTACATTATGAGGTACTTTTCATTTGATTTGATTTCTTCTTGTATCCCTTGAATACATAATTGGATTATTATGGATTATATAATCAAGGGACATAAGAAGAAATGCATTATTCTTGACTAATATTCCATTTATCAATGCCAAGGAAAGTTATATAAATGCCTGGCTTGAAAAAAAAACAGGATCCATATTTTATCCAGAGACAATGTAAACAAATTAGTTTCAACACAATAGATTTTGGGGTAATACAGAAAAATGTTAAATTAAAGAAAGGAAATCTGGTCATAATAAAAAGTGGTTACAAATATCATTGAAAACTAAAAAGGAGGTAGAAAAGAACTACAAATATTTAAATATTAACTAAAATTGTTTATTAGAAACTTTCTAACTCTGTGCGGCACTTGAATGGTAATACTGGTCTTCTAAATCCCTGTGTCTGTGACCGAACAGCTGCCACTAGACCTTATAAGGCATCTTTGTTCTTGTTATTGAGAGTTGTGGTCAGAGCTAAAGAAGTCCATGGCCTATAACTGTATCTGAACTTCATTTTACATGGCTATACGCGCTTTGAAGTAATATTGCTGTTTCAAGATTACTGCTCAGAGAATTACTATCCCCCTGGTTCACTGCTGATTTTTCTATTTAGAGCAGAATTGTTAAAAAGCACATTGACTGAAGTAATATCAACGATGTATTTGAGTGCTAATGATCCAAGATCTTAAGAAACTATCCAAGGGCCATGGACAATAACGGATCATTTTTATAATATATAAATTATAAAGGTCAATTATAATTTTAGAGGATAAAAGTAAGTATTGGTAATGATGATATTTGCCCTGCCAAATATCACAGGGCTGCAGGACAAGTTTGCTAATATTCTAGAATTGCTCTTTTCAAACTAGATTTCAGAAACTCCTAGAGCTGTACTAAAGAGAGGCTGAGTTACATACTGGGTAAGCCTGGCCCCAGCCAGCAACCTTCAGTTCAACAGAAAACAAATGTTAGAACTGTGTAGTTTTATAAGAAGTTAGAATCTATACAGCGAATTAATTCTCTTTTATGATCATTTTGGATAAACAATTTAATTCTTTCTAGAAGATAAATACCCAATGCAACATATTAATTGCTTGACTGGCTTTAAGTTCACTGAGTCCATCTGTCTATACTATGATAGATAGTGAAAATCACATCCCTTGTTTCATTAACATTTAGGTAGCAGATGAAATTGAAAACCCACATATCTGAACACTTCCCAATGTATTACACTTAATAAAAATGAAAACTGTTTTCATTTTGGCAACCTTCTTCACTGCTGAAGTTACCTCTTCTGACTTTATAAATTATATATTGATATTAGTTTTCTTGTGAATGTTTATATTATCAAGGCTTCTTACAGACTCAGTTTTATTTTTTTATTATTATACTTTAAGTTCTAGGGTACATGTGCAGAACGTGCAGGTTTGTTACATAGGTATACACGTGCCATGGTGGTTTGCTGCTTAGACTCAATTTTAAAGCTTGCTATAAGTATTTTCTTTTGATAGTAACATTATCATACTTTGTCAGTGGGAATACTATGTGTTTATAATATTATAATATAATATTAGATTAGATTAAATATAATATTCTATCTGTAGAGCAAGGTTTAAGATATATTTTATGTATTCATTCATTAAAGCAGCATTCTCAAAGTAGGTCTGGAGACTTTAAATAAAAATAGTATTATTGATCAAAATGTGGGCATTTAATATTATTCCACAATACTGGTACTTGGTAGCTTGGAGTTACTAACCTCTAGGCCACTGGGGTTACTAACAAAGCCGAAATATATTCTTGTTAATCAAATGTGCTCACATCAGTCTTTCCTTTTTAAATTTAATTTTGTAAAATATTTTGCTTTAATTTTAGTCTGATATAAATTGCTAAATATTTATTCTTTATAATATGTTTACTAAAACTCTTATACCCTCAGTCTCTTCTTTCTAATAACTCTCATACAACTTAGTGACTACCATGCTGTGGCAATTTCATTGACCTTGAAGGTTTTCACCAAAACTATTGCTTCTCTTTCATCATTGTTTGAAACAATTCATGAAGTATTGTGATTTCTTATTTGAAATAATGAAACTAAATAAAGATTTACATTAAAAATCAGAAAATGATGTTAAAGTTAAATACAGTTAATCTAAATTTTTTCACATAATTTGATTTCGTGAGTTTACTTTTCATGTAGCTTTTCTCATTCTTATTGCATCACAATGCAAATCATTTGCATAAATTCTGCCTAAGAAATAACATATTTCATAACACAATTACTCAATTTCAATAAAGAACCAGATATTAACATAGAAAGAAATGCAGTGTTGCTCAAGATTTGACTAACAAAAAAAAATTGCAAAGAATGTGTTTTTGCAGCTATCTCTAGTCAACATGTCTAGTTTTTGAAGGTCAAAAGGAAGAAAATAATAGAAGAGAAGTTAGCCAATCAGTCAACTCAATAATGGTAACAATAAAAGTCAAATATAATTATAAATTGGTGGAAGGAATACTAAATAGATTTTTAAAATATTTGATCCTTTATACTTAGATTTAAAAATATATATTTACTATAAGATTAGTGTATCTTTTATGGAAAAATGGATGTAATAGTCAATTGCTTAACAATTGTGTATCATAGTTGTGTATGTAAGTCTATTGTGTGTGTGTTTCTACCCTGAGCTGTAGAACATGCCAAAGCATGGGCACAAAGTAAACAAAACATTTTCAGATGGAGCCAAGATAAATGATGATATCAATTGAAGCTTAAAAAAAATCAAATGACTAACAATAGCTTGTGGCTAATATATGAATGATAGGGATAGACTGCAATTTCTGAGCAAAGCTGTTTTTCAATAACCATGTATATCAAAGCATCAGGGAACACTCAATATCTTAAAATGTTCTTACTATACTAAGTTTGTAAGCATATTCCATTTAAAAATTTGGAAAAACAAAAGTCTAACAATCTAGATGTGATGAATACTCATCCAATGTTGTCCAGAGACATTGAACTTTGGCAAGAAAAATATAAGGTACTGTATTTTGCTCTAAGCAAAGTTTCACAAGGTGTGATCTGCAGACCACTGCTGGTCAAAAACTCTCATTGCTCTATACTTTGACAACATGGAGACCAACAGTGACAAAAAGAAATTACCCGTAGAAGGTAATTTATTTTCCACTGACCTTCAAAATACCAATCCATATTTGTGTTTAATATTTTGGATTCAGGGATTCATGGGCAATATGACTGAATAGGAACAGCTCCAGTCTGAAGCTCCCAGTGAGACCAACATAGAAGGTGGGTGATTTCTGCATTTCCAAGTGAGGTACCCAGCTCATCTCATTGGGTCTGGTTAGGCAGTGGGTGCAGCCCACGGAGGGAGAGCCAAAGCAGGGTGGGATGTCATCTCACCCAGGAAGTGCAAGGGGTTGGTGAACTCCCTGCCCTAGCCAAGGGAAGCCGTGAGGGACTGTGCCGTGAGGAAGGCTCCATTCCAGCCCAAATACTACGCTTTTCCCAGTCTTCGCAACCTGCAAACCAGTAGATTCCCTTGGGTGCCTATGCCACCAGCACCCTGGGTTTCAAGCACAAAACTGGACGTCCTTTGGGCAGACACCAAGTAGGCTGCAGGAGATTTTTTTTCTGTACCCCAGTGGTGCCTGCAATGCCAGCAATACAGAACTGTTCATTCGCCTGGAAATGGGGCTGAAGCCAGGGAGCTAAGGGTTCTTGCTCAGCAGATCCTATCTCCACAGAACCCAGCAAGCTAAGATCCACTCACTTGAAATGCTTGCTGCCAGCACACTAATCTGAAGTCGACCTGGGACACTGGAGCTTGGTGGGGGAAGGGGCATCTGCCATTACTGAGGCTTGAGCAGGCAGTTTTCCCCTCAGTGTAAACAAAACCACTGGGAAGTTTGGACTGGGCGGAGCCCACCGCAGCCCACAAATGTGCTGTAGCCAGACTGCCTCTCTAGATTCCTCCTCTATGGGCAGGACATCTCTGAAGGAAAGACAGCAGCCCCAGTCAGGGGCTTGTAGATAAAACTCCCATCTCCCTGGGACAGAACACCTGGGGGAAGGGGCTGCTGTGGGCACAACTTCAGCAGACTTAAATGTTCCTGCCTGCCGGCTCTGAAGAGAGCAGTGGGTCTCCCAGCACAGCGCTCGAGCTCTAGTAAGGGACAGACTGCCTCCTTAAATGGGTCCCTGACCCCCATGCCTCCTGACAGGGAGACACCTCCCAGCAAAGGTCGACAAACACCTCATACAGGAGAGCTCCAGCTGACATCTGGCAGGTGTCCTTCTGGGAAGAAGCTTCCAGAGGAAGAAGCAGGCAGCAATCTTTGCTGTTATGCTACCTCCACTGGTGATATCCAGGCAAACAGGGTCTGGAGTGGACCTCCTGCAAACTCCAGCAGACCTGCAGAACAGGGTCCTGGCAAACAAAAGCAATAGCATCGACATCAACAAAAAGGATGACCACTCGAAAACCCCATCTAAAGGTCACCAACATCAAAGACCAAAAGTAGACAAATCCATGACGATGAGGAAAAGCCAGCACTAAAAGGCTGAAAATTCCAAAAACCAGAATGCCTCTTCTCCTCCAAAGGATCACAACTCCTTGCCAGGAAGGGAACAAAACTGGATTGAATTTGATGAATTGATAGAAGTAGGCTTCAGAAGGTGGGTAATAACAAACTCCTCCTAGCTAAAGAGGAATGTTCTAAACCAATACAAGTCAAGGAAGCTAAGAACTTTGATACAAGGTTACAGGAACTGCTAACTAGAATAACCAGTTTAGAGAGAACATAAATGGCCTGATGGAGGTGACAAACAGCACGAGAACTTCGTGAAGCATATACAAGTATCAATAGCTGAATTGATCAAGCAGAAGAAAGGATATCAGAGACTGAAGATCAACTTAATGAAATAAAGTATGAAGACAAGATTAGAGAAAAAAAAGAATGAAAAGGAACGAACAAAGCCTCCAAGGAATATGGAACTATGTGAAGAGACCGCACCTACGTTTGATTGGTGTACCTGAAAGTGACGGGGAGAATGCATCAAATTGGAAAACACAATTTAGAATATTATCCAGGAGCTCTTCCCCAACCTAGGAAGACAGGCCAACATTCAAATTCAGAAAATACAGAGAACACCACAAAGATACTCCTTAAGAAGAGCAACCCCAAGACACATATTCATCAGATTCACCAAGGTTGAAATGAAGGAAAATATGTTCAGGGCAGCCAAAAAGGTCAGCTTACCAACAAAGGGAAGCCCATGAGACTAACAGCAGATCTCTCTGCAGAACCCTACAAGCCAGAAGAGAGTGGGGGCCAATACTCAACATTCTTAAATAAAAGAATTTTCAACACAGAATTTCATATCCAGTGAAAAAAGCTTCATAAGTGAAGGAGAAATAATACCCATTACAGACAAGCAAATGCTGAGAGATTTTGTCACCACCAGGCCTACCTTACAAGAGCTCCTGAAGGAAGCACTAAATATAGAAAGGAAAAACTGGCACCAGCCACAGCAAAAACAATCCGAAATGTAAAGACCATCGTCACTATGAAGAAACCGCATCAACTAATGGGAAACAATAACCAGCTAGCATCATAATGACAGGATCAAATTCACACATAACAATATTAATCTTAAATTTAAATGGACTAAATGTCCCAATTAAAAGACAGACTGGCACATTGAATAAAGAGTCAAGACTCATCGGTGTGCTGTATTCAGGAGGTCCATCTCACATGCAAAGATACACATAGGGTCAGAATAAAGGTATGGAGGAAGATTTACTAAGCAAATGGAAAGCAAAAAATAAAAAATATTTAAAAAGCAGGAGTTGCAGTCCTAGTCTCTGATAAAACAGACTTTAAACCAACAAATATCAAAAAAGACAAAGAGCATTACATTACACAAGAAGAGCTAACTATCCTAAATATATAGGCACCCAATACAGGAGCACCCACATTCATAAAGCAAGTTCTTAGTGACCTACAAAGAGTCTTAGACTCCCACATAATAATAGTGGGAGACTTTAACACCCCACTGTCAATATGAGACAGATCAATGAGACAGAAAATTAACAAGGATATTGAGGACTTGAACTCAGCTCTGGTCCAAGCAGACCTAATAGACATCTACAGAACTCTCCACCCCAAATCAACAGAATATACATTCTTCTCAGTACCACATAGCACTTATTCTAAAATCAACCACATAATTGGAAGTAAAAGACTCCTCAGCAAATGCAAAAGAATGAAAATCATAACACACAGTCTCTCAGACCACAGTGCAATCAAATTAGAACTCAGGATTAAGAAACTCACTCAAAACCACACAACTACATGGAAACTGAACAACCTGCTCCTGAATGACTACTGGGTACATAACGAAATTAAGGCAGAAATAAATACATTCTTTGAAACAAATGAGAACAAAGACACAATGTATCAGAATCTCCGGGACACAGCTAAAGCAGTGTTTAGAGGGAAATTTATAGCACTAAATGACCACAGGAGAAAGCAGGAAAGATGTAAAATTGACCCCCTAACACCACAATTAAAAGAACTAGAGAAGCTAGAGCAAACAAATTCAAAAGCTAGCAGAAGACGAAATAACTAAGATGACAGTACAACTGAAGGAGATAGAGACACAAAAAACCCTTCAAAACAATCAATGAATCCAGGAACTGGGTTTTTGAAAAGATTAACAAAATAGATAGACTGCTAGCTAGACTAATAAAGAAGAAAAGAGAGAAGAATCAGATAGACAGAATAAAAAATGATAAAGGGGATATCACCACTGATTCCACAGAAATACAAACTACCATCAGAAAATACTATAAATACCTCTATACAAATAAACTAGAAAATCTAGAAGAAATTGATAAATTTCTGGACACATACACCTCCCAAGTCTAAACCAGGAAGAAAGTGAAGCCCTGAATAGACCAATAACAAGTTCTGAAATTGAGGTAGCAATTAATAGCCTACCAAGCAAAAAAAGCCCAGGACCAGATGGATTCACAGCCAAATTCTACTACAGGTACAAAGAGGAGCTGGTACCATTCCTCCTAAAGCTATTCCAAGCAAAACAAAAAGAGGGACTCCTCCCTAACTCATTTTGAGGCCAGTATCATCCTGATACCAAAACCTGGCAGAGACACAACAAAAAAAAAGAAAATTTCAGGCCAATATCCCTGATGAACATTGATGTGAAAATCCTCAATAAAATACTGGCAAATCGAATCCAGCAGCACATTAAAAAGGAGAAATACCTATTGTAGAACACATGGACACAGGGAGGGTAACATCACACACCCAGGCCCGTCAGGTGGTAAGGGACTAAGGGAGGGATAGCATCAGGAGAAATACCTAATGTAGATGACAGGTTGATGGGTGCAACCAACCGCAATGGCCTGTGTATACCTATGTAACAAACCTGCACCTTCTGCACATGCATCCCAGAACTTAAATATAATTAAAAAAAAGAAAAAAAAAGAACTGTTCAACTGGTTAATTTTAATTAAAATGTAACACATATCTTGAACAATATGCATTGCTTTGTTTAAAAGTTTGAAACATGTAAGAAACCTTGAATTTTTTCATATTACTAGGAACCTGTAAATGTTGTTCATTGCTTGTAAAAATGAGTTTGCATTCTTTTTGTTTTTAATTTGCTTTAAATTTGAATTGAATTAAAGCAATACTGACATTTCTAGGATTTATTTTTATTTTCTTGATAAGTGCTCTATGTAACTCGATAGTCAGCAGGACACACTCGTAGATTTTCAAAAAAATACCACCTCTGCCTTATACCGACTTTGTCTTTTGGCTTTGTGGAATCATTAAAATGAATTGTGTTAACAAATTAATGTTTTAAAATGAGTATTTTGGATTCCATTTTCCCAGTATTCCACGTTAATTGTGTTGTATACAGTATCAATCTTTCAAGAATTGAGTAATGAAAATCAGATGTAATATTATCTGAATCGATGATTAGCAAATGACAGCCTACTGACCAATTTTTGCCTGTTTCTGTAAATAGAGTTTTGTTGGAACATAGCCACTATGATTTGTCTGTGTATATACAGCAGTAGTAGTAAGTCCATATCAGAGAAAATATTTTTGATCTTTTCAAATTCTCAAGTACGTTAATTCATTTTGAGTGCCATGATTAGATGGATATGAAGAAAGTTCAGAGTTACCAACTTGTCCGAGTCCAATGAGTCAGAACATCCGCACACACATCCGAACATCCATGAAGTCAGTTTATAGATGGGCGGCAAGGAGTAACAGAAACTTGGGATTCACTGTGAGCTGGTTCCCTGAGGCTCAGAAAAGCTGCCTGGGTTAGACGGAATTTTATCTGCATGTGTCCCCCTTGCACTGACCCTGGAGGACTCTAGAAAACAGCAATCCTGGGTCTTATATACCAGGGTCCCAGGAAACTCTGGGATAAGGCATGAAGGACATCCTGTTTCTAGCAGGGAGACTAGAACATAGAATGCTGTTCAGGACAATTTCTCCTCTTCTCAGAATGTTGCCTTCCTAGCACATTCTATGGTTATTCTTGAAAAATACAAGCAAGAGTCAGGGGAGAACTGGGTAGACCCAAAGCCACCCGAACTGTTTTGCAGTGGGATTTATTAATAAACATTATTTATGTCTAATACAGTGAAAATATATTAAATTTATCACAGAGAACTACCAGAGTAAACTGTTTTAATTAATTATGATATATTGATTAGATTTTAGGCATCTGAATAGAATTTCTGAGCAAGATTGACATGAATTTATATATTGTATTATTGTACCTTAGAGCTATGATACATTATTATAACTCTTCCCAAAATACATTGACTTTTTGAAAACAGATTTCTATCAGGATTAATCCAGAAGCCATCTATATTTTGAATTGACATCCCCAACACATAGCAGTGGTGTCAGATATTTAGTTGATGCTGAAAAATCTGTTGAATAGATCAATGTTAAGAAAGTCTTTGAAATGAAATATATCACTTAAATGTAAACCTTCCTCAAGATAAGTAGAATTTGGAAATAGATGGACTAAAACCTCTTAAAATTCTTAATTTTATTGCCAATTATGGTACAAAGGTTTTCTAATATATTAAGTACTTTATTTAAATAACAGACAGTTCCCAACTTACTGTCATTTGACATGGTGTTTTGACTTTATGATGTAATGAAAGCAATACAAATTCAGTAGAAACAGAAATGCAAATTTTGATTTTTTACTTTTGCTGGCTGTAGATATATGGTACAATACTCTCGTGTAATACTGGGCAGTGTGCCACAGCTCTCAGTTAGCCAAATAATCACAAAGGTTAACAGCCATGAATTATTCAACACTTAATTATAAAATAGATTTTATATTAGATGATTTTGTCCAACTATAGGCAAATGTAAATGTTCTGAGCCTGTTTAAGGTAGGCCAGGTTAAGGTATGACATTTGGTAGGTTAGTTGTAGTAAATACATTTGACTGACAATATTTTCAACCTATGATGGATTTATCAAGGCATAACCCCATTGTGAGTTGAGGAGCACAAAAAACGTTAAAGCTTTTTTATTTTTTCCTTACTTTACCTCATTTGGGATGAAAATGTTTTCTCTTATTTATGTCTGGACATCTGAATCACAATGAACTGTGAATCAATAGTATTTTTGTAGGGGCTTTAAAAAATAACTTTATAATAATCTCTGAATTCTCTAGGTATTGTCTTGTATCTTAAAAATAACTTCATAAAAATCTCTGAATCCTCTAGGTACTGTATCCACTTGATTATTAAACTCCTCTTCTTCTGAGGTCACACATTGGTGAGCACTCCCATGGGATACAAATATCTTCACAGTTTTTGACCACTCAGAGAGGTCCAGCCACATACCTCTTCCCCAAATTTCTTTGTCAACAATATTCCAATCATGCTTCTTCCAAGTCCCTGACCATCCAGCCAAACCATTGGCTACAGTCCATGAATCAGTATGTAATTGCACATCTGGCCATTTCTCCTTCCATGCAAAGTGCACAACCAGGTAGACTCCTCGAAGTTCTGCCCACTGGGAAGATTTCCTTTCACCGCTGTCCTTCAGGAATGTGCTAGAAAGAGGCTGTAGTGCTGCTGCTGTCCATGTTCAAGTAGTGTCTGCATATCATGTAGAACCATCTGTGAACCAGGCCCTATTTTTCTCTTCCTCTGTCAACTATTATATTGTCAACTCCCCATGAGGCCATCAGTGCAGGCTGGAGGAGAGAAGGCAGGGTGGCAGTAGTGGAGACCATGAGAATTTGAGGCACTTCCTCATATAACTTACTTGTGCCTTCAGGACCTGGTCAAGATCCATCAGATGTATACCACTGTCATTTGATGATGGAATGCTGCTGTGCACAACCCACTTTATGACTAGATGGGTCAGAAAGCACCCAGTTCATGATAGGCAGTTCAGGCCACATGATGACTTGATGACCCACAGTCAAATGTTCAGTTTCCACCAAAGCCCAGTAATAGGCCAAGACCTGTCTCTCAAAAAGAGAGTAGTTATCTGCAAAAGATGGCAGGGACTTGCTCCAAAATCCTAGAGGCCTCCGCTGTGATTCACCTATGTGAACCTGCCAAAGGTTCCAAACAGCATCCTTATCTGCTGCTGACACCTGAAACACCATTGGATCTGCTGGGTCATATGGCCCAAGTGGCACAGCAGCTTAAACAGCAGCCTGGACCTTAGCAAAGCCTTCTCCTGTCCTGGAACCCACCCAAAACTGGCAGCTTTTCATGTCTCTTGATAAATGGGCCAGAGTAACACACCCAAATGAGGAATGTGTTTCCTCCAAAATCCAAATAGGCCCACTAGGCATTGTGCCTCTTTCTTGGTTGTAGGAGGGACCAAATGTGGTAACTTATCCTTTATCTTTGAAGGAATATCTCGACAGGCCCCACACCACTGGACCCCTAGAAATTCTACTGAGGTAGAAGATCCCTGAATTTAAGCCAGATTTATTTCCCATCCTCTGGCATGCAAATGTCTCACCAATAAGTCCAGTGTGTTTGCTACTTCTTGCTCACTGGATCCAATCAGCATAATGTCATAAATATAATGGACCAGTGTGGTATCTTACAGAAGCGAAAAGTGATCAAGATTTCCTCTGAATAAGATTATGACACAAAGCCGGAGAGTTGATATATCCCTGTGGTAGGACAGTAAAGGTATATTGCTGGCCTTGCCAGCTGAAGGCAAATTGCTTCTGGTGGGCCTTATGAAAAGGAATGGAGAAAAAGGCATTTGCCAAGTCAATGGCTGCATACCAGGTACCAGATGTGTTAATTTGCTCAAGCAATGAAACCACATCTGGTACAGCAGCTGCAATTTGAGTTACCACTTGTTTAAGCTTATGATAATCCACTGTCATTCTCCAAGATCCTTCTGTCTTCTGCACAGGCCAAATAGGAGAGTTGAACTGTGTTATGGTGTGAATCACCACCCCTGTGTCTTTCAAGACAAGTGGCACTAATCTCTGCAATCCCTCGAGGGGTATGATATTGTTTTGATTTACTATTTTTCTAGGTAGAGGAAGCTATAATGGCTTCCATTTTGCCTTTCCCACCATAATAGCCCTCATCCTATCAGTCAGGGAGCCAATGTGTGGGTTCTGCAAGCTGCTAAGTATACTGACGCCTATTATGCATTCTGACACTAAGGAAATGACCATAGGATGAATCCAGGGACCCTCTGTAAGTCAGACCTGAGCTAAAACTCCATTAATTACCTGACCTCCATATGTCCATACTTAAACTGGAAGACCGCAGTGATGTTTTGGTTGCCCTGGAATCAGTGTCAGCTCAGAGCCAGTGTCCAGTAGTCACTGAAATGTCTGATCACTTCCCCTTCTCCAAAGCACAGTTACCCTGGTAAAAGGCTGGATGTCTCCTTGGGGAAGGATGGGGGAAAGATTCACTGCAAAAATTGTCTGGAGTGTGGTGGGATCCTTCTTAAGGGAAACTTGGCCTCTCCTTCATTCAAGGGGTACTGGGTCTGTAAACTAGCTCCAGTCTGGAAATTGATTGAGGGGCCATGACTCTCTGTTTTTATAATTCAGATTAGTCTTTTGTCCATTCAACCTAGAAGTTTTCTTCTTATATAAATTAAGTAGGAATGCAGTAGGCTTCTTGTCAGTTTCACTTCTATGAACACCATGATTAAGTAGCCAATGCCAGAGCTCTACATGGGTCAAACTATTCTGATAGCTGCTTTGCTTCTCCTGTATATTACTGTAGCTATGCCCATCTTGCCTTTGATGGTTGAGTGCTGCCACTTGCCCCCCCCCCCACCTCGGGATCGAATTATTCCCATTTTATTTAAATTTTGTAGTTGAGTGACGGTGGTTTCCAACGTTAGCTCTGACATAAGAGAAGAGCAATTACAGGGCTCTTCAAAGATGCAGGTGCTGCTCTCACAAATGTATTTTGCAAGTCATTGCTCAAGGATATATCTTCTGGACCCTCCCAGCTGGGATAAGTAGGTCTAAATTGACTAATCCACTCCATCATCCCAGTCTCCCTAAGCCTTTGGATCCCTTCCTCTCTATTAAACCAAGGGAGATCAGGCATTTCCAGCTTGCTCACAGTGGGCCATCTTTATATTTCAGCTAACCAAGCAAATGAACTATTAGAACCTTTTTTAACTCCCTGAGCTGCAACATTAAATGCAGAGTCACTACTCAGCAGGCCCAAATCAATAAACTCAGCCTGATCCAGCTCTATGTTTCTTCCATCACTATCCCATACTCTCAATATCCATTCCCATGCCTGTTCTTCAGATTGCTATTTATACAGATAACTCAAACAGTTCTTTCTGAGTGTAGCACACCTCCTCATGGGTCACACTCTCAACCTCACTTCTAGGGGCCCACCAGGACTTTAGTCTAGTTATAGGTCTAAAAGCAAACAGAGGTGTTGTGGGTGGTTTCTGAGGAGAATCAACATTATCTTGCCTGGCAACTCCATCAGGAGAGACCACCACTGTTGCCTCAGGAGTGCAGGGTTTATCTCTTCAGACAAAGGTGAAAAATGCTGATGGCAGCATGGGTCAGGGAGGAGATGTTGCCACTACTGGGGATGGGGAAGCTGTTCTGTTCCTTCTGGCAAAAAAGGTTCAACAGAGTTTACAAACTCAGTGTCCCCAGTTTCATCATGTTCCTCCCACATGTCCCCATTCCAAGTTTCAAGGTCGCCTTCTTCTCCAATCAATGCCCTCACTTTAACAGTAGACACCTGGCAAAGTTGTGCCTGAATCTTTCGTTGCAGGTCAACTACTCACACGATAAGAGCTTGTGTCTGTTTTTTCACAATTTCAGCTCTTTCTCTACAGGGGATAAGACTCTCACCTAGGGACAATCTTAGCAGATTTGAGTCTCAGTATCTGCTTCTGAAGCCAGGAGATAGAATCCGTGAGTTCACCATTTTCTTTCATCACTTTGTCCACTGAAGTTAGTAGCAACCAACCACCTTCATTATGTTCCTTGGTTCTCCACATATGGTCAAAGATATTAATGTATAAAGTCACTAAACTCCTTGCCTCTCACAAGCAGTGAATCAGGAGTGTCAAATGCATTTATTTTGCATAACTCTCTAAACAGTTTCTGCCAAGGACTATCAGTGTTCTGCATACTATTAGAGGTAGAGTCCTTAGCATTTTGGGGACTAATCATATTAAGCAGCCAACTCCAGAAACCTCAAAACCAACAAAGGAAGTAGATCCTTAATATTCTGTTCCTCTAGAACCACTCCCAGTACCAAAATAGTACCAAAATCTGTATTAGTCAGGGTTCCCTTAGAGGGACAGAACTAATTGTGTGTGTGTGTGTGTGTGTGTGTGTGTGTGTGTATAAATGTATATAAATGGGAGTTTATTAACTATTAACTTACATGATCGCAACATCCCAAAATAGGCTATCTGCAAGCTGAGGAGCAAGGAGAGCCAGTTTAAGTCCCAAAACTGAAGAACTTGGAGTCCAATGTTCAAGAGCAGGAAGCATTCAGCACAGGAGAAAGATGTAGGCTGAGAGGCTAGGTTCATCTCATCTCTTTGCGTTTTGCTGCCTGCTTTATATTTGCTGCCAGCTGATTAGATTGTGCCCACTGGGTTAAAGGTGGATCTGCCTTCTCCAGTTCATTGACTCAAATGTTAATCTCTTTTGATGGCACCCACACAGACATATCCAAGATTAATACTTTGTATCCCTCAATCCAATCAAGTTGACACTCAATATTAACCATCGCAGCTTCTTTTGTGGATACCAACTTGGTGAGTTGTTTCTATTTTAGGGCTATTATTGATAAGCTATGAACAAGGGTTATACAGGTCTTTTGTGGACATATATTTTCTCTATTTTGAATATATACTCATAGTATCACCATTTCAGAAGATAACATATGTTTAACTCTCTGAAATTACTGTCATTATCAAAAGTGGCTGTGCCATTTTAAACCAGCAATGTATAACAATTCAAGCTGTTTCACCTGCTGTCCAAAATTTGATACACTTATTTTTATTTACTGATTCTAATGGATGTGGGATAATATTTTATTGTAGTTTTAATTCATATTTCTCTTGTAAGTAGCACTGTTGACCATTGTTCCATGTACTTTATTATATATTTGATTATCTTCTTTAATGAATTCTGTCCATGCCTTATAATATTTTTTCTTTTATATAAATGTTGATCTTATATTACCGAATTTAAGAGTATATATATATATATTCCAAATAGAGTCCTTTGTCAGATGTTTGTGTTGAAAATATTCTCCAGACTTTGGATTGCATATTTTTTTTCCCGTTTCTTTTCCTTTTTAGGTAAACATTTTCCATTTTTAGCATTCCAATGTATCAGTTTTTTATTTATGATTCATGCTTTCTGCATATGCACAAAGAAGTCTTTGCCTATTACAGATTGAAATACATTACCCTATCTTTTTTTCTGACGCATTTATTATTTTAGTTTTAAATTTAGGTCTCTGATTCATTTCAAATTAATGCTTGTGTATTTTGTGAGATAGTCATTATGTTTCTTTTGTTCACTCTTCTCATCTTCTCAACACAAATATCTACTTTTTCCAGCACAATTTAATGAAGATGTTTTTATTTCTTTATCAAATTTCCTTGCAGGCTTTCTTAAAACTTGTTCAATTACATCTGTTACTCAATTCTCTGTTATGCTTTACTAAGACAATACCGTACTTTCATGATGATTGTAATTTTATCATAAAGTAACATTTTTCAAGTGGATTTTTTTCAAGATTATTTTGATTTTATTAATTTCTACCTTACAAATAAATTTTAAAATTAATTTTGTCAATTAATACACAAAAGTCTGCTAAAATTTTGATTGAGATTTCACTGAATTCATAGATCAATTTCAGAATTGATATATTAGTAACATTAAATCTTTTAATCCATAGATGTGGTATAGTTCTACATTTATTTAAATCTTGGCTTATTCTATCCTGGCTGCTATAATGAAGTGCCATAGACTGAGGGGCTTATGTACAACAGACATTTATTTTTCACAGCTCTGGAAGCTATAAGTCTGAGACCAGGAAGCCAGCATGGTCGCGTTCTGGCGAGGTCCCTCTTCCAGGTTGCAGACTGCTGACTTCTTGCTGTGTCTTCACACAGCAGAAGTAGCAAAGGGCTCCATCCTCATGACCTGATTAAGCACCAAAGACCCAGCCTCCTAATATTATCACATTGGATGTCAAGATTTCAATATAAGAAATATGGGGAGACAAAACTATTGTCTACAGCAAATCTGCGGTTTTTGTCATCAATAATTTATAGCTTGGACTGTAAAAAGTATTTAACTTTTAAATTAATTTTATACTTCCATATATAATGATTTTTGATACTATTTTAATTAGTAATTTTAAATTTCAGTTTTTAATTTTTACTTTTGAATTTGGCTTTATCTTGAAATATTCTAAATTTGTTTATTGTATGTTATACCACTCTTGTAAGTTCCTTCATTTTCTCATGCATGCAATCTTCCCTTCTCAGAATTGAAGGAGTTTTACTTCTTTCTTTTTAGTCACTATTCCTTTAATTTTCTTATCTTATTGAACTGACTAATGCACCTAGTATAAAATTGAATAAAAGTGATGTGAATAGTATTCTCATCTTGTTTTGATCCAAGTGGAAGAAGCATTAAGTATTTTATTTTTAAGTATGATGTGATCTGTGGACTTTTCATAGATGTGCTTTATCAGGTTGAGGAAGTCTCCTTCTATTTATACTTTGCTAATATATTTAATAGTAAATGGATATTATACTTTGACAAATGCATCTCCTGACTCTGTTGAAATTATCAAATAAGATCTCAATATATCAATGTTATAAAAATAGTCATTTTTGAGTGATACATTATTCTTATGTCCCTGGTAAAACCATCGTATGTTAATGTGTTTTTATTTTCCCATATTGATAGATTTGATTTGCTAATATTTTAATGACTTTTGCATCTGTTTTCATAAGAAATACTTTTTCATAATTTTCATTTTTAGGACGGGTAATATCAGCGTCTGATTTTGCTATTAGGCTTGTATTTGTCTCATACGGTGAATTGAGAAGCCCTTGCCCCTCTATTTTCTGAAAAAGCTTATTTAATGTTGATATTCTTTCTCTCTTAAGTATTTGACTACAATCATTACTAAAGCATTCTAGAACTGATTATTTTGTGGAAAGTTCTTTATGAATTAAATTTGAAGTAGATATAGGAATATTTAGATTGTTCATTCTTATTGGAAGGATATTGGTTTTATGCATCTTTTAAGTCATTCTTGCATTCCATTTTGTTTTTCAAATTTATTGGTATTGAGTTCTAAAAATATCCACTAGTTATCATGTTAACATTTGTGAGATGTGTAGTGGAGACCCCTCTTCATTTCTGATATCACTAATTTGTATTTTCTTCTGTTTTCTTCAGCATTCAATTAGCAGTTCATAAAATTTTAATATTTTTGAAAAAAACTTTTCACTTTATTGATTCTTTTATTTTCTTTCTGTTTGTCTTTTATTTAATTGATTTATATTGTATTTTTATTTTCTGTGTTCCTCTTATTGCCAGTTCACCTATCCTTTTTCTAGTGTTTTTTCTTTCCATCATGTACTTAGGAGCTTTGCTCTAAGATGAATCCACATTTACTATTATGGATTATTGATTAACCAAGCCCTTTAACTTTATGAAATGCCCCTTCTTATATTCTTGAATAAAACTTTTTCTATTTAAGGATAGCAACAACAGCTTTCCTTAACAACAGGTTAGTGTTGGCATGATAAATACATGTTCATCATATTACTTTCAACCTCTTTGTATCTTTATATTTACAGTTTTCATGTAAATGACATATGATTACATATTGCTGTTCTATCCAGACTGAAAATGTCTGCTTTTTAATGAGTGTTTAGTTTAGCTACATGTAATACAAATTATTGATACGCATGACTTCAAGTCTAATATATTACTATTTAATTTTGACTTGTGTCATGTTTGTACATCTACTATTCTCCCCCTTATTACTTTAGATGAATCCAAAAATTTTTATTTTATTTTATCTCCTCATGTCTTTGTATTTGTGTTTCATGCACGTGTATTTGTGTATTTGTGCTTTGTGTTTCCTTTAGGTTAGGTAATATTGTTGTTTACCTTTGAATATTCTGTGTGTAAAATAGTGTGCTGTTCCACAAAAATTTAAGTGTTCTGTTATTATTTGCTTCCAGAGAAATACCTTCCAATTTCTTCTTTTTTTCCTTTGGAATATTTTTACTTCCACATATGCTATAAAACCTCTTATTATGAACTGCCCCCAAACACACAATTTATATGCTGAAATGCTAGCCTAAATGTGACTGTATTTGCAAATGATAAGGCCATTAAAGAGATAATTAGGTTAAATGAAGCTATAAGAATGGGTCCTTAATTCAATGTGATTGTGTCCTTATAAGAAGGTGAAGAAACACCTAGAATGGTCACTTCCAGAGAAATGACCACGTGAGGGCACTCAGAAGACAACCGTCTTGCAGGCCAAGGAGAAAATCCTCAGAAGTTAAATCTGCCAACGTCTTGATCTTAGACTTCTAATAAGCTACAAAATGTTATTCTTAAATAAAAATACCTCTTAGATGCAGCTGTCAGATAAATATTTGAGTATATCTTGACCTTGCAGAACAAAATTGAGTACATTGTGACATTAAGACATAGATATGGGGAAAAGATTCCCTTGCAGACTTTTACTTGTGTCTCAGGTAAAAACATAATTATGTTTTAGCCTAACTTGCAATGTCGAATTTTTAAAATTTATTGCCATCTTTTAAACATGAGACAGCTGACTTTTTAATAAATCACTAGTGTCTGGGAAGGCAATGGATACTTTTTTCAATGAATGATGCTAATTTGCACCATATCTAAATTGATATTAGACAGATCAACAAGACAGAAAATTAACAAGGATATCCAGGACTTGAACTCAGCTCTGGACCAAGCAGACCTAACAGACATCTACAGAACTCTCCACCCCAAATCAACAGAATATACATTCTTCTCAGCACCACATCACATTATTCTAAAATTGACCACATAATTGGAATTAAAACACTCCTCAGCAAATGCAAAGGAACAAAAAGCATAGTTATAGAGTTTTTATAACATGACTTATATTGACTAATTGGTATTTGAAAATATATATTTTTTCTCACTGAGCAGCCTTTTGGAAATAAGTAAATTGAGTTTCAGAAATACATCTCCAGTTATATTTTACTTTTGTAATTTGTATTAATTTTTTTAAATTCTCCAATAAGGAGAAAGTAAAATAAGACTTGAACCAATATCTAGTGAAATTGAGATTTTATTACTCTATTTTGATGTGCATACCTACTTATAAGCATTTTACTCTACAATTTTTTCACTTCTTTTGTTAAAATGAATGCTATGGGAGTTATGTAAAATATTTGTGTCTTTAGAGTCTCTGATCACAGTATTGTGTAAACCTGCTTCTTCCAGTGTGAATATTTCCTCTTGCAATTCGAGTAAAATAAGACCTGGTGCCAGGGAAAAGGAAGAGTTTTTTGAGACCCTTGGCAATTTCCAGTGAAGTTTTTGATGTTCTTTACCCAAAACTTGCGGGATGCAGCCCAAGCAATGCTTAGAGAAATGTATACCTATAAGTGCCTGTGAGAAGTATTTGCTTTCTGGATGATCCCTTTCCAGTTGGCTAGCCAGATCTGTAATGCAGTGATGGGTTCCAGATTGCTTAGTGGGACAACAGACAGATCATTTTTATTCTCATCTTCACTACTCTTTGCTTTAAAGATATTTTCCACGTGGCACTTCCCAGTCTGTGATTTCTTCCTAAGAAGGACTGGAATACAGGCTTCATAGACAAACACACTTCATTATTTTTTTTATCTTCAACTTTAGCATCCACATTCTCTTTATCAAAAATTCTCCCGTAGTTTTAAAAAGTAAATCTCTTTTATAATAGATTTCAGAAATTTCTAACTTGCAACATCAGAATAATGTCTGAAGTCATTAGTGATTGATAATTCGTCTTCTCATAATTTTATACTGACATTTACCAATCATGTTATGTGAGTGACAAGCAGCTAGCACCCATCTTCTGAGCTTCCTCTAAAGGCCATTTATAAAATATTCACAATTCATTTTTGATTATCACTTATAGGTTGGCTGTCAGATCCTGTTTTCCAAGCCCATTCTTTTTTGATTCTTTCAAAAGTATCTACTTCTTTCATTCTTGTTTGCCTCACGCTGGACATCATGGTCTCATTAATTTCTTCAGGGGCCGTGGAGCCCTGCCACAGCTTTCGATAGGCTTGGCATTGATCCAAGGCCAATTCACAGGATCCCTTAGACATGGAGCACTACTGTCCTGAAACCAGCCCGTTTGTTTTCAATTTAGAACATGTAGTGATATGTTTGCATTAAACACAGGAATTTTTAGACGTTCTTTGTATTTAGTAAATAATATATTCTATTTTTATTTTTCTGTTTAAAAATATAAAACTTTCTTTAGCATTTGCTTTACTTTAGCATTTACTACAAGACTGTAGTATAATACAATTTTGTTAGAGATGATTTCAGATTTTTTTTGTCATATCTATATTTTGTATCTTTTTATATAGATCAACATAAAATTTTTATTCTTATTTTTGAAATATATTTACACAGAAAATGTATTTCTTGTTTGACTTTTTCTTTAGGTTTCTAAAGACAATTTTATTTTCTTCTGGTTTCCATTGTTTCTGTGAGAATTCAGCAATTATTCTTACCATCAATCTATACCATATCTTAATTTTCTCTAGCTGGCTTCAAATTTTTCTTTTTTTTAGTTTTCATTGGTTTGATTATGCTATACCTGGCTGTGTTTTTTTTTTTTTATCACACTTCAAGTACTCCAAATTTTTTTGAATTTATATCTATTTGCTTGTTCATTTTCAAATATTTGTAAACATTTTGACCCTTATCTCTTCAAATATTTATTGTGACCCATTTTCTGTTTCTTTCCTCTCTTCCTGGGTCCCAATACTTGTATATTTGAATGTTTTAATATAGTTCCATGAATTTAAAATAATCCATTTCATTTATTTCCACTCTTGTGCTCCAGGTAAGATACTTAATAGTACAAGTTGACTAATTCTTCAAGTTAACTAGTTCAAGTTCACTAATTATTTCCACTGCTGTAACTATTTTGGCCATAGATACAGTTCACTGATTCTTCAAGTTTACTAATTCTTTCCACTGCTGTATCTATTCTGGCTGTAAGCCGATCTTAGTGATTCCTCATCTATTTTACACACTCTCTCTCTCTCTCTCAATTTATGTTCTCTTTATTGGGCTCCTCTCACAGTGTTTATTTTTATATTTTCTAAAATCCCCTAACAATTCATGCATGTTGCTCACCTTTCTACTCTTATTGATATAGCATATGTAATTTCATCTCTGATTATTTTTTGGGTTCCTGATAATTCTAACTTCTAGCTTGGTTCTATTGTTTATCCCTTCATGATGGGTCATGTATCCTCGTTTTTTAATGTGTCTTATATACTTTGTGTGTAAAGGTAGATAAAACCTGAGGTAAATACAATTTATGCCCAGATATAGGTACATTGCTTCTGTTACTGTGGAGGTGTTGAGTCATTCTAATTTGTGGTTGAACGTGGTTTAGGCTTTGCAATTACTTCTGTCTCTCATCACATCCAGGACTAGAGTATGGGGCTGGTTTTCCTGCCCTCCACTATGGTCAGCCAACTACTACTGCCTTGTTACTACTACTACTACTATTAGTGAAATAAATCAATCTACAAATGAGACAGTGTTTCATGTTACATATGCATCAGGATAATCCAAATATCATCATAGTACACTTGAAAAACCATGAAAGACAATCTTCTCCCTAGATTCTTCACTTCTCCACCTTTAGTACCATCACTTCTTCACAAAAAGACACTTTTGGATACATGCATTTCTCTCCTGGAGTAGCCAGTTAATATGAATTTTTTTTTTAATTTTTTTTTTTTATTATTATACTTTAAGTTTTAGGGTACATGTGCACATTGTGCAGGTTAGTTACATATGTATACATGTGCCATGCTGGTGCACTGCACCCACTAACTCATCATCTAGCATTAGGTATATCTCCCGATGCTATCCCTCCCCCCTCCCCCCACCCCACAACAGTCCCCAGAGTGTGATATTCCCCTTCCTGTGTCCATGTGATCTCATTGTTCAATCCCCACCTATGAGTGAGAATATGCGGTGTTTCAAGTGAATTGGTGGATGAAGTGTCTGTTGAGTCATTAATATTTGTTATATGGCATCATGAGGCAATCTAGTTTATTAAGAGTATTTTTAAGATGTCATTAGTCATTTTTTAAGATCCTACGTTTCTTTTTTTATTAAATTAAATGCCTAAAATGTATGGATCATTAAACTTTGCATTCAAACTAAAGAACAATAAATAGGTATTAAGAAAGAAAGAGTACTAAGACACTAAAGAAGAGAAAGTCCTTTTATTGACTTTTCAGAGGTAAAAGCTTAACTAAATGAATTATAAACAGATGACTTTGAATATTGATAATACTTTTGCAAATCTCTAAAGTAGTCGTTCTATCTGTAATAATAAAAATGACAATCTTTTCAGCTAGAGGCTTATTTCAAATAATAGTAATCTGTAAATGCTTTTTCAAGGAGAACTAATAATTATATTTTTATTTCTTAGACATGCTGAAGTAACAGTAAGTTACTCATGGATCTTAATGTGACATGCATATTTTCAAGCCATGCTTAGCAATTCTAGACACCCCACTATATGCTTTATAGCTTCTCAGAGCTCCTCGGCATATTTATCAGGTTATTTTTAATACCAAACTTTTTATTAAATTTATAACCTAAATCCAGAACAGTGCATATTCATAAGCGCACCAGTGATACACTTATATAAACTCACCTGTGACAGGCACACACAAGAAGAAACAGAACACAACCTGATGTCACAAAGCCTCCCTCATATACTTTTGTTGTTGGTAATAACAATGGTGCCCCCACCACTCCCAATAAAAGAGTAATCACAATCCTCACATCTAAGATCGTAGTCATTTTTGTCTGTTTTTACACTTGATGTTAAAAAGATCATCAATAGGTACTATTTATGTCTCGCTTAATTTGCTCAATATTTTGCATGTGGCATATATCTACAGTGTTGCATGTGGTTGTAGTTTCTTCATTCTCAATGATGCCCAGGACTCAATTGCATAAATATATCACAATTTATTAATTGGTGCTACTGTGGATAGACATTTGTCTTCTTTCCAGATTTTAGCTATTATTAGTTCATTGCTATGAATGGTCTTTTCTTGTATTTTGTTGAACATATATGGTAAGTATATACACAGAAGAAAAGCTACTTGGTTACAGGTGTAAGTAGGTTGGCTTTAATAGACACTACTATCTTTTTAAGGTGACTTTACCAGTTTACATTTTCTATAACAGCATATGAGAATTCCAGTTGCTCCATGTTCTCCACACTCATGCAATTCTCTGTCACTTGCACTTACTCTTCTGGTGAGATCACATTTCTGTTTTAATTTGCATTTTCTACTTTATGACAAATGACATAAAGGCACCTTTTCATATATTTGGTGACCATTGGATATTTTACGAAGAGCTTATTTGAATCATTTGCAAATTTTTCTGTTGGCGATTTATCACTTTGTGCAAGTTCTTCATATATTCTGAACACCTCCCTCTCCCCGCCACCACCCATATATATCAAATTCTAACTCTGATATAGTCTCCATTTATATACTAACCATTTCTTCTTTTACCTTTCTCTTTTCTACTTCATCCATCACCTCACACCTGCTCTATTTTAGTTGTCTGTTAACTGATCCACGTGACTTTAGTCTGTCTCCCTTTCTCCAAATCATACCAAACAAGACTAACAGATAAAGCTCTTAAAAAGGAGTATGGCTTCATGTGAGCAATCAACTTAAACTTCTTCAATAGTAAAGTCTTTATATGCAGAGAAAGCCATACATAATCTGATTGGGACTTAACTACTCCTTAATCATTTGGTATAGTTAGAACATGGCATCCAATTACATACAATATTTATGGTAGCAAAGAAAAATTGTATTTAAAGACTTGGTCTATAGTTACATTTTGTTAAATAAGTAAGCACCCTCATCTTTGTAAATGTTTACACTTATTTTTCCGTAATTGCAACTTGTCAGTTTCACATTCTTACTTGCAAGACTTTTGAAAGCTTCAATAGTGATTAAAGTATTATAATGTCTAATCTCAAAATATTGTATTCTTCATTCAACCATTGTCTGTGCTCTAATATATGTCTTATTACTTCAGAAATAATACATATTTGTACATTTTCCTGAAATCATTTGAGTTATCTTAGGGTAAAACATAGAATGGCAACAGGGAATTTATTTCAATATTTTTATGCAGGAAAATAATATTTTAAAATTCCCATGTGATTATACTACATTTTGTCGGAGCCTTGAAGGTTTGTATTAAATATAAGTCATGATAAGACCTCAGAAGATTTAAGAAAATCTTGGAGTCATTTATGTCCAATTTCTCTTGAGTTATCTACAGTGGAACATGTAATGGTTTCATCAAAAAAATTCAAATCTAAAGAAAAGATAGTTATTTTTTTATCCAAGGAAAAGCTTTTTATACCAAATTTCAGCTAAGACTATTTTAAGATTTTTTTTCTCTAATGAAGTTTTTCATGTGAATCAGAGTCTATTTTAAGTCACTCGTTTTCATTGCAAAGAACACTATACACATCAAATTTATTTTTATATCCCATTTTTGTTCATGTTATCTACTATTTTGGGTCCAAAAAGATTACCTAGAATAAAGTAGATGCTTAAAAAATATTGCTTTAAAGAGACTAGTACGTCCTCTCTGTATAGCTGTATATTATTCATCACAATACTTAACCTCTCAATTCCCTGGCCCTTGTCTGTAAAATGTCAATAAAGAAGTATATACTGCACTGGGTTATTAAGATTAAATAAAATATCAAACATAAAGCAATATAAAGTGCTGAACACATTATAAACTACTAATAAGTCTTAGCTTTCCTTATTTTCTTATTAAAATTTTTTTCAGTACGTTTTTTAAAAGAAGAATCTTGGCTGGGTGCAGTGGTTCACACCTGTAATCCTAGCAATTTGGGAGACTGAGGTGGCTGGATCACCTGAGGTGGGGAGTTTGAGACCAGCCTGGCAAACATGGTGAAACCCCATCTCTACTAAAAATAATAAAAATTAGGTGGGCGAGGGGGCAGGTGCCTGTAATCCCAGCAACTCGGGAGGCTGAGGCAGGAGAATCACTTGAACCCAGGAGTCAGAGGTTGCAGTGAGCCAAAATCGCACCATTGCACTCCAGCCTGGACGACAAGAGCAAAACTTTGTCTCAAAAAAAAAAAAAAAGAAAGAAAAGAAAAAGAAAAAAAAGAAGCATCTTAAGTAGTATATGTTACTGATATGGTTCAGCTGTGTCCCCACCTAAATCTCACCTTGAATTGTAACTCCCACAATTCCCAAGTGTTGTGTGAGGAAACCGGTGGGAGGTGATTGAATTATGTGGGTGGGTCTTTCCTGGGCTGTTCTTGTGATAGTGAATGAATATCATGAGATCTGATTGGTTTATCAAGGTTTCCACTTTTGCTTCTTCCTCATTTTCTCTTGTTGCCACCATGTAAGAAGTGCCTTTCACCTCCTGCCATGATTCTGAGGCCTCCTCAGCCATGTGGAACTGTAAGTCCAAATAAACCTCTTTTTCTTCCCAGTTTCAGGTATGTCTTTATCAGCAGCATGAAAACAGACTAATACAGTTACTATATCAGTTTTGGCTATTTACTAAATCAATTCCACTATGAAAATACAAAGGCTTTGCTAACATAACATGACTGGGAACCTAATGCTGCCTGAGGCAGTTTCCATGGGAAGCTCCAAAAGTGTTTTGAATAATGGCAACAGTATTGTAATAAGTGTATGTAATAGTTTCCTAGAGATACCTTTAAAAATTACCAGAAACTGGGTGGTTTAACACAAAAAAATTATTCTTTTACAGTTCTGGAGGCTAAAAGCCAAAATTAAGGTAGGACTCTTTCCTTCTGGAGGCTCTGTAAGAGAATCTGTCCCATGTGCCTCTCCTAGCCTCTGATAGTCATCTATAATCATTGGCATTCTTTGGCTTGCAGCTGCGTCACTTGAACTCTGTCTCCCTCATCTCATGTCCTTCTTCCTGCGTGTCTCTGTGTCCAAATTACCATTTTTGAGGACAGTAGCCATTGGATATGGCCACATAAATTCAGTAGGACCTCATCTGAACTCAATTACATCTAAAAAATATTATTTCCAAATAAGGTTACGTTCATAGGATGTATTGATATCCAGAAAATTTCTGTTCAAATGCCCATGTGATTATACTACCTTGCTGTGCTAGTGTTCCAAAGATGTGTACCCAATATAAGTCTTAATAAGACCCCAGAGGATTTAAGAAAATTTTGGAGTCATTTCTTTATGATTTCTTTTGCATTCTCTACTGTGGAACATGCAATGGTTTTGTTTCATTTTAAAAACTCAGATCTAATAAAAGATAGATGTTTATTCAAATTTCAGGGGTAGGACTTAAATTTATCATTTTGAAGAGAAAATTTAACTCACAACAGTGTGTAACATCCTTTTTTAGATATAGAACTCAGTTAACATTTCAAAGTTATGTTAGTTTCTTGAGAAGATATATCTTGAAATAACTTTATATTGTTATTTCTAACAAATTGATTTTTAAGCCAATGCAATAATAAATTGTCAGTGTGGAGGGGAAATGTGGGGTTGGAGCCCCCACACAGAGTCCACACTGGGGCACTGTGAGAAGAGGGCTACTGTCCTCCTGACCCCAGAATGGTAGATACACGAACAGTTTACACAATGTGCCTGTAAAAGCTGCAGGCAATCAACACCAGCCCTTGAGAGCGGCCGTGGGGGCTAAGCCCTGCAGAGCCACCGAGGCAGAGCTGCCTAAGGCCTTGGGAGCCCACTCCTTCCATCAGTGGGACCTGAATGTGAGAGATGGAGTCAAAGAAGATAATTTCAGAGCTTTAAGATTTCACAACTGCCCTGCTGGGTTTTGGACTTGCATGGGGCCTGTAGCACCTTACTTACTGTATCTCTTCAGTGTAGTATACATATTTCAAATGAGCTTTATAAATGTTCGAAAAGCAATTATCAACACATTTAGAGACTTCCAGTTAAAACACAATAAAAAAACAAAGCAAAAATATGCACATACATTAAAACTTCATGGGAATAAGATGATTAGCTGTAAATTGAAGTAAGTTTCCTTGGTTTAGTAGTGGGACCTGGTGTCTATATAAGAATATAATTTTAAGAATTCAGCTTTGAGGATACATATGTATGTAGAAACAGGCAGAAGTTACCATTGGACTAAATGATTACAGTGAATGAGACAAGATATAAATTTTCATTCATTCAAGCTATGCTGGTCACTCTGATGGATATGAGAAAGAAAATAAAAATATAATTACATGTGTTGTAATTATCTACCGAATGTATTATAAAATAAGAAATACTTAGTTTATTGAAAAACACTTTAGGTTAAAAATCCATCTCTCTCTCTTTCTCCCTCTCTCTCTCTCTCTCACACACACACACACACACACACACACACACACACACACACACACATTTTATGTATATATTTTTATCTTACACCAAATACCAAAGGCTTTTATTTATAAGTCTACTATCTTGCTCCCAAGTCTCACCCACATCATTGGACTCACTTTAATATCTTGAACTCCTAACATGTCTTTCACAGGTTTTTCTTTTCTTTTTCCTTTTTTTCGTATAATTCCTTAGTCATTTTATTTTCTATTACATATTTATAATTCTTTTCAATCTCAGAAAATTTTTCTCTAAATTTCTTAAAGTTCTATAATATCTGCAACTAGGTGAAATTTCATATTTTTCTATTTTAGATTCATAATTTATTTTGCATAGTATAATTTAGTACATTTTTATCTCATATTTGTAAATATTTGATTTTTTAACTTGAATTTAGGGTAACTTGTGTATTATTGCTTTGGTTCGAAAAATAATTCTTCCCATTTCCTCTTCAAATATGCAGGTTTTTTAAATGCATTCATTAATTCATACTCTACTCATGTACAATGGATAGTTATGTACAATGGATACTCATGTACAATGGATAGTTATTTCTAAATATTTTGCCAATAGTTAATAATAATATTTTACTCCATTAAAACCTAGAATATTTTTCCCCTCTGGAATTAAAAATAGTGTGACAATGCAAGCATAGAGTATTTTACAGTAGCTAACATATATTGTGTGCAGTTTCTATATACCTTTTGACCCAGTAGTCCCACTACTAAGTATATGCTTAAAGAAATTTAAATCCGTCTACCATAAAGTCATATGTACACATACGTTCACTGTAGCAGCAGTATTCACAAAAGCAAAAACATAGAATCAACCAAAATGCCCATCAACAGTTGACCGGATAAAGAAAATGTGATAGATATACACCATTATATATTATGAAGTTATGAAAAAGAATGAGATCATATCTGTTGCAGGAACATGGATGGACCTGTAGGCTATTACCCTTAGCAAACTAATGCAGGAACAGAATAATAAATACTGCATGTTCTCACTTATAAGTGGGAGCTAAATAATGAAACCCCATTAGCAGAAAGTAGGAAACAACAGACGCTCGGGCCTAGTTGCAGGAGGAGGTTGGGAGGAGCTACAGGTTCAGAAAAAAAACAACTGATACTGTGTTTAGTACCTGAGGGATAAAATAATCTGTGCAGCACAGCCCCAAGTCATGAGTTTATTTACATAAGAAACCTGCACATGTATCCCTGCACCTAAAGAAAAGTTAAAATATTTAAAAATAGCTTTATTATAGTACAGTTAACATAACAATAAACTTCACCAATTTTAGTTGCACATTATGACAAGTTTTGACGAATGTACACATTCATGTAACTAGCACCAAATTCATGGTGCAGAGTGTTTCCACCAAACTTCAAAGTCACAATGGCCACTTTGTGTCATTTTTCTCCCCAGTGCCTTCCCATGGCAACCACTGGTGTGATTTCTGTCTCCATTATTTTCCACTTCTAAAATTTGACATAAGAATTGTAATATGTCATATAGCCTTTGGTTCCTGGTCTTTTCCCTTTTCATGATGATTTTGAGGTGATTTTGAGAGTCATGATTTATTGCATCCATCATTACTTTATTTTTTATTGCTAAATAATCTTTGATTTTAAGGTTACAACACAATTGGTCTTATGCATTCTCCTATTGATGAAGATATGGATTGTATCATGTTTGGAAACAGAAAATATTATGAATCACTCTGTCAATAAGTCTTGGTGTAGACCCATGTTTTTATTTCTCTTGAGTAAATACCTAGGAGTGGAATTGGTGAATAACATGGTAAGTGGATTTTCAACTATGTAAGAAACTTCCAACTGGTTTTCAAAAATAGCTGCATCATGTCATATTCCCATTAGCAACAATGGGACTTCCAGCTATTCTATTTATTCTCCAAATCTTGGTACTGTCAGTCTTTTTAATGGTAATCATTAGGCAGAATTTGTAGTAATTTTTCATTATAGTTTTGATTTTCATTTCCCTGATGAAAATTATGTTGGCTATCATTTCATGTGTTTCTTTGCAATGTGTATGTCTTCTTCAGTGGAATGCTTGTTTACAACTGTTGTACATTAAGTTTATTGGATTGTGGGCTTATTTTTGATCTGTACAAACAATATAGTCTGGATTAAATTACTTTATTAAAGTATAAGTTTTGCAAATATTTATTTCCATGTTAAACATTTTATTTATAAAATGTTTGAATTGTTTTATGATATTTTTGATGTACAGCCATCTTTCTAAATTATTTTATGAATTGTGCTTGTATACCTTATCCAGTAAATTATTGCTTAACTAATGATCACAAATATTTTTTACTAACGCTTATTTCTAGAAGTTTACTTTTAGGTTTAATTTGATATTTCTATCTAAATATCAAATTAAACTTAAAAGCAAATTTAGGTATTTAATTTTATATTTAGATCTATCATCTGTCATGTAATGTACATTCTCTCTTTTTTCCCTTTCAATACTTTATTTTTTAGAAAACTTCTATATTCACAGCAAAATTGAACAAAAGGCATAGAGATTTCTATTGTAATGGATTTCCAGGTATATCAGGGGCATTTGCTAAAGAGATTCTCTTTTCCCCCTTTGAAATGCTGTGTATTTTGTCCAAACCCAGTTGATCTCATATGTGTGCATCTACTTCTCTTCCCTCTGGCTCAATGAAACTATATTTGTTCTTATGCTCACAATAACCCATACTGTTTACTATGGCTTTATAATTGTTTTTAAAGGCAGGTCATTGAGGCCTTCAAACTATGTGCATCTTTTATAATTTTTTTTTTACTATTCTGAGTTCTTTTACCATCTGTTTTGCTGTTATAAAATTCCATTTTTCAATTCTTTATGACTGATATATAGAAATATGTTTCCCATTTAGCCTACAATCACACTAGGAAAAGACATGAACTGTAGTGCATTTTTGCATATTTCTTCATTATTTATTGGTACACAATTTTGCAAAAAAAAGATGTTAAAATGTCTCTGTTTTTAATTCTGTAGCTTTCTTGCACTATCTAGGATCTCATGGAAAATGATGAATAAAAATGAAGGAAAGTTGACATTTTTGCCCTTTTTCTGATATTGATATAGTCACTCTGGCTTCTTTTCAAGAAGTGTTTTCATGGTATGTCTTTTTTTTTTTTTTAACATCCTTTAACTTTTAATTTATGTGTCTTTGTATTTAATGTAAATTTTTCTAAAGTTAATATTTTTGGTCTTCCTCTATAATCCAATGTTATACTCTATGCATCTTAATTAGTGTGATTAGATCATTCCCATTTTCTTGTAATTTTGATAAGGTTTTAAATCTACCCATCTTGCTGTTTGTTTTCTCTTTTCTTATTTATTCTTTTTTATTTCATGCCTTCTATATTTAAAAAAGTATCCTTCCATTTTGTATTCTATTGTCTCATTATCTACGTGTGTGTGTGTATCTGTATATGTTTTTTTTTCTTGAGATGGAGTCTCCCTCTGTTGCCCAGGCTGGAGTGCGGTGGTGTGGTCTAAGCTCACTGCAACCTCCGCCTCCCGGGTTCAAGCAATTCTCCTGCCTCAGCCTCCCGAGTAGCTGGAATTACAGGCATGCGCCACCACGCTAGGCTGATTTTTGTGTTTTTAGTAGATATGGGGTTTCATTATGTTGACCATGCTGGTCTCAAACTCCTGACCTCAGGAGATCCAAAAAGTGCTGGGATTACAGGAGTGAGCCACCACGCCTGGTCTATTATCTACATATTTTCATTCAACTATTCTTGTTAGTGATTGTCCTGTAGTTTAAAATATACATCTTTGATTTATCACAGTCTACCTTCATACGCTATTATACTACTTCACTTATAATCGATGAGCAGCACAATAGTGCACTTTAATTTCCCCATTTGTATTATTGTTGTCAAATATTTTACTTGTACATAAATCTCAAAGGGTATTGTTGCTATTATTTTTCATAAAATCAAGTATCTTTTGAAAATAACTGAAACAAGGTTAAAAGTATTATTTTTATGCCTACACATACATTTATTTTTCTGATGCCTTTTTATTCATTTTCATCAGGTATCATTTCATTCCACCATCGGAAGTTACTTTTACTTTTTTTAGGCAGGTTCATGAATGATAAATTGTTATTTTGTTTCCTGAAAAACTCTTTATTTCTCTTTATTTTAGAAATACATTTTCTCAGTATTTAAAACCCTTGGTTCACTTTATTTTTCTTAAAGCATATTAATTTATTATTTCATTTTTTCTGGCATGTATGGATTTGTGATGATAAACTTATTGTTTAACCTAATTTTCTTCTTCTATTACTCTTCTGTATTTTGCTCTAGGTGTTCTTAAGATTGTATCTTTGCCACTAGATGTTTGTAGTTTGATTACAATGTGCCTTTTTGTGGGTTTATATTTATTGTTATTGTGGTTGATTTAATTTCTTGCACCTATGGGTATATGGGTTTATTCAAATTTTGAAATCTTTTAGCCATTACTACAACTATTTAACTACAAGAATTTTAGCATATATTTAGGTCACTTATTATTGTCCTCTAATTCATTGATGGTGTATTTATTCTTTCTCTATTTCCTCCCTCTCTGCCTGCTTTTGAATAGTGTATATTGTTATGCTTTCATGTTCAGTGGCATTTCGTTCTGCTGTGTCTCATTTGTTGATAATCTCAGACAGTATTTTTTTTTATTTCTCATGTTGTAATTTTCATCTCTGGTGGTTGCAGTTAGGTCACTTTTATATCTTCTATTTCTGTTCTCACTATGGACATATTTTCTTCTATAACGTTAAGCATATTGAATATGTTTATAATAGCCATTCAAATGCGCTTATCTTCTAATTCCAGTAACTGTCATTTCTGTATCTCTTACTTTTTTTTAATTGAATGCCAGTTGTCAATTTAGTTCTTGGATTCTGAATTATATCTTTAAAGAAAGCTGAACTTTTTTCTTGGTATAAATTTGCTTAGAAACCATTTAATCAATTTAAGGTTTACTTTTACCCCTATGAAAATGACTCTGGACTATCTCTTGCCAAACACTAATGTAATCCCATTAATATGGTGATACACTTCTGAGGATTCTCTCAGATGGCCTGGACGTTATGAGGTCTTTCTAATCTGGCTGCTGAGAACACACACAGCTCCTAGTTCTCTGTCAAGTCCAAAAACCTCAGTTTACTGTTTTCCTGAACCTCTTAGCAATTCCTTCTATGAATGCACAGATCAGCATTCAAAGATTCAAGGAAATCTGAAAAGCTTTTTCTCTATACAGCTCCCTTTTATCTTATATTATGCCCTGAAAATTCTAGCCATTTCAACATCCTCAAAATCTGATCTTTGTCTCTTGAAATCAGCAAAGATGCTGAGTCTCTTTGATTTTCATCTTCCTTCCTTGAGTCCTGGAAAATGCCTTTGGAGAATAAGCAAGATCATCAGATTCCACTTGTTTTATTTACCTCAAGTGTCACATCACTTTGCTGCTCTTATGTCTGATAGCATCTCTTACGTTGGTGTCAAAATCCCAGTTGTATGTGATAGTTGTGGAGGGGGGCTGTGGTTACTGTTTCTACAAGTGGGAGTTTGTACGACTTGTTTACATGCATTAACCCATGTAATTCTCACAGACTTCCAATAACGAAGTTGTGGCAGATCATCCTATTTTTAACTTGACTAAACTGTGAATTAACTTCTCCAGATTCTACCTCCCTGTATATTTCTGGGTTGGAAAACAAACAAACAAACAAAGAACAGAACCTTTCACAAGATGTGGGATGGAGAGTGTGGAATTGGCCACCACTCTTTGAAGGTTGCTGTGGTTAGAGGTGATGACAGACACAGAGACACTCAGAAATTTCCAGCTTGTCCTCCTGCTCCCCCCCATACATCGTCCAGGTCTCCTTTTTTTTTTTTTTTTTTTTTTTTTTTGAGAGGGAGTTTCGCTCTTGTTAGCCAGGCTGGAGTGCAATGGGGTGATCTCGGCTCACCACAACCTCCACCTCCCTGGTTCAAGCGATTCTCCTGCCTCTGCCTCCCGTGTAGCTGGGATTATAGGCATGCACCACCACGCCCAGCTAAATTTTTGTATTTTTAGTAGAGACAGGGTTTCTCTGTGTTGGTCAGGCTGGTCTCGAACTTCCAACCTTAGGTGATGCGCCTGCCTCGGCCTCCCAAAATGCTGAGATTACAGGCGTGAGCCCCCGTGCCAGCCATCCAGGTCTCCTTCTGAACTGTGGGCTTTTCTCTATAACTATGTGTCGTGGTTTGTTCACCACAGGTGATATAGACCCACAGAGGCAACATGTTCACATTCCCTCTGTTAGTGTCTTCCTCTTTGTATTTCCTCTTCAACTCCTTAATATGTGTTTGGCTTCTCACTTTGACAGAGTGGTGACTCAATTAAATCTCTCCTGTTCCCTGTCTTATATTCATGTCTCCCTCTCATTTCACAATTTTACAAGGTCTAATTCCCACAATAAATTATCTTTTCCACGATTCATTGCAGTTTTATATCCATCATTCAATCTTGGCTAATACTATGCATTTAATTTATCTCTAATTTTGAAATGAGTATAATAAGAAATGGAAATAATTAGTAAGTGTCTTAGTGTTAAAAAGCTAATTAATAGTTGATCTAGGATTTAAACCCAGGAAATTATTTTCCAAAATTCATGATTCTATGCATCTTTCCTTATTGTCTCTTTAAATCTCTGCACTTATCAGTGGCAATTAAATATCTACCATTTAGTTTTTTAATTTAAAAGTTTTAAAAATTTATAGTTGACACATGATTACTGTACATATTTGTGGGATACAGTGTGATGTTTCAGTGCATATATACAATGTGTAATGATCAAATCAGGATGATTATTATATTCATTGCCTTAAGCATTTGTCATTTCTTTGTGGTGATAACATTCAAAATCCTCTCTTCTGACTATCTTGAAATGAACATTTTAGGCTGGGCATGGTGGCTCATGCCTGTAATCCCAGCATTTTGGGAGGCTGAGGCAGGTGGATCACTTGAGGTCAGGAGATTGAGACAAGCCTGGTCAATATGGTGAAACCCTGTCTCTACTGAAAATACAAAAATTAGCTGGGTATGGTGGGTGCGGTAGTCCCAGCTACTCGGGAGGCTGAGGCAGGAGAATCACTTGAACCTGGGAGGCGGAGGTTGCAGTGAGCCAAGACTGCGCCACTGCACTCCCACCTGGGTGACAGGGCAAGACTCCGTTTCAAAAAAAAATTAAAAAAAGAAATGAACATTTTATTAGTTATGGTGATCCTACTGTGTATTAAAACACCAGAACTTATTCTTCTTGTCTAACCATAACTTTTTAGTCCTTGTCCAACCACTCTTCATCCATCCTCCCTTGTACTGTCCCAGCTTCTGGTAACCACTATTCTATTCTCATTTCTGTGAGATCAACTTTTTAAAATACATACATACACACACACACACACACACGCACCCCATATTTTCTGTACCCATTCATCTGTAGAAAGGCATTTAGTTTGATTCCATGGTTTGGCCATGTGAATAATGCTGCATAATCATTGGAGTGCAGATATCTCTCTGATATACTGGTTTCATTTCTTTTGGATATATACCTAGTAATAGGATTGCTGAATCAAATGGTAGTTCTATTTTTAATTTTTTGAGGAACCCTCTATACTGTTTTCCATAATGACTCTATTAACTTAATCTATGTGTCTGTAATCCCAGAACTTTGGGAGTCCAAGGCAGGTGTATCACCTGAGATCAGAAGGTCAAGACCAGGCTGGCCAACATGGCGAAACCCCGTTCCTACTAAAAATACACAAAATTAGCCTGCTGTGGTGGCACGTGCCTGTAGTCCAAGCAACTTGGGAGGCTGAGACAGGAGAATCGCTTGAACCCAGGAGGTTGAGGTTGGAGTGAGCCAAGCTAGTGCCACTGCACTCCAGCCTGGGTTGACAGAGCAAGACTCCATCTCAAAAAATAAAAATAATAATAAATAAAAACTTAAAAAATAATTTAAACTATGTATCTGACAACTTCTCAGTATCCAGAATATATAAGGAATTTAACTCAGTAGCAAAACACACAAATAATCTTATTAAAAATGGGCAAAAACCTGAATAGACATTTCTCAAAAGAAGACATACAAATAGTCAACAGATGTATATTTTTAAAATGCTCAGTCAACATCGCTAATTATCAGGCAAATGAAAATTAAAGCTGGGATGGGATATCACCTTACCCCAGTTAGAATGGCTATTATCAAAAAGTAAAAAAAAAAGAAAAGAAAAAAAGAAAAAAAAATGCTGTCAAGGATGCAGAGAGAGGGGAGGTCCTCTCATATACCAGGTTGTGGGAAAATAAACATATTTTATTTTCAAACAGAGTATTTTTATGACTGGGTAAGTGCTGAAAAATTTGGGGAATTGTATTTATTTGCTAGAACTGTTTGCTAAACCTTACGTTTATGTAATAACTGCAAAATATTAAACTTAAATTCAAGAATAGGGTTTTTTGGTCCTTTTTGTCAAGTATGATACATATAAAAATAATATTTTTGTGAATTAAAAATTCAAGAAATGGTATATCTGAACAAGCTATCTGAATAGGAAATAGTTATAAGTATTGACTTAAGCATCCAATGTTTTCAATTTTAATTTAAATTTCTATGGCCTTAGATTTTCTTACATTTTTTCTCTCATAATTATTCCATAAGGTTTTGTTTCTACCAAAATTTACTTGTAAAGAGCTGCATTCATTATGTATTGTTTATGGAAAAGTAAAGACACTAGTGAATAAATGTTGGTATCAAATAATATACAGTATTTTGTGTACTTACATTCATCATTAATAAACTTCAAATGGATAATATATACTTACATTTAAATAGTAAAAATCTCTTTTATTAATATATAATTTATACCTGAACACAAAATGATTTTAACAAAGAAGAATATATTTTAATATTTTATTTACTTATTCAAGACACATGCAATCCCTTTTATATTCCAGGCACTAAAATGTTATGAGTAAAGCTTTTCAGTAGTGGTGATTGTATTATTAAATGCCCTACTATACATTGTACTATATATAATTCTATTAATTGGGAAGTTAATAGTTGTAGATTATATGTACATAGCTTTGATTGAATTTGTGAATATTATTATATTGGATTAAAATATTTAGTCAATTTCCAGTCCTATAATCAGCACAGTGCCTAGTTCAAATGACAGAATATTGGTAAAACTATACTAGCACTCTTACTTTTGTTTGCTTAAAAACAAGCCCACATTTTAATGTTTATATGAATAGAATAAACTTTTGTTTTTATATGAAAAAGACTATATAGCTGTTTGATATCCGGACTTAATTTTCAGGTAGCAGTGATTTAGTTTTAAAAAGGGTATAAATAATACACTGAATACATATTACAGGGACATTTAATGAGATGTCAGAATACTTGGTTATTTGTCTTGGATTTACAAATCAATTTCTAAATAATTTTGAACTCTTCTCTCATTTGTAAAATATTAAAGAAGAGAATGGAGTTATCTCCCCCAACTAGACAACCATATGAGCTCCAATCTAAGAACTTGACATTTTGAAATATATTCAATGTATTTCCCCTTCCTTGTTTGGTCATTTTTACTATAAAAAAATTATACCAGTACAGTAGGTCATTAAGATGAATCTCATTCCTCCAAAGAATATAAATACTGTCATGATTAAAATGACATTACACAATTTAACCTTTGGTGTACAGCCTTTTAAGAAACTCACAAAAAAATAATAGCATTAGAGTAAAGGAGGTTTGACTACTAAGGTTAAAGAAAATTAATTTTGTTTTGAATTTAAGTTTTTTTAGGAGATCTCTGGCTCTAGGGAGGGTGAGAATATGTTATAAGAGTAATTTTTAAGATTTTTATTGCCTTAAACTTTCTTAGTATGTTATGGGTAGGAGGTGGGATATTTGAAGACACTAGAAGGCACATAGAGAGTTTTAAGTGGAGCTTCATATAAGAATAATGTTTTATCTTTTTATTCCAAAAGGGCTTTTGTGAGGAAAAAATCAAATACATTTAGATATATACATATATGTGGTGACTGTTCTAAGTTGTTAAAATGGCTTATGACCAAGGTTTGGTTTGTCAAACACATAATCCTGGGAAGAGAATAAAGACAATAAAAATTTCTGGTATGTATCTGCTATTTGATGGACCACTTAAACACTTATAGGAGGATTTGATTCAACTGTCATTTGCAATACATGTTTTCTGGATGTGTGAAAGTTTTCCTATGCAAGAAGGCTGATGTACTAATAGTAGCTAAAGTATTATTAGAAAATGTGTTTTCCTCATGAGATATTTATTGCAGCACAAGTCACAACTGCAAAGAGCTAAGCCATGAGTATGCAGGGTCATACAGGATGGTATAATGAAACTAGAGACTCAGAAGCGAGGAGGTTGGGAAAGGGATGAAGGAGGAAAAATTACCTATTAGGTACAACACGTGTTATTCGGGTGATGGGTACACTAAAAATATAGACTTAACCACCGTACAATTCATCCATGTAATCAAAACCCACTTTTACCCTAAAGCTGTTGACATTAGTAAAAAGTAAATACTTTTTTTTTTATTATTATACTTTAAGTTTTAGGGTACATGTGCACATTGTGCAGGTTAGTTACATATGTATACATGTGCCATGCTGGTGCATATACCCAAAGGACTATAAATCATGCTGCTATAAAGACACATGCACACGTATGTTTATTGCGGCATTATTCACAAGAGAAAAGACTTGGAACCAACCCAAATGTCCAACAATGATAGACTGGATTAAGAAAATGTGGCACATATACACCATGGAATACTATGCAGCCATAAAAAATGATGAGTTCATGTCCTTTGTAGGGACATGGATGAAATTGGAAATCATCATTCTCAGTAAATATTTTTTTAAGTAAATAGGATACAGGATAAGATATAGGTGAAGTTTCTCAAGAAAGTTTTATAATAGATATATTCAGGACCCCAGAGAAGGAGTCAGTAGGTAGACAGAGAGATATGAAGGGTTTATCAGTAGAGATTTACCTAGAATTCTTAGCAGTGTACTGGAGCTTAGAGCATGAGCCTTGCTCCCTGATGGATGAGATGTAATCCAAGAAGGCTCCCTCTGTTTTAGAAAAGTTTCATATTTCTCAATGTCCTGAAGAACCCAGGGCCTACCAGGTGGATTAGCAACGGCTGAGGTGGCAATTATAGGAATGGGCCTATAGATTTCTATTGCCTCATCATTTCCGGGAAAACAATGGCTATTTCTCTGGAGCCAGGAGAACATAGAAAAATACAGATTTGGTCTTCTCATTTTCAAACAAGAGAGATCTGAAAACTCACAAACCCAAGGACAACATTGAGATTTTCTTCTAAATGGAATGTTTTCCTCTGTTTCCAGATGCCTTTCCACCTGAAAGGAAAAAGAAACGTGTTTGTTTGTGTATATGTAGTTTTGCGTGTGTTTACTTTTTTAAGTTTCCTGGTTAGCTTTGAATACTGCATACTTTAAATATAGAATATTTCAAACTATTCTATAGCATTTTTATTTTTAAAAATTCTGTGTAAGAAAATATATCAAATGTGTTTTGGGCTACTTTCCAAGTTTTCCAAATTATTCTTTACCTCACTACTGATTTACACATTAATTTAATAATATTTTAAAAAATCAATAAACAAATAAGGCATTCTGTGTCCAAAAATATGTCTTTAATGTGATAAAAAATAAATGTGAAATTATATTTTATTGATATTAATTAAACTTCTACGTCTGGAGAAGCTAAACTCCATGAAATGATTTTAAACTGTTATTTTGTACTCTAAAAATCTTTGTTTTATTGTGCTATGTTCTTAAAACCTGGTGGTATGGACTTCCAGCTCAATAATTCACTGTAAAGGTATGTTTAATCAGCTGGTCAGCTCTTCAGTCATTTTTAAAAAAATTTTCAAAATCATGTATTTTCATTCTAAAACTACTGATGGTTCTTTTAAAATAATTGATTCATAGTTCATCATCACAATCTTCATCAGCATAACCACCATTAATGTCACTGTTACCATTGTTTTTGTTATTCCTCTGAAGTTCTTCCCAATCTTCTTAAGACTTTTTGTTTGCATTGTGAATACTAGGTCGCATGTTACTCATTCTTATTATTTTTAAGACAATAAATTAACTGATAATATTAATTATGCAGTTTTAATTATTTATCTATGGATAAATGCCCTTCAGATCAAATTCTAGTAGTACCCAGGCTCTGAAACTATTTTGGTAGTATAAAAATAAAATAATATCTACTTTTTGTGTGTGACTCTTGGTAATTATATAAGTCCACTCAGGCTTCCATAACAGAATGCCAGACTGAGTGAGTTAACAGAAATTTGATTTCTTACAATTCTGAATACTAGAAGTTCAAGGTCAAGGTGACAGCAGGATCAGTTTCCTGTGAAGACTCTCTTCGTGGCTTACAGATAGCTGCTTTCTCTCTGTGCCCTCCAGGCAGAAAGAGTGAGGAAGCTCTCTTCTGTCTCTTATGAAGTCAATAATCCCATCATCTGGGTCCCACTATCATGACCTTATGCAAACCTAATTATCTCTCAAACACTCTATCTCTAAATGCCATAACATTTGGGACTAGGATATCTCCATATGAATTTGGGAGGATTCAATTTAGTCCAAAGCAGTAGAGTTTCTATTATTTTAGGTTCACATTTCATACACTTCCTTTTTATTTATTTACTTATTTTGCCTCAGAGAATCTTCCTTCTCTCTCTAGAAATATATCTGTATGAATGAATGAGGGTAATTCTCCACCTACTGAAGAGTAAAGTGTTACAAGGAGAACACATTTTTTGTGTATTTTGCATTGTCACTTTGCAGCTTCTTCTTTACTCTTTCAATGGGAGGATGATATGTTGCCTTATATATATATATATAAACGCTAGATACATGATTTGGTTATTCTGTATAAAAACTGAATCGCTTCTATCCATACGCAGATATTTCTCCAATAATAAAAATTTAACTGACTCAAAAAAAGTTTTAGCATCAAAGAGTCAATAATGTTAATTAAAAGCAGTTTATTTTAGTAATTTACAGGTATCTTCTCCAAGCTGTCTTTTTCTAAGAAAATAGTTGTTAAAAGTATACTTTATTTGAAGAAAGGAATTACTGTCTTCTTTATAAATATCTTGACAATTACATAATTTATAAGTAGATATTGACTTTTCAAAATGAATATCAAAAATTATTGACTACAGTGTATATCTTTATCTAGGCAACTTGAGAAATAATTAACCCTGATACTCATAGAAAATTAAAATCAATAAATGCATGATTGTGTATTGCTAGGAACTCTAAGCATTAAAATGCAAGAAGCATTAATACTGCCGTTTTATAAATTGCCTTGATGTTTCAAGGCTTTGCTTTGAGTCTTTGATTGTAAAGAGTAGCACCACTTAAAGTTATTTGGCCTATGTATGCATTATGCAATCTCTCATATTACAGTCATAATAAACAGTAGTAGGCAATGGGACAAACCAAAGCCCAATCTTCACTTAACTGAAAAGTATCATGATATGATTGGATTGTGTCCCCACCCAAATCTCATCTTGAATTGTAGCTCTCACAATTCCCATGTGTCATGGGATGGACCCAGTAGGAGGTAATTGAATCATGGGGGTGGGTCTTTCCTTTGCTGTTCTCATGATAGTGAATAATCCTCATGAGATCTGATGGTTTTTAAAAGGGGTGTTCTCTGCACAAACTCTCTCTCGCCTGCTGCCATGTAAGACATGTCTTGCTTCCCCTTCACCTTCCGCCATGTTTGTGAGGCCTCACCAGCCATGTGGAACTGTGAATTAATTAAACCTCTTTACTTTATAAATTACCCAGCCTTGGGTATGTCTTTATTAGCAGCGTGAAAATGAACTCATACAGTAAACTGGTACCAGTTGGGTGGGGTGCTGCTGTAAAGATACTGGAAAATGTGGAAGTGACTTTGGAACTGGGTAACAAGCAGAGGATGAAGCAGTTTGTAGGGCTCAGAAGAAGAAGGGAAAATGTGGGAAAGTTTGGAACTTCCTAAAGACTTGTTGACTGGCTTTGACCAAAATGCTGATAATGATATGGAAAATGAAATCCAGGCTGAGGTGGTCTCAGACGAAGATGAGGAACTTGTTGGGTACTGGAAAAAAAAGTGACTCTTGCTGTATTTTAGCAAACAGACTAGAGGCATTTTGCCCTTGCCCTAGAGATTTGTGGAACTGGAACTTTGAACTTGAGAGAGACGATGTAGGGTATTTGGCTGAATAAATTTTTAAACAGGAAAGCATTCAAGATGTGACTTAGGTTCTATTAACAGCATTGAGTTTTAAAAAAGGAAACAGAGCATAAATGTTTGGAAAATTGGCAGCCTGGTGATGCAATAGAAAAGAAGAGCCCGTTTTCTGAGGAGAAATTCAAGCCGGCTATAAGAATTTGCATAAGTAACGAGGAACCAAATGTTAATCACCAAGAAAATGGGGAAAATATCCCCAGGGCTTGTCAGAGATGTTTGCGGCAGCCCCTCCCATCATAGGACCTGAGACCTAGAACACAAAAATTGTTTTGTGGGCGGGGCCCTGGGACCCCCCTGCTGTGTGCAGCCTAGGAACTTGCCCTGCATCCCAGCCACTCTAGTCATGGCTAAAAGGGGCAACATACAGCTTGGGCTGTTACTTCAGAGGGTGCAAGCCCCAAGCCTTGGCAGCTTCTATGTCGTGTTGAGTCTGCTGGTGCACAGTAGTCAAGAACTGGGGTTTGGGAACTTCCTCCTAGATTTCAGAGGATGTATGGAAACACCTGGATCTCCAGGCAGAAATTTGCTGCAGGGGCAGGGCCCTCATGGAGAGCTTCTATTAGGGCAGTGCAGGAGGGAAATATGGGATTGAAGCCCCCACAAAGGGTCCCCACTGGGGTACTGCCTAGTGGAGGTGTGACAAGAAAGCCATCATCCTCCAGAACCCAGAATAGTAGATCCACCAACAGCTTGCACCATGTACCTGAAAATGCTGCAGACACTCAATGCCAGCCCATGAAGGGAACCAGAAAGGAGGCTGTACCCTGCAAAGTCACAAAGGCAAAGCTACCCGAGACCATGGGAACCCACCTCTTGCATGAGCATGACCTGGATGTGAGACATGGAGTCAAAGGAGGTCAATTTGGAGCTTTAAGATTTGAGTGCCCTGCTGGATTTTGGACTTGCATGGGGCCTATAGCCCCTTTGTTTTCATCAATTTCTCCTATTTGGAATGGCTGTATTTATCCAATGTCTGTAACCCCATTGTATCTAGGAAGTAACTAACTTGCTTTTGATTTCATGGGCTCATAGGTGGAAGGTACTTGCCCAGTCTCGAATGAGACTTTGGACTGTGAACTTTTGAGTTAATACTGAGATTAGTTAAGACTTTTGGGGACTGTTGGGAAGGCATGATTTGTTTTGAAATGTGAGGACATGAGATTTGGGAGGAACCGGGGTGGAATGATATGTTTTGGCTGTGTCCCCATCCAAATCTCATCTTGAATTGTAGCTCCCACAGTTCACATGTGTCATGGGAGGGATCTGGTGGGAGGTAATTGAATCGTGCAGCTGGGTCTTTCCCGTGCTGTTCTCATGATAGTGAATAAGTCTCACGAGATCTGATGGTTTTATAAGGGGAGTTCCCCTGCGCAAGCTCTCTTTTGCCTGCTGCCACATAAGATGTGTCTTACTTCCCTTTCACCTTCCACAATGATCATGAGGCCTCCCCAGCCATTCAGAACTGTTGATCAATTAAACCTCTTTTCTTTATAAATTACCCAGTCTCAGGTATGTCTTTATTAGCAGCATGAGAGTAAACTAATACATATCATTTAATAACAAACAAATTACAATTGTCATGCACATTGTCTTAGTCCATTCAGGCTGCTCTAACAAGATACCATAAACTGGGTAGCTTATAAACAACAACAAAATATTTCTCACAATTCTGCAGCCTGGAAAGTCTAGATCATATGCTTCAGATGTGGCATTTGGTGAGGACACGCTGTCTGCTTCATAGTTCTTCCTGTGTCCTCACATAGTGAAAGAAAGCTACTTCCCACAATTCCCATGTGTTGTGGGGGGTACCTGGTGGGAGGTAATTGAATCACGGGGCTGGGTCTTTCCCGTGCTTTTCTTGTGATAGTGAATAAGTCTCATGAGATCTGATGCGGTATCTTTTATAAGAGTACTAATTCCAATCATGAGGGCTGTCTTACCAAAGGCCCCACGTCCAGCTGCCATCACCTTAGGGGTTAGGATTCAACATAGAGATTTTGGAAGGACACAAACATTCATACTCAGAATATACCCCTAATTTTCATTTTATTTGAGGCTGTTTTTTTTAAAATAATGGCCTTCTTATTATACTGGTAACAAATTTTCATGAAATATTTTACTACTTTGTATAATGATGTGAGGTGACCTGGACTCTGATACTTGTCTTTCTTCTGTGACCTTGAACATATAAACTCAACAATAACAAAAAATGATTAATTTATACCATCAAAAAACTGAAACTTATGTTGCAGAAATACAAAGCAAAAGAAGAAAAAGTCTTTGCATTCAAGGAGTTTACAATTCCCTTGGGGTAAACAAGAAAATAAGAAAAGCATAGAAGTTATCATGACATAAGATAGACTGTGGCTCTGAAGAGATTTTTAAAAATTAGAGAACTAATATATGCCTTTGTAAAGATTTTTTAAAAATAAGAAACTAAAAGGAATGAATATTATAATAATGACATAGTATTTGATGTGGACCTTGAAATTTGATTGAGGAAAAAGTCAAAAGATGAAAAAAGAGAGTGGAATTGGACAGCTCTGTAGTCGGCATAAAATATATGGGAAAATGTGGAAAAGTAAGAAACATGTTCAGAAAAATAAATAATCTCTATTGTTCAGTGAGCAAATGTAGAGGAATAATAGTATACAAAGGAAGAAAAACAGTTTAGCATCATATTGTAAAATAATTTAATTGCTAAAGGTTAACTAATTAAGCCAATAATTTATTATAAACTAGAATTCCAGATACCATATCAAATACTAGTAACACATACTTCACATTACAAGAAACACCATCTTTGGGGAATATATAATCTAGAAAGAAGGTAGAAATGCATGATATAATCCCACAAATATAGCTAAAACTACAATTAGATGATTCTCCGAAGGCACAGTGCTAGAGAACTTGTAATAGGAATTCTAACTTCATCAGTAGGATCAAAGAACTTCCTAAAGAAAAAAGATTTGAGATGGATAGAAGTGAGAGTAGGACACAAGAGTATTAGAATTAGGTGAAAGTGTTGTCCTGTTGCACGGGAGACAGGGAAAATAAGCCAGTCTCAGATATTATAGGAGCTTTTAACTTTGTTTTTTATTCTAAATGTAATGAGGTATTACTTAAATGAATAATAGGAGAAAATGTATTATTATCAGAGGTTCATTTTAATTATAAAGCACTCACTCTTCAGTAAAGAGTTGGTTTGGACAAGAGAATTGGAGGTCAGCAAATTAAAATGCTTTACCACTAGACTAGTTGAGAACTAATGGTTGCTTCAAATAAGTGCTTTGGAGATAGATAGCTATGTAGTAATTTAAGAAGTACTTAAAATTAAAAATTGAAAGTACATATTGGATAACTAGAAATTAGAGAGACAGAGTATCCCAGGGTTCCTTTGTTCCCTAGTTGTGATATTTGGGGGCGTGATGGTTCTTTTCATTGCGATAGGGAATCTGGACAAGACCAGAAAATAAAATCCTTTAAGACAAGAGGACCATAAACTCAGCTTAATGTACCTCTGATGTTCCTTTGAAATAGACATTCAAGAAATATGTGGATTTTCAAAGTTAAAACAGTAAGCCTGGACTGAATATATAGAAAGGTATGCACAATCTGTTCACCAATAGTCATGGGACTTGGAGCAGTCAAGGAGCTTTGCTAGGAAGCAATACAAAAGAAAAAGGATCACCAAAATTTTGACTACGTAGTATAGATAAGGTCAAGAGGAGTTCAAGAAAGAATAAATCCGAAAGTTAAGAGAAAGTCAAGAGTGTGATGTCACACAAACGTTTCAAGGAAGAGTCAACAAGGTCAATAAATGCTGAGACGTCAAGTAAGAGGATATTGACCACTGGCTTTTGAGATGGAGAAATCAATGAAGATTTTAGAAGTGCTATTTAAGAGAAGTGATAGGATACAAAACAGATTGTCCGGGGTTAAGGAGAGAGAGATAGGTGAGGAAATGAAGCCAGCATTTTTAGGAAACTATTCTGAGATGTGGTTTGAATAGGTAGGAGAGAGGACTACAATTGCAGAAACATGTAATTGCAATGGAGGACTTTTAAAATTAGAATTTTGAATATATTCAGTGGAAAAATACAGTTTAAAAGAAGTGAGATTATTTTCAGATTGTGACATAAGGTATTTTTTGACAAAAAAAGACAAACTAGAAAATTTCATTTTGTAAATTAATACAGCAGTAGTAAAATGTGACGGGCTAAACCATTAGTGAAAAAATCAAGAACAAATGCACAGGCCGATGCAATCATGTATATGTGATAATTTTGGAATGCATGTGCATTGATGGCAGAGAGTGGAAACAGGAAAATAAGGAAACTGGTGTGATAATTTTTGGAAAAAAAGAGAGAATATATTGCAACTAGTAAATAATTTTACCTAAAAAATGGAGAGGCTTATGGTAAAGCAAAAGGTAATTACTTAATAGAGGAAATGTACATTATTTGAATGACAGTTAGTTACACTAAAAGTCCAGACTTCACCCCTACTCAATATATCCATGTAAAAAATGGCATTTGTGCCCCTTTTATTTATACAGAAAAGTACATAATCTTTAGTGTCTGAATGTAGATGAAGAAACAATCTACTGAGAGGATAGGTTATTTTTTTTTCACAGATTTGGTCAGTACCTGCAGTTAGGATTTCATCCTCACCCTCACTTCAACAAACCCATTCTTATGAAGCTCATCAATAATCTCCACATTATTGAATCCAATGATCAGGTCCTCAACTCCATTTTGCTTGACCTGTTAGCAGAGTTTGGTACAAGTGATCAGTCCCCTCTTGAAATCGTTTCTCTGTCTGTCTTTAGAAAGACACACACTCCTGATTTTTTCCAATATATTAAAAGCCTTTACTGATTTCTTGACAAAAAGATGGTGAAGTCCAAGGCTCATTTCTTGATCATCTAAATTTTGCTGATTTCCTGTGTAATATTTGCTGTTACAATGATTGATGCAATTTCTATGGGCTAGCGAGCCCTACATTTTTATCTCAATTCTGAACTCTTAAAATATATCTTTAACATGATTTAACTTCTCTACTTGGGTATCATATAGGATTCTTGGAATTAACATGACCCATACCTATTGTTTCATTAGAGTCATCTAATAAGAACCTGCTAATCTTACTTTCTCCCTTAAGCTAATGAGTTTTCCACCCTTCTTGTTCTTCAAGCCATGATCTGGAAATCCTTAGTTGCTCTTCCTTTTTCTATTACGCATCACATCTATTTCATCAGCCTGTGTTCTTGTCTCTTCGGAATATATTGTATATTTGATCACTTCTCACTGTTGCTACACTACAAAATCCCCTTCTTATTTCTCCTACACTTGATCTTCTTCAGACAGGAAGGTCTTCATGCTTTTCTTGGTATATACTGAACATGCTCTTACCTTAGAACCTTTGCACCTGCCAATCTCTGTGCCTGGAATACTCTTCTCTGTTATATCTGTGTACCTTGATCTCTCTTCTTTAACTCTATACACAAATATCACATTTGAAGCAAAACTCTAACTAAATATTATTATAAAATGATTTATGCACCACTCCCACATCTCCTGTAACTTTATCGTGCTTTTTAATTTTCCCCATGGTTGTGCACAATGCAATATGTGGTATATTAATATTTTTACTAGCTTATTATCTGTAATCTTTGGCTAGAACATTACTGTCCAGTGTGACTTTCTGCTTGATGAAAAGTTTGCAGAAAATATAGCCTAGCCTCCTCACGTGACACTTAAGGATAAGTATAACTTAAAAATTTCACTCAGGTAGCCTGTGGTAGTACCAAGATTGGCACCATAGCCTCTGTCTGTCTGGTGTACTCTCTCTCTCTCTCTCTGAGTGTCTCTCTACATACCAAATGACAAATCAAAGCTTTCTAATCAGGCATTCAAGGCTGTGCATTAACCCTTCCCTAAATATATTGATGATTTAGACTCCCCGGCATAAAATTCTTAGGCTAGTTCGAATGTTTTCTACCTGGGTCTCAATGCTTCGTGGTTTACTAATTACATTTTGCTGCTAGCCATATCAATTAACTTGCAAAATGCAAAGTCCTAGATGCATATTTTTTAATGTGTGGGTATATGAAAATTACTTTATTGTACCTTCATATTCGATTTGTGACTTGGTAGATGCAGACGTGTACTTTAAAATGTTTAATTTGCCTTTGGAAATACTCACGTAATACTTAATGTTAAAGATGCCGATTTTTAGATTTTTGCTTCCCCTGCATTATTGCCTTTTTTTTTTTTTTTTTTTTTTTTTTTTTTGAGACGGAGTCTTGCTCTGTCTCCCAGGCTGGAGTGCAGTGGCGCAATCTCAGCTCACTGCAAGCTCCGCCTCTCGGTTTCACGCCATTCTCCTGCCTCAGCTTTCCGAGTAGCTGGGACTATAGGCTCCCGCCACCACTCCAAGCTAATTTTTTTGTATTTTTAGTAGAGACGGGGTTTCACTGTGTTAGCCAGGATGGTCTTGATCTCCTGACCTCATGATCTGCCCGCCTCGGCCTCCCAAAGTGCTGGGATTACAGGCGTGAGCCCCTGCGCCCGGCCGCTTTATTGCTTTCTGATTGGCTTTATTTTCAACTGTCTGTTTTTTTAAGCTTTCACAATCTTATTTAAACTTAAAAGAGCTTATTACTTAAATGTTGTTGCTCATAGGTATATTTCTGAAATATACTCAATTTCTCCTTGAAGGATGCTTCCTTCATTAGCTAATAAACCATCATGTTTCTATAGTTAATTTAAACTAATTTCTTGGGCAATTTGTCTAACGACACTGCCATTTTTTTTTTTTTTTTTTCGAGGCAATCTCACTCTGTCACCCAGACTAGAGTGCAGTGGCGTGATCTCGGCTCACCGCAAACTCCAACTCCCGGGTTCAAGCGATTCTCCTGCCTCAGCCTCCTCGGTAGCTGGGATTGCAGGCGTGTGCCACCACACCCGACTAATTTTTGTATTTTTAATAGACATGGGGTTTCACCGTGTTGGTCAAGCTGGCCTCGAACTCCTGACCTCGTGATCCGCCCACCTCGGCCTCCCAAAGTGCTGGGATTATAGGCGTAATCCACCGTGCCTGGCTGACACTATCACTTTTGCTAACTAACTTTTAAAAATGAATCAGTCAATTATAGGCAGGTAAAAAGAATCTGATACACATATATTTATATACATAGGCAGCACACAAATATATCTATATCTCTATTTATAACTATATACATATACACAGCAAGAGTGAGAGAAAAAGGGAGAAAGGGATTTTAATTTTATATATACTTTTGGTTTTAGAACCTTTCAAACCATTTTGGAAGTCAAAAAAGTTTGAATAAAGAAATATGAGAGCCATAAATTTTGAATATCTATCTTTTCTCTTACTAGACTATATGCAATCTCTTTTATTGCTGTATTTTAGTATACCTGTTTGATTAGTCATTTTGTCGTAGTGCTTATGAATTGTGTTTATTGCAACTCTTCCTGTTATATCCGTTCCCTAATACAACTCTGTTTATGCAAATGAGACCTTTCTTTGCTATATCCCGTGGGTCTACCTTGAAATGTTCTCATCCTTTATATTATAATTGTCTCTCAATAATATCATTTTTCATGTTCTGGAGGGAAAGTCACCGACTCTGAAACTGTATTCTGGTTTGTGATTAATATTTTATTCCTTTGTCATATATCCATGAAAAAGAACTATGCAACTGTGGGAGAGTATATATATACTATGTTATTTACTATAGCGCCCAAATTAAACATACACAGTCATAAAATATTTTAAAATTAGAAATAATATATGACTTTTTTGCTTTCTAGAGTCTCAGAATGTTTCTGGAATAATAATTATTTTTATTACAAAAATCTATTTTATAGCTTTCCTTACAGGTTAAGCATATTTTGGAACTTAGCCATATTAGCAATTTTCCTTTCCTTTTCATCTTCAAAAAGTAGAATTAGTGAACTTTAATGATTTGCTAGCGTGCTACTGAAACATTTTGCTGTTTGCATTGCAAGAGATAAATTATATATTTGCAACAAGCTACTTAAATTGTATCATAAAATGTCTTGCTAAATCTTACATTTCTAAATGACTGTCCAGAAAATCTGCTCTGGTAATTTTCTATGTACCACTCGATTTCTTCTCTCTGCCCTGCAGTTGTGCCTGAAGTCTGTCATCAATGCACAGCATTATCCAAATCCCTTGCCTTCTGGCTTTCAGTGGAGAAAGGTAGTTCAGGTCCATGTTCTTCTTGCTCTCACCTGAGGAGTGAAGGTCTGGTAGCGGGAGAATTTCCCCAACTCCTTTCAGAAGCCCCCTCCCTCAGCTGCCTTTATTGTTCCAGCTGCATTAACAGCTCTTTCCCCATCCCTTTAGAATTGATATTGTAAGGGTTTCCTCTCCACAACTTCACCATTACTAGTTCTGGCTAATTTACCATTTCTTGTTGGTTGCATTCAATTAACCTTTAAAGGTGTCAGAATCATGACTGTATAAAATCACTGTCAATTTTCTCTATTCCAATAATGGCATAAAGGATAGGATTCACAATCTCTTCCCTTGAAGTAATTTCTAGGTTAAGTAGACTGAGCAGAACCACGGAAGAATTGCTGAAGATCAAGTGATTTAACCTCCATAGACACTTAGATCAACTAACCTCAGCAGTAGAAAAGTAATATATAGTGATACATGATTAACATTGAGTGTAAAATATTGAGATTCTTGAAAAACATAACATTATTAAACTTCTTTTTGAGAGCTCCAATTCCATTGTTCCAAATGAATCAATTATTTGTGTTAGAAGAGATAAGTCATTTCTAGTGATCTTGGCATGGCATGATAGATGTGTGAGTGTGTGTGTGTGAGCACGTATATATTCATTTAATTAATTCTTAAATATACTATTCACTATTTTGCCGAGCAATATACCGAATATATAATGGTTTTAATTTGTATAAATTGAATATATATCTTATAGAGCATTACAATTGGTAGTTTACCACTATATTCATTCTAAATCATTGTAGTTCAATTAGTGACATTTATTATGTCAAATATTATAAATTTTTAATGAATAAAATTTGCTGCACTGAAATGTATTTAATAATCTAATATAGTATCAACAAACTTAGAAGAAACATTTGAATTTGAGACTTGACTTCAATCATTTTAAAATAAACTATCTCATGACACTAGATATTTCAGTTTTCAAGGGTTTACTGTAATTTACTAATATCTTATCAAAAGTTAATTAGCATTAGCTAATACTAGTGAAAATAAACTTTCTGTCAACATACCTTCTGTCCTGTAAATGAGAAGTTCCTGCTGGGCACAGTGGCTCAGGTCTGTAATCCCAGCAATTCAAGAGGCTGAGACTGGTAGATTGCTTGAAGCCAAGAGTTCGAGACTACCCTGAGCAATATAGCAAGACCCATTCTGAACAAAAACTTTTAAAAAATTAGCTGGGCATGAAAGTATATGTCTGTGGTCCCAGCTACTAGGGAGGCTGAGGTGGGAAGATATCTTTAGTCCAGGATTTTGAGGTTATAGTGAGCTATGATTGTGCCACTGCACTCCAGCCTGGGTGACAAAGCAAAAGCCTGTCTCGGAAACAAAAAAGTTTCTGTTGTGCATAAAATACATTTAATATTTGTCATTCTTAAAATATTTTATTATACTGTGACTTTAATATTCCAATTAACTAGATAATCCAAATAACATTTCTATTTATTTTTAAATATCACATTTCAAAAAATAATTTATTAGTTATATGTTATATAAAGAGCTTCTATATTATAGATATGTAACCCTGTTACATACATATATTAAATTGTGTAAAGTATAGGATAATAAACAACACCATCTTGTTGTAACATGCATTGATGAAATACTTATGTGATATAAATAGCTTAAAGAAATGGTGGTAATTGCAATATACGACTGCTAAGTAATTTTTACTAGGTGTAATTCTACATTAAATACAACTGTATTCTGATAATATAAAGATGCATGTTGCAATCAATACTAGATCAATAACTAAAAATTAATACAAATAATAATGCTAAATGTTAAATGTCAATGTAATCTAAATGGTATACTAAAATGTTGGCAAAATAAAAATAAGGCAGAGAAGGAGAAATGAAGAAATAAAAGTATGAGGTGAAACAAATATAAAACAGCAAAAATCAAGATTCTTCTGTATACCCTATCAGGAGATGCACTTCAAATATAAAGACATGGATCCTCTAGATTCCCTCTATGAGGTAGAAAGCTGGAAAGAGGCTCACACTCATCTTGCCACCCATAACATTTGGAAGTGATTTGCAAGATAATGGTTTTCCTTTAGACTATTAGAATTGAGTTTAAAGAGAAAAGATCAAGCCTAAAGTCCCAGGATACACCAAAAACTTTGTAAGAGAGGTGGGACACAAGAATATACCCATCTGTTACAGGGTACATGAGAAAGAAATGGCCATTTAAAAAATAATAATAATCTAAAGACAAAAACAGCGAATACTGTTTCTCCTAGGGTAGCGATGAAGATTTACTACTACAGAGATGGGGGGAGGTGGGGTGGGAATCCAACTATTTCCTAAAGGAAGGAAGAAAAATATTTTGAGCCCAGATCATTTAGAGATCTCTTATTATTTGAGGATAGGCAAAAATCACCAAGAAATTCCTCCTTTGAAACACAGAGCAAAGAGAAACTAAGAGAGGCTGACCAGCACAACAGAGAACATATGTAATTCCTATCATTACCAGATTAGCAAACCTTAAGTAATAAGAAATTGCATTATATGACAGAGGAAACACAACAATTTAAAGAGAGACTCTAAGATACGGGAATACAGGGAAGGTATAAAGGTAATAGTAGAGCAAGAATATTGAGGAAACACCCACGGACAAACTAGTCCTCACTCTATGTACAAGGTAATGTTAGAAGAATTTGAGGGTAGTTTTGTACTGAAATTAATAATAGTGAGAAATAAAAATAAAATTCTAAGCCTCACAACTCACTGAACAGACTCCCTTTTGGGCAAAGGAACCCCAGAGAAACCTTGAAAACTGATTTCTCAGACATAACTGGATGGGAGGTAAAACATACCTCGTTATAACCCCTTCCACACTGATAGCCACTAGGCTTTCTAACAGAAACTAGCCCTTTCAAAAGACTTTACTGATAATATCAACCAACTGACTGGCAGCTGCCCCTGACTTTTAGGGTTTCAACAGAACAACTGATCAGCATTTCTTCTTGACAAGAGATCACTGACCACAGAGTGGTTCTGGCCAGTCTATGGAGGATGCAGAGATGGTTTTCATATCCCTGTTTCACCTTTTGATGTCACAGGGCAAAATCCACACCCTTGGGTTATGCTAACACCATCATTTTTTTTTCACATGGGTCCCATGGGGGAGGCATGAAGCTCAATTGCCTATGCACATGCTTCTCCTTTCAAATATTCATGACTCCTCTTATAGCTAATTGAATATATGTTCCTGTCTTACTCCTCCCACCGTTGAATCATCTGTTTTTGGTTTCTGGCTGGAAGCTATGCTTCCCAGTCTGTTAGAAGGGCCATGTGGCAGGCTGCAGCCATTTATGAGAAATAAAACTCTTTTTTCTAAATTTATGAACCTTGTCATTCCTTAATTGACAATAGCAACAACAAGCTGAGGACCTAGATCAACTGCTGACTCAACTAACTGTGTCTCCCACAGTAACAGCATAGCAGAAGAAAAAGCATGCGTATTTCAAAGTACATATATTATTTACTACTGTTATTATCATCCTGTACACAATGTCCAGTATCTAACAAGAATTAAGAGAAACAATGAAAAACAATGTCAAAAGACAAAAATCAACATTACAAAGTTGGTTGGATGTTGGAAATATTAGACAGTAATTTAAAAATAAAAATAAAGTGAATAGTATGTTTAAAACTCAAGTGAAAAATTGACAGCAGGAATAAAAAAGGAGAATTTCAACAGAGAGATGGAAATTGAAAAAGAACTAAGTATAGACAGTAGAAATCAAAAATACACTAAGAGAGGTGAATAATGTATTCAATGGGCTGAAGACAGCCAACAAGTGATTCAGTGTACCTGAAGACAGATTATTATAATTTACCCAAGTGAAATATAGGCAGGATAAGCAAATGAACAAGAAGAAAGCATCCAGGGATATGGCAAACTATCAAATGGCAAAACATACATGTAATTGGAAATCCAGAAGGGAAAGAGAAATATCTAATGGTGAGAATTTTCTGCAAATAATGAAATATGTCAAACCACAGATCCAAGCAGCTTAGAGAGCCATAAATATAATAAATACAAGGACCCTCTAAAATCAGAGATGAACACAATTTCTTGAAGGAAAAGAAAAATGTCATAATGAGAAAAAAAGATAAGCTCCAGTAAATTTTCTGTTTTTGCAAATCCGAAGCAATATATACGTCGGAAGACAATGGAGTGACATATTTAAAGCAATACAAGAAAAAAATGTCAGTCCTGTCAGTCCCATATTCTATACTCAGTAAAAATACATATGATAAAGGACAAAAAAATACTCAGACAAGCAACAATTTTAATGAATTAATGATGAGTAAAAATGTGATACAAAAAGTATTTAGTCATTATTTAAGCTGGAGCAATATGCTATTGAACAAAATTTGAATCTATATAAATAATGAATGTCTCAAAATTGTTAGAATAATTATAAATGTTAAACAACTATCTTAGTCTTTTGTGGCTTCTATAATAAAATGCAATTATCTGGGTAGCTTATAAGCAACAGAAATTTAAGTCACACAGTTCTGGAGCCTGGGTGGTCCAAGATTAAGATGCCAGCATTTTCTGGTTCTGATGAGAGTCACATTCCAAGTTGTAGACTGTGGTACTTCTTGCTGTTTCATCACAAGGTTGAAGGGGGCAGGGTATCTCTCAGGAGCCCCTTTTATAAAAACATCAATTCCATTTATGATGGCTTAGCCGTCATTACCTAATAGCTTTTCAAAGTACCCCTTTTGTAGCACTATTACTTTAGTGCTTAGGATTCAACATATGAATTTTGGAGGAACAGAATCATACAGACCATAGCAAATATCTTTATTTTTTTAATGTTAATCACTAAAAATAAATTACATCTAAGGTGAGGCTTTGCAAACCTTTTTATTAAAGGATGAGATAAATATGTTAGGTTTTAGTGACCACATACGGAGAAATATATATGTGTATGTATGTGCCTCATGTATGCCTCACATATATTTATATTCATTTCTCCCCTTCTCGTTCCTCTTTCTCTTCTTCCTTTTCCGGGGTGGCTCCTTCTTTTTTCTATTCTTCTTCATCCTCTTTTTTCAATTCTTTAGATATGTAAAAAATGTACTTAGCACATTGAGCATACAAAGAAAATTAGATACTGTTGAATTTGGCCCATTGATGATAGATTGCATAGTTTATTTACACCTGTGTAAAGCAACAATCGTTGTAATGCAGGATAGTTTTACAACATACGTAACAATGTGTGGCACAGATAAAATAAAAGATGTATAGCAGTAATTGAATATATAATTTCCTAAGATTCTGACAGTATGAGTGAAGTAGTATAATAAAAATGGAAGCTAGATTTATTAGCCAAAAATACATACATTGTAATCCCAAAAGTATATGCTAATAATTTTTTTAAATAAGTTAAAAGAATGCAGAGAAGATAAATCAGAAAAATTACTCAGTTGACCCAACTGAAGAAAGAAAACAAAAAAAAGTACAAGAAACAAAGTGAGAATAACAAAAAGAAAATAACTATCAAGATGGACTACTTAATCAAATCATATAAATAATGACATTAAATATAAATGACTTACAGGCAAATTTTTTTAAAGGAGCTTGTTACCTTGTCCTTTGCTGAAAGCTTTTAAGTATTGATTTCTTTCTTTAGTTAACAAAGGATTAGTCACGTTATATACTGTATATTGAATGAATTTTGGTCATTTATGTCTTTAACTAAAGGTATCCCTTTCAAATAGTTTCTATATTATACTTATGGGCATAAATGACATTCTTCGTGACATTCTATTTTTCTCTCCTTCAAGGTCTGTAGGATATGTAGTAATGTGTCCCTTTATTACACATCCTTTTGGGGGCAGCATGATAGAAATTTGTCATTTTTATTGATATTTTCAAAGAAGCAGCATTGGTTGCATTGATTTTTTTTTCTTGTTCTCTTTAATTTTTTAAATTAATTTAGTCTCTTAACTTTATTGTTTCTATCATTTTCTTTGTTTTGGGCTTATTCTTTTTTTTTTTTTACCTTTTCTATGGTGGTAACTTACATTTTTGAGACAGTTTTTTTTTTTAATGCAAGCATTGAGTGATATTAAATTAGCTGGTTTAGCAACAAGATTATGTACACTGTGTTTTAATTGCCATTCAGTTCGTGATACATTCTAGTTTTCCATTTAACATTCTTTTTGATGACTCAGACTCTTATAAGTATGTTGTCTGATTTTTATTTACTTGAGAAATTTTCATGAATTTTTCTGATATTAAGAACTAGTTACATGTATTAATGGTAAGAGAATATAGTTTGACCACCTGATACAAAATCAGAAAGACAAATGAAAACTGAAGATCATTATTTCTCCTTATTTAAATATTAATTATTACATATTATTAATATTAAAATTAATATTAATAAATTTAAATTAATAAATTAAATATTAAACACATTTATTAATTTAAATAAATTTAAATTAATAAAATTAAATATTAAATATTATTAAATATTAATGATAAATAAATATTAAATATTAACTGTTTCACAAAATATCAAATGGAATCTGGCAAATGTAAAAATACTTTTGATTACGGCCAAGTTTTTATTTTTTAAATCTTAGGAAGCTATTATTTTTGGTTTTTATAATCAAAACACATGAAGTATTTCAGTATAAATCTTAAACATTTCTGCAAATATACATATTAAAGAGTAAAAAATACTGAAGAAACAAATTAAGGTACACTTGAAATCAAGAGTTATACTGTGTTTATAGTTCTAAAGATGTGAATTATTTCCAAATTTGACATAGATTCAATTTATTTTTATCAGATTTCTGTTCGGAGTTTTTGTTCAAATATGCCAGCTAATTCTAAAATGCGTATGCAAAAGGAGAGCAACTAGACTTGTTGAAACAATTTTGAAAAAGAACAAAGTTGGATTACACACTTCACCTAATTTTAAGCCTTATCATAAAGTGACAGTAGTCATAAGAGTGTGATGTTGGCAAAAGTTGTTTCAATATATGACTTGAATAGAATAGAGAATTCAGAAATAGCTCCAAACATATGTAGTCAAAAGAATTTTTACAAGGTGCAAAAGCAATTCATAAAATGAGGATAATTACTTTTAACAAATCATACTGAAACAAATAGTTATGCATATCTGCAAAAAAACCTTGACATATACCATTAAAAATACATCAAAAATGTAAAGGAAAATGAATCAAAATAGATCTATCTGTTAAATGTTAAACTTTAAAATTCTAGGAAATAAACATAGAAAACCTGCACACGATGATGTATTGTGCCTTTAAAAATGAAAAACTTCTCTTCAAAATATAGGGCTAAAAATATAAAGTATAATTCACAGAAAATATAAATTTTAATCCACAGATAGGGAGATAATATTCAAAAATAAATAGATATAAAAGGATTTGTATCTATAATGTATCGAGAACTCGCAAACTCATTAAAATTTTTAAAACACTATAAAAATGCCAAACATTTGAATAGGCACTTTGTCATATGCAAGATAATTAGACATTAGTGGAAATTAAAACCACAATGAGATAGCATTAAACACCTATTAGAGTTACTTTAAAAATATAGCATCATGTGCTGGTGTATGTGGAGCAACTGAAAATCTCATATATTATTAATGGAAGTGCAAATGGTACAACTAGTTTGAAAAAAATACAGTTTAGCATCTTCCTATATAAATAAAATCTTACCATATAATCCAATAATCCACATGACATATATACACACAGAAACGAAAAGCTTTGTTCAAAAAAACTTGCATATGATTGTTTGTGATGACTTTATTTATAAACACTCAAAACTGGAATCAATGAAAATTGCTTTAATGGGTGTTTGAATAAACAGACAGTATAGTATCTACAACAAAATAGATCACTCTTCTGCAATAATATAGTATTTTGGAAAGAAAGAATTGATTCACACAACAGCATGGATGAATCTTATAAAATAAGAAGAGAGTAGATGTAAAGACTACATAATGTATGATCAATTAATATGATATTCTAGAAAAGGCAAATTTATCACTGCAGTAAATAGAATGTTCATTGGCAATCACTGGGCGAGATATATAAAATTGCCTAAAGGTTTGAGTTTGACGAAAGAACTATATAGCATGATTATGTTGGAGGCTTTATAAATGTATACATTTATCAAAATTTCTAGGATTGCAGATAAAACAATGAACTTTACTGTTTGTAAATAATACATCAATAAACCAAAAATAAATAGCTATACAAAATGATCTCAGGCAAGATATCATTGGGGGGGAAGATATATTATGAAAATAGTGAACAAAAACAAAAGTCAGAATGATTATATTAATATCAAATAAACTGCACTTTAAGCCAAAGTATTATTAATAAAAAATAAGTAGGGGTATATTATATTAAAAATGAAAAACACAGGGAAAATATGTGAAAGATTGTATAGCCTTAAAAGAGAGCTTGAAATATATGCAGAAAAACTTGACAGAATTGAATATAGAAATAGAAGTTTTTAATTTTTATTTGGAGAGCTTTATTCACTTCCATCAGGAAAAAATGAGAGAAGTTTGAAACAAAATCAGTAAAGATGTTTTATTAGCCTCCTACATGATTATGCCCAATGACCTCTGCCTCCTTGTATTTGAAACCTCTTTTAATCACTTTAACTATTTTACTAGAATTTGTCTGTCTGACAAGTAGCATAGGTACAAATGATAGTATGTTACTTCAAACTGGAATCAACCCAAATGTTATTCAACTAGTGTATAATTATGAAAGACTGTAGTTTTGACATCTGTGTCTTTCCCTCTCCTCTTAAATCTTCCTCTGAGTGAAGCAAGCTGCCAAATGTTATTCAACTAGTGTATAATTATCAAAGACTGTAGTTTTGACATGTCTGTCTTTCTCTCTCCTTAAATCTCATGCTGTGGATGAAGCAAGTGGCTATACTGGATGCAACCTTACATAAAGTCACAAAAAGCAATGACAGTGACAATGTGTCAACAAGGATTTAAAAAGGAATAGAAAATTTGAATTAACCTAGATTAATTAAATAAATTGAGTTCATACTTAGATGTCCTTATATGATAAAATCTCTGAGTCCAGAGGTCTTCACTGGTGAATTTTATCAAACATTAAGATAGAAATGATACCACATCCGTACAAACTATATAAGCCAGTAGAGAAAAGAGAAGTACTGGCTAAAGGAATTATTATTATAAAGGAATTATTATTTTAGTAGCAAGACTAGACAAATATATTACAGGAAATGAAGACTGCTATGCAATACCACTTATAAACATATGTAACAAATACCTGCCTTGCCCCATTTCAGTGCTCAAGCACCCCTCCACATTGTCCCCCCACTGCCACCAGAGCATGTACACAGCATGAACCATGTTGCCCCTTCCCTGATTAAACACTTGTGTTAGAATGTCCACATTGGAGTGTTGTTGCCAACACACTTGGAACACCTCAGCCCCTCCAGCAAACCAGGTGCTTAACCTGAAATGGTCAGAGAACCAAGTTGTAGGCCCGGTACTAGCCCCCCAGGGATTGAGCATGCAGCTCGGGAGCGCTGAGCTGAAACTTGGCCTTCTGAAATCATCCAGAAATAAAGGGGGTTGACTGAACTGTCAACTCTTTTGACTCAGCTGTGTTACATTACGGTGAAACCCTCAAGGACATCAAAGAATAAAAATATTAAAACTGAATTGAAAGCCCAGAAATTTCAAGATTAAAGAAACATCAGCCCACACAGATGAGAAAGAACCAGTGCAAGAACTATGGCAACTCAAAAAGCCAGAGTGCATTCTTAACTCCAAATGACTACACTAGATCCCCAGCCATGGTTTTCAGCCAGGCTGAAATGGCTGAAATGATGGACATGGAATTCAGAATCTAGATAGCAATAAAGATCATCGAGATTCAGGAGAAAGTAAAAAACTAATCCAAGAAATCTAAGGAATCCAATACAATGATAGAAGAGCTCAAAAACGAAGTAACCATTTTAAGAAAGAACCAACTGATCCAATAGAGCTGAAAAACTCACTACAACTATTTTATAATGCAATCAAAAATATTAACAGCACAATAGATCAAGCTGGGGAAAGTATCTCTGAGCTCAAGGCTGATTCTTCAAATCTACTAAGTCAGACAAGAATAAGGAGAAAAGAATAAAAAACAATGAACAGAAACTCTGAAAAACATGGGATTGTGTAAAGAGACCAAACCTATGAATCATTGGTGTCTCTGAGAGGGAGAGCAAGCAAATGGGAAAACTTATTTGCAGATACTGTTCATGAAAATTTCCCCAACCTTGCTAGAGTGTTCATCATTCAAATTCAGAAAACTCTTGTGAAATACTGTACAAGACAACCATCCCCAAGATGTAGTCATCAGATTTTTCTTGATCATTTTGAAACAAAAAATACTAAAGGCAGCTTGAGAGAAGGGGCAGATCATGCACAGAGGAAACCCATAAGGCTACAGTGAACCTATCAGAAGAAATCTTACATGCCATAAGACATTGGGTGCCAATATTGAGCACTCTTAAAGAAGGAATTTCCAACAAGGAATTTCATATCCAGCCAAAGTAAGCTTCATAAGTGAAGGAGGAATACAATCCTTTTCAGACAAGCAAATTCTAAGGGAATTTGTTACCACCAGACCTGCCTTACAAGAAACCCTTAAGTGAGTGCTAAACTGGAAACAAAAGACCATTACTGGCCACCACAAGAACACACTTAAGTACATAGACACTTAAAGCAACTACACAATCAAGGTTGCACAACAACCAGCTAAAAACATGCTGGCAGGATTAAATCCATGCATATCAATATTAAGTTTGAATGTAAACAGGCTACTTACCCCACCTAAAAGGCACAGAGTGGAAAATTGAATAAATAAGCAAGACCCAATTGTATGCTGTCTTCAAGAGAACGATCTCCCATTCAATGACACTGATAGGCTCAAAGTAAAGTGATGGAAAAAAATCTATCAAGCAAACAGAAAATGAAAAAGAGCAGAGGTTACTATTCTAATTTAAGACAAAATAGACTTTAAACCAACAATGATTAAAAAAGACAAAGAAGGGCATTACATAATATTAAAGTGTTCAATTCAAAGGAAGGACTTAACTATCTTAAATATATATGCACCCAATACTGGAGCACCCAGATTCATAAAACGAGGTCTTAGAGACCTACAAAAACACTTAGATAATCACACAGTAAGAGTGGGAGACTTCAACATGCCACTGATAATATTAGATAGATCATTGAGGCAGAAAACTAGCAGATATATTTGGGACCTAAACTCAACACTTGACCCAATGGACCTAAAAGACATCTAGAGAATGCACCAAACAACAAAATATACATTTTTCTCATCTGCACATGGCACATACTCTAAAATTGACCACAAGTTGACCATAAAACAATTCTCAACAACTTTCAAAGAAGCAAAATCATACCAGCCACAATCTTGGATTAAAGAGCGATATAAATAGAACGCATTGCTAACATGATCTCTCAAAACTATGCAATTACATAGAAATTAAACAACCTTCTTCTAAATGAGTTTTGGGTAAACAATGCAATTAAGGCAAAAATAATGAAATTTTTGAAACTAATGAAAATAAAGATACAACATACCAGAATCTCTGGGACATAGCTAAAGCAGATACAATTTCATTGTTTACCCAAAACTCATTTAGGTGAAGGCTTTTTAATTTCCATGTAATTGCATAGTTTTGAGAGGCCATGTTAGTAATGCTTTCTATTTATATTGCTCTGTAGTCCAAGATTGTGGCTGGTATGATTTCTGTTTTTTGAAAGTTAAGAGAAAAGCTTATAGTGCTAAACACACACATTTTCTAACTATACATTTCTTTTTATATATTTCTATAATATATATTAAATATATATATTTCTAACATGTATATACATACATACATACAACAACCTCACATCACACCTAGAGAAACTAGAAATACAAGAGCAAGCCAACTCCAAAGCTAGCAAAACAGAAGAAAATAACCCAAAACATAGCTGAACTGAATGAAATTCAGTGAAACCAAAATTTGTTATTTGAAAGAATAAATAAGACTGATAGACTGCTAGCTAGAATAATAATAAGAAGAAAAAAGAGGAAAGATCCAAATAATCACTATCAGAAATGACAAAGGGGACATTACCACCAACCCCACAGTAATATAAAACAACCCTCAGAGACTATTATGAACACTTCTATACACACAAACTAGAAAACTCAGAAGGGGATAAATTCCTTCAAACATATGATATCCCAAGTGTGAGCCAGGAAGAAATTGAAACCCCATGCTCATCAGTAATGAGTATGAAAATTGAATCAGTAATAAAAAGCCTACCAACCTGAAAAAAATTCCTGGACTAGACGATTCACAGCTAAATTCTACCCATTGTATAAAGAAGGGCTGGAACAATCCTACTGAAACAATTCCAAAAACAAATGAAGAGGAATAGGGACTTCTTCCTAACTTATTCTGAGCCAGCATTATTCTTGTACCAAAATCTGGCAGAGACACAACAAAAAAGGAAAACTTCAGGCCAATATCTCTGATGAACACAGATGCAAAAAGCCTGAACAAAATACTTGCAAACCAAATGCAGCAGCACTACTAAAAACTAATCTATCATGATCAAATAGGCTTTATTCCTGGGATGCAAGCTTTGTTTAATATATGCAAATCAGTAAATGTAATATATCACATAAAGAGAACTAAAAGCAAAAACCATAATAGATCTTAATAGATGAGAAAAAGATTTTAGATAAATTCAAACATTTCTTCATGTTAAAACCCTCAGCAAACAAGACATTGAAGGGACATACCTCTAAAAAATAAGAACCACCTGTGACAAATCCACAACCAATATCATACTGAATAAGGAGTCCAATAAAATGAACTGAAACCATTCCCCTTGAGAACTAAAACATGACAAGAATGCCCACTGTAACCACTCCTATGCAACATAGTACTGGAAGTTCTAGGCAGACCAATCAGACAAGAGAAAGAAATAGAAGATATCCAAATAGGAAGAAAGGAATTCAAACTATCTCTCTTCACAGATGATATGATGTTATGCCTAGAAAACCCCATAGTCTCTGCCCAAAAGCTCTTAGATCTGATAAACAACTTCAGAAAAATTTCAGGATACAAAATAATTACTCAAAAAACAGTATTATTACAATATACCAACAACATCCAAGCTGAAAACCTAATCAACAATACAATCTCATTTACAATAGCCATAGAAAAAAATTAAATACCTGGGAATGCAGCTAGTCAGGGAAGTTAAAGATCTCTACAAGAATTACAAAATATTGCTGAAAGAACTCAGACATGACACAATCAAATGAGAAAGCAGTCCATGATCGTGGACAAGAAGAATCAACATTGTTACAATGGTCATATTGCCCAAAGCAATTTGCAATTCAATGCTATTCCTATAAAACTACCAATGTCATTTTTCACAGAATTAGAAAAAACTACTCTAACGTTTACAAGGAACCAAAAAAAAAAACTTGAATAGCCCAAGCAGTCCTAAGCAAAAAGAACAAAGCCAGAGGTAGCACACTGTCTGACTTCAAATTATACTGCAAGGTTACAGAAAAAAAAAAAAATCATGGTACTGGTATAAAAACAGCCATGCAGATCAATGGAATAGGATAGAGAACACAGAGATAGAGCCTCACATCTACAACCATCTGAACTTTGACAAAGTTGAGAAAAACAAGCAATGGAGAAAGGACTCCCTATTCAATAAACGATTCTGGCTAGCCATATGCAGAAGACTGAAACGGGATCCCTACCTTTCAACATAAATAAATACCAATTCATGATGGATTAAAAAAAATCTGACATGTAAAACCTCAAACTATAGGTATAGAGTTTATATAGTTTTATAGTTTACGTAAAACCATAAAAACCCCAGAAGGAAACCTAAGAGATACCATTCTGGACATAGGCTCTGATAAGGATTTCATAACAAAGACCCCAAAAGCAATTGCAACAAAATCAAAAAGTGACAAATGTGATCTAAATAAACTAAAGAGCTCTGCACAGCAAAAGAAACTATCAACAAAATACATAGAAAGCTTACAGAATGGTTGAAAATATTTGCGAACTATGGATCTGACAAAGGCCTAATATCCAGAGACTATAAAGGAATTTAAATGATTGAACAAGCAAAAAACAAATAACCCCATTAAAAAGTGAGCTGAGTATATGAGCAGAAAATTCTCAAAAGAAGACATGCATGTGGCCAAGAAGCATACAAAAAAGTGCTCAACATCACTGATTATTAGAGAAACACAAATCAAAATCACAATGAGCTACCATCTCACACCAAACAGAATGGCTATTATTAAAAAAACAAAACAAAACAAAACAAACAATAACAGATACTGGTGAGGTTGTGGAGAAAGGGAAATGCTTTTGCACTGCTAGTGGGATTGTAAGTTAGTTCAGCCACAGTGTGTGGGAAAGCAGTTTGGAGATTTCTCAAAGAACTTAACCCAGAACTACCATTCGACCCAGAAATTCCATTACTGGCTATATACCCAAGGGAATATGAATCATTTTACCGTAAAGACACATACATGCACATGTTCATTGCAGCACTATTCACACTAGCAAAGACAAGGAATCTACCTAAATGCCCATTAATTGTAGACTGAATAAAGAAAATGTGGTACATATGCACCATGGAATACTATGCAGCCATAAAAAGAGCAAGATCATGTCCTTTGCAGCAACATGGATAGATCTGAAGGCTACTATCCTATGTGAACTAAAGCAGGAACAGAAAACCAAACACCGCATGTTCTTACTTTTAAGTGGGAGCTAAACAGTGAGTACACATGGACATGAAGAAGGGAAACATAAACACAAAGGCTTACTTGAGGTTGGAGGGTGGGAGAAGAGTGAAGTTTGAAAAACAATCTAATGTGTACTACACTTGTTAACTGTGTGATGAAATAATCTGTACATCAAACCCCTGTTAACATGCAGTTTACCCATGTTTCAAGGCTGCCATGTACCTCGATTCTATAATAAATGTTGGAAAGGAAAAAACAATTCTTTTTTTTTTTTTTTTTTTTTTTTTTTTTTTTTTTTTTTGAGACGGAGTCTCGCTCTGTCGCCCAGGCCGGACTGCGGACTGCAGTGGCGCAATCTCGGCTCACTGCAAGCTCCGCTTCCCGGGTTCACGCCATTCTCCTGCCTCAGCCTCCCGAGTAGCTGGGACTACAGGCGCCCGCCACCGCGCCCGGCTAATTTTTTGTATTTTTAGTAGAGACGGGGTTTCACCTTGTTAGCCAGGATGGTCTCGATCTCCTGACCTCATGATCCACCCGCCTCGGCCTCCCAAAGTGCTGGGATTACAGGCGTGAGCCACCGCGCCCGGCCGAAAAAACAATTCTTATCATTATATAGACACATCAAGTCTAGCAGTATGTAAAAAGAATTATGCATCATAGCTAATTGAATTTTATCCCAGAAATGAAAGGCTGGTTACCAGTTGGAAATAACAAATCCAAAAATATTAAAAATAAAAAAGTAATGTAACAATGCTTTTAATTTGATTAAAAAAGAAAAAAACAATTAAAAATGTCAGATGCTTAATAAAACTGTCTTCACAGAGACAATATGTTAATATTCAAAAGCTTGTAAAACACTGCTCGATGTCACTAGTCTTCAAGAAATAGAAGTTAGAACTTCAATGAACTACAACTTCACAGTATAGGAATGATAAAAATTAAAACAGCTGAAAGTATTAATGACTCAGGCATTGTTACTGAGAATGCAAAATGGGATAACCACACTGCAAATGAGTTGGGGAGTTTCTTAGAAAGCTAATATACACTTACAATATGGTTACAAACCATCACACTTTTTGACATCTCTTCATTATAAATGAAGGCATCTGACCACAAAATGACTTTTGATTAATGTATTTTAATAGCATTATTCATATAGTCTAAAACTAGAAACAATCCAAACATTAACAGGTGAATGGGCAATTAAAATGTAGTATATCTGTACAGCGGATTACTATTCAGCCACAGCAAGGGAAAACGACTAATACACACAGAAACATGGATGAACCTCAAAAATGTCATGTTAATTGAAAAAAAATACAAAAGATGACATACCTCTTGACTCTGTGAATATAAATTTCCAAACAAAATAAACCTACAGTGATAGAAAGCAGATTAGTGTTTGCCTGGACTGTAGATATTTGGATTGAGCTGACTGCAATGGAGAATGAGGAAACTCGACAGGGTGATACAATTGATATACCTTAAGTGTGATTTTGATTACATGATTTTATTAACTGACCAAGAGTTAAGATGTAAATTTTAAGTGATTTAATTTTATTTTATGTAAATTGTATCCAAATAAATCTGTTAAAATCACTAGATTTTAAAAAAGATATGTTGAACTACACAAAATTTAAGAATTAAGTAAAAGACAACATTAATAAAGTGAGTATGTAAGACAAGTCACAGACTGGTAGGTTTCCCAATAGCCATATATGAAATCAACATTGTATCCATAATAGGTAAATCATTCATACAAATCAATAAGAAAAAAACAGTCTAATAAATATTTTAGGGGGCATTTGTTAAAAAAGAATTTACAAATGTTCTGTCAGTGAAATATACTTGACATTATCTGTGATCAGAGATTGAAATTACAACCAAAATATTATTCTACTGTATTCCCCTCCCATCAAAATGCCTAAATTTTTTTTTTTTTTTTTTTTTTGCAGGCAATCTGGGTGTTATGAAAGATGTAGACCAACAGAAACACTCATACCTTTCTGGTGACAATAGAACTTTGTACATTTATTTTGGAAAACCCTATTTTAGTGCCTTATAAAACTGAGCGTTAGATAATTATGGCCCAGATGCTCCAATGAGAAGTGTATACTTAAGAGATGAATGCCTGTGTGCACCAGAAGACATGCACAGACAGGCATGATTATAACAACTTTATTCATAACAGACCTGAATTGCATCAAATGTTCAACAAGTGAATAGATAAACAAATTGTGCTATATATTAATAGGAAGGAATACTACTCAGAAAAAACATAGGCAAACTGCAGACAACATTTTAAAATATATTGAGTTAAAGAAATGAGATACAGAAAAGTACATACTGCATGATACAATTTATATGAAATTCAAAGACAAGCACATGAATCTATGGTGATAGATCTGGAAGTCAGTAACTGAAAAAGAGCATGAAAGTATCTTGGGTCAGGGCAATGCTAGGTGTCTTGAGAAACATAGTAATTTCCTTGGTGTATAGAATTGTAATATATCATCAAGCCCAAGAATATGTCTTCTTCAATAACAATAACAAAACAAGTAAAAAAACTATGTGTTAAAAGACTATGTATAGGTTTAAGAAAATTACTCTATATGAGAAAATAGACCTTTTATCCAACTTAACACTTTCCCCCAAAAAGGATAAAGTGAGTAAGAAAGGAAATAGAAAGCCTTTTAAAAACTTTCATCCCTGAACCTAACATTCAAAATTGATAAGATTATATTTATATAGAATATGTCCTGAAAACAGATATATTTAAGTATCTGATTAATTTTTTATTTATGAGGTAGTCAGATTAAAATTTGACAAATGTAAAAATTTACTATAAAATAGAAAAGTATCATAAGTGTATTATAGATTTTATCAAAAATATTACTACCATTTTAGAGGAACTCTAACTGTTGAATCAGGAAGTAATTAAGCTTTTTTCTATATTGTCTCGTGTTCACTTGCTTTGATTGAAAGCTAACAATTCATATTCATTTCCTTTCATTAGTTTTAGATACATCTATTAATTTATAATTTTTTCTATGCAACCAATAGGTCCTATAAAAATTTATTTTTGTTAATGTTACATTAGAGAAAATTAAATATAAATTATTTTAAAAGCCTTCCCTTTTGAATGCTTTCTATAATTATCATTTACATAATGATCACTTTGTCATTCAAATAAATTGAGAGTCATAAAGATTGCCTTTAAAGAAGAATTGTAAAATTGGTTCCAATAGATATGATTCATATTTTGAATCTTTGAGAAATGGTTAGAAATAAAAATAAGGTAAAAGACATACTTTCAACCTCATTGCCATATATTTCATGAACTGTAAGAGAACAAATTTATTGGGGCTATAGGCAACTTAAATAAATATATAACTAAAAATGACTCATTGAAGAAATGCGTAATAGACACTTTGAATTGAACCACGACTAATACATTTATTCACAGAATAATTTGTTTGAAATGGCCTTTATATTGGGCAAGAGGAAAGTCTATTTATGAATGCAAAAACCTAAAACTGTTCAATAAATTATCAGCTTCATTTTGTAATTCCATAGTTGGCTTCTTTCTCTTCTATTCTTTTAATTCAATACAAATTTTGACTTTGGAAGAAATATTAACCTTAGTTTGATTGATAATTTGAAACACTATATTCAAGGAAACACTGAGAAATGTAATACTATAGTCGTTTTTTTTTTTTCTTCTGGATTCTTTGTGACAGAAAGATAAAGGAAAATAAATTACTAGGGGAGGTGAATAATAACCTTGTCAAAATGAACATGGGAAATGAAGATACTTGTAAAGTTGTGCTTTTATTTGAATTATGTATATAAAAACGAAAGATGAATTTCTTACAAATGGTTTATTTTTAACACATGAAGTGAAAATTCTATAATTTACACTTTATATAGCCAAGTAGAGCCCATTATTGCCTGCATTTGTGCACTATTTCCAGTATGAAAAGAGCAAGAACACACTTGCAATTTAGAAATCCTGTAAGGAAATGAAATTTGAGGGCAAAACTTAGGGAAATCTCATTGTGAGCTATGGTAATAGCATTTTTTTCTGACAAATCTAAAGTGTCTCAAAGGAATGATGAAATCACACACACTTGTTTCTACTAGATCACGGATTACAATTTTGGTCAGCATATGATGGGGACGAAGTGGTTCAATATAAGAGGGAGCACGATGATGTCGGGCTGAAAGAACCTAACCGAGGAGGCTTAGTCTGCAGCACACTTGAGACAGTGTCATGGGAAGTACTCTGAAAGAGTTGTGTGAACTTGATAGGAGAACCAGTTTCACGCTCTCAGCTTGATAGAGGTTAAGCCTTTCTGGATTCTGCAGTTACATTTTTGTAGGTATTTTAAATACTAGATATGTAAAATAGTTATACAGCAGTAAAATTTGTTTTTCTTATTTCTCTCTTTCTTCATACCTGTAATGAAAGGCATATGGAATTTGTATGTTAAATTTTTGGAATTAAAAGAAATTGGTGATTCACCAGCATGCTTAACTTTCATGGATAAATACTGTAATTTGTCTGTAAGGTGTATTCTGTTCACCCACACACTAATTAAAAAGATTTAGAGACTGTTTTTCATAATCCTAGCTTTCACATACCCTATGCATGAAAATTTATTTTTCATACTTCAGAAGTAAATTAAACTGTATGAGTAGGTCAACTGTTCTTCCATAAGCATTTCCTGTCAGGAAATTTAGACTAAAGAGTGGACTGAGGCTGAAGGATATACAGGTCTCATGCTCTTTTGAAATCACACTGAAGAAATGCTATACATTTGTCTTGGAAAAGTACTACCGAGTCATTGCCGCTGCTTCAGTTAAATAAGTAATACACTGGGGATCGTACTTTCTAGATCAATTCAGAACGTAAAAATTTGCCTTCCAGGTTTATCGATATAATTAATATGTTGCTAAATAGAGAGACAATTTAGGCAAGATTCTTAGACATAATTCAGATCAGACTACTTTGAGTATCTGAACAGGCCATTGAGACTTCTTCCCAATAAACAGCATTCATTTACACATCTGAGCATATATATAGGCTCAGGTGTTTTGCAAACTCTGCATTAAATAGCCAGAGTTCTCCAGGAGTAACAGAACGAGTAGGATGTGCATAGACATAGACATTGATATACATAGACATTGATTTATTTTAAGTAATTGGTTTACGTGATTATAGAGGCTGGCAAGTCCAAAATCTGCAAGGTGGGCAGACACTGTCAGGCCACCCCAGTAGAAATGATGTTGCAGTAGAAGTCTGAAGTCCATCTGCTTGCAGAATTCCTTCTTGCTCAAGGGACGTCAGTCTTTTTGTTCTATTCAGGCTTTCAGATGATTGCATGAGGCTTACCCACATTATGGAGTGCAATCTGCTTCACTTAAATCTACTGATTTAAATGTTAATCTCACTTAAAAATGCCCTTACAGAAGCCTACAGAATGTTTGTCCAAATATTTGAGCATTGTGGTCCAGATGCACTGACACATAAAATTAACCATCACAAGTCCACCCCTTGTCCTTCCGGCATCCATATGCATCTCCTTAAACCATATTTAATCTCTAAAAAAGGACAATAACAAGGTCATACTTCCACTTAACATGAGACAACCGGCCTGCATACAACTGAAAATGCACTAGCAATACCTAAATACTATTATTTAAATCAATACACATTGTGTTACATGATAAGGGAATAATAGCGGAAGTAAAGCAATGTTTGCTTAATATATGTACACAAACAATTGTAACTGGTTACTTGGTGTAGCTGATATTTCTAAATACATTCTTCCACTACTGTATTCCTTCTTCCATTCTGTATTCCTTTTCCCCTCAGCAAACCCCTCAGCTGATTGTATAATGTAATGCTAGATAAGCTATTTCTCAGTTCTCTCAGAAAAATAAGTGATGTCTCCCTGCTAATAATAGTATAAAATGATAATGAATATAGGCCACATAAGGACATGTTTCCTGCTCTCATTCAGCCTTCTGAGTAATTGTAAAATTAAACATTAAACACATAAACATATATATAACTACACAATTAAAGTGTTCTTAATGAAAATAAAATGAAGTGCCTAATTAAATGGAGAGTTAGGGAACACTCAGTCAATAACACTTAAGATGAAATAGGAGTTGAATGGGAATTAGGTAAAGAGTTAAGAAGGAAAACATTATTAGTAAAGTGAGCCACATAAAAGAAGATCTTATTACAGAAAACACTTTATCACATTCTAGAAACTGTTATATTTGTACGCATGTATATATATGGAAGCTACTAGCAAAGAAAGAGAGAAGAATACTTTGGGATGATGTTGGAGAAATAGACAAGGGCCAAATATTGCCGGACCTTGAGATTCAGTTTGAATAATGGAGTTTTAATAATTAAATAATGCAAGAAAATCCACTGAGGATTTTAAAGCTGAGGGAAGAAAGTGTAGGCCACATATCACTCTGGCTATCATGTGGGAAAATGGAATTTGTTAAGGAGGACAGTAAAACGATTCTATTAGTTAAGATAATGCTAGCTGGTTGTAATGACTATTTTGCATGCCAACTTGGCTAGGCCATATAGTATCCAGTTATTTAATAAAAAACAAATTTACAGCTGTGTGCGGTCGCTCACACCTATAATCCCAGCACTTTGGGAGGCCGAGGCGGTGCGGATCACCTGAGGTCAGGAGTTTGAGACCAGACCCGCCAACTTGGTGAAACCCCGTATCTACTAATAATACAAAAATTACTCAGGCATGGTGGCAGGCGCCTGTAGTCCCAGCTACTTGGGAGGCTGAGGCAGGAGAATCACTTGAACCAGGGAGGTGGCAGTTGCAGTGAGCCAAGATCATGCCATTGCGCTCCAGCCTGGGCGACGAGAGCAAGACTTTGTCTCAAACAAACAAATCAACAACAACAACAACAACAAAAACAAAGTTGTGTGTTGTTGAAAAGGTATTACATAGATGTGGTTAACAGTTACAATTAGTTAACTTTAAGTAGAGGAGATTACTCTCATTAATGTGTTGGGCCTCATCCAATTATTTGAAGGTCTTAAAAGCAACAGCTGAGGTTTCCTAGAAAGGAAGAAATTAGCCTCATGACTGCATTGTAAAATCTTTCCCAAGTTTCCAGCCTGCCTGCCTGCTGTACAGATTTTGAACTTGCCAGTTCCCATGATTATCTGAGACAATTCCTTAAAACAAATCACACATACACAAACACCCCTCCTATTGGTTCTGTTTTTGTGAGGAACTCTGATTGATACTCCAGGTATCAATTAAAACTATCTGTGAATAAACACAAAAACAAATTTGTTTCTAAAATAGCCATTTAATGTGGTTGTTCTTGGTTCACAGTTTTCCTACTAGTGTTGATTCAGAATCCAGATTTTTTTTTATTGTGTGCAATATAATTCCCTAAAGTAGTTCACAAAGAAGTCACCACTTCTGAAGCTTGAGGCCCCAACCACAGAGAGTTTTGTTTGCTGGTTTGTTTGTTTTGTTTTTATTTCTAGTAGATTTGATTGGCGATGAAGAATTTGCATTTCTTTTTTTTTTTTTTTTGTCAGGTTTGTCGAAGATCAGATAATTGCAGGCGTGTCATCATATTACTGCATTCTCTATTCTGTTTCATTGGTCTGTGCATCTATTCTTGTACCAGCACCATGCTATTTTGGTTACTGTAACCCTGTAGTATAGTTTGAAGTCGGATAGCGTGATGCCTCCAGCTTTGTTCTTTTCGCTTAGGATTGTGTTGGCAGTTTGGACTCTTTTTTTGTTCCATATGAATTTTAAAATCATTTTTTCTAGTTCTGTGAAAAATATCAATGGTAGTTTAATGGGAATAGCATTGAATCTATAAATTGCTTTGAGCAGTATGATCATTTTGATTATATTGACTTTTTCTATGCATGAGCATGGAATGTTTTTTCACTTGTTTGTGTCATCTCTGATTTCTTTGAGCAGTGGTTTGTACCTACATGCAGCCAACAAGCATTTGAAAAAAAAAGCTTAGTATCACTGATCATTAGAGAAATGCAAATCAAAACCACAATGAGACACCATCTCACACCAGTTGAAATGACTATTATTAAAATATCAAAAAATAACAGATGCTGGCAAGGTTGTGGAGAAAAATGAACGCTTATACACTGTTTTGTTTTTGTTGTTGTTGTTGTTTTTTGTTTTTTGTTTTGTTTTGTTTTCCGAGATGAAACCTCACTCTGTTACCCAAGCTGGAGTGCAGTGGCACGATCTCGGATCCCTGCAAGTTCTGTCTCTTGGGATCAAGCAATTATCCTGCCTCAGCCTCCCAAGCAGCTGGGACTGCAGGCCCATGCCACCATGCCCGGCTAATGTGTGTGTGTGTGTGTGTGTGTGTTTGTGTGTGTGTGTGTGTGTATTTTTAGTAAAAATGGGGTTTCACCATGTTGGCCAGGCTGGTCTCGAACTCCTGACCTCATGTGATCTGCCTGCCTTGGCCTCCCAAAGTGCTGGGATTACAGGCATGAGCCACTGCACCTGGCCATACACTGTTGATGGGACTATAAATTAGTTCAGTCATTGTGGAAGACAGTGAGGTGGTTCCTCAAAGACCTAAAGACAGAAATACCATTTGTCTCAGCAATCCCATTACTAAGTATATACCCAGGGGATATAAATTATTTATTCTATTCATATTATAAAGACACATGCACACATATGTTCATTGTAGTACTATTCACAATAACAAAGACATGGAACCAAACCAAATGCCCATCAGTGATAGACTGTATAAAGAAAATGTGGCACATATACACCATGGAATACTATGCAGCCATAAAAAAGAAGGGAACCATGTTCTTTGCAGGGACAGGGATGGAGCTGCATACCATTATCTTGAGCAAACTAACACAAGAACAGAAAAGCAAGTACTGCATGTTCTCACTTATAAGTGGGAGCTAAATGATGAGAACACACAGACACAGAGGGGACAACACACACTGGGGTCTATAAGAGGGTGAAGGATGGGAGGAAGCAGAGGATCAAGAAAAATAACTAATGGATACCAGGCTTAATACCTGGGTGATGAAATAATGTGTACAACAAACCCTCATGACACACATGTACCTATGTAACAAACCTGAAGAGTTTGCATATGTACCCCTGAACTTAAAATAAATGTTACAAAAACATCAAATGTACTGCAGTTGTTTTCCCTAGAAGGATTCAAAGATTCATAGAGGGCATGCATCAGAACAATCTAGAGTACACGAAAGAGGCAAAATTCCACAGCCCCAGTCTTGTTCTACTGAATTATAATGTCTGGTAGTACAGGCTAAGATATTGCATTTCTAACAATCTCCCCATATAATTGTGTGCCTTAAAATATTAGATGAAGTAGGCTAAGTCACAGGGAAGTGATACAGATTCAAATAAAAAGAATGCATACTTATTTTGAAACAAGCAATTATATCAAGATTTCAAAGAATAACTAATTTCTCACTTAGCACTGTTTCAAAGTAGACTCATGTTTATTATCTATTAGGCGAAAATATTTGAGGGTGGTATCAGTCTCATCAATACGCAGGTCATAGAGATTGTAAATATTCTCACCTTTTGTACATTTTTTGAGATTATGGAAATTTACAGTTTATGTAACAAAAAATAGAAGAAAAAATAAAGCTCAGTAATATTTCCAATTGACCACTGTTGGACAGGTAGAGAAAATAAGGCACAAAAACCATAAGTAGATAAAAATAAACATACGACTGTATCTTTACAAGGAATAACTTGCCATAAGTTATTGTATCCTTTCTGAGGTACAAATGCATATTGACAGAAGACAGTAGTTTACTCCTTTAATACTGTACAGTCTATAAAACAAAACTTCACAGAATTGAAAAATGGTCTCATTCACTAATATTAAGAATTAGAATAAGTCCCCAGCTATCTTTGTTTTATCTTTAACAATTATATTAATTCCAAACTACTTTATAGTACAAAAGTTGTATGCAGTTCCAGGCTATCTAAGCAGTCTTGGAGTTTAGTTTATTTTGTTGTTGTTGTTGTTGTCTGTTTGTTTTTAATATGATCACCTTTACTTTTCCTAAATCTGGAAGAGAAATGCACAAAGTTGTAGTGGGCCTTGTATCTTATGCTTGTGGAAATTACTGTTGAATGTCTAGTGTCCTCACTCGCCCTGCTTTAAGTACCAGGCAATGCAATTCCATTGCATTCGGGAAATGCCGGAGAGACCTCGATCTCAGAGAGGTAAAACCCCACCAGGGTCCCAGGTGATGAATCATACTTTGTCAAAGCAGTAATAATCCGACTCCATTTCATCGGTGCTTAGTCTAAGGATGTTCTTATAATTCAGTGCTAGTCATGAGAAGAAATCAGCTGAAGAATCTAGTATCTCCCACTGCTATAAAGAAATAAGTGAGACTGGGTTACTTATAAATAAAAGAAGTTTAATTGGCTCTGCAGGCTGTCCAGGAAGCATGATGCTGGCATCTGCTTAGCTTCTGGGGAGGCCTCAGGAAACTTACAATCATGGCAGAAAGCAAAGGCAGAGCTGGCACTTCACAGGGCTGGAGCAGCAAGGGCTGGGGGAGGTGCCATACAGTTTTAAACAACCAGATCTCATAAGAACTCACTCACTATTATGAGAACAGCACCAAGGGCGAATGGGGCTAAACTATTCATGAGAAATCGACTCCATGATCCAATCACCTCCCACCAGGCCCAACATCCAACACTGGGAATTACAATTCAACATGAAATTTGGGCTGGGACACAAATCCAAACCATATTAGACCTTTATCACCTACTATGTAGACAAAACATATGTTTTTCTTCTGTTCTCATGCCACAGTTATCAACACAAGAAGTTTCTGTGACTAAATGTGTGGAGATTTCTCTCTGTTCACAAGCAAGCAAGCAATTTTACAGCAGCTATCAGCTGGCAGCTCCTGATCCAGTTCAATTCTGATGCTGCCTACCTGAAGATTATGTCAGATCTCCACAGCTTGAGAGCTCAGTCCCGCAAGACTGCCCCCAGTTCCTTCACCAGTCACAAGTCCAGACCCTTGGAACTTCTGATCTATTGCTTCAAGTTGGAGTTCCCATGGCCTTCTCTTTAGGCTCTATTAATTTGTTAAAGTGTCTCAGAAAACCCAGAAAAACATCTGTTTACATTTACCCTTTTATTATCAATAACATTTTAAAGGATACAAATAAACAGTCACATGGATAAATATATAGGGAGAGGTCTGGAAGGGTCCTGAGCACAGGAGCTTCTGTCTCATGGATTGGGGGCGTGCCACCCTCCTGGCACATATGTGAGCTCTTGTTCACCTTTCTGTAAGCCTTCACAAGTTCAGCTGTCCAGAAGCTCTCCATCCCCCATTCTCTTGGGCCTTTTAGGAAGACTTCCATGGAGAGGTATGACTAAGTTATGGACCACCATGTCAAAATGTGATTGGATGAAATGAGTGTGATCTAATACTGAGTGGAAAACCCAGCAAGGCCTGTCTGCCCAGATTCTTCTTGGCCCCTCTGTGCAGCATTCTTTTCTATAGGGCTTGGAGCAGGACCCCTCCTGAAATGGGGATCTTATGACCCAAAATAGGACAAAGTAGTTCAGTGTATTAGGGTTCTCCAGAGGGACAGAACTAATAGGATATATGTATGTATCCTATTAGTGAGATATGTATCTATATATCCTATATATATCCTATATATGAAAGGGAGTTTATAAAGGCGAATTTACTCACACAATCACAAGGTGAAGTCCCACGGTAGGCTATCTGCAAGCTAAGGAGCTAAGAAGCCAGCACAAGTCCCAAAACCTCAGAAGTAGGGAGGCGGACAGTGCAGCCTTCAGTCTGTGGCTGCAGGCCTGAGAGCCCGCAGAAAACTGCTGGTGTGAGTCCAAGATTCCAAGGTCAAATAACCGTCTGACATCCAAGGGCAGGAAGAATGGACAGAAGCATACAGCACAGGGCCTGGTGTGGTGGCTCATGCCTGCAATCCCAGCGCTTTGGGAGGCTGAGGCGAGCGGATCACCTGAGATCAGGAGTTTGAGACCAACCTGGCCAACATGGTGAAACCCCATTACTACTAAAATACAAAAATTAGCCCAGTGTGGTGGTGCATGTCTATTGTCCCAGCTACTAGGGAGGCTGAAGCAGGAGGATCACTTCAACCTGGGAGGCAGAGGTTGCAGTGAGCCACGATTGCACCACTGCACTCCAGCCTGGGTGACAGACAAACAAACAAACAAACAAACAAACGAAAAACGCATACAGCATGGGAGAAAGATGAAAGCCAGAAGACTCAGCAAGCCAACTTATCTCACCTTCTTCTGCCGGCTTTGTTCTAGCCGTGCTGGTAGCCGATTGGATGGTGCCCACCCACATTAAGAGTGGGTCTTCCCCTCACAGTCCACTGACTCAAATGTTAATCTCCTCTGGCAACACCCTCACAGACACAATACTTTACCAGCTATCTAGGCATCCTTCAATACAATCAAGTTGACAACTAATATTAACCATCACACTAGAAGAATTTCTTTATGAGCAGCTCTAAGACACAAATTCAGGAGATTAGAGTGTATTTTTAGCTTCTATGGCCTGCCTTGAGGAGAAAAAGGAACAGGTAAAAGAGGGGCAGGAGGAGGTCAGAGAGAGGTTCTGTTTTCCGAGATTGCTTCCGGGGCCTAACGCATCCTAAGGTTATAAGCAAAGATCATCTTTCACCTTTATTGTTCTGAAGCTGTCCCAAAGCTGCTTCAGGACCGAAAAACAAAAGGCCAAATAGTTTAGCAAAAGATCTGCTTATTGTTTTAGTCACTTAGGAAAGAATAGAGGCTACGGGAGTTATGAGCCAGGAACTGTGGATGAAACAAATATTTCTTTATCATAATATTACACCTACTGAAAAAATACTTTGCACGGCAGCACTTCCGAGGTGCCCGTCTTTATGCCCTGCCCTTCCTTACTACCACAGGCACTAAAGTGAGGGTTTATAACCTATGCATTTTGAGTAACAGGTCAAAAAATGACAGAGATGTGATTGTCCCTTGCCATTGAAACCAAAAATGTCACCAACTTCCAGACTTTGTGTGAAGGGAATAATACATTTTCTTATGGTTTGTGACAGTGTTGGCTTTTTTGTGAAAAGGTTTATGAAATTTTATACTAGTGCTAATATACTAACAATGTTAATTCAAAGATTATCTGATCTGTTGTTCAGAATCTTAAAATTCCATGACTGTGTAAAGATAGTAGGGCTGGCCCGGCGCGGTGGCTAACGCCTGTAATCCCAGCACTTTGGGAGGTCGAGGTGGGTGGATCACGATGTGAGGAGATCAAGACCATTCTGGCTAACACGGTGAAACCCCGTCTCTACTAAAAATACAAAAAAAAATAGCTGGGCGTGGTGGCGGGCGCCTGTAGTCCCAGCTACTCAGGAGGCTGAGGCAGGAGAATGGCGTGAACCCGGAAGGGGGAGCTTGCAGTGAGCTGAGATAGCGCCACTGCACTGCAGCCTGGGAGACAGAGCGAGACTCGTCTCAAAAAAAAAAGATAATAAGGCTGAGCACTTGGTCTCAAACTGGACATTTGGGGCTATGGTCAGAAGAGAACCTGCCTAATGTAGTTAAGCTAACCACATATCATCAGCAGTCAGAGTTTAGCTAGATGGGGTTGTTTTTGTGGAGCAAACGCATTTTAACGCCAGCAAAGTTATGAAAATTTTGGGCTTCACTACATGAAGTCTATTAGGGAATTTTTCACTTGAAAATATTGGCTAGGTATTTAGCCTTTAATGTGGAAGTTAGCCATCAACAAAGTAAAATATAAAGCCCACTGCAGGCAGCATTCCTTGCCAAAAACATCTAATTTTTGTCATGGGACATGATCAACAATCTTTGGTTAGAGGGAATATTAATTATTTGGGACCACATCATGCAGAGATAATTTAGTCCTTCACAGAGCAACTTCTGTTGTTCTATATAAAGCCCTTTGGCAGCAATCATAGGTCCATTTCACACAATAAATTTGTGAATTGGAACCATATCTGAGCTGTCACTATCGCACCACATCATTTCAAGTATTTTTTAAGGCTAACATGACAGCGAAGATTATCCAAGGGGAGTTTTTGATGAAAATTGGATAGTAGCATCCATTATATATCTTGATCACTCAACATATCTAGAATACAAGGACTTTGATGGCAAAGACCGTTATCTCTTTTGTTTACTGTGGTGTTCCTAGCGTTTAGCAAGAGTATCTGATACGTGATAACTATTGTTGACGGAATCACTAAGTTAATACAGCATTCTCTATTCAAAAAAAATGTAGTTGGTATGTCCGTATAAATAATGAAGCAGGTATTTATTTGAGATATAGACAATTAGTTATAAAACAAAGAACATATTAAAAGCACCACTCTCTGTAGATCTGTTCTGATGTAGCTTTTACTCATTATGGAATTGTCCAGACAGGTTTTCTCCTTCTAACGTAAAACAGAAGCCAAAATGTTTTATCTAAATAATACAGTTAAGTACATATGTAGTTAAAACACACACAAAAACATGTAAATGTTAAAAACACCTTAAGTAACAATATTTATGGAAATATGATAATATAAAAATTCCAAAAAAATAGTATGCATTACACTTTATTTGTATGCTAAGAAAGTGTGGGGACATATAGAACAGACAAAAATAAAAGATGCCTCCTTGATTCCTTTGTTAAGAAGCTTACTGCACTGTGGCAAGTGGTGTGATCCTAGAAGTTATGGTTTACAAAGGATAATCAGAGGATACTTTGGGGCTGACATTGAGGATATTTACTACTTATCCAAATGTAGATGTACAAGAGTTACTTATATTCATTCATGCATTCAGAAACTACTTTTTTAATAGCATAGTTTGTTGGACACTGTCCTAAGTGTTAGAGAAAGAATTAATCCAGAGAGAAACATTCTTGCTATTCAGATAGAAAAAATGATATTGAGATTGCCAAAGAAACAGGAAAGATAATTTTTTGAATTGGAAAGAGTTGTCAATATTATTTATTCACAGACAATTTAGAAACTCAAAAATACCCTTGAACTTAGCTGCGCACAGGTCACTATTGGCCTTGGCCAGAGCAATATACATGAAGAGATGGAAGTGGAGGCTAGATTCTGATTTTCCAATCTGCAAGGGTTTCATACTGACTGCCATAACTCATAATTTGTTCTGGTAAATCACACCATTGAAAATTAGAATATTTATTTAGTCAAGGAGCAGAGGTAGAAGGCATGCAGTGAGACATGGTGATGGTGTACTATTGTCTCCTTCAACTTCTTGTTAAGTATATTTGGATATATGGAGTATTTAATTTTGGTGTGAAAACTAAGCAAAATAATACAACCATGTGCACAGTTTAAAGATCAAAGATGCTGTTCACTAAAATGTAGATTAAAATGGCACTGGCCCAGTTTGAGACAAAGTATTCTGAAATAGAGAATTCTTTAGTACACTCTGAAAATGCTTTTTAGCAATTGCTTTATTACTCTAGTGCTTCAGTTTCATCTCCTCTTCATAATAATTTATGAAAGAGTTTATGATATTAATAAATTAGCCACCATTTATTTTGTAGAGATAGAGCAAATGCAACCTTTATTATATCAAACATCATATCAATTCCTTAGTATTTTCTATTACTTTTCCTGGGAAAAGTAAAAGAAATAGAAATTTGTATTGGATTTCTGTGGGTCCTGGAGTTGTTTTGTTGAGCCATATTTTCTCAAAAAGTAGAGAATATAATGAATTGATTTTTATAGGTAAAATCAATATTACATATTGATAATACAAATTATATTTACTATATGACATGTAAATGTATACTATATGACATGTAAACAAACTTTATATGAACATGTGCCTAATATATTAGCTATTTTGTAAACTATATACATACATATGTGATATGATTTGGCTGTGTCCCCACTCAAATTTCATGTTGCATTGTAGTTCCCATAATCCCCATGTGTCGAGGGAGCGACCCAGTGAGAGGTAATTTAATCATACGGTAGTCACCCTCATGCTGTTCTTGCGATAGTGAGTGAGTTCTCATGAGAGCTGATGTTTTTTTAAGGTGCTTTTCCCCCTCTTGCTAGGCACTTCTCTTACCTGCTGCCATGTAAGAGGTGTCTTTGCTTCTCCTCAGCTTTCCACCATGATTGCGAGGCCTCCTCAGCCAGGTGAAGCTATGAGTCCATTAATCCTATTTTTCTATATAAATTACCCAGTCTCATATACGTCTTTATTAGCAGTGTGAGAACAGACTAATACAGTACGTTGGTATCAGGAGTAGGGTGCTTCTATAAGGATATCTGAAAGTGTGGAAGCGACTTTGGAACTGGGTAACAGGCAGAGGTTGGAACAGTTTGGAAAGCTCAGAAGATAGGAAAATGTGGGAAAGTTTGGAACTTCCTAGAGACTTGTTGAATGGCTTTGCCCAAAATTGTGATAGTGATATGGACAATGAAGTCCAGGATGAGGTGCTCTTAGATGGAGATGAGAAACTTGTTGGGAACTGGAGAAAAGGTGACTCTTACTATGCTTTAGCAAAGAGACTAGTGGCATTTTGCCCCTGCCCTAGAGATCTTTGGAACTTTGAATTAGAGAGAGATGATTTGGATATCTGGCAGAAGAAATTTCTAAGTGGCAAAGTGCTCAAGAGGAAGCAGAGCATAAAAGTTTGGAAAATTTCCAGCCAGATGATGTGATAGAAAAGAAAAACCCATTTTCTGGGGTGAAATTCAAGCCAGCCACAGAAATCTGCAAAAGGAACGAGGAGCCAAATGTTAATCACTAAGACAATGGGGAAAATATCTCCAGGGTATGTCAGAGAACTTCATGGCAGTCCCTCCTATCACAGGCACAGAGGCTGAGGAGGAAAAAATGGTATTGTGGGCTGGGCTCAGGGCCCCTCTGCTGTGTGCAGCCTAGGGACATGGTGCCCTGTGTCCAAGCTGTTTCAGCCATGACTAAAAGGGGGCAAGGTACAACTCATGCTGTGGCTCCAGAGGGTGCAAGCCCCAAGCCTTGGAAGCTTCCATGTGGTGTTGAGCCTGCAGGTTCACAGAAATCAAGAGTTGAGGTTTAGGAATCTCTGCCTAGATTTCAGAGTATGTATGAAAATGCTTAGATGTCTAGGCAGAGGTATGCTGCAGGGGAGAGGCCCTCATGGAAAACCTCTGCTAGGGCAGTGAGGAAGGAAAATGTGGGGTTGGGACCCCCACACTGAGTCCCTACTGGGCCTGTGCCTCGTGAAGCTGTGAGAAGAGGGCCACTGTCCACCAGACCCAAAAATGTTAGATCCACTGACAGCCTGCAGTGTGCCTGGAAAAACCGCAAACACTCAATGCTAGCCTGTGAAAGAAGCCAGGAGAGAGGCAGTTGTACCCTACAAAGTCACAGGGGCAAGGCTGCCCAAGGTCGTGGCAGTCCAGCTCTTGCATCAGAGTGACTTGGATGTGAGACATGGAGTCAAAGGAGATCATTTTGGAACTTTAAGTTTTAATGAGAGCCCTATTGGATTTCAGATGTTCATGGGGCCTGTAGCCACTTTGGTTTGACCAATTTCTCACATTTGGAATGGATGTATTTACACAATGCCTGTACCCTCATTGTATCTAGGAAGTAACTAACTTACTTTTGGTTTGCAGGCACATAGGCAGAAGAAACTTGCTTTGTCTCAGATAAGACTTTGGACTTGGACTTTTGAGTTAATGCTGGAATGAGTTAAGACTTTGAGGGACTGTTGGAAGGGCATGGTTGTGTTTTCAAATGTGAGGACATGAGATTTTGGAGGGGCCAGGTGTGGAATGATATGCTTTGTCTGTGTCCCCACCAAAATCTCATCTTAAATTGTAGATCCCATAATCGCCACATGTCAAGGGAGGGACATGGTGGGAGGTAATTTAATCATGGGGGCAGTTACCCTCATGCTGTTCTTGTGATAGTCAATGAGTTCTCACAGGATCTTATAACCCTTTTCCCCCTTGTGCTCCACGGTTCTCTTGCCTGCCACCACGTAAGATATGCCTTTACTCTTCTGCCTTCCACCATGATTGTGAGGCCTCCCCAGCCATGTGAAACTGTGAGTCTATTAAACCTTCTTTTCTTTATAAATTACCCTGTCTTGGGTATGACTTTATCAGGAGCATGAGAACAGACTAATACAATATGTTAAAAAGTATAGAATATAATCACCTAATTTTGATTATGTAATACTTAACTAATCAAGAGAGGAACTCCGTTATTCCTTAAACAGTTTAAAATGGATTAAAAAAAATCCCTTTTTGTATTGTCTGGTTATTTGATTAGCTTGCTGTAGAAAAGCAGATACAGCTCCAAATTTGTATGTATTTGAATCATGTAATGCATAAGCTTATGTACAAATTAATAGAATGAACATTTCTCATGCTTATATAGTTCACGCTGACTATAATTACTGTTATGAGTTTTATAACTTATAAGTCTTTTTATATCCCATTCCTTCAGTTGGCTTGGAAGTTGCATACCTTTTTATAATTATCTTATTTTTATGATTATATTTATTAAACATGCATTTCAAGTTTGTCAAGTCTAATGTTAGTGTATTCACTTTTTTCTCGGTCAATGCAAGAACCTTCAAAATATTTATATGTAGTCCATACTATTCAACTTAATGTGATTGTCATTCTGTATTTCAATAGTAAATATTTGATTTAACTTCCAAAGAATATATTAAATAGTCATAATTTTTAGTTTACTGGCATAGTTAGCATCTCCATGGCTCATTATTTCTCTCTGGTCCCCGCCATCCCCATGTCTATGACTTAACTTTGCTTATATTATTTCTGCCTTTAGTATTTCCATTGATGCTGGTTTGCTTTCAATCTTTCTCTCATGTTTTCTTTGTATAAAATATTTTTATTTCAAGATAAGCATTTTTATTTTATTAGTAAAATAAAAGAATACTTCTTTTAAAATATTGTTATGTTGTTTTATGTATGTTTTATTGATCTAACAAAATCTTCACCTCATATTTTATCTCCTTAGTAGCTGCAGTATTTGAAACTCCCATGGGTCTGTTTCTAGTGTTGGTTGATCTTGCTACATGTCATTTAACACTGTCTTTCCTCCTCGTAGGTCTGGTCATTTTTGATTGAGTGTAAAAAGTGCATTTAAACAATATTTTAAAATAGTGTATACTAAGATGATGTTTTTCCTTATGCTATAACTTCATTACTTGTTTCAGACATCTTAGGCCATTAACAAACTAAAGTCACGATATTTTAATTTGAGGATTAAAATGATTCAAGCTAGTTTTTGGTTAAGTGCCAGAATATTACACCTGACTCTTTCAGGGTGACAAAATAAAATTTGGTGAGGGTAGGTTAGCAGGGCTGCCTTGCAGGCCAAGTCTGGTCTCCAAATTTTGTCTGCATAACCCCACTGGGCTCTCAAAACTCATCTCAGGCTTTCTGCTACATCTTTCATGAGAGACAAATACATACTGAGGAAAAGTAGTTCCAGATGCTAGCTTCAGATCTCAGAATGTGTTTTACCTTCTTCCCTGAAAAGTTGGCCCAGAAATTCTTGGCAATTTTATGAGCCCCTTGATACCTAGGAGCAGATTTTAAAAGATCCGTTATTACCTTCAATAGGAGAGTTGGCCTCTGTTACTTGATCCACCATTTCTAGACATAAATGTCTTATGTATTCTTCATAAGATTTCTTAAAATGTTATTTGACTATGTTTAATCATTGATAGGGCAAAGAAAATGAAATAATTTTGATAAAAATAACTTGACAGGAACACTTTGTTTTCCTAACTGTTCCTCTCAAGAGCTTGGCTACAATTTATTTTTAGGGTCATTATAATTTCCTGCACAATGGCCAATACAATGTTTTATATACAGTAGACACATTACATAGACAAATGCAAAGTTGAAATTTTATGCCTAACTAGTTTTTAAATTTTTTTATAATGTTAATTTACACCCACAATTAGAGTCCATTCTCTTTTATAAAGTATGTTATTTGTGTAAATAAAAGACGTTAGCACAAATGTCTTGAAAAAAAATCCCCCTCTCCCTCTCCCTCTCCCTCTCCCTCTCCCTCTCCCTCTCAGTCTCCCTCTCCCTCTCCCTCTCCCTCTCCCTCCGTCTCCGTCTCCGTCTCCGTCTCCCTCTCCCCACGGTCTCCCTCTCATGCGGAGCCGAAGCTGGACTGTACTGCTGCCATCTCGGCTCACTGCAACCTCCCTGCCTGATTCTCCTGCCTCAGCCTGCCGAGTGCCTGCGATTGCAGGCACGCGCCGCCACGCCTGACTGGTTTTGGTGGAGACGGGGTTTCGCTGTGTTGGCCGGGCCGGTCTCCAGCCCCTAACCGCGAGTGATCCGCCAACCTCGGCCTCCCGAGGTGCCGGGATTGCAGACGGAGTCTCGTTCACTCAGTGCTCAATGGTGCCCAGGCTGGAGTGCAGTGGCGTGATCTCGGCTCACTACAACCTCCACCTCCCAGCCGCCTGCCTTGGCCTCCCAAAGTGCCGAGATTGCAGCCTCTGCCCGGCCGCCACCCCGTCTGGGAAGTGAGGAGTGTCTCTGCCTGGCCGCCCATCGTCTGGGATGTGAGGAGCCCCTCTGCCCGGCCGCCCAGTCTGGGAAGTGAGGAGCGTCTCCGCCCGGCCGCCATCCCATCTAGGAAGTGAGGAGCGCCTCTTCCCAGCCGCCATCACATCTAGGAAGTGAGGAGCGTCTCTGCCCGGCCGCCCATCGTCTGAGATGTGGGGAGCGCCTCTGCCCCACCGCCCCATCTGGGATGTGAGGAGCGCCTCTGCCCGGCCGAGACCCCGTCTGGGAGGTGAGGAGCGTCTCTGCCCGGCCGCCCCGTCTGAGAAGTGAGGAGACCCTCTGCCTGGCAACCACCCCGTCTGAGAAGTGAGGAGCCCCTCCGCCCGGCAGCTGCCCCATCTGAGAAGTGAGGAGCCTCTCCGCCCAGCAGCCACCCCATCTGGGAAGTGAGGAGCATCTCCGCCCGGCAGCCACCCCGTCCGGGAGGGAGGTGAGGGGGGGTCAGCCCCCCGCCCGGCCAGCCGCCCCATCCGGGAGGGAGGTGGGGGGTCAGCCCCCCGCCCGGCCAGCCGTGCCATCCGGGAGGGAGGTGGGGGGGTCAGCCCCCCGCCCGGCCAGCCGCCCGGTCCGGGAGGTGAGGGGCGCCTCTGCCCGGCCGCCCCTACTGGGAAGTGAGGAGCCCCTCTGCCCGGCCAGCCGCCCCGTCCGGGAGGGAGGTGGGGGGGTCAGCCCTCCGCCCGGCCAGCCGCCCCGTCTGGGAGGTGAGGGGCGCCTCTGCCCGGCCGCCCCTACTGGGAAGTGAGGAGCCCCTCTGCCCGGCCAGCCGCCCCGTCCGGGAGGGAGGTGGGGGTGTCGGCCCCCCGCCCGGCCAGCCGCCCCGTCCGGGAGGGAGGTGGGGGGGGTCAGCCCCCCTGCCCGGCCAGCCGCCCCGTCCGGGAGGTGAGGGGCGCCTCTGCCCGGCCACCCCTACTGGGAAGTGAGGAGCCCCTCTGCCCGGCCAGCCGCCCCGTCCGCGAGGGAGGTGGGGGGGTCAGCCCCCCGCCCGGCCAGCCGCCCCGTCCGGGAGGGAGGTGGGGGGGGTCAGCCCCCCTGCCCGGCCAGCCGCCCCGTCCGGGAGGGAGGTGGGGGGGGTCAGCCCCCCTGCCCGGCCAGCCGCCCCGTCCGGGAGGTGAGGGGCGCCTCTGCCTGGCCGCCCCTACTGGGAAGTGAGGAGCCCCTCTGCCCGGCCAGCTGCCCCGTCCGCGAGGGAGGTGGGGGGGTCAGCCCCCCGCCCGGCCAGCTGTCCCGTCCGGGAGGGAGGTGGGGGGGGTCAGCCCCCCTGCCCGGCCAGCCGCCCCGTCCGGGAGGTGAGGGGCGCCTCTGCCCGGCTGCCCCTACTGGGAAGTGAGGAGCCCCTCTGCCCGGCCAGCCGCCCCGTCCGCGAGGGAGGTGGGGGGGTCAGCCCCCCGCCCGGCCAGCCGCCCCGTCCGGGAGGGAGGTGGGGGGGGTCAGCCCCCCTGCCCGGCCAGCCGCCCCGTCCGGGAGGTGAGGGGCGCCTCTGCCCGGCCGCCCCTACTGGGAAGTGAGGAGCCCCTCTGCCTGGCCAGCCGCCCCGTCCGGGAGGGAGGTGGGGGGTCAGCCCCCCGACCGGCCAGCCGCCCCGTCCGGGAGGGAGGTGGGGGGGTCAGCCCCCCGCCCGGCCAGCCGCCCCGCCCAGGAGGTGAGGGGCGCCTCTGCCCGGCCGCCCCTACTGGGAAGTGAGGAGCCCCTCTGCCCGGCCACCACCCCGTCTGGGAGGTGTGCCCAACAGCTCATTGAGAACGGGCCAGGATGACAATGGCGGCTTTGTGGAATAGAAAGGCGGGAAAGGTGGGGAAAAGATTGAGAAATCGGATGGTTGCCGTGTCTGTGTAGAAAGAAGTAGACATGGGAGACTTTTCATTTTGTTCTGCACTAAGAAAAATTCCTCTGCCTTGGGATCCTGTTGATCTGTGACCTTACCCCCAACCCTGTGCTCTCTGAAACATGTGCTGTGTCCACTCAGGGTTAAATGGATTAAGGGCGGTGCAAGATGTGCTTTGTTAAACAGATGCTTGAAGGCAGCATGCTCGTTAAGAGTCATCACCAATCCCTAATCTCAAGTAATCAGGGACACAAACACTGCGGAAGGCCGCAGGGTCCTCTGCCTAGGAAAACCAGAGACCTTTGTTCACTTGTTTATCTGCTGACCTTCCCTCCACTATTGTCCCATGACCCTGCCAAATCCCCCTCTGTGAGAAACACCCAAGAATTATCAATAAAAAAAAAATTAAAAAAAAAAAAAAAAAAAAAAAAGTCTAATTGTGAAATTGACTTAAAAATTCCTAATTGTGAAAGAAGGGGTCTCTTCTTTGGCATGGCACTCTCACTAACAATTTTCTTGGTAAGAGGACCCAACAAACAGCAATAGAAATAGAAAACTATGGATTGCTAGGTGAGAGTATTTTTTAACCTGCTTCAATCTACAACTGCAAAATGAACTGGCCCAATTTAATTAGAAAAATTTCACAGTTTCTGACCACTGATCTACATTACTGAAAGGTTACATGTGAAATAAATGTGGGGTGTGTGTGTGAAAAAAAAAAAAAAAAAAAAAAAAAAAAAAAATAAGAGCTTTAGTAATTAAATCTGTCCATCTGAATTTTCCATACATTTTAAAGAGAAAAAATATATAATGGCAATCTTTTTTTTTGAAAGTGTTTTGTACCTAATAGTAACACATGCTTCAGAAATACTGTTATATGATTAGCATTTCTAAAACACACACATATAACAATAACAGCGAAGAAAAGCAAAAGATAACTCAAGATTAATTAGTTGTCATTATCTATTTATTTCATTTTGTGGCTTAGAGTGAAGATGATAGAAGTAAAAAAAAGATAATTTACTATAAAATGAATTTGAGGAATATATCCAAGTGAATTCAAAACAGAAATATTTATTTTAAAACAGTATAGATAGTTCTACAATAATGTTCATAGAACATTGTACATCTATGTTCACAGCACCATTCATCGCAATAGGCAAAAGGCAGAAAGAACCCAAATGTCCTTGAACGGATGAATAAACAAAATGTGATATATGCGTACAATTGAAAATCATTCAGCCTTAAAAAGGAGTGAAATTCACATACATGCTACAACATGGATGAACCATGAAGACATTATGTTAAGTGAAATTACCAGACACGAAAGCTCAAATATTGTAGGTTTCCACTTATGTGTAGTACCTAGAATAGTTTAATTCATAGAGAAAGAAAGTAGAATATTGGTTACCAGGGGTGGCAGGAAGCAGAAATGGGAAGTTATTGTTTACAGAACTCTGGCTACAGAGTTCCAGCTTGGGATGACAAAAAAAGTTCTGAAGACACACAGTGGTGAGGATTACACAAAATAATGTGAACGTACTAATGTTACTGAACTGCAACTTAAAATGGTTAAGATGATACTTTTCATATTATGTACATTCTATCACAACAAAAACTTAAAAATAAATCCTTTTCTACCTCACTTGGCCTAAGAAGTGCAGAAATTTAATTAATTGTCCTAACATGTCTGCATGTAGTAAAGGATAATTCGATTCCAAAGGAAAAAAGCAAATGCTGGTCCCGTAAGAGTCAATGCATTTTTTCCCCAAAAAGGGCAGAACTGAACACTTGAAATATTATAGAATAATAAGATTCAATATTTCTGGCTGGACACGGTGGCTCACGCCTGTAATCCCGGCACTTTGGGAGCCCGAGTCGGGCAGATCATTTAAGGTCAGGAGTTGGAGACCAGCCTGGCCAATATGGCAAAACCCTGTCTCTACTAAAAATACAAAAATTAGCCGGGCAAAGTGATGGGCACCTGTACTCCCAGCAACTCGGGAGGCTGAGGCAGGAGAATCACTTCAACACAGGAGGCAGAGAAAAAAAAAAGATACAATGTTTCTGATACCAGGAAGCTCACCATCAGGCTGATACATATAAGTTGTTTTCTGGGTTTTTTTTTTCTTTCCTTAATTGCAATAAATCTGTATTACTCAAGGCCGTGATTGTGTGCTGTTTAGATCACTGAGACATCTAAGCTATTTGTAGCTCTTTGGAAACTCCTATGCTTGGATCCAATATGTGCACATCTGCTTGAGACAAATGTGGCATTGAAAAAAGGGTAGGGAAGTAATGCACTTTATGCACATGAAGACTGCATCTCAAAGGAAAAAGGAGGAAGCCTGTCTCTTGGGACTATAGGGAACGTTTGGACAGTGGGGATATATTCATTTGGCCTCTGTGATCCAACAGTGAACATTCTAACATTCCTCTATACTGTCCCCATCCCAAAAGCTATATTCAAGTCCCCAGGATCAGAAATAAGTTTGTCATTTTGGAAACTAAAACTATGTTGACTTTAGTTTGGTTCGCGCAGGTGGCTCACGCCTGTAATTACAGCACTTTGGGACGCCAAGGCGAGGGGATCACGAGGTCAGCAGATCAAGATCATCCTGGCCAACATGGCGAAACCCTGTCTCTACTAAAATACAAAAAAATTGGACAGGAGTGGTGGCGGGTGCCTTGTAGTCCCAGCTACTCGAGAGGCTGAGGCAGTGGAATCGCTTGAACCCACGAGGCGGAGGTTGCAGTGAGCCAAGATCGTGCCACTGCACCCCAGCCTGGCGTCAGAGCAAGACTCCGTCTCAAAAAATAAATAAATAAAATAAAATAAAATAAATTTAAAAAAAGCAAAAGAAACATGTATATGTGTATACACGTATACATGTATACCTTATTTCTATTCAGCATTAGTTTATTGATGTCAAGTTACAAAGTATGTTATATTGACTGAGATCAGTGAGCTTAATTTCAGAGGTCTGGGCACTGAGATTGCGCTCTTCTTAGATTATTAATTACTGTGGGTTATCAATGTATATTTTATAAAGTGAGATTTTTAAAACCTTATTGATAAATTATATCTAATCCTGTTTTTCAAGTATTTTAAGTATCTAAAGACTACGATGGTCAGGAATTATTATAAGCAATGGTGACAGAAACATAATAATATGATTCAGTATAATAGATACCTCACATTAATAAAGAAAATAAACAATGCTTCAGTTAGCAAGTGTATGCTACAAATAATATAAAATTATGTTATAACTGTGTTAAAAAATAAATCTATATCTTTACATGGTTGAGAACTCCAGAAGTAGTTTTGGCTTCAAAGAAGGCCCAATATATTGACCCAAACAGAATGACAACCGCAGTATTCTTAATTTCTCACTTCAGAATCTGAGATTTTTCGGGGAGGGGAGGAGAGAGGAGAGAGAGGCTCAGAAGGCAACACAGTGAGCAGTTTTGTAGTTAACATATATTCCATATGTAGTTGCAGACAATAAATAAATACTCATAAGATGCATTAATTCTCCTTAGGAGTTAGGAGGATCAAGGGTAGCAAAAGGGAAAATTGCTTGTATTGAGTAATTGCATCAACCAAAGAGCTGTGGAATCACAAAATATGTGTGCCATACACTTACGTATATACTTATTCAATTCTATATATGCTGTGTGTGTATGTGTAGAGCTGTTAAAGAGCAGAAAGCCTTAAAATTATTTTAAAATGTATACATATGTGACAATTCTATATTGACAATACTTAAGAGTAAGACTCCATTCTACCACTCTCTAGCTGTGAATCTTGAAAGAGTTTCTTAAACGTTGTGTGCCTCAATTTCTGGAAGAACTCACTCATAGAGTTGTCGTGAGGACAAAAATAATTCATATTTCTAACGTGCTACTCACTGACAAAATAAAAAGTCATGGGACTGCGTAGTATCAACAAATCAGTGACTTTTTAATGACATATTGTCAAACTTTTTTTTTGCGTCCGAGGAATATGATTGTATGTTGAAAAGTAAACCAGGAATTGCAATTTCAATATCGAGGTACAAATTGAATTATCTCTTTTATTTTCATTTTGTCCTTTCAATATCATTATTTAATCCTCCATGAATTGAAAAGTAATATAATATTTCAAAGAAAAATAAGTCATGTCTCAATATGTATAGATTTATTTTAAATGTTAATTTGACCATTTGGAAGGTCAAAATTGTATTTTTCATTTATTGATATTGCATACTAACATCTTAGAAAAAACCAGTTCAATTAAGCAAAAGCGTTTGACATTTTAAAATGTTAACCCATGTGCTTTATTGTCCAATATAATGAATAGATTGCCAAAATACTCTGTCAATTTTGAATTATTTTAAGAGAAAGAGCACAGCATGAATGACAATATTTTTCTTGAAATTTATAAAGCTCGAGGCAATTAAACAAAGCCATTTTATCACAGCTAAGAATGAGATAACCCCATACTTCTGAGAAGTAGAGATATATTGGTCCTGAAGGAAAGTTTAGTTGTTTTTAGATGGTAGGAGTTGAATATAAACGGAGTCTGGTGATTAATTATAATTCAAATTTCCTGTTTTCAAATGTATCATATATTTGCAAAGAAAAAAAAACACAGCATTTTATAGAGATTAAATGTATTATATTCTAGACTGTGACCAGCCCTTTTATCTACACCTGAATTATCAAAAACTAACATAAACAACATATCTTTAGATTATATGTTTAGAGAGAAAAACATGAAGTGAAATTCAGTATGTTGGTATTTCAGAGTAGGTTTTGGTCTCACATTCACAATCTAGAATCTGTTCCAAACCCAGCAAGCTTTCCTTGTTCAAGTACTCTCTATGTGCAAACATCATATGTCTGAAAAAGGAGGACAAAAGAGAAATATTTAATAGGTTACACAAAGGAAAAAAATGAACAGACAAAAGATATACCTAACAAACACCATCAGTTATTTCCTCCTGGCCTCAAAAGAGCATATTATGTGCTACTCTTTTCCCCACGTGTTCACCTTGATGATGCTTGATGCACAATATAAATGCTTACATTTACAATGCTTTTCATTTCTACTTTTCTGTTGGCGAGCACTAAAAGAAATCCTCCAGGAACACCATTTTCTCATTAAGTACAAGTCAGTGGCAACTATTGGCTGGGGAAGCAAGGGGAGCTCAGAGTGACACTCTATGAAGGAAAGGTGGTGGGTGGGTCCTGCTTCCTTCTGAAGAGGGAGGAAACACTGAAAGATAGTCTTTAGGCACCGTAGGCCTAAGAAGTGGCGGTCTACTCTGAGGGAGGGAGGGAAGACAAAGGGCCGGGGAGGACCACTGAAACAAACCCTCCAAGTTCTGCTCATGGTAAGCTCTGATTACCCAAGTGTATTATTATGAAGTTACTGAAGCAAGCAGAAAAGTTGCAATATTTGTACAGTGAACACCAGTACACTCACCACTTAGATTCTACCAATAACATACAACTTATCATGTATCACTCTATCTATCCATCTTATATTTTTGTAAGGCAGTTAGAGACATGAATACACTTCTCTCCAATAATTCAGCATACATAGTACTAATTAGGATTCAACTTTTTTTTAGTAATTGTTTAATCTGAACATAGAATGAAATGTGAAAATGGTAGGTATACCATTTGCTATTTGGTAGTCATTTGAATATTTTGAGAGGAACCTGCCATGTCTGTTTACCCCTTTTTAACATATACACAAACACAGATATAGACACAAATGTATCTGAGGTATGATTTACTACATAAAACATATTATCTTAAGTGTATGACTTGATCATTTTGACAAATGAACACCCATTATAATCCAAAACAACTATTAGACAATTCACCATTTCCATCACCCCAGAAAATTATTTTTCTTTTTCACTCGATCCCTTGAATGTCCTCCCCCAGACCAGTAAACTAGTTTTCTCTTTTTTCCAAAAAAAAAAGTTTCACCTATAATAAAACTTCATATAAATAGAATACATACATTTTTGTGTACAATGCCTTTCATTACATATTTTTTGAGATCTACTCACATTTGTGCATGTACCAGAAATTTGTTTTGTTTTGTTGCTGAATAACATTCCCTTTTATGGAAATATCACCATCGTTATGTGGTATTTGATGTACATCTGGAATATTTCAGATATTTGAATTTTTAGTAAGAATTATTTGAACATTCTTATATAAATTTTTGTGTATGTATGGCATAGTTTTTCATATTTTTATGTAAATAAGAGTGAAATTATCATAAATAATAAAGTAGGTGTATTAGTTCATTTGTGCTGCTATACAAATACATGAAGCTGTGTAATTTATAAAGAAAATGGGTTTATTTGGTGCATAGTTATATAAGGTGTACAAGAAACATATGTTGCTAGCATATGCTTTTGGTGAGGGCCTCACACTGCTTTCACTTATACAGAAAGTGAAAAGAACCTGGTGTATGCAGAGATCCCAAGATGAAAGAAGCTACAAAGAGTGAGAGGTTACATGCCAGTTTATTTTTAACAACCAGTTCTTATAGGAACTAATAGAACAAGAACTCACCCGACACCCTCCCCTCAAGGGAGGACATTAATCTGTCCTTCAGGGATCCACTTCTAAGACTTCTCATTAGGTCCTATCTCCAACATTGGGGATAAAATTTCAACATGAGGTTTGAAGGGAACAAACATCCAAATTACGGCAGCAGGTATAATTTTAACTTTCTAATTAATAGCTAACTATTGTGCAAAGTTACTAAACAATTTTACACTCCCATAGTCTATATTATAGTACAGATTTCCTCCACATTCTTGCTAACATTTAGGATTGTCTTACTTTTGCATTTTTGCCATGTCATTGGGCAAGTAATCTTTCTCTACTGTGGCTTTAATACACATTTACTGTGATAATTATGTTATTATCTTTTTATATACTTGTTGGCAATACGTATAGGTTCTTTTGAGAAGTATCTTTCAAGTTTTTGTCCATTTTTAATTGGGTGGTTTATCTTTAAAAATCATACATGCACACATACAGGCAAGTATGTGTGTGTATATATGGGTGTTTGTGTGTCTGTGCGTGTGCATACAATATTCATTTTCAACCTTACAAAATGTTATGTGCAGGTATTAGGCCATTCTTGCATTGCTGTAAATAAATACCTGAGACTTGGCAATTTATAAGGAAAGAGGTTTAATGGGTTCATGGTTCTGCAGCCTTTATAGAAAGCATGGTGCTGACGTCTGTTCAGGTTATAGGGAGGCCTCAGTTTGCTTATAATCATGGCAGAAGGCAAAGGGGGAAGAGGCACATCACTTGGTAAAAGCAAAAACAAGTGAGAGAGAGAAGGGCGGGGCAGGAGCCACACACTTTTAAATGACCAGATCTTTGAGAACTCACTATCACAAAGACACCATCAAGCAATGAAGGATCTGCTCCCATGACCCAAACACCTCCCACCAGGTCCCACCTGCAGTAATGGGGATTATAATTCAACATGAGATTTGGGCAAAGACAAACATTCAGACTCTATCATTCTGGCCAATGATATCTCCCAGATCTCATGCCCTTGTCAAACTGCAAAACACCATCATGCCTTCGCAACAGTCTCTCAAGATCTCTACTCATTCCAGCATTAACTCAAAATTCCGAAGTCTCATCTGAGACAAGGCAAGTCCCTTCTATCTATGAGCCTGTAACATCAAAAATACATTATTTATTTCCAAGATACAATGGGGGTACAGGTATTGGGTAAACATTCCCATTATAAAATGGAGAAATCACCCAAAAGAAAGAGGCTATGGGTTCCATGCAAGTTCAAAACCCAGAAGGGCAGTCATTAAATCTTAAAGCTCCAAAATAATCTCTTTTGACTCCATGTTCATATTCAGGGCACTCTGGTGCTAGGGGTGGGCTCCCAAGGCCTTGGGCAGTTCTATCCTTGTGGCTCCACAGGGTATAGCCCCTGTAGCTTCTCTCACAAGTGGTTGAGTGCCTTCAACTTTTCCAGATGCAAGATGCTGGCTGCCAGTGGCTCTATATTTTTCAGATCCAGATGACAGTGGCCCCCTTCTCACAGCTCCACTAGGAAGTGCCCTAATAGGGATCCTGTGTGGGAGCTTCAACCCCACATTTCCCCTTGTCACTACCCTAGTAGAGCTTCTCTCTGGGGACTCTGTCCCTGTAGCTAGCTTGTGCATGGACACCCAGGTCTTCTTATATATCCTCTGAAATCTAGGTGAAGGCTGCCCAGAATCCACCACTCTTGCACTCTGTGCACCTGCAGGCTTAATGCCACGTTGAAGCCACCAAGGCATAAGGCTTGCATTCTCCAAAGTGGCAGCTTGACTTGTACCTGGGCCCCTTTGAACCCTGGCTGGAGTTGGAGCTACAGCAGCTGAGATGGGGGAGCAGTGTTGCAAGGTTGCCAGGGCAGCATAGCCCTGAACCTGACTTACAAACCCATTCTTTCCACCTTGGCTTCTGAGCCTGTGATAGGAAGGGCTGCTGTGAAGGTCTCTGAAATGCTTTTGAGGCCTTTTCCCCATTGTCTTGTATATTAGCACTTGGCTCTCTTTTAGTTATACAAATAGTCTCTAGCAAGTGGTTGCTCCATAGCCTGCTTGAATTCTTCTTGCAAAAAAGATTTTTTTTTTTCTTCTGCTACATGGCTAGGCTACGAATATTCCAAACTTTTATACTCTTTATATGTTGAGTATAAATTTTAATTTTAAGTTATTTCTTTGCTCCGGCATCTGGATTTAGGTTGTTAGAAGCAGCCATGACACATCTTGAACACTAACACTTTGCTGCTTAGAAATTTCTGGCCAGGCGCAGTGGCTCATGCCTGTAATCCCAGTACTTTGGGAGGCTGAGGTGGGCGGATCACGAGATCAGGAGATTGAGACCATCCTGGCTAACACAGTGAAACCCTGTCTCTACTAAAAATACAAAAAAATTAGCTGGGCATGGTGGCAGGCCCTGTAGTCCCACTTACTTGGGAGGCTGAGGCAGGAGAATGGCATGAACTCGGGAGGCGGAGCTTGCAGTGAGCCGAGATTGCACCATTGCCCTCTAGCCTGGGCAACAGAGTGAGACTCCATCTCAAAAAAAAATTAAAATTAAAATTAAAAATAATAAAAGAACTTTATTTCACCAGATACCCTAGGCCAGCACTCCCAAGTTCAAACTGTCACAGATCTCTAGGGCATTGACACAATACAGCCACATTTTTTACTAAGGCATAACACGTGTGATGTTGGCTCCAGTTCCCAATAAGTTCCTCATTTCCATTTGAGACCTCATCAACTGGGACTTTACTGTCCATATCATAATTAACATTTTGGTTACAACCATTTAACTTTCCCTCATCTTCCTATCTTCTTCTGAGTTCTCAAAACTCTTTCAACCCGTTCCAAAGTTGCTTCCACATTGTCAAATACCATTATTGCAATGCCCCAATCCTTGATAAGATTTTCTGTATTAGGACATTCCTGCATTGCTATAAAGAAATATCCAAGATTGGGCAATTTAAAAAGAAAAAAAGTTTTAACTGGTTGACAGTTCCGCAGACTTTACAGAAAACGTAGTGCTGGCATCTGCTCCTCCTCTAGAGAGGCCTCGGGAAGCTTATAATCATGGCAAAAGGTGAAGAGGGTGCAGGCATGCCATATGGTGAAAACAGGGACAAGTGAGAGAGAGAATGGGAGGGGGTGCCACACACTGTTAAACGACCAGATTTCACAAGAACACTCTATTGCAAAGACAGCACTGAGGCATTAGAGATCCACCCTGATGTGGTTTGGCTCTGTGTCGCCACTCAAATCTCATCTTGTAGCTCCAGTAATTCTCATGTGCTGTGGGAGGGACCCAGTGAGAGATAATTGAATCGTGGGAGCTGGTCTTTCCTGGGCTTTCTCATGATAGTGAGTAAGTCTCACAAGATCTGATAGTTTTAAAAAGAGGAGTTCTGCTGCACAAGCTCTCTCTTTGCCTGCTGCCATTGATGTAACATGTGACTTTCTACTCATCTTCTGCCGTGATTTTGAGACCACCCCAGCCGTATGGAATGATAGCCCATTAAACCTTTTTTCCTGTATAAATTACCCAGTCTCAGGTATGTCTTTATTAGCAGTGTGAAAACAAACTAATACAGGAAATTGGTACCAGTAGAATGGAGCATTGCTGAAAAGATACCCAAAAATGTGGAAGCAACTTTGGAATTGGATAACAGGCAGAGGTTTGAACAGTTCAGAGGGCTCAGAAGAAGACAGGAAAATGTGGGAAAGTTTGGAACTCCCTAGAGTTCCAATTTTGGAACAATTGAGAAACTGCTGTTGAAGGGTTTTGGCCAAAATGTTGACAATGATATGAACAATGAAATCCAGGCTGAGGTGGTCTCAGATGGAGATAAGGGACTTGTTGGAAACTGGAGCAAAGATGACTCTTGTTATGTTTTAGCAAAAAGACTGATGGCATTTTGCCCCTGCCCTAGAGATCTGTGGAACTTTGAACTTGAGAGAGATGATGGAGGGTATTTGGTGAAAGAAATTTCTAAGCAGCAAAGCATTCAAATGGTGACTTGGGTGCTGTTAAAGGCATTGAGTTTTATAAGGGAAGCAGAGTGTAAAAGTTTGGAAAATTTGCAGCCTGACAATATGGTAGAAAAAAAATCCCATTTTCTGATGAGAAATTCAAGTCAACTGCAGAAATTTGCATAAGTAAGGAGGAGCTGAATTTTGATTCCCAAGACAATGGGGAAAATATCTCCAGGGACTGTCAGAGGACTTCACAGCAGCCCCTACCCAGAACCATAGGCCCAGGGCCTAGGAGGTAAAAGTGGTTTTGTGGGCAGAATGGAGGTTTGGGAATCTCCACCTAGGCTTCAGAGCATGTATGGAAATGCCTGGATGTCCAGGCAGAAGTTTGCTGCAGGAGTCAGGCACTCATGAGGAACCTCTGCTAGGGCAGTGCAGAAGGGAATTGTGAGATTGGAGCCCCCACACAGAGTCCCCACTGGGGCACTGCCTAGTGGAGCTGTGAGAAGAGGGCCATGGTCCTTCAGACACCAGAATGGTAGATCCACTGACAGCTTGCACCGTGCACCTGGAAAAGCTGCAGATACTCAACCCTAGCTTGTGAAAGCAGCCAGTGTGGGGGAAGGCTGTATTTCGCAAAGCCACAGGGGCAAAGATGCTCAAGACCATGGAACCCACCTCTTGCATCAGTGTAACCTGGATGCCAGACATGGAGTCAAAGGAGATCATTTTGGAGCTTTAAGATTTTACTGTACCTCTGGGTACTGGATTTTTATGGAGCCTGTAGCCCCTTTGTTTTGGCCAATTTCTCCCATTTGGAATGGCTGTATTTACCCAATGCTTATGCCTCCATTGTATCTAGGAAGTAACTAACTTGCTTTTGATTTTACAGGCTCATAGGTGTAAGAAACTTGCCTTGTCTCAGATGAGACATTGGATTGCGGACTTTTGAGTTAATGCTGAAATGAGTTAAGACTTTGGGGAACTGTTGGGAAGGCACAATTGGTTTTGATGTGTGAAGACCTGAGATTTAGAAGGGGCTAGGGGTGGAATGATATAGTTTGGCTCTGTTTCTCTCCACAAATCTCATCTTGTAGCTCCCATAATTCCCAAGTGTTGTGGGAAGGATCCAGGGGGAGATAATTGAATCATGGGGGCGGGTCTTTCCTGTGCTGTTTTCATGGTAGTGAATAAACCTCATGAGAGCTGACGTTTTTAAAAAGAGGAATTCCCCCGCACAAGCTTTCTCTTTGCCTGACATCCATGTAAGATGTGACTTTCTCCTCCTTGCCTTCTGTCTTGATTGTGAGGCCTCCCCAGCCATGTGGAACCGTAAGTCCATTAAACCTCTTTCTTTGGTAAATTGCCCAGTCTGGGGTTTGTCTTTATCAGCAGTATGAAAACAAACTAGACCCGGTGGTGCGGTGGCTCACACCTGTAATCCCAGCACTTTGGGAGGCCGAGGTGAGCGGATCGCAAGATCAGGAGATCGAGACCACAATGAAACCCCGTCTCTACTAAAAATACAAAAAAATTAGCCTGGCGTGGTGGCGGGTGCCTGTAGTCCCAGCTGCTCGGGAGGCTGAGGCAGGAGAATGGCGTGAACCTGGGAGGCAGAGCTTGCAGTGAGCCAAGATCACACCACTGCACTCCAGCCTGGGCAACAAAGCAAGACTCCGTCTCAAAAAAAAAAAAAAAAGAAAACAAACTAATACACCCTGTTACCCAAACACCTCCCACCAGACCCCACCTCCAGGACTGGGGATTACAATTCAACATGCGATTTGGTAAGGGACAACTATCCAATCTATATCAATACATATGCCAGATAGATAGATAGATAGATAGAGAGATAGAGAGATAGATACACACACATACACACACCCACATATATATAAATGTGATTTTTGTAAAGCTTTATAAATTAATTTTTTACTTAAAACATATATTAAAGAGTGTTTCATACCAAGGTACATTTTTTTTAAACTGGCAATGGAGAATAGTCTCTTTATTAACTCATCATTAACCTAACCACTCTTCTTTTAATGAAGATTTTGGTTTCCAAGATTTTGCTGTTACCAAGAAAGCAATGAATATCTCTGAAAAACATACTTAGTCTATTCCCTTTATTTCATAGACTTTGTATCCACTTATTTTTGGCAGATATTAGCATATTATTTTGTGTTCTTGCTAATAAGTCCATAATTTACAAGGACTGGTGATTACTCATTCTTTCCATGTTTACCCACAAGACATTTCCACAGCACAGCGACATGACCATTGGTTTTCTAATGTTTTCCACCAGCCGTCTCTGCTCATTCACATCACACCCAGAACACATCTGAAGTGGGCTGTTGTTGCATCATATTTCCAAGCATTAAAAACTTCGAGGTGCCCAAAAGAGCAGATCTCCTTGTAGTCTTTAGTTGCACTGGTGTCATAACATGGTTCAAATAACTGTAGGAATAATTTTCTACTCAGGCTTCTTAACTAGCTTTATGGTTCTTTTCTCAGAAGCACATTTTTGCTTAACTCTACATTCCCTGATTGATCTTATCTCTGACCTCATGCAAAAATATCTTCCAAGGTCTATACACCTTGACATCAACTATGTAAATTTGATACCTAGGGTTCATTGTTTTCAGTGTAGTGTTTTGAAACATTTCTAGATCTTCATTTTCTATTTTAGAAATGCCTCATAAGCTGTGGAGCTTTAAAAGTTATTTTTCTGCTGTATAGAATTGGTTTACAATAGAAAATGTATGGAAATATTGTAAGGAGTTTATTGTATATCAAAGTCAGACATCCACATATAAGCAGTGGGCAAGGCTGTCTGATTTCAAATTTATTTTCATGCATAAATCTGTGATGGGTGATTTTTAACATTCACATTTGGCTTCTAAGACCTGTGTGTGAGTAGGTGAGATCAAACGTAGGTAAGGAGCAGTTTCTATCTTACTTGGAAATGTCTTCTTTATTGACACATGTACTTTGAAGTTTGAGCGGTTACTCCATTTCTTAGGACAAAAGGACGATGAATATCACAAGTGGTTTAAGATAGAAACAGTCCTGTAGTATTTTTATTAACCTAGTTTTCTTTGCTTTTTCCATACCTATGAAAGTTAGTTATTCCAAAGTCAGGAAAAAGAATTTAACTGATATTAAACTCTTACACTTTAGCTTAAAAGTTTAGAGAATTAAAGGTGATGTAGTTCATCAGTAGGTTTTAAATTATTATAACTATTCTCGTTAAAAGATGTAATATAATCTATAAAATGAAAAAAACAAACAAGGTTTTAAAAATATATTGGATATGCAAAGCCCTGAATATTTTGAAAGTATTGCATTAAGGCTAGTAATAAACAAATATGTGAGATTTTAAAATGCATATGGGATAATAAAAAATATTGACTATTTTTAAAATCAGAGATATCAAATATAGTTCTATAGATGTAGTTTTTCAAGATAAGATGTGAAATATATACTTATATGAATAGCTAACCAACAAAAATATACATGAAATTAAAATGTGAAATCAGTTCAAGCAGGTGAGATCATAGTTTACCCTGTTACTTTTGACTTCAGTTAAATTATATGGGGTTTTACCACTTTGCATAGAGACAGGTGATATAAATGTAAACAGATGTGCAGAAGTGAAGCCATTACATTTTTGACATATTAAGATGCAAGTGTCTAAGAGTCATGAGTGTGGATATTAATAGTAGTTGGGATCTCAGAAGAAATCAAACCTCCAAATTTTAAATATGGAGAACCAGAAGTGTCTCAGTAGGGAACCTGGGATACGTAATGCTTAGATGTTGGAGGCTGAACCAAAATCCAAATGACAAGAAGTTGGGAATTCAAAAGTGAAAGTGATCATTATTTTCACTTGCATCAGAGAAGTCTAGAAGATCAGTGTATTCATAGAGACATTATGTTTCCATTCAAAAGTGATACATTCTTTTAGAAAGAGCAGTTTCAATGGAACAGAGAGCTCAGAGCTACATGTATTGCAATTGGTTATAAAATAGGAGTTGAGGAAATGACTGCTAGGCATAAAATCTACTCTCAATTTTTCTTCCTTTGATCTCCTATCAGATCAGTTATTTTGTAATAAGTAAATAACTATATAGATAAAGTTGATTGATGAAAATTAAAACTGATAATAATAAATAATTATGCTAACTTTTATAATGAGGACACAATGAGCTCAAAGAGAGACAGTTCTTTACTATAAGTACTTATGGGCATGTAGGAGAAGGCACTGAGTAGTCAATGAATTGTACATGTGTGACAGAATTACATTGTTTGACTCCTTTTTATGGCAGTGTAACAGGGGCTTGTAAATTGACATACCGTGGATTAAATTCTATCTACACAGTCTTGATAGAAACAATAAATTTGAATGTCATTTAAAAAGTATCATTTCTCTGGTTCACCACAGGCCATACAGCTCTCTATTATGTTACAGCTAGTTCATTCATATATTTATTTTTACTGCTTGATCCCTGTAGGTACCAGTAGGTATTTGAGTCTGAGATGGTGGAATAAGGCAGAAACACACATGATACATTCACCTTCATCTAACACCAAATATTGCTATGGCTATCCTGGGATTTTCCCTCTAGAACCCTGCTTTATTATATGTGACTCAACTTTCTCAAGTTCTCTGTAACTGAGATCACTAATCAATCCACCTGAAAACTCATACTCACTGAGCTACCAAATCAATATGAACATTATGTATACTACATCATGAAATAACCAGAGACCTTATTATGATGCCACCACCTTAGACTCAGAAACCAGAGTCTCATCAATGACACATTAAGAGTAATCTGTGCCTAAAAAGAAACCTCCTCGGCCGCTCACATTGAAAGGATCCAAAAGTAGTTCACATTCCTAACTGTGATCAGCCATTATATATTATTTTTCTGTAACTGTAAAATTAATATGTTCGTGTTAACTCTTGGAAGTAGTAAAACTAGAAAGATTACAATTATCACTCATATTATCTCATCATCTAGAGCTGATTCCAATAGGATCTGAAAAAATTAAGTTGAAATCTATTATACCAGAATGCTAGGAATATTTCTGAAGTGAATGTGTATACATAAAAGTGTCACCTGTTTAGCAAAATTATAGGAAGAAAGGAGCAGTATGCCTCCATTTCAGGGCAATGAGAACAGCTTACTCGGACTCTTGCATGTGTGGCATGTAAAGCACGTGCAATACCTATTCAACAGAAACGAGGATCCTTCCTAATAGTAATGGCTCATTATAATTTCAAAAGTCACATTAAATTAGGTATGCAGTAGAGAGTTGAGCTTCACATGTTGTAGCTAGTTATCCAGTCAAGATACAGAAAATTTTCAACACCTCCCAAAATTCCTGATGTCCTCTGTAGTGCATCCCTCCCTCTCTCCAATTCTTGACCTAGGAACCACTGATGTCACAATAAATTGGCTTCCACTTACATTACTTTATATTTTTTGAAACAGAAAGTACTCTATTTTTCTGACTATTTCATTAAGTGTAATAATTTTGAGATTCATTCATGTTGCCATATGCATGAGTAGTTCATTCTTTTTTATTGGCAATCTTTCATTAGATGTTTATTCCTTATTTTGTTTAATCTTTTGATTCTTGAGCATACCTGCAATAGTTAATTTTATGCATCAATCTGAGTGGGTTAAGGGATGCTCAGATGCCTGGTAAAGCATTATTTTTAGGTGTGTCCATCAGGGTGTTTCCAGAAGAGATTAGCATGTGTATCAGTAGGACGAGTAAAGGAGATCTGTTGTCACCAATATGGGTGGTCATCATCTAGACTTTTGGGGCCTCTAAGAGAACAAAAAGGTGAAGGAAAGGCAAGTTCTCTCACTCTTCTTGAGCTGGGAAATCCACCTTCTCCTACACAAAGACATAGGAGCTCCTGGGTCTCAGGTGTTTGGACTTTGGGACTTATACCAGTGCCCACTAGTGAATTCAGGGAATAAAAAAGAGCATAACTAGAAAATACTTGTAAAAAACTAGTTATTTGAAAAATCAAACATAATGACATATACTAGATAATTAATCGAGAACAAAGAACACAAAATTGCACAAAATAGGAATGAATTTTACACACCTCTTTGTAAATACATTTGTAAAGCTCAAGTAAGAGAATTTTATGTTTTTACAAATTTTAAAAATTCAAAACACTAAGCTAACTTGAGAAATAATTTAAGCCAACTATACATAATACATTAAATAGAGAACACAATGAAAAATCTCCCACAAATATTACTTTCAGCAAGGTTGTCTCACATGGAAATTCTATTAAATCTTTTAAAATATGATAATCGCAGTGCTATTAACTATTTCCAGGCATAGAAAAAGAATGATAACTTATAAAACCATTTTATAAAGAACATGAAATATCGATCCCCAAAAACTGTTTTGTCACAAACAACACAATATTATATAACTTGGACTATTGTTTGTAATATCGTTTAATTGGTGTATTAGTCCATTCTCACACTACTATAAAGATTATAAACAAAGAAGGTTTAATTATCTTATAGTTCCGCATGGCTGAGGAGACCTCAGGAAACTTACAATCATGGCCGAAGGCTAAAGAGGCACATCTTACATGGTGGCAGACGAAAGACAGCAAGCAAGAGCAGGGAAAACTGCCTTAAATAACCATCAAATCTTATAAGAACTCACTATCATAAGAACAACATGGGGGAATCTGCCCCCATGATCCAACCACTTCTCACCTAGTCCCTCCCTTCACATGTGGGGATCATGGGGATTACAATTTGAGATAAGATTTGGGTGGGGACACAGAGCTAAACCATATCAATTGGCTATATAACTCTTACAAATAAATACACTAAAGTCTCTCTAGAATGTTACATTTGGTTTTCTGATTCCAGAGCTGAAGAAATTCCCAGGCTTCAAGTGGTTTAAACAAATTTGTTTCATATTTTACTAAAAATGTGTGTTCTCAAATGGGGCAATCATAAACAAAAGTCTACACTATAAATAATATCATTTACTTGAATATGCAATACAAAATGCAAACATCTAGGATATACCACTAAGAAAAAATAAGTAAGTGGTTCCTGTTAATGAATGACATGATAGAGAATAAAAAGCCAATGCTTGCATACTTTCTATTAAATATTATAAGGTTATTATCTTTGTTGTTACCTATGATCTTAATTACTGAAGATAACTTATGACTCATTATGATTGTCCCCTAGCACATTAAATGAGCCTTTCCCCAGCCAAGGGAAATTAATGTGCCTTGTTAAATTTTAAGTTGATTGGTATCTATTTCTTGAATGTTAGGCATTTAAACATATTAAACATATTAATTTTAATTTAAACATAAAATAATAATCCTAATTTCTTTTCCTGCTAACATTCATTGACCCTAATAGTAAACTCTATGATTAACAAAACAAACAGTACTAAAGAAGCACTGATTATTTTGATCAATTAAAAAAACAAGATATACACAAATAACTTTAAAATATATTAAATTACTTTAGTAGAAGCTGCCATCGTAAAATACCACTCACTGGATAGCTTAAAAAACAAATATTTTTTTTCACAGTTTTCATTATCAGACAATTTCATGAAAACAAAAAATAAACAATAAAATAAAAATTTAAAAAATATGCTTTTTCTAATTAAAACTCTAAAAAATACATAGTTAAGAAAATAAGGCAAACCACAGAATTAGCAAACATGTAGCACCACTTACATCTGAATAAGTTATTGTATTCAGAATATGTTTAAAAATCTTATATATAATACTCTACTACCCCAAAAAATTCACAAAATAGTATTTTATAAAATAAGACTAATGGATAACTAAGCCTATGTGAAAACATCATTAATTATTAAAATTTAAGAGAAAACAATAGGATGCCATTTTTATGCCCTTCAAAAGTGCCAAAAAGAACAACAAAAACATGACAATATCAAGTGTTAACAACAATGAAGAACAACCGTAATTCCTACACAGCTGAGGCGAGATTGTAAAATGGAATTACACCACTCTGGAAAAGTATGCAGCAGTTCATTAAAGATTCAAATATAAATATACACTCTAACTTTGACATTCCATGCCTAAGTATTCCACCAAGACAGAGGAGATCATATATTCCCACGTAGATTTGGAGCCGGTTATTCATCAGAACTTGATTTACAGTAGACGGGAATTTGAATCAAATCCAACCAACGGGTGAATAGAAGTGTACTCAGTAATACAAGTAATACACCAATGACACATACAAAAGCATGAAAGATTTTAAAAATTATTATGCTAAGTTAGAAAAATCAGACACAAAGGAATATATACTATAATATTCCATTTTTATAAAATTCTAGAAACTGCAGTCTTAGCCTGCTTTGGCTCTGTAACAAAATATCATAAACTAGGTAGATTATAAACAACATAAATTTATTTCTCATAGTTTTGGAGGCTGGGAAGTCCAAAATCAAGGTGCCGACAGACTGTAGGTCTGATGAAGGCCTGCTTTCTGGTTCCTTAATGGTGCCTTTTCACTGTGTCATTACCTAGAGGAAAGGGCAAAGCCGCTGTATTAGTCATGAGCCTCTAGAAGGACAGAACTAATAGGATAGATGTACATAGAAGGGGAGTTTATTAGGAGAATTGACTCACAAAGTGAGGTCCCACGATAAGCCATCTTCAAGCCGAGTAGCAAGCAAGCCAGTCTGAGTCCCAAAACCTCAAATGCAGGGAAGCTCACAGTGCAGCCTTCAGTCTGTGGCCAAAGGCCCAAGAGCCCCTGGCATACCATGGGTGTAAGTCCAAGGGTCCAAAAGCTGGAGAACATGGAGTCTGATGTTCAAGGGCAGGAAGTACCCAGCATGGGAGAAAGGGAGAAAAATGAAGGCTGGAATACTCAGCAAGTCAATAGCTCTTTCCACCTGCTTCTGCCTGTTTTTTCTAGCTGTGCTGGTAGCCAATTTTATGATGCCTTACACATTGTGAATAGGTCTTCCTAAAGAGTCTTCCTCTCACAGTCCACTGACTCAAAAGTTAATCTCTTCTGGCAACACCCAGAAACACCCAGATATATCCAGAAAGAATACTTTGCATCCTTCAATCCAAGCAAGTTGACACTTAATATTAACTGTCACAGCAGCTCTCTGGGAGCTCTTTTTTAAAGGCACTAATCTCATTTGTGAGCACTTCACTCCAATGACCTAATTACCTCCCAGAGGCTCTACCTCCAAATAACCTCACAATGGGGAATGGGTTTCAACATATACATTTTAGAAATACAGAAACATGCAGACCGTAGCAAACACACTTTATAATGAAATAACATTTTGGTGACTCCTTGACCTTGGGGACAGGGAAGAATATAAACTGCATGGGGGACAAAGAGAACCTTTGTGGGTGATAGCAAAATTTTGTATCTTTATTGTGGCAATGTGTTCATAGGCATATAAACAGTCAAAACTAACCCATCATTCTTTAAACTGATACAGCTTCTTGCATATAAAATATAAACAAATAAATGTGATTTATATAAAACTTGCTTCATATGTTCCAGACAAAAGGATAGTTTTGGGAAAATGTGGAAAAGTACAATCATTGAAGTAGAATTTTAATTAACATAGTTGCTTAAAACTTTGAACAGAAGTATTTAAGAAAAAAATTAAGACACTTAAAAAAAAAGGAATGGTTTGCAGTGTAGAATTGAATAATCTCTATTATAATATTAATATTATTTTGCCTATAATTTATTGTAACTTGTCTTTTATACTAAGATTAAACAGCATTACGAGATCTAAACACCATTTGCCCTATGCTGCTTCTAGATTCAAACAAAAGATATTTATTTATTTATTTATTTTGAGATGGAGTCTTGCTCTGTTGCCCAGCCTGGAGTGCAGTGGTGTGATCTCGGCTCACTGCAGCCTCTGTCTCCCAGGTTCAAGTGATTCTCCTTCCTCAGCCTCCTGAGTAGCTGGGACTACAGGCGTGTGCTACCACGTTTGGCTTATTTTTGTATTTTCAGTAGAGACAGGGTTTCACCATGTTGGCCAGGATGGTCTCAATCTCCTGACCTTGTGATCCATCTGCCTCGACCTCCCAAAGTATTGAGATTACAGGCATGAGCCACTGTACCCAGCCACAAACACAAGTTATTTTAATGAATTGCAGATGTAATATTGTTTCATAAAGTGCCTATGCCAGTCACAGGTTTCTGAGCCCAAAATAAATTCTCAGTTATATGGAGACTGTGTAAAGTTCTTTCTAATTTCCTATTTATCAAAACACTTATCTATCTTACCTATTCTGATTTTATTTTGGTTGACACCATTTCTATTTTCTAAAGTGTCCAATTTATTGACTATTTTTATTGTTCAGAAGAAAAATATTAAAATGCTAAAGTGAAGGAATAGGATAATCAATGTTATCATTAAATTTGTTGGTTATATATTTGGATAGTATATTGATGACTTTCCATTTTGGGATCGAGGATTAACTCTAACATCATAGGAATTATTTCTAAGTAGACAAAGGCTTAGTAGAGTTAGAAAGGAAAGTGTCTTTAGTGTTCATGAAACCCAAACCCTATATTTCAAAGTTAACAAATATTAAATGAAGCAACCCGACAATCAAATTTCATGTTTATATATATTAACAACTAAACTATCAAAATATTATGTTTGCAATAACAAAATGAAATAATGTAGATATATACAATTCTTTAGGGATATACAATTCTCCATCTTTTGCTACAACTTTCATTACTTTTTCTTTTGTTTAGAAAAAGAGCATGAGAACAAGTAGATATTTTTAAAAGTAAAAAACAAAACAAAAAACTAAGGGAAAAGTCTCTATCTGTCAAATGTGCTTTACTCACATAACATAAATGGGAGAATAAAAGAGGAGTTCACGGGTAACCCATAGCATAAGAACAAGATAATGCACATTTTACCTGAAGAAGATTCTTAATCTTAATGTGACAGATTTTCATAATGTTTCTTATTTTTTTCAATCTTTTTACTCTCAATGACTATAAGCCAGTTTTAAGACGGGGGAGAAAATTGCTGACCAGTACTTCTCAAGTGTCATCGTGAAAGATAAAGAGAAACTGAACATTTTCTCACATGACAAAAAATTGTTCCCCATGGGAGCAGATTAAGAACACATAACAATTGAATGCAATGTGAAATCTTGCATGAAAATGTTAGTAAAAGTAAGAAAAGTAGACTAGCAAACAACTAGTACAGTATGGCTGAAATGTGTTGATTAGTTAATAGTTAATAATATCTGTTACTAATCAATTACTTTAACTTGATACAATATTATTTTATTTATTGGCTAAGAATTCTATGCTTATGCAGGATGTTAAAACAATTGGGGAAGGTGAATGAAGGTATATAAAAACGTGTTCTGTTATTTCTGAAAATGTTTGATAGTCTCTATTTCAAAATGAACAAGTTATAAAATAAAATAAAAATAAGCTGCAGATCATTTTTTACATGTGTTCTTTTTAAAGAAATTACAAATAGTGGAAAACTTTTCCAACAACCGTATTTACAAAATCTTTTAAAATACATTTTACCTTTGAACAGTGTAGGGGTTGGGAACACTGACCCCAGCACAGTCAAAAATCCATGTATAACATTTGATTCCCCAAAGATTAAATTACTAATAGCTTACAGTTAATCATAAGCCTTATCAATGACATACATAGTTAATTAGCATATAGTTTGTATGATATATAAAAATTCTACTGTATTCTCACAATAAAGTAGGCCAGAGAAAAGAAAATGTTATGAAAAAATAAATAAGGAAGAGAAAATACATGTAGTATTCATTAAATAGAAGTGGATCATCATAAAGGTCTTTATCCTTCAGCCTTCATAATGAGTAGGCTGAGGAGGAAGAAGAGGAAGGATTGGTTTTGCTGACTCAGGGATGGCAGAGGCAGAAGAAAATTTGCATTTAAGTGGACACTTGCAGGTAAAACTCATGTTGTACAGAGTTTAAATGCACTGTTTTACTGATGATAATTTTTAAAAAGACATAGATTGGCCGGGTGGTGGCTCACGCCTGTAATCCCAGTACTTTGGGAGGCGGAGGTGGGCGGATCATGAGGTCAAGAGATCGAGACCATCCTGGGTAACACGGTGAAACCCCGTCTCTACTAAAAATACAAAAACAAAATTAGCCGGGTGTGGTGGTGGGCACCTGTAGTCCCAGCTACTTGGGAGGCTGAGGCGGGAGAATGGCGTGAACCTAGGAGGCAGAGGTTGCAGTGAGCCGAGGTCACGCCACTGTACTCCAGCCTGGGCGACAGAGTGAGACTCCATCACAAACAAACAAACAAACCACATAGATCATCAGTTAAGTCAAAATTTTGTAAAGCAAAATCTGAGAAAGTAAAAGATGATTCAGTGAATTTTACAGAGACAGACATTCACAAATTTTGGAGAAGCTTTTTGGTCTAGTTATTAATCAGGTTTTTGCAACAATGGTATTTGAAGGTCATTTGAAGGTTTTATGGTACACAGGACCCCTTACTTCACAGATGCATACAATGAAACCTAGAGGACATCATGAAGGCAGGTCCATAAATACAACACCTTTCCAAATACTTGATCTCTTGTCTCATATTCTCACTTTTTAATTTCAGTAATTAATTAGAACATAACTTTAACATAGGTGCACCAACTGAAGGCTGAAAGCACAAAGAGCTATTTTCAGGAAAGACTCAGAATATTTATTGCCTTCTGCACTGTTCCACTTTCTCTTGCTGTTGCTTTGTGAATAGAAAAAAATTTGTTTTAATGTTGCAAACATTTTAATAATATTTTCTTTACAGGAGGAATTCCGGGACATAGAATAGATGGAATTCATAGTCATAGGAAAAATTGGCAAGAAAAGATTCTTTATAGCTTTTGACAGCATGGGAATGAGAAATTAGAAGGAAAACAATGATGACCAAAAAAATGCTGCTTATTATTTAGTAAACCTGGGCAGAGTGCTGCATAATTGATGCCTATGATTTAAATGTGGAAGAAGAAAATAATTCTGCCAATCCAATCTTTGCTAATTTCATCTTTTTGCTTGGCTATACTTTTAATGAATAGTTAACCTAAATTATAATCTTAGAAAAGCAGATAAATGCAAAGACCAAATGCTCTTTTTTGTGCTAAATCCATGAACCTTAGCTAAAATCCCATATCATGTAGAAAAGTATCTATGGTAAAAAAATGTCCCTCTGCCACTTATTTGTCCAGATAACCTGTTTACATATTTTTGGGTGGTATTTAGACAATTTTACAGGTTTTAACTTTATCTTCCCATTTTTATAATTGAAATAATTTTAATAAGAATATATATAAAGCAGATAAGATAATCATTTTTTCTCAGTGTCTATTGATTCAGTTATGTATTTTACTATTTGTATTTATTCACTTTTTACTGCTTATTTTATTTTTTCACTTTAGAAACAGGAAAACAACACTCTCTGGATGATGTATTCAGATAATGTAACATCAGAAGCCATGATGATCTGCATAAACTTCATTATTTTATATAAATCATTTTATAATCTACAAGAAAACTTTCAATTTCAGATTATTACATAAAATTATTACACTTGCTAAATCAAGGAAACTTCTAGGTGATTTATTCTTAAAGTTACCAATAAATTCAGTCATCAAATTAGTTCAAGATAACTTCCTAAAACTTTTCTGTGATTATTATGTCCTTATATAAGAATACCCTTGAAGTTAAATTAATAATCTCAAACATTCATAAACATTTGACAAAGATATAGCTTTTTAATTTTTTGGATAATGTGGATTGAGATGTAGTTTGTCCAGGTTTTATATCCCAGAACAATCCATATTTAAGTCAAGCTTTAGAAGAAAATTAGGGAAAACTTCTTCAAGATAACATTTTGTGCCTATGGAGTCCTATGAGAATTTAGGGAAGAGATGCCTGTTTAATTTTCTTGATCAGGTTGGAATCAGGAGCACTTATTGAGGGTGAAGTTGTAGAGAGATAGAGGAATCTTGAAGTCAGGGGTGACATTTTGCATTTGTTTTTCTTCAGACATTTGAACAAAATGGTAAGCAAAGTCTAAAAGGGGAATGTCAATGGTTCAAGTTATTTTGGAGATCATGACTTTGTAGTTTCCCATGTTATAGACCTGGAGTGGCCTTTTCTATCCAATTCTTCCAGTTTCTAGGTGTATAAACAGGGATTCTGCATTTAAATATCAATCTGAAGAGGCTTTCTGTGAGGGTAGATTAGAGTATAAGAGATTAGACAAAAACCGGTGACAGAGAAGTTCAAATTAGAACCTGTGGTTCTGAACCTAAAGGGGCAGGAAATGTTGTTATAGAAAATGTGAGACACTTTGAAAGATAATAGCTGAGATGACAGAGAGAGAGGGTTTTAAATTTAACATACTGAAGTAGAAAACCCTTGGGTGGTTATAAGATTTTTAGTGAGAAACATTGTAAAAATAACTAAAAGGGAATGGAGATGAAAATCACTTGAGTGAAAAATAATTAAGATTAGTCACCTAATTGTAGGGTTATCTCATTTTTTTTTTGACATTGAAAACTTATGGTACTGTTGAAGTATTTATAGTGAAAAAGAAGGAAGATAGTTGGGGATGAAATAACAAGGAGATTGTATTAGTTGTTTTCACACTGCTATAAAGAACTTCCTTGAGACTGGGTAATTTATAAAGGAAACAGGTTTAATTGACTCACAGTTCTGCATGGCTGGGGAGGCCTCAGGAAACTTACAATCATGGTGGAAGGGGAAGCAGGCACCTTCTTCACAAGGTAGCAGGAGAGAGAGAAGGACAAAAGAGGAATTTCCACAGAGTTATAAAAGCACCGGATCTAGTGATAACTCATTCACTATCACGAGAACAGCTCGGGGGTAAGCAGCCCCATGATCTAATCACCTCTCTCCCTTGACACGTGAAGATTACAAGTCCCTCCCACAATAGGAACACGTTGGAATTACAATTCGAGATGAGATTTGCAGAGCCAAAATTTATCAGAAATCAAAAGCGTTTTAACCTGGGAAAAAATATGTTATTTTATCCTTAAAAGGACATAAGACATTTCTAGAGAAGGCTGAAATAGTATCATTTTGAAAACACAAGTGATAAACCGTGGGAAGTTATAGGCCTTCTTCGGTGAAATCAAGATGACACAGGGTAGAATGTGTAGTTTAAAATTAGGTAAACTACATGAAAATAAGATGAATCTTCAGAAAATTCTAGGATTCAGCTAAGAAGCTGGCACTTACGATACTCTAGGTAAAAATAATACTTTGATTGTATTTACAATTGAATAAAGTTAACAGTGGGGATAGCATGGTAAGTTATAGGTGGAACCTATTTATATTATAAACCAATTACACTTAATCTTCCAAAGGAATAATATATTTCTTATACAACTAAATGATTTTGTACATCCAAATAAAAAAATTATGCTAGAGAGGTAGAAAGAGAATGTTGGGAGCCTTCATTTGATAGAAAAGTAATGTTTCCAATCAAGTTGTAGAGTGGACACAGATTATTACAGGTAGTTAGATGGCATGAGCATGGCAGGACCCCACCCACTAGGTACATCAGGTGATGGTTTGACAATTATCACACTACTTCTTCAAAGCCAGGGAGAAACAATCTCCTGATGCTCCACAGCTGTTAACACTAAATTATTGATTGAATGCAGATTCCAGGGAGAAGAAACTTCCTGGGTATGTGCACTAGGAGACAAGATGGTGACATATGACCTTCCAGGGACACTCCACTAGAAAAAAAAAAAAATGAAGAAAGCCTCAGATAGGCATGCACACAAATTTCTAAACATACTGTGTGTGTTCAATTCCCAAAGGTAGGAAGGACACTGCGCATGAGGGAAGCCCACCTTAAGGGAAGAATCATGGTAAAGAGGCAAGCCTATAAAAGCCCTAGGATCAAGGTTAAATGCCCCTTTTCTTTCTTTGACCTTCAGGTGCCCTCTTGGATCTCTTCCAAGTAAATCTTCCTTTCTTTCCTATTCTAAAGCTTTTTACATAACCTTCCACTTCTGCTCTGAAACTTGCCTTGGTCTCTCTGCTTTATGCCCCTCGGTCGAATTCTTTCTTCTGAGGAGACGAGAACTGAAATTGCTGCAGACCCATAGGAATTTGGAGTCAGTAACTCAGGGTAACTCAGATCTCCTACACCGGTAACAAGATGACATTAATTCCTTCAAATATGCTTTGCTTAACTCTTCCACACATTTTTTTCCCAAGTAAATTTATGTTATAACAGCTTCAAATACTTCTCTGGAATAACTTTCCACATTTGCCCATAGCTCTCTTTAGTATTTTGCTTACATGAGGCAGCACAAAAGTAACCACAAGGCAATCCAGTAATCTCACCTTAAATTATCTCTCACCTTTGAGGTGGTTTAAAACCACGTAGATTTATGGACTCCATCCCCATTTCCCAGTTCATTGGGACAGAGAATAAATATCACAGTAAGCATTCCACATTGCACATCAAAGCTTAAGCCCACTGTATCAGTGGCTTATTCCTTTTTTCTTTCATGTTTTTCCTATTCCTCTTGAGATTACTGTGATGAAACAACTAATAAATAAACCCTGACATTTTTATGGGCTCCATATCAAGTCTTCCTGAGTAGTTCTATGGTATGAGGTTCATTGTTTTATGAAGTTCATTCAGTAAGAAACAGGGCGTTTCCACAGTTGTGTGAGAAATCTTGAGAAATAAGCAGGTCAAAGAAGATAGCTCAGTGGTTACATCAATAGAAACAGATTGAAGAGAGAAAAGAACAGCAAAGACAGCAGTTAAATTTGATGTCTGTAGCTCAATAACATGAAGAGAAGAAACCACTCTAAGAACTTCTTGTGAATTAAAGAATAAATTGATTCTAATTTATCCCAACATGTTGAAAGAAGTAAATGGGAGAAAATATAGGATGATGACCTGGAAACAGTTAAAATAACTACAATGGTTTGTTGCTGAGATGGATGATATCCCTTAATTCCTTTCACAGTTTAAATCTGAGTCTCTGATGGAGGTTCTTACTTTATCTAATGCACAGTGGTAGCCAGAGAAGCTACTAGGGAGAGTAAAAGAAACAGAAAGACATGGGAGCATGAGCACAAAATATGTGTGTATTAATACAAAAGTTATTATAGGTCACTTTTTTTTTTTTTTTTTTTGAGACAGAGTCTCACGCTGTCACCCAGGCTGGAGTGCAGTGGCGCAATCTCTGCTGACTGCAAGCTCTGCCTCCTAGGTTCAACGTTTCGCCTGCCTCAGCCTCCCAAGTAGCTGGGACTACAGGCACATGCCACCACGTCCGGCTAATTTTTTGTATTTTAGTAGAGACAGGGTTTCACCATGTTGCCCAGGCTGGTCTTGAACTCCTGAGCTCGTGATCTGCCTCGGCCTCCCAAAGTGCCAGGATTACAGGCATGAGCCACCACGCCCGGCCTTAAAGGTAACTTTTTATTGGAAAGTTTGCATTACGTTGACTACTTCTAATGAATAAATTAATTTTTAAAATACAACTCTAGTTAGGTGAGTGTTAGGGTATTGATATTATAAATATGATAAGCAATATAGAATGTTAGTGCAATTTTGGAAGTGGGTTTTATGACAATTAGTTCACATATATTAAAATTTTATTTGAAGTATTAAGAGAATCACAAAGGTCTGCAGATAATGGAATAAAGAACTGGAGTTTGGGGGTGGTCAGGAATATTTAGGATTGGGGAATAAGGAAGAATTTATTGGGAGTGGCATCTGAACTGTGTTTTGACTTTAGGTATGTGTAATGGAAAATCGAAACCAATCATGGGGCATAAGGAGGAATATTACATAGGTCAGATTTAAAGAATGTCTCTGAGGGAAAATAGTGGAAAGTTCTAAAGGAAGGTAGGTTAGATTCAGAATTGTTTACTTAAATGACACAGTAATGAATTTTAACTTCATTCCCTACACTATGATATAAAACTACAAATACATTAGCCTGTACACCACCTACCCTCCCATTTATGAATGGTTATACTTTAATATAAAGTCTTTATTTCTAGCAGAGATATAATGAAAGACATTCAAACTTGAAATCTGTGTATTAGAAAATGTGTCTGTTATGTTCTTCAATATTTGTATCAGATAATGAACTACATTACATTTTTTTTGAATTTAGTGAAATGAAAAATGTCTCTGGAAGATCATTTATAAATTATTTTTCTTAAAATAAAGACAAGCGTTTGGCTTTTCAGCCATGGCTGAATTCCTCTTCCATCTGATTCTTTAAAAAAAAGGTTTTTAATAAAAAAGGATCTTTTTTTTTTTCATTTTATTGATTTCAGAGAGTTGTTCCCCAAAGCAATTATTGTGTATGTAAATTTTTCAGATAGTTGTTTTCTCTCACCCTATACACTGTGCTTTTAATTTATGCATTTTTCCTCCTAATGCATGTAGATAATATATACCAAATTCATAGACTTAGGAATGAAGAAGTATGATATAACACAGAAAATTCCACAGAAATAATTCTGGCTTTGTGGTTTTTATAATTCTAAATTTTGTCTTGAGGTAAAAGATGTAGAAGAGTCATGGTTATTTTAGCTGATTTCTGCTCATGTCTGGATACAAATAGAAAAAAAAAATGTACTAGGGAAGAGGTTAGAACCATTACTATTGGTGGATCAATTAGATGTACCTTACAATACAACCTAGATAGGTGGGGATCTGAGAGCAGACTGTGAGTTGCTCAAAATTAGAATTGAAAAAGCAAATTCACTCATACCACCATGTAAAAAATTGGTGACAATTTATTTATTTTTTATATTGAGCTGACATGCAATAATTGTACATAATTGTGGGTTACAGAGTGATATTTTGAAACAAATATACAATATGTAATGATCAAATCAAGGTAATTAGCATATCTGTCAACCCAAGTACTTATCATTTCTTCATGTTGTTAACATTCAAATTCCTCTCTTCTAGCTTTTGGAAAATATACAGTAAATGATTGTTAACAATGTTTACCTTACACTGCTACAAAACACTGGAAGTTTTTTCTTCCATCTAGCTGTAACTTTGTGTTCATTAACCAAATTCGTCTTATAATCCCCTCCCACTAACTTGCCCAACTTCTAATGACCACAATTCTATTCTCTATTTCTATGAGCTCTTTAAAACAACAACAACAACAACAACAAAAAGACTCCCATATCCAAGTGAAAACATGCAGTGTATTAGTCCTTTTAACTGGGGTGTGATGATTTCTCATTGTGGTTTTTATTGCATTTCTCTGATGATTAGTGATGTTGAGCATTTTTAATTTACTTCTTGGTCATTTATATACCTTCTATTTTTTTGAAACGGGGTCTTGCTCTGTCCCCTAGGCTGGAGTGCAGTGGTGCGATCTCGGCTCACTGCAAGCCCCGCCTCCCGGGTTCACACTATTCTCCCTCCTCAGCCTCCCGAGTAGCTGGGACTACAGGCGCCCGCCACCACGCCCAGCTACTTTTTGTATTTTTAGTAGAGACGGGCTTTCACTGTGTTAGCCAGTATGGTCTCGATCTCCTGACCTCGTGATCTGCCCGCCTTGGCCTCCCAAAGTGCTGGGATTACAGGCTTGAGCCACTGTGCCCAGCCTATATGCCTTCTTTTGATAAATGTTTATTAGATTCTTAGCCAATTAAAAAAATCTATTTTTTTTCTCTCTTTTTTTGGCTAAGTTGTTTGACTTACATGTACATTCTGGATATTAGTCCCTTGTCAATGAATAGATTGCTTGTGTTTTCTCCCATTTTACAGGTTGTCTCTTCACTCTGTTGTTTTCTTTGCTGTTCAGAGCTTTTTAGTTTGATGTGGTCTCATTTATCTATTTTAAGTTTTGTTGCCTGAGCTTTTGAAGTCTTACCCATAAAATCTTTGCTTAGACCAATTTTCTGAAGCATTTCCTCTTTGTTTTCTGATACCAGATAATTTCAGGTCTTATGCTTAACTCTTTAATCCATTTTGAGTTGATTTTTGTGTTGAGATGGAGATCTATAATAGTTTCACTCTTCAGCATAGGAATATTTAGTTTCTGTACCACCATTTATTGAAAACAATGTTCCTTCCCCAAATCATGTTCTTGGTACCTTTGTCAAAAATCAGTTGGTTAAAAAGCATAGATTTATTTCTGGGTGCTCCTTACGTTTTATTGGCCTGTGTGTTTGTTTTTCTACAAAAACCGTGCTTCTTTGGTAACAATAAATTTGTAGCATATTTTGAAGTCAAGTAGTATGATGCCTCCATCTTTCTTCTTTTTGCTCAGTATTGCTTTGGCTATTCAGAATCTTTTATGTTCTCATAGGAATTTAGTATTGTTTATTTCTGTGGAAAAAAATAGATATTTCATAGGTCTTTCATGTAATCTGTAGTTGCTTTGGATAGTGTGTTCAATTTATCAATATTAGTTCTTCCAGTGCATGAGTATGGGATGTTTTCCCATTTTTTGTGTGTATTCGCTTCAGTTCCTTTTCATCAGTGTTTTGTAGTTTCTGTTGTAGAGATCTTTCATCTCCTTGGTTAAATTTATTTCCAGTATTTTATTTTGTTTTGTAGATATTGTAAATGTGATTGCTTTCTTGATGATTTTCATTATTGGTTTACAAAAATGCAAATAAATTTTGTATGTGATTCTGTTTCAGGCAAATTTACTGAATTTGTTTATCAGTTCTAAGAGTTTTTTGCTGGTCTTTAGGTTCTATGTAAAAGTATGATGTATGAAGAGGGAAAATTTGAATTCTTCTTTTCTAATTTGGATGCTTTTTTATTTCTTACTTTTGCCTAGTTGCTCTGGCTAGCACTTCCAGTACTATTTTGAATAACAGTGGTAAAATTGAACATCTTTGTTTTGTTGCAGCTCTTGAAGAAAAGGCTTTCAGTTTTTCCCCATTCAGTATGATGTTAGCTTAAGTTGGTTATATGTAGCCTTTATTATGTTGAGGTATATTCCTTCTATACCAAATATATTGAGAGTTTTTATCATGAAGTGGTATTGAATTTAATCAAATGATTTTTTGCATCTATTGAAATGATCATATGCTTTGTGTCCTTTATTGTATTGTGATGAATTACATCTGATATTTATATGTTAAACCATTCTTCCATTCTTGAAATAAATCCTACTTGATCATGGTGTATTATCTTTTTGATGTGTTATTGGACTTAGTTTGTTAATATTTTGTTGAGGATTTTGCAGTTATGTTCTTCAGGGATATTAGCCTTCAGTTTTTGTTGTTGTTGTTCTGTCTTTGTCTGATCTTAGCAATGGCAGCCTCATAAAATGAGATATGGATAATTTTTTTAAAATAGTTTCAGAAGAATTGGTGCAAGTTCTACCTTAAAAGTTGGGTTTAATTTAGCAGTAAACCCATGTGGTCCTGGCATTTTCCTTTTGGGGAAACTTTTTATTATGAATTCAATCTAGTTACTGGTTATTGTTCTGTTCATGTTTTCTATTTCTTTCTGATTTAATCTTGATAGGTTTCACGTGTACAGAAAATAATTTTCTCTTGGGTTTTTAATTTTTTGGCATATAGTTGTTCTCACTAGTGTCTAATGATCCTTTGAATTTCTGAAGTATCAATTGTAATGTCCCTTTTTTCACTTCTGATTTTATTTATTTGGGTCTTCTCTCCTTTTTTCTTAGTCAAAATAGCGGTTTGTCTTTTTTTATATATTTCAAAAACCAACTTTTTGTTACATTGATTTGTTCACATTATATGTTAGTCTACATTTTGTTTAGTTCTGCTCTAATCTTTATTGTTTCTTTCCTTGTACTAATTTTGAGTTTGGTTTATTCTTCCTTTTCTAGCTTCTTAAGGTGCATTGTTCACTTATTTGAATTATTTCTGCTTTTTTGATGTACATTTTTATTGCTATAAACTTCCCCCTTAGCACTGCTTTTGCTGTATCCCATAAGTTTTGAAATGTTTTGTTTCTACTTTCATTGATTTCAATCCATTTTTTTATTCTTTTTTGATTTCATCATTGAAACACTGAACATTTAGGGACATATTATTGAAACTTTCATGTGTTTATACAGTTTCCAGAGTTGTTCTTGTTATGTTATTAATTTCTAGTTTTTTAAAATTGTGGTTTGAGAATATACATTTTATTAGTTTAAGTTTTTAATGTAATTGAGATTTCTTTTGTGGTCTAACATATGGTCTATGTGTGTTTATGAGAAGAATGTGTGTTCTGCAGCTATTGGATGAAATGTTCTGTACTTGTTAGGTTAATTTGGCCTATAGTGCAGTTGAAATCCAATGTTTCTTCATTGATTTTCTGTAAACATGATCTGTCCAATGCTGAAAACGGGGTGTTGCAGTTCTCTACTATTTTGTAGTTTGGTCTATCTCTCTCGTTTGCTCTAAAAATATTTACTTCATATATCTGGATGCTTCAGTCTTGGGTGCATAAATTACAGTTGTTATATCTTCTTCCTGAGTCATGCCCTTTATCATTGCATAATAACCTTCTTTGTCTCTTTATTGTGGTTTTTGCCTTAAAGTCTATTTTGTCCAATATAAGTAGAGCTCCTACTTTATGCTGCTGTTTTCTGTTTGTGTGGAGTATCTTTTTCCATTCTTTACTGTTGCTCTGTCTGTCCTTACATAGAGAGAAATAAGTGTCCTGTAAGCAGCTTATAGTTGGTTCGGTGTTTTTCATCCACTGAGCCAATCTATATATTTTAATTGGGAATGTCAATCATTTAAATTTTCAATTGTTATTTGTAGGTGAAGACTTACTTTCATCATTGTGTTAGTTGGTTTCTGATTTTCTTTTATATCCTTTATTTTTTCTTCCTCTCTTATTGTTTAGTGTTGTAATTTGGTGGTATTTGTAGTGATAACATGATTCCTTCCTGTTTTTTATTTGTGTATCTGCTCTAAGTTTTACACTGTCATGTTTACACAGTGATAGATATTGTCCTTTTGCTTTGAGATGTAGGATTCCCATAAGCATTGTTTTGTACGTCATGATAATGGTGATGAATTCTTTGTTCTTGTTAGTCTGAGAAAAACTTTATTTCTTCTTTATTTCTGAAGTTAATCTTTGCTGTGTATAGTATTTTTAGTTGACAGAGGGGGTTTTTTTTTTTTTTTTTCTTTTTTCCACAAATACATTATGCCATTCTTGCCTGGCCTGCAAGGATTTTGCTGATAAAGGCTGTTAGTCTAATGGAGATTCCCTTATATGTGATTTGATACTTTGTTCTTTGCTGTCTTTAGAATTCTCTTTGACTTTGAAAGATTGATTATAATGTGCCTCACAGAGGAACTTTTTGAGTTAAATCCATTTGTAAGTCTTTCATCCGTATTAGTCAAAAGCTGCACTAGCCCCTAACAAGAGAGTTAGCTTATCCTTTGAAGTTTGAAGTTAGGTATTCACTTCTCTAGCTATGAAAGTTCTAGATGGCATCTTCTTCCAATAAAAGGCCGTTTTGTCTACGTTGAAAATCTGTTGCTAGTGTAACTACTTTCATCACTTATCTTAGCCAGATAGACTTTCAGGATAACTTGTTGTAGCTTCTACATCAGCATCTGCTACTTTACCTTGAACTTTTATATTATGAAATGTTTTTTTCCTTGAATTTTATTTACCAATCTTTGCTAGCTTCAACTTTGTGTTTGCAGATTCATCACCTCCCTCAGCATTCAGAGAATCTAAGAGAATCTGTTTTAGCCTTCTACATGCCTTCCTCACTGAGCTTAATTATTTCTACCTTTTGATTTAAAAATGAGAGATGTTTTAATTTAAAAAATGAGAGATGTTCTTTGTTTCACTTGAACACTTAGAGGCCATCGCAGGGTTATTATTCAGCATAATTTTAATTTTTTTGTGTCTCAGTGAATAGGAAGTTTTGAAGAGAGGAAGATATAGGGGAATTGCTAGTCAGTGGAGCAGTCAGAATACACACACTCTTTTTTCAATTAAGTTCACCACCTTATATGAGTATGATTCATACTGCCCCCAAACAATAACAATGGTAACATCAAAGACGCTAATCATAGATTCCCACAAAATATATAATAATAATACAGAAGTTTGAAATAATGTGAGAATTACTAAACTGTGGCACTGGGACACCAAGTGAGCACATACAGCTGGAAAAGTGGCAATGATAAACTCACTCAGTGTGGGGTTGCCATAAACATTCACTTTGGAAAAAATTAAATAACTCCATGGTGCAATAAATGAAGCACAATAAAACGAGGTATGGCTGCACCAGCTAACTGTGGTCTATAGTTTAGTAAGTTGGGTGATAAAATCTTTGAGAAGCCATGCTTTCCATTGGAACTACAACCTACTCCAGACAGAGAAAGAAGATAATAAACTTCTACAAAATACAGATACAGCCAACCACTTATGCTGAAGAGGATGACATAGAAAAAAAGGCAGATGGGGAATTAAAAGTTTTTGTTTATTTTAATCTTTCCTTGTTCATCAGTAAATCAAATGTAGAAGATACTGGTAGAATGTGCATATGTCAAGAAATGAAATAAAAACAGTTGAGATAGTTGCAGCATCCCCCCTGTTCTTGTAGTTAGCTCATTGGATCTGATATTGCATGATACAAATGAATGATAAAATCCTTGGTAATAATTCTAATTTAAATTTTCTTTACTTACAATTATATTAAATAGCTAAAAAATTACCATTATAAGGTTAAGAAAGAGAGACCAGGATATACATTTAAAGGTTTCATATTTTAGTATATTTAATGTACTTTTTCTGCTTTTCTGGCTTTTTAAAGAGATCTCAATTTTTAGTTAGCTTTGGTCCCTCCAAATTGTATAATGAACTTAGTGTCACATGAATGTGTATTTTAAAAGATGAGAAAAATATTTGTCTTTTTGATCTTTAATTTTATGTGCCAATTGGATTGAGTCAAGTAACTTCAGAGTAAACATTATTTCCGGATGTGTCCATAAGGGAGTTTCCCAGTGAGAGTAGCATTTGAATCAGTGGACTAAATAAAGGTGGCCTCCCTGTTGTTGGTGGGTATTTTTTTTTTTTTTTTTTTTGAGACGGAGTTTAGCTTTTGTTGCCCAGGCTGGAGTGCAATGGCGCAGTCTTGGCTCACTGCAACTTCCGCCTCCCAGGTTCAAGCAATTCTCCTGCCTCAGCCTCCCAAGTAGCCATGATTACAGGCACTCGCCACCATGCCTGGCTAATTTTTGTATTTTTAATAGAGACAGGGTTTCACCATGTTGGCCAGGCTTGTCTTGACCTCCTGACCTCAAGTGATCCTCCCGCCTCGACCTCCCAAAGTGCTGGGATTACAGGCATGAGCCACCATGCCCAGTCAGTGGTTATTTTTAAGGATCTGAATATAACAAAAGACAGAGGAAGGAAAACTTTGCACTTTTCTCCTGCGTAATTGCTTGAACTGAGTTATCTCATCTAAGATTTACATCATTTGTTCCTTTGTTTCTCAGGCCTTTGAGCTTATACTGAATTATACCACCAGCTTTCCTAGGTCTTGAAGCTTACAGACAGCAGATCTTGGGACTTCTCAGGCACCATAATCAATCATGTGAGTCAATTCTTCATAATACAGTTGACCTTTGAACCATTCAGGAGTTAGGAGCACTGACCCCCAGCACAGTAAAAAATCTGCATAATAATTTTGACTCCCCCAAATCTTAACTACTAATATCCTACTGATTACCAGAAGCCTTACTGATAACATAAACAACTAACTCATATTTTGCATGTTATATATCTATTATATACCATATTCTTACAATGAAGTGAGCTAGAGAAAAGGAAATGTTATTAAAAATTATGAAAAAGAGAAAATATATTTACTACTTATTAAGTGGAAGTGGATCATCATAAAGGCCTTCATCCTCATATTTTTCACATTGAGTAGGCCGAGGACGAGGATAAAGAGGAAGGATTTCTCTTGCTGTACTAGGGGTGGCAGAGGTAGAAAAAAAATTGCATATAAGTGGACCCATGCTGTTAAACTCATGTTATTCAAGGGCCAACTGTACATCAATAATGTATATGTATAGGTATTATATATAATGTTATATATGATAAACTATTTGTGCGTGTGTGTGTGTGTGTGTGTTCTGTTTTTCTAATGGACAGTGACAATACAGATTTTTGGTTTGGTTTCTCTGAAAAACCCTGACTAATATAGTCCAAATATGAAATATATATTTCTAATTAACAAAAACTTTATTTCAGCAAACAGAGAAACCATATTTCAGCAAAACCAAGGGAACTGATTTTCCTATGAAATTATAATATAATGGCTTAGGATAGAACTTCTGTAAGAATTACCTAGAAAACACAGAGGTAATAAAATTGCGGTGGTATATTTACCTGTACTTTTAAAAATTGCCATTCTTTCAAGCAGCAAAAGTCCCCCACTTTACATTATATTTCATTAATCTCTTTCTAAAAAGAACTTGAAATACGTCAATTGCTTTAGCAGAATATTATACATGGAATCTAGAGGATTATTTGAATATATTCATATAAATTTGTTCATATATTTATGTTTTTGTCAACAATTGGTAATAAAATGAATAAGCAATCTTATATTAGTATCCCAGTTGTAACAATCAAATCAAATTAATAGATGTGGTTCATATCACTTCAATTAAGATAGTAACATAGAGTATTGTTCGCATACTAAGACTTCATTGCCAAGGTAAGGAAATAAGATACCTTGATATTGTTTTTGAATTTTACCCAAAAGATATACAATTTTCTCATGTCCTAGATAAAGAAAAGTCAAAGTAACAGACCCATTCGAGATTTACAGAGGAAGACAATCTTTTCTTCTCACCTTGGTACCAAATAGACAGTAAAAGTCTGCATAAAGATGTTTCCATTAAGTCTATTGAAATCAATTTTGTTTTAAAGTTTAATGTGTTTTCTTATGTGATAAGATTGTTGACCAGTGATAAGATTTTCTAGCAGAGTAAAGTTTTAAGAAAAACAGGTATTGACTTTCAAAGACTCTTCCTGGCTGTCTTCTATTGTATGAGTATCTTCACGTAGAATCTCAAAGATAAGAAGAAAAGAAGCAATTATTGAAGATATAGTAGATTTTTTTAACTAGCTAACAAGCTGTGCAAGTAGTGGAATATCTTGAAACTAACAATGAGAAGAGGAAGTCATTATCTGAGATAGCTAATCAAAGTGACCACACTTCTAAACTGACCACGCTTAATTAGTTATGGAAAGCATATTTTTCAACCCGCTATGTTAACTTTTACAGAAAAAATGTCATTGAGTTAGGACCCTATGGCACATAAGAATATTTTTTACAACAGTTAAACAAAGCATCTAGTAAAAGTAAAATTGCATAAATTTTGTAGGTTTTATTACTGAGGGATAGCAGGATAATGCAGTTATAATGTGAATTTGTTACAAGAGGGCAAATGTAAAATTGTTGAATATATACAGAAATAAACGATTTAATTATCATCTTCACTTTTTGTTTTAATTTGTATTTCATATGTCTTTTCTAACAGAGATAAATGATCCAATGATTCGGAACTTGAAAAGTGGTAGCTTTATGAATTCTCCTTAAGAAGAAACCTGTGCCCCGATCTTGCCTACTCACCCAAAGGCACTGTGAGGTAAACAACAGGAGTGTGGATGGAAAATCAATGGAAAGTGAAAAGTATGGAAATTATAAAACCTCAAACACATTTAAGAAAAATACTAAGTAAAGGAATATGGGTATTTGGTCTAGGGACACAGACATGTAATTTATTTCAATATTAAAAAATTCACTTTCCCATGCATGATGTATAGTGACCGCCATATGAGTTTTTAAAAAGGTGCAGGATTTTTTTTTCTTGGCTTGATATACAGAAGAAAAGAAAACAAAAATTATGATAACCTTCTGATGCTAATTGACTGTTAATAATAAGCTTGTATATCAGGAAATTCATTCCACTCTTTTTGTGCTTAGAAACACAGGAAAACCACATTCCCAACACTTCTTTGAAGTCAGTTTGCAGGCCATGCAACCAAGTTCTGGACAATGGAATATAAAGAAAGTGAAGCAAGTCACTTCCAGTTGGGCCTTTAGAAAATTCTGTGTGCTACCTCCGTTCCCTTTCCCCCTTCAAAGCTTCCTTGGAAGCACTGAGTTAGATGGTAAAGTTACAAGAAGGAAGAAGTCACAGAATCATCGTTTAATGGAGAAAACTGTGGAAAGCTGTGAAGTGATCAACAAATAAAACATTAATGAGCAAAGACACAGGGATTTAGCAGTTTATTGCCACAGGATAGTTTAGAATATTCTGATCAGGAAATAACTTTATACAGGAGTGAGGTGCTACACCATGAAAAATCTAACTTACATTGCAAAACATTATTTTCATGTCTCATATAGGAAGGCAGCAATTATAAAAGGGACTGCAAGTCAAGACATGTAAGAGACTGACAAATATAAAGACAACCTACTGTAAATTGGGAGGCAGATGACATACTTACAAAACAGAGAATTAAGAAAAATGATAGTATGTATTTGTAGCCATTGGTGAATTTTTAAATATATGAGAAGAAATATTAGAGAGACTCCAGAAATTCAAGGCCTTCCAAGAGTAAGAGAGAATATGTCTGACATAAGATTTTATACAAAATAGGCCAGTAAAAGAATCTTGGTCTAGTAAAGTGACCCCCAATGAAAGATCAAGTTAATGATGGCCCTTCTATCTTTTTTTTTTTCCAGATAGCATCAAAGGAACAGCTAGTAAGAGACACAGAGCCAGAAATCAGGGAAGTAAAATACACTTGACATCTACATTCGGAAAGAAATTTTAGGAGGCAGAAGCAAATGGATCAGAAGCTGCTTATATTTTTGCAAGATTACCAAAGAAACCATTGGTGGAGAAAGTTCTGTGACCAACTTGTCTGAGTCTAGTAAGACTGAACGCTCACACACAAGTTTCATGAAGTGGGTTTGATACTTACAGATAAGCAGCAAGGACCAACAGAAGCTGATGATCTATGGTGAACTTTTTCCCAAGGCTCCGGAAAGCTGCCTAAAGTAGATGGAGTCTTCTCTGTGTGTGCCCCACTGGTCCTGCAGTTGAAGGATCCGGTAAAGCAGCCTGCCCTGGGTTTTACACTCCAGAGGAACGTGATTCGCTGGACTAAAGCATTGAAGTGCATCCTGTTTCCGGGGGGCACTGGAACAGAGCCTGGTCTGTTCTAGCCAGTCCCTTTCTATCTCAGGATGTTGCATTCCCAGTACATTCTACAGTTATTCTTGAGAACTATAATCAAATAAGCAGGGAGAACTGGGTAAGTCCAAGGCTTATCTATACAAGCCTTTAAATATTCAAGACCAAAAAAAAAAAAAAAAAAAAAAAAAGCCTTGGTTCTTATCTTTCTTTCAGGAAAGCAGAGGCTCATCGTGGAACCCTCAAGGAGCATGTGGTCGTCTTCATCCCTCAGTTTATAAATGGCCAAGGAGAGTAATGCAACAAAAACTTCTCAGACTTAAGAGCCAGAGTTCCTAAAGAACCGTGGACAAAGGGTTCTGTCTAGTGGGCAGAATTCATCCAGCGAAGGTGCTTACTGCACTCCCAGCATGTGCTTGGGAACTTTATTAAAATTCCTTCCTATTGAGATTTAAATTGCTGTCCAGAATTATACAATATAATGAATGGGGGCATTCATTATGTGTATTCTATGCCTTCTCCATCATTGCATATTCAGTCCTCGTGCTAGAGAGAGGCAGATAATCTACCTTTTAAATTTATAGGTCTCCTAACTACAGAGGGTCACATCTGGATCTGATGGTACCTACAGAACTTGGACTCTGAGCGACAATCAGTGACCAGGTGTGACTTTATATTATCTCTGTCAGGGAAGGGTGAGAGTGTTCAGTGTGTGAACATAGAATAAAATGGTCTGGTGACCAAAAGGCTCTATTAAAGATAATATGAGATGTTCAAAGCACTGGCTATTTTCTTGGGAACAAAAGTTGAACTTCTAAATCTTTCTCACAGATTGTAGACCAAAGGAATGAATTCTGATTGGCAGAATATAAGCCTACGTAATATAAAAAAGACTTCCAGGTTTGGCCCTCTGAGTCTTGACTCATTACACACCATCTCACAGCCTTATTTTGCCTTTCAGCAGGAAATTTGGAACCTAGGTTTTCCCAACCTACATCTACAAAATGGAATGGGTCTGATTCACAAGTTTTCAGAGAAAGAAGCCAACCTTAATCAGACTGTGATATGATGAGGAAATAAAAATTGCTGTGCTAATCAACTGATACTGGGAAGCATGTTTATTATAATAACATAGTCTATGCTTAACTTTTCGAAGAAACTAATGATCTGGAATATCGATAAAAAGAAAAAAGAAAGAAAGCAAAAGGACAGAAAGTTTTAGTGAGAATATGTCACTAAAAGAAAAATACAAAAATCTCCAGGTAATTGTTCTTGTCTGTCACTATAATCAAAGTGGTATTTCACCCCCCATCTGTTGTCCCTGCTTTGATGAGTGAGAATAGAAGAGCAGTTCCTGGTTACATGTTGGCAACAGGAGGGTATAAATATCAAATTGCCTTAAGCACTGGCAAAGGCTTAAGAGTCCATCCTAAATTGAGGGATTATCCAGTACCCTGTTTAGAATGGAAATAAATCCTTGCACAGTACTTTCAACTCAATAACTGAAAAAATGCAGAGAGCAAATTCAACAATTTGTATTACCAACAGCCAGCTGAGTCCAACTTTCTAAATCCATTGGAAAACAGAAAAGCAGAAAAGCAGAAAAACAGGCATCAGTAACTGTCCTAAAAAGTGAAGGACTCAGGAGGCTGAGGCAGCAGAATCACTTGAACCCAGGAGGCAGAGGTTGCAGTGAGCCGAGATGGTGCCACTGCACTCCAGCCTCGGCGACAGAGCGAGACCGTCTCAAAAATAAAAAAAAAAAAAAAATGTGAAGGACTGAGGGAAAGAAACAGAATAGACCATAATGAGTCAGATGCGAGATAAGAGAAACAGGGCCCGGAACATATGCCCTCAGATAGAATAAGAACAATATCAAAGATGAAAATCCAAGAAAACACCTTGAGGAAAATAAGATGATAGTAATACTAAATATATATGTTAAAGGACTAATTTTAATGAGATACCTTCACATAGGTAGGAAGAAAAATAAATTCAATGTGCAGATATTCCTTATGTATATACCAATGAAAGTAAAGAGACAGATAAAATAAGTCAGGCAAATGCTAACATAAGAAAATAGAGTCACATTATTTATTTTGTAATTTGATATCTGAATATTAAAAACTTACACCTTCAAAGTGCAGATATAACTCCCATGAATGTTGACACACTAAGTAACAGTAAAATACATTAAGCCAATTAGAACTGTAAGAAAAAGGAAAGCAACACAGAATAAAAACAAGACTCAGTAGGTGATCTTTATCTAGAATCAGAACAATTAAAATAAAATAATGACTGGAGAAAAACTGAAGTAAGTACTATGTTTAATGCCTGTAAGCAAATATACGTATTTTGAATTGTGACATGATTAAAAAAGAACATATGATTTTCAAGTGTTCATATAACACATTGAAAAATTAAGCATAAACTCCCCGAAATTCTTATACCTAAATGTCATAAAATAAGTACCAATCATACCAACTACTTTTCTGAACATAATGCAGTGAGATCTATAAAACAACTGATATTTTGTGGCTGTTGTTTACCGCATCAAAAGAAGACTAATAAAGCAATGTATTTACCCTGTGAATGTATATGTTCAAATAATTTATATAGACTGTACACATAATATTCTTTTAATTTTCTTTATATTTCTTCTTATATATCCATTTTCTAAAATAGTGAGTTATGCTTTTATTCACTAGATTTTTTTCTGTTTAAATTTGTTTAGGTATTATATTTGATATTTTATTAATTTCTGTATTGATGTTTATCATTTACTTCTTCCAGTTTTCAAATATTTTATGATTAAAATTATAGATCATTGTTTTAAGACCATCTTATGTAAATAGCAAAGGTTTGATTTGTAATGATTTTATAAATATACATATTTTAATATAATCAAATTGTTAATATGCTGGTCTACACATTTGCCTTTAGTTTCCATTTTTACCCAAGATACGCTAGACAAATATTTTCATGTTATTCTAAAGATTAGAATTTTTATTTTGCTGTCAATAGCTCTTTAATATCTTTCATATGTTCTATCTACCTATATCTCTGTGTGATCTTTGTTAAACCCATATTCTGAGGTTTAGATTTCCCAACCACCCAATACTGGTGGAAATTCTGATAGTTTTTGAAACCATGTCTCAAGACTTGTCCCATGGAAAATAAAGGAAATCTCTATTCTGTCATTGGCTGGGAACTGCTCTAGGGTGTTTACATCCCTGGCAATTTTTATTTTTCTCATGTTGAGCCTGAAAGAAAGTCACCGATCATGAAATGCGAGCATGGACAGGGACAATTAGTCCAAAGGGAAAAATTAGAGACACTGACTGTTCCATTATACGTAACTATATACCTAGTCACTCAATATAATGAAGAGTTTCATAATTAGTCAAAATGAAATTGAACCATATTAATTCTACATGGAACAATTCAAAATGAATTTAGTCTGGGTATAGATGGTAAAGAGAAAAAGTGAATTTAATTAGAACACAATTTCAATCAAATTAAGTCTTTGCATGAGTTATCAAGGACACAATAAATAACTGAACAATTCCAAAGAGTTACTTTCATAGTAATTTCAAATAATGCTCTAATTATCTCGAATATGTGTGTGCCAGATAAAAAAAAACCTTCAATTTTCTAGAGGAAGAGTTGAAAATTGTGAGAAGAAATATTCAGAAAAAAAAAATGTTGATTTATTTGCCTTAACAATTTAAGCTTACATAAATAAGTATGGACATAAAAATAGAGTACCACACTGGCCATACACAGCATGCTTGAGATCAATCCATAAGGATAAATATATACATGTACTGTATTCCTTTCATTGCTATATGTTACTTTTTGCATCACCTCATTTTATGTATTTAAATTCATTAGCCCCTATGAAGTTAATGTATAAAATAACTAATTTTTTATTTCTCTAAAAATACTTTATTGAATAATTTATAATTTCCCCTTATATTTATAGTGAAACCACTGTTATTTGAAGTTTGTATATGACTATAATTCTCCTCTGATTATATCTGGTTTTCACTTTTTAATTTTTAATTATTCTTGTATCCCTCAATGAACCTCATTTAGTCATTATGCATTCTTCTTTTTTTTTTTTTTTTTTTTTTTTTTTTTCTGAGATGGAGTTTCGCTCTTTTTGTCCATGCTGGAGTGCAATGGCGCTATCTCAGCTCCCTGAAACCTCTGCCTCCTGGGTCCAAGTGATTCTCCTGCCTCAGCCTCCCAGGTACCTGGGATTACAGGCATGCGTCACCACGCCCAGCTAATTTTGTATTTTTAGTAGAGGCAGGGTTTCCCCCAGTGGCTTTTACTGATTCTGACACAGGCCAACTCTAAGCTTGAGACAGCAGTGGAAGGGTTTCTGTGGGTGAAACAGGCGTGTCTCAGGCTTGTCAGCCAGGTATGACAAAATATGTCTTAGGTTTGATTCTCATATGCATGATGACTACAAATATTTTTGCAAATGTCAGTATTTTAACTTCATATATAAACATAAAATCTTCAAAACACTAACACAAATTAGAGTTCTTCTATCAATGCTCATAGCTAAACATACCAGAGTAAAGATTTTGCATCAGCCTCCTTTTTTGAGTAAGAAGAAAAACAATCAAACAAGCAAATACATCTCAATCATCAATAAAATGAGAAGTCAACCATGACCACTAGCCACAAACTATGAAGAAAGACTCACTAGTGCAGTGAAAATTAAGTGTTGAAGTAAAGCATGGTCTCATACTTGTACAGACCTACAGCAGTGCAAGTGCTCTCCAAAGGTAGGCTATGCATTATGAGGAGTCAAATTTAAAAAATCTCTTCCTTCCTATGCCAGGTAGATGTCTATTAAAGACTTTTGCTAACATAAGCAGCACTGAATGAGAGCAACAGGCAAACAAACATTCTTTATAGATACAGCTATGATAAAGAGAGGATACAGAGATTATGGTCAACAGTGCTGCACCAACTAAACTTAGTCAACTGAACTAAATTTACTGTTAATTCACAAAAGTAATGCTGAAATATGTATTTGCTGGAAGAAAAAAGACTTCTTATCCAGAGCAAAACCAGATTATACAGGCTGAGGTACGGTGTTGGTGGAGAAGCTTTGGTCCATAATTAATTCTCAGTGTGATCACTAGAAAATTATCTGCAGAGAACCTAGGTGAATTCATAGCTTGAAAATGATATGAAGAAAAATTTGGATAACAAAGATGAAAATGTTCAAAAGAGGTTAATTATACCACAAACTATATAAATATTAACATACATTTCTGCAAGCTATCAAAGAAATAAAGGAACATTTTGGCTTTTTAAACATAGAATAAAAAATGATGTGAAAGTGGCGTTAAAAATGTGAAATGGCAACATCAAGGAAGAAATAGAAGATATCCATAAAACTATCACAGAAAGAAAAAGTCTAAGTAAAACAGCAGATTGTCATGAATAAGGAGGTAAATAAGGAGAAAAAAAAATGAGTGCAATGAAATTATAAAAAGATGAACACGTTTAAAACAAGATCCCCTAGTGTTATCATACATATGTATAATATGAGACTTGGATGAAGAGAATAGAAGAAATGTCTACTAATGGGGAAAGGAGGGCTAATAGTGCAGACTTCTTCTTAAATACGTTTGTAGACCAGAGGAGTAAACTGAATACACCACTACTGAGTGACTGAGCTTCTAATGTGAGATTTTATTATTTTTAACATTTTTGCAAGTAACCAAAAATGTTTTGCTTGGTTCACATGAAAGTTTGATATATGTGTGGTTAGTAAGCTCCATATTCCAACATTTGTGTTCAAGCACAAGATCAAATAAATTAATATAAATAAATACAGTGTGAATTCATTAATCTGTGTAGATGCCTGACTGATTATTGTGCAAAATAATTCAAATGGATGTTCATTTTTGAAAGAATGAATATGCTAGAATTTGTTATGGAATTACTGATGTTTTTACTTCTGATTATATTTTGTTTCTAGGCTGGAATCCAATCAATAGCATGTCTTTCACTGCCTGATTCAGAACATCACAAGAAAAAAACAGGAGTTAAGCAAAAGGAAGATTAAATTAACATTCTAATGTTGATAAAGGAGATAGTGTGTAATACGACAATAATGAGGTTCCCATGACGGCACGTCAATATTGAATATAAATCCAACCACAGCCATTGGCATCACTTACCAACCCCACAGCAGGCCACCTTCCCTGAGGCAGAGACTGTAATAGCTTTTGAGACACAGAGAGTGTGTCTCCAGCAATCGAGCAGGTTCGGCAAAAAAGAATAGGATTCCTACATTCTCAGTTCATCTCCACAAACTCACGTATTAAAACAATCATTCAGTTCTGGGACAAGGTCCACCTGTATTCATTTAGTGAAGCCCCTCCACATATTTGCTGTTACAATATTAATTTTAAAGAATGAAGTTATATTTACATGTGTTTTTCAAACATTTAGATAATGGTGATAGATGTGTTTTCACGGAGATCATCAATATATATCTTAAATACATTGCCCCAAATAAAGCATTATTTTACAGAAAATATAGAGATGTTTTCATGTAAATAAATGCAAGTCACAACTTATATAATTATATATTTTTGTTTAATAATTAAACCATTGGGAATTTATGGATCACATAATTCAAATTCCTCTGCATGGTCAGGAGAAGCTGTGTCCTGTCCTTCCTTACCTTGGTTTTTTCTATTCTGCCACATGCCAAATGCACTACTCCTGACTCAAGGCTTTATAAGTCTTTTCCTGGAATAGCCCAGCCATAGTCACATGCCTCATCTTTCCCTTCAGTGTAGGCCTCAATTACTGCCTTTACTGCACCTATTTAAAATATTCTCTTGTTATTCTCTATCTACTTACCTGAGTTTATTTTTCTTTATGACATTTTTAAGATCAGACATTATACACTATTTTATTATTTGTTTTGTATTAATCATTAGAATAATAATCCACAAAGGCAGGAAACTTGTTTTGTTTGCCTTTCTATCCCCAGAATTTATATAGCAGCTACTATTGTAAAGTAGATGCATAATAGCATAAATGAATGAATAAGTAGTTGAATGCATGAACAAAGGAATGAGAAAAAAAAATTCTAGTTAACATTTTATTAATGCTAACTTCTGAATGTGGGTGTGTGTGTATGCATATTTCTTGTTTTCCGGGCATTATTTCATCATGCAATCAGGATATATGTAAAATACTCCACTTTGTTTAGGGTGATATAGTGCTTCAGAGGGTTAATTAAATTTAGATAGACCCATGTTCAAACTTCAGCCATACAACTTATTTATTTTTTTCTTTTCTTTTTTTTTTTTTTATTATACTTTAAGTTTTAGGGTACATGCTGCTGGAGAGGATGTGGAGAAATAGGAACACTTTTACAACTTATTATCAATCACATGATATTGGCTGAGAAATAGTCTCCAAATTTGCTTATGTCTTTAATGATGAGAAAAGGCTCAATAGACATTCTCTTTTATCAGTGTTATCGTGAATAAAGAGACTTGACCATAGAAATGTACCTACTTTAGAGAAATGGAATCTATCACTAATTTTTTCTTGAAGACAGCTGATGAAGCTTACTCTGTAATTAAATAGAAGGCAGTGTATTTTAACATTTAACTTTTCCTCACTCTAATTTTTTGGATAGAACCTATGTTGATATTCATTCTTAAACTCATTGTAATTTAAATTCCAATATCCCTGGCTTAAATATAAGAAATGATTCAAGACATTATAATTTTGTTATAGAGACAATAAAAATATCTGCAATACTAATTCGTTGTATGCATATGTAATAATTTTTATTTACCATCATAATATCCAGTGTTTTGCCTCATGACATAGTGCAGGCTTGGCTTTTTTTATTAATAGATTTTTTTTAGACTGGTTTTAGTTCACAACAAAATTTACCCAAAGCTGTGTAAAATACCCATAAATTACCCTGCCTAGACAAATACATAGCCTTTTCCATCTCCCACTAGAGTGGTACATTTTGTTACAATTTTTGAACTTGCATTTACTCATCATTATCAGACAAACTTCACGTTTCCAAACTGCATTTAAACAAATGTAGCTCTCATTTTAGTTTCATGCAGAGTAGATTCACTGCGCTAAAAATCCTCTGTGCTCTGCCTATTTATCCCTCCCTCTCTCTAACATTTGGCAACCATTCATCTTTTTACTGCCCCATCATATGGCCTTTTTGAGAATGTCATATGGTTGGAATCATACAGTGGATTTTCTGTTCACTTAGTAACAAGCATTTAAGTTTCTGCCATGTCTTTATAGCTCATTTCTTTTTAGCTCTATATAATATTCCATTGTTTGGATATTCCTCAGTTTATGTATCCATTCACCTACTGAGGAACATCTTGGTTGCTTCCAAGTTTTGGTCATTATGAATAAAACTGCTATAAACATCCTTTTGCAGCTTTTTATGTGGACATAAGTTTTTAGCTCCTTTGGGTAAATACCAAGTAGCACGATTGCAGAACCATATGGTAAGTGCTATAGTTTGAATATACTGTTTGTACCCACCAAATCTCATGCTAAAATTTGATTCCAATGTTAGAGGTCGGCTAAATGGGCAGCATTTGAGTGACAGTGGCAGATTCCTCATGAATAGATTAATGCCCTCCTTCAGGCGTGAGTTCTTACTCTTAGTTCCCAGGAGAGCTGATTGTCAAACAAGAAACTGGCACCTTATCCTCTTTCTCTCTCTTGCTTCCTTTCTCACCGTGTAATCTCTGCACATTCCAGTTCCTCTTTGCCTTCTACCATGAGTGGAAGCAGCTGGAGGCTCTTACAAGATACCTAATCTTGAACTTTTTCAGACATCAGAAACATAATGCAAATAAACTTGATCTTGGTAAATTACCTAGCCTTCGGTATTTCTTTATAGCAACACAAAACAGACTAAGACAAAGGATGTTTAGTTTTGTAAGAAATTGCCAAACAAAATATCTTCCTAAATTGCTGTACCATTTTTCATTCCCACCAGTAATGAACATAGTTTCCTGTATTTCCACATACTTGACAGCATTTGGTATTTCCACATCCTTAACAGCTTTTGGTATTGTCAGTGTTCTGAAATTGGACAGTTCTAATATGTGTGTAGTAGTCTCACATTGTTTTAATTTGCATTTCCCTGATGACATAAGATATAGAACATCTTTTCATATGTTATTTTCCATCTGCGTATCTTCTTTGGTGAAGTGTCTGTTAAGGTCTTTGGCCCACTTTTGCATCAAATTATTTGCTTTTTTTATGGTTGAGTTTTGTAGCTCCCCACAACAAAGAATTAAGCCACTTCAACAGCTAACAGTGCTGAACTTGAGAACGCCGCTCCTGGTGGACAGTTGCATGGTGTCTGTTTTTGACAATAATGAATAAAGGTACTTGTGCAAGCCTTTTTATAGACTTAAGCTTTTCTCCCCCCTAGGATAAATGCCTAGGGGTAGAATTGGTACATGTAAGGTAGATTTAGTTATCCAAAGTAGCTGTACTGTGTTACACTCCCACCGTCAATGTATGCAAACTCTAGATTCTGGTTTCTTGACATCTATGCCAAATATTGGTAACACAATTTTTAAAATAGTAGCTTTTCTAGTAGATGTGTATAATTATCTCATTTTATTTTTTATTACTAACGATATTAAGAAATTTTTCATTTGCTTATTTGCTATTATATCATTTTTGTGTAGCATCTGTTAGTTCTTATAGTTCTCTTGTTTCTATGTTGTACATTATATTTATATATTCTTGCTCTTATTCATAATAAATAGTATATATAATTGCGGAATTAAACATAAACATTAAAGTATAAATATATTTATACATTTCTGTAGTTTATCATTATATAATTATTGCTTTCTGAATAAAAAGAAATTTCTCCACGGTTTGGATAAAAAGAAATGCTTTCATGTAGTTTACTAAGACATTTTCTGTGCTTTATATTTGAAGCCTATGCTTTCACTTTTACACATTGTTCCATAATATATTTTGGACTCATTTAATTTTGAACTCATTCATGCTTTTGTTGTGAGGAAGGACTTGAGGTTTGTTTTCTTCACATTTATCTCGTAGTTCTGCACACTTTGTTAAATAAAATTATCTTTCCCCTTTGAATAACTGCAGTATTTTTGATATTATATTATTCATATAAGCATGGATCTATTTGTGAACTCTATTCCATTCCATTACTCTAATTGTTTATACATATACTAATAACACATTCTCTTGATGACTATAGCTTTAAGTTATTGCATGGTGTTAGGAAGTGTGAGTATTCCAGCTTTTTTTTCAGCTTTTTATAATTTGTTTTTGCTCTCTTGATGTACATTTTTAAATCAGTGTGTCAATTTATATAAAAATATCTTTTGTGATTATGGTGCGGATTTCTAGAATGATTAATTTGGAAAAACCAAAACCTTTTACACACTAAAATTCACTGAACTTTCAAGCCATGATTATTGTATTAGTTTGTTCTGGCATTGCTATAAAGAAATACAGAAGATTCAACAATTTATGAAGAAAAGAGGTTTAATTGCCCCACTGTTCTGCAGGCTATACAGGAAGGATGATGCTGGCATCTACTTAGCTTCTGGGAAGACTCAGGAAACATACAATCATGGCAGAAAGCAAAGGGGGACAGGCACGTCATATGGCCAGAACAGCAAGAGAGTGAAAGGGGAAGGTGCTACACACTTTTAAATGACCAGATCTCATGAAAACTCACTCACTCGCTATTATGAGAACAATATCAAGAGGGATGATGCTGAACCACTCATGAGAAATCCACCCCATGATCCAATCACCTCCCACTAGGCCTCACCTCTAACATTGGAGATTACATCATATCAGATTTGGGCAGGGACACACATCAAAACCATCAATTATTGTATGTGACTCCATTTATTTAGAACTTTCCTACATCTCCCAACACTTTGGCTAGTTTCCTATTTAGAGAGATCTTGCATGTAATTTGTTAAAATCATATATACATATTTTTATTAGTATTTTACATGAATTTGATTTTTATCATTAATTACTCATTGGAAATATATAGAAATAAGTTAATGGGTTGACTTATTTTTTCTATGATGTGGCTAAAATTACTAGTTTATTCCAGCAGCTGATTTTTACAGTCACTAGAAGTTTATGTATAGGTAATGGAGTTGTTTAAAAATTTAGAATTGTATTTTTCATTTCTTAACTGTGTATGTTTTACTTATTTATTTGATTTGTCTCACTGGTTAATTCCTCCCATACAGTAGAGAGAACAATAGTGAAAGAGGACACTTTGTCTTCTTCTGGATCTTAAATGAATAATTTATTAGTTCAAACTTCAGTGTGATATTTCCGTAGATGCCTTCTATTTGCTTAAGGATGCTTCTTTGTATTCTATTGGGGCGAGATATTTTTATTATAATTCTATCTTGAAAATGCCAAATGTTTTTTCTGCCTCAGAGGAAGTTTATATATTTTTTTCATTTTACTCAGTTAATGTGGTGAGTTTGAAAATTCAAAATACTTGAAAAATCACGTTCCCATCAAACACTGCTTCTTTCTGTGCCTTTCTAAGAGGACTACCTTCAACTTGGGCATTTAGAGGATACTTCCCTTCCTATAGCTCAGGGTTTTTTTGTATTTTTTTTATGTTTAAATTTTAGTGATATTTCTTTTATGTGTTTTTAAAATATTTTATGGGCTATTGCATTGACCCATTTGTTTCAACTTTACAGCTCTAGTTAAATATAAAAATTAATAAAATGTCAACACTCAAGTATTACATATATCCCTTGATCTGGTGACTTAGGACTATGAGAAAAATGCTCAATTTCCCTCGATAGAAGGAAGTATCAACTTTTTTATTTATTTATTTATTACTGTAGTCTCACAGCCTAAAAATCATTAGGTCTCCATTGATCAGCAAGCAAATGATGATGATTGTTTTTCTGAATTTTTGACAATTTCAGAATAGGCAAGAAAGCTAAATTTTAAAAATAAAATGCCAACACCAAGAATTTAAAATCAAATTCGTCACAATGAATCCCAACAGGAAATAGTTCTTCATTTTATGATTACTCAGAGATTTTGCTTGTTGTAGTGGTCTTCCTTCTGGCTCATAATTTTTTGCTACTCTGCAGCAGAAATAATAAGAAATATTTTCCCAGTCCACAGCGGTGAAGGAGAAGAAAACTATAAATCAAAAGTAGCATATTCTGTGGATCATTTATTGAAATAAACACAGTGAGTACAAGATGGGTAATCTATTTGCATAATCAAAGACACCCTTCATCTGTGTCTATTTTTTTCTTTTCTTTTCTTTTCTTTTTTTTTTTTTTGAGACAGAGTCTCATTCTGTTACCCAGGTTGGAGTGCAGTGGCATGATCTTGTCTCACTGCAGACTCCGCCTCCCGGGTTCCAGCAATCTTCCTGCCACAGCTTCCTGAGTAGCTGGGATTACAAGGTATGGGCCACCATGCCCGGCTAATTTTTGTATTTTTATTAGAGATGGGGTTTCGCTATGTTGGCCAGACTGGTCTTGAACTCCTGGCCTCAAGTGATCTGCCCGCCTCAGCCTACCAAAGTGCTGGGTTACAGGCATGAGCGACTTGCCTGGCTATGTCTATTTTTAACATAGTTATAGTGAACTATAATTATTTTTACATAAAAACTATTCTTACAAATGTTATATGTATTTTAAGAGCATACAAACTTACGGGTTTTTTTATTTAATAAAAACCAGTGGCAGATTGATAATGCAGAATATATTATTTATAAAAAATCATTTGTTGTCATACAAACATATATTTTATTTGAAAATTATACTTTTGAATAGCTTTTTGGAAAGTTAAAGTATTCTCATTTATTGCATACATTTGTCACCAAAATTATACGAAAGAGTGTTTGATTCAAAATGTGTGTGTGTGTGTGTTCCTATATAGGACCCGGATAACACATATATATTAAATAAATAAATACATGTATATATCATGCACACACATTTAAATATAATGTAAATGTGTGTGTGTGTGTGTGTATGTGTATGTGTATGCAGATGCCCCTCTGGAAACAGATTTAAAAAGAATCCCCTCTTTTGAGTGTATAAAGGAGTTCCTTTCTTAAGGAATGGATAACAGGGGTTGGTACTTTGGCTGAATTCCTCTTCCTCTTACTTTCATTAGACTTGGCACTGTTGCATAGAACACAATTTTCCAAAATGTAATGTCTGTGTTATGCCTGCAAATGTACCATACATAACAATTTGTCATTTTCTGTAATTACATACTGACCTATTTAACATTTATCTAACCACTTATATATCTTAATCAAAATAAATCAACCCATGTAAATTGTTTATTTCTATTGTCTTTCTCAGTATAATGCACAAGATACCTTTCTATCTCTATATGTATTTGTCATTTTCATGTCTGTCCCTAAATGAATTGACTCTATTTTTCTATTACATAGATATGTGATGTTAGTACAATATATGTTAACTAAAAATGGATGATGCAACCTTTTAAAATTATGACCATCACAGTGAAAATTATGTCTCTAAAACCCAATGACCACAGGGACATTCCAGTTTTTAGAAAAATATCAGGGGCTTAGGTATTTTCAGATTAAATTTTTTTTTTTTTTTTTTTTTTTTTTTTTTTTTTTGAGACGGAGTCTCGCTCTGTCGCCCAGGCCGGACTGCGGACTGCAGTGGCGCAATCTCGGCTCACTGCAAGCTCCGCTTCCCGGGTTCACGCCATTCTCCTGCCTCAGCCTCCCGAGTAGCTGGGACTACAGGCGCCCGCCACCGCGCCCGGCTAATTTTTTTGTATTTTTAGTAGAGACGGGGTTTCACCTTGTTAGCCAGGATGGTCTCGATCTCCTGACCTCATGATCCACCCGCCTCGGCCTCCCAAAGTGCTGGGATTACAGGCGTGAGGCACCGCGCCCGGCCCAGATTAAATTTTGAAAAATAGAATATCTTTCCAAATATTTCCAAATGGGAAATTTATGTGGGCAAATTAAATCTTAATGGCATATTTGTTCACATTAAATCTTAATGGCATATTGCCTAAATCTTTCTCAGAAAAGCTTATCCAAATTGCCTAGGACGTTTCCTTTCTCCCATATTACCATCACTGTATACCATCATATTTCTAATAATTTTAATTTTGGAACATGAAAATGGTATTTCAATTTAAATGCGTAGTTTTTCTATTTGCAAAGAGATTAAACATCTCTTCAAGTTTTTAAACTATATGCAGCCCTTCTTTTCTGCTATACCTGTTCATTTCCTCAAGCTATTTTTCCATCAGACAGTTTTATGTTTTCTCATTGATTTGAAGCTTCTATTAAAGTATTGTATACACATGGGTAAATGCACATAAGTTTAAAGCTTAGTGAGTTTTAAAATACTATGATCATCCAGAATAAGAAAATGTAATAGTCACACACCTGATTTCCACCCATCCCTCCTAACATAACACTATTCTAACTTTTACCAGTAAGGAATCAAATAGTGTGTGTAGTGTTTTGAACCACATTTTTTTGCTTAATATTTTATTTGTGAGACTAATTGATTATATGACCTGCAAATGAAACTATTTACATTTATTTCTCTAATATTTTATTAGGTGATCATATTACAACTTATTTGTTTACTGTACTCTTTATAAGTATTTTAGTCCACTTTTGGCCCACAGTTTGGGGTTATTTTGGTGTTATTCTGAAAAGTGTTTTCATGAGTACACATTTTTTTTTAGCTATATATATGCATGCATTTCTGGAGAAACCATCTTTACAAGTAGAATTTTGGGGCCTAATACATATCTTTATCCAAATTATTTGAACTAAGCTATGCCAATAACATCAATTTGAGTGTTCTAACTAGTCAACATTCTCATCAAAACTTTGCATTTTCTCTTCAACTTAGAATTCTAAAATATTCCTTTCAAATTCAGGATTCTGAATGACAAGTACTTACATCTCATTGTGGTTTGAATTTTTTTTTCAGATAACCAATATAAATGAAAACCTTTTAATAAGTTCATTGGTTATTTGAATATTTTATTTTTGAAGTGTCTAAAATATTTTCTTTTTAATCCAGTCCAGTTATTTTTCTGTGGTTTGCTTCTTGTTGTCTTATTGAGTTCATTGCCTTTTTAATATTCTTTTCCAGTTAACATTTCCCCCTCATTGATCTGAAATGTTTTCATTATATACCACCTTTCCATATCTGTCAATGTCTTGATTTTCTATATGATCTTCATCTATCTGTATTTATAACTCATTTTAATCATAGAAGCTTTAAGAATTGCTTAATATTTTGTATTGACTCCAAATTCCATTGATTTTATAGGCTATTTCTAGCTATTCTTGCTTCTTTATTCCTCCAAGTAAATTTGTCTATTTTTCTAAATCTGGAAAAAGAAATTCTAGAAAATATTGTTTGTTATGACACAGAAGATATAAGTTTATTTAAAGAACTGGCACATTTATGATTTTAAGGCTTTTTCAAGAGCATGGAATTTCTTTCCCCGTGCTCAAGTCCAAATTTGTGCCATTCAGAAGTGTTTTCTAGTTTTTTTTTTATATAGGTTTTAAACATTTCTGGTTAAGTTTATGCCCTCACATTTTATTTTAGTTTGGTTAATGACGTTTTACATGTGTGAGTTCCTCAATTATTTCTTTTAAATGTTCTGATTCAATAGGAACAGTCTCCTTAGTATCCTTAACAGAAATGATTCTTGTTTATAGAATTGCTAAATAAGTAAAGAAATTTTAAGTTAAATCATGGCAAGGAGTTATAATTATACAAAGCTTTTTTGTTCCTAGAGATTTTGGCTCACTTATATGGTAATCTATATGAAAATTTTTCTGTGATATCTAATATTAGAAAGATCCTCAATGATAGAATAGTGTTTCTTCCTAGCTGATTCATACATCTTTCTCTGCCAACATTTTGTTTGTTGAAGTGTTCCCCAACATATGACTCATTGCTTACTAAATCCCTATTGAGCAGCCAAAGCCCTGGTGACTAATTATGTCATTAATTTGGGAAAGTCAGAGACAATAAGACTGTCAGTTGAAACTTTGTAGGAGGTAAAAAAGTCACTGCTGTCAGCTGCAAAGATCCTTAAAATGGTCTTTAATAAAGTCAAATTTTGTGACAATAATTATTGCATCAAAGTCGGGGAAATACCTCTTAGATCAAATAAGATACATTGAAAAGCCAAAAATTATTTTTATCTCACTTTGTATTCTCATAAGGTCTATCCACTGTTATTTGGATATGAGACTTAACAAATGGAAAAGAAGACAAGGGTACTATCACACTGTATTTTCCTATGGCCTAACGACCACAATGGTTGATGAACTGCAGTAAAGTTTCTATAATATTTTCCATCTATTCATTTGCTCAATCACCTTGTAATGGTTATGTTGGTTAATTCCAGTCTTTCATGTGTAAGCAACAAAATGAGACTTATTTTGAAATATCCAGTATTTTTCTATTCTTACAAATAATTTTCAGGATCAATGCATTGAGGATTAGGAATGGCAATGTGTATTACTACTTTGATACCAACTAGATCCAATCTAATGTTGGAATTTGTTTGACAAAGTGTTGTGTATTTGAAAATAGGTAGCACTGAATAAAAAGAATATGGGCAAAAGAAAAATGGAAGTGTTTTGAATGGAAGTCTAAAATATTTATTGATCAATGCTGAACTGAGTAAGCAGGAGATGCCTGTACATAAATGACATTATCCTGATCTAGTAACAGGGAGAAGCAGAATATCTGAAAGCTGTTTATTAATTTGATAATAATAAGATTAGAAACATGCAAATCAAGATTAATAGTATTCACTTCTAATTGGGTTTAGGTAGACTTTGACTATTTTGCTTCTGATGTTCTTATATATTTAATTTTCTATAATGATCATATAATATATAATATTTTCATAATATTAAACATTTTAGAATTAAACTCCATTAGAGTGTATCTTTCCTAAAATAATATAAACATCCAATCTTGTCCTTAACAATTCCGTTCTCAAACATTAGCCTATTCCCTCAAGCCAATGTTGCTTTCGACCCATATTGTCCATCATTTCAATTTATCTCAAAGTTTTTTATTGCAACAATTAAATGCTTTGAATGATACCCAAGGCATAGTTCTATTTCAATAAAATTTCAAAGTTAATAGTTACATCAAATTTTGTTGGTGCTCATTGAATTTGATTATTAAAACCATAAGTAGTATGTTTTATGCTGACTGAGGGAGATAAAAGTAGTAATGTTTAATATTCAAACTGTGATGACTGAAAAAAAAAATTACAGGCCCTGTAAAATCTTATTTAATGTCAAATTTTAATTAAACAGGCTTAGCAGACCAAAATTAAAATCTCAATTATTTTTAAATTATTAATGACAGACAACTAGATTGAGTGAACACTGGCATCTCTTTTCAAATAACTTAGTTTAGTGGATGAGTTAAATATAAACTAGTTATTATAATGCAGCGAAGTATGTGAAAAATTTAATTTGAACCCTACTTAGCTTAAAATCCTGACATTCTAGGATGCAAGTCCTGCAAACTTTCCATATGTAATCAACAATTTTCTAAACATGCATGCTGTATCTCTCCTGTGTGACTTTGCATACATCATTCCCACATTCTAGATTATCCCAACCCACCTTAAGTGACTGCTTTTGCATAATCTCCCTTAAAATTCTAACTCAAGCACTGCATCTTTTGAGTCCTTCCCTAACATCTTAACATCTTCCTTCTTTCATTCATCATTAACTATAGTTAGTTATTATAGCACCTGTTAGCACTGTAAAATTATGTGTGTTACACAAGTACAACATGCAGACTAAGGTCGTGTATTACCTAGCCTCATATCAGCGTCACCTAGAACAGCAAAAATGTATGCAGATTAATCACAATATATTTGGATGTACAAAATATATTGAGAGCAAAATATGATGGAAATTTAGGTGATGCTCTTTGAGCATTGCTTCCATTTTCCAATAATGTAACCAGGAATCACTGTTCACGTAATTAAAGAACAATAAGTCTATGTGAATCAAAATATACATATGCATGCAAATGTTAAACCTCAGTAGGAAGAGGCCCATTCTCTTGCTTGCTGCTATATATATATATATATATATATATACACATATATATATGTTGTGTGTATATGTATATACACACAACAATCTATAGGCTTGCTTTTTAAAATAGTATAAGCAACAAATTTTAAGAGAAACAATAATGAGTGTGTAAAACATCAGATATATGTACCTTTGCTATTATTTGTGGAAATGGGGCTATAAAATAAGCTCTTTTATTTTCTTTTGTAAAACATTTCTTTAATATGAAGTAATGCAATACGTATTTATGTTCTAAGTGTTTTAATTTCCTTGGATATAAAATAATATCTTGTTCCTTTGATTCTCTTACATATAAGTGTATTTACTCAGATATTACTCCAAATACACCAGATATATTCAAAGTTGAAAAAATATATACTTTGGAATGTATTATCACCTTATTTCACATTAAGAAATCAAAATCTCTGGCATCCAAGTGCATTCCAGCCTGAAAAAAATTATGCAATTGTGAATTTAACAGAAAGCAAATTGCTCACATATGGAGTCAACGTGAAGCTATATCAATATTTATTAAAAGTTTATATATTACTTTTGATCCCCTGGAGAGAAATACAAAATTCAAATAATTATTCTATTTTTATATCCCAATTTGTAATTATGAAACTCTAGAATTTTAATTTTTCTCTTTCAAGTTTACCTGAAGCTTCACAAAATTCTGTGAGGAATCTATTATAACAGGTATTTTGCTTATTTCCACACAAACAGAAGGAAATGTGTATTTTCTATGCCCTGAAGAATTTACTCTTTTCTGTAAATGACATATGGTAGTTAATTCTTTTTGGTAATAAAATATTCCTGTTTTTATGCCGAACAGCCTTTTCATTTAAATTCAGGGCAACATATCAAAGCTTTGCCGTAATAATACAGAGTAATCAACTAAAGTAATATAGAATTTAAATAACAAAGAGTTTAAACAACTTAATATGTCTTCTATTAATTTCAAACTGAAATTTTACAGAAATTATTTGGAATATGCTGCCAGAGTACACACACACACACACACATCACACGCTCACATCACACACTCACACCCAGCTAAAGGAAATTACCACAGCTATAATGATTTCATTAAATATCTGAAATTAAAGTTTCTTTTGGACTTTCAGCTGAAGCTCATAGTAAATAAAAGTAATATGATCATTGTTGCATACTGTGAATCAACAGCACACAGAAACCTTAGACTTTCTATATTTACACAGCTTAATTATCCGAACTGAAACCTGAGGCCATCTGTGTCAACATGATTTCACAATTCATTCCAGAAAAGTATTTTTCCAGGAAAGTAAGGCTGCAAACCTATAAATAACTTATTGTTTGCTTCAGGAAATTTCTGCAAATCAATTTATGTCAGTAAGCAACTCTCCTCTGGGCCAACAGATTGCTCACCTGGGCAGGTAGCAGCTTGTGCCAGTAACAGTTTACTTATGAAGACTTCTGTCATGGCCCTTAACTCACAGTGTCCCCCAATCCTAAACTCTATGTCCTGAACATTACCTATTCTTGTCAGTCATTGGTCTTGAAAGGCCCCGGGCAACCATTTGAGCCCAGACTTCAATACTCTATCAATACCACCTTATCATCTACTTTTCTAACATAACCCCTCAAGGTGGTGACCCCACTTACAGTCGTATTTTATTGAATTTAGCTTTCCCTAATCAACATGCTAGTCTATTGGATGCAGTGTCAGAGGCAACAATCACAGAGGTTCTGAAAGCATCAGCCCATGGTTTTCTAAACATCATGGTTCAAGACCCTTAACACGAAACAGAAAGTTTCCCCGAGGCGCCGTAAACAACCCGTTTGGGCGCTTCCCTGATAATTATAGTGAAATCTGGCATCTAATTTTTTTTGGTGGACTCTCAAATTTTATATTTATGTTTTGATTCCTAGAAATAAAAAATGTTTTTATAAGGAATTCTTTGATCGTTTATGTTTTATTCTTGATAGAAACCTACTTTATAACTTCGAACATTATTGATGTTCTTCCTGTATTTCTGAGAGGTGACAGCTTGCTGGCATCCCTCGCTGGCTCTCGGCGCCTCTTCGGCCTCAGCCCACTCTGACCGCGCTTGAGGAGCCTTTCAGCCCGCAGCTGCACCGTGGGAGCCCCTCTCTGTGCTGGCTGAGGCCTGAGCGGGCTCCCTCTGCTGGCGGGGAGGTGTGGAGGGAGAGGCGCGGGCCGGAACCTGGGCTGCCTGCGGTGCTCGCAGGTCCAGCGCGACTTCCGGGTGGGCGCGGGCTCGGCGCGCCCCGCACTCTGAGCGGTCGGCTGGCGCCGCCGGCCCTGGGCAGTGAGAGGCTTAGCACCCGGGCCAGCAGCTGCGGAGGGTGCACTGGGTCCTCCAACAGTGATGGCCCGCCGGCGCCGCGCTCGAATTTTCGCTGGGCCTCAGCCACCTCCCCGCGGGGCAAGGGGGCAGGGCTCGGAACCTGCAGCCTGCCATGCTGGAGCCCTCACCCTGCTCCCCGCCCCCGTCCCCTGCCCCCCGCCCCCCAACCGCGGGCTCCCGCGCGCCACCCCGAGGGGACGGGCGCCACCTCCTGCTACGCGGCATCCGGTCCCGTCAACCGCCCAACGGCTGAGGAGTGCGGCAGCGCGCCAGAGACTGGCGGGCAGCTCCGCCCGCGGCCGGGATGCACTAGGCAAAGCCAGCTGGGCTCCTGAGTCCGGTGGGTACTTGGAGAACTTACTACGTCTAGCTGGAGGATTGTAAATGCACCAATCAGCATGCTGTGTCTAGCTCAAGGTATGTGAACGCACTAATCAGTGCTCTGTGTCTAGCTAATCTGGTGGGGACTTGGAGAACTTTTGTGTCTAGCTAAAGGATTGTAAACAGACCAAGCAGCTCTCTGTAAAATGAACCCATCAGCTCTCTATGAAATGGACCAATCATCAGGATGTGGGTGGGGTGAGATAAGGGAAGAAAAGCGGCTGCCAGAGCCAGCAACAGCAACGTGCTAGGGTCCCTTTCCACAGTGTGGAGGCTTTGTTCTTTTGCTCTTTGCAATCTTGCTGCTGCTCACTGTTTGGCTCTGCGCAGAGCTGTAACACTCACCAAGAAGGTCTGCAGCTTCACCCAAAGATATTCCAAAGATACAGAAAACTATATAGAGACATTTTGTATGGTTCTAATAGCACATAATCCACAGGTCCCTGATCGATAATATGGGTTTTTTATAAAATTGGTTTTTTGTATGCTATGAGGAATTTTACTTGTTAAAAAGAAGAGGTGGAAAGGCAGAATATGAAAACTATGAAAATGACATAAGAGACTATGAATTAGGTGAGAAACCAGAGAGATTTAGAAACCTGTAGACATTGTGCATCCCCCAATGCCTTCCCCCTTAAAAAATATTATATTCTAATCCAGTCCATCAAATAAAGTCTACCTTCATTAGAAACATATTCTCTTGGTTTTTATAATTTCAGTTTTTTTCAGACACAGATAGTGCATATGCAGATTTGTTACTTTTGTACAGTGCACCCTGGTAGTGAGCATAGTACCCAGTAGGTAGTTATTCAGCCCATGCTCCCCTCTCTCCCCCACCCCCATAGCCTGCAGCATGTCTTGTTCCCATGTTAATGTTCCTGTGTGCTCAATGTTTAGGTTCCACTTATAAGTGAGAATGTGTGGTATCTGGTTTTCTTTTCCAGCACTAATTTGCTTAGGATTATGTCCTTAGCTCCATCCATGTTGCTGCAAAGGACATAATTTCATTCTTTTTTATGGAGGCATAGTATTCCATAGTGTATATGTACCACATTTTCTTTATCCAGTCCACCGTTGATGGGCACCTAGGTTCATTCCGTGTCTGTGCTATTGTGAATAACATGCTGATGAACATACGAGTGCATATATATTTTTCTGGTAGAATAATTTATTTTCCTTTGAATATATACCCAGTAATGGGAATGCTGGGTCGAAGGGTATCTCTGTTTTAAGTTCTTAGAGAAATCTCCAAAATACTTTCCACAGTACCTGAACCAGTTTACATTTCCACCAACAGTAGTGTATAAGCATTCCCTTTACTCTGCAGCCTGGCCAACATCTAATTTTTTTACTTTTTAATTATAGCTATTGTGACTGATGTGAGATGGCATCTTACTGTGGTTTTTGCTTGCATTTATTTATTTGCTGATTAGTGAGGATGAGTGTTTTTTCATATACTTGAGTGTCTTCTTTTGAGAAAATATCTGTTCGTGTCCTTTGCCTTTTCTTGATTTAAATTTTAAGTTCTGGGGTACATGTGCAGGAAGCGCAGTTTTGTTACATAGATAAACGTGTGTGGTGGTGGTTTGCTGCACCTGTCAACCCATCACCTAGGTATTAAGCCTAGCATGCATTAGCTATTTTTCCTGATGCTCTCCCTCTCCTCAACCCCCTACAGAAAATTATAGTGTGTGTTGTGTGTTGTTCCCCATTGTGTGTTGTTCCCCTCCCTGTGTCCATGTGTTCCCATTGTTCAGCTCCCACTTATAAGTGAGAAGATGCGGAGTTTGATTTTCTGCTCCTGTATTAGCTTTGCCCTTTTTAACTGGGGTTGTTTTATGCTTGTCATTTTTTCTTCCTTATGGATTTGTTATATTAGATCGTTATCAGATGCATAGTTTGCAAATATTTTCTCCCATTCTGTAAGTTGTCTGTTTACTCTGTGGATAGTTTCTATTGCTGTGCAGAAGCTTTTTAGTTTGATTGACTTTCACTTGTCAATTTCGTTTTTGTTGCAATTGTTTTTAGAAACTTAGCCAAAAATTATTTGCCAAGGCCAATGTCGAGAAAAATATTTCCTAGGTTTTGTTTTAGAGTTTTCATAATTTGAAGTCTTACATTTTAACCTTTAATCCATCTTGAATTAATTTATGTGTATGGTGGAAGGTAAGCATCCAGTTTCACTCTTCTGCTTATGGCTAGCGAATTATCCCAGCACCATTTATTGAATAGGGTGCCTTTTCCCCATTGTTTGTTTTTGTTGGCCTTGTCCACGATCCAGATGGTGGTAAGTGTGCAGCTTTGTTTTTGAGTGTTCTATTCTGTTCCATTGGCTTAAGTGTCTGCTTTTGTAACAGTATCATGGTTAGTGTACACTTATAGTATAGCTGGAAATTGGGTAGTATGATGCCTCTCTGGCTTTATTATTTTTGCTCAGAATTGCTTTGGCCATTCTGGCTTTTGGGGGTGTTCCATATAAATTTAGAGTAGTTTTTTTCTAATTCTGTGAAGAAAGATATTGGTAGTTTCATGGAGATAGCCTTGAATCTACAAATTGCTTTGGGCAGTATGGCCATTTTAACAATATTGATTCTTTTAATCTGTAAACATGGAATGTTATTCCATTTATTTGTGTTATCAAAATTTCCTTCCTTCCTTCCTTCCTTCCTTCCTTCCTTCCTTCCTTCCTTCCTTCCTTCCCTCCCTCCCTTCCTCCCTTCCGTCCATCCTTCCTTCCTTTTCTTATTTCCTTCCTTTTTTGAGACAGGGCCTCACCCTTTCACCCAGGCTGGAATGCAGTGGAGTTACTATAGCTCACTGCAGGCTTGAACTCCTGGCCTCAAGCCGTCAGGGTAGTTAGGACTACAGGCATGTGCCACCATGCCTCGCTATTTAAAAAAAAAAAAAAATTTGTATAGATGAGGTTCCACTATGTTGCCCAGGTTGGTCTCAAACTCCTGGGTCCAAGCGATATACCTGCCTCGGCCTCCCAAAGGCATGAACCACTGCATCCAGCTTCAGATTTCAGCTGTGTTTTGTAATTCTCCTTGTGGAGATCGTTCACATCTTAGGTTAGTTGTATTTGCAGGGATTTTATTTTCATCCTAGGTGTTGTAAATATGATTGTGTTCTTAATTTAACTCTCAACCTGGATGTTGTTGTTGTATAGAAATGCTACTAATTGTTGTACATTGATTTTGTATCCTGAAACCTTGCTAAAATCCTTTATCATTTCTAGTAGACTTTTGTTGAAGTCTTTAAGGTTTTTTAGGTATAGAATGATATTGTTGGGTGAAGACAGATAGTTTGCCTTAATCTTTACTTCCTATTTGGGTGCTTTTCTCTTTTTCTGTTGCGAGATTGCTCTGACTAGGATTTCTGGTACTATGTTGAATAGGAGTGGTAAGAGTGGATGTCCTTGGCTTGTTTCATTTCTAGAGGAGAATGCTTTCAGCTTTTGCCCATTGAGTATTATATTGGCTGTGGGTTTGTTGTAGATAGCTCTTTTTTATTTTGAAGTATGCTTATTTGAAGCCTCAACTGTTGAGGGTTTTTTTTTTGTTTTGTTTTTTCATGAAGGGGCACTGGATTTAATTGAAAGCTTTTCCGGCATCCATTGAGATGATCATATGGTTTTTGATTTAATTCTGTTTATCTGGTGAATCACATTTATTGATTTGCATATGTTGAACCAGCCATGCATCCCAGGAATAAAGCCTGTATTGTCATAGTAGATTAATTTTTTGATACGCTGCTGATGGATTCAGTTTGCTAGTACTTTGTTGAGAATTTTTGAGTCTATGTTCGTCAACAGTGGTCACCTGAATGTTCTTTTTTTTTGCGTCTCTGCCAGGTTTTGGTATTAAGCTGATTCTGGCTTCACAGCATGAGTTAGGAAGGAGTACGTTCTCTTCAACTTTTCTGGAATAGTTTCAGTAGAATTGTAGTAGTTCTTCTTTATACTTCCGGTAGAATTTTGCTGTGAATCCATATAGTCCAGGGCTTTTTGGCTTGGTAGATTTTTTATTACTTATTCAATTTCAGAGCTTCATATTGGTCTCTTCAGTATTTCAGTATCTTCCTGATTCAATCTTGGAAGATTGCCTGTTTTCAGAAATTTATCCATTTCCTCTAGATTTTCTAATTTTTGTGTCTAGAGTTATTCCTAGTATTCTCTGAGGATTATTTTGTATGTCTGTGGGACCATTTTTAATGTCGTTTTTGTCATTCTGATTTATATATTTAGATCTTCTCTTTTTTTTCTTTGTTTATCTAGCTAAAGGTCTATCAATCTCTTTTTTTAAATCAACTCTGGGTTTCATTAATCTTTTGTAGGATTTTTGCATCTCAATTTCATTCAGATCTTCTCTATTTTAGTTGTTTCTTTTCATTCCTAGCGTTGATGTAGGGTTGTTCTTTTTTTTTTTCCCTAGTTCCTTTAGGTGTAGTGTTAGATTGTTAATTTGAAATATTTCTAACTTTATGATAAAGGCATTTAAACGTTCCTCTTAACACTGATTTAGCTGCATCCCAGAGATTTTGGTAATTTGTGTTCCCATTTTCATTAATTTCACTTTCTTAAAATTTCTCCCTTAATTTTGATTTTCACACAGAAGTTATTCAGGAGAAAGTTGTTTGATTTTCTTTTCATCTATTTGTGTAGTGTTGAGAGATGTTGATATTTATTTATATTTTGATTACATTGAGATCTAAGAGTGTGCTTGATATGATTTCATTTTTTAAAATTTATCCAGACTTGCTTTATGACCAAGCATGTGGTCAATGTTAGAATATGTTCCCTGTGCAGATGAGAAGAATGTATATTCTGTGGTTATTGAGTGGAGTGTTCTGTAGATGTCTTATTAGGTCCAAATGGTCAAGTGTGAAGTTTAAGTACACAGTTTCTTTCTTAGTTATCTGCTTTGATGATCCAATGCTGCCAGCGGGGGTGTTGAAGTCTCCTACAATTATTGGGTGGTCGTCTGTCTTTTTGTAGTCCAAAAAGAACTTGTTTTATGAATCTGGGTGCTCCATGTTGGGTGCATTTATATTTAGGGTACTTAAGTATTCTTGTTTGATCATATACTTTCTCATGACGTAATGCTCTTCATTCTTCAATTGTTCTTTTTAATTTTGATTAAAGTCTGTTTTATCTGATATAAGAATAGTTACTCCTGCTTTTTTGTTATCATTTGCATGGCAGATTTTCTCCGTCCCCTTATTTTGGGCCAGTGGCTGTCATTACATATGAGATGAGTCTCTTGAAGACTACAGATGGTGAGCCTTGCATTTTTATCCAGTTTGCCATTGTACGTCATTTAAGTGGGGTGTTTAGCCTATTTACATTTATGGTTAATGTTGATACATGAGATTTTGATCCTATCATCACGTTTGTAGCTGGTTTTTAGGTAGACTTGATTGTGTAGATACTTTATAGTGCCTGTGAGCTATGTACTTAAGTGGGTTTTTGTGGTAGCAGGTGTCATTCTTTTTACTCAATGTATAGCACTCCCTTAAGGACCTTTCATAAGGCTGGTCAAGTTGAAATTGACTCCCTCAGTATTTGCTTATCTGAGAAGAAATTTGTTTCTTCTTCACTTAGGAAGTTTAGTTTAGTGAAATATGAAATTCTTGCCTGGAATTTATTTTCATTAATGATGTTGGACATAGGCTCTTAATCTCTTCTGGCTTGTAAGGTTTTTGCTGAGATATTTACTACTAGCCTAGTGGAGTTCTTGCTGTATGAAAACATGACCTTTCTCTCTAGCTGCCTTTAAGATTTTTTTTTCTTTTGTATTTACTTTGGTGAATATGATGACTATGTACCTTAGGGATAGTCACCTTTTATAGTACCTAGCTGGGTTTGCTGTATTTTTTGGATTTACATGTCACTCTCTCTAGCGAGGTTAGGAAAATTTTCATAGACTCTATTCTCAAATCTATTTTCCAAGTTGCCTTTTCTCTTTCTTTCTCTTCTAGGAATGACAATGAGTCGTAGATTTGGTCTCTTTATATAATTCCATATTTCTTAAAGCTTTGGTTCATTTTCTTTTTTTAATTCTTTTTTAAAATTTTCTTTTGACTCAGTTGATTGAACGAACCAGTCTTTGAGCTCTGAGATTCTTTCCTTAGCTTGGCCTACCTTCTGTTAATATTTCTTATTGTATTATAAAATTCTTATACTGAATTTTTTCTGCTCTAGAAATTCAGTGTGGCTGTTTTTTAAAATGGCAGTTTCATCTTTCAGCACTTACTTAGATTGCTTTACTGGATTACTTGGATTGGGTTTCAACTTTCTCCTTAATGTTCATGAGCTTCCCTGCCATCGAGGTTCTGTATTCTATGTCTGTTGCAATTATTTTAGACTGATTAAGAACCATTGCTTGGTAGCTAGTGGGCTAATTTTGAGGTAAGAGGACACTCTAGCTTTTTGAATTGCCAGAGTTCTTGCACTGATTTTTTCTCTTCTGGTAGGGTTAGTGTTCCTTTAACTGTAGTGTATGTTGAGTATAGGCAATTGGTTTTGTTTCTGGATGCTTTCAAAGGGTCAGGGCTGTCTCTGTCCAGGATTTTTATGTATGAGTAATTCTTGTGTTTGGTTTCACAGGTGTATATGTAGCAGGATAAATTTTGATGTTGTAGTTTGGGATGTGATCCAATGCATGGTGCTTAAGAGTGATGGCCAGTGGCTAGCCTAATACCCAGTGGCTTGGCTGTTTTATACTTCCTTTTGTTTGCAGGTGTGCTCTATAGTGGGGGTGGGAGAGATGCCTCCATCACCAGATCTGCTCCTGGGCCCTGGGGGAGTCTCCTGCAATCACTGTGTTTCTTGTGTTAGGTGTTCTAGGCCACAGGTCTCTCTCAGGCAGAGGCCCTTTCCTAGGAGCCATTCTGGGGAACTAGCTGTAGTGTTTGGGTTCCCTGCACAGGCTTCCTCCCTCTTCAGCTCAGCTTCATTGCTTCAGGCCTCTCCATCCACTCAGCATTTTCTCTCTCAAGATCTGCCTAAATTATGGTGGTTTACTCCATAATTTGGTATCTCTCAGTGGGGGTGGTGCTTCCTGACCATGTCAAATTGACCATCTATTGTCGCAGAATGAAAACCTCTTTGATAGACTTTGTAACATTTTTGAATATTACATTCAGGAGTAAAATCTTATGCAGTGTGATCCCAGCTATCTCTTCACTTTTGAGAATAACCTTAAGTAATTAAAGGATAATTAAATATGTAATTAAAAATTGAAAAATAGCACAGCTACACTTCCAGATCTCAACTTCTTTCAGAAAATTTTAACATCTCTTTAAAGAAAGGTAAATTGAGACCAAAATAGACTAATAGCTTTATAAAAATAAGTGCTCAAGGAGGGTGTTACGTGTGAAAATTAAACTTGGAATTTGTCATTTTACCCGTAAAATTACTGAGAGTAATTTCCTTGAAATGGAAATAACTTTACAAATTTTTAATTAACAAAAATGCTAAAATATTACTCCGCTTACCTTTATGTAACCTCTTCCTTGAAAACAACAATTTACTCATCTGGTGTGTGACTCTAATAACCTTCAATCATTCTCTATATCTGACACCATGACTAGTAACTTAGATCTTTAACTAAGCAACCTTTCTTTCCGCCTTTGTGATACTATATCTAGTAATTTAATAACAAACAATCTATGTTGCAAATTAAACTTCCAAATTGAATACTACTTTTCAAATCCCAAGGACCCATTTCTTCTGCCTCAATCTTAATTAGGTCTTAGTTAATAGAAAAATTAACTGGCTGGGTGCGGTGGCTCATGCCTGTAATCCCAGCACTTTGGGAGGCCAAGGTGGGCGGATCACCTGAGGTCTGAAGTTCAAGACCATCCTGGCCAACACGGTGAAACCCCATGTGTACTAAAAACACAAAAAATTGGCTGGGTATGGTGGTGGGTGCCTGTAATCCCAGCTACTCAGGAGGCTAAGGCAGGAGAATCACTTGAACCTGGCGGGGTGGAGGATGCAGTGAACCGAGATCCCACCACTGCGCTACAGCCTGGGCAGCAACAGTGAAACTCCTCAAAAAAAAAAAAAAAAAAAAAAAGAAAAAAGAAAAAAGAAAATTAACTAAATCAAGCCTAAATAAAACATATTCACAAAGTGGCAGACTTTTTTAATCCAAAAATTTAACTGTATTAATGTCTCATTTATAGAACATTATTTTACAATGAGGTTTTACACATCAATCAGTTGAGTCACTTCTTTTTCTTCTTCTTTTTTTTTTGAGATGGAGTCTCGCTCTGTTGCCCAGGCTGGAGTGCAGTGATGTGACCTCAGCTCACTGCAACCTCCACCTCCTGGGTTCAAGCGATTCTCCTGCCTCAGCATCCCGAGTACAGGCACTACAGGCACGTGAGCAAGAGAAGCTGACAGATTCAAATGTTCACAAACATTTATGTTCTATTTTGATAGATACATAAACTATATTTCTCATTCTTATATACTTTATATTAGGGCATGGGATTAAAGTCAAAATAGTGGAAAATTAGTAGAAATAACATATTTTATATCCAACTTAGTCTCCAAAATCCCAACATGCACTCTTCTGTATACGTTTTTCAGTATGCTTGACTGGAGTGGCCAATTCTACAGTAGTCTTGGAAGCAACATACTGCAGATTAAATACCTTAGTAGCCTATGTTCTTGAATGCGGACATAAAGGAGCAATGCTTTTCCTATCTTAAAAAAACAGTTTATATGAATGAAACTTCTGTTCTGTTTAAGATATTATATGTTGTTGAGTGTAGTTGTCAAAGCAACTAGCACTATTCCAAGTAATATAGAAATCACCAGCTTGAGTTGGGTCTGCTATAACAGCACCTAAAACATATCCACTAAATTAGTATTAAATGGACAAGTAAACCAAACTCAGAGGGTTGAAATGAAGACTTGTAATACCCAGTGAAAAAAAATTATTGAAACTACCATCTAAAATTAATTGGAAGCTTAATATTACCTCTAGGAAAGAGTGTGGGAAATGAGGAAAGGCAAAAGGTAATGTGTTCGTGTTTGTTCTGTTCCATAATCCAAGAAATAGATAAACACAGGCAAAAAAAAAAAAAAAAAAAGAAAAAGAAATATCCTGTCTTTAGAGTGGAAAGAAAGTGGATAGAGTTGAGTTGCTAAACCTTAGCATTATTGACATTTTATGCCTGATATTCCTGCATTCTGTGGGAGGTTATTCTTTGCATTGTAGGATATTAATAGTATCTCTAGGCTATACCACCACATACCAGTAGCATCACCACCTAATCATTATAATTCAAAATGTCTCCAGACACTGACAAGTGTTCTGTGGAAACAAAATCATTCCTTGTTGGAAACCACTTGTGAACAAAAAGTCTAGTAATGGTGGAATTATCCAGTGACAGAAAAGCTCAGGTTTTTCTGATTAGGTTGAAAAAGCTGCTCAGAAATTAAATCCTACTGTGTTCATAAAAAACAAGGAACCCAGCCCTGAAGCAAAGAACTAATCAGGGAAGTTGTTTTCTCTTTCAAGTCTATGATTTCAAATGACCTTAAAGTGGTCATCTTTACAGTCAGAGAAGCATATGTGTGTTGGGGAGGAGAAAAAAGAAGGAAATGAGGCAGACTTTAGAATTATACCTAGGAAAGAACTGTATGTTTGGTTATAAACTAGATGCAATAAATAAATAAATGTTTTCCACATAACTACTGGGCAAAGGTATAATAAGCCTATTGTGAGAAAAAAAATTAAGGCTTAAAATATCCTCAAGCATCCCAAATTGCACTAATCAGTGCAATTGATTAGTCATGCTGAGAAAACACTCATTGTTCTAATTTTAAGATGGAGGCATGGAGAATAAGAGAAAATGTAAATTACCTCAGAAAGTAAATCTATGAGCCACAGGGACAATGGACCTTAAAGTTATTTCCACAGGACATGTTTATGGTTTCATCGAATAAATATTTGTATTGCTCAGAAATATTTTTGTCAGTGCTATGCAGACTTCTTTGTCTTCTGATAGGAGCTTCACCATGGTAACTTAGATTTTACAGATAATTTGTGTTTTGACTTTATAGGACACTAGTCCTCGTTAAGTCATATAGTGGCCTAAGGGAGAGAACTGCACGTCATGAAACATCCTGAACTCTTAAGTTGTAGGCAGTAACTGGGCAAAACTTTAAGTTGTTTACACAGTGAAGAGAAGTGAATTTTTCATATATAAAGAAGTGTGCAAATTGTATTTCATGAGTAGTCTTTTGTCTTCTGGAATGGTGATATATACAAAGTAATCTGGGAAGATACAATTTGGTAATAGTAGATCCTTCATTAACTTGAATTATTTTTTGCAGGAAAGATGCGTCTTTAGCCAAAATTACTTAACGGTAAACTGATATGTAAGCAAGAAATCACCTTCTACTTGGTTTAAGCTATTCAGTGTACTCTCTAGATAGATATGACACAAAGCTAGCATTATAATACAGTAAACCAAGTGTTAATGTAACTTTATGTTGATTTTGACTACATTCTGAAAATAATAAAAGTCATCTGATATTTTAGGCTTACGATATGAACTTGATACTATGATAGGTGTTTGAAATGTTTATCTCATTTGATTCTTAGAACAAACTTATATTGTGGGTACTAATACAATACTGATTTTTTTAAATAAGAAAAAGGATTGCAAAATGTAAAAAGTCTTATTAAAAAGTACAAAATTCTATCTCCAAATGTGTAATGAATTTCATATAGTCAGTTAATATTTGTTTAGCTCAATAAAGTAATGTTTGGTGTAATAGTTGATTTCTTTAATGTTCATTCAGAATCACCACATTATCAATTTGAAATTAATTCACCTATTCGAAGAAGTTGCTTCCTCCAATTAAGACAGTATAGGAAGCAAAATAATGGTTTACAAAACAAACAAACCAACAACAAAAAAAAAAACGCATGTCCTGATTTCTGGAACCTGTGAATATGTTAACTTTATCTGGTAAAAGGGGCTTTGCAAGTATTATAATGTTAAGGATGGTAAGATGAAAAAGTGTCCTTTTGAGTTCAGTGTAATCAAATGGGTTTAAAATAGGGAAACATTCTTGGCTAGAAACATAAGGTGATATGATTTCAAAAGAATGGTCAGAGAGATACAGCATTTCTGGTTTGAACAAATGAAAGACCACAAGCTAACAAATCAGGACAGCCTCTAGAGGCTGGAAAAGTCAAGGAAACTGATTTTCCCCTAAAACCTTCAGAAAGGAACACAACAGTTCTCACTCTTTGATTTTAGCCTCATAAGATGCATGTCAGACATCTGACAAACACAATTGTTTGACACTATATTTGTGCTATTTTAAACCACTAACTTTGTAGTAATTTGCTACAGCAGCAGTAAGAAAATAATGCAGAGTGTTTCTATAATGGAGATAAAAGTATAAACAAGAGGCAAGGATTTCCTTCCTTCACAGTGTTTATAATATACTAAGAAAACAAACATTAAATACACAGGGCCCCAATAGATTATTCCACTTTAATTTTAGCTGGCACTGTGGAAGGAAAATAGAAATTCTAGAATATAGTGAATAGGAATATAACTTATTCTTATGTGGGAAGAAATGTTTATTACTGAATACTATTTGGGCTGAAAAGAAATGCACTGTAGTTACAGTAAGTACAGTAAAAGTAGTTTGCTATAAGGGAACAGAGCCATTGAAATGTAATGAAAGTCATCAAAGTTTTAGGCATTAACTGTAAGTTGCAAGGAGTTAAACAATTATAAGCAGTCCGATTATTAAAAAAATATGTGCCTGATTCTCAAAATCACAAGTATTCTTTAAGATTGCTAACCGTAGTAGTGAATTTTCACAATGATATAAAGAATGACTTGAGACTGAGTAATTTATGAAGAAAAGAGATTTAATTGATTCATAGTTCTTCAGGCTTTACAGGAAGCATGAATGGGAGGACTCAGGAAACTCAGAAAATCATGGTGGAAGGCAAAGGGGAAACAAGGTTCTTCTTGACATGGCACCAGGAGAGAGAGAGCACAAGGAGGGAAGTGCCACACACTTTTAAACCATCAGATCTCTTGGAACTCACTCACTGTCATGAGAATAGCATGTGGAAATCTGCTCCCATGATCCAGTCACCTCCACCCAGGCCCCTGTCTTGACATGAGGGGATTACAATTTGAGATGAGATTTGGGTGGGGACAGAGGGCCAAGCCATATTATTTCTCCTCTGGCCCCTCCCAAGTATCATGTCCTTCTCACATTTCAAAACCAATCATGCCTTCCCAACAGACTGAAAGTCTTAACTTATTCCAGCATTAACTCAAAAGTCCATGTCCAAAGTTTCATCTGAGACAAGGCAAATCCCTTCTGCCTATAAGCCTGTAAAATCAAAAACAAGTTAGTTAATTTCAAGATACAGTGGGGGTACAGGGATCAGGTAAACACTCCAATTCCATAAGGGAGAAATTAGCCAAAACAAAGGGTCTGCAGGCCCCATGCAAGTCCAAAACCCGACAAGGCAGTCATTAAATCTTAAGGCTCTGAAACAATCTTCTTTGACCTCATCTCTCACGTCCAGAGCATACTGATGCAATATCTGGGCTCCCATGAGCTTTGACAGCTCTGCCTCTGTGGCTCTGCAAGGCACAGCCCCCACAGCTGCTTTCACAGGCTAGGATTGAGTGCCTGTGACTTTTCCAGGCACACTGTGCAAGCTGTCAGTGGATCTACCATTCTGGGGTCTGAAGCACTATGACCCTCTTCTCAAAGCTCCAGTAGGGAGTGCCCCAGTGGGGAATCTGTGTGGGGGCTCCAACCCCACATTTTCCCTCTGCACTGCCCTAGTAGAGGTTCTCCATAAGGGCTCCACTTCTGCAGCAGACTTTTGCCTAGACATCCAGGCATTTCCATACATCCTCTGAAATCTAGATGGAGGTTCCCAAACCTCAACTCTTCCCGTCTGCACAACCACAGGCCCAGCCTCATGTGGAAGCCACCAAAGCTTGAGGCTTGTATTCTCTGAAGCAATGGCCTGAGTAGTGCCTTGGACCCTTTTAGCCATACACAGACCATACACAGATACAAATACACACTCCATGAATGAGCATATGTGCTTGTTTAAAGAGACATACTAACCAAACAGTTGTATGCTGCCATGATATTGATTATGTCATCAAGTTCCTTATTTAACAAAACACAGCTGTGTATGAAGTATTTCTCTAGAATGTACATTCAATAGCAACTGGTTTTGTTCAGTCTTATGTACCCATATTATTTAAATGAGCACCTGGAGTCTAGAATTAACTAAAAAATATCTATGTTGATGCATATTAAGTTGATTTTGAAGTCATAAATTTTGACAAGAATTGATACTATGGCACAATCATAACTTTACAAAAGATGACCTGAACTAACATGATTTTATGCTTTTACCAGTGGAACTCCCTGAAATATATTCAGATAATTTGTTATTAAAGCAAAACTAAGTTTATTGAAACCCTGTGCCAAGAAAGTACACCATTTTGACATACTTTTGCAGTGTTTCAGCAGGGAAGAGTGAGAGGAAGATTTTTCATGTTTGTGGAGAATGGCTTAAGAGAGTTAAATGAGTCTTTCAAAGTGAGTAGCTGATTGAAATTGAGCTAAACTTAGAGCATAATAGTTTAGATAGTCTAAGAAATTGCAAAAAAAGTTGATGCCAAGCATACAAGAAATAACAACACCAAAAAATAGACCTAAATACAGACAAAATTAGATTAAAAACAAGAATATGTTCAATGTTAATAAAAGCAAAAGGAACATAGACATAGTTATGGAGGAGTTTTGTTTTGTTTTGTTTTAATAAGATAAAAATATGGTTAGTTTTATACCAATACACCTGGAAATCTGGATCAATTCTGTCCACTACAGTCATTACTAGTGACATGTAGATATTGAACACTTGAAATATGGTGAATTTGAATTGATTTACGCTATATGTAAAATACAAACTAGATTTAGTTTAAAAAATGTAAAGCTGAATAATTTTAATATTGTTTTATGCTGAGATGACAATATTTTGGATATAATGGATTAAATAAATATAAAATATTTTTAAAAATCAAGTTATATGGTAAAATTGGTCTTTTTGTTTTACTTTTTTATTTTGTTTTGGTTTTTGAAGGGATAGAAATCATGACTAAGATGGACCCTGGGGCATATCATTGACCATCATGAAACATGCACTGATTTGCCAAATGTATTATTTTCCTGTGGCTGTTATAAAAATTACAATACACTTAGTAGTTTAAAACAACATAAATTTATTGTCTAGCAGTATTCCAGGTTAGAGGTTCAACACAGGTCTTACTGATTTAAAATCAAAGCATTGGAAGACTGCATTCCTTCTATAGGCTCTGTGGAATAATCCATGACCCGGCCTTTCCCAGGCTTTAGAATCCAGCTGCATTCTTTGATGCATGTTCCCTGTCTTGGGCAGCTTGGAATACTGTAAGAAAATACCATAGACCGGGTGACTTAAACAACTGACGTTTATTTCTCAGAGTTCTGAAAGTTGGGAAGTCCAAGATTAAGGTGCTGGTATATTTGGTTCATGGTGAGGGCCCACTCCCTCTCTGGTTAGTAGATGGCCTCCTTCTCTCTGTGTTCACATGGCCTTTCCTGGATACATGTTTATGGAGAGAGAAAGAGAAGGGTGGTTGGGTGGGAGGTGGTCTAGTATCTCCACCTTTTCTTATAAGAACACTAACATTATCATGAGAACACCACACTTATGACATTATCTCAACCTAGGTTCCTCCCAAAAGCTCCATCTCCAGATACTATCACACTGCCAATTAATAGATTATTGAAAATATTAATATTTGAACAATGCCAATCATCTTCAATAGATTAATTTTAGGGAGACACAAATATTCAGTTCATAACAGTTCCTTTCCTTCACCTTCAAAGCTACAAATGAAGGAGCAAGTCTTCACATTCTCCTTTTATATCTCCCTCTTCTACATGTAAAGAATCTTACGATTGCATTTGGCCATCTAAAATCTATGATAGTCTCTCCATTTCAAAATCCTTAACTCTAATTGCATTTGCAAACTCTGTCCTGCCAGGTAAGCTAACAAACTTATAAATTATCTGGATTAGGACCCCATCATCTCTGAAGAGCCATTATTCTGACTACCACATCAATATGTTAGTTTATGTCAAGATTGCTGTAATAATCAATAGGTTCTGGTACCACAAATCCAGTAGCAGTCATTAAGGTTGATTGAGTTTATTGATTGCTTTCAGCTCCATTCTGCTATTAATCACTTTTGGGGATATAAAATGAAGACCTTATCACATAGAGGAAGAGGTAGATGTGATAGGAGCTTGAATATGTAATAAGAATTTTTTATGATATGTAAATGTGAGAAATGAATTAAGTATGTGCCATTTGTTCTCTTCTTTTTAAGACATTTCTTTCTAAAGGTTTAGTGACAGAAGTTGCATTCTATTAAAGATCCGTAAGTGCTGTTCTGCTGTAGGCATAAGCTTTCTTTCCTGCGTGCAGCATGTTAGGATTTAAGATTTCTATTTATCTAATACTCTGCTGTTTGTCAGATAAAATAACAATAAATAGTCCAATTATTGATAAACCCAGAAGTTTCATATTTAGGAATCGATGTTAAAAAAAAAAAAACTCTAATTGGCATCCTAAGGAAAATGTGTGCAGCTTAGCACTGATTCAACTGCATGTTTAGCCAAATTGTGAACAAATTACGGCCAGCTTCCGGACTCTTCTAGAGAGTGACTAAGGACGGCATAGAGGAATTAGGAATAGTAGCTTTATAGGTAAAGTAATTAAATGTAACCTTAAGCATAAAAAGATAAAGTTAACTAGGAAAATGAAAACTCAAGATATGCAGATTAAATATGACAAACAATGGATCTTTTTATGTGGATCTTGGTTTGCAGATACCGATATCTCATATAGTGATTCACTTGATCCAAAGGCATTTGATGGAAGCTGTCTTCTCCCAAAGACTATTTGCTTTTGGAAGAATCCTAAGAGTCATTAGTTAGAAGTTTTTGGTAGGGATACTTTCCTGTAATATGAAGATGACCTAAACCTCTTTACTTGAGAGATAGGAATCAAAGGATCAGTCTTTTAAAGACTATGGGTTTGCTAGTTGTTAGCTGTGCCTGATATTGACTTTTTTCCTATGATCTTTCCCTGCCGTGTCTCTTAGAAGACAAGGTATCCAGGTATGAAAACCAATTTTGCAGACATTGTTTAGGATACTAATGGGGAAAGTCTTCAGTAACTTTTGTTGAAAGAATGGATTTCCTGAGTCCTTACAGCATTTAGTTAAATAAGTGTAGATTTCTAGAATCAGAGCTAATATTCCTAGACACTTGGTTTAGCTGTTACTAACTTATGAACCACAGAAAGAAGAAATACCTTAGACCATGCAAGTTTGACGATCTCTGTGAACTTTACCAACTTTAGTTTCAGAATTCCATCTTTCTACCTTCCGAAAAGGTTGAAAGTGATATGGACAGTGAAGTCTGATTAATTGACAAAACTTTTCCATGTTAGTTAATAAAAATTCCGGTAAAATGGTTTCCTTGTTACTAGAGATATAGTTTGGGATTCCCCAGGCTGAAAAAAAAAAAAAAAGGATTTTCTCCATGCCAACAAGAGACAAATAATGATCAGAACATATTTAAAATCTGTTGCCAGCACTTGTTATGAAAAATTCATTTAGATTTTTACTGAGACATTTTACAGTTTTGCTAGGATTAATCTGACGAAGGTTGAGACAAGTTGTAAGGATATAGTTATATAAAGATATACTTACCAATTTTAGCAAAATTTTCCCCCAGCTATTGGTTAAATACATTGGTCAATTTGTCCTCATTGTGCCAGAAAAGCTCAGCAGTTCTGACTAAAGTTTATGTTAACCCATTGCCAGTAGAATGAAAGAGTTGAATCCTCTCTTAAATTATAATATATAGTTGACTCCTCAACAACACAGGTTTGAACTGTGCGGGTCCGCTCATATGTAGATTTTTTCCTATAAATATATTAGAAAATTTTTGGAGATTTATGAAAAATTGAAAAAGATAACAGGTGACCCATCTACACAAGCAATATTAAAAAACTAAGAAAATGATAAGTCCATGAATGCATAAATTATATGTAGATACTAGTGATCATTTAATACAATGAAATATATATGCATCTATTATAAAAAGTTAAAATTTATCAAGACGTAGGCACACACAGAGCATACATGCAGCCAATTGAAGTTTAGAGAAAAGTAAAACAAAAATATACAAAAGTAAATCATAACTGCACAAAATTAACTGTAGTACATACTGTACTACTGGGATAATTTCCTAGCCTCCACCTGTTGTTCTTGCAGTGAACTCAAGTGTTGTGAGTATTCACTTAAAATGCCACATAATGCTAATCATCTTCTTGTGAGTAGCTTGTCTCTCCAGTAAATTAACACAGTAAAAAGTGTTCTCTCATGTTTCTCCTGTATTATTCATGATGTCTAGTGCAATACCATAAACCTTGAATAACACCTTCAGACCTATAAAAAGTGCTGCTAGTGATGCTGAAAGTTCTTCCAGGAAACAGAGAAGGGTCCTGACATTACAGGAAAACAATCAATTGCTTGATAGGTACCCTAGATTGAGGTCTGCAGCTGTGTGTGCTGCCATTTCAGAAGAAGGATCCATCTTGTAAACACAGGATTGTAAACTTATGAGAGAAATAAATATACTGTAGTACTGTAAACGTATTTTTTCTTCCCTATAATTTTCTTAATAACACTTTCTTTTCTGTAACTAGCTTCATTGTAAAACTACAGTGTAAAATACATACAGCATACGAAATATGTGTTAAGGATTGTCCAGTCAACAGTAGGCTCTTAGTTTAGTTTTGGGGAGTCCAAAGTTATATGTGAATTTTTGACTGTGCTGGGGTGGTGGGGAGGGGTTAGGGAGGTTTGATGCCCCTAAACCTTGTGTTGTTCAGGAGTCAACTGTACAATTGAGAAGAATATGATTTAGAATTTCCCTGAGATTAAGAACATATTAAATGGTGGGAAGGATATTGATAGACCTCTAGATCTAGTGACACTATCAACTTTGACTGTGTCTGTTTGATGAAGGAATTAAAATCTAGTAACAAAAGCATTTTGTAGATAGTTATTGTACCAGTCTTTGTTCTTGAACATCAGTGTGTTTTTTTGAACTGAAAATCACACATTAAATGAAAGGCTTCATCTCAGTATATTTTATTTACACATAAATTTGAGCTGTTTTTTGTTCACAAGTTTGGCCGATAAAAGAGCCCTCACAATAGCTTTAATTACCATTTAAAATAACAAATTAATGGGATTTTTAAATTTTTCTCTCTTTTGTAGGGTGAAGGAGCAATGCTTTTGGTTAGTCGGTATTCTCTCAAGAAAATTTAAAGATAGTTTATACATAGAAGATATTTTAACAGGTTATATTCTGAACTTGTGGCCCGGATTTGGAAAAAGCAATATCAAGTATGGTTCAAGGGGACAAGAAAGAGAGAAGCATTTGTTACCATTTTTCAAAGTCAAAAATATTTAATCAGATAATATTTTAAAAGCCAGCAATAATTAGTAATGATTGGTATAATGTTTTTCTCAAAATTATTAAATAGGAGATAAAATTAAAAGCTTTATTTTTTTGCATTCAAATAAAATTTTAAATATTTTGATGAGCATATTAAATCAACAATGCATGTATTACATTGAACCTGACTTCTTAATAAGTTGCAACCAAATCTTTAATGATAAGTTTAGGTCAGAGAGATAATTTGAGATTTGTCACCATAAAGATAGGGTATAATGTGATGTAAATAATTAAGATCAGGTGGAAAGACAAATAAGATTGAAGGAAGACCCAAGACCAAGGTTTGGGGCACTCTCAGAATTTCTAAAAAAAAATTTAGACTATGAGTAAAGAAGGATTGATCAGCAAGGTGAAATGGATCAAGGAAATGTGGGCACTCAGAGGTACAGAGGGGTCAATTGCTGCCCAGAAAATACTCAGACGAATGCTGAACAATAGATTAGATAGAACAGATGTCCTAGAAATCATGAAGATAAGTCAGTTTATTAAAATACATATTATAAACAAAGAAGGAATTTACTGTTTGAAAAGTTGTCTTGAAGTATTGTTTTGGGAGAAAATAAAAAATAAACCTTATTTTCTAAAATACACTAAAACGAATTCCAAATGAATCAAAGGATTGTGTAGAGATATTTTAAATTAACAAAACAATGTTAGTGCAGATTCTCTTTAATTACTTCCCTGATTGTTTTACCTATATAACTCATTTAATTCTACTAGCAATCTTTTCATGTTGGATACAGCTATTCAAATTTTCTTTTGTTATTGCAATAGCCTCCTAACCATTCTTCCACAAAATTGGGGCACTAAAAGGTTGTGAAATTTCCTCTATGCCACAGAGCTATTTAGTGATGATTTGGCATTTGGAAGCACATAATCTGTCTTTGAAATGTTCATTTTTCTCTGATGGCCAGTGATGGTGAGCATTTCTTCATGTGTTTTTTGGCTGCATAAATATCTTCTTTTGAGAAGTGTCTGTTCATGTCCTTCGCCCACTTTTTGATGAGGTTGTTTGTTTTTTTCTTGTAAATTTGTTTGAGTTCATTGTAGATTCTGGATGTTAGCCCTTTGTCAGATGAGTAGATTGCGAAAATTTTCTCCCATTTTGTAGGCTGCCTGTTCACTCTGATGGTAGTTTCTTTTGCTGTGCAGAAGCTCTTTAGTTTAATGAGATCCCATTTGTCAATTTTGGCTTTTGTTGCCATTGCTTTTGGTGTTTTAGACATGAAGTCCTTGCCCATGCCTATGTCCTGAATGGTAATGCCTAGGTTTTCTTCTGGGGTTTTTATGGTTTTAAGTCTAGCGTTTAAGTCTTTACTCCATCTTGAATTAATTTTTGTATAAGGTGTAAGGAAGGGATCCAGTTTCAGCTTTCTCCATATGGCTAGCCAGTTTTCCCAGCACCATTTATTAAATAGGGAATCCTTTCCCCATTGCTTATTTTTCTCAGGTTTGTCAAAGATGAGATAGTTGTAGATATGTGGCATTATTTCTGAGGGCTCTGTTCTGTTCCATTGATCTATATGTCTGTTTTGGTACCAGTACCATGCTGTTTTGGTTACTGTAGCCTTGTAGTATAGTTTGAAGTCAGGTAGCGTGATGCCTCCAGCTTTGTTCTTTTGGCTTAGGATTGACTTGGCGATGCGGGCTCTTTTTTGGTTCCATATGAACTTTAAAGTAGTTATTTCCAATTCTGTGAAGAAAGTCATTGGTAGCTTGATGGGGATGGCATTGAATCTATAAATTACCTTGGGCAGTATGGCCATTTTCACCATATTGATTCTTCCTACCCATGAGCATGGAATGTTCTTCTATTTCTTTGTATCCTCTTTTATTTCATTGAGCAGTGGTTTGTTGTTCTTCTTGAAGAGGTCCTTCCCATCCCTTTTAAGTTGGATTCCTAGGTATTTGATTCTCTTTGAAGCAATTGTGAATGGGAGTTCACTCATGATTTTGCTCTCTGATTGTCTGTTATTGGTGTATACAAATGCGTGTGATTTTTGTACATTGATTTTGTAACCTGGGACTTTGCTGAAGTTGCTCATCAGCTTAAGGAGATTTTGGGCTGAGACAATGGGGTTTTCTAGATATACAATCATGTCATCTGCAAACAGGGACAATTTGACTTCCTCTTTTCCTAATTGAATACCCTTTCTTTCCTTCTCCTGCCTAATTGCCGTGGCCAGAACTTCCAACACTATGTTGAATAGGAGTGGTGAGAGAGGACAAATCAAAACCACAATGAGATACCATCTCACACCAGTTAGAATGGCAATCATTAAAAAGTCAGGAAACAACAGGTGCTGGAGAGGATGTGGAGAAATAGGAACACTTTTACACTGTTGGTGGGACTGTAAACTAGTTCGACCATTGTGGAAGTCAGTGTGGCAATTCCTCAGGGATCTAGAACTAGAAATAGCATTTGACCCAGCCATCCCATTACTGGGTATATACCCAAAGGACTATAAATCATGCTGCTATAAAGACACATGCACACGTATGTTTATTGCGGCACTATTCACAATAGCAAAGACTTGGAACCAACCCAAATGTCCAACAATGATAGACTGGATTAAGAAAATGTGGCACATATATACCATGGAATACTATGCAGCCATAAAAAATGATGAGTTCATGTCCTTTGTAGGGACATGGATGAAATTGGAAATCATCATTCTCAGTCAACTATCACAAGGACAAAAAACCTAAGACTGCATGTTCTCACTCATAGGTGGGAATTGAACAATGAGAACACATGGACACAGGAAGGGGAACACCACACGCTGGGGACTGTTATGGGGTGGGGGGAGGGGGGAGGGATAGCATTAGGAGATATATCTAATGCTAAATGACGAGTTAATGGGTGCAGCACACCAGCATGGCACATGTATACATATGTAACTAACCTGCACATTGTGCACATGTACCCTAAAACTTGAAATATAGTAATAAGAAAATAACATTTTTTAAAAAAATGTTCATTTTTAATTATAGCACTACACCATGCACTGAATCACTGAGGGTAAAAATGCACACTGTTAATAAGAAGGAGGGAGTCAATCTCATTAGTATTATAATATTTATACTGAATGAGACTCCATTCCCGAAATTCACAGAATTAAAATAATAAAAATAAAAATTTATTGCTAGCCAGTTTGCAGCAAAAAGGATTCATTCTCATATTCTGCTATGAGAAAATATATGAAATTGAATTTTAAAAGACATTTTTGGAAAGCCCTTTGAATTAACCAGAAAATTGTTAAATTCGTAGTTTTTTTGACTAACATTCTTCTTCCACGTTAACAGAATTTATATATAAGTGACACTCATTGCATATACTTTTAAGGGGTAAAGTAATTACTAAATTTATGTACACTATGAATACTTCATTTTATGAAATTGCATATATACCCATATGCAAATGTGCACAGAATCAATAGGGTAACCATAGACATAAAATGATCAGTGCAGGATATTTTATTTATGCATTTTATATATAATATACTTTTCATTTAATATTTTTGCTAATTTTATTGAATTGAATATTTATGCCTTGGTTATAGAACAACTAAATTTATTTTCAAAGAAACTCCATTATTATTGTCTGCAAGAGTAAAACTTATAAACAATCTAAAAATTCAACCAAATACAACCATTTACAATTGTGCCCTAGTTGAATATGTAATCATAGGAGAAAACACAGGTGTTGAATTTTTAGAATTTCATTTAAAAAATAATTGACACAATCCCTAAGGTATCATATAAATTAATTGAATTGTTATTGTCTTGGGTTAACATTTATTTCTAGAGTTTTTTTTCCCCTAATATCTGATTTTTTCCATTAACATTACTTATTTGGATAATCACAAAAAAATCAACATTGCCAAAAGATAGATAATACCACAAGCGAAATATCTATAATAATGATAGGAAAATGCTTTGATTCAGGCTGAATGAGAATTAGTCTAGGAAAACAGCTTGGACCCTCTCATTCCTGTTAATGTCATCTCTGTGTTTAGCACTGCTGCTATTCCTCAGCCCCTAAGAAATGCTCTATTGCTGGGCATGGCATATGAGAAGCCAAGAAAAATGACCGGCTGCTTGGTGACAGGTCTCTAGTCCTCATGCCAAGTTCTGCCAGTGATTTAAATATTAAGTAATGGAAAGAATTTTGAAATCCAGGATGATTAGAAAAGTCATTTTCTACAAAACTGAAGCATTGTCTTTAGAGATTAAAATCTATGAAAATAACATTATTGAAATACTAGACTTCAGACTATTTTTCTGAATTACTGTCACTGTTGAAATAGGTCTTTCAGCCCATTAAGATAAACACCACAGTTTTCTCTTCATCATCTTCAGCTGTAATTTTATAGTGAAAGGTACTTGCATAAAAGAGTTCACACTATCTGAAAGATGTCACATGTAACATTGACTGGCAGCCATTTCAGACTGGCAGACAGCTAATAAATCATTCAGAACTATGTGTCACTCGTTATGGCTTTAAAATTGTATTCCTTCTCCTTTGATAAAGAACATTTCAATGTCAAATAGTTTGTTCTATTTAAACTTATACATCAACCAGAATATTGAGATACACAATAAAATTAAATGATTTGGTAATACCTTTAGAATTTATCTAAAAACAGCCGTATGTATTTGCATGACAGATTTGGTTCACAAACCAATCAAGTTGTTAGTATCAAAGGCATGTTTTAGTGCTGATTTATGTATAGATAAATATAGGAAATGACATAAATAGAAATACTTCTTTATAAAATTCCTTGACCTTGTGATATCTTGGTATGAAGAATCTTAAAGGAATCATTTAAAAAAATTCAAAAGCAAACAATTTCGATTTTACAAGAGCTAAGAAAAAAACATTTTGCTATGGACACAGATCGCTCTTCAAGAAAAGATTTCTTTCCCCCTTGGCTGCTAGGAGCAATATTACAAAGCAGCCTTCAGCTTTCAGCTCCTTCAAAGTTTGCCTCAGCTGTAACCATTGTCTGGCTGAATGTTAGGTCATCCTGGAGCACTGGACATGCAAACATGAATGGAGATGAGGTATAAAGCCCGGCCATTTTGACCCACCTGAGAGGATTCTGACAGGTCCTTCCAGTGCCTGAGAAACCCAGGGCTCACATGCTTTATATTCTGATCATTCTGTAGGGGTTGTTCCCATGGGTGATAGAAGCTGCCAAATATAAAGAGGCAGCCATGCAAATTTTTAGGAATTATTTCCAAAACTCTCATAACAACATCATATATATTTATTGGTTTAAGTAGATTTCTGAGGAGTAGATAGCAACGATAGAAGTGAAAGAAAGTAAATGCAGTTGTTAAAGGATTAGTCTTTCCATACTTAGAAAGTACACAAGTTGCATATACACTATGTTCCTTCCCTAGAGCAAGTATTTCAATGCAGTCGTGTGTGTGTGTGTGCTTGTGCGTGTGTGGTGTGTGTGTGTGTGTGTGTGTGTGTATGCTAACTGAACTCATTATAGATTTTATTGGATCAGATATATGAAGAGACTTGGAAGACTTGGGTTTGTCTGGAACTGGGTGAAATAGAGAAGGACGATCATTGACATAGAAAGCTCATTACTTTGACCTTTGAGTATAAATAGTCTTACAATAAAATGGCATCTCCACTGTCTAAAACACATTTTTACATTTGCTCTCCTTCTGAAATTATTTATGTGGAATTAACAAATCTACTTATTACCTTAGAAACAAACGATCCCTAATTTATATTATTTATTGTATATTTGTAGATCCACTTAAAATTGATTTGCAATGTAAGGAAAAAATGCATTTTATAAGTTGTTTGCTTTGTGTAGTGCATCTTGTTAACCGTAGGACTACTGTTGCATTGAAACAAAATAGAATTAATCTGTTCAGGTAAATAGAACTGGAAGTGAGATTTGTTGTCACTCCTTCTCCTTCAAGTACTGACCAGTCTTTTAATTCACACATAACTAACACTGTGCAATAATATTTTTTTGTTCTCTGTCTTTTCAAATAGAACTGAAGCTCCATGAGGAGATGTTTCATTGTCAGTGAGCACATTCTTGTCAATTAGTTCCTTCTTGTTTATTAGTATAGCCCCTGTGTCTAGAACCTTTCCAGGTATTCAGTAGCCATTTAAAAATTATTTGTTGAATGAATTGTTATTTTAAAGAACATCCACAAGTTTTGCCTGACTAGGCATGGGAATACATGCCCATCTTTGGACTGAATGTCCATTTTTCCCTTCTTTTATCAAAATATTGGTTAAATGATCAGGACCACTGTTAGAAGGAATTTTATATCTAAAAATAGTTTACCTTCTTTGGATGTAAAAAACAGTTGTAGTAGTTCTGGCTTTTATATTATTCGATGTTTCAAAGCGGTTTTTTTTTTTCCATCACAATATTCTATGTTCTTGAAAAGTACTCGTTCATGTGACTGCTATCATTTATGCTTGTGCAGCACGTAGATACAGGAGAGAAGATAAGGAAAATGCTTACCCTGTGTCTCCTTCCCTGTAACACAGTTTTTTTTTTTACCATATTGATTCTCCACTTTCTACTCCCTAAGTAAAATTTTGCAACAGGCATTTGGGAAACTCTGGATACAAGAAAAAAATTTTAATATTGTACAAAGAGACAAGAGGTGACTTCTTTTTTATTTTTCATTTAGAGTTTATAGTTTAATTAAAGAAAATGCACATATATCTAAAGATAATCATGGATAATACACTCATGTAATTACTACTTTCAGTGGTTGTAACAACAGCCAGAGCACAAACAGAAATGAGAAAGGACTATCAGCATTATGCAAATACATATCCTCTTTAAGAATTCCTGTTATAGTGAAAGCATTAAAATAATTGAACACGTACAGAGACCATATACTTTGTGATCTTTTAAAAAAAGTATTCAAAATATATTTCTGTGTGCAAAACATCTTCATAATGATCTTGTTTAAATGAAAGTATTTAGAATAGCACATTGTAAAATTATGCTGCAGAGCACAAGTATTTTTCTCTTTAGAAGACACATAATAAAATAGAATCATCAGTGTTTTTTCATAAACATGAATCTTTAGAGTGTTACTTGATCCTGCATAATAAGGGTACTTTTTTGCTTAATGTAAGCATAGTATACTAATTCTTTTAAAATTCAGAAAGCATATTTACAGTCTAGGCAGATGGGACATGAAGGTCACACAGCATGGGCAGTGAAATATCTCGTTTACCTAGAGTTCTAGAGAGAATTTTAGGAACTCTTATTTATTATCAGTGCATAAACAAGAGTAAACTGTACAAAACTGTTCGCAAAACTCTCCTCTTTCTACTCAGAAGGCTTTCCCTAGAATAATCATTATGGACTCTGTCCATCCTTTACTCATTCACTGCATGGGGACAGGTGTTAGTTATGAGATTGGTGAATTTAGAAAGCTAACCAATTTCATACCTATTTTGCGATTCTCAATTCACAAACTTTTGTGCGTTTCTTAATTATTTCCTTTCTTTTTCTTGCAGAGAGCAGTCATGATGGCCTGCACTCCACACAATGCAACAGAGTGAAAGAGCAGGTTCTGCTTCTTTGGTGTAGTCCTGAAGCTTCCTAAGAAACTTCACATCAGGTGATGGATAGGAGCAACCCTGTAAAACCAGCCTTAGACTATTTTTCAAACAGTAAGTAATAAAGGTGACGTTTTGATCTTTATCTGCTTAATTACTTCTGCTATGATTCTATTGATTCTAACATTGAAGGAGCAGTAAATTTATATGTATTATCAAACTATAAAACAATAAATAAACGATATATCAAATACATTATCACATCCTTATGTTCTTATGATAATATTGTCCTTTTTTAACAGTTTTTATTCTTATTTGTTGATTGGTTTGTCTTTATGTTGTCCTTTCTACTATCAAACTGAACATGTTGAGGTCATAGGCTATCATAACTGTACATTTCTGATGCTAACCATAGAGACTTAACAACAGTAAATAGGCCAAAATGGAATGTTGTTAGCCATAGTGTGTATTATTATTTCTTTTATACATTTGGTCACTGTTAGAGGAGTTTATCACTTTTTGCCTAGATTAATGACACACCAACCATCTACAAACGAATCATACCTTATTCCCTCACTGTAATTTTTAATGTTGCTATTTTTGCCTGTTAACATTCCATAGGTTTATCACATTGCTTAAAGATTTAATTTAATTTCTGTATTGTATATGTCATGAGAGATTGCTTTTAACCTTCCAGTGTTCATGGTCTCATTTTCACTAACATAATCCCAACTTTAGCTGTGCACAATACCACATTTCCCAGCATTCCTTGCATCTGGATATAGCTGTATTAACATAAGCCGTGTGAAACTTCTGGGATGGCTCCTTAAGTGCAGTTGACTCATTAGGGAGGTATGTCTTTTTTATTTTTCTACACTCTGCTGCTGTCCTGGAGTACAGACATGGTGGCTAGAAGCATGAAATCACCTTGAAGATAGAAGTCATTCATTGAAGTTAGTAAAAGAGGAATGTAAGTGTATAGGTTCCTGATGAAAATGGGAAGCTTATGTACTAGCAACAGAATGCTTATTATGCAGGCTTCCTATATGTAAAAGAGGACAAATTCTCATTTTATTAAGTTTCTGAAAGTAGATTTCTAAATGCTGGTTCTATTTTTTATGGAAAATAATGGCAAAAAACGCAATGCCTTTTGTACCAACCTAATAGTTAATAAACATATCCTCAAATGAAATGTCTTAGAATTGTATTCATCAAGTTAATATTAATAATTTACTAGAATAGCACTCTAAAAGGTTGCAGACTATGCATGAAAACACTTATAAACTACTACATGATAATCAATTCTTTTTGGCAAGACTGCTATTTACATGGACACAAGAGTTATTATAAGAATATTGTATGTATAGATGAATAGTGTCTGTTAAACACTGGAGATAATAAAAACAATAATTTTTCTGTTAATTATAAAAATCTGAACATTTTTGTGATTATATTTCACAAATGACACACCGTTTTATTTGCAGATTTTTCTTATCCCCAATGTTTTTGTCAATTTATTACCAACACAGCACACAATTCTAGTGGCAATGCATTATTACCTCTGCAGTTGATTTTGAAGTAAGAAGGCCTATTTATTGCATTCATTCCTGCTTAGATGACATCTTAAATTCATTAATTGGGTTATTATGCTCTATTCTATACATTTATTGATTTATAGATTTTGTGGACACAAATTTCAAAACATATTGGAAAATTTAGTAATAGCTTTTTAGAATCTATTCTTCAACATAGTTATTGAAAGTGAACAAGACGGACCTCCTCTAGAGATTAGGTTGAGAACCACTTCTTTGATTTGTTAAATATGTGTACATGGATACCATGTGGCTTTATTATGAGGAGCCACTTGAGTGGCTGAGTTACAATTCACAAAACATTGTCACAGGGAAAATATCGGTACAAATTTTCAAGTCACATGCCAAGAAAAAAAATCTTTCTAAATGCTTATAAGAAATACCTTAATTAATGGGAGCCCTTCAAAGTACACAAAACATCATAACTAGGAGTTGCAACACAACCAGCAATTTGCTGATTGAAATGCATTCATTCATACTGACTTCACCTGCTGAATGGAATATTGTGCTGTACTGTCCTTAGCTATGGAGAATTAAGGAATATCCCCTTCTGGTGTTCAACAACAACAAAAGAGCAAGAAAGATATATTCCTAATTTTTAAAGAAGAATGTAGAGATACTTAAACAAGACAATGAAGGTGGTAGAAAGATTATTACCATCCCCAAAGTGTTTGCTCATTAAAACATTTTGTGATATTCTTTGCCAATATCATACCTGTATGGATAATTGTTTTACTATCCACACAGTTATGAGAGTGAGAAGATGGAATATAAAAGACGGAACAAGAGGGAATCTGTGTGGTGACCACAGTAATCACAGGCTGGTTGGGATCCTAAACTTGGCCACAGCACAAAAGCATGTTCAAGTTTAAAGTCATGAGAGAGTCCTGGCATAGTGGCTCACACCTATAATCCCTGCACTTTGGGAGGCCAAGGTGGGAGGATTGCTTGGGGCAAAGAGCTCAAGACCAGCCTGGTCAACATAGTGAGATCCCATCTAAAAAAATGTTCTTTAAGTTAGCCTTATGTGGTGGCATGTTCCTGTGGTATCAGCTACTCAGGTGGCTGAAGTGGGAGGGTCACTTGAGCCTGGAGGTTGAGCCATAATCATGCCACTGCACTCCAGCCTTGGTGACAGAGTAAGACTCTGTCTCCAAAAGTAAAAAAACAAAACAACACAAAAAGTAAAGTCACAATAAAATGAGATGCTATTAAGGTTGTTTTATGTTGATTTTCAACTAGACCAGCATTTAGCCTGTACAAAGGCGTATACAAAATAAACCCTAAACCTAAATGGGGTTCAGCAGCAGCAGTGTGGGTTAAAGAAGCCACCGGTTCCCTGGAGGCCAGAACCACAGGCCTGTGGCCTTTTTTATTGTTTTGACAGGGAGGTGGAAAGCAGGAGTATAACTACATTCAAGTGTCTGCTCTGTTGCTGTATGAGAAAATCTGTGCTGTAGCACATCAAAGTTTTTCCAAATTGTGTTTCTTAGGACATCTTTGGGGTTTATATAAGTATTTAATAGAGCTCCCCTAGCCCAGGCTTACACAGGACATATGTCTAGTGTCATATGTATGTATGCTTAAATTTTAGCAGAAAGTTTGCTAAAATTTAAGTGAAGTAATGTTGAAGGTTGAATCATTTGAAACAAACTACCTGCACCAAAATATTCTTTACTGTACTGATTTCTATCCCACCCCAATGAGGCTGAATTTTAATCTTAACTCTGCTTGTAATTAGGTATTTATATGTGTCTATTATTCATTTTTTAACAAGATGTCTCTTCAGAGATAAAATGAGGGTAGCAAAACATAATTTTAATAGCCATTTATATGGCTTTGATAACAATTGTCTGTTCTACTTATTTGACTGATTCTAAACTCTAAAGGTTATTTTACAGTTAGTAAATTACATAATTTTTATGCAACAATTTGCCTGCCAGGATTCCTGTAATACTTGTCAGCTATCAGTAGGTATAAGCCTGTTAGCCTCTAATGTGAAGATAATATCTCTTTAAGTTATAATGCATTTACAATTGTTACAGTTTCTAAGGTCTTTTTACGTTAGAGATGCATCTGAGGATGATGGTTTTCAAGGAGATAGCTCTTTGACAAAAAATGACAATATGGGACTTAGTGTTATATTAATTTACACATTATGTTTTTGCTATAAAGAGATAAAAGGTGTGCTATACTACCTATAAATTACTGTATGCCACATTTTGTAGAATTGTTTTCCATATTATTGTAGAATGTGGCACTTAAATAGTATCATGAAAAAAGTTTATTCAAGAAATAAGACATTAATGAAATATAATTAATATATAAAGACTATATTTAAAAATAATTATGTATTTCTAATCCTAAACTTTTTAAGGTGACATTATTTTTTTCTGTGATATAATTTCAGTTTAGAAGAACTTTAAATTTTAATAAGATTTTAAGATGATTCAGTAATGTTAACATACTTTTCTTCTGGAAATTTTGTTTGTTAACAATTTAGCTGCATTAATTAAATATTTATATAGCTAATTTTAATACTGATATTTTAATACAATTCTTAATTTTACTCCTGGCTTTCAATCATTCATATATGTTTTTAAAAATTGCTTTTTCCGTTGCTTTACTTCTTAATTACTTTATCAAAGTCTTAATTGTATGTGGTTGATTTTAAAAGTTAAATATTTCTATAAGATTTATAAAGACAAACTGGGTACAGTGACTCACACCTGTAATCCCAGCACTTTGGGAGGCCGAGGGGGTAGATCACTTGAGGTCAGGAGTTCGAGACCAGCCTGGCCAACGTGGTGAAAGCAGTTTCTACTAAAAATACAAAGATATGCCTGGTGTGGTGGTTGGCCCCTGTAATTCCAGCCACTTGGGAGGCTGAGGCGGGAGAATTGCTTGAACCTTGGAAGCGGAGGTTGCAGTGAGCTGAAACCATGCCATTGCACTCCAGCCTGGGCAGCAAGAGCGAAACTCCATCACACACACAAAAAAAAAAAAATATATATATATATATATATATATGTATATATACACGTATGTGTGTGTGTGTATATATATATACACACACTATATATACGTGTATATATATACATATATATACACATATATATATACACACACACAACAGAAATGTCCTGGCTATATCTATATTAATAGGTTTTGCACATTTAAACCAAAGTCACACATATGGTTTGATTCTAATTAATTCTAATGCATCTTGCAGGTTACAAACTGTATTCTATTATGTAATTATCTGCTGATCCACTCTGTATCCTGTTGTGTAAGTTGCGATGATTAACCTCTGCCTTTATGATGTAATCCAAATGTAGCATATAGACCTCAATGATAAGATTTATCATGGTGCATTTAATCATTAATTTATTATTAATCTCTTTTATCCTGGTACTTAGAGTGCAGATTTTTCTCAACAAATATTTACGCAATCATTAAATGAAATATAGCCTTGTGTCACTTAGCAATGAGGATATGTTCTGAGAAGTGTGTGGTTAGGTGTTTATCTTACTGTGCAAACTTCATAGAGTGATCAATCTATAATGGTGATAGCAATTTTTCAACCCTATAATAATCTTAATGAGCCATTGTTTTACATGCTGTCTCTTATTGATGTAAACGTTGTTATGTGGCACATGATTATATAAAAGATATTAATCCATTCATTATTTATGCATTCATCCATTTGACCTATGGTAGTGTTCTATTGAAAATGAGTCATCGTGATATAGAAATCCACTCTTAGTTGTTTTTACTTTCTCTTTTTCGTGGGGAAGAGTGGGTATTGATTTTAAAAGTCTAATGAATGGGGTATTGTGAATAGTGCCGCAATAAACATACGTGTGCATGTGTCTTTATAGCAGCATGATTTATAATCCTTTGGGTATATACCCAGTAATGGGATGGCTGGGTCAAATGGTATTTCTAGTTCTAGATCCCTGAGGAATTGCCACACTGACTTCCACAATGGTTGAACTAGTTTACAGTCCCACCAACAGTGTAAAAGTGTTCCTATTTCTCCACATCCTCTCCAGCACCTGTTGTTTCCTGACTTTTTAATGATTGCCATTCTAACTGGTGTGAGATGGTATCTCATTGTGGTTTTGATTTGCATTTCTCTGATGGCCAGTGATGGTGAGCATTTTTTCATGTGTTTTTTGGCTGCATAAATGTCTTCTTTTGAGAAGTGTCTGTTCATGTCCTTTGCCAACTTTTTGATGGGGTTGTTTGTTTTTTTCTTGTAAATTTGTTTGAGTTCATTGTAGATTCTGGATATTAGCCCTTTGTCAGATGAGTAGGTTGTGAAAATTTTCTCCCATTCTGTAGGTTGCCTGTTCACTGTGATGGTAGTTTCTTTTGCTGTGCAGAAGCTCTTTAGTTTAATGAGATCCCATTTGTCAATTTTGGCTTTTGTTGCCATTGCTTTTGGTGTTTTAGACATGAAGTCCTTGCCCATGCCTGTGTCCTGAATGGTAATGCCTAGGTTTTCTTCTAGGGTTTTTAGGGTTTTAGGTCTAACGTTTAAGTCTTTAATCCATCTTGAATTAATTTTTGTATAAGGTGTAAGGAAGGGATCCAGTTTCAGCTTTCTCCATATGACTAGCCAGTTTTCCCAGCACCATTTATTAAATAGGGAATCCTTTCCCCATTGCTTATTTTTCTCAGGTTTGTCAAAGATGAGATAGTTGTAGATATGTGGCGTTATTTCTGAGGGCTCTGTTCTGTTCCATTGATCTATATCTCTGTTTTGGTACCAGTACCATGCTGTTTTGGTTACTGTAGCCTTGTAGTATAGTTTGAAGTCAGGTAGCATGATGCCTCCAGCTTTGTTCTTTTGGCTTAGGACTGACTTGGCGATGCGGGCTCTTTTTTGGTTCCATATGAACTTTAAAGTAGTTATTTCCAATTCTGTGAAGAAAGTCATTGGTAGCTTGATGGGGATGGCATTTAATCTATAAATTACCTTGGGCAGCAAAGACTTGGAACCAATCCAAATGTCCAACAGTGATAGACTGGATTAAGAAAATGTGGCACATATACACCATGGAATACTATGCAGCCATAAAAAATGATGAGTTCATGTCCTTTGTAGGGACATGGATGAAATTGGAAATCATCATTCTCAGTAAACTATCACAAGGACAAAAAACCAAACACCGGATGTTCTCACTCATACGTGGGAATTGAACAATGAGAACACGTGGACACAGGAAGGGGAACATCACACTCTGGGGACTGTTATGGGGTGGGGGGAGGGGGGAGGGATAGCATTGGGAGATATACCTAATGCTAAATGAGGAGTTAATGGGTGCAGCACACCAGCATGGCACATGTATACATATGTAACTAACCTGCACACTGTGCACATGTACCCTAAAACTTAAAGTATAAAAAAAAAGGGGGTATACACACATTCAGGTATCAAGCAGTGGCACCTCATGCAAAATAATAAACTCATCTAAGATCCTAGGAGTTCATTCAGAAAATAAAGCTGGAAATATATCTTGGATATGTAAAATGTGAGTGTAAAAATTAATGAAACTAAGCAATGGGAATATGAGTAGTAAATTATTTGAGAAAATATTATAACATTTACTTTTTTAAATTTCAAAACTATATTTCCTTATTTAAAACTGAAAATTTTTGTGTACATATATGAAACTAATTGTGTCATTTTTCTTTTTGTTACAATATAGAGTGATGTTTCAAAACACAAACATAATAGGTAGAGTCAATTACTTAGGGGAGTTTAAACCTGGAGGTAACATTAGAAATAGAAATAATAAAATGCAGTGTTTTTGGATTTGTCTGTTAAGATTATTTTAATCCAAATCATATTTAGTGGTTTACATAGTTGTATATCAAATTTGGTTTCACAAATAAATTATATAGTAAATTAAAAAATGCAAAAAATGTATATTGTTATACATTCTGTAACCTATGAATCCATATAACTTGGGCAAGAAAATTATATAATTAAAAATAAAACCTTTCTGTTCTGAATTATGTTTTAGGGACAGCTATATAGTTCACACTCACAAAGGAATCATAAAAACTCTATGTATAATCTTGGAAGTAAAAATATCTGTTGTATCATATTTATGAAGTATACAATTGATTAAAAATGATAATGTCTGTCTTCTATCCAATGGCAGTAACAGAAGATAATGGCATATAAGTAGGCCTGTCTCCTTTTTTTTGGCATTGATTTATATATCTTTACTAGCTTTGTTGTTTTAACTCCAATAAAAGATTATTTAGTAAGCCAAAGCAAAAAAAAAAAAATTATGTGAGCAGCCACAAACTGAAAGACTACGATTTTTAGTCAATGTCCTAAGCAACACAGTAATTTTAGGTTAACCAATGTGTCAAAGAGAATGAGAAAAAATTATTACAAAAATGAATAAATAAATAAACTTGTCTAGGTCAAACCGTACTCCTTCTAAAGAGAGTAGTCAATTGATATTAAAGCCTATGACGTAGTATGTGCCATATTGAGTATGCAATATCAAAATATTTCTTCTTTTTCTTTCTCCAGCTACTGCAAACCCTAATTATTTCCTTATCTGATCACTTTAAAGTCATTCAACAAATCATAATTATGCCATTGTTAACATCAGAAACTGAAAACCTACTGTCAAAAGTGAGCTAAAATATCACTATTTGGATTTATTTATAAATTTAATTTATTTTATAAAAAGATTGACTTTCAATTTGAGAATAACATAAAAAATCAATTCATTCCTCTGTGCATCAATATTGTATCATTGGTAGTTTAAACTTTTCATCTAATATTAGATTGCATGCAGGATTTTATATCTAATTGCTCTGGCAGATGTCCTTTAGAAAATTCAAAAATAAAATGCAGCAATTCATATTGGCAGATTTACTATTGAGACCAGTGCTTTCTTAACTAAAAGGTTTTGTTTAAAATCGTTAGTTTAGGAAATCTGATAAAGATTTTTGAATATCAGAGCGTTTAAGAGAGATTCTTACTTTACATCTGGCATATTTCTTGTATTACATATTATAATTTCATTGAACATGGCTGTCTGTAAAACTATATATATGATCCGGAAGAGACTCAAACTAAATTAAGTTTTAACAGCCATCAATTTATTTTAAAATGACACAGGCATGAAAAATGATCTATCAAGGTTTGTAAATCTTATTCTGTTAGCTATTGCTAGAGATAGTCTAAAGATATTCTACTTGGAATTTGAGATCAAGACAAAGATTTTCTATTAGTAATAATATTCAGATTATTTCTATTTTAATGTATAAATTTAAAATTCTTAGAATATTTTCAACAATATTTTCCATTTCTAAATTTATTTTATTTCTAAACAAATGTAATTACTTTATTTATTAACTTTTATTTTCAGTTCAGGGGTATATGTGCAGGTTTGTTATATAGGTAAACCTATAGGTAAATAGGTATACAGATTATTTTGTCACCCAGGCATTAAGCCTATGCGCGTTAGTGAAAAATGTTATTGCTTTAAATATCCAAATTATTCAGCTGCATTTGATCTCATTCTTTAGTCCAATGTAAGTAAGAGTAAAACAATGACATTTAAGGCCACCAGGCTATTCTCATTTTCGGAAAAATGCTGGATTACATTACCAGCATATTCATTCGAGAATATCAAGGTGTAATATCTCCCTAGAAATTGTCTCACCTTCAATACTATTGACATTTTTGGACCTGATAATTTTGTTGTGGGCTCTAGCCTCGTATTATAGGAGGTTTACCAGTTTTCCTGCCCTAAACTTACCGGATGTGAATAGCACACTCCACTACCTACAGCAGTAAAAACTAAAATTGTCTCTAAACATTGACAAATGGTCCCTGGTAGTGAAAATCACCCCTGGTTGAGACCGTGTTGTTGAAAATAAAACAAAAACTTTCACATCAATAAATATGTTAGGCTGTGTATGTTAAGGATTAACATTAAGACAATATGGAGCAAGCACTACATGAAAGCAGTGACGATTGGGAATTAGTGGCACATTATCCTAATAGTTAATATAGTGACTGTAATATCTAAATATCATCATATAGAGTTTTTCTTAGATTTTTTCATTAGTATAACTTAGGATGTTGTGTATGTTACACTGTATATACTGTTATTTTGAGAGACAATTTTGGGAGATTTTGCCAAGGTATTTTCAATTATAGGTCTTTAATACATTCTAAGCAAGTGGGTCTCAAAAATGGGAATTTTACACCCCACATTCTTCTTCCCATCCGGTGGACATTTGTCAATGTGTACAGATATTTCTGATTAAAAAAAAAAAACTGTGAAAGAGAGGGTGTGCTACTGGCATCTGGTGGTCGAGGCTAGGGATGTTGCTAATCATCTTACAGTGTACACGATAGTTCCCCACAATGACTTTGAGAAACCCTGCTCTGACACTACTGCAGGATGAATTTTAAGCACAATTATAAGAGAGGACCTAGATATTGAGTTTTAAAAGGAGAAAATATAAGTACAAAAGAAGAATGAAGATTGTTATAACAGGGGCAAGTAGAAGTTAGAAGAAAATGTGATAAAATAAATCTACATTTTAGAATAGTACTGGAAGTTATTATCAGGTGTTACAGACAAGTTTGAGACTTCCGTAAGTGACCTAAAGAAATTATGGACACTGCAAGACTAAATAATCATTCATTTAGGAAGGAGCTTAAAAGCACTTTCTCAAGGCCGGGCGAGGTGGCTCACGCCTGTAATCCCAGCACTTTGGGAGGCCAAGGTGGGCAGATCACGAGGTCAGGTGATTGAGACCATTGTGGGTAACACGGTGAAACCCCGTCTCTACTAAAAAATACAAAAAAAATTAGCCGGGCACGGTGGCGGGCGCCTGTAGTCCCATCTACTCGGGAGGCTGAGGCAGGAGAATGGCGTGAACCCGGGAGGCGGAGTTTGCAGTAAGCTGAGATCCCGCCACTGCACTCCAGCCTGGGTGACTGAGTGAGACTCTGTCTCAAAAAAAAAAAAAAACTTTCTCAAGCATGCTAAGTCACACAATTTGAGTTATCCTGAGCTTTTTTTACTTTAAGTTATCAAGCCATTGTTTGGAATCTTCAGAACCTCTTTAGAGTTTGGGATTTAAGAGTCAGTAGGTAGATAGTGAGCTTAAGATGCCAAACACAACATATAAAGCTATAAAAATCCATATGATCTTGAAAGATTAAATGGAAGCCCAGCACAAAACAATTGCTGAGTATATTATTTACATTATCTGAAAGTATGCCAAACAGACACTTTATATATTAATAAAGATATGAGAAAGAAAATTCCAAAGAGTTTCTAAAAAGTGAACAACCACAAAATTTAAATAGCTTGCAACAAACATTTTCTTCTCACTCATGTTACCTGATGGAAAATCAAATGGCTGCCTGGAGACAGCATGGAGGGAGAGACTGATTACTGAGGTGCACAAGAAAACTTTTCATAATGATGGTTGTGAATGTAGTGATATTTCCAAAAGTATATACATATATATATATATATATCTCAAATTTGACCACATCACACATTTCAAGTATACTGAATTGACTGTGCATCTCTTATTATACCCCAGGAAAGTTGAAGATACGACAATGAAAAAAAAATTCTTCCACCGACTACCCATCAATTTTCTTCTCATTAGCCTCACAGATTTCACAGTTAATTAAAGGGAAGATGCAAATATGTTCAAACTGTACATATTCTGAGGCCCATACCTTGCCATTAGCTCAATAAAGAGAGACATTGTCCCTGGCATGAAAATGAAAAACTTGCACACTCCCTATGTGGCTTCTGGACACTCTTAAGACATGAACACACTTTGGGGGCTCACCCTGTCAGGGTTTGCTCTCAGAGCTTAGATGAGAAAAACACAAAAATAAAACCAAAAGGTGACATTTAGATGCCCATCAAGAAAGATGTGTTGGGAACTGGACAGGTCAGGGCTTTAAGTACTGTATCTTACTGTATGTTTAAGTACTGTATGTTACTGTAGAAACTTACCCATTTTCCCCTCAGAACAACTCTGTCTCAGGAGGTGAGTCTGAGAGCTACTGTTTCTTTGTAAAGGTTTTATCTGATCAGGCCCACGGTCACCACGTCAGCCCCACTGCCCCTAAATAGTTTGAATCTTGATGTTTTGATTTCAAAGACTTCTGATTCTAGCTACATAGCTTTGTCCATTTCCCACCTTACCACTATTTACTTTGAATTTTGTTGCATGCCGAGACCAGTGACTGCCACAAATGTGACTGTTCCTAGAATCTGCTTTCTGCTCTGATCTTTAGTCAGTGTGCAGACTCTAACATAAACTCCTTTCTATCGTATTTTCTTGAGTCCAAGAGCCCATAGATTGTATAATGCACTATTTTATGTCCCGTTAAGCAAGTAATTCGCACTGTGGCTAATTAAACTAAGACATACCACTGAATTGTAAAATGCATTATATTTTCAGGAGATATTAAAATATGAAATGTATAGGTCTTGGAATAGATGAATTGTGACAGTATCTTTGGAAAGCTAATTCAGTTGCAGTATTGCTTAAGATGTCTTTAAGAGCTGACTTCCTTTAGTTGGAATACATATGTAAATTATTTGCAGAGGAGATTTACCTCTTTTATCTCATTCATTTGTTTATTCAGTCATTTATTGATATCAATATGGACTAAGGAAAATTACATTTTTGGGCATAATCCAAATATAATACCAATTAATGTATTGTGTTGCTAAAATTATTCTAGAAATTGAAAGACCTTTCACTTGGCCCCTGTGCTTGTTTGACATATCTCACAAATAGATTTTTGTTAGTATTTTCATAATTTCTGGCACTAGAGGATGTCCCAGGCTCATCTTGTGTATTTTCTTCCCCATTCTTAGAATCAGCCACTTTCAAAGACGCCCTGCTTTCTATATATGAAATCAATATTTAAGTGCTAGCTGTGCCTGTAGCTAAGGGAGTATCAATTTTTTCATAGCTCTCTAAGATGAGAGAGCAAAGAAACAATGTGTATATTCTTACACATATGTAGACACATATCTTTAAATATTTCTATATGTAAACATCTATATTAGTCCATTATCCCATTGTTATAAAGAACTACCTGATCCTAGGTAATTTATAAAGAAAAGAGCTTTAATTGCCTCACAGTTCCACAGGCTGTACAGGAAGCAAGGATGGGGAAGCCTCAGAAAACATACAGTCATAGCAGAAGGCAAAGAGGAAGCAGCCACATCTTACATGGCTGGAGAAGGAGGAAGAGAACTAAGAGGGAGATGCTACACACTTTTAAACAACCAGATTGTGTGAGAACTAACTCATTATCACAAGAACAGCAAGGAGGAAATCTGCCCCCATAATCCAATCCCCTCCCACTAGACCCCTCCTTCAACACTGGCGATTACAATTGGACAAGAGGTTTGAGAGGGGACAAAATGTAAACCATATCACCATCTATGTCTCTATTAAGCTAAACATGGGTTCTTACTGATGTCACTACCTCTAACCTAGTCCCGCAAGCATCAGTGCCTTCCTGTATCTCTAAACCCCCACTCCAACAATAAAAATCCTGACTCTTATTTTGTGACATCTATTTAGTTAATTGTTCACTTCCAGTATATGTATATAGCTGTACCAGAATTGATAACCTGCCCTTAGTAGAAGAACATCTTTATCAACTAAATTAAATGCCTTCGTACAAGTTTCTTTTGCCTTTCATCTTAAGAGACTGCACTCATTTTCAATATCACTTTGACTAGCACCCTTTCCCTTAAGTCCCTCACTGAAGTTATTTTGTATGGTTCATAATAGAGCTAGATAAATTTGTAACAGTCTGCATTCCATCCTGAGATTCTACAACCTTTTAATTAATTTTTAATTAAAAATATAACTTTTATTTTGGTAAATATTAGCACTTCTGTGCCACACTACTATATATAAATATCAAAAAAAGGTCCAGAAAGCTATAGAAAATTTAAGTAAAGTGCTGAATGTTGAACCTAACAATAACTGGGCTAAAGTAAGTACAGAAGGCAATTTTTTATTTATGTAAATTTATGGGATACAAATATAATCTTATTACCTCCATAAAGTACATAGTGTTGAAGTAAGGGTTTTAGAATATACATCACCTGAAAAATGTACATTGTACTCATTACATAATTTCTCATCATCCCCTCCTCCCACCCTCCTGAAATTTCCAAGTCTCTGTTGTCTATCATTCCACATTCTATGTCCATGTATATACATTATTTAGCTTCCAGTTATAAGTGAGAACATGCAGTATTTGTCTTTCTGTGTCTGATTTGTTTCACTTAAAATAATGACCAGTTACATCCATGTTGTTACAAAAGACATGATTTTATTCTTTTGTATAGCTGAATAGTATTCTATAGGGCATATATGCCAGATTTATTAATCTAATTATCCACTGAGGGACACATTGCTATTGTGAATAGTGCTGTGATAAACATATGGGTGCAGATACCTTTTTCATATAATTATCTGTTCTCCTTTGGGTAGATCTCCAGTAGTGGGATTGTTGGGTGAAATTGCGGTTTTATTAAGAATGTATATTCTGTAGTTGCTGGGTAGAATTTTCTGTAAATGTCAGTTAGGTCTATTTCATCTAAGGTTGAATTTAAGTCTTATGTTTATTTGTTTTCTGTCTTGATGATAACATTTAATGCTGTGAGTGAGATGGTAAAGTCTCCCAGTATTACCGTATTGCTGTCTATTCCTTTTTTATGTCTAGTAATATTTATTTGATGAATCTTGGTGGTCTAGTGTTGGATGCATATGTGTTTAGAATTGTTATATCCTCTTGCTGAATTGATCCCTTTATCATTATGTAATGACTTCCTTTGTCATTGTTATACTGTTTTAGATTTAAGTTCTGTTTTACTTGATATAAGTATAGCTATTCCTGCTTGCTTTTAGTCTCCATTACATGGAGTATCTTTTTTCACCCATTTACTTTAAATCTGTATGTGTCTTTACTTTTCAGTCTGTATGTGTCTATATGTTTCTTGTAAGCATAATATTTTTGGATCATTTTTTAGTTCGTTCCATCAATCTACCTTTCTTTTTTTTTTTTACTTTTAGATGGAGTTTCACTCTGTCATCCAGATTGGAGTGCAGTGGCGCAATCTTGGCTCACTGCAAACTCCGTCTTGCAGGTTCAAGCGATTCTCCTGCTTCAGCCTCCCAAGTAGATGGGATTACAGGTGCCGGCCACCACGCCTGGCTAATTTTTGTATTTTTAATGGAGATAGGGTTTCACTATGTTGGCCAGCCTGGCCTCGAACTCCTGACCTCGTGGTCCACCCACCTCGGCCTCCCAAAGTGCTGGGATTACAGGTGTGAGCAACTGCACCTGGCCCAATATCTATCAATCTATATATTTTAAGTGGAATGTTTAATTCATTTACATTCAAGGTTAATATTAATACATGAGGTTTTCTTTCTGCCATATTGCTATTTGTTTTCTACTTGTTTTATAAGTTCTTTGGGGTTATTTTGTTGTTGTTTTTTGTTTTTCTTTCTGTCTGTCTCTTTGTCTTTGTGGTTTGGTGGAAATCTGTTGTGTTGCTATTTGATTTCTCGTCCTACTTTGTGTGACTGTTTTACAAGACCTATGAGTTTGCTACTTTCATGTGTTTTGATGATGATGAATGTTGACCTTTCATTTTTGTGTTTGGGACACCTTTGAGTATTTCTCATAGGACTCGTTTAGTGGTGACGAATTCCCTCAGTGTGTGCTTGTCTGGAAAATACTTTGAATCATTTCAAGAAAATTAGCAGTGAGTTATGTCAATCAAGCCATTGGTTTGTATTTGGTGGCACATTTACTCTGTATTATTTCACACTAGAACCATCTGAGTTAAGTTTTATTATTTGCTATATGTTGCAGATGAAGAAACTGAAGCTGAGAGAGGTTTAGTGAATGACTAAAAAGGTTGTCAGGCTGCAGGGAAAAAAAAAACAAAAAACTGTATGACTAGCCTGCAATGCTTCCCAAAGTATGCAGCTTATTATTATTGGTCACTTTTTGAGTACAAAATGCTGTGCTATGCAACAAAATAATACAATGTACATATGTATAAAAGTTAACATATACATATCAATTAACATAAGCATAACTGTAATCACATATACTGATAAATAAAAATATAAAGTAATATATGGTAATGACCCAACCATTTGCCTAAGTTTCATGTATTACAGAAGTTTTGAGGAGGGACTTCAGCTGTATGCAAATCAGCAATTCGGGTTGTACAGTTGATTACCCATTAGTTCAGAATTTTAATAATTTAAAATGTATTTATTAAGAACCTAACAATTGGAAGACCTTACAATAGGTGGGAAAATTCGACAGATGAATAATGCTTAGGAGATATCAGCATGTTTTGGAAGGATATTCCCATGAAGAGAAAAAGTATTGTGGGAAGTGTGGGAAGTGTTATGGTGCGAGAGTAATATAGGTTCCAGCATGTGTTTACATTATTTTGTTGGAGGTGTTGGGGAACCTTTCATGGAAGGTGTGTGGTAGACTGTTGGACAGGTTTCCTCAACTTTCGTTCCACTCTTTGAAGAGGTTAGAAAATTAAAACAAAACAAAACAAGCAATGCAGCTTCCCTTGAGCTAGCTTTATGAATGCAGCTTAGACCACTTACCGATTGTTTGCATATGAATCAGACTTAGAAAAATGGAAGAGATCAAAGCCTGTCTTGCTATTGTTGATTCTGGCAAGTGAAATCATGGAGACAATAGTTCAGAAGTAGTGGAAGTGGTAGGATTCAATATCCTTGTGCCTAATCCCCAGTTTCATGGGCATAAGAAGCTTAAAGTTTTAATAGTAGGAGCATCTTTTTGACCCAGGATTGCAGAAATGATTGCGTGCCTTTGAATTCAAGAACTCAAAACCTTCCTCCATGCCACAGCTACTTTAGTTATTTTAGCTCTTCCTATTGTATATGTATGAAATGCACTTTCTGCTTAAGATACCTATTGCGGTTTTTATTTCCTTATTAAAACCTTGGAAAAATATAGCACTTAAATGATGTTTTGTAGAAATTCACTAAGCAAATAAAGCTAAAGGGGGAGACAGTTAACCTTCTCTGCCCCCTTTTTATCAGAAGTTTGTTGTAGAAGAAATACACAATTTTTGCGCAATTTTAGCACCATCTAAGTTTTGTAGGTCTGGAACACAGACTGGTTAGATGAGCATTTCAGGAGCACTATAGTTGCAAAGTTAAGCAGTCACCACAATTTTATGTGTCATACAAAGATTTTTAACTTTATGTTTAAGCAACGAGCCTAGAAGCAAATGGTATTTCCATCAAGAATTGTCTCATATAAAGTAGAGCGTTTTGGAAAATGAAGTTATTAATAGATAAAAACATGTTTATAGAGTTGGTTTCTAAGTATGACAAACCTATTTCTTGGTAAATTGCAAGTCCATTCCACCTGTGTTTGTAGGTTCATTTGCCTAAAAGTCTTGGGATTTTTTCTGATGATCTATTAAATTTTCTTTCTGATTATCTTTTCTAATGCTGTAATAGCATTTCTAACACTGTAATGAAAGAGAACAAAAGTACACGCTTGCTCATCATTTACTAATTCTAAAAATATATATTGAATACATCTATGTAGCAGGTACTGTGGTAGGTGTGGAAGATAGTTGAGACAGGTAACAAGCCCAACATTACGGAGCTTAGCATCACCACATAGAAGAGTTTTTAAAAACCATAGATAAGTGAATAATGATTATAAAGACAAAGAGATTCTTGCCATATAATTACATATAAGCAAATTTAGGATGTGATGAAAGATTTTGATATTGGTCTTCTGATTTGGCTGTAGGATGAAGTGTTTATAAGTCATCCCAAGGAAGAAACAATTCAGATGAGAACTATTCAATGGATTTGCAATAACAATCCAAAGATGGAAGAAAACACTTCCAGGTAGACAAAATTGCAAGTATAGAGAATCTAAATTAAGAGAGAGCTTAGCTTTCAGATGAATTAAAAGATTGTGGTGATCAGAATGTAGAGATTGACGAGAGACAAATGAAATAAAACTAGAAGGACAAGTAGAGATTTGTGGGTCAAGTTTTTTAATTTTATTATAAATGCACTGATACTGTTCTGAACATTTTCTTACGCATGGAAATTTAATGATTATGGTATTGAAAAATGTAACTCTTCATTTATATTTTTCCGAGAATGAAATCGGTGGAATTGCTGGGGGGTGAAAATGTCCAATGCAAAACAGGAGGCTAATTTAAGAAGGGATACTGCAAAATTGGTCATGATGGCTCAAACTGCTGTTCATAATAGAGAGAAGAAAATGGATAGAGTTACATATGGATGAGAGTAAATTGACAAGGCTAAATGCTAAAACGTGGGTAGTGACAGAAAGTAGGTGTCAAAATAGACTTCCAGGAAAAGAAAAAATGGGTCTACAAAAGAGCCAAATGCTGATCTGGGTTACATGATCCTGAGCAGATGCAGATGTAATTGGTTAAGTAAAGTAAGTTCTTAAGATAGATTTGGCCTGGCGCTATACATTCTAGAGCCCCTGAATATAAGTGGGATATAAAACCATGGGAATGACTGTATTTGTCTAAGGAGAGAATTTGGCAGAAGAAAAGGAGACATAAGATGAAATGCAGAGGAAATTCAAATTTAATTGGCAGGTGTAGGAAGACAAGGAGATGACAAAGGGAACTGGAAATGAGTAATCAGAGACAGAAAAGTAAAAGTAAGAGTAGAATGTCATGGAAGGCAAATAATTGGAATGTTTCAAGAACAGGGAAATGGGCAATAAAGAGAAGAAAAAAATAGTGACCAGAGGGTATGGTAATGTGTAGAAATTCATCCTGTGTTAGGTTTGATTGCTTAGACGTTTTATATAAAAATCTTTCCCAGAGAGTAATAAAACAGAAGTGAGGTTAGAGAAAGAACATACGATTTAGCCAAAAGGTGGGAAAAGTTAGGAAATGAAGAATAAATATGTTTAAAGATAATGTTATGGCTACTCAATGTACAACCTCTTTTCTTTCATTATTTTTAATTGTCATATTTAAAAATAGTAATTACCACTTTTAAAAATTGTCTTATTATTTGTTACATAAGAAAATGCATTAATTCAAGCCACATAGTATCATTTATATTATGACTGTCGAAACATTACTAGAATTACTAGAACTATTAACCTAATGGCCTGAAAATTTCAACTCACTTCCCTAGCTGTCCTGATGATCATTAGTGAAAGGAAAGACTCCATTAAATAATGCTTACTTATAGAGAACTGGTTATATCTGTCTCATTTCCATACATATATCTATATAAATTAATTTGATTAATAAAACAAACACAAGGCACAAACAACAAAACACAATTTATAAATGTCATTGAAAAATGCATGCCTGTACAATTTGGGTATTTGTAATTGTAAATTGATATACTTCATTTTTTATCCAGGAGTTACTTAGATTGAAACTTTACCTAATGTATGATAAAATAATACGTGATTAAATTTAAAAACATGATGAATTTATTTAAAATTGGCTTCAATAATGTCAGAAAGTAATAAAATAAAATGATTCCTTCAAAGACTGCACCTGTTTATTGCCTGAGATTATCTCTCTTGGCCACAAATCAATATTACTTTCTTTCATTCATCAGTGATAAAGCTTTTCAATAATTCTAATTTTAAAGGATGATTACAGCAAGTATATAGTCATTGATTGCTTAAAGGTTGCAGCTAAAATGAACACAATGGTCATTTTATTTTTAATAAATGAGCCCTTTTGAAAAGTCAAGCATTTTTCCTCTCACAAAACTTTGTGTAATAAGATTATAGATTTGATCATGTATGAGTTTGCACTGTGTGTGTGTATATATGTGTGTGATTTCAGCGATAAAGTTCACTGTTCCACAGCTGGCAATTTCTTCTGCTTAATTGAAAATTCCGTTTTAAAATATTTCTTTAAAGTTCTAAAATGGGTTTAAATGGGTTCATGAGCTGTAATACTATTAAAAATATATATATCTACATATTTGTTGATTCTTCTCAGTTTAAGAAGTGGAGCTTCATACTCCTCCCCTTGAAGGCAGGCTAAGCTGAGTGACTCCCATCTAAGAAATAAAACACCACAGGATTGGAATGTTACCTTCTGAGACAAGGTCACAAAGGCTAGGGTTTTAATTTTGAGTGAACTAATTTGCTCCTTACTGGTGTTTCTCTCTCTTTCTCTCCTTCAACTCTTTACGAGCCCAGCCACCATGCAAATAATTCCAAACTATCTTTTCTAGAAAGCTCACATGAAGAACCGAGGCATCCTATCTGATATCCAGCCAAATGATTAAACATTCTAGAAGCAGACTATGATGCACTGAATTTGTGAAATCCTAACCCCCAGTGTAATGATAGTAGGAGGTGGAGCTTTTGGTAGATGATAGTCTGTCTTCATGTTGGGGATTAGTGCCTTGATTATTATTTTTTATTTTTATTTTTATTTATTTATTTATTTATTTTTGAGACAGAGTTTTGCTCTGTTACCCAGGCTGGAGTGCAGTGGTGCCATGTCAGCTCACTGCAACGTCTGCCTCCTGGGTTCAACTGTTTCTTCTGCCTCAGCCTCCTGAGTAGCTGAGTAGCTGAGACTACAGGTATGCACCACCACACCTGGCTAATTTTTGTATTTTTAGTAGAGACGGGGTTTCACCATACTGGCCAGGCTGGTCTGGAACTCCTGACCTCGTGATCTGCCTGCCTCAGCCTCCCAAAGTACTGGGATTACAGATGTGAGCCACCGTGCCCAGCCGGGGATTAGTGCCCTTATAAAAGAGACCCCAAAAAGCGTCCTTGACCCTTCTGCCATGTGAGCTAGAGGACAGTAATCTATGAACTAAAAAATGGGCTCTGACCAGACACCAAATCCTCAAGCACCTTGATTTTGCACCATCCAGCCGCCGGTACCATTAGAAACATTTCTGTTGTTTATAAGCTACCCTGTCTATGGTATTCTATAGCGACAGTGCAAACAAACTAAGACATGGACCTTCCAACACAAGTTAAAGGCTTCGGGGGATGCTGCCTGGGTCAACAACATGACAGCAACCTTTACTCATGAGAGACTTCGAGTCAGAACCACCTACCCAAATCCATCATTTCCCTGACTTCTATAAATTGTGTCATACATATTTGTTATTTTAAGCCATTAAGTTTTAGGGTAATTTTTAAATGGAAAAATACATGATCATAGGTAAACTATAATTAATAGAAAAATCTAATGCCAATAATATTTACCATTGATTGACCGTAAAAACTCCACTAATTATTTGCTTTCCATTTATATTTATTTTGGGATTTCTTTTATAAGAGAATGGCACCTGTGACAGCATACTGTTAATATTACCCTTGTATCGTACTTTACCATGCCATCTCTGAAGAATATTACAGACCATTTTGGAGCATGGTGAATAAGAAATTTTTACCTTAGGAGTTCACTTGAATAGTCATTTTTATATTTGTGACTGCAAGTCACTTTTAGGGGCTGTACTTCCTTAGTACTGGTAGCATTATTATCCAATGGACTTTTATAGCTTTCATTAGGTTTTCTTTTGTTTTTGTTCTTTAAAGAACGTTTTACTTAACTTAGTATTTCATTTTTCATCTATATTATGAGGCAGTAAGAGTCTTCTGTTTTTCCAAAGTTGAGACTGCTTTATATTTATTTCGTATTGTCTACAGCTGTAGTGTTCAATACATTAGCCACTAGCCACATGTGGTTATTTAAATAAGATGAAATAAAAATTGGCCAGGCGTGGTGGCTCACGCCTGTAATCCCAGCACTTTGGGAGGCCGAGGCGGGCAGATCATTAGGTCAGGAGATCGAGACCATCCTTACTAAGACGGTGAAACCCCATCTCTATTAAAAATACAAAAAAATTAGCCGGGCGTGGTGGCGGGCGCCTGCAGTCCCAGCTACTCAGGAGGCTGAGGCAGGAGAATGGCGTGAACCTGGGAGGCAGAGTTTGCAGTGAGCCGAGATGGCGCCACTGCACTCCAGCCTGGGGGACAGAGCGAGACTCCATCTCAAAAAAAAAAAAAAAAATTAAAAATTAAGTTCTTTAGTTGCACTAGCCATATTTCAAATACTTGATGGATACATGTGGCTAGTGGCTAACATAAGGGATAGCACAGATATAAAACATTTCCTCGTCATATAAAGTTCTATTGGATAGTGCTGGTCTGTAGCTTATAGGATGGTATCTTAGTCTGCTTCAGCTGCTAAAACAGAATACCGTAAATTAGGTAGCTTAAACAGTAGATATTTTGACCAGGCGTGGTGGCTTATGCCTGTATTCCTAACACTTTGGGAGGCCGAGGCAGGTGGATAACTTGAGCTCAGGAGTTTGAGACTAGCCTGGGCAGCATGGCAAAACCTTGTCTCTACGAAAATTAGCTGGGCATGGTGGTGCACGCCTATAGTCTGAGCTACTTGGGAGGCTGAGGTGGGAGAATTGCTTGAACCTGGGAGGCGGAGGTTGCAGTGAGCCATGATCGCACCACTGTACTCCAGCCTGGATGACAGAATGAGACTCTGTCTCAAAAAAAACAAAAGCAAACAAACAAAAAAAACAGATATTTCTCACAGTTGTGGAGACTGGAAGTGCAAGATCAAAGTGTTGGCAAATTGTGTTTCTTAAAGAGGGCCTGCTTCCTAGATTGGAAATGGCCATCTTCTCTCAGTATCCTCACATGGTAGGGAGAAAAGCAGCTCTAGTGTCTCTTCTTATAAAGGAAGTAATGCCACCACAGGGGCTCTATTCTCATGACCTCATCTAAACCTAATTCTCTCCTAAAGGCCACGCCTCCCAGTATCCTCACCTTGGGGGTTAGGGCTTTATCATATGAATTTTTTTTTTTTTTTTTGAGACAGAGTCTCGCTCTGTCACCCAGGCTGGAGTGCAGTGGCACAATCTCGGCTCTCTACAAGCTCCGCCTCCTGGGTTCACGCCATTCTCCTGCGTCAGCCTCCTCAGTAGCTGGGACTAAGGCGCCCGCCACTGCGCCCGGCTAATTTTTTGTATTTTTAGTAGAGACGGGGTTTTACCATGTTAGCCAGGATGATCTCGATCTCCTGACCTCGTGATCCACCCGCCTCGGCCTCCCAAAGTGCTGGGATTACAGGCATGAGCCACCGCGCCCGGCCTATCATATGAATTTTGAGGGAACACAAACATGCAGTCTGTAGCAGATGGTAATAGGCTGATATATTACACTTGTTGATGTAAATCTGATAGGTTTCTTTCTCTCCAACGACAGCTTTTTAAATATTTAACAGTATCAATAATTTTTCAGTTTCTGTGAGAATTTTATAATTTGTAATTTGCAGATTAATGTATAATCTATTTTGTCCTAACAATTACAAATATATTTTTTATTTCAGATTATATATATTCCTACCAGATGGAGATGATTACAGCTTTAAAAATTTTTATTTTTTCATTTTATTTCACATATTGACATTAAATTTTTATGGACACATAATAATTGTACATATATATGGGGTACAATGTGATGTTTTAATACATGTACTCAATGTGTAATGATCAAATCAGGGTAATTTGCATAATGATTTTTCTGTAGGGAGAAAATTCAAAATCTACTCTTCTGGCTATTTTCAAATATATAATATGTTATTGTTAACTATACTCATCCTACTATGCAATAGGACACCAGAACTTATTCCTGGGTTCTACATCTGTTAAGCCAACCAAGGATTGGAAATATTGGAAAAAAAAATTGCGTCTGTACTGAACATGTAAAGACTTTTTTCTTGTCCTTATTCCTTACACAATATAGTACAATAACTATTTGCATGACATTTACATCGGATATTATGAGTGATCTAGAGTTGATATGAAGTATATGGGAGGATGTGCAAAGGTGATGTGCAAATACTATGTCATTTTATATCAGGGACTTGAGTATCCTTTGTTATCCTCAGGAGATCCTGAAACTAGTCCCCCATGGATACTGAGGGCTGACTGTATATTCCTATCCTCACGGAACTTTCATTCTAATGGGGGAAGACTGACTATAAACAAAATATATGTAATAGGTGGTGGTAAGTACCGTGGAGAAGTAACAAATGGGGCAAAGTGAGTTATACAGCTCCATTCTTAGAAACCTTGGAGTACTTTTCTTAGTTTATACTCGTGGTGGTTTCCTTTTGTCTCCTTTATTACATGGGACTCTGACATGTGCCCATAGCTAGGGTGGCAGTAGGATCTACCCGAAAAGCGTCCTGCTGATACAGGACCAAAGCATCCTGTTGTTCTCGAGCCTATAAAAAGAGCTAATGGTCTTGCTTCTCTTAACTGTGGCCTCCTACACTGTGTTTTGGATGATTGGTGATGTCTTGGATATTCTGTTTCTTTGGAACTTTGAATATACAACACTTTACTAGGGAATTAGCAATGGAAGCAGAGCAAAGATGTACAGAGGAAACAATGCATAACTCTGATGGAATTGAAGTCATGAGGCAGCAGAGAGCTTAAATTAGAGCTTTAAAAATTTTTATTTTTTAGAGGGAATTTAATTGGGAGTAACAGCAGTAATAGTTAACGGAGCCAGAATGCTTGAGTCATATAATTGCAAAGCAGAGTTGGGAGCAACAGATGCTAAAGAGTAGTTGCTGTAGTTCCTCTTTGGGTCGTAGGAGCAGTTGTCATGTTACTATACAGCTACTGAATGAAGAAGAGTTCTTAGTGAGGCCTGGGTGAACAGCTCTTCTTAGTATTCTGTGTGACCCCATTCGACCTTTTAACAAATCCCTAAGTAAATAAATAGCCCCTAAGGTAAACTAAGTTTTTCTCTGCTGTTTTTTTGCTTGAGAGAGCTATAACTGTAATAGACTTATATTTCTGAACATTTTAGTGCTTGCCAATATTTGGTAATATTTATGTTTCCTATATTTGTAATGAACATTCTTCTTCAGGTACATTTTTTGTTAAATTATTGTTTCATGCATAAAAGTTCACCTTTTATTGTATAAAATTGACTCAGATTAATTTATACACATTGACAATGGGTAAATAGAGTTTTTCAGATTATTAAAAGCTGAAGGATGCCCATGTAAGCAAAAAAAAAAGAGAAAAAACCAACAAAAATAAACCCAAACCCCTCAAACAATTTCGAACACAAAACATTCTTCTCACGCCGGCATCCCTGCTTGCAGGTGTGAAGGGGGCAGGAATCAGCGAGGTGTCCTGGGCTGAGTCCCCGGAGTGGGAAGAGGTGGCCGGAAGGGGATCTGAGGAGGAGAACAGGGGTCCTGGTGGTCTGTGCTTCTTCCCAGACACGGGAGCTGTAGAGGAGACCTCTGCAGCAGATGCTAGGGGGGCCACTAGGCCCAGGCAGTCTTGGGACTTGGGTCTGTCCTGCTGTGCATCCATAGTGGGTGCTTTAGAAACGGGAGGCCCACCCGAAGCCCCTGTTGCAAGTGAGGACAAAGTGTGGGAAGGCCGTGAGGGTCTGCAGTCCGAGATGGCCTTGTCCTCAACGTGCAGTGCACTGTTGATGCGGGGCCTAGAGGCCTGGGATCTGGGGGAGCCACCCCTGGGGGCGAGTGTCTGCCCTGGTGCTGTATCTGCCTTTTCACAGCGGGTGTCACGCGAAGAGACAGCCTGAGGTCCGTCCTCACTCACTGTGTTTGAGGAACTGAGGGCCAGCTGGCAGTGGGATGAGGCTGGCCCCCTCCTCCGCTTTAGTTCCTGGAGGCCTTCCGTAGAGCTGTGGGAGCTGGAGCTGGCATTTCGTTTGAGGCAGGATCTGGTCCGGGAGGTCTGGGATCTCTGGTTATATCTCACTTGTGACCTCCGGGCACGTGCTGCAGCTGTGGCTGAGGCCAAGAAATGTGAGGGGCCTTCATCCACTGCATTGAGTAGTGACCCCGACGTGGGGTTCAATGTGGAGGGGGGAGGGGCTGCTGCGGCAGCTGCAGGAGCCGAGGTGCCAGGCCTTGTTCTTCTCATGCTGGCATCCCTGCTTGCAGCTGTGAAGGGGGCAGGAATCATCGAGGTGACCTGGGCTGAGTCCTGGGAGTGGGAAGAGGTGGCAGGAAGGGGATCTGAGGAGGAGAACAGGGGTCCTGGTGGTCTGTGCTTCTTCCCAGACATGGGAGCTGTAGAGGAGACCTCTGTAGCAGATGCTAGGGCGGCCACTAGGCCCAGGCAGTCTTGGGACTTGAGTTTGTCCGGCTGTGCATCCATAGTGGGTGCTTTAGAAACGGGAGGCCCACCCGAAGCCCCTGTTGCAAGTGAGGACAAAGTGTGGGAAGGCCGTGAGGGTCTGCAGTCCGAGGTGGCCTTGTCCTCAACGTGCAGTGCACTGTTGATGCGGGGCCTAGAGGCCTGGGATCTGGGGGAGCCACCCCTGGGGGCGAGTGTCTGCCCTGGTGCTGTATCTGCCTTTTCACAGCGGGTGTGACGCGAAGAGACAGCCTGAGGTCCGTCCTCACTCACTGTGTTTGAGGAACTGAGGGCCAGCTGGCAGTGTGATGAGGCTGGCCCCCTCCTCCGCTTTAGTTCCTGGAGGCCTTCCGTAGAGCTGTGGGAGCTGGAGCTGGCATTTCGTTTGAGGCAGTATCTGGTTCGGGAGGTCTGGGATCTCTGGTTATATCTCACTTGTGACCTCCGGGCACGTGCTGCAGCTGTGGCTGAGGCCAAGAAATGTGAGGGGCCTCCATCCACTGCATTGAGTAGTGACCCCGACGTGGGGTTCAATGTGGAGGGGGGAGGGGCTGCTGCGGCAGCTGCAGGAGCCGACCTTGTTCTTCTCATGCCGGCATCCCTGCTTGCAGCTGTGAAGGGGGCAGGAATCATCGAGGTGACCTGGGCTGAGTCCCGGGAGTGGGAAGAGGTGGCAGGAAGGGGATCTGAGGAGGAGAACAGGGGTCCTGGTGGTCTGTGTTTCTTCCCAGACACGGGAGCTGTAGAGGGGAGCTCTGCAGCAGATGCTAGGGGGGCCAGTAGGCCCAGGCAGTCTTGGGACTTGGGTCTGTCCTGCTGTGCATCCATAGTGGGTGCTTTAGAAACGGGAGGCCCACGCGAAGCCCCTGTTGCAAGTGAGGACAAAGTGTGGGAAGGCCGCGAGGGTCGGCAGTCCGAGATGGCCTTGTCCTCAACGTGCAGTGCACTGTTGATGTGGGGCCTAGAGGCCTGGGATCTGGGGGAGCCACCCCTGGGGGCGAGTGTCTGCCCTGGTGCTGTATCTGCCCTCTTTTCACAGCGGGTGTGACCCGAAGAGACAGCCTGAGGTCCGTCCTCACTCACTGTCTTTGAGGAACTGTGGGCCAGCTGGCAGTGGGATGAGGCTGGCCCCCTCCTCCGCTTTAGTTCCGGGAGGCCTTCCGTAGAGCTGTGGGAGCTGGAGCTGGCATTTCGTTTGAGGCAGGATCTGGTCCGGGAGATCTGGGATCTCTGGTTGTATCTCACTTCTGACCTCTGGGCACGTGCTGCAGCTGTGGCTGAGGCCAAGAAATGTGAGGGGCCTCCATCCACTGCATTGAGTAGTGACCCCGACGTGGGGTTCAATGTGGAGGGGGGAGGGGCTGCTGCGGCAGCTGCAGGGGCCGACCTTGTTCTTCTCATGCCGGCATCCCTGCTTGCAGCTGTGAAGGGGGCAGGAATCATCGAGGTGACCTGGGCTGAGTCCCGGGAGTGGGAAGAGGTGGCAGGAAGGGGATCTGAGGAGGAGAACAGGGGTCCTGGTGGTCTCTGCTTCTTCCCAGACACGGGAGCTGTAGAGGAGACCTCTGCAGCAGATGCTAGGGGGGCCACTAGGCCCAGGCAGTCTTGGGACTTGGGTCTGTCCTGCTGTGCATCCATAGTGGGTGCTTTAGAAACGGGAGGCCCACCCGAAGCCCCTGTTGCAAGTGAGGACAAAGTGTGGGAAGGCCGTGAGGGTCTGCAGTCCGAGATGGCCTTGTCCTCAACGTGCAGTGCACTGTTGATGCGCTGGAATGCCGCCTGTTTTTCCAGGTGCAGGTCTTCAGCCGTGACCCGGTACCCCAGCTCTAAGGGAGGTGGCATCATCAAAGGCTCCCCTCGCCTGCTTGGCAGCAGGGGAATCTTGCGTCTACGGGGCCTAGAGGCCTGGGATCTGGGGGAGCCACCCCTGGGGGCGAGTGTCTGCCCTGGTGCTGTATCTGCCGCCTTTTCACACCGTGTGTGACCCGAAGAGACAGCCTGAGGCCTGTCCTCACTCACTGTCTTTGAGTAACTGAGGGTCAGCTGGCAGCGGGATGAGGCTGGTCCCCTCCTCTGCTTTAGCCCCGGCAAGCCTCCCGTGGAGCTGTAGGAGCTGGAGATAGCATTTCGTTTGGTGCTCGAGCTCGTCCAGGATGTCTGGGATGTCTGGTTATATCTGATTTCTGAGCTCTGGGCATGGAGGTCTGTCTGCAGAGGCCCGGGCCTGGGCACAAAGGGAGAGAGGCCTCCATTGTCCCGCAGGGGCCAAAATGCAGACCGTGCATCCCCGGTGACCTCGGGGACCGTTCTGTGATCATCAGGATTTTCTTGGACTCTGGGGTCCTTGTCCTGCTCAGGCATCCCTGCCCTGCTCTCCTTGAGGGCCCTCAACACTATCTTCCCTGGACACAAGTCTGGGGACAGCCGGGTGTTGAGGAGCCCAAAGGGGTGACTACCTGCTCCTGGGCCCCACAGAGTCCTTGTGCTGAGTGTAGTGGCTGAGCTGGGGGATGCCCTGGAATTCGGAGCACACAGCACTGGCTTACTGTGGTACCTGTGCAGTGAAATTGAAGAGAGAATCACCAGGATGGAACACAGGTCTTGCAGGATCACGGAAAACCTTCTTAGAGTTGTCTTGACACCACTGATGTCGAGTGTCCGGGTGTTTGTAGGATGGCCTGCCACTCAGTCCAGGGGCAGGAGCAACGGGGAGATCCCACAAGCAAAGTGAACTGGGCGATGGGCTGAAGGGGCTCCAGGCAACTGAGCCCTACTCGCAGGTCCTCGGCCTTGGCCCAAACAGGAATGAGGGGCACAGAGTGCCCGGGTAACCGCTCCTGGGAGCAGTGGGGAACTGTCGGATACTTGAACTCTCGAGAGCTGGGCTCTGAGCGTCCTCGTCCAGCTGCCAACTTGGCCAAAGGCTAAGCCAGCAGATTGTTCTGTTGCCGGGCGACGCGACTTCTAAACCTGAGGGAGTGGGCACGTGAGCACATAATGGCACCAGTGACAGAGCGACCATAATGGATTAATAAGCGCAGCCAGGTACCCGCGCAAGGCACTTGCTGGCAATGGCAGGAGGCGGACGTGGGGGGTCGTGCAATAGGTACTGGAGGGAGAGACGTGGGCACAAAGGTCGCGGGAGGAACAGGTGCCCACAATGGCTGCAGATCTGCCCGTGGATCACTGAAGATTCCTGCTCTCCTGCTGAGGTGGAGACTGCAGTGAGCTGAGATCGCACCATTGCACTCCAGCCTGGGCAACGAGTGCAAAACTCAGTCTCCAGATAAAAAAAAAGAAAAAGAAAAAAAAGAGGCCGGGTGTGGTGGCTTATGCCTATAATCCTAGCACTTTGGGAGGTCGGGGTGGACGGATCACGAGATCAGGAGTTGGAGGCCAGCCTGGCCAACATAGTGAAACCCCGTCTCTAGTAAAAATACAAAATTTAGTCAGACATGGTGGGCAGGAGAGAGCATGTGCAGGGGAACATCCATTTATAAAACCATCAGACCTCATGAGACTTATTCACTACCATGAGAACAGCATGGGGGAAACTGCCTCCATGATTCAGTTATCTCCACCTGGCCCCACCCTTGACACATGGGAATTGTTACAATTCAAGATGAGATTTGGGTGGGGACAGAGCCAAACCATATAATTCTTCCCCGGCCCCTCCCAAATCTCATGTCCTCATATTTCAAAAGCAATCGTGCCTTCCCCTAAGTCCCCCAAACTCTTATTTCAGCATTAACTCAAAATTCCATAGTCCAAAGTCTCATCTGAGACAAGGCAAGTCCCTTCCACCTGTGAGCCTGTAAAACCAAAAGCAAGTTAGTTATTTTCTAGATACACAGGGATACAGGCATTGGGTAAATACACTCGTTTCAAATGGGAGAAATTGGCCAAAGCGAAAGAGCTACAGGCCCCATGCAAGTCCAAAACCCAGCAGGCAAATCTTAGAGCTCCAAAATGACCTCCTTTGACTCCATGTGTCACATCTAGGTGATGCAAGAAGTGGGTTCCCAGGGTCTTGGGCAGCCCCGCCCCTGTGGCTTTGCAGGGTACGGCCCCCCCTTCTGGCTGCATTGAGTGTCTGCAGCTTTTCCAGGCACACAGTGCAAGCTGTCAGTGGATCTACCATTCCGGGGTCTGGAGGATGGTGGCCCCTTTGTGACAGCTCTGCTTGGCAGTACCCCAGTGGGGACTCTGTGTGGGGGCTCCAACCCCATATTTCCCTTTGACACTGCCCTAGCAGAGGTTATCCATGAGGGCCCCCCGCTCCCGTGCACAGCAAACTTGCCTGGATTTCCAGGCATTTTCATACATCTTCTGAAATCTAGGCGGAGGTTCATGAACGTTAATTCTTCGGTGCATCTGCAGGCTTAACACCACCTAGAACCTGAAAGGCTTGGAACTTGCACCCTCTGAAGCCATGGCCTGAGGTGTACCTTGGCCCCTTTTACCTGTGGCAGGAGCAGCTGGGATGCAGGGCACCAGGTTCCTAGGCTGCACACAGCAGGGGGTTCTGGACTCACAAGAGCATTTTTCCTTCTAAGCCTCCTGGCCTGTGATGGGAGGGTCTGCTGTGAGGGTCTCTAACATGCCCTGGAGACATTTGCCCCATTGTCTTGGTGATTAACATTTGGCTCCTCATTACTTATGCAAATTTCTACAACCCAGTCTCCTGAGAAAATAGATTTTTCTTTTCTGTTGCATCATCAGGCTACAAATTTTCTGAACTTTTATGCTCTGCTTCTTCTCGAATGCTTTGCTGCTTAGAAATTTCTTCTGTCAGATACCTTAAATCATCTCTCTCAAGTTCAAAGTTCCACAGATCTCTAGGGAACTCTAGAAAAAAATTCTTATTTTGACTCTTTCCCGCCTATCTTATGCCCGTTTCTAATACAGGTGCACAGTGCCTGCAGTGTCTTTGCATAGTAAGAGTGACTTTACTCCATTTCCCAACAAATTCCTCATCTCCCTCTGAGACCACCTCCGCCTGGACCTTATTGTCCATATCACTATTAACATTTTGGTCAAAGCCATTCAACAAGTCTCTAGGAAGTTCCAAACTTTCCCACATTTTCCTATCCTCTTCTGAGCCTTCCAAACTGTTCCAGCCTCTCCCTGTTACCCATTTCCAAAGTTGCTTCCACATTTTCGGGTATCTTTACAGCAGCAGCCCACTCTACTGGTATCAACTTATTGTATTAGTCTGTTCTCACACTGCAAATAAAGACATACCTGAGACTGGGTAATTTATAAAGGAAAGAGGTTGAATTGACTCACAGTTCTGCATGGCTGGGGAGGCCTCACAATCATGGTGGAAGGCAAGGAGGTGCAAAAGCATGTCTCACATAGTGGCAAGGCAGGAGAGAGCATGTGCAGGGGAGCTCCCATTTATAAAACCATCAGATCTCATGAGACTTAGTCACTACCACGAGAACAGTATGGGGGGAACCATCCCCATGATTCAGTTATCTGCACCTGGCCCCACCCTTGACACGTGGGAATTATTCCAATGCAAGGTGAGATTTGGGTGGGGACCCATCCAAACTATGTCAGTATGTTTTGACTTCTGGCTTGATTGCTAGGTTGCATAGAGGACAAACATGGAAATTAATGAAGTACCTTAATATCTGGCTTCAGATCTTAGACAGGATCAGAGGGCCAGCTCAAATTTGCAAGGAGGGGAGGTAGATCCCACCATTTTATGGGTGAATGGCAAAATCAAACAGAAATTATGTGGGATGGGAGATACTGATGCAGGCATCTTTGGAAACATTCTACTTAGCTAATTTTATGCTAGGCTTTAGGTCAAGAAGGAGAGAGAGAGCTGACATGCTGTGGTACACACTTATAGTCCCAGCGACTTGGAAAGCTGAGGCAGGAGGATTGCTTGATCCCAGGAGTTTGAGGTAGTGTGCGATGATCGTTCTTGTGAATAGCCACTAGCCACTGAACTCCAGCTTGGGCAACATTGAGACACCCTGTCTCTTAATTTTAAAAAAAAAAAAAAAAAAAAAAAGGAGGAAAGAAAGTGGTCTCAGTTTTTAATGTAAATATTTTTAATGGGATAATGATATTTTAAGATTAATGTATATTGTATATCAGTTAACTATAGGTCAATAATTATATAAAACTTAAGGTACGAAAAACATTTATTTTTGCTAACATATCTGTGAGTTGACTGTTCCTGGCTTGGTGAGGCTGCGAGCTGCAGATAGAGTCTAGGTATGTTTTCTGTGTGTTTGTTCCCCCTTGGATCAGTGGACTACCTGAGAATGTGTTTTTGTCACAGTGATAGAATCACAAGGAAACTCCAGTTCTGGAAGTACATTTTAAGCCATTGCTTCTATCATGTCCACTAACATTCAGTCAGCCAAAGCACATACCTTGTCCATGGCTAACATTGATAGTATAGATAAATATACCTGATCTCTAGCAGGAGGAACTGCATTGTCTTGGGGAAAGGTTTTAGATATAGGGAGGGGTGATGAGTTGGGAACAATAATGTAGTCTGCCACAAACATATTAAAGTGTAACTGGATATGGTTGCTGCAGAATTTTGAACCTTTGTTTTAATTGTGATTTTTACTCTTTTTCCCCTATCTAGTGCCCTTTTGTAATACAGTAATTCTCATGATTTTTGTCTGAATTGAAATCTTCTGAGATTAGATTGTCTACGAAAATACAGTCTATCCTCCTTGTTTTCAGCTTTTGTATTTGTGAACTCACCTACTATTTTTTGTAACCCCCAAATCAGTACTCACAGCCTTTCATAGTCATGTGTTTGCGCAGAGTGTCAAAAGAATTTGAGTTTGAACAGGATGATATTCTGCCTTCTTTTTCAGCTCTCATACAATAGTCAGGTATCCTTTTTGTGGTCTATTTAATGCCATGCTTTTCCTGTTTTTGTATTGTTTGTTGGTTGTTTTGCCATTTAAATTAACCCCCAAGCATAGTGCTGAAGTGCTGCTTAGCATTCACAAGTCCAAGAAGTCTGTGATGTGTCTTACAGAGGAAATACATGCATTGAATAAACTCCATTCAGGCGTGAGTGCTGTAGTGCCATTGGCTGTGAGTTCAATGTTAATGAATGAACAATGTATATTATTTATTTATTCTTCATTTAATTAATTATTATTATTTTTTTTGAGATAGAGTCTCACTCTGTTGCTCAGGCTGGAGTGCAGTGGTGCAGTCTTGGCTCACTGCAACCTCTGCCTCCTGGGTTCAAGCGATTCCCCTGCCTTAGCCTCCCAAGTAGCTAAGACTACAGGCATGCGCCACCATGCCTGGCTAATATATATATATATTTTTTGTAGTTTTAGTAGAGACGGGGTTTCACCACGTTGGCCAGGCTGGTCTCGAACTCCAGACCTCAAATGATCTGCCCGCCTTGGCTTCCCAAAGTGCTGGGATTACAGGCATTAGCCACTGTGCCTGGCCAACAATATATATTAAATAAGCACACATACAACAAAAGTAGGTGTTGGTAAGCTTACAAAAATGTGACCAGTAGCTTGCTGAAACCTAACTTTTTATTTGTTCATGGAACTTTCTAGACCGTAACTACACTGAATAATGAGAATCTGCTGTAATCTTTTTAGGTGCTGTAGATGAGCCATTGGATTAAATTATTACAGTATGTTTCAGACTGCTCTATGTTGAACCCTAGTGAAATGCCTCTCAAACCCTCCTAAGGATCACAATCTCATGTCCTTTTTTTTGTTATTAAATGCCCAGTATGTGTTAGTGATTTAAACAAAATTCAAATTTTTTTTTTTTTTTTTTTTTTGAGACAGAGTCTCGCTCTGTCACCTAAGCTGGAGAGTGCAGTGGCATGATCGCGGCTCACTACAACCTCTGCCTCCCGGGTTCAAGCGATTCTCCTGCCTCAGCATCCTGAGTAGCTGGGATTACAGGCGCCCGCCACCACGCTGGGCTAATTTTTGTATTTTTAGTAGAGACGGGGTTTCGCCAGGTTGTGCAGGCTGGTCTGGAACTCCTGACCTCATGCGATCTGCCTGCCTTGGCCTCCTGAAGTGCTGGGATTATAGGCGTGAGCCACCATGCCCGGCGTTGACTTTTTAATAATAACCATTCTGACTGGTGTGAGATGGTATGCCATTGTGGTTTTGATTTGCATTTCTCTAATGATCAGCGATATTGGGCTTTTTTTCATATGCTTGTTGGCCGCATGTGTGTCTTCTTTTGAAGTGTCTGTTTATGTCCTTTGCCCACTTTCTAATGAGATTTTTTTTTTCTTGTAAATTTGTTTAAGTTCCTTATCAGTGTTGGACATTAGATCTTTGTCACATGCATTGTTGCAACAGTTTTCTCCTATTCTGTAGGTTGTCTGTTCACTCTGTTGACAGTTTCTTCTGCTGTGCAGAAGCTTCAAGAAGAAAGGAATCCGATTGGTTCTGTGTCTGTCTCTTTTGGTATTCTCAGACTTATGTAGTCATCCATATAGAAAGGTGATTAGGAAAACAGCACAAGAATAGCAGAAATCTACATAAAAATGTAGGAAATTAAAATTAGTTACCAGCATACAAAAAACTACTATATGTTATAATTACATACTATAACTCACCCCTCCTTGCCAAATATTCTCTCTCTTTTGACTTCAAAATCATGGCTTATATGTACTTTCTCTATTTCCCAGATGCAAATATAATTAATTGACTTTATTTATCTAGGAAATATTACTGATATCTTAATTGTAGTCATTGGCTTGAGTGACGGGTTTTGGTAATTCAACTACTATTACTTGAAAGTAGTAGATTTCATAAGATACTGTTATAAAATCTTTTTAACCTCTTTTCTGATTTCAGGAGTAATTAGTAATTGTGGTTTACTGGAAAATTCAATGAATAGCGTGTTAAAGGAAGCAATTCGTTAATAATATATCTAATCTATTGGGAGACTGAGGCGGGTGGGTCACCTGAGATCAGGAGTTCGAGACCAGCCTGGCCAACATGGCAAAACTCCGTCTCTACTAAAAATACAAAAATTCGCCGGGCATGGTGGTGCATTCCTGTATTCCCAGGTACTCGGAAGGCTGAGGCAGGAGAATCACCTGAACTCCAGAGGTGGAGGTTGCAGTGAGTCAGGATCGCAGCACTACACTCCAGCCTGGGTGACAGAGTGAGACTCCATCTCAAAAAAAAAAAAAAAAAAAAAGAAAATTAAAAAATTAAATTAAAAAAAAGCGGGCCGGGCGCATTGGTTCAGGGCCGGGCACGGTGGCTCAAGCCTGTAATCCCAGCACTTTGGGAGGCCGAGGCAGGCGGATCACGAGGTCAGGAGATCAAGACCATCCTGGCTAATGTGGTGAAACCCGGTCTCTACTAACAATACAAAAATTAGCTGGATGTGGTGGCAGGTGCCTGTAATCCCAGCTATTCCAGAGGCTGAGGCAGGAGAATCACTTGAACCTGGGAGGCAGAGGTTTCAGTGAGTCCAGATCATGCCACTGCACTCCAGCCTGGGTGACAGAGCGAGATTCTATCTCAAAAAAAAAAAAAAAAAAAAGCAACAGAAGCAAATGAGAGTGCCTGGGAGTGGTCATTGTGGGGCATTCCTGTTCGTGTGACCCAGGTCATGTCCCTCCCTAAGCCCTGGTCTCTCTTGCCTCCTGCAGGGCTGGTGAATTACCATATCTCCGTCAAGTGCAGTAACCAGTTCAAGTTGGAAGTGTGTCTTTTGAAATCAGACAACAAAGTCGTGGACAACCAGGCTGGGACCCAGGGCCAGCTGAAGGTGCTGGGTGCCAACCTCTGGTGGCCGTACCTGATGCACGAACACCCCGCCTACCTGTACTCGTGGGAGGTAATGGTGGTTTGGGACTTGCTTAAGGGAGGTCTTTAGCTCCCATCTGGTAGCCCTGGCTTCAGCAGGAGCCCAGGACAGGTGAACGGGCAGGTGTGGTCCTCTGAGCTTTTCTGAGCTTTCTGATGTTTCCCACCCTTGGCGGGAGGCCCAGATTTTTTATTTATTTATTTATTTATTTATTTATTTATTTATTTATTTATTTGTGATGGTCTCACTCTGTCACCCAGGCTGGAACGCAATGGCCTGATCACAGCTCACTGCAGCTTTGAGCTGCAATCCTCCTCCCTTGGCCTCCTGAGTAGCTGGGACTACAGGCACATGCCACCATGCCTGGCTAATTAAAAAAATTTTTTTTGTAGGCCGGGCATGGTGGCTCACGCCTGTAATCCCAGCACTTCGGGAGGCTGACGCGGGCGGATCACTTTAGGCCAGGAGTTGGAGACCAGCCTGGCCAACATGGTGAAACCCCGTCTCTACTGAAATATGAAAATTTGCAGGGCATGATGATGCACGTCTGTAATCCCAGCTACTCGGGAGGCTGAGGCAGGGGAATTGCTTGAACCCAGGAGGCAGGGGCTGCGGTGAATTGAGATCATGCCACTGCACTCTATCCTGGGTGACAGAGTGAGACTGTCTCAAAAAAAAAAATCCTTTTTATAGAGTTGGGGGTCTTACTAGGTTGCCCAGGCTGGTCTTGAACTCCTGGACTCCGGTGATCCTCCTGCCTTAGCCTCCCAAAGTGTAGGGATTCCAGGCATGAGCCACCTCGTCTGGTCAAGGAGAAGGCCTGATTTTGAAGGGCAGGTCCCAGGGTCAGCCAGTGAAGGGCAGAGCCTCTGATTGCTGCTTCTCTGCAGGCCCAGAGGCGACTTCTGGGGTGCATGCACGAGGGGTCTTCCTGCTGTAGGGCAGGCCAGATGGGGCTCAGGCTGTCGGGGCGCTCACACCTGGCGCTTTGGCTGTCATAGGTGCGGCTGACTGCACAGAAGTCACTGGGGCCTTTGACTTCTACACACTCCCTGTGGGGCTCCGCACTGTGCCCGTCACCGAGAGCCAGTGGGTGAGAGCCAGTTTCATTTGCGGTAGAGGCAGCAGAGGTTGTAGAAATGCTCCTTGAGGCAGATGCCACACCCCAATTTCATGGAGTGATTTGGGCTGAGCCGAGTCTGCAGCAGGCAGAAGGCTCTGAGATGTTGTCCTAGCCTGGGCAAAGGACAATTCAGAGCTCGGGGGAATAGGGGTGTGCTCAGCACGACTGGGTGGACGGGCCCTTTGTTGTGAATCGTACAGGCTTCCAGGAGCGGGTGCCTGAGGCTTCCAGACAGGCTTTGGGAGGTGGCCAGAGGAGATGCCTGTTTCCGGGGCAGGAAATGGAGGGAGCGCCCAGGCTGGAGAGGTTCAGCCAGGCTGTCACAAGGCTTTGAAGCTTCCCATCTGAGAGCCTGGCTATTGGAGAGTGTGGGTTTGGAACTTGAGGCTAGGAGGTTCTGTTCTGTCCTGTGCCAGCCACAGCCTTCGGATGGGCAGAGCAATGGTGGGGGGAAGATGTAAAAGAAAAGAACTGAGGAAAGAAGAAGAAAACCAGCTTCAACAACAGTCTAGGCCGGATGCGGTGGGTCACGCCTGTAATCCCAGCAGTTTGGGAGGCTGAGGTGGGTGGATCACCTGAGGTCAGGAGTTCGAGACCAGCCTGGTCAACAGGTAGTGAATCCTGTCTCTACTAAAAATACAAAAATTAGCTGGGCATGGTGGTGGACGTCTGTAATCCCAGCTACTAGGTAGGCTGAGGCAGGAGAATCGCCTCAGGTGAACCAGGAGGCAGAGATTGCAGTGAGCTGAGATAATGCCACTGCATTCCAGCCTGGGCTACAGAATGAGACTCTGTATCTCAAAAAAACAAAACAAAACAAAAACACAACAGTCTGTTCTGTGGAGGCCTTGGGCAGATGCTGGGAGCTCTGAGCACAGACTGGTCCCTCTGTTGGGAGCCTCTTCCCTTCATCCCTCCTGGTTAACTTGACTCAGCATAAAGGCCATTTCTTCTAAGAGCCTGTCCCTGACTCTCCAATCGGGGATGTGTCTGTTGTCTCATAGAGTGCCCAATTCCTGCCACCATTTGTCATTTCCATTCGCAACATTTCTTTCATTGTTTGTTTTTCAGAGTCAGGGTCTCACTGTGTTGCCCAGGCTGGAGTGCAGTGGTGCAATCATAGCTCGTTGCCATCTCGACCTCCTGGGCTTAAGCGATCCTCCCCTCTCAGCCTCCCAAATAGCTGGGACCACAGACGTGCGCTGCCTTGCCAGGCTAAATTTTAATATCTTTTTTCCCCCACGAGTCAGAGTCTTGCTCTGTCTCCCAGGCTGGAGAGCAGTGTTGCGATCTTGGCTCACTGCATCCTCTACCTCCTGGGTACAAACAGTTCTCCTGCCTCACCCTCCCGAGTAGCTGGGATTACAGGCTCACGCCACCATGCCCAGCTAGTTTTCTTCTTTATTTTTTGTTGAGATGGGGTTTCACCCTGTTGGCCAGGCTGGTCTCGAACTCTTGAGCTCGTGATCCACCTGCCCTGGCCTCCCAAAGTGCTCACAGGCTTGAGCCACCATGCCCGGCCCTAATTTTTAAATTTGTTGTAGAAACAAGGTCTTGCTATGTTGCCCAGGCTGGTGTCAAGCACCTGGTCTCAAGTAAGCCTCCCAAAGTGCTGGGGTTCTAGGCGTGAGCCACCTCGCCTGGCACTTGCACCGTTTTTCTGTGCATGCATCTCCACTCCTACTGCCCAGGACCTGTGGACTTAGATTTGAGTCATTACTGAGCACCTAGCACCCAGCCTCATGCCTACCTCCCACCTCGCACTACCTGTTTGCTTGATGCATTAATAAATATTCCACCTGAATCCACAGCCCATTCACTCCTGTGTTCAAGGGCTATTTCAGGAAGTGAACCTCATTTTTGGCAGTGTTCAGTCCAGTGACCTCAGCTGTGTGTACCTGGCAGGGTGGCTACGCCTCTGGGGGAATTGGATTCAGGTGTGGGGGAGAAAGAGTGTTGTTAGAGAGCTTGGTCTAGGACTAGAGGAACGTGCCCTTATGTAAAATACATCTCAAGTTAGGGAAGAAAGCAGCGGCTCTGTGCTTTGTTTTTTTTTTTTTCTTTTCTTTTCTTTCTTTTTGTTTGTTTGTTTGTTTGTTTGTTTTGGGGCAGGGTCTTGCTCTGTGGCCCAGGCTGGAGTGCAGTAGCGTGATTTCGGCTCACTGCAACCTCCACCTCCCGGGTTCAAGCAATTCTTGTGCCTCAGCCTCCCGAGTAGCTGGAGTTACAGATGCGTGCCACTAAGCCTGGCTAATTTTTGTATATTTAGTAGAAATGGGGTTTTGCCATGTTGGCCAGGCTGTTCTTGAACTCCTGACCTCAGTGATCTGCCTGCCTCAGCCTCCTGAAGTGCTGGGATTACAGATGTGAGCCATCATGCCTGGCCCCCAGTTGTGTTCTGGCAGGGGAAGATGGGACAGAGAGGATGGGAGGGTGTCTGAGCCTTTCCCGGACTGACGGAACCTGTGTCTTCTCTCTTTTGTGGACAGGATGGTGATTGCTCACACCAAAGCCTTGGACCCCTCCCAGCCTGTGACCTTTGTGACCAACTCCACCTACGCAGCAGACAAGGGGGTGAGCCTGGGGGTCCCCACCCCATTTCTCCCTGCCTTTGCCTGGGCTTGTCCTGAAGCCTGCTCATGGGAACAGCTGGAAAGAACCATGTGCTGCCAGTCTGAGCTTTTTATTTTGTTTTACTTAGAAAGATAGAGACAGGGTCTTGCCATGTTGCCCAGGCTGGTCTCGAACTCCTGGGCTCAAGTGATCCTCCTGCCTCGGCCTTCCAAAGGGCTGGGGTTACAGGCGTGTGCCACCGCACTCAGCCGCAGCCAGTCTGTTTTCAAAGATGGTCTTTGGGTTAATGACAATTCTCTCTCTGCTTACTCTCCAGGCAGTGTGGCTTTCTGAATCCAAGGAGGCTGGGCATAGGGAGATGGGATTTGTTTGCCCAGTTTGGACTCAGCATTTTTTGTACTCGATTTAATAGACTCATAAAATGTCAAAGGTTTAAGTGAGCTTAGAGTTCATCTGGCCCAAACCTGGCTGATCAGAATCTCCAGGGGAAGTTTTATTGAAATGCCAGATCTCTGCATTCTGAGATCCTGATTTAGTAACTCCAGGGTTGGAGTTGACACACAGGGAACAGCCACCCACAGTGGACTGCACTGTTCTGTTTGCACCCTTAAATTTATCGTGCTTACAGAATGACACTTCTGCAAACTAGTCAAGTAAGGGGAAATGGTTTGTGGATATGCACCCTTGTTCATTCTCTTTGAAAAGGTAACCAGCTCTGAATTCTTTCTCCTTTGAGGAGGAGTTTCAGTTGTCACCCAGGCTGGAGTGTAGTGGTGCAATCTTGACTCACTGCTACCTCCGCCTCCCAGGTTCAAGCAATTCTCCTGCATCAGCCTCCCAAGTAGCTTGGATTACAGGCATGCACCACCATGCTCACCTAATTTTTTTTTTTTTTTTTTTTTTTTTTTAGTAGAGATGAGGTTTCACCATGTTGGTCAGGCTGGTCTTGAACTTTTGACCTCAAGCGATCCACCTGCCTTGGCCTCCCAAAGTGCTGGAATTACAGGCATGAGCCACCATGCCCAGCCCCCGTTCTGAATTCTTAAGAAACTCGAGAGGGTCTAGGTCAGCATTGATAGAACCTCTGCAGTGCTGGGTGTGGTGGCTCACACCTGGAATGCTAGCCCTTTGGGAGACCGAAGTCAGAGGATCTCTTGAGCCCAGGAGTTTGAGACCAGTCTGCACAACATGGACCCCATCTCTACAAAATATTTAAGATGAGTTGTGGCTGGGTGCAGTGGCTGACGCCTGTAATCCCAGCACTTTGGGAGGCTGAGGTGGGTGGATCACGAGGCCAAGAGTTCAAGTCCAGCTTGACCAACATGGTGAAACCCCGTCTCTACTAAGAAAACACAGAAATTAGCTGGGTGTGGTGGCATGTACCTGTAATCCCAGCTACTCAGGAGGCTAAAGCAGGAGAATCGCTTGAACTGGGGAGGTGGAGGTTGCAGTGAGCCGAGATTGTGCCACTGCACTCCAGCCTGGGCGACAGAGCAAGACTCCGTCTCAAAAAAAAAAAAAAAAAAAAAAAAGTTGGGTATGGTCGTGCTTGCCTCTAGTCCCAGCTACTTGGGAGGCTGAGGTAGGAGGATTGTTTGAGCCCAGTAGGTCAAGGCTGCAGTCAGTCTGCCATAATTGCACCACTGTACTCCCACCTGGGTGACAGAGTGAGACCTTGTTTCAAAAAAGAACCTTTGCAATGATGGAAATGCCCCATGTCTGCACTGTCTGAAATGGTAGCCACTAGCTACATGTGGCTATTGAGGTCTTGATATATGACTAGGTTAACTGAATTTATTTGGTTTAATTTAAAAAAATTTTTTTTTGAGACAGCCTCACTCTGTTGCCCAGGCTGGAGTGCAGTGGCGTAATCACAGCTCACTGCTCAACCTCCTGGGCTCAAGTGATCCTTCCTCCTCAGCCCCCCAAGTAGCTGGAGCCACAGGCATGCGCCACTACACCTAGCGAATATTTAGCCTTTTTATAGAGACTGGGTTTCACTGTGTTGCCTAGGCTGATCTTGAACTCTTGAGCTCAAGTGATCCTCCTGCCTCGACCTCCCAAAGTGCTGGGATTACAGACCTGAGCTACCATGCCCAGCCTGGTTTAGTTTAATTTCATTTTTCATTCATTCATTCATTCATTCATTCATTCATGAGATAGGGTCTTGTTCTGTCACCCAGGCTGGAGTGTAGTGGTGCAAACACAGCTCACCACAGCTTTGACCTCCGGGACTGAAGCAGTCCTCCCACCTCAGCCTCCCAAGTAGCTGGGACCACAGGTGTGTGCCTCCATGCTTGGCTAACTTTTGTACTTTTTGTAGGCTAGTCTTGAACTCCTAGGCTCAAGCAGTCCTCCCACCTCCATCTCCCAAAGTGCTTGGATGACAGACATGAGCCAGCACACCTGACCTAAAGACGTATTTTTCCTTCTAGTGTAGTTCAGCCTTAAGACTGTATCAGCAGATAGAGACGGAAAAGTAAGAAAAATTGAGTATCAGATTATATTTATAAATAAAGCAGTTACTAATTGATGTTTTTTTTTAAACCTCCTTTTTAATTCTGGGTTACATCATTCCTTGGCTTTTTTTTTTGTATTTTTTTTTTATTATTATACGTTAAGTTTTAGGGTACATGTGCACATTGTGCATGTTAGTTACATACGTATACATGTGCCATGCTGGTGTGCTGCACCCACTAACTCGTCATCTAGCATTAGGTATATCTCCCAATGCTATCCCTCCCCCCTCCCCCCACCGCACAACAGTCCCCAGAGTGTGATGTTCCCCTTCCTGTGTCCATGTGATCTCATTGTTCAATTCCCACTTATGAGTGAGAATATGCGGTGTTTGGTTTTTTGTTCTTGGCGATAGTTTACTGAGAATGATGATTTCCAATTTCTCCCTGACTGTCTTTACCCTAGCATCAGTGAGTCCTGCAGTCACTACAGCCCCCAGTGAGGACAGATATTTTGGTCACCATCAAGTGGATCTTTATTTTTATCTAACATTTACAATTCTGCCAGTTCTTACTCTTCTCTTTGCCTTGATTCCCAGGATCCACCTCTGATGTTCAGTGAAGAGTACCAGAAAAGTCTGCTAGAGCAGTACCATCTGGGTCTCAATCAAAAACGCAGAAAATACGTGGTTGGAGAGCTCATCTGGAATTTTGCCGATTTCATGACTAACCAGTGTAAGTGGCAGTTTAGCGCATGGGATAATGTACCCGTCCTCATTTTTTCAGGTTGCCTTGCCCATTCTGGACATTTTGGCTGTAAGAATATTGGAAACAAAGGGGGGAAGCTGGTTTAATCCATGTAGGTTGTGTTGAGAATTTCCTAGGAAAAGTAAGTTGTGCTTAGGAAGTAGGAAAGGAGTCAGGTCCCCGCTTCCCACATACGGTCAAAAAGCAAACATGAGAGTCTGCTATAGTGAGATGGAAATGGCTAGCTTGCCTTTTTCTTGTCTATTTCATAGCCAAGGATGAAGGAAACACTGGACCTCATTATGGATTTACTTTTGGGATACACTCATCATTCCAGAGGAGGGTAAAAGGCTGAGAAGCTTAAGGTATTTCAGTCTGTTTTATGTTACTCATTTGCGAAAAGCAGGCTCATCGAATACAGGTGAGTTTCAACGCTTCTTGAATATGGCAGCATTTAAAAGTCTTCAGACCGCATGGTGGCTCATGCCTGTCATCCCAGCACTTTGGGAGGCCAAGGTGGGAGGATTGCTTGAGGCCAGGAGTTCGAGACCAGCCTGTTCAGCATAGGAGGACCCCCATCTCTACAAAAACTAAACAGATTAGCTAGGTGTGGTGGTGTGTGCCTGTAGTCCTAGCTGCTTGGGAGGCTGAGGCAGGCGGATAGCCTGAGCACAGGAGTTGGAGGCTGCAGTAAGCTGTGATTACACCACTGCACTTGAGCCTGGGCAACAGAGTGAGACCTGTCTTTAAAAAAAAAAAAAGGAGCTGGGCACGGTGGCTCATGCCTGTAATCCCAGCACTTTGGGAGGCTGAGGCAGGCAGATCATGAGGTCAGGAGATCGAGACCATCCTGGCTAACAGTGAAACCCTGTCTCTACTGAAAATACAAAAAAAATCAGCCGGGCGTGGTGGTGGGCGCCTGTAGTCCCTGTAGTCCCAGCTGCTCGGGAGGCTGAGGCAGGAAATGGCATGAACCCAGGAGTTGGAGCTTGCAGTGAGCCGAGATTGTGCCACCGCACTCCAGCCTGGGCGACAGTGAGACTGCTTCTCAAAAAAAAAGGGTCTTCAAAGACAATAAGATCTGTGCTCTCACGTAGGGTGGATGAGAGGCTGCCAAGTTAGCAATGAATGTTTCCCATTCCTTCTTAGTTTATGGACTTTCCATAAACTCAGGATGGCAGTTTGGTTGGTTGGAGAAGGATATGGTGATGGCGGGAGTTACAATACATTACTTATAGGGGAAGATAGGCTTTTGAAAGGTTAAAGCTTAAAAGTGAGAATGGAAAAGGGATGAATGAATGAACATGATGAGGTGAGAGGGAAGAAGTAGAGGGAAAAGGAGAACAAGAAACTCTTCTCTGCGTGGCACCTAGGATGAATGGTTTCTGGGGACATCCCTGATGGCAGTTTTGTGGAGAGGTGCAAAGCTTTATGTGGTAAGAAATGAGCTGTAGGCTCAGTGCAGTGGCTCACGCCTGTAATCCCAGCACTTTGGGAGGCCGAGGTGGGCGGATCATGAGGTCAGGAGTTCGAGAGCAGCCTGGCCAACATGGTGAAACCATGTCTCTACAAAAAAATAGAAAAAGAATCCCTGCGTGGTGGTGAGCACCTGTAGTCCCAGTTACTCAGGAGGCTGAGGCATGAGAATCGCTTAAACCTCGGAGGCGGAGGCTGCAGTGAGCTGAGATGGTGCCACTGCACTCCCGCCTGGGTGACAGAGCTGGGTGGTGGCTCAAGATATGTTTTGTAAACCTGAAGATTTGAGATCATATAAGCCAAATCGAAACTTAATTGGCATTCACAACTTTTGGTTCTAGAGACTCCATGATCAACTAAGAGCCACCAAGCATTTCCCATGTAGACTATTTTGACCATGCTGACTCTACTGACACTTTGGTTACTGAATTCACTTTATCTCTAGAAATTAATTCTTACTAATGGATGTCTGTCACTGTAAGATCCTTCTATCCTCTGAAATAAGGAGAACATTTTAACTTCAGTAGTTTAAACTAGTGTCCTAAACTATAGCATTCAAAATGAGATAATATGCTAAAGTAATACACAAACCAAAAATCCCAGTGGCTAACACAAAAAGTTTTTCTTACTCATTTTACTCATTCTTACTCATTTTACATATCCATACAATAGAAGTATATGTCTTTTGAATAGCTTTTATTTTATACTAATTATTTTATAATACATTCACTTCAAATTTTGGTTTAAAGTGTTTGTCATAGATATAGATAAAATAAAACAAATGGGAAATTGATTTTATGGTCTTGAATGAGACGATTATATTAATCTAGCAAATGAGTTAAATCAACAACAGAATTTTGAAAAATATGTAGTGGGTAATAGCTAATAATAATGTTTTTATGTGTAACTGATTTTATAACATTCAACCAAGTTTGTTTTTGTTAGGCCTGATAATATCAGAAGTAGTATATTTGTAATTTCAGTGTTTATTACTAATATTATACATCCCTCAATTGGCATAATTATAATATTTTAACTAAAATATACTGTGAAATTGTACATTCTAGGCACTGTGCTGGGCTTCTGGCAAAATTATAAAGTTGCTTTACTAAATTCATACATGCGGAAATCTAATATAAGTTTTATACATATATTTTTTATCATAAGAGTGTATAGTATTTCTTAGGGAATTTCAATGAACCTGGAAAATCTTATATACTTTAGTGCAACTGTAAGTTACTACACTTGGAGAAAAAAATTATTGATATTTTCATAGTGCAAAAGTATACATATGTGCTAGTCTGAGCATCTAGATTAAAAGTCCACCCTTGAACCTAAAATAAAAGTTAAAATATTTTTAAAAAGAATCTATCCTACAGAAGTAAAGGCATATATGTGATCCTCGATATACAAGAATGCTTTCACAGCATTGTTTATGATGGCAAAATAAACCGGAATTAAACATGAGTTTCTTCAACAGGTAATTGGTAGAATAGTTTTTGTATCCTTATAATGGAAAAATTTTAAGATATTAAAAGATAAGTTAGTTTGCATGTATTTACCTGAAGCTATGTCTGCACCTATATGCAAAATAGGAGTTTGCAAAATAATATACATGATATCATTCACTTCATACAGAGTATTGGTTAACACGTTAAAGAATTTTCTGTGTGGGACCAAGTTAAGGAATTTACATGCATTGGCTGATTTAATTCTCACATAAATCAGCTGATAGAGCAGTTTTATCATTCTCATTGCATCCCTGAATCTTAGGTGCATAGAGGTTCAATAAATTGCCTGGAGTTACACAGGGAAAGAATAAAGTTACTCAATTATTAGGATTTTGAGAACTTCAGAATAAAGAAAGCATGTTTAGTTCCCCCCGCCCCCCCCGCCCAACCCCGGGTACATGGCTGTTTTCCCTGGTTTCAGTTAACCAGCATTCAACTAAGGTCTAAAAATAGGTGAGTGTATAACAACAAGATATTTTGAGAGAGAGTAAGAGACCACATTCATCTACTTTTATTACAGTACATTATAAATGTTCTATTTTATCATTTTTATTGTTGTTAGTTTCTTACTATGCCTAATTTATAAATTAAACTTTACCATAGCTATGTATGTATAGAAAAAAAATACATAGTACAGTATGTATAGGATTTGAACTACCTACAGTTTCAGGCAACCACTGGGGGTCTTGGAATGTATCCTCTATGGATAAGAGGGATTACTCTATTTCCTAAGTTTCATAATGGCATTCTTTTGGAATAGATTAAATGTCATGCATGGGCTTTGAGCTTATTAATTTTATTATAACATTTGACAACATCTCATGAAATTCTGATGCACACATAGAAAATATCAAACCAGATGGAAGTATTATGTGCTGTATACTTGGTTGAATAAATATACCCACAATGATTAATCAATGGGTACATTTATGGGTAGTTTGAAAGGAAAAATAATATACTTCTGGGTTCTATTACTGGCACTATTGTGAATACAAATGTTATCAATCATGTAACTATTAGGCTGCTCACAAATACTTTAGTTTTTCTCATACTATACAAATAATAAGATGGCAGTATTTCATCCTGCTTGAAGGTAAATGAAACCACTTTACTTGTTTTGACCAATGTCATTTGAATAGAAGGAATTTTTACAAGGCCTTCCCATGGTCCCTTATGAGCTGTATTAGCATGAGTGGTGACAGAGTTTTTATCAGCTGTCTTCCTAAATGACTGTCTCCTTGTAAACTTATTATAGAGACTGAATTGGTTTTAGATGTGAAAGTTATTTATTACTGCAGTATAGTATAGGTCATCTTAACTGATACACATAACAAAATGGAATGTTTGGTTTAGAAATATACAAATGTCCCTACCAGGGGAAATTAGACATTTCACTTAATTATAAAACTAGTATTTAATTTCAGGAATTCAGAATTTATAGTATATAATATATTTATGTATATATATTATACTGTAGATATATTCACAACGTTAATTTTTGATTAATAACTTACAGAAAGCTCTGCACTTGAGATTTATAAACTTGCTGAAAAAAATTCAGTAAGAAAACTCTATTTTAGTATATGCTTAATGAAAATATCTCGGTGGAAACCCTGAACTCTAAAACTACCCTGTGGTATTCAGAATGAGTCAAGCAAAGCCCATAATAAATGACTTTATAGGTAGCTTTTGGATACAGCTCTAGGTTTAAAATTTGAGAATAAGGTTGGCAGATTCTATTCTTTACAAAGGAAGGGCTGTCACAGCAGTGTGTGCCTGGAACCCATTTTAAATAAAGGAAAAATTGAAGAGCTGGCATTTTAACCATCATATGTCTAATACATAATGATGCTTCATAAGTTATTGAGACCTCCCTCAATCTCTGGGATAGTTGGAGCAATGGCTGAATATAAACTATCAGAAAAATTGAATCTGTAATTCTGTCAATAAGTGAGAAAATATTCTAAGATTCTTTAAATTTTAATTCTGGGTTTTTGAACACATTGATGTGTAAAATATAACAAAATAAGGTGGACACTGTTTAACTGCAGTTGGTATCAATTCTTGTGTACTGAATTTAAGGAGAGAGATGTTATCACCGTAGGAAATTATACCAACTAATGACTGCATACCATTAATATATTTTCTGAAGTTTGAATTTTCAGTTAATGCACTTTCAGTGATATTAAAGAGCACTTTATTAACAGCTATTTGAAGGGTAATTTATATACAGAGAACTGCACATATTTAACTTGTATACTTTAATGAGTTTAAACATATGCAAACACCCCCGATACTGTCACCACACTCACTTGGATATGATTCACATAAACATATCCAAGACGCCCCGAAATTTATTTTAAACCCCTTATGTGTGTATGTGTGTGGTGAGAAGACTGAATTTGAGACCCAGCCTCAACAAATTTTGACATGCACAATATAGTATAAACTATTGGCACTATATTGAACAGCCCCTCTCTAAAATGTATTTATCTTGCACAACAAAGTTCATATTCCTTGAAAAACTTCCCATTACCCCACAACAGAGCCTTTGGAAACCACTGTGGTCTTCTCTGCCTCTGTGAGTTTGACTATTACAGATACCTCGTATAAGTGGAATTCTGTAGTATTTGTCCTCTTGTGACTGGCTTATTTCACTTAGCATAAGATCCCTTAGGTTCATCAATATTGTCACCAATGGCAGGATTTTCTTCTTAAGACTGAAAAATATTCTATTGTGTGTATATACCTCAATTTCTTTATCCATTCATCTGCCAATGGGCATAGACATGGGTCATTTCCATATATTGGCTATTGTGAAAAATGATGCTATAAATGTGAGAGTGCTGATATCTCTACAAGATCCTGATTTTAATTGTTTTGGATATGTATCTAGAAATAAGAGTGCTGGATCGCGTGGTAATTCTATTATTTTTAGCTTTTGGAGGAACCGCCATACTGTTTTCTTAGTTGCTGTATCATTGTACATTCTCAATGTACAGTGTACAGGGATTCCAAGTTCCCTACATCCTCACCATTTATCTTTTGGTTTTTTGAAAATCAACATCCTAACAAGAGTGAGGTAATATCATTTTGATATTACTATTTGCAATGACTTTTTGAATATGACATCAAAAGCACAGGAAACAGAAACAAAAAATAGGCAAGTTGGACTATATCAAACTAAAAACAAACAAGAAAAACAAAAACCAAGCAAACTTCTACACAGCTAAGGATACAATCAACAGAACGAAAAGGCAATCTATAAAATGAGAGAAAATATTTGCAATCCATATATCTGATAATGGATTAATTTTCAAAATATATAAGAAATTCCTACAATTTAATAGCAAAACATGCATAATCTGATTAAAAAATGGGCAAAGGATTTGAACAGACATTTCTTCAAAGAAGATATACAAATGGCCAACAGATACATTAAAAAATATGCTCAACATCTTTAATTATCAGGGACATGCAGATTAGTAGAACTTTCAAGTAAATAAATAAATAACTCTACTTCACAGACTAACCTATAAAATGCTGAATTTTGTTATGTAAAATGTTACAGAAATAATTTCCTCACAATTGTGTTAATTCGTTTGTGCTACTATTACAAAATATTTACTACCTGGTCATTTATAAAGAACAGAAATTGATTTTTCACAGTTCTGCAGGCTGGAAATCCAAGATGAAGTCACCTGTAGTTCAGTGTCTGCGTCTAAGAGAGTACTTTGTTGCTGCACCCGCCAGAGGGAAGAAATACTGTATCTTCTCATGAAGGAAGGAACCGAAGGTGGGAATAGGGACCAAACTCCCTCTTTCAAGCCTTTTTGTAGTGACATTAATTCATTTATGAGGATGCCACCATCATGACATAATCATTTCCCAAAGGATTTCACCTCCTCCCACTGTTGCATTGGGGATTAATTTTCCAACACATGAATTTTGAGGGACACATTCAAACCATAGCAACTGGTATATAGTAACTAGGTGGCCCGATGGTCTTCATAATAAAGTTATATTTTACTTTAGTATAAAATAAAAGGTCAAGGCTTGTAACTGTGATGAGACTGCTTCATGTATATCTCCCCTAGTGACTATCACAGTTGACTGACAGCTCCAGGGGTTCATCTTTGTATCCATCACTACCTATAGTCCAAAATCCCCATCTCACAGCTGTTGTCAGCCAATGACAAAGCATAGTGAGGTGCTGTTCCTGCTCAATATGGAGGAAAACTTTGGCTTGATAACTCTCCATTGGCCTGCCAAAATATGTTAAGTATTGTGCTACTATCTGAAACTCATTTTACCTAACCTTTTTTATTTTCTTTCCTCCTTCATAAGGTTTACAAGTATTGTGGCTGAAGGCTGTGTCTATTCCTGCTTCCTCCACCTCACCTTGCAAAAGTGTTTATCCAAATAAATCCCTCACACATCTAATCCCATTTTGGCAAATTCAGTTTCAGAACTTTGCCTTCACTACTAGTCTCAAGGAAAATATATTAATACACACACACACACACACACACACACACGCATGCACACACACACATATGTATATATTTCCCAATCTATTATAGGTAAAATATACTCTTATCACGAATAAATCCAAATTGTGAATGCTTAAAATATACTTTACAGAATATTAAAATTTAAAAGCATCACAGGAAAAATATTAATACTGTTTACAGAATTTCAATATGTGAATAATATTTACATTACAGTTTCATATGAACCTTTTACTTCTCTATTTAGTATGCCATTATGTCACTGCAGAGGTATGAAAAGGAGAGCTCTCCTAGTTGTGAAAAAAGAAACATGTTTTATTGGGAGCTAAGTGGAAGGTTGAACATGTGGGAATATCTGGGCATGCACTGAAGACACCTTTTGCATCTCCCCCATCCACATAGCAAAGTGAATGTGGTTTGTGTCCATTTATGCAGGATACTCTGGAAAACCAAACTGAAACAAGGTTAACATACATTTTTAAAAGAAAACTAAAGGAAAACAACACATACTTTATTACCTATCAAAGTAACCACTTCATTATATTTTAGTGGAAGCTATTATTTATTATCGAATTATTTGCTTTGGCAGGAGGATACAGGGTTTTCCCATTTGGGTTGTATATGTTCCTCATGAGAAAAGCTGAAGACAAAATCTTACCCTTCTGCCCAAAGTCAATTGAATCAACATGTTTACCTTGCTCCACGGAGCTGCTAACCTACTGGCTGGGTGTTGTGTGGCTTGGCAATGGAGTTCTGCATGACGGGAACAATGGTTTTTAAGTGGACTAATCAGAGCTGTTAATGCATATGCAGTGAAGGCAGGAACTTTGCTACATGCAGGGCTTATCATTTTGCTAATAACAATGCCTGGCACAGATTAGCAATTTGTTGAAATAAAACATTCTGGGAGATGTAAGATAGAGAAAGAGAGCAGCATGTAGTAGAAATAGATGTCGAAAGATGAATTAAGATGATGCATTAAGCTTGAAACGTGAGGCAGAGAAAGCTGTACATAAGTTGAAGGCTTTGAGTTAAAAGACTATAGGAATTAGATGAGTGGGGGCTATGGAGAACGGAGAGAATTTAGAGTGTGGACAAGCGTTCTATGAGCAGAGACTGGGACTAGCCAAAACGTGATGATGGGCAGCTAGCTTGGAAAGAATGCTTACAACGTGAAAATTATATATTTACAAAAGGCCATTACTTCTGTTAAAGAACAATAGACCCCAGTGAAAAGAAAGGAAATTGAAAAATAGAGAAAATGTGGAGAAAACTAGAATCTCTATAGACAGCATCAATGCAGCATCAATTATGTGAACCACTTTTGAGCACAAAGAAATATTGTTTTGACCTTGGAGGCAATTTGGTCTTCATTAGGTTTAGCTGTAGGATAGTTGATGTTCATTATTCCCTATAATGCTTGTGATGGCAAAACCTTCACAAATTTATATGATCTAGGTATGTTTTCAATCCTTACAACCCAAGTAACCGATCATAACTCTCACTATGTCATTTGAAAAAAAAAATGATCATCAGAAGTGTAATTCAATTAGCAAGTATCAGTAGTGGAGTATAAATTATTGGTTAATACTAAGCATGATGGAAAAATCATAGTAGATGGAAATATGGGAATCTTTATTTTGGATGAATAAACTTTATGCCTAAAACATATGTTTATAAAAAATACTTTGTGAATAAACCCATTGTCTAATATTTAAAAGAGTTGAAGTATGCTATTATAAGACCTTCCTTAATTGATGAAATGATGCAAAGCCAATAATATTGCTCCACTTCCTGAAGTATAGAGATGAACAGAAACCTTTTTCTTTATTCCATGTTCTATATAAGTCGAGAACTAGAGCTCAAGATTAAGTTTTTTGTTTTTTGTTTTTTTTTCCATTTCCCTGGGAACAGAGCAACAGTCTCTCTGGGTCTAAAACATCCTTTTTTCGGTACATCCCACAGCATCCTATAGAAATATGTTGCAATCAGTTGCCAAGTCACGTCCTAGCTTAATGTCAGCAATTTTCTTTCTGAACCAATTTTGCACTCAGCATTAAGAGGAAATATTGAAGGGAGACATACCTTTTATGTTTGTAAAATTTATACTTCTTAAGATAAAAAGGCAACTATATCCATTGTCGTGAGATCTTGAGAAGAAATAAGAAAATGAAATATTATAGAAAATATTATATTATTTAATTGTCCTGTTCTAAAACACTTTCTAAGCCTGCCTGTTTTTTTGCCAAATTAAATCAATATTTGGATGTAGACAGCTTTTCAGAGTGGCAGTATCATAGTCAATGAAGATGACCTGAGGCACAATTATTGCTAATTGGACATAGAAACCACCTTCACTCATATATAAAAATTATTATGTGCTATACTAGATATTTCAGGAGAATTGATAAAAGAAAGACTGTTGTATTCATATGCTTGTCTTCCTGGCTAGAGGATCTGTTTTAATTAATCAGCTCATGGAGTTTGGAAAATATTTATAGTATACATAGCTGAGTGTTCATGTAAATTTTGAATACATTCATACAACTTTTTTTTTAAAAAAAGATTGAACTTCAAAACCATTTTCTTACATACTCAGTAGAAGTTGTTATAAGCCAACATTTTTTGTGAGCTATACTATTTTAAACATCTAAAGTAAATTATTTGACATATAAAAAGACTTCTTCATTTAAAAATATATCTTTTAAAAATAATTTTACAAGTGATGGCATCTCATTTTAGAAGAAGAGGCATCAATGACAGCAGTTACAGTAACTCGATGCTGAATATGTTTTTAAATACCAGATGCTGTGTTCAGCATTGTACATACATTATCAAATTTTATTCTGATAATATGCTGCATGATGTATTAGGCTGGGTTCTCTCAGACAGAACCTACACGTATACATATATATATACACACATGCATATACCTACACATACAGAGAGAGAGAGAGAGATGTACATTTATTATAGGAATTGGATCATGCGATTATGCGGGCCGAGAAGTTCCAGGATAGGTTGTCTGCAAGCTGGAGAACCAGGGAAGAGAGTAGAGTAGCTTTCTCCAAGTCCTGAAGCTTCAGAACTAGGGAAACTGATGGTATAACTCTCAGTCAGAGGCCAAAGGCCTGAGAACTCAGACAGCCACTTTGCAACTCCTGGAATCCCAAGGCCAGACAGCCTGGAGTTTGGATGTCCAAAAGCACCAGAAGGAGGGTGTCTTAGGTCCAGGAGAGAGCGAGCTTTCCTATGCATTTTTGTTTTATCCATACCCCTGACCAATTGGATGGTGCCCACCCGCATTGAGGGTGGGTGTCCCTCTATTAAATATTTTAACTATAATTTTAACTGTGATATAGGCACTGAATTCTTGTTGCTAATAATCTGGTAAGATCCATCTGAACTATGAAGTGAGTACCTGGAGGAACTCCTACATTTTAGGCTTTCAAAGGTTACAGGCTTTTCGTGTGTGTGTGTGTGTGTGTGTGTGTTTTGAGAAAAATGGAATTGAAACACTGTGATTAGAATGTTTACTTATATAGAATTTATGAATGAATGTATATAATAATTACTGTATATAATTTTAAAATATAATAAAGTCTCTTTATCCATGTGGTGTTAGTCTGTCTCTTCCATTTTGTTTTTCTTCCCTTCTTGAGCACTCCTTGCTTTTTTACCCATGGCCATTGTTCGATAATGAACATATTTGTAGCTTCTCATTTTAAGTCCCTTTCGACACTTTCAGAGACTTTATCCTGCAAATTTGGAAAGGTTTTTCTTTTCCATAATATAATTTTCCAAATGTTGGCTACTTGTTTAATTTTTTAAACATGCAATTGTTTTGCTTGTTTGCTTCACCTGGCAGCTCTCTCTAAAACCTGAGTCACTATTCCTTTTGAACTCTGCTAAAAACATTATCATCTTCTCCAGGAGCTGAGGTGAAAGATGATGTTTTATTCTACTGCTTTAGTAGGAAGAGCCACATTATTGTCTAATTCGAGTGCAAAATATCTCGTACCATTGATCATTTTTCTGGCAATAGACATCACAGTCTGCTTCCTAACCATTTCATCTCAGGCATTGTGCTGATTACCCCTTCAGGACTCTGGAGTCCACCGTTTTGCTGTAATTTCTTTAACCACCTGCCAACTCACTAAGGGCATTTGCTTAGTGTTTAATGTTCGCCTCCCAAATCAGTCTTTTTAATTGAATAGGCTATTTTTTTCACATTTCATATTCAAGCTTAACTTCCCTTTTGTAATATAGGCAGATGTTAAGATCACGTCAGCACTGCTGTGCAAAGGTTTATGGTAGATATTATTTTATATCTTTGTTCCACTGTCTGTCCTAAAATAAAAATCAATTGGTTTTTTGTTTGTTTTCTTGTTTTTAACATATCAACACAAACCAAAGTATTCTGTATGCTCCATTGATACCATCTCATTGTTGTTTGGATAGGCAAGATAAACATGTCTTAAGTTTTTAAAGGTTACAGAAGGGTTGAAAATGATGGAATCCAATCACTGATTCAAAATGTGTGTTTACTAGGTAGTATTTAAGAATGAATGCATATAATAATTATTGTTATTTTTAATTTGAAAATATAATAGGGACCTTTTATCAATGTGGTGAGAGTCTTTCTATGTCCAGTCTGGTTTTTTGCCCTTCTAGAGCACTCCTTTTTACCCATAGCCTTTGGATGATAATCAACAACATATATGTTGCTTCTCATTTTAAGCACTTTTCAATACTTGCAGAAACTTTAGTATATCATGGACATATATGAAATTGTGAGGACTTTGTTATTGAGATTTTTAATTAAAATAATCAATCATAATAAAATACATTTTATAGTAAAATATTAAAATACAAATATAATAATAAGGCAAAACTATAGTAGCATCTTTCTCTAGATTGCAGTTTAAAGAAACATTGACTTCCTAATGTTGGAATCAATCTTTTTAAAAAGTTTATATTTTAGGTTTGCGGGTACATGCGAAGGTTTGTTATATAGATAAACACATGTCATGGGGGGGTTGTTGTACATAACATCACCCAGAAATTAAGCTCAGAATCTTTTTCTTTCATTTTTAGCTATATTATTTCCCTTATGTTGGACCATAAATCTAAAATTGTAATTAAATGTCCATCCTCCAAAAATGGATATGCAAGCGTGTACATGTCTTTAAAGGTAAGACACAGAAGCTGCCAATGTAATTTGTACAGAAGTTATATTTTTTATCCGTGTGTGCACATACAAGGTGGAATGCCCATTGTATGAGGAACATTCTGTACATTGATTATGTGTAATTGAATGCAAGAACTTATACAGAGGTACATTAAGATGAAGAAACATGTTTATCTTGTTCTCTCTTCTCTGTAGCATTGAAATTTCAGCTGCAAAGAAAAGGGTAGGCAAGTCAGGGCAATGATAATTTTTCTCAATTAAAACAATTTTAAAATCCAAATGAATACTAAGGGGAGAAAGAGAGCCAACTACCCATAAGTATTTATAATTTGATTAAAATTCTGTTTTGTTGAACTCTTCACATTATTTAATAAGAGGTAGTGAGCTTAGAATAGCTTACCCTGCTCAGATAAACCATTACAAGCTTTGCAATTTACTAATCATCAATCTAAAACAAATTTCTGTAATATTTTAGCCCCTCTTCACTGATACATAAAGAGAACTTGCATATAAAAACAATAGAGGAATTCAAGATTCTATACATTTAAAATCTCAACTGTAGAAATGATTTTCTGCCATATCTAGTAATTCAGAGCTAGACAAAACCATTAATTTGATTATATACCTGCTATGGTTTGAATGTGTCCCCCAAAGTTTATGTGTTGGAAACCTAATTCTCAATGTAATGGTGTTGGGAGTTAGGGCCTAATAAGAGGTGATTAAATTATGAGAGTTCTGCCCTCATGAATGGACTAATATCATTTTCCTTGGAGTGGGTTAGTTATTATGAGAATGGTTTTGTTATAAAAACAAGTTTGGCCCATTCTTGCTAGCTTGCTTTTGCCTACTCTTGACCTTCTGCTTTCTGCCATGGGATGACAGAGAATGTAGGCACTCACCTGCCATTGCTATGCATTTGAATTTCCAGTCTCCAGAACCATGAACCATGGTTCATTATAAACTAACAAGTCTGTGAGAGTCTGTTATGAGTATAAAATGAACTAAGTCCCTAATGTGCAATATGAAAAAATGAATACAAGATTAATCTCTCAGACTACCTTTCACTATCCAGTGTAGAGAGAATCAGTCCAGGGTAAAACTAACTTTATGTAATGAAGGATAAAAGGAAGAAATCAAATTAATGAAAATTGATGCATGGATTAGAAAAAAAATCGTTAAAAAAATTAAATGGTTGTACCCAAAGGAGACACAATGCATGGTTTAAGTGGGAAACCTCACTGACCATGACATTTATTTTTAATTAGCAATTCAACTAATGTATAGCATCAGTAACATTGTCAATAATTATCTCCCAAGCTTTGTCATTGTATATAATTTATAGAACTCTCCATATATGTTGTTTTTTCATACATTTACAATATTTTTAAAATTTAAACCAGTAGTCTAATGTAATAAGAACTATTTCACTATGAAAGATAAAGAGTGTAATAATTCCTGTCAAAAGTCCAATGGACATTGTCTAGGTAAGCAGAATCCAGATAGTTCACCTGAAAAATAGTAAAATGTCCAAACAGCTTCATAAATAAATAGACTATGTTTAATCTTAAAAAACTGCTAATATACATATTTGATATTAAGAATTTTAAAATTAATTTCACTGGAGTTTGAGACTCTTAATTTAGAGAAAAATGTAACATTTTATATATACAGTTTTTGAATTCAATTTTTTTTAACAATTGAAAAACCATACCATGCTAAGAATTTGCATTTGAACACTGAAATATTCTCTAAGTGGCCTGTTAGTGTATTAAAATTTCCTCTTAAACCTTTTTATTTTTATGTTTTTTTAAAGCTCCTAGTGGAAGGTTTGGCTACATAAACTGTATTTCATAAAGTTCGGCTCTGAAGCATAATGCCAATTGCACAGTTGCCCACATTGAGCTATGAATGGGCAGCGTTTGTAACCATGGATATGGTGAACTTAATGCGAGAGCCATATTCATCTGAGGCTTGCAAGGGTTGGACAGTGCCCTACCTAGATATTCTTTACTGGGTCAGTGAGCGATCTCCAGCTGCCAAGTGATGTCAGCTCACTCCAGAGAATTGGCCTTGTCTGACAGAAGTATGCCCAATAAAATGTATGCATATGAATCACTGTCTTAAACTCTACTTCTAGAAAATCCAAACTATGAGACTCTTATTAAGAAAAATAAGCAGTATTTTTCTGAAATTCTTATTCTTTCTTTTTTTTCCCAATATAAAAGGTTTTTTTTTTCTTTTGCTAGTATTGCAGATTTTGTTTCACATAGCATTCTTTCTCTCTCTCTTTCGCTCCCTCTCTCTTAGTCTCTCTGTCAGCGGTCAGGGATTATTATCAGTCTGTCATGGGTCAGGGATTATTTGATTTAACCTTCACAGTGCTTTTAGCAGATAGGGAGCATTATCATAACTGGTTTTATTTTGACAACAGTTGGAGTAGCTGTAAATTGGATAATATAAATATTGGCCAAGGTCACACATTTAGTAAGTGGTGGAGTTGAGATTGCAATCTGGTCTGTCTGACTCTAGAGTAACGGAACTCTTAACTGCTACGCCACACTGCGTCCCCTTATAATTTAGGGAGCCCAGTGTTGGTGAACGGTAGGACCTATCACCAGCTCCCTCGTAGTCCAATTAGATGCTGATCAAACATCCTTTTCAAATATTCAGGCACAGAGAATTGGGCAAATTATAATTATATATGTAGAGAGAATGTATATGAATATGCTTTACACGTCCATATAATTTAAAGAAATTCATCCAGGTATGTTCATTTGGGGCAATATCCTTTTGAGGCCTTGTGGAAATAAACTAATGATTTCAAACAGAAAGCAAAAGAAAAACGGGATGGTAGGAGTTCTGTTAGACAGGTGTTCTGTCCTTCGCCTACCTACTAACTTAATGCAACTTTGCAAATCTATAGTAGGTTTTCTTTAGGACTACACTGCCCTGGTCCTTTGTTTATGTTTTTCTCTCATCCATTGTGGATTGTAATGCCCTCAGTACTGAATAATAAACACAAGTCTGATGGTAGGGGCTACCTAATGAACTCTATACCCTATATCTGCATTTGTATATTTTTTCTCAATTTATGTTAGCTTCTTTGGTCTAAAGGTAGGAACTTAAACTTCCTAATATTTATTTTCACTTGCGTTAATGATCTTTTGTTTAGAATTATTTATGTACTCATAATATTGCTCCTTAATGTATTCTTAAATGTGTTACTTGGAATCTTTCTCACAGAACTTTGGCATGTTTCTATGTTTATACTTCCGGTTTTTTTTTTTAATGCTTTAATTATCTAAATTTTTAGTATCTGAATTATTTACTTTTGTATATATCTTTTATTCTTATCAATGTTTACCTGGAGTAGTACAGGGACAAATTCCAATATTCTTACTTATCACAGCATATTACTTGGCAAGTCCTCAGATTTATCAGTATTATATTTGAAGATAAAGAACTATCTAATAAAATAGAATAAAGACATTCAAAAGTTAAATTTTAAAAATTTCATCAGTGGATTTTAATTGGGAAATATGCATGTTTCAATAAACACTATAAATTGTTTCTGGAACCTGTGCATCTTTCTTTTGCCAAATTGCATTTGGAACATTTTTACAGAATTAATTGTACAACCTTGTTAATGAGTATTCTTTTTTGCAGCTCGTCATAATTTTTAGAGGTCATTATGATTTTGTCACGTTATTTTAATCACTTATTTGCATATTATTTGTATAATTTGGTAAAAAAGAGACATTAAAATAAATAATGAGGAGATGAAAATTAGTTTCTTGGAAAAAACATCTCTCATTCCTCTGGAATGAGTTGCATGTCTTTGTTCAAGTTTGTTTGCTATTATTGTATGTTTTTTAAATCGTGATTAATGCATAGTAAACAACATTATAGGTTTATGAATTTCAAATACACAGAGTTTTTTTCTGAAATAAATATGATCAGATAGTAGACATTGATGTGATAAATTTAAACTGAAATATATAGTTATTTAAAATCAAACCTACAAAAATTCTAAAGAGATACAGAAGGCACTGACTTATTTGGTGTTTTTAAGAACAAATGTGAAAATGCGACTGATAAAATTATTATTTATACACTATGTATGTGTTACATACGTATGTTTATAAATATATATATATGATTGTTTGTGTGTGTAAGTATATTTCTCCTAAATCCCTCACTTCAGTCTTATTTCTTCTATAATCTAGTGTCAAGAGGTGAACATTCGTAATATATCCATGGTTGTAACCAAAATCTCTGATTGTAATTAATCCATATATTATTTCTTTGTTTTTTAGTAGATTAACAGAAAAAATATTCAAATAAATTAGATTATTCCCTAAATGGGTCAGAATCATTTATATAGAAGGTCTTATGAAAAATATTTAGGAAATTCAGGTTTGGAATTTCTGCATTCTATGAATTTCCACATATGAAATCAGATAATGGTCATCTCAAAATAAATTATTTTAAGAGAAATTAAATTGGCTCTAGGAAACTACATAATTATTATATGAAAAGATGTAAATTTATGCATAAATGACCACCTGGTAAGTAAAATCACTTTACAAGAAACTTAATTTTTCTGAAATATAGACACTAATTCCATATAGGCAAGGTTTGTATGTTTGTAAAAAATAAGAGAAATCACATCACGTTTGAAAATTGCCTTGGCCACCTGAAAAAGAGCAGGCTTGGCTGGGCACGATGGCTCAGACCTGTAATCCCAGCACTTTGGGAGGCCGCGGCGGGTGGATCACTTGAGGTCAGGAGCTGAAGACCAGCCCAGCCAACATGGTGAAACCCCGACTCTACTAAGAAAACAAAAATTAGCCGGGCATGGTGGCATGCACCTGTAATCCCAGCTACTCGGGAGGCTGAGGCAGGAGAATTGCTTGAACCCGGGAGGGGGAGGTTGCAGTGAGCTGAGATCACACCACTGTACTCCAGCCTGTGCGACAGAGGGAGACTCTGTCTCAAAAAAAAAAAAAAAAAAGAAAAGCAGCCTTTGCCCAGATTTAGTATGCTCTTAGATTGATTAGTTCCCATACTTTGTTTTATCTGAACAATATATGAGTAGATGGAGAGGATATTGGTGGTAAGGTCCATTCACAATCTGGATCCTGAAAGGTAATAATACATTGAAATGTAGATTTTTGAATAGCTGAGGCTTTTGAGCTGTGTATTATTTTTGTATTGCTGAAGTATTGAATTACCACAAACTTGGCAGCTTACAACGAGAAAAGTTCATCGTCTTACAGATCTATAAGTTAGGAGTCCAATATGGGTCTCACTGAACTAAAATCCCAATGTTGAAAGGGCTGCAGTGTTCCTCTTTAGAGGCTAGAAGAAATATTTTATTTCCTTGACTTTTACAGCTTCTAGAGGCTATCGACATTCCTTAACCCTTGGTCCCCATCCTGCATCAAAGCCAACAAAGTTTTATCTCTCTGATCATTCTTCTATAGTCACATCTCTCTTTCTGACCACAGCCAGGAATGATTCTCTGCTTTTAAGAACCCATGGACTATATGCCAAACAGAATAACGAGGATAATTTCATCTCAAGGTACTTAATCACATCTACAAAATCTCATTCAACATGGCAGGTAGCATATTCACATATTTTGGGGACAACAATGCAAACATCTTTGGGGGCCATCATTCAGCTTACTACAATGTGTGATTTCAGTAATAGAGCTACAGATTCATAGTAGGGTCTTTCTCAATAATGATTTTGTTCATACTGCATCTTCTAAAAGAGGAGAGTCATAAAACTTGATTATTTAATCATGATTAGGAAAGTTTGGTATATAACACAGTAGCCATATTTTATACAGTTGTGGCTACTGTGAAATAGGAAGCTCAGCAGCAGCCATTGGGAGTGTGCATGTCTTGGCCGTGAGTAATCTGAGTAAATTCTACAAGTATGTTTCAGTAATTGAAAACAGAAGACATTCATATGAAATTTGCCGAAAGTCCTATTCCCAGCGATTAAGTAATTATCTGTTATAAATCAAAATTACTCCAATAGTCATAAAAATTATATATTGATATGGCTAAACTCTAAAGTTTTGATTTGAATAATGCTAACCAATTGTAGCAAAAAGAGGTTTGGAGAGGAAATCAACAACTGTAACATAATTTCACCATTACCACTTTCTGAAATTGTGACTAGGAACAAGTAATTTAGCAATTCTATTTCAGAGTTTACTCACAGAATGAGTTTCCTAGGCCAGACATGACTATCTCATTCAAACAATTAGAAAAAAGTGATATAAAAAGTGACTAAGACCACGTATATATTCCATATTTTTTCTCATCTTCAATTTCTTCCACAATGAGTTTTATTAAATGTTTTGCTTTTGTTTGGGTTTATTTGGGTCAATAATTTCCCCCCACAACATATAATATCTAGTAACATCTATGTGTGAAGACATATGTCTTAAATGTATATTAGTAGTTAGAATTTCACAAATTCTAACTGTGCAAATAAAGTAGGGAAATGTCCATTTAGGTTTCTGTCACTCCCATAAATAGATTTATTTCTCATAATATAATTACATATTGGGAGAGTAATTAGTTAACCACATAGTATTAGACATGCTATTGCATTAACTGACCAGTTTTTCTGCATTTGAAATTACAGAGCAATTAGAAAGAATAATCACAGTATAAATACTATGATTTATTCTTCAGATTTTTTATGAAAGACTGTTATATAAGTTTTGGAAGCCGGGCGTAGTGGCTCATGCCTGTAATCCCAGCACTTTGGGAGGCCGAGGCGGGTGGATCACCTGAGGTCAGGAGCTTGAGACCAGCCTGGCTAACATGGCGAAACCCCATCTCTACTAAAATTACACAAATTACCTGGGCTTGGTGGTGGGCGCCTGTAATCCCAGCCACTGGGGAGGCAGAGGCAGGAGAATCTCTTGAACCTGGGAAGCAGAGGCCACAGTGAGCCGAGATCATGCCACTGCACTCCAGCCTGGGTGGCACAGCGAGATTCTGTTGCAAAAAATAAATAAATAATTTTTAAAAATTTGGAGAAATCAAACTCCTCATGGTGTAGTCGAGACATCACAACATGGAGATGGAGAGACATGATGACTTTGTGCGTGAATTCAAATGTCAGAGAAATTAAAAGTCTATTGCAATATCAAAAAGCAAAAAGTAAGCTAAATTAGTTTGACTTTATTATATATTTAAAAGTATTTTAGTACACAGGTTTGCTCATCCCTTCTTTTATCTCTTCTTAATGTCACTTAGGAGCCATATTTGTTAATAATGGTTTAATATATTGGCATACTGTACCATATTCATGTAAAACAACAGTCAAGATTTGTAGTTTCTTGAATAATTTGTTGATTAAATGAAAACCTACCACTTCCATATATTTAGCAAATATTTTTAGATTTTTAAAAATCTTCCTAAGAACAATTCAAAATCTCTTTGTCTCTTCCAATCAAGGCAAACTGATGTATTTCCTGCTCTGCTGACTTTTTTAAACTAACTTTTCTGCTGGAAAATTCTATCTGTCAATAGAGTTCTTAAAAGGATTTGTATTAAGCCTTCCACAGATACTCTGATATTAAAATCAGGTCTGAGTAAACAGGTACATTCTGTGTAGTTAAAATTAAATACTGCTATAAATATGCCCAGTGGGGTAATCCAATTTACTAGTCACTTCAGAGCTGATATGAAGGTCAAAAGGTACTTGGCAACATCGTTTGGAATCGGGATTACTTGTAGGTTATTTATCCTTAAGAAGTATTGTAATGTCTGTGTATAAAGTGCATTATTCCTTAGAAACTGCCTCGGTCAAATAACACAGGCTTAAGATTCTCATTTTCTGTCCCTTTATGCTGTGTACATGCAGAGTCAATCCATTGTTATTACACAGCCAATTATAGGACCAAAACATAATTTGCATTTCTTTTCTCCTTTTTAGTCATAATCTTGATGATTATAGCCAAGCTCTATTTTGTAATTTTAAAGAAATCCCCTGAATGTACTTCCACAAGCCATTTTAATTATTCTCATGATATCTGCGGTAGGTAGGTGAAAATAGTCACTAACAGCCATAAATGATAACTAAGAAGTATGTGACCATAGCAATGTGTTAGGAGACACATATTTACGGGATTTTTATTTAAATTGATTAGCATTGCTTCATGCATACACCAGTGGTTCTCAACTGTCCATCAGACTAAGCTGGCAAGATTGTTAATAGTTTAGATACTCAGGTTCATGCCCAGAGATGGTTCTCATTTTCTATCTGTCTCTATCTCTACCTGATGCCCAGAGATTGTTCATGCCCAGAGATAGTTCACTTTCTTTAAGTGTATCTCTAGCTCTCTCTCTCTTTATCATGTCCTACTTCCAGATGATACAAATTTGCAGCTAAGGCTGAGAAACGCTGATCTAGATGAGAATGTACCAAGCAGAAAGATTAAGTGAATTATTAATGCCCACAAAGTCATTTCAAATGTGTATTTATTTATTCAATTGATTTGACTGAAAACTAGTTCTCAGCATTCTAACAGATTTTCCTCTAAAGATGTAAGCCATTGGCTGACTGACTTGACTGAAAACTAGTTCTCAGCATTTTAACAGATTTTCCACTAAAGATGTAGACAGAGTTTGCATTTTGAGACAAGGACACAGGGTAACATTTAATCAATCTGATTAACAGCAAGAAATAAATGGGTATTACCCACTAGATTGTGATCCTCATTAAAAAAGGACGAATGCCTATTTTGAAAGCTTTACAAACATATTTGAATGATTGAATAAATAAATACACATTTGATTTTGTACATCCCAGATTCAGTACATTGCGATTAATTATAAGAAGAAAAAAACTCGTTATACTTTCCATTTCCAAAATATGTTCAAAAGTAAAAATATTAACAAATTTCAATTTCCGATGATTACTACTACTTCACAATAAATGCAGGAAAAATTCCATAATAATTCACAAAAACTCTATACTTAATAGGAAACAACTCTCATTGGTATTAGATAGATAGACCTTGCATTATTTATACCAAATGACATTTTTTTTTTTTATTTTGCAGGTTTAATAAAGTATAATTCAAAAATTATGTGATTAATCTATACTATCTAATTATTTGGTATGTGTATATTATGTGAAATGATAACAACAATCAAGTCAGTTAACACATCTATAATCTCACCTAGTTAGTTTGCTTTGTTTTGCTTTTGTTTTTTTTTTTTTTTTTTTTTTATACTCTAAGTTTTAGGGTACATGTGCACATTGTGCAGGTTAGTTACATATGTATACATGTGCCATGCTGGTGCGCTGCACCCACTAATGTGTCATCTAGCATTAGGTATATCTCCCAATGCTATCCCTCCCCCCTCCCCCGACCCCACCACAGTCCCCAGAGTGTGATATTCCCCTTCCTGTGTCCATGTGATCTCATTGTTCAATTCCCACCTATGAGTGAGAATATGCGGTGTTTGGTTTTTTGTTCTTGCGATAGTTTACTGAGAATGATGGTTTCCAATTTCATCCATGTCCCTACAAAGGATATGAACTCATCATTTTTTATGGCTGCATAGTATTCCATGGTGTATATGTGCCACATTTTCTTAATCCAGTCTATCATTGTTGGACATTTGGGTTGGTTCCAAGTCTTTGCTATTGTGAATAGTGCCGCAATAAACATACGTGTGCATGTGTCTTTATAGCAGCATGATTTATACTCATTTGGGTATATACCCAGTAATGGGATGGCTGGGTCAAATGGTATTTCTAGTTCTAGATCCCTGAGGAATCGCCACACTGACTTCCACAATGGTTGAACTAGTTTACAGTCCCACCAACAGTGTAAAAGTGTTCCTATTTCTCCACATCCTCTCCAGCACCTGTTGTTTCCTGACTTTTTAATGATTGCCATTCTAACTGGTGTGAGATGATATCTCATTGTGGTTTTGATTTGCATTTCTCTGATGGCCAGTGATGATGAGCATTTCTTCATGTGTTTTTTGGCTGCATAAATGTCTTCTTTTGAGAAGTGTCTGTTCATGTCCTTCGCCCACTTTTTGATGGGGTTGTTTGTTTTTTTCTTGTAAATTTGTTTGAGTTCATTGTAGATTCTGGATATTAGCCCTTTGTCAGATGAGTAGGTTGCGAAAATTTTCTCCCATGTTGTAGGTTGCCTGTTCACTCTGATGGTAGTTTCTTTTGCTGTGCAGAAGCTCTTTAGTTTAATTAGATCCCATTTGTCAATTTTGGCTTTTGTTGCCATTGCTTTTGGTGTTTTGCACATGAAGTCCTTGCCCACGCCTATGTCCTGAATGGTAATGCCTAGGTTTTCTTCTAGGGTTTTTATGGTTTTAGGTTTAACGTTTAAATCTTTAATCCATCTTGAATTGATTTTTGTATAAGGTGTAAGGAAGGGATCCAGTTTCAGCTTTCTCCATATGGCTAGCCAGTTTTCCCAGCACCATTTATTAAATAGGGAATCCTTTCCCCATTGCTTGTTTTTCTCAGGTTTGTCAAAGATCAGATAGTTGTAGATATGCGGCATTATTTCTGAGGGCTCTGTTCTGTTCCATTGATCTATATCTCTGTTTTGGTACCAGTACCATGCTGTTTTGGTTACTGTAGCCTTGTAGTATAGTTTGAAGTCAGGTAGTGTGATGCCTCCAGCTTTGTTCTTTTGGCTTAGGATTGACTTGGCAATGCGGGCTCTTTTTTGGTTCCATATGAACTTTAAAGTAGTTTTTTCCAATTCTGTGAAGAAAGTCATTGGTAGCTTGATGGGGATGGCATTGAATCTGTAAATTACCTTGGGCAGTATGGCCATTTTCACGATATTGATTCTTCCTACCCATGAGCATGGAATGTTCTTCCATTTGTTTGTCTCCTCTTTTATTTCCTTGAGCAGTGGTTTGTAGTTCTCCTTGAAGAGGTCCTTCACATCCCTTGTAAGTTGGATTCCTAGGTATTTTATTCTCTTTGAAGCAATTGTGAATGGGAGTTCACCCATGATTTGGCTCTCTGTTTGTCTGTTGTTGGTGTATAAGAATGCTTGTGATTTTTGTACATTGATTTTGTATCCTGAGACTTTGCTGAAGTTGCTTATCAGCTTAAGGAGATTTTGGGCTGAGACGATGGGGTTTTCTAGATAAACAATCATGTCGTCTGCAAACAGGGACAATTTGACTTCCTCTTTTCCTAATTGAATACCCTTTATTTCCTTCTCCTGCCTGATTGCCCTGGCCAGAACTTCCAACACTATGTTGAATAGGAGTGGTGAGAGAGGGCATCCCTGTCTTGTGCCGGTTTTCAAAGGGAATGCTTCCAGTTTTTGCCCATTCAGTATGATATTGGCTGTGGGTTTGTCATAGATAGCTCTTATTATTTTGAAATACGTCCCATCAATACCTAATTTATTGAGAGTTTTTAGCATGAAGGGTTGTTGAATTTTGTCAAAGGCTTTTTCTGCATCTATTGAGATAATCATGTGGTTTTTGTCTTTGGCTCTGTTTATATGCTGGATTACATTTATTGATTTGCGTATATTGAACCAGCCTTGCATCCCAGGGATGAAGCCCACTTGATCATGGTGGATAAGCTTTTTGATGTGCTGCTGGATTCGGTTTGCCAGTATTTTATTGAGGATTTTTTCATCAATGTTCATCAAGGATATTGGTCTAAAATTCTCTTTTTTGGTTGTGTCTCTGCCCGGCTTTGGTATCAGAATGATGCTGGCCTCATAAAATGAGTTAGGGAGGATTCCCTCTTTTTCTATTGATTGGAATAGTTTCAGAAGGAATGGTACCAGTTCCTCCATGTACCTCTGGTAGAATTCGGCTGTGAATCCATCTGGTCCTGGACTCTTTTTGGTTGGTAAACTATTGATTATTGCCACAATTTCAGAGCCTGTTATTGGTCTATTCAGAGATTCAACTTCTTCCTGGTTTAGTCTTGGGAGAGTGTATGTGTCGAGGAATGTATCCATTTCTTCTAGATTTTCTAGTTTATTTGCGTAGAGGTGTTTGTAGTATTCTCTGATGGTAGTTTGTATTTCTGTGGGATCGGTGGTGATATCCCCTTTATCATTTTTTATTGTGTCTATTTGATTCTTCTCTCTTTTTTTCTTTATTAGTCTTGCTAGCGGTCTATCAATTTTGTTGATCCTTTCAAAAAACCAGCTCCTGGATTCATTGATTTTTTGAAGGGTTTTTTGTGTCTCTATTTCCTTCAGTTCTGCTCTGATTTTAGTTATTTCTTGCCTTCTGCTAGCTTTTGAATGTGTTTGCTCTTGCTTTTCTAGTTCTTTTAATTGTGATGTTAGGGTGTCAATTTTGGATCTTTCCTGCTTTCTCTTGTAGGCATTTAGTGCTATAAATTTCCCTCTACACACTGCTTTGAATGCGTCCCAGAGATTCTGGTATGTGGTGTCTTTGTTCTCGTTGGTTTCAAAGAACATCTTTATTTCTGCCTTCATTTCGTTATGTACCCAGTAGTCATTCAGGAGCAGGTTGTTCAGTTTCCATGTAGTTGAGCGGCTTTGAGTGAGATTCTTAATCCTGAGTTCTAGTTTGATTGCACTGTGGTCTGAGAGATAGTTTGTTATAATTTCTGTTCTTTTACATTTGCTGAGGAGAGCTTTACTTCCAACTATGTGGTCAATTTTGGAATAGGTGTGGTGCTGAAAAAAATGTATATTCTGTTGATTTGGGGTGGAGAGTTCTGTAGATGTCTATTAGGTCTGCTTCGTGCAGAGCTGAGTTCAATTCCTGGGTATCCTTGTTGACTTTCTGTCTCGTTGATCTGTCTAATGTTGACAGTGGGGTGTTAAAGTCTCCCATTATTAATGTGTGGGAGTCTAAGTCTCTTTGTAGGTTACTGAGGACTTGCTTTATGAATCTGGGTGCTCCTGTATTGGGTGCATAAATATTTAGGATAGTTAGCTCCTCTTGTTGAATTGATCCCTTTACCATTATGTAATGGCCTTCTTTGTCTCTTTTGATCTTTGTTGGTTTAAAGTCTGTTTTATCAGAGACTAGGATTGCAACCCCTGCCTTTTTTTGTTTTCCATTGGCTTGGTAGATCTTCCTCCATCCTTTTATTTTGAGCCTATGTGTGTCTCTGCACGTGAGATGGGTTTCCTGAATACAGCACACTGATGGGTCTTGACTCTTTATCCAACTTGCCAGTCTGTGTCTTTTAATTGCAGAATTTAGTCCATTTATATTTAAAGTTAATATTGTTATGTGTGAATTTGATCCTGTCATTATGATGTTAGCTGGTGATTTTGCTCATTAGTTGATGCAGTTTCTTCCTAGTCTCGATGGTCTTTACATTTTGGCATGATTTTGCAGCGGCTGGTACCGGTTGTTCCTTTCCATGTTTAGCGCTTCCTTCAGGAGCTCTTTTAGGGCAGGCCTGGTGGTGACAAAATCTCTCAACATTTGCTTGTCTATAAAGTATTTTATTTCTCCTTCACTCATGAAGCTTAGTTTGGCTGGATATGAAATTCTGGGTTGAAAATTCTTTTCTTTAAGAATGTTGAATATTGGCCCCCACTCTCTTCTGGCTTGTAGGGTTTCTGCCGAGAGATCCGCTGTTAGTCTGATGGGCTTTCCTTTGAGGGTAACCCGACCTTTCTCTCTGGCTGCCCTTAACATTTTTTCCTTCATTTCAACTTTGGTGAATCTGACAATTATGTGTCTTGGAGTTGCTCTTCTCGAGGAGTATCTTTGTGGCGTTCTCTGTATTTCCTGAATCTGAACGTTGGCCTGCCTTGCTAGATTGGGGAAGTTCTCCTGGATAATATCCTGCAGAGTGTTTTCCAACTTGGTTCCATTCTCCACATCACTTTCAGGTACACCAATCAGACGTAGATTTGGTCTTTTCACATAGTCCCATATTTCTTGGAGGCTTTGCTCATTTCTTTTTATTCTTTTTTCTCTAAACTTCCCTTCTCGCTTCATTTCATTCATTTCATCTTCCATCGCTGATACCCTTTCTTCCAGTTGATCGCATCGGCTCCTGAGGCTTCTGCATTCTTCACGTAGTTCTCGAGCCTTGGTTTTCAGCTCCATCAGCTCCTTTAAGCTCTTCTCTGTATTGGTTATTCTAGTTATACATTCTTCTAAATTTTTTTCAAAGTTTTCAACTTCTTTGCCTTTGGTTTGAATGTCCTCCCGTAGCTCAGAGTAATTTGATCGTCTGAAGCCTTCTTCTCTCAGCTCGTCAAAATCATTCTCCATCCAGCTTTGTTCTGTTGCTGGTGAGGAACTGCGTTCCTTTGGAGGAGGAGAGGCACTCTGCGTTTTAGAGTTTCCAGTTTTTCTGTTCTGTTTTTTCACCATCTTTGTGGTTTTATCTACTTTTGGTCTTTGATGATGGTGATGTACAGATGGGTTTTCGGTGTAGATGTCCTTTCTGGTTGTTAGTTTTCCTTCTAACAGACAGGACCCTCAGCTGCAGGTCTGTTGGAATACCCTGCCGTGTGAGGTGTCAGTGTGCCCCTGCTGGGGGGTGCCTCCCAGTTAGGCTGCTCGGGGGTCAGGAGTCAGGGACCCACTTGAGGAGGCAGTCTGCCCGTTCTCAGATCTCCAGCTGCGTGCTGGGAGAACCACTGCTCTCTTCAAAGCTGTCAGACAGGGACACTTAAGTCTGCAGAGGTTACTGCTGTCTTTTTGTTTGTCTGTGCCCTGCCCCCAGAGGTGGAGCCTACAGAGGCAGGCAGGCCTCCTTGAGCTGTGGTGGGCTCCACCCAGTTCGAGCTTCCTGGCTGCTTTGTTTACCTAAGCAAGCCTGGGCAATGGCGGGCGCCCCTCCCCCAGCCTCGTTGCCGCCTTGCAGTTTGATCTCAGACTGCTGTGCTAGCAATCAGCGAGATTCCGTGGGCGTAGGACCCTCCAAGCCAGGTGTGGGATATAGTCTCGTGGTGCGCCGTTTCTTAAGCCGGTCTGAAAAGCGCAATATTCGGGTGGGAGTGACCCGATTTTCCAGGTGCGTCCGTCACCCCTTTCTTTGACTCGGAAAGGGAACTCCCTGACCCCTTGCGCTTCCCAGGTGAGGCAATGCCTTGCCCTGCTTCGGCTCGCGCATGGTGCGCACACACACTGGCCTGCGCCCACTGTCTGGCACTCCCTAGTGAGATGAACCCGGTACCTCAGATGGAAATGCAGAAATCACCGTCTTCTGCGTCGCTCACGCTGGGAGCTGTAGACCGGAGCTGTTCCTATTCGGCCATCTTGGCTCCTCCCGCCCTTGTTTTTGTTTTTAATTTCAACTTTTAGTTTAGATATGAGGGTACATATACAAGTCTGTTACACGAATCTGTTGTGTGATGCTGAGGTTTGGGGTATGCATCACATCACCCAGGTAGTAAGCATAGTACATGATAAGTAGTTTTTCAATTCACACCACTCTTTTTTTCTACCCCATCTAGTAGTCCACAGTGTCTCTTTTTCCCATGTTTATGCCCATGTGTGCTCAGTATTTATTTCCCACTTATAAGTGAGGACATGCCATATTTGGTTTTGTGTTCCTGCACTAATTTGCTTAGTATTATGACCACCAGCTGCAACCATGTTTCTGCAAAGGACCTGATTTCGTTCTTTTTTCTATGGCTCTGTAGTACTCCATAATGTATTTATACCACATTTTCTTTACCCGATCCACCACCACTAATGAGCACCTTAGTTGATTCCATGTCTTTGCTGTTGTGAACAGCATGATGATGAACATTTAGGTACATGTGTCCATTTGGTAGAATGATCTGTGTTTCCTTTGGGCATATATGCAATGATAGGATTGCTGGGACAAATTGTAGCTCTATGATAAGTTCTTTGAGAAATCTCCAAACTACTTTCCACAGTGGCTGAACTAATTCATATACCCAGCAACAGTGTATGCGCATTCCCTATTCTCCACAGCCTTGCCGGCATCTGTTATTATTATTATTTTTTTTACTTTTTAGTAATAGCCATTGTGAGTGGCATGAGATAGTATCTCATTGTGGTATAGATTTGCATTTCTTTGATGATTAGTGATGTTGAACTTTTTGGCCACTTGTATGTCTTCTATTCAGAAGTATCTGTTAACGTCTATTGCCTATTTATTGAGATTCTTTTTTGTTTCTTGATTTAAGTTCATTATAGATTCTGGATATCAGACTTTTGTCAGATACAAGGTGATTGGTATATATTTGCGAATATTTTCTCCCACTCTATAGGTTGTCTACTTTGTAAATAGTTTATTTTTCTGTGCAGAAGCAATTTAGTTTAATTACATCACACCTGTCAATTACTGTTTTTGTTGAAATTCCTTTTGGGGACTTAGCCAAAAATTATTGGCCATGGCCACTGTCAAGAAGGGTATTTTCTAGGTTTTCTTCTAGGATTTTAGTTTGAGGACTTATTTTAAAAGCTTTAGTTGATTTTGAGTTAGCTTTGTATACGGTGAAAGTTAGGGGTCCAGATTCATTCTTCTGCATGTGACTAGCCAACTATCCCAGCACTACTTATTAAATAAGTAGTCCTATCCCAATTGCTTATTATTGTCCACCTTGTTGAAGATCAGGTGATTGTAAGTGTGAGTCTTTATTTCCGGGTTTTTTGTTCTGTACCATTGATCTACATGTGTGTTTTTGTACAAGTATCATGCTATTTTTATGACTGTGGCCTTACAGTATAGTTTGAACTTTGGTAGTACAATGTCCCTGGATTTGTTCTATTTACCTAGAATTGCATTGGTTATTTAGGATCTTTTTAGGTTCCATATGACATTGGTAGTTTGCTAGGAATAGTGCCGAATCTTTAAATTGCTTTGGGCATTATGGCTATTTTTATGATATTGATTCTTCCTATCCATGAGCATGTAATGCTTTTCCATTTATTAGTGTCATCTTCTTTTTCTATATGGATGCCTTTCATTTCTTTCTTTCACTTTATTCCTCTGACTAGGACTTCTAGTATATGTTGAATAGGAGTGGTGAGAGTGGGCACCTTTGTCTTGCAGTTCTTAAGGGGAATGTTTCCAGCTTTGGCCTATTTGGTGTGATGTTGGCTGTGAGTTTACCATAGATGGCTTTTATTATTTTGACCTATGTTTTGTGATGCCAACTCTGTTGGGAGTTTTTTATCATGGAGGGCTGTTGGAGTTTATCAAAAGTCTTTTTTTTATATCTGTTGAAATAATCATATGGTTTTACTGTCTAATTCTGTTTATGTGGTGAATCATATTTATAGATTTGTACGGGTTGAAACAACTTTGCATCGCAGGAATAAAACCTTGTTGATCATGGTGAATTAATTTTTTGATGTGCTGCTGGATCCAGTATGCTAGTATTTTGTTGAGTATTTTTATGGCTATGTTCATCAGGGATACTGGCGGGAAGTTTTGTTTTTGATTTTTTTTTTTTTTTTTTTTGCTGTGTCTCTGCCAGATTGTGGTATCAGGTTGATGCTGGTTTCATAAAATTAGTTAGGAAGGAGTCTCCCTCAATTTTTTGGAATAGTTTCAGTAGGATTGATGTCAGTTCTTTTTTATACATATGAGAGAATTTGACTGTAAATCCATCTGGTCCAGGGCTTTTTTTGGTTGGTAGGTTTTTTGTTACTGATACAATTTCAGAACTTGATATTGGTCTATTCTGGATTTTATTTTTTTCCTAGTTCAATTCTGAGGTATTATCTGTTTCCAGGAATATATCTATTGTCTCCAGATTTTTGTGCATAGAGTTGTTCATAGTAGTCTGAGATGTTTTGTATTTCTGAAAAATCATTTGTAATATTTTCTTTCTAATTTCTGATGGGATTTTCTTCTTGTGCTGTTGTTGTTAATTCAGATAGTGCTCTATCAATCTTATTTGTTTGAATAACCAGCTCTTGGTTTCATGTATCTTTTGTATGGATTTTTGCACCTCAATTACATATAGTTCTTCTCTAGTTTATTTTTATTTTATTTTATTTTATTTTTTGAGATGGAGTCTCACCCTGTCACCCAGGCTGGAGTGCAGTGGCACAGTCTTGGCTCACTGCAACTTCTGCCTCCCGGGTTCAAGCAATTTTCCTGCCTCAGCCTCCCGAGTAGCTTGGATTACAGGCACGCACCACCACGCCTGGCTAATTGTTTGTGTTTTTAGTAGAGACGGGGTTACACCATGTTGGCCAGGCTGGTATCAAACTCCTGACCTCGTGATCCACCTGCCTCAGCCTCCCAAAGTGCTGGGGTTACAGGCATGAGCCTAGTTATTTTTACTGATATTTGAGATCTTTCTAACTTCTTGATGAAGGTGTTTAGGCCTATAAGCTTTTCTCTTACTACTGCTTTAGCTACATCCCAGAGATTTTGATAAGATTTGTCCTTATTTTCATTAATTCCAATGAATTTTTTATTTCTGCCTTAATTTTGATGTTCTCTGAAGAGTTATTCAGGAGTAAATTGTTTAATTTTAATGTATTTGTGTAATTTTGAGAGATTTTATTCATATTCACTTCTTTTTTTTATTGCATTCTATTCTGAAAGTGTGGTTTGTATGATATCTAATTCTTTGAATTTATTGAGACTTACTTTATGACTGACCATGTGGTTAATATTAGAAAATGTTCTGTGTGAAGGTCAGAAGAATGTATATTCTGTGGTTGCTGGGTGGAGTGTTCTTTGGATGTCTATTAGATACATTTGGTCTAGTGTCAAGTTTAAGTCAAGTGTCAAAGTTAAGTTTCTTTGTTAGAGTTCTGCTTTGATAATCTGTCTAATGCTGTCACTGGGGTGTTGATGTCTTCCACTATTAATGTGTGGCTAAATAAGTCTTTTGGTAGATAAAGAGGAACTTGTTTTCTCAATCTGGTTGCTCCAATGTTGGGTGCATATATATTTAAGACAGTTAGTTAAGTCTTCTTGTTGGATTGTATCCTTTATCATTACGTAATGCCTTTCTTAATTATTATTGGTTTTAAGTCTGTTTTATCTGATACAAGAATAGTGATTCTTGCTCTTTTTTTTTGTCGTCCTTTTGCTTGGTAGATCATTCTCTATCATTTTGCTTTGAGCTTGTGGATTTTATTATAGGTCTCTTGAAGACAGAAGGCAGTTAATTCTTGTCTTTTTATCCCGCCTGCCACTCTGTGTCTTTTAAGTGGGGTGTTTAATCCATTTAAACTCAAGGTTAGTATTGATATGTGAGATTTTGATCCTTTCATCATGTTGTTAGCTGAGTGTGATGTAGACTTGAACATGTAGTTGCTTTACAGTGTCTGCGGGCTATGTGCTTAAGTGTGTTTTTGGAGTAGCAGGTGTCATTTTTCAATTTCACGTTCAGCATTTCCTTAAGGACCTCTTGTAAGGCTGGTCTAATGGAAACAAATGTCCTCAGTATTTGCTTTTCTGAGAAGAATTTTATTTCTTCATTGATGAAGTTTAGTTTGGTGGGATATGAAAGTCTTCATTGGAATTTCCTTTTTTTAAGTTGCTGAAACTAAGCCCAATCTCTTCTGGGTTGTAAGACTTCTACTGAGAGGTCCATTGCCAGCCTGATGGGGTTCTGTCTGTATATAATATATATGACCTGACTCTTCTTTCTGGCAGCCTTTAAGATTTTTCCTTTTGTGTTGACCTTGGTGAATCTAATTTTGAGCCTTGGGGATGGTTGCCTTTTACAGCATCTGGCCAGAATGCTCTCTCTTTCTTGAATTTGCAAGTCAATTTCGCTAGCAAGATTGAGAAAATTTTCATGGCCTATGTCCTCAAGTGTATTTTACAAGTCTTTCATTCTTTCTCCTTTTCTCCCAGGAATTGCAATGAGTCATATATTTGATCTCCTTATAGAATCCCATATTTCTCTAAGGTTTTGTTCATTTTAAACTTATTTTGTATTTATTTTTTGTCTAATTAAGCCTGGTTTAAAGGACCAGTTACTGAGCTCTGAGATTCTTTCCTCACCTTGGTCCATTTTGCTGTTAATACTTCCGATTATATATCTTGTAGTGAATTTTTGAGCTCTAGAAGTTCAGTGTGGTTCTTTCTTTAAAAAGTTACTAATCTTTCAGTCCTTCCATCATTTTACTCTATTCCTTGCATTCCTTGGATTGGGTTTTAATTTTATCCTAAGTCTTGATGTGCTTTCTTGCTATACAAATTCTGAATTCTATGTCCATCATCTCAGTCATTTCAGACTGGTTAAGAACCATTACCAGGGAGCTAGTGGACTCCTTTGGAAGTAAGTACACACTCTGGCTTTTTAAATTGCCAGAGTACTTGTGCTGATTCTTTCTCCTCTGAGAGGGCTGGTGTTCTTTTAAAGGTGACTAAGTTGAGTATGGTCAGTTGGCTTTTCTTTTTGGGTGTTTTCAGAGGGCCAGACCTCCGTACAAGGTCTTTATTTGTGGCTGAGTTCTTGCTCTTGGTTTCACGGGGAAGTATATTAGCAAAAGATATTTGATGTTTTAGTTTGGGCTGTGATCCACTAAATGACACGTAAGAGTAATGACAGTAGATAGGCTCTTTACTCAGTCACACAGCTCCTTTGTCTTTTCTTGCATTTGCAGCCATGCTCTGCAGTGTGAGAGGGAGAGAAGTGACCCCCTCAGCAGGTCAACTTCTGGTCCTTGGGGGAGCTCCTCTCATCATTGGCACTGTGCCTCTGTGTCTTTTCTTTTCTGTTTTTTTTTTTTTTGAGATGGAGTCTCACTCTGTCACCCAGGCTGGAGTGCAGTGGCACAATCTCGGCTCACTGCAACCTCTGCCTCCCAGGTTCAAGCGTTTCTCCTGCCTCAGCCTCCCAAGTAGCTGGGACTACAGGCACGCACCACTATGCTCAGCTAATTTTTTGTGGTTTTAGTAGAGACAGGGTTTCACATGTTGGCTAGACTGGTATCGAACTCCTGACCTCAGGTGATCTGCCCACCTTGGCCTCCCAAAGTGCTGGGATTACAGGCATGAGCCAGTGCGCCCAGCTGCCTCTGTTTCTTTTATTAGATGTTCTGGACCATGGGGCTCCTTTGGGCAGATGCTGTATTATGGGGATAAGCCACACACTTTTTGAACTGGCCCTGTCAAGGGGGACATAACCAGTTCCTGTGCCACCCCATCAATCCCCACCTATTCTGAGTGTAGGCTCCTCCCCTGCTTGAGTAATGGCCACAGATCTTGGCTCGGCACTCCCAAGCTGCATGCTGAATTCCTGGGACAACAAGACTGGCTGGTGGCTCCATTCTCCAGATCCTTGGGTTGGCTTCTGGGTGCCCTAGGAGATCTGAAATGCTCTCAGGCCACCAGGAAAGTACTCAAATGCAAGAAAGCACCCAGACACTCTGAGCTTTTGGTGTTATAACTGCAATTTATACCATTTGACTGACACCACCCTCTTTGTTATATGTCCATGCCCCTAGTAACCACCATTCCGCTGTCTACTTCTGTAAGTTTAACTTTTTAAGATTCCACATATAAATGAGATTCTGCAATATTAGTCTTTTTTTGTCTGACTCCTCATCAGGGTAATGCAAATCAAAACCACAATGAGATAACACTTCATACCTGAGATGATGGCTACTATCAAAAAAGATAAGAGATAGCACAAGCGTTGGCAAAGATGTGGAGAAACAGCAAAGATTGCCAGAAAACCACTAGAAACAATGGGAAAAGCATGAAACAGGTTCTTCCTCACAGCCCTTAGAAGGAGCCAACCCCGGGCCCGGCGCGGTGGCTCACTCCTGTAATCCTGGCACTTTGGGAGGCTGAGGCAGACAGATCACGAGGTCAGGAGATCGAGACTATCCTGGCTAACACAGTGAAACCCCATCTTTATTAAAAATACAAAAAATTAGCCGGGCCTGGTGGCAGGCGCCTGAAGTCCCAGCTACTCGGGAGGCTGAGGCAGGAGAATCACTTAAACCTGGGAGGCGAAGTTGCAGTGAGCCAAGATTGCGCCACTGCACTCCAGCCTGGGCGACAGAGTGGGACTCAATTTAAAAAAAAAAAGAAGAAGGAGTCAACCCTGCCAACACATTCATCTTAGACTTCTATCCTCTAGAACTAAAAGACAATAAATTTCTGTTATTAAGTCCACTCACTTCGTGATACTTTGTCATGCCAGTCCTAGCAAGTCAGCACACAAGTGACATAATTCCTTTATGAGTCTATGTCCATTAACCAAAAATGGACATTTATGGAGGTCAGGAATTTATAATTGACAAGCATTGTAATTATGACCCAAGCAACATATTGATTTATTTGTTTTGTTTTCTTTAGAATACAGTTTTCCTAAAACATTATTAGGGTGCTACAAATTTTCAGTTTGTGAAATCATTTGAGTCTATGAAGTTGAAAGCATGTGTGTGTATGCATGTGTGTATCATCTTTCCAATCTAAAGCACATTCGCTGATACCCTGCGGGTGAGAAATCTATCATGAAAGAAGAATTTTTTTAATTTTACCACCTCTTCAAAATGCAGACTTTCTAATCCCCATAGGGATGTCCTGAGAACACCAAATAAAGTTATCCATCCTAACAAGTGTTCACAATTTTGACCAACAAACATAACCACCTACATATATCATCTCTAGTTGTCTGACTTATTTCTCATACGAATATTTATCAATAATTTATCATCTTTAACAAGTTTTATTCTTAATGTATTGGACAGTGTTAATAACTTTGGAATTAATAATATTTCTATATTCTCAAACAAAATTTATGTCATCCTGATGCTGTTTAATCTCCTTTCCTCTCTAAGAACTCAGAGTCCTCATGATTCACTCTGAGGATAATGGGACAGTATTCTTTAGAAAAACCCAGAAGATTTCCCAGCTGGCTCAGACTGGAAGCACACGCATCTCCCAAACAATATTCACGAATTACTGGTACAGTCTGCCAATCCTAGAATAAAGATTCTAATTCTTCCTTCTGCAGTGACATTTTTATTTCTCCTTTCATTTCATATAGCTCTGGTTCTCCCAAAAGAAAGCTCCTCAAATCTTCAACTCTCCGCTGAGTCATAGGTATTGCTCACAACTTCAATGGCTATAGCTTCCATTGTGACAGTGTGCCCTGAATTCTTTGTTGAGGATGTGCTGGTGCAGAGAGTAAAATCAGCGGGTGTCTGTACTTCTATATTAAGCTATAACCAATAATGAATATTGACATTTTGTTCTACTAGATTTATGTCCCAGCTTTGGTCTGTGGTGTCCAGTTTAGCAAGTGTAAGCACCTACGTGATTTGCTCATTTTCTGACCAGAAATAAGACGGTACTTCAGATAAACATATTCTTTTCATTTATTAATGTTAACCCATTTCAACAGACTCCAATACATCACTGGATAATCAGATCTTGCTAATTTCTTTTAATTTTGGGTGCCTAGGATCTCCTAGATGATGCAGAGAGAAATAGTGATTCTAGGTCAGTTTATTGTACTCTTTAACTTAATGAGATTAGTTCTATCATTTTATTTCTGAAGCGATGTTAAGTTTTAGTTGATGCAGTTTGTCAAGTAAAAAAAAATATATTGTTTCTAGTAATCCAAACATTTTATACCAAGATCTGTATAGAACTTTATCAAAGGATATTTTCTATGATAGTTGAATTGATTGTATTTTTCCTTTTAATTGGTTAAAGTGGTTAAGTTCATTATTTCCTACTCTATCTATGAAGATCTCAAGAGTAATTTAGGGATTCTACTAATTTTGAGAAGGGAGGATAGGGTGATGAAATTTTGCTATGTTTTTTATGAAGTATACTTTAATGTACTTAAAGAAGTTGGGTAAAATACCTAAATTTACTTTTAATTATTTTTTAATATTCTATAATATTTTACTTTTAACTTATCACACTTCTCCAAAATGTATCATGATTACATAGAAAAATAAGTCCGTGTGTGTATGTGTAAGTATATATAAGCACACATATATGTATGCATATGTGTATATATACACACATATTTACATTCAAATATATGTATACATATGCTTATATATTATGAATACCTTCATATATAGAAATGTGTACAATATGTATATACAAACATACTTAGATACATACAATATGTCTAAGCTTCATCATTTGGGAATCCTCCTTCAGGCTAACCCTTCTTAAAAATATTGTGTGACACTTAGAAGCCTTGGTTTAGAATTTGAATAATCCCTAACATTGGTTTTGTTGATTACTAGTTTTGCAATCTTAGGCAAATTATTTAATTTTCTGAACCTTTTGTCTGTAAATTAGGAAGACACAGGTATGATGCGTGTGTTGTGATGCTTAAAACAATGATGCTTGTGTTGTAACTAGCAGAAGACTTTATACACAAGAAGTGCTCAAAAAAAGTATTTTTTCAAAAATTATGTAATGTGACTATTCAATACAAAAGGCACTCTATAAAATAAAATCAAATTGATTAATGTACCTCAAAGATTCAGCTGTGTGGGTAATTATTTCTCAGTTTTTCTTTTGGTGATTTTATTTATTTTAAATTCACACCAAAAAAATTCATGACAGGAAAAGTAAAATTGTCCCTGCCAACATCATAGAATTCAAGTGAGAGATTAATGATGTCATATATAAAGCATCACTTTGAACTTCAGAAAGTCAATTAAATTTAAATTTATAAAAAAAAACAAATACTCAAACCTTTCTAGGTTTCAAGTTTCTATCTAAGCTGTAAGAAAAAGTTACAATATAGTCGTATGTTAAAGTACATGAGTCAATGATAGTGATATTTTTCTGTAATTTATGGAGTAATTATTTTATATGTTGTATATATTATTATCTGTATATAAGGTAATAGGTACCAGGTGGAAAAAAAATAGTGTTCACGTTAGTATTACTATGCTTGTTAAGATAATTTTAATTCAAAATCTATTAAGCACCACATATTATTTTACCAGGGCTGCCACAACAAAATACAAGAGACTGGATGGCTTAAACAACAGCAATGTATTTTCCCACAGTTCTGGAGTTGGGAAATCTGACATCAAGGTGTCAGCGGGTTTGGTTTTTGCTGAGGCCTCTCCTTGGCTTGCAGATGGCTGCCTTCTTGCTGTGTGTTCACGTGATTGTCTCTTAGTGTGTGCATTTGTCTGGTGTCTCTGTCTGTCTTAATCTCTTTTTAAAAGGACACCAGATATATTGGATTAGAACTCATCTTATTGCCTATTTTTTACTTAATTGCTTCTTTAAATATCTTGTCTCCAAATGGGTTGCATTCTGTGGTACTCAGATTTAGGGATTCAATATATGAATTGGGGGGATCACAAATCAGCCAATATCACATGAATTCTTTTTCTAGCAAAGAAAGCATCCATTCTATTAGGAGTCTTCCTTTACTTAATAGAAAACCAGCAGAACAGTACTATGTTTATACAAATGTAAATTAATTTACTTCTTCCTGTATGAGAGCACTCATATGTGTGTGCATGTGAAAACAAAAGTCATAAAGTCACTGTATATCTGAACACATGAATTTTAGTGTACTTTTAAGAGGATTGTCTTTCAAAGACTTAGAAAATCATTTTAAGTTTTCAAATGGAGTTAGACTAGACTGCTGGTTGCCCACATATAGTGTTTTGTATTTTGTGATGAATTATTTCAGACTTTGAAAAAATACTGTGATATTCTCTGGGAGACCTGGAGATTGAATGATCCACAGCAGATAGGAGAGAGGACTTCACACATAAATAAATGGATATGTGTGCTGTGTCTAACTTTTGAGTGGTAACAATCCTTGAATTTGAAGGAAGACGACATTTTCATGACTATTGAAGCTTTTGGAATCAGGACGTAGAAATGAAGAATCTGGTGAACTAAGGCATTAAAGTTAAAATAAAACCAGAAAATTTTGATAGATTGTGATTAAGTAGACCTTGAACATATGAAAACTTTCAGGGATCCTGATATTTGTCTTGGACCTTTGGGCCCTGAAAGTAATCACTTTTGTTACTAGGGGAAGTCACTTTTTTTTTTTTTTTAATTATACTTTAAGTTCTAGGGTACATGTGCACAACGTGGAAGTTTGATAAATAGGTATACCTGTGCCGTGTTGGTTTGCTGCACCCATCAACTCGTCATTTACATTGGGTATTTCTCCTAATGCTATCCCTCCCCCAGGCCCCCACCCCCCAACAGGACCTGGTGTATGATGTTCCCCACCCTGTGTCCAAGTGATCTCCTTGTTCAATTCCCACCTATGAGAGAACATGCAGTGTTTGGTTTTCTGTCCTTGTGATACTTTGCTGAGAATCATGGCTTCCAGCTTCATCCATGTCCCTGCAAAGGACATGAACTCATCCTTTTTTATGGCTGCATAGTATTCCATGGTGTCTATGTGCCACATTTTCTTAATCCAGTCTATCACTGATGGACATCTGGGTTGGTTCCAAGTCTTTGCTATTGTGAATAGTGTTGCAATAAACATATGTGTGCACGTGTCTTTATAGTAGCATGATTTATAATCTTTTGAGTATATACCCAGTAATGTGATTGCTGAGTCAAATGGTATTTCTAGTTCTAGACTCTTGAGGCATCACCACACTCTCTTCCACATGGTTGAACTAATTTACACTCCCACCAACAGTGTAAAATTGTTCCTATTTCTCCACATCCTTTCCAGCATCTGTTGTTTCCTGACTTATTAATGATTGCCATTCTAACTGGCGTGAGATGGTATCTCATTGTGGTTTTGATTTGCATTTCTCTGATGACTAGTGACGATGAGCATTTTTTCATGTGTCTGTTGGCTGCATAAATGTCTTCTTTTGGGAAGTGTCTGTTCGTTTCCTTTGCCCACTTTTGGATGGGGTTGTTTGTTTTTTTCTTGTAAATTGGTTTGTGTTCATTGTAGATTCTGTATATTAGCCCTTTGTCAGATGGGTAGATTGCAAAAATGTTCTCCCATTCTGTAGGTTACCTGTTCACTCTGATGGTAGTTTCTTTTGCCATGCAGAAGCTCTTTAGTTTAATTAGATCCCATTTGTCAATTTTGGCTTTTGTTGCCATTGCTTTTGGTGTTTTCACTTCAAGGACTTCCATGAAGTCCTTGCCCATGCCTATGTCCTGAATGGTATTGCCTAGGTTTTCTTCTAGAGTTTTTATGGTTTTAGGTCTAACATTTAAGTCTTTAATCCATCTTGAATTAATTTTTGTATAAGGTGTAAGGAAGGGATCCAGTTTCAGCTTTCTACACATGGGTTGCTAGTTTTCCCAGCACCATTTATTAAATAGGGAATCCTTTCCCTATTTCTTGTTTTTGTCAGGTTTGTCAAAGATCAGATGGTTGTAGATGTGTAGTATGATTTCTGAGGGCTCTGTTCTGTTCCATTGATCTATATCTCTGTTTTGGAACCAGTACCATGCTGTTTTGTTTACCGCAGCCTTGTAGTATAGTTTAAAGTTGGGTAGCATGATGCCTCCAGCTTTGTTTTTTGTTTGTTTGTTTTGTTTTGTTTTTGCTTAGGATTGTCTTGGCAATGCAGGCTCCTTTTTGGTTTCATATGAACTTTAAAGTAGTTTTTTCCAATCCTGTGAAGAAAGTCATTGGTATTTTGAGCTTACCAACCAAAAAAAGTCCAGGACCAGACAGATTCACAGCTGAATTCTACCAGAGGTACAAAGAGGAGCTGTTACCATTCCTTCTGAAACTATTCCAATCAATAGAAAAAGAGGGAATCCTCCCTAGCTCATTTTATGAGGCCAACCTCATCCTGATACCAAAGCCTGGCAGAGACGCAAAAAAAAATAAGAGAATTTTAGACCAATATCCCTGATGAACATCAATGCGAAAATCCTTAATGAAATACTGGCAAACTGAATCCAGCAGCACATCAAAAAGCTTATCCACCACAATAAGATCGGCTTCATCGCTGGGATGCAAGGCTGGTTCAACATACACAAATCAATAAACATAATCCATCACATAAACAGAACCAATGACAAAAACCACGATTATCTCAACAGATGCGGAAAAGACCTTCAACAAAATTCAATAGCCCTTCATGCTGAAAACGTTCAATAAACTAGGTTATTGATAGAACGTAACTCAAAATAGTAAGAGCTATTTGTGACAAACCCACAGCCAATATCACACTGGGCAAAAACTGGAAGCATTCCCTTTGAAAACTGGCACAAGACAAGGATGCCCTCTCTCACCACTCCTATTTAACATGGTGTTGGAAGTTCTGGCCAGGGCAATCAGGCAAGAGAAAGAAATAAAGGGTATTCAATTAGGAAAAGAGGAAGCAAATTGTCCCTGTTTGCAGATGACATGGTTGTATATTTAGAAAACCTCATCGTCTCCACCCAAAATCTCCTTAAGTTGATAAGCAACTTCAGCAAAGTCTCAGGATACAAAATCAATATGCAAAAATCACAAGCATTCCTATACACCAATAACAGACAAACAGAGAGCCAAATCATGAGTGAACTCCCATTCACAATTGCTACGAAGAGAGGAAAATACCTAGGAATCCAACTTACAAGGGATGTGAAGGATCTCTTCAAGGAAGTCACTTTCTGTATTGTACTTCGCTTAATACTTAAGCCTCCAGGAAAGTTTTGTTAGATATTGCAGTCAGGTCTAGGCTAAGTATTTTAAATTTTTTATTTTTATTTTATTTGGTTATAAGCGGTGTTCTGATCAGTGACAGAAGTGACTTGGGTCCACCTTTAACAGAACGTTGGTGTAGAGCAAATCAGCACAATCTTCTCCTCTATGAACATGTGTGTTGACTCATGCATACTCAAGAAACCCTGTGAAGCAGCCTTGAAAAGAGATTTTTCTGGCCAAGGTGATAAGCAAATACTTGTATAGATGTTATGACTGTGCAAATGGTTTGCAAGGAGACCTCAGAAATGACTTGCAGAAGAGAATTTTGAAAAAAAAATTTAATTGGCTCGAACACAATAGAAAGCCAGTCATTAATTGTAATAACTCTCTAGTGTTGATACTCTAAGGTATGAGCATACCTCAGAATTAGGACCAGTTCATATTATACTAAAAAATAAATATTGTCTTAAATGATATGGTGTTATTAGGTCACATTAAAATGAGGAACACTCATTTTGCTTCTGTTATAATTATCATCAAGTCATTCACAGCTAAAATATCTGGAATTGGTTCATACAGCTATTTACATTAGTCACCAAACACTCACTCATTTGGATAGTCAGCTGGGCTAAAGAAAAATATGTATTATAAAGATTACCTTAATTACTGAAAACACATCCTGGAGTATTTCTGCTTTCGTGAAACGAACAGCCAATAAAAAGTTTCTGGATTTTGAAAGGCCCAATTCACTATGGTATTGTAGTCCATAGAGAAAAGAAGCCCCTGGCATTTCCTTCTTTATCATAATTATGTTGCATTTCAATTATTATTCTAATTAATCATTAAACAGGCACTTCAGGCTTTGCTATGATGGTAGAATTGATTTCCACATTGCTTTGATGTCCCATGAACATGACCTCGTCAGTGTAACTCTAACCTTGAGATGCCTCTTCGTTTCCTTTTAGTAACTAGACACTAAATCTCTCAGACACATTCTGGAATCCAATGCTCTATATGTCTAATGTGTTAGAAGCTCCATTAGGATGTAACAAGATTTTAGCCACATTCCCCGCAGCACTTTGGGGTACTGCTGCTTCATGAGATTTTTCTCTAAAGTAACCTTTCAAAGTCAGCCACAAAACCTCTTATTCTAGATCATACTGGCATCTGACCTTTGTAAACTTACAAGAAAAAATAGGAAAAAGGAAGATGCTAAGGGAGACACAGTTATCTTTTTCAAAATGCAGCTAAACCCACAAGCTACAGAGATATCATGACCTATAAAGTTCAGAGCTGTGTTGATTCTTTCTAACAATTACCCACAGCTATTATGATTTCCTCCCATCACTAAAACTGTCATTGCTAAGATTATTGCCCCAGTTTGAGAAGGTAGAAGATTTAACACGTAACTAATATGCAAAGGATAGAGAGAAGAAGGGGAGAGGTTGATATGATCCCTGTCCTTTCACACTGTTAATATGCCAGGTGATAAAATGTCTCATTCACTCCGAAACATTATCACTATACAGGCACTCCTTACAGTGTTTGTTCTCATATATGTCTTCGTATTTTTTTTCCTTTTAAAGTGGCTCTGAGAAACGGCTAATGCACAATCTAATTATGTGATAATAAATGTTAATGACAGTATTATCAGATGATAACTAGGCTTCATTAATGTGTCTCATTATGATTCTCAGCCCCTTGTGGAAGATTGTGAAGAAAGGACCTTAGATATTCCAGATTATATTTGAATGTAGTAGTTACAGAGCCCATATCCAGGGAGAAAGGAAGATATCGGAGACACCTTTAAGCTCTTTCTCTAATTTTGCTTCTTCAAACCTAAGCATCCATCAATCACATCTCAAAATTTATCATATACCTTCAGCATAATGAAAATAGTAATTATAGTAATAGTAATAGTCCTGATATGACAAATAATATGTAAGATCATTTTAACTGTAACTGCTGATATATTTTGGTATAAGTATACAGGCATTTATGTCCCAAACATTATGACCTTGATTATCCATCAGCAAGTTCAAATCATTTAGAGAGGATACACTTATTTAAACGTTTGCACCTGTTAAATTTTGGTTCTGCTACACCATATATATATATATATATATATATATATATATACATACACATACACATACATATATATATATTTTTGTTGTTGTTGTTGTTGTTGAAATGGAGTCTCCCTCTGTTGCCCAGGCTGGAGTGCAGTGGCACAATCTCAGCTCACCGTAACCTCCGCCTCCTGGGTTCAAGTGATTCTCCTGCCTCAGCCTCTCAAGTAGCTTGGATTACAGGCATCTGTCAACACGCCTGGCTAATTTTGTACTTTTAGTAGAGACGGGTTTCTCCATGTTGGTCAGGCTGGTCTTCAACTCCTGACCTCAGGTGATCCACCCACCTCAGCCTCCCAAAGTGCTGGGATTACAGGCATGAGCCACTGCACCCAGCCAGCTACACTATTCTTAATATTCAAAGTAGCACTGTCAAGTTATCACACGAGTCATCACAATTTTTATTATTTTTCTATATTTACCCTCTATTTTAACTATGTAAATTTATCGAATGTTTTAATATTTGAGAGGACAAATCTACTATCACCGTTATTTAATGTTTTGTATTTTTTCTTAATTATTATATTTTTTAAATTGACATGTGATAATTGTACATATTTATGGGGTATGTAGTGATATTTTGATACATAAAATGAATAGTTAACAGATTCGTGTAATTCACATATCCATCATGTCAAAATTTATCATTTCTTTGTGATGGGAACATTCAGTATACCCCTTCTAGCAATTTGAAACTATATATTATTATCAACTACGGTCATCCCACAATGCTATAGAACACTAGAACTTATTTGTCTCTAGCTGTAATTTTGTATCCCTTGACAAATCTCTCTTTATCCTTCTCTCATCCCACCCTTCCCTGTCTCTAGTATATTCCATTCTATTTTTCCTCCTCTGAGATCAACTTTTTTTTAGTTTCCACATATGAGTGAGAACATGCAGTGTTTAACTTTCTGTTCTTAGCTTATTTTACGTAACATAATGTCCTCTTGATTTGTCGAGGCTGCTTCTTATAGTTTCTATTAGAAATATGTGTGTGTGCGCCTGTGTGTGTATAATGTAGGATATTTTAGGTAAACAACTAAATAGTTGTAAATAAGGCTGAACTGTATTTTTAAGGTTTTATTTGTGACTAATAATTTGTCTTATTAATAAAGCCTAGGTTAAAAAAATAAGTGGAAGACATATCTGTCACACACTATATCTTGGGAGTTTTGAAAAATAAAGTGTTGATTTCAGGCAAAATACTTAGTTCAACTGTAACTAAATCAGCAAAGATGTCATGATTCCATAAGGGAGCCACTCTAAATATAATGTTAAATGGAATATTTCATTATATTTTAGAAGTAGGGACTACTAGTTTGACATTAATGTTTTTGAGTATATGTGGTTGCATTTTTATATGTAATAAAATATTCAGTTGTCTTAAACTTAACATTCTTAAGGCCTAGGGCAAGGATAATAATCAAAACCTATATAGTGTATGTTTGCATATTTAAAAGTTATAAATCAAGTTAACAAACTGTTAAATAAAGTATGCTGTGTTCTCTCACTTTGACACATATACCTTCTCAATGAAATTCAGGTTTGGAACTAGAATTCTTGGGCCGTCAACATCCAGCACAGAATATGAGGACATAGAGAGAGCCAGTGCCCTGACCTGGTCTCACACCGTGAGAGGCCTTGTGTGTATACATTTTGGGTACCTCTGTTGATATGTTGAAACTCAGTCTACCACTGTAGCTCTAGCAAAAAGCTTCCCATTGGCCCACAGGGCCTCTAGTTGTGCACTCTGTATATGTGGTTCACCATGAAAGACAGAACTGGTGGAGAGGAACATGGATGCTGGAAGCAGTCTCAAAACCCTTTGAAGACAGAATTCTAAGTCTTTATGTTCTACAGCATGATCTCAAAGGTGGTAGGTGGGGGTGAGCAGCATCACCTCCAACTAACCTCATCCCCTTGGACCTGGTAAACTCCTTGTACTTTGGGGAGGAATGTGGCCAGAGAGAGGACCATAGTGGAGCCCTTGAAAGCACAGGCTCCAGGGCAAAGTGTTCTTTTGCTCAATTATATGGGCATTCTTCTTATGGGTGTAGTTATTTGCTTATTGCTATGTAATGATTTGGATTTAATAATGCTATATTGAAAGTGCAATGGCCTACAGAACTGAGGGATCATGTTTTAGCTTAAATTCAATAGAAAAAAATGACTCCTTTATAAAAAAAAGTATTTAAATTTGTAAGTTGTCATCCCTATCCACTAAGGGATATTAAATGTATTAAATGCTGGGAAATATATATGCACATATATATTTATATATGTATGTATGTGTGTGTGTGTGTGTGTATATATATAAAATAGTGATCAGAGAAAAAGACAAATGAAGACAAACAGCAATGAGGATAAAAATGGTCCAAACATATGAACTCCCAGATGCCATTTTGGAGGAAAATAAAAATTTCCATAGAAATCAATAGATAAGGAACAGACATTTAAGAAAATGTGCTTGGAACAAGTGCACATAAAATAAATAAAATTTAGTATAATGGTCCTGAAGGAAAAAAATGTTATGCATGAAAACAAGACATTATGGAATATGAGAAAATTAGATGCTGAAGAAAATAATTGATTGGACTAAAATTATTCCATTAGGCACTCTGATTAATACTCATTATTTAGTGGGGAGAAATATAGAGGTTGTTATTAGAAGACCCAATAGGCCCACTATAACCTTTATATATCATTATATATATTTATATTGATCAATTTTACAGCTTCCAGTTTAAAGAAAGGTTCATTCAGCCTCAGTAGATGCATTTTCTATATATTATAGGTATCTGTATATAATTACATATATGTGTATATTATATTGAATATTGACAGATTATAATCACTTACATTTATAGGGTATAGAGTTATGCTTTAATATATGCATCCAATTTGGAATGACTAAATCAAGTTCATACCCATCGCCTCTAATAATTACCATTTATTTCTCCTGTCTCACAGAAATATTGCACTCTTTCAACAATATCTCTTCATTCCTCTCACTCCTAAATCTCTGGTAACTATTCTGTTCTCTACTTCTAGAATTCAGCTATTATAGAGTCCACATAAAAGTGAGAACATATGGTATTTGTCTTTCTGTGCCTGGCTTATTTCACTTAGCATAATGTCTTTGTATTAGTCCTTTTACACACTGCTGTAAAGAACTACCTGAGACTGGGTAATTTGTAAAGAAAAGAGGTTTAATTGACACACAGTTCCTGAGGCTGGAGAGGCCTCAGGAAATGTACAATCATGGCAAAAGACAAAGGGGAAGCAAGCCATCTTATATGGTGGCAGGAGAGAAAGAGTGTGAAGGGGGAAGTGCCACCAGATCTTATGAGAACTCACTCACTATCACAAGAACAGAAAAGGGGAAGTGTGCCCCCATGATTCAATTACCTCCCACCAGGCCCCTCCCCCAACATGTTAGAATTACAATTTGAGATAAGATTTGGGCAGGGACACAGAGCCAAACCATATTGTTCTGCCCCTGGCCCCTTTAAAATATCATGTTCTTCTCACTTTTCAAAGCCAATCATGCCTTCCCAAGAGTTCCCCAAAGTCTTAACTCATTCCAGCATTAAACCAAAAGTCCAGTCCAAAGTCTTTCTGAGACAAACAAGTCCCTTCCGCCTATGAGCCTGTAAAATCAAAAACAGATTAGTTACAATGGGGTTACAGGCATTGGGTAGATAACTCCTGTTCCAAAAGGGAGAAATTGGTCAAAACAAAGGGGCTATGGGCCCCATCCAAATCCAAAACCCAGCAGGACAGTCATTAAGTCTCAAAGCTCTGAAATAATCTCCTTTGACTCCATGTCTCACATCCAGGGAATGCTGATGCAACAAGTGGGCTCTCAAGGCCTTAGGCAATTCTACTCTTGTGTCTCTGCAAGATACAGCCCCTTTGATTGCTTTCAGGGCTTGGCATTGAGTGCCGACAGCTTTTCCAGGCAGCCAGGGCGAGCTATCGGTGAATTTATCATTCTGGGTTCTATAGGACTGTGGCCCTCTTCTCACAGCTCCACTAGGCAGTGCCCCAGTGGGAACTCTGTGTGAGGGCTCCAACCCCACATTTCTCCTGTGCACTGCCCTCATAGAGGTTTCCACGACAGCTCCATTCCTGCAGCACACTTCTGCCTGGATATCCAGGCACTTCCATATATTATCTGAAATCTAGGTGGAGGTTCCTAAACCTCAATTCTTGTCTTCTGCACACCTGCAGGCCCAGCAGTATGTGGAAGTTGCCAAGGCTTGGGGCTTGCACCCTCTGAAGCAGTGGCATGAGCCATGGCTGGAGCTGGAGCTGCTGGGACACAGGTCTTCACGTCCCAAGGCTGCACAGAGGACCGAGGACCTGGGCCCAACCCAAGAAAAAATTTTTCCCTTCTAGGCCTTTAGGACTGTGATGGGAGTTGCAGCCGTGAAGATCTCTGAAATGCCCTGAGGACTTTTTCCTCATTTTCTTGGAGATTAACATCAGGATCCTCTTGATTTATGCAAATTTATGCAGCCAGCCTGAATTTCTCCCCAGAAAATGGGTTTTTATTTTTTTAACCACATGGTCAAGTTGCAAATTTTCCAAACTTTTAATGTCTTCTTTCCTTTTAAACATAAATTCCAATTTCAAACCATCTCTTTGTGAATGCATGTGACTGTACACTTTTAGAAACTGCCAGGTCAGGGCGTGGTGGTGCATGCCTGTAATCCCAGCTACTTGAGAGGCTGAGGCAGGAGAATCGCTTGAACCTGGGAGCTAGAGGTTGCAGTGAGCCAAAATCACACCACTGCACTCCAGTCTGGGTGACAGAGCGAGACTCCGTCTCAAAAAAAAAAAAAAAAAGGAAAAGAAAAAGAAACCACCAGGTCAAATCTTGAATGCCTTTCTGCTTACAAATTTCTTCTGCCAGATGCCCTAACTTCTCTCTCTCAAGTTCAAAGCTTAACAGATCTCTAGGAGAGGGGCAAAATGTCACCAGTCTCTTTGCTAAAGCATAGAAAGAGTGACCTTTACTATAGTTCACAATAAGTTCCTCATCTCTATCTGAGACTACCTCAGCCGGGACTTTATTGTCCATATCACTATCGACATTTTGATCAAAACTATTCAACAAGTCTCTAGGAAGTTCCAAACTTTCCCATATCTTCCCGTCTTCTTCTGAGCCCTCCAAACTCTCCCAACCTCTGCCCGTTACCCAGTTCCAAAGTCACTTCCACATTTTCAGGTATCTTTGTAGCAGTGCCACACTTTCCCGGTACCAGCTTTCTGTATTAGTCCATTTTCACATTGCTATGAAGAACTACCTGAGACTGGGTAACTTATAAAAAAAAGTTTTAATTGACTCATAGTTCATGGCTGTAGAGGACTCAGGAAGGTTACAATCATGGCGGAAGGCAAAGAGAAAGCAAGGTACATAGTGACAGGAGAGAGCACAAAACGGGAAGTGCCACACACATTCAAATAATCAGATCTCATGAGAACTCTATCACTATCATGCTAACAGCCAGGGGGATGTCCGCCCCCATGATTCAATCACCTCCCATCAGGCTCCACCCCTGAAATGTGGGGATTACAATTCTAGATGAGATTTGCATGGGGACACAGGGCCAAAGCATATTGGTCTTCCAGGTTTATTCATTTTGTTGCAGATGACAGAATTTCCCTCTCTTAATGCTGAATAATATTCCATTGTATATATATACCACCTTTTCTTTATTCATTCATCTCTGATGGACACTTGGTTGATTCCGTAACTTGGCTGTTATGAATGATACTTCAATATCTGAAGTGCAGATATCTCTTCATCATGCTGATTTCATGTATTTTAGACATACACTCAGAAATCAGATTGCTGGATCATATGGTAATTTAATTTTTAGCTTCTTAAGGAACCTCCATGCAGTTTTCTGTAGTGGTTGTACTATTTTACAGTTTCACACACAAAATACAAGCTTTCCCTTTTCTCCACATCCTCCCTAATACTTGTAATCTGCATTTTGTATATTTTTAATTTTCTGAGTTAAATAAAATGTATTTAATGCAGTAAATATATATTTGGATCAGATGATCACTTCAGAGCTATTGCCACCAAGGTTCTTATGCAAGACTCTTCTTGATAAGGTAGATTGCAGAAGTAACAAAAGAGGTTTCAATAAACATAACTTTGGCTGTGTGTACTTCCTATTACTCCAGCAATGCATAATGGAGGTAAATATTAGGACTTCATGTGGATAATTTATAGAATGTAAATTTGATGTATGTATATCCAATCCATTTCTAAGTATGAGATATTATAGGCAAACATTTACTTTCTGTCTGAGTAGAACATTTCTCGCTGACAAGGGAGATGATTTTTATGTTGTTATTTGCATTTGCAAAAGAACACTATCTTTTCTTTATCAAGATGTTCTTGATCCTGTGTGAAATATTTTCAGAAAAATTAAAGAGAAATTAAACTTAGACAATTCCCTCTTATACACCTGAAGCAAGCCCCTTGACACTCAAATAGTCACATAATAATTCTTTCCTCTTTTTGTGGAAAAAGCCTATAATAAAAGCTAAATAAATTTAGTATTGACTATTAAAGTCAAGAAAGTCACAACAAATATTGTGTTTACCATTTTCAACAAAACCTATTTTATTTATTACAATATAAGAAATATGAAATGCATATATCTCTCGTGTGAAATAATTTTTAAATTTTTCTGTTGAATATTTCATGTCATTAATAGACGTGAAACCTTTTAAAAATATATAAAAGGATGTAATCACTGTTCCTTCGTTTTGATTCATGAATGTTTAGAAATGTGCAGACAATGTGCTGTACTTTTGCAGAACACAGTAGGTCACATGCAAAACCAGTGGTCACTTGCCCTCCAACAGTGAGGTTCTGAAACTCCTCACAACTCTACATAAGAAAATTTCCCCAGAAAAATGTGAAACTCAGTGTGTTAAGATACAATATGATGCAATTTTTTGAATAGGAAATAGATAAGCATTGTAATAATTCAATGTTTGATCTCTTAGTTTTATAAAATGTATACTTTGTTAATTATTTTAAAATACTAAAAAATAGAAGTTACCTCTGCTTTTGGCAGGTACCTCATATAACTTATTGTTGAAGATATGAGAAGTAAATGGAGAAATATTATAAAATTTCCTTAGCTTATATGCATGGACCCTTGGGTTATATTCCTGAGAGCTTGCTGGAGCTGTGGAGGTTACGTATACAACATTTAGTGAGAGTGATGCTTAGCAATTTGTCATCTGGCCAACCCACTCATCACCCATCTCATTTTGCTGATGAAGATAGCTGAATTCCACCTTTTGTGGCTTTAAAAATGACTCAAAGGTAGAGAAGTTTTGTCATGCTTGCCTTCTCTTTCCTTTCTTTCCTCTCTCCATCACCTCTTGGAGTCAGAAAGGATAGAGGTGAGGCTGAGAGATTTGAGTCCATTTCCTCCCCTTCCTTGCCTTGTAATGGAGAGGGCCAACCTGAGAGTGGCGTATAGGAGATATCAAATCTCTATAGCATAAACCCATTTTTAGGAATCATGAAACTATAACAATTTAGTGGAGAATCAATCACTTTTGTAGAAGAACTTCTCATTTCTTTCCCCAAAATAGGTCAGATTACTTAAAACAAAAACTATTTGAGGAAGTCTTCCTCACTTGTCCTTGAATATAAAGACTGCTTAAGACAAAACAAAAATCCTAATCTGGTGATATAATTTGGATATGTGACCTCACCCAAATCTCATGTTGAACTGTAATCCCCAATGTTGGAGGTGGAGTGTGATGGGAGGTGATTGGATCATGGGGGTGGATCCCTCATGAATACCATCCCCTTAGTGCTGTTCTTGTGATAGTGAGTGAATTCTCACAAGATCTCATTGTTTACAGGTGAGTAGTGCCTCCTCCCATCTCTCTTGCTCCTGGTCTCATCGTGACGGGCCTGGTCCTGCCTCACTTTCTGCCATGACTAAGAGCTCCCTGAGGCCTCTCCAGAAGCAGGTATCACTATGCTTCCTACACAGCCTGCAGAACCGTGAGCCAATTAAATATCTCTTCTTATAAGTTACCTAGTCTCAGGTATTTCTTTATAGCAGTGCAACAACAGCCTAATACATCTGGCAATGTTTTTGGATGTGATTATAGATAAAAATAAATCTAAAAAGTTTACCAGCTTTCCAGGGATCTAGCCATCTTTATACAAAGGGCTTCAAAAATAAACTAATTAATAAAAGGACGGCTAATCATTAGAACAACATTTCAGTATCTGTGTGGGTGTTATATTTTATCTGTTAGTAAATATTTTATAATAAGGGAGCATGTTTCTTTCTGACTTGACATTAAAGTACCTATACATCTGTTAAAAAGTGCTTTGACCTTTAGCAATGTGGTATGATCAACGATATTATAAGCTGATTTAGGTTAGAAAAAAGACACATGGGCTTATCAGTTTTAGAAGTAGACATCTGTGTGCAAAAAAAATGTATTTCTGTATTTCAAGCACAAAATTAAGAACACTTAATTTTTCCTTTGGAAAAAAATTAAACACATACACTCGCATACGTATACCACTCATACACAAACACCTATTGTTTGAAGCTTTGCTTTAAAACATAACATTTTAGAAATAAAATCGTGGATAGAAGGAGACAAGTGTTTAGTATGAAAAAAATTGCAGCATTTATCAATTAGAATATACTCATTAATTTGGCAAAGCCAAATGTGATTACAAATTAAACTGTGTCTTAAACCAGTAATTTTCATTTGTAGCATTTAAAGCACAAAGAAAAAAAAAAAGCATATCTGTTCTGCTGTCCTGGAAATTGGGAGTACAACATAATCATTGACAACATGAAGAGAATATAGATCAGGGTGTAGAGTAGTTAAGAAAGATTTTTCTGAGAATAAAATATTGAAGACAAAAAAGAGCCTGTTTTAATCTATTCCTGTGACCTCAATTTCTGAGATGACATGCAAGGAACTAAAATACACACACCTCATGTTTGCTGAAAATCTGATATTATTTATATGTATATATGTTTATGTAGATGTAGATATGGATGCATGCATGTATGTATGTGCATTCATATACACACAGGCCCAGATCAAGTCCAACACCAACAGGGCAAAATATATCAAATTGTAAGGGCTGCAGCTCTCCAGTGCTGAAATCTGGGTTCATGGAGGCAGCCTTGCCCCCATGGCTCTGCTGGCATTACCTTAGTTGGTGCTCTCTGTGATAGCCTGTCCCCATGGCAGTTCTCTGAGGTGGGCCCATCCCTGTGGGTTCTCTGCCTGGACCTTCTAGCTCTCTCAGGGCATCCTTTGAAATCTAGTCACATCCCCTCTGCTTTCCTGGGTGAAATACACACTTCGCTAAGGCTGCTGATTTCACTGGTGGGGTGACTGAGGAGGAGAACTGCAGAGTGCGGGGAGTGGAGACTGCAATGTGAGGAGGCTGTTATAATCAGTGGTGGTCTCTCTTTTGATAAACTTCTGCCCCCCAGACCCTGGAATTCTGGGCTCGTGATGGGAATGGCAGCATAGACAATCTCTAAAATGCCTTCAGGGTCATTCTTCCATTGCCTTTTACAATAAGCCCTGGCTTCTGTTTAGATGGCAGCATAACCCTTTCATTATTTTTGATGAATAGCACCTACCTTCCATTGAGGTGGCCTATCCATACTAATCTACTTATCCAACAGTTGGTTGGCCCACACTTGTTCTCTCCCAAACAGGTTTCCTCATGCTTTCCAATGTAGATAGGCTGAATCTGCTTCAAGATTTTGAAGTTCTGCTTCCCTTTTGGTTACAATCAATTTTAAATCATTTTTCTCTTTGCATATTTTACTATCAGCAGGCAAGAGGAACCAGGCCACTCTTCCAATACTTTGCTCAGAAATTTCCTCAGCCAAATATTCTATTTCAGTGCTTACAATTTCTACTTTCCTGAAAACACGAGGAAAATTCAGCCAAATTCTTTACTCCTTTATTAAGAGAGTGACCTTTTCTCCATTTTCCAATGACATGTTCCTCATTTCAACCTGAAACTTCATCAGTGTGACCTTTACCAAGCTTATTTCTGCCAGCATTATATTCTTGACTACTTAGTCTCTAAGAAAATTCCAGCTTTCTCTACAGCTTTTCTCCTGTCCTTCAGAGCTCACACCAGACTCACATTCTAAAGATCCTTTCAGAGCTGTGTTGACTTTTTCTACCATGCACTTTGAAACTCTTTTAGCCTCTACCCACTACCCAATCCCAAAACGTCCCCACTTCCATATGTTTAGGTATATGTTATAGCATAGAGCACCCCCACTCTTTAGTACTAATTTTCTCTTAGTCTGTTTGAATTGCTGTAATAAATTGATACATACTATGTAGCTTATAAATGACAGACATTTATTTTTCATAGTTTTAGAGGCAGGGAAGTTTAAGATCAAGGCACCAGCAGATTAGGTATCTGGTGAGGGTCAGCCTACTTGCTGGTTCATAAACATCTGTTTTTTTGCTATAAATTCAAATGGCGGAACAGCTCAGGGGGAGGTCTCTCTCAGACTTATTTTATAAAGTCACTCATTTCATTCATGAAGGCTTTACTCCGATGACCTAATCATTTTCCAAAAGCCCCACCTCCTTATACCATCATTTTGGGGATTAGAGTTTCAACATGTGAATTTTGGAAAGGTACAAATGTTCAGACCATAACAGGTAAAATATCATTTTTCTAATTCTCCCTGTGCAAATATTTACAAATGCCAAATGACATGGTTTGGCTCTGAGTTCCCACCCAAATCTTATCTTGAATTGTACTCCCATAATTCCCAAGTGTTGTGGGAGGGAGCTGGTGGGAGATCATTTGAATCATGGGGATGGTTTTCTTCATAGTGTTCTCATGATAGTGAATAAGTCTTCTGAGATCTGATGGTTTTATCAGGGGTTTCTGCTTTTGCATCCTCATTTTCTCTTGCCGCCGCCATGTAAGAAGTGCCTTTCATATCCTGCCATGATTCTGAGGCCTCCCTAGCCATGTGGAACTGTACCTCCAATTAAACCTCCTTTTCTTCCCAGTCTCAGGTATGTCTTTATAAGCAGCATGAAAATGGACTAATATGATGAGTTATTTGTTAACAACAACAACAAAAACAAATAGGACTTTGTTATTATAACAGTTGCCCAACTTTTAGCTCCTTTGACAAAACATGTTAATAATGAAATATAAAATGAAGTGAAATGTTTAATTAATCTCATGAATTTGCCTCCTTTAAAAAATATGTGAATATACCTACACACACTATGGGAATTTTCAAAGCCTTCCTAAAGCAGTGACATTTATCAGAATAAAAGTAATCATTAAAGAAAATATGGAAGATGTTCTTAATGATCTCTGCCTGAGATATTTTTAAACATTTATAAAATTATTGGTTTTAGTAAAAATTGAGGGGAGACAAGGATTTAATGGTTAATAAAATTTCTCAATGCAGGAAGTAAATGAGGAATCACATGCTCATTCATTGCTATTACTATATCACATAACCTAAATAAAGGGGGACGGGTATTGTATTAGTCTGTTTTCATGCTGCTGCTGATAAAGACATGCCTGAAACTGGGCAATTTACAAAAGAAAGAGGTTTCATGGACTCACGGTTCCACGTGGCTGGGGAGGCCTCACAATGATGGTGGAAGGTGAAAGGCATGTCTCACATGGCGTTAGACAAAAGAAGAGAACTTGTTCACGGAAACACCTCTTTATAAAACCATCAGATCTTATGAGACTTATTCACTATCATGAGAACAGCATGGGAAAGACCCACCCCTATGATTCAATTACCTCCTAACAGTTCCCTCCCACAACACGTGGGAACTGTGGGAGCTATAGTTCAAGATGAGATTTGAGTGGAGACACAACCAAATCATACCAGGTATTAAGTAAGTAAATATGGCATATTGTTCTTTTCCCATTAAATGCATTTACTGTCAAATTTCCATTTGCCTTTTTTTCAAATCCTCTTTTCAAACATACAGTTTGCTTTCCCACTCTGAAAAAAAAAATGTGATTTATGAAAATTTCACAAGACTATAGATGGCTATACTTAAAGTAAGAATATAAAAAACTGAAACTGATATGATCTAAAACAAAAACGTCAGTTCAGGAAATACAAATCAAGAGTAGAAATATTTGAGTTCCTGAATATCATAGTTCTGAAACATGCATGAATGCCAAAGTGAATTTCTAGGTCTGATTAGAAATCTACTGAATTTCTAAATCTGGACCATTAGACCAAATGTTATTTATTGTAAAAGCATTAGGTGACTTAAACAGGACTTTCACTTGAGGTAGTATTAAAATTAGGAACAATCCATTCCTCAAGTTTAATCAAATACCGATGTTTCTGTTTAGAAAAATGTGTGGGAGAAAGTCAAAAGTACTGCAGTAAGCAAAATAAGAGGCCCCCAAAGATATCCAGCTCTTAATCTCTGGAGTCTGTGAATATGTTATTATGTTACATCGCTTAAGGGAGTTAAGGGTTCAGATGGAATTTGGCGTTTAAAAATGAAGATTATACTGGATTATCTGGGTAGGCATAATGTATCACAAGGATCCCTAAAATATGGAAGAGGGAGTTAGGGGAGTTAGTATCACAGTGATGCGCAATGTGAGAAAGACTCAACTGTCCGTAGCTGGTTTTCAGGATAAAATGGGATCATGACCCAAAGAATCTGGGCAGCCTCTCAAAGTTGGAAAAGGCAAGAAAACAGATTCTTCCCTAGAGTTTCCAAAAATGAATGCATCCCTGTGGACACCTTGATTTTAGCACAGTGAGACATATTTTGGACCTTTGGCTTCCAGATCTGTAAGGTCATAAGTTTGTGTTGTTTTATGCCAGAAAGTTTGTTGTAAGTGCTTATAGCTGCAATAGAAAACAATACAGTTGTTTATAAAAGGGAGATTCCCTAAGCAGAGTATAATAGAGAGACGGTTGCTTGTGAGGGGTGGCAGAGAGGCATGGAGGAATCTCTATGGCACTATGTCCCTGACATCTAATCTTTAAAGTTGTACAGGATCTGACAAATAAGAGAACCTTGCCCTATCATTGGGATAATTCTCTTTAGAAAACTGGGGAAGCTTTTAATGTCAAAGAGCTATGACATTTTAGCACTATGAGGTAGATTAAGATTTCTCCCTTAGGATAGTAACACTCAGAGATATTGATCAGATTCTAAGAGCTTGAATTGTTGTTTTTTTAAAAGAATATTCTGAGTTATACCATTTCGATGGCATTTAATGTAGAAGATTAAGAGCTGACATTATTTCAATTTTTAAAATAAGAGACAATAATAGCAATAAAAACACACTTTTTCTGCTGTGTTTTGTTTTTTGTTGCTCTGAATTTTGGACACATATGAGTCAGTGAGGTTCATTGTCTGCATACAAATATGTGTTGGTAATGTATATACAAACACACACACTACACATATATGTAAATATATATATATGTATACACACATATAAGTTTAGATAGAGAGATAGTGAACACTAAGAAAGGAAAAGAAGCAATATTTAATGATAAAGCGATTGTAACCTTTTCAATGTGATGAAAAGCAGGAATTACAAACCCAGAAGCTCAACACAGTACAATAGGATGAAAACAAGGAGATCCAAATCAGACACATCAAGTAAAATGTTGAAAGCCAAAGAGAGAGAGAAAATCTTGAAAATAGCAAGAAGAAAACTATTTATCATTTGTAATAAAAGCCCAAGTTAACAGTGAATTTCCAACTAGAAAAAAATACATGTCAGAAGGCAATGGAATATTATGTTAAATGTTAAAATTAAAACCAGCCAAAAAAAAATCTGTCAGCAAAGATCTTATGTACAACAAAATGATTTTCAAAACTGAAGACAAAAGAAAGACATTCCCAGATAAACAAAAGCTGAGTGAATGTGTTGTTGTCAATCCCAGCTAATACAAAATATGGAAGCAGGTTTTCAGGCTGAGAGCTAGTGATAGGTAGACAGCAATTCAAATTCACATGATAGGCCGGACATGGTGGCTCACACCTGTAATCCCAGCACTTTGGGAGGCTGAGGCAGGTGGATCATTTGGGGTCAGGAGTTCTAAAGTTGCCTGACCAACATGCAGAAACTCTTTCTCTACCAAAACTACAAAAATTAACAGGCGTGGTGGTGTGCACCCGTAATTCCAGCTACTCGAGCGGATGAGGCAAGAGAATCACTTGAACTCAGGAGGCAGAGGTTGCAGTGAGCCAAAACCATGCCCCTGCACTCCAGCCTGGGCAACAGAGTGAGACTCTGTCTAAAGAAAAAAAGAATCACATGATAAAAAGCAGAATACTGGTAAAGATAATTATGCAGATCACTATAAAATATAATTATATAGTTACACAGATCACTACAAAAAATATAAGATGAAGTATAATTGATATTTCTTCTACTCTTTTTTCATAGTTGATTTTAAAAGCAATTGTATGAAATAACATTTACATATTTGTATTTATTGAGCCATCAGCGTAAAAATGCAATGTATTTGACAATAACAGCACAAAGAATGGGGATGGAAACAAAGCATACTACATTGGAGTGAAGAACTTGTATCAGATCCTTTTTTTTTTTTAATTTTTATTTTGAGATGGAGTCTCACTCTGTCGCCTAGTCTGGAGTGCAGTGGCATGATCTAGGCTCACTGCAGCCTCCTGCCTTAGCCTCCTGAGTAGCTCGGATTACAGGCACCTGCCACCATGCCCAGCTAATTTTTGTATTTTTAGTAGAGACAGGGTTTCAACATGATGGTCAGGCTGGTCTCCAACTCCTGACCTCAAGTGATCCGCCCACCTCGGCCTCTTGAATTGCTGGGATTATAGGCGTGAGACACCATGCCTGGCCCTTGTATCAGATCTCCAGAGAGAAATGAAGAGAAATAGAAATGGTAACTAATAATGTTTGTTGGGGTTGTAACACCTATGGGCCCACTATGTATGAGATGATAACACACAAAAAGGAGGGGAGGAATTAAGCTCTACAGAAATAAAACTGCTGTGTTACACTGGACCTAAGTCAGTATAATCTAAATTGTATGGAAGTTAATATTCATATTTAACACCCTGAAACCATCACTAAGAAAATATCTAAGTAATATTATTAAAAATCACTAAAAGAATTAAGGATTATACTAGAATATAGCCACTTAATATGAAATAGTTAAAAGGAAACAGAAGTGCAAAGACACATGAAGGATATAGAAAGAGATAGAAATATGGATGATGTATTAGATATCACTCCCACATATCAGTTACAACATTAAATGTGAATAGATTAAACAATATAATTAAAAGTCAAAGATTATGAGTTTCAATGAATAAAATCAATATCCAGCTATATGTTTACAAGGGAGGTACTTCAGAATCAGAAATTAAAATGTATTTACAATAAAAGGATGAAAGGATATACTGTGCAAAAAGCAATCGTGAGACCTGGAGTGAAACTTTAAAAATGTTGCTAGAAAGGCCGGGCACAGTGGTTCATGCCTGTAATCCCAGAACTTTGGGAGGTGAAGGCAGGCAGATCATTTGAAGTCAGGAGTTCAAACCAGCCCGGCCAACATGGTGAAACCTCATCTGTACTAAAAATACAAAAAATTAGCTGGGCGTGGTGTCAGGCGCTTGTAATCCCAGCTACTCAGGAGGCTAAAGCAGGAGAATCGCTTCAACCTGGGAGACGGAGGTTGCAGTGAGCCGAGATAGCATCTCTGCACTCCAGCCTAGGTGACAAAGCAAGACTCCATCTCAAATAACAAAAATAAAATTTTAAAAAATGTTGCTAGATAGAAGGAGGGACAGTGCATAATGCTAAGAGTCAATAGATTTGGGAATATATAAAATTTAAGCATTTAACAACAGAATCCAAAGATACTTTAGATAAATATTGACAGAATTGAAGGAAAGAATAGACAATTCAACAGTAGTAGTTGGAGATTTTAATACCTCTTTCAATGAGAATAGAACAAGGAGACAGATCAATAAAGAAAAAGATTTTAACACACAACTAACTGTAACACACATCTATCTATAGGACACTCTATTTAGCAAAAGCAGAAAGCATACTTTTTTAAAGTGCACGTGGAACATTTTTAAAAGCCTCAATAAAATTTTTTAAAATTGCAATAATACAAATTATATTCTTCAACCTCAATGAAATTTTAAAAATCTTCAAAAGGAAATTTGAGAAATTTACAAATATGCAGCTATCAAACAACAGATTCTTAAATAAGCAGTGGGTCGAAGAAATTACAAGAAAGGTTTGAAAATGCTTTGAGATGAATATAATGTACATATAAAATGGTAAAAAGTATACAAAAAACTAAAGCAGTTTTCAGAGTGAAACACATAGCTATGAACATTTACAGTAAAAAAGAACAGTATCCAAAATAAGTAACCTAAAAATTACTTTAAGTTTGTTCCAAGAGAAAATTTATAGAAATAAATTAAAAACATGATCAAAGATTTACTGCAGAGAGTTTAGAATTCAGAGAATATGAGAGTTTGAAATGTGCAGATATATAATAAGAACATCTAAGATATATCTAACAAAAGGTTTAAAGAATTATAGGGTGTGAAAAAGGCCATACTAATCAAGACATACCAGCTGAAAGTTTTTTTTTTTTTTTTTTGACACAGAGTCTCGCTCTGTCACCCAGGCTGGAGTACAGTGGCGCCATCTCAGCTCACTGCAAGCTTCGCCTCCCGGGTTCACGCCATTCTCCTGCCTCAGCCTCCCGAATAGCTGGGACTGCAGGTGCTCGCCACCACGCCCAGCTAATTTTTTGTATTTTTTAGTAGAGATGGGGTTTCACCGTGTTAGCCAGGATGGTCTCGATCTCCTGACCTTGTGATCCTCCCGCCTAGGCCTCCCAAAGTGCTGAGATTACAGGCATGAGCCACCGTGTCCGGCCACCAGCTGAAGTTTTTCCAGAATTGGCGGAAGATGTCCGTCCTCACCTCAGGCAGCACAGTTTTCAAAACTACTGTACCTTTGTATTCTAAAATTGTGTCTCTCACCAAGCATATACTTAGCAGACATTTGTTAAATGAATCTTAGATACATTATGATGAAACTATCCAGCATTAGATATGAAGATATAATTTTTAAATCTAATACTCATTTAGATTGCTTACTAAGAAACAGCAACAAGGTGAAACAAAATTTCCAACAAACACAGAGCTGGATAATTTCTTAGAAGGAATGCTGGCAGAAAATAATTCTCCACCTAGAATTATATATCCAAATAATGATAATTTCAAATTATTATTTATAATTTTGAAAATATTAATGACACTATTTTTGATGGCCAAATAAAAAAAAAGTTGAACAAAGTGCCTAAGGCTAGGAGAACATTATTGAATAAATTTTTTTATTTTTATTACCTTTCAGAAAGTAGACACAGATCCTCCTATGATGTGTTAGAATGATTAATGGGACCAGAAACTGCACAAATAGTGGTGAATCTAAACAAATATTGATGACCTATAAATATTCTATACTGGATATTTTGTTGGAAAAAGTGATGAAATTAAGACACAGGGCACAATGATGTGTTAGAAGAGAGATGGCTGAGAAGTCATGAAATAATATTTTACGTTGCTCACAAAGTGCAGAAATTTATTACTATAGAATTTGTTTAGTCAAGTGTACATATTAAAACTTTAAGTATAAAACTGAGCATTTGAAATAAAGTGTGCAATTGAGCAAAAAGGAAAAGCAAAATGGTAAAACAAAAAAAAAGTAAAATGATCTGTCAAAATAAGATAGAATGTGAGTTCATCTCTGTGGATATAAAATAACTATATGAAATATAGGCTTTACACAGGAAAATATAAGTCCCAGAAAAATTTAAAGGACATAGATGTCTCAGTGATTTGATAGTTTGAATTATATATCTTTGATATAAGTACATATTCATGAAACAAAATATGAGACTGAATTTAGCAATAAATTATATATCTGACATTAAAACTGGATTTTTTTGTTTGCTTATAGATACTGAATATTTATGACTGTTATTTAGTTACCTCTTTTTCAGTGTTTCTTGAGGCTACTTATTTGACTTTAGTGAAAAATATACATTGATTTTGACTGTTTCAAAGATGAATTGCAATTAATAGTTGATGACTCACTGACCCCCTGTAAAGAAGTCATTAAGCAGACGGTACAGTGTAACTTAGGTATAATTTAGTTCATATAATTTCAATTTGACACATCCTATTTAAAACCATGACCCATTTAAAGATGATTGAGAAATGCCTAACAGAGCTATTCACTTTCCTTAATTATTCTCTGAAGAATTAAGATTGAGACAGAAAAAAAATGTGTGAGATTTTTTCAATGGCCCTGAAAATTTCCATTGAAGATCGCAAAGCCTAATCAAAAGAAAATTATGAATGTGTCTATGATGGATATGGCATTTTCCTCAGATGCTGCTGAACGTTCACTGCCACCATGATTTGGATGCTCTCATTTTAATAAGTAGTTTTTGCATTCGCATGCTCTTTCAAATCTACTCACAACCAAAATATTTTATAACTAAGAAACATGAAATGAGATATCTTGACCCAAATTATTTGTATAATAAGCCAGTGCTTTTTGGGTTATGTTCCAAATTCCTAGATTTATGAAGTGAAATATATGTTTGCTATATGGATATATGTTTTAAAATACATATACATATATATAGAGAGAGAGTAAAGATGTAATGTAGAAATTTTCCAGATTTTAAAAATTAAATATATTTTTTAGTTTTTTTCAATGTATTAATAATAAGGTCATATCATTTTTAATAAATAGTTAGAATGCTTTTGGTACTGGTTCATTAACTGATAATTCTCTGATATATATATTGTTGCTATCTGCAGTAGAGTGACAATAGAAGGTTAAAAATGAGACAAAGAGAAAAACAAAACATATTCTGACTTGATCTTCATGTACAGAAAGGAGTGGTTAGTATCAAAATCTTCTACTAGCCCTTTATAGGCCTGAATGTGTCATTTTGATATGCTTGTTCACCGAATCTGCCTGGTGACCACATGGTATCTGGCTAATGTTTCAAAACAAAGACTCATCCACTGAATGATATAATTCCTGTTTTATTATCCTGCTTCTAGAATTCTTGCTTTTGAAATAGGTCTTGCAGGTTATATTCACAAGCAAAAGCAAGGCATCACTTAATGGTTACCAATAGCAGAAACTTTAAATATTTTATAGGTACTTTTTATTGGGAAAATATGGGATATCCTGAAAAATCAACTGAAAATGGCTTAAACATGAAGGGTTATCTCTTATATAACAGAAGTCTAGGGGAAGAAAGCATGAAACTGAGGGAGGGTCTCCATGATAACCTCATTGAATTAGATTATCTTTGTCTTTCCCTCTCTAATTTCCAGCAGTTGACTTTCGTCCTCATTCATGCTGTCTCATGGTTACCAAGCTGCTCCTCTGTCACCATGTGTTATGCCCGCATTACTGAAAGAAAAGGGCCAAAAGACCAAACTTCATGGACTGCTGAATAACCAGTTAACTCAAATTTAATGACTTGAATTTGATTATTTATTGTGATTGCCTAGTTATTATTAAAAATTAATGGCCACAACCCCTGCTAAGCTCAGCGGAAAGGATCTTTTGTATGCAAAACCTACTGCTTTAGGGATGGTGATGTGGTTTTTTTTGTCTGTTTGTTTTGAGACAGGGTCTCGATTTGCTGCTCAGGCTAGAGTGCAGTGGCATGATCATACCTCACTGTAGCCTTGAACTCTTGGATTCAAGAGATGCTTCCACCTCAGCTTCCCAAGTAGCTAGGCCTACAGTCATGTACATACCACCAGGCTTGGCTAACTTTTTTTTTTTTTTTTTGGTAGAGATGGAGTATCCTTATGTTGCCTAGGCTGGTCTAGAACTCCTGAGGTCAAGTGATCCTCCAGCCTCAGCCTTCCAATGTGATGGGATTATAGGTATGAGCCACTGCACCCTGCCAGGAAAGTTGTTGAAAAAGACTAGCATGTTGGTGTGTGTTGGCAGCTCCTCAGATCTTTCAGTATGGGATATAAAGGGGTTGTAATTGATTGGTTGGAAATAATCAGTGTGCAAACAACAATGGAAATGGAAGAGAATACATCTTGGTAATAAAATCTCTGTCTGTCCATGGCCTATAATATAAATTGCATAAATTTCTAGTAATTTGATATCTTGCAATGTTGTAAAAATCAACTACTTTTATACTCCAAATAATAGGGAAACAATGATCATCTAGAGCCCTTGTCAAGGGTCTCCTATTGAGAGTCCTTAGACAGTGTGACACATCTCTATGGCAAAGATCAGATATAATATGTTACATTTACACAAGTAACAGACTTCTGGCTCTCCTCCAACTCAGGTATACTCTTCTGCCGAGAGACTGTACTTCTCAGCCTCCCTTGTGGCTAGGTGTGCCATGTGACTAAGTGCTCATGATTGAGATGTAAGTAAATGTGAAATGCAGGACAGCAATACCCCTTATTAAATGTAATTGCCCATAATTCCCTTGTTTTTTACTTTCATCCCAAATGAAAATGGTGATGACCAGGGCAACACTAATAGCTGTGTATCATGGATAACAAAGCCATACCCAATTTGTTGGGTTCTGGACTGATTCATGGAGCATAGAGTTCCTGGGCTCATAATGTAAGCAGAAAACACTCTTCAGTTTTAATAAGAAATCTATATTGTGGGGCTTATTAGCTCTAGCAATGTAGGTTTTACTGTAGCTAATAAATAATTGGTACATTGGAAGGCTTTCTGCCTGCCACAAAAACCTAAAAAAAATGTGGAATAGACACGTAAGTGAGAGTGAAGGCAGTACATTTATTTAAAGTGTCACTTCTGGTAACTGGAAGAGCAAACCCCTTGCCTAAAGAGCCTTCAGCTGGAGGAGAGGCTGATGGAAAGGGCCAGAATGTTACCATGTGTTAGCTGTTTATTGCTGCATTTAGCTAGCTTATTTCAGGAATTAATGAGCTGAAGGAAGAACAAGACAATTTCAAGTAGAGTTTGAAGAGAATAAAGAGTCCAGAAATGTGGGATCTGATGGGGCTGGAAAAGCCACCTTCGTTTATCACCCTACACAGTAGGAGATAACCCTGCTGCTCAAAAGATTTAATAAAAAATGTCCATTAAGAATTCTCAGCTCAACAAGTGAATCTATAGATCATCTGTGCAAAAGATCAGATAAAGTATGTTGCTTTCCAAATAAGTCTATTATTTTATATGGTTTTATACTTTCAAGAGCCATCATCAAAATGGTAACAATTGACACTGGCTTAACAAAGAAGTGAGACCGTAAGAATAGGTTTCATAATTATTTCCAGAAAAGAGCCTTGGATGTAGGTTTCCAGCACAAGAAAATAGCTGTATGCAGTTAGACCATAAACTCATTGAATCTTCTAATAATTTTTTTTTTTTACTAAAGAAATCAAATATTTAGCCTTCAAAAAGTCCCAAGTTCCCAAATTAGTGGGTGCAGAAGCAGGCTATGAAAACTGCAGTGCTTCTGACAAAAGAAATCTCTTTAATATTCATGCAGATGTGGTGAGGGAGAATGTATTACAAGAACAAATTTTTTCAGAGAGAAAGCCAGGACCGCAGAGGATAGAGGACAGGAAATTCTTTTCAATAAGCAGCGATCAGTTTTAAGCAAGAAACTTTCTCCACTGGTAGAGCAGAGAGTCTCTGCAATTTTTGTCCTGCAAAATTTTATTGCTCTGAGCAGTGACTGCGTGGTCATTCTTTTTTTTCTCAAATGAGACATTTTATTGTAATTTTAAGTAATATATAGTTGCTATTAATGATACGTAGGAAACTTTTGTGATAGAGAGGACTGTACCCAAATATCCTGACATCTGAACTGTATACCATGCCTGAGTGTAACTATGGCTTGTCTTTCTTGGGAAGTGGGTAGACATGTTCTAACTTGAGGAAGAAGGGTGTGCAGATTATAAAAGATACTGCTGTCTGTCTTTCTATTAATAATAACTAGCCTTCCTCCAGGGTTTTTTCTGGTCTGTGTCAACTAGGTTTAGAGATTTCACTACACTTCAGCCAAAGAGATGTGCACAGAAATGAGGCAAACAACCTCACATCGCATCTTTTCAAAGGAACGCTGCTTGCCCTTTGCTCTATCTTTTCCCTCTTTTGTCGGATCTGCTGGACTGTATTTTTCACGTATTGTCACATGATAATGTCTCATTTCTCATGCTCTTCTTGCAATTTTATTGGCAATCCTCCAAATATTTCCTGGATTCCAAGCTCTCTCTTTATTAAACTGAATTGAGACTTGTAACTAAACCGACTGGTAGAGTATGGTAGAAGTGATGGAATATAAACTCTAAGGCAACTCGTAAAACATAATTCTCTTCAATTTGGCTTTCTTTCTGAGTCAGGATGTTCACCTTTGGAACCTAGCCACTATACCGTGAGGAAGTGCAGACCACATGGAGCCACCATGTATAGCTGCTCCATTCAACAGCCCTTGCTAAGTTCTCAGAAAACAGTCTGTATCAATTGTTAAGATATGTAAATAAACAAGCTACTGTATAGCTCAAGTGTTTCACAAGGCAACGCTGGAATAAGGAAGGCAGAAATTTGAACCTGGATGTCTCTGGAGCAGAGTTCCCTATCACTTTGGGCTGTTTTCCCTCTTCTTGAACTTTAGGAGTGAGAAATAAGTGTCTATCTTATGAAAACAACTGAATTTGGGGATCTCTAAAATAGTGGTAAGAAATAAGATTAAAGCTTTTATAGCCTGATTCCTGCTGTCAGAGTTCTGAGAAACAGAACTTTGCCCATATCTTACTTTATACCCCAATGCCTTGTAATTATGATTTAATTAATTAGCAATTTTTATTAGAAATATATTCACTTAGAAAATATGCTTTGACTTCCCACCATATAGCAGAGTCTGGTTCTTGCTGCTGTGAAAAGGATAAGGAAGAAGCTATGCATGATCTTTGTCCTTGTATTACTTTCCTATTGCTGCTGTAACAAAATGCCACAAACTTTGTGGCTTAAAACAGCACACATTAATTCTCTTAGGAAAAAAATTAGAGTTCTGGAGGTTGGAGTTTAAAAATCAAAGTGTTGGTTGGATTGAGTTACTCTTGGAGGCTTGTGGAGTAATCCATTTCCTTGCCTTTTCCAGCTTCTAGGGACTGCTTGAATTCCTTGACTCACAGTGCCTCACACCAACCTCTGGTTCTATTGAAACTTTGTCCGGCCTCCTCCCAACCTGCCGTCTCAACCTCTAGTTTCCCTCTTATAAGGACCTTTGTAATTGTGATTACATCACACTCACCTGGATAATTCAGGAAAATCTCATCATCTCAAGATCCTTAACACAATAAAATCTGCAAATTCCCTTTTACCATGCAAGGTAATGTATTCACAGGTTCCTGGGATTGTAACAGAAACATCTTTAGGAAGCCACTATTCAGTCTCATGCAGTGCACACAAACATGCATTTTCTGTAGGAATATTGAAAGCATCTTATTGTGAATTGATGACTTAGAAAATGTATTTCAGATTTGGCCTGACTTTTTTATTATTGTTCTTTTAGTCTATACTCTTCATTAAAAAGACTCAGTAAGTGATTTTTTGCTTGTGTCTTGTAAGATACAAATTTGAGGTAGCCAAAGTAGTTTTCTATTCTGTATTTTCTCCTTTATGAATACCTTTATTTACTACACATATTAGTACTTTGTCTTCCTTAAGACTTAAAATACTGAAATATAGTACTTTATGACGAGAAAATACTAGACAGCTCTTAAATAAAATTCTGTTGTCCGTGTACTTTTAAAAAATATTGTGATACTGCAAAATATAAGTGTCTCCTTTTACCAATTTTCTGAAGATAGAAGGTTGTTTAAGAACCATGCTATTCTGGCAAAAGAACACCTAAGGTGGACTTGGATTTTCAGCACGGGGAGAGCACAATAAATAAGAGTGTACTTAATCTTGCTTTTTACTGGAAACACATATTGGAAACAAAGCCATTTCATAGTCTATGTGTATAGAAGAATACTCTTGACTCCAAAGAACTTCACTTGTATGTGGAACTCCAAGAGAGTCAATAATAAAATCAATAATAATTATAAAGAGAGAACTTGGGCATAGGTGAAGAAGTGATATGATATAATATAGCGATAACAAAAAAACATGTTGTATTGTCAAGATCCAGGAAAAATCTTCTGACATTTAAAACTGGTAGTGAAATAGATTTCTAGTTGCCATGGGGCAGGAGAGGGGGGGCTCATAAAACTCCTCTCTCTTTCTTTCTTTCTTTTCCTCTTTCCTCTGTTTAATTAATGTAGGTTCGCATTGGCCTCTAATAAGGGAAAGAAGAACAGCAGAAGCAAATGATAAATCTTAGTAGGAGTGTAGACCAGCTAGTTTTACTAGTATCTTGTGGTAGTAATTCAAAGGTAACTGGAAAAATAAAACTGAGCTCAAGTCTTGAGTATTTTGTGCTGGTGGGAAATGGAACATTCAAGAATAAAGAAACAAGGTGAAGAATTGGTCAGTGGTAACATTTATTGGGAGGAAATTGACTGAATTTTGGCAATAAACCAGCAGAGGAAGTTGACCTAAAGAACAGACTGTCAGTCATCTGTTTCTTTGGCATTATTTATACAGGTCCTTTCCTCATTCTCTCTTTTTATGCTGTTTTATTAGGTCCTGCTGTTGTATTAGGTCTTGTTTTTTTCTTAGTTTATGATTGTAACCTGTTGTTGCTAATTTTCTTAATTCTTAATTTTCTTAATTAATAATTAATTTTCTTAATTCTATCTTGTTTGCATCCAAAATCATATTTTAGATTTAGAATTATAAAAATGTTAGTTGTTGATGACAGTTATTGTCATTATCATTAATATTAATGGATCAATTAAAAACAAAGATAGTTATCATGGGGGCTTATGATTGAGACAATGAGTCATGTGTCTGTCCCGTATAGACAGTATAACATGCTATATCATAAGAGGTAGAAGTCAAATTGTCTCTATTTATAATATATTTCAAGTGGGGTAGGAAGGCTTTTCCAAAAGTGCAGCAGTATATTTATATTGTAATATGCTTGTCTTAATGAAAAACATTATGGGGTAGGAATACTGTTCTTTACATTTGTTGAACTCATATGATAGTGTTTATACCTGTATTTTTCTTTACAAGTATATTCAGCATATCTCCTTTTAAAGCGCCATTGAAGTCTAAAATGCCCATCTAGACACTTACTATACTTAGCAACAACTCCTGTGAAAATGAATGTGCTTACACATTAAAACCTTTACAACATGATCATTATATAAAAGGGTTTCCAGCGTTCAAAATATGTAAAAAGATGAAACTATTTATAATAAAACAAATTAGGTTTAGTGTAAAATCAAACAATAAACACAAAGAATAATATAAAACTTCTCTATTTTCTAGCAGGGATATTTTTCTTGCAGTGATTAACCTGAAACTGTCAAGTTCTGTTACCTTGGTCTGTATAAGGCTATAACAGGGCTATCTTTAACTTTAATTTATCTGTAATAGGATACAAAGGTACATATTTCACAAAATGTTAATCATGCTTATGTGTGGGTCTAAGATGAAAATCAACAATAATCTTAATGTTTTTAAGAAAATAGTTATTGTGAATATTGGGGAAAAACAAACATACTGTAAAGGAAAGAAATTCTAAGAGCATTAACTATTTTTAAAACAAAATATTGTGTATATATCATACCATCATACATGTTTACATTTTAATAAATTTTGAGGCTGCTAAGGAGTTGGGAAGTGGTTTGTAAGTTTATCTCTGCTCTTTATAGTTCATCAAATTCTCCAAGTTAAATTCAGTTTTCACTAATCAAATTATCATCATTTATGGAACAGGTTATTCCCTAATTACAGTAGGGTTTTATTATGAAATATATATATTTTTCCTAATAACCTTTAATAGCCAGTTGCCTCTGACAATGAATTCTTATTATATTCTTTGAATTACTTAAATAAAATGTTAACATATTAGAGGGAAAATTAAGTAAAATATAATCTCATCGAAAATTTATGAAAGTGCAATTTCTCTCAAGTTTTTTTTTTAAATGTCACTCTATTTTAATTACTATTTTTGGCTAGCAAATATTTGCTAAAATTTATTTGTATCACAATTCCATTTGAGTTTTAAAAATATGATATACTATAAACTATTTGTATTGCATTATAAATAAAAATAGCTAATATCATCTATTAAAATGAGCAAATAAACTATGAAAGCAAATTCTACCAAAATAAGAAAAGTAATTTGTAACTTTGGATATCCAACTATCAGTGCCTAAAAAATCTGCTAATTTTTTAAAAGGTTGTAAAGATAACAACAAAAGTTAGATGTGGCCTATGTCTTTAAATTATGCATGAGAGAGGACACAATGCCAAGATCTAGCAACTGAGTATTGAAAAAAGTAAGGGATTTAATGTAATCCAATATTAGCTGAAAAGACTAGAAAGTACATTCTTGTATTACATTTCATTTGTTATGTACTCTGCACTAAAGCAACTTCAATGGAACTTAATAAAATACACATTTTTTAAAGTTAAGGCTACTTTGATTTACCCACATTATCTATCCTTAAATTCTAGACTTCTTGGTAGTATTGACGAAAAAATAGAGTAATACCCATGAAATTGAAAGAAAATTACTTTCAGTCACCCAAAGCTCAATTTACATCTGTCTCTCCCATAAAGTAATCTCATTCTGGATCGCCTATAACTTGGAACCTACAATATAAAGGAGTCTCTCATAAGACATTTACTTTCTTGTGGAAATTAATCTTTTTCCATATGCAGAAGAAATACATACAGATTAGTTCTAGCACAAGGAGAGGGTCAAAATGGCCAGGCGCAAAAGACGTATGTGAAATTCAAGGTATTAGTCAAGAAAGCCTCCAGTGAGAAAAAAGGGCTCGACATCAGAAGAATAGCCCATCACTATAGAAAGTTAAATATTCGGAGCTCCAAATTCACATAGGGGGAAATAGCATTGCTCTATCCTCATATATGACACAGGAGAGAATGTTACAGCTTGAGTCTTGTCATGCTTACAATTCAAAGATGAATAAACAAACAACACATAGTGAAATCAAAGTTAAATGAAGCAAGTATGACACCTTAAGAATAAGAATTAAACTGAATGTGCATGTCATCATACTTCTGAAACTGACTTTGGTCAGAGAGGAAAACTTATAAGGAAGAACTCAAGAAGATGAAAGGTAGCATGGAATCTAAAACACAAGAGACAGAAAGTGTAATTAGGAAAAAGATAGAGATGTAATTCTGACAAGTAAAAAAAAAAAAACTCTTGCTGAAATAAATTAGAATATTTGATAAAAATGTAAATAAAACTTTTAAAAATCTTCTCACAGAAGCCTATAGGAATATACCTGCCATTGTGGATCTTAGCCTTAAAAAAAAAAAGTTATCTATTATATTTACATTAAAATAAAACAGGCAGGGTGTGGTGGCTTGCGCCTGTAATCCCAGCACTTTGGGAGGCAGAGGCTGGCAGATCACGTGAGGTCAGGAGTTTGAGACCAGCCTGGCAACGTGGTGAAATCCAGTCTCTTCTAAAAATACAAAAAAATTAGCCAGACCTGGTAGTGGGCACTGGTAATCCCAGCTACACAGGAGGCTGAGGCAGGAGAATCACTTGAACCTGGGAGGCAGAGGTTGCAGTGAGCTGACATCATGCCATTGCACTCCAGCCTGGGCAACAAGAGCGAAACTCCATCTCAAAAAAATACATAAAATAAAATAAAACAAAGCAAAGTTAAGATATGTCATGGTATAAATATATGATCATAATTTTTAAATAATTTTCTAATAATTATAGATTTACAGAAAATATGCAAATGCACTACAAAGAGTTCTTGTATACTCTTCACCTAGCTTTTCCTAACAATAGGATCTTACCTAATAAAGGCACATTCATGAAAACTGAGAAATTAAAATTGATACAGTACTCTTAGGTAAATTATAGCTTATACTTTAATTTCTCCAGCTTTTCACAAATTTCCCTTTTCTGTTTTGAGATCCTATTCACAATGCCATGTCTTATTCAGTCGTTATATCTTCTTGATCTCCTATGATCTATGACAGTCTTTCCTATTAATAGTTTCTTATGACATGAACAGTTTTGAAGAAAAATGCTTAGGTATTTTGTAGAATGTCCTTTAATTTGAGTTTGATGTTTCCTCGTGGTTATACCAAATGTTTGGTCTTCCGGGAAGAATATCACAATAGTGGATGGAGTGCCCTTCTCCACATATCATATTGGGAGTAAGTGATGGCAACATAATTTTTCACTAGTAGTGTTAAATTACATCAAGTCAATAAGCTTTTAATAGAAAAATATCTGGGCTAATATTTAACAAATAACGTAATCTCTATGCAGGAAGTAACTCAAGTTTAAATAAATAAATATACATATATAAAACGTGATTTGACTACCTTTTTTTTTTTTAGAGACAGAATTTTGCTCTTGTCACCCAGGCTGGAATGCAGTGGTGCGATCTCAGCTCACTACAACCTCCGCCTCCCAGGTTTAAGCAATTCTCTTGCCTCAGCCTCCTGAGTAGTTGGGATTACAGGTGCCTGCTGCCATACCCGGCTAGTTTAGTTTTGTATTTTTAATAGAGACGAGGTTTCACCATGTTGGCCAGCCTGGTCACAAACACCTGACCTCAGGTGACCTCCCACCTCGGCCTCCCAAAGTGCTGGAATTATAGACGTGAGCCACCGCGTCCAGACTACCTGTTTTTTAACTTTATACCAAAGATAAGACATCGTTGAAAGGCAAATTATAAGCTGTGAATATATGTAACAAAAATGATAGAAGAAACATTAATGTTTGTAACATCTAAAGAACACACATGAGGACACACTAGAGGCCAGGAGTTTGAGGCTGCAGTGAGCTGTGATTGCACCACTACACTCCGCTCCAGCCTGGGAGACAGAGCAAGACTTTCTCTCTAAAAAGTAGAAAACATAAAAATAAAAAAAAACACACACAAATAATTTAAAAATTAAAAGTTCATTATTCTAACAAAGGTGGGATTCTGGAAGGATAACAACAGCAAAACCCAGCAAAACACAGGAATAGAAAGTCAACTGAAAAAATTTTAATTGTCCCTATATGTTTTTTAGAGTTTCATGCCACTAAATGCAGAAATATTCAATTCAACCAGCATTTAACATATTTCAAAAATAAAATGGAAATCATATGCCACTGTGATTGTCGAGATAAAAACTGATTGTCCAGAGAACATTGAGAGAGTATGTTGAGGCATTTTGTTTTATTTTTTTAATTATACTTTAAGTTCTAGGGTACATGTGCACACGTGCAGGTTTGTTACATATGTATACATGTGCCATGTTGGTGTGCTGCACCCATTAACCCGTCATTTACATTAGGTGTATCTCCTAATGCTATCCCTCCCCCAGCCCCCACCCCACAACAGGCCCCGGTGTGTGATGTTCCCAAGTGTTCTCATTGTTCAATTCCCACCTATGAGTGAGAACATGCAGTGTTTGGTTTTTTGTCCTTGCGATAGTTTGCTGAGAATGATGGTTTCCAGCTTCATCCATGTCCCTACAAAGGACATGAACTCATCATTTGTTGGGGCATTTTTTCCTAAGGGTAATTCAGTGTTTCTTTATAAACTTACATATCTTTTTTACTTTTTTATTATATTTTACATTTTTTCTTACAGTTCATTTTGGCAAAAAAAAAATTCGCATCAAGAATGACCCTGATGATGATGTTTAAATAGCCACAAGTTGAAAAAACCTTAAATCCTTAATAGGGATCATAACAATTTTTTATAAAACTTATGGAATAAAATTAAAATGAAATACTATTTTTTTGCTAAAATAACCTAATGAAAGTATAGTTATTGGCTTGGAAAACAAATCAAATTTGCTAAGTGAAAATAAAATTCAAATTATTTAATAATATTAGTATTCTGTGTTATTAGAATAAAGAAAAAACTTATGTGTGTAAACAATGTATAAATAATGAAGAGAAAAATAAGCTAAAATCAGACGAAATGAGATGTCATGCTTCCCATTACAATGGCGTATTTAAAAAGGTAATATTCGTTATCTTTGAGGAAACACTGAGATTTTCTGATAGGTTGTTTTTGTGTGAGTAAACATTGTTACATTAGATTTTTAGAAATCAATTTTACTGTATAGCAAGGGCTTTCTATTTATTTCACATCTAGGAATCTCCTTTGAAATAGACCTCATTGACCATGTTCATGACAGACCAATTATATTAAAGAAAAATGGAAAATTTCCCAATATACTGTCTGACAATAACAAAAAGATGAAAGGCAATTAGTATATCCTCATTTGGAATATGTTTCAGTCTCTTTCAGGCTGAAAGAAATAAAGTAAATATTGAGTTACTTTAAACAAATATCACTGAGCCTGAAGATTCATGAGGAAAAGAGGAAAATGGGCACATGAACAGAGGTTTAGCCTGAATTCAAAAGGATCTGAAATGATCAAAGAGGCTGGCCTAATCTATAAAACTGACCAAAGGTGGGAATTTTACAGGGACCATATGAGGCCATTCTGTGGCCTTCTGGAGAGAGGAGAGGTTTAGGGCAGCAGGAATTGCAAGGTTTCCTCACAGAAAGCAGAGCTGGTCTGTTTAGAAGGAAATTGTATGCATCAATTAATATAAATTTGAAAAAGTGTCACTATTAGGGAACTATGCCTGCAATATGATATAAAGCAGAGAAAGAAAAGTCTAATTCTATTGAGGTTGTTGACAATAGTAATAAAAAATAATAGAAAACATTTATTGAGCATTAATTCCATGCCAAGAAATGCGCCAAGCACTTTTATGTAAATTATTTTGCTTGTTCTCACATCAACCTTATGAGGCTTCTGAAAAGATTATGCCCATTTTACAGATGATGAGACTAAGGCTTATAGATAACTTGTCCAAATTCACACATTAATAAATGGAGGACCCAGGTTTTTAACCCAAGCAATCTGACTCCAGAATCTTCCCCCTTCACCTAAAAAGGACCAAAGAAAATACTTCCACCAAGATGACAGCAAGCATTCTGGGTGGTGGGTTGATATATTGACTAATTATAATTTTATTTTAATTTTCTATTGTTTCAGTTTCTAAAATAATGGAAATTATATTTATTACAAAAAGAAAGCTATTTTGATTTTTTTAAAAAAGAGAATTGTCAAACTTCTGGGAAAATATAATATTTATACAAACCAATGTCTAGATGGCATATTTTATGAAAATTGAAAGTGACCTCATCTAAGTTTTATGGCTTTGGGAAACAAATATGCAGCACCAGCCATAAGCCTATATCTTTTAAAGTGTTGGGAAATAATAAATATGAATGATTACTGGAAAGAATGGACTTGTTAGGCTCAAAATGAATACTATTTGGGTTAGTTTATTTTTAGAATAATAAAATGCAATACTTTAAAATTTTTTGTAACTCAGTGTGCTTGTATAACTGTGCTTTCACATAATTAGAAAAATTATGTATTGCCTGTTATTTTTATGATGTTTCTGAAACTTTCATTCTTGTATTTAGGTAATTTTTAAAACTCTTCATATACCATTGAATTTCAGGAAATTATGTAAAGAAAATAGAGCTAATAGTAACATAATAGATTAACATTAAGAATAATTACTTTAACATAAAACAGTATGTAAATATGTTTGATATTTTTATAATAATAATGATATTAATAAATTATGTTATTACACAATATATTTTAGGTACTGTGTTAATTATCTTCCATATAATGACTCAATCTTTATTAACACTGTTTTAATATATGTTAATAAGCCCATTTTGTTGATGCAAAAATTGAACCGCAAGTATTTTAAGCCATTTGCTAAAGTTAACAAATTCACTGCTGTAGTCTGAATGTGTCCCCAAAATTTCATGTATTTAAACTTAATCTCCAATGCAATAGTTTCAAGAGAGGAACTTTAAGAGGTGATTGGGTCGTTAGAACTTCTCTCCTTTGAATGAGTTAAGTCCTTCATGATAAAGGCTTCATAGAGCATTTGGCCTTTTGCCTTTTCTGTCTCTTCTACCACATGAAGATACAATGTTTGTTTGTCCCCTCTGGAGGACACATGAACAAAATGCTATCTTGGAAGCAGAGAGACAGGGCCCTCACCAGACACTGAACCTGTCGGTGGTTGGACATTGGACTTCCCAGCCTCCAGAACTGTGAGAAACAAATTTCTGTTGTTTATAAATTACCCATCCTGTTGTACTTTGTTACACTGGCACAAAGGGGCTAAGACAGCCACTAGCTTGTGACAAGAGTCCAATCTCAATTTCTGTGCTTTTAGTTATCATATCGAAAAAGGAAAAAAAAAGACCCAAACCTTTATCTGAGGAATGAAAACCTCTTTAAATTATCAGAGAGGTGTTACGAATGTGAAAGCAGTCATATCTCACTCCCCCTTGAGATAAACAATTACCTCTTGAAGCCTCTTCCTATGTGGGATCTAGACTAATGCTAAGTAGCCATAAAATGCCGTACGCCTATGGTTCAGCAATGTATAGACAATCACTAATCAATATTACTTCTGTAAACCAGTGAGAATTCCTGATTAGCAATTTTGTAATCACCCCCTCTCCTGATTCATTCTTTGTTCTTTACAAACTTGAGCCTCTCCTTTGTACTCCAGAGCCCTGCTCAAGGCAACCTGGACTCCAGGCTGCTGAAAGTGTCCCAGGTTGTTGTCCTTAATCTTGGCCCAAATAAAGTCTCTATATTAATTTTGCCTCAGCTTTTGCCTTTAAGTTGACATTTTCACACTGTTTTTCATATGGTATGATTTTTTAAATTTAGCAACAATTAAATAAGCAATTAAATGTAGCTATATTTTCTCTTTTAACTTATAAAGTCATTCCGTCATCTCAGAATAGTTAAAACGTCTTTAGTGATATATATTTCACATTAACTAAGTAAATATGTTGATGAGCATTAAAGAACATTAAAGTATAGTTTTATAATTTAACATGCCGTTTAAAAAATGATGATCCATCTGTTATTTTTAAATGTTAATAACAGTCTAATTTACTTTCATTTCAAAACAGTAATTTCATACAAATACTTAACAAGTCACATGCATCCAATCTTAATTTTAGAGCATTAAACTTTAAAGTCTCTCGGTGCCATTTAATTTACAGGTTTCTTTCTGCCACCAATATTCATATCTGGAAAACATGGACAGGATTTCTTAATTTTCTGGAGTAAATATTCTGTCTAACACAGTTCCAGTTAACATGTACATTTGCCACATATAGAAAAGAACTAACACATACTGAATTCTGATTTCCGATAACAGAACATAGCATGTATGCTGTCTTACAGTAACAATTAAATGTTTTTCACAATGCGTATTTTTACAGTGGGACAATGAAGCAATACAAACAAAACCAGCAGACACGTTATCTTTAGTAGAAAATGTTATGCAAATTTAGTGAGAATATTACATAAACCAAGTAATAGTGAAACACATACTCCTCAGATTTCCCTAGTTCCTTATTGGAACTGTTGGAACTGTCAGATGTGGATAGACTCAGCCACCCTCAGTGAGGATCCACTAGAGAGGAAAAGCTCTCCTCCTCTGATTGTGAGAGTTTTGTATCCTCCCCACTTCGTGCCTGATTATTCTGAAGACTCTGGCTTTGTACCTACCTCCTTCTCAGACAAAAGTAACAGTGGTGATACAAACAAATAACTCAGCGCATTTCTGAGAATCCACTTTAGAACCTGGTGACATAAAAGCCTGTTTCCTCCGCAGGCCCAGCCTTTAGTTCTGTCTATCATTCCTTAGTGTCAACGATGAAAATTATTGTGAACTAACCAAGTTGAATGACAGTGAACAGTGTGAATGACTGGCTGTTCCCCAAATCATATGAACATGTCCTCACACTTAACTTGCTTAACTTGCAAAGCTTTGAATGGTGTTCAAGGTGAGTCTGGAACAAAGTGAACTGCTGTAATTCAATTTTAAGTTCAGTAAAATACAGGGAAATGATCTATGAAATGAAACTTCTCTCTCCTATCTGCTTTAATAAAAAATGTTAGAAATAAGTTATTCATGGTTTCTGTGTTAAAAACATTGTATTATATTTACACCATTGAATATATGTTGTTCCTTAACTGCTTACACCATAAATTTGTAAGATATATATGAAACTCTTCAAATTAAAATCTCAAATTTATTTTAACCCTCACCAACAACTAGTAATTTTCCATTTCCTTTCTTAAATTTCCAAACTGCTTATCATTGCATTGGCACCAGGGCCAAGATATATGTAAATAACTCTCCAGGGGAAATCCTTAGATTCAGAAGCATTGTTGATTATGATACATATAACCTTAAAATTTATTTGTCTTGCAAAGTGCCTTTGTCCTTTTTCAGTAAATTAATAGCAGGGTGCAGCTGGATGCTTCTGGAGGCGTTGACTTTTGATATCATCAAAGTGTGAAGCTAATAAATGAGCAGACCTCTTGATGCATAATGGGCTTGTTTAAAGATACGCATAATGGCAAATATTTGAATACATCCAGGAGCTATTTTGGGGAAGTTAGCAACAGGTCAGAGAGAAGTAGGACTTTCTAAAATCAAATAAATGACAAATTATAGATTAGAGATTAGTCCATACAGTGTGATCTATGTATACAGAGCATAGGAGAGTAGTTGAAGCATAGTCCTTGGAGCCAGATTGATTGGATTCAGGTCAAGCTCCATCATTTATTCAATAATTTTCTTAACCTTGCTGTTCCTCAATCTCTTCATTTGTAATGTATGTATAATAATAGTATCTAACTATTGAAATTCTCATGAGAAAAATTTAATGTTAAAAATGCACAATTTCTTCTCACTGGTATAGTCAACTTGAAAAAATGCAGTTTCTATATATACCTGACACATTGTTAGCACTATATAAATGTCAGATACAATGATGATGATGAAGACGAAGAGGATGGTGAATGTTCAAACAAGTAAAACATCAAGTGAATATGAACACCAGATATTTGCAAAATGTTTCGGTTTTTTTTTTGTGCCTACTAAAATGTGGGTTTTACATAGTTTATATTCAGAATTTTAAACCAGATGATCAAAACTTCATGGACTATTGAAAACATTTTTGGGAGATGAGATTGACTCACACATTGCCAAGTTAATTTTCCAAACAGAAAGATAAAAATCTTTGCAGTGTGAATTTGGCTAAAATTTGTTAATTTACTTGTTCATACTTCATTCTTTCAATGGGTTTTTTATTGTTTTGTGTTGGAGATAAAACTCAGAAATTTACTGAATATCAGAGTCCTTCTTACCTTTCTATCATCCTTCATCATCCCTTTTTGTTTTCAAGATTTGCATCCAAAGACAGTAGCTAAAATTCTGAAATAAGCTGATAACAAAGAGTGGTATTTGTTCATAAACTTCACAGCTTTCCTTTTGGAGGAAATATATCATATTCCTCCATTAACCCAGGTTTATATGTACCCACTAGATTTTTGATAATCACGTCTAACTTGCTTGTTCCTATCTCTACTTATTTAGCTATTTTAATTTTTCCCATCTATCTTTTGTTTCTTCCCTGCCTCTGTTTAGATTAATTAAGCCTTCCTGCCATGGTTTGGACTCCATTTTATTTCCACTATTGGTGTGTCAGCAATTGTAATTTGTTATTATTGTAATTATTATTTATTATTATTGTAATTATGGCGGTTATTATAGTTGTGCTGTGGTTGCTCTAGAATTTACAATATATTTCTTTAATCATAATCTGTCTTCTTATAAAGCATTTCACATATAATATAAGATCATTGAATTCAGTGATGTGGAGGGCATGTGTGCATCATCTGGAAAAAAAGGTGCATGTCTCTTAGCAACTCCAAATTAGTGATATCCTTTTGTAGCATCAGCTATCTTCCCAGCCTCTAGAACTATGACAAGTCATTTTCTGTTGTTTGCAAGCCACTCAGTCTAAAGCATTGTGTTATGGCAACCTGAATGGACTGAGACAACTATTAAAATGCTTAGCATTTGGAAATTTCTTGCATCTGTAGCCTTGTTTTCTCAGCCTTCCCACTAACCCCTCTTACTCTACAATTTAGCCAAGCGTACGGTCAACTTTGACATCTATAAACTAAGGTATGAATATTCAGAACATGCATAAACAAAGTTGTGTAGAAGCCAGAGAATACTTAAGAAATGCTAAAACTTTAGGGTCATTGGGTCAGCAATTGACATCCCTTTAAGCTGGACTTTGTGGCTCTTTTTCTTCTGTGCTTGAGATGTATCCACTCAGGTTGTTTTGAAATTATTCCTGGTTTTTATGGCAAAGGACCCTTTTAGGAAAGTTGTTCTCTGTGGTATTCTCTTGATCTTCTTGGACAGGCACAATTAACCTTCCATTTTCGCTTTGAAAAGCTAATTTTCTTTGTTCTCTGTGTTTATTCGTATATATCTTAAAAGCCAAGAGGTAACTTGAATTATTCTGCAACTCCCAAGACCACTGAGAACTTGCAAGTTCTATCCAAGTCTGTGAATACTTCAGTTTATTCAGTCATTCAAGAAGTATCGATTATGTTCTATGTACCACAAATTGCTATGGGTGCTGGAGACACAAAAATAGAAGAGTCAAAGTTCTTAATGTCTTGGAGTGTGCTTTAGAATGGGGAGATATTGATGAATAAATAATATAGTTTCAGATAATGGGAAGTAAATGAGGAAAAATAGTATTGATAAAAATTTGTGTAAGATAGACCATGAGGATTCTTGGAAGAATTTACATGTAATAGAAAACCATCCACAATACATATATACATTCAACAAATATCTTAACATGAATCTCCCTTTTTCTTTATTCCCTCTCAATTCAATCTCACCATATGACTCTTTGATATAACCTTTAAATTACCTTTCTTTCATTTTTTATCTTAGACTATCCTTGATTAATAATGTAAGAGATCCTAATGTAAGAGATTTATCTTACATTAGGAATTTTCGAGAAGAGGAGATGAAGAGAAGTTGGTTAAAGGGTACAAATACACAGTCAGATAGAAATAATAAATTTAATGTTTGATAGTAGAGTAGAGTGACTATAGTTCACAAAAATGCATTATATGCAGGTACAATACAATTTGTTAACTATAGTCACCCTATTCTACTATCAAACATTAAATTTATGAACACTCTAAATACCTTGACTTGATCAGTGTGCATTATACACATGTGCATTATATACATGTGACAAAATTTCACATGTACTCTATTAATTTTTACTAATAAAAACAAATACAAAAACGACCCATTTTCTATTGACTACTCATTTCTGAAGAACTTCTCTGAATCCCTTTTAATTTACTAAGTTTTGACATGAAGGAAAACTCACAAAAACTCTAAATAGTTTTTACTCCATGTCAGTTAAAGATAATTCTGGGGAATAGAATATTATGCATATTTAATCAATGAGTGTTATGATAAACTACTGAATTTGCTCTGGAACCATCTGTAAGCACAATACTTTGTATTTTTTGACCAACCTACCTTATAAAGTTCCAGAAAGAAAAATAAAAAAGAAATGTATACTGTACTATCTCTATATCATAAGATACAATATCTAATATGTATTAATACACGGTCTATGTAGCCTGTTGAATCATCTTGTAAAAATTACAGAAAATAAGTATTTGAAAAAAAAAGTGGAAAATGGAAATCCCAAATGCAAGTAGAAAATTAACATTTATATTACTCTTCGTATTGTCTTCCAAAAAACATTCATAGGACTTGCTCTATTTTAATTATTTTCCTTAGTGTTTTGCTACTCTCCACATGGGTACAAAGACATTCTATTCAGTTTATCTTTCACAAAACACAAAAGGATCCCAGGTGCTAAATAATTCACATGAAGCCTGGAGCTCACAGCTGTATTACCAGAAACTTTGCCAATAACAGATTTGGCCATTTTTTGAAATCAGAAATCACTCTTATGTTGTTTTTGCTAGCAGACAGAATTCACAACGTTTAGAGAAGCTCCTATAACATGAACTAGCATGTTAAAAGATAGAGTTTATTGTTGGGTGACCCCATTCTATTGCAGCAAAATTGATGCTAAGCAAAGATGGAAAATAGAAGAGTTTGAACCTTCAATTATATTTAAGGGCCTTAGTGGACCCTCTCAAACCACAGTCTTCTACAAGGGTGTTTTCTGGGCATCCTGGTGATGCAGGATTGCTCCTTAGCTCAGCTAGGTCTGGGCTGTTTTCTTATGACCAGGAAGAAGTAGGCACATGGACACTTGAAGAGTGAGCCAGGTAGGAAGTTTTATTGAGTGATGAAGCAGCTGTTAGCAGAAAGGAGACATGGGTGTGGTATCCCTACCCGAAGGTCGGAGAGTTCCCAATATGGCTAACCCCGCCGTGTTTCATGGGCTCAGAATACAGAGTGTGTGATGATTGGTTTGTGAGTATGCAAAAAAGTTTAAAGTGAAGACACCACTCTAAGGTGTAGAAGATAGTGTAGAAAACCAATTAGGCTAGGGTAGGTATATATAAACTAGGTAAAGGATGGGGATCAATCAGAGGAAAGTGTGCCAAATGGGAAGACAGGTTCTCAATCTTGTTCGAGGTTTTACCCAGGACTGTTTCCAGCTTGAAGGTTGGATTTCACCAGGAACCGCCCCTATCTGCCTAGGCCTTTGCCTCCTGCCTCTATCACTGGTTGGTAGATTGCTACCTCCTTGATTAACAGTGGTAAATATTTCATAAAGGTCAAGGCAGAGAATGACTAAATTTGTTCACTGAATTTAGTAATAAGGACGTCACTGGTGATGTTTTTACAAAGCATATTTTAGAAGTGAGAGAAGAATAATTAAACAGAAAAAATATAGATGAAAAAATCTATAGCTAAGTATAATAAGGAAGCAAGACTCTAATTATAGTAATTTTTTAAAAAAAACAAAGAATAGGTTTTAGTGGTTGGATTTGTAAGCAAGCTAGAAGCAATGAGGGCTGCTACACCTAGATAATAAATGAGATACTTTTGGTGGTTGAAATAGTAAAAATATTATTTCAAAACATATATTGTAGCTATTGTTGGCTGCAGTAGCAATTTCCAAAATAATTGGAAGAAAAAATAGTGCAAAAAGGTAAAAACTAAATGCAGTCAGCTAATGTCTGAAATTATATCCCTTAAAAATAAATGCTTATGTAACTATGTATTAAAACTTGTTATAGGACAGAAATCAAGTTAATAATGCCAGTATATCAGAGATAATTTACAAATAAGAATTGCTAAATTTGAACATATCATAGTCTACATCGTTTTTCTCTAAAATAAAATTTAACAGCAAGATTGGTGAATAGGTATATTGTTTTTATTTATGTCTGAGGCTCAGTGAAAACCAACAAGTCTAGTTCTGAGAAAATCAAGAGAGAAAAGTGTGACATGAAAGTAAATGGGACCTGGTGTCTTTAATAGAGTTACTGCTGCCATACCTCTGGGGAAATACTCTGGAAGCAAGAGTAAACTGATAAATCTAATAAGTTACTTGCTGGAATCCTGCTTTCATACCTGAAATATACAAACTTCATTGAAAAACCCAGTAGTCATCATAACAGAACAAAGTAGTTAATTTCACAAAAATACAGCCCTTCAGATCAATGAGAACTAATGCAATTCACACATTTAATAAGATTACTTTTTAAATTATATGGTTTCATAAGCTGAAGATTCTGAAAATCACAGGATATGGGATAAAGTGTTTAATAAGTATAATTTGGAGATTAATTTTCAGCTAAAGAGAGGTTAAATATATTGGAACAAATCCTTTATAAAATGTTAAATATGTTATAAATTAAATGTCAAAGACTGTGTTTAAAGAAGCAGATGAATACACTTATAAATGTAAAATTTGAGTAGCATCCATTTTTTCCCATGTCTTCCATGATGCCATGAGTATATTATTTAATTTTTCTTTTCCCCAATGCAACTATTTGGAAAATTGCTCTCATTACATCAAATATTCTTCTCAAATAGATAGATTAGTTTTGTTTCTCGATTTTCTGTTGAATAATTTGAACAATAATATATCTATAAGACAGATGCAAATATAGTGTCTTAGAAATCAAAGCAATTATTGAGTAACGATTATGATTTACAGAAAAATTCAGTTTCCATGGGACTATAAATAATTTGTTCCTGTCTTTAAGGAGCTCAATATCTATTTGTCTTAGATTATTAGGCTATCGATCACCTATGTGCCTCATCTTTTTTAATCATCTTGTAGTCAACGTTAACAATTGAATAAACTTTTTTTTTAAAGCACAATGATTTTGGTCTGAGAGATGAATTGTCACTAAATATTGAATGATGATCTCATCATGCAAATTTCATTGACATATAAAAAATAATTACAAAATAGAATCCTATTTAAATATTTGCCAGTTAAACTAGTGTTATTCATTTACATTATACTATTAATTTAAATTAATAAATAATACTATGCTTATAAAACGAGACATCATGCTAGAAAATATTATAAGGCTTACTGTGATCTTAAAGAAAAGAGAAGGTTTTAAGTCAGTTTATACACTAGCATCTGGTGTTGCAGTTAAATACCAGAAATGAAGACTAAGTTGCCATGTAACGATAGAGGATATAACACTTTCATACAAATGTCATGAAATAGCAAACATTTTAAAACTCAAAATTCATTATTTAATTAAAAATAAAGACAACATTAGTTTTTTTGAGAGTTTGAAGAGGTTATAAATAGTAAAAAACAAACAAAATGAAAGAAGAGAAAGAAGGAGAGGAAGAAGAAGAACTAGTAGTGGTGGTGGTCCAGGCAAAGAGGAAACAAAATAAACAAAACAATGAAAAATAAAGGAAAGCACATTCCCACATAAAGAGGCGAAGAATGTTGTGTAGGTCACATTTATCTAGAAGAGCTCGAAGCTGATGACAAAGGTTATACAAAGTAGGTGGGGCCGCTCTACAGACTCAGGGTATTTAACCATGGGTCTGCAACAGGTCAGCATGTCAGCTCTTGTAACACTGCTTGTAACGCTCAATGTGCTCATCTATCAAAGCGGGGTAGGTCATTTCCAGGCTGCGCAGTGGTGCAGCTCTCCTAAAACCTATCAACCCCTTTGGGACAGGAGAGCCTAACACCTTCAATACACGCATCCAGCACAATGCTTATTTTCTGCCCTTCCCCTACAAATACCAAGGATCTGGTATTCTTACATTTAAGAAATACATAAATGAACAGAAAATTAACCACCACTAAATAGAGGAAATGGAGCTTGTCTTAGTCTATTCAGGTTGTAATAATAAAATACCATAAATTGGGTGCTTTATAAACAAGTTTATTACACAGTTCTGGAGGCTGGAAAATCCAAGATCAAGGCATTAGCAGATTTGGTGTCTATTGAGGGTCCACAACCTGCTTCGCAGATGGCTGTCTTTTCAATGTGTCATTACGTGGCAGAAGGAAAGAAGGGGCTCCCTGAAGTCTCTTTTATAAGGGCACTAATTGCATTAATTAGGGCTCCACGCTTATAACCTAACTACCTACCAAAGACCCCACCTCCAAATATCATCACTGGCGATAAGGTTTCAACAGATAAATTTTGGGGGATACAAACATGCTTGGCCTAAATAAACAAAAAATAGAAGAGCAATCATAATATTGTAAACGAATAAGTTAATTGTTTTATTGTTAAAACAAAGGCTTTTGGGGGTGAGTATCTGCTCTATGAAAAATCTTCTAGAGATCTTGGTATTAAAAATGTAAAAATTTTATCATTGCCATTAGGAAAACTGGTAGATAGGCTGAATAACAAAACAGTTGCAACTTAGGAGAAAAACAGTGAGCCCAAAGACTGAACATAAGGATTTTTTAAGTTTTATGGTAGCATAAAGAGATATAAAGTGTATGAGAAAACCAGTAGAGATCTAGAAGTTCTTTCTGGTATCTAAGAAGAATTTCAGAATTTAATTAAGACAGAATGAAGGGAGGAGTATTTTTAAGAGGTAACTAACATAATTTTTATGATCGTCCATACAGATTTGGCAATTTCTACTTCCTTTAATTGCAGTACCTGGTGTGTCATAAGCAATTTTTACAAGTACAGTCATTTTTTGTTTTCCCATTTCAGTGTTGTAGCATGAAACGATTTTCAGTGATGAGCAACCTAATTTAAGTGAACATCCATTTTTAATGCTACCACATAAGGAAATAGAGCTATGATTATGATTAACAACTATGTTCTATGCAAGGGTAACCCCAGACATATGCAGCTCCGTCATAACTGACTCCTTTGTCTGGAACTATGTCTTTTATACAATGAATGTGAAGTCCTTCAATTTTCATAAAAGATACAGTTGACATTATTTATAATATAGAAGTGATGGCATGATAATACAGAAAATTAATAATAATTATTCAACAGAAGTTCCCAGCCATAATATCACTTCTGAAAAATAATGCATGCTAGTATTTTTTGAGAATCTGTAATGGCTTGACACTTAGCTAAGCAGTTAACTGCTTTCATCATATTATTTTATGTAAGTCTGTTTTAGTCTGTGCAGAACGCTATAGAAAAATACCATACACTGGGTAACTTATAAACAAATTTCTTTCTCACGGTTTTGGAGGCTGAGAAATCAAAGATCAAGTCATCAGCAGATTCAGTGTCTGCTGAGGGGCTTTTTCCTTGTAGACTAATGGTTGCATCTAGCTGTGTCTTCACAACCCATGATGCAAGGGGCAGGGTAGCTCTCTGGGACTTCTTTTATAAGAGCACCAATTCCATTCATACCATTTATGCCCCCATGACCTAATCACTTCTCAAAGGCCTCACATCCTGATACTATATGACCCCATACCTGATACCTTGGGAATCAGAATGTCAGCATATACATTTGGGAGGACACAAACATTTTGATCATAACAAGGTCCTAGAAAAGAAAATTGAAATCACAGAAGTAGATTTGATTATTTAACATTTGCATCTAGATTGCCAACATTTTATTTCTGTTAATGAGTTTGCAAATTCAACCCTGTTAGAGCGATACCAGCTTCATACCATCCCACAGAATCAGGAGAGATTTTCTTGAAACTGCTTCACAGCCCAGCTTCTCTCTCTTCACTTCCACTTCCATCTCTGCCCAGCAAGTGTTGATCCCAAGAGCATTTCCTAATAAACTCCTTGGAAATTAATCTGTCTCTGTCTCAGAGTTTGTGTCTCAGGAGATCAAACCTATAAAAGTGTTCCAGAATGAACAAGGAGGTTATCAAAAAAAAATACAGGCATAAAAACAATCTGTTAATCTTTGATTGGCGTATAACTCTGAGACAATTCTCCCCATGTAAATAATGCCTAGGTGTGCTACATTTAGTATATGAAGAAAAGGTAAAGACTCAGTTATAGGGCAGAACACAGGTGGCTCACGCAAGTCATCTCAGCACTGTAGGAGGCCAAGACGGGAGGATTGCTTGAGCCCGGGAGTTCCAGACCCGCCTTGGCAACACAGTGAGACCCAGTTTCATAAACAAACAAACAAACAAAAAAAGCAAAAAAGCACCCAGTTGTAGAGCAATATGATTTTTCCAACAGAGGGAGACAAAATTTAAACATAAGCTTTAATGCCAAATGTCAGAGAACCATTTTAATTTTCACATTGGTCCAATTATATATGTTGACACATTTTATTAAGTATTTTACTCACACAATTTCACTTACAAATATAAAAATATATAGAAAATAAAATATAGATACTATTATAAGCTTGAGGTTAATGATATACTAAAACATTAAAGGATGTTTATAATATCATTCTGATTGCTCACAAATATTTGGAGAGAATTTAATAAACAATACATTTGTGGCTACATTAACACAACTACATTACATTAATATGACATAGAGATGAAAAAGACCAAGTTAGCTTGTGAAAAATGAATTCAAGAATGTGGATGAGTTTCTTAGTTCAGAATTGCTCAGGAATTGGGACATTATGTAGGTAAGATTCTGGAAAGGGCAAAAGGATGAAAAACAAGAGAAGGCCTAACCCATCTGCTACTTGATTATCTTAATGAAGCAAATCTAGAGATTTATTAAAGTAACTCTTGCTTATTGAGCACCATATTTAACACAAACTATTTAGCTTTAAGGCAACAGTTATCATCATAATTTGCTTAAATTTTTAGGAGTTTACTCATAAAGCTTTGCTTTCAGTGAGATAAGGCCGGATGGGCAAAGAGTAAACTACCCTGCAAATATATGCGGATAATTTAATTGGTTTCATATTACAGGAATCTAGAGGGCCAATTACTTTTTCAGTAATAAAAAAATAAAAGGGCCAGATGCAGTGGCTCATGCCTGTAATCCCAGCACTTTGGGAGTCCAAGGCAGAGAGATCGCTTGAGCTCAGCAGTTTGAAACCAACTTGGGCAAAATGAGAAAACACCCATCTCTAAAGAAATATATAAATTAGACAGAAATGGTGTCATGTGCATGTAGTACTTGTATTCCCAGCTACCTCAGGAGGCTGAGGTGTGAAGATCATTTGAGCCTGGAGAGGTCAAGGCTGATTGAGCCATGATGGTGCCAGTGTACTTCAGCCTGGGTGACAGAGACTGTCTCAAAAAAAAAAAAAAAAAAAAAAAAAAAGACAAAAGCGTTCTTACTGAAATGCTTAGCCATTGCTTGCTTATACTTCTCAGATATCTTATACAATTAAATTACATTTCTCTTAAGTGTTTTTTTAAAAGAGCCCAGGCTGGTTGAGTGAGCATACAATCTTAGATGAAGTCATTTTCTTTTTGACATAAAATATTCGGCTCCTCTTTAGCTTAACAGTAAACAGGTGTTAATCCGAAACTTTGTCCATGAACTTTTTCATTTATGAATTTATTGTATCTAAATGCCAAGATGATTTTTTTTTGAGTTACATAATCTTACTTCATGGAATTGTAGCAAAATCGCAGCTTGGAGATATAGTATGTGGTTTCATAATGTTCGTTCTCCTACTTCCAGGCATAAGATAAGCTGGCAGTTACTTTCCCCTTGAAGATAGGCAGAGTGAAATGACTAAAACTGACCAACAAAATGATGGACAGAATCTATAAGGGCCAGTGCATATTTTAATTTACTGTTTATCTCCTGCCCTTGTAGCAAACAACATGAAGTAGACACCCAGCTGTTTCAGAGTAGCCAGTGCATACTTAATTTTGAAAGAAATATTTTATTGCATTAAAATATCTTCATAAAACCTTCGAATATTTATTGGCTATGGGGTGTTAAAGGCTATATGGTGAGTTTTTCTTGTTTTACAAATGCAAAAACTGAAGCATGGCTAATTTTTTGATGCACCCAAGGGCACAGGAAAATCTATATTTTTCATGTTAAAAGCAAAATTCTGCATTTATTTGTTTGCTTCCCTCACCAAAGGGGCTAGATTACGTTACTCCAACACAAATACAGACACACATTACTGGCTTATGCCACCAATGGCTTATTTCTTACAAATGCTGTATCACATTTTATCACAAGCCACCAAGTTTTTGATTTTGCTGTTGTGGTGTTATTGCAACATAACCCAACTTATCCTCTGTTAGGTCAGAAACATTGAAGAATCTGGTATTTTATTCTACCTACAAGACAACAGAGAGTAGGTGCGTGTGCTGATACTGTGTATGCTCTGTGTATGTGTGCCTACACAGAGCACACACTCTTACACAACACACAAAACTTCTGGGTCAGAGAAAAAGCCAGTTTATTTATTTTTATTTTTAATTTTTTTATTATACTCTGAGTTCTGGGATACATTTGCAGAATGTGCAGGTTTGTTACAGACGTATACATGGGCCATGGTGGTTTGCTGCACCCATCAACCTGTCATCTATATTAGGTATTTCTCCTAATGCTATCCCTCCCTTAGCCCCCTAACCCCTGACAGGCCCTGGTGTGTGATGTTCCCCTCCCTGTGCCCATGTGTTCTCATTCTTCAACTCCCACTTATTAGTGGGAACATGCAGTGTTTGATTTTCTGTTCCTGTGTTAGTTTGCTGAGAATGATGGTTTCCAGCTTCATCCATGTCCCTGCAAAGGATATGAACTCAATCTTTTTTATGGCTGCATAGTATTCCATGGTGTATATGTGCCACATTTTCTTTATTCAGTCTATCATTGATGGACATTTAGGTTGGTTCCAAGTCTTTGCTACTGTGAACAGTGCTGCAATAAACATACATGTGCATGTATCTTTATAGTAGAATGATTTATAATCCTTTGGGTATGTACCCAGTAATGGGATTGCTGGGTCAAATGGTAGTTCTAGTTCTAGATCCTTGAGGAATTGCCACACTATCTTCCACAATGATTGAACAAATTTACACTCCCACCAACAGTGTAAAAGTGTTCCTGTTTTTCCACATCCTCTCCAGCATCTGTTGTTTCCTGAATTTTTAAGGATAGCCATTCTAACTGGCATGAGATGGTATCTCATTGTGGTTTTGATTTGCATTTCTCTAACGACCAGTGATGATGAGCTTTTTTTCATATGTTTGTTTGCCACATAAATGTCTTCTTTGGAGATGTGTCTGCTCATATCCTTTGCCTACTTTTTGATGGGGTTAAAACTGGAGACATCAAGCTACCTGACTTCAAACTATACTACAAGTCTACAGTAACCAAAACAGCATGGTACTGGTACCAAAACAGATATATAGACCAATGGAACAAAACAGAGGCCTAGGAAATAACACCACACATCTACAATCTTCTGGTCTTTGGCAAGCCTGTCAATAACAAGCAATGGGAAAAGGATTCCCTATTTAATAAATAGTATTGGGAAAACTGGATAACAATATGCACAAAACTGAAACTGGACTCCTTCTTATACCTTATAGAAAAATTAACCCAAGATGGTTTAAAGACTTAAATGTGGCCGGGCATGGTGGCTCATGCCTGTAATCCCAGCACGTTGGGAGGCTGAGGTGGGTGGATCATGAGATCAGGAGATCGAGACCATCCTGGCCAACACGGTGAAACCCGGTCTCTACAAAAAAAAAAACACAAAAAATTAGCCGGGCGTAGTGGCAGGCGCCTGTAGTCCCAGCTACTCAGGAGGCTGAGGCAGGAGAATGGCGTGAACCCGGGAGGCGGAGCTTGCAGTGAGCCGAGATTGCACCACTGTACTCCAGCCTGGGCGACAGAGTGAGACTCTGTCACAAAAAAAAAAAAAAAAAAAAAAGACTTAAACGTAAGACCTAAAACTGTAAAAACCCTAGAAGAAAACCTAGGCAGTACTATTCAGGACATAGGCATGGGCAAATACTTAATGACTAAAACACCAAAAGTAATGGCAACAAAAGCCAAAATTGACAAATGGGATCTAATTAAACTAAAGAGCTTCTGCACAGAAAAAAAACAAAAAAAACAAAAAAAAAACCAGAAAAACCAGGCAACCTACAGAATGGGAGAAAATTTTTGCAATCTATCCATCTGACAAAGGGCTAATGTCCAGAATCTACTAGGAACTTAAGCAATTTTACAAGAAAAAAATACAGTTTATTATCCTCAGTAAAAGCAGCAGCCAGAGCCCATTCTGTTCCCTGAGTTTCAGTCTCCACAAGGTGATGTGGTGAGGCTCATGTAGTATCCAAATATGCAGAGGGGCGCAATGCAATTAAGAAGCTTCGCCCTTATGTAGGGCTGCTGGTGGCCCAGTCACACACCTCTTTCTAGGGAGAAAAAAGACAGGGAGACTATATCTTTACTCTGGAATGTAAGCATATTTTCTCCAGGAATTGGATAGAGATACGTTTATCTTTATTGCTCTAGAACAGCTCAAAACAGTGAGATATTTCTAAACTTTACTCTCAGCGAATGTCTCAATATACAAACTTTCCTAATTTGTCTGTAATTATCTTTGCTCAGAAAAACTCGATTTCAGACATATAGAGATCCGGGGAGAATTGTCACAACATTCCCACTAAAATAGCCACCTTCACAAATAAATATTTTGTCTGAACGTCACCATTAGACACTGTTTTCAGTCCCTAACTGCCACTATTGGTGCACTTACAGATGCCTAGAATATAAAGTCAGGTATTGCATGAATTGGAAAATAACCAGAGTACATTACAGGGACTGTAATAAACAGTCTTAAAGTGAGGGTAAGACCATGACTTTTAGAAAGATAAAAATAGTGTATGTAGCAATAGGGGAATGGCTAGATAATTATGGCAATACATTCCATGCAACACTGCCCAGAGGTTTAAAATAGTGAAACCGATTTATAAGTATTAGAGAATTGGAAACTTCTTTGAAATATATTTAGTGAAAATATTGTGATGGAACAATTTGAATATAATGACTTCATCTGTATTGTAACATGTACACATGTACAAATATACACATATATAAACATGTATTATGATTGTAAATGAAATAATGCACAATACTTTATAAAATGTTTTGGAAATGGAAGAGGTTTGTTGTCCTAATGAATGGGAATTACTACCGGCATTTAGTCTCCCTTGGAGACCGAGCAGTTCCCAACATAAAAGAATGTTCTTGAGCACTGCAAAATTAGCAGAATGTCTTTTTGTACATTCATGTAGTTGAAAAATCTATTTATACATAAATCTGCTTTTTAAACAATATAAATATGGTCTGTTTCCTGAAATCATCTAGTTTTCATATACGCTGGATTTTTTTTTTTTTTTACAAATTCATTACCTGATAAATCAAGGTAAGATTACAAACTGTATCCAATTTTGCTTTCGATTTAAGCTGCTGTGCTAGTGCAGATTCTACGTGGCATGTGTTTACTTTATCATAGCTCCTGTCTTACTGTACTTGAAGATTTACATATTAAAATAGGTGTTGTATTGTAGTTTTTAATTTAGTCTTCCATGTAAATGGCAGGATTAAATCGCCTTTACTAATTAAGTGTCAAGGCAGATTATTCTGTCTAAACTGAATTGTGGCATGTTAAAGGAAACACTTTAAATATTCATTATAAAATGAGCCATTGGGTCTGCTATATTGGAGATCCACTCTTTTATATAATTCCCTATTGGTTGGATATTTTAATGTAAATATACATTTCTATAGTCATTTAAAAAATGTGTATATTAGGTATGTATGCTGAAGCCATACAGGCATGAATTTGAACCTTGTCTTTGTCACTTACTAGATCACCTTAGCAAATTTGGTTATCTTTTATTTTGTTTCAATATCTGCTAGTTTGCTATAAAAATATGAAATAATTCCACATTTGTACAATAGTATTATATTCACACACTGTACAGCACACAAAGCCCAAAGGTTTGCACACTATGAAACATATGTACATATGTATTCATATACACATAAGTGAATAATTTCATGAAACAACATTCTGACTCAGTTATCTAAAATGTCTCATTGCACATTGAAGCTCATTTGCTGTATAATTACGTTTACATCTACTTTGAACAGAAAGAAGACACTGGCTGACCCTTGTCTGTTGCTTTCTCAGGTGTTTCAGACGCAGGTTATTAATAGACTTGGGAAATGCGGTGTTTTCTAGGCATGATCCTGAAATCTACAGTACTTGAACAGAAGTCTATTGACCAGAATGTTTCCAAACTTTAAACCCTAGGATAATGGCTTCGTATCGATTCAATAGTCAGAGACGATGCTGTCCTTTGATAAAGTCTGCTCTCATTAAATGGTAGTGTAGGTGCAGCCCAATAATGCTCAACAAGACTCATTGAAAGCACAGCCTGCAGATCGAAAAGCAATTAGCATGCTAGATTGTGATAATTACTCACAGTATGGGAGGCTTCTCCAAGATAGAGCTTCCACTGTGCCTAATAATAGAATTATTTAAATGGTGATATATTTTCAGGGACACACAACATTCTCATTTCAACCTTGTCACTTATATTGGATGGGGAAATAAACATCCTTCACACATTTTTTCCCTTTCTACAGTATGGCACATTGCTGTTCTGACAACTTGTAATGTCACCTGAATGTTACCTTGAATCATGATTTAGTGGGCCAGAGCAAAGCAACATCTCATTTATATCTGCTATTTCCTTGCATTGCAATGTAATGGTTGCAAAGACAAAAATTAAAATTGAATGTGGAAACAGATGGAGGAGTTGTATGTCTGTAAAAATGTGTCCCTTATAAAAGGTCAAGGTTGCTCAAATTTCTACTTGGGGGAAAAAATCAATTTTGGGACATAGCAAAAGCCATATGACAATTTATTTTGCTCAACTAAAATTAATTATTTCTGAATTATTAACCTTTAATATTTTATTCTACTTATGCTTTTTATCATTAATTGAAAATTATGTAGGATATCAAAAATACTATGATATGTTTCAATACTTAGGTGTACTTCCTGAATAATTTTGGAAATATTTTATTATTATATTGCTTCATTAAAGCTAGCATCCTGGGAACTAAATGCATGACTTATCATTATAAATAAACAATTAAATCCGGAAAAACTGCTTCACTAGAGAAAGTTAGGCTCATAAAATATCTTGCAGTTAAATTCCCCTGTTTTTTTTTTCTTTCTACTTTAATTCAAACCTCTGTAAACATTTACCATTGGCATTTGTTAATTGAAATTTAATCTACTTGATAGCTTATTTTGGGGCGATCACCTACATTTTTTATTCTCTGTTGATTCAAATTTTTGTTGCCAAAAAATAAATAATTAAGAATCATGTCAATAAGTTAGAAACATTTCATGGAGAAACAAATTGCACTGATAGATCAGTGTTGATTAAGATGATGATATATAAAAGGAAAAATGTCATTTAGAATTTTGGATTCAAAATTGGAACTTTGCTTCTTTAAGAAATGTTTCTTTACTTGAACATAAATAGATGTTCAGTTTATTTCTTTGCAAATGCATTATTATTATAATAGAATCACACTAGTGTATTTCCTGGGTATACGGTAAGTTTTGTCAATAATTTCATTATTGGAAGTTCATTTTTTTATAGTCATAAAAGGATAATAATAACATACCCATTCTGTTTTAGGCACTGCGCCTACTGTATATAAGTAAATCTTCCTCATCTTTATAACCAATCACAGAGCGTTTTTACCAACCTTGTTCAAAGATTCGAAGACTGTAGCATAGAGAGTTTAGGCAGCTTCCCCACAATCACAAAAGGAAAGAGGCAGGTTGAGGATTTGACCCCAGGGAAACTGTGCTTTTAATAACTGTAGCTGACTGATCTAGAGAAAGGTTTCATTCACTCAGCGTATTGACCATTTGATCTCCAGTTTGGGTGTCAACAAAGGGAAAAGAAGACTAGAAAATGGGTAATGTTCATTTTCTTGAGACGTGTGTTGAGGAGGGACTGATGGTGTCAATTGTCCACACAGTGAAGCAGAACATTTTGATAGCTCCAAGTGTGTGGACATGTTGATGTCAGCACATTCTGTCTCTTCCTCTGCTGTTAACAAAAGAGGACAAGAATCGTGAATTTTTCACAGGTCAAATATATGAAAGCATATTCTAAAGTGAAAGAAGGAAGAAAACATAAATCAAAAGAAGAAAGAAATGCATTTTGTGATATATCTATAGCTCTCTGGGGACTATTCATAGGCTGCCTGTAAAATGTATTTATTTATGTCTCATCACTACTCTTTAACAGCTCCTTGATGGCCTGTTAAATTAACTTTAGAGGTATTGTAGCACATGCATCTAGCAAAGTGTTTTTCTATGGGAAAGATTTAACAGGTACATATTGGATCAGTGTGAATATAAATGATATATATTTAAAAATGTTTAACAGCACAGGCTCTGGAGCTAAACTCGTTGGCATTAAATACCAGTTTCACACTTAGTAGCTCTTCGATCTTGGGCAAAACAATTCACTTGTCTAAAACATTGTCTTTTCATCTCTAATCCTGAGATCCTAATAATGAAGATTAACTGAGTTATGTGCATCACTTTGCACAGATAATTGTGCATGCTAAATTGTTTATAGTGTTACTTATTGTAAAGTTGAATATATATATAAATTACATAGCATTCAAAATTATTAATGAAAGTAGCATTTTAAAATATGTGATGTATTTTTTCTTCTGCACTTTAAAAAAAAGAACTGCTTTATCGAGGCTTGATTGGCATACAAAAAACTGCACATAGTTAAATGTATACAACGTGATGAATTTGGAGCTATGTACACAATTGTGAAACCATCTCCACAATCTATGCCATGCACTTACTCATCTCCTCTAAAAGTTTCTTATTTCCTTCTTGTTTATTTATTATTTTTGTAATAAGAACACAACATAGGATCTACACTTTTAGCAAATTTTTAAGTATATAAAAAGTATTGTTAACTACAAGCAATATGCTAAACAGTAGAACTCTAGGACTTATTCATCTTGTTTATAACTTTGTACCCTTTGACTGGCACCTCCCCATTTCCTTCTCCCTGAGTCCCTGGCTACTGCCTTTTACTCTCTGCTTCTATGATTTTGACTCAGACTTATCATATAATTGGTATTGTGTAGATTTTGTCTGTCTGTGTCTGGCTTATTTCACCAGCATAATGTCCTCCAAGTTCATCCGTGTTATCTCAAATGGCAGGATTTACTTATTTTTTAACGCTGAAGAATATTTTATTGTATGCATATACCATGTTTTTTAATCCATTCATTTGATAAACATTTAATCTGCTGTCAACTCACTCCAGCTAGAATGGCTATTAATAAAAAAACAAAGATAATAAATATTAGGAAGATGTGGAAAAAGAGAACCCTGGGACACTGTTGGTAGGAATGCGAATGGGTGAAACCACTATGAAAAAAATATGAATTTCTCAAAAAATTGCAAATAGAATGACCATATGATCCAGCAGTCCCCCCTCTTCACTTTTATGTACATAATTATCTCCTTAGTGATTGGAAGATAGTAGGTGAGGACTGTTTTCTGAGAAATAAAAAGGTAGAATTCCATGTCTTGTAGTTTCTAGGATTTAGAATTGAGGATTTTTTCAGAGATGTAATAATTTTTTAGACCCCATTAGCTCCTAGTTTGTATATCAAAAGTCAAGCTTGGTGGCTTAGATCACAGTGTTTTTCATTAGTTTATGTGTTTTTATTTTTTTATGTTCTAAATATAGTGGAATACCAACTTCTCCAAGGCTGAGGAAGTTTTGGAAGAAAATGATATGCAAATGTAGGGAAGGCCAGAAAACCAAGTGTTGTTAGAGTGTGAAAAAATAATAGATGAACGCAGATGGAAAAGGGCCATTTGTTTCCGTTTCTATTTGGGGCAGAAGGAGATGATGATCTCACAGGGTGTTCAGCAACAATTTGGGAAGGCAGAAAGGGAGGAAGTTAGCACTTCCCAGCCATTCTCAGCACATGGGCGATATAAAGAATCTAGAACTTGTCCTGCATTTTGGGGAAATGTGGCGATAGCTGGTGGTGGAAGGCAAGCCCACAAGAAGGTTTACAAGGTGGGACAAACAGAGGGGAGTGCCTACAGTTCTATAGCTGAAATCTATAGGATAACTGACCCAGTTTGGAGATAGGTGGTGATATGGTGCGTCTGTGTCCCCACCCAAATCTTATCTCAAATCGTAATCAAAATTGTAATCCCCAAGTGTCAGGGGAGAAACCTGCTGGGAGGTGATTCGATCATGGAGGCGGTTTCTCCCATGCTATTCTCATGATAGTGAGTGAGTTCCCACAAGATCTGATGGTTTTATAAGTGGCAGTTTCTCCTGTTCTCCTTCTCTCCTCCTGCCTTGTGAAGGAGGTGCCTGCTTCCCCTTCCGCCATGATTGTAAGTTTCCTGAGGCCTCCCAAGACATGTGGAACTGTGAATCAATTAAACCTCCTTTGTTTTCAAATGACCCAGTCTCAGTGTCTTTACAGCAGTGGGAAAATTTACTAACACAAGTGGATTATCACTGCTGGGTATCCGGTGGAGGCAAATGAACAGGGGAACGACTGGGCCTTGGTCAAACCAAATAAAAACAAAATTCATGTTATAGCAGCTCATGCATTAGCAGCACGCCCCAATAAAATGGCAGGGGATGGGGTCCCACCAATTCACATCACAGACATCAACCAGGGCACATTGGGTAAGCAGGCAACCAATTCTGTCACATAAAGCATTTATCTTTACATTAGGTATAGCTTTAACATTCCGACTAAATAAAAAAAATAAGTCCATGGTCAGTATCTGAGCACCTGCTCTCTTGGAAAGAGGTTAAAGGCACTTATATAATATTTAATGCTGCAGTCCTCTCTATTTTGCACTTTTGTATTTGAATAATCCCCCTTCTGAGTAACACATTCTTTTTTTTTAGAGGTGTTAATAGTTGCAACCAGGTTAACGTCACGTCCTGCTGGCCTGGGAGCCCTCTGCTCTTGAGGTGGCTGCTTAGCTATTATCAGCTCCATGATGGGCTTATCTAAAAGTTACACTGTCAGGGGACAGTCTTTAGACACTTATTTTCAAGTCAGCCTCTCCCAGTTTCTCCTTACTTCAGAGTTATTTAAAATGGAAGAGATACTACAGAGTTAGTATCTCTTACTATTAGTCATAATAGTCATTACATTATTTTTCTATTGTTTATATACTTAAACTTTTAAAGAATTATTTTCAAAAATGTAAAGAAAATGTTACATATTTTTAAGAAAACTTAAGATTTTTTTTAATTCCAGGTTTTGACTTTCATGAACAAATGGGTCAGCAAAACTTACAGACATTTGTCACAAATAAATAGTGTACAAAATAATGGATAGATTATAGAACTGTTTTGTAGAACTGATGGGACTCAACAGTGTTTTGTTGTTGTTGTTTAATGTGTTTTATTTTGAAAATCAACAATTTAGTAAAAAGGGCATAGATTAAGGGTCACAAAGTTGTCATTTGGCTTACAGAATTACTCAGGGTTAAAAAAATAATTATTAGCAACATTTAACAACCTGAAGATCTTACATAAGAAGCCAGATGTTCTACTTCTTAAAGTCTGATTTTAAATTAATCATTGCAAAACAGCTGCGGTTGTGTAACATTAAAAGGAAAGAAAAATATTTCTTCTTTATTGTTAGTCACTGTTACAATAGTAATAGGGAACCCAAAGAGCCATGCATTTTGAGAGAAAAACAACAAAAAAGTATATTTCTTAGTTTAATTGAAGACTGTTCCTGTGTGGCGTTATAACAGCTTGTTAAAATAAGACATTGCATGACCCCATTGCCAGCCACCTTCCCTTGTTTAAGTTACCTATCCTGCCTGTTAAGGCATCACAGTATGTGAATCTTGCCATAAATCATGTTTGGCTCTCATAACCCTGTGTGATCTCACTGACTAGCTCGTAACCTGAGAGTGCTAAGTAGTTCTCAGGACCAACTATGCCAAGGTCAACACGGGAATGCCCAATATGATTGGGATGTGTCATAGTGAAAGCGGACCATCATAGTTGATAGCAACTTTAAGAAAATGTCACTACAGAAGTTAGTTGTTTTTATTACCAAGACAAATGTCAGAGTAGCTGATCCTGAAATGATGAGTTCATGTTTTATTAAAAGTGATGTTTTTCTGAACATACATGTCCTTGAAATCTGCAGCTCCTAGATGCCACTGAAATTTAAATAATTGAGTCAAGCCTCTGCCACTCTGAAATTCTGTGACCCAAATTTTATTGGAGAGCCAAGTTTTCTATATAACTGAGATGTTACTGTCTGCACTCTGATACTAGATGTGTATGTAATCTGTACAGCAAAAACATTTATATACACATATTACTGGATCATTCTGCAAAATAATAAGATGACTTTCAGAAAAGAAAGGTTTAAAGGACTTTTTGCTTTTATGTTTAATAGTTTCATATAGCTTGGCTCATTAAGCACTAGGTATTTTCTAAATGATCATTAAAATTAAAAAAAATTAATTGTGGTAAAATACACCTAAAATAAAACTTACCATTTCATCATTTTTAAGTGTACAGTTTGGTAGTATTAAGTACATTCACATTGTTGTGTGAGCATCACCGTCATTAATCTCTAGGGCTCTTCTTGCAAAATGAAACACTATACCTATTAAACAGCAACCCCATACAATTCTCTACTGCATACGGTCACTGACAGCCAACTTTCTACTTTCTGTCTGTATGATTCTGATGACTCTAGCTACCTCATACATGTGTAATCATTCAGTGTTTGTCTTTTTGTGACTGATTTATTTCATTTAGTACAATGTCTTTAAGTTTCCCTCATATTCCAACTTGTGTCAAAATTCTTTTCCTTTTTAAGGCTGATGAATATTCCACCGTGTGTGTGTGTATACACACACACACACACACACACACACACCATAATTGTTTATCCATTCATTGACTGTGTGACACCTGGGGGTCCTTCCATCTTTTGGCTATCGTAAACAATGCTATTATGAACATGGGTGCACAATTATCTCTTTGAGACTCTGCATTTCATTTTTTTAAAATATATCCCCAGAAGTGAAATTTGTGGTTCATAGAGTAATTCTGTTGTTCATTTTTTTAGATATTTCCATTCCATTTTTTCACAGTGGCTGCACCCTTTTAATTTCCTACCAACAGTAGAGTTTCCCATCCCTCTGCATCCTCTCTAACATTTGTCATTTCCTATTTATTATAGTAGGTGTATGATTTAATGTAATTCTTCCTCCTCTTATGCTATCAAATTGAAGACTCATAATTCACATTGGGTTAAATAATGCTTAATATATCATCTCTATTCTTTTTCTTTCCATGTACTTCAACTCTGTTAATACTCAGTTCTACTAGACTCAAATATAATACATCATTAAGCTCATGAATGACCAGAAAATATAAATTGCAGTATTTCCCGGTAGGATCTTTATTTTTAACTCTTGTGAATTATATTTGCCTCTTTATTTCCTAGACACTAGTTTTGATGGTAGACTAGATATAACTCTAATTATTCCAGAGAACTAAACAGGGTCAGCTATAATTCCTTAGAATACCAAACATGAGTATTTTTTCATCCATGCATATCCATATCTAACAAAATATGGAGAAGGTATTTTTTGTTTAAAAGGCTGATATAATGACACAGTTATGGAAACTTAAGATAATGGATCCACTGTATTTTTGCATGCTAACTAGTTTTCTGATTCTTTTTTTCTGTTTAAAATTACATATATTTTGAAATTTGAAACCTTTTAATGTATGTACAGGTTTAAATTGAATGCAGACAAACAATTACATGAATAATAAGTCTATTTTAGAAATCCAAATATACACTTTCAAATAGCCTACAATTCCTCCAGCTTTCCAACAGTCTCAAGACACCTTTTTTTCTTGTATAATTTATGCTTTGCTATCATATTTTATTTTATTTTATTTCTCTCTCTCTTTTCTCTTTTTCAATATCTCGAACGGATTAGAAAAGTGATTCCTGGCTCCTGGTATCATATTCTTAGTGCCTTCCAGCCAGGGACAACCAGGAACACACTTACAGTTGAAATAGTTGTTTTATTAATCAGTGCAGTAAGAAAGAATGTCCAGCATGTGGAACCCTGAAACAGCTCTGTAAGAGGGTGTTAGCAAACTAAGAGCATTTGCTTTACGTGATTTTGGGGTTGTTTAACAAAGTGGGGCTTTGCTTTGGACTTAGAGTGGGAGAAACTGAGTGTGAGAGTAGTTATATGATTGCATTTTTAAATAAATCTTACCAAGAAGGAGAGATGACAAGGTTGAAGCTCCAGGTTTATTTGGGAAGGAAACAGCAGACACTTATATTAGCCGATGTAGAGAAATGTTTGCTATTTTGTGGCTTAGACAATTGTCAAGTTTTGTCTGTGTTTAGACATGAATATGAAGTGGCCTTGTTTTTGTCTTATTTACTACAGTCCCACAATGGCCTTGTCTGATGTTGATTCTTTCTCAAATTGTTTGCATTCAGCATAACGACAAGACCTAACTGGGCTCCTGCTCCAAGCTAACAGGGACTGCTCTTATCTTTCTTGTAGACACGTGAATTCAATTTAAAGACATGATTTATTGATTTCTGCACCTCTGTTTTCTCACCAGTACAATAATAATATCTGATAGTTTGTTTTGAGTATTACATTGATTAGGAAATATCACAAAATTAGCATTGCAACTAGGGCATAGTAAGAATTCAATAAATGCTACTTACTACATAATATTGGATGTTTGACAATCACTATTGTTTCTCATAGTGTGCCAATTTATCGAACTAATAAATCAAAAAAATGATTGAATGAGATAAATAAGGTAAGTCCTGGTTATAGGAATCAACTGATGATCTGATTTTTGAAGCATACGATTTCACTTGTTTCAAGGAAAATCCATAATTTTCTCAAATATACTTTTGGAAAATCAGGACACGTTTTAGGTGAAAGGGGCACGTTCTGTGAAAAATATAATAGATTCAAATGAGAGTCAAAAATATGCACTACTTTCTGAGCTTTGCTTAGAAACATGCATGTCGTTACAATTTTATTTGGGGAGCTAGAGAATAAAATACATTGTGAAGGAATAATTGAGTTTAGTTAATCAGGCTGCAATTGCCAACAATATTATACGAAAGAATAATTTAATTTCTTGTGTTCATAAATTTTGCTCTTGTCTGAGAAATTCTGTGTAGTCTGGGGAATGTGTGTTGAAGGTGATTTGTTCTTTTTATATAAAACTGAATCTTTCTTTGTCCGTTTTATATAAAATATCTAGACAAACGCATAATCTTCACTCACCTGCTTAATTACTATGTTTTTATTGTCTTTAGACAATGAGGCTGTTTAACCCAAAATTTATAAATGCATTATTCATGGACAATTGAAAATATGTATCATGTTTCATTAACACACATACAATTACTTTTTTTTTTTTTTTTGAGACGGAGTCTCGCTCTGTCGCCCAGGCTTGAGTGCAGTGGCGCGATCTCGGCTCACTGCAAGCTCCACCTCCCAGGTTCACGCCATTCTCCTGCCTCAGCTTCCCTAGTAGCTGGGACTACAGGCGCCCACCACCACACCCGGCTAATGTTTTGAATTTTTAGTAGAGACAGGGTTTCACCGTGTTAGCCAGGATGGTCTCGATCTCCTGACTTCGTGATCCACCCGCCACGGCTTCCCAAAGTGCTGGGATTACAGGCGTGAGTCACCGCGCCCGGCCACAATTACATTTTTATGGTATTTCTCTGGCATAAGTAATTCAGTAAAACCATTTTTAATCTGGGAAAGCCATCACCAACTGGAATCTAATTAATAGATTACAGAAAAAAATGTAATCCAAGTCTTAGAATAGATTTCAATGTTTTTTAGTATTCTCAGTAACAAATGTCTAAATAATAAAACATTATAATGAATATTCATAACTTGCTTTATGACATGAAAAATAAACAAGACAGGTTGAGAAACGTAATAAAGATGTTAGTGTAATAATTACAAAATTTGAATTTTTCGACTCCACATGCACAGGAAAAAAATTTGCAACAACCAGGACTTGTACATTTGATATTGAAAAAAGAATACCTTCAAGATTAATATTGTCCTTTTACTTTACCTGAAATTAAGTCTCATGATTTTCATATAATATTTAGTTTCTAGCTCCTCACCTTTCCTTGCGATCCCATGAAGTGCTTCTTCTCAGCATATGTCTGGTGAATTACTGTAGAGTTTCTACTGACATTTCTGCCTTACCTGTTCCACTTTTCCTCCACTGGAAACCTCTGTATTCTACAAATGATCCATCATTTGCTGAGCCTCACATTCACATTTTGCTGAGTACATTTCTGTTCTTTCTTTCTTTCTTTCTTTCTTTCTTTCTTTCTTTCTTTCTTTCTTTCTCTTTCTTTTTTAATTTTCTGCTAGGTACTGTTTTATTTTTTTGCAAGGAACTCTTACAGATGTAAACAGATAAAATTAGTTCACAGCTGTGTGTGGTGGCTCATGCTTTTAATTCCAGGTCTTTGGAAGGCCTAGGCAGGAGAATCACTAGAGTTCAGGAGTTCAAAACCAGCTTGGGCAACAAAGGGAGACCCCATTCCCCCAGCAAAATAATAATAATTCACAACAAGTGAATTGTAACTATCATTCTCCGTTTACTTGTTAAAAATGGAAACTGAGTAACTGATATAAATCTTTAATTATAATCAATCTTTCTTATCAAAAGTTTAGAGGAAATGCTGTAAACTAGTTTCTGGCCAGGAATTCTTCCAAATCAAGATTGAAGACACGTTGGTCATCCCCAGCAATGGAAAGTAGAGAATCTACAAAGTAATATCACAATAGCTTTGCATCCCTTCTTGTGAACTCCGTTTCTTTCCCGGTAATTTCTATTTCTGTTCCAATGGCCTGGAACTTCAGCTTGGAACAGTTCTATTCCAGTGGCCTAGAACTTCAGCATTCCCACATCTTCTTTTCTCAGCAATATTTCTTTCTTCTTTTAAGGTTTGAATCTTGCTTTTCCCTAATTCAGCACTCAGTAGATGATCACTGATGCTATTATAGATTAGAGCACCCCTGGCTGAAGGTGACATCTACCATCCCAGAGGATGGTAAAACTTGTTCTATCATCCTAAGCTCCTTTAATCTATTATTTAAAGTTTATTTTAAAAACGATATGCCTAATCTTCCTCAATGGCTGTACATTGTACGAATGTTTTTTTTTCAGTTTCTGGTGGAATATAGCCTCCTCTCAACAGCGATATAATAGGGAAATAATTCATTGTGCCATCTTAGTTTTTATGAGGAAATCCAAGGTTGTTTATGGAAATAATGAGTCATTAAAGAAATACTGATAGTGGGAAAAACATCTATTAATTTGTTTGATATATTAATTCTTTTTGATGAAATATTTCTAGTATATACGTATACATAATCAAAAAAGTTTAGATAGCTTAAAAATACAAAATAATAAGTTTATTATCAATTGCAGTTCAAAATCCCAAAGGGATAAAATCTAAGGAGAAAATGATAAGGTTTATCTCACTTATAGGGTGGAAAGTTTCAAGAAAATGACCACCTTAAATTTGATTACAAGCTGCATAATATGCAGGTTTGGAAAATAAGCTTTAATGTTTGGTTTACCGGCAATTAGTGTCAAGCTTAGATACAGATGGTATGTTGTTAATCTGTTAAAGCTGGGGCTGTCTTTCAAGAATTAAAACAAATCAACAAAGTTGATTGCTATATAATTGAATATCCACAATTTCATTTTGCTCTAAATGTATTTACGATAGCTAATGCTTATTGACAAATTTGTTAACAGCCCATGACTTTGAGCCTCTGAAGTTATTTGAAGGGCACAACACCATCTGACAGTCTTGCAAAAGATTGAGGGCGACTTTACTGGAATGAATACCGCATTTTAGCCTAAAATAAATTGCTTACAGTGTTTCAGTTTCTTTAGGCATGAAGGACTGAGGTTATTTCCAGAAAACCTAAATTTAGTTAATAAGTCAATGCTACCATGCTGCCTGATCCCCATTTCCTCCTGAAATCATCACTTAACAAGTAACCTCATCACCTAATTTTGGTTAATCACCAAAAATTCACTTATCAATGAGTTTTCACTTTCAATATAAACTCTATGTAGTACATAATGGTACATTTAACAATATAGAATTTTTTGAGGTTTCTAAAAATCAATTCAATACTGCTATTTGCAAATCTTTTTATGGCATAAACTCTACCCATGAAGTAAGTAATTGCTAACTAGTTATTCAGACAATTTAATAAAAACTGCATAGTATGTTGAGGTATTTATTATATTAAATATGTCATAGTTTTATAAGTTTTATGTTAAGAGAATTTACTCTCTGCCCCCAAAAAGCCATTTTTTGTAACATAAAGCAAAACTAAAATTATTTTAAGTTTATTTATGGCTCAAATTATGACTGGTTGAGTGGAGTAGATTGGCAGGACTGCCCTTCTCCACGTGGTTATTCAGGGATTCATACTGACAGAAGTGGCCGGAAAATTAGTCTGGTGCTCATGTCTTTTTCACTCCAACGAGATAGAAGAAGAAATGAGTGCAAGTGAGAGGTTATGAACAAGGTCTTGAAGTGGAGTTCATAATTTGGGATGACTGTGGCTGGAATGTAGGCTAGCTGTGTATCCAATAAGAACAGGAGATCATACATTTTGGATAGTAGCCACCAGTCTCTTTCACAAGTACTTTCTGTTAATTATCTCATTTCATCCTTTGACAAACCTACTATATTTCTGATATATTAAGAAATAAATTTAAAGATAGAGAAATTATATTACTTGATCACCTTATACACTGATAGAGCTGAAGCCTGGGTCTTTCTGACATACAATACCTCTGTTCTATGTGACTCTAATATTCTTCAGTAACATTATTGTTATTTGAATTTTTGCATTATTATTTGGAAAAACAGCAGTGCAATGGTGGATGAATATAAGAGTTTCTATTTCTGATTGTGAATATGCTACCTATTCACTTTTGCTTACCTATGTCTGTATGAATATCTACCAATGATATAACCTCACACATTTCAAATTATTTAAGGTAAAGATTTGATTTTGCTTTCGTTCTCATCGTAATGTATCCATTCCCTTTATTTGAGAATGTTTCTCATTTAATAATCTCAGTATTTTAAACTATTACTTAACAAAATATGAGAGAAATGTCATGTCATAGTTAACTGAGGTCAGTGGACAGATTTTCTTTCTCTCTATAGCCATTCATTAATTTGTTTATTCATCAAATGTTTATGTAGCCCCTATTATGCAACATTCATTTTTGTGACAGAGGGGATAGTATAGCACAAAAAGTAGAAATATCTGCCTTCAGTGACCATCTATACTAGTAGAAAATACAGATAATAAATAAATAAATGCTAGATGTATAATTTAATATCATGCAAGGGATCTGTTGAAAAAGTAAATGAAGAAAAGTAAGAATTCAATATCTCTACTAAAAATACACAACTTTAGATACAGTCATCACTGAAATCCTTTAAGTTTGTCATTTGAGCAGAAACCTGAATGAAATATTGATCGATGGGAACTACTAGCATTTTACTAGTATTTAATTGAAGCTTTCTCCAGTGGAAAGTAGGCAGTTATGGAGCTTGGCTGAGTTTTGTGATAAATTACAGACTGGATGAATTATAGGAAGCAGATTTGCAACAAGGGGTGAATCTAACTAATGAAAAGGTTAATGGAGTTTGTTGATGTACACACAGGTGATGTTTACTGTGTTTCTTAACTTGAGGCAAGTACATTTGCAGGGGATTAAATTTAACCTATGACTTAACTTACATGTTCGGCAAGGGATACTGTGCATGGATATCTATAACTAATCAAATAATTAAGAATTTCATTGTTATTTGTGACATAGATAAACTAGGACATACCTATGTTGCCAAGAGTTCTGCCTTTTCACATATAATGTTACACTCTGTAAACCACAAGTTTGATAACAGTATTTTTGTAATTATTAGTAGCTCATTTCTTACATTATACAGCATTATATCATAAAAAGACTATTGAGCTCATTTAACAAATACAACATGGTCATACTATTACTTATGTATGACAAATAATGTAACTAAGCTTATGGAAATTTGCATTTGTTTAATATCTCTGCATAAAGACAAAGATACAAATATTATGTTGAATTAAATCTCTCTCTCTCTCTCTCCCTCTCTCTCTCTCTCTATATACGTATATATATTTGAGGGCTCTCTGATTTCTGTTTATGAGAATTAAGTTAACCTGGTGAGAAGTACCAGCTAGCATGAGGATCAATTGATTTTATGTTAAATCCATTTTATCAGTTGGAGAAATTCAAGATTAATGTTGGAGAAACAGTATAAAGCTCTAGTTTTTCAGGCTGTAGAATATAAAATCATCAGACAAAACCTAAAAAGGCAAGATATTAGATGTAAGAAATGTCTTGAAATGAATGTGAAGTGAATTGAAAAGAGCCGTGAATAAAGCAAAAACCACTAGGAATTCAATTTTGTTGGCTATTTCTGACATTCACAAGTAGACGTACCAGAAGAAATAAAATCTAAGAAGAGTTTATCTTCTACACAAGTTATTTCCAGCATCTGGCAGTTCATAGCACAAAGTAAACTTCTGCATATGTTTGTCAGAATAAACTAAATCGTCTTGTTAATATACTATTGACACTGATTTTCTTAAGAATGTAGTAAAAAAGTAAATCATTCATTAAAAAAAGGAAAAAATAGAGAATGGTTAAGACCATGAAGTTGTAACTGAGGAAGATATTTAGATTTTATAAGATAAGGAACGATTTTAGTTTATTCAGTCATTACAATGGTTCAACTGCATGCATATATTAAAATATTATTATTATGAACATTTAAAAATGTATACAAAAATAAAACAGTAAACAGTTTAATGTATTTAGCTCCCAGCTTCAAGAATAATCAACATATTCTCCAAATTTGTTTCATATTCTTCTCCACTTTTTTCATCTTGGACTAGATGTTTGAAGAAAATCCTAGATGTCATGCTGATATGGTTTTAATGTGTCCCTATCCAAATCTCATCTTGAATTCTCACATGTTGTGGGAGGGACCCAGTGGGGGGTACTTGAATCATGGGGGCAAGTCTTTCCCATGCTGTTCTCATGACACTGAATAAGTCTCATGAGATCTGATGGTTTTATAAAGATGAATTCCCCTGCACAAGTTTCCTCTCTTCGCCTGCCGCCATTCATGTAAGATGTGACTTGCTCCTCCTTGCCTTCTGCCATGATAGTGAGGCTTCCCAGCCATGTGGAACTGTAAGTCCAATTAACTTTCTTTCTTTTGGAAATTGCCCAGTCTCAGGTATGTCTTTATCAGCAGTGTGAGAACAGATTAATACAGCAAATTGGTACTAGTAGAGTGGGGTGTTGCTTAAAAGATTCTTGAAAATGTGGAAGCAATTTTGGACCTGGGTAACAGATAGAGGGTGAAACAGTTGGGAGGGCTCAGAAGAAGACAAGGAAATCTGGGAAAGTTTGAAACTCCCTAGAGACTTGTTGAATGGCTTTGCCCCAAACTGCTTACAAGGATATGGACAATGAATCCAGGCTGAGATGATATCAGATGGAGATGAGAAACTTGTTGGGAACTGGAGCAAATGTGACTCTTGTTATGTTTTAGCAAAGAGACTGATGGCATTTTGCCCCTGCCCTAGAGATCTGTGGAACTTTGAACTTGAGAGAAATGATTTAGGGTATTTGGTGAAAGAAATTTCTAAGCAGCAAAGTGTTCAAGAGGTGACTTGAGTGCTGTTAAAAGCATTCAGTTTTATAAGGGAAGAAGGACATACAAGTTCAGAAAATTTGCAGCCTGGAAATGTGATAAAAAAGAAAAACTCATTTTCTGAGGAGAAATTAAAGCCAGCTGCAGAGATTTGCATAAGTAAGAAAGAGCCAAATTTTAATTCCCAAGAATATGGGAAAAATGTCTCCAGGGCATGCCAGAGGTCTTCATGGCAGAACCTCCCATCACAGGTCCAGGGGCCTAGGAGAAAATAGTTTCAATATTGAGTATGGTTTAAATATTTTATATTTTACATTTTCAAATATTGCAGTTTTATTATTTATTTTAAATTTCGCCGTCATTATCACACAGAAGGAAATTTGCAACATTTTCTTACTGCCATCTGTAACCCAAAATAAACGTGCCAATTTATTTCAAAATTCATTTTTTACAATCCATTGGTTTAAATCATGATCCATAAGTCACACATTGCAATTGATTGTTGTCTTGTAAGTCTTTTATAATCTATAACAACTTTGTTTATCTATGTTTATTTTGTTATGAATTCATTATTTGTCTTTTCAAAAAAACAGATCATTTTGATACAGTAGGTAGCTTGTCAGGCATGAGCAGGGTAAGGGAGGGCTCCCTCCCCCAACCAGGAATGTCAAGTGACCATCAGGTCATGGTCAGGTGGTTGTTAAAGTGTCTCTCTAAAATAATAATTGGTTGCAGCTGGCACCAGCAAAAGGCAGTCTCCCAGCAGAAAGACAAAACCTGAAACAGGTGATCAGCAGCTTCCCGATAAGATCACAGGAGTTGGACAAGTGTGCTCAAGCATGCATGTTAAAAAGCAAAATGATAGAGTTTAACTGGTATATGACCTTCTAGGAAAATTCAGCTGGTAAGGGAATAACACCTCAAAAGAGCATACATACAACTTTGTATGTATTTCATTCTTTTTTTATGGCTGCATAGTATTCCATGGTGTATATGTATCACATTTTCTTTATTCAGTCCATCACTGATGGGCACCTAGGTTGATTCCACGTCTTTGCCATTGTGAACAGCACAACAATGAACATATGAGTCCACATGTCTTTTTGGTATAATGATCTGTTTTCCATACTCAGTAATGGGATTCCTAGGTCAAGTGGTAGCTCTGTTTTAAGTTCTCTGAGAAATCTCCAGACTGCTTTCCACAGTGTGTGAACTATTTGCATTCCCAACGACGGTGTATAAGTGTTCTTTATTCTCTGCAGCCTCTCCAGCATCTGTTGTTTTTTGACTTTTTTTTTTGAGATGGAGTTTCCCTCTTGTTGCCCAGGCTGGGGTGCAATGGTTTGATTTCGGGTAACTGCAACCTCTGCCTCCTGGTTTCAAGTGATTCTCCTGCCTCAGTCTCCCTAGTAGCTGGGATTACAGGCAGATGCCATGATGCCCAGCTAATTTTTGTATTTTTAGTGGAGATGGGGTTTCACCTTGTTGGTCAAAGCTGGTTTCAAACTCTTGACCTGAGGACATCTGCCTGCCTCAGCCTACAAAAGTGCTGGGATTACAGATGTGAGCCACCATGCATGGCCTGTTTTTTGACTTTTTAATAGCCATTCTGACTGGTGTGGGATGGCGTGTTATTGTGGTTTTGATTTGCATTTTTCTTACGATGTGTAATGAGCATTTTTTCATGTTTGTTGGCTGCTTGTATGTCTTCTTTTGAGAAGTGTCTGTTCATGTCCTTTGTCCATTTTTAAATGGGGTTATCTGTCTTTTGCTGGTTGATTTGCTTAAATTCCTTACAGATTCTAGATATTAGTCCTTCGTTGGGTGCAGTCTGTGAATATTTTTTCCCAGTCCATAGGTTGTCTGTTTACTCTGTTGATAGTTTCTTTTGCTGTGCAGAAGTTCTTTAGTTTAATTAGGACCTACTTGTCGTTTTTATTTTTGTTGCAATTGCTTTTGGAGACTTAGCCAAAAATTCTTCGCCAAGACCAATTCAAGAAGGGTATATCATAAGTTTTTCACAATTTGGAGTCTTACACTTAAATCCTCAATGTGATTAACATTTAAATCAGTAGACTTGGAATAAATGATTTTACACACCGCAATGTAGATGGCCTCACCTAATCAGTTGAAGGCCTTAAGAGAAAAGACTAGGCAACTCCCTTTGGGTCCCCTCCCATTGTATGGGAGCTCTGTTTTTATTCTATTAAATCTTGCAACTGCGCACTCTTCTGGTCTGTGTTTGTTACAGTTTGAGCTGAGCTTTTGCTTGCCATCCACCACTGCTGTTTGCCGCCGTCCCAGATCTGCCATTGACTTCCACCCCTCCAGATCCGGCAGTGTGTCCGCTGCACTCCTGATCCAGCGAGGCACCCATTGCTGCTCCTGATCAGGCTAAAGGCTCGTCATTGTTGCTGAACAGCTAAGTGTCCAGGGTCATCCTAATTGAGCTGAACACTGGTCGCTGGGTTCCATGGTTCTCTTCCATGACCTATGGCTTCTAATAGAGCTATAACACTCACTGCATGGCCCAAGGTTCCATTCCTTGGAATCTGTGAGGCCAAGAACCCCAGGTCAGAGAACAAAAGGCCATCTTGGGAGCAGCCCACCCCTATCTTGGGAGTGGCCCGCCACATCTTGGGAGCTCTAAGAACAAAGACCATCCTATAACATCTGGTGGCCCGTATGGGTATTCTTCAAAGTGGTGAGTAATATTGGACCCCTTTCACTTGCTATTCTGTCCCATCCTTCCTTAGAATTGGAGGAAAATACTGGGCACCTGTTGGCTGGTTAAAAAGATTAGCGTGGCTGCTGGACTTAAGACTCAGGTGTGAGGCTGTCTGGGGAAGGGCTTTCTAACAACCCCCAACCCTTCTGGGTTGCGAGCATTGGTCTGCCCAGAACCAGCTTCCACTTTCAATTTTCCTGGGGAAGCTGAGGGCCAACTAGAGGCAGAAAGCTGGCATCCTGAACTCCTGGCATTAGCTGGTTGAGATCATGGCACAGTCAGAAGTCTCTACTTAACAGTCGCCCATGCATGCGCTCCTACCTTTCCTTCTGACCCATACCTCCTGGGTCCTGACCATGACTTTCTTGAAAGTGTAGCCCCAAAAATTCTCCTTACCTCTGAACCTACTTCCTCCGATCCCTGCCTCCTAGGTACTAATGGTTCAGATTTTCATTTCCTCTAGCAAGTTGTATCTCCAAAGGGATCTAAGGAAGCTTTATGCTGCATCCTTAGGCATCTAGACTATGAACCCAGGGGGTCTTGTCCCTGGTATCCCTCCCAATTTAGGTATACAGCTCTCAACATGGGCAGTTATGTGTGGCCTGTTCCCCACCACCCTTGCCAGGACCCCAAGTTTGTAAATGGCTAGGAAGATTGCTCTCCCATTGTGTAAGATGCTCTCCTCCCCCAGTTTCTACCCAGCTTCCCCCCAGCCCCCCCACCAGTACAATCTCCAAGCCTTGGCTCCTTGGCCAGGGCCTTAGACTGATGACCCAGTACTTTAACAACTAGAACTGGGTCTATGACAACATAATAGATCAGGATGAAAGCAAATTGAGTAAGTCGAGGAGAGAGAAAGAGACAGAGAGGAGAGAGACAGAGACAGAGGAGAGAGAAAGAGAGACAGAGAGAGAAAAGGGAGAGAGAAGTGAGAGAGAGAGGAGAGAGAGGGAAGAGAGAGAGAAAGGCAGAAAGTCAAAGAAAGAGAGAGAAAGAGACAGAAAGTCAAAGAGAGAAAGAAAGAGATATACAAGTAGTTAAGAAAAAAACAGTGTACCCCATTCCTTTAAAATCCAGGATCAATTTAAAACCTTTAATTGGTAATTGGAGGTCTTCTCCATGACCCTATAACACTCCAATACTACCTGGTTGTCAGTGTAAACAAGGGCTTAGCCTGAAAACACCGAGACCACCGACAACCCGTAGCCTTCCTAGCAAAAATCCTTAACCCAGTAACCCATGGATGGCCCAAATGCATTCAATCTGTAGCAGCAACTGCTTTGCTGACAGAAGAAAGTAGAAAAATAACTTTAGAGGAAACCTCATTGGGAGCACACCTCACCAGTTCAGAACTATTCTAAGTCAAAAAAGCAGAAAGGTAGCTTACTAACTCAAAAATCTTAAAGTATGGGGCCATTCTGTTAGAAAATGAAATGGTGATTTAACATTAGCCACTGAAAATTCCCTTAACCCAGCAGATTTCCTAACAGGGGATTTAAATCTTTATTACCTTAAAAAGATCTGACCTGATCTGGGAGGAACTCCCTTCAGGACAGGACGATAAATGGCTCCTCCTGGGTGATTGAGAAAAAAACCACAATGGGTATTCAGTAATGATAGGGAGAATCTTGTGGAAGCAGAGTTAGGAGAATTGCCTAATAATTGGTTTGCTCAAACGTGTGAGCTGTTTGTGCTCAGCCAAGCCTTAAAGTACTTAGAAAACCAGCAAGCCCATCTTTTACTGCTCGCTCTCCTTCTCATAGGAAAAAGGCACATAGGATAAACAGGATCCATCTCTCATATATTGTACCCAAAAGGACTTAATCTGGGGCAACAAAAAGTTTAAGATCAATAATTAGGGCATATTCCTACAAAGGAAAAGAAGGACAAAGACTCTAGTAGGCAAAAACTCCATCTCACTCCTGATTCAAAAGGTTACCTACACCCTCTCTGAAACAATTTTGCATAATAACTGTTGTTTATGGGACTGCACCTTGATGGGGCAACTGGGTTGTTATGAAATACTCAGGAACCCAGCCCAGCTCTAGGATTCACCCCTGAACTGGAGCAAAGGTGAATATTGTTATGTATTAGCAAAGAGACTGGTGGCATTTTTGCCCTGCCCTAGAGACCTGTGGAACTTTGAACTTGAGAGAGATGATTTAGGGTATCTGGTAGAAGAAATTTCTAAACAGCAAAGCATTCAATAGGTGACTTGGGGGCTGCTAAAGGCATTCAGTTTTACAAGAGAAGCAGAGCATAAAAGTTTGGAAAATTTACAGCCTGACAATGCAATAGAAAAGAAAATCCCATTTTCTGAGGAGAAATCCAAGCCAGCTGCAAAATTTTCATAAGTAGTGAGGAGCCAAATGTTAATCCCCAAGACCATGGGGAAAATGTCTCCAGGGCATGTTGGAGGTCTTCACAGAAGTCCCTCCCATCACAGGCTCAGAGGCCTAGGAGGAAAAAGTGGTTTCATGGGCTGGGCCCAGGGTCAGTGTGCTATGTGCAGCCTAGGGACTTAGTGCTCTGTGTCTCAGCTGCTCCAGCCATGGCTGAAAGGTGCCAACATAGAGCTGGGGCCATGGCTTCAGAGGGTGCAAGCCTCAAAACTTGCAGCTTCCATATGGTGTTGAGCCTGAGAATGCACTGAAGTCAAGAATTGGGGTTTGGGAACATCCACCTAGATTTCAGAAGATATATGGAAATATCTGGATGTCCAGGCAGACGTTTGCTGCAGGAGTGGGGCCCTCATGGAGAACCTCTGCTTGGACAGTGTGGAAGGGAAATGTGGGGTCAGAGCACTCACACAGAGTCCCTACTGGGGCACTGCTTAGTGAAGCTGCAAGACGAAGGCCACTGTTCTCCAGACCTCAGAATGGTAGATTCACTGACAGCTTGCACCATGCACCTGGAAAAGCCACAGATACTCAGTGCCAGCCCATGAAAGCAGCTGTGAAGGAGGCTGTACCCTGCAAAGCCACAGGGGCCAAGCTGCCCAGTACCATGGGAACCCATCTCTTGCATCAGCATGACCTGGATGTGAGACATGGAGTCAAAAGAGAGCATTTTGGAGCTTTAAGATTTGACTGCCCTGCTAGATTTTGGACTTGCATGGGGCCTGTAACCTTGTTGTTTTGGCCTATTTCTCCCATTTGGAATGGCTATATTTACCCAATATCTGTACTCCCATTGTATCTAGGAAGTAACTAACTTGCTTTTGATTTCACAGGCTCACAGGCAGAAGGGACTTGCCTTGTCTTGGATGAGACTTTGGACTGTGGATTTTTGAGTTAATGCTGAAATGAGTTAAGACTTTGGGGGACTGTTGGCAAGGCATGATTGGTTTTGAAATGTGAGGACATAAGATTTGGGAGGGGCTGGGATGGAATGATATGGCTTGGCTGTGTTCCCACCCAAATCTCATCTTGGATTCCCACATGTTGTAGAAGGGACCCAGTGGGAGGTAATTGAATTATGGAGGTAGGTTTTCCCCATGCCATTCTCATGATAGTAAATGAGTCTCAAGCGATCTGACAGTTTTAAAAATGGAAGTTTCTCTGCCTAAGCCCTCTGTTTGCTACCATCCATGTAAGATGTGTCTTGCTTCTCCTTGCCTTCCACCATGATTATGAGGCCTCCCCAGCCAGGTGGAACTGTGTGTCCAATTAAACCTCTTTCTTTTATAAATTGCCCCCAGTCTTGGGTAAGTTTTTATTAACAGCATGAAAACAGACTAATACACAGGCATACCATTTTTAATTTTTTATAACAAATTTTTACTCTGCCTTTTCTGTGTTTCTATATGTTTAGATACATAAATACCATTGTGTTACAATTGCCTATGATCTTCACTACAGTAACCTGCTACAGGTTTGCAGCCTAGAAGCAATAGGCTATAGTATATAGCCTAGGTGTGTAGTAGGCGATACCATCTAGGTTTGTGTGAGCACACTCTAAGGTGTTTGCACTACAACAAAATTGCCTCATGAAGCATTTCTCAGAACATATTCCCATCATTAAGCAACACATGACTGTACTTTGTTTGGTCTATTATTTTACTCAAGGCCAGTCTTACAGAGTCAGGCAGTGATGTCATTTACATTAGGAAGTATTTGCATGAAAAGTCTCTTTGAGAAAGCTGGTATAACACTAGTAACATTCTGTGCACTGATTGTGTCTTTAGAAGGCTATAATTTAATGGCATGAGTAAATCTGCAATCAGGTCCTGAGGAAGGTGGCCACTTCCCATCATTTAACAATGCCCCTCAGAGGCCTGCCTATTATTCTCAGGGAGACAGCAGGACCTGAGCCCAGAGCAGTGGTGGTTGTGGCAGACTCAGCACATAGTAGGGCCAGGGATGCTAAGGCCTGAGGTGCATCCAGGATCTTTACAGGTCATAGCTATTGTTATGGGCTGAACTGTGTCCCAACCCTCCACCCCAATTTATATGTTGAAGCCCTAACCCCCAGCACCTCAGCATATGACTATATTTGGAGATAAGGTCTTTATGGACTGAATGTTTGTATTTCCCCCAAATTCATAAGTTGAGCTCTAAACCCCCAAGCTGATGGTGTTAGCAAGAGGTCCTTTGGGAGGTGATTAGGTCATGAGGGCTTTGCCCTCATAAATGGGATTAGTGCCCCTATAAAGGAGACCTCAGAGAACTCCCCAGCCCCTATTGCCATGTGAAGGCACAGAGAAGACAGCTGTCTATAGACCAGGAAGCAGGCCTTCGTCAGATACTGAATCTGATGGTGCCTTGATCTTGGACTGTCCAGCCTCCAAAACTGTGAGAAATAAATACTTGTTGCTTAAGCCATCTAGTATTTGGCAGTTTGTTATAGCAGCCTGAAGGAACTAAGAGGTAAGTTAATTAAGTGAAAATGAGGCTGTTAGGGTGGGCCATAATCCAATCCAACTGGTAGCCTTAAAAGAAGAAGACATTTAGAGACACAGAGAGACACCAGATACGTGCACACATGGACGACCATGTAGGGACTCAGCAAGATGACGGCCATTTGCAAACCAAGGAGACACACACCCTGTACACCTTGATCTTGGGCTCCCAGCCCCCAAAACTGTGAGAAAATAAACGTCTGCTGTCTAAGCTTCCCAGTCTGTCATACTTTGTTACAGCAGCCCTAGTAAATGAATACAATTGTTAAGAGGGGAGGAAACCTGTTTGGCATCTTCAGCTTTGCATCTGCTCTCCTGCACGCAGTTCAAACCTTCACCATAACTTTTTATGTGGCTGTAATTCTCTGTTTCTCGTCTTGACCTCTTCCTCTTGACCTTGAGTCCCTTGAGTAGGGGGACTCTGTGTTGGTCAACTTCTATTTTCAACCTCAAAGAAAGTTGGAGAGGACTCCTGCATATGCTGTAAAGGGTGTCCTCTCAGATTTACTGATCGAAATAGACAGGGGCAGTTGGCTGTGCATCAATGCAGAATGACAAACAGCATGTCAGGGCATTTGTGATGCCAATAGTGGCCTTTGAAAGTCTACTTTGTGCAACCTAACACATTGACTAGGCCTGTGACCTGACCCACTCCTAGAGAAAGGGGAAAAACTCAGAGCTTGCCTGCCAGGTAACATTTCTGCCTCCTCCTTGCTCCAGTCTGCTCTGAGAGCCAGCGAAGTCTCTCTCACCAGCCTATCATTTGTCTGACTCAGGCTTTTGTCTGGGCTGAAGGCTATTACATTTTGAGGAGAATGACATTTCTCTGGGACCCCTGGGGGTCTGTATACTGAGTGACTGCCCAGTGAGCCGGGAAAGCAAAGTGTGATTAATACTTTGGCCGGAAATACGACAGAAAAGTGATGAAACAAGTCTCCATCTTGCTCCTTGCTCCTCTTCCCTTTCTCTTCTCCCACACCTTTGCTCTGCTCTTCCACTCTTCACCCTAAATCAGCAACCTTCAAGTGATGATGACAAAACCATAATTCAGGAGCACGTGGTCTTCAGAGAACTTCAAAGAAAATGAGCAAAGGTAAAGGGGTGTGGTGGGGAATTGGATCTGAAAAAAAAAGAAGCCTCAAATGACATCCACAGAGAGGAAATAAATAGGATGGAAAAATAAATCTTATTGAAGCATCCCAGAAGACTCATTTGCTGCTGTTCTTCGTGCTGTAACAACAGAGTGTCTGCAAGTGTGGTAGATACGTGCTTGTGCAGATGGAGCCCTCTTACAGAACAGGACAAACTTCTTCTTTTCTGTCAAGGATGGTCCAGGAGTCGAGTGAAGGAAGCCCAGGAGCCAAGGCAGGGAGGCAGGTCTTTTGCCCAGAAAAACAACCAAAGTCCCTTTTACTGGTTAATGGCATGGCACGAACACTGGCATGTTTACAATGGTAAGAAATATGTTTACCTGGCTCTGCTGCAGAAACTGTGGGCTCTAAAAACTTGCGGCACCTCCTGGCCTACTTCACAGACCAGGACGCCTCATTACCACTTAATAAAGTTGTCCAACTTGTACCATAAGCTCCTGGCTTCCAGCCTTCCTCAATGCCGTAAAACCAGATTTCCTTGATTCAGAGAAACTTACCCTAGTCACCAAAAAGAGCCCTGTAGTAAAGGGTTTTTGCTAAGAAATTAGAAAATACATTAAATATTCTAGAACGGTTGAAAGGTCCATATTTTTTGAGAACTTGTTATAGGAATGAGAATTGTAGAGAACAAACTGGAAAAATAATTTCTTTGGGAAGAAATGTCTTAGAGATAGCCAGACACTTGATCCTCATGGCATGTGGGATGATGAATGTCCCAATACATTGTCTATCCTCAATCTATTTCTTGAATAACAAAACCAGTGACATTTAAAACTCTTTTTATTACTATTTCATAGTCACCCTTCTCTGCTTGACTTGGTTTCACACATTCATAGTAAGTGACTCTGAGTCACACAGCCCACAATTTTCAACATTGTTCTAGATTATTCTTACAATTCCTTTCAACTAAAAAGCCAGTGATTCTAGGGTTCCAAACATCCCCACACCATCTGTTCTACTTATCTCTTGATATTTGACATGAAGGCTGAGTCCTTTTCAAAGTGTGGTCTTTGGATCGCTGTTTGTCGCATGTCAATCAAGTGATTAGCAGGTGGTTTAATCTCGTTTCAGAGGAAAATACGTTGATGGATGTACAGTTGGAAATTTTTGAAATGAAAGATTAACTATTATCTCACAGATTCCTGAACATTATTAATAAGTGTTCTACTTTTAAAGGGAACCCAAAGTTTGCATTGGTCAGGTGACCTCTGCTCACATTCCAGTAAGGATGTGGTTCTGCTGATGGCATTAGTAGGTTACTATTTGTGCTTGTTAAAATTGCGGTTTTTTTCTTGTTATTTTTCCTGTCTGCACTGTATTTCCAATTCATGAAAATGTCTCAACTACCTGGACTGGTTCATTAGAATGTAAAAGTCATGGCCGGGTGCGAGACTCACACCTATAATCCCAGCACTTTGGGAGGCCCAGGTGGGAGGATCACTTGAGCCCAGGAGTTTGAGACTAGCCTGGGCAACATAGTGAGACTTCATCTTTACCAAAAGAAAAAATTAGCCAGGCATGATAGCACATGCCTGTAGTCTCAGCTGCTCGGGAAGCTGAGGTCGGAGGATCACTTGAGCCCGGGAGGTCAAGGCTGCAGGGAACCATGATTATACCACTGCGTTCCAGCCTAGGGAACAGGCTGACACCCTATCTCTTTCTCTCTCTCTCTCTCTCTCTCTCTCTCTCTCTCTCTCTCTCTCTCTCTATATATATATATATATATATATATACACACACACACACACACACACACACACACACACATACATATACATATATATATATGTCATGGTAAAAGTTAATAAGTATGATTCTTAGAGACAAAATGATGTCAAAAATAAAAGGTGAACTAAAATATGCACAAGCATGAGTAAGAAAAAAGACAAAAGTGCTGTACCATGATGAACATCCAGGATTGCACACATTGACTCTGTTCCCTCACTCCCCTTTTTTTCCCTTCCCTGATATGTTTTCTATCGTGAAACCATAAAATAATGACTTGGAACTCATCAAAACCTTGCATAATTTTCAATCAAAGCAGAGGACCTTTTCTGCGAAAGTAATGAGATTTTTCTGGAGCAAGTGTAGAATCATGCATTTCAGGATAAAACTGATGGATGCCATTTCTAAATTGGAGAAGGGAGGTTTCTGAAATTCCAGTGACAATGACTAGGGTAGGTGATGCATCTTAAAGTAGATTGATACCAGGAACTGCAGCCATCTAAAGAGAGGGTCCAGATTTTGACGGGGTGAGTGTCACAGGACAATTGACCGTATTTCCCCGAGGCTGAGCAGCTGTCCCCAGCTGCTGTGTGTTTCAGAGCTGAAGACAGATGTATGCAGATTTCCCACTGCATATTGGAAAATACTAGATTTTCATGGGCATAACTGCCAGGGCATTGAGTCTGCCCCTGGAGTTTTGATTTATTATTAAATTCCCCATGGACTTAGAAAACAGATGTGGGTCACCCAGCACCTATCAGGGTATAAATCCATGTCAGTGATTAATCTGTAGCCTTAAACTTCCTGTTATGAATTGAAAATCCTTCTACAGCCAGGGAATGTAAATTTGATTAGGTTGACAATTTATATCTCCCTCCCATGCCTGAACCCATAGGCAGAACACAGTAATAATACTGTGGTCAATTTAGAATCAGCCCCGTGTATGTCAGTCCTCAGATGTTAATTGGATGTTTCACACAGAGGTCAACTTTGGCTTTGAATGCCTCATCTGTGCTGATTGGCTGTTGTCATTGTGTTTGTTGTGCAGTATCTATATACTTTTCATACGGTGAGAATCCCTCCTTTTGTGTGACAGTAGTGGGATTCAATGTCCTGCTGTCCAGTGTAGTACTTAAGTTTGGAGTTTTCCCCTTCTTTCTACCATGTGGTAGCTATGGCATGGGCATATAGTTTAGAATTAGCCAATCAGATAATTGGATAACTCCTACCCAGGAATTTGGAATAAATGACAAAGAACAAATGGTCAGTTAAGAATTAGTTATGGTGGTTTACAGGTGTCCAGGAGGGTGTAAGGTCTGACTCCACCAATAGTGACATTACAGCCAAACTGTTCCTGCTGAAAAATAAATTGATTAGTTTCCTGTGTGGAACCTTCTATACAGTTTTTCCTGCATTTTTCGAAGCCTGGTCCTTTAGCTGCCAGTCAATTCTGTGAGCACCTTGTAACTTTTTGATGCAAAATTTTTCTGCCTAAGACAACATGTGATGATTTCTATTGCTGACATTCAAATCCTTAATTGATATGCGTGCTTTTTGGTCTACATATGGCAGAGAGTAGTGATGATGATAATCAAAAAGGAAAAGGAGGGAGAAAAGGGGGAGATGGAGGAGATGATAAAAAACATGGACAGATGTAGAAGATACAGACAAAACCAAAAAGGAGACAGACAGGAAGGTAAAAAAAATACAGATTCCTACAGTTGGTTTAGAATCACCACTTATTGCCCTTTTAAAAATTCTATTTTTCCATGTGCTGATAGTTTTTCTTGAGTTATGGAACACAGTGACTTCCCCTACAATCTCTTTCATAATTCAGTCAAGAAGATCCTGGAGTGATCAGGCTTAGAATAGACCAGTGGTCTGCAAATTATGGCCTGTGGGCTGCCATTTGTTTTTATAAATAAAGTTTTGTTGGAACACAGCCCGGCTCATTCATTTCTGAACTGTTCATGGCAGCTTGCAAGCTACAGTGGCAGACCTGAGTAGATGAGACAAAGATTCTATGGTCCATAGAGCCTAAAATATTTATTACACAGCCCTTTACAGAAAAGTCTACTGGCCCCTGGATAGAGCATCTGAATCTCTGGGAACTGAGATACAGAACTGTGTTTATCTCATCTTTCACGCCTCTCCTAGATGCCCTCCTTTTCCAGCTAAAGTTTCCCAGTGTGGAGGATTAATACAAGAGGTCTGCTCTTTTTCAGTGGGCTAAGATCCATTTTCCCAGAGGATAGGAGCAAACAAGGAAGAAGAGATGAAAACAGCTCAACTCTCTTTAATCCTATTGAACTCCCCATCTGGGGGCCTGGTTCTGGGGGACTCTGAAAGCCATCCTTCTGGGCAGTGTGCAGAAGCAAAAGGCTCAAGGTCACACTGCTAATTATAACAGCTGAGACCCAACGCCAGGTCTTTCCATACTCGGCCTGTTTCTCTGCTTGTCACTCTGCCTCATCAGGGAAGTCTTAATAGGAGTAGTGGCATTTGAGTTTAGCTTAGAAACCAGAGGGATAATCTAGCCAGCAAAAACTTAATTCATCTCTTTTCAGTACATAATTACTGAAGAGCAACATCTCATTGTACTAGATACACAATATGTCACCCATAATGAAGCATGAAGATCACTGGACTAAGAGTCAGCAGACTTATGCTTTGGTTCTGGAGCTGCCACTAATTAGCTGCACTGCCTTGGGCATGTTACTTCTATTTTCTGGGCTATTATTCGGTCAAATATAATAGGGTGGGGAAATGGGTTAAATGGGCTGCAGCTGGCTCTGCTTTTCTTAAAATCCTGTTGTACTGTTATTGCTCATCACACAGGTGTCCTTTCCAGAGATACACATGCCGGTTAGGTGCATAAAAACTGGATGATTATGTGCCAAAGTCTGTCTTAAATGGGGCCATCCAAGGATGCAGTTATGGAGCATGAGCATTTGACTGGATTTGTAGGAAGGCATGCAGACAGACAGGCAAATGGCTCTGAAAGATGAGAGCCCCATGTCACACCAGCAGACAGGAACCAATGGGACATGGTTCGGTGGACTCCTGGTTTAGAATCCAAGAATGCTTTTTCTTTACTGCCTAGTTTAAGGCTCAGAATAAAGAAATGTATTTGGGATGCCAACCCCAGATCTGCTCCCTTTGTGGTTCGGGTGGAGTGTCTGAAATCAGCATTACTCATGTGGAAACATTTTGCTCCTTAATAGTTTCAGAGTCCTGGAACAGCCTGTGGCAAACCATGAAAGCAGGCAAGACAGAGCAGCTCCATTATTTGCTGAATCCAGTGATTAATTTTCAAGGCACACTCAAGGTTTTATAAGGATTATTCATAAATTTATACAGCTTTATTCCTTTAAGATGTTTATCTCTGTTTCTATATAGAAATCTGGCCTTATTTTTTCAAATTCACCTTTGGAAAAATCGAAGAAGCTAAGAAAATATCTTCAAAATTGCAGAAGCCTCCCAAACTTAACACCAACACCCTGTAGTATCTGGAGCTGAATTCAGTGGAGGCATAATTTGTCCCAGCCAATTACTAAAAAAAGAAATTGTTTTTAGTGATCTGTAACCTCTTAATAGGTTTAATGACTCAAATCCTATTTTAATTGCTTAATCATGAGCAGGAAATACAAAACAATTTATGCAGACTTGATGTTTTCTGTCTAGTAATTTTCTTTAACTCTGCCCCCTTCTCCAATCCCTGAGCTGTAATAATAGCCAACATTTGACAGTGAGTGGGTGCCAGGCACTGTGCTAGGAAGAAAGTGTTTTGCTGCAGCAATGTCTCTTTTAATCTTCACAACAACCATGTAAGATAGATATCATGAGCCTCATCCTACTAATGAGGAAACTGAGACTTAGAAAGGACAAAGTAACAGCTAGAAAGTCAAGGAGATGGAACTCAAACTCAGGTGTGTCTGCAGCTAAAGTCAATATGCATCCATCTGTTCATCCATCTATCTGTCCATTCATTAGCAGATATTTATTGCCATCTATCATATGGCTGGCACTGTGTTAGGCATTAAAAGTACAGTAGTAAGAAAATAAAGATCTCGTTATGGTATAGATGATCTAGTGAGAAGAGAACAGCATTAATGAATACAATAGATAAATATAAATTTTAATTTGGAAAGTACTGCAAAGATGACATTTTAGTGCTCTGAGATCATAGGGGAAAGAACATATCTAGTTAAGGATGTCTATCGAGTGGGACAGTCCATAGACTATCTGTAGTAATAAATTAATTCTGAAAGCACAGTGGCTTAACACAATAAAGTTTAGTAATAACTTGGAGTACATTTTTTTTTAAGACGCGGTCTTGCTCTGTCACACAGGCTGGAATGCTGTGGCGCGAACTTGGCTCACTGCAACATTCACCTCCGGGGTTCGAGCAACTCTCCTGCCTCAGACTCCCGAGTAGCTGGGATTACAGGCGCCTGCCACCATGAGTACATGTTTTATAAAGGTCAACAGAGAGTTCTCCTCCACCCAGTCACTCAAGGACCCAGGCTGACAGAGACTCTGCCATCATAGCTCCACTACGTGGAACACATGGCCACCAAAGTAAGTGAAGGAGGAGAGGAAGAGTAGGATGATCTCACTGAATGTTTTCAAAGGCTAAGCTGAGGAATAGCTTGCCTCACCCACACCCATTGGCCAGAACCCAGTCAGCTGGCCCCAATTTAACTGGAAAAATGTCTAGGACGTGGCATTGTTTCTGTTGTGAGAAATCAGGAAAGGCCTCCCAGAAGAAGGACCGGACATGTAGAGGAAGTACCCTGCCTTCTCAGGAAGTATCTTGGGACAACCAAATAAATGGAGGATTTCCAGCTCTCTAAATCCTTCAGCTCCCTTACAATTGCCTTATTTGAGCTCAGGCAGTGTTTAACTAACCAGTACAGCACATACTTAATCCATTAATTTGGTTTATATTTTCCGTTTACTTATTCTACCAAGGACAGGCATTTATGGAGTATTTACTATGTGTGAGTTGCAGAACAGGCTGTATACAAAGATAATCATGATATTGTTATTTCCCTCAAGGATGTTTAATCTAGTTGAAAAAATAAGACAGATATGTAGAGTATTAAGTAATAACACAATAAAGACAATGTTGAACCACCTCAAAGGTGTAAACAATAGAAAATTTATTATTTCATGTAGAAAACAGTTGAATGGTTTGAAGACTGGGCAATTAGGTAATTTGGTGGCTCACAAATGCCATCTAGGACCAGGTTATTTCCATCTTTCTGCTCTGCTATCCTAGGGTTTGCTGTAGTGTCCCATTTTGTATGTAAACATGACTATATTCAGTGGAAGAAGAGAGAGAAGAAGTACATTTCCTTTCTGTATGTCCCTTTTCAGGAGTAAGGAGTCCTTCCCAAAATTCCCCAGCAGATTCTCTTCTTTATCATATAATGTCAAGTCCATGCCTAAAATAATCCCTGGCCAAAAGATGAATCTAGTCATATTTTATTTCCTGTGACTAGAACTCACTTTATCTGAAAGACAGAAGAACAAAATCAAGACTCTGTTACAAGGTGTTCCATGCTGGGCAGGTCTATGCAAACCTACCCCCAAAGTCCAAGGAAGCTGAGAGGTGGAAGACAGAAGCTGACATATGCAGTTTCTCTGAAAGAAACATTTAATAGGAACTTAGGAAGAGAAGCCATGTCTGCGTCTCAAGTGGTGGTGAGAGGAGATGATGGATCCCTGTGCCATTACTCCCCAAAGCCAGAACTTATATGTCATAGGGAAGGGGTATATGTGATTCAGATGGGATGTGTAGGACAAGTGAGGTATGATAACATCAAGGTTGTTTTAACCGAAGGGCAGGATTTACAGTAAGTATGTGCTCTTACCTAAGGAACAATAAATATACTGGAAATTTTAGAGGCCTTCCCAGGACAGGTGTTAATCAGAAGTCAACATGGAAGATTAGCATTCAAAATGGAGTTGCTTTGGCCTCCACAAAAAGAAAAAAAATAACAACAAACAGTGTCTGCTATAGTGGTGATGCCAAGCGCTGAGTAGCTTGGACATGTACCATAACAGCAAGAGAACACTTTGTGGTATTATCTGAATAAGCCTAGTAAACTTCATGAAGAGAGAGTAAAATAGGAGGACTTTTAAGGCAAGGAGACAATGACTAGGAGAGAGGCGCACATGAGAAGGATTGATGAGCAATGGAAGTAACTGGCTAACTGGGGTGGAGAGGTCTATGGAACCCTAAAGAAGGCTGAGCTTGGAGGAACTGGGGATGTGGACAATGAGGTGATCTCTGCAGCTTCATTCAAAAAGGCTTATCCTATCTTCTCTGGAATATTTCAGAATGAGAAAGTTATCTTCCATTGTCTCAAGAATCACTGGATTATTCTTCATGATTATCAAATGTTCTCAACTCTCCTGAGATGTTTATTTACTTTTTACAGTGTGAATTTTTTGTGTCAACTTGGCTATCTTGTGGTTCCCTGTTGTTTGGTCTAACACCAGTCTAGATGTTGCTGTAAATGTATTCCTTTAGATGTGATTAATATTTAAATCAGTAGACTTTGAATGAATTATATTACCTGCCATAATGTAGACAGGCTTCATCCAATCAGCTGAAGGCCTTAAGAAAACAGACTGAGGGACCCTGAAGAGGAAACAATTCTGCCTCCAGACTGCCTTTAAACTCAAGACTGCAATATCGACTCTTGGAATTTCCAGCCTACTGGCCTGCCCTGTGAGTTTCAGACTTGCCAGCTCTCACAGTCACATTAGGCAATTCCTGAAAATCAGTCTCCCATTTTGAGGAATTTACTTGGATCTTTCAAGATCCTGCTGTAGCTAAGCAAGATCTTCAAGAAAACCCTTGTCTTGCCTTCATTGTGTAAATGCAATTTGCCTTGTCAAATGACTAGGAGGCCAGTATAGCAAGGTCCCTTTGGGAAACTGGGTTCCGGAGGGTCAGAGCTGCCTCTGCTTCAGGCTTCTTCATGATCTGGATCAAGCTTGTTTGACTTCCATCTACAGAAGTCAACCTTGGCTTCTCAAAGAGCAAAATAGGGCTGAGCAGACTAGCCCTGGGGAAGGTCACTGTGTCCTAAGGCTAGGGGAACCAAGGGAAGAGGTTGGTGTTATCTGGATTTAGAAGCTGGAAGAAGGGACCCTACAGGGCTGAGACTCAGGCTTCTGAGGAGGGGGAACTGCCCAACTAAAACTGATACCTTTGCCAGGGTACAATGAGGCTAATTCTGGGAACATAGAAAGAAGCTGACCTGGAACCAGCTACAGCCACCAGTGTCCAATACACAGTTAGCAGGTCATCTTAGAGAGAAAGACTCAAAAGATTGTCTGTGAATACCCTAAATCCAATCCAGGTATACTGGATGCAAACACTAGGAGAAAAAAGAAAGCTTTTATATAAGGAATTAAATTGCCCTCTGTCTGAAGAAAGAAACGATTAGGAAAGATGGAAGTGATCTGAATAAAATTTACAAAAGGAGAATTCAGACAGACCAACCTGGGTGATGTGTTTCAAGCTCTGCCCCAGGAGCTTGAATGTCTGTTCCTTGTGGCAGGAGCATTCCTAGAGACTGGTGCATCAGGTTTTATGTTGTTGTCTCTCTGCTCCAGCTCACCCTTCAAAACTCTGCCCTGGGATGTTGGAACTCAGATTCTGCAAATAACTTTTCTCCTTTGTCAACCCATAGGGGGTGACAGAAGAGGGTCCTGGATGGCTGTAGAAGGCACTTGCTCTTTTTTTTTTTTTTGGCTTGCTGTTTTTGTGTCATCTGAGCAATGGCCCTTAACCCTGGTAGCTATAGTTGGTTCCAGGTCAACTTCTTTCTATATTCCCAGAATTCTTCTCATTGTACCCTGGCAAAGGTATCAGTTTTAGTTGGGCAGTGCCCCCTACACAGAAACCTGCAGGGTCCCTTCTTCCAGCTTCTAAATTCAGATGACACCAGCCTCTCCCCTTGGTTCCCTCAACCTTACAAGATGGTTACTTCCCTGTGTTGTGTAATTTCTTATAGTAAATTCTCTGTGTTAAAATATCTAGTGTGGTTTCTGTTTCTCTGTTTGGAGCCTGATGGACACAAATGCTCAATGACACCAGCTGTTAACATTATCCAACAAGTTATCTCTCTCTCTCTCTCTCTCTCTCTCTCTCATGCACACACACACATACACACACACACTACCATGCTTAACACACACATCTCTGATTAGTATTTGGCTTCTCAAATAGATTTGTCTACCAAGAGAATTTGTTTTTCAGCAAACATCTATAATACATGTAGCCAGTTTGAGAGTTATATTTTTCATTATAAATGAATACATTAAGATGATAGTTTTTGTACATGAGTCTCTGAAAGCCTTATTCTTGTGATGGAGACAGATCCATTCCTGGGACACTGGCAGTGAGTTTCCTGCACTTGAATAATGACCCTAAACATGTAATTCCACCAAAATTGTAACATCCTGACCAGCTGACCAACTTCCTCTCTTATTCCTTTGTTCCTCATTTTGCCCTGTACTGGTGGCAAGGTGAACCCATTTTTCTTCAAATGGCAATATCTAATATCTATAGGCAATGTCCCCTTTCTGAACACACTCTGATTCTTTTTAAAACTTCTTCTTCAACTGGAATTTCTCTGTAGAGCATCTGAAAAAGCCCTTAACATGAAGTCATAAACAACCAATACAGCTAAACTACCTCATCTCAAGGTGTATATTAATTTTATTTGTATATTGATAAATCTCTAATTGGTTTAAATCAAAGAGACTAAGCCTTGATTTTAGAATCTCAGAATTCACTGTGCTTAGTACGGGGAGTATTTTTCACTGGGAAGAGGCAAGAGAGAGGTGGGTCACATTTCCACTGCTCTCGAAAATCATGCAAACAGTTGCCTCCTTTAGCTGCTCTTTAAGTTGGCACTGATACAAAGACACGTTCAGTCCAACACAGTTCTTGACTGTCCCTTGGCCAGACCATAACTGATCTCCTTTTGGCTTAGGCCACAGTGAAGCACCATGGGGGAGGCCACGGAGTACCTACACATCTTATAACGGCCTCCTTTGTAAAGCTAAACAAATATTTCCCTCTGCCTTGCAAAGCTGAGTCACAGATCTGGCTTTTACATGTATATTCATATGCATCTGCACCTCTGCTGCTCACATTAGTGGCCCTGCCAACGTCCTAACTGGGCCCTTGGGGCCAAGGCAGGCAGGATGCAGTGACAGTCCCAGTGTATCCAGGAGCCTGATGTCCTCAGGTGTCTTTTGTGAACTTTCACAGCCAGAGACAACTGTGCAGAACTGGGACTTCATCACCTCCAGGGAGGTTGCCTGGGGCAGATTCTAGATGGTTTTAATATTCAACCCATAGGTAAAAAATTATGCCCAATTGTTATTCACATCTTTGAAAACTAGACATAAGGAACATTCTGGAGCATATATGAAATGATAACCAAGTAAGATTTAATAATAAACCAATGTTTAAAATGCATTTAATGAGAAATTACTGGAGGGAAGTAAAAGATACCTATATTGAAAGATGAGGGACTCTTCTCTCTGGCCCAGTTTTCTACTTACTGCCCATGAACTTAAGTAATTTACTAAATCTTTTCAGACTGTCATCTCTGCGTGTACAAGATAGTACATGTGTAGACTCCAGACCTCTACTGGGTCTGGAGTGTTTTTGTTGTTGTTTTGAAAAGTTTTCATACATGTTCTCCCTATTTGTTTGCTAAGACTGACATAGCAAAATGCTACAAATGAGATGACTTAAACAGTGAAATTTATTGTGTCACAGTTTTGGAGTCTCAACGTCTGAGATCAAGGTGTTAGCAGGGTTGGTTCCCCCTAAGGGTTGTGAGAGAATCATCTGTTCCACGCTTCTCACCTACCTTCTGGTGGTCTGCTGGCAATCTTTGGTATTCCTTGGCTTGTAAATGCATTACCCTCATCCCTGCTTTCATTTTCACATAGTGTTCTCCTGTGTGCATGTCTGCCTCTGTGTCTAAGTTCTCCCTTTTTATAAAGACACAGTCATTTTGGGTCAGGGCCCACCCTAATGACCTCATCTTAAGTTGATCACCTTTAAAGACCTATTCAAAAGTAAACTGAGGCACAATACAGTTTTAAAGAGTTTGAGCAAACAGCAATTCATGACTCAGGCATGAGTCTAAACCAGAAGAGGTTCAGGAGCTCTACCAAGGGAGCACAAGGGGTGGGGAGGCTTCTACAGGACAAACACAGATATAAAGCAAATAAAATAGTTGATTGGTTACAGTTGTACAATTGCCTTATTTGGTCTCTCCCATTGGAAAGCTTCTGAGTCATTTAACTTACATTGTGTTTTTCTTTAATATAGGCATTTACAAAAAGTTGCTGAAGTTAAGTTTTGCCTATGTTTGCAAACCAAGCAAGGTTAAGGCCACTTATGAAACCTAATTGGCTTTGTCTGCTAAGGGATTCTTCAGGCCTGGTGTCTATTTTCATTTACTTTAACAATCCCTATTTTTAAATAGGTCATATTTGCAGGTACTAGGGATTAGGACTTAAGTTTCTTTTGGGGGTACATAATCCAACCCATAATACTTTCTGACCCCAATTCTTGAAGGCAGGCTCCCTGGCAGCTCTCAGACTGACCTTCTTCTCTCTGCCATTGACCCATTATTGATTTCTTGGGAGAGATCAATAATGGGCCAATGGCAGAGAGAAGGAGAGATCCTTCTTTGCAGAATCCTTCTCTGTAGATCTTTCTCTATAGCAAGGCAGGAGAACTCACTCTGGAAAGACAGATGGAGTCCAGTTCTTTCCAGCTGCATAACACAAGACAAGTCACTTTACCTCTGCAAGCTTCTATCACCTCATCTATAAGATGGGATCATAGGTTTGCCAACAGAAGTCAGTGAGATAAAGCAAAGTAGTACTTGGCTAGCACATGGTAAGTGCTTAACAAATTATGGATATTATTATTTATTCCTTTTGAGTCAATGAGAGGATGGATCAGTGATTCCTAACCCTGGATGCACCTTAGAATCATCTGAGGGAAGCTTTTAAAAACTGCCCAGGCCCCAGTACAGATTCTGACTCAATTGGTCTGGGATAGAGTCCAGGCATTAATATTTTTAGAAGCTCCTTGGTTTAATATGCAGCCAGGGTTGAGAACCACTAGAATAGATGACAGGATTGAAAACACGAATGGAAAGTCTCAATGCGGTAGAAAGTCAGAGGCTGATTTATAGTTACTTAGCAGTATGGCCCACTTCGTGGGGGATGCATGATGGTGAGAGCCAGAGACAGCTCTTGGAAAACCTGTGAATTGGGTGACCTAGATTTCAGAGCCACTGCTTGCTTTGTGGTCTCCCTGTGACATTTTCTCTGGGCCTCCCTGAGGAGGGAACACCCCCACTGAGACACTGCTCTGGGCTTTCCTTCCCACAGCAAAAGCCCATCCACTTGCTCACCCTCCAAACACAGGCGCCATCCTTTCCCCAGCTCCAGCTCCAGGTCTGGGAAGAAAATCCTCAGTTACTAAGAATAACAGTTTGACACACTTCCCTTCCCAGGGACATCTACCTTTTAATGGTGGACATGACAGAACTCAAGGAATCCTCCAGTGAGGAAGGTTTAGATGCTCAAGGGTAGACTTGTAGCACAGAGATGGCTGAATTTTTATGCCCTACTAGGTGGGAACTGACTGCTTGGACTGAACATGACTCCCAAGGCCCCTGAACTGTGGCCTGGAGAGCTTTTAGTTCACAGAGTAACTCTCTCCCTCCGTCCCCAGCACCAAACCCTTTCCATGTATAAGTGTGGACTCTGGAAGCGGCTGTTCTGGTAGCTGCAGGAGGGGCCAGGCTAGTTTTGACAGTTCTGGCCACTTCCAGAGATGGCTCTTGGTTCTCAGGCCCTTGGCTGAGCAATGGGGGCAGCTGTCAACAGCTCTCTCTCCTCTCCCCTTTCCCCAGCTGCTCTGACTCTTCATCAGCAGGCTGAGCTTCTCCAAGCCTCAGTTTCCCACAGTGCCTCCTCGCCCCCTTCTCATCAGACGCTTGCCACCCATGCTATTTACGGTCCTGGGTCTCTCCAGTTTTCATGAGAGAAGGCCAGTAACATTTTCTTAAGCGAGTGAATGAGTAATATAAATAAAATCATATGTAAATAGAAGCAATTTTTGATGACAAAACTGTTTAAATTCTCTTAATTTATTATCCTGAAGCAATTAGGAATGTCCATTTTCTTTTTGGCTGAATTAATAAAAGTATAGCAACTAAAGCAAAGACATGAGAATCCTCTTAATCTGGATACGCTGTGTTTGAAATAACGTGTTTGGTGCTTTCCACTTCTTCAGTTTTGTTATTTATTTATTTTTTAAGTAGAGACAGGGTCTCACTAAGTTGCCCAGGCTGGCCTCGAATTTCTGGGCTCAAGGGATCTACCTGTCTTGGGCTCTCAAGGTGCTGGGATTACAGGCATGAGCCACTGTGCCCGGCCCCGTTTCTATTTTAATCAAGAATATGTCAAAAGAAAGAGGAGCCAGAGACAGCCTTCTCTTAACACAAAGCAGGGTGTTGTATCTTCATCTGACAATAAGTGACTTAGTTAACTTTGATTTAATTTTGGCTTTTGGGAAGTCATGGGGAAAAGAAGTAAAGCTGAGGGTGGCGAAATACCTTTGCTAAACCCAGAGACACTGCACCTGAATCCTGCTCAGTGTTTTGTAGGCAACCAACTGCCTTCTGCCACTGGTATCCGGAAGGGGAAATGAGTTACCTTAAGTGGGCCAAAGTGGGGAAATACTAACAGTACAGCTAGAAACCAAGAGCTGTCGTGAAAGCCCTGAATGGGTTCCCACTGCTATTTCAGACAAAACTGATGCAGTTAAGCCTGAATTTCCTGGCAAGCACAAGGGTAGATTTTTCCAAAAGGCTTTTTAGACTGCAAATACACAGCCTTTCCATGTCTAATCACAAAAGCAAACTGCTGGACACATGCTCTCTGTTCCCAGCTGGTTGTGTATGTTTTCTTCACACTTCAACAGAAACGTGCCAAGGTGTGACATTTATGAATTTCGCCAACTGGGAACTGTGCACACAAATCGTTCTTGCTTGTGGTGTGGGAAAATGATGAATGGGGGCTGTTCTGCCTGGGGAGGAGGGCTGCTGTCACTCTGGCATGCCTACAGCCTTATTTATTACACACCAAAGTATAAAACCACTCCGCCGCTGCAGCTCTCAGCTCCAGTCCTGGCATCTGCCCGAGGAGACCACGCTCCTGGAGCTCTGCTGTCTTCTCAGGGAGACTCTGAGGCTCTGTTGAGAATCATGCTTTGGAGGCAGCTCATCTATTGGCAACTGCTGGCTTTGTTTTTCCTCCCTTTTTGCCTGTGTCAAGATGAATACATGGAGGTGAGCGGAAGAACTAATAAAGTGGTGGCAAGAATAGTGCAAAGCCACCAGCAGACTGGCCGTAGCGGCTCCAGGAGGGAGAAAGTGAGAGAGCGGAGCCATCCTAAAACTGGGACTGTGGATAATAACACTTCTACAGACCTAAAATCCCTGAGACCAGATGAGCTACCGCACCCCGAGGTAGATGACCTAGCCCAGATCACCACATTCTGGGGCCAGGTACTCAGAATTCTCTTCTAAGGATTTTTGTGAAAGCTTAATGAGTGTTGTTGTTGTTGTTTTGTTGTTGTTCTTTTTTTGGCTAAGATTCTTAGAATCAATGAATGCTTTCGAGAAGTTCGCTAAGCTGCTTGTGAATCTCTTTCTGGATTGCTCTTGGGTACAAGAGAGACTGTCGGTCTCTGTTAGAAAATCAGCAGAGGCAGCAATGATGTGATGGGATAGTGGCCGTAGCATCACCCCATCAGAAAGGGGAACCTGGCCAGCCAGCTTCCTGCTATGCTGGGACTTGATTTCCTTCTTGCTCTGTTGGTCCGGAAAGGAGTGCTGACCCATGCAGACAGATCGGTCACTGTAGACAATCATTTGTTGTTCTTAAGAGAATTGGGCTTTCTTCATCCCTTCCGGCAGGGAGAAGCTGCCCTTTGAGTTTGTCAAAAGCAATCAAAGTTTTTTTACTTTGATTTGTGAGTATACTGTGACATTTCATGGCAGTCTTGTTTATTTGATTTATAGCATTCTAGATTGTTAAGCCTCTCTGTTCAGCCTGTTTTAAAAAGAATTAAAGAGTTAAATAAAAAATAAACTGTTTGAAATGCATACCTTATAGCATGATTTGATGCCTGATAATCACAGAGGACTTGATCTATTTCTCAGGTTATAAATTCAGCTCTAAGGAAATATCTTTAACTCTTGGTAGTATGAGAGTGAGTTAAGATTTCAGTATAGTGAATTGCAAATTGGTGAAACTCAATGTAATTTAAAATATTAAGTACAGGAAGAGACATATTTTGAATTACCCTCTAGACATCTAGTATGCTGAAAACTGTCAGAGGGGGCAAGAAGAGTTACTTTGAGTTATATGATATTTGAACATACAGGTTTTTACTACAAGATTTGATTACTTTAATGCATTAAATAGGACCTGAAGAATTTCTTGTAATTGAAATCTAAATCCTTCCTACCATGGATTCAGAAGTTTGGGTTGGTTGTTTGGTTATATGGTCAGACCAAGATCACACACAGAATCAATTGCAGATTTGAAACTAACCCAGAACTTCTAACTTGACCACACAAGGCAGTTGCCCAAACCATTCTGTGGGGGATGCATCCAGAGAAAATTGCTTCTTTAAGGAGCCACGGAAGAAATGATAATCTCTAAATATGATCCTATCTTTTGAAAACCACTTTTAGAGATTGTCTATTCATCTGATAATCTTTTGGCTAAAGGGTAATGATTAGCACTAATTTGTGTGTGGGTTTTTGTTTGTTTTTGTTTTGTGGTGAAGATATTTTCACTTGTGTCCAAGACTTGATCTGGACTTTCCATTTCACACATGGTATCCTTCTTGGCCAACAGATGGTATCTTTCCTGGCCATGACAGTGTGATTCCCCCAGAGGAAGCAGAAGGAAGTTAAAGGTTGTCTTTGGTCATTATGTCCTGACAACCAACACCCAGCAGGCCACTGAAATTCAAATCACATTTCTCCTTCACTCTACCTTCTAGGTTCCTGAAGTATTTTCAAACAAACCACCAACAGGAGATATTGAGGATATTTAGAGTTACTGACATTCTGGAAGTTTTCACTACAACTCCTCTACCAACGGCTATGGAAACCACAGTTTGCATTTAGGATTGTGCTATGTTCTTCCTTCTTTCCCTACTTCCCCTGTCCCTCTTCTTTGATCGTAATTCAATTTTCCTCTTATTCATTCAGTTCCCGTGTATTTCTTGTGCTTCTACTTTGTACCAAACTTTAAAAGGGGGGCCAGGGATATATAAAGATAAATATGCCTGAGCTCCCATGTCCAAACCATCCTGAAGGGCTGTAGTAGAGATAAATTTTTGTTAATTAAATTAAGTTTAATTAAATGCCATGTGTTAAATAAAGTCAGTACATGAAAGGCAATTGGGCAAAAGTGTCAAAGTACTGATAGTTTTTGAGCTGGATCTTAAAAGATGGTATTAAAAGAATGACTATCCACAGCAAATTAAAAAAAAAAAAGTGCTGCAACAGAGACTGGAAAGCCTGTGAGGAGTTGGCTGTGGCTGAAGCTCCTGGGTTGGGGATGCAGGGGTGGGGGTTGGGGGGACGACGGGACATTACACGACTTTAGTGCCAAGAAGGATTCTGCTAGCTGGTTTAGGAGCTTAGATTTTGCTTTGCTAGCTAGGTTTTGTTTGTTCATAGCAGGACAGTGAGGTAATCAGATATATGGTCTGGAAAGATGCTCCAGCTGTGGGTTCATGGTGGAGTACAATGGCCAGAGATCTGGGGTGGGCAGACCTGGGCTCTTTTTTCCTGGTATTTTCTTCTCTGTAGCCTCTTTTTCATTCACCTTTGTCAATCTCCCCTCCTTCTCCCGGATACCCATTTCTCCCTCCTCCCACTTCCCTTCCTCTTCTTTCTTTTCCCTTTTTTTGGGGCAGGAGGTTTAAAAAAAGGAGCTATGACTCTCCTTCCTAGAAGTCACTTACTAGTAGTAGAGCTCAGTTCTGCATCCCTACCCCTAGGCCTCCATCTGCAAAATTGATGGAGCATTTCTTAGAGACAAACTCTTTCTCGCATGCTGCAAATTTACCTGCCTTTTGCATACAAATTTGTCCTGCTTTTGGGAAAGGGGATGATAAACAAGGAGGTCATAAATAGCAACTACCTACATGTAATTTTCCCTTACCTAGGAGAAAACTTCTGAATTAACACATCCCTTCCAACTTGTTCTAAGAGTTCCAACAAAAGACTCAACAATGCAAAAGCATTGCTCCATTCAACTGAACTTTGAAAGACAAGGCCAGAGGAAGGAACGTGTAATGCAATGCTGCTGAAGGGTTCTCACGAGGTGCTCGACTAGTAGTAACCAGAAGTCTCTCACTGTTCTGGTGGCAGCTCTGTGCCCTCAAAGTGCCCTCAAGTAGCTTGGTCTTGCACTTCCAATCCTAGTTGGCTCTAGCATTGAGCAACTTCATCTCCTGGAGCTGAATTCTTGTGCCTAGATACTAAAAACAAAATGTTTCTAAATTATTATTTGAGGCTTTGGAAAATACTTTAGTATCTTTGCATTGTAGAGCTGGAAAAAAATGCGAGACGACTGTAGTGGAAAAGTGGGAAATCTTCTCTTGTTTCATCCTCTGAAGATTCTCTGAAAATTAACTGTCCAAAGGCAGATCAATAGGAGAAACACACATACCGCATGGGGATGATTTCCCAATAGCCCAATGTGGTATGCATGCTTACACACCCTTCCACGTAGGGTAGCAGGGAGTTGGGGAATGTAGAAGTAAATTACAAAGTTCCTCTGAGCCCTGAGGGAGGTGCTGTTACCAAAAGTGAATCCACACGGGTCTGCAACAACCTCAATTCTTGGCTCCTCAATTCCATTGAGGGTCATAAGGCGGAAGGAGAGACCAACGCAAGTTTTAGAGCAGGAATGAAAGTTTATTAAAAAGTTTTAGAGCAGGAACAAAAGGAAGGCAGGTATACTTGGAAAGGGCTAAATGGGCAACTTGAAAGACAAGTGCACGGTTTGACCTTTTGACTTGGGGTTTTTTTACGTTGGCATACTTCTGGGGTCTTGCGTTACTTCTCCCTTGATTCTTCCCTTGGGGTGGGTTGTCCACATGTGTAGTGGCCTGCCAGCACTTACTTGGGAGGTGAGCATGCATAGTATGTTTACTGGAGTTGTAACCATGCTCACTTGAGGTATTCTTCCCTTACCAGCCAAATGCTCCTAGGAGGTCATTTGCCAATTAAACTCTGCCATTTTGCCTCTTAATGCACATGCTTGAGCCCACTTGCGCAACTCCTGAGATCTTATTGGGAAGCTGCCGATAACCAGTTTCAGGTTTTTGCTATCTTTAGGAAGACTGCCTTTACCCGGCACTGGCTGCAACCAATTATTATTTTAGAGAAACAGTTAAAAGCCACTTGATCATCACCTGATGATCACCTGATATTCCCGGTCAGGTGGAGCCCTCCCCTACCCTGCTCATGTCTGAGTAGCTACCTACTGTAACAGTATCAAGAAGGGAAGGGAGAGAAATTTACTGTGAACAGAGGTTGTCTTAAAGCTTCCCAGATTATGGCTCCTAGCTTCCCTCAGGAAATAGAAAAAAAGCCTGTCTGAGCCTTGTGATGACTCCCAGTCTCTTCAGTTCTCCAGTGGTTAATCTTTCCTGGTTATTTGATGAGATTCCTAAGGAGGGGGTCTTAAGACAATTGCATTTCTTTTGGAAAGATGCTTTCTTAGTCAAATAAAGAAATTCCAGACAGAGTCCCTCCCGGCACTTCTGGAAAGAAGATCAGAGAGACTGGGAGGCAGGGAAAGGTCAGAGAGAGACCTTGGATCTGAGGCTTCTCTCTCTTTTTTTAATAAGAGATTTGCCACAAGTCAGTTTTCCCTGTGATAGCTCTTCCAATACGTCTTTCTTAAAACACCTAAGTTCAGAAGGATCATGAGGCCCCTCTCTCATGATCTGCATTCATACTGAAAATCAAGATCAAGCAAGCTTTTGTCCTGCTCTGCAGAGCCTTCCATCCTCCCTGTGCTCACCTTATCTTCGTGGCTTATTTCTGAAGCCTTCCATTTCCAAAGCACTCAACACGCTGAAGCACGTATTTTGAAGAGTCATTTTCTGTGCACCAACACCACCTCATCCAATCCTCTGATTTAATAGCCAAAAACAAAACAAACAAAAAAAGATGTCTGGAGAACAGCGACTTCTCTAAGGTCACACAGCACCATGATGGAAATTCTGGTTTCAGTCCAGTGGGTGTTTCAACATTCCTAAGCATCTCAGTATTTCCATTCCATTCCTATATCGATGGTTCCACTTGAGGATTTTCCCTCCTTCCCCTCCCTTCTCCATCCTTAAAATTCATCATTGGCAGAGCCCTGGATTTTCTGAGGTTTAAAAGGCTGAATTTCACATTGGCAAAACCATAACAGGAAATATGGAATCCTTCCTTCTCAGATTACAGTTTTGGATTAGAAGGTGGGGTGTGCCGTGGTGTCTTTGACTTTCCAAGTGTCCTGAAATCCCTCAGATAAAATCCCTGAGATGAAATCCCTCATCTCAAACCAATGGCTTTAGTTGACTTTTCTTCCCCTACCAATTTGACAGAAGGTTTTCATAGACTCTAGTTCTTGTCCAGGTTTGAGCCTGGTAGACTGAAGACAAGACTAGGAGTTAGCTCTAAGTTATAGCTCCTGATCAGGCAAGACTTGGGTTCTGAGAGGTTGCAGGAGAATGCTTGTGCTACAGATTCTGTTCTGTGTTTTCCCTGAATAGCTTGGTGGAAAATTTTAGGACAAAGCAGTGAGAGAGTGAGAACAAAATTCAAGCCCATTTTTTATTAAAGAAAAGAAAGTAAGGTCTAAGTGTTTAACTGTGTGAAGTTTGATCCAGTTCTCTGCTTAAATTTTTAGTGACAAATACAACTTGAATTTTAAATTCTTTTTTCCTCCCTCTGTGTCTCCTTTTTCTTTCTCTTCTTCCCTGGCCTCCTTTTTCTCTCCTTTGCTTCATTTTTTTCATGAATCTCTTAGCAACAACATGCTGTTTTCAAAAGACCGTTGAATTATAATTGATGTCTAGGAACATTTCCACAAGTATTTTGTATGACATAATTAATAGGCAAGTTGCCAGTTTAGATGGGAGTTCAAATTTCATAAGCAACTTTAACTCTTCTGTCAATCAACTTCCACTAGGTCTTTAGCTCTTTGACGGTAAACATACATTTTAGAAATTTATCTTTGTATAAATAAGCATTTCACTCAGTGTCATACTTGAGCATGTTTAGTACCCATTAAGTGCTTATTAAACATTGGTTCAAACAGTGAGATAATCATTTCACAATTTTTTTTTTTTGAGACTGTGTCTTGCTCTTGTCGCCCAGGCTGGAGTACAATGGTGCTATCTCAGCTCACTGCAACCTCCGCCTCCTGGGTTCAAGTGATTCTCCTGCCTCAGCCTCCCAAGTAGCTGGGATTACAGGCATGCACCAGCATGCCTGGCTAATTTTTGTATTTTTAGTAGAGATGGGATTTCACCATGCTGGCCAGGCTGGTCTCCAACTCCTGACCTCAGGTGATCCACCTGCCTCGGCCTCCAAAAGTGCTGGGATTACAGGCATCAGCCACCATGCTCAGCCCAATCATTTCACATTTTAAAGTGGAATGTGTGAAATAGAAATCATGTTAAATAGTTGATTTACTGATAAAGTTAAAGTTGTTTCAAGATGTAGATAATTAATAAAAATGTATTGGACTTATAGTTAATAGCAATGTATTATATTCTTGAAAATTGTTAGGAGTAGATTTTAAGTGCTCTCTCTACAAAAACAGTATATGAGACAACACATATGTTAATTAGCTCAATTTAGTATTTTACACTGTGTACTTATTTTATAACAACATGTTATACGTGATAAATATATATATAATTTCTAGTTGTCAGTTAAATAAGTAAATAAATGTATTGGACTAAAAAATACTTTATTTCCTTCGTTTTCTAAGACAATTTAAGTGTGCTATGGCTGTTTGAAAAACTAGTGTTACTATTCAGAATTTCTAAGAGATCTTAATCTAGCTCTTAACTCAGTATCATGGATATAGTAAGCATTTAAAAACAGTGCTTAAAGTGGATAATTCTTGTAATTTGAGGACCATCTACTCAATTTAGCTACATCTGGGGCTATGGCAGTTGGAAAAGAGAAAAGGCTTCCAAGTCCACTTCTGAAGGAGTTTCTTCCTTTGCTGTTACAGTAGCAGCAGGAAGGCACTTTCCAGAAATAGGACCCAACTTCCCACCCCCACCCACACGCTTTTCAAAGAGCATCTTCCTCTATTGACTTTCTTGTTGCCTTTTCCTTTGATCATCAACTGACCTTAGCTACTCCCTGACCCTTTGCCATTGATATCTCCACCCCATCCCATCTTTTGTGATCTTGCTGTGATTCGATTGGAATTAAGCTTACCTAAGGGCCAAGGCCAGTGGAAATTTAAAAATCCTAATTGCTCACAAGTACCTTTTTTTCTGAAGCTTCTCTTTCTGTCTTTTTAGTCTCCACAAACCGGAGGACTACCCCCAGACTGCAGTAAGTGTTGTCATGGAGACTACAGCTTTCGAGGCTACCAAGGCCCCCCTGGGCCACCGGGCCCTCCTGGCATTCCAGGTAAGGATGAGCAAGACATACTGTCAATCTAATTGCAGCCTGAGCTAAAGTAGGAGCAAAGGGCAAACCTTAATAATTTGGGATCACTTCTGTGTGATCCAAAGGATCCGCTAGACTCTTGGCACCCTGGAATACCAGGTTCATAGGCTGGGAGGCTCCTCAACAGCATTGAGTCCGAAACGACCAGGTCATAGTCTTCGTTCCAGTATATCTGCCACAGCATGCTTTATGAAGGGCAGAGTAGAGCCAAAAGCTTACTGCTCTGGGCTACAGCCATCTCAATGCCAGTCACTGAGCTGTGCATCCTTCTGTGTGACTCTAGGTCCAGCTAAGTGCTTCTTCCTCCAGTCTCAGGATCTCTCCATGTTCAGCCGTCTCTCAGTTGACTCTCATGCCACTCTTGACCTCATGGAAACATTTTTAGGCTCCAGTACCATGTAGTGGTATGGGGAATGCTCTGGAGCTACATGAGACCCCACTAGACCAGCAATTCAGTCATCTGTACTGTGCCAATGCCACCAGGCATAGGAGAGTGCCGCGGGCCTGCTGGTACCCTGGGTCAGTCCAGGAAAGGGTAGCCCAGGTCTCCTCAATATGGGGCTCCCAAGCCTATCTTGGGTTTTATTGTCTTCATCCTCAGGTTAATCCCTAGGGTAGGACCTCATCTCAGGGTCTGGCCAAAGTCCACTGGCTCTTCTGTGACTTACTCTCATTGATGTTAATATTTATCAAATGTGGTTCAATTTTTTTTCTACTTTTGAGTAGCTTCTTGCACAAAACCAAATTTACAGCAAGAAAATCTTATGTTAAACTTTAAACTACACTTACTGGCTTGGAATCTATGTCATTGGCCATCAAGGACAGCAGCCAGCAGGAGCAATGATGTAGGGGTAGGGCCTACTTCGACCCTTGTAAAATCTTCTCAGGTCTTAACTCTTGTGAGGTTACACAAAAGATTGGCCTTGGTTAAATGTTTTCTAACCAGGAAATGGCTTTGTCACTGAACACATTAATTTGTAAACACAGTCAAAGTTCATCCATTTGGTAGGGTTGTAAGCCTGGTATGATAACCAACCAAGGGTAGCATGCAAAATGAACAGCAAAAAGCCTGAAATTTAGCAAATATTAAAAATAAAGAAGAGGTGTAGAAATTGTCTCTTGTTGGCAAAGGGAAAAGTTAAAATTGTTTTCCAACTCTTGCTTTCAAAATCATTGCTGTAATTTGTTTAATGAATGAGTTTACCTTTTCCCCAGTTATAAAAGTGATGTGTTTTTTGTAGAAAACTTCAAAGAAACAGAAAAATATACAGAATGACATGAAAATTACTCATGTTCCACATTTAGAAAAGAACCTCTGTGAATATTTTTCTGTAACTTATTCTTGTCTTTTTTTCCCTATGGATATAATACATAAACACATATTTTTCCAAACAAAGATAGTATCATGTTATTTCTATTTACTCATAACTTTCTTTTGCCTGAAACAAAGTCTGGCTCTTTTGTCCAGGCTGGAGTGAAGTGGCATGATCCAGGCTCCCTGTAGCCTTGGCCTCTTAGGCTCAAGAGGTCATCCTGCCTCAGTCTCCCAAATAGCTGGGACTACAGGTGTGCACCACCACTCCTGGCTAATTTTTTAATTTCTATTTTTGTAAAGATGGGATCTCACCATATTGCTCAAGCTTGTCTCAAACTCTAGGGCTCAAGTGATCCTCCCACTGTGGCTTCGCAAAGTGTTGAGATTACAGTTGTGAGCCACTGTACCTGGCCACTTATAACTTTAAAATCTAAAAATATCATGAATATCACTATATCATTAAATGTTTTTCTTCAGCCTTCTTTTTTATGACTATATAACATAGTTTCTAGAATATGTCATGCCCTCCTAGTATTGGTGATTATATAGGTGGTTTCCAATCTTTGCTATTTTAAATGATAATGTGATAATCAGAATTGTACACAATTTTTCCTCCAAGCCTCGCTTCAAAGGATAAACAGGCTTTGGAGCTTTAGGGTATCTAAGGCTTCTTTCAGAGCCTATTGCCCTATTTAGATGATGATACCCCTTGGTTATATTTGGGATTATTCTGAATGGTCCCCTTTCATAATTGAGTTTGGATAGTATGTCTAGAAATGGATGGTAAGTATGAGTGACTGGGTTTTCTCATGTGATGATGTCTGGTTGTTTAAGGAAACCATGGAAACAATGGCAACAATGGAGCCACTGGTCATGAAGGAGCCAAAGGTGAGAAGGGCGACAAAGGTGACCTGGGGCCTCGAGGGGAGCGGGGGCAGCATGGCCCCAAAGGAGAGAAGGGCTACCCGGGGATTCCACCAGAACTTCAGGTAAACCATCCTCGGTACATCTCCTGGTGGCTTTCCAACCTGCCTGACCAAAAGGGGCCAGGAATCAGGATGTTCGAGCGCTTCCTCAAGTCTTCCCCAATCCTGAGTAAATCTGAGTCTCAGTTTGTTCATCTACATCACAGGATGTTTGCATAAGGCCCATACTGTCCAAAAGGAGGACTTAGATACTATTCTTAGGGAGGAGAGACATTTATGAAGGGTGAAATCTAAGTCCCTCATAGAACCAAATCCAAGGCAACCCTAAATATAAACTTATCTCCTATTTTCCCAAATAAGATGTTTTAAGAATGTAATAAGATGTAATAAGGGTTTGGGCCAACTTGAATGTATAAACATTTAAGTATATAAATGGAATGATGAAATGTCTAGTTATAATATTGTATTTATTAACATTGTTATATTTACATATACTAATCCATACATAAATATTGATATATATTGTTTTCTCTCAACTCAGATTTTGTGGTATAATTTTTGTTTATTTTTTGAAACAGAGTCTTGCTCTGTTGTCCAGGCTGGAGTACAGTGGCACGATCTTGGCTCACTGCAACCTCTTCCTCGTGGGTTTGAGCAATTCTCCTGCCTCAGCCTCCCTATAGCTGGAATTACAGGCATGCATCACCACACCTGGCTAATTTTTGTATTTCTAATACAGACGGGTTTTTGCCATGGTGGCCAGGCTGGTCTCAAATTCCTGGCCTGAAGTGATCTGCCTGCCTCGGCCTCCCAAAAAAGTGCTGGGATTACAGGCTTGAGCCACCACACTTGACCTTGTGGTATAATTTTTACTTGAGCTTTTCTTGTCAGAATCTTCTTTATCAATGGAGAATTTCAGTTTTGAGCCATCCACTCAGTGTTCCAGACCAGATTACATTCATTTCAGCATAAAGTTTAAAAAATCAATTTATGAGGTTAAAACTGTACATTTTTTTCCAGGCTCAAGTACCCATTTACCTATTCTTTCTCTCTCTTTTAAATGATCATTAAAGTTCTTATTGCCAACACGATCTTAAACTTGTAAATGTGAGGTTAGGTCACAAGGAAAATTACTAACTTTGGGTTATTTCTGGAAGGTGGAGGAGGGCTAATATTTTGAAATGGATCCCCTCTGGGGGACTTCTATCAGCATTGAAAACTAGCATTTTTTAAAAATTAAGTTTCTTTCTGACTAGTGTCTTCCCAAAAAAAGTAACTTGTGGATAAAAATAAAGTAACTGAGATAAAGTACTGCAACATGAGAGATTTTTGAAGAACTAGACTATAAAGCGATTCTTGCCTGAAAGATCAATTAGGGGGAAACTGTCTTTCATTTGTGCGTGTATGGTGGTGGTTTGACCCTGTATAAGTTCCATCATTTTTCTGGGCCTTGGTTTCTCAAGTTTAAAATAGCTTGAATAGTTAGTGTGTTACTCTCATTTGTGGGTTTTGCAACTTTTAAATGAAAGCCGTTTTGTTTTGTTTTGTGTGTGTGTGCACAGGCTGGAGTGCAGTGGTGTGATCTTGGCTCACTGCAGCCTCCACCAAGGTTCAAGCGATTCTCTTGCCTCAGCCTCTGGAGTAGCTGGGATTACAGGTGCGTGACACCATGCCCGGCTAATTTTTTTGTATTTTTAGTAGAGACGGCATTTCTCTATGTTGGCCAGGCTGATCTCAAACTCCTGGCCTCCAGTGATCGGCCTGCCTCGGCCTCCCAAAGTGCTGGGATTACAGGTGTGAGCCACTGTGCCTAGCCAAATGCTGTTTAATAATTTCAGCAACCTGGGATCCATGTGCCAATATAAATTTACAAACAAAAAGGCTAGAGATGCCACTCAGCCAGGTTAAGGTATTTAATAAGACAGAAGATAAACATCTCAAAGCTAGACACTCTAACCCATAACCTATGAATGGTAAACCACGGAGAAGGGGCCCTAGAGTAGCCAGTTTGATAGAGAACATTCTGGGCAATTATTAAATTTGTCCCATCAGCTATTTTACCCTAAAATCACAATACAATCATTTGGGTCTTACACAGATTGTGAAGGAGGGAACTTCACATTCTTTGAAGGTCCCAGCAAATTAAAGAATTTATTAATCTAACTTACACTCAGTTTCAATGACTCATTTGGACGAAGGATTAACTTTGACTTTCACAGCTCATTCTTCAATGGTGGTTTTAAGCAAAAGCTTTTCTTTTCTTTTCTTTTTTTTTAACTTTTATTCTAAGTTCAGGGGTACATGTGCAGGTTTTTTACATAGTTAAACTTGTGTCGTGGGGATTTGTTGTACAGATTATTTTATCACCAGATATTAAGCCTAGTACCCATTGGTTATTTTTCCTGATTCTCTCCCTCCTCCCACCTTCCATCCTCCCATAGGCCCCAGTGTGTGTTGTTCCCCTCTATATGTCCATGTGTTCTTATCATTTAGCTCCCACATATACATGAGAACATGCAGTGTTTGGTTTTCTGTTCCTGCATTAGTTTGCTAAGGATAATGGCCTCCCGTTCCATCCATGTTCCTGCAAGGGACATGATGTCATTCTTTTTTATGGCTGCACAGTATTCCATGGTGTATATGTAGCACACTTTCTTTATCCAGTCTATCATCAATGGGAATTTAGATTGATTCCATGTCTTTGCTATTGTGAATAGTGACAAAAGTTTTCTTGACAGGCGGAATTGTCTCAAGGCTTTTAAAATTATTGTTAACATTTTGTATTTTGAACTTCAACCCTGTCTTTGGATATTAGTAGTATAGAGGTGGCAACAATAGTAGTAGTGGTGGCAAGAGGAGGAAGAGTACTACCCCATTCTCCACTTAGGGGATATAGAAATTTGAGGCCCAATTACTAATTACTCAATTGCCAAGTGACAGAATTAAGAGAGGTGGACCTTAATCTCATATCTTTGGACCCAAATAGACAGCCTTATTCCCAAACTCATAGAGCCTCTTGGTTGCCACCGTGAGCAGGTTTCTCAAGTTAATTCTCTTTGCTGATCTTTTACTGATTAAGCAGAGGCTTTCAAAGTCCCTTAAAAGATTACACATAAAGTATTTGTAACCATTCCCAGAAATGGGTGTTGACCATTAAATGACTTCTTGGATTCTCCCATCTCTAAACTTTACAGTTCCAAGATGACATTTTTTCATCCAAAATCATGCTGAGAAATTTTTGCTGTTCTAATATTCAAAAAGATTGCTAATTTTAGTAAACCATTTTTCTATATTTTAGATAACTGCAAACACTCCTTTTTACCTTTTCAAGGTTATTTACGTAATATCTTTTCACTGTTAAAAAAAATTAGAAAAGTTCTGGGCCAAAAATAATAAAACATGCCAAGAGATGATTACTGTTAACATACAGTTATGTAACTTTTCAGATTTATGCATACTTATATACATGTTACTTTTAAATATGATGGGAACATATATACATATTATTACTTTATTTCATGAATGACAATCTATCCTAAATGTCTGTTCATATAAATAAATACAATCCTATAGCTTTAAAATTAGTATCTTTTTTCTGAATATAAAATTAATACATGCTAACTTGAAAATTATAAGTGTAATGAAGAAAGGAAAACTTTCCCATGAAACTTCTACCAAGAAAGACCTGCTATTAATAATTTCAAGAATATTCTTGCAGATATTTTTCTGAATTGCCCACACAATGACTCCATCCACACAGACACAGTTAATAAAGGCTGGTATCAGATAATAATGATCTTGTGTTGTCTACTTTTTGGGTAAACAGTGTATTGAAGATATTTTCTCCTTTTATACAGATGCACATTTAGATCAGCATCAAGAATTCTCAAAGTGTATTCAAAGAATTAATTTCATTAGAAATTAATAGGCTAGGCACCATGGCTCACGCCTATAATCCCAGCACTTTGGGAGGCCGAGGAAGGTGGATCTCTTGAGCCTAGGAGTTTGAGACCAGCCTAGGCAACATAGTGAGACCTCGTCTCTATAAAGAAAAAAAAAAAAAGAAATTAATAGGTATCTTTTCGGGAAAAAATAATGCAGGGTTACCAAAATTAAAATGTTTGGCTATAGGGTTTCTCAGGTCCTTGAATTTGCTAATGTGCATTTCTCGGCTATAAGTGGAAAATTTCATATAAAATTTTCTGGTATTATTTGATAACAGAATTTTAGTATTTCAAAAATCATTTGAAAGACAAATAATCTTTGAAACCTATGTTCAGAACTGTTGATAGACATTGTCAATCTAATGGCTGCATAGCATTCAAATGTTGGAATTACCATAATTTATTTGTTTCTCTCTCCATAGATTGATGTTTATTCCCAATCTTGCTGTTATGTATAATGTTTAACAAACTAATCTGCATAAAAACTTGACTTCTTTAAGATAAATTGCCTATTTATTGACCAATAATTCTTTCCTTAGATTGCATTCATGGCTTCTCTGGCAACCCACTTCAGCAATCAGAACAGTGGGATTATCTTCAGCAGTGTTGAGACCAACATTGGAAACTTCTTTGATGTCATGACTGGTAGATTTGGGGCCCCAGTATCAGGTGAGATGGAAACATAGGATGAAGATTGAGTTAATCAATGTAATAATAAAGACAATTAAGGAAGGAAGGAAAGAAGAGAGGGAGGGACGGAGAAAGGGAGGGAGAGAAAGAAGGAGGAAGGGAGTAGGAAATAAAGAATGACATTAAGGTAGTTATTTTTTTTCTGATTCACGTTAAACCAAACAGCTCATTTAGATTTCTGTTGGATTTCAAAGTAAACGAATTAGAATCTGAAAAGACAAAAATAGTTTTTAAAATATGGCCATAGTCATTAATATTATTAACTCTGATTTAGACTGAGCTAAATAATTCTTAAGAGGACATACTTACCTCTGACTTTAAAAGTCCTTAAAACATAATTCTCAGTTTAAATGTGTCATAACTGTTTCCTCCCCCTGCCACCACCTCAAGGAGTGCCTGATCCTATTTTTTTAATTAAAAGAAATTGAGCAGGTAATACATTTACTTATTTAAAAAGTTAAGGCCCGGCGCGGTGGCTCATGCCTGTAATCCCAGCACTCTGGAAGGCCGAAGCAGGCGGATCACGAGGTCAGTAGATAGAGACTATCCTGGCTGACATGGTGAAACCCCGTCTTTACTAAAAATACAAAATATTAGCCGGGCGTGGTGGCGGGCGCCTGTAGTCCCAGCTACTCAGGAGGCTGAGGCAGGAGAATGGGTTGAACCCGGGAGGCGGAGCTTGCAGTGAGCGGAGATCGCGCGACTGCACTCCAGCCTGGGCGACAGAGCGAGACTCCGTCTCAAAAAAAAAAAGAGCTTGTTTATGCAAATGAATACAAATATATCTTCTCATATTTCTAAATAAAAGCTAGGACACTCTACATTCTGATTGTGTCTTGCTTTAAAAAAAAAAACTAACAATATATTTTAGAAATCTTTTCACGTCATTACTTCATCTTCTTTCTTGTAGCTGAATGTACCAAAGTATATTTAATGAATTCCCTTATTTCTGGACATTTGGGTTGTTTCCAGTTTGCTTTTTTTTTTTTTTTTTTTTGGTGGTGGTGGATTTTTTTTGTTTGTTTGTTTCTAGACAGGGTCTCTATCAACCAGCCTGGAGTGCAGTGGCACCATCTCAGCCCACTGCAACTTCTGCCACCTCTGCCTGCCAAGCTCAAGCGATCCTCCCCACTCAGCCTCCTGAGTAGCTGGGACTGCAGACCCAGGCCACCACACCTGGCTAATTTTTGTAGTTTTAGTAGAGACGGGCTTTACCATGTTGGCCAGGCTGGTCTGAAATTCCTGGCCTGAAGTGATCCACCTGCCTCAGCCTCCCAAAGTGCTGGAATTACAGGTGTAAGCCACCATGCCAGCAAGAATATACCACTTTGTAATTGATCACTTACAGGTATATCTGTAGGCTAAAGTTTTAGGAATATTATCAGTATAAACATATCCATAATTTTTATCAATTTTGCCAAATTGCTCCCTGTAAGGGTTGTACCAATATACTTAAATTGTCAAGATATGAAAGCACTTATTTCCTGATAGCCTTATCAACAAAATGTGCTTTCAAGTTTCTGGATAGTTGATAAATAGAAAATCCCACTTTACAAACTTTTTACTTTGAATTAATTTTAGACTTATAGGAGAGTTATGAAAATATTATACAAAGTTCTCATATTTTGTTTAACCATCTTCCACTACTATTAACATTTTAAATAACCAAAGTGCAATTATAAAAATAAATAATGAACCTAGGTACAATACTATGACTAAATTATGGACTTCATTCAGATCTCACCAGGTTTTTCTGATGCCCTCAGCTTTTCATTCCATTTATTGTCTGGCCATTTCTACCATGGGTTCACGCCTTTTGTTCTATAATGTTCTTTTATAGAGGTATTTGCTTTATTAGTATAAATTCATGGCTACATTTTTCATCTACTACATGACAACATTTTTTCTTGGAGAGTATTGTTAATCCATTAGGGTCATTTTTGCTTTTCTTTTCTACTTTAAAAAATTAACTGAGGGTTGAATGAGTTTAATTTTCCTAGACCAGCCGTATGCTCTAGTTTCTTGGTGAAGAAAGGACCAGGGCAGTTTCTAGACTGGATAACTCAAAGGCTCCCTCCCCTGCTGCCAGGGGACTAACGGATTCTTTTAAGTATGGCCCTAATGTGCGTTTTTCTTGGTCACACTTCCACTACCTCTCCAGACTGCACCGGGTCCATGAAAGCTTCTGAAGCCAGCCTTATACTTCCTGGTTCCCTTGCCTTCAGGAGACTTTTTTTTTCTTTCTTTTCTTTTCTTTTCTTTTTTTTTTTTTTTTTGCTGGCAGATTTTGAGATTGGCCACTGCAGGTCCTCTTTCCACATCCTACACTGTATCTAGCAACCATCACCCCAAACACAGCCTTGCTTCCGCTCAGCCCTGTTCACAGGGACTTGTTTTCAGCATTGCTCTTCCACGTGGCCCTCACTATCAGGGAGTGCATTTCTCCTGGCACTGTGTGACACCTGCTGCCACCTGGCCTCCTCAGAGCCTGGCCCAACCTCGTGTTATCTCCACATGACTCTGTCCACCCTCAGGGGCATTTGGCAGCACTTACAGGTATTTTTGAAGTTCATTGATTTTCTTCCAGTCTCCTAGCGTTGCAGAACGTGGATATTTATTTGGTTTTTGTTTTTCAATTCTACTCATTTCTCTATATGGTATCCAGAATTAAAAGGAAGCAACTTCTGATGGAGGCAGTGGCCCTGTCAGATTTTCACAAATGCTTTTAAGTGCACCTTGATTTATTTTTTCTACTCAGTTTAAGTCAGAAATGAACTGAGATATGAAATGATAGAAGCAATCTTTCATCACACTTTAATGTCATGAAAATCATCTTTAAATGTTCTTGTGTGATTTTCTGCTCTGAAGGTTTATGTCATAATTTTCTTACAACTATTCTGTTAAATGCTATCTATGCCACAGATTACATTAATGCCTAGAAATACCTAGTCCACATTTCCATGGAATTAAATGGCTTTATAATTGAAGCCTAAGTAAGGATTTAATTTTTTAGAGCTCTCTTGGGCCAGACGTTCAGCTTCTAGTGATACCAACTGTCATTTGACTCTCACAGTTTTCTGTTTCAGTCTCCATTTTTGCAATAGATTGCAAAAAGACCATTTTGTCCTTTTCAACTTTGGGAGTGAAGAGACGGAGAAGGCTGGTTTTTGAAATTACAGCAACACAAAGACCTCCAAACCGTAGTGCAAATGTGTCTCCTCTGGTTTCAGTACCTTCCCTTGCAGGAAAGCCACATGTGGGTATAATACATACTCACTTCGGTATTTCCAACTCCAGGCATTTCATTTATTCACCATCTGGTGTTTTAGTCTCCTCTTTCTAACATGTTTTTGCAACCTATTTTTAATAGTAGTCATCATTTTGTAAGAAAAACTAGTATATTTTCCTGTCATTTTGATTTCAGCTTTATCTTCTTGAGGCATTGAAAATTATGTGTGTGTATGTGTCTAATAGGAAATTTTGTAAAATGTGAAAAACTAAACACATATAAACTATTTTCCTTGAGGCTTTTAATTTTTATCTGCCTTTACTTTTCCTCTGTGGGCCAATCTCTAGGCATATGAATAGGCATGATAAACTTTTAGGCCATTTCCTTTGTTCCCAGAACATTGAATATGCATTCCTGGCACTAGACAAAGCATCATCATACTTCTTTGTTTAATTTGACTTAGAATCAGGTGAATTGACATGGCACCCTTACAACTTTCATCTTACTTGATTGCCCTTTGAGAAAGAAATAGAACTATCTTCTATTAAAGCTATTTCTGGGTTATTGTCTTGAAAGGCCATTAGTTTAAAATGTAACATGGAAATCAGTAAGAGTTTGATGACTTATGTTCATTCACCTTTCCAAAATGCACACCAAAATCCCATATCATTTAGAGTTTGAAAAATTTTCCTTTTGTCTTGTCTGTGTGCTATTGGATTCTTCTTAATCATTCAGTGAAAGTATCTTGTGTGCTGGCATTTAGAGTATATTAGGTCATATTATATTGCTTTCAATTAGGAGCCCTAGGCTCTTATTAAAAAACTCAAATCTTTTAAAATATATGTTGGTCTTTTCCAAATGAAGAGGATACAGACTTTTAGTGACAAGGTCCTGTTGCTGAGTCTAAGTTGGGTCTTTCTGTTTATTGTACATAATTTCACCAACATACAAGGTATAGCATGAGAAATTACCAGAACCATTTCTTTAGAACTCATAAACATTTGTTCTGTGCTCCAGGATTTCCTCATCTTTGGCTAATCCCTTTGGTGAGTTTAATCATCTGTTATATTGTAATAGTTGCTCATTTTCTTAAGTCATGGAGCATCGTTGTTCAACCACAAACATCTCTGCACCTTGGTAACACGAGTTCTGTGGTACATGAGGATGATCGCTAACCTATGCCCAGGAACAACGCCTACTTTGCCCTAAGCACTTTGTCAGGGTACAAGGCAGTGAGATACAGTTAAAATGAGGTAGGCTCCTTCCCTTAAAGACTTTTAAGTCTTATTCGGGATACACAGTGTACACATTGAAAGCACTTGGAAGGGGAGTAGATATAGGGACATTCCTGCAAATTAAGGCCAAGGAGAGACACCATACTACAAAGAATATCAATAAAAGACATGTGAAGGCAGTTGGCAAATCTCCAGGTATCTCCAGGTCCTCAATGTATAACATGTTAATATCAACATGGATATATACCTGCTTTTTTCAGGTGTGTATTTCTTCACCTTCAGCATGATGAAGCATGAGGATGTTGAGGAAGTGTATGTGTACCTTATGCACAATGGCAACACAGTCTTCAGCATGTACAGGTGGGTGGTCTTTTCTGTCATGGGTCTCATCCATGCTGCCATTGTTTGTTCAAGGAATGCCTAATGACAGGGAAGCGTATAGGAGTCAATAGAGCCTGACATGGCCCCTATCCTTAATAAGAGCCCTCATGCACCAGTATGGCCACATTATCATCATTATTGTTTGGGAAAAAGTAAATCTGATGAACTTGAGCATCAGCAGGTTGATAAGAGGCCTTGCATTAATTACTAGCAGCACTCCCAATAACCAGTCATTTGGATTATTTTTATAACTCATTATTTTTCTCCTCTCTCTCTGCCCCTTTTTCTGCTTTCCCATTCTCCCATGCCCTCTGATGTTAGCTTGGAATGTGGCAAAGAGGCAGAGAGCCGACACCTTTCTTACAATTAAAAGGGCCATGAGTTATCTATGAAAAACTTTGTGGCTGTTATCATTTCCCTGTTATTTTTGATGATGTGTGATAATTGCTGTGTTTACTTCTGGAGCCTTCCTTACCTGAGTGGGAAGATGTATTTGAAATGCCAAAAGACAGGAAGATGAGTTAGGGTAGGTGAAATTGTTGCAAGTAAGAGATCCAGTTACTCTAACATGCTAGAAGTTGATTTTTCTTCACCAGTCCAGGGCAAGAGTTCCAGGTTGAGAAAGAATGAGGGGTTGTAGGAGAGGTGCAGGTTGGGAGTGGGTTTATTCTTCCTGTTTTTTGAGGAAGCCAGGCTGATGAAAGCAGCTCTGCTGTCTATAAAACTGACTTTGAGCCAGGCGCGGTGGCTCACGCCTGTAATCCCAGCACTTTGGGAGGCCGAGGTGGACAGATCACGAGGTCTGGAGATCGAGACCATCCTGGCTAACACGGTGAAACCCCGTCTCTACTAAAAATACAAAAAATTACCCGGGCATGGTGGCAGGCGCCTGTAGTCCCAGCTACTCGGGAGGCTGAGGCAGGAGAATGGCATGAACCCAGGAGGCGGAACTTGCAGTAAGCTGAGATTGCGCCACTGCACTCCAGCCTGGGCGACAGAGCGAGACTCCATCTCAAAAACAAAACAAAACAAAAAACAAACAAACAAACAAACAAAAAAACTGACTTTGAAATTCTCTCTGGTCATTGTCATTGCCAGAGTCAGAAGGAGAAAAGCTTGCTGTTGCAAGCTTGTGGAAATATTTATGGATCAGGAATTCTGTTCAGAGAACTTAGTCACATTGTTTTCCACCCAACAAATGCAAAGGTGACATGGAATTGCAGTGCCAATGGAACAGAAGAAAGGGGATTCTGGTGAACAGCTAACCTTCTCTGCCCACTGGCTTCCAAATATCTGCTGAATTCTTCTTCCTACACTTACAATACATGTCTCCCCATCTCCCTGTCCCTATGGGAGACAGCCTGTGAAGCACAAATAATGCATCCAGCTCAAAGCCCTGAGTCAGTCAATGAGTAGTCCTTTTTATCAGATTGGTTTGTTGGCTGTTTTTCTCTTTGGCTCCTGGTTCTGTCCTCTAGGAGGGTCTTCTTTATCTGCTTTTCTCTGTGGCACATCTGAAAGGTGAGCAGGGCCTCCTCGAGGCTCTCTCACAGCCCACTTCCTGCTGGTGCAAATTTGAAAGCTGAGTCAAACAGCCCAAGCCTCTGGAGTCTGGTTTTGTGTCTCTGGCAAACCCATTTCCTCAGAAACTTACTTGGCAGGCTTTTACTCTGTTTTTTACTCGATTTTACTCTATTTACTTAGCTGGCTTTTACTTCATTTGTTAAATAGATTAAGTGAAGTCAGTTACATGTGTTACTAAACCACACTCCATATACTTTTCTTGACAGTTTTCAGCCTGCTATTCCTTGTCTTCATGCCTTTCTCTCAAGTTAATGGAGTTACCCTGAGGCCTTCTAAAGCAATCGATTTGGGCAGAAAGGCAATATTTTTAATCCATCAGATTGTGCCACAGCTGTGTCTACTTGATTGAATGAGTAGTCTTTTTTTATTATGATTTTACTTTAAGTTCCAGGATACATGTGCAGAATGTGCAGGTTTGTTACACAGGTATACATGTGCCATGGTGGTTTGCTGCACCTATCAACTCATCATCTAGGTTTCAAACCCTGCATGTGTTAGTTATTTGTCCTAATGCTCTCCCTCCCCTTTCCCCTCACCCTGCCACAGGTCCTGGTGTGTGATGTTCCCCTCCATGTGTCCATGTGTTCTCATTGTTCAACTCCCACTTATGAGTGAGAATATGCGGTGTTTGGTTTTCTGTTCCTGTGTTTGTTAGTTTGCTGAGAATGATGACTTACAGCTTCATGCATGTCCCTGCAAAGGGCATGAACTCATTCTTTTTTATGGCTGCTGAATGAGTAGTCTTAAGGAAAAAACATCAACTTTATCACTGCTCTTCCAGATATAAAGACACCTGGCTTTTTTAACCTTGTTAGGCCCTAATCACGTAGACATTATTTACTTCCTTTTCTTCAAACAAGTCAGTTTTTGCCTAACTCATCTTTGGTAGCAACATCTTTCTAAAAGCAGCAAAGAGTACTTTGGCTTTTTCCAGTCACTTCCCTTTCTTACCCTACAGGCATTAGATCTGTCTTCCAAGTTATCACATTTTCCAAATGTTTTTGCACAGTGTAACATGGATCTTCTGCTTTCCCAGACCATGATATTTGTTTCCCCATTGCTCCTTGCCTGACCATGAGCCAGTGCAAGCCTATTTTTATTTGGGTTGCGGAGCAGCCTCCTTTTGTACCAAATTCTAGCTTGGTTAGGGGAAGCTAAATTACTGTAACAAAAACCCAGTGGAATAGCTCAAACATAATATAACTTTCTTTCCTTCTCATCAAACAGCCCAAGGTTGTTCCAGGTTGGAGCAGAGAAGAGAGAGAGCTCTTTTCCACATGGTCTCCAAGAACCCAGTATTCAACATATGGCTTCTAAGATCATTCTGGTCATTGTCATGAACATTCCAGACAGTCATAAGAAGGAGCAGGGAGGGGTTTTGTGAGAGTGTTACTAGCCAGCTTTAGAAGTGGTACATAGGTCATTTCTGCTCACAGGCTGTTTAGAGAACTTAGCCGCAGGATTATACCTGTGGGAAGGAGAGAAGGGGAGCACAGACTTTGGTGAAGAGCTGGTTGTTCATGGCAAAAACTAAGTAGTTTGTTCCTCTTTTTCTTTCCAGCTATGAAATGAAGGGCAAATCAGATACATCCAGCAATCATGCTGTGCTGAAGCTAGCCAAAGGGGATGAGGTTTGGCTGCGAATGGGCAATGGCGCTCTCCATGGGGACCACCAACGCTTCTCCACCTTTGCAGGATTCCTGCTCTTTGAAACTAAGTAAATATATGACTAGAATAGCTCCACTTTGGGGAAGACTTGTAGCTGAGCTGATTTGTTACGATCTGAGGAACATTAAAGTTGAGGGTTTTACATTGCTGTATTCAAAAAATTATTGGTTGCAATGTTGTTCACGCTACAGGTACACCAATAATGTTGGACAATTCAGGGGCTCAGAAGAATCAACCACAAAATAGTCTTCTCAGATGACCTTGACTAATATACTCAGCATCTTTATCACTCTTTCCTTGGCACCTAAAAGATAATTCTCCTCTGACGCAGGTTGGAAATATTTTTTTCTATCACAGAAGTCATTTGCAAAGAATTTTGACTACTCTGCTTTTAATTTAATACCAGTTTTCAGGAACCCCTGAAGTTTTAAGTTCATTATTCTTTATAACATTTGAGAGAATCGGATGTAGTGATATGACAGGGCTGGGGCAAGAACAGGGGCACTAGCTGCCTTATTAGCTAATTTAGTGCCCTCCGTGTTCAGCTTAGCCTTTGACCCTTTCCTTTTGATCCACAAAATACATTAAAACTCTGAATTCACATACAATGCTATTTTAAAGTCAATAGATTTTAGCTATAAAGTGCTTGACCAGTAATGTGGTTGTAATTTTGTGTATGTTCCCCCACATCGCCCCCAACTTCGGATGTGGGGTCAGGAGGTTGAGGTTCACTATTAACAAATGTCATAAATATCTCATAGAGGTACAGTGCCAATAGATATTCAAATGTTGCATGTTGACCAGAGGGATTTTATATCTGAAGAACATACACTATTAATAAATACCTTAGAGAAAGATTTTGACCTGGCTTTAGATAAAACTGTGGCAAGAAAAATGTAATGAGCAATATATGGAAATAAACACACCTTTGTTAAAGATACTTTCTAAACTTGTGTTTAATAAACTTTAATAGTCATAGAATTGTAAATCACTATGGTTAACAGAAAGTGAAAATATTTTCATGCAGATGATGTGAACAGCCATGTGAATAGGTGACTTGGGCACACAGCAGGGTCATATGACTTCAGAAAACTTCGCTTTTCAGTTATTCCATTGTTATAATGTCAACCCTTTAAGACATTGATGTTTAGAGGGCTCACAAATAAAATCTGAATACCTGTAAGGAAAGAGGTTTTTTATCACATACCTTAAGTCTTTGTAATGTTCATGCTTAAATTCTAAGTTTTCACCTTAGTGACACACAAGGTTTGGTTGTAGGCAACAAGTCCCAGGTGTGTGGGAAATTGATTCACAACAGAGATGGGAAAAGGTGCAGATAATTTCCAATGCCTTCACAATTTACCCATGACCAGAAATATACTTGGAAGACTGATTTCACAAGTGTCCCAAAACTGAGATGCTAAAAAGGAAACAGTAGGTAGGTGTCATAGGAAATTTACATGTACCATCTAATAAACAAACTTGCAAATTCTAAATCTTTTTTTTTTTTGAGACAGTTTCACGCTGCTGCCCAGGCTGGAGTGCAGTGGCATGATCTCAGCTCACCGCAGCCTCCGCCTCCTGGGTTCAAGTGACTCTCCTACCTCAGCCTCCTGAGTAGCTGGGACTACAGGCGCCCACCACCAGGACCAGCTAATTTTTAATGTTTCTAATAGAGATGGGGTTTCACCATGTTGACCAGGCCGGTCTGGAACTCCTGACCTCAGGTGATCTGCCTGCCTCGGTCTTCCAAAGTGCTGGGATTACAGGCGTGAGCCCCCGCACCCAGCCGCAAATTCTAAATCTTAAAACAACTCTGCAAACGAAGCACTTGAGTTTCTGCTTGCTTCAGGGATGTAATATGGTGTAGAACTGTTTCACATAATGATCAGCCTTGGTAATTTTCCAGTGTAGAAAACATTATATTTGACCCTTGGACAACAAAGAGATTATATTGAAGGAATTTTATTGATTGTATCATGAATAAAAGCTGAAGTCAAAATTAAAATGTAAAAAAATAATTCAGAGGATGGAATATGCAAATGTAAACTCCAAATGATGTGGCTGGAATTCATAAACATTTACTTTATGCAAGATACTGTGCTATTCCAGGCACTCCTATGGCATTTAAAGTACAATTCTTACCTTCCCTAATTTTTCAACCTAGTAGAGGACAATAGGCTAAAGGGAATAAGTACATGGATAACAAAACATAAAGTAGAATGTTTTTACAGCCATAGAAGGCAAAGGGCTAGGAATTCACAGGAGAGAGAAACAGTATCTAGCTGAGAGCATAAGAAAAGCTTGTGGAAAAGATAATATCTGATGGCCAGAGACAATTTCTTGCTTTGGTATGTTTGAAGTGTTATATTTAAATATATATATTTTTATTTAAAAAACTCACTATAGAAAATTTATAAAATTCCCCAAAATATTTAGTATAAAATTAATCATCCCATCAAATATTAAATAATATTACTATTTTAAAGTGTTTATTTCAGTCTTTTCCTGCATGTATTTATGGCTTTTATTTTTAAATATAGTAATAAAATAATTTGAAATTAGCTTTTTATATATTTTTGTATCTTGCTCTAATGGGTTGGACTAAACATATTAAGAACACTCTCAAATGCTACTAAGGACAATTTGAAAACATAATTTTAATGACTGCATAATTTATTTAACTTTCCTGTTTTGGAAAATATTATTTTTTTTTTATTACAAATAATATGTCATGAGCATTCTCTTTTTAAAAAAATAAACTATGTGTGCATATAATTATTTCCTTTGATTAAATTTCCAGAAGTGAGATTATTTGGTAAAAAAGCCTAGACATTTTAAAAGCTGTTAATAATGTCACATTTAAAAAAAAAAAATAGCTTAAACTTATGTAAGGAGGGACTTTATTCAAAAGGATTATTGCCATAAGGGGAAGGTGACTACGACAATAGGGAAAAGGCTCTGAGATCTATGAGATCTGTAGCTCAGAGGACAAACACAAATAGGCTTTCTTTTATGGAGAGAAGTAAACAAGAACTGGGTGCAGGGGATGGGATGGGTGACAGGTATGATGGGACATTGACTAGGGAACACTTTTTCCTGAGTTCAGCCAGTTCCCTGAAGGAGGGGCCTCTAACTTTAACATGGCTCCATGTTCCAGTGCCCAAAGTGGGCCAAAGTTTAGGTACCTGGGCAAAGGGGAAAAGCCTTACTAAACTTTGGTCAAGTCAAGTTAGTTTGCATTTTGCCCAGATCGAACAGTTCAACGAACACTTCAGCTATTTATAAGACAAAAAAAGTGGGAATTTAGAGGGTCTGTGCCTGGTCATGTTCTATGTAAACAAGAAAGTTTTAAGTCATAAGAGAAAGCATGATTGTTTGCAGCAAGCCATTTCCCAGAACAAAAGGGAAGGAGGATTTTTAAAGTTCCTTTCCAAAAACACGGGGCTCAGGTAAGGTTCAACATTGCCAATAAATATTGTCAAGTTGTCCTCCAAGAAATCTGCACTTCTACTAGCAATATTTGAGAATGCTAGAAATGCTGCAGATAGGTAGGATTGTGATTCATGAGGATGGGAGACAAAGTGTTCTATGCAATGAAAAACAGTTTGGAAAAAAAAAGAGGCAGGGAAATTGCAAGCTCTTTGTATGCAACAGCATAGTGTGCAGTCAGCCTGGAATGAATTGCTGATACAGCGTTAAAGCAGGTACGGCTAGAAAGGGAGACAGAAGGAATGCCATAGGCTTTCAATGCCAAGGTGAGACCTACACTTAAATTAGCAGCTAAAGAATCACTGTTAAATTGTGATCAATATTTTGATGTAACCAGGGCTAAGTTTTAGGAAAATCAATCTGCTGAAAATGGGAGGCTTTGAGGTGCTCCCATTTTTTTTCTTTTAAAGACAAGCATTGATTATGTCAACCTTACAAAAAAAGACACTAGAAAAAAATTAAATATGTTGGCTTTACTTGGTAATAGAAATAAGTATTATAATCTGAATGCATGGAATGGCAAACCATGAGTACATTTGGTGAGGCAAGGGGAAGGGGAACTTTTGTTAGCAAAAAAGGTTTACATAAGCTGCTTAGAAACAGAGTTCGTTGGTCCTAGAGGTTGAAAGCCAGAGTTGTTAGCAGTTTATGGATGGAGACGCTGTTAGTGGGCAAGTGTTCTTGAGAACATCATCTCTGAATTATTGCAGTCCTGGAGAATGTCTAGTCATAAACCAAAGGGTTTTTAGAAAGTTCTTGGAAACGGTTTTTCTTATCTCAGACATATAAGCACGAGCATCCTCTTTTTCGGGCTTTACCAGCTCTATTTTGTCTGGGTCTGATGAAAGTGATTTCATCCTGGTATCTGCAACTTTCACAGCTAGCTAATGCTGAACATACATCCCACCCTCTCCCCACCACCCCCGCACAATTTCTTCTCCAAATGTTTATTGGACAGTGCAAGGTAAGGAGGCACAACCCCTGTTTGGATGGTAAGTGTTAATCCAGTGGAATGGACATAGCAACACCATGCTTTGCAGAATGCCTTAAAAATACTCTCTACCCTTATTTCCCCTGCAGAAACCCCACAAAACACACCCACTGTCACTCATTTTGACTCTTTAGTGTCACAGCAATATTGTGGAATAAGAAAGAAGTCTCTCCCCTCTTGGCATAAATGAGTTACTTTGGGCAAGTTACTCAATGTCTGTGCCTGAGTTTCCTCGCTTGTAAAATTGGGTTGTCTGCTAGCATGTACCTCAAAGAATTGTTAAAAGAGAAATTAGTTACTGCATGTTTTAATTATTTAGTGATACATAACGACCACAAACTAACAGCTTAAAATAGCACACATTCGTTGTTTTATGGTTTGTGTGGGTCAAGAGTCCAGGCATGGCTCAGGCAGATTCTTTGCTTCAGAAGCTCTCACAGGTCTACCGTCATCAACGAGGGCTGGCTCATCTGAAAGCTCAACTAGAGAAGGCTCTGCTTCCGTGCTCCCTAGTGTTGCTGGCAAAACTCCATTTGTTGAGGGTGTTGGGTTGAGGGCCTCAGTTCTTTGCTAGCCATTGTCTGGAAGCCACCCTCAGCTCATTATGATATGGGCTTGTCCAATGAACTGCTAACTTCATCAAAGCATGGAAACTGAGAATATGATGCAGAAAGTCTGCTAGCAAGACAAAAGCCACAACAGCTTAGAACTTAATCATGGAAGTGACATCCCATCACCTTGTGGTATTCTGTTGGTTGGAAGCAAGTCACCAGGCCAGCCCAAACTCAAAGGGAGGGGGTTTCACAAGGCCATGAATTCCAGGAGGAGGGGATCAATTGGGCCATCTTAAAGTTAACCTTAGATTGCCCTCCAGCCCCTAATGACTCAAATAATTCCCACATGCAAAATACAGTCATTTTCTTGCAAGGTCCTCAGAGGTCTCACATCATCATCATAGCATCATCTCAAAGTCTAGAATTTCATCTTCTGCATCATGTCCAGATATGGGTGAGGCTTTTTGGAAGTAATTCTTCAGTCCAGCTCCTCGAGTACAGTTACTTTTGATCTGCTAACCTGTGAAACAAAAAAGAAAAGTTATTGGCCCCCCACATCTAATAAAATAGTAGGACAGGAAAATACATATAACAGGTGTAAAAGTTTCTATTCAAAAAAGAAGGGAATGAGAGTGACAAAGGCCAAAGATTCATAGCAATTCTTAAATCCAGTTGGTCAGAAATTATAAGTTCCTTGATTAGCTTTCAAGGCCTATAACACTTCAGCATGTATCTCAGAGAGATTAGTTTAAAAAAATATAACCATAAAAAGAAAACATGGGCTGGGCGAGGTGACTCATGCCTGTCATCCCAGCACTTTGGGAGGCTAAGACAGGTGGATCGCTTGAGCCTAGGAATTTGAGACTGGCTCTATTTAAAAAGAAAAAGAAAAAAAACAAGATGATAACCACAAAAAAAAAAATTATAAACTCAAAAGGAAAAAAATTCTTAATATTATCAAGTATCCAGTCAGTGTTTAACAATATCCCAATTGTCTTACAAATACCTTCCTACTGTATGTTTGGTTAAATCAGGATTTCAAACAATATTTGTATATTACATTCGATTGATGTATCTAAGTCTTTTTAAATGGGCAATAATTTCTTGCTTATTTATCATTTACTTTCTAACATTGTGGATTTTGCCAATTATATCCTTTGGTTTATCCTCTATCCTCTATATTTCCTATAAGTAGATGAATAAGATGCCTTGATTAAATTTAGGCTTCAGATTTTTGCAGAAAAACTTCATATGTGGTTCTGTCCATTGCATCATACAGGGAGGTACATAGTGCCCTATTATATTGATATTAAAGTTATCAGTGGATTCAGGATGTCAAAGCCAGATTTATACATTATAAGTTCCCTGCTATGGACTGAATGTTTGTATCTCCCCAAAATTCACATATGGAAACCCTAATCCCCAGTGTAATGGTATTTGGTGATGGGGCCTTTGGGAGGTGATATGGTTTGGCTGTGTCCCCACCCAAAAAATCTCATCTTGAATCGTAGTTCCCATAATCTGCATGTTTTGTGGGAGGGACCCAGTGGGAAGTAATTGGATCACAGGGGCAGTTTTCCCCATGCTGTTCTCATGATACTGAGAGAGTTCTGACAAGATCGGATGGTTTTATAAGCACCTGGCATATCCCCTGCTAGCTTTTCTCCTTCCTGCTGCCTTGTGAAGAAGTGCCTTGATTCCCTTTCACCTTGAGCCATGATAGTTTCTTGAAGCCTCCCCAGCCATGCTGAACTGTGAGTCAAACCTCTTTCCTTTATAAATCACCCAGTCTCAGGTATTTCTTCATAGCAGTGTGAGAACGGACTAATACAGGATGTGATTAGGTCAGGAGGGTGGGGTCCTCATGATGGGATTAGTGTCTTCATGGGACATGAGAGAGAGCTTGCCTCTCTCTTTCTCTCCCTCGCACTCTCTACCTTGTGAGAACATAACAAGAAGCCACAAAGAGTGCCTTCACCAAGAACTGACTCTGCCAGCACCTCGATTTTGGACTTTCCAGCCTCCAGAACTGTGAGAAATCAATGTCTGTTTAAGTCACCCAGTCTATGGTGATTTGTTATAGCAGCTGAAGAGACTAAGACATTTCCCCCTTTAGCTTTTTGCCTAATGTTTTCAGCAGCCACTTAGGATTATAGCTGAAATCTGCTATTTCATTTGGGGTTGCAAATAGTGAAAGTTTTAAAGACAGATATTCTTTCATTAGCTATTTGGTTATCCTGAAATACCATTCATATGGAGGGCAAGATAAATATTCAACTTTTACAATAAAAAGTTGGTGCCCTAACAATCTCCAGCAGGGATCAATGAAGGCTTTAAAAACCATTATTGTGAACTCATGAATGTTCATAGTATTTGATGTGTTTTAATCCACCACAGTCATTATTCTAGTTTAACAGGCTCCATCTTAATTGTCAGTGGGAAGCCCTTCAAGTTAGTCCCTCTGCCCATTTGGGTCAGATTTAGGCTGGTGCCAATCCTGCACAGCTGGCAGGAGTTCAGCAGGGCAGGGGTGAGTGGAGTCTCTGTGCAGACTCTCCATCCTAACCAGACATTCATGCTGCAACCTTGAATGTGACTCTAGCAGCTCAAACTATTCTGTGCCCTGCCAATTGCCTGAATTCTGGCTTTCCCAGCAATTCTATGAGCTACTTGGTATCCTTCCAGTGAACTTTTTTTTTTGTATTTATGCCAAGAATCCTGATGGATCTAAGAGGAAGTAGTAGAAATGGGAAGCCAGTTAACATAAAATTGAGTGGTAAGGTAGTTTAGAAAAATAAATGCAATATAATATACTTTATCAAATAAAAAACAAAATAACATTTTGACAAAACAAAACATAGTATATAAATAGTACAGCTATGTCTGCAGATAGATATAATGGACTGTAGGACATACATCAAAGTCATGGGAGTGTTTGTCTCTTTTTTTTTTTTTTTTTTTTTAAACTGAGTCTCACTCTGTCACCCAGGCTGGAGTGCAGTGGCATGATCTCATCTCACTGCAACCTCCACATCCTGGTTTCAAGCAATTCTCCTGCCTCAGCCTCTGGAGTAGATTACGGGGGCCACCATGGCCAGCTAATTTTTGTATTTTTGGTAGAGATGGGGTTTCACCATGTCGGCCAGACTGGTCTCAAACTCCTGACCGTAAGTGATCCACTCACCTCGGCCATCCAAAGTGCTGGGATTACAGGCATGAGCCACCGCACCTGGCTGTGTTTACCTCTTGAATGCTGCGGTGGGGGAGGCAAAGAAATCTCACTACAGGTGAAAGTTAAAGAAGACTTTAGCTATGGAAGGAGTTTAAAAGCAGCTTGCATGATGATGCATTTACCCCCTTACTACAGGGATGCCCTGAAAGAGAAAGAAAAAGGCAAGTGAATCTCCATATTAACTGGATTTTGTGTAAATAGATGCATGATATTGTCTAGGAGGAAGAGAATTGAAAGACTGAATGCACTTAACAAGATATCCCTGGCCAAAGGATTATTTATGGTAAATAAACCCGGAATCTAAGAAGCATGGTTCCATAGCTAAAGCAATTCTCTGAGATATAAAATGAAGTCTATTAGGTGACCTGAGAACCTCGTTAGAGACTTCATCTGTAATTTGGGCAGAGGGGTTATTCGTTTACTAAGGCTGCCGCAATGAAATACCGCAGACTGGTTGGCTTAAACAATAGAAGTTTAATTTATCACAGTTCTGGAGGATAAAAGATCAAGATGTTGGCAGGTTTGATTTCTTCTGAAGCCTCTCTCCTTGGCTTGAAGACAGCAAGTGTCCTCACTTGATCTCACTGTGTCCTCACATGGTTCCCTTAGGTCTGTGTTTTTTTGGTCCTAATCTCCTCTTCTACAGATACTAGGATTGAATATTAGTCATATTGGATGAGGGCCCACCCATATGACTTCATTTTGGCTCTATCTCTAAATACAGTCACATTCTGAGGTATTGACGGCTAGGGATTCAACATATAAATTTTTATTGATTTATTATTAATACATAATATTCGTACATATTTATGGAGTACATGTGATATTTTGATACATGCATACAATGTGTAATGATCAAATCAGGGTTTTTAGGATATTCATCACCCAGAACATTTATCATTGTTTTGTGTTGGAAACATTTCAAATCTTCTCTTCTAGCTTTTTGTTTGTTTTTGTTTTTTTGTTTTGTTTTGTTTTCTTTTTGGAATAGGATCTCACTCTGTCTCCCTAGCTGGAATGCAGTGGTGTGATTATAGCTCACTGAAGCCTCAAACTCATGGGCCCAAGTGATCCTCAGACCTCAGCCTCATGAGTTAGTAGGTTTATAGGTGTACCCCACATCCAGATAACTTTTCAAGATTTTTTTTTTTTCAAGACAGAGTCTTGCTCTGTCGCCCAGGCTGGAGTGCAGTGGCACGATCTCAGCTCACTGCAAGCTCCGCCTCCCTGGTTCAAGTGATTCTCCTGTCTCAGCCTCCCTGGTAGCTGGGATTACAGACGCGCACCACCATGCCCAGCTAATTTTCATATTTTCAGTAAAGACGGGGTTTCACCAATTTTTCAAGTTTTTTGTAGAGATGGGGTCTCACTGTGTTGCCCAGGCTGGTTTCGAACTTCTGGCCTCAAGTGATCCTGCTGCATCAACCCCCCAAAATGCTGGGATCACAGGTGTGAGCCACTGCATCTGGCCACTATTTTGAAATATACCATATACTGTTGTTAACTATAGTCACCCAACTGTGCCATCAAATACTATTATTTAGCTATTATTTATTCCTTCTAACTACATGTTCATACCCATTATCCAATCTCTTTTCATCTCTGCCCCCCCATCATTCTACTCTTTATGAGATTAAATTTTTAACTCCCACATCTGAGTGAGAACGTGTGATACTTTTCTTTCTGTGTCTAGTTTATTTCACTTGACATAATGACCTCGAGTTCCATCCATGTTGCTGCAGATGACAGGATTTCATCCTTTTTTTATGACCAAACAATATTTCATTGTGTATATGTACACATTCTCTTTGTCCATTCATCCAGTAATGGACACTCAAGTTGATTCCATATTTTGGCTATTGTGAATAGTGCTGCAATAAACATGTGGGTACAGGTGTTCCTTTGACATACTGATTTCTCTTAAGATTTTTATCAAGACAATATGTGCACAGCTGAACATAGACCCTTATCAGGAGTTTTTGATTTTGCCTTTTGCCTTGTGATCTTTATTGGCCTCAGAAGCATGTGATCTTTGTTCTTCTTGTTTGCCCTTTGAAGCATGTGATCTTTGTGACCTACTCCCTGTTCTTAAACCTCCTCCCCTTTTGAAATCCTTAATAAAAACTTGCTGGTTTTGCGGCTCAGGTGGGCATCACGGACCTACCAATATGTGATGTCACCCCTGGTGGCCCAGCTGTAAAATTCTTCTCTTTGTACTCTTTCCCTTTATTTCTCAGACTGGCCGACACTTAGGGAAAATAGAAAGAACCTATGTTGAAATATTGGGGGCGGGTTCCCCCGATACTTTTGGACATATATCCAGTAGTGGGACTGCTGGATCATATAGAAGTTCTATTTTTAGTTTTCTCACAAACCTCCATACTGTTTTCCATAATGGCTAAACTAATTTACATTCCTACCAACAGTATATATAAGTTCCTCTTCTCTGCGTCTTTGCCAGCATTTGTTATTTTTTGTCTTTTTGATAATAGCCAGTCTAACTGAAGTAAGATGATATCTCATTGTGGTTTTGATTTGCATTTCCCTGATGATTAGTGATGTTGAGCATTTTTTCATATACCTGTTGGCCATTTGTATGCCTTTTGAGAAATGTCTGTTCAGATCCTGTGCCCACTTTTTAATGAGATTATTTCATTTTTTGCTGTTGAGTTGTTTGAGTTTCTTGTATAGTCTGCATATTAGTCACTTGTTGGATGAATAATTTGCAAAATATTTTCTTCTATTCAATAAGTTGTTTATTCTGTTGTTTCTTCTGTTGTGCAGAAGATTTTTAGTTTAATATAGTCCCATTTGCCTATTTTTTGTTTTTGTTGCCTATGCTTTTGAAGTCTTAGTCATAAAATCTGTGCCTAGGTCAATGTCCTGAAGTGTTTTATCTGTTTTCTTATAGTAGTTTTATAGTTTTGGGTTGTATGTCTTAAGTTTTTTAATCCATTCTGAGTTGATTTTTGTGTATGGTGAGGGATAGGGGTCTAGTTTCATTCTTCTGCATATGGATTTCCAGTTTTTCCAGCACTACTTATTGAATAGAATGTCCTTAATATATGTTCTTGGTGTTTTTATTGATAATCAGCTGGCTGTAAATATATGGATTTATTTTGGGGTTCTTTATTCTGTTCCATTGGTCTTTGTGTCTATTTTATGCCAATAGAATGCTGTTTTGGTTACTACACCTTGGTAGTATAATTTGAATTCTGGTAGTGTGTTGCTTCCTGCTTTGTTCTTTTTGTTCAGTGTTGCTTTGGCTATTCAGGACCTTTTGTGGTTTTATACAATTTTTTTTTCTATTTCTATGAAGAGAAAGCCACAGAGTCCTAAAATAATTCTAAAACTCATCATGACTTTCTTGCCTAAAAGATCTTGATTTCAATCGTGCCTAGTTTTGCTTTAATCACTTGCTTGAGAAATACATAAATCCCCACTTAAGATTAGTGCAGGCATATCTCTGGCACCCATTTCTGGTTCTATTAAAATTCCTAGAGATGTCAAAAATTACATTAGGCCACCTGACAGGCTATACCTAGAAGAGAAAAAATGATTTGTAAAAGCAGTGGGGCTATTTGCGATTGCTTTTTTTTTTTCTTAAATATCACCTATTAGGTTGAAAACCTGAAATTGCAGCTTTCTGTAGAAATGGCGGAAGACAAACTAACATTTTTAAAGCGCTCTCATTTAGCTCTGATGAGTACTACACCCCTGATATTCTTCTGATACTAAAATAATTTTCCTAGTGTAGTCTAAACTTTTTTAAAAAGACATGTAATCCGCGGAGTTTGTAACTCAAAACGAGTGCATCTAGGAGGTATCGCAAGCCGTTTCTGGATTAAATTCCCAGCTAGCTAGCTAGCTAAGCAGGGGCGGTGAAGAAGACAATCTGCAGCCTAGGGAAGAAAACGCTTTCGCATTGTTCTTACGTGTTTACGTTATTTTATTTCCCTAGAGCAAGGCAGGAGTAGGGACTCGAATGGTACAGTTGGGCTGGGGATCGCCCTGGTACAATAAAAGCGTCCAGAGAGGACGGTAACAGGCAGGAGCTCCAAAGGTCAGTCCCTGCAATTTAAGACTCAGGAATTTAGGTTGCACAAAAAGGAAAGCAACCTACTGCATTTGGCACTGGCGGTCCCGGGAGGCCGGGGGTGGGGAAGCGCCCAGTGCGCAGACTCCGCGGGCTTGCGCAGGCCCGCAAAAGAGGGACGGGGGTGGTGCCTTTGGGGCGCGGCGCCGCGGCTGGGGGCGTGGCGCCGGGGATTGGGAGGGCTTCTTGCAGGCTGCTGGGCTGGGGCTAAGGGCTGCTCAGTTTCCTTCAGCGGGGCACTGGGAAGCGCCATGGCACTGCAGGGCATCTCGGTCGTGGAGCTGTCCGGCCTGGCCCCGGGCCCGTTCTGTGCTATGGTCCTGGCTGACTTCGGGGCGCGTGTGGTACGCGTGGACCGGCCCGGCTCCCGCTACGACGTGAGCCGCTTGGGCCGGGGCAAGCGCTCGCTAGTGCTGGACCTGAAGCAGCCGCGGGGAGCCGCCGTGCTGCGGCGTCTGTGCAAGCGGTCGGATGTGCTGCTGGAGCCCTTCCGCCGCGGTGAGCCCGGGCCCCGCGGGCTGCTCTCGGGAAGTTCCCGCGGAGGGGAGGGGCCTGGCCGTTCGATCGAGGCTGCACCCGCCACACCTTTGCCCTGTTGCCGCAAGAACCCTTGTCGGCCCCAGCCTTCCAGATTTTTGCCTCCTAGGGTATTGTTAGTGATCATTCTTCCCAAACTGGATTGTCCAAAACTTGGGTTCTGAGATACTGCTGTTGCCCGGTTTCTCCTTTTGCCTCTCTGACTCCTTCCCAAATTCCTCCTTTTTTTTCTAAGAAACGTTCCGTATTTGCCTTTCTTAATTAATTGAGGGTCTTGAACCCTGTGAGAATCTAATGAAAGCCATAGGATTCCCTTCCTGGAAAACTGCATATAGGCGGTCATTCGGCTACCGTTTTGGAGTGCTGTACCCTCAAGCCATCCACGGGCCCAGGCTAACGCTCCTCCCTGCCTGAAATGCTGGCGTTCTAAGTCTCAGCATCTGCTCCCTGAAGCCCAGTTACCCATTCCCATCATTTTCACCTTTTTGTAGACTTCCCCCTTTCAGAGCGGCAGACGCTGGCATACACAGGTCCTGGGCATCGCCGTCAAGGCTGCCCGCCAGGCAGCTTCCACAAATCCCAAAATGAGCCTTTCCTTCTTCCTTCTAAAACAGCATCTCCACCTTCTGTATTATTTATTTCAGTGAATGCCTGAATCTCAAACTTGTACTTCATCATGGACTCCAGTCTTCCTTTCACATCCAATTTCAATGATCATCAATACAGTCATTTTGCTCCTTAGCCCACTCGGACTATTTCTCTCCATACCTGCTGCAACTGCCTTGACACTGGTGTGACAGCCTTTTAAAAACTGGTGTTTGGGGCTGGTATCACTCCAGTGGATTCTCAGACAGCTGCCAGAATAACTTTGTTCAAGTAGAAATCCAAAGCATTGCCTGGTCTATAGTGGGAAATCGGTAAATGGTGAATGAATGAATGCCTACGGCACAGCCGGCTTATTTAAATGCGTTAACTCATTTAACCCTCACAGCTGTATTTGAGGCTTGTAACAATAATGATTTAATAATTAAGATTATGTAATAATTTAAGAATGCTCCATTTAAGATGAGGGAGGCTTGTCCAAGGTCTTGTAATTAGGAGGAAGGTCGGCTGGGAATACGGATATAGCCTCCGGGTGAGGAGTTGTGACTGGTGTTTAGGTAGATGACTAGAGGTTTTCTGTGATTTATTTTAGCCTTAGGAAGGTAAAGATAGTGAGTTTATTATGTAATTTTGATTACTTTTAATCCCAGGAAATTTCAGGTGCTGGTTACCTGGGGTTTGTGCTATAAATACTATACTTGTTGATAGCTTAAAAACTCTCAGGTGCTATTGTCACTAACCACTCTTTCTACAGATGGGTGCTAAACTTTTTCGTGAAGGTACTGATGCTAGGCACTTTAGCGCCTGTGGAAACATCAGGTGTAAATTCTGCAGGAGGAGCTCATGAGCTGATAGGGAAGATAAGTGTATGCATGTACAAGCAAGTGCAGCTAAGGTGGGATGTGGTAAACACTGATGCGGTATAGAAAAAGAGAAAAGGGATTTACTAAAGGGATGAGACCCTGCTCTGGGGATTGAATAAATAGGCTTGGATAAACCTAGAGGGAAACAGAGATGTACTGGGAGAAATTACATCCTGGGAAGAAGCCACACATTCCAGAAATGGTGGCTTCACTCTTTGAGTCCTTAACTGCTGTAAACATGCCATTAGCCTACAGCAAATGTTATTAATATTACTTGCAATGGTGCTATTTTATGTTTGTCTCAGAGAAGGGATTATCTCCATCCTCAATTCATACTCTCTTAAGAAGATCGTTACTTTTCTCTTAAGGTGTCATGGAGAAACTCCAGCTGGGCCCAGAGATTCTGCAGCGGGAAAATCCAAGGCTTATTTATGCCAGGCTGAGTGGATTTGGCCAGTCAGGAAGCTTCTGCCGGTTAGCTGGCCACGATATCAACTATTTGGCTTTGTCAGGTATGTTGAAAAAAAATTTAGTCTACACTTTTAATTTATTCCATCAAGATCTACAGGTATGTTGATTAACAATAATTTGTAAAGGTAAAAATTTAAACATTTATCAGAATCAATCAAGAGAGCATGGGTGTTCAAAATGGATCGGTTTGAGTCTTGAAACAATCATTCTCAACCTTCCCTCACCCCATCCCTTAACAGGTTGGAAGGTTAATACATGCCCACTACTATCATTTATTTACTACATTTGTTGAGTCAATTCTCAGACAAACCCCTGCTAGGAATTAAGAGGCTTACTGGGTACTACGGATGGTTGCTCTGTGGTTTGAAAATGTTGACATAGTTAGATTCTGACAGCTACTTCTCCCCCGGACCCCGAAATCTCCACCCACCATATTGAGAATCATTGCCTGAGTCATTGTTTCAGACTTCTATGAGCACTAAAAAAAGCCCATGGTTTTCAGGTCCTAATATCACTTTATTAGAGTTTTTGCCTGTGACGACATGTGAGATAGGCCTGATTCCAGAATTCTAAGAACCATGTGTTGTTGACTATAGGACATTTCAGATTTTCTGTGAGTACACATTTAAAAGTTGAGGAAAGAAGTGGGTATAGAATTGTCTCTTCACATCTACTTAAAAATTAAATTCCTTTTTTTTCTTGTCTGCAAGTATTTTCTTACATTTCTTTATGCTAAGAATGAAAGTGCATTTACTGTTTTAAAACCACAAAATAAATAATCATTTTCTTTTCCAAAAGTAAGTGAGTAAAAACTTAGCAATATTTGAAAATGTTGGTTGGAATAGGTTTTAGAGAGGAAAACAACAAAACAAGGATCCTGTCTTGAGGGAAAGCCTGTTTATGAGTTTACTGACTAAGCTCAGATTTGGAAAAGTGATGTATACTAGCTTTCACTTAGATTATCTGCTGGAGAGATTGATTATTCCTCTAAGATGCTCACATATTTATTTTAAGAAGAGATTAAATTTAAAAGAGACATTAAATTTGTTTTTAATGATGTAGGTGTTCTCTCAAAAATTGGCAGAAGTGGTGAGAATCCGTATGCCCCGCTGAATCTCCTGGCTGACTTTGCTGGTGGTGGCCTTATGTGTGCACTGGGCATTATAATGGCTCTTTTTGACCGCACACGCACTGGCAAGGGTCAGGTCATTGATGCAAATATGGTAAGTATTAATTGGGGTAGATGCCTGCCACTTGTCCCTAAGTTTAAGATATAGCTGCTTAAAATCCTTTTTTTGAAGAAGAAGACAAGAGATAAATGACATTTGAAGTTTCAAGCCAGGTTACCAAGGATATCCTTTTCTTTTTAAAATAGACTTATGTCTTTTATATATCTGTTAGAATGTCATATTTTGATCATCTGTCCTTGGAGTCAGTTCTCTGAACTTTCTGTGACTCATGTGATTCCTACGTTGTTTTAGGTTGGTGCAAAAGTAATTGCAGGTTTTGCCAAATATTTGCCAACCTAAATATTTCAACAATTTTCCCCAAGTATCTCTTGTGCTTAGTATATCATTTTCAAGCAGTCGTCATTCAAAAAAAGTTCAAGAAGTCTCCCTCAGCTGGTAGAGAAAATTCTTAGGAATGCTAAGGTCAAATGGACCTCCCTGTCTAAACCTTCCTGCTGCGTTTTATAGGGGATGCTCTGATATCATAACACTTCTGTTTGTTCACTGTCATCCACTGAGTGCTTGCCTCATGTTCTGCTGAGCACATTCCCTGTGTGATTTCTTCTTATTCTCAAAACTGCATTTGGAATACCTTGTTGTTTTAAAGAGGAGGGAACGGAAGCATTGCCATTTGCTCAAGATCTCACAGCTAGTGGGTAAGAGAGCCCACTCCAGCACCACCACTGCGTGTTTGCATTTTCACAGACATTTGGAGGTGGGATGGAGAATGGATCTGAGGAGACAAGACTGGAGGTACAGAGACCAATGACTGGGTTATTGCTGAAGAGATCAGGGCAAGTACTAAAGCAGTTAATGGTAGAGTTGGTTTGCATTGAAGGGACATTTGAGGTATAAAATTGCTGGGAATTGATAATGGACTGACAGGGAGCGAAGAGGGAGAAGTTGAGGCTGGCTCCCAGGTTTCTGGCTTAGATGACCTGCTAGTGTCTTGAGGGAAGACTGCTGAACACAGTGGTCAGAGCATAGAGTGGCAGCTGACTACCTCCGTCCCAGCTCTGCCATTTACTAGCTCTGTGATCTTGGGCAAGTTACTTAACCTCTCTGTGCTGTAGTTTCCTTTGTAAAATGGAGATAATAATGACATCCACCTCATAGCATTGTTAGTTGCTATGAGAATTCAATGAGTTCATCCATTGTTCAGTGTGGGAACAGTGCCTGGCGTACAGTGGGCCCTCTGTAAAAGTTTGTCATTGTGGTTATTTTTACTAGAAGAAAAGGAACTCAGTTTTGGTCTTTTCAGTTTTAAAGTGCCTTTCAGATATCCAGGTGGGATACTTGAGGTTAGGGACTAGAAACAGATTTCGGAGTTATTTGGGAGCCATATGAGACTATGTGATCCACTAGGAAAGGGGATAGAACACCGGCATTTAAGGAATGCGTGGGCAGAAAAGAGAAGCAAGGGCTGAGGACAGCTAAGGAGAGAAGCAGAATGGAGTGTTGTCATGGAAACCAAAGAAAGGAGTGGTCAGAGGGTCAAATGTTGGTGGATACCTCAAGAGTTTAGAGACTGAGAGTGTCAACTGGATTGGGTCCTGGCTGATCTTCACAAAATCCATTTTCTACCAGAAACCCCCTCATCTCCAAAGCTTCAGCCTGCGCTTCCTTCTCCTGTTCATGGTGAATCATGACCAGCCCTGTACTGAGTGTGTGCCTGTGGGACACTGTCATCAGGGCACATCTCACACTTTCCAGTGTGCCCTCTCTGAAGTGTGTACCAGCAGCAGGGGAGTGTGGTTTATCTTTTGTGGGCCAGCTCTTGGCGTACTCATGGCATAGTCGCTGCATGAGATAGCAGCACCGGATTTATACCAGTACCCGCCAAACTCAAGACCGGTACCTTCCACAGGGCTTCTGTGATCCACACAGTTCCCTGAGGGAGACGTGCTACTATCATTGGCATTGAAGACTTGAAGGCTTGGCGAGGTTAACTGCCTTCCTCTAAAGCAGATGACGGGAAAGGGTCCGAAGCACTGCCCCAGGCAGTTGGACCCTAAAGCCACTGCTTTCAACAACTTCCCCTGCTGCCCCAAGAGCATGGTCCCTGGGGTCCAAAAGGAATGAACTAAGAGCAAACATGGAGTCTTGGGAGTGTTAAGGAGAATTTGAGCCTAGATACTTCTCTAGTAATAATTTGAATAATTTACTGAAGAGATGCAATTGATTATCATCAAATATAAATAAAAGGTGATTGCTGCTTTCAGCAGAATGTAGCTAATCAGAATTATATAATGATTAGAAGATAGTAAGGTTGGCTGGGCATGGTGGCTCACGCCTGTAATCCCAGCACTTTGGGAGGCTGAGGTGGGTGGATCACCTGAGGTCAGGAGTTCGAGACCAGCCTGGCCAACATGGTGAAACCCCATCTCTACTAAAATACAAAAAAGTAGCTGGGCTTGGTGGTACGCGTCTGCAGTCCCAGCTCCCTGGGAGGCTGAGGCATGAGAATTGCTTGAACCCAGGAGGCAGAGGTTGCAGTGAGCCGAGACCACACTACTACACTTCAGCCTGGGTGACAGAGTGAGACCGTGTTTCAAAATAAATAAATTAAATAAAGAAGATAGTAAGGTTTTAGGGTATGTGAAAATGTTGTAATCTTTCTTCTGGGTTCATATTTCCATTAGGGGCTAGTAAGTGTTTGCTAATTACACAAGGCTAAAAGAATCAGTAAATCATAGTCATTACTTCATCACTAGGACCCCTTGTGACACAGGCAATTGCAGAAGCTGATTAGGGGAAGGCAGATACCTTCTAATGGGCCGAAAGTTTTCACAGTGTTTAGCAGCAGAATTCCAGACCTGGGCCTGCCTGTGAAGAGCTGGAGGCTGCCTTATTGTAGTGCTGTTTCCTTGGAAACTGTAGTTAAGATAACTCTGGAATATGGAGTGCGTTTTGCTGTATTTACACTCAATCTGAGCCCACATGATGAGCACAGCGTTGTTAAATTAACTGTAGCATAAAGCTGCCCCCTTACGTATTTTAAGTTCCACCTAAAGGTTTCTCTTACATAATGAGCTGTGACCTAACTGGATGTGTAAACAGACTGTAACCTGCTTTTGTAACAAGCAGCAAGTCTCAGCCAATCACAGCAGCCGTACTTCAACTAATCACAGGCGGCCAGCTGTTCAAACCATGTTCAAACAAGGCAAAGGCCCACTTGTAACCAATCCGGCTGTTTCTGTACCTCACTTCTGTTTTCTGTACATCATTTTCCGTCCATAAGTCCTCTTTGGCCCCAGGGCTACACTAGTCGCTCTGAACCTAGTCTGGTTCCACAGACTGCCCAATTCATGAGTCATTCGTTGCTCAGTTAAACTCTTAAATTAATTCGTCTAAAGTTTTTCTTTTAACAGTATCAAAGGTTGGTGGCAAATTGAGGCTGCGGTTTCCCTGTGTCAGGGGGCTCTTCACTCGCATGCATGGTATATGAGTGATGGGGCAAGAGAAGCCGTGTGCCAGGGTAGCCACTGCCAGGCCTTATGATGAGACGAGGAGGGTTCCTGCTGTATTTCTTGTCCTGTACCTCCTCTGATGCTAAGGATTAGACCAGAGCTTGTTTTTGTCCTGAGTGGACCCAACTGGATCTGTAACTCTGTTAACACGTCTATTTTTCAGCAGTCTCATCAGGGCGTTCAACATATAAAAGAGATTAAAGGGGTATTTTATTAGCATAAAACATTTTATGTTTACATATTCAATATTTATATATTATTTTGTCAGACCAACGAAGCTGTTCTGCTAAACACAAACACTGGAAGTTAGAGTTTATGGGTGATTGTCTCATCGCTTTCAGTATTCAGTTTATTACTGTATTTCATTTTGACTGGATGTTAGGAAAATCCTGAGTTACAGAGATAAGTTAAAAATATCCATAGTTTTTACGCAAAAATTAGCTGGGTGTGGTAGGCACCTGTAATCCCGCTACTCGGGAATCTGAGGCAGGAGAATCGCTTGAACCTTGGAGGTGGAGGTTACGGTGAGCTGAGATTGTGCCACTGCACTCCAACCTGGGCAACAGAGTGACACTCCATTTCAAAAAAAAAAAGACCCTATATTTTTAAAAACTTGCTTAAAATTTCAGATTGCATTTCATTTATGATGAAGCAGAACAAAAATACTTTGTTTCTAGGTCGACTCACTACAGTGTGTAAAAACTTCTCACATTCTTTGGCCTGAACATGAAAGCCAGATAAACAGTATTCAGAACTCTCTGCTAAAACTCTCTCTTGCACTGTATGACAAGCTTGCTTCCAGTTCATCTATTACCGCCCTATTGATTCGGCGTTAGGCTCTGAGAGAAGTAAAGCTTGAGCGGAAAGCAGGCACTTGCTTATTGAAGGTGCTAACTTGTTGGTTTTGTATGAGTCAGCACAAATTAAGAGGAGAGGAGAACCATGCAGAACAAAGGTTTTCCTCAATAGTGTTTCAAATACAAGGTAATATTTATGCAAAATTGGAAGGAAAAGCTTTATTTTAAAGTCTAGCAACAAATGTTAATGAGTTGAGGCTCTGATGAGTCAGAATTTGGTATAGGATACATTTAAATATGTGCTTAAATAACATAAACATAAAATATATTTAAAATAGTGCGCATATACATGCATATGTGTATATATGTGTGTGTGTGTATGTGTATAAATGTGGAACTCTAATATCTCTGTAATCCAGCCTCAAAAAAAGGCACTGCCGTAGGCCACTTGCATGAACTCAGCTATTTGGTGACAATAAATGTCACAGCCATAAATTCAGATGTGCGTGAAATTTCAAGTTAAGAGGGAAAATTGGATATATCCAAAGATACATTTTGTGGTTGTTCCACAGTCAGTAACTGAGAAATTGCTAGCAGTTGGAATGAGGCCTGCTCTATTGGTAGCTTTTGAGACGAGGATGCTTTGAAGGCCTTCCTCCTGGGGTGCTGGAGACATTAGGCTCATAAAAGGCATAAAGGTCAGAACATCATCTTCTTCAAATAGTCCAGTGCCTTCAGCCTTTGAGTTTGAGCCTTGTGATAATTGTACTTTATTGTGTAATTACTTCAGGACTCAGTGGGAAGGTGGCGTGATGAGATGACTTTAGGACTCAGTGGGAAGGTGGCATTCCCAAACCAGTTTGCCTGGACTCAGAAAATGCACATACCTGCCATCCATATTGTTAGTTTATTTTATAACTTTCTAGTGATTATGAAATACATTAAATACTCAAATACAGTTTTCTTGGGATTGGAATCAAGCCAGAATAAGCCAAATTTTACTCTTATGTGATTTACCTTTAAAATGTGGTATGGTTTATACATCTGTGTGTGTTTATAGGTATGGAGATCAGAAGATGGATTTTTAAAAGCTCTTTTAATTTTTAACTTTTTATCTTGGCAGTTTTTAACATTATAAAAAGTAGAGAGAATAGTATAGTGACCTTCCATGTACCCTCACCTAGCTAAATCACTAGCATTTTGCCAATCTTATTTGAAATGGAAAGCAAAGGTCATTTCTTCTAAGTCTTATAGTATTTTTGGAACTGAATAGTGCAGCCAATTGTTATTTTAACACAAACTGCTCTAACTCACTTTCTGGAAATACCAGAGAAGTTGTGTAATTAGGTAGAATCTTCGTATACTCTAAGATAAGAATTTTTACGCAAATTTTTTTTAACTTGAATGGGAGGAATTATTCATGCTTTGACACTTGAGTTATCTGGATTTGTCTTGTATTCTGTTTTCTCAAAGGTGGAAGGAACAGCATATTTAAGTTCTTTTCTGTGGAAAACTCAGAAATTGAGTCTGTGGGAAGCACCTCGAGGACAGAACATGTTGGATGGTGGAGCACCTTTCTATACGACTTACAGGACAGCAGATGGGGAATTCATGGCTGTTGGAGCAATAGAACCCCAGTTCTACGAGCTGCTGATCAAAGGTAAGTGAACTTCACGCGTCTCCCCCAGTTCCCCTTTTGCTGTGGATGTTCTTTGGTTCTATTTTAAAGACTTTTGGCATCTAGGATGTCTTTTATTATATAGCCACTTTCTAATTAACCTAATTATAGCCATCAATATAATGTGGGGCATTTTCCATGGCTTTTAAATTGACCAGCAGTCTTACTAGTCTATAAAATAGCTGAGGGTTTTAAAAATAATAATCCCTTTTGTAGGATGTTCGGTGCTTTTATTACAGTTCACTCCTTGTGTTGGATAATCTTGACCCTGTGTGCCCAGATCTTACTCTTCCCTAGAAATGATCTCACATGGGTTGCTTTCCATTCAATATTCTACCAGCTCCTATTTCTTGGTAGATGTCCCTTATGGCACTTCAATGTCAGAAGTCACCAGAGCATGGAAAGATTTTGCCAAATGAGATTCTGTTAGAATATGTTACTATATCACTATGCCTTTGCAGATGACCTGTCTTGCAGATTCTTGCCTGCTTGGCAAGTTGTCATAAATTAGCAAGAAAATTTGGGATCTCTTCTTCCCTAATTAAATAATTGGATGGGAGTCGTTTTGTTCCTGAGAAATGTTTGAATTTAGAGTTCACTCTATAAATAATGTAGAATCTAAGAAGTTTTAGAATATACTCTGAAGTGATGTGAAAGCTGATCACAGTGCATTTACCTTTCTACTACAAGTTTAGAGTTTCATTGTTACGTTTGGTAGCTTTTCAGATGCATATACTAAAAGTTATTTGCATATAGCTGGAATGACTTTTTTTAAATTTTCCAAATTTTTGATGTGTTCTTATCTGATGGAGTAATTGTTTTTGCAAGCATCTGAGAGCATTTTATGATTAAACATATTAACTTCACCTATTCAAATATAGTTGGAAAAACTATAGAAGAACACAATGGTTTATCTAGATCATAAAGGGTACCTCTCTGTCCAGAAATTAAAAAGCTTGCCTTTTGTCACTGCTCCAAATAAATTGGAAGCTCTGGCTGCTCATGATGCTCTGGTGGAGCTCTGTGGAGCCATGAACACTGCCACCTGCAGTCTGATGAAGATAGCAAATGATATTCATTTTCTGAGTTCTGGTCCTTGGCCAGGTCTGGGAGAACTGATCTTGCTGAAAATACAACAGGAAGCAGTATCGTGCCAGGCAAGGCAAACCCTCGTCAGTGTGAAGCAATGGCCATCGTTGCAGCCCAAGTCATGGGGTTTTGTGTGGCAGTAACCGTTGGAGGCGGCAATGGCCATTTTGAGTTGGATGTTTTCAAGCCAATGATGATTAAAAATTTATGTTACACTCAGGCTGCTGGGGGATGCTTCAGTTTCCTTCACAGAAAACTAAATAGTGGGAATCCGGACCAATAAAGAAAGGATCAAGAAGCTAATGAATTAGTCGCTAATGCTGGTGACAGCTCTCAACCCTCATATAGGGTATGACAAAACAGCAGAATTGCTAAGACAACACCCCAAAATGGATCAACCTTAAAGGAAACTGCCGTTGAACTTGGCTCTCTCACAGCAGAGCAGTTTGATGAATGGGTAAAACCTAAGGACATGCTGGGTCCAAAGTGACTTAAATAAGTTTTAATGAAAATAAACGTGTAAAATTAAAAAAAAATACTGGACATTTTAAATAATTTAATGTGACAACTCCCAGGACTCCTCAGGATCCCTCAGTCCTGGGCTTGTTATTGTTGCTGTTTGTTTAATGATTTTCTTAAATTAAATCTGTATTCTTTGGCATGTGCAGCCACCGAAGTCAGCTGAGTTAGCTTCAGCTAATGATTGGACAGAAATGTCCTTAAATACCTTTTTTTTTTGTTTGCTTGTTTGTTTTAATCTAGGGGACAGGGTCTCACTCTGTTGCCAAGGCTGGAGTGCAGTGGTGTGATCATAGCCTTGAACTCTGCAGCCTTGAACTCTGGGGTACCAGTGATTCTCCTGCTTCAGTCTCCCAAGTAGCTGGGACTATAGGCAAAATTTTTTATTTTTGGTCGAAATAGAATCTTGCTATTTTGCTGAGGCTGATCTTGAACTCCTGACTTCAAGCTATCCTCCTGCCTCAGCTTCCCAAAGTACTGGGATTTCAGGCATGAGCCACTGCGCCTGGCCCTTAAATGCCTTGAACCAATAAATCTCCCATCTTTTTCTGAGGCACTATATGCCTTAACTTCTTGCTTGTGAAGAGCCTCAAGGTCAGCCAGAGGTGAGAGACGAGGGCCTTTACAGATCTCTCCCAGGCATTCATACTGCCCTGCGTGTGTACGTGTGCGTTGCCTTCTCAGGAGTTGCAAAAAAAATTCTCAGGAATATGTTGGAGCTTTTCAAAGTCCCCTATGGATATCCCATTCCCCAGTTTATTCTTTTGAGTTTTTTGGTCAGCATCTTATGAGCTGCAATAAATAACACCACCTAAGACAGCTGCGATAAAATATTGCCTTTTTTTTTTATTAAATCAACAATTTAGGGCTAGAGCAAAGTGAGCTCTGAGTCAGAAAGACAAGCCCTGAGAATGGAGCCTTTCAGGGAGCTGCCAGACAGGCTAAATAATGACAGTTCTCTGGGGATGGGATTTTGGGGGAAGCTGCAAACTTCTTTTCCTCCTCTCGGGGCTATTCTCCTGCTGGTTTTCAGAACTGACCAGAGTTGAGAGGAAGTTGTTTTTCAAGGCTACCACAGGGAGAGGGTTGAAATTAGCACAAGTTCTAACACCACAAAGCTCACTGCTCTTACTGAGATTCAGCTGTTTTTCTTGAATAAATGCTCCTTGGCTTGCTGCAAGCTTTTAATTTCCAGAATTATGAAAAAGTTAATTCTGACAGTTGTTGTTAGTGTTCTCATTGCTTTAATGCCGGTTTTTGAAGGCTGTCATTCTGCCACTCTGGAGTTAACTCCCTTCCTTGGTGTATCCTGTTATTTTAAAACATATACAGTAGTCCTCTCTTATCTGTGGGGGATGCATTGCAAGACCCCCAGTGGGTGCCTGAAACTGCAGATAGTACTGAACCTGATTGCGGTCAATTGGAAGATGTTTCTGTTTATGTCTTCCACCCACAAAGTTAATGCGTTTTCCATCTTAATTAAGCACTTATGCACTATGGCTGTAACTTTTCAGTCTGAGTTGTGACAGCAAAACTAGCATGAATTTCTTTTTCCTTCTCCCCTTCTTCACAATCTCATGAATATAAGATTCATTCTTAACAGTCGATTTTAGCAACCTTGGCTTATGAGTTTTATTCTTCCCTTAAGCTGAGAGCTTTCACCTTTTCACTTAAGGGAAGCACGTTAGGCTTCTCTTTGGCATATCCACATTGCCAGCATCACCTTTGCTTACAACCTTTGGGGCCCTTAGGAAGTAAAATAAGGGTTACTTGAACACAAGCACTGCAATACTGCAGCAGTCAACCTGACAACCTAGTTGGCTGCTAAGTGACTAATGGGCTGATAGCCCCACAGTGTGGATGGGATGGACATGGTTCATGTCCAAGGCAGGATGGAGCAGGATGATGTGAGGTTTCATCATGCATCATGCTACTCAGAACAGCATGCAATTTAAATTTATGAATTGTTTATTTCTGGAATTTTTCATTCAGTATTTTCAGACCATGGTTGACTGTGGGTAACTGAAACCACAGAAAGCCAAACCTCGGATGAAGAAGCACTGCTGTATGTGTGGAGTGCTCATTTTTCATATCCACACTTCACCTCAATGAATGAGCCTTCCTGGAAACACTGAAAATGAAACAAGACAACATTTTTCTAGCAGGGTCATTGCTCCAACCCCTTAACTCCTGATCACCTTCTCCTGGGTATTCTTCTGCTGAGTTTAAACTTTGTAACTCCCCTGATTTTTTTACAGCCCCCTCTTTTTGCATCCATAGCCTTTTATGATATCCTTAACCCTCATCTCCCTTCATAGTTTACCTAGGATCCTTAGCTGACAGATGACTTGTGCTATAGGAGATAGCATGTTAAACCACCTTTCACCTAATCTACCTAGTCCATGCCAAAATGCCTCAGCATTCTCTTTCTTTTATAATATTTATTTACAAAAATAGTACTTTTACTAATCACATATACATTTCTTCTCTCTCAAGTCCTACTGGACAAACCCCCACATCTGTAGTAATTTTTTGAGGGCCAGGTGCGATGGCTATGCCTGTAATCCCAGCACTTTGGGAGGCCGAGGCAGGTGGATCACTTGAGGTCAAGAGTTCAAGACCAGCCTGGGCAACATGGTGAAACCCCGTCTCTACTAAAGATACAAAAATTAGTCAGGTATGGTGGCGCGTGTCTGTAATCCCAGCTGCTCGGGAGGCTGAGGCACGAGAATCACTTGAACCGGGAGGCAGAGGTGGCAGTGCACTGAGATCGCATCACTGCCCTCCAGCCTGGGTGACAGAGCGAGACTCTGTCTCAAAACAACAACAATAATAGTAATAATTTTTGAGGTAGTACTAATTACATATCTAATTTACTCCCCTTTGTGTTTTAGATCTTTGATACCATACTTTAATCTGTATCTTCAGTTTCTGAACATAAGTATGCAAAATCTTTTTAAGGTGCATACTCTGCTGCGTCCCTGCTATTTTCTAGGACAAAAATAATCTGAAAACACTGAGAATTTTATGACATTTTGAGATAGCAAGTCTCTTATAGTACAATCAGGTAAGCAATAGATAATTTTCAAAAGCTGTTTTATCAGTAGATAATTTTCAAAAGCTGGGTGATCTCTGTCACCCAGGCTGGAGTGCAGTGGCATGATCTCGGCTCACTGTAACCTCTGCCTCTTGGATTCAAGTGATTCTCCTGCCTCAGCCTCCTGAGTAGCTGGGATTACAGGTGCCCACCACCACGCCCGGCTAATTTTTGTATTTTTAGTAGAGACGGAGTTTCACCATGTTGACCAGGCTGGTCTCGAACTCCTGACCTCAAGTGATCTGCCCCCACTTAGCCTCCCATAGTGCTGGGATTAGAGGAGTGAGCCACCACTCCTGGCCTTCAAACTATTATTTCTAAAAAATACAAAATAACAAGTGTTGGCAAGGGTGTAAGGAAACGAAACACTTGTGTATTACCAATGAGAGTGTAAAGTGGTGTAGCCACTGTCAAAAACAGCGTGCATTTCCTCAGAAAATTAGACATAGAATTGTATGATCTAGCAATTCCACTTCTAAGTATATAACCAAAAGAATTGGAGGCAGTGACTCAAACATATATTTGTATATCTGTGTTCATAGTGACATTATTCACAATAGCCAAGAGGTAGAAGCAACTCAAGTGTCCATCAACAGATGAATGGATGAACAAAATGTGGTACAGACATAAAATGGAATGTGATTCAGCCTGAAAAAAACAAGAAAATTCCAACACGTTACAACAGAGATGAATCTTGAAGACATTATGCTGAGTGAAATAAGTCAGTCACCAAAGGGCTAATACTGTATGATTCTACTACATGAAATGTCTAAAGTGGTCAAGTTCATAGAGACAGAAAGTAGAATGGTGCTTGCCAGAGGCTGTGGGGAGGTAGGAGCGGGAGTTAGTGTTTACTGGGTTCAGAGTTTCTGTTTGAAAAGTTGAAAAAGTTCAGGAGTTGTGTGGTACAGATGGATGGTGGTGATAGATGTAAAGCAGTATGAGTGTACTTAATGCCCTAGTACTGTACACCAAAAAATGGCTGAAATGGTAAACTTTATGTATATTTTACCACAATTTTCAAAAATGAAATAACAATTTAAAATTATATGTTTGCTAGGAAAAAAAAAAGCAATACGGATTTTAAAAAGTAAGAAGGGAAAATTTTCCTTTGTTCTTACGGTTTGGGAAAATATGGGATGTGGCCTTCAAGAATTTTTATTGTACACATACAAATGCACAATTATTCTATTCTATTTTATTTTTTTGAGACAAGGACTTACACTGTTGCCTAGGCTTGAGTGCAGTGGCACAAACATGGCTTCCTGCAGTCTTGACCTCCTGGGCTTAAGCAATCCTCCTGCTTCAGCCTCTCGTGTAGCTGGGACCACAGGCCTGTGCCACCAGGCCTGGCTAACTTTTTGATTTTTTTGTAGAGACAGGGACTTTACTAAGTTGCCCAGGTTGGTCTTGAACTCCTGGGCTCTAGTGATCCTCCTGCCTCAGCCTTCCAAAGTGCTGGGATTACAGGCGTGAGCCACTACACCCAGCAATTATTTTCTGTTTTACAATTTATAATTTATATATATAATTATATAAATTTATAATTTATAGCTTTTTATACAACAATATAGCAAAGACATTCTTTCTTGTCTGTACAAAAGATCTTCACCCTCACCCATTTGATATAGCAGCCATATCATATTTTTGATCTGCCTGTACTAAAATTTATATAACCAATTCCCTATGCAAGTTCATTTACATTTTTTCCAATTTTGTATTATAAAAATAATTTTTATGGCCGGGTGTGGTGGCTCACACCTGTAATCCCAGCACTTTGGGAGGCCGAGGCGGGCGGATCACGAGGGCAGGAGTTCGAGACCAGCCCGGCCAACATAGTGAAACCCCATCTCTACTAAAAAATACAAAAAATTTGCCGGGCATGGTGGCAGGCACCTGCAATCGCAGCTACTCGGGAGGCTGAGGCAGGAGAATCTCTTGAACCTGGGAGGTGGAGGTTGCAGTGAGCCGAGATCGTGCCATTGCACTCCAGCCCAGGCAATAGTGTGAGACTCTGTCTTAAATAAATAAGTAAACAAATAAATAAAAATAGGGAGGCTGAGGTGGAAGAATGGCGTGAACCTGGGAGGCAGAGCTTGGAGTGAGCCGAGATCACACCACCGCACTCCAGCCTGGGTGACAGAGGGAGACTCCGTCTCAAAAATAATAATAATAATAATAATAATAATAAAATAGTGTTTACAATTGCCATCCTGGACATATATCATTGAATACTTACAACTTGAATTTTGACTGCTTACTATATACTTAATATTATAAAGCAGTAAAGTTTATGGCATGTACTTAAAAGAATAAGCATTTTGTGTAACGTGTGTGTGTGTGTGTATGGTAGTTATTTTTTGGAATCAAAACATGCTTTCCCAAGTTTTAAATGGTGTCTGAGTCCCCAGGCTAGTTCCTGAAAATCTGTTTGACTTAAAATGCCAGAAATTTCATAGTGATTGTACCATAACAGCTAGCCACAATCTATAACTGTATTTATACAATTATGGATTCTGAGACTTGGGACTGGATTCCAAGTTCCATATTGGAGTGTCAGGAGCACAGCAAACAGCTCACCTTAAACCATTGGTGTTTAATCCTGTGGCCTTGGTCAGGGTCATGGGCAGGATGGGAGATTGTGGGCTGTGAAGGGATGGTAGACAATGGGAGAATTGGGGTGTTAGAGTTAGGGTAGGATCTGGGGGCTTTTGATTTCTAGTATTTTTCTAGCATACAAACTATGACCTGTGTAATCTCAGCTATAAAGTTAAAGAGAGAACACATTGGCTCTAGCTTTACTTAGTGTTATGATTCTGATCACATTCTGATAAAAAGAAACTGTTTTAAAAGCATGTGAAGATCACTACTTTTTGCTCAATGCTCATTTTATGTGCCTTTCACTCACAGAGTTCAGGGCAATCAAGAAAGAACATCAAGTGAAAGACATCCTGTAGATTATAGTGATAACCTGAAACTATGGCCTCATATCCGTCCTGGTATTTGAATGGGACTGGTGGTTACAGAAGAAAATGTACTTATATCCCACAGGAGGCTGTTTACAAAAATCTGGAACTGTGTTAGTTCTTCCTATTTCCTCATAGTCCTCAAAACCTTAAGAAGAGGCTTCAGTATTTATGTCTTCTTACCTCTATAGGGACTTTACCATCTTCAGAGCAATTTACAATTAGCCTTGATTGTCAACATGCTACAGAAGGAAGGTATTCTATAAGTGAGGATTATTCAATTAACTTGGCTAAACTTACACACAGTGTGATGCATAAAGAAAGGGCCTTTCATTATCATTCGACACTTAGCCATGCACTTTTAAAAGCCCGCTTATATGGGGAAGAAAAAGGACAATTTACACCAACTATTGTAAAGCAGCCCTGCTCTTTGGGTATAATTTAATCAGAACTGGAGTTTGGGCATGTCTGCAGGGGTAGAACCACATAGTCAGTAAAGGAAACGCAGATGGGGTCAAGAGCTAGAGAGGCCACCTTTCCTGTTAAGTCCCCAGGTAGCTGCTGTCATGTCCTCTGCACTGTGGTCTTGATGGGCCCTTCAAGTCCCTTTCATGCCGGAGAGGAAAGTCTGCATGCCCCACTGTTGACTGGCGGCTAATAAGTTTCTGTTTTGTTTATTATAGGAACAATTTGCTTGAGTCTTTGGTTACCTTACAAGTCCTTCATCCTAGTACAAAGCCCTTTTGGGCTCTTTTATTTTAAAAATGTATGTATGTTTGTATGGATGGATGGATGGGTGGATGGATGATGGATGATGGGGGTCTTGCTGTGTTGCTCAGGCTGGGCCTTGAACTCCTGGGCTCAAGCAATCCTCCAGCCTCAGCCTCCCGAGTAGCTTGCAGTATACTCGTGCCATCACTCCTGGCCATTCCAGCTCTTTTATTTTAACAAAATAAAGATAAATGAATGTATTTAAAAAATTGCAATCCTGAATTAAATAATTTGTCTTCAGGCTTCTTCCTTGGAAACTGAGATGGCCAAATGTAAAATTGTTTATATTTTATTTTTTTATAAGGTTTGAATACATTATAGAAAATAGGGAGTTATTTTAGCTCAGTATGACTGGTAATAACACCCTGGGGAAATTTTTTTTCAAAATCTACTCAGAGGTAGGAAATCAATTTCTGGAAACCAGACCATTGAAAACAGACTACTTTTGATGAAATGTGAATAATAAAATCTCAGTAGTGACAAGTCTGACTACCTCTGCCCTCTCTAGCCTTTGGCTCTAACCTTAAACTGATTTTACATTTTTTTCTCTTGACTCATTTGAGAAGCCCTTATAGAACATCTTATTTTGCATAGTACAGTGGGCTCAGCATTCATTTTTATTGATTATAATTGCTCTGTTCAAAGCATAATAATTTAGGAAATTGTATTTTTCCTCAGGACTTGGACTAAAGTCTGATGAACTTCCCAATCAGATGAGCATGGATGATTGGCCAGAAATGAAGAAGAAGTTTGCAGATGTATTTGCAGAGAAGACGAAGGCAGAGTGGTGTCAAATCTTTGACGGCACAGATGCCTGTGTGACTCCGGTTCTGACTTTTGAGGAGGTTGTTCATCATGATCACAACAAGGAACGGGGCTCGTTTATCACCAGTGAGGAGCAGGACGTGAGCCCCCGCCCTGCACCTCTGCTGTTAAACACCCCAGCCATCCCTTCTTTCAAAAGGGATCCTTTCATAGGAGAACACACTGAGGAGATACTTGAAGAATTTGGATTCAGCCGCGAAGAGATTTATCAGCTTAACTCAGATAAAATCATTGAAAGTAATAAGGTAAAAGCTAGTCTCTAACTTCCAGGCCCACGGCTCAAGTGAATTTGAATACTGCATTTACAGTGTAGAGTAACACATAACATTGTATGCATGGAAACATGGAGGAACAGTATTACAGTGTCCTACCACTCTAATCAAGAAAAGAATTACAGACTCTGATTCTACAGTGATGATTGAATTCTAAAAATGGTTATCATTAGGGCTTTTGATTTATAAAACTTTGGGTACTTATACTAAATTATGGTAGTTATTCTGCCTTCCAGTTTGCTTGATATATTTGTTGATATTAAGATTCTTGACTTATATTTTGAATGGGTTCTAGTGAAAAAGGAATGATATATTCTTGAAGACATCGATATACATTTATTTACACTCTTGATTCTACAATGTAGAAAATGAGGAAATGCCACAAATTGTATGGTGATAAAAGTCACGTGAAACAGAGTGATTGGTTGCATCCAGGCCTTTTGTCTTGGTGTTCATGATCTCCCTCTAAGCACATTCCAAACTTTAGCAACAGTTATCACACTTTGTAATTTGCAAAGAAAAGTTTCACCTGTATTGAATCAGAATGCCTTCAACTGAAAAAAACATATCCAAAATAATGAGGAAATGTGTTGGCTCACTACGTAGAGTCCAGAGGGACAGTCAGTTTTAGGGTTGCCTGTATCCAGTAACTCGGGGCCTGTTTCCCCGTGGGTCTCTGGGCTGTCAGCTTTCCTTTCTCCATGTGTTTGATTTCTCCTCAGGCTGGTAGCAAGTTCTGGATCTTATACCCAACACACAGCAACATCCAGAAATAAAGATCTCAGGACCCCCCAGCAAGTCGTTTTGTGTCTCCTTGGACTGAGTTAAGTTACAAGCCTTTCTTATACCTGTCTTTGACAAAGAAGACGGGATTGTCTTTACATAAAACCAGCCTGCTCCTGGAGCTTCCCTGGACTCAACTTCCTAAAGGCATGTGAGGAAGGGGTAGATTCCACAATCTAATCCGGGTGCCATCAGAGTAGAGGGAGTAGAGAATGGATGTTGGGTAGGCCATCAATAAGGTCCATTCTGCGCAGTATCTCAACTGCCGTTCAACAATCGCAAGAGGAAGGTGGAGCAGGTTTCTTCATCTTACAGTTGAGAAAACAGAGACTCAGAAGGGCTTCTTAGTTCATGTTTCCCTTAGCGCCTCAGTGATTTTTTCATGGTGGCTTAGGCCAAAAGAAATATCTAACCATTCAATTTATAAATAATTAGGTCCCCAACGAATTAAATATTATGTCCTACCAACTTATTAGCTGCTTGAAAAATATAATACACATAAATAAAAAAATATATTTTTCATTTCTATTTCATTGTTAATCACAACTACTTACTAAGGAGATGTATGCACCTATTGGACACTGTGCAACTTCTCACCTGGAATGAGATTGGACACTGCTGCCCTCATTTTCTGCTCCATGTTGGTGTCCATATAGTACTTGATTTTTTATCAGATGGCCTGGAAAACCCAGTCTCACAAAAATATGAAATTATCAGAAGGATTATAGTGCAATCTTATGTTGAAAGAATGAACTACCTCACTAGTAGTTCACGTGATGTCTGACAGATGTTGAGTTTCATTGTGTTTGTGTGTTCAAATTTTTAAATATTCTGAGATACTCTTGTGAGGTCACTCTAATGCCCTGGGTGCCTTGGCACAGTTTTAGAAATACCAGTTGAAAATATTTGCTCAGGAATATGCAACTAGGAAGGGGCAGAATCAGAATTTAAGCTTTCATATTCTAGCCTTCAGTCTTGTTCTTCAACCATTTTTAGGAACTTTCCCATAAGGTTATGTTTTCCAGCCCAGGCATGGAGGATCACTTGAGGCCAAGAGTTCGAGACCAGCCTGGGGAACTTGGCTGGACCTCCGTTTCTACGAAATAAAAATAAAAAAATTATCCAGGTATGGTGGTGTGTGCCTGTAGTCCTATCTACTCAAGGGTGGGGCAGGAGGATCACTTGAGCCCAGGAATTTGAGGCCACAGTGAATTAGGATTGCACCACTGCACTCTAGCCCAGGCAACAGAACAAGAACCTGTCTCTAAATAAATAAATAAAAATAATAATAATAAAAAAGATGTTTTCCCTACAACTCAGACTTTTCATTTGAACTCGGTCCAGCAAGGAAAATATAACCCACTCGAAGTCTTTAAAACAGAGGAAATTTAATATAAAGAATTCCACTGGTGACGAAAGAGCAGAGAAGCCCAGAAGATAGTGAGGCAACCCTGATAGGAACATAACTAGGAAGCCAAGACCACTCCTATGGTTGCAGGGGTGATGGGAAAGCTGGTGTACTTGGACCCAGAAGCCAAAGTTGCTGCACCCACCTTGGAGACATAGACACTGGCAGTAATACCTCAGGGAGAAGAAAGAAATCTAGGGAAATATCCTGGCTTCTTTCCTTCTCTCTCTCCCCTAGTCTTCCTACCAGTGTCTCCCATTAGCCAAATCTACCTAGAAGCCAGAAAACAAGGGAACCCTGGAAATGTAGCCCCATAAGATAAAGAGCACCAAAGGAAATAGATCTGAGCAGACAGGCAGCACAAAATGCAGTGTGTATGGTTTATTCACTCAGTAATTCCTTTAGCAAATGTTTATTGAGGATCTACTAGGTGCCAGGTATCATGATACTTGCTGGGGATACCATAATGAACAAAACAGACCTGTTCTCCGCTCTTGAGGAAATCAAAGACAAACACAGGATATGGAATAAACCCAGAATTATCTCATTGTAAAATGTGTTAAGTACCACGAGGAGAAATATCAGGGCGATCTGACACAGCTAATGATTTGAAGAAGGGTGTGACCTGCCACCATTTTAAATCTAGTTATTTCACTCCTGAGCTGTGTGTGTGGAAAACTTGTAGTAAAAAATAGAATGTCTATATTTATAAAAAGTTTATGAAAAGATATCAATTTATTTACATTTTGACAAACTCTATGTAATAAGGCTTTATTACCTCACGGCCATGTGTGTGATCATGTGTAATAGCATGTGTGTATGAGAGAGAGAAGCCATATGTAATTATGTGTAATAACGTCTGTGAGAGAGAAGCCATGTGTGTGATCATGTAAAATAACGTGTGTGAGAGAAGCCATGTGTGTGATCGTGTAAAATAACGTGTGTGAGAAGCCGTGTGTGATGTGTAATAACACGTGTGTGAGAGAGAAGCTATGTGTGCAATCATGTGTAATAGCATGTGTGTGTGAGAGAAGCCATGAGTCCGATCATGTGTAATAACGAGAAAAGCCCCATGTGTGATCATGTGTAATAGTGTGTGTGAGAGAAAAGCCATGTGTGTGGTCATGTGTAATAATGTGTATGAGAGAGAAGCCGTGTGTGATCGTTGTGTAATAACGTGTGTGAGAGAGAAACCATGTGTGATCATGTGCAATAGCATGTGTGTGTGAGAGAAGCCATGTGTGATCATGTGCAATAGTGTGTGAGAGAGAAGCTGTCATGTGTAATAATGTGTGAGAGAAGCCATGTATGATCATGTGTAATAACGTGAGAGAAGCCATGTGTGACCATGTGTAATAACGTGTGTGAGAGAAGCCATGTGTGTGGTCATGTGTAATAAAATGCATGAGAAGCCATGTGTGATCATGTGTAATAGCATGTGAGAGAGAAGCCATGTATGATCATGTGTAATAACGCATGTGAGAGAAGCCATGTGTGACCATGTGTAATGTGTGTGAGAGAAGCCATGTGTGATCATGTGTAATAGCATGTGTGTGAGAAGCCATGTGTATGATCATGTGTAATAACATGCATGAGAGAAGCCGTGTGTGATCATGTGTAATAGCATGTATGTGAGAAACCATGTGTGATCATGTGTAATGTGTGTGAGAGAAGCCATGTGTGTGATCATGTGTAATAGCATGTGTGTGAGAAGCCGTGTGTGATCATGTGTAATAGCATGTGTGTGTGAGAAGCCAGGTGTGATCACGTTTAATAGCGTGTGTGTGAGAGAAGCCATGTGTGTGATCATGTGTAATAATGTGTGTGTGAGAGAAGCCACGTGTGTGATCATGTGTAATAGCATGTGTGTGTGAGAGAGAAACCATGTGTGTGATCATGTGTAATACTGTCTGAGAGAGCCCATGTGTGTGATCACGTGTAATAACGTGTGTGTGAGAGGGAGAGAAGCCATGTGTGTGATCACGTGTAATTGTGTGTGTGTGTGAGAGAGAGAGAAAGAGAGAGGGAACAGTACAAAGGAGGATCCCTTTAGAAAAGTATTCCAACGTCTTATGGAGCCAGAGGGCTGATTCACAGCTGCTAATCTCTGTCATGCTTTCCAGCACCACCCCCTCCCTCTCATCATAACTTGTGATCTTAGAGGCAGGAAAGAATTTGAGCCCCTCCCCCAGCCTGACCATCTCTGTTGGTTGCTCGGCCAGGCTCCACGTCAAATCCAGTTTGAAACACAGACCCTAGGACCACGCAGGAGGTGGTGGGCTCGCAGGAAGGTTCCTCTCCCAGTGGCCATGGGTAGCAACAGTGGGCAGGCTGGCCGCCACATCTATAAATCCCTAGCTGATGATGGCCCCTTTGACTCTGTGGAGCCGCCTAAAAGACCCACCAGCAGACTCATCATGCACAGCATGGCCATGTTCGGAAGAGAGTTCTGCTACGCGGTGGAGGCAGCGTATGTGACCCCAGTCCTGCTCAGCGTAGGTCTGCCCAGCAGCCTGTACAGCATTGTGTGGTTCCTCAGCCCCATCCTGGGATTCCTGCTGCAGCCCGTGGTCGGATCGGCCAGCGACCACTGCCGGTCCAGGTGGGGCCGCCGGAGACCCTACATCCTCACCCTGGGAGTCATGATGCTCGTGGGCATGGCTCTGTACCTCAATGGGGCTACTGTTGTAGCAGGTAAGTGGGCTGCACAAGGTGGGCAGACAGGGATATGTGTCTTAGTGTGTACCTCTGCAGGAGGAGGATGTTCATGTGTTTGACCTTTCCTAGAAATTTGTTAGAATTGATCTCTCCTAGGTTACAATGAACTTCCCCTTTGACAAATTTGGCCCAGATTCTGTGGTTGGGGAGCCTCTACTTCTAGAAATATCAAAATAAATATGTTTCATTGTTGTGAAGATTTAAAAATAGGATTAAATTTGTATCTATTTTATTAAATTTGTATCTATTTTATCGAATTGAATATTTTTACATATTTATCAATTGAGTTACTTTTTGAGCCCATTATGCTCTATTTAATACTCTTATCAAATTGACTGGCTGCCAAATAGCTCCATAAATATTTACAATAAGTCACCTGTGTATCCAAATAAGTTAATTCTGTTCATAGTTTTATGTAGAGCGTTTTAATAGGCGTAGGGCATAAGCCCATCAGCTCAAGAGGACCTTTCTGGCATTGCAAATTCTGGACAAAAGCAAACCTGAGGGTAGGCATTTTTTCTAGCCATTAATCAGCTACCAATTAATCAGTAATTGATGGTAGTACAATAAAGTTGCATTGCAAAAAGGATCGCTAAAAATAGCACACATTTGTAGATCATTAACTCTCAAGCTAGCAGAATCGGTGATTATGAGGCAGGATAATCAATTATCATTTGTACATATTTGAAAGAAAGCGTAAATGTACAAATGTAGGATATTTCCAGGAGAATGAACAAAAAGCTGATAAGCATTGTTGACTCTAAGGAGGATTACTGAAGGACAGGAGGTGAGAAGTGGCGGGTAGACTTATTGTTCATTTAATTTTATACTGCAATTTTTAAAACGTGTATATAATCTATGCTATTCTTAAGTTTAAAAAGCAAATGGAAACAAGAGAAACAACAATGTATCTTTTATAGGAGATTGGGTAAACGATTACAGCGTATCCGTAGAATGAAAATCCAGCTGTTAAAAATTGTGAGGAGCTGAAATTATATGAAGAAAGTTGGTTACTGCATCAGTGCTGTTCAAAGATGTGGCCTCTGACCTGCCCCTCAGCATCAGCAGAGACCGTTAGAGATGCAGTTTCTCGGGCCCCCTTCAGGCCCACCAATTGAATCAGAGTCTTGGGAAATGGGGCCAGCAATCTGTGTTTTAACAAGACATACAAGCGATAGTTCAATATGCCAGACTTTGAGAAGCACTGCGTTTGACTACCATTGTACACGTGTGTCTGTATGTGCAGAAGTGCGTAAAAGGAGGCCTTAAAGCCTGACCTTTGCTGGGGCTGGGATTGGAAGCATCTCCCTCAGCTTTTTTAATAGAATTGGAATTGCTTGCGATAAGCATGCATACTTTTTTATTTAAGGAGATATTTTACATACCAGAAATTTCACTAATTAAAAGTGTACAATTCAGTGCCTTTAGTATGTTGTGCAACCATTACCACTCTCTAATTCTACAACATTTTCATCACCCCCAAAATAAACCCATTACCATCAATAGTCACGTCCACTTTTCCCCTATGCACCAGCCCTAAGCAACCACTAATTTACTTTGTGTCTCCATAGATTTGTGTTTTCTGGACATTCGCTTGCATAATTTTTAAAACCTGAAAAAAAATGTAAAGCTATTTTTATTTGGAAAAAAGCAAAATAAAAGCAAGGAAGATGATTTTATGGCAAGAAGTTTAGGTGGAAATTACAAAACGCGGATGATTCTAAAACAGGATTTAGGAGACCAATGTTTATTTTTCTTTTAGCTTTGATTGCTAACCCAAGGAGGAAGCTGGTTTGGGCCATAAGTGTCACCATGATAGGTGTCGTTCTCTTTGATTTTGCTGCCGACTTCATTGATGGGCCCATCAAAGCCTACTTATTTGATGTCTGCTCCCATCAGGACAAGGAGAAGGGCCTCCACTACCATGCCCTCTTCACAGGTAGGGAATATTCCAGAAAGTCTCTCCTTCAGCTCCCCAGACAATGAGGCACTTCCACTAAAGCCATCCAGTGTCTCTACACGTGGAGTTTTTTGAATGAACGGGTCAGCTGATGGGCTGCTCCCGTCATGCGGGCACTGTCTCCCCGTGCATTTCTCTGAACAGTCAGCTTGTGACTAGTGCTGCAGTTTCTGCAAAGGAAGTTTACAGAAGAGCTTTCTTAAGAATGCTTTGTGGAGACAATTACAACTGAAATGGAAAGAAGCCTTGTGGATTGTACTTTTGCATTAGAGCAGAGGATCTCAAGCATCAGCAATGTAGCATCCACATTCCTTAGAAGGTCATTGAAAATACAGTTGCCTGGGCTCCTTCTCCAGTTATTCTGATTCAGTGAGTCTAAGGCGGGGCCCAGACATTTGTATTTTATTTAATAAAGACCCCAGATGATTTTGTGGCAGGTTTAAAAAACAAAAAGAGAAAACAAACCAAGCAAACAAAAAACTCAACGTCTTAGAAATTTCTTAGTTATGTAAAAGGTTGGCATTTCCTCAACCTTGTGGTTTGAAAAAGTTCATGCCAGGAGGAAAATGGGAGCTCTCTTGATCTCTTGGGACTGTTGCCAGCCTACTTTGGTTACTGTTGGTCAATTGTTTAGAGCAATGCTACTCAGAGCACCAGTTAGGACTATGCTAGAACTAGGCATTGAAATATAAGGCGACAGGAGGATCCTGGCCCAAGAGGATTTTTATATCTAAGAGGGGGACTCTATCAGCCCACCTTATTTGATTGTCTTTGTAGCCCAGCCAATGCCTTTATTTATGTTTTGATGTATTCTCTCTCCTTCCATGGCCAGGTAGGTCCATGAAAAGCAAGATTTCAAGTTTTGCTCATAGTTTCTGTCTCTAGAGCTAAGACTGCTGCCTGCCCATGGAAGCCACTGGAGCCAATATTTGTCATTTGAGCAAACATTTGAATAGTTGAAAACATGAAGGAGTGAGGCCGTTGGAGCACAGTTGGTAGATCCTCCTCTGTGTAAGGAAGGCAGAGGGGCAGGAGTGCAGCCCCGTCTGTCACTGGCCCCTGCCCACTATGTCTCCAGGTGTTTAAAGGCACCTAAGACATGGCCAGGGCTTGAGACTTCCCCTGCCTCACCTTTGCTCTTGGCTTCCCTTCCCACTGCACTTTCCACGTGTGTCTCCTCACTCGGGTGCTCCCACCCCGCTGGCGTCCTTCTGTCTCTGGGGTCAGCCCAGCCCATCATACCTGCCCCAGGGTTTGGCATGAGCTCTTGCCCTGCCTGGGACACCCTTCCCCATATAATCCCATAGTCATGCCTTTATTCCACTCAGATTTCTCATCAGATATCTCTCATCAGTGAGGTCTTTCTTGGCTACCGTACCTGGCATAGTATGACCACTCCTCTTTCTCCTCATCCTTATTGGGTTTGATTTTTCTTTCTAGTGCTTATCAATACCAGACTAACTGACTGGCTATTTATTTATCTATCATCTGTCTCTCTCTCTCCTTCTCTTTTTTCTTTCTGGTTGTCTCTCCCATTTAGAACATCAATCCCAGCTGAGCAGACCTGTTGTTTTGTTCTCTGATGAATCTTCAGTTCCTGGAAGTGTCTGCTGCATAGTAGGTGCTCAGTAAATACTGAACAAACATTTCTCAAATACCCCATGTATGATAATAACCATGTATTAGGTATTTTCTCTTACATTATCTCGATCCTGACAATGGCCATGTGGAAGTGGTGTGATTCCCATTTTTCAGATGTGGAAGCTGAGCCTTGAAAGCAGTGGTGTGCTTACAGCTGGCTCATGCTGGCTTCTTGAGAATCAATTGTCAAATTTTAGGAATTCAGTGAACTTGTTGACATCATATTGCTGGCTTGAAACTGGCCATGATGGCAGTATTAAAACTCTAGAAATTGGCAAAGCTATAAATCATGGTTTTTTTTTTTTTCTTGGAAAGCCAGTTGTTAAATATTTACCTGAAGTCCACTGATTGGAGTAGGAGGGGGGTTCGGTGATTAAGTCACTTGCCCATAGTCCATAGCCGGAAAGTCTCATTGAATAGATTCCAACTTCATTTTCCTAACTTGAATCTGACAATTCCTTCTGTTTTATTATAATTTGTTGAAATTAATTACAAGGTCATGGGAGACTTTCTGGCTTTTGAACTCGATATTAAGAGTTTATTGATCTACAGGACATTGGACAATGTGGCCACCACTTCCCAGCTTACAATTGTATTAGATGTGGCTAAAAGACCCATGCTTTGCTGCCTTGACATTAAAAGACAAAACTCTGTGTTAGGGAAACTTTTCCAAGGCCAATACATGATAGTATTGTAAACCAGAATTAAAATTCTAACCCCCAGCTAACTGAAGGACCCTTCCTCTCGGCCAAGGTCATCCTAAAGTAAATCTGAAATACTAGTTTAGGCCATGATGGGAATGGGTGGTTGGACATGCCTCATTATACCTCTGTCCCTTTGGAATTCAAGCACAATTGATCAGCATTAACATTAAAGCAGAGACTTTAAAACTGACAAAACAGACTGTTTGTAGCAATTAGGTATTAACATGATAACATAGCAGGCCCTGAAAGAAATAGAAGTATTTCACCCCAATATACATTTATTTGATATATTTTGAAATGGCCCTGAAAAGCTGTCTCTTATGGGGAAAATCTACCTTCTGTACTCCTCACTCTTCCCTTTCCAGTTATTTTCCTGATTTAGGATAGAATTAACTAAAGTATCTGGCACCTTTTTAAGTCTGATAGGAAACGTTTACAGTCTATTCTCTCTGAAGCCTGCTACATGGAGGCTTCATCTGTATAATAAGAACCTTGGTTGCCACAACCCCTTATTTTAACCCAGACGCTCTCTTCTATTGCTTCCAAGTCTATAGATAACTCTTTCAACCAATTGCCAATCAGGAAATCTTTGAATCTTCCTATGACCTGGGAGCCCCACTTTGATTTGTCCTGCCTTTCCAGACCAAACCAATGTACATCTTACATGTATTGATTGATGTCTGATGTCTCCCTAAAATGTATAAAACCAAGCTGTAGCCCTACTGCCTTGGGCACATGTTTCAGGATCTCCTAGAGCTGCGTCACAGGCCATGGTCTTCATATTTGGCTCAGAATATATCTCTTCAAATATTTTACAGAGTTTGACTCTTTTCATTGACAGTATTTTTATGAGTTTCAGACAATATATCCCTTTTGAGATTTTCTGTTGATATTAGTATATGGTATGGTGCCAGCAAACATCAATAATTTTAATATTACCTTCATTCAGGCTCTTAGTACATCTCATCTGAGCTTTAGTACTGTTGATGGAAAAAAATTAAAATATTTGAAGAAGTTTATTCTGAGCCAAATATGAATGACTATGGCTTGGAACACAACCTCAAGAGGTCCTCAGAACAGTTGCCCAAGTTGTTTGAGTTATAGCTTGGTTTTATATATTTTAGGGAGCTAGAAGTTACAGGCAAAGATATAAATCAATAAATGTAAGGAATACATTGGTTCGGCCCAGAAAGTTGGGGCACCTTGAAGAGGGGGGCTCACAGGTTATAGGTAGAGTCAAAACTTTTTCAATTGGCAATTGATTCAGAGTTAAGCTTTGCCTAAAGAGTTGAAGTCAACAGAAAGAAATGCTTGAGTTAAGGAGGATTGTGGAAGCCAAGGTTCTTGTTATGTAGATGAGGCCTCCAGATAGCAAGTTTCAGAGAGAATAGATGGTAAATGTCTCTTTTTGAGTCTTAGAAGGTGTCAGGCTCTCTAAAAAAAAACTGGTAAGGGAAGGAGGTTCTCTACAGGAAAAAAAATCCCCCACAAAAGATGGCTTTGCAGGGCCATTCCAAGATATATCAAAGAAATATATTTTGGGTAAAATGCATTAATTTTCTTCAGGGTCTGTTATCTGTCATGTGATGGTATACCAGAGTCAGGTTGGAATTTGGCATCCTATTGCTATGAAGAGTGTTTTGTATGGCAGTCTTAAGATCTCTATTTTAATGTTAATGCTGGTTAATTCTGTCTAAACTCCAAAGGGAAGGGTTATAACAGGGTATGTCCAACACCTCCCTTCTCATCATGGCCTGAACTAGGTTTTCAGGTTTCTTTGGGATCCTCTTGGCCAAGAAGGGTGTCCACTCAGTCAGTTGGAGGCCTTAGAATTTTATTATTGGTTTGCAGTACTCATCCTTTAACTGTTCTCCAGTCTCCAGTTTCTTCCCACTCCAATTGAGCCAACTGATAGCTTCCAGATTCATATTTTTAAAAGCCAGCCGTGATCAGGACACTTTCCTGCTTGATGAGCTTCAGTGGCTCCCTATGTGCCTCATGGGTAAATAATATTTTCCTAGACAGAGGTTCAAAGCTGCCACAATCTGTTCCCATCCTACTCTCCAAGCTTTACTTCCCATTACTCCTTCCACATTCTCTGTGCTCTGAATAATTTTTCATCATGTTTCCAGGAGCAGCGGGCAGGTCTGTTTTATTCCCTGCATCCCTCACTCCTCTACCACTGCCTTGCATATTGTAGGTGTTCAAAATAAATACCAATGGGACAAATGAAGGAGCCAGCCCTTCCTTCTTCAGGTTCTGGGTCTTTGCTCACATCGAAAGTTTCTTTCTCCTTTTCTGCCTGTGGAGATCAAAGCTGCTTGGAAATGCTCACTCATTTTCTAGGAACAAGGGCCCTCATTCTCTTCGAAACTGCAGGTATACTTAATTTCTAACTTGGTCGGGGACTAGATCCACAAAATAATCAAAGCACAAAAGTTTATTGAGTAGATGAACATGAAGGTGCCAGTGAGGTAGATAACTCCATCAGGAAGAGACCATTGAGGCTGCAGTTGATCACACATACATCCTGAATTTTCATCTCCTCCTGGGGCCTTTATGGTCTGTTTGGGCTGCCATGCCAGAATGTCACTGACTAGGTAAACAGAAATTCATTTTCCCACAGTTCTGGAGTATGGAAATCCAAGATCAAGAAGCTGTCAGGGTTGGTTTCTGGTGAGGCCTCTCTTCCTGGCTGGCAGACAGCCGCCTTCTTGCTGTGTCCTCATGTGGCCTTTCTTCTGTGCACCTGCACCCTCACTGTCTCTTCCTTTTCTTACATGAACACCAGTCCTATTGGATTTGAATTAGGGCTCCACACTTACAGTCTCATTTAACCTTAATTACCTCTTTAAAGGCCTTGTCGACAAATACAGTCCCATTGAGGGTTAGAGTATCAACACAGGAATCGGGAGTACAGGGACACAATTGAGCCCATAATTGAGCCCTTTCACTTTTACCCTTGTTGCCGCTGAGTCCAGCTCCTGAAGCTTGGATGGGATGTGGATGGAGCACACATGCTTTTCTCTCTCTTCCCTCCTCCCCAATCCCTTTTGTTTTCCTTCTTTGCATAATGAAGATATTCTAGAATTTTCAAATAAACAAGAAAAACACAAAAGGTCTTTTTGTGTTCATAAGAGCAGTTATGGAACTGGAGTATTGTGTTCCAATCTAGCTGTTCTCAGGTTCTCATGCAGAATGCTCCCTTTAAGATCTTCTAAAATCCCTCCACCCCTGTCCTGCAGGGAGGGGAAAAAAATCTCCCCCACCCCCCTCACCCCTCCAACCTCCACCCCATCCTTGGAGGGAGGGGCAGTTGGTGGCAAAGGGAAAGTTGGCTCACACCCTGAGGAAAACATTTTACCACCTCCCAGCTTAGATAAACAGTCCAGCCCTAAAGGGCTACTTTCTTATGTCTCTTTCTTGGCCTTTGCCATTTTCCACCTTCCATGTTAGTTATTTGAATACATTTCTAATCATACTCATTACACCATAAACTTCTTGAGGGAAGGGGGCTGTCCAGAGGTAACATACGTGTGAATGAGTGAGAGGATAAGGGATGTGTGAATGAGAGACAATGTTATATGCACTTTAATGATCTTTTTGGGGGACTGGTACTGCCACCCAAAAATCCAGGTTGATTTCCTTCAGCCCTTCCCCGTGTTCTCGGCCCCTTCCCTATCAGCACTTGGTATATGCTTAGGGAATAGAGTGATTAGGAAGGGGTTGTTTGCAAGTCACTAACGCCCACAAAACAGTGGCTTCAAGGCAGATGTTTATTTTTCTTATGTAACAAAAAGTCTGGGAGTACGTGTCTGCTGGCTTTCAGTGAGCTGCTAGATGTCAGAGCCAACAATTTAATGTTTCCTTGGCAGCTTTAAGGATGTATTGCCTCCTGGATGCAAGACAATTGCTACGGGTCCATAGCTCTTGTTTGTTTCAAGACAAGAGGAGGGGAGAGGAGGGTCAGGGAGAAGGAAGGGGGAATGGGGAAAGAGCCTACATTCACTCTTTAAATGAAGAAAGCAAATCTGCCCTAGAAACCTCCCCTCTCCCAGAGCTCTGCTTGTTTCTCATTAGGCAGAATTGGGTTATGTGAGCATTCAGTGGCCTAAGGAGGTTGAAAAGTGAGGGTTTTGCTGGGAGTTGGTCATGTATCTCCCTAAACCACATTGGGGTTTTATTAGCAAAAAGGAAGGAGCAATTACAATTGAATAGACAAAGCTGGTAGCTATCACATAAAATGCAAACACAGTTGAATGTTAGCTTAATAAGAATAATTAAAGACCAAGACTATTATAAGAAAATGAATTAGAGCTTTTAAAGTCCCATATATGAGTAAATAATTAAAGGATAATTATATTTTGGAGTGATATACATGCCTGCTCGCAATTTTACCTGATCTGCACATTTGTTCACTCTCTCCCCTGTATTGTAATTTACAAGGTATTTATCTACCCCTCCTGCAAGATTCGTAAACTCTCCCATGAGGGTTTACCTGCAAATTCCCCATGGCTTCTAATTCATTGCCTTGCTGTTAGCAGGCACTTAAACATGTTAGTTGTGTAAAAGGAGACCCGAGGGTTACATAACCCTGTTTATAATTCATGGTTTTAAATGACACGACAAATTGCATCAATTAGACAAATATGCTCATTTAATTACTTTGTCTCATGACCAGCACTGAACCCCGAACCTCAGCCGACTGTCTCCCGTGCATGTCTTTGCTCATATGGAAGCAGCAGAGGTTGTGTGGATGGCTCAGAGCAATTTCTTTCCCCAACTAGAAAAACAACTTAAAACATCTTCCTCTTTTAGGACAGTGCAGTGGAGTCTCTCACTTTGTTTAAGGCTTAGATTCTAAAGTCCCCAACTCAGTGACAATGACAATCGACATTATTCGTAAATATCTCTCAGATTACTCATAAAATACAATATGCTTTGTTTTGTGTGTACAAACCTGCACATATATATATGCAGATTTGTCTCTCCTTTAATGTTTACTCCTGAAATTAATAGAATTACCCATACTATTTAAAATGTTACTCTTGTCTTTCTTGCAATCTCTCTCTTTCTCCCTGTGTTCAAAGTGTGAATAGTTGAATTCTGGTGAGTTAAATGTGGGATATGTGATCCCACTGTGGTATCCTCACTCTGAATGAAAAACTGCATTAAAAGATGAGTGAAAATAACAAGCAGGGCCTTGTCCCTCTGCCCTGTCTTTGCATACATGCCAAACTTTTTGAATTTACATGCCCTTGACAAAGAGATAACTACAGCATTCCACTTGAAGCAAACGTTTTCCGGCAGAGGCATGTTCAGTGTCAGGGCCCATTTTGATTTTTCATCAACAGCAAAATATTATTCACCCAAGGAATCCAATCATCCCAGTAAACTGAAATTCTTTTTTTTTTTTTGTTTCACTGCTGTGGTTCTGTTCCAGCATTTCCAAATGCTTCATAAATAAGCATCCAAGGGTTCATTACCAAAATATTTCCCAGCATATTTCTGACATTTTTTTGGGATTTTCTAGAGAAAAGACTGTACTGGCTCCTAGGGAGACATTTAATTCCTCTAGCTTCTATCTTTCATATTTAAAGGCAACTCTATCCTCCTCCATCCCTGGCATATGTGGTAGCCATGGTAGGTTTGGTGGGTCCACCCGCATCTTCTCACCACACAGATCCTTCACTCCTGGGTGCACCTGAGGCTGTGGAACCGAGTGAGCTAACAGAGTGGTACTCACCAGGGAAGACTGGAAATCCTTTTGTGCCCAGGGAGTCTAACCAAGCGTATTTCTGCTACTTGAACCCAAGACTTTGCTGTTCTTAGCAGTGGGCTTTCTTGCTTGGCGGGAGGCTGGGATCAGGCATGACAGGAAAGGCCAGCCCTGTTCAGCTCCTGGTTCCTCCTATTCACTGCAGAGTAGCCTCAGCATTTCTGAGCTTTCTTCATTCCTTCACAGGCTTGCAAATCTCTGCACCATGTTAGTTAATAACCACCTTGCAAGGGTCACAGGCACAGCACAATGAACCATCTAAAGGATTTCATCTAACCCAAAGAGATGAAACGCCAAATGTTTATATTTACTTGATTTCCGCTATCCTCACTACGCCTGCAAACATTTTATTTGTAATGACTCAGTGAGAAACTTGCCCCATTACATCCTTGGAAGAAGAATGGGTAACTTGTCAGATATCAACTTCTTTTAACTTTTGTCTTTTAATACTTCAAAGTATGCACAAAAAATGCGAACATGCAACAAATGCTCTAAATAGCAAATAATTAAGGGCTAAGAAAAGAGTCTTAAAAACGAAATTGAAACAAGAGACTCTTTGACTAAACCTTTTACACAGAGGAAAGGAGTCACTTCATGTTTGAGACTGTTTTAACCTTTTCTCTTTTTCATCTTTAGATGAGTGGTTTTGTTTCATCAAACAAAACCTTTGAAGTTCCACCCATGGTAGACTTTCACATCTCCTCATTCAGGCAGCTTGGAAAGGATATGGCCAGGGCAGAAACCAAGGATACAGGGATTTCAGCTTGTGGATAAAAAGGGTGATTTATGCAATTTAGGGTGATTAAGTCTCCAAATTGCCATCTCTTTTCCATTCAAATGGGATCAACACAACTCTCAAAGAATCTCCAAGTCAGATTAGAGAAGTGGGAATCTGGGGGACTTTGTCCTCCCTGTTTCCTCTGCTCGAAAGTGCTTTCCCAGGTACCAATTGGCAGTTGGCTTTTGGCCTCCTTGCTTTGTTACTCTGATCGCAAACACACACCCCCAGCCCTGACTCCCATCACAGAGGTACCCATCATTACTTGACACTGTATTATTTTTTCATTTATTTATTTCTGTAGGTCTGAATCAAACAGATTTTATTCAACTTTTTAGAATGAGGGAAACAAATGATATAAAATAAGTCACAAAAATGCTTTCTTATCCTACTACCTCAAACCATTTTCAATGTTTTACAAAATGCTCACCTAGCAAATACGAAAAGTTTCAACACATTCTTCTCTTGTAACTTCTGCTGCAATAAATGCGATATTAGCAAACATACATACTTCCATATCAGTCCTAAAAGTTGGATTACTGAATTATTATACTAATTTGTATGATGTTACTCATATTTTTATTCATACACTTTTAATGAGATCATTGGCAATACGTATAGTATTTTCTTTAACTTCACTTTCACATTAAGCCAATGTCTTTTATATAGCCATCAAAAAGTAAATTACACAGGTTTATAGTTCAATTTAAGCTCTAGCGTCTTAGAATCAGCCACTTTCTAACCTTTCATGATGCCTTCCTGCTTTGCAAAACCATGATCAGCATGAATTGCAAACATACCTCCTTCAGTACAAGCATTTCTCAGGTCTCCTCCATTAAAGTCATCTGCAAACTTCACAATTACTCCATAATTAATTTCACCATACTTTGTAAGGGGACTTGCATGGATTTTCAACGTGTCTAATCTTGCTCGTTCATTTGGCAAATCAATATGTATTTTTTTCTATCTAATCTTCCTGGATGCAGCAAAGCAAGATCCCGTGTATTTGGTCTGTTGTATTTTAACTCTGCGCAGAGTATCAAATCCATCCATTTGATTCAGTAACTCCATTAAAGTTCTCTGAATCTCTCTGTCAGCTGAAGTACCCTTGGAAAACCAACAACCATCAATAGCATCTAATTCATCCATAAAAATGATGCATGGTGGATGGTCCCTGGCATAATTAAACATTTCTCTGATCCAATGAGCCCTTTCACCAATGTGCTTGTCTACAATAGAACTAGATACAACCTTTAAGAAATTGCAGTCCTGGCCAGGTGTGGTGGCTCACACCTGTAATCCCAACACTGTGGGAGGCCAAGGCAGGTGGACCTGGGCACCATGGTGAAACCCCATCTCTACAGAAGATACAAAAATTAGCTGGGTAACTGGGTGTGGTAGCTCTCACCTGTAATCCCAGTACTTTGGGAGGCCAAGGTGGGTGGATTACCTGAGGTCGGGAGTTCGAGACCAGCCTGGCCAATGTGGTGAAATCTCGTCTGTACTAAAAACACAAAAATTAGCCAGGCATGGGGGTGCATGCCTGTAATCCCAGCTACTCAGAAGGCTGAGGCAGGAGAATCGCTTGAACCCAGAAGGTGGAGGTTACAGTGAACCAAGATCACGCCACTGCACTCCATCCTGGGCAACAGATGAGACTCCGTCTCAAAATAAAAAATAAAAAATAATTAATTAACTAATTAAAAATTAGTTGGGCATGGTGGTGCACACCTGTGGTCTGAGCCACTCCGGAGGCTGAGGTGGAAGGATCACCTGAGCCTGGGAGATGGAGGTTGCAGTGAGCCAAGACCACAGTACTGCACTCCAGCCTGGACAATAGAGTGAGACCCTGTCTCCAAAAAACAAAAAAAAAGGAAAAAAGTTGCAGTCCAGCTGGCCAGCAATAGCTTGTGTGCCAAGAGTGTTTTTCCTGTTTATGGTGGTCCACATAACAAACAGCCTTTTGGAGGTATTATTCCTACAAGTTGGAATAACTGGGTTTGTAAGTGGTAACCCCTCAATTCCCACATCTATTCTGATAGCCCTCCAATCTCAGAATAAGAAACATCCCAGGATCCTCATGAGACATGTTATAAATCAGTGGCTCCACCTCTCTTGGTAAATATCTCATGATAGTTAGTGTAGCCCTATCCAAAGCAACTCTTGTTCCTGGCTTCAGCTACTTTTGTGAAGCTGTCGACGACAACTCCCAACACATCTTGGTCCATCTGCAGCTTTAACAATGAATTTTTCTTCAGTTAATTGTTTAAGCATGTTACTCACAATCTGCCCAACACTTTTTAGGGCCTTCAGATCATTTTCAGACTTTTCATACGGTTTGGTAAATTCTTTGAATTGTTCCCTTAGCTCCTTAAGATGGTGCCCATCTCCATGCACTCTGGCAGCTTCTTGCTGTAGTCCTGAAATATCTTATCTCTAGGGTCCACCATGATGAGAAGTGCTATTTGTTTATTGTTTATTGTCTGTCTCTCTAACCATCACATAAACTCCTCAAGTACAAGAACATTGTGTTTCCTGTTCATTGACCACCACTATCTTGAATAGTGCTTGGAATATGGAAGGTGCTCAAAAAATATTGGTGAGATGGATATTCAGTTTTAACATCTTAATTTTATTAATGATTAAGCTGTGTTGTTGAGAGGTAAAGTGGCTAACCCAAGGTCACACAGCTGGTTAGTGGTAGACTAGGGGTAAAACCAACCAACCAACCAACCAACCAACCAACAAGCCAGTCAGCCAACCAGCTAACCAAAGATGTGGTTCATGAGTTAGTCTGGATTCCTCTAAAAGTTGAACCCCAGAGGTTTGTATACAGATAGTTTATTTGGGAAGGGATTCTAGAGAGCAAGAGTAAGGAAATGGTGGACAGGAACAGGCCAAACAATAAGCATTACAGAGCTGGCTCTGAGGAGGCTTAGGAAGGGCACCAAAGAACTCTCCATGTAGGGGATGAATGAGGGAAGATTAATCCAGTCTGTACTGACTGACTAAGGGTGGTACCATGGGTTTTGTAAGCCCTGAACCCCAGCTGTTTCTGTCTTCCCTCAGTTTAGGCACCATCCAGATGCACCTGTCCAGTGCAAAGCTGGCCGGAGCTGGCTTAGATTTGGTCACTGCAGCAGCTGCTGGAGCAAGGGAGGCAGGTGGGGACCGAGAAGGTTTGCAGTGGCTCACAGGGGCTGTCTAACTCAGCTGATGACTTCTAGTCTGCAGCTTTTTCATTCTAGCATTTGTGCCCTGTGCTCCCTGGTCACCACTAGGAGGAGTTAAAGCATTTTGCAAAACGCTTCACGGTGTGCTGAGCCATTACAACTTAGAACTGGAAATATTAGTTCTGTAAACTTTAAGAAAGCTCAAGACAGCCATAAATGGCTCCAGAACGAGGCCAATTAATGCCTGACCTCCTGCACAGCCTTTTCTTCCTGGGATTCTTACTGCCTCCATGGGGTCTGACCAGGAAATGAGGCACCTATCTTCTTGCTCTTGGATCCCTCAAGCCTTCCAGGGGAGGCTCTGCTCCTCTCTTCCCACCCTCCAACTCTAGCTAGGCCCATCAAGCAGGCAGCAAGACCATCGCCGCCTAAGGGATTTACCAATATGTGTGCACCCATCATGAATGCTCTGTCTAGCCTGGGAAGCCTGGTTCTTAAAGCACATTTTCTAATGAATCTACTCTCGATGCCTTCGCAGCCTAAGGGCTTTCGGAACTCTGAAGCAAGACAAACCATTCTTATTTCTCTGCTCTCTACTGTTACATACTGTCCTCAAAGCAACGAGGCATCCTGGCCCAGCTTAAATGTGAAAGAAGGGCCCAATGAGAGAAAGGGATGCCAGGATTAGAGGTAGGTGGATGGAAACAGTGAGCAATATTTTAAATATATTATCTCAGCATCTTTGAAGAGAAAAGTTGCTTTGTAAACCTAAAGAAATATCAGATCAGCTTGTCTGGTCAAGCTGGTCTTTGACCAGAGCATATGTATCATTTTTTTTTTATTTTAATTTAAAATTTTTTTTTTCTTTTCATTGGGAACACAACACATGTATCATTTTGACTGCTTTTTCTGTACTCAGCCTCCAAGAGGGCAGAGGTCATGTCTGTCTTGCTCATTGATGTATCTCAAGTGTTTAGCACAGTTCCTGGTGAAGATAGGTGCTCTAACAATTTCTATTGATAAACAAATGGGTCAAGGACACCACACACACACACACACACACACACACACACAGAGAGAGAGAGAGAGAGAGAGTAGCTGGTACTTATGTTAACTGTCCAGGATTTAGTATGTACCTGGTGGGAATAAGTAGGAAGCATGCACCTAATCTGACACTTTCATTGCTATTTTTTTCAACATGTAGAAAAGAATCAGAACGACTTTCTCATGAACCCCATGGGAAGATGGGAGTTCTTTAGTCTGTCCTCCTTCAGAGGTAAAGTAGCAAACAGCACATAGCTAGCTCTCATGACTTGAGCTGTGTCAGCCCTGGTGCTGAGCTTGCCAAGCCACACACCTGATGCCTGCAGGCAATTACAGGCAGATGGTAGGTGCAGAGTTTGATTTAGATGGACTCTCTTGAGTTTCCTTTCATCCTTTAGATTCCTTGGTACTGACAGTTTACCAATTTCCCATTTTACCTGTCATAGTTGTGGACTAAAGACAATTTTTTACATATTTCTATATATTTGGACTTCTTCCAGTATGGGCCACTGTTCAAGTTGCATCATTAGTTATGAAATATGACATCTGTCTTCTAAAGCCATTTATTCTGCTGAGTTTGACAACACAGCCTGGCTTGGTGAGGAAGGGGCCAGCTGGACCACTTCTGGCCCTTCTTTGTAAAAGCTTGTTATCTAATGTGGCAGCAGATGTCCTCCGAATGCTCTGGCTTATGGCTTGCCCAATAGCCTGGTGATTGATTCCAGTGGCCTCACAGAGGCTGATTTTGGCAGCAGAGGTAAATACAGTCTGGATGTAGGTGTGGGAGGTGGTAAAATGGTAAAACTATCAGCCTTTATCATAGCGCAATTAGGTTTTGTTGGGGAGATTGTCTTTGAAGATAAAACCCTTGGCTTAAGAAGAAGAAGCAAAAGAAAGGCCTTTAATGAATTCCTGCAGCCCTCTACTGGCCCTCATCATATCTGAGGCAGCAAATAGATAAAGTTTAAATATTTTTTTCCAGTGTCTTAATATTCTGTTAGGATAATTCCCCCAGTGGCCCACTTTGCTTTCCTGGCATGTCGTGTTGTACTATTCTAACTTGCAGCTACAACTACTTCAAAACAGTAGCTTTGGGACAAATAAGACAGTTCTTCCCTTTTTTTTTTTTTACCCCCTTCCCTAAGATAAGAGAGTGCTAATAATTCTCTAAGTTATAGATTATGTCAAGGTTTTAAATTAACACATTAATAAAGGAACCAATGGGGAAGATATAAGAAGAGTTTCCCCCAGGTTCTTGCAGGAAATGTGTGTGTGTGTGTGTGTGTGTGTGTGTGTGTGTGTGTGTGTGTGTCTAGCAAAATAAAAAATGCTAGACTAAATATGAACCTGGTTAACCTTCTACAAGACAAGGGGTTATAAAAGTATAACCCCTCTGTAATACTTTTGGAGTAATTTCCCTACCAGGCAACAAAAACCCTATTCATATCTGCAAACTACCTTAATTTTACAGGACTGCAAATCACTGTGCTTTATCAGTTATGAATTGTGGGTCAAATATCCTGTGACAACAAAGTACCATTTCTCAAGAAAGGAAGTTAGTTAGAAACTGCTGTCACCTGGCCACTCAAAAGAGTGATGCTTGGCCCAGCAGCATTGGTGTCAGTGGTGAGCTTGAAAGAAATGCAGAATCTCAGGCTCCACCTTAGACCTTCAGAATCAGAACTTGCATTTTAACAAGGTGCCCACATGATTTGCGTGCACATTAAAGTTTAAGAAGGCTGCTCTAGAGGAATATTTTAAAAGTCAAGCAGTTGCAATTTTTACACTTTCCAAGTTTGAGATATATTTTACTTTCTTGATACTTGCTACATGCCACAATAGGGTCAGGGGTAAGCCCAGGTCTCAGCCCTCAGAATAATCCATTAGTTCTAATCACTGGGCCTAAAATGACTAAATCCTTTCAGCAAGTTCCAGGCAGGCTGCCTTCAGCCAGTTCAGTGCAGTAGCTATCTTCTGCTTCTAGGGGAGGCTTTGGAATTAGGGTTACTATAGGAAGTCAGCAGGGAGCTCAGTTTTGGGTCTGGTTCTGCCATGGTATGTGCTGGGGCTTGACGTGGATTATTTGCATTAATCCTCACTAAATTCAGATGAGGAGGCAGCACCACCCTTGTTTCTCAGAGAAGTGCCCAAGAGCATGTGACTAGAAAGCACAAAGATAGGAATGGAAATCAGGCACGATTCCAAATCTCTTCTTCCCTCTGTGTGGTCTTCCATCACAGAGTCACTAAAGCTCATAGCTTTCTGATCTAACTCTTCAAATCTCCTTTTACATCCAAAATTTTTGAATTCATTGATATATTGAACTCTTATAACTTTCATTGCTAATGAAGAGAAATCCTGTCAGATTTACTAATAATCGACATCACCTTGTTACTATTAACTAGCACCAATAATGACTCTTTGAAACTCCTCTGTACTCTGAGTACCCAGCTCTGAGTTCTAGCTTATCATTTATTACTGTTTTGAAAGTAGCTTCTCCGGTGGCGGGCGCCTGTAGTCCCAGCTACTTGGGAGGCTGAGGCAGGAGAATGGCGTGAACCCGGGAAGCGGAGCTTGCAGTGAGCCGAGATTGCGCCACTGCAGTCCGCAGTCCGGCCTGGGCGACAGAGCGAGACTCCGTCTCAAAAAAAAAAAAAAAAAAAAAAAAGAAAGTAGCTTCTCCCATTATGTGCTTCTCCCACTTGAAACCACCTTCTGGGGAAAAAAATGGGAAACTGTGTCTTTTTTATGTTTATATCCCCAGAAGTTTGTAGAGTCATTTACATATATTTAGTGTTCGATACATGTTTATTGAACTAAAGTAAACCAGTAGACATGCAACTGCATCAGGAAACTCCCCAATTGTAGGACTCCATTTTCCAAATTAGTCTCTAATACAAATCCATCATTATATGCATATCCTTATATTTTTTCCATAAAATAAAACTACCATTCCATTGCACAGTGGAGGATTTATTTCACATATCAATTCTTTCAAATGAGCAGGGGTCTTCTGCTCTATATTCTTCCAACTGAGGCAATGAGTAATGCTCAGTTGAACAAAAATTTGAAAGATAGAGGCATAAGTGATAAGAAATTGAATGGCAATGTGAAAACCCTTGATCTGTTTACAAATGATAGTTTCGAAAAAGGAATGTGTCTGTCATAGGGTTGACTTAGGTCAGGGGTTCTAAACTAGGGGCCACTTTTCAACCTCCTTCCCTCAGAGATATTTGGCAATATCTAGAGACATTTTTGGTTGTCGTAATGGGTTGGGGAGCAGACTTAATACATTCTTATTGGTTGATTGCTTGGCTTGACGCATGACTTCTGATACCTTCTGCCTCTCTACAATTGAATAGTCATTGTCTAATAATAACCAGAGGCACTACAAATCCCAGAACATTCTTCTGAATCAGTCGTAGAGTGTGGCTGTTTCAGGACCTTCTCTTTCTCTCAAATCCTGGGCACTTCACCATCATCTGTCCTTTATCTGTTTATGTATATGCTCATCACATATAACTAGGCCATAAATTTCTTGCTTCCAGAGACTATATGTCTTACTTCACTGTGCCCCATTGGCCACAGTTTCTTGTAATTCTGCCTTAAAACACTTCAGCATTCAGGACATGCTAATGATGCTTTATTTTTGGAATCCAATGATTAGATTGTTGGTCCTCCTTAAATAGGCTCTATGTTAAATTGCAACTAACCAGAATATGAAGTGACCAAAATTGTCTACTCTCTCACTAATTTGAATAAATTAGGATTCATGGTACTTGACATTCAGGTTTGTGTTCTTGAGGTCAGAGTTTATGTAACTTTAGATGTTTAGGGTTAGAGAGGAACTCCTTTAGTTCTATTTTCTTCCTTGATTCTCTAGCTTGTGAAGATATTGTCCTTATCTGAGAAATAAAATAGAGACTTCACTCATACACACACACAAAAAAAATCAAAAACAAAAATGAAAGCTGATCTGTTCAGCTAGATAAGTTGTGGTTGGTAGGCATGATGGGAGTTTGACGTTTAAAGAATTTTGACAGGAGGATCAGTCCTACATAAGTTTGTGACATATGTAGTGGATGTGTCCAGCACTCAACTCTTTAATTCCCTCGACATCCCATAATATGTCCACTGCCCCCTCCCCAACCATGCTATCTCCCCACCTTTATCAGAAGTCACTGATGTCTGCACCAGAAGGAACATCTGAGGAACAGTTACTACTTTGGTGCTGAGTAATTTCTTGCCCATACCAGGAACACGTGTATTTTAAAACAGAAACTCAAAAAAGGAATAACTAATAATGGGATTTTAAATATCAGATAATTAGGATTGAATAGATTTTGAGGAGCCTTTCCTCAGTATCCCTCAAGTGACACAATGTTTAAGCCTGAGAAGATAAAACAAGCACCAAAAAGACCTCAGGTTGGAGTCCTGGGAAACGATAATAGGATTTTTAAAAATTCATGTTTAAACTTTTGTTCTCATTATTTCCTGTTCCCAGCTATCAACTGGGAACAAGTACCTTGAGCTTCTAATAGAGGAAGAAAGACAGCTTTTGAGGGTGTTTCATCTTTGCAAGCTTACGTCATCCCAGGAAGCTTAATAATAAGAAACTGCAAGTCATTTAATTTTATTGCTGCCAGAAATTGGTTTTCTTTGGGGCTTTTTCTGGTCAGAAATTTAAGTTCAAAAGCAGTCTAGAGAATGCACTTTGGAAAGGTCACAGTATCTCTGATGGTAGCAATACTTAGTAAGCCCTTGCTATGTGTCTGGCCCCATCCTGAACACTTTCTATTTTCAAATCATGACCCTACTAGTAGGTTACTCTTTTACTATTACCTCCATATTCTGGGTGAGGAAGCCCAAGATCACAGCAAGTAAATGCTAGAGCCAAAACTTGAACCCACATTGCCTGGCTGTGTGTTTTTCAGCCTCTTGCTGTATTGCTTTTCCAATTATATCCAGGTTGCCTCTGCTGTCTTCAGGGAGTTTTCCCACTGAAGGGGAGTGTCTATGCATGAGGAAAATGAACGATAATTTGCTAAATATGCTAACATAGCTTTTCTTGCTTTCCAGGTTTTGGAGGTGCCCTGGGTTACCTTTTGGGTGCTATAGACTGGGCCCATCTGGAGCTGGGAAGACTGTTGGGTACAGAATTCCAGGTCATGTTCTTCTTCTCTGCATTGGTGCTCACTTTGTGTTTTACTGTTCATCTGTGCAGTATCTCTGAAGCCCCACTTACAGAGGTTGCAAAGGGCATTCCCCCACAGCAAACCCCTCAGGACCCTCCATTGTCATCAGATGGAATGTACGAGTATGGTTCTATCGAGAAAGTTAAAAATGGTTACGTAAATCCAGAGCTGGCAATGCAGGGAGCAAAAAACAAAAATCATGCTGAACAGGTAAAGATGCAACATTTTTTCTTTACAAGGGAAAATATTCTTGCTCTTTGTTGTTGTTGTTGTTTTTTTAATTGTTTGTTTTGTCTGTTTGACGAGAAGAGTTTCATGGGGTCTAACTGAATTCCCAAATCCCCCGTAGCTATCATCCCTTGGAATTAAAATTTTATATCTCAAAGAAAAATGTCTGCATTTTCCTCTGGTCCTCCTGTCTCTTACTCCTCTCAGGTAGCATCCAACCAGGGAAGATGAAGCCAGTTGAGAAAGGTTAGGCAACAAGAGAAGCCTAAAATCATCCTTAGGCCAGAAGAAATATCCCCTTAGATTAGGATCATAAATTAGAAATTTTTTCCTCCAAATGGTAGCATCCTTGGGTTGGTGACTGAGTTGGGCATATCGAATTTGCCTGTCATGAGTTGATTGGATATTTTCGTTCATTTTCAGCGAACTGCACAGTGAATTCATCAGCTTAAAATTTGAAATAAAACTCAACTAACTGCCAGAGAAATGAGACCATGTTCAGATGAAATGATCAGAGAAGAGACTAGAATTAAGCTGAGCAATATAGTAGCTAATAATCCCGTGGGGCTATTTAAATTAAAATAAAAATAAAATTAGAACTTCATTTCTTCAGTTGCATTAGCTACATTTCAAATGCTCAAAGGCCCCATAGGGCTTCTAGCTAAAATATAGGACGTGCAGATGTAAGACATTCCCATCATTGTAGAACGTTCTGTTGGACAACACTGATGAAATAATTGCATTTTCCTTCAAGCTAAAATTGAATGCCAAAACCTCAGGGATATAGAACAGAGGATTTCTTGATTGACAAAATGTTGTAGAAGACTTAAGTTCAAATCTTGGTTCCTCTAGCTGCTGACTTGTGTTATTCATTCAGTGAATCACAAATAGCTACTTGCTATAGGGTAACCTAAAGATTAAGAGCACAGTGCTTAAATCCTGGCTGTACCACCTCTGGATTGCATGACTTTGGGCATTTACATTTGTGTTAAATGATAAAATAATTCCATCTACCTACAAGGGTTTCGTGCAGGTTGCAGGGGCTAATTCAGGTAAAGTTACTTAGAGTGTTTGCAACCACATAATAAGCTGTTGGGTTTAGGCCTTGTTATTTTGACCCTGGCAGAACACTAGAGTGCCTTAAGCACAAACAGGGAACACAAATCTGGACTCCAACAACTTTCAGACAAGCTCAGTGAATCTCACCTTCCTGTGAGGTCAACTTCTTTTGTTGGCTTGGCCAGTCTATTTTCTAGGATTATTAGGATGTTCAACTAAGATAAAGCATACAAAGACACTTTTTCAAACTTCACATAAATATATCAATACATTATAATCATTATTCATTTAACAAACAGCTTGGGGTACTGAGTATGTGCAAAGCACTGTACTAGATATTTGGGGACCATAAAACTGACAAATGTCCAGTCTCTATGCCCAGGAATTTGCAGCCTAACACGTGGCATATGCCATTTATACCATGACTCATAATCCATGATAGAACATGGTAAATGCTATAAAACAATGTATCAGTTCAGATCTTTTAAAAAGGCACCAAGATAGGATTTGACATGTAAGAGATTCATTGGAGAAAACAGCATGAAAGATAAAGTGGAGAAAGCAGAAATAGGAAGGGAAAGTCTTCTTATGTTGATGCAAGTCAAACACCTGTGAAAGGAGAAAGGAAAGGAAAGAGGATAGGGTAGGAAGCCTCTCAGATGCAGTGAAGTTTCAAGAAAGCTTCACTCAGGCCAAATGGGAGTCCTCCAGCCAAAGTTGCTCCTTAGAGGAGTCCCAACTCTTGTAGGAACAGGCTAACACTAATACCCCCCGTCTTGTTAGTCACTATCTGGGAACAGCCAGGAAAGGGGTAACTTTGGCAGGAACAGGTACAGGAACAGAGTTCCTTGGCAGGAACAGGAACAGTGGATCCAGAGAGGCAGCATTCAGCGCTGTCGATCAACTGTGTTTTCTCTGGTAGGTGACCCAAACGGCACATTTCCAAGGTGGCCACAAATGGCAAAATAGCAATTGCTTTTAGTTTTAAAGAGGGAAGGATTGTGCCTAAATAAATGGAGAAAAGCGTTATGGAAGAGATCGCCCCTGAGTTGTGCCTTGAATGATAGTTAGGATTTGAATAGAGATTTTGGGGGAAAAGTACTTCTGACAGAAGAGCATCAGCAAAGCCACAGACATAAAAAATTTTTTTTAAAGCATGAAGCATATTTGTAGAAAGTATAAGTGGTACCATAGATCACAGAGTTTGTAACTTTAGAAATAAAGTTAGGAAAGCAAATTGGAGACACATTTTGGAAGCTTTTGAATGCCAGCATAGGAACTAAAATTTTATTAGGTGGATGATGGAGGTCCATCAAAACTAGTGGGGCAAAGGACTCCTTGATGTTAGCTTTTTTTGGTTGGTTTTTTGTTTTTGATATTAATCCAGCTGCTGACTACAGGGAATAAAGAGGTACCCAGGAGGGTTTATTTGGGTGAATAATAAGATGTCTTGGAATGAGTTGCACTGTGTGCTTGGTTCATTCACTTGTGCATTCTTTTATTCATTCAATAGCTATTAATTACACCTGCCAGACCCAGTGCTGAGCATCAGAAGACTAGTGAACACCACAGCCCTTGTTCTACCCCATGGAGTTGTCACCTAGAAAAGTGTGCCTATGTGTTATTTTGCTTTCTTAATCAAAGTTTAATTAGATTTACAAAAAAGTTGCAGATAGTAGAGAGAGTTCCTATGTATGCTTCACCAGCTTTTCTCTTATGTTAACATCATAGAGAACCATGTACATTTGTTAAAATTAAGAAATTAACACTGCTTCAATACTGTTAGGTAAACAGCAGACTTATTTGAATTTCACCAGTTTTTCTACTAATGCCCTTTTTTTAAAAAAAATGTATTTCCATAGGCTATTGGGGAACAGGTGGTGTTTGGTTACATGAGTAAGTTCTTTAGTGGTGATTTGTGAGACTTTGGTGCACCCATCACCTGAGCAGTACACACTGCACCCAATTTGTAGTCTTTTTCCCCTCATCCCCTTTCCACACTTACCCCCTGAGTCCCCAACGTCTGTTGTGTCATTCTTATGCCTTTGCATCCTCATAGCTTAGCTCCCACTTATGAGTTAGAACATACAATGTTTGGTTTTCCATTCCTGAGTTACTTCACTTAGAATAATATTCTTCAATCTCATCTAGGTCACTGCAAATGCCATTAATTCATTCCTTTTATGGCTGAGTAGTATTCCATCATATATATAAAAGATACCTGCACACACGTTTACAGCAGCACAATTCGCAATTGCAAAAACGTGGAACCAACCTAAATGCCCATCAATCAACAAGTGAATAAAAAAACTATGATATATATATATATATATATGTCAGATGAATGTCCATAATAAAAAAAATAGATGTTGACGTGGATGCAGTGAACAGGGGACACTTCTACCCTGCTGGTGTTGATATAAACTTGTACAACCACTATGGAAAACAGTGTGGAGATTCCTGAAAGAACTGAAAGTAGAGCTACGATTTGATCCAGCAATCCTATTCCTGGGTAATATCCTTTTTCTGATCCAATCTAGGATACCACATTACATTTAGCTAAGCGGTTTACAAAATTTAAAAACGGTACTTTATTTTAATGGTATTTTAAGGAATTTTTTTTGCTATGTATAGTCAGTAGAAAACCTCATTTTTTTGTATACAGTTATGTATATAAATAAAAGCAATACATCTTAGCTGTTAGTTATAAAAGTGTGTAAGTAGTTTTCCCTTGAGATCAAGTGCTTCCTCCAGTATTGTTTACTCTGTTCATTTGCTTAGCATTTTTCCAAAATAAATGCAAAAGTAAACTTCGACACTGCTCATGTTTGAATTGGCAAAATGGTTGAGTATGATCTGCTGAAACGAGGCCTCATTCTATAAACATGACTGCCTTCAAGTTGAGTTGCCACAGCGCATCAACCTGCCTCTCGCCATGCCACTTGATAGGAGAATACAGTTGAAGAGAGTAATCTATTCATCTGATTCCAACAGTAGCTCCTATTTTAGGATGAGTGCAGTGTTTTTCATAACTGTAAGAGTGCAACGAGGAACTAAGAGGTCATTGGGATAAAGCCTTCATTTTATCTCAATCACACAAGTAGAGAAAATTTGAGATTTTAGGTCTCCTAATGCCTGGACTCAACCCCCTTTCCCTACACCAGGCTGCCTGGAGGAGAATACTTGTACTCTTTGACTCTCCTTCACCAAGAAGCCAGAACTCTAAGATTACTAGTTGGACTGGAGCCCTCTGTGCATTTATGCAGGACAGCCAAAGAATCACGGAATATCTATATGATAACATTCATGCGGTCATTAAAAATGTATGTTTCCGAAGGTTTACTAAAAATATATCAGGTAAAATATACATTACATGCACAAAACCATCTTTTTTTGGGAGAAAACAAAGCTGCATAACATAGAGGAAAAAATGGAAAGGAAATATACAAAAAATGAAAAGTCTGGATGATAGGCTCACAGGAAGCTTTAATTTTCTATTTTTAAATCCTGCAATACATCCAAAATTTCTATAATAGATAAAAAAAGGGAAAAAGTAATCAAATAATGTGAAAGTGAAAATTAAAAAATAATGTGGTGATTTGGGGAACAAAACAAGGTGCGGTTTTACTAAATAAAAGTATATACGTGATAATAGATAACACCCTGATAGATTATCTACCTCTTTGATGTCCCCTTCGATAGACTGGGACTCCCCCTCCAAGAGTCGCATAGGACAGGGGTCGTCCCATCCACTCAGAGGCTGCTGTGAGGATCACATGAAATCAACTGAGTGGAAGCCTTTTGAAAGTCATGGAACTCCCACACGAGTACAAAAATAAATACAACAGATACAACGAACTTTCTAGTAGGGGCCACATGAAAAATGTTGTAGACTCTGAATGATCTTGTTATTTGGTTTAAAAAACAAATTGAGACCAGTGCAGTGGCTCATTCCTGTAATCCCAGCAACTCATGAGGCCAAGGTGGGAGGATCCATTGAACCCAAGTGTTTGATGCTGCAGTGAGCTGTGATCATGCCGCTGCACACTTGTCAAAGCAACAGAGAGAGACCCCACCTCTAAAAACATAAATAAATAAGCAAATAAAATAAGACAAAAAGTTAAAGTAAGAATATAGCACAGAGTAATGCATCTTACTCTCAAAGCCATGGATTTGCACTTCTCTTCCAAATGTGTGCCCTGGGAGGTCTCCAGTTAAGCAAAGGAAGTCTGCACTTCCCCAGGGTCAGGGCCAAGGCTTCAGGGCTGTCATTGCTTGCCAAAGACATTGCTTTCCAAAATAAGGGTGGCTGTGTAATTTAAGAACAAATTTTTCTTTTTTAATGGCAAGAGGGCTGAATTATTTCAGAAGTTTAAACCAGATCTCATAAAATCTATCTCCAATTCCTCCATGTCGTCAGTTGCTCCCTTTAACATTTAAATAGTCTCCTTTTGAGGGTATGTTTGTGAAGTTTTCTTTCTCCCTGATGACTCTGTACCTTTTTCGCTTGTAAATTCATCACTACCCAGTCTCCAGCTGACAGTGGTGCAAAATAAATGCAGTAAAACAACTCCCAAGGTTTCAGAATCATTGAAAGGTTTTTACCAAGGGAATTGATGAGTCAGGAATAATATCCCAGCTGGGTTTTTATTCTGAGTTAAAATATACAAAGGGGCTTTGAATATTTACACTCTCAGCTTTTACAGAAATACTATGCACATTTTGAAAGCTCATATTTATTTTTAGAAGAAAGGAGAAATTAGGCTAACAATGAAAGCAGGCTGAAAATTATGTATAAGTCAGAAGCATATATTAATATTTAGAATGAGGCTGAGTACTTGCTGACCAGATTCGCTTTCTCAGTTTTGCATTTTTGGAAGGAGAGGAAGGAAAGTGATGACAAACCATTTAGTTGGAGGCATGAAAACCAGGCTGTTGTTTCTTGGGCTATTGTTAGCTGCTTCTTTCTGTGGTTGAGGAAAAAGTAGTAATTCTGCACTTCATTTTGGTTATAATCATTTATTTTTACAGGTACCATATTGAACTTGCAGAAAAACAGTTATTTTCCTTCAATCCAGGGAGATGTCTATAGTGTTTAACACTGATTATCAGAAAATGAGTATAGTTATGGTCAGTGGGCTAGATACTGCAAGACTGATGAATTTTAAAAAATCAACTTACACAACAAAATTAAAATGGGCGAATATAATTTTCCACAGCAAAGAAGAAAAAAGCATGATTATATAAGGTTAAGAAGTATAAAAAATATGCTGTTACAGTTAAAATAGAAAATCTCAGTAGACTGTCTTATAAACTAGCCAGTACTCAATGTCGTGATTCAGAATAAATAAAAATATGACAAGAAAGACCAATTACCAAATTGTGTCTGATGTTTATGGTCTCAGTGTCTTCAGGGAAGCTAATCAATTAATATTCCCAAGGTTTCTTTCTTCTCTTATATGACAAGATGCTAAAAGCTATTATCATTTTTTGTATTTCAAAACAGTTGTATCAATAGTTTAAAGTTTCTCATTCTCTCAATGTTTCTGAAACCAGAAAAACTATAGCTTCTAGTTTTAACCTAATTTAAATCTAAATTAAGGAATCGGGGCCTATATATTCATTTTTTACATATATGTGTGTGGGATGGGCCTTCCTAAAGTTAATGGAAAAATAGAATTAAAAGATAAAAATTAAAAAGAATAAACTTTATTTCTTAATGTAAGCTCCATTGAGTTCATTGCTTACTTTTGTAAGCAATGATACCAGCCGTTTAGCCCATCCCTAAAGAACTGGGGGTCCTGGAGATTTAGCTATGTCAATGCAGCCTTTTTTACAATATTAACTGAAAAACCATGGGTGCCCTTTATAGATTTTTTAAGATTAGGAAACAGAAGTCAGAAGGAGCTAAATCAGGACTCTGGGATTGATGCCTAAAGATATTCCATCAAAATTATCACAACATTGCCCTTGTTTGATGATAGGAATGAGCAGAAGCATTGTTATGGTGGACAAAGACTTCCTGGTGAAGCTTTTGTGTGTTTTTCTGCTAAAGCTTTGGCTAACTTTCTCAAAACACTCTCATAGTAAGTAGATATTATCAATCTTTGGCCTTCCAGAAAGTCAACAAGCAAAATGCCTGAGCATCCCCAAAAAAACTGTTGTCATGGTCTTTTCTCTTGACCTGTCTGCTTTTGCTTTGACTGGACCAATTCTACCTCTCGGTAGCCATTGCTCTGATTGTGCTTTGTTTTCAGGATCATACTGGTAAGGCCATGTTTCATCTCCTGTTACAACTTTTTGAAGAAATGTTTCAGGATCTTGATCCTGCATGTTTAAAATTTTCATTGAAAGCTCTGCTCTTGTCTGCAGTTGATCTGGGCACAATACTTTTGGTACCCATTGAGTGGAAGGTTTGCTGAACCTTAACTTTTCCATCAGAATTGTGTGAACTGAACCAACTGAGATGTCTATGGTGTTGACTATTGTTTCTGCCATTAATTGTCAGTCCTCTTCAATTAGGGCATAAACAAGATTAACTTTTTTATTTGCAAACTGATGTAGATGGTCTGCCCCTGAGGACTTCATCCTTAACACCATCTGGTTCCTTCCTAAAATGAGTTATCCATTTGTAAACTGCTGATTTCTTTGGGACATTGTCTTCATAAAGTTAAAAAAAAATCAGTGTTTCACCATTCTTCTACTGAAGCTTCACCATAAATTTGATGTTTATTCTAGCTTCAATTTTAGTAGAATTCATGTTGCTCTGTTAGGGGCTCTTTTCAAACTGATGTCTTATCCTTCTTAGTGCCTCAAACTAAATCTTCTTCAGACATGCTATAACAAGTTAGTATGAGTTTATATTGCTTCAAAAAATTTTTGGAATCCATGCATAATTTTTTCATAATATGCATTTTCCATTAACATATTGAAGACCGTGTGTGTGTGTGTGTGTTTGTGTGTGTGTGTGTATAAACATATATATTTGAGTTCTACATTGTTCTTACTTCTAACTCAATGTAAGGCTCATTAACATGTTTCTGCTATCATTAGGATTCAGAGATATAACCTGGGAGGAGACATCTGGCTAAGAACAGGGAGCTGACTGGCTCTCTGTATTAATGTTCTAATGAATAAAAAATTTTCACAAACTTAGCTGCTTAAAACAACATCAGTTTATTATCTCACAGTTCTGTAGATCAGAAGCCTGGGTAAGCTGCACTAGGTTTTCTGCACAGGGTCTTACAAGGTTGAAGTCAAAGTGTTAGCAGAGCTGTATTCTCATCTGGAAGCTCAGTGGGAAGAGCCCGCCTCAAAGCACATTCAGGATGTTGGCAGAATGCAGTTCCATGTGGTTATAGGATTGAGGTCCCTGCTTTCTTGTGGACTGTTGGCCTGGAGTTGCTCTCAGCCCCTAAATGTCACTCTCAGGTCCTTTCAAGTGGCTTCCTCCACCTTCAAAGCAGACATTTCTTGTGCTTTGAGTTGCTCTGACTTTCCCTTCTACTACCAGCTGGAGAAAATTCTGTACTTTTCAAGGGCTCATGGAATTTGGTTAGGATCAACCAGGTAATCTCCCTTTCAATTAACTCAAAGTGAGCGATTAATAACCTTAATTATTAATATATCTGCAAAATCCCTTTGCCATGTAACAGCACATAATCACAGGGATGACATCAGGGGACCAAGATCATGACAGACATCTTGGATTTGCCTACTATGCTCTCACAGTTAAGAGACCCAAGAATTATAATCATCTAAGAGCTGGCTTATGTCTGTGAGCTTTGTCCTTGTGCAACAGTTCTGTCATTCAGACATAGGATGCTCAATGTCTCCTACACCTTGGCCTGAAGCTAGCACCATTCTCATTCCCTTTGCCCTTGTGTCCAAAGCCTCATTCTGGGCCTGAAACTGCCAAGCAGCCACTCGTGCTTAACAGAATACCTCCTGTGAGTCTACTCCATGGAAACCTAGTTCCATGTCCAGGAAAAGTGACACTTTGTGTGATGGCTGACTGACAAATACATAACATGTCTGTGTGTTCTGGCTCCCTTAGCTGGCTGAGTTTCTGCAGTGAAGATCACACCTCTGTTTCATGTTTTATTTCAGACTCGCAGGGCAATGACATTAAAGTCACTGCTGAGAGCACTGGTGAACATGCCTCCTCACTACCGCTACCTTTGCATCAGCCACCTCATTGGATGGACAGCCTTCCTGTCCAACATGCTGTTCTTCACAGATTTCATGGGCCAGGTAATGAACGTGTCTGTGCACACAATCACTGTTACACATCATTTCCTCCATTAACACCTGTTGAGGTTCTTCTGGGCTATCCTCTAAGATTGGCACAGTAAGAATGTAGGAAAGGGTACCATCAAGAAGCTGACTTACAGACAGGTGTAGAAAAATGCTACTATACCCTGGACAACTAGAGGACACTACGGAGCCTGCCAGTATTTAATCAAATACAACAAATAGTTGACAGTGGGGTGTTAAAGTCTCCCATTATTAATGTGTGGGAGTCTAAGTCTCTTTGTAGGTCACTCAGGACTTGCTTTATGAATCTGGGTGCTCCTGTATTAGGTGCATAAATATTTAGGATAGTTAGCTCCTCTTGTTGAATTGATCCCTTTACCATTATGTAATGGCCTTCTTTGTCTCTTTTGATCTTTGTTGGTTTAAAGTCTGTTTTATCAGAGACTAGGATTGCAACCCCTGCCTTTTTTTGTTTTCCATTGGCTTGGTAGATCTTCCTCCATCCTTTTATTTTGAGCCTATGTGTGTCTCTGCACGTGAGATGGGTTTCCTGAATACAGCACACTGATGGGTCTTGACTCTTTATCCAACTTGCCAGTCTGTGTCTTTTAATTGCAGAATTTAGTCCATTTATATTTAAAGTTAATATTGTTATGTGTGAATTTGATCCTGTCATTATGATGTTAGCTGGTGATTTTGCTCATTAGTTGATGCAGTTTCTTCCTAGTCTCGATGGTCTTTACATTTTGGCATGATTTTGCAGCGGCTGGTACCGGTTGTTCCTTTCCATGTTTAGCGCTTCCTTCAGGAGCTCTTTTAGGGCAGGCCTGGTGGTGACAAAATCTGAACAGACACTTCTCAAAAGAAGACATTTATGCAGCCAAAAAACACATGAAGAAATGCTCATCATCACTGGCCATCAGAGAAATGCAAATCAAAACCACTATGAGATATCATCTCACACCAGTTAGAATGGCAATCATTAAAAAGTCAGGAAACAACAGGTGCTGGAGAGGATGTGGAGAAATAGGAACACTTTTACACTGTTGGTGGGACTGTAAACTAGTTCAACCATTGTGGAAGTCAGTGTGGTGATTCCTCAGGGATCTAGAACTAGAAATACCATTTGACCCAGCCATCCCATTACTGGGTATATACCCAAATGACTATAAATCATGCTGTCTATAAAGACACATGCACACGTATGTTTACTGCGGCACTATTCACAATAGCAAAGACTTGGAACCAACCCAAATGTCCAACAATGATAGACTGGATTAAGAAAATGTGGCACATATACACCATGGAATACTATGCAGCCATAAAAAATGATGAGTTCATGTCCTTTGTAGGGACATGGATGAAATTGGAAACCATCATTCTCAGTAAACTATCGCAAGAACAAAAAACCAAACACCGCATATTCTCACTCATAGGTGGGAATTGAACAATGAGATCACATGGACACAGGAAGGGGAATATCACACTCTGGGGACTGTGGTGGGGTCGGGGGAGGGGGGAGGGATAGCATTGGGAGATATACCTAATGCTAGATGACATGTTAGTGGGTGCAGCGCACCAGCATGGCACATGTATACATATGTAACTAACCTGCACAATGTGCACATGTACCCTAAAACTTAGAGTATAATAAAAAAAAAAAAATTAAAAAAAAAAAAAAAACTTTTGCTCAATAGAAATTAACTTGTTAGCTCCGGCCTGTATGAAATACATTAAAAATGAAATTCTTACAGCCTGCAAAGTCTTCCAAGGGGGTAAAGTTCCACATTATATCACACACATATGCATTTTTGTTTGCTTTACTGTGACTTGGATTTACTACAGAGACCTCTAATTTCTTAAATGACTTTTCACTTATCTACAGATGGAAGAATAGGACACGTAAATGCATCACTCATAATTGAGTGTTTGTAATACCTCTCACATCTTGAATCAAAATAAGAAATAAAATGCTGAAACTACAAAAAAAAAAAATACAACAAATAGGGCCAATTGATGTGAGCTGTAGCAATCATGGCAGGCTTCAAAAAGGAGGGGTGGGGTTCAGGCCGGGCATGGTGGATCATGCCTGTAATCTCAGTGCTTTCGAGGCCAAGGTGGAGCAATCATTTGAGGCCAGGGGTTCAAGGATGCGGTGACCTATGACTGTGCCGCTGTACTCCATTCTGAGTGACAGACCAAGACCCTGTCTCTTAAAAAATAAAATATGATAATAAATACACATAAAAAAGGAGGTGCAGTATGGTCTGGGCCTTGAAGGGTGAGTAGGAGTTAGAGGAATATTAGAGAGGGAGAAAACATTCCAAGCAGGAACAGGAATGGCCCATGTGGAGATGAGTCAGAAGCCGATTGGCTGTAGCAGAAGATGAGTGGTGGGATTTCCTAAGTCAGGTGGGGCCAGCTGTGAGATGGAAGGAGGAATGTTAAGGATCCAAGAGAGTGTTGTTGAGATCTGATGCAGCAAGCATTAGATTTCTGATAGGTCCTTGAATGAAGATGTGATAGGATGCGACTTGGTCATGACAGCATCAGCTCTGTACTCTAGAAAGGGTCCCTCAGGCAGGGACATTTGCTCCCCAGAGGTGGAGAAGCAGAGTGCATGAGAAGGGTTCTTACTACATTGCATTTGTACCTCAACAGCCTCCAATCTCTCTTTCAGATTGTGTACCGCGGGGATCCCTATAGTGCACACAACTCCACAGAGTTTCTCATCTACGAAAGAGGAGTCGAGGTTGGATGTTGGGGCTTGTGCATCAACTCCGTGTTTTCCTCACTTTATTCTTGTAAGTCTTTCTCTCTCCTAAGGATGTCTTCTAAAAGTTTCTGGTCTAGCACAACTTGGATTTGATATTTCTATGTGTATTTCCTACTGTTTAAAATACCAGATTCTTAATAAATCTATGGACGTCAGGAAAAACTATCACCTTAAAAAGGACCATATAAAGCATCCTTTTTTCATCATGAATTCTAGGTGTCATTTCCTCACTGATTACTTTGCTCTTGGAATCAGTGGGTTCCTGATCAAGTTTCTCTGGAAAATGAAAGGGAATCTTTACAAGATGAAGTGTTGGATGGATGAGTCCCAGCAGGTTCGTGTTCTACTGGAGCAAGATCATTGGTAGCATTTCATAGATAGGCTTATCAGATTTGTAGATGATACAGAAGAGAAGCAATATTAATATGACAGGTGACAAAGTCAGCATGCAAAATGACCTTAGCTCAGATGTGTAACTGGGTGGGTTATAGGAGCACCACACCAGGATTGGGGACAGCTGGCTTTCCTTCCCAGGTGCCAGCTTTTCTGAGCCTCTTAACCTCCACTTACCTAAGTTGCAGCTGTGAAGACACTGAACAAAGGGATTTCTGCTATTGTCTTTATGTAAGTCCAGGTGGCTGTGCTATAACTCCAGGGCATTGCACAGGCTGCATTGTACTTGCGACTGTGTATGGATATCTCCAAGCTCTGTATACATTGAGTTAAGTGAAACGTCTGGCCTGAAAAATGTATGCAGTTCTCCTAATTATAAAGAGCTCCTATAAAGAGCTCTTCTTCTGCAAGATTGTAAGAATAACTGACCCCCAATTCAGGGCTCTGGGCTTTGGACAGGTCCAGGGGACAGCAGGGATATGGCCCAGGTGAAGGAAGTGGGAAGAGATGGGGAGAATCCCTGTTACCATTCTCAGGAGGACTCACTCTGTCACTGTCAGCCTGCTTCTTGTGAAGGGAAAGTGTGGATGTATGTGAGGGCCCCTTCCCCTTCCCTTTACCTAGCCATAGCACAGCAGGAAACCTGCCTCAAGACCTCTTAAAAATTTAGCCCAATTGGGAAAATGGGACCTCATATAAACATGCAAGTTGATGAGCCCAATAATCACGTAACAACAACATTCATTATTTTAAAATTTATGATACTCAAAGAGTAGTGCTTAAAGATCACATTTATTTAGCAAACTCTTTTCTTCCTCTTCGAGTGTGCAAACTAAGAAAAAATCCAGGAGGAAGATTTCAAGCACTTAAAATAGAATAAAAGAATGTTAGACTAAAAGGGTCTAGTAAATTATCCAGCTTAAGTCCTTCATGATTTCAAGGGCTGAGGGGACTATTTACCACTACCCTCATGCTTTTTTTTGTTTTTCTTCTTTTTTTAAGACAAAGTCTCACTCTGCCACCTGAGCTGGAGTGCAGTGGCATGATCATGGCTCACTGCAGCCTCAACCTTCTGGGCTCAAGCAAGTCCCAGCCCTCTGAGTACCCGGGACCACAAGCACATGCCACTGTGCCTGGCTTATTAATTTAAAAAAAATTTTTTTTTTAGAGATGGGGTCTCCCTACATTGCCCAGGCTGGTCTCGATCTCCTGGGCTCAAGTGATCCTCCTGTCTCAGCCTCCCACAGTGCTGGGATTACAGGCATGAGGCACTACATCCAGCCCTACCTTCATCTTTGTCAGAAAGAAAAGTGTCAATCTAAACTTATTTTTCCTCAGGGAACTCCTACTAGATAACATTCCATTAGTCTTGTCCGCATAAATTTTATGGCATTTGAAACTTTAAAGCATATTATTTTTAGGTCCCTTCTAGTTAAAAGCGTTTCTAGTTACAAAAGAAATTATTAGTTGAATAGTTTTCCAAAGTTTTATTAATGTATAAATCTATGGGATCCCTACCATTGTTAATTCAAATCAACATTTTATTTATAAAATACCAGCCAGCTCTGCTCAAGGATTTTAGGGATTCCCCATGCCCATAGGATAAAGTCAAATTCCTGAGCTTTTCACAGTTTGGCCTAGTTCATACTTTGCCCTTTTTCACTCCCATATCAATTAACCACCCTCAATGACCCACTATGCAGACTTTCTCATTTCTGGGTATTTGCCACTGCTTTTAGTTTCTTCTGCCTGAACTGCTCTTTCTACTTCCCCAACTGGACAACTTCTAATAATATTTTTAGACCCAGCTTAAATATTACTTCCTCAGTGAAATCATTCAAGTTTTCTTCCCCCTGCACCTCAACCCACTCTGGGCAGAATCAATCCTTTCCTTTCCTTCCAGAGCTCACTATATTACCCTCTATTTTGGATTCATCACATAACATCAGGAGCAGATTCAGAGTTTCTATCCACATGGAGGTTGGCAGGACAATCTGGCTGCTGAGGTGGAGAGTGCTGATAGGGACTTGTTTCTAAGCTCCTTTTGTATACAGCAGGTACAGGTATACCAATTAGAACAACAACACTGAGTACTAAGATATGGCCTATTGTTCATACCATAATATCATACACTACTAGTCATAACTGGTGCTTAAATCTATAATTTCCCCTCAGTCCTGAAGAGAGGCATTGTGTGAGGATATGACTACCACTGGGTATCAGACCCATCAGAGGGCAATTCAAGCTTGGCCCTGAAGTTCACTGAATTATCTTTGTGAATAAAGTATTCTTTGCCAGACTTTCAGTCTCTGTACTGAAGTTACTTATGTTTCCAAATACCTCTTTGCCCTACTTTGCCTTCTCCTCTGCTGGCATACACACTTGGATAAGAGCATTTCCCTAATGGGTATTGATGGTATCTTTTAGGTATTGAGACACCTTAGATTACATTTTCTGTATAAATATAATTATTAAGCAAGCAGAAACTGTTCTAGCTTTATTCTCATTTTTGTATTCTCAACCTTAACAACAGTCCTCCAGTCATGGTATAAGTTTAATAGAGGAAGCAATGTTGCCTACTTGTCATTTCCAGATCTTTGTCTTCCATCAGTGTGAGAGTGTTTAGTTTCATAATTGATTCAAATGTACTGCAAATAAGGTTGCTTGTCTACAAGGTGTAAGTCCAATAATTATATGAATAGATATGGAAAATGTCATTCTTAATAGTCACGTTTCAAGTATCTGTTATTTATCCTCTGATTCTTGTGTTCCAGGAGAATGGGGCAGGGAAGAGATGAGGAATGTGTGGATTAAAAACGACTGAGGGAAGAAGATAAAAACAATTTAGAGATTTTCCTTGCCATTGTAGAAAACCTTGTAAAATGTTTTAAAGCAGAATTTTTCATTTTTAAAAATTAGTTCTGCCACTATACTGATATAAGCAAGCCAAGTTGACCTGCTAGAAGAGGAACCCAGTTAAAAGTCAACTGTCTCCAGCTCAGCCTGTCTTGTTGCTTAATTGGATGTTTTCTACATGCTAGGCATTAAGCTGGGTGATTTCATAGACACTTCATCTCACTTGATCCTGGCAACAACTCCAAAAGATGGTTTTATTATTCCCAGTTTTCAGATGAGGAAGCTGGGGTTTTGAGAAGTCAAGGAACTTGTTTACCAAGAGTTAGGGAGCCAGCGATGAGGAGATGCTGGGTGCTGTGGGAGCCCCTTACCAGTCTGGGAAGGATTGGCAAGTCAGGGAAGGTGTCTTCAGATAATTGTACATCTTTTACCTCCTTCTCAGGTGTGCAGACTCCATTCAGATGGGGGCTAAGAAATCATGAATGACTTAGATCATTCTGTAAATTTTGGTTGTTTCAATTTTCCCCAACCTGACTTTGGGTTGTAGGGCCAAGATAGGCCTGTGTTATTATTTTCGTCCTATGGGGCCACAGCCCATCTGATTTAGAATAACCCACACTTTTCTTGAAGCCCCAGGTTCCCATAGTTAGGTCAGATTTTCCACCACCTTTCTCGCTTCTTTTTGCTATCCAGCTGTCTGCTAAACAGTGCCAGATTCTTCTTTGTAGAAAAAAAATCAGCCTACCAAGGCAATTTCAAGCTGTCCTTTATGGAAAGGTCTTTAAAATGGTTCCAAAAGCCAGCTGTTTTCAACCCACAGATAAGGGGATTCTTTTGTTCCTGGCTCAGTATCAAAGGATGTCTAAAAAGGTGAATCTTCAGAAGAAAGGATTGTCTGAAATTATTAAATGTTATGAGGCACTGCCAGCTGTAATTTCTCCCTCTCTTCTTCCCACAGACTTTCAGAAAGTTTTGGTATCCTACATTGGATTAAAGGGTCTTTACTTCACGGGATATTTGCTGTTTGGCCTGGGGACGGGATTTATTGGGCTCTTCCCGAATGTCTACTCCACCCTGGTCCTGTGCAGCCTGTTTGGTGTAATGTCCAGCACCCTGTACACTGTGCCCTTTAACCTCATTACTGAGTACCACCGCGAGGAAGAAAAGGAGGTGTGCTGTCATTGAACCTCTGCCTTGGGTAACATCCAGACTCATCTGAAGGCTGGGGAGGATTTGGTAGCAATGTGTAGAGCAGAGCTGGAAAATAAGGGTTCTTGAAACAGCAACAGTCAAATGCCCAACCAACTGCAACCATGATCTGGTACAGGCATGCTCACCAGCCCAGCCCAGCCCAGCTGTCCTGTCCTCCTTATTCTCAACTCCTGCTCACTTAGGGAGCTGTAGGGCAAGAAGTGTTACTCCCATTTTTCTAATTAGAAAAAGGCTTGGTGAGGCTGAGAAACCAGCCCACAATTACACAAAGACAAAAAAAGGGGGACCCAGGTCTTCTGTAACCACCTCATAGGTCTCCCTGGTGCCACCTGCAGCATTTCTAGATACCGACAATAAGGGTCTCCCTATCCCCAACTTTCAGAGGTACATAGTGGAATTTCTTGGCATTATTTGCTGAGGGTAGGAAAGTCCTAGGCAATGGAGTCCAGATTTTAGTAAGTCAGACCCCATGTGTGAGAAGGAAAGCTGGAATCATGGGTGGTAATCCCCACTTTGCTGCCCTGAGCGGGACCTGTGCCATTTAAACCTTGGAACGCAACTAGTGAACAAGCGCCTATGCAGTGCTTATAACAGAGTTGGTGTTTCCACTCTAAAATTACCACCTCTTCTTATCAAAATTTGCAACTTTCTTCCTGTGAAAATAGGCTTATAGTTCCTTAACTGGAGCAATGATATAAAAGCTACAGAGATAACTCCAAGTTTAATCCAGCTCAGCATGAAACTGCAAAAACACTGAACATATAACCATCAGACTATAATTCTGGCCATGTTTTTCATCATTTGATCTGGCAGCAGGGCAGAGGTGCACCAGGAGTAAAAACCTTTCAAAAAAGAGGTGTGGCTTTCCTCATCCCCTGGCAAACATTGTCACCAAGGTGGGATGTTGCTGCTAATGGGAGAGTCATCATAAAAAACTGTCCCTACAAGGAGAGTGTTACATGGTGTTGGGGGAAGAAAACCTACGCTTCAGGCTCAGAGAAACCTGGATTCAAATCCTGCCTCTCTCACTTGGAAGCTGTGTTACACTGGGGATGTTATTTACTTGTTTATTAGTTAGCACTTAGAATGAGTTCATTTTTAGGTGAGATAATATATTCACAATGATACACAAAAGTGCACACTGTGTGCTCCCTTTACCATTTACTATCTCCCTCCAGCCCCAACGTGTTACCACTCTTACTAGTTTTTTGTTAATCTTTCCGGCATTTTTAAATAAAAACCAAGCAAATGTAAATCTGTTTTCTTATTTTCCTTTCTTATTCAAAGGATAATATGCGTTTTTCAGCATAATGCTTTTTTTTTGCCTAATAGTGTAGGAAATCATCATTTAAGCTCGCAGGCCCTCAGTTTCCTCATGAGGCAAATGGAAAGAATGTTATTTACCTTATAGAAAAGCAAACAAATTAGTGGATGTGCTTAGCATAGTGCCCCCTAGCACCCGACAAAGACTCAAAATGTGATAGCTAGTATTATAATTGTTACCATGGGGGTAATGATAATAACATGTGCATCCAGGGAGGTGGTGAGGTTGAAATACAGTAACAGGTAAAAAAAAAACCCAGGCCCAGCACATAAGCGATACCCAACAAATGACAAAGTTATCAGCCAGTTCGGAAGAAATATCAAGTATTAACCAAACATTATTATATTAATCAAGTAGCAACCATATTTTGAAAGATTGAAATGCTTTTTAAAGTTGCTTCTCTTAAGGACATCAGCAATTCAACATCCTTCTTAAAATCTTTGAATTTTTAACACTAAGAAAGGAAAAGAATGGGATATTTATTAAGTATCCACTACATTGTATTGATTATGGCCCGCCACTTGTTTTTGTACAGTCTGCGAGCTAAGAATTCCTTTTAATTGTTTAAATGATTGAAAAAAACTTTCAAAAGAAGGTTAATATCTTGTGACAGGTGAAAATTACATGAAATCAAATGCTAATACCCATCAATATTCAGTTCAGTTCCACATCACCAATTCATGAAAATTACATGAAATCAAATGCTAATAATGTCCATCAATATATATTGGAAAGCCAACTCAGCTCCACATTGCCCCTGCTTTTGCACTACAGCAGCAGAGTTGAGTAGTTATGACCAGGGCTGTATAATCCACGAAGCCAAAGGTATTTACTATCTGGCTGGTCACAGAAAAATTTTGCTGACCTGTGCCCTAAATGACAGTTCCTTGTAGGTCAAATGGTGGTTCTGTGCTTCCTTTGCAGAGGCAGCAGGCCCCAGGAGGGGACCCAGACAACAGCGTGAGAGGGAAGGGCATGGACTGCGCCACCCTCACATGCATGGTGCAGCTGGCTCAGATCCTGGTCGGAGGTGGCCTGGGCTTTCTGGTCAACACAGCCGGGACCGTTGTCGTCGTGGTGATCACAGCGTCTGCGGTGGCACTGATAGGCTGTTGCTTTGTCGCTCTCTTTGTTAGATATGTGGATTAGGTCAATAAAGAGACAATGACCCTAACCTCAGAGACAGTGAAGCACATGGCAGGAAGTTAACATTTTCTGCAGCTCTGAATCTTAGGGTCTGCCCATTGGACGCCCACTATTGTGATTTCAGCCGTGGAATCTGCCCACCTCTCTCTCTCTCTCTCTCTTTTTTTTTTTTTTTTTGAGATGGAGTCTTGCTCTGTCACCTAGGCTGGAGTGCAGTGGCACGATCCCGGCTCACTGCAAGCTTCGCCTCCTGGGTTCACACCATTCTCCTGCCTCAGCCTCTCGAGTAGCTGGGACTACAGGCGCCCACCACCATGCATGGCTAATTTTCTGTATTTTTAGTAGAGATGGGGTTTCGCCATGTTAGCCAGGATGGTCTCGACCTTCTGATCTCATGATCCGCCCCCCTTGGCCTCCCAAAGTCCTGGGATTACAGGCGCAAGTCACCGCGCCCAGTCCCACCTCTCACTTTAAACCAATCCTCTGCACAACAGTCCCCATATTTCAGGCAACGTTTGCCTGGACTATGCCTCTATGCCTCGGTGGCAAGGGGTAAGTGTGGGTGGCAGCATCTCGGTGCAAGGGTGGAAGAGGCAGGAGCTGCTTTTCACAGGGCATTACAAATCTTGCTGAGACCTCAGAAGCAGACTAATTCCATATACAATGCTTGGATGTGTTCTGTGAAGTGATTTGATTTTTTTTTTTTAGCCAGGGGTCCATATATATTGGGGAATCATATATTTCATCAAATTCACAAATATTCAAAATATTGCTAATGATTTATTCTCTATTAATTTATTCATAATTTGCTCATAATTAATTCCTATTACTTTATGATACCCCTGACAAGTCTACTCAAACATCTCATGCTGGAGAATTCACCACTTTAAAATAGTTCATTTCATTGACACAGTAAAAATATTTCTCTCTAGTCTGCACCCTTGTTTCGTCCTCTGGATTTGATGTGAAAGTCTTTCCAAAAAACAGCCCCCTGTTTCTCCTATGATCTTCTTTTCTCCAAGCTAAGCAGTTTTTCTCTAACCACACCCCTTCAACTGCCCCATGATGAGGTTTTCAGCAGCCTTGAGAGACAGCATGGTTTAATAAAAATCGTGTTTTGGAATCAGCTGGTTTTAAATCCTGGCTTTGCCACTCAGCAGTAAACTATGTAATCTCCCCAAGGCACACTTGCTCATCTATACATTTGGGATAAGAATTGCTATCTCAGAGAGTTGTGATGATTAATAATATGTAACATTGGTTCAGGCATGGTGGCTTATACCTGTAATCCCAGCACTTTAGGAGACCGAGGCAGGGGGATACCTTGAGGCCAGGAGTTCGAGACGAGCTTGGGAAACATAGGGAGACCCTCTCTCTACAAAAAATATTTTAAAAATTAGCTGGGCATAGTGGTGCATGCCTGTAGTCCCAACTATTGGGGAAGATGAAGTGGGAGAATTGCTTGAGCCTGGGTGATCGAGGCTGTAGTGAGCTGTGATTTTGTCACTGCACTCCACCCTGGGAGACAAAGCGAGTCCTGGTCTCAAAACAAACAAACGAACAAACCACAAAACACAAACCATGACATTTATGGAGTCTTTACCACTATTCTAAATGCTTTAACGTTAACACAGCAATTGTGGGAGTGGGTGCTGTTACCACTCTCCATTTTTTAGATAAAGAAATGGAGGCAGAAAGATATAACTTATCTGAAACCACACAATTCTTAAGTGACAGAGCTGGGCTTTGAACCCAGTCACTTTGGTTCCGTTGCTTCCTGTATGGACAGCACTTAGCCTGGTGTCTGGCACATGAATGGAGGCATGTGATCCACAGCCCATCCCTCTTCACTGCTTCCCCCACTCCTCTCTCTACCTAGGCAGTGTAGAGTCCTTGTGTGCATGCTGGCGTCAGCACATCCATAGCCTCCCACCTGCCTCCACCCTCTATCGCTCCTGCAAACGACCACCCTTAGCCACTTAAGGGTGGACAGACTCAGTGGCATGGAATTCCCTCTGGAGGATAGACTCAAGAAAGAACCCATGGATTCCTTGTAAATAGACTCAGGGCCATTTGGACAAGAGATTCCAAGGTCTCACGTACCCAAGCATAATCTAGGAGGTGGGAGGACTAGGGGGGCACAGATTCCAGAAGGTCCTGTGCAATCCTTGCCATGTGGGGAGGGGCAGGGGAAGAGCAGGGTCTCCTCTAATGATGACACCCAGACCAGGGGCCCTGGCTGCCCAGGGCTAAGGACCGTATCTACTGAAGTTGGCCAGCCTAGGAGCAAAGAGCCATTTGTTGTCATTCTGTGCTGCAGCCTCCTTCTCCTTCCCAGCCTCCCCAAGTGTCTTATAAGGCAGTGGCATCCCTGATATCTCACACGCGCTTTCCTCCTGCTGCTGCTGCTTGGGCTTCCACTTTGTTGCTTCAATTCTACCATTACCTCCTTTGTGTTTAAAGAACCCACTCTCTGCAGCTACCTGGTTCTTATACCTGTGACTGAGGCAGTGCTGGGGTGTGGAGCAAGGCATCTGAAATGCCCCTGTGAGTCTGGCCACTTCTGGTGTATATGTTGGGGGGAACAATAGAGGGCAGGGGTTTATGCTAAAGTGGCCACTTCTTCCTGCCCCCTGCTCAACCTCGTCACCTGCAGGGCATGCAGCTTCCTTATCCAGGCTCCTGCAGTGTGTCTGTCCCATTCTCTCCAGATCACTGGTGCTTTCCAGACCCAGCTAGGCTGTCTTCTCTGGCTTGAGCATGCTCTTTTACTTATCACCCTCCAAGCCTTGCTCCCTTCTCATTTTCTGCTTCCCAATCAGGTCCTCCTGTATTCTATTAGTACATTCACTCCCAAATGAAATAATCTCTTTCTTTTTACAGAATATATACAAAATTACCCCTTCTTCTCTACTCCACCCTCCCATCCCCCTGCCATTATCCATCCTGGAGAAATAAGTTAATGACTCATTTAGAGAGGCCACGAGGGAAAACACCTGCTCCCAACCCCATTGTGTGGGATGAGGATGGGTAAATGTTCAGAGGACTTCATGGCACATAACTCTTGGCATTAGGAAAGAAACAGCGACAAGCCACCTGTCTTATCTCCCTTACCTGTACTTGGCCTCTGCAAGGTTTAGAAATGGAATCCTCTCCAGGGTTCAGTGTTTATTTCCTGTCCGTTTCTCCAAAAACTGTTCTGATGTGTGAAGATTTGGAAATGAATAGATGGGCCAGCTGGAAAGGTGACCCACAGCTAAGGGCCATCTTATTGAACCCCCAAGAAGTCAAATGTAGTCATCCCTAACCAACCACAGGGCACTTGTGCGCGCGCACACACACACACACACACAAATATGCAAATACTCATTGAACTCAACTCCCTTGAGGTTTGAATGAATAAATATAATCCAATTTTCAAAGTCTTTAACCACATTTGGGAATCTAAGTATTTGTTCTCAGTATACCAATGACATATTCTTTCTGGCAAAAGAAATTTCCTTTCCCCAGACAAATAAAACTAGTACAAGGACGCATACTCTCAACAGAAATCCTGGGAAATCCTGCAAGAGAAAGAGAATCCCTACTACTTTGTTTCCTGCTTCCCTAACCAAGCATCCGACATTCCAACATCAAAGCTTTTAGTCACCACATTTTATTAGCGTTGAATATCCTCTCTACCTCCGAACCAACCCCTGCCATTCTGCCTAAACTGTGCCCATATATTTAGACCTGTCTCAAATATTATTTTGACCAGAAAGTCTGACCTCCCAGCAGGATCAACTTTTCCTTCCTTTGTCTTTCTTTCTTTCAGCCTTACTTTGACATTCAGCTGATCATTCCCTGTCTTATCTTGCTTGTGCTCACCGCTGTCTGTCCTTTTACGTGTGGAGGTCAGAAACGTGTCTGGTTCGTGTACATCACCTCAGCACCCTGCACAGGGGATGGCACAAAACAGCCACTCAAAAAGTAATTGTTGATTACAATTGATCTGACCATTTCCTTTGGTGACCCTTTTGTCTTTGTGGTAGACCAAAGTCATGATCTTTGATCCCTCCTGCCATGTTCTCAGAAGCCTTGTGCTTGGGATTTGGACAAAGTGACCCTTTTTATAGAGGTTATTTTTTTCCCATTCCTCCAGCTCCTTCTTTGCTGTTTTTCTAGTGCCCATAGTAGCAGATGCACATACTTCAACACCCTTTCCTAAAAATTCTGAGCTACCCATACATTATTTTATTGTTAAATTGAAATGGAAATTTGCTTTGATAAGAATCTCTCAGTAAGAGTCTATTATCCGTGTTATAGATGTATCTCCTACCGTGCAAATGTTAGTTTTCTCCTGTGTTTACTTTTTCATGTATTTTGTATTTTGGGGACCTTTGTGGAGCTTACATTTCAGTCTTTGTTAGCCTAATTGCTATTCAATATCTATATCAATAATTGTTCTTCCCAAAGGGTGAAGAAAAAAATGGACTACTTCAAAACAAACACACCATTCAGTTTTCTAAAAGAGCTGACTTCACAAGACTGCTCAGAATCGCGACTGGCAGCTTCTGCCTTTGTGGGAAGGCATGAGTGTTTAGTCATTTCACTGTGTTTTGCAATCACAGAAAGCAGATCAGGGAAGGTGGGAGTTGTAGATCTCACATTTTGAGCCCTGAATCTCAGATACTGCAGAAAACTTTCAACGACATCACTAAACAATTCTACCGTTCAAGAGGCTCTTTAAACAGACCTGTTTTTACGAATGGCTATTTTTTATATTAAACCAACCACCCTGGTGGGTGCCTGCATCATTGGTTTTTTGGCCCCAAACCAGGTTGCCGAAGAGAGTAGCAGTACCTCTATGAAAGCCAGCAGAGGGGTAGGTAGACTGATGTTTGATCCCAGTTCTTAGAAGAGCCTCAAGAAAGGACTTTGTGAGGGTTTAACATCTTAAGCTCCTGTGATCAAAACAGAGTCAACATGAGAAATGTGAGGCGGTCTTCAGAGACAGCTCCATAAACTGTCTGGAGGCTGGGAAAGAATTTGTCATGCATGCTTAATATGTAAAGCACTCTTTAGAATAAATGGAAATTGGTGATGGTAATGTCCGATGGGAATTACTATTTCCTACCTTCTCTTGTCAATAATATAAGCAATAAAAAAGCCCACAACTGAAATTCTGATGATACCCTCAGAACAGTTTCCCCAGTACTCTGCTCGCTTTAGAACATGGTACCTGAACCTTCTATTTTCTTTCCTACCCCACACCTCTGTTTGAGAGATCCGACCCAGCTTCTAGGAATTTGGTTTCCAAGATTCCACTTCCCCCCGCCCCCCGCCCCAATTCCCCTTGCACATTTCTGCGGTATTTCTTCCTCTTCTATCTAAGCCTACCAGAAAAAAATTAATAATAAAATAAATACTGAACCATCCCTCTACTCGCTGGTCCAGGGCCTCAATCAAAGGAACAGCTTGATTCCCAAAGCGTGGGAAGGGAGGAACTGAAGAAGTGCCCCCACTCCTCCCAGTAGAGCTATTCAAGATGCCTCCGGGCCCAGCTCACCGGCAGCACGCAGACTGCTCTCAGAGGAACTGGAGCGCCCGAGCTTCCTGCGCGCAACGCGCCAGCGCTCCACTTCCAACTCTGCTACCAAGTGAGCATATGAGCCCCCTTTTACCTTTTGGGGCAGCAGCCTGAAGAAATTTCCCTGTCCAGCCCTTCTAATCACACTGTGTCTCCTCCCTCCCGCAGCGACGACACTCCCCAGAGAATGGCTCTCCCAAGCTGGTGACAGGTGTTATCCCCCTGCTAACGTCTGAGCTCCGGGGCTGTGCAGCTAGGTCGGGCTCAGGGTGTTCCCGCTGGCCCAGTCCGGAATGATAATTGTCATAATGACTCCATTGGAGGTGGCTTTCCTTTGCCGTTTCTCCTGTGGGCGGACCAGGATGGTCAGTTCTTTTTCTTAACTCCAAAAGCGTTTCTTGCCTACCAGCTCTAGATTCCTGGGGCAGCCCCGCAGCAAGTAGGACCTTGGCGCTGCTGCAGTCTCGTTTGCCAAGACGCAAAGGAGTGTTTGTGCCGACGGCTGCCCTCTCCGCAGAAGTCGCTGGAATAAACGGGCACAATTGTCTGTGCATCATTTGGCTAAGCCCCGCTCCCCGTGCCAATTTCTCTACATTTTTGCTGCTTGTCTTCGCTTCTGGGCGCCCCCACACTACTCAGCGTGGGAAGAGTAAGGAGAGGCTGTGGGGTGCGGAGCGGAGGTTGGCTGTCTGGCCCGTGGGGCTCGTCTCTATCCCTTTGCCAATTTCCTCTCTCCACCCGATTTCGAAGCATCTCCTCTCCAGAGAAGGTCCTCGGCCTATCCACAGGCTCCTCCTCCATGCTCTGCCCATCCTCCTCCCACCTACTTCTTAAATGGGGCCCCCCCCAGCCCTCCTTCATCCTTTCACCTCTTTACCGCCCGGGGAAGGCCACCTTGCCCCGACGGCGCGCCCTGGGCCTGAGGCCTGCGTCAGTAGGCAGAGCTGCTGGGCAGCAGGTCGTAGCGCCCCCCGCTGTAGACCACGACGCCAGGTGGGTAGTAGAGCAGGTCCGGCTCCGCGGCCGCGTGGGGCGGCGCCGGGGCCTGCAGCCCCTGATCCTCGTGCTCCGGCTTGGTAGTGGCGGTGAAGGGGCGCATGCTGGTGATCGAAGGAGACGCGATGCGCCACAGCAGGCTCTTGAGCGCCTTGCGGAACTCGCGGCGCACGAGGCAGTAGAGGACGGGGTTGAGGCAGCTGTTGGAGTGCGCTAGGCACACGCTCACAGGGAACGCGTATACCTGGCACAGGAAATACTCCTGGCTGAAGGGCACCGCGTTGAACTTGATGAGGATGCTCCAGGTGGTGAGCGCCTGGTTGGGCAGCCAACACAGGAAGAAGGACAGGACAACGATGGTCACTGATTTGGTGACCTTCGACAGTCTCCGGGCGCTGGCTCCGGTCGGGCGTCCTCCGGCTACCGCGGCCCCTCCTTTGGTCCCCGCCGCGCGGCGGTCGGCGATGAAGCGCACCAGCAGCAGGTAGCACAAGATAATGATGCCCAGCGGCAGCACGAAGCCCAGCAGCACCTTCTGCGAGTGGTAGAGGCCCAGCCAGAACTGCCTGTCGCGGCCCAGCAACTTGTCCGGGAAACGCACCAGGCACAGCTCCTCGCCCATCACCTTGACCGTGGTGGAGAAAATGGCACTGGGCAGCGAGGCCAGCGCGGCCAAAGCCCAGATCCACACACACAGCGCCTTGGCCGAGAAGCAGCAGCTGTCCCCCAGGCTCCGGCCGCAGCAGTCGCCCCGGCCGTGTCCTCGGGTCCGGTGGCTCTTCAGAGCCGAGGCCACCGAATGGTAGCGCGTCACACTCATGGCAGTGAGGAAGAACACGCTGGCGTACATGTTCATGGACGTCACCATGGACACGATCTTACACATGGCCTTGCCGAAGGGCCATTTGAAGTCAAGAGCGTTCTCCACCGCCCAGAAGGGCAGGGTGAGCACAAACTGAAAGTCCGTCAGCGCCAGGTTGGTGACGAAGAGGTTGATAGAGGACTTGCGCCAGCCCTGCATGCTCTTCATCAGGTAGAGAACCAGCAGGTTGCCCGCCAACCCCAGGGCGCACACCACCCAGTACACCACGCTGATGAGAATCCGCACCCGGGCCTCTGTGTCCGCGCTCTCTGCCCCGCCGCTGCCCGGGGGATGTCCTGGCGGCGCGCCGTCCGGCAACTCCAGCCCCAGCTCCCACCACAAGTCCGGAAGCTGCAGCGACGCGTTACCACTCGTGTTGGCCGCCTCCAGAAGGTCCGGGACCAGACTGAAGAGTTCTGCTAGCTTGTCCCCGCCTGCTGCCTTATTCATGGTGGCTATCGTGGCTGCATCGGCCATCTGCATGCGCAGGTACCTCTAGGTCATGTTCTGGGGGACAAGACCTAAGATAACACGGTTTACCCCAGTTTTGTTGCCAGGCTAGCCTGCGGGACGTGCGTGGGAGCTTTCAAAGCAGCTACTGAAGAGAGAGCCCAGGAACTGGGTACTAAGCGCGTCCTGGCGCGCAGCGAACGCCCTGGACGCAGGAGTTGAGCTCAGCGGCTGCTTTGGAGCAGAGTTGAGGAGTGCAGCCCGTAAGGCAAGCACTCGGCGTCCAAGGGTTCTCAGGCCAAGCTCGGAGTCCCTAGGTCCTTATGTACAACGCAGACTTCCCCTCTCCGTGTCCCGCGGTCACTGGGGCACTGGCGCATAACTCCCCCAGCCGCTCAATTGTGCGATTTGGGGCCGCTCGCTCCCTTTCAAATACCTTTATCCGTTTCCTCTGGGACTGCTTGGATGAGGTTTCCGTCCTTGGAGAGAAAGAGATCGTAGAGTTCCATCCACCACGCTCAGCTTCCTGGAGGTCAGTGGGTGTCTGCGTCTCTCCGCGGTTGTCAACTCCGGGTGGGTTGCCAGCGGCTCTCACCAGTTACGGTGGCACTTGCACGGCCAAGGCGGCGGGCCCCAAGGAGCATGCGTAATCCCGGGGCGCCGCGAGGGGCGCTTTCCGAGGTGCTGAACCCAGCCGCGCCCGCGCCGCGAGGGAGAGTTGAGCTGCAGGCAAAGCCCACCCGCCACTCCAGTTTTCCTCTCCAGAGTTTCAGCAGGAAGGGTCTTAAGAGTTTATTTTACAGCTGCAGGAGAAAGTCGGCTTTGACGTGAGTTTCTTCTTCCTTTCTTATTCCCAAACATTATGATTAGAAGTTTTTTTTTTCTTTCTTCCTCACTCCCACTTTTCACCGGAATTATTCCATTTGGTGAGGAATTGTTCTAAAAATATGAGCTATCCTGCTTACTTTCCTTCTTGAAAGTAATAACAGTGGCCTCTTTTCATGCTCAAATGAGATAATGGGTACTTATTGGATACACAAAGGACAGCTCCACCTCCCCTCTTTAATTAGCTGACCACTTACGCAGTACCTGTGTTTGTCAGGATTTTCAAAGGGTCTTCACATGGCAGAAGTCTGGGCTCAAGGGTTGCCCCTACTTTAATGTATTCTGAGAGGTGACACAAAAACAGAGCAAACAACTGATGGTCCTACTTCACAGAAATTAAATGCCCTAAGCCCAAAGCGCTTCAACAAATTGTTTGATCACATACAGGCCACAGTCTCTTTACCTAGATGCAAATAGAATAGAGGATACCACTGGGCTGATCGTGAACCACCAGCCCTCCTATTTCCATTACTGTTAGCATCAGGACTCTTTTTCAGGCGTTTTTCAGACCAATGGAAGTACATTCTAAGGACTCTTCCAAGGGAATGAGTGGAAACCACTTGAATTACTTCTCAAGCTTCAGTCTACATAAATGCCAGGTCAATCGCTCTGGTGTAAATTACACTTTTAGGATTTACTTTAAAATTTTGAAATGTTTTCCTCTTGGTCTGGGACTAAACTGAAACCAAAGTTTCTTAAGCATAATTGTCCTCACTCCTGGAGTACTACAGAACTCCCAGCTTTACTTAAGGAGATAAAGAGGATGCAACCTTCAAGCTGAGGAGATAAGAAACAGAAAAAGAAAGAAAGAGAAAAACGAAAAAGAAAGAAAGAAAGAAAGAAAGAAAGAAAGAAAGAAAGAAAGAAAAGAAAAGAAAGAGAAAAAGGAAAAAAGAAAAAAAAAGAAACAAGAAACAATCTTGATTCCAAAGGACTTTTAGCCCTGAAGAGCACACACCTTGCTACGGATGCTGCACAGCTCCGTCTTCCCACTAGAGGGAGTAAGGGCTTTAGTAAAAACCTAGCCAAACACAAACATCTCCTTTGATCAGTTCTTACCTGGAGATCACCCCTGCCCTGAGGATTCCTCCCAAAGCACAGGTTATTTCTATGGATGACTATTATCCTGGTTTTAGTAGCCTCACTTTCACACTCAGTTTTGACTTTATTTTTAACTGGTTATTTCTCCATCAATTTTCTCTCTCTCTTCATCTATGTCTCTATTTCTCTTTTCTAATATTTCAAGGGGCTGTTGAAACACAAGAAAAGCTGGGGCATACCCTGAAAGCTCTCTGCTGTTAAATTTTTGGTATGTTCACACCAATGACCTCCATCTAACACATACACAGCTTCTCAGTGCTTCTAGGCACACCCAGGAATATATCTACTTGGTCTGCTCCAAATCACATGTACATATTCATACTTTATGAAAAAATTATAGGGGCCTGATTCAATTCATCTCACATTCATTGGCCACTTACTCTTGCCAGGCACTGAGATAGGCTGAAAGACATAAGTCCTCTATTTTGAGCGTCTCTGGAATTCTTAATCTAGATGAGTGTGCAATCTACTAGTGTCTAAAACTATATTTTTTGTTTAGTTTTGTGCATGACTAAGTTATCTAGAATGTAATGATTCATGCCAGATAAGTGGACAATAATTTTACCTCTTTTATTATTTCCCTTTTTTTTTAAGGGGTGGGTAGGTAATAAATAGTTATACCTTGATGGGATATTCCAGTTTTAGGTTTTTTGGGAGGGGGTACTCTATGTTGGTATTTAAAGAAACCATAAAGGAGGAAGGGTGCAGAGCTTGTTATGTTACATATGTGGTCTGTTTTTCTGTTCCTCTTCTTACCAAAATTGAAACCAGGCTGTGATGGGGGCCTGGAGGAAAATCAGCATCAAGAAACTGTCTCTCATTCACAGTGGCAGGGTATGGGATCTTGAAACCTTTTTCTGGGCTTCTTTTGTGTTCCTGAAGCCATGTGGGCCATGCGAAGCCATGAGGACAGCATAAAATCATACTCTAGCATGTAACCATTGGGAGCCCATGATCATAGAAGGGAAGAAATCACCTGCTTTGGTCCAGCATTTTGCGGAGGAGGCTTGAAGAAATGAAGGTATTTACCAAGAATCTCACCACTAGGAAGGAGCCACACCCGGTCTAAAACATAGTCTTGACTCTTAAGTGATGTCTCTTGATCTATGCTCCATTTTCCAATTTGGATCTAAGTCTTCCATATTGTTTTTCAACACAGGGGTGGGTGGTAGGCTGAATAATGCCTCCCCCCACACACAAATATGTCCACATCCCATTTCCCAAGCCCTTGGATGTTACTTTATACAGCCAAAGGAACTTTGCAGCCACTAGAAGCTTAACTAAGCAAAAAGATGGATTCTCTCCTAAAGCCTCAAGAAGGAAACAGCTCTTCTGACATCTTGGCTTTACTCTAGTGAAACTGATTTTGAATCTCTGATCTCCAGAACTGTGAGAGAATAAATGTACCTTCTTTTAAGCCACAACATTTCTGCCCATGTGTTATAATAGCAATAGAAACTAGCATAGGGTGGGTACACAGCCTGGCTTGAACATAACCTAATGGGAAATGGAGCAATTCTGATTTGAACATGTTGGTTAATCTTAACACCGACTTTGTGCTAGACACTGTGTCATGTACTAGAGATTTAGTGGTACCAGAACTCACATTCTAATAGATGAGAGAGACCTTTTAAAAATTTGAATTCTGGGTTGGGCACACTGTCTCATGTCTGTAATTCCAGCACTTTGGGGTGCTGAGGCAGGCAGATCACTTAAGGTCAGGAGTTCAAGACCAGCCTAGCCAACATGGTGAAACCCCGTCTCTACTAAAAATACAAAAATTAGCTGTGTGTAGTGGCACATGCCTGTAGTCCCAGCTACTCTGGAGGCTGAGCCAGGAGACTTGCTTGAGCCCAGGAGGTGGGGGTTGCAATGAGCTGAGATCACATGGCTGGACTCCAGCCTGGGCAACAGAGCAAGACGCCATTTCAAAAAAAAAAAAAAAATTCTAATAAATTGTATTATTATAATTACAATAAGAAAAAAACAGAGTAAAATAGAAAGTTACAAAACCATGTGCAAGTAACTAACTTTTAACTATTTACAAGCATATTTATCTAATTCTAAGATTCACATCTTATCAAATTAAAGATTTTTAAGATCAATATGGATTTCCAATTGCTATATACCTATTTAGTGAATAATTTTTTTCTCTAGAAAGCTGTAAACAAAAGGTGTGTCTTATAAGCTATAGTATCTTGGAAGAAAGGAAATTCTATAATCAGGTAAATGGGGGTGAGGTGGGGGTAAGGAAAGGGGAAGAAAGAGGACTCTGGGCAGAAGGAACAGCCTGAGTGAAGGCACTGGGCAGGAAAGAGCATGATGCTTTTGTAGGACAGAAAGAAGATGAAGTGCCTATAACACAGGGAGATGAAGTAAATAGTGCTAGATAGTCTGGTGACATGGGCAGGTGTCAAACAATTTCCGACTGCAGAATTTTGATCTATGACTTTGGAGTAATGGAGGACATTGGAAAATTTGAAGCAGGGGAGCAACACAATCAGTTTCGCATATTCAAACCATCACTCTAGATATAGTGTGATGAGTAGACTGGAAGGGGCGGAGCTGATATAAATCAAGACAATTAGGAAGCTACATCAATAGTTCAGGAGAGAGATGATTGTACTTTAATCTAGAGGGATGCGGGGCAGAATAAGATTTAAATAGGCATTTAAGACACTGACTTGACAGTACTTGGGGGTGGACTGCATACAAAGAAAGGGTGAAGGTAAGGACAAATTAAAAGCTTTCAAGTTTTTACCCTGAGCATGTGGGTAGGTAGGCATGCTGAGCAAGTGAGGTGGGGGAAGATGACACATTCAGGCTGGACATATGAGAGTGTGAATGCCCCAATCAGATTTAGATGTCAAAAAGACAGTTGAATACATGAATCAGTGACTCAGAGAAGATAAAAATATGTGGGTCTGCAGTGTATAGATTATAATTGAAGCTTTGACATTGATGAGACTGTCTAGAGAAAAAGTGTAGAGTGAGAAGAAATCTCTTGTTAAACCTGGGGGAAATCTGAGATTGGACTGTCTGGTAGAGGTTGGAAAGCCTGTTGATGATAATTGCTACATGTATATTTAATGAATATTCTCACTGTTTATGACAATGAGAATTAGAGCTAGAAAAGAGGAAAACTAGGAGCCTGTGACATGTGAACCCCGAAAATCCGAGACGGGTCTCAGTTAATTTAGAAAGTTTATTTTGCCAGGGTTGAGGACACGAGCCCATGACACAGCCTCAGGAGGTCCTGATGACATGTGCCCAAGGTGGTTGGGGCACAGCTTGGTTATATACATTTTAGGGAGACATAAGACGTCAATCAATATATGTAAGAAGTACATTGGTTCAGTCTGGAAAGGCGGGACAACTTGAAGCAAAGGCAGGAAGACTCGAAGCGGGGGAGAGAGCTTCCAGGTCACAGAAGGTGATATGCAAAGGGCTACATTCTTTTGAGTTTCTGATTAGCCTTTCCAAAGGAGGAAAATCAGGTATGCGTCTATCTCAGTGAACAGAGAGGTGACTTTGAATAGAATGGGAGGCAGATTTGCTCCAAGCAGTTTCCAGCTTGAGTTTTCTTCAGTAATTTTGGGGGCCCAAGATACTTTCCTTTCACACATGGAAGCCAAGAAATAAAAGAAATGTAGGGGAAAAAAAGCAGGGGCTGTATTTAATGCTGTGTCTAATGTGAGGCCAAGGAAGGCAGGAAAGGAGAAATGTTCATTGGATTTATGGACATGGAGACCATTGAAAACCTTGGGGCACTATTTCGGGAGGCAGATACTGGGAGAGGAGATACCAATGAAACTAGAAAGCTATTCTCATTGACTTCTAGCAACCAAAGAAACTGAGTCAACAGGAGAGACAAAAGTTTGTTTCAGTTCAACTGGCAAGTCAGTGACAGAATTAGAAAGGGATTCAGAGATATTGACTAACATTTCACCCTTTGGTTTGTTAATTGACGCTTTAATTGAGTCAATTGACTCTTTAATTGAGTCGATTAACTGCCTAACAAATCAAAGAGTTTGAGCCTTTGGGGTCCTCAGGCACCACTGCTAATCTAAGCAGTCACTTTAGTCTAAATTAAAATTTCTCAACCTTGAAACTATTGACATTTTAGGCCATATAATTCATTGTTATGTGGGAGGGGCTGCATTGTATGATTATTATTTACTAGCATTTCTGGCCTCTACTTGTTAGATACCAGTAGCAATCCCAGATGTTGTCTTGTCAGACAACCAAAACTGTCTCCAAACATTGCCAGACATACCCTGGAGGCAAATATCTCTTCCTTCCCCAAGGTTGCAAACCACTGGGCTAAACATGAACCATTTGTTAGAAAGGGAAATGGCAGGAGACTGTGAAAGAATCTTTTGTTACTCATTCTCACTTCTAGGAAAACAATTCAAGGGACCTCCCCTTTAGGTGGGAGTTGGAAGGGTGTATAGAGAACAACAGCATGTTACATTTTTGTATGCTACATACACACCCCTCCGAGCATTGGTGCAATGCATCCTTTTCACTGGAAATCCCCATCCTTTCTCTAGATGCTCTTCAGTTAAGCTAAAGCAGAGCTTGCTAATTTCTTTTAAATAGATGAGCAGACCTGCCTTGGGAAACTTCAGAGGCTCTCGCTCATACATTATGGTTAAGACTTCCCTGACATTGCCTAGATGGAAGAGAAGTTCAGGAAACCCGGACCTTGGCACATTGGCAGTTCTGATGTCCACCCACAGTGGAATGGTTTAGTCCTGTGGCTACTGGATGCCGCCTCCATCACCACCGTGCTAAAGAAGGCTCTGGCTCACTCAGGGGCCTGCTCCATAGCCTGAGGACATTGTGCTGCTGGTCCTCCCGAGCCCATTCTGCAAGTGAAGGAAACTACAAACAGACACGGGTTGTACCTTTGGAACTTTGTGTTCAGATGTCTCCCAACTAAGATTCAGGTTAGACTTCTCCAACAGGCATTCTAATTTAATAGGGATTTGAATGTTGGAAAGAGAAGCCCAGGGATAGGGCATTCTTATTTGGAAGTGAGAAATCTGAGGTCTGACACTAAGTAACCAGATAACGATACCCCAGTCAAATGACAGTGTAGAAGCCAAGTCTCACCAAACACAGGCCTCCATAACAACTCTTTCAGTACTGAGTGGTTAAGTTAAATACGAAAAGCCAGTGGCTTTATACAAAGGCTGGTATGTAACAAAAGCCCATCAAGAGTTTTATCTAGGCCTTTCCTGGGCCTTAAAGCATGACAAAATAAAGAAGGAATTCTTAACAGGACCCATTTAGGATGAAACAAGTTTTATCGTGGGGCTGAAGAAACTCCCCAGGCCTCAAACAAGTTCGTTGGGGGGTCTGAAGAAACTCCTCAAGCCTCCGTAATTTAGCAGGAGACAAGATAAGGGTAATCACGCCAGCACCTGGATCCATTTAGATTAAGTAAATTTACTGAGGCTCCAGAGAAAGGTCTTCAAGACTCAGACCGTAGTTATAGATTAAAAGAAGTTAATCACTTATGTCTTTAGATGAATGCACACTTACAAGTAGACATACAGCTTAGAAGGTTTATAAACTCTGGAAAACTTTGTAATTTTGAATAGGTCTGGCGATAATTTCCAGGCCTACTCCCTGTAACCGGCTACAGAAATAAAAACTCTCTTCTTCCCCAGTTCATCTGCATCTCATTATTGGGCCATGAGAAATAGAAGCCCGACCCTCAGTTTGGTCCTGGAACAATGCTTCTGGGTCTCAGGTTCCTCATCTATATAACGAAGGAATTGAGGTTCTTGAATATTCTAAGATAGACACTGAATCGGTGACATCAGAATCAACTAGAGCTTGCTAAAAAATACGGGTTGCATCGCTCTTCAGACCCCAGATTCTGATTCTCAGTGGATTGGAAAGGAGCCCAGGAATCTACATTTCAAACATTCTTCCAGGTGATACTATTTTTTTTTCAAGTTTGAGAACCTCTGGACTAAATTTTATTCTAGTTCTAACACTCTATGTAAACAAATTTTAAATCTCAAAGAATTAATCTGCAATGATGGTTTATCATACACTGCGATTGGAAGTAAAAGACATACAGAGAAGGGGATATTGAAGCCTGACAGGTGATATCTCTTCATTGTTGGACTATGAGGGTCATGTGCTCTGGAGGTACATCAGGCCATGAGTACCAACCAACATGAGACCCAAGCTGAAACTGAAACTGCCTTTGAAAAATTATAAATGAGGAAATTATGACTTTGAAAGAGATCAGACCTAACTGACCCCATCTTGCTTCTATCTTTTAAGCTGTCCTTGCTCACTCCTGGGCATAGGCTGAACTAACCTCGGGAAGGCATTCAGTTTATGATTTGACTCTGAAACAAAATTGATAGCAGCCCTTTCCCCAAAAAAAACCCCTTTTTGCCTTGGGACCAGTCTGCCTTCGTAGGACTAACAAATTAGCTACAAGAGTAGAAATTATGGTTTAAGAGTCATGCAGCCTCTGGCTGCAAGAGTCTGAATCTCCCCAAATTGCTGATGGGGATAACATCAATATTGTAAAACTGAAGATCGGTGCTTGAAATATTTTGCAGACCCTGTACTTGATGGACCAGCTGACACCACCCAGACTATTAATCTGGCTCAACCAGTTCTGCAATCCTACCCAGGAACAGAAGACAGCAAGCAAACCTCACTTTGACCCCCACTATGATTCTATCTCCAACCTAACCAATCAGCACTCCCCACTTCCTGAGCCCCTACCCACCAAATTATCTTTAAAAACTCTGATCCCTGAATGCTCAGGGAGACTGATTTGAATAACAAAACTCCAGGTCTGCTGCACAGCTGGCTCTGCGTGAATGATTCTTTCTGCATTGCAATTTCCCTTTCCTGATAAATTGGCTCTGTCTAAGCGGTGCGCAAGGTCAACACGTTGGGTGGTTACAGGACCCCAGGAGAACTTGTTCCCAAGTGTGACCCTTGGAGACTGCTGCTGGAATGCTAACACACATAGAATGTACTTGACTTTTTGAATCTGTTCTTGAAAATGAACCACAAGATCATGTGTAAGAATTTATACTACTGTTTAACTAAGCCTGTGTTGTGGAACCAAAAAATCCTTTTTCTTTTTTTTGAGATGGAGTCTCGCTCCGTCGCTCAGACTGAAGTGCAGAGGCACGATCTCAGCTCACTGCAACCTCAGCCTCCCAGGTTCAAGCGATTCTCCTGCTGAGCCTCCCGAGTAGCTGGGACTACAGGCACGTGCCACCACACCTGGCTAATTTTTTGTATTTTTAGTAGAGATAGGGCTTCACCTGGTTAAGCAGGATGGTCTTAATCTCCTGACCTTGTGATCCACCCGCCTTGGCCTCCCAACATGCTGGGATTACAGGCGTGAGCCACTGTGCCCAGCCTAAAAAAATCCCTTTTCAAATGACTTCTTTTCCAAAAACACTTAAAGATATTTTAGATCACTTATCTTAAAAGTATGGGCCATGGTTTACTCAAACAGGATCTAAAAATTTCAAGGAGAGGGGCATCACAATCATGGTCAAATACCATGTCAGTGTACTGTTAAAATATTACCAAAATCTTGCCATATAAATTTCTACTGGAAAATTAGGCTGGTGGATAATTTGATTGTATTGTTCAGGAGGATCTACTTTGTGGAAAAATAAAAAGAGAAGATTTATTTCTCCATCGTCTGGTTTTATTTTATTTTATTTTATTTTATTTTATTTTATTTTATTTTATTTTATTTTATTTGAGACAGAGTCTCACTCTGTCACCTAGGCTGGAGTGCAGTGGCGTGATCTCAGTTCACTGCAACCTCTGCCACCCGGGTTCAAGCGATTCTCCTGCCTGAGCCTCCCAAGTAGCTGGAATTACAGGCACCTGCCACTGCGCCCGGCTAATTTTTGTAGTTTTAGTAGAGACGGGGTTTCACCATGTTGGCCAGGGTGGTCTTGAACTCCTGACCTAGAGATCCACCCACTTCGGCCTCCCAAAGTGCTGGGATTACAGGCGTGAGCCAGCACGCCCAGCCCACAATAGTCTGGTTTTAAATCAGCCACCGCTTGCTTCCCCATCCTCACTCATTAATCTGATTGTCAAGTTTTATCACTGTGGATGCACACATGTCAATCTCTGTTTTCCCAGATTGGTGCCTTTGCTAAAAATGTTCTTGTGAATGTTTTCTCTTTTCCCTCATTTCAATGTGTTTCAATCTGACCTGTACTTTAAGGCAAAATGCTACCTTCTTTGGGAAGCCTTCCCTAATTTCTTAAGAAACAGGTAGGCTGGGGGCAGTGACTCACGCCTGTAATCCCAGCATTTTGGGAGGCCAAGGTGGGTGGATCACTTGAAGTCAGGAGTTCGAGACCAGCCTGGCCAAACGGTGAAACCCCATCTCTACTAAAAATACAAACATTAGCTGGGTGTGGTGGTGGACACCTGTAATCCCAGCTACTCGGGAGGCTGAGGCAGGGAGAATTGCTTGAACCTGGGAGGCAGGGGTTGCAGTGAGCCGAGATTGCACCATTGCACTCCAGCCTGGCCAAGAGAGAGAGACTCCATCTCAAAAAAAAAAAAAGAAAAGAAAAAGGAAAAAGAAAAAAGAAAAAGAAACAGGTGTGATTTTTTTCCCCTCTCAATCTTAGAACCCTCTATTAGCATATCTCTTAAGGCATACGTACCTGTGTAAGGAGTGCTGTGGCTCTTTCAGTATATTTCTCATCTCATTTCAAAGGGTGTCATCCTCTTGTGGACAGGCCGTGTATCATCATCGTGGTTGTTTGCTCTTAGTGCTGAGCCCAAATCTTTCACATGTGTGAGCACAGAACAGGCTTGTTGATTGGAGTCTACATTCAGGTGGTTTCCTCTTAGGAAGGCAATCCAAAAATCCTTAAAAGGTAACTTACAAGTTTCCCCTAACTATCCACTCATGTAGAATATCCAAGTGTAACTCTAGGGGAATTGACATTTTAAAATATTTTATTTTTGCCTAACCTATACCTGCATCTAGCTTAAAGCCACCTGCACATTAAAGCAAGGGTGAAGCCTTTTAAAAATACTGATGCCCAGTGCCAATCTTAAAACAATTAAATCAGAAGCACTTGTGGAAGAGTAAAACATGAAAATTTCAGTTCCCCAATAGCTGGGTCCTCTATATTTCTTCTGCCCATAGGCACATTCAAATGTTTTAAACAATTCTTTTACTATATAGCTCAATAACTCTAGCTGATATGCTTATATTGCTACTCTATGTTTTCATTTTAGGCATTATTTTTCAGTTCCTACTGTGGAAGGTGAGTAGCCCTTTTTCTCACACATTGCTCTTTCACTTCTAGTAACATTCTAACACCTCCCCATTTGGTTCTGTTGTACTTTTGAAAGATCAATTTCTAGCATTTATGCTGTAATGACTTTACTAACAATTGAGCCATACAGTATATAGCAATTGTTTTTTTTTTCTTGCACAATGTTTTGTCTCCATTGAAATTAGCAATTATCGTGGTTTGTTCAACGTAATGATCACTAAAGTATCCTCAAACTGTCTTTGAATTGTGAAAAATCTTTTCTCCATATCTTAAAAAAATTAGGTTCTTCTCTATCTGAGGATGTTAGCCTCTTCTTGCCTAAAGACATTCTGCCCTGAGGTTAGGGCCTTGCAAAGGGCTTTTGGTCATCCTAAGGACTACCTCCCCTGTTTAAAGAGGGGGCTCTATAATCAGACAAAGTCCTGGCAGGCCCCAGGGAGTCTGGGAATACTTAAGCGTGACACGTGAAGAAAGTACAGTATACACCAAAATAATTGCAAGTTTATCAATGTTGTTGATGGAAACTGAGAACATTTATGGAAATGGATCCTAAAAGTGCTGGATTATGGTGGAAGAAATGCAATGTTGGTCTGGTCACATTTGTTGATATGAGTACAGCATGCAGAGATTCTAGATTTAGTATATTAGTTCAAGCTATAGGAAGTGGCTCTAACAGTGTACTTGTTGGTTGGTTGAAACATGGATCTAGAAGTATCCTAGACAAAATTTAAACTGAAATGCCAGAAATTTTAGAAATGTCTCAGTATACTACAAGGGACACTACCCAGATGCTTAGGATGATAGGCATGGTAAAGTAGATTTACCACGTAAGATCTGCTTACTCATCCCTAACTGTGTATACTCTTTCAACAAGGCAGCAAGAAATACATTCATGAGGGGACCCTGGGCATCTTTGAAGACCTCTGTGGAGTTGTTATCAGTAGGCCAGGAATGCAAGTGGGAACTGCTGTCATTGACCTAGACTCCTTGAATTCAATGAAGATAATGGGATTTCAGGGTGGCAGGGGCCCAGTGGAGGCCCTGAATTAGCAGAGGTGAAGTAGGAAAGGCATGACAGTATGCAGCAAAGTGGAAGCAATGATCAGAATGGTTTGACCTATGACTTCAGTGCTAATTGACCATTGTTTCTAGGACTGAAATAGGTGGACAACCTTGTAAGGTCTTACTTGATATGTACAAGCAAAAAAGTCACTAAACTTTGTGAACAGAGATCTAACTTGAATCACAGTAACAGAGATGTTGTCCCTCAAATAATTACCAGATTTGAACCAGTTTATAGATGCGGAGTCCCTTGGATGAAAGGGAGGCCAGGTACCTTCAAGGAAGAACTGTGAAAAACAGCCAAAAATTTGTATTGTAATCATTCTCTTTAGCTTTCACCAAAAGAACTTGCATTCATTTGCCAGTGTGACTGGGAATAGAGGAGAAGAAATAGCTAGACTTTGGCTCTGAATTGACACTAATTCCTAAAGGCCCAACATTGCATTGTGGGCCACTAATCAGAATAGAAGCTTATGGACATCAGGTGATCAATGAAATTTTGGCTAAGCTCTGTCATATGGTGGGCTTAGTGTGTCCCCTAAACCACACTGTGGTTATTTACTCAGTTACAGAATGCATAATTGAATTACTCAACAATGCGCAGAATTCCTCTATTGGTTCCCTGGTCCATGGAGTGAGGGCTACTGTAGAAGCCCAAGTGGAAGCTAGTAGAGTGGCTTTTCCTCACCAAAATAGTAAACCAAAAGTCATACCATATACTTGGAGGAATCCTGCAGAAGTTAGTGTCATCACCAAGGACTTAAGGGGTGCACAGGTGGAAATGAAATGGCAACCATTTCTGTGTATGGCAAGAGGCAGTTGTATCTTGCTCACATTTTAAGTGACCTCCATGCTACTTTATTGGCATTGGGCAGCAGCTGGGATTTTAGCTCTTCCACTTTCTACTGCATATCTTTCTTTAGCTTTTTTTGAGTCCTGGGCCAGGCACATGTGTAGCTCTATAGCAAAAGGTATCAGCTTCCTCTGCAGGTCATCTGCATTGTCAGTTCTGGAGGTAGTGAGAGAGGGATTTTACTAAATTCAAGTTTGTCTTCATGGGTTCCAGCAGAAGAACAGTTTTTTTTAAAGAAGAAGAAGACAGGACAAGTGAATATGCCTGGAAATGATTGAAGGTTATCTTACTCCAACTCCAAAGAAAATTTGGCTGATAGATTTAGGCAGATCCTTCTAGCAGGCAAAGAGCAAAGAACCAAAGTCAGCTGTGCATGGGAGACTATGCTTGAGGGAGAGACACATGAAAAGACTGTGGAAAGAGCCTAGGAGGCCATGCTTGAGAATTTGGATTGCACTTACAGCACAACAGGAAGCCACCAGAGGGATTTATGTAGGTGCAGTAGATGCTGTTGGTACCCTGCACATCTCACCTTAGCACGTGCCATTTCCCTGTTTGCTAGCTTGACTTTCAAGTATCAGCTCTGGAGACTGTTTTCCCCAAGGCCTTTCTGTGGCAGTCAGAACCTTCCTTGCATGCTGTGGGGCAGCCTAGAGGTGGTGGAAATTTAACCCTCCACTCTCAACCTTATAAGGTCTCAGGGGACCTTATAAGCAATCACTGATGGGAGTTGATGTATAAATATCCTGGCTACCTTGCTTCTTTGGCAGAGCAACTCTGATGTGTGCTTACTCTATTTCCTGGAGTTTAGAGATAAACCTTTAGTTGGCAGAGTGGAAACTTGCGACAATACACCCTTTATTAGATTTCTTCCCTTCTCTATCTCACTTCTCCACTCCACTTGTGTTATCTGAGGTCATCTTCCAAATAAACTACTTTCACTTGAATTTTTGGTTCTGGATCTGATTTGGGGAGAGTCTAAATTAAGATAGCAGGAACATTATGGAATCCAATTTAAACTGTGTAAAGATCATACTAATTGCTGTATGGTGAAAGATTGTAAGGCAACCATGGTGTGAGCTGGGAACCTAGAAAAATGCTACTGAAGTAGTCTAGGTGGAAGGGGGAGCAGCTTAGCAGTGGTAATTGTGGGGATGGAGAGAAGTCCTGATCTGAGTTTTATTTAAAGAGTAGAATTATAATCAGGATGTGGTGATGGACTGGATGGAGTTAGAGGGAAGGGAAAAGGTAGTTTCAAAAATAACTTCATCCTAGGAAGCTAATAGGAATTTACTACAATGGAAAGACTGGGAAAAGAAAGATTATGGTGCAAGACTAAGAGAATTCTCATGGACATGTTGCCTTTCTGATATCCAGGTGCAGAGGTCAAACAGGCAGGGGGAAACAGGTATGTGGGTCTTACAAGCTGGGACTGGATTGGTTACTAAATGAATAAGAACATGTGAAATCACCCAAGGAGAGAGAGTATAGAGGAAGAAGGCATGCACCCATCCAGGGTAGAACAGAAAATGTCAGTTTCCAAAGACAAGGCTTCCATAAAGTTTCTAGAGGAAGCTATCAGGATGAGCATTTTAATTTAAATACCTATTTTAAAAACAAATTTCTGGAGAAAACTGGAACTGTTTCCACCAAACTGAATGCAGATAACAGAGACTGAAATAGAAAATATTAAAAAGGTGAGTTGAGCATATCTTTAATAAGACTAAGACCTTGAAGAATGCATAATTGTTTTTTACTAAATATGGAAAATTCACTGTCAACTGGGGCTTTTCATAGATCAAAAAAGGCCTGGGCTTCCTTCAATTTTTTTCCTAATGCTCCTGATATAGATAGGCACTTGATCTTAGCCAAAAGGCTGAGAAGTCATCCTGATATAGACAGAAAGATAAAGATAAAGAAATAGATAATATAATGATGTATACATATAATGAAAATATGCCAAAATTGAATTACAAGATGATATTGTTATAATATACATAGTTAATTAGAAGCTTAATATTTTAACACAAGAAAAGACTGTGTAACCTGAGATGTTGTAAAAGCCTAAGTTTGATGTCCTTTGTGAGTGCAAGATCTAGGCTTCTTGTCCCACTTCCTGACTCCAATCCCCTGTGGGCTTTCATGGAACTGTTGTGATAACTTGGACTGGTCCCAAGAAGATCAGACCTCACCTTGTGACTAGAAATGATGTCTTTTCTTCTCTAAAGGAAACAAATGCCCCCTGTGTCAGTGAACAAGCTTTGGACCTTAGGCTGTAGAAGGGAAGGACTCACCTACTCTTCGGTTAAGGCAATTGGAGGGCTGGACTCTGGACTATGCAGATGTCTGGGTGGGGCTGGGCCATCCCTATGGAACAAGTTGGGCAAAGATCCTCTAGTTGTGAGCCTGAAGGGTAGCCAAGACTAGTAGCAAGAGAAGCAGCCCTGTGTGTCACTCCTCTGGGTGTTAAGTTTTATTAAACACTACTGCCTGAATTTAGCTGTGTTTGGGGGAATGAAAGAAGTGATTTGAATCCATGCCTAGGGTGGACTGTTGTGGGAGAGAAAAATGGGAAAAGGAGAGTTATATGACTGTGCATTGTAAACTCAAGTTTTTAGGCAGTCTAAGGTGATCCATTCAAAGCTTATGTGGTTGGCATAAGGGCAAGTGACCACCTAGGCAGACTTGCAGAACACATAAGCAGTCTTCCTGGGTTCTTTGCCTTGGTTCTTGGCAAGTGGGAGACAAGGTAGAGATGGACTTTTCACAGTCCTATGGATGAAGCTCAGAAAATGATCACTGGGGATATAAAAAAGAAAGTTCTGATATAGGAAAATGGCAAATAGGACACAGGACTAACTTGCAGCTCCCACTCAGATAAACAGAGCAGTGTGTGGAGAATCACAACATGAACTTTTGCTCCAAGAACTACCACAGGAACATACCAGGAAAGCTGAGAGAATCCACAGACCCACTGAAAGAGGCAGCTTGCTGCCACAGGCTCTATGAAGCAACTGAAAAACTGTTAGTACCCAAAGTGTGACAGGGGGTATGTCCACCCCTGAACACACATCCTCACTGGGAAACTTGCAGGTCCAGATCACAGAAGAAGGATTTGACTCACCTGAAGCTGAGATGAATTTAGAGAACTGAGTGAAATATAGGGGTAGGAGAAGCAGCAGGAAGAGCTCTGTGGGCACTCTCGGTCCCCAGGGAAGCCATTTCTGACTGTCTTGCAGGAATCCTTGGGGAGGGCTGCCAGTGGAATTGGGGATAGACCACAGGGAGAAGGAAACTTTCAGCAGAACTTTGTAACAATTTCAACTGAACATGAAGTTTCCTGGACAGAGTCTGGGGGAGGGGGGTGAACGATGAGTGCAGATAAAGCACAGAAGCCATGGCAGGCTGAGATGTATGAAACCTGAAAGCCCTGCTTGCTTTTTTGGCGGGGACGCCTGTAGCCTGAGGCCAGATCTCAGCCCTGCTCACGGGCTGCCTGGAAATTAACTCATTGCTGTTGGGGGGCATGGTGGGAGTGAGACCGACCTTTCACATTGCTTGGTAACTGGGTGAGGCCTGTCACTGCTGGCTTTCCCCCACTTCCCTGGTGACCTGTATGACACAGCAGAAGCAGCCATAATCCCCCTGGAAACATAACTCCATTCTCCTGAGAACCTCTATCCTCCACAGCAGCTGCAGCAAACCCTGCCCAAGGGGAGCCTGAGCTCAGACACACCTAAACCTGGCCCCACCTGATGGTCCTTCTCTACTCATCCTGGTAGCTGAAGACAAAGGACATAATCTCTTGGGAGCTCTATGGCCCCACCCACTACCTGAGAAAGCCAAATACTTATCCAGATGACCCCAGGGCAAGCTCGTATCCTCCCTATACCAAGCAGCTGGTGTTTTCTTGAAAGGGCCACCTCCTAGCTGGAGGCTAACCAATGCTAAACCAGCACACTAAATAAAACTATAACCAAGGACCCTCACAGAGTCCACTTCACTCTCCTGTTACCTCCACCAGAGTAGGTGCTGTGCCAGAAATCTAGACATCCAAATACAAGAAACTCAAAGAACACCCAGGAAATTCATCATAAAAAGATCACCACCTAGGCACATAGTCATCAGATTATCTACAGTCAAGATGAAGGAAAAAATCTTAGGAGCTGTGAGGCAAAAGCATTAGGTAACCTGTAAAGGAAAGCCTATCAGATTAACAGCAGATTTATTAGCAGAGAGAGAGACCTGAAGATGGATCATGTCACAGGACTCTTTGCAGGCACTCCTCAGTACCACCCTGGAGCTTGGTAGCTCCATTGAGTGGCTAGACCCAGAAGAGAAATAACAATCATTGCAATCATTGCAGTTTGGCTCTCAGAAAGCCCCATCCCTAGGGAAAATGGGGAGAGTACCACATCAAGGGAGCACCCCATGGGATGAAAGAATCTGAATGACAGCACTTGAGCCCTAGATCTTCCCTCTGACATAATCTACACAAATGAGAAGGAACCAGAAAAACAATTCTGGTAACATGACAAAACAGAGTTCTTTAACACCCCCAAGACATCACATTAGTGCACCAACAATGGATCCAAACCCAGAAGAAATTCTGAATTGCCAGAAAAAGAATTCAGAAGGTCAAATATTAAACTACTCAAGGAGGCACCAGAGAAAGGTGAATACCAACTAAAGAAATAATAAAAAAAAAAAAGTTAAAAGATATGGGTGGAAAAGTCTCCAGAGAAATAGATAGTATAAGTAAAAAAAAAAAAAAAAAAAATCACAACTTGTGGAAATGAAGGACACACTGAGAGAAATGAAAAATACACTGGAAAGTCTCAACAATAGAATCAAACAAGCAGAAGAAAGAATTCAAAGACAAGGCTTCCGAATTAACCCAATTTGACAGAGACAAACAAAAAAGAATAAAAAAAAATGAAGCCTCCGAGAAGTTTGAAATTATGTTAAATGACCAAACCTAAGAATAATTGGTGTTCCTGAGGAAGAAAAGAATTCTAAAAGTTTGGAAAACATATTTGAGGGAATAATCAAGGAAAATTTCCCTGACTTTGCTAGAGATCTAGACATCCAAATACAAGAAACTCAAAGATGACCCAGGAAATTCATCATAAAAAGATCACCACCTAGACACATAGTCATCAGATTATCTACAGTCAAGATGAAGGAAAAAATCTTAGGAGTTGTGAGGCAAAAGCATCAGGTAACCTGTAAAGGAAAACCTATCAGATTAACAGCAGATTTATTAACAGAAGCCCTACAAGCTAGAAGGAATTAGGGTCCTATCTTTAGCCTCCTTAAACAAAACGATTATCAGGCAAGAATTTTGTATCCAGGAAAACTAAGCTTCATGAATGAAGGAAATATACAGTCTTTTTCAGATAAACAAATGCTGAGAGAATGTGCCACTACCAAGCCAGCACTACAAGAACTGCTAAAAGGAGCTTTAAATCTTAAATCCTTGAAGTACTCCAAAACAGAACCCCCTTAAGCATAAATCTCACAGGACCTATGAAACAATAGCACAATAAAACAACAACAACAACAAAATGAAGTATTCAGTCAACAGCTAGCACAGTGAATCAAATAGTACCTCACATCTCAATACTAACATTGAATGTAAATGGCCTAAATGCTCCACTTAAAAGATACAGAATGGCAGAATGGATAACAATTCATCAACCAAGTATCCACTGTCTTCAAGAGACTCACCAAACACATAAGGACTCACATAAACTTAAGGTAAAGGTGTGCAAAAAGATATTTCATGCAAATGGACATGAAAAGCGAGCAGGAGTAGCTATTCTTATATCAGATAAAACAAACTTTAAAGCAACAGCAGTTAAAAAAGACAAAGAGGGACATTATATAATGATAAAAGGACTTGTCCAACAGAAAAATATCACAATCCTAAATACATACGCACCTAACACTGGAGCTCCCAAACTTATAAACATTACTACTAGACCTAAGAAATGAGATAGACAGCAACACAATAATAGTGGGGGACCTCAATACTCCGCTGACAGCACTAAACAGGTCATAGAGATAAAGTCAATAAAGAAACAATGGACTTAAATTATACGCTAGAACAAATGGACTTAACAGATAGTTACAGAACATTCCACCCAATAACTGCAGAATAGACAGTCTATTCATCAGCACATAGAACATTCTCCAAGATAGACCATATAAAAGGTCACAAAACAAGTCTCAATAAATTTAGGAAAATTGAAATTATATCAAATACTCTCTCAGATGACAGTGGAATAAAATTGAAAATTGACTCCAAACAGAACCCTCACGATGATAAAAATAGATGGAAATTAAATAACTTGCTCTTGAATGATCATTGGGTCAACAATGAAATCAAGATGAATATTAAAAGGTTCTTTGAACTGAACAATAATAGTGACATACCCTATCAAAACCTCTGGGATACAGCAAAGGCAGTGTATTAGTCCATTTTTATACTAATATGAAGAAATACCCAAGGCTGGTAATTTATAAAGAAAAAGAGATTTAATGGACTCATAGTTCCACATAGCTGGGGAGGCCTCACAATCATGGTAGAAGCAAAGGAGGAGCAAAGGCACATCTTACATGGAGGCAGGCAAGAGAACATATGCAGGGGAACTGCCCTTTATAAAACCATCAGATCTTATGAGACTTATTCACTATCATGGAAACAGCACGGGAAAAATCTGCCACCATAATTCAATTACCTCCCACTGGGTCCCTCCCACAACACATGGGAATTATGGGAACTACAATTCAAGATGAGATTTGGGTGGGGACACAGCCAAACCATATAATTCCACCCCTGGCACCTCTCAAATCTCATGTCCTCACATTTCAAAACCAATGATCTCTTCCCAACAGTCCCCCAAAGTCTTAACTCATTCCAGCATTAACTCAAAAGTCCACAGTCCAAAGGCTTATCTGAGACAAGGCAAGTCCCTTCTGCCTATGAGCCTGTAAAATCAAAAGCAAGTTAGTTACTTCCTAGCTACAATGGGGGTGCAGGCATTAGGTAAAGACACCCATTCCAAATGGGAGAAATTGGCCAAAACATTGGGACTACAGGCACCATGTTTTGGTGCCTGTAGCAAGAATCACCCTTCCTCCAGTTCTCAACAAGTTCCTCATTTCCATCTGAGACCATCTCAGCCTAAACTTTATCATCCATATTAGTATCAGAATTTTGGTCAAAGCCATTCAACAAATCTCTAGGAAGTTCCAAACTTTCCCACATTTTCCTGTCTTCTTCTGAGCCCTCCAAACTGTTCCAACCTCTGCCTGTTACCCAGTTCCAAAGTTGCTTCTACATTTTTAGGTATCTTTACAGCAGCACCCCACTCTCTGCAGTACCAATTTACTGTATCTGTCTATTTTCATACTTCTATGAAGAAATATCCAAGATTGGGTAATTTATGAAGAGAAAGAGATTTGATGGACTCACAGTTCCATATGACTGAGGAGGCCTCACAATCATTGCAGAAGGTGAAGGAGAAGCAGTCACATCTTACATGGTGGCAGGCAAGAGGGTTTGTGCATGGAAACTGCCCTTTATAAAACCATCAGATCTTGTGAGACTTATTCACTATCACAAGAACAGCATGGGAAAACCCGCCCTGATGATTCAATTACTTCCCACCAGGTCTCTCCTATGATATGTGGGGATTATGGGAGCCATAATTCAAGATGAGATTTGGGTGGGGACACAGCCAAACCATATCAGGCAGTGCTAAGAGAAAAGTTCATAGCCTTAAATGTCTACATCATAAAGTCTGAGAGAGCACAAGTAGACAATCTAAGGTCACAGCTCAAGGAACTAGAGAAACAAGAACAAACCAAACCCAAATCCAGCAGAATTAAAAAAATAACAAAGATGAGAACAGAACTAAATAAAATTAAAACAAATAAAATACAAAAGATAAATAAAGTAAAAAGCTGGTTCTTTGAAAAGATAAACAAAATCAATAGACCATTAGCAAGATTAGCCACAAAAAGAAAAGATCCAAATAAGCTAAATTAGAATTGAAATCAGAGATATTACCACCAATACCACAGAAATATGAAAGATCATTCAAGGCTACTATGAACAGATTTATGTGCACAAACTAGAAAACCTAGAGGAGATGCATGCCAGTTAGAATGGCAATCATTAAAAAGTCAGGAAACAACAGATACTGGAGAGGATGTGGAGAAATACAAATGCTTTTACACTGTTGATAGGAGTGTAAATTAGTTCAACTATTGTGGAAGACGGTGTGACAATTCCTCAAGGATCTAGAACTAGAAATACCGTTTGACCCAGCAATCCCATTACTGGGTATATACCCAAAGTATTATAAAAGATGTATGCACACGTATGTTTATTGTGGCACTATTCACAATAGCAAAGACTTGGAACCAACCCAAATGTCCATCATTAATAGACTGGATAAAGAAAATGTGGCACATATACACCATGGAATACTATGCAGCCATGAAAAGGATGAGTTTATGCCCTTTGCGGGGACATGGATGGAGCTGGAAACCATCATTCTCAGCAAACTATCACAGGGACAGAAAAGCAAACACTGCATGTTCTCACTCATAAGTGGGAGTTGAACAATGAGAATACATGGACATAGGAAGGGGAACATCACACACTGGGGCCTGTTGGGGGGTGGGGGGCTGGGGGAGGGATTGTGTTAGGAGAAACACCTAATGTAAATGACAGGCTGATGGGTGCAGCAAACCAACATGGCACATGTATACCTATGTAACAAAACTGCACATTGTGCACATGTACCCTAGAACTTAAAATAAAAACAAGAACAACAATGACAACAACAACACTAATCTCAAAAAACTTAAAAAAAAAAAAGAAAACCTAGAGGACATAGATAAATTCCTGGAAATATACAACCCTCCTAGATTCAACCAGAAAGAAATAGAAACTGAACAGACCAATAACAAGCAGTGGGATGGAAATGGTAGTAAAATAAATTGTCAACAAAAAAAAAGTCCATGACCAGATAGATTCACAGCTGAATTCTATCTGGTCAGGGACTTTTTTTTTTGTTGGTGATTTTTGCTGGTGAGAATATAACTAGTACAACTGCTATGGAAAACAGTGTGCAGATTCCTTAAAGAACTAAAAGTAGATCTACCATTTGATCAAGCAATCCCATTACTGGGATTCTACCCAGAGGAAAAGAAGTCATTATCAAAAAAGATATTTGCACATGCATGTTTGTAGCAGCACAATTCATAATTACAAAAATATGGAACCAGCCCAAATGCCCATCAACTAACCAGTGAATAAAGAAAATGTGGTACATATATACTATGGAATACTATGCAGCCATACAAAGGAATGAAATAATAGCATTTGTAGCAACCTGGATTAAGTTGGAGACCATTTTCTAAGTGAAGTAACTCAGGAATGGAAAACCAAACATCGTACATTCTCACTCATAAGAGGTAGCTAAGCTATAAGGACATAAAGGCATAAGAATGATGCAGTGGACTTTGGGGACTCAGGGGAAAGGGTGGGAGGTGAGTGAGGGATAAAAGACTACACACTGGGTGCAGTGCACACTGCTCAGGTGATGGGTGCACTGAAATCTGAGAAATCACCACTAAAGTACTTATACATGTAACCAAATACCACCTGTTTCCCCAAAACCAATTAAAATTAAAAAAATACCAAAAAAAATCCTCATCTTATAGTTTCAAGATGTTGTGATCAGGAGATATGTCTGTTAAAAATGTAGCAATATCCATGATGTCTAAGAAAAGCACTCTGTGGCATTTTTAAAGATAAAGACTGTTCTTCTGACCTTTAGGTACTTATAATTAGAGATAAAATAAAGTGACATGAAAAGTTGAATAAATATATAAGCTTACAATCCAAATAATGTAATATGTAAGTAATGTGTAAGTAAAGGCTAGGATGTAGGTTTGAAAGAGCCTATAGTCATGTGGGTAGTTTGTTTTGGAAGACTGTAGTACGGAGGAATAATTTGTGTGGATCTGGATTAGAAGACAGAAAATCACTCCTGGAGTCAAATTAGAGAGGAGTTATATAATCAGAACTTCTAGATCCTGAAATTTTACAGGCAAAGTGGATTTTCAGATAGAGAAAAGAATTTATTCTTTCAAGACTCCTTTGGAGTATGTGTGGCTGCCCCTCACACTGCATTACTTCTTTTTAATCTGCACATGTGACAAATCTTTTATCCTACTATAATTATGAATTGAGTTCTTGTATACACACAGTAATGTGTTAGGTGCTTAGATATATAACAATGACAACGATGATACAATATGGATATTGATAGAAGCTATGATGACCATTCACATTTATTTGGACACTTTATTAGTTTAATAGCCTTGTTGTAACAAGTTACTACACACTGGGTGGCTTAAAACAATGGAAATTTATTCCTACAATTCTGGAAACTACAGTCAGAAAGCAAGGCATTGGCAGGGTTGATTTCTTCTGGAGGCCCTCAGGGAGAATCCATCTGATACGGTTTGGATGTTTGTCCCCTCCAAATCTCATGTTGAAATGTGATTTCCAATGTTAAGGTGGGGCCTGGTGAGAGGTGTTTGGGTCATGGGGATGGATCCTTCATGAATGGCTTGGTGCCCTTGCCATGGTAATAAGTGAGCTCTTGATCAGTTAGTGCATGAGGGAGCTGGTTGTTTAAAGGAGACTGGCACCTCCTCCTATCTCTCTTGCTCCCTCTCTTGCCATTTGACATGCATGTTCCCCCTTTCTTTTGCCATGGGTAAAAACTTCCTGAGGCTTCACCAGAAGCCAAGCAGATCCTAGTGCCATGCTTGTGCAACCTGCAGAACTGTAAGCCAAATAAATCTCTTTTCTTTATAAATTACCCAGCCTCAGGTATTCCTTTATGAAAACACAAAACAGACTATCATACCATCCCATCACTCCAATTTCTGTCTCTGCCTTCAGATGACATAGTCATTTCTGCGTGTATCTCTGTGTCTCTGTTTTCTCTTTTTATGAGGCTATCAGCTGAATTAGGGCTCACGATAATCCAGTATTACCTTATTTCAACTAATTACATCTACAAAGACCTTATTTTCAAATAAGGTCACGTTTGTAGATACCAGGGGTTAGGACTTGAACATATCTTTTGGGGGAGCACAATTCTACCTACCACAGGTGTACAACTGTGTACACTGTGCAAAGGGTTTCATCTGCATCAGCTCACCTAATGACCACAACCAGCGAGGCTGATACCATTATTATCCCAAATCTATACTTGCAGTCCTTTACTTCCAGAACTCTAGAGTTGTCTATTCAATTGCTACTTGATATTCCCACATGGTTGCTGATTTTCCTTCAGATTTCTCAATCTTGCTTAGTGGCATTACTATTCCCTTATCTGTGCAAGTTAAAAACCCAAGAATAATTCTTTATTTCTCATTTTCCTTTGTACCAAATCTAACCCTACCTAGTAGGTTCTGCTAGCATGGTCTCAAAAAATTCTTTTTTCTTGAATCTGTTTACTTCTTTCCATTTCCACTGGTAATATTTTGTATTAGTTACTGTTTGCCCAATAATAAATTACATTAAAACTTTATGGCTTAAAACAATGAACATTTATTATTGCACAGTTTCTATGAGTCAAGAATCCAGGTGCAGCATAATGCCGTTAGCTCAATGTCTCTCTCTCATGAGGCTGCAGTCGAACTATCAGTTAGGGTTACGGTTTTATGTGAAGCCTTGACTGATAGGCAGAGGAAACTAATCCTAAGCTCACTCACATGGCAGGTCTCCATCTTTCACCCTGTGGGATTCTCCTCAGGCTGCCTCACAGCATGGCAACTGGTTTCCACCAGAGTGAGTGATGTGATAGACAGACAGTGCTCAGCATAGAAGCTATAGTCTTCTTATAACCTCCCATCAGCAGGGACACTCCCAACACTTCTGCCGTATCTTCTTGTTTAAAGGAGAGTCCACACTCAAAGAGGAGGGGGACACACTCAAGTAAGTCCAGTCCACACTCAAAGAGGAGGGGACTACACAAGAGTACATGGGTCACGGGGGACATCTTAAACGCTGCGTAGCACAGCAGGGCAGGATGTCATGATACCTTGTGGAAAACAGGAGTTGGAGGGAAAGTCATCTAAGCAGATATTTCAACAACTACACAGTGCTGGGGCAACAGAGATTGAAGTTCCAACCTGGTAAAGTGGAAGGGTGCAAGTAATTTGTCTAAGCTTTTGGTTGAAACTCCAGAAGGAACACATCCTAAGGGTTCTACACCCTATTCTCAACAAACGGAAAATATACATTTTTTTTCTAAGTATACATAGTATATTCATCAAAACAGACCACATGCTGGGCCAAAATCAAGTTTCAAAAAATTTCAAAGGATTGAAATCAGACAGAGCATGTATTTTGTGCACAGTAGAATTAAACTAGAAATCAATGAAAGAATGATAACTAGATGTCCCTCAAATGTTTTGAAATTAAGCCACACATTTAAGCAACCCATGAGTGAAAGAAAAATTAACAAGAGAAATTAAAAAATATTTTAAACTAAATCATAATAGAAATGGGACACATCAATATTGGTAGGTTGCAACTAAAGCAGTGCTTAGGGGGAAGTTTATAGTTGTATGTGCGTATTTTTAAAAAGATGAGAAGTTAAACATCTAAGCTTCCAAATCAAAATACTGGAGGAGGACAAATATGTTACTTACATAGAAAAAAAGAAGTATGAAAATTTTAAAGATAGGAGCAGAGTAATACATGGAGAGTTTCTGTGACGGCAAGTATTAACCTTCTAGTTGCCAGATGATAGAGAGATGTGTGAAGGGGGCCTCAAGAGAGGATGAGAGCAGCTTGGGGCAGGGGTTACTTAGTGCTCTCGGGGCAGTGGTTAACCTATAAGTATGGAGACATATAAACATTTTATAAAACTTCTACTGTTAAATTCCCTCATACCAGTGGAATATGAATATGGAGTCTTCTCAATATGGTCCCACCCTCTATTGTATCCTCTTGTCAACCTTTCCCCACCAGCTGCAATACCCAAACACTGAATTGTGCTGACACTAGCCCACTAGTCATTCCCTACATTTTGAAGCAATCTCCCTCTCTTCTTTGCCTACCCCATCACTCTTTTTGCTCAGGTAGACATTTTTCTTCTGTCCCTGTTGTCTGGTAAGCTACTAATTGTTCTCCAAGATTCAACTCACACATTGTTTTTTCTTTGAAGGATTCTCTTATTCCCAATATTCCCTAGACAGAATGAATTACTCTTTTTGTGCTGCCATAGAACTTTGCATGAATATTTATTATAGTACCTTTTACTGCCTTAGACAAACACAATAACAAATGACCACCCCTTCTCTAAACTGAATACCTCTTGAGAACTGTAGTCATATCTAATGCACCTTTGTATACCCAGCTCCTGACATATGCCTAGAAAATCATATGCAGCTTGAACCTATGAATGAGACATTAATTCCATTTCTTTCCTAACAACTAACATCCATTTAACAAAGAGAATGCATTTACAGTTAGAATACCCTGCAGTAATCTGTGAGCTCCGTTTCAAATGCTTCTCTGGTCCTCTCCGTATTCCACATGCTCACAACCTGGCAATTGCCATTCTCCGTGTGTGGGAAGCAATATCCCCCCTGAACTTTGCCCCAGCTGAGGGGGCCTCTGCAATCAGGGTAACAACCATGCTTCCTAGTCAAAGAGTTAATGGGGCTTTGTTTCAGCAGAAGATATTAAAACTGGTCTTGACTGCTCCACAGCGTTCAGAGGGCAATATTTATCACATTTCATTATTTTTCTAAATTAAATTCAGGCTGGGTTAAGGCTCCTCTAACTAAGTTGGAGAGACATCAGACCAATCATCTCTGGTAGCCTCTTCCTCTTCAGCTGTACCCTAGGGCTCATGCAGTTGGAAAGAGAGAGAGGATCCTGGTTCCGGTGCCCTGCAGGCACACTGCTGATGTTGTTGCCATGTCATGTCTGAGTGCCTAACAAATTCTGCAGCTCCACTGGCAGCTTCTTTTTATGCTGAGCTCAGCCCTGGTCATCTCTGTCGAGTGTCTCAACAGGATGACCCCATATGCCCACTTGCTATTGACACCCGTGCAGGCCTTCTCACTCAGGAAAGCACGGAGGCAAGCTTTGAACTCTTCTAAGTCTCCAACCTCTCTCCTATCCCAGTCTCTAAAGTTCATGACCTTTTGGACTTTAGCACTTCCTTTTTAAATTATTGAACTCGTCCATTCGACCGTTGAGAAATAATACAACCTAATCATGGCAGAACCTCTAAAATAGTGGTTGTCAAAATGTGCTCCCAGCAGGCAGCATCAACATCACCTGGGAGTTTGTAGACATGCATACTCTGGCCATACCTGATATCTACTGAATCAGAAACTCTGGGGCCGGGACCCAGCAATCTAGGTTTTCACAAGACTACCAGGTGATTTTGATATATTGAAGTTTGAGAATCACTGTTCTAAAACAAAGAGGTAGCCTTTCCCCAACTCCCACTCTAAAACACATTGAGAAAGAAGGAAGGAATATAGGAAGGGAGGAATTGGTTATTACTCTTCCCCTTAAATAAAGTTCAGGCAAAAGAAAATAAGGATGTAAGGATGTGAGGGATTAGGGGGAGGGGAGCAGGTATGTGCATTGGCTGCTTTCGCCTTCTAAGGTTATGAATATCCATGAAAGTAAAAACAAAATACAGTAAAATTTTTCCAATTGATTATTCTGCCACAGAATAAACTGTTGATGCATTGTTTTCATAGCTGTCTTAGAATCTCTTGAGGAGCTTAAAAACATTCCAAACTCTCGGTTCCTCCCCCTAGGAATTCAGATTTTGTAGGTCTGGATTAAGATCCAGATGTTATTTTTGCAAAGTTTCACAGGTTATTCTAATATGCAGCTGAGGTTAAAATGCATTGCCCTAGATCTTCTGTTGTCTTTTAAGAATGACACAAGGAATTTTAACTCCCTGTTACCTCCTAGGCCCATGTGTGACACAATCAGAAATGGACTGGGAACATCCAATCCTAGCTGCTTCTAGTGGCCTCGTATTCAGTCCAAGAGCTGACATTACCACTCTTTTTCTTGCTTGTTTACAATGATCAGAGGAACGACAGTAGCATTTGCACATAGGTCTAACCACTACAAAGTCATTGAGGAATGCTTTTGAATATCAGCCCCTACACTCTTCCCACCTCCATCATTGCAAACTAACTTAGGCTGACTTTTTATGTATAGCTTCTAAGTTCTTTTATTTTGTATTTTTTTAAAAAGTTTAAAAAATCGACAGCATTTTATGCTTTTATTGTATACAATATGATGTTTTGAAGTATATATACATTGTGGAATGGTTAAATCTAGATAATTAACAAATGTATTACCTCCTATAGTTATCATTTTTGTGGAAAAAGCATATAACATCTACTCTCTTTTAAGAATATAGTATATCACCATTAAGTATAAAAACCTTGCCATACAGAAGACCTCTTGAAATTTATTCCTTATATCTAACTGTAGTTATGTATCCTTTGATCAACATTTCCCATCCGCTCCTCCCCCAACCACCCTAGTCTCTGGTAACCACCATTGTACTCTCTACTATTATGAGATCAACTTTTTTAGATTCCACATATGAATGAGATCATATGATATTTGTCTTTTTGGTCTGGCTTATTTCATTTAACACAATATCCTCCAGGTTCATCCATGTTGTACCAAATGGCAGAATTTCATTCTTTTTTATGGCCAAATAGTATTCCATTGCGTATATCTACCACATTTTCTTTATCCATTTATCTGTTGTTAGACACTTAGGGTGATTCCATATTTTGGCTATTGTGAATAGTGCTCCAATAAACATTGGAGTGCAGATATCTCTTTGACATACGGATTCCATTTCCTTTGGATATATATCCAGTAATAAGATTGCTGGATCATATGGTAATTGAGACCTGAATAAGCATTTCTCAAAAGAAGACATACAACTGGCCATCAGGTGCTTGAGAAAATGCTCAATATCATGAATCATTAGGGAAATGCAAACCAAAACCATTCTTCTGCAGGCTTGGTGAATCTAGCTAGCATCTAGTATCAAGGATTTACCTCAGGAAAATGCAACAATGTTTTATCAGCAAGATATGGCTAGTGATGTAGCTTCAGTCAAACAGTAAAAACATTCTAAAACCACAGACTTGACATAAATCTATTTATCAATCAGGTCAATGGTGCCACTTACAAAGAGGGACTACTTTCTAGATTCTAAAAGCATGTTTAAAACTGCAATATAATTCACACATAATAAAGTGCAACATGCTTGAAGTATAACACTTGATTCCAACATGCCCGAAGTTTTTTCTTGCCTCTTTGTAATCTGTCTGTCTTTCAGACTCACTCATTCTGATTTGCCTCTGTCACTATAGTTTGCTTAACCTAGAATTTCATAAAAATAGAATCGTATGTATCCTTGTTTTGTACTTTAGAAAAAAATCTAGCTTTTTTTTTCACTGAGCATAATTATTTTGCAATTTATCCATACTACTGAGTGTAGTTTTATTGGGGGAACCTGCCCCCAATATTTCAATGTAAGTTTTTTCTATTTTCCCTAAGTGTCACCCAGACTGAAAAATAAAGAGAAAGAGTACAAAGAGAGGAATTTTACAGCTTGGCCGCCGGGGGTGACATCACATATTGGTAGGTCCATGACGACCACCTGAGCCGCAAAACCAGCAAGTTTTTATTAGGGATTTCAAAAGGGGAGAGGGTGTACCAACAGGGAGTAGGTCACAAAGATCACATGCTTCTGAGGAAATAGCGCAAGGACAAAAGCAAAGATCAAAAGGCAAAGCGCAAAATTAGAATTACTGATGAGGGTCTATGTTCAGCTCTGCACGTATTGTCTTGATAAACATCTTAAACAACAGAAAACAGGGTTCAAGAGCAGAGAACCAGTCTGATCTCAAATTTACCGGGGAGTGGTTTTTCCCCCACCCTAATAAGCCTGAGGGTACTGCAGGAGACCAGGGCATATTTCAGTCTTAACCACACAAGACAGACACTCCCAGAGCAGCCGTTTATAGACCTCCCCCAAGGAAAGCAATTCTTTTCCCAGAGTATTAAATATCAACATTCCTTGCTAGGAAAAGAATTTAGCGATATCTCTCCTACTTGCACGTCCATTTATAGGCTCTCTGCAAGAAGAAAAATATGGCTCTTTTTGCCCAACCCCGCAGGCAGTCAGACCTTATGGTTGTCTTCCCTTGTTCCCTAAAATCACTGTTATTCTGTTCGTTTTCAAGGTGCACTGATTTCATATTGTTCAAACACACGTTTTACAGTCAGATTTCATATTGTTCAAACACAGATGTTTTATAATCAATTTGTACAGTTAACGCAATCATCACAGTGTCCTGAGGTGATGTACATCCTCAGCTTACGAAGATAACAGGATCAAGAGTTTAAAGTAAGACAGGTTTAAGAAATTATAAGAGTATTATTAGGGAAGTGATAAATGTCCATGAAATCTTCATAATATTTGTTCCTCTGCCTCGGCTCTAGCTGGTTCCTGCGTTCGGGGTCCCGGACTTCCTGCAACATAGTTTACTCCTTTTTATTGTTGAGTGTTTTTCCACAATAAGGCTATATCACAGTTTATTCTTTCAACTGTTGATAGCTTTGAATTGTTGCCAGTTTTGGGCTACTACAAATGAAACTGTTATAAACATTTGTATATAAATCTTTGTGTGGATATATGCGGTCATTTCTCTTGGGTAAATACCAAAGAGTAGAATGGTTAGGTCATATGGTAGGTGTATATTTAACTTTTTAAGAAACTGCCAAAGTATTTTCAAAAGTAGTTATACCATTTACATTCCTACAAGCAGTGTATGAGAGTTCAGTTCCTACATATCAAGATATGCATACTTGGTATGGTCAGCCTCTTAAGTTTTAGCCTTTCAGCTGCATAATGATATCTCATTGTGGTTTTAATTTGCATTTCCCTAATGACTAATGATGTTAACAGTCTTTTCATGTGTTTATTTGGCATCTATAAATCTTTTGTGGTGAAGTGTCCATTTAAATATTTTGTCCATTTTTATTGGTTGTGTTTTATTCATTTAGAGGTGAGAGATCTTTACATATTAACGATTTATATAATTTTTAAGATACATGTTTTGCAAATAGTTTTTTCTAGTCCTTGATTCACCTTTTCCCTCCCCTCCCCTCCCCTTCCCTTTCTTTCTTTTTTTCTTTTATTTTTTTGAGAAGGAGTCTTGCTCCATTGCCCAGGCTGGAGTGCAGTGGCACAATCAAGGCTCACTGCAAACTCCACCTCCTGGGTTTAAGCGATTCTCCTGCCTCAGCCTCCTGAGTAGCTGAGATTATAGGCATGCACCACCACACCTGGCTAATTTTTGTATTTTTAGTAGAGACAGGGTTTCACCATGTTGGTCAGGCTGGTCTCAAACTCCTGACCCCATGATCCACCTGCCTCGGCCTCCCAAAGTGCTGGAATTACAGGTGTGAACCACCATGCCCGGCCATCACCTTTTCATTTTCATAGCAGTGTCTTTTCAAGAGAAAAAGTTTTTAATTTTGATGAAGTCCAAGTAATTTATTTTTTTTTTAGAGTTTGTGCTTTTAGCATATATATTTTTTTCTTACTTATCTTTAGAAACTACGAAAGCTTTTGGGCTATATTTTAAAAATATTTTCCAAACCCAAGCTCACTCAGAATTTCTGCTAAAGTTTATTCTAATGTTGCATATATTTAATTCTTAAACTTTTCTTGAAAAATAAATGTAATCTCCCCTCCCCTCCGTTGTTTTTTTTTTTTTTTTTTTTGAGATGGAGTTTTACTCTTGTTGCCCAGGCTAGAGTGCAATGGCTTAATCTCAGCTAACTGCAACCTCTGCTTCCTGGGTTCAAGTGATTCTCCTGCCTCAGCCTTCCAAGTAGCTGGTATTATAGGCACCTTCCGCCATGCCCAGATAATTTTTGTATTTTTAGTAGAGATGAGGTTTCGCCTTGTTGACCATGCTGGTCTTGAACTCCTGACCTCAGGTGATCTGCCTGCCTCAGCCTCCCAAAGTGCTGGGATTACAGGTGTGAGCCACCGTGGCCAGCCTTATAATCCTTTTTAAATTAATATTTGTATTTGGTGTGAATTGAAGATCAAGGTAAATTTTTGTGTATAATTACCCAGTTGTTCCAGCACCATTTATTGAAGTGATTATTTCATCCACTGAATTGACTTGGTACTATTTATTAAAGTCAATTAACAATGTATGTGTAAATCTGGATCATGGCAGATGGGAGGCAAGACTATATTGCAGCCTGGACTTGCACAGACAGAGTAGCATGTGAAGGATCCCAATGTGATTTTTTCCTCCAGAATGACTGCAGGAATAAATCAGAAAACCTGAGAGGACCCACAGACCCTCTGAAGGAAGCAGATTGCTTCTGCAGGACCTGGGAGACACCCCAAATACTGTGAGTGCCTAAACTGTGGAAGTGGGAAAGGGAGATCATCTGCCCCCAAACACACACCTGCACTGGGGAAACTGAAGGTCTAGATTACCGGAGAAGATTCTGACCTCACCTGGAGCTGAGTCAATTGAGAAAGCCAAGTGAAATACAGGGGTAGAGGAAGCAGCAGGGAAAGCCCTGTGAATTTGGTGGGTCCCCTAGCAAGCCATTTCTGCCTGGCCTCACAGGGGTCCTTTGGGAGGGTGGCCTGAGGCACTGGGAAAAGGCCACAGGGAAAAGGAAATCTCCAGCTGAACTTTGTAACAATTTGAACTGATCGAGAAGCCTCTTGGCCAGAACTCAGGGGAGGGCAGACTCCACAGGCTGGGGAAGAAGGAAAGCCATACTTGCTTTTGCAGCTGAGAGGTGGGTAGCCTGGGGCAAGTTCTCACCCCTGCTCACCCACTGCCTGGAAACAGACTCGGTGCTGTCACGGGTAGGTGGGGCATGGTGGGAGTGAGACAGGCCCTTCGGTTTGCATGGGAGCTGGGTGAGATCTATGACTGCTGGCTTTCCCCCACTTCTCTGGCAACCTGCACGACATAGTAGAGGCAGCCATAATCCTCCTAGGAACATAACTCCATTGACCTGGAAACCTCACCCCATCCCCCACAGGAGCCACAGCAAGACCTGCCCAAGGAGAGTCTAAGCTCAGACACACCTAGCCCTGACTCACCCAATGGCCCTTCCCTACCCACCCTGGTAACTGAAGACAAAGGGCATATACTCTTGGGAGTTCTAGGGCCCCATCCACCACTGTTCCCTCTCCACACTGCTACAGCTGATGCTTTCTAGAAAGCACCACCTCCTGGCAGGAGGCAACTAGCACAAAAATAGTGGATTAGACAACCAAAACTAAGGACCCTCACAGAGTCCATTTCACTCCCCTGCCACCTCCACCGGAACAGGTGCTGGTATTCACGGTTGAGAGACCTGCAGATGGTTCACGACACAAGACTCTGTGCAGACAACAATGTATGTCTAAGTCTGTTTTTGTTTGAATTATTTTGGCTTTTGTGTGTCTGAGAGAAAGTATTTCATCTTAGAGTCTGAAAGTTTTTTTTACTGATTATAGAATTTTAGCTTTTTTTTTTTTTCTTTTAATACCTCAGAGCTGTTGCTCCACTGTTTTCTGGCTTGCAACATTTTAAGTGAAAAGTTTCCTTCATTCTTTTGTTTTTGTTCTACATGTAATATGTCTTATTTTTCTGGCTGCTTTTAAGATTTTCCATTTATCACTGGTTTTGAGCAATTGGATTGTGATGCTGTTTTGCAGTAGTTTTCTTTGATTCTTGTGCATGAGATTCATTAAACTTCTTGGATATGTGGGTTTATAGCCTTCTTCAGTTTTTGAAAAATTTTGATCATTATTTCTCCAAATAGCCTTTGTTCCCCCTTAACCCTTTTGTGGACTTCAATTACATACAAATTAGGATTCTTGGAGTTGTTCCATAGCTCCTTGATGCAGTTTTTTTTGTCAGTCTTTTTCCTTGTGTATTTCACTTTGGGTAGTTTCTATGTCTTCAAATTTACTAATATTTTCTTCTGCAGTGTCTAATCAACTATTAATACCAGTGTAATATTAAGCAGTGCAGTTTTCATCTCAGATTTTGTTTTCTTCATCCCCAGAAGTTTGGAATTGGGTCTTTTTCCTATCTCTCATGTCTTTCCTCAACATGCTCTTCTACTTTCTTAAACTTATAAAATACAATTGTTACAACTCTAAAAATATCTTTATCTACTAATGCTTATCATTGTCATTTCTGGGTCTGTTTCTGTTGTTTGGCTTTTCTCCTTATTTTGAACTGTATTTTTTCCGCTTTTTATGTCTGGCAATTATTTTTATTGAATGACACATGGTAAATTTTACCTTGTGGATGCTGGATATTTAAAAAATTTCTTTAAATATTCTTGCTCTTGGTTCTTGCACTTTGGGTCACATTTCAATTACTTATAAAGTTTGGTCCTTTGAAGATTTGCTTTTGTAAAATGTGAGACCAGAGCAACTTTTATTCCAGGTCTAATTTTGCCTCATTACTGAAGCAATATTCTGAGGCCTGTGTATTACAAGGTTTTTTCCAGTTTGACTGGTGGGACAACAAATTATTTCTGGCCCTATATAATCACTGGCATTATTCCACCTGAAGCTTTCTAGTGTTTCCTTTTTTTCCCTCCTGCCTCAGGTAGTTTCTGCACATGCAGAGGGTGAGCAATACTCAGTTAAAGGCTTGAAGGGAGCCCTCTAGACATTTCTGGGACTCTTTCTATGTGTAGCTCTCTCCTCTCTGGACAAGTCCTTCCTTTTCTGCAGTTTCCTGTGCAAACTTCTAGCCACTTTGGCCTCCTCCAGTTCTTAGCTGACTCCTCAATTCAGAGATACCATAGAGCTGTTTGGCACTCTACCCTTCCCTCCCAACACTACAACCTGGAAAGTCTCTCTAGAAAGTAAGCTGCTTAATTGTTGGTCTCACATCACTTGTTTGCCTTTTCTCAGGGATTACTGCCCCATGCTGCTTGTTGCCCAATGTCTGAAACAAGTAGTTTTATGTATTTTACCCGTTATTTTCTACTTGGTTGAGTTGAAAGGGCAAATTGCATCCCTATTACTCCATTAAGATTAAAAGCAGAAATCCCTTTTTTTAATATCCTGTTTATACAAGTTTGGGGATTGTCTCTACAATATCTCAGTCAAGCCAGATGTCTTAAACATTCTAGTTAAGAAACATCTGGTACTTATCAGAGATAAAGATAGTTGAAATATTTTTCAGTTGCTAACTTGTAGCATAAACTTTTGATTACATATTACTTCACCATTCTCTGGGTTCATATTCTTTTTTTAAATTTTTTAATTTTTTTAGTAGAGACAAGGTCTTACTATGTTGTCCAGGCTGGTCTCAAACTCCTGAGTGCAGATGATCCTCCTGCCTTGGCCTCCCAAAGTGTTGGGATTACAGGCATGAGCCACCACACCCAGCCCATATTCTTTTTAAAAATATTTATTTATTTATATTTTGAGACAGGATCTTACTCTGTTGCCCAGGCTGAAGTGTCGTGGTGTGATCATGGCTCACTGCAGCTTCAACTTCCCCAGGCTCAAGTCATCCTCTGATCTCAGCCTCCCAAGTAGCTGGGACTGTGAGCCTGTAGTAAGCCTGGCTAATTTTGTATTTTTTGTAGAAATGGGGTTTTGCTATGTTGCCCAGGCTGGTTTCAAACTCCTGGGTTCAAGTGATCTGCCCACCTTGGCCTCTCAAAGTGCTGGGATTACAGGTGCGACCCATTATACCTGGCCTCTTTTTTCTAGGGTGCAAAAGTAACACACAAGAATAATTGATAATGAAATATTTTGAAGTAAATTATAGATATTGTACCCTTTCCCCCAAAACAACTGCTAGTGCATGTGATCTTGGGTCTCAGTGGCCACATCCTTACCAGCAGAGCCCCGGCCATTGGCTCCTTTTTCTCATCGATACTCTTAGATGCTGGAGCCAGAACCACATGTAGAAATGACAGAGAGGGCGTGTGCAGAACAGTGCAAAAGCTCCTGAGCAGCAGCCATGCCTCACCTTCTGTGGAGGTGTCTGTTATAACAAGTGGCCCTTAGGTCAATATTCACAAACCTCTTCTTGCTTAAGTGACTGATGATTTAAATAGATATTTTGCTTTGAGAAAATCTGCAAAGTAGTTTATTCCTGAAGGAAAAGAGAGGAGAGAATAGTCTAACACTAACTCCAGAATCTCTTTCCCCAGGTCAGGTGGGAGTTCAGCGAGGAAACCAACTCTTTTTAATAGGGAGACATTTCTGTGGGCCTCAAAGCCCAGATCCTTCCCCAGAATGTTCCCCACTAGTTCATCCTCCCACACACCCATACTCTAATCAAGTATTTATTCACCAGGCTCATCTTTGAGGGAAATGCAGAAATGAATAAAGCATATTCTCTGCACCTACCGTTTATAATCAAGTAGAAAATCAATCATCAGCATCTAATGAACTCGAATCTCACTGTATGAAACGCAGCTCAGTTGCCTGCTTTCTAATTCCCTACTTGGTGGCATCACTCGTTTTTGTGAGTTCTTCACAGACTTCCCTCTGCCTTACATAGTAACCTGTGTATTCAATCAACATAACCAGTGTACCTGATTTTCTCACACTAGCTTTCAAAGACTGCATCAGGCTATTCAGAGATATATCACCACTCTTGCCTTCAAAAGCTGAATCACAACACCTTAATCTGATTCTGGCTACTACTTTACTCTAGGAAGTAGTAGCTAAATCAGTACAACCCTTTGATCTTGGAGGCCTCCGAAGAGACTTGGTGCAGATTTCAGGTGAGAGCAAAACAAGTAACTCACAGTATGTCAAGTGTTATCTGTAACACACAGAGGGACTATAAAGTAGCAAAGGAGGCCTCCCTACCCTGCCCCTGGCAAGATGGGCACCATTTTTAGAGCATGGCAGTGATGGATAAAGGCGTTAGCAGAGGCAGGAATGCCTGAGAGCAGAGTCTGCATTTCTGTGCTCCAAAGAATCAAAGTGCTGCAAATGCTCATCTGTGGCTGTGGAGATAACCTACACTTCTCTCTAGCAGTGTGGTCAAGCTGTATTGAGACTCAACAAAACCATAGGAAATCTTTAATCTTAATCTAGGTTTAACTTCAAAGCTGATTTTTTGTTAATGTGTATCTTTTAAAGTCACCTTTTTTTTTTTTGAGAAAAGTTCTCGCTCTATTGCTCAGGCTAGAGTGTAGTGGTGCGATCATGGCTCACTTCAGCCTCTAACTCCCAGGCTCAAGAAATTCTCCCACCTCAGCCTCCTGAGTAGTTGGGACTACAGGCATGCACAACCATGCCCAGCTATTTTTTTTTTTTTTTTGGTAGAGAAGGGGTCTCCCTATGTTGCCCAGCCTGATCTTGAACTCCTGGGCTTAAGTGATCCTTCTGTTTCAGCCTCCCAAAGTGCTGGAATGACAGATGTGAGTCACTGCATCTGGCCCAAAATCATTTTATCTTGAGGAGAAATATGTACTGTCCATTGACATGCAGTTGTTGGAGCACTTGGGGTCCTTGCTTCCTCAACTCCAGGAAAAGATCTTTAACATGAATAGTGGTATGCATGCATCTGCTTGCTTCTAGGCTAGGTGTCCTTGACCACGTTTTCCCTCCATAATTTTTCTAATGGTCAATAGATATTTAGTGAGGAGGTGAATGAATAGACCCATTGTGATATATCTATACAATAGAATACAACTCAGAAATAAAAAGGACCAATGTATTGGCACACAATATCCACAGATCTCAAGTGAGTATGCCAAGTTAAAGAAGGCAGACAAAAGTGAGTGCATACTGTAGACTCTACATAAAATTGTAGAAAATGAAAACCCATCTACAGTAACAGACAACAGAACAGTGGCTATCTGTGGTTGGTGAGACATGGGAGAATGGGATTACAAAGGGGCAGGAGAAAGTTTCTGGTACATATATGTCAAAATTTATTGTGATGATTATTTAACAGGTATATTCATCTCAATATTTATAAAAGTGTGCACTTTAAATATGTTCGGCTTATCCTATGTTAAATTATACCTCAATGAAGCTGAAAAAAAAGAGTGGGTACCAGTATGATACAGTTATTCACTGATAACGACAACTTGGTCAACAATGGACTGCATATATGACTGGTCTCCTTAGATTATAATGGAGTTGCTCTATAATGGTGTGCCACATTCTATCTTTTATACTGTATTTTAACTGTACTTTTTCTATATTTAGATATGTTCAGATACACAAATACTTCCCATTGTGTTACAATTGCTTACAGTATTCAGTACAGTAACATGCTATATAGGTTTGTAGACTAAGAGTCATAGTTCATATCATGTATCCCAGGTGTGCAGTAGACTATACCATCTAGGTTTCTATAAGTTGTTAGGTGACTTCATCATTGTCAATGATGAAAATAACTTACAGACACATTTTACATAGAGCATCTCCATTAAGTGACACATGACTGTATATTGTTACTGCTACCTGAACTAATCTCATTTACTCACTTCAAACTTTCTTGAGGGCACAGCTGATGTCTTCCTCTCGGTGATCCCAGGAGGATACCAAAGAGCAGTGAAAAATAGAGGCAGTGGCCCTCTCAGATCACAGTAGAACTCCCTGACCCTCAGCTGGTCTCCCGCTCTGAGTAGGAGAGGCACACTCCAGGCTCTCTTAGGCTTCTGGTTGAACTCAGTGAGTTAAGAGAACATAAAGAATGGGGTAAACTAGGACTGTGGATGTTCCTTGGTACACTCATCTCTTCCTGACAACACTCTCCATGAGGGAATTTCTAATCTGGACAGATTTCAAGGACGTCGATCACACTGCATTTATTGGTATGTGGAGTTATTTTTCTTAACTGATCAGACTCAGTCTTTGGTGTCACTCTTCCATTTTTGTCTTCCATGCAGCTTAGTATGAAGAGCCAGGACTCCTTTCCAGCTCTTACTCCAGTTTGAGCTATTGAATAACGGCTCCTTTCTCACTTGATTTCAAAGATAATATGCTGTCTTGGGTCTCCTCTTGCCTCATTGCTCACTCCTTGGTCTTTAGTGATTTCTCTTTATTTCCTGTAATTCTAAATATTGCAGTACCTCAGAGTTTAGTCCCCATGTCTACTTTCTTGTCTACTGAATTCACTCACAGGTACTCTCATCCATGTAACTACTATGACTTCCAAATGGATACTTCCAACCTGGACTTCTATGTGAAACTCAGTCTCGTATATCCAACAATCTACTTGACATTTCCATTTGGATATCTAAGAGACATCTAAACATGTCTCAAACCTCCCATCTTCCCCATCTTAATTACTGGCAATGCTAAACCTTTTAGTCATGTGTGATTTCTTGCTTTCCCTCGTGCCACACATCCAAATAATCAGAAAATCCTGTTGGGTCTACCTTCAGAATAAATCCAGAATCTGATTAATTCTCCCTGTCTTTTGCTACCACTTGATCTAATCCACCATTTCCTCTTACTTGGGTTAATCCAACAACCTCCTAACTGCTCTCTGTGCATCTGCGTTTATCTCTCTGCAGTCATTCTCAACCCAGCACCCAAAGAGATCCTTTTAACTCCTAAGTCAGTTCTTGTCACTCCTCTATTCAGAATCCCCAGTGCTTCTTAACTTCCTCAGGGTTTCAGAGTTCTCACTATGGTCTCTAAGAACATACACAACCTCCCCACTTCTACCATCATTCTACTCTTGTCCACACACTCCAGCCATGCCAAACTCCTTGCTTTTCTTGGGCTCTCTAAGCATGTTTCTACATATTCCCAATGGAAGGTCTTTTCTATTACTGTTTTCTCAGCCTGGAATATTCTTCTCCTAGATATCTATTTTGCTCAGGTTCTTACTTGCTTCAGGTTGCTGCTAATATCATCTTATTAGAGAGACCACTCTTGACCCCCTCATATAAAATTGTAACCTACCCCCCTCAATCACTCCCTGTTCTCCTTAGCCTGCTTATTGTTATCCATTGCATTTATCACTGTAGCACATATTCTATATTTACTTGCTTATTTTCTACCTCCCACAAGCTCACACTAGAGTGTATGCATGCATGTATGAGAAAAGAGACTCTATTTTATTCACTGCTCCATTCCCAGTGCCTAGACATAGTAGACAGTCAATAATATTTGTTGAATAAATAGAGTATTTTCTTTTTGCTAAATGGGTAGTACTGAAATTGTCCCTGATACATTTCATCCTTAATTTCTTCCTGTCTATGGGAAAAAATGGGCACGCTATTCTTCAACTCAGATTTAATCTTTAAGGTTGAATGAAAGAAAAGGGATAGTGTCCATGTGGTTCAGGACCAATATAACACCAGTATGATAATGGTAAGAGCCACAGCTATCAGCTTGGACACTTTTGCCCAGTTGCACCAAAAACTACCATACATTGGCATTTAGTTGGCTAAGTTCCAGAATATAATAGATAAATGTGTCATTATAGGCCTCCCTAATTTCCAAAAAATTCTACAGCATCTCTACCAAGCTTTCAATTGTTATAAAGAATGAGAACAGACTAAGACATTTGATAGTTTAATAAAATTTAGAAGCAATCTCAAACTTACAGCAAAGTTGGAAGTGGAGTTAAAAAAAAGAGACTTTCGTGGTCTCAGTAACTTGAGAGAATTCTTGTGAGATCTGGTTGCAGAAAGATTTAAAAGAAAATAATACATGTGGCAACAGTATTTAAATATGATGTTTGAAGTCACTACTTTTTGAGTTTCAGGTGGAATTAAGGTCTAACTACTCTTGAAAACGTCAGATGAAGATTTTTCTCCCTTCTACCCTTTGACCTGCTTGGGAGAAACACCTTAAAAACTGTAATGTTCAACACAATGATTATTGCTGTGAGATGATGATTGTGGTGTTTAGGCAGAATTAACAGATGTAAAGTCTCTTTTTGTGGCATATTCATTTGTGATTCTTAGGTCCAACTCAGGGTTTTTTGGGCCACTGTCAATTTATTTTTTGTCTTTCCAATGCTAATGACAGCTCCGAAAGATGCATTAAGCTAATTTTCCTTGAACTTCAGCCATCCCTTGTGATCCTAACGGTTTATTAGGAAAGTATGAACATTTTTTATGCCTTATTTGCTAATGAAACAGAGGGAGCTCTTTGTGAGGTATCTTAGATCTTGGGTCACAAATTGCATTTTTACATGGAAAAATACTATAATGAACTAAACTACCACCCAAGGCATTCTGATGATGTCTATATGTCAGTGTTCTAATCCTCTTCACTCTTTGTGGATGAGGACATTACTAGGGGCCTGAAGTAAAACAGACCTATATTTGAATTGACTTAGTGGTTTTGCTACATCTTTTAACTTCTCTGAACTTTAGTGCTTCATCCTGATTTTACTTTCACAGCCACTTAATCCTAGGCAAGTTACTTAACCTTTCAGTGTCTGTTTCCTCATCTATAAAATGAAGATACTAATGGTACCCACATAATAAGTTTTTTATGAAGTTTAAGTAAAGCAATACCCATATAGTCTTTAGCACAGAGCCAAGCATATAGTCAGCATGTAATAAATGCTTGCTATTCTTAGCTATCATTCAACTCTGGAATCTTGCATGGTTTTGTAGTGTTTCCTCAAGGGCAGCATGTTTGTATAAGCTCAGAGGTAGTTTGGATACTATGCAGTGATTCACAGTTCTGCTATCTACAGTGGGCAGGAGAGGTAGTTGGCTTTTTTATTGCTACCAACCTTGGTCACCAAGGGGATTTGTTACCTTTTCTCATTAAGCAGAAGCAAAGTTGAGGAGGATTAAGTCTCTCTACGCTGAGGTAACTCCAAGCTTTGGAGAGATTTTTGTAAATTCTGGAAAGAGTAGGAGGAACGTTAGAATAGTAGCAGAATGTATATTTGTGCTAAGTCATGTTGAGAACGTGCTAAAGTTGGAGACATGAATTGATAGTTGCACAATTAGATGCAATTATGTGAGTTTTTTCAACAGCACTTGGAAACAGAGAGCAGAGAAAATCAGCAGCTAGGGTAAAACAGAGTTAGATTTTGATGAGGAAGATATGAGATGTTGAATGTACTGGTTTAAGGAGGTGGATCAAAGGGTATGACTGGGCAAAAAAGGTGGTGAGTCCAGAGAGATGCTGATTATTAGAAAACCAAAGATGGGGAGATCAAGGAACTAGAAGTTCCTACTAGGCTGAAGATCCGAGGTACTGGGTATAAAGGTTTGGAAGGGCTGGCAGAATACAAAGTGTTGGTGGGATTTTATAATTTTAATATTTCAGTCTTGGTTGACTTATGGATAATAGATATTCCTGGTTATGGTCTTGAGAGTAGATGGGAGAAAGAATAAGGGAAATGCCATTAGAGTTGAAGAGGCTAAACTGTGAAGCCAGAGTGTTCAGTGTATCATCCCTGATATTGGTGGAACTCAGCAGTTCTCCAGAGTTCTTCAGGTTTCTGCCTGAGAGACAAATCTCTTCTCCAGGACCTGGGAGCTAGGAGTGATCTTGCCCTTTGGACAAGATCTTGCTTGCTATTAAAAGGAGCAGCAGGAGAAAAAAAGGTGGAAGAAGAAGAGTGACAGAAGAGTACAAGGAGGAGAGAGAAACAAGGAAAGGGTGAAGGGAAGCAAAGAAGAAGGGGAAGAGGAAGAAAAGAAAAGAAGCAAAAAGAATTCTAGCCCAAAGTTGTTCTTCAATGCCCTTGCAAATGCAGGTCATCATGCCTGTGTTATCTGAATGTCTTTTAACTCCAGTTGTGATCCTGCTTCCTAATGTTTACGTAACAGAAAAAAGGCTCAGAGTAGTTCTTTTACTTGCTTGTGACAACAAAACATGTTCTGTTACACGTAAAGGGGATTTAAGGTTGCAGATGGAATTAAGGTTGCTAATCAGCTGATTAGGAGAGTGTCCTGGTTAACCAGGATGAGTCTAATGTAATCGCAAGGGTCCTTATAAGTGGAAAAGGGAGGAAGAAGAGTGATGTGATGTGAGAAAGACTCAAAGGGCCATTGCTAGCTTTGATGGGGGAAGAGGGCCATGAGCTGAGGAATTCAGGCAGCCTCTAGAAGTTGGAAAAGGCAAGACAACAGATTCTCCCCTAGAGTCTTCAGAAATGAATGCAGCTGTGCTAACTCCTTGATTTTAGCCCAGTGAGACCAGTTTCAGATCAGAACTGTCACATAAGAAATTTGAGTTGTTTCAAGCCACTGAATTTATGGTAACTTGTAACACCAAAAATAGGAAACTAGCATATACCTCTCAAAGTCTTGGTGCCCATGTGTTCCACATCTGAGAGGACCACCTTGCTTTCAGACCACTGAGTTTGCCTTGGAGGCTCTGTCCCTATACAAGGTTGAGTAAGCTGGTATCCCAGAACTCTTGATTAACACATGTGGTTGGCTGGCAGCCAGGGAAAAGTCAATATTGGGGGCCGAATTCTTCCTGAATGGAGTAAGGAGGCCTGTTTCAGCTCAGAGGTGAAAAATCTTGGCTGGATTAGCCCAGTAAATTCTCAAGATGCCTGGCAAGCGTCCTGGATTGTGGCATTCTCTGACCGATGTAAAAGCTTGAGCCTCTGAATGAATGGACGCCCTCTCCAGGGTAGCCAGTTCAGGGAAACTGGGGAGATACCTTAACACCTTCCTGGGTTGACTTAATTCCTGGTTTCCTTTTGAGTGAATGGAGGTGGGCTAGGAAAGATGGGGTTCTAGAATCAGAAGAGCCGCACAGAGATCTGCAGACTCAGAGGGGCCCACAGGCATTTGCAGCAGTCACCTCATTGCACAGCTGAGGGGGCTTGTCTGAGGTCACATTAGCAGATTAGCGCAGCCCATTTCCCTTTGTGTGACTTGGCAAAGAGAAAAATCGCCTATTAGTTTTTCCAGTGGAAGAGAATCCCAGAGCGGTCCGAGTGGGTGAGGAGTCTTGATAGAGCGATGTTGGGAAAAGTTCAGGAACTTGGAGGAGAACAGCAGGGGAGGGGGCAGCGCTGAGCGCGGAAGGATGGAGGGAGTGGGGCCCCCCTCTGCCTCAACTCTGTTCTCCTCATTTTGAGCTTGTATTTAAGCACGCCGGGGGGCTGGCCTGGGGGCCTCTCACTCGCAGCTTCCTCCAGTGCCTCCCAGGGCGGCTCTCCCGGGTCTCCCCTATTTGGCCGGCTCGGCCAGCTGGGCCTGGCGTTCGGGGCGGGGCCGGAGGAGCGCGGGGGTGGGAGTCCGGGAGGAAGATGCACCGAGCGGGCGGGCTGCGAGGCCGCGGGGCATGCGGGAGGCGGAGGGGTGGGGACCGGGGTGGGCTGCGCCCTCCCGCTCTGGCCCATTCCACACCCCGCCGAAAGCGGACACTGTCAGCTGAATCACTCCCCTTTTAGGAGGAGGGAGGGGAAAAAGGTGTCTAGCTCCTTTCTGCTTAAAAAAGCACAGGGAGATCGCGGGCAGCTTTGCAGTCGCTGCCTTCTCGCGCCTGACCATGCACCCCTGCATCTTCCTGCTGGGCCACAGGCGAGCGCTTTATTTCTGGAGCTGAGGGCTAAAACTTTTTTGACTTTTCTTCTCCTCAACATCTGAATCATGCCATGTGCCCAGAGGAGCTGGCTTGCAAACCTTTCCGTGGTGGCTCAGCTCCTTAACTTTGGGGCGCTTTGCTATGGGAGACAGCCTCAGCCAGGCCCGGTTCGCTTCCCGGACAGGAGGCAAGGTTAGTGACTCTTCTTTATTTCTTTTTAAAACAGTGGTGGTAAGACTTGCGGGAATTTTGTTGCTCCCCTTTCCCTTCCCCCACCCGGCAGAACTGAACTCTGAAAAGCCATTTGGCTGCGTTGTAAGGAAATCTGGGCTGGGACCTCAGGAGCCTAGGCTTTCTCAGAATTCAGTGCTTAAGGTGATGAGTCCTTCATTCTTATAGAAAGGTGAGTACCTCACTCTTTTACAGGGATGACACTGCAGTCTTTGAAAGACCCAAGAGGTAGCTGGTAACTTTTTCTCTTTTGTCTCCTCTTTGAATGCTGTACTGTTTTGATCCCCTATTTTTCAGACTCTAAACATGGAAAATTTTTTTTTTAAGTGCTAACTGGCTACTGGCCGTCATTGCAGTGTTTCTAGTTAGTTTTAAACCTCTGGTCAGGAAAGGGGAAATGTGATTCTTCCCCCCTACTGAGCAGGCTTGGCTGTGTTTTGGTTTCCTGGAAAGATTTAGGGTTGTATTTTTGAAAGAATAGTCCTTTTGGGGGAACTATACCTCCATAAGGGCTCACTTTTTCCTGTCCTGTCTCACTGACCACAGCTGGCTGCTTCTCTTTATGAATTTCTGAACTCATGTTATTGTAGGAAGCATTGGAAGCGTTCTGGTGGACAATTTGTTGTTGTTGTTTTATTCTTTTAAGCCTAACAGTCAGCAGTTTATTGGACTTGGAAGGGTCAGAGGCACCTTCATGTTTGGTGGGGGGTTCATTGTACCTCTGGGGGTAAACAGTCCTAGCAGCAGCAATGGCCCGCGTGGCACTCTGTGTCAGCCCATCCGATCACTGGCAATAGCCTTCCAGGGTGCAGGTACCAGTGTTGCTGTCCCTGCTGTACAGATGAGGATGCTGCAGCTTGGAGAGCTTATGAGGCCAGCTAATGTAGAGCAGAGTTTTCAGCTCAGGTAGTCTGACTCTTAGAATCATGCAGCACTGTCCTGTAGCAATAATAGGGACACACACGCACACACACACGCATATGCACCCACACGCATGCACACGCACACAGAGCACTGGGTTAGCATGCACTAAGTCCTGTGTTTGCTGACTGTGCTGAAGCCTCGGGAAGTGTCCTCCATGACTTTCTGACATCCCTTTAATTCCCAAGGCCACTCGGGTGATAAACATCACCAGCCTGTCCTTGTTTAGGATTTCTAAGCAGGGTTTTCTGCTCATGTTGTAAAATTCAAATATTGCTGGACAACTCATCTGCTGTGGCTTCAAGACGTATCAGAAGCAAGTCCCTCTCTTTGCTTTACTTGGAAAGCTGGAGCCAGCAAACACTGGGGTTAGATGTCAGTCAGCCAGCACTCACTTGTGTAAACGGTCCAGATACAATCTCCCACCCCCAAGTTTAAAATAGCAGGGCTTGTTGTTCTTTGAAAAACAGTTCCTTTGTGAAAAGTCTCCCTTCTGGGGCAGCACAAACAAAGCCTGCAAGCACTTCCCAGGGCATTTGGAGATGATTTCGTTCAAAGACACACATTCTCCTGGGTTGGTTTTCAGCTCTGCTCCACATCTTCTTTGTAAGGGAATTCAGCTTGGTGTGAAGCAGACACCACGGGGCCATGGTTTTTGCTCTCTGGAAAGTGAGATATGATTATTTTCCCTAGTCACCTCTATCTAGAGCTATGTGCTGAGAGTATCCACTGTTCAAAAAACCTATAAAGTGCTCCAAGCTTATTGGTGATATATATATTTATTTAGGTTTAAAAATAATTAGAGGTTTTTGTTTTTCGAGGCTGAGTCTTGCTCTGTCTCTCAGGCTGGAGTGCGGTGGTGCAATCTCAGCTCACTGCAACCTCTGCCTCCCGGGTTCAAGTGATTCTCCTGCCTCAGCCAACCAAGTACCTGGGATTACAGACGTGTGCCACCATGCCCGGCTAATTTTTGTATTTTTAGTACAGACGAGGTTTCACCATGTTGGCCAGGCTGTCTCCAACTCCTGACCTCAGGTGATCTGCCCACCTTGGCCTCTTAAAGTGCTGGGATTACAGGTGTGAACTACTGTACCCAGCCAATAATTTCAGTTTTTAAAAGCATTTCACCAACCACAATCAATTCCCTAGTGGATTTACAAATAATCCACATTTGGTGCAAAGGAGAAATTTCTAAGCAGACTTACATTTAGAATTAAGAAGGAAAGTCACAAAGAGGGAGGAAGGGATGGATGAGGGCAAACCAGTAGAGAATGAAATTCTAAGGCTATCTGGGATTAGGATGGCCTGGGTTTTTCCCTCCAAATGACCTACCTACAGCCTCACAAATAACCAATCTCCTTAGACTTCCATTTCCACTTTGATAGCATTTTTGAATGCATTCAAATCCTGAACGTTTAAACTTGCAAATTACTTCAGGATCATCTCACCCATTCTTATTTTTGAAATATTTAATTTTTTTTTTAATAGAGATGAGGTCTAGCTATGTTGTCCAGACTGATCTTGAACTCCTGGCCTTAAGCAATTCTCCCACTTCAGCCTCCCCAAATGCTGCGATTACAGGAATGAGCCATCATGCCTCGCCCCCATTTTTACTTTTATGGATAAGGAATGGGAGGTCTAGGGCATCAGTTAGTCAACATATATGATTGAGCACCTAATAAATGCCCCTTCACGAGGAGGGTAAAGGGAATTGCACAGGGTTCCACATTTGGAGACAGATTCAGACACTACATTACCTTTTAGGTTCCTTCTAGTTCTAAGAGTTGGGCTAAGTCAGGATTTTAGTCGTTGGAAGGAGTATGGAGATAAATCCAGTCCTTTCTGGGACTAGAAACATAGAAACAGGCTATTTGACTAACTGCCCAGTATTCTTTCCACATTGCTCAGTTGTGATATAGGAATGTGCTGTGACTTACACAGGATTTCTTGGTTCACAACCAAGTATCAGAACAACGGGAAATATTAATCTTGCACACAACATGCTGCGTGTCTTCTACAGCCAATCATATCCCCTTAGGTTTGTTTACCCCTATGCTGTTTACAAAGCGCCAGTCTGTTCCATGACCTCTTTTGCTCCTGACATCTCTGTGAAATCAACAGGACAGTCACTTTATTCCATATTAGAGATGAACTCCAGGCTTGTGCAAGAAACAGAGGGAATGTTGCAGTGTTTTCAGATAAGAGTTTTAATTATTTATGTATTCTATTAAAAAAATTCTGCAAGGAGGAAAGGATTTCAGCTATTTTCTTAATGTAAAAAGAGAGTTCACAGATTTGATATTTTGTGTTGATTATAATAATCTATACAGTTAGCACATTAGTTATCATAAAGTTTATGAGCAAATCCAACCTTCTGTGGCATACTTTACAATTTTGAGGAGCCCAACACAGTTCTTCACAACATTCCAACATGTGTAAATTTCTATAATAAAAATAGCGTTGCAAGGTTACAGTTATCTTACATGGAAGATAATTATGAAAATAAACCTCTATTACAGGAATTTCATAATCTTGTTTTTTAGAAAGGGATCTGAGAAATTCAATTGTCTCTAAGATAGAAATAAATATAAAGAATAAGTACAGATAATGCTCGCTTTGGAAGCACATATACTAATATTGGACCGATACAGAGAAGATTAGCGTGGCCCCTGCTCAAGGATGACATGCAAATCTGTGAAGCGTTCCATTAAAAAGAAAAAAGAATAGGCCGGCGTGGTGGCTCATGCCTGTAATCCCAGCACTTTGGGAGGCCGAGGTGCGTGGATAACCTGAGGTCAGGAATTCGAGACCAGCGTGGCCAACACAGTGAAACCCCATCTCTACTAAAAATACAAAAATCAGCCGGGCGTGGTGGTGCATGCCTGTAGTCCCAACTACTGAGGAGGCTGAGGCAGGAAAATCTCTTTAACCCTGGAGGCAGAGGTTGCAGTGGGCCGCCAAGATCATGCCAGCCTGGGCAACAGAGCAGGACTCTGTCTCAAAAAAAAAAAAAGAATAACTACTATAGACTGAGCCTAAACTGTATACAACTAGTAGGTAAATATTCTCTTACCTCTGTCCTTTCTAAGCTGAGGGAAAAAGATGCCTTGTTTTGTGTTTTCAAAAGTGCTTGTGCCAGTAGCCTTTACTTGAATTTCTCATGAAGTACCATTGAAACTTGTGGACTGAGGCCTTAAATATAATTTTAAACAAGGCAAATCAAAGTATTTGGAGCTTATAATATTTCTACAAACCCTTGTATAAACTGTGATGTAATTTTCATGTATCTCAGCCTCTGGCCCTCCCAACCCCACACCTTATTGACAACCCGCCTTGACATCTGTGCTAGGTGACAGACCCTGGAGATGCACACAGTGAGGGCAGAGCTTAGGAGTGTGTGCTCTGGGATCCGATTGCCCAGGAAAAAATCCTCATCCCTCACTGTTGTCACTTTACGGAGATGGAAGTATAGTCCCAGATGAGGGATACAGTTAATAATGCTTACTCAGAGAACTGTGAGGATTAGATAAGACCAAGCCGGCATACTCTTAATGTAGTACTTGACCATAGAAATGATAAAAATTAGGAGCTATTATTATTTCTTGACACCTATTTCTCCATCGCTGTCATATCTCCTCTGAGTTCTGCTTTCATTGGCCAAGATTATAGCTAACAAATCTGCCAAACTAATCTTAGCTTGCGGAGAGGAGGCTATGGTGAGTGTGGGCTTCTCTCCTGTCTCTGCTTGGAGGTTACACATGTTTATGTCCACAGTGATCCCGGGTAGCCAAGTTCCTACCTTTAAAACCAACAATGCTAATGTTTAGCTAATGAATGTTATTTGTCAAGCACAATTTTAAATCTATTAAATATATTAATACATTGGAGCCTCACTCCCAGCCTAGGAGGTAGATGCTATTATTATTATGCCCATTGTATAGTTGAGGTAGCTGAGCTTGGGTCACCAACACAAACCACACTTTGTAAGTGACCCCCGATTTCCATCCACACCTATGGGCTGCCATGGCTTAGCTGCCTCCTATGCAATTAGATCAGGAGGGAAAACCGATCTTATCCCTCATCACTTTGCCCAACAAAGAGGCAATTACTAAGTCCATTGATTGCTAAGCAAATTGAGGTGTAAAGAGGTGAAGCACTTCTTGTCTGGTCAGATCACCGTCCCTGGGAGCAGTGTTATCACCTCTAACCCTGCTATACTCTTTGCCAAGAGCAGCTGCTTTTCTTTATTTACTAATGAAGTGTGGTGGCTAGAGCATGGTTTTGAAATAGGAGGCACAGCGTTTCAATCCAAGGAATGTTATATAACGTGGCATAGTGACTTCCTACATTCGGTTTCCTTATCTATGAAATGGGGATAACAACTGAATCTCTATCACAGGGTTGTTGTGAGTATTGAAGGAGGAAAGACTTATGGTAGCTGGCTCATAGCAAGTGCTCATGAAACACTTACTATAATTATTATCATATTATTCTACAGCCAACTTAAATTGGCTCTCTTAAAAATTCATTAGATCAAAAGCAACTGGGTCAAAATTTATAAATTTGTTTGCTCTTTTATTTATTGGGCAATAGGTGCTAGGGCATAGGCAAACTTTAGTCTTTCACTTTATACTTTCAAAAATCATGTTTAAATCTGTGAGATGTATCTTCAGAGGCAGTTTCTATAAGGGATATTTTAAGTCAGAAAATTTATGAGAAAAATTGTTATTTTCTGGATAAATTGAGATAACTCCTAGATTAAGTTTGCTTCCGCCACACTCTTCCCGTTGCAGTTCTTCTAACTCAGATCTGGGACTATTGCTTCTCTGCTGGATGGCCTGGATGGCAGAATACCAAGCCTGCCATTTAAGGCTGCCTCCACCCTGGCCTGCTTTTTCTCACATCCTTGCCTCCTGCTAACACTCCTGTTGATCTGTCACTCCAAACTCATTTTGCTTTCCTATTGCCTGAGAAGACCTCGAGCTCTACTCTAGCTGCCCCCTCCCCATCTCCAGCAGTCTCAGTCAAGGGATGCCTCTTCCAAGGTGAATTCTTCCCTCAGGATGCAGCCAGCTGTAATGGGCACAGTGAGCAGGGCATCGGGAGTGATCATTGTCAGACTGCCTTGTATCATGGGGCACTGGCATGCCTTACTTATCTTGTCTACTGGATATTCTCTATAGTTCTGTCATAAGCCAGCACAGCACTCTCCCATTCAATCCTTCTTACCTATTTATTTTTAATTGGGAAAAGCAACACAGGAACTACAATTTTTTTTTATTATTTTTTATTTTTTATTTTGAGACGGAGTCTTACTCTGTTGCCCAGGCTGGAGTGCAGTGGCACGATCTCGGCTCACCGTAAACTCGGCCTCCCGGAGGAACTACAAATTTTAAAAGGAAAAACCACACCCCAAATCTCATCATCATAAAAATATGTACTCTTACCCATTATTTCAAAGGCTTTGTTCATATGCATATATATTAATATATCTCACAATTGCAATTATAGTAGAGATGCAATTATACATTTATTGCCCCTTTATTATATCCTATTGTTTCCATATTTCTGAAAAATTACCACAATTATTTTGATATATCATCTCACACAAAAATTTAGAGTAACTTTTTAATAATGTAAGATTGATTTAGAATCACACTTGTTGGTTTCTGTTTCATGACAACCTAAATTTTATTATAGTTGTTTTCTAAGTATAACAAATAAGATATTTTCAACTCTTTTCAGAGTTTTTCAATAGGTTATAGCTCATTTGACTTGGAAGAGTATAACATTTTATTCAGAATTCATGTTTTAAAATGTGATTGCTTTTCGTTCGTGCTCCCTTTAAATCAGTCAGTCTGGCTTTTGGAAAAAATAATCTGCTAGAAAAGATGCTTATTTTTCTGTTTTGATGGAGATGCAGAAACTTGCATGTATAACAGGGTATTCAAATGGGACTCTTTCTTTTGTCTCAGTTTCTGCCAAGACCTTAAGTCTGAGAAGAAAGAAAAGATTAATTTTCCACATACACTTAAAGAGAAATTTCAGACCATATGTGTGGGACTTGCAGGGTGATGGTGTGATTCTGATTCCTTCACTCTCCTAGTATGCACGTGAGGAGAGGCTTAAAGGCCAGTGGAGAGATTTCAGAGAGAGAATTCCTTCAGGACAGATGAGAGTGCCAGGGCATTCATCCCCCCTACTGTGCCCCAACTCAAGGCAAGTGAAGGGACAGCTAGAGATCTTGAGGGTTTGCTATGGGCTTGGGGAGCATGGGCACTAGCATTTTAGCCTTAAAATACTGATAGGCAAAAGACTGCCTGGAATGACATTTGGTGACAGAGCTGACCAAAAGCACGGCCAGGAGTGGCCTGATTTTCATGACGTGGGATGGGAGTGAAGGGGATGTCAGCGATCATGGTTGCTTCTTTTGAGCCAGATTTAGACCTCATGGAAGGCAACAAGATGTGGATCATCTTGAAAAGATGCCAAAGAGGATGCCCTGCAGGGGTGACGTGGTTTCAGTAAAGGGGTAGAAGATAGGAAGGCAGTGGGCAGCCAGCTGGAGGAGGAATTGTCCACATTGAGGGACCTGAAGGGAGCAGAGGTTTCCCAGTGGACACAGAGCTTCTCTTAATAGAAGGCGCCAGTCAGCATGTGGACACTGACTACATACAGGGCACCATTGCTAGATGACACCGTTACTATACCCAGCTGAATAAGATATTTTCTGACCCAACTCCCTTCACTGTTCGAGCCCTGGAGGAGCCAGAGGCATCACTGTGAGTAGCAGAGGAGAAGAGCAGCCAGAGGGAAATACTATGGAAGCTGACTGCATCCGCCTCACCCACCCACAGTTTCTCTCTTTGGTAGGTCTAGACCTGGAAGGTCCTCCAATACAGATTGGAGCAGACATTTCTTAGGGAGTGAGTGGACAGGAGAGAGGACTGAGTCAGTTATACACCTCAGTTCATGGCACACTAGTATCATGAATTTGCGAAAAAGCTTTTTTTGTTATATATATTTATGCATTTTTGTTCCCACTCCCTACTCCAATTCTTCCCCATGGAAAACCATTTTAATGGGTTCCATATGTATTTCTTGTTCCAGTGTGTTCTGGAAAACTTTGTATTATTGTTTTAGTGTGTGTGTATTTTCCATGAATGTAAGTAGCTCTGCATTAGCTTATTTTATTTCTTGTTTTTCGTGGAGTGTTGCTGTGAAGATTTGCCCATGTTGCCATGTGGTCTGCTGTGCCTAGCTGCTGCAGTAGGAAGTAATGGGTCCGGGCTTTTTACACCTAAAAATGGAGACCATTTGTTAGTACCTGAGAGTGAAAACTCTGTATTCTGCCCCATATTTCATCCAAGGCAGAGAAGAATGATTCCACAAAGGGTTTGGAGGTAGTTGCCTGGAAAAAAAAAAAACAAAAAAAAAAAAAACAAAAAAAAAACCAAACAAACAAACAAAAAAACTCTTTTATAATTGTAGCCCATCAAGCCCAGTTATTTTAATTAACCAGCTGCAATAGTGTTTACTGATACATCAACATATAAGAACTGAGCACCTGTGATGTGCAAGATTCTGGCAGATTTGGGGATAAATCATATAATAAAAGGCAATATAAAATAAAGCCATTCTAGGAGGTACAGAAAGTAAGGGCATGAGGGTTCAGGGAAAGGAGAGAGAAGTTTAGCCAGGGACACTAGGAGAATAAAGAGGAAGGATTTGAGTTGAGATTTGAATGCTTAAACAGGATTTTGATAGAATGCAAAAGACATTCTAGTTGGGGAAGTTACACGAGCAAAGTAAAAGCAAGATCCAAAGTGCAAAACTACAACTGAGAGGTGATAAGTAGAAGGTTTTTTGTTTGTTTGTTTCAAAATATTAGTTTATCTTACTAAATGGTTAATAGTTTTGGGAGGCCAAGGTGGGTGGATCACCTGAGGTCAGGAGTTCAAGACCAGCCTGACCAACATGGAGAAACCCCATCTCTACGAAAAATACAAAATTAGCCGGGCATGGTGGTGCACACCTGTAATCCCAGCTACTTAGGAGGCTGAGGTAGGAGAATCACCTGAACCTGGAAGGCGGAGGTTGCGGTGAGTCGAGATCATGCCATTGCACTCCAGCCTGGGCAACAAGTGCAAAAATCTGTCTCAAAAAACAATACAAAACAAAACAAAACAAAACAACAAAAAAAGAAGAAGTGTAATCCAGAGTGATGATAAATTCCCTCCTAGGTAGATCCTTTGTTATTCTCAAACATCAAAATAAGGAGGTAGTGGTAGGGAGGCAAATTTGAGTAGGTCAAAATGTGTATGTGTTCTTGTGTGGGGAAGGATCAAGGGTTCCAGTCTTGCATTTTTAAAGTGGCAGTTTTTATGTTTTGAGCCAATGCCTCAGATCCTGACATATCTCCTTATCATATTAATTTGGTAAACACTTTTTTAAAACCCAGCTTCTTTTATGCACTCTTTGCTGCATTATGGAACACTCTTATGCTGTAATTGGTATGAGGTTTGTCAGCGTGCATATGATGAGTTCTCCATGATTTTGTGTTTTTTTTCCCTCTAATCTGACTTTATCAGGAAGTTCTTGATGTGTTGAAGCACCTTATAATCCACAGTGAAGCTCTGTGATTTGTCTTTCTGAACTCTAGACTTGAAAGATTCCTGTTCCTCATTCAGATCTTGCCCCTTTTCTAACAGTACCCCTCACGGATTAATTCCCATCTTAATGTGTCTCTGGTAAAACACCTGATATCATGTCACTGAGGAGGAAGCACTAGGTAAATTTGAGTTGTTCTGGGAGTTTAATGTTAACAGTATTTGTGTGATGGAAAGGATCTCTAAACTTCAAGTCAACAGTGGGATTTTGTAATTAAAAAGCTAGTGGCTGGGCATGGTAGCTCACACCTGTAATTCTAGCACTTTGGAAGGGCAGGGCAGGCGGATCACCTGAGGTCGGGAGTTCAAGACCAACCTGAGCAACATGGAGAAATCCTGTCTCTACTAAAAAAAAAAAAAAAAAAACAAAATTAGCCAGGTGTTGTGGCACATGCCTGTAATCCCAGATACTCAGGAGGCTGAGGCAGGAGAATTGCTTGAACCCAGTGAGGAGGAGGTTGCGGTGAGCCCGGATCGTGCCATTGCACTCCAGCCTGGGAAACAAGAGCAAAACTCCATTTCCAAAAAAAAAAAAAGCTAGCATTCAAGTTCCAAACGAAAGTGGCTTTGCTTTACTACCAATCTCCCTCACTGTTCTTCCATTTCTCCTTTTCTTTCAGAGCATTTTATCAAGGGCCTGCCAGAATACCACGTGGTGGGTCCAGTCCGAGTAGATGCCAGTGGGCATTTTTTGTCATATGGCTTGCACTATCCCATCACGAGCAGCAGGAGGAAGAGAGATTTGGATGGCTCAGAGGACTGGGTGTACTACAGAATTTCTCACGAGGAGAAGGACCTGTTTTTTAACTTGACGGTCAATCAAGGATTTCTTTCCAATAGCTACATCATGGAGAAGAGATATGGGAACCTCTCCCATGTTAAGATGATGGCTTCCTCTGCCCCCCTCTGCCATCTCAGTGGCACGGTTCTACAGCAGGGCACCAGAGTTGGGACGGCAGCCCTCAGTGCCTGCCATGGACTGGTGAGTGTGGGCTCTGGCATCTCCTTCCTCTGCCCTGGCCCCTAGAGTCTCAGCTGGTAGACCTACTACCAACAGGTTCACAGATGCACTGACATATGGGAGTTGAACCCCTGTGATGTGATGATCCTGGCCTCCAAAGTGGTTGGCGAGAAAGTATTTAATAAATAAAAGAGATCGACTTGAGAGATACAAAGAGTAAGGGCACTGAGGGTTCAGAGGAGGCAGACAGAACTCCAACCAGCAACATCAGTTTGGGGTTGGAGGGGGAAGAAGAGGGAGGATTTGAGTTTGGTTTTCAGCCTCTGAGGCAGCTCTGAGGCAACTGACTGGCTGGACAGCGTATTTTGAATGAGCAGAACCTAGATTTGGACTGAGAATTTATGAATAATGATGGTGATAGAAGCTGCTGTGATATAATAGTTGACTCTGTGTGCTTCGTAATCAGACTTCATGAGGGAACCTCGGGCAGTCAGTTGATCCCTTTGTGCCTCTGTTTTCTCATCTATAAAATGGAGATAATAGTAGTACCTGTCTCATGGAGCAAAGTTTGGCAAACTATGAACCATAGGCCAAATCTGGCCTGCCTCTTGTTTTTATAAATAAAGTTTTATTGAAAGGCAGATATGCTGTGTGTTTACAGATTGTCTATGGCTGTTTTCAAACTGCAACAACAGAGCTGAGTAGTTGGTGTAGTTACTGTATGGCTGAAGAACCGCACAATATTTGCTGTCTGGTCTTTCAGAAAAAGTTTACTGACACTTAATTGTGAAGAGTGTTTAATAAATAATAAACACTCAATGAATATTGGCTGCTGTTATTGTATTTTATTATTCGAATATGCCAGGCACTGGGATATGTGGTTTACTATGTGGTTTATGTACATTGTCCACTTTGCCTCGTTTTAGCAGATGAGACAGTTTGGAGATACTGAATAAATTCACTGTGCAAGTTACTTTGGGTTCAAGTCTTTCTATCATTATACGCTATATCTCAAAATGCAGCAACAGTGATGGCCCCACCAGCAACTGCAGGGCAAACAATGCTCAGGAATTCTGTTGAGATTTTTTGAGGTGTGTGTTTAGGGAGTGAGTGACTGCAGGGGAAGGAATCCCAGAGTCTCGAAAGTGGTTATGGAGGAGTCCGTGTTTTTGGCCTTGGTCCCTGTGCCAGGGCTGGTTTGCTAAGCAAAACTTCTAGTGGCATTGGCATTCCTACAAAAGGCACTTGTTCCAAATCCTCCCATTGTTACTGCCATTTTGCTAAGAATTTCTGTACTTTGTAATTTAGGGCTCTGTTTATCTTGTATCTCTGGAGTTTGGCTTTGCTAGAATACTGTGAGAAAATTCAGTAAAACATTATCCAGCAGTTTAAGTTTTCCAGAGGACCTCTGGGGATGAATTGCTTTGTACAATAAATGGAAAGTCTTGCTTTGCCTCTTTCTGTAAATTTGGATTTTCATATTAGGTGTTTATCGTTTCCTCCTAATTAGATCATAGCAGAAAATCAAGAATGGTGAATGGTTTTCTATTTTTCTTTTCCTCTTCTCTCTGGGCCTCATCAGGGGCTTCATTGAGCTGCAGAACATTTCCCAGCTCCACGGCTGTCATCATCTAGGCTTGCTCTGGACTCACATCACATCTCGCCTTTGCAATCCTGGCTCTCATTCCTGTGAGACAACCCTGGAAGCATTATGGCACCTGGTCCTCTATGGCCAGAACTGGAGAAAGTTCTGGATGATGAAACATTATCCTGCTCATTAAACATGAGCATCTTTCCATGGGATGGAGCAGTATGGTCTGTGGACCTGCAGAATCAACATCACATTGAATGGGGAGCTCATTACAAAGACAAACCCATGGGCTGCACTTCAGACCTAGTGTGTCAGAATCTCGGGGGAATGGGCAAAAATGTCTCTGTGTGTGTTTAGCTGCTTTACTGAGATATAATTCACATATATACGGTTAACCCACTTAAAGTTTACAGCTAAATGGCTTTAAATGTGTTCAGAGTTGTGCAGCCATCACCATGAATTTTAGAATATTTTCATTAGCCCACAAAGAAACCTATATCCCTTAGCAGTCACTTACCCATTCCCCCATTCCTCCACTCCTAGGGAACCACTGATCTACATTTGGTCTCTGTAGATTTGCTTGTCTGAAACCTTTGTTTTAATTAGCTATCCAGGAGATTCTGATGCCCGCTGAAGTTGGAGGAGCCCTGGACTAGAGTAGTCGTTGTTAACCCTGGCTCAACATGAAGACTAGCTGGCTAGCTTTAAAATGGACCCATGCACCAACCCCACAGCCTAGATGTTTTGATTTAATTGGTCTGAGAGTAGAGTCCCAGCATCAGCATTTTTTAAAGCTCCCTGGCAGGAGATTCTAAATTGCAGTCAATGTTGCCAACCACTGGATTAGCATAAGTGGGTGTTAATGGGTGGTATTGGCCAGTGTTACTCTAAAGTACCAGATCTCCCCAGGTGATTCTAATGAGCAACCAGGGGTGCAACCACTGCTGTAAATTGCTCCCTATTTTCATCTTGTGCTTTCTAAGGGAAATTGCATATTGTTTAGCATTATCCTAGGCTTGGGAATAGAATACTAGGACCCTTTCAATTTCAAATGTCCCCAAGGAGCAGGAGTACTACCATGTAGGCATTTTCAGATTCAGATTTCAGATTCATACGACGTTCAGAAGCACAAAGTGTTAGTTAAGATGATGGGAAATTTTCACATCCAGATCAGTGAATGATTTTGCCAGAAGAAATTCTACTGGGAGGATTATTTTGGAACCTTTTACACAAAATTGGATGTTTAATGGATGGTTATAAAAAAAAAAAGGCACCCAAAGCCAAATGAGTTTCTTTCCTTTCTGTGTGTGCACTACTTGGCTGGATTCAAGTTCATTTGCTTGTGTGCCACAATTTGCCAGTGTCCACCTAGAGTGGTCGTAGTCCAAAGGATAGTGGTTGGACTTGTACCTGACTTCTGATCACGTGTCTAGGGTCTGACATCCAGTGTAGTTGTTCTCTCTTTCACCCAGGTATGGCCCTACATTCAAATTCACAGGATGGCAGGCCTAGGATCTGCTGGCACTAAGCCCTTCTCCACTTTTAGGGGCAGAAGTAGCATTTGGGAAGTCCTTCTTAGGAAGAAACACATTCATGTGGACCAGGACGTCTGCCTGTCATTCCTGGGGTGCAAGCCTGGCTTTGTTTGTTTCAGATGTGGTCATCTGAATGAGATGTTGGAGGCTCTTGGAGTTGTCTGTGATTTGAGACTCATTTAGTCTCCTCTGGAGCAGACTCAGATGATTTCAAACTGAGGACCCTAGAAAAGCTACCTATGGGAAGCTGTGGGACAACCTTCTTCCTGCATTTAATATACTCTAGCATGGTTCCAGCCCTTGTCCTCTTTGAGGCTGCTCCCAGACTGAGTCAGCCCGTGTCTCGGCTCAGCAGCTGTCCTCTCTCATCTCCACCGTTTTCACTACCCTTCTCCCATCAACATTTTCACAACTTTGGCATTGTGGAATTTGTTTGTTTTAACAGTTTAGTTAATTTCTTCCATTCTCAGCTTTTTGATGGAGGAACTGTGTTCTTTAATCAGTTAGATTCTGAATTTATCCTCAGGAATGAGTATCGCAGTGGGGGTGGGTTTGGTTTTGCTGTTGCCAGGAGCACTACCAAATTGGTTCCAAGTGAATTTGTTGTTAGTATTTTAGTTTAGATTTCTGCACTGGAAGGATAGTCCAAGATATCCACCCTCGTGCAGAAGACAGGATTGGGGTTCTGATTTTTCAAAGGGCGTTCTAATTCTGCTAAGCACTTATCCTCTGGACTGTGTACCTGGGTCATTAAACTTATAATTTTAATTTCTGTTTATAGCACATTATGTAATTCCTGTTCATAGCATTTCTTAGCTCAGGCTTTACTAAAGTGAATACAGTTTTTGACTCTATCAAAAACTCTAATTCCAGCCCCTGCTGGGAAATCAAATTCTAATTCTTTATCTGAATAGCTGGTCATGGATCTCTCAAGGGCCATCCAGCTTTAACTTCCATCCACTCTCCAGCCTTAAGTTTCCCTTTCTCTTTGGGTGAATTGAGATTTCCTTTCTTGTTTTAAACTCAAATATGGGTTAAACTTTTGAGAGAGATATTTCTTAGTATTTTTATGTTAAACTTTTTATTTTGGAATAGTTGTAGATTCATAACATTTGTAAGAACTAATTCAGAGAGGTATTAGTATGTACCCTCTACCCAGTTTCCTCTGATGGCAACATCTTGCAAAATTACTGCACAGTATCACAGCCAGGATTTTAACACTGATGTGGTCAAGATGACACACTTTTCCATCACAAGAATCCCTCATGTTATCCTTTTATAGCTATACCCATTTCTCTCATGGTACCACCACCTCATATTTATATTTTACATTTAAGTCCATAATCCATTTTGAGTTAATTTTTGTATGAGGTATGAGACTTAGAGGTTCTCCTCCCTCCCCTCCTCCCTCCTTTTCTCTCTTCCTTCCTTTCTTGCTTTGTTGTTTGCCTATGGATGTCTGATTGTTCCAGCACCATTTGTTGAAAGGCTGTTTTTGTTTCATTAAGTTGCTTTTGCACTTTTGTAAAAAATTAGCTGGATGTATTTTTGCGAGTCTATATCTGAGTTTTAGGTTTTGTTCCATCAATAGCACACAGTCTTCATAACTGTAGCTATATAATTAGTCATGAAATCAGGTAGACTGATTCCTCCCATTTTAGTCTACTTTTTCAAAATTGTTTTAGTAATTTTAGTTTCTCTGTCCTTCCATATAAATTTTACAATAATCTTGTCTACAAAATCTTGCTGGGATTTTAACAGGAATTGTATTACATCTATATATTAGTTTGGGAAGAATTGACATCTTTGCTATGTCAAGTCTTGTGATCCATGAACATGGTATGTGTCTTGATTTATTTAGATCTTCTTTGATTTTTTCCATCAGTGTTGTGTAGTTTTCAACATCCTAGCTCTATATGTGTTTTGTTAGATTGACTTCTAAATATCTCATTTTCTAAGTCCTTATATTTTTAATTTTAGTATTCATGTGCTTATTGCTAGTATGTAAACACATAATTAATTTTTGTATGTTTACTTTGTATATACTGTGAATTTGCTAAACTGTCTTATTAACCCTAAGATGGTTTTTTTAGAAGATTCTTTGGGATTTCCTATGTATACAATAATGTCATTTGCCAATGGGGCAGTTTTATTTCTTCCTTTCTCTTCATATGCCTTTCAACTTTCTTTTCTTGCTTTATTACTTTGGCTAGAATTTTGAGCACTATATTGAATAAGAATGGGGAGAGCAACATCTCTTGCCTTTTCTCCAGTCTTAGGGAGAAGGCATTCAGACTTTTATCATTGGGTATACTATTAACTATCTGTTTTGTTTTGTTTTTGTAGATGCTTTCTATCAAGTCACGGAAGTTTTCTGAGAGCTTTTTTTGATTTTGAATGGGTATTGAATTTTGTCAAGTGCTTTTCCTGCATCAGTTGATATGGTCATGTGACTTTTCTTCTTTAGCCTATTAATATGATGGACTATATTGATTAATTTTTTAAAAAGTGTTTATTTTTTAAGAGCAGTATTAGGTTTATACCAAAACTGAGAGGAAAGTAAAGAGATATCTCATAATCTCCCTGCTCCCATATATACATAGCTTCTCCCATTTTCAACATCCCCCACCGGAGTAGTACATTTGTTATAATTGATGAATATATGTTGACACATCATTATCACCTAAAGTTTATTGTTTACATTAGAGTTCACTCTTGGTGTTGTACATTCTATAGGTTTGGACCAATTTATAATGACATATATCCACCATTATATTCTCATATAGAGGATTTTCACTGCCCTGAGAATTTTCTGTGCTCCACCTATTCATTTCTCCACTCTCCTACCCCTGGAAACCACTGATCTTTTTAGTTTTGCATTTTATAGAATGTCATATAGTTGTAAAGCATACAATATGTAGCCTTTTCAGATTGGCCTTTTTCACTTAGTAATATGTCTCACTCTGTCAGTAGGCTGGAGTGCAGTGGCATGATCTCAGCTCACTGCAACCTCTGACTCCCTGGTTCAAGCAACTGTCCTGCGTCAGCCTCCCGAGTAGCCAGGATTATAGGCACGTGCCACAATGCCCAGCTAATTTTTGTATTTTTAGTAGAGACGAGGTTTCACCATGTTGGCCAGAATGGTCTCAATCTCCTGACCTCATAATCTGCCCACCTCAGCCTCCCAAAGTGCTGGGATTACAGGTGTGAGCCACTGCACCCAGCCCCCTGAAGTTTTTTTATGGCTTGAAAGCTCATTTCTTTTTAGTGCTGAATAATATTTTATTATCTGGATGTACAGTTTGTGTATTCATTCACCTACTGAAAGACATCTTCGTTGCTTTTAAGTTTTGGCAGTTATTGATAACGTTGCTATAAACAACCTTGGGCAGGTTTCTTTGTGGACAAGAGTTTTCAACTCATTTAGGTAAATATCAAGAAGTGTTACTGCTGGATTATATGGTACGAGTATGTTTAGTCTTGTAAGAAGCAGCCAAATTGTCTTCCAAAGTGGCTGCACTATTTTGCATCCTCACCAGCAATGAAGGTGAGTTCCTATTGCTCCATATCTTTGCCAGCATTTGGTATTGTCAGTGTTCTGGATTTTGACCATTTCAATAGATGTGTGGTGGTATCTCATTTTTGTTTTAATTTGCATTTTCTTCACCATGGAAATGCATATGATATGGGATATCATTTCATATGCTTGTCATATGTATATCTTCTTCAGTGAGGTTCCTGTTAAGGTCTTTGTTCTAGTTTTTAATCAGGTTGCTAATTTCCTTATTGTTGAGTATTAAGAGTTCTTTGTAAATTTTGACAGCAGTTGATTTATCAGATGTCTTTTGCAAATATTTTCTGTCAGTATATGACTTGTCTTTTTATTCCCTAAATAGTGTGTTTCACAGAGCAGACATTTTTAAGTTTTATAAAATCCAGCTTATCAATTATTTCTTTCATGGGTAATTCCTTTGATGTTGTATCTAAACAGTCATTGAAAAAAACAAGGTTATCTAGATTTTTCTCCTGTATTATCTCTAAGAATTTTAGAGTTTTATATTGTACATTTAACTCTGTCATCCAGTTTGCATTAATTTTCTTGAAGAATATAAGATTTATTGTGTTAGTTTTCCCAAAGGGTGTCTGGATTATTTTTGCCTGTGAATGTTCATTTGTTCAGCACCATTTGTTGAAAAGCCTGTCTTTTCTTCATTACATTGCCTTTCCCACTTTGTCAAAGATAAGTTGATTATATTTATGTTGGTCTATTTATGGGCTCTCTATTCTGTTTCATTATCTATTTATCTATTCTTTCACTAATATCACATGGTCTTGATGATTATACCTTTAATGTAAATCTTGAAGTCCGATAGTGTCAGTTCTCCACTTCTCCTTGCATTCTGTATTGGCTAGTCTGTGTGTTTTGACTCTCCATATAAATTTTAGAATCATTTTGTGAATATCCACAAAGTAAATTGCTAAGATTTTGGTTGGGATTGCATTAAGTCTATAGATTAAGTTGGAAAGAACTAACATTTGAATAACATTGAATCTTCCTATCCATTAGCATGGAATATCTCTTCATATATTTATAGCTTCTTTTATTTCCTTCATCAGAATTTTGTATTTTCCCTCATATAGATCTTGTACATATTTTGTTCGATGTATCTAAGTATTTAATTTTTGGAGAATGCTAATGTAAATGGTATTAAGTTTTTAATTTTAAATACTTCTTGTTCATTGCTGGTATATAGTAAAACAACTCACTTTATTAACCTTGTGTCCTTCAAGGCTGGGTACAATCACTTGCTACAATTGTTTCAGGAGTGTTTTTTTTTTTTTTTTTTAAATCTACATAGCATTCACGTCATCTGTGAACAAAGTATTATTTCTTCCTTTGCAATTAGTATACTTATATTTCCTTTTCTTGTTTTATTGTACTACCTAGAACTTTCAATATGGTGTCAAAAAGGAGTGGTGAAAGAGGACATCTTTGCCTTACTTTTGATCTTAGTGGGAAAGCTTCTAGATTCTCATAAGTATGAAGAGATATTCTGTATTAAATTGAAGAGTTTTATCTCTATTCCTATTTTACTGAGATATTTTATCATAAATGGGTGTTGGATTTTGTCAAGTGTTTGTCCTCCATCTATAGGTATGATCATGTAATTTTTTTCTTTAGCCTGTCAGTGTCATGGATTACATTAATCAATTTTTGAATGTTGAACTAGCCTTGAATACCTGGGATAAATCCCACTTGATTGTGTTGTATTATGTGTCCTGCCTGAAATGTGTCTGGGTCCCTTTTAGCCATAGCTGGAGCTGGAGTGGCTGGGACACAGGGAGCAGAGCAAATGTCTTCTTATACATTGTTGGGTTCAGTTTGCTTGAGGGGTTTTGCGTCTCTGTTTATCAGAGAAATTGGTCTGTAGTTTTCTTTTCTTTTCTTTCTTTCTTTTTTTTTTTTCAGATGAAGTCTCACTCTGTCACCCAAGCTGGAGTGCAGTAGCACAATCTCGGCTCACTGCAACCTCTGCCTCCCGAGTTCAAGCGATTCTCCTACCTCAGCCTCCCCAGTAGCTGGGACTACAGGGGTGTGCCACCATACCCGGCTAATTTTTGTATTTTTTTTAGTGGAGACGGGGTTTCACCATATTGGCCAGGCTGGTCTCGAACTCCTGACCTCGTGATCCACCTGCCTTGGCCTCCCAAAATGCTGGGATTACAGGCGTGAGCCACCACGCCCAGCTAGTTTTCTTTTCTTGTAATGACTTTGGTTTCGGTGTTAGGGTGATGCTGGCCCCACGGAATGAGTTAGAAAGAATTCCCTCTGCTTCTGTCATCTGAGAGATATTTCAGGGAACTGACATAATTTCTTCTTTAAATATTTGGTAGAGTTCACCAGTGAACCTATCTGGGCCTGATGATTTTTCTTTTGGAGGGTTATTAATTATTGATTCAATTTTTAAAATAGATAGAGACCTATTTACATTGCCTATTTTTTCTTGTCTGTGTTTTGAAAGATTGTGTCATTCAAGGAATTGTTTCATTTCATCTAGGTTACCAAATATTGGGGCATATAGTGGTTCATAATATTCCTTTATTCTTTATTCTATAATATTTCTCACATAATGAACATGTGAGAAATGTTCATTCTCACATTGCCATAGAGAACTACCTGAGAGTGGGCAATATTTAATGTCCATGGAATCTGTAGTGATATCCCATCTTTCATTTCTGATATTGGTAATTTGTGTTCTTTCTCTTTTTTTCTTAGTTAGCCTAGCTCAAGGCTTACTGATTTTATTGATCTTTTAAAATAATCAGCTTTTGGTGTTACTATTTTTTCTATCTTTAACTGCATTGAGTTCTGCTCTAATTTTTACTAGTTTTTTTTCTCATTGAATCTAATGTGCTCTTTTTTTTTCTAGTTACCTAAGGTGGCATTGGCTCATTTTTCAAATATTGAAACAGGCTTGCATCTCTGGAATTAATTCCACTTGGTCATGGTGTACAATTCTTTTTATATATCACTAAATACTATTTGCTAATATTTTTAAAAGGATTTTTGCATCTATATTTATGAAAGATATTCTTTTGTAGTTTTCCTTTCTTTTCAGTACTGTTTGTGTCTGATTTTGGTATCAGGGTAATATTAGCTTTATAAAATGAATTGGGTAGTGTTTCCTTATCTTCTGTTTTCTGGAAGAGATTGCATCGAATTTATGTTAGTTATCTTTACATGTTTGGTAGAATTTGTATTGAAACTATCTGGGCCTAGAGACTTCCTTTTGGGAGTTTTAAAAAGTTATGAACTTTATATTCTTAACATAATTCTTAATAGGGCTATTCAAATTTTCTATTTCATTTTGGGTGAGTTGTGGTGGTTTGTGTTTACTGAGGAATTAGTTTATTTTATCTAAGCTGTTAAATTTATGTATTGATTTGTTCATTGTTCTCATATCTTTTTTGGGGGGAAATTTTACTTTCATCTTCATATTAATTCATTGTCACATGGCTATAAAGAACTACCTGAAACTGGGTAATTTATAAAGAAAAGGGGTTTAACTGGCTCATAGTTCCACAGGCTGTACAAGAAGCATGATTGAGGATACCTCAGAAAACTTACAATCGTGACAGAAGGCAAAGAGGAAGGAGGCACATCTTATATAGCCAGAGAAGGGGGAAGAGAAAGCGAAGGGGTAGGCACTACACACTTTTAAACAACCAGATCTCATGAGAACTCACTCACTATCACAAGAACAGCAAGGGGGAAATCTGTCCCCATGAGGCAATCACCTCCCATCAGTCCCCTCCACCAACACTGGGGATTACAATTTGCCATGGGATTTGGACAGGGACACAAATCCAAACCATATCATTTTAGCTCTGGCCCCTCCTAAATCTCACGTTATTCTCACATTGCAAAATACTATCATCCCTTCTCAACAGTTTCCCAAGTCTTAACTCATTTCAGCATTAACTCAAAAGTACACTGTACACTGTTGTGGGAAGTCAGGGACCCCAAACAGAGGGACCTGCTGAAGCCATGACAGAAGAACATAAATTTTGAAGATTTCATGGACATTTGTTAGTTCCTTCCCCAAATTAATACTTTTATAATTTCTTATGCCTGTTTTTACTGCAATCTCTGAACATAAATTGTGAAGATTTCATGGACATTTATCACTTCCCCAGTCAATAGTCTTATAATTTCCTATGCCTTTCTTTACTTTAATCTCTTAATCCCATCATCTTCATAAGCTGAAGATGTATGTCGCCTCAGGACCCTGTGATGATTGCATTAACTGCACAAATTGTTCGTAAAGCCTGTGTGTTTGAACAATATGAAATCTGGGCACCTTGAAAAAAGAACAGGATAACAGTGATGTTCAGGGAACAAGGGAGATAACCATTAGGTCTGAGTGCCTGGGGGCCAGGCAGGACAGAGCCATATTTCTCTTATTGCCAAAAACTGGTAAGAGAAATATCACTGAATTTCTTCACCAGTAAGGAATATTAATAATTAACATCCCTGGGAAAAGAATGCATTCCCAGGGAGGGCCTCTAAAATGGCCACTCTATGAGTGTCTACCTTATGCAGTTGTAGATAGGGATGAAACATGCCCTAGTCTCCTGCAGCGCCCCCAGGTATATTAGGATTAGGAAATTCCTGCCTAGTAAATTTTAGTCAGACCAGTTGTCTGCTCTCAAACCCTGTTTCCTGATGTTTATCAGTGACAATGTGTGCCCAGTGGGACATGGATCTTCATTAGCAATTCTAGTTTTGCCCTGACCTTGTGATCTTGCTCTGACCTTCTGCCTTGTGATATTTTATTGCCTTTGAAGCATGTGATCTCTGTGACCCACACCCTATTCGTACACTCCCTCCCCTTTGAAAATCGCTAATAAAAACTTACTGGTTTTGCGGCTCAGGGGGCATCACAGAACCTGCCAACATGTGATGTCTCCCCTGGACACCCAGCTTTAAAATTTCTCCTTTTCTCACAGCTCCTCTAGTCAGTGCCCTAGTGGGGACCCTGTGTAGGGTTCCAGCCACACATTTCCCCTCTGCATTGCCCTACCAGAGGATCTCCATGAGGGCTCTACCCCTGCAGCAGACTTCTGCTTGGACATCCAGGCATTTTCATACATCCTCTGAAGTCTGGGTGGAGGTCCCCAGTCCTCAGCTATTGCCCTCTGTGCACCTGCAGGCATAACACCACGTGGAAGCCACTGAGGCTTACAGCTTGCATCCTCTGGAGCAGTGGCCTGACATATGTCTGGGACCCTTTTAGCCATGGCTGGAGCTAGAGTGGCTGGGACACAGGGAGCAGTGTCCCAAGGTTGCACAGGGCAGTAGTGCCCTGGGCCTGGCCCACAAAACCATTCTTTTCTCCTAGATCTCTGGGTCTGTGATGGAGCAGCTGCTGCAGAGGTCTCTAGAATGCTTTTGAGGCACTTTCCTCATTGTCTTGACTATTAACATTCAGTTCTCTTTGCTTACACAAATTTCTACAGCTAGCTTGAATTCCTCCCTCAGAAAGTGGGTTTTTATTTTCTACCACATGGCTGGGCTGCAAGTTTTCCAAACTTTTACAGTCTGCTTTCCTTTTAAAAAGAGGTGTCCAATATTTTGGCTTCTCTGGGCCACATTGGAAAAAGAAGAATCGTCTTGGGCTACACATAAAATACACTGACACTAATGATAGCTGATGAGCTAAAAAATTTTTGCAAACAAATGTCATAATGTTTAAGACATTTTAGAAATTTGTGTTGGGCCACATGTGACCAATGGGCCATGGGTTGGACAAACTTGCTTTTAAATGTAAATTCCAGTTCCAAGTCATTTCTTTGCTCACAGTATAAGCATAGGTTGCTAGAAACAGCCAGGCCACATCTTGAACATTTTGCTCCTTATAAATTTATTCCACCAGATACTCTAAATCATTACTCTCAAGTTCAAAGTCCCATAGATCTCTAGGGCAGGAGCACGATGCCTCTAACCTGTTTGCTAATGTATAACAAAAGTGACCTTTGCTCTAGTTCCCAACAAGTTCCTCATCACCATCTGAGACCACCTTAGCCTGGACTTCTATGTCACTATCAGCCTGGATTGTCCATATCACTGTCAGCATTTTGGTCACAGCAATTTAACAAGTCTCCTGGAAGTTCTAAACTTTTCCTCATCTTCCTTTCTCCTTCTGAGCCCTCCAAACTGTTCCAACCTCTGCCTGTTATCCAGTTCCAAAGTCACTTCCACATTTTCAGGTATCTTTATAGCAATGACCCACTTCTAAGTACCAATTTTCTATATTAGTCCATTCTCATAGTGCTATAAAGAACTACCTGTGACTAGGTAATTTATAAAGAAAAGAGGTTTAATTGACTCAGTTCCATAGGCTGTACAGGAAGCATGGCTGGGGAGGCCTCAAGAAATTTACAATCATGGTGGAAGCCAAAGAGGAAGGAGGCATATATTACACGGCCAGAGGAGGAAAGAGAATGGAGGGAGAGATGCTACACACTTTTAAATACCAAATCTCATGAGAACTCAACTCCCTATCATGAGACCAGCAAGGAGAAAATTTTTCCCCATGATCCAAATCACCTCCCATCAGGCCCCTCCTCCAACACTGGGGATTACAGTTCCACATGAGATTTGGGCAGGGACACAAATCCAAACCATATCAAACTTAATATTACATTTGACTTAGTATAATTGATAAAACAAGCAGATAAAAAAATTCTGTAAGAATCTAGAAGATTTGTGCATCACAATTAATAATTTTAACTTGTGGACATATATATAACAGTACACCCAACATTGCATAATTTTTGTTTAAAAACTTTTTATATATGTGTGTGTGTGTTTGTGCTGTGTGTGTGTGTGTATTTTTATTTCAATAGCTTTTGGGGTATAAGTAGTTTTTGGTTACATAGATGAATTGTATAGTGTTGAAGTCTGAGATTTTAGTGCACGCATCACCCAACTAGTGTACACCATCCAATATGTGGTTTTTTTTATCACTCATCTCCCTTCCAACCTCCCACTTCTGAGTCTCCAAAGTCCATGATACCACTCCATATGCCTTTGATTATCCATAGCTTAGCTTCCACTTATAAGTGAGGTCATACAGTATTTGGTTTTCCATTCCTGAGTTACTTCACTTAGAATAATGACTTTTAGCTCCATCCAAGTTTCTGCAAAAGACATTATTTTCTTCTTTTTTATGGCTGGATAGTATTTCATGGTGTATGTATACCACATTTTCTTTATCCATTTGTTGGTCAGTGGGCACTTAGGTCGGTTCCATGTCTTTGCAATTGTGGATTGTGCTGCAATAAACACACGTATGCAGTTGTCTTTTTTATATGATGACTTCTTTTCCTTTGAGTAGATACACAGTAGTGGGATTTCTGGATCAAATGGTAGATCTACTTTTAGTTCTTTAGGAAATTTCCATACTGTTTTCCATAGAGGTTTTACTAATTTACATTCCCACCAGCAGTGTATAAGCATTGCCTTTCACCACATCTTTCACCACACCTATGCCAACATTTATTTATTTATTTTTTTTTTACTTTTAAATAATGACCACTTTTGCAGGGGTAAAATAGTATCTCATTGTAGTTTGAATTTTCATTTCTCTGATAATTAGTGATGTTGAGCATTTTTTCATATGTTTATTGGCCACTTATCTTCTTTTGAGTAATGTCTGTTCATTTCATATGCCCACTTTTAGATGGGGTTATCTTTTTTTCTTGCTGATTTTTTTGAGTTCCTTGTAGATTCTGGACATTGGTCTTTTTTAGATGCATAGTTAGCAAATATTGTCTCTCATTCTGTGGGTTTTCTATTCACTCTGATGATTATTTATTTTGCTATGCAGAAGCCATTTAATTTAATTAGATCCTACTGATATATTTTTTGTTTTGTTGCATTTGCTTTTGGGGTCCTAGTCATAAATATTTTGCATAGGCCAATGTTCATAAGAGTTTTTCCTAGGTTTCTTCTACAGCTTTTATGGTTTCAGGTCTTAAATTTAAGTCTTTGATCCATCTTGAGTTGATTTTTGTATAAGGTGAGAGATGGGGATCCAGTTTAATTCTTCTATATGTGGCTCTAGAGTTTTCCCAGCACCATTTATTTATTAAACAGGATGTCCTTTCCCCAAGTTTTATTTTTGTATTTTTTGTCAAAGATCAGTGAGCTGTAAGTATTTGGCTTTATTTCTGGGTTCTCTATTCAGTTCCATTGGCCTATGTATCTATTTTTATAACAGTACCATGCTCTTTTTGTATCTATAGCCTTGTAGTATAACTTGAAGTGAGGTAATGTGATACCTTTGCCTAGGATAGCTTTGGATATTCAGGCTCTTTCTTTGGTTCCATATGAATTTTCAGATTGTTTTCTAATTCTGTGAAAAATGATGTTGGTATTTTGATAGAAATTGCATTGAATCTATAGATTACTTTTGCAGTATGGTCACTTTCATGATATTGATTCTTCTAATCCATGAGCATGGGATATGTTTCTGGTTGTTTGTATCATCTGTGATTTCTTTCAGCAGTGTTTTATAGTTCTCCTTGTAGAGCTCTTTTATCTCATTGGTTATGTGTATTTCTAGGTATTTTGCTTTTGTAGCGATTGTTAAAGGGATTGAGTTCTTGATTTGATTCTCAGCTTGGTCGTTGTTGGTGTATAGCAATGCTACTGATATTTGTACATTGATTTTATAACCAGATACTTTACTGAATTTGTTTATCAAATCTAGGAGTCTTTTGAAGGAGTCTTTAGGGTTTTCTAGTTATACAGTCATATCATCAGTGAACAACAATAGTTTGACTTTCTGTTTTCTGATGTGCTTTATTTCTTTCTCCTGCCTGATTGCTCTGTCTAGGACTTCCAGTAGTATGTTGAATGGAAGTGGTGAAAGTGAACATCCTTGTCTTGTTCCATTTCTCAGAGGCAATGCTTTAAACTTCCCCCCCTTCAGTATGATATTGACTGTGGGTTTGTCATATATGGCTTTTATTATTTTGAGGTATGTCCATTCTATGCCTCGTTTGTTGAGGGTTTTTATCATAAAGCAATGCGGGATTTTATCAAATGCTTTTTCTGTATCTATCAACATGATCATATGGTTTTTGTTTTTATTTCTGTTTATGTGATATATCACATATATTGACTTCCATCGTCCCTACATCCCTGGGGTGAAATCCACTTGATCATGGTGTATTATCTTTCTGATATACTGTTGGATTTGGTTTGCTAGTATTTTGTTGAGGATTTTTGCATCTGTGTTCATCAGGGATATTGGTTTGTAGTTCTTTTTATTATTATTATTATGTCCTTTCCTGGTTTTGGTATCAGGGTGATACTGGTTTCATAGAATGATTTTAAGAAAATTTTCTGTTTCTCAATCTTTGGAATAGTTTCAGTAGGATTAGCACTGATTTTTCTTTGAATGTCTTATAGAATTAAGCTGTGAATTCATCTGGCTCTGATCTTTTTTTTTTATTTAATACTTTAAGTTCTGGGATACGTGTGCAGAATGTGCAGGTTTGTTACATAGGTATACATGGGCCATGGTGGTTTGCTGCACCCATCAACCTGTCATCTACATTAGGTATTTCTCCTAATGCTATCCCTTCCCTAGCCCCCTAACCCCCTACAGGCCCTGATGTGTGATGTTCCCCTCCCTGTGTCCATGTGTTCTCATTGTTCAGCTCCCACTTAAGAGTGAGAACATGCGGTGTTTGGTTTTCTGTTCCTGTGTTAGTTTGCTGAGAATGATGGTTTCCACCTTCATCCATGTCCCTGCAAAGGACATGAACTAATCCTTTTTTTATGGCTGCATTGTATTCCATGGTGCATATGTGCCACATTTTCTCTATCCAGTCTATCATTGATGGGCATTTGGGTTGGTTCCTAGTCTTTGCTATGGTGAATAGTGCTGCAATAAACATACATGTGCATGTGTCTTTATAGTACAATGATTTATAATCCTTTGGGTATATACCCAGTAATCAGATTGTTGGGTCAAATGGTATTTCTGGTTCTAGGTCCTTGAGGAATCACCACACTGTCTTCCACAATGGTTGAACTAATTTACACTCTCACCAATGGTGTGAAAGCATTCCTATTTCTCTACATCCTCTCCAGCATCTGTTGTTTCCTGACTTTTTAATGATGGCCATTCTAACTGGTGTGAGATGGCATCTCATTGTGGTTTCGATTTGCATTTCTGTAATGACTAGTGATGATGAGCTTTTTATCATATGTTTGTTGGCTGCATAAATGTCTTCTTTTGAGAAGTGTCTGTTCATATCCTTTGCCTACTTTTTGATGGGGTTGCTTTTTTCTTGTAAATTTGTCCTGAGTGGTATTACCTAGGTTTTCTTCTAGGGTTTTTATGGTTTTAGGTCTAACATTGAAGTCTTTAATCCATCTTGAGTTAATTTTTGTATAAGGTGTAAGGGAGTGGTCCAGTTTCAGTTTTCTGCATATGGCTAGCCAGTTTTCCCAACACCATTTGTTAAATAGGGAATCCTTTCTCCATTGCTTGTTTCTCTCAGATTCATCAAAGATCAGATGGTTGTAGATGTGTGACATTATTTCTGAGGCCTCTGTTCCATTCCATTGGTGTATATATCTGTTTTGGTACCAGTACTATGTTGTTTTGGTTAGTGTAGCCTTGTAGTATAGTTTGAAGTCAGGTAGTGTGAAGCTTCCAGCTTTGTTCTTTTTGATTAAGATTGTCTTGGCTCTACGGGCTCTTTTTTAGTTTCATATGAAATTTAAAGTAGTTTTTTCTAATTCTGTGAAGAAAGTCAATGGTAACTTGCTGGGGATAGCATTGAATCTATAAATTACTTTGGTCAGTATGGCCATTTTCACGATATTGATTCTTCCTATTCATGAACATGGAATGTTTTTCCATTTGTTTGTGTTATTGTTTGTGTCCTCATTATTTCCTTAAGCAGTGGTTTGTGGTTCTCTTTGAAGAGGTCATTTACATTCCTTGTAAGTTGGATTCCTAGGTATTTTATTCTCTTTGTAGCAATTGTGAATGGGAGTTCACTCATGATTTGGCTCTCTGTTTGCCTATTATGGATGTATAGGAATGCTTGTGATTTTTGCACATTGATCTTGTAACCTGAGTCTTTGCTGAAGTTGCTTATCAGCTTAAGGAAATTTTGGACAGAGACAATGGGGTTTTCTAAATATACAATCATGTCATCTGCAAACAGAGACAATTTAACTTTTTCTCTTCCTATTTGAATACCCTTTATTTCTTTCTCTTGCCTGATTGCCCTGGCTGGAACTTCCAATACTATGTTGAATAGGAGTGGTGAGAGAGGGCATCCTTGTCTTGTGCCGGTTTTCAAAGGGAATGCTTCCAGCTTTTGCCCATTCAGTATGATATTGGCTGTGGGTTTCTCATAAATAGCTCTTATTATTTTGAGATACGTTTCATCGACATCTAGTTTATTGAGTGTTTTTAGCATGAAGGGGTGATGAATTTTATCGAAGGCCTTTTCTGTATCTATTGAGATAATCATGTGGTTTTTGTCGTTGGTTCTGTTTATGTGATGGATTATATTTATTGATTGCATATGTTAAACCAGCCTTGCATCCCAGGGATGAAGCCGACTTGATCTTGGTGGATAAGCTTTTTGATGTGCTTCTGGATTTGGTTTTCCAGTATTTTATTGAAGATTTTTGCCTTGATGTTCATCAGGGATATTGGCCTGAAATTTTCTTTTTTTGTTGTGTTTCTGCCAGGTTTTGGTATCAGGGTGATGCTGGCCTCATAAAATGAGTTAGGGAGGATTCCCTCTTTTTCAATTGTTTGGAATAGTTTCAGAAAATGTGCTACCAGCTCCTCTTTGTGCCTCTGGTAGAATTAGGCTGTGAATCCATCTGGTCCTGGGCTTTTTGTGATTGGTAGGCTATTAACTACTGCTTCAATTTCAGAACTTGTTACTGGTCTATTCAGGGATTTGACTTCTTCCTGGTTTAGTCTTGGGAGGGTGTATGTGTCCAGGAATTTATCCATTTCTTCTAGATTTTCTAGTTTACTGTGTAGAAGTGTTTATGGTATTCTCTGATGGTAGTTTGTATTTCTGTGGGATCAGTGGTGATATCCCTTTTATCATTTTTTATTTGATTTTCCCCTATTGTGTCTATTTGATTTTCCCCTATTTTCTTCTTTATTAGTCTGGCTGGTGGTCTATCTATTTTGTTAATCTTTTCAAAAAATCAGCTCCTGGATTCATTGATTTTTTGAAAGGTTTTTCATGTCTCTATCTTTTTCAATTCTGCTCTGATCTTAGTTATTTCCTGTCTTTTGCTAGGTTTTGAATTTGTTTGTTCTTGCTTCTCTAGTTCTTTTAATTGTGATGTTAGTGTGTCGATTTTGGATCTTTTCCTCTTTTTTCTGTGAACATTTAGTGCTGTATATTTCCCTCTAAACACTGCTTTAGCTGTGTCCCAGAGATTCTGGTATGTTGTGTCTTTGTTCTCATTGGTTTCAAAGATGTTCTTTATTTCTGCCTTTATTTCGTTATTTACCCATTAGTCATTTGGGAGCAAGTTATTCAGTTTCCATGTACTTGTGAGGTTTTGAGTGAGTTTCATAATCCTGAGTTCTAATTTGATTGCAGTGTGGTCTGAGAGTCTGTTTGTTATGATTTCTGTTCGTTTGCATTTGCTGAGGAGTGTTTTACTTTCAATTATGTGGTCAATTTTAGAATAAGTGCAATATGGTGCTAAGAAGAATGTGTATTCTGTTGATTTGGGGTGGAGAGTTCTGTAGATGTATATTAGGTCTGCTTGGTCCAGAGCTGAGTTCAAGTCCTGAATATCCTTGTTAATTTTCTGTCTCATTGATCTGTCTCATATTGACAGTGGGGTGTTAAAGTCTCCCAATGTTATCGTGTGGGAGTCTAAGTCTCTTTGTAGGTCTCTAAGAACTTGCTTTATGAATCTGGGTGTTGCTGTATTGGGTGCATATATATTTAGGGTAGTTAGCTGTTCTTGTTGCATTGATCTCTTTACCATTATGTAATGCCCTTCTTTGTCTTTTTTGATCTTTTTTGGCTTAAAGTCTGTTTTATCAGAAACTAGTATTGCAAACCCTGCTTTTTTTCTTCCATTTTGCTTGGCAAATATTCCTCCATCCCTTTATTTTGAGCCTATGTGTGTCTTTGCATGTGAGATTGGTCTTCTGAATACAGCGCATTGATGGGTCTTGACTCTATCCAATTTGCCAGTCTGTGTATTTTAATTGTGGCATTTAGCCCACTTACCTTTAAGTTAATATTGTTATGTGTGAATTTGATTCTGTCATTATGGCGTTAGCTGATTATTTTGGCTGTTAGTTGATGCAGTTTCTTCATAGTGTTGATGGTCTTTACAATTTGGTATGTTTTTGCTGTGGCTGACACCGGTTTTTCCTTTCCATATTTAGTGTTTCCTTCAGGAGCTCTTGTAAGCCAGGCCTGGTGGTGACAAAATCTCTCAGCATTTGCTTGTGTGTAAAGGATTTTATTTCTCCTTTGCTTATGAAGCTTAGTTTGGCTGAATATGAAATTCTAGGCTGAAAATTCTTTTCTTTAAGAATGTTGAATATCGGCCCCCACTCTTCTGGCTTATAGGGTTTCTGCAGAGAGATCCACTGTTAGTCTGATGGGCTTCCTTTTGTGGGTAACCGGACCTTTCTCTCTGGCTGCACTTAACTTTATTAAGGTTAAAATGAAGATTGAAACTTCATTTCAACCTTGGTGAATCTGATAATTATGTGTCTTGAGATTGCTCTTTTCAAGGAGTATCTTTGTGGTATTCCCTGTATTTCCTGAATTTGAATGTTGGCCTGTGTTGCTAGGCTGGGGATATTCTCCTGGATAGTATCCTGAAGTGTGTTTTCCAACTTGGTTCCATTCTCCTCGACACTTTCAGATACACCAATCAAACACAGGTTTGGTCTTTCTACATAGTCTCATATTTCTTGGAGGCTTTGTTCATTCTTTTCCATTCTTTTTTTCTCTCATCTTGTCTTCACACTTTATTCATTAAGTTGATCTTCAATCTCTGATATCCTTTCTTCCACTTGATTGATTTGGTTATTGATACTTGTGTATGCTTCACGAAGTTCTTGTGCTGTGTTTTTCAGCTCCATCAGGTCATTTATGTTCTTCTTTAAACTGGTTATTCTAGTTAGCAATTCCTCTAACCTTTTTTTAAGGTTCTTAGCTTCCTTGCATTGGGTTAGAACATGCTCCTTTAGCTCAGAGGAGTTTGTTATTACCTAACTTCTGAAGCCTACTTTTGTCAATTCATCAAAGTCGTTCTCCATCCAGTTTTCTTCCCTTGCTGGCAAGGAGTTGTGATCCTTTGGAGGAGAAGAGGCATTCTGGTTTTTGGAATTTTCAGCCTTTTTGTGCTGGTTTTTCCTCACGTTTGTGGATTTATCGACCTTTGGTCTTTGATGTTGGTGACATTTGGATGGGGTTTTTGTTTGGATGACCTTTTTGTTGATGTTGATGCTATTCCTTTGTGTTGGTTAGTTTTCCTTCCAACAGTCAGGCCCCTCTTCTGCAGGTCTGCTGCAGTTTGCTGGAGGTCCACTCCAGACCTTGTTTGCCTGGATATTAGTAGCAGAGGCTGCAGAACAGCAAAGATTGTTACCTGTTCCTTCCTCTGGAAGCTTTGTCCCAGAGGGGCACCCACGAGATGCCACCTGGAGCTCTGCTGTATGAGGTGTCTGTCGACCCCTGCTGGGAGGTGTTTCCCAGTCAGGAGGCATGGGGGTTAGAGAGTCACTTGAGGAGGCAGTCTGTCCCTTAGCAGAGCTTGAGCACTGTGCTGGGAGATCCACTGCTCTCTTCAGAGCCAGCAGGCAGGAATGTTTAAGTCTGCTGAAGGTGTGCCCACAGCCACCCCTTCACCCAAATGCTCTGTCCCAGGGAGATGGGAGTTATATCTATAAGCCCCTGACTGGAGCTGCTGCCTTTCTTTCAGAGATGCCCTGCTTAGAGAGGAGGAATCTAGACAGGCAGTCTAGCTACAGTGGCATTGCTGAGCTGCGGTGGGCTCCGCCCAGTTTGATCTTCCTGGCAGCTTTGTTTACACTGTGAGGGGAAAACCACCTACTCAAGCTTTAGTGATGGTGGATGCCCCTCCCCCCACCAAGCTAGTCCATCCCGGATCAACTTCAGACTGCTGTGCTGGCAGCGAGAATTTCAAGCCAGTGGATCTTAGCTTGTTGGGCTCTGTGGGGATGGGATCTGGGGAGCTAGACCACTTGGCTCCCTGGCTTTAGCCCCCTTTCCAGGGAAGTGAACAGTTCTTTCTTGCTGGCATTCCAGGTGCCACTGGGGTATGAAAAAACTCCTGCCGTGAGCTCAGTGTCTGCCCAAACCGCCACCCAGTTTTGCGCTTGAAATCCAGGGCCCTGGTGGCATAGGCACCTGAGGGAATCTCCTGGTTTGCGGATTGTGAAGACCATGGGAAAAGTGTAGCATCTGGGCTGGAGTGCACCGTTCCTCAAGGCACAGACCCTCACGGCTTCCCTTGGCTAAGGGAGGGAGTTCCTTGACCCCTTGTGCTTCCCGGGTAAGGTGACACCCCATCCTGCTTCTGCTTGCCTTCTGTGGGCTGCACTCACTGTTTAACCAGTCCCAATGAGATGAGCTGGGTGCCTCAGTTGGAAATGAAGAAATCACCTGCCTTCTGCATTGATCTCACTGGAGCTGCAGACCAGAGCCATTCCTATTTGGCCATCTTAACCAGGTCTCAAGTTTTTTTTGTTGTTGGCAATTTCTTTTTTCTTTTCTTTTTTTTTTTTTGAGATGATGTCTTGCTCTGTGACCCAGACTGGAGGGTAGTGGTGTAATCTTGGCTCACTGCAGCCTAAACCTCCTGGGATCAAGCAATCCTCCCACCTCAGCCTTCCAAGTTGCTGCGACTACTGGTGTGCAACACCACACCTGGCTAATTTTTAAAATCTTTTGTAGAGATTGGGTCTCACTATGTTGCCTTGGCTGGTCTTGAGTTCTTGGGCTCAAGCAATCCTCCCACCTTGGCCTTTCAAAGTGCTGGGATTATAGGCGTGAGCCAGCACACCTGGACTTGTCCTTTTCTACTGTAAGCATTTTGTGCTTTAGCTTTTCCTCTCAGCATTGCTTTTTCTGTGTCTTACAGTTTTGATATGTTACATTTTGATTTCATCTAGTTCACTGAAGTTTTTAATTTGTTTGAGACTTTTTCTTTGACCCATGGATTATTTAGAAGTGTCTAGTTTGCAAGTGCTTGGAGGTTTTCCTGTTATCTTTCTGTTATTGAATTCCATTTTAATTTCATTGTAGTCAGAGGACACAGTTTATATTATTTCAATTCTTTTAAGTTTCTTGAAATTTATAGTTCCATCTTGAAAAGAATGTGTGTCTTGCTGTTGTTGGAGAGAGTGTTTCATAAATGTTTTATTAGATACTGTTGGCTGATGGTCTTGTTGAATTCTTTTACTTTACCCTAGCTGATTTTCTGTCTAGTTGTTCTGTCATTTTTTGAGAGATAGAAGTATTGAAGTCTCCAACCATAATTGTGAATTTGTCTATTCATCCTTTCAGTTCTATCAGATTTTCTTCACATATTTTGCATCTCTGTTGTTTGATGCATATACATTTGGGATTGCTATACACTTAGGTCTTCCAGGTGAAGCGACATGGTTATCATTGTATAATGTTTATCTCTGTCTCTGGCAGTTTCCTTTGCTCTAACGTCTAACTTAGTCTTTAAGAGGCAGAAGTAAATATAATTCCAATTTTTTGTGTGTTTCTCAAGGAACATAAGAGAGGTTTCAGTTCTAACTGAACTTATCAAATTCCCTTTGCTTTGGAGCTTCAGTTTTTTTTCTTTTCCAGCCTTACTGATGTATAATTGACAAACAAAAATTGTGTATATTTAAGATGTACAACTTGGTGATCTGTTATACATATATATGTAATAATAACCACAGTCAAGTGAATCAGCATATTCATCACCTCATATTAATTACCATTTTACCATTTTCTTTTTTTTTTTTGTGATGAGAGCACTTAAAATCTACCCTCTTAGCAAATTTCAAGTATACACTTCAGTATTGTTAACAACAGTCACATTGTTTTACATTAGATCTCTAGAAATTAATCATCTTACATAACTGAAACTCTGTACCCTTTGTGCAACATCTCCCCATTTCCCGCTTCCCCCAGGCTCTGGCAACCACCATTCTACTCTCTGCCTCTGTGAGTTTGACTATTTTGGTTCCACATATAAGTGAGATCATGCCGTATTTGTCTTTCTGCAGCTGCCTTACTTCACTTAACGTGGCATTCTCCAGGTCCACCTATGTTGTCACACATGACAGGTTTTCTTTCGTTTTAAAGGCTGTGTAATATTTTATCACACATATACACACGTGTACATGTATTGAATTTCTTTATCCATTTGTCTGTCAGTGGACATTTAGGCTGTTTCCATATCTTGGCTATTGTGGATAGTGCTGCCATAAACGTGAGATTGCAGCTATCTCTTGAAGACAGTGATTTCAATTCCTTTGGGTATATACCCAAAAGTGGAATTGCTGAATCATATGGTAATTTACTTTTAGTTTTTGAGGAATTTTCACACTGTTTTCTGTAATGGCTGTACCAATCTACATTCCCACCAGCAGGATACAAGGGTTTTCTTTTCTTCGCATCATGGCCAAACTTGTTATCCCTGGTCTTTTTTATAATAGCCATTCTGACAGGTGCAGGGCTATATCTAGTGGTTTTGATATGCATTTCCCAGATATTTAGTGAAGTTTTCCACCTTTTCATATACGTATTTGCTACTTGTATGCTTTTTTTTTTTGAGAAATCCTTTAAAATTTAGAGATGGGGTCTCACTATGTTGCCCAGGTTGGACTTGAACTCTTGGGCTCAAGTGATCCTCCTACCTCAGCCTCCCAAATGGCTGGGATTAAAGGTGCAAATCATCCCACTGGCTGCCACTTTTTCTGGAGGGGCTACCTTTTACAATTTCACCTGCCTTCCCTGCATGACTTCTTGCAATTTGCACAAATATGTGTGACTATAAGAGTCATATAGCCCCTTACCCATAGGATTTGGCCCAGCTTTATGTTCCCAGATGACAATCACCCAGGACACAATAGTCCATCACCAGCATGTTTTCCAAAGCCTGAGTTATTTAGTCTCAAACAGCAGTGCAGGGAGGTTTTGCGGGGGATGTGTGTGTATTATTCAACAGATCCTTTTCCACTGAGCTACAGCAGGTCCTGACCAATTCTCTATCCAGTCTCTCCTTTGATTCAAGGTGAAGAATAAGTCTGTGTCTATTTCTCGAAATCATTCAGGTTTTGCTTCTATCTCCAGTGAAGAACTGTTTGTGCTGGAATACAAGTTGGGAGGCCTTCTCAAGAAGACACAATTATGCTGGGTACAGTGGCTCATGCTGGTAATCCCAGCACTTTGGGAGGCTGAGGCAGGAGGATTGTTTGAATCCAGGAGTTGGAGACAAACCTACACAACGTAGTGAGGCATCATCGCTACAAACAAACAAACAAACAAAATAGCTGGGTGTGGTGGCGCTTGCCTATAGTCCCAACTACGTCGGAGGTTGAGGTGGGAGAATTGCTTGAGACTGTGGTTGATGCAAGGCTGCAATGAGCTGTGATCATGCCACTGCTCTCTAGCCCGGGCAATAGAGCAAGACCCTGTCTCAAAAACAACAACAACAAAAAAGATACAATTATATAAAGACTCACATTCTATAAATATGCAGAGAAAAAAAACATTTCTCCCATACAAATATGCAAAACTGCAGTGACACATTTCTGCTGAAATATAAACCCAGTAGTCATGTTCGAAGGCAAACATGACTCGTTTCCCTGTTTAACCACCTTTACATCGAGATGAAGACAATTTTTATTTTAATCACCAGAACAAATAGAATGTCTGCTCCAAAAAGAAATTTAATCTTCCTTCTTTTAACATGTAGGACACCATGGAGCTTTGGAATAGCTTTCCAGCTTCTAACCAGCAAGGAATCAATTTGTCCTAGGATATGCTGTTATAATAATTTGAACTTGTTAAACTTCCTTAGATTCTAATTTCCAGAAATGCAAGGATTAAGCATTCTCTCTGTTTAGCTGTGTGAATGCTACAAATGAGGATTAGTGACATTTAAAATGTGTGCCATCTGATGGTGCCTCCATTGAGAGAGGGGACATGCCTCATACCACGTTACTCTTTTAAGTGCAGTTCAGTTCTTGGCCCAGATGGAAAATTCTGCTGGTTCCTTTTCCATACAATCAAAGAATGTGACCGTTTCTGCCCTCTTGTTCTTGAATGCTGTCTAAAGCCTGGGGTGATGTAGCTGAGGAATGAAATCTACTGGCAGAGCTGTGTGGGAAAACTTGCCCAGTGAGGCTTCTTGCCTTGTTTCCTGATCCGGAACTTTGTGGCTCACTGGCAGAAATCACTGATTTGAGTTGCAGGATGCCTGTGTGTCAGGGTTTGTTGTCCCTCACCAGGGGGAGGGAAATAAATGTTCTGCTTATCCCCTGACTCTGCCCCCCAGGATGAGGAATTCTCTCTGACCTCTGACCTTTGGGGGTTGCCTGGTAAGACCCATGCTTACTCAGACATGAGACTTTGGAATGGGGCCTCTGGCTGGCGGAAATTCCTCCTGTCGCTATCAGTGCTTTGTGCTGCAGCCTCATAAATAGGAATGGTTTTTTCTCCCCCTCCCTCCCTTTTTGTCTTTCTGCTTACTTTTCAGTTCATCAGGTTTATTTTGTGAGTTCCCATCATGACCAATTAGAGATGGGAGGGATAGAATTGAAGAACCTATGTTTTAAGAAGCAGCATTGTTTTCTTCTTTCTGCTGGGTCTTGAATCAGCAGACCTTCCTATGGTCTAGGGATGGTACAGGAGAAGGAATGGAGAATGATCTCTGCTATTACTGGGGAAAGAGGCCAGATTCTCTATTATAGGGTTAGTGACTTGGCTTAAGGGTCTACACAAATGCAGCCCACAGATGTTACTCCCTTCTGGTGTTTATCTCTTCTGGAGACTTTACTTTGAATCTCTTCTCTGTTTTCATTACATAAACTGAAGACTAGGTGTCCAGAGCCTCCCTCCAGATATTCATGGATTAATATTTCTGTTCTTTTTGACCGAATATGAATCACAGGTAGGGAGCTTAAATATTAAAGAGAGCTAATCCCTTTTGAAAATGTCCCCATTGATTTACAGATATTAATAAGGACTTTGAAAAATGGGAAAACAAGAGGCCTGGTTTTTATGTCCTGTAACTGAAAAATTGTTTTACTTGGTCATTGGAGGTGATCTTTCAGTATAAGATGACTGATTTATTTTTAACCAGACAACCCATGTGGAGGCTTGACATATTTTGCATAAAGGGCAATTCCACCGAATTTGGGAGTTGGAGGAGCTGAGCTCAAGTCCTAGCTCGACTATGCACTGTGTTACTTTAGACAAGACTTTGCCTCTTTAGAGCTGTTACTTTGGATGAACTGGATCCTTGCAGCCCAGGGACCAGCAGGATTGGCATCACCTGAGGGCTTGTTAGAAATGCACATTCTCAGATCCTCCCCTGGTCAGCTGAATTAGACCTAAATTTTAACAAGATCCCCAGGTGATTTGTATGTGCATTAAAATTTGAGAAGCATTGACCCATTAAACACAGACACTAATTCTATTTGAGTTCACCCTTTTATGTCTTGCATCCTTGTGGCAAATTGTTTGTCGAAAGCCTAATGATGCTTAAAACAGTAGCAGGGAATGATGCTGCTCTAATCAATGTTGATGGGTGAAGGAGTGGAAGAGGAATCTTAGACAATGTGATTCAGGAAAAGACTGAGAAGATACATGGGAACTTGGAAGCCAAAAAAGATGGGTCATTTGGCCAAATGTACCCATTCATTGTCATCCTTTTCTGCTCCCCTATTCTCTGCTGTGTTGCGTTATGTTCAAATCTGTGTCTTTGGCATGGATAGCTCTTACCAGAAAAGCTGCTGGTTCTTCTCATGCTCTTTAATTCTTGTCTGCTTGATGAGTGTGCCAAGCAATAATCTCTTGTTTTGGTGTTTTCATCTAAGCTGTTGAGAAGAGACAGGCTTTCTGGGCCACAGAAGGGCTGGGACAGACAATGACAGCTAGCATTGTTGATGGTTTTATTCCTATCTCAAGGGGATGGACCTTGTTGATTCTAAGTTTAGGTCAAGAATGAAGAGACCTTGATGTTATAAATATTCTCTTAAGAGATTGTTAGTGTGGAGTTTTCCAAGGTGGTGATTAAAATCTATGTGTAACAGGGCAGTGGCAAAACAAGAATTAGGCTCCCTGCTCGGTTCCGGGAGGACAGTACCCATGCAGACAGGGCTGCTGACAGCAGTGCACCCTGGGGACGGCAGGGGTAGGGGCAGGAGGCATGGCCCCTGCTCCTGAGGGGCTGTGGCCACCTTGCCTCTGTTAAGTTCTAGACCCCTGACTAAATGAATGGGGATTTAGAGAAGGTATGCATGTGTTTTTTTTGTGTGTCTCCATAAACTGCAGCCATCCTGTCTGTTTGCCTTTTTATTGATGATACCTGTTATTTGCTTTTAAGCCCTTTCAAATAATCAAATACTGAAAATCTTCCTTTCAACAAACACATACAAATGACCTTCTTAGCTTTTTTCCCAATGGTGTATGTTGCTGGATTTGCTTATTTCCCTCCTTGAGAGATTTCAGACATTTACTTTAATAGAGTGAATTTCATACACTAGTGCTTCCTACCAGACCGTTTCTCTAACTTGCAGACTGCACATTTCCATGTAGACATTCCTTCATAGTTCTGCAATTAAATTGGCTGGGAGGACAATAAACTATTTTCAGAAACAGATTTATCAGATTATGAAATTTCATACTAAACGGCCGCATTTGGTGTCACTGATTCCTCCCTTTACCCATTCTCCATCCACTCACCCTCTGTACCCTGTTTATGGCAGATTTTTCTCTAGACTGTTTTTTCCCGTTTGATTTCTGCTTTGGCCGTAAGAAATGAGTCACTTAATTTTAAAATGCACAACTTTCAGTCTCTTAGTGGGTCATCAGATACTACTATCTTTCTTCCAAGCAGCCTTTCTTTCTTCTAGAAAACCTTTTTAAAAACTTTTTAAAAGTTTACCACTGATTCTTTCTCTTTCTGGTCCTTCAGTATTCTCAGCCGATCTCTAAGGACTTTTTTTTTCTGTTTACCAAACTGAGCTTTCTGGGAATTTTCTTTGGCTTTTCTTTCTCTTCCTTGGTCTTTGTTTTAGTTGTTTTTACAATTTGGTTTTGTTGTTGTTGTTGTTGTTAGCACATTTGCAGAAGAAACACAGGAGGTTAAACTGTTAGATAATATAAGGCTTAGGAATAGTCAGTGGTCTCTTATCTTTTCCAACCTCTACAGAGCTTGATAAGGAAAGAATATGGGGAATGTGCCACTCATGGCAGAGCTTCCGGACAAATTAGAGTTGATTGATAAGCAGGCTATGGTGTGTGTGTGTGTGCTTGCACATGCGTGTGTGCACATGAGCATGTGTATGCCCATACTGGGAGTAGCTAATGCAGAATAAGTCTGCAGAAAGGGGTTTTACCTGAACGTATGGTGCAGAATAAATGAATGAAATCAGCTAGGCTTACTGAAAAAGACATAAAAGCATCTCTGCATCTTTTTTCTTCATTTATTTGAAATTGCATTGCAGCAGAGGGCACATCTGATCTTGGAGGTTGGATATTGTGGGGGACTGGGCAGCAATCCAGTATCCCTTCTGAGCAGATACTCTTTTCTATCTGGAAGGTTGTGATAACAGTTGCTTTGGCAATGACCAGAGGAGGATTTGAGATGTATCGGTGAGTGCTTTACATCCCTCCTCTGGAAAGGATTCTCTCTTTTACTAGTAAATCCTTTTAATTCAATTAGTTAATTCAACTGTTTCAATAAAGAGATTCAAATTTGACAAATAGACTCCTCTTTCCTTTTATTTTATTTTATTTTTTTGAGATGGAGTCTCGCTGTGTCACCCAGGCTGGAGTGCAGTGGCGTGATCTCGGCTCACTGCAAGCTCTGCATCCTGGGTCCATGCCATTCTCCTGCCTCAGCCTCCCGAGTAGCTGGGACTACAGGTGCCCACCACCATGCCTGGTTAATTTTTTGTATTTTTAGTAGAGATGGGGTTTCACCACGTTAGCCAGAATGATCTCGATCTCCTGACCTCGTGATCTGCCTGCCTCGGCCTCCCAAAGTGCTGGGATTACAGGCATGAGCCACTGTGTCTGGCCTCCTTTTATTTTTATTGCTAGCTTAGTCCACTGTGATTTAGGCTTAAGACTTCAGAAGAGTACTCTGTCATGCGCAAGCACTGGACTTGGAGTTGGGAGACCTGAAGTTTATGCCTGAATGCTCCCATCTAGCCAGAAGCTCTAAGAGAAGTTTCTTAACACTCAAGATTCCAGCTTCTTTTTCTGGGAAATGAAGGCTAATTCCTAAGATCTTATAGAACTCAGGAACTCTGACCAAAGCATATCACCTCATGGGGTGATACGTGCAAAATTAGGTATATAGTTGTTTGTTTTATTGGTGGGTGACCTTAGACAAGACTTCGCCTCTTTAGATCTATTACTTTGGGTGAACTGGATCCTTGCAGCCCAGGGACCAGCAGGATGGGAAAAAACTCTCTCTTTGACCTTTGAATCTGAAAAACTAAACAGTCAAAAAATATGAAGGTGAGAAATAATATCCTAGCCCAGGTCATCCAGAGTAGATATTTACACTGTAACATTTTCTGTGCTGTGGACATGGATGGTGGCAGCATGATGCTGGTATCAGACTGTTCCTGTGAGGAAAAGGCTGCTGCAATGAGAGAGGCCTATGGTGTCGAGAGCCTGTTGGGCTTTCCAGGTAGGCAGATTTCAGTCATTAGCTCTGTAACTTTGGGCATGTTAGCTCTGAGATTGTAAAAGGGGCTGACAGCACCTGTTTTGGTTGGGAGGATGGGTGTGTAGCACTTAGCATAGTGCCACACCAAGAACTCTCTTGTGAAAGGGAACAAGAAGGCCTCCCAGAGGTCGCCGTGGCCAGCTTCCCCTGAGGTCTGATTAATCCTCTCTTTTAGTGAAACTTTCTGCTGAGTCATTGTGTCTGAAACCCAGAGGCATGTGAGACCATGCCACATCCTGGGTCAGGAAGTCCCCTTTCACCTGCTTAACCGATGTGCAGGTGACGGACCATTAGACGCTCGTGGTAAGGGTGGGTCACAGTCTGGTGGTGAGATCTGCTCCGTACAGACGATATGGTAAGAACAGATCATCTATTGAGAGTGAAAATCTCCGTGAGAGGAATCTAGGCTTTTCCCCCTTCGTTTTATAATACGTTTAGCAGGTAATAAGTTCACATGCTACAAAACTTAAAAGATAAAAAGGATTTACACTATAAAATACATCTCCCACCTGCCTCTGCTACTAGTATAGTGTGTGTATATATTATATACACATGCTATCTATATGTAGGTAATACATATATAATATGCTATGCAATACATATATATATTGATACAATGTATATTGCTATGCAATACATATATATTGATACAATGTATATATTGCTATGCAATACATATATAGATACTATATATTGCTATGCAATACATATATAGATACTATATATTGCTATGCAATACATATATAGATACTATATATTGCTATGCAATACATATATAGATACCATATATTGCTGTGCAATACATATATAGATACTATATATTGCTATGCAATACATATATATTGCTATGCAATACATATATATTGCTATGCAATACATATGTGTATTGCTATGCAATACACATGTGTATTGCTATGCAGTACATATATGTATATATTGCTATGCAATACATATATATATATTGCTATGCAATACATATATATATATTGCTGTGCAATACATATATATATATTGCTGTGCAATACATATATATATTGCTATTCAATACATATATATATTGCTGTGCAATACATATATATATATTGCTGTGCAATACATATATATATTGCTATTCAATACATATATATATTGCTATTCAATACATATATATATAGCTATGCAATACATATATATATATTGCTATGCAATACATATATATATTGCTATGCAATACATATATATATATTGCTATGCAATACATATATATATATTGCTATGCAATACATATATATATATTGCTATGCAATACATATATATATTGCTATGCAATACATATATATATTGCTATGCAATACATATATATATATTGCTATGCAATACATATATATATTGCTATGCAATACATATATATATTGCTATGCAATACATATATATATATTGCTATGCAATACATATATATATATTGCTATGCAATACATATATATATATTGCTATGCAATACATATATATATATTGCTATGCAATACATATATATAGATGTCTCTTCTCAACAGCTTAGATGAAAACACCACGATATATATATATCATGTGTGTGTATAATATATACACATTAAAGCTACTTAGGTGATTCTGGTGCAGCCAGGTTTGTAAGCTAATAATCTACGTTCTAGATTCATATTTTCTCTTCTGCTTCTCCAAGGCCTGCCCTCCCACTTCTCTTTTTCAGTGCTAATACTTGCAATCACCCTAGGTGATAGACACTCAAAATACTTCTGCTAAGAATAGAAGCCTGCTTGCATTTTCCCTAGGCAAGTTGTCATTGGGGCAACTGATTCAGAATACATCTCAACAATTCCAACAACCTCAAGTAACCTGTATAAAAGATAGGACTCTCTGAAGTCCAGTTTTGCAACTAATACCAATGAGGGAAACACAAATTTGACTTCTCAGGATTGGAGAGAAACATTTCTCATGATGTAGACATGTGTATCATAGGAAACATCCTACAGACAGTTTTCTTAAAATCTTGTATAGATCTTGTTCTTGTCTTCAACATTTCACATTCACATTCACAGAAGCTTCTGAAATCCCTCCATCTTTCACCTCACTATGTCGCTTGTTTGTCTATCCTCTGCCCTCATGTTGACTTCCTGTTGGGTGACAACTGGCACTTCAGGTTCTGGATTCTGGCTGAGCTGAGACACTCCAAGGTGGCTGGTGGTGGTCTGGGCAACTCCAGGTACTCAGGCATTTCCTTGCTTCACTTTTTTTTTTTTTTAAACAGAGTCTTACTCTGTTACCCAGGCTGGAGTGCAGTGGTGCGATCTTGGCTCATTGCAACCTCCGCCTCCTGGATTCAAGCGACTCTCCTGCCTCAGCCTCCTGAGTGGTTGGGATTACAGGCACCTGCCACAATGCCCTGCTCCTTTTTTTGTATTTTTAGTAGAGATGGGGTTTCACCATATGGGCCAGGCTGGTCTCAAACTCTTGACCTCAAGTGATCTGACCACCTTGGCCTCCCTAAGTGCTGGGATTACAGGTGTAAGCCACTGCACCTGGCCATTGTTTCACTCTTTATGGAAGGGAGAGGATATCCTTGGAAACACAATTTCTTCCTGTGACAGATCTTTGGTGAATACAGTCTTCTACCTCATTCACCTTACAGGTGCTGTGCCCACCCATTAAAGGTGGCCTGTTTTCTGGTAACAGCTTCACCTGAGCCTCTCCAAGGCCCTCTTTGCCTAACTTACTGCTACTTTTATCTTCCTTGGCAGTTAAGTAATCCTATACTTGATCATTTGGGTATAATCATTCTGGGTTTGATCCAGTCCTTGAAACTTCCTTTTCTTTCTTTCTTTCTTTTTTTTTTTGAGATGGAGTTTTGCTCTTGTTGCCCAGGCTGGAGTGCAATGGCGCGATCTCGGCTCACCACAATCTCCATCTCCCGGGTTCAGGTGATTCTCCTGCCTCAGCCTCCCGAGTAGCTGGGATTATAGGCATGTGCCACCTTGCCCGGCTAATTTTTGTGTTTTTAGTAGAGACGGGGTTTCTCCATGTTGGTCAGGCTGGTCTCCAACTCCCGACCTCAGGTGATCCACCAGCCTAGGCCTCCCAAAGTGCTGGGATTACAGGCGTGAGCCACAGTGCCTGGCCGAAACTTCCTGTTTTTTATTAGTGTCCTGTGGGCAGTGAACATGTGGTCTGGCCAGGCTTGCATGAAGGTGCTACCCTTGAGTCTGGACATGGGTAGAAATGCTTGTGGATACGTGAAGATCCACATATCTCTGAGATAGATCTACACATCTGTAACATAGCACCTTTAACATTTTCCTTCTCTCAGGGCCTTTGTGCTGGATTAGGGCTTCACTCTCAGTTCTTCTCACAGGCCAACTTGGGAGTTCTACTGTAGGACAGACCCCCACGAAGTTGTTTGTTTTCCCTTTCTGGAACTTGATCAGAGGCAGCTGGTGTCTTGCCTGGATAAGTAGCAAAGTGGGAGAGAAGACAGAAAGGAGGTATTGGTGGGCAAGAGAAGCTCCAGTTGTTAATCTAGTACATCAGAAGAAAGAAGCAATATTGCTACATCTTGGGGAAGCCCAAGAATATGGTCTTTGATCATCAAATGAGCTAATTGGTGTGCAATTTTATTTTATCTTTTTAGGACTCATTGCTTCATAGTTGTGCTGAAAAGCCTTCAAACCTCCGGGGACAAACATTTCCTTAATCAGAACAAAGTTTCAGGAATTTATTAACAAGTATTCGTTAGGTACCCATTGTGTGTTCTGCAAGGTGTTTACTACTATTGAGGACACAAAGAAATATAAGATGTAGCTACCCCCACCCCCATCAAGATCTCTAACTTTGCCTTTGAAGCCTTCACATGATACACTCCTGAACTGTTGAGTCTTGTGTTGCTTATCATTGCTCTTCTCAGAAGATGGAGGAAAACATGAGCTCTGGAGCAGCAATCAAGGCCGTCTTCCTAGAAGATGAGCATTTGAGCTTGACCTAGAAAAATGAGTAAAAAGGAACTTTAGAAACTCAATTCTATTACTGGCTTTGGGGGCTATTACAGCATTTCAAGTGTTTGGTTTTATTTTCAGGTTAGAGAACAGAGGGAAGGAGTGAATCACTGTGAAAGCCTGATGTTTAGGTGGCTGTTTATTTTAGAGACAGAAGAATTCAGTTAATCAAACATATGGGACATCTAGTAAGTATTGGAAACAGTACATGACACTGTTTTCTGATAACTCCAGTTTCTTCAGTCTAGAATAATTCCTCTGCCTTTCTTTAGCTCTTATGACCTTGACACTTTCGAAGATTATAGACCAGTTATTTTGTAGGATGTCCCTCAGTTTGGGTTTGTCTGACGTTGGCTTATGATTTGATTCAGATTGTGCACATGATACAGTTTGGATATTTGTCCCCTCAAAATTTCATGCTGAAGTTTGATCCCAAGTGCTGGAGGTGGGCCCTGGTGGGAGGTATTTGGGTCATTGGAGTGGATCCTTAATGTATGGGGAGCTGCCATTTTGTGGGAGTGAGTTCCCACTGCAACACCTGGTTGTTGACAAGAGGCTGGCACCTCCTCTGCTCCCTCTTTTCCTTTCGTTCTCTCTCCTGCTTCCTCTCTCACTGTGTGATATCAGCCCCACTTTGCTTTCCACCATGAGTGGAGAGATGGCATCTTTGGCAGAAATAGCCGGAAGTGACCATGTATTTTCTCATTGCATCCTATCAAGTGTCACATACTTCTGATTTGTCTCATTTCTGCTACTCATTTTGATTACTTGATTAAGATGATGTCTACTAGGCTTCTCTCCTGTAAAGTTAGTCTTTTTTCTCTTTCTAATTAATATACATTTGAGGGAAAATGCTTTGAAACTATGTGAGCACTCTGTTCCTCATCAGACATGCAATTTATTTATTCATGTATTTATATTGGTATGGTCTTATGCTTATGTCTGTACTAATGTAACATCATTATTTAATATGTTATTACTATTATATCTGTTATTATTAATACATAACGGCAGTATTTATGATGATATTCAATTATCTCAGTTTGGTCAGTGGGAGCCCCTTCAATCTGGCTTCTGTGTCTTTTGCCTCATCCCATCATTCTTTGAGTATGCTCTTGCTTTCTGGGACAATAAGATGTTCTAGGGTCATTTTGTACTTTCCCAGCCCTATAGTTATTTCTTCAGGGAACCTTTTTCTCCCTCCTCTGAAGAGTGATATTTTGAAGCAAAGATCTGGGCACAAAATGTGCTCATTGCTATCAGGTGCTGCTGTTCCAGACCCTCTCAATGGACAGAGGTAGAGAATATGTGTGTATATGGGCATATGTGCATGTAAGCCACAATACCTGCTTGCAGCTCTAGTTATTAGTGTATCTATATACTAATATACATGTATGGAAAATTATGGGTTTACACTAATGTTGTAGTCCTCCCTTATCTATGGTTTCACTTTCTGTTTTCAGTTTACCTGTGGCCGACTGTGGTCTGAAAATTTTAAATAAAAAATTTCAGAAATTATCGGGGAACCTGCCCCCAGTAGTCATGTAGGTTCTTTTCTATTTTCCATAAGCATCGGCCGGGTTGAGAAATAAAGGGACAGAGTACAAAAGAGAGATTTTAAAGCTGGGCGTCCGGGGGAGGCATCACATTTCGGTAGGTTCCGTGATGCCCCACAAGCCGCAAAACCAGCAAGTTTTTATTAGTGATTTTCAAAGGGAAGGGAGTCTACAAATAGGGTGTGGGTCACAGAGATCACGTGCTTCACAAGGTAATAGAATATCACAAGGCAAATGGAGGCAGGGCGAGATCATGGGACCACAGGACCGGGGCAAAATTAAAATTGCTAATGAAGTTTCGGGCACCATTGTCATTGATAACATCTTATCAGGAGACAGGGTTTGAGAGCAACCGGTCTGACCAAAATTTATTAGGTGGGAATTTCCTCATCCTAATAAGCCTGGGAGCACTATGGGAGACTGGGACTTATTTCATCCCTACAGTTTCCACCATAGAAGATGGCCATACCCAAAGGGGCCATTTTAGAGGCCTACCCTCAGGGGCGCATTCTCTTTCTCAGGGATGTTCCTTGCTGAGAAAAAGAATTTAGCAATATTTCTCCTGTTTGCTTTTGAAAGAAGAGAAATATGGCTCTGTTCCGCCTGGCTCACCGGCAGTCAGAGTTTAAAGTTATCTCTCTTGTTCCCTGAACACTGCTGTTATCCTGTTCTTTTTTCAAGGTGCCCAGATTTCATATTGTTCAAACACACATGCTCTGCAATTTGTGCAGTTAATGCAATCATCACAGGGTCCTGAGGCAACATACATCCTCCTCAGCTTACGAGATGACAGGATTAAGAGATTAAAGACAGGCATAGGAAATCACAAGGGTATTGATTGGGGAAGTGATAAGTGTCCATGAAATCTTCACAATTTATGTTCAGAGATTGCAGTAAAGACAGGCATAATAAATTATGAAAGTATTAATTTGGGGAACTAATAAATGCCCATGAAATCCACATTCTTCTGCCATGGCTTCAGCCAGTCCCTCCGTTTGGGGTCCCTGACTTCCTGCAACAAGAAATACATAATTCATAAGTTTTAAATTGTGTGCCATTCTGTGTAGTAGGAGATCTTGCACCATCCTGCTCATACCTTTGTCCAGTATCCACACTGCCTAGGCCATTTGCCTGTTAGTCACTTCCTGCTTATCAGATCCAAAACCATAGCACATATAGGATTTGTTATTATTCATGGTCTCAGGCATCCAGTGGAGGTCTTGGAACATATCCTCTGTGGATAAGAGGTGACTACCGTACCTTCGCTTCCAGGCCAACATCATAGTATTCATTCTGGTTTTCTCCCTTTTATATTTATGAAAATATCTTCTCTGACAATGATGTAACTGGCTTTCATTCTCCTTAGTATTTGATCAGTCTCCCTGTTTTTGATTAATATCCCATCTCCATTATTGCTACCATTCCCTGCTCTCTTCTCACCAAAATTCAGCTCCCACATTCTGTGCTGGCTACTCACTACCCCCTTGCCTGATATGGATGCCCTCCTCACCCTGCTTGGGCTCTGACCTCCATGTCAAGCCACGGGGCATTGATTCTCCAGACTGCTCCCTCTGGGGCTGTCCACCTTAGCTTGCTCAGGCTCAGGAACCTAGCACTGTGCCTCTTTCTCATTAACACGGACATTTTTCTCATCTTGCTCAGTCCTGGGCTCTGTTACCCTGCACCATGTATCATGCCTATGCAGATGTCTTCACTCTGCTCAGGCTATGGCCTTCTGCTAGTCCACCTCAGCTCTCCTCTCGTTCCAACCCTACACAGATGCATACTTTTATCTGTCCTACTTAAGGGCTTTAGAACTGAACTGTTCAGGAAGGGAAAGGTAGGGAGAGAAGGGCACCATGTTTGTCTGGGTGATCACCAAGGGCCCTTCCAATTCATGCTATGGGGATTTAGACTGTGAGTGCCAGCCACTCAGCATTGCTTACTTTTTCATTTCCTGTAACCTTCATAACAAATCTATGAAGTTGACCCTATGCTGGCTTAGCTACAGATTCCCAGCTCTACCTTAGTGTTTCTTGGAGCTCACCAAGTCTGGCTCTGTCTTTTGTAGTTTTTCTAGCCTTAGCTTTCTGAATGTGTGTTCGCACCCCACTGTTATCCTGGCTCTTGGTATGATGCCTACTGTCCTGGTGTCCAGGGGTCTTCTGTCCTTTTATGGGTCACCTACAGGGTCTCTGCACTGTTAGAGGGCTTAGATGGAGAGACTGTCCCAGTGCCTGGCACCATGCCTGCCTCCCACTTTCCTCTGTTTTTCCAGCTGCCCCTTGCGTTTCCTCAATAGTTCCTTATGCAGCACTCTGGATATTAAGTAAGCTTTGTGCTAATTTCAGCATGAAAAGCTCTGTTTAAAAGTTGCAGTGTAGACAACTCCTGTTTTAAATTATTTTTGCTCTAAAAGCTTTTATGCTATGAGGACTTAGACTTTTGTGAACCCTCCCTTTGTGGAAAGCTGCAACCTTGAGGATTTTCTTATACTGGAGCCATCCCCAAAGCAAATTCTATTTTACCATGATTCAGCAGAATAATTTGTAATAGTTCCCTAAGTAAAGCACCTTTTAAATTTATGTAAAAATTAGAAAGGAAGAATGAGGACCACAACAAAGATGAAAGAGTCAGGGGAGAAAAGGCATGAAGAAAGCACATTTCGCTTTTTTGCATAGGATTACCAATTATTTTGCTTCTCTTATGAGTTACAGATGAACGTTTCCAATGACTCGCTGGGCCTGTCTACTTAGATGTCTTAACAAAGTAAAGTCATAATCCTTTTGTTCTGGAGATTGAGAAGGCATTGCTGAGAGATGGTTAAGGAGACAAAACTGAGGCTTCACCCGATTGCATGAGTGGTGCTAATGGCATTTACCCGGGTGTCCAGGTGTTCAGGGAGATCATGAAGTCAAAAAGGGGATGGTGTAAGAGGAAAATGAAGATGTGTCAGGGTGTGGAATTTCATGGTTGTGTAAGAATGAGAGGTAGAACCTATTGACCCATGTGGCCCTGGCTGAAAGATTTTGATGAGGAGAGAAGCATGAGTCTGCATAAAAAATTACTTCTCTCCCAGAATACCCTACCCTACTCTGGACTGCTTGGTAGCATCTAGGACTCAGCACAAATGCTCCTTCTTGCATTGCGTTGTCAGGAACCCTAGCATAGCAGTCCCATTGATGGGGAGAGAGCAGAAACCATAATGCACTTACATGCAAGACTGAATAGTAGGAAATTAACCCATTTATGCCAGAGGTTGCAAGTTTTTGTGTGTGAAAAATCAGACCTTGGCGACGACCTTGAGCAGTAGGATAAAAATAACTCCTACAAGCTTAGCATTCCAATAATGGAACACTAGGCAAAAATGGGTTATGCTCCAAATGTAGGCCACCCTATTTGAAAGAAAGAAAAATACAGGTCAGAGCATGAGGAGAACAAAAAGTGTGAGTTTGAGTTTTTCTTTTGGAAGTTGAAAGAGAAATGAGCAAAGCCACAGGAGAACCAGAGGTTAACCAGAGACAGGATGGTTGGTGAAATGAAGTGGCAGAGGAAGTAAGAGGTCCAAAGCTGACAGCACAGTGAGAAGACTTTGCCTTAGATGGAAGTACAGGCCCTTTATGCTACAAAAAGGATGAAAAGGAAGGAGGGAGTAGCTGCAGACAACTGTGAGGTTGTGGGGCAGGAGGTGGAGGGAGCTGCAGCAGGGCCTGGAGTCACCAAACCCTAGCAGTACTGGTAAGGGCTGTGGCTATTGAAGCCTGATTGAACAGTCTGGGGTTCAGGGAGAGAATCCAGCCAGGAGACTGTGTGGTCATGTGTGCCACACAGACTGGGGGGACAAGACAGAGCTAAGGGTGGGAGCAGCTCAATTGGCCATATGTGCCACACAGACTGGAGGGACATGGCAGAGCTAAGGGTGGGAGCAGCTCAGTTCAGCAGGACTGGAATGCTTAGCTTCAGTTGATTTGAGCACTGCACTAAACCTAAAGCATCTGAGTTTGATTTGGTTTAGCACTGCACTAAACTGAGGCTGATTTGGCTTAGTACTGCATCTGAGGCTGCCTTTGGATTAGCACTGCACTAAACCAAAGGTGTCAGAGGCTGATCAGTGACCAAACAAGGGCTGCACCTGCAGGCCGAGGATTCCTCCTATCCCTGCAGGGTGGCCCTGGGGATCCAGGGTCTCATATGCCAGAAGGGCTGCAGTAAGTAAGGCTGCTGCATTCCTGGGGCCTTGGGCATAGAGCTGAATACTGTTAGTACAGCTTCCCATGGCTACAACCAGTTTCAACACCTGACTGTGTGCCAGGCACTGTCAGAGGTGCTTACTTCTTTATTTCACATAACCTTCACAACTAATCTATGAGGTGGTACCATTATCATCTCCACAGTTGAGAAGAGGAAACAGGCCACAGGGAACTTAGGTGAGTTGCTCAGGGTGGCACATCTGTGGCCAAGCTGTGAGTTAACCCAGGCTGCCAGGTTCTTCATCCTGAGGTCTTCACCAACATGCCATGGTTAATTAAAGGGTGAGATGGAGAAACTGAAGCAAGGAGATAGTGTTAGGAAACCCTTCCTAAACAGAAGTAGTAAGGAGAAAAGAATTTGAATACATACAGTGAGACCCTAGAGCTCAAGCATTGTATATCTTTACCTGAGATCTTACAAAGAGGAAGATGAAGATGTAAAAGAATAAAGTAGGCTATGCTGATATTTCACATCCTGGCCAGAGATCACCCTGCTTTTGTAAAGCTTTGGAGAAAATGGGTGTAAGTAAACTTGCCTCTGGGGCACTTCTTCCTTCATGGAGATTTGGTGTCTTTCTGCAAGTGGAGATCCTTAGGCTTTGTCAAGGAAAGTCAGTGAATGGGGAATTAGTGAGTTTGCTTAGAAAGATTTATCTTTTCATCAAAATACATTTAGAGGAATAAATTTGAATTATTTAATGCCCAAACCGTCTTCTTTTTGTAGTGTCTTTTTCTTCCTAGCTAGTCACTTGATTCAGCCCTAGTAAAACACAGAAGAACTGTCTTCTTCCCGTTTCATGAAGTTACCAAGCAAACTACTGTATTTGTTTATAGTGAACAAAAATGATAGCACGGACAAATGCGGAGAAGCAGGGCTAATGTTTGTATTGCTTGCGTTTCAGTGAAGAACGCGATACAACCTTTTTGAGTGGGCAGGGCACGGTGGTGGGGATAAGGGTGGAGAACACTGTGTTGTGGGAGGAGTTTTAAAGTGGACAGTCAAACCTAGGAGGCAAGAAGCTTGATGTTGGTGGAAACCAAGAAAGGACCCTCTGTCTTCAGTCGGCTCCCCTCAGCATGGAGCGCAGACCTCATTCTCTGGTTCCCTTCCAGAGTTGGAGCCACCATATGTTCAACTAGGAAAGAAAATTGACCTGGGATCCTGTAAAGAAGGAAAAGCATGTGCCTCAGTGTGACTTAGTAATGCACAGATGTGGAAAGGACACACACCAATTAGCGTGACAATAAAATGACTGACAACAGCATACACCAAAATTCAGGTCTAAAATACGGTTAAACCTACAGTCCCTCATATTGATTAGCCTATAAAAGACACTTGAAATGTGGGATAAAAGATTTCTGCTAATAATAGCACACACAGCTTATATTGCCAAAGCTTACTAGAATCTTATAACATAGATATTCTTATCATCTCCTATTTGTAGACAATGACACTGAGGCACAAACATGTTAAGTGCCTTTCTAAAAGTCACATATGGAGAGAAGATTAAAGGAGCCTACCCTCAGCTCCTGTGATCTTGATCTCAACGCTCTTCTGCCTCTTTTTTAAATCACAGAAAGATCAAGTTTGAAAAGACCTGTTTTAGGATCTTCACGTTTTAGAGGAGGGAACTGCGATCAAAGGAAGTTGGACACACAGTTGACATAGCAACTCAGGTTAATGCCAGAATTGGGAGTTTGAATCCAGTCGTTTTTTATCCAGCAGAAGGGGCAGTGACTATAAAACCATGTTATTGTTTCTAAGAGTTTTAGTCCATTATCTGCCCTACAGGTACACTTTCTCTTTGGAAATGACCTTCCTTATTCTGTGGTAAGCTCTTCCTCTTCCCTTTTTTCTTCCTACTCACTTCAGTCCCTTCACCATCCCTCCCCAGGTCCTCTTCTCTGCTCCATCTTTCCTCTTTTCCTTTCTTCTCCCTCTCTCCACTTCCCTGTTACTTCTGCTTCTTTCTTTTTTTCGTCTGTGACAGAGTCTCGCTTTGTCACCCAGGCTGGAGCGCAGTGGCACGATCGCGGCTCACTGCAACTTCTGCCTTTCAGGTTCAAGCAATTCTCCTACCTCAGCCTCCACATAGCTGGGACTACAGGCATGCACCATCACACCCGGCTAATTTTTGTATTTTTAGTAGAGATGGGGTTACACTATGTTGGCCAGGCTGGTCTTGAACTCCTGACCTCAAGTGATCTGCCTTCTTCGGCTTCCCAAAGTGCTGGGATTACAGGTGTGAGCCACCGTGCCTGGCCTAGTTCTGCTTCTTGAATACCTTTGTGGCCTACGATTCTTTTTGTCTGCATTTATTCCTCTTTTTCTAACACTATCATTTCCAATGTTTTAATTTTCCTTTTTTAATCCTTTGACACCATTGAATCTGCCATTAGAAATCTAACAAACTATATAACTGATGTGGTTCTTGTTATTGAATGTCTTTAGTCCTTTCAGCTCTTAAGTGTTAACCATTGCTTCATAGTCTTTAAATGTGCATAGTCATTGCTCAACCTGGAAGCTATACACCACACCTGTGTGAGTCCACATGAGGCACAGGGGAGCTTCTCTATAATCCTTTCTGTGGGGATGTTGTGGGGAGTAATTAAAACACAGTGCTATTCTTCATGACAGTTCTCACTAAAAAAAAATATGAGAGCTGTTAAGCGGAACCACAAATACAGATTTAATTGTGATGTTTTACTGGGCTTAGTAAATTATAGTTTCAATATTGTACCCTCTGTTGTCTACTTCTAATTTTTTGACAGTACGTTTTCAGAAAGGCAGGCTTGCTCAACAGAAAATCTGTTTTCTGGTTAAAAGTTACAAATGTGGCTTCTTTAAAAACTAATTATCCCCAGTGTTCTGGTGTAAGAAGTGTTTACTAAGTAACTCAGTGATTGGATCCAGGTAGTCACTGTCATGGACCCGTCTCCTTGGTTTTGTTACTGTCATATTCCACATATCGTCTTAAGCTTTCTTTTACAAAATCATCATGCACTTCAAGAAGGACCAACCAAAAGAACCATGCAGATGCTAGGAAGGGAGTGGGAAGTGCTCTTAAACCCAGAAATCCCATTCGGCTGGAAACAAAGACATGCCCTGCCCTGTGGGGTCAGATTCCTGCAAGAAATGAAGGATTTTCAAGAATTTCTTGGTGGAACCAAGTGGTAGATTGTCAAAGGAATTTGTTTATTTCTGTGGGTGTGGCAAGCAAAGTGCTTATGAGGACTTTCTCCAGTACATCTTTGGAAGAGGTAATTAAAAGCAGCAACTCAACTGAGGCTGGCCTAGTAACCGACCCATCTCCACTTTCCACCATTGCCACTCAGTCCTTCCATTGCCTGGTCGATTCTGTCTCCAAAGTATTATGTTGGTGCATAAGTAATTTCAGTTTTTGCCATTAAAAGTAATGACAAAAATAATACATTTCAAGTCCTGTCTGTCCACTCCCCTACTCGGGCCCAGCCCCGATCTCTGACCTGGTCTCATTCCTCCCTAAGAGTTTGTCTACACAGGACAGCCAGAGGGACTTTTTTAAAGCACACAGTGGGGCTTGTCTGGTGTGCTAAGTCCCCCAGGGTTTTCCCATTGTTCTCTGGTTAAAAGCCAGGGCTGGGCATGGTGGTCCAAGCCTGTAATCCCAGCAATCTGGAAGGCCCAGGCAGGAAGATTGCTTGGGCCTAGGAGTTCAGGACCAGCCTGGGCAACATAGTGAGACCCTGCCTGTAAAGAAAAAAAAAAAATTTTAAAGCCAGACTCTCCCGGAGGCCAGATGACCTCTCTCTGCAGCCTCTGACCTTCCCATTCTACCACCAGCCCTCTAGGCTCTGGCCACCTTGGCCTAGATGCTCCGTGCTCTTTCCCAGCCCTGGTCTGTGTACCTGCTGCTGTCTGTGGCGCGGACATTTGTTACCTCCACCCAGGTTCTTCTCCCTCAGTTCTCAGCTTCCCTGCCACCTCCTCCGAGAGCTGCTGGGTTCTCTGGGTCAGTCTCTGCCTTACTTTCTTTTTCTTGGCTTTTTACTATTTCCTTCCCACCCAGCACTTCTACAGAATGGACTTTGTGCTTTTTTGTTGCCTTGGTCCCGTTGTCTGCCTCCCCTGCTGTAATGGAAGTGCCCCCAGAGCAGAGTTCTTGTCCTGTCCACCCTTGTTCTTCTGTTATGTCCTTAATATTTAGTTAAATAAATAAACATTTGTTGAATGAATTCATTCCCAGCCAGCCTTCCAGGTTTTGCAGCTGATCTTTACCCTCTCCCAGAAATGTAATGTGCCACCCCTGTCTAGCTGGCATTTGCATGTCAGAGGAGGGTGTTTGGAGAAGGCTCGTCCAGCCTGATGAGCCTTCAGGTCCGGGGCTGCCTGGGACCTTTCAAGTCATTCCAAATTGGCCCGGCCCCCTCCTTCAGGCTGAGGAAGTCTTTTGTGGCTGGTGAACATCCTGCATCCCTGCTTCTCCCTCCACCCAGCCAACCACAGTGGGCATGGCCGTGTGATTTTCAGATTCTGTGCTCACACGCATTGGGCTTTTTCACTTGAGGGAATGCTTTGTGATAACTTAACCTGCTGAGGATGTGGGCTTCATGAAAACAAAAACAAACCCAGTAACATCCATACATTTGCTGAGCTTCTGGAGCATATGTTGCCTATTTCCCTTATTTGGGTCTTAGCATAAACTGCCCAGATGGACACACACACACACACAGAGAGAGAGAGAGAGAGAGAGAGAGAGAGAGAGAGAGAGAGAGAGATGGATATTATCCTCAGTTTGATCATGAATTCTGTGAGGGCAGAAAATCTTATACTGCTCTGTATTTTCCAGTCCTGAGAACCTTGCATATATTTCATTTCTTTAAACCTCAGTTATCTCAACTCTAAAATGGGGACAATAATTGCTACGGTCTGTATGTTTGTGTCTCTCCAAAATTGATATGTTAAAATCCTTACCCCCAAGGTAATGGTATTAGGGGTAGGGCCATTGGGAGGTGATTAGGTCATGAAGGGGAACTCTCCTGAATGGGATTAGTGCCTTTATAAAAGAGGCCGCAGCGAGCTAGTTAGTTCTTCCATCATGTGAGGACACAGCAAGAATGTACCACCTATGAACTAGGAGACAGGCCCTCGCCAGATACTGAATCTATAGGCACTTTGATCTTGGACTTGCCAGCCTCCAGAACTGTGAGAAATAAATTTCTGTTATTTATAAGCTACCAAGTTGATAGCATTTTCCTATAGCAGCCTGGATGGAGTAAGACAATACTATTAATTTTACAAAGTTAGTGCAAAGATTAGGGATAATGCTTAACAAGTCTTTACCTGGTGCTATGGACTCTCAGTAAAAAGCTAATTTGGTCTTGTTCTTTCATTACTCAACAAATACTTAGTATGGACCTCACTGGGGATACAGTAAAACAGACATGGCCCCCCTGCCTTTTGGTCTTACGGTCCTGGGAGGTTATGAACTGGGGCTCTGGGTACCAATCCTGGCTGGACCACTTATTAGCTGTGCATCTTGGACAAGTAACTTCTCTGTTTCCTCATTTCTAAAAACAGATTCAATTTCATGGGTTGTCCTGAAGTTTAAAGAGATAGTATTTGAAAAATGGTTAGCCGCATTCCTGGGTTATGGAAAGTACTATTGTTTATATTCTATTGATAATACTTGGCAGGTGTTGCCACACGGTCAAGTGAGTTTCCTGCTTCTTTCCTGCTCCCTCTCCCTGCAAGGGCCATTGGGACTCCACCATTCTCAAGGATATTAGGTGGATCAAAATCAGTCCAAAAAGCACTATCAGCAAGGCCTCAGACCTTTTACTTGTGACCTAAATATGTATTTTAAGCAGGCATTTGAAAGAATAATTTTTGGCCAACAGCAGCATGTGTGTAGACATAGAACACAGTGTCCTAATCCTCCAGGAAACTAGGGACATCTGTCCTAAATTCATACCTGCCCAGGGAACTTGGGTGAAAGGTATGTGTATGGGATGGTGGTTAAGAGGGATTGACCTGACTTTGGAGGATGGCTTTGTCCTTCTGACTCCTCCAGTGGGGATTCATAGAGAAGGGCAGGGCTCCTGGCCTTTCGGAATGCAAGCTAAGAGTTCATAGAGGGTCATGGGTTCCTGAGTGAGGAGTGGGTTTTTCCCTAACACATGCCTGGCAGTTAACTCATTGCTAAGAATGTGGCTCTGATGGAAACCCTCAAGAATGCTAAAAACGTGTTTCAAAGATAAATTTCATTGTTTTCTCTATATATGAAAATAATACATCTTATTGTAGAATATTTGAAACACTCATGAAACTACCAAAGAGGAAAATGAAAATTGCCCCACATCCCACCACTAAAACACTCTTGTATATTGGGCCCCTGTTATGGACTGTATTGTGATTCCCCCAAAAATTCATGTTGAAGTCCTAACCTCCAGTACCTCAGAATAGAACCATATATGAAGATAGGGTCTTTAAAGGGGTAACTAACTTAAAATCAGACCTTAATCCAATATGACTGCTGTCCTTATAACAAGAGAAAATTTGGACATAGAAACATACAGAGGGATTATGATTTGAGACAGAGGGACAAGACAGCCATCTAAAGCCACCAAGCAGGGCTGGAACAGATTCTTCCTCAGAAGCCCTCCAAAGGAACTAACCTTGCCTACACTTTGATCTTGGATTTCCAGCCTCCAAAACTGTGAGAAAATAAATTTTTGTTGATTAAGCCACTCTGTGGTACCTTCCTATGACAGTGCTAGCAAACTAATGTAGCCCCATTTTTTCCTATGCATGTAGTTAATAATTTACATCATTTTATGTATTTAGCTTTGAATCCTGTTTTTTATTTAATATTTTATTGTAATCATTTCCCGAGTCATGAATTTTTTTGTGAATTAATTTTTCTAGCTACAGAAGATTTCATTGAATGGCTGTGCCATCATCAGTTTAACCATTCACAAAAGCTTGGACGGTTTTTGAGAGAGAGTTTGCAGGTGTAGAGCATTGTAGAGAAAACTTTTTTTCTTCCTTGGTTGAATCTACTCTCCATTGTAAGGTACTTAATTTCTAACAGATACAGTCAAATGTACCTTTTATGTGTGAATTATACAGTTTGAGATATTTTAGCTAACTTGTTCTAGGGAGGTTTTTGAAGAGATGTAAAGACTTAGGACTGGTCCTTGAAAGGTGAAAGTGAACCACTCTTTGTCTCTGAAAAGAAAAGAGAGCTGATATAAATGACAAAGTCCCTGAGCTCCCCTGAAGAGGCAGCTGTGAGAATTCATGTTGCAATGATTATGACCTCGTGTTTCCTTGCTGTGTGGCTTCCCAGTCACAGATACAGAAATGCTTGTCAGAGCTTGGTCCCTTGAGCTTAAGTCCAATGAGGCCAATGGGTACATACAAACTAAAAAAGCAAATACTGTTATGCAGTTGGAGGTGTACTTGGAACTTACTGGAACATGGTTTCTTTGAACAGAAATTTTATTTCTTCCCTCTGCCTTCACATCATCACCATAGTTATTCATGATCATCATCTCACACTAATTCCCATGTGTTCTTAGGAAAAAATGGCAGCAGTGACTCACAAGTTTTGCTTTTATTTCATGGTGACTTATTTATAGCTATTGTACTTCTGGAAGATCAATGACTAGAGAGAAACAAAAGCTTCCCTGGAATCTATGTGAACAAGAGAGATGATATTGACTGAATTTAAAAAGTTAAAGATAGAGGAATAAGCAAGTGGCTTTTTTCCCCTTCACTTTTTGATTTCAGGCCATTTGATTTCAGGCCAATTGTTCAGTCTGGTTTCTACCTCCCACGGCTGTCTTTAGTGCATATGTGAGAGTCCGAGGGAATGGACCTTATATTTATACTGATATAAATGGAAGCAAAGTATGGGTTATAGTTAAAGAAGGGGAAATCCAGCTCTTTGTAACCATCCTTTCAAATAAAGCAACATTGCATTATTGTCCCCAAACCAAGCCGCATCAAGGGAAAACACCACCACCCCGCTAGTGCCTGGTGGAAATTCTCTCTCTGAGCATGCGCATTGCCAGATGGTAGAAATTGTACACGTTTTGCTGAGTCTTTAATGTCTAACACATTTACTTGCACATTTGTTGAATGGAACTCGATTTAAATCTGAGTACAAGAAGAGGGAATTCAATTTTGTGCTTGAGACTATTCCAATTACAATGATTATTTTCAGTTTTCATATAGTGACTTTAAGTAGATGTACTGTGCCCATATCCAAAGGGTTTTTTTTTCCTCACAAAATGTTCAGTTATTTATTGGGTTGTTCTCATTGCAAAGCAAATAGGTAGAACCTGTTCATACAGTACAAATGAGGAAACTGAAGCATAGTAAGCTTGTGGACTTCGATGAATCTCACACAAGGAGTCAGGGGCACAACTTGGGAATGAATAAAAGACCCCCTTCCTATCTAATTATTTCAATCACCAACTTATATATCCTCCCATACAATCCCAGGTTTTTCTTTGGAAATCAAACTGCAGATACTGTTCACACCTTTTCGTGTGAATCTATCAGATAGTTTCAGCAATGGTTCATGAACGACAGTCTTGGTGATCACTTGAAGTGTGAACCTGAAAGCTGCAGAAATCACTGCATTCTTCAGAAGAGAAGGGGCTGTGCTTGGTACCAGCTACCTTGCAGGGACCCTGTGAATCCTGTCTCCTAATTGTAACTGTTTGTTTTGTCATTCCTGGCAGAATGCTTTCTAGGCGTCAGGAGTCCTTGAGAGGACCTCCCCACTTCTAGCTTCTGCAGTGGCCTCGGCCATAGAGCAGGGCTTTCATGACTGTCTCTGCCACCTGGAGCTTTCATCTTGGAGAGCTGGTCATTTATCATGGCAATATATTTTGTTACCTGTGAAGGCAGGAGGGATAATAATCATAAAAAAGCAGCCAGAATAAAAAGAAGGTGATTAAGCAGTCTGCTTAATTTCAGCTATTATTCTATTGGTAATTAAGCAGCACAGTGAATGTGGATTAAGCTTGTTACAATCATGTGATTTGGGGAGTAATGAATCATCTAGAAGGAGGACCAGCTGGAAGATGGAAGCAGGACTCTTCAGTTGGAACCTACAACGCACCTGCTATTAGTTCTCAAAATGCAGTAAGTCAAGCAAAATATTTGCCTTCAGAAGCCAGACTACTATTTGGGCTAATTTGTGCAGAAACTTTCACAGGATAGCAACACTTAAGATCATTGTTTATTTTTGCTAGGCAGGTAACTCACCATCCTTTAAGAGACAGTATAGTAGAGTGGTTTTAGTGGTGGAGTCTGGAAGCAGAATGCATGGACTGGAATTCTAGTTCTGTCATCTTTCCATTGTATAATCTCGGACAAGATATTCAATCTCTATATGCCTCACTGACCTCATCTTTAATAAGGGATATAAATTGTAGCAGTTCATAGGATGTGGCTTCAATGAGTTAATATCTGTAGCATGCTTAAAAGAATGTCATAGTAAATATGCCTTACATAGTAAATATTCTCTATTGTTTTTGCCTATTGTTATTTCAATTGTTTTAACCATTCTTCTGGTGTATCATATGGAGCTATGTGTGTGTGTTTTTGTGTGTGTTCTCCATAAATTAAGAGTCTGTTTGTAGCATAGCCATGAAGGAGATCATTTTGAAAATGGAATTAAATCAGGAACCAAAAGCATCAAATCATGCTACTGTTTTAGTATGGGCTTCTTTTGCAGAAACTGAAAATAAGAAAGAATTCTTTTTAAAATTAATATATATGTTTAACTTATGTATATATCCAGTAAGACACTGTCTATATCAGTATATACATATACTGATATAAGTGGAAGCAATATAAATGAAAGCTATATATATACAGACAGAGTTTTGCTGTGTTGCCTAGGCTGGAGTGCGGTGGTGTAATCATGGCTCACTGCAGCCTTGACCTCCTGGGCTCAAACAGCACTCCCATCTCAGCCTCCCAAGTAGCTGAGACTACAGGTGTGCGCCACCACTCTTGGCTAATTTTTTTTCAATTTTTAATAGAGACAGTGTCTTGATAAGTTGCCCAGGCTGCTCTTGAACTCCTGAGCTCAAGCGATCCTCCAGCCTTGGACTCCCAAAGTGCTGGGATTACAGGCGTGAGTCACTATGCCCGGCCAAGACAGAATTCTTTAGCAAGTGGCTTTAAAGTTGTTAGGACCTCTCGTCCCCAGACACTTCTGTGTTTTATATCAATTGGCTGCTTTCTTGGTAGGCTGACCATTTTCTGACTATCTTCTCTTGTGAATATACTTCTAATCATGTAATTGAGCTAGTCTTATATCAAATTGTGATATCGATCAAGTTTATATTCCAGTTGTCTTACCTCCTTTTTGCCATTTTTCTCCTCATATCACCTCTTCCCTCTATCTTCTGAAGGGATCTGGGTGGTACAATGGCTCTCCAGAGCCCTTATTGGACCATTTAACTGAGGTCTTCCAACTTCATGGATCCTTTATTTCTCCAAAGTTGTCCCATCATTTCTTCTTTAATCCATCAGAGCCTCATGCCCACAGCATAGCTAGAAATGTCTACCTCATTTCAAATTTGAGATCCTAGCTTTGATTTATATCAAAGCCACTGACCTGTCTTCCAGTTTGGGCTGTCTGGCCTCCCTTTCTTCATATGTTAGGGCTCAGGGTTCTAACATTTTATTGAGTTAGAGGTAGGTATGGGCTAGACCAAGAGAGTTATGGAAAGGGCTCTCTGAATGTCACTGAGGCTGATTGCCTCAGATGGAAAAGGACTGGGGCCAGATGGATTTCTCAGTATGAAGCGGGTGAATTCTTTGGGAATTGAGGAAAGCTGGTCAACATTAGAGTGGGACTGGAAAGGGCCATTTTTAAAGGAGAATTTGTACTTTCCGACCACAGCTGCTTAGTTAAGTGAAATCTGCTCTTAGATGTGTAGGGGAATTGTTTCCAGGGAATGAGTTCAGGGGAACAGAGAGGCCCATGGAACAACATGCCTCAGGAGGAATTAATTATTAAGACCCAAGGGGGTTGAAGAAGGCAGGGGGCAGCACAAAGGCCAATGGTCAGATCCTCCTTCTATGCAGTTCTTGGGAAATCATTTCTTAACTTCCAGGCTGAATTTGAAGTTGAAGTCATAGCAGGCAGCTAGCTGTGTGCTGCTTTGGAAAGGTGGGGAGGGAAGGTCCTGGCTGGTGAGAAGAGAAGAAGGATGGAAAGAAGAGTAGTGAGTTTAAAGTATGCAATAATAAAACAGCAACTCAAAGTACTATTAAGAATTAAATCCAAGCACACAGGGAAAAAATAGAGTATGCAGTGAAAGGTCATATCTGGATGAAGCTTTGCTAGTAAGGCAGGTTAGGATGCCCCGTCTCTAAGGCCAAGTCCTGCAGCAGCCTGAGCATCTTCCTTCATGTTACATTCAGGAACGCCAGCTTGGGGAGGAGCACAGCTCATGAGTATGAGTCTCTGAATGGGTTCTTTTCCCATTATTGGCATGCAAGTAGCCTGACGAAAGGTGCCATCTGTTTGTCTCATTGAACTGTATCAATTACGTGATGAAAGAGGTTTTAAGATGGCCATGTGCTGGAGTGGATCTCATTCAGAGCAGTATGGTGTGTATGCCCGTTGCTAGTGTTACCAGGGCTGACAAGGCAAATAGCAGCATGACCCTTTCCCTCCCACTCCCCATCCCAAGTGGAGAGGGATTCCAGTTTTCAATAGGAAAAGATAAATCAAGGATTAGTAACTGCAACACAGGGGCGAAAGAGGATGTTCAGGGCAGAATCTACTGCGACAGAGCCCTCCCTTTACCCCTTCTCCACCAACAAGATCCTGAGTCACTGCATCATACCCTCTGCCACAGTACAGTGGGATCATGTTGGCTTCCCAACCACATACATATTTCTCATCTTACCTCTGCCTAGGGTGGATTGTTGAGCAGATGGTGTTAGAAAAACTGGCTTATAATATGGAGAAAAATAAAACTAGAGGGTCTCATACAAATATGGACCCTAGGTGGATTAAGGACTGAAACGTGAAAGGTAAAAGTGTGAAGCCAACAAAAGAAAATGTAGGATAATATTTTAGTGACTTAGTGGTAGGAACATATTTCTTAATAAAGATCCAAATAAAACACAGATTATATAGCAAAACATTGAGAAATATGATTATATAAAATTAAGCATTTCTGAGTTAACAGAAAGATATAACAGTAAGAGATACCTGAAGAGTTTGGTGTCTAAAAGATAGAGGACATTCTGGAAATAAATAAGAAGATGGGAGATCTGGTAGAAAAATTGACAAAAGCACATGAGAAGGCAGTTTACAAAAGGGGAAACTGAATTGCTTAATAAATATATGAAGTGATACTCGAACTCAGTGATTCAGAAAAATACAAATTAAAAGCACTTGATGTTACTTTATACCTGGGAGATTGACAAAGTCTCAGAAGTTGGTAATGTCAAATCTTGGCAGATATAGAAAACAGGACCTCTTGCACTGCCAGGGGAGTAGCCTGGTGTGACCATTTGAGACAGAAGTCTGAGAGTGCATTCCAAATTAAGTGGTCATATGTCCTGTGACCCAACCATCCCATTCCTGGGTATATGCCCTGGAGGAATTCTTAGATAGGATTATGAGGAAATGATCACAGTGCTGATTTTGGTAAAGGAACTGAAGGTCAACTTAGTAAAATGCATAAAGAAAAACAGCAAATACACACTATGGAATATTTTGTAGCAGTTAGAAGGAACCCACTAGATATGCCCACAGCAAATGGATAGATGGTAACAAGGTATATTTGAGTTTTTTTATAAGATAATAAATAGCATAGTATTTATGACACAATACTATTGATATAAAATAAACTACATTAGCAAACAAAAACATTCTATCTATCTATCTATCTATCTATCTATCTATCTATCTATCTATCTATCTATTTTGTTTTCTCCAAGGACATATCCAAATGCGAGGATACATGTCAAAGCACAACAGAGTGGTTACTATTTTTTTATTAACATGTTTTTTTAATGGGTGAGTAAGACAGGGAAGTGGGGATAAAGGAAATTTGCTGAGGTAATAGCTTTCTATTGCTGCATAATAAGCTACCACAAACTTAGAAAGTTTGGAACAATACCTGTTTATTAGCTTACAATTCCGTAGGCCAGAAATCTGGCACAGCATGACTGGGTTCTTGGCTTAGGGCAGCACAGACTGAAATGAAGGTATTAACGGGCTGAGTTCTCTAGAGACTGTGGGGAGAAGTCCGTTTCTAAGCTCAGTTCTTTGCAGCTGTAGGACTGAAGCCCCTGTTTCTTTGAGTGATAAACCAGTGACACCATCGACTTTTAGAGACTAACTGCATTTCTTGCTATGTGACCCTCCTTCATCTTCAACCCAGTGGTGACACATCAGATCCTCTTCTGTTTCCCATCACCGACTTGTGTCCCTCTGCCCAGCTGGAGAAAACTCTGCTTTCTTTCAGGGTCAATTCTGAAAGTGCTTCCCCAAGCCCATCTGTCAGCCTTGAGCAGACCCCTAATGGGCTGAGAAAGGGACCAGGTCTTTATGCGGTGAATGAGACACATCATTCCATAGACATTAATTTTTGTGGATGAACTGAGAGCTATTTAATAGGAAACAATTACGTGACTTATTAAGGGTCATTAAATTTTAGTATTCATAAAGTCAGTACATGACTAAAGCTTATTATAGACTCCAATTTGGTATTTTACTAAGAAGCCCATTCTCCCCGTAATGCCTGGCAATGTAGCTGAGGTCTCACTACCATCCAAACACATAGATGGCTGCAGTTCTGCAGTTTGGGGACAGAAGTTTACCATCAAGGTAGTACTTAACTGTTTATTTTTATTTGATACTTGTTTTAGTGCTTATTGTTTATTTGGTACTTGTTTTTCATTATAAATTGCTATTAGTTTAGCTTCATTATTAATTTAGGTTATTTGTTAAATAGCCAATAATGGGCAGTGGTACACATTTTCATCAAGAATATTTCTATGTTTTCAAAGAATTAAACTCAAAATTATATATATATATATATATACACACACACACACATACACATACATAAACATATTTCTGTTTTCAAACAGACTTAAAAGCATATATATATTCATGCATATACATGAGTTCATACATATATTCATACATTCATACATACATGTATGCATACATATGTATATGCAAATTGAATTACCAATACTTAAACCTTTGCATATACACTTTTCCAAATTTGCTAGTATTAATATTACTATTTTTTATTAACATTTTTTTTAATGGGTGAGTTAGGTGGGCAGCTAATCATTTGCCCTCACTGAGCAGACTATCATTTTTATAAGTTTAAGTTCCATAGCTGAGGAAGAAAAGTTCTTTGCTAAGCACACTATTGTAGACCACATCAAGATGCATAAATTGAATATAAAATTTTCAAAGAGAAGTAGAGAAAACAATTTATTTCTTGACTTCCCTTAGAAATGTCCCTAACTCTTCTCACCAACAAATCATCTAGGAGTATAGAGGTGATGTAGTTTCATCTTCCCTGTTTTTAAGAGGACTTCTTTTTTTAACACCTCCTAACTGCAGTTCACATAACGAAGTCAAATGATGTGTACCGCCTGTTCAACTATGGCAAGGTAGAGATCTGTTCCAGTGTGGAGTTTTCTAAATTCAATTTGCAGAGGTGAGCTGGTGCAGCCACAGCATCTAGACCAAACTTGATTCTAGTTTGGAGATACTCTCTTCTGGTTACATAACTGAGGAACCACATGACAAGAATACTGCTAGCAAGGTCTCCACGGAGGAGTTGAACCAAAACTCATTTGGAAAGAATTGCTTGCCGTTTGGTCTTACTTTCTCTCCCACTTCCAGAGAGTTTTTGTATAATGGATTATTGCTTCTTCCTCTATCGATTTGCAAAGCAAAAACCATACATTTTAGAATTATCACTGGAAATTACCTGATCTTTCTTTGCAAAAACAAAAACAATTCTGATCACATAAAATTTTAAAGCACTACCTTGATCAAATAGTTTTATGCAATTAGTTAAGAGACTCATATGCTTTTTGCCCTTTAGTTCCTTTTGGGTTTGTGTAGCATCTGCAACACAAATCCTGAATGTACAAATTTTCCTCTTTGCCAGAGTTTCTGCAACATTCATGCAGCTCTTACTTACACTCATCCAGCTTTGGCCACTGACTAAATCTCTCATCTAATGACATGATATATCCAGCTCAGTTTTCCTCTCTAAAAAGTTTGAGCCCACAGCACATTCATTGATATCACCAGAATCCTGGAAACTTGCACGTACTCTGTGTTCTTGGATATGGTCAGGAAGATTTGTCTGGAATTTCAGTAGATGACTTGACTCTTCATACATATAAGGGATTTTCAGCATGCTTTGTGGAGCCACCTCCACAAAGAGACCTTCTTAATAGTAAGCTCTTTGCAGAGCAGAAATGATTTTGCAAACTGGATCTTTGCATAAGCATGGGTGAAACCGCTGTAGTTTTCCCGGGAACTCTATTAGGATGTGCTTGCTAGCTACTTTTAACACACAGCTGCCAAATCTTAGTGGCTAATATCAAATTTTATTTCTCATTCACACGATAGCACAGTCTGGGTCAGCATCTCTAGTGGGATGGCTCCCCTCCAAGAAATAACTCTCCTTCCAGTGGTAGCTCAGGAATCCAAACTCCTTCATCATGTGGCTTTTGCAGTGTTAGAGTCCCTCACTTCCCATTCTGCTGAAAAGCTATCAAAGTATGAGCTGAGAGTCTTCTAGGAGATTTTAGGGGCCAGATTGGGAAGTATCATCCTAGCCTTAACTGTGTAACTTTACAGAGCAAGGGATGCTGGGAAGTTTTCTTGTGTGACCAGAAAGAGGAAATGGGAAGGTGAACACTGAGGCAGTCTCTGCTGCAACACTGTCACGAGCCTTTCTTCCTCACTTGTACTCCTGAACTGATGGCCTGCCCCTAGACAGCCACTCATTAGCACAGCTGACAGGCTCCTCTTCTCAGGCAACCAGCACAGCCCTCTCTTTTTTGCTTTACACTCCTGGTCTGGATGAAGACAGTGACTTAGAGTGGAGGAATCTATTCTTTAGGTATGATTATGTTATGATTGCTCATTTGTTTTTTATTTTTATATGGACTAACTTGCTCCATTGAAGCCTACAAAAATGTAAACCTGGGGGCAATGTCCTCTTCTAAAAATGAACTGACCAAATGATCTTTTAATATAGAAGGGAACCTACCTTCAAGGGCATTCGAGGCCCACAGCTCTTCACTGGGGCTGCTGCAAACCCGTAAGTCCCCCCTTTCTGTTCCCGTCTTCTGGCAGGTGGCTTCACGGGAAGGTAGCATAGAAGTCTAGGGTTGAGTCCTGGGTCAGGCTCAAGCTGTGTGACCTTGAGGTGAAGTAAAATTAACCATATAAAGCCCTAGCCCAGTATCTGGGATTTAGTTCTTAGGATATCTTAGTGCTTGTTATGATCTATTATTATTGAGAAGAAAGAGGTTTTCCTCAGTGAGTGAGTTGGCTCATGACCATGATATGCTTGGGACTCTTTAACAATTTAAAACTTTTTTCTTTTTCAACAAGCTTTATTGGGGTATATAACTGACCAGTAAAAATTGTATATATTCAAGGTGTATAACATGATTTGATACATGTATGCATAGCATAATGATCACCACAGTCCAATTAACCAACATATTCATCAATTATTTTTCTTCACACTCTTCCTTCTCTGCCCCAATTCACCCTATTTTTTATTCTAAAAACGAGACCCCTGTCTCAATCAGATAATTTTTTCTCATTGAAGGAATCTCAAGGGTCATTCTGAAACGGATTAACGAAGACATACAACATATTTTATTTGGATTCCATAATATTGAAAATAAGCCAAAACTGACAGGTAAATATCAGGAGTTTCCACCTAAACATGTGAAGTTTCTTCTTCTTAAAAAAAAAAAAGGCAGAAAATGTTATAGCAATAGGCTTTTATGCCAGCTGGGCCAGAGTCACTGGGGGCTGAGTCTCCCCTCCCTACAGGGTGAGTCCCGTCTACTCACTGTAGCTCCCACCACTACCTCTCTTTTTTTCTGACACTAAGACCAACATGTGGTAGTCACCATTGATCATTATATTTGTACCTTGTTTGCTAGTGGTTGAAGGATGTTGTTTCTCTTGTGAATAACTACATAAAAAAGAGAGGATAACAAAAGATATGCCTAGGGTGTTAAATGTGTGACAAAGACGGGAGAAGGCATAATTCGTTGTGAAAGTGAAGATCATTCCTGCTTCTAAGTATAAAGCATGTGCCAATTTTGAAAGAATAACAGCCAGTGTGCTTCACTCATTCATGTTACCAGTTTGGCCCTGAAGGCAATTGAGCTTGCCACCCAGGGAGAAAAGCTCTCAGTTGTGTATAATTAAGTATCAGAATAGATAATGCAGTCAATATTATGGGCAGTCCAAAGGAGGGCTTTGTATTTTTTGTATTTCTTTTCTTTTTCTTTCTTTTTTTTTTTTTTTTAGAAATGGGGTCTTCCTCTGTCACCCAGGTTGGAGTGAAGTGGTGTGATCATAGCTCACTGCAGCCTCAAGCTGCCGGGCTCCAAGGATCCTCCCACCTCAGCCTCCCAAGTAGCTGGGACTATGGTGTGCACCATCACATCTGGCTAATTTTTTAATTCTTCTATTTGTAGAGTTGGAGTCTTGCCAAGTTGCCAGGCTGATCTTGAACTCCTGGCCTCAAGCAATCCTCCCACCTTGGCCCCCCAAAGTGCTGGGATTACAGGCGTGAGCCACCATTCCCGGCCTATATTTTTCTTGAGCTGTGCAATGATGTTTTTTATTTTTCTTTAGAATCATGATTTTATTTTTTATTTAAATTTTTTAGTAAGAAGAGTACTCCTTTTAAATACCAATTAATTTTGCAGATCTCCTGCATGATAATAGTAATAATCATAGTATCTTTTAATTTGTGGACCAAGAAAATATATATGTGCACATGGATTTGAGGATTCTTTTAAATTTTGCTGCAACCCACCAGCCATTTGCAGGTGATAAGTTGAAAAACACTTGATGTCTATAAGTTCACTTTTTATTGGTAATTAAGGAACTTTTGGAGAACACCATGGAGATTAAAGAGGTCTTATAGAAAATATAACCCAATTTCCTCATTTGCAGATGAGGAAACTGAGGCCCAATAAAAAGTGAATGAGATCACAGAACTAAAGCCAGAACTAAAGTCTTCCTCCCAGGGCTGTGCTTGCATGCTCTGTGTCCAAGTGGGCAATTATACGTCCCCAGGGTGAGGTTGGCCACTTAGAGAGCTTTCAGAAGTGAATTTTCTACTCAGTGTTAGAGACCAAATGGAGCATCATGTGGCTTTTCATTTTCAAGGCATTAAAATAAAAGAAATCAGGATTTAAGGCATTTCCCCAGCATGGAAGGGAGAAATAGGATCTCTCAATTGTGGAACATGGAATATTCCATGGTGATAAGTTGTAGATTCCAAGGATAGAGAGGAGACCAGGAGTGAGGGAAAAATATAGTAGTTATTTTTCATAAACAATATTATAGAGGACATTTGTAAAAACAAAACAGAATGTGACTTGAAGATGCCTAAATCTTGATTAAACACGTGGAAGAGTAAGTTTTACTATTTTAGTCTAGACAGAAGGTAGACAGTTTCAGGAAATCTAAAATTCATCAGTTCTAAATGAAGAGCTGGAATGTAGTAATCAGTGACTTGGTTGGCAGAGAAACATTATTATACTGAAAACCTTTCATTAAGAGGATTGAAAGGGTGATGTTGGGTAATTAACATCTGTATAGCAAGTTCACAGCTAGAGAAGGGAAGTAGCTTCATGTATTTGATAAAAATGTGACTTGGAGTAGCTAAGCAACAGGAATGATTTTTTTAAATTTAAAATTGTAAGTAAAATGTGTTGCCTTATATATTTCAATTATGTTAAAGCTAACAACGAGTACTTAGAGAGTGGGGAGATGCCTCAGTCACGTACTGCTGGTTGGAAAAGATCGTGACAAGAGTGTTCAGAGGGCAATTTCTTAATGCAGATCAAAATAAAAATTTGTATGACCTAAAACATTATAATTTCATTTCTAGGATTTTATTTCCAGTATATCCACTATAAATCAGTGACTGGGATGATTACAACAGTATTGGCTATAATAACGAAATACATAAATTGGAAACAAACTAAATGCCAAAAAATAGAGAAATGCCCAACAATTGGCGTATCTTCATACAGTGGAAAATTATGCAGTCACTCCCAGTACTTGGGAAGATTATTTGAAAGTAAATAAAGGAATTCATAAGATTGCTAAATATGAAAAGCAATACATGATATGACTCAAAATTTTACATTATAATGATTATAGATATAAATGTAGTAAAACTATAAGAATGTCATTAATGGTCATTACTGGTGTTATGATCATGTGAGATGATGATGATGATTGTTATTATTTTAACTTTTAGGTTCTGTGGTACAAGTGCAGGTTTGTTACACAGGTAGACTTGTGTCATGAAGGTTTGTTGTACAAATTATTTCACGACCCAGGTATTAAGGGTAGTACCCATTAGTTATTTTTCCTGATCCTCTCCCTCCTCTCACACTCCACCCTCTGAAAGGCCGCAGTGTATGTTGTTTTCCTCTATGTGTCCATGTGTTTTCATCATTTAGCTCCCACTCATAGGTGAGAACATGCCGTATTTGGTTTTCTGTTCATGCATTACTTTGCTAAGGATAACAGCCTCCAGCTCCATCCATGTCCTTGCAAAGGACATGATCTTGTTCTTTTTCATGCTGCATAATATTCTATGGTGCATATGCACCACATTTTCTTATCTAGTCTATCATTGATGGGCATTTAGGTTGTCTATGTCTTTGTTATTGTGAATAGGATCGCATGAGATTATTCTCCTGATCTATATTTTCCAAATTTTTTTTTATATATTAAGCTATAGCAATATATAGTTTAGTAATTAAAAAACCCAACTCCATAATCAAACAGAAATTTCTTCTCTCAGTCAAAACCGACTTCAGTTCTACTGGCTACAGAACAGTTTATTATCTCCTCTACCAATAAACTGTTTATCAGTTGTCTTTAGATGTTGTGCAAATGCCACTCATAGTCTAATAAACATATGTTAAAAGATCTGTATAAAGTTCTTCTAAGAGGTCCAGGATAGGAAATGCAAAAGCATACTTAAAAGCAAATAATGCAGGTGGTGCTTTTAACATATTCCAACATGATAACAACTTGATTATTGTTGGCAGTTTGCTTTATGTTTAATTTAAATCTGTTGCTCTTCATTTCAAAGATAAAATTCCCCCTGCAAAGAGCAAAATCCTAGTATTTTACTTTGATTGCTCCCAAATAATTCTGTGATTTCAATTTTTGATTGAAAACATCTAAACAGTGCTAGAATTTGAAGGAACATTTGAAATTATATAACCCAGTCCCTATTTACAGGTGGCACAGCTGAAACCTGGAGAAATAAAGTGATTTTTCCAAGGCCACAGTTAGCCAGTTCCAGAGACTCCTAAATAAATGTCAGCCACTCACCATGCCCAACAATACCTAGAAGGGCTTGCATGTGTCCTTCAACAGCAGAAAAGAAACCAATTGTTACCAGATAATCACAAATACAAAATGGCAGCAAGAGGATGGAGAATATTCCTTTTCCCTTCCGAGATGGCCAACTTTTAGCTCCCCATGGGTACTGTGAGCTGCTTCTTTCCTTGGTCTCCTGCCTCTTTCCTTTTACTGCCTCTTTGTCCTTCTCATCTAGGTTGAGGTAGGAAGTCCATCACTGATGGCCCCCAGATGAGATGGCTCCTTAGTCCTTACTACAGGAAGTGTTTGGGTATCTCAGATTCTTCTGAGTGGATCGTTTATAATGTCCATGCTTCCCAAAGTAATACACAGACTTAACACAATTCCTATGAAAATTTCAATGGTGTTCTTCACAGAACTAGAAAAAGAATCCTAAAATTTGTATAGAACCATGCAAAAAACAAAAACAAAAACAAAAACAAACTGCAAATAGCTAAAGCAAAACCGAGAAAGATAAACAAAGTTGGAGGCATCACATGTCGAAATTTAAAATTATAGTACAAAGCTACAGTAATCAAAACAGTATGATACTGGCATAAAAACAGAAACATAGACCAATGGAACAAATCAGAGTGCCTAGAAATAAATCCTAACCAACTAATTTTTAACAAGGGCATCAAGAGGACACAATGAAAAAAGAATAGTCTCTTAAATAAATGATGCTGAGAAAACTAGATTTCCACTGACAAAATAATGAAATTTGATTTTACATCATACAAAAAATTCAAATGGTTAAAAGATCTAAATGTAAAACTTAAAACCATAAAACTCATGGAAGATAACATAAGGAAAATGCTCCTTGAACATTGGCCTTGGCAATGACTTTTTTTGGATATCACACCAAAAGCTCAGGCTACAAAAGCAAAAATAAATAAATAGGACCACATCAAAGTACAAAGCTTTGCACAGCAAAGGAAACAATCAACAAAATGAAAAGGCAACCTACATACTGGGAAAAAAATTTGTAAACTATATAACTGATAAGAGGTTAATATCTAAAATTTATTTAAAAATTCTTACAACTCAATAGCAGAAAACAAAATAATTTGATTAAAAAATAAGAAAAGGACTTGAATAGATATTTCTTAATAGAAGACATACAAATAACTAACAGTTATATGAAAAAGTACTGAACATCACTAATCATCAAGGAAATGCAAATTAAAATCACTATGAGATATCACCTCACACTGGTAAGTTTGGCTATTACCAAAAAGACAAGAGATAACCAACGTTGGTGAGGGTGTGGAGCAAAGGGTACCCTAGTACACCATTGGTGGAAATGTAGATTGGTACAGCCATTATGGAAAACAATGGAAAACAATATGGAGATTCCTAAAGAAATTAAAAATAGAACTAACATGTGACCCAGCAATCCCTCCTCTGAGTATACCCCAAAGAGAGGAAATCACCACCTCATACATAGATCTACACTCATGTGAATTACAGCATTACTCACAATAGCCAATATGGAAAAAACTTAAGTATCTATAAACAGACAAATGGATAAAGGAAATGTGTATATATGGAATACAATTCAGTCTTAAAAAAGAAGGAGATCCTGCCATTAGGACATTATGCTAAGTTAAGCTAGACACAGAAAGAAAAATAATTGCATGATGTCACTTATATGTGGCATATTTTTAAGAAAGAGCTTGTATACCCAGAGAATGAAACAGTGGTCATCAGGGGGATGGGGGAGAGGAAATATGGACCTGTAGGTCAAAGGATGAAAACAGCAAATATATAAGATATATATAAAATAGTTTAGAGATCTAATGTAACATGAGTACTAAAATTAATAAAATTATATAATATTAGGGATTTTTGTTGTAGAAAATAAGTAGATTTTACCTGCTCTTGTCACAACAAAGTAACTATGTGAGATGATAGATATGTTAAACTGCTTCACCACAGATTTATTTTGCTGTCTACATATATCCTATGTTGTAAACCTCAAATGTACACAGTAACATTTATTTTTAAAAAGACAAATAAATCCATACCTTGCTCTCTTTTCACATGATAAAACCTCAATGCTCTATTTATATGAAAAGGATCTTTTAAGTATCTCTATATTCTACTATGGAAAGATTTACATGATATAATGTTAAATGGAAAAGAGAAAGGTGGAGAAAAAGTCACATATTTTAAAAAATGAGATGATCAGGGACATCTGAATACTGACTGACTATTTGATAAATTAAAGAATTATGGCTAATTTCTTTAGGCGTGAAAAGAGCATTGTAGTTGTATTTTTTTTTAAAAGAGAATCTGTGTTTTTGGAGATACATACTCAAATATTTTCTGATGACATTATCTGCTGTCTGGAATTTGCCACAAAATAATCCAGGATGTGGTTTGGGGGAAGTGGGTGGGTATAGATTAAATGAGATTGTCCAAGAATTGATCATTGCTGAAAATGGGTGAGGAGTACATGGAGGTTCATTATACCATTCTATTTTTGTAATGTTTGGTATTTTCCATAATAACAATATAAAGAACTCCTATTAGGATGTTTAATGGAAAAGGCAGGAACTTGAGACCCTTGAGTATTCAGGGTTTAGAGAGGGAAGAATGAAGAGGGTGAGGAGAATTCCATTCTGTGGAATCATAAATATTTCTTGACTGACTAAATGATAAATTGCAGGTATGAATGAATTGATAACCAAACCTGATTCTTCTAATTCTAGTGCAAGGCAGTTTCCACTAAAGTTCAAGTTAATGTCTCTTGTAAAACATAGACTACTTACTACCTGTAGGTTTCAAGATTGGAGTTTCTTACTTGTTTATCCAACATTGTACCACATGCTTTGACCTTGCTGTGTGACTTATCTTTCCAAAATGGCAGAATTGAACCTTCCTTTTGTCCTCCAAGCAGCTGTTTTGTGTAGAAGTCTGATTAATATTTTTTAAGGATACAGCTTGAGTGATCAGCTCATAGACTGAGAGGCTGTTTGTTTTTCATTCTTGACCCCTGCACCCTGGAGAGGAAGCACCGTAAACTACACACTTACTGAGGGAAACAATAGTTTATGTTGCTTGGAAACTTGTTTGGAAATGTTTCAGTATCAACAGAGACCCAATATATAAAGAGCTAGAGTTGTAGGTATCTGAGGCAAAGATGAAGAAATAGGCTACTAAGTTAAAATCTGATTCAGAACAATCCTACTCACTCTTAGAACAAAATTGCTCTTCAGCTTCTCATCCTCAGTTGATGTACCCCCAGACACCCCTGTGCTTTCCTCACCTGTCATTTCCATTGGATTGTGATTCTTTTCATTCTCATTGGCTTTCTCCCACTAGCCTATACTTCACTTTTTGTAACCTCAACACATAGCACAGCACTAAGTGCATAACTGTTAAGTAGTAATTCTTGATTGGATATGTTAGATAAATGTTAATGGAATCAATAGAGGTTATAATCCTCATAGAAGCAGAGAGTAGAATGGGGGTGAAGGGAAGACTGGGGATACAGAGGCTAGCGGGTGAAGGGAAGGGAAGGGGGAGATGATGGTCAAAAGGTACAAAATCTCAGACAGGAGGAATATATATTTTTTCTTGTTTTGAATTATATTGCATACCATGGTAGATACAGTTAATAACAGAGTATTGTACATTTCAAAATTTCTAAGACAGTACATTTAAAATATTATCACAAAAACTGTTAGGTACTGCATTTGAGATGATGGATGTGTTCACTGGCTTGATTTAATTATTCCACATTGTATTCATAAATCATAACATTATTTTATACCCACAAATTTACACAATTATAAACTGTTTCATTTATAATACAAAAAAATCCTGAAGGTGAGGAAAATATAATCAGAAGACAGAAAAAGATCTGACAGGCGGTGCGCATTTTTCACCCAAGGATACTGAAACTGAGGGAGGCCCACTGACTTGCTCCTAGTCACTATGGCAGGACCAGACCTGGGTGCTCATCATCTTTCCATAGAATCACACTACTCTTTGTTTGAAGGATGGCAAATTGGCAATGAATTTGCAGACGGAGACCAGGAGGACCCATGAGAGAGCACAGGACATCCATCTGGACATTTTCTTGGTATGTGAACTGATGGATGCTGGTCCACACCAGCTGTGAAAGGAAAGAGAAGAAAGAGGGTCTCCATTAATATCATCAGAACTTTAGAGGAATCCTTCCTGGATAGTTAGAGGAGATGGAATTAGGACTGGTCCTGGATACCTTTGCGATCTGGGTAAAACTTGCCTTTCCTGCTTTCAGGACTATGCGCTCCTCTCTCCTTCATTTGCCAGGACCCCAGGATATCTGCCTTGCTCATTGTGCAACATCTTTAACGTTGATGTCCTAGCTAAGTCTGTTCCCCATAATCCTCTAAAATCTTCTTTTTTTAGCTGAGGCTTCTATAATAGAACACTGTGGAGTAGGTGACTTAAAAAACAGATATTCCTTTCTCAAAGTTCTGAAGGCTAGAAGTCTGAGATCAGGGCACCAGGATGGTCAGGTTCAGGGCAAGGGCCCTCTTTCTGGCTTGCAGGCACTGGCTGACTTCTTGCTGCATCTTCACACGGCAGAGGGAGGAAACTCTGCTGTCTCTTCATCTTATAATGGCACTAATTCAGCATAAGGGTTCTACTCACAGTGCCTCATCTAAACCTGTTAATAATTACCTCCCAAAGGCCCGGCCTCCACATACCATCACACTGGGATTGGGGCTTCAATCTATGACTTTAATGGGAACAGAAACATTCAGTTTGTAACAACTTCCCTGACCTGTGCACCAGTCTCCAAGACCCAGAGGGTGCAAGGGAAGAGATGCTAGCCTGCAAAAGTAATCAGTGCTGAGGTGTAATAGCAAATTATTTTTCCTGCATTGTTAATTTCCCCTTCATTGCACCATCTTGCTGTTATTTCTTCCATATTTAACAACAATAACAACAACAACCCTCCTTGACAAGCCCAGCACCTGAGTTGGCAACTCTGCTCCACATCTGTAACAAAACTACTGACAGTATTTGCAGCAAAATCACTGTCTCTCATTACTCCTTTTCCTATTCTTTCCTAAACTCTACGATTCGAGAATTTGTCTCCATCACTCCTCCTTTCAAGGAGTGTCTTGTCAGTTCCTCTGGTCGAGGTCACAGTAGTCCCCACATTGATAAAGCCAACAGTAAATTATCAGTCCTGAGTTGACTTATCATTGTCACTGACGCAGTTGACGTGAAGTTATTCCGTGAAGAACTTTTTCTAGTGTGCATGTTGTACACTTGCCTCTCCATTTTTCCAGTTCTTTCTTTTTCCCAGCCTCTTAATGTTGAAGGATCCTAGGATTCAGTGCCTGGGCTTCCCCTCTACTCATCTACACTTATATTCCCTGGGTGATTTCATCCAGTTCCATTGAGATTGGCTTTTCAGAAAACCAATAAACATATGATTCCCAAATTTATATCTTCATCCTAAATATCTGCTTTGGATTTCAAACTCATGTATCTAACTGCTTAATTGACTGCTCCACTTAATTGAGCTAACAGAAAATTTAAATTTAACTTATGCAAATTGAACAGAACAGTAAGTCCAGAAACAGATCTCACATGCAATCACTTAATTTAGGAGCAAGGTAATATTACAATGCAGGAAAAGGATGGCCTTTTCAATAATTGCAATGGTGAATTAGATATCTATATGGAAAAAAAGTAAATCTCAACCTCTATCTCATATCATAAGCAAAATCAGTTCCAGATGAATTTCAGGTTTTAGTATAAAAAAGAAAACCTTCCAATTTCTAGAATGTAATACAGGGGAAAATATTTATAACATTGGAGCAAGGAGCAATTCCTTCATTAAAACACTAAGATAAAGGAAAAGATTGATACATTGGATTTCATTCTAATTAAAGACATCATTAAGGGAGGGAAATAGCAAGCCACAGATTGGGAGAAAATATTTGAAGAACATACTTGCAACAAAGGATTCATATTCAGTATATGCCCCAATTTCCTGAAAATCAGTAAGAAAAGACAGAAAGCTATTTTTACTTACCTATTGCCTCATAACAAACCACCTCAAAACTTAGTGGCTTTAAAAAAGTAACCATGTTATTTTTGTAATTTGAGCAATTTGTTAGTTTTGCAATTTGGGCAGAGCTCAGGGGGCACAGCATGTCTCTGCTCCACATGGCATCAGATGAGGTGGCTTGACGGGGATTGGAGAATCCACTTCCAAGACTGGCCATTCACATGGCCCACAAATTGGTGCTGGCTGTCACTTGGGAATCCAGCTGGAGCTGTTAGCCTGAGACCTTAATTATTTTCCATATGGGCATTCCCATATGATTTGTTGAGTTTCCTTGTAGCATGGTAGCTAGGTTCTAAGTGAGAGGACACAGAAGCTGTCAGCCCTCTTCAAGGTTAGGCTCAGAACTGGCAGTGCATAATTTCTACTGTATTCTACTGATCAAAGTAGTCAATGGCTTAGCCCAGATTCAGCGGGGTGGAGAAATCTACTCCACCACTCAGAGTGTATGGGGAATGGCTGCAAAGAACTTGTAGCCATCTTTAATCAACCACAGCAATTAATTAAAAGATTCACAGACAACTTGAACAAGTACTTTGCAAAAAAAGGTTATTCAAATTACCAATAGGCATCAAAATGTGCTCACCTTGTGTTATCAGAGAAATACAAGTTGTTATCAGAGAATTACAAGATAACACTACATACCGATCCAGATGGCTAAAATGAAAAAAGCAGACAAACAAATCTGGCAGCACAACTATTGGGGAGGATGCAGAGCAATATAGACTCTTTAAATATTGCTGGTGGGACTTTAAGTTGGTGCATAACACTGGGAATCTGTTTTGCGTGATCCAGCAAGTCACCCACATGGCTGCAAGCTGGTACTGGCTATCACTTAGGAATTCAATATGAATTAGTTTTTTCTGTTTTTGAAATTCACGTAAATAGAATTATACAAAATAAACTCTTTTGTGTTTGACTTTTGCTTTGATTCTCCTTCACATGAGTCTTTCTTCCTGGCGGCCTGGGCTTCCTTATGGCATCTTGGCTAGGTTCTAAATGAAAAGATGCATTAGACATATGTATATATGGATATATACCCAGGACAGATGCACATATATGTGCGACAAAAGTATGTACAAGAGAGCTCATGGCAGCAGTATCAGTAATAGTCCAAATTGAAAACAAGCCTAATATCCATCAATAATTGAATGGATAAATGAGTTGTGATGTATTCAAACAATAGAATAATGCACAACAATGGAAAATATATGAACCATTGTTATATTTAACAATGTGGATGATTCTCACACAGTTCATACTGAATGAAAAAAGTCAAACACAAGAGTTGATATTGTGTAATTCCATTTATTTACATGAAGTCCAAAGCCAGGCAAAACTAATCTATGTTTATGAATGTCAGAATAACAGTTATCTTTGGGATAGGTGATGACCAAGAGGTGTGTGAAGGAAGCTTCTCTGTTGGACAGAATATTCTCTTTTTGATCTTGAGGTGAGTAACTTGGTATGTTCTCTGTGTACAAATTCAACGAGCTGCCCACTTAAAATGTGTTCATTTTTCGATATATTCATTTAAGCTTAAGAAACCAACTTGCCTAAAACTGAACTTCTAATTCTCCCATCAACATCTGTCCTACTCACAATCACTACTCACAGATCTTTATTTTTGAGACGGAGTCTTGCTCTGTCACCCAGGCTGGAGTGCAGTTGCACCACTATGGCTCACTCCAGCCTTGACTCCCTGGGCTCAAGTGATTTTCCCATCTCAGCCTCCCAAGTAGCTGGGACCACAGGCACATATCACCAAGACTGGCTATTTTTGTTTTTTTAATTTGTAGAAACGAGGTCTTTCTTTATTGCCCAGGCTAGTCTCAAACTCCTGGGCTCAAGCAATCCACCTGCCTTGGCCTCCCAAAGTGCTGGGATTATAGGCTTGAGACACCACACCAAGCTGCTGACAAATCTTTGAGTTAGTGGCTTCCCTATCGTTTATGTCATCCCTGACTTCACTCTCTCTTCCTCTCACCTCCCAAGTTCATCTGTAAATCTGGCTGGCTCTGCCTTCAGCACGGGTGTAGATTCCAACCACTCTCTCCTCCTCCACCAGAACCGTCCTGGTCCAGGACACCTTGTTGGCTCACCTGGGTTAATGCCATCATCTCCTACCTGGTTTCTCAGCTTCTACTTTATTTCCCTACAGGCTATTCTTGGTGCCACAGTCAGATGTCCACTCAAAACACAAGGCATTTTATGGCCTCCTCCAGTGGCATCCATCTCACTCAGAGTAAAAGTCAAAAGCCCTTACTGCAACGTATGGGGCCCTGGAGGATATGGCCCCATTTTCTCTCTAGTCTCCTTGAATCCTTTCTCCTCTAGCCATTCTGGTCCTCTGGTTCCTTGAACACAGTAAGCATGCTCTCCCCAGAGGGCCTTTGCCCTTCTTGTTCCATTTCCTCTTCCTGACCACTTTTCTCCCAGATATTGGCATGACGATCACCCCTTTTAAGTCTTTTCAGACATCACCTTCTCAGTGAGACTTGCTGTGACCATCCTAATTGAAGTCATCCTTCCCCTGCACTCCCTTGCCATGCTTTGGATTTCACCTTTGCACTGACTACCTTCTAAAAAACTATATATATTTTCCTAGTTTAATATGTTTATTATCTGTTTTTCCCCTTTATACAGACTCCCTGGGGGATTTTGAAGCAATTTAAAGTTTGGGAAGCTCTAGTGTTGATCATCCTGGTGACAAAGTGCTCTTACATTTCATTATTGAATTTGATATTACTCTATGAGTTGGCACAGTACGTACTATTAGCCCCCATGTTTTTGTTGTTGTTGCTTAACAGATGCAGAAACTAGTGCGTAGAGTCCAAGATCACGAGCAGGGCCAAGACTTATATTTTGGTCTTCAAGGAGTTGGCTCCAAGGCCAGTACTTTTCCTGCCATGACACGTCATCCCCCACATCAAACAGCTGTAACTAAAAGGCAGATGATACACTGGAGAGAACCCAGCAAAGAGGTGGGACAAGGAGCACAGGGAGTGACCAGGACTTAATTTAGATATGAAGCAAGATGGCTGAGGAGTGTATGGACATGAATGTGACAGAGCCTGGCTAAGGGATAACTGGCCCATTGTCTCCAGGGGCCATTGTTGAGTCAAGTAAAGATAGGCTTGGCTTTATTCTGAGTCCTGAGACAAGAAGTGGGGCAGAAGAAAGACTTTTCCCCTCAATTTTAGGGCAAAATTCCTGGATGATGCTGTCATATCCCTTGTTTTGCTGGTACTCACAGAACTCTTAGGGCTCTCAGCTATCCCAGGGATTCACATGAGAATCAAGTCTAGATTTCTAGAAATTACTTCACTTTTTTTGTACTCTTTTCCACAACTCCCCTTCTAATCAGGTTTGAAATTGCTTACAATAAAAGACACATATTGAATAGGACCAATAGTACAAACAAAAAAGATAAATAGCGTATGTGGGGGTATGGGGTGTAATAAGCCAAAAAAGCTTTTTGCATGGATTTACTGCAATTGGAACATTTACTTCTGATCATCCTGGAAGTGGAAGAGAAAATGAAACGTAGTTGTTATGCCTGATTAAAACTTGCCCCACATTTGGTTATGTGAACATGGGATTTTTAGAGGGATACAATCCAAGAGGAACCTATCTCAAAAATCCTCTTGAAAGGACATTAAATTCATGACTGGATTTTTATTTTTACAGGCCTATTTTCTAGCATTTTTTTCTGCTACCAGATGAGTGTTCTGTTTACCCAGTAGCGTTCTCTAGACAGTAAAATGCATTATGTTTTGGCCAGGGGCTTTCAGGGAGGAGTATTTGCATTGCAGGACCACTTTTGTGCTTTCACTCCTGCCTCTCCCCTGAGCACTCTTAGGACTCTGTAATTCAGCATTTTCCAGTGGATCATATTTTCAGTGCTTCTAATCTGTTTTTTTTTTTTTTTTTTCTGTTAAACTTCTTAAGGATTAAAATGCCTTTTACTTCTTTGGTACTCCAGTGCTAAGCCCCTGTATGATTCTCCCTCTCTCCTCTTTCACCCCCACCCCCAGTCTCTACTAAAGAATTGGTACTGCCTCCCATCTGCCTGGAACTCTGTCTCTCCAGCATGCTCCACGTCTTTACTAAAATGTCACATTCCCAGTGAGCCTGACCCTGACTATCATATTTGAAATTGCACCTCCATCCCCACCCACAGCAGCCTTTTCTTTTTGCCCTAGAACCCCTTACCTCTTAAGTGACCACTACTTATTTATGTCTTTTGCTTATTGTGTGTCTCCTCCTGCTGGAATGCAAGATCCATAAGGCCATATTGCAGGGAGTAGTGACTGATAATTTTCAGAAGTGATGAGAGGCTCAATCCTCAGATTGAAGAAGTCATCCCAAGTCGAATAAATAAACATAAATCTAGGTGCATCACAACACAATTAGAACACAACAAAGATAGATAAAAATTTTGAAAGTAATCAGAGGGATTGAGAAGTTTCTTAAAAACAAATATTAGACTGTTATAAAATTTCTCATTAGCAATAATAGAAGCCACAAGACAAGAAAATATCTTCAAAGCATTTGGGGGCGGGATGGGAGGAGTGGAAAGTAAGTGTCAATGTAGAATTCTGAATCTGCTAAACTCTTGCTACTCAAACTGTGGTCCAAGGACCGGCAGCACCAGAATCACCTGGAAGTGAGTAAGAAATGCAGAATCTATCCCAGACCTACTGCATCATGGTCTGCAGTTTAACAGGATCCCTGGTGTTTTAAATGCTCATTACAGTTTGAGAATCCCTGATGAAGTGAACTATCATTCAAAGTGAGACCAAAACAAAAACAATTTCAAGCAAAGAACAAAAGAGAGCTTTGCGGAAAAATTACTTCAATAAGAAAAAGAATGGAATCCATAGGAGAGAAGCGGGATGTGGAAAGCAAAGAAATGGATAAATGTGGGTAACCCTAAAGAATTGAAGACATAATCCTTGCCTTCAGGAAGTTTATCATAGTGCTGAGAAGAGGAAACCAAAACACACAGGAAACAGAGGGTCAAGGGGCACCCTGAAAGTAGTCACGGAAACTAGATTCTAGTCCGGAATTGGCTATCTTTTTGTTTGTGTAACTTTAAGGAAGACTTTTAATCTCCTTGGGCCTCAGTTTCTTCATCTGTGAAAGGAGTTTATCTAGATCAGTGGTTTCCAAGCTTTTTTGACCCTGACCTAATAAGAAAAACATTTTATATCTGTACCCAGTTCTTTCATATGAATGTATGTAAATAGACATGCTTATACAAATTATGCTTTCCCTTTTTATATGCAATGCACTCTGATATCTTCTATTCGATTTCCTTTATGCATTTGCTGGTGTAGTGTTGATTTTAAAGAGACAAAACCAAAGATTTGCTGAAGTTATTTTTGGTTCTAACTGTACACAATTTTATTCTAACCGTATGCAATTCATTCCTATAATACCTCTAGATAACTGGTTCTCAAACTTGACTACACATTAGAATCTCCTGTTTTTGTTTTGTTTTAATTACTGATGCCTGTGTTCCACCACAGAGATACTGATTTAATTGGCATGGGGCATAACGGAGATCAGAATTTTTAAAAGCTTCCCAGGGAGTCCAAGGCTGAGCCAAGTTTGAGAACCACTGTTGACAGAGACTCCATACACCAAAGGCATCTCTGCAACTGGAAATAGCTTTTCCCAGGCCCTGCTCCCCACAGCCATTTCAGAAAACTGCACTAGTGTATGTAAAGACACATACTTCTCTAATTCCTTCTGACTACACCGAAGAGAAGTCCTTCTTTCTGTACGCGGCTCGTGCTTTCCCTTCCCTTGAGCCTTTGATCCCGTTGTTTCTCCTTCCTTGAGAACTTTGAAGAATCACTTACCACCTTTCTGTCCTTCATTTTCACCGTGTCCTCTACTGCTAACTTCATCCTGCACGCATTCCAATATGCTGTAATCACTTGAGAGAAACAGTTTGCCCCATCTCTTTCTTTCCTCTTCTATAGTGAAATTTCCTGAGAGGCCCACACTTACTAGCTGCATCCCAGCTCCAACTCGTTGTCAGATAACTGCACTCTCCTTCCACACCTGCTTCTTTTTGCCTATTAACTTTGAATAACCATTACTCGTGATGGTTCTCTTTGAATTCCACACAAGTTTCATTTGCGCTTGCCCAGGTATGTATGTAATGATCTTTCATCTGATACAAGTAATTTACTCTCCATTCTTGAAGTGGTCCCATATTTCTGGGTGAATTAATTATGCCTTCATTTTTATGACTGCATTAAATTTAAATCTGAAAAGTCAACAATCAAGCCAACCAATGATTATGAAAACAATAATTAAGTCAACACCACCAGATTTTTATTTAATGCTTATTGTGTGCCAGGCTCTGAAATAAAGAACTTTACATCTATCATCTCAGTTTATCCTCACAGGTACCCAATGATATAGGCGCTAACATTATTTTATAGATGAGGAAAACAAGGATTACAGAAGAGTTGGGTCATTTGACTAAGATCTCGCAGCTAGTAAATGATGAAGCTAAAAGTTCAAGCTGAGTCTGTCTGATTCTGGAGCCATGCTACTGTATTCCTCTCCTGTATTTAGAAATCTGGATGTTTCCTTAATGAAGAAACAGATGAAGTGTCCATGGCTGAGTCACTTCCTTTCTCTGAACTTTAGTTTTTTTATCTGTAAAATGACTATATCAGGCAGAGAGAAACAAAAAGCAGCAAGTACAAAAGTCCAAAGGCCGAAGGGAATGTGGAACCCTGGAGGAGATAAAAGTCTAATATTGCTGAAACAGACAGAGAAAGGAGAAAAATGGTTAGAGACACACAGAGAGGCCAGAGGAGAAAGGGCCTTGTACGCTGTGTGTAGGAATTCAGAATTTATTCTGAGAGCATGGAAAACCATTAATGGGTTTTAACAGGGGTATGACACGAGTAGGTCTGCAGTTTTAACCTATCGTAGAGGCAGTCAAGTGGGAAGTGGACTGCAGGAGTTAGAGTGCGGGCAGGAGCCACCTGGCGTCAGCAGTTACTGTGTGGCGGCTGCACGGGGATGATGGCAGCTGGATGGATGACAGCCGTCGTCAGGAGAAACTTCAAAGATAAAGTGAACAGGATAAATAGGATGCGTTGGAAATCTGAAACATGACAGTATTCGTTTTCTTAAAAGAAATGTAAACTCCCCTCCTCCCCACTAAATTCTAGAGTAACCAACACATTTAGAAGATCTAGAATCTAAGTGAAAGTTTCCAGGTTGTGGCCTCAGTAACATGTTTTTGCATATCAAGAAGCTCAGACAGAGCCTTGTAATGTACCCTTGGCAGGAATCATGGAGAAGGGGAGTGTCAGCATCAGCTCCATCACTGGACCAAAGCCGAGACTCCTTGACTTGGATTTCATTGAATCGTTTAAAATTAGGTTCTGATGTTTCTACTTTTCCATGTAAGAATGTTAAAAAGTTAAAAAGTTACTTCTTTCTGCCCAACACCATTCCATTCCACAGACTGGTATTGAAAAGCCCCTGAGCTAGCTGGCCATGATGAATGGTGTTCCCAACCTCGAGGCTGTGCTTCCATTAATGACATCTCTGTGTATGGACTGGATGCATTTCTAGATTCTTCAGTGACTTCTGTATATTGGGAGTAAGGGGAGAGAAGGAACTAACACATTGAAAACACGCAGTATTTTTTTGTATTTTCATGATCTTCTGCATCATTTCATTAAATGCTTACAACATTCCTTCAAGGTACATATGACCTATATAACTAATGAGTAAGCTGAAATTCACAACAGATTTGTAGCTAGTAGATGGAAGAATAAATAATGAATTTTAAAATATTTATTCATCTTACTTGAAATTGTAAAAAAGTATCTAATTTTAGATATTTACACTTATTTACCACTTAGCAGCAGACTCTAAACATAATAAAGTTTAATTTTATTTTTAAGTGTTCTGCAATTTATGTTCTTTACAAAGTCTTTTTTTTTTTTTAAATGAGAGGTGGCTTTTTTTTCCCCCTTTTCTTTTCAGAGACAAAATCTCACTCTGTTGCCCAGGCTGGAGTGCAATGGCACAATCACAGCTCACTGTAACCTCGAACTCCTGGGCTCAAGCTATCCTCCCACCTCACCTCCCAAAGTGCTGGGATTAAGGCATAAACCACTGCACCCAGCCCTTTTTTCCTTCACAGCATACATATCATAACCTCTTTTCTCCTGTCACACATACATTTATTAGACAAACATTCATTATCAAAGTAGACACAAAAATAGTGCATAGGTCTATTCTGTGAGCTTGATGAAAGCCTCCACGCGCTCCCCTTAGGAGACCTCACTCCATTAGGATGGTCTGCAGATTCAGCACAGCCACTGCCACATTACAAGTCTGTGCAGTCAGTGATCCTCCTAATGTGATCAATTGCTGGATGTGGATCTGATTAAGGAGTAAGCCTCAGGTGCCCTATACAGACCTTGAGCCTTGCTGGGGTCTCATACCTTGTTCATGCAATGGAGAATACGGCTCAACTACCATGGCAGTTTATGTATCTCCAACATCTTTAATTTCTTTAATGAGACTGAATTTCTAGTATTCATTATGCTAATTAACAAGACCCTACTTTCACCAATAATTTTTAAAATTTGTTATATAATAATTAGCAAGCTGTGGATTGTTGATGTTGACCCAGGTAGTGGAAGTATTTGGGGAGCCTCTCCTGGAGGGTGGCTCCTTTTGTTGTAATGCTAGCTAACCACCCCAGGGCTGTGTATAAAGCATAGTGTTAGCTTGATCAATCTTAGAATTTAAATTAAAATTAACTGATGCTTACATAATATCACACTGAGTAGACTGGAATATTTTCCAGTATGTTACAGACTTCATGATGCTCACTCTCATGAGTACATTGGTACTAGTCAGACATTGTTTGTTTGTCAGGGGTGCAAAGTGGGAATGAATGGGTACTTCATCTTTGCTGTGCTGATCCCCATTGACTTTCACATTTTTTTTTATTCTGTAGTGCAGGGTTTTCTTACTATGATTTCTTGGAGTACAATGTTCTATCTCTTCACCTCCTTACTCTTAGGCTGGTAAATATCTATAGGAATGAATGGAATGGGGATGGTGAGCGGATCAGGTATATGTAATTTGAAATTTCTGAATGATTCTGATGCCACCCTTCACCCACCTCACTGCCTTAGGCTAGTTCTTCCTTTTGGCTCTATCATTCTTTTCACTTGTGAATTGCATTGCAAATATTTTATCAAAATGGTTTCTACAGTGCTGTCAATTTCCCAGGACCTCTTAGGCTGAGGAGGGAAGTGATGGGCTGTGTACCTTTCAGCACGTGTTGGGGAATGCCACTCTAAAACTCAGTGGCTTTAAACAGCCATCATTTATTCTTGCTCACACATCTGCATGTCAGTTGGGAGTTGGCTGGCTGGCTCTCCTTCCAGCTGTGAGAGAGCTGGGCTTGGCCCCTCATGCAGGGTTGGGCTCAGGTCTGCTCTCTGTATGTTCCTTCTGAGGCCAGGTTGGCAGGAGGCTCTTCCCATGGCAGTGATGGGGGTGCAGAAGGTGAGCACCACTGTGCAATCATAGCTTGTTTGCGATGGGTTTGCTAACATCCCTTCCAACAAAAGAAGTCACATAGATGAGCCCAAAGTCAAGGGGCAGGGAACTCTATATATGAAGATGGGGGAAGAGGAAGGGAATATATATGAATAACTTAATCTACTGTGGCCTGTGAATGAAGATAATGTATTTTGGAGCAGTTTTTAGTTTGCAAAGACTTCTCCTCACCCACATACATTATCCCATTCGGTCCTTATAATAGCCCATGAGGTGTGTGTTATATCTGTCTCCATTTTTAATGAGAAAATTAAGGCCTAGGGAAGTTAAAGACATTTGGTAAAGGATGTCCAGCCAATAGGCAGCACAGCTAGGCTCTTGTCTTCTTCCCCTACATTGTTGATATGGTTTGGCTCTGTGTCCCCACCCGAATCTCACCTTGAATTGTAATAATCCCATGTTTCGTGGGAGGGATCCCATAGGAGGTAATTGAATCATGGGAGCAGGTTTTTCCCATGCTGTTCTTGTGATAATGAATAAGTCTCATGAGATTTGATGGTTTTATAAAAGGGCAGTTCCCCTGCACACACCCTCTTGCCTGCTGCCGTGTAAGATGCGTCTTGCTTCCCCTTTGCCTTTCGCCATGATTGTGAGGCCTCCCCAGCCATGTGGAACTGGAAGAATTAAACCTCTTTCCTCTATAAATTACCCAGTCTTGGGTATGCCTTTATTAGCAGTGCGAGAACAGACTAATACAATTGTCTCACTCTTCATCTGACCTCCCATGAATCATAGAGATCATTGTACTTTGCTGCCATTGGAGAACATGAAAGTAGCTGGGTATTTCTCAATGTTATTTGTTGGTGGCATCCTAAGGAATCAAACACAACCAGAATGGTTCAGGCCAGTGCACCCCACACTTCAAGGCATGTAACAGTGAAGTTGAATAACCAAGGTAGCATTTACCACTTTAGGTTGTGTATAGCGTGTACTTAATTGACTCTCTAAATGTAAGCTTCTCATTAACAGGGCTTATGTCCGGTCACCAGTAATGTGTCTGATTCTATCAGATGTTTGTTCCCACCACACTTCTTTTGGGGTTTGTAATAGTTTTGTCTGTGGGTTTTTTTGTTTAGTTATCTTAGTTTGTCTGTCTGCTTTTATGGGCGAGTTTGGAGAAATTCAAAAGCAATCCCACACTGCCTTCATCTTCCCTGGATCCATGTACCTTATCATGTATGAGTCTTTTCCTAGCCCTCTAGAGAGACTGTCTACCACCTCATTTGTGCCTTGCTGTTCCCTGGACATCCTTATCTTATAATATCAGTGACACTTGCTGATTATGGGTAAGTCTCCTTCTGAGGGCAGGGGTTGTTTTTCACTTGTGTTTGGATCTCAAGTACCTAGTTAATTGTCTGGCATGTAGAGTTCCTCAGTAAGCATTTCTTACATGAAGGAATAAACAGACTTTTGCCGCAAATAGGTCCCACATCTGGAAGAGTAAACTTGTTACCCGGTGCAAATTGCCTAATAATAGCAACTGTATTACGTCTCCCATAGAGGACTGCTATTGCTAACATTTGTAGCTTGAAAGGATGTCCAAGAATTTACTTGGGGATCAGAGTAGGGCCCCTGAGATGTAGTGTCTTAAAAAGGGAAGGCTAGGTGGTTTTCTGTTAGCTATCCCTGGATGTTAACTTTAGATGCCACCTGGGAAGAGGAAGTTGCCTGAAATCTTAAAACTTTAAGCAGAGCACCCAGTGAGGGCATTTAACGGGAGTCATGGGGAAGATGCAGAGAGCAGGGACCAGGTGGCCATCCTAGCAGTGGTTTGCATGTTGCTGTTACCATAGCACCAGTGGGTGGTCCATCCTGTGGAGCAGTGGCATCTTTGATGATGAGCACCACCTCCACTACTGTGACATTGTGGGTGGTGTCATCTTGTTTGACAAATGCTACCTGCCTGTGATTAGGATCCAATGTTGTACTTGGCCCAGCTTAGCTTTGCTTAGTTGTTTGAGCTGGAGTTCAACACAGTAACAACTTTCCAACACAGCCCCTTTCAGATAATGCTGTTTGATTAGTGTTGGAGAACTTCTCTTAGTCTTTTTGGGCTGCTATAACAAAATACTATATGTGAGTGGCTTATCAATAACAGAAATTTATTTCTCACAGTACTGGAGGCTGGAAAGTCCAAGATCAAGATGCTAGCAGATTCAGTGACTGGTGATGAAGGCCCACTTCCCAATTCATAGATAGTGCCTTCTCACTGTAACCTTACATGGTAGAATGGGAAGGCAGCTCTCTGGGGCCTTTCTTATAAGGCACTGATCTCATTCATGAGGGCTCCATTCTCATGGCCTGATCGCCTTCCCAAAGCCCTACCTCCTAATAGCATTACATTGGTGATAAGGTTTTTAACATACATTTTGGAGGGACATAAACATTCAGACCATAGCAATCTTCCACTGAAAGCTCCACTTTAATAAGTCAATGATTTGGCACTGGGATCACAAAGAGTGGAAATCACAAAGATGGGAAACACCCCAGCAGTCACCTTTAATCTTCAACCTCACGGCATTTTCTTGTTGCTTCGCTGTCTGATGTCACAATGAGTATTCATTCTTCAGTGACTGGCACTGGGACTCCCTCACCTTTGTACCTTCAGCACCATTTCTGCTACACTGTAAGTGCTTAGTAAATGTTTCTATAATGAATGAGTTTGTTTTGAGGCTCTTGTTTTTTCTGAAAGGACACCAAACCACAGTGAGAAGAAAAGAGATCTGCCTAATAACAGACAGAACCTGTTTGGGAAAGATTCAGAATGAGGAACCTGGTTATAAGTTGAGTGTGTTTCCTAATGACACATCACATTATATCATGTCATATCACAGCACATCCTGTCATGTCATGCCATGAAGTGACATTTGCTAGTTGTTTAAGGCTGATTTACTCAGTTATGATGTGAGCAAACCAGGTCTCTAAAACTAAAAGCCCTGATTTGTAGCATTTGCCAGTTTCTGGGGTGTAAATACTCCCACCATGGCTGATTTCAGGCTACCCACCTGTATCAGTTTCCTACAGCTCTGTAACAAATTACCACCAACTTGGTGCCTTAAAACAACAAAAATGTATTCTCTTAGTTCTAGAGGCCAGAAGTCCAAAATCGGTTTCACGGGCTGAAATCAAGGGGTTAGCAAGACTGCACTCCCTCTGGAGACTCTATGGGGGAATTTGCTTCTTGCCTCTTCCAGCTTCTAGTGGTTCATGGCATTGCTTGGCTTGTGGCTACATCACTTCAATTTCTGACTCCATGGTTCCAGCACCTTCTCCTCTTCTGTGTGTGTCAAATCTTCTGCATTCCTCTCATAAGCATACATGTGACTACATTTAGGACCCACCTAGATAATCTTTCCATCTCAAGATGCTTAATTATACCTGAAAAATCCTTTTTTTGGTTGTTATATAAGTTAACATGCACAGGATCCAGGGATTAGGACATAGATACCGTTATTCAAGCAACCACATCTCTGTTTAACACCAGCTCACAAAATTTCTGGATATTTAGCAAATGGTCCTTACAAGCAGGCACATGGGGGCTCCAGCACACCATTGAATGTAAGCTTCTTGTAGGAGAAGACTGAGGCTACCAATTAATTGTATCCTCTACAATCCTTAGTCTGGTGAAGCTTGTATAAACTAGAGCTCAAAAAAAAAATACTTTTGAATTGATTAAGAAATCTGACAACTCCAAAATTGATTAATGCCAAACCACTCAGGTTGTTTATTTCTAGGAAAAACCTTCAAATTGTGAGAATTGTCGTAGAAATAAATAGTAGAAGGCTATGGGAAACGGCCAAAACTCATAGTTCTGTGAGAAAATCTTGTGGATCATGTCCAAGTTTGTGTAGTATTGAGCTCTTTGGAAAGCCCACATATCCGCAGTGACTCCTTTTCTGAGTGTTCCCCTCAGCTCATGTCTTCCGGTCCTGATTTTTATTTGTCATATGCTTTGTTTCATCTGTCTCACTAGACTAAGGTCTTTGGGCAGGGACGTGTGTTATACTCCCTTACTACTCCAACCTTTTCCCTTCTGCAATCCTGCGACACTGGTATGGTGCCTTGAACTTAACATCTCCACAATTATTTTGTTATTTATAGACTGACTGAGCTATTCACCAAATTGAAGTGTGTGTATCTATATAAGTCTACTGAATGAGTGAAAGTTAGAACTGCGTTTGTATTTTGCTAAAGTCATCAAAGTCAGTGTCATATTGGTATCCCCTTTGGCTTAAGTGCCTGATTAGCACAGCCTGTGTTGCCTGAGCCCTTAGAGGAGGCCACAGTCCCGGACCCAGGAACATTTCCAAGAATGTTGGTCACCCTTCCCCACTAACCCAGAAAATACTCTGGCCTACTGGTCTCTGTTGCTCCTTCATTTAATAACCTTGTCTCAGTTGCCCTTATCTGGATTGAGGAGAAGATTGTGTATGTCACATATAAGAGGGACACTCTCTGTGAGCCTGATGTGGCACTCTGAGACCCCTTCCTGTGCCTTTGATTGGATTCAGTGCTGTTGGCCCAGCTTCTACCATCCTGCTTTCAGATATTCACTCAACTATTTTGAGCAGCAAAGAAAGAAAGAGATGGGAAATACATTAATTAAGCACATACAGTACAATGTGTCAGCATCGGACTAGAGGGTTTACAACATGGTTTTCTACTTAGTTCCCTTGACAACCCAGCCAATGGGTATAATGCCCATTTTATGGATGATGAGATTCAAAGCCAAATAAGGGGTTCAGTTAGCATGTCAATAAATGGTTTGGGAATGAAGGCTGCCTGATGAATGGATGGAAAGAACTTGCACTCCAGGCAGTTGCAGAGTCTGAAGTGGGAAAGACTCTGCCCAGCAACTCTTGCACACACAGGAGGGAGAGTGTGATGGGACTAGAAGTATGAGCAGCCCCTTGGGAAAGGGTGAGGTAGAATGAGTCTCAGTGAGGCCTGATGATGAGTATATTTAGGTCCTGTGGGAGAGTAGAAAGAAGGTTGGGATTTTATTTGCTAAAGTAGTAAACATTCTGTGTTTGCACTTAATTAGTAAACCAACCAATATAGCAACATTGAGGGATGTGGTTAATGAACAGGACATTGACTTCCCAAGGGTTCTAGTGCTGCTTCTGGAGCACACATGCCCACACTGGTCGTTCTCATCTTTAAGTGCACGGCACTTACTGCCTCATCCCTCATGCGCTGCCTTGAGCCACTGCTTGTATATTTGCCCTGTGAGCCCTGTGTTCATGGGGAAAGTGTCTTGTCCACAAGTAGATGGTGAGCTCCAGGTAGAAAAAGTTGTGTATTGTCTTTCTTCATGTCTCCCATTGAAGCTCACACAGGAAGAAAGCAGGGGATTGCACAGATGCCACAGAGCCCTTCTAAGGTGATGCTATCTGTTATAGACTGAACTGTCCCCCAGAATTCATAGGCTGAAGTCCTAACCCCCAATGTGACTATATTTGGAGACAGAGCCTTTAAAGAGGTAATTAAGATTAAAGAGATCATAAGAGTGAGCTCTTAATCCAATAGAACCACAATTCTTATAAGAAGCCGCTAGGAGTGGTGGCTCACGCCTGTAATCCCAGCACTTTGGGAGGACGAAGCAGGCAGATCACCTGAAGTCAGGAGTTCAAGACCAGCCTGGCCAACATGGTGAAACCCCGTCTCTGCAAAAATACAAAAATTAGCCAGGCATAATGGTGGGTGCCTGTAGTCCCAGCTACTCGGGAGGCTGAGGTGGGAGAATCACTTAAACCCGGGAGGCGGAGATTGCAGTGAGCCGAGATTGCACCATTGCATTCCAGCCTGGGTGACACAGTGAGACTCCATCTCAAAAAAAAAAAAAAAAAAAAAAAAGATACAAAGAAGAGACATCAGGAACATGAGAAAAGACCATGTGAGGACACAGAGACAAGGCTTGTCTGCTAACCAAGGAGAGGGTTCTTGGGAGAAACCAAGCCTGCTGACACCTTGATCTTGTACTTCCAGCATCTAGAAATGTGAAAAATAAATTTCTGTTGTTTAAGCCACCCAGTCTGTGGTATTTTATTATGGCAGCCCTAAAAGACTAATATACTACCCTTGGAAATTAAAAAAAAAAAATGTCATGAGAGTGTAAGTAGGCATCTAGTAGATGCTCTTTGAATATACTTAAGTTATATTCAAAATATAACTTAAAATGTACTTGTTTTATTCAGAAATTTCCTTCATATTTAGGAACGAGAAGGATAGTCAGTTCTTTGAATTCATCACTGAAGATGCTGAGGAAAGAGATTGTCAGATGTCTTACCTACCAAGAGGCAGTAGGATGGATGAAATAAACTCTTCAAGTCTATACTTGCTATAAGCCTTTATGTTCACTTTTTATGTTAGTACTTTGCTACAGACATTAGAAAATTGCAATTTAAATAACATAAGTATTTGTGTAGCTAGTATATGTTTGTGTAGCATATTTGTGGAGTTGGGCTATGCTCTCTATTTAGTACTCATTCAGGTTCCATAATAGCTTGAGAAATATTCATAGTAACTTTTTTTTAAGAAGAAGAAAACACATCAGTATTTATTGTGCTAGAAATAATTACAAATACAATTCCATTAATCCTTACGACAACCCAAGTAAGTAAGGTATTATTTATCATATTTTATAAGGAATGCGAACATAGTCTAGAGTGGTTGGGAATGTACTGAATTTCTCTGTGGGGAACCTTCATCACTAAGTTCTGACATTAAAAGCCAGCTCACTTTGGCTTCTGCGCTCAGCCATGGTCAACTCAGGGTCAATCTCGCTGTGTCCCTCTGGATCCCAGAATCTTTCTCCTGTGTTTCAGATTGGTTGTATAAGAGTTTTATTTTAGAGAAAAGATTTATCAAAGTGCTAGCAGTTACACACTCTGTTCACAACTTCTTTAATTCCAGTGTTTACTAACTTCCCTATTTCTTATAACTCCAGGAGATAGCATTTAATTAGTCTCCAGTGTCAATGGCATATCCTCCCATTTTATAGGGCAGGAGCCCTCTTCAACAGGCTTGGCCAGGAAGATTACAGACCCTTGACCACTCAAGGTCTGTAAAAGTGAAGTCTAAATTCTTCTTGCTAGCAACTGGCATGGGGCTGTGGGAGGCTAGGCATCTAGATTTGTTGACGTGATGTAAAGAGTTGCTTGTTCACATTCTTGTTATCAGGATATTATTTTTTCATGCCTGGATTTAGAGATGCCTTTATAGAAGAAGGTTTCTCAGAGTCCTCTCAGTCCTGCCTTCTGTGAGGTTTTTGCCTTTCAATTTGGACATGCTTTGATCCAGTAGTTGGAGAGAAGTCAAGCTTCCTTGAAGGAGTCTCTATCCATCAACAATCACTGAGTTCATCATCCAGTCTTCCATTCCCAAAGGCTGGACTTAGGGAGTCCACAGCTCTCATTTGAAAGCACATAATTTTATGTTTTTTAATCAAATGATGATGAGGGTGAAGTTTGGCTTTGGGGAGGCTTTTGAAGTTGCTCCTTGCACCATTTCTTTTCCTGCTCTTCATAGACCCTACAGGATCCAGGTTGCCATAGGCTTGATCTCAGCACATATATACTTTCAAGATAAACTTAGGAAAGGGAAGAAACTCTGAGGCCCATGCTGGTATGTAAATGGTCTGGCCTGGAAGTGACATGTGTCATTTACTCTTACAACTCATTGGCAAAAACTAGACATGAGGCCCCATCCAACCACAAGGGATGAGGGAATTCAGCTCTCCATCTGCCTATAAGAAGAGAAGTTCTGGATGTCAGTGAGCAACACCTTTTTAGGCACTGCAGGTGTATATAAATGCTACATACCTATATTAATATACATAATTTTAAAATGAAATGTATGAAGAAATAAATGTGTAGGAAATCACTAACAATAAAAATGGTGTCATACTGTGTTCTGTAATTTGGTGCTTTTCATGCAACAATATACCTTGGCATCCTTCCATGTCAGTATGTAAGTTGCATTTGTTCTAAAGTTTGCACAGTAGTGTGTTCCTTTCCTTTACTGATGCATCCTCCAGCACCTACTGGTGATGAACTCTGTGATTGTTGGTGGATAGAGTATGCCACGCTTTATGCTGGGTGCCAGAGTGAAGAAGATGGCAGTGGCAGTCCTGCATGGCACATTCTGCAGCATATCCACAGTACGTATGTGCCATGATCTATTGTCCTATTGGTGTCCCTGTAGATGAGACTTAGATGTTACAAACAATGCCACAGGCAACATTGTTGCACACACATCTTTGGGCATTTGCTTGAGTTTTTTCTCTTGTATGGACAGCAGAAAATAAAAGTTGCAAATTCCAGCATTTCTTCATGTGCCCAGAAAGATTCTATTTATCACAATGGAAGAGAGAATGGACTCTTCAGAGTGGGGCTCTCCAAATGGAATTTCTAAGTATTTTTTTGCCTGGGCTTTGTTCTCAGCTTAGGCCAGCATTTAATTGTGTGTGAAGTAATCGGCCTCAGGCACTTTGTTCCTTCATTCCCTTCAGCTTTTACTTCTACCAGTGGGGAGTATAGTGGCGAATTTTCAAAACCCTCCACATTTGGGCTGAGGTGGCTCTTACTGACAGAGACGAAGAATGGCTCCCACATCCCAGCTCCCCCATTCCTCCACATTGGGAGTATAGCCAGAGCTTGAGGAGTCTGTCCATTCACCACCGCTCCTCTGAGGAGCGTAGTTGCTGGAGTCCCTTTGTGCTTCTGAATGACATTTCTTAAGGTTGTTCGTATGAAATGAGACTATTTCCTAGTTTCAGTGCTACGTGAATAGATTTATTTTTCGATTTAAAATTTTTTTTCATTTGACGTAGGGATTCTGGAATTTGGTAATTTTTAATATTTCTGCCACCTTTTCCAGATGTCTCTTGTCTTTTAGTGCACTACATCGTGGGGCATTTGGTGAGAGCAACACTTTTTTGTTGTTGTTCCCACAGGGATTTCTATCTGGGTTGGTGTATTATAATATATTGAGACATTTCCAATCACTGAATTCGCCAGCCTAATGATTCCCGTCTCTTTACAGGTAGGGCAGTGCCATTTGTAAGCACACTGGGTGCCAGGGCAGATGCTTGCAGATTAGATTTACTGGAATCTTTCAGCCCATGGGTCCTGTGATGCTTTTACAGCCAGAACTATAGAGAAATTATTTCCAGCTTTCCTCTGCTATGCATGTAGTTTCCAAATAAAATCCAGACTTTGCTGTACACGTAAGTCTGTTCTTGTGACCAGCTGCTTGAAATGAACAAACTTTTCAAATGTCTTTTTTAAAAAAACTTGGTCACTTTTTAATTAATTTTTAAAATATGTAAATAATGGGTTCTCTGGGAGAAAAAGGACATCATTAGGGAACTGTCCTTTGAGGAGTATTTCAAGCTGCCGATGGAGTTATTTTTCACTGATGACAGCTCAGGATGTGATTCATAGTGCTGGAGATCATACCACTTTCCTACTCTTAAGTTCTGGAGTCAGCGATCTCCCCCGCTGGCCCCTTGCAGATAGAGGAAGATACTCAGGTGTGTACCTCAGATGCCTGCCATATCAAGGGCTGCTGAGATACATTCACATCTTAACAGGCAGCTGCTGCTGGTTCTGCTACTGATGTGCCATCCACAGTGCCGGTTTCCAAGGAAAATGGAGCGTAGGAAGAAGTGCCGTGCCTACCTGCACCTCGGTCTCCATTGCCAGCAGACAGTGCATATTTGATTTACTTAATTGAGTGGCAGAGCTATACAGAGAGAAGTCAGTGTAGCAGGATGAGAATAAGCTGCAGCAGGCTGGGTGCAGAAAACCAGAATCTTCCCAGGCATGCAGCTGGCTTTCCGCTCACCGGCTCAGCACCATCTTGCCTGCTTGCGCAACCTCCACTCTCCACTCTTGAAGTAATGAGGACCGGAATTTTAGCTCCAGATCGACTGCAAGAACAAACCAGCAATCCCAAGAGGCCCCACAGACCCTCTGAAGGAAGCGGACTTCTCCTGCAGGACCGGAAGAGACACCCCAAATACTGTGAGTGCCCCAGCTGCGGAAGTGGGAAAGGGAGACCCTCCTCTCCCAAGCACACACCTCCACTGGAGAAGCTGAAGGTCTGTTTGCGGGAGAAGTTTCCGACTTTACTTGGAACTGAGTCAAGTTAGTGAGCCGAGCGAAATACAGAGGTAGAGGAAGCAACAGGAAGGCCCTGGGAGCTCCCTGGGTCCTCAAGCAGCCCATTCCCGCTGGGCACCACAGGGATTCATGGGGAGGGTGGGCAGAGGAGCAGGGGGTAAACTCCACGGGGAGGAGGAATTCTCTAGCTGAACTTTGTAACAATTTGAAAGCGGCGAGAAGCCTCCTGACCAGAACTTGCGGGAGAGTGCAAATCGGGCATGCAGACTTCACAGGCGGGGAGGGGGGAAGAACTAAAGCCCTTTTCTCTCACAGCTGGGAGGAAGATGGTCTTGGGCAAATTTTCAAGCCCATCTCGCCCTTCGCCTGGGAACAGACTTGGGATTGTTGGTGGGGGCACGGTGGGAGTGAGATTGGCCCTTCAGTTTGCATGGGAGCTGAGTGAGGCCTGTGACTGCCGGCTTTCCCCCACTTCCCTGAGTTGCTGTGGATATTAAATTGAATATGTGGATATGGAGCTTCATGTGGAAATACATTAAACAAATAAGAAAAAAAAGTTTGGGTAAAATAATCCAATACAGTCTCTCATTTCAAAAAATCTTAAATTCAATTTAAAAAATGTGACTAGATAACTTTCCATTTATGTCGATATTTATAGCCCATCCAGATTTTAAGAAACTTCACTCTCTAAAACATCTGTTCCTGGTTGCTTAATCAAATTCAGGGTTTTAAACTATTTTAAGCAATTCAGAAGATTATTCTTAAGTAATCAAAAAAATAAAGTTTATTCTATGGGAACATTTGATATTTTGCTTTAACATTTTGAACAGATTCTCATTTTGTTGGGGGGTCTGACCTTCACCCATGATTTTAAGTGTTCAGCCTCATTACACACAAACCTTATCTGTCCATGGTCCCAAATAGTTAGAGCTCATGTTTCTTGTTTGTATTTGTGAACAGAAATTTTTAGCAAGGAATAAAATAAGATTAGTCCTTTATCTGAAACACACTGGAGATAAATTGGATAGCCGTAATTGAGGAAGAGCCGTGGTGGCCAAGAGGCCAAAGTCCTGAGGCAGATGAAACCCCAGTGATCCACTGTGGCACACATCCCGAATGAAGGCAAATTCATGGACACTAAGCCTGGTTCCCAGAACTCAGTGCCTGCTGTTGTGCTTGATGTTTAGGGAGTGCTATGGGAAAGAGACAACAGAGGACACAGGCTCCTTTCAGAAGGCTACCTTGGGAGATTGACTTCTGTGCCAGTCCAGGGGAACCACAAGTAAACCATGTTCAGTTGTCCAGATTGTGCACTGAGCAATAACACCAGCCAAAGGTTGAGTGGAGTTGGAGTTCGGCTCACACTCTGCTCACCAAGTTGTCCCTTATGTGCAGGACTGCAAGTATAGAGAAGAGGCTATGACTGGCTTTTCAAGGATACTATCTTCTTGTTTTTGTTCTGTGCCTATGGAAACAGCCTGATAACCAAGTGTCAGTCTGTTCTGCCAATCATTGCTCCACACAGGGTCAGAGATAGCTGCAGTGGCAGGTGTTGAATCAACACATATCTGCTGAACATCACCTGTGCTTAACACTTGTGCCAGGCTCTTTGAGGGATAAAAAGTATAATAAGCCCACCAAATTCAATAATTGGATGTCAATTATGTAAACTGTAGAGATATTATCACGAGGTCAAGGAAAACCAGTACTTTTCAGACAGAATTTTAGTCCTATCTAATTTTCTCAAATGGGCACTGGATGAAGTAGGGGAGCCAGTTACGTGACATGCACATTCATGGTATCAAGCAATTGGCTCTATAGTACGGGGTCCCTTTGCTACCAATCTAGCGGACTTAAAAGTGAAAGCAGGCTGGGCATGGTGGCTTATGCCTGTGATCCCAGTACTTTGGGATGCCGAGGCAGGCAGATCACTTGAGGTCAGGAGTTCGAGACCAGCCTGGCTAACGTGTTGAAGTCCCATCTCTACTAAACAAACAAATTAGCTGGGTATGGTGGTGGGCGCCTGTAATCCCAGCTACTCTGGAGCCTGGGGCAGGAGAATTGCTTGAGCCTGGGAGGCAGAGGTTGCAGTGAGCCGAGATCGTGCCACTGCATTCCAGCCTGGATGAAAGAGTGAGACTCCATCTCAAAAAAAAAAAAAAAAAAAAGTGTGAAAGCACGTTTAAGCTAAGACTAGGTATAAATGTAAAGATGTCACAGATAATTACCACCAGGACCTATGGACAAAGAGACATCACTAGGGTCAATGCAGCCTAACAGTCTTCAAGGAGTATAGGATCTGAGTTAGGCTTGGAGGATGGGTATTAGTAAAGCTTCCTTTATATCAAATGACAGATACCAACTTCGCTATCCTAAGGCCAAAAAAAAAAAAAGAAAAGGAAATAAAAAAGAGTGGAATTGATTGGGTGGTTTGGAAGGATATCTGGGGTATCTCAAGGAACCACAGACAGACTTAACAACTAAGACTCAGAAATTTCAGGGACCAAAGAAACAAGCATTCATGGACATTTTCTCTAGAGAATTTCCATTAAAGTGGCTTAGCTGCCTATTATATAGGTCACTGCATAGAAGTACAAATTTCTAATTCCCAGGTGATAAAAATCTGATTGGCTTGGATAAACACTTTTCCTAGTTCTTTTTTTATTTAGTAGTCCTTGTTTTTGTTAAAAAAAATTTTTAAGGCATCTAGGCACAGCAAGGATATATGTATAAGGGATTAATAAAATATATCTTACAGGAATTTAGAGCTGAAAGAGATTGAGACCAACTCCCTTATTTTACAGTTGGAGATTCAGAAAAGTTTAGGTGACTTGCCTAGCATTACAGAGCATATTAATATCAGGGTCAGGTTGAGAATCTCAAAATTCCCAGTACCTCATATTGCCCAGGATGTTTTCATTGGAGACTTTTATATTTTAAGCCTGAACATCCAACTCAATAACTACCAGACATCTAATTCTTGCTGAGAGTCAAGAGGTACTGGCCAGCCATGCTGCTGTGCATGTGAGTAGCTGTGACCTGGGTGGGGTAAGAAATCAGGTGTGGAGCTTAGCTCAGAGGCCTTGTCCTCCATCTCCTGGAGTGGTTTTAGATCTGGCTAGATTGCTTTCATCATGAGAGTGTGACCGCATGCTCTGTAGTGGAGGGACTGGGAATCACCATGCAACCCTCTGACCAATGTTAACATCACTAAATGTGCAAGAACCAGACATTAGGGGTTTCTCCTGTGGGATGCAACAGGAAGAACACAGCACCACCTATTCAGTATTCTTACATATACACATATACATGTAGCTGATGTCTGCACCTTAGCCATATATATATCAACATGCATATATATATATATATATATATATATATGTTTGTATGTCAAGCTAGAAGTTTGATTAGAGTCAAGTATATGTGTGTTTGTGTGTATACCTGAATCTCTATGTGCACACATGTGCGTGTGTGTACACACACACACACTTTAATAAAGCCTTTAGCTCTGTTGACCAATTTACAGGAGAAAAAGGTTAAAGGAGAAAGCAACAGACAAATCCATATGTGGGACATTCTTTTTTCTTTTTTCTTTTTTTTTTTTTTTTGAGATGGAGTCTTGCTCTGTCACCCAGGCTGGAGGAGTGCAGTGGCACGATCTCGGCTGTCTGCAACCTCCGCCTCCTGGGTTCAAGCGATTCTTCTGCCTCAGCCTTCCGAATAGCTGGGACTACAGGCATGCGCCACCATGCCCAGCTAATTTTTGTATTTTTAGTAGAGACGGGGTTTCACCACATTGGCCAGGATAGTCTTGATCTCTTGACCTTGTGTTCCATCCACCTTGGCCTCCCAAAGTGCTGGGATTACAGGCGTGAGCCACCGCGCCCGGCCAGATGTGGGACATTCTAAAGGACAATCAACTGGTTTCTGCAATTAGCCAATGGCAGGAAAAAAAGGGAGATGGAACTGCTCTAAAAGAAAACAGACTTAAGGATAAAACAACTAAATACTATGTGTGGACTCTGGCCGCACCTGATTCGAATGGATGAACTGTAAAGAGACTTTTTTTTTAAAGAGCACTACAAAATTTGATAATCTATTAGATAACACCCAGGAATTGTTCTATAACCTTGTTAGGTGTGATAATAATATTGTGGTTATGTTTGAAAAGGTCCGTAATTTTAAGGATTCATAGTGTAGTCTCGGGGTGAAATGACATGAGATAGCGGATTTGCTTTAAGATACTTTGGCAATCAACACTGTTGTATTCTTAGGCAAAGTAAATCCATGAGAGGCAGGCTTGAACTGTCCATTTAGAAAGAAGAGGCTGCAGACCACATGGCGCTTCCATGCCAAGAACGAACTTGAGAGCACTGTGGGGAAATGGACTTTCCCCTGTGTTTGTTCATTTGTCAGGGACACTAAGTAATTTCAAAATTAAAGAAAAGCCAGCCACAGCTCTGAAGTGCCAAGGACTGTCAAGAACGCTGTGTGTGTTTCTATCAAAGCACTGATGTTGCTAACACATTCATCATTTATTTTTAAACCTGCTGGGACTGCTGTTGAGGTACTCTACGCAGCCACTAGCCATTTTCCTCCTTGGGCAGGGTTATTAGCTTCTGCTTTCCTCCAGAGAGACCAATGAGGGAAGTGCAGAAACCTCCCTTGGCTTTTCTCTGACAGAATAAAGAAGAGACCCTGAGAGCGGTCTAGAGACCCTAAAAGCAGACTGTGTATTAAGCAGTGAGGCATGGACAATGGTGGCTGTTCCATCTCCAACCTCTCCTTGGAGATGGCTCACTCTCAGCCCTGGGGGAGGCCATGTGTGGGCAGCATCTGCTGCTGGAGTTTCATTGGCAGCTGTATTTGTGTCCCTATTTCATAGACATCCATGGTGGGACAGCAGCTGGTTCTCTGGGTCTTTGAGGCCTTGGGCCTGGGACACAGCAGCCGTCAGGCTCTCTCCTTGCTGAGTGTGTGTGAGAGACCTTTCTGTCCCCTAGGGAATTCACACAATGTCCACAGCCTATGAAACCTCCCGTGTTCTCATAGATCCCAATCATGACTCAGAGAGGAAAATCATGCTTTGATGTACAGAATCCGTGTGATCCTGAGTATGTGGATGTGGTTCAGATTTCTGTACCCTGACTCACATTTTTGGCCAGCTGGGATTTCACTGTTAGGGAGATTCTTAGACTCCTGGGAAGGGAAGAACCTCTGCTGAGCACTGTGGAAAAATTGCTGTGGGAACAGCCAGAAGATGTGGAGGAAACTCAGTTTCTGCATCTGAACGAAAGAGGATGGGATACCTGCCCAGCCCCTTTTTACAGAGTTATGGGAAGAACAAAGGTGAATGTGTGCGCATGTGCTTTAGTAACTGCCAAGTGGTCTACAGGTGGAAAGTAGGGTTTTTGGTAATAGGTTTGCTTATGGTGAAAGCCACTTCCTCCTGTTGAATAGCCCGTCTCTTTCTCAAGGCTATAATCCAAGGATCCTTTCATGACTGCAGAAATTCAAAATAGCTTCCTGGTGCACCTGCTTCCAGTGTTTCTCTTCATCATGCCCTATTCCTTTCCTCGCCAACTCACTTGAATTCCTGGGAAAATGAGATTCTGTGGAACTATCAAGAAGAGAAAGACAACATTTGCTTTTTGTGTGCACCTGAACCTGGCATATTTTAGCAGTCCTACCTTTTCTCTCTCCCCTTCTTTTCTCTCTCTTCCCATCTCCTCCCCTTACCTTCCTTTCCCTTCCCATCCCTCCCCTCTTTCGTTCCCTCTTGGTACATTTGCCTATGATTCCAGTGAGTTGTTATGAAATTTAATTAAATTTCTCACCTTGAACTTCTGCGTATTTATTGGACAGGCAAAAAAAAAGAGAGAGAGAAAAAAGACTGTTAATGTACCTCCTTTAGTTGAAGTTGCTTGTTTCAGTTAGAGGACATACATTATTTCATGGTTTGAAAAGTGACAGGAACCCCTACTGGCTGTTCAGAAGGAGCCATCTGTGGACAGGCGTCCATATTCCAGAGCAAGACTGTAGTTCGAGGGGCTGGCCATGCTTCACATTCACAGGTGACCAAGGCAGGGCAAGGGAGCCCATCTGTGCTGGAACTCACTGGCATCCTTAAAAGTTCATTATGGTGGGTGGCTAAGTGTTGCCATTTCCCTCCCGTTTGAGTGAGGCTGTGCCCTTCCTGGTGGCAGGGTCTATGGTATGTTTGTCTTCAATTATCTGGCACCCAGAACATTCCCTCACACATGGTAGATGCTCAGTAAATGTGTGGAAGAGTCACGAGAAAACAGCTCCATTTCCTATCGTGCTTTACTTTGCCTCTGTAAAGTGTTGAAGAAATATCACGCTCTTTTCTGTATGGGAAACTGTTCTGTAACCAGTCATGTCTGAGAGACCCCCAAGGATGGGACATTGAGGAGGTGGGGGCAGTGGGGATGTGGGCAGCTGGTGTGGAAATCAGGGTAGGCCTTTTTAAAAATGGCCTGCTATGGACAGGTAGCCCATAGACTTCAAGCCACTCAATTCCTGCAGCCTCTGTGCCAGCATGTGGCTCCCACCAGGAGCATGGCTCCAATCGCTGATGTCACTGCCAAACCTACCCCATATACTTGGCAACTAAAGTCCTCATAGTCGCCTTCTTCTCTCAAGAAACATGTTCTCGTGATGAATATGTCTTCATAGAAATGCTGAAGGTTTTGTCCACAAATGCTGGAAAATATTAGGAATTTCAAGCAATTTGCTAGGCAGATTTAGGAATGTTTTTGACATTCGAAAAGTGGACAGTGGCCCTGCAATGGATGGTTGCCTTAATTTTCTTGAAGCTCCATGTTCTCCCATCTACAAACCTGTCTTTCTTCTAACAACCGTAGGAAGCTTTAGCCTTTACATCAGCAATCTGATCTTTTTCAGGGGTAAACCTGACAATCAGTAAAATAAATCAATAGGAGGTGACTACAAATGCTTTTTTTTTTCATATTTCCTACCTTCTTCCAAGAATGGAAAAACTCCCACTGAGTAAAGAATGACAATGTGCTTCAGGTTGGGGGGTATAGTCTTATAATCACTGAATTGGAAAGAGCTAAAGGACTTTTCAGCCATAGAGGACCACATCTAGGCATCCACTTAGGTTATTTCATGACTAATATGTAGAACGAGTATGATTTGGTCCTAACTGTAACAAAATGAGTAGCCCTTTGCTATTGATATAAGAGGGGGATCCCTTCTGATGGACCAGAATCCCCACCAAAGGCAGGGGAATTGGGAATCTTAATTGTTGGTTTAATTTATTAGGATTGGGAAGGTACTTGCTATCCCTAGTGTCTGGCACTGACAGGGGACTGGGGAGATGTGAATAAAAGGTCAGAAAATAGTTTTTCGTAGAGTAATATTTATCCCACGTTGCACTGCCACAGTGCTGAAAGTTCCTACTGTTGCAGACATGGGCTGTGCTTGTTAAACTTACCTGGTCACAAGAATCACTGCTTTGCTTATTGAAAACAGACTCCTAGGACCCAATCTATCAAGAGAAGAGGTTCTCAGGGGTAATATGCTTGGGAGGCAATGCATATCAGAATCATTTGGGGAACATTTGCAAAGTACGTACAGCCTCCTGATAATAGATGGTATTCTTCAACTTCTAATATTTATTCCACGGAGGAGGAAGTCTATGTGTGTTAAAAAAAAAAAAGCTTCTTAGATGATTTTAATATGCTGCCTTCTGTCCTCTTCTCTTTCCCTCCCCATCTCTGCCCTTTACCCTTGTTGGAAAACCATTAAACCCAAAGAAAGGAAATTATTTTTATTTTCTTATAAAATGTTTTTAACAGCCTTATTGAGGTATCATTTACACACCATAAAATTCATTTACTGTAGTGCACAGTTCAATGATTTTTAGTAAATTTAGGCAGTTGTGGAATCATCACAATACACTTTTAAAATATTTCCATGACCCCCAAAAGTTCACTCATGCCTGTTGGCAATCTGCATTCCTATCCCAGCCACAAGCAAATATTGTTGTCTTGTTTGTCTTTCATTAGATGCATTTTAAAGAAATGTCATATAGTGGAATCATACAAGATGTAGTCTTTTGTATCTGGTTTCTTTCACTTTGCATAATATTTTGAGGTTCATTTATGTTGCATTTATCAACAGTTTGTTCCTTTTCATTGATGAATAGTATTCCATTGTATTGCTGTATCAGATTTTGTTTATCCATTCATGAGCTGAGGGATGTTTGGATTGTTTCTAATGTGGGGCTATTATAAATAATGCTGCTATGAATATTTGCACACAAATCTTTGTGTGAATACACGCTTCATTTCTCTTAAGTAAATATTTAGGATTGGAATTGTTTGCTTATATGAAATGTCTATGTTAGTCTTTTGAGAAGCTGCCCAACTGGTTTCCAAAATAATTGTACCATTTTACATTTTCAACAGCAACATACAAGGGTTTCAGTTTTTCCATATGTTAGCCAACATTTGGCATTGCTAATCTTTTAGATTATAGCTATTTAAATGGGTTTGTAGTAGTATATAATCATGATTTTAAGTTGCATTTCCCTGATAATTAATGATGTTGCATATCTTTTCAATATTTCTTTGCTGAAGTGCCTATTCAAATCTTTTGCACATTTCGTAGTTTGTCTTGAGTTTGAGCATACATGCACACACACAAACACACACGTACACACACACATGTACACACACTCTGAATGCAAGTCTTTTGTCAGATACATGGTTTGCAAATATTTTTCCCTGTCTGCATTATATCTTTTCATTTCAATTAAGACATATTTTGAGAGCAAAGTTTGCGATTTTGTTGAAGTTCAATTTATCATTTTTTTTTTACAAGCTGTGCTTTTGGTATCATATCTAAGAAATTTTGGCCTTATCCAAGGTAGAGTGAGTTTCTCCTATAGTTTCTCCCATAGTTCTAATAGTTTCAGCCCTTATATTTATGTCTATGATCCATTTTGAGTGAATTTTTGGGAGTGGTATGAGAAAGGTGTCCATCATCATTCTTTTTCATGTGGATATCCAGTGAAAAGCCTCATATCCTTTCCCACTTTTCCTGCCCTTCCATCATTAAATTGCCTGGGCCAACTTTGTTCAAAATTAATTAACCTATGAGCAAGGGTTAACTGCTCACTATTTTCTTCCATCGATCTGCACATCTTTTCTTATGCCAATACCACACTATTAATTACTGTAACTTTACAATAAGTTTTGAAATTAGGTACTGAAAGTCCAGCAACTTTTGTTTTTCTTTATAACATTTATTTTGAATATTCTAAGTCTTTTATTTCAATATAAATGTTAGAATCAGCTTATTAATTTCTACCAAAATAGCCACTTGGAATTTCAGTATATAGAATATATAGATCAATTTGAGAATTTCCCAGACTTGAGTCTTTAATCCTTGAACATGGTATGGCTCTCTAACTATTTAGAAATTCTTTAGTTGATCTCGGTAATGTTTTGTACATTTCAGGATATAGATATTGCACATTGACTTAAACGTTAATTTGTAATTATTTTGTTCTTTCTGATTATCTTGGAAATGAAACTGCTTTCTTAGTTTCATTTTTGGATTGTTTATTTCTGGTACAGAATACAACTATTTTTTTTATACTGACCTGTTATCCTGTAACCTTGCTAAATTTGCTTGTTATGTCTAGTAAGTTTTTTGAAGTTTCCTTAGGATTTTCTAAATAAATAATTATATTGTCTATAAAAGAGTCTTACTTTGTTTCCAATTTGCATGCCTTTAATTTCTTTTGCTTGTCTTATCACGTTGGCTCACCATCAGTACAATGTTGAATGAAAGTAGTGAGAGGGGACATATTTGCCTTGTTCTTAATCCTAGGGTAAAGCATTCTGTCTTTTATCATTAACTATGAGGTTAGCTGTAGACACTTTTTAAACATATCTTTTATAAGGTTGAAAATTCTCCCTCATATTTCTAGTTTCCTGAAGTTTCTGTTATGTATAGGTAGTGATTTTTGTCAAGGACTTTTCTACATCTATTGAGAGGGTCATATGGTTTTTGTTCTTTATTTTATTAATTTGGTGTTTTAAAATAATTGATTTAAAAATTTTAAATGAACTTTGCAATCATGGGTAAATCTCACTTGGCCATCATACATACTCTTTTTCATATATTGCTAAATTTGGTTTGTTATTATTTTGTTGAAATTTTTATATCCTTATTCATGAGGGATATTAGCCAGGTTTTTTGTGGTATCTTCTTAGTGTCTTTGTTAGCTTTGATGTCTGGGCAGTACTGCCTCCAGAAAAAGTTGGAAAATTTTATGTGAAAATTTATTTTGGGAAGAGTTTGTGTAGGACTGATATTATTTTTTCCTTAAATATTGGATAAAATTGATCATTGAAGCCACTGAACCTGGGTTTTTCTTCATGGTAAGATTTTTTAATTACTGATTTGGTTTTTTAACCTGTTACAGTTTGTCTTCTTGAGTCATTTTAGTAATTTGTGTCTTGCTAGGAATTTTCTATTTCATATAATTTGTCTAATTTGTTGGCACAGAATTACAGCTAATATCCCCTTATAATTCTTTTAATTTCTGCGGGGCAGATAGTGATGTTTTCTCTTTTATTTCTGTTTTTAGTAATTGGATTTTATTTTTCTTTTTGCTCAGTTATTCTAGCTAATTGATTTTGCTGATTTTGTCAAAGAACCTGCCTTTGGTTTTTTGTTGACTTTTTTCTATTGATTTTCTTTTTTGTACTTAATTAATTTTTAATTTGAGCTTTATTTTTTCCTTACTTTAGATTTTATTTGGTCCCTTTTTAATGTTTTTATATAAATGCATTTATAGCTTTCTTCTTTTCTAATTCAAATATTTAAAGCTAGAAACCTTCCCTCTAAATACTATTTTCATTGTAACCCATAAATTCACATGTTTTGTTTCCATCTTTATGTAATTCAGTATTTTTTGTAGTTGCTCTTTTGGTTTCTTTCTTAACTCATTAGTTATTTAGAAGTTTATTGTTTAATTTCTCAAATTTCTTTCAGTTGGTGATTTCTAATTTAATATTCTGGTGTTCAGAGAACTTACTTGGCATGATTTTAACTCTTTTACATTTCTTGATAATTATTTTATAGCCTAGCATATGGTCTACCCTGGAGAATAGTTGGCATGCGCTTAAGATAATGTGTGTTCTGCTTTTATGAGGGAAATGTTCTGTGTCAGTAAGGTCAAGTTGATAGCATTGTTCAAGTCTTCTAAATCCTTCTTGATTTTTGTCAAGTTTTTCTATGAAGTACTAAAAGAGAGATATTGAGATATGAAGCAATAATTTTGCATAATTTTTATCCTCAATTTTGCCAGTCTTTTACTTTATGTATTTTATGGTTCTGTTATTAAGTACATATACATTTATAGTTACTATATCTTCTCGATATATTTATCTCTTTATTATTATGAAATGTCTCAATTTTTCTCTGATATTTCTTACCTTAAAATATTTTTTGTTATTAATGTAGTCAACCTAGCTCTTTTATGATTATGGTCTCCATGATTTATCATTTATTCAATTCTTTCACTTTCAACTATTCCATGTCTTTGAATATAATGTGTGTTTCTTGTAGACAGATTTTGGTTGGGTCTTACTTTTTTATTTTATATGACAATCTCTGTTTTTTGAATTGAGTGTTTATTCTATTCACATTTAATGTCATTATTGATGTTGGTTGGATTTACATCTGTTTATTTCTTCATGTCTCATGTCTTTTTCTTCTTCTGTTTCTCTTTTACTGCCTTGCTTTGTGCTAACCAAATATTTTTTAATGTGCCATTTAATTTTTTCTGTTGATTTTTAACCATATTTTTAAACTATTTTCTTTTTGGTTGTTCGGTAGTATATAATAACTTTGCTTTAATGTCGCTCCATTTACTCCCTCACCTGTGTGCTATTATTTCCTATATATTACATCTATATAAACTCTAAATCCATTAATACACTGTTGGCATTATTGCTTTATATATACTTATGGCTTTTTAAAAAAATAAGAGAAGAAAATAGAAAATTGTTATATTTGTCATTTCAGATCTTTATTTATTGCTGTGTACTCAAGCAGAGACAATTCAAGATGAGGTTAAGGTATAGATACAGGAAGCCATAATTCAGCTGAGCTTTAATGGATAAATAAGAGTTTACACTATCGCAAGAACAAAAAACCAAACACCGCATGTTCTCACTCATAGGTGGGAATTGAACAATGAGAACACATGGACACAGGAAGGGGAACATCACACTCTGGGGACTGTTGTGGGGTCGGGGGGGAGGGATAGCATTAGGAGATATACCTAATGCTAAATGACGAGTTAGTGGGTGCAGCACACCAGCATGGCACATGTATACATATGTAACTAACCTGCACATTGTGCACATGTACCCTAAAACTTAAAGTATAATAATAATAAAATAAAAAAAAAAGAGTTTACAGGTTGATAAGAAAGAATGCAAGGGCAGGCAGGATAAATTTACTGGTTGACCTTTCAATTATAGTCAGTGTCTCCCAGTGTCTCAGCAGATTCCATTATCTGATATGCAGCTGCTGCAGCTGTTTTGTTTGCTTCTTTGTTTTCACTGACAGATTGGCCTGGTCAATGTGAGTCATGTCACTTAGTGTGGTCCCTGGTCTGGTCACATGGCCATCCTCAAGGAGCTTGTGAGAAATGCAGACTTCCAGCCCACATCCACATATTCTGAATCAGAACAGGCATTTAGTAAGATCCCTGTGTGATTCTCATGTACTTTAATGTGTGAGAAGGACTAAGTTAGATGACTTCTTGGTATTTCTCTTAGTTCAATAATTTTAAGACCCATTAAGATATGCGTGTATATATACATATATATATATACACACACACACATGCACATATCTGTATTATACACATGCACAGACATTTGCATGTGTGTGTATATCTGTATCTATATCTATCTATATCTATGTATGTATGAATTGGAGCTGTCTATTTTCTTACCTTACAGCATAAAGTCTGAAAGAATAAATGTCCCCCAAGAACTCAGCTATAATAGCTGTGCTATTCACTTAATCCCAGAAAACACTTATTATTCCTAATGCGTTGTTTCAACCAGTTTTGCATATCTATTATGACAGTATTCTTCATGAAAGTAAAGAAAGAAAAAGAAAAGGGAACGTATTTGTCAGTTTTTGCCTGGAAACTTATGCCATCCCACCACTGAGATTCCCTGATGAGACCACTCCTGCTGCATGACCATCAGGAGCTTTCTGAAATGTTGCTTGTAGTGAGAAGGGGAAAGACCAATCTCACATTTATTAGACTCTTCTTACGAGAGAGCTATAAAAGGAAAGGAGTCAGCTGGGAAGCAAGGGGTGCTTGACCCAGTGGGATGAGGTTGGCTGCTCTTGTCTTAAAGCAATACGATTTAGAAAACAATTTGAATATAATATTAGCCTGATAAGGGACAAGAATCAGTACTTGGTGGCATAAACAAAAGTTTAGACTCTTTTGTAAAAGCTCTTTTACACAGGGAATGCCCAACTCCATTTCTTTTTGCGTCAATCTACCTGAACCACCTTAGCTTATTTCCCTTCAGTGCTTCCAATCTCTGTAACCACCTCGCCTTAAGGAGGCACCACTGGTTTTTATTGAGAGGTGGCAGAAAGAAAGCAGCCATATGAAGATCATGCACATGTTTCTTTGTAAAAATATCATTGAATCCCTTATCTGTAAAGTATCTCATACCTTGTATGATGAGATCAGAATTCTAGTGTCAAAAAAAAAGTCTTTCATGACTGAAAATTTGGTGCATTTCTTCTTTTCAGAGAATAAGAATTGTATAACTCATCTGATCTCCTTTTTAACCTTGACTGACAGAAATCTCAAGGCAAACTTAATTCTGAATAGAAATAATGCTTAATTGTTAAGGTAAATTTTTACTCCTCTTCATGGATTAATTTTCTATCTTTATCTTAACAGACTTCTTGGTTGGTTTCCCCTCCTACAGCTTTATTGAAGTTTTTTGACAAATAAACATTGTATATATTTACAGTATGCAACATGTTTTTGTATCCATTGTGAAATGATTACCATATTTAAGCTAATTCACATATCCATCATCTCACAGTTATCATTTTTTGTAGTAAAAACATGTAAGATCTACTCTCGTAGCAAATTTCAAATGCACAATACAATATTATTAACTATAGTCACTGTTATAGTTATTATTAACTATAGTCACATTAGCTCTCCAGAACTTATCCTTCTTGCTTAACTGAAACTTCATACCCTTTGACCAACATCTCTTCATGGCCCTCATCCTCCAGCCTTTGGTGACAACCATCCTGCTCTCTCCTATAAGTTCAACTGTTTTAGATTCCACATATAAGTGAGATCATGTAGTATTTATCTTTCTGTGCCAGGCTTATTTCACTTAGTATAATGTCCTTCAGGTTCATCCATGTTGTTGCAAATGACAGGATTTCCTTCCTTTTAAAGGCCAAATAATATTCTGCTGTACATATACACTACATTTTCTTTATCCATTTATCTGTTGATGGGCACTTAGGTTGATTCCCTGTCATGGCTATTGCGAATAATGCTGCAATGAGCATAGGAGTTCAGACATCTCTTCAAGACAGCAATTTCAGGCCAAATGCGACGGCTCATGCCTGTAATCCCAGCACTTTGGGAGGCCAAGGTGGGTGGATCACTTGAGGTCAGGAGTTCAAGACCAGCCTGACCAACATGGTGAAACTCTGTCTCTACTAAAAATATAAAAATTAGCTGGGCATGGTGGCAGGCACCTGTAATCCCAGCTACTCAGGAGGCTGAGGCAGGAGAATCGCTTGAACCTGGTAGGTGGAGGTTGCAGTGAGCCAAGATTGTACCACTGCACTCCAGCCTGGGCAACAAAGCAAGACTTCGTCTCAAAAAAAAAAAAAAAAAAATACTAATTTCAGTTCCTTTGGATATATACCCAGAAGTGAGATTGATGGATCATATGGTACTTCTATTTTTAATTTTTTAAGGAACCTTCATAATGTTTTCTATAATGGCTGTTCTAATTTACATCCCCACTAACAGCGTGCAAGGGTTTCATTTTCTCCACACGCTGCCTTCCCAAATCTGTTATCCTTTGTCTTTTTGATAATAGCCATTCTAACAGGTATGAGATGGTATCTCATTGTGGTTTTGATTTGCATTTTCCTGATGGTTAGTGCTGTTATATCTCTTGGTTGCTTGTATGTTTTCTTTGAGTAATATATATTTAGGTTCTTTGCCCATTTTTAATTGAGTTATTCATTTTCTTGTTATTGAGTTTAAATTTCTTATGTATTTTGGATATTTACCCCTTATCGGATATCTGATTTGCAAATATTTTCTCCCATTTCCTACGTTGTCTGTTTACTCTGTTGATTTTTTTTCTTTGCTGTGCAGAAGCTTTTCAGCTTGATGCAATCCAATTTCTCTATTTTCACCTTTGTTGCTTGTGCTTTTGAGTTCATATTTTAAGAAAATGATCCTTGCCAAGACCAATGTCAATAAGTTTTCTCCCTAAGTTGTCTTCTGGTAGTTTTAGTTTTAGGTTTTAAGTCTTTAATCCATTTCGAGTTAATTTTTGTATATGGTATGAGATAAGGCTTCAGTTTTATTCATCTGAATGTGCATATCCAGTCTTCCCAACACCATTTATTGAAGAGACTGTCTTTACCCTGTTGTATGCATTCTTGGCATCTTTGTTGAAGATCAATGGACCATAAATGTGTGGGTTTACTGCTGAGCTCTCTATTTGTTTCATTAGTCCTTGTGTCCTTTTTTAATGCCAGTACTCTGCTGTTTTGATTATTATAGCTTTGTAGTATATTTTGAAATCAGGTAATGTTTTGCTTCCAGCTTCAACTTTTTGCTCAAAATAGCTTTGACTATGAGGGGGTCTTCTGAGGTTCTATATGAATTTCAGAATTTTTTCCATATATGTGAAAAATGCCATTGGAATTTTGATACGGATTACATAGAATCTGTAGATTGCTTTGGGTAGTACTGATATTTTTCATATATCAGTTATTCTGACTGATGAACATGAGATATCTTTCCATTTATTTATGTCTTTTTCAATTTCTTTCATCAGTGATTTACAGTTTTCAATGTACATATCTTTTACCTCTGATTAAATTTATTTCTAATTATTTTATTTTTGTTTCTCCTATTATAAATGTGATTTTTTAAAAATTTCTTTTGGGATAGCTCTTTGTTACTATATAAAAAAATCTTACTAATTTTTATTTGTTAATTTTGTATTTGCAACCTTACTGAATTAATTTACTAGTTGTAACTTTTTTTTTGGTGGAGTCTTTAGGATTTTCTATATAGAAGACCATGTCATCTGCAAACAGAAAATTTTACTGCTTCCTTTACAATTTGGATGCCTCTTATTTCTTTTTCTTGCCTAACTGCTCTGGCTATGACTTCCAGCACCATATTTAATAGAAATGGTGACAGTAGGTATCTTTGTCTTGTTTTTGATCTTAAAGTAAAAGCTTTCAGCTTTTTACCATTTAGTCTGTTAGCTGAGGGCCTGTCATATATGGCCTTTATTATGTTGAGATACATTCTTTCTATACCCAATTTATTGAGAGTTTTTGTCATGAAGGATGTTGAATATTTTCAAATGCTCTTTCTGCATCTATTGAGCTGATCATATGATTTTTGTCCTTCATTCTGTTAGTGTGGTGTATCATATTTTTAAAAATTTTTGTGTGTAGAATTATTCTTGCATCTCAGGGATAAATCCTACTTGATTATGTTGCATGATTTTTTTAAATGTGCCAGTGAATTTCGTTTGCTAATATTTTGTTAAGGATTTTTTTGCATCTTGGTTCATCAGAGATATTGGCCTGTCATTTTCTTTTCTTCTAGTGTCCTTGTCTGGCTTTGGTATCAGGGTAATAGTAGCCACATACGATGAGTTTGGAAGTCATTCTACCTCTTCAATATTTTCGAAGAGTTTGGGAAGGATTGGTGTTAATTTCTCTTTAAATGTTTGGAAGAATTCAGCACTGAAGCCAAGAGGTCCTAGGTTTTTCTTTGTTGGGAGGTTTTTGATTTCTGATTCAATCCCTTATTCACTACTGGTCTGTTCAGATTTTCTGTTTCTTCATGATTCAGACTTGGCAGGTTGTAGGTTTCTAGGAATTTATCCATTTCTTTTAGGTTTTCTAATTTATTGGAGTGTAATTGTTTATAGTAGTCTGTTATGACCCTTTGTTTTATGTGGTATCAACTGAAATGGCTCCTCTTTCATTTCTGATTTTATTATTTAAGTCTTCTCTTTTTTTCTTAGTCTAGCTAAAGGTTTGTCAATTTTATTTATCTTCTATTAATTTTCTAGTTTCTATTTCATTTATCTCTGCTCTGATCTTTATTATTTCTTGCCTTCTGTTAACTTCGAACTTAATTTGTTCCTTTTTTTCTGATTTCTTAAGGTATATAGCTAGGTTGTTTGAGATTTTTCTTTTCCTTAATGGAGGCGTTTATTGCTACAAACTTCTTTCTTAGAATTGCTTTTGCTGCGTTCCATAAGTTTTGGTATGCTGTTTCTATTTTCATTTGTCTTGAGATATGTTTTGATTTCCATTTTAATTTCATCTTGATCCATGGATTCAGGAATTCAGGAGTGCATTGTTTAAATTCCACATATTGGTGAATATTCTAATTTTCCTTCTGTTGTTAATTTCCAGTTTCATACCACTGTGGTCAGAAAAGATACCTGCTGTAATTTTAGTCATCTTAAATTTGTTAAGACTTGTTTTGTGTACTAACATGATCTATACTGGAGAATGTCTCATTTGCACTTGAAAGAATATATATTTTGCTGCTGTTGGATGGAATGTTCTGTATGTATCAGTTAGGTCCATTTGGTCTAAAATGTTGTTCAATTTCAATGTTACCTTATTTATTTTCTGTCTCAATGATTTATCCATATTAAAGGAAGAGCATTGAAGTCTCCTACTATTATTGTATTGTTGTCTATTTCTTCCTTCAGTTCTGTTGATATTTGTTTCATATACTGAGGTACTGTGATGTTGGGTGCATATTTATGTACAATTGTTATGTTTTCTTCATGATTTGACTCCTTTATTGTATAATTACTTTCTTCGTCTCTTGTGACAGTTTTTGACTTAAAGTCAAAGGTGTCCTCATATGGCAGAAGGGATAATGAGCTCCCTTCGGCCTAATCCCTTCACGAGGGCTCTGTCCTCATTACCGAATCACCTCCACAAAGGGTGTACCTTCTTATTCCAGCAAATTGGTGATTAGGCTTCAATATATGAATTTGGGGGAACACAAACACTCAGATCCCAGCACCCCACGTGGAGGGTCTCTCTCTGCACCAGGCTGCAGGCTTGGGGAAGGGTGATGTGGGTCATGTGGAGCTGTCCTACCCTCTTCAATGCATCATTTCGTATTTCTGCACTCCACCCAGGTGTTACAATGTCTCACATGGATTCCTTAGTTCTTATAAAAGTATTTTCTTTAATGGCTAGTTTTCCAAAGTGATGTTTCTCTGAGGAAATGCATACTGGAAAGTCCTATTCCACCGCCTTGTTCATATCACTCTCCAGACATCTTTGATTGGAAGAAACTTTGCATATTTTTGTACTCTGATGGTATGTAAATTAAACATGATTTATTCCTAAGAGTAGTCATGCTCTGTCTGTAAGGGCTGTGAGCAAAATAGTGAAGTTCAAGAACTTCCTTTCCTCTCTTCTGAGCTTTCTCCACCTTTTCCATGGGCCCTTTACCCACCTCAGAAATCCTATTCTCTTATGTTCTTCCGTTTGTTGCCCAAAGTATAAGTGACATAATAGCTTTAATTATTACTCTTCAAAAAAGAATTATATTTTTACAGGGCTCAAAGCCCTAAGATAAGGGGTGAACGTCTCTATTGATGGGATGTCAGTTTGTGCCAAGCAGGTCTTCTCTGCGCATTTGGACATTCTTGGTGTTTCTCTTCCAGTGGTTCCCAAACACTGTCACATTGACTTTCTGCATCAGAATGACCTGGGGAGCTTTAAAAACATCAGGATTCACAGGCCCTATCACCCAGAGATGCTGATTCAGTAGGTTTGAACTGGAGACTAAGAATCTGTATTTTTACCGCATTCATCCCTTCCGTCTACCTAGATGATTTTCACCATCACAGTATCATTTTCAAAAAGTCAAAAATGTGATTCTTATATAAACATAAATATAGTGTTCTCAATAGTGGAAACTTGGGAAAGTTTAATTAACTCATTAAAGAACAAATCAGCGGGAGAATAAAGCTGGGCAAAGCAGGACATGAGTAACAGTTAATGAAAGACAGGCTACTGGGATAAGAATGCCAAGACAGATACAAAATGGGTTAATGTTGTACAAAGCAATAAATATTAACTTTCAGGGTTATCTTTTCTATTGGATAATAGTCATTTGTATTCTACTGGACAAAAATAATTTTCAACTTTTCAATCTTCTATGAGTTAATTCTAACTTCGCAGACTCTGGACTCTCATCAAAGGTCAAGGGTAATTGGAATAAGAGTACAGTCCTCCAGAGAATTAGACAGCCTTTCAGTGGGTGGGCCTGTTACACAATGTTCTGTATGAAGCCAAAAGGGCATGCTTTCATCCTTTTGCATTATTTCAAAGTTTTGATTTTTTTTTCATAACACCATGTACAATCATGCTTAGAAAAAAAATAGTGTAGTTCACATATATATAAGCAAACCCAAAACATTTGGTGCCAGATTAGCTCAGATTTCAATTCCTCTAGAGATCCTTTCCTGGGACCCTCAGGTTCCCCTCTTAAATTTTCCTTGTCAGGACTTCTAATTGTCCATGGGCAGGAATGTCTGGTTCGTTTACGGCTGTATTCTTAGGGTTCTGATAGAGAAGCTGGCATACAGGAAGCACCTAATAAATGTTTTTTGTTTGGATGGATGAAAGTGGTGATCTCAGACCAGATTAGGGTCGAGTGAAACCAAAGTCTAATATACTGGTTGGTGCAAAAGTAATTGTGGTTTTTGTCATTACTTTAAATGGAAGTAACCTCCCCATTACTTTAAATGGAAGTAACCTCCCCAAAGGCCACACCCCCAGTAGTGGAGGTGCCACCTTTTGTAGGTGAGGCGGATGGCAGTGTGTGTACGTACTTTTGCACCAACCTAATAGTGGATTCTGAGCAAACTCAGCCAGCTGCTTTCTTTGGGCACCCCCTGACAGTCAGTGGCTTCTTGGCCATATTTCTTTCAATGAAGGGCCAACTCAGTTTTATGAAGAACTGAAAGTCATATGTATGTATGCAAAAAAAGTCTATCATAATCACCCTCAAAAAGCAACTTTTTCAGTAGCTCGGGGTATGTGGTGCTGGGCTAGGCTCCTGGAGAGAAGGCATTCAACATTATCAACACTACTTGGGATTAGGCAAGAAAGCTGATCTATATGATCTTTCTTCTTCCCAGTTTATTCACAGACTTAGTTTCATGCTACTTCTGGGAGTCAGGGTAATTTTGAGTCCAATAACTAAGAATTCACAGAGAGAAACAGACCCTAGTTTGTCATCCTGACTGCCATAATGGTGGAGCTGTGACCAGCCATGAAGGAGGCTCCGTAGATGACACATGTCCATGCCTAGAGCACATGTCAGGCCACAGACTGGCAGCAGGGTTTCATTTTATAAAGAACATAGTGCACTCATCCGCAGCCAGTTCTCACTGTGAATACCCTATGTGAGAAGAGTGAAAACAGAAGGGAATGTGGTTCTTAAGGCTATGAAAACTTCTCTGCCTACTATCTATTATAGGAAGCTCTAATCAAAATATCAAGAACATGGCCTAAGTGTCAAGTAGACTGATATTGAGGAGTGTCCAAAGAGTTACTGTCTGAGTCTAAATTCAGAAAGAAACAAGTCACCGAACAAAAAAAGATAAGCAGCAGTTGCACTTCTTGGAAAAAAGAAGAATAAAAACAAAAGATTCCATCAAGAACAGCTCATGTGTTCAAGAATCCTGGTTATTTATGCCTTGCACCTTCCATATGCAGGTTGTTTGCAAAGTATTTGCAGCTGTCTAAAAGATTACCTTTCCAAACTCTAAAGTAATACTCATTCTCCAAGACGCAGATCACAAACACCTTCTTTCTGAAGCCTTCCCAAATGGAATTGATTTCTTTCTCTTTTGTGCATCCACAGTGTGGGATCTGTTTCTTCTCACTGCCCACTTCATATTAGCATTATTCATTCCTGTGTCTAGAAGGCAGGGTCCAAGCCTTATTTACATCACACGTGGTGTGCTTATCTCAATGAGCTTCAAATAGTGGTGCTTAAAATGAATTAAATCCAACGAAAACTCATCCAGGATTAGCTCAGTTTTTAAGAGTGGTGCAGATCTGTCTTTAACTTAGAAACCCTCACTATGCTAAGGGTTTATGAAGCACAGCCAAGCTGCTCTTTTTCAAGAAGCCTGGAAAAGAAGTATCTCAGTTTTCATTTGGGCATATGCTTTGTTATGTATGCATACAGGCACATAAGGAAACTGTCTTCTCTTTTCTTAATTCTGGAATTATTTTTGCTCAATCTCCTGACCTCCTGGATGTTTTCCAAGTGAGTAATACAGCACCTTGGGAGGAGCTATGGCTAAAACACATGGTAAATTAGTTTCATCTCACACTGCTCAGTTGGACCCACTGGTAGAAGATGCCTGGGCTGCTAGTTGAGGACTGTGAGATGGGTTGAAGGTGTGAGGTGAGAGCACCAAGGATGAATGGCAGTGTCTGCTGTGAGCACAGGATGGGACCAGATAGGTGAGGCAGATGACAGTGTCCTTTTTTGCTGTCTCTGGTCTGGACGAATTACTTATGGTAGCTCTTGTGCAAGGGAACTGCTGTTGAGAGTCTAGAATGAAAACTTCACAGGATATACTTGTTGAAAAGGACCACAAGGCAGGGTGTGGTGGCTCATGCCTGTAATCCCAGCACCTTGGGAGGCCGCAGAGAGGATATCACCTGAGGCCAAGAGTTCAAGAGCAGCCTGGTCACATAGTGAGGCCCCATATCTACAAAAAATAAAAAAAGTTAGCTAGGCATGGTGGCAGATACCTGTAGTCTCAGCTGTTTGGTAGGCTGAGGTGGGAGGCTTGCTTGAGCTCAGAAGTAATAGCTTGAGGCTTAATCCCAGAGGATTGTTTGAGGCTGCAGTGAGCTGAGATTGTGCCACTCCAGCCTGGGTGACAGAGCAAGACCTTGTCAAAAAAAAAAAAGAAAGAAAGAAAGAAAAAGGATGAGGGGACCACAAAGGACATCAAGTACGCAGTATAACTTTACTACACAGTGTTATCACTTTAAGGACAGTGAATATTTAATATTATATACAATATACAATATATAAAATGTACCATCTTAACCATTTCTATGTGTATAATTCAGTGACATGAGTGTATTCACATTGTTGTACCACCATACCCATCCATCCACAGAACTCTTCATCTTGCAAAACTAAAACTCTATCTGTTAAACAAATTCTATTTTTGCTGTATGGATATTTATTTTTAATAAAAGAAACTAATAATTATAGGAAATTTAGAATATTCAAGGAAATAAAAAAGAAGAAAAACCTCACTCAGAGTGGGACCATTAATACCATTAATGTGTTGATGAATGTTTCACTTGATCATCAAGGCTGTGACCTCATTTTTCTTTGACTTTTTGAGGTCTGCTCCCAGGCAATAACTGGTACCCACTCATTCATACAGGCTAAAAACTTTACTATGATACTCCTTCCAAACCCATTGTAATTATTTTTCAGGGGACAGATTCCTTTTTTACTTTAAGCTAAAGGAATAAAGATCTAGTTATGGATGTTCAACATCATTTACTCAACAGTCATCACTAAACAGACATTTGTTGAGTGTCTATCATGTGTTGGGTAGCATTGTATGCAATATATTTAATAGATATAGGATTGAACAAAATAGATGAAAACCCTACCCATCAGGGAACTGAAATTCTCATACAGAGAGTGATATTAGTGACATTTACTAACCTGTAAATATATGCCTGCCTGTCTATAATATGAAGTCCTCTAAAGAAAAATTTAAAAAGTAATGAGGACCAGGAACAGTGGCTCACATCTCAAATCCCAACACTTTAGGAGGCTGAGAAAGGAGGACTGCTTGAGGTCATAAGTTCAAGATCAGAATCTCTACAAAAAGATTTAAAAAGAAAAAATAGAGGAGGAGGAGGAGGAAGAGGAGGAGGAGGGGAAGAGGAAGAAGAAGAGGAAGGAGAAGAAGAAGAAGGAGGAGAAGGAGAAGAAGAAAGCAGGGAGGATAGGGAGTGCTGGTTGGGAGCTCTGAACATTTTTGGTTGTGTGGTCAGGGAAGGACCTTCTAGAAGGTGACATCAGAAGTGTACATGTACCTGGGGGTGGGGGATGAGGGCAGAATTTGAGGGCAGAGACCGTGAAATAACATTTGAATCATCCTCTCCTGGGCCTAAAGCAACACAAGCTCTCTCTTAGACCCCTGAATTTTTCTGAGTTTATATTTCAGATGAATGTGAAAAACATTTTTAAAAACATTCCTATATTGCCACAAAACCTCCAGATAAAGCTGCAGGTGTATAGCTGATGAGAGATGGACTTACTTAAAGCTCCTGCTCTGTCCTCGGAGGAGCTGAATCACGGGCAGTTACAGATTCCTCCTGGACCCCCAAACAGTGTGCAAGTTACAAATTAATAAATAGTGAGAAAAAATGGAGTTTTCCCCAATGTTTCCCAGTAGATCCCAGAAAAGTTGAAATTTGATCCAAATAGGATCTCTTACTCCCCACAGATTTCAAGTTTTTCTATAGTCAGTTCAAAATTGGAAGCAACCAGGATCCAGCACATAAGGCCATTTCCTCTTCAAAGCCCTTGAGATCAGACTGTTCTGGGAAGGTCTCTTTGGAACCTTTGGAATGAAGACATGTTTAAAACCATGAGCTCATGCTGTCCATGGATGGTGAGACTTTGTTAGCGGGACCATTATATTATTAAAAAGCCACCACCCACCATCCCCAGACATGATATTTTTCAAAAGAAAATCATTCATACAGCATCATTGTGATTTGCAGCAAAACAATTTATTATGATTATTAAGCTGAAAATTATAGAAGGGTATATACATACTTTACCTGTGGAATCATGCATATAGTTTTATTTGCTCTTCACAATACCCATGGGAGGAAGGCAGGACAGGTGTTATAATTTCCATTTTTCAGCTGCAAAACCTGAGACCCCAAAAATTTGGTGACTTGCGTAAGGTCTCACATCAGGGTACAATTCTGCATCTCTTGATTGCTTGACCAGATTCCTTTTGGTCATGCCTTACATTTGACCCAAGTGTCCCAAATCAACAAAATACCTTAAGCCTTTCTAGTTGTGATTTTTCTTCCCAGTAGAAAAAATAACTGTATTTGAACCTTGCCAAACTTGGCATTTTCTTCCAAGTAGTTCTTGGGCTGATTTTGGCAACTCTTGGGGCTGAGATGGACTCACAACATCACTGCCTGTAATTGATGTAAGTGAATAAAATGGACTCATTTTAAGTCTTGCAGAGGCTTTAGTCTAGATTAAGTAGCTAAAATTTCCAGGAAGCCAGTTTAGTTCTTTTTATCCCTCCCAGGGCTGGACACTAGCTTTTGTCTGGATTAGGTCATTTCTATTAAGAGCTGGCACCCAATTCTGGTTGGCACGGTCCCTCCATTTGTACTTGATGTATGTAACCATGCTGCTTTAGCTGTGGGGTTTCAAACAACGCAAACTTACTATCTTACAGTTCTGGAAATCAGTAGCTTGAAATGGGTCTCAGTGAGTCAAAATCAGTGTTGGCAGGGCTGTGTTTCTTCTGCAGGCTCTTGGGAGTTTCCAAGGTGACACTCTTGGGAGTTAGTTTCCCGGCTTTTCCAGCTTCTGGAGGTCACTTGCCCCATTTCTCCATCTTCCAAGCCAGCCTTTCTCATACTGCCATCTCTCTGGTTCTTTCTGTTGTGCCTCTGTCTTCCAGTTATAATCTTTTTGATTAACTCAGGCCCACCTTGATAATCCCTATCTGAAGGTAAGGATTATCCTTACCTTCAGATAATCCTTATCTGAAGGTCAGCTGATTAGCAACTTTAATTTCATCTGCAACCTTAATTCCCCTTTACCATGTAATCTAACATATTCACAGATTCTGGGAATTAGGGCATGGACATTTTTGAGGGGGCTGTTATTTTGCCTACCAAGCATACCTTGTCTTATTTTGTTTCATTTAACAATGTGCATTTTGATATGTAACAATATGAGTAGTTTCTTATCATGCCACTACATGTTCCTGAACATGGTAATAAGTGGGATTCTATTTTTCCATTAAGGATATTTGAACCAAATAAATTATAGCTAAAACCCACAACTACTATAAAAGACATGGACATTAAAAACCTTATAAATTATTTGGAATAATACAATTAAGCTATAAGTCCTATAAAACAGGATGAATATATTCTGTACAATCATTACATATTATATTTCCATATATCTAAAATTTAAAAACGTGCAAAATGCAATTCTGTTGCATGATTTAAATATGATTGAAAACTAATATCCTTGCAAATCAAACATCTATAAAATAATAAGAATTTTCCTTATGATTTAAAAGGGCTTTCGAAATAGTGATTTTGATAACCCCTATGCCTCTAAAAGCTTAATGATGTTATTACTTCTCTGTAGCTAGCAGAGGTATTAAAAAATCACCCCCTTGGCTTTAGAGTTATGGGTTTCAAAAATTATTTCCTCGTCTGGTCTTCCTCTTTTGCCGTGAATAAAGTAAACATGTGAATGACTGAATAAAGGCAGTACAGTTGGAACCGGAGGCCAGGAGCAACATCAGTAAACAGCACAGCCCTCTTCCATAGCATGGAGACCTCCTGAATGGCCTCTTGCCCAGCACAGCAGTCCTGTTGGCTGTTCTTTATCAACTAACTTCGGCCTGAATGGTTGCCTCCCCAGGGCATTTTTTTTAACAGCTTTAAAAATTTTTTAGAAAAAATATGTGCCAGTTCTAACTCTGTTGGTTTATCTACTGATTATGATCATCTCTCACCCTGTACTGTTGCCTATTAGTGAGTTTATTTCATGCAATTTCCAATTTCCTACTTTACAGATTTGAAAGACATGTTTGTTCATTTCTTCCCTTTATTTTCCTTGCTCTTGTTCCATCTTTTCCTGTCTCACCTTTCCCACTTCTTCTGTTATTTTTTCCCCATCTCTTCTTTTTCTGGTGTAGTTTCCTTCTTTCTTCCTCCCTATCATCTTCTCTCCCTCCTCTTCCCTGCCTTTAGCCGCTTTACCTGGGGACCTCTAATTAGCAATGTAATTGCACAAACTCTTGACTGGCTCTTAGGAACAGAATGTATTTCTTAAAACTTCAATTAAAATCATGCTTCCCAAATGAACAAATATCCCTAAAACATCCAAGCTATTTGTATATATTATTTAGTATCCTTAAAAAAATTATTTTTAGTTAAAACATGTTACCAATGAAACCATTGCATTTAGAAAAGTATAATAAAACATTGTAATACATTCTATATGGCTACAAAAAATAACACAGCTAATATAGAGATTGGATAAATACAGAAAGGCACAAAGAGGAAAATAAAAATTAATTGTAATCTAATTATACAAAGAAAAGCAGTAGCAAATGCTTTGAAAATAACTTTATTTTTAGTATAAAAGAAATATATATCTGATGTGGCAAGTTCAGAATTTTTACTGAAAGTATAGAAGAGAGAAGGACCGTTATCCAACCATTCAGGAATGACTGTGATTATATTAAAACATATGTATTTCTTTCCTGTATTTCCTATATATTTCTACAAAGTTGGAATCATGTTGAACATACAATTTTCTTTCATTTAAGTTTATATAATGAATATTTTTCCATGTCGTTAAAAATGTAACACATTTTTTATTTGCTGCATGACATCCCATTGTGTAGATGTGCAATTTGTTTGCCAGGCAATTATTATTGGCCATTAGTTTGTTTCCTAGTATTCATCATTATCAATAATGCAGTGGTGGATATGTATCTTTGTGCACAAGCTGACTTCCTTATTTTGGATCAGTTCTTTCAGAGATTTTACAGATGGAGTGTTGGGATGAAAAGTATGTATTTCTGAGGCTTTTAATGAATATTGTTCTGAAAGACAGATGCAGTCCTCACTTTCCCACAGTGTCTGTTTGACCACGGTATGATGACATTGCCAGATTGATAGAGTAATTGCACAATTTTACTACGGGATAATTTTAAATTTCCATTTCCAACTTTGATTGGGATCAACTTTCTGTAAATTTTAATACTAATTAAAAAAGAATGAGTTCTTTGTACCTTTTTTTAAAAGTACACTTTTAAAATTTTAGACTGTTTTTAAAATTACAGAAAAGCTGTAAAGATAGTGTGGAGAGAGCCTTTGTGTACCTGACATCCAGTTCCCCTGCTGTTAACATCTTATGATATTAAATTATATTTGTCAAAACTAAGGAACCAACATTGGTACGTTACTAGTAACTCAGTTATACACTTTATTTAGGGTTCACTAGTCTTCCCCTATTGTCATTTTTTTCTGTTCTAGGAATATCCAGGCCACCACATTACAATTAACTGTCATGTCTCCTTAGCTTGATGTATTGGTCAGATTTTTTGTAGAATGCTCCTAAATTTGATTTGTCCAATGTTTTTCTCATGGTTAGACTGGGGTTATGGATTTTGGAGAAGAACACAGCAGAGATAACATGCCACTCTGGTCATGTCATATCTAGGGCACATGTATCAGTAAGACTTGATGCTAACCTTGATCACGTGGTTGAAGTAGTGCCTGCCATGTTTCCTCACTGTAAAGTAACTTTTTTCCTTCTCTTTTAATACTCTGCTCTTTGAAACCAAGTCACTAAACACAGGGGGCAGTTAAGTTCCACCTCCTGGAGAGAAGATTAAACTATTTGGAAATCTTCTGTACAGGAAGACGTTTGTAGATATCTTCAGATGTAGACTTAGTACTTACAGACTTAAGAAGTATAGGCAGAACAACCGAAGATTTACCTGATTGTAACGACCTACGGCTAAAAAAAAGTGGTGTTTCCTGTTATATCTAAATTTAAATCAAGGATACTCAAGACAGTGAGCACTTAATCACATCATCTGAAAGAGATTCAAAGTATTGTACTTTAATCTTATGAAATTAAGTGTGTCACATAGAGATAACCAGTGGCAAATTTTTAAATAACTTTTTTTTTGGTTGTAAAAAATTTAGAAATTGTAGAAAAAAGCATAAAAGAGGCAAGAGCCATTATCTTTATTTTTTTTTCTGTGGTCAGAGATTATTGGTTATACCTTTGTGCTCTGCTTAAGAATGCTCTTCATTAGCGATTTGGGGGTCATGATTTAAGTGTCAGACAGGCTGTCATTTGCTTCCAGCAAGTTCATCTCCAAGAACATTGCCTTGATCAGGGTTAAGGTTACTGAAAAATGGAGGGTACATTTTACTTTTAAGAAATATTCTGCTTTTTAATGTGCTTGAAGTAAGTATGAAATTATTTTTTAAAAACTTGTATCCAGATGCAAAGTGTTAAGCTTGATTAGATTTTGGATTACAAACAAAGACAGAACCAATGCAAAACTAAGATGTTTTGGGGACAATTTGAGAAATTCAAACATGGAATGAAAATAAGGTTATTTTAATTGTGGCATATTTACTAATTCTCTCAGGTGAAGTAACAGAACTGTGGTTATGCAGGAGAATGTCTGCTCCTTAAGACTTGCCTGATGAAGTATTTAGGGCTAAATTGCCATGATGTCTGCAATTACCTTCAAATGGTTGAGCATATATATTAGAAATCAAAGGTGGCAAAATACTTGTTGAATCTAAGGGTGGGCATATGTGTGTCTATTTTTAAATTTTCTGTACTTTAAAAATTTTGCAAAATAAAACATTGGGAAAAGAAAAAAGATCATTCACGTATATACTTTAAATCAACCTTTCCCCTGTAATTTAACACCCAGGACTTCCTGCCTAGCTTGCAGAGAGACTGGGACTGTTTGTAGTGGGTTGGTTTTGGTGTGTTATGTTCATATGCAGAATAGCGCTGCTTTAAACTGTTTGTAGGCATCTTGGATGCTGAGAGAATGGTAAGAATCGGGGGTGCAAATGGGGGTGGGAGTTGAACTCTAATGAAGATGCCTGGTCAATTTGGGCCTTGTTTAAGAAAAAAAAAAATCATCAAATTTTAGAAAGCACTTAGCCATTCTGTCTTCAATGTTGTCACTATATATTTTCCCCAATTTTAAAGCTCATTTCCCAGACCCCACCCCGTCTACCATGGAGAAAGTAGATCTTTTGGTTAAGGCCTAGCAAAAGAGGTAAGTTAGACTGAAGTTTTGCCTTACTAATCTCTTCCCCGACGAATTTAATTCTTATGAAGGAAAAAAGTTATTCTTTTTCCACTATGTTATTTTTCCAAAGCTGATGGCATTGGAGTGCTGGACTCTCAATGTTCAGTTCTGGTGTTATTTCAAGAGGAATATTGACAAGCTACAGTATGTTTCAGGGAGAATGACCAGACTGCTGAAGAATTAGCACAATGGGAAATGTCAAATGGTTGAAAGGAATGGAAGCATTTAACATGAGAAGAGAAATCTTAGTGGCACATGATAAATGTCATCCAATCTAAGGATATATTATGTATAAAAGATATTAGACATATTCAGATATAGTTCCAGAAGGCAGAACTAAGATGATGAACAGAAATTATAAGGACTCAGATTTTTCATCATGCCATAAAGGGAAGAGATTTCTAATAATTAAAGTAGGTTAGCAATCATAGATGACTTGAGAAGTAGTCTCTCCTCGCTGGAAATGCATTTGTATGTGTAGACGAGCGTGTTTGAGGAGGCAGTTCCAGTATCAGCTGAAAACAGAGCCCTTGCAGAGTCTTACAGTGCTAGGATTATCTGGTTTTATAGAAGAAGCCACTATTGTTTCTTAATGAATGCTGTGTGTGGCACTACAGCCCTGTAGGTGCTTCCTCATGGTATTTCTTTTGTTCTTAACAGCTGTATCAAGTATGCATTCCCTGTTTCCCTATGAAAAGTCTGAGACTCAGCCATCAATCCATTTGACCAAGGTCACACAGAATCAGTGTAAGAACTGAGATCTACATTAACTGTAAAGCCCAAGCTCTCCATTCCATATCAGTAGTGTTGCATCTGGAACCAGAATTTAAAATAAATGAAATAGAGTGGCACAGAATGGAATATATCAGAATGCCTCCCACATAGGAAAAGGTGGAAGCATTGTTTCCTACAACATTTGTTTGCATGTGAACCGGTTGTGACATGAAATGTACTTTATACTGTGGGTCACGGCCAATGCCCTAATGTCATGGACCTTTGGCCTCCTGGACTTCCCTGAATGGGTCTACTTTGGTGATCCATTTCCATGACCACCCCCTAGGGTGTATTAGTTTCCTAGGGCTGCTTTCACAAATCACCACAAAGTGACATAAAACAACACACATTTATTCTCTTCCAATCCTGGGGGTCAGAAGTCAAAAATCAAATGTTGCCATGGCTACCTTCCTTTTGGAGAGTCCAGGGGAGAATCTGTTTTCTTGCCTTTTTCATTTTCTAGAGGTCACCTTGGCTCCTGGCTCCTTCATCACATCACTCCAGCCTCTTGCCCCTGTCACTTCATCTCCTACTTGTGCAGATCCTCTTGCCTTCCTCTTATAAGGGCCCTTCTGATTACATAGGTCAACTCTGATGGTGCAGGACAGTTTCCCCATCTCAAGATTTTTAATGTAATCACATCTGCAAACTCCCTTCTGCTAAGTAAAGTAAGATATTGGCAGGTTCCAGGGATTAGGACGTTGACAGCTTTGGGGGACTATATTCAGCCTACCACACCAGGCTTGCTTTACAAATTCTGAATGCTCAAACTTCAACAGTCCCCTTTCTGACCACCACTTCCTCTGCATTTGCCTTCTTTGTCATTTCCCTTGACTTGCTTTTCACAATATCAGCTAAGCCTTCAACCTGGCTGCATAAAAGATCAGCTCCTTCTCCCATTCCTCAGAGCAGTTTCCCAAATGCCCATCTACTTGCCTTAAGCAGATGATCTTACCTCCTACTTAAAGAGAAAAAGAGGTTCCTGGTGTGTATTGCTTCAGCTCCCGTCCTCTCTTTTCTCCCTGTGCTATCCTGGAAGGAGAACACAGCACTGCTAGTCACTCTGAAGTACCAGAGAACAATGAATAGTTTACTGAAGATGTCATAGGTAAAAATGGTAAAGTAGATTATGTTGTACATTTCCTATCATGCTCCAGGGAAGAATCCCCATTTTCTTCCTGCAAATCTTTCACTTTGGCCACCAGCTGCTGTATCTCCCTCCATGGATTTTTCCCTTCTGGCCTTGTCATCTCCAGGTCACCCCTTTCTCTGTACGTGGGTTATTTCCAGGCCTCCTAACTTTTTTCTTCTTTCTTTCTTTCCTTTATTTATTTATTTATTTTTTTTTGAGGTGGAGTCTCACTATGCTGCCCAGGCTGGAGTGCAGTAGCACGATCTCGGCTCACTGCAACCCCCGCCTCCCGGGTTCACACCATTCTCCTGCCTCAGCCTCCCGAGTAGCTGGGACTGCAGGCGCCCGCCACCACGCCCCGCTAACTTTTTGTATTTTTAGTAGAGACAGGGTTTCACCGTGTTAGCCAGGATGGTCTCGATCTCCTGACCTCGTGATCCACCCGCCTCGGCCTCCCAAAGTGCTGGGATTACATGCGTGAGCCACTGCGCCCAGCCTCTTTTATTTTTTTATTTTTATTATTTTTTTGAGACGGCATCTTTATCACTCTGTCACCCAGGCTGGAGTGCAGTGGCACGATCTTGGCTCACTGCAACCTCCATTTCCCAGGTTCAAGCGATTCTCCTGTCTCAGCCTCCTGAGTAGCTGGGACTACAGGCGCATGCCACGACACCTGACTAATGTTGTATTTTTAGTAGAAATGGGGTTTCACCATATTGGCCAGGCTGGTCTCAAACTCGTGACCTCAGGTGATCCACCCGCCTGTGCCTCCCAAAGTGCTGGGATTATAGGCGTGAGCCACCATGCCCGGCCCCCTTGTTTCTTAAACATGATTATTTCAGACTTTCTCAGCTCCTCTCCACCACCACTTTAATGTTGTCTTCAAGGATGTGAAAGCCTATTAGCCTAAGTAGGAAGATTTTTATTGCCCCCAGCCAAAAAATACTACAGTTACTCAGACCTATTCTCCTTATAGGGTAGTGGGGGATTACATATAACTAAAATGAATTTATTTTGCTATAATTATGACATTAGTCGGCCGTAGAAAATGGAGACAGCGGGTGTGGGTATATTCTGTAAAGAAAGACCCTGTAGGAAGGCAAATCTTTCTTTGTCTTTTTGTTTTAGAGACATGATGTAGATATAAATATTCATTAATGTCCTCATTTATGTCTCTAACATCTCACTCGACCTCCTCTTCATTTTGTTACCCTTTCTCTGCTGTGACTCTTGGTGAAATCAACACTACCAAATTCCTCCTGATTAGCCTATGTCCATCACTAAGCCATCAGAGATGGCATTCCCCTCTGCCACAAATCATTGTGAAACATCCCTGGAATGCTGTGTGTGAGGCCTTCACAGTAAGGAGGATGGTCACCGTGTGGCCACAGCAACAGCCTTGCCTGGCTGCCCCTCCTTCCAGGGTGGGAGCACTCCCTCATCAGGGATCCTTGCCTATCAGAGTGGGAGAAGAAGGCCCAGGGCCATGTTCTTCCCAGCCTCGGAAAGGCTTTATGTCCTTCCGGTGAAGGATGGTTTCTGGTTTGAAAATGGTGAGCTACTGGGATATGAAAAAGAAGTGCTGTATCAAGGCTAAATCCGCCATAATGGCTTTTTGCTTCCCACGGGGAAAGTGCTTTCACTACTGGAAACAGGTTCTCTCCCATTGTTCTCCCTAGTAACATGTTTCCTGGGCTCCCGATGTGCTAGCAATTTTTCCTCTTCCTTTTAGTCGGACATTTTATTTTTTGGTGAGACATGGCAAATGTGGGTTTATGGATTGCTGCTTAGAAGCGCATACGCACACACACACACACACACACACACACACACACACACACACAGAGCAAAGACAAAGAAATTATGAGAAGCAGAAAACTTTTCTGATAGAAGATTGTTGGGTGCAAGATAGGTAGTAAAAAATGACCAGAAAACTCTGGCATTCCTCTTTTTGCTCAGGGCTTCAAAGAGCCATATTTTCAGGTGGTGTCATTTATGGGGCTCCCACCCTTGTCCCTGAGAACAGTGTTAGAGAGAAGTTCTGATGAGCTTTTTAGATGCTACAGTGTCTCTTAGTTGATGCTCCTGGATTTCGTTGGTTTATCCAGAAATGCATGGTTTGAGATGTAATGAAAATTCCTTTCCTAGTTTTCTTCAGCATGTATGTCAGGCCAGCTTTTTCCTTTTCCTAATTTTCTTCAGCATATATGTCAGCCCAGCTTCTTTCAGAATGCCCATTTTCTTCTTGACATGAAATAATTTCACATTTATTTTACATTTCAAATGCAAAACATTTATTCAGCTAGAGTATCTGCCTACTGGAATGTTTTTCAAATCTTTTTTTTTTTTTGGCATCTTTTTATCGTCCTAGTCTGCCAAGCTATTACAGACATTGTGAACCTTGAATTCAGGGGAATAGTCTTTACAAACTGCAATCAACAATTGTCATAGTTAGAACTTCTTTTGATGATGAAGGTTAACTAAGTGTTAATTGGGGCCATTACTAGTACTTCTCTATATCCTTAATACTATGCCATTTGGGGGTTGGGGGTGGGAGGTGAAAACAATTAAGCACCACATGATGGAAGAATGCAGTGCTTTCCAAAGGGTGGTACATGGATTATCTATAACAGAAACCTCAGGATGCTTGCTACAGTGCAGATTCCCGGGTCTCACGCTAGATTTGCTGAATCTCTGCGCAGGGCTCCTGGGCATACGCATTTTTAACAAGCTCTCCATATGATTCTTTTGCACATTAAAATTGGAGAACCTCTGGACTAGTGGGTCACCTGACGCCTTATTCTCTTTGGTGGTTGCATTTTTTATTTCTAAAAATCCACTTTATTGGACTGAATGGCTGTCTATCAATGACTTACTCTTCCTTCTGTAGGAACAATAGTTTGTGAATCTGTGGGAGCAGCTCTTGGGAATTAAAACGAAATAAATGCACTCAGTTCCAAGTGCTATCAAGTGAGAAACAAAGATAATTAACTAAAAGGCAACTTTTCTAGTCTTATGTGAGGAGAGGGTTTTCTTCTAAAACCAAAAACTGAGTATTTCCAGAATAAACAACTATGTTAACCATACTTCAGGATAAGGAAATGACTGATTTAGTCACGGAAGAGTTGAGATGCTGTCCATCAACATGACATCCACAGAGACAGCAGATTGACTGAAGGTTGGCACTGTTTGGGGTCATTTTCATGAATTGCCTTATTTAGTTCTTGTCAGCAAAAACCATTTTGTCATGGTCATTTTACAGATGAGGAAACTAAGGCTCAGAGAAACAAAATTACTTGTGCAAAGCAAAAACTGCTTGTTAATGCTGGAATTGGGTGCTGAACTTAGCCTGTCTCTGAAGTCTGGCTTCTTTTACTAGAGAAAAACAGACTATGCTATAGAATGTGCTTCCAGCAGGAAATACAGGAGGCCAGGACCTGGCGTCTATGGTTGATTTAGAGACTTGGAAATGAAGTCTGTTGAAGGTTTCAGCTCTAATTCCTTTGAAGAAATCTCCGTTTGGGAGTTTGCTTGATTCTGCCCAAGAGATGCCCTAAGAACCAATTACTCAGGCCAAGAAGATGCCTGGGATGTGCTGGAGGCTTGATTAGAAGCCTCGGCCATGGCTTCCAGCTCTAAGACTCTATCAAAAAGGAAAAAAGAGAAATTGATTAATTCTGTCCCTGCTCAGATTTTTCTAGACTCAGTCACCACTGGTTCTACTTCGGTTAGTGGGGTATCATCTGATCTGTTTTGTGTTAACTAAGGGCAGGCCTCTCCCTAGAGAAGAATTTTCCTCCCCTCCCTGCTTGTTGGTGAGACACACAAACTTTGCAGTTGTGAGAAAGTTACTTCTGTGGCCATGAGGAGAGAGAGAGTTGGAACTGACATATATAGTGCCTTCTCCTTATCCCACCAGTATCTGAATCTGGGCTGTGAGTTGGGTATGTTGGAGTGTGTCCCACCTCCTGGCTGTATCACCTGAGTCTGACAAACCCCCATGACAACTACTAATGAGCAATTCCGTCTTGCTTCCTTCTCTCTACCCTTCTGCCATCAGATACTGCCTACCCCGTCCATTGGTTCACACCTTCCTCCTTCTGCTCAGAATTTTAGTGACACTGACATCTGGAAATTTTAGTTTTACTTTTGTGGGAGCCCTTTACCCCCTTGCGCGAATCCACATCCTCTCTCTCCAGCCCTCAGACAAGCCCACTGCTGTTGTTTTTCTGAGAACAACTTACTCCATTGCCTGCCTGCCATCAACTTCACTTCATACTTCTGCTGAAGGAGTCCTGCTTTTGTTCATTATGCCAAGAGGCTGAATGTCAGAGTGTGGCCCCTTCTTGCAGCCTAGCGATGGCTCAGGATCACTGCCACCCTGACATTCCTCCCATCTGTCTGGGTGGGCAGCACCTTTCTGCCTATTTGAGTTTCACCAGTATGACAGGGGGTAGCTTTTAAAAAATGCCTCTGTCCATTCCTACAGAAACCCTTAACTTGTGGCCCAGGCATCCCTTAGACTATCATAGCAGCTAATATCGTAGTAGCATATTAGCATAATAGCTAATAGCCCAATATGCTTATCGGGCACTTACTATGTATGGATACTCATCCTAGCACTTTACACTGACTCGTTTAATACACATGACATCCTTTAATGAGTTAATAAATTACTATCAGTATTCATATTTATCAGATGAGGAAACTGAGGCGTAGGCTTCAGTTACTTGCAGCAAAGAGATGAGTCAAGCAGATGGACTCTAGAGTAACTGCTTTTAAAGCACCACTTTATACTGTGTTTGCGGTAGACGATGCTATGATGAAATGAGCAACTGTGCATTTATTGAGCACCTACCATATGTCAAGACCTCTGCTAGACATTTTACGTATAGTGTCTCTGATAGTCATAACCCTGCAAGTTAAAACTGATTTTGCCCCATCTTACAGATGAGACAACTGGGGCTCAATGTGTTAAGCAATGGGACCAAGATCACACAGCTCATGCTGTTTCTATTCAACCATATCATACGTTTTTGATCCTATATTCTTTTAGAACCCATTTTGTCCATTTTCCAACAAAGGGATTATTTTTTCCCACCGCTTGGATTCTTGAGCTGCCAGCCAGTGGATGTGGTCTTGTGTATATTAGGGTTGTATTAGGCTCCTTCAAAAAGCATCTGAGAGGGATGAGGGACATGTAGGTTGATATTTCAGGGCTCTCAGGGTACAACTCCCTCTAGAAGTGGAACCCAGCTTCCAATTCTGCATGATCACAGCCCCCGTCCGTGGTTCCTGCTAGAACAAACATCTGTTCCCATTCCATTCTGTCCTCAGGACAGTGGCAGCTCCCTCACATAGCCCTTATCCTGTTACATTTATTCCCAATGATTCATTTTAATTTTGGTGAATGTTGCATTTTTTATATCCAGGTGTTTCTATTGATTCTCTGAAGCCTGTGTGCAGTGCACGGGTGTTCCCAATCTGGCTCCTGATGTATTTGCTTATGAAAACCAAACCATTATAGTGAAGTAGGTCACATTTTTGCAGTTCATTTGCTTTTAAGGCAAGTGCTTAAATTGGCCCTGATGACAGCTGTCATCACTATAGGTGAATATACTTATGATTATGAATCTCTCTCTTTCCTTACTTGGCCAATCTTTACAAATAAGCTGTCCAATATTGGAGCCACTAACTGCCAGTGGCTGCTTAAATTTAAGCTAATTAAATTTAAATAAAATTAAAAATTCAGCTTCTCTGTTGCATTGGCTATATCTCAAGTGCTCAACAGCTGCATGGGGTTAGTGGCTCCCAAATTGAACAGTGCAGATACAGAACGTCTTCATCACCACAGGAAGTTCTGTTGGACAGCACTGTTTTAGGGCAGAGGGACCAGCTCTGTTGTGTTGCTGTATCCCTGATACCTGCTTGGGTCATGGTAACTATCAGGCAGATACACCAATGTCTTCCTGGCTTCAGTCCATATTTCCTGAAACCACATGAGTTACTAGGGCTGCCCAGACTCATATGCAAAATCTTCATGAATTGATGACATCACTGGTCACTCTCTTCATTGGCTTCATGGAGGCCACTTAGGCATCACAGCAGAGGGTAGGGTGTGCTGGGTGAAATCTTCCCGGTGGTCCTACTCCCACCTCTCTTTATTCTGAGGCTTCTATAATCTCTTGACTTATACTTTCTGCTGACTTATTATTTTGGCTGTGTATTACATGAGAAAAAAACTGTCTCTTGCAAACCAGCAACAAGAAATAATAATTTGGAGAGCCTCTCATGGCTTTAAGACTGTGTCAAGTGTTCTGGAGTCTGTGGAAGTTCAATCTTGGCTTCGCCGCCTAAAAGCAGCCACTCTCAGTGGCCTCCGAAACACAGTGCTGGAATCCATAGCACCCATGGAAGTGCCGCTCCAGTGAGGGCTGTGTTCTGTGGGGAAGGGCTCTGTGACACAGGACTTCAGGTCTGGGCTCTAGGCCCAGTGCCACCAGAGGCCATGGGTTTGCCTCTTGAGTTGTGTGAACACTAAGTCCTTTTCAGCATAAAATTACCCTGGGCTTTGCTGTTCCCTTCCCTACTTGTTAATGAACATCAGCCTTGTCTTCATGGCTGGATTGCATATAAACCTTGAGGGCAGGGTCAGTACCTTTCTTAGCCCTCTCAGCACAGGGCTGACCCTATGATAGATATAGATTGATACTTTGTAAGAGGAATTTTTGGGGTGCTATTTTATCCTTTTTCCTGCCTATATGATGGGGAACAGGTGATGTCTTTTCCAGTGCTTCGTATACTATTGGGTACCTTGGGTACCTCTTTATCCTCAATTTTTTTTCTGTTCTTGATTTTGGAATGTGTTGTGTTGTCTTTGTCACTACAAGAATAAACAAATTCATCTGGTAACATCTGCGATTTTCAAATGAGTAAAAGGAATTTTCAAGGCAGGGTGATGGTTTCAGAAGCACAGTTCCATCACACAAGTCTGGGGTGCCTTCATGTGTCTTTTACACTATCATTGGCTCTTACCCTTCAGGCTTTACTTGTGGTACTCCAGAAGGCACAACAGCATGGGGTGGGTGACTCTTCAAGGTCTCTAGTCTCTGTGACTCTAGAACATTCTATTCACAAATTCCATATAAGATGCTGTCAGTTTCCCTCTAACCCCAGATCACTGTCACTAATTGAAGTAAAATATCACATACATCAAGATGACTAATATGTTGATGCAAGTTGAGGGGAGGGAGGAGAGATTACAGGCAACTCTTCTCACTCTGGGACTGTTCTGAAGAGTGCAACAATCCTTCCCCATCCTTCCTCATCAAAGAGCAGTGGAGGTCAAATACCAGCTGGCTCACACCAATGCATCTCAGCCTTTGGTCTTATCCCTACCATCTGGGCTTGCCATATTTCTCCTAAAGCAATATGAAGAGTCTGATTTAATAAGCCAGGGGAAATTCGCCCACTGTAACAAAATCTTTTTTATTGGTCAGCCCCTAACTCTTGAAATGAACTAGTAGCCTTTTTGTGTTTGTGCGTATATCAAATATTTTTTCCTCCAAAGAATTCAAAATAGGCTCAAAACTAACATTTCAGTGTTGGAAATCAGGATCATTGTTACCCTTGGGGGATGTTATTGATCTGGAGAGGGAACAGGGAGTCTCTCAGCTGCTGGTAATGTTCTATTTCTGCATCTAGGTGTTCTTTTTATAAAACATTTATGAGGATTTACAACTAGGATTTTGCACATCTCTCCATATGTTTATAATGCTTCAAAATAAAGTTTATTTAAAACAGTTTTTAGTAGACTTGGGAAGCATTCACAGATACTTATTTATTTATTTATTTATTTATTTTGAGATGGAGTTTTCTTCCCTCTTGTCTCCCAGGCTGGAGTGCAATGGCGCAATCTCGGCTCACTGCAACCTCCGCCTCCCAGGCTTAAGCAATTCTCCTGCCTCAGCCTCCCAAGTAGCTGGGATTACAGGCACGTGCCACCACACCTGGCTAATTTTTGTAGTTTTAGTGGAGACAGGGTTTCACCATGCTGTTTCACCATGTTGGCCAGGCTGGTCTCGAACTCCTGACCTTGAGTGATCCACCCACCTTGGCCTCCCAAAGAGCTGGGATTACAGGCATGAGCCACCGTGCCCAGCCAGATGTTTTTAACTTAGTTAAAACAAGTAGGTGAGTTTATTTCCAAAAGACAGTTAGCAGTATGCAGAGACTCCTGGATACTGGGTGGGAGAAGAGCAGATGGCACAGGAGGTGAAGGGGCATGTTTATCTTCGAGCTTTAGCCTAGGGCTCATCCTGCCCAGGTTCTTCTGAATGCCCAGTGCAAGTCCTCACTAAATTGGATACTTTTTCCTCAATTCCATTTCCATTCTCCTTTAAAGATGTAAGAGAAGTGGGCAGGTTGCAAAGGAGACCAGAATGGAAACTATTTTCTTTGGATAAGGTACAGACCTTGTAACAGAAGAAGGTGGTTCTCTTGGGCAATTTGCTTCAGGGAAAGTATGGGGCCAGCCCTTTCTTTGGAAAGCAAACCACGGGTGATTTTTTTCTAGCATGACCCTGGCTCCAGTTAGATGAGAAGAGATCAATAAACTGGGCCCACCTGGGTACTAGATGTACAAAGCCCTGTGTTTATATGTTGGGAGAGAGAAGAGGTGCAGAGCTCAGATGAGGAATTCCCCACCTCACTCTCCCTACAGCTGCTTCATCCCCTCTCCTACCTATTCCTTTCTCTGTGACAAACACACGAGATCCTGGGACCAGCAGCCTACTTGCATGTCAGCAGATCTCTGGCTTCTCCTCTAGTGGATGAGTCAGCAGCTCTCACAGGTTTCCAGGTAGCTTCTGAGAAATATTGAGGTTGAATAGGTGATTTTCCGCGTGCACCCTGGCAAGACCACTTTGTGGAGGAATGCAAATGGAGTAAGCCTTTAGGAAGATGCTGGTTTGGTTCTCAGGCTTTCTTATTCATGTTGCCCGTAAAATGGTTATTATGTCCTCAAGTGGAGCCCCATCTGTTTCTTCTGTGCCGCTTGGGTCCAAAATTTGAGGCTGAGGAAATATCAATAACTCCTTCATCTTGGTGGTGTCTTTTGTAGTTTTTCTCCTTCAAGGACATCAGTATTGGGCTGATAGCAGGTACACTAAGGGCCCCTAGGTCCAATCATCTTTGAGGACTCCTGGACTTCTGCTTTGTTTCCATAGAACAAATGAGCTTTCTGACAACAGGCTCACATTTTCCTCTTGTGCCTGGTCTCTGACTCAGAGGAGAAACGGAACCAAATCTCAGTACTGCACAGAGTCTGTTTCCCACTATTTTATGGCAGTTATTTGACAACTGTCTTTGGGCCTTGTCCGTTCTTCCTTCCTGTTCCAGAGATTGTCCTTAGAGACAGATACTGAAAAAAATGTCATGTTTTCTAAGCAATGTAAGCATAGAAGCAAATTATGTCAGATGTAACTGCTATTGGCGTTGGTAGTTAAAGTATTACCCCTCTGCATTTATAAAGCAGTTTGCATGGCACTTTTACAAGCTTCACCTCATTTGATTCCCCGAACAGCCCTATGAGGTAGTAGGCGTTGCCCCCTTTTACAGAAGAGGACTTTGTGCCTCAAAAAGTTTGCATGACCCATTGAAGGTCACACAGCTATTCTTATTACTCCCAGTAAAGTGCTCTATTTTTTCTATTGTGCTTATTATTAAAGACATTCTAAGGTCAGCAATCAAAATAGGAAGCTGATTGTGAGGTTTATGTTAAGATCTTGTTACATTACTGGCTACAGTGAAGCAAACATTTTGGAAAGACTCCCACGTCTAGAGCTGTCCAGTGGAGACCAGCATCCCCCTTTGTTGGAGCCCCTCTTGCCTCCTGACTGTGGGGGCTCCTCAGCTTGTCTTCAGACTCATCTGCAGAGCAGGGAGCCTTGAGTTACTGATGAATAGTGAAAGGACCTTGAACCTTGAAAGCCTTTTGCAGTTTCCCTAAGCCCCCCATGTTTCCAAGTTTAGTTTTGCAACCTTAACATTTACTGAACTGCTGTATTGACTCTGGAGACCCTATTACAATAAAATGACATAGAATCAGAGATCCAGAAAGAGCCTAATGGCAGGTGAGACTATGATCCAGGCCCTCTTCTAAGAGCTTTGCATACATTAACTCATTTACTCTTCATAGCAACCCTTGATTTATCCTATTTTTCAGCTGAGAAATTAAAAACTCAGCCAGTCACTTGCTCACTATTGCATGGAGGAGTTGTTTAATTTGAACCCAATTTAATTCCCGAGTCTGAGCTCCTGATCACTTTAATGTGATGCCCCAAGCAGTCTGTCTAGGTCAGGTCCTTTGTTTCATAGACTTAGCGTTGAGATCCTGAGAGTTAAACCCATCTTAGGAGATCATTGGCAAAGCAGTTTTCTAAGCACCTCAAATGGGCACTAAACATTTTCCTAAAAGGACAAGAGAGTTGTAGGTTATAGCACTTCTAGACCTGACCTCTAAAAGGAGTTACTCATTGGCCAGTGTTCTGTAGCATATCACTGATTTTCATATCTGTGAAATGAGAATATTCCCCTTTCCCTAGAAACTGACAGAGGGCTTTCTGCTGTAGGCCCCTGAAACTCAGTCTCAGATCAAGGACTTTGCATTACGTTTCTTTGTTTTCTTGAGTGAAGAGTGCCATTAAACACTTCCAGCCACACAGTTGTGTGAACATGTGGCTGGGCTACCCCCATGCAGGTAAATGTTCTAAAAGTTGTCAGTGGAGTGTGGGACATAGGTCCCAACTCCATAATAGAACAACTGGGAAGCACTGGGTCTTCATTTGGGATCCATAGATATCCAGCAATGGGTTTTAGAGGAATCTGTGAACCTAAAGAATTGTAGGCTACATTTCGGACACATGTGTATGTGTGCACTTTTTTCAATAAGGTCACAAATGGATCTGTGACTCCTAAATATTTAATAACGATGACTATAAAGATATTTCACTAAATTATTTGTATGTAACTCTTCTATGAGATCGAACAGCAGACTCTGAAAGCACTGGTCTTAGGAGTTTCAGAGATACTCATAAGCTATATAATTTTTCACTTTGTTTTTAGTAGGTATGTAGAATTGGTTAAAATAAACTTTCTTACTGAATGTATTTACAGACTGGATTTTTCCAACTACCACATGGAGACTTTTTCATTGAACCCGTGAAGAAGCATCCACTGGTTGAGGGAGGGTACCACCCGCACATCGTTTACAGGAGGCAGAAAGTTCCAGAAACCAAGGAGCCAACCTGTGGATTAAAGGGTATTGTGACTCACATGTCCTCCTGGGTTGAAGAATCTGTTTTGTTCTTTTGGTTGTTTTATTAAAACATGACCTATTCTTACTCAAGTCTCTTATCTCCTCTGTATTCTTTTTTTTTTAATATCTTCATGACATTCAAATCTCTTCTGTATTCTCTTGCCAGAAAGTGTACATTCTTTTTGCTTGTATAAACCCTTTCACTTGTCAATACTCGAGTCTCTGCATATTCTTAATGAGAAGGAAATAAAAGCATCTTTGCCACATTAATTGATGATGCTCATAAGACATTTACAATGAATTTTTTTTAAAAAACTCTTCTGAATAGTCTACAGGAAAATAATTAAAATAAAGACGTAATGATTTTCAGTATTAGCAGTGTTATAATACATTAGTATGGAATATTACCAGACAGCTCATCACATCTGCATATGGAAGGCAGATTTAAATGTTTGATGATGCCGATAATAATGTGTGAAGAAAAACTGAAAAAAATTATCAACACATTGTCAGATGATGAATTCAGTAAAGCCTCTTTTGGCTACACAGTGTTGTGTCTGCAGTTTGCTGAGCTGCGTTCCCTGCCCTTAAGCCCCAAGAATGATCTGAATTGGTCCTCTTGGCCTTGTCCCAAATAATTTCAGGTAGTTTTCAGAAGTAAACTGATCCAAGTCATTTCCTTGCAACTCCCACATTCTTCTTAGTGTGTAGGAGATAATAAGCTATGCATTAGTTTATCGGGATTGGGAATCGGGACAGTTTCTTAAATATTACATAATGTCTCCTTTCTTCAGAGAAAAAAACAATGCCAGAGGGGCTGTTAACAAAAGGAATCCCTAACATTATTTATGAGTCTTGAGGATTTGGAAACAATGGACCTCAAAGGGAAAACAGATGATGAGGCAGTGAGGGAAGGTGGATCCTGAAAATGGCAGGAGGGACTCAGAACTGGAGCTTTGCAAATAGAATGAAAGGACAAGAGGACAAGCAACTTCTCTACAGACTTCACCCAGTCCCTATGCCAGATAGCAACTTCCCTGGGAGTTTCGTCTATCATCTTAGCAGAGCATGTAAGCAACAAGAAACTTTTGAGTCTAAAATGTTTTCTGTACACAAAAACACACAACTGCTTTAAATTGTTGACTTCAGTAAGCTACTACAGCTTTATTCTAAATTAGATAACTTGCTGGCTAAATCCTCTAACAAGTACCAAGAAAAGGGATGAAATATATCATGTAGCTGATTTGAGTGATGAAGGTATCAGTATAGATAAGTTAGTCTTAATGTGAATATCTAGAGTTCTCTTGTTTGTCATTGATCCAGTCACCTGGATAATTGCCCAATTCCTATTACACTCTGGGTGATGGGGAACACTTTGTGATTTTATACCTTTTAAATCACTAGAACATCAATACGGTGGAGAAAGTTACTAGGACAGTGAGTGATCTTGACTGGACACTTACTCCTGTAGGCATCCTTGCTCTGTGAAATGAGTGAGACTATTCCTTATCTACCCACCTTGAACACCTCTCTCTCATAACTCCCCTATTGAGGCAGAGTTAATTACAAATGAATTGAGAATAGCAAATATTTAGTCATGAAAACAGAAGGGATGGATAAGAAAAGAGTGGGGTTTACAACTATCATGGCCCCCTATTAGGGCATATGCAACACCACAATTATGTTTGTCATCCCATTTAATGTTGTTCTTCTAGGCCGATCTCAAGACTTTCCACTTCTAAAGAACCTTCTCTGATTAATGCCATACAATCTTTGCCTTGTGAATTTCTCCACCAGATAGAATTTCCACCAGGTGGAATTTCTCCACCTTTGTACCTTGAGGTACTAAGCAAGTATGAGAGAGTATGTGGTAGAGAAATTCACAAAAAAGACACTCTCTTACACCTGCTTAGTACCCCAGAGTGTCAGAATTGAACAGCTCTACTAGAAGAACCTTTGAGGATGCCTTATGTAGCTTCCTTCCTTCTTTCACCAAAGAGATAGTTGTGTCTCAGAGAAGGGAAAGAATTGTCAAAAGCATCAAGATAATTGGTGTCAGAATATAGCCAAGCTCACAAGTCACGGTTCTATTCTACCTGAAGCTTTATACGGCCTCCGGTTTACTTTTTAAGTCTTCCTTGAATATACACCTTGTTTCATCAATAATTCTCACAAGCCCTATTAGAATAGGTATTCCCTCCCCAGTCAGTGTGTAACAGAGGGTTCAATGCAAAGTAGGAATTCAGTAAGTCATCAAAAAGGAACTGACAAAGAGTATTTCATAGCCAAGAAGATGAAACTAGAGTATATTAGTGTCTAATATATATGTCACTCATGGAAAGAAAAAAGAAACATGCCTTTTCCAAATATTGAAGTATCAACTGTGTGTGATCATCTCTCTTCCTCAGACAATATGTGTAATGCATAGTTACTGTTTAAACAGTAGCTAGAGATCCAAGAATTGCTAATGTGCTTGTGAATATTCTTAAACTACACATGACGTTTAAAATTTTTAAATCTTGGTGTAATGAAATGTTCTTGGCCTTGCTGAACCAGGTCATTGCAGTGTTCTTATACCATATTGCCCTGCAGAGAGAACAGAATTAACTGACAGTGGTGGTGTCATTAACCAACATTAAAGTACATTTCATGCTTAGGTCAGTTGATGTTGCCAGACTGAATTACTGTGATTATATGAAAAAAAGATCACCTTTACCATATATGGAGCATTTTGCTTTTGTAACGTTCAAAGAGGAACACTCTAGATATTGAAGAAAGATGTAATTTAAAAGTACCCTAGTGCTTCAAGAGAGAAAGGATATCAATTCATTTCTCCTAAAATCTGTCCTTTCACTCATTTTTATTTCCCACATAGAAAGGTGCCCAAATGTCACAATATGACTTAATTTCTGTTTTCCAGGCCTTTAATGTGATGCTATTTTGTTTTTGATTTTCTCAATTTTAACTATGTTTTCTTAAGTTGTTATGCTAGTTTTGTTTGCTTTTCTAAGCCTTATGTTTGCTAAGCCCTGCTGCAATTCTTGTTTCCTCTAAGATCGACTTTCTAGAATCTATGGTAAACAGTGGGAAAATAAAGCTTCCCTGAATTAAATCCAGGGGAAATTTCAAAACCTCATTTTATCAACGATGACAAGCTCCTTTCTCTAAGGCTTTTTGGTGAGAACATGATCACACTGGGATTTGAGTGGTGTTAGGTGGAAGTCTCTGTGGGAACTTTTGTTCCAGAAATCTGGGGAAGAAGAATTAACACTGGTCAGATCAATCAGATGAGAACAGATACTGGGTCATCTATGGCAGAAAAGGGTCCTGGCAGGTAAGGTCAGAGTCTGGGATTTCATGCATTAGAACTCTAGGCTAGAAAAACAGGGTCTGGCTCCTGGCATACATGCTTGTGTTCAAAATTTATTCATTCATTCAACAAATATCCATTAGGTATCTTCTTTGCGCCAGGTTTTTCCTAGGTTCTTTGGGTAGAATTGTAAATAGAATATACCTCTTTGTCTGAAGCACTGACAGCTTGGATATAGGACATGAGTAAGTAGAGATCTAGTCCTGGTTTTATCTTTATAATATATAGTAAGACTAACAAGAGATTTGGAATCTTAATGCATGTTTTATACCTTTTGCTACTCAATATTGGGTTGCTAGGACATGTAGCTATAATTCATTCATTTTCTCTTCTGTAGTTTTTCCATCTCATGAATCTTTCACACTCGATCCAATCTCCTTTGAGTAGATCTGAACTGCTTTCAGGCTTGGACTATTATACATTATGTTGAAAAGAACCTTCTTGTCCATATTTCCTAGTACACAGGTTCATAGATATTCCCAGTACTGGGTTCATTCCACCCAGTAGTGGAATGAAATTAGTAACCAATAAGATAAATACATCTATGACTTTAACAGATAATGCAAAATTGTTCAAGAACAGTGAATGAGAGTTCCCATTTTCCCATATTATATCTAGTACTTGGCATTCTCACTTTTACATGTAGTTAGTCTGGTGAATATGAAGTGGTATCTCATTATGTTTAATGTTAAAGTCACACATATCCTGTTGTGAATTAGGGCCCTAATCTATGGGCCCTAAATCTATGGCTTGTGGCTATAGATTCTCAATGAATAGTTGTCTCCCCTGGACCCAGAGTCAAGGCCCACTTTATTTGCTTACTTTACTTACTTTGTTTGCTTGTTTTCTGTTTTCCTTTTTCGCTTAGTCCCTAGACTGACTTTTAACCCTATGAGTCCTAATGTCTTTTTTCCCCGGAGCAAAAATAGGGAGCAGCACATATCCCAGATGAGCTACCAGTGCCATGTGCCAGTCAGGGGTTCAATCAGATAAGAACAACCAGTAGGAAATATATATTAAGAAATTCATTGCAAGAAATTGGCTCATGCAGTAGTGGGGGCTGGCTAGGCAAGTCCCAAATTCATGGGCAGGCCATCCAAAAGGGCAGGTTAGAACTCTTGGGCACAGGCTGAAACAGCTGTGCTCAAAAAAGACAACATTTCTTCTTCTGGAAAGCCTCAGCTCTGCTCTAGACCCAGTTCTGCTTTTCGACTGATTAAATCAGGCCTGCTACATTATGAAGAGTAATTTTCCTTACTAACAGCCAACTGATTATAGGCTTTAATCACATCTACAAAATGCCTTCCTAGCAACACCCAGATTAGTGTTTGATTGAATAACGGGGACTGCAGCCTAACCATGTTGACACATAAAGAACATCATCATGCTGCATCTTTTACTTTTCTCCCTGAATTGTTTTGCTTAATTTTTTTCTACTTTTGGCCTCTGAGGATTTCTTCTTTCTTTCATGTTTTACTATTGTTAGGGGCTTAATACTGGAGGATGTTTAAGAATATCTTGTCTATTGCACGAAATCAAAGCCTCAAGTAAACTTCTTATTTAAGACATTCGGAAATTGTGAGATGCTTTTTAAAAATTACATGCTCTAATATAAATAAATGTAAATGGTATAATACCATTAACACTAGCTCCTTGGAATTTATTAGCTTGTCAGATCACCAATCTGATAAATCAGAACAAAGTTATAAACTTGGGGGATATTTATAATTTTGTTCTGATTTCATGGAAATCCAGTGAGTTGAAGATTCTAAGTGACCACCATACTCCACATTGAGTTTAACATGTACTCAGTAGATGGTACTATTGGAATTGGCTAACACAAACACTTCTTGACACAACCTGCCTGAGTCTTGTCTTGAATTTCTTGATTACTTGATTGCCTTGTGAATAGAGGTGGCTTCACAGTAGTTTGTGCTTTGCTTTGCTATGAGATAGCGAACATTTTAATTATTGCTCTATATTTGTTTTTTATTTTTTCTTCTGTTTTTTGGAGGGGTGGCATGTGCATATATGTTATTATTATTATCTGCCGTAAGAACTGGTGGGAGGATTGATAAAGTGCTTCAAGATTTTACTAACGAGAGGGATGAAAAGACTGTTGGTGAAAATTTGGGGAAATGCTTAATGCATGAATGTATAGGGAGATAAAATAATAACCCTATTAGTTTTGTTTGCTTAATAAAATTCGAGACCAACACTTTAGGTACTCAGAGTGCCAGAGGCCTCAGCACAATTTCTCTGTAGCTCTGAGATACTCAGTTTTTTTTTAAAGCCTTTTTTCATTAACCAGCCTTCATGCAAATAATCTTCTTCTTTGCATTTCCTCAGCACTGGATAGTCTTTTGGTATGTTCCTTCATCACTTCAGGTGTCTGGGTTTCCATGCCCCAATAAGGAGACGGCTCTCCAGGAAACACAACATCTGCTTGTCTTATCTCCTCCAGGATGCTCTGTGCTGAGCCCATCCTGTCACAGTGGCAGAGGCTGCAGAACTGAACTAGAACAGCCAAGAGCACTGTGGGAGGCATTCTAAGGTGGGAGGGTGCCTTTGGAACAATATGAGCAAAGGATCAGTTTCACCTGATAGATGGTTCTTTTGTAGGACAGAAAGTCTTAATACTAAATAAATGTTACTTGATGTGTTCACTATCTAAGCTCTCTGGCATTTCCCACAACTCTGCAGGGCAATGAATAAGTAGCTTTGAGTTTTCCCTTCATCATTCCTGTGCTGCCATCTGCCTTGGGTGGAGGCAGGAGGAGGCTTGTTCTGTTCTGACCCACCTTCTGGCTTCATCCTGCAAAGGCCTGAGAGAGCCTCTGAGCTTTCCACCCCTCACCCATAGAGTCATCAGAAGTTCTGATGAGAAAGTGAGATTCACTCTAAAGAAAACCCCCAAAGATCTGGGTACAGCAGTTCATGCCTGCAATGCCAGTGCTATGGTAGGCCTATGTGGGAGGATCACCTGACCCCAGGAGTTCAAGACCAGCCTGGGCTACATAGCAAGACATCATCTTTACCAAAAAAATTTTTTTTAATTGGCCAGAAGTGGTGGTTCACACCTGTACTCCCAGCTACCCAGAAGGCTGAGGCAGAAGGATTGCTTGGGCTGGGAGATTGAGGCTGCAGTGAGCTATAATCATGCTGCTGCACTCCAGTCTGGGTGACAGTGAAACCCTGTCTTTCATTTTTAAAAAAATGAAAGAAAGAAAACCCAAAACAAATGACAACATTTCTAGCTTCAAAGCTCTATGTGGCAAGTAAACCCCTGGTGAGGGTGGCCTTCTTTAATCTGTGTCCTCAACCAACTCACATTATTACCAAGTCTTGTCATTTCTGCCTTCCCAAATAGCTTTCTACATTGTCTGCCTTTCCCCAGTATCATTACTGTGCCCCAGCATCTGTCGCCTCTCACTTGGATGATTGCAGCAGCCTTCTAACTAGTCTATCTGCCCTTGATGTCTTCCATTAGAAGTCAGAGAAATATTTCCAAAACACAAATCAAATCATATCTTTCCCATGACTAAAGCCTATCAGTGAACCCATTACCCTTAGGATAAAGACCCAGCTCTTTTAGTACCTTTTGGGAGCACATTCTCTTGTCACTCCAAATATAGCCTGGTGCCATCCTGACCTCATTTTTATTCATTAAAGAAGCTTTGCTTTTCATCACTGCTACCCTTTGCCCTTAGACTCCTTCTCCCTGAAACGTGTTCTCCCCAAATGCTTTTCTGAGTGACTTCTACTTATTCTGTGAGACCCATGCATGGCTTCCATTAGAACACTACCTACTTCATACCCTACCACAGGCTCTATCATATGATGAGTATCTGCCTATGTCTTTCCCTAGACAAGAAGCTCAGTTGGGACAGGAATCATGTCTGCTTATGCCCAGGGGTGTTCCCAAGATCTGTCAGAGTTCCTGGCCACGGCAGGAACTTAAATATGTTCAACTGAAGTATTGAACTTACTGTCTGTGATGCATTTTATAGCTTATTAGATACTTCTATTTTACCTATATGGAGCCAGTTTAACCCCTGAGGATAGCCACCCTTTCCTGGAGAAATTCAGTGTATGATCTGAATGGCCTGCAAACCAGCAGTAGTTGCAACTTACCTCACTCCTAAAGAGGAATGTGCACCAGAGACAAAGATGTGGCAAGGGTTGTGACTTGTGGCCTGAGGGTGTAGTTAAAAATGAAAGGACTACTTAAAATCTTTATTTTGGAGAAAAGCAGATCATGTATATATGTATGTATGGATAGAAGGAAAGAAGGGTGGGTGGATGGATGGATGGATGGTTGGATGGATGAATAGATGGATGGATGGATAGACGCAGATAGAAAAAGAAAGCAAGTGATTTCATTTACTCAGCGAGCTCCCACACTCACACTGTGCCAGACACCGGGTAATTAGGATACAAGGGTGAACAAAATATTGAAGCAGGCAGAAATGTAGAGATGGAGGCCTGAGAGAGCTCTTGGGTAGAGAGGAGCAGGTGTGTTTTCTGGCAGATACAAAAGAGGCAGGGGCCTTGGAGGATGATATGGAAGATGAGGCCCTGAGGCCCAGCCAATTGGCCACAGCAATCCTAGCAAACTGGGTGCTTGTCTCTGAGCCTAGAGCATACATAGTTTTTAGTTTCCTGTGGGCAGGGGGAGGACAAATTCTCATCCAGTCCACTAAGTAGATTTCTGGCATTCTTCCAGTCTCATTTCGAATAGTGCTGCCTTCCCCCACCCTGGACTGCCTCCGAGGCCTGCTGGCCCCCACCGTTTCTTGAGCTCAATCTGCATTCTGATGTGACCCCTTGTTATCATCCACCTCATCTCCCACCACTCTCCCCTTCCTTTTCTGCCTCTCCAGTGTTCCTTGAAGTGGGCTCACTGCAGGGCCTTTGCCCTGGCTGTTCTCTCTGCCTGGAACACTCCTCTCCCAAATTTCTTTATGGCTCACCCTTTCATGCTAATGAACTCAAAATACCCAGAGAAGCCTTCCCTGACCACTGTTTAAGATAGCTTTTCCTCCGTCACTTTGTAAGCCCTTTATCCTACTTTATTTTTTCACAGCACTTGTCATCACCCGATGTTATTTTAGCTGCTTATTTGTGTATTGGTTTATTGTCTGTCTTCCATGAACCAGAAATATGCTCAATCCAGGCAAATACTTTCTCGCTTTTGTTCTCTGCAGTATCCTTCAGTTGCCTAAGACAGAGCTGGCCATAGTCATGAGCATCTGGTAAATGTTGAATGAATGAATGAATGAGTAAATGAGTGAATTATAGCTTCATTAGTGATTATCCTGTTGAACTTGGATCTTATTTCCACCAGTAGACACATCTTTGTATTTTAAGTATCAAGCCTAGTGTCCGATGCATAGTAATCATTTAATAAATGTCTGTTAATTAATTGCATGAGTAAATGAGGTATGTTTACAGTGTGGTGCTGCAGGTATGAGTAGATATCAGTCTTACCTGGGGCAAGGGTCTCAGCATTCCAAGAGCACTGGGAGCCACTGAGGCAAGGCAAATGTGTTCTTAGACAGCAATTAATGATAACTATGAATTTGTCCCACAGCTCAATTGATGCCAATGTTTGGGAAGACAAACACTCCCACCCCCGTGGTGTCCCATTTCTGTGCAGCAGCTGGAAGTCTCACACATCACCACATTTTTTTTTTTTTTTTTTTTACGGGGAAGGAAGTTTACTTGTTAGATTTGACATCAGATGTTTGAGGAAATTATCAATGTACTTTATGCTCTAATCTTCCTCTTCAAAGGCAGATTAATGAATCCCCTAGGGCACTTTTTGGGCCAGTAAGCCAAAAATGAGAAAGTTAAGACCTTTAATTACATTGCTTTGTGTGTCATTGATTGACCTCCTTTTCCTCAAGAAATTTTAATTTGTCAGATACTAAGGGACACAGCTCTGAACCTGTCAAATTAGACCCTGCCCTCAGAGACTTACAGTCTAGTGGAAAAAGAACTTAAACAAAAAATCACAAAATCGTATGCATGAACATTGTGACAAATGCTGTAAGAGTATATAGCAGAGGAAATTGATATAATTAGGAGGTTTAGAAATGTTCCCCCCAAATAAGCCACAAAAGTGGGTTTGGTGTAATCCCAGCACTTCGGGAGGCTGAGGCAGGTGGATCACAAGGTCAAGAGATTGAGACCATCCTGGCCAACATGGTGAAACCCCATCTCTACTAAAAATACAAAAATTAGCTGGGTGTGGTGGCACATGCCTGTAATTCCAGCTACTCGGGAGGCTGAGGCAGGAGAATCGCTTGAACCCGGGAGGCGGAGGTTGCAGTGAGCTGAGATCGCACCACTGCACTCCAGCCTGGCGACAGAGTGAGACTCCATCTCCAAAAAAAAGTGGGTTTGGATTCTTAGAGAGCCATTTTCCAAGATCGCTTCTACTGGTATTCAGCACTTGAGAAGTGGTGTCCATTATGAGCTAAATGGTGTCCTCCCCAAAATCCGTATGTTGAAGCCCTGACCCCCAGGACCTCAGAATGTGACAGTATTTGGAGACAGGGTCTTAAAGACCTAATTAAATTAAAATAAGGTCATTATAGTGGGCTTTGACTTTGCCCTCATAAGAAGAAGAAATCTGGACGCAAGCATGTCCAGAGGAAAGTCCCCCATGAGGACACAGAGAGAAAGCCCCATCTGCAAGCCAAGGAGAGAGGCCTCAGGAGAAACCCAACCTTCAGATACCTTATCTAGGCCTTCCAACCTTCAGAACTGTGGGAAAATCTGTTTATGTGGTTTGGGCCGCCAGTCTGTGGCACTTTGTCATGGCAGCCCTAGCAGATGAACACAGCATCCACTGGCCATCCTGCTGGCACAGGGCTCCTTTCCTTCTGCCAACCCAGGAGCACTTAGTTACGCTGTGTGTGCAGCAGGAAACTGCACACACACACCTCAGTGAGGTTTTTTCAGGGCTGGCTGCATGGGACTGTGACTAGAGGGGCCACACAAGGCCTTACACTAGAAAGAGTTCCATGCTTGGGGTGTAGTGCTTTGAGGTAGCGTCTTGAAATTTTTAGTGTTTTTAATATTTGAATGTCCGCTTTATAAGTGAAGTCTGAGGAGACAGTGGAGCACGAGCTGGGGCCTGGGACGTGGCCTCACTCACGGTCCACCTCTCGCCAACATCCTGCCTTCTGGAGTTGGGTTCTCTGTCACTTTCTCCCTGGCCCCTTGGTTCCCTGGCCCCACCTGGCCTCTCCCTTTCTGCTCCAATCCCGCTACCACTGTGACCGCCTGTCTTGGGCAGTGACCAGGTCACATGAAAGCAGGGAGGCCTGTTCTTCATTATCCCTCTATGCCCCTGGTAGGAGCCTGGGTGCAAACATGGGGAGGGTCAGGATTGGGTGCGTGCCCGCAGTGTCTTGGAGTGGGACATAGCAATCATCCCCCCCATCCCAAGATGGCATTTGGCAAGTGACTCAGGGGACCTCTCACCCCCGCATCCCCGTCATCCAGGTACCACACACATCCCTGTGCAGAGTTTTCAATCCCTTGGGAACCACCCATCTGTGGTGGGTTGGAGTGGTGGGCCCCTCAGCAAAGGGGAAGACTAACCTCCCTGCCCCAGGCCGGAGCCCTACATTTTTATTTTGCACTGTATTCTACAAATTATGTAGCTGGCCCCGGGATTAGAGTTGCTTTACTTGCAAAAAATTGAGGTGAATCTGATACACATTAATGATATACCTGAGACTGCTGTATTATTTGCTATAGATGAAAAGCAATGATTATTTATTATTCTTTTTAGTCTTGCTTATATACAGTCAAATGAGTTTTATATTTTTCTCTGTTCTTCACGTTAGAGTTGAAAGAGAAATGGACTGGAAACTGGGAGAATTATGTTCTGGTACCACCTCTGTCATTCCCTGACTTGGGCAAGTTACATAAATCCCACCCTTACTTTTCCTCATCAGTTACATGAAGGGGTTGGAATTCTCTTAACTTTCGTGAGTTATGAGTCTTTCTGTTTCGATTCAGCAGTATCTAGAAACAAAGCAATCTTGACATTCTTTATTCACACCAATGTGGTTTAAAGCCCATCAAGTGGGCTTGTACACACTGGCATCTCACATCTAAAAGTGAAGATCTTGACCCATCTTTCTGGTAACCCTGACATCTGGCTCTCAGGTGCTTTCTCCTCCCAGGCCTTCTGCCTTCTTTACACCCTTGCCCCATCCCTAACAGCCACAAACTTCGGAGCACAGGCCCACTGCTCCTGGTACTCTGCCTCTCACCCAGAAGGGACAGTCAGGACCTAAAGAGGCGGCAGAACTTCAGGGTCATGACTGAGTGGATGTGTCTAGCTCATCATCACGGGTCAGAACATTGAAAGGAGGAAGTGGCAGTCCTAGAAACCGAGTCTGGACACAAGATCCCTAATATCTGTCGGGGAGAGAGGTGAGAGTATGACGGATTTGAGTGCCTACTTATTCAGGGCATGGCTCCTTATCCTGGCATCAGATGTGTGAGACCACACACGTATGCACACATGCATGCACATGCACATACACATACACATAGTTTCTTCTGAAATGTGGTATTTGGTTAAAAAGACTCCACATGCATTTGAGTAGTGTCAAATACATCAGGGCTGTTATTCTAAGTTCAGGACCTAGCATTTCAGCTAAACTCAGCCCAGTGGGGGCTGTGCGTAGTGTGTGTGTGTGTGTATGGAGAATGTGTGTGTGTTTGCCTATATGTGTGTGTGTTTATGTGTGTGTGAAGGAGTGTGTGTTGATGCGTGGGGTGTACATGTGTGTTTAAACATTCGTCACGTCACACACTGTCAGCTCCAGGATGTAAAGATGGCTTGCTCAGCTGTGATGACTCAGGGATTTATGGAAGTTCTACCTGTTCTCTTTAAATGCAGCATGTTGAAAGCCTGAGGTATTCTCTCAGTCAACAGAGAGGTTAAACTCTTTGTTTAACCTAACTAGCAAGGGAGTCCAAACACCTCCGAACGAAAGGCTTTCCCTTGCTGGATAAGTTGTGCTAAGAATAGAGTCAATGTCAACCCCACCAGCAGCTGACCAGCACCCTGGCTGCATTTCTTAGGGAATTACTACTGCTAAATTGACACCAGAAAGGGCAGAGGGCTCATTTTCTGTAAAGCATCTTCTCCCCACGCCATCCTCTCAAAGACATTGCACGGGAAACCAGCCTTCGTGCCAGCTCCTCCAGAACACTGGCCTTGGCTCTTCAGCTCCTTCCTAATAGGATCAGCTGTGCTGAGGGCTTGAGGACTGGCTCCGTCCTTCCTCAGCCAGGACAGTGCTGCGATGTGGAAACTGACCAACATAGCGAGTTTCCCATGGCACTGATGTTGATGTGCAGAAGACAGGCATTGCAAATGCAGGTCTGTTAGGAAGATCAATTTTGATACAGTATCTGCAAGTAGGGAACATTCCTAACCAAAGGATAGGGCAGGTGACCCATGACATGAGAGGTGAAAGCCGAAAGCCATTTCTCATTAGCTCTTCATGGGGCTTCAGAACTCTTTTGGTCTCATTTCCCCTGGAATATGCAGGAGGCATCAAAGACACTTAATTTGCATACCTTCATTTCTTGAGAACAGTTCCAGCCTAAAGCGGCTATTAGCATTGGAAAAGCTCACCTGATTGGCAAGATTCTGTACTTTATGCCTGAGTAACCAAACAAACAAAAAAAAAATCAAAGGGCAGTCCCAACGGCCACAGAGCAGTAGTTTTTCCACTCTCGCTCCTGGTTTGGAGAAGGGTATTTATCAGGGGCTGGTTAGAGGTCAGGGTTATGGCCTTCTAAGATGGGGAGGCCATTACCAAAGACCCCAGGTAGCCCCATCCCACACACTTTCCACTAGTGCCTATATTGGGATGAATCTTCTGGCAATCTTCCTTAAAACTTCAAGAGACCTCTTTAAGATTCTGTAGTTGGGTGAGCCTGTCTGTGCCCAGGGTAGCCTGAAGTTAAGGTGAGGGCTTAACAGTGGTACCAGGCAGTTTGGATCCCAACTAGCTAGCTGTCCTTGGGCAAATGACTACTTTCCTACTACTGTTACTTCTTGTTTCTATTTTCTCCTCTGTAAACTGTGGGTAATGAAAATGTTGCGCAAAGGTAGGGTGGGTGAGTGACAGCTACAGGCTCACTGTTCCTGAAAACTGCAATTCGAAATTCCACAGCCCCCTGAAAATAAAAAGTCTTTCAGTGAATGTTCAGCAAACTCCCTTGGTGGCAAAACTGACTTGAATTAACATGAGGCTATTTATGATATTTTGTAAATCTCAGTTAGTGAGACTAGTTGTACATTTTACTGTAGAAATATCCATGTGTTTGATTTCAGAGTACTACCCTGAAAATACCCAGGTATTTGGAAGCATAGAATATATGAATTAAATGACTTTTTTAAAAAATTGTGGTAAAATACATATAACACAACATTTACTATCTTGACCACTTTTAAGGGTACAGTTCAATAGTGTTTGTATATTCACATTGTTGTGCAACCAATCTCCAGAATTCTTTTTACTTATTAAACTGAAACTCTGTACCTATCAGACAACTCCCCGTTTTCCCCTTTCCCCAGCCCCTGGCAACCACCATTTGACTTTCCAAATTTCTTTTAGAATTGCAAAAATTCCAAATTCCAAAACACATCTGGCCTCACAAGCATTTCAGATAAGGGATTGGGAAACTTAATTAGGGAAGGGGAATGCCTAACATTTGATAGAGTCACCACCTTTCGAGATGATCCTGGAAGAGGGAGTTCTTCCAATCTTACAGGGGCCTGTCAACCACAGCACACTGCTTCCCAACATCGATGCCCTTTTGTAAAAGATGGCACAGTAACAAGAACAAGGGCCATTAGATTCTGACCAGAGCAAACAGAACGCAGGTACTTGCATGGGATGTTTGATACCTTCCCCTTCTTTTCTGTCATTCCCTTGATCTCAGTTTTTCTCAGTAAGTAGAAGTGCACATGTTGGCAGCTGGTTCTGGCATCTACTTTTTATTTCCATTCCAGGGACCATGATGGAGGATGCTTTTACAGTGAAAAGGCATGAAAACCTTTATGCAGACTGAACTCATGGGGAAGATGCTGACAGTCTGTTTAGAACTTGCTGGAAGCCATTGAAGGCCAGATTTATCCATTTTGCAGAACTCTCTAGGAATCTTCAGAAAAGCAGTAGGGCTTACCCTGCTGTTCCCCAGCAGATCACAGTATGGAGACCGGTTCTGAGTCATGCTCCCTATAACTGGAATAACACAGGGAATTCTTCACATGTTTCATAATGTGTGTGAGTGAAAGGACAACCCAGACTTGTTATTGAAAAACCCGACAGTGGTCAGGCATCATTATTGGAATGTCTTCTCCACACTGCCCATTCTGTAAACATCCTGGGGAAATGTCGAGGTTACTTTCTGTGTGAGGCTTGTGCTTTCTTTTCCTGTTTGTAAATACCAGGGATGAAAGTGGATGCCTTCAGAATTGGAAGCCCATGAACACAAAAATTCTGCAGAATACAAAACCCTCTGATGGACCACTCCTGATAAATATAAAATAACCTTAGTACCAGAACTTCTACTTTTGGGTTATGGAAAATATGCCAAGAATTTTATGTTTTAAAAACAAACTACAGGCTGGGCGTGGTGGCTCACGCCTGTAATCTCAGCATTTTGGGAGGCCAAGCCAGGTGGATCAACTGAGGTCAGGAGTTCGAGACCAGCCTGGCCAATATGGTGAAACCCCATCACTACTAAAAATACAAAAATTAGCCAGGCATGGTGGTATACGCATGTGTTCCCAGCTACTTGGGAGGCTGAGGCAGGAGAATTGCTTGAACCCGGGAGGCAGAGTTTGCAGTGAGCCGAGATCGCACCGTTGCACCACAGCCTGGGTGACAAGAGTGAGACTCTGTGTCAAAAAAAAAGAAAAAAAAAAAACAGCAAAAAAAGAATACAGTTGTTCGGATGCCTTTATTATCATCATTACCATTTTAAAAGCTCTAAGAATCCTTTATTCTCAAAGAAAACAACACTAAATGTTGTTTAGTGTTTAACACTTTTAATGTTATCTGGCCCTGGAAAAATCAAACAAATGATCAGTTTCCAACATCATCAATCAACATGGAACATTTCAGATTCATAGTGACCAGGATGTTCCTGGGCACCAGAGGTTTGGAGCCAGCAATAGAAGAGGTTTCCTTTCCTTAGTGGCAGTTCTACCACTGTCCTGAGCATTTCATGGTCCGTGCTGGACATTCATTGACCTTTCCAGCAGCTTGAAGCTAAGGTGTACTTCCCCGATTAGGCCATTAGGTAGCTGGGACCTCAGGAAAAGCAAGAAAACAGTTGTGGGGTCAGGGGGCAGTTGGGATCAAGACCAGAAATTGGTCTAGTGTCTAGATGAGGGGCCAGGCAACTACAGTCCATAAGCCAAATTCAGCGTGCCATCTGTTTTGTACAGCCTGATAGCTAGGAATGGATTTTACATTTTTAAGTGGTTACATTTTAGATGGGTATATAAGTACTCATATAATATCCTCGATTTTACCTTTCATCCTGCAAATTATACAAGATAGCAAAAACATTTACTATCTGGCCCTTTAATAGTGATAAAAACTTGCTGATCCCTGGTCTAGACCATTGGTTCTCAAAGTTTAGTCCCCGGACCAGCAGCATCAGCATCACCCTGGAACTTATAAGAAATGCAAATCTACAGGACCCACCCTAGCTTTATTGAATCGAAAACCCTAGGGTGGGGCACAGTATCTGCATTTTAACTTTGGAGAGCTATTTCTTTATTCCTTCAGAAAAGAAGACCCGGGGCAAATTACTTAACCTCTTTGTGCTGGATTTTCTTCATCAGTAAGGGTTGGGAGAATTTAACAGCTGAAACATGTAAAACTTATTAAGGTAAATGCCCAATGTATATTAGTTATTGTTATCTCAAATGTACTATTATTTAAAAAAGCATTTTATTAGGCTTAGGTTAAAAATCAAAAGACTTTACCAGACATCTGAAATTCTAGCAAGAATCATTAAGGTACATGCAAGGTATCTTGCAGTAAGGTATGTCCGGGTGGGAATCAGAAGTGCTGGTCTAGAAATTTGAGAGCCAAAGAGTTACAGACCCTGTCAGGGTGGCCCACAAGCTCCTCCTTCAGCCAGGCTCTGGAACATTTCCCAAGCCCTGAGCAGACACCCCAGTTGATGTTTCTTCCAGTGGAACACTCAGCCTCCTCCCCCACCCACCGTTTTGGCTATAGCCCCTTCCTCTCAGGCCTTTGGTGTTGTCATCCTTTGCTGCAGCTTCTCACTTCCTTGCTAACCTGGAGCATAAGTACTCATACTTTATTCGTGAATCATTTGGGGCAATCAGGATAGTAAAATTCATTCTCAGGGGACTGGGTCTTTGTTAGGAATTTTAGAAGCTATATTATGTTTAGCACAGTAAATTAAATGTGGAAAACATGTTAGCTGTCTTCCTTGTTATAATTTTTTTAATTCACAATTGTGACTTAAAAACCTGGGGTAACTACAACTCCAGCTGGTTAACATCAAGAGAAGCTGCAAATTATTTTGGACAGCAATGATTTCTGCTAATGTTACTGCTCTTCTTCAGGTACTTCACGTTTTTTTCTTCTGGTGCTATTATTCTTGAAGTCAGGCTTTGCAGAGCTGTGTCCTCACCTCTGACCTAGGCAGCTTTTGTTCCAAAGAACCAGAAGTGACAGGGTATGACCACTTCTCCTGAGAGGCAGAGTGGGGTTTGGTCTCTAGCTGCGAACAGGAGAAGCAAGGAACACGTTCCTGCTTTTAGAATGGAGGAAAGGAAGGATATTGTTGTCTCTTCTCTCTTTACCCACTGATGGCTTGGCCACTGCTTGGGGGCTGCCTCCCTCCTTGTCTGCTCAGCGCTTTTTCAGAGACATCCTGAGGCTAAGAGCTTACTCTGTGTGTGTGTGTGTGTGTGTGTGTGTGTGTGTGTGTGTGTGTGTGTAGTGGGGAAGTGTAGGCTTTGACATCAGATGGGTCTGGGTGTGAATTCTTGCACTGAACAGCTCTGAGACCTTGGGTGTTTCTGAAGTTCTCTGAGCCTTATGATCTACATCTGTAAAATGCACATGGTACTTGCTTGGCTGTGTCTGTGTGAATTGGAGATGATGCATGCATGTTAAGTACTGATCTCTGTTATCAGAGCTGGCAGCCCCCGTGTCTCGCTGATGAGTCTCCATGGCCACATGGAATGATGGTTTACAAAATGACACTTATGATCCTTTCAGGAAACTCTGGGTCACAAGGATGCTTTAGCCAAATGCAAAGCCACCTGGATTTGCACAAAGCACGGCCATGTTTGTTTGGAGTATAAGGACCCAAGGGTGCTGCAGCCACTTTTACTGGCCAAGACCAATCCATTCAAAGCTGGTTTCCAGCTCCCTTCAGACTAGCTAGTTATCAGTATTTGAAGACCACGTATTCCAGGCAAGCTACTAGAAACTTAACAATGTCTCTTACTTAAGATTCGTGGCTGTCTTATGATTAGAGGCTGTTATTATCCCCATTTCACAGATGAGAAAACTGAGGCATAGATCAACTGACTTGCTCAGGCTCACGCTGTTAAAAGTAACAAAGGTTTGTGTCACTACAGATTCTGTGTTCTGGACCAGCATGCTCTAGGACTTTTTTCCTACAACTGGTTTTCTTGAAGAAAGTTTCATTTAACAGTTTTAATCTGGATTTAAATTTCTTTAAAAAAATAGTAACTGTATTATTCTGTAACTTGGTTATTATAATAACCAAATATAATAACCATATATTTTTTTTACTGGGAAAATAATATAATGAGGAAAATAAAAGTCACTCATAATCACACAACCAAAAATAGCCACTATTTGTGAATATGTTATTTATGTAACATTTTATATGATATGAAATAATATAATTTAGTGTTATATTGGATAAAAATATAATATAATATATAATAAAACCCACAATTGGGATGTGTAAATTCATTCTGCACAGTTTATATTGTGAACATTTTCCCAAGTTATAAAAGGCTATTTTAAAACATTTTTAAGGATCACTTAAAGCTTTACTGTGGAATGAAATCAAAATTTATTTACACATTCCCCTGGTGTTGGACTTTTAGATTTTTTTCACAAATTTTCTTATTATAAAACTCTGTGTGATTATTATTCTTGTACCACCAATTTTGCCCACATTTTAAAATATTATCTTAAGAGTCCTATAAATGAATTACTGAAAATATTTCTAAGAATTCCTCCAAAACGTAACACTAATTTATATTTCCAAAGCAACATATAAAAAGTATCCATTTGTTCTACTTTTGCCAGCATTGGACAAAGTATTTTTTAAATCTTCTCTAATTTGTTGTGCAAAATATGCTATATCAGGAGTGCCCTAATTATTTCTGTGAATATGAATATCCACAGTTGTCAGATTTTGAACCACTGATAATTCTTCTTTAAGAATCATCTCTCCATGTTCTTTGATCATTTTTAATAGGATTATTAGCAATTTCTTAATTTTTCATAAAGGCACTTAAGAGATTAAGTATGTAACATCTTTGTCATATTTGTGGGAAAATGCTTTTTCTGTTTTCATCTTTAATTTTTTTATCTCTTCTTATGTAAGATTTTCATTTAGACGTTTTCTTTCTGATTTCCTCCATTCTTTTTATGCTTACAAAGTCCTTTTCCATTCTAGTGTCAGATAAATATTCACCTACATTTATTTTTTTTAGCACTTCTATGTGGTTTACAATTGGATTTTGAATGAGAAGGGAGATGGTGAATATGTGGTACATGTATTGCCTCTTCTGGCTCCTGGTGCTGGGCAGACATCACTAGTCTATGCTGGCACCCTATTCTGCTCAGCCTGCGCAGTCCTGGTGCTGGGTAGACATCACTAATCTATGCTGTCACCCTATTCTGCTTGGCCTGGATGCAGCCCTAGAATATTTCTCAAGGCAGCTCCAGGTCTAGCTACCACCAGCTGGTCAGAGGTGGAACATGAGATTATACCTTTTTGCCATCTCTCCAAAAGAACAAATTTCTCTGATATTGACAATAAAGATGACCAGTTTTAAAATCCTAAGTACCCTATAAATCTTATATCTATATGGAATAATTTATAGTCTTGTCCATAATAACACATGCAGTCTAATAAGATGCAATGTTAACATTTCTTAGGCAGGGTCATGAGCCATCAGCAGACCTCTGGCATCTCTCTAGTGGACAGCCTCTGCCTCAGCCAGAGCATCGTGTTCCTGAGTGCTGCCTTTTCACACTGGCCTTAATTCTAGATCCTATCAGCATAGTCCCAAAAAGGATTTTTAGCAATCCTTAATTGTTTGCTCCTTTCTGCCTTTCCTGATGTCCTAGGATTTGACCATCTTGGTAGACACAACTGGCCCTTCCTGTGGAGCTGGAGTGCATGTCCCAGCCTCTGCTGGCTGCCTTGCCTCATTATCATGCATACCTTTTCAAGGCATCTGATAAAGACCATTCCTGAACACATCTGAATGAAGCTTAGGATTGCCATGATGAGGCAGCAGGAGAGCCTCCTGTGCTGTGTACATGGCTGTCGTCTTCAACACTCACTTTAATGTAGAGAAAAGAAAGATAAGGTTGGGTGCAGTGGCTTACACCTGTAATCCCAGCTACTCGGAAGGCTGAGACATGAGAATCTCTGGAACCCGGGAGGCTGAGGTTGCAGTGAGCCGAGATCACACCACTAGACTCCAGCCTGGTGGAGACAGTGAGACCCTGTCTCAAAAAAAAAAAAAGAAAAGAAAGATAAGCAGAGAAGAAACTAAGAAACTGGAATTTATTAATTCATAATAGCAGTGATTAGAAATAAATTATTTATTATATGCATGACATTGAGCTAAATCCTCTACAAACATCCCTTATTTAATTCTCCCAATAACACACTGCAACTGCTTTTACTATCCCTATTTACGGATGGGAAAAGTAAGGCAAGTCAGAGATCTCCCAAATAGTTAAGTGTGACTGGGATTTGTATCCGGGTCTGTCTGACTCCTGAGCTAGTACCCGTTATTCTCAACCCTTCTGCTATCTCTGCCAAGGTACAGATTTCTTCATTGCTGAAGAACTTCAGGACAATAATTGGGTTATTCTAAATGAGCAAAGTTAAAGGACCATGCAAAGGGTTGCCTGTCTTTTGTGGTCCAGTTGAGAATTTGTGAAAACATCAATGGAGTTAATATTATACCAGTGTGAAAAACAGTAGATAAAGTCGAGGGTTCCAATGAAGCAATCCTAACTAAGTGAAGGATGAATCTTTCTGTCTTTTGACACTAGCTTGCTGTAGGTCAATGGAAGCAACCTGCCTTTGGAAGACCACTGGTTTTAGTATATTTTGCTGTTATTTAAGACAAAAAACAATAAAATTATAGACCTTTATTCATCACTTTAAGATAATGAATCAACATTCTATAGGAAAAAATAAAAATAGGCATTTAAACTATATTTTAACCACGTAAAGGAACACATACAAGAGGAGAAGACACAGGGAAGGAAACAAAAAGGACAGCTTTTGTGGCCCCTCCTGCCTCCAGTCTTCCCCCCACCCATCCTCTTCCAAAAAAGGATCAATCTTACCACACACATACACACAGAAACACACACACAGACACACACACACACACACACACACACACACACCCTAATGGACTCTGATCTCATAATAGCACCAGCACCTTATACAATAGTGATACTTATACAATGCCACACATATGCTGTTTTTGCAACTATTGGCATAAACTGTGTCTAATCCCATATCACACAGAAAGATTCAGATTTCATATTTGATCTGTAACCTGTACAATGTGGGTCTCCTTTCTACCCGTGGGTGGGTAGTGAAGGACTTCGTCAAGAGCCTCAGGGTGGAAGAAAGAAGCCTTCTAATGTATAACTTTTGCCTTGGAGCTCCAGAATGGAACTTTTGGAGCTCCAGAATGGAACTTTTGCCCATAGACAGACTCTTAATCATTACTATATTTGGAAAATGTTGGGTGGTTTAGTAAGTAATATTTGGAAAGCCACATGCTGTGTATCAGTGATTCATAATCCACACACAAATTGATTTCCAACCCTCTTGCTCTAAAGCCTGAAATTGGGTGTTATCAATCTCAGCCACTGCCAGTGTCTCTTCCTTTATTTAGAGAGAAACTTTGGGACACTCTGCCACTTGCCAACCAGTAGGATCTGCCTGACCTGCCAGTCTCCAGCATCCCAGAGGCATCGGGTGATGCCTCTGACTTTTCAGAACCCTTCAGAGTACCATCCCACCGGGGCTCACATCTACCCTCTGAAGTCAGCAGTCTGGAAATTATTTTCTTACTAAACTCTTTCTAAGTATGTAAATTATGTGTTGTTAAAGCAAATTAAAATGGAGGCCACAAAAACTCCCTGAGCAGACAAAGCCAGTTAGGTCTTGAAAATAACCTTAACTTTGCTTACATTGGAAATGGGAAGGAGACTTAATTTGGGCTATTTCTTGTGAATGCTTGTATTAGAGTGAAACAATTTAAGCTCAACCAATAAGATGCAGCCAACTAACTTGTAATCATGCAACTAGGGACTTTCCAGTGAGGTAGATCAAATATGGCAACTTTATACCTGTAACCAATCAAATATTTTCTTTGCATGACTTCCACATTCACTCTATAAAAGCTTATCCTTTATGTTTCTCCAATGGAACCCCTGAAGCACTTCTGGCTTGGGGCTGCTTGATTCATGAATTGCTATTCACTCAAATAAACTCTAAAATGTTATTGTGTCCCAGTTTACCTTTTTAATAGTTTGTATAATATAACATTTGGAAGGTTCATACATGTATAAAGAATATAAAATATCAGTATGCTGTCATCATCATACCAAGCTAATATTGTTAATATTTCATATTTGATGCTCATCGGTTTTCCTACACATATGTGCAAACATGTATACATATCATGTACATATACACATATATGTATGTGCATTTATATACACATATATGCATATGATATATCATGTACATATACACATATGCATGTGCATTTATATAAGCATATATGCATATGATACATGCTACTTTGTAATGAAATATACTTTATAAATGAGATTAGTACAACTGAGAGGTGAAATGATGAGTTCAACCATACCTGACATTACTGGTTAGTCGTTTGATTCTAGAAATCTTTTCTCTCCATGACTGTTCTGATGGCCTTCCCCTTTCCTACACACAGTCAGAGCTCTCTACAGGGGTAGCTGGCCTTCTTCAGGCTGGGGTGCTAAGGTGTTTTGTGGAAGAGGCTGGTGGTCGCCTGAGCCTGAGGCCAGAAGGAACACTGTCTTTCCCTCCCTGAGGAGAGGTGAGGCTTAAAGGGCAAATGGCCTTGGCAGAGAGGCCCAGGGCCAGGCTGATCCCAGTGACAGCCCATGACTAGAGGCCACACTGAGAGGATGGTGAGGGCCACCAGGAACAGGGCTTTGCGAGTCTGAAGGAGGCAAGTGGCAGAGTTAAGAGGCTGATTCGGACAGGAGGGGAGTCACACCTGCCACCAAGGTCTCATCCCACAGCCAACAGTGTCCTGGAAGGAAGCCAACTCCTCCAGGTTTTGCTCAGAGCATCCCTTTCGTGTCCAATGCTCTGACACTGTTCTTCCCCTCCCCCTTTCCACTTCTCTCGTAGGCTGTGGATTTTCAGCTGAAATGTCTCATTTCAGTGAACATCCCGAGTGGGATAATGTCCTTCTGCCTCAGAGAATCCAGCAGCACAGAAAAAGACTGGGCCTCCTTCTAGGGGAAGAGGATGGTCTCAGGGCTGCTCTGGAAGGAAGATGAGGATGTCCAACAGTCATTTAACTGTTGCCTGTGCATTTCAGGGACACTCCAGGGTATGAGCCAATTTTTGTTTAATATATTTGTTCCTTTCCTTAGAAAATAAGAGGGGTTGCAATCTTCATGCTTTTGCTCAATCTGCAGGTATCTATTGAGGGCTTGCATTAAAGATGCTGAGCGTAGAGTGTGAATGTGACAGGTGCCATGCTCTCAGTAAGCCTACTGCCTCATGGGAACATTGGTAAAGAAACAGATAAATAATTACAAATAAGTAAACATAAACACAGGCAAACCGATAAATACCAGGAACGGAATTAGTGGGATGAAGCACCAGAGGGCAAAGGAGACGATAGGATGGTCTGTAGGACTTTTAGGCTGAAAATGGACAAATCAACCAGCGCTAATCGTTCAAAATCTAAGAAAGAGTGTGTTCCAGGGAACAGGATGCATACAAGCCTCAAGCATAAACAGCTTGGCTTCTTTGAGGAATTAAACGAAGGCCAGTGTGACAATAAAGAGAATAAGCTTGGAAAGAGAGCCAAAAGCACCTTTGAATTAAACTGAGTTAATATTCATGTGTTTACAACAGTTGAAGCCCTTGGAAAGTCTGGAAAACAGAAAATGCCCATGAAAGGGATACCTCAGGACAGTCTGTAAAGCTAATGCTTCATTTGCTTTGGGTTTGCTCTAACTTCAAAGCAGAGTTGCTCACAGAAAACAGCTATGTTAACTTCCTCCTATCGGAGAGGCAGCTGCAAAGCGATGAAATGCCTCCATGGAGGAGAAGAAACAAGGAGGCGAGAGCCCAATGGACCCTCTCTTGAATAACTGAGAATTCACTCAGAAATGCGAGGACACACACGCGTCGTCACCCAGGCCAGATCTCGGTGGTGAGGCTTGACCTCGACCCAGACACACAGGTCCAGCGGCAGCCACAGTTCATTGTGCTTGGGCCAACCCTGCCTTGCTTTTGCGCTTGGTGATCCTGTCTCTGCAGTGTCCAGCAGCATAGGGCAGGTGGCAACTGCCTTGCGCCTCCAGGAGAGGTGAGAGGAGAGAGAGAGGAAGCTTTGTGAGAGCCTGCTGGAGGCGGTGAGCTGACTCGACTAGAGATTTGATTCACCCAGGAGTTTCCTCTGGAGCTGGAAGGAGGCAAACTGCAGCTGGCTTAGATCCAAGCCCAGGAGATGCCTCATCTGCCCAGGCGGATTCCTGGATCTGGCCGTCCAAAAGGATGCATTCACATGGCTTCAGAGTGAGGGCACTTTATAAACTGCGGGGCACCACACACATGTAAGGATGATTCTGATAGTACTGTTACATCAAGCTGAATTTGGCCCAAGAAAGCCTCTGCACTTGCATATTTGAATTCTTAAGTCTGAACTGCAATCTAATATGTTAACTCAAAAGTTAACTTAGGAGTAAGCTTCAGTAACAATAGCTGAATCTCGGCCTATTACAGTGGCCACACTTCAACCAATCACAGATGGCCAACTGTTCAAACCGTGCTCCAATAAGGCAAATGCCAGCTGTAACCAATCCAGCAGTTTCTGTACTTGCTTTCCTTTTCTGTCCATAAATGTCCTCTGACCATGAGACAGGTCCAGAGTCTCTCTGAATCTGTTCTGGGTGAGGGCTGACCCATTTGCAAATCTTTTTTTCTCCCCCTCAGTTAAACTCTTCTAAGTTTAATTTGTCTAAAGCTTTTTCTTTGTTAACAATAATAAAGACAATTTGGTGGGTTTTGGTGGTGAGTTGACTGGCCAGAGACTTTAGCGTCAGCCACGGAGCTTTTTTAGGAGCTCACACCTGCAGCCCTCTGCCCCAGGCCTCCTCAACTGTACCTACAATGTGAGTGACATCAGTGTACTCACCGAGGCAAGGAAGTGGCATGATTAGTCCCCTGGACACTTTCCCTTCCAACCAGATTGCTGCATTTAAGGCTCTTGCTTGTAGACCCATCTGGTGATCCTGGACACCCAGATCTTTGTTGGCCATTGCTTAAGCCACATAGTGGAATGTGACCCAGAACAGGACATGGGAGGCTTGGATTCTTGGCCTGGCCCTGGCACTAATGAGCTGTGTGGTCTGGAGCAAATGACTCAGCCTCTCTGGGCCTCTGTTTTGTTTCCTTGGTTTTACAGTAGAAGAGTTAGGGATGTATGTTCTAAGATAACTCTGATTCTCGCACGAGAGTGTGCATCAGAATCCCCCGGGGAATTTGTTAAGTTGCAGATTTTTGAGTGTTGTCCCCACTTGAGTCCTGGTTTAATCAGCCTTGAGTGGAACCCAAGAATTTGTATTTATAACATATTCCCAGAGGATTCTGGTGCTGCTGGTCCTGGGAACCTACTTTGATAAATCTTCTCACGAAGTCCTCAAGCTGAGGTGTGGCTATGATTGCAAACTTCACAACGTGAGGGCTTCCTCGCCGATGTGTCTGGCAAGGCCATTCCCAGCTGCGGCTGTGTGCCTGTTTCCTTGCAGGCTTTGAGTTGTGCCCAAGTCCCGGTTCTGTTGTTTGACCATTGTGATCTACTTTGGGTGCTTTCTCATGGTTTCTCTCAGCCCCTCTTTCCTCCCTTCCTTAGTTTGGCAAGCTTATCACACAGAGCTTTAAAGACTTCAGAGAGTTTCTATGCTCTGGGATGGCAACAGAATTTAGTATCATAAGTGGGGAAAGTTCTGGGTAATGCAGAATCTCACTTTTTTGGGGCTGAATGAGATGATCAGGCAGGGGAGGAACAGCTGGCTCTTGCACCAATGCATTCCCTTCATATTTGACCTTAAACTATCAGAGAAAGAGAGACTGTGTCTAGGGAGCCAGGCAACCCAGAAGATGAACTGGAAGGAAATCGGGATTGGAATTCAAGTAGAATGCTGAAGGTAGTGGGGCTTTAGAGATCACCCAGCTCAGTGGTTTTGAAAGAAATCAATGTTTCTACAGAATCATATCGGGAGCTGTTTCAGGAATGCCGATTGTCAATTCCAAAGACTACTGGAAACACCTGTTCATCAAGCAGAGCTAAGCTGATGAGCCATGCTGCAGTCAGGGAGAACTTGGCAACAAGCGAGCCTTAGTAGTATCATGAAATGGGGAAGGCAGGGGGAAGGTATAGGGTTTCCGGGCCTGAGCTGGGCCATTTCAAGACAGGTCTTATAAGGGATAAGGGAGGAAATGGCTGAGATTGGAAAGAGTTTTTGGAAATAGCTTTGGATTGGTTGGCTCAACGAGGTGAGAGTCTTGAAATAAGTGGATTTTGATAAGAAGCTGTTGGCCGGGTGCGGTGGCTCACGCCTGTAATCCCAGCACTTTGGGAGGCCGAGGCGGGTGGATCACAAGGTCAGGAGATCGATACCTTCTTGGCTAACACGGTGAAACCCCGTCTCTACTAAAAATACAAAAAATTAGCCGGGCACGGTGGCGGGCGCCTGTAATCCCAGCTACTCAAGAGGCTGAGACAGGAGAATGGCGTGAACCCGGGAGGCGGAGCTTGCAGTGAGCCGAGATAGCGCCGCTGCAGTCCAACCTGGGCGAAAGAGCGAGACTCCATCTCAAATTAAAAAAAAAAAAAAAAAAAGAAGCTGTTAGCCTTGATGACCAAGCTGTTTACAAAGTCCTCAGTCTTGTTCTTCAGTAACAGTGTGTTCAGAACACATGGTTAATGTATTCTCACTTGGTCTCAGAATCGTTTAAGATATGGACAGAAAAGTATGTCTGTTTCCAGTATTATTTAGCATAATTAAATAAAGGGAGTTATGTTAGTTTTCATTTTCAGGGATGAAAGTGGTGGGGGTGGGGGATGACTGTGTGGGGTCCCTGCCCCTCCCTGACCTCCCAATCAACCAGAGTTTCTCCACACTTTTCTGTTTTCTATGTTGGGCCTCCACATCAGATTTCACTTAAAGTAAGGGCTTTATGTTTTAAAAAGGGCTCAAAATCCAGAACTGTTTAAAAATCTCTATTTCTAATAGAAGAGAGAATACTGAAATCCAGAGGGTGTTGAGATGTGCCTATGATCACACTGTTGGTCAACAGCATAGGAGAGAACCAGAGAGTTTGGTACAGGCTCACTCTGGATCCAGCTTGTGCTTGTTCTGGGATATTCAGGACAACGATGCTAGGCAGAGCCACAATCACCATGAAAATCTCAGGAGCTTTGCCCAGTAAAGATGTCTTTCTTCATTGCATTGCATCTGAAGGGGCCAGGCAGCTTCCTACATCTTCCATCCTTACCACCTGAAACATGTGTTCTCCAAAGTACTATGGCAATAGAGTGGAAGGGAAGAGGGCACCAGCTGTGAACTGCTTCAGCTTGAAAAACACATGGCACATCCATGCACAGGTCATTGGCCCCAATCTGACAACAGGGGTGCTGAGAAATGGAGGGGAGTACATGAAACATTTGGGGAGTACCAAGTACCTCTGCTTGCCCAGGGCTGGGGTTGCACACACCACTCCATGTTGTGCTGCTTTTATTGTTCAGTTTCTGGAGGAGGAAATGAGAGCAGAGAAGATAAGTGACTTAGCCAATCCCACCCAGGTTGTAACTGATGTGGCCAATGCTTGTACCCCAGCTCTTTTGATTTAAGATTAGTGCTTGTGTTTCTCCCCTACCCTGTTAAAGAAAGAACAATGTGGAGAACCATGAGGCCAAGCTCAGTTATTATGGGATGGAAGAGATCTATGCACATTTGGAGATAGAGGGGCAAGAACAGTAGGACAAGAAGAAATAGAGGTGTTTGGGGTCAAAAGGATGACTGAGGTCTTAGAGAGATACACAGGATTAAAATGTTAGCAAAAAGATGGGATTATTTCTCTTCCTCTTACACAAAAGGGAGAATAAGAGAGTAGTTTATATGCAGCAAATATAAGGAAAAATGGAGTTCGCTTCTCAAAACCTTTACACAAGACCTGAGATTAGAATAACACATGACAGTAAAATGGGGAGGGGAGGTATTAGCCCAGGCTGAGGGCATAGGAGGAGAGCAAGGCATTTAGAGCAAGGCATACCTGTCATCCAGGTATGAATGACAGGAGAGGCTGAGCTTTCAAAGCCATCCATCAGGGCCACAGCACTGTCCTGCCTTGACCCCTGATCCTGAACTGCCACTGTCATCTTCCCCATCCTCATACCCACTCTCTCTGCTTTTCTTGGGCTTCCAGGGTCTGTTCTCCTTCCTTCCTTGCTTCTGCAGCTGTATATCAGGCACTTCCTCTCTGCTCATAGCCCTCTCCTGCCTCACTATAGGCCAGTTTGCTGCTCCAATTTAGTTAGACTACAGTGGTCACTGCCTGGACCACCTTCCTGACTTTGGGTCATGACATAACCATCACCTTGCTAGTGAGCCCTCAATTACGTGCCTTTGACTCACCGGCTGTGAGAATTACTCTTGGTCCATTCCCCTCTGTTCCCTTGGTTTGTTGGTAGAGTAGATGTTCCCTGTGTAGTCTTTTTACCCTTCCAGCTAAAGATCGTCTTCGTTTCTGCATAGCCAAACTGTGCGTAAAGGAAACAAGCTCATTTTGTTATTTGGTCTAAGAAAATATTAGGAAGATCATTCTTAGGACAGTCATCAGGGCTGCTTAGATTCACATTTCAGCCTCACCTCTAACCAACTCTGAGATTTTAGACAGATCACCTAATGTCTCTATGCCTAACATTCAGCTGTAAAATCGGCATATAATAATGTCTACCTTATAGGGTGATTCTGAGCGTTAAAATCAATAACGTAAAAACACTTAGAACAATACTAACACTAATATAACTGTTTACCATCATCATTATTGATATTAAATACACAAATAACACAATACAGGGTCAGTAGTAGTAAAGGTTTTACTACTTGTCCATTGGAAAGATCTATATCACTGTGTTGCTTTATTCTGATAACAAACAATTACCGGTGGACTATATTACTCTTTTGGTTGTAATAGCATTTCTTTAGGTCCAAATATAAAAATGTATGATCTGAGTTGGATGGAAATGTGGTTGCAGTGTTAGTCACATTGCAGTTTGATATTCTTACCAAGAGAAACACTGTGGCCAGAGGAGTGCTTTTATGTCAAGTTATAAAGGAAAGTTGACTGAAGCCAGAATAAGGAAGAAGCCTTGTCAAATTGCCATCAGAATGAAAGGAAACGTCCTCACATACCGATCCTGCTGCTTATTTATATAAAGAACTCTCAGGCTCAGATCACTGTGAACAAAGACCATGGCATTTGGTTTTAGCCCTTCAGAGGCTCTGAGGACTATTGAAAGAAGGCCAGTCCAATCCATGTGAGATGGCAGGCTGAGCTGCCGGGTGTCACTCTCAGCAAAAACTTATCCTTGAAAACAAATAAAGGAAGAAGCAGGTGGTGAAGGGAGAGGCTGTGGAATAGACCCAGGAAAGCTGAGATAAATCCAACTCCAACTCAGGATGCAGGATTAAAATATTTACTCTGGCATTGGCAGGAAAGGCTCGGGGCAAGCGTTTGCTTTGCCAGCTCAGCAATATCTTCTGGCCATTTTGTATGCACTAGCAGGCTTGCGGCCCTTAAAATATCAACTTTTATAATTTTGCAGGTGGCAATCCAGAGTGAGGAAAAAGGACCCTCCCATACTGAGAGACCATGGAGACCTTTTCTCCAGCCATGTTGGAGCTATAGAGAGGGGAAAAGGCAACGGTCCCTCTCATGATTGGTTCTGCCTCCTGATCCAAGCACCTATTCCAATTGTTTGACTGGATTCGGAGGGGGTTTTCTCATGTGTACTTCTCATTATTCAACTGAAAAAGTTATTATGTCGTAAGTGCACAGTTTGTAAACTTTCACAAACAGAACACGTCCATGTAACTAACACCCACGCCAAGAAGCAGAACATGACAAGCTCCCAGAAGACTCTCCGGGGCCTCTTTATTCTAGTCATCCCTCTCCCCAGAGCTAACCATTACCTTGACTTCTAGCAGAATAGATTAGTTTGGCCTTTTTGGTGTTTCATATGGGTGAAATAATACACTCTCTCTCGTGTCTGGCTTTTTTCTGTCACATTACATTGGCGAGTGCATCCATACTATTAGATGTGGTTGCATATCATTCTTTGCTGTACAGAATTCCATTGTGTGACTATTTCACAATTTATTTCTTCATTCTACTGTTGTTGGGCAGTGGATATTTTTCATTTGGGCTATAAAACTAGTGTTGCTATCAATGTTCTAGTACATGTCTTTTGGTAAAAATGTGTACATGCTTTTGAGAATACACACACATCACACATACACATACACATGTACACACACATCCCTAAGAGTGGAATTGCAGGGTCATATAGTATGCATATGTTAAGCTTTAGTTGAAACTGTCAGTTTTGCAAAATGGTTGTACCAATTTACCCGCTCACCAGCAGTGTATAAGGGTTTCAGTTGGTCTCCATTCAATTTTGTCTCCCTTGATTCTAGGACCAGGATGACAAACTGCACATGGAATAAGCACACATAATGGAATATGTAATCCCACTTAAATAGGTGACAACATTATTTTCAAAGTAGAACCAATACTGTTGCTGCTCACCTCAGCTTCTCTCCATCTGGCAAGATTTATCTCATCTTTCTTTCTTGAGCCAGCAAATCTTTATTGATGTAAACACAGGTGAAATTCTTGGTTCTGGTCTTTCTATTTAGCATTTATTGTTGATGGTTACCATCAAATAATTGAATTTCCATGACCTATTTATGGTTGAACTTGAAATGAACTTGGAATGCTTATTCTTGAATCCAGAATAAAATACTTAATGGAGTTGGAAAATGAAACCACTTTTTGAAATTGGCAATCGTGTGTGTGTGTGTGTGTGTGTGTGTGTGAGTGAGAGAGAGAGAGAGGGGTGAATGGAAACTATTAACATTTTATTCAAAAAACTTAATACATTGATGCCAAAAAATCCCTTTCATTCTGATCAATAAATTTCTCTTAACCCCATTGTCCAGTGGAATGAGAATTGGTCACAATTTTGAGTTTCTGGATAGCTTCAATCATGGATGTCTGGATGTTTTTATAAGGAGCATTTTGTGTGTGTGTGGAATGTTTGGCAAATGTCTGTAATAAAGATATTGGGTTTGAGATTGTGGATACAGATGTATAAGGTCACCATACAAATCAGCCAACAAATAACATTTAGGTATTTAAAGCAGATACACATGAGTGCTTTGAATCCCTCCCCTAGCAACCCCCACCAAGTATTTCTCTTTGGTTTCCATTTTTCAGTAATTTTCAAAACAATTTTTTCTTTGTATTAGGCTATGGGCAGAAAGGCCTTTAAAAAGTATACAGCATCCATCTGTTATAGTAACTTCGCTTTTAAGAGAACTAATAAGGTTGCTGTTTTCCATGCTTCCTTAAAGCTCATAAATAGACTTAAGTTCCAGCAAGTAAAAATGACAAAAGTCAGTGGCTAGGAGTTGAGTTGTCCTATGGATAAAACATTAGGCTTACAGGGTTTAAATGCCACTTGGCAGGATGAACCCCCTTAAGATTCTTAGGTGCTGATGGTGCTGTGAAATCACTCAATAGACACTCATTGGACAGCTGAGCCACTCGATCATCTTGTTGCTCTCTGGTCAGAAGATCTGATTAATCATGTGTACAATTCATTTCTTAACTAAATTTCTAGAAATGGAATTGCTAGGTCAAAGGGTAATTAAGTGTAAACTTTTACAGACATTGCCAAATTGAGGTCCAAAAACAGTTGTATCACTTTTCACCCAACCCAGAGTGTATGAGGGTGCCTGCTCTTCTTATTCCTTCTTCTAAAACCTCTTGGGAGAAACAAAGTCCTCTTGGTTTCCCTCCAGAGCGCTCCCTTCATGACTGCACTCTGTATTTTCTTAGCATCTATCTTTTTCTTCTCTGTGGCATATATTTTGCATACTTTGCAGCAAATATCTGTATCTATTCCTCTTCCATTGGCACAACCCATCTACCTTCCTACCTAAGAATTAAATCCCAAGTGGATCATTAAGCTCTGAGAACTTCTATTTCCTCAGTGACAAAATGAGCACAATCACACCCATCTCACAGGGCTGTGAGGAAGATTAAGCACCGCAAGGCATGTAAAATCCTCAGCATGTTGCCTGGCATGTAATAGACACAGAGGCACAGAAACCTGAACAGAGACTTTCTTACTTTTGCCACTCCTGATGCTTCCTGGCGTTTAACACAACATAGTGTAGAATAAGCGTTTTGCTGACTGACTTGATCTCCGGTGTTCAAGCCAATCATAAACCAAGTACCTAGGCAAGTGCATGCAATATTTTCAGGTGCCCGTCGTTAGAAAGTGCACTGCTGTACTGCACTAAATGGCTCTTTCCTTATCATTTTATGACACATAAAGGATCCTGAATCAAGTATGGTGACCAGTTTGCGGCCCCCAGAAAGTGGCCTCATTTACCAGAAAAGCAGTCATCACATGTGGGCATTCTTCTAGTTCTAGCATTAAGTACCATCTATTCTTTACAGCAGCAGTTCCCAACCTTTTTGGCATCAAGGACTGATTTCATGGAAGACATTTTTTCCACGGACTGGGAGGGGGTGGGATAGTTTTGGGATGAAACTGTTCCACCTTAGATCATCAGGCATTAGATTCTCATAAGGAGCACACAACCTAGATCCCTCAGATATACAGTGCAGAATAGGGTTCACATTCCTATGAGAATCTAATGCTGCTGCTGATCTGATAGGAGGCAGAGCTCAGATGGTAATGCTTGCTCATCTGCCACTTCACCTCCTGCTATGCGGCCTGGTTCTTAACAGACCATGGACCATTCTGGTCCATGGCCTGGAGGTTGGGGCCCCTGCTTTACAGCAATTTTATAAAATCTTTCTCAGAATCCATGTTATCTGGACAAAGGACATTTGCTTAATATGTTCTCATACAAAATCTAATATAATCATACATATGGAGATAGATGATCTTTAGTGCCCTATTTATCACAATCTGTGATTCTGTGGCGCATGTTAGACTGTATTATACTTTTAAATATTATTTGCCAATATTATTAGAGCTGAAGCTCAGATAGCACAGTATTCAGCCCAGGAAAATTCAACCTGCTACGTGAGAAGCGCAATTTAAAATGTTAGGATTGTGTAAAACTTTTGCCTCACAAATGGGAACACACAGAATACACAGAAGTTTGTTGTGGAGATAAGTATGGGAAACTAGGCAGTAGTGTGGGTCACAGCTATGACAAAATGACTTTCACTTCCAATGTCATTTTCTTTTCTTACTATTGCAAATTCTTCACATTGACTTGTTTTATTTCAATCCAGTGTAGACAAAAATAAGTAGAAAAATATATTCATCAGTTATTGTTCATCATTTATGGGCTTGGGCTTATCATAGTTTTAATTTCATAATAACTTCCTGAATACTCAATTGTGTAAGTTGAGGAAGGCATGTAGAAATAATAAAGATATCAAGATTAGAGTCACTAAGTTATTCACAGTGATCAAGGCCTTTTACTTGGTGCAGGGTGCTTGGTGGGGAAGGAGAGTATTTGAAAGAGACATATGGTGCCATGGTGAAGAGCCAAATCGGCTGTTTCAGTCCCTGCTCTGCCACTTACTATCTGTATGGTATCCAGAAACTAACTTCCCTCGTCTGTAAAATGAGGGTAATAGTAGTACTTACCTTACAGGGTTATTATGTGGATTAAATGAATTAATATATGCAAAGCACTTCTGATAGGATCTGGCACTGGGCCATCATTACATGTTTATTGCTTCTGGAATACTTTTCACTTAACTATTCCATTGAAAAAGAGGCTGGAAAGTCAACTCTGGGTTCCCCTTAGAAGACTAGATGAAATTTGGGTGCAGAGAGGGGTGGTTTACTTGCGAGGACTGAGCTTTTCAGTGAGGAAAGATAAGTCATGCAAATCCGTCACGATGCTAGGACATGGGACAGCCTTCCCTGTTGTGCCCCACACCTCTCTCCTGTGACAAGGATGAAAAGAGCTTAAAAAAAAAAAAAACCTACAATTTCTTTCTCAATCTCTACTTACACCAGTTTTCCAGCTTCCAAACTGATAGAGTCATAACTCTATAGGGTAGGATCAAAATTGTTACTGTATGCATGTTCCCAGTTTTTCCCTTTTGCAAACCAATAAAATAAGGATTCTGCTTTGGAAAGTACAATGCCCCTCCTGCTGTCCTCTGAGTAGGATTTAGTCCTATTAGACAAGTTCTCTTGTACTTTATTTTATACTGTAGAATTAGAAGAAAAGTGAAAGTGGAGAAGAATCTGAAGCCTTTGGGCCTGGGCTGGGGAAAGAGGCTTTTCAGGGGATTTTGGAAGAATCTTGTGAGTTTAAGAAAATGATCTTTATCATGATGATCCATCATTGCTAGAAAACTACTCAAGTTTTTTCAAAATGTATTTTGTTCGTGGCTGAACTGTGTTCCTTTGGTCATATTGAAATTTAATTTTCAATAAATAAAAAACACAATTCTGATAAAAATCATATTGAATATGTGTCAGGTTTTAATTAACTCAATAATGAGAGAAACAGCAGGATGACAAGGCTGATTCATAGGAGGACAGGAGAAACTAATGTGTATATAATAAGCGAGGGAAACACCAAAATAAGCACTGCAATAAAAAAGAAACTGCAATAAGATTGCTGAGCTAGATAGATACACAATTGGTTGATTTTCTACAAGACAATAAAACCATAAGTTTTAGGGTTATTTTGTGTCTTTAGTCCATTTGGGTTGCCATAAGAAAACAGTCTTAGACTGGTTAATTTATAAATAACAGAAATTTATTTCTAACAGTTCAGGAAACCAAGAAGTCCAAGATAATGGTGAAGGTAGATTCAATGTCTGGTGAGGGCAGACTTAAAAGATGGTACCATTTAAAAGATGGTACCATTTCTCTGTGTCTCCACATGGTAGAAGGCACAAACAAGCTCTCTCAGGCCTCTTTTATAAGGGCACTAATCCCATTTACGAGGGCCCCACATTCCTGACCTAGTCACCTTTCAACACCTCTGCACTGGGGATTCAGTTTCAACAAATGAGTTTTGTGAGGACACAAAAATTCAGATCATAGCATCTTATCTACTGGACAAAAATTATTTGTAGTATATAATGTTTCTAAAAGTTAACATCTATCTTTACAGAGCTGTAAAATGCCTGGGCCCTTATTAACAGTAAATTGTGAGTCAAACAAAGTTATAGTCCCCAGCCTAGAGAGAGTTAGAAGAAACTTGGGTGGGGTTGGCTAGACAACTCCCTGGCCTGACAACAAAGGTTACACAGTCATCTTTTTGCCCTACTCCCATGTTTTGGTTAATTTTTAAAAATAGTTCCTTGTGTGATTATAAAGTCTCCTAGGATTCTTCTTTATCACAAAAAAGGCTGGTTTCATTGTGTTTTGCGTTCTTTGTGGGATTCATTTACAGAGGAGAAGCATACAGAACACATACTACCCTCCTGTTGTAGAGTGCAGTAAATCTACAGCCACGAGAAGCTGAGCAACTACAAAAGCCGAAGAATTAGCTCGGTCTGAAGAGTTTGTAAAGAATCTAGGATTGCATCTCAATAACCTTTATCATTCCAGAGATTCCCCTAGCCAAAGTTTTTATTTTTACTTCTTTGTTTTAATCACTCATATATGCTTATTTTTTCTAATGCTAGAGAAACAAAATTAAGAAAAAACTTATTTCCATCCAGAGTTCACCAACAATGCCCACAACTGCATATGAATTCTCTCCTTAGTGTCCCCCCAAACTTGCTAAGGTCTGAAGACTGTTAGGATGCCTTCAAACTTCCTCTTTACTGTCACAGAATAGAGACATACTGATTTCCCAGTATGGTTTTGTAAACATTAGTTCCACATATGAAGCTCAACCCTTGTTCCATAATTGTGGGTTTATCCTATTGAATGAAATGAAATTTAACTCAATTATGACATTCCTGCCTGGAATTAAAAAAAAGAGAGAGCTTCTTCAAGTCAACAGGCCCTGAAAATGGATCATCACTCATTCTAAATTTATTTATTGTTACATAATAATTGTACATATTTATGAGGTACATGTGATATTTTGATATATGCATACAATGTACAATGATCAAATCAGGGTATTCAGGATATCAAATACCTAAAAGATTTATCATTTCTTTATTTTGGGAACGTTTCAAAACTTTTCATTTAGTTGTTTTGAAGTATACAATAAATTATTTTTAACTGTAGTCACCAAACTATGCTATCGAACCCTAGAACTTAATCCTTCTATGTAACTGTATGTCTGTACCCATTAACCAACTTCTCTTCATACTCTGCCTTCCCTCTGCCCCTTTCAACCTCTGATAACTATCATTCTACTCTTTACTTCTATGAGATCAACTTTTTTAGCTTCCACATGAGTGAGAACATGTAATTTTGTCTTTCTGTGCTGGATTATTTCACTTAACATAATGACCTCCATTTCCATCCATGTTGCTGCAAGTGACAGTATTTCATTCTTTTTTATGGCTGAATAGTATTCCATCATGTATATATCCCACATTTTCTTTATCTGTTCATCTGTTGATGGACATTTAGGTTGATTCCATATCTTGGCTCTTATGAATAGTGCTGAAATAGACATGGGGTGCAGGCATCCCTTTGACATACTGATTTCCTTTCCTTTGGATAAAAAGATATTAGTGGGGTTGCTGGATCATACGGTAGTTCTATTTTTAGTTTTTTGAGAAACGCTTATACTGTTTTCCATAGTGGCTTTGCATTTACATTGCATTTGCATTACATTTTGATTTACATTGCCAACAACAGTGTTTGAGAGTTCCTTTTCTTCCGCATCCTTGCCAGCATTTTGTGTGTGTGTGTGTTTTTGACAATAGCCTTCCTAACTGGGGTGAGATGATATCCCATCGACTCATCCTAAATTAGTTTAAAGGGGCTTTCCCCCTTCTTCAGCTGTAACATATAGGCAGCTGTAGGCTATTACTTTATCTCCTATTTATGGTTCCCCAATTTGTAAAACTCTCTAAAAGAAACACCAACTCCTGAAAGACTCTAATTGTTGAATTGTCCAGACTTTCAAATAAATACAAGTGGTATCACAAGCCCACATGAAGATTTCAGGTTCTTCCTGGAGGACAGGGGTCCAACCAAGACTACCATGCTCTTATCTGTAAAAGAAGGTTGGTGTCAGAAACGAGATCTTTAAGACTCTTACTCTGAATGATAATGACCAGAATAACTAGTTCTTACTGGGTTTTTTAATGTCTCCCAAATAGATTTATTTCTATTGACAGTAGATTCTTGTCATATAATCAGTCTGACTTGAAAATTAATCACATTTGCCTTTTACTCAGTAGTGGCAAGAACTAGAGCCAACTTTGTGGACTAACCAAACAAGTGAATCGACAGAATATGGTGACCCGTTTTTCTCATTAGTTTCATTAGTTTCAGTTTATTTTATCTTCTCCTCATCAATTTTTTTTTCTTGTCATCTCCTGATTTAAGTCATCTGGCCATCCTGTCTTTATTTGGAACCCACATTAGTTGTTTTGTGAAATAAAGCAGGCTATATATAAATCAAATGCCCATACTGGGTCCATTTCCAAATTTCTGTTTGTGATATCTTGTGGTTTTGAGGATTAAAAATGCTTTAAAACCAGCAATAAAAGGTTGTTCTAGCTTTTAAATATGTATTTTTAAAAGCTCTTGTTAAAACTTCTGAGAATGAAGGAGGAAGTTAAAACTAATGAGGAAGTTACTTTGTATGTTGGTGGTTTCTGTTTACTTGGTTCTGTTTTTGCTCCCTAGAACTTGATTTCCACAGCAGTGAGCTAACAGCACTCCTGCTATTGCTGACTGGGCATATCTACATACAAAAAATCTTGATAAAACAATGTGTGCTGAGGAGTGTAAGTATAGCTCCCTGACTGGCCCTTTTAATAATACTGATTGTTCCCTTTGTTGCATTTCACATTATGAACCAAACTCTAAGAACTGATTGGGAAACGTCTTCTTCTTTTCAGAAACATCCATTCAGAGGCTTAAGGCCTCAGATTCCTGGCCTTCCACAGTTACAGCTCCAGTGTGGAGTTTGTCCAGTATGTGTTTAAAATCAAGATGCAAATCCCTAACAAGTCCTAAATTTATTTTAAAATGTGGCCAAGCTATACAGAGTCTAGCCAAATCCCATATTCTGCCACTAGATGATTGCTATTGGATCTAGGCCATGACCCCATTGATTTTTTTACAGGCAACTTTGCAGCCCCAAAGCCAGATATTGAATCAAGGAAACCAAAGTCCCAGTGTTCAGGAGGACAGCATTGTACTAACCCATCTCAACCAGCTTCACCTCTTTGTACAAGAAGTACTCAAGAGGCTGAAGAGTTGTGAGGTTTGGGTGAAGAGGCCAAACTAGTTCATCTTTGCCAGTTTGTTATGTAGATCATCACAGCTTCTCACCTATGTCAGTGATTTTGCACTTAGCCTTGTCTCTATCTTTTACCTTGTCAAACCTCACCAACTCTTTTCTCCACCTCTGTCATTCCTAAAACCTATAGTAACTACTTCACTCAGTACCTTCAACTGAATCTCTGTGGCTTAGTGTTGCCAACGTATCCACCCCTGCAAGAGATAAATCTGCTGCAAAGATGAGGGTTTTATAACTTCCTTTTCACAACTTGCTGCTCTTCCTATCTATGCAGTTCTTCTCCCTGCCCAAGTTTCATTACTTGTCTATATTTGAAACCCACCTCGAAAGAGCATTGAAAGCATTTTACTTCTTGAGGGTGGTATGTGCTTTTGGGGGATATGTTGAGACCTTCTGCCATCATTCGAAGTCCTGATGCTGCCTTGGCTGTTAATTGACAGTGAGGTTTTTTATGTTTTCCAGCCAGTTTTTATTTGTTAGATCAATTATTAATAGTAATATTTAACATTTAGTAAGTATTTACGGTGTGCCTGCTACTGTTACATGTGGTTTATGCATCAAGTCATTTAATCCTCATCAGAATTTCGTTACATTCCAATATGTCTCCATTTTACAGATGAGTAAACTGAGGTAGAACAAAGCCAAGTAAGTTATACAAAGTCACTTAGGAGTTACTAAGAGATGGTACTAATTTGGCTTTGGAACTGTGCCCAAACATCATTCTATCCTGCCTTCACTGGTAACCTACTGCATCCTCAGAAAATATGGAAATACTATTCTTAAAATTACAAGCTCAAGTGTAAGAGGCTGAGCAGATATTTGAAGATTCCAAGTACAACTAATATTAAGTGATCAGTGATCTGCTTTCTGCACATATCCTTAGGGTCACTCCTTCTCTCCAGGATCCATTATATTCCCTGTGTTTAAGTAGTAATTGTATCTTTGAGTTTGAAAGACAATAAATTTGACAATTCTAACTCTAGACATTTTCAGAGAGAATATTGGAAGAGCGATGAGGGAAGCAATGATCATACTCATTTATTAACATTGATTGTACATATTTCTTCTTTGGGAGGATGTTGCTTGTGTGTTTGTTTACACAGTTCTGTCGTTTAAGAGAGTAACAGTAGGGAGTGGTGCCTGGAGCATCATGCAGTGAGTTTGGAAGGACACCAAAATCTGTTTGTGCTGTGTGTCCCCTGGGGTGTGAGACCTGACAGGGCCAGCTGCAGCCCTACAAGGCCTTTAATTTAGAATTTCCTGAGCCACTTATGGTTCCAAAATATTTCTTATGTGTTTCAAAATAATAATTGAAAAGGAAGTAAAAACAGCCAGTCAGCTGTAAAAATTGTATGATATCTAGCAACTGGGCTGGGTCACCGAGGGTGGACACCCCTGAGAGAAATAAGTAACAGAGCCTTGGAAAGCACCATGTTAATTTGGATGGGGAGGTGGGGATGTGGCTGGAAGAGGAGAGGAGATTCAGGGTTCTGGGAGTAAGTTGAGTGGGGTTAGTCAGTCACTCTCTGGGTTGTGAGTTCTGTGTAAAAGGCATTGTTGAGGTCCCGAGCTGGTGATAAAGCTGGTCCAGGGGTAGGACATGGTATTTGAAAATGGTGGTGCTGAAAGTTGTTATTGGAATCTTCACTGCAAGAGAGAAGAAGAAGAAATGACCACATAATTTCCATTCTTATTTTTGCCATCCCTCAAGATGGTATATCATTTGGCCCTGCCTATCTGTGCAGGGGAGTCTCTTAGACCACTTGCCCCACATTCACTATGTCTCAACCAATCCTCTTTCTGAAAATTTTTAGTACTCATTAAGATTTTTCCTGCTATAGAAGTTCTATGCTTGCTCTTTTCTATGTTTGAAATATTATTTCTGTGTGTCTGCACATAGGCTTTTCGTCACTGAGGTCTCAACTTAAATGGCACACCCTCAAAGTGATGCTTCTAGATCATGCTATCTAAAATGCATTCTTCCCTACACTGTTGTTTAAGCAGTCTGTTCGTGTCTTCCACAGTGCATAGGACAACCTCTAACTTTTGAGAAGTGTGATTGTCTTACTTGTTTGTCGTAGGTCTTCACCATCAAATTCCAAGCTCCATGAGGCCAGGAGCCATGTCATTATTGCTCACTGATATCTTCTCCATTTCTAGTACAATGACTAGGTCATAGCAGATGCATAATAAATATTTGTTTCAAAGGGAGAGAGTGGCAAGAAGACTTGACAATTTGAGATCAGAAAATGGAGACGTGGTGAACCTCTAAAATGTGTTACGATTAGTTCCAGCCTACAACCTTGGCCTCCTTGACACCATGCTCCAGTGGTGGAAACTGCATTCAGGATCATTTTTACATGCAGATTCTTAGGCTGTCTTATATGGCAATGGTTGGAGGATAGACCTGAGTGAAGAAGCAGAAATTTTATCTGATTAGTGCCTTGGAAAACACTAACACGTTGCTGGAGCCTTCAGGAATTTTTATTTTCCAAATTTAAAACTCTAAAAATAGTTCTGAAATAATATAAGTTACTGATTCCTCCCATATAACACAACACTTTTTATGGAATGGTCATACCTAGCATATCTTTGGGTCACCGTAACAGTCCTGGGAAGGGACTAAGACACACAATTTTAAACCTATTTTGAAGATAAGGAATTGGCTTCGAAGAGTTTAAGTGATTGTAACCATTAACAAATAGCTGGAATTAGAATCTCGTACACTTGGTTTGCGTGGATTGCTTACTCTACTACATTTTTTCAGACAATATTTTATTTTTATATGTTATTTTCATGGTAGATTGGATTTTGACTTGTTTTTTTCTATTTTATTATTTTATTTTAATTTCTGGAATACATGTGCAGGTTTATTACATAGGTAAAAGTGTGCCATGGTGGTTTGCTGCAGCTTTCAACCCATCACCTAGGTATTAAGCGCAGCATGCATTAGCTACTTATCTTGATGTTTTCTCAACCCCCACATCCCCCCACAACAATCCCCCATGTGTGTTGTTCCCCTCCCTGGGTCCATGTGTTCCAAGTGTTCAGCTCCCACTTATAAGTGAGAACATGCAGTGTTTGGTTTTCTGTTCCTGCTTTAGTTTGCTGAGGATAATGGCTTCCAGTTCCATCCATGTCCCTGCAAAGGACATTATTTCATTCCTTTTTATGGCTGCATAGTATTCCATGGTGTATATGTACCACGTTTTCTTTATCCAGTCTATCATTGATGGGCATTTGGGTTGATTTCATATCTTTGCTATTGTGAATATAGTGCTGCAGTGAACATATGTGTGCATGTATCTTTATAATAGAATGATTTATATTCCTTTGGGTGTATACCCAGTAATGAGATTGCTCAGTCAAATGGTATTTCTGGTTCTAGGTCTTTGAGGAATCACCACACTGTCTTCCATAATGGTTGAACTAAGTTACATTCCTACCAACAGTGTAAAAGGGTTCCTATTTCTCCACAGCCTCACCAGCATCTGTTGTTTCTTGATTTTGTAATAATTACCATTATGACTGGCCTGAGATGGTATCTCATTGTGGTTTCGATTTGCATTTCTCTAATGATCAGTGATGTTGAGCTTTTTTTCATGTTTGTTGGCTGCATAAATGTCTTCTTTTGAGAAGTGTCTTCATGTTCTTTGCCCAATTTCTTCTTAATATGGTGAAGCATAGTATTCTTTTTTTGTTTGTTTTTGTTTTGTTTTGTTTTTTATTTGTTTTTTTATTTTTTATTTTTTAGTATACTTTAAGTTCTGGGATACATGTACAGAACGTGCAGGTTTGTTATATAGGTATACATGTGCCATGGTGGTTTGCTGCACACATCGACCCGTTATCTACATTAGATACTTCTCCTAATGCTATCCCTCTTCTTGTCCCCTACCCCCTGATAGGCCCTGGTGTGTGATGTTCTCCTCCCTGTGCCTATATGTTCTCATTATTCAACTCCCACTTATAAGTGAGAACATGTGGTGTTTGATTTTCTGTTCCTGTGTTAGTTTGCTGAGAATGATGGTTTCTAGCTTCATCCATGTCCCTGCAAAGGACATGAACTCATCCTTTTTTATGGCTGCATAGTATTCCATGGTGTATATGTGCCACATTTTCTTTATCCGGTTTATCATTGATAGGCACTTGGGTTGGTTCCAAGTCTATGCTATTGTGAATAGTGCTGCAGTAAATATATGTGTGCATGTGTCTTTATAGTAGAATGATTTATAATCCTTTGGGTATATACCCAGTAATGGGATTGCTGGGTCGAATGGTATTTCTGGTTCTAGATCCTTGAGGAATCTCCACACTGTCTTCCACAATGGTTGAACTAATTTACTCTCCCACCAACAGTGTAAAAACATTCCTATTCTCCACATTCTCTCCGGTGTCTGTTGTTTCCTGACTTTTTAATGATGGCCATTCTAACAGGCATGAGATGGTATCTCATTTTGGTTTTGATTTGCATTTCTCTAAAGACCAGTGATGATAAGCTTTTTATCATATGTTTATTGACTGCATAAATGTCTTCCTTTGAGAAGTGTTTGTTCATATCCTTTGCCCACTTTTTGATGGGGTTGTTTGTTTTTTTCTTGTAAATTTGTTTAAGTTCCTTGTAGATTCTGGATATTAGCCCTTTGTCAGATGGATAGATTGCAAAAATTTTCTCCCATTCTGTAGGTTGCCTGCTCATTCTGATGATAGTTTATTTTGCTGTGCAGAAGCTCTTAATTAGATCCCATTTGTCTATTTTGGCTTTTGTTGCAATTGCTTTTGGTGTTTTAGTCATGAAGACTTTGTCCATGCCTATGTTCTGAATGGTATTGCCTAGGTTTCTTCTAGAGTTTTTATGGTTTTAGGTCTTATGTTTAAGTCCTTCATCCATCTTGAGTTAATTTTTGTATAAAGTGTAAGGAAGGGGTCCAGTTTCAGTTTTCTGCATATGGCTAGCCAGTTTTCCCAACACCATTTATTAAATAGGGAATCCTTTCCCTATTGCTTGTTTTTCTCAGATTTGTCAAAGATCAGATGGTTGTAGATGTGTGGTGTTATTTCTGAGGCCTCTGTTGTGTTCCATTGGTCTACAGATCTGTTTTGGTACCAGTGCCATGCTGTTTTGGTAACTGTAGCCTTGTAATATAGTTTGAAGTCAGGTACCATGATGCCTCCAGCTTTGTTCTTTTTGCTTAGGATTGTCTTGGCTATATGGGTTCTTTTTTGGTTCCATATGAAATTTAAAGTAGTTTTTCCTAATTCTGTGAAGAAAGTCAGTGGTAGCTTGATGGCAATAACATTAAATCTATAAATTACTTTGGGCAGTATGGCCATTTTTACAATACTGATTCTTCCTATCCATGAGCATGGAATGTGTTTTCATTTATTTGTGTCTTCTCTTGTTTCCTTGAGCAGTGGTTTGTAGTTCTCCTTGAAGAGGTACTTCACATCCCTTGTAAGTTGGATTCTTAGGTATTTTATTTTCTTTGTAGCAGTTGCGAATGAGGGTTCACTCATGATTTGGTTATCTATTTGTCTATTATTGGTGTGTAGGAATGCTTGATTTTTGCACGTTGATTTTGTATCCTGAGACTTTGCTGAAGTTGCTTATCAGCTTAAGGTGTTTTTGGGCTGAGATGATGGGGTTTTCTAAATATCCAATCATGTCATCCACAAACAGAGACAATTTGACTTCCTGTCTTCCTATTTGAATATGCCTTATTTCTTTTTCTTGCTTGATTGCCCTGGCCAGAACTTCCAATACTATGCTGAATAGGAGTGGTGAGAAAGGGCATACTTGTCTTGTTCCAGTTTTCAAAGGGAATGCTTGCAGCTTTTGCCCATTCAGTATGATATTGGCTGTGGGTTTGTCATAAGTAGCTCTTATTATTTTGAGATATGTTCCATCAATACCTAGTTTATTGAGAGTTTTTAGCATGAAGGTGTGTTGACTTTTATCGAAGGCCTTTTCTGTATCTGTTGAGATAAACCAGCTAGCATCATAATGACACGATCAAATTCACACATAACAATATTAACCTTAAATGTAAACGGGCTAAATGCCCCAATTAAAAGAGAAAGACTGGCAAATTGGATAAAGAGTCAAGACCCATCGGTGTGCTGTATTCAGGAGGCCCATCTCATGTGCAAAGACACACATAGGCCCAAAATAAAGAGGGGTTGCAATCCTAGTCTCTGATTATACAGACTTTAAACCAACAAAGATCAAAAAAGACGAAGAAGGGCATTATGTTATGGTAAAGGGATCAATGCAACAAGAAGAGCTAACTATCCTAAATATATATGCACCCTATACAGGAACACTCAGAGTCATAAAATAAGTTCTTAGAGACCAACAAAGAGACTTAGACTCCCACACAATAATAGTGGGGGACTTTAACACCCCACTGTCAATATTAGATCAACAAGACAGAAAATTAACAAGGATATTCAGGACTTGAACTCAGCTCTGGGCCAAGCATCTCATGAGAGTTCATGAGATGAAGGGGGAAGGGAACAGTATTCCAAGCCAAACAAACAGCATGCAAAAAGACTCTATTTTGCCATAAAACTTTCAAGATTGTTTTTCTATTTTTTTAAAAAAAAGTCATTGGTATTTTGATAGGAGTTGCATTGAATCTGTAGATTGCTTTGGTTAGTCATATTATTTTAACAATATTAATTATTTCAATTCATGAACATGGAAGATCAGTTTGTGTCCTCTTCAGTTTCTTTCATAAGTGTTTTGTAGTTTCTTGTAGAGGTCTTTCACATCGGTTAAATTTATTTCTAGATATGTTATATTTTTTGTAGCTATTTAAGGAGGATTGCCTTCCTGAATTCTTTTTCAGCTAGTTTATTATTATTATTATTATTGTTATTATTTTTTGAAACAGAGTCTTGCTCTGTTGCCCAGGCTGGAGTACAATGGTGTGACCTCAGCTCACTGCAATCTCTGCCTCCCAGGTTCAAGCGATTCTGCTGCCTCAGCCTCCCAAATAGCTGGACTACAGGTGCCCAGCACCACGCCCAGCTAATTCTTGTATTTTTAGTAGAGATGGTTTCACACGTTGGCCAGGCTGGTCTCAAACTCCTGACCTCATGTGATCTACTCACCTCGGCCTCCCAAAGTGCTGGGATTACAGGCTTGAGCCACCGTGCCTGGCCCAGCTAGTTCATTATTAGCATATAAGAAAATGACTGATTTTTATATGTTCACAACTTGTTGGATGGGAGATAATATGGGAAAACTATTCATCTGATGAAGCACTAACATCCAGAATATACAAAGAACTCAAACAACTCAACAGCAAAAAACAATCCATTTAAAAATTGGGCAAAGGCAAAGGTATGGAACCAGCCCAAGTGCCCATCAATCAAAGAATGTATACACGCACACACACACACACACACACACACACACACACACACCATGGAATACTACTTGGCCATAAAAAGGAAAAAAATAATGGCATTTGCAGCAACCTAGAAGGAGTTGGAGACCATTATTCTAAGTGAAGTAACTCAGAAATGGAAAACCAAACACGATATGTTCTACTTACAAGTGGGAGTTAAGCTAAGAGGATGCAAAAGCATATGAATCATACAATGGACTTTGGGGTCTCGGAGGAAGGCTGGTAGACAGGGAAGGAATAAAAAGGAATAACCACATGCAAAAGCATAAAATTGAACCCTTACCTCACACTATATACAAAAAAACCCTCAAGATTGAAACAATAAAACTCTTAGAATAAAATATAGGAAAAAAACATTTCTAAACATTGGACTGGGAAATGATTTCTTGCTTATAAAACCAAAAGTATAGGTAACGAAACAAAAAATAGACAAGTGGGACTATATCAAACTAAAAATCTTTTGCACAGCAAAAGACACAATTAACAAAATGGAAGACATTTGATGGAATGAGAGAAAATATTTGCAGACCACATATCTGATAAGTGGTTAAAATCCAAAATGTATCCCTACAACTCAATAGCACATAGAAGCCATTTAAAAATTAGGCAGAGGACCTAAATAGGAATTTCTTCAAAGAAGGCATATAAATGGCCATCAGGTATATGAAAACGGGATCAACTTTACTAATCATAAGGGAGATGCAAAGCAAAACCACAATAAGACATTATTTTACACCTATTAGGTGGGGTATTATCAAAAACACAAAGGAAAATGAATGCTAGTGAAGATGTGGATAAAAGGAGATCATTTTACACTCTTGGTGGAAATGTAAATTGGTGCAGACACTATGTAAATCAATATGAATATTCCTTAAAAAATAAAAATAGAATTACCATTTAATCCAGCAATCCCGCTTCTGGGTGTACATTCAAAGGAATTGAAACCTGGATCTTCAAGAGATATCTGCTTTCCCATGTTCATTGCAGCATTATTCACAATAGCCAAGATACGGAAGCGATCTGAATTTCCATCAATAGATGAATGGATAAAGAAAATGTGGTATATACATACAATGAAATACTGTTGTCAAAAGACAAAATTACAACAAATTTGGTTTAAAGATATTAGTTGGTTTTTATTTGTGATTTTAGGATCAAACAACAACTCATTCTGTAGAATAGAATGAGTGTTCCCATAAGCTGCGTAAAGAAGTTTGGCTTTATAAGCAGAAAAGGGCTGAAGAATGCAAAAAACAAGGAACAAAAAGCTTATTCGTCATTAGAAAGTTAATTTCCTTGTAAAGGTTAAAGCAGAAGAGGCTTCTTATTGTACTAGCTAAAACTGGCCTGTCTGGGGATTAGGCTTTTATTGCTCTCTTTCCTGATTTCATGGAAGATCAGGTAACAACTTAGTTTTGTCTCAATGGCATGGAATTTAGCATAAGTGACTCCATTTTGGTTGGTTTCTTGGGCCTAGTGCAGAAGCTCAGCCCAAACCAATACCTCCTGTAAATTTTATTTAATTTACCATTCACCCTTAAAACTGAGGAAAGGATAGCACTGCCATTTGTGACCATATGGTTGGCCCTGAAGGACATTAGGTCAAGTAAAATAAGCCAGACACAGAAAGATAAATGCCATATGATCTTGTTTATGTGTGGAATCTAAAATAATTTGTAGAAGCAGAGAGTAGTATGGTGGTTACCAGAGGATTGGGGGGAGGAAGAAATGGGGAGGTGTTAGTCAAAGAGTGCAAAGTTTCAATTATGCAAAATAAATAAGATCTGGAGATCTGTACAATATAGGGCCTATGATTAACAATACTCTATTATATACTTAAACATTTTCTAAAAGAGCAGATCTTATATTATGTGCTTTTACCACAAATGGGGGCGGAATGAAACTTTTTGATGTTATGGATGAGTTTATGACATTTATAGTGATGATGGTTTGATGGTATCATGGGTATACACTTATCTTTAAACACATTAAGTTGTACACATTAAATATGTACAGCTTTTCATGTGTCAAGCCTATTTGAACAAAACAGTTATAAAGAAAAGAAAATTCACCCTCCAGGGGTAGTCAGCTGGTATTGTATTAGAAAGACTATAACTCTTCAGATCTTAATCATCACCAGAGGCTTTGAAAATTAGCACAGAGAATGTCAGAAATGGTTTTATTGGTGAAATGAGAGACTTGCTAGTCACGTGATGCATATCAAAATAGAATCTCAATGGTACGATTCAAGGTATTCAAGTTTGAGGAGTGGGGTATCATCAAGGTGCTCCCCACCTGTGGATGAACAGGTTGTAGGAATCCAGTGAGACCCATGGTTTTGCCTGTAGAATGGCACTGAGGTACCATCTACAGACAGTCTTGTTTCCAGCCACTCGTTAGGAGGCTTTCTGGCTGCCTAATGCCAAGGCATGAGGGTCCTACATCTGAAATAGCGTTACTTCTGCCTCAAGAGAAATTTCTAGTCAAGAGGTAGAATCCATCAAGCTCACAGTTGTATGAACTGTCCTGGACCTGCCTTCTAAAGGAATGTTTAATAAAAGGTCAGGTTTTGTCAATGAAAAAAAATGCACAGTTGATTCGTAAAGAAGCCAACTCTCATCTAAGTAGAGTTTGTGGTGACTGAGGTGATAAAATAGATATAGTGCCATTTGCCACTCATGGGGCACTTTTGTACTGGGTGAGCCAGTTCATTTGAAGCTCATTGTACAGTAGACTCTTGTTTATCTAAAAATATTAGCTAATGAAGGATCAGGGAAGTTACACCTTCTGTTTGACTTACACTCCTGTCTACACCACTATGCATTCCCATTGTTTAAAAACACAGGAGATGATGGAAAGTATTCAGTAAGAGAACTCAGATGGGCACAATTATTCCTTTGATGATTGGGAAGACATGTGTAAGTCTTTAAAGACTCATGAACATCAACAATACCAGGTAATGCTGCAGCAGAAGAAATAATACCCTGGTAGAGATGCTAGGCTGATTCTAGAACCAATGCTGGAAGTTGCTTTATATAAATTATTAACATCAATTACCTTATCATTTAGTCAATTTCCTCTCTTTTGTAAAAGTGTCTAGGAAGAGGAATGACTTTCTAGTTATGTATTAAATTGAGCTTTGCACTCGTTAAGGTTCTGTGAATACAGTCATTTAGTGCTGTGTTAGTAACACTCTCCTTCGGTGGGATGGGTTGGAGACTTTAGTTTTTAGCCATCTGTGAAATAGAAAATCCACTTGATCCAGTGCATGCACCACCAGAGTCCCTTAAGGATTACTGTCAGAAGTTGTCACTCTCCTTTAAGTTCTCATTAAGAGGAAACTTGAAAAAGGAAAATGATGAGGATGTTTTAGGATTTGTGGCCATGGGGGATTTTCCATCTTCATTTCAAACAGCTTAAGGCAGGCAATGGGAAAGATCTTGTGCTGAAGGTTATATGGGCTTTGTATCTTCAAGCTGAATCCCACAAGTTAAGCCTCTAGTTTGCAAAACACTTGGGAGACGAGGGTCCACCCTACCTGGATTGCCAACTCTGAGAGTGGTTATTTAGAAGGGCAAGGCTGTGGGGTTTCTTCTCACTTTATATGGCAATCTCAAGATACCTTTGCCATGGCCTGGATGAGCTTGCTTGTTTTGTTTAATTGTATTTTATATTTTGACCATTTAAGATATGAAGAGAACTTCTCAGTAATTCTAGATGTTAGGATTTGAGTAACTTCGTATTGAATCAGATCTGCTCCCAGGAACTATGCTGGGGTGGGTGGGGTGGTTGTCAACGGCACTCCCCTTTGAGCTTCAAGGAAAGCTCAAGAGAAAGAAGTGAATACTGGCTTGGCAGTCTATGATGAGTGCAGATGGAATTCACTGGGTCATACTTAACGAAAAGAGTAGCCAGGCAGTCAGAGCCCAGCTAGTAAGGAAGGAGGAAAGAACAAATTTTGGAAGAGAGCAGTAGCTCTGCATCACCAGGGAAACCACAAGTAGATGTAAAGTTCTAAGGGTGCTCAGATGTTGGGGAGTAGAACCTGGAGAAAATCCCTTAGTAGATGACAGTCCTGCTAGGCCCTTTCATAGGCTAATTGTATTTGATTAACTTTATCTTGTTTTCATTTATTTATGCACACATCTATAATTTCCCAGACTTGGGATTATATTGTATATGCTGTTTTTGTCATGGACACTTCCTCTTTCCCTCCCTCATCTCCATTCCTCAGAAGTTGCTATTCTTGGTGCTAAGTCCACTCAAGAAGGAAACACAGATCTGGAGTTCAGAAGGGCTGTCTGGGCCAGAGTTGTAGTTCACCACTGGCTCTGCACTAGGAATTTGGAGATTTACGTGTAGGTTTTGTTTAAGCTATTATTGTGTGAGCCTAGACATATACTTTTTAAATAAAATTATTACTGAGATAATTGTATATTCACATACAGTCATAAGATACAATACAAAGAGATCTCATGTACCCCTCACCCGGTCTCGCTTAATCATAACATCTTTTAAAACAACAGTACAATATCACAACCAAGATATTGACAATGATACAATCCACTGATCTTATTCAGATTTCCCCAATTTTACTTGTACGTGTGTGTGCGTGTAATTAGTTCTGTATGGTTTTATCGCAAGTATATTTTTGTGCATCCACTGACAGTCAAGATACTGAACAGCTCCAGCCCCCAAAGATTCCTCATGTTGATCTTTTATAACCATACCCACCTCCCTACCATGCCCTCATCCCTCCATCCTAACCCTTGGCAACCACTAATCTGTCCTAAAATTTCTAAAATTTTGTCATTTAAAAATGTTATACCAATGGAATCATAAAGTGTTTAACCCTTTGGGATTGGCTCGTTTCACTCATAATTATTTCCTGGTGAGTCATCCAAGTTGTTGTGTCCATCAAGAGTTTGTTCTACTTTATATTATCAAGTAATCTTCCACAGTACGAATGTATCCTTCACTGGTTGAGGCACATTTGGGTTGTTTCTAGGTTTTGGCTATTATGCATAAAGCTGCTACAGATTTTTATGTGGACATAAGTCTCCATTTTCTCTGGGATAAATGCCCAAGAGTAAAATTATTGAGTTGAATGGTAATTGCATGTGTAGTTTTATAAGATACTGCCAAACTGTTTGTTAAAACAGAGTGGGTAGACTATTTTATATTTCCACCAGTAGTATATGAGTGATCTAGTTTCTCCACATCCTCAACAGCATTTGGTGTTGTCACTATTTTTTTCTTTTAGCCATTCTGATAGATATATAGCAATATCTCATTGTGGCTTTAATTTGCATTTCCCTGATAGCTAATGATGTTGACTAACTTTTCATGTGCTTTTTTGACATCTGGATATCCTCTTCAGTTCTCTTTGTGTAGTTTGCTTGTTTTTGTATTGTTACTTTTAAGTTTGGAAATTCTTTTTATATTCTTGATACTAGTCCTTTGTTAAATATATAGTTTGAAAACATTTTCTCCCGATAGGTAGTTTGTCTTTTCATTCTCCTCAAATGGGCTTTTTCTTTTTAGTAGAAGCTTTCTTGAGATATAATTTGCATACAATTCACTATTTTAATGTGTACAACAATCTGGTGGCTTTTAGCATATGTGCAGAGTGGTACGACCACCACCAAAATCAATTTTAGAGCTTTTTATCAATCCAAAACGAAACTCCAGATTTCACATGGGCAGAGAAAGTAATTTTAATGATGTCAAATTTATTATTTTTTTCTTTTATAGACTGTCTTAGAATTCGTGGCCTAGTCCTTCATCCCAAACATTTTTCTCGTATATTTTATTCTACAAATTTTTATAATTTTACGTTTTATGGTTAAGTCCATAATCCATTTTGAGTTAATTTTTATATATTAGTAAAGATTAGGTCAAGGTTTTTTTTTTAATTTTTTGCCTGTTAATTCCCAATTATTATAACATCTTAGTCGAGAAGACCATCCTTTCTCCTTTGAATTGCTTTGCACATTTGTCAATAATCTGTTAGACATCTTTGTGTGGGTCTATTTCTGAGTTCTCTGTTCTGTTCCATTAATCTGTATGTCTATGCCTCCTAACTTAAGCTTTTTATTTTTATTTATTTTTATTTTTTATTGTTTGAGATGGAGTTTCGCTTTTGTTGCCCAGGCTGGAGTACAATGGTGTGATCTCAGTTTACTGCAACCTCCGCCTCCTGGATTCAAGCAATTCTCCTGCCTCAGCCTCCCAAGTAGCTGGGATTACAGGTGCCCACCACCACACCTGGCTAATTTTTGTAGTTTTAGTTGAGACGGGGTTTCACCATGTTGGCCAGGCTTGTCTCGAACTCCTGACCTCAGGTGATCCACCCACCTTGGCCTCCCAAAGTGCTGGGATTACAGGCGTAAGCCACCACGCCCAGCCAGATACTTTAAAAAACTTAGTTAAAACAAGTAATTGAGTTTATTTCCAAAAGAGAGTTAGCAGTATGCACCACCACACCTGGCTAATTTTTGTATTTTTAGTAGAGACGGGGTTTCATCATCTTGGCCATGCTGGTCTCAAACTCCTGACCTCAGGTGATCCGCCCGCCTGGGTCTCCCAAAGTGCTGGAATTAAAGGTGTGAGCCACTGCACCTGTGCTTAACTTAAGCTTTTTAAAATGTAATGGGGCTAGTGATATCTGCCCTCTTACCCCTAAGTTGTTAGAAGAAGCAACTACTGTGTTAAAGGCACTAGCTCTGTGAGCTGTAAAGCAACATCTGAATGTAATATATTATTATTGAGAAGAATATAGAGATGTCACTCATTCCCCCTTGACATTTTTTCAGCTTATCTGATTGGCATTCTTCAATTTTTATATTTTTATTCTGGGAACCATGATGAGTGAGTTACTGCTCAGTTAGGGACATGAGAATGGTCCACTGTATGGAAACTTTGTAGCAAAGTTAGGATTCCTGCCCAGCCTCTATCTGCAGATCTTTTGCAGGCTTCCTGGATTCCTCTCATCATCCCAGCTTGTGTAGGTTCAGAAAGATAAGATGATTTTAATAAGCAAAATGTAACATCATTATAAAGGAGAGCTGATATCCCTTGGTCACTTGGCAAATAGAAATAACTTAGAATTGGGCAGTTTGGAATTATCCAGGCTATTCTGAATTCTCAAAAAGCCAGACGTTCATTCTTCTCTCCACACCTTTGTTCATCCTGCTTACTCAGTTGGCTCTCCCCTCTCCTCCGCCTAGTTGCATTCTGCACACCCCCAAAGACCTGCTTACCACCCTAAGAAGTAAGGCTGTTCCATCTTGTTAGGAATAACGCTTAAAATTCTAAGGAAATTCAACACTCAAACAATGGATTCTTAGCAAAGCAATTTTACTTTTGCGCAGAGGGGTGCCTCCTTGGCCAGTTGCCATGAGAGCACACCTGAACAAAGGGGCATGAGAACCTTTATTCCTGAAGCAAGTCCTGCCCCTGTACCCTTTCCCCATTGGCCGGGGTCAGTTCGTATAATCTGAACTAATCCCGGTTGGCTAAACATTTGATTTGTTTTAGATAAGGTGGGCACGTAAAAGAAAGCAGAGAGGAAAGGGGAAGGGGTGTCTGTAGTAAGCTAGAAAGTCCTCTTTCCAAATAAGGAAAGGAATGTGAGCTGGTACTGATAATGCCTGGTATTGTGGTATTGTGTCTGGGCATCTAACAAACGCTAAAAGGAAGAAAAGGAGAAAAAGGGAAAAAGGAGCGGGGTACTGTGAATTAAAGAATAAAAGATTAATTGGGTTATTTGAAGAGAAACCTCATCATATCCCACAATCTGTTTCTCTAGATAATGAGTCCCTTAATGGCAGTAAAGTTGCTTTTACTCATCTCTGTAATTTCTGGGCCTGGCATGGCAACGGGAAACAAACAGGTGCTCACTGAATTCAGTTTACCTTGATCTCTTTTTCCTTTTAAATGCCTCTCATCACTCTTAGTGACATTTAATCATTTATCATTTGTGTGATTCTGTTTCTTATGGATGGTTTTTGTCTTCTCCAATAAATGAGAGAACATCTTGAGATTAAAAGGCATTATTTGTACCTTATCTTTCCCTAGAGAGCCCGGCAGTTTCTGAATATATACACACCACCTTATGCCTAATTAAATATCACAGTTTAAGTATATTGAATTCATTATCCCATTTTTGAGAAGAGAACATTCCAGAACTCCTATTTTTTAAAGACTGGAGGCTTTAAACTACATGTTAGAGAGGAGTTACAGAGGGAGGTATGTAATAAAAAGCTTTTTTTCTTGGGCTAACAAGGAATTAGTGGAGTGAAAGAATTAGACAACAAAATTTAGAAGCTTAAAATGTATAGTCCAAAAAAGCAAGCTGAACTGTGGAGAACAGCATTTCACATTGACCATATTAAGCCGAAAAGAACTGCCTAGGAGACTATAATAGCTTCAAGAGGGCAGAAGTGGGCAGAGGCCCATAGGTGAAGCCAAGACTGGTTTGTCAGTATTGATAACATCACAGAGGTTATGAAGCTTTAGTAAATATCTCTATTGAAAAAATTAACTCAAACTTGAGCCTTTACATAGTTTTTCTAATCTTGGAAGCAGCCTCCCAGTGCAGACTTACTTCCCTTCCTTTGCTTTTCCTGGAAAGCCAGCTGCATGATGTCCCTCACCAGCTGTGACACTATCCCTGAACTCCATCTCTAATTAGATGAGGGAAAAACCAACCAGGCTGCCATCAAGGATTCAGTTAGGGTCCCGGAAAAGAATTTTCAATTTGTGTTATTGTCAAACCTCATTTAACCGGAATGCTTTGGACAACTGAAAGGTTTTGGACAATGGAATTTCTGGCTAATTATAATTTTTTTTTTTTTTTTTGAGACGGAGTCTTGCTCTGTCGCCCAGGCTGGAGTGCAGTGGCGCGATCTCGGCTCACTGCAAGCTCTGCCTCCCGGGTTCCCGCCATTCTCCTGCCTCAGCCTCCCGAGTAGCTGGGACTACAGGCGCCCGCCACCGTGCCCGGCTAATTTTTTGTATTTTTAGTAGAGACGGGGTTTCACCGTGTTAGCCAGGATGGTCTCGATCTCCTGACCTCGTGATCTGCCCGACTTGGCCTCCCAAAGTGCTGGGATTACAGGCATGAGCCACGACGCCCAGCTATAATTTGTTAATTGACGATTAGTCAGAAAACCCTGATTTTAATAACTCCAATTACAAGTACTGAAACATTAACACCTTAATAAGCACATGTTAGTGACTGTGAATCAGTGATTAAGGATTGAGTCTCTTTAGGGACACTATGGGACTCGTCAATGCAGCGATTGAAGTGCAGGAAATTGGGTGAATCTGTATTCAATTTGACATCCACCATCTACCATGGAAGTTACTTTTTTAGAAAGTTGATTTAAAAGTTTTTGGTAACATATACATAACAAAAAATTTACCTTTTGAACCATTTTTAAATGTACAGTTCAGTGGCTTTAAGTATATTCTGTTGTTAGACAACCATCATCACCATCCATCCCTCTCCAGAAGTTTTCCCATCTCCCCAAACCAAAACTGTGTACAAATTAAACAGTTTTTCCCATTTCCCTTTTCCTCCCCAACTCCCATCCTCAGGCAACCAGCATTCTACTTTCTGCCTCTGTGAACTGTACTACACAAGGTACCTCATGTAAATGGAATCATACAGTATTTGTCCTTTTGTGACTGGCTTGTTTCACTTAGTATAACATCCTCAAGATTCATCCATGTTGTAGTATGTGTCCAAATTTCCTTTGTTTATAAGGCTGAACAATATTTCATTGTATTGTATATACGACATTTTATTTATTTGTTTATGGACAGGAAGTTACTCTTTAAAATAAATCTCTATGTCACGATTTACTGATCTCTCTCTCTCTGTCTCTATTTATTCCCCTCTCTCTTTAAAAAAGAGAATGAAAAAATACTTGATAAAAATTTCTTAACTGAATTATGCTTTCTTGTCACTTTGTTCTAGTGGGTGAGGAACTAGGCAGCCATTTCACAAGGTGAGGGTGAGGATAAAACAGCCAGGCTGATTAAAGACAAGGCTCTCCCTAATCAGAATTAAATAAACCTTAACTGAAAACAAGAGGAATTAGAGTTTTGATCTATTGTGGACATCATCTCTTTAGTTGCAAATAGGATTGAAGAAAACAGAATAATACATACTGTGACTTTACTATGTGGCAAGTATGGTGCTTGACTCCTTTCTTCAAGCAATTATATTATGTGAGTCTGACTTTAGATAAAATAACAAATAACTAGGAGACCCTAGATGGATATCCAAGTGTCTTGACCTCTAAACCAGTGCTCTACAATACAAATATGTGAGTCACAATGAAGTCACATAGGTAATTTTCAACTTTCTAGTAGCCAAGTGAAGAAAATGAAAAAACAGGTGAAATTAATGTTAATACTTTTCTTAGCTCAAGATAATCCAGAATATTATTATTTCAATATGTAATCAATGTACCTTATTAGTGTGAGAGTTCACATTCTTTTTTATCATATCAAGTCTTTGAAATCTAGCCAGCACATCTCATTTTGTGTACAGCGCATTTCAAGCTTCCATCACTGCATGTAGCTGGCAGCCACCATATTGGCCCGGACTTCTCTAGACTAAAGTGTTCTTTCCTTCACCAGAAAGTGTGTTCATGTGGCTCTCTGCGTTCAGTCTTTCCCTTTATACTTTATGTGTCAGTAGTTCCTTAGTAGAAATGCTGGCTCTTATTTTCGAACCTTTTTACCAGTCAGGTACCTTCATAGAAGAATGGCTGGCTTATTACCAAAAGGGTAATTTTTCTCTCCTTGATTTTGCTTGTTTCCCTAGGTCTACTTTTCTGTCTTTTAAACAACCAAGAAATCAATGAAAACTCAAATTGCATAGGTTTATATTTCTCAGTAATTATATAGGTTACTATGTGATTGCTCTTACTAGAGGAACAATTTAGATGGTTGAGAGAATAGCCCTTAGTTTTTCTGTTATAAAGTCAGACATTAATAAAAGAATTAGAGAAGAAATTTGAATTTTTAAATTGCTTTGGGCAGTATGACCATTTTAAGAATATTGATTCTTCCTATCCATGAGCATGGAATGTTTTTTCATTTGTTTGTGTCATCTTTGATTTCTTTGAGCAGTATTTTGTAATTCTTGTTGTAGAGATCTTTCACCTGCCTGGTCAGCTGTATTCCTAGGTATTTTGTCCTTTTTGTGGCTATTGTGAATGGAATTGCTTTCTTAATTTGATTCTCAGCTTGGATGTTGTTGGTATATAGAAATGCTGAACTTTGTACATTGATTTTGTATCCTGAGACTTTGCTAAAGTCATTGATCAGATCTAGGAGACAGTGGGGTTTTCTAGGTATAGAATCATATCATCTGCAAACAGAGATAGAGTTTGACTTCCTCTCTTCTTATTTGGATACCTTTTATTTCTTTTTCTTGCCTGATTGCTTTGGCTAAGACTCCCAGTACTGTGTTAAATAGGATTGGTGGGAGTGAGCGTCCTTATCTTCTTCTGGTTCTCAAGGGGAATGCTTCTAGCTTTTGGTCATTTGATATGATGTTAGCTGTGGGTATATCATAGGTGACTCTTTATATTGTGAGGTATGTTCCTTCAATGCCTAGTCTGTTGAGGATTTTTATCATGGAGGGATGTCGCATTTTATCAAAAGCCTTCTCTGCATCTATGGAGTTGATCATGTGTGTTTTGTTTTTAGTTCAAACAGAACATTTCAAAAGCTGAATGAACATACATACTATTTTTATAATAAGTTGGCATGTAGGACATTTTATTTTTATGAAATTAGATAATTAGAACAAACTGTAAATATGTTTGTGTGTACACAGGTATGTAATAAGCCCATATATATGTAAATATAACCATATATAAATATTATCTCTTTCACGTTCTTTAAAAATGAAGTCTCATCAGCATGGAATTACTTTGTTGCTGTCTATTGAAAGAGCAGATGGTTTCTCAAGGTCTCTATGATATATTCTCTAATTATAGAGAATTTTTACTCTTGACTTTGAGCTTGATTATTGCTGACTCACCAAGTTAACATTTGTCAATCTGGGAGTATGGGAAGAACATAAATGTATTTATGCCCTGCAGTTAAGTTCATGAAATGAAATATCAAGCAGTTATGTGTGAGCTGGGTGTAGCAGCAACAGAGATAGCTGAATTGCAGGCTTCCGACTAACAGACTTGCTGACCCTTTGATGACAGTGGAGAGAGTGTTAATAAATAAGCAGTCCAGTGGGAATCACCCAGAATTTTCTTGCTTCATTTAAAAGTACATATGAGGTTTCCAAGCATAGTGTCTACTTTCCCTCTCAACTAAACCTTGGTACCTTCAGTTCTCTTAAGAAGATACATGTAGGACTCATGGGATTATTTTCTCCGGAACAAGAGTAAATATATGACTTCTCTGAAAATACTATTTTTGGAAGCCATTGTGGGAAATCAGTCTTATTCCTATGTTAACAGACTGAAGGTAGTAAAAGAGAACTCACTGTTTATTTATACCTTATCAACTTGCTGATCTGAGGGGACGGATTGAATGCTGTCACTTGGAGATGAAAGCAACCCACACCTAGGATTACGGACTCTGAGAAGAGATAGTGCCTCCCAAACATGAAGGGGAGAGTTAAGTCATCATGTCACTTGCTTAGGATAATAAGGCTTTTGGGTGACAGAAAATACCACATAAGATTGATTTATTTAAAATATTGTTACTGAGTAGAAGGAACTATTCTAAGTGCTGGGGGTAAAAGGAGTGAGCAAAACAGACAAAACAGCCCTCTTCTATTCAAGTTGAAAAATACTTTTATTTTTCTCACATATAAATGGAATTTGGAAATAAAACATCCCAGGTTTTATCTCCACAATCAGGAACCCAGGCTCCTTCTATTGTCTATCTTCTATATTATTCCATCTTCTTCAACATCTGGCATCCACTTTGTTGAAACCATCCATATTCAGGCCAGGAAGGAGGAAAAGGAAGAGAAGGGGCTCTGCCTTCCCTTTAAGTTCTGAAAATTACATGTAGCCCTTCCCCTTGTGTCTTATTGGTCAGAATTTAGCTGCAAGGGAGGCTGGGAAATTTAGTCTATATTCTAGGAAGCCATGCACCCAGAACAAAATCAAGGAGGAAGAGGGGAAGAACAAATATTGAGGACAATTAGCAGTCTAACACAGTCATCATAAAGGAAGGCACAAATTGCCTCAGGCATGTTCAGTATTTGACCTGGTAAGTTTTAAGGACTTGATGCAAACAACAGAGAAGGGCCTGGGCCAGTGGGGTAGGGACACTGAGAGGGGGCTTACCTTAGGATAGCCCAGATCTATTTAGACACCACTAATTCATTTTTTCTTCTTAGGTCAATAGTTAGCCTTAGGTTGGTGTGAACATTAAGAAAAGCCTCTTAAGCAGTTTGCACTGTATTTATTGAGCACACACTATGCTTGCAGGTCTTAGTGAGTAATCTCTAAAAGTGCTGCCAGGATGTGGAAGGAGGTAGACACGGAGTTCCAGCATGGTCTTGTCTTTGGAAGGTCCTGCTGAAGCTTAGGACCAGCCCTAACTAAATGCCAGCATGACTTCTTGCTGGTCCATCACCCATCTTTCCACAGATAGAAGGTAACTCCGTTTTCCAAGAGACCTCTCTTCCATGTCTCGCCTGCTTCCCTAGTGGCTCTATTTAACTAACAGTATTTCTGTTCCGGCAAGATGGAAACTGTCCTTAAGACCAGGGAGAACCCTAAAAAGAAAGCATTCCATTCCCACTGTATGGTTCCTGGATAAGACTTTGCTCCCCTTCATTTCCATATAGATCATCATAGAATGACAGGCTTATAATATGAAAAGACTTTAGTATTCATTGAATCTCACTTCCTTCCTAAGCTAGTATTCCCTAAAAGTTGTATTTTTTCAAGTGATGTTCCTCAGAACACTAGGTATTAATGGGAGCTCTGAAAACAAACTGGGACTCATTGTCTAGAAAGCTTTGTAAACATGTACTAAATTTCCCAGTAGGAGAGTCACAATATAGGTAGTCTTTCTTTTATAGGCTGGTAGAAACTTTATACCCTACATGAAATGTAACTGTGCAGGAGTAAACTCTTTTTGAACACTTGCAGCAATGGCCAGCTCACCACTGAGGACAAAGAAACTGTAAGAAATGTTTTGTGGAGGCTTGGATGAAGCGTGAAAGTCCCTGAGTTATTCCCCAATCCTGAGTCACTAAGCCAAGGGAAGTGTGTCAGCAGAGTTCAATCGATGTCTAAGCATACTGGGACTCATTATCCACTCGGTTGATTACTTCATTTTTTGTTATTTTACTTCTGCCCCCAGCAGCCTCCTCCGCATCTGGTCTTCATTGTGAGAAATGCATCAGCACATTTCTATCAGAGAGTGCGGAACGGAAAAAAGTGTGTGGGGTCAGACCGCAAATCAGTGGAATTACTTTGCGTTCCAAGTGTTAAATAGATAATTAACAAAATAATAATGTGTTTAATATAAATCCATTATTATATTTAATATAAACATATAAATAACAATGGATTTAATATAAATTCATTATAAATTCTCGACTCATTCAGATTATTGACTCTCTGGAAGGATCTTCAAACATCCTTTTTACTTACATTTGATGTAATTATGTTGGTATTTTGGGAAGAGTCATGTGTCCCAAATGATCTACCATTTCCATCTTCCTTTTTGACATATTCTGAATGAAGTGAGTGCAGTGTCAGGCAGGACCATCCAGCCTTTGAGAATACATCTCTTTCTTTCTTTTTTTTTTTCAGGTGCTTATACTTTTTGTCCATACTCTTAAGCTAGGATGTACTTGTTTTGGGGATCTAGCAGTTTCTAACAACTTAGACTCAGGTTGCTTCATTTCTTTCTTTAAAGGCAGCTGTTTGTACTTCAACAATGGCCAGTTTTGAGAAATGGATAGTCTGTTACTTAAATGTAAAAAAATATTTTTTGTTCTCAGTTAGTGTGGTAAACTTTTTGTGGAGTAAAAATGAGCTTCCTACAGAGACCCTTCAAATATACCCAAGCTGGCCTGGAGAGATGGGCCCCTCGGGCTGCTCAGCCCTTGTTGCTAATGGATGCACACACCTGCACTGGTGTTTGACTCTGCTGGGGAAGGCCACAATGACCTGCCAAGAAGAGGATCTGGGTGCAAGTGTGTGGTAGTGGCAGATAGCTCACAATTATGCCTTGGCAGTGGGAACGTGTGTTCGCCCAACTCAGAGAACACTAGAACTGGAAGAACCCCAGATATGGTGTCAGCTGGTGGTTTAAAGATGCACCATGTGGAATCCCCTTTGGGGCCACCCACCACACCCCATGACCCCAGCAACTTTGGGGTTCATTCTTTTCTTTACTTTTTGCATAATCTTTGTATCAAGGAAAGGTTCCATGACCCTTAAAAAAATAGGAATTCAATTCAGTTTCTTCATTAGACAGGGGAAGAGATAGTAATATTTGTCCAAGGTCACAGGTGGTTTGGGTCAGGCCAGTAGGCATGGGGAGCAAGCAGCTATCAATAGTGGGCCTGGATAGGACCTATTAGTCTTAAGATGCTTTCCTTCTTTTTTCCTGGTACCATCTCTCCAGCCCTCAACACTGGGTCCAGAATATCTTCCCTGAGTAGCACTTGTCTGAGTTATATAAAGAAGCAGGATATTGTCTCCAGAAATCTAGTATCAAAAGGTCACCTACCTCCTACTGCACTCGTAGACAAATGTCCTTCATGCATTGCTGAAGACTGGTGGGGACCTGGAGGACTAGGACTCAGCTGGTTTGGGGTCGAACTTCTTCTATGTATGATTTTTTTTTTTTGAGTTGATCCTTTCCATTCCTCATGCTGAAATTTTATTAGGCAGATGATCCCAGAAACCCCATCCCCATCTCCATGCCACTAAGTTAAATAAGATTCACACTAAACCAGCTAAAATGCTGGTCCTGCTGCTTACTGGCTATGAGACTTTGAATAAACTCTATAATCTCTCTGTGTCTCAGCTTTCTCATTTTAAAATGACAATAAGATTTACTACATGTTTTAATGTGAGAATTAAGATAAATGATCAAATCCAAGAGTGTTTAGCACCAGTTGGGCTCTTGATAGGCACTGGATCCCAGATGGCTGTTAGTGTCTATGTTGCTGTGTTGCTGCCCAGGTGTCATGTTTCAGAAACCTTGCAGAAGTGGTGACAGAAAGGTGGGACAGTTAGGGTACTGGGTCTCATTTGTCTGGAAGCTGCAGTGTAGGCTGGAGAAGATCAACTTGAGAAGGTCATCTTGGGGGAAGCTGGACCTCAAACAAGGCAGTAGTAATTAGTGGCCAATGTCCAGTTAGTGGTCAACCTGCGTGGGCTGGGCAGAAATCCTTCTCTGTTGGAAATCTGATATAAGGGTGTAGAAGAGAATCCAGATGAGGGAAGGGTTGGGCTGGAGGCAGAGCCTTGAGCAATTTTCTAAGTAGAATAAGCAGCCTCATTGCTCACACTGGAAACTACTGGCATGTTAAAAAGCACTCCAGAATGTACTGGAAACTGTAATTTCCAGAGTCTTCTGCCATCTATGTTCAGTTTCTTTGCTCCCTAGCACTACTCCAGGTTCTCTGTGTGGCTTCGTCAAGGCGTGATCCATGCCTGGCTGCCGTGGACACTGACTCAGAGATCAGCAGGTGAGGGCTCTGCCATCTGCAAAATCCCTAAATAGAGCTTTGTGAAGAGCTGCCTGCAGTATGTGGGGAAGGAAAAAGTACTCGGTAAATTGCATTTTCCAGGGATCTTCTAGGACTTCTGTTCTGTTAGTGGTCAGGTATCCTGAGCACCTCAGACAACGCTGGACAGACATCTGCACTCTGTTAGCTTCCATTTAGGAAAATCATTTCACTGTCCTCTCTCAGCACTGGAAATTTTCCTTGCTTAAGCTGCCCGTTTGGCTGGATTTCTCTGCTTGAAACAAACATGTCATGGTCTCAGTGGGGAGAATTCCTTAAATGAAAAAAGTCATCGAATGGAAAAAATGGACAAACCTGGCAATTCTTCTTTGCTTGTGGTTCATACATTGGTTCTGATTCATCTTCAGTTCTTTGCTTGTGCATTTGGTATTTACTGGGTGCCACTTTTGCCTGTTATGGTGTTAGGATTGGGGCAAAGGCCAAAGAAGATGTTTTTCTAGCCCTTTAGTTGCTTAAAGCCTAATTAGAGAGTCCTGTTATTTAAAACAGGAAATTATAGCAATATAAAAAGTACTCAGGTTGAGGTGTGGCCAGAAGCTATGCCAGCTGAGAAGAGGGGTCTCTAAACAGAGTGATGTGTATGATGGGAAATAGTGAGGGGAGCTTCCCAGAATCATCAGCCCCTCACCTGACCCAAAGAACTAGCTGTCTTTGTCATCAGCTTTAGAGATAAATGTGTAGGGCTGGTTTCTTGTACTTTCTGAAATTGCGTAGCAGAAACATTTCTTCCATCAAATCTGAGATTTCACTAGAACTCCGCAGAGTCAGCCCACATATATACAGTCCTCTCCCCCAGCTCAGTCCTGTTAAGGCCCAGTTCAGATCTTACCACTTCCGCAAAGCTTCCGGCACTATCTATAATATAACTGATATTTCTCTTTGGGAATTACTTGAACCCCAGTGATGACAATTTTTCTTATGTTCATGTCTCATTACCCACAAGTAGATTGGTTTTTGCATAAAGTCAAGGATCACGTCACATACTCCTTTGTCTCTATTCAGGAGAGTAACTTGGGCCTTGCCCAGAAAACCTATTGTATAAATGTTTGTTTTTGCTGTAGTGGAATCACACAGATGGCTGAATCTGTCATTTACTATGTGACTTTAGGAAAATTACCTAATCTTTTTGAGCCTCGGGTCCTTCATCTATAAGATGGTGATCATAAGAGGGCTTATCTCATAGATTTTTGGCAAGTTAAATGAGGTATGGTGCTATGTGCTTAGTATAGGACCTGAACTTTCATAAGTGCTTAATGTAGGTTTTGTTGAAAAATTTCAAATAGATATATGCCTTTAGCAGACCTCATCTCTCATTTCCACATTTCCTCCTATATGACTGTTTACTACTGAGTAACTACCTATTTGCTGGAAAAATGAAAGTAACTTGGACTTTAAAGATGTCTTTAAAAAAAAAAAACTCATGTCTTAGTTAGCTCAGGCTGCTATAACAAAATGCTATAGACTGGGTGTCCTAAACAGCAGAAATTTATTTCTCCCAATTCTAGAGACTTGAAGTCCAAGATCAAGTCCAAGATCTCTCTCTCTCTTGCTCTCTCTCTCTCTCTCTCTATATATATATATATTCAGTGCCTATATATAGAGAATATGTGTATATATATTCAGTGCCTACATATATATATAGAGAGAGAGGAGACAGATGAGGACACAGCAGGAAGATATATACATCTCTCTCCCTCTCTCTCTCTATATATATAGGCACTGAATATATATATATATATAGAGAGAGAGGTGTATATATCTTCCTGCTGTGTCTTCATGTCTCCTCTCTCTGAGAGAAAGAGAGGGCTCTGATGTCTCTTCCTTTCCTTATAAGGACACTAATCCCATGATGGGGGCTCCACTGTCACAAGCTCATCTCGATCTAACTGCCAACTAAAGGCCCCACCTTCAAATACCATTACCTTGGGGATTAGGGCTTCATCATCTGCGTCTGGGCAGGATGCAAACATTCAGTGCCTAGCAACTCTCTTTTTCAACACTGAGGGATAAAAGGTAGAAAAAGGGGAGAGTAAAGAAGAAGTAAAGAAACACAGGACCAAGGGAAGCAGAGAAACTACTTCTTTTTTCTACACGCTTCTCACCCATGACAGCTTCCTGCTAGCACCTAACGGTAGATATCTGAGGGTGGGGACTGAGGCTGCAGCCAGGAGCACAGGGTTCTGCTTTAATGAGGGGCTGTGCACAGCACAGTCTTTGCCTGCTGAGGTGAGCTGAAGCCTCTGTGAGGGGACCGGCACCCAGGGGAGGGAGGCTGAGCCTGCGGGGGCCAAGGGAGAAGAAGGGCTAAGGCCCCAAGGGCTTTGTGAGGGCACTGGGTGAGAAAACTGTCTGCCAGTCACCCTCACACACAAGGTCAGGGCGGCATGGAGCAGCCTCCTGATTAGAACAGACCTGTCCCCACCCAGCAAAATAGGAGGGGCCTTAGAGAAAGATGAGACCGAATCCATGTTGACAGGATTCCTGTACTCAGCCCAACCTGTAACAGCCGTTTCAGAAAACACCAGCCCACGTGGGCTTAAAGTGGGCTGGCTGCTTGGCTTACACAGAGACATTTGAAAGCAGATAGCGGTTTGAAACATTCATGTGAGATTCAAAACAGGGACAAAAAGCTGATGGGGCAATGAGGGAGGGGGTTTCAGAAAGTTAGAAACCATTGATAAAATCTTGACATTTCTTAGGGAATTCATGCTTCCCCATGCAAAGTGAGTGGAGAAGGAAACTAGAAAATGGTTCCAGCACAAATGAGGGGTTAACCATCTCCCCATTTTTAAATCTTCACAGGACTTCCCTCCAAAGTTTACATAATCCTAGATTATTTCTCAGAAGTGTTATATTGAAGTACAGCATTATTATTTTGAAGTAAAACTCACAACGCTAGAGTTTGAATTTATTTAGACCTATGATGATGTTTCATTTCTTTTGTCAATATCGCCAAACATGTCTAAATTCATATGGACAGAGAAACTGAGGAACCAGGAAGGGTTACACACAAATCAGTGTAAGCAACTCCACAGCCTAGAGAGTACCAAGGGAGAGGGCAGGATATGGTGTTAGTTGTCCCAACTCAGGGTCTGAGGCAGGGCCTCAGGAGGAGGTATAGTCCTAGATGCTTCAGAGAACAGGACCAGAGCTAACGAGGAGGAATGACAGAGAGGCAGGTTTCAGCTCAATGCAGTCGAGAATTTCCCAATAGAACAAGATGCCCTGTGAGTTGTTGAGTGTCCCTTCCTCCTGCTGGAAGTTTTCAAGTTCAGACTGGATGGCCATTACCAGAGATTAGGAAGGGGACATGAGGTTTGCCACTCTGCTTCGATGTTCTGCCCCTGCCAGGGGCCCAGGGTGCAGATGAGGGAGAGGCAGGAAGTGTTTGTGGCTGTGATCCTGATAGGAATCTTCAAAGACCCAGGCGCTGCCCTGTATCAGCCCAGGCTTCTTTCTTTACTCTCTTCTGGTCAACCTGTCTTCCTCGGCTCCCTAAGCCATTCTGAGCCCACTGGAACTTTTTACACTTGACTTCCACTTGGGTTAAGTACCTGCTTCCTGATGTGCGAAGTAGCCTTTTATTCGTTTTGGTGTTAAACAGACCTCTTTCAAGTTAGAATATGCTCCCTACTTACAGTATTCTGGGATTTTGAGAATGATTCCGTGCAGCTACTGTCTGACTTTCTTTATCATTCTATAGCCTCTCCTAGATTTCGTCTTCCAAACCATGACCCTCATGTATCAAATCCTTTTCATACTAAAACCTGTTAGTCACCTTGATAGTTTTGCTGTCCTTTGGATCTTTTCCACCTCTTTTTGTGCCTTCTTCAAGTGGAATGCCTGGAACCTTTGGCAGGTTTTCAGCTTATATATACTACAGTTTTATACATGTTTACTCTGTTGGAAACGGTGTGATGTATATTTTTAAAAATGCATGATTTTGGGGCATAGAAAGTACTGGATCTTTTACTGACTGATGGGCTGCACAACTCTGGGTAAGTTATTTAACCAGCCACTTTGAGCATCAATTTCCACATTTGCAAAATGGAGAGAAGAATATGTACCTCTGTCATTCATGAGGATAAACAATGTGGCATTTAAAAGCCAGGTATATTGCCTTGCACACAGTAGGCACTAAATAATTTAAAGGAGGAGAAGAAAGAGAAAGTTCCCATTGTTGGGTACGTCTTTTCAATAGTGGAAGACATAATTTAATGTAATAGGTAAGAAACATTTTTATAAAGTACTTTTTGAACCTCTCTGTAAGATTCAAATTTCTCTTGGTCATATTCATTTAAATTGGTCTATTTTGGTTATGTACGTAAAAACATTGCGTTTATATTATTAAATGTAAATTAAACTTATGGCCTTGCATCTTTACTAACATAAGTAGATAATATATGAGACATATACAGTGTTAGACCATTGTCTTCTGTTTACTGTTTAGACAGTGTTAACATCTCCCAGAAGCAAGAGCTATGGCGGGAGAAGTGGGAGAGGCACAACTTGCCAAGCAGAAGCCTCTCTCGGCGTTCCATCAGCAAGGAGAGATGGGTGGAGACACTGGTGGTGGCCGACACAAAGATGATTGAATACCATGGGAGTGAGAATGTGGAGTCCTACATCCTCACCATCATGAACATGGTATGCCAGACTACATGGGGGCTGGGGCAGCTAGTGAACAGATGTCATTAGAAATGCTTACATAAATAAATAAGAAAGGCCTTTTTGGGGTCCTTTTAACTTATTTTTATAAATATATATGTGAATCTAGTACCTGCCTAAGGATGAATATGGATGGAAATTCAGGATGAATTAGTCTTTCCCTTAAAGATGTGTATCCTGGGAACATTTTATAATTTATTAGTTACATACTTCTGGTAGGTATTTTCCAAGTGACTCAATCCTTTTCGTGTGGCTTTGTCTCATCAGTTTATGTTAGTAAACCGAAGGAGTAAACTGAGGCAAAGAACTAGAACATAATTTCCTCAAAGTAGTTAGAAATAGAATTGGAATAAAGTTAATGACTCTTAATTTCAAGCTTTCTCTTTGCATTGTTGATGTTTTCTGCCTTCAAGAAGATGTTAGTCCTATTGAGGTGGGAAAAGGTATTTGCCTGAGTAACTGATAATAGAAGAGGAGAATACTGTGGGCTGGGTTAAGAAAAGAAAAATGTTAATCCTTCAAACACACAGCCAAGCTATCACCCTGAAAGATTTTGTTTAAATATTGTAATGTGGAATGAGCTGTGGGCATATTTCACTCTTCTTAGCACACCGCCAAACATTTCTGACCTATAAGAAAACCTTTATTTTATGTGCATTACAATGCTATTTTCTTCTCTGGTATTTATTTATTATCTCTTCGTGTGGAGCTAATGGTTTTCTATTTCTGACCCTAGGTCACTGGGTTGTTCCATAACCCAAGCATTGGCAATGCAATTCACATTGTTGTGGTTCGGCTCATTCTACTCGAAGAAGAAGAGGTAACATTTTTTCCCTTCACTCTTCTGCTATATGTCCTCGCACTTCCTACCTTCTTTTTTTCAGGGGAGTTCTTGGTAGACAAGAAAGAGGGTACCAGAAAGTGTTTGGAAGCCCATCGAGAAGGAAAATATTATTTCTGTGTTATTCCCTTGGGAGTTCAGTGATACTGAGCGGGATGTGGATAACATTTCCAAAATATACATAGTTGAAATCTCTTGACAGTCATTGTATCTAATAACATACACATGAGACTCACCGCAGTCACTAAAGATGTTCTGCAAAAGAAATAGACTAAATCATGACATGGTTGGATGGTTTCAGTAAAAGGTAAGAAAGACATGGAAATGTCGAACCTTTGATACTACTAATTTACTTCTTGCATATTTAACACAAGCCTCTCAGATTTGGGACCTCTTGTCTATCTGCACGTTTACCTTTGGGGATTTCATCTATTCTCAGAGATGATGTAAAGTAAACATAAGACTTAATATGTAAGTCTTAATATATAAGACTTAAATGTAAGTCTTATATAAATGTAAGAGACTTATATGTTATCTATGTCCTGAGACCCTCAATTGATACGTCCAGCCTAGACCTCTTCCTTGGGCTTCAGGCTCATATCCAAGTACTTGAAATCTCCACCTGGAGGTGTCAAAGTCCATTCAATCTTGAAAACTTAATAAATCCAGAATGGAACCTTGATTACTCCCTTCCTAAATAATCTCAGTTCTGCCACCTCCATTCCCCAAATCACCACCTTACCCAACAGTACTATTACGCATTGGTTACATAAGCCCAGGAGATATTCTTGATTCCTTTTTTCATATCTTCCACATCCAATAGCAAGGAGCACTGTGGTCTTACTTCCAAAATACGTGTCATCTCTGCAGTCATCACATTGGTTTGGCCTTATCATATCTTGCATAGGCTACTGCAGTGAACTCCCAAATGGTTGTTTCCTATTTTCAGCCTTGCCATAAGAATTCATTCTCCATGGATGATCATTTTAAATGCAGCCATAATTGATCATTTTAAATACAAACTGAAGTGCTGCACTGCACAAAACCCTTTAATGTCTTTCTGGGTTTTTTTTAGAACAAATTCAAAATTTCTTGCTGTGACCTGTGGTGACTTTCATGATCTTTCCTCCATCTACCTTTCTGGTCTTTGGTTATGTTACTCTCTTCCTTGTTTCCTACTCTCATACTCACTGTCTATGCACTTGTGGTTCTCAGTGCCTGAAACATCTCTCTCCTGGTTCTGCACATGACTGGCGCCTTCTCATGCCTTATGCCCCGTGTAAATGCTGCCTCTTCAGAGAGGTCTCAGTGACCAGTTTATTCAAAGTAGACCCCTCTTATTGCTTTTCATCACAGAATGATGGCAGTCTCACAATTCATCATGATTCTGTGTATTTGTTTACTCTTTTTTTGCTTATCACAGCCTCTACCAGAATGTGATAATGGCTTCCATGAGGGCGGAAGCCATGTGTCTTTATTCTGTTAGATCCCCAACACCTAAAACAGTGCCTGGGACACAAATGAATGAATGAAGTGAAATGTAATGAATGGTAGGACCAGCCAACTGATGAAATGCCCTTGAAATCTATAGAGCTTAACCAGCAGCTAGGATATGTAAAGAACGGCATCATTCAGCTTCCCATCAGCAAGAGACCTGCAGTCAAAATGCCAAGGGAGGGCTTATTGTTTTCTTGACAGGAAAAATCTCCACGATCGTGTGTGTTAGATTATTTTTAAAACAATCTGTGGAGTGGGGATCCATTTTTTCTTCTTTCCCCTGTAACCCGGTCTCCCTTTGTCACCTAAAACCTACTTTGGGTGTCTTGGAATACCAATGGGTATGTCATTTCCCTTCATGTGGTCTTTTTATTAAGAAAATATATTCAAAACTTGGAAAACAGGCAACATGAAACCTATATATCCTTTTGACATTTAAAGATACCTATCTTACTCTATGAAAATGTAACTGCTTGTTTACCATTGATTGGGGCACAGATGTGGTAAAGTTAGATGTTGACATGTAGAAAATGATAGGGTACAAATGGTTTTTGCCTAGTAGAGGTGAAAATGATTTATGTCCAGCAGAGAAGATAATTCTGAAGATGGTTTTATTGGTTGGCGGAACCAGACCAATAAAAATTGGTACCTAATTTTGTATCTAACTTAGCAATCTCATTCAGCAGTTCTCCCACACTGGCTATAGCTGCATCAGTTTTTTGCATCTGCCTTTGAACTAGCTTTGCCATCTTGCCTATCCCCTCATTAAGGAGCCAAATTATCTTGCCTGTCTCCTCACTAATGAGTTAAATACATCTTGAACATGTGCTCATTGTATATTTGTATGAAAATTGTGTTTTTGACTTTTGAAAAGCATGCTTTGATACCTTGGAGAAAAAAATTTTACTTTTTCATACTGGTTGAGCACATAGGCATTCCTAGATAGAAATGTGAAGAAACATTTAGCATTTTCAGACCAAAAAAAAAGAAGAAGAAAGCTACTTCTGGGAATAAGAAGGAAAAATCCTGGGTTTGAACTGCTTTCATATAAAACAGAAGGAAAAATCTTGACCCTCTGTAGTCCCAGCAGCACCACTGGTAGGATTTCATAATGTGGCTTCCACGGATCAGGCCCCTTTAAACTCCATGTCTCTTCATTCCCGAGAAATAATGTCACCAGGGCATCTCCATGGCATGTTGATGCCAGTGAAGTTGTTTGAAGGAGCTTGATTGGCCTCTGCCCCCTGACTCCATCACAATCACATTGTTTCTCCTCTTCTCTACCAACCTGGTTTTGCAAATGTAAAGAGACACACATGACTTGCTTCAGGAAGCCATGGCTCTCTACCTCCCACTTGCCAAATATTATCCTCGTTCAAGCTTTTACGGAGTCTCTAATTGGCACAGAGTTCACAAGTTAACAGCAGAATTGCAGTCCACAATTCTCATTTTCCTAATTCCCAGGAAATGGCTCAAGCCATTCTTCACATCTGTGACTAATAAGCAGCTCAACAACAGACAGCAATGATTCCAGCCCTTAACTAATGTCAAGATGGCAGGCACAGGAAGCAGAGTGTGAGGTTCAGTGCTGTGACTCCTTTGAGCAAGTTGACCTGAGTTCAGCAACTCTAAGGAAGTTACATCATTGCTCCATGTCCATTTTTCTTAATTTGTAATGAGAAGAGAGTTGTGGAACATCAGGCATATGTCACACCTTGTGGTAGCACCAGGGATGAAAATGTGAACACAAGTCCCTTTTCCTGATTCTGAGGAACTTTGAGTCTACTGCACAAAAGCACAAAAATAGCACATTTCAAGTTGAGATTGGCATGAGTATAGAAGTACTGGGATAGGAAAGGGTACTTGGATGTCTAAGCTGGGATTTTAGAAAATAAAAAGGAATTAACTAGTGAGGAAGTGATACGGTTAGGCTAATTGAAACATGGAGGTGGTTTCCCCCATGCTGTTCTTGTGACAGTGAGAGAGTTCTCATGAGATCTGATGGTTTAATAAGGGGCTCTTCCCCCTCTGCTTGGCACTTCTCCTTCCTTCCACCTTGTGAAGAAGGTGCCTTGCTTCCCCTTCACCTTCCACCATGATTGTAAGTTTCCTGAGGCCTCCCAAGCCATGCTGAACTGTGAGCCAATTAAACCTCTTTCCCTTATAAATTACCCAGTCTTGGGCAGTTCTTTATAGCAATGTGAAAATGGACTAATACAGGAAGGAAATTCCAGGTGGAGGGACCTGCATGGGCAATGGCTTTATTCTTAAACCAACAATATGCATATGAGAGGCAGTGGACATATCACTGATGTTGGACCACACAATGGGAGGTTGAGAAGTCTTGCTGTGATACAAACGAAACAAAGTGATTGTGCTGGAGACAGGAGAGAAAGCAGCCAATCAAAACCTGCCTACTTCCACTCGCACTTCGGTTTGTCCCATGTTGCTCATGTCTGCACATGACATTATCATCCTTTCAGTTGCAGAGGCCAGAAATCTCGATGCACTGATGATACCTCCTTCTCTCCCTCCCATGTCAAGTCTGTTATCAGGTACTGACCATTTATCTGACCATCTCCATTTATATCACTTCAATTCAAGCTACAGTTATCTCTTTTCTGGACTATACTGGTATATACTTTCTGGTCTACTCAAAACCAGTTGGATTTCTTTTCATCTTGTTTCCTCAGTGTAGTCAAGATAATCTGAAAATGGTACTCTGATCATATCCACCCTCCTGCCACCCTTTCTCCAACCCCTACACCTGGCTTCGTTTAGTCCAGTGGTTTTCTGATTCCCTTTCTCATCTCTCGCTATTCCTGCCTTTGCTCTTGAGAGGTAGCAATAGTCTTATTCATCAGGCTTTTTCAAGGCCTGCCTCTGGTCTTGTTGTTGCCTGGACTGTCTTCTTGTCTTCACTTAGTTAACAGCCTAATCTCTCAGATCACAGCTCCAGTGTCACTTCCTTGGGGAAGCCTTTCCTGACCCCCTTTCCTAGTAAGATTCTGTTATTGACTCCCATAAAACTACATTTCTTCTCCACAGCATGTTTCACAGTTGTAATCTTAGATCTATTTAATCGATACCGTTTCCTCAATTAGTATGTAAGACTTAAGAGCAGAGGTTGAGTTTGGTGTTGCTCACTGGTATATAATAGACCCTCAATAAATATTTGTTCAAATACTAAATAGGAGAAAGTGTGCAAATGAGGCCAGCAGTCTGTCAGTGAACCAGGGCCAATGGCAGCCAAGTTGCTGTGGGCCTTGTGGCCACATAAGGACTTTGGATCTAATCCTGTGGGATACTCTAGATTATTCCAAACCAACAAATGGAGTTAGAGAGATCACTCAGGCTCTGTGGAAAGTGTGTGAGGTGGGGAATCCCGAGATTGGGTCTCTGAGGTAGATTCCTTTTATCAGTGACTTTCTATCACTCTTGTCGTTCTTATTCTAAATAAATCTCATGGGTAACACCATTTGGGGCTTTATTTTTCTGCGGTGGTTTCAACAGACCTTGAGGTTAGGCTATATACATAAAATGCATGTTTGTCAGTTACCACCATCTAAAGACCACTATGGGGTTTCATCACATTTTGAGAATAAATTGGAGTATTGGGTGTAAAACTCACTTTGGAACAATTTGGAGGCTTTCTCATAGGCGAGATAGTCATATTTCAAAGCAGTGGAAACTGAGGTAACTGACGTATACAAAACCATGTTCTGAAAAGACGTGTCAAACATATTAAGAAACCATGGGCCAAGAAAACAGACAGTGAGTTCAGATGGGAGCCAGCTTGCTCTCACTCCTGTCATGTCCCTGTCTATCCCTGAATTGAGCTCTGATTTTCATTTTATGGCCCAAATTCTATCCTTTTAATTTTCTCCTAGGACTTGGACACAAACTTGACCTCTAAGCCCTTTCTGTTTTAGACCAATTTGTTTGGTGGGCCCCCTGCTCCCCTCTTGGGTCGGGGGTTAGGGATGGGATTAGACTCTTTCCTCCAATTCTTGTGAGCAGCTTGACATCACAGAGAGTACCAGATTTATCATTAGTTCCACTGCTTGCTAGCCATATAATTTTGGTAGGTTGTTTAACTTGTCTGTGTCTCCATTTCCTCATTTTGTAAAATAGTGATAATTATATGTATTTCATAGCATTGTCATGAGAATCAAATGTCTTCATTCATGTAATACTTAGCATAGTATCTGGCTTGTAGAAACTGCTCAATAAATGTTACTTGTTAATATCAGTCTTATTATTTTTATCATCATCATCATTTAGCTCCCACAAAAACCCTGTAAGCTTATTAATACTATGCTTATTTCACAAGGACTTCAAAGTCCTTGGAGGAAAATAAAAGACCTAAAGGACAAAATCAGGGTCATATGATGTTGGAGACTTCTTTTAAGAACAAGATAGAGACAAAACTGGAATGAGAGTGAGTCGGATGAAGCCAAATGAATCCCATCCTAGGTGACTATGCCATCCAGTGGAGGAGCCTAATGGCATTGGTGGGGCTTGAAGGTACAGCAGTAGGGCTGACAGCAGCAGGAAGGAGACAACCACTTTCACAAAGAAATTCTTCTTGGTGTACTGAGAGTGGTTTAGTGTTGAGTCTACTCTTTTTTGGAAACTCTAGAATTAAAAGCCTGCTGATTTTAAAAATTCAGGCTGGTGGTTTACCCCTCCCCCCAGCTGATGTGTGGGTCTGTATTGTTCTTTCAGGGTAAATGTCAAAAATACTGGCAAAGAATTTTTAGACTTATTCTCTCTCTCTCTCTCTCTCTCTGTGTGTGTGTGTGTGTGTGTGTGTAAGATAGACAGAGTCTCACTCTGTCAAGCAGGCTGGAGTGCAGTGGCACATAGTTCACTGTATCTTTGAATTACTGGGGTCAAGCCATCCTCCCACCTCAGCCTTCCAAGTAGCTAGGAATACAGGCACTTGCAACGATGCCTAGCTATTTTTTTTTTAAAGATGGGGTCTCACTACGTTGCCCAAGCTGGTCTTGAACCTTAAAAAAAAAAGTATCCTTTCCTCTGGTAATCAGATGAGTTGTCCCTTAGACACATGAGAAGTTTCAGATTAAACCTTTTACAGCTTGTCTCTTCTCTGCTCATCCTCTTTCTTTCAGTAGCGTAAGCCTGACTACCAGAGCATGGTCAGATTGTGCACTGAGTCAAAAACTGCTATCAGAAATTCCAAGAGAAATCAATACAAGATTTTCTCATTATAGAGAGAGCTTACAAAGAGCGAGAACAATTTTTAACAAAAGCCACGTTCTTGCAAAATTATTTCCCATGTGGAGCTATTTTATGAGCTTTCTATGATTTCTTCTAGGTCAGCTTCCTGTCCTGTTAATTCACATACAAAATGTATAGAAAAGGGGAAGTGGAAAGTGAATTGGATTAGCTTGAGAAGCTGAAGTGAAAAAAAATAAACAAAAAGAGGAATCTATTTTTGTTTGCAGAGGAAATGAGGAAAAAATAGTGTGAATGGGGGTTTGTTTTGACATGCTCAAATAGTTTCCAGGATGCTTTACGGAAAATGTTTAGCACAAGTTCCCTCGCATTTATTGTGAGCCATCATAGTCTCTCTGAAGTCCTGTTGCATTTTTTGTGTGCTTAGGGCTGCCTCAATTTAATCCATAACTAATTACTATTCTCAAGGCTTCTGTGATCAAGAGCATACAATAAATTAAATGAGTGTTTCTTGGACTTAACCCCTTCTGAGACTTGGAGATTAAGAAGCTGAAAAGGTTGAAAAAAATGTGCTCAATTACAGCTTTCTGGAAGAGCTGTGACATTTAATAGAAAAGACACTGTCACTGAATTTGTGTTAAATGTCACATATTGCAGATGAAAGTTCTACACAGGGGCGAAGTATCAAGCTGTAGGTAATCATCAACTCAATTAATTGTACACTTGCTTTGTCTGCACGAGGAACTTTAAATAGGAATAGGAAGAAAGCAAGAAAGATTTTGAGAGTAGACTTAAAGCCCTAGCATTTTTTCTCTTCATCAATGACTATCTCTCAGGTTATTCCAGAATTACTCTTATAGCAAAACTGGAATGTCAGAAGAATCTCCTATGTTGAGATTTTATTTTACTATTCAGCTTCTTTCCCTCTCCTTTACTCCTTCCCCAACAGCCCTGCTGCTAGAAAATCTCAACAACCATGCAGACCTGCCCATATATTTAGATGGTCCAACCTTAACGTGGTTCTCACTACTGCTTGATCACTTTTTCTCTGTTATCCTCCTTATTCCTGTCAAGAACTAGGCAGGGTCTGTTTTAGTCCATCATCTGCTGCTCCATTCTCTATAACAGAATATCACAGACTAGGTCACTTATAAAGAACAGAAGTTTATTTGGCCCATAGTTCTGGCGACTGGGAAGTCCAAGATCATGGCACCAGCATCTGGTGAGTGTCATTCCATGGTGGAAGGCATCACATGGCAAGCAAGCATCCAAGACAGAGAGAGAAAATAGGGCTGAACTCATCCTTTTCATCCCTGCAGTAACAAACTCACTCCCATGATAACAACATTAATCCATTTACAAGGGCTCTTAATCACCTCTTAAAGGTCCTACCTCCCAATATCTTTACATTGGCAAACAAATTTCAACATGAGTTTTTGAGGGGAGATTCAAGCCATAGCAATCTGAGATTTTACCCTACTTGCAAGCTAACAAGTTAGTCTGCCATGCTTTTATGAATGAAATGCTGGCAGAAGACATGAAAATCCTGAGTCACAGACAAAGGACTTTATTGCTCACAGCATAATGGGACACGAGCATCTGTACCTGTCCCTCTTGTCCCATAATTTGCACTGGGGTGTTGCAGGCAGCCCAAGTGTATGCTATGCATACAGTGGGTTTTATTCCAGCTTAGGACCCCCAAAATAAGGAAGCCCCAATCCTTTAAAACAGATTGTAAGCAAACGTGTCCAACTTTTGCCCCAGAGGAAGCCATCACCTTTATTATTATGGACATAAAGTAAATCCTTCCTTTTCCCTGGAAAAAGACTATCTTCTAAGGCTGTTTCCTTTACAACATCCTTCAAAGGATACTCTGGAACAAAACCTATATCTTTGCTCAGATGATGTGCAGAAACACGAGACACCCATGTAGAATCTTCTACTAGCAGTTCCTATTACAGGCACTGGAATTATTATTGCAGATTTTCTACTGAGTTCTCAAACTTCTGGCCTCTTTACTGCCCCTTCCCTAATCCACAGGAGAACTTGCCTCTTGTTAACTTACCACAAAGCCTCCCATTCACCTAGTCTTCACTTTTTCTGGCCTAATGGATATATTCTCTCCCTTTTCTCCTTTCCTTCATGGGTGGTGTGCATCCTCAGTTTTGTCAGTCAGTATATCTGCTGTAAACCAGGATATATTCAGTGCCTGAGACAAGGAGAAGAATAAACCTCAATTCTTGTTCTGGAGGCCCTAAGAGGAAAGCAGGCATACAATTTGATTATTACGACCTTGCACAGCAAGTGCTGTGAACCAAGTATGAAGAAGGTATATTGGCAGGAAGCTAAACCAGACTAGGGGGCAGGGAAAGCTCCCTGGAAATGCCCAAATTAAATCTTAAAGAATGAATAGAGGTTGAATGGGTTAAAGGGGGTAAGAGAAAAAGACAATCTAGGAAGAGGGAACATCTTGAAGAAAGGAAGGTGTGTGGGAGTATGTGAGGGAGATCTGAGGGAGTGCTAATACAAGCAGTTGTTGCTAAAGCATAAACCGTGAGGTTGCAAATGAAAGGAGAGCTTCCTGGAGGCTAGACTTCGAAGGATCTTGAGCCATGGTCATGATATGGACAGACTTTTGTTTTGATCCACCTGCCAACAGTGAGGAGGATGGATTTGAAGAGGGCCTGGATATTGTAAACCAAGCATAAAATGAAGGTTTGGGCTAAGGACAGTAGGTAGCAAAGATGTAGAGGAGGTAAAATTAGCAGCACATGATGACAGATTGGGATGCAGGATATAGGAGGAGAGGGGGATAACAAGACACTGGCATTTCTAGATTGGGCAACTGAGTCGATGGTGGTTCCTGCAACCACAGAAGGCACAGAAGGAATCGCAGGTTAAAGTGGGAGGAAAAGATTTCGGGGATGCTGAGTTGAAAGTACCTGTGGAGGTGACCATCAGGAGATTTAGGTTCATAAATTTGAACTCGGAGAGATTTGGAATGAAATACAGATGTGGGAGCCAACAATCATATTTTGGAGTGATTTCCAAAAATATGACTGATTGAGAGTGAACTAAGCAATGAACCAAAGGAAGGACAGAAGAAGAAGGGCTCACAGAGGAGCCCAGGAAGTGGACAAAGAGTAAGAAGAGGACAGAGGTAAGAATCTCGAAAGAAGAGGTTATCTGCTTTTCTGTTTGTCTCCTCACTGAGGGTAGGATTGTGAGGTTGAGGAGTAGAAATAAGCCATAATCATTCATTGGTTAATTACTAAGTCTTTCCAGTTATTCAAAGCAGAGTTTAGAGAAGTCCTCAATAGTTTGGAAACCAGTAGTCCTAAACTCATAGCTGCAAACCTGTGTTCCAAGCCCTGCTCTGCCAATGCCTGCTTTGTGACTTGGCTAAGATACTGTCCCTCACTGTTTAAATGAGAGTATTAAATGCATAATTCCTGAGGCCCTTCAGGGAAATGGGCTCTTCATTATGATGAAAACATTGGAGGCAGCATTTGGAATGCAACATCTGGAAGATGACTCTGCTTTCTCCACAAGGATGAAGGTGGGTCCTTGCTGACACTGAATTTGGTTCAGGAATGTGGGAGACTGGACCTTTGTAAACATTCGCTTTTTCGAAACAGACACACGTAGATTGGAATGTAAGATTTTCAAACTGGTGATTGAAGCCAGTGTATAAAAGGACAATATTGAAAGGTAGAGCTTTTCAGATCCAATCAAATCCCCCTTTCAACAGTGTGCCCTTGCCAGGGACCCTGTGAGCTAAGGGAGAACAAGAGCTCTATTTCTGCCTGTGTAGCTGCTTCAACTCTAATAAGCTTTTATATTCATGGCTATTGAATTAGAGATCTTAATTAACTTTAGCATGGATGTATCCATGTGTGAGTGTGTGGATGTAGAATACTGTGGGGGTATGTGTGTATGTATGTGGATGTGTGTGTATGTATGTGTGTGTGTATGTGGATCTGTGTGTATATGAGTATGTGGGGGTGTGTGTATGTATGTGGGGGTGTGGGGCTGTGTATGTGAGTATGTGGGTGTGGTATGTATGTGGATCTGTGTGTATGTATGTGGGGGTGTGTGTGTATGTGAGTATGTGGATCTGTGTGTATGTGTGTATGTGAGTATGTGGATGTGTGTGTGTATGTATGTGGGTGTGTGTGGATGTGAGTGTGTGGATGTGAGTGTGGATGTGTGTGTATGTATGTGGGTTTGTATGTATGTGAGTGTGTATGTGAGTATGTGGGTGTGTGTATGTATGTGGATGTGTGTGTATGTGAGTATATGGGTGTGTGTGTATGTGAGTATGTGAGTTTGATGTGTATGTATGTGGGTGTGTGTGTGTATGTGAGTATGTGGGTGTGTGTGTATGTGAGTATGTGGATGTGTGTGGGTATGTATATGGTTGTGTGTGTGTGTATGTGGGGGTGTGTGTGTATGTGAGTGTGTGGGTGTGTGGGTATGTGAGTATATGGATGTGTGTGGGTAGATATATGGTTGTGTGTGTATGTATGTGGATGTGTGTGTGTTTGTGAGTATGTGGGTGTGTATGGGTATGTGAGTATGTGGCTTTGCGGTTGTGTGAGTGCATGGGCTCTTCCTACCCACTGTAACTCATCTGAAAGACTACAGGTTCCCTTTGATTCAAAGGTATGAGTTCTCACATATAATCAGTGAGTAATCTGCATAGGATCATACCAGAAAGTGTTATAAGATCTTCTATTGCAACCCTCCAGCCTTGGTTCAGACCAGTTATTTTTAAGGTGTTTTTGTATTTTTCTGTTTGTTTTGAGTTCATTGTACATTCACATGCAGTTGTAAGAAATAGTACAGAGAAATTCCTATTACCCTTCATTCATTTTCTCCTAATGGTAACATCTTGTGTAATCTTAGTACAATATGACAACTCAGAATGTGATAGTCCAACAATTCCACCTACCCTCAGATGCACACAGTGGTGTGTGCATGTGCATGATCATGTGTGTATACATTTAGTTCTATGCGATTTTTGTCACACATATAGGTTTGTGTGACCATCACCACAATTAACATTAGAACAGTTCCCTCACAAGCATCCCTTGTGCTACCCTTTCATACCTTTTATACTTCCCTTCCACCTACCTACCTGATCCCTGATAAGCACTAATCTGCTCTGTGATAATACATCTGTATGATTTTTGTCATTTCAAGAATGTCATATAAATGGAATAATACCAGATATAACTTGAGACTGGATTTTTTTCATTCAGCATAATTCCCTTGAGATCCATTGAAATTGTGTGTATCAAGAGTTTTTCCCCTTTTTGCTGAGTGGTATTCTATGATATGTACCTATTTGTTTAACTATTCACCCACTGAAGGACATTTGGGTTGTTTCCAGTTTTTAGCTATTATGAATAAAACTACTATAGATGTTCAACTACAGGTTTTTGTGTGAACATAAGTCCTCGTTTCTCTGGAATAAAGGCACAGGAATGTAACTGCTAAGTTATATGGTCATTGCCTATGTAGGGTTTTGTTTGTCTGTTTGTTTGTTTTTTGAGATAGAGTCTCGCTTTTGCCGTTCAGGCTGGAGTGCAGTGGCACGATCTCGGCCCACCGCAACCTCTGACTCCCGGATTCAAGCAATTCTCCTGCCTCAACCTCCTGAGTAGCTGGGATTACAGACACCCACCACCATACCAGACTAATTTTTGTACTTTTGATAGGGACGGGGTTTCACCATGTTGGCCAGGCTGGTCTCAAACTCCTGACCTCAGGTGATCCACCCATCTCAGCCTCCCAAAGTGCTGGGATTACAGGTGTGAGACACCGCGCCCGGCCACCTATGTAGTATTTTTAAGAAACTACCAAACTGTTTTTCCATAATGACTGCACCATTTTCCACTCTCACCAGCAGTGAATGATTCAGTTTTACCTCATCCTCACCAGCATTTGGGTGTTGTCATGATTTTTTATTTTACCCATTCTGGTAAATGTGTAGTAATATATCATTGTGGTTTTAACTTGCAATTCCCTGATAGCTAGTAATGTTGAGTATCTTTTTATGTGCTTATTTGCTATCTGTATATCCTCCTTGGTGACGTGTCTCTTTATGATATTTGCCTATTTTCTTATTTTTTTTTATTGTTGAGTGTTGAGAGCTCTTTACGTATTTTAAATATAAGTCTTTCGTCAAATATGTGTATTACAAGTATTTTCTCCCACATTGTAGCTCTTTTTATCCTCTTCATAAGGTTTCTCTCAAAGCAAAAGTGTTTAATTTTGATGTGATCCAATTTATCAATTCTTCCTTTTATTAATTATGTTATTAGTGCCAAGTCTATAAATTCTTTGCCTATCCCTAGGTTCCTAAGATTTTCTATGTTTTTTTTCTAGAAGTTTCATAGTTTCACATTTTATATTTAAGTCTATCATCCATTTTGAGTTAATTTTTGTACCAGCTATGAGGTTTAGATTGAAATTCTTCTTTCTCTTTCTCTCTTTTTGTTTATTTGTTTTTGGCCTGTGGATATCTAGTTGCTCCAGCACTATATATTTATTTTCCCAAATGCAAATAATGCTTTATTATCTGGATTTAAATTTTTCACTATGTATTTCTTAATCTAAGACTTTTGCCTTTTTTTTAATACTACACCTTCTGGCCTTCAACTCGTATATTCAAGAAGTGCAGAATAAGTGTAATATTAATTTAAGTAAAAGTTTAACAGATCTACTACATTATAGAGTGCAAATATAGTGATGTATTCCGAAAACAAATGGAATTCATTCCCAGGTCATGATATTCACACAATAAACACACACAGTAGAACTAATGACATATCCTACATGATGCTTGGACTTTACCTATTGGTACAGGATTCATTGTGGAACATTTCACAGATTGAATATGGTTTGGGTAAGAGCTTCCCCATCCCCATGGGCAACATCCTCATGGGCAATGTGAAACATTGTCAAAAGTTTTAGGGAACTGGATGATATCATTACAACGAACAAAAGAAAAGACTGTGGTAGGAAACAGGAGAAAGACTGGAGAAAGAGTATTCTTTTTTATGGAAAATAGCTTTAGAAATCATAATAATTCAGGGAGGACTGTAAAGAATTATGATTTGCTGAACATAGACATGTTCAATTTTATTTGTTCGAAAGTTTATGTCCACTAACTAATTGTATTGATTACTTTCAGACCATTGTTTTTCTATTTTCAAAGGAATGCAAATCCCTATTTTTGGTTTACTTTACATCTCTTTATTAAAATGCATGTTTCATTATTGTTTTAGTCTGAACACCTTTTATTTTGGGCTGACTCTGCTTGCTGTCTGCAGTTTCTCCCAAAAAAACAAAGAAATTGAGAACTTGAGTTGCTATTGAATCAAGATATTTGCCCTGAACTTGATTGTGTCATCAGTGGGAAAGTTACAAGTCTGATAAATGGTGACTGACTTGCAGGGTAAGAGGGAGGAAAAAATCAGCTAAGTATCTGATTAGAATCCTCCAGAGGCCGGGTGTGGAGGCTCACGCCTGTAATCCCAGCCCTTTGGGAGGCCAAGGCAGATGGATCACTTGGGGTCAGGAGTTTGAGATCAGCCTGGCCAACATGGTGAAACCCCGTCTCTACCGAAAAATAGAAAAAGTAGCCGGATGTGGTGGTGCAGGCTTATAGTCCCAGCTACTCAGGAAGCTGAGGCACAAGAATCGCTTGAACCCTGGAGGATTGTGCTACTGCACTCCAGCCTGGGCGACAGAGTGAGACCCTGCCTCATAAAGAAAAAAAAAATTCCTCCAAAGCAGATTTAACTGTAATGTAAATCAGTAGATCAGTCATCAAGGAACAGATCCGTAGGTTAAAATAGATGCCAGGACCACTAAATATCAGAACACAATTACAGGTGTCCCCTTACAATGGTTCCATTTATGATTTTTTGACTTGAGAAAATTATATGCATTCAGTAGAAATGATACTTCGAGTGCCCATATAATCTTTTCACTTTTAGTAGAGTATTCAGTAAATTACATGAGCTATTCAACACTTTATTATAAAATAGGCTTTGTATGAGATGATTTTTTTCCAATTGTAGGCTCATGTAAGTGTTCTGAGCACACTTAACGTAGGCTATGCTAAGTTACAATATTCGGTAGGTTAGGTGTATTCATTGCATTTTCGACTTATGATATTTTGAATTGATGACAGGTTTATCAGGACGTAACCCAGTTGTAACTCAAGGAGTATCTGTGTCACTTACTTCTTGTTGCTTGGGGTGAGAATTTGTCAGGTTTGTTTCCTAGTATCTTGCACACATTAAAACAAATGCTAGGATAGAAAGATATTGGAAGCAGGTGCAGTAGTATGGTGAAGTTAATTGAGGAAAGTCTTTCAAAGGTGCTCTGGAATCTTAATGATTTCCAAAACTGTTGCTTTTGAGCTTCCCTATCTTGCCTCTGGTAGCCTAATTAATACAGAATGACTTTTTAACTGGTACCAAGTTCCACTCCAGTTCAAATGACAGCTGTCAGGAGAATGTGGCTGAGAACTGAGGAGATTCTTAGTTATCTACTTATTTTTAGAAGATAGACGATACATATATATTTAATTATCTACCTATCTTTAGAAGTGTTTGGTTTAATGAGTGCTGTCATTCATAAGGTGTTTTAGAACCATGCTAGGTATTGTTGGGGCTCTAAACAGAGTTTGTTTTCAGATTATTTAATCATCAGCAGGGCTTCAATATCCTCCCATCCACCACAGCAAAGTAGAGAGTTATAGAGAAAATATAGTCTTTGAGGTGCATATAAAATAATGGAGGACCTATGGAAAATGCAAATATGCCAAAAATGCTACAGATACAACCAATGGTGTAACCAGTTGCAACCATACAGAATTATTCCTATTATTGAGGTTGTATATTTACTCTTTCAAGTGTGAGTCTCTGTAAGCGAGAAATCTTTTTTTTTTTTTTTTTTTTTTGAGACAGAGTCTCACTCTGTTGCCCAGGCTGGAGTGCAGTGACGTGATCTTGGCTCACTGCAACCTCCGCCTCTTGGGTTCAAGCAATTATCCTGCCTCAGCCTCCCAAGTAGCTGGGATTACAAGTATGCACCACCACGCCCAGCTAATTTTTGTATTTTTAGTAAAGATGGGGCTTCAGTAAGTGAAAACTCTTTAAGTTTTATGTGCTATTTGTGGCTTTACCACTTGAAAACCATTAGTGATCAATTCTAATTACTAAAGTAAACTTTCTTCTTAGCAGTAGACAGGAGTTAATCATCACTCTCCTAACTATTAATACTTCACATAGTTGTTCGCAAAATCAAATAAGATGAAGTATGTGGAAGTGATTGATAAGCCATAACGTGCTAAGCATGAAACGTGGTTTTATTATTATGTAGAACCTCACTGGGACTCACATATATAAAAAACGGATTAATCTGTTATAGAGTAAACACACCTAATAGCAATAATTTAAGCATATCCTTAAAAAGACCCTGTATGGTGGCCGGGCATGGTGGCTCACGCCTGTAATCCCAGCACTTTGGGAGGCTGAGGCAGGCAGATCACGAGGTCAAGAGATCAAGACCATCCTGGCCAACATGGTGAAACACTGTGTCTACTAAGTATACAAAAATTAGCTGGTCATGGTGGTGCGTGCCTGTAGTCTCAGCTACTAGGGAGGCTGAGGCAGGAGAATCCCTTGAACCTGGGAGGTGGAGGTTGCAGTGAGCTGAGTTTGTGCTACTGCACTCCAGCCTGGCAACAGAGTGAGACTCTGTCTCAATAGAAAAAAAAAGACCCTGTATGGAAGATACACCTGAATGTGTGTTACAAGCTAGGGAATCGAGAGGAGCCACCCCAGAGATTTGTTCCTTATCTATGATAAACACCTGAGCCTCTCCCCCATCCTGTGGAACACAGGCCATACGGGGGTTGAGGCCCTGAGTTTTGGAGTAAATGAAGGTTGCCAGGTGGAGGTTATTAGCAGGACGTTATTAAGTGAAAATACAATATAGACCACATGATGTCGGCAGGTGGTTGTAGTTTTTCTGGCCGGCCCTGCGCCGCTGGACTGTGTATGTTAACGGTGGAGGGTGTCCAGTTCTTGGCATCTTAAAGAATTGGCCAAAACACACAAACAAAGCAAGGAAGGAATGAAGGGTTTTATTGAAAATGAAAGTATACTCCACAGTGTGGGAGCAGGACTGAGCTTAGAGGCTCAAAGGCCCTGTTACAGAATTTTGGGGAGTTTAAATACCCTTTAGAGGATTCCGTTGGTTACTTGGGATACGCCCTATGTAAATGGAGAGGATGAAGTAAAGTTACAAAGTCATTTATGGCATATGCCCTATGGAGACGATATTTCCTGTTGTAGCCGAAGTGTGAATGTTTTACCTGCCTCTAGACCCATTTTCCTGCCTCATCTTCCCCCTGAGAGATGTGATCCCCATAAATCTTTATGGGAGGCAGAGGGATCGATGGTGGGAAGGCAGATATATTGTCCAGCCCACCACTGGACCCTCTCCCCATCACATAAGCCCCTAATAAAACCCTGTATCTCATTTGCTGGCCTTGGGTCTCTTCTTCAGTCTCTTGAACCTGATGCCTTCCCTATTGAGGTTAATAGAGGTTTGGCACAACATCTGTGGTTTCCACCTGAAGTCTTTCTCTCACATTTTGTGTAATTCTTGGCTGTTGCTCATGGCTTTGGCTTTGGTTTAGGTCCCTCTTCTTGATTTCTCTCTTTCTCTCTTATACATTTTAAATTTATTTTTAATTGATAAAAATTGTATTTATTTTTGGTGGACAACATGTTTTGAAATATGTGTACACGGTGGAATGGCTAAATCAGGCTAATTAACGCATACATTACCTTGTATGCTTTCTTTTTTGTAATGAGACTACTTAAAATCTACTCTGTTAGCAATTTTCAAATATACAGTACAGTACATTGTTATTAATGACAGTCACCATGTTGTACAATAGATCTCTTGAACTTATTCCTTCTATCTAAACTGAAATTTTGAATCCTTTGACAAACCTCTCCCAGCTCCTCCCCCAGCCCCTGATCTCTGCTTCTCAGTTTTACTTTTATAGATTCCACATAAGTGAGATCATGTGGTATTTGTCTTCCTGTGCCTGGCTTATTTCACTTATGTCTTCAAAGTTCATCCATGTTGTCACAAATGGCAGTATTTCCTTGTCTTTTAAGGCTGAATAATGAATGTTCCATTATATATATATATTTCTTTCCTTTGCCTTTTCCCTTCCCTTTATTTCTGATTCATGCCACCTGGCCAGTTTTTTATGTTGGGTGGGCACGTTTGTTCCATATATATATAATGGAATATATATGATATGTATACCTTACAGTTTCTTTATCCATTCATCAGTCTATGGGCACTTAGGTTGATTCCATATCTTGCTATTGTGAATAATTCTGCAGTGAACATGGCAGGTATCTCTTTGACTTACTGATTGTATATCCTTAGGATATATACCCCATGGGATTCTGGGATCATATGGTAGTTCTTTTTTTAATTTTTTGAGAAACCTCCATGCTGTTTTCCATAATGGCTACTAATTTACATTTCCACCAACAGTGTACAATGGTTTCCTTTCCTCCACAACCTCTCCAAATCTTATCTTTCATCTTTTTGATAGTAGCCACTTTAACAGGTATGAGACGATATCATATTGTAGTTTTAATTTGCATTTCCTTGATGATAAGTGATGTTGAATTTTTATATGTGTATCTGTTGGCCATTTGTATGTCTTCCATTGAGAAATACCTATTCGGGTCCTTTGCCCATTTTTCAATTGGATTATTTGTTTTCTTGCTATCCAGCATAATTTATTGAAAAGGCTGTCTTTCCTTCAGTGAATTGCTTTTTTACCTTTGTCAAAAATCAGTTGGGCATATCTAGGTGGGTCACATTTGGTGTTTCCTGTCTGTTTCATTGATCTATGTGACTATCCCTGCACCTATAGCACACTCTCTTGACTATTATAGCTATATAGTAAGCCTTAATATGAGGTAAAGTGATACGTTCCACTTTATTTTTCTTTTTTCAGAATTGCTTTAGCTAACCTGAGGCCTGGAACTTTTTAAATAAATTTGATATAAATTTTAGAATGAGCTTGTGTGTGTCTACAATAGAGTTGCTGAGATTTTGATAGGAATTGCGGGTAAAGCTATGCATTCATAGCTTGAGAGAATAGATGATGTCTTTATTATGTTGAATCTTCAAATCCATTAACACAGTATGTTTCTGTATTGACTTAGGTCTTTGACTTCTTTAAGCAGCATTTTATAATTTTCAGGATACAGATCCTGTATATGTTTTGTTAATTTATACCTAAGTATTTCACTTTTTGTAACAATTATAAGTGGTAATACTATTGGTAATTGTAAATGGTAATGTTAAATTAATGAGTGTTCTCTAAGAGACCTCTCCCAAAACATAACAAAGAAATGTAGGGTTAAAAACAGACCAGAAAAATATCTGATCATAGTTGATGCTTTATGTGATAACATGCCTTCCTGTCTGAAGGAGCTGGAACTGAGGCACCTTCCCAGTGAGGTTGATGACCAACTGCAACTCCAAGTTTTATCTAGGAACCTTTTTTATATTCTTTGACTCAGTATCTGAGCTAAGTGATCTTGATCTAGTTCTTCACTTCCCTGAGGTTTAATTTCCCTTATTATACAATAAAAATGATAATGCCTTCTTTACAAATAATACTGAGTAGATGCAATTAAAAGAGACAGCGTATGTAAAAGCATCTGGCACATAGTAAATGATCAAGAAATATTTCCTTCGTTTCTCTCCTCCCTTTCCTTCCTCCCTCCTTTTTTTCTTTCCTTTTCTCTTATCCCTTCCCTTTATTCCTGATTCATGCCACCTGACCAGTTTTTTATGATGGGTGGGCACGTTTGCTCCCATCTAGGGAGGGCTGTTAATCTAGCAACAGCTTGGCTGGTTGAATTGGAGGCCGACTCCCTCATTCCCAGCTCGTCCCCCAGAATTCCTCTACCATATATCATTCTGCTGGGTGATGTAACAATGAAAATTATTAAATAATGAAGTCAGTGTCTTCCATCTAAATTCTTTATGCTGAGCAGCTCAGTGACTTTTAGCACGTGATGAGCCACCTTTCGGTGTTTTCACAAAAGGAAACTGGTCTATAATAGTTACTTATGACGAGGAGACCTAAAAATGCCTCTAACACATAACTGATGCCCCTCGGGCCTTTTATGATTTGGGTGTGGGCCTCAGCAAAATACAGAATGGTAGAGAAGCAAGCTCATAATTTCATGCAGAGACTGTCCTGAAGTTCTTGGACTGAGCCCAGAGCAAGGCTCAGATGAGAGTGAGCCAGTGGAGGTTAGTCATCCTCCTGGTGGAATCCATCCTGTACCAGGGATGGCTCTATGTGGAGGCCCCAAAGAAATGAGGCAAGGGAAAGTAATTTCTCCTTTAGAAATTCAAATTAAACCGGAGCCACTAAAGAGCTGACTATTTTTCTTCTTCTCCCCATTCAGCAAGTGTTCATCCAGATAATTTGGAGTAATCCCTTCCCTCGTAGCCCCAGTAGTAGCTACCAGCCAGGCAGATGCCACAGGGCTGGCATAGGCCTCAGAAGCCCTTGAAGCTGCAGGCTGGGGGCATCTGCTACAGCATCCTACTTGTTGTCAGAGGACCAATTCTCCTAACTGGTCAGCAGCCTGGAGAGATTATGTCATCCACTGTCCTTCACCCATGGGTGTCAAACCAAAATAAAATTCAAGGGTTAGAAAACATCCAGTGCAACTCTAGCCTTGCAGGATGTCTCATGAGAAGAAAAAACTTTTGTTGAAAATCTGCTTATTTTGCATTAGAAATAAAAATGCCTCTTTGATATTGCATTGGTTTAGGATGCAGAGAGACACAGAAATAGACCTTCAAATAGCTTTTGGTTATTGCTAATATATTTTTAAATGTTCTTCAAGGGCTGCTTGTCCCAGGGATAATTTCTGTCTTGGAGTTTTCCCCTTCAGGTTCTTCTAGTGGAGGTCATTAGAATGGGAGTGTTTAACCCAGAAGATTAGTCAAGAGGAGTCAGTTGGCCTCTGCCACATGACTGCCAAATGTCTGATGCACCCACCCTGAATTCATCTCACTTGGACACCTCTGGAGATGAATGCCTAATGCAATGGTCCCTGACCACAGTGAGCTCTCCCATGCTAATCTCTTCCTCTTCTTTCTCCAGCAAGGACTGAAAATAGTTCACCATGCAGAAAAGACACTGTCTAGCTTCTGCAAGTGGCAGAAGAGTATCAATCCCAAGAGTGACCTCAATCCTGTTCATCACGACGTGGCTGTCCTTCTCACCAGGTACACCAGAGACTACATGAAACCCAGGGGCAGTAAAGCAGGGAGGGATGGCAGGTGAAAGGCTTACCAGGTGTTCAAACCCATGACATTCTCACTATTCTTTGCTGCTCTTGTAAAGACAGTGTCTTTGATCTAGTCAACTCCTGACTTCCCTATCAGTAGAGGAAACAGTTTAACAAACTTGCTAATACGACAAAGCTCTCCTTGTTAATAAACTGCATCTGCTGGCAAAATGCAGGCCTCTTTACTATCCCACTGATGATTTCCTTTTTAAAACTGGTTTCTTCATGTAGCTCTATAAACAATCAGGAAGCTTGCTTGCAGAGCCTCATTAAAGACTCTTGTTACTTTTAACCAGTGGGATTTCCAATCCTTTGCTATTTTATTTTTCTCCAATGTAGAAACATGAAATATCTTTACAGAAATCTGTACACCTTTTAACTGTTTGATGCTGAGGATAGGATATGAGGAGCAGGTCCCCGCTGAGTAGGCAGACTGGTTTGGTTACATCTTTCTCCCATGAAAATATCATTTTGTTCTAATCACAATAGAGCCTATAGTGCTAATAAGAACCATCAAACCTTCCAGGACTCATAGCTGTAAAAATCCAATGAACTTTCTTGATCAACTCTTGCTCTTTGAAGGCTATGTTTGCTCATTGATTCAATAAATATTTATTGAGCACCTACTATATACTAGGCACTATTTTAATCTAGATGAAAGAAGGGCTTATATTAGAATGGGGTAAAGTAAATTCTTCTTGGGCTCCGTATGCCTATTTGTCCAGAAATCCAGGTATGTATAGTAAAGGAGGCCTCTTGGCCCTGCCCTTCAACCACAGAGAACTTCAAGCACTGAAAGGCCCTTGGTGTGCACTGTCCCTTTGGAGGATAGGCTGCCCATGAACATTTTGGCCCTGTGATCTGTCCCTGTGATAAGATCATCTCAATGCATAGAATCCCTACAAGGAAGGATAATCAGCCCCCACCCTATCCAAATGTCTACCTTGCCCTGATCCAAAACTCCAGTCATCAGAATCACTCTTTTGAGTGAAGGTATTCAAACGCTGGTTAAATGTGAATGTATCCCACAGGAAGTTTTTGACATAAGCCTGTGACAGTAGGTACATTAGGTTCTAAGACACCTTGGGTTGATCAATAGGTCCCCTGGGAAATAGCATGGGTGTGGAATGTAAGCACGGGGACTCTGGGGAGCTAGCAGACAGCCTGGGGACACCGAGGACCTGATCAAGAGGCCAGGTGAAGGCTTCAGTCAGACAGAAACTTCTGTAGGGAAGAACCCCAGAGTCAGGGAATGGCATTGCCCACTAAGTTGTGTCTCAGAAAGTCTTTCCTTCCCCTGAGAGCAGATTCAGATGCTCCTGTCATTCTCACCTGAAGAAATGAGTGAGTTAATGATAGCTTACATGTGTGAAATGTTTGATATGGACCAGGCACTGTGCTATGTCTATTAGAACAGCCATTGTTCCATTTACTTCCCACAAGGACACTGGTAGTTGGCTACTATTAATCATTCATATTTTACATTATAGGGAAACTGAACCTTGGTTATGTCTCTTGCCCAAAATCTCATTGCTGTTAACGGGTACAATTGGGACTTAAGTCCAGGTAGTTTGACCCCAACAGCCATAACTTAGCTATTACCCAATATGAATACGAAGGATCTGATCTCCTTTTTTTCTTATAGTCACTTTCCTTCCTTAGGACAGGGGTCTGTTTGCATAAAAGTGTGTTGAACCTCAACAGCTCCTAGACAGTGGAGAGCATTTCAAGTTCTATAGCAGTATTTCCCACCCTCAGCACTATTAACATTTGGGGCTGATGATTCTTTGTCGTTGGGCCTATCTTGTGCATTGTAAGATATTTAGCAGCATATCTGGCCTCTACCCATGAGATGTCAGTAGCACTCTCCTCCAAGCTCTGACAGCTGAAACTGTCTGCAGACATTGCCAAATGTCCCTTAGGAGGGGGTGAAGAGCAAAATCACCCACCCTCATTGAAAACCACTTGCCTGAAAAGATAGGTAGGATCACGAAGGGAGGGAGGTATGAGACTGAGCTTTGCCTCTGAGAGACTATCCTGAGATCCACATTAACAGAGTTCTCTACAGAACAGCATTCAGTAGATGGAAGATTTGGCATGAAACACACCCAATGTGGGTTCCACATGTGCAGCTAGTGGCTGCTGCAAGCCAAGGCATATTTTCTGTTACATAGTGGCCCCAGTGCATGGTGGAAGTAGAGCTTAAGCTGCTGGCCTGTAAGAACCATGTTCCTATAATTCTTTTGTTAGCCACTTTTTTCTTTAGTGCTGGACACTTCAGAGGCACTCTATAATCAGTATTTAATGTGCCTGACCTCCTGCCATATCAAAATGAGAAAGTCAGGGGATCAGCAATGAGCACCATTCATCTTTTTCCAGCAGCTTCACACAGACCTGGACTTTTTGAATGAAATAATAACAAGTGCATTCTGCAGCAGGGGTAGAAAAGTGTTTGATTGGTTCTCTTACAGACCTAGAAGTTACGTAAATGACTGGGCTGTATAATCTCGCTCTCCAGTACTGAACCCCCAGTAACTGCTGCTGCTAGTGAGAGTGCGGATTTGAGTTTGTGGTGCATGTGCTGAGACTGGGCCTGCTCTTTCCTGTCCTATTACCCCAGCCATTGCAACCTGGAGAACTGAAGATTCACATGGGTTCTCAAAGTCTGGATCTTTTCCATGTCCCAATGGATGAAAAAAGCAGACCATTTGCTGCTAGAAATGGTGCCCACACAAACCCCGTTAGCTGCTGGTGTTCAATTAACTAGAGCTCATAACATTGTGGCCATTTCTGCTAGTCCCTCTTGGCAAAGAGCTCCTTTTGTGCTAAAGAAAACCTAGTGACTAATTAGTGACTCTTTCAAAAGTCTTGTCCGTGATTGAAATAATCTCTACCAGTTTATGGGAGCATGTTTTTTCTATTTAAAAGCCATAATTAGTATTTTCTGAGATTCTAGATGTACATGCACACACAGGCATGCATTCTCTCATATATGCAATATTGTTAGTGGAATGGGGCTGGATAGACAAGTATTAAATCTCTGGATAGGTTGATGGGACCAACTATCTTTTTCATGAATGGGAAAAAGAAGTTCTTAGATGAGTTTTGAACACAGACCTCAGAAAGACTAAAAAGGATTTTCATATTTGAAAAACTCCAGTCACTGCTGATTGTTCCTTCCCTATTTAAAACTTCAAATTAACTTGAGTTTTCAATAAAATCTTTTGTTGGCCAAATCATGTAATTTGACCTCCCGAGATCCAGAGCAAAATAAGCTCAAAATAACACATTTGCTATATTTTCCCACATTCTGTGTTGGTGAAATTCAGTAATCAAAAGGTAAAATCAGAATCATCTCAGTGAATTCAAAATTGCTGCCTACATTCATGTAGACTTTTTAAAAAATGCCAAGCATACTTTACAGACCATATTGAATGTGAGTTTATACCCAGATTTTTTTCCAGGAGGTTTTTCCAGATGTTCCTTTGGGCGCCTTAGCTTCTGTATTCTCTGCTTTCAGAAAGGACATCTGTGCTGGTTTCAATCGCCCCTGCGAGACCCTGGGCCTGTCTCACCTTTCAGGAATGTGTCAGCCTCACCGCAGTTGTAACATCAATGAAGATTCGGGACTCCCTCTGGCTTTCACAATTGCCCATGAGCTAGGACACAGGTAAAGGGCCAATGATAGGGAGGTTTGCTCACCATATTCATGTGTCAATATCAGCAGAGAGAATTTGAGGTGAACACACCTCAAATTGGGGGTCAGGAGACTCAGATTATACTGTGGCTTGTGACTCACCCTCCTCAACCTCTGCTTTCATCTGTAAAGTGGGGATAGTAATGCACCTCATGGGCTCCATTGTCTCCACTGCCCAGACCATGTATACTCACACATATCACAGAACCAAATAGGCCACTCCAGTTCTCTGGATTAGAATGGAGGAAGGGCAGAGATAAGCTTGAACTCAGTTGTTTAATTGAGGAATAACCCTTGGTTAGTTCTTATGAAATGATAATGTTAATATCACTAAAAAGCCATAAAACCTAACATTTTTGCACCTTACTTTGTGCCATTGTGCTTTTCATTGCATCATTGAATCTGCTTAACAACCTCTTGAAATAGATGGTACTGTTAGTCCCGTTTTACTTATGTTTATTAAAGGAGGACATGGAATAAATAAAAAATGGAAAACTGCTGTAAATTTGGAAAGACTATAATGTGAACACCAGTTAACTGGATGTCCAAGTTGTTCACAAAAATGTGTGAATTTGATTAGGTGAATTCCTTGAAGGCAGGTTTCAGAATGCTTGAGTGAAGATATAATGAGATTCTGAATTCACCAGATATCAGAGGTTTCCATGGAGGAAAGTTCTTAGCTTATTTGTAACTTTCTTTGCTGTTATATTTGCTAACCACAAATAAGAGAGCATCATACTAATAGGAAACTGGGTGGGGAGGCACATGAACAGCTGAATTATATCCCCTGCCTGTCATGTATCCACCAGCCTGGATCTCCTCCCTTTGAAGAAGGAAAAATGCTGGGGAATATTCTTAGTGCACAACTAGAAAAGAGGCAGGATTGGAAAAAACACTGGAGACTGAATTATTCCAGGCCTGGCCTCTCCAGTTTCAGCTTGCTCACCATTTTTCTAATATAACATTTGGACTTTCTAAAACAATTTTACCTACATTATAAAGCCAGAGCATTGCTTTGAGAATTGGAGAAACAGAATTGTTGTTCTGACTTTTCTACTGACCAATATTATGACCTTAGATAATTCCCTTCACCACTCTATACCTGTTTCCTCATCTATAAAATGAGTAGGTTGAACTAGGCAATATCTAAGGTGATTTATTGGATTCTCACCAAAAAGGCCTTGGTTATAAATGTGGTATATTCCAGTATCCTTAGTTATCAAAAATTCAGAGATAGAGAAGCTAAGTGACTTGCTTTCATTAAATAATAATTAGGGATGCAGGGGAGCTGGCCATCTTGATGAGGCTAGGCCATAGTTGTTGGCATGTCGATAATAAAACCTGGCAAAATGTTAAGTTATTGTTATGCACAAACAGACAGGAGTCCCCAGTTCTGAAATGTGGAAGGACATGGCCCCTGTGGCCTTCAGTCAAGACATTGCTGTCAACAGTACCTGCTGGCCAAACAATGCTAGGTGACTGTAACTGGGTCAAACTGAGAAGTTATCACTCAAGCCATCCCAACAATGGTATACTCAAACCAAAGAGAAATGGAAAAGACTTTGCTTGATAAAAGACATTTTCGAATCCTCACTTTTTGTGTTCCAAGGATGGATTCTTTCTATCCTCAAGTTCAACCTGATCTTGTAACAAGAATATGTTAAGCATGTCCTTCAAAAGCAATGTTGCCCAATTTTTGAGGCAATCATGGACTTAACTTCCTGGGCATGGACACTTCACCTTTGTAAGGAAGGCCACCTAAGTAAACAAAGCTAAGGGCAAGTATGATCCTCCTTCCAGATTTCAAATTTTCTCTAATAAAGTTAAGAACCTCATGGTAACATTACTTGGGCACAATTTCTCCGAACACTTAAAAACAAATAGTGGTAGATGTTTAGTAGTTATTGGGAGTGGTGGATTATTTAACAGACTAGAACTGAGTCACTACCTGAATCACTTTGATATTGTAGTAAGTTTAAACTGAACACTCGTTCAGAACTATCTGATGCATTGTGGAAATAAAACTACTATAAGGTTTCTTTATCCTATACTTTTGTTGTTATTATTGTTCTATTTCAAATTATGCAGGAAAAAAGTGAGGATCTAGCTCCTAAAAAAACCTCTAACTAAATATCAAGTTTCTAAGTAAAAGAATTAAAGAACACTGAAGGCAGAACTAGAGAACCGTCTTTGAGTTTATTCAGAAAGCCATTATTCTCAGCAAACTAACACAGGAACAGAAAACCAAATACCTCATATTCCCACTCATAAGTGGGAGTTGAACAGTGAGAACACATGAACACAGGGAGGGGAACATCACACACTGGGGCCTGTCGGGGTTCAGGGGAAAGGGGAGGGATAGCATTCGGGGCATACCTAATGCATAATCTAGGCTTAAAACCTAGATGATGAGTTGATGGGTGCAGCAAACCACCACGGCACATGTATACTTATGTAACAAACCTGCACATTCTGCACATTATCCCAGAACTTAAAGTAAAATTAAATTAAATTAAATTAAATTAAATAAATAAAACTAAAAAAAAAAAAGTCAACCCCGAGACAAGGATTTGAGAGCAATTAATTTATGTGGAAGGTAAAGGAAATACCAGTAGGGAAGTAGGGTGTAAAACAGAACAGGGAAGGTAGACAATAAACAATTCATTATCTCAGCTTCCACTCTGAGCAGTTGAACCTTAATCCCATGGACAAACTCCAAGAACGATATACAACACACGTTTCAGAGTTACCCTACCCAACGTGAGAAGAACTGGGCTGTTTTATATACCAACACCCTTAAGTTGTTGGTTAGAGGCTGTTCCCAGAGGTTGTTATTAATAATTCCTTGATACTTTCAGCAGAGCAGTCTAATTGGCTCTGGAGAAATCCCAGGTAAAGAGATGCATATACTAGCAGCTGGAAGGCAGCTAGTAGTGAGTCTATGAACAGGTACCAGTAGCATCTGTTACCAATAACTTACTCAGGGGCATTAAATGCTGCCCCTTAGAAAGTTATAAGTCATGGAAGATAGAATATACATACTTTTCCATATGCCGTCTACTAAGTATGATGAAAAACACTGAACACTATATCAAAAACAAACATAGGAAGACTGAAAGATGGAGAGAAGGAAGACAGGCTGAGGACCACAGAACCTGAAGAGTGACATGGTGGTGAATTCCCTGGCTTTTCTTTTCTCTCATATATGCCAGACTTGGAACTGATGATGGCAACAACCTGGAAATACACACACACACACACACACACACACACACACACACAAAATCACCCACATACGCCTGTTCTCTCTATCCAAAGGAGTAGGAAAGGGACAGTCTAACAAGGCAGAAAATTCTAGACAGTAACTCTTCTACTCCAGGTGAACAGCAAAGGAAAGAAAAAACTGTACAACTGTGGCTCTATGCTAGAAAAGTCTGAGTGGGAAGCCTAGACTTGCATCTGTGTGAAGCTATAACAAAGCATCAAACACCACTACTTGGGTAGTGTCAAAAAGACCAGTTAGGGACTAAGACTTTGATCCCTACAGGCCAGTAATGAGGGCTCCCCTAGCCCCACCCCTGTGGTGTCAGGACAGATTACATGGGGAGCCAGAAATTTCATCCACCCCTAGACAGTAACAAGGAGCCATCCCTTTGACAACTCAGGTACCTATAGAGGCTTGGCAGTATTGAAGCAGTGGCCCCACTCCCTTCCCCTCCAGAGTAGTGTCAGAAAAGCAAGCTAAAACTGAAGATTTAAATAAGATCCATAACATAATATAAAAACCTCCAGGTTTCAATATAAATCACTCATTATACCAAGAACCAGAATATCTCAAACTGAATGAAAACAAAGAATGTCAAGAGATGACAGATTTTAGAATTAGCTGACAAATATTTCAAAGCGGCCATGGTGAAAAAGCTTCAATGAGCAATTATCAACAACCTTTAAACAAATGAAAAAATAATGTGTCAGCTAAGAAATAAAAGACATGAAGAAGAGTCAAACATGTAGAACTGAAAAATGCAATAATGTAAATAAAAAGCTCAGTGAACACTAGGGCTCAACAGTAGAATGGATGAGAAAGAGGAAAGAATTAATGACCTAGAAAATAGAACAATAGAAATTATGTAATCTGTATGAGCAAAGAGAAAGAGACTAAAAGAAATTGAACAGAGCTTCAGAGACCCGTGAGAATATAACAAAAGATCTTACGTTCATGTCATTGGAGCCTCAGAAAGAGAGGAAAAAGACAATGGCATTGAAAAAGTGCTCAGAGAACAAATGGCTGAAAATTCTGCAAATTGGATGAGACATAAACCCACATATTTAAGAAGGTGAGAGAAACTCAACCAGGTTAAACCCAAAGAAAATCCATGCCCAGGCCTATCATAATTAAACTTCTGAAATCTAAAGAGAAAGGAAAATCTTCAAAGCAGCAAGAGAGAAAGGATACCCCATCTATAGGAGGGAAACTATTTGAGTGACAGTGGATTTCTCATCAGAAACAATGGAAGCCCAAAGAAGAGGTGCAATATTTTTCAATGTTAAAAGAAAAGACCTGTCGACAACCAAGAATCATAAACCAAATAAAGTGCATGAGAAGGGAAAACTTTCTAATTCATTTTATGCAGCTAGTATTACCCTGGCACTAATTTCAGACAAAGACAATGCAAAAGAGAAAACTAAAGAACAATATCCTTCAGGAATATAGATGTAAAAAAATTAACAAAATATTAGCAAGTAGAATTCAGCAATATAAGAAAAAAAGAATTAGACACAATGACCAAGTGGGATTTATTTCAGGGATGCAAAGCTGGCTCAATATTTGAAAATCAGCATAATCCACCATTGTAACAGGCTAAACAAGAGAAACCACATGATTATATTAATATTAATTTTAGTAGATAAAACATTTGACAAAATTTGACATCTATTCATCATAAAAACACTCAGAAACTGAAATTTCCTCAACTTGATAAAGAACATCTTCAAAAAATTTAAACCTAATATTATACTTAATGCTAAATCACTGAATATGTTTCCCCTAAGATCAAAAACAAGACAACGATGTCCATTCTCACCACTTCTTATTCAACATAGTACTAATAGTTGCAGCCAGTACAATAAGATAAGGAAAGGAAATAAAAAGCATACATATGGGAAAGAAAGAAACAAAACTATCCCTGTTTGCAAGTAACATCATTGTATATGTGGGGGACCCCATATACAATGAGAGAACTGATCTTTGACTAAGTCTACAGAAATATACAATGGGGAAAGGACACCATGTTTAATAAATGGTGCTGGCAAAATTGGATAGCCACACGCAGAAGAATGAAACTGGACCCCTATCTCTCACCACATACAGAAACTAACTCAAGATTGATCGAAGACTTAAATGTAAGTCCTGAAACTACAAAAATCCTAGAAGAAAGAAACTCTTTTGGTCCAGGCAAAGAATTTATGGCTAAGACCTTAAAAGCAAATGCAGCAAAACAAAAAATAACCAAATGGGACTTAATTAAACAAAAAAGCTTCTACACAGCAAAAGAAATAATCAGTGGAGTAAACAGACAACCCACAGAGTGGAGAAAACATATGTAAACTATACATCTGACAAAGGACTAATATCGAGAATCTATTAGGAATTCAAACAACTGAACAAGAAAAAATAAACAACCCCATTAAAAAGTAGGAATAGGATAAGAACAGACATTTTTCAAAAGAAGACACAAAAGTGGCCAATAAACATATAAAAAATCCTCAACATCACTAATTATCAGAGAGATGCAAATTAAAACCACAGTGAGGTATTATCTCACACCAATCAGAATGAGTATTATTTAAAAAATCAAAAAAGGACAGCTATTGGCAAGGATGTGGAGAAAAGAGAATGCTTATACACCACTGTGGTTGGAAATATAAATTAGCACAAACTCTATGGGAAACAGTATGGAGGTTTCTCAAGAGCTAAAACTAGAGCTATCATTCGACCCAGCAATCCCACTACTGGTTAGGTACCCAAAGGAAGAGAAATTATTGTGTAAAAAAGATACCTGCACTCGTATGTTTATTGCAGCACTATTCACAATGGCAAAGTCAGGAATCAACCAACAGATGACTGGATAATGAAAATGTGGTATATATAGACCACGGAATACTACACTGCCATAAAAAAGAATGAAATCATGTCTTGCGCAGCAACATAGATGGAGTTGGAGACCATTATCCTAAGTGAAATAACTTAGAAAATCAAATACCTCATATTCTCACTTACAAGTGGGAGCTAAACAATGAGTATGTATAGACATACAGAGGGAAATTATAGACACTGGGGACTCCAAAAGCTGGGGAGAGTGGGAGGAGAATGAGTTGAAAAGTTACCTACTGGGTACAACGTTCACCATTTGGGTGATAGGTACACTAGAAGCCCAAACCTCAGTGTTATGCAATGTATCTATGTAAAAGACCTGCACATGTATCCCCCAAACTTATAAAAATAAAGAATAGAAAAAAACTGTTAAGGTGCCTCTCAGGTACTTCTTTTTTAGTTGTATAATTCTAATTAGCTGTGGATCAAACTAAGAAACATTGGCGAGATCAACGAAATGGCCTGGGACAGACCATAAGGAGAAAAATATATTAAAACAATATCCCAAGAAGACACCCATCATAGTTTAATAACAAAGATATCCCTTTGTTTTTTGCACACTTGTTTGTTTCATCACTGATTGTGTATAATGCAAAAGAGAAAGTAACTTGTGCTATCACCCAAGTGAATAATTTTACTTTTATTTTGAGAGAAAACTTAAAAATCCATTTGTGAGGGCCCTAGATTATATGGCTTGGTGTATCGACATATCCACAGATAAGAAGATCATTATTCATGTAGGTTTTTAGAACCTTGCTTGCAGTTTAGGATTTTAACTACTGAACAGTCAAACTTGTAGAGTACCTCATGCTCTGGGTGGGGCTGGATTTGTAGCAGGCTAGGGAAAACCTGCTCAGAAGGAAGCTTTCGTTGAACCACATTCTTTGTGGGTGTGTGGTAAGAGCTTTGTACATTGATTCTCTGACTCCTTTGTGAGTTTTATATTCATGTGGAATGTGATTAGAGTTTGTTAAGTACATTGATAATACCATAATGCATGAAAACACAAGAAAATCTCCAAATCCCCCAAAGACTCTTCTCAGCAAGAGTTGCTAATACTGATCAGAAGGTTTCATTAAAGTTGGATATGAGCTTCCCAGTCAGACGAGTTGAATTTCACTACAAAGAGTAAAAGGTCATACAGATTTAGAAATTTAAGCCAATGTCTCCAGGTTTAAATGTCTAGTGTCTCAAAGTCCACCCCAGTGGAGAGAGTTCTGGGAATCTCAGAAAACGTCTTTGGGTGATCTTGAGAACGTGGCTTATAAACAAAGGCTTCTGAATTGTCTTCTTCCCTAGGCACCCTCGTGCCATGGTGGATGGTTAAGCTTTTCAAGGCCCTTAAAGGCTGCTTCACTGGGTCAGCCCTGGCAATGGAAGGTCAGGGAACAGACCAAGTGACACATGGACAAGAGTACTGTGTTAGGAGCCAAAGATCTGTGTCTGAAACCTAGTTTTACCACTAACAAGCTATATGATTGTTGACAAATCTCAAAGTCTAAACTTTTTCATATGGAAAAGGAAAATAAGCTAGATCATGATAAAAAGAAAACAAGAATGTTTTTTTAAAAAAATTCTATCCTTGGTGAAGCCCTTATTATCTGCCAGGTACCCTGTTAAATTGTTTTCAAACTTTATTCTATTCAGATCTCATTGTAGCACTAGGATGACTACCCCATCTTCTAGGAGAAGAAAATGAGGCAAGTTTTAATGATTTACAGGTCATTTAAGTGGCAAGGCTGGAGTTCAAATACAGATCATCTGTCTTAAAAATCCTGCTGTTAACACTGAATTAGGAGGACTCCTGTAGCAATAGTAGAAAGACATTGATCCCTCAAAGCTTGTAGGCTTTGACAAAGTCTCCCAGAGGCTTCTCCTTTCATGCTGTCTCTTAAATTCTGATGAAAAGGGAGAAGGAAGGTTTTGTTCTTTTGTGCTGTGCACTGTGGTTGCTGCAGCAGGAGAAAGCAAATAGCTGGGGGCAGGATTTGCCTTCCTGACTCCTGATTCATAGAAAGAAAGCCAGACAGAGCTCTTAGCCTTCTGCCAAGCAGAAGTTTCTGAATTAGCTGCATGACTCCCATGGATGCATATTTGAGGTAAAGCATGCCTACAATGCTCCCTGTCCTTTTTCATTTGAAAATTAGCTATGCCCCTCCGACTTCAAAGTCTCACTTTGCAAACAGTTGCCTTCTGTACAAACGTGGCTGTCTGTGAGTTATTACGCTCTTAGGGAAACTATGGTTTTTCTTCCTGTTTAATGCCTGCCTGCTGGCTCTTCTTGTGCTTGGTTCTTCCCTGCCAGCTTCGGCATCCAGCATGATGGGAAAGAAAATGACTGTGAGCCTGTGGGCAGACATCCGTACATCATGTCCCGCCAGCTCCAGTACGATCCCACTCCGCTGACATGGTCCAAGTGCAGCGAGGAGTACATCACCCGCTTCTTGGAGTAAGTGACAGTGTCTCATGACGCCCTCACCTGGGTCTCTTTAAATTGGAAGCTGCATTGAGTTTTACACAGAGAAGCTGATGCCTGGAAAAGGCTGGATTCCATCCCACAGGCCACCATGTCAGGGTGGCATCAGAAGGGGCGGATTTCACTTCTGCATTCTGATCCTGAGGTCTAGATGGGCTCTGCCCTCTTGTCACAGGCAGGTGAGCATCCTGTCCCATCCCAGATTGCTCCTGCCCCAAAATAGCTTTCTATGAGCCAATTATGAATTAAGTCCTTGGGAACTGGCAGGAACACCCAACAGAGATAAGAGTGGTCATTCAAACCTCATTGAGAGTAGGATAATGATTTTCTAATTTTACCATGGCTTGTATTTTCTAGATAAACTAAGCTTATGTTGTGGGATATGATTTGCATTTTCTTTAATAACTCCCATGATGGGCCTAGAGAGTTCTCTGCCTTGTAAAAAATAAAGTTGTCTTAAAGGACAAAGAGTAAACCAGAGGGAAGTTTCTGTTGAATGAAAGGCTGAAGGTAAAGGGAATCCTAAACAACTCCTCTCATTTCTGTTAACTTGTTTTCAGCCGAGGCTGGGGGTTCTGTCTTGATGACATACCTAAAAAGAAAGGCTTGAAGTCCAAGGTCATTGCCCCCGGAGTGATCTATGATGTTCACCACCAGTGCCAGCTACAATATGGACCCAATGCTACCTTCTGCCAGGAAGTAGAAGTAAGTGTACCTCTTGGTGGCTATATGCAGGGCTTCAGATCTCCAGCATGCTGAAGGAAGGGCCAGGACAATATTTGGAAATAACTGAACATCCAGACACAGAAATAGAAGCTTTATATTTAAGGCAAGGTGTGTCTGTAAGGGAAAACAATTAAGCTGGAATCACATGCCTTGACATTGCCACCTTGGTATTCTACGAAGCCTATATTCCATTGCAACTGGGTGGTGTTTGACACAGCTCCATAGTGATTTTCAGGATTCACAGTGATTCACACCTGCAGACTCCATAGCAACCAACTTAATCCCTAAAATTGCTCCCTTTCTTGAATTTCACATCTGGCTGAAGAGTACCAGCAGCTCCCAAGTTAGAAGTAGGATTTATTCACCAATTCATTCTTCTTGTTTATTTTCAACGTCCAAATAATAATTCAGGATTTGACACCGTACCTTCTGAAGAATCTGTAGCTCTGTTCTATCTTCTTCATTACCACTGTCACTGCCTCAATTCAGTCTCTCATCATCTTTCCTTGCTATCGTAATTATCTCCTACCTAGTCTCCCTCCTATTCAAATTGTTGCTCAAGTTATTTTTTAAAAACACAATGTAACCGTGGTCTACTCTGCTGTTAGGGTCCCCGCTGACCACAGGATAAAGTTCCACCTCCTTTTGAGGCAGTCCTTCGTGATTTGGAAATTGTCTACTCTCTGAACTCATCCCTTATAATGCAAAAGTATCTGTGTTAACACACACATATTGACGAGGCAAGTCTCGCTGAATCCCTGCCAGATTCTGTGCTATGTACAGAATAAGAAGAAAATATAAACACTCAAAAATTAATAAGACAAAGTCTCTGCCCTCGAGGAGCTCATGGTGGAGGAGGCAGGCATAAAAATTTTAATACAGTGAGATAAATTCAAAATGAAACAGAAAAAACTTAAAGGGGAAAGTAAATAACTGTGCTTAGACAGAACAAGCAAACTTAACAGAGAAGGTAAAGTTGATACAAAAATCCTCACCCCTCATTTCTAACTGGCTACCAAGTTATGCCAATTCTGCCTCCTAAATTTTTGTTTGTTTTTGTTTGTTTGTTTGAGACAGAGTCTTTCTCTATCGCCCAGGCTGGAGTGCAGTGGCATGATCTTGGCTCACTGCAACCTCTGCCTCCCCAGTTCAAGCAATTCTCGTACCTCAGCCTCCCAAGTAGCTGGGATTACGGGTATGCGCCAACAGGGCCAGCTAATTTTTGTATTTTCAGTAGAGATGGTGTTTCACCATATTGGTCAGGCTGGTCTCGAACTCCTGACTTCAGGTGATCCACCCGCCTTGGCCTCCCAAAGTGCTGGGATTACAAGAATGAACCACTGTGCCCAGCCTAAATATTTCTAAAATCCACCTGTTCCTAGATGACTATAGCAGTTCCCTGAATGGTAGAATCTGAACGCTTCCCCTCAACTCTGATTCATTTTCTAAAATGCAGCCTAAGTAACCTTTATAAATGGAAATCCATTTATAAATGGATTTATAAATACTTACTCCCCTGTGAGTAGAATATCTCATGGCCTTCCTATTTTCTTGCAATAAAGTACAAATTTCCTAAAATGGCTTAAGAAGAGGCTTCATAATTCGCTCTCCTCTTGCTCTCCGGCCTTATGTTTTAGAATATTGTTTTAGCCCTTCACTCTCTAATCTGCTACTGATTATATGTATATGGAATTTAATCACTAATCTTTCCTATCTGGGAAACCTCTCCTTCATATTTTCATCTCTTTGTGTCTCTGTATTTTATATCATGTATCTTTATCTTCTAGTTCACTAGTTCTCTCTTCAGATTTGTCCAATTATGCATATTTAACCTGTCTATTGACTTTTGAATCTCATTTATCATATTTTTATTTATAAAAGTCTATTTGGTTATTTTTCTGAATTTTCTCTCACTTTCATGGTATTTCTTTCCTAATTTTAAACTTTTGATGTAATCTTTTATTTCTTTAATAATATGTGACATATTTATTTTGCAATTTATACTGAGTAATTTCAGTGTTCAGAGTCTATGTGCATCTGTTTCTCCTGTTTGGGGTTTTTTTAACATATTACGTGTTATTTTGTTTTGTGATTTTTGCTTTTATTGTGAGCCTTTAGTTATAAAACTTTATGTCAGGTTTTCCTTTAGGGTTCAGATGGCTGGCACATTCTTTCACCGAAAATTTTCAGTTCTATCTCTGGGTCAATTTAAAATGTTACTGATTTGATGTTGTGTTGACTTCATGAGCAGCATGGGGGCGAGTGTGGTTACCAACTCTCAGGAGTAACATTTGACCACTCCTTCTAGAGTTAAAGTCAAATGAGACAAGTTTTCTGTGTACCTAGATTTCAGGTCACCCTTTCACTCAAGGCCTTATATGAAGGTCTCCAACTTCCTACCTTACATAGGCCCTACACATTGTCTCCAGTATCTAAGTGACTAATAAATCGAAGACCTAAGTAACTAGGTTTGCATCTCCAGATTAACATTTCTGCTACATTTTTAGCCTTTAGGGGGTTTCCTTACTTTCTTGGTGACTCAAGGATGCACTTAAAATATTTAAAATATATTATGCATGATTTTAGAAGATTTATAGAGGTAAGCGTTTTCCAGGGTATCCCATTGTTTACTAGAAACAGGACACCCAAGTTATCTCTGGTCAGCTCCTCTTTTGCAATCCATGTTTATCTGTCGTGAACAGCCTCCATTCTCTGAAAGTGCTGGGTTCTCCACAACCTCTAGAACCCTGCACAGTGGTTCCTTGGAACCATCCCTTCTGCTCATCATTTGAGCCTCAGCTTAAAAATTCTTTTATATCCTATCCTGAATTTCCTGTGTCAAAGCTTTATTAGACTATATTTTAGGTTTTTGTTTACTAGACTATCTCCTCTCCTACCATGTGAGCTCTGTGAGGAAATTTTTATCCCTGACACTCAGCAATGCCTAGCACATAGTAGGCACCCAACAGATAAGTGAATGAAGACTTCATATCTCTTTATATGGCAGCCAAGATAACCTCATCATTTTCCGTGTTAACAACACCCTAAAATACCAGAAAATGTAGCATTATCCATGTTATAACTTTTTATTTTGAGATAGTATAAACTCCAAAAAATTGAAAAAAATAGTACAAAGTTTCTGTGTACCATTCGCCTAGCACATCATCCTTTCTAAATGCTCAGTGAACTTAAAGTAAAAGAAATCCTCGGAAAGAAGGAAAAAAAATAAAAGGGGGAGTGATAAGCATGAACAGATATTGAGGCTGAAGTGGAGATAACAAAAGGGTTATGTGGGTTTTCACTTCCACGTTGGAAGAGACAATGATGTATTCTCCTTGACCAGGGCCAGGATTTAGAACTGAGACCTTTGCATGAAGCCGCGATTCTCAAAGAGTTGTGCTTCAATGAAAGGATGAGCTAGAAGAAATCAACCAAAAGGAAAGAGAGATGACAGAGAAGCATCTTTTATCTCAGCCTAGTTTCTAGTGGGGAAGTGGGGGGTGTGTGGAAATACTGGTGAATAACTTTCTCACTTGGAAATTCTTTACTACAGGCCATGCTCATGCTAATCTAGAGTTTAAATCTGTACCCCTTATAGCTTGAGTGCCTTCACGCAATAATAATAATAATAATAATAATAATAATAATAATAATAAATAAAGCATTTGTCCTGGAGATACCATGGATGCCTGGAAATAAAGGTGAAACTGGCCCAGAGGAACCAACACTCAACCAAGGTGGCATGAAACTCCAATAGATAAAGCCACCCTAGGCCGGGTACGGTGGCTTACGCCTGTAATCCCAGCACTTTGGGAGGCCAAGGTGGGCAGATCACGAGGTCAGGAGATCAAGACCATCCTGGCTAACACTGTGAAACCCCGTCTCTACTACAGATACAAAAAATTAGCCGGGCGTGGAGGCGGGTGTCTGCAGTCCCAGCTACTCAGTAGGTTGAGGCAGGAGAATGGCGTGAACCCAGGAGGCAGAGCTTGCAGTGAGCCGAGATGGCACCACTGCACTCCAGCCTGGATGACAGAGTGAGACTCTGTCAAAAAAAAAAAAGCCACCCTTCAGATGAGTTCATAATTCAGCCTCTAATTCAAAAATCTAATGTAGTCTATCTTCAGCTAAGTGAGCTGAAGCCCTTAAGAAGCCCTTAACAAGCCCTTAAGAACTTTCAAAAATTGAATTTTTATATAGGGATAATAAAATAAATATATAAGAATGAACTGTACATGAGAAAAAAGAACCAGAAGATATATGTAAGGCAGATATGAGGAAGAATAAATATAACTTCTGGAAATGGAAGGTGTGGTTATTGACTTAAAAATTCAGTGGATGGATTAAACAGCAGACTTGACATGGTTGAAAAGAAAATCAATCAAATGGAATTTAGAGCTGAGAAAATTACTTCCCTTCCCACTTGGGTGCTTCTTAGGGGTGTGTGATGGAGGAGAAAGTTTCTTCGGTTTTCATATACAACAAGATTGAGAGATGAGGAATATGAAAGTGAGGTTGAAACACAAAGTACAGAATAAGAAGGTCCATCAACAACAATTACGGGTTCCAAAAGGAGAGAAAGGAGAGGCAAAATTTAGAGAGAGAAAGATTGATAATTTTCTAAAATGGCTTAAAATATCAAGTCATATAATGAAAAAACACATGCAGTGTAGAACACAATAAGTGGATAGAACTATGGAAGATGAATAGACAGAAAAAAATACTGATAGATAGATGGAAGCAGCTAAGCCATTTCAGATGGCATCTGAGAATCCTGCCAACCTTCCTTTATCCCCATAAGGGTAGAAATAAGAAGGAATATGCAGCTCTCTTCCTGGAAACTGAAACCAGCTGACTACTTAAGGTAATAAGTGAACAAGCTGAGGCTTTCTAGATGGAAGAGTTTCCATTTTCTTCACTGAGCAGGCTCAAGTTATAACCACCCCCAACTGTTAGTAATCAGGTTGCCTTCCAGCCACAGTTTAGATTTACCTTTCATAGATGATCACCAGTTACCTTTCCCAAGAGCAATGAGGGCTGGATATTGTGCCAAACATATAGAAATGACCATCTCAACCCTTAGAAAATAGGTTTTATCCCTCATTTCCATATTACCTAGTATGATCTATAGACCATTGTTTATGAATGATGACAAAGTCCAAGTTAAGCTTGAACTGAAAACTCTAATGATTGCTTTCTGTCACTCTTAGTCACTAACAACAGTGGCATTTATTGTGAGTGTGTGGATGAGTGTGCATATTTTACTGTAACTATAGAAATGCTTTGTGGCAGGTTTTGAAAATACAAAAGAAGTGCAATTTGTTTTCTAGAACGTCTGCCAGACACTGTGGTGCTCCGTGAAGGGCTTTTGTCGCTCTAAGCTGGACGCTGCTGCAGATGGAACTCAATGTGGTGAGAAGAAGGTGATGCGTCAGGCCGAGGAATGAGGTGGGAGGGCGGTGGGCAGAGTTCTTGGGAGGAGCTGAGGAGAAGGCCCTAGAGGGCAACTCTCTCTAAGGGAAGAGCAGTGGATGGAGGTCAAACAGTCAGACCAGCCAGAGGAGATCACCCACATCCACCACTCCTGGTGAACCTGCTTTGGGAGCAGGTAGTTAAGGAGGGAGGGCTGAGGTCCAGTTTCACACTTCACTTGTAAAACATCTGTTTCATCTTTCCCTGATGAATTTCTATGGAGTTTGTGGTCAACATTTCCTAAGCTTATTATCAGCCTTCCTTTTGACTTTTTTTCTCTCATATGGAAGATTGAAAAGGATAAGCCAGCGGCTTCTTTTCCCAAAAATGCAGGATTTAGGCCACTTATCATCTTCTTTCTCATCTTCTGACATGACTGCATTTCTTGAAGTTCTGCTACTTTACTAAGCAGGCAAATCAGACACCACAGAACACAGAGAGGTTTGATATCCTCTAGGCTGGGTTCCTTGTGGGCCTAGAGCTTACATGTTTTGTGGGCATCTTTATGCAGCTTGAGTGTGGCAGGACCCCTCACTGAGATTACAGAACCCGGGCAAAATACACAGTGGCCAGAAAAAACACAAGAGGAAAAAAAGGATATCAGACAATAAAACATGTCCAAATCCTCCAGGAAATGTGGTTATTCACGACAACCACATAGCATTTCCCTTTGTTTTCATTTTTGTATATTTACTCTCCTAAACCGATAGTCGTGGAAGGATTGCCTTGAAGAGGGGAGAGAGTGGATTTTTTCTTAGTTGCTTGAAAGGCCAGAGCTGCAAACAATGGGTAGAGTTAAAAGAAAGTGTAATTTTTTTCTTGATGTAATGAAGAACTTCCTAACAGCTAGTGTGTTTTGGCAGTGAAATTGACTTTTTGCAGCGGATGAGTTCTCTGTTGCAGTCATTAAGTTCCCAGAGAGCTATAAAGAAGTGCTATTCGCTGTGCCAGTCTGTGAACTATTGTGGTTTGCAACAAGATAAGGATCATGCACCAGAAAGCAAATCAACTATGTTACTAAGCAACTATGTTGCTAAGCATACTAAGCTGACATGCTTTTCCTAACAAGACTTTCTCAATGAAAAAAGTAGTATGTTGATTTACATTCTCGTGCTCGATCTGCCAACCACACTGTGTAGCACCTGTGTGATTAGGCAACGTAAAGTTTCCTTCCATTCTTGAAACTCTCTGATTCTAAAACCCACGACTCTTGGCAGAAACTTATATGAGCCCCTGTTTGTTTTACATCTGATATGTGACTGTAGAAAGCCGGCTTGCTTGCAGAGAATTGGGTTTAGACTTTTAGGGCTCTTGGCTCAGCTTGCTCTGGTAACCTTCCTGATACGGCCATCTCCTGCCTCTTCCCTTTCCAGTGGTGTATGGCAGGCAAGTGCATCACAGTGGGGAAGAAACCAGAGAGCATTCCTGGAGGCTGGGGCCGCTGGTCACCCTGGTCCCACTGTTCCAGGACCTGTGGGGCTGGAGTCCAGAGCGCAGAGAGGCTCTGCAACAACCCCGAGTGAGTCCAGATAAATATATTTCCCTTCTCTCCACATGTGCTGGGGGCGGGATGGGGGGCAGTCTTGAATGGCATGACCTCAGTGACCCCAAGCCTCCTCCAGGTAAATTAAATGGGTTCCCAGGACAAAACAGAACAAGAAGATTCACAGAGAGTGGGGAAAAAAAGTGGTTCTGTTTTGTGTTGTTTCATTTCGGCTTGGCACTGGATTCTCACTAAAACTTGGATAAGTAAGCTGATTTTATCATTTGGGGAAATAAAGCAAATTTCTTTTAAATGTGCAATCTATGTGAAAGCCTCTAGGAGATTATACAATTAAATCTTTTTAAATAACTCAATTTTATCAGTAGAGATTAGTGAAACGCAATTTTGCTGATAAGATTGTAGCTTGCTTTCAATGATAATGAATACACAATTTTATGAGAATAATTCTTTCCTTAAGCAACTAGTAAAACAGGTACATTTTTGAGGACAATTATTTTTAATATTTTTCGATAAGGATTTTTATAAACCCTAAAGTTCCGCAGTGGCCTGTTAAGGATTCTGCAAATGTTATTTTACAAGTGACTTTCAATTGTTTAAGCAAATTGCTTAATTTTTCATATATTCTATTTGTATGATAATATTATATATGAGGTAAATTTAAACTTGCTTGTTTTCCAAATACACATTACATTCTTAATTTCATTATTTTCTGATATACTGTCTCCCAAGTAATTTCTTAAAAGTGTATATGTGATATCTCCTTTAAGTGGAAATTATATTGTTTCTTTTATCTAAATTTACATTCATCTACTTTGAAAAGTAGGAGTCACATTTTTTAAAAGGCGAGCAATAAAAGTGATTTTATCTCTCAATATCTCAATTCCAAAGGTTATTTATCCTTTTTGTTAATAACTGTATTACCTAGATGTATAGTATTTAAATATAAGTATATGTATATATGAATATATATGCATGTATACATTACATATATACATATATACACTATATATATTATATATTTTTTCTAAGGGTTAATAAGTTAGTATGTGTAAGGAATTTAACACAGTATCTACTACATAATAAAGTGTTAATAAATAGTAGTTATTATGAATCTTTATCATTTACCACATTTATAAGCATGCATTTGGAAATTCTTCACAAAATTATTTTAAAATTTCACCCTTTGATGAAAGTTGTTTTATTTAAGTACTGGGTTTCTGTGACTTTCAAAATTCAAAACCAAGAGTTTCTCATAGAGTATTTTGTTTTTAGAGAAAATTGTCATTTAATCGTTTGTTTCCATTTGATCCAGAAATGTGATTTCCATTTTCATTTGAGAGATCAGAAAAGAAAGGCAATTTGCTCTGGGACTTATTGTCAATGCTGTATATTCAGACACCACCAGTGTGAAAGTTCTTGGCAGGTTGGTCAGTGACTTGTGGCTATCAGAGAAGGGAACTCCTAGTTGAGGAGGTGAAGGATGAATCTCTAACCTGGCTTCAGGAGAAAGGTAGTTCTAATTCTCATCTCCAAGGCCACAGTTTGTCATAGAGTCTCTTTGGGTGAGTGGACATGCCTGTTCTTCATTGCCGGTTTGCTTAAATTCATTGCTAACACTGCCAATGGCACCGCATCATAGATTTGGATCTGTGGTTCAAGTCACAGATTCAGGCCAGTGCATGAGCCAGCTGATCTTGGGACTGCATCCTTGCTGTAGGTCAACTGTCTAGTGAGAACCCAGCAGAGCTCGGCTCATAAGAGGCTGTCAGTGATATTGATTGGATGGAAATGAATTGGAGACATACCAGGTCATAGAGTGTCCCTGCATCAGCACAAATAGAAAACCAGCCTCACCTTAAATAACAAGGACAATTCTTGGTACCTCCTAAAGGGAATCAACAAATTAAGAGCCTACTATGTGAACTGCCTTGGTCAAAACTCTTTCATGAGTGAGGAACAGAAGCTTACTCAGGCCACATTGAGGGAGGGGAGGTATAGAAAATCTCATGGGCATTCAAGGAGAACAAAGTACAGCAGAATCAACAAGAATTACAGCTGCAACCAGTACTTGACTAGACTGCCAGGATTTGAGTTCTCTGTCTCTCAGGATTTTGTGGTCAGGCAGTGTAACATAGTGGATAAGAGCTCAGGCTTTGGATCAAGGAAGACGACGATTCAAGTCTTGGCTTTGCCACTACCACCTGTGTCCTTTGGGGAGCTGTTCTAGCTTTCTGTGTCCCTGGAATACGATTTCATCTGGACTGCTCGCTCGACATGCCTTCTGCCTTTGCACTGAGAAGGACTTTCCAGTCGTCCTTTAAGACCATTCTCCAGGACAAGCCCTTCCGTAAATCCTTCCCAACTAGCCTCATTTCCATGGCTTTCCCCTTCACATAACTCTCATTGTACTTTCAGTCTGGGATACATAATTGCTGTCTTAAATTTTCTCTCATTTCTTATATAGCTCATTTTTTTCTCCTCAACCAAATTATAAACTTCTAGGAAGCATAGAGCATGGGTTGACCTTCATTTGCACTCTCTTCTCCCTGAACAGTGTTGAGCACATGGTAGTATATAAATGCTGGTTGATTATTATTCACGATAACCAAAAAAAATGCTCTCAGTTATTGATCTCTCATTCTGTGTTAGTTACTCTACTAAATCTGTGTGTGCATTGTCTCATGCAATACAACTTGTGAGATAAAAACTATTATGCTCATTTTACAAACGAAAAAAAACTGAGGCTCAGAGAAATGAGGTAACTTATTCAGATCCATCTAACAAAAAGATAATACCAAATTCGAACTCCAGGCTATTGGCACTCCTGCGATAGGAGGCACACTCCCTGATTCAGATACTGCAGCAAGATGGAGACCAGAAGGCATGCCTGGGAACCTTCTCAAAGGATAGTTTCTTCACGTCTCCCCTCTCCCATTTTGAGAGACCCATTGATCCTGACAGGAAGGCTGGTATGCCCTCAGGTGTATCACAAAGGAAAGAAAAATCAAAAAGTGATTTTTCTAAAATAAGATTAACTTATTCACCCATTGAATATCTATTAAGAGCCTCCTATGCCCAAAGTACTGTGAGGCACCACAGAGGACACAGAGCTTGGATTGTGCCATCAAAGAACTATCTTTGGGAATGATAGATTCAGGACGTGCAGGCAGCTGGCACACAAAGTGTCACTGAAGAGGAGAAAAAAATTACTGCTGGTGGAAATCCAGGAAGGATTCGTGAAGGAGGTAGCATTTATTTAGTTCTTCAAGCATGAGCAGTATGTAGACATGTGGAGACTTTAAGGGAGGAAAAAAATCTATCCAAATGCACAGAAAAGAAATATTAAATAAGGCAGGTGGCACCACTGGAGCAGTGTAACATGAAGCAGAGTGTGGGAAGTAAATTGTTAAGGTGAGTTAAGGCAGGATTGTGAGAGCTTTGAATGCCAAGCTCAGGAGGCTGATGTGACCATTGGATGCTGTTAGTGATTTTAAAACAGGGAACTAAAATAATTAAGGTCATCTGAAAATTTAGCCTGATAATTGTTTGTACTGTGGGTTCAATTTTAAAAGTAGAGATAGAAATGGAGATAAGAATTTTAAAAGTAGAGATAGGAATGGAGATAAGAATTGGACTGGTTTGATTATTGCAGAGTTGAAGAGTAGGAAACAAATGTAAATAGGCAACTGATGACCAGGCAACTGATTGACTGTGGGATCCAAGGAAGGCACAGATGGATGATTCTGAAATCTGACCACTTTTAACTCACCAAATAGGAATCAGAGAAGGAGCATACTCGAAAGGAAAATGATGTATCCTTTTTTGGCGTAGATTTCACCTGGAGGATATACAGGTGGAAATGATATATAAACTATTTCAAAATAAGCTACTATACACTTAGGACTGAAATGTTGTCAGGCAAGGAAAAAATGTGTAAAATTTGAAGCAGTTATTTAAAAGGTAAGTTTTGAGGGCATAGAGAGACATCATTTGTCAAGGCCAGATACCAGAGGAGTTTTAAAGGAAAGTGCTGGCGTTGAAGCAAACTAAAAGAAAAGCTTGTCTGTTTCATTTGCAGGCCAAAGTTTGGAGGGAAATATTGCACTGGAGAAAGAAAACGCTATCGCTTGTGCAACGTCCACCCCTGTCGCTCAGAGGCACCAACATTTCGGCAGATGCAGTGCAGTGAATTTGACACTGTTCCCTACAAGAATGAACTCTACCACTGGTTTCCCATTTTTAACCCAGGTAAGGAGCTGTAATGGTGTATCTCAGATCTAGGGAACAGCCATTCTCAAAGCATTTGTATGTCAGTCAGGGTTTCTGTGATCCACACAAAGCTTAACAAAGACAATTGTACACCAGGAATTTTGTAATTTAGAAGATGGAAACACTGACCTGGTTAAGTTGATCAGTAAATGTTGAAGGCTGAATACATTCAACTCTGTCTGAGCTTTGTGGGAGATAAAAGAAGTTTATAAAACATGGTGACTTGCTTCAAAACAGCTGAGGTGCAATTGAGCCATTAATAGGACATGTAGGAATTCAGTAACTAATTGCTTGTTGATGGACATGAGAAACTGACTGTGATTTCGTCAGAAATTCCGAAGAAAAGGTCATTGTGGGTTTGAAGTAATTGCAAAAAAAAGGCTTCCAGTGAAGCAGTTGATGATTCTTAAGACTACTTATGCTTTCATGAGCAGTCTTTCCACAAGAAGAAAGAAAAGGGAAGACATTCAAAATAGAGTCATTCCAAGTGGGAGTAGAATAACAGGCGGAAAGGCAAGATAATAGGAATGAAAGAACAAAAGCCAGCTCTGCAACAGAAGTCAACATTTTATATGTACTGGAGTATGAGAAGGGTGAAAAGTAAAATCAAACATCTGAATGTTGCACAGGAGGGATGGGGACATAATGGAGTTGGAGAATGGAATAGCGGCCTTGGCAAAACGTCCAGACACATTCTCTCCTTAAAATGAAGAAGAATCAATGACCGTTAGCTAGACATCAACATCAAAAAACATATTTGTGTTGTTTGTTGTTATCTGAGTAGGAAATGAAACAGAAAAGATTTTCCTGTGTTAAAGAAATTTAAGGCAAGGTAGTAAAAAATAGCTAATCAAATTTTTCATGATTTTTGAGTTCCAGAAAATCCATTGTGAATAGGGCACAAGAAAAATCACAGATTTGAGAATTGTGTATTTGGGCTGTTAGAACAATGACTTATGCAATAGCTTTTGAAAGAAAGACTCTGCAGTGGTTTGCTCAGCTCAGGTCTCCAAAATACCCTGATGCTCTTAGTTGTCAAGGGCAGTGATTGCTCCTTGCCCCCAATCGTTTGGTGTCATTTATGATCTAGAGGGGAAAACCATTTGGTTATTGGTGCAATTTAGTTTCCTGAGTCAGGCATTTGAATACAGGAAAACTCAGACATATACTCAGGTGTACTCCAAAATTATCAAGTGATGAAAGGTGCATCCAGCCAGTGCTATCTATGTGTATATCCTGCGCATTCTTGATTTGTTAAAACTATTTGGGTCAGTGGTCCTGTAGACTCTGAATGAGCAGCCTGTCAGAGCTAAGATAGCATAGCTGCTCCAGTGATATCACATGTGCTTAGTACGGGATCCCCCTCCCAGATATACAGTTGGATTTGTGTCTATCTAACCCTGATGGCTCAAGTAGCTGGACTTAGAATAAAAATATTTGATTCAGCATTGCTTTTCATTTGTTTGCAAGCATTCATCATGTGCCTACTTTTTGACTAGCAAAGCAATAGGTACTAAAGAAGTGAGCGTTATACAAGTTGACATCAATTCCACTCACTCTGGAGTGATTGATTTGCTTCTCTAACTCAGATGAAGTTTGCCACCTGCTGACCTTACTCCCTACCCAGTCTATCAGTATTCATCCTCTATCCCGGTAGTTTCTTTACAGATTCCTATGCTATTATTTTCATTAGCAGACAATGACTTATCTGCTAACCTGAATAGCTACTACCTTGAACAGCACACTGATGACTTTCCCCATTATACTCTGTCTACAGAGTTGCTATTTGCTTAGTTAACAGGCATCCCTGCCAGTAGGTCGTTCATGTCAACAAGGATTTATGCAGCATTTTTTCTGTGCCAGATATCGAGGGCCTTACAGCCTCCCAGGCATCCTTTTAGAAATCACCAGAGGATAAAATAAACATACAGCAGAGTTTTCTACCCCCTCAGTGGACAGTGATACTTCCCACAGCACTTTATATGCTTTTTCCTAATTTTATCTCCACAAGAAAACCCTTCAAGGAGAGCTGTTTTTGACCCAATTTTTAGAGATAAGCTAATAGGTTCGGAGGACCTCTGTAACTTGCCCAAATTCAGACTATGAAATAGAACCAAGAGTTAGCCCATGCCTGACTCTGCAGCCTCATCATTAAGCACGAAAACACACAGGGACTGGGTTAAGTTCATTTCCTTAAGACCAATGCACTGAATTTTGAATTTTCCCTAAGGCAATGTTCATGTCTTTAAAACCTTCGATTATTTCGTAAGCCAGGAGCTCTGCTAGAAAACCCAACAACCCTTTTTATTATGATTAAGGCTCAGTTTATTAAACCTATATATCTTGCCCTTGAGAACCAGTGTTTTCTAAACATTTAAGCATTGATGACTAATTATTACATTGCTTAAATAATTTAAGTTGTGATTCTAAGTTTACCTCTTAAGCATCTTAACCAAAAGACAGAACTTAAAACTACACGGTAAATAGAAAACTCATTACTGCACTTACCCTAATATAATACATCAATACAGCCAGGCATAGTGGTGCACCCCTGTAATCCGAACTAGTCAGGAGGGTGGGGCGGGAGGATCGCTTCATCACAGAAGTTTAAGGCTGTAATGACCTATGATTGCACCACCTCACTCCAGCCTGGGTGACAGAGTAAGACCCTGCCTCTACAGAAAAATTTTAAAAATAAAATATAAAATAAAGAGAAAACATCAATGACAAGGGTTTAATTCATTTTAAAAAATTATTTCTACTTTTGTTTTTATACCTTTCTGTGGTTACTATAGAATATATTCATTTTAATGCCTTCTTATATTTCACTAATACATATTTCTATGTATTGTGGGGATTACAATAAGATTATAGTATTAGAAAGTACAAGAATACCATTTTAGACTAGCCAAAGGTTTCAAACTCTTGGTAATGACTGATTTTGGGCTGTGATACAGAGTGACAAGTTTTCATTTTTGCTTTTTCCTCCAAGCTGATTTGATTTTAATTCTTAGCTGAGCTTCCTTTTTAAGTTAAACGTAACTTCTTGCATCAATAAAACATTTTAAGTTATGCCTTTTGCTTTGGGGTTTAGTATTTCTTGGGATCTGTTGAGGAGTGGCAGGGGTGCACACCACAGATCCCTTCTCTTCATGTGCACACCGCCTTCCCGTTTTGGCCTTCCCTTACCGAACACAAGTTCAAAGGTAAAATGTTTAAGAATTGCAAGACAGAGACAATAGCATTCAACCAAGTGTGAGGTCCTGGGTAAAAGCACCGGTCTAATGCCCACGAAGCCCTGCCTGTGAATGGATTTTAGAAACTGGATTCTTTAAAATGATGAAACTCACTTTCCAGTCTATTCACAAAACACGAAATGCATCAAAACTTTTCCTTACCTAAGAAATATTTTCATTCTTTTTAGCAAGTTAGAGCTTTCATTTCTGTCATTTATTAAGATCATTATCCAAAAATGTTGAGCCACCCTGTTTCTGCAAAATTGAAAATGCAAACTTTGATTCGGTAAGTTCATCTCTTTTCCTAAGCTCCCTTTGAGAGGATTAATCAGAGAGTGTGAGGGTGAGAGTTCACTAGTAAATTAGTTTTAGAGCTTTTGCTTAGGTGAATTATAAATGGACTTGAAAGCTTTTGAAAGCTAGAGGGAAAAAAAATCACATGACCCTAAAAAAGGATGTGTCAGGGCAGGGGAGTAAATGTGAGACAAGGAAAGTACTCAACTCTGTAGAGATGATGGACTCAACAAGGTTGATGTCCGGCACAGAGAATCTCTGATACCAGTGATGACTCCCAAGAATTAAGACCATCCATTACCACCCTTGCCTCCTCCTGCAGATCCCTGTGCCACAGGACAACTTAATGATATAACCACAGCCCTTCCAGAGCACCATGAAAGACAAAGGCCAGAGAAGGAGGGGACAGAGGAGGACTTCAGGCTCAGCCTTATAAAAGCCTTGAATAGCACTGAACCTTCCATTTAGGATGACTGCTTTCAAACATAGGCCTGAGGCACACCTATAGGTCATGGTGGTGGGAGCTCTGGGAGAGTTGCAGCAGAGGACCTGTATGCTGTCATTGTTGTTATTATAAATGTTATTTCCTGGATAATTTCTAAGACTCCATAAACCACTATACTTATAGTCAACACACATGTGTGTTTCTTGTAGGCAGTGTACTTCAGTTAACCTGTCTAGCCTTGAAGAATGTACTAGTCCTGTGTTGTGGAAACAGGATGAAGGGAAGTTTTGAAATTAGAGACTCTCTTTATGGTGATGTGTCATGAATATCACTGGGGAAAGAAGACTTTTCCAGTTTTCCTATTTGAGGGCCAAGACTTATTATTTTTAAAAGGAATATATGTGTCTTATAAAAATGCAAGTGCATATAGTAGAATGAAACAGAAATGAATTCCTATTATCCCACTGCATTTAATGTATTCCTCCAAGATAACCATGCTAACAGCAGGTTTTCATTTGCACACAAATAGAACCATAATTTGCCAGTTCTGCAACTTGATGCACTGAGTAGATCATGGCATCATGGTTTACCTCATTCCTTTTAGTGACTGCATAGCAGTCCATTATGTAAATGCGACTTAGTGAATCTGTCCGTTTCTCTCTGAATAAACATTCCGTTGCCGCAATGAACATGCTCTGGTCCCAACTCTTCCCAGCAGCCTTGAAACAGATGATTCCTTAGAAAAGCTCCAGAATTATTCAGGGCCGCTTTCTATTTTTGCTTTATGTATTCCAAATACAAAATCCCAAATCCAATTCTAAAGTTTAAACCAAAGTCTTAATAAAATAATCCTTGGATTCAGCACCTGGATTGATGTTCTCATCCTTAGGAGAATAGAATTGTTCCCAGGTTGCTCCCTTTAGTACTTCTATTCCAGTTTGCGCAGTAACAGAGCTAATCGTGCTACCAGAAATGGAGCTACACAATAATCCCAAGTCACGCTTTGTCCCAGAGTCTTGACACTTTTCCCCTGGCTGTTTATCCAATGATCTCTTCAACTCATTTTGAGTCTATCTGGTCAGACAGCTTATCCACTGCACCTTATATGAAATCAGTTGGTTTTCTTTATTTACATATTTGCTTTTATCTTTCTCTTTTAAGCTTTTTTGTTTGTTTGTTTGTTTTTGGATTCAGGGAGCACATGTGCTTGTTTGTTACCTGGGTATTACACGCATAATGGTAGGGATTGGGGTTCTAGTGTACCTAGCACCCAAATATTGAACACTGTACCCAATAGGTAATTTTTCAACCCTCAAACTCCTTCCACCCTCCTTACTTTTGGAGTCCCCAGAGTCTATCTCCATCTTTATCTCTATGGGTATCCAATGTTTAGCTCTCAATTAAAAGTGAGAACATGTGTTATCTAACTTTCTGCTTCTGAACTAGTTCACTTATCTCTTTTAAGCTTTAAACATGTTTTTGACCTCAGTCTCAAGTTTGTTCAGCATTTCAGCATTTGGAGCTTTTGCTCATGGTTACATTTGTGTGAAATTTGCACTTTCATTTCCTGGCCACATGAATCACTGCAACCTCAAGCAGACAGAGCCATCACTGTGCACTCAGGCTTGGCATTTGGTGCCCAGCCCAGTGAGAAGGGCCCATGACGAATAGCCTTATGGCTGGTACCATTGAGTCCTCAGCTGATCACACAATGAAGGAACTAACAGCCCTGCCCATAATAAACACATCCAGAAGAGACCCCAAAATCCCTGCCAAAGAAGACATTATTGTGTTTTTCACTAAAGAAAAGCATTCATTACATTCATTAAAAAATTATTATTTGAATTCTTCTTATCATATACATGTATTCACTATTAAAATTTTTAAGGCAATCTGTGATTTAAATGTTATCTATCTTTCTGGTTATTCTGTATACATACATATGGGTATGCATTTTATTATGTAAATGTTCCTGTGCTCTAGATCACCCTATCTTCATTCACAATGGAGTAGAAAACTGAACCTTAGAATGGATTCAGTGTAGGACCAAGATGATGGGATGGATCACTATGATAAGCAGGTTGGCTTCAGCTTCAACAAAAAAAATGTTTCTACATGGTTGTCAATCTAAGCACCTCTTAGACTGGAGGAGGATATTTGTTGGGGCAGGATTATGCTGGTGGTGATGGAGGTTGTGGTAGTAATGAGCTGGCTCTGTGGGAGGGGATGCCTGTCCCCTGGAGGTCTACTTACTTTGCTGCAAGAAACAAGCAGGCATCCCGCTTGCCTGGAGTCCTTCATGGCTGGTTGCAATAACTTATTTTCTAAGCTAACCCCAGATGCCCAGTGCCTTATTTTTATAAGCACAATTCAATGTTGAATAGAAAGAAGTCATTGTTTACAGCAAAGCATAGAGTATTTTAAAGCAACCTTTTAATTTAATTCATTATGAAACTTGTTTTGAAAAAGGAAAAATAATCCTTGGATTCAGCACCTGGATGTGTGAAATGTGTCTTGAGGCATATTTCAGCATGTGTCTCAAGGAGGTGAAAAGGTGGGATTGCCAGAGTAAATGACACTTGGGGGTCCTAAGTACGGAGGAATCCTGGGGGAGGATGCTGAGCTAAAAGCTAATTTGCAAGGCTTTGCCTTCTTTTTTCCCTTCAGCACATCCTTGTGAGCTCTACTGCCGACCCATAGATGGCCAGTTTTCTGAGAAAATGCTGGATGCTGTCATTGATGGTACCCCTTGCTTTGAAGGCGGCAACAGCAGAAATGTCTGTATTAATGGCATATGTAAGGTATTGGGTATGTTTCCTTAATCTACAACTTTATAAAATCATGACTTTTACTAATTTGGGAAGTCAGATGTTCTAGGTTTGTGCTTTCACAGCATTTACACCTCATCTGTTTTTTATATATAGTTCATGAAACGAAAAGATAAGACTTCCCAGTGTTCATCAAAGTCACAGTTTTGGATTGAATAGTTTTTTCCTTCTGCCGTCATCTTCATTTCTTGATTAGTTGATGTGCACTACGATATTGTTTTAGACATTGAGCATGAAAAAGAGGAATTATCAGGAAAACCCAGCCCAGATTATTTCAGTGGCATTAAATTTGAGAAAAACTGAAATTAATAATAGTTTCTATGGTACTTTTCATAATGCATTTTCACATTTAATTCTCCATTGACTATCAACATGAGCTTCTCAGAGAGACGGCATGACAATAGTTACAAAACACGTTTCTGATTTCTATGTAATTTTTCCACACTCACTTCATTAATCAAGTCTATATAAATTATTTAGACCTGATGTGTTGATGCTTTTAAGTGTGTAACCATTAAAGAATTCCTTGTTGCTGCTTGCATTTTATTTTGCAAGGAACTGAGGAGCAGGACTTGTGATCCAACCCCCAGGCATAAATCTCAGTTTAAAGAGAAAGTGTTTTTAATTGGTTAAAGGAAGATGTTTTAATCAGTTAGTGAATCATAATGGTTTAGCACTGGGGTTTTAGAATATGAACTCAACACCATCATTTACTAGTTGTATGATCCTATACATCTTTCTAAGACTCAGTCTTCTGTCATAAAACTGGGATATTTTTATGTATCTGCCTAGGTGGGGTTGTCAAAAGATTAAATAAGGTCAGTTAACCTAAATAACAGACAGAGAGAAGCTCTCTAAAAGAAAATGAAGCTTATTTGGGAATAGTGCATTGCAATGGGAATATGTATGCCACAGTTAACTATGTGCATATTTAGGAAGGTAAAGGAAGACAAGGGTTTTTAAAAGAAAATGAAAATTTTTAAAGGAAAGAAGTTGAAGAGAATTGCAAAATTGTTTTTAAATAATTATTATTTCCTGCAGAGATCAATAACAAGGGTGACGCCAATCCAAGGTTGCTCAGGAAGTTGCTGGGCAGATGTCATTGCAAAAGTATTCTTTGTGTAAGGTTGTGATAGCCTTTGTGCAAGGTTGTGGTGTTTGCAGAGGCTTTTTCATCATCAGGCATACAAGGGTGAGAACTCATTCTTCCTAGCCTTCCCTGGCTATATTTATCAGGGTTTTTTCTTAACATTAGTTGCTCCATTTTGATTCTGACAACTTTCACAGGTAATATATGTTAAGCTCTTAACAGAGGCCCTGGTGTAAAATGAACTCTTAGAAAACAGATTTGTAAACTCAACAAATTTTGTTTTTTAAAAATATTTATAATATGTTTTTCCACTGGACAAAATTATTCCCTGTGACAAGCTCTTGCCCCTAAATATTCAGCACTCTGAGAAGTTTCATATTTATCTATACAGTTGCTTTTTCATTTATTTTATTCAAGGCACCTGTTTTCCATCACAGGCTAAAGATGCTATTTCTCTCAATGCAAAGGTATTTAGATCTAAAAGATAATTTCAGCATCACATTCACTCCTCAGTGACTAAAGTCCTCAGCCCTAGCTGCATATAATAATCACCAGGGGAGATTTTAAAACATCAATGCCCAGACTCCACATCCCAGAGATCCCGAATTAATAGGTTTGAAATAGAGCCCAGACATCAGTAATTTCTAAAAGCTCTCCAGGCATTCTAATAAGTAGCCAGGATTGAGAACCATTATAAGTTGGATGTCTTTCTTGAGGCCAATCAAGTGAACCCAATAGAATAAGCCAGATTTTATCAGCCTGCCTTACTCTTTGTGGGAGCCAGTTAAGACCTTTTAGAAGCTATAATTACCCACTTTCTGTCTATAGCACACTGGTTTGAGTTTTTAAGCTGAAAAAATGGTGTCAAATCAAATATGCTTAATAGCCTAAATACTTTATCTTCAAGGATCCAGGTTGTAGGTAATTCCAGGCTCCTTATTTGTTAGTCTTATTGTTACTCTCCTATTCATTTACTAGTTTTTTCAAAGGGGATTGAGCATGTATTACATAAAAGTATATGCTTTCAGGAAAACAATGTATGCAGTGTTTGTCTAATCTGCATTCGTTGTGAATATGAAAACTTGGTTGCTTATATTCATGTCTATTTTGAATTTACAATATTTGCCAATATTTTGGTATGTTAGAGTTGCAGATTCTATTGTCAAGGAAATTATCAAGCCCTGATCAGAACTGAATTTGTTCTGGGAGGTAACTATCTGTGCCCTTCCCCCTAGTTTTTTTTAGTAAGCTTGTTTATCAAAGATATAGATTTAAACTTTGACTTTTCAGGACACCTTCTGTTTTAAATTACCAGGATGACATAGAATAAGCTTTTAAAAATGAGCAAATGCCCTACTCACCTCCACCCACTTCCAGCTCTGAACTCTCACTCTCATACCCACTGTCTGAGGCCAGCTCGCTAACCTTCCAGCTCTCTCCCCTCTTTCTCCTGGTAACCAGTTGGTTGACTTCAGCTCCTGGACTCCTCCGTCTTCACACAGTCAGCATAACGTTGGCTGAATTTCCTTCTAAAATAGACCAGATGCCCTGGTCTATCCATCAGCTGCTCCCTAACTTTCTCTTAGCCTTCCCCCAATCTGTTACACCAGTTCTGGATAAGGTTCTGGATCAACCCCATCACACCCCTTTTTTGATCTTACCATTAGCCTACTGTGCACTCCTTAAAATAAAAATTCAACGTTATGCATGTGTCCTTACAAAGTCAATGTCTTCAATCCACCTAAGCTTTTATCCTTACCTGACAATCTTCCCACTGTCCCAAGTTAGCTTCCTCACTCATTTCTCTCAAAAACTCTTTTGAACCTTCTTTCATCTCCAAGGCCATTTTGGCCATCTCAGTGATACACTAAACATCCCTAAATCAATTGCTCAGAGCTAGATCTACGTTCAGAATACCAGGTCCTATCTCCTGACCCTCAAAAGCCTGAGAGTTACTCCAATCTTAACATTTCTAAATTAAAATTATACCTAATTCTTGCCCCAACCTGTTCTTCTATAGCACTTCTTTTTGGAATGATGCTAAAACCATTTAGGTTTACTGATATCTAGGCCAGAAATCAGTAAGTCATTCTTGAGTCTTTCTCAACTCTCCTCTCACAGTTAATTACTCACTATACCACCACCACTACCACCACCACCATCATCACCATCACCCCATATCACCACCACCAACACCACCACTGCTGCCATCACCACCACCATATCCACCACCATTATCACCCAACCATCACCACTACATCATCGCCACCACTACTCCCACCACCACCATCAACACCACCACCATCACCACCATCACTACCATCACTTCCATCACCCAACCATCCCCACCACCATCATCAAATCAACACCACCACTACCACATAACCACCACTACCTCTACCTCCACCACCACCACCACCACCATCACTCCACCATCTCCACCACCACTACCACCATCACCCCACCATCACCACCACCTCATCACTACCTCCATTACCACATAGTCACCACGACCACCACCACCACCACCACATCACCACCACCACCACCACAACCATCATCACCACCACCACCACTACCACCACCATCAAATCACCACCACCATTACCACATCACCACCACCACCATCATCAAATCACCACTACCCTACTGCATCACCACCACCATTACCATCAAATCATCATTACCACTACCACATAACCACCACCACCATCAGCAAATCATCATTACTACTACCACATCACCACCACTACCATCACCACCATCAAATCACCATCACCACCGCTATCACTACCACCATCAAATCACCACCACCATTACCACATCACCACCACCACCATCGTCAAATCACCACTACCCTACCGCATCACCACCACCACCATCATCAAATCATCACCATCACTACCACATCACCACCACCACCACCATTACCATCAAATCACTACCCCCACTACCACATCACCACCACTACCACTACCACCATCAAATCACCACCACCATTACCACATCACCACCAACACCATCATCAAATCACCACCACCGTCACCTCACCACCACCACCACCATCATTACCATTAAATCACCACCACCATCACATCACCACCACCACCACCATCATTACCATTAAATCACCACCACCATTACCACATTACCACCACTACCATCAAATGACCACCACCACTACCACATCACCACCACCACCATTATTACCATCAAATCACTACCATCACTACCACATCACCACTATCACCATCACCCCCACCACCATCACCACTACCATCACCCCCATCACCACCACCACCATCACATCACCACCACTACTACCACATCACCACCATCATCACTGCCACCATTACCCCGCAGCACCATCACTGTCACCACCACCACCCCCACCACTACCACCATCCTGCCCCCCACCATTATTGTCCATCACCATCGCCACTACTCCATCACCACTATTATCACCACCTTCACCATCATTACCACCACTACCATCACTGTTCCCACCACCATTGTAATTGATGGTAAGATGGGAAATCAAAGTGATTTTTTTTCACAAACACACTACCTATTGGGGTGATTGCCTGGCATATTCAGAGTCACATCAGAAAAGGGCCATGCTGAAGTCATTTTCCACATAGGGTAGCAGCAGTGGAACCACCTCTGATTCTGCTGAAGGCAGAAAGAGCATACTGTTGTGGGCTTTCTGTGTTGCCAGAGCATGTTATGAAGAAGAGTGAGGTTTGTTTCTTTTCCCCTGAGAGCTCCTTATGTTTTATATGCAACAAGGAGGACTGGTTTATGTCTTCATAGACCTTTTGTTGCATACTTAATTCAGTTTTTATTGTACTGCATGCAGCTCACAGGAAAACTAAATTGGGTGAGTCTCTGCAAGAACCCATTTAATATGCTGTGGGACAGAATGTTGGGGACATGGGTGTGTCTCCTTCCCCCAACCCTTGTCTCTCAGTTATGCAGGCAAATATTACTTTAGAAATATAAAACTACCCATTCAAGAAAAAAGACTTGGGCTTCAGATGTTTGCTTTTCTGACTTTCTTTCCTTTATTCTTCACATTTTTTATATCTATTTCCCTGTTGGTAGAGATTAAAGAAAATACTTTAAAATTAATATGCCTCAGAGTCAATCTCCATAGCTCATTCTAAATCAGTGAAGGAATGAAGGCCACTGGGAATGTGGTTGTAGATGTCAGCTTATTAGAGGGTGCTCAAGCTTGATGCAAACATATTGCTTGTGAAGGGCTGGCATTTTACTCATAGTCACTAAAGGCACCTGTTTCCCACATTGCTTTTTTTCCCATTGTTATTAGCATAATTAAATTTTGGTGTTTTTTTTTTTAAATCTCTTAGCACTTAATTTTTTTCCCCCTACTAGGTGAAGCAGCACAGTCTTTGGACCTAAAGGAAATTAAAGACAGTTAACCTAAAGAATGAAGCTATTTTCTGTTAGTGGGTATTCATTCTCTGTTTAGCTGGTAGAGGGTGTATTTAAAGACTCAAAATAAGCCTGGTGTGGTACCTGTAGTCCCAGCTACTCAGAAGGCTGAGGTGGGAGGCCAAGAGTTCAAGGCTGTTGACTGTGAATAGCTACTGCACTCTGGCCTGAGCAAAATAGCAAAATCCCATCTCTCTCTAAAAAGAGATTCAAACGATTCTTCCTTTGAGTAGATTTGAGGTGGCTTTCAAGTTAGAAAGAAAATGATCTTTAAAGATCAAAAAGGAAATGAAACTATCTGGACACAATTGTTCCCAAACAAGAAAGAAACTTATGACTAAAGGAATATGGTATAGCTTTCCCTTCTGGTCATGGAAGAAAGCAAGCCACAGAAAAGTCCAGGTGAAGGTCAGATACGGCTCATGACTTTCAATCTAAGTGTCATGATTCTTTGGTATCCACTCCCACAGAACACCCCAAGCTTCGTGGCTCTCCTTTTCCAGGATGAGAACACATCTGAAAGAGACTTGCTGCTCTACCAGCTTCAACTCCAAGATGTTTTCATAGTTAGATTTTTGGAACATTTGCATAGATTTTGTTCAGTTCTGCCTCTGACTCGGGAAATTAGAGACCTCACTCAATGTGTGCCTCCCTCCTCTCTGAGCAAGTAGTGCCTTTACCATTGGTGGATGCTTGGATATTCCTCTTGCTGCCACCAGGAACAAACATTTGTCCTTGTACCTGGTACCTCCTGCCCAGTCTTATGAAGCACCAAAGGGGAAAGAAGAAGTCACAGATCCAGGCAAGAGTGGCATCCCCTGCCTGGGCATTCATCCTCCACCTCTCTTCCCCACAGATGGTTGGCTGTGACTATGAGATCGATTCCAATGCCACCGAGGATCGCTGCGGTGTGTGCCTGGGAGATGGCTCTTCCTGCCAGACTGTGAGAAAGATGTTTAAGCAGAAGGAAGGATCTGGTAATAAACAAATAAATAATCGAAGTGGCAGGGGACCAAAGGTGGGGGGCAAGATAAATGGTTGATTGGTTCCTAGTTTTTGTTTTTATTTCTTTAAACAGTCTGTGATTTTCAAAGTATTCAAAATGGAATATAGCCTTTACCACAAAGGAGGAAGGGTTCTTCGGCAGTTGTAGGAAACGGGTTGATTGCTGACAAAATACAGGATGCATCACAGTGAGATAGAGATCTGAAATGGCCCTGTGGTTGTGCACAGGAACAGGTATAAGAGTGTGATCTCTGGGAGAGGATCCCCTTTGGGAACAAGCATCACAAGAGGATCCAGCATTAAAGCCAATGGCATTGGAACAGACCAAGAACTAGGGGAGAGAAGAGATCAGAAGCTGGCCGAGAAGGCTGCAGACACAAGGACAGATTCTGTAGTGAGGACAGAAGCCAGCAATGGGTTTACAGGCAAAAGAATTGGGGTGCACCTTCAATTCAAAGTCAAAAGAGAAGCAAGGCAGGGTTGCATCAAATCTCGTTTATTCCCAATTGCTCCCTGGGAGGGGGTCCCACCCACTGGTCCCTTATGAATTTCCAGACAGCTCCTCCACCTAGCATCCCCTTCTTACCCACGCTTTACTATTCTTTTCCCATAGTCACCTTTTGCAGAGTTTCTTCTCTGTGCAGCTTTGGGCTATGGATAGTCCTCAGGGCATGAAGAGTTCACCTTCAAGGGTGGACCCCAAGGAAGAGTCAGTTCCCAAGGAAGGCAGCTAAGAAAGGGTGAACCATTATATGGGAACCATGGCAGATCTTGCACCTCTGAGTTTCCCCGACCTGAGGGGTGAAGGAATTGAGATAATATACACCACTTTCCACCAGTCATGGGTTGAGGTTACTCTAGGGAGATCGGACTGTTAATTCTCTGGATTCCATAGAGATGCTGGGAGTAGGGAATCCATCATGCACTATTGCAGTAGGGCCTGAGGGGAGAGGGGCAGTGTCTGCTACACAGGGTTGATGCCCAGGACAGGAAGTGATAGCCACTTTGAGAGATGGTAAAGCCCTGTTTTCCTGGATCCTGGAAAAATAATATCTCTCTTCTAAACATGCTTCCTACCCAGGATGAAGTTACTGAGTAGGATCCTGAGAGGATCAAGTATGTTCTTCAGTTAATTACATGACCTATTGTTCCCTAGTAATCATAACAGCAAACAGTCTAAATTTAATTTCCATCCCTATTTTTCATCTTTGACTATTGGATTACTAAGCTTAAGTTGTGAGATGTAATGCTTGTCCTGCCCATGAGAATTACCACTGGAAGACTGTATTTCATGTCTTTGATTGATAGCTTTATTATGGATGAAAAATACTCTCTGAATTACTTATTTGGAATGTGAATGATAACCGGTATGTCTTAGGCTTATGATTAAGCACCCTATGATAGCCAATGTTTTTACAAGCTTTACAAAGGTGTTTTGTAAATATTTTTCATTATTTATAGTGGCTTTACTTACTTATAAAAAGTTACACTTAAAATCGTATTTCTGCATTTAACCTGTTTTTTCGTTTTTGTTTCTGTTTTTGTTTTTTTGAGACGGAGTCTCGCCCTGTCGCCAGGGTGGAGTGCAGTGCTGCAATCTCAGCTCACTGCAACCTCTGCTGCTGGGTTCAAGCAATTCTTCTGCCTCAGCCTCCCGAGTAGCTGGGACTACAGGTGCACGCCAGCACACCCAGATAATTTTTGTATTTTTAGTAGAGACGGAGTTTCACCATATTGGCCAGGATGGTCTTGATCTCTTGACCTCGTGATCCACCCACCTCAGCTTCCCAAAGTGCTGGGATTACAGGCATGAGCCACTGGGACCAGCTAACCTGTTTTATTTAATTTTCTTTATGAGTTCCTATCTTGGCCTCTGAGGTGCTGTTCTTCTAATATTATGATAACTCAATTGAAAACCAGAGTTGTTGTCCCCAGGTCTCTTCCACTTAACCTTGTAATCCCTTAGGAAATCCAACTCTAATTCTGGGTTCTTTCCTCTGCCCTGGTCTCTTGGGAATGAGAAAGAGGGATTATAAATGTCTTCTGCTCCCCTGTTACCCCTACCCCTTCCTGCCTCCAAGATCTCAATACCTCTAGCCACATGCCCACCACTGAGCATTTGACATCTCCCTGTGCCTTTGTGTTTTCCATTCTCTTTCTCCCATGTCCCCTTCCTACAATTCCTTTCCACCAGCTTCTAACAAGAGGGTCATGGTTGCTCGCAGTGTGTTACAAGATTCCAATTATCTCACAACCCTCTTTTGAGATAACTGAGACTAAGAGTCTTAATCTAAGGCAAGGCATTTTAACTTCTCAAAACATATACCAGGTACTGTTATTTTTATATATTTCTTCCTCACTCTGTGGTTTGTGAGCCTGTCAAACACTGGTTTGTATCTGAACCAGACACCTATGTGTCACTGCTCTCAAGCCTGGGATCAGACATGGACCAGCATTTCCCAGGAGCCTCCACACATCAATCATGAGATATTGGCCTGCAGTGAGCATTGTCTCAAATGGACAGCATAAATCTTTAAAAAGACAAGCTGACCACTGTAGATAAGTTGCCCAGGGTTAATGGTATAACCTCTTTATGAGCACATTTTTATTAGAAATGTCAAAGACTGGAGACCAAATATGCCAGTGAGTAAAGTCCGTTTTTGTGGACCACAAAAACAGTTGGATAAGATGTGTGTTAGCATCAATAATGTATGATGTCTCTTATCAGAATCTCAGAAATGAGGGCCTATCTTTTGCCGCATCCTCAAACATCCTGAATATTCTTTTTTTTTTTTTTTTTTTTGAGATGGAGTCTTGCTGTGTCACCCAGGCTGGAGTGCAGTGGTATGATCTAGGCTCACTGCAATCTCTGCCTCCTGGGTTCAAGCAATTCTCCTGCCTCAGCCTCCCTGGTAGCTGGGATTACAGGTGCGTGACACCACGCCTGGCTAATTTTTGTATTTTTTTAGTAGAAATGGAGTTTCACCATATTGGCCAGGCTGGTCTCAAACTCCTGACCTCATGATCCACCCATCTCGGCCTCCCAAAATGCTGGGATTACAGGCATCCTGAGTATTCTTTCAGCTCAATGTGCTCAAGACTGGGATAGTGATGGAATAGTTTCTCCAGGTGGTCTCCTTGGACCCAGAGACTTCTTGTTTGAGGTCAAAATTATGTTCCTCCTCTTCCCCTTATACTGGTGCAAGCAGCTAATGCTTCCACTGGCGAAGATGCAAGAAAATTGATTTGCTAAGCAAATATAGTCATCATTCTTAATACAGTTGACCCTTGAATAACACGGGGTCGAACCAAATGAGTCCACTTAGTATGAGGATGTTTTTCAATAAATACATTGAAAAATGTTTTGGAGATTTTTGTGACAATTTGAGAAAACTCACAGATGAACTGTGTAGCCTAGACACATCAGAAAAATTAAGAAAAAGGTATGCCATGAGTGCATAAAATATATGTAGATATTAGTCTTTTTTATCATTTACTACCATAAAATATACACAAATCTATTATAAAAAGTTAAAAATCTATTAAAACTTATGAACACAAACACTTACAGGCCACACATGGCACCATTTGCAGTTGAGAGAAGTGTAAACAAACCAAAGATGCAGTATTAAATCATAACTGCATAAAAGTGACTGTAGTAATACTGTACTACCAGAATAATTTCATAGCCACCTCCTCTTGCTATTGTGGTGAGCTCAAGTGTTGCAAATATCTGTTTAAAACGCTGTGTGATGCTAATCATTTCCATGTGAGGATATTTGTCCAGTAAATTGTGTATCACAGTAAAAAGTGATCTCCTGCAATTCTTGAATATTTTTCATTGTGTTTAGCACAATACCATAAACCTTGAATAACACCATGGGATTCATACAAAGTGCCACTAGTGATGCTGGAAATGCTCCCAAGAAGCAGAGAAAAGTCATGACATTACAGGAAAAAGTTGAATTGCTTGATATGTACCATAAGGTCTGCAGCTATAGCTGTCTGCTACTTCAAGATAAATGAATCTAGTGTAGAAAAGGAAATTTGTAAAGCCATCACTACAGCTATGCCAGCAGGTACAAAGACCTTGCACTTTTTGTGAAACTTTTTATCTTTCATGTAGCTTTCACATCGGTGCAGGACTGCTATAGGAAAGGCATACCATACCTATAGACTCTGATATGATTCAGCATAAAGCAAAGTCATTGGCCGGATGCAGTGGCTCACGCCTGTAATCCCAACACTTTGGGAGGCCGAGGAGGGCAGATCACGAGGTCAAGAGATCGAGACCATCCTGGCCAACGTGGTGAAACCCTGTCTCTACTAAAAGTACAAAAATTAGCTGCGTGTGGTGGCACGCGCTGGTAGTCCCAGCTACTCAGGAGGCTGAGGCAGGAGAATCGCTTGAACCCAAGAGGCGGAGGTTGCAGTGAGCCCAGATCGCACCACTGCACTCCAGCCTGGTGACAGAGCGAGACTCCATCTCAAAAAAAATTAATAAATAAATAAATATATACATACATACATACATGCATACATACATAGCAAAGTTATTATATGACAACTTAAAGCAAAAGGAAGGAGAGGGACCTAAAGCTGGATAATTTAATACCTGTAAGGTATGATTTGATAATTTTTGAAAGAGGTTTGGTTTTAAAAGTGTCAAGATAACAGGAGAAGCAGCTTCTGCAAGAGACATCAGATGAGTCTCCAGCTGCCATTAAGAAAATCCTTGAAGAGAAAAAAATCTGCCTAAACAGATTTTTAATGTGGATGAAAGTGCCCTATTGTGGGGCAAAAATGCTAAAAAGGACTTTTACTAGTAAAGAAGATAAACGAATACCAGATTTAAGGCAGGAAGGAATAGGCTACCTCTATTGTTTTATGCAAATACAGTCTGGTTTATGATCTGTAAAGGAGCTAACGTAACAGCCTTGAAGGGAAAAGATAAACACAAGCTGCCAGTCTTTTGGTTGTACAAGGAGAAGGCCTGGACAATGAGAATGCTTCTTCTGAATTGGATGCATTGATGCTTTGTCCATAAAGTCAGGAAGTACCTTGCCAGTAAGGAACTGCCTTTTGAAGTTCTTTTGATATTGAACAATGCCCCTGGCTACCCATGAACTCAGCACCAAAGGCATCAAAGTGACCTACTTGCCCAGAAACAAAATGTCTCTAATTCAGCCTCTAGACCAGAGGGTCATAAGGATCTTTTATGCTCATTACACCCAATACTCTTTGGAAAGGAGTGTCAACATTATGGAAGAGAACGCTGACAGAAACGTCATGAAAGTCTGGAAGGATTACAACGTTGAAGATGCCATTGTCCTAGAAAATGCCATGAAAGCCATCAAGCCCAAGAGTAAATTTCTGCTGGAGAAAACTGTGTCCCAATGTTGTGGATGGCTTCACAGAACTTGTAACAGAGACAATCAAGGAAATCGTGAAAGAGATTGTGAATATGTGAGAAAGGCAGGGGTGAAGGGTTTCAAGATATGGATTTTGGAGAAATTCAAGAGTTGCTAGACACCACACCAGGGGAATTAACAGAAGACAAATTGATGAAGAGAGTGCTTCCGAACCAGGACCAGACGACTGTCCCAGAAAGAAGATGGAGAAGAAACAGTGCCAGAAAACAAATAGACATTGGACAGTCTAACAGAAGGGTTCTGATTACTCAAGACTGCTTTTGATTTCTTATATGACATGGACTCTTCTGTGATACAGACACTGAAACTAAAGCAAATGGTGGAAGAAGGATTAGTACCATATAGAACACTTTTAGAGAAATGAAAAAGCAAAATGTCAGACAGAAATTGCAATGAATTTCTGCAAAGTTTCACTGAATGTGTCTGCCTCTCTTCCTCCATCTCCACTTCCTCCACCTCTTCTACCTGAGAGAAAAATCAACCCCTCCTCTTCGTTTTCCTCCTCAGCCTACTCAACATGAAGACAACAAGGATGAAGGTCTTTATGAGGATCCACTTCTGCTTAATGAATAGTAAATACATTTCATCATGAATTTCTTAACATTTTATTTTCTCTAGCTTACTTTATCATAAGAATTCAATATATAATGCATATAACACAAAAAATATGTATTAGTGGACTGTTGATGTTATTGGTAGAGCTTCTGGTCAAGTTGTTAAGTTTGGAGATAGTCAAAAATTATACACAAATATTTTTACTTGCGTAGGGGCTCAGTGCCCTAACCCCTGTGTTGTTTAAGGGCCACTTGTACTTTGGAGCTATTCTTACTGGTCCTTCTTTTATCTACAAGCTATTCAGAAGCAGTAAGTTAAATATGCCTCTTTCAATCTACCCATAATAAATATTTCTAGTTTTGGATTTTCTCTCTTAAGTGGAAGAATAAAAAGCAAACACTGTTATTTATTGTTTTTTTTTTCTATTTAGGTTTTTATTTTTTAAAAGCAAGGAGCAAGGTGGTAGACACAGTATTTCATACCAGTTCATTTACCTGCATGAGCTCTGATATGAAAAGGCATGCAACATCCTAAGTATGAAAATGACTGCAGATAGCAACACTCGGAGGGCATTTATTTTTTAAAACCATTAGCCTCGATTACATGTGATCAATATCTTCCCGGAGGTGGTCATACATTAGTGGTTTTAATCAGCTGTTCTAGGCAAGTGTTTGAGAGCCAAATGGAACTTAATTAAATACTACGCAAACCACATTTTTGTTCCTCTGGATGAGAGCTGCCAATTTGAAAAATGAGGCAGAGGTTGTGATCTGTATCCAGTTTCAGAGCAAATTATTCTTGCTGGACAGGCCACAGTTTGACCCCTAGGACCCCATACTTCTTTAGCGCCAGAGGAAGATGAAGAAATTGAGGCACTTTCAGGTGACAAAGAGGAAGGGCTTGCTCATCAGACCAAATAACGTAGTGCATATCCAGTGGAAAAATAACCAAGATCATCAATGTCTTAAAACTGTATTTTATATTTAAAAAAAAAAAAAAGTTGAAAGAACAAAGAATAGTTAACTTGCAAAAGAGAAAAATCACTCACTATTAGAGCTGAGAGGGACCGCAGACGTCATCATTCAATCCCCTTCTGTGCAATGAGATTCAAAGAAGTTAGATGAATCAATGAAACTCATAGAGCTGATTTGCAGAAACGCAGAGACTAGAATGCAAGTCTTTCAACTCCCATTGCCCCAGAATTCCTTTCGCAATGCCAACCTCCAAGTCCATGTTCTTTCCATTTTATTAGGGAATGGTTCTCAAGAATCATAAAGAAAGTGAATGCATAAAATGTTTAGCATAGAGCTTGGCAAACACTGGCAACCATTAAGTGTTAATTTTTTCACCAGTATGCCTCTTACCATAATGACCATTAAACAGGAATAATAAGACTGTGGCTGGAGTTGATTGTTATCTTTAAGTAAATGTCAACCTATGATGCTTTTTCAGAAGGCTGAATTAGAACACAAGAGAATAAATTATAAGTTCCTATTTCAGTGATATATAAAAGAAAAAATGAGAAAGAAAACTTTCTAATGAATAGAATCGTCCAACAGTATAAAAGGCTGTACTCAGAGTTGAGTTCCTCATCATAGGCTGTATTCAAGATAGCCAGGTGGCAAACAATCTGAGATTCCCTCCAGGATTTTCTTAATGAATGGAAGCTAGGATTACATTACTTCTAAGAGTCTGTCTTTAACCTGCTGGCAAGGGGGGTGAGGAAAAGTATGTATCCAATGCAATGTTCAGGAAGTCTAATGTAATAGTAGCAACAAAGGGGGAAGCAGAGATACTAGCAGGAAGCTAGCAAGGAGCTTTAGGGTTTTGAAGTATCAACATAAAATTACAGAAAAATAAATGCTAGATCAACCACAAAAGCTTCAGAGTCCAATCTGCTCTTATTTCACCTCTCCTTACAAAACTGGGCACATATTGAGTCACAAAACTCCTGAGAATTCTGTTCGTGTCCAAGTTCTCGAAAATCCCCCATAAGTAGTGCTTCTGCCAATTCCAGTGGCCACCCAGCAAGGTCACTAAATGATGGGGAGGCTGGAAAGAGGATTAACAGTGGGTCACAAACAGATTGCATTCAGCTGAGAAGCTGGCGTGCCTCTTTCATGATTGTGTCTTCTCTCTTTAGGTTATGTTGACATTGGGCTCATTCCAAAAGGAGCAAGGGACATAAGAGTGATGGAAATTGAGGGAGCTGGAAACTTCCTGGCCATCAGGAGTGAAGATCCTGAAAAATATTACCTGAATGGAGGGTTTATTATCCAGTGGAACGGGAACTATAAGCTGGCAGGGACTGTCTTTCAGTATGACAGGAAAGGAGACCTGGAAAAGCTGATGGCCACAGGTCCCACCAATGAGTCTGTGTGGATCCAGGTAATGCAGAAAGGAGGGAAACTGCTGACATGTGTGCTAGTTAGAATACTTCTCCTTTTTCCCCAAGGTACTTGCTAGGGGACATTAAGTCAGAATCTTTAAAACCTCTTTTAGCAAGGAGCAGGGAGGGGAATGAGATATTAGTTTGTGCTGTTAATCCTTTATTGCCTAGATATTGCTGAAACCCCCATAACAAAATGCAAGGTGCTTTAAAACCACCCACTGGGAGGTTTGAGTTCAGCTTCTGGGCTGATTTAATTGAGGGTGATTGTTCCTGAAGTCTATTGTCATTGTGGCACGGGTTTCCAAGTAGCTTTCCAACAGTGGGGATAAAGTGACATGTTACTCTGTGTTGTCCTCAAGCAAAGCATTTGGCTTTGTGAAATTCTTGCTGGAAGGAGGAGTTAGAATACAACATGTGCTCTTCAAAGGTCCAAGAAATTTATCTTTCATATTGGGCACAGAACTGTAGAAAAGGAGTGGAATGAATATACCGATAGCAGCAAGGCAGATTGAGGATGAGAGATGGCCAAGGAGTTAGATCCAGCCACAGTCTAAAGTTAGAGAGACATCCTTTTCGAGCCAGAGATCAGAGCACTCACAGAAGCTGAAGGTCAAGCGTGGCAGTTGTGATCCATGAGTGTCGGGAGACTTTGCTTCTGACACAGGCAAGGATTAACACATGGGAATCCCCAGTCCCAGGGAGCAACCAATCCAATGCCTCTATGTTTAAGGTGAATCAATTTTAAACATGTGATAAGTAGATTGCCTGCATGAGAGGGAAGTAAGGGGAAGATCCCAAGAGCAGCATACCTAAGTTAAAGTCCATGACCATTGTTAGCTCAGAACTACTATTTGTTAAAGATACTGAGTAGCCTGAGAGGTAGGGAAAGCCATCGTAAGACAACAATAACAAACATAATACAAGTTAACATTCGCTGAGCCACTGTTCTAACCACTTTCCATGTGTTTACTCATTTAACCCTCACAACAATCCTACAAATAGGCACTATTTATTATCCCCACTTTGTATATGGGCAAACTGTGGCACTTACCTATATTCACAAAGCTGGTAAGTGCATAAGAACACAAAGTAACCTATCGGCCTATTGTTGGAAAGGATACTCCTTGCCATTTCCACAGAGTACTCCCCATATGATTTGATCTCCTCATTTATGTGAACTGAAATTCCCATGGGAATCCAGCCAAGAACTAATTAGATGGAAAATATATAGCTATAGAGGTAGATGTAGATATATAGATATGAACTTAGACACAGACATAGGTATAGACATAGGCACAGACATAGGTATAGATCTATTTAATGGCTTTATTCCAATGCATGCTCCCATTACTAATTTTAGATGACTGACATTTTGTGGTGTTTTTACATGACTGGCTTATGGTATAAAGTCATGACAGTTTGACATGACCCCTCTCTTGCCTTTTAGCTTCTATTCCAGGTGACTAACCCTGGCATCAAGTATGAGTACACAATCCAGAAAGATGGCCTTGACAATGATGTTGAGCAGCAGATGTACTTCTGGCAGTACGGCCACTGGACAGAGTGCAGTGTGACCTGCGGGACAGGTGAGAAACAGCTGCTCTCACTATGAAGCCATGCCAGCCTCAGAGCAGTTTGTAGAGGTGATTACACCAGTGATTTGCTTTGTGCTCTCTGCCCATGGATCTGCAGGGCTCCACTGAGATGGCCAGGGGCCTCTGCGGACAGTGAACATGGGCATGGTTTGAAGAGAGGCAGTTTTTCTTTTATCAGCTCTATATACTGGCCTTTTATAGAGCTGATAAAAAAGTTGATAAAAGTTTTCAGTAAAACCTTTGTTTGAATGTTTCATTACGTGTCAAACAAAAAGCATTAACAACCAATGCTCTGGTTGAGAACCTGAAGACCACAAAAGTGGAACAACTCCTCAAATGTGTACCATAAATCATGGCCAAATTCAAACCACAACCAGCTCTTCTGATTCCTAACCCAGTGCTCTTTCTCCATCTCCTGTTTATTCATTTTTATACATATAGCAGAGGAGTAGCTTACTCTCACAAAATCAAGCACTGGAGAGATTCACTTGCTGCCATGTACTAGTCAGGATGGGATAAGTTCTGCCACAAGAACAAAAAAATTGAAATCTTAGTAATTCAACACAATGAAGGTTGATTTTTAACCCACTGTATGCCTGAAGCAGGTTAGAAGACTCTGCTTCATTTCCTACATAAGACATACAAAACACATGGCTTCCAGCTTGCCCCGTAAGGAAAGAAAGATGGGAGAGGCACCCTGGCTCTGTTGACAGCCTTGGCCTGGAAGTGCTGCAAGTCACTTCCACTCACATCTCGTTGGTTGGCGTTAGTCACATGGGCACCATCTAACTGCAAAGGGAGGCTGGCAATTATGGAGGGGTACGTGGACATTTGAGGAGCATGGAATCTCTGCTGCAGTGCTGGATGAACTTTCCCAAGCCCTGTGAAGGCAGGGGTCAGGGCCTGCTGAATACTTGGGGCTATATCACTCATTTAGGGGGCTTTAGTAATATTGCCATATGCAAAAGCCTCTACCTCTCTTTCTCCTTTGGGTCACGTCCAAGTCTGTTCTGAAACTTCTTGCCTCTAGGCTGTAACTGCAACCTGCAAAACTAGGACAGCTGCAGAGTGATGTGCCAGAATTGGTGATGTAGCAAAAGGGAAGAAAACTGAAGCAAGTGAATGGAGCAGAAGACCATGGCCTACTCTCCCACAGGCTTCCCTCTCACATACCAGGTCTCTGCAGCACCTGCACTGGCTTTCCCACCCCTGAGAGTTGTGCACCATCAACCTTATAAACAATTTTTGTATTATCAACTTCTTTCTTTCCCCATTTCAGCACAGAAAGCCAAGGTTAGCTTTTAGAATTCATAAGAATAAAATTAAATTATGTGATATTTAACAATGCTAACTAACCCTCTGGAAATCTATCAAGGTCAAAGGTGCAGTCTGTGGCAGCAGCCATGAGTGGTGTTGATAGGAGAGTCAGTCCTGCCATTCCTACCACTGCCTCTAGCATTTCCAAACATACTGCCCACCACTGCTCAGGGTCGGGGACTGGGCTTGGAGTTAGGTGAAGGCAATTTAAGCAGAAAATAAGTGGGTGAAAAAAATTTCCCTTGAGGAGCAACAGGAGGAAAATGAAGTCATTGTGACTATAGATATAAATACTTTGTTGATTTGTCATCCCCTTTGTTCTCATCTTTCTATGAAGTACAAGTTTAAGCTCTAAGTCATTTGTCTCAGGGCACCATGGAATGAAACAGCCAGTGCTGATGGCAGGGACTCCTGAAAGAAACAAGAGAACATCCTCCACTCACTTCTGTTTCAAGATAGAATGGACCCTTTGCATCACACACACAATATTTCAGAACATCAGGAATCAAGAGATAAGTGGCTGATGTGTGCAGTGATCATAAAAAGACATCTGAAGTCAGCTAGGAAATTGGACATTCTCACCAGATGTAAATCAGACATTTGGTTTTGTTACAGCCTAAGCCTTCAGCAGCACTTCCACCTACCTAGGTAAATGTCACTCTGATTACTAAGCCTTAATGGGAAAGATCACAATGCTCACATGCTCACCTGAACTTCAGCCACACTGTTTGTTTGAGTGAGGGCGAATCTTACTCTGGCAAAGGAGAAAGACAGCAGCATATCTACTGTAATACTCTCAAACATAGAGAATGAAATGCTATTATTCACACAGGACACACATTGCTAAATGTAACATTGGAAGGTTGCCTGAAACACTGAATCATTCAGTGATGGATTTTTATTTTATTTAGGCTAAAACTTTCTACACTGTAAAAGTAAGTTAAACACATTACTGAAACATGAAAAATTGTCACCACTCTAACACATGCACTTTTGCTACTTTGCTTTTCTTTCCTTTCAGTGCATTTTTTTCTAATCATAGATGTATATAGGTGTGTGTATATGGATGCATTTATGTACATTACACACATATTTTCACTTATCACAATACGGATACTTTTTCATGTGTTAGATAATCTTCATAGCTATCAATTTTAAGGATGCATTTAATTTGCTGAAAAGATAAAGTAAAATTTCCTTAACCAATTCCTTATTGCTGTTCTTCTGATGAGCATTTAGGGACCTGTGTAAAAAAATGGTCTCCTCAGTTTTAATTTCTGTGTGAAATTTCTAGGTTCAAAGAATATAAATATTCTGATAATTGACTTATACCAAATTACCAGATAATATTAACTTATTGCCAAATTGATTTCCATAGTAAATGGGTTACAAATAGGTGGCAGCAATCATTTTATTTTTTTAATTATTGTGTTATTTTCGTTTTACTGAGAAACATTTCAAACATATTAGCAAAATAGAGAATGTAGTAACAAATTCCTTTGTACTAACCACTCAGCTTTATTGCTCTTACCATTTTGTTTCAATCTTTACTATTAAAGACAAAAAAAAAAAAAGTCCCACAGCTACAATCAAGAAGCGCATTCCACATCCACTTCCTTCACTTTTTCCCCAGGGTTAACTAGGGTCGTGAAACTAGTGTTTATTATTCTCATGTATATGGTTAAATACTTTTACTATGCATATGTATAGCCATACACATTATATAGGATTGTTTCTCAGGCATTTAAGCTTTCTGCAAATAGTATCATATGCACTATACCATGCTTTGTCTTTTTTTTCCCTCAACATTATGCTTTTGAGGTAAATCCACATTGATTAAAGTAGCTCTAGTACTTTTTTTTTCTGTCACCCAGGCTGGAGTGGGATGGCACGATCTTGGCTCACTGAAACTTCTACCTCTGGGTTCGAGCGATCTCTTGCCTCAGCCTCCTGAGTAGCTGAGATTACAGGCATGCACCATCACATCCAGCTAATTTTTGTATTTTTAGTAGAGACAGGGTTTCACCATGTTGGCCAGGCTGGTCTCAAACTCCCAACCTCAAGTGATCCACCTGCCTCAGCCTCCCAAAGTGCTGGAATTACAGGCATGAGCCACTGTGCCCAGTCTCTCATACATTTATTTTAAGGGTTGTGTACTATTCCGTTCCGTGAATATATCATGATTTATTTATACATGCTACTATTTTGCAGCTATAAATATTTCTGCAATTCTGTAATGAATGCCTTATGATTATTCCCTCATTACCTCCGTATTTGGGCTTCTTTAATATGTCTACCTAAAAGTAAAATGCCTAGGTCATACAGTCTCCATATCATAGGAGTAAATCTGTGAACTCATAGGGTGCCGTGGAATATTTTAAATTTTCCAGGGAAACAATGAAATGTTAAAGGGAAACACAGCAGGAGTTAACATTTCTTGGACATCATGTGTCTACTACCTGCTCGAGGTAGTTCAAGGTTAGGTCATACTACATTCTTTTCAATGACATTCTATGTTTGTGAAACTGGTTTTTCAGTGGTTGCTGTGATTAAAAAATCAAGTACCTCCTGAAAATCGATGTGAAACCGGAAATATGGTGTCTCATTCCAAGATTTGAAAAGTTGTACAGTATCCAATAGAGGCACACACCTCATCAAGTCAATTTAAAATGAAACAAAAATACTATTTTGTTTTTCTTTTTTGTTGTTGCTGTTGTTGTTCGTTTGTTTGAGACAGAGTTTCATTCTTGTTGAACAGGCTGGAGCACAATGGCTCAATCTCGGCTCACCGCAACCTCCACCTCCCAGGTTCAAGTGATTCTCTCTTGTCTCAGCCTCCCGAGTAGCTGGGATTACAGGCATGCGCCACCATGCCTGGCTAATTTTGTATTTTTAGTAGAGACGGGGTTTCTCCATGTTGGTCAGGCGGGTCTCGAGCTCCTGACCTCAGGTGATCCGCCCACTTTGGCCTCCCAAAGTGCTGCAATTACAGGCATGAGCCACCATGCCTGGCCTGTTTTTCAATTTATATGTATTATTTTTTCAGATGGCTACTAAGTTGTTGGACCATAAATCTTTATTAAGACTGAATTATTTAATGAATGGAACTGTTAAATGTTTTATTTTGCATAGAGGCCACAAGAAAAATGACTGAAACATGAAGGGCAATATGAACCAAAAATGTTGCAAGTCTCTGTTCTAGTCTTTGCCTTGTCTTTTAAACTTTGTTTACGTTGACTTATTTACATTAAGCAGAACTCATATTAAGTAGAAATATTACACTTTGTGAGGCAGGAAGTCACTTGTGCCCAGGATTTTGAGATCAGCCTGGACAACATGGTGAAACTCTGTCTCTACAACAAATACAAAACTTAGCCAGGTGTGGTGGTGGTGGGCGCCTGTAGTCCCAGCTACTGTGGGGGCTGAGGCATGAGGATTACTTGAGCCCAGGAGGTTGAGGCTGCAGTGAGCCAAGATCCTGCCACTGCACTCCAGCCTGGGCAACAGAGTGAGAACCTCTCTCCAAAAAAAAAAAAAAAAAAAGTTAAATTTTTAATATAATGAATTTTGTGTGTTTTCCCTTTAAAGTTTGTGCTTTCGGTGTCTTAACTAAAAATACTTTTCTATCCTATATGTAGATATGATCCTATATTTTCTTCTAAAAGTTTTAGATTTTGAATTTCACATAGGGAGTTTAACCCACCTAAACTTATTTTTTGTGTGAGGTGTAAAGTAGGAATCCAGTTTCCTTAGGAATAATCAATTATTCCAACCACATTTATTTAATATGACAACCCCTCCTTGTTGGCACTTTTAAAGCTGTTATTATTTTAATACCTTATTTTAAAGAAATTGCTGAGAATTTGACAAAACTAATGTGGATGGCTATAACTGCACTTGACAATATCTGTATGGGGGAGGAAGTGAAATCTCTAGACAGTACTTAGAAATGAATGCTCTCATCCCACCCCACCTACATGTAATTCAGGTTAAATATGCGCGCATCCTAGTAGCTGGAACATCTGTTTCTAGCTTCTTGTTTCCCTTGGCTGCTTTTCAATTGGATTTCCTCCATCAGATCCGAGGCTTATCACCACAGCCAGGGTTTGTTAAACATCACCACTGTCCTGCATTAAATAGGAGGGCCGGGACTAAGCTAATAACTCACCTGCCTTTCTGACCGAGTGATGCTCTCCATGGTCACTTACCATTCAGGCTCCTTGGGAGGGTGCTTTTCTTTGTCTGTACCTCTGGGTGGAACTGGTTTTCTTTCCTCTTGTTCCTGCAGTTGCACGTGAAAAGGTGGGTTCATTGTGGCTTCTCTGGGGCAGCTGTGTGATGCTTTGCCACTATCAGAGAGTCAAAGGAACTGCATCTCAACAAACTCACTGTATCCCATCTGTGAGAACTCTAAGCGTGATAAGTGATGATTCTCTTCTGTTTTCCTTTTTCCATCCAGTTTTGTAAGCACATCTGTAAAAAGACCCAACTTTTTAGGAATTGTAGTCATTAAAATCTTATTAGCTTGGTTTTTAAAGCACAGAATTCTATTGTTAAAATGATCGAACTCTGTCTTCATCTACCTCTGATTATTTGCCGACTTGTAATTTTAATTATAATATTTGTGTGCACGTCTTATCTCCTTTGCCAGATTGTAAACTCCTGGATGACAGGTTCTGTGCTTGATGCTTTTTGTGTGTCTTTCCTCCTTCCCAGGTGTGGCACAGTGCTACTTACTGGTTTATTCTAAAGAATGTTACAAAGGAAACAGATGAAGAGATGCATAGGGCAAAGTGTGTGGAAAGGTGATAGAGCTTCCATGCCCCCTCTGGGTGCTCCACCCTCCAGGAACTTCCATGTGTTCAGCCATCTGGAAGCTCTTTCACTGGCATTTATCCAATTTGCTTATAGGTGTGGGTCTATTTCCCAGCTCCTATTCTGTTGCATTGATCTAGTTCTCTAATTTTTGCAGCTTTATATATGTGTTAGTATTAAAATTCCTTATCTAGTTCTTTCTCTTTAAAAATCTTCTTATCTATTCCTGGCCTTTGCTTATTTATCAGTTTGTAAAACTCCAAGAAAATCCTTACTGGAATTGTGATCAATTTGTATGTTACTTATGTGAGGATTGATACCTTTAAAACTGAGTTTTCCTGGGTCTGAATACATACGGCTAACTAGGGAGGTGAAAGATCTCTACAAGGAGAACCACAAAACACTGCTCAAAGAAATCAGAGATAACACACAAAAAATGGAAAAACATTCCATGCTCATGGAAAGGAATCATCAATATCATTAAAACGGCCATACAGCCCAAAGCAATTTACAGATTCAATGCTATTACTATTAAACTACCATTTAGATTCTTCACGGAACTAGAAAAAAACTATTGTAAAATTCATATGGAACCAAAAAAGAGCCTGAATAGCCAAGGTATGAATACAATAGATCTCTCTATTCAGGTCTTCGGGATTCTTTAAGAATTATTTTCTCCTTAGAGATACATAGGAATGCTCTTGATTTTTATGTTTTAATTTTGTATCCGGCAACCTTGCTGAACTCTATTATTAGTTCTGTTTGTCTGTAGAATTTTTTGAATTTTTGTTTCAGTAATGAGAACATTTTTATCTCCTTTCCAGATGTTTCACTTTTTGTTTTTTGAAGTCATTGCATTGCATTGCATTGCATTGCATTGGGCCTGTCACAGAGTGCTGAATGGAATAGATCCCAATAGACAATAAGAGATATGTATGCCTTTCTGCTGACTTTGATAAGAATGCTTCAGATGATCCTTATCGGTGAAAAAAAAATTTCTTCTATTCCTGGCTTATTACCTTATTATAAATGAGTGTTGAATCTGTTTAATTTTTTTTGCATCTACTGAGATGATCATATAGTTTTTCTCCATTAATATTCTAAAAGAGTTGGTTATTTCATGAATAGATTTTCTGTTATTGAACTGTACTGGCATTCCTTTGACAAAGCTTACTTAATGTGGTATAAATTCATACATGTATTATATACACTGTTGAGTTCTGTTTGCTAATATTTCACTTAGGACTTTTGCATCTACATTCATGAATGAGATCTATCTTTAATATTCCCTTCCAGCACTCTCCTTGTTCAGCTGGGTATCAAAGTTATAGAAGGCTCATAAATGAGTTGGGTTATTTTTCCTCTTTTTTCTCTGCAACTTTATATAAAATAAGAATAACAATGGTTTGTGTCCATTGCTGTTCTTGCTTCCAGAGAAATTTCTCCACAGATTCTAGTCAGTCCTACTTTGGTTAGGTGGGGGAGATTTTTCTTCATTCTTCTGTCCTCACATAGGACTCACGAATGCATTCAAAGGTAAGTTGTCTGCAGATCAAGTGGCTAGAGTGGGCACGCAGTGGTCTGTGCATGAAGGCAACTCATCCTTACAGTTTCTTCACACTTCTTGACCATATGGGTCAATAGGTACTCCTTATTTTCTCATTCATTTATATTATTCTTTCTTCCTGTTGACTGGCTACTATTTTCCTTTAAGATAGAGAAGCATTCAAGTAAGTGTCTCCTGCAATTGTATAAAATCTTCCCTGGTCCCATGGCTCTCTTTCTCATTCTTAAGTAATAAATAGTCCTATTAGTATGTCATGGTAGTTCATTAAGATTGTAGCCTCTGGGATGGGCGCAGTGGCTCACGCCTGTAATCCCAACACTTTGGGAGGACGAGGCAGGCAGATCACCTGAGGTCAGGAGTTTGAGACCAGCCTGGCCAACATGGTGAAACCTCATCTCTACAAAAAATACAAAAATTAGCCAGGCGTGGTGATGTGTGCCTGTAGTCCCAGCTACTTGGGAGGCTGAGGGAGGAGATTTGCTTGAACCGGGGAGGCAGAGGTTGCAATGAGTCGAGATTGCACCTCTGCATTCCAGGCTGGGCAACAGAGTGAGACTCCATCTCAAAAAAAAGAGAGGATTGTGGCCTCTGGAACCAGACTGTTCAGATTTAAATCCCAGCTTAACCAGCTATCAACTATATAACTTTGTATAACTTATTTGTGCTTCAATTTCTTCATCTATAAATGTGAGAAATTTTGTATGGTTGGTATGAGAATTAAACGAATGAATATATGTAAAATGTAATTGTTAAAAAGCAGTGCCAGAAAATTATTAGTAATTATCTATTTAAATACTACTCATTGATTATCCTCTTTATTCTCTGTTCTGTGACTCCTATTACATGAATGCTGAAACTTCTCGATTTACTCTGTATACATCTTAAATGCTTTTTATATGTTTCAAGTATTTTTTCCTTTCAAACTGAACTCTGAGTTCCTCAGAACTTTATTCAACATCACTCACTTACTCTTCAACTGTGTCCTATCTAGAATTTACCCTCACCACAGCATTTTTTATTTCAATGACTATATTTTCCTAAGTTTTCCAGTTGTCATTTTTATATGTATCTATTCTTGTTTCTTCCATTTTTACAATTTATTATGCTCAACTAATAGAAATTATATCTTTTTTAAATTTATTTGAACATCCTCAACATTTTATTTCTGTGTGGGAGAAAAATGCAAGAGGTAAGGAGAAGATATCCAAAGTTTTTGCAGCAGTCAAGGGAAATAATACAGTGGCTAGAACTGAAATTAAAGTGACATAGATGGAAAAATTGTACAAATGTGGAGCTCTTTAGGAAATAGGCTAGACTCGGCTCAGTGGTTGATTCCATTTATCTATTAGTGGACAGTGATTTGAGCATAGGGAAGACTGAAAGGTAACACTCTCTGTGCTCCGTTGGGTAAGTAGCCAAATGGTGGTATCATTCACTGCGACAAAGAACATATAACAAGAAACAGGTCTGAAGAAGAGTTTATTTTTATATATGTCTAATTAAAATGCCCAAAGGCAGTAACATGCTTATTTTAAAGCTTATCAGAGTGCCCTATCAAATTTATTTCACCCAGAGTGGATTCCTATTCTAATTACTTTGTAGCTTGTCTTAGCATTAGATTTCTCTAAATGTATTTTGGAATTATAATTTACAGGTTTGATTAGAGTGTAATTTCCTTTTAGTGGCTTTTTCTTTTTTCTCTCTCCTGCCTCTTTTCTCCCATCTTCTGTCTGTATGCACCCCACCCTTTCTAATACTTTTGCAGTTTTACTTGACCACACTGCAGAGCCTCATTTCAGGACCAGGATTTGTCATGATTGTTTAGAACTGTTGTCTCATGGTGACATTGACAATATACCGGATAAAGTGATGGAGCCAGCAGGTAGGTCGGCTGAGCTCTTGATTAGAAATTGAATTCTTGTCTTGCTAACTTCCCAGGCCTAAAACTCTTCAAGAGTGATTGTGCTAAGTAGGGGGGTGGTGGGGGGTTGTTCTTTCTTTTCTTTTCTTTTCTTTTTTTTTAATTTTGAGATGGAGTTTTGGTCTTTTTGCCCAAGCTAGAGTGCAGTGGCGTAATTTCCGCTCACTGCAACCTCCACCTCCCAGGTTCAAGTGATTCTCCTGCCTCAGCCTGCCCAGTAGCTGGGATTACAGGCATGCGCCACCACACCCAGCTAATTTTGTAATTTTAGTAGATACGGGGTTTCGCCATGTTGGCCAGGCTGGTCTCGAACTCCTGACCTCAGGTGATCTGCCCACTTCATTCCTGCTCCTTCAGATGATTTTTATCAGGGAAAATAAATTTTCTTCTATTCCTAGTTTATGACATCTTTCATTATAAACGAGTGTTGAATCTGATATTTTTCTGTATCTTCTGAGATGATCTTGTTTTATATCTATTAATATGCTAATTTGGTTACTCCATGAATAGATTTTCTGTTACTGAGCTGTACTGGCGTTCCTTGGTTACAGTTTACTTAATATGATATAAATTTATACTTATATTAACTGCATTCACTCTTGATGAGTTCTAGGCCTAAGAAGGTAGTAAGACACTAACAAGGCCAGGAGCCTGACAGAGCTCTGCTTAAGTTAAGCACTTCACTTAAGTTCTGCTCAGTATTTTGCAGGGCTGTTTGACTACATTTGAGTGTGGTGCCTTATTTTTTGTATTTTATAATCTAATTTTGTTTACGTGTTTATATGTGATATATTACTGTTACACATTTGGAACAAAGTAAGCATAAATTCACTAAGATGTTGTTTTCTTATTTTGAATTTTTAAAATATTACCTTTGTTCTAGATCAGAGATCCATGTGAAAAACTGGCAAGACAATAGTCTAAACTGAGCTCACTGGTATGAGAGCCAGCCGACTTTCCACAGTTTAGTGCTCAGAGGTAAAGGGCACTCTCAGAGAACACCAGTGACAGCTTTGTCTCCAAGCCAGTGTCTGTTCTTCTCTCCCCTCAGCGGCATTTGCTTTTACTTCTGCCTTACCATGGAGAGTGACGCTCTGACTTTAGGGGAATTTAGGACTGACTACTCCTCAGGAAACTTGGAAAAGAATTACCATGCATTACGGAAGGCTTAATGAAAGTAATTTATCTGAGTCACCCATCAAAAGATCACCAATGAAAGTTCAGCCAATAGATTATCTGTGAAGAAACATCTGCAGAAATGGCTTGACACAGATATTCATCTCCACAGGAAGCTTCAGGACTCCTTATAAGAAAATATTTGGGCAAAAGCTCAGGATCACTTTTAGAGAGATGCAAAAGCCACCTTTTTGCCTCATTGCAGCCTTAGTACTGCAGAGTTCTGTCAGTCATAATAGCGTCTAACCAAAATTTCCTGTGTCCTGGAATGGCCCTACTGCTGGAAAATAGCTCCTCACTTCTGAACGTGACCTTTGCCATTTTTGTGCTCAGTGATCTTGATTCTGCGTTTTGGGGCCTGTAGGTACAACAGTGGCCTACACAAAAGAGAGAACACTTCTGCCCTACCCTGGGCTTCTCCTTTTCCTTTATCTCCTGGGTAAATTCTCTCTGGAGTTAAGTCATTCTCCCTTTGTTCAAAAAATGTCATGTGCTGGTAGGAAAAGCAAATATTGAAAACTGCAAAGACCATGCCTACAAAGTTCCTGGAGATTGTTTGACTGTTCTAAACTGAATTATAAACTAGATCACATTCATTGGAAATAAATTAGCGTGGAGCAGATACTTCTGTTTACTGAAACTAGTTCCTACAGGATTTATCCAATAGTATTCCTACTGAAGCTCAGTGTAACCATGCTTGAGATAATGTCCACATATCCTTGGTAAAGCACGAGATTCATAAATAGAAGCACCTATTCCGCTATAACCCTGATTTGTGACCATATACTGATATTTAGAAAGCAGAATACACTTCTTTGGAAACTCAGAGTCAGATACTTATTTAACATTTTCAAAGTGCACTCATCTTGGTGCTAATCCATCTGACTTTGTCCACCATAATGGTCAGGTAGGATCAACCAAGTTCAGATATTGATCTGTCATAATGTAGGACTTCATAAAGATAATAGGAGGACGAATTCAGATGATTTCAATGGAATTAAATTATTGGAATTGAGAGATGGATACTCTAGAATGAGGATCATATAGTTTACTAAATGCATAAATATATAAAATAATCTACTAGTAATATACAGTGGAGGTCTGATAACCTTTCTGTTGTAGTTCACTAATGAAGAAATGAGAATCCTTAATCAGAGTGGCTAATCTAATGGTCTGTTATTTAGCCAGCCTTCCTAGTTCCATTTTTTACCCTGTGCGGCCAGCGGAGATTTATCCTGCCCTTATTTCAAGGCCTTAGTTTTGTTCTTTAATAATGCAGTTGCCTGGAATTTCTCAGTTGGTTTCTGTGGAGCTTTGCCTTGCTCGGTGTGCTCTGTGGAATGCTGACTGGCTGCTTTTCTTGTTAACCCATGAGAGCTGTGAGGCATTGTAGGCCTCTGATTTTCTTTAAGTGAATGAGGTCCCTGACTTGGACACAGAAAGGGAGTCATAATCAGGCAGGAATACTCTTGATTGTGGTGAATTTTGAAAATATCTCCTTCATAGGGCAGAATCTTTTTCTACCTAAGACTATTAAACATTCTTTAAGCACCTTATTTAAGCATTTCTTATATAAATTCTTATGTTACCCGTAATCATGACAGTCAACTTATGAACTTATGTAACAGTTCATTGGCATTTCAGGGAGAGAAAAAGTAGTGGCTTGGAGTTTTACTGATGTGAGAGGTATAGGTTTCAACAAATGATGATAGTAAAATAATATCTTATTATCTAATATACATTCAATATTTGTGGTTATTGAAGTCAATGTCAATGTTCTTTTGAGCTAGGAAATAAAAATGAATTGTGTAACAAGGGTCTAGTTGTTTGTAGGAAGGAGTTTACATCACAGAAGTATGAAAACTACGGCTTCATTGAATTGGATGAGTTGAGTTCGCTTTATTCCCTAGCCTCAGAGTGTGAAGCCAACCCTGATCTTATGAGGTGCAGGAAGCAGAATTTTAGAGGGAGTTAATATTCACTATTGGATGAGTGGGTTACAAAGAGGCTTTGGATTCAGGTTACAAAACTTTTCTCAAGGTCCTACTATGTGCATTCAGCATAGTACCAGGACTTAGGGTACATCGTGGGCATATGAGGATGCATACATCATTTTGTCCTCACAACAACCCTATACTATAATCTTTTGCCATCCTGAAGATGAGGACAAGGAAATTGAGGCTTGAGAAGGTTAGCAGGATTGTCCAAGATTACTCAGTAAGTAAATGTTAAAAGCAGGATTCAAAACCAGTTCCAGTTTTGATGGTGCTGTCGATGTTGTGATTGTTGATCACACACACACACACACACACACACACACACACACTCTTAAATGTGTTTGAGCTTCTATAGTCATGAGACCCAAGCTGTCCTTGACAGAGCCTTCATTATGAAGGGTAGATCTGAACTCATAGAGCATGAAAACAGGTGAAGAAACCTAGAGAGCCAGAAAGAAAAAAGGTAAATATTTAGTGGGAACCTAAAGTGAAAGTTGGCTAAGAATGGACTCATTGACAAGAGAGACGGACGGATAAACAATTCCTACACTTCTCTTCTTCTTGTGAAGTTAATGTTTGCTACTTATTTAGGGGAATTGTAAGTGACAAGCTCTTTATTGAGTCACAGAATTGTTATCATTTTCTATTATTAAAATCAATGTTATGTCTAATTTGGGGAGGATTGTAATTTACGTGCTAATGTGCAATTTAACTTGTACTGGTATCATTCTCACTTAAATGGTTATTTTAAAAAAGAGACCTTAACAGTATTTTAAAGATTGAGTATACAATGCCTTGAAACTTTCACATGCTGTAATTAAATGTTCACTGTCTTAAGTATCTAATCTTAAGTTTATACATAACAGGAAATACTATAGTTTTAACCATAAGTCATTACAATAAGCTATGTCTTCACTTGTTTTATCTAAGTCTTTCAGTTGTCTAAACTGAATTTTTGAATCAAATTTAATTAACCATAACAAACTCCCTTGATTTTACAATCTGGATATTGAATTGAGAATATGATGAGCTATGTCATTTTCTTTTAGACGTAAGGAACATTGCTTGTTCCTTATATCGAGGCATAATTTTCATTCAAGATGAGTACTCCTGTTTAGAGTACAGGAAGACGTTCTTTTAAAGGCACTTAGTTGACTTTTCATTGCTAGTATCCAATGAGATTTACTAAGTACTGCTGCATGGCAACATTCTGGTTGCTACCTGGGGAAAGGCATTCAGAATCATCTGGAAATAACATTTTGAATTTAGTTCTCATATATTTTGGAATGCAACTGATTTCTACTTTGTGTCTTTTGAAGTAAGTGCTTCCAGATAAACAGTTAACTTAGTGCTGTGGCAACATATTGATTGATTGGCATCCTTAATTAGCTGGAATTTCTTTTGGGACTATATTTAGTATAGAAGAGAAAGGGAAAAAATAGCAAGCCAAATAAAAAGCCAATATCATTTATCTTTCTTTAATTTCCAGGGAAAGATCAAGGTCACATAGACTTAGCTGAATGTGTTGTATTTCCTGCATTTGCAGTGTCACATAATGATAACTGCTCTTAAAAGGGTGACTGATTTGAACCCCCTCCACAAGAGATATTACAATATCCTATGTCAAAGAAAGATTTTATTTCAGCAATCGATTTTCAGAGTTAATGAGTGTATCACTGAAGATGAATAGTTTAGGATTTTTACTGCAAAGGAGAAATTACCAGTTAGGGACCCAGCAGGGAACAGCTGGAACAGTCAAGCTGACGACCTTGCCTACTTTCAAAGGTATGGGTAGGGTTTAGGGAAATTAAGAAAGGTAATTTACTGCCCCTGCCCATTAACAGTGAAGGGTCAGGGGAATAAGGCTACCATCCCTAGGCCTAAAGAATTAAGGGGGAGGAGCAGTTAAAGAGATAGTGCCTCCATTTCCCAAATCTCATGGGAAGCCACAGCAATCCACAGGATGACCTTCTTGAGGTTTAGGGCAGGGAAGAGAAGGGGGCACAGTGGATCTGGAGGGAAAACAGAAGAACTGTAGCACAAGAGAAAAGAACATGAAAAATCAATAAAATCAATCATGGTTGGACTATAGCAAGCCAAGCTCAACTGCAGCTCTGGGTCTTGACTGGAGGAAAGAAGAAAGCTCACATTTATTGAGTGTTCTTTCCATTACTCCTGGTATATAACAAAGCACCCTTAAATTAGTGTAGTAAAACATCCACCCCTTTATTATGCCACAGATCCTGTGGGTCAGAAATTGAGACAGGACACATTGGGTATGCTGTGCCTCTGTTCCACTGTGTTTGGCACTTTGGCTAGGAAGACTCAAATGCCTGGGGGCTAGAACCATCTGAATGCTGTTTTATTCATGTGAGTGGCACCTAAGCCGGTTGATCCAAGGGCTAGGTTCATCTGGGGCTGACTGTTGACCTACATGTGGCCTTTCCAAGGGCGCTGAGTTTCCCCACTGTGGTAGCTGGAGTGTCCCGAGATTGAGACACAGATGCAGCAGATGAAGTTGCTTGGCCTTTTCTAATCTGGCCTCTGAAGTCACACAGCATCACTTCTGCATTTAGTTCAAGGCCAGGAGAATTAGACTCTGTGTCTCAGTGAGGGATGACAAGGTCATGTTGTAGAAGAGCACGCTGAATGGGAGAATATTGTTGCAGCCACCTTTGGAAAATATGAGCTGCCATATGCACACTCACGAAGGCAATATGAACTAATATCATTTTGAAACATCCTGACAATCGTTTCAACAAACCATTTTCTAGGTTAACCATAAAATTATATTAACCAGATCCTTTCATTATCCAAGGTTTCCAATGATTAAACTTTGTCTTCCTTTTATGGAGCATCACTTTTAAAATGTAAGAGATGCTTCCAGGATAAACTAGCTGAGCTTCCTGCCCTCCAACAGCATGAATATCACTGTTCTCATTTTCCTACAGACTAAACCCAGTGATGTGTAGAAGGAAAAGTAGGGACTAGAACTCAGGACGCTTGGATTCTATTTGTTTTCTTTTCTTTTTTTTATTTAAGCAGGAATAGATAAGAAATGAATTGATAAATTAAATTTTACCAAATGAACACACAAGCATCAGACTTGAGAAAGAAGCCCTTGGCTATCCTATAATGTCAGGGGGTCGACCTACTGGGTTGGGGCCCTCATTGGAAGATTGGGCTTAGCTTGGTATCTGGCACATACAAGGGCTGTAGCATATAAGAATGCAGTTGCTGAGAGAAGAGTAATGGTCACCAGGACCATTAATGTCAGTGGAGAAACTCTGACACATAGTTATCCCTTTTCCTTTTGCCCTTGATGACATCTGCCTGGCCTATCCATTCATCTCCCAGCTGGTGCAGTGGATTGACCCATGCCATGTTATTAACTTTCCGAAGGGGATTTTATGTAAGGTTTTGTGCCCTTCTGGAGACAGGGACACTAAGCACACTTACCTTTGCTATTCGTGCACAGATACAAGCCTTTTCGGAATGTTTCCAACCTGTTACAGTCATCTGACGGTCCTTTTCATGTTTTGACATCAAGAATTTGCCAAACCACCCAAGCTTTAATGAAACTTCTAAGCAGCTAAACTTTTTTCCCCCACTCTCCAATGGCAGATGCATGTCAGCTTCTCTGATGTCAATGATCCGAGTCTCTATTCCACCGACATCTGTTAGTTGGGAAAGCCTGAGAGGTTGAAGGTTTACTTGTCTCTTGAAAACAGAATTTTCTCAAAAAAAAAAAATTGTTCTTTTTTAAAGGATTTACTTACTGTTTTGCAACTCCCTCTGACACTTTTTTAAGTGACAAGATGCCATCTGGCATCAGGGGGATTTGGCTGAAGCGAGTCCATGCTGAGGCAGTGCGAGGTGGTGGGTGGTAGGACAGCAGGTTCCAGGTCAGTCCTGCGAGCTGTGTGACTGAGGGAAAGCCCCTCAGTGTCCTTGGCTGTAAAGGGAGGAGGTGACCAGCTCGTTGGATTGCTCCGGGCCTTTCCAATTCTGGAGTTCTGTACACCAGTGAGCCCACACAAGGTCTAGACATCCTGAGAGCTCAGGGTGCCAGCCTTTGTACAGACTGTTCTGCCTTTCAGGGTTCTTAGTCTTTAGTATTCTTACCCAGTGTTTCACGTGTCACATGTGAGCACTAGCCCTTTCAAGGGAGATGCTGAGTTGCTTCTTCACTGCCCCTTCACTTCAGTCCATGACAGTCTGGCCACTCCTCTACATTCCCTTGCTAATGATGTCCTAGTTATCAAAGTCAGTGGTCCTTTCCCTTTCTCAACCTTTGTGACTTCACTGTGCCTCAGTTTCTTCGCCTGTCAGATAATGATAATGACGGTGCTGATTTCATTGGGTTGTTGAGAGGTTTGGGTTATTATACATCATAATAGATAACAGGTAATACATTATTGATATAAATACACATAGTTTAGAACAGTGCCTGGGACAAGGCTTCATTTGCCTATAGACCCTGTGTGAGTCCCTTACTTACATTAACTACCTGGTCTCTGAAGGCAGCAGGATTATCAATCCTTGCTATCAAATCCCTGTATTTTAAAAAACATAACATCTCAAACTTCACAACATTATTTTAAATTGTATTTCAGTCTTTCAGAATTTACTGACATCAACTAATATAAAGATATCTGTCTCCTCTATCCTTTAATTACGCTAATAATGTAGCAATTGCCTCATAACACCTGGTGATGATATCTACTTTCATTAGTAGTAGCAGTAGTATTTTGGAGACAGAGTCTCGCTCTGTTGCCCAGGCTGGAGTGCAGTGGCACGATCTCAGCTCACGGCAACCTTCGCCTCCTGGGTTCAAGGGATTCTCCTGCCTCAGCCTCCCAAGTAGCTGAGATGACAGGAGCCCACCAACACACCCAGCTAATTTTTGTATTTTTAGTAGAGATGGGGTTTCACCATTTTGGCCAGGCTGATCTCGAACTTCTGACCTCAAGTGATCCACCTGCCTCTGCCTCCCAAAGTGCTGGGATTACAGGTGTGAGCCACTGCGCCCAACCTACTTTCATTATTTAAATCTCATTTGGTTTTCCACCTGGCATGTGTGTGTTAGTCTCGTCTCCATGGCTGGACTGTAATCTATGGAACAGACTTTACCTCCTACCTCTATGATCTACAGTTTTTCCTAGGCAAGCTCTCCTCCTCCTCTTGCCAGCTGCAGCATCAGGGTGAATTGTAAGAGGTCCCTATTCTTCATCCCTCCTTTAAAACCAAGTAACTTTTGAACAACTTTCCCATCAGCCGTCAGCATGATCGTTGACGTGGTCAGGTACCTCACCTGACCATGAGCATGTGGGCTCAGGATTCAATATGTGTGAATCTTTCTGTCTGACCCCCAGGTATCCGCCGCCAAACTGCCCATTGCATAAAGAAGGGCCGCGGGATGGTGAAAGCTACATTCTGTGACCCAGAAACACAGCCCAATGGGAGACAGAAGAAGTGCCATGAAAAGGCTTGTCCACCCAGGTAACCATCGCTAACAGCTGGAGCTCTGTGTGTCTGCCTACAGTGATGTCTGACTCAAGAGTGACCTAGTGCTTGCTGATAAAGAAATATTGTGTGGTTTTGTTATTTGGATAAATACAAGAACGCGGTTAGAGTTTTCTGTGGCTATGCTGTTGGAGCCTGTGGCAAGCTGTGAGGACATATTCTCCCAAGAGCAGTATTTTCACAAGGTGATGTGTTCTGTGTTTAATTATTTGGCAAGACTAACTGCCAAAGCATTGGTGAAGAGAGTGCTAAGTGGATCACCCAAAAGTAGTTTTACTACAGAATTGTCTTTTCCAAGGGCTTTACCAGTGCAACACCAGCCTTCAGACAAAAGGTTGGCACCTTCCGATCACAGTGCCCACTTGTACTTCAGGCTGTCCAGAAGAGGGGGCTCAGAGAGCAGGTTTTCCCAATCTTGACATTACTGGCACGTGGGGCTGGCTGACTCTTTGTTGTGGGGGGCTGTCCGTGAATTGCAGGAGGCTTAGCAGCATTGCTGGCCTGTGTTTACTTAGATGCTAGTAGAACTCCCTCCCTCCCAGTCCAGGCTATGACAACTAAAAATGTCTGCAGACATTGACAGATTTCCACTACGGGGTAAAATCATCCTCAGTTGACAGCCACTGTTATAGAGATATTCAGCAATATTCAGGGTGTTGCTAATCACATTGGTTCAAGAGATTGGGATCCTAGAAGGTAGTTGGGATGTTATTATGCCAGGCTTATGTTTAAAAAAAAGAGAGAGAAAAAAAAGAAAGGAAAAAGATAAAGGAGGAAGAAGGAGAAGAAGAAAAGAGGGAGGGAAAAAGGGAGAGGAAAGAGGAAGAAAGGAAGGAATATTGGTTGATTTCCAGAAAGAGTCTTCATTCTCTGGCAACCTTAAACAGGGATGTATTTATGTTGCAGAGTCCATCAAGCATTCATCCCAGTTCTAAGCAGACACACTATGAGGCATTTAAACAAGGGGGAGACTCAAACAGGTGACAGGGTGGATTCTAAAGAAGAGCTAGAATGTGATAAATATCCAAGAACTAGGTTAGAAAGAAGAGTCAGGACAAGACAGTTGAAAAAAATGATGTCAGTCTCTTAGCAGTCCAAACAGGCAGGACCCAGAGGCCAGGGTATTCTCAGCTCAGAGAGAGAGGTTTATTTTCTCTTCTGTTCTGTGGCTTTTTCTAGGTAGGAGCTGGACCCCACCACTATTGAAGCAGGACAGAAATGTGTCATTGCCTCTCCGTGCTGTAGCTCCTTCCTGTGGTTCTTTTGCCAGGAAGAACTAGAAATGACAAGGGAAGATAAGGCTAGCACTAGGTTTTACCTGAAATTGCAGTTATGTTACTTTCTCAGGGAAGAATGAGGCAGGGAAGACAGCCCTTCTTAGAGCTAGTCCATTGCCTACTACTCCACAGAGTTCATGAACTGTGAGATTTTTGACTGCTGAGAATGTTAATTAGGCACAATATAATACATACAGGTATAATTTCTGAAAATGCACTCTCAAGTAGGATATAATAAGCTAAGTAGAACTGCATGAAACATTCAGATATAATGAAGACTGGATAACTTACAAAGAAAAAGAGGTTTAATGGACTCACAGTTACATGTGGTTAGGGAGGCCTCACAATCGTGGCAGAAGGGGAAAGGCATGTCTTATGTGGCTACAGACAAGAGAGAATGAGAGCCAAGTGAAAGGGTTTTGCCCTAATAAAGCCATCAAATCTCATGAGACTTATTCACTAGCATGAGAACAGTATGGGGCAATCCGCCCCCGTGATTCAATTATCTCCCACCAGGTCCCTCCCACAACACGTGGGAATTATGGGAGCTACAATTCAAGCTGAGATTTGAGTGGGGACACAGCCAAGCCATATCAATGGCCAATTTACAAAAGTGCTTTTTATTTATGATTGCATTTTAGCTTCTACAAATATTTATGAAATAGTCATAAGACAGGGTATGGGTATTACTCTGAGGTGGTATATGAGGAGATAAAGGTTCAGAGAAATTTGATGCCATACCCTAGGGGAAATGGCTGCAGAGAAAACTAGCACTTCTTTTTTTAAATTTTACTTTAAGTTCTGGGATACATGTGCAGAATGTGCAGGATGTTCCATAGATATACATGTGCCATGGTGGTTTGCTGCACCTATCAACCCATCATCTAGGTTTTAAGCCCCGCTTGCATTAGGTATTTGTCCTAATGCTCTCCCACCCCTAGCCCCCCAACTCCCTACAGGCCCCAGTGTGTGATGTTCCCCTCCCTGTGTCCATGTGTTCTCATTGTTCAACTCCCACTTATGAGTCAGAACATGACATGGTATTTGGTTTTCTGTTCCTGTGTTAAAAACTAGCACTTTTTAAGAATGCACTATTTTCCAAGCTGTTTCCACATAACCATATCATTTAAGCCTGTAAGCAACCCTAATTTGTAGATACATTTATGCTCATTATACAAATGAAGACTCTAAAGCTTTCACCAAAATTTTCCTAGGTCACTTAGCTACAAATTGTAGAGTCGGGATTTGAACCCAGATCTGTTTGCTGTGCTGCCTCTGTATGTGCTGCTACACCATGCTGCTGCCTAGGATCTCAGGATAAGCAGGTTTCAGTACTAGAACCAGAATCCCCTACATTTAAACTTTTTCTCTCACATTAAAACACAATAAAAATGTTATGAATGCTTGACTCCAAAACTAAGTCATGCCTCCAGGTCCAAGCAATTCTCCTGCCCCAGCCTCGTGGGTAGCTGGGATTACAGGCGCACACCACCACATCTGGCTAATTTTTGTATTTTTACTAGAGATTAGGTTTCACCATGTTGGCCAGGCTGGTCTCAAACTCCTGACCTCAAGTGATCCACCCGCCTTAGCCTCCCCAAGTGCTGGGATTACAGGCATGAGCCCATGTGCCTGGCGATTTGCTTTTTTAAAAATAAATAAATAATAAACTAATATTATTTGTTTTTGCAAGATTAGTTCACTAGTTTCCTTGTATATGAATTTCAAGCTGCAATATCTTCTTCTGTCACCGAATTTCCATGATCTCTAAAAAGTTCATACCCATCACTGGGAGCTGTCATTTCCTTTCCCAAAAAATTTCCTGTGCAAGGTTTAATCTTATTTATTTATGGATCATTTTTCTTCAGTAATATCTTGTTTTTACAACCAATTTCAACATTCTGTGTTCTTCCCCAAAGGAGTATTTGAGAGAGATTTTTTTAAGATTTAATAAAAACTTTTGATTATCTAAACATAAAAAAATATATATTACATTGCCAATGGCTTTCAGGATGAAAGCCTTGTAGAGCATGTTCCAGGAGAGGGTAGGCTGTCAAGAAAGAAATTCTTTGAAAATTTAATATATCTGACTCCAGAAAGAGGTTATTTGAGTCCCTTCTCCCTACTGACTTCTCTCTGAATTTTGGTTTTCAGCAAAGCAAAGCTCTGCTAGGCCACAGCTGTGATAGTGCCTAGCATATCCAAAGTACTCAATAAACCTCTGACAGTGATTTTTTTAAACTCTGGCAGCTACATGTAGGTTTCAGTCCACAAAATAATGACATATGACTTAAATCAAGGTTTCTCAACCTCAACGCTATTGCTGCTTTGGGCTGGATAGTTTTTTTTGTTTTGTTTTGTTTTTTGTTTTTTTGTTTTTTGTTTTTTTTGTTTGTTTGTTTTGAGACGGAGTTTCGCTCTTGTTGCCCGGGCTGGAGTGCAATGGCGCAATCTCGGCTCACCGCAACCTCCGCCTCCCAGGTTCAAGCGATCCTCCTACCTCAGCCTCCCAAGTAGCTGGGATTACAAACATGTGCCACCACGCCCAGCTAATTTTTGTATTCTTTTTTTTTTAGTAGAGACGGGGTTTCTCCATTTTGGTCAGGCTGGTCTCGAACTCCCGACCTCAGGTGATCCGCCCACCTCAGCCTCCCAAAGTGCTGGGATTACAGGCGTGAGCTACCGCGCCTGGCTTACTGGGCTGGATAGTTTTTTGTTGTGGGAAGCTGTCTAGTGCCAATGTAGGAGGTTTAGCTGTATCCCTGGACTCTATCCACTAGATGCCAATAGAAACCCACCCCCCTTTCCCTGTCACCACTGATTTGTGACGACGAAAAATGTCTTCAGACATTCCCAAATGTCCCCTGGGGAGGGAAGCTGCAGAAATCTCTGCTGATTGAGACCTTCTGATCGAAATGAAAGGAATAAGATCGTTGAGACTGGGAAAAGCCCATGAAAGAGGGAAAAGGACTGAGCATGGTGTGTGTAGGGGACAAGAAAGCTAGGGAAAATGAGGCTGGAGGAATGGGATATAATGAGAATATGGAGACAATGGGTACACAGAGCCAGGAGGTAAGAGTGCTTATACTGTAGTCATGGTTTTGTCAGAATTTGAAATGTTTAGTTGAATCGGATTTTGGAATGTAAATTCTATTAGGAAAAATATTAGTACAAAGAAAGATGATAATTATAAAATTTGATTTCTTAAAGGAAATTACTATTCTCAGCAAGGGTTTAACAAATTCAGTTTTGGACTTTCATTTATCTGAGTAATGAAGGTTAGAAAGAGTGACGTGTCCTGGTTTGTTGGCGATCAGCGCTGTTGGAACATATACTGATAGGGGAATCAGTAGAAGCTACTGATAAAAGAAGGGTTCTTTTAAAAATAAAAGAGAGGTTCAAAGGGTCTCTAACCCATCCCTTCTACTTGATCTCAGAGAGGACTCATATCCAAACTACAGTAAACTTTTACAGAATTCTGGAACAACTACAGGCTCTTCAAAGATCTCAAACATAGGCACACACATACACACACACACACACACACACACTTAGACATTTAGATAAAACATAAAATCTCCATAAATATAAAAACAGTATTTTAGAAATCTCCAACAAGAGGTGGGATTATGGCAAACACCCAAAAGAATGAGATGGGCAGCAGAGAACAACTGGACCATGGCTCCTGAGCCCTGGACCTGGAAGACCTTTACAGGAAAAAAAAAAAAAAAAAAGGAAGAAGAAGATGGTTTTCACTTTAATCTTGTGAGACTAAGACTAAGCTGTTTTAGTCCATTTTGTGTGGCTGTACCAGAATACCACAGACTGGGTAATTTATAAAGAACAAATTTATTTCGTGGCCAGGTATGGTGGCTCACTCTGTAATCCCAGCACTTTGCGAGGCCGCGGCAGGATTACTTGAGCGCAGGAGTTCGAGACTAGCCTGGGTGACAAAGCAAGACCCTTTCTCTATAAAAATAAAAAATAAATTTCTTTTAAAAATAAACATTTCTCACAGTTCTGGAGATTGGATGGCCAAGATTGGAGGTTCATTTGATCTGGCGGGGGTCTTCTTGCTGCATCCTCATAAGGCTGAAGGAGGAAGGGCAACAGAGGACAAACGTTCATGTCCTCATACAGAAGAGTGAGAGGGAGTAAACCACTCCCAAATCCTTTTCCAAGTGGCCTTAATCCATTCATGATGGTAAAGCCCTCACGATCTAAACACCTCCCATCAGATCCCACCTCCCAACACTGTTATATTGAGGATTAAGTTTCTAACACATATGTTTTGGGGAACACATTCAGACTATAGCAAAATCACAGGCAATATGTCCCCTAAGGGACTGTAGAGAAAACTCCAAGAAGAGAAAACAAGAACGTCTATTATCACTTTGCAGTAATACAGCTGAAAGCCCTGTAGCAAGTACTTAGATAAATTAGGCTTTCAACCAACTCAGATTAAGACCTTTTCAGAATGGCATTTTATATATTCCCTTGGCCTGCCCTCCTTTAGAAAAGTCAGAGGCAGGACAAAGTAATTAGATTAATACAGTGGGGCACTTATTTGGTTTCACATCATACTGTTCCAATATTATTAGCTCTTTATCCACTGATGTTAAACACCAAAGAATAAATAAGTAATCTCAATTACTTATTAAATGAAGAATATGATTGAATTGAGGAATTGCTTTCTTCTGATATTTTTAACTTGAGATTAAAAGTGTCACAATCAAAAGAAATTCTACATAAATAAATCTAATATTTAGTAAATAAAAATAAAAGTAAAAAGTTTTATCTTCAAAATTACCAAAATTCAATGCTGTCTCAAGTCAGGAGGCTTTCCTGAAGTCAGGAATGAAGGACTTCCCCCAGTGTACTATTTTCCCATGAAAAATAGAAGTGCCCCACTTGTTACTATATGAAGGGATGGACAAGCGGGCTGTACACAGGAAAAATAATGGACACAAACCACACTGGGTGAAGACACTCAATCTGTCTTCGGTGTTGGGGAAGATTTGCACAATAATGGAGAAGATGGACAAGAGATGGCTCCCTGCCATTTTCAAAAGCTACTTTTATGTAACCAGTGGGCCCACATCCTAGATTATTGAGTAAAAAACGATTTTATTTATGTTTATTCTTTTTCTACTCATTTCTTATCAAAGGGACCAGTGAGAATATTAACAAGTAGACTGCAGGAGATAGGGAAAAAAATAAAGGCAATATCCCTGATTGATCGCCTCCTAAATAATTTAAAAATTTATGTTTAAGTAGCTACTTTACATTCAATTAAGAGCCAGGAGACCTAGAGTCTAATTGGACTCTTTTATTCAATAGCATGGTCAAAATAACAATAAATCATAACAAATGCTTGAGTTCTTGTTATATGTCAGGCTCTGTACTATGCACATTACATGAATTGGTCTTTCATTTCATGTACAACACAACACTCATATAAAGAAAATATATTTTCACACCCATTGAATAATGAGAAAGCGAGGCTTAAACTTGCTTAAAGTTGCACAGCAGAACCCTGGACCTCAGTTTTCTTCCTGAAAAGAGAGGGCATGCATATATATTTTTTTCTCATTCAAAAACATGCGTATTTAGCAACAGCTCATGCCAGGCGCCCTGCAGAGCTACGGAGCTATGATTGAAGACACGGTGGCCCTGTCTGCAGCACGCCCCCTAGTGGGTTGGAGTGTCTCCATGGCCCTTCCAGCCCTGTGATCTGCATTTCTGCCCCTGCTTTCTCAGTGGTTGAATGGAACATATGCGTAAGTTGGCGATCTTCTCTCACATATCCATGTTTGCCTGCAGGTGGTGGGCAGGGGAGTGGGAAGCATGCTCGGCGACATGCGGGCCCCACGGGGAGAAGAAGCGAACCGTGCTGTGCATCCAGACCATGGTCTCTGACGAGCAGGCTCTCCCGCCCACAGACTGCCAGCACCTGCTGAAGCCCAAGACCCTCCTTTCCTGCAACAGAGACATCCTGTGCCCCTCGGACTGGACAGTGGGCAACTGGAGTGAGGTGAGCTCAGGGCTCGGCGGGGAAACTGGCATTATTCAAGCTTCATCAGCCCCTGCCTTCCTTCTCATTATCCAATCCAAAGTGACCCTAGGTAAAATTGCAAAATAGCCAGTGTTCATCACCCCTGGCCTGTCTCCTGCCTTTCCTGTGTCCACTACTTATTTTCCATTCATAGGGGATCTTGCTCCCACTTGCTCAATGGTCAGCTTACTATCTGACAGGGGTGAGGTAGACCCCCCACTCCCAGTACAGGATCACAAAGACTAGTTAATAAATCATCAGAAGCTTGGCCAGGCCCATTGTTAAACCACTGGTAGCAGATAAGGGACCTCCCACACACCCCAAAAGTGGTTTATAAAACATTGACTGCACATCACTGTAGTTAACCCAAACCAAAAGAGTGTCGCTTGACACTGAGAAAAATCCCCTCAAATTATCCATCTATTCACCATGTGTCAAGTCCAAACCAGACCAAGGTTTCTAACATCTATTATCAGACACACAAGTTCAGATAAATGTTGCATTTTCCCAAAATTAATTTGATCTAATTATCTGACTATAATTGGAAATCAGTAAGCTGGAAGGTTATGAAAAGCTCTCTCAGGCTTTAATTTTCTTTGGGTCACTTTGGAATCTGGTTTCATCAGGCATTGTCATGTTCCCAGTTATTAGTGGAAGGCCCCAAAGTCTCCAAGGGCCTCAGCTCTGCTTCTCTATGTGCAGTTCAGTGAACAACCTAAGAATAACTAGAAAATACATGTTTTTTAAAAATTAACAGGCCAGAGTTTAGAGATGGATGCTGACTTTATCTTACGAGCTTCCTTGAGAAGCCGTATGCTTCCATGATAATGCTACCACTGGACAGGCACCTGTAATCCCAGCACTTTAGGAGGCCGAGGAAGGAGGATCACTTGAGCTTAGGAGTTTGAGACCAGCCCAAGCAACATGATGAAACACCATCTCTATGAAAAATACAATTAGCCAGTCATGGTGGCACATGCCTGTAGTCCCAGCTACTTGGGTGGCTGAGGCAGGAGGATCGCTTGAGACTGGGAGATCGAGGCTGTAGTGAGCTGATATCATGCCACTGTACTCCAGCCTAGGTGAGAAAGTGAGACCCTGTCTCAAAATAATAATAATAACAATAATGCCACCATTGCTCAGGATATTTTAGGAACTCCTGTGAGGACTCAGGAGAAAATGGAGAATATCTGATTCAGGAGAATGCCACAGAAAGTCAATTAGAATGGGGCCTGATGGATAAATGAATAATGTGATCAAAATCTTTGTGTTTAAAAAATATTTGATGATAAATATGTGACAGATTGCTTTTCACCTGCTCTGAAAGAAAAATTCTAAAATTTGTGTAAGCAAAGATACCATCTCTGAAGATACCTATTTGAAAGCAAAACACTCATTTAAATACAGCAGCTTTGATGAAACCTTATTTCCAAGACTCCCTTTTATTAGCTTATGTCACAGTTTAGGTTTATTTACCTTCTGAATCTGTACAGGATGTTCTCTTGGGCATCTAGGTGAAATTAAAAAAAAAAAAAGAAACAGAAAATATGGTCCCTAGATGGTAAGAACTTCCATCCAGTGGGAGAGATGGGATCCAGAAAAGAAAAAGAAAAAAGGAAAGGAAGGATAAAGATATGCATGCAAAGAAATATACCTACATACAAATATGGGTGTATTACTGATTCATGCACAGATGTATGTACACACATCAGTGATAAGCCATACATTCTTTTTGCTATTCCTGGGAGAGTATAATCACGGCATTTGGTTGGCCTGCCTTATTAGTCCACTGCAACCTAGGTTTCTGTGAATTACAGTGTTGTCAAAATAAGGCTGAATGGAGTATTGTGACTGGCCTATTAAATCTGTTTACCAAAAATGTGTTGGCCGCATCCAAAACTGTTAATAATTCTTGTCATGTAGAATTTACTAATTGCCAACATCTTAATGCTTTTTCAGAGGACTGCAATTACAGATTTGGCTGAGGAGTTCTTCTTAATGTGTTCACGTTTATGGGAAGCGTAGTAACCTGTCTTAACTGGAGAACAAGAGACCAAAAAGTTGGCATGATGTAAGAAGCACTTGGGTCTGTGATTCCATATGTAGGCCATTGCATAGTCAATGGACCACACATGGACAGTTTCTAGCTTCCACTTGACAGAGCTGAGCAGAAAGGCTGGGCCAATGCCCTCATTCAGAAGATGTCATTGGAAGTGCTTTTAGTTAAATCAGTATCAAAATATTCATCAAATGGGTCTTCCTTTCTTCTATCTGCTCTCTTACTAATAACCTCCTAATGAACTTTGCTGGAGTATGATGAAATGTCTTTGACATTCTAACTATGCCCAGATACTTTTTTTAAAGAGAGGTGACATAGTGATTCTTGGCAGGCAGTATTTATTATCTAGATTTTGTCTGGAGACCAACATCATTTGAAGCAGGATAGTGCTCCAGCCATCATTTGGTCTGCACTGTGTCATTTTCATCTGCATTTGTCATTTTCATCACCCTGGATGGTCTAAAACTGTAAAGTTACTTATCCAAAAGGCCCAAGAACTGACAGCCTTCTAGACTCCTGTAAAATGGCCTTCTCTGGGCTGAACTAAGTGAGAAGAAAGAGGAAGTACATTCATGAGCTCCTTTCCTTATCAAAGCACTCCACCAACTCAAGCAGTGAGGAGAGAGTGGGCTCAGCCGTGCCAGGTTGGTACACTCATCCCTGTCCCAGCAGGGATCAGAAAGGGGAGCTCTCTCCCCTGCTGCCCCAGACAGGCTTTCCTGCCCCCTGTGACCAGCCCCTTTTCTCTAAGCTTATGTTCTAGATACCTGACTCTCACCTCCAATCTCAGGTTTTACCAAGAATCTTATCCTGGTTTTGCCCATCCTACTTTGTGGACTTAAAGGGTAAAGAAGGGAACTCTATTGTAAACAGAGACCAGGTATCAAAGTTACTGTGACTCCCTTACTTCCCAGATACACCATTTCAGGGACATGCCTTGTGAGAGGCAGCCAGTCTAGTAGTGAAGGGCACAGCCCCTAGAGCATGGCTTCCTGGGTTCAAATGTGTATGTGTGGCAAACAGGACACTCCAGAAGCCAGGATGTGTGTGTTTGTTTATACAGTTTTCCTTTCCAAAGGCATTTCAGGCAGTTTACAATAAAAGGGCTCTAGACATTGAAGTGGTGAACTAGAAGTTGTAGCCACACGTGGGAGCAGAGAGCAACATGATAAACATGAGAATAATAGGGTTATTTTGATGAAGCTTTCAGTTTAACCCAGTGCATCCAGACAACCAGGGCAATAAGGGCAGCCCAGTGGGTTCCATAATTCTTTCTTTTTGATAGATGGAAGGGTACCTCTTCTTCAAGAGACACCCCTGGTACCCCCAATGAGAGCTTTAAAATAAATTGCCAAAATTATATGAGATTTTTAATCATGGCTCCAATGGTTTAGTCAGATACTTTGTAAAAACCTATGCCATCTTTTTCCTTGGAGGGATGGATGGATGGATGGATGGATGGATGGATGGATGGATGGATACATGGATAACCACCATGTACTTAATAAATGTTTGACTAGTGCATCCTTGGCAGAAAGGGAAGTGGGAAGAGTCCTGGCTGAGATCATGGAGAAACCATCTTAGTTCTGGCCTTGTATTGCATAAACTTGTATTGCATAAACTTGTATTGCATATTGAACAGTCTTAGGAAAATGATTTTTCCTTATAGGACCTCAGTTTGCTCAATTATGAACCAACATGTTATTTCTCCTAGTAATTAGACTAATAGTAATGATAGGTGGTAATTTTTCTAGGTTTTCCAGCCCTGGCAATCTAATTGTGTGGCCTTGAGCCAGTGCTAATTCTCTCTTAGCCTGTTGTCACTGAGAAAGATAGGATTATTGTAAGAATTGAATAAGATAATTCATGCAAACACTTAGCGTAGTGCCTGGTAAAAAGTAAGTGTTCACTAAATTATTATCAGACAAGAAGACAAAAGTCTGTTTTCCATGCTACTCTGATTTTGCAAACCTTGTTCAATCAGTCGTACCCAAATGTGCTGAAGGAACTGATTTGTGGCCCCTTAAGTTTTCACCTATCCTCTCCTTGAGCTCAGGGAGCTCATTCATTTTATGCATGAAACACTATAAGCGCAGTGCTTGGGGCCTACAGATTTTTCAAGGGCCTGCACAACATTTGAGACCTGAAAAAAAAAACCTCATGCATTGCATCTATAAAAACAAAAGGACCCTGCAAAATCAGAAATCAATATTTAATTACATATTAATAGGAAATACATACCAAGCATTTTGTATGTATTATTACTATGTATTATGTATGTATCTATTAAGTACTTTTATGGGTATTAGCACATTTAATCTTCACCATGACTTATTTAGCCCCATTTTATTAATACAAGTGAAGAAACTGAGGCATAGAAACATTTAGAAATTTGTCCAAGGTCACATAACCACTAAACCACGGAGCCAGGATTTGAACGCAGGCAGCACAGCGTCTACTCTGAATGTACACTTTGCCATACTGCATCTCAAATATCTGCAAAGTGTAGCAATATGACAGCTCTTAGTATTCATAAGAAATGTTTTGTGTTTGGAAATTATTTGTAGACTGGCTTTTCTCATTCTGTTGGAATTTCAGACTATGCATGACAATTGCTGAGAAATCAGAGCCTCCCCAAAATTAAATGTTACCCTCAGTGAATAACTTCAAAAGCGCAGGAAAAAAATAAAGCCTTTCACAAAAGATTTCAATAGACATTTCTCAAAAGAAGGCATACTAATGGCAAGCAGGCATATGAAAAGGTGCTCAATATCGTTGATCATCAGAGAAATGCAAATCAAAACTATAATGAGATACAACTTTTATTCCAGTTAAAATGGCTTACATCCAAAAGACGGCAAAAGCAAATGCTGGTGAGGATGTGGAGAAAAGGGAACCCTCGTACACTGTTGGTAGGAATGTAAATAGTTTAACCACTGTGGAGAGCAGTTTGGAGGTTCCTCAAAAACGTAAAAGTTAAGCTATCACGTGATCCAGCAATCCCACTGCTGGGTATATACCAAAAAGAAAGGAAACCAGTCTATCAAAGGGATATCTGCACTCCTATGTTTGTTGCAGCGCTGTTTGCAATAGCTAAGATTTGGAAGCAACCCAAGTGTCCCTCAACAGACGACTAGATAAAGAAAATGTGGTGCATATGCATGGTGGAGTACTATTCAGCCATAGGAATGAATGAGATTCAGTCATTTGCAACAACGTGGATAAACTGGAGATCATTATGTGAAGTGAAATAAGCCAGGCACAGAAAGGGAAACATTGCATGTTCTAACTTATTTTAGGGCTCTAAAAATCAAAACAATTGAACTTATGGACATAGAGAGTAGAAGGATAGTTACTAGAGGCTAGAAACAGTAGCGAGAGTTTGCAGGGAAGGTGGGGATGATTAATGGGTACAAAAAAAAAATAGAAAGAATGAATAAGACCTACTATTTGATAGTACAATGAGGTGACTATAGTCAATAATAACTTAATTACACATTTTAAAATAACTTAAAGAGTATAATTAGATTGTTTGTAACTCGAAGGATAAAAGCTTGAGAGGGTGGATACCCCATTCTCTATGACGTGCTTATTTCACATTGCATGCCTGTTTCAAAACATCTCATGTACCCCATAAATATATACACCTACTATGTACCCATAAACATTTTTTAAAACTGGAATGGAAAAAAATAATTTCAAATGTTTTTTATAGCAAAAGTTACGTTTCACTTGAGACAAGAAATGCATTTGAATATATTTGATGGGACATGAGGTGGAGGCTCTAAAAGCAGACACACACAGAGTCTAGGAAGATCTTTAACTGGCCCTTCCTGCGCCTGACAAAAACACACAAACAAAACATTCACTTAACCAAGGTACTGAGAATCGATAAAGTACAAAGCTCATCACAGGGGTGTTGGAATGCAGAGTGACCAAATAGACCGAATGCCGATGTTCACAAATGAGCTCTCTGGCTCTTGGGATAGAAGACGTGGCAGCAAATGGCAATGCTATGTCTATTGCTAAGTGGGAAGCAAAGCTAGACTCATGTGAAGTCCCTGCCACCCGAGGGAAGAGAGCATGGAGGGATAGGGGCATTTTTGAGAGTCGCTGACCCTCTGGATTCCCCAGTCCCAGGCACTCCTGTGGGGCTGGCCACCTGATGTTCTGACCTTGTCACTCCCTCTTTTGGTGTGGAGTGTCATTCATCAACATCTCAGTTCTTCCCAGGCATCAGTAGCCTGTGCTCTGCCAGGGTTCCTGGGGAACAGATATGGGCACCTCTGTTTGCAACAACTACTCACAGAAAACCAGCTGAGAGCTATGTTGATTGTCCTCCTCAGGTCTGATTTGTTTTAATTATCTAGGTCTGATTTTTTTTTATTATCTTAGCTCCCGAGGGCTGCCCTAATGAAGTACCACAAACTGGGCAGATTAAACAACAGGAATTTGTTGTCTCACATGTGCAGAAGCTACAAATCCAAGGTCAAGGTGTTGGCAAAGTGAATTCCTTCTGAAAGCTGGGAGGATGAATTGTTCCACGCCTTTCCCCCAGCTTCTGGTGGTTTGACGTCAATCTTTGGTGCTCATTGGCTTGTAAATGCATCACTCCAATCTCTGCCTTCATCTTCACATGACATTCTACCTGCCTGTGATCTCTGTGTTCAGATTCCCCTTTTGATGTGGATACCATTAGGGCCCACCCTAATGACCTTATTGTAACTTGATTACCTTTTTAAAGATCCTTTCTCCAAATAAGGTCAAATTCTGAGATTGGGGGCATTGGGATTTTGACATATCTTTTTTGAGAGGGACACAATTCAACCCAAAACAGATACCTATGTGTTTTAGCTTGCTTTCAAAGCTGGTGTTTGTATGAGATCTAATTATTCATTTATAAATTTCTGAGATTGTGCATTAAATGTTTTAATGCCCAAAGTATTCACTGTTTCTCTACTCAGCCCTTTAGCCCAAACCCTCTGATAAACTCCGACTGTGTTTTCGAATAAACCCTTTCTCAGCACTACAGCTCAGTGCCAATTGTGAGCCTTTTCACCCACCACAGTGGACCACAGGTGGGTGGAGTTGATAAATTGGGCAGCAAACCTCTTTCTCAGTGGGTTCCCCGACAAGAGGCCTGTATCCAGGATGGTGATAAGTGAGGGCAAAATGACTCCCAAAGAGCAGGTTAACAGGTTGACATGCTGCTTTCCTGGTCCAGGGTTCAAAATTACAAGGAAAGGGCATACGATAATCATAGCTGAAGTTGGTTTAGAGAATTCTGAAACTACCAATTGAGATAGGTTTGGAGTGTGGCGTTGTGTACTGCATTTATCTCATCTGAAGGGCTTGACAGCTCCTAAGGAGATAAACACGTTGGAAGATGTACTAGAAGAAGCGTGGAGCTGAATACAAAGCAGCACTGCCTGTTCTGCAGTGACTAGGAGAAAAGGCAAGTTCGTATTCAGGCCCAATATGCTTGGTAGACAGCTAATACTGTCCAGCTGGGCATAGTGTGCCCCAGAACTAAGGAATGGCAATCCTGGGTTATTTGGAAGATTCGATGTCTGCTGGCTAAGGAAAGTAGATGTGGATGGAAGGTTGGTGCACTGAGGGACGTATAAACTCCCAGACCCCAGGTCTTCATTAATCAGGTTTTGGGTTGCTATTTGGGAATGAGAGCAATAGATGCAGATCATCAGCTTTTCCAAGAGAAGTCAAAAATCAGGAATTTTATTAACATAAAATTGCTAATTTTTAAAATGTTGGCTACTATTTTGGTTTTTGTGTTTTGCTTGTTGGTTGGTTGGTAGGTTGGTGGGTTTTAAGATTGAGCAGGCTAAAGAATACATGTCAGTGGGCCAAATGTAGCTGTTAGGCTGCTACTTTGGAACTCCTCTTCAAGAACCATCTTCTGTTTTAAAATATTAAAATCTAATGTATTTTAACTCAGCAACCAGCTAGGTAGCTGAAATGGTCTGGCTGTGTGTCCCCACCCAAATCTCATCTTGAATGGTAATCCAAATTGTAATCCCCATGTGTTGAGGGAGGGAACTCATGGGGAATGATTAGATCATGGGAGCTGTTCCCCCGTGCTGTTCTTGTGACAGTGAGTTCCCATGAGATCTGAGGGTTTTATCAGGGGCTTTCCCCACTTCAGTCTGCACTTGTCTCTCCTGCCGCCATGTGAAGAAGGATGTGTCTGCTTCCCCTTCCACCATGATTGTAAGTTTCCTGAGGCCTCCCCACCCATGCAGAACTGTGAGTCAATTAAACTGCTTTCCTTCATAAATTTCCCTGTCTGGTATTTCTTTATAGCAGCATGAAAACAAACTAATACAGTAGCTTTTCTTCACTCCTGCCTTACCCTTTTAGGTTGAGCAAATTCACACCATCAGTAAGATTACTTAGTTCTTGTTATTGGTAAATTTGAAAACCACATATCCATCGGTTGGCTCTAGGAAATCTGAATCTAAAAACATCCAGCAGTAAACCAGTAGGGGGTGTGTGGATCTCCACAGTATCTTGTAGACATGTGCCTGCACCTACCTCACCAAGACAGCTGCTCACGTCACACCTCCCTGTTGAGACAATTCTGTGTGTCACCCACAAGGGCAGTAGAAATTGGGGAACCCCAAGCCTTTTGTTATGATCACTATTATTATTATCAGCATCATTATTAGAACAGTGATAATAATAGCTTTCAATCACTAATTGTCTTCATATGTTATGCCACCTCTGTTAAGCCTGTTGTTGAAGGTAATCCACACAGTAGCCTGCAAAGGTAGGTGCTGCTGTCTCTGTTTCCAGGTGAGGAAGCTGACTTAGTCACCGAATCACACAAGGAGTTAATATGATACATCAGGGAATTTAAGCTATTTCTCAGAGGTTTTATAGTTTTTTGACTTCATAGTTCAATGGGGAGGTGGAGGGGATATGATCCTATACTTTGGCATTTAAAATTTTTTTGTAAAAGTGTACAAGTAAAGCTAACTTCTTTAGAGATATTAGCAACATTTCAAGTCAAAACAAACCAAAAAGAAAAAGAGAAAGAAGAGAAAGAAAATAAAAATAGAAGCGTTTCCTATTATGTTACTATCTAGTCTAATACTTCATGGAAAGGAAAGCCGAAAGAGAGCCACCTGTTGCCTGAGAAGAGTTGGCAGTAGCTGGGACCTCAGTTATCAGTCAGCTCTCAAGACTGAGCCTGCCTGAGGCAGCCAGCATGGAAATGTGTTCACACATACAAAACTGATCAGTTTTACAAAGTGGGGATTTGAAAATCCAAGAAGTTCAGATTAGAATGTAATAAATGGAGAGGGACTCAGCGTGACTAAAATAGATGGAGCACAGAGTATCTTCCTACACAAGAAGGGAAGAAACAGTGCAGCAAACCAGGAAGATAAATACCTCCTGCCTTCCCTTTCTAGGTCCAGGGAGAAGTGAGTCATGGACCATGCCAGAAGAGACTGTTTCCTCCCTGTTGGGCTCTGACACTTGCAGTTGGTAGCCCCCACTTTGGTGGGAAATGATTGTGCATTAAGCATCATTTCCGCCCAAATTATTATTATTATTATTTCAAAACAAATCTGGAAGTTCCATCTTGGAGTGACTTGCTTTAATATTTTGTGGACATCTTAAATCCACAGCTTCACTGGTTGGGTCCAAACACAGTTCGACACTCCTTCAGCTGTACATTCTCCTGTGCTCACAGCATCTGCTTTTCAAAAGAGCTGATTTCACAGAGCTGTTTTACATCAGTAAGTGATTATGTTTGATTGAAACAAAATAAAGGAGAAGTTTTCTATGTCAATATTATGTTCCTACTTAGAGAAAACTGAAAATAGAACTTGAGAAGGCAAGGAACTTAATCTAAATGCAGAAGCTCATGAGTGAGAATTTTTCCATTCCTGATTTTTTTTTCCAGGTAAAAGAGTCACTTAATTAATATGTATAAGGTGATCACTGTGTCCTCAGAACTATCCTGGAATTCCATTATGAATAAAAAACAGTTCCTGCCTTTGGATAGCTTTTAATAAATCAAAAGTCACTGAGTGAACTCCATGGACAGCTACTTGTACAGTGTGTTGCACTAGGTTTGGGGATGGGGGTAAAAATAAATCTAATGCTTATTCTATGACTGACTTGCCGCCTTTCAAGTGAGTTCCTGGGCCTCAGGCTCCTCACTTGTGGGAGGCAGAATAACAGTTCCTGCCTTGTACATCTCATAGGGACGTCATGTATATCACACAGAATAATGTTTGCGCAGCCCTTTGAAATCATTATGCAGTCCCCATCCTTAAGAAATGTGCTTTGAGGTCAGGGATACCTGACAGAGAAATGTAAAATGACCAGTGAAGACCCCTGGGTGGTCTGTGCTCAAGTGCCAACTATTTGGTGGTTGACTTCAAATGCCATTGGAAAGAGAAGCTAAAAATGGAACCATTTGGTAAAAGTACGGATTTTTCAAAATATTTAGACATTTAGTGTTTTATAGCAACTCCATATCTGCCATTCACAGGTGTTGAAATTGATGCAATGAAGATTCTTTACCATGTATCCTGAGGAAGGCCTGTTCTGTTAGGATTCCCCCAAAGGCAGTCTAGCTGCTTGGGCTTCAGCATGGCATACAGAATGTGGAGGGAACATTGGGGAGGGGCACTTACCAGTACCCGAATATATACCTCAGTGCCATGCTGAGGGATTGACCGAACTCCTTGGGAAAGGCTATTTCCTACCTTTGATTAACTATGTACCTTTAAATTTTAGAGTAGGTCTTGGATCTATGCACCTGTGTGAGTATGGTGATTATCTAGCTTTTAATCTGATTCCACCTGCCATAGGCAAGTGAAAATGGAGCTTAAGGTACCTGGGGAAAATGTGTGAGTTATGATAGTTGCTTTCTAAATAGAAAGGGAAAGGTTCCTTATACCGAATTTCATATTCCAGAGAATATGCACACATTATACATTAATTTAATAAAATCACAATCCCAGAAAAGAGACAGTGTGACTTACTAGCTCTTTAAAAGATTTAGCAACTTGTGTAAACCATTGCATTCATTGTGGATCCCGCCATCCATGATTCACAGCCCAAAGGGACTGCAGTTTGACTACATCATGGTTTACATTTTCAGTTTGTGAAGAATAAATGGTTGAGACTGAGTCCCAGCTGGTCTCCAGGAGATACATATTTCCATGGAAAACTGAAAGAGCACAGAAACCAAATGTAGATAGCAGACAATTTTAGCTGCATAGTTTAGTTTCCATCAGGCCTGTTTTGATCTGTTATAGACCTAACCATGAGAATAAAAGCATCTTCTCTCGCCAGGCTAACAGCTGTTTCTCTCTTCTAGTGTTCTGTTTCCTGTGGTGGTGGAGTGCGGATTCGCAGTGTCACATGTGCCAAGAACCATGATGAACCTTGCGATGTGACAAGGAAACCCAACAGCCGAGCTCTGTGTGGCCTCCAGCAATGCCCTTCTAGCCGGAGAGTTCTGAAACCAAACAAAGGCACTATTTCCAATGGAAAAAACCCACCAACACTAAAGCCCGTCCCTCCACCTACATCCAGGCCCAGAATGCTGACCACACCCACAGGGCCTGAGTCTATGAGCACAAGCACTCCAGCAATCAGCAGCCCTAGTCCTACCACAGCCTCCAAAGAAGGAGACCTGGGTGGGAAACAGTGGCAAGATAGCTCAACCCAACCTGAGCTGAGCTCTCGCTATCTCATTTCCACTGGAAGCACTTCCCAGCCCATCCTCACTTCCCAATCCTTGAGCATTCAGCCAAGTGAGGAAAATGTTTCCAGTTCAGATACTGGTCCTACCTCGGAGGGAGGCCTTGTAGCTACAACAACAAGTGGTTCTGGCTTGTCATCTTCCCGCAACCCTATCACTTGGCCTGTGACTCCATTTTACAATACCTTGACCAAAGGTCCAGAAATGGAGATTCACAGTGGCTCAGGGGAAGAAAGAGAACAGCCTGAGGACAAAGATGAAAGCAATCCTGTAATATGGACCAAGATCAGAGTACCTGGAAATGACGCTCCAGTGGAAAGTACAGAAATGCCACTTGCACCTCCACTAACACCAGATCTCAGCAGGGAGTCCTGGTGGCCACCCTTCAGCACAGTAATGGAAGGACTGCTCCCCAGCCAAAGGCCCACTACTTCCGAAACTGGGACACCCAGAGTTGAGGGGATGGTTACTGAAAAGCCAGCCAACACTCTGCTCCCTCTGGGAGGAGACCACCAGCCAGAACCCTCAGGAAAGACGGCAAACCGTAACCACCTGAAACTTCCAAACAACATGAACCAAACAAAAAGTTCTGAACCAGTCCTGACTGAGGAGGATGCAACAAGTCTGATTACTGAGGGCTTTTTGCTAAATGCCTCCAATTACAAGCAGCTCACAAACGGCCACGGCTCTGCACACTGGATCGTCGGAAACTGGAGCGAGGTAAGACATTTCCTACCCCTGGCCTGGTTTTACATGGAAAAAAGCTAGGAGTGTTAAATTCATGTGAAAATTTCAAAATGAGTTTGCATTAAAATATATTCTATTGTGAAAACAAAAGGAAGCAATCAGACCCATGCCCTCCCCTCCCTCCTTACCCCCATAACTCTTTAAATGGAAAAAAAATTATGTAAATTATATAACTTGTGAAATTGTATAGATATATTGTCTAGCTTTTAATCTGATTCTACCTGACCCAACCAAATGAGAGTTCCTGCCGTGTACAATTCTGAAGGATGTTGTGTATATCACACAGAATAATGTCTGTGCAGCCCTTTGAAATCATTATGCAGTCCCCATCCTTAAGAAACCTGTTTTGAGATCAGGGATACAAGACAGAGAAAGGTAAACTGACCAGTGAAGACCCCTGGGTGGTCTATGTTCAAGTGCCAACTGTTTGGTGGTTGACTTAAAATGTCATTGGAAAGGGAAGCTAAAAATTTATATATAGGGAAGGAGAACAAATGTAGTGAGATATAGTGAAAAGTACCCTGAACTAAGCTAGGAAGCCTGGGCATTCGGCTGTGTGATTATGTCGAATTCATCTATCTTTCTGAGCCTTTTTTTTGGCCTACAGAATGATAAGGCAAGTGTAGATTATCTCTAATGTCCCTTTCAGCTATAAACTACAATGATCCTATGATGAAGGATGACTGAAAAGGCCTGATTCACATTTCTCAAAAACCTAGTTTTGAGACTTGGTTTAAAATTGTGAAGTAATCACAGATGGAACGGAAACCTAAGACAAAACTTGTTAAAACAATTGTATAGCTCGCCATATCAGTGATTTTTTTTCTTTTCTTTTTGGTTTGTTTGAGTGCTTGCATTTAAAAAATTCATTTTGGCTTATTGAAAGAATTAGAATATAGAGGAAGAAGAAAATAAGCATGATGACATCATGCTGGCCCCTATTTTCATGCTCCAGAAATTTGGCTAGGTATTTGTCTTTTCATTTCTAGAACCAATTACATCCTTTGAAGCATCAAAATCATTTCTCACCTATTTGAAATCTGAATATGCAGTATACAAACTTGTTAATATAATGTAACAATGCAAAAGAGGATTTTGCAGCAAAGTAATCACATGTTCAAATCATTCAGCATTTTTGACATTTCATGACTCATCTCGCCAGTTAAAGTGAAGTAAACTATTAGCAGCTAATATAAAAATAACAATTTGAGTATAACAATTTATAAAGTATGTAATTTACAAACCACTTTCATAGGTAGTCTCATTTTTTCTATTATTATTATACTTTTAAGTTTTAGGGTACATGTGCACAATGTGCATGTTTGTTACATATGTATACATGTGACATGCTGGTGTGCTGCACCCATTAATTCGTCGTTTAGCATTAAGTGTATCTCCTAATGCTATCCCTCCGCCCTCCCCCCACCCCACAACAGTCCCCAGAGTGTGATGTTCCCCTTCCTGTGTCCATGTATTCTCATTGTTCAATTCCCATCTATGAGTGAGAACATGCGGTGTTTGGTTTTTTGTCCTTGTGATAGTTTACTGATAATGATGATTTCCAATTTCATCCATGTCCCTACAAAGGACATGAACTCATCATTTTTTATGACTGCGTAGTATTCCATGGTGTATATGTGCCACATTTTCTTAATCCGATCTATCATTGTTGGACATTTGGGTTGGTTCCAAGTCTTTGCTATTGTGAATAGTGCCGCACTAAACATACGTGTGCATGTGTCTTTATAGCAGCATGATTTATAGTCCTTTGGGTATATACCCAGTAATGGGATTGCTGGGTCAAATGGTATTTCTAGTTCTAGATCCCTGAGGAATCGCCACACTGACTTCCACAATGGTTGAACTAGTTTACAGTCCCACCAACAGTGTAAAAGTGTTCCTATTTCTCCACATCCTCTCCAGCACCTGTTGTTTCCTGACTTTTTAATGATTGCCATTCTAACTGGTGTGAGATGGTATCTCATTGTGGTTTTGATTTGCATTTGTCTGATGGCCAGTGATGATGAGCATTTTTTCATGTGTCTTTTGGCTGCATAAATGTCTTCTTTTGAGAAGTATCTGCTCATATCCTTTGCCCACTTTTCGATGGGGTTGTTTGTTTTTTTCTTGTAAATTTGTTTGAGTTCATTGTAGATTCTGGATATTAGCCCTTTGTCAGATGAGTAGGTTGCGAACATTTTCTCCCATTTTGTAGGTTGCCTGTTCACTCTGTTGGTAGTTTCTTTTGCTGTGCAGAAGCTCTTTAGTTTAATGAGATCCCATTTGTCAATTTTGGCTTTTGTTGCCATTGCTTTTGGTATTTTAGACATGAAGTCCTTGCCCATGCCTATGTCCTGAATGGTAATGCCTAGGTTTTCTTCTAGGGTTTTTATGGTTTTAGGTCTAACATGTAAGTCTTTAATCCATCTTGAATTAATTTTTGTATAAGGTGTAAGGAAGGGATCGAGTTTCAGCTTTCTACATATGGCTAGCCAGTTTTCCCAGCACCATTTATTAAATAGGGAATCCTTTCCTGCTTGTTTTTCTCAGGTTTGTCAAAGATCAGATAGTTGTAGATACGTGGCATTATTTCTGAGGGCTCTGTTCTGTTCCATTGATCTATGTCTCTGTTTTGGTACCAGTACCATGCTGTTTTGATTACTGTAGCCTTGTAGTATAGTTTGAAGTCAGGTAGCGTGATGCCTCTGGCTTTGTTCTTTTGGCTTAGGATTGACTTGGTGATGTGGGCTCTTTTTTGGTTCCATATGAACTTTAAAGTAGTTTTTTCCAATTCTGTGAAGAAAGTCATTGGTAGCTTGATGGGGATGGCATTGAATCTATAAATTACCTTGGGCAGTATGGCCATTTTCACGATATTGATTCTTCCTACCCATGAGCATGGAATCTTCTTCCATTTCTTTGTATCCTGTTTTATTTCATTGAGCAGTGGTTTGTAGTTCTCCTTGAAGAGGTCCTTCAGGTCCCTTGTAAGTTGGATTCCTAAGTATTTTATTCTCTTTGAAGCAATTGTGAATGGGAGTTCACTCATGATTTGGCTCTCTGTTTGTCTGTTATTGGTGTATAAGAATGCTTGTGATTTTTGTACATTGATTTTGTATCCTGAGACTTTGCTGAAGTTGCTTATCAGCTTAAGGAGATTTTGGGCTGAGACGATGGGGTTTTCTAGATATACAATCATGTCGTCTGCAAACAGGGACAATTTGACTTCCTCTTTTCCTAATTGAATACCCTTTGTTTCCTTCTCCTGCCTAATTGCCCTGGCCAGAACTTCCAACACTATGTTGCATAGGAGTGGTGAGAGAGGGCATCCCTGTCTTGTGCCAGTTTTCAAAGGGAATGCTTCCAGTTTTTGCCCATTCAGTATGATATTGGCTGTGGGTTTGTCATAGATAGCTCTTATTATTTTGAGATACGTCCCATCAATACCTAATTTATTGAGAGTTTTTAGCATGAAGGCTTGTTGAATTTTGTCAAAGGCCTTTTCTGCATCTATTGAGATAGTCATGTGGTTTTTGTCTTTGGTTCTGTTTATATGCTGGATTACATTTATTGATTTGCGTATATTGAACCAGCCTTGCATCCCAGGGATGAAGCCCACTTGATCATGGTGGATAAGCTTTTTGATATGCTGCTGGATTCAGTTTGCCAGTATTTTATTGAGGATTTTTGCATCAATGTTCATCAAGGATATTGGTCTAAAATTCTCTTTTTTTGTTGTGTCTCTGCCAGGCTTTGGTATCAGGATGATGCTGGCCTCATAAAATGAGTTAGGGAGGATTCCCTCTTTTGCTATTGATTGGAATAGTTTCAGAAGGAATGGTACCAGTTCCTCCTTGTACCTCTGGTAGAATTCAGCTGTGAATCCATCTGGTCCTGGACTCTTTTTGGTTGGTAAGCTATTGATTATTGCCCCAATTTCAGCTCCTGTTATTGGTCTATTCAGAGATTCAACTTCTTCCTGGTTTAGTCTTGGGAGAGTGTATGTGTCGAGGAATTTATCCATTTCTTCTAGATTTTCTAATTTATTTGTGTAGAGGTGTTTGTAGTATTCTCTGATGGTAGTTTATATTTCTGTGGGATCAGTGGTGATATCCCCTGTATCATTTTTTATTGTGTCTATTTGATTCTTCTCTCTTTTTTTCTTTATTAGTCTTGCTAGCGGTCTATCAATTTTGTTGATCCTTTCAAAAAACCAGCTCCTGGATTCATTAATTTTTTGAAGGGTTTTTTGTGTCTCTATTTCCTTCAGTTCTGCTCTGATTTTAGTTATTTCTTGCCGTCTGCTAGCTTTTGAATGTGTTTGCTCTTGCTTTTCTAGTTCTTTTAATTGTGATGTTAGGGTGTCAATTTTGGATCTTTCCTGCTTTCTCTTGTGGGCATTTAGTGCTATAAATTTCCCTCTACACGCTGCTTTGAAATGTGTCCCAGAGATTCTGGTATGTGGTGTCTTTGTTCTCGTTGGTTTCAAAGAAGATCTTTATTTCTGCCTTCATTTCGTTATGTACCCAGTAGTCATTCGGGAGCAGGTTGTTCAGTTTCCATGTAGTTGAGTGGTTTTGAGGGAGTTTCTTAATCCTGAGTTCTAGTTTGATTGCACTGTGGTCTGAGAGACAGTTTGTTATAATTTCTGTTCTTTTACATTTGCTGAGGAGAGCTTTACTTCCAAGTATGTGGTCAATTTTGGAATAGGTGTGGTGTGGTGCTGAAAAAAATGTATATTCTGTTGATTTAGGGTGGAGAGTTCTGTAGATGTCTATTAGGTCCACTTGGTGCAGAGCTGAGTTCAATTCCTGGGTATCCTTGTTAACTTTCTGTCTCGTTGATCTGTCTAATGTTGACAGTGGGGTGTTAAAGTCTCCCATTATTATTGTGTGGGAGTCTAAGTCTCTTTGTAGGTCACTCAGGGCTAGCTTTATGAATCTGGGTGCTCCTGTATTGGGTGCATATATATTTCGGATAGTTAGCTCTTCTTGTTGAATTGATCCCTTTACCATTATGTAATGGCCTTCTTTGTCTCTTTTGATCTTTGTTGGTTTAAAGTCTGTTTTATCAGAGACTAGGATTGCAACCCCTGCCTTTTTTGTTTTCCATTTGCTTGGTAGATCTTCCTCCATCCTTTTATTTTGAGCCTATGTGTGTCTCTGCACGTGAGATGGGTTTCCTGAATACAGCACACTGATGGGTCTTGACTCTTTATCCAATTTGCCAGTCTGTGTCTTTTAATTGGAGCATTTAGTCCATTTACATTTAAAGTTAATATTGTTATGTGTGAATTTGATCCTGTCATTATGATGTTAGCTGGTTATTTTGCTTGTTAGTTGATGCAGTTTCTTCCTAATCTCGATGGTCTTTACATTTTGGCATGATTTTGCTGAAGCTGGTACCGGTTGTGCCTTTCCATGTTTAGTGCTTCCTTCAGGAGCTCTTTTAGGGCAGGCCTGGTGGTGACAAAATCTCTCAGCATTTGCTTGTCTGTAAAGGATTTTATTTCTCCTTTACTTATGAAGCTTAGTTTGGCTGGATATGAAATTCTGGGTTGAAAATTCTTTTCTTTAAGAATGTTGAATATTGGCCCCCACTCTCTTCTGGCTTGTAGAGTTTCTGCCGAGAGATCCACTGTTAGTCTGATGGGCTTCCCTTTGTGGGTAACCCGACCTTTCTCTCTGGCTCCCCTTAACATTTTTTCCTTCATTTCAACTTTGGTGAATCTGACAATTACGTGTCTTGGAGTTGCTCTTCTCAAGGAGTATCTTTGTGGTGTTCTCTGTATTTCCTGAATCTGATTGTTGGCCTGCCTTGCTAGATTGGGGAAGTTCTCCTGGATAATATCCTGCAGAGTGTTTTCCAACTTGGTTCCATTCTCCCCGTCACTTTCATGTACACCAATCAGAGGCAGATTTGGTCTTTTCACATAGTCCCATATTTCTTGGAAGCTTTGTTTGTTCCTTTTTATTCTTTTTTCTCTAAACTTCCCTTCTTGCTTCATTTCATTCATTTCGTCTTCCATCACTGATACCCTTTCTTCCAGTTGATCACATCAGCTCCTGAGGCTTCTGCATTCTTCACGTAGTTCTTGAGCCTTGGCTTTCAGCTCCATCAGCTCCTTTAAGCACTTCTCTATATTGGTTATTCTAGTTATACATTCGTCTAAATTTTTTTCAAAGTTTTCAACTTCTTTGCCTTTGGTTTGAATTTCCTCCTGTAGCTCAGAGTAGTTTGATCGTCTGAAGCCTTCTTCTCTCAACTCATCAAAATCATTCTCCATCCAGCTTTGTTCCATTGCTGGTGAGGAACTGCATTCCTTTGGAGGAGGAGATGCACTGTGCTTTTTAGAGTTTCCAGTTTTTCTGCTCTGTTTTTTCCCCATCTTTGTGGTTTTATCTACTTTTGGTCTTTGATGATGGTGATGTACAGATGGGTTTTTTGTGTGGATGTCCTTTCTGTTTGTTAGTTTTCCTTCTAACAGACAGGACCCTCAGCTGCAGGTCTGTTGGAGCTTGCTAGAGGTCCACTCCAGACCCGTTTGCCTGGGTATCAGCAGCGGTGTCTGCAGAACCATGGATTTTCGTGATCCACGAATGCTGCTGTCTGATCGTTCCTCTGGAAGTTTTGTCTCAGAGGAGTACCTGACCGTGTGAGGTGTCAGTCTGCCCCTACTGGGGGGTGCCTCCCAGTTAGGCTGCTCAGGGAACAGGGGTCAGGGACCCACTTGAGGAGGCAGTCTGCCCGTTCTCAGATCTCCAGCTGCGTGCTGGGAGAACGACGGCTCTCTTCAGAGCTGTCAGCCCAGGACATTTAAGTCTGCAGAGGTTACTGCTATCTTTTTGTTTGTCTGTGCCCTGCCCCCAGAAGTGGAGCCTACAGAGGCAGGCAGGCCTCCTTGAGCTGTGGTGGGCTCCACCCAGTTCGAGCTTCCTGGCTGCTTTGTTTACCTAAGTGAGCCTGGGCAATGGCAGGTGCCCCTCCCCCAGCCTTGCTGCCGCCTTGCAGTTTGATCTCAGACTGCTGTGCTAGCAATCAGCGAGACTCCGTGGGCGTAGGACCCTCCAAGGCAGGTACGGGATATAATCCCCTGGTGTGCCATTTCCTAAGCCCGTCGGAAAAGCGCAGTATTCAGGTGGGAGTGGCCTGATTTTCCAGGTGCCATCTGTCACCCCTTTCCTTGACCAGGAAAGGGAACTCCCTGACCCCTTGCGCTTCCCGAGTGAGGCAATACCTCGCCCTGCTTTGGCTGGTGCACGGTGCGCTGCACCCACTGTCCTGTGCCCACTTTCTGGCACTCCCTAGTGAGATGAACCCGGTACCTCAGATGGAAATGCAGAAATCACCCGTCTTCTGCGTCACTCACGCAGACTCCATAGTCTCTTATTTTTTCCTTTTCGTGGTCCTGATGAGTAGGTAAGTGTCTCACTGATACTGACTTACAAATAGAAAAAGAGATTTGTAACAGTTAACTGATTTCTCTGAAGACACAATTGGATGATGAACCTTCTGTCTCTTCCCACTCTGATCTGCTATCTCTCTGGTGGATTTTAGCACCAATTGACAATTTAACTATATAAAATTCTTTTATATAAAGTAATCAACATCATTGGTCATGGAATTGACTAGAAGCAATAAATAGGTAAATTCAAACCACCTCCAAAATTTCTTGCATCAAATACTATAATTGCTTGCATTTGAGCTATGTTTTCGCTTTGATTTATGTTTGATTTCTAAAATGAGTTATCACATTTTCTGTCATCTTATCTCCATTTAGAGGTAAAGAATTCAGCTTCAGAGGTAGAAAAGGTTTTCATGCTTACAGTAAGCCAATTTGTTGAAGGAAGGAGATGAATGGGTCTTATGACTCCTGACATTTTAGTCCTGTTTCTTTCCTAATCAGTTTCTTTCCTAAGCATGCATCAGGCTTTACAAGCATGATTTTATGCTAATGAGCATAAATTCTCTCATTTAATCTTTACCACAGTGTCAGGAGATTGGTAGTATTTTCCCTATTGTAGAGGCAAGGAAACCGAAGCTGAGAGAATTTAAGTAGCTGGCCAGAATCGTACATACCTGTGAGCTACGGGGACTTGAACTCAGACAGATGGACTTCAGAACCCATGACCCCTGGCTCTGCAAGTCAGAAAATATTACCATCCTCTGTGTCTTTGATTTTATTTATTTCTTCTTTGGTCATATTACATATGAAAATAATGCCAGTTATGTGGTGACCTTGGGTATACAGATGAGAAAATGACATAGTTCACAAGAAAGTTATTTAAAATAACATTGAGGCCACTCATGGTTACTTTGAGTTCACCTGGGCAAATTGTCCCTCTATTACCACAGTGGATCCAGGCTAGATGTTTTGAAACAAAATGGATCTGTTTAGGTGTTTTTGAAGTGATAGTGTTCGGATTCCCCCAAAGGCAGTCCAGCTACTTGTGCTTCAGCATGCCCTACAGAATGCGGATGCGGAGGGAACATTGGGGAGAGGCACCTGCCAGTACCTTTCAAACAGTACTGTCAAGATATGTATTTTCTTCCTAAATCATGGTATCCCTAAAGGGCAGATAAGCAGGCCTACTGTCTTCTTCTGTCGACATAGTTTAGACAGTGTGTGGCTTCTGTGGACTGAAAACAAAGAAAACAAGTGGTAGAAGTGGAAGCTACTAATTAATTTGTATTTTGATATTTAGTTAATGGCAATAAGGTCTGAAAGCACCTACAATTAATGACACTGTAGGCCATGAGAATAAGACAGCCTAGGTCAAACAGAATATGAAAGAGTAGGCGATAAAAGGCATACATGTAGGATTGATATCAGAACCATTAAAATATGAATGACATGTGTGTGTGTGCATATGTAATTAGAAATCACACTTGCCTACACTCACACACATTAGGAAGGCTAGGCTTCTGTAACAAATAAAGCCCAACAAGTAATGTCTCACCAGAAGAGGTGTTGACTTCTCAGTCACAAGGCAATACAAGGTGATGATTCCAGTCTGCAGTGCTGATGGTAGAGGATGGTGCAGTCATTTGGGAACCCAGGCTAACAATGGCTCTACCATCTTCCCATCATCAAATTTGCCCTGGGGTCACCATCCCAGTCAATCAGAAAGGGAAAAGGGCATAGAGGCACTCCTGCAGGAAGTTGTATGCTCCAAGCCTTGAAGTGGAACAAATCACTTCTGCCTACATTCCGTTGTCTAGAACTAGGTCTCATGGCCAAACCAAACTCAGGGAAGCTGGGAAATGCAACCCAATTATGTGCCCAGAAGAAGAAAAAGGATTATGGTGAATATCTAGCACTCTCTGCCACTGACTGTAGGTAGCCTATTCTGAAGCAATAAGGATTTTGACCTATTGGGAGGTTATTGCAATAGTCCAGGTGAGGCATGAGAACTATAAGAAGAATATTCAGGATGAAGAGGGAAAAATATATCTAATATATATTTGAACTTAAAATCAGGGTTTGTAAATAATTGGATATGGGGAATGAAGAAGAGAGAGGAGAAGAGAAGGAGTCCGTCACTGACTCATTGACTTTTTTTGAGACAGGGTCTCACTCTGTCACCCAGGTCGGAGTGCAGTGGTTTGATGATAGCTCATCACAATCCTGAACTCCTGAGCTCAAGCAGTCTTCCCACCTAAGTCTCCTGAGTAGATAGGAACAGGTGCCAACCACTGCACCTAGATAATTTTTTTATTATTTTTTGCAGAGATGGGAGTCTTGCTATGTTGACCAGGCTAGTCTGGAACTCCTGGCCTCAAGCAAAATTCTGCCTCAGCCTCCCAAAGTGCTGAGATTATTGGCATGAACCACTATTCAATTTGGGTTTTGGCTATTCCATTTGAACTGACTGTCATTGACTATTCAATTTGAATCAACTGTTAAATTTGAATTTTCATTGTCTGCTGGGTGGTGCTCCTATGAACTGAAATTGTCTCTAAAAACAAAATGGTTGTATGATGACCCAGATATTCATTTTTTTCCCCATCCTCTTCACTTTTCATTCATCACCAAAACCCAGAGCAGTTGTGGAATTATGGAATTTAAATGTGTTTTAATTATTTTGTCTTGAGAATATTTAATACATGTTAATTAATTGACAAATGTTAATTGATTTAACGAGCCATTACTATATCCACGCAAATTAAGCCAAAATGAAGTACGCATCAACTATGATTACTGTTTGAGCTCAAAGGTTAATTAACACGTTTTGATTATAGTAAATCAAGATACAAAGAATTAATTCTATCTCAAACATCATTATTTGACTTTGACAGAAATAAATGGTCTTATTGAACACATTATAGCTCACCAAAAAAAAAAAAAAAAACAAACAAAAAACTGGCAACAGTGGTGGAACGATTAACAGCTGTTAATTCCTGGCAGTTTGGCTAGAAAAAGAATATTGGCTCAGATTCTAGAGTTTTCAAAGCTGTAAGGACTATTACTAGAATAGAACTCCACATTTGGCAAGAGTCCCCCCTCATGACAGGGCCTGGTGCCTGCTCTCTTTGTGCATGTTTTGAGAGAAAATGTTTAATAAATAGAACTGAAGGCCAGAGCGGTGGCTCATGCCTGTAATCCCAGCACTCTGGGAGGCTGAGGCAGGTGGATCACTTGAGGTCAGGAGTTTGAGACCAGTCTGGCCAACATGGCAAAACACTTTCTACAAAAAAAATATAAAAATTAGACGTGGTGGCGCATGCCTGTAGTTCCAGCTACTCGGGAGCCTGAAGCATGAGAAACACTTGAATCCGGGAGGCAGAGGTTGCAGTGAGCCAAATTTGAGCCACTGCACTCCAGCCTGGGTGACAGAGTGACACCCTGTCTTAAAATAATATATAATAATAATAAATAACTGTCAGAGAGGGTCAGGGTTCAGAATGAAAACTCTGAGTTTTGAGTTCCTCACTGTCCCTGATTTTTATTTCTGCCTATTCCTGAAGCTATTTATTTGGGATTGCCTCTCTCCGTAATGAGTCACTTATCTCCCAATCACCACAACTTAGAGCCCGTAGAATCACCATTGATATCAATTTGCCTCTGTCCTACAAAAAAGAAAAAAATTGTAATAGTTTTTCAAGTCAGTATCACCTCATCATTCCTGTCCTCTCCTCTTTATGTCCTCTGTTAGTCTAAGACCCAGTGGTTTCTAATCTGATGGTAGGAGGAATTTACAGATGAAGGAGGATGCTTTTGTTTGTTACAACAATGTGGGGAAGGGGCGGCAACTAGCATTGAATGTCTGAGAGGCATGAATGATAAAAGTCCCATGACATTCAGGAAAGTCCCTTATAAGGAAGAATTGTTGAGTCCCAAATGCCAATGGTGCCCAATAGATGAGAGTGAAGGACCTGGGTTACCACTCCTGCTTAGAACACCTGCCCTTGCATCCTTGCTGGTCTACATACCTCCAGCCTCTCCCTTCTCCTATCTTTTCCACACACTGTTGCACAAGACATGAGACTGCCAAATTCATCCTCCAAAAAGCTATTCTAATCATTCCAAACTCCTGCTCATAAGTCTTTGATATCTCCTCATTTCACACTTATTCAGATAAAATCTACTGCAACCCAATATCCAACAGCCTTCCTAGGCTTACATAATCAAGCTTTCAAAACATACTGCCTCCTACTTTTCTTCATCCATGCTAAGCTTCAACAGCTCAGTTGCTTTAAACCTCCTGCCTGTCCCAGTTTGGTGTCTCTATTCATGCTGGTTCCTCTCCCTGGAATTTCCTTCCCCTTCTCCTCTGCCCTTTTAAATCCTATCTGTTCAGGATCAAGCTTTGAGTCTGATCTTGCACAAAGCTTTTCCTGATCCCTAAAACAGGAAGTGATTTCTAAAGTTCCTTGGGTGTGATCTGAAATCGCTCTTGCAATGTCCTCCTGCCTTCTGGCCTGTGGGAGGCTGTCCACAGCCCCACTGGACACAGCACATTCCTTTAATTGTGTTTTCAAATATTAAGTAATTGATGTAAAAGCTGAGCTAACACTGTAAGTAGGTGTAAACCTTGAAGCCAGACTTTCTGGGGTTTAGTCCTGACTCAGTAAATTACCAGCTGTATGTCCTCACTCTACCTCATTTCCCTCATCTATGAAATGAGGATGATGATAATGCCCAACTTATATGACTTAGGAGATAAAAGGAATAACTATATGTAAGGTACTCAGAAGAGTGTCGGGCACATAGGAAGTACTCAGTAAGTGTTTGCTCTGATCCATATTTACAAAACAGAGAACTTCAGTGCTATGCAGTGTGCATGGGTATGGCTTTTATTTTGATAGAGACTCACCTCTCATTGACTTGCCTCATCATTCAGTCAGATCCCTTGGGCCAGTCAGTTAACTGTAAACTGTGTGGTCGTGTAAAATAGAAGTGACAGCATAATTTTCCACAGCATTTCAGAGCAGTGTTCATATGGTGCTGATGTGAACCCCAGCATCAGTTCTGGTTCTGAACACCTGGATGCTGACCTTTGACTTGGTTAGTCAGTCGCCACAGGGTCACTAGGTGTAATGAGCCCTCATCCTCCAGCAGGCCAGCCCAGGTTTAGTTTCATAGCAGAGGCAGGGGTCCAAGAGCAAGAATGGAAAGCACCAACTCTTGAGAACTGGAACAGCATCATCCACTGCATTCTGTTGGCCAAGACAAGTCACAAGGACAGCCCTGATTCAAGAGCTGGAGAAATAAATTCCACCTCTGGATGACAGAAGCTGCAAAGTCCCCTTGCAAAGAGCATGGGTTTAAGGAAGTATGAACGATGCAGGCCATTAGTGCTATCAATCTATAGTACTTCAGCTGTTATCTCTATTACCTAGATACATAATATGATACAAAGAAGAAAGTGGTAGAAACTTAACAAAAGAAACAAATCCTAAAGAATTATAAGGAGGAGAATATATTACCTCTATAAATGACTCACTTGGAAAAGATGATGTAGTAGAAAATAATTTCTACTTTTCTCTTTCTGTGATCTACAGATTATCTACCTAAGAACTCTATTATGTTATATATGTGTTGTAACACAAGAACGTGCACAAAATGAAACATAAAATTATATGGAGAGTGAAGGCCAGGCGTGGTGACTCATGCCTGTAATCCCAGCACTTTGGGAGGCCAAGGAGGGCAGATCACCTGAGGTCAGGAGTTTGAGACCAGCCTGGTCAATATGGTGAAGCCCTGTCTCTACTAAATATACAAAAGTTAGCTAGGTGTGGTGGCACACACCTGTAATTCCAGCTAGTTAGGTGGCTGGGGCAGGAGAATTGCTTGAACTTGGGAGGCAGAAGTTGCAGTGAGCCAAGAACATGCCACTACACTCCAGCCTGGGCTACAGGGTGAGACTCCATCCCAAAAAAAAAAAAAAATTATATGGAGAGTGAAGTTACAGCAAGAGAAACTTAAGTCTGGTCTTTATGTACAGCCTATCAAAAGAAACCTTCAAGCATGTCATAGATGGAACTTCCACCCTGTCTTTTTTTTTTAGTTCAGCACTTTGTTTTGCTCATCCAGAAACAGCCCCTTTTAGTGAGGATGAGCAGGGGAGAGGGGATGCAAGAAAAATCAGTTACAGGAAAGAATCAGGCACACAAAAGGGAACAAATTTTGTGATGGACATTTTCATGGTTTTCAAAGTGACCCCCCGCTAAACCTGAGATATTTAAGAATTATAAACAAACAAAAACACTTTGAGGGGAATGAGCTGTATGTGTGGCAAAGGCGACTGAGTTCTTCACCACCAGTGGATTGAGGGATGAAAAGCATCATGCTGTAACATCTTTCTAACTCCGAGTGTGATCTGAGGACCAACAGCATCAGCAGCACCTGGGAGCTTGCTAAAAGGCACAATCGCCTCCCCTCCCCAGACCTACTGAATCAGAATCTGCATTTAGCAAGGTCCCCAGGTGATTCATATGGTCCCTAAAGTTTGAGGAGCACTACTGTAACAAATATTTTCCTGGGTTTTAGAGACAGAAAACCCTTTGGGCAGGTCAGCTCTCAAAGCCTGTTTCTTCATCTACACCATAATGATACCAGACTACAACTCAGGTTTGTCATGGAGAGAAATAGGTGAGATAGTATCATTCAGTGTTAGGGAGGAGAGGCAAGGGGCAGACACCTGGACCTGACATCCACTCTGAACAGCATTGGTAGGAAATGTGGCAGCTTGCCTGCAGCCCCCTGGGCAATCATGCCAAGATAATTAATGTTGTTTTCTTTTGAGACAGGATCTCACCCTGGCACCTAGGCTGGAGTGCAGTGGTGCAATCATAGCTCACTTCAGCTTCAAATTCCCAGGTTCAAGCAGTCCTAGCAACTCAGCCTCCTAAGTAGCTGGGAATGCAAGTATACACCACCACACCTGGCTAATTTTTAAATTTCTTTAGAGATGGGTTCTCCCTATGTTGCCCAGGTGATCTCAAACTCCTGGGCTCAAAGGATCCTCCTGCCTCAGCCTCCCATAGTGTTGGGATTAAAGGCATGAGCCACTGCCCCTGGCCTGCCAGGATAAGTTTTAAAGGGAAGCAAATTTCCATTTGCATTGAATTTTCCTTCTACATGCAAATCAAGGTTTCTCAACCGTGACTATTTTTTAAAATAAGCTGGGGAATTATTTTTAATACTGAGCATCCCCGGGTCCTACCCCAAGAGATTCAGATTAATTTGTGTGAGTGGGGTGCCCCAAGTGTTGGTAATTTTTAAAAAGCTCTGTGGGCAATGTTAGCAAACGGGACTGAGAACTGACTCCAGGATCCCAGTGATGGGGCATGTGTGAGAAGGTGACACTCAGCCTCTGTCATCTCTCTCCTTCCCTGCTACAGTGCTCCACCACATGTGGCCTGGGGGCCTACTGGAGAAGGGTGGAGTGCAGCACCCAGATGGATTCTGACTGTGCGGCCATCCAGAGACCTGACCCTGCAAAAAGATGCCACCTCCGTCCCTGTGCTGGCTGGAAAGTGGGAAACTGGAGCAAGGTAACTTATCAGGCTTGGCAGAGTCTTGGAGGTAGAGAAGGTGGGGATGGGTTGGAAAGGGAATCTTATATAAACACTTGCTAAAGTCGTTTTTTTTTTTTTTCTTTTTCTTAATTAAAGTTCTAGGGTACATGTGCACAACGTTCAGGTTTGTTACATATGTATACATGTGTCATGTTGGTGTGCTGCACCCATTAACTCGTCATTTACATTAGGTATATCTCCTAATGCTATCCCTCCCCCCTCCCCCCACCCCACAACAGGCCCCGGTGTGTGATGTTCCCCTTCCTGTGTCCATGTGTTCTCATTGTTTAATTCCCACCTATGAGTGAGAACATGCGGTGTTTGGTTTTTTTCCTTGTGATAGTTTGCTGATAATAATGGTTTCCAGCTTCATCCATGTCCCTACAAAGGACATGCACTTATCATTTTTTATGGCTGCATAGTATTCCATGGTGTATATGTGCCACATTTTCTTAATCCAGTCTATCATTGCTGGACATTTGGGTTGGTTCCAAGTCTTTGCTTTGTGAGTAGTGCCGCAATAAACATACGTGTGCATGTGTCTTTATAGCAGCATGATTTATATTCCTTTGGGTATATGCCCAGTAATGGGATGGCTGGGTCAAACGGTATTTCTAGTTCTAGATCCCTGAGGAATCGCCACACTGACTTCCACAATGGCTGAACTAGTTTGCAGTCCCACCAACAGTGTTTTTTTTTCTACCTTTCTGCTGCCCTTTTACCTCTTATAAAATCAGGGATGAGCAAATCATGGGCATTACCATAGGCCAACTTCAAGTTACACAAAAGTCTTAGAAGTACAGAGTTTTTATTAACCCACATGTGGTAACCCACCTGTCCTTTCTCTTACAAGATAAACCAGAAAAGTTAAGTTTGGGTTATTAATTGCTTCTCCAGCATGCAATGCTATTTCTATATTACTTCAATTTAGCATTTTAATGAATAATCCTATATTATCACGGATATAATTAAATCATGAATCACCTGTGCTTTACAAAGCGAATATATGGCTTAATCTTCCAGACCCAAAATGAAACAAAAGCTGAGATATAAAGAATAATTTGTTCTTTAAAAGCGTACTCCCTGCACTGATCTTCTTATTTATTTTTATTTTTATTTTTTTGAGATGGAGTCTCACTTTGTCACCCAGGCTGAAATGCAATGGCGTGATGTTGGCCCACTGCAACCTCTGCCTCCCGGGTTCAAGCGATTCTCGTGCCTTAACCTCCGGGTAGCTGGGATTACAGGCATGCACCACCATACCAGGCTGATTTTTGTATTTTTAGTAGAGATGGGGTTTCACCATGTTGGCCAGGCTGGTCTCGAACTCCTGACCTCAAGTGGTCCGCCTGCCTTGGCCTTCCAAAGTGCTGAGATTGCAGGCGTAAGCCACCACACCCAGCCATACTGATCTTTTTAAAGTGCAATTTTACCATCTTTGCTAATCTTACTGTGATTACTCATTTTGCTGTGCTGTCTCCATAGTTCCTTGTGAAAAGAACGTATCAGGTTTTCAGATTAGTTAGCCTTGGTGCTTTGAGACACTAACTAGGCCTAATCTGCTTGTCACGCTGGACTAGGGCTTAACCAGTTCTTGGGGGATAATTCAGGGCTATAAGGCACTGGTCAGTGGTGAGATTGAGGGCCAGTTGGCAGGTAGAGAGTACAGAGGTGTGAGCTGTGCATATACCTGTTTGCCATACATGATCAACCCTAGGAAGCCTGGTAGGCCCCTGTCTTCTCTCCAGGGAGCTGGTTCCTCTTGATAGCTGAGACACAGGAGAAAGGAAAAGAAAGAGCTACCCAAGAGGTTTAGGGAAGCTGATGTCACCTCTAGACATTTGTTTCTTCATCTAGTGAAGAGCTCATGTCCCCAGACAGACAGGACCCAGAGGTGTTGCAATGGGCATTTCTGTCTCTGGTTCTCCTGGCAGACTTACCATCAGACAGGAACATGGGAGGCTACTGTCTGATGGTCGGTCTTTCGGACCCTTTCCCAAAGCAAGGCTCTGGTCTTTGGAAGAGAGGGGTTGTGAGGCTACTCCTTGAGAAAATTACCACCTTCTTTCTCTTTCTATATAATTTTTCTTTCAAGAATCGATACTGGTCTTTTTTATTTCTCTTCCAACTCATAACAAACTCAGGATCTGAAAAGGACTGAAAGTTTGGCTACAACTTCTCTTCCATATCCAGAGAAATCTCAAGAAACATCTCATATCCCTGAGCTTGCCAAATGTTGACCAAGTCCTAAAGTTCCACTTTCCTGTCACTGGGAATAATCATTTCATTGGAAATTACATGACTCATGAAAAGGAAAGATGTGTGAAATAGCTTGTGTTTTGAAAAGGTCAGCTCCAGCCTGAGGGAGTCTAGCCAGTGCAAACTCTGGATGAAAGATTAGCAAGCTCATCTCTGGGGTCCGGCCTCCTAAGGAAAGCCTGGCTTGACTCCTTGCCTGGCCTATAGGGTCTCTCATGCCCCTCTCTCTCTCTCTTTCATGGCCTTTAGGGTTGCAGATATATTGATTAATCTCTGTAGTGCCCTGAGTGGTTTTGTAGGAGTTGTTTCTGACACATCATCAAATTCAGCTAGAATGAGGTAACTACTATATCTAAAATATAATCCTCAAAATTACTGTATTCCTACCAGTAAAGAAAGTGTCTCTTTTATTAGATAATAGATAAACCTTATATCAAAGATGCTATTTAACTACTGATGGTCAGTTGCCCTGATTTTTGTTTTTTCTGACCACTATTATGGGTATTGCATACATCAGCAGTCCCTAACCTTTTTGTCACTAGAGACCAGTTTTGTGATCTCTACAAAATTCTTTTTCCACGGACTGGGGGAATGGTTTTGGGATGATTCAAGCACATTACATTTATTGTGCACTTTATTTCTATTATTATTACATTGTCATATATAATGAAATAATTATAAAACTCACCAAAATGTAGAATCAGTGGGAGCCCTGAGCTTGTTTTCCTGCAACTAGATGGTCCTATCTAGGGGTGATGGGAGACAGTGACAGATCATCAGGCACTAGATTTTCATAAGAAGTGTGCAACCTATATCCCTTGCATGCACAGTTCACAATAGGCTTTGCATCCCTATGAGAATCTAATGCTGCTGCTGATCTGACAGGAGGTCGAGCTCAGGCAGTAATGTGAGCAATGGGGAGCAGCTGTAAATACAGATAAAGCTTTGCTTGCTCGCCCGATGCTCACCTCCTGCTGTGCAGCCTGGTTCCTAACAGGCTGAGATATAACAGACTGGGGGATTGGGGATCCCTGGCATACATGGCTTGTCTTTCCTAGAGATATTAACTTAAATCTTGATTATTGAGACCCCTTTTTCTAATTAATTTTTTTTTGAGATGGGGTCTCACTTTGTCACCTAAGCTGGAGTGCAGTGGCCCACTCACAGCTCACTCCAGCCTCAACCTCCTGGGCTCAAACAATACTCCTGCCTTAGCTTCAAGTAGTTGGAGACCCCTTTTTCATATGGATGTCTAAAGTCCAAATCATGTGCTAAGAAAGATTTGAAGGCCTTCCCTCTGAGCTTCGCTAATTCTGATAGGCCTTTTATGCTCTCTTTGTGGCAGACCTTCAAAATCCAGAGCAGGAAAGAGGATCCCTGGTTTTGCCTTTAAATATCCAGAGAGTTTAGATTCTGCCGAACTGATCATTTGCCTTTTCACAGATACTTTCTCAGAAAGAAAAATTCTAATTTTACCTGGAATTTTCTACATTATTCCAGCAATCTCTCCTCCAGATCCAGAAACACTTTAATTCTCATAGGATGACAGGGTATGTTGCAGCCTCACCTGAACCCACAGGTATCATACCTGAGGCATCCAGGTTACTCACCAGGAACTTCTACCACTGTGATTGCTGTCTGGATTGCAATTGTTTTACTGGCTTATTTCTCTCATACCATTCTTCTTGATGAAGCCTGATAGAACTGCTGTGAACATTTTCTCATATACATATGTCAGGTTCATGACTACACCAAAGGTCATGTTGCAGTCTGAAGGGAGTGGGTGGATGAGCAGAAAGAACACTCGGGGGCCACAGGCTGGTGAAAGATTATTTTATTCAGCAGCAACTCTCATCAGCAGCTTTTTCACACTGTCCGCCCCATCTGGGCTGCTTAGTCCGGCTCCCACACACAGCTGCATGGCTGGCTTTCCCTTGCTTTCAGGGTCAGCAGGTTAACTCTTTCTTTCTCTCTGGGCATGAGTGAGCCGAGCTGTGTCCTGGCTCCCCTCTGTCCATCTTTGCAGATGGACAACTTTGGCTCTCTCTCTTTCTCTTGGTGCAGTGTGACCACACTGTGTCAAACAGGGCAGTTATACCTTTTACAGACAACAGTGGCTTAGAGCCAAGTGATGGCCTTCCCACGTTATGGCTCCATGACTGTGATAACAAGTGGAGTTACACACCTGCACTCTAAACTTGCTGAGTCACACAGGATGTAAACATCCTACCTCGGCCTATCCTTCACCAAAGCACAGCCATGTTCCTTACAACATGACAGAGGACTGAGACATTCAGATCTCTACCTTTCCAGTGTCTGCAAGTAGTTTATCACAGTGGCTTTCCTCCTCTTCGTGCATTAATCTGTCTGAAACAAAATCAAGGTTGTCATCCTCAGGTTTCTCCCAGAGGCAGTCTTGGAAAAATGCAATTATGCAGTATTGAATCCCAGAGGGGTCTGACTTGGAATCAGATGTATCTGGCATGATAACCTACTCTGTCATTAATCTGTATGTGACACTGGCCATTCATCTAACTACTTAGGAGCTTTAGTTTTCTCACCCCTGAAATGAAGTGGATGATATTGCCTCTACTTACTTTGTAGAGGTTGTTATAAGGATCAAAAGAGAAAATGTGTGCAATGAACTCTGTTCATGATAAAAGACTAAACAAGGCCCTGGACAAACGTCGAGCTCTAGGTAAAGTTAGGGCTGGCTATTGGACATTGACTAATCTCTTGTTTCCTGGACTTAGGGCAAGAGGCCTGTGGACAGGTTAGTGAAGTAAGCCCTGCCAATGGAGAAACTGGCCTGAGAAGGTGTTCACTCCCCAGTACTACACAGTCAGGGTGCTCAAAGTGTTCCTGAACTCTGGAGGACTTGACCTACTGTGGGTGGTAGTACTGCCACGTGTCTGACATTGCATGGAAGCTTTGGATAAACAATTTTATTTTTACCATAATACAGGACTTTATAATTTCCACTAAGGAAACTAGGGCTTAGAGTATTTAAATCACCAATATATACTTGATCACAAAACTAATATTGAATAGTCTCAATTCTAAGAAACCGTCACCTGGGGGATTATGTCATTTTAATTACAGCTTTTCAGAAAGAAATGAAACACTACACAATTAATACGTATATCAGTTGTAGGACACATGCCGGTTTCAGAATGTTAAAATTTGTATGGGGGAGGCTGGGCACTGTAGCTCATGCCTATAATCCCAGCACTTTGGGAGGCCAAGGCAGGCAATCACTTGACCTCAGCAGTTCAAGACCAGCCTGGGCAATATGGCAAAACCCCGTCTCCACTGAAAATACAAAAAAACTTAGCCCGGCTTGGTACAGCACATGCCTGTAGTCCCAGCTACTCGGGAGGCTGAGGTGGACGGATCACTTGAGCCCAAGAGGCAAAGGTTGCAGTGAGCCAAGATTCCACCACTGCATTCCAGGCTGGGCAGCAGAGTGAGACCCCATCTTAAAAAAAAATCATATGGGAGAAAAAGTGATTCTTCTGATGGAAGAAATGTAGTAAGAGATAATAATGAGCTTGAAAAATCCTCAGCTGGGTTTGACAGCAAAACGATGCATCATCTGCACAGCTCCACACACTTCCTCACTGATATTTTGTCTGTTTCTTCTGAAGTTTTGGCAACTGCTGATTTGACAACCCCTTTATTACTTCAGTTAGAATGAACATTGCCCTTTTCATAGCTAAGTCTAGCAGATCTTGATTTATTTCTGAAGTGAATCAGAAAGATTTTTACTTTTTTTTTGTAATAATCTGTCTTCCCACATAGGCAACGTTGCCTTTTTATTTTAGCGGTAACTTTATCATCTAAGTTATTTGCTGGAAAGTAACAGAAAGTGACAGCCTTTCCTTATGGCCTTGGATTTCATGTATTTGCTAACTAGTCCTTCTGTCTTATTCTAGTTCTTGTCTCCATGTTTATTGAATTTTACAGATTGTCTATGGCAGTACTGCATTTTATGGACCTGAATTTTTACAAATGAATGAAATGGGAGAATAGCCTTTGTTTTGCTAAATACAGACAAACCATACTTTCATACACAGCATGTTCCCAGAAACATTTACTAAAGTCCAGTGTGCAAAAGTCAAAACCTAGAATTGTATGTTATAGGAGAGCTTCTATCCTATGAAGGCAAAAATTGAGTAGCAGAAAGATGAATCATACACTGAGTATCCCTACATTTATTTTACTGTTGATATAATTTTTTCTATGTCTAAACCATCACACTCTCTTGACACCCCTGAGCATTTCAGATTAAGAGATTCTCAAGAAGAAGTGGTTGGAGGAGTGGCAATTAAATAGAAGCCTTTAGGAGCATATAAGAAGTGACCCCAAGACCACCAATGTCCAGACCACAAGGTTCTCCATGATGGCGTCCACCCATCTTTCTCTGTCTACCCCTACCCCCTGCTCTAGCATTCTGACCAACTTACTGTTCCCAGACAAGCCATGTGGGTTCACAGTCTCTGTGCATGCCATTACCTCCACTTCAAATGTCCCCCCACACTATTTTGCCAGCCACATGAGCATTTACTCATTAAGATTCAGCTCAAGCTTTGACTCCTTTATTTAAGCTTTTCTTGACTTCTTCAGGTGAAGTTGACTGTCTCCTCCTTTGTGTCCTCACTAGATTGTAGACAACTATGGCATATAATCTTTATTTCTTCTATTCATTTATGTGAATTCTCCTGCCTCAGCTAGATTGCAAACCACTTAGGGTAGAGATACAGAGCTTGGAACATAGTAAGTGCTCAATGAAGGGAAAGTGGGGTGGGGAGAAGGACAGGCAGACCCATGAATTTTGATGCTGTTCTGCTTAGAATTTTTGGAATAAATTTTTTTTAACTTTTAAGTTCAGGGTACAAGTGCAGGTTTGCTACATAGGTAAACTTGTGTCATAGGGGTTTCTGGTACAGATTATTTCATCACCCAGGTATTAAGCCTAGTGCCCATTAGTTATTTTTCCTGATCCTCTCCCTCCTCCCACACTCCACCCTCTGTTAGGCCCCAGTGTGTGGTGTTCCCCTCCATGTGTCCATGTGTTCTCATCATTTAGCTCCCACTTATAAGTGAGAACATGTGGTATTTGGTTTTCTGTTCCTGTGTTAGTTTGCTAAGGATAATGGCCTCCAGCTCCAACCATGTTCCTGCAAAGGACATGATCTCATTCTTTTTTATGGCTTCATAGTATTCCATAGTGTATATTACCACATTTTCTTTATCCAATTTATCATTGATGGGCATTTAGGTTGATTCCATGTCTTTGCTATTGTGAATAGTGCCACAATGAACATATGCGTACATGTGTCTTTATAACAGAATAATTTATATTCCTTTGGGTATATACCCAGTAATGGGACTGCTTGGTCAAATAGTATTTCTGTCTTTAGGTCTTGAGGAATCACCACACTGTCTTTCACAATGGCTGAACTAATATACTCTCCCACCAGCAGTATATAAGCATTCCTTTTTCTCCACAACCTCATCAGCATCTGTTATTTTTTTACTTTTTAATAATAGCCACTCTGACAGATGTGAAATGGTATCTCATTGTGGTTTTGATTTGCATTTCTCTAATGATCAGTGATATTGAGCTTTTTTTCATGTGATTGTTGACCGCGTGTATGTCTTTTTTTGAAAAGTGTCTGTTCATGTCCTTTGCTCACTTTTTTATATGGTTGTTTGTTTTTTGTTTTTTGTTTTTTGTATAAATTTAACTTCCTTAGAGATGTTGGATATTAGAGCTTTGTCAGATGCATAGTTTGCAAAAGTTTTCTCCCATTCTGTAGATTGTCTGTTTACTCTGTTGATAGTTTCTTTTGCTGTACAGGAGCTCTTTAGTTTAATAGATCCCATTTGTCAATTTTTGCTTCTATTGTAATTGCTTAAGAACAAAGGTGGAGGCATCAGCCTAAGAGACTTCAAAGTATACTACAGGGCTACAGTAACCAAAACAGCATGGTACTGGTAAAAAACAGACACATGGGCCAACAGATCAGAATAGAGAACCCAGAAATAAGACCACACACCTACAACTATCTGATCTTCGAATTATTTTAAGGGTCTTATGAATGTGTTTAGCATAAGGCCAGAAAGGAATTCTTTCCATATTTCAGAAAGAATTATTTTAAGGGTCTTATGAATGTGTTTAGGAAAAGGCTGGAAAGGAATTCCTTCCGTATCCCAATTTAGTATTTGATGTATAACTTTGAGAGGAAGAAAGTATTCTGAAATCAAAACAGAGCACAAACTCAGTGATCTCATACATTTATGACACTCTAGAATGCTGGGATAGTTTAATCATCTAGTTTATCCTCTTTTGAATACCAATGGAGAAATGGAGCCTTAGAGAAGTGCAGTGATTAATCTGCAGTCACATAGCCACTTGATGCCAGGGTCATAGATGGAGTTGGTCTGTTAGTCCCCCAATCCTGTGTTTGTTAGTTGTGCTATACTTCTCTGAATACTCTGTAGAAGTTCAGCCTGGGAAGTGTACTAGGATTTCATAAATCAAAAATAGCACAAGAAAGAAAAGGTTTTGATTTCATTTTACCTCTGCCAGTGGCCCCAGTAAGCTAAGGATATTTTTCATTCTAACTCAATTTGCTGTGCAAATCACAGGAATTAAACAAACTGATGTAGTGATGTGGTAACTGGATACTATCAGACCTGTTTGGTTTCAACAGGGCATTTACCAGTCTTTCTGTTCTCATTAGCCTGCCTCTTGTCGTCAGTCTGGTTCGCAGGCTTTACATTAGGAAAACAGGAATACAAACGGCCTTCCTCTCAGGCAATAAGAAAATGAATATAACATAACAATTGTCATTCAGCACACAAAAGCAAAAGAGCGTTAGGACTGGAGTGACTTAATATGCTGTCACTTCCCTCTTGCTAACAGAATCAGAGGCTCTTTTGAAAATGGAATAGAATAATGATAGATTTAGTGAGTGTCTTCCCTTATTACTGACTTCAGCATATTAATAAATTTTATTTCCCACTGAATGTGCACATGCTCTTGACAAAAGAGTAATGCTAATTTGAAAAATAAATTTAGGAATAACAGATTATAGCAACAAATAGAAAATAAAAAAGTAAAATCTCATTTTATGCTTATGTCTTTTAAATCCCCTTTTCCTAATAAAAAGTACTCTTGTTTTAACTATGGGCTATTTCCTGGAAATTTATTTTGTCAGACAAATAGTTGCTTTGAGTGGAAGCTATTAGCATGCTTTCTCATTTGTTCTATGGCAAATTTTAAGTTTGCTGTTACTGTTTTTCTTTGTGTGCTTACTGTGTGGCAGGAAAACAAAGTTTTTAATTTGCACTTTTGGGAAGCTGTTGGCAAGTATTGCTTATTTCTGATAATCTAAACACACTTGATTTATGGAAGTACCAGAGCATCAATCTGTCCCCTCATCACATGGGCCCATGTGTTTCCAAAATACAGACCAATGTTTGAAGTCAGGTGACTTGGTGAAATCTGCCAATCAGAGGAATAAAGGGGAGCAGTATTTGGGGTCTATGTCTACTGAAAAGTCGTGAGGAATTTTCTTTCCTCAACCACAGCCCTAGAATCATGGCTATTCCACCATAGCCAGAAAGACAGCATGGTCTTTTACCCTTCAGAGAGAAGAGCCAGATGAAAATATACCTTACAGCAAGGGATACCCTTTCTTGGTGACTTGTTTCCTCAGCCAAGACTGCCAATGAGATCATTGATGGAAGGATTCAGAGGGTAAAGAAGCACATTCTTTATCCTATGATTACTGGAGATCTCTTTAGCCCACTGGGAGCCCTCCCAGCTGGCATTTTCTCATAATTCAATGTTGATTCAACAGCTTCATAATGGCCATCTACACTGTGTCTGTCCCTGTGCTAGGGATCCATGGTGTGATGCGGAACAGGGCAGGGCAGGGCAGGCTCTGCTTTCATGGCAGTGATGGATAGTAGAAAGGATGGACAAAATCAATCAAAGTTGCTCTGCAGTTTAGCTTTGTGGGATGAAAACAGAAGAGGAGCTGAGACAAATTACAAGAGAAATCACCTCCTTTAGATCAGGTATTCCATGAGAACCTCTCAGAAGAGGTGCCATTGAAAATGAGGCATTAAAAAAAAGCAGTGATGGGTAATGCAGAGAATAGAGGAAGGAACATTCAGGACATGGGAACCCCAAGGACATTGTATTAACCCGAGGAGAACCTGGGGAAGAACCTGGGCTGACGAGCACAGATGTTAGCCTCCATCCCACCTACCTCAGGTCCCCACCTCAGTGTGGGCAGTAACAAGACTGGTCAGGCCAGGTCTGGCCATGAGACACCAGGCTGCAGAGGGAAGATAAGCAGAAGGCCTATGGCAAGCACTAGAGTTCTAAACAGACCAGAGAGCAAGTCCTAGAAGCACAAGTTATGATCAGATAAAATCTTTGTAGGTCAGGGAGTGGGGAGCTGCCAAAATCCAAGAAGTCAGAGAGTCAACAAAAGCAGCACTCTGGAACAGGCTGTGCAAACTTGGTTGTAGGTGACCCAGACCCATCAGTGTTTATCACGGTCCAAGGGAAATCAGCAGCCTGCTGGTGAACCTGGGCTGCTGCACAAGGGGTGGGGTCAGAGAGGAAGGGAGTGAGTAGGGCCTGTGTAGTGGCTATCGGGGGCAAGTGCTGAGAAGACTCTCAGTGATGGCTGCACGTGATGGTGCTGCAGGAGGAATGGTGACGGTGGAGGCAAGGACAGTGTTTGCTCACACCCATGAGTCAAACCACTGAGTAGTTAATTCAGTTTATTTCCCTACTCAAGGCCCTTCATGAGAGAGACATAGTAACCTATTCTGCATCCAGCATCATAGAGAAAACCAGTATTCTGAAGGAAAGACGGACAAGGCTTAGCAGCCATGCCCACTCCTGGGAAGGGATAGGCAGGCCACTCTGCCTCTAGTGAATACTGACTTCCAGACGGAATGGCCACCCACTGGGGCAGATGCTGTGCCAGCAGGCACTCCAGCCCCAGGGTCTATAATCTCCCCACAGCTGGGAGGTAGCAGTTATGATCCCAGTTTAGAGATGGGACACCTGAGGCTCAGCGTACTTCAGTGACAGGCCCAAGGGCTCAAGACTAGCGAGTGGCAGAAACACTCCTATGCATGTGTTTCCCGACATCGGGAGCTGCTGGGGTGCCTCCTGCTCTGTGGTGTGGGAGGGAAAGCAGGGTTCACCGGAACTAGACCTAACCCCTCTTTATGACTGAATGCCTGGCGCCTCCACGGCTGAGGGGAAGGAAGGGAGGCCTGATGCCAATGACTCAGAGATCGCCTTTGATTTTTCTCTCCATACAGTGCTCCAGAAACTGCAGTGGGGGCTTCAAGATACGCGAGATTCAGTGCGTGGACAGCCGGGACCACCGGAACCTGAGGCCATTTCACTGCCAGTTCCTGGCCGGCATTCCTCCCCCATTGAGCATGAGCTGTAACCCGGAGCCCTGTGAGGCGTGGCAGGTGGAGCCTTGGAGCCAGGTAGGTCCCCCACAAAGGGAGAGATGTCCTCACACAACCTGGCAAGCCATGAATCTCTGTGTTACTGCATAAGTGTAGAAATCAGGGAAGACCACACCTGTGTCCTGCCAATGACTGGCCTCTGTTCAGTGACCCCACCCTGTATGTGAGAAGCTGAATGGGTCTAACACTTTCAGGAGGTGAAAAAATTCCACGGTGGAGACAATGTGTTATAGTTTTAATCACAGCAGTTCAGTGTTGTGTTGCAACCTGGTCTCCCAATGGATATACTGGGGAATTGGTGTCCTTGCAGGGAAAATGAACGCAATGGGATGATTTGAACAAGGACGAATCTGATGAGAGCCACTTACAGACAGAGCCTAACATGCTCTCTGAGGCTTCTGCAGTCAGGCTGGGAGAAACAGCCCTATCTTTTCCACACAGTATAATATTAGAGTTTCATCTCTTACAGCTCTCAGATCACTGTACAAATAACGAGTGTGTGTGTGTGTGTGTGTGTGTGTGCTCTCTTTATGAGGGCCCTGGCTCTGCTGGGTCTTAGTTTTACTTTGGCACATGAAAACAAGGTTATTTGATGAAGTTCTTTGGTGAAGTGTGATGATCTCATTTTTCAACAGTCAAATGTTTAAATATCTCAACAGCTAAAACATACTCCCAACTACATCCACAAATGATAGAAAGAAGGCCAAAAAATAAAAATAAAAGAGGAACCCTGCATATTTTGAGTGTGTCCAGGAGCTAGGCACTTTCCCTATGATACTTGGTTTAATTATCTCCATGACCTGGATGGTAGGCATTTTTAACCCTATTTTATAGGGGAAGAAATTGAGACTTAGGTTGAGAAACCTACCTGAGACACACAATGAGAAAATAAATGGAGTTTTAATTCAAACATAAGGCATTCACAACCAGAAAGATTTGATTGCTCATCTTTGATTGCCCATCTTTGATCCTGCTATGATGTGGAACTAGCCCAATGGGCATTGAGCGAAAAGTGAACTAAGGAGAAAGAATGAATCAATAACTATTTTGGGGGCACCTACCATGTGCCAGTGAAGGGAAGGCAGAGAATCCCAACCTGAGGCTACAGAGTTAGTGTCAAAGCCTGTGGAGGACTGAGCCCCGAGTTACTTACCACCCACCGGCCAAGCATCCACACTGATTCCTGAGGCTCTGGGCCACTAGCTAGAGTTTTCTGGGGCAGCAGCCACCACTGTCCCCTCTTCATCCTCCTTCCCCTGCCTAGTTCTTGAGTACATGAAGTGCCTGCTACTCCCAGGCTCTGAACCCAGACCTCCAAACTCTCCATATGTGCTGAGCCTGGCCTGGACCTGTTTAGGCAGCAGCTTCCAGAATCCAGGAATTCACAGAGGAGCTTAGATTGCCCTTTCAGAGAAATGACATTTGCAGGCGATCAAAGATGAGCAATCAAATCTTTCTGGTTATGAAAAAGGTCTATTCTTTATGTTTCCTCTGTAGCTTCTCGGATCGCCATCAGGAACCTGCTCCCTGAAGCCCTTCTGTTTCTCTCCTTTCTAAATTGCCCTGTTTTGAGCAAACCACAAAGTTGGTAGAGTTCCCTCTTAAGCAGTAGTAGAGATAGAAAATGTAAAAGTCAGTTGAGTACCCGGAGCTGCTCTTAAGGGATTGGGCATCTTTAGGTACTTTCCTTGCCCGTGGTGCTGACTGCCATCCTGGGAATGTTACGAACCCATCTGGCAAGCATATCGGCCCGCCTCAACTACCCTCCATGGCAGATGCATTTTAGCTGTGGGACCATCTCTACACCAGTGGTAGTCAAGCTTTATCATGCTTCAGGACAACCTGGAGGGCTTGTCAACACACAGATGGATAGGTCCCACCCCGAGAATGGCCAATTCAGGGGATCTGAGGTGGGGCCTGAAATTTTGCATTTCTAACAAACACTCAGAAGATGCTGAAGTTGCTGGTCTGAGGAGCATTTGAGAACCACTTTTTTGACCCCCTTTTCCTGGAAATTACTTAGGCAGGTGGTGCTGAATCTGTGTGCACATAGGTAGGTATGCACAAGAACTCCAGATGTGGAATTCCTCTCCCTCTCTCCTCAGATGGGGTTAAAAACAGGTTGAATAAGTGGGAAAAAAGTTGATGTTGATTCTCAAAGCTGGAATATTGTGAAGGCACTACGTTAGTTCTTTTATTGAGCAGAAAAGGTTAATTGCATATAATTTCCCTGTTTTCTATGATACTACCACACACATACTACCTGATGTGATGGACATGATGTTTGCAAGACAGCCATAATTATCTTATTGTTATCGTTGTAACCATGCTAAAACTAAGATTTTTCAAAATGCTTTTCCAAATACTCTAGGAACTTTTCAAACATTCTTGGTGAATTATTTTATTTCCTCCTTAAAAAGTCATGCAAATGAGATAATGTATCTTATAGAATTATTCTAGTAAGCAAAAACCTGACATGTTTCAGAATTGTACCCTTTTAGAAATCTGACTTGTCATCTTGAATTTATTTTGTTGTGAGTGTTAACAGCCAATGCATCTGAGTCCTGAGCAAATCCATCCATTTTATTACTCCTACTATGGACAAATTTAATTCTAAAACTTTATGCAGTGGAAAAGGAAGACTAAATCTCATTTTAATAGGAGGCAAACAAAATTGTATTGCAAATGTGTGCCCCCCTTTTGGGCTGTCAGAGATAATCATTATAAAAAATCTAAATCATTATAAAAAATCTAAATCTTCTGACTTTTCTCCTCCTTATATCTTCAGGATTTGCTTCATCAATATTTCCACCTCTCTTTAATTCTTGTTTCCCCCCCTTTTTTTTTTTAAATAGTGAGTGGTCATTGTAAGGAATTTGCAGGAATGCTATAAATTCTAATACAGATACCAATATTCCTAGTAACACTGTACATAACAAAAATGACAGTACGAAGTTCTTCACTTATCATTAAACATGTCTCCACCTGACTTTTACCTAATCTTGTCACTGCTGTGTATCAGTGCTCCAGGTCCTGTGGAGGTGGAGTTCAGGAGAGAGGAGTGTTCTGTCCAGGAGGCCTCTGTGATTGGACAAAAAGACCCACATCCACCATGTCTTGCAATGAGCACCTGTGCTGTCACTGGGCCACTGGGAACTGGGACCTGGTAAGACTTGGTTATACATACTTTTTTTACTTTAGCTTTTTTTTTTTTTTAATACTTTAAGTTCTAGGGTACCTGTGCACAACGTGCAGGTTTGTTACATAGGTATACATGTGCCACGTTGGTTTGCTGCACCCATCAACTCATCATTTACATTAGGTATTTCTCCTAATGCTATACCTCTCCCAGCCCCCCACCCCCCGACAGGCCCCAGTGTGTGATGTTACCTGCCCTGTGTCCAAGGGTTCTCATTGTTCAGTTCCCACCTATGAGTGAGAACATGCAGTGTTTGGTTTTTTGTCCTTGCGATAGTTTGCTGAGAATGATGGTTTCCAACTTCATCCATGTCCCTACAAAGGACATGAACTCATCCTTTTTTATGGCTGCATAGTATTCCATGGTGTATATGTGCCACATTTTCTTAATCCAGTCTATAATTGCTGGACATTTGGGTTGCTTCCAAGTCTTTGCTGTTGTGAATAGTGCCACAATAAACATACATGTGCATGTGTCTTTATAGTAGCATGATTTATAATTCTTTGAGAATATACCCAGTAATGGGATTGCTGGGTCAAATGGTATTTCTAGTTCTAGATCCTTGAGGAATCACCACACTGTCCTCCACAGTGGTTGAACTAATTTACACTCCCACCAACAGCGTAAAAGCATTCCTATTTCTCCAAATCTTCTCCAGCATCTGTTGTTTCTTGACTTTTTAATGATCACCATTCTAACTGGCATGAGATGGTATCTCATTGTGGTTTTGATTTGCATTTCTCTGATGACCAGTGATGATGAGCATTTTTTCATGTGTCTGTTGGCTGCATAAATGTCTTCTTTTGAGAACTGTCTATTCATATCCTTTGCCCACTTTTTGATGGGGTTGCTTGTTTGTTTTCTTGTAAATTTCTTTAAGTTCTTTGCAGATTCTGGATATTAGCCCTTTGTCAGATGGGTAGATTGCAAAAATTTTCTCCCATTCTGTAGGTTGCCTGTTCACTCTGATGGTGTTTTGTTTGCCATGCAGAAGCTCCTTAGTTTAATTAGATCCCATTTGTCAATTTTGGCTTTTGTTGCCATTGCTTTTGGTGCTTTAGTCATGAAGTCTTTGCCCATGCCTATGTCCTGAATGGTATTGCCTAGGTTTTCTTCTAGGGTTTTTATGGTTTTAGGTCTAACATTTAAGTCTTTACCATCTTGAATTAATTTTTATATAAGGTGTAAGGAAGGGATCCAGTTTCAGCTTTCTACATATGGCTAGCCAGTTTTTCCAGCACCATTTATTAAATAGGGAATCCTTTCCCCATATCTTGTTTTTGTCGGGTTTGTCAAAGATCAGATGGTTGTAGATGTGTGGTGTTATTTCTGAGGCCTCTGTTCTGTTCTTTTGGTCTATATATCTGTTTTGGTACTAGTACCATGCTGTTTTGGTTACTGTAGCCTTGTAGTATAATTTGAAGTCAGGTAGTATGATGCCTCCAGCTTTGTTCTTTTTGCTTAGGATTGACTTGGCACTGCAGGCTCTTTTTTGGTTCCATATGAACTTTAAAGTAGTTTTTTCCAATTCTGTGAAGAAAGTCATTGGTAGCTTGATGGGGATGGCATTGAATCTATAAATTACCTAGGGCAATATGGCCATTTTCACAATATTGATTCTTCCTATCCATGAGTATGGAATGTTCTTCCATTTGTTTGTGTCCTCTTTTATTTCATTGAGCAGTGGTTTGTAGTTCTCCTTGAAGAGGTCCATCACATACCTTGTAAGTTGGATTCCTAGGTATTTTATTCTCTTTGTAGCGATTGTGAATGGGAGTTCACTCATGATTTGGCCTGTGTTTGTCTGTTATTGTTGTATAAGAATGCTTGTGATTTTTGCACATTGATTCTGTATCCTGAGGCTTTCCTGAAGTTGCTTATCAGCTTAAGGAGATTTGGGGCTGAGACGATGGGTTTTTCTAAATATAAAATCATGTCATCTGCAAACAGGGACAATTTGACTTACTCTTTTCCTAATTGAATACACTTTAGTTCTTTCTCTTGCCTGATTGCCCAGCCCAGAATTTACAAAACTATGTTCAATAGGAGTGGTGAGAGAGGGCATCCCTGTCTTGTGCCAGTTTTCAAAGGGAATGCTTCCAGTTTTTGCCTATTCAGTATAATATTGGCTGTGGGTTTGTCATAAATAGCTCTTATTATTTTGAGATACGTTCCATCAGTACCTAGTTTATTGAGAGCTTTTAGCATGAAGGGGTGTTGAATTTTGTTGAAGGCCTTTTCTGCATCTATTGAGACAATCATGTGGTTTTTGTTGTTGGTTCTGTTTATGTGATAGATTACATTTATTGATTTGCATAGATTGAACCAGCCTTGCATCCCAAGGATGAAGCCGACTTGATAATGGTGGATAAGCTTTTTGATGTGCTCCTTGATTCAGTTTGCCAGTATTTTATTGAGGATTTTTGCACTGATGTTCATCATGGATATTGGTCTAAAATTCTTTTTTTGTTGTGTCTCTGCCAGGCTTTGGTATCAGGATGATGCTGGCCTCATAAAATGAGTTACAGAGGATTCCCTCTTTTTCTATTGATTGGAATAGTTTCAGAATAAATGGTACTAGCTCCTCTTTGTACCTCTGGTAGAATTCGCGTGTGAATCCTTCTGGTCCTGGACTTTTTTTGGTTGTTAGGCTGTTAATTATTGCCTCAATTTCAGAGTCTGTTATTGGGCTATTCAGAGATTCATCTTCTTCCTGGTTTAGCCTTGGTAGGGTGTATGTGTCCAAGAATTTATCCATTTTATCTGGGTTTTCCAGTTTATTTTCATAGAGGTGTTTATAGTATTCTCTGATGGTAGTTTGTATTTCTGTAGGTTGGTGGCGACATCCCCTGTATCATTTTTTATTGCGTCTATTTGATTCTTCTCTCTTTTCTTCTTTTTTAGTCTTGCTAGCGGTCTATCAATTTTGTTGATCTTTTCAAAAAACCAGCTCCTGGATTCATTCAGTTTTTGAAGGGTTTGTTGTATCTCTATCTCCTTCAGTTCTGCTCTGATCTTAGTTATTTCTTGCCTTCTGCTAGCTTTTGAATTTGTTTCCTCTCGCTTCTCTAGTTCTTTTAATTGTGATGTTAGGGTGTCGATTTTAGATCTTTCCTGCTTTCTCTTGTGGGCATTTAGTGTTATAAATTTCCCTCTACATGCTGCTTTAAATGTGTCCCAGAGATTCTGGTACATTGTGTCTTTCTTCTCACTGGTTTCAAAGAACGCCTTTATTTCTGCCTTCATTTCGTTATGTACCCAGTAGTCATTCAGGAGCAAGTTGTTCAGTTTCCATATAGTTGTGTGGTTTTGAGTGAGTTTCTTAATCCTAAATTCTAATTTGATTGCACTGTGGTCTGAGAGACAGTTTGTTGTGATTTCCGTTCTTTTACATTTGCTGAGGAGTGCTTTACTTCCAATTATGTGTTCAATTTTAGAATAAGTGTGATGTGGTGCTGAGAAGAATGTATCTTCTGTTGATTTGGGGTGAAGAGTTCTGTAGATGTCTAATAGGTTTGCTTGGTGCAGAGCTGAATTCAAGTCCTGGATATCCTTGTTAACCTTCTGTCTCCTTGATCTGTCTAATATTGACAGTGGGGTGTTAAAGTCTCCCATTATTATTGTGTGGGAGTCTAAGTCTCTTTGTAGGTCTCTAAGTCTAAGTCTCTTTGTAGGTCTCTAAGGACTTGCTTTATGAATCTGGGTGCTCCTGTATTGGGTGCATGTATATTTAGGATAGTTAGCTCTTGTTGAATTGGTCCCTTTACCATTATGTAATGGCTTTCTTTGTCTCTTTTGATCTTTGTTGGTTTAAAGTCTGTTTTATCAGAGACTAGGATTGCAACCCCTGCTTTTTTTTTGCTTTCTATTTGCTTGGTAGATCTTCCTCCATCCCTTTTTTTTTGAGCCTATGTGTTTCTCTGCATGTGAGATGGGTCTCCTGAATATACACACCAATGGGTCTTGACTCTTTATCCAAAATGCTAGTCTGTGTCTTTTAATTGGGGCATTTAGCCCATTTACATTGAAGGTTAGTATTGTTATGTGTGAATTTGATCCTGTCATTATGATGCTAGCTGGTTATTTTGCCCGTTAATTGATGCAGTTTCTTCCTAGCATTGATGGTCTTTACAATTTGGCATGTTTTTGCAGTGGCTGGTACCGGTTGTTGCTTTCCATGTTTAGTGCTTCCTTCAGGAGCTCTTTTGTAAGGCAGGCCTGGTGGTGACAAAATCTCTCAGCATTTGCTTGTCTGTAAATGATTTTATTTCTCCTTCACTTATGAAGCTTAGTTTGGTTGTATATGAAATTCTGGGTTGAAAATTCTTTTCTTTAAGAATGTTGAATATTGGCCCCCACTCTCTTCTCTCTTGTAGGGTTTCTGCAGAGTGTCAGCCACTGTTAGTGTGATGGGCTTCCCTTTGTGGGTAACCCGACCTTTCTCTCTGGCTCCCCTTAACATTTTTTCCTTCATTTCAGCCTTGGTGAATCTGACAATTATGTGTCTTAGGGTTGCTCTTCTCGAGGAGTATCTTTGTGGTGTTCTCTGTATTTCCTGAGTTTGAATGTTGGCCTGCCTTGCTAGGTTGGGGAAGTTTTCCTGGATAATATCTTGAAGAGTGTTTTCCAACTTGGTTCCATTCTTCTCCTCACTTTCAGGTACATTAATCAAATGTAGATTTGGTCTTTTCACATAGTCCCATATTTCTTGGAGGCTTTGTTTGTTTCTTTTTACTCTTTATCTCTAAACTTGTCTTCTCACTTTATTTCATTAATTTAATCTTCAATCACTGACACTTTTTCTTCCACTTGATTGAATCTGCTATTGAAGCTTATGCATGCGTCACGAAGTTCTGATGCCATGGTTTTCAGCTCCATCAGGTCATTTAAGGTCTTCTCTACACTGTTTATTCGAGTTAGCCATTCATCTAACCTTTTGTCCAAGATTTTTAGCTTCCTTCTGATGGGTTAGAACATGTCCTTTAGCTCAGAGAAATTGTTATTACTGACCTTCCGAAGCCTACTTCTGTCAACTCGTCAAAGTCATTCTCCATCCAGCTTTGTTCCAGTGCTGGTGAGGAGCTACGATCCTTTGAAGGAGAAGAGGAACTCCAGTTTTTAGAATTTTCACCTTTTCTGCTCTGGTTTCTCCCCATCTTTGTGGTTTTACCTATTTTGGTCTTTGATGTTGGTGACCTACAGATGGGGTTTTTGGTGTAGATGTCCTTTTTGTTGATGTTGATGCTATTCCTTTCTGTTTGTTAGTTTTCCTTCTAACAGTCAGATCCCTCAGCTGCAGAGCTGTTGGAGTTTGCTGGAGGTCCACTCCAGACCCTGTTTGCCTGGGTATCACCAGCAGAGGCTGCAGAGCAGCAAATATTGCAGAAGAGCAAATATTGCTGCCTGATCCTTCCCCTGGAAGCTTCGTCCCAGAGGGTCAGCTGCCTATATGATGTGTCTGTTGGCCCCTGCTGGGAGGTGTGTTCCAGTTAGGCTACACAAGGGTCAGGGACCCACTTGAGGAGGCAGTCTGTCCATTCTCAGAGCTCAAACACCATGCTGGGAGAACCACTGCTCTCTTCAGAGCTGTCAGACAGGGATGTTTAAGTCTGCAGAAGTTGTCTGCTGCCTTTTGTTCAGCTATGCCCTGCCCACAGAGGTGGAGTCTACAGAGGCAGTAGGCCGTGCTGAGCTGTGGTGGGCTCCGCCCAGTTCGAGCTTCCTGGCCACTTTGTTTACCTACTCAAGCCTCAGCAATGGTGGACACCCCTCCCCCAGCTAGGTTGTCACCTCACCATTTGATCTCAGACTGCTGCGCTAGCAATGAGCAAGGCTCCGTGAGTGTGGGACCTGCCGAACCAGGCACAGGAGAGAATCTCCTTGTCTGCCAGTTGCTAAGACCTTGGGAAAAGTGCAGTATTTGAGTGGGAGTATCCCATTTTTCCAGGTACAGTCTGTCATGGCTTCCCTTGGATAGGAAAGGGCAATCCCCCAACCCCTTGCACTTCCCGGGTGAAGCGACGCCCCGCCCTGCTTCCGCTCGCCCTCCATGGTGCAGGGACAGCTGCACCCACTGTCCAACCAGTCCCAGTGAGATGAACCAGGTACCTCAGTTGGAAATGCAGAAATTACTCATCTTGTGTCGATCTCGCTGGGAGCTGCAGACCAGAGCTCTTCCTATTCAGCCATCTTGGAACCTCAATCTACTTTAGCTTTTTAAAAAAATGGTTTCTTGCCACTATACTTAAGCAAAAAAATAAAAATAAAATAGCATGCATTTTCTTTTGATTACAAAAATAATCTATACTCATTGTAAATATTCAGTGCATTCATTGATTTACAGTATGTTTCTGGATACTTCGGTTTTCGTGTTCTTCTGCCACTGAATACCTCTAAGTCTGCTAAAAGTTGACCCACGGCTGCTGTGGGTCTTGAGTTGAGAAGGGAAAATATTAAATACTTTCAAAAGAGAAAAGATCAAATATCAAAGTTATTCCAGAGGCACACAGCCTAAGAAACATCTGTTTTACAACCAGCACCTTGGATTCTCTGGCTTTTCCTAGAGCAAAGAGGAGTTGGCATCTGTCCTAAAGCTTTAGGCATAGTCAGACTTATTGAGTTTCAGGCCTCTTGTCAGCCCACAGATCAGTTTGCCAGATGGCCAGCCTGTTTGATGGAACAAAATAATTAAACTGTAAATGAAGGAAAGAGGTATTATTCTCCCTAAGCTTGCTTATTGCATAAATAACACTCTATCAGCAATACTGAAAATAAAGAAAATTGTGGCCAGGTGTGGTGGCTCACACCTGTAGTCCTAGCACTTTGGGAGGCCGAAGCAGGTGGATCACCTGAGGTCAGGAGTTCAAGACCAGCCTGGCCAACAGGGTGAAATCTCATCTCTACTAAAAATAAAAAAATTAGTCAGGCATGGTGGTACATGCCTGTAATCCCAGCTACTCCGGAGGCTGAGGCAGGAGGATCACTTGAACCCAAGAGGTGGAGGTTGCAGTGAGCCGAGATTGTACCACTGCACTCCAGCCTGGGTGACAGAGCAAGACTCCATCTCAGAAAAAGAAAATAAAGAAAATTCTCCCATGGACAGATTCTGCCATCATTCTGATTTGTCTTATCCTGGGTTTTCTATCAAATGGAATCTCGAGAAAAAATTTAACACTTTATTAGGAAATTCAGTGCCAGGGAAGCAGGGGTGATAGAAAAGAGAAAGGAGGCAGAGAAGAAGGAGAGTCAAAAATGAAGTGGTGTGTTACTAGACTGATTATCTTACCTAACTGACCATCGCTTGGTGTCAGGAGCAACTGACTGCTGGCTCTCACAGGAAGGCTTCTAAAAACTGTGTGAACTACTGCGTGTTGTGGCAGTTTATCCGGGAAGGGAGGGAAGAGTAGGAAAGAAGAAGAGTTATCCACTGGCTCCTATCTCCCTTTGGTGGAGTCTCCCCTTAGAGGGCTAATATCTCCATACTTCTGAATTGTCCAGATATGGGCACTGAGCAAGTCCCATTGTATCTCATGTCTCATTGGCAACAAGAAAACCCAATCAGAAGCAGGGAGGCATGAGACATGGTGATATGGTTTGGCTCTGTGTCCCCACCCAAATCTCATCTTGGATTGTAATTCTCACGTGTCAAGGGAGAGACCCAGTGGCAGGTGAGCGGATCATGGGGGGCAGTTTCCCCCATGCTGTTCTTGTGATAGTCAGTGATTTCTCACAAGATCTGATGGTTTTATAAGGTGCTCTTCCCATTTCACTCCCCACTCTCCCTCACCTGCTGCCATGTAAGATGTGCCTCTTCCCTTCCACCATGATTGTAAGTTTCCTGAGGCCTCCCCAGCCCTGTGGAACTCTGAGTCAATTAAACCTCTTTTCTTAATAAATTACCCAGTCTCAGGTATGTCTTTATAGCAGTGTGAAACTAGGCTAATACACATGGCATGAGGTGAAGGCCACTGGGTTGTGCTTTCAGAAAGTTGGTTGCCACCTCAGCTGGGACAGATCCTAGGGCCACGAGCTGGGAGACAGGAGAGCCAAGATGGTCTGATACACTGACACCACAACTACTAACATTTTTATAAAGTAACTTGTTCCTGTGCATGTATGTTTTGATGGTTATAATTATAACACACACGGGAATGCAGTATTTTGCCCAACATAATGCCCCCAGCTATTTGTAGGTTGCTATACTGTTTGTAATTCTCATTGTTCATAGCTGCATAGTTGCACCGGCACAGCCATTGATCCACTCTAATGCTGTGTCAAATTGGCAGTCTATTGGCAGTCAGACATGTGAGGCACAATAGGCTGGACTCAACACCGAATTCACTTAGCTGTGTAGAAGGATACAAGCAGGAATTATATTAGGCACAACAGCCTCATCTCTGCAGGAGGTTGCTACCGAAGGATACAATTTCAGCAACTATCCAAGAGTACAACTTCATTTGCTTCCTTGTCTGTCAAGTGTGGTATGTATGGGTAGCAAGAAATCAGAGCCAAGATGCACACAGGTCACCTTGACACAAGCCTCAGCCTCAGTTTCTTGCCAATATTTTAAACTATTTTGGTCTCACATGCCCAAGGCCACATGCCAACTCACAGGCCTCCAGTAGGGAGCAGTCCTACAGTCAGGAATTTCCTAGTGAACAAGACAGTCATCATCTTTTGCATTTACCTTAACTCTCTAGTTTCCAAGGAAACCATACTTCAAGGTCATTTTTTCTCTCCAAGTACTCTGAACCAGGACTAATGTTAACCTCTTCTTTACAGTAATATTCCATCAAGTTGATTGATCATATTTACTTAACAGTTGCCCCTTTGCTAGAATGTTTATCTGTTGGCACCCAATAAATAGTTACCAAACTAATACTCACTCCTCTGAGCAAGATTTGTGTGCCTAGTCTAGCCATGAGCTTCACAAAATTCATTATTAACATTATGGCAGATTGGATCAAGGCAGCAGTGGCCTTCTCCAGCCACATGGGCCTGAGCAAAGGCCATGCTTACTCCTGGCAGGCCTTGCCCCAGCTGCCTGGATATATTTCAGGACTAGGCTCTTTATAAATATCTCAGAGCTCTGTATAACAAAATAAGTACCTCTAATCAAAGCAAACATGACCTCGAAAAGAGAAAATGTGATACAATGTGAAGTCATAAAAATGCTGTAAGAATTGGGCCCATTCAGGGAAACAATCTCATAGAAGATTCAAAATTGTAAAAGAACATTTTTAAGTCTCCCCTTTAACTCCCTGAAGGAGTTCCAGGTGAGTCTATCGGGGGTGGACTTGGGTTGAAGTTCCTTAGAAGAGCTGTGTGTCAGGAATTAACCAATTGTGCATAGCAAAGAATGGAGGGATAATGAGAGAGTGGTTAACACCTACCAGGCCAGCCTTTGGAATCACTCGTAACCTCTATGATCTATTATTAAGTGAAACTACACAAGCTATGGATTGAACATATACATTTGCCCTTGTTCTCAAAACTCCACTAAATAGGCAGAAGGCATAAAACACTAAAAATGGCACAAACCCAGAAGGACAAAGATGGGGGCAGCAGACAAGAGCAGAGAGATGGGTTCATACAATTTTGGAACCTGTAAAATTACACTGATCTATCTTTAGCTCCCCCTTGCCAAAAATAAAAAATAAAATTGGAATCTGGAAACAAATGGCTAAACTTCCAGTTGACTTAGCGAGTGTGCCAGAGGAAAAAGTCACCAGGTGTGGTGGCACACGCCTGTAGTCCCAGCTACTTGGGAGTCTGAGGTAGGAGAATCACTTGAACCCAGGGAGGGAGGTTGCAGTGAGCCGAGATTGTGCCGCTGCCTTTCAGCCTGGGTGATAGAGCCAGACCTTGTCTCAGAAAAAATGGTTTAAATGGTATATTTTGTGCTTTATATATTTTACCTCAAAAAATAATTTAAGAAAAGAGCATATGTGGTAAATTCAGGCACATTTTCTTGCATCCTGAAGAATCTTATGTAAACTGCTTTCCCAGGCCAGCGAATCTCCCTCCTGCAGCCAGGTGGGCGATCATGACATTGCAGTGGAACCATATCATTAGAATGGCTTGAGAGGACCTGGTCCAGCTAGGCACAGAGCTGGGTCCGCTGTTGCTCTGCTTCTTCCCCAGCTTCCATGCTCAGCCCTGTCCCTACCCCCATTCCACATTCTCTGCATGCCACTGGGGTCTTTCCCTCCCACTTCTCTTTTTACCCAACGTTCATCTCTTCTGGTAGCTCCACCCCTCCTCACATCCAATCCCCAGCCCCAAATCAAAATTAGTTCAGGCCGAAGTACCACGACACAGATATGAAATTGTATTCTGCTTTGCTTGCAATTCAACCTCCCTCCATATGTTTCACTCCATATACTCATGATGCAAAGATGAATGTTTGGGTTGGGAGTCTTAGCTAGAACCAAGGGTGTGAACCCCATGGGCAATGCCTCCCTCATTCCCGTTCCTCTCTAAGCACATGCTTCATTCCATTCACCTTTTCTGCCATCTGGTTTTCACTCATTCTACTTGGCAGGAAATGTGGCCACCAACAACACCCAAGTTTTCAAATTTCAGCCTTAGATGGAATCTCTGGCTGGGTCTCAATTCAAATTCCCAAGGAAGTGACTGATTGGCCCAGCTTGATGCAGGGACCTTCCCTAGAGCAGTCATGTGTGGCCAGGTGGCTGGGTCCAACGGCACCAACGTAGGTTCCTGGAGCCCAGTGCTGTAGCCATGTGGCGAAAGGCATCAGGCCATTCTCAAACGTGTGAAAAAGGAGCACGTTCTGCAGAGAACCTAATAGTAATTTCAGTCAGATTCAATCCACACAACCTATAGTATAGAGTCTCTCTAAACTCACATCTCCAAATTATTAGTGCCTTTATTCTATGACTCCTCCAAAAAGGTTTCTGGTTATTGAGATGTTTCCATTCTTGACCACAGTGGGATTGGAGGTGTTCTACTGGTGTTTCCTTGGGAGTCGTGGGGAGGACTTCTGACTCTCTGTTCACCTTCTCTTTCAGTGTTCCACTTCCTGTGGAGGTGGCTTTCAGAAGAGGACTGTCCAATGTGTGCCCTCAGAGGGCAATAAAACTGAAGACCAAGACCAATGTCTATGTGATCACAAACCCAGACCTCCAGAATTCAAAAAATGCAACCAGCAGGCCTGCAAGAAAAGTGCCGGTGGGTGAATGGGTTTGCTCGGGGAGAAAGAGATCTTTGCACAAATGTCATCCTGCATGATACAACTTGTAGATAGCTTTACATTTCTTTTACTGAATAGAAAATCTTAATGTTAAAGAGGTCAACCAGTAACCCTGGGAACAAACTATCTGATCTGGTGAGGTTTGAATCCTAACTTCTTGAGAGAGTATCTCATCCATTTTTCTTTTTTTATTATTATTATTTATTGAGTATCATAAAATACCATTTTCTCTCTGTAAGCCTGTTCACACTGATGTCATCCAACATGGATGAGAATTACTTCTATGCTTTCAAAGATGTCTTGAGAGATATCCCAGCCTTTCTTAGGAACCCAGTCAAGTGTGAAATGGTCATCTCTATAAATCTGGTACCACTGCATTAGGCCAGGTCCCCCAGAAGCAGGCTCTGGGGTGAAAGTGTGTGTGCAAGGGATTCATTAAGTAAGTATTTCCATGGAAGATCATTAAGGGAGTGGAGAAAGCTGGATGGAAAACGAGGAGACACAGCCAGGGTGCCTTCTCAGGAACCTGAGTCCTAGCTTCAGCCTGGTCCTCCAGGCAGCTCCAGAGCACAAGTTATACCCCCAAGTTGTCCACTCCTGAGCCAGTAAGTGGTACATTCACACTCCCACACTCTTCAGCCATTGGCCAAGGGCTACCCCAGGAGAAGTGAATTTACAGGAGGCTCTCTGCGTGAGAGACAAAGGAGCTCCTATAGGTTGGGTAGGTTCAGCTATGACCTATAATGTCCATTCCACTGATTGTTTGGGCTTCATTGACATGTAAAATTTCTAAATAAAATTAAAAACAGAGAAGTGAGTATATTCAGGAGCTCATTAAAAGAAAAATTTGATAGCCCTTTGTGCTGGGAGAAAGGAGAGAAAGGCTAATGCCCATAATTTTGACTTGGGCAGCTGAGTAGATGAAGCTACCATGCACTGAGAGAGGAAGCCCAACAGGAGCTTTGGGAAAGAGGGAAGATAGTGAGTTCTGTCTGGGACATGTTTGTTAAGGAGTCTGTGAATTATCTAGTTAAGGGTGTCCTGTGATTGGTTTGCTCTACAGGTATGGAGGCCAGGAGAGAGATCTGGTCTGGAAATACTGATAAAAATGCACTGAGCGAGGAAATGCTTTAGGTGTGATTATCACAGGAAGCTCTTACTGACTTGCACTTAAGGGTGGCTTTCATTGGCCTTACTTGAAATTCCAGAAGAAACCACCTAGAGCTCATTTTCAGAAGTGTTATTCATGTCTTCCAGACTCTTGCTTCTCAAAACATGGTCCCTGGACAAGCTGAATTGGCATCTCCTGGGAGTTTGAGGCTCTCAGGCCTCACTCTAGACCTACCTAATTAGAATCTTCATTTAACAAGATCCCTGGTGATTCATGTGCACATCAAAGTTTGAGAAGCACCTCGTTCTAGACCAAGGGACCAATTTGAGACTCTTTTCCTTTCATTTCATTTCATTACCTTCTATGGTACCATACTTTAAATAGTTGAGGCTATAGAATCCCTTCTATGTTGTGTTATTTTTTATATAACTGAAGCAACAACTTACTCTTGGTTGATCATGCCTAGTGTTAGGGCTTGTTATTTTGAATTATATGTAGGTTGTCTTCAACTGTCCTATTGCTGGACAATAAAATCTTCAATAATCAAAACAGGGTTAAATGCATAGATGGTAGTTTTCATTTTGAAATCTCACACAGAATAAATGGCGACGAATAGTTGGCTGGCAATTGATGTGCTTAACAATGAATTCCACTCACTGACAATTATCAGGGCCACAAAAGTTAATTACTAGCTTCTTTTGAAGGCAGAGCCATGCCTACTCACATAGAAGGAAAATGAAAGAAGAGTTGTGAGAAATTCCTTGATTTAAGAAACCAGCCACCCACCCTGACCACTATAATTCTCTAAAATTCTTTGAAAATATTCATTCAATGCCCAGACTCTTGTCAATCAGCTTTCACAATAAACATAACATACTCCTAAGTATATTTTATAATATCAGGTATGAATTCATATAAGGTTTAGTTTCCTCCAGGTCATTTTACTTCTTTTAGAAACCATTTGAAGTTTTAATGACTTAAAATCTAAATTGGAACTATTATTTCCACATTAGTGCCTACAAAACCCTTTCCACATATCTACATGGAAAAAAAAATCAACAAAATTCATTTACCAAGTATCAGCTTTATTCTCAGCATTACATTCTTATTGATTAAAAAACAAAAGCAAAACCCTTAAGCCTACCATTCCTGGGGTTGTTTTGTTGTTGCTGCTGCTATTGTTTTTAATTTGAGGAAGGGTAGAAAAGGCCAAAAAAAAAAAAAAAATAGAAACAGTACTTAGATCCAATGTTGATACAGATGAACATTTAAGTCGGTAAATTTTCTAGTAAAGAATATTCTGCCAGATGAATAGGATCTCATTCATTCACTTATTCAACAAAATATTATTGATCACAAGATGTCTCAGAGAAGTGCTAAGAGCTGAGGAGAAAGACATGAGTAAAATACAGTTCTTGGCCTCAAGAAGCCCAAAGTCATGGAAGCTGTATTTGTCAACAACATTGAAATTGTTTTTCAAGCTTCTTTGGTGAAAAAAATATTATCGCCTGATAACGCAGCTGACAACAAAGATACAGGCATATAACTGTCCCTTTAAATTTCCAAATGTGATTTTTGTTGAACCAGCAGAGGCAAATTGGGATCTCCCCTCCAAGTTGCCCATAATTATAAGCATTGTATGTACTTTGGAAGTGGAATCCAATTGACTAATGAACACAACAAGCCTTCATTGTTTCACAGCAATAGGGAGAACTGATGTAATTGAGCCCTGTCATCATGTTGGGCTCACGGTCATCATCTAAATGAGTTGCTAAATATAGTTCTGGAACACAGACTGCCAATATAGGCCACTCTCATCCTCCACTCTTCCTTCCGGTCCCCCACTCTCAAAAAGTGGGGCCCCAGGACCTTGCATGTATCCAGGCTCCAAGGACTATTGAAAAGCAAGGCTCTTGATCTCATGGTTTCCAAGAACATGTGAGGATTCCAGGCTTGGTTGAGTCTCTTTCAGTCATTTAGGTGTTGACCTAACCTGACAAGTGGGCCTCCTGTGTTGAGAAAAAGAAGATGTTCTGGGCAGAGAAGACCTATTCATGTGATCTTCTCCTGCCCCATCACCAGTACAAGAGATTCATTCTCTCAGAGACAAAGCTTGGGAGCTATTGAGACAACATTCAATTTCCAGTGGCACCATCTATGTACCAGCTGTGTGATGTTGGGTCAATTGCTAAGCTTCTCTGGAACCCTCAGTTATTAAAAGAATACATGCACCCACATCTATTGATTTCTGCGACAATCAAATGGTATAGTATATATCAAACATTGCCTAGTGTGTGGTAAATGCTTAATAATTTGTATCTGTGTTTTTTCTGCTTTCATGGAGGAAGGGGTATATTAGCTTCCTGGGCTACAAGCACACATATTCATGCTGCCATAACAAATTATAATAAACTAGGTGACTAAAGACAACAGAAATCTATTCTCACAGTTCTGGAGGCTAGAAGTCCAAAATCAAGGTATTAGTAGGGCCACAGTCATTCTCCCAGCTGCTGGCGGTTGCCGGCCATCACTGGCATTCCTTGGCTTACAGAAACTGAATTCCAGTCTCTGCCTCCATTACCACATGGCTGTCTTTCCTCTCTGTGTCTGTGTCTCAGCACGGCTTTTCCTCCTCTGTATGTGTGTCTCTCTCTGTGTCTCTTCTCCTCTTTTTATAAGGACACCACTCAGGTTGGATGAAGGGCCCACCCTAGTTCAGAGTGACCTCATCTTAACTGACATCATTATTCTATCTGCCAAGATCTTATTTCCAAATCAGATCACATTCACAGATACAAAGGGTGAGGACTTCCACTCTGGGGTACATTTCAAAGGATACAGTTCAACCCACAACCTTTGGGGGGCCTCCTAGAGGTCCTTTTTATAATGGCAGATACCTTTGCCCTTAGCAGAAGAGGCTTATGCTCAATTTACAGAGCAGGTCAAGAGAGAGTATGGTGCCGTGCCCGAGTGTGTAATACAATAATGCCTGTTTGGAGATGGAGACAGAGGGGACTCATGTGGGTCAGCGCTGCCAGAAGAAGCTTTGTGGAACGGTTGCTGTCAGCTGAGCCTCCACCCTTCCTCTGTCTTTCTCCTCCTGGCCAGCAACCCTAGAGCACTCACAGACACAGCGACGAGATTGTGGGGCAAAGAGCCGCCCCACCTGTGCCCTCTCCAGCCTCCATCCACAGAGACTTCAGGAGAGGCTGGCTAAGAAACTGGGGCGGCTTTGTGATGCTTGGACTGCCCTGCCAGGGGGCTTCCCAGAGCCCGGGAAGGAAGCCTTGCCTTGTTCCGATCAGCAGTGCACACAGTGCATGGCCCAGGTCCAGTGAACAACACCCACTGCTCTGCTGGGATGAGGGAGATGAAGAGCTGGAAGGGATATTCCACAAGAGACATGCTTGGTCAAAACATGTACTCTCTGAAGTTGAATTTTGAGGAGAAAATCTGAAACAAAAAGAAAAACAAGGCCAGGCACAGTGGCTCACACCTGTAATCCTAGCACTTTGGGAGGCCGAGGCAGGCAGGTCATTCGAGGTCAGGAGTTCAAGACCAGCCTGACCAACATGGTGAAACCCCGTCTCTACTAAATATACAAAAAAAAAAATTAGCTGGGCATGGTGGCACATGCCTGTAGGCCCAACTACTCAGGAGGCTGAGGCAGGAGAATTGCTTGAACCCGGGAGGCAGAGGTTGCAGTGAGCCGAGATTGTGCCACTGCACTCCAGCCTGGGAGACAGAGGGAACCGTCTCAAAATACAAAAACGTGTACTCTCTCTCTGAAACTCCCAAGGGTGTCAGGCAATTTCCTGTGGGGTTTTAAGAGAGACAGGGTTTTTATAAGAGGCTTAAAGAAGAGGCCTGAAGAAGGAAAGCTGAAGACTCAGATTTTGGAATCTAGGAGCATTATATGTTACCAATTCCTAAGGGCACTTAAAACTTCAGCACCAAACAGGACTCTGGAAGCTAACAGAAGACATTCATTTCTTCACAAAAATAAGGCACAGTTAAGAGAATAAGGAGTTCTGAGGAGATAAAAAGAATTTTTTGCCTTTATGATCTAAAGGTGAAAAAAGCATAGAGATGCAAAGATACTGTCGCAAATTTGGGGTGGAGAGGCTATTATTTCCATTTCTACTTTTCCTGACTGTTCCCTTTACAAAGGACAGCGGCCTGTTTATGAAAGTGCTTTTCTTCAGAACTATGAAAATATTTTCTCTGTAAAGGAGAAAGAAAGATGAGAGCTCCAAGAAGTACCTAAGGCAAGCTTAAAACAACTTCACTTTCTAGAAAAAAAAAAATCTAATTGAATTCTTAACAGACCTGGAACGTGTAGGCCAGTGCCATCTGAGAACCACCCGTACAAATGTGTGGGGGTGGTCCCTGAGCAACCCACTCTCGTTCCCTGACTCATGTATGGGAAAAGCAAGGCCAAGAAAATTAAAGGACACACTTTCCCAGAGCTAGTTAGAGGAGAACAAGGGTTAGAACTCAGGTGACTAATTGTATACTTACTCTGGGAATTATTTGTACATATCTTCTGCCTTCACCTCCATGGTAAAGTTCTGCAGGGCGGGGATCACAGTTTATGTCTGTATCCCTCACTCACTCTGGAAGCATTGGTTATTATTTTTTTTCTTCTTTTTTTGAGATGAAGTTTCACTCTTGTTGCCCAGGCTGGAGTGCAATGGCACGATCTCAGCTCACTGCAACCTCCACCTTCCGGTTTCAAGCGATTCTCCTGCCTCAGCCTCCTGAGTAGCTGGGATTACAGGCGCCCACCACCACGCCCAGCTACTTTTTGTATTTTTAGTAGAGACGGGGTTTCACCATGTTGGCTAGACTAGTCTCGAATTCCTGACCTCATGATCCGCCCACGTCAGCCTCCCAAAGTGCTGGGATTACAGGCGTGAGCCACCATGCCCGGCCCGGAAGCATTGGTTATTTTGCTGACGGGTTGTTGGCTTGACACTCTGAATAGTATGATTGATTAGAGCATGAGCTCTAGAGTTAAGACTGCCTGTGTTCAGATCTGGCTATGCCATTTATCAGCTGGACAACCTTATACAAGTTCTTCACTACTTGAGGCCTTACTTTCGTCATTTGTGAAATGGAAAAAATACTTGTCTGCTAGTAGCACTGTAAAGATGAAATGTAGTGAAGCATGGAAGACACTGCATTCAACTATTTCCATAGCAATACTGCATAGCAAAGCACCCCGACACTCGGGTTTAAAACTACAGTCATGTATTTTTTTCTTTTTTACAATTTCAATAGTTTTGGGGGTACCAAAGTAGTTGTGGGGGATAACCAAAACTCACGTTCCTTAGTGGCGATTTCTGAGATTTTAGTGCACCCATCTCCCAAGCAGTGTATACTATACCCAATATGTAGTCTTTTATTCCTTACCACCCCCAAGTTTCCTCCCTGGGCCCCCTGTCTATTATATCATTCTTATGCCTCTGAGTCCTCATAGCTTAGCTCCCACTTATAAATGAGAACATATATTTGGTTTTCCATTCCTGAAGTTACTTCACTTAGAATAATGGCCTCCAGCTTCACCCAAGTTGCTGCAAAAAACATTATTTCATTCCTTTTTTTTTTTTTTCTGGTTGAGTAATATTTCCTGGGGTGTATATACCACATTTTCCTGTATCCACTCATTGGTTGACGGGCCCTTAGGTTGGTTCCATATCTTTGCAATTGTGAATTGTGCTGCTATAAACATGCATGTGTGTGTGTCTTTTTCATATAATGCACAGTCATGTATTTTTTGCTGAGCATCTATAGGTCAGCCAAGGTTCACATGATTGAGCTTGGCTTTGGTTGACCTTGGCTGCTAACTGTAGGTTGAGTCCAGGTCTGCCCCATGTGTCTCTTATCACCCTTGGTGGCTGCACCAGCCAGGTTCTTCTTATGGTGACAGCAGAAGCTCATCAGGGAAGGCTTGTCCTCCTGCACATTCCAAGTCACTGCAGAGATCGTGTCTACTAGCATCCCATTATCTAAAGCAAGTCACAGAGCTGAACCCAAAGGCAAGTAGTTGGGAAGGATTCTCCACCCACTAGGCAGCCATGGCAAGGAGGGAATGTTCTGTATAAAACAATTACATGGGAGTGAAGAATTGTGACTGATAATTCAGTTTAGCATAAACACTCTGCACAGCGTCTGATACATAATAAACATTCAGTAGATACCACCTATTATGAATTGTTATGGCTCCTTTCTTGGTAGACATATAAAGTCTTACATTAATAGAAGTTGTGCTTGTATATCCACAAAGGATAATCTTTGGACTTTTTTCTTATTCTTTTTCTCCTTCCACAGATTTACTTTGCACTAAGGACAAACTGTCAGCCAGTTTCTGCCAGACACTGAAAGCCATGAAGAAATGTTCTGTGCCCACCGTGAGGGCTGAGTGCTGCTTCTCGTGTCCCCAGACACACATCACACACACCCAAAGGCAAAGAAGGCAACGGTTGCTCCAAAAGTCAAAAGAACTCTAAGCCCAAAAGGAAGCCAGCTTCCACCAGACTGCAGCAGCCTGCTGACCATGACATGCTTTAGCCCTGGGAGCTGCTTCGTTGAGGTTTTGCTTCATATATTTCAGATTCAGCTTTGGGTCATGATGAAACAAAATCCATTGTGTTCCTCTAGCCACCGAATGTCCCTCACAGGAGGCCTAGGCTGCCGTACTTGCTGCTCCCTGATAGGAAGGTGAAATAGCTAGGAGAATCAGGCAGCACCTGGTATCGGCTCCTGGGAAAGGTGCCAGGTTAGACAGATTTGTGAAATACTGTATTTTTGTTCTCCCTTAAAGATAAAAACAAAGAGACCAGCTATTTCCCTGACTACCTCAAGAGTATCAGGCAACACTTACCCAGGGGACAAATAATCTTCTTAATTTATCTTGATGAATACCTTTCTTTTTTTTTTCTTGCCTCCCTGCCTGGGGCAGCTGCTATTTAAAATGTCACAGCGGAGCTTTAGGAACATTCCTTTAATTCATCCAGGCAGAGGACTGCTTTCTTCACCCCATGTTCAACTAGGGCAGGAAGTGCTGGTTACATCCCTCAGTCTCTTCCTCCATCCCTGTAGGGCTCCATATCTGGGCTGCTTAGAGTCTCCTGCCAACCTTGGGACACTAGACTAAGAGGAAACAGGCATAAGAAACACAGCCTAAGGGGTTTAGGTCACTTACACAGAAAACACTTCTGGTTTGAAGAGCATTTCTATGAAAACTCGTAAAATGCAAATGAGCAGAAATCAATTTCTTAATATTACAGAAAAGGAACTGTGGGCCTTTATTCTTCCCACTTTCCTGGCAAATACACACTCCTTTGCAGAAGGGAAAATGTGTCTTCCTGGCTGACTTCCTCCCATCCTCCAGTCCCCACAGGAGGCCTGAGCTCAGGTCCCACCATCGTCTTGCTGCAGGGGCTGTATATGCAAAGACCACTATGACCAGCTCTAGGGCTGCCACCTGTCCTCACCTCTTCTCAGGTTGGAAAATGGAGGTTCCATATTAAAATATTTCAAAGAACCAGGTAAATTGTACTAAGTACAAGAACATAGTGCAAACTTCTAATCTAGAGAAAAAACATTTCTAAAAAGTAAGGTAAAGGGGATCTACTCCTCAGTGTACCCAATATGTAGTTAGTCTTAAAGATCTTTTACTTTGGGGAGAACAGGTGAATCAGGGAGTCCAAAGAAACTGAAATGAAAGTTAGAATGCTTGTTCTGGATGTTCCTACCTCCCACCAGAAGTCAAAGTAGGCTTGGTCTCAAATTCAGAGCAAATTTCTAGACAAAGTGATTTCTAAGGGAAGGTACTTACATGAACTGAACCCAGAGAAAGAGGGTAAGTGGGTGGGTGGAGGGGCATAAGCTTCAAATGAAAGAAGATATCAGAACCAATTCTTGACAGGGAGAAAGGCAAGGATGTGGCCTTCATGTGATGGGCAGCATATTTTCTGACTCATGCACAGATACACTTAATACTCCTCATGGAACACAATATCCCACGTCTCCCTTTACCTATCCGTTCAGCAGAATGGTGCTATTAAAAAAATGGTGCTAATATCTAGATGGTGGCAGAATTAATGTAAACATAGATAGGCATACAAATGGGTAAGTGTATGTGAAACTCTCCATATACATCTTCTGTTAAACATGTAACGGTGTTGCTGACCAATGCCAGTTTTATTGCTTGGGTACCTTGAATTTAAGATTTAATATTATGTGCTTTTTATTTTTTTCCAAGCCATTAACGTGTATTACTCTCATGAATTCCTGTGAAAAATAAAACAGTGGGATTGGGATGAAATTCAAGATAGACCAGAAACAGGAGGAAAGTACAAATGTTTACCTAAAGCCAGAGAATTTATTTCTAGATGATAATTACATTATTGTATTCTCTGCCTTTAAACATAAACATTGCTGGCCGATAGCAATCTCTGGTGAATAATGGTTTTCGAGGAGAGGAGACACTTAAATTGTTAGTGACATGAGTGGAGGAGAATCTGATATTTACTAATGAGGCAGTTTGCAAAGACTGTCCCTGAAGTGTAGTGTAGTCTTTCAGGGGGATTCATTTAGTAAGCTAGATTGATTTAACCTGGTACTGTACTAGCATAGGGTCAAATACGTGTCATCAGAGACCTGGGTATGACCAGGCTTACAAAACTCAGGAACAAACTCAGATTCCTACTGACCTCAACCAACTAAACTAGGCCAAATTTCTCCGTGTACAAAATGGACCACGTTATTTACAATCCACGTGGTGGAGAAGATGGTAGACATGTGGAGAGAGTTTGGCCAGGTGCTCCATTCTAGGTCTTTTTCCAGTTTCTCAAAGGCAGAACATTGGCTCCTAATTATTTGCCATGGATATTTGCTTCCTGTTCTGGAGCTATGTTGTAAGACAGCTGTGTGATGTCCATCATTCTTGACTCCAGAATGAAGACAGGGCTTGCTGTTTTCTGTCCTGTTGGTATCATCTGTTGCCTTGGCGATCACTCAGTGATGAGTCGTCAGTATTTTGACATGTCCCAGTGCTTGCTGTACAAGAGGGGACTCAGATCAACAGGAAGACTCTGAAGACAGGAACCTGCATGGTATCTTACATCTTTGATACTTGGGTGCTGATATGAAGCAGAGTTGTTGATTTACTTTATCTAGGCCCTTCTTTCTTCTCACCTGGATCAAGCAACTGAGAAGTGTATCAGGAGACACTGGATACATATCTCTATGAAATAGAGAGGGCCATCGCAGGGCCTGGTACTTAACTACATTAACGTTCTAAAACCCAGTTTGGTTTACGTTGTCTTTCACAGTAGTATATTTAGCTCTTCTCTGGAAAGTTGTGGGTTAATATAATTCTTAAACATGAAAATGTAATTAAACACACCACGAGAGAACAATATTCCAGGAGACTTAATAGTGATTACTTTCTTCAATCAGGAAATCGTTTCAGTGCCTCCTTTGTAGGAATGCTTTGTTTTGTGATGGGTTTTCTTAAAGAAGAGCACACCTCCGTCCAATCTCCTGAGACAGCCACGTCTCCGCTGACATCCCACTGTGATGCTTTCAGATAGTCAGTGAATGTTTCTGATAACCTTCATCCAGTATCTGAAACACAATGTGAGAGATTATATTGTTTTAGATAATAACATCCCATTTAGTTGACTAAAATCTTCCAAACTCTGAAAGCTGCACACTGCTACTCCAGAGAGTGCAGGTCTTAGCTCTTCTCCTTTCTGACTTCAAGATGAATCTTTGGGACGATGTTTCTGGTGCTTGGTCCACAGTGATTCACTTTTGAAGGAGAGGCCACATGACATGAACTGCCTGGTGTTACAACCTAGCTAACATATTTGATGCTACTCCTGTTGTCTGTACTGCTTATTCAAGTAGTATTCTAAGTTATGTTACTAAAAAACATGGTGGGTAAAGCACAATCCTACCCATCATTGTCCTCCAAAATAATTGTATGACATACACGGCCCAGCCCATTGCCCTCCCTGCATCTCTGTGCTGCTTTGCCATTTCCCCTTCTACCCAGCCTCCTCAAGGGGTACCTTGGTGGATATTTCAGTACTTAAAACCAGACTGTAATCATAACCTCCCTCTGTGTGGCATCAATAAATAGCCAAACTCATTGATGTTTCTGTGTGATTCTTTTACCCCTGCTGTGAGACTCCCACCACCCACCAGTGTTACTATGGATTTTAGCAACCTGGGAAAGGATGCTGTCAATTTCTTCCTCCCACACTCATTCCAGATTCCCTCCTACCCTACCCCTAGACCAGTACATCATCAGATGAGTCACATCCCAGGTAAGCCGGTCTCTTCTCATGAATGTGCAACAACTGCCACACTCCACCATATGATAATCTGAAGTGATGCCTAAAATTCCCCAAAACACTGAATTCAACATATTCATGCTGCTCACAGCAGAACCTACTCCTTCATCTATCCAAAGTGTAGGCCTAATGCTTAAGAGAAAATGACCCATCTCTAGGGGAATTTGCTTTGGGAATTCAATCCTTATTCAAAGATGGGTGTACAGCTCAGTAAATGCAACTAGCAAAAGCAGAATTTGTACATATAGTGATAGAGTCTACTCACATGGAATAAACAAAACCATAGAGGTAGGGAAGAGCCAGGCCTCTCCAGGTGATCCCTAGGATGTTTGAGGGCATGAATAGGAATAGTAGGAAATGTAGTTTTGGTCAAGAAGGCATCACAGAGAGCCATGGATACCTCCCTGATTATACCTTACAAATTATTCTATCTGTGACTATGAGATCTTTCTAATACTGCAAAGCCCAGCTCAAATGCTACTTCCCCTGGGACACCTACCCTGACGCTGCCAGAAAGACAGGGTCCATTTTCCGTTATACTCTGCTCCCACTATACTGGGTACATTTTCCACTAGAAAAGTAGCTCTTAATTGAGAGTGATTTTTGTTCCGCAGGGGATCTTTGACAATGTCTGGAGACATTTTTGATTTTCACAACTGGGCAGTGGGGGAGGGAGGGAGTGCTACTGGCATCTAGTGAACAGAGGCCCAGAATGTTGCTGAACATTCTGTGGGACGACATTCCCTCAACAACAAAGAATTGTCTGGCTCATAATGTCAATAGTTCCAAAGTTGAAAAACCCTGCACTAAAACAATTATCACCTTGTAGTGAGTAGCAGGGGATCTTGGTTGAGTAAAACCAAGCTTTCACTAAAATTCAGACTTCTCGAAAGGACTGATGAGGTAGGTCAGAAAACCTCAAAAGGACTAAAAAATACATCAGGGTTCAAAGCACACCAGCTTGATTAAAGAATCTTGATGTTGAAGGGGATACAGGATAATGAGCACAGCTCAAAAGAGTCTTAAACCAGCCCCTGGGGACAAAGGTGTTTCGATCCTAGAACTGAGGCAATAAATCAAAAGCAAGCAAAATGGAAAACTGGTGTGTTAGTTTGGATTAATCATCCTCCTCTAATTGAGATTTCTAATCAAACTGAGAATACACATAATCAGCCAGATCAAAATATCGGCTTCAGTAGTGGTGAAGCTGGCTTGGAGAGCATGTCTTGGGTGCAAATGGAAAAAGGGTTTTCCTACCCTTCACATCTGCATCCCCCCATGGCAAGTAGCTGGAGATCTGCAGGCCTCCCTCCAGTGGTTCTCTGAACTCCAGGCTTCAAGCTCAAGAGAGATGGGAATGCAGTAGAAAGAAACAGAGAGAAATGGACCACTCAACCTATTAACCTCAGTTAATAGGAGTCTCATGGCCATCAAACTTTCACCAACAGAAGCACCCTCTCCTGCCCTGGGAGGAGCATGTAAAAGGGTTATCATAAAGACCCCAAAGGGATATCTCAATACTATCCACTCTGGAAGTGGAGGATTCATGCCCCTATGGGAAAGAGGTAAGATTAGCGTGAAGGAAAAAGCGGGTAGAGGAAACATTGATTAAAAACTACCACATGGGCTGAACACAGTGACTCATGCCTATAATCCCAGCACTTGAAGGCCGAGGTGGGAGGATCACTCCAGACCAGGATTTCAGGACCAGCCTTGGCAACATGGTGAGACCCCATCTCTGAAAAAAAAAAAAAATTAATTAGCTGGGTGTGGTAGTGTCCACCAGGAATCCCAGCACTTTGGGAGGCCAAGGTGGGAGGATCACTTGAGGCCAGTTTGAAACCAGCATAGGTAACATAGTGAGACCTTGTCTCTACAAATATATATATATATATATATATATATATATATATATATATATATATATATATATTTTATTACCTGGATGTGGTGTTGCATCCTTGTAGTCCTAGCTACTTGGGAGGCTGAGGCAGGAGGATTGCTTGAGCCTAAGTGTTAGAGGCTGTAGTAAGCTATGATCAGGCTACTGCTCTCCAGCCTGGGCAACAGAGCAACACCCTGTCTCAAAAAAGAAAGAAGTATCAAATTTCAAGTTCTAAATAGAATAGATCCTCATTATTTGCAGTTCCATATTTGCAAATGTACCTACTTGATAAAATTTGTTTGTGGCAACACTTTTGCAGACATGCACAGAGTACTGAAAAATTCCAGTCATCCTTATACATATGTTCCAACGATGAGATACTTTCCTTTTTTTCTTTTTCTTTTTTTTTTTTGTGACAGTCTCGCTCTGTCACCCAGGCTGGTGTGCTGTGGCACAATCTCGGCTCACTGCAACCTGCACCTCCCGGGTTCAAGCAATTCTCCTGCCTCAGCCTCCTGAGTAACTGGGACTACAGGCACAAGCCACCATGCCCAGCTAATTTTTGTATTTTTAGTAGAGACGGGGTTCCACTGTGTTGGCCAGGCTGGTCTCGAACTCTTGACCTCAGGTGATCTGCCTGCCTCGGCCTCCCAAAGTGCTGAGTTTATAGGCATAAGATACCATGCCCAGCCTTTTGCCTTCCTTTTCAAGGCCTGTTTAGTGCCATGTCTTTTGCATGTTTGTTTTGGTGTTTTTTCTATTTCAAATGGCCCTCAACTGCAGGGCTACAATGCTGTCTGGTGTTTTGAAACACAAGAAGGCTGTGATGTGCACACTAAAATTTGAGAGCCATTGGGTTAGAGTCATTTCCACAGAATACAGCGTTATATAACCATGGGGTTTAGAGGTGAGGCAGTCATAATGTGTTATATTATTATTAGCCTGCAAGAAGTATGGTACCTGTCCAAAAAGCCTGTACAAGAATGTTCATTACAGCTTTATTCAAAATCATCAAAAACTGGAAACATATCTGGCATCCATCAACAGACAAATGAATAAACAAATTGATATATTTATTCAGTGGAATATTACTCAGCAATAAAAAGGAATAAACTATTGATACAGCAATATGAAAAAAAATCTCAAAACTTTATGCTGAGTGCAAGAAGCTTTACCCAAAAGAGTACCTACTATATAATTCTTTTTTTTTTTAATTGAAAAGAGGCAAAATCAGTCTACAGTGGAAAAAATTAAGAACAGTGGTTGCCTCTAGGGGTTGGGTGGGGGTGATGGCTGACTTGGAGGGGTGTATGGGACATTCTTAGGCTTCACCCCCAGAATTTCTGATTCAGAACCAAGAATCTGCATTTCTAATAAGTTCCCAGGTGATATTGATGCAGCTATTCTGAAGAATTACACTTGGAGAACCACGGCTCTAACCTAGCCTCTTCAATTGAAGAAGCAGACACCTCTGGTGCCCATGTCACATTCCCGAAGGCCCATTTAAGTTCTGTATGTGCTCAAAGTCCCCTTGCCTCAAGCACATGCCATGCATCTATCTGCCCTCTGTTCCAGAGCACCCTCACCTATGCACAGCTCTGAAGTGCAAAGGAGTTAAGACCACTGGGCCTCCCATGCTTCAGATGCACCAATCTGGGAGGATTCTGCATGCTTTGTATGAGGTCCCAGCATTGTTGAGCCCCAGTTGCCCACAGCAGCAAGCTCTATAACACACTGCCAGATTTGCCTTTCTTCTTCCCGTCTCACCCTTCCTATTCTCTTGCTTTTATTTCCTAAGATCACCTCCTAAATAAACTACTTGCATCCAAGTCCTTGTCTCAGGCTTTGCTTTGGGGAAGTAAGATAACTGGGTGGATGTTGGGAAATGAAAGGACACTGAATATGATGAGTACAAGGGAAGTGTATGGGTCTGTTCTCATGATGCTAATAAAGATATACCTGAGACTGAGTAATTATAAAGAAAAAGAGGTTTAATGGACTCACAGTTCTTCATGGCTGGGGAGGCTTCACAGTCATGGTGGAAAGCGAAGGAGGAGCAAAGGCACATCTTACATGGCAGCAGGCAAGAGAGATTGTGCAGGGGAACTGCCCTTTATAAAACCATCAAGATTTCATGAGACTTATTCACTGTCAAAATAACAGCATGGGAAAAACCCACCTCCCACCTCCCACTGAGTCCCTCTCATGACACATGGGGATTATGGGAACTACAATTCAAGATGAGATTTGGGTGGGGACACAGCTAAACCATATCATATAATGTCAGCATCTGACATTATCGTAGAAGAGAAATATGGAGAACAATGGCCCTTATTGTGCTGCGTTGCTACCAAATCTGGCATTTCCCATTTGAACCTAGTGTGCCTACCTGATTCTCCCATGAAACAGAATCTACCCACTCTTTCAGTCTGGTCTTGGTCAGGCCACAGCCCAGGGTGGTAGTGTGGTGTCACAGAAGTGAGTACAGATGGGTCAGTATCAAGCTCCACTCTTCTTTTTTTGGGAGGTGGGGAGTGGGGAGCAGGGTCTCGCTCTGTTGCCCAGGCTGAAGTGCAGTGGTGCAATCATAGTTCACTGCAGCCTTGAACACTTGGTGAAGATCCATTCTTCTTACGGGTCACTCATGCCCACTTCTCAGGCCACTCACTGAGTTCTGACCTCTCAGTCTCCCAGATTCTCTGCCTGACCTCTGAGTCCCTTTGGGAGTCTCTCAATCCCATTTAATGCCTCACATTGCAGAACTGGATTCTGCTTTCTTGGGCTTATGTCACTTTGCCTTACCCTTGTCATTGAAGAGAAAGATTGGTTAAAACAGCACTTCCCAAGCTCTTTACATATGGCACACAGAAAGATGATCATATTTGCCTAGCCCATTGCAGTAACTGTGAACCACTAGCAGCCAGATGTGACCAGGCCTGACCACCCTGAGCACTGAGGAGTTCAGTATCTTGGGCACACCTGTAGCCTCCATCCTGTCGGGTTGTGTGGTTTTGACTCTGAATCCTTCCTGTCTTGAGTTGTCTTAATTTGATGCCTTATAGATCTGTATCTAAGGTATGTGGGGGTCTCCTTTGCCCTAACTCCCTCCTATATGCCAGGCAACCTTAAAATACACCCTTATCCCCAAATATTAATAAACACAGACTATCAATACTCACAGGAACAGGAACTATGGTGCTCTGGAATTCAGGGAATGAAGTATTGTCTACCCACAGTGTAAAAGTATTTGGGGACAGTGAGCCCAGGTTTGGGTGCCCTCCATTCTTTCACATCCCAAGAAGCTGGCCTGAAAGTTATCATCCCTGCTCCCCTCATTCTGTTCATGGTGCATCTCTGCAGTCTGATTTTAGGGAGTCTTCCAGGGAAAGGGAATTCTTCTCTCTCCTAACTATTCTGTCTCCTAGTTGCCTTCTTTTCTCGAACCTCTTCCAGTTTTGCCTCACCCAGACCTGTGCATCCATGGCCAAGCTACTCAATTCCATATGGCCCCAGGTCATCATCATTGCCTTGGTCACAAGCTTGGGCCTGACTGTGCATCAGCTGTACCCTGGTGACTGTCTTCAGGAAGAGAGAAACTGCTCAACCCTAACAACATGGGAGAATCCACAGGAAAGGAAGACCCTTGTGAGGAGAAATTAGAATGGTAGACTGTGGTGGTGCTGATTAGCTAATAAGCAGGAACACGTTTCCTCAACTCCATGGAAATAATTGCAAATGGGTTTCAATGGTGGGAGCCACAAGGGACCAGCTTGAAGCTGGGGCTGCACAAAATGGCAATTTGTGTTCAACTGATGGTCTTGCATCTGTTTTAGATCTCAGACAATAGATGAGCTAATGAATTGTGAGATTGAATTAGCTCTCCTTGGCTCTTATGGATTAGAAAAGGAATTAGTTATATATTGCTGGGGGGATCAATAGCTCTTTTATGGCCTTTTTGCTCAACCAAAGAGCAGAACATTAAGTAAACTCTCCTTTGTCTGGTGGTTGGGGACAGACACCTCACTGAAATGCACATCTGAATCTCAGAAAGGGAAGCACACTGACAAATACACTAGGATCAGAAGATGCACGCTAACAAATACACTAACATTTCTTTTCTCCTTACTTAGGGAGACACAACTCAGGAAGCAAGAAGATTATTGTTAAACTAAATCATCAGATTACTGGAAGCAGGAAAATCAAAAGTGAAGGTGGTCAGCTGGGCATCTCCCTTGTAGGGATTTGGAACTGACTTTCCTGGTCTCAGGAAGCCCAGTTCACTCGTTCACTGAGACAGCCTTATTGTCGTAAGGAGCTTAATTAACACAAAGCCAGCCAAGTGGAAGGACTGGAGTTTCATTATCACTCAAATTAGCCTCTCGAAGAACTCGGAGACTAGGGTTTTATGGATAATTTGGTGAGCAGGGAGCTGGGGAATGGGTGCTGCTACTTGCTTGGGGATAAAATCTTGGGGGTGTGGAAAATGGTCCTCAGGAACTGAGTCAACCTCTGGGTGGGGGCCACAGGACTAGTTGAGTCATGAGTCCAGGGTCCGGGTGGGGTCAGTTGGTTGCCAGAATGAAAAAAATTCTGAAAAAAAACATCTCGAAAGACCAATTTTAGGTTTTACAATAGTGGTGTTATCTATAGGAGCAACTGAGGAAGTCACAAATCTTGTGACCTCTGGCCAGAGGTTCTGAGCAGTAGGGGATTATAGAAACTATGCCTGCATGTAAGCAGAATTGAGCCTCTCCCATAATCCTAATCTCATGGCCTTTCATTACTTTTACAAAGGCAGTTTTCGGTGGGAGCAAGGAAGGGATCAGTTTTAAGGAGGGACTGTTATCATCCTTGCTTCAAAGTTAAACTATAAACTAAATTTTTCCCATGGTTAGCTTGGACTATGCCCAGGAATGAGCGCCAGCCTCTGAGGCTAGAAGCAAGATGAAATAAACCATGCTAGACTTATCTCACTGTCATAATCTTTGCAAAGTTGGTTTCAATCATACCCCTAGAAATAGAATAAGTTGATATTTTGGTTTATATATTAGTTTCTTGTGAACTTGGTTAGTGTATGTTAATTCTCCTAAATCAGAGAAAATTTTCTAAAGCTGCCAAAACAAAGGTCAGACCTTGAACTATGGTTGTTACATTCCCCATAAAATGCCACTTCTTGAGGCCCAGTGGGAGCAGCCATCTGACCACCTACTGTGACATTGCAATCTCCACTCTCCCTGGTCTCACTCAACAAGTGAGTGGTAGGGATGTTCAGAGAATTTCAATGTCTAGCATAGCTCCCAGCATATAGTAAGAATTTCATAACTTGTGGAAATCATCTTTTTTCTTTTGTTCGCCCATTCATAGAAAAGATGTCTTGAAGGAGGAGGAAGCAGCAAACATAAAAGAGCTGGAGTAGGGGAGAGAGGAAAAGGTAAGAACACACAGGTCATGCTCAGGGACAAGAGAGCAGACGATGGGGTGGAGAATGTGGTAGTGAGAGGTGACAGCGTGCTGGCAGTCCTCACAGCCCTCACTCACTCTTGGCACCTCCTCTGCCTGGGCTCCCACTTTGGCGGCACTTGAGGAGCCCTTCAGCCCACCGCTGCACTGTGGGAGCCCCTTTCTGGGCTGGCCAAGGCCAGAGCCGGCTCCCTCAGCTTGCAGGGAGGTGTGGAGGGAAAGGCGCGAGCGGGAACCGGGGCTGCGTGGGGTGCTTGCGGGCCAGCTGGAGTTCCGGGTGGGCGTGGGCTTGGCGGGCCCCACACTCGGAGCAGCGGGCCGGCCCTGCCGGCCCCGGGCAATGAAGGACTTAGCACCCAGGCCAGCGGCTGCGGAGGGTGTACTGGGTCCCCCAGCTGTGCCAGCCCACTGGCGCTGCACTCGATTTCTCGCCGGGCCTTAGCTGCCTTCCCGCAGGGCAGGCCTCGGGACTGCAGCCCGCCATGCCTGAGCCTTCCCCCGCCTCCATGGGCTCCCATGCAGCCCGAGCCTCTCAAGGAGCGCGGCCCACTGCTCCAGGGCTCCCAGTCCCATCGACCGCCCAAGGGCTGAGGAGTGCGAGCGCATGGCGTGGGACTGGCAGGCAGCTCCACCTGCAGCCCCTGTGTGGGATCCACTGGGTGAAGCCAGCTGGGCTCCTGGGTCTGGTGGGGCCTTGGAGAACCTTTATGTCTAGCTCAGGGATTGTAAATACACCAATCGGCACTCTGTATCTAGCTCAAGGTTTGTAAACACACCAATCAGCACCCTGTGTCTAGCTCAGGGATTGTGAGCGCACCAATCAACACTCTGTATCTAGCTGCTCTGGTGTGGCCTTGGAGAACCTTTGTGTCCATACTCTGTATCTAACTAATCTGATGGGCAAGTGGAGAACCTTTGTATTTAGCTCAGGGATTGTAAACGCACCAATCAGCGCCCTGTCAAAACAGACCACTCGGCTCTACCAATCAGCAGGACGTGGGTGGGGCCAGATAAGAGAATAAAAGCAGGCTGCCCGAGCCAGTAGCAGCAACCTGCTCAGGTCACCTTCCACACCATGGAAGCTTTGTTCTTTTGCTCTTTGCAATAGATCTTTCTACTGCTCACCCTTTGGGTCCACACTGCTTTTATGAGCTGTAACACTCACCGCGAAGGTCTGCAGCTTCACTCCTGAAGCCAGCGAGACCACGAGCCGGGAGGAACGAACAACTCCAGACGCGCCGCCTTAAGAGCTGTAACACTCACCGCGAAGGTCTGCAGCTTCACTCCCGAGCCAGCGAGACCACGAACCCACCAGAAGGAAGAAACTCCGAACACATTCGAACATCAGAAGGAACAAACTCCAGACGCGCCACCTTAAGAGCTGTAACACTCACCGCAAGGGTCAGCGGCTTCATTCTTGAAGTCAGTGAGACCAAGAATCCACCAATTCCGGACACAGTAGGGTGTGTGTGTTGGGGTCACGGAGAGGAGTTGAGTAAATATCAGAGGCTGAAGTGCACAGATACAGTATCCTTCCCTGTCCATGCACTGTGGCAGGGGACTGAGGGCACAGCTTGGGCCATCTCAGAAGGGATTGGGGTGGGTACTTCCTCCCTGTGCTTGCACTAACCTGAATCCTCCTCTCGTCTCTGCTAATCCCAGCCTGTTTGCAGCTCAGGGAGTAAGGAAGCCATGTGCCGGGGGCTTCTCCAAAGTTGTGTATGGTTTCTCTGTCACGCAGGTGGTTGGTGTGCTCCTGCCCATCCTGGGACCTGAAAGTTGCTTGCTCCAGGTCTGCTCCTTAGGATCTTGAGGCCTGGGGTAAGAGTTCAATGGAAGGGCCACTTACCAAATGTATAAAGGTTTGAAAGTCATGAAACAAGCTACATTCTAGGCCTGGCCTCTGTTCTCATCCAGCATCTCACAGCCATCTCCCCAAGGATCAGCCATGTGACTGAGAGGCTAAATTAGCTAGCACTGGGCCAGCCCTGCCTCCTGAGAATTTGGTGGCACAGACCCAGGTCTCCAAGGTGACTAAACCCAAATCCCTGATGGAGACTGAGCTGGCCAAGCTCCCTAGGGAGTCTGGGAGGGGTAGGTTCCTTGCTCCCATGCCTCACTTTTCCACCTCATAACCTGCAACAATTCTAAAAACCTTCCAACAATATCACATGGGCAGAGAAAGGGGAGGGAGCCAGTTATCTGCAGACCTGGTCCACCCAGGCCCCTAGACACTCACCATGGGTGCTATGGGGTGGCGAAGTATAAGCAAGAGCACAGCTCTTTTCCTGGTTTCCTTGGGCCTAGCCTGTGATTTTTGCATCCCCAGCCTGCACTTACAGACTGTCAGGCCCACACCCTTCTCTGGCCTGGGGCGCCCAATGTGTGTATTGTATTTTGATAATTCTTACTCAGTCTGTTACAAAACTCAAAAGACTTTGTTACCAAGCCACAAGGACAGAAGTATTTGTATTTGAGCCTTTTGGAGTACTGGCCCGTAGAAAGCCAGGCTTGGGGCAGGGGCTCCTGTTGCCAGGCCTAGAAGCAATACTGCACGCTCCAGTGTAGTTCACGAGAATTTCCAACTATGAGCAGAGATGCTTGTGGGAAAAGAACCTTGTGGCCAAGTAGGGTCCAGGCTTATCTTGAGCAATAGGATAGATGAACGGCTGGGAAAGTTGTTGGCATGCTCCAGCCCTGAAGCCCAGGTTTCAGAGGGCCACTCAGGAAGGCAAGCTGTTAAGTCATGACTGACTGGCCAGAATGGGATCAACAAATTAGAACCAATGTTTCTTGAGCGCAAATTCTGAGGTGTGCTTCCACCCCACTTCTGGCCCATCAGCCTCCACTCCTGCCTAATGACAGGAATGTGATTCACAGAGGACCGAGAAGCAAAAGACATGGGCAGAGGGGCTATATGGGCAGGGCCTATTTCAAATGCATCAATTATCAGGCTGGGCACGGTGGCTCATGCCTGTAATCCCAGCACTTTGGGAGGCTGAGGTGGGTGGATCTCTTGATGTCAGGATTTCGAGACCTGCCTGGCCAACCTTACAAAACCCATCTTGTCTCTACTAAAATGAAAATAAAAATTAGCCAGGCATGATTGCACACACCTGTAGTCCCAGCCACTTGGGAGGCTGAGGAAAGAGAATTGCTTTAACCCAGGAGGCGGAGGTTGCAGTGAGCTGAGATCGTACCACTGCACTCCAGCCTGGGCAACACAGCAAGACTCCATCTCAAAAAAAAAAAATAAAGATCAAATGTACCAATTATCTTTTCTCTGCACTCAGACAAAGAAGCTAATTATCACTCTGAATCATTAATAAACTGTTGGGATTTCACAAAAAGTTCCCACATTTCACTCTAGGAAGCCAAACTCAGTAACTCCTTATCAAGTTATCAAGCATGACGTATACATCTGGGGACCGAAGTAACAGCAGAACCATTTGGGACTTTGCTTCTGCTGTTCCCATATAGGGATTACCGGGAATTGAATGCCCAGAAGGATTTCAGGACCAGGTGCCAAGAGACAGCATATCTGTTATCTCTTTCCACATCAGTACGACAGTGTTAACAATATTTGGCCTACCTCAGAACCTCTCAGTGTGGCTAGGGAGCTAAAACAGAGTATAGGAAAGGGCCTGGCAAAGATGGTGGGCCCAAGATACATCCACTGCCACTCAGCCACCCACAGGAGAGATTGTGTCCTTGAGAGTCATACCATCCACCTAATATCCCTCTTCCACTCCTCGTCTCTGTCATCTTTCATCCCTCCTCCATATTTATCAAGGCCTTTTGCTCCTGCTTCAGTCTTCCTTCTGGAAATAAAGACCAACCGAATGAGAAAAATAAAGTATATTTATTCTGAACTTACTATAGCAAGGGAGGCAGCCACTGTCAGTGTCCTTTGGCAGAGACTCAAGGACAGATAGAGAAGTGGGAAAACCTTATAGTGGACAAAAGGGAAGGCTTCAGGTGTGCCCTGATGGGAAGCTTTTGGCTTGGGAAGCTGTAGGAGGCTAACGAGAAGCAGTCATCCTATGTCATTGATTAAGGTGCATATTTGGCTTTCTCTGGTTGGTCCTAAATTACAAATCGGGACAAAAATTTGGGAGGCTTTCAGTTATTAATCAAGTCCTGATCATTTGGGGCTGATTGCTACAGGAGTTGTTTAGCTTCCTGGATTGTCACTAAAATATAGCAATCTAGGCTGGGCACGGTGGCTCACACCTGTAATCCCACCACTTTGGGAGGCCAAGACAGGTGGATCACTTGGGTCCAGGCATTCAAGGCCAGCCTGGGTAACATGGTGAAACCCCATCTCTACAAAAAAGTAAAAATGAATTAACTGGGTATGGTTGTGTGTGTCTGTGGTCCCAGCTACTCAGAAGGCTGAGGTGGGAGGATCACTTGAGCCAGGGAAGTGGAGGTTGCAGTGAACTGATTGTACCATTGCACCCCAGTCTGGGCAACAGAGTGAGACCCTGTCTCAAAAAATAAAGACAGCAACCTGGCTTCTTGCAATACTGACTTACAGCAGGCTGGCTTCCTGGGTTGTCTATTGTAGGTAAGGGGATAGGCTTCCTGGGAAAGTTGCTGTAGGTCGTGGGTCAAAGTTCTATGGTCTGGCCATTGTCTATTTGTGTATTCATTCTCACTTCCCATTGCCAGTTCTACTCTTTTTTTGAGAAATTCAGTGTCTAATGACCCATCTAACTCCCCAGCCCTGTGCTCTCAAACTTGAGTTTACACAAGTTACATGGAAGAACTTTTTTAAAATGTGAGCTGTTTGGCCCCAATTCCAGTGATTCAGGAGGATTTAGTAGGTCTGGTGTAGGCCCCAGAATTTTCAGGTGATGCAGATACAGATGGTCCAAGGGTCACAGAGCAGTCTTCTACTCTCTCAATTGCTTGGCCTGGTCAGCAGAATGGACCCAGGGTCTCTCAGAGGTCTTGAAGAGTTCTAGGCCATTTCTATTTTTAGAGGATTCCAGCATATTTAAAAATGAAGAATTGTCAAAGTTATCAAAATTTGAATGTTTATATGAATAGGTAGACGCGCGCACACACACACACACACACACACACACACACCTAACTGCATTTGAAGTAAACAGCCGAAGTCTAAACCTGAAGCCTTCCTAAGATGGTCAGCCTTGGTACAAAGTGTAGGTGCAGTGGTCCTGAAGGGAATATGCAGACCAACCTAAAGCCTTAGGGCTTCTTTCTTGCAGAAATAAGCCGGAAAAATAAAAGTAAATTTTTAAAAAGACACATTAACCAATAGAATATGAGTGCCCAGAAATAAACATATGGTGGACTGATTTTTTACAAAGATGCCAAGAACACACAATGGGGGAAGGATGGTCCCTTCAATAAATGAGAAAACTGGATATTCACATACAAAAGGATAAAAATGTACCTTTATCTCACCCCTCATACAAGAACCAATTCAAAATGAAATAAGATGTAAACATAAGACCTAAAACTATAAAATTACTGGAAGAAAACATAGAAAAAGCTCCATGACATGGTCTGGGCAGTGATTTTTTGGATATGACCCCAAGAGCACAGACAACAAAAGCAAAAATAGACAAATGGGATTGTGTCAAACTAAAAAGCTTCCGTACAACAAAGGAAACAATTAATAGCGTGAAGAGACAAGCCCCAGACTGGGAGAAAATATTTGTAAATCATTCATAAGGGGCTAATTAATATCCAAAATACACAAGGGAAATCAAACTATTCAATAACAAGAAAACAATCTTACTTACAAATGGGCAAATGACTTGAATAGACATCAAAAGAAGATGTACAGATGGCCAATAGATACATATTTTAAATGCTCAACATCTGTAACAATAAGAGAAGTGCAAATTAAAGCCACAATGAGCTATATCACCTTATACATGTTAGATAGGCTATCATCAAAAAGATGTAAGATAACAAGTGTTGGTGAGGTTTTTGAGAACAGGCAATCTTTATACACTGTTGGTGGTATTATAAATTAGTACAACCTTTTTGGAAGACAGTATGGAGGTTCTTCAAAAACCTAAAAATAGAATTACCATATGATCCAGCAATCCCACTACTAGGTATATACCCAAAGGAACTAAAATTAGTATGTGGAATAGATATCTGCACTTCTACATTTATTGCAACATTATTCACACTAGCCAAGATGTGGAAGCAACCTAAGCATTCATCAATGAATGAATACATTTTTATTTTTTTATTTTTTGAGATGGAGTCTCGCTCTGTCGCCCGGGCTGGAGGGCAGTGGCGCGATCTCGGCTCACTGCAAGCTCCGCCTCCCAGGTTCACGCCATTCTCCTGCCTCAGCCTCCCGAGGAGCTGGGACTATAGGCGCCCACCACCACGCCTGGCTAATTTTTTTTTTTGTATTTTTAGTAGAGATGGGGTTTCACTGTGTTAGCCAGGATGGTCTCGATCTCCTGACCTCGTGATCCGCCCACCTCGGCCTCCCAAAGTGCTGGGATTACAGGCTTGAGTCACCGCGCCCAGCCTGAATGAATAGATTTTTAAAAGGTGGTATACATACATACAATAGAATACGGTACTATTCAGCCTTTAAAAAAAGAAACGAACAACAACCAAAAAAAGCAAGAAATTCCGTCATTTGTGACAACATGGATAAACATAGAGGACATTACATTAAGTGAAATAAGCCCAGGCACAGATACTGTATGATCTCACAGCATGTGGAATCTAAAACATTCAAACTTACAGAAATAGAGTGGAATAGTGGTTACCAGAGGCTGCTGATTGAGTTCCTTGAAGCAAAGGTTTAGAGACTCTGGTGATGTTTTTCATACTCAGAGTGTCCTATCAATAAGGGCATGCATGAGCATGACCTGAGTATTTTGCCAGACTTCCTTAGTGGTCCAGATAGTGGCTGGTCCAGGGAGAGATCCAGCCTATGCATGGACTGCTGTAGTGATGAGACTTTTGAAGTACATATCAAATCATTGGGCTTTAACTCTCAATACTTTTTCAGATCCTTGGCGGGAGAGGGGTGGGAAGGCCAGCTACAAAGCAACCTAGGGTTCCAATAAGGATCTGAGCAGTTAGGATTTAATTCTCAGTGATGCCACATCAGGAAGTAGAGGGTTGTGGCTAGATAGTTTTAAAAAAAATTGAAGAATTGGAAATTTGGTAACAGTTGGCAATGAATGGAAGATGACAGGATTCAGTTCAATTTACAGGTAAGTAACATGTTAACATATTTTGGAGATTTTTTTCATATTCATTAGTTACCTACAATTAACAAAGAGATGTTATATAGCTCAAAAACTATGAATATGATCAGAATCTGATAATCCACAATAGTGTGCTATAATTTTCTATGAAAAACAAAATTTTTCTCAACAGTTACCCTTTTATGATCAAAGATAATCCCAAAGAAAAAATGTTCTTGATTATAAAATAGGGCCGATATCATTAGATTTGGCCTGATCGTTTACATAAATACAGCAAGAAAGGTAATTTATACCATAATAGACCTTTTTTAGTTTGCTTTACTGAAGTTTTTCATAAGGAATCTGAGATTAGACTTCTAAAAGCACGTCAAGGCTAGGAAGCCATGCCAAGAACTCACTACCAGACTTTACCTGCAGTAGCTTTAGATTTGGATGAACTCCTGTCTTCTCAAGGTTTCCAAAATATTGTAAAGTTCCTGGGCCTGCCAGGATGTGACCTTCCTTACTCACCTATAAGGCTGGGAACTCTGTAAGCCAAGTACCAGGCTGGGTTTTCCCAAGAGAGTTTTGTAGGCATTAGCTACATAAAATCAGCCTTAGCTACTAACAGTTGATTCTATGTTTCTATGATCATCATTCTCAAATATGACACTTCAGTCAAAGCTTTGGTTTATATAACCAATGTTTCTAATTATTTCCTGTTAACAAAGGGGTCAGACTCATTGAATCTATGCAGAAAAATTATGTTGTCATGAAATAAAAATATAAGAATTTGCAAATTCTGGAAGAATCAAGCCAAGGAAAAAATATAATTGTTTCAGTTCTGTTTACAAAAGTATAATCTACTAAATTGTTATGCATTACAAATAATGTAGAAGAAGAGAGAAGGAGGGTCCTTATAATCAAAACATAGAACAGTATCCACAAGATTCCAAACAAAATCCATAATCATTTTTTATCAGCCCTATGTAATTCGTTCATAGAACTATAATCCATTCAGTCACATATAATCACTTCTTATTCTGTTCAATCTTGGGTTAGCAATATTATTAACCCATTGGCTTCTCCACTAGAGTTCTAGAAATCTTGACTCAGTACAGTGGTATGGTCTCAAAAATAATTAAGAAATGCCGTCAGCCTGGGCCCAGTGACTCACGCCTATAATCCCAACACTTTGGGAGGTCAAGGAGGGATGACTGCTTGAGCCCAAGAGTTCAAGACCAGCCTGGGCAACATAGTGAGACCCAGTATCTACAAAAAATTAGATAACTAGCCAAGAATGGTAGCACACCCCTGTGGTCCTCACTACTTGGGAGGCCGAAGTGGAAGGATTGTTTAAGCCCAGGATGTCAAGGCTGCAGTGTGAGATGTGATTGCACCACTGCACTCCGGCCTGGGCAACATAGTGAGACTCTGTCTAAAAAACAAACAAACAAGAAATGCCATCAGAAGCTTGTGCCCTAGAAGCCTATGACTCAGAGTACCTGAAATAGTCCTTTCCATGGATCTCTGAGACAGTCCTTTTTTCCTAAAGATGACCGGGTACTTCTATACGTTTCCTCTCATTTCTCATATTTAACGAGACACTTTTCTATGCTTCAAATAAAAGTGAGATTGTTGACAAGTGATATGGTTTGTCTGTGCCCCCACTCAAATCTCATCTTGAATTGTAGCTCCCACAATTCCCACATGTCTTGGGAGAAACCTGGTGGGAGGTAATTGAATCATGGGGGGAGGTCTTTCCCATGCTGTTCTTGTGATAGTGAATAAGTTCTCACGAGATCTGATGGTTTTAAAAATGGGAGTTTCCCTGCACAAGCTCACTCTCTCTCTACCCACCACCATCCATGTAAGATGTGACTTGCTCCTCCTTGCCTTTGGCTGATTGTGAGACCTCCCCAGCCATATGGAACTGTAAGTCCATTGAACCTCTTTTTCTTCCCTGTCTCAGGGGTGTATGTCTTTATCAGCAGCGTGAAAACGGACAAATACAACAAGTAATTTCAATGTACTTTCCAAGTGAGAAAGGCGTAACCAAGATATAAACATGTAAAATACTGAAACATTCCCTTGATAAGAATTGAGTCCTTGGCTTTATATGAGATGAGCTCATTATCACTAGGTGTATTACAGGTTTACTCTAATTTCTCTAATTTGATAGATTTGGAAATAAGAAAGTCTTTGTTCTTCCTTCAAAAAATTAATACTAAAAAATTTTGAATTTCTAAGATTCAATTTTGTGCCATTAATTTTAAAAATGTATGAAGCTGATGTTTTGTGATTAAACTTTTAAGATTCAAATCCAAGGCAATAAGTGAATTTTAAAAATAACACAAGTGAAGGAGTAATAATCTTCAGGAAGCTGAGAGTTGTAGTCTGTAATTCAGGGATCTTGATTCAGTATTCATGTCAAATCTAACCAGAAAGACAGGCCTATATGAAACCTAAACTGAGTTTAAGCAAGGGTGAAGGCCGGGTGCAGTGCCTCATGCCTGTAATCTCAACATTTTGGTAGGCTGAGGCAGGAAGATAACTTGAGCTCAGGAGTTCAAGACCAGATTGGGCAACAAAGTGAGATCCCCATCTCTACAAAAAATTAAGAAAATTAGCCAGGCATAGTGGCTTATGCCTGTGGTCCCAGCTGTTCTGGAGGCTGAGGTGGGAGGATTGCTTAAGCCTAGGAAATCAAGGCTGCAGTGAGCCGTGATCACACCACTGTACTCCAGCCTGGGTGACAGAGCAAGATCCTGTCTCAGAAAAATAAATATAAATAAATAAAATAATTAATTAATTAAAATAAATTAACTGGAGGAAGGTGAGTAATAAAATCTTGCAACTTTGTTCAGTTAAAACAAAGGGAAAGAATTTCCTGGCATCATGCCACAAAAATTTGATTCAGCATTTTAAAAATTTACCCCTACATCTCCTTTTGTATCTATCAACTATAAAGTGGGCTTTTTTAAAAAAAAGAATATTATATTTTCTAAAGTATTTTTCTAAAATAATTTGGTTCTCAAAAAATGCTACAGCCTATTTATGCCATATGTGCTTTTTCCCCCAACATCAGAATAGAGGCCGGCTGTATAGAGAGGTTCCTGGTACCGAGAAGAAAGAAAAAAATGAAAGGATTGTCTCAGCTATCAATGGGTTGAAAGAAGACTTCTGTTTTAATAAAGTTGAAATTACATCTTATAATGAGTTTTTTTTCTTTTTTACTGGTCAGTCACATGAAAGGTATCATGTTCTGTTTAGTATACTACATTTTCAAAACAATATTAATAAAGAAAACTTTTTTTTTTTTTTGAGACAGAGTCTCACTCTGTCACCCAGGCTGGAGTGCAGTGGCACAATCTCAGCTCACTGCAACCTCTGCCTTCTGGGTTCAAGCAATTATCATGCCTCAGCCTCCCAAGTAGCTGGGATTACAGGCAAGTACCACCACGCCCGGCTAATTTTTTGTGTTTTTAGTAGAGATGGGGGTCTCACCATGTTGGCCGGGCTGGTCTCGAACTCCTGACCTCAGGTGATGTGAGCACCTCAGCCTCCTAAAGTGCTGAGATTACAGGCATGAACCACCGTGCCCAGCCAAGAAAACTTTAGAGAAGCATTCACCAAAGTGAATACTGGCGAACATAACACTGCAAACCTTCCCCCCCAAAAACAAGATTCCCAGGGTCAAATAGGATTAGAATACCCTGAATTCTCAGTACTCTTCCTACAGTTTCACACTGCACTTACCATATTAAAGGCTCTGGGAAGTCCTAAAAATATGGAAACTTTTTTCATTTAGCTTAGCACGTTATTTTCCAATTTTTTTTTCTTTTTCTTTGTCATAGCAACAATTGTCATTCTGCTCAATCTGATTTTGAAGAACATCACTTTAGGAAACACTAATCCAGAAAAGGACCAGAATGCTGACAATGTCTGTGTTTTATTGGTCACACAGGCCAACCCTCATACAACGTGGGAGGAGACTAGTAAAGGGTATGAATACCAAGCGGGTGGGGATTGCAGGGAGTCCTCTTGGAGGCTGGCTACCACATCACATTTTGAATAATTCTGGCAAAAAAAATGATTATCATCAGCTCATACTAAAACTCTTCCTGCTTTATACTTTTGCTAGATTCCATTCCAAAACTTGAATTGCTATCTTTGGCAAGTAATACAAAATATCACATGCTACATAATAGGTTTGATAGTTTTCAGTATGGACGACAGAGCCAAGCAGGTAGAAAAATTCAGCAGAGGGCCATGCAAAGTGGCTCACACTTGTAATCCTAGCACTTTGGGAGGCCAAGGCGGGTGGATCACTTGAGATCAGGAGTTCAAGACCAGCCTGGCCAACATGGTGAAACCCCGTCTTTACTAAAAAGACAAAAATTAGCTGGGTCTCATGGCATGTGTCTGCAATCCCAGCTACTCGGGAGGCTGAGGCAGGAGAATTGCTTGAACCCGGGAGGCAGAGGTTGCAGTGAACCGAGATCGCGCCATTGCACTCCAGCCTGGGGGACAAGAGACAAACTCCATCTCAAAAAAAAAAAGAAGAAAAAGAAAAATTCAGCATATTCTTTGTATTTTGTGGCTTTGTTAGGCAAAGACTATATATCCACACAAAAGACTCTTTGTGGTAGCATGATCAAACACTGAAATAGATGGCCTGAACATCCTGATATTTTTTTGGAGTGACTGATCAAAGGGAAGATAATGGCTTTCACTGAGCCCAACTTGGCAGGAACTGTTGGCCTCTGGCCTTCTCATTCCTGTACTCTAGCCACGTTGTCTCCTTTTATAAACTGAGTCCCAGCATCATGCATGATCAGTCCTGCCCCATGCTGGGAGTGGAAGAGGAGCTCCGAAGACAGTGTGCCCAGGGTCAAGCTCTATGCTTGGTGCTGGTGTCCAGTTTCTTGTTTCCTGTTGGCCTGGGCCTTCAGCTCTGTCTTTCAACTGTCCTGGAATTCTGGTGCCAGGGTCTGACCTCACTGATGTGGACTTGCTGCCTTGACCCACAAAACCTCCATTCCATGCTGACTGTCAACCCTGTTCCACACTCTCTGAACTAACTGGCTTTCTTGGACGTGACCTGTGTCCTGCCTCATTTTTTTTGTTTGTTTTCTTTTTCCACATATATATATATTATTTTTCTGTAAAATCTCCCAGTTCTTCCATAACTTATAAACATGATTTATACCGAGGGGTAGATGGGAAAGTGGACAGGGGCAGGGCAGACTGACCGGGGATGGGGAAGCTCCTCTCGCTGCCCCCTTGGAGCAGGCCCAGGCCCTTTGGAGGATGGGGACTCCAGGACATTCCTCCCTGAGGTTGTCTGGCTGCCTCTACCACTGGTGCTCAGAATCCTGTGTGCCACTCAATTCCAGAATCCCTTCTGGGACTGACCCCAGGGCCACTAGACACGCTGCCCCTGGTACTCAGAATCCCGAAGCGCCAGCTGGTTCCATAATCCCCTTCTCAGCCGCTAGGGTGGTGGGGTCCCTCCTTTCTGCTGTCCGCCTGACCCCAGAGGAGGAAGGGAAGGGAGGGGGAGGGGGCCCCAGGTCTCCTCTCTGTGGCAGGAGGAGGGTGGAAATAGAATCTGAAGTAGGAAGGGCGTGGAAGGGTCAGGAGGGTTCAGCTGATGGTGAGGCCAAAGCCACTCCGTAACTTGTTCTTGCGGTGATTCAGGAAGGCCCCAAGGGCCAGTGTCAAAGGCAGGGGCGGGAGCTTCTTCTCCAGCGTGGCACCCACAATCCAGTTGCTGTCCACAGAGCCTTTGAAGAGGAGGTTGGCCTTGGGCAGGTCCAGCTGGTACCCAAAGGAGACATTGGTGTCCTGCATCCTTGTACTGGCCTCAAACTCCACATCCACCTGCAGTTGGTCACTGGGTTTGTGGTGTTATGTCCAACCCAACGTTACCGTTGCCAACCAGTTGTTCAATGTGTATTTCCCAGCTACAGACATGACAGTGCCCTCCTCCCCAGGCCGTCGGTGGTAGACCAGCTCACTGCCCAGGGCCAAGCAAGGCGTGATGCTCTTGAGGTAATGGGCTACGAGGATTCCTGAACCCATCAAGACGTCTGGGTTCCACAGGGTGACGTCCACTGTGAAGTCAGAGCCCCGGTACTCCCCATCCACCTGCCACTTCACAAACTTTGACTGCTGGGTCTGGATGGCCATCTTGGACCTGAGGCCGGGGCTCAGCTGGTGAATGACCTGAGCATTGAGGCTGCCACTGTTGTCCATGTCACCCACCAGTACAGGGAATGCCTCTGTGGGACTCAGCTGCTTTGTCCCCATATACTTGACACCAAAATGGTGGTTGGACTCCCTGATTGTGCTGAGGGTTACTGTGTGGTTCACCTGAAAATGCTTACACAACGCTTTGTTCTCTGTGAACTTGACACCTTCCATCTACAGCTCCTTGCACTTCCGGTGGCACTCCTCGAATGTGCAGGGGTTGGGCAGGCAGCGGCAGGCCCCATCCTCGGCACCCCCTGCAGCACTGGCGGTTGCAGCTCCGGGGGTCCGCTCCAAACCTCGACCCACACTGGTCCTGGCGCCCAGGCCGCCTCCCAGCGGCGGCAGCCTGAAGCCTGGATGCTAGGGCGGAGGTGGCGGCAGTCCCACGAGGGCCGGCACAGGTGGTGGCGGCGGCCCTGCAGGCAGGGAGCTGACTGCCAACACTTTCCCCATGGTCACCTGCGATGGGAGAGCTCAGAGGGCGGAGGTCAGGGCCTGCGCGCCCCAGACTCAGCCCCAGCAAACTACCGCCCGGCTCAGGGCCCGGGTTCTCACTGGCGGCGGCGCCTGCTCCGGGCCTGTCCTGCCTCATTTAGGCACCTGCTGTGGTTACTTCCTTCTGGGCTGGCTGACGTGGCCCTAGATTCGCACAATCCGGCCTGACACAGTCTGTCTTAATGTGACATGTCCATTGCTTTCCTTAGCCTCTTTTCTGGTGCAAAATTGAATACCATCACATACATTTCCTTATATAAAAGATTGAAACATCGTTATTGTCTATGTCTCCTGTCTGTATATTTTTTTAATATTTTCTATTTTTTTCTTATTTTTTATCAGAAATCAAATCTTAGGCAAAATAAATATTTTACATCCTTTTATTTTATTCATTCATCTATTCACTTAATGATTCAAGCTTATACACCTTCCACATACCTGTGATATTTCCCCAACTTGAAAGCTTCCATCCCTATTGACACCTGTCACTCCTCTCCATTGACAGTGGAGTCTATTTCCTCTCTCTTTGAATCAGGGCTGGTCTATGGTTGCGCTGACCTACAGAATGTGGGAAAAGTGGCACCCTGCTGATTGCAGGCCGGGGCTTAAGAAACCTGGCAGCTTCCAGTTTGCCCTCCATGGCCATGAGCTATTGTATTAAAAATAATGCAGTATACGGTTGGAGAAAAGAAAGCAACTAAGGCAGCAGACATGTGAGTCAGACATATCTAGCCCCAGCCAAGGCGTTCCAGCCAACACCATGTGGAACAGAGACCAGCATGCCCTACCCAGTCCTGCCCACGTGGCAGCATCCCACTAACAAGGATCTGGGTTTCGCTGTTTTCAACCACCAAGTTTTGGGGTAGTTTGCAATGTAGCAATAAATAGCATACATTTAAAACATGAAACTTTGAAAGAAACAAATACGAAACTTGTCAATTAACACAAAAAATATGTCCGGGGAATAAAACCCAACTTCTGGATCTACCGTCTACTCTCAGGAGTGAATCATGTTTAATTGGATCCAAAGAAAGTTATTGGTTTTAGAAAAGCAGAGGACTCAGCATCCAGCTTACAGGAAATTAATAAGAAAGTGATTAGTGAAAATTGGAAACAGGTAGATAGAGAATAATCATTCCAGAAATTAGAGTAACCCAGTGGTTTTCAATCCTACCAATAAACCAGAATCATCTGGGGCCCTTTCAAAAGTGCAGATTTCTGGGTCCCATGCTTTAAGATCCTGACTTAAATAATCTGGGGTGGATCCAGAATAGCATTCTGAAATACTGCTGGGGTTTATAGGGGACTATGAAGAATAAAAATAAGCCTGCAGCTGAAAGGCCAATGGTTAATTATAATATATTATGTATTTCAAATAGCAAAAAGAGGATTTTAAGGACTCATCACAAAGAAATGATAAATACTTGAAGTGATGGATGTGCTAATTACCTTGATTTGATCATTCTGGCACTGGTTTCCAGTTTCTTGTTTCCTGTTGGCCTGGGGCCCCAGCTTTTTGTCTTTCAACTGTCCTGGATTTCTGGTGCCAGGATTTGACCTCACTGATGTGGACTTGCTGCCTTGACCCACAGAACCTCCATCCCACATGGACTCCCTGCTCTGCACTCTCAGAACTGGCCTTCCTGGACCTGACCTCTGTCTTGCCTTACTTAGGTACCTACTGTGGATACTTCCTTCCAAGAAGTATATATTTATGATGTATATCAGATTGTACACCATAAATACACACAATTATTATTTGTCAATTAAAAATCAAACTTTTTTAAAATAAAAAATGGGTTTTTTAATTTTTTTTTTTTTTTTTTTTTTTTAGAGACAGGATATCTGTTGCCTAGGCTGAAATGCGATGGTGCAACCGTAGCTCACTGTTACCTCAAACTCTAGGGCTCAAGTGATCCTCCTGCTTCAGCCTCCAGAATAGCTGGGACTACAAGTGTGCACTTGCACAGCTAATATTTTATTTTTATAGAGAGGGGGTGCTGTGAGCCACCATGACTGGCCCCTAAAAATGTGTTTCAAACTTGCAAATATATGGCTTTTTGTTTGTTTGTTTGATTTTCTATCTAAATTGCATTGTTATCTGAGAATACAATGTGTAATTGGACTAGGGCTAGAAATTTGGGCTAGGGCTTTATCTGTCATTTTGTTGCATAACAAAGAATGAATATTTTACAATATAAAAAGCTTATATAAAGTAATGAGACAAAATGCTTTTCTTAACGTGAGAAAAGGACAGGAACTAGTAGTTATGGCCTCAAACTAGCCTATAAACATTAAAAAATCCAAATTAAAAACAATACACTGTTTTATCGACAAAATTTGCTAATGTTTATAAAATTCTAACACAGGAACGTTGTGTTAGAATGGCCAAAATACCAAAGAATAAGAATTCACAAACAGTGATGATAGAATTATCAATTAGTACCGTATTTCAGAAAAGCAGTGGGGCCCTATATATCAAAGAATGTTCAAAATGTGTATGCCCTTTGACTCAGTAGTTTCACTTTTAAACACTTATTCTCTCAAAATAATAGATACCAACAAAAGATACATATATAATACCTTTATTGGGATAGAAATGGAATACTAAAGTCATAAAAAGGAGGAGGAAGTGTATACTCTACCCCAAAAGGCTAATATAGTAAATGTGAGTGATGTCAATTCTATCTGTGCCAATCTAGAAAAGAGTAATACAATGTGTTGCATAACCCTTGGAATGGGAAATAAGGAAATCAATTTTTTAGAATGAGTTTAAAATAAACTCATCATGTGGTGCCTTATATAGGACACGCTGTAGGTCATTTTAATCAATAAACTTAATGGTTTTACAGCAAATCTGATCCTCACACTGTCTAAAAAATAAATTAATAATGAGTAGGAGGGGACTAAATTAATGTCACATAAATATATAGCTTTATTATAATTAATGTAATATACAGATCTTACAATTCAACAAAAAGTAAATGAATAACATATCCCTAAGACAATCTGGACTAAATGTCATTTTCCTCTGCTTAGCTGTTGAAAGTAATGAAATAATCGATAATTCAAGGTTATTTTCCAACTGGAATATTTTCGGAGCAGTTATCATCCATTTTGCCACTCAGCTGTAGAAAAAGTCCAGCAATGTTCCTGTGGAACAGTGGATTCTGAACGGGGTAATTTCCTGACACACCTGCCAGAATGAATTAGCTACCTATTGCACAGCCAGGCACCTGCACGCCATGATCTGTTGCATGGAGCTATTTAAATTCTGGTGAATGTGAAGGAAGCCAAATTATTTCCCCCAAAATACTGAGGATTGTTAAGTTAAACACACTGAATGAACTTAGGGAAATGCTCTGCCCCAGCCTCTGTTTGCCCAATGGCAGGACATCAACTCTTCCTTACTGGAGACAGCTCTGGCTCATCAGCCCAGAGCAGGTACCAGCAGGCACCAGAGGAATCTGGGAACAGATTTTACTATCTTCCCACATTTCCCCACCATTTATTTATTTATTTATTTGAGACAGAGTCTCACTCTGTCACCCAAGCTGGAGTGTGGTGGCACAATCTCGGCTCACTGCAACCTCTGCCTCCCAGGTTCAAGCGATTCTCCTGCCTCAGCCTCCCAAGTAGCTGAGACTACAGGCATGCACCACCACATCCAGCTAATTTTTTGTATTTTTAGTAGAGATGGGGTTTCACTATGATGGCCAGGCTGGTCTCAAACTCCTGACCTCAGGTGATCCACCCAACTCGGCCTCCCAAAGTGCTGGGATTACAGACATGAGCCACTGCTGCCCAGCCCCCACCCTTTAAAAGACTAGAACTGAGCCAAGCACAGTGGCTCATGCCTGTAATCCCAGCACTTTAGGAGGCTGAGGCCGGGAGATCCCTTGAGGCCATGAGTTGGAGAACCACCTGGGCAACATAAAAAGACCCTGTCTCTACAAAAATTTAAAAATTAACCAGATGTGGTGGTGCACACCTGTAGTCCTAGTTACTCAGGAGGCTGAGGTGGGAGGATTGCTTGGGCCTGGGTGATGGAAACTTCAGTGAGCCATGATTGCCACTGCAGTCTAGGCTAGGTAATATAATGAGGCCCTCTCTCTCACAACAACAACAAAAAAAAAAAAAAAAAAGAAAAGGAAAAAGAAAAAAAGAAAAAAGAAAAAAAAAGGCTAGGCCGGGTGCGCTGGCTCACGCCTATAATCCCAGCACTTTGAGAGGCCAAGGCAGGCAGATCATGAGATCAAGAGATGGAGACCATCCTGGCCAACACGGTGAATCTCCATCTCTACTAAAATTACAAAAATTTAGCTGGGCAAGGTGGCATGCACCTGTAGTCCCAGCTACTCGGGAGGCTGAGGCAGAAGAATCACTTGAATGTGGGAGGCAGAGGTTGCAGTGAGCCGAGATCACACCACTGCACTCCAGCCTGACAACAGAACAAGACTCTGTCTCAAAAAAAAAAAAAAAAAAGAAACGAAAAAGAAAAGAAAAAGGCCAGAACTGCTCTCTCCTTTGTTTTGTCACTATGAGGGATTTATGGCTCTTTGATAAAATACCATTTAAGCAAAGCCTCTAAGCCACTGCCTTGAGAGAGAGGTACTGTTGAACTGAGGCCTCTCCTGCATGTTGAGTACAGCATGGGTTAACAAACTTGTGCTTGTTTTTCTCCTGTTAATCCTGTTTTGTTTTCAGGAGAGTGTTTCAGCTAAAAACCTAAGAAAAGAAAGAAAAGAAATTATGTTTTCTCACCTACAAATACCTAGGGAGGGCAGTAATTGACACTTGAGCCATTCTTTCTGGTAGAAGTTAAATAGTAGGAACAATTGCTTATAGAGACATTAATACATACTAAACTTTATCATAGCCAGGTGCAGTGGCACACATCTATAATCCCAGCTATTTGGGAACCTGAGATGAGAGAATCACTGGAGCCCAGAGTTTGAGTCTAGCCTGGGCAATATTTCGAGGCCCCCATCTCAAAAAATAAAACAAATTAAATAAATAAAACCCTATCATAAGCATATAAAGACACACTTGTGACTTACTTTGGCAAAAAGGTTTGGATTCCAGTTATCAAAAAGTGGTCTCCCATTAAAGAAGCGTAAGTTAAAGAATAGGTTCGATAAAACATATTTTTCTGTTTTATAACCCTAGAGACTGACGTTTGATCTCACCACCTTTTCTTGGCTCCCTTGAATTGTGAAAGGGCATCAGAAAAAGGGTACTTTAAGAGTTAGGGGTCTCTACTAAGCCCTGTAAAAGTTAAAGTAAGGATTGTCCAATGAGTGACCAGGTTCAACCTGGTTAGCAGGGTGTAGTGTTATGATATCTATCATCTATATGCACACATACGTATAAATGCACACATACGTATAAATACACACATACCTATGTATACACACACACATATATTTGCATATACGCATATGTATACACACGTGTATATACATTGGTTTTTCGTCCCCAGCTCATAACTCCCACAATCCTTTGTACAGTCTTTTATTATCATGTTGGGTATGTTAGTTCTCAGGAAACAGAATCTCTCTGACCTTCCCTTGCTCCTGACTTTCTGACTGTGGGTCTCAAGACCATCCCCAGAGAGGGTCCCACTCTGTAACTGGGGGAATGAATGCTGACTCAAGAAGCTTCCATAAAAACCCAAGAGAACTGGGTTGGTGAGCTTCCCAATAGCTGAACACAGGGAGGGTGGTGCACCCAGGGAGGACAGAGAAGCTCAGCACCCTTCCCCCATACCTTGCCCTACACATCTCTTTGCTTGGATTTTTTATAGTATCCTTTATAATAAGCCAGTAAACCTCAGTGTTTCCCTGAGTTCTGTGTGCTGCTCCAGCAAATGAATTGAACTCAAAGAGGGGATCATGGGAGCCCCAATTTGACACTGATTGATCAGAAGTTCCAGAGGCCCAGATTTGTGACTGGTGGAAAAGAGGGGGCAGTCTTGTGGGACAGAGCTCTCAACCTGTGGGATCTGATGTTGTCTCTAGGTAGATGTGTCCGAATTGAATTAGAAGACAACCAGCTGGTGTCTGCTGCCTGGTGTGTGGGGAAAACTCCTATGCATTTGGTCACAGAAGTCTTCTGTGTTGATTGTTATGGTGGTATAAAGAGCAGAGGAAAAACATGATTTGGAAGAGTTTTTCCAAAACACAGGGCAATGGCATTTTTCCTTTTTTCAGTGGGAGGGGCTACCCTCAAACTCAATTTCATACTGGTGACTCCCAACATTTTCAAGTTCTGGACCACTGTCACCTGTGCTCACATTGCTTAGTGTTAAGGCACATTTGTCCCTTAGCCACGCAAGATACTCTTACACTTATTGCATAAAACAAGAGAGCAACAGAGGTTATTGTCCCTCTGCTGGTAAACAGTCCAGTGTATCCAGGCACATCCCAGCCCAAGCCAGACTCTCTACAAATTCCGGAAACTGAGAGACTGTACGGACAGACTGAGAGACACCTGCTAACCTGCTCAAAAGTGGTGCATCCTTGGGTCTGGCCCAAGCCCATTGTGGGATAAGGCCTTACAAGCCTGGCTCACATCTGAATTTAGTCCATAAAATCAAAAGTGGATTAGATGTCAGGCAATGTTTTAACAGTCATTGTTCTTGCCCGATTAACTGGTCATTAAACACAGAACACAAAACAGCCCTCTGCTCCATAGCTATTGGCTGGGGATAGATAAATCTTCATAGTCTCTAATACATTCTCCTATAGATTGCTATTAATTCACTTCTTTCGTTATTCAGTCTCCCCATCTCCCTTTTTGGGGAACGGGAGTTGATTATTTTGTAGCTCTTGTAGTTGCTGTTTATAAAACTTTGGTTAGTTGCATTGTCTTAAATACTTGCTTGATTTGGATCCATCTCTTTTATCCATTTATTTATACTGATTTTTAAATGGGCATAAAATTCAAAAGGTACAAAACAAAGTAATTTTAAAACCTTCTTTCTTATTCTATTCTCCCCAATAAGTACCCTGTTCTGATCTTCAGAGTTAGCCATCATTACGAGATTTCTAGTGTAATCTTCCTAAGATGTTCTATGCATATAAGTTGATTTTTTAAACAAACAAAAATAGCATAGCATAGACATATTTCTGCATCTTGATTCCTTTTATTCAACAATATATTTTGGCAATTATTTCTTATTAGTACAAACCTACTTCCTTCATTTTTAAAGTTGCATAACATTTCATTCCATGATTGTACTATTTATTTCATCACTCCACATTGGTGGATATTTAGTTTGTTTCCTTTACAACTATATAAATCAAGCTAACGTTAACATCCTCAAACATTTGTTTTTGCCTCCACTAGTGAAAGAGTATGCATGTATTTCATTTTAATAGCTAATTTTAATAGCTGTTGCCAGATTGTCCCCTGGAGAGGGCTGTAGTAATTTCCTGTCCCATTTCCTGTTTCTCTAAACAATTACCAACAAAGTGTATTATCAAACACTTTGATAATCATTTTAATCTGTGTGAATCTGATTGGTAAAACATATTTTATCTTTATAGTTCTAATGAAAAATTAACTCCTTCTTTCCTATTTTTGTACCTTTTATATAATTTCTCTCTGTGTTGTATTAGCTACTACCTCCAGAACAATGTCGAATAATTACTGTAAGCATGGATTTTCTTGTCTTGTCCCTAACTTTAAAATGAAGAAGTTTGATATTTCCCATTAAGTAGCTCTTGGGTTGAGCTACAGATATTTTGCGAGTCTCAGAGACTGTTTCTAGGGAACACAGTCTAAGACACAAGCCTGTGAACCATTATTTGATAGGTATTTTCCATTTGTTTTGTCCAGGCCTCCACTCTCCCTCCTGACTTTCTGCCTCAGGAGGCTCAATTGTGTGAATTACATGAACTGCTGTTCCTCCCTCCCTTGGATCTTTTGTGGTGGCACTCTTTTGACTAAACCCAACAGAAAGCCAACAGGCACAGAAGTTATGTGCCCTTTGGCTTTCTGTTGGGGTTAGTATGTGCCATTTGGCTTTCTGTTGGGTTTAGTCAAGAGTGCCACCACAAAGGATTCAAGGGAGGGAGGAAAACAAGGCTGGGTAGTGTTGAAGTCAAAATTAAAATATGCAAACAAATCTCTGAAATTCAACATTTATTTCAGGAAGAGAGAATTGCAATTCAGAGCATACATGCAGACCAGGTGGTCTTCAGAATATCTGAAGAACAAAGAGAAGGTTGGAAGTTTTATAAAAAGGAGAAATGTTAAACATTGACCATTGAGAAAGTTCATTGGCACTAGTAAGGTTCTGGAGAGCTGGCAAACTCTGATTTGTGAGCAACATCGATGTGCAAAATTAGTCCTAGAGTTGCATAAGTTATCTCAGCAACTATAGATAAAACTTGTTTCAGGTTACAACAGGTAGTTTCAGCAGCTGGACTTGCAGAGAATTACATTCTTGGAGTAATATTGTGTGTCTTGAGTGCTTTCCCCACAAGCTTCCCTACCCTGTTTTAGTTTGGTACTACAAGAGTAACTCAATTCATATAATCATATAACCATAATACGTCCATTTTTTCAATGCACATGGCAGGTCAATAGCCAGACACTGAGATGCAGCAGAGAAAGAGATTGAATCACAAGGCTGGTGAACCAGGAGACAGGAGGAAATCTCAAATCCATCTCCCTGTGGAGTTTGGGGCTAGGGTTTTTTGTTTTTTGTGTTTGAGACAGAGTCTCATTCTGTCACCCAGCCTCTAGTGCAATGTCATGACCTTGGCTCACTGCAACCTCTGTCTCTTGGGTTCAAGCAATTCTCCTGCCTCAGCCTCCCAAGTAACTGGAATTACAGTCATGTGCCACCATGCCAAGCTAATTTTTTTGTATTTTTAGTAGAGACAGGGTTTCACCGTGTTTGCCAGGCTTGTCTCGAACTCCTGATCCCAAATGATCCACCCACCTCAGCCCCCCAAAGTGCTGGGATTACAGGTATGAGCCACTGTGCCTGGCTTGGGGTTACGGTTTTTAAAGGTTTTAGAGTGGGACAAAATATGGAGATCACCGACTGGTTGAAGAGTGCAGTATAGAGTCACAGGACAGAGAGGTGGAGAAACTGTATTCTCACGCTGATTTCATTTCTCTGGTTGGTGTCAGCTGTTTTGCTGTAATTCAGGATTTGAAAAACATCTTAAATAATCCTTACACAAAAGTTTTATGATTCTAACATCAGAAATCCTATCTATAGGAACAATGGGAATGCAAATGGTCAGTATCTAATGCTATGTGACTTTTGGTTACAAAGAAATGGGCCAAAGTGCAGCCCAATTGATGCTTAATCATAACTATATTTCTGTACAGAATTCTTGTTAACCTGATAAAGATGGCTTTAGTCAGCTTTCACAACAGTTGCTCCACTGGTCCAGGTTGGATGGGTTATTTCATTGTTTGAAGGTCAATGCTGCTCTCCAACTGGCCTGTTCAATATGACTCTATCCTTCCATATACTGGTAGTATCTTTCTTCTTCTGTCCCCTTAAACCTAGAGATGGTGAAAATTCTGTTGCTACTATCACTTGTGGTTCTCTTGCACCAGCCATACCTTTTTAACTAGTCCTTCTTGTAAATAAATCCCCCTCAAATCATGCAGGGTCTAATTATGCCATCTCTTTCTTTTTGGGACCAAGACTAATTAATGTACACTCATTAGGTACAAGTGAAACCACCTTTGTAAAGGTTATGACAGTAAGAGAAATCTAGCATGGCAAACTCCATCTTGCTTCCAGCTTCACATGCTGGCTGATCTCACTCATTTCTGGGCATAGGCCAAGCTAACCATGGGAAGAATTCAGTTTATAGTTTAACTTTGAAGCAAGGATAATTATAGTCCCTCCCTTAAACTAACCTCCCTCCTTGCTCAAGGACCAAAGCTGCCTTTGTAAAACAAATGAAAGGTCACAAGATTAGGACAATGGAAGGGGCCTGAATTCTGCTAAAATGTAAGCATAGTTCCTATAATCCCTTACAGTTCAAGAGTCATGTGGTCAGAGGTCACAAGATTTGTGAATTCCCCAGTTGCTCCTATAGATAATATCACTATTGTAGAACTTAAGATTGGTCTTTTGAGATGTTTTTCAGACTTTTGCATTCTGTCAGCTGATTGACTCTACCTGGACCCAGGACTCATGACTCAACCAGAATTGTGGCCCCTGCCTAGAGGTGGACTCAATGTGCAAGAACTGTTTTCCATACCCTTATGATTTTATCTCCAACCAATCAGCAGCACCCATTTCCTAGACCCTTGATCACCAAATTATCCATAAAATCTCTAGTTCTCAGGGAGACTAATTTGAGTAATAATTCTAGTACTTCTGCTTGGCTAGCTCTGCATTAATTAAGCTCTTTCTCTACTTCAATACCACAGTCTCAGTGTATCGTTTTTTGTCTATGCAGAGAGCAGAAGAACCCATTGGGTGATTGCATAGAAGGCAAGATGAATTCTCCCATCGCTTCCTGTCTATACTGAACAAGTTTTAGCCAGGACGAAGAAAGGGGATGTAAGGAAATACTAACAATAATATCTACTGATACTAGCCAGGCATTGTCAAATAAAAACTAAATCTGCACTTAGATAAGGAGAAATTTTATTTTTAAAGATTACTTCAAGAAGTAGAGCTGAGAGGAAAGAAGGGATTTTGCAATAGGAGGAGGGAGACTACTGCAACAGGGAGAAGTCTTCGACAAGATCTGCAAATTCAAGAGTTAGGCAAAATGGTAGGTCAGGCATGGTGGCTCATGCCTGTAATCCCAGCACTTTGGGAGGCCAAGATAGGAAGATTGCTTGAGGAGTTCAAGACCAACCTGGGCAATATAGTGAGATCCTATCTATACAAAAAAAATAATAATAATTAGCTGGGTGTGATGGCGCGTGCTGTAGTCCCAGCTAACTGAGCTGATTGGGGGGCTGAGTTGGGAAGGATTGCTTGAGCCTGGGAGGTCAAGGCTGCAGTAAGGTATGATTGTACCACTGAACTCCAGTCTGAGTGACAGAGTCAGACCCTTGGCTAGAAAGAATCTGGGGTGGGACAGAGGAATGAAAGAGTGAGGTGGCTAATCTGATAGTAGATCAGAGATTGCTTGACCCTGGAGCCAGCCTATTTTCAGAAGGTGCTGTTAAGAAGGAGTTGTATGCTAGCTCAGGCTAAGGATGGGTCAAATTCTGGGATCTAGGAGAAGGAGATAATCTTAACCAAAGTTTGATTAACAAGAACTTTGTTCAGATTTAGATTCCATGGTCACAAGCAGTTCAGCTAGTCATTTACGAGGCAGAGAATAGGAATTTAGAGGATCTTTGTCTGGCCTTGTCAAAGGTGAAAGAAACCAAATATCTCCCCTGAAAATATTTCTCCTGGGTATGATGAATATTTTAAATTAAAGGCCCTTAAAGATCAACAGAGAGCTAGAAAAGTCTTTTCCCCTATGTACATAAAGACCCCACAGATCTGCTAAGGAGCACAATTATTTTTCTTTTCTCTCCCTGTTACCTCATTATCCACTAGGGGGAAAAAATCATGAAGATGCAGAGTAAAAAGGAAAAAAAAAGAGAGAGAGAGAGAAAGAGAGAGAAAAAAAAAGCATCAATTAAGACCTTATGAATGTAACCACCCTGAATGAACCCTTTCACAAGATAGTATCTTCTTTCAGGCTCACTGAATTCCCAAACAGAAACATTTACAAGTTAATCTCTGTTTCCTCATCCATTCACTCTCCCTGGTAATCCTTTATTCCTTCTCCCAGAATTACCCATAATCCTCAGTTCCCCCTCCCCTCTGAAATAAGGGTATGTAAGCTTCTGCACCCCACTGGGGAGTTGGGGTAATCACTCTGTGATTCTCTCCCCCTCATCTCTGTACACGTTAATAAATTTGTATGCCTTTTTTCTTAATCTGACTTTGGTCAGTTTTCCCTTGGCCCTAACAAAGGTAAAAAGGAGACGCATCTGTGCATCTTATCTAAGTCATATGGAAAAGTGTATTTCTTGGCAATAAAGTGATATTGGGAACACAGAGAGTGGGGGGATATCTTTAACCATGGCTATTTTCCAGGATCACAGGGCCCAGGTAAAATTCAACATTGTCAGCACTTACCTTAGAGTTTTATTTATTTATTTATTTATTTATTTATTTATTTATTTTTAATTACCTTTTAGTTTAGAGATGGGGGCCTCACCATGTTACCCAGGCTGCTCTCAAACTCCTAGACTCAAGTGACCCGCCTTGGCTTCCCAAGTGCTGGGATTACAGGTGTGGCCACCACACCCAGACAATCTAAGAGTTTTCAATGGTGATCTTGATAGCGGCAGGAGGCAGTCAAATGCCGAGGCAGATGGGGGTGGGACCCTGGTGAAACCCGACCTTCAAGCTGAAGACGGTTTAAAGTCTGAAAACCAAGCTATAGGTCAGAGATAAACCCATGGACTGGATTGAGAACCTCTCTTCCCATTTGGGGCACTTTCCTCTGATTGATCCCCACCCTTCACCTATTTTACATATACCTACTCTTCCCTAATTGTTTTTTTGCATGGTCTTGCCCATCTTTGAGTGGTGCCTTTTTTTAAATCCTTTTTTGCATACTCACAACCCAATCAGCATGCACTCTCCCATTCTGAGCCACACTGGCAAACTACCTGCCTCCTGGTGGGGGACCACCCGCCTTGAGTCAGCTCTCCACTGAGAGCTTGTTCCATGGCTCAGTAAAACTCTTCTCCTCCCTTCTCATCCTCTGGTTGTCTGCGTAACCTCATTCTTCTTGGATGCAGGACAAAAACTCGAGACCTGCCAAACAGCAGTGACAAAGGAGCTACTGTAACACTGTAACTCTCCACCCTCCGCTGGTGTCCAGCAGCCCCATGCAACGGGAAGCAGTGGCAGGGCCAGGCCAGCCCCAGTGCCGCAAGCCAGAGTGGGGCAGCAGGACTGAAAGAGCTATAGCACAAATAGGCTGAAATACTGCCTTGCTCCCCATTCACCGTGCTGTGAGCAGCAGGAAGGAAAGAAGAGCTACAACCCTTCTGGGGGCCTAGACTTTGGGGCTCCCTGAGCCAAAACTGCAGCATGCTGTAACACCCACTTTGGGGCTTCAGGGTTGCTGGCATCTCCAAGATTTTTGGCCACCACCACATTCCCCTCATCCAGACGCCGGCACCCAAAGCAGAAGCAGGTTGCGGCATGACCCGTCCAGCTGCAGGCTGAGAACGGAACCCATGGTGAGTGCGGGATCCGGGCTGGAGCACAAGCCAAGCACAGCCCACTGAGTCGAGTAGGCGGGGTACCTCCAGCAGCAAGCCCAGAGCCCAGCAAGGCCCAGGCAAGGGTGTCGCTGGCTGTGGAGGTCCCTGGCTGGCGAAGCAGCACCAAAAATTCCTGCATCGATCTTATTTAATTCTTTCACCATATCTACTTGTGTAAGTACAGTGATCAAGGGAGTGCTAACAAGACAAACGTGGGCAGGTTATTTAATGATATTTTCCTCTAGTAAAAGGGGATTAATAATAGTTCTGGCCTCAGGATTGTTGTGAGAGCTCGAAAACTTCATACGCACAAAGTGCTTAAAACAGACCTGGGATGTACTAAGTATTCAATAAATGATCCCAGGAAGAGAATCTTATTTTTCCCAATTTACAAACGAAGTTCCTGAGGCACAAGGAGGGCAAATAATTTACCCAAGTAAAGATTAAAACTCACCCAGATTATAGGCTTTTATCTACAGTCTTCCCTCCTGCACTTCCCAAGCAGGGAGAAATTAATGGATAAATCGAAGCTAGGCATGGTGGCTTGCACCTGTAATTCCAGCTACTCAGGAGGCTGAGGTGGGAGACTCTTGAGTGCAAGAGTTTGAGGCCAGCCTGAGCAATATAGTGAGACCCCATCTATTAACCATAAAAGTGGGCAGATAAAGTGGAAGAAATGTTAGACAAAGACTTGATAGGTTTTCCAGAGTTACTGCATACAAAAAAAAAAAACGAATCTTTTTTTTTTTTTTTTTAATACAGGGTCTGGCTCTGTCGCCCAGACTGAAGTGCAATGTCCTGATCTGGGCTCACTACAACCTCTGCCTCCCAGGCTCAAGCAGTCCTCCCACCTCAGCCTCCTGAGTAGGTGATACCACAGACATGTGCCACCACACCCAGCCAATTTTTGTATTTTTGGTAGAAATGGGGATTTGCCATGTTGCCCAGGCTGGTCTCAAACTCCTGAGCTGAAGCAATTCACCTGCCTTGGCTTCCCAGTGTTGGGATTACAGGCATGAACCACCACACCAAGCCCAAATCACTTTTTTTATTTTTCTCAAAACATAAAGATTCTTGAGGAAGTCAGAGTAAGAAAACATTCTTATTTCCATCGACCTGAAATAACCAAAAGGATCAGAATTCAGTTTTAATGAGTTTATTTGAGTAAAACGCTGGAAGTTACCATCCAGGAAACACAGACTCCAGAGAAATGGGGTCAATGCTCTCAAGTTACGATCTTGCTTATATAGGCAGAACACAAAGAAATTTAGTGGGATTATAACATTCTCTAAATAAGGCTGGCTTATGAACTATACCAATTTAATGAGTTACAATGTGTTTTCTGTACAGCCTGTTTTCTTTTCTTTACAGCTTGTTTACATTTTCTTTCCAATTAAAAGAGTGTATTTGACATTCCATCCTAAACAGTGTGATAGGAAGTCTGTGTGACACAGTGAAGAGGAAAATTGGGGAATTAATAGGCCCAGTGCTCAGAAAACGGTTAGTAAATGACTGTTTGGGAATGTGAAGGGTGGAACTGCACAGAAACAAAGATTGTCTTATTATCCAGATAAGGTTCCCCAGGCAATCTCTAGGACTTCTCTAAGAAGAATAGATGAAAAGTCTGTCTGGGAGTAATGAGGACTCCTAGTCTCTTCTCTTCTCTGGGTGGTTGATCTTGCCTGGTTATTTGATGAGATTTTTAGGGAGGGGTCTTAAGACAACTGCATGTCATTTGGAAAGAAGCTTTCTTAGTCAGATAAGGAAATTCCAGAGAGAATCTCCACTTGAGAGGGGGACAAGGCAAGTTTAGAAAGGCTTTGATTATAAGGCAGCTCCTAAGGCTTCTTAGCATGTCAGAGTGCCAGTCTTTCAGGTATTGCTTTCTGAGCCCCAACAAAGCTTACGTGTCATTCAAGAGTAAGCAGCAATTTTTTACAGCCTAAACAACAACAAAATCTTTTTTAGGGAGAGGTATTTTATCACTAACATTTTCAGAATTGCCAGTGTATGGTTGGGTTTTATTATGGTTTTAAAATTCTTTATGGAAAATGTACCTAATTATTGCCTGCACCAAGAGCAGACCATTTCCACTGCCTCGGTCTTTCTTAACTGGTATATGGTCAAATACACAAAGGTCCTTCTTTTAGAATGATACATGTTGAAGTATTTAAGCATGAAGTTTCACAATGTCTACAACTTAATCTCCAATGGCTAAGACACACACACACACACACACACACACACACACACACACACAGCACATAGAAATTGATAGGGAAAATACAGACACTTCTCACCATATGATAGGAATGAGTCCCAATAAACCCACCCGAAATCAAAAATGCATTTAATGCACAGCCCTTTCAACATCATAGCTTACCCTAGCCTCCCCTAAACACTTATATTAGCCTATGGTCAGGCAAAATAACCTAACGCAAAGCCTATTTTAAAATAAAGTGTTATTCATTTATTAGAATCGCAGAGTACAAAAATAAATATAAAAATAATATTAAATAAAGTATTGCTGGGTTCAGTGGCTCTCATGCCTGTTATCCCAGCTACTCAGGAGGCTGAGGCAGTTCAAGGAGTTCAAGGCTGCCATGCACCAAGATTGTGCCACTGCACTCCAGCCTGGATGACAGAGCAGAGTTCTAATAGAACTTCAGGACCAGGCCTGATACTATGTCCTGCAGAAATGCCTCTGCAGGGAACAGAGGTGGAGAAATTGTAGGTTCAGTATTTTAAATGGACACCTGTAACCCAACTCCCAAACCTCATCCTCTTCAAAGTCTACATATAAGTAAGTTGAGAGTCTACCGTGAATTGAGATAGTCACATTACTTACTGCTCTCAGTAATGTCTGCCTCACTATGGAGCCAAGTTAGATTAGGAGAGTTTTACTAGAAGGAAATCGGAGAGCACACACACACACACCCCCGCAGACACACACAGCCCTTCACGCTCATCTTGGTTTTCTTTTACCTCTCTGCCTTTGGCAGGAAAAGCTTCAATAACACCTCCTGTTTTGTTGTTGTTGGTTTTTTTTTTTTTTTTTTTTTTTTTTTTTTTGAGACAGAGTCTCGTTCTGTCCTCAGGCTGGAGTGCAGCGGCATGATCTTGGCCTCACTGCAACCTCCATCTCCTGGGTTCAAACAATTCTCATGTCTCAGCCACCTGAGTAGCTGGGATTACAGGCACGCGCCACCACGCCCAGCTAATTTTTTTTTTGCATTTTTAGTAGAGACAGAGTTTTGCCATGTTGGCCAGGCTGGTCTCGAACTCCTGGCCTCAAGTGATCCACCCACCTTGGCCTCCCAAAGTGCTGGCAATTACAGGAGTGAGCCACTGGGCCCAGCCACACCTCCTGTTTTTAACCCACACTGCTTTTGATGAGACAATTCAGGAAATCCATACATTTACCTCTTTGTCTGCTTTATCATAAGGGGGATATTTCCCAAGTCCTGAAGTTTTTATTTAAGTCATGAGAATAAAATAGCATTGAAAATATTTTATTATCTTCCCATTAAACATGTTACTTAAAAGAAAAAACTTTCTAGAAATAAAGACTTATTAAGAGTCAAGTCGCCCTTCTAAATGACATATGCAGGAGGCTGGAGAGCTAGGTCAAGGATCTCTTTCAATTGCATTTGATCAATTACTTTCTTTGTTCTGCTAGCTGCAAGTAATTGTCCATACTAGCCATTTGGTTAGAATGTCTTTACAGAACAAATGGCACTCTTTCATATATTCTTTTCCTTATGTTCTATTTGAAGACTATAATCAATTCTAAGCAACAACGACCTTTGTAAATTCAGGCCTCCTCTCAACCCCTGAGCTAGGCCTGGGACCCCACTTCTGATTCTTTGAATTTGCTGGTAACTTCCATTAGTCCTGAATGACATAAACCACTACAGCCCACCTCAATTCTATCCCATGCCCTAATCTACTTCATCTCTTTTGCCCCAGACTAGTTTTCACAGCTTCCTGTTCATTTGTTCATTCCACCCTGGGTCTCTAGGAGACGAAAGAAATCTACCTGATCTTACCTCTTTCCCTCTTTCCCTCTACAACATGCTATGAACAGGGGCCTTGGAGTCCCAAAACCTGAGTGCAAAATTTTAACACTTATTAGTTACTTCACTAGTATAATAATAATACTGTCCTTGTAGAGTTATTGTGAGGGTTAAATTAGTTAATACATCTAAAGCATGTAAAATAGTGCTATTCAAAGGATATTCTTTGAACCTACACAGTCCAAAAATTGCTTGCTACTAGCCTGCAACTAGATAGGTATAAAAGTACAGAACATTTACAAATGAACTAATCCAATCTTCACTGGATCGATAAATTTATAAATCAAGAAAAAAGTTCATTGGGTGTATTAAAATCTTTAAATGTTGATATATACAGCATTTATTCAAAGTGTACATAAAGGGCTAGGCATCGTGGCTCACACCTGTAATTCCAGCATTTTGAGAAGCCGAGGTGGGAGGATTACTTGAGGTCAGGAGTTCGAGACCAGGCTGGCCAACATGGTGAAACCCTGTCTCTACTAAAAATACAAAAAATTAGCTGGACATGCTGGCACATGCCTGTAGTCCCAGCTACTCAGGAGGCTGAGGCAGGAGAATTGCTTGAACCTAGGAGGCGGAGGTTGCAGTGAGCTGAGATTGTGCCACTGTACTCCAGCCTGGGCGACAGAGTGAGACTCTGTCTCAAAACAAAAAAACAAAAACAAAAAAACAAAATATACATAAAGGCCCTTAAAGCGGGGAATCATTATTTCACTCACAACTTTTTGAGAAGTTATGATTGTTAAATAATATGTAGAAGTTATTAGTATAATTTTCTATGTTAAACACTTTATATCCACATCCACTTTCAATGGACAACAAATACAAGTTTTGTAGTTGTTTTTCTTTTTTTTATGTCATTTTCTAGGAATTAAGTTTTTTATTTTTTTATTTGTTAAATATTTATTGAAGTGTTTGTAGTAATTTATAACCAATAACTAATTTGTACAGTGATTTCAATTTTAAGGTTTTTTTTAAAATTTTCATTTGTCACTGTAAAAGCTCATAGGAAGTAACTTTTAAAGTACTTTGCAGAAATATTGATCTGTGGCAAATTGGAAATTCAAGAAAAAAGGTAATCATTTACCACAGAGAGTTTGAGAAGCACTGACTTATTACAGAGCTCTGCCTGGCACATCATAATATGAAACACATTAAAAAGTGCAGCCAAATAGGAAGTGTTCAGTGAATACTCACTATTACTACTTTCATTTGATAGATGAAGAACCTTAGGCAGAGAGGAGTTCAGGAACTTACCCATGTCCTGTGTCCATGATCCTGGTCCACTGAGGCACACTGCGTCGGACCTAGAAGTACCTGCCTGCCTACCCTGGATAAACTGATAGAAGGAGTTTTCCTTATTGAGACAGGGGACCCTGCAGAAAATCCGGGACAAAAAACAGAAGCAAAACACATATCGCAGAGTGTCCCCAAGGTGCTGATGTTGCCATCAAGAGCCGGATGAAATGGAATTGCCCAGAAAGCACCTGCAGGTGCATTGCCCAAGCAATAGTCACAACCCTAAGTAATAACCACCCAGAAGTTGGCAGTGGAGGCCAATGAGGCACCTAGCAACCCAGCAGCAAAGAAACATTATCCAGAAGCCAGGAGATCTACTGGGGACCCCGGCTTCCGCACAAAGCCATAAGGTCAAATAAGCTATACCCTTTCCAAATTCTACACAATCTTAGAGAAACAACAAAAGATAAGCTGTTTGAGGGACTGAGCACTTTTGGCTAACAGAAATTGAACCCCACTAAAAGGGAATAAACTTAGGTTGAATTAGAGATGTAATTGTCTCCTAGTATCCCCTAAGGGAAAGGGCTCAAGAGAAAGTTCCAATCACAGAGGAAAAAACTCCTTTTCATTGTACCTCTGAGTTGTGAGACGAGTTGAGTTTTTCTGTCACTACAAGCACATTGGGAGAAAACTAGAGAATGAATTAAGGAACCTGTGAATCTCATGCTTCATGATTCCTTTTTTCCAACTCCTTCCCTCCAAGCCCCTTTGAGAGCAGAACTTGCAGTGCCTCATGTCTGCTGGCCTTGGAGCAGTGTCAGTCAACGCTTCCCAGCCCATTAACCAAACTTGAGGACAAGGGAAGTTAAGTGCCGCAGCCCACAGGGGAGCATGTAAGTGGATTCAGATTCCCCAGGGAGCATAACACCTTAAGGACTGTGCTTGCAATGGCTGGGGAGACAATGAGACAGGCGGGCAGTGATTCTTCCAGAGACTAATGAGGTTTTTCCTGGCGGAAGCACGTCTCTGCCTACACCGCACTAATGCAGCATTAATGGAGAAAGGAGAGGAAATGCGAGCATTTTCTTCTGTGGAGGACAGATCTTGTGTTATGTCTTTTTGTTTCCTTGTTTTATTGTAAGGTTTTTAACCTTTTTTATAAGTTAAACAAATTTTAGTATTACATGTTATATATACCTGTATATTTGAAAGAGAAATGTAATAACAGCTTTAATGTTTATACCTATAAAATAAATGAAAACATTTCGAAAAACCCAATGAATTCCTTAACAGTTTTAAAAGTAAGAGGCTTTTGTAAAGTTTCCCTGCGTTGTTTGTAGTGGTTACATGACTGCATATGTTCATCAAAACTCATTGAACTAGGCCGGGGGTGGTGGCTCACGCCTGTAATCCCAGCACTTTGGGAGGCCAAGGAGGGCAGATCACCTGAGGTCAGGAGTTTGAGACCAGCCTGGTCAACACGGTGAAACCCCGTCTCTACTAAAAACACAAAAATTAGCTGGGTGTGGTGGTGGGTGCCTGTAATCTCAGCTACTCTGGAGGCTGAGGCATGAGAATCACTTGAACCCGGGAGGCGGAGGTTGCAGTGAGGCAAGATCTCACCATGTCACTGTACTCCAGCCTGGGCAACAGAGTGAGACTCTGTCTCAAAAAAAATAAATAAATAAAGATATCACTACACACCTATTAGAATGTCAAAAAAAAAAAAAACACCAAAAACCAAAAAACAAAACAAAACAACAACAAAAAAAACACCTCATTGAACTATATATATGTTCAAAAGGCCTAAATTCTCAGCATGTTAATTATTCTTCAATTTGAAAAAATAATTTCTTAAATCCCAAAAGAAGTTTTAAGGAAACATGTGAATATTATAATAGACTTTTTGGAAATAACTTCAAACTTATAGAAAAGTTCCAAGAATAGTAGAAAAAACCTTATTTTTTTCCTAAACTTATTTGAGAGTAAAATGCCTATTTTGCTCAATCTCACCTCGTGTTATTCAGAAAGAAAGGAAGAGAAGGGAAGGGGATGAAGGGGAGGGGAGGAGAGGGGAGGCAGGGGAGGGGATGAAAAGGAGGGGATGAAGGGGAGGGGATGGAAGGGAGGGAATGAAGAGGAGGGGTAATGAAGAGGAAGGAGAATGAAGGGGAGGGGATGGAGGCGAGGGGATGAAGGGGAAGGGGAATGAAGGAGGGGATGGAGGGGAGGGGATGAGGGGAGGGGGAATGAAGGGGAGGGGGAATGAAGGGGAGGGGAGGAGCTGGAGGGGATGAAACGGAAGGAGATGAAGAGGAAGAGGAATGAAGGGGAGGGGAGGGGAGGAGATGGAGGGGAGAGGATGAAGGGGAGGGGATGGAGAGGGAATGAAGGGGAGGGGAGGGGATGGAGGGGATGAAGGAGAAGAGGGATGAAGGGGAGGGGAAGAGGGGGGGTGAGGATGGAGGGGAGGGGATGGGGGGAGGGGATGAAGGGGATGGGATGAAGGGGAGGGAAGGGGAGGAGATGAAGGGGAGGGGATGGAGAGGGGATGAAGGGGAGGGGATGGAGAGGAGATGAAGGGGAGGGGATGGAGAGGGGATGAAGGGGAGGGGAGGAAAAGGAGGGGTGGGTGTCAGGGCTGGTTTCTTCCTGGAGGCTCTAAGAGAGTCCATTTTCTTGCCTTTTCTGGCTTCTAGAGGCGATTTGCATTCCTTAGCTTGTGACTCTTTCTTCCATTTTCAAAGCCAGCAATAATGGGTCCAGTCCTTCTCACGTCACATCACTCTTATGTCCTTTTGTGCCTTCCTCTTCCACAGGTAATCCAAGATAATGTCCCCATTTCAAGATTTTTAGCTTAATCACATCTGCAAAGTTCCTATTTCCATGTAAAGTAATATATTCATGAATTCCAGGAATTAGGATCTGAACATTTTTAGGGACTCATTATTCTGCTGGTGTTTTGTTTGGTTTTTGTGTTTTTTTGCAACTATCTGACTCTGTCCCCCAGGCTGGAGTGCAGTGGCGCGATCTCGGTTCATTGCCACCTCTGCCTCCCAGGTTCAAGCAATCCTCCCACCTCAGCCTCTTGAGTATTCTCACCATGCTCAGCTAATTTTATTTTTGGTTTGCAGGTAGAGATGGGGTTTCACCATGTTGCCCAGGCTGGTCTCAAACTCCTGGGCCTCCCAAAGTGCTAGAATTACCGGTGTGAGCCACCGTGTCTGGCCCACCATTCTGCTGTTAAATCAGCCACGGCGCCTGGGCAACTATTCTGCTGTTTAGCCTAAAGTTGCCTTCTTCCTTATTTTAAGTTCAGCCTAAACGTTTCGCTGTACATAGTGAACTACAATGAACTACAACCTAAATGGAAGTGCAAACAGACTGTAACCTACTCTTGTGCCAATCACCAAGTTTTGGCCAATCTAAGGGGGCTAACTGATCAAATCATGTTCAGATAAGGTAGACACCAAGCTGTAATCTATCCAGCTGTTTCTGTCCCTCCGTTTTCTGCATGCCACTTTCCTTTTACTGTCTATAAATCTTCTACCCTGGAATCTTCCTGAACCTATTCTGGCTCAGGAGGCTGCCCTATTCATAAGTCACTTTTTACTCCATTAAACTCTATTAAATTTAATGTGGTGAAGGTTCTTATTTTAACATTGCCTACCACAAAAAGGAAGGATGGATGAAAGGAAAGGAGGGAAAAAAGGAAGGAAGAAAAAGTCTTACCCAAATGTTGATATATGGGTTTTTATGGTCTTACTAAATCATCCAGCGCATACCTAGAATTCATCTCCCCCTCCACAGCTCACTGAAGCATCTCTACAGGCTCAGCCCACACAGCTGCACAGCCCTGGAGTTTCTGTCCATCTGAATACAACACTTTGATGACTTCAACTTGTCTGCATTCTTCATGAGTCTGAGACAAATTTGTTACAATCTTTCTTAGGCAACTGAATTATCTTCATCATGATTATGGCAGAATAACCACAACATGAGGAGCTAGGACTGCCCAAGTGGAGTTTGAAGCGCGGTCCTTGCACCAGCAATCCACTGGGGCAAATGCCCAAAGTGCAGGTCACCTATCCCAGCCCATGATGACTGAATCAGAAAACCTGCAGACTCCACAAGCCTAGATTTTTCCGACGCACACTGAAGTTTGAGAAACACTGGTTTCAAAACATTACCTAATAGGAAAAGTTGTGGAGTATTTTCTTGGAAAGAGAATGACTTTTAAATTTCAAGAAATAAGTGACAATTAGAGGCTAAAGCCCAGGAGGAGGGAAAATAAGCCCTATTTCCAGTTCTAGCAAAGATAATTTTTTAGTGGCTTAGGTAAGAAGCTGTGCCCTGATTGTAGCCACCAGCTTAGAGAAATGAGCACTGATAAGTGCTAGGAAACGTTAGGCATATGAAATTCAAATGTGCTAACAAAAGTAAAATGTGTTCCCTTTAGAATTTGTGGACTAGAATGTATGTAGCAGACTTTATTCCAAATCAACAGATTAAATATACCAATGTGAACACCACCTTATATATTAAATAATTAACTTTAAAATTTTAAATTAATATTCCATCAAGGTATCTGCATTTCTCACATAAAACAGTAGCTCTCTAACTTCAAAGAGTGGAAGAAATTACTTAAGAAGCTTGTTAAAACATATATATTCTAGACTCCCTCTCCTCCATTGATTTTTTTAGGTCAGAGATCAGCCTAGGATTTTAATGAGAATTCCAGGTGATTTAGAAATGGTGTTATAAAGGCTAATCTTTGAAAAACAAACACTTATGAAGAAGAGTCTGACCTCTGCCCAATCACTCTCTCTTCCCCCACCAAAAAAAAAAAAAAAAAAAAAAACCCTCAAGACAACTTATTCAAGCAAACTTCCCAGTTAGCTGCACATTGAATTAATACTCAGTGACTAATTTAATATCACATACCCATTTCCAGAGCCATGAACACAGTAACAATTGTAACTTCCCAGAGTTGAATTTTTTTGAAAGTAATTATTTATTACAAGAAGCTTAATAGTAAATTAGCTTAGGGTGGTACTCTGGTTCTGTGATGTCTGAGTACACGCATGTAAATCAAATGCATTAATATATTAAATTTCAGTCTCCTGGATTTCTGCGTATGGGATAATGTAAGGGGAATAGATGTTGGTCATGCTTTTTGGTTACTCAATAGTTTTTGAGCTCTGTTCCTACTGTAAAGGTAAAGAACGTACCATCCCAAAATATGCAAAATTGGTATATTGATTATTTCAAGTTGAAAACATTAAAGAAATTGTAGTTTCAGAGAGAGCTAGCTGACTGTGTCTTCCTGCAGGCAGCAAGCCATGAAGGGGTACACTTCTTATACCAGGGTGAGAAAATAGCTCTTATCACCAGACTGGGAACTGGGCACTGCAATAGACCTGAATAAATATACTTATAGAAATAATCCTTATCTTCCACTAGTTTCACACACACCCACACTCACATATTTTGTAGTGACTTCCCTGGAAATTTGCTGCTCCAGGCCAGGCGCAGTGGCTCATGCCTGTAATCCCAGCACTCTGGGAGGCTGAGGTGGGTGGATCACAAGGTCAGGAGTTCAAGACCAGTCTGATCAACATGGTGAAACCCCGTCCCTACTGAAAATACAAAATTAGCAGGGCATGGTGGTGCGTGCCTGTAATCACAGCTACTCGGGAGGCTGAGGCAGGAGAATCACTTGAACCCAGGAGGCGGAGGTTGCAGTGAGCCGAGGTCGTGTCACTGCACACCAGCCTGGGTGACAGAGCGAGACTCTGTCTCAAGAAAAAAAAAAAAAAAAGAAATTTGCTGCTCCTAGCCAGACCCCCTTTGTTCTGTCATTGCTTCTCAAATTTATCATTCTTCGTCTAAAAAGTATAAAAGCATTTTTCTTTGACCACTTCTTCAGACTTCACTCTCTTGTGAAAATCTCCATCTATAATTGCCTGACAGGTTCTTCCTGCCCACTGCACAGACAAAACCAATTCACGAAGACCATAATATTGCTGTAGAGAAAGAGTTTTATCATTGCAGAGCTAGCCAAGAATGACTAGAGTTATTAATATTACTCAAATCAGTCTCCTTGAGAACTCAGAGGATAGGGTTTTTAGGGCTAATTTGGTGGGCAGCGGGCTAGGGAACCAGTGCCACTGATTGGCTGGAAATGAAATCATAGGGGTGTGGAAAATGATTCTCCTGTGTGGAGTCAGCCTTTGGGTGAGGGCCACAGGACTGGCTGAGTCATGAGTCCCAGGTCCGGCTGGGGTCAGTTGGCTACCAGAATGCGAAAGTCTGAAAAAAATCTCAAAAGATCAATCTTAGGTTCTACAATAGTGATGTTATCTATAGGAGCAATTGGGGAAGTCTTGAATCTTGTGACCTCTGGCCACTTGACTCTCAAGCAGTAATGGATTACAGAAACTGTTCCTACCAGAATCCTAGCAGAATTCAGGCTCCTCCCATAATCCTAATTTCATGGCCTTTCATTAGTTTACAAAGGTGGCTTTGGTTCCTAAGCAAGTAGGGAGTTAGTTTTAGGGAGGGACTATTATCATCCTTGCCTCAAAGTTAAGCTATAAACTAAATTCCTCCCATGGCTAGCTTGGCCTACACCCGGGAATGAGTTAGAACAGTCAGCCTGTGAGCCTAGAAACAAAACAGAGTCAACTTTGCTAGACTTCTCTCGCTGTCATAATTTTTGCAAAGGTGGTTTCCACATACATGTAAAGCTAATAAAATTTACGTGCTTTTCTCTTGTTAATCTGCCTGGTATTAATTTGATTTCTAGACCCAGCTAAAAAGCCCACTAAGACCTAAAAGGGATCCCCTAAACTACATTTGGGGAATTTCCCCCATTATTCATCTTCTCTTCAAGATGGAAGCCTTCCACCAACTTCCCTTAAAACTAGTGCACAAGGAGCATTATTTTCACTGGGAAGAAGAAGGTACTGGGCGAGTCCAGTCAGCAGAGAGATGCGGCTGGATCATGATGGAGATGCCAGCTTTCATAGGCAGCATTGGCAAAGACGTGAAGGCAGAGAGAGTTGCCAAATGCAACACAGAGTATCTTTGGTCTTTGGCAAGCACCATTTGAATTGTGTGGTGAGAGCTGAAGTCAGAATATCAGGGACACAGAATACACTGGAATAGAAAAGATGTTGGTACTTTTAGGTTTATAGGTAGAAAGCAATTAGGGAAGAAGTTGATGATATATAGGGGATAACTGTTGAATCAGGTATGGGAGCAGATGAAAATAATAGCATTACTTTTTGTATACTTTATATAAGGCCCACTGATTGCTATTACTGATTCAATGAAAGAGGTATGTATTTGTCCATTCTCACATTGCTATAAAGAACTGCTCAAGACTGGTTAATTTATATAGAAAAGAGGTTTGATTGACTCACAGTTACGCATGGCTGGGGAGGCCTCAGGAAACTTACAATCATGGTGGAAGGCAAAGGGGAAGCAAGGCACATCTTACGTGGTGGCAGGAGGAAGAGAGAACAAAGAGGAAGTACTCTACACTTTCAAACAACCATCTCTCGTGAGAACTAACTCACTATAACAAGAACAGCAAGGGAGAAATCCACCCGCATGATCCAATCGCCTCCCACCTGGCCCTTCCTCCAACACTAGGAATTACAATTCCACCTGAGATTTGGGTAGGGACACAGAGCAAAACCATATCAAGGTTTTATTCACATTTTATGGGTAAGTAAAGAGGTTCAGAGAAATTAAATGGTGGGTTATCCAACTAAGAAGAGACAGAATAGCAACTCAACTGGCTCCAAAGCTCATTACCTTGGTTCTATATCAGAGGATCGAGAGGTCCAGTAGAATGGTTGGACTTAAAAGGAGGGAGAAGACCTCATTTACTGGAGGGAAGGAGGGAAACACTAATACAAGTTTCTAGATTTAATGAAGTAGGAGGAAAGCAAACAGTCAGCTGATAGTGCAGGGAGTAGACGAAAAGTGAAGTGACATTTGAAAATATAAAGTTATGTGCTTTCTATAGGCTCTTAGGGAAATTCAATCTTGGGGAGACGTAGGTATCTGAAGAACGTAGTGACAGTTACTGAGGGACTTGAGGGACTAGATAAGGAAACTACATATAGAGATAAATTATGGTGCAGCTGAAGCTGGAGATAACAAATTGGAAGTAGCTCCAGTTCTTAAAATTCTAGACTGTTTTCTCTAACAGTGCTCAGTCTCTTAACTGTAGAATTTGGAGAAACATTCAGCATTTGTTCAATGAATCAAGCAGGACATGGATGCATGGAAATTGGGATTACTGGAAAAAGAGGTTTATAAGTGATTGGCCATGGAAATTAAGGCTTATTGAGGAAGAGAAACAAAAGGGGGACAGGGCAGGAGACAATCAGGGGTGGAAGGTTGGGGAACAAAGGAATTAAAAGACCAGACATGGCAGAGGACTTTTGATATGGTTTGGCTGTGTCCCCACCCAAATTTCATCTTGAATTGTAGCTCCTATAATCCCCACATCATGGGAGGAACCCTGTGGGAGGTAATTGAATCATGGGGGTGGTTACCTTTATGCTGTTCTCATGATAGTGAGTGAGTTTTCACAAGATCTAATGGTTTTATAAGAGGCTTTTCCATCTTTTGCTCATTTTTCTTCTTCCTGCTGCCATGTGAAGAAGGACGTGTTTGCTTCCCCTTCCACCATGATTCTTAAGTGTCTTGAGGCTTCCCCAGCCCTGCGGAACTGTGAGTCAATTAAACCTCTTTGCTTTATAAATTACTCAGTCTCCGATGTTTATTCATAGCAGCATGAGAATGGACTAATACAACTTTTTAAAATTTTAATTTCCAATTTTTTTTAGAGACAGGATCTCTGTTGCCCAGGCTGGAGTGCAGAGGTGCAATCATAGCTCACTATACCCTGGAACTCCTAGGCTCAACCAATCCCCCCACCTCAGTGGCCTGAGAAGCTGGGACTACAGGCGGGAGCCACCAGGCCCAGCTGTGGCAGAGGAGTTTCAACCCTGTTTGCTCAAAATTAATCTTGAAACAAAGACAGAAGAAGTTGTCCATCTTTGGACCAGAAATCTGACCACAGTAATTCAGTGAAGTTGGCTTTTATTTCTGTCATACAAAAATGCAGAATTAGGCAGTCCAGGTAGATTCAGTGCATCCACCACATTATCAATAATCCAAACTCTTTCTATCATCCTGTTCTCCACTAACCTGTGGTTTTCATTTTCATGGTCACCTTGTAGTTGCAAGATGGCTGCCGGATTGCCTTCTAAGCAAAAAGAGGAAGAAAGGCAAAGAAGGGCAAATAAAGGGCAAAAATTTATTCCATTTAGTAAGCTTTCCAAGAAACACTACCCAGGGACTTCCACTCCTATCTCACTGGCCAAATCTATCTCACGGGTGCTCCTAGGGCACACTGTCTTCCTCAACTAAATCTGAGTGCAAGAAGAAGTTAGTGGAGCAATAAGCAGTCTGACATGCCAGGAGACATTTGTAACCCCAAACCACAATCTCTGAAGATTGCCAACAAAAAGAGTCAAACTCTGTAAAATATTTGAAGAGACTTATTCTGAGCCAAATATGAGTGACCCTGGCCCAAAACACAGCCCCCAGAGATCTTAAGAACATGTACCCAAGGTAGTCAGGCTACAGCTTGATTTTATACATCTTAGGGAGACATAAGACATCAATCAATACATGTAAGATGTACATTGGTTCAGTATGGAAAGAGAGGACAATGCCAGATGAGGGCTTGCAGGCTATATATGATTTAAAGATTTTCTGATTGGCAATTGGTTGAAAGAGTTATTATCTAAAAACCTGGAATCAATAGAAATGAGTGTCTGGATTACGATAAGGGGTTGTGGAGACCAAGGTCCTTCTTATGTATAATAGACAAAGCCTCCAGGTAGCAGGCTTCAGAGAGAATAGATGGCAAAATTTTCTTTTAAGATTTAAAAAGGTGCCAGACTCTTAATTAATTCTCTCTGGGATTAAAGACTTGGAAAGGGAAGGGGATTCTCTGTAGAATGTAGATTTTCCCTTATCAGACAGTTCTGCAGGGCCATCTGAAAATATGTCAAAGAAATATATATTTTTAGGGTAAAATAATCTCTTTCAGGGCCTGCTGTCATGTTGGTATCTTATTGCTAGAAAAACTGTTTTGTCAGTCGTTAAGGTCTCTGTTTTAATGTTAATGCAGGTCAGTTGTGCCTGAATTCCAAAGGGAGGTGGGTACAATCAGGCATGTCTGAACTGCCTTCCCATTATGGCCTGAACTCGTTTTTTAGGTTAACTTTGGAAGGCCCTTGGCTGAGAGGAGGGGTCCATTCAGTTGATTGGGGGGCTTAGAATTTTATTTTTGGTTTATAAGATGGAAAGTGAATGGGGTATCAGAAAATGATGCAATAGACAGAGTGAAGGTCAAATTTAAGCACCTGCAAATGGCAGGAGGGGTAACAACAACTAGCAAGGCTATTTGCCCTCAAGGCATGCTTACAATATGAAAGAGACCAAAATATCAATAAACAAACTTAAAAGAAATAAAAATGCAGCATGCTGAATAAAACTTCAATGTGATTAAAATGAATGCTCTAAGGAAATAAATCCAATCCAAGTAACCAAAACAGGATACATTGATATATAAACAGAAACACTGAAAACTTAAAAAAGAAATACAGGTGAAAAAATTTAAAAACACAATAGAAGAATAAATGGGAAGAGAAAGTTAAGAAAATATCCCTTAAAATAGAACACCTAAATAATAGAAGGCCCATTAAGGAGAGAACAAGGTAGGGAAGGAAACCACCAAAGACTAAATACAAAAGTATTTAGAACTGAAAGATCCAGGTCTCCAGAATGAAGACTGCTCACCACGACGGAAGGCAAAAGACTGACACAGTCATGAAATTTTAGAATATTAGGCCCAAGAAAAGACATCTAAATCTTTCAGAGAAAAAAAATGACTGGTGGCATACAAAGGTATGAAAATAAAAACGGCTTCCTCATAAAAACACAGGAAGGCAGAGGAAAATGGGGGCAATTTCTTCCAAATGTTAAGAAAAAAAGTCATTGTGTTGCCAAGGCTGGTCTTGAACTCCTAGCCTCAAGCAATCCTCCTCCTTCAGCCTCCCAAAGTTCTGGGATTATAGGCATGAGCCACTGTACCCAGCCACAAAGAAAACATTTTACTGTATTATTTATTTATTTTTCAAACAGGGTCTTGCGCCCAGGCTGGAGTACAGAGGCATGATCTCAGCTCATTGCCACCTCCACCTCCTGGTTCCAAGCAATCCTCTCACCTCAGTCTCCTGAATAGCTGGGACTACAGGTGCATGCTACCATGCCCGGCTAATTTTTTATATTTTTGGTAGAGACGGGGTTTTGCCATGTTGCCCAGGCTGGTCTCGAACTCCTGAGCTCATGCAATTTGCCCACCGTGGCCTCCCAAGGTGCTGGGATTACAGAAGTGAACCATTACACCCAGCCAAAGAAAACATTTTTTATTTTTTATTTTTGAGACAGGGTCTCACTCTGTCACCCAGGCTGGAGTGAAGTGGCACAATCTCGGCTCACTGCAACTTCTGCCTCCTAGGTCCAAGCGATTCTCCTGCCTCAGCCTCCCAAGTAGCTGGGGTTACAGACATGCGCCACCATGGCCTGGCTAATTTTTATATTTTGCGTAGAGACGAGGAATCACCACGTTGGCCAGGCTGGTCTTGAACTCCTGGCCTCAAGTGATCCACCCACTTTGGTCTCCCAAAGTGCTGGGATTACAGACACGAGCCACCATGCCTGGCCTAAAGAAAACATTTTAAAAGAAAAGAATGATTATTAACTCCAATAACTCATACAGAAAAGTACTTTAAAAAAAAGTAATCATAGAATACAATACTACGTGGCTTATTAGAGCATAATATTTATGGTCATAATAACAAAGGCACCTAATATGGATTTCACAAAAAATTGAGATATGACATCATAAGGATGGAGGGAAGAAATAGATTGTGAAATAAATTCCTCATTTTCTGAAACAGGAAGTCAAGAGAGGGGTTCTAAGAGTAATGAAAAAAGAGACAGCAACAATCAGGCATAGTGGCTCACTCCTGCAATCTCAACTATGTTGGGGGCTGAAGTGGGAAGATCATTTGAGGCCAGGAGTTCAAGACTAGCCTGGGCAACGCAGTGAGATCCCATCTCTATAAATAAAAAGTCAAAAAAATTAGCCAGGCATGGTGGTATATACCTGTAGTCCCAGCTACTTGGGAGGCTGAGGCAGGAGGACTGCTTGAGCTAAGGAGTTTGACGCTGCAGTGAGCTATGAGCCACCACACTGTGGCCTGGGCATCGCTATTAAAAATAATGAGATTGCAATAGTATTTAGAAATAGGAAAAGAGATATACACTGGTGTGTCTGAAAGTGGTTGCCTCAGCAAGAGGAAGAGAGATGGAGGTCAAAAGGACAAAAAGTTGGTTTCCTTATAAGCCTTTTTTCCCTATTTTTTATTTTTTATTTTTTTTTTAGGCAGAACAGAATAAGGACAGTCAGAGTGGGAATGACGGCCTTCTATTCAAAGTGTGTTTCTCAACATCAACTGGGAGCTTGTTAATACAGTGTCTCCAATCCAGCCCAGACCTACAGAATCAGCCTGCATTTTAACGCCATCTCCTGGTGATTCATATGGCCATTGTAATTTGAGAAGCATTTGTCTAGTAGTCACAGTGCAGGGGGCCTGAGATAAGGTGCAGGTGTCTATCGCTGTAGTAAAGGTGAGGAACTGAAGCAAGATTCATGAAGTACACAAGATTCTGAACTCAGCCCATCATTTGAGGTAACTTCACCCTTTACCCTTATACCTTCTTAACATCACTGCTGTATTTCTGGCAAGCCTTAATCTTGTTTCTCAAATTTCCTGCCCTGGTCATCACTTTTTTCACCATCTGGTTTGAGTTTTACCTCTCTACTTCGCAAAATCTATCTTTACAGATTTTGTCACGTGGCAGTTGCAGGTATTATTGTTCTCAAATTGTTCCTGTTTATTTAATTATCAAGACCATATAACTCACAATAGACTAGATGCTCAAGAAAGCTTAGCAATTGGGTTCTTTCAAATCTTCAAGTTATATGCCAGAACTGATGCATGAAGAACTGTAAGCAGATCAGTCTCCACTGTCCAGGAAAGGGAGGAAAACAAAATTACAGATAAGAACTTAGATGGCGTAAACCCACAATTATAGTAGCTCTTAGAGAGTGGTCCTGGGTGTGGTAGCTCTCACCTGTAATCACAGCACTTTGTGGGGCTGAGGCAGCAAGACTGCTTGAACCCACGAGTTTGAGACCAGCCTGGGCAACATAGTAGGAACCTCATCTCTACAAAAAATAAAACAAAAAAAAAATTAGCCAAGTGTGGTGGCATGCACCTGTAGTCCCAGCTACACGGGAGGCTGCCGTGGGAGGACCACTTGAATCCGGGAGTTTAAAGCAGCAGTGCGCCCTGACTGTGCCACTGCTCTCCAGCTTTGGTGACAGAGCAAGACCCTGTCTCAAAAAAAAAAAAAAAAAAAACCCCACACAAGAACCCTCCCATCAAGACAGTGGCCCTCTAATGATTCCACTAGAAGTGAGGACTAAGCTAAGTAGGTGTTAGTTAGATCAAGAGAAACCTTTGATTTCCAGTCCCACTAAACTATGTCTTTATTACACTTTTTTATCCCAAGTTTTGAAAGATTTATAAAGCTTCTCTAAATGTTGAGTCTGGTTTAAGTATAAAATTAAGTTTCTTTCAGACACATAAAAATTACAACTCTATCACAAAAGTTAATTTTAAAGCTGTTCAGAAGCAAGGCTTAATTATAAAGTTTCAAAAGAAAAGCCCTCTATGATTAAAGATCTTAGCTCCTTTATTAAAGTGAAAATTAATCTATGCAAATTAGCTTCTCTTTGAAGTGACCCTTGTGTATTAGTCAGGGTTCTCCAGAGAGACAGAATAGGATATATGTATATATGAAAGGAAATTTAGTAAGAATTGACTCACACAAGCACACGGTGAAGTCCCACGATAGGCTGTCTGCAAGCTAAGGAGCAAGGAAGCCAGTAGTGGTTCAGTCCGAGTCCAAGCCTCAAAAGCAGGGAAGCCGACAGTGCCATCTCCAGTCAATGGCCAAAGGCCAGAAGGCCCCTGGCAAACCACGGGTATAAGTCCAAGAGTCCAAAAGCTGAAGAACCTGGAGTCTGATGTCCAAGGGCAGGAATCATCCAGCACAGGAGAAAGATGAAAGCCAGAAGACTCAGCAAGCCAACTTAATCCCACTTTCTTCCACCCGCTTTGTTCTAGCTGCACTGGCAGCCGACTGGATGGTGCCCACGCACACAGAGGGTGTGTCTGCCTCTCCCAGGCCACTGACTCAAATGTCAATCTCTCTGGCAACACCCTCACAGACACACCCAGAAACAATAAAGGCATCCTTTAATCCAATCAAGTTGACACTTAGTATTAACCATCACACCTTGCAAACAAGCTATTTGAGATTATAGCACTGACAAGATGTTGCTTTTTAGGCTGGGCGTGGTGGCTCACACCTGTAATCCCAGCACTTTGGGAGACTGAGGCAGGTGGGTCTCTTTTATCCAGGAGTTTGATACCAGCCTGGGCAACATGATGAAACCATCTCTATAGAAAATACAAACATCAGCCAGGCATGGTGGCACATGTCTTTAGTCCCACCTACTTGGGAGGCTGAGGTTGCAGTGAGCCGAGATCATGGCACCACACTCCAGCCTGGGGGACAAAGGATCTTGTCTCAAAAAAAATTAAAAAAAAGATGTTACTTTTAAAATATCATTCTAACAAGGAGGAATTAGTATTTATCCACATAAGAAATTATTTACTTTGTGCTGTCCTTTCAATCACCATTTATTGGTAGAAGATTTTGAAAATGATCCCTTATGAGAAAATAGGGAATTTGTAAACCAAGTGATTCTATGGTCCAGAACAGTCTGCCATAAACAGATATTTCTCTGAAGATTCACGTTTTATCTTAAACATTTGTGCAAATCTACTCTGTAATAGATCCATGGTAGTTTTTGTTTGAAAAGGTGTCCATCCAACATTAAGTAAAAATGACACTCCCAAAAGTGTTTATCCTCTGAGAAGCCAGCACCCAGCTCACACCCAGTTTATGAATAGCATTATGATGCTGCAGACCTACCCCGTCTCCATCCACCCTGCATTATATTTGCTGTAAAACTGTAAAGATAAATACTGAACCACATTATCTGTCTCAGGCATGTATGTGTACATGTGAGGGACAGAGCAGTCTTGAAACTTATGTGAATAAATTTTTTTTTTATTTTTACACCATAATCCAATTCTAGTTATCTTAATTGAATTTGAAAACTTTTTCAATTGCATTAAATTTACAAAAAAGTTCTCCCACATTACACTAAAGCATTCCTCATGTTTCACTTCCAGTACTCAGATACTGAATGAGTAAAATCATTTTATTGGCTCTCTTTTAATTAACTCCTTCAAATGCACATTGTTTAAAAACTGACTAGGTCAAAAATAGTTACGCCTGCAGGTTGACCTATTCAGACTTTGCCAAACTCCTCCAAGTTCAATATAAATTGACGTTTTCAGAGTACAAAGTCAATTTTACGGAAACGCTGTTCCTCCTTTTCCATGGAGCCAATCTGGGTAATTTTTTCATTAAAATTCTTCTTCTGCCTGTTTGCTGCGGAACTCTTTGAGCTGCTGTAGCCGCTCGATAGTTTCAGAAATGGTGCGTTCCCCGTGGACCTTATTGTCTCTTGTGCGGATATTAACAGTGCCACTGATTTTCTCTTTTTCACCAACAACTAAAACAAACACACAAAGCTTTGTCAGACTTAATCTAAAGATATGGAAGAATTCACACTGAACATCTGAAAAGAAATGATCCTAGGACCCAAAACCTACCCCATAGCTTCTGATACATTAAAAGGTACAAGTGACCATGTGTTGATATTTAAAAGAAACTCTTTGCAATATCTAAAACTACTGTGCTTATGGAGTCAATCTAGACAACGTAACAACCAAATAATAAAACCCCAAACATCATGAATATCTTTTTTCAAGTAATCCCACATAAGGCATTATCTTGAGAAAGTAATCCAATAGATGTGTTTAAAAGCAATGCGTCTTCATTCTTGTTATAATAGCAAAATATTTTCTCACAGACATCCATGATTTAAGTGAAAAAAAAAAAAACCCAGTATGTATGCATGAGCCTATTTTTATAGTTATTATATATTAAAATATATAATAGAAAAAAAATCAGGACTGGAAGGAACTAAATAAATTCTTGATTACAATTCACTTAAACCTGTCTCAAGGTTTCAGTAGATTTTCCTGAGGTGTGGCAAATTTTCTTTGGTAAGTTTCCATTCTTACCTAAAATGAAGTTATACTGTGCTAACTGTGCATTTCGAATCTTTTTATTCAATGTACAGCCTGGATCCAGATCAATGTCTGCCATGAATTTGGCATCGTGGAATTGTTGTCGTACCTATTGTAACAGAGATACAGAATTTGTCAGATCTAAAATCAGAATTATATTTTGATCTCACATGATTTTACTGAACACAGGGATCAGGACTTCTTGGATGAACTTCCAGGAATTTAAAGCTGGCAAAACTGTCTTAGATAATATTATTCACTGCCATTATTCCCCCCTCAAAAAGGCCAGCTCCTCTTTATTACCTCAGGTCATGTGTATTAAGTAAACAATGTTTTCAGTATTCTTTTCCAAAAAAGCAATAAACTAGATTACAATTTATTAATTTTACATTAACTAGATTAAACTTCCCATTAACCTGATAACATATTAACATGACAAAAAGACCTAAATGAACAATTTTATTTCACTATCATTTCATATGAACCTCAGATTACAGATGTGAAAAATATCACACGATCAACACCTGAAAGAAATGATCTTCAACTGAATAAATCTTAACTTCTGAGTATCAGAAAGTTTTTTTTTTTAATCAGGTTATCAGAGGCATTAGTCCCTTAACTTTAAAATAGAATAATATTTAATAGTCTAAAAGTAATTTAGATTAGAACAAATTAACAATGAGTATAAAAAATGTTTCTGTTCAGCCTGCTATGAGAGTTGGGCATTTTACATTCAAATCACCCCACACGTGGCAGAAAACTGTTTCCTTACAGTGGCCATTAACCCAAAGGAAGAACAGGAAAGTTGGAGGACGCTGGTGTTCCTTCCTCATCTCTGCCATAGAGACAGTACCATTGGGCTTTCACGCAAAGCCATGTGAGCAGTGACGGCCTATCCTCTTTTTGTAGACGCAGAAGTTACACTGTCTACTAGCAGAATCACCATCACAATTCCACCCAGACCTCTTAGAAGGGTCAGAGTTTCTGGAAATCCTGGTCAGAAAGCAGAATGAATTTTTCCAGGAAAACATCTTAAGTACAGCTGAAGGTGAAATAGTAACTATCATACTCTACTTAAGTATCATGAGTAAAACCAGCAATCTCTGGTTGACCTGGGTGACGAAATATTTCTTTCAATTTTTGATTGAAAAAGATTCTAAATGATCTACAACACATTCATTTCTCAAATGCGAGTTATGTGTAAACCAAGGGTTATTTATGTATGTCAAATGTTTATTTCTATAAGGCATACTTTTTGAAACAATCTAAGTGACTTTGCCTATACTGTGCACAAGTCTTAGCATTTTAACTAGATTTTTAAGCCACAGTGATCACGAACCAATTAACCTGTTGACATTTTATTACACCCATTTCAGAAGGGTTGTTACAGAATTTTAGAATGCCAAGATAGGTCTACATCTTCAACTTATAACTACTTTAAAGAATAAGGCATCAGTTTCTTCATTTTTCTCAACATGGGTCCTGTGTGTGCACGTGAGATGGGCAATTCTGCAGTTGGGGAAGTGGCCTGATAATTACAGGGTGTTTAACATGTCTGCTCTATAGTTATTAGGTATCAGGAGTACTGCCCTGTCTTCTCTCCCCGCAAAAGAAAAGCTTACCACCACATAATCTGGAATGCCACCTACCCGCAAAGGGAAATGGGGAAGTCAGTGCTGTCTCCAGTTGAGAACTCAGTTAACCAATACAGAACTTCTTCCTACTGTGTGAGTTTTCACATACAAATAAGACAAAGTGCACTCAACCATGGAACATAACTTTGATTGTCATCATTTGTAACTAAAACTACTGAGTGCAGTAACAGGAATAGTCTGAATGGTTTATCTATTAGATGGTTTAGTGTTCACTTCATTTTTTTTATTTATTTATTTGTTTTTATTTATTTATTTTTTTGAGATGGAGTCTTGCTCTGTCACCCAGGCTGGAGTGCAGTGGCATGATCTTGGCTCACTGCAAGCTCCGCCTCCTGGGTTCATTCCATTCTCCTGCCTCAGCCTCCTGAGTAGCTGGGACTACAGGTGCCCGCCACTGCGCCCAGCTAATTTTTTGTATTTTTTAGTAGAGACGGGGTTTCACCATGGTCTTGATCTCCTGACCTCGTGATCCACCCGCCTCGGCCTCCCAAAGTGCTGGGATTACAGGCGTGAGCCACCACGCCTGGCCCACTTCAGTTTTTTTTTAAGAGATGGGGTCTCACTATGTTGCTCAGGCTGGAATGCAGTGGCTACTCACAAGCACAATCATCACACCCTGAACCCTCAAAGATCCTCCTGCCTCAAGCTCCTAAGTAGCTGGGACTACAGGTATGCATCTCCATGCTCAAGTTCATTTATTTCTTAAGGGTAATTAAGAACTGAGTGTGGTTTATTCTGATGGTCTGAAGACATGATGGTTTTGATGTTACAGTATTGTTCACTCATCAACTTTTAATAATTTGAAATTCCTTAGTATGGAATTTTCACTATGGCAGAACAATGCTTTAAAGTGAAGTTATGAATGGCTATACATTTGTTGGTAAGTTAGTTTTTTTGGTAGAGAGGCAAGACATTGGTCTGCTATACTATTAACCTGAAAAAATTTCAACTACCTGAAGAAATTTACATTAAAATGAAGCAAAATTACTCACTGAGTCAAAGAGCAGCCTAAACTGTATTTTGAACGGGAATTTACCTACCATACTGAAGTACCTGATATCTGCTAATCTGGTTTTTTAAAATACTAAATACTAAAATATACAAGTGTAACTGGGTATGGTGGCTCCTGCCTGTAGTCACTGCTACTCGGGAGGCCAAGGTGGGAGGACTGCGTGAGCCCAGGAGTTTGAGGTTACAGTGAGCCATGACTGTACTACTGCACTCCAGTTGGGGCAAGAGAAAGATCCCATCTCTTAAAACAAATACAATAAAATATACAAGTGTACATAAAACACTATCCAAATATGTCTTCTGATTATGGAATCATGGAGAAAAGCATTAAAGAAGTAATATAATCTATTCAGGCTTAACAAAGATTAAAAATAGTAACATTTCTCTTTATCACAACAGCTCGATTCACCAAGAATACAGGGCTTATGTGATTTGAAAAGCTGAACAACAGATGTTAAATTGAAAGAAAATTCATATCTAAGGCTTACCTTTTGGGCATATTCATCACAGGTTGGTCCCACTGGAACTACCATTACCTGGCGAGGGGACAGCCAAAAGGGCCTTTGGAAGAGAATAAAAATATTCAGTGTAGATGTGGGCATATTCACTAAACAGGGACAGCATATTTCTTACTCTACTCTTCAGTATCTTTTCCTGGAACATGTAACGACTACTTTTAAAACTTGGCTTTAAAAAACCCCAAAATGAAAAGACCTATCCAATAAAGATTAAGGCGAGGAGATGCAGGAGAAGAAAACTAACCCTACGTAAGGAAAGCCTGTAACTACAATTTGTCTTGCTAAGTAGATAGCAAAGCAAATTGAGGATAGGACTAGGCCTCACACTTTAATACATCACAAAACACTGTGTATTGGCTGTGAGAGGAGGTAACAAATGATTTAATAACTGCATGTAGTGATTAATTGTTCATTTTATTACTTATTCTTCACGGGGACACAGTGCCCTCAGTTTACTCAACATCCATTTTGTATCATTCAGCAAATTGTAATTGATAATAACTGGTTATGGCACTTGGTAAAAATCAGAGTTTTCACTACTTATTAAAAAATAAGCCCATCCAATTCTCCCTTTGAAGCAATACAAGTGTCAAATGCTTCTGATGCTGCAAACATCAGGCTAATGTTTTTCTCCATCATTCCTCTATTTTCAGTTGTTCTGTTGTATCAGGCAAAAGGCTAAAGTAGGCACTAAATTCTACCCTAATCATGGACTTTTCCCCACCTAAAACAGGTTTAGCAGAGCAATTAGCTGAGGACTCCCTTAATTCTTGAAATACCTTGCAGAGAATGTGTCTCACATTTTATCTGACTTTGAGAAATCTAGAGATTATCTTGTATCATTGATCAGAATGAGAAACTGTCCTAATTTCTGAAGTAACCAAGTTCAAATAAAACTGAAATGACAGTAATGTGTAAGATTAAACCAATGTACGTCATTTTACAAAAGTTTTAAATCAATATGATTAATATGGAAGGCTCTACACACGGGTGCTTTTATAACCCTGTGCTGCTTTCAAATGCACTGTGGGTCCAGAAAAAACTGCTTAAGAATTAAGATGAAAGTTATGTGGCCATGTATCTTGGAAACAAAAACTTACTTAACCTCACAGAAATGAATCACAAATGTTGATCGGTTTGGCATCTGTTTTAAAAAATGCTTGGCTTTTAAAACATGTCCAAATACCTGCTTGTTATGATTAGCAAGGCTGAACGAAGAAAGCCATAAGCCTCCTCATTTATCTATGTAAAACCAGCAAAGCCATCTAAATCCCAAAACAAAGTTACTAGAAAAGCATCCAAAACAGTAAGTATACTTCTTACAGAATACTAATTCCTAATTAGAAAGTATTACACAACATCCAAACAAATCAAGTTCTGGAATTAAAGTAATTACTATTAGCAATTGTTCTTAATGCTAAAAAGTTTGTGTTTAGATTGTGATTCCTTATTTTTTAATGAACACTTGTCGTTAGTTAGAAGCAACCGATTGGAATCATTCTCCCTTTCCATCTGATAATTAAATCGAAAAGTAGACATTTCTTGTAGCCAATTTATACTAATCAGAAAAAAAAGACAGTGACAAAAATTACCATTTGCCCCCATAGTTTTCTGTGAGGATAGCAATCATTCTTTCCACTGATCCCAAGATGGCTCGATGAACAATCACTGGCCTTTTCTTATCATCACCATCATGGCTATAAAGAAAAAAAAAATTGTTTTGTCTTATTATATATATTTTCTCTTATATATCCCTGGAGAATATTCAGAGCAGACACCAGAAACTCACCTTACATAAGTAAGATTAAATCTGATGGGCAACTGGAAATCCAGCTGGATGGTTGCACACTGGTGGTACCGCCCAATCGCATCTTTAATCTGTATGTCAATCTAAGAAGCAAAGACTGGGTTATTATAAAATGCCAGTGATACTAAAGTGGAGCTCAATAGTTGGATTAGGGCTGATTTTCTTTTTTCCAACTTTTTTCGAAGTCGTATCTTCTTCATCCACAAGTGAAAATCATATTACCCAAATGTACTTTAGTGCTCACCTTTGGGCCATAGAAAGCTCCATCTCCAGAGTTTAACTCCCACTTTTCACCAAATTCATTCAGACTGTTTTCAAGTTGCTGAGGATAAAGCAAAATGATTTTTATTTTTTTCATCGCAATTTCCCTTCTTTTAGCCTAATTTGAGACTAAAAATACAGTAATTACTTTCATAGATCAATATTCTCTGCTTTAGAATTTTGTCCACCTGAACATATGCTCATACCAACCCCTTTTTAAAGCTTATAGCTTGATAACTGAAAAAAGTCATGAAAACATTCAACCATTTCAAAAATACACAATCATAAAGAAAAAAACTAGCTTACACAAACCTAGGAACCATTTCCAATTTCATTTTGCTTTTATCCATTTAAAGAGGCTTGGCTTTCTTACATCTCAGAACAAGCCAATTTCAAACAGTATTCAAAAGCACGCTGAAAAACACCACTTACTTTCTCAGCTTGATCCCATACTTCGATATCTCCAAGGAATTTTTCCGGGCGAGTAGAAAGGTTTAGTTTAAAAGAAAATCCAAATACGCTATATACCGTACGTAGAAAATCCAAACAACCTTTTATTTCATCTTCAATCTTCAAATTAAAAAACAAAAAAAGAAACAGTAGTTATTTTCCTTGACTTTCTTGACTCTTCTTTCTAAGTATTTTATTCCCAGGGTCTCATACCTGCTCCATGGCACAGAATATGTGAGCATCATCCTGTTGGAATCTTCGTACCCGGGTGAGTCCTGTGAGTGCTCCAGACAGCTCGTTCCTATGAAGTACCCCAAAATCAGCTAGCCGCAGAGGCAGTTCTCGCCAGGACCTTGGCCGATGATCAAACATAAGGCTGAAGAGAAAAAGAAAAGTCCACGGACACTTAAGAATAAAACTGCTTCTGTAATGCTATATTTAATTACACGAAAGGTTGTCAAAAAGCCACTGATTCTAGCTGTCCATCCAAGCAACATTTCTCAAATTCTGGGCTACATACAGCAGTAAAAGCACTTGCATGAATAAAACAGCAAATAAGTTATAACTCAATGAACCACAGTGAAGAATTAAAAAACGTATTCCAACAACTGAAGAATCTGGGAAAATTAAGAATGAACTTGGTTGGTCCCCTAGCCTATAATACAGCTTCTTCACAAAGATTCTTCTCTCACCTCCTCTGCCCTCCAGGCCTGGCTAGTAGGAGCTGCAGACACTAAGCTACCTGTATCCACAGCTCTCCTGTGTCTTCCCTTAAGCTGTTCTTCACCCAACTTTCAAAGATAGAAAGCAGAGCGGCCTCATGACAAGGAACATTTTCCAAGAATGCTGAGTCATTAGCAGGTTTTGACAGAACAGGTTTCTTTAAAACAACAACACACTAGGTAATTTGTTACACCCCCATATTTCATCTTCCTGTTTTATAGTCTGCCTTGGTCATTGCTATGATCCCAGTACCATTACTGAATGCCCACAGATCTGGAGATCTGGCTGGGCACAGTGGCTCATGCCTGTAATCCCAGCGCTTTGGGAAGCCAAGGTTGAAGGACCGCTTGAGGCCAGGAGTTTGAGACCAGGCTGAGCAACGTGGCAAGACCTCATCTCTACAGAAATAAAATTTTAAAAATTAGCTGGGCATGGTGGCATATACCTGCAGTCCCAGCTGCAGTGAGCTATAATCGCATACCTGCACTCCAGTTGGAAGACCTCTTTAAAAAAAAAAAAAAAAAAAGTGGGGATCTAATCAGGTGCAGAAGATATAATACAAAGATGTTGCGTTTAAATGCTCTTCTGATCACATAATTTGTTTTTAATGAAAATGTTGTTAAAGGAGGGAAGAACCCAGGATGAATTGTAGCATGTGAAAATCTTCAGTAGAAATTCAAAGCTGCCGAATACCAGTGTCCTGGGCAGTTCATGGGTTTCAGGGCAAACAGCTCCTTCTCCACCTCAAAGGAGAACATGTTCTCGCTGTAGTGCTGCCAGTGGCCCGAGGTCATCCAGAGTCGGCTGTTGAAGATGTTTGGGGTGACTACCTCCTGGAATCCTCTTTTCCTATATTCGCTCTGATAGAAAATAAACAGAAACATGTGTAGGCAAATAAATGCTCATACTTCAAGTGGGAGTAAAAACTTAAAGAGTGATTTTATACTCTCTCATGAAAAAGATGGACACATGCCATGATTCAGAAATCCCACTTCTAAGTATATACCAGAGAGAAAACTCTTGGCACATGTACCTAAGGAGGCTTATAAAAGTGATGCTACTGCAGCATGGCTGATAATAAGGGACAATTATACATCAGTGTCCATCAATACAGGGATGAGTGCATTGTGGTAGTTATATAACAAAATAATATGTAGCAAGTGAAAATAAACTTGATTTGCATGTCTCTAAAAATAAATCACAAGGCAGTCTGATACACAATGAGGCTTCCTATATGTAACACACAAATACATAAATAATTTAAGGGTACAAATACATGGGCTAGATATAAGTAACATGGACAAAAAGAATCCATGCCAACTTCAAAACAGTAGTTTCTTCTAGAAAACTGGTATATGATATACCAGTATATGGATATATATACCAGTATATGGAGGTATATGGATCAAAACTGGGTCCTAAAGAGAGGCTTTTTAAACAACTAATTTTTTTTTTAATATCATGAATGAAAAAATCTCAAGCAAATATAGCCCAATGTGAATATTTGTTAAATGTGGGTAGTTAAGTACAAGATATTGGATATACTATTCTCTATAAACTTATACTTGAAACATTTCATAATTTACAAAGGAAAAAAGCAATGTAAAAACCGTTTTTTCAAAGAAAATACAAATAAATGATCAAAGTCAAAGAGGGCACAGAGCTCCTATGTCAAGGACCACAGGTCCCCCTTCAAGCTCACCAGTTTCTATGTGTATATGGGCAAAATCAACTATTAGGGATGATTTATGAGGCCACAGACTTCTACTTTTACTTATCGTCTTATATATTTCTTCTCAAATACAGATTATCTTTCCTTTTAGTAGACCTTATTTAATAAAATGATCACATATCCTAAATCTAAAGAAGAAAGCAATAAATATGACTTACCCTAATGAATTCAATAAGTGCATTATAAATGTAGGCTCCTTTTGGCAGAAAAAAGCAACTTCCAGGGCTGAGTTCATGAAAGAAATATAGTTCTTGGTCCTGGGTAAAAGAAAAGCAAAAGAATGTTTATGTACGTCACGTATACGTGTGTGTATATATACATAAATTTCAGTGTTCTTGAGCTCAGAATATGGTCATGATGTCCCATATTTCAATCAGTGCCACTCCTGAATCAAAGAAACCATGTCAGTGTTTCTGATGTTATAGAATTGCAGCTGATTTACAATTTGGCAGACGTGTAACACATGCCCTGCCTGTTATATTCCTCAATCCAGTCAAGTTTCCCCAACAGTGGCAGGGAATAAGGGTCCCTTCAGTTCTTTAACTATCCACTGCAGTACCTCTCATGGTTCTTAAATTCCTTAAAGCTCCAAGATCTGGATCTTTTTTCATTTTATTTATGTATGTATTTATTTTCTTAGTAAGAGTATCAGGAAGGAGACTGGGAAAAAGACACTGATAATGAAATAGATGATGGTAAAGTTGGCTGACTTTGGGTCATGGTGAAAGAAACACACCCTCCTACCTCCTTGCCAACATCCGCCTCCCCAAGTGCCCAAAAGCCCTCAGGGAAGGGCCCATCAATCATTGCTGGCTGCCTCATAGCTGGAATGTCAGGTAGTCAGGGGTGCAAGGCAGTGGCTGCTACCTCCAGCTCAAGCTTCATAACCTAATAGCCAAGGACCCCTGGCACAGAGTGCCTATTTTAAGGGGGAATGTTTTATCTAGCCTAACTTCCAGTTTAGAGGACATTCAGCAGTAACAGAGATAATGGGTAGAGGAAATGATAGCACAGGATCCATGTGCGACATGCTGCTAAACCTTGGGCAACAAGTAGGTTAATCTTTGTGGGACTCTGTTTCCACATTTTAAATGAGTCAGTGAAACTAGAGGGTTTCCATAGTTCTCCCAGCTCTATGAGAAGCTGTTATACTTCTTTTACAGAAAACCGTAGATCATCAGTGTTTGCTCTCAATAAAAGTAGTTCAAATGCATTTTTGTGCGGTACTGAGCATACTCCAGGCAGATAATGTGGACAATCAGTAAGTGTTTATAGTTTGTACAGGACATAGCACCAGTTACTAAAAAGCCACAACATCTCTTCAAAACAAAATTCCTAGTACTTCATGCAGCTGAATTTCAAACTTCAAATGAAGTTGAAGAAAACTCAGTCAAGACACATCATTGTTCTTGAACATACCCTGCCAATTTTCCTATGATCTCGGTTTTTAGCTTCCTCTTGGAACTTCTCCCACTCTTTCAACATTTTAGGATCTGGGAATGAAATGCCATAAATTCTCTGGAGAGTCTCCATATCTGCTTTGCCTTCCCAGTACGTGGAGGAATTCTGAAAACAAGGATTAACCATGAAACAACATTCAAATTTGTAAACATCTCACTTATTTTAACTCCCAATTGCTTTGAGGCCTTGTTAGAGTAGTTACTCATTCTGCAGCACAAAGTTGGCTGTTTTCTATCCTCAAAAATGCCCCTCCCTCAATCTGCAGGTGGGTGCAGTGGCTCATGCCTGTAATCCCAGCACTCTGTGAAGCCGAGGCAAGAGGATTGCTTGAGCCTGGGAGTTCGAGACCAGCCTGGGAAACACAGGGAGACCCCATTCTTTATTTAAAAAAAAGAAAATTACCCAGGCATGGTGGTGTGCGCTTATGGTCGCAGCTACTCAGGAGGCTAAGGCAGGAGGACTGCTTGAGCCTGGAGTGCAGTGGCACGATCTCCATTCACTGCAACCTCATTTCCCAGGCTCAAGTGGTCCTCCACTCTGTCTTTTTGGGGCAACAGAGTGAGACCCATTCTACACCCCAATACCCCCAAAACTGCCCACCCCTCAATACTCAACCACAATTCCACAAACATTACTTTGCCTGCAAAGGCATTTCTCACAAAATGAGCAAAAATAGAAATGAGCCAATAAAAAAAAAATCTTGAAATGACTCAATTATTCTCTTGATTTAAAGTGCATTTTAAAAACCTCCATAAAATGTTTATGAACTAGTATAAAACTGGGTTCTGTTAAAAACAACAACTTGGGAAATTATTAATTTAGACATATAAAGGGCAAAAGCACATACTCCCAGTGAGTCTCAAAGCTTTTATAGAGCCAGGATGGCCCATGCTGTATGATTTTGTAAAATCTCCATCCCCTGTGATTGCTCTGGCAATGACAGCAAGTCAGTCACCCCTTGAGGGATTTCAATTATAAAATCCTGATGGCATACAGCTCCCAGTTAATAGAGAGCATGAGAAAATACCATCCTTTCATGTGCAACAGAAAATGGTAAAGAGAAATCAGTGAAAGTTTAAACATATATCTATTCTAGACAGATACATTCACAGTCTTTAAAGTTACATTACTTACTTTGTGTATTTTTAAAGCCTTAATTTTGCCCGTGTGTCTAACATGAGGACCCCGGCAGAGATCTATCAAAGGGCCACATCTAAAGATAAAATGAAAGGAATTTTAACAAAGACAAAATGACATACATACCAGATACATTTAATGACATCTAATATTCTTACCTATAGACTGTGGTAGTTGGAGTATTCACCTTTTCATTCAATATCCGGCATTTGAACTTGTTGTACTGAAAACAGGAAAAATTATTATTTTAAAAAACTGTCCTTTAATTTTTACTTCTAAGTACTATAGCTAAAACGTAGCACTGTATGAATATAAATGTTGATACTTCATGTTTTAAAAACATGTTGAAGGAATGGTTTGCTAGGAAAAAAATGAAATTAAAAAAATAATAAAAACACTTAATTTTTGCTAAAGAACCAATTAGACTTCAGCTTAGTACACGGAACGCCAGTGGTGTCACTTCAACTAACATGAATAAATGATATTAACAGTGGGGGCCACGCACTATGGTTCAATTTACCTTAAACATTGCCAGTAAAGTTTCTTTCTTAACTTCCAGTCTTTCAAAAGCTTGTTTTTCTTTAATGATTTTCTTACACAAAGCCTCCAGAGAAGAGAAATCATTGCTAGACACACCCCTGAAGGAGAAGAAAGTATAATCTTTTCATTCCATTCGAATCACACCATGGCTTCGAAAAATGTTCATTTGGAAATAGTATTTGGAATACTTCAAGGGTTTTAATATTAAAAAATTAGACTATTGCATCGTATCTTAGAATTCTAAACAAAACATTTTTCATAAGTAATTTTTACATTTTATATTTTCAGTAGCTTCTACCTTGGTCATCCATGGAGACCTTTCTCACTAGTGACCCCTTCCCGCAACTCTATCACCAGGTTTTAAAGGAGAGGGGAGGACCAGTCTCCCTGAATTTCCCAAAATACCTTAGGACTCTACCTCCATCAATCTAGAACAGAGGTCTCATCAAATCCTCTATTACTTCAGGTAAATTGCAACACTTCAAGTACTGATAATGGGCATACCTGATGAAGAAGCAGTGAGATCTATATCATTCCTCCCTTACTGAGAACTCTTAAGAATAACTTATGGATCCATAGTCATTGACTTCAGTTTTCTTTATCTAGTTGATGGCTTACCCTTCTTCGAGGTACATGTCATAATAGAATCCATTTTCTATTGGCGGACCGTAGCATAAACATCCACCATAGACTCTTTCCATGGCTTCACCCATTATGTGAGCACTAGAGTGCCAATACACCTGAAAATTTAAAGAAAAATGGCATGGTCTGAGTCTTGGCATACAAGTTGCCAATTAATGTGGTTGTCTGAAAGAGACAGATGATAATATTTACTACAAGTAAACCCAATATATAAAATCCTAAATTTCTAAATCTATAAACTACTGTTTCTATCCATAGCCAAAGTAATTCAAAAGGCTTCCAATTACTAGTGTATTTTTATTTTGGAAATCATCTGGTTTAGCTGTTTTCAAACAAATTAAACTAAACTTGGCATCACTAATTAAATGACATAGACTTTGTTCTCTGAAAACAACTGCTACTCACAATGTGACTAACTCATTGATTGCAATGGCCCAGGTTCTTTTGAGTCAATGTGCCCACAGCACCATGTCTCAGACACTGTGATCTGGCCTTTAGCTGGCTATGGAACATCACTTAGAAATTACATGTTGTTACTGGCCCAAAACAAAGGTGGTACAACCCGACCCCACAACACAATGACAAAACACGAGGACAAACATCTGTACACTGAAATCAAATGGCAGTACTTGGTTTTAAAGTAATCACTGGGATGAGTCAGAATACACCCAAAGCAATGTTTTCAAGATTTAGTATTAAGGTACCAAAGTGACATTAAAAAATTCTCGTAAGAAACTTGAGGGCTCCAAAATACATTTGAAAACCACTAATCCACATACATAAGTGAACAATCATCACTAAAACAAAATACTTTGTCTCCCCTTATATGATACACAGCCATGGAGAATTAAAAAGAAAATCTTGTCATCACATGCAGGTTGACTTTTATAGTGTTATCCAGCAGATTTGCATCTTAAGATGAGAAAAAAATACAGAAATTATCCAATAAAGGCAGTGCTTTGAAGTAAGGTTCAAATTTATTTGTCAAATGTACATATCTTGCTAGAGTGTTCATAGCTTAGAGGCCAGGCACAGTGGCTCACACCTATAATCCCAGCACTTTGGGGGGCCGAGGTGGGCAGATCACTTGAGGTCAGGAGTTCAAGACCAGCCTGGCCAACATGGTGAAACCCCATCTCTACTAAAAATACAAAAATTAGCCAAGTGTGGTAGTGCGCTCCTATAATCCCAGCTACTTGGGAGGCTGAGGCAGGAGAATAGCTTGAACCTGGGAGGTGGAGGTTGTACTGAGGCAAGAGCGCACCACTGCACTACAGTCTGAGTGACAAAGCAAGACTCCATCATTAAAAAAAAAAAAAATTAAAATAAAATAGTGTTCACAGTTTAGAAAACAATTTTTACTTGCTTAATCAATGTTTAATACAATTCCCAAAACATTTTCCCTATTGAAGTGTCTAGTAATGAAAAGACTTATTCAGCTTCACCCCTTTATTTTCTAAGGCAAGCACTTTTATTATGTTCCCTAAATGAAGGACAAAATGAAGATTTCAAATATGACAGTGAGACAACAATAAATGTTAGCCACCCAATCGCAGCAGGACTGAGCTGGAAAAGACTTCAAATGTGAATCTGCATCCTAAAATTCAATGAATACTAATCAGCAACTTACTGCCTGAGCTTCCTCATCCTCAAACTTGAGAAGCTCCAAGGTACAATCTTCTTCCAGAGGGCGGTCCAGGTCCCACACAACATTATTTACTTTAGCAATAACGGTGTTGTCGGCCAGGCCTTGACTTAAAAAAAAAAAAAAAAAAAAAAGTCCACACATATATAAGTACACACGAATCTAATTTGAAAACAGGAAAATAAACACTATTTTTATTATATATTGTTTTTTTATATTGATGTATCTCTATTTTTCTGAAATATAATGATAAAAACAACAAATTCCAAAAATGTACCTAAGAACCTAACTGGAAGATCCTGAAAATGCAGAACATTATCATTTGACATTGAATGCCTCCTGTTTAAGCAGATATGGCAACTCTGATAAATAAGCACTATCAATTTCCAATGGTTTGAATAATCTTAATTTCTCCAACAAATAAGTTTTTTTTTTTTTAATTTTTTAGCGACAGGGTCTTGCTATGTTGCGCAGGCTGGCCTCCTGGCCTGAAGCAATCCTCCAACATCAGCCTCTAGAGTAGCTGGGACAACTGGCACAAGTCACCACACCGAGTTTTCTCTTAATACACCCACCTTTCTCTTTCTACAAAGCTAAGCTATGTAGACTCCAAAGGAAAAAAAAAAGGCCTACTAAATAACTTCTCTGTTCCTCTTCCTGCTTAAAATGTACACCAGATCCTTTCTTTGACAGACAATGCTAACCTCAGAATAAATTCTGCAAATGCCTATGATAATATTTATAACAAATATAGAGGTAAAATGAAAGACTATTTAATAAAACTTTCCATATAATGTGAGTAAAAACATTACACACCCAATATACAACATCGAACATAAAGTATCATCAAGTGATGAAATATCAGAGCACACAGAGTGTAAAAGCTACAGGAGTTCTGAGGAGGGAAAGCAGTACAGGTCAGAGTCATCTGGAAAGGCTTTGAGGATAAAGCACTCACAGGAAGAAAAGAGGAGGCCATGGCATTCCAGATGAGGGAATGGCCACAGATGCAAGCAGAGATGCAAGTGAAGAGAGGTTTTTGCAGGAAGCTGTGTGACTAGAGCAGAGTTGAGTAGGTGAGCCAGATTATACATCTAAATGCACAGCTAGAGAAATAATAGTCTATAACAGCCTGGACATCTCAACGAAGGTAGGCAACATTCTACACTGTGAAGAAAAAGTATACACCCTTTACACTGTAAATCTCAAAGAAACCTACCACTAGAAGGCTTTAAGCTAGCCAGGCTTGCTGTGTTGGTGGCTCTCTATGTCTAAGGGTTTACAACAAAATGTATACAACTCCTATCTGAGGATCAAGAGAAAAGAACCAAACAGAAAGTAAACAACAAACTCCTTTCTATTTTCAATGCTCCTACTAACTTTACCATAGGTTATAAACAATGTTTTCTTTCCTCCTGAGATCAGATGGAGTCAATAAAATAAATACATGCATTTCACAAAACATAACATGAATTTGGCAGAGAGAAATGTATTTCATCATATTGGTGTAAAACAGTTTTCAGGAGATTAAAGAACTGATAAAAAGGATAATCATATTCTCTATATTCTTTGGGAAGAACATGACTTTTATCTTATGATCCAATATGGAGCCCCAAGATTCTAAGAATAGAGTTACTCTGAAAATGTAGATTACACATGGGCCATACTGGATCATTTCAATTTTTCAAAGAAGGGTAAAATAATCTTTAAGATTTGTAACAAAACGGCCAGGCGCAGTGGCTCACGCCTGTAATCCCAGCACTTTGGGAGGCCGAGGCGGGTGGATCACGAGGTCAGGAGATCAAGACCATCCTGGCTAACACAGTGAAACCCCGTCTCTACTAAAAATACAAAAATTAGGCAGGCGTGGTGGCGGGCGCCTGTAATCCCAGCTACTCAGGAGGCCGAGGCAGGAGAATGGCGTCAACCCAGGAAGCGGAGCTTGCAGTGAGCCAAGATGGCGCCAATGCACTCCAGCCTGGGCGACAGAGCGAGACTCCTCCGTCTCAAAAAAAAAAAAAAAAGATTTATAACAAAACTTCAAAGAAAAACCTTTTGACGCAAATGGAACATGTCTTTTTTGTCCTTCCCTTTCATATTCACCACTAATTATGTGAATCTTTAAATAGCCTGTTATCAATGTTATAATTTTTCACAGAACAAAAAGTTATTCTGGACTTTTGTAAAAATTTCATAAAGTATTCTCAGTGCAGATCAGTGACTTAACTCCAGAGCTAAAGCCCATCAATGTTTTATGTAATTCAACCTTTTATTTTTTTCCCTGGAGACGGACTCTCGCTCTGTCACCAAGGCTGGAGTGCAGTGGCTCAATCTTGGCTCACTGCAACCTCCACCTCCCGAGTTCAAGCTATCCTCCCACCTCAGCCTCCAAGTAGTTGGGACTACAGGTGTGCGCCACCATGACTGGCTAATTTTTGTATTTTTAGTAGAGACAGGGTTTCGCCATGTTGGCCAGGCTGGTCTTGAACTCCTGACCTCAGGTGATCTGCCTGCCTTGGCCTCTCAAAGTGCTGGGATTACAGCTGTGAGCCAACACGCCCAGCTATGTAATTCAACTTAGAATTTTATAGTTCTTGAAGAATATTTTTCAACTGAAGACTTGATAAATTACAATGTAATCTAGATCAACATTGTAGAAGGTAGAGGAAAAAGTTCCCAAACTAACAGAAGCCTAAATTTTAATGACACGGCTACAATCTCATTGTGTGACAACAGAGGAATCTATTAATCAACCTGACCTTCAAAATTATCTCTAAAATGAAAGGTTGAACTGATACGTAAAGGTCTATCCAGTTCTCTATGCTCTCACATAGAAACTTGCATGGTATTACAACTTTTTACTTCCTTTGGAGTAAGGTAGAAGAACTTGTAGGTAGAAGCACTTGTCAAATGAATGGAAACACTCCATTCACTTTGTAAAAAGTACTAACTAATGTCTGTGGTACAGTAGATGCTCATGGCTCATAGGCCTAACTGGTTCTGCTTCTACTAGTTGTATAATACGCTTACCAAGAATCAGCCACGTTGGTTCCCCAAACTGTTTTTGTGCTTGTTCTTTTACGTGTTTGGTTCAACAATACAAAATTGATGATAATCAACCACATGACAATTCATATGGTGATTCCAAATGGTTCAATTCAATACATAACACTTATAAATAAACTTCAAAAATATATAATTATAAAATAACACAATAAGGGAATTATGGATTCTATGAAAACCAAGTTGAATGTTTGAGAAGGCTTGATAAATCCAAGTCACACACACAAAAACACTGTCAAGTTAGGTGTAACTCTACAACTACATGAAAATCTGCAAGGATTCTGTGCTCAGACTACTTCTCGTATGTGTTAAGATAATGTAAGAACTCTAATTAGCACTCGCTATCCCCCAAACCTTGCCATACATATATATATTCACTGTTTTATGTATGTATATAAAGTTAGTGAATACATACATATTCACATATTTTAAGTTGAAGTGTTTAAGACCAAGATTGGCAAGCTTTTTCTGTAAAAGGCCACACAAATATTTTACACTTTGCAGGCCAAACATGGTCTCTGTTGTATATTCTTAGTTGTTTTATTTTTTCCAACTATTTAAAAATTTAAGAATCATTTTTGGCTGGGCGCGGTGGGTCACGCCTGTAATCCCAGCACTTTGGGAGGCCGAGGCGGACGGATCACAAGGTCAGGAGATCGAGACCATCCTGGCTAGCACGGTGAAACCCCGTCTCTACTAAAAATACAAAAAATTAGCCGGGCGTGGTGGCGGGCACCTGTAGTCCCAGCTACTCGGGAGGCTGAGGCAGGAGAATGGCGTGAACCTGGGAGGTGGAGCTTGCAGTGAGCCAAGATCGCGCCACTGCACTCTAGCCTCCTGGGCAACAGAGCAAGACTCTGTCTCAAAAAAAAAAAAAAAAAAAAAAAAAGAAAGAAAAAAAGAATCATTTTTATTTTTCGCTTTCAGGACATACACAAACAGATTATGACTAGAGTTTCCCAATACCCAGTTTAAGATATATATATATACACGTGTATATATACGCGTATATATATACACATATATATGTTTTACCAACTCTTATTTTGATAAACTGACCAATTATTGATCCCAATCATATCAGATTAAGAAAGCCTCTCCCCTATTACAAAATATGCATCTAATTCTCAGTTAATTGAAATAACTTCTTCCCACCCCAATAAAAGTTTTAAGACTAGGAATAGTCTTTCATTGAATTTATAAAAATAGTACATTTTTTTCATGTGTTATATGAAGTTTCTTAACCTTTCCATGTGAGATTATGTAGCTTCATTTTTAACTTCAAAACCAAGACATTTAAGTCGAAATAGGTAAACACTGTCTAGTCGGTTTTGTAACATTTATAATCATAGTAAGACTAAAAATATACAATGCCCCAAAAGATAAGACCAAAGTAAACTCTTTCAGAAATTAACTTTGAATTTTGACTACAAAGCTCTGTATCATTTTGATTTTTAAAAAATCTCAAGTAGGCAAAATTAAACAGATTAAAAACACTGAATGGTAACATAAAAATATTATAAGAATAAAACATGGCAAGATAATAAAAGGAAGTTTAGTTAGACCACAAACTATGGAAGGTCATGATGGGTGTAGCTTATACCTAATTCCACAGGCAATTTGATATGGTGTAGTTTTCCAAGATTCCGCATCAACCTGTTTACCATCAGGCAAAGTGACTTTAATTGGCTTGCTATCTTTTTCTGCCTTTTCTGCCAGAATGGAATCATGTTCTGCTTTTAGTATATTATACATCTCAAGACGTGTGTAAATATATTCAGGCCAAGGATTCAACTGCAAGACAACAAACAAATCAGGAAATAAATGATCAGTAAATATTGCTTTCCTATTTAGAAATGGGAAAGAAATAATAAAAACAATACAGAAACCCAGGACTATTGATTCAATGTGGTAAATAAACACTGCCAAAATCACCCGGCATTACCTCAATTTGGTTCTAAATGAAGGTAAAAGAAGGAATTAAATGCCCTATTCTTATGCTGAATCGACAATTACCATTTTGCTACTATTTACAGCAAGTGGTCTTTTCTCTTTTAAGATGTCTTCTTAGGATCTTTTCTAACTAAATTATTTTACAAATAGAGCTATAAACAATACTGGAAATAAAAACAATAAACTGGCTTTTCTATTTTGTTTCATTCATGTCCAGGTGATGGTCTGTGCAGCGGGTCAGCCTATATGTCCACTCACAACCAATCACAAATTTCTTTGACTTAAGGTCTCCCCTTCAAGGAAAGTATTTACTGAATTCAAAGATGCCATGATCAGCTTGGAGTATGTAATTAGCAACTATATAAAACAACACACTACTACTTTCTATAGCAGATAAAATTAACAAAAATATTCTATATAAAACACCCACTTAGGTTTCTAGAGGTTTGGCAAAGAAAGAAAAAGAGACAGCAATCAGAGAGCTGACTTCTTCTACTGTCACTCTATAATCTATGGAACATTTCAAAAAGGCAGTGAATCTGTGGTAACAAAACAGTCAAACTAACATCTACAGCATTCATCATCTTCAAATTACATGAACATTAACACTTCATACAAAAGTGAAGAGGAGATTGCTTAATTTTGCCATGACTTTCTATCTTCAAATGAATTTCAATCTATCAGATATAAAATGACTTACTGCAATACAGATTTTAACATTTATTCAATGTTGATAATGCTACCAACGTCTCCATACATATGTCTCCATATATATCAACATACCACAATTTGAAAGGAGTACAAGGGAATATCTAATCCTTAAGAAACTGACTGGGGCAGGGCATGGTGGTTCATTCCTGTAATCCCAGCACTTAGGGAGGCCAAGGCAGATGGATCACTTGAGGCCAGGAGTTCGATACCACCCTGGCCAACATGGCAAAATCCTATCTCTACTAAAAATACAAAAATTAGCCAGGTGTGGTGGCGCACACCTGTAGTCCCAGCTACTTGTGGGGCTGAGGCATAAGAATTGCTTGAACCTGGGAGGTGGAGGTTGCAGTGAGCCAAGATTGGGCCACTGCACTCCAACCTGGGCAACAGAGTGAGACCTTGTCTCAAACAAAACAAAACAAAACAAAATTGACTGGAGATAATAGAAAATAATATCAAATGAAAAAGATTAATTGTCTGCCCAGTAATTCCTTCCCTCCCTCCTTCTTTCCATTCTTTAACGACAGGGTTTCACTATGTTGCCTAGGCTGGCTGGAGCGCAGTGACTATTCACAGGCACAGTCACAGCGCATTTTGGCCCCAAACTCCTGGGCTCCAGTGATTCTCCCACTCAGTCTCAAGTGATTGGTTCCTACCACCGTATCAGGCCCTAATATCTTTGTAATTCCCACCCACAGCAGTCCCTCCCTTTCTTTAGTCGTTCAGTTGTTGAGAGCTTTTCATCAAATTATCACAACGGTCCATAACCTTCAATGGTGAAGAACCCATGAATTAACTAAAAGCTCAGACAGAGCCTGTCATTCTACAACCATAATCTGAACCCCTCAGACTAATGCACAGTACCCAGTTCCATCCACTCTAAAGCATCATTATAATCCTACCCACCTGCACCACCCTCTGTATCTTAACTGCAGTTTATCATCATAGCCACTTGCAATGTCCCAATTAGAATTTCGTGTCAAAATCTCTTCAACATTCATTCAGCAGATACCCTCTGTGTCAGTCTCTGTGATTGCAGAGATGAATAAAACCTGCAAGTTGCCCTTGGAGGGGAAGACCAAGGTCTTGGACAGTTCACTGTACACTCTTTTTTCCAGACCAATCGTTAAACATAAATAATCACATGTCCCACTTAAAATTCTCTGTTCAGAAGAGTCTTCTAATTATACTCTTTGTCTTATTTCCAGGTCATTTCTCAAGCTGTGATGGAACAGCACGTATGTTTGTATTGAAAGTATAAAAAAGAAATTAGGGAACATATGCATTTTTCCATTGGCTTGCAAATTTTAAAATTCACAATCAACAATTTTCTTCACAATTACAGTGGGGGTATAATGGTCGGGAGACTGATCAACTGATCAGCCGTAAGATAAATGGTTAGGTAGGGTTCTAAGCAACACTACACTTGATCATCTATAAACTTACCCTAAAGTAAATGACGGCACTATAAATTTAGCAATTGCAGCATTTGTAAAAGTGGCTCTTAAAAGCCAGCTTACTGTGCTACTTCTAAAAAGGCTGTTCCTTTGTGCTTCTTCCTTCTGGTAGCTTTCTAAAGAGTCTCCAATAAAACAGCTGTAATGACTAAAGCAAAAAGTGAAGCACAGTTCACAGCAGTAAAAATAAAGTAGAAAGGCAAGCTTAACTGCCTGTAAAAGCAAAATACTCAGGAACCAGGTTGATTTAGGGCTGGCTTTTGATATGCCAGTTCCTTTCAGTGTGAGCCTGGAGAAGTGAAAGCATTTTCTGCAGACTTGAGAGGCCTTAAGGGGATCTGTCCTGGCTTAGAAGCCAACCCTAGGGCAGGTCCAGATGGAAAGGGCAAGGAGGGGGTCAAAAAACTGGCTTTCTTTGGTTTTCATTGTATTCAGTGTAAGCCCAAACACCAAGTCTCTATTCCCTAACATCTCATTTAATGAAATGTCAGAGCTGGCATCACATCTGGCAACTGAATAATTACCAGTCTCCTCTTCAACTTTTGTTCTCTGATTTTTATATTCAACCCTACAATCAGATCATCTTATACAATCATACGCCAGTTGCTTCCTTTTACAGTAACAACTGAAAGTCTTTTTTCCCCTCTCAGATTACCCTTTCCTAATTCTTCTTCCTGATTTTTCCAACCAGTACCATCTTACACTACCATGTAAACCATTAGAACCCTTACACATTAGGAAAGTCTCAGAAAGTTCCCTGCGATTTGCCAACCTCTGATAACAGAGCCCTCTGTGATGATAACTTTTACCTCAGCTCGACCTCCATCTCCAGATCCTTCTTTGTTCTTCTTTTTGCCTCCTTCCTTTTGCTTCTCTTCACCAGCACCAATCTAAATAAGCAAAAAACGTTTTATATTTTAATCTAATGTGACACCTCCATCCTGTGATGCCCCAGGAAGTGTTGAGAATGTTATTTTAGTATTTGTTATTTAATTTAAAAAAAATGGAAATCTGATATTGAAAGACTGAACAATTTCATCACTGGCAAAGACAGGTTAACAACTTACAATAAAGGCAAGTCTTTAAAAAGTAGGAAGGAGTTACTAACGATGTTTAACTCCTCAAATTTCATTTATTTTATTTTAACTATTCTTGTGACTCTCGCTTCAGGTTTACTTGGACCACATACCAAACATATGGCCACAAGGAAGCACGCAGTTGATTCAGTAAGCATATTTCCAGGGGAAAAAAAAAAAAACTGAATGCAAAGTGTGCCCATGAATTCCACCAGTGCTAACAAAAGCCATGGAAGAAGCAAACATAAGGCCCAATCCCTACCATGTGTAAACCTAGTCTCTCCAGGGAAAGTAAGGCATACATGTGTGAGAAACTCCCGGAGGAGAAAACACAGTAGTAACGCTACGATTAGATGTCAAATAAGCTAGGACTAGCGTTTTAAAGGATGGAATGCATTTCAACAGGTGGATTCTGAGAATACAGGAAATGTGTCCTATGTGTACACATAAGCTTGTTGTCAGAAATGTTAAAATTTAAAGAGAGAAAAAATGACTAAACCAGGCTGATTAATGAAGGATTGTTTTAGAAAGTAATACAAGGTAAGACAGACTAAGGCTCACAGAAGCAAGAACTAAAAGTTACCATAAGGAATACAGACTTCAATTAGAAGCAAGTGAAGTCATAGAAAGTTTTAAAGTAATAAATCCTGTGCCAGGAATGTAAACAGGGATTTTAATTAGTTTGCATGTTTGTGACCTTTAGTTTTCTTAAGTTTTAAGATACAATTCATATACCATACAAGTTACCCATGTAAAGTACACAATTCAATGGTTTTTAGGTATTCACTGTTTTGCAACTATCACTACCATCAATTTTAGAGTATTTTCATCACCCTCAAAAAGAAACCTTGTACCCATTAGCAGTTTACTCCCTGTTGCCTTCATCTCCAGACCCTGGCAACCATTAACCTAGTTTCTGTTTCTATAGATTTGCCTATTCTGGGAATTTCATATAAATAGAATCACACATTATGTGGTCTTTTGTGACAGGCTTCTTTTAGTTAGCATAATAATTTCAAGATCATCAGGTTGTAACATGCATCAATACTTGTCATTGTACCTTTTTATTATCAAATAATATTCCATTGCTTACTTATCCATTTATCAGTTGATGGACATTTTGGCCATTGTCTTTTAAATCCTATAAAATGCGTTACTTGTATAATTAAAAAAAAAACTAATTTTAAAATATGACTCCTAATTTCATGCTGAGCTAAAATCCCCCCTACTCCAGAAGTCTGGATTTAATAAACTTTAAAGGTTCATTTAGATTCAATAGAGCCTTTGTTATACTGCAGAAGTGATGTAACTGATCAAGTATACTGGGTAAAAAGAAAAATTGCGGCTGGGCGCGGTGGCTCATGCCTGTAATCCCAGCACTTTGGGAGGCCGAGGCGGGCAGATCACGAGGTCAGGAGATCGAGACCATCCTGGCTAACACGGTGAAACCCCGTCTCTACTAAAAAATACAAAAAAAATTAGCCGGGCGTGGTGGCGGGTGCCTGTAGTCCCAGCTACTCGGGAGGCTGAGGCAGGAGAATGGCTGGAACCCGGGAGGCGGAGCTTGCAGTGAGCAGAGATCGCGCCACTGCACTCCAGCCTGGGAGACAGAGCAAGACTCCATTTCAACAACAACAACGACAACAAAAAAAAAAAAAAAAAGAAAGAAAAATTGCAGGTCTGTGCAGGTTTAAAATGGAAAGATGATAAAATAAGTTTTATATTTCTGATAAGATTATTTTGGTTTTGACCATTTGCCAAATGAACAGGGGTAGTGAGAGAGAGAGAGAGAGAGAGAGAGAGAGAGAGAGAGAGAGGGAGAGAGAGAGAGGGAATCACCACAAAGGTTTTCTGGTTCTAAATACGGCTCCATTTTACAAACAAGAACACTGGCTCAAAGAAGTAACTTGCCCATTTGTATCATTAAGTAATAGAGCTGGGAAATTACAACAGGTCTCTCTGGAACCCTGAGGCCTATGACCCCTTTTCTACAACACTGGGAAGAGAGTAGGCAACTGTTCTCTATTTCCCTGAGTATATATGGTATGTACATCTACATACAAGTAATCTAAAATCTCAACCCAAAAGTTGGGAAACAGAACCGGATTGTGAAGAGAAGCTACAGAATTACCTTTCTCAGGAATGATCTGTCCCTGACTCACTCAGAACAGCACAGGGGTTATTAGTATTGGCTATAGGATACTGGGTTTGAGGAAGGAAAAAAACGGGGATACTGGGTTTGAGCAAGTTACTGTTCCTACGCCTGCTTTCTCATCTGTATAATGGAGATAATAACAGAACCCACTTCACAGCGTTATTAAGAAGACTGAATGAGGCCGGGCGCGGTGGATCACGCCTGTAATCCAAGAACTTTGGGAGGCCGAGACGGGCGGATCACGAGGTCAGGAGATCGAGACCATCCTGGCTAACACGGTGAAACCCCGTCTCTACTAAAAATACAAAAAATTAGCCAGGCCTGGTGGCTGAGGCAGGAGAATGGCATGAACCCGGGAGGTGGAGCTTGCAGTGAGCCGAGATCGCACCACGGCACTCCAGCCTGAGTGACAGAGCGAGACTCCGTCTCAAAAAAAAGAAGACTGAATGAGTTAATTCATGGAATGCATTAATACAGTGCCAAACTCGTATTTAGTACTCAAAATAAATATTAACTATTGTATAATTATTACAGGAAGGAAAAATTACATATGTGTTAACCATACATATCACGTCCAATTAAGAATAGCACAGGAGAATATTTATGGACATGGAAAGTTGTTGACCACATTCTATTAAGCAAAAAAAAAAAAAAAAAAAAAAGTTACAAAACAGTAAAAATATCATTTTATGTGAAAAAAATCTACGTATAGTCACCATTTATCATCTAGAATTAAATTTACATAGTTAGAATGTGCCCGTATGCAGTTTCTCCATTCAATCTCGAGTGGACAATCAAGAAAAAAATTTGGCTTTTAAGTGAACTGTCCTGTCACAGACTTGGGATAGAGGATCCCTTAGCTGAAGACGTCACCACTTCTCACTTGGACTATTACAACAGCCTTCTGCATGTGGCCTAACCTTCTATCCCAATGCCAGCGTGACTTTTACAAATACAATCTTCCTGCTTAAGATCCTTCATGTATAGAATACAAGTTTCAAACATCCTTGTTGCCTAAGATCCTTCTGATTACTGTTCCTTTAACCCTTCTGGCATATCTCTTGCAAACAACCCGAAAGACAATTCACCTGCGTGCCCCTTTTCACTGCCTTCCCTACCTTTACGTGGGAAGCCCCGTCCTGCCTGTTTACCTGGTGAAATCATTCTTCCAAACTAAATTCTAAAGTGCCTTCCTAAACTTCCTCTTCTGTAATACCACAAGGTTGATCACAAAGCACTAGGGCTGTTTTCCTGTCTCTTACACATCAGCCTGTGAGGCCCTCAAAGTCGGGGAACTGGGCCCTATTCATCTTCCCACATGCACCGCCCAGATCAGTGCCGGGCAAAATGTATACTTAACCACCCAAACTTGGACAAGCTGGGTCAGATCTCGGGCACTCGGTTTTCCTTTCCTTAAAATGGAGCTCTTTACCCCCGCAGGATCTTAGGAGATTGATTAAATAAGGCTCTGCAATGTGTTTCCCGCTTACAGTAAGCCATAAACGCAAGTTTGGAAGCCTCAAGCCTAAGATTCTGATTCTGTCTCCGCGTCTAACTACTGTAGATGTGAGGCTCTGAACAAGTCGCTCACTCAAGGTCTGTTTCCTCATCTGTAAAGAGAATGGACCCACAGATGAACTGCAAGGCCCCACCCTAATTTATGAATGGATGGTTCCCAAAGGGGGTTCCGACTTTCCAGGAGTCCCACCATCCCCCACTTCTCCGACCCACGCGGTCCCGGCCGCTTCCTGCTTCCTGCCCCCCGCTCCCGCCGCGAGCGTAGCGTCTGCACCCACTAGAGTCCCAGGCTGGTCTCTGGGTCCCACCAAGTTTGCTCACCGGCTTCTCCTCGCCTCCCATCTTCCCTGAAGGACTGCTGGCCTTCTCCTCAAACATTGGCGAACGACGAAGCGATGAGAGAACCCGAAAGCGACGGCCTAGAGGAGAGGAGCCAAGAGGCGGGTGGGAGGTGGGCTAGCGCCCGGGACTTGGCCTCGGCTGGACCAGCTGATGCAATCGAAAGGCGCCCTAACCCCGCCCCCAACTTGCGGCGGAACGAGCAGCCAATGGATAACGGGGGAAGGCGGGCCCTCCCTCCTCTAAGCCAGTGGAAAATCTTTTCGGGTGACAGAGCCCTTCTAGGAAATCAGGTCGCGGAGGGTGAGGAGGAGCAACTGCAGAAGCTACATGCCTACTCTCCGCTGACCTTGGTCTGGACGCTTTCCAGAGTCAAGTCCCCAATGCGCGTGCGCCTTTCCTCCCTTCTGACTTTATGTGGAACAATCATGGACCTTCCCGGACACCGTAGATAATAAGTAGGTCTTGGTCTAAACTTCCGGGAAGTTTTCGGCGACCTGGATACCATCTTCGACACGGGGACAAATCCCGGGATGGAGTCCAGGGTTTCCCGCGGCTTCGGCGCTTCCTGACCTGGCGTGACTGCCGACTTGTCGGCACCACCCAGGCCTCAGGCTCCCTGTCTGTAGTGGTGAATCGACCTTCCTCATGGCAGTCCAGGCTTCCCAAGCCCCATGTCCTGTTGATCCGGGACAAACTCTTCCTTGAACGTTCTTCACTACGAGCCGCTGCTGATCTGTACTGCCTGGAGGAGCATTTCCATAGCGCCCGCAAAAATACAATAAAGCTCACCCAAGGAAATAACCATGGATTCTCACGCCTGGGTGCCAGTGTTTGGAATCGACTGGGCTTTTTTATGTTAGTAGGCAATTTAAAACAATTACTTATTTGAAATCAGAAGCGCAATAGGCATAACTTCAGGTACGTGCTCCACCACCACGTTTTGTGGATTTTTCTTTTTAAACATCAGTTCTGTTCTCTACAACTCTCCGCCTTCAGGGTTATACTTTCCAGGAACAATAGCTTCCCAATTCGGCTTTGTGCATCCATTTTTCATACAGCATCGTTGTAGTCTTCAAATACAAATATGATCACGGCAATCTGCTGAAAAATCTTTGGTGGCTTTCCCTTGCTCTTGGACAATCCCTGATTGTCCAAGTTTTCGGCTTCATCTCGTTCGCCCACCATACACTGAACTATAAACTGTAGTGGCTTTTTTTCCTCAGGTCTTCCCACAGACTAAGTACCAAGATTTTTCCACCCTACCCTCATCCGTGCTCATTCCGACACACTTTTTGCCTGTTTGACACCTCATTTATTGTCAGATTTCAAGAATCGTTTTCTTCGGGGAACCATTTCTTGACTCCCTTACTGGATGAAACAAGCCTCCCTGTTAAACAGTGTTGGAGGCGCAGAAACATACCCCCAAATAATGGCGTTTTGACATCTGAACTGAAGAAGCCTCAAGGTCCCACTCCCCTAAATCCCCACGCCATCTCTGCCAAAGCAAAGGATAAAGTTTAGACACATCACAAGGAACATAATTGTTTTTGTTGCCTCCCTGTAAGACCAAGAATGTAGTAATCACACCTGAGCAGACCCTTTCACAAGATGTTGTACAAATTAATGTGTTCCTGATACATTCATTCTCCTTTGTAATCCCTCAACAGAATTCCTCTTCTCCCTATCATAACCTGTGTCGCTGGGATTGTATCCACAAGCTTCTGAAGCCCTCTGAGGGGTGGGTAATCACGCTGTGATTCTTCCTGTGTATACACGTTAAGTAAATTTGTATGTTTTTTCTATTAATGTTCCTCATGTTAGTGATTTTCAGCCAAACCTCAGAGGGCCAAGGAGAAAGGTCCCCTTGGCGCTTACAATAGTGTCTGCTGGTAGTTTCATGTGGTTCTTGGTAGAACTTACCGGTTCAACTTGTTCTTTCACTATGTGTGTATTTAGAGCTAAGCAAGTTTACTATATATGTGTATATATATATATATATACACACACACACACATATACACATACGTATATGTATATACATATATTATATATATATATATGCACAGTAATGGTTCTGATCAGTTGGCCTAAGAGTACACCCTATGTGGGGCTTCACGTACTGCTACACTCACAGGCAGAATTGGGGGTTGTTTTTCTGTCCAGAGTGATTGATCCTGATTACAAGGGGACAAGCGGGTTTCTTCTACATAAAGGAGAATTTTGTCAAGAACCCAGGAGATTCACTGAGACCTTTTTTAGTACTTCCTTGTCTAATGTTTCGCTGTTGGAAAACTCTGGGAACCCAACAAAGACAAGGAAGGAAGGAAGGTTTGGGCTATCCTTCTAGGTAAAGAATCTAGTCTAGCGAGGTCCTGACAAAGGCTAAGGGTAACTTGAAAAGGTGCTAGGAGAACAGAGTTATGCAATATTAGCTACCTAATTTGCAGATTACATATATATGTATACACATATACATATGTGTGTGTGTGTGTGTGTGTGTGTATATATATATAACTGCTCTTTAGCTGACACCTTGATTTTAATAATAGTCCTTTTCTTTTCTTTTTTCTTTGAGATGAGGTCTTGCTCCATTACCCAGGCTGGAGTGCAGTGGCACAATCATAGCTCACTACAGACTCAAACTGCTGTACTCAAGCAGTCCTTCTGCCTCAGCTTCCCAAGTAGGTAGGACTGCAGGCACACACCACCACACCCAGTTAATTTTTTCTTATTTTTTATTCTATCTATCTATCCATTTATTTATTTTTGAGACAGAGTCTTGCTCTGTTGCCCAGGCTGGAGTGCAGTGGTGTGATCACAGCTCACTGCAGCCTTGATCTCCCAGGCTCAATTGATCCCCTCGCCACAGTCTCCTGAACAGCTGGGACTACAGGTGCACACCACCACGCTCGGCTAATATATATATTTTTTAATTTTTAGTAGACATGAGGTCTCACTATGTTACCCAGACTTGTCTCAAACTCCTGAGCTTAAGCTCTTCTCCTACCTTGCAAGTTTATAGTTTTTTTAAAATATATTTTATCTCCTTGATTGAAAACTTCACGAAAGCACACTTTGTGTATTTTTGCCAGCATCTGGAAGATGTAAACCTATCGCACAGCAGATGTTCAATAAATGTTGAGTGTTGAGACAAAACTTGCTTAATTTTTCAAGCAAGGTTTGGAAAATTACCTCTTTATTTGTATTATAAAAGAAGTCAAAACCCCTTTACTAACTAGATCTAGAAGAAAGTTTATGATGAGAGTAGATTATTAGTAGTGCTTGATATTCCAGGAGTTATGTACAATTTTAATAGGCTTAAATAGACCAAACTAACTCCCCACATTTAAATTAGAATGAGAATCAATAGGATCTAATCTTACCTTTTAATGTAAAACAATTTAATTATGCTCATTAGACACATTTGCCTGAATTGTATCTTAATTTTAACTAAGTATAATGAAAACCAGAGAGATCAAGATTCCTGAATTTGCTGGATGCAGAAAATGATAGGCTAACAATTATATTTAACTGCTATATAACATTGTTTCTAGCAGCTTCTCTTAACTCTTTGTTCTCTTTCAACTTTAAAAACAGTCCTCATTTAAGTATGGCAAAAAGAAAAAGCAGAAGGCGTTTCTTTTTTTAAATATATTTTTATTATACTTTAAGTTCTAGGGTACATGTGCACAACGTGCAGGTTTGTTACATATGTATACATGTGCCATGTTGGTGTGCTGCACCCATTAACTCGTCATTTACATTAGTTATATCTCCTAATGCTATCCCTCCCCCGTCCCCCAACCCCACAACAGGCCCCGGTGTGTGATGTTCCCCTTCCAGTGTCCAGGTGTTCCCATTGTTCAATTCCCACCTATGAGTGAGGACATGCGGTGTTTGGTTTTTTGTCCTTATGATAGTTTGCTGAGAATGATGGTTTCCAGCTTCATCCATGTCCCTACAAAGGACATGAACTCATCATTTTTTATGGCTGCATAGTATTCCATGGTGTATATGTGCCATATTTTCTTAATCCAGTCTATCATTGTTGGACATTTGGGTTGGTTCCAAGTCTTTGCTATTGTGAATAGTGCTGCAATAAACATACGTGTGCATGTGTCTTTATAGCAGCATGATTTATAATCCTTTGAGTATATACCCAGTAATGGGATGGCTGGGTCAAATGGTATTTCTAGTTCTAGATCCCTGAGGAATCGCCACACTGTCTTCCACAATGGTTGAACTAGTTTACAGTCCCACCAGCAGTATAAAAGTGTTCCTGTTTCTCCACGTCCTCTCCAGCACCTGATCTTTGACAAACCTGACAAAAACAAGAAATGGGGAAAGGATTTCCTATTTAACAAATGGTGCTGGGAAAACTGGCTAGCCATATGTAGAAAGCTGAAACTGGATCCCTTCCTTACACCTTATACAACAATTAATTCAAGATGGATTAAAGACTTAAATATTAGACCTAAAACCATAAAAACCCTAGAAGAAAACCTAGGCAATACCATTTAGGACATAGGCATGGGCAAGGACTTCATGTCTAAAAACACCAAAAGCAATGGCAACAAAAGCCAAAATTGACAAATGGGATCTCATTAAACTAAAGAGCTTCTGCACAGCAAAAGAAACTACCATCAGAGTGAACAGGCAACCTACAGAATGGGAGAAAATTTTTGCAATCTACTCATCTGGCAAAGGGCTAATATCCAGAATCTACAAAGAACTCAAACAAATTTACAAGAAGAAAACAACCCCATCAACAAATGGGCGAAGGATATGAACAGACACTTCTTAAAAGAAGACATTTTTGCAGCCAACAGACACATGAAAAAATGCTCATCATCACTTGCCATCAGAGAAATGCAAATCGAAACCACAATGAGATACCATCTGACACCAGTTAGAATGGTGATCATTAAAAAGTCAGGAAACAACAGGTGCAGAAGGCATTTCTAACAGGTTGACTGTGGTGCAGGAACATAGGGGAAGAATGTAATGAGTTGCTAGTGTGGGAACCTCGCAGAGGTATCCCTGTGGCACAGTGCCCTCTGGTGTTAGGAAGGTGTTCTTTCACTATGTGTTTAGAGCTAAGCAAAGATCACGGGAGCGTCCAACACATCTCAGACCTAAAGCACAAAACACTGTTATACAACTTTTGTGTATTTGCCAACAAAAAAAAACTTCTGATTTACTCCCAGTGTTATAATTTATGCCCACTGTATTAACCCGTTCTCTGCTATGAAGAAATACCTGAGACTGGGTAATTTATAAAGGAAAGAAGTTGAATTGACTCACAGTTCTGCATGGCTGGGGAAGCATTAGGAAATTTCCAATCATGGCAGAAGGTACCTCTTCACAGAGCAGCAGGAGAGAAAATGAGTGCCAGCAGGGGAAATGTCAGACACTTATAAAACCATCCGATCTCATGAGACTCACTCGTTATCAGGAGAACAGCATGGGGGAAACTGCCCCGTGATGCAATTACCTACACCTGGTCCCACCCTTGACACATGGGGATTATGGTGATTACAATTCAAGATGAGATTTTGGGTGGGGACACAGCCAAACCATATCACCAACTACCCTACATGCTTTAAAAATTTTTTACATTATTTTATTTTTTTTATTTTATTTTATTTTTTAGAGACAAGGTCTTGCTTTGTTGCCCAGCTAGTCTCAAACTCCTGGCCTCAAATGATCCTCTCACCTTGGCCTCTCATGCTGGGATTATAGGTGTGAACCACCACACTGGCCTCCTACATACTTTTTAGGAAAGTGGCTGTCAATAGCTCTGCCTTGAGAAGTGAAGCAAAATTATGTGATATGCTACAAATAATGTTACAAATAATAGAAGTTTGTACATAACCATCTCTCTATGGGTTTGGGGCAAAAGAGTCTTCTTCATTATCAATCCTTAATTACTCATTTGAATAATTTTTGCTTCTGGTTCCTACAACCTTGGGCTGGATGATTTTGAAGAAACTAATCCCTGAGGGAAGAATGCTTCTATCAGGGGCATAGTCATGGTTCTGATCAACTGGCCTAAGAGTACACCCTATGTGGGGCTTCACGTACTGCTACACTCACAGGCAGAATTGGGATTGTTTTTCTGGCCAGAGTGATTGATCCTGATTACAAGAGGACAAATGGGTTTCTTCTACATAAAGGAGAGTTTTGTCAAGAACCCAGGAGATTCGTTGAGACATTTTTTAGTACTTCCTTGTCTAATATTCTGCTGTTGGAAAACTCTGGGAACCCAACAAAGACAAGGAAGGAAGGAAGGTTTGGGCTATCCTTCTAGGTAAAGAACCCAGTCTAGCGAGGTCCTGACAAAGGCTAAGGGTAACTTGAATAGGTGCTAGAAGAACAGAGTTATACAATATTAGCTACATAATTTGCAGAACCCAATGCAAAATAAAAATGTAGGGCTCCTTGTTAATTTCAATCTATTTAATAGGCACAGTGGAGCAGCAACTAAGTGTAGAGCGCGCTTCTAAGTATTGAGTCCTGTGTGACTCCCCAGGTTGTGCATCCATGGAGCTGGTGCTAGTGCTATGATTGCTAAATTAGCCCTCATGACCAGAAAGAAGTATGGCCTGTAGAAGTTATGTTTTTTGTTACTTTTTTTTCCACTCCCCCAACTTTTCCTTATATATGTATCATATATAAAGAATACTAGGAGTGGCTAACTTTTTACTTCTCGTGAGGGAATATGATTGAATCAAGATCACTCCATGATGATACACATTCTGAAGGGACTTCATGTGTCCCTTGTGTTGGAGGCACACACTTTTCATGTGGATGAAAAGCTATAGAGGATGTTGAAGGGGAAAAGGTGTGGCCTGTACCAATGGACTGCTGGGCCATTGGCCTCCAGTTGCTTCCAGCCAGTGAGACCCTCAGCAGGAGTTGGGAGGGAAGAAAACAAAATCAGGACATGTATACCCCTGGCTCTTCCCAGGAGGAGGTTGCCTTGTGCTGCTGATGTTTCACAACCAAAGGTCACTGCTGATCTCATAGCAATAACTACAGAACACTTCCCTTCTAGGTTCCAGCAAATGCTGGCTACCCTCACCCTGCCTGGCCTACATGTGGTTACAGATTTCCCACAATTACTATTTGTAGGATCCTGACTCCCTATACTTCTCATCTGTTTTAAATAAACCCTCTTTAAATTACTCTAACCCGAGTGTGCCCTCTGTTCTCTGTTGGAGCCCCGTGTGATATAATCATGTTCCTCAGCTATAAAATGGTGATAGAAGTAATAAACCTGATTCCAGAACTTGTTGGGAGGATAAAATGAAAGTACAAGTATACAAAGTACTTTGCAAATTCTAAAGGGCTATAAAAGTTAATTATGTTTGGGGAAATGAATGCTCTAGCCGGTTACCCTCTCTGGTTTACTCTAGATTTATTTGGAACCATTATGGATAATATTCCTCAATTTGTTTTCATTTTTGTCATATCTCTTCTTTGCTGAGAGCTTTTGCTATGATTTAACTGTGTCCCCTAAAGTTCATGTGTTGAAAACTGAATCCCCAATACAACTGTTGGGGTGTGGAGCCTAGTAAGAGGTGATTATGTCGTGACAGCTCTGCCATCATGATTGGAGTGATGTCATTATCTTGGGAGTGGGTTAGTTATTGTGAGAGTGGGCATGCTATAAAAGTGAGTTTGGCCCCCTCTTGCTCTTTTGCTCTCTTGAGCTCTCTTGCCCTTCTGCTTTCCACCATAGGATGATGCAGCAAGAAAGCTTTCCCTGGGTATAGGCCCCTTGACCTTGGATTTGCCAGCCTCCAGAATTTAAGAAATAAGTTCATTCTCTTTGTAAATCTCCTAGCTGTGGTATTCTGTTATAGCAATACAAAATGGACTAAGACAGATTTAAAATAGCTTTGAGAGGCCTAGCGTATGAGGAATACATTCTGGATAGCTTTTAGGAGGTTCTGAACCTCATCTCCAAAGGGCATGCTTTCCTCCAAAGTAAGTTGTAAATGTGTAGAATTGTGCATTTGCCTTTGGCGTCCCTCCCTTCTCATTTCTTTGCAGAGTATCTGTGCCATTCCCTGAAGGTATCTGAGCACCTCACACTTTTCTTCATCCTTCCTACCTCTATTAAAAACAGTTTCCAGGAAAGGCTGTGAGTTCATTTTTACTAAATAAATGGCTGCTGGACTTTGATATGTGGCCTTACCCGGATATCAAAAGCATTGTCTGAAGCAGGATTTTTCACAAACTCAGCACTATTGACATTTTGGGGCTAAATAATTATTTGTTGAGGGAAGCCACTGTTCTGTGTACTATAGGTGCTTAGCAGGATCCTTGACCTCTACCCACTGAATATCAATAGCACTCTTCTCCCAGTTGTCATGACCAAAACTGCTTTCAGACATTGCCAAATGTCCTATGGGGGCAAAATTACTTACAGTTAGGAATACTGGTCTAAAAAAATGAAAATTCTTCTGTACAATCTTTTGGGCCTCATCAAATAAAAAAAAAATGCATATAAGGGCAGTAACTGGAAGGTCTTTCTAAAAATACGGAACTTGAGTGCTTGCTGGTAAAGAATCACTTGGTTCTCTGAGTTGTATAGTCTGATAGTTTTTCCTCCAAACAAATCTGCACATATCCATGTTGTTTCTGAGTACTTCCCACCCAATGATTCAATTATGGTGATGTGATTATGAATAAAAACATTTTTTCAAGTCCTGTTTCTTATAGCAATATATGAGTAATTTGTGTATACATAAAAAATATTCTGAATATTAGCCAAAGTTCTTCAGAGAAACAAAATCATCTATCTACTATCTATCTATCTGCCATCTATTTATCTACCTACCTACCTACCTATCTGAAGAGAGAGAAAGAGGGGAGGAGAGAGAGAGAGAGACAGACACAGAGACAGAGAAAGAGACAGAGAGAGATTTCTTAGAAGGAATTGGCTCACAAGATTATAGAGGCTAAGAAGTCCCAAGTTCTGCAATTGGAAAGCTGGAGACCCAGGAGAGCCCATGGTAAAAGTTCCAGTCCAAAAGCCAGCAGGCTCAAGATCCAAGAAGTGCCCATTTTTCAGTCAAGTTTGAAGGCACAATGTTCCAGCTCAAGCAATCAGGCAGGAGGAGTTCCCTATTACTCAGCCTTTTTGTTCTACCCAGGTCTTTAATTGTTGGATGAGGCCCACCTGCATTAAGGAAGGCACTCTTTACTCAGTCCACCCATTCAAATGTTCATCTCATCCAGAAAATCTCACAGATACAAGCAGAATAATGCTTAACCAAATGTCTGGGCATCCCTGGTCCAGTCAAGTTGACATGTAAATTAATCATCATATCTTCCCATTGACCTGTTGGACTATTTTAAATTATCTCTCAAGAACTGAGTTTGGGAATGTTGATACCAATATTTCAATCTGAGACACTATGCTAGTTCAAGGATATACATAGCCAGCTGAATTTTTCAGTGAGAAGCAGCTTGGAAGCTTAATAAAATTGGAGTCCTCTGCTGGTACAACCTACTTGGGAGCCAACAAGACCATGGTGCCACATTCATGCTTTCCCCTAGCCATCATAAGCCCCTATTTCTAGCAATCAGATAGAAGAAAACAGAAATCCAATTCATAAGATACAATAGTTACAGTAAATGCTAAACAGAGGTAGAAGAGAGGCTCCAAAATACAATGACAGTAAACTAGATGATTACTTATTTTTCTGTTACAGCTATGTAGGGCCCCAAGTTCCTTTTATCTTTTTGCTCTAGTGCAGTGGTTGGTAAACTTTTTCTGAAAACACTAGATAGCAAATATTTAAGGCTTGCAGCCCAACACGGTCTTTGTTGCAATTACTTAAGTTCTCTGTCATTGTGGTGCAGAGGCAGCTATATATACTTTGTAAACAAATGGACATAGCTGTGTTCCAATAAAACTTTATTTACAAAACCAAGTGGCTGCTCTATGGGTGATAGCTTGTTAACCCTTTCTCTAGAGGGTTCTCATCTGCATGGTTGTACTTGGGTTGCTGGCATTTCTGCATTTCAATTTGCAAAAAAAAGAGTGGAATTGCTTATTCCAAGTGTTTTAAGGCCCAGACCCAGAAGTGGCACATAGTTACTTCTACTCATATCTCACTGGTCCAAACTGAGTTGCATAGCTTCTAGGGAGGCTGAGGAATCTGGTCTCTAGCTAAAGAGTCATGTACCTCACTTAATTTCTGTTATTGAGGGGAAGAAAATATTTTGGTGGAAAATTAGTAACTACTGCCACATGACACCACCACTTGGGGGTAATTCTGCAAATTACATGATTCTCTCTCTCTATCTTTTTTTTAAATGTAATTTTATTTTAAGTTCTGGGATACATGTGCAGGAGTGCAGGTTTGTTACATAGGTAAACACGTGCCATGGTGGTTTGCTGAACCTATCAACCCATCACTTAGGTATTAAGCCCCACATGCATTAGCTATTTATCTTGATGCTCTCCCTCCATACCCCCCGCCCCGACAGACCCCAGTGTGTGTTGTTCCCCTCCCTGTGTCCATGTGTTCTCATTGTTTGACTCACACTTATAAGCGAGAACATGTGGTGTTTGGTTTTCTGTCCTTGCATTAGTTTGCTGAGAATAATGGCTTCCAGCTTCATCCATGTCCCTGCAGAGGATGTGATTTCATTCCTTTTTATGGCTGCATAGTACTCCATGGTGTATATGCACCACATTTTCTTTATCCAGTCTATCATTGATGGGCATTTGGGTTGATTCAATGTCTCTGCTATTGTGAATAGTGCTGCAATGAACATATGCATGCATCTATCTTTATAATGGAATTATTTATATTCCTTTTGGTATATACCTGGTAATGGGATTGCTGGGTCAAATGGTATTTCCGGTTCTAAGTCTTTGAGGAATCGTCACACTGTCTTCCACGATGGTTGAACTAATTTACATTCCCACCCACCAACAGTGTAAAAGCATTCCTATTTCTCTACAGCCTCGTCAGCATCTGTTGTTTCTTGACTTTTTAATAATTGTCATTCTGACTGGTGTGAGATGATATCTCATTTTGGTTTTGATTTACATTTCTCCAATGGTCAGGGATGTCGGGATTTTTTTTTTTCATGTTTGTTGGCCACATAAATGTCATGTTTGTTGGCCACATAAATGAGAAGTATCTGTTCATGTCCTTTGCCCAATTTTAATGGGTTGTTGGGTTTTTTTGTTTTGTTTTTGAGACAGAGACTCACTCTGTCACCCAGGCTGGAGTGTAGTGGCACGATCTCCGCTCACTGCAAGCTCTGCCTCCTGGGTTCATGCCATTCTCCTGCCTCAGCCTCCCGAGTAGCTGGGACTACAGGCACCCACCACCACGCCCTGCTAATTTTTTGTATTTTTAATAGAGACGGGGTTTCACTATGTTAGCCAGGATGGTCTTGATCTCCTGACCTTGTGATCCACCTGCCTCGGCCTCCCAAGGTGCTGGGATTACAGGCATGAGCCACCATGCCTGGCCTTTTAATGGTTTTCTTCTCTTCTTCTTCTTCTTCTTTTTTTTTTTTTTTGTAAATTTGTTTAAGTTCCTTAATCTTAAGCAAAAAGAACAAAGCAAGAGGCATCATGCTACCTGACTTCAAACTATACTAAAAAGCTACAATAATCAAAACAGCATGGCCCTGGTACAAAAACAGACACAAAGACCAACAGAACAGAATAGAGAGCTCAGAAATAAGACCACACATCTACAACCATCTGATCTTCAACAAACCTGAAAAAACAAGCAATGAGGAAAGAATTCTCAGTTTAATAAATGGTGCTGGAAAAACTGGCTAGCCATATGTAGAAAACAGAAACTGGACCCCTTCCTTACTCCTATACAAAAATTAACTCAAGATGGATGAAAGACTTAAATGTAAAACCCAAAACTATAAAAACCCTAGAAGAAAATCTAGGCAATACCATTCAGGACATAGGCACAGGCAAAGATTTCATGACAAAAACATCAAAAGAAATTGCAACAAAAGCAAAGATTCTCTCTCTTACTGCAAATTTTATTTAGTTAGGAGTTTTTTTTTTTTCCTTAGGAAATAACTCTCATAAACTATTTTCTCAGAATGTAATGCATAATCTGGATAGTATATACAACTTAGACCTTATGTTCCTCAAGAATATATCTACTAATGCCTATTTTGTTTTAGGCTGTTCTGTGATTTGTGCCTTTAGAGAGTTTACAGTCTGCTTGAAGAAATAAAATATCTCAACATAAAGATAAGCAATACAGGGGATGAAGCCAAGATAGAGGACTAGAAGGAGCTCATATGCGCCATTCTCACAAAAAGGAAACAAAAGGGCTAGTGAACACTGACCCTGCAGGTCAATCATCTGAGAAGCCATGTTGGGATCCATCAAGGCAGCAGGAGAACACAGGGAGCAGAGAGGAGCAAAGGTGGGCACCAGCCTGTGTGGGCTCAGCGTAGAGTCAGGAGAACCTCTCCAACATGGCAAAGAGTGAGAGAGAGCCCCCAGGTGGATTCATGCTTTAAAGACTGGGAATAGGACAATCCCCTCAGCCTTCCCATGACCCCTCCCCCTGCACTATGCTTCTAGACTGAGGCAGAGAGCCACACAGATGTGGGAGCAACTCTTGGATTCAAGGGGACCTCTACAAGCCTTGGGCTGTGAAGCAGACTAGCACCAGCACATCAGCCCCAATAGAGGCCACAGTTGTGGTGCCTGGGAACAGTAAGATTGCTCCACCCCCTCTTGCTGAACGTGGCTCGGAGCTTCCAGTCCAGCAGTCTCTCTTTCCCCTAAACTCGGCCAGCCACTCCACCCACCCACACCACCCCAGTGCTAGCCAGGTGGCCAATGCTTGCTAGAGCTTCTAGCCCAGTGGTCCCACTTCTGTGTGAACTCAGCCAGAGAGTGCAGTCTCCTATTGTCCTGGGAAACACCCAGACAGTAGGGTGCATGATCCCATACATTTCTGATACTGATAGCTAGGTGGGCAACACCTGTAGAGCTTTGGGCCCAGCGATCCTGCTTCTGTGGAAATTCAGCTAGTGGGTGCAGCCTCCTGTTGTTCCAGGAAGCATCTGGACAACAAGGCAGTTATCCTCACCCACTCCCACCACTGGTAGCCAGGGGAGCCACATCTGCTAGAGCTTCTCGCCCAGTGGTTCTACTTCTGCCTGAATTTACCAAAGAGTTCAGCCTCCTGTTGCCCTGAAAACCCCTACAGCAGGGCAGGCAACTCCATCCATCCTCCCCTCCCATAGCCAGACAGGCCACATCCACTAGAGTTTACAACCCAGAGGTCCTACTTCTGCCTGAATTCTGCAGACAGGCACAACCCATGTTTTCCAGGAAGTACCCAGACAGCAGATTAGGGCTGACTTGGCAAGGATACAGCTTGTCTACTAACTGCAGCCCCTACCGAAGGGAGCCCAGTGGACCAGAACACTCAACAAAAGAAACGTGGGCATGGAAACAGTAATCAGAGGAGGCTTCTCCAAGACCCAGTAGTGAACAAGAATTGAATCCAATCAACTGAACTCACCTTATATCATACATAATCAAATTTCCAAGGGCATCAAAGGACAACAAAAACAACAACAAAAACAAAAACAAAGGACAGCAACTTCAAAGACTGAAGGAACATCAGCCCACACAATAAGAAAGAGCCAGCACAAGAACTCTGGCAACTCAAAAGGCCAGAGTGCCTTCTTTCTTCCAAGTGATCACACTAGTTCCCCAGCAAGCATTCTTAACCAGGCTGAAATGGCTGAAATGATAGAAATAGAATTCAGAATATACATAGGAATAAAGGTCATTGAGATTCAGGAGAACATTGAAACCCACTCCACAGAAGCTAAGAATCACAATAAAAAAATACAGGAACTGATAGACAAAATAGTCATTATACAAAGGAACCAAACTGATCTGATAGAGCTGAAAAACACACTACAAGAATTGCATAATGCAATGGCAAGTATTAACAACCGAATAGGCCAAGCTGAGGAAAAAAATCTCAGAGCTTGACACTGATCCTCTGAAATAACTGTCAGACAAAAATAAGAAAAAACAATAAAGGAGAATGAATAAAACCTCCAAGAAATATGGGATTGTGGAAAGAGACCCAATATATGACTCATTGGTGTGCCTGAGGAAGAAGGAGAGAAACCAAGCAATTTGGAAAATATATTCTAGGATATTGTCCATTAAATCTTCTCCAACCTTGCTAGAGAGGCCAACATGCAAATCTGGGAAATACAAAGAACCCTCGTGAGCTATTACCCAAGAAGATCATTCCAAGACACATAATTATCAGTTTTTTCAAGGTCAAAATGAAAGGAAAAATGTTAAAGGCAGCAAGAAATAAGGGCAGGTCACCTACAAAGGGAACCACCAGGCTAACAGTTGACCTTTCAGCAGAAACTCTACAAGCCAGAAAAGATTGGGGGCCTATATTCAACATTCTTAAAGAAAAAAATTTCTAGCCAATAATTTCATATCCCACCAAACTAAGTGAAGGATAAATAAGATCCTTTTTAGATAAGCAAATGCTAAGGGAATTCATTACTATCAAACCTGTGCTACAAGAGGTCCTGAAAGGGGCACTAATTATGGAAAGAAAAGACCATTACCAGCCACTACAAAAACACACTTAGATACACAGACCAGTGATACTATATAGCAATGTTTATAGTATGCATAATGACCAGCTAACAACATGATAATAGGATCAAATCCACACATACTAATATTAACCTTCAATGTAAACAGGTTTAATGCCCCAATTACAAGGCACAAACTATACTACAGGGCTACAGTAACCAAAACGGCATAGTACTGATACAAAAACAGACACACAGACCAATAGAACAGAATAGAGACCTGAGAAATAATGCCACACACCTATAATCATCTGATTTTTGACAAAGCTGACAGAAATAAATAATGGGAAAAGGACTCCACATTCATAAAATGGTGCTGGGATAACTGGCTAGTCATATGCAGAAGATTGAGACTGGACTGCTATCTTATAACACATATTAAAAAAATCAACTCAAGGTAGATTAAATACTTAAATGTAAAACCTGAAAGTATAAAATCCTTGGAAGATAACTTAGGAAATACTATTCTGGACATAGGACTTGTCGAAGGTTTCACAACAAAGATGCCAAAAACAATTGCAACAAAAAAAATTGACAAATGGGATCTAATTAAATTAAAGGGATTCTGCACAGCAAAATAAACTATCAACAGAGTAAACAGGCAACTTATGGAATTGGAGAAAATATTTGCAAACTATGCATCTGACAAAGGTTTCATGTCCAGAATCAATAAAGAACTTAAACAAATTTGCAAGCAAAAAACCAACAACCCCATTAAAAAGTGGGGTAAGGACATGAACACTTTTCCAAAGAAGAGATACATGCAATCAATAAGCATATGAAAAACGCTCAACATCACTAATAATTAGAGGAATGTAAATCAAAACCAAAATGAGACACCATCTCATACCAGTAAGAATGGCTAATATTAAAAAAATTTTAAAAAAAACAGATGCTGGCAAGGTTGTGGATAAAACGGAATGCTTATACACTGCTGGTGGGAATGTAAATTAGTTCAGCCATTGTGGAAAGCAGTGTGGTGATTTCTCAAAGCTCTTTAAACAGAAATACTATTTGACCCAGGAATTCCATTATTGGGTATATACCCAAAGGAATATAAATCATTCTACTATAAAGACACATGCATGGTATGTTCATTGCAGCACTATCCACAACAGCAAAGACAGAATTAACCTAAATGCCCATCAACAGTAGACTAGATAAAGAAAATGTGGTGCCTATACACCCTGGAGTACTATGCAGTCACAAAAAAGAATAAGATCACATCTTTTGTGACAACATGGATGGAGCTGGAGGCCATTATCCTAAGCAAACTAATGCAGGAAACAGAAAAATGAATATTCACGTTCTCACTTATAAATGGGGCCTAAACAATGAGAACACATGGATCCACTAGGAGAGGAACAACAGACCCTGGGGCCTACTTGAGGGTAGAGGGTAAGAGGAGGGAGAGGGTCAGAAAAGTACCCATCAGGTACTATGCTTATTACTCAGGTGACAACATTACCTGTGTGCTAAACCTCCAAAACACACAGTTTGCCTATATAATAAACCTGCACATGTACCCCTAAACCTAAAATTAAAGATAAAAAAAGGATTGAAAAAAGATTCGCAATACATTTTCAATAGCTGAATCAGATGCTGCAATATAAGCATTAAGAGAAGGAGGAAGAGATAATTGGTATCTCATATCTAGGATATGATTTCCTATTTTCAAGCTGAGTTGATAAAACTGCCTTGTTTTGCATGGAAACAGTTGGGAACTGAAAGGCTTGTCCTCAAAAAATTGCTTTTTTGAGTCATATATTTTAATTATTATTATTTTTTTGGAGACAAGAGTCTTGCTCTGTAACCCAGGCTGGAGTGCAGTGGTATGATCTCAGCTCACTGCAACCTCCACCTCCCAGGTAAGCACTTCTCCTTCCTCAGCCTTCCAAGTAGCTGGGATTACAGGCACGTGACACCATGCCTGGCTAATTTTTTTTTTTTTTTTTCTAAGTAGAGATGGAGTTTCACCATATTGGTCAGGCTGGTCTCGAACTCCTGACGTCAAGTATCCACCTATCTTGGCCTCCCAAAGTGCTGGGATTACAGGCATGAGCCACTGCACTCAGCCTTTGAGTGATATATTTTAATATTATCAGCACTTGATTTCAAGAGACAGAAACCCGCTCAAGCAAGTTTAAACAAACAAAAAATGGCATGGCCAGATTCAGAGGCTTTAATGATGAATCCAGTCTCTATCTCTGCTTCCCTTCACGTGCTAACTTCAGTTTTACGAAAGCTATTTCCATGTGCCAGGAGAAAAGGGCCACTAATTTTTCTATTTTATCTTTACATCTTTGTAGCTCAAGATCCCAGAGGAAGAGGAGCCATCTTTCCCAGTGGCTTTACCGGAAAAGTCCCTGAGCCAGTCACTGTGCCCACTGGAAGACAAATGGAGACTTGCCAAGCTTTGGTCATGAACTCACTGGGACTGCAGGAGACTGGGTCAGCCCCACCAAAATAATGCAGAAGGTAAATACTTGGTTTTTCAAAGGAAAGGTGGGAAAACCCAGCCCAATAAATGTGTTTTCCTTTTGGTCACACAAATCATATACAATATGTGCTCATTTTATAAAATTACACACTCCCCACTACATTTTAAAAAGGATATATTGACAATGTACTATTCTTGCTTTATAGAGATGATAGATAGGTGATAGATAATAGATTAGATAGATGATAGAGATAGATTAGATAGATGATAGCTAGCTAGCTAGCTAGATAGATAGATTAGGGCATCAGTGATAGGGTCAGTATAGGCCTGGGTGCTGGAGCTACAAAGATGAGTGAGGCCTGGGGTTTCTAACCTCATGAAACTTATAGAAAAACTTAAATAAGTAAACAAACATTACAAAACAGTGTAATTATCACTAACAGGTTTGATATTAGAAAATAATTTTGTACAAAGGAATACAATTTTTTAAAGTATTATTTCTTTCCTTCTTTGGCTTTTGAGGGTACAAATGTAATGACAAACATGCTGGATTGGGAGTCAGTAGGCTTTGGGCAACCTCTACCTCTGTGACCTTAAGCATGGACAAAAATTACCACTTTGGTTCTCCGTTTTCACTAGTGGAAAATGAGAAGGTTGAAGTATATGATCCCCTAGATTCCTCTAAGTTAAAAATTCTAAATATTTGCATGCATGAGACTATAGTAATCAATGGTGACTTCGTTGGAATTCTTGATAGGTCAGGATGTATATAAACTGAAAAGCCACTAGATGTCACGCTTGTCACAGATTTTTGCTATTCTAATTTTTTTTTTTGTAAATATCAAGATCTGGGAGTTGAGCAGGACCTTAAAAACTGTATTTGTTCAATCATATCTGTTAATTAAAAAAAAAGACTATTTGGACTGGATAGATCAAATTACTTAGCTAAATTCACACTGCTAGCTAGCATTAATACCAGACCTCCTGATTTCTATTCCAGTGGAGCCATCTCTCTTTAAAATGAATGATGTTTGAAATGATGTTTTTACATCAGCTGTCAACTTTGGTAATGATAATTTTTTCTTTTTCTTCTTGAACTATCACTCAAAGTAATTTGGGGAACCAATTGTTAAAAAATTCTATGATTCAATATAATATCAATAACAATAGATAAAAAGTAGTTATTACTCATAGATTACTAGACTGCCTTAAAACCCTATTTGAAGATAATTTACAGGATGATGTAAGAAATTGGGTAGATGTGAATAAAAGTGGAAATTAAAGTTCACACACACCTAGCTTATCTGAATTTCGGACTTTGGGAATTTCAGGTTTTCTTTTCTTAAAATGGCTCTGGATAGAAAATAAGTTTTTTAAAACAGCTTTCTTTGAGAAGTGAAATAACTTTTAGGTTTCTGAACCAAACTAATTAACATTAATTTTTATGTAATCCTTTGAACTTTGTCTAACATGCAGTTCTTAATAATTGTGGTTCTCTTATTTATGATTCCCAATACTTAGTTGTGCGAGAGGATTTGAGAGAGAAACAGGGCTGTAAGAGGCAGAATTGCAGCAGATAGCCTGATAAGAGGAGAGGGGAGGATTGCTAGACTCAAAGAAACAAATCTATCTTACATCATTACAAAATAACAGATGTTTCTGATTACAACCTTGTGTCTTCGAGAACAGGTTAAATTATATTGACAGTGCTTTGTGACATACAAGCCTTTTGAGAAGGATTTTCTACAAAATGTTCAAAATGAAGTCTTGGTGTCCAAAAGCAGTTAAATATTGCTTATATAGGGAAGTCATTTATGTAATTCTTATAACTGTGAAGTTACAATAAATCCTTTTTCCAGAGTGAGTGTAAGGTTGGATTATGTATATAAATAGTGAGCCTGTTAATACTGGCTCTGTTGCCTCAGTAAACTGAGAAGAATAATACTACTGCACAGAGGTGCTGTTGGATATTTGAAGGAGTTGTGGAAAATGGAAAGTTCTATATAGTTGTAAGCTATCAAGATGATGATAGTTAGAAAACGTGAATGGACACATTCTCCCAAGAAGAGCTCTCCCTGTGGAGATGAGCTACGGAAACTGGAAGAGCTCAACATTAAAGAGCTAGAACATATGGGAAGCCCAGAGGTTAACTTCTCTGTGGATGATGAAGTAGCTGGACTAATCTACTTTCCAAAAGTTAAGAAGTGATCACAGAGATTCTTCCAGAGATGAGAAAATGGGACCACTCTCTGAATCAATACTGAGATGTGATGTGTCATGAATGCAGGTAAAACCATGGCTATCCAAATAGGATGGAGCTTTGCGACCGTAAGAGACCAGCTCTTGCATTCGTTCTCCCCATCTTTGTTCTGCTTTCCCTGCTCACTTCCAAAATGAAGGAAAGCCAGGACCTGTGTAATATCTTTCTTGAGCTATTTTCAGTTGTATTTTTTATCTATTCCTGGGTTGGAAAATTGAGGCCTTCGGCTGTTTTTCCTGTTTTCTGTGGTCAGGCTTCAGTATTTTTCTACCTCTTTTTAAATCCTCTTGATGAACTTATACTTAAAAAACAAAAGTTGCATGTTGCAGGAATATTCCAGTTGGTTTCAGAGAGGGAGCAAGACAAGTTGGATATCACGTGCCCATATCTCTCATGTATGTGCTAACTGGATTTCTACATTCCCTCAAATTACTTCATGTTTTGCAAAATTGTTGTGTTAGAATCAGCAAACAATTAGAAAATGTACTTTATTTCAGTGTGGCAATTTTATATTCTCTTCTCTATTACTGAAACAAATTATTTCCCACATATTTTGATAACATTATAGTGGTGCTAGTCACATTGTTGTAAGGTGGCGTCAGCGTTCCCATGATAAACTTTGTCAAGCTCTTGTAACTTGGCTACAAAACTCTACCTCGAGTTTGAGACTTGCTTTAATCCCAGAGCCATCTAGGAAAGAAAATAAATTTATCTTAAATTGGACAAAATGTTAGCGATAAAATAATTAACAGTGAAAACCTCCTCCCATTGCTCAAATCTTGATGCTATTTTTCAACAACTCCAATCCCGAAAACATCATTTTTTGAATTTAGTAAATTTTCTCATTCTGTATGAATTTTCATGTAATTTGGAAGTTCATCTTTAGATCAGAGAAGGACATTTTATCTCTGCAAATAAACCAATTAAATATCTGGGTGAGAAAATTCTATTTTTTAAAAGTTTCTTATTTTTAACTAAGTCGTTTCCTAAAGGTTACACAATGGAAGGACAGAAAGGGCAGCCAAGAGCCCTGGAGGCACCATTTGTTCTGATGCTGTCTTTTTTCAATTTAAGAAATAAAGCCACAGAAATCCTGCTTCACTCGCCTTTTCTCTCTTGAGTTGTTTTTTTTTTCCTTTCTAAAGTTTGAGTTCAAATTCTTGTTATTTTGATAGAAAGGGAGTTCTGGTGATAAAAGTGAATAGAACATAGCTACACATCAAATTCACTTTGTAAAAATGTCTCTTCAGAGATTATCAGTAAGTGAGCCAAGGTGCTGTAGAAGTGAAATGCTTTCTGAGTTGAACTGTCTTTCTGGATAAGTTTAATTTTTAAACGGCCAATTTGTCTGCACGCCTCCATTTTTAACTTACCCACTTGATGATAACTTGGGTGACCCTGAGGCTTTTGTTAAACTTACATTCAGAGATCAAGGCTCCAGTCAGGGACTCAGCCCTGCTGGGGATGTTTCCTACTCTCACGGACTTCAAAGAAAACGGAGCCCAGAGAAAGATAGCACACTGGGGTCATCTGAGCCAATTTTTTAAAAATCAAGAATATCATGCAATATACCCAGGTAACACACCTGCACATGTACCCCCCTGAATCTAAAATAGAAGTTGAATTTTTTTAAAAAATGTCCGGGCGCAGTGGCTCGTGCCTGTAATCCCAGCACTTTGGGAGGTGAAGGCGGGCGAATCACGAGGTCAGGAAATGGAGACCATCCTGGCTAACAGGGTGAAACCCCATCTCTACTAAAAATACAAAAAAAAATTAGCCGGGCATGGTGGTGGGCGCCTGTAGTCCCAGCTACTTGGGAGGCTGAGGCAGGAGAATGGTGCGAACCCGGTAGGCGGAGCTTGCAGTGAGCCAAGATTTCGCCACTGCACTCCAGCCTGGGCGACAGAGCAAGACTCCTTCTCGAAAAAAAAAAAAAAAAAAGAATATTTTGGGGTAGGGTTCTTGGGAAGAACCAAACTATGCACAACTTCTAATCACTTTCACAACCCTAAATGAGAATGTTTCATTTTAGTAAGTTCAATCTGAATTGAATGCCAGTCAGTTGGAAAAATAGCAGATGTGTTATGGGACCTCTAAGCTAAATGTGCTTCCTGAAAAAATGCTCTCATTCAAGGTTCTATAAATGTAGTAAGGAATACGCAGTGGGAAGAGCAGAAGAGAAGCCCTGTCTTCACTTTGTTGGATCATTCTTATTAAGTTGCTATACTTCTCTGAAAGTCAGTTTGTGAAAGTTTCTCTCTACATAAAATAAGAAAAGGAAGTTATCATAATGATAGTTTTAAAAAATTGTTTAATGCAAGGACTGGCAAACATTTTCTTGAAAGGGGCAGATAGGAAATATTTTTGGCTTTGCAGGCTGCGTGGTCTCTGTCACAACTACTCAACTCTGCCGATGTAGAGTGAAAGCTGCCATAGACAATACGTGAATGAATGGATGTGGCTGTGTTCCAATAAAACTTTATATACAAAAAGAACTGATGGCTCACAAACCAAAGTTTGGTGATTTTGGTTGGAATGTTTGCATTCTTATTATTTGACAGGTACCACTTCACTGCTTTACATACATGAATATGCCTAAAGAGGTGGAAACTATTATTGTCATCAGTTTATGAATGAGGAAGCCAAAGCTCAGAGAAATTGATCTACTTGCCCAAGGACACATAGCTAGTAAATGGCAGAGCTGAGTTTGAGCATGAAGTCTACCTCCGTCAGTCTCTTACATTTTTCTTTTTTTCTCTTTTTTTAGACAGACTTGCCTTCCCACCTAAAAGCTAAAAGCTTCCGTAAGGGATTTGCAACGACCCAGGAGTATTAGCTGAGTGTGGTGGTGCATGCCTGTAGTCCCAGCTACTCAGGAAACTGAGGCAGGAGAATCGCTAGAAGTCGGGAGGCGGAGGTTGCGGTGAGCCGAGATCGCGCCACTGCACTCCAGCCTGGGCAACAAGAGCGAAACTCTGTCTCAAAAATAAATAAATAAGTAAAAATAAAAATAAAAAAAGACCCAGGAGTAAACACTAGGAAATTTGATATAAACCTTAATAACTCCAACTGGTGAGTGATATAGAAGAGCATTCAGAGTAGTTTGTCACAGAACATACTTTCCAGATGAATCTTGGAATTTAGCTTGGTAATACGGATAATTTGCTTTTTCTGATGTTTGACTATACTTGTTCCACCCATATTTTAGCTTAAAGGGGGATTCCTCTTCTCTCCAAATATATTTACTAGCTTTCCCACCTTTTCCCCCTCCCTTAAAAGCAAGAATAGTACTATTAAGATGCACTACTTACTTGAACTTCTCTTTTTTAAGTGAAAAAACTCAAAGCATATTTTTTTCTTTTACCCTTTCAAGAGGTAAAATTAAAAAGCAGTGTTTCATAAATGGAAACAATGAGAAAACCTTGGCAAGCACCATTGAGATGATGAATTGTAATTCAACATGAAAGTCATTCCCATCCTCTTGTGTGATTTGACAGTTACTTAAGGGCTTCCATCTTTGGTTGTATGGCCTTTGTGATAATAAAAGTGTATGCATTTTTACAATAAGACTGTTGGATTGTTACTCAGACAGAACAGTTCATTTGATGAGACTTAGCAGTATACTGAGATTCCAAGTTGGTTTATCTCCATCAGGGAGAGGAGAGCTCCCCCGATACCTCGTGTTTTCTATCCGGCTCCCAGGGCAAGCTAAGACTGAATGAAAAAATAGTGGAGTATTGACTGACAAACATTTTCTGGGAAGGGGCAGATAGCAAATATTTTTTATTTTGAATGCTACATGGTCTCCATCACAAATACTCAACTCTGCTGACATAGCATGGAAGCTGCCATAGACAATATGTAAATGGTGGATGTGGCTGTACTCCAGTAAAACTTTACCAAAAACCTGATGGCTCACAATCCAAAGTTTGGCAACTTTGGTTGGAATGTGTGCATTCTTATTATGTGACACATACCATTTAGCAGCTTTATATACATTAGTATGCCTAATGTATATAAAACATAAATGTAAAATGTAAAACTCCCACATTTTCAGTGTAGTAGAACCAAATATCACACTTTTCTATAGGCTGGCTGTGGTTTATGATGTTCTTCTCAACCCTTCTCTTAGATTTTCAAGAAGATCTTAGCATAGGGTCTCTGAAAGGGAACAGGGGCTCCAGAGAAAGTCTTGTAGTGCAGCAAATATTCCCAGTGAACCTGACCTAAGCAGTGTGAACTTTCTCAATTCAAAGGTTACCTCTTAATCAATCAGATCTGGAAGGATGCAAAACAGTCCCCAAGATTTGAGCTTCCAGAACAAAACTATCCACCCATGTATGTGCAGTGCCATGGCTAGAACTCCTGGGCTATCTTTTTGTAGGATGGAGCCATTCTGGCTTCTGAAGCTTGGTGAGCTTGCCCTTGTTTTTGGATTGGAGTCATGAATGTTTTATGGACAATAAACCTCCTTGACAATTCTCTGGAGGTCTTCTTGGATTATTAACTCTGTTGAAGGTCTGATTAAGCCAAATCAGCATTTGCAGTTCCTTTTCTGGGAGGAGCAATGCAGTGATGCAGGTGTATAGTTGCCACTAACATTATCATCATCAAGTGGTAATTAGTGACCCATTGGGGATAGCACTGATGCTAGGCATCAGTGCTATCCAGCTGTCTTTCCAGAGTCTCTCACTTTCAGGAATCTCCACATTCTGGGGTCCCCAAGCTAGTCTCTCATTTTTATTCTCTACCTAAACCTGGCCCCTCCAGGTGTGTTACAGGTCTCTGTATCTTATTCGTTTATCTAACCCAGGTATGCACATGTTGCTTGTGTTGGAATAAAGTCTCATCAGGTTGTTTTAGGAAAATTAACCTTACTTTTTAAATCACAATTAGGTGTGAAAGAGGCAAAACAAGATTATGTTTCTTCTTGTTTTCTTGTTTTTTTTTTTTCTAACTAAGAAATACCAACTGTATGAGACACTAGGTTGAATTATAGTTCTCCAGCACAATCAATTAATATATGTATAATATTAAAGTACATGGTTACAAAAGGGATAACAGTAAACTTTTGAACCCTTGATGTTTCAAGAGGAATTCCTTACAAATGAACTAGAAAGTACATGTTTATGATAACAGGATATTTAGAGACACCAAGGCAAAGATGTGATATTTGAATTCTTGAATTGTCTGGAGAGTTCTCTTAATTATCTACTTATTGATGTAGAATTGATCTTCTAAGAAACTACATAGCTTATTTTTAGAAGTATTCCTAGAGAGAGATAATTATACTCTTGTTTTTCATTTCTGGTAAAGTTTACTTTGCTGGAAAAGGATGCAATAAGAGTGAACATTTAATTACGATCCAGCAGCATAAAAATTTGTCATTTCAACTATCTGTACTGTTCTTTAGAAACACATTTTATTTTAATCTAATGTTTTGGTATGTTTATCATCAAATACATTTCTTCTAAATATACAGCAGGGTCAGAGTTTTCCCTAGGACATCATACTATCCAGGGAAAATTAATGACTTAGTAACACAACCTCTGCCTCCTAGACCAAAAAAAATTTTTATGTTTATGAAAGTAACATATGCAGTACTTCTCCCTTATTTACAGTCTTGCTTTCCATAGTTTCAACTACCCTCCGTCAACTGTGGTTCGAAAATATTCGATGGAAAATTTCAGAAATAAACAATTCATAAGTTTTAAGTTTTTCAGCATACTAAGCGGCATAATGAAATCTTTCATCATTCTGCCCTGGAAATGAATTCTCCCTTTGTCCAGTGGATCCATGCTGTAGACACTACTTGCTCATGAGTCAATTAGTAGCCATCTTGGTTATCAAATCCACATTCACATAACTTTATTAGAGTGTAAAGTTATACTTGTTTTATTTTACTAATAGTTATTGTTCTTAATCTCTTACTGTGCCTAATTTATAAATTAAACTTTATCATGGGTAAGTATACATAGAAAAAAACATAGTATATATAGGTTTTGGTTCAGGCATCCACTGGGGATCTTGGAATGTATCTTGTGAGGATAAAGGAAGACTATTCACTCTAGGACATTTGGAAATAGATTTTATATGAAATTATTTTAACATATCATTCATAATTCAACTGTCCATAAATAATCACTGTTACCATTTAATATATTTCCTTCCAGCCCTTATCCATGCAGGCATAAATCAGTGTGCATATATCAATGGGGTCATAGTAAGAATTTTAAGCAGAATTTAACTGGTTTATATTCTTTTTTTCTTCTTTTCTGTTTTTTTTTTTTTTTTTTTTTTTTTTTTTTTTTTTTTTGAGACAGAGTCTTGTTCTGTTGCCCAGGCTGGAGTGCAATGGAATGATCTTGGCTTACTACAACCTCTGCTTCCCAGGTTCAAGCAATTCTCCTGCCTCAGCCTCCTGAGTAGCTGGGATTACAGGTGCATGGCACCACGCCCGGCCAATTTTTGTATTTTTAGTAGAGACGGGGTTTCACCATGTTGGTCAGGCTGGTCTCAAACTCCTGACCTTGTGATCTGCCCGCCTCAGCCTCCCAAAGTGCTGGGATTACAGGCGTGAGCCACCGCACCCAGCCAACAGGTTTATATTCTTATCTGTACAGCTTCAACCTCCAATTGCAGCCTGCCAGCTCCACTCCCTAGTTATTTCTGGGAGTTCCTGGGATGTCCCAGATGAGTTCATAAACAGTTTTTCATGTACTTCTTTATTTCCCTTATTGCCTTCTTCTGCCCTTGTTTGTTGTTCATTGCTGTATCCCTTAGCATCTAGAAGAATGGCTGGCACAGAAAGCAACTGATACATATTAACTGCTGGGTGCATTTGCCCATGCCTATAATCCCAGCACTTTGGAAGGCCAAAGCAAGAGGATCACTTGAGGCCAGGAATTCAAGGCCAGCCTGGACAACAGAGTGAGATCCCATCTCTCCGAAAATATTTTAAAAATTAGCTGGGCATGGTGGCGCGCACCTTGCATATCAGCTATTCAGGAGGTGGAGGCGGAAAGATCGCTTGAGCCCAGGACTATAAGGCCGCAGTGAGCTATGATTGTACCATTGCACTCCAGCCTGGGTGACAGAGCAAGACCCTGTCTCTAATAAATAAATAAATAAACAAACAAACATTGAGGTTCTTAACAAATAAAAATTTAAAAAATACTTCCACAGTGTCCCAAGTGCTCGTGCTCTTTCAGGGGATGCTTTTGTCCCACAAAGGGTGCAGCGTCCTCATGCTCTTCCTAAAGTTCTCACTGGGATGGACCAATGCTTCACAAAGAGGTGTGAAGGCCCCACTTCCCAGCTCTGTGCTTTGTCTCTCAAAATAGCAATGCACTGTGTAGGCCCCCACACCTCACAGAGTTCCTTTGAAAACATTTTCTTTGGCTTCTGCCTGCAGTCCCCTCTGCACTGGACTCAGATCTGAGTCTATAGGGTTGGGAATCATATCTGAAACAGACATTATGCTGTCTCCTCCAGTTTTGTGTCTGTATTTCCTCCTCTCCAAATGTTTTCATACAAGTGAAATTTGATTACAAGAGGAAAAACAAATTACATAGTTGGTGCTCACTGAATATTTTTAAAAGGTGCGAACAGTGGATAAAACATTCCAATGACTCAGTGAGGTGTTTTGCTTGAGAAATGTCTGAGAAAGTGGGAGAAGGATAACCCTATCTCATTTACCTTGGAAATAATAGTTGTAGTAATAATACCAGATGTTTCAAGATCTTTTCTAGGTTTTGATGACATTTTTTTGTTTTAGGTTTTTAAATGTATTTTTGTTTGTTTGTTTTGGTATTGGATTAATTCAATTTCTTGGCTCATATAGTCACGTTCATTTTTTTGTGATTTATGTAATCTATTTACTGATGCTAGATTTATCCCTTGATACAGAAGGAAAATTTAACTTATGCAAGACAAAAGGAATCAAGTCCATTTTGATTTTCAAGGTTAATACTAAAGGGAGAAAAGTGATAAAAGTTTCCGTTTTAGAAGCACAACAATTTTTTCTGTTCCTAGGACTTTGAAGTGTGGTTTCATAATCTGAACCATAAAGTCGATGTGTTTCATGGACTGAAGACTTGGGGATGCCTTTCACCTTCAGCAAAGCTGCTCCCATGGGTCCTCTCTGGGCCAGTGGGGCACTTTGAATAGAGCAAAAGTGAGGACAGTACTCAGAAAAGAAAGTCATCTGGGATTCCTCAGAATGATTTTGAAAGCTATCCCAAATCGTCTTTTCCTTCTTTCCCAACATGAACTTAGTTCCTGGTTCATATCAGCCACTTTTCTGCTGCTCTGTGTCCTCTCATATTATTCCCAAGTTGGCATTAGGGCCATGGGAAAGATACCAGAATGGCCCTCCAGACCCTTTTCCTGAAGCTGCCTGTGCTCTTCAGAGCCTGGCTTCAGTCCCTCCTCTTCTTTGTTTCTGTCTCTAACTATTCCCACCCACCTCAAGTTTCCTTTCACTCTGAACACCTCCAGCACTCACAGTCTGTCTCACATTATTTGGCAGATAGCAAATATTTATTATTGGTCAAAGCCATTGCCTGGGAGTCAAGATATTTTTGTTTTAGTTCAAAGTCCATTTACTAAATGTTTTTAGGTTATATCGCCTTTTCGATTTGGGGGATCTTATTTTTTCATATAAAAATATAGGAGTAGGTAAGTTATCTCTAAGATGGCTTTTAGTTTAATTCCATTACCTCTGCTGCTCAAGTAGATTTGAATTGCACATAGGACTGTAACTGAGATTTCTACCTTCTTCATTCCTAACTGAAAGCTGGGTGCAAAGAAGAGCACAAAAAGTGAATACCTAGTGGCTGATTCAGATCCACAGAAAGTGCAAATATTTTAGTTTTTTATTCTCCTATGAATAGGAAATATAACGTCAAACATTTATTGCTATGTTTTAGACTCATTCTAAAATTAGCCCAAGGTTTCCTATATTTCCTACATCCAATGGAACTGTGTATTAGTCTGTTTTTACACTGCAGACAGAAGCATACCTGAGACTGGGAAGAAAAAGAGGTTTAATGGACTTACAGTTCCACAATTGGGAGGCTGGGGAGGCCTCACAATCATGGCAGAAGACAAGGAGGAACAAGTCATGTCTTACATGGATGGCAATAGGCAAAGAGAATATACCAGCAGGGGAAATGACAGATGATTATAAAACAATCAGATCTTGTGAGAACTCACTCACTATCATGAGAACAGTATGGGGGAAACCTCCCTTATGATCAATTATCTCCACCTGGCCCCACCCTTGGCACATGAGGATTATTACATTTCAAGGTGAGATTTCGGTGGGGACACAGAGCCAAATCATATCAAACTGTAAAATTAGAATTCGTGGTCAGAAGATGACTCTGAACTCCTGTTAAAATTTTAAGTATCTTTTTCTTCATTACAGAGGTTCTCAACTGGGGCAATTTTATTCCACAGGAGACATATGTGGCAATGACCAGACATTGTTTTGATTGTCACTACTGGGGAAGTATCACTGGCATCTAGAAGGTAGGGGCCAGGGATGTTGTTTAACATCCTGCAATGTATGGGACTGCACCCTACAACAAAGAATTATGTAGTTTAAAATATTAATAGTACCAGGCTTGAGAAATTCTACTATATAATAAGCCTATTGATGGTGGAGATTTTTGTCTTATTTGTATTTGTTTTCTAGAGATCAATGCTTGTTTCTCATGTTCTCCAAAACTGATCTAATCCTTTCAGCTTAACATTACTGTTAGGTACATTTTATGGAACTAAAATTATTTGAAAATTGATAATGTATGTAGAGCTTTTATTTTGTAATTTTTTAATAATTAGAATATTCAATTAACCAGAACAATCACCATTCTAACCAATAAGTTTCAGAATTAGAGCCTATAACACTATATAGTTTTCTGTACATTGAGCCTACAAAATGTTATTCATAAACAGTAATATAATCCCACCCTAATGGACTCTCTGAAATTGACATTTTCTTCTGAAGTCAAGTTTAATTATGATAAATAAGTTGTATGAATACCTGAAGCACATTTCCAGATGCGAAGATGAAAGAGTGATGATATACTGTTTCTCAGAAACTGAATTAGTGAGTGAAGAGAGAAGGAAAGGGGAGACATATGATGCTTACACAGTCACTGTTAATATTTTAACTTTCCAAACTTCAGCTTTGAGTATAGCATGGGTTTTTAAAATTTATTTAAAGATTTAATTTTTTTTCTTTTTCTTTTCTTTTTTTGAGACAGTCTTGCTCTGTTGCCCATGCTGGAGTGCAATGACACAATCTCTGCTCACTGCAACCTCCACCGCCTGGGTTCAAGCAATTCTCCTGTGTCAGCCTCCCAAGTAGGTAAAATTACAGGCGCATGCCACTATGCCCAGCTAATTTTTGTATTTTTAGTAGAGAGGAGGTTTCACCACATTGGCCAGGCTGGTCTTAAACTCCTGACCTCAAGTGATCCACCCATCTCGGCCTCCCAAAGTGCTAGGATTACAAGCATGAGCCACTGCACCCAGCCGAAGATTTCATTGTTATTTGCCAAAGATGGTATAGATATTTAAAAGCTGCCAGTTCCTAGATTGATTGATCCATTCAATCCGTCTATCATTCAGTCAAGGAACTAAACATGTATAGATTGCTCTCATGTACAATCTTTTTTATTTATTTATTTATTTATTTTTTAGCAGAGACTCACTGTGTCACTGAGGCCAGAGTGCAGTGGCGGAATCTAGACTTACCACAACCTCCACCTCCCAAGTTCAAGCAGTTTTCCTGCCTCAGCCTCCCAAATAGCTGGGATTACAGGTACGCACCACCATACTCGGCTAAGTTTTGTATTTTTTGTAGAGACAGGGTTTTGCCATGTTGCCCAGGCTGATCTCGAACTCCTGACCTCAAGTGATCTACCCACCTCGGCCTCTGAAAGCATTGGGATTACAGGTGTGAGCCACCGCACCCAGCCTCTCATGTACAATCTTCTATGATAGATAAAGACTAAGGAACAAGGATTCTGTTCTCTAGGAGCATACAGGCAAATGGGACAGATAAGACATATCTGTGTATATATCTAATACAAAAAATAATTTTTAAAAAGTTTATGCAAATAAGATGCAAATAAGTGTTCTTGTAGTTCAGAGGAGGAAAGGTAATTTCCAACTGGTGATTTTGGTGGGGGAAGATATGTTGGGGAGGAACTTTGGGATCAGAAAATATGAACACTATATACAGAGACATGAAATGTTCCTTTGGCCCAGTAGTCTTTGCTCTTCCTGACCAGTGTCAAAACCACTATTTACTGTGCATGGAACTTCTCAGAGCCTTTGATATGCTAAGTAAACTTCAAGAGAAGGAGATATTATGCAGCACATCTCAAACGTGTTAGTAAATGTATCACTTTATTTATTTGTCAGGATGTAAGTTCCACAGACCACATTTCAGAAAATGCTGTTTTACTCTATAGAAGTTGGGTGAATGTGGAAGACAGGCCTCTGGATAATTTTAAAATCACATTCAGGGAAGAGGAAGGGAGGTAACAATTTTCATGTGACTGAAATTGTGCTGCGTCCTGTACGTAACCACTTGCATGGGCCACCAAAAACTTCCAGCCCAAAGAAAGGGTTGGGTTTGAGACCAAGGATGAGCAGACTGTTGGGTGCCATGGGGGCTATGTGTTTCATGTCACAGATACACACCAAGAATCCATTTAGCTCCATGGTAACATGGAGACTGGCTGCCTCACTTAGCCGACTCATTTCCTCATATTAAACTTGAACAGTACATGAAAACCAGGTTCCAGGCATCCCCCCAACACCCCTCCTTTTTTTCCATTTTCAGGATTAGAAATTTGATCTTTGGAATTACGCTTTTTTTCTTTTTAAAATAAAACGATGGTGGCAGGTTTGGTATGGAATGCTTCTTTAATTGTAAATAATTGTTTCATATTTTGTCAATGGGGCCTACTTAGAATTGAAGGGTCCCTAGGTCAAAATGTGGAACCCATTCAGACAACATCAAAGCCTTCTATGTTCTCTCCAGAGGGCAGAGAGCAGATACATCTGCTTGATCCAACGCATACTTTTCTTGCAACCAACCAGTCGTTTATTGTTTTAGCACACACTGACAAGCAATGAGACAAGACAGGGACAGAGGAGGCAGCTTGCCAAGGGATAGGGCCCTGAGCATCTGTAAAGCAGCATTGCAAAATCACAGAACACTAAAGCTGAAGGGAACTTATTGATTCCCATAAAAGAATCAGCTTCCCTAGACAAGATGGGGGGAAACTGAGGCCAAGAAGGCCAAGTGACATACCTTAATTAATCAAGAAATAAAATCAGATTCTGGGCTCAGCATCTCAGTCCTAAATCAGTGTCCATTTTTCTGCATCACAAATTAGTACTCACAGTTTGGATTTCATTATGCAATACATTCTCTATCTACTCTTAGCTTTTTTACTTTTAGTTTGTTTGAGAGTAAATTGGGATTCCCAGCTATCCTTTACTCAGGCATGAGCCTTTGGAGGCTTCTAACTTGAAATAGATGGTTCTGGCATTTGGATGGAGTGGAACACAAACAGATTTGCAACAGAGATTCAATTTTGTTGGAAACTCACTGGGGTTGAAAAATGAAAGACGAAATTGCCAGATAGAAATGTGTTTGGGGTTTTAGTGAATCCAGAATGCTGAGAAAGAGTTGAAGAATTTGGACCAATCTCCTCATTGCTTGGCTTGCTCAGCCCTGCTCAGCACTACAGGAAAGTTTGGTGGAAAACACTGGAAAGAGGCTTTGTCTATAAATATCCCAGCAATAACCAGTCGACCAAAACAATCTTGGGCTCATGCTTTTATTCTCAATATATCCATGACACAATTAGCAAATGTTTACTAAGCAACTACTGTGTGCTAGGCAGTGGGGATACAATAGCTTTAGAGATGCTCTCTCTCCTAGCAGGTTGTCTTCTAGCATGGAATTTCCAGGGGCCTGGCATGGTGGTTTGTGCCTGTAATCCCAGCACTTCAGGAGGTTGAACGGGGAGGATTGCTTGAGCCCAGGAGTTCAAGAGTAGGTTGGGTAACATAGTAAGACCCTATCTCTACAAATAATATAAAATTAGCTGAGCATGGTGGCATAGGCCTATAGTCCCAACTACTCAGGAGGCTGAGGTGGGAGGATAGTTTCAGTCTGGGAGGTTGAGGCTGTGGTAAACTGTGATAGTGCCACTGCATTCCTGCCTGGGTAACAGTAAGACCCTGTCTCAAAAAAAAAAAAAAAAAAAAAAGAGGAACTTCCAGGGGACTTCTAGAAATCGTCCTTGACCTGCAGTTCAAGGACACTGCAGCAAATGTTCAGGTGCATCCTTCACTTGTGGAAGGGATCTTGAACTCAGCTCACAACTGAGGTTCAAACGTCAATACTCTGGTCTGGTGCACTGGGGTGCCAGGGGCAGGAGTTGGAAGTCAGAGATAAAGGATCCCCTGAGAGAACATCATCATGAGCGAAGACAGTAGGCCCAGTTGTTCAGATAGAACAATGTGATGATGGTCCGGATGTTGGAGAGAGTAGTGGTTTCAGTTTTGGTGTGAAACTACACTTGACCCAACCAATTCTCCCTCATTCCTCAAGAGTGCTTAGTCCTTTCCACCAGGTATTATGTTATTTAGACATCTCTTTCTCCAACTAGACTGTAAGCCTCTTAAAGGCAAGGTATATATTTTAAATAATAGTAACTTTTGTTGTTTTTTCTCTTACTTGAAAGGAAATGCACATTTATTATCAGACACTTAGAAAATAAAGATAAGCAAAATGAAGCAATACAATGTTTGGAAAATTTCCATACACCTTTCTGTTACTGATTTCTAAGTAAATTACATTGCAGCTAGAGAACGTAATTTGTATGAATTTAATATTTTCAAATTTATTGAGATTATTTTAAGGACAAAAATACAGTCTGTCTTGCTAACTAGTGTATGCGTAGTTATAAAGACTGTGTATTCTGCTGTTGTTGGGTGGGATGTTTTATAAGTGTCAATCAGGCCAGATTGGTTCATAGTGTTGCTCAGGTCTCATATTCCCTTACCGATTCTCTGTTTACTTGTTTCATCAATTAATGAGAGAGAGGTATTGAAATATACAACCCAAGCTGTGGCTTTGTCTATTTTGTTTTCAGTTCTTTTAGTTTTTGCTTCATGTAGTTGAAGAAGCTCTGTTACTAGCTTCTAGTTCTTACTTTGGTGCTGCTGACCCCTGGGTCTGCACAGTTCAGGGTCTCGTGGATCAGGGGCAGGTTTTGAGTGTCTTGGTGAATGCTATTGCTAATAAGAAATAATAAAGTAGGAAGCAGCACCTGATTTTGGTGCTATTTGATACCTTGTTTGAGGAGCCCCTCCCTTATTTTCAGAACCCCATCCCTGACTATCCCCTCTGTGCCTTTGCTCCTCTCTGTGCTATAAAGAAGCTCATTTCAGATTGCTCTGTTAGATTTATTTAAAATTTTCCTTTCTTTTACCCCTCTCCAAAATGCCTGGTTCTATAGGGTTCAGATGAATGGCAACTGTAACTACTGTAATGAGATTAACAAACTCTAGTCCAAATGTTCTATCAGACCCAAGTATTGAATCTATCTCAAGCAAGAAAGGAATCCACTGAAAATATACTGAGTAACTCACAAAATACAGAAGGAGAAGGTTTCTAAGCTCAGAAATGACATAAACTAAGGAAGGCCAGTGAATTAGTCCATTTTCACCCTGATATAAAGAGCTACCTGAACACTGATATAAAGAGCTACCTGAGACTGTGTCATTTGTAAAGAAAAGAGCTTTAATAGACTCACAGTTCCACGTGGCTGGGGAAGCCTCAGGAAACTTACAATCATGATAGAAGGTGAAGGAGAAGTGAGCACCTGCTTCAAAAGGCAGCAGGAGAGAGAGAGAGAGAGTGAGGTGGGAACTGCCAAACACTTTTAAACTACCAGACCACATGAAAACTCACTCACTATGAGAACAGCATGGGGGAAACTTCCCCCATGATCCCGTCACCTCCCACCAGGTCCCTCCCTCGACACATGGGGATCACAGCTTGAGATGAGATTTTGTTCGGGCCACAGAGCCAAACTATATCAGCCAGGCAACAGGTACATAATTTAGAACATGTCACAGGAACAGCTGGTTGGAGTATGGCCACTGACCTGACTGCCTCTGAGCACACTGAGCTACAGCTGCTGGCCCCCTACCTTTGAGCCATTGTCTCTGTCCTTTACGTCATTCTTTCTCTATTCAAAAATCCAAGGAAGAAGCATCCAATTATCCAGGCTTAGGTTTTACACCTGTGTCCCCTTTACCAGAAAGTTGAGGAAGAGAATAATTTGTCCCCTAACTCCAGCTTCTGTAGTTGGGTATGAGCCCAACTCCTCAAGCAGAAAGAATGTTTACTTCTTGTGCTGATCCAAACCAGAATAATGTAATTGAATAATAATTTAACCTTCCTCCTGATAACATATTTTAATAAGTGCATTCAAAACTTTAATGGAAAGGAGGACCTAATACAATAACAGCAATGACTTCTTGCAGCAGAGTGGCTATCAGGTTTATTGACTCCCCTTTGACCATATCAAGAATAACAATAACAAATTATAATTTAAATAATTTTTGCATAGTTTAAAAAGCATTCTTGTAAAAATTATCTCATTTCACCTTGATAATTTTCCTGAGTAACAGACAGTCTAGAATTTTGAGTCCTATTATACAGATGGAAAAACTGACACCTAAGGGGGTTTCACCTAGCCTGAAAGGGAGTAGAAACATGGTTTGAACCCATGATTCCTTTTGCTACATTCTGTTGTCTGTCACATGGAGCTGCCCACTTTCAATAACCCTAGTTCACACTAAGAACCAGAAAACAACTTCAAAAAACTAAATGTCTAAAAAATTGGCCTTGTCTCTAGCAGTGGTTCTCAAATATTGGTCCATGGACCAATGGAGTCAGGTTCACCTGGAGTTTCTGCTGCACCCCATCTTCAGTCCTTCTCCCAGGTGTTTCCCTTGAGGCCACCATTTTTAATACTTTTAACCAAGTGTCTTAGTCCATTCATGCTGCTATAACGAAGTACCTTAGACTGGGTAATGTATACACATTGTAAGTTTATTGCTCATAGTTATGGAGGCTCGATAGTCCAAGATCAAAGTGCTGGCAGGTTCAGTGTCCAGTGAGGGCCTGTTCTCTGCTTCCAAGATGGTGCCTTAAACACTGTTTCCTCTGGAAGGGACAAACACTGTGTCCTCAGATAGTAGAAGGGACAGAAGACAAAAGGGCCTAGCTAGTTCCCTCAAGTCCTTTGACAAGGGTATCATCCCATCCATAAGTGCTCTGCCCTCATGACCTAATCACCTCCCAAAGGTTTCTTTCTTTTTCTTTCTCTTTCTTTCTTTCTTTCTTTCTTTCTTTCTTTCTTTCTTTCTTTCTTACTTTCGTCTGTCTTCCTTCCTTCTAAAAAAAATGGGATACATGTGCAGAACGTACAGGTTTGTTACATAGGTATTCATGTGCCATGGTGGTTTGCTGCACCTATTTATCCATCCTCTAAATTCCCTCCCCTCACTCCTCATCCCCCACCAGGCCCTGGTGTGTGTTGTTCCCCTCTCTGTGTCCATGTGTTCTCATTGTTCAACCCCCACTTATGAGTGAGAACATGCAGTGTTTGGTTTTCTGTTCCTGTGCTAGTTTGCTGAAGATGATGGCTTCCAGCTTCATCCATGTCCCTGCAAAGGACATGATCTCATTCCTTTTTATGGCTGCATAGTATTCCATGGTGTATATGTCCCACATTTTCTTTATCCCGTCTATCACTGATGGGCATTTGGGTTGATTCTATGTCTTTGGTATTGTAAATAGTGTTGCAATAAACATACGTGTACATGTGTCTTTATATTAGAATGATTTATATTCTTTTGAGTATGTACCCAGTAATGGGATTGCTGCATCAAATGGTATTTCTGGTTCTAGATCCTTGAGGAATCTCCATACTGTCTTCCACAATGGTTGAACTTATTTACACTCCCACCAACAGTGTAAAAGTGTTCCTATTTCTCCACAGCCTCACCAGCATACTGTTTCTTGACTTTTTAATAATTGCCATTCTGACTGGTGTGGGATGTCTCATTGTGGTTTTGATTTGCATTTCTCTGATGATCAGTGATAATGAGCTTTTTTTCATATGTTTCTTGGCCACATAAATGTCTTCTTTTGAGAAGTATCTGTTCTTATCCTTTGCCCCCTTTTTAATGGTTTTTTTTTTTTTCCTTGTAAATTTGTTTAAGTTCCTTGTGAATTCTGGATATTAGATCTTTGTCAGATGGGTAGATTGCAAACATTTTCTCCCATTCTATAGGTTGCCTGTTCACTCTGATGATAGTTTCTTTTGCTGTGCAGAAGCTCTTTAGTTTAATTAGATCCCATTTGTCAATTTTGGCTTTTGTTGCAATTGCTTTTGGCATTTTTGTCACGAAGTCTTTGCTTATGCCTATGTCCTGAATGATATTGCCTAGATTTTCTTCTACGGTTTTTATGGTCCACCTTTTAATACTATCACTTTGAGTCTTAGGTTCCAACATAAGAAATTTGGAAGGACACATACATTCAAACCATAGCACTGAACCTGTTTGTTTGTTTCTTTCTTATTCTTCTGATGGTTATCTTCGTGTTTACTGCTAAATTATGAATTATATATTTTAGGCATTATCTACTGTCATCCTACCATATTAGGTTTTAGCTCATAAATATTGCCTTTGATCTCCTTACCCATTCCTAATACAAACATATGACCATTTTTATTATTTCATTGATTACACTTGTAAATGTTGATTGATAATTACACTTGACTCCACATTTTGTACAATGAGGAAAATCATGTCCTTTCTTAACAGTTTTCCTCTCCCACTTTCAGCTTCCAACTTTTCAGATCTATACTTTTATGTTCTTAAGGTTGATAGTATTGGTATTTGTATCCTGTTTCCTAATCATTATTAAGAACTTTGTGTTTTAGCTATAAACTGGTTCTAAATATATAAAATTAGAAAACAGTGTCTATATTATAGCAATGTAAATATTGTTTACCTTGCTACACAAGAGATCCATGCAATCTGTTATGATAATGGCTTATTTCTTGTACAGCCTTCTGTTTACATAGGACAGGGTTTGGCAGAATGTTTCTATAATAGTCAGATAGTGAATATTTTAGGTTTCGTAGACAATATGGTCTCTGTTGCAGTTCCTTTTCAACATTGCTACTGTGGTGTGAAAGCAGCCAGAGACAATATATGAATGAATGAACATGGCTGTGCTCCAATAAAACTTTATTTACAAAAGTAGGCAGTCGGCTGGATTGAGTCAGCAGGTCATAATTTGCCCACCCTGAGTGTAGGAAACTCTAGTTGCCTTTCTATTTTCTTTAGCATTCACCTTATCCCATTCTTAACTTTGTCAAATGTCTCAAAGAAACTATCAAGTCTTTGAGATTCTCTTGTTTTCTCTAATCTGCCTCTACAGCATCTGCTTTCAATTCTGCTAGGATTGGGATTTATAGCTTTCTTTGTGCTTGTTGTCCAGCTATCATTCATTCAATTATTTATTTAGCACCTTCTTTTGGAGCACCTGCAATATATTAGGCAACATTCTAGTTCAGAGATAGCCTGGGGTCAGGTTTAGTTTTACTTTGTAAAGATAATGCAATATGATAAGTTTTGCATACTTGTTTTTGTGTGAACATCAGCTGTAATAAAGCTAATAAAGTAATTATATCTGAAACATATACGTGTATAATAACAATGGCTAGCATTTATTAGGTTTTAATTACAGTATAATAAATGTTTTACATGAATTATTATCCTATTCCCTCTCTTAAGTACTAATCACACTTCTGGGAAGACATTGGTATTTGGGAGGAGAGGCAGTTACTCCTATTTTTTTTAGAATAGTGGTCAACCAATTAGTATAAGATACATAATTTTGGAATTCTTAGAAAGTAAAGAGGCTGGGCACGGTGGCTCATGCCTTCAATCCCAGCACTTTGGGAGGCTGAGGCGGGTGGATCACAAGGTCAGGAGATCGAGACCATCCTGGCCAACACGGTGAAGCCCCGTCTCTACTAAAAAAAATACAAAAAAAAAAATTAGCCAGGCATGATGGCGGGCACCTGTAGTCCCAGCTACTTGGGGGGCTGAGGCAGGAGAGTGGCATGAACCTGGGAGGCAGAGCTTGCAGTGAGCCGAGATCGCACCACTGCACTCCAGCCTGGGCAACAGAACGAGACTCTGTCTCAAAAAAAAAAAAAAAAAAAAACAAGAGAAAGCAAAGAAATTAACTAGATGGTCTCTACAAGGAAATTGGACCGTTAGCAGCAGGAACTACAAATTTGGTGGTCCAGGAATAAGACGATGATATTGGTTTGTCATTTTAATTTCATCCAGATGGCTATAGGACCTTTAAGGAATGTAATGACATTAACAGCAAGAAAATAAAATCACCAGCCGTGAGCTCTAAGCTCTATCCTACCACTCAAAGATTCATTCCCCTGCTTAGTCATCTTTTCATCTGGCTTTATCTTAAAAGGTGAGTGTTATCCTAGACAATTGTTTTATAGGTCACCAATTCTTGTTTTTTTATCAGACCAACTCCATGATTAATTGTTTGATTGGGGAATCTGATGATTTTTTTCATATTTTCATGCAGACCAACAATGGTTAGTATCAGAGCTGATTTTATCCACAGTGGGATGAGTCTCTCATTACTTGGTTTCCTTTTGTTGATAATTATAACTCCTCTCTACTCCCTTTTCTTCCTTAAATTTAGAAATCCCAGTACTTAAGGCAACTCCGGTCACTCCACATTTGAAAACCATCACTTGCATTTTTGAACTTCCTCCAGCCAAATCACTAAAAGAATGTATTCCTGAAGCAATTGCTCTGGTGATTACACCGATTTTGCCTTGTTCTAGTGACAAGTGTCAGGACCAGGGCAATTATGACTCACTGGGAAAAGAACATCCTAAATTGAATGCTGCCCAGGACCTAGGCATCCAGGCTGTCTGGGGTTTGCTGTTTTTATTAAGGCTACAGGAAGGAGGTTTTGTTATATTAGTCACCACCTGTTTAACTATACTTCCTCTCCAGGTTGTCTGTCTGGCTGGCCTGCCTAGGCCCCATCTCCTAAGCTGGGGAATTGATATGTTCATTTAGATCCTTCTTAATTGCTGAGGGAAACAGAGACCATGAGTCCTGCCTGGTTCAGCTAGCCCTGCAGAGCAGCATGGCTGGGCTTGCATTCAGAGGGGTTCTTTCATTATTAGGGAGGTTAGCAATTCTGTGACCAGAGAGCAACTAACACTAAAGCTGTGAATACCTTAAATTTCTCTGACTTCCACAGACAAGATATTTTGGAACAATGTACCTTCAAGAACTTAAATCCCAATGAAAATATAAGATGAGTAAATAACTAACTACAAAAGAGGTTCTCAGTGTGAATTAAGAATCCTTAGGTGAACAGTTATATATATATATATAAATGATAATAATACATAACAAAATAATATAATGATAATCACTAATATTTCTTGAACACCTAATGTATTAGTCCATTCTCACACCGCTATAAAGTATACTACCTGAGACTGGGTAAATATAAAGGAAAGAGGTTTAATTGACTCACAGTTCTGCAGGCTTAACAGGAAGCATGGCTAGGAGGATTCAGGAAACTTACGATCATGGCAGAAGGCAAGAGGGAAGCAGGCACCTTCTTCACAAGGTGACAGGAGGGAGTGCGTGTGAGAATGAGGAAGTGCCACACTTTAAAATCATCAGCCTTTGTGAGAACTCACTCACTCTCATGAGAACAGCATGAGGGAAACTGCCCCCCTGATTCAATCACCTCCCACCTGGTCCCTCCCCTGACACATGGGAATTATTAATACAATTCGAGATGAGATTTGAGTGGGGGCACAGAGCCAAACCGTATCACCTATCATATGTCAGGCTGTATCAAGTACTTTAATAGACTGTTTAATCATTGTTCAAGGTAGGTACTAATACTATCTTCATTGTCAGAGGAGAAAACTGAGGCCCAGATAGAGTAAATGACTAGCCCAAGGTTCCATTACTGATGGGTGGCATAACTAGGATTCTGATTGTTGGATTATATTTTTCTCTCTCTTATCTATGATTATTCTACACATAAATGTCTACAGAAGTTTGAACTAGGATGATGATTGGAGAAAGCTTCAGAGAAGTGAAATTCATATAAGATGGTCTTAAAGCACAAGTTAGAAATAGAACAGTGGAAATAGTAGTGAGAGAAGAAGCCGGGCGTTAAAGGTGGAAGAAATAATGGACAAAGGCTTTATGAGCATTATTTTCTCTTTTATCTGTTGCCTCATCTCTCCAATGCCCCGTGCCTATCTGTACATCTTGTTCAGCTGTATATACTATTGGGTTGTGTGTTCTGACATGATTTTTTTTTTTGTTAAGGCCACTTCATTATGACTAGGTAAGGGGTCCCTCTAAAGGATGTGGGTCTCTCAGTATATCACTTTTGGAAAGGATCATTCTTCTGACAGCACATTGATTCTCCTAATTTTTGGGAGAAACTTCTTAGACAGGAGGAGAACACCTGCTGCTTTTAAGTCTGCCTCTTTGTGAGTCTAAAATTAGAGATAGATTTGAGGGCCCTACTGTACATTGTGGGAAATATCCCTACTTCTGTATGGAGGCAGGGAGGCACATTAAGAGACATCCCCATAGGAGGAGATATTTTAGATGACATAACTGAAGATACTCCATAAAATAGATGATCTTGCTTCATATTACTTTATTTTTCTTTTGTGATCTGAGAATCTTCAGTAGTTTTATTTAAATGCTTAAACTTGATCTTGGCTGTTATGCTCTTTGAACCAAAAAAAACTGTAATGCCCCCTGAGGTCAGGATAGTGAGGCAGCTATAATTCCTTCACTTTCCCCATCTCCATTCTCTCTCTCTCTCTCTCTCTCACACACACACACACACAAACACACACACACACACACACTACCACTCTTACTTTCTTGGTATCCATATACTGCTACCCACATACATACTTTTGGAGGGCAGGCTATGTGTCACACACAGTGTTAAGAACTTCATGCATAATATCTTAATTAATGTTCACGCCAACACTTGAAATAGGTGCCATTATCACCTCTACTTTATTTTTGAGGGCCACAGAACTGGTAAGTGGTAGTTTCAGTCATCTATTGCCATAATAATGCTGCAAAATAAATGGCTACAAAACATCAGTGACATACAATAGTGAATGTTTGTTTTTGTGCATGAGTTTGTGGGGGTTCAGCTAATGTAATCTGGACTTGGTTTATCTCAGCCCGTCCCCCTCTTGTGTCCAGCTCTGGGATGGCTCAGTGGCTTTGCTGATCTTGGCTGGACTTGCTCCTAGGGTTTGACTGGTTACTGACTGATTGAGGATGACCTCAACTGGGATCACTAGGAGTTTTTCTTCTCTTCAGTTCTTGTCCATCCTTGCTAGTCTAGGCAGGTCCATCTTATGGCATGGCAGAGGGAAAGAGCAATAAGCAGAGCCATGCTTATAGTATCATGTCTGCTCATATTCTCTTGGACAAAGCAAATCACATGGCCAGGTTAAGAGGGAATGACAAGGTTACATGGCAAAGGGCTTGGAGAGGTGAAAAATTGAGCCATTAATCCAATCAACCTACCATAATGGTGGAGTTCATACCCCTTCTCACTTCTCTGTCTCCCACTAATTAGTGAAAATTATCTAATATTTTTTCCAATTATTCTTTACTTACCTTCTTCCAAGAGAAGATTAATTATTGACTAGAAAATTTGTGGCTGAAAGGTCTATCCACCTCCCCTTTCTCGTGGAGATTCTCCCCACACTGACAATTTCAGAAAAGCAGTTTTCTTCTTTGTAATGTGTGTATTCATATCCTGGAATTGTGATAACTCATCAGACTCCAAGTGAAAGAATTTTCTTTGGTGCAGTGGTTATCAAGATTCCAGAGGATGAAGACTCTTTTTCAACAACAAAGCACTCACAGAGCCTTACATGATATTAGCTGTGTCAGACTGAAGAAATACATAACAGCAAAGGGTTATTTTAAGTTCAGTCCAGGTGTTTAGACTAATTTACATTTTAATAATCCCCACAATATCTCTATACATTTTGAAAATAGTGGTATTTATATATGTGAGATATTATTTATGTATTTAAGAGAGAGTGCAGTTTGAGTATATGAATTCTTTGTTTCCTTGCCATATCTCTGAGGCTTCCTTCCCAAGTAAAGACACACAGACAAATACATACCTATCTGCCTCTTAGCCTTAGTGACAGAGGCTTTCTTATTACATATTTTACAACATACGTCATAGTAAATGTAGGGCTGACATTGCAAATGGAGCCCACTGGAGCTGCCTTTCACAAGGTGCAGGAAGTGGCAACCTCCTGACTCTCTACAGAGAATCTTCATTGCATACAGGAGAAAGGCCTCTCTCCTAAGCCAGGGATTCAAAAATCTTCCATATTGAGCTTAAACTTCCCTTTCCAGCTTTCTTTTTCACACTGCCTTTATAAAATGCTCCTCTATCCAGCACATTTTGCTTATTTCTACTTTTTGCTTTGCATTAATTATCTTCTCAGTCAGTGATGGGTAACCAATCACCTGTGCCTGAAGGCCAGGTTTCTGGTTCCCTGAATCCTTCCTTAACTTGGTCTCCAGCCTGTCTTTTACTTCCTTATTCTGTTCATCTTGTTACTTAATTGGCTTCTTATATTCAATTTACTTCAATTCACATTTATTAAGCACTTACAGGCACCATACAGCAGGCCAGATCCCAGGGTTTTAGAGTGAAAACTCTCTCTGCTGTGAAAAAACCCAGCTATTTTCTCTACAATACAGATTCCCAACTCCATTGCATGTACTTTAATTTTATATACCCTAAAATACCAAGTAAATAGAAAATGGTTTAAAAGTACACCTTGAATTACTAAAAAGAAAATCACTGATGATATTTTCCCTTGGGGAATATGTATTGAAGGTCTTAAATCTGAAAAGATGAACTTCTGTGGCTTCAGAAGATTTTCCTCTGACCATGGTGAGGAGGGTAATTGTAAGACAGCCAAGCCCAGTGTTGCCTCAACATTGAATCTGGACTATTATCTAAGGGGTCCACCCTGAGCTTAGACAAAAAGTGGAAGAGCAAGAATTCTTTTATTAAGGGTTTGGAAAGGGAGGGGCTGATCAAAAGTTACTTCAGAACAAGAGCCTGGAGGCTCTCTCTGGGCACTTGGCAGTGGTTCCTTGTTGCTTATACCATGTGGATGAATGTTGACAAAGTCAGAAAGGAAATTACTAGATTTGGGATTGAAAGAAATGGATGCCTCAGTTAATTCTTGGCTCCATTGCCTGTATGTCAAATTTTAGACTGCCCCTTTTCCATGACCTCTGTTGGGTAGAAGCAGGACAGACCAGAATCTCCCGGTAATCTCCCTCTGGGCTAGCAGGAGAGACTGCCATGAGAGATGCCCAATAAATATGCCAGTTGGCTTTAAGATTTCCACTGTAATGACCTTGGTGGAATCAAGTAATTTCCCTGCCAATCAAAAGCAGAGATGTCAGTGGAGGAAGGAAAAAGAAAAAAAAAATGGAATTTGGCAAACAGGCATCTCATTTGTATCACATCTTTGAGCAACAACTTCCATCAAGACTGCAGTGTTCCACTTCTGGGTGTGCCCACAAATACCCACTAAGATGGCCTCCCTTGCCTTTATAAATTCATATGTAACAGCTGCTAAGGAACCAGGAAAAAAATAATGCTGATGTTTCCATGTTTAATTAGTGGAATAGTTATTAAAACCGGATCAATCATAGCCTTTCCTGGCTATCTGTCACTATGGTGTTCAAGAGCTTTCTCTTCTTCCTGTGAAAATCAACAATATGTGATTGTATAAAACATTCATAATGTTTCATGTACAAAACAATGGCCAACTTATTTCTTTGCAGTACAGCACAAATCACATAACTGACTAGCAGTCAAGTTTGCACATAATTCTGACTTCAGCCACTCATGTGGTACTTTGCTTCACTAGCTGCTTTTTGGTCCTTTGGGATGGTGGAATAGGACTGTTAGGAAGAAAGACTGACAAAGATTCTTTGCTTGGCCAAACATTAGTCAGGCTCCTGAACCTTCTCCTAGGCCCATTCATATACTTCATTGCAGTATCCAGTTTCAGAAAGAACCCCCACCCTTGATATCTGATCACCCTCAATATCTGATTGGGTTCCTCAACTTCCGCTATCTCCCAGGCAATGTCTGACTACCTGGCCTGTCTTCAGCAAGAATACTGTTAGGTCAGTTGAGCCAGAATCCCTCTTACCACTAATGTTTCCTCTTAGTAATTTTCCATCCACTGACCCCACCCTGCTCCTTGGCTGTAAATTCCACCTTGCTCGTGCTGAATTTGGAGTTGGGTCTAATCTCTCTCCCCTACTGCATGACCTTGTTGCCATAGTCGCTATACCTATCGTGATGGTGCTGAATCATGTCTTCCTTAAGATGCTTTAATGAGTGTCACTGAATAATTTTTTTTAACAAGATCCATATTCTGGCCTTATTTCTGTACTGTTTATTAATTAGCTGTGTATCCTTAGGAAAATTGCTTAAATTCGTTGGATTTCCGTTTTTTCAAAATTGTGAATGAGAACCTATTGTCATTGAAAAATCTACTGAGATGCTAATTGCTGTCATGTTTTGTTTTCAATACTATAGAAAATGGGAAGATTTGAAGGTAATTTTCCCTTTCTCTAACCAGATCCCCACTCCCTTTATCCATCCCTTGTGTTCTGTGCTTTCTGGATCCTAAGGGAATTATGTTTCTTTGTGTATTAGACATCCCCCTTCCTCAAGACCACCACTGCCCAGAGCTTTGTTTGGAAATATGGGGTTACTGTGGAAAGGAAGAAGAAAATTAAGCGAGGGCTGATTTTTAGCCATCTCAGGTGGGGTTAAGCCAAATTCTACTTGAATTTAAAAAGTACATGGCTACTCTGGGTGCACTGCCTATGGGTTAGCACTACTGCATAAGTAGCAGTAAAAAAAGTACTTGAGATAATTTTTGCATGTCAGCATTGTGGTGGAGGCTCATACATGCTTCCTCTCTTTTGGAGTGAATGTCAGGACTGAAATCATGGAGCATATGTGAAAGCATCTAGCCCAAATGCCTCACACGAAGTGGGGTCAATAAATACTTATTACATTTCTCTTTTCTGCCTACTTGTTTGTACTTTATAACTAGGAAATGGTTGAGCCATTTGAAACTCCAGTGTCTACCTTCTTTAGATTAGCTATCAACAAACTGGTTAACTTTTACCACTAGTGTGCACAAAAACTCTTCAATGGGGTTAAGTGGGTAAGAGAGACTTAGGGGATTTTTTTTTAGATTATAAAGGTCTATCTTCATTACTTTTTCTAAAATTGATCTGTCCAAGGTGAAAGTCATTCTAGCTGTCTTTTCTCAACTTCCCTTTTACAATCAGCTTTTTGCCATTTGATATTTTGTTAAGTGAAATAAGCTGAGAATGGAAAGGCCAATAACACATGTTCTTATTAATATATGGAAGCCAGAAAAGTTGATCTCATAGAAGCAGAGAGTAGAATAGTGGTTATTAGAGGCTGGGAAAGCGGGAGGGATAGGGAGAGGTTAGTTAATGGTTACAAATTACAGCTGGATAGGAGAAATAATTTCTAGTGTTCTAAGGGCTATAGGGTGACTATAGTTAACAATAATTTACTGTATATATTCTTTTTCTTCCTTTTTTAATTATACTCTAAGTTCTAGGGTACATGTGCACAATGTGCAGGTTTGACACATAGGTATACATGCACCATGTTGGTTTGCTGCATCCATCAACTCATCATTTACATTAGGTATTTCTCCTAATGCTATCCCTCCCCCAGCCCACAGCCCTCAACAGGCTCTGGTGTGTGATGTTCACCTCCCTGTGTCCAAGTGATCTCATTGTTCAATTCTCATCTATGAGTGAGAACATGCGGTGTTTCGTTTTCTGTCCTTGTGATAGTTTGCTGAGAATGATGGTTTCCAGCTTCATCCATGTCCCTGCAGAGGACATTAACTCATCCTTTTTTATGGCTGCACAGTATTCCATGGTGTATATGTGCCACATTTTCTTAATCCAGTCTATCACTGATGGACAGTTGGGTTGGTTCCAAGTCTTTGCTATTATGAATAGTGCCACAATAAACATACATGTGCATGTGTCTTTATAGTAGCATGACTTATAATCCTTTGGGTTTATACCCAGTAATGGAATTGCTGCGTCAAATGGTAATTCTAGTTCTAGATCCTTGAGGGATTGCCACACTGTCTTCCACAATGGTTGAACTAATTTACACTCCCCCAACAGTGTAAAAGTGTCCCTATTTCTCCACATCTTCTCCACATCCTCTCCAGCATCTATTGTTTCCCGACTTTTTAATGATTGCCATTCTAACTAGCCTGAGATGGTATCTCATTGTGGTTTTGATTTGCATTTCTCTGATAACCAGTGATGATGAGCATTTTTTCATGTGTCTGTTCCCTGCATAGATGTCTTCTTTAGAGAACTGTCTGTTCATATCCTTTGCCCACTTTTTGATGGCGTTGTTTGTTTCTTGTAAATTTGTTTGAGTTCTTTGTAGATTCTGGATATTAGCCCTTTGTCAGATGGGTAGATTGCAAAAATTTTCTCCCATTCTGGAGGTCGCCTGTTCACTCTGATGGTAGTTTCTTTTGCCGTGCAGAAGCTCTTTAGTTTAGTTTGATCCCATTTGTCTATTTTGGCTTTTGTTGCCATTGCTTTTGGTGTTTTAGTCATGAAGTCCTTGCCCTTGACTATGTCCTAAATAGTATTGCCTAGGTTTTCTTCCAGGATTTTTATGGTTTTAGGTTTAACATTTAAGTCTTTAATCCATCTTGAATTAATTTTTGTATCAGGTGTAAGGAAGGGATCCAGTTTCAGCTTTCTACATGTGGCTAGCCAGTTTTCCCAGCACCATTTTTTAAATAGGGAATCCTTTCCCCATTTCTTATTTTTGTCAGATTTGTCAAAGATCAGGTGGTCGTAGATGTGTGGTGTTTTATCTGAGGCCTCTCTTCTGTTCCATTGGTCTGTATATCTGTTTTGGTACCAGTACCATGCCGTTTTGGTTACTGTAGCCTTGTAGTATAGTTTGAAGTCAGGTAGAATGATGCCTCCAACTTTGTTCTTTTTGCTTAAGACTGTCTTGGCAATGCAGGCTCTTTTTTGGTTCCATATGAACTTTAAAGTAGTTTTTTCCAATTCTGTGAAGAAAGTCATTGGTAGCTTGATGGGGATGGCATTGAATCTATAAATTACCTTGGGCAGTATGGCCATTTTCACGATATTGATTCTTCCTATCCAGGAGCATGGAATGTTCTTCCATTTGTTTGTATCCTCTTTTATTTCATTGAGCAGTGGTTTGTAGCTCTCCTTGAAGATGGCTTTCACATCCCTAAGTCAGATTCCTAGGTATTTTATTCTCTTCGAAGCAAGTGTGAATGGGAGTTCACCCATGATTTGGCTTTCTGTTTGCCTATTAATGGTGTATAGGAATGCTTGTGATTTTTGCACATTGATTTTGTATCCTGAGACTTTGCTGAAGTTGGTTATCAGCTTTAGGAGATTTTGGGCTGAGAAAATGGATTTTCTAAATATACAATCATGTCATCTGCAAACAGGGACAATTTGGCTTCCTCATTTCCTAATTGGATACCCTTTATTTCTTTCTCTTTCCTGATTGCCCTGGCAAGAACTTCCAACACTAGTTTCAATAGGAGTGGTGAGAGAGGGCATCCTTGTCTTGTGCTGGTTTTCAAAGGGAGTGCTTCCAGTTTTTGCCCATTCAGTGTGATATTGGCTGTGGGTTTGTCATAAATAGCTCTTACTATTTTGAGATACATTCCATCAATACCTAGTTTATTAAGAGTTTTAAGCATGAAGGGCTGTTGAATTTTGTTGAAGACCTTTTCTGCATCTATTGAGATAATCATGTGGTTTTTGTTGTTGGTGCTGTTTGTGTGATGGATTACATTTATTGATTTGCCTATGTTGAACCAGCCTTGCATCCCAGGAATGAAGCCAACTTGATCATGGTGGATAAGCTTTTTGGTGTGCTGCTGGATTCAGTTTGCCAGTATTTTATTGAGGATTTTCGCATTGATATTCACCAGGGATATTGGTCTAAAATTCTCTCTTTTGTGTGTGTGTGTGTGTGTGTGTGTGTGTGTCTCTGCCAGGCTTTGGTATCAGGATGATGTTGGCCTCATAAAATGAGTTACAGAGGATTCCCTCTTTTTCTACTGATTGAAATAGTTTCAGAAGGAATGGTACCAGCTCCTCTTTGTACCTCTGGTAGAATTCGGCCATGAATCCATCTGGTCCTGGACTTTCTTTGGTTGGTAGGCTATTAATTGTTGCCTCAATTGCAGAGCCTGTCATTGGTCTATTCAGAGATTCAACTTCTTCCTGGTTTAGTCTTGGGAGGGTGTACGCATCCAGGAATTTATCCATTTCTTCTAGATTTTCTAGTCTGTTTGCATAGAGGTGTTTACAGTATTCTCTGATGGTAGTTTGTATTTATGTGGGATTGGTGGTGATATCCCCTTTATCATTTTTTATTGCATCGATTTAATACTTCTCTCTTTTCTTCTTTATTAGTCTTGCTAGCAGTCTATCAATTTTGTTGATCTTTTCAAAATACCCACTCCTGGATTCATTGATATTTTGAAGGGTTTTTTTGTGTCTCTATTTCTTTCAGTTCTGCTCTGATCTTAGTTATTTCTTGCCTTCTGCTAGCTTTTGAATTTGTTTGCTCTTGCTTCTCTAGTTCTTTTAATTGTGATGTTAGGATGTCAATTTTAGATCTTTCCTGCTTTCTCTTCTTGGCATTTAGTGCTATAAATTTCCCTCTACACACTGCTTTAAATGTGTCCCAGAGATTCTGATACGTTGTGTCTTTGTTCTCACTGGTTTCAAAGAACATCTTTATTTCTGCCTTCATTTTGTTATTTATCCAGTAGTCATTCAGGAGCAAGTTGTTCAGTTTCCATGTAGTTGTGCGGTTTTAAGTGAGTTTCTTAATCCTGAGTTCTAATTTTATTGCACTGTTGTCTGAGAGACAGTTTGTTGTGATTTCTGCTCTTTTACATTTGCTGAGGAGTGCTTTACTTCCAATTATGTGGTCAATTTTGGAATAAGTGCAATGTGGTGCTGAGAAAAATGTATATTCTGTTGATTTGGGGTGGAGAGTTCTGTAGATGTCTAATAGGTCTGCTTGTTGCAGAGCTCAGTTCAGTACCTGGATATACTTGTTAACCTTCTGTCTCCTTGATCTGTCTAATATTGACAGTGGGGTGTTAAAGTCTCCCGTTATTATTCTGTGGAAGTCTAAGTCTCTTTGTAGGTCTCTAAGGACTTGCTTTATGAATCTGGGTCCTCATATATTGGGTGCATATATATTTAGGATAGTTAGCTCTTCTTGTTGAATTGATCCCTTTACCATTATGTAATGGCTTTCTTTGTCTCTTTTGATCTTTGTTGGTTTAAAGACTGTTTTATCAGAGACTAAGATTGCAACCCCTGCCATTTTTTGCTTTCCATTTGCTTGATAGATCTTCCTGCATGCCTTTATTTTGAGCCTATATGCATCTTTACACGTGAGATGGGTCTGCTGAGTACAGCACACTGATGGGTCTTGACTCTTTATCCAGTTTGCCAGTCTGTGTCTTTTAATTGGGGCATTTAGCCCATTTACATTTAAGGTTAATATTGTTATGTGTGAATTTGATCCTGTCATTATGATGTTTGTTGGTTATTTTGCCCGTTAATTGATGCAGTTTCTTCATAGCATCGAAGATCTTTACAATTTGGCCTGTTTTGCAGTGGCTGGTACTGGTTATTTCTTTCCATGTTTAGTGCTTCCTTCAGGAGCTCTTGTAAGGCAAGCCTGGTGGTGACAAAAGTCTCTCAGCATTAGCTTGTCTGTAAAGGATTTCATTTCTCCTTCACTTATGAAGCTCAGTTTGACTGGATATGAAATTCTGGGTTGAAAATTCTTTTCTTTAAGAATGTTGAATATTGGCCCCCACTCTCTTCTGTCTTGTAGGTTTTCTGCCGAGAGATCTGCTGTTAGTCTGATGGGCTTCCCTTTGTGGGTAACTTGACCTTTCTCTCTGGCTGCCCTTAAAACTTTTTTCTTCATTTCAACCTTGGCAAATCTGACAATTATGTGTCTTGGGGTTGCTCTTCTCAAGGAGTATCTTTGTGGTGTCCTCTGTATTTCTTGAATTTGAATGTTGGCCTGCCTTGCTAGGTTGGGGAAATTCTCCTGGATAATATCTTGAAGAGTGTTTTCCAACTTGGTTCCATTCTCCCCATCACTTTCAGGTACACCAATCAAATGTAGATTTGGTCTTTTCCCATAGTCCCATATTTCTTGGAGGCTTTGTTCATTTCTTTTTACTCTTTTTCTCTATCCTTGTCTTCTTGCTTTATTTCATTAATTTGATCTTCAATCACTTATACCCTTTCTTCTACTTGATTGAATCAGCTACTGAAGCTTGTGCATGCATCACGAAATCCTCGTGCCATGGTTTTCAGCTCCATCAGGTCGTTTAATGTCTTCTCTACACTCTTTATTCTAGTTAGCCATTCGTCTAATCTTTTTTCAAGGTTTTTATCTTTCTTGCGATGGGTTTGAACATCTTCCTTTAGTTGGAGAAGTCTGTTATTACTGACCTTCTGAGGCCTACTTCTGTCAACTCATCAAAGTCATTGTCTGTCCAGCTTTGTTTTGTTGTTGGCAAGGAGCTGCGATCCTTTGGAGGAGAAGAGGTGCTCTGATATTTAGAATTTTCAGCTTTTCTGCTCTGGTTTCTCCCCATCTTTGTGGTTTTATCTACCTTTGGTCTTTGATGTTGGTGACCTACAGATGGGGTTATGGTGTAGATGACCTTTTTGTTGACGTCAATGCTATTCCTTTCTGTTTGTTAGTTTTCCTTCTAACAGTCAGATCCCTCAGCTGCAGGTCTTTGGAGTTTGCTGGAGTTCCACTCCAGATGCTGTTTGCCTGGGTATCACCAGCAGAGGCTGCAGAACAGCAAATATTGCTGAACCGCAAATATTGCTGCCTGATCCTTCCTCTGGAAGCTTTGTCCCAGAGAGTCAGCTGCCTATATGAGGTGTCTGTCAGCCCCTACAGGGAGGTGTCTCCCATTTAGGCTACCTGGGGGTCAGGGACCCACTTGAAGAGGCAGTCTCTCTGTTCTCAGAGGTCAAACACTGTGCTGGGAGAACCACTGTTCTCTTCAGAGCTGTCAGACAAGGACGTTTAAGTCTGCAAAATTTGTCTACTGCCTTTTGTTCAGCTAAGCCCTGCCTACAGAGATGGAGTCTAGAGGCAGTAGGCCTTGTTGATATGGGGTGGGCTCTGCCCAGTTTGAGCTTCCCAGCTGCTTTGTTTACCTACTCATGCCTCAGCAATGGTGGACGCCCCTCCCCCAGCCAGGCTGCCATCTCGCAGTTTGATCTCAGACTGCTGTGCTAGCAGTGAGCAAGGCTCTGTGGGCATGGGAGCTGCTGAGCCAGGCATGGGAGAGAGTCACCTTTTCTGCTGGTTGCTAAGACCTTGAGAAAAGTGCAGTATTTGCACAGGAGTGTCCCGTTTTGCAGGTAGTCTGTCATGGCTTCCCTTGACTAGGAAAGGGAAATCCCCAGACCTCTTGTGCTTCCCAGGTGAGGCAATGCCTCACCCTGCTTTATCTCACCCTCTGTGGGCTGCACCCACTGTCCAACCAGTCCCAATGAGATGAACCAGGTACCTCAGTTGGAAATGCAGAAATCACCCGTCTTCTGCGTCGATCATGCTGGGAGCTGCAGACCAGAGCTGTTCTTATTTGGCCATCTTGGAACTCCTTTTTTATTTATTTTATTTATTTATTTTTTTTGAGACAGAGTTTCACTCTTGTTGCTGAGGTTGGAGTGCAATGATGTGACCTCGGCTCACTGCAACTTCTGCCTTCCAGCTTTAAGTGATTCTTCTGCTTCAGCTCCCCGAGTAGCTGGGATTACAGGTGCCTGCCACCATATCCAGATAATTTGTTGTATTTTTCGTAGAGACAGGGTTTCACCATGTTGGCCAGGCTGGTCTCAAACTCCTGACCTCAAGTGATCCACCCAACTGAGCCTCCTGAAGGCTGGGATTACAGGTGGGAACCACTGCGCTTGGCCAATTTATTGTATATTTTTCAAATAGTTAGAAGAGAAGATTTTGAATATTCTTAACACAAAGAAATGATAAATGTTTGAGGTGATGGACATGCTAATTAACAGTATCAAAATATCACACCGTATACCATAAATAGATACCATTATTATTTGTCAACTAAAAATAATGATTAAGAAAAAAAGAAAGAAAGGCATATCTCCCATTCATTCCTGATCTTACTATATTTCATTGCCTCAGGCTGTAAAACTAAGTTTGTTTGGTGATCAAAGAGACAGTTTGAAATATTGGAGTCTGTACAGCCTTCTTTAAACAAAGAATCATGGGAGGTCTTCACATGTTTTTATGTTTGTCTTTCTTTCTTTCTTTCTTTCTTTCTTTCTTTCTTTCTTTCTTTCTTTCTTTCTTTCCTTCCTTCCTTCCTTCCTTTCCTTTCCTTTTCTTTCTTTTTTTTGAGACAGAGTCTCACTCTTGTTGCCCAGGCTGGAGTGCAGTGGTGCCATCTTGGCTCACTGCAACCTCTGCCTCCTGGGTTCAAGAGATTCTTCTGCCTCAGCCTCCTGAGTAGCTTGGACTACAGGTGTGCACCACCATGCCCGGCTAATTTTTGTATTTTTAGTAGAGACAGGGTTTCACCATATTGGCCAGGCTGGTATCGAACTCCTGACCTCATGATCTACCCACCTTGGCCTCCCAAAGTGCTGGGATTACAGGCGTGAGCTGCCAGGCCTGTCTTATGTCTTCTTTCTTATTTTATTATTGAGTGTATATATATATATATATATATATATATATATATATATATATATATATATACACACATGTATATATACATACTCACATATGTGATACTTATATGTTTATTTTCATGCAGGGTTAGTTTCATTTCAGGGTTATTGAGTTCTAACATATATACAGCAAATATTACTACATTTTATGTACAGTTCAATGAATATTAACAAATCCATGTTGTCAAACAATAATAACCCTTATCAAGTTATAGAACATTTCCACTCATATGGTTTGGATATTTGTCCCCTCTAAATCTCATGTTGAAATGTAATCCACATTGTTGAAGTGGGGGGCCTAATGGGAAGTGTTTGTTCATGGGGACAGATCCCTCATGAATGTCTTCATGCCCTTCTCACAGTAATGAGTGAGTTCTGGGGAAATATGTTTTTTTTTTAAAAGAGTATGGCATTTGCCTCCTCCCTTTGTCTTGTTCTTTCTCTCACTATGTGATGTGCCTACTCCCTCTTTGCCTTCCATCATGAGTAGAAGCTTCCTGAGGCCTTCACCAGAAGCAGATGCTGGCACTATGCTTCCCGTACAGCCTGAAGAACCATGAGCTGAAATAAACCTCTTTTCTTCATGAATTTTCTAGTCTCAGGTATTTCTTTCTAGCAATGCAAGAACAGACTAACACATCCAATATATCAAAAAGTTCTCTCTTTCTCCTTTGCAGCCTGACCTCTTTCTCTCCCAGACCCTGTCAATCATGGATCTGATTTATATATCTACAGTTTGTATCTTATTTCTTTCTGTGTCTTATATCCAATAGACCAACAAAGTATGACTTTGGAACTAAAGATTTTGACCCACTTTTGGATGCTGTGGGTTCAAACATAGTACAGAGTGAGTGGGAATAAAATAATTTTTGCATCGTTCTTGAATTACTATCATATGAGAGCAAAGCAAATAGAGAATCCATAAGAAAATATTGACCCTAATCCATTGACTCTCCTATCCTTTACTGTCTATTTAACAATTGTTAAATCCAACTTCTCCTCTACTCTATGCCTATGTCAATGTGGCTTAACACAGCAGAAGGATTCTGTGCCAGCACTGCTGATTAGCACCACTTTAAAGTTCACAAATCCTAAGTGTTCTCTTAAGGCTTCCTGACAAATAGTTTACATTTTCCTAGTCTGAGTTTAATGTCCCATTAATATGGTTTTGTTCTATGTCCCCACCATATCTCATGTCAAATTGTAAGCCCCAGTGTTGAAGGTGGGGCCTGGTGGGAGGTGACTGGACCATGGAGGTGGTTCTTCATGAATGGTTTAGCACCATCCCCACTTGGTACTCTATAGTGAGTGAGTTCTCATGAGATCTGGTTGTTTAAAGTGTGTGGCACCTCCCTGCTCCCTTGCTCCTTCTCTAGCCGTGTAAGATATCCCTGCTGCCCTTTGCCTTCTGCCATGTTTGTAAGTTTCCTTAGGCCTCCCTAGAAGCCAAGAAGATGCCAGCATCATGCTTCCTATACAGCCTGTGGAACTGTAAGCCAATTAAACCTCTTTAAAAATTACCTAGTCTCAGGTATTTCTTTATAGCAATGTGAGACTGGACTAATATAGAAAATTGGTACCAAGGAGTGGAACATTGCTATAAAGATACCTGAAAATGTGGAAGCAACTTTGGAACTGGGTAATAGGCAGAGTTTGGAAGGGTGAGGGCTCAGAAGAAGACAGGAAGATAAGGGGAAATTTTGAACTTCCTAGAGACTTGTTAAATTGTTGTGACCAACATGCTGATCGTGATAGGGACAATGAAGTCCAGGCTGAGAGGTCTCAGATGGAAATGAGGAATGTATTAGGAACTGGAGTAAAGGTCACTTTTGCTATGCTTTAATAAATAACTTGATTGGATTGTGCCCTTTCCCTAAGGATCTGTGGAACTTTGAACTTGAGAGTGATGATTTAGGGTATCTAGTGAAAGAAACTTCTAAACTGCAAAGCAGTCAAGATCTGGCCTTGCTGCTTCAACCAGCCTATGCTCATATGTGTGAAGAAAGGAATGAAGGCTTGGAAGACTTCAACTAGATGGCAGAGGATGTATGGAAAAGCCTGGCTGTCCAGGAAGAAGTCTGCTGCAAGGATGGAGCCCTCATAGAGAACTTCTACTAAGGCAATTAAGAGGGAAAACATGGGGTTGAAGCCCACACACAAAGTCCCCACTGGGACACTACCTAGTGGAGCTGTGAGAAGGGGGCCACCATACTCCAAACCTTGGAACAGTACAGCCACCAACAGCCTGCACTGTGTGCCTGGAAAAGCCACAAGCACTCAACTCCAGCCCATGAGAGCAGCTGCAGGGGCTGAACCCTACAAAGCCATGGGTCAGAGCTGCCCAACACTTTGGAAGCCCATCCTTTGCACCAGTGTGCCCTGGATGGGAAACATGAAGTCAAAGGATAGTATTTTGGAGGTTTAAGGTTTAATGACTGCCTTGCTGGTTTTTGGTCAGACTTGCATGAAATCTTTTGGCTGATTTCTCACTTTTGGAATGGGAGTATTTACCCAGTGCCTGTACACTCATTGTATCTTGGAGGTACCAACTTGTGTTTGATTTTACAGGCTCATAGGTGGAAGGAACTTGCCTTGTTTCAGATAAGAATGTGGAATTTTGAGTTAATGCTGGAAGAAGTTAAGACTTTGGGGTACTGTTAAGAAGGCATGATTGTATTTTGCAATGTGAGAAAGACATGAAATTTGGAGGGCTAGGAGTGGAATGATATGGTTTGGTTCTGTGTTCCCAACAAATCTTATGTCAAATTGTAATCCCCAGTGCTGGAAGTGGAGCCTAGTGGGAGGTGACTGGATCATGGAGGTGATCCTTCATGAATGGTTTATCACCATCCCTCCTTGGCACTGTATAGTGAGTGAGTTCTTGGGAGTTCTGGCCATTTAAAAGTGTGTGGCACCTTCCCCCGCCTTGCTTCTTCTCCAGCCATGTAAGACATGCCTGCTTCCCCTTTGCCTTCTGCTGTGTTTAAGTTTCCTGAGGTCTCCCTAGAAGCCAAGCAGATGCCAGCATCATGCTTCCAGTATCAGATATTTCTTTGTAGCGATATGAGAATGGATTAATACAGCCATTCTTGTAGATGACTGTTTTATAAATTTTCCTAGTCCTCAAGTCACCAACATCTCCCTTTGGATTCCTAGTCTCAATGAAAATACTGAGGCAATCACAAGAGAATTTTCACAGGCTCTCACCATCATTATTGTCAATGTATCTACTGACAATTTATATCTGCATACTCTACCTTCTTTCTGTTAAACTCTTCAGGTACAGGCAAAAGACCAATGCTTCCACTTGCATGATAGACTCCATTCCCTAGCTTATGCATAGATAATATTCCAAGCATTCTCCCCTCTTTCCCAGATTATTAATTTTCTGCCATCTATTAGGCCATTCCTAATTAATATATAAACAAACTGCTATTTCTGTTATCATAAAAACAAAACAAACCTCTCAATATCACTTCTCCTACTGGGTGTGTATTGTCCCATTTCTCTGCTCCCCTTTACAGCAAAACTCCTCAGGAGAGTGTCTCAACTCACTGTCTCCAGTTCTTTTCCTTGCATTCTGTCTTAAACTCACTCAACTGAATCTTTTCCTGCATGGGGGAGAAAAGTAATATTACCTCTCACCCATCCCAAGATTCATGGCTGAGGCCCCTATAACAAAGGAAAGATTGTCAAAAGAAAACCATACAAATTTGTTTAATATACATTTTACATTAGCTGAGAGCCTTTGAAATGAAGACTAAAAGAAAGCAGGAAACCTGTGTTTTTTTGTGAAAAGTCATGCAGAAATATGATTGGAGGACAAAAAGACATGATCTAATGGTAAAAAACTGATGGGAACTTAGCAAGACCTGTTTATTCAGATTCTTCTTGGCATCTCTGTATCTTCAAGGATAAAGTTATTTCTTTCCTCAAGGTACAGGGTGGACACCTCAGGATAAAGTTTTTATGACCTAAACTTACATTAGAAAGTCAGAGAATTCTTTTTTTACCTACTTCAAGGGAGAAGAGGGAGGGAAAAGTGAGCCTGACTGCTATGGTTTGAATGTGTCCTCCAAAAAACATGTATTGGAAATTTAATCCCACGTGCAACAGTGTTGAGAAGTGAAACCTTTAAGAGATAACTAAGTCTTGAGGCTCTGCCCTCATGAATGAATTTATGTCATTTTCACAGAAATTGGCTCATTATTCCAAGAGTAGGTTTGTATAGAATCTAGTTAGGACATTTCTTGCTCTCTCTCACCATGTGATGTCTTCCACCATGTTATGATGGAGTGAGAAGGCCCTTACAAGACGCAGCTTCTCAATCTTGGACTTCCCAGCCTCCAGAACCATGAGCCAAGTAAACTTCTACTTTTTATAAATTATCCAGTCTGTAGTATTCTGCTGTAGCAGCACAAAATGTAAGAAGACAATGACCTTTTTTCTGCTGTTTCTTCAACTGTCAAGAAGACAATGACCTTCTTGTTTCTGCTGTTTCTTCAAGTGTCAAGGTACCATATTTTGGGGTGTTGTGTCCTAAACTCCATCTACTGCATCATCTTCTAAAACCTTTCTTGTCAAGGTCACCAATGACCTTCATTTTGCCAAGTCCAAAGCCTAAAGTCATTGTCTTACTTGAACTTAAATGCCATATGACATTGTTGATCACCACTACTTTCCTGGAAGTCATTTCATCCCTTGGCTTCCAGGATAACACTTTTTTCATGTTTTTCTTTACCTAATTGGCTACAGTTTTTTAGTCTCCTTTTTATCCTCTTCTCCTATTTATCTTAACATTGGGTCTCTAGTCCTTTCTATCTACACTCATTCCATAATGTCATCCAGTTTCATCTGTATGAAGAAAATTCCCAAATCTATGATGCTACCTTGAATTTTTCTTTGAACTCCAGACTCAAATTGCATATTTGATTGCTCCACTTGAATGTCTAATAATCATCTCAAACAAAATATTTAAAAGAGAACTATCTTTTCCCTAATACCTACTTCACCTGTAATCTCCATCTCTTTTCATGGTAATGCTATTATATCAAAGACTTTCATCTATTTTTGATTACTGCTATATCCCTAGGAACTAGGCTCTGGTACATTCATTCAACACATACTTGCTGAATGAATATTAATGATTATAGCACTGGACTAGGTGCAATGGCTAACACCTGTAATCCCAGCACTTTGGAAAGCCAAAGTGGGAGGACTGCTTGTGTCCAGGAGTTTTAGACTGGCCTAGGCAACATAGCATGACCTTGTCTCTATAAATCAAAAATTAGCCAGGTGTAGTGGTGCATGCCTGTAGTCCTAGCTACTTGAGAGGCTGAGGTAAGAGGATCGCTTGAGCCTAGGAGGTCAAGGCTGCAGTTACATGTGATTGTGTCACTGCCCTCAGCCTGGGCAACAGAATAAGACCTGGACACACACACACACACACACACATACACACGACTATAGCACTTTATTGCATCCAGGTAACACACTCATAACAAAGTTCTATTTCTGAGGCCAGGTGTGGTGGCTCATGCTTGTAATCCTAGGATTTTGGGATACCAAGGTGGGAGGATTGCTTGAGGCTAAAATTTCAAGGTCAGACCACATCTGTACAAAAGAAAAGTCAGCTGGGTGTGGTGGTGCACACCTGTAGTCTCAGCTACTTGGGAGGCTGAAACAAGAAGATTACTAGAACCACTAGTGGATAGCACCCACTGCACTCCACCCTGGGCAACAGAGACTCTCTCTCTTAAAAGAAAAAAATCCCTATATGTCCTTCCTTTCTTCTCTTTCCTATTTTGTATTTAGAATTCACATGTAATAATCTTAAATTTAATTCAATACTTATTTAATTTCAGACTTTTTCTTCAACAATACTTGACTTGGCTGTCTGACTTAATTTGACAAGGATTCTCCACTTGTTGAATGAGTAAAACCTGCAAGTGCATTTAAAACACAAATGAAGATAAAATAATTTTATTGAAAAATGTATGACAGTGTAATTTTTTTACAATAGTTTATTCTTAAATGTACAGCAGGCTCCAAGACAACATTTCATTCTAGCCAGGTGGCAAGACATGTTATGGCAGATCTTTAAATATGAATGGAATCAAGGGGCACCATTGCCTCAGGCATAAGGAACAGTTCATGGTTTCCCAGATTTCTTAATTCCACCTGTGGCCTGGGGCCCTTCCTCGTAGCCTTTGCTTTTAGCTTCTTGAGTTTCTTTTGCTCCACTTTTGGCTTCTGCTTGAAAAACCTTTATTTTCCTTTTCTATCTCCTTGGTCTGCTTTCTGGGCTGTTTCAGGGGCTTCTTGCCACCTTCATGGCTGGACATGGTGCCTGCTATCCCTTCCACATTTCAAGTCAATATTATTTCGAGTTTTTCAAACCTTTCTGTATATATTGGGTTAAACAAGTTTCCTGAAAGTGAACAAGACATATCAATCACTTGACAACTTTGGATAAAGCCTTTTTGTTGTATTTTCCAGATTTCAGAAAGTGGACGATTTTGTCAGATTATAGACCTTTTGCAACTCAAGTGGCTTCCAATTCCTTGTTTCCAATAAAAGTAGCCAGTTGGCAAATTACTAAAAATGACTCTTGAAGATGGTTCCTTGTGGAATTTTTGCTATGTAACTTAAAAAGAGTTCAAATCATTAAATTATATTGCTATAATAAAATTCCTTCTATACATATTTATAGGACTAGGTTTTTTCAGTACTTACATTTATAAAAAATAAAAAACATGAGTAAAATTGATACTGAGCTGTGTCTCATTAAAATAATTATTATTATTTAGTGAACTAATTGAAAAAATTCTCATTTTATTAAAAGACATATGTCCAATAAAATTTTACTTTTTATGTTCAATTTAGTTATTTATTGAACTTTGTAATATATATGTTGTTTGGAACAATTGTATACTACCAATAATTTCAATGGCTACTTCAATCTAGAAGAAATTATATGGATGAGAGGATTATGGATACAAGCAATTAAAAGTAAATTCATATTTCAAATAACATACATATGTCAGTTGCGGAGAGTATTACAGGGTGATTAAAATAGCATAAAGATATATTTTATTATGGTAAATTATGTGAGGGGCATTCTTTTTGATGCCTAAAAAAAGCAACGATGTAGCATGTATGTTAAATGTTCATTTATGTGTTTTTAAATAGTTGCAAACCAAGTTGCTAGGGTATTTAACTTTCATTGGACGAATTTATAAAAACATGCAGCAGTTTTGTTTTTAAATGTTGTTATTTACAATACACCGGAAACATCACCTTTTGCAATTATTTAAATTTATGATGAAAAATTTGAGAGAACATTTACAAAATATGTGAATGGGTACTTAGCTTTCCATGTTTTGGTAAGTAAGCAAACCAAAAGTGGGAAGATCATTGTTACAGAGAAAATGAAAAGTGCAATTTAGGTAAAGTTGGTGCTTTACTTACTGCGGGTAGCAAAGAGTAGTTGGGAAGAAATGAGGAACAATGAAAGGAGGATTAGCATACGTTATTTGCAGTACAACAGAAGTACCATAGAGGGGCGCTAGAAGACTGAGGGACAGAGAGGTCTTTGGCTGACCCAGCTGGAAGGGAAGTGGCTCTTGGGGCAAGCAAGGGTGAAACAAAATGGCGAAGATTCGTCAAAGATGTTCAGCTGCACAAGGATATGATTGGATTCGTGACCGCAAGTTGGCTTGGGACAACAGATTTCCAGGGAGTTGGAACGCGAAGCTGTTCCAAGCACAGTTGGTGAGTTGGAGTCAGTGCGGATGGAGAGGAACCATGAAGATTTCACCTGGGGGATGCTATAAGTCCATCCTGACCACTCATGGTTCGACTCATGCAAAGCAGTCTGTGTGTCTTACACATAGAAGTGAGAGCACCTCAGGATTTCCCATGCCACTTAGGAAGAGGAATGCAGTGTTGGTTGTAAATGAATAATGGGTTTGCTTACTGAAGACACCCAGACTCTCTTGGTGACTGTAATGATACCTGTGTAAGCAAAAATTTACTTTCCAAAGGCAATCAGTATTTGGTTAAATCAACTACTGAACTTTTTAGAAAGAGTACTTTGTATTTCAGAGTCTCCTGGGTTGTTGGAAAGTAGGAGCTATCGTCCATGAAAGTAGCGATTTAGGAGAATTCCTCCAGGATTTCACAGATGATGGTGCTGCAGAGACGATTTTCCGCCTTGACCATTCAGGTGTTCAGTTGCAATTGTATACTACCAGCTTGTTTATTGGATTAGAAGCAAATCTGGCTAGTGAAATGTAAATCTAAAAACATCTCCAAGACAAAAATAACTGTTTAGATTCTCAATCATTCACATTATTTAAACCCTGATTTCTACTCCAGCTTCTTCCTTTCCTTCAGAAGCACAAATGATCACATCACTATATTTCTATTTTGTAAATACTCCAGTTTTCCCAGCAGGTACTCTTGCCTGTAGAGGAAAATCTGATTTTTTAAATCTGGCATTTAGGGACCTTCACAATTTACCTCAATCTATATTTCTTATTTTATTTTTTTATGATGTCCTTATGTGGAGTCTCAGCACGGTCCATCTGCTTCTCTGCCATCTGAATATGACTTCAGGATATAGCATGTGCCAGACTGAGACACAAAAGATGATTGGTGATCACTTTTAATAGGGCAATCAAGGAGGTTTTCGGAAGGAGATGACATTTGAACTGGTTCCTGATTTGTTGGATTTCAAGGTATGGGTTTAGAGTGAAATATCGAGCTATTGGTGAGAACTTAGATGTGGCCCAGCCTTCTAGGAAATTTATTCCAATAAAAGTCACCAGGAAGCCAGGGACTATTCGTTTTGGTCTTTTCTTATTATATTCTATGCCAGTCTGGTGAAAGTGTCTCCATTAGATGTGTACTTAGGTGTCTTTCAACACATAGAGTTCTGAAGTAGGAACTTCCTGAAATTTGATCCACTAGTAGGCAGAATTTGATACAGGGGCACTTCTGTCTAGTATACTGTTCATGTTGTATTATAATCAAAGAGTGACTACATTCCTATATCTTTCACCTAGAGCATTTTCACATAGGAGTTATCCAGACAGCTCTTAGGCAAAATGGTGATTGAGATCTTTCTTTTTTTGAGACGGAGTCTCACTCTGTTGCCCAGACTGGAGTGCAGTGGCGTGATCTTGGCTCACTGCAAACTCTGCCTCCCAAATTCAAGCTATTCTAGTGCCTCAGTCACCCCAGTAACTGGGATTACAGGCATGCACCAGCACGCCTGGCTAATTTTTGTATTTTTAGTGGAGACGGGGTTTCACCATGTTGGCCAGGCTGGTCTCAAACTCGTGGCCTCAAGTGATTCGCCTGCCACAGCCTCCTAAAGTGGTGATTCGTATCTTTATTGTCAACCTGGGATTCGGAAAAAAAATCCTTAATCAAGAATCTGAGAGTACAGATCCTAGACCTAGCAGTGCCACTTGATGCTAATAAGAACAACAAAAACAAAAGCTTCTCCACCCTGGTTTTCCCACCTGTGAATTTATATAGTAATAATTTTTCTTATTTTTAGGTGTACAGTGGAAATTACATGTTAATATAGGCAAACATTTTTCCAAGAAATAAAAACACCTTAAAATGCAAAGGATCAAATTCCGACCCTTTAGTTCTCTGTGAAGGTACAATTAAGAAAAATGAAAAATATAGGTATGCAAATGTGTTAGATGGTACAGGTGAAGTTCAGGAGAGTCAGGACTTTGTTTTGCATTATATGTTCAGTTCACTTTACCAACATATAGTGAGTATGTGAACAGTGCAAGTATACTGACACTGTTCACATACTCGCTATATGTTGGTAAAGTGAAGGGATGAATGATTGACTGGAGGCATTTAGGAGCCTTCTGCTAGCTGGCTTACCTGGCTGCCAAAGCTCTCTATCTAGGTGACTGGCTGAGTGAAGTCTCCAAACTGTGTATATTTTAAGGATATCTTGCTTCCACCTGCTTTTCTCCTTGTTTTGATAGCAGTAATAGTTAACATTGCTTGAGGACCAAATATGTGCTACTTCTTTACATAAACCATTGGTAATCCCCACAACCCTGAAAAAGTGTTTATTCCTATTTTAAATATCAGGAACTTATGCTCAGAGAGGCTAAATAACTTACTAAAAATGGTATAGCTAATGTATCAGTTTGGATATGTTAGATTATGCTGTAATAACAAACAATCTCTAAATCTCAGTGTGGTGGTTAATACTGAGTGTCAACTTGATTGGATTGAAGGATGCAAAGTATTGATCTTGGGTGTGTCTGTGAGGGTGTTGTCAAAAGAGATTAACATTTGAGTCAGTGGGCTGGGAAAGGCAGACCCACCATTAATCTGGGTGGGCACAATCTAATCATCTGCCAGCATGGCTAGAATATAAAGCGGGCAGAAAAATGTAAAAAGACGAGACTGGCCTAGCCTCCCAGCCTACATCTTTCTCCCATGCTGGATGCTTCCTGCCCTAGAATATCGGACTCCAAGCTCTTTAGTTTTGGGACGCAGACTGAGTCTCCTTGCCCCTCATCTTGTAGAAGGCCTATTGTGGGACCTTGTAATCATGTGAGTTAACACTTAATAAACCACCTTTTCTAAATATATCTATGCTATTAGTTCTGTCCCTCTAAGAGAACCCTAATACACTCAGTAACTTAAAATATAATGGTTTATTTTTTGCTTGTAATACATATTCACTGGGAGCCAGCAGGAAGGCTCTGCTTATTATACTTAGGGATACAGGCTGCAGAGCAGCAACCATCACAAATATCCCTACACCAGAGGGAAAGGCATCTCTGGAGAGTGTCATATCAGCAACAAATGCTTTACTTAGAAGTGACATCCATCCCTTCTTTTCATCATACTTTGACTAGGATTAGTCGTATGACACCACCTATTTACAGGTGGGCCAGGAAGTATAGCTCTGCCATGTGTCTGGAGGATAAAGCCAGACATTTTGGAGGTGATGCAAATGACTACCAGGGCAAGTAAGTCAGAGACTTGGTTTCTGAATCCAAAAGTATTTGACTCCAAAGCCAGGTTTATTTCACAAAACCACATGGCTTTACTCAACTTGCCTAGAGTTCTGGGTCTGGGGTAGATCCATACCTTTTGACTTCCTGTTGCTTTTCAGTCAGGATTGTCTCAACCCTAAATCTTTATAGGCTGAGAATAACCCTTCCCTCTCAATTGTCATACCAGAAAGCCTGACCCCTTTGGCCTAAGGCAGATGAGGGCTTGAAAATTAGACCCTGATGGGGTATGGTACTTGTCCCTGTTCCTGCTATCTTCTGCCTCTATATCTATGCAGAAGCAGGATCAAACCACTTTCTGCTCTTCCAGTCCCAGAGGCACTAGAGTGACTTCTAGTACCAGAGCAGCTGGAGTGACCTAGCAATTGGCTAGGTACATCCTGAACTATAGAAGATATGTGCTGGGCCAAAAGCAGGACTTTTTCTTGGAAACTTGAATGGAGCTGATGACAGTGGCCTGTCAACAGCGCCGTGACTGTAGTTTAGGGTCATTCACATTTCTCTCTTTATAGGAAGCCCATGTTAGGAGTTTAGAGGAGGCTGCCCAGAAAATAGCCCTGAATCAGAAGTCAAGAGGTTTGAAATCAGTCCTGGCTGTGTCATCATTAGCTGTGTGACCTGGGGTAAATAATTTAATCTCTGTGAAGTGTGAGTTTACTTATCTGAAAAAAGAATGACCGTTCCAACATTCACATTTTTTAAATGAAAATGCCAATCTGCAAATAATGTGAAAGGCTAACATCTAAATAGTGCTTAATACTTTACACAGTTTTTTTTTTTTTTTTTTTTTTTGAGACGGAGTCTCCCTCTGTTGCCCAGGCTGGAGTGCAGTGGCGTGATCTCTGCTCATGGCAAGTTCCAACTCCCGGGTTCACACCATTCTCCTGCCTCAGCCTCCCGAGTAGCTGGGACTACAGGCACCCGCCACCACGCCCAGCTAATTTTTTTTGTATTTTTAGTAGAGATGGGGTTTCACCGTGTTAGCCAGGATGGTCTCGATCTCCTGTCCTCGTGATCCACCCGCCTCGGCCTCCCAAAATGCTGGGATTATAGGCGTGAGCCACCACGCCCAGGCTTTAAGAAGTTTTTCAACTGCCCTGCTATGTAGGCGTGATCACCATGATTTCCCCATTGAAGAAACTAAGTCTTGTAGGATTAGGTCAGTTGCCTAAAGTCTCACAATTAATAAATAACAGAAGTAGGACTTGAATATAAGTCCCTGTCTCCAAATCTGGTATTCTTTCCCTTGTCTGAGTCTTTAACTAGGGTGGTCCATAGGATGTGAAAAGGAATGCACAAGTAAAGAAAGCGGGAGGCAGAGAGAAAGCAGTAGAGGATTTGGATCCTTGAAGACCAGATTTGCATTCCAGCTTTTCCAAATACTCGTTTGTAGTCCTTTAAAAGCCACTTCATCTTTCTTTTTCTGTTTGGCAAATGTAGACAGGGCTGATAGTCATGTGGTATATAATGGTACGGTCATATTGCTTATTAAAATACTGAAATCCTTCCATACTATTTAGTGAATACCCATTCCAACTGATCCCCTCATTTGAGGTCCCCTCCCACCTCCTCACACTTTAGCAACAAAAGGGTTGATAGGCTTAGCAGGAATATTAAGGACCCACTTCACTCCAGGGCTATGGCTTAGCAGGGGACATTAAGGACCCACTTTACTTCAATGATTAGGAATAATAGCTACAAACATGAGAGGGTCAGCCATAAACCTTAAAGCACTATTTTCTAAAATGTCATGGAAATGCCCTCTGGAAAAATAATTCTGTTGTGTAGAAAACCTACATAGAATTTTACCTAGGAAAGACTTACTGTACATTAGCCTATTCAAGACTCTGAGATGGCCTGTTATAAAGGAACTTATTTTACATTTTTAACTTTGATTTTTTCTAATATTTGAGAATATAATTCATTTTTCCCCATTATCACCTATCATATTCTCTGCTAATTTTGTGAATCTTAGCTTTTGACCTTGAGCTTATTATTTTCTATGTCTACTTATTCTCTTACAGTACATCTTTTTATGTGGTGGTTCACATAGTTTGTAACCCAGATGCTGTTTAGTCCAGGGTAGAGACAGTCAACTTCTTACGGTAGGTTTATTGCAGGTTATTCTAGAGTTCAGCTATCCTAGAATGACAGGAACAAGAAAAAACAATAGCATTATCAACAACAGTGGCAGCTAGTATTGATTGAGTGCTTTTGATATATTGAGGACTCAGCTGAGTGCTGTACATATTATGCTGGTTATGGTGCTTAACTCTGTTGCATTTCAAATGATCAGTGTAAGCCAAGGGGTAGTAGACTATGGCCCGTGGGATATTCAATCCTAGGCCTGTGATCGTAAGATCCATGAGATAACAATTTTTAAAAATGTTTTTACAAGGTTCCAAGAAGAAGACTGGTGTGTTACAGAGACTGTATGTGGCCCACAAAACCTATGTTATCATTTTGCCATTTATAGAAAAAGTGTCAATACATGATAATCCCACCTTGTTTTCTAATGGCTGGAATAGGTTTAGACATGTGGTCCATTCAAACAAATAGTCATTGAGTCATAACCACTATTTGAATGTTAGGGGCACAGCAGTAAACAAAACAGACACAAAATCGTATTCTTGTGTATCTTACATTCTAATTCATTCTACTTAATAAGATATAAATCTGTTACTGTTTGCTTAAAGCTTCTCACACTTAAGTATGCAATATTGCAAAGGATATTTCCTTTTTATGTTTAGATATTTCTCTCTTTAAATGTGGTAGTTCTAACTTATAATTGTAAGGGGAACCAGCTCAAGAAAGACCCTGCCCATTAAGGGTGACAGAGAAGAAAGTTGAGAATGAATTAATTAAGCTACTGAGTCAATCAACCTTGAATTCTGCCGTATCTTAGGACTTTCCAGTATATTAGATAATAATTTTCTTTATTGTTTAAGTCCTTTTAAATCACTTTTCTGTTACCGAAATTAACTAAAGGTAATGTATACGCATGTGTTGCCTAATTTAATCCTTATGACAACCCTATGAAATATTTATTATTCCATTTTGCAGAGGAAGAATCTTAAGATCAGAGAAATTAATTATTTACACAGTCAACATATTATGTAACATAACCAAGATGAGAACTCAGGTCTCTCTGACTCGAGTTCAATATCTCCCTCTTACAGAATTTCTAAGCAGTGAGAATTGTTAGAGGGAAAGGCAGAAAGCCAATACGGAGACAGTTTTTCATGTCCTGAGCCTGTGTATATGACTGTGTCATTGAGTTTCTTCCTCTTTTTTAGATCTAGAGTAATGTTTCTTTCTTTCATTTTTATTTTTTTTTTTTTGAGACACAGTCTTGCTCTGTTGCCTAGGCTGGAGTGCAGTGGCACAGCAACCTCCACCTCCTGGGCTCAAGCAGTTCTCCTGTGTCAGCCTCCTGAGTAGCTCAGATTACAGGTATGTGCCATGGCTAATTTTTGTATTTTTAGTAGAGATGGAGTTTCACCATGTTGGCCAGGCTGGTCTTGAACTTGTGACCTCAAGTGATCCGCTGGCCTTGGCCTCCCGAAGTGCTGGGACTACAGACATGAATCACCACACTTGGCCGAGTAGTGTTTCTTGACTCCCATCCCACTATGAGAAGACAGCATTTTCCCATTTGTTGGGCATTCATTGTCCTAAGACAATTGTATAATACACATAAAGAATAAGGGAGAGGCACATCGCCCAGGGAGGGACAAAACTGTCAGTTTCTTTCCATCTTCTCCACAATCATCTGATCACTTTTCACTTTGTCTACTCCAGTAATAAATTCCCATCTGGTCTATGTTTATTCACTCTGGCCTTCCAATTCAATCTTCACATTGCAACTAGAAGATAAAGACAGATTTTTAGGCCAGGCGTGGTGGCTCACGCCTGTAATCATAAAACTTTGGGAGGCCGAGGAGGGTGTATTACCTGAGGTCAAGAGTTCTAGACCAACCTGGCCAACACGGCAAAACCCCGTTTCTACTAAAAATACAAAATTAGTCAGGCATGGTGGCGGGTGCCTGTAATCTCAGCTACTTGGGAGGCTGAGGCAGGAGAATTGCTTGAACCTGGGAGGCAGAGGTTGCAGTGAGCCAAGATTGTGCCTCTTCACTCCAGCCTGGGCAAAAGAGCGGAAGTCCATCTAAAAAAAAAAAGACAGATTTTTAATATGGTCTACAAAGCCTCTTCAGCTTCATTTTTCCTCAAGTGCCCTCCTGCTTTCTCTGTTCCTGTGTACTGGCTTTTATCAACCATTCGTTTCTGCCTGGAATGATCTTTCTTTCCTTCTATGCCCAATAAACAACTGTTTGTCCTTTTGATATCTGTTCAAGTTTTTCTTTTTCATACCAGCCTTTTCTGATCTCCCTGACTAGATTGACTCCCATCATAAGCTCTCAATGGGCCATGTGCATTTCCTTCAAAGCGCATGGCACAATTGTAGTTTTTCATTAGTGTGTATGATTACCCATTTATATCTATCTACCCTACTATATTATGTGCTCTAGGAGAGCAGTGGCCACATCTGCTCCCCAGTATGTGGCACACAATAGTTGCTCAATACATATTTGTGGAATTAATGTGTAAATGTATACAGAAAAGACATTTTACATTTCATCAGTGATTTAAAACAGATTTCAGAGCTCAGGTTGTAGCAATCTGAGTCCCTGCGGGAAATAAGTGAGATCATCAAATGGAACAATTTCCACTTTGAACAAGGAAAGTTCAACCTAGGGACTATTTACATAGTTGTAACTTGGTTATAAGGGAAAGTAACAAGGAATGGTGAAGCACCCTGGGGTTTGCAACAGTGAGTTAGAAGTTGGTACCCCTAAAACTGAATGGGCAACTGAAGGGAGAAGTTTGGCCTTAAAGAGAATAGCCATGGTTCTAGAAGACAACCACAGGATAGGTGCTGTGGCCATTGTAGAGGATCCCAGCCAAGCCAATGAAGCTCTGCAGTGTCTAGTCATGTCAGAATTATAAAATCAAGAAAAAACATTGTCATCATCATCACTCTCTTCCCTTCCTTGACCTCCATCCAGTGCCTCCCATTGGCTAAACCCAAGTGAAATCCAGAGGGAAGAGAACTGAATGATGTTCATAAAGGCCTGGACTTTCAGGGGACAGAGCTGGGTGAAAAATGGAGAAAATGGATCCAGCAGGACAAGTAAAAAATCCCAACCATTGGTCATTGGGACAATTCCCTTTTTTTTTTTTTTTTTGAAATGGAGTCTAGCTCTGTCACCCAGGCTGGAGTGCAGTGGCGCCATCTCGGCTCACTGCAACCTCCACCTCCTGGGTTCAAATAATTCTCCTTCCTCAGCCTCCTAAGTAGCTGGGATTATAGGTGCCTGCCACCACGCCCAGCTAATTTTTGTATTTTTAGTAGAGACGGGATTTCACTGTGTTGGCCAGGCTGGTCTCAAACTCCTGACTTGGTGATCCACCAGCCTCGGCCTCCCAAAGTGCTGGGATTACAAGCATGAACCACCACACTCGGCCGACAATTCCTAATTTTTAAAGAATGGCTAAGATAAATAATGCAAAAAGGTAGCTTGGAAAGTTTTAATTTAATGTAATAGGAAGCAGTTACTAAAGTTTGAGAGTTACATAGGTAATGGTAGCTACAAAAAGTTTTCTTATAATGGAAATGTCATGATTAATGAAATGGATTAATGAAAAGTCCATGGGATTTTAAGTTAGACGTGAGATAGAATCTTAGCTCTGCCATGTCCTAGTTTGTTAGCCTTGGCTTTCTTATTTGTAAGGTGAGGATTATAGTGCCTCTCTCATAGGGTAATTGTAAGAATCCATTGTCTGGCACATAGTAGGTGCCAGACATGAGAATTGTGAGAAAGGCATGTAGTTACTGTCTGCTGTGGCCTAGCACTATAATAAGATCTCCTCCTGGGAGCTTTTGATGTAGTTAGGCAAGCAAAGCCACCACGGATGGAGCAATTAGAGACTAACAGAACAGGAAATAATCAAAGACTCAATGGTATATTAAGATCCACAGGAAAGATGCAGGTCACAAGCTCTGACAGATCTGTAGTGAAACTGGACCACTCCTCACCTTTGACCCTTCCCCACTCCATCTGCCACTCCCCACACCCTGGATCTTTAAGGAACCTTCCAGTCCTAAAAGCTAGTGCATTGTAGATAATGAGGGTAGTGTACGTCAATGAACTCTACTGAGTCACTCAGCTACGTGCAGTTAAACCACAGGCTATCCAAGCCAATAAAAACAGGAGCAGTTTAGAACTCCTTAGTGGGTAGTTCTACCTTAAGACTATAGTGACATTACACAGCCCAGCTCTGATGCATTGTGTGAAAGTGACAGGATCCCCCCCGCACCCCCCACCCCCTTGCCCACTTAATAAAACTGCTCTTTGCTTACTTGGTGCCGAATGGCTCATGTGTTTACATGAAGGACAGATTAAAGACCACATTGTACTTTTCCTTGCCATTGTGTAAAGGGCATTATTTTCCATGTTGATAAGATCTGGAGGGAAGAATAAAGCACAATGGACTTTTATTTTAATCACTAAACACTCACCCTATCCCACAGAAAGCCCAAAGTTTTTTATGCTTCTCCTGGTTTCAAGGCATCTGCCATTAGGAAAAGTAGAGTCAAGTGGCTCAGATTTTATCCAAGGGAGACTTAACAGTGTCCCTTCCTCATTGGGAAGGGGTTGAGAGAAGTGATAAAGAAGCAGAATTTGATGACCCAGAGGAAAAGCTGAAGTGACAGTATTTATGCCTGGAGTTTACTGCATGCCGTTGCTATGGGACCTGATTAAAGAGTCAGAACAATATGGTTCTTGCTCTCAATAGCTTGAGACATTTTGGCAGAGAGGAGCAGATGCCACCTGCATTAAGTAAGTCAGAGCATATTAGCAATGGACTTGGATAACTCCCACTTCACCCACATAGCCTTCTGTCCTGTGATGCTCTCTATCTCCTCCATATTTTCTTCAAACAAGGCTAGCAATTCTTCTGTTGCCTCCTCTCTTTTTTCAGTAATATTTGTGCTTTATGTTGTCTCAGTTTACTCTTGTATTTGAAGTCATGTTGGACGAGAAATCAAGAGACCTACTTCTAGCATTAGCTTTGCCATGTATCAGTGAACATGCCCTCTTAGAACTTTCAATTTTCTCAACTCTTAAGAAATATCTATGTGCTGTAGTTAACAGTGTTGAGAAACCAGAGAAATATATGTATGTAGAAGTAGCTTTTTTTAAATTTGAGGTAATATTTACAAACGATTGAATGCATAGATCTTAAGTGTACAATTTGATGAATTTTAGAGAATGTACATAGGAATACCTCATTTTATTGTGCATTGAAGATACTGTGTTTTTTACAAATTGAGGGTTTGTGACAACCCTGCATCAAGGAAGTCTGTGGTGCCACTTTTCCAATAGCATGTGCTCACTTCATGTCTCTGTATCACATTTTGGTAATTCTTGCAATATTTTAAACTTTTTAATGATTATTATGTCTGTCATGGCGATCCATAATCAGTGATCATTGATATTATTATTGTAATTGTTTTGGGGTGCCACAAACCATGCCCCTATAAAATAGCAAACTTAATAAATGTGTGGGTTCTGACTGCCCCACTGACTGACTGTTTCCTTTCTCTCTCCCTCTCCTCAGGCCTCCCTATTCCTTGAGAGACAGCAATGTTGAAATTAGGCCAATTAATAACCCTACAATGGCCTCTAAGTGTTCACATGAAAGGAAGAATTGCATGTCTCTAACTTTAAATAAAAAACTAGAAATTACTAAGCTTTGTGAGGAAGGCATATTGAAAGCTGAAACAGGTTAAAAGCCAGGCTTCTTGCACCAAACAGTTAGCCAAGTTGTGAATGCAAAGGAAAAGTTCTTGAAGGAAATTTAAAGTGCTACTCCGGTGAACGCATGAATGATAAGAAAGCAAAATAACCTTCTTGCTGATATGGAGAAAGGTTGAGTGGTCTGGATAGAAGATGAAACCAGCCACACATTTCCTTAAGCCAAAGCCTAATCCAGAGCAAATCCCTAACTCTCTTCAAGTCTATGAAATTTGAGAGAAGTAAAGAAGCTTCAGAAGGAAAGTTGGAAGGTAGCAGAGGTTGATTCAGAGGTTTAAGAAGCCATTTTTTATAAAATAGAAATGCAAGTTGAAGCAGCAAGTGCTAATGTACGTGCTTCAGCAAGTTATCCAGAAGATCTAGCTAAGATCATTGTTGAGGGTGGCTAAACTACATTTTCAATGTAGGTGAAACAGCCTCATATTGGAAGAAGGTGCCATCTAGGACTTTCATAGCTAGAGAGAAGTCACCGCCTGGCTGCAAAGTTTCAAAGGACAGGCTAACTCTCTTGTTAGGGGCTAATACAGCTGGTGACTTGAAGTTGAAGCCAATGCTCATTTACCATTCTGAAAATCCTAAGGCTAAATCTATTTTGCCTGTGCTCTATGAATAGAACAACAAAGCCTAGATGACAGCACATCTGTTTACAGCATGGTTACTGAATATTTTAAGCCCACTGCTGAAAGTTACTGCTCAGAAGAAAACATTTCTTTCAAAATATTACTTCTCATTGACAATGCACCTGGTCACCCAAGAGCTCTGATGAAGATACACAAGGAGATTAATGTTGTCTTCATACTTGGTAACTCAACATTCATTCTGCAACCATGGATCAAGGAGTAGTTTTGATTCTCAAGACTCATTATTTAAGAAACACATTTCATAAGGCTATAGCTGTCATAGATAGTGATTTATCTGATGGATCTAGACAAGGTAAATTGAAAACCTTCTGGAAGGGAGTCACCGTTCTAGCTGCCATCAAGAACATTAGTGACTCATGGGAGAAGGCCTAAATAACAACGTTAATAGGCATTTGGAAGAAGTTGGTTCCAACCCTTGTAGATGACTTGAGGGATTTACAACTTCAGGGGAGGAAGTTGCTTGTTATGGATGAGCAAAGGAAGTGGTTTCTGAGATGGAAACTACTCCTGGTGAAGACGCTATGAACATTGTTGAAATGACAACATAGGATTTAGGGTGTTACATAAACTTAGTGAAAGAGTGGCAGGGTTTGAGAGGACCGTCTCCAATTTTGAAAGAAATTCTACTGTGAGTAAAATGCTATCAAACAGCATCACATGCTCCAGAGATTCTCTCAAGAGTCAACTCATATGGCACACTTCATTGTCATCCTATTTTAAAAAATTGCCAAAGCCACCCAGCTGATCAGCAACCTGATCAGTTAGCAGTCACCAACATCAAGGCAAGACCTTCTAACAGCCAAAAGAGTACAACTCAGATGATCATTAGCATTTTTTAAGCAATACAGCATTTTTTTTTTTTTTTGAGATGGAGTCTGCTCTTGTCGCCCAGGCTGGAGTGCAATGGCACAATCTCGGCTCAGTGCAACCTCTGCCTCCCGTGTTCAAGCGAGTCTCCTGCCACAGCCTCCCAAATAGCTGGGACTACAGGTATGCACCACCAAGCCTGGCTAATTTTTATATTTTTAGTAGAGATGGAGTTTCACCATGTTGACCAGGCTGTTCTTAAACTCCTGACCTCAGATGATCTGCCCGCCTTGGCCTCCCAAAGTGCTGGGATTACAGGCGTGAGCCACCGTGCCTGACCAATTCAGCATTTTAAGATTAAGGCATGCAGATTGTTTTTTAGACATAATGCCATTGCACACTTAATGGACTACAGTGTAGTGTAAACATAACTTTTTTTTTTTTTTTTTGAGATGGAATTTCACTCTTGTTGCCCAGGCTGGAGTGCAGTGGCACGATCTTGGCTCACCACAACCTCCGCCTTCTGGGTTCAAGCGATTCTCCTGCCTCAGCCTCCTGAGTAGCTGGGATTACAGGTATATGCCACCACGCCCAGCTAATTTTTGTATTTTTAGTTGAGATGGGGTTTCTCCATGTTGGTCAGGCTGGTCTCGAGCTCCCGACCTCAGGTGGTCTGCTCACCTTGGCCTCCCCAAGTGCTGGGATTACAGATGTGAGCCACTGCACCCGACAGATAACTTTTATATATACTAGGAAACAAAAAAATTTATGTGACTCACTTTACTACAACATTCATTTTATTCCACTGATCTGGAACTGAACTTGCAGTATCTCCAAGGTATGCCTGTACATCTATGTAACCAACACTCCAATTAAGATATCATCCCAGAAACTTCCCACATGTCCATTTCATATCCCCTTTCAATCAATCCTTCCCACCCTGAGGCAACAACTATTCCATCACCACAGATGTTTTTCCTGTCCTTGAACTTGTTAGAAGCACTTTGAAAAGTGAAAGCCACTATACAAAATCCAGTATTATTACTATATCTCAACTAGATGTTACATTATTTAAAAGACCTAGTATTTTACTTAGTACTGAGCAGAAAGCATGGTAGACACTGACTCAATTCAATATTGAATATATCTTAAAGTGAGTAAAGTGTAGGGAAAGGGCCTTTGGCCTGGGTTCTGGGAAAGCTGAATTCGAACCTGCTCTGACTTACCTAACATTGTGACATTTAAAACAAAACAAAACATTTTTTACCTTAAGTGTTTCTTCTACTAAATAAAGGAGTTGGACTAGATGATGTTGTAGAGTACCTTCATGCTTTCAGAAATTATTTAACGATGATAATGGCTAACATTTATTGAATGATTACTATATGTCAGGCACTACTCTAAATACATTTATGAACTCATTAATCTTAATAACGGTCCAACAAGGTAAATCTTACTACAGTTGACCGCTGAACAACACAGGGGTTGGGGCCGCTGACCTGTGTGGTTGAAATCCATATATAAATTTTGACACCTCAAAAACTTAACTACTAATAGCCTACTATTGACTGGAAGCCTTACCGATTTAACATAAACAGTTGATTAACACATATTTTGTATATTATATGTATTATATACTGTAATATTACAATATAGTAAGCCAGAGAAAAGAAAATGTTATTAAGAAAATCACAAGGAAGAGGAAATATATCTACTATTTATTAAGTGGAAGTGGATCATCATACAGGTCTTCACCCTTGTTGTCTTCATGTTGAGTAGGCTGAGGAGGAAGAAGAGTAGGGGTTGGTCTTGCCATATCGGGAATGGCAGAGGCAGAAGAAACTCCGTGTGTAAGTGGACCTGTGCAGTTCAAACCCACGTTGTTCAAGAGTGAACTGTATTTCCATTTTAGAGATGAGCTTCAGTGACTTTCAACATTTTGCCATACTCATTTTCTACCTCTCTTCTTTTTTATAAAATAAAAACTACAAAAAATTTCTAACATACTCTTTGAAGTAGACGAATGGCGTTTCTCACCCTTAAATACTCTAGCATGCATCTAAAAAAAGGACAATTTTATAACAGTCACACCTAACAAAACTAATAATAATTCTTGAATATTACTTATTTAATACCAAGTTCATATTTCTCTGACTGTCTTAACGTTTCTTTTTTGGTGTTATGCTAAATTAGAGCCAAAAATGGTCTACTCGTTTTATTTGGTTGTTGTGACCCTTAAGCCTCTTTTAATTTAAAATCCCCTCTGCCTGAAGAGGGAGGATTTAGATTGTTGTGAAGGCAGAAGGAGACCATGGGGTGCCTTTCTACTTCGCTTCTCATACACAAAAATGTGGTGATGAGGTTACAGGAGAATAAAGCAAAATCACCCCAGCTTCTTCCTATTTCTTGGACTCTTGACCCACCTTCTTACCTTATGGGTGGCCATCCCTATTTCTGTAGGTCACTTTCTTATGTGAGTAGTAAGGGGTTGCTAGGAAGAGGCTGGTGGATTTCCTTGCACTTACCAGAAACAGAGGGTATATCACTACCAACGGAAATTACTATGAATAGCTCTCAGCAAAACACTTCCGTTGTAATAGGGGCATGATCTCAGTGAGGAAATTGGTGCTTGAAGATTTGTCTGTGTATACTTTTTTTTTATGCAAGAAGAGAAAACATGGGGTTATTTACATTGTAGGGAGGAACTCTTCAAGGTCAGAAGGGGCTCTAGTGAACTCAGCCTGGTTGAGGCTTACTGGCCTGTGCTTTCTGAGATTGAGTAGGCATCCAGAGAACCATGTCCTTTCTCTCCATAGCCTGGGTTAAATATGGAGACATTCTACTAAAGAGTAACTAGAATCGCAGAAATGCACTGCTAGCAAAGGCCTAAAGAATAGCCAGCAAGTGTTTTCAAATGCTGTTCCCACAAGGCTCCATCCATGGAGGCACTTTAAGTATTCTGCAAATATTTTCTTTGAACTTCCTTAAAAAATGTGGTCAATTCTTTATTTTAGTACTAGTCCTTATTTTGGTTTTCTTTTCCAATCTTTCTCTTAGAATTCAGTTTTCACTAAACTTTACCAACACTAATAATAAATTAGCCTCATCTCTTTGTCATGAAATCTCTAAAGTAATGATTCCCAAACCACCATGGAAAAAGCATACATTCTTGATGCCAAAATGAATTTTTGAAAAGGTGCTTTCTTCTTATGTACCTTAGTAAAATAATTTTTTGGAAGTCCATTCTCTTTGGTGGATCTTGAAGCCTGGGAAGACCCATTCTGGAGTGAGACAATGTCTTCACAGAATAGGAGTTGTGCAAGTTAGGGTTTTGGTTTTTGTTTTTGGAGTGTGTGCGTGTGTGTGTGTGTGCAGTAAGTCATTAAATCAAGGCTGAAGCTTTAACTCCATAGAGGCTAGTGGAAGGAATGTTCCTCATCTTGTAAAAACCATTTCCAAGGAACAGTTTAAAAGAAATAATTTGGGCCAGGAACTGTGGCTTACGCCTCTAATCCCAGCAATCTGGGAGGTTTGAGGCCAGGAGTTTGAGGTTCAGTGAGCTATGATTTCACCACTGCGCTCCAGCCTGGGTGACAGGGTGAGACCCTGTCTCTTAAAAAAAAATGAGGATAAAGTTGCCAAGTTTAGTAAATTAAAATATGGGATGCTCAATTAAATTTGAATTTCAGACAAATAAATGATTTTTTAAAAGTACATCATATTTGGGACATATGCTAAAAACATTTGTCGTTTATCTGAAATTCAAATATAGCTGAAACTTGTTGTTTTTCTGAAATTCAAAAATAAGTTGTTTTGTTTTTCATCTGGTGACCCTCTTGAGTTAGCTGCTTTTGTCTGGTATATTCAGAATTCCAGATTTATTCATTTATAGTCATTCCTCCTGTAACTGTCTTTCCAGTGTGCTGAGGTCCTGCAAGACTCAGAGCCAGGAGAAATTCCTATGTACTCTGCCACTGACACTTCCTGCACTTAGTGACCTCAAAGAGGTTGACCCCAGGGCAATGAGAAACAAAAGAGGAAAATCAAGTCATGGGTCCCTGTGAAATCTTTTCTTTCAGGGCTGACCTTGATGTTTTGCAGCCTCCCGGTGGCCTGGCTCAAGTGGTTTAGTGTTGAAATTCTTTTAAGTGATTGTGTTAGTTTCCTTTTCGTAAACCTTATCTCTTCCTTGGAGTGTGTTTTAGTTTGCCTGGATGGAGTTGAGTATTCCATCGACTCCCTGAGTCCTCACGTCAGACTTGGTTTCTGTGGGATTTCTCTTTGCTTATTTGCTTTAGGAAGAGGCTCATTGATAAAAGAAGGCAGCCATCTGGGGGCCAGGGAGTCCTCTGGTGCAGTGGCCCACTTGGGACCCTGCCTCCTTCTCAGACTGCAGGGAGTTAACTAATAATCATGGGATGTTTAAGCTGTGAAGCACCTTAACGTGATAAAGGAGCATGGGAAGGGGTCCCCTCACCCCTCCTCCCTTAGTAGTTTCACTTTTTGTCTGTTATACACTGTAGGTTCTCCTGAAAGATGATCATTTGATGAAAGGATTCTGCAGCTAGAAATAAGCTATAAAACCAATTCTTAATTATGGCCCTGGCCCATTACAAATAAGGAATCTGAAGCCCAGAGAGGCTAAGCGACTTGCCAAAGATAGTACAGCAGATTAGCAGCAAAAAGTGGGAAAATAAAAGCCCAGTTCCTCCAACTTCCACATGGTAATTTTTATTCAAGACTATGAGAGATAATGTCCCAAGTCCTTAACACCATTACATGAGGAATTTACTAGTCGGATTATGCACGTTTCAAGGCTCAGGCAAGAACTCCTTGGCTCTCCAGTTCACACGCCCTTTATTCGTGATCAAGGAGGGTTGGGGATTGTTTTGATTGCTACTGGGAGAGAAGTGCGGAGTAGGAATGTGTTAAGGCATAAAATGTAAATACCTGGGAGAAGCTAGACAACCATTCTATTCCACACTCATAGAATAAGTAAATAGATATGAATTTGTTGCCTGAGAAAAATGTTTCATGGAGGAGAGCGTAGAACAATCTTGGACTCTACAGTTGGAACACTTAGGTGGATTGTCTTTAGGGTAGAAATGGATTCCAAGAGCAGGGGAATGTGACCATGGCATACATACTTCTCAGTTTTTCTTAAGCTAGTCCTTTTTATGGTATTTCATCACCTCTGGGTGTGAGACAAATGTGGAATTCTCTTTTCTCTTTCCTGCTTCTTTGCTGAAATGTGAGACTAGGTACTTCACTTTCTCTCTTGTGTCATGTACTTGTATTATTTGTAAACCTTTCCCTGAGGGATTCTCCATAGTTCTTTATTATATTGTTCCTCAAACACTTCAGGCAACAATAGGGAATCACAAATGCTAGGAACTATAGCCCCAAATGTCCCTTATGCTTTCCTTGTATGTAGAAAAATGTGCCATGTCACAAGGAACAGAATAATGAGATGTTTAAGGACTCGGGGTTTGGATTCAAACAGACCTGGATTTAAGTCTAGCTTTGACTTTTCTTAACATGTGACTTTCAGTAAGTTATTTTTATCTCTCTGAGCTCAGTTTCTTCAAATATGAAAGAGGTGGATTGGGAGCTAGTAATAGCCCATTCTTCATAGGATTGTTGTGAGGCTTAAATGAGAAATGTGTATGAAGTGTGATATGGCTTGGCTGTGTCCTGACCCAAATCTCATCTTGAATTCCCACATCTTGTGGGAGGGACCCGGTGGGAGGTAATCGTGGAGGCAAGTCTTTTCCATGCTGTTCTTATGATAGCAAATAAGTCTCACCAGACCTGACAGTATTATAAAGGGAGTTTCCTCACCCAATCTCTCTCTTTGCCTGCCATCATCCACATAAGATGTGAGTTGCTTCTCTTTGCCTTCTGCCATGATTGTGAGGCCTTCCCAGCCATGTGGAACTGTAAGTCATTAAACTTCTTTCTTTTGTAAATTGCCCAGTCCTGGGTATGTCTTTATCAACAGTGTGAAAATGGACTAATACAGTAAATTGGTACCAGTAGAGTGTAGAGTAGGGCGCTGCTGGAAAGATACCTGAAAATGTGGAAGTGACTTTGGAACTGGGTAACAGGCAGACGTTGGAACAGTTTGGAGGGCTCAGAAGAAGACAGGAAAATGTGGGAAAGTTTGGAACCTCCTAGAGACTTGTTGGATGGCTTTGACCAAAAGCCTGATAGCAATATCAGCAATAAGGTCCAGGCTGAGGTGGTCCCAGGTGGAGATGACGAACTTATTGGGAACTGGAGCAAAGGTGACTCTTGTTATGTTTTAGCAAAGAGACTGGTGGCATTTTTGCTCTTGCCTTGTGGAACTTTGAACTTGAGAGAGATGATTTAGGATATCTGGCAGAAGAAATTTCTAAGCAGCAAAGCATTCAAGAGGTGACTTGGCTGCTGTTAAAGTCATTCAGTTTTATAAAGGAAGCAGAGCATAAAAATTTGGAAAGTTTGCAGCCTGACAATGTGATAGAAAAGAAAAACCCATTTTCTGAGGAGAAATTCAAGCAGCTACAGAAATTTGCATAAGTAACGAGGAACTGAACGTTAATCGCCAAGACAATGGAGAAAATGTCTCCAGGACATGTCAGAATTCTCAATTCTAGGAGAAAATGGTTTAGTGGGCCAGGCCCAGGGTTCCTGTGCTGTGTGTGGCAGAGACTTGGTGTCCTGTGTCCCAGCTGCTCCAGCCATGGCTGAAAGAGGCCAACATAGAGCTTGAGCTGTGGCTTCAGAGTGTGCAAGCCCCAAGCCGTGGCAACTTCCACGTGGTGTCGAGCCTACAGGTGCACAGAAGTCAAGAATTGAGGTTTGGGAACTTCTGCCTAGATTTCAGAAGATATATGGAAACTCCTGGATGTCCAGGCAGAAGTTTGCTGCAGGGGTGGGGCTCTCATGGAGAATCTCTACTAGGGCAGTGCAGAAGGGAAATGTGGGGTCGGAGAGCCCCCACACAGAGTCCCTACTGAGGCACTGCCTAGTGGAGCTGTGAGAAAAGGGCCATCATCCTCCAGACCCCAGAATGGTAGATCCACTGACAGCTTGCACCATGAACCTGGAAAAGCTGCAGACACTCAACACCAGCCTGTGAAAACAGCTGGGAGGGAGGCTGTACCCTGCAAAGCCACAGGGGTGGAGCTGCCCAAGAACATGGGAACCCACCCTTTGCTTCAGTGTAACCTTGATGTGAGACATGGAATCAAAGGAGATTATTTTGGAGCATTAAGGTTTGACTGCCCTGCTGGATTTTGGACTTGCATGGGGCCTGTATCCCCTTTGTTTTGGCCAATTTCTTTCATTTGGAATGACTGTATTTACCCAATGCCTGTAGCTCATTGTATCTAGGAAGTAACTAACTTGCTTTTGATTTTACAGGCTTATAGGTGGAAGGGACTTACCTTGTCTCAGATGAGATGTTGGATTGACTGTGGACTTTTGAGTTAATGCTGAAATGCGTTAAGATTTTTTTTTTTTTTTTTTTTGAGACAGAGTCTCACTCTGTCACCTGGGCTGGAGTGCAGTGGCACAATCTCAGCTCACTGCATCCTCTGCCTCCTGGGTCCAAGCAATTCTCCTGCCTCAGCCTCCTGAGTAGCTGGGATTATAGGCATGTGCCACCATGCGTGGCTAATTTTTGTATTTTTAATAGAGACAGGGTTTCACCATGTTGGTCAGGCTGGTCTTGAACTCCTGACTTCAGGTGATCTGCCTGCCTTGGCCTCCCAAAGTGTTGGGATTACAGGCCTGAATCCCATTTCACCTGGCCTGCTGAAATGAGTTAAGACTTTGGAGGATTGTTGGGAAGGCATGATTGGCTTTGAAATGTAAGGATATGAGCTTTGGGAGGGGCCAGGGGTGGAATGATACTGTTTGGCTGTGTCCCCAACCAGATCTCATCTTAAATTCCCGCATGTTGTGGGAGGGACCCAGTGGGAGGTAATTGAATCATAGGGGCAAGTATTTACTGTGTTGTTCTCATGATAGTGAATACGTCTCATGAGATCTGATGGCATTACAAGGGGGCGTTTCCCTGCCCAATCTCTCTCTTTGCCTGCCGTCATCCACGTAAGATGTGACTTGCTCCTCCTTGCCTCCTGCCATGATTGTGAGGCCTCCCCAGCCATGTGGAACTGTAGATGATTAAACCTCTTTCTTTTGTAAATTGCCCAGTCTTGGTTATGTCTTTATCAGCAACATGAAAATGAACTAATGTAAAGTGTTTTGCATAGTGCCTGGCACGTGATAAGCACTCAGTTGCTGCCAGTTGTGTTATTATTATTGACTTCTTTATTATTATTTTTCCCATAAACTTAATTTAGATCTCTTATACCATGATCTGGGGTTTGGGTCATTATTCCTGTCTTTCATTAAAGAAAATCTCTCTCCTAATCAAAATCTATTTATCTGATTTTAAATTGTTTCCCATTATGATTCCTTAAGTTCTAATTCCATTTGCTCCTCCTTGTTGAAATCTTCTTTCACCATTCTATGTCATTGATCTCTTTCTCCTTTAATCTCTCGATTTACACATTCCCTGTGCCAAATGATGAAGAGCAGTTTCTAACATTTTTCCTTGTATTATTTTCCCTGTGAATGCCGTTGTTGCAAACATATTTTGAAAGCTAATTTTTTTATTATGGAAATCTTATACATAAAAATCATTAAAAAAGTGTAATTGTCTCCATGTATCTATTGCCCAACTTCAACAGTTATCAACTTTTTGTCAATCTTGTTTCTTTTAAATTCTCTGCTCTCCTTTTATTTTGCCCAGAGTATTTTAAAAGCAAATCCCCAGACATCCCGCAATTTTATATGTTAATAGTTCAGTATGTATGTCCAATTGATAAGGATTTTTTTTCTTATAACTGCAAGGCCATCATCATTTTTAACAAAATTAGTGATAATTCCTTTTTATCATTTAACACGCAATTAATATTGAAATTTCTCTTATTGCCTCAAAAATATGTATATATATTTTTAGAGATGGGGCCTCACTCTGTTGCCCAGGCTGGAATATGGTGGCATGATCACAGCTCACTGTAACCTCAAACTGCTAGGCTCAAGCAATCCTCTTGTCTTGGCCTCCCAAGCAGCTGAGACTGCAGGCATGAGCCACTGGTCCTGGCCCCTCAAAAATATTTTTTAACAGTTTGTTTGAATCTGGATTCAAACAAAGCCTACACATTTTATTTGGTTGCTATATCTCATAAATCTCTTTTAATTAATTACAGTTTCTCTTTCCTAACTTTTTAAAAGAGTTTTCTAAAAACTCAAAATTTAGACAGAAAAACAATTCAGACTGCATTTATCATAAAGAAGTCACTTTCTTATGTATTAAATGAGATGTCTATAACTCTTAATCATGAGATAACTAAAATTAACATGCTGATTTCTCATCAGTTCAGCATAAAGCAAAGAAATTTGACATTTTAGTTAACTTATGCATCTTTATTTCAAGGCTTATTTCCATTTGTCTTTTTAAAATAAAAATAGTTTGGGAAGTTTACTCCTAAAATGTAAAGTTGGGGCCAACTGACGTTTATTATAGCAAGACAGTTCTTACATTTAAATACCTAATATTAAGTATTTTTCTCAGCAGGAAGAGTCCTTTTATGTCTGCACTCCCTCTCTCCAACCCCACCAGTTATCACTGATGCTGTCTGGTGAGGCTTTCCTGTTCTCCAGGTCTCAGTCTTTGCCTTTGACCTATTCATTGGCTATTCTCAACCCCAATGACTTTGTCTTCCCCATGAGACTGGACAACAGAGGGGATGAGGAAAGCATTTTACCTCTCTTGCGGTTGGAAGGAGGGGAGAACATGAGATCAGTGGAGAGGGAATCATTGAAACAGTCAGAGACCAAAACCCTGAGAGAGACAGGATCCTATAGATCTAAGTTAAGAAGAAGGCTGATTTAGAGAGATATTTAGCTTTGGTGGCTGTGAAGATTATGTTTTATCCAGACTCAAAGTAGAAAGGGTGTTCAATCCTAGGTCTGAGATTTGTTATATTATTATTAAAAAAAATCTTTAATTTTGTAGATAGAGCCATCACCAGAGATTAAAAGGGCAGTTTTGGCTGGGCATGATGGCGCATTCCTGTAATCCTAGCACTATGGGAAGCTGAGGCAAGAGGATTGCCTGAGCTCAGGAGTTTGAGATCACCCTGGGCAACATAAGGAAACCCTGTCCCTACAAAAGTGTTTTCAAAAAATTAGGCCGGTGTGGTGGTGCACGCATGTGGTCCCAGTTACTCAGGAGGCTGAGGTGGGAGGATCACTTGAACCTGGGATGTCAAGGTTGTAGTGAGTCATGATTGTGCCACTGCACTCTGGCCTGGGGGTCAGGGTGAGATCCTTTCTTTTATTTTCATTTTTTAACTTTTTTGAGATGGAGTTTTGCTCTTGTTGCCCAGGCTGGAGTGCAATGGCGTGATCCCAGCTCACTGCAACCTCCACCTCCTGGGTTCAAGCAATTTTACTGCCTCAGCCTCCCAAGTAGCTGGAATTACAGGTGCCCGCCACCACACCCAGTTAATTTTTGTTATTTTTAGTAGAGATGGGGTTTCACCACGTTGACCAGACTGAGATCCTTTCTTTTAAAAAGAAATAAATAACAACAACAGCAACAATAATAATAATGATAATAATAATTGGTGTAAACTAGGAAAGAACACAGCCAGTTTGATTCCTAGATAGTGACTCCTCTGTTACTTTAGTAATTTGATTTTTAATATATCAAATTATTTAAAATTCTTTAGAGGGGCTCACCATGCAAAGAAATATTCCTTTTTTCCTCAAGTAAATTATAACCTTTTAATTACTTGTTTTATAAGTTTTGGCTTTTATATTTTGACATTTCTTGAAATGAGTTCTAGCTAGATATTTGAGAAAATGAAAATAGGAGCACTGATGTTACTTGGTCTACAAAGAGAAAATAACATCTCTGTTGTATTCATTCTACTATTATAGCTGTAAGAGATGCCACATACTATAATTCTGATGACATCAAAAGGTTCAGTGGATGTATTCTTGAATATTCTCTGGACATATGTAAACATTTTGAATATATCACAACTTTCATTTTTCCTAATAATGGAAAATTAACCATGCAATTAAATATATGACAGTCATGGATGACTTCATAAAGGGATTTTAAACTGAATTATAGCTAATAAAAAATACAAAGCAAGGGTATTTACAGCTACTATGAAAAAATTACAAAGAAAACAATAAAATCATCTTTAGGGCTTTCTTATTAAAATTAGTTTTTGCTGTCTAAATGTAAACTTTATCCTTAATTTAGGTTTTGTTATTAGCAAATTATGTTTTAAATTAATTGGTGGTGTCAAAAGTATCATTAAAATGTGTTAAGGCCGGGCGCGGTGGCTCACGCCTGTAATCCCAGCACTTTGGGAGGCCGAGGCGGGTGGATCATGAGGTCAGGAGATCGAGACCATCCTGGCTAACAAGGTGAAACCCCGTCTCTACTAAAAATACAAAAAATTAGCCGGGCGCGGTGGCGGGCGCCTGTAGTCCCAGCTACTCGGGAGGCTGAGGCAGGAGAATGGCGTGAACCCGGGAGGCGGAGCTTGCAGTGAGCCGAGATTGCGCCACTGCAGTCCGCAGTCCGGCCTGGGCGACAGAGCGAGACTCCGTCTCAAAAAAAAAAAAAAAAAAAAGAAAAAGAAAAAAAATGTGTTAAAAAGATATTATTGATTGAGCACTCTGTAGTCTCAGTGTTGCCAGGAGATGTATTTGGTTTAACTGAAATATAAGATATTTTTGCCTTTAGTTATTTATAGCCTTCTTAGGTAAACGAGAGAAAACACATGAAATTATGAAAAAAGAGTCAGTGGCGATTAAGTGACATACTGTGTCTTACAATCACTACTTGGATAAATAATTGATTGGTATGAGCTGAGGTAGTTTGTCTTGTGGTTCCTGATAGAGTTTCTAAAATTAAATTACTATTCCAGTATCTTCTTGGACCTAACCATTTGGTTAAAGGTCAAATTCCTTCTGCTACATATCAGAAATTCCGTCTGTAATTTTTATTTGAACATTTCCCTACCTTTTTCAATAATGTATTCCCACCCTAACCACCCACCAGAGAAAACAACACAGGATTCTTTTGTGTGGTGATGGCATTTTGTGAACAAAAGAACATGACACATGTGATTCAACTGAGTATCTGGATGTCTGCATGATGCTGTAATGTAGTCCTTTGGACAAGAATTACATGCATCTATCTTGGGAGTCACTGTACCAGGGCAGAAGTGAAGAAACCTTGGACTTTAAAACCAGCCCCTGGGCAGAATTCTGTTTTTGAAGGGAAAAAATAACCGAGAATGGTGTGTGTGTGTGTGTGTGTGTGTGTGTGTGTGTGTGTGTATGTATAGTGGCAATAATGGCAAATTTCACAGATAAGGAAATAGCAACAGTTCTGAATTATTTCCTAACAATATTGAGTGAGGGAGGAGCTCTGTCTTTCAGCTTTCAAATTATGTAAGAGGGATGAACTGCTGAAACTAGCATCTGGTACCAGGTGAGTCAGCTGCTATGTACAAACTTAAGTGCTTCTATTCACCATGCTAGGTCAGGCTGTAGTAACAAGCCATACCAAAATCTGAATGGCTTGAAACAACAAAGCCATGTTCCTTGATCCCACTCATGTCCACTGTGACCCAGCAGAGGATTTTGTTGCACTACACTATTGTCCCTACTCTGGGACCAAGGTTGACAAAGCAGCCACCATCTGGAACATTACCAGTCAAAGTGGCAGAAGGGAAAACAAAACAAAAAAACCTCTCTAGGGTCTTGTATCTGCATCAGTCTCTAACTTGAATATAACACAAATCATGGGGGAGGGTACAAAGACAGCCAAATAGGAAGAGCTCCAGTCTACAGATCCCAGCGTGAGCAATGCAGAAGACGGGTGATTTCTGCATTTCCAACTGAGGTACTGGGTTCATCTCACTGGGGCTTGTTGGACAGTGGGTGCAGCCCATGGAATGTGAGCCAAAGCAGGGCAGGGCATCACCTCACCTGGGAAGTGCAAGGGGTCAGCAAATTCCCTTTCCTAGCCAAGGGAAGCCGTGGCAGATGGTACCTGGAAAATCAGGGCACGCCCACCCTCATACTGCGATTTTCCAATGGTCTTAGCAAATGGCACACCAGGAGATTATATCCCGCACCTGGCTCAGAGGGTTCAATGCCCATGGAGCCTTGCTCACTGCTAGCATAGCAGTAAGAGGTCAAACTGCAAGGGGGCAGCAAGGCTAGGAGAGGGGCGTCTGCCATTGCTGAGGTTTGAGTGGGTAAACAAAGTGGCTGAGAAGCTCAAACTGGGTGTAGCCCACCACAGCTCAAGGAGGCCTGCCTGCCTCTGTAGACTCCACCTCTGGGGGCAGGGCATAGCTGAACAAAAGGCAGCAGAAACTTCTGCAGACTTAAACATCCCTGTCTGACAGCTTTGAAGAGAGTAGCGGTTCTCCCAGCATGGAGTTTGAGATAAGAGAATGGACAGACTGCCACCTCAAGTGTGTCCCTGACCCCCGAGTAGCCTAACTGGGAGACACCTCCCTGTAGGGGCCAACTGACACCTCATACAGCCAGGTGCCCCTCTGAGATGAAGCTTCCAGAGGATCAGGCGGCAACATTTGCTGTTCTGCAATATTTGCTGTTTTGCTGCGTCCACTGGTGATACCCAGGCAAACAGGGTCTGGAGTGCACCTCCAGCAAGCTCCAACAGACCTGCAGCTGAGGGTCCTGACTATTAGAAGGAAAATTAACAAACTTGAAGGACATCCACACCAAAACCCCATCTCTAGGTCACCATTATCAAAGACCAAAGGTAGATAAAACCACAAAGGTGGGGAGAAACCAGAGCAGAAAAGCTGAAAATTTCAAAAATCAGAGCCCCTCTTCTCCTCCAAAGGAATGCAGCTCCTTGATAGCAATGGAACAAAGCTGGACAGAGAGTGACTTTGACACGTTGACAGAAGTAGGCCTCAGAAGATCAGTAATAACAAAGTTCTCCGAGCTAAAGGAGGATGTTCGAACCCATCCCACAGAAGTTAAAACCTTGAAAAAAGATGAGACGAATGGCTAACTAGAATAAACAGCATAGAGAAGACCTTAAATGACCTGATGGAGCTGAAAACCATGGCACGAGAACTACGTGACGCCTGCACAAGCTTCAGTAGCTGATTTGATCAAGTGGAAGAAAGGGTATCAGTGATTGAAGATCAAATGAATGAAATGAAGCGAGAGGAGAAGTTTAGAGAAAAAGGAGTAGAAAGAAATGAACAAATCCTCCAAGAATTATGGGACTATGTGAAAAGACCAAATCTACATCTGACTGGTGTACCTGAAAGTGATGGGGAGAATGGAATCAAGTTGGAAACCACTCTTCAGGATATTATCCGGGAGAACTTCCCCAACCTCGCAAGGCAGGCCAACATTCAAATTCAGGAAATACAGAGAACACCACAAAGATACTCCTCAAGAAGAGCAGCCTCAAGACACGTAATTATCAGATTGACCAAGGTTGAAATGAAGGAAAAAGTGTTAAGGGCAGCCAGAGACAAAGGCCGAGTTACCCACAAAAGGAAGCCCATCAGACTAACAGCGAATCTCTCAGCAGAAACTCTACAAGCCAGAAGAGAGTGGGGGCCAATATTCGACATTCTTAAGGAAAAGAATTTTCAACCCAGGATCTCATATCTAGCCAAACTAAGCTTCATAAGTGAAGGAGAAATAAAATACTTTACAGACAAGCAAATGCAGAGAGATTTTGTCACCACCAGGCCTGCCTTACAAGAGCTCTGAAGGAAGCACTAAACATGGAAAGAAACAACTGGTACCAGCCATTGCAAAAACATGCCGAATTGTAAAGACCATTGATGCTAGGAAGAAACTGCACAAACTAACGAGCAAAATAACGTGCTAACATCTTAATGACAGGATCAAATTCACACATAACAATACTAACCTTCAATGTAAATGGGCTAAATGCTCCAATTAAAAGACACAGACTGGCAAATTGGCTAAAGAGTCAAGACTCATCAGTGTGCTGTATTCAGGAGACCCATCCCATGAGCAGGGACACACATAGGCTCAAAATAAAGGGATGGAGGAAGATCTACTAAGCGAATGGAAAAATAAAAAAAGCAAGGGTTGCAATCCTAGTCTCTGATAAAACAGACTTTAAACCAACAAAGATCAAAAGAGACAAAGAAGGCCATTACATAATGGTAAAGGGATCAATTCAACAAGAAGAGCTAACTATCCTAAATATATATGCACCCAATACAGGAGCACCCAGATTCATAAAGCAAGTCCTTAAAGACCTACAAAGAGACTCAGACTCCCACACAATAATAATGGGAGAATTTAACACCCCACTGTCAACATTAGATGGATCAATGAGATAGAAAGTTAAAAAGCATATCCAGGACTTGAACTCAGCTCTGCACCAAGCAGAGCTAATAGACATCTACAGAACTCTCCACCCCAAATCAACAGAGGATACATTCTTCTCAGCACCACATTGCACTTATTCCAAAATTGACCACATAGTTGGAAGTAAAGCTCTCCTCAGCAAATGTAAAAAAACAGAAATTATAACAAACTGTCTCTCAGACCACAGTGCAATCAAATTAGAACTCAGGATTAAGAAACTCACTCAAAACTGCACAACTACATGGAAACTGAACAACTTGCTTCTGAATGACTACTGGGTACATAATGAAATGAAGGCAGAAATAAAGATGTTCTTTGAAACCAATGAGAACAAAGACACAACATACCAGAATCTCTGGGACACATTTAAAGCAGTGTGTAGAGGGAAATTTATAGCACTAAATGGCCACAAGAGAAAGCAGGAAAGATAAAAAATTGACACCCTAACATCACAATTAAAAGAACTACAGAAGCAAGAGCAAACACATTCAAAAGCTAGCAGAAGGCAAGAAATAACTAAGATCAGAGCAGAACTGAAGGAAATAGAGACAAAAAACCCTTAAAAAAATCAATGAATCCAGGAGCTGGTTTTTTGAAAAGATCAACAAAATTGATAGACTGCTAGTAAGACTAATAAAGAAGAAAAGAGAGAACAATCAAATAGATGCAATAAAAATGATAAAGGGGATATCACCACCGATCCCACAAAAATACAAATTACCATCAGAGAATACTATAAACAACTCTACGGATATAAACTAGAAAATCTAGAAGAAATGCATAAATTACTCAACACATCCACCCTTCCAAGACTAAACCAGGGAGAAGTTTAATCTCTGAATAGACCAATAACAGGTTCTGAAATTGAGGCAATAATTAATAGCCTACCAACCAAAAAAAGTTCAGGACCAGACAGATTCACAGCTGAATTCTACCAGAGGTACAAAGAGGAGTTGATACCATTCCTTCTGAAACTATTCCAATCAATAGAAAAAGAGGGAAACCTCCCTAACTCATTTTATGAGGCCAGCATCATCTTGATACCAAAGCCTGGCAGAGACACAACAAAAAAAGAGAATTTTAGACCAATATCCCTGATGAACATTGATGCAAATATCCTCAATAAAATACTGGCAAACCGAATCCAGCTGCACATCAAAAAGCTTATCCACCACGATCAAGTTGGCTTCATCCCTGGGATGCAAGGCTGGTTCAACATAGGCAAATCAATAAATGTAATCCATCATATAAACAGAACCAAAGACAAAAACCACATGATTATCTCAATAGATGCAGAAAAGGCCTTGGACAAAATTCAACAGTGCTTCATGCTACAAACTCTCAAGAAACTAGATATTGATGGGATGTATCTCAAAATAATAAGAGCTATTTATGACAAAGCCACAGCCAATATCATACTGAATGGGCAAAAATTGGAAGAATTCCTTTTGAAAACTGGCACAAGACAGGGATGCCCTCTCTCACCACTCCTATTCAACATAGGGTTGGAAGTTCTAGCCAGGGCAATCAGGCAGGAGAAAGAAATAAAATGTATTCAATTAGGAAAAGAGGAAGTCAAATTGTCTCTGTTTGCAGATGACATGATTGTATATTTAGAAAACCCCATCATCCCAGCCCAAAATCTCCTTAAGCTGATAAACAACTTCAGCAAAGTCTCAGGATGCAAAATCAATGTGCAAAACTCACAAGCATTCCTATACACCAATAACAAACAGAGAACCAAATCATGAGTGAACTCCCATTCACAATTGCTTTAAAGAGAATAAAATACCTAGGAATCCAACTTACAAAGGATGTGAAGGACCTCTTCAAGGAGAGCTACAAACCACTGCTCAATGAAATAAAAGAGACACAAACAAATGGAAGAACATTGCATGCTAATGGATAGGAAGAATCAATATTGTGAAAATGGCCATACTGCCCAAGGTAATTTATAGATTCAATGCCATCCCCATCAAGCTACCAATGACTTTCTTCACAGAATTGGAAAAAACTACTTTAAAGTTCATATGGAACCAAAAAAGAGCTGGCATTGCCAAGACAATCCTAAGCAAAAAGAACAAAGCTGGAGGCATCCTGCTACCTGACTTCAAACTATACTACAAGGCTACAGTAACCAAAACAGCATGGTACTAGTACCAAAACAGAGATATAGACCAATGGAACAGAACAGAGCCCTCAGAATTAATACCACACATCTACAAACATCTGATCTTTGACAAAACTGACAAAAGCAAGAAATGGGGAAAGGATTCCCTATTTAATAAATGGTGCTGGGAAAACTGGCTAGCCATATGTAGAAAGCTGAAACTGGATCCCTTCCGTACACCTCACACAAAAATTAATTCAAGATGGGTTAAAGACTTAAATGTTAGACCTAAAACCATAAAAACCCTAGAAGAAAACCTAGGCAATTCCATTCAGGACATAGGCATGGGCAAGGACTTCATGTCTAAAACACCAAAAGCAATGGCAGCAAAAGCCAAAATTGACAAATGGGATCTAATTAAACTAAAGAGCTTCTGCACAGCAAAAGAAACTACCATCAGAGTGAACAGGCAACCTGCAGATTGGGCGAAAATTTTTGCAATCTACCCATCTGACAAAGGGCTAATATCCAGAATCTGCAAAGAACTTAAAGACATTTCCAAGAAAACAAACAAACAACCCCATCAAAAACTGGGCAAAGAATATGAACAGACACTTTTCAAAAGAAGACATTTATGCAGCCAACAGACACATGAAAAAATGCTCATCATCACTGGTCATCAGAGAAATGCAAATCGAAACCACAATGAGATACCATCTCATGCCAGTTAAAATGGTGATCATTAAAAAGTCAAGAAACAACAGATGCTGGAGACCATGTGGAGAAATAGGAATGCTTTTACACTGTTGGTGGGAGTGTAAATTAGTTCAACCATTGTGGAAGACAGTGTGGTGAGTCCTCAAGGATCTAGAACTAGAAATACCATTTGACCCAGCAATCCCATTACTGAGTATATTCCCAAAGAATTATAAATCATGCTACTATAAAGACACATGCACATGTATGTTTATTGCGGCACTATTCACAATAGCAAAGACTTGGAACCAACCCAAATGTCCATCAATGATAGACTGGATTAAGAAACTGTAGCACATATACACCATGGAATACTGTGCAGCCATACAAATGATGAGTTCATGTCCTTTGTAGGGACATGGATGAAGCTGGAAACATCATTCTGAGCAAACTATTGCAAGGACAGAAAACCAAACACGCATGTTCTCACTCATAGGTGGGAACTGAACAATGAGAACACTTGGACAGAGGGTGGGGAACATCACACACCGGGACCTGTTGTAGGGTGGGGGGAAGGGGAAGGGATAACAGTAGGAGAAATACCTAATGTAAATGACGAGTTAATGGGTGCAGCACACCAACATGGCCCATGTATGCATATATAACAAACCTGCATGTTGTGCACATGTACACTAGAACTTAAAGTATAATTTAAAAAATAAAATAAAATAGAAAATAACACAAATCAATCTTTTTACATTTTTAATGTATGTTTGTTTTTATTAAATACATTTTCACTTTAATAAATCATTACAAATAAGGAAAAATTATAAAAACCTATCTCAGTGATATTTTATAATTTATTGTAGTTTTTGTTTTAGGTTCAGGGGGTACGCATGCAGGTTTGTTACACGGGTAAATTGCGTTTTGCTGGGATTTGGTGTATGAATGCTTCTGTCACCCAGGTAGTGAGCATAGAATTGCATAGTTTTTTAATCCTTACCTCCCTCCCGCACTCCCCCCGCCAGTATTTTTCAGTGGCTGTTGTTCCCATCTTTGTGTCCATGTGCACTCGCTGTTTGGCTCTCACTTATAAGTAAGAATATGTGGCATTTGGATTTCTGTTTCTGTGTTAATCGCTTAGGTTGATGGGCTCTAGCTGCATCCATGTTGCCTCAAATGACATTATTTTGTTGTGTTTGATGGTTGGGTAGTATTCCATGGTGTATATATGCCATATTTTTATGATCCAGTCCACCATTGATGGGCATCTAATTGGATTTCATGTCTTTGCTATTGTGAATGACACTGCAATGAACATATATGAGTGTGTGTGTCTTTTTGGTAGAATGATTTATTTTCCTTTGAGTATACACTCAGTAATGAGATTGCTGGGTTGAATGATAATTCTGTTTTAAGTTCTTTGAGAAATATCCAAACTGCTTTCCACAATGACTGAACAAATGTACATTTGCACCAACAGTAGGTAAGCATTCCCTTTTCTCCATAACCTTGCCAACAACTTTTTTTTTGTGGGGGGGGACTTTTTAATAATAGCCATTCTGACTGGTGTGAGATGGTATCTTATTAAGGTTTTAATTTACATTTCTCTAATGATTAGTGATGTTAAGCATTTTTTCATATATTTATTGACCACATGCATTTCTTGTTTTGAGAAGTATCTGTTCATGTACTTTGCCCATTTTTAAATTAAGTTGTTTATTCTTGTTGAAATATGTCAGTTCTTAAAGATTCTGGGTATTAGACCTTTGTCAGATGCTTAGTTTGCAAATATTTTCTCCCATTCTGTAGGCTGTCTGTTCATTCCATTGATAGTTTATTTTGTTGTGCAGAAACTCTTTAGTTTAATTAGGTCCTGCTTGCTAATTTTTGTTTTTGTTGCAATTGCTCTTGGAGAAGAAATTCTGTGCCAAGGCTAATATCCAGAATAGTATTTCCTAGGTTTTCTCCTAGGATGTTTTCAATTTTAAGTTTCACATGTAAGTCTTTAATCCATCTAGAGTTAATTTTTGTATATTGTGAAAGTAAGGGGTCCAGTTTCATATTGAATAGAGAGTACTTTCCCCGTTGCTTGTTAGGTCAACTTTGTTGAAGACCAGATGGTTGCAGGTGTGTGGGTTTGTTTCTGGGTTCTTGATCCTGTTACATTGGTGTATAAATCTGTTTTTGTACCAGTACTGTGCTTTTGTGGTTACTGTAGCCTTATAGCTGGGCAGTGTGATGCTTTTGGCTTTGTTCTTTTTACTTACAATACTTTTGCTATTCAGGCTCTTTTTTTGGTTCCATGAATTTTAGCATAGATTTTTCTAATTCTTTGAAAAATGATGTTGGTAGTTTTGTAGGAATAACATTGAATCTGTAAACTGTTTTGGGCATTATGGCCATTTTAGCAATATTCATTCTTCCTATCCCTGAGCGTGGAATGTTTTTCCATTTGTTTGTGTCATCTCATTTCTTTCAGCAGTGTTTTGTAATTCTCATTATAGAGATCTTTCACCTCCCTGGTTAGCTGTTTTCCTAGTTATTTTATTCTACTTGTGGTTATTGTGAATGGGAATGGGGTCATAGGAGCTCCTGCTGTTAAGATCCCAGAGGTCCGTGACAAGAGTGGGCTCCTTCACAATTACTTCACTCACTCTTTCCTTAGGAGCCATTGGACAAGTCAATCTTGACAGTTTAGGATTTATTCAAGTTTCATAAGATAAAACTCCACTGAGGTAAATACAAAGTCTTACATTTGAGACCTCTAATTCACATGCCAGGGATGAGCATGTGTACAAAAAAGACTGAGGGCTCAATATGAGTAGGTCAACAGTGTTATATGAAGACAAAAAAAGGAAGTTAATTGATTTCAGGTTACAATAATAACATCCAAAGCAAAAGAGATAATGGTCTATAACAGTCCTGCTATACTCCCTAACATTCTAGATTCTAGAAGGATCTAGATTCTAGAAGGATCTACTCAGATTAGATATTATATGTGAAGAGAGAGATTCATAAGGTAAAAATGAGTTTAGATGCAAATAAACAGGAGGTCGAAGAGTCAGGAAACTCTAATGTGAGGAATGGTTGAAGAAACAGCTATTTCACTTAAAAGAAGATAGACTGGGCATGGTGGCTCACGCCTGTAATCCCAGCACTTTGGGAGGCCGAGGCAGGTGGATCACGAGGTCAGTAGTTTGAGACCAGCCTGACCAACATGGTGAAACCCCATCTCTACTAAAACTACAAAAATTAGCCAGGTGTGGTGGCGCGTGCTTGTAACCCAGCTACTCAGGAGGCTAAGGCAGGAGAACTGCTTGAGCTCGGGAGGAGGAAGCTGCAGTGAGCCGAGACTGCGCCACTGCACTCCAGCTGGGCGACAGAGCAAGACTCCATTTCAAAAAAAAAAAAAAAAAAAAGATAGAGATGGGGTATCTTGGCTGCCTCTAATATATGGAGATGGAAATTCACTCTATATCTATGTATACAGATGGTAGGAGGGGACCCATGCATGGAAGTTAAAGGAAGGAGGACTTCAACTCAGTATAGAGAACTTAGTAGTAATTAGAACTGTCCAACAGTAGCATGGACTATAGGGTGAAAGGTCTGTCTCTGTGAGAGGTTCTAATTGAACAAGGTTTGTTACACGATGTGATTCCATTGTTGTCTCTGATAGACTTTGATTCTTATTTAGTTAGCTACATTTTTGTTTTGTGCAGTTAGGAGGCTATTTTAATCTTATTTGGGATTTTTGAAACTGTCAAAGGTCTTTAAAAACTTTTTGATAAATAAAATAATGAAATTTTGAAACTCCCTTTTAGGAATTATTAAATCACATATGTTGGAGTCAGACTGACTTGTGTTCATATGTTAGCTCATCCCTTACAAGCTTTCTCACCTTGGCAGTTTAGTTACTTAGTCTCTGAGCCTAACTACTACTACTACTGCTACCACTACTACTACTACTATTACTACTACTACTACTACTAGTATTGCTGAGAGGGTTAAATCAAATGAGCTAATGCACATAAAAAGCTTTTATGGTGCTTGGCACAGAGTAGACACCCAGAACATGAGGCTACCACTGTTATTAATCCTTTCCTTGACCTTTGTTTTGCTAAAGCTAACATGGTGCTTAGTAAAGGCTTTTAGATCTTAGTCCCAGCTTCTTTTCACTATTGTCCTTGAGTTACTTAGGTTTCAGGGTTAAGTCAAGAATATCATGAATTTTAATGACTCTTCTATTCATTTACTTTCTTTACACTCAAATGCTCTAGAATCAGGGTTTTTTGATAACCTCTGCAGCTGCAATCACTGATTATTTAAGTAGTAAAACACATCGTACTACAGCATCCAACTGTCTCACTTGTCTTTGAACCAGTCTTCTCTGGCTCCATGCACAGTTTAGATTTTGGGGCCATAGGCCAACTCATGTGTATATTATCTTCCTTAATTTTTTCCTCACAGTCAAAGGCTTTTTAGTTTTTCTTTGACAATTATCTAGAGTGTGAGACTTAGATAGTATCATTAACTTGACCTTTCCATTAAACCAGAGAAAATTCAAAGAAATCTCATCTAAATCTCTTTTAGGGAAAATAAGCTTTAGAAACAATAACATTTGCAAGCATTGAAATTTTTTATTTTTTATTGCCTCATTTTTTCCTTGGAGTTGACCAAAATAATTGATATCTCAAAATCTGTTGGAAGCAGCAGACTTTTAAAATCTCATATTAGATGAGAATGTGAATAATCACATTGTATGTAGGTCCTGTTTTGCAATACTTTACTGAAAAATCACTAAAAAGGACGTTTTTGCCCGTGGATGGGATGATTCCTTCTAGCTCTTTCTCACCTGTTCTGCTCAGATGCCAACTTGTCTTTATTTCCTTTTGAGTGTCCAACCTGTTGGCTTTATTCCTAAGGTTTGTAAGGAATTAATTCTTTACCTCTCCATAGGGACCAGTGAAACCTAACTATGTTGTGATATGGAGAAGCATGAGGCCTTTGGAATTTATGAATCATAGCACTAAAATCTGGAACTAGTCATGTAGCCCTTTGCCTGGAAGCATATTATTGAGCATTCCATTCACGGTTATAGCTTTTCCCTAGTGCCAGTTTGTAAGTTAGTTTAAAAACTGTTCTAATTCTGTGAAGAAAGTCAATGGTAGCTTAATGGAGATAGGATTAAACCTATAAATTACTTTGGGCAATATGTCTGTTTTCACGATATTGATTCTTCCAATCTATGAGCTTGGAATGTTTTTCCATTTGTTTGTGTCCTCTTTTATTTCCTTGAGCAGTGGTTTGTAGTTCTCCTTAAAGAGGTCCTTTGCATCCCTTGTAAGTTGGATTCCTAGGTATTTTGTTCTCTTTGTAGCAATTGTGAGTGGGAGTTCACTCATGATTTGGCTCTCTGTTTGTCTATTATTGATGTATAGGAATGCTTATGATTTTTGCACATTGATTTTGTATCCTGAGATTTTGCTGAAGTTGTTTATCAGCTTAAGGAGATTTTGGGCTGGGATGATGGGGTTTTCTAAATATACAATCATGTCATCTGCAAACAGAAACAATTTGACTTCCTCTCTTCCTATTTGAATACCCTTTATTTCTTTCTCTTGCCTGATTGCCCTAGCCAGAACTTCCAACCCTATGTTGAATAGGAGTGGTGAGAGATGGCATCCTTGTCTTGTGCCGGTTTTCAAAGGGAATGCTTCCAGCTTTTGCCCATTCAGTATGATATTGGCTGTGGCTTTGTCATAAATAGCTCTTATTATTTTGAGATATGTTCCATTAATACCTAGTTTATTGAGAGTTTTTAGCATGAAGTGGTGTTTAATTCTATCGAAGGCCTTTTCTGCATCTATTAAGATAATCACGTGGTTTTTGTCATTGGTTCTGTTTATGTGATGGATTATGTTTATTGATTTGTGTATGTTGAACCAGCCTTGCATCCCAGGGATGAAGCCAACTTGATCGTGGTGGACAAGCTTTTTCATGTGCTGCTGGATTCGGTTTGTCAGTATTTTACTGAGGATTTTCACATCGATGTTCATCAGGGATATTGGCCTGAAATTTTCTTTTTTTGTTGTGTCTCTGCCAGGTTTTGGTATCAGGATGACACCGGCCTCATAAAATGAGTTAGGGAGGGGTCCCTTTTTTTTCTATTGTATGGGATAGTTTTATAAGGAATGGTACCAGCCCCTTTTTGTAACTCTGGTAGAATTAGGCTGCGAATCCATCTGGTCCTGGGCTTTTTTTGGTTGGTAGGCTATTAATTACTGCCTCAATTTCAGAACTTGTTACTGGTCTATTCGGGGATTCAACTTCATCCTGGTTTAGTCTTGGGAGTGTGTATGTGTCCAGGAATTTATCCATTTCTTCTAGATTTCCTAGTTTATTTGCATAAAGGTGTTTATAGTATTCTCTGATGGTAGTTTGTATTTCTGTGGGATCAGTGGTAATATCTTCTTTATCATTTTTTATTGTGTCTATTTGATTCTTCTCTCTTTTTTTCTTTGTTAGTCTGGCTAGCGGTCTATCTATATTGTTAATCTTTTAAAAAAAACTAGCTCCTGGATTCATTTATTTTTTTGAAGGGTTAGTTCAACCATTGTGGAAGACAGTGTGGCAGTTCCTCAAGGATCTAGAACGAGAAATACCATTTGACCCAGCAATCCCATTACTGGGTATATACCCAAAAGATTATAAATCATTCTACTAAAAAGACAGATGCACATGTATGTCTATTGCAGCACTAATCACAGTAGCAAAGACTTGGAACCAACCCAAATGCCCATCAATGATAGACTGGATAAAGAAAATGTGGCACATATACACTATGGAATACTATGCAGGCATAAAAAAGGATGAGTTCATGTCCTTTGCAGGGACATGGATGAAGCTGGAAAACATCATTCTCAGCAAACTAACACAGGAACAGAAAACCAAACACCAAATGTTCTCACTCATAAGTGGGAGCTGAACAATGAGAACACATGGACACAGGGAGGGGAACAACACACACCGGGGCCTGTCAGGGGCTGGGGGGTTAGGAGAGGGATAGCATTAGGAGAAATACCTAATGTAGATGAGGGTTGATGGGTGCAGCAAACCACCATGGCACATGTATACCTGTGTAACAAACCTGCACGTTCTGCACATGTATCCCAGAACTTAAAGTACAATAATAAAAAGCAATAAAAATAAATAAATAAAAATTTTAAAAAAACTGTTCACGCAGCCATTCTATGAGGAGAGTTATGCTGGCAAACACTTCAGTGTTACAGACATTTATTACCAAACTAAGCAAAACATTCCCATAAATGTTCATGGTTTTTTTCTTTAGAACAGTCCCGAAAGGGGACTGTTTTTTCAAAGTTTTTCTGCTTTTTATTGCTCATGGCCTCCCCACTTACTCACACATTCAGCAGCACTCCCTTGACTAATTGGTGTTAAAGTGATGATGGGGGCATGTTTTCGAGTTTTTTAAAGGAGGAATTCATGGTTTTTTTGCAGATGGATTTCTGTAGGCTAATCTTAACTTTTCTTAACAAACTTTAGATTACTGGGCTAGTATTCGTAACTGGATTACTCTAATTTTTATAATGGGGGAAAATTTAAAATATTTGAATTGCTCGCTATGTATAGGCATTCTCATAAGCAGGAATGAGTTACTAGAGAGAGAGATTCAGGTAAATTAATATGAGTAGCTTTCATATAAAAGTTGTTGGGAAGGCATTAGGCCTCTAGTTCTTCATTTATAAAACAGGACTGCTAATAGTACTATCTCATAACGTTGTTATGAAATTCCAAGGAGATTGTGCATAGCAGCTAACCCAGTGTCTATGGCATTGTGAGTGAGGATCTGATCCTTGTAAGCCCGTGACATAGGAGGTATATTGTTATCTGCACTTTACAGGTGAGAAAACTAAAGCTCCAGAGGATTAACAGGGACTTGCTCATGAGAGTGATTTTAGTCTGAGATCTCTAACTTATAGCTCAGTGCTTTTTCACTATAAGAAGTTCCAGGGGGAATTAATCAGGTAGATTGCTCGAACTTAATCCCATTTTTTTAAGTACTTTTTCTTTGACTCTTAGTATTAAGAGTACCTTAGTAGGTCCTTTCTCTTGGGGTAGTATATTGCCCCAAAGAAAAATCTGTTACTCTCCTGCCCCAGAGATATAACTCAGTTTTAGCATTATGAGCAAAAGCCCTGGCGCAGGAGACTTTTACTTAATCTGCTGTTTTTAGTATAGTATTGCTGCCTTCAACTGTGCCTGATGTTTCTGAGTCCATAGAACTTTAGTTTCAGTATCTTCACAAAAATCAATATGTCCAGTCTTCTGCTGGGGTTGGGGAGAGACAGTCTCCTGGCTTTGCCTGGTAGGAGAGGAAGTGCTCTTTCTACGGGTCCTTTTCCAGTCCCTTACCATATTCAAAGCCACTTGGTGCCTCCAGTTTCCTGTTCTTTCTGGTGTTTCCCACTGTGAATCTGCTTCTTTGTTACCACTGCCCCTCCACCTCCAGCCTGCCACTTGTAGGTAGTTAGCTTTCTGTCTTAAAGGATGTTTCAGTTTCTACTCTTTATTTACTTTCCAGGTTCCAAAAATTTTGACGCGGATCATTTGTTATCTTTTCTCTTGTTTCTCTTGTTTTTTGATCCTTGTGGGTTTATGAGTTTTTGAAAATTAAATAATTTTACTGTTTTTACAGGGTTTTTTTTTGGAGATGGAGGAAATCTAAAATCATGTGTTCAATCCACCACGTTTAACCCTACCATTTTATTTGTTATTTTGAAGAACTTAACATATATTTATTTTCAGGTAACTCTACTAACTCTATCTCTTCGGATGTGATATCCTTTTAGTCTGCCTTTTGTAGCACTTAACTTCTGCATATTTGTAACTGTTGTTAGGTATATGTTATCCTTTGTGGCTTTATCCTGTCCATCATCTCCCTACGGGCATCTTTTGTCTTCTTCTCCATCTCTTTACTGCTATTGTAGTGAACATGCTGCTTGCTAGGCTCTTCTGTCCCTATTTAGATATTTGTTCTTTTGTTCATGGCAATTGCAGTCTGGGTTACAACTGGAAATGTGAGGATGTGATGGCTGCAAGAGGGAAGGGCATGGAGCTTTCTTCTTTTTTTCCCTTTTTTTCTTTCTCATTCTAATCTGCCTCCCAGGATCTTCCTTCATCTACTGATGTCTTTACTCTTCTGCTGACCTGTTGCCAGCAACAGGGATTGTGATTGCAAAGAACAAAGTGAGAAGCCCCAAACATACCCCACCAGTCCTAGGGCTGTCAGCCACATTCCTGCCCTGTCCAACAATCACACCTCAATCCCAAAAGCTCAGTCCTGTTTGAAAACCTTAAGGACCTTTTTTAAGTGGATGTCTTCCTTTTATAAACCCAGAGGGACCTTAGACTGTCTTGGTTTTTCCCTTAGGACCTAAGTAAAAAGAAAGGAAAGAAGATACAGGAGGGAGTTTTTTCTTTTTTTCCACCTACTTTTGTGCTTACTAGCAATTTAAAAAAAACTGAAAACTAAGATTAGTGGTAAACTTGTCAGATAATATTTTATTGTTCGTGGGGCCAGAGTAGGAAGAAATTGGTCAAAAGTTATGTGATGGCTTTAGAAGTGAAAGGAGGTAGACCCGATTCATCCTAAATTTCTTTGGGAGAAATATGCTCTGCTCATGGACCTTCTCTTTGTTCTTTTATCTTTTCAGATTCTCCCTTTCCTCAAATTTCAGATAAAAAAGTGGTTCGGAGAGGAAGTTCTAGAGCTAGACTTTTTTTGAAGCCCAGCTTTGATGATTTTTAGGTATATAAACTCGAACACCATCATAATAACTGTGACAGCGTGATACTGGTGCAAGCATAGACGAATGCACCAACAGAACAGAATAGACTCCAAAACAGACTGACTTATGATAAGAGTGATACTGCAGTTCAGTCCTTAACCTCTGTGTGTCTCAGTTTCCTCAAATGCAGAATAGGAACAACTGTATCCCTATGGTGGTGGTGTGACGATTAAGGGAATTAATACAAATGTGCTTACAATAGGGCCTGACATCTAATAAATGTTTGATAAGTTCCACCTATTTTCCCTGGTCCCAGGCCTTAATCAACTTCCTCTGAAATTTCAGTCCTTATTCTGCACTGCTTATTTTGGGACTTAATTATTCACTTCCTTGTTTTGCTACCAAATTATTTTGTGTGCAGTAGTTTTGTGTCTCCATCTATTGTAAACTCTGAGGACAGAGACCACATAGACTGCATGTAATTGCTTCTCTAGTTATCAGGGTGCCCAGAATAACATTGAGTTCCAGCTGGCATTCAATCTGTGCTTATCAGTTGATTGGGCAATAGATCACTTTGGAAGTTAGGAGATGTTTGTGAGGAGATCTGCATTTTACCTTCCAAGATAGAGGGTAGGAGCAGTTCTGTTTTTTTGTAGCCTTAATTTTTATCAGAAACATTTGCTGTTTTTACCTTTTTACTAAACAGCTCTGGACTGTATGAGTTCTTAGGAATTATACCTGAAAGAATCCACCCAGAAGTATATACACTGCAAGGAAATGTAAAGACTCATGGTTCTTCCCTTTCTTTCACCTCCAGGGCCTTTAAAGGAGACAGGAAAGAGTTTATGATTTTGCTCATTCATGAATAACATTTTCTCATCCATATTGTTCTTTTGGGTCTGCTTAGTTTATATACTTTATGTTACAACCTAAAACTCCCAGTTGGTTTTTTTTTTCTCTTCTTTTTTGCCTTCCATTTCACATTACCTTCTGGCCCTAGGAAATCTGTTTTTTCAAAGTTTTTCTGCTTTCCCGAGACAGTTTGCCAGTTACCTGGAAGGTGGCATATTGCCCTTCTTCGTGTTTCCAACTAGTCTCAAAGTGCTTTCTTTCCCAAGAGGTGGCCAAAAACGGCTGTGCTGAAATGGTCATTTGTGAATACAGTAATTCTCAGGAGGCATAAATTCACATCCTGTTCTCACTATGTATTTTATTAACTGTTAGAGTTATTCTACTGCCAGGCCCTGGCTAGAACCTGACTTGGTGCCTAGTGCTAACAACTGTCTTTAAAGGATTATGAATAGGGTCATAAACACTATTTACATTAGTAGGAACACGTACTTTTAGTATTTCTACCACTCCTTCTCACTCCTGCTCACCCTCACAGGCATGGGCAGTTCATAATAGGTGCATGGGTACTCTGCATTTCCCCTGTGGTTTTTTTTTTTTGGTCACATGTGGATGAATTCGTTTGTTTAAACTTTATTTTTCACAATCAAGTCACTCTTGTATCCTGGCCTCCAGTCTTCAAATGACATGAAACTTCCCAGATTATGTGTTCTAAGGATTTTTCCCCCTTCTTTTTAACTAGGGCCAAAAATAATAAACCTGGGTTATGATGCAAGTAACCAGAAAGTTAAACCATTGCTTAATGTACATTAGCATTAGTATCAGAGCCTTGTCATAGGCATAACAAAATCGTGGAACACTCTTTAGTTCAATGGCAAACAATATTTACTTCCCAGGTGTTTGAGATATTAAATATCAACTTCACATCAGAGAAATGTAAAAATGAGAGTTAGAGAGGCAACTCATCCGTGGGTTTTTCCCTGTTTTACTTAAGAAGGAAACTGGATAGTTGAAAAGAGGAATTATTCCTGTTCTCTCAAGATGTGAACCCTGTCCTGTTAAAACATGTATTAGATGGCAAATGTGGGAAAGAGGCAGTATTGTGCAAGGGTTACTTTGATAATGACTGGCTTTGCACTAAGAACATATAGTAATACATGGTGGATATCATTCAAAAAGCTTCCAAGTGTATGTAGGACAGGGCTTGGATTCAGTTCAAGCAGATGGATGAACAGTCACTCATTCAACATGCCCCTCTAAGTGATGAAATCAGAATAATGATAGCAGGGATTATAGATGACAGAGTCTTTCCTACAAAAAAAATACACGGCAAAGAAATGCAAAAACTAATGTTTCCTTGACCTTCATGTAGAGATAAGGAAAACTAAGGGAAGATTGCTGATTGTGTACTTAATTTTTTCTCATAGACTCATTTTCTCATTCTCATTATTTGGCTATGCATTTTATATTCTGTGTCCTTAAAACTGATCATAGTCATGAACTGTGCCTGAAAATGCTGTTTAAGCCAGTGTAATGTGGCCAGCAGAAGTTTCAACAAGCCACCTATCCTGTAAAAGCAGTTCTGAGTAATGCTTAAATGCACTGGCTTTGGAAGTAGCGGAGCTATTCAGTATAGCATCCATTGATTCAACCAGTCATGGATAGAAAATATTTTTTCAAAACAATAAAAAAAAATACAACAATACAAATAATACAAATTTTAAAAACCAATACAGCATAACAACATTTACATAGCATTTACATTGTGTTAGGTGTTATAAGTAGTCTAGAAATTATTTAAAGTACACAGGAGGATGTGCACAGGTTATATGCAAATACTGTGCCATTTTGTATAAGGGACTTGAGCATTTGCAGATTTTGATATCTCCAGGGAGTCCTGCAGCCAACCCCGACAGATACCTAGGAACAGCTATAGAGTGTTGTTAACCATTACTTCGATTTTGCACTGACAAAGATGTCAACTATCTGGCTAGTTTGAGTAACCTCTTCTCTAGACACTGCTAGAGAAACATAATGATCTGTGTTTCACATTTAAAGTCCATTTAAGGGGCCGGGCATGGTGGCTCATGCCTGTAATCCCAGCACTTTGGGAGGCCGAAGCGGGTGGATCACCTGAGGTCAGGAGTTCAAGACCAGCTTGGCAACCATGGTGAAACCCCGTCTCTACTAAAAATACAAAAATTAGCTGGGCATGGTGGCGTGCACCTATAATCCCAGCTACTTGGGAGGCTGAGGCAGGAGAATTGCTTGAATTCAGGAGGTGGAGGTTGCAGTGAGCTATCGCACCACTGCACTTCAGCCTAAGCAACAGAGTGAGACTCCATCTCCAAAAAAAAAAAAAAAAAGTCCACTTAAGTCTTTTAAGAGCTCCATGTACGTCTTTTGATTATAGCCATGTGTTATTCCTGCCCAGTTTATAGAAAAAGATTGTTCCTAGTTGTGTTAGGAGAGAAAGTTGACCAGTGGGTACTGATCTCTTTTTTAACATGGCTTCTGTCTTTAACCAAGGAGGGCTGGACTCATGCCTCACCATAAAGAGGATAAGAGACAGTGAAAATTTAGAGGGTAACATTAACTATAGTGTCTATTACAGAATGGGCTCTTGTTGAGGGGCTTTGTAAACAAGAAGGGATTGATCACGTGAAATACATAGATTCAAACAGGAAAAGCTGGGGAATTTTCTAATTCTAGTACCTTCTCCAAGCCTCAGCATTTGTAGACCTTTATACAAGTGGTATGAAAAAGAAGAATCTATTTTGTTTTGTTTTGTTATTGATTTTTAACTACTAAAGACTATTCCCTGTGAAGCTATTGTGTTAGTGAAATAAATTTTACTCCACAGAAATTGAACCTTCTCTTCAGAAGGTCTTTGCTGGCTCTTCTTGCTTCGAATATCCAGTGGAAAGAAGCCCTTATATTTCTGTGCCAATATTTTCTCCACTTTGGAAGTACTTGAGTGAACACAGCACATCATTTTTTCAGAAATCAAAGATTTCTCATTAAAATCTTTACTTGAAATTCACAATTTAATAAAGTTTCTGAGTTAATATGAAACCAATAGTCCATTAAGAATAAGGAATGATTGGCTTGTATTTTTTATTAACCGTCAGCTGTAAGCAACCTTAAAATACCATCTAACACATTCAAATTCACCAGGCATGACTGCCCAGTGCCCCACCCAACCTAGCCTCTCATTTGTTCTCTTATTACATCTCTTATTAAATCTCCAGTGGAAGAGATTGTGTCAGAGTCTCCTTCACTAGTCTATTTCAGTGTCTTACAATTCATATGATGCTTAAAAAGAGAAGTAAGCATTGTTTAAGTGTAAATGTTTATTTTGTTATTGCTCAGGTTGAATCCTTTTCATATTCTGCTGGCTGTCTTATTCGTGCACCAGTTGTTACTCATGATGCAGATTGCTGATATTATATCTGATGCTATTGTATACTATAGAAGATGGGCCACCAAAAATGCTGAGTGTCCATGAATCACACAGCAATGATCTGAAATCTCTTTGAGTATGAGGACCATTGTTAAATGACAAAATGTCATGCCATCACCCCAGCCCCGATCACCTGACCTCCTTTCACACATATACACAATACTAGTTTTACTTTTAGTATCTAAGAATATTTATTGTGGAAAACAACTGTTATGAGTGTAGTAAAGCTTTATAGTAGAAGTGTATTTTATTAAATATAACATCTTCATACATCTAAAAAGTAGTAGTGATAGGTCAAAGTTTTTTATCTAGAAAATGAAGGTACTGTATTTGTACAAGTTCTCATTCCAAGTCATTTAGTGAGAAAATTGGGGTGTTTTACCTATAAAAATCCTTAAAACATTGTGCATATTTTTGGAGCTAATTAAAAACAAAAATAACAAAGATTGATATACATTTAATTTTGTTCACTCTACATAGCTATAGCCCATAGGAAGGGTTCTGCAAGAACACAGCAATCACCTTGATGATGAAGCATAATCCCTGTGGGTGCTTCATGCGAAGTTCTGAGCCTCAGCCCATGTTGCCTATGGTTAAATCAAATAATGTATGTAAATAACAGCAAAGGGTCTATAATCTCAAAAAGTTATCTCTACACAAACTTGTGTATATACATACTTTTCTCTATATAGAGTACCAAAATTTCCTGATTCATGAGTCTTCTTTAATTTAACATTTAAAAAATTGCCCTCTATGGCATATATCGCTCTATGGAGATTACCTCAGAATAAAACAATCTTTTAACAACAACAAAAAAGTATTTATGAGGGTCTACCAGGCAGCTGGCAAGAAATTAGTGGTTTCTCTCATGCATTTACCACATGTTATCTGTTGGCCATAGATGAGTACTGAATGTCTGTTTCTATGGATGCAGAAAGGAATTTTTATATTGGTGAGCTGTATTTCAGTTTAGAAAATTGACCCAGGTTTTATAAAAATAGATTCGTCTTTGATAGATATTTTATTGGATAGCTATAAAGGCACTGTTGTTTTCATTCATTTTTTATATTTGTGAAGGAAAAGTTGATTTGTATATTTTTGGAGCTGGTAAATTTTTTTCTGCCCATGTATGAAGAACTGAACGATTATACATGTGGTTCAATGTTTTTGTTAGATTGTTGGGGATAGTGATGAGGTTGGGGTTAAAGAATCAGAAATTGGTATACCAAAGGTACCAGGAGATTGCTTGTCTTGATTTGGTGCTAATAGAGGGACAGAATTCCCCTTTCAGACCCTAGGAGGCCTGTTTGTTTTTGCGTGTGGAGATAGATACATGGAGGTTCAATTTGGAAATGTAGTCAAATCTCTGCTAGAATAGTTGATAGAAAAGCTACCGTGGGCCACTCATATTTCTGGTTATCATAAAGGTCAAACTGGATATTTAAAACATAAAACAGAAGGCTTTAAAGGACTGTCTCCCTTGCTGTGAAAACCATTCATGCCCCTCTTCAGGTAGCAGTATTTTAGTGGGAAAGATTGATAATCAGAACTCTCCATTATCAAGTTTAATATAAAATATGTCTAAAATATTTCCATTAATCATGAATCACAGACTTTTCTTGGGCATTCACTGTGTTCAGGGCACTGCAGTTGACAGTGAATACACAAATATCTGTGGTGTGATGAAATGTGAAGTTTAATTAATGGGTTCTTTTCATCCTCCGAGTTTAGTAACCCAAGTGAGTTAACTGCCCATTTGGCAGTTATACCTTGGACACCTGTTGCTTTTGTGTTGCAAACCCCACATGCCAAATTTGCAACTTCTAGCTTCAAAGACTAAGACAGATGATTTGAGAAGAGAATGCCAGCAGACTGAGCAAGTTTCTTATCCTGTTTCCAGACTAGGTAAAAGACTCTTTGAACTGGCACAAGAAAGGAGCATTTGAAGAGGACGAGTAGAATTAGACATAGTCACGTGCATGGCTTTTAGCCTCCCAGTGGGGTTGGGGTTGGGCAGAGGACACAAGAAAATTCCCCTTGAGGTTCTCAGGATTTCAAGAGTAGGGGAGACTTCTGCTGTATCTTCACTTTTGGAAACTTTGAAAGTAGTAGGTTTACATAGGTGTCTTGTGCTATCTTTTAACAGGTGAGAGGACCATATATATACATATATATATGTGTGTGTGTATATATATATATATGACTGTGTATATATATATACACACACACACACACACACACACATACACACACACACACACAGATGGTGTCCTGTATATATGCCAAATGACTCTTGCAGTATGGTAGATATTACAGAAGTTAAGAAGAAAGAACTGTTATTGTGGCCTGGGTTTGTTGGAGAAAAATTAAGTATTTTCCTATCTTAATAACTTCAGTATGGGTAACAGGATATTATATTAGCCAGTTAGGATGAATAAGATGTTTATTATCCCCAGAATCTGATCAGTAATAGTCTTGGTTTCTTTTTTTTGCCCAAATATATGATAAAATATCTCCTTATTGTTGACTAGAGAATGGATGGAGCAAACACACTTTTTTTCTTGACCCTTGGGGTGCTATTTTCTTCTTTCGGTTATTAAACTACTTCAGATCTGATGGTTAGTAATTTTCTTTTTTTCTTCCTCCAAAAGTAACTGAGGTGTCAGGAGTCTTGATCAATTGCCATCCATCTAATAGGCATTACAGAAGAGCAACAATAGCCCCTAATAGAACAAGTTCCAGCCATTGTATTTTAGAAACAAACCTACATCCTAATAATCACTCAGATCACAGGGCACACATATCCATCCATTTCCTGTGTTCAGGGCACTGCAGTTGACAGTGAAGGGTCCTCACCCCCAAGGACTCACATTTCTTCCAGATGTTCCTTGTTCTCAAAAATTACAAAACAGCCACTACAAAGGTAACACTACCATAAATTTTGCCTGCCTTAGAAAACCTTCAGGTAAGAGCCTCCTATATCCAATTTCCATTCCAAGAATAAAGTAATAAACCAAATCACAGCAAGAAAACACAACTCCTACATCATTTGTATCCCATGCAATTTGACCTCACAGGAAAACAATAAGAAAATTATCATTGAACTAACTGCAAACTCTACCATATGAACTGGAAATAAGAACTTTAAGGTTTGCAAAAGCCGTTGGGAGATGCTGCTTAGATTTAATTACCAATCCATTTATATTGTATTTCAGTTTTTCAAACATTATCAGTTGTTTGGTGAATTCAGAAGATCCAAATAATATAATGTGGAATATCAGTTCAGAATTTACATTATGCAATGATTTATACTACTCTCTGTCTTTTGTCCTTCATAAGAAAAATAGCATTTTCTTGACAGTTCTATTCCTGGTAAAATTACAAACTGAGGTGTGACCTTTCACCTTAAGTAAACAATTATATCACTACTTAGTAATAATCACTTTACTGTCTACACTTCACACTAAATTAACAGACATCTGATTCTCATTTCTGGCATGTAGCTCCAAGCCCTACCTTTCTTTTCTTAGTTCATTAATGATCATTTGTATCCTGGTGACTGTTGGACTCAATCAGTTTGATGGATGGAAAAACAGAGCATGAAATGTAGCCTCATTTATTCTGAGCTGATTACTACATCCAGCTTTGTTTCCATCCCACAAAGCTCAGTTCTTAGATAATCCAGGCTTTCAGGTTTCTTTTCTTTTTTATTAAATCACTTTATTGTGGTATGACTGGCATACAAAAAGCTGTGTGTATTCAATGTATACAACTTCATGGATGTATATATACAACTTCATGGGTGTATATATACCTCCAGGATTTCATATTTCTTTATCCCATTTTGGTCCTGTAAGTACATGGACTATTTATTTGTGTTAATTTTCCATTGTGAGGCTTTCTAGTTTTGAGTGAGATTCCAAGGGGTTCTGAAGGGAAAGGGGAATATAGAAAGGTCAAAATCTTTCTTGTAACATGGATTGTGTTCCCTGTATCCATGGAGAGACAAGGCTATCCCTTGATGGGCGTTAAACTAATGCAAAGGTTCCACCCAGACTCGGTTGCAAGGAAAGCATTTGCTTATGTTCCAGTGTGTAGTAGGCTTTTACAGCAGAGTAAAAAAAAAATTAATCATATTTCCTGACAGTCTAAACACTTTCTTAATGTATTGCTCTTTGCTGGTGCTGAGGACGGAAGGGAGGGGAGGGGAGAAGTTGGCAATCATAAGGCTCTGAATTATTAGCCTTTTGTCCAATTCCACAGATGTTCTGGCCTGAGAGCCTTCACTTTAAGGCTTAAAGAAAATATTCCACCACAAACTTCTGATAGTTACAGATGAAGAGTTCGGATTCCATCTTTCTTTCTTTTTTATTTTTTGTTATTCATCTAAGGGCCTGATATACTTTCCTCTTCATATTCTGTCTTTGCTTTCATTCCTTCCAATTCTCCCTATTATCTCACTGTCTTTCTACACCAAGGCATATACTTTGCTGGACTTAAAAAATACGAACTTATATTAAATGTTGAAATTATCCCTGATGTATTTTGCCTGTGTCTGTGACTTCTAGGGTATCCTACACTTTTCATGATAAAGAGAAGGGTGGCCAGCATGGAGTCAGTGACTTGCTATTTCTAGAAACTCATCTGTGTGAATTGGATTTATGGCAATTTAAGTAGCTGCTCTCTGGAGGTCACTTGGCTGTCCAACTATACTACCCTAGAAGATTCCTGTTAGAAATGAGCTGTTAGTGCAGAGAGCAGCCTGCTAGTGCAGAATAATTCTGCAGTCAGCCAAAATATAATTATGGAAACATTTGCAAAGGTTGTATGACTTCAAAAGAAATCCCCTGAATTTTTAAAGAAAACTTATCAGGCCTGGATATGCATGAAACTTTATATATATATATATATTATATATTATATATATATTATATATTATATATATATATTATATATATAATATATATATTATATATATTATATATATATTATATATATATTATATATATATGAATGTGTGTGTGTATATATATATATATATATATATACACATACACACAGTCTATCATCAATCTATTTATACTATATACTACTATAGAGAGATAGTTCGATAGATAATATATATTAATTTGTTATATAATTTCCTTCTCCTAGGTGCCTCTAGGGAAATGGCCATCTCCTCCCAGGTTAGCCTTGAATATAGGGATAGTAGATAGTCACTTTTATGGGACGACGGATTAACTTGTGTGAGCTCAAAAACATCTCCCTCGCAGCCATCATAGAACCTCAAATTCTGTCAGTTGGGTTTCATTCCTTTAAGTTCTGAAGACCTTTCAACATTCTTAACTAAGCATCAATTAAAATTTAAATTTTCTTGAGAATACTTATCAGCTAAAACTTGTTCGAAAGGATGGGAGAAAGAAAGAAAGGGCATCCACTGATAATTAGATAACAGTAAAATCTTGGCAAAAAGAGTCCGGGGTAGGTAACCTGGATTTTACAGGGGGACAACTGGGGGTAGGGGATGGGACTCACAGCCAGAAGGGGTGGGAGGGAAGAGTCAGGAACAAATTCACCTACTTAGTTTTGCAGAAGTCTGGCCCAGCCCCTCTTTTGTGTGTAATGGGTGTTCACTTTGTCAAACAAGTACTTGGATGGTCTCTGAAGGGAAGGAGAGAAATAACTTTTTTCTCCACGCTAACAGCCAGAACCATCACACACCTAAATAAACACCCTTCTGTGCCAAACATCACATTAGTTTATAGGGAGATGTCAGTGGTAGAGCTAAAATATTACTTTAAAAGCTTTCCTGTTGGAGGGGTCTGACAGAGGAGCTGGAGGACAGATTTGCTGGGCTGGGCTAATAAATGCTCTTTAACATTATTTTCCAGTGGCTTTGTTGAAGTTGTAATTCTTCACATTCATGCAATTTAATGTGTTTCCTTGAAAGTGAAATGTCTGGGACGGGCTCGGAAAGTCAAAACCTGCCCCATCTATTGGATTTGATGGTGATGGGGTTAGTGACAAAATCTTTAAATCCTTGTTTTGGTCTGAGTCTGTGTCTCATTTTCAGCCTTTTATGAGGACCCATTTTCTTTTGCTAGCAAAGTTTGACAATCTTACCTTTGTTTCAACATCACTGATGAGTCTCAGGCTAACCAACTCTTTTCGGCCAGTCTCATCCTGCAGTTGCTTGTCAGTACTGTCAGCTGTCCCCAAGTTTCCTGGGGTCCAGACTTAGCATCTCCTTCTTTTTTTTTTCTAAAATTTTTTGTTAACGTAACATGTTGACCAGACCAGAGTGGTAGGAGTCAAAAAAAAGTAATGGAGATAAGAGTAAGTACCTATTATGTGTCAAGTACTATGTAGCATTATTTACACACTTTATTTCATTTAATCCTCAAAGCACTGTGGCAAGATAGATAATTATGGTAATCATTTTCATATGTGTGTAAATCGTAGCTCAGAAAGGTTAACCTAGATACTACTTGAGTCTAAAATCGATTTTGGGTTCTAATCTTGACTCTACCTACTTGCTACCTACTGTTACTGTCTCACTGTTTCCATTTTCTTATGTGTAAAATGTATGGAAATGGATACACTTTTCATGTGCCTAATATCAAAAACATTTTCATATGGTTTATAATAAAAACACAAAATGAGGCAGCTAAAATTTTAAAAAATGTTATAGAGCAGTGGTTTTCAAATGACAATCACTGGAATAATAGGGGATCTAGCGCCATCGGGGGGTAGGGGATTGGTTTTTTTTCTTTGCTTAATTTTCTTTTCTTTTCATTTTTTAAATGATACATGATGTTTTCCATATTTATGGGGTACAGGTGATATCTTGCTACATGTGTAGAATAGTCAGAGTATCTGAGGTATCCATCACTTTGAGTATTATTTCTACATGTTGGGAACAGTTCTAGTCCTCTCTTCTAGATACTTTGAAATACATAATACATTGTATATCTATAATACACTGTTGTTTACTATAGCTACTCTACTGTTTACTATAGTCACAGACAACACTTTGTTGTCAAACCATAGAACTTATACCTTTTATCTGACTGTGTTTGTATTGATTAACTTACCTCTCTTCAGCCCCTCTCCCTTTCCAGTCTCTAGTATTTATTATTCTACTCTCTACCTTTATTATATCAACTTTTTAAGCTTGCAGTGGGGGATTTTTTAGGGAGATTTGTTGGGAGTGCTTGTAGCTCTGCTCTCAACAGCTGTACTTTTAACTGTTTCATGTATCAAGCCAAAGGTACATTGCTTATCAAAAACAAATTTTTAAGTCTTGATTAGTTACAGAGTTGCAGAGGTTTGTGTAAGGAACTTGGGATGTCAAAGTTAGAAGCAAAAGGTTGATTGAATTTCTTAGCAACTTCTAGGGCAAAGAAGGAACTATGTTTGTTTATACAGCCCCTATTACCTTCTGTAGAAAAGAAACAGAAGGAAGGAAAGAAGAAAGAAATGAAGGGAAGAACAAAGAAAGGGAGGAAGTCATGCCAGTCAGAATGGCAATTACTAAAATGTCAAGAAACAACAGATGCTGGCGAGGTTGCAGAGAAATAGGAACGCTTTTACACCGTTGGTGAGAAATGTAAATTAGTTCAACCACTGTGGAAGACAGTATGGCGATTCCTCAAAGATCTAGAACCAGAAATACCATTTGACCCAGCAATCCCATTACCGGATATACACCAAAAGGAATACAAATCATTCTATTATAAAGATACATGCACACATATATTCACTGAAGCACTATTCACAATAGCAAAGACATGGAATCATCACAAATCCCCGTCAATGATAGACTGAATAAAGACAATGTGGTACATATACACCATGGAATACTATGCAGCCATAAAAAGGAATGAGAGAATGTCCTTTGCAGGGACATGGAGGGAGCTGGAAGCCATTATCCTCAGCAAACTAATGCAGGAGCAGAAAACCAAACACCACATGTTCTCACTTACAAGTGGGAGATGAACAGTGAGAACACATGGATCTAGGGAGGGGAACAACACACAATGGGGCCTGTGGTGGTGGGAGACTGGGGGGAGAGCATCATGACAAATAGCTAATGCATGCTGGGCTTAATACCTAGGTGATGGGTTGACAGGTGCAGCAAACCACCATGGCACATGTTTACCTATGTAACAAATGTGCACATCCTGCACATGTATTCTGGAACTTAAAATATAAAATAAAAGAATTTAAATTAAAAAGCAAAATGAAAGGGAGGAAGGAAGGAAGGATAGAAAGAAGAGAGAGCAGGCAGAGCAAGGACAGAACAAGCAAATCAGTATGGCAAGGCCGACTTTCTCCTGGGATTAATTGAGGAGGAATTTATCATATTTCTTATATGAGGGGCATGATGGACAGTTATGGTTTTAACTCTGGTTTTACATAAGATATCCTTATGATGGAATTTTCTTATAACAACCTGTGACGAAACCTAAAGCATTAAAAAGCATTCCTGAGGGAGGGAAACAAAACAGGGTATATAAAATGGGTCTACCAATTTGTCTAGCCTGCTTTACAAGGTTGTTGCTGAAAGCTCTAAAGAACTAATGTGTGTGAAACTGTTTGAAAACCTGTAGGAATCACCTAACTTTTAGATCGTTATATCATTTATTAGACCACACATATTTATGGGGCTCCTACTCTGTGCCTGGTAGTGTTCTAGGTGCTGGGAATGCTCAATGCCAATCATTCTAGGTTAGATTTCATTTGTTTACCTTTATTTTTAGCAATCTATACATTTAGTTATCTTGCTACTTGGAAAGAAAAGATTAGTCACAAAAATAAATTGAGTGGGATTCATCAATGATTCCTGGATTGCTCTCAGAGCACGCTGGAAGGATTTCTAGAGGTTATCTGGTTCATCTTGCCAATATAGGACTCCCTCTCACAGAATTCCAGAGGCAGAGCACTGGAAACTCTTCAGAGATTTTTAATCCCCATGCAAGCCAGCATATCATTAGTTTAGTTTTTAGAAAATTTCTTTACATTGAACAGCCTAGAACAGTGGTCCACAACCTTTTTGGCACCAGTGACTTGCTTTTTGGAAGACAATTTTTCCACGCACGAGTGGTGGTGGTGGGGTTGGTTTTGGGATGATTCAAGTCCGTTACATTTATCATTTGATTCTCATAAGGAGCACACAACCTAGATCCCTGCATGCTCAGTTCATGACAGGGTTCATACTCCTATGAGGCTCTAATGCCTCTGCTGATCTGGCAGGAAGCGGAGCTCTGGTCTCAATGTTTGCTGGCCTGCCACTTGCCTCCTGCTGTACGGCCTGGTTCCTAATAGTCCATGGACTGGTACTAGTCTATGGCTCGGGGATTAGGGACCTCTGCCCTAGAAGGTTGGCGAGCAGTGGTAGAGATGGGTATTAGAAAATTCTTGATATTCTTACGTTGATTCCTTTCCTCTTTAACTTCCACTTATTGGCCCTCAAAAGCATGGTGGAAAGAATCCTGCTGCCTTTGCACTTGACAACCTTTGGAGGTAAAGATGTCTGTGTCATCCCTGCAATTTGTCCTCTTATAGGTTAAATGTTCTCAGTTCTCTCCTTCATCATTTGAGATAATTTCCAGACAGTATCTTGGTTGCCTTTGTCTGGATACATTGTTTTGACAGTGTTTCTTTTACAACATAGCATTGAGAAATAAACACAGTGTCCTAGATCTGGCTTTACTAACACATTGGATTCTGTCCTGGAGAGTTTATTTTACATTTTTATTTTCTTTTTTTAAGCTTCAGATCAACTTCTACTTGAAATATGTGCTTATGGGAGACCTCTGATCATATGCTGTCTCTCAAATTGTTTACTAATATCATTGTACAAACGATATATCTAAAAGTAACGTATCACATAATGGATGGTTGGATGAGGTAATCAAAGCAAAGCCTGTTTGTAAGTCATTAAACACTGTACAAGTATGAGATGTTGTAATTAAGGTCCTCATAGTTTCAACATGTCAGTTTGAAATCATTGTTGAAATACCCTTGGATCCATAATTTTATTTAGGCAAAATAACCAAATATCTTCCAACTAACCAAATGTTTTTTTCATGGTCATTTTTTCTTTTATTGAAATAAATTAATTGGGGCTACATTTTCACAAATCACTCAGGAAATGGTTATTGAGCACTGATAAATGTACTGTTAAGCACTTCAGTGGATACAAGGAAATCTTGGACACTGTCACCACGGAGTCTCTCTTATGAAGGCAGGGTGGCCTTGGGCAAAACTGAATTTGTCATTGTTGTTTTCATTAAAATATTCTTTACAAAAGGTGTTCATTTGCTGGAAGAAGAGGGAACTAAAGCCTGGGAGATTGGAAAAGAGTGGTTGATTTTGGTGTATGTAGAAAATGTGTGATCTTCAGTTTTTAAATATTTGCACTGAGGTGACAGTGTGGACTTGCAGAGAACTCTTGCTTTCTGGAAGTGAAGGCAGAAACAAGAGAAGCTGTAGTCTGGAAGAGCGAAGGGAAAAGAAGGGAGAAAATAGGGAGAAGTGAGTGAGAGGATAGCACCCTGCGAATAGCTGATGCAGGTTAGTAACTAAGCATAGAGGAACTAAGGGGGTGTTTGCAACTAAGGGAAGATTAAAAGACACACTTGGCATAGCCCAGGGAGTCTGCAAGGCAGCGAGCTCTAGCACAGAGGTTTCAATCAAAAGATAAAGAAATTGGACAGATCTGTGGCCTAGCAGGACAAACTTGGCTGTTCCATAACTGAAAGGAAGATGAAGCTCAGTCTTGAACTAGAAGGAAGGAATAAGGGAGGATGATCATAAATGTCAGCACTCAAAATGGGCTTTTTATTATCCTACATTAGCTTGGAGTTAGAGGTACTACAGATAATTCAGTGCCTCAGTGATGTGATCAAGGGCCCAGGTCAGCCCTTTCCACCCCTCTGTTTTGCCAGCCTCAACATATTAGCTTTTGTTCTCAGATGAAATGCTTACAGTGTCAAGATGGTTTCAGTGGTTCCAGACATCACTATTTCACTACAGTTTTATATAAATATAGGAAGGTATACAAAGTGGGCCTAACCTACTACCTCCAAGAAGACTTTGGGGGTAAAAGTCTTCTCCAGAAACCCTGATATACTTTCCTTATATATTAGTTATATTTCCACATTTAAGTCCACTGCCAAATGCAGCTAGAATAATCATGGCATGCACCAATCATGGCTTATATTTTCGAAATAGGAGAGAGGCTCACCTTTCCTGAGCACTTGGCTGCCTGCTCTGACCCAAATCACGAAGGGAAAATGGGAGGGGAAGCTGTTGATAGGCAGTCAACAATATCTGCCATAAATAACTCCGCGATCTCATTCAACAAATATATCCTCTTTTTTTTTTGGTTTTTATTCAAAGGATTTTGATAAAGGAACAAATACTATAGAGCAAGTTCCGGAAGGGATTTATTTATTTATTTTTAATGCTTGTGCCTGCTGTGTAGTATGAGGCTAAACTTGCGTTTTTTTTTTAACCACCTTGTTTACAGGGTATTCAAGAATTCTGGATTTCTGTAAATTCAGCTTGTTAATATGAATTCTGATTCTTAGGACTATACAGATTAGATTTGCTAACTACTTTTTTTGGTATATATCAAAATGTTTTATTGAACTAAAAAATGGCTTTCTCTATTTTGTGCTTATAAGACATTTTCTCCCAAAGGAAAATACCACCAAAAAGATTTCAATGTCCAAGAAGTTTGGTGAGACGTAAAATAAAAGTTATAAGCCTATAATTTCATACCATAATATAATTTTATCATGGTGGTATCATGAAGGAGCATTGGATTGGAAGACAAGAGACCTGAGGTGTACTACTGGCTCCTTGACAAAGTAGCTTGTGGTCTTTATTCAGTTATTTTACTTCTCCAGACCTCAATTTCATCATCTCTTCCCTTGAGGGAGTTATATTAGATCAGTGTTTCCTACACTGTGTTCCATGTAAAACTAGCTTTCCGAGAAAGGTTTATTGATATACGAAAACTGGAAAATTTGGTCAAACAACTTTGGAAAATACTGGGTTAAACCAAGTTAATCACATTTCTTCATTGCAGGATTTTCGGGGCCTTTACTATGCTAATATAGATTGTGAATCTCCAAGAAAAGGACAGAGTATATAGGGTTTTCTAACACTGTTTGGCCAGGAAGTCTATTTTGTTTTTGTTTGTTTGGTTTGGTTTCGGTTTTTTAAAGTATCACAAAACATTTTTCTTTGGAGCACAGTGTGAAACATTGAGCTGGTTAACATTTGACTCTGCAGTTGTGCAAAAGGGATGTGTTCTTTGATTTCAGAGGCTTTCTGTGAAAATAACTGGGTGGAGGTATATCTCCAATTATATTGAAGGAGGAAAATCAAAACTAGAACCTGGGGCTGGGCATGGTGACTCACTCCTGTAATCCCAGCATTTTGGGAGGCCGAGGCAGGTGGACTGCTTGAGCTCAGGAGTTTGAGACCAACCTGGGCAATATAGTGAAACCCTGTCTCTACCAAAAATACAAAAAATTAGCTGGGTATGATGGTGCGCACTTGTGGTCCCAGCTACTTGAGAGGCTGAGGCAGGAGGATCACTTGAGCCTGGGAGGCGGAGGTTGCAGTGAGCTGAGTTTGTGCCACTGCACTCCAGCCTGGGTGACAGAGCGAGACTCTGTCTCAAAAAACAAAACAAAACAACAACAACAAAAAATCAAAACAATAAAAAAAACTAGAATCTGCAGAATGGATAGAGTTTTCATAGCTGATGATGAGTGGAGAGATTTTTGGATTAAACGGTTAATCTGGATAAAAACATGAACAGAAGGCTTTGAGAAAGCCTCCACCATCTTCATTTGTAACTTCAACCTTCCTCATCATGCAGAAGTGGGTTGAGAGGCATGTATGGTAGAATGAATGAACTCTTATGTATAATAGACTATGACATTTGAAAAAGCCTAAGAGGTTTAGGGCTGTGATTCTCTTGTGACCTATTGGAATGAGAGGTCCTCAGAAGGTGCCTATGAATGTGCATGTGAACATGTATGCCACATGTGGTCATGTGTGTGCATGCATGTTCATGTGTATGCACAAGTGTTTGTGTTTTAACCAGTTTATTTGGATCTGAGATGTTTTTTACACATTTTTCACCTAATTTTAATATTTTTTCTTCTTTTTTTCTTAAATTGTTGGAGTTTCTTGGCTATCTTGAAAGAAACTGTAGAAGTCACACAGAAGGGGAGGTAAGAAGGCATCTCTAACATTGCAGTGTTCCTGCTCTTCATTCCTCTGCCACCTGGCAACTTTTACTTCCTATAACAATTGAATTCTGGACCCAGGATTTTTAAGGGTAGGAACACATTTCTATGAAATTTTGCAGTCAAAGAAAACATGTATTGTCAACACTGTTTGGAATCCATGATAGTTATCATACTTGGCATCAGGGAAATTGAAATCCCACATGATTCATGCCCTAGGATTTTTCCCTTGGCTTTCATGTCCACTGAAACATTTCCTGGCTTGCTTGAGTTCTCATCCAGCCCAGGAGGTTCCTATCAGAGCTGCCTGAACAGACTGCGTAACATGGGTGATTTATGATGCACTAATGATGGAGTTGCAGATTTTTTTTATTAAATACCAAGAACAGAAGGGAAACAAAAGGGAAAAACATAGATCATAACTATTACTGCCTGAAATCTTTGCACTGGGCATGTGAAAAACAAAGCAACGAGAGGCTCAAATCTTACCATGTCGAGCAAACTTGTGTGTGGATTTACTGGTTTCTTCCCCTGGGGTTTTCTGTTTCTTCCCCTTTGGCTTCCTCTTTGGAACAACAACCTAGGAAATATTGTCATTCACAAACATTTTATTAAAGTGCATTTATTCAGTCAACATATATTTGTTGAGCAACTACTCTGTTTCAGGCACTGGTTTAGGCCCTGAGTACACGCAGCAGTCAACAAAACAGACAAAAATTCTTTTATGGAAATTGTGTTTCTAGTGGGAAGATTTTACATACACACATACATACAGTTATACTATAGATATTTATTATATGTACATAATATATACACATATATAATACATGTACATATATAATATAAATACATACATACATATACAAATATACATGTGTATATATAGCAAATTAAACAGTGATGAGAGCTAAAGAGAACAAAAACCAGGAAAGGTGAAATGGAGAGTTTGGGGGAAGGAGAAGGGTTGAAATTTCAAATGGGGTTCAGAGGGAAGGCCTCATGAAGAAGGTGACTAAAGCCTCCAAGGCATTGAATCTTTCCAGATGGAGGGAATCTCAGGTGCAGTAGCTCTGAGAAGTGTGAGAAACAGCAGCAGGCCAGCATAGCTGCAGTGCACAGAAGAGAGAAGACGAGATGAGGGCATGGTAGCATCGTGGGTTATAGTAGGGACTTGGCTTTCTACTCCTGTGACACAGAAAGCCATTGGAGGGTTTTAAGCAGAATCTGAGCTTGACTTACATTTTAGCAGAAATATTTGACTTCTGTAGTGAAACACACAAGGGCAGAAAAAGGGAGACAAATAGGTAAGCTACCTGGGAATCTGAGGCCTTGTCTTCAGTTTCTTCCAGGGAGCTCTTTTGACAAGACCTAAATTACTGGCTCTTGTGTGTACTGTTCCATACCCATCTCATGGGAATCCCTTCTTCATCTTCGCCTCAGCAAAATACAGGAAATGCAGCAACTTCTTTCTGGCTGCCAAAGCCACAAGCCAACCTATCTCTTGCTTTTCAGAGTTTTCAGGCAGGATCAGACACCATTTCAGTGAGTTCCCCTCTAACAGAAGAAGATTAATGAAAAGCTATCTGAGTGCTCTCTTTGTAGCCTAATTTCTCTTGGCTGGGGTCAAGAAGGAAGCCCTCTATTCCCCTTTGGGAAGGAAAAGACTCATAAAACACCAATAATTTTCTCCACTGAAATACCCGTTAGAGATTCTCTAAGTAATGTCCTCAAAGTCTCTTTCATTAGACTTTATTTTAGGAGCTAGTACTACTTCTGTGCCGTTTTCTTGGAGGAAAAAAGATAGCATAACATTCTCTGAGGAAATCTTTCTTCTCAAGCTGTATTATTCTCCCATTTTTTATCCTCTGGATGAATGTAACGGATTAGAGAGTTTTGCAATTATTTCTTCCAACTACCCCTTTTGAAATTTGCATCTTGGTCTAGCATTCTATCTTGTAATGTCATAGCTATTATATTTTGGTACCTTGGTTACAACATCCTATTACAAAGGGAAGGGTTCTTTGCTAATTAATGACTTATGTATTTCTGACTTGATAATAGCTATCAATAAATGAGAATGTGTTTGGCAGAGAGTTTCTAAAAAGAAAATTCAGGATGTCTTATATCATTGTGTCTTGGCATGGCAATATGCATGTAGTAGATACTTAACAATATTTGTTGAAAGAATGATTGAATTTTGTGGTTTGAATGGAAACTGCAAAGTGAATTCATATTAGGAAAGCAGTTCACGATCAGAATTAAGTCCATCCCTCACAAAGATAGAGCAAATAAGGTAATTGTGTTCTCATTCTATATCAGATTACTGCCCATGCTATTGCTTTTTTTTTTTTTTTTCAGCACAGGAGTTGGTCAGCAAGCTCTAAGCCTCAAGGTCCTTATGAGTCTCTAAAGAAGCTGACACCTAATTAGATAACAAATGCTTTCATGTCACCAAGAGTGTACTGGTTTGTAGAGAGAGTAGGAGAGTTTTCTGACCAATGCGAGAGACATGAGCCTTCATGTCTAACCCTCAGACCTGGACTAGAGAAACGTGTTTTAGAAATGATGGTAAATACTGGAAGATTGCCTTAACATGACCTGCTCTGATGTGGGATTCACACTTAGACTTTGTATTGCTTTTTAGTAATAAATGCGTATCAGAAGGATACTGTGAGCCAAGCCGTGAGCTGGAAGACAAAGCATATGAATGAGAAAGGTTCAATAATAGTACATGAATGGTTGTGAGGCAGTCCATCGTCAATTGCCAGTAAGAGGTCTAAACAATGAGCTCTGTGAGAATAGAGGAGGAAGCAGTCACTGTGAGGTGGGGGAAGAATGTGAGGCTTTCTGAAGTACCAGAGAAGCTCACTATATCCTAGGGTTCCACCCTATAAATTTTACACTCATGTAACATATGTCATGCAAGTGTGAAAAATATAAATCACTTAATCACTCTGTGCCTCAGATTTTCATCTGCCCTTTATTAACTTTCAAGTCAAGAAATATAACACATACACAGAAAAGCACCTCAGAAATAAATGTACAGTTTAATGAATAAAGAAAATAAAGCCACATGTATAACTGTAACTACATGAGAAAACATGGATGGGGCTCTAGAAACCCTGTGTGTCTCTTCCCAATCCCCATCTCCTCTCTCTGTCTTGGCCAGATAACCACTGTCCTGAGCTTTATGGCAATGATTTCCTCAGCTTGCTTTTTAGTTTTGTGCACTACATACTGTAAGAGTTGCCCGAGCCTGGTCTGGAATAGAGCTCGTCTCTGTGATTTAATTTACAAACACTTTTGGGGAGAAGATTAGCATCCCTCATACAGTGCCTGAACAATTTTCCAGTAAACTTTAATGAGATATAGATTTGTTTTGGAAACTACTCACTCATCAGTTTTGCTCTCAGTTGACTATCAGTCAAAAATCTACTATTAATATCTTTAACTAAACTTTCATTCTTTATATATCTAGACTAAAAATAACTACCTCATCTGTCTCCTTTCCTATAAAATGTACATATGAGGAATAAGTGTTTGAATAGATCTCTACCTTTCCCTTGTGTTCAAAATTTTTTTTAATATTTGCTACCTGCTTATAAGTAAATAGTCTGAGAAGTTTACTTTAATGGTAAGCATTACTAAACTCTGTATTCTAGTGCATAGGGCTCATTTTTGAACCATATGAAATGGATTTATATTTATTTTGTCATCTTTTCTTATTTCACTGAATAGTTTGTTTTTAAGAGCTGACCGTCTTGTTCTATGTAGTTTAAGAGCTGACCATCTTGTTCTATGTAGTTTAATTATTTTTATTGCTGTGTAGTATTACTTTGGAGATACATACCAAAATGTATTCATCCTACTGTTGATGGACACTTTGTTGTTTCCAAAATTCCAGTTTGGGATAGCTAGGGACAAGAGTTTTAGGACCGTTCTTGTGTATGTATCTTGATGCAAATACGTAAGAATTTCTCAAGGGAATGTACCCTGGAGTAGACTTGATGAATCATAGAATATGCAAACACTCAATTATAGTAAATAATGCCCACTTCCTTTTTCCATTGTGTTTCTACCAATCTGTACTACTTGCAGCACAGTACCAGAGTTTCCATTTGCTCAATTTCCTTACCCAACACATTGTATTTTCAGACTTTCTAATTTTCTTAATTAGTTTGGAGTAAAGTAGGAATCTCATTCTGTCTTAAGTTAAAGACAGTATTTGTCTGATTAGAAATGAGATTGAATACATCCACATAGATTTATTGATCACTTGGATTTCCCCTTTCATGATTTTCCTGTTCAAGCCTCTTGCCCTTTTTTCTATTCTATTAGTGTTTCTTTTTTTTAATTGATTTGGAGTTCCTAAATATAAAAAGTCCTATGTTGCTAATACATTCTCCCACCTTGTACCTGTTTTATGCTCTTTTCAATACAATCAAATTAATAATCTTTTCCTTTGTGGTATGTGATATGATTCAGATGGGGACACAGCCAAACCGTATTACCAATTGTTTTCAAAACTTGTTTGACTCACAGATTACTTTTGCTATTCTCCAGACCTTGTCTTCTGTGGAACAAACTTTGGGGAAAATAGGTCCTTGCAAGCTAACAAATTAGGGTCAATTTATGGTCCTTATTTTACAGATAAAGTAATAGAGACTGAGAAGGCTTATATAACTTGGCAGTCATAGCACTGTGAGTGGTAAAACTTAGACTTGGATTGGTGTTTTTAATCTTTCTCAATATTGCTTCACTAAAAATATAATTTTTGTTGAAAGAAAGTAATTCATGATCAGGGACTCTCCACCTCCTGTCAAATGCACCACTAATGGACAAAAGGATTAGGTTTCCCTAATGTCCTCATTGGTATTATTGCCTGGTGTAACATTTCTTACAATTAGACACCTCCAAATTCCCCACTGGCAAATCTGTGTATACTTCAGCATATAAACACCTTTTGAGGGCCTCTTATCTGGAGATTATTTTTTTCCATATGATGAGATGTTTAGTGTGATTCCTGCATGAGAAGACCAATCAGATCTATTAAGGCCTTTTTGGTCAGAGGATGTTCAGGTAAATTGTACAGCTAGATTGGATGTACCCCATCCTCTTCCCACTCAATCACTGCTTACTAGTGGTTTCTTGGGAGCTTGGGCTGGCCTCTGGTGAAATTTGTTGGGGTTCTATCTGTATTATTTCCCATGAAGCCATTTTTCAGTCACATGGTGACTGATGTTCTATAGGATGCACAAGAAGTATTTTTTTCTTCTATAATTTTTTCCTGTTTTGTTTGTTTGTTTGTTTTTAATTTCCTTATCTCTTGAATTTGTCTTCATGCCATTGGCTGGAGTATGAAGTTTTCTTTCTATGAAACAATCTTTGAGAGGGTAGAGTCAGAATCAGCTGTGTAATTTGCGGGACCAGTGCAAAATGAAAATACGGGGTCCTTTTTTCAAATATTACCAAGAATTTCAAGACAGGTACAGCCGAGCATTAAACCAAGAGAGGGGCCCTTCTGAAAACCAGGCCCTGTGAGATTTCACAAGTCACATGCCCCTGAAGCTGGCCCTGAGTAGAGTATCAGGAGTCAGAATATTGCAGTTCCAGTTCTGGTTTTGCCGCAATCCAGTTGTCTGATCACTTACTAACCCATTTCTTTTTCATCTCTTAAACAAGGAGCTGAATTAAATAGTTTCTGAGATTCTGTTCAATGATAAGGTCATTTGCAATTTCTTAGAGATAAACGGAGTGGTACTTAATTCATTAGCTATTCATCTTTAATTATCCTCCACCCTAAAAAACCACCCACATATACACATTCAGTGCTCAGACAGGGGGTAGTGGTGGGACTTCCTCAACACTAGACATTTTGGATGACTATTTCTCTCTTCATTGTATTTTCAGTAACAAATGACAGCCAGAGAAAGGCCTTTAGGTTGCCATTTTTCACTGGGGAAGATGAGCACAAAAGGGAGAGACTGAGTTTGCTCTTAGAAAAATAAAGAAATTTTTCGATGTGGCTAATCATCTGGCTAGAGGCCTGGTTTAGTCCAGGCATACACACATTCTGCATCATCTAACTATGTACTTTTATCCAGTTATTTGTCTTTATGTTGAATAAAAAGTGTCATTACCATGGAAATTGCTTTGTTGCATCAGGCTTTGTTTGAGATAAAGCAAAAGAACACATGCTTTTTTCACAATGCCTGTTTATATTCATGGATAAAATGAAAACTAGAGCTATAACATTGTTATTAACTAGTTCTTTTAAAGCAACATAAAAATTATAAGGAGCTAAACTGAAGAGATCCATAGGTTACTACTGGATTCACAAAAAAACATTCAGAGCTGCTGCTGATTCCTTTGTGTTCTTAAACATTTTCACAAATCTTCTGTGCCCCCCACACTTTTTAAGATTTGTTTTTTATTTATATACAGCAAAATTCACTTTTGGGTATGTGTACAGTTCTGTGAGTTTTGACAAATGCATAAAATTGTGTAACCAAAGGATACAAAACAGTTTGATCATCCTCCCCTGAAGTTCCCTCATGGTGATCCCCTCAACCTTAACTCTTGACAACCACTTATCTGTTCTCCATCCCTCTCATTGTGCCTTTTCCTGAATATCATATAAATAGAATCGTGCAGTATATAACCTTTTCAGGCTGGCTTATTTCACTTAGCAAAATGCATTTGAGATTCATCCATGCTACTGTGTGTATCAATAATTTGTCTCCAATTGAGAGACATTTGGGTTGTTTCCAAGTTTTGGCAATTATAGCAATTCATGTATGTGAATGTACAAAAATTCATGTATGTGAACATGGGTTTTCATTTCAGGATAAATATTTAGGAGTGAGACTGCTTGGTCACATGGTAAATGTGCATTTCAGTTTGTAAGAACCCGTCAAACTCTTCTCCAGAGTGACTCTACCATCTTGCATTACCAATGGGAATATTGTTTTTGTTTCTTATTCTTGCCAACAGTTGGTATTGCCAGATTTTTTAAATTGTAGTTATTATAATAAGTAAATAATGACACTTATTGCAGCCTTTTTTTTACATTTCCTCAATGATCATTGATGGTGAACTTTTTTTCATATTCATATTTGCCATCCCTATTACTTTTTTGGTGAAGTGTCTGTTCAAATTTTTTTTTTGCTATTTTTAAAACTTAGATTATTTTCTTATACCTGAGTTTTGTGAGTTTTTTGTATATTCTAGATACAAGTTTTTTTTTTTTTAGAAATTTTATTCAGAAATATTGTTTCCCCATCTGTTGCTTGTCTTTTCATACTCTTAATACCTTATACCACACACAAAAATTAACTCAAAGTAGATAATAAACCTAAATATAAGAGCTATAAAACTCTTAGAAGAAAATAAATTCAACTTCATCGTAATTAAAAGCTTTTGTTCTTTAAAAAAGTGAAATGATGACACACAGAAAGGAAGGAGATATTTGCAAACTATGTATCTGCTAAGGGACTTGAATGTAGAATATATAAAGGATTCTTACAACTCAATAATAAAAAGACAAATAATTCAAATAAAAATGGGCAAAGGATCTGAATAGACATTTCTCCAAAGATAGAGAAATGCCAATGAGCTCATGAAAAGATGGTCAACATGATTAGCCAGCAGGGAAATGCAAATAAAAACCATAATACATACTCAGTAGATGGTTATAATGAAAAAATGACACATCATAATAAGTGTTGGTGAGAATTTAGAGAAATTAGAACTTTCATATACTGTTGATGGGAATGTAAAATAGTACAGTCACTTTGGAATACAGTTTGGCAGTTCCAAAAAATGTTAAACAATCAGGAATCTCCTCCTATGTATGTACTGAAGAGGAATGAAAACATATGTTCCCTTCTGTGTGTCTCTTTGTTAAATCTCCTTCTGCTCACTCTTGTAAGGATACATGTGATTGCATTTAAGGCCCACCTAGATAATCTTACCATCTGAAGATCCTCAACATAACCACACCTGCAAAATCCCTTTTGCTTCATGTTAAAAGAAAATCTTCAGACAAATGTAATGCAGTTTATTTGAGCAAATAGTGATTCATGAATTGGGCACTTCTCAGAATTGGCAGAGGTTCAAAGAGCTCCACCCATCTGTGTGAGCAGGAAGCTTTTATAGGCTTAACATGGGACCAAAGTGAAGAAATCACCTGATTGGCTTTAGCTAGATGTTTGCCTTATTTGGGCATGGTGTGATGAGGCATTTGCGTTAACGGATATGGTCTAATTTGTTGGCTACCTGTGATTGGCTGAAGCTTCGCTGTTTGTGATTGGATAAAATGGCTATTTGTTACAAAATATACTCTGAATTAGGTTCTGGTTTGTTTACTACTGAGTTAGGTTATAGTTTGTTATGTAGGAACTCAAAGTATGGAGAGAGCCTCTGGCTAATGGCCTCCTGCTTATTTAATTTAACACTTAACAGATAACATTTACAGGTTCTAGAAATTACAATTTGATATCTTTGTTGGGGCATTATCTGGCCTACCTCAAGCTCCAAAAGGCCTGTTTTATAAAGTATCTCTTTGATGGGAGTTAACTTCAAGGGGGCCTGTCTACCCGCAAGGGGCATGTTTATGTTTGGTGGTAAATTTGAGGAAGAAAGACCAGGTGATCTCTTAATCCCATGAGTCTACTTCCTAGAAACATTACTGGATCTTCATGTTTCCATGATGTATTTAACAACCCAGCCAAGAATTTTATATATATTACCTAATGTACTTTTCAAGTTTCAAGCTATTCTAAGCTTTGTCTCAGATTTGTGGTAAACATGGTGTGCATTTGTGACTGGCTGAAATGCCTCATTTTGGCTTGGTTCATACAAAGTGCTGATATTTCCCAGAAACCTTATTGGGTCAGGAAACCTTCCTTTTTGTTCATTTTATTAGTTCCTGTGTAAACTGTGAATTTCTATAAACACGAGAGATCATTTTGTTGGACATGTTCTCCTCTGATAGTTCTCACTGCAGTACCTAATCATGAGTCTCCTGACATGGCTTTAGGCTTCTAGGAAAAGGAAAATAATGTCTTATAAATTGAAAACACAATGTGAGGATGTACATTTAAAAATATGTCCTCTAAGAGTTCAAGGATTTGAAATTTGTGTAAACTATTTATTTTAAACTCCCATTGAACTCTTTAGAGAAAAAAATCTGAGACTCCTATATGAACTGGAGGTAATGACCTGAGTTTTAAAGCTATGATTAGAATTTTTGCATCAAAATGGCAGTTTTCTCTCAGAGTGCTGACTTGAAGATGGTGCATTTATTGTGATGATTTGGCCCCTGTGCAAAAACACTGGTGACTCATTTTGTGTGGGTGATTCTCTTTAGTCCAGTTTCTGAATAACTGAGCTCTTACTACCTTATAGTCATCCTTAATATTTGACCACAACTGGTATCACTCAGCCTGCTTATTCACTCCACTTGCCATTCCTTATTCTGAGTGATTTGGGGTTATTTAAGAAAATTAGATTCATCTATATTTGCTACAGCTGAGGCTACTCAAAATAATTTGAGCTGATGTCAATAATGAAATGGAACTCCAAGAAATTGTAAGTAATGGCAGCTTAACGAGAGTAAGTGAATAGATACCAAAGAGGAAGACCTTCAACAGGACAATACAAATTTGGATATGTAGATTTAGGTGTGAATGTGTTAAAGATAAAATAAATCACATGTCTTGTAGTTACTTTGCAACCCAAAGTACAGAATCCTTTGTCCATTGTATCCGTTGCCTATCTTCAGCCAAGAACGAATGCTTTTTGCATATTCGTCATTTATCGAAACTGGTATAGGCTATTAGGAACTAAATAGCCATAGTCTCTGATTTCATGGGGACTTAATTAGTTAGAAACAGACAAATAAAAATACATAATATGTCATGGGTAATAAATGCTTCTGGGAAAAATTAAGGTCAGAGAGAAAGAGAGTGATGGGGTGGAACTATTATTTGGATAAACTGGTCAGGAAAGACCTATCTGATAAGACGATGTTTCAGCAGAGCTTTGAACAAGTAAGACAGCTAGATTTGTGGGTATTTGGGGGAGTGGCAGGAGTGGGGTGTTGAAGAGAGTGAGCATTTTCCAGAAGGAACAGCATTTGCAAAGAAGTATGCTTGGTTAACATTGTGAACTATGAGAACAAACATGTCTCAAAAGACCATTCAGGACAGTTTAAGAATGAAGCACAAATATACAGAGGAGGAAAAATCTGATTTGGGAAAAAATATCTCTCAATCAAAGCTCAGGATAAAAACTTTTCTCGGCCGGGTGCGATGACTCACACCTGTAATCCCAGCACTTTGAGAGGCCGAGGCCGGTGGATCATGAGGTCAGGAGATCGAGACCATCCTGGCTAACACGGTGAAACTCCGTCTCTACTAAAAATACAAAAAATTAGCCAGGTGTCGTGGCGGGCGCCTATAGTCCCAGCTACTAGGGAGGCTGAGGCAGGAGAATGTCGTGAACCCGGGAGGCGGAGCTTGCAGTGAGCCAAGATGGCGCCACTGCACTCCAGCCTGGGCAACAGAGCAAGACTCAGTCTCAAAAAAAAAAAAAACCTTTTCTTTTTGTGTCTTCTGCTTTTCATCCTACTCATCAGCATTTGAACTTGCTCTCCCTTTTAGTTTTCTGATCTCAAATTATTTGACTAGAATAAATGTAATCATGCTATTCTAGATACATGTCCATGCACTTAGGATGAATCATTGTGATTCAGTCATTGTGTTATTTAGCTTATGTTAGTGCATTAAAGTTAAGACACATTGCTAAGGGCAAGGGAGGCTTAGGTGGAATGGGGAAAGATTTTTTGAGCAATACTTTTCATCTGGATATTTTTGCTGAATTATCTGTATATCTACCACAATCCTAATTTTTCCCTCTTGGTTTCTAAAGATATGCTTTCTGTTAAGTCTGGAGAAAAACCGTATTTGGAGGATGGTTTCTCAATGCTCTTAAACAGCAAAATGAAGACTCTTGATGAGCTACCGGATAAAGTTTCTCAAGATGAGGGTTTTATTTTATAAAAGAGGAGTTGGGACATAGTTGTAGAAATCAGAGTTTGAAGGAACCATATAGCTCCCTGTGAATTCCACTCCCTCAATTTACGCTTGGTGGCATGAAAGCCCTGCAAGGCTAGGGGGAATGGAAACTCATGTATACTGAGTGCTTTCTGTGTAGCAGGCATTATGCTGGACACCTTCATGTGTATCATCTTATTTTATCAGCTCCACAATTCTATGAAGCATTGGCAGGGATATGTGTTAGCTCTTCTCTATTTGCCCACAAAGTCTACTCTGCACACTGCTTCACCTTCTTTGCTCTGGGAGGCTAACCTTTCTGCATCTCATTAGCCAGATTCCTTTGCCAACGGGAAGCATAAGCTGGAGATCAGAGGGTGGAAAATGAGAGAGGGCATGGTCTTTATACCCTATCTCCTGTCTGGTCAGAGTCACAGTTTAATGGTGATGGGCAAAAATGGATCGAATTAGAGGGAAGAATCAGATGGGAAACTCAGATAATAAGCATAGATGGTTCTTTTAGGTATCTGGGGCATTTTGTTCTCTCAGTTCTTCAAACATAATTACATATTTGAAGTTTCATTCTGTATCTGGATAGGATTGTATCTGTATCTGCTTGATAAGAGGAAAATCCTCTGCAGTTTCCCAGTGTATCTTGGCTTGTCTTTAGCTTTGGCTAAGCATAAGTCAATACTTACTTATTTGACATATGCAATCGTGAAGACTTTTCTTTCTGTCTTAATAAACATGATACAGTGTGTCTTTTGCCTCTGGGATCTCTTAAAATGTGTTTGGAATTAAAAAAAATATATAAATATACACATACTCATATATATGCATATATATATATTCATGTAGCATTTTAAAATCATGTCATAGTTTCTGAATGTGTAGAGCTAGGATTCTAAATGAAAGAATAAAGGAAACCATGGACTTGGATGGTTTTAAAGTATGCTTCTTTGTAATTTTGAGAGGAAAGTCAGAAAAGAACTGCAAAAATGATGTATGAATGTAATCACTCTGTCTTTTGTAGCCTTGTTTTCTGTTCTTTTTTTCTTGACCTTGAGCCAGTTTTCATTCTGTTGTATACAACTCTTTCCAGTAGAACGGATTTACATTGCTTGCAGCCTGGACTTGGCCCCTGAAGAGATATTAGAGGAACAGTTTAATGGTTAACGAGTTATGTTGGGAGCTGAGGTTGCTGAGGCAGAACAGTTGTCCAGACTAGTTGCTTGGGGAGCAAGGTTGTCTGGATGGTGTAAGTTTAACTTAATGGCTTTGGCAGTGGCTGAAGGTGGAGGTTAAAGCATGTCTTAGAGTGGGACAGAGTAAAGGGGCTGCTGCTCTGAAGTTCAGTTGCTCACAATTTCCATTTTATTTTCAATGAACTTAGGATCCTCTTGTAGTTTGGGGGCTTATAGAGCTCTGAAAAAGGTAAGATAAGAAGGGCATTAGCAAACTACCTGTGGGGAGTTAGGTGTCTCTGAGCAGCAACACAAGTTGGCTGTGAATAATACAGAGCTGGGCTGCTTATCCTTAAATATTTTAGTGATATGCTTCATCCCCTTGCTTCTTTCTCCCCAATAAGGAGAACTTCCTTTGCAGTAAATGAGCTTATAATGTCCAGGGAGGAGTTTTGGCTGTAAAATTGTATGACTTGCCTTTGCTTTTATTCACCATAAATATTTATATTTCAAGATGCACTCCAAACCCCATAACAAAAGATTTTAAAACAGTCAGGCCCTAAAGGAAATACATGTGAAGATAATGGAAACCAGGCTGGTAAGCCTAAAAAGAATTCCACGTCCTTGATCTAGCTTTGGTTGTGATTGCAGAAAAAGGAGAGTTAGTATATGAAAAGGTAGCATTCTGTCTAGTGATACGCTGCTACTATGAGGGGTGGGTGGTGGGGCTTGGGTTTTGAGAATCTATTTGTTCATTTAATAAAAATATTAGACACCCTGTAAAGGTTAGTTTTATTCGTTAGAGGAAAGGTACATTTATGGCCATAGACTATGACCTGAATTTAAGGCCAGATAAATTAAAAGGGCTTGTTACTAAGCCTAGGAAGAGCCCAGGTGAACACATTTGGAAGGATTAGGAAAACTCATCATCTCAACAAGGGAAAAATAATTTGACAAAACATGCATGCACAGGTTCACTAGCATGATCTCAAGTTAAAGGGAATTTGCTTGGAGGCTGAGACGAGCATTTTTAACAAAATTCAGGAACAATTTTGAAGACAGAGTAGAATTTTTTATTTGGAAGACTTCTATTTTGAATTATATCAGAAGGTAATTTCTTTTTTTTTGAGATAGAGTCTCACTGTATCACCCAGGCTGGAGTGCAGTGGTGTGATCTCGGGTCACTGCAACCTCCACCTCACTGGTTCAAGTGATTCTCCCACCTCAGCCTCCTGAGTAGCTGGGATTACAGGTGCGCACCACCACACCTGGCTAATTTTTGTGGTTTTCTTTGGGTAGAGAGGAGGTTTTCCCATGTTGGCCAGGTTGGTCTTGAACTCCTGATCTCAAGTGATCCACCCTTGACCTCCCAAAGTGCTGGGATTATATTCGTCAGCCGCTGTGCCCTGCCCAGAAAGTAACTTACAAAGATGTGCCAACAGAGATAATTCCAGGGTCTGTATCATAACTGTAGTGTGCTAAAGGACACTAATTTTAACTCCAAAATATTTGTACCTAAATAATTTTAAATTTGTTTAAGAAGAAAGGCCACTGGGATCTGGTGACATCCATTTACCTTAGATGAGTTTGTTCATTCATTCATTCTATAAACCTTACCTGAGAATAGACTATGTGATAGGCTTTGCAATAAGCACTGTTTGGTGAATTGTAAGAATGCAACACTTCTCAGAAGAAGGTGGGGGTTTTGACATTTAGGGAAGAAACTTTCCTGAAAGAGAGCTTCTAGGTCTTGGTAACAAGCCCATGTAAGTGAGGGTAAGATGAAGTTCTCATGCGGAGAGATACAGGCTCATCTGGAGGCCTCTGACAAATGTTCCATGGGTCTTTTGGGATGTTTCCACAATTTTATTTGAAATGTCCTTCTTTAATTTTAGCTCCTCCTTTGCTTTATTTGCCAGGAAAATTCTTCAATTTCTGTGTAAAATGCAGACATTTTAGCTTAGAAAGAGATGAACTGTGCAATTTTTTTCTAGTAAAAATATTCTTCTTACCTCCCACTTTTAATTCCTCAGTATCTACCACTACATTTGCTAGGGGTCTCCATTTCCATGTATCTCTTATTTACTAATCTTGCATGTTGATTTATCTTTTTCCCCAGTATATCCAATGTTTGGGCAAATTTGGTTATGGCTTGACACACAGATGGAAACTATTTGAGTTTTTAAATATCCAAGGCCTTTGCTGTGGTTTCTAATGTGTGTTTCCCAAGTTTCTAATAATAACTTCCTCTGATCTTTCTGGTGGCAGCCAGAAGCTACATGGGTGATTGAGTTGCTCTTTCTACATGTAATTTATTGAGTTTTCCTTCACTGGAAGAGAGGGCTATTCTTGGACAGTAAAAGAGTTGTAATATAATTGATCTGATTTGTTATTTTCATTCTCTTAGTCATTATCTTTGCATGAGTTTTTAGGGCTTAGGGTAGGAGGTTGGTATAAATAGCAGTTATTTGTTTTCTCTGATCCACTTCCTCTAAGAATTTTACCTGATTTATGGAAATTTAGTGACAGCTTGAAATAGCAGTGTATCTTTTTCTAAGTATGTTTATGCCCTTATTTTAATTCCAGATAGATGATAAGGGTGCCTTTTTAAAAACAGCCAACTTCTTTGTGCTCTGGTCTTCATTCTTCTTGGACACTAGTTTCTCTAACTAAGACCAATGTTTTCTGAAAGTCAGTTGATTTGTTTACTAAATGTTCATTTTAAAATGGAAGAAGAGTCTTAGAGTTGGAAGGAATTTTAGAAATTCTTTATCCATCCCTCTATTCCCCATTCAGTGAAGAAATGCATTCAGACTGCTTGAACAGCTCTATTGAATTCAGTATCCTACCTCACGGGAATCATCTCATTTGTAAAAGTTCTAATTATACAGTGAGCAAAAATATGTCTCCCATAGTATCTACTTGTTTCTTCTAGATGATTTTCTGTAATCAACTGGAATGTCTCATTGTTTTACATGTTTAAAATGGTAACATCCTTTTTCTCATAGACCAGATGTCCATGGTCAGTTCATACAACATGGCTTTCAGGTCTATCATTGTTCATTTATTTTTTTCCATCTACAAGAATTTTTTTGAGAGTCATATTGGGCTGGGCATTGTGCTACCCACTGAGATTACAGAGACTGATAAGAATTAGACACTAAATGAGAAAGTTTAGAGTATAATGAGAAAGATAAATGAAACATAAGAATTTAATGTGATTGACGCTAATTAGAAGTATATACTAAATTCTATAGAACACATAGTAGAGGCATCAAAGACATTTTGTTTTCTTAAAGAGTTAACTAAATTGAGACTTGAAGGAAAAGAGATATATGGACTGAGTAATAACAAAGGCACCAAAATATGAAATAGTGCGTCATATTCATGTGAAGCATGGCAAGAGTGAAAACAGTGTACGGTGCAGTGATAGAAGAGAAGGCTTGAGAAGGATTTATAGGTTATAGATAAGGCCCAGATCATAAAGAGTCTTACACACTTCATGGAATTTGAGCTTTATGCTGAGTACTGTGGGTAGCCATCGAAGTATTATGAGTATGGGAGTGACTTGATAATATTTGCATGCTAGTCTGATCACCTTGGCAGCAGGTAAAGGGAAAGTGGGTTAAAGTAAAGCAATCTGGAATCTGGGAGCCTAAGTAGGCTACTGAGGTTGTTCTGGAAAAACTTTGAGGGTTGCGAATTTGAGGGAATTTGAGGCAGTGGGGAAGAAGGAGAGACAAAGACAATGGCCAGAGGAGATAGATAATAGAGGTTTATGGCCGGGCATGGTGGCTCATGCCTGTAACCCCAGCACTTTAGGAGGCTGAGGTGGGTTGATCACCTGAAGTCGGGAGTTCAAGACCAGCCTGATCAACATGGAGAAACCCTGTCTCCACTAAAAATACAAAATTAGCGAGGCATGGTGGCACATGCCTGTAATCCCAGCTACTCGGGAGGCTGAAGCAGGAGAATCTCTTGAAGCCAGGAGGTGGATGTTGCGGTGAGCCGAGATCGCGCCACTGCACTCCAGCCTGGACAACAAGAGCGATACTCTGTCTCCAAAAAAAAAAAAAAAAAAAAAAAATGGAGATTTGTATCTAATGTCCTGATTTTCAAACTTTGCTGGAAGTTAAAAAAAAAAACAAAACTGTTGCCTGGGGCCTGCCCTGTGAGATTCTGGTTAATTGGTATAGGGTGAAGCCTCCGCATCAGGATTTTGAAAGGCTCCCGAAGAGATTTTAATTGTACAGCAAAGTTTGAAAACAACTGATCTGTACATTTCAGGAACTGAATAGGTACTAGTTTTCAATATCCTATTTATATGTCACCAAGAAGTAGACAAAATGCTCTAGATGTGTTCTCATTAAGTAGGAAAATTACCTTCTTGGATCAAGACACTATTCTTCTTTATTAATGAAGCCTAACTTGGAATTTGTTTCCTATTTTGGCAGTCATATCACATTGTTTCATACAGTAAGTTTATAATTAACTAACCTACATGCCTCTGTCATAGGAATTATGTTAAACAAGGTCTCCTCTAGTCCCCACATTTGCAGTTGATATTTCAGACCTAATTACAGGCTTTTACATTCAACCATGTTTAATGTTATCATATCAGGTTTAGCGCATGGTTCACTAAATCTTGATTCTTTATTTAAACTCTCTTATCCTTGTTATCATAGATATAGACATGCCTTCTAAGTCCTCAAACAGGTAATTAATAAAATATATTAAATAGGACAAGGACAATAATTTTTGAGTTTTAATAGAGTACAGAATACTCTGCTAGTCGTTTATGTGTGTGGGTGTGTATGGGTGTTTATGGGTATGGGTTCACACAAGCTTCAGGGTTGGGGGTTACAAAACCTACTTTCCCAGCTTTAAAGCTTGTAGGCTCACATTTAGAGCTCAGATGAAATATTTTATTAAAAGTTCCTGGGAGGTCTAGTTGGGTGAATTCTGCTTCTGTGAGCTCCTGTAATATTCTCAGGAAGTGTCCTTTACTCCAGAAAAATCTTATGTATTTCTCACCACCTTATCACCACTAGAAATAGTATGAGAATTCTTAAGCTCCTGATTTACAAAAATTCTCAAAGAAGTCTCCTGATAAGGGCCTGATAGTCCATTGAAAGATATTTGGTCAAGAGGTTTTCTACAAGCTATAATTTATAATATGCTAAGGATAAAGGTTGGGAAATGACCACTAATATCCCTTTCTTTGGAGAAAAATGCTTTTTAAGCCCTGAATGACTTGAATAAATGCTGTTTTGTTTAAAGTATTTTGACTTTAACCTCAAGGGTCTAAAGATGTCAGAAGTCCAAATATCACTAAACAATAAAGCACTTGTTAAACTGACTAAGGAATGTAAATGCCATTTTCTAACAATTGATGGAAAGCCATAGATAAACTGTGAAACTTGCTAATATGCTTTCACTGGATTTCATTTAGAAGAACTCTACTAGACAGAGGCCTTTGACCCAAGGGCATTTACTGTAGACTTTCCTCCCAAAATGAATCTTTTCTGAGTTACAGACTTTAGCAAAAGAGGATTGTTGTGAAAAACCCAAAGACATTTTTTTAAAGCATTTTCTGAATGCTAAGAAATAATAGACATTTTTAATCATAGCAAGTTGAACAGGATTTTTACTATGAGTAAAGAAGGCATGCGGCAATGCTGAAGGCTTCTTTGGAAAACAATTATAAAACTATTGCAGAATTAGAAAACCAATTAAAATAGTCATCTTTAATTTTGATAGTTGAAGTTTTTATTAGGCTGTTCCTAATAAAAAAAGTGCTAAAGAAGATGAAGTTTCTTTTCTGGTCTGGCTGTCACTGTTCTGTTTTTTTGGTCCCTTTTGCCTTCTGATATGCCTTACCCCAGAATGTCTCATGCCCTTACATACTGCGACCAGGGCTGTCCTCCCACCCTCTACAGCACTACAATTAACATGTCAAACCTAAGCCTTTGGACAGCATCCTTCAGGCTCTCTTCTTTGTAGCCTGCATTGAATCTTTTTCTTTCGGCATCCTCATACAAACCATTTCATTAGTTTCCAATAAAGGGTTCACCTTGAGGGCATATGTCTTATTATTTTACTTTATCCTGAGGGTAATTCACAGAAGAGAATATACAGATGTCCAATAAATATATGCGTGTAGGATATATCACTAGTAGACAGGGTTATGGGAGGATGAATTACCCCAACACAATCTGGCCCACACGTTTTTACCTCTCAATCTTGCTCTCCCATGCTCACTCTCCTCCTGTCACCTTGCTTTCAACATCTCAAGCATGCACCCCTTCAGGGCTTGCACTTACTTTTTTTTTGTTACATTGAAAGTGAAACCTTCCCTACCTATTCTATTTAAAATTTCACCCTCTCCTCCCAGATACTCCCTCATCCCCTCTCTGCTCTGTTTCTCTCATGGCATTTATCACCACCTGACATATGATTGATTGATTGATTATCTATCTACAAACTCTAAATTTAAGCTATATCAGAGCAAAAGTTTTTGTTTGTTTTGATCATTGCTCTATTCTATATCTGGAACATTGCCAAACAATTAATATCCCTCAAATATTTGCTGAATGTATAAATTAACCCTTTTTGGAAAAGGATCTGGCGATATTTATTCATACTAAAAATGTGCACGATAATTTTACTCAGCAATCTTACTTATAGATTAAAGTTGGCTGCATATGAATTTGCTACTCCTCCTATGGATAGGTTTATGTCCAATCCTCTTGAATCTAGGTGGGCTCTATGACTGACTGACCAATAAAATATGGTTGAAAGGACACTGCCAGTTTCCAGGACCAGGCCTTAGGAGATTAGCAGTTTCCATTTTCTCTCTCTTGAACATTTGCTTCTAGAACCAGCTGCCATGCTGTGAGGAAGCCTAAGCAGTCCATGGAGAGGCCTAGGTGGAAAGGAATTGAAGTCCTTTGTTAACAGCTCCCACCAATAGCCAGCAACAACTTGTGGTTGCTCTTGGAAATGAATCCTCTATCCGCATTTGAGCTACCCCAGCCAAAGCTGCATGAGTTGTTGTGCTAAGCATTGCCCCAATTTTAAATTCATAAGCTTTTTTTGGTGTGGTTTGTTATCTAACAATTAATAACTGGAATGCCACTTTTTATGACTCTATCTTATAGAAATAAGAACTCCAGAAAACAAGAATGGACGTATATGGGAATGTTTATAACAATGTCCTTCATGATTTAAAAAAAAGAAAGAAAAAATAAACTAGAAACAACTTGAATGTCCATTCTGTACATTATGGTTAAAAAGTATTGCATAGCTCCATTGTGGACTATATTTGGCTATTTTTTTGTTTATTTTTGAGACAGGATCTCACTCTGTTGCCCAGACTGAAGTGCAGTGGCATGAATAAGGCTCACTGTAGCTTCAACCTCCTGGGCTCAAGCCCACCTCAGCCTCCCCAGCAGCTGGGACCACAGGCACATGCCACTATGCTCAGATAATTAAATTTTCTTTTTTTTATAGAGACGGGTTCTCCCCATGTTGCCCAGGCAGGTTGCAAACTCCTAGGCTCAAGCAATCTTCCCGCGTTGGCCTCCCAAAGTGTTGGGATTACAAGGGCAAGCCACCGTGCCTGGCCATATTTGGCTATTAAACCATATGAGTTAAGGCTATACATATCAACATGGAAGGATATCCAGAAAGATAAACGGAATAAAAAGCAAATTTTGGAGTAAAATGCTTAGTCTAATTTCACGGAAAACAAACAAACAAACAAACAACCTCTATAGGCTGGGCGCAGTGGCTCATGCCTGTAATCCCAGGGCTTTGGGAGGCCAAGGTGGGTGGATCACTTGATGTCAGGAGTTTGAGACCAGCCTGGCCAACATGGTGAAACCTCATCTCTACAAAAATATAAAAATTAGCTGGGGATGGTGGCGTGGACCTATAGTTCCAGCTACTCTGGAGGCGGAGGCAGGAGAATGACTTGAACCCAGGAGGCAGAGGTTGCAGTGAGCTGAGACCATGCCACTGTATTCCAGCCTGGGAAACAGACCCAAGATTCCATCTCAAAAAAAAAAAAAAAAAAAAAGAAGAAGAAGAAAGAAAACAGTATAAATATGTATACTTTACATATATTTACACAAACATAAAACATAAAAAATATAAAGAATCTATACACCAAATTATTAATGGTGATTTTGTCAAGAAAATGGGATTGAGTAGGGAAGCTAGAAACTGTTTTTTTCTTTAAACTCTTCTATATTCATTAAACTATTACAAAAAAGTCACAAAAAAATTACTTTTGTAACTAAAAAAATATCCTGGGTTTCAAGCAAAGTGGTGGTGATATGCGTGTATGAATGCAGGTATATATTTATTGGGGAACTTTCTTAGAAGTGCTGCTCTGTTCAAGGAGAGTGGTTTCTTTGTGGGCGCAAGGTTGGGGAGAGGGCCTCAGGGGCTAGTGACATTGAATCCGTTTTCTTCCATTTCTGACAATGCCTTTGTTGGGGAACAGCAATACAAGTGTGACTAGAAGAAAAAGAGAAAGATTATGTTTCTGCTTTAGTGTAGTCAGTCCTCCTACGTGTTAGCAGGGAGGAAATCTTCAATACTGGTATGACAGGGCCAAGCTTTGTGGTGGTTTTGGAACCTGGTTATAGGGATTTCCAAGTGGAAAACAAAACTGTCTAGTTACTAATTTTGGAAGTTTTCAGATACCTTTGACTCCTTTTTAGGGGATCTTCTTAGAAATAGGTTTTCAGAGGGTGACTAGTAAATCATTTTCCTTCACGTGGAAGAAGGGGAGAATACTTCTGTAATGTAGTGATTTATTTGCTGTGTGGAGAGGCGATGTGAAAGCAGAACTTGCTTTGAAGATTAGGGACCTGTCTTTCATTAGTGGTGAGGAAGTGGAAAGAGGAATCAAAAGAACCAGGCTCTGATCCTGGTTCTACTACTGACTAGCTGACTAGCTGACTGACCTCTCTGAGCCTCTGTTTACTTTTCTACAAGGAGATATTACACAGAAAGAAAGATTATGCCTTTCATTGCCTATAGAAAACGATCAGAATATGTGCTTTCCTACAGGAGTTTATAAAAATAGGTTACGTCTCACCGTTACAGCAGCTAGATGGCACCACCACCTCTAACATTTCTTTTTTAATGCTTCAACTGTAATTGCAGCTGGTACAGAATGTGCTTTCTTTCCTTCCATGATAGCATCTGTCAAAAGCTATGACTTTTAGATGAAAAGGAATTTAGCTATGTTGCTTCGAGACATCATGGATCTCTCCAAAGGAGATTCAGCATAGATAAACCTGAAGTCTTTGAGAAAACTAAAAGCCAGTAATTGTAGAAGATAATCACTGTATTGTAATTGTCCCTTGGGTATTAGTTGCCCTAATTTCATCAGAGTTCTCTCTTTGTTCCCCAGAAGACATGCTGACAGGCTTAGCCTGAGGGAGTGAAATTATGTGAGCTGGGCAGTGTTGCGGTTAGGGAGACTCTGTCCTTACCACATCTCTAGCTACAAGGAAAGAGACCTCCTATGCTTTGTTGACTGTAGAATCATAGATTTTTAGCAATCCTACTTCTGCATTTTACAACTAGGTACATGAGACCCAGAGAGTTGAAGTGATTTGCTAAAAAAATAGTATATACTAGTCTCAATACTCTTATTTCTTGTTTTTCCACTTGACTGCTTCTGCCTGTTTTTTGTGTATGTGTGTGTTTTTAACTTAAATAGACTGCCTTGGGGGTTACAGCTAAATGGGAATTTGAGGGATCGCTTAATATTAAAAAAAATCCCATAAGCAGGGTGGAATTTTAAACTATTTTTATCTCCCTTATCACCAATGCGCTTCAAAGAAAGGATGATTTGGGCAACTGGGGAATCATGTGATCAAACCCTCTGCGATGAAAGTTTTCTATTTCTTATAAACACGTTTAAGTAATATTTTGCGTGTCTTACAATATTGTACCGAAAAATTATGTGAGAATTGAGAGTAAAAATTAAGAGTAAAAATTTGGAGTTTTCTAAAATAATCCTTTAGGAACAGCTCAATATTTAATTATTTCTCTGCCAAAGAAGTTAGTTTTCATTTTTCAAAATTTACTTCTTATTTGTAATTTTTTTTTTTCAGTTTGCAAGATGCTGAAGAACATGCTTAATTAGCCCTTTCCCTCTTTAGTTTTACCTTTATCAATTTAAACATAAAAGTTGTGCATTCAGCTTCATCCATGCTCTGGTGTGCATGAGCAACAATTATGGAAGGAGTGATATGCTAGCATGTTGTTCATTTTCTTGTTTTTTCTTTCTTCAAATATTGGGTTACTGAATTGTGAATTCCAGGGAGTTGCTAGGATTTTAGAAACCTGCTTGAAAGACTATTGGCATTTTACTGGGTAGCATAGTCATATTTTTTCCTTTACATTCATCAAGTCTATTCCTTTCACTAAAAAATAATCATTAGTTTATATTTTTTCTTTTATGGTTTTATTTACAAACTTTTTAAGTCCATATGTACTGTGTTGCAACTAGAAATCACTTTACCCAGAACTCTGAGATGAGCATGGTGAACAGGTTTATTAGGAAATTATGCTGATAGTAATTTGATATTTTGGGGGTAGTGTTTCCTAGTCTGTCTGAAAATTATAAGATGGAGAAAATAAACTGAAGGAATGTTGCATGATAATAGTTATATTTATAGTGTATGTTGACAATGAAAACACATAGTGACAAAAAGCAACTATGAATTCAGTAACACTGTACCTGACTTGGTATTTTATTAGTCACAAAACACACATATATATATATTTTTTAAATAGGAATACTTTTGTGAGCAAACTATATTATTCATTTAGTTAACAGATAGTACTAGATGCATCTAAGAATTTAGTTGCAGTTTCTCTGGAGCTTTTGGTATCAAACCGCTGTTCACCCAGCGCAGGAAGACCAGATATCCACACTGAGGTTTGCAGCAGGAGAAAGGAAAGTGTTTATTTGCAGAGTGCCAAGCAAGGAGAATCAGGCAGTTCATGCTTAAGACTCAAACTCCCAGAGGGCTTACTGTAAGATTCTCCCCGGGCCTGAAAGCTTAAGATGAATAACTCCTCCCTTTTCAGGCCCAGTCCCAAGGCGCAACTTGCGCCAGCAGGGTGCGCCAGCAGGGTGCGCCAGCAGGGTGCGCCAGCAGGGTGCGCCAGCAGGGTGCGCCAGCAGGGTGCGCCAGCAGGGTGCGCCAGCAGGGTGCGCGATAGCAGAAGCAGGAAGAGAGCCGGGGGAAGACACCTACCCTGGCCGGAAGACACGAAGATCCAGAAAAAGGCCATCCGGGTACAACGTAGCAGTTACATCGGACTGTGACACTTACTGTTTACAGGAGACTATAAAACTTTGCCCAGTCGTCACTTGGGGCCCGCCTGCACCCAGGCCGTCATTAAAACAGCATGTTGCTCCACACCGCCTCGTGTTGTCTGTTGGTGTGCTCTCAGGGTGGAAACGATACAAGAACGTTACACTTACAGGTAAGGGTTTTTAAAGGCAGGAAGGCAGAAGTTACAGGTAAAGTCATAAATCAATATATAGAGGCTATACATTGGTTTGACCTAAAATGGTAGGACATCTTGAAGTGGAGGGGCCCACAGGTCATAGGTAGGTTCAAATATTTTCTGATTTGCAATTGGTTAAGGAAGAGAAACTTTGTTTAAAATTGTAAAGTCAGTAGTAAAGAATGTTAGCTCTGGCTTGTGGGTGAGACTTTCTCCAGGCCCCTCAGGAAGAAATTTAGAAGAAAGGTCAGAGTGCAATCCTCAGCTCCCCCTTATCTGAGGTCTCAGTGCCAGCAGATCCATTTGGTGGGGGTCCAGGTTGCTGAAAAACAACTCAGGTATACATGTTAAGATGTTATCTTTAGTTTCTACAGGGAACCAAACATTCTGGTGATTCTAACTCCTTGGCTATTGTTTTAAGCTACTATTACCTTCCCACTTATCAAGTTGTTTATTTACTTCTTAAGGATAGCTAGGTGCCTGGAATTACCCTTGAGGGAACTCAAGATTTTCCTTTATTTTCATGCTAGTTGTTGGGGTGGTACTCACAGGCCCCTATGAGGGGTTCCTGCCCTGTTTCACTTCTCCCAACTGTAAGTTGGGAACACTGTTCTAGAATGATAAGTATATCCAAGTGAATCAAGTTTTAACAATTTGTATTTAGCAGTAGCTAAAATGTATTGGGAGCTTAATATGTTCAAGGAGCTATGCAAAATTGCTTTATATGTATTAACTAACTTAATCCTCATTAACAGTCCTATGAAGTAAGTGCTACCATTGTCTCCTTCTTATAAATGCAGAGAGGGAAGCTTAGATGGTTAAAATCACTTTTTCAGGGTCACATATTTTCAAAGGTAGCCCCAGGTAAGTTCAATGCATATCCTTGGTTAAAAACTACTCGTCTAATTCATCTTCCTTATTTGTATTTGAGGAATTTAAAGTCCAGATGGGAAGCAAGTTACTTCTATGCCAGATCTAATATTAAAATCTTGGCCGTCAACATAAACTTTTTTTTTCTGTTTTCAGAGATTTACAGAGATAAAAGGCTCTTTGAGTGGCTTGCAATCTGAATAGGGAGATAGGACTTGAGCAGAAAAAAACAGAAATGATAAAAATAACTAATGCTATGTGGAGAAATGAGGGATGGCAGAAAGAAAAGAATATTTAATGGCAAGAGACATCTTTAAGGTAGGCTTCAGAATGGAGGCAAGTTTTAAAAGAAAAGTAGAACTTAGTGAAGCCAGAGAGGAGGAGTGGGAAGCTCTCTAGTCTGGAGTAGTAGTATGAGAAGAAGACAAGAAGGTGGGAAGATGAACAGAAGTTTGGGTTTGATGAACAGAAACATTCTGGTTCAAGTGAGTGGTCTTTTAGGGGACAAATAAAAGACCAGTTATGGAAGTGGGTAGGGTTTAGATAGTAGCCTCTTGTGCTGGACTAAGAAGTTTGTACCTTTTCCTATAGGAAGTGGGAAGCTATTGAAAATTTTAGAGAATGGGTAACTGGTTAAAATATTTCCATGCCCAGTGGCTGAGTTTGAGGGTGGGGAATTGGATTCACTTGATGCCTTTGGGACCCTCCTTCAATAGTAGTAGAACTGGCTTGGAATTAAGAGTTGGAATGGTGAGTATAAGTTGCCTGAGATGAATTGTCAGACACAGACTCTGATAGCAAATAAGCAAGGAGAATCTTGCTCAGGACCCTCAAAGCAGTGCCCTGAACTACTTTCCACAGTGGAACTTCTAATATCTGTGTTTACAAAGTTAGTATTCTTAAATTCAAGGAGGGTTGAAGAGGTGTTTGGAATTTAGTTCAATGTTTTATGTTTGTTTGTTACTGTCTATTCTTGCTCTAGCTAAGTATGCTGATATGTCATTATATGGACCTCAGGACTTTTCACGTGGTGAAATTGATTCTGGCTCAGAAAGAAACGTACATGAGAAGACCACAATAACTCTTCAGGAAGAATTTATTTATTTTTGTTTATTCACCCTTGTGGATTTAAAAAATTAAATTAATATAGATTAAATTAAAAATTAAATAAATATAGATCCACATGTAGCTATAGAAAATAATACAGAGAGATCTTGTGTACTCTTTACTCAGTTTTCTCCAATAGTAACATCTTGGAAAACTAGAGTTCAGGATCACAGCCAGGATACTGACATTTATTCAGTGAAGATACAGAACATTTCCATCATCACAACAATCTCTCATTTATAATAGCCATATCCAGTTACTGCCTGCCTCCAACACCACCTTAACTTCTGGTAATCACTAATCTGTTGACCATTTATATAATTTTGTTTTACACACACACACACACACACACACACACACATGTAAATTGAACAATGCATGATGTAACATTTAGGGACTGGCTTTTTTCACTCAGCCGAATTCTCCGGAGTTTCATCCAGGGCATTGCATGTATCAATAGTTTGTTCTTTTTTATTATATTCTATAGTGATTTTGATGTATCTCTTTGAATAACTTGTTTAGTGATTGCTCTATATATCACATTATGTATACATTACTCTTCATAGTCTGCTGGTATTATCACGTTATTGCTTCAAGTGAAGTATAGAAACCTTACCTCCCTTTAAATCTTCTATCCTCCCCTATTTGCAATACAATTGTCTTAAATACTTCTTCTGCATACATTTAGAACCACATCAAGTAGTGCTATATTTTTTGCCTCAACCATCAAACATGATTTAGAAAACTCCAGAAAAGTCTGTTGTATTTACTTATATTTTTGCTTACCATGTTCTTTCTTTGTGATGTTCCAAGGTTCCTGTTTTATAAATTTCTTTCTGTTGAGACCATTTTCTTTAACCATTCTTTTTTAGTAGATCTATTGGTGACAAATTATCTTAGTTTTCCTTCATCTGAAAATATCTTGATACCCACTTCATTCTTGAAGCATATTTTCACCCAATATAAGATTTTCGGTTGACAGTTGTTTTCTTTCAGTTCTTGAAAAATGGCGTGCTGTTTCCTTCTGGTCTCTATATCTTTAAAATTAATAATTACTGTCATTTGAATTGTTTTTTCTTATAGGTAAGGTACATCTCTTTTGCTGCTTTCAAGACTTTTTCTTTAGTTTTTGTAATTTGACCATTATGTGTAAAAGTACAGATTTCATTGAGTTTATTTTGTTTGGAATATTCTCACCTTCTTAAATCTGTAGGTTTGCATTGTTTTTGCAAAATTTAGGAAGTTTTTGGTCAACTCTTATTTCTTCAAGTATTTTTACAGCCCCATCCTCTTTTTTCACCCCTTCAAGAATAAAACATGACAATTAGATCTTTTGTTACAGTTCCAAAGGTCCCCTAGAATCTGTTAACTTATTTCAATCTATTTTCTCCCTGTTGTTCAGACTGGGTAATTCCTATCATCCTGTCTTCTAGTTCACTGATTCTTCTGTTCCCATTCTGCTGTTGAGCCCATCCACTGTTTTTTTTTCGTTTGTTTGTTTGTTTTTAATTTCAGTTATATTTTTCAGTTCTAAAATTTCCCTTTGGTCCTTAATTATGTCTTTTACCTCTTTGCTGAAACTTTAAAAAATTTGTTTGCTGAGACATCCTATTTTGTGTCAAGTGTATTTGTAATTGTTCATCGAAATGTTTTTATCATGGCTGCTTTAAAATTTTTGTCAGATAATTCTAAGATCGCTATCATCTTACTGGCATTTGTTAACTATCTTTTTTCATTTAGTTTCAGATTTTCTTGGTAATTGGTGTAATGAATAAGTATCAATTAAAACCTAGACATTTAGGTACTATGTTATAAGACTCCAGATCTTATTCAAATCTCTGTTTGAGATGGCTTTCTCTGACACCAAAGGAAGGTTGAGTGCTACCTTGTTACTGCTGGGTTTGTGTAGCAGTCCATTCAGGTTCCCCAGTTTGGATACATTGGTAACCAAAGCCATATACTTCTTGTTACTACTGGGCAGGAATGGGAGTTCCAGATCCCTCTAGTCTCCACTGATACCTTCCTAGTGGGGAAGAGTAGGAGGGCATCCTTGCTGCTCCCTTCCTAGCTACTACTGACCCCATGGGGAGAGGATGAGTGGCCTCATTTTCTCCTGGAGAGCGATGAAAGTCCTGACTTTCCAGTAGGTCTCCTCTGACACCACTCCAGTGAGAAGGCAGAAGCATACCTCATTACTGCTGGGTGGGTAGAAGTATGTTCCCCATGGCATCTCCATTGCTCCCCAGGTGGTCTCCACTGACACCATGGGTGTTTGAGGGGGGCTGGCTCATTAGTGCTCAGTGGGGAATGAATGTCCCACTTCCTACTCTACTACTACAATGAGGGATGTGGAGATGCCGTGTTACAGCCTGACAAAAGTGGGTTTTTGCTTGGCTTTTGCTGCTGATGGTGGTGGTGGAGGGGAGTGGCGATGATGTTTGACAAGAGTAGAGCAACTATTTTTTAAACATTTTCTGCCTCTTTCCAGGACATTTGACTAGAAAGAGCAGACTTTTATTGTTGTTATTGTTTTATTTTTGTATTCATTGGTGTTTTGGGGTTGCTGACTTCTTTAGCTGCAAATCCTGAATATATGAGGCAATGAGAAAATGCAGGGAACTCATCACTGTATTGTCACTCAGATCCTGAGGTCCTTAGCCTGTCTCCCTTTTCTTAACCTGTCAGTCTTCTTATATAAATTTTACATATGCAGAGGTTTTAGTTGTATTTACTTGGATGAATACAAAAAAGAACATCTACTCCATCTTCCTGAAAGGGGAAGCCCCCTGAAAAATTTATTTTTAAACATTAGTCTAGATCTTTAGGGTAACAGATGTTCTGAGATGCATAATTTATAACTTGTCCCCTTTCATACTGATTTATGCCTTTAAAAATTAATAAATTTTCTTTGTGTATATTTGAGTTACTACTTTTTAAGTGAAACATTTAAATGGGTGCTATTAAAAAAGAACTTTTGGTTTTAAGTGACACTTTGCTCTCTAAGTTGACACTTTGTTCTCTAACTCAGTATTTATTATTCTCTCTTGCTGGGGGTGGTCAAAGAAGTCTCTGAGAATATAATTAAAATAATATGACTTTTGCTGCTCAATTTTGCTTATGATTTAGGAGGTTTATATACAGCATATAGAACCCTGGTAAACCATTCATTTTCTAAGTATTGGTAACACAAGAGCTATGAAACTAAGAAAACCCCAAGAATGGGAATGAAAAAAATGATGAGGAAATACTGGACTCAGGCCTCTGTCTTGACTTAGGCTGGGCAATACCTATAGCCCAGCTCTACAGTAAAACTCCATTTGATTAGCCTAGGTAGAAAGATGACTCTTCTACATACTGGAAAGAGCTTCTGTCAATTCCTATTAATGCAATCCTTAAAGGTAGTGGAGCTACCGTTCTAAGTAGGTCTTCCTTATGTCAATGTTTATACTTTACTTCTTAATGTCATGTCTTAAGCACATAGTGAATATTTTTCTATCTGTATATTGACAGCAGTTTGAGGAATTTCCTTATTATGTAATGTTCATATCCTTACCTTTGGCTGACCAAAATTTGGCATAAAATGCAGCCCTTATGTGAACAAAAATGGTATGTTAGTAAAGACTGAGATTTTTTTTTCCCTCTTGAACAAAAGATTGAAGTAAAGTGTTGGATGACTCTCGAGGCAAGACTGCTAAAGGAAGGTTTTTCATTTGTCTATTGCTATGTGATAAACCATCCCAAACTCAGTAGTCTAAAAACACAACTATGTATTCTCTCTCATAATCCTCTGGTTTGTCAATCTAGATGGTACTTCTGCTGGTCTTGCCTGAGATCACATGATCGCAGTCATATGATGACTTCACTGGGGCTGGCAGTTCAAGATGTCCTCCCTAATACTTCCGGCAGTTGATGCTGCCAGTCAGCTGGGGCACCTTGGCTCTCCTCCACATGGCCTCTCAGCCTCCACTTGGTGAGACTGGACTCCTTGACAGCATGGTGTTCTCACAGTTAGTTCCAAGAGAGAGAAAAATGGAAATGGAAGGTGTAAGGTCTCTTAAGGCCTAGCCTTTGAAGCCACAGTGTTATTTCTACAAATCAAAGGCCTAGCCCAGATTTCCACAGAGGAGAAATAGATTCCATGTCTTGATGAGAAGAGGGGCAAAGTCACACTGCTAAAGGGCATGTGAGATGGGAGGAATACTTGTGACTATATTTGCCAACAGTCTGTCACAGGGGACAGAGAAGTGAAATGCTGATGAGGTCAAGGAGGTTGCAATGAGAGGTAGGGTGAGCTGCTGACACAGGGCCATGTGTCCTGGAGAACACTTGAGATATGAATAGCAGCCAAAGGAAAGAGTGTGAAGCAGTTGGCAGGGAGACTTTCCATGATGACTTTAGACAGCTCTAGGGACTGCTCATTTTGACTGGGCCAATGGACAGAACTATGCTTTTTTTTTTTCTAGAGTTTTCCCTTTATCGGACACAAAGACCTAAATCAACAGGCTGCAGTTCAATCTGGATACATAATCAGCCTGGCACAAAAAGATTTTCCCAAGCTAAGCACGCCACGGGCTTAAAAAATTCAAATATGAAATGAAGCAGTCTGAAAAATACTGGTTATGCAAACATTTTGTAAGCAATGAAAAAATGATGACCAGGGGTTTTGCAAAGTAAGTGATCATTTTGGTGCTTAATGACCCAGTGGATTATCAACATTAGGTTTAGCAAACTAGCTCGAAAGGGGATATTGTGGCTATTTCTTGGTAAAAGGTGGTACTTCACCATTTAGTATTGTACCATCTTGATTACTTAGGTGAGAAATTTATATCAGGTATTCACTTCTGGAACAAGAGCTTTGAGCAGAAATGTGACTATACCTGCAAGACAGAGTGAATGCCTAAGAATGATATTTTGGGGGATTAAAACAAAACAGAGGAATAAAAAGACAGAGTAGATGCAGAATCAGCTATATCTAGGAGAGACATGCACATGAATGATCCCATGGCAGCATTCCAGTACTCAGTGTATGTCCAGTCATGTGTTTTACAAGGCTAGCTTTTAGAGTTTCACCATTTGGGATCTCTGAATTCTAGGTATGCAACCTTACTCTAACACAGCAGTAAGAAACAGCCTAGTAAATAAATGTGACTAAAGTATGGCAGTGATCGCAGACAGATGTCAAGACCCACCTTATTATCCTACATGTATTTTATTCCTTTAATTGGAATATATCGAGAGTATCCATGATATAGATAAGCCATTGTCATGGAAATTAACCAGATAGTGCATGTGGCTGGTTTTATAAAGGTATGCAATAGCAAAGTGATCTGAAGAATTTTAAGGAAAACTTACTACAAAAGAACATCCTTTCTAGCTCATTTGTAAGGTCTGAAATTTTACCACTAAAGCAATTCTCTTTCCCCATTCCTCTCTTCCTTTTCCTTCTAATATTGTTTTCTATAGGTTTTCACTTTTAAAATGCAAATACTGCTGATATGTTACTATATCAAGCTTCATGATATAGTGGAAATCATACAGGCCTTGATTTCTGACCCTGTCTTTACTATCTATGTGATTGCGGGCAAGTTACTAAACCTCTGTTAAATTCACTGGGTTTTGTGAGGATTAAGTGCTATAAAAATTATATGTATATTGAATAAATATGTATATGATGTTATGTACATAATTATTAAATATATAATGTGTATGTATATATTATATATGTTATAATTATATGGAGAGAGAGAGAGAGAGGGAGAGAGAGAACTGGCAAATAGTACATGTTCAATAAACTTTAGTTTCTGGCTTCTCTTAAAAAAGCAAATTAGCAAAATACTTGGGTAGTACTTTCTTTCACTGATTTTTCCTGACTTTACAGCAGAGGTTTTTAACTTGGGGTCCATAGGTAGAATTCAGGGGCTCTGGGAATTTGGATGGGGAAAATCACATCTTTATTTTCATTACCCTTTAACTGAAATACAGCATTTCCTTCAATTATAAATATAGGTTACAAACCACAGCAATATTGGCAATATCAGTGACTTTGTCATCAATAGAAGTCATAGATACTTTCATGTAACGTTATAAGTTACAGAAATCTTGAAACATGATTTATGCTCATGTCCGCTTTGAAGTTGTAATAGTTATTAGACTGCCCCTAGATCTTATTATTTTCCGTGTTGATATAGATGCACATATGACACCACATCATAATTTGTTTAGTGATTGGTAAATGTATTTCATGGTAATTGGTTTCATTTTAAATTTTATGTATTTCATTTTGCATTTAAAAACATTTTAAAACTGGGTCATATGCAGTAAAGGAAAATGATGTTGCTTGTACTTGTTTATTAGTGGTGTTTGTGATACCAACTTTTGTTTATTGTAAGGTTTAATCATTTAATCACTTACTCTTAGGGTTTTTTATCAATTGGCTGTAGACATGACTGCCTTTTAGCAATTCACAATTTTATTGTTCAAAGAAATTCTTCACAGTGATTCAATTTATTATCAAACAATTAAAATTTTTATGTATAGAAGACTTTAATTAAACTATGGCATATCTATAAAATAGAATATAAACCAGTATAAAAAGAAATAAGGAATAGCTACATATACTGCTATGGAATGATTTCCAGGATATGCTGTTAATTCAAAAGAGCAAAATTAAGACATAAGTATGTAGTATACCACATATTATCTAAGAAATAGGATATGTAAGTATAAACTAAAAATATATGCTAGCTTATTTTTATAAAAATGGCCTAAATGCAATGAGATATTCTGGATGCTGGAACAGAAAGAGGACATTAATGGAAAAACTAATGAAATCTGAAAAAAGTTTATAGCTTAGTTGATGTTACTTCTCATTTTTGACATTGTACCATGATTATATAAGATGTCAACATTAGAGGAGGCTGGGTAAAGGGCGTATAGTCCTCTCTGTGCTATCTTTGTGACTTTTCTGAAAGCTGAACATTATTCCTAGTTTTTTAAACAAGAGTAAAAAAATGAAAAGATAAATAAGAAACTAATAAAAATATTACTTATGAGGGAGAACAGGATAAAGACAATAGGAATAGAAACTAGAGGGCTCTAAATGTACACTGTTTTATAAATGTAACTCTGGAACTATGTAATGTTTTAAGTAATTTTTAAAACAAAAGCGAAGGGAATAAATTTCCTAAAATAAAAAGCCAAAATAATCTAAAATATAACTACTTTTTGCATTGCTGGCTTAATTACACAGAGGGGAATTATGCCAAGTGATTTTAAAACAGATAATTTGCCTGCACACTCCTAGTGGGATGTATACTATGGCCAAAACAAACTGTAAAAAAACCTTAAACTGTTTTGAGTAATTGTGTACTAATATTAGCACTGTTATTTTGAACCCATTGTATATGTACATATATATACATATATATGCATATGTATATGTGTCTGTGTGTATAATATATAGTAGTATAACATTAATAAAGTATGTTTATGTCATTACTAATCAATATTTTCAGTACAATAGACAAAAATAAAAACATAAAATCAAAGAAGTAAAAGCCCTATAGTCATGTACTTAAACTGCAGTGTTTACTGGGATGAATTCATGACAATTTTCTCTTAAAAATATCAGAGGCAATATGATATTCTTTTACTGATGATTAAAAGAAGCAAATTAAAGATAAAGACATAAATAAGGTGATTTCTTGGTGATTAAAAGAAGCAAATTAAGAGATGCATACATAAATAAGGAAAAGAAGTCAGATTGAAAAAAGAAATTAAATCAGCACAGTGGTCTCCAGTGTGCAAGGCACTGTGGGGAATAGTGGGAAAAGGATAGTCTACTCGTTATAGCTATTGTCAAATGGAGGAAAGAGATACTTTGGAGGTAATGAGTATGGGGCAAACCATCCCTTTATACTTAATCACTGAGGAAATTACACTCAAATTAACAATACTGACAATTATGATTTGAATTAAGAAAAGCTTCAATCATGACCACATCCTCTTTTGGAGAGCAGTCAAATGTTTTAATATATTAGAAAATAAATAAAACACGTTTCAGCATTTAAACATAAGTTCAGGTATGTAAAAATTTATGTGTGTGGCTTGCCTTATTCCCAGATGATACTGCAAAATGAAGAGTGGTTATATTTGGAAGCACTTCCAAATATGAGCTAATGTCCCCTATTGATTTGCACCATGTGATACCTTGAAGTATCTTGGTAGGAATAACAAGCGTCTGGTCTGAGTCTATAATTATGAAAGGAATTGGCTGATAAGTAGTCATATGAATCCATGTGTCTCTCAGAATGTAAGTGCTGCCTGAATAGGTCATTGCAAGATGATCAGGCCTGTCTAAATATACAGTTAATCTCCAAATGAATCTGGAGTATCTCCTCCCCTCCCCACAGTGCCTTGCACATTGGAGACCATTGTGCTGATATCATTAAATATTTTTTTCAATCTGACTTCTTTTCCTTATTTATGTCTTTATCTCTTAAAAAGTAGTAGCACTATAGTTTGCTTCACATTTTAAACTTGGGATTTATTGAGTCACTAGTCTCAGATATCAATGACAGAATAGTCTTAGTTGAACTTGTCCTTATGTGAGATACTCAGACATTGATGGCTTGCTTTTTTGGTAGAATGGTTAATTCTTTAATTATACTTTACTGCTGTCTGTTTTCTGAGCCAAAGTAAAGAAATATACTGAATTGATAGATCACATTATAAGGAGAACAACTGATCTTATTTTTCAAATAGGGCAGAAATGTGCTCAATTGTATAAAATATATTAATTCTTTCTTTCATAAATGTCTATATACCAGGCACTATTCTAATACTGTAACATGCAAGGGTGAATTATACATGGAGAGTATCCCTCCTCACACTCTTGCCTATTCCTACCATTTTCCTCTATTGTCTGAAATTTATTGCATAGTTGTAATGCAAGTGCAATTCATGTATTTTAACAAGTTTTAAAAAATGCATATATATCTGGAGTTGGTAGAAGACTATCCTCTTAGTGTTAGCAGAATCAGATTACTTCCCTTCTAACACCTAGCTGAAATGAACTTCATTGATGGAATAAACTTTGTCTTAAAATGAGCATTGTGGAAGAAATTGTTGATTAATTTGGCACGTTAAATATTCGTAGTGTCAACATTTGGGCAGCTAGAAGACAGATGACAGCAGTGAGTATCTAAGGAATCTGGGGTAAGGGAAAGAAAGGAGTAAAGAAAGGAAGATCCATTTCTAAGGACAAACTGCTTCTGTCATTGTGCCACAGACTGACTTTGTAGCCTATCCCAGGGCCAGTTCTCTTGGCATCTTGTCTCTTGCTCCACTCTCCCTCATCTCTCCCCTTGAACTTCCCTTTTATTGAGGCTGTTCTTTATTTAGGATGTATCAATCAGAATATCCACACAGTTTCCATATTTACAAAGCTGCCAGAATGATATTTTATAAACCTCAGCCAAATATTACTCCACTAATTAAAACTTTCCAGTGGCTTCCCAATACATTTAGAATAAAAGTCAAACTCCTTACCTCAACCTACAAAAGTCTGCTTCATCTGGCTTGGGCCTGTTCTGTGATATTATCTCCCACTGTCTTAGTTTGTTTTATATTGCTATCACAGAATACCGCAGACTAGGTAATTCATAGTGAAGAGAAATTTATTTGGCTCACAGTTCTGGAGGCTAGGGACACCAGAATTGAAGGGTCACATCCAGTGAGGGCTTTCCTTTTTTTTTTTGAGATGGAGTCTCGCTCTGTCACCCAGGCTAGAGTGCAATGGTGCGATCTCGGCTCACTGCAACCTCCACTTCCCAGGTTAAAGCAATTCTCCTGCCTCAGTCTCCTGCGTAGCTGGAATTACAGGTGTGCACCACCACGCCTTGCTAATTTTTGTATTTTTAGTAGAGACGAGGTTTCACCATGTTGGCCAGGCTGGTCTTGAACTCCTGACCTCATGATCCGCCCATCTCCGCCTCCCGAAGTGCTGGGATTACAGGCTTGAGCCACCGCCATCCAGTGAGGGCCTTCTTGCTGTGTTATAACATGGCAGAAGGCATCACATGAGTGAGAGACAGTGGGAGATCAAACCCACATCCTCAAGCCCTTTTATAATTGGCATTAAAACATTCATGAAGGCAGAGCCCTCACGACCTTCCCATTGGGCCCCCTTTCCCAACACAGCTGCATTGGAGAGTAAGTTTCCAACACATGCTTTTTGAGGGGCACATTCAAACTATAGCACCCACTGTTCTGGTGCTTAGCCATGCTGCCTTTCTCTCTGTGATTTGGGCATCCTCAGTATATTCTTGGTTGGCAGATTTTGGACTTCTTTTTTCTCTCCTATCTCTTGACTCTTTCCCTAGACCTTTGTATGTCACTAACCCCCATGTTAATCTCTAAATGGAAATACCTTATTTTTTTTTTGTTTACTTGTTTATTGTTTCTCTAATTTCATTGGAACATAAGCTCCATGAAGGGAGAGATCTGTTCTGTCATGTTCTCTGCTGTTCATTAATGATGTGTTCAATGAGTAAATAGAGTACATTTTATTTCGACTGATTTTACTTATTATTTTAGGGGAATAGCCTCTGTCGGCAATGCCTCATTTTCATTTAGTTTCCCTCTTTGTAAAAAGGCCAAAGTTTTCAAATAAATATACAAATATATGCACAAGCTGAAAAAAACAAACTTTGCCTTACATTCAAGTCTCTTTAATTTGGGGGAAGTTGAGATGGTAAAAGAGCATGCAGCTCTCTTTTTCTTACAGTTCATACTTGTGTTAGAAGGCTGAAAAGTATTCTTACGTGTCTTGGATATGTTTCCTGGGGCTTAATCACCGTTAGCCAGAGAATGTTATCTGTTGTTGAAGAAAAGAATAGGCAAGAGAAATGTCAGACCAGCAGTATTGCTTTCTATTTTATGTGATTTTATTCTTACTGCACCATCCTCCTTCTCACTTCTGCGTTCTGTAAGTAGTTTGGAAGCTTCTTAAGCATGAAAATGGGAATATGTATTTTTATTTCCCAGTAGTGTGTAGCATAGTGCTAGAGAGTAGATAACCAATAATCACTTTTTCACTAAAAATAGTATTTAAGTTTTACATAGATCTTTACAGTTTAGTAAGAAATACAACATCATTTATTACAAAAACCCAGTGAAGTAGCAAGGCAGATATTAATTTCTTTTCTTTTACAGATTGAAAGACAGATTTCAGAGCTCAACAGAGTTATCTGAGTTCACTCAGCTAGAAGTGGCTGAGCTGGGAGTAGAGACTCTGGAGAGTGTTCTGTTTCCTCTAAGTGCTCATGTCTCTTTGTGACACACTGTTAATGATGATGGTATTGCATACAAATTAAAAGAGGAAATAACTTCATGTAAGATTTGGTGAAATACTGTTAATTCTTTGATAATAAAGTGAAAACATGGATTAAGCATTTGAAACAGAACTCACATACAGTCTCTCAGATACCGATGAGGCCTCTGAGACTATGCTGGCATTTTAGATCAATAGTGGAAGCACAAATGGTTCCAATGGGTCTCAGCCTTCAAGCCTTATTGTCTTTTGCAAATTTGCTTATAAGCTGCTGAAAATGCCACAGAATTGCCCTAACATTAGAGAATATGATAGTATCAAAGAATTTTGCTTTTTTACTTCTAAGAGAATTTTGAAAAACTATTAACCTCCTTGCATATTGTTGACATTCAAAATTTTTGTTATAAGTAAAATGGTTGACCAGGAGCACTGGCACACACCTATAATCTCAGCACTTTGGGAAGCTGAGGTGGGCGGTTCACGAGGTCAAGAGATTGAGACCACCCTGGCCAACACGGTGAAACCCCCTCTCTACTAAAAATAAAAAAATTAGCTGGGAGTGGTGGTGCGCGCCTGTAGTCGCAGCTACTCAGGAGGCTGAGGCAGGAGAATCACTTGAACCCAGTATGCGGAGGTTGCAGTGAGTCGAGATGGCACCATTGCACTCCAGCCTGGCGACACAGCGAGACTGCATCCCAAAAAAAAAAAAAAAAAGAAGAAGTAAAATAGTTGCAAATGATGGAATTGTCACTGTATTATTATAAATATTGACATACTAAAACAAAACTACTGTATGACTTTTTAGAATATGTTCAGTGGCATATAAGTGCAATTATAATAAAAGGCAATCATATATTTAAAAATACTTGCATAAGCTCTTTTTAACAGTTGGAAATTTTATATCTCTCTTGGAACTATAATTTTCATTGCATTTTTCTTTCATAAATCATAATGTAAATAGTTTTATGCTTGCTTTACTTTATGGATCACTCATTACATACCTCTTAAGACATATGTCCATTCTTATAAAACTTAAAACAGTGAATTTTCTGTGACCATAAGGCTCTAAGTATTTAAAACATTCTCCTGAATTGCATTATCATTACAATATTATTACTACATGATTAGTACAAGATAAATATATATTTTTAAAATAATATATAATTGTTAACATAAAGTAAAATTTTCTTAGGCATACTTTATTACCATTATTAGATGGGTCAGGTGTTTTCCCAATCAATTCATGTGTCTATGTTTACTATTTATTGCTAGGATGAAATGGGATTTAGCATCAGTTTTATTTCTGTTAATTTTTAAATGCGTAGATGCTATAAATCTTATTCATACAAATAAGTAGATAAGAATGGAATGGAATAAGTTTGTTATAGCAGTGTTATTCCGTGTGATATTAGAGCAGTATTCACTTAGTTCTTTTTTTTTTTTGCAATAAATGCCAAAATTCATGTAAGTTAACTTTCATCAAGATTAATTTTAATGATTTATCAGCTGACAAGTTGATTTTGGCTCTCCTTCAATTTTGCTAAAAGCAAAGAATTTGAAACCATCATATTTTCCAAAGGTTTTGCTTCCCTGTCAGAATAATTCATTTTCTAAAAGCTGATACTGATATTTGAAAATGTTGCTTTGTTTGGTGCCCCAGAAGTTTTGACATTTGTGGGCCACAAACTAGGGTAAGATTCTGGATGGGTAAAAAGTTTGCCTATCTTTTGTGGGAGGGAGAAAGAGATTATAAACGAGCACCACAGGCATATCCTCAGGCAGATCAGCTTTAATAAAAAGAATGTATGGAAATTGAGTACCTGGAAATACAGTGATCTGCAAATACCATTTTGAATGCCACAAGGTTAATGGACTAGCTGTGAGAGTTGAATGAAACACCCTGATAAACTGGGTCGGGAAGAGAACGATCAGAAGCTGCCACCATTCACGTTTTATTATTTATTATTAATTGTCTCACTTTAGAGGAAAACTCCAAAGATGGTCAAATACAGTGACTTTTCATTGATTTCTCAGAAAACTGCTAAGTCGGCAGAATAAAGTAAGATATGTCACTAATTTTTATTATTTAGAGATGTTTTGCTTACTTTTTGAACATAGAAATTTAGTGTTTGCTGAAAGCAAACTGGTTCACATTTTTTTTGCAGGGATAAATAATAGGAAGGCTGGTTTTTGGCAAAATTATGAGATAGCAATGTTGATTTTTGGTGATTTCTCACACCTTCCTTCAGCATATACCTTTCTTTCATTTTTCAGATTCTTCAGTTCTTCAACTCTTGAGTTGCTACAATAATCCACCTACCCCCGAACCCCAACCTCCTTAACTTCACCTTGTCTCTGACATCTCAATTTTAAGGGGAATTCCTAAAGAATCCAAAACCTTCAAGATGCAAAAGAATGCAAGATACAAAGGAGTAGTGACAGGCAATGAGAAATGTTCTTTTGGAATAAAAAGTTACTTCCTGAAATATAGATAGGTAGCTAATGCTACTTATTTTTTCTTCCATGGTCAGGTCTGGGGCACTGGGAAGAATGAGTAAAGGGCAGCGTAGTTCCTGTGTGCTGGACCAGTGTTTATTATGTAGGCCAAGTAGTATTTTGTAAGCCAAATGACCTTCTTAGACTGAGTTCCAAGACTAGGCTATTTAGATCAGATCCACGTGATATAAATATTGCATATCATATGAAACTGAAGACAGTGACCAGATACTGACCTCCCAGGTTGTGGCGCCGAAAGATTAATGAATGGATGAAGTTTGGGTTTCTGACAGCATTTTGGCTTTTAGAAAAAGTTGTGAGCAATGGTAGTGACAAGCAAGTAAAGGACTGTTGTATCTAAGTCTAAATAAACAAAAAGATAGGAGCAGACTGAATATAAATAGATGAAGGTTTTTCTTCTTAGCGCCAAGATAAAGCACATAGCAAAGCAGAATCTTTATTTATGATGATTATAGAGTCGAGTTTGAGTTCATTGCTCTTGAGAAGAATAAGCAAATCTGTGTATTTTTAAACATCTTCCATGCTAAATTTTATTTTTAATGAAATCATGTGCATCAGTTTAAAGAGAAACAATATTCTTGAATCCATATAACTTCAATTATTGGCATGAAGAATGTGGTTTAACAAGACACTATCCTACAGTTTTCTTACGGAGTCAGTTTCTTCTTCAAAAAGCAAAACCATTCTTAACTCTATAAGAAAATGATAAGCTATTGTATTTCCCATTCCAAGGAAAGTTATTCCAGCACAGCAAGCTGCAGCCATCATGATAAATCTTAGAGCCAGTCACCAGAGTGTTTCTATATTGCTCATGAAGCCTTAGCATATTTTATATCCTACACAGTGTAGTGGAGAAAATTAAGCCTTGCAACAGCTAGGGACTTATGCCAGGGTAATTTCCTTAAATAAATTTATTTGTTTTATTTAATTTATTATAAAAGTCATTAATACATAGCTTATAGAATTTCTGCCATAAAAACGCCTGAGGAGATGCTCAGTCAATTTTTTTTTTTTAAATCTAGAGGTCTAGAGATCGGTCAAAGGTCACGTCATGAGTTGGTCCCAGAGCTGACTCCCAGTCCACTGCTCCTGCTACTTTTCCAGTCACCCTCCTGAGATGGCCCGCTTGTCTGTATGCACATACAGAAAGAAGTACTGGGAAAAGTAGGAAATAATACTTAAAGCCCTTCCATTTGTATTTCCAGAGCCTGTCAGAGAGAATTTGGCAACCCAAGTAAAGTCTTTAGAGACATCAGAGTATTTATTCTTCACTCCGGTGACCAAATTTAGACCTGTCTGAGATTTTTTTTTTTTTTAATTATACTTTAAGTTTTAGGTACATGTGCACAATGTGCAGGTTAGTTACATAAGTATACATGTGCCATGCTGGTGTGCTGCACCTATTAACTCGTCATTTAGCATTAGGTATATCTCCTAATGCTATCCCTCCCCCCTCCCCCCACCCCACAACAGTCCCCAGAGTGTGATGTTCCCCTTCCTGTGTCCTTGTGTTCTCATTGTTCAGTTCCCACCTATGAGTGAGAACATGCAGTGTTTGGTTTTTGTCCCTGCGATAGTTTACTGAGAATGATGATTTCCAATTTCATCCATGTCCCTACAAAGGACATGAACTCATCATTTTTTATGGCTGCATAGTATTCCATAGTGTATATGTGCCACATTTTCTTAATCCAGTCTATCATTGTTGGACATTTGGGTTGGTTCCAAGTCTTTGCTATTGTGAATAGTACCGCAGTAAACATATGTGTGCATGTGTCTTTATAGCAGCATGATTTATATTCCTTTGGGTATATACCCAGTAATGGGATGGCTGGGTCAAATGGTATTTCTAGTTCTAGATCCCTGAGGAATCGCCACACTGACTTCCACAATGGTTGAACTAGTTTACAGTCCCACCAACAGTGTAAAAGTGTTCCTGTTTCTCCACATCCTCTCCAGCACCTGTTGTTTCCTGACTTTTTAATGATCGCCATTCTAACTGGTGTGAGATGGTATCTCATTGTGGTTTTGATTTGCATTTCTCTGATGGCCAGTGATGATGAGCATTTTTTCACGTGTTTTTCGGCTGCATAAATGTCTTCTTTTGAGAAGTGTCTGTTCATGTCCTTCACCCACTTTTTGATGGGGTTGTTTGTTTTTTTCTTGTAAATTTGTTTGAGTTCATTGTAGATTCTGGATATTAGCCCTTTGTCAGATGAGTAGGTTGCAAAAATTTTCTCCCATTCTGTTAGGTTGCCTGTTCACTCTGATGGTAGTTTCTTTTGCTGTGCAGAAACTGTTTAGTTTAATTAGATCCCATTTGTCAATTTTGGCTTTTGTTGCCATTGCTTTTGGTGTTTTAGACATGAAGTCCTTGCCCATGCCTATGTCCTGAATGGTAATGCCTAGGTTTTCTTCTAGGGTTTTTATGGTTTTAGGTCTAACGTTTAAGTCTTTAATCCATCTTGAATTAATTTTTGTATAAGGTGTAAGGAAGGGATCCAGTTTCAGCTTTCTACGTTCAGCTAGCCAGTTTTCCCAGCACCATTTATTAAATAGGGAATCCTTTCCCCATTGCTTGTTTTTCTCAGGTTTGTCAAAGATCAGATAGTTGTAGATATGCGGCGTTACTTCTGAGGGCTCTGTTCTGTTCCATTGATCTATATCTCTGTTTTGGTACCAGTACCATGCTGTTTTGGTTACTGTAGGCTTGTAGTATAGTTTGAAGTCAGGTAGCATGATGCCTCCAGCTTTGTTCTTTTGGCTTAGGATTGACTTGGCGATGCGGGCTCTTATTTGGTTCCATATGAGCTTTAAAGTAGTTTTTTCCAATTCTGTGAAGAAAGTCATTGGTAGCTTGATGGGGATGGCATTGAATCTATAAATTACCTTGGGCAGTATGGCCATTTTCACAATATTGATTCTTCCTACCCATGAGCATGGAATGTTCTTCCATTTCTTTGTATCTTCTTTTATTTCATTGAACAGTGGTTTGTAGTTCTCCTTGAAGAGGTCCTTCACGTCCCTTGTAAGTTGGATTCCTAGGTATTTTATTCTCTTTGAAGCAATTGTGAATGGGAGTTCACTCATGATTTGGCTCTCTGTTTGTCTGTTATTGGTGTATAAGAATGCTTGTGATTTTTGTACATTGATTTTGTATCCTGAGACTTTGCTGAAGTTGCTTATCAGCTTAAGGAGATTTTGGGCTGAGACAATGGGGTTGTCTCTCAGACCACAGTGCAATCAAACTAGAACTCAGGATTAAGAAACTCACTCAAAACCACTCAACTACATGGAAACTGAACAACCTGCTCCTGAATGACTACTGGGTACATCACGAAATGAAGGCAGGAATAAAGATGTTCGTTGAAACCAACGAGAACAAAGACACAACATACCTGTCTGAGATTTAAGATGTTTGGTGAACTATACCATCAGTAATATTTCCTCTTAAATTTTAAGAGAGGTATGCCAAAGAAATGCTGGGATACGGCAGAGATTCACTAGGCAGGATCTGGGTATTAGGACACACAAAGCAATCTGGAGAGCTGAATATTTATGGTAAACGTTTGCAAGTTTGAAAATCTTGTATATACCAATAGGTGCTCTGATTGAAGTCAGGGGTGAGAGTTCTGGAGCTCTGTTTACTTGTCTTTCTCTTTCCTCTGAGCTGCTGCTTCTTCAAAGATCCCTGGGCTTGTACGAAAACACCTCTTGGAAACCACAGGGCTAGGAAATTGACTTGCAAAGGAATCGTTTATTTGAAATTACTGACATATCACTTTCTTTCTTTAGTTCAACAAGTATTTACATAATTAGAGTGGTCTTTTATGCAAATTTAGATGTGCTACTTTTCACTCTAAGATAATGTTAAGTCAGCTGATTCCTCAATAACAATTTATTTTTTCATACCAGTTATTGGAGGAATGTCTATGGCTATACCTACCACCCTGAATACGCTCGATGTTGTCTCATTTTGGAAGCTAAGCAGGGTCGGGCCTGGTTAGTACTTGGATGGGAGGTAGTTGACTATACATTATGAGGTGTCTTCATATAATTGACCCACTTGATCTTTGTAACAGTTCTTTAAGACAAGATATTTTAAATATTCATTTCTCAGGTGAAGCAACAGAGCCTCAGAAAAATTGAGTTGTCCCAAGGCTGCATAAGTAGTCACTGGGGAAACCAATATCTCAACCTAGGCTTCTGACCATAAGTTTGGGCATTTTAGACTGTTTTCTTTCTAACCTACGTGGGTTTGCCCATTGTCTTTGGTACAATTTGAGAAAATGCTAGTATAGCCTGTAGTCACAGAATTAATCAAATCCAGATTTGGTTTATAAAGTACAGAAAACCATGACCTCGGTTTCGCTTGCACTCACTAACTAAGCTAATTGGCTGAGGGGAATTAAAATCTCCATGGTAATTATCACTAAAGCTTAAGCATGCTTAATTATAAGCTGGAATCCTGGATTGTTTTCATTACTGTCTGCTTCAGGATTCACTGTTCTTATTAAAGCATAGTCATGTCTATGATCAGAGCTATCTCTAGATAGTAAAAGAATTTTCCCTAAACTTTCATCTCTATTTTTTGTGCTAGTGTCAGGGAAATGACTTAGGGAAGTGGGTGATGGGAAGAAGGAAGTCATCCTGCCAACAGATGCACAAAAGGACTTACACAAATATAATCAATCCACAGTTTTGCCATTTTATGCCAAAAGGGATAGAATTTCTCTCATTTCACCCTCAAGCTGCAATTTTCTGATATCATTTTAAAATCACTGCTCCTAATCCTCATTTCATCAAATTTTATCTCTTCATAATAACTGAGATGTGGAGACAGAAAAGTAAGCTCATACTGATTTTCTTCCCTAACCCTGTCCCTCTCAGGAAAGTTGCTGCTAATAGGCACCAGCACAAGCCTTTTATATGTTCTTATACAATGCACAGCTGTGCACTAAGCACACAGAGAGGCGCACAACACAAAACCAGTCACCTGATGAGCAAAGAAGAATCAAGGGCAGGGGAAAAGTTGCAGCGAGATTTTTGGCTCTTTCTTCTTAGGACACTGTTTTTGTCTGACTATAATGTAAGACTGGAGAATTGTTGGCTCTAGTTTACAAGTCTGGCCACACTTAGAGAATCCTTTCCATGTGGGGAATCATTTTGATCTGATAGGCAGCCACATACTTGTCTTATTTGTCTGGGAGTCCAGTCATGTCACCTCTTTAATTTCCACTCAGACTTTCCCACAATATGGTTAGGAGTTTGAAAATATTCGATATGGTCAGACCTCCAAGGTTTCTACCATATGAATGTTTAATTGGCTCTGAAATTCTCAGCCCTGGGAATCAGTTGCTATCAGCCAGAATCTCCTGAGGTCACTTCATACCATAGCAGACCACCTCTAATCTTCTGCACCCGATGGTATTTTGGCAGGATATTCAGACTTCCTTTCGTGTCTTAGTTCTTCTTGAAGTTTGATGCCAATTAGATGCCCTCACTGTGACAGTTTCCTCATGGTCACATCTCCAGGTGTTGGGAACAAGTATGTCTGGTGCTATATTTGAGTATGACCCAAACACATATTTTCTTTCTTCCCAGGCAAGCCTGGAAGCATTTTAACCATCTTTTCTGCACATATTTTTGAGGAGATCCTGACGAGAGAGTACAAGTTGTGGTTTTCATGTTGAATTTATTGCCTTTCTCATTAAACAGTAGTAAGAAATGGAGTCTCACAGTTTTCATCTGTCCAGAGTTTCTGGTGCAGCTTTTGATGTTTTCTGGTTTACAGCCTGCTATGGATTTCCTGTATTCAGCAGACATTTGACCCTTTTTCCCGCCACCCTCCTATTTTTTAAACACAGGAAAGTTAAATTCCTGGGATGGCAGAATACAGTAGCTGATACAAAACTATGGTATTTTAATCCTATCACACAGTTAATTGTTAAGTCCTTGGTTGTAGGACACACACTGTAAATGTTAAAAGTCCTCAGAATTGGGGAATACCACTGTCATTCATTCAGCATATATTTTTTTAAGCCTCCCTTTGGAGGGACAATGCTGGACTAGGCAACAAACTAGATTCTGTTAATTTATTTCAAATATTTTATCTTGAGAAAACGAAAAATGTTTCAAAGAAAATAAGAAGGCACTTGAATTTATTTTTAGCTCTTGGTGTTTTCAAAAAATGACCACACTAATTGATGTATGTCCTGAGTAAATCTATTTGTGGGATCTCACTATGGCCCCAGTTACTAGACAGAAATAGCAAATTAATATCATCATATCTTCTCAAGTCTTTATCTGAGAGGCATGGTTTGTTTTTGTAAATGGAAAAAGCGATATTAATTAACATGATGTATCTCCACAGGAATGATGTATGATGTGGAATCCCACCCTTGCATCTTTAACGCTTTGCCTGGTTCTCTATCTCCTACCTCTTAGAATATGACACACAAGGATGGTTTTTTTAAAACAATATGTAGGATATAATTAGGAAACTACTGAGTCTTCATGGTAATGTCAGTGTTTGGTGGCTGAGATAATAAAAAAGCAAGATAATTTAAAACCATTTATTAATTTTTGCAACCAATCATATGTGTACAGTCACATACCACATAATGATGTTTCTGTCAGTGGTGAACCACATATACTATGGTGGTTCCATAAAATTATAATGGATCTGAAAAATTTCTGTCACCCAATGATGTAGCTGTTGCCATGTCATAGTGCAGCACATTACTTCTGTGTTTGTAGTGATGCTGATATAAACAAATCTGTACAGCCAGGTATATCAAAGTCCAGCACATACAGTTATGTACGGTACATAATTCTTGATAATGACAATAAATGACTATGTTACTGGTTGATTTATTATACTATGCTTTTAATCATTATTTTAGAGTATACTTCTTCTACTTATAAAAAGAAGTTATCTGTAAAACAGCTTCAGGCAGGTCCTTCAGGAGTGCTCCAGAAGAAGGCATTGTTACCATAGGAGATAACAGCTCCATGTATGTTATTCCCCCTGAAGACCTTCCAGTGGGACAAAATGTGGAGGCAGAAGACACTGATATCATAGGCCTAGGCCAGTGTGTTTGTGTCTTAGTTTAAATGAAGTTTAAAACATTAAAAACAATTATTTTAAAAATAGAAAAAAGCTTATAGAATAATAATATGAAGAAAAAATACTTTGTGTAGCTCTGCAATTGTGTTTTTGTTTTAAGCTGTTATTACAAAAGAATCGAAAAGTTAAAAAAATCAAAAAGTTTATAAAGTAAAAAAGTTTCAGTAAGCTGAGGTTAATTTATTATTGAATAAAGCATTTTTAAAATAACATTTAATGTAGGAAAAGTGTACAGTGTTTATAAAGTCTACCGTAGTGTACAATAATGTGCTAGGCCTTCCCATTCACTCACCACTTACTTATTCACTGACCCACCCAGACCAGCTTCCAGTCCTGCAAGCTCCATTCATGGTAAGTGCCCTATACAGGTGTACCATTTTTTATCTTTTAAAAGATAGTTTCACTGTGTTTTTTCTATATTTAGGTATGTTTTGATACACAAATACTTACCATAATGTTATAGTTGCCCACAATATTCAGTACAGTAACATGCTGTGTAGGTTTATAGCCTAGGAGCAATAGTTCACACCTTATAGCCTAGGTGTGTAGCAGGCTGTACCATCCAGGTTTGTGAAGTCACTCTATGATGTTTGTACAGTGATGAAATTGCCTAATGAAGCATTTCTCAGAACATTTCCCTGTCATTAAGCAATGCACAACTGTATTTATAAAATCAGGTATATCTTCACTAATTGGCTTTATTTAGGTTAAAGTTAAAATGTTTTCCCAAAATCACACTAACACTTGGAGGTTATCTTACACAAGTATCAGAGATTACAAATGTATTTTGAATGTCTATAGTAGATATTACATTCTGTATTTTTTCATATTTGATGATTTACATTATTATTTTCATTTCTGCTACCATGAAAACAAGAATGAGTTTAGCACACTGTTCATAAGGTGTCAAAGGTGTACTGGCTAGGTTGGAGTCACCTCTCCAGATCTGTCTCTTTTTATTCATACCTGCTTCACCCCGCTTTGGCCCCTAGAAACTTGATAGGTATAGACTAGTCAGACTCTGGTGCCTCTAGCTTCTGGATGCTTTTGGTCAGTGGGAGCCTTGCTCATATTTCTGGGCATTTTTCCTGAGTTTACTTTCAGTGGCTGTCTCTCTTTCAAAGGTGACCATCTGACATGACGAGTTTCCTCTTGGGTTACGGTCACCTCACTCCCCTTCCACTGTGCTTAGGAGTATTAACAGATCCTTGGGCGTTGTGAGCCTTCAAGTGACCTACTTACTGCCTCTCCCCTCACATCCTTCCACACATTGTATACATCTTGTTATAAATAAAGCATCCTCAAACTCTTCTGCCTTCAGTGTGCCATCTGTTTCCTATAGGGACGCTGACTTTTTTTTTTTAAAAAAAGAAAATATACAGAGCTCAGGGTGCAGGGTAGCTGTGAATTACTTTCATTTGTAAACAGTGAGGGAAGAATAGAAGAATAGAAAAAGAAGAATAGAAAATTGTAGCTCACCTTCAGATTTGTTAGAAAAGAACTTAAAGCTCCTAGGATAAGCACATTTACTATTTTTTCTGTCCCAAACAGATATAATTTTTATGTGTGTATATATATATATGTATATACACACATTATATATAAATATATATAATATATAATATAAATATAATATATATATTATATTTATGTTATATATATAATATATTTATATATTATATAACATAAATATAATATATATAATATATTATGTTATATTATATATATATATACACCTTGTGTTTGCTCAGTTTTGTACATAGCTCAAAATTTCACTGAATATACTAGTGCACGAATATGGGTGAACAATAGCGGTTTAGATCTGCCCCATGGGTAAGATGCAATTCTTTTTTTTTTTGACGGAGTTTTGCTCTTGTTGCCCAAGCTGGAATGCAATGGCGTGATCTTGGCTCACTGCAACCTCCGCCTCTGGAGTTCACGCGATTCTCCTGCCTCAGCTTCCCTAGTAGCTGGGATTACAGGCACCTGCCACCATGGCCTGCTAATTTTTTGTATTTTTAGTAGAGACGGGGTTTCACCATATTGGCCAGGCTGGTCTCGAACTCCTGACCTCAGGTGATCCACCCTCTTCGGCCTCTCAAAGTGCTGGGATTACAGGCAATATGCAATTTTTTTATTCCTGAGATTCTATATGTTTCTTCTGACTGACCCTGAGATGATTATTTATTATCCATAGTGATTGTGCTGATGGAATTTCTGAGGATGACTAATAATTCTGTCAGAGCTCACTCCAGTTAGAGTCTTTTCTTTGGCAAGCGTCTTTTCTTTGGCAAGTGACTAAAAGTATTGTTATGTCTGTTATTCATTGTGGTACTGCTTCCTCTATTCAGAGGCTACGTGGACTATAGCATTCTAAATGTATAAACTCTAAACCTTAGTGTTCTAGGTGGGCATTTGCAATGATGAATGGCAAAAGACTTTTCTACTCACTCAGTACTTTCATATATAGGATACAGGCCAGGATAGGTGAAATGGTAACTCTGCTTTTTTAGCATTTGTTTTGAAATAATTTTAGATTCACTAAAAGTTACAAAAATAGTAGAGTATTCTTGTGCACCATTTACCAACTTCCCCCAATGATAGCATCTTTGCATAACCAGAATTTTATATTTTATTAAGAAATTTTTTATAGAATAGATTTATTGATTTATTTCTGTCCTCTGTGTTTTAGTTTGTTCATGAGCTAATATCAAAGAAGCTCCATCTTTCTATTTTTATTTTGGGAAACAAATTTAGGATGCTTTTGTTCCCTCTTAAGAGGGAACAAATAGTATAATAAACAAATTCTTTTTGCTAGAAAGTATTAGCTTGTGGGTAGTGAAAGGCTGCTTTTATTGTAGAATTTTTAGCAATGACAGCAAAATATTGACTTTTTTTATTCCATAACAGAACAATTGGTTGTGATTTGTTACATACCAGAAATGCTTTCCCTAGCAGTGCCAAAGTATATTTGGGGAAGGATGTGGAGTTTATAGGCAGCCTTTGTTTAAAAAAAGAGAGAGAGATGGAAAGAACTACTTTTTCCAATTTTTTATTTATTATAGCTAGCACATTTTTCTGTTTATAAATTTATTTCCAATGTCTGTCTACCAAAAAGTAAAATCTGATAGAGTACGTTTGGATATTTTATTTTCATTTTCAGACGTATGGTCTGGAAAGACCTCTTTAACATTAAAAGATCCTTTAAAATAAGGCTTCAAATTGCCAAGAGCTGAAAATATAGAGTAATAATTTTTATGCTAAACTTGACTTTTGAGTACTCTGTAATGATTAATGTCTCTTCTGATGTCCAATTCCATATGAAATATTATATTTTTATAAGATAGTTTGTACTTCTTATAACTATAGAATGATCATATTCTCATTCAGATAGCCCTGCCCTCAAAATGTGGCCCTGGTCAACCAAACCCTGTGTATTCAAACACCTATTTCAGATTCTGCATTCACTAAGGAGATGAAAGCAAGTGGAAATAACCTGCTCTCTGTAGCATTCATTCAGCTATAAAGAGGTAGGCCATTGGTCTTTTAACAGATTATTGTGTATTAGCTGCTTTTCACTGAAGTCAAGTCTACTGATCAAGAAGCAGACACATCAGCTAAAAACTAGTAACTTTATAAATGACCCATTTGCCAGTTTCCAAGCATTATTTGAAATATTTGCATTTAAAATTGGAGAGACAAATGTAATTTTAACTTTCCATAAAAATTGGTTATTAATTGCAATGAATTTTCAAGGTTCTAGTTCTATAATATAAAGCAAATTTATACTATATTAAATTGTACATTTATTGTGCTACTTTCAAGCATTTAGTTTTAATAGCCCTGGGGGAGACTGCAGCTTGTTTTACTGTGCTCAGCAACAAGTCAAGGCTTGCGTTGTATGTCTATTTACCTCCTATTTGAAATTCTTTCTACAAGTATCTTTCTGCTGAAGAGGAGAATTTAAAGATGAAACTGAAGTACAAGGAAAATCTTCAATTTTGGTCAATACTTGGTTCACTTAATGTGAACCCTAATCCTAGGATCTAGAAGGGGACTTACCACTCAATGGTGTGTTCTTAGGAAGCTGTGTATGTCATTAGGAACATGATTGAACTTCTTTTTCATCAGCTTTCTCTTCATGAATCCTCTTATGGTTTTTGCTTGCTGAGATTAATACTACTTATGTTGTAAATAAAGAAGTATTTTTAATAAGTAAGGCAAACCTCTTAGGTACCTTCCTGTGGTCAATTTATTAGATGAATTCATAATGACCCTCATACTTGTGTATTATCTGGGTTGTACTGAAATTAGCACATACCATTAATGACCTGAGGAGAGCTGTGCGAGGGTAGTTGTTCATCCTCTTTTATGGTCACAAACTTTATTCCTAACCTGGCTATGTACTACTGGTTATAAAGAAGACTGGGTAAAGAATAAATCCATCACCACTACAAGGAAAATCCTTGGGATTTAAAGATTTAAATTGGGATTTAAAGAGGCATGAGACATGGTTTCTGCCATCTCGGAGCTCATAATCCAATGAGTTGGAAGTAAGCACAGAATTACAATGTAGTTTGTTAATGATATGATTAGGGTGTGTACTATATCTTTTTCTAAGGGTGAGGTTTGGGTCAGGGAGAGCTACCAGGTGGAGCTAACCTAAGATGTGAGTTCTGGAAAGACAAGTAAGAGGGCTACATAGGCAAAGGAAAGGGTGGGCAGACTGGGAGGTGTTTGGGGATGTGAGGTGCAGCACAGTAGAGTTAGAATAGATGGTAGTTAGGTGAGATACCATTATGAGCAACCATGTGTCTGAGCTTTGCAGTTCTCACACACCTTCATTTCAACCCATTCTATAGGCAAGCAAAATATCATTCCTATTTAACAAGTGAGAAAAGTAAGGCCAGAAATGTTGAGTGAATTACCCAAAATCTTATAACTGCTACAGTCGGGGTTTGAATCCAGGTCTGGTGACTCTAAATTCTGCCCTTTTAGTATGCCATTTTGTTCAAGTCCCTCTAAAGTGAATAGTGAGTTGGACTATCTCTTCACTCATAAAAACGTACCAGTTTTCTTTCTGAGACTATACATTTTTTAGATATATCACGTGTTATTTCACTTTGTACCCTCAACTGTGCTTAGCATGTGCTTGACTTGTAGTAGATGGCCAATCATTGTTTTGAACTGAATTGAATTGATGTATGGGTATTGTAAAACTTCTTGAATGAATGAAAGTCTTGGCCAGGACTTTTCACTTTTTGCTCTCCTTACTTAGTTCTCTTCCAGTCTGTTCTTACCTTCACAGGTGTCAACTCGCACTAGCACTTCATTCCCAGATCCAAAACTCAGAACTGCAGCTTCTCACCCTCTAACCAGACTCTCCTTTGCATGTGGTAGAAGGTTCCTTTTCAGATACATTTGTGTAGAACCTATGCCACATGTTTAGGTTTTTTTCCCTTCATATTCTTCACTCCAGACAAAATCTTGACAAAGAAAATTATGCCTTTGTCTTGGCAAATGGTGTTTGTTATCAGTTTTCTTTTCTTAAAACACTAGCAGAAGGCACAGGCACTCGGCTTCCTGTGAAGACCTTGAAGTGATTGTGTACTATTTTTCACACTTGCTCTTGGCTAGGGTGATGATGACATTTTTGTTTTTAGTGGGGTTTTTTGTTTTGTTTTGTTTTTGAGACGGAGTCTAGCTCCATCACCAGGCTGGAGTGCAGTGGCACGATCTTGGCTCACTGCAACCCCTGACCCCCTGGTTCAAGCGATTATCCTGCCTCAGCCTCCCGAGTTTTGGTGGTCTTTTTTACCTCTACTTGAAATTGATGAAAAAGGAAACTATACAGTTTGTCTGGAAAGGAAATCAGAGATCATTTGATGCTGACCTGATGTTAAATGAGGACAGGGCTGAATTTAAGCAACAGAACTTATTTGTACTGACTGCTCTCCACTTTCCAGCATTTGAATTGTGTTGACATTCACAGGAGCTGTGTGAGGCCAATTTTGTGTCAGAAAACCTGAATTTCCAAAAAAGTCTATGGAAGTAATTATATGACTCTAATGGTTCATCTTCCCCACTGTAACGTGAGAGACAGGTCCTAAAGGACAACCTGCATCAGTCATCACTGGAAAAGCCTGTCCTGTGTTGGAGTGGCCCCATACCGAGTGTTTCTAGTGTTTCTAGTGAGGAATCCACCATTTCTCTTGGCAGCCCTTCCAATTCTCTGTCCATCACAGCTTTTTCCAGATGATGAGGCTTGTTTTCTGCAGCTGTGTTTGGCCAGATGGTCGTGGGTCATTCTCCCAGGCCCATCCCCATTATGCCCAATAACGTGTGGGCCACAAAGTTCTGATTTGGATGGGGTAGGGGGAGAAGTGTAAATGTTGTTAGCTTAAAGATTCATGTTTTAGTGTTACATTTTTGCTCTTAGTTAAGCCTCCAGGATCCCTGTTACTTGTTTCTTACAAATGGGAGATATCAAATGTAGTGATATCTAGCTTTACTTTTTATCATCACTTAGTTCTGTAGTGACAAACCAGTACCTCCACATCCAGTCTTCATCAATGTCGTTACATCTTTGTGGGGACCTAATGTCACAAGAAACATGAGGCATTCACTTGACCAGTACACCAAATGTTCCTGGCCCACTTTCAAGCAGTACTCTATTGGAAAATCATCCATAATTTTCTGGCTGCTGTCATTCCTGAGCCTCTGCTTTCCATAACCTCTCATTCCTGTTGAACAGCTGTGCTTCTGATTAGTTTTCTCTGGAGGTATTAACTATTCAGCACTCTGCACAGGGAAACTTTTGAAGTGATGGGAACAATGGGCCCATCCTTGCTTTGTTCCAGCCAGTTAGTCTGCTGTGCTTCAGAAAAAACACTGAGAGAGACATGAAACTAAACAAAAATAAGAATTCACATAAAATTTTCCTAAAAGAAATCTTGAGCATTGACATTGTAAAAATGATTATCCACTCAGTATGAAACAGTGTGTTTTCTTGTGTATATTTCTCTTATCTACTTTTTCCACATATTTTGAGAAACAAATATTTAGTTATTAGTAACACATACCAGTTCTCTGAGAATTTGAAGAGAGAATGAGTGACTCCAGTTGTCAAAGGTAACTATACATAACCACTTTTACTCTTTTTCTCTGACCATCCAATTTTAGTTCAGATTCTATTGTTACATACACTTACTGAATGACATTTTCTTCATAGCATTTACTACTCATTCAAGTAAAATCTGTTTTACAAATGTAAACACGGGGTTCAAGCGACTCTCCTGCTTCAGCCTCCCAAGTAGCTGGGACTGCAGGCATGCGCCACCAAGCCCAGCTAATATTTTTGTATTTTTAGTAGAGACAGGGTTTCATCGTGTTGGCCAGACTGGTCTCGAACTCCTGACCTTAGGTGATCCACTCATCTCGGCCTCCCAAAGTGCTGGGATTACAGGAGAATCACTTGAACCCTGGAGACGGAGGTTGTGGTGAGCCGAGATCTGCCACTGCACTCCAGCCTGGGTGACAGAGTGAGACTCTTATCTCAAAAAACAAGAAAAGAAAAGAAAAGAAAAGAAAAATAATTCTATAATCCTATGTAATTCCTATTACAGAATAAAAGATTATCTGTAATCTTTCATTTTTATGAAAAATATTTCTATGCAATTCCTATTATAGAATAAAAGATTATTCATACTCATAAAAGATCATCTATAATCTTTTATTCTGTAATAGGAATTACATAGAATTTTTCAAATTTTTCAAACAGTATATCAATTTTGTATGCCTAAAATAAACTCAATTTAAACATAATCATCATTCTATTTATCAATTGATGAATTTTCTTTGCTAAAATTTTTCAAGGACTGAAAGATCTGTAGTAATATACACATTTTTATTCCTAACATTGATTATTTGTGTATTCTGTTTTTGTTTCTTGATGAATCTCCTCAGGGAGCTATTAATCCTATTAGTCTTTAACGGAAACAAATGTCCTGGAAGGAAAAGAAAAGGTATGTACAGCTTTGATTTTGTAGAGAATTTAATGAAGGAAATATCTAAAGGTATGTTGTTAGGGAACCCAACAAAGGATTCTGAAGCTCTCAGGTACTAACAATAAGAAGCCATTGCCATTACTGGGCTTGATATATTCACAGGAAAGGAGCCTAAGCATATAGAATTAATAGGAATGAATGGATCTTATGATAAGAGGTGTGCTTGTAGAGGGACATAGCCCCTGCCACAACTATAGCGTTGAGGCAGAGAGGAAACAAAGGAACGATGGCCTGATTCCTTGTTTTCCTCCTACAATTCTGTCTCTTACCAGTGCCTCTCCTTGTCTGAACTCTATCAGAAGGCTAAGTTTGCAGAATATAGTGGTCAGCCTCCTGAGATTGAGAAAGGCAGAAAATAGATCTTGGGGTCAAGCAGAATAGGCAGCACACAATGATCTAATCCCCTCTTAAAGGCCCCCACCTCACAACCCTGTTACATTGGCAATTAAATTTCAACAGAATGTTGGAAGGGACAAACCATGTTCAAACCATAGCAGTTCCTAAAAGGTGACCATAAACCTCTGCCACTATGATTATAGATTTGTCTATTTATCCTTATTTTTGTCAGTCTTTTTATTTTGAGGCCATGTTATTAGGTTTATATGAATTCAAAATAGTAATATCTTATTTGTGAATTAAATCTTTTAATCATTATGAAGGATCCTTCTTATCTCCAGTGATACTTTTAGCTGTAAAGTCTAATTTGATGTTAATTTAGTTATATCACCTTTGTTTTCCTTAGTGTTGGCATGGCAAAATTATTTTGATCCTTTCTTTCAATTTTTCTGTATGCTTTCTTATGATCTGGCTGTGTCTTTTGCAAACAGTCTATAGTTTGTTTTTAAATATAAATGAAAATCATTATTTTAATTGAAGCATTTAATTTATATGTATTGTATTTATTTTTATAGTTGTATTTATATCATCTTACCATGTGTTTTCTATTTGTTGCACTTGTTCTGTATTCTGTGCTTGGCTTACTTTCGTTTATTATTATATTTTTTCCTCAATTGATCCAGGAATTTTGTATTCTTTTACTATTTATATTCTTTTACTGAGCAAGCTATCAATTTGAATTTTAATCCTTTAAAGGTAATCTGCCCTTTTTCCTCTGGTTGGTTTTAAGCTTTCCCATTTGTGGGCCACAATAGCTCGCACCTGTAATCCCAGCACTTTGGGAAGCTGAGGCAGGACAATCGCTTGAGCCCAGGAATTCAAGACCAGCCTGGGCAACATAGCAAGACTTCATCTCCCCAAAAAAAAAAAGATCCTATTTGTCTTTTGTTTTCTGCAGTTTTTAGTGATTACTCTAGAGCTTATAGCCTGAATCCCTTACTTATTATATCTAATATTAATTAATAGTAGCTATATTAATTAGAATGAATTAGAATAAATGAGCAATATTTACTGACCTTCCAAGTTACATGCTGTTATTTTTGTGCATTTTAATTCTTTCTATATTTATACAGTCGATGTTCATCTACATCTTTCCACATATTATCATTTTTGTTGTTTTCCTTTTTTCTACATTTCTAATCTTCCATCTAAATCATTTCCCTTTTTCCTGAAGAATATTCTTTAGTATTTCCTTTAGTTTGGTTTATATATCTTTTAGATTTTGTCTGAAGATAATTTTATTTTACCTTTATTCTCTATATTTATTTGGGGAGGTATAGCTTTCTAGTTTGCCAATTATTTTTGTTAAGCACATGAACAATATCCTTCCATTAACTTTTGGTTCTCATTGTTTCTTTTGAGAAGCAAGCTGTCAGTCTGATTTTTATTCCTAAAGTAATCTGCCTCTTTTTCTCAGATTGGTTTTAATATTTCTTATTTGTCTTTTATTTTCTGCAGTTTTTCTATGATGTTTAAATTGTGTATCTTTTTAATCCTAGTTGGGGTTTGGAGCTCTTTTTCAACCTGTGGATTGATGCCTTGCATCAGTCGCAGAAATTCCTCAATCATTATCCTTTCAGATAATACTATCCCAATTCTCTCTTCTCTGTTTAGGGCTCCAATTAAGCCTATGTTAGACCTACTCACTATATCCTCTAAATCTCCTATCCTATCTTTTATATTTCCTATCTTTTTGTCTTTCTGCTTTTTTTTTTATTCTGGATATTTTCTTCTGACTTATTTTCTATTTCACTAACACTTTCTTCAAATGTATCTAATCTGCTATCAAACCCATACTTAGAGTCTGATCTATTTACTAACTGGGTATAGAAAGGTCAAGGACCATTTTGGCTGTACTGGTGCATACCAGTGGAGTATTAACCTTGGTGATGTCAACCATTACCAAGGATTTAACTACTAATTGTATGTCAAAGACTCTGTAGCTTAATCTCTTCAACACATTCCTCCCTTTAGAACTCTAGACCCAACAAACAAATGCTTACTTAACATTCCCCCTAAAATTACTTCCAGGTATCTCAAACTTTACATGTTTAATATTAAACATTCTATTTCCCATTCAAATCTGCTGTTCCTTGCACCTTTCTGTCATCAGTAAATAGAATTCCCACCAATTTATATATTCTTGCCAAAGCCTATGAATGGTTCTTGATATATCCCTTTCTCTTATCTTTAATATCCAGTCTGTCAGAAATGTCATCTGTTCAATTTCCAAAATATATTTGAGTCAATTCACTTCTCTCCAACTTAACTGTCCTTCTACTAGCTAAGCTACAATCTCATTGTATCTTTTCTTTATCTGTTCTCTCTGTTTCCACTCTTGTCCTTTATTCAGTTGTTTCTCCATTCAGCATTTGAAGAGATCTTTGTAAAATCTTAAATCTCTGACTTTTAAAAACCCCTCTAGGATTTCAAATGCTTTCCCATAATACACAAGACAATACATGTCTATTACAATAGCCTGCTTCTCCAACTTCCTAAAAACTTTCTCTCACTATTTAGCCATACCTATTTTAGTTTTTTGAAGGTTGGTTTGTGTTTGTTTGTTTGTTTGTTTGTTTTGGCCTAAAACTCTCTTCTCCTCACTCTCTCTTTCTCTCTTTTAGGCTTTAGTTTATATTATTCTCATAGAAGACTTCCTCATAATCCAATTTAAAAAATGAGAGTTTCCCTGCACAAGCTCTTGCTTTGCCTGATGCCATCCATGTAAGACGTGACTTGCTCCTCCTTGCCTTCTACCATGATTGTGAGACTTCCCCAGCCACGTGGAACTGTAAGTCCCATTAAACCGCTTTCTTTTGTAAATTGCCCAGTCTTGGATATGTCTCTTTTTTTTAATTTAATTTTATTATTATTATACTTTAAGTTTTAGGGTACACGTGCACAATGTGCAGGTTTGTTACGTATGTATACATGTGCTATGTTGGTGTACTGCACCCATTAACTCATCATTTAGCATTAGGTATATCTCCTAATGCTATCCATTCCCCCTCCCCCCACCCCACAACAGTCCCCGGAGTGTGATGTTCCCCTTCCTGTGTCCATGTGTTCTCATTGTTCAATTCCCACCTATGAGTGAGAACATGCGGTGTTTGGTTTTTGTCCTTGCGATAGTTTACTGAGAATGATGATTTCCAGTTTCATCCACGTCCCTACAACGGACATGAACTCATGATTTTTTATGGCTGCATAGTATTCCACATTTTCTTAATATGTGCCACATTTTCTTCATAGTATGTGCCACATTTTCTTAATCCAGTCTATCATTGTTGGACATTTAGGTTGGTTCCAAGTCTTTGCTATTGTGAATAATGCCGCAATAAACATACGTGTGCATGTGTCTTTATAGCAGCATGATTTATAGTCCTTTGGGTATATACCCAGTAATGGGATGACTGAGTCAAATGGTATTTCTAGTTCTAGATCCCTGAGGAATCTCCACACTGACTTCCTCAATGGTTGAACTAGTTTACAGTCCCACCAACAGTGTAAAAGTGTTCCTATTTCTCCACATCCTCTCCAGGACCTGTTGTTTCCTGACTTTTTAATGATCGCCATTCTAACTGGTGTGAGATGGTATCTATCTCATTGTGGTTTTGATTTGCATTTCTCTGATGGCCAGTGATGATGAGCATTTTTTCATGTGTTTTTTGGCTGCATAAATGTCTTCTTTTGAGAAGTGTCTGTTCATGCCCTTCGCCCACTTTTTGATGGGGTTGTTTGTATTTTTCTTGTAAATTTGTTTGAGTTCATTGTAGATTCTGGATATCAGCCCTTTGTCAGATGAGTAGGTTGTGAAAATTTTCTCCCATTCTGTAGTTTGCCTGTTCACTCTGATGGTAGTTTCTTTTGCTGTGCAGAAGCTCTTTAGTTTAGTTAGATCCCATTTGTCAATTTTGGCTTTTGTTGCCATTGCTTTTGGTGTTTTAGACATGAAGTCCTTGCCCATGCCTATGTCCTGAATGGTATTGCCTAGGTTTTCTTCTAGGATTTTTTATTAGCAGTGTAAAAATGGACTAATACACCACAGCCCCAAGGATACTCATTCAAATTTATTCTTCAGTATTAAAAAATTAGTGCCAAAGAGTAAAGATCATGACATTTTTTTTCCCCACCACCATAAAACCAAGACCTAGTTTGTGTCTGGTACATGGTAGGAACTCATTAAATACTTGTTGAATGAGTGAATGATCTCCAAATGGCAAATTTTACTCTTCCAAAATTAAATTTCGTTCTCTGCTCCCTGTTATGTTCTTTTTGAAAAAAATTTTCTCAACCATAACTTTCCATGTCTGTTATAAGCCATTCATTAGAGTTTTTTGTCAGGTCAGCGCATATTTACAAATCTAGTTAGTTCTTATTTTTCCATTACAAACAAATGTTAGAACATCATTCTCCAAAACCCTATCTCAGAAACAGACAAATTTGCTTTTATTTTTGAAGTTTATTGTTTAGTTTAAATCAGATTTTCTAGATCTTTCCTTTTTACAATACAAACATGAATTCTGTTAACTGAGACTACTTGAAGCTACCCAGTTACCCAGTGTCAGTTTGTACTAACTATAGATTTTTAGACCAATAGCCCTTGTTTTCTCCATACATTTCTTGGAATTTTCTATTGCTTTTGGTATTAAGATTTTTTTTTTTTTGGTCAAAACACTGGGTTTGCCCACCTCCTCCTCCTCCTCCAACAAGATGCCAGAAAGAAAGAAGCATGAGTCATAGGAAAATGAAAGAGGAATGTCTCAAATATTAGGATGAGAAGACTGCTCTTCTCATCTAACAGATTCTCATTTCCTGCCCCGCGTCATTTCTTCCCATTGAAATAACAACTGTAATTCTAGTCATGGGTGTGTGAGTGTTTGTGAGGGTGGGTGGGAGGTCTTCAGAGGTCTCAATAAAAAAGAGAGAGTATGAAACTTTTGTTATTTCCTGTTTCTGAATATGTCTTTTGGTTAAGGATGTTGGAAGGGGTGAGAATCTTTGGATCTCTGTAGTGCTTGTAGTGGTGATGGGGAGTATTGAATGTTTCCAAGCCAGTACGGCACACTGAATAACTGGATCAGAGTTCTCTTTTGGTGGGAATAATATTAATAAATAATGGAAGGTAACTACATGTTGAAGACTTGTAGAGTAATCATGAGTTTCACCTTCTCATGCCAGGTGACTCTTCTTTATGGGTATAGTCCTGTATTTGGTCTTCTAGCTTCCATGTGAAACTAGTCAACTTCGAGAAGTTTTGATCTGTCTCAACAGAAATGAATCAGGGAGAGGGGAAACAAATAAATAAATGGTAGTTACATCAAGGTGGTATACTAAGTATTAAATACAAATTCTCAAAACTTTTACCCATTTTCATTTAAAAATATTTATTTATTATTTGTACTCTCATAGAAAAAAATAAAGATCTCTCAAGAGGTCTCTCAAGACATTTGCAAACAATAAGGTTTTGTTTTTTCATGAGCCAAGATGGATTTTGGTTTGTCCTGACTTTCCTTGAAGTAGTTGTATTTCAAATGATTAATTGCCTTGAGCTGCTTTTAAAAATTGTTTTCCTGCTTCTGTGATTTTTTTATTGTGACAAAATTTGAAGGAAGTAGTAGAAATAATATTAATTATTGAAGTTTCAAGAATTTCTTCTTTTTCCTTTCCTTTAGGAATAAAATTAAAATGTAAAAATCTTGGAATTTGGCATTAACCAGCTTAAAATTTAGTATGCTAAAAATAATAATATCAATTCAACATTATTCTATGAAACTTATACAAAATTTTGGAAACATGGTCTTTACAGATGCTATATATTTCAGTTATACAAGTTCAGAATTAAGTGTTTATGCCACGTTACATTTAGATTATAGAGTTACTTATATTTCCTCACCTTTCATATTTTATTAAAGAGATTCTCTGACTCTCTAGCCTCTAGTAGCTTTTGATAACAGTCCTTTCTCCCTAGGGAACCCAACCTCTCTTATTAATGAAGTCCAAATATGAGTCACCAATCCACATTCCCAAACACTATGCTTTTTAGGTGGCTCTTCGTACTCCTTTACCTCTGGACCAGGCTAATCAGAAGTGGAGGACTTCAAGTTAATAAGTCATGTTATAGAATTTTTTCTATTATAACTAGGGCTCAGTATTTTTTTAAAATCCTAAAATACCACTAAATATCTTTGGCCACATAAAAGACTAGATTTCCAGTTCAGAATGACAACAGATATAGGGCTTGACATATCAGGTACCAAATAATGCTGTGGCAAAGTTTGGATTTTTTTTGAAGATAGTAAGATGTATGCCAATCTGTAATATCACTTGCATTAATGGATTTCCGAGTACTATATAAATCGACGATTATTCTTATTAAGCAGTGCTAATATATTTTACAAACAAAAATTCTCCCCAGTTTTATCCCTTTATATGTGTCATATCAAAAGACTTAGTCAAAGCTGCTTTCTACTGCTTCTGATGTTATATGCTTCATAAAAGTGTCCCTGTGCTATGCTTCTAATGAAACTTTATTTTGTCTTGTTTTATGTAACACATTTGAAAATTCTATCTTTTAAAATACATTATTTTTATTGCTACAGGGGTATTATGTTATGATGCTTTCTTTTACAGTTTATTCTTGTATTGACTTTAGTTCCAAAAATAAATTAATTCATATATTACTTTTGGTAATACCTGAAAAAAATTAAGTTATTCACAAAATATTTGTGAATCCTGAATCAGTGTAAGTTCTATTCAATTACAGAAATAGTAATTGCATACCTACTAGCACTATCTGAAGTTATATAAAATGAGATTTTTGTTTTCTTATTTTTGCTTTTGCCTTCTTCCAGAGAGTATTGAGTTCCACGAGAGAAAGGCCTTTGTTGGTTCACTGCTGGATTGCTGGTTTCTATAATATTTCATGGCACATAGTAAACTGCCAATAAATATTTGCTGAATGAATTCACTTATTCAGAAAATATTTATTGAGTGTCTCTTGTATGCCACATATCTAGGCACTGAGGATAGAACAGTGAATGGGCCAAAGTCCTGACTTTTTGGAATTTATTTTCAAGTGGGAAGAGAGAGATTATAAAATACGTGACCCTGAAAATATATGTCATATGTCTGATGTTGATAGTGCCAAGAAGAAAAATAAAGCAGGACAAGGTGTGGGGAGAGAGAATTATTATCCTAGCTAAGGAATTAAGTGAAGGCCTCTCTGAGAAGGTGAAAAATGATTGAATGTTACTACTCCTGTGCCACTGCCACTGGTGATACTGAAGAAAGTGGAAGACCAGGTCTTAGACTCCAAGGTGAGTATAATATGATGATAAAGTCAGACATATTACCTATCATAAACATAATGTGCAATGATAGTGTCATACGTACATGCTATGGAACAGTGTCTGGAGAATGAAGCATAGCCACCTATTAGCAAGCAGAGTATATGGTGGTGGGGTGGAGGATGACTACAGTCTGAAAATGCAGAACTGATTCTAGGCTGTGAAGGTTCTGCCAGATCAAGGACTTTGGGCTTCAGTCAATAGCTGGTGGGTGACTAATGGTAGTCTTTAAACATGGAAAGGGACCAATCAGAGCTACATTCTAAAAACTAACTGGTAGCAAAATGGGTGGATTCGAGGGCATGAGATTGGGTCAGCTGATGTTTTGATAGAATTTGTGATCAAATATTACTTGAAATAACAGAACCTTAGTTGGGCCAAATCTTTTCTTCAAACAAAAGAATAGTGCTTCCAAGATTTTTGTTTTTATGGTCGAACCGGATTACCATATAAAGACATAAGAAAGAAAGAAATAATATTTCATGACAAACTAGCTGAGAAGGATCAAGAGAAAGGCAAGAATGAAGATTTATAATCTGGGATTTATAGAATAGCTGTAATTGGTACAGGGAAAACACCCAATTTATCTGGATATACTTGTGTTTCCCTATTTAATCCACATGGTGTCATTTTTTACATGTGTTTTCTCAGAGCAGTTATTTTCATTCACAGGCTGTGGTGATGACTCACTTCATTCCCTTTTGGGTATTAGAGGCTCTTATTTCATTCAGGAGATTTTCCGATTCACCAGACAGTGCATTAGACATTATTGTCTTGTTGGAATTTGGCTGGGGGAAAATACTTAAAGAAATATATCACTGTTGCTTGTACCACCCTCACAAACACATTTTATTTAGCAAAATCTGAACCTGATGAGGAATCCGTATTAGTTTGCTAAGGCTGCCATAACGAAGTACCATAGACTGGGTGGCTTAAATGAAAGAAGGTATCATCTCACAGTGCTGAAGGCTAGAAGGCTGAGATCAAGGTGTAGGCAGGGTTGGTTCCTGTTTTGGACATTGAGGGAAAGATACGTTCCAGCCCTCTCTCCTTGGCTTGTAGATGACATTCTTCTCCCAGTGTTTTCACATGGTCTTCCATCTGTGCAAGTCCCTCTGCACAAATCTGTGTCCAAATTTCCTCTTCTTGTAAGGACCCCGTGCTTAGGGTCTACTCTAATAACCTCATTTTAACTTAATTACCTCTTTAAAGGCCCTATTTTCAAATATGGTCATATTCTGAGGTACTAGGGGTTAGAACTTCAGCATATGAATTAGGAGGATGGGGAATTCAGATGATAATAAAGTCTAAATGTTTGGCTTTTTCTCTCCAGATACCCAGTTTCCCTAAAGTGACAATCACACCCAGTGACTGGCTGATGCAGTGCTATAAAGGTCTGTTCCACTTGCTGCAAATTCAGGACAATTCCGTAAAGCCATCCCAGCCCCAGAACTCGCTGTGCCATGAGCTGAGTTCTTTGTTATGAGAGTATCACAGCTCCCCTCTCTACCTAGTCCTACTTCCTCACTCCCTCATAAGTGTTGGGTCCTTATAAATTTGCCAAGGAACTCAACCTGTGACAACTTTAGTTCAATAGATTTGACCCTTTCCTTGCAAGGGAACTATTGGTTTCTTACTATTATTGTCAGTTGTCCTCATTAACAAAGTCATTTACTAACTGGCTGCAAATTACTGAAAATTGTTTGGAACGACAATTTTTCGTATAGACTTCAATGATTATTCTGGCTAAAGGTCATTTTTTTTCTCTGCACTTCTGTAGGACAGCCCTGTACAATTTAGTACTTTAATGGTGATTTGTATTTTTTGCTCATTCACATTTGTAAATTATTTAAGGTTGCACATTTCTTGAAAGTTGATATGCTTCTATCAGATTTTTTTCTGTTCTTCAAAATGTTTAACGTAGTTTCAGAGCTCTAGTTGGTACTTAAGGAATTTGGGAGCATACAGTAGTGTAGATACCCCAGAATTTTTAAATGAGAGTGTGGAATCTGAATTATAAAACTCATATTAGGGAAAGCCTACACTGGGAAAAGAAATTGCATATGTGGTATAAAATAAATAGAAGATCTGTGTTTGAATATTGACTATGCTGTTTACTCACTATGTGATCTTATAAAAGTTACTTACCCTCCCTGAGCCTGAGTTTTCTCATCCATAAAATAGGAATATTTTTAATAGCAATCTTATAAAGTTGCTGTGAATGTTAAATGAGATGCAGTATTAAATAAGATGCATGCAGTATTTAGCACATGATTCAATCATAAAATGGATATTACCTTCACACTTCAATATTTCTGAATTCATGATGCATCTTGTGATTAGTGTCAAAAGAAATTTGTCAATTTTACACAACGAAGTGGAGTGTGATACATTAATAGTTCTTAACGTCTATATGAGTGGACTTAGTCATCAGAGAAGATAACTATTCACCCAGTTACTTGCCTCAGTTAAACACCTTGTAGTTGTGACAGAACCTTAAATTTGGATACCTAATTATTATTTTAAGGTGTCCCCAAAAGGATTACATTATAATCCAAAGACATAGCTTTAACATAAATGGTTACAGTGGAGCAGATTGCCTATCATATGCCAAGTAATTCAAATAAAGATGATGGAAATTTTTAGATATTTTAGAATTAGCTGTATAACCTTAAAAATTAGAAAAAGTTGTATGACCAGTTGATGAATTATGAAAACCAAACTCTAAATCTAATCCTAAAGAAGCAATCAGACAAACCCAAATTGAGGGGCATCCTACAAAATAACTGATCTATGTTCTTCGAAAATGTCAGTGTCTGGGAAAGCAAAGCAAAGCAAAGCAAAGTTGAGGAACTTTTTAGAGTTAAGAGAGACTAAACCAGTATGACAACTAAATAAAATATATGGTCTGGATTGGATCTTGAATTAGAAAAAATAAAATTGCCATGAAGGACAAATTAGGACAATTGGTAAAATATGGTATTGACAATTTGATTATCATATTGCATCAATGTTAAATTTTCTGAATTTTCTTATTATACTTATTATATTATATAAAATTCTTAAATACTATAATTAATCTAATTATACTGACTTATTTAAGAGTTTTCCCAGGTTAAGTTCCTCAGCAAGTTTGTAAGGACTCAACACTTGTGAGGGAGTGAGGAAGTAGGATTAGGGAGAAAGGGGAGCTGTGATACTCTCACAACAAAGAACTCAGCTCATGGCACAGAGAGCTCTGGGGCTGGGATGGCTTTACGGAGTTGTCCTGAATTTAGGGCAAGTGGAGCAGACCTTTATACCACTGCATCAGCCAGTCACTGGGTGTACACTGCCCCAGGGAAGAGTACATGACATTCATCAAAGTGTGTCTCTTTAGCCAAGGATAATTTCCAGAAGGGGATTCAGCTGCAAGCTGTTCATTGCCAAAACTCTTCAGCTGATGGGGAAAATTAGTAGTTCAGTCCTAAAGAGGGAAGAGGAATATAGGTGTCAGACCACAGCATCCAATCTGGTTATCATATCTGTAATTTACTTTAAAATGATTCAGTAAGTAAAATGATGTGAGAACAAAGATAATACCAAAAATGCGGAAAAGCAAGAAAGATCTCAAATTAGCAAAATACGAAAAAACCGGTGAATCTGGGTGAAGTACTGTTTTCAGCTTTTCTGTAGGTTTAAATTTAAAAAGAAAAAGTTTTAAAAATGAAATTCCCAGGTGATACCAGTACACTAGCAGATTGGAGGACTGTGGAATGAAGTCATCTTTAGAATTCATCCCAGCTCTAGCATGAGGGAATTCTGTGACATGATCAGATTGGTTATGGTGCATTTGCTTTGGGCTTTTGAAGCCATGGAACCACAGCATATTTCCTACATGTTTGTTTTGTCCATAAGTTCTCAAACTTTAGTAAATCATATTGTTTAATTAAATGGGTTTGAGGGATTGTAATACCAACCCTGAATTTATAAATAAAGCTGTTCTTTTCTCTATTTTGATGAACAGTGGGCAAGTTTCTGTATTAAAGATCAATTATTATCCATTTGAAGAAAAACAAGGAAGCTGAGAATATTCAAGATAAATTTATTGAGATTATTAGATCTCACAGTTAATGAAATTGTGTTGTAATAGATACATACTGTCAATAGTTTATTGAAAAACTGCAAGCAAAGCAAATGTCTTTGCCTTTATTAAAAGTCAGGGGAAGATATAGCAGGCTCAAATATTTAATATTTATCTTTTTAATTGTGAAATCATCTTTGGGATATTTATTTATTATGAAATACATTTTAAAATATTGCTTAATTCTAAAATACGATTTAAAATAAACTATTTTTCTGTGGTTTTTACTGAGTCCTCATCTCACTAGGCTGGAATATTGATCCCAACCACATCTTGTTTTAGATGTGAGGATGGTCATGTCTTCCCACTCTGTTTTCAGTGTTACATCAAAAAGTCCCAATTCAAGGGCACTGAAGACAGTTATTTTCTTATTAAAGGTTTGCCAACTCCTTTCTTACAGGGATCTTGCTGAATGCTTTCAACAATCATTTTTAAGCATAGACTCTAGAGTCAGTCTCCCTGGATCTGAATTCCAGTTCTAACACGTAGCTATGTGCTCTTTGGAAAATTACTTAACCGCTCTGTGTCTTAGTTTCCTCATCTATAAAATACAGTACTTATAGAGTTAATAGTTAATATTACCTATGTTATAGAGTTATTTTGAAGATTAAATGAGTTACAATATGTAGAACACCAGGCATGTAATAAGTACTTAATAAGGATTAGGTATTATTATTGTCATCATTATTAGATATTTATACTGCATACTAGAATCATATGTTTTAACTTAGATCATTATTATTATGTTGATTTTATAAAAATAAAGATGCAGGTTAATTAAATGTTAATCTGAAATCGCCAAGGTCATCTAGCTAGTGAAGGAGGGGAGCTGGAATTCAAACTTCAAGCCCAATTTTCTTTACACTGTTGTGGACTCATGGGTGAGAGAATTCCAGTGTATTTTTTTGTCAGCCTCCTGGGACCAGCAGCAGATTATCATTTGGAATGGACTTAAATAGGCCCTGCCACCTCCAATGTGTTTTTACATGTAATCCTGCGTGCCACAGATGTAAGCATCTGGGGACTTTATTTCCTATCAGATTATAAATTATTGAGAGCACAGTCTAAGTCTTGTTGGTATTTGTGTCCCATGCACTGCTTAGTGCAATGCTTTGAAGATAATAGTTGTTCAGAAATTGTCAATAGCATTCCAGAACAAAATTACTATTGATTTTTAACATAGTTAGGCTGGGTGCAGTGGCTCATGCCTGTAATCCCAGCACTTTGGGAGGCCGAGGCGGGTGGATCACAAGGTTAGGAGATCGAGACCATCCTGGCCAACATGGTGAAATCCCGGCTCTACTAAAAATACAAAAAATTAGCTGGGCATGGTGGCATGTGCCTGTAGTCCCAGCTACTCAGGAGGCTGAGGCAGGAGAATCCCTTGAACGCGGGAGGCGGAGGTTGCAGTGAGCTGAGATTGTGCCACTGCACTCCAGCCTGGGCGACAGCGCGAGACTCCATCTCAAAACAAACAAACACACAAACAAACATAGCTGATGCTCGTGTCTTAGTTTTACATGTTGCTGTTCCGACATTTAGTAGGGATGCAATAGCCAAGACTCAAGCTTGCCACAAGGAATTAAACAATTTGAACTTTGCTTTGTCCACCAATAAAATTCATCCCATTATGGTTTTGTGTAAAACAAGCCTTATTCTCTGCCTATAGATTATTTCAAAATGTTAATTAGTGTGGGCAGACCTGATAATAATTTCCTGATTTGTAACTAGATCTTTTAATTTATCTAACCTTAAAGCTTTGTGTTATTCTTTTCTCCTTATGAACTTATTGCCATTTCAATCAAGCTTGTGCAATCGTCAACCCACGGGCCACATGCGGCTCAGGACAGCTTTGAATGCAGCCCAACATAAATTCGTAAACTTTCTTAAAACATTATGATTTTTTTTTTGCGTTTTTTTTTCTTTTAGTTCGTCAGCTATTGTTAGTGTATTTTGTGTGTATCCCAAAGACAATTCTTTTTCTTCCAGTGTGGCCCAGGGAAGCCAATATGGATATCCCTGATTTAGATGATAGTCCGCTTCTGACACTTCATTGAGCTTCATTTACCTAATCTGCCACAAGCAAAAGTTAGATTAGATGGCTTCTAAAATATGACTTTGTAAATTTTTGCTCTTTATAAGAAGATATTTGTATGTAAACCAGTTTATTTCCATACTAACCGAGATTGTCTCCTTTCAGAGTAACAAATCAGATTGCTATCCATTTGGCCTGGTCATTTGAGTCTTGCTGATTGGTCTATGAGAAACATGGCCAAAATTTTGAATCTGCTCTTTAGGGGGACATTTAGGTGAACTGGTATGAACTGATATTTTAGAATTGTGTCCAGTTGAATGTGTGTGTGTGTGTGGGGTGGGGGGGGGTTGCCACATTATCAGTTTTTCATCTAATTTTAATATTATTTGAAGGGTCCTAGTCAACTTTGTTCATGTATTTCTTCTTAAACACAATATAAACAGACCCATTATTAGGATTCAAACTTTGAACTGTATCCTTTCCTCCTTCCTTCCCAACTCCTTTCTCTGCCCCTACTCCTCCCTCCTTTCTTTCTCTCTCCTTCTTCCTTTTCTTCCTCTCCCTTCTCTGCCTTTCCTCTCCCCTCCACATACTTTCTCCTTCTTCCCTTTCTTCCTCCCTCCCTTGCTTACTCACTCCTTTCTTTCTTTCTGAGAAAGTTTAATGAGAATCCACTGTGAGGCACTTTTCTGAGGACTTAACAATTCAAGCCTTAAATAAGGTCTAGTCTTGTCCTCAGGTAGCTCTTAGACTCATAGGGCACACTGAAAAGAATAGATACTAATTATAAAATAAGTTGGTAAGTACAGCAATATGAAAAACAGTGCATTCTCATAGGGTTAGATATAGTTTAGGGTTAGGAAGCATTCCAAATGAGGTGATAGTTGGGTTGAGACTAGTCAGACAAGGATGGTCATGGTAACAATATATACAATATATCTACTATATATATACACAATATATATACACAATATATATAGAATATATACTGTATATATATAATGCATATATATACATATGTGTGTGTGTATATATATATATGTATGTATATATATATATATTTCCCTGCATCCCTTTTACTGAACTTTTGGAGTTTCATGACTGCCCTTTAGAACCTGGAAAAGAACACAAGCTACAGTAAAGAAAAATATGCCTGTCCAAACAAATTTGAAAGGTCAACTCTCAGTCTATCAAATTGAGATTCTTGTCCTACACTTGATTCTCTTAGTGTAACACCCACATGGTTTGAAGGGAAACATGCCCTTTAGAAAACAGGACAGACGGTTATGGGCCGGGTGTGTCAAACTTTTTGTAGTACCCTGGGTTTTATCAAAATAACGCCATCCAGTTTTGCCAAGGGCTTTGCTCCTCACTTAAAAAGACCTTATATTTCAATCCGTGTGTTTCATATTCATTTAGACATCTCATCAAGCTAGAGTTGGGTAAGAGTTGTTTAGTATCCAAAACATCTTTCCTACTAGCCTTTGATTCTTAGAAATAAAGAATTATGCCGGGTGTGGTGGCTCACGCCTATAATCCCAGCACTTTGATAGGCCAAGGAAGGCGGATCACTTGAGGTCAGGAGTTCAAAAACAGCCTGGGTAACATGGTGAAACCCCATCTCTACTAAAAATACAAAAATTTGCTAGGTGTGATGGGGCTTACCTGTAGTCCCAGCTACTCAGGAGGCTGAGAATTGCTTGAACCCAGGAGACAGAAGATGCTGTGTGCTGAAATTATGCCACTGCACTCCAGCCTGGGTGGAGAGTCTGAGACAGAGTGAGACTCTCAAAAAAAAAAAAAAAAAAAAAAAAAAAGAAAGAATGAATGAAAGAATTACACTTTGCCAAATGTAAATGAATTTCGGACCCTTACTTTTCAAAGGGGCTTTGCAAATCGCCTTGTGCTGTAGGCAAATCTGGAAAAATCTTTGTGTCCCTATCCTGATTCTAGAGATACTCAGGCATGGGAACCTTTCTCAAAGTGATCTCTCTACATTAGAATCCCAACAGGGGTTCCTAAAAATGCCTCTTGATGGGCCCCAGTACAGATTTACTAAATTTGAATCCCTTCTTGTTTTATATAATGTGATTCTTTAGAAGGAACTGCACATTGACTTAGTGAATATGTACTGTATATTTATATAGTGAATAGGTACTATATATATATATATATATATACACACACACACACACATATATATACACATATTTACCTATATATATTTATATGTAGTACCTATTCACTAAGTGTTAGCTATTATTATCCAGATGCCTTTAGACATCTCAATTTGATATCTAACAGGCATTTGGAACTCACCTTGTCTAAAATTGAACTCATGATTGTCCCTCCAAATGTAGTCAAAAGTATACCTTGTCTCAGGGGGCAGGGTGCCACCATTGCCAAATCCAGAAACCCCAGCAATTACTTGCCTCTCACTTCTGATGGCTCAGTATGTCCTAGTTAGATTTTACGTCTAACTAACATCTTTCTAGTTAATTCCCTGGTTTTCATGCCTTCTGCCACTGGCTGGTTAGATCCACAACATCACCTCCACCATCATCCAGATTACTGCAATCACCTCTTTCCTTTGCTTTCAGTCTTCCAACTTCTCCAGAGGACTAATCCATCCTCCACACTTAAATATATATCTGATGATGCCACCTCCCTTCTTGACTGCCTCGGCTCAAGCTGTGATTCCTTATTAATGTCTAGGATGAAGTTTAACTTTTACTTTAATGCCCACAGCTCTTATGATTGGTCTCTTTCTTACCTCTGCAGCTTATCTCTCACTACCCCACGTGAATCCTTTGCTCCAGCCCTACAAATAAAGTTCTCCAAATGTGTTCTGCTCTTCCATGCTTTTACATACTCAGTTATCCTCTTTCATTCCTATTCCCTTCCATACATCACCCTCTCCTAACTTCTTTTAGCTCTTACGTTTTCTTCAAAATCAGCTTTGATATCACCTCTTCTTTAAAGTCTTCCCCTATCAGTCTGATTTAATTGGCACTATGCTTAGCAGAGTGTAGTAAGCACTTAGCATAATATAATAAATGATACAATTTATCTTTTATTTCTTTTTTGGGAGAGGTCAGGTGGAGTTTACCACACTCTTGTTAGTTATAAAGCTTATATTGAGACCTGTTCTTTCCGCATTTACTCTAGAACTTTCTAAATTTATGAAACTACTTGATCTTTGGAATGCTGATTACATTTAGAGGGAGGTATCTGAGGGGTCCATAAGGCTTGCTGAAGTGCTGCTGATAATGTTCTATATCTTCATCTGGGTGGCACTTCCATGAATATATACATATGCAAAATGCATTATTCTGTATTCTTAAATATGTGCACTTGATTATAAGTCATACTTTATTTTTTAAAAGTGAATAAAAGTAGCTGACCTTTTACCTTTAACTATAAAATTCTATTTTCTGTTTTGTCTATTGAGTGATATCATGGGCACCTTGGTTCCAGAGCACAACGTTAAATGCCATTATGGCAAGGCACATTTAGCTTCCTGGGGAAAAGGGCTTTTAAAATTTTAACTTCTCACTAGGTAATGAAATAATAAAATGGGATTAATTGGAGAAGTAGTTTAATACTTGCTTTACTAATGTTTCTACTCCCCAAATATTTATTTAATTTTGCTAGGTGTTAATCTTGTTACTATTGTGATACTCTTTTTAGCTTTTCAAGGTTACTAAAAGTAAAGATTATTATGAATTATCTCATTAAAAATTATTAAAAATATAGATAAAAATAAACCATTGCTTCTGAATTTTCAACTTCAGGTCTTAAATCTTTGACTTAATCATTGTCTACATGATCTGTAAACTCTTAATCCTGAGAGTCTTTGATTTCACTTGGAGTGTTTTCTTTGAAGAGACTTTATTGGTTAAGAGTTGCATTCATTTCCTGACTACTTTGAAAAGTAAATTCCCTTTAAAAGTAGACTTATAGCTATAGATTATGTTGCTTGCTATTGTATCTCCAGCACTTAAAATAGCCTCTGACACATGGTTGATGCTGAAGTATAGTAACAATAATATCGAAGCACACCCTAAATATGAGGCTCTTTATTCAGTAATTATGATTTATATATACAAAGCAACCCACTGCTATATCTTACCTAGATTTACTTCTAATTTAAAATTCATGGATCACAGCACAGCCATATTTCTGGGAGATGAAAGCATCAATTTCGTTGTTATTGTGGCTTTAGAACAAGTCTTGGTTTGACTGGAAAATCAGAAGTAAATCTGGACTCAATCCAAGTTTTATCAAATAACCTTGAGACTTTCAGATTTTAGTTAATCTCCTTGTACTGTAGGCAAGTAGAAACAATACAATTGAAATGCTATTTTTCCTTTTTATAATAGTATTAAAAATAAGAATGAAGTAAAGTCTTATAGTCTTTGACAAGATTAAAACATTATACGAATTTAAGATGATGTTATTAAATATTTTTGGCTGGTACTGATAATAATTTGCAATAACTAGATAATGTATATTTTCAGGTCCTAGTCATACTTGTTAGGATTATAGAGACAAATGTATTAATAGCTATTTCTCAGAGCAACTGTTTCTGGAAGGAATATAGAAAATAATTTACTCATACTGTAGAAAATGTATTTTTTCATAAAATATAAGAAAGTATTTGTTGGGCATATATTCAGTATGTTCTGACTAAAATCAGTTTACCACTCTTCTTTTTCAAAAAACACAAAAGATGGCTGGGTGCAGTGGCTCACGCCTCTAATCCCACCACTTTGGGAGGCAGAGGTGGGTGGATCACTTGAGGTTGGAAGTTTGAGACCAGCCTGGCCAACATGGTGAAACACCGTCTCTGCTAAAAATACAAAAATTAGCTAGGCGTGGTAGTACATGCCTGTAATCCCAGCTATTCAGGAGGCTGAGGCAGGAGAATCGCTTGAATCTGGGATGCAAAGGTTGCAGTGAGCCAAGATCGCACCATTGCATTCCAGCCTGGGCATCAAGAGCGAAACTCCATCTCAAAAAAAAAAAAAAAAAAAAAAAAAAAAAAGGAAACGCAAAAGAAGTAGCTGTTTTCTTACCATTTACTTCGTGTGCCGTTATTGTTTTTCTAGATCTGTACTGGGTTTTGCGGAAAATATGGAAAGATTAGTAAACATGCTACTTAAATTGAAAGGGTTTACAACCTTGTAGGAAAAAATAAGCCATATCTTTGGCATTGTTATTGAACAGTTTTCATGTTATTAACTAGTTTTCAAATCCACTAAATAAATTCTTACAAAGGCTAAAAATCCAGCCTATCAAAATCCCTTTGAGTTAGTTTCCCAGGTAGGTTATTAACAAATATAAGTGATGCTCCCTTCATTTTCTGAGTTTTTGTTGGTCAGTAATTTCTGTTGACTGGTACTTCTTTGTTTTACATTTAAAATAGTTATTTCAAGTATTTGCTATTAGGATGCTGTAAAATGTCAGTAGAAATGCTTTCTATATCATCAGAATTAAATCAATGATTAAATTTGGTTGAATTTAAAGTTTAAATAGTTTAAACTTTTTATCTCCATGTTTGTGGTCCCCTGGAGGAAAGACATTACATGTTTTACCTTCTTGTGTACCGCCAGCATTATGTTTGTGCAAAAAATGATACAGTTTTTTTTCCCCTCAAAAGCTAAAGGCATGGGTCATAACTATAATCACAGCAGGCTGGGAGGCTGAGGTGAGAGGATTGCTTGAGGTCAGGAGTTCGAGACCAACCTGGGCATCATAGCAAGACCCATCTCTACCAAAAAATAAAAGATAAAAAAATTAGCTGAGCACGGTGGCATGTGCTCATAGTGCCAGCTACTTGAGAGGCTGAGGTGGGAGGGTGGTTCATGCCTAGGAGATCCAGGCTGCAGTGGGCCATGATCACACCACTGTGTCGTAGGACTTTCTCCTTAGTTTAGCTAAAAGCTAGGTTCTTGTCACATGGACATGAAATATTAGGCTCGCAGACACTTTGAAGAGTGAGAAAACTGGAATTTATTGGGCGAAAGGGATAAAAGGGAAACACAGACTCTCAGTAAAGTGAGAGTCCTGCTAGCTGGTTTCCCACCTCATAGATTGAATGGCAGGTTACTTCCCTGGATCAGAAAGGCCAGGCTCCTCCCAGATGCAAAGGGCATGAACTTCCCGAGGCCCCACCCCAGTGCGCACTCCTCCCAGTGGCAGGCTGGTTGGAGGTTCTGCCAGGGGTCCCTTTTTACTTGGCTGTCTCAACTGCACTCCAGCATGGGAAACAGAGAGAGGCCCGGTCTTGAAAAAAATAAAAAATAAATGGCCAGGCGCAGTGGCTCACGCCCGTAATCCCAGTACTTCGGGAGGCCAAGGCAAGTGGATCACCTGAGGTCAGGAGTTCGAGATCAGCCTGGCCAACATGGCGAAACCACGTCTCTACTAAAATACAAAAAATTAGCCAGGCTTGGTGGTGGGCACCTGTAATCCCAGCTACTCGGGAGGCTGAGGCAGGAGAATCGCTTGAACCTGGGAGGTGGAGGTTGCAGTGAGCCGAGATGGTGCCACTGCACTCCAGCCTGGGCAAACAAGAGGGAAACTCTGCCTCAATAAATAAATCAATAAATAAGAAAAAATTTAAAATTAAATAAAGAAAGCTAAAGGCTGTTAGAAAAAGATAAATTTAACAATAATTACATAAGATGCAGTGATGCTGTTTTAATTATACAAAGAAAAAACAAATTTAAATCTTCAGATTGCAATGTCCAAATGAAGTAAAGAATTTCAAATTTTTGGCAGGGAACAGTGGCTTATGCCTATGATCTCAGCACTTTAGAAGGCTGAGGGTGCGAGGATTGCTTCAGCCCAGGAGTTTGAGACCAACCTGGGCAACATATAGTGAGATCCTGTCCCAGTTAAAAAAAAAAAAGAAAAAATTTCAAATTTTTACCTAACAAAATGAAATCTGAGTTGAAATCTACTGAAATAGTATTAGATTTTCCTTTCACCTTCTATAGCTGAAATTTCATGTTGAAAGATGTTAAAAGAATAAATAAGTATATAAAAATACGGATTTGCTTCTTTCTAGTGTTTAAAAATTATTTCTCATTTTACTATTGGTCAAGAACTTCTATTAACTTCAATGTTTGCCATTTTGCTCACGGGGTCTAGCATATAATAGGCACTCAGTAACTAAGTTTTTATTAGTTCAGCTGAAAAATAAAATAACATGAATAAAAACAAAAAAACAAACCAGTATCACCACAACAAAAACACCTGGCACAAAGCTCAATTTAGACAAAATACAATAAAGGTGAGTTCTTGCCTTCCTCTCTCTCACTCCTGCCTCTGAATGTTTCCTATACTTCATAATTTTGCTGCAAGAATTCCCAACTGAGTTCCTTTATTTAAAACCTTAGGTTCGTTGGTTCTTTGAAAGTACAAGTGATTATAATTGAATGTCCACAAATAGTCTTTCACATTAGGGCCAATAGGAGATAAATAGAGTTGGTCAAAATGTGTCATGTCCTAAGCTTGGTCACTTTTCCCATTATGCCTTGAGATCTGCTAAAACCTTTGTTTTAATGAAATTTGACTGGAGTGTTGCAAAAGGAAATGAAGCATGGTATGTTGATGGAGAGTTTGCTTCAGTATTATGTTCTTTCTCAAAATACACTATTTTGTTCAGGGCTAGCCTAATCCTAGTATGAACTTAGCCATAATTATATGACTCCATTTACCTTGTGCAATTAACTGGATAATTGCATGAATGTGAACATTGCTTTGGCCAGCCTTTCCTCCATATATTCCACAGGGGACATCCTCTTCAGCTGCCATGTAGTCTTCTGGGATCTAATTATGATGTCTCTTGGAATCTGGCCCGCATACAAGAATTCAAGCTGGTTTTCCAGGGTGGAGACCATGAAGAAATCCCAATCGGATTCACTGGAATTCATTTGTAAACATCATGCTATTCAACTGTATTGTAATGGAGTAATTCATTATGATTTTAATTTACACACTAAAATTGAATGCTAAAATATGTGTTGACTGTCCAACTTCTAGTTCAGCATGTCTGACTTGACATATTTACTGACTGTTGACTGATATGTCTGTAAGGTTGATAGGCCCTATTGTGTTGTTAATGAGACAAGGTAATTGCTCTTGTTATGGGGTTATAGCAAATGGTTCCAGAATGGAAGAAGGGCCAACATTCTTAATTTAGAGATTAAAATACGTTATTTCTTCTCAAGGTGAAAGAAACTTGTAGCAATGGTCGGAACTTCTAAAACACTAGACAGAAAAATGCAGATGAGTAAACCTTTACTCTATATTTTGACTGAGTGGAAGTAAATTTCACTTTTCATATTTCCTCAACTTGTCTTATTAAGGCTTAGAAAGAGACCACTGATGTTGATAGCCACAGCATTCTTCCAGGAGAATTATGTTTACATGGATTCAAGTTTTTTAATTCATCGAGGACAAAGTACTATCACTTGTGAAGTCATTCACTATCCAAACTCATCTTCTTCTTTAAAAAAAAATACTCACCAGGGAGAGTGGGATATGGAGGAATGTTATATAAAATGAACAAATATGGCTAGATGGATTCCATTACATAATTGGGAATAAGTGATAATGAGTCAATCTAGTTATTTAGTTGTAGTTGTATACTTGATCTTACAGCTCAGAGTGGTGGCAGCTGCTTGCTTTTGCTAATCCCTGGATTACCTTACCTTATTTTTACTTCTATACCTTGACCCTGTTTTGTTTCTTAGCCTTTGTATCACCTATGTAACTAAATTCCTTCTATTAAATTTTCGCATTCCTGTTTGCTTGGTTGAACTCTGAATGATGAGAATGAGTTTTATCTTACTAATGGAAAGAAAGAGTAGAAAACAGTTGAAGAAGAGAAATAAAGAGGTATTATAATTTATGGATTGACAATGTGTATGTTTAGGACTGGCCTGTGAGCTGCTACTTTTTTCATTCTGCTGTTTCCCTAAGTCACTGCTCACTTGCAGTAGTTTGAATGACCGGAGGTAGACATCTGAATTTGTCAAGTCCTCAGTGGTGGCTCTTACTAGAGACTTTGATTCCTGCTTGGTCATTTGACCCTCAGTCAGTTTGGTTTTCCTCCAAGAGGATACAGAATTTGTCCACTGAAAGGCTCCTGTACTTTTTGGTTAATGCAGTATGTGGAGAAGAAAGAAGGAATTCTTAACAGTTCAATGTAGGAAATTAAATATTCAATCCCAATGAGTTCTCTTGTTCCCCATAGAGCGGCATTTATGAAATTCGGACTTATTTAGCATGTGTTTTTGCTTCTTCAACCAAATCATCATATTAATAATTTTTCTGCATACACTTTGGCTGAAATTTTCTCTATAAATAAAGCTCCTTCTAAAATGACTTCCTTAATGTGATGTTAGATGTGATTAGTTCGCTGAAAAGCCGCAGAAAATATTTACACGATCAACATTGTAAAAGTAATACCTCAGATGCTGTCACATCATATGAGTACTCCATAAAAAGCAATGCAAATGCTCTTTCCATCTATGCCTTAAAGGAGACCAAAAGAAACCATGATGATCTCAGCTTCTTTATTATAAAAGTTGATCCTTTGGTAAATTTTATTAAAGAATAATTTGCTGAATTGGAAAAGAAAATAAAAAAATAGGTATGTCATCCAATAATTTGTCCTCTTTATGCTAAAAAGAAAACCCTCAGCATAATTGGATGCCTTTTTAAAAATCCAGATTTTCTGTAGTTTTAAAGCATACAGTCATTTGAAAGACAATCCAGTGTCAAATATTTTGTAGAGGTTGAGGAATTGAAAGCCAAGGTAGAGACCAAGGTGGACCTTGTATCTATCCCAGGGAGCTAGCCCATTTCTCTGAGACTATTGTGAATTGTTAGTTGCCTCCAATTTAAAGTATTCACGTTTCATATAAAAAATCCCAGGTTAAATGGAACTCATATGACCTAGGACAGACATTAGGAACCCCTTTACATGAATTAGAAATAGGACGTGCAAAGCCAAGCAGGGGAGACCAAGTGGATACACAAGCTTTCTTTGGCTCACAGAAGGACTTGGACAGCCAGATGCATTAACGCTCTGTGGGCATACATACATGAAAAGCCTTATGTAAGTGTCAGGTGCCAAGCTGCTGATGGTGTATTAGAATCATCAGATAGGTGGTAACACAAATCCAGGCTCCTCGTAAAATAAGTTTACATGTTTTTTTTGGTAGGAACCAACACTAGGTTGGACAGTTAATGAGCTCCAGAGCTGTTTATTGGTTACTCATAGGGAACCTGACGAAGTATTTCAGTCAAACTGAGATGCTGTTTGACTGGTGGGGAAAACCTACCCAACCTTAGTGCTGTTTCCTCTCACATTATGGTGGATATTTCCCTTAGCCAGAGGTCTGCTTTCTTGTTTGTTTGTTTGTTTATTTGTTTAGGGGGTCCATTGCATGGAAATTGATGGGGTTTGTTTGTGTCCTTATTTTTTTTTTAAATCACATTTTGTTGGCAGAGGAGAAGAGGGGATGCATTGGGTCAGCTGGATGGCATTAGGTCAAAGGCAGTTGGGGAAAAAATGGTCTTGGCTAAGGGGTCCCGGGCAGCTAAGGGGTCCCAGGCAGCGTGCAGAAGGCTGTGCTAAGAGAATGAAAGATAAGCAAATTTAGCAAGTGCAGGGAGAGGAAGGAGCACTTCCTCCTGGCAATTCTCAGAACTGTTTCTCAGCTATTTACTTCCTATTTTGATACCTAGAGCAACAAGAAACAAGGCCTCTGGAGCAGCCTGACTGGCCTTGTCGTGAGCTTGTTTATCCACTGCATCTGTCAGGAAGCAATTATGATAAGGCCGCTGGCACTGGTCTGGAAGATTTTTTTTTTCTGTTTTCTGTGTGGCTTTTGATTGATCATGTTGTACACACAGAGCTCTATTCTTGGATTGATCTATTAACAAGGTTCAAAAGAACCTCCACCATTTAGAAGGTTTTTTCCTTTTGCTTCAGAGGAAAAGCATTATTTGCACCTTTACATAAGGGCATTCTCCAGGCTTTCAGTTCAATAACTAATGAGGATGGAGTGACTTGTGTCTAGGGATCAATGCCCCCACATCTAGATGTATTATATATGTGTACACTTGACATTTAATTCATTGCACTGGAGTGGATTTGTTTTATCTGCTGGGAAAGTAAAAGATGAAAGGCTTCTTGAAGAAAATGCTGGTTTGGACAAGTCACTTTAAGACTCCAGGGCTTATTCAAAGGGTTTCTATTATTTTATTACATGTTAGGGAGATCCCTCTTATTTTCTTCACCCTGAAACCACTTTCTCTCCCACAGTTTTCCCTTTGCAATCACTCCAAGCTATACCATGTTGATTTTGTGTCATTGGTTTCATGTTGGATTGGGTCTGCATTTGGAATCTGCCTGCTTTGGACCAGAAATTAGATTTGCTTGGCCCCACTTCACATATTGTCAGCACTCTGTACATTTAGGGCTCTATAAAAGTATGAAATAATAACCACTACTTTATGAGCTGAAAACAGCTTTTCTCACCACATTTACTTCTCAGTGGACAACAGTAATTTCCACATTTAAGAGACAATCAATATTAAGCATCTTTCATTATCTCCATGCTACTTCCACTGAAATGGACATAATGAGAAATTGGAAGCATCTTATTTCTCTCTGTTTGCGGATGATACAGACTAAATGAATGCTTTTCAAAATCATAGTAAAAAGGATACACATTCTTCCCTGCAGTGAGGATGCTTAGATGAAAAATTTGTGTTGTCCGGCAGCTGCTATCACTTGTCATGTTTATTTTTACTTCTATACCTTGACCAATAGCAAGGGAACAAGAATAGACCACCGATAAGATTAGTTTCTTTTTAGAAAAAAGCGTGACCTTCTTATAACTCAGAGCAGCTTTGGTTTCTGGAAAATACCATCTCAAATTCTGCAGAGTCATCAGATAAGGCAGTTGGTTAAACAAACAAACAAATTGGGCGTGAGCAATAATTATACAAGGGCGGTGTAGTAACAGCCAATGAGATCCTTTTATGAAGTCATTATTCAGTATGGCCAAACGCCATGTTGGGTCAGCAAATGTTAGTCCAAATGTTGCTGTTTTGTTCTTAAATTACTGCCGTGTAATAAAGTGGGACACAATATTGAGTTTTTCAGAAGACTAATTTTTAAAAAATGTGATTACTTTCTATTAATGGGATTTAAAGGCTTTTCTTTTATGAAATGATTGTAAGGGTAGTAACTAATGCATCAGTGAACAACAAAAAGTGTTTGATATGATGCCAACTGAGTAAAATTTTACGAATATTTAATAGAGCACATTATAGAGATCTCATTTACTAGGACCCCAAGGAGGAGAAAGTTACCCATGATTGGTCATGAGCTGACAAGTAGGATTTCTGGAGGCAATACCTCAGTTATATGACCTGCTTCTTACCCCTGGTGCCCGTGATTATAATAGAGCATAAACTGCAAAACACAGGGCAGCTGCTCCTAGTCCAGAGGCAGCACAAGCCTCTGCCATGTGTTCAGACTTTATTCCTAAAGAGTAGCTTTCCTGGATCCATGAACAGCTCATCGGTTCTAAAAGCAAGGTCTGCGGCCCGAACTCTCTTAGCATGGGCTTTTTGGATTATGATACAGTATTTTGATCTGTGGTGTTACTTATCATATTATGGTATATAGATAATATACTTCGTGGTGAGGCTGAGAAAGGAGCATTAATAGCACACCCAGGAGACCTGGGTTCTCTTTTCCGTACTGTTTTTAATATGCTAGTGTCACTTTCTTGGGCTTCAGTTTCTTTGTTTGTAAAATGAATGACAAAGTTGGTCGAGGTCAGTGTTTCTGGTCAGGATCTGTTTGCCACGTGCTTCATGCTCAAAAATCCTTGTTGAAACACAGATTCCCGGGTCTATCTTGCACCTATTGAATTAGAATTTTGTGGGTTGGCCGTGCAATCTGCATTTATACTACATTGTTCCTCATAGGTGATTCTTACACAAGCAAAAGTTTGAAAAGTACATGATTGCACTGAATGTCTCTAGGATTCCTTCCTACTCTTTAGTCTCCTACTCCTCAGGGTGGTGCTTCATCAAAAGGAAGAACTCACTTTTCCTCCCCCATGGGAATGGATCACGGCTGTTCAAGGGTGTTTTGCCCAACTGAATTCTTTTGTAGATAAAAAATTGTGGAACTTAGTTATCTCCAGTACTTTAGGTTAGGAAGATTGCCTGCATCACAGAGATAAATTAAAACAATGCCCTTGTGGGGGGAAAACTTCACAAGGTTTTGAAAACACAGATGTCCTTGTACTACATTCCCCTACAGTCACCTTCAAAATAATCCCTTGAAAGTCCCAGTTTCCTCTTTGTGGGCAACAGTTCAGTCTGTGCCGAGACTCATGCAGCCAGGTGATTCAGCTCTTTAAAAGGCTTTGGTTCAGTTCTGCTGAGGATTCAGTTCTTCCCTGACTCCTTCAGACTAAACATTTGAGTTACAAGCCACATTAAAACCATTTGGTAGAGATTGTAACTAGGGAAAGTCAGTTCACAATCTGACACCTTATAAAGCCTTATTTTAGAGTTTGTGGGGTTTGGTGTATAAAATTTATTCTTTTGGTCTTAAGCAAGCACCTGGCTGTAGGTTTTTCTCTTGCTGGCTGACAAAACAAAACAAGGTTCAATTGATTTCTCTCCTTTAAACAGTTTATGATCTTTGCCTAGTTTTATTTGGACTTAGTTGAGCTAGCTGGGATCACTGCAAACACAAAGCACCTGGAGGAGCCTGGATACAGCCAGATAAATTTGAGCCTGGGTTTCCTTTCTCCAGCATTTACAGAGGTTGCTCTCAAACAGGGACAATTTACCTCCCAGGGACATTTGGCAATGTATGAAGACGTTTTTCCTTATCACAGCTGGGGCAGTTCTACTGGCCTCTAGTTGGCAGAGGCCAAGGATGCTGCTAAACAGCTATAATGCCAGGTTAACCCTCATTACCTACAAAGCATTATCTGGCTCAAAATGTCAACAATCCTGAGGTCAAAAAACCCTAATATTCTAGGGTAGCTAGAAAAATAATCCATGTATTTTGGGGGTGAGATATATCCATAAAGCCAGAAAATGGTATGGGATGGAATAATAGAAGGAGGGTAGCTTTGACATAGACTTTTTGACATAATAGTGCTGAGTGTGGTGGCTCATGCTTGAAATCCCAGCACTCTGGAAGGCCAAGGCAGAAGGATTGCCCCAAACTGTGAGAGCAGCCTGGGCGGCATAGTAAGACCATGTCTCCTCTATTTAATTTAAAAAAGAAAAACTTCATTTGAAAATGAAGTCTAACTAATTTCTAGGACAGGTTCAAGCTCAATAAGTTCCTTACAACAGATTTTGACAAGGATCCAGGAGAGAACTGTAGGCTGCATTAAATATAATAAAGCAGGCCCACTCATTTTAGGCCAGGTAAGGAACAAGATGAGTTTCATTTATCAACAGAGACATATTAGACATCTTAGCAGTTTGTTTTTCTGATGTGATTTTAACAAAGAATACATTTTCTTTTAAAAGTTGTGTTTATAGATTCTAGAATATTTTTTATATATCTCCCTATCCTTTCAACTTTTCTAAGGCTATTAAAAGCATCAAATAGTTAACCACTAGCTAAAAAGAGAGCCTGGCTGAAAGCACTTGTTTTTACTGATGTCCCTAAGACCACCTTTGCAAAATTATGACAGTCTGATTTCCAAGCTGTCCTTGGTCATTCCTAGGCATAGAGCAAGCTAACTTTGGGAGGAATTATGATAATAGTCCCTCCCTAAAACTGACCCAGGGACGAAATACTCACTTTATAAGACCAATGAAAGGTCACAGGTATAGGATTATGGGAGGGGCCTGAATTCTGCAATGATGTAGGCATAGTTTCTATAATTTCTTACTGCTCAAGGGTCATGTGGCCAGAGGTCACAAGATTTGTGACTTCTCAATTGCTCCTATAGATAACATCACTATTGTGGAACCTAACATTGGTTTTTCTTTAGGTGTTTCTCACTGACCTCACCCAGACTCATGACCCATGACTCAGCTGGTCCTGTGGCCCTACCAGAGGTAGACTCAGCCTGTGAGGATGGTTTTCCACACCCCTGTGATTTCATCCCCAACCAATCAGCAGCACTCTTCTCTAGCCCCCTGCCCACCAAATTGTCCATAAAACCCCTAACCTCTGAGCCTTCAGGAGGAAGTGATATTTGAGTGATAACTTTAGTTCTCCCATGTGAGAACTGGCCTTGCGTCAATAAAACTCTTTCTTTCTCTACTGCAGTGCCATGGTCTCAGTGGATTGATTCTGTTTGTGTGGTGGCTGGGAAGCATCTGTCAGGTGCTTACATCCTTCTACTCTCAACCTGCACTGGTTATTTTCTCTGCTCCACCCATTGTTTTCTCTTCCTTGTACACCAATAAGCTCCCTTGCTCCTGGTTTCTGTGTAGATTTGGCTAATGAGAGACACCAGTAAGAAACTAAGGGCAAGATGAAAAAGAAGTCCAGGAGGTTTACCCCAGTCCTCCTGGCTTTACAGCATTCTGGCAACAGATGACCCTCTAAGACCCCAGCTTTTATATGGGGCAGCCATTTTTCCTCCATTTTGCCAGGAATAAACCCTGGTTTCTCCCCTTGCTCCTCCAGACCTAAGAATAGTAATGGCTTTTCACTTCTCCTAGTTTCTAGATGCATCACAGTTTCCCTTTTCTCCCATAACTCAGCACTGCTCTGTAAACAGCCCCTTCAGTTCTTTTCAGTTAAGCCCTCTTTAGTGTAGGCCTCTCAGTGATGCACTGTCAAATTTTCAGTGGAAGGTTTTTGATTTTTTTTTAAATGAACTGGCCAATTAATATTGAACCGGAAGCTGTTCTTCTATTCAAGCTCTTTCCTTATAAAAACCTGATGAGTCTTATTTCCTCATCTGTTAAATAAAGATTTAAAAATATGCCCTGTGTTACACAGAAATGTAAACATTACTGCATTGAAGATTGGAAGCCACTTGACATAGTGAAAAGGAGACTAGAGACATATATTCTAATTCCAGCCCCAATTATTTAGAACTTTAACTTTATGTTATATATATAACATATATATATATATAACATTTATGTTATGTTTTATATATATAACTTTATGTGTATACTTTAGTTCTCTTGGACTCTTTTCCCCATGATAAATATGCTGATTAGGTTAAGTAATCTCCCTGTCCTTCTAGTTCAAACAATTTTACAGTCCTTATATATTCTGTTCTTACTGTTCTAGACTATTCAGTAGCATGACCTATAAAAACAAACAAAAAGAATGTGGAACATAAAACTGAAGAAAAGTGTTGATAGAAGTTCTCCAGAGAAAGGAAAGTTAAAAGATCTAACTTCTATGTGGTTACAAAGGGCATAATCAAGACCATTGGCTAGATGCTGTAGGAGGTAGCTGTAAGTACAATGAATGGGAACGCCTTTCTAGTATATAGACTGGTTCAGTAATGAAGTGGAATATGTTGACTTTCAGGGAAGTGACTTTTCCATCACTGTAATGTTCAAGAAGAGATACATATTTACTATTTTCTCAGCGGGTACTGTAAAGAAGATGCCTGTGATGATATGCGGTTGAAGTAATGGCTAGGTAAGTCACAAATGTGCAGTAGTCTTCCCTTATCTGTGGTTTCACTTTCTGAGGATGTGACTATATGTAGAAACAGGGCATGTAAAGAGGTTATTAAGGTAAAACGAGGTCATATGGGTGGGCCTCATGCCTCTGTGACTGATGTTCTTATAAGAAGAGGAAGAGGCACAAGGGGTGTGCATGCACAGAGGAAAGACCCTGTGAACACACAGGAGAAGAAAGCCCCCTGCAATCCAAAGGAGAAAGGCCTCCGAAGCCAACTCTGCTGACACCTTGATCTCAGACTTCTAATCTCCAAACTGTAAAAAACACAAATTCAGCTGTTGAAGCCATCAATCTATGGTAGTTTGTTCTGCTAGTCCTAACAAACTAATAATATGATAAAGGATACTTAGTAGTAGCACATGATTTCAAAATTTTCCACCATATAGACATAAGGTTTACTATACTTCCACACCGTGTTCCCCTCACATGTATTTACACCACTGGTACTCGGTGTGAACCCCTAGAAACTCTATACCCAGTGGTTTCAAACCTTCCAGGAGCTGCCATTGCATGTCTTTCCAGTGTATCAGTGACTCACCGAGGAGGAGAGCAGCCAGGTGAGGAGGGATTACTGGTGATTATTATTATCAAGGTTCTGTGTAGATACTTCCTGCTGGGATGTGCACAAAAGAGAGATCTGGTACATCACTGTAAGCAAGCTCCGCCTTCAGAATGCAAAATATGCTCTTGAATCTAATTAGATATGGGATCAAAGTAAAGAATTTTCTTCCCCAGATTGACTGGAAGTTTTGTATATTTTTTAGTGGACCAGGTCACCTGAGAGTACCAGTCAGCCTACAGGCTCAAACTGATTTATACTTTGGAGGGAAGGAGAAGTGGCTTTGGAAACTCCAGCCTTTTCTAAATACCATCTAGTATTTAGATGGGTCTAGTTGGCTGACCCTTCTAAGGCAGCACTGTACATCTGCAATGATTTATACAAACAGAGTCTGCAGCTTGGCTGTCGTGGTGTGACTCCTTCCCCCCAGCCCTGTCCATATTTTGAGGACCAAATGGAAGAGCCCACCTATAGCAGCACCCCATGAGGAAGAAGTTTGTTACCTATGGATTCAAGCTGAAAAAGATGAAGTACTATTTCTTCTGAAATAGCTGCTTAAGAAGCAGAAGAAACAGCTATAGGGAGAAGCATTCTCCAGGAAGGTCATCATCATAGGCCAAATGCTATCAGGAATGTAGCATGAAGAAGAAAAGCTTGAATAGATCAGGAGAGGTCTAGGTTTAATTCTGAGTTCTAGCACAGGAACACGTGGTTGGCAGGTCATTTAGACCTTCTGTATCCTCCTAAGAAATCCAGTCTGTGAAAAATAATAATGGGAAATTTTACATAGCAATTCAGGCACTAAATGCTTTATATTTATTGTAACTCGGTTAATCCTCCCAAGGGTTTTTGAAGCTTGTTGTCTTACGCAGAGTTCCAAAATGACCCTTAAGATTCCTGCCCCCTTGTGTATATGCCCTGTATGATCCCCCTCCCTCATACCCACCTGAGCATGCATGGGACTTACAAATATGAAGCCTATCACTTTATGATTGTTGTTTTATAAGATGAAATAAGTTTGTAGATGTAATTAAGATCCCTAATCAGTTGGCTCTGAATTATTCAAAAGAGAGATTATTCTATTTGAACCTGACCTAATCAGGTGAGCCTTTAAAAGGGACTGGGCCCATCTTGAAAGAAGAAATTCAGCCAGGCGTGTCAGCTCACGCCTGTAATCCCAGCACTTTGGGAGGCCGAGGTGGGTGGATCACGAGGTCAGGAGATCAAGACCATCCTGGCCTACGTGGTGAAACCCCATCTCTACAAAAAATTAGTCGGGCGTGGTGGCGGGCGCCCGTAGTCCCAGCTACTCGGGAGGCTGAGGCAAGGGAATCACTTGAACCTCGGAGGTGGAGGTTGCAGTGAGCCGAGATCGCGCCACTGCACTCCAGCCTGGTGATGGAGCAAGACTCCATCTCAAAAAAAAAAAAAAAAAAAAAAAGAGAAAGAAGAAATTCATAGTTTAAGAGGGACTCTCCTGCTGGCCTTGATGTGGCAAACTTCTGTGTTGTGGAGAGCGACACATGTCAGGTACAGCAGGCAGCTTCTAGGAGTTGAAAATGAACCCTCCATTGGCAGTCAACAAGAAATCAGAAACCTCGGTCATACAATCACAAGGAAATGACCCAAAAGAGCTTAGCAGTGAATCTTTCCTTAGTCAAGTCTCTAGATGAGCATGCACCCAGCCAATTCCTTGATTTCAGCCTGTGAAACCCTGGGCATATACATATATATGCACTAAAATGTGACTGGCTTTGACCTGCAGAAACTATGGGAATACATTTGTGTTGTTTTAAAGTCACTAAGTTTGTATCCACAGAGACTGCTAAGTTTGTGGCAGTTGTCATGCAGCAATAGAAAACTAATTCACTGGTGCTATCATTACCTCTATTTTACAATAGGGAAACTTAAACTAAGTTGTCTAAGGTCACAAAATAAGCAAGTAGTAGAACTTGGATTTGAACCTAGTTTCTGGCTCCAAAGTGTGTATGTTTAACTATTGCACTGCACCAAGCTCTTGCCACCTGCCTTCTGTTTTCCTCTCTTTTATAAGTTGCCATGGCTAGTGTAGACATAGGACTCCTCCGTCTGATATATTGGTCTGAAAAACCATTTTGAAGTCAGTAACTCTAGGCTCTTGGCCTCTAGCCAGTCTCCCACTCTGTAACAACTCCCATTTTTCATAGATGGGAAATTCTAGGCTTCACTCCCAGAAGGTTTTTTTTTTTTTTTTCACCTCCCTTAAAAAAAAAAAATCTACGGTTTTAAATTATAGCCCTGTGGTTAAGGGAAAATGACATTTACTGGGGAAGCAACTTGTTACGGTCTTAGGTACTCTGCCAACTGCAATGAAAAAGGGGCTTTTAAATGTCATTTATACATTAAGAAAGATTTAAAGAGACACTAAAGAATATACCTAGCTGGCATTGCCAGAATCTGTAGGCCTTATATCCACAAGTATCCTGGGCTAAAATTTAATTTGTTCTTTTATGTGTGAGTAGAGTATGTTCAGCCCCAAGTCTGAACCAAAATGTTTAAAAATCACACTTCATTTAAAGGGATTCATGGAGACATGCCAGATCTACAAAGATATAAAGTGTAGATCTGAAGAGGAGGCAGAAATCTCCATTGCCTGGAGAGTCTCTTTTTAGGGTGGAAAAATTATCTTAAAATGAGGCAATATTCTGTTAAGAGGACCTAACCTGGATGAGTTGTCTTAAACTTTCTGAAAACCAAAACAGAATCTCCTCTAATTTAAATAAAAGATGACCGAGGCCCAGGTAATAGTATGGTCCAGGTATCAAAAGATAAAGAAGTGAGTAATCAGATTTATTCAGCAATGCTATTGAGTTAAATTGAATTTCCACTGTGGCTGATTTAATCTGATCCCTGTAGAATGAAGGTTGAAGGAAGATAAAATCTTGAGGATAATACTGGCAGTGATACCACTGTGATGCATTTTAGCTTCTGCCAGTTAATTTCATCTATGGCCATGAATATATTAGCATTATATATCTCTGTTGTTTCATTTAGTTATTCACATTTTTGCCTGTAAAATGCTCCTGAGAACCCTTCTCCCACTAACCTTCAAACATCTTAGACCCTGTGTTTCAGCTCTGCTCATTTATAGCCCTTACACTTGCCTTGGAAGGGCCGACAAAATACTGATACATTTCACTTTTCTGAGGTTGATGGAGCACACTAGCACATTAAATTAAAAAGTGGTCACTATATATAAAAGTGACATAAGAGTCTCAGTATCACTGGGCTGTGCATATCAAACTGTTTTTACTATAAGTGTTGAATTTGGGCCAAGTCGTTTAATGCATTTTAATCTTGTGACCGAGAGTATGCATTTACAAGATTTTCACCAGGAATAAGTGTGCTCTAGAGTAGATCTGCTTACCATGTGTTGCTACCACAGGAATGTGATTTTTCGAAATAGAGTAAAAAATGGTACAATGGTGAGGAACTATTTGGTCAAAAATTTGCAAAGAAATTTTTAAATAATGCTAAGAATTGGATATCTTTAAAAATCTAATTCTGATGTATTTGTGTAGCACAAGGCCTGCATCTTAGTAATAATAATCCCCCGTGTCCATAGCAAGGTCTCTTGAAGGTGATATCTAACTCAGGATTTCTGTAATGAATTTAGGAGACAATACGTGAGACTATCTATACCTAACACAATGCCTGGCACCTGTGAGTTATTTAACTGGTAGAAAATAGAAATCTAAAAAACAAGTTAACAGGTTGTATTGAGTGCCTGATAGAATGAATGAATGCAGGTAGGAAACATTTAAGATACTTATTAATGAGTAGGCATGGAATTTTCTGTACTATGACTATATAATTTCTTAAAATTGAAAAACATTGTTTTAAGAGAGTTCTTGCCATCAACATTTAGTATCTCATGACTGTCAAATTCTTTTAGATAGGAGCTTACACAGAGGGAATGTTGCATAATTGAAGAACACTGTGGGATGATAAATTGGGCTGTACCAAATTAGGTCATCCTTAGTCAAAATGTATAATGACGGTCTTTTCACAAACATCTTCACTGGGTTAAAATACCTGACCCAGGAGTTCCATCTGAATGATGGCTAGGTTGAGAACAGTATTTTCTCATGCACACCATGAGCAGAAGAAAAGCCAGGGTGAAAAGCCCTTTCCCCCTGAGGCTTTAGCCACCTTCAGGCTTTAGCCAATTACCCTGCCTGATACTCTGGTTTACTTAAAAACACATTAGTTGGAAAACAAAACAAAAAAATCAATTTAGTTGTAAGGATGTTGACCATTTCCCTCTACTATTTCAGGCTTCGCGACTCTGCCCTAATTGGCAAACAGGTCACAGAAGGTTGATCATATTATTGTATCTGCATCACTATAAAATTGAACAGTTTTGCTTATTTAATTATTTTCATTAGATACCCTTGATATTCTTTTTTCTTTAAATTTCTTCTAAAGGAAAGATTGTATTTGTCACTCTTTTGGAGCCTGCCAAATAGTGTAATTAATTGATAAAGGGTATTTCAGGTATTGGGCTCACTATCTAGAATTCGCTACAGTCGTCATTGTTCTGGGGAAAAAGAAAACAAACACTTGGAAGTGGCAGTGGATAAGCCGGGGCCGTGGTTTATTCAGTGGAAGGAAGTGTAGTTAGTTTCAGCGTAGAGGAAATCTGTCTAAAGGAAACTGGATTGATTTCTTTAAGGAATAAAAGCCAGAGTGCTTTGTGGGGAAGGTGAAACACTCGGTGACCGTTTGCTTAGCTTTCAGTACAGTCACAAATACTAGTCTGCTGAGTAAAAGCACCTAGGACCGGTCACAAAAGGACTCCACCGCCACAATGAGAGGCTGTCTAGGGCCTGCCCTGGGCAAATAAGTGAGAAAGTTTGTCCTCCACGGGTGTCCACGGCCTCCGCCACCACAATCTGCAACCTCTTCTTCAACTCTAGAGTTTCTTTTCTCTATTTTCTTTTCAAAGGCTTACGGTGTTTTCATTACTTTTTTGTTGTTGTTGAAAGTATTTCTTGTGTTTTCTTTCTGTAGTATAACATTCTCTAATTAAAGCAGGAAAGTAGTTTGATAAACTGTATTCATACTAAGGTAATACAGTCTCAGGATTTTTTTTTTTACACTTTGTAGTGATCTTTCTACTAATACTTGGAAAGGACTGTGCTGAACTTAAGGAATTTTTAGACACCTGAGAACCAGAATGGAAGAGATAAGCAGGCACTTGAGCAAAAGATGAACAGAGTGAATACAATTGTACAGTGGATGCCAACAGGACTGAAAGTGTTGAGTTTCAAATCTGTTTCTGCACTCGGTGAAAAAAAGGTTATTTTGCTTGATTAATACGTGAAGTAGGCTTAATGACTACCACATTCTCTATCATTTCATTTTAAGTCCTTCCCAGAAAAAAATGTATACTACCTGTAAGACTGCTTGTCGTATGAAAGTATAACTTTTTTTTTTTCTGATAGTTTGTCATATACAACACCTAACCCATCTGCCATCATCTTTTTCAATTTTTGTTTTTGTAGAGCTTAACATTATGCTGAAACTCAATCATATATTTTCCCTCTGGGGGTTGCATCAGTTTTGAAGAAATGAAAATGTACTTACGTTCTAAAGAGGACAGGCTACATAGTGTGACTTCTGTCTGGGTAGAAAGGATTCCTCCATCTCCATCAGGCATCGGGACATGCAGAGGCTTCAGCCTAACCTGCAGAAATACATATCTCAATAAGACTGAAGTCTCCTTCCTAGTTTTTTCAAACAATGATAGTTTACTCTGTATCTCAGTAGTGCCTATAGGGAAAAGAGCATGGGATTTGTAGACAGGAAAGTAGATATGTCTGCTTGGCATGCTGCTCCCCTCTATGTCCACCACATCCGTCAGATTCATTCCACCCTATTTTGACCAGTTCTGTGCCCGGGAAGCTGACCTCTTTTGGTTGCCTCATCTGAAATCCTTACTCTCCGGCTTCTGCTTTATTTTGGCACATTGGAGGTACTGGCAGGGGACTGGAAGGTGACAAGAGGGCAGGATCAGAGTATTTCTTCGCTGGCTTTATGCCTGCTTTGTCACAATTCTGGCAGTACCTGTGTTCACTGTCCGAGGCCACAGCTCCTGCCACACAGATCCTCTCGTGGTGGCAGCTTTCACCAGGCTCCGGGAACATTGTTTCCTCTTCTTCAGGCCTCGGCGTGTAGTCCTGCTTCCTGCTTTTAGTCCCTGAGTGCTTTACCATCTTTTTTTTTTTTTTTTTTCTTTTTGGCCCCCTTAGCTTTACTCTTCAACTATTTTCAGTCAAATCCTTGAGATGTGCCATCTATTTCCTGCCAGGACCACAAAGGATACATTCAGGCTGTTGGACAAGTCAGATAATCTCTTTGACCTTTAATTTCCTTTATCTGTAAAACCGGATAATACCTATATTGTCCACCTTGAAGGGTTGTTAGGAGGACCAATCATGCATGTGAATTGTAGAGTGTCATAAAAATGCAAACCATGGGTAGCGAATCATCTGTTAATGTTGATTTCCCAACCAGCTTTCTTTAGGCACTTCATAAGTTTTTCTTACCTTCCTCTCTTGATAAATTGATACAAGCTTTGGGAGTGCAATTTCACATTGACTAAAGGCAAGCAGAAGTGGGAACAGGAATCCTCTATTCCACGCATTTGAAAGCTAAATATAAAGCATCCTTAGGTTTATCATGTCTCTGCTCCCCTTCTCAGCAGTATGTAGTTCAGACCTGGGAGGGCGGTATAGAAGATCTTAACATACCTTTGTTTCTGCCTGGAATTTTTACCCTTGATAATAATTTCGTCAAACAAAATTCCCCCATAGTACAGTGCATGTATCACTCACATCTCTATGAGATTGTAAAGCTTCTTTATAATGTTTCTGAGGATACGGGATCCTATATATATATTTTTATGACTCATAGTAACTCTCATACTGTTAAGTACATATTTGATAAAGTAGATACTTGGGAAATGGATGGCTAGGTGTTAAGTGCACATTAGTTGATATTGAGATTTCTCAAGCGTGATAATATGCATTCACTGGTTTTATGCAAGAGCATGCTCTCTCTGATTAGCGTGGCCCTCTCTTTGCATGCATGGAAAGTATTTGTTTAACAAATGAATATTTTATGGACATCTGTTGCGTTTTATGTGTGTATTTTATTGTGTGATTTGGCACATGCAGGACTAAAATTCAAGAGGAGAAATTCTTCCTCCCTGTCCCCATCTTACTAGGTTGGAACCCAGTAAAATGATGTTACAAAACAAAATAAATATTGAAAATGAAGAATGCTTTTCCATCTAGTCTTCCCAAAGCTAATTAAGAAAACTAGTGCTGCTCCTGAAGACTAGGTAAACCCAAACCCAAATGTTCAGGGGGAAGCATTTACATTTCAGAATGTTAGGCCTGGGAATAGTGAGTGCTGGTTTACCCTCAGCGCAGGCTCTAGAAAGGGTACACAGACAATGGTATGAGAGGTATTTGGCTCACTGATCCTTCCTTTCTTTGTTTTCTTACTTCTGGGTAGGCACAATGCACTCCAGAGAACCCTTGCTATTTTTTGTTCCCACATTCTTACTCTTTCAAAAATAAAAAAGGAAAAATAACTGAGATAATCAGGGGCTACATTAAGGGCCCTTGGGAGGTCCAGACTGATCCTACTAATTTCTCTCAAGGAGAGACTATGTAAAAACAAAATCAACGGCCTAGTTGAAGGGGCAGTATAAAAGTTTCTCCTAGTTTGCTGAAGTCACCGAGGTGCTGAGGAAAGTGAAGAAATGCTTAGACCCTAAAATAACTTTGGTAAATTTAAAAAGGGGCCAGAAATATAAAATGGTAGGAATATATGTGTTTATGCATGGTATAAAGAAAGAAAAGTGTAATAGAGGGGTCATGGTAGATTAGCAGCTGACTGAGAGTAACATTCCAGTGTTACAGACAAGAGCACAGGACTACTGGGAAGTTCCAAGAGGAAAAGAGAATGTATGAGCTGGATACATTTCTAAGTTATTTGTTATAAACAGTAATGCCACAGAGGTTTAGACAATGGACAGATTAAAACAAAAAGAACCACCAGGGAACATTCCTTGAAGAAGATGAGCCCAACTGGCCTCTGAAGGGTTGGATTAGTGGAAGGCAGAACTGTGGGGGTGATGAAATGCCACACACCTTCCCATGGGAGGGTTTATACATTAAAGCAAAGAAAACTGTTCAAATAGAATGCCCAAGAGAAAGTAATGAGATGATTTTGGAAAGTTTTCTCTCCTTCACCCTTCTTCTACAAGACCCTAGACAGAGAATCAGTCTATCTGGTAGTTAATGGTGGTAATGTTCCCAGAACCAAGCTGGATCTGGCTGCGTTTTCTCAAGGCCCAATAACGAGAAGCAGACAAACAGGGAAAGAAGGGAATGTATTGCTGTAACCGGATACAGGGAGAAGGCTGGAGATAATTCCACCAGACCAACTCTGTTACGGTTTTCTTAGTGCTTATATAGGTTGGGTTATGTGCCTACGTGCAGTGTAGCATTCACCTAAATCTATTGGTAACTAATTTCGTTTCAACTAGAAGGTCAGAGGCAAAAAAAAAAAAAAAAAAAAAAAAAAGCTTGCTAAGTCCGAATATGCTGTGAGAGCTCCAGGACCTTCAAGTCCTGTCTACTGTGGTACTGGAGTAATGATTTCTATCTTATCTCTTTTACAGCTTGGTCCAGAGAGCTGCCTTAGACTCTCTAATAAATCTATTCAAACAGCTGCCTCTGTTACCTTGACTCGTCTCAGATTTTGTTGACCCAAGATGGGTGTCGGCCCTAGAAGTGTAAGACTGTCTCTTACATTCCTTATTTTGGCTTGCTCCAGGTTAGGGAGAAGCCCATACAAGGCTCCCACTTACCATATGTTTCATTTCTAGCTTTGATGTCTTGGCACTGATTTCCTTAGGTTTAACTGTTTGCTTAATGTTCAGTCTGCTCTGTGGAAATTTGTCTATGTATTTGAAGTGCTATGCAGGCCTGTCTGTGTGATTGTCATGCAGGCCTGTTTGTATGATTGTCAGGGAGAATTGGCCTGCCACAGTAAGGCAGAGAAGCATTCATTCAGGGTTTTCTTAATGGAGAGGCTGAAGGGAGTGTCTTGGTCTGCTTACGCTCCCATAACAATACCATAGACGGGGTGGCTTAAACAACAGAAATTGATTTCTCACAGCTCTGGAGGCTGGGAAGTTCAAGATCAATGTACCAGCAACATAGGTTTCATTCTGAAGTCTCTTCTCTAGGCTTGTAGGTGGCTACCATCTTGCTGTGCGTTCACATGACATCTTCTTTTTGTGTGCTCAGAGAGAGAGAGGAGCTCCAGTTTCTTCCTCTTCTTTTAAGGGCGCTAATCCCATCATAGGTGCCCCACCCTTATGACATCATCTAAACCTAATTATCTCCCAAAGGCCCCACCTCCAGATACCATCACATTAGAGTTTAGGGTTTTAACATAAATTTTGGGAGGATACAAACATTCAGTACATAACAGGGAGTAAGTCAGTTGCAGGAAAGGGAACTCATTATTCTGTTGGAGGCATCTGGAGAAGCTGTCATGTGAAAAAGGGAAAAGGTAGCCAAACAGCAGGAGGAACAGTAGAATCCTGACTACATGGTTATTTAAGAAAGTGGGCCCAGAATAAGAGATGAGAAGATGTGACATATCTAGAGTTCATTGACTAGCCATAGGAACTAACTAGCAAACTAGGGACTGCTTAGTCAGACAAAAGAATCAGAATGCACAGGAGTTGATTGGATATGGAAAAAACAAATGTAAGGACCGATGTCTGCATCTAGAATTCAGACAGAATTAATTCCAGGGAAGGAGAAGTTTCTTAAGTCACTTCATGATGGTTTGATTGCCAAGGAAGGATACTTTAGGGTTATATAGGAAATAATTTTTGACATGTAAGGCCAGGAATTAAAGGCAAAGAAACAGTTGCAGAGTAAGCACAGAATGACCCAAATTCAAAGAGGGTACGGTCCTGAAGCAGAGACCTGGAGTGCTATATTGTACTTAGTGGAAATGGGGGAAATGGTGCAAAGTTAACACTCTGGTAAGGGGTTAGGGAAAGGATGTTTTTACAGAGAGGGCTAAGAGTCTTGACCTAACCCTAACCCAAATGACTGGTGAGATATCCTGGGAACACATTGTGACATAGTTCAAAGTGAGACACCAGTAAAGAGATCAGTGATCCTAGGATCTCTCACTTTTAAGCATAGTATCATTATAGACAGGAGTGGCCTTTCATTTAATACCACTGAAACTCGATTACGCTGGGGCCTATGGGGGGTGGGAGGAAGGAGAGCATCAGGAAGAATAGCTAATGGATGCTGTGCTTTAATACCTTGGGGATGGGTTGATCTGTACTGCAAACCATCATGACACACGTTTACCTGTGTAACAAACCTGCACATCCTGCACATGTACTCTGGAACTTAAAATAAAAGTTGGAAAAAAAAAGAAAGAAATTCTGTTACTTTAACTAGTTATCTTTCCGCTGCCCCCCCACCTAAGGAAGCTCCAAAAGAAAACAGTGACAAATAGAAGAGCAGCTGAACATCTAAGGCCTAATACAAAGAGGAGGATATTAATGTACTTGATGGAGAAGGAGACCGATTTCTCTTAGTATAATGTGCTGCCCTCGAACATTAAACCAGTTTATACAGGATCAGTGCACTCCAAAGCAGGCAATGTGGCATGCATACTCTGCATTTGTCCAAATGTGCATTATCATAATGCTAACAATAATTCATAATAAAAATCACTCTAATGAAAAAATACACAAAAAGAATGTGAAACTCTATACATTTAAGATGATATGAGCTATAAAGTTTAAATTTACATTCCTATTTCTACTGGTAAATATGTCATATTTATTGGGATAAATTCCACAAATAGTTTTTTAAGAAAAAAATAGTCAAACTAAATTTCTGCTGCAGCTGTAGAATCTACATTACTCTGTGACCTCATTCTGAGACAGTGCAACCTGGATAACTTATGGTGGCTTGAATAAATGGAAGAGATATATATGTACTCTCTGCATACGTGCATGCATGTGTCTGTGTGTGTGTTTTTCCATTAAATTTTAAACCCTCTTTCTCACTCATTGCTCTACCATTCTGTTCCTTTTCCCTGTCTGTCTGTCTATCTGTCTGCCTGTCTATATTAGAGGAATCAGAGCCCATCTGAATGATTGTGGAATTGTAAATCTTATCTCTGGAGCAGCCAGTTTGAATCAGAATTTAAATACTACCAGCCAAAGGCTGACAAACAGTCCCAGAATGTAGAGTGTCTGCCAATGTCTGTTACTTGAGGATAGATGGATTTGGTTCTGATGTGATCATTCTCTATTGGCAGCAGAGACCTGTTATGAGACAGAGTGCTAGGAAACAAACAAGACATTTACTTATTTTCAAATCAGAAATTCCAGAACTCCTTTACCTAGGGTGATTATCTTTTGAATTAAAAAATTGAAACATTATTTGAAATGTATATTTGAATTTTATAGATTCCCTGGGCTAAAACTTTTTGGTTGCCCCAACAAAAGAGGATTAGGAAAAAGCATAAACGAATAGATGATTTTAAGGAAGGCAGCAGGCCAGATCAAACAAAGGTCAGAAGCAAAGTGAGTCCGGGCCTACCATCACTGCCCTACTAGACGGGCTCACTCAGTTGTCCTAATCTGTGTCATGAAAAATAGCACAAGCCAACCCTGGAGAGTTTTAGAACATAGAACTTGCTCAGCCATGCTAAGCTCAGCTCACATACAGCCTCAATTTGTTTATATGGTTCAAATTTGTAAAAGAAGAGCATTGGTCATTTTTAGTGGAGTGTATATGAGGGTTAGGAAGGGAATATGCTTTATGCTTGGACCTGCTAGCTTTTGAGTCCTGCAGATGGCAACACATTTGTTCAGGACCAAAGTGTGTGTGTATGTGTGTGTGTGGTGTGTGTGTGTGTGTGTGTGTGCGCTTTGGAACTTTGAGTGGAAAATTAGTGTTAATGTATAATTTTTAGTTTTGTAAAATCCCAGCACTTCCACGGCTACCTATTTCCTTCTAAAATGATGCCATTCATATAAAAGATAACCAAAGGCTGGTAGTACCTATAATAGGACCTTGAGATTTTAACAGCTAGGCTCCTAAGAAATGTAATCAGCTGAATTAAAAGATGTTTTTCTACTCAATCTCTTTTCTATCAAAATCTAAACTTTAATTAAGTACCAAAGCACAACTATTATGGAATATGTCTAAAACTCTACCAAGAGCTACCTAATTGGCACTTATTGTCTTTAGAATACTAATGTGGTCAATAAGAAACCTAAAATGAATCTTAACTGGCTTTGACATTCTTTTTGAGAAAACTAAAGAACTTGTACAGAGAAATGGGAGAGATAGGTAGAATTAAAAAGAAATAGGGTATAGAGAGTGGACCCTGATTATTTAGAGGAATTAATAATAATAAAAAAAAATTTGACCAAAATACTGGAGGATGAAAAGTGATAAAGTGTTTTTGGAAGGCCAAGAAGAAACTGTTTGTAGTGAATGTGCTAATGTTTTAGGGGTTTTAAAACTCATTCTCAAGATAAGGCCAGAAAGGCCAGACAGAGAAAGAAGGTATCAGAGTGTAACACACAAAAAACTGTAGTGAAAATGCTGTCCAGCTATTCTTGGCCGTCTCCTGCCTTATATTATCTCTCCCAATGTGTCTCCCACCACTTTTTTAAAGCTCTTCACTCCAAGTCATATCAAACTACTTAAAATTTCATCAATCTATCATCAAGTATCTTTATTCCTTGATGCTTTCATTGCTTGGAAGCTCTTCCCTCCTTTGGCCACATGGCAAACTCCTACTTATTTTTCAAGACTCAGCTCAAATATCTCCTTTGTCATAAAGTTATTCCTGACACCCTGTAAATTTTTGGTTTTGATTGCACTAATTGCACTATCAAAATTATTTATGTCTTCCCTTTTAGACCATTCAAAACAGGTATAGGCTATCATAGTCATCTTTCAGGTTCCTAACTCATAGTAAGTGCTCAACAAATTTTTGTTCAGCAACTAAGTGAATATTGAGTATTATGATTTCAGAAAGACATATGATTATTTCTCATGACATAATTGTGAATCAGATAAGGAAATACAGAGTGGATTTATGGTTGGTTAAATCACTAGCCTAGAAAGTCATTGGTCAATATGAATCTAGGGAAGTCTCCAGTGACATACATTGAGACTTTGTCTTAAGCCAAATCCTATACTGTATAATCAGTGACTTAAAGAAATAAATAAAAGATTATAATTGATTAATTGCATTTATGTAACTCTTGGTAGTCTTTAAAGTTCTCAAGTTCTACAGTTCTAAGGTATGCTATGCTCCTCAATGTATCAGTAATTTAGCTTTGTAATAAATTAATTTTGTGAGTTATACATTACGTTTTTTTTGAGTTGGGCTATTCGTTTGGCTTTCCAGAGGTTGGAAATCTGTACCTGAACTAAAAAGAAATAGAAAATAATAAAACTAAAGATTCTGAACTTATAATGGTGAAGTGTCTCTCTCTTTGCTATTTTCTCCTTAGTACCATAAAAACAACAGTAATTTGTCAAAAACTACAAATCTTAATTGTTTCCTTTTATTTCATCTTTTTCTTTTGTTTGTTTGTTTTTGAGACAGAGTCTCACTGTGTTGCCCAGGCTGGAGTGCAGTGGCATGATCTTGGCTCACTGCAACCTTCACCTCCTGGGTTCAAGCTATTCTCCTGCCTAAGTCTCCCAAGTAGCTAGGATTACAGGCACCGGCCACCATGCCCAGCTAATTTTTGCATATTTAGTGGAGACAGGATTTCACCATGTTGGCCAGGCTGGTCTTGAACTCCTGACCTCAAGTGATCCGCCCAACTCAACCTCCCAAAGTGCTGGGATTACAGGCGTGAGCCACTGCGCCCGGCCTATGTAATCTATTAAGGAAGACGGAAGACACTGAATGTCTTCAGTAATTTTTAGATGGCTCTTGGAGACCAATAGGAAATACTAGCAAATGAAAATAATAATAATAAACCCTTATGTTGTTGATAACAGTCAGACTCTTACAGAAAACATGTGAGTTGTGTGTGTGTGTGTTTTAAGTTTTAGGGTACATGTACAGGATGTGAAGTTTTGTTACATAGGTAAATATGTGCCATGGTGGTTTGCTGCACCTAACAACCCATCACCTAGGTCTTAAGCCCAGCATGCATCAGCTCTTTTCCCTAATGATCTCCCCCACTTGACCTCCCCCAACAGGCCCCACTAAGTGTTGTTCCCCTCCTTGTGTCCATGTGTTCTTATTGTTCATCTGTCACTTATAAGTGAGAGCATGCAGTGTTTTTCTGTTCCTGCATTAGTTTCCTGAGGATAATGGCTTCCAGCTTCATCCATGTCCCTGCAAAGGACTTGATCTCATTCCTTTTTATGGCTTCCTAGTATTCCATGGTATATATGTACCACATTTTCTTTATCCAGTCTATCACTGATGGGCATTTGGGTTGATTCCATGTCTTTGCTATTATGAATAGTGCTGCAATGAACATTAGTGTGCATGTATCTTTATAATAGAATGATTTATATTCCTTTAGGTATATACTCAGTAAGAAGCTGCTGTTGGAAAATAATGAAAAGAAAACCTCTCTAAACCTCTTGGCTTAGAATATAAACAAAGCCATTAATCCTGAGGTTTTGCTTATCTTACCATCTCAACTCTGCTTTCTCTGTGCTACATAGAGGAACCCAGTGTCTGGGTTTAAAGACTGATTTGCACAAATATCAATGACTACAAAAGAGAAATATATTAATAGTTTTTGAGCCAGCTGGGAACTTCAGAAATCATCTGGCTTGTATATTTCCAGACCTGACTGCTCATCAGAATCACCTTAAGTGCTTTTAAAATATAGATTTCTGGTCATCATCCCTGAGATATTCTGGAGAGAGTCTAGATAATTAGATTTATTAGAGCCTCCAAACAGTTTTGATGTCTACACAGGTATGGAAGCCACCGATCTGGTCAAGCCTCCCTGATTTCCAGATACCTAAACTGAGACACTGAAGGTGAAGTGACACTTAGCTCAAGGTTGGCAAAGCCAGCATCAGAACCCAGTGCCCCAGTATGCAGTCTTCAGTGCATCTATATTAAACCACAGAGGCACAGATGGCATTTTTCTCTGCCTAAGTGATATTGTAAGTGACCTTTCATAGTTATAGGAGGCAGTGGAATAGTGAAAGAAAAAACATCTAAGTAAAACCAAAGGCTGGAAAGACTGCTATGAGAATCGGTGAAATGACAGGTCAATGCTTCATGAACTGTGAAGTACCCATACCAGTACCCATATAATATGGTATATGCAGGGGAGCAAAATTGTCATGTAAGAGGAAAATAAAAATATTTTAAATGAACTGGTACATTAAAATTATCCCAACTTTTTTCTGTCTCAGGCATATCAGGCATAGTGTAGAGGTGAGCAGGAGCAGGAAGATCCATAGGTGCTTTGTATCTGTGCATTTTTGTTTGTTTGTTTGCTTGAGACAAGATCTCTCTGTCACCCAGGCTGGAGTGCAGTGGTGTGCTCAAGTGATCCTCCTGCCTCAGCCCCCACCTCCCCTATCCCCACCCCAGCAGCTGGGACCACATATGCCCGGCTAATTTTTGTATTTTTTTTAGAGATAGGGTTTCGCCACGTTGACCAGGCTGGCCTGGAACTCCTGGTCTCAAGTGATCTGCCCGCCTCCGCCTCCCAAAGTGCTGGGATTACAGGTGTGAGCCACAGTGCCTGGCCTGTATCTGTGGATTCTAAGAACTGTGGACAAAACATAGAGACGTGGATTCAAACACTTCTTATTTGCTGCTTGAGCTCTCTGAATCCTGTGGTACTTTTCTCTGCCTATTTTGCAGATCTCTTTGCCATCTTGATTTCTCCTATTTCCTGATTCTGCTTTGCGACTTTCCCCATTTTCACCTCATTTCCCAGTCTCTTTTTTTAAATTCAAGAATAATTTATTAAGCAGCTTTTTAAATATGTTGCTCTGTTAAGTAGCTTGGATATAAAAATGAAGAGTATAGTGTTCCTGATCTTATAGAAATCACATTCTAGCTGGGCAGAAAGTCATGTAATAAGCACATTATGATAAAATAGGATAAGTTCTACAATAGTAACATGGGATGTTTCCTGCAAGCACATGGAAAAGAAAGATTAATCCTTCTGGAGCTATAGAACATGCATGTAGATGTTGTTGATGGATTATAGAGGTAGGGGGGTTTGAGTGGGATGTATAGAATGAGTAAAGTATTGGAGACCACATTCCAGGTAAAAAGTATGGATAAAAGTGTGAAAGTGCCTACTGTGTTCATGGAATGGCTACTAAAGCTCGAGTGGGCCTACAGTTTGGTTTAGAGTGTGGTGCTACTTGGATTAGGGAAGGAAAATGAAATGGAAAACTAGGATAAGTTGAGAGAATCATGGTAAGATCTAGAAAGATTTCTGAGACAGCAATGTGGTTGTGTGGAAGGGAGGTGGAATAGAGAAGGAACCCAGTCAGGAGAACGTGTAAGTAATTATGAAGATAGATGAAGAGAGTCAGAAGTAAGATGGTGACATTAGGGATGGAGAGGAAGAGGGGTATCAGAAATGCTTAGAGGCAAAATTTGTGGAATAAGATGACTAGCTATAGTGAATGATGGAGATGATTTGAGGTTTCTACTTTTGAGCAACTGTGGAATATAGGGCTAATAGATTTTTGAAGGGCACGGTAAACAGGAGATACCTGTTGGTTGCCCTACTGGAATGTCTAGTGAGTTGTTTGAAATGTAAGTTTGGTTCTTTTTGTTTGTTTGTTTTGTTTTGTTTATAAAGTTTATTTACTTATTTATTTATTTTTTGAGATGGAGTTTTTTGCTCTCGTTGCCCAGGCTGGAGTGCAATGGCGCAATCTCGGCTCATTGCAGCCTCCACCTCCTGGGTTCAAGCAATTCTCCTGCCTCAGCCTCCCGAGTAGCTGGGATTACAGGCACGGGCCACCACACCTGGCTAATTTTGTATTTTCAGTAGAGATGGGGTTTCACCATGTTGGTCAGGCTGGTCTCGAACTCCTGACCTCAGGTGATCCGCCCGCCTTGGCCTCCCAAAGTGCTAAGATTTAAGCAATAGAAATGCTTAGACTTGCTGGGGAGAATGTTTAGAGAGAGGAGAATCTACAGGATAAGACTCTGAGGAGTACTGACATTTAAGAGTAGGTAGGGGAAGAAGAAGCAAGAAAAGAGGGTGAAAGGAACAATGAGATAGAAAATCAAAACAAAGCAGGAGAATGATGCTATAGCAACTAAGGAAGTCCAAGTAGGGTAGTTCATGCTGTTGGATAAAAACTAAAAATGGACCATTAGATTGGACTATTTTGCTGGCTTTGTGAGAAATGTAGTGTTATTACAGCAGCAGAAGCTAGACTTTTCTGGATTGAAGAATGAAGGAGAAATAAGGGCAAATGTAGATCACTTGAATGGTGGCAGAAAAAAAGAATGATAACATGATGACTTGAGAGTTTTTTTTTTTAGGAGAGTAAGAGACTTCAAATTTCTTCTTGAAATTAAAATAGCGTACCCCCTAACAACAAAGAAGCAAATCTGCATATCATCTTGTGATTTTTGTCTCTCTTCTTCTTCCTTCTATTCCTTTTTTGTTTTTACTTTATTTCAAGCCTCTCCCTTTTGCAGAGGGTTAACATCAATGCAAGTTTCTAAAGGGCCATTTACCACGTAAGGCCTTATGCCATCTGGTTCTTCTTTATCTCTTTCCTTTTCTCACTTCTCTCTATTCTTTGCTGGCACTCACATGTACTAAACATGCTCCCATCTGTGGAACTCTGAATATGCTATTTCTTCTTTCTAAAATGTTCTTTTGGTCAAGTGTAGTGGCTCGTGCCTGTAATCCCAGCACTTTGGGAGGCCGAGGCAGGTGGATCACCTGAGGTCAGAAGTTCAAGACCAGCATGGCCAACATGGTGAAACCCGGTCTCTTCTAAAAATGCAAACATTTGCTCAACATGGTGGTGCGTGCCTGTAATCCCATCTATTTGGGAGGCAGAGGCAGGAGAATCGCTTGAACCCATGAGGCGGAGGTTGCAGTGAGCCAAGATCATACCATTGCACTCCAGCCTAGGCTACAAGAGCTAAACTCCATCTTAAAAATAAAAATAAAAATAAAAATAAAATAAAATGTTATTTCATCCTATATCCACATGGCTAAGCTTTCAGTTTATCCAGGTCTCTGCTTAACTTTCATCTCCTCACAAAAGCCTCCTCTGGCCACTGGATGTACTCCTCCTTCTATCCCCCGACCTGCAGTGTTTTCTTCTATACACTGATCACTACTTGGCCTCTTATGTGTATACATTTGTTTGTTTGCTGTCTGTTTCTATTTATTATAAAATATAAACTCCAAAGGTACAGGGTATTTGTTCTATTCACTGTGTTATCTCCAGCTCCTAGTATAGTGCATGGTTCACAGTAGGCATTCAATACATATTTCACAGTAGGCATTCAATACATATTTTTTAAAAGAATACTGTCTTCATCCTTTTTACTGCTATAACAAAATACTATAGACTGGGTAATTTACAAAGGACCGAAATTTACTTCTCGTAGTTCTGGAGGCTGTGAAGTCCAAGATCAAGGTGCCAGCAGGCTTTATGTCAGTTGAAATGTATTCAACAGACATAAAATCAAAATCTATTCCTTATAGCTTTTGCTGCCCAGGTGTCCTCACATGGCAGAAGGGGCTGAAGAACAAAAAGGGGGCAAACACTGTGTCCTTACATGGCAGAAGAGCAAGACAGTGTATTCTTCAACCTTAAGCCCTTTTATAAGGTGCTGATCCCATGAGGGCTCTGCTCATGGTTGATCCCATTCTTCAACCTCAAGCCCTTTTATAAAGATGTTGAGCCCATGAGGGAGCTCTGCCCTCATGATTTAATTGTCCCTCAGAGGCCACACCTCTTAATACTGTTGCATTGGGATGAAGTCTCAATGAGAATTTTGTAAAGAACATCATCATTCAAACCACAGCAAATATTTATGAAGGATGAATTTAATTGTGGACATGGTTAAAGTGTCTATTTATATCATTTATTCTTATAGGAAGGTATAAGATAGTAGTTTTGTCTTCTTGGCTATTTGCTTTGTTTTTGTTGTTGTTCTTGCTTTCTTCATTTTTTAAATGCATATACGCATATACATTAAAAATACAAATCAATGAGCAATAGGATTGGAGTCTAGTATAGTTTGGATGCTTGTCCCCTCCAAATCTCATGTTGAAATGTAATCCCAAATGTTGCAGGTGGAGCCTGGTGAGAAATGTTTGGATCATGAGGGTGGATCCTTCATCAATAGCTTGGTGACATCTTCATGGTAAATGAGTGAGTTCTGACTCTGAGTTCACAGGAGACCTGGTTGTTTAAAAGAGTGTGGCATCTCCCCTCACCCTTGCTCCTGCTCTCAGCACATGACTTCACCTGCTCTCCCTTCACCTTCCACCATGATTGTAAGCTTCCTGAGGCCTCACCAGAGGCAGATGCCGGTGGCATGCTTCTGTTACAGTCTGCAGAACTGTGAGCCAAATTAAACCTTTTTCTTTATAAATTACTGAGCCCTAAGTATTTCTTTATAGCAATGCAAAAATGGACTAACACAGGGTCTTGCTGGGTATGTCTTATCAAATATTTATTAATTTTCTTTAAGCTACAAGGTGTGAGTGTGTGAGTATGTTTGTGTTTACAGGTGTGTTGGTAGCTAGAAAGAAGGGAGTTGCATTGGCATACTGGGAGGAGGTGTTTCCAAAGACTTAGTAGTAGTCATTTTTCAAGACTTTATGGACACAGTGGATGAAAAACTGATAAAAGCACTTGTACATTTTTGGTTCTGCAAGCACTTTTGAGCAACATGCCAGGGAGTTTGTCAGAGTTTTCCACTGTAGTAATTCCCTCTCTCTCCCCATTCCCCATTTCATACTTTATGTGGAAGGATGTCATTATGTGCATCCCACAGTTCAGGAATGGGGAGTTAAGCTCCACCTCCTTGAGGATAGATTATTGACATCAATTATTTGAAATTCTTCTATGCAGGAGATTTGTCTATTAAATGTCAGTGTTCCCCAATGCTTCATTTCAAGTCTTCTTAACCCTCTCTGCATACTCAGTGGGTGATCTCATGCTGTCAGCTACTGTGTAATTCCTCAAGCTTTGATTTCTTTTTTAAATTATTCTTACGTATTTATTTTATGAGATGGGGTTTTGTTCTGTCACCCAGGTTGGAGTGCAGTGGCGTGATCTCGGCTCACTGCAGCTTCCGCCTCCCAGGCTCAAGTGATCCTCCCACCTCAACCCCCAGAGTAGCCAGGACCACAGGCACACACCACCACGCCTGGCTAATTTTTTTGTATTTTTCATATGGACAGGATTTTACCATGTTGTCCAGGCTGGTCTTGAACTTCTAAACTCAAGCAATCCACCTGCCTCAGCCTCCCAAAGTGCTGGGATTACAGGCATGAGCCACTGTGCCTGGCCTCTAGTTTTGATTTCTATTCCAAGTTTCAGATTCTATTTCTAGCTACAACTGGACAGCTCCTAAATCTAATTCAATGTTTTAAAAATCAAACTTTTTCCAAATCTCCACTTCAATCTCCTTTATTACTTTTCTCAGTGGCTGGGTTTATCTTCTATGTACTTTCTTATTTTAAAAAATCACATTCAACCTTTATTCTTCCCTTCCTATAACCTTTACATACTCCCAATATCTACTGGTCATAACATCCTATGAAGTGTATATCTTTGAAATATTTCTCAAATCAAGTTCTATTTGCCATCTTGACAAAAGTGTCTAGTATTGGTCCCAGTGTAACCTAATAGTCCCCAGATAACTGCTTTAGGCTTCTAGATAGAAGTAATGGGTACAATGTCTCTTGTGTTTAGTATACCCTGCACACAGATGCCATGGTGATCTTACTAAATCAGAACTCCACATCTAACTTGTATTCCTAAAATTGTTCCATGGGACATAGCATGGTGTGAAAGCTACTTCCAACTCTGGCTTCTGTCTGACCTCTTCAGCTCTTTCCACTGCCATTTCCTTCCTTTCCTCACATCTTGAACTTAAAGCTCTACAGAACTTATTACTATTAGTGAGCACACCATGTTCTTTTGTTCTGCTGAGATATTTAGATGTATAAAGCTGGAGGAATTTCTGCCTGAGAAAAGTCCACCTTCCTCTGCCGAAAAAATTTCCCTGCATTCTTTATGACCTCACTTGAATATCAACTAGTGTTTACTGAGAGCCTACTATGTATAGAGCCAATATATTATAATCTTCATGTTTTCAGTAAGTGTCCTAGTATTAAGCATTTTGCTCTTTTTTACCTTCTTTTCAAATATAAACATTTGGGGGAAAATAGCATATTAAGTATTTTATACCTAAGTGAGACTCAATTTATAACATTGTTTTCCTCGATGACATAAGGGCCATGTGAGAAGAAGAAACAGTGGATGAGAGGGAAGAAAGTGTCAAAGAAGAGGAAAATAGAAGTAGCTACTAGAATAGATAGCCTGTTACCATATTCTCCAGCCTGGAAAAGTGCTGTAGTCCACAAGTGGTATACTTTTTTTTTTTTTTTTTTTTGAGATGGAGTCTTGCTCTGTCGTCTAGGCTGGAGTACAGTGGCATGATCTCGGCTCACTGCAGCCTTCGCCTCCCAGGTCCAAGCAATTCTCGTGCCTCAGCCTCCTGAGTAGCTGGGATTACAGGTGCATGCTACCACGCCCGGCTAATTTCTGTATTTTTAATAGAGATGGGGTTTCACCATGTTAGCCAGGCTGGTCTCAAACTCCTAACCTCAAGCCAACATAATATAATCTTTATGTTTTCAGTAAATGTCTTAGGCCTCCCAACGTGCTGGGATTACAGGCGTGAACCACCGCACCCAGCCCACAGTGGTATATACTCTTAACTGGATGACAGCAAGAGAAAAAATTGTCAAGGCACAGACAAGGCTGAACATCCCTGAGCTGAATCTTAGTAAACTCAGAGGTGTGTAGTATGTCAGACTTAAAAATAGGTCTTGAATTTAAAGCAAAGAAGGGCAAAAATGTGCAAAATCTCAAATTTAGAGCTGTTCTTAGAATACAGTTCTGTGGTTGAGATTCCCCTCTGTGTAGGGAGGCCCTTCAGGCTAAATGTCAAAAAGGTTGGGGAAAGAATCAGGCAGTTTGAAGGGAAGTGATATCTCTAGAGAGGCTGTGCAATTTCAAGTGCTGTGTAGGAAAAAGGAAGATGTGGTTGGCAGGTTTTTTTGTTTTTGTTTTTTTCAGTTGAAGTGGACCTTAGAGATAACTTAATTCAGCCGTCTCATTTTGTAGTGAAAGAAACTGAGACCTTACATGTTAGCTTTGAGCAGATCTTAGCCCTCCTGCTGCAAGTGAGATAGGGAACTCCTCCAATCGGTTTTATTTTTCCACAAATAAAACTAATACCAGGATGTTGCATAAAAATTACAACAATAGCATACATTTGTATAGAGCTTTGTTTATAATATTCTGGGCACAACATTATCAGAGAATGTGTACTGTTTCTGCCCCTGAGACACTTATTAATAATGTGTAACCATATAATTTATTATCTGAACCAGGACACTTTTGAAAATGAAAGGGGAGGCTATTAATAATTTTTCAAAAACAATAGGCATTAACTGGGAGTGTTCCAAGCACCCCGGGATATGTGGTCACTTGCTTTTCACCTAAGTGCAGAATTTCCAAGGCTAAGGTCCAGATTAGGTTACAATGCAAAAGTTTCTGGGCCAGCAGACTGAGAGCTGTTGGCTCAGGTTCTCACTCAGAATGGGAAGACTGGGTTTGTTTTCTGCCTTCAGGTTTAGCATTTGTATATATCCATGTTTGATGGGATTGTGTTCAGGCTTATTCATTCAGCAAGCTAAACATTTATTGAGAACCAGGTGTGCAGTGTTAAGAGAGAAAACTGTAGAGGTAGGAAGAAGTAAAATCATTGAGGACAATTTATGCCATGTAATAAACTTGCACTGGTAATTTAGCAGGCAAATAGACTGCTGAATATTTAATTCAGTTTAGTCAGAATGAACAAACAAAATAAAAATATTGTTATTTCATTTCTGTTATCACTACATTGAAATGCTACTTTCTGAACTTTGATTTATTTTTTGGTACTTGGCCCCCATCATACACAAATGTATCTGCTTCTGTTTCTGCTAGTGCAGACTTAGAGAACAGCTAACTCTGGCCTGTTTAAGGACTTAGATCAGTGTTTCTCAGTGGAAGGCAATTTTGTTTCTCACGGGACATTTGATAATGTTAGGAGACATTTTTGTTTGTCACAAATATGGGAAGGGATACTGCTGGCATTTTAGTAGTTAGAAACCAGGATGTGGCTCGACATCCTACAGTGAACAGAATAGCCTCCTACAACGAAGAATTATCCAGCCCAAAATGTCAACAGTGCTCAAGCTGAGAAACTCTGAAGTAGATGGAGACAGTATTTTTGATTCTTTGTAACCTTGCTGTGTTGGTTTGGGTTCTTCCAAAGCAGAGCCTGAGATGATGACTTGGATATGGGAAGTAAGAGTGAAGGAACGGGGAGAGTGCAACAGAGAAAAATGAAGAACTAAGATAAGGGGGCATTATTGGGGTGTCCCTGTGTGTAACAGGGGATAGATTTCCTTGAGATCTTCTGAGGAACATTCAAGATGCCTCTCTAAATAGTCCTCCCACGAGGAATGAAAAATGGTAGCATTTACTCACCATTGGCATTCATTCAATCCCTCATTGGCTGCAGAAAGCTGCTGGGGCTTATATACCTTCATCCACCCAGACTGTGTTTACAGGTGGGCTGTGGAGGCTGTTGTGCACTGGAGGAGGTCCTGGGGCAGAAACAGGAAAGATGTGCCAGGTACTCTACATGGAGCCCTATCAGTGTTAGCTGAATCTGAGTTTACATGAGACTGTCCACCACAGATGCAGCTGAAGTCGGAGGTGGGCTTCTCAGGTTGACATGGGGCACGAGAGGTATTTGTTACAGTTGGTTTAGGAAAAGTGCAGTTGTTTTCGAGATAAAGTGCTGTATCATCATACTAACTATATTCCTCAAAATTTATAATTCAGTTTATTCTATTATTGTTGACTTTTTACTATGTGTCAAAAAACTGTTTGCTCAGCAAATTGAGACCATAAACAAGATTTCAGAAAATGTTATTATTTAAAAATTGCTTAGGACTTCAACACCTTTTACGTTAACAAAACATATTCAGGATAAAAGAATTGTCTCTTAAGTATATATTAAATTTCTTTTCTTCCACAACCGAAAATTAATAAAATAACATTAAGTATGCCATATATTTAAAAAGTTAAATGTTTTTAATGCTCCTAACCAGTTACACTGGGTTAATTATTCCTCTCTTTGTTCTCTTTCCCTTTCTCTTCTTCCTTGGTAAAAAGTACAAAGTGAGCGGATGTCAGCTATGGTAATCAGGAAAATTTGTTGGTATTGTGCTTAAGGAGGCTGCTAATGTTAGAAACTATCCTGTGTTTGAGTCTTGACACAGGGTTATTATGTTAACTTGTATTTTCCACTAGCTATGCATAAAACAGAGAAAAAAATGTGATCCAACTTTTTTTTTTTTTTTCCTGATGTCAGTCAGCTACATATCCAGCAGGGATTGGAACTTTAAAGAAAGGGCCCTTTTGTTTTGTGTTACACTTTAATTATAGTAAGGATATACCTCAGAGATACTGTAGGTTGAGTTCCAGGCCACAAAAATACAGCAAAGATTGCAATAAAGCAAGTCAAACTAATTTTTTAGTTTCCCAGTGTGATGGTTAATATTGAGTGTCAATTTGATTGGATTGAAGGATGCAAAGTTGCTCCTGGGTGTGTCTGTGAGGGTGTTGCCAAAGGAGACTAACATTTGAGTCAGTTACTGGGAGAGGCAGACCCACCCTCAATCTGGGTGGATACCATTTAATCAGCTGCCAGTACAGCTAGAATAAAGCAGGCAGGAGAAGATGGAAGAGTTGACTTGCTGAGTCTTCCAGCCTTCATCTTTCTCCTGTGCTGGATGCTTCCTGCCCTCAAACATCAAACTCCAAGGCCTTGAGTTTTTGAACTCTTGGGCTTACAAGAGTGGTTTGCCAGGGGCTCTCGGGCCTTTGGCCACAGACCGAGGGCTGCATCTTTGGCTTCCCGACTTTTGAGGTTTTGGGACTCGGACTGATCTACCACTGGCTTCCTTGCTCCTCAACTTGCAGATGGCCTATGGTGGGACTTTACCTTGTCATCATGGAGTCAATTCTTCTTAATAAACTCCCTTTCATGTATACGTATATCCTATTAGTCCTGTCCCACTGGAGAATGCTGACTAATATACCCAGCACATATAAAAAGTTGTGTTTACACTATACTGTAGTCTAATAAGTGTACAATAGCATTATGTCTAAAAAATATACATACCTTAATTTGAAAATTGTTTATTTCTAACAAATGCTAATGATCATCTGAGCCTTCAGTGAGTTTTAATCTTTTTACTGGTAGAGGGTCTTGCTTTGATGTTGATGGTTGCTGACTGATCAGGGTGGTGGTTGCTAAACATAACCTGCACAGACCTTGGGGGACTGAACAAAGCAGGGCAAACGGGGGACTAAAGACAAAGACAAAAGAGTATGTTTGGAAGAAGGGGTCAGGGGCACCTTGCCTCCAGTGGACAAGGGCCCAGACTTTCCACTGCCCTTCGTATTCATTGGTAAAAGAGATAGCAAGAAGGGGGGTGGAAGAAGAGGTCAGCTGCTCAGTCCAGAGTAGGCTTGCAAGACTGCGTTCCTCGAACAGTAAGCTCTAGATGTCCCAGTAGATAACCTCAAGGAGCCCAGCGCCAGGGGCTGACTGCCCTCAGCAAACCTTCTGGTGGCAGGCACAGCCGTGAGTTTGCTCACATCCTGCATTCATGATAAACAGTTTGCTGTTTGATCATATAGCCTCCAGTGGAATGCCGAGTTGGTCACGATCCCTTTGGCCTTTTCGGCTCCGAATAGCTAAAGGTTAGGGTGGCTGTGGCAATTTTTAAAAATAAGACAATAATGAAGTTTGCTGCATCAATTGACTCTTCCTTTCATGAAAGATTTCTCTGTAGCATTTGATGCTGTTTGATAGCATTTTGCCCACACTATAACTTTTTTCAAAATTGGAGTCAATCCTTTTGAACTCTGCTATTGTTTTATCAACTACGTTTATGTAATATCCTACACCCTTTTTTGTCATTTCAACGATGTTCACAGCATCTTTGCCAGGAGTAAATTTCACTTCAAGAAACCTCTCTCTTTGCTCATCTATAAGAAGCAACTCCTCATCAGTTCAAGTTTTATCATGAGAAGGCAGCAATTCAGTCACATCTTCAGACTCCATTGCTAATTCTAGTTTTCTTGCTGTTTATACCACATCTGTGGTTCCTTCCTCCACTGAGGTCTTGAACTCTCAAAGTCACCCATGAGGCTTGGAATCTACTTCTTCCAAACTCCTAATGTTGATATTTTGACCTGTTCCTGTGAATCACAAATTTTCTTAATGGCATCTAGAATGATGATTCCTTTCCCGAAAGTTTTCAATTTACTTTGTCCAGATCCATCAGAAGAATCACAATCTCTGGAAGTTTTGTCCTTACAAAACATGTTTCTTAAATCATAAGACTTGAAAGTCAAAATTAACTTTTTGATCCATGGGCTGCAGAATAAGAATGGATGTAGTGTTAGCAGGTATGAAAACACCATTAGCTCATGACCAGCCTGGCCAACGTGGCAAAACCCCATTTCTACGAAAAATAAAAATAAAATAAAAAAAGCTGGATGTGATGGTGATCACTTATAATCCCAGCTACTCGGGAGGCTGAGGCAGGAGAATTGCTTGAACCCAGGAGGGGGAGGTTGCAGTGAGCCGAGATCACGCCACTGCACTCCAGCCTGGGTGACAGAGTGAGACTCCATCTCAAAACAAAACAAAACCAAAACATTAATCTCCTTGTATACCTCCATCAGAGTTCTTGGGTGACCAGGTGTGTTGTCAATGAGCATTAATATTTTCAAAGAAATCTTTTCTCATAAGAAGTAGGTTTCAACAGTCGGCTTAAAATATTCAGTAACCGTACTGTAAACATGTGCTGTCATCCCAGCTTTGTTGTCTGATTTATAGAGTGCAAGCAAGGTAGATTTAACACAGTTCTTCAGGGCTTAGGATTTTCAGAATGTTAAATGAGCATCGGCTGCAACTTCAAGTCACCAGCTGCATTAGCCCCTAACAAAAGAGTTATCTTTTCCTTTGAAACTTTGAAGCCAGGCAGTGACTTTTCCTCTCTAGCTATGAAAGTCCTACATGGTATCTTCCAGTATACGGATGCTTCATCTACAATGAAAATCTGTTGTTTAGTGTAGCCACCTTCATCAGTAATCTTACCTAGATCTTCTGGATAACTTGCTGAAGGTTGTACATTAGTACTTGCTGCTTCAACTTGCACTTCTATTTTATGAAGATGGCTTCTTTTCTTAAACCCTGTGAACAAACATCTGCTACCTTCTAGCTTTTCTTCTGAAGCCTCTTCACTTTTCTCAACTTTCATCAAATTGAAGAGAATTAGGGCCTTGCTCTAGATTAGTCTTTGGTTTAAGGGAATGTGTGGCTAGTTTCATCTTCTATCCAGACCACTCAACCTTTCTCCACATCAGCAAGAAGGCTATTTTGCTTTTTTATCATTCATGTGTTCACTGGAGTGGCACTCTAAATTTCCTTCAAGAACTTTTCCTTTGCGTTCTCTACGTAGCCAACTGGCACTAGAAGCCTAGCTTTTAACCTATTTTAACTTTCAACATGCCTTCCTCATAAAGCTTAATCATTTCTAGTTTTTTGTTTAAAGTGAGAGACATAAAACACTTCCTTTCATGTGAACACTTAGAGGCCAAAGTAGGGTTATTAACTGGCCTAATTTCAATACTGTGGTGTCTCAAGGAATAGGGAAACCTGAGGAGAGGGAGAGAGAAGGGAAACAGCCAGTCAGTATCTGCAAAGCACAATAAGGCAAAGTACAATAAAATGAGGTAGGCCTGTAAGCAATTCCAAATAGAAGCAGACAATCCTAAAAGGCCTAAGATTGATACAACTGACTATGAACTCTCTTGCTCCAACAGAGGAGTTTCTCAATAGAGAATCTGTAGTCAGCCCAGAATCAATATTTCTTGGGATTATGAAAGGAAGCAAGGTGACTATCGTATCCCAGCTCCAACGTAAAATATAGTAATGACTGCTAACTAAAATTTACTGAGAGATTTGCCAGGTATTTTCCTACTAGGCATCCGTTTTATGTTCTGCTTTCCACTTTTGCAGTAAACTACATTTCCCAGACTTCCTTACACACTGGCATCTAGCAGTTCAGAAAATGGAGGCACTGCCAGAAGATTAGAAGAATCTTAGAATTAGAAGATTAGAAAGCCCCAGTTCCTAGGCCTGGATAAAACTACTTCTTTTCAGCCAGGCACGGAAGCTCATGCCTGTAATCTCAGCACTTTGGGAGGCTGAGGCAGGCGGATCAGGAGGTCAGGAGTTCGAGACCAGCCTCACCAACATAGTGAAACCCCATCTCTACTAAGAAATATGAAAAATTAGCCGGGCTTGGTGGCAGGCGCCTGTAATCCCAGCTACTCAGGAGGCTGAGGCAGGAGAATCGCTTGAACCCAGGAGGCGGAGGTTGCAGTGAGCCGAGATTGTGCCATTGCACTACAGCCCAGGCAACACTGTGAGACTCCATCTGAAACAAAACAAAACAAACAAACAAACAAAAAAACTACTTCTTTTCTTTGTCTTCCAGTCCTATGGGGTGGTAGAGACTTCTAGCACTTGTTAATCTCTAGATTCCTTCATGGTCCCCTGTTAGCCTTCAGCACTTCCAACACATTTGAAAATATTCCCTAGGGTTTAGTTTCTCTGCCTGTACACCAATATTTAAAGTTCTAGGCACTTTACATATATTAATTAACTCTCTAAATAGCAATTCTATGAGGTAGACACTATTATTTTCCTCATTTTGGAAATGAAGAAACCAAGGTAAATACAGATTCAGTAGCTTGTCCAAGGTCCAACAGGAAGTGGTAGCCTGAAAACAAGCAGTCAATTTCCAGAGCCTAAACTCTTTTTTTTTTAAAGAGCCTAAACTCTTACTACTAAATTATATTGCCTCTCATCAGAACCAAATTATTCACCCTTGACTCCAAACATTTCTAACTGAAGGATTCTTCCCTCAATTCTGAGGTCAGGGTCATTGGCATTTTGTCAAATGTCTCTAGTGATGCTTCTATTTTTAGTAGGGCAAGTGGCCAAGGGACTGCTTGTGTTACCCTCCATGAACCCCTAAGATCCATTTTGCTTTCTTTCTGTGTTTTCTCCCCTCTGTTGCCACTCCAGGCCTCCTACCAGGGTCACTCACTGAGTTGTCTTGGTCCCAGTAGTGCACTCAGTGCATCCAGAGGTGCCTCTTGCTCCAGTTTTGCTCCGTGTCTCAATTCTGCCTTTTGCCAGGTTCATTGGTGCATAAGGACAGGTCAGAGATAAATTACATAACACATTGATGATTCTAATGATGAACTGAATACTTCCCAGAAAAATTCCACTGTCTTTTCCCATATAGCACTGTCATAAATATACACTGGCTCTTCATTTGGGATTCTGTGAATATATCATGTAATTTTGTATTTCTATATTTTTTCTCTTACTGTCTTCATTATTTGAAATGTCCTTGCCTTCTCTCTCCTCTGGGTGAAATATTACTCATCTTGAAAGGTAAGGTCTAGCTTAAATGCTATCTATTCTGAGAACTTTCCATGATTCCACTTTCCCTACTCCTAACTCAGATAAACTAAATCACTTTCTACTTTTTGCTTCCACATCACTGTGTTCACCCGTTTGATCCAGTTCTCAGCGTGTACTTGTCTCCCAAATAAACTTGAAAGTAGTGAGTATATCTTTGCTTTTGTGTTTCCTGTTACCTAATACCTGTTTATCAGATTTCTAAGTTGAATCAGAGCAAGCAGTTTTGTTGACCTCTGCTGTAACAAATCTAGGAGCCAGAGGATAAGTAAGCATCATTTAGTGAGTGCTAAGCAGGTGAAACCCTCTTCCATATTGACTTGGTTTTTATTCTTTTATCTTGATATGTTAGAAAATGGGAAATTTGGTGATTTTTCGTAGGTTATTTGTTTCTTAGATGCTAAGTTCTAACTCAAAATTGTGTGTGTGTGTGTGTGTGTGTGTGTGTGTGTGTGACAGTGGACAAATTTACTTGAACAGTTACTTTTTCTTGTAGACAACTGATTCACAACATTATTGTGAGTAAAGATGACTGCATGGTAGCAGAATATTATTTTGGAAATACAACTCAGCAATGAAAGATAAGAATTACTGAATCAGCAGTAGGTTATAAATGGGTTTATTTTTAATAGGAACTATTTAACACAGAGAGTTTACTGTTTTAGTGCTAGGGAGAATACGTACAATCTTAGCCTATGCCCACACAGGTTGGGTATTTCATGTGTGGCTTTCACCAAAAGATAGTTAATTCATTATTTGGGCGATATAAAGGCTATTTGCCAAATAGTTATATAGTTTATTGAATAGCTATTACGAGTTAATCATTAAACAGTTTGCAATTTGCAGATCAATAAGTTCCTGCTCTTACTGTCTTTGAATAATGTATGAAGTTGGTTACTAACCAAAGTGGTTTAGTAGCTAGATAGATAGACCCATTGCAGTACCAAATGTATAGTAAGTCTTAGTCTGTTAGAGCTGCTGTGATAGAATCCTATAGACTGGGCGGCTTATAAACAACAGAAATTTATTTCTCACAATTCTGAAGGCTGAGAAGTTCACAATCAAGGCGCTGGCAGATCTGGGGTCTGGTGAGGGCCCCTCCCTGGCTCATAGACAGCAGTCTTTTCTTTCTGTTATCACATGGTAGAAGTGGAGAGAGATCTCTCTGGGGCCCCTTTTATAAGGGCACTAGTCCTATTCATGAGGGCTCTGCCTTTATGAACTAATCACCTCCAAAATCCCCCACTTCCAAACACCCTGACACTGGGAATTAGTTTTCAACATACAAATTGGGGGTTAAGGGGCGGGCACAGATATTCAGACTACAGCATACAGTATATGTATTTTTCTCATGGTGGGTCACCCAGTATAACCCAGAGAGCCCTATCAAAGGATCATATTTGATAAGAGTGACTAGTCCATACTGTTGCCTAGTTTTACACTTGTAAATACTAGTGTTCCATTCTCTGCTTTCTTCAGTTTACATGATTGCCACTAAACCAATTCTTTTCCTTAAAAAAATTGTAAACCTTTTTATTTTTAACATGATCTATCTTTCTGCCATTAATTTATGTTCAGGTGAAAAGTTTAGGCCCCAAATGCCTAATAAAAAGCATGCAAGTAATTTGACTGGAAGTACAGCAAGAGTGCTAAAAAAAAGTGTTGTTATTTGTGAAAATGAAGGTTGCTGTTGGCTAGAGGTGAGAGGGCACCCAAAAGGAAATATACGAGAGGCCAGATAATAAAGTTCAGCAGGCTTTTAGACATAGATGAAAACTCTTTGACATTGCGAAGGGCGTTATAAACATCTCCATAACTGGGAAGAAGTGACCAACAATTGCATAGACAGGAGCTCCACAGACTATGGTTAGGGCTTCATGGGAATTTAGGAGATCTGAAGAAAATAAAACCACCACCAAGATAAAAAATCAGGAATGCATCTCCGTAGAAGCTATAAATGAGACAAGCCCTATAAGTATGTCATACCCTGCATGTATACAAACACAAATATAAATGTATATACACATGTATAGAAAGTTAGTGTCTGTTTTTATTAAAATGAGACAATATGCACATTATTCTATAACTTATTTTCCTCACTTAACAGTGTGTCATTGGAAGTGCTTTCTTAATATGTAGATGTAACTAATTTGTTTTTTGACAAGGGTGACAAGATAATTTAATAGAGAAGGATCCATCTTGTCAACAAATGGTGTTATGACAGCTTCATATCCATCTGCAAAAGATTAGAATTTTACTTCTTCTTTATACTATGCACAAAAATTACTCCAGTTGCATCATAGACCTAAATATAAGAGCTAAGACTACAAAAACATTTGAAGAAAGCATGGGAGAAAATCTTTATGACCTTGAGTTAAGTAAAGCATTTTTAGGTACAATACAAATGCACAAGTGAAAAAAAGAAAAACATATAAATCAGACTTCATCAAAATTAAAGACTTGTGCTTCAAATACCCATCAAGAATGTGAAAATATTTTTGTTTCATATATTTGATGAGAGGCTTGTATCCAGAACATATAAAGAATGCATGTAACTCAACAATAAAGACAAATAACCCAATTAAAATGAATAAAGGATCCGAATACCTATTGCTCCAAACAAGATAACGCAAATGGACAATAAGCATGTGAAAACATGCTCAACATCGTTAACTATTAGGGAAACGCATACCAAAATCATGAGATAGTACTTCACACCCACTAGGTTGGCAATAATCAAGAAGATAGATAATAGCAAGTGTTGGTGAGGATATGGAGAAATTGGAATCTTCATTACATTGCTAGTGGCGATGTAAAATGGTTTGGCCTCTTTGGAACACAGTTTGCCATAAACATAGAGTTACCATATGACCCAGTAATTCCACTCCCAGGTTATACCCAAGATAAATTAAACATATCTTCAAATCTCAAACCATATCTAAACTTCGATATCTAAAACATATCAAAAACTTATTCATAAATGTTATAACAGCATTATTTATTATAGCCATAAAGTGGAAACAACCCAAATGTCCATCAACTGATAAATAAATCAAATATGGCATAACCACAAAATGGAATATTATTTGGCAATAGAAAGGAATGAAGTACTGACGTATACTACAACGTAGATGAACCTTGAAACTTTATGCTAAGTGAAAGAAGCCAGTCACAAAGGACCCCATACTGTATGGTAAATTCAATATAGGCAAATCCATAGAGACTGAGAGTAGATTAATGATTACTAGAAACTGAGAGAGTTCGAGGAAAATGGAGAGTGACAGCTAATGTATATGGAGTTTATTTTTAGGGAAATAAAAATGTTCCAAAATTGATTGCGGTAATGGTGGCACAACTCCGAATAAACTAAAAATTACTTAATTATGCCCTTTAAAATGATGAATTTTATAGTGCATAAATTATCTCTTAATTTTTAAAATCCATAACAATAATATTTGCAAAATTATTTTTGCTGTGTTAGGTGCCATATTCATTCACAGGTTCCAGGAGTTATGATGTAGATATATTTGTGGGAGCCATTATTCTGTCTCCCTACTTAGATTGTATGGAAGTAGCTGCAACTGTAATAGTCAGACCTGGCTAGACCTTGCTGTCCTCTGTGAGTAGCAATGCAGCTCTAAAGAGTATACGTCTACAAATAAAGACAGTCAGGATGATACACTTCTTAGCAGATAGCATGGAAAGATGAAGACAGAAGGCACTATTTCCTACTCCCTTTTCTCTCCCAACAGTCGGACATAATGATACCACAAAAGGCCCTTTGTCTTAGTCATATCTTTGTTATGGTGTCTTTTTCCCTCAATGCTTTAAAGTTTTAAGTAAACTCTCCTTTTTCATATTTCCTTGTTACTTATGTTGTTTAGAAAGATCTCCCCTACATCAACATCAAAACTATTCCCCTAATTTTTTCCATTATTTTATTTTTCTTTTAAATATATAATGTGTGTGAGATTCTTTTTGTCAGTAATGTGAGACGGGTATGCCTTTGTTTTCTTTTAATTGGATAGCCATTTATTCCAGCATCATTTGTTAAATAAACAGTTTTTTTCTCTCTGAATTAGAGATCTTAGCCATATATTACATTCCATATTACCCCTATCTATTTCTGGACTCTGTCTTGTGTTTCATTGATAGCTGTCATTTTCAAGAATAAGAGCCTAATGCAGAAAAATAATTACATAATTAAAACTTCTATTCTGCTACACAGTTTGACACTGAACAATTAGAAAGTAAAGCAGTTTGGGCCATTTTTCTTTCCTGCTATTAACATAGGCCTTATTTGTGTAGTCCAGTTCACACTAAATGCAAAGCAAGATTGTGTATACACAATCTTTTAAGTATTTGCTCAAAGAGCTGGCTGATAATGTAAACACTACCTGAAATGTACAGATTGAAAGACACTGGGGCCGGGCGCGGTGGCTCACGCCTGTAATCCCAGCACTTTGGGAGGCCGAGGCGGGCGGATCACGAGGTCAGGAGATCGAGACCATCCCGGCTAAAACGGTGAAACCCCGTCTCTACTAAAAATACAAAAAATTAGCCGGGCGTAGTGGCGGGCGCCTGTAGTCCCAGCTACTTGGGAGGCTGAGGCAGGAGAATGGCGTGAACCCGGGAGGCGGAGCTTGCAGTGAGCCGAGATTGCGCCACTGCACTCCAGCCTGGGCGACAGAGCGAGACTCCGTCTCAAAAAAAAAAAAAAAAAAAGAAAGACACTGAGAAGCTCCTCTGCTTAAAAATATCTTCCTTACTGACAAGCAGCCTGGCCTGAAATAGCCACCATTAGAGTTACTCTCTTATAATAAGTGTACCACATCTAGAAGTTTCTTATATGAAAAGTTGAACACAAATCTATGGGCATCTACCACCATGTTAGACTTGAAATGATAGCTTTGATGGCATTATGAAATGCAAACCATTCCATTCAGTATATTTTCTTAGCATCATTAAATATTGAAGGAGATGGGGAAAGGTTTCCCCCATGACTTAATCTCTTACTAGAAGAAAATGTGTTTCTCATGAATATATTATCCTGGAAAGAAATCTCAGGGGGAAGGTTCGCGTGTATCAGTGACTCTTGATTTAGCTTTGCCATTTTTTGTTGTTGTTGTTAGCTTTGTAGGCTTTGCTATACTTCTTGACTGTTGCTTATTTAGAAGCATAATAAAGAAACTTGATTTTTTCCTCCCTGAGACTGCCTGCTTTCAGGATCAGTTTATCTTTCTTCTACTGAAAGCTAAGATTTGAGCTCATATAAATGATTTATTAATTGGAATTTGAGTTATCTTGAAGAGAAGCCTACTGTTTAAAACCATTAGCATTTTCTCCCCTCAACCCATTTCATTGAAGGGGCATTCAGCAAGGTTGTAATTTACGCAATGACCCTGAATTTACTCTGTGCTTTGCTTTCTGTAAATGTTATATGTTATAATGTGGTAAGACAGAAGTAGCCAAGTTACATTAAGAAGGAATGTATCCTGAACAAATTAATTAGAGTAACAATTTTCCTTTTGAGGTTTCTTAGTCTCTTGGAGCTCTTAAGAGTATCTGTAAGGAGACTAGTCTATATTTAGTAATTACTGATTATTTAACATGAGATTTCAATAGATAATTTTCTCTTCATGACTTTTTCTTAGTCACTTCAAGGGATGATATGTTCTCTATAGATGTTTTTCGATAGTAATTTTATTTTTGTTCTCATCCAATAACTGAAATCATTTGAGCTTTCTTCTTATCCTGGACCCTTTTTTATATCACTTTAAGTGAAATGATAGGTAGGAGGGCAGTCATATTTGGAAAACAGAAAAAAAGCTAAGATTGAGCCATACACATAATTGTAAGGCAATATTTGTCTGTGTTTATCTGTTTATTGACCTGTGCAAAGATACAATTAAAAAGCTGTTTATTAAAATGTTTTTTAAATCAGCTTTAAATATGTCTGTGTGTTTAAATGTATTATTCTGTGAGTAGAAGAAAAACATTTTTCTCAACAGTTTTTAGATGTATTATCTCCCACTGAAGAAAGACATGGAAATATTGGAATTATGGACCACCACAACAAAAACCTGATAGTGTGTGGCTTCAACCTTGACTCAGTTCAGAATTTCAACTACTTTGGTTGTTTTTATTTGATCAAATAGATGCCCAGATCCAATGCATTTATGGATAGCATAAATGAGTTGACCTGATTTCCTTAGTCTGAGGAAACCTTTATCAGAAATAGTGATAACATCATGAACTGGAATGAGAAATAACATAAAACATTTAGCAGAAAGATTAAAATCGGAGAACTACACCACTGACAGTAAAGACATTTCAAGACTAGTTTTATTAACTACTTAGTGTAAATCAAAGACTACAGAATAATTGTGTAATTATTTCTCAGAGCTGCTGTGTTTATTTTCATACAAAACATAGAAAAATACCACGTAGACAAAATATTTCATTTTAGTCAGCGTATAATGGCAGCTTGACATTTTTTCCAAGGCAAACATGACTTCTAATCTTAGATAGCTCTTCCCCTTGGTGATAAGCATAACTTCCCACCTCATTCTAGTTGATTTTGTAAAACAAGCAAACAGTTTTTAAACTGCCCAGTAGTGACTCTAACACATGTACCCTATTCATCGGATTATTTTATAAATATTCTAAATTTATTAAAATGCTTTTCTATGAACTTATTCTATATACTGATAATTTCTAATGTGAAAAATCTCAAATTTTTGCCACTAAAGAGGAAATATTTTCTATGTTATTGTTTTAAGAAGTGCTTCCTCAAAACAATAGAATGCTGGTTACCAGAGGCTGGGAGGTGGGAGGAATGGGGATGATAATCAAAGGGTAAAAAGCCACAATTAGATAAAAAGAATGATTATGATTTTTTAGATCTATTGCACATAATGGTAAATATAGCTAATAATTGATTACTGTACATTTCAATATCTTGAGAGTAGATCTCAATCTTATGACAAAAAAATGCCAAATATTCCAGGTGATGGATAGGTTAATTAGCTTGATTTAATTATTTCATATTGCATTAAAAATAATAGCCTCACTTTGTACCCCATAAATATATACAATCATGGTTTGTCAATATATAATATAATAATACTAATAAGTGCTTTCTCAACTTTTTTGGCATATGGTAATAATATAGGTCATCAATTATCTATTACATTTATGATTGGGTTGTATTTAAACAGTGATTTGAATGAGTGTTAAATTTTGCCATTTTAAATGCAACCAGGGAAATAAGTACCATTTTGCAAATGATTTTTTTTTTTTTTTTTTTGAGACAGAGTCTCACTGTCTTGCCCAGGCTGGAGTGTAGTAGTGCGATCTCAGCTCACTGCAACTTCCACCTCCTAGGTTCAAGCAATTCTTCTGCCTCACTCAGCCTCCCGAGTAGCTGGGATTACAGCTGTGTGCCACCATGCTCGGCTAATCTTTGTATTTTTGGTAGAGATGAGGTTTCACCATGTTGGCCAGGCTAGTCTCAAACTCCTGACTTCAGGTGATTTACCCACCTCGACCTCCCAAAGTGCTGGGATTCTAGCTGTGAGCACCATGCCCAGCTGATTTTGTGAGGTTAGAACTCTTGCTATTTCAATGCTCACCACACAAGTGTTATACTGTTGAATATTTGCTTGTCTTATGACTATACACACGACATATACACAAGCAAAAATATGTAACTGATTTAAATTTTTGTGTTAAATAAAACAAGAAGGTATTTTGTCCACTCTTCTATGAATTATTTTTACTTAAATAAAATGAGTCAATACAAATAGAGATTCATTATGACTACAAAGTAACTAAATCAGTTTTAGAATTGTTCAATCTCATTATGTAACAGTCCCATTATGTATATATAAGTTAAATATAAATTTTAAAATTCCTAGAAAATTGTAATAAAAATTTACTAGTCAAGGAGCTAACATTCTCTACTATATTGAAGGAGTAACTTTGTTTTCAGATTCTATTGAATCTAAAATTCTTTCTATTAAAAGATATACCTGGCTGGATGCGGTGGCTCATGCCTGTAATCCCAGCACTTTGGGAGGCCAAGGCAGGCGGATCACGAGGTCAGGAGTTTGAGACTAGCCTGACCAACATGGTAAAACCCTGCCTCTACAAAAATTCAAAAATTAGCTGGACATGGTGGTGCACATCTGTAGTCCCAGCTGTTCAGGAGGCTGAGGCAGGAAAATCACTTGAACTGGGGAGATGGAGGTTGCAGTGAGCTGAGATCACGCCACTGCACTCCAGCTTAGGCAACAGAGTGAGACTCAGTCAAAAAAAAAAAAAAAACAACACCCAGAGATATACCTCATGTACTACCAAAAAAAATCTAATTAAACTGTAACATAATACTTTCTTATTGCTTCAGATTTTTATTTTATACTTGCCAAAAGAATTATTTTAGACTCATTTATATGTGGATTTTTAAATAATTACTTCTGAGCACTCAAGCAAAAAGAAAATTTAAACAGAATGCATTTATTATACTTGTCAAACATCTTTGCATTCAGAGTTCAATTCTTCTGAATCACTTTTAAACTCAAATTGTCAGTATCTGTTTTTCATACATATTATCTCTTCTATCATCAAGAACATTAGTGCTATAGCTGTTCCTAAAATATTAATCCAGTATTATCTGTAGTATTTTCTTTCAAGTCACTAATACTCATCCAATCTGCCAGTTTTGAAACTGGCATTTTCCTGTCTTCTAGAATATTTCAGTGAAAGGTTTTTTTTTTTTGACAATAACCAATCTTGATATTCCTTCCTCAAATTATAAAGTTGTAGACATTAATTAAGATCAAGGCATTGCAACTGTCTGGTCATGTGCAAGAATATAAACCTAGTTCACTCCTTCAGTGACAGCCCCAACATGACTGCTCCCTGGATAATAGAGAATATAAGATGCCACCTATTTAAGACAAGTCTTAAGTTCAGAAATGTTAAAATATAGAAAAATGTGTATTTTAGAATTAATGAAATGTGGCATTAACATTGTTAAATTTTTCTATAATTGCAATAATTTAAAAAGTTTTAACAAAACTTTATATGCCACATTATCACTATATTATCTGGAGCACCTTGTGTGAATCTTTGCTATATAAACAAGAAGCAGCTTAATTGCAAAACAACATCTGTATTTCCATATCCTTTTTATGAAAGGATATGGAACAGATGTTCACTGGGAACTGACAATCTATGGAGGCAAAGGGGAATAGTTCTAGGGATTCAGAGTCATTCAGGAATAGGAGTTTTTCCTTTATTATACTCCATGGAAAACACAGTGTCACAATTTCAGGTTAATGTCTGAAATGTTAGACATAGAATTCAGAATTGGATGGCAAGGAAGTTCATCAAGACATAAAACAAGTTGAAACCCAATCCAAGCAAAACAGTAAAACGATCCAAGAGTTAAAAGATGACATAACCATTTTAAGAATGAAGCAAACTGAAATTTCAAAGATGAGGAATTTACTACAGGAGTTTCAAAGTACAATTGGAAGCAAAAACAACAGAGTAGACCAAGCAGAGGAAAGAATCTGAGAGCTTGAAGACCGCTCCTTCAAAACAATACAGGCAAACAAAAATGAAAAGAATGTAAAGAAATGAACAAAACCTCCAAGCAATATGGGATTGTATAAAGAGACCAAATCTGTGACTCATTGCCATTCCTGAAAGAGGAGAAAGAGCAAACAACTTGGAAAACATATTTGAGAATATAGTTCATGAAAATTTTCCCAATTTGCTAGAGAGGTCAACATACAAATTCAAGAAATTCAGAGATCCCCTGTGTGATACTATACAAGACAACCATCCCCAAGATGTATAGTCATCAGATTCTTCAAGGTTATTGTGAAAGAAAAATGTTAAAGGCAGCTAGATGGAAGAGGCAGGTCGCTTACAAAGGGAGCTCCATCAGGCTAACATCAGATCTTCAGAAACCTTACAAGTCAGAAGAGATTGGGGGCCTATTTTCAGCATTCTTAAAGAAAAGAAATTCCAACCAAGAATTTCATATCTCACCAATGCTTCATAAGCAAAGGAAAATTAAATTCCTTTCAGATAAGCAAATGCTCAGGGAATATATTACCGCTAGATTTGCCTTACAAGCGGTCTTAAAGGGAGTACTAAACATGGAAATAAAAGAACAGTACTTGCCACCAAAAAACACTTGAATACATAGCCCATTGTCAATATAAAGTAACTGCACAATCAAGTCTACATAATAACCAGCTAACAACATGATGACAGAATCAAATCCTAACATATCAATATTGGCCTTGAATGTGAATGGGCTAAATGCCCCACTTAAAAGGCTAGGTACAAGCTGGATAAAGAACCATGACCCAATTGTCTGCTGTCTTCAAGAGACCCATCTCACCAGTAACTACACCTATAGACTCAAAGTAAAGGGATGGAGAAAGATCTATCATGCAAACAGAAAACAAAAAAGAGCAAGAGTTGCTATTTTTGTATTAGATAAAAAAGACTTTAAAACAAGAGTGATCAGAAAGGACAAAGAAAGACATTGCATAATGATAAAGGATTCAATCCTAAAGAAGAGCTAACTATCCTAAATATGTAGGCACCCAATACTGAGGCACCCAGATTCATAAAACAAGTTCTTAGAGATCTGTGAAGAGATTTAGACAACCGCACAATACTTTTAAATATTTAAGTACTAGAGTTTTCCACATTAACAGGAATTTTTAACAATTCTGAAATGATTTAGCAGTGGAATTGGTTACAACCTTATGTTCACCATTCTGTTTTAGGGATTGATTGAAAAATCTCAGATAGTCAACAGATACTGAATTTCTCAGCATACTTAATTTCTTGTTTTGGAACCATTTCTTGATTTGTACATAACATCTTAATCTTATGATGCATCCTTTTGAATCAGCAATCAAATGTCCCCTGAGCTGGACTTTGGTTTCAGTGACCTCTGCGAAGGCAATCACAGCATATATAACACGTTGGATATAGCTGTTTAAAAATTACTATCTCTTTGGTTGTTGAAATTTCTTTCACATTGATTCTTCACCTTGTTTTTCCTTTGACATTGTACCTCTCTCAGTGGGCCCCCAAGTGTTCCTCACATAGGACATTGCTACAACTGGCTCAAAAACAAACAAACAAACAAATAAAAAAAACCTTTGTTTTTAGACTGGCTTTCAAATAAGAATTCCCTATAGAGAGATTTTTAGACTCTTTCCTCTCCTCTCTCACCTTCCCAGCTCTTGCTGATATGACACTAAGATTGTGTATCCTTGGAGTGGCATTCAGATCATGAGGAATTAATGAGTATTTGGGACCCAGATTTATTAAATTAGACCAGAATTCAAATAATAAAAGTTTCTCAACATAATTCATTGAAATCTTTATAATTATGTGCTACTCTACTCCTTACAAAAGAAAAAAAAATAGCCAAACCTGTGTTAGTCAGTTCTAGTAATTCTTGTCCATTTAACAATCTCTAAAACCACAGTAGTATATCACAATAAAATCTTATTTATTGCTTATATACATCCTTGCAGTCTGCGAGGTCCTTGTTCCATGCCTTCCAGAAGCCAAGTTCCTTCCATTTGTGTAGCTTTATCTGTTTCTCATTTCTTGGAGTCCTCTTCATTCAGGATTAGGGAATTACATGAGATACAATTTTATAAGCTGGGCCTGGAACTGTGCACATCTCTTTTCTTCACATTCCATTGAACTAAACTCAGTCATCTGGTTACACCTAACTGCAATGGAGACTGGAAAATGTATTCTAGCCTTATACCCAGGAATAAGAGAAGAATATGGATAATTATGAGCACCAGCTCTCTCTGTCTCAGTAAATTTTGAGTAGGCTATTTAGCAGTACTCCAGATATACCCTCCAAATTTGTTGAAAATGTTCAAACAAAATATGTTATTCAAATACAGGTATAGATGAATAAATATGAATGTATTATAGATTCAATCTTGTTGATTGAAGCTTTATTTAATATCTGAGAAAATTAGAATTAAAATGATAATCTATCACTGAAATTATCAAGAGAAAATATATAGAGAGGATTTCACATAATAAATGCATCACTTTAAGGGAATACATGATTTTGTTCAATATGTAGTTCCATGTTTAAAGATTCTTTAAGGGGTTATAGAATTTAACAACAGATTTAAGAGAAACAAGGGGCGTGGTTTTAAAAATCAACTTTTGATTATTCAAGATCTGATTACCTGTTTAGTGTATTCCAGAATACTCAATTTTCATCATATTTGTTCTAATACCTCCAGTAGCTATTTTATGAATTATATATGTCTCCCCTGGAAAAGAGAAAGGACAGAAAATTCAAACATTTAATATAGTTACAAAGGAGTTTTAGAAATTGCCAGTCTCTGAAATGGTGTTTGTTAAGATTATCCTACTGTCCATGGCAATGATCAGTATTAGCCCTAGTTTTCAGTACCCTAGTGTCAATGAGGTATGAGTGAAGGCCAAAAGCAGATGTTGTCCTGAAGACCATGTCTTGTCATACATCATGACAGACTTGATTTTCTCAGTCATTAGTTCAAGGGAGCAGGGTTAAACAATTTAGTTTTACATTAAGACAAGCTTTTGGCGTACACTGCACTCTTACTTGCTTCTTAGGAATCAGGAATGTTCTCTGTTCATCAGTTCTCATTTATCTTTTGTTTCTCTTTCTCATTGTTCTTGCTTTCAAGTGATAGGATAGAGGTTAAATATTAGTGAGGACAGAGATAGACATATCATTCTTTAAATATTTGTTTTTGAATGGCGATCATTAAAAAGTCAAGAAACAACAGGTGCTGGAGAGGATGTGGAGAAATAGGAACACTTTTACACTGTTTGTGGGACTGTAAATAGTTCAACCATTGTGGAAGTTGGTGTGGCGATTCCTCAGGGATATAGAACTAGAAATACCATTTGACCCAGCCATCCCATTACTGGGTATATACCCAAAGGATTATAAATCATGCTGCTATAAAGACACATGCACACGTATGTTTATTGTGGCACTATTCACAATAGCAAAGACTTGGAACCAACCCAAATGTCCCACAATGATAGACTGGACTAAGAAAATGTGGCACATATACACCATGGAATACTATGCAGCCATAAAAAATGATGAGTTCATGTCCTTTGTAGGGACATAGATGAAGCTGGAAACCATCATTCTCAGCAAACTATCGCAAGGACAAAAAACCAAACACTGCATATTCTCACTCATAGGTGGGAATTGAACAATGAGAACACGTGGACACAGGAAGGGGAGCATCACACACCGGGGACTGTTGTGGGGTGGGGGGAGGGGGAAGGGATAGCATTAGGAGATATACCTAACGCTAAATGACGAGTTGGTGGGTGCAGCACACCAACAGGGCACATGTATACATATGTAACAAACCTGCACGTTGTGCACATGTACCCTAAAACTTAAAGTATAATAATAATAAAAAAAAGAAAAAATAATGGGTGATTCCTCTAAATAGATGACTAGCTTTTTCTTTCTCTTACCTTTTTTAGTGTTTTCTATATAGATAAGGTTGGCTGCACTAGTAGGCAGAGCTTGAGTATTATTCTTTCGGAGGACAGGTATCTCCTGTCTGACCTGGCATACAGTGATTTGAGGCAAAACAAAATTTTGTGCGTAATTTGATTCTCAGGGTGTCTAGAAAATCTTTTAGTTGAAGGTTTCTGAGCAAATGAACAATCCTCAGTTCTTTGAACTATGATAAATTCTGAGAGAAGCTCATAGAACATTCATTATTCCCAGGTTATATTTTTCCATCTTGGATAGTACTAGAAAGCCTTTTCCCATGAATTCAGGAATGGAATAAGATTATGTTGTTTGAAAGTGCAGTTTTTTAATTAGAATGTAATCACCAGGACTTCTTTTTGTAGAAAAGATGGTTAAGTGTGATGCATTCTAAAGGCTCTCTTTCCAACAAATTCCTATCACCAGCCTATCTTATGCTTGAAATTGATTGTATCAGGTTGAAGCTTTGCATCTCCAGAAGTCTTCTTTAAACACAGTCACAAAAGAGATAGTAATATCAGTCATTAAAAGAGTTATTAGAAGAACATTATTTCTAGAAGAAATTGGATAAGAGAATAACTAGCTGAGCATTTCAGATATATTAATCAATTGAATAATTCATGCTCAGTCAAACTATTTATTATGAATCAGCTATGTATCTGCCACTGTGATAGGTTCTGGTTATACACACATAATTGAGACACTACTGCTGACTTCAAGGACTTACAGTCTAGTAGGCAAGACTGACAAGTAAACAAATAACTATCATACATTGCAAATCCCCCTAAAGCCTGTGAAGTGGGTAAGGTTTTCCCCATTTCACAAAAAGAGCACTTTTTTGCTGCCCAAAGGAAATAATCCTATTGAATAAGTAGTGTCCCCAGTAAGGAGGCAGAAGTAGCATAAAGTACCTGGAAATTAATAGGTGCCCAGGAAATATCTGTGCATGACCTCTTCTATATCATGCTTTCAAGGATCAGTTTTGCCTACCACTTAAGAAAATAGAAAAGGATTTATATGACAGTATTTCAGTTTTTCTGTTTATAAATTGGACACTCTAATTCTGTAGAATAGAGTCAGAAGTGAGATTTAAATATCTAACAGTCTGTATAGCGTGGACACTGACCACGCAAAATAGACACAGCTATAGCACTGAGGCAGAGTCCTGTACGTCCTGTGCTGTGAATATACCTTTATTCATTGGACACTGGGGATCACTAGAATCCTGAGGGAAGGACCTGGGAGACTAGGGTGGTGGTGAATCACCTGGAAAACTTCAGATAGCGGCTATTTGCCAACTTATACAAACATATTTAAATATTTTAACAACAGGTTTAGCCATTCTAGTGCGTAGGGATGAATGTGAGCTCTGAAAATAGCTATGCTCTGGAGAAAGAATAAATGATACTGTGAAGTAGAGAAGTTACAGTTATTGTAAAAATTGATGCCACTAAACTAAAGCCAAATTTCTTTTTGGCATCTGGATTACTTTATGATGTGGCAGGATATAATCATTTCTTATTCTTTCCCCCTCCTACATACTGCTGATGCTAAGTTGTGGGTGAATTTAGCTAAGATCTAGAGGCTCCTTTCTTCTGCCCAGCCCCAACTCATGGGACCGAGGCTGTACCTTGGTTGTGGTACTGTTGAGAATACTGGAGCCTTCATTAGCCTAGGTAATTCTCAGACCTACCTTATGGTCTGAGAGTTTCACAGTGAGAGAAACAAGCCCAGGACACCTTTGACTGTTGCCCTCTATCAACTGAGTGTTCAGCTCTCAAGAAGGTATTTCACTCAGAAAGAAGCTCCCATTGTTCCTATCCCTAGCACCAGAGACATGGATCCACCATTCTCAGCAAACTATCGCAAGGACAAAAAACCAAACACCGCATGTTCTCACTCATAGGTGGGAATTGAACAATGAGATCACATGGACACAGGAAGGGGAACATCACACATGGGGGCCTGTTGTGGGGGAGGGATAGCATTGGGAGATATACCTAATATTGGATGACGAGTTAATGGGTGCAGCACACCAACATGGCACATGTATACATATGTAACTAACCTGCATGTTGTGCACATGTACCCAAAAACTTAAAGTATAATAATAATAAAAAAAGATTCTTTCCTAGGGAAGGGAGGAGAAAGCAGGTGGAATATGTAACTCCAGCTCCTACCCAAAGGAACTGACTTCATTTGCAAGGAAAGATGGAAAAGTTCAAACCTAAGAACACTCAAAAGCAGTGGTGAAAGGCAGTTGGGAGGAGATGGATGGGCTCACTGGAGATATAGAATAAATTGTAGGCTAACTAGTTCTCTGGGGAAAACTAAGGAAAGAGATACCTGAGAATAGCCTTTTTTGGGTCAGAACAAATCTAAAACACTGAGGAACTATCCCTTAAAATGAGCCTGAATTTAAATGGATTAGTCTGTGAACCAATTTATACCTCAGGGCATTGTTGAAAAAATAGAGCAATCAGCCCTCAATTAGTGGAACTTAACAGCTGAATATGGTCAGGGAAAAAGACAAAGAGAGCCCTGCCAAAATTATTGTCATCCCAGGGTGACTGTGAGCATAAGCAAGAATGCATGCCCTGAGGAGCAACATCAGAGGCTTCACACTCTGTAGGAGTGGATAGATTATTTTAGTGGATTAGCTAAAATAATCTAGGTCGTCTCTAAACAGCTAAACAAGCAACCAGCCATAACAAGCCCCAGAAGGAATACCCTGAGTTGCTACAATATATTATCTAAAATATCCAGTTTCAAACAAAAAAAAATATGCATGCAAAGAAACAGGAAAGTATGACCCATACACCAGAAAAAATGCAACAGAAATGGTCAGTGAGAGCAACCTGATGCGAGATTAAACAGACAGTAACTTCAAAGTAGCCATTATAAATATGTTCAAAGAACTAAAGGAAGCTGGGATTAAGAAACAAAGGAGATATGATGACAATATCAAATGAAATAAAGTCCATCAATAAAATCAATAAAGTAAAACAATTTTTTTAAAACAACCAGTTAGAAACTCGGGTTAAAAAGTACAATAATTGAAATGAAAAATTTACTAGAAGGGTGACAGATTCACAGTGGATTCACAGTGGAATCACAGTAGATTTGAGGTGTCAGAAAAAATGATTAGTTAGCTTGAAGATAGAACAATACGTATTATGCAATCTGAAGAGCAGAGAGAAAAAAAAGAATAAAGATAAAAGAATAGAGCCTCTGGAAAATGTGGGACACTGTTAAGCATAATGAGAGTGTTAGAGAGAGGGCGAAAAAAAGAAAACAAAAAAAATTATTGAAGGAAATAATGGCTGGAAATTTCCAAAATTTATTGAAAAATGCATCCAGGAAGCTCAGCAAACTTCAAATACAGTAAATGCAAAGAGATCCACAAATAGACACATCACAATAAATATTCTGAAAGCCAAAGATAGGGGAAAATCTTGAAAGCTTCAAGAGAAAAACAATTCATTATTTACAGTAGAACCCCAATAAGATTAACACTCACTTCTTATTGGAAACAGTTGTTGGCCAGAAGGCAGTATGTTAACATTTTTGAAGTGCTGAAAGAAAAACAAAACGAAACAAAAATAAAGAAAAAAGAACTGTCAACGAAGAATTCTATACCTAGCAAAGCTGTTATTCAAACATGAAGGCAAAAAAAGACATTCCCAGATAAGCAAAAACTGTGCAAATGCGTTGCCAGCGGACAACCACTACAAAAAATACTAAATTCCTTCAGCCTGAAAGCAAGTGGCCCTAGACAATAATGTAAATAAATAAATAAATAGCACCAGTAAAAGTAATTATGTAATTATAAAAGACATAAAAGTATAAGTGTATATTTCTTCTCCTTTTTAAACCTATGTAATACTGAGTATAAAAACCAATATGTATATAAAATATAAACATACTGAGCTATAGCACATAGAAATCTAATCTATCTGCCAATAATAATACAAAGGATATGAATGGCAGCAAAGCCATATTGGGCTAAGAAAATGACTCCAAATGGTAATTTGAACCCATAGGAATAAAGAAAAAGAACCAAATAAAAATATGAACATTAATATAACAATACCTATAAATACATATTTGCTCTCCTTTCTTGGAGTCTCTTTTTTTAAAAAGTCTTTTATAGTAATAATTAAAACAATAACTATAACCAAAAATAGTCAGGTTTTTAAAATTTATGGATATAATATGTATAACAATAATGCCACATAAGAGGGAAAAGAGAATAGAGCTATATAGGAGTATTGTTTCTATATCACACTGGAATTAAGTTAGGATAAATATGAAGCTATTTCTGATAAGATGTATATAGTAAGCCTTAGAGCAAGAATTAAGGAAATAACAAAAAATATACCAAAAAATACTTTTAAAAATTGAACTGCTACTTTTGAAAATATTCACTTAATACAAAAGAAAGCAGTAAAAAAGAATAGAGGAACAAAAATACACGAGGCATATAGAAAGCAAAAAGTTAAATGGCAGATTTTAATCTACATCAATTATAACATTGAATATAACATGGATTAAAGATTTCAACAAAGGGCAGAGTTTCTCAGACTAGATTAAAAGACAAGATCTGACTGTGTGCTATCTAAAGGTGACACACTATGGATACAAACAAATCGGAAATAAACGGATGAAAAAAGATATGTAAACAGAACTACAAGAAAGTTGGAGATTCTGTACTAATATCAGACAAAATGACTTTAGTTGTGATAAAGAGAGGCCTTTTCTAATGATGAAAGGATCCATCTGTCAGAAAGATATGGCAATTCCAGGTTAAGCATCTCTATTCCAAAAATTTGAAATTTGAAATATTCCAAAATGCAAAATCTTTTGGGCCAACATAATGCCATGAGTGGAAAATTCCACACCTGACCTCATGTGATAGGCCATAATCAAAACATTGTCAAAATGTTGTTTCATGTACAAAATTATTTAAAATATTGTGTAAAATTACCTTTGGTCTATATGTATAAGGCGTATATGAGACATAAACGATTTTGTGTTTAGACTTGGATCTCAGTCTCAAGATATCTCATTATGTATATGTAAATATTCCAAAATCTGAAACACTTCTGATCCCAAGCATTTTGGATTAAAGGATACTCAACTGGTGTATACATATGTGCAGCTAATAGCAGAAAACTAAAATACATGAAGCAAATACTGACAAAAATGAAATAAGAAATAGACAATTCAACAACACAGTTGGAAACTTCAATATTCTACTTTTAGTAATGGCTAGAACCACTAGGCAGAGGGTCAACACAGATCTAGAAGATTTTAACAATGCTAGACCTAATGCATATCTATAGATAACACTCAACAACAGCAGACTACATTTTGCTCAAGTGCACATAAAACATTATTCAAAATAGAACATATACTAAGCCATAAAATAAAGCTCAATAAATTTAAAAAGATAAAAAATAATACAAAGTATGTTTTCTGACCACAAAGGAATGAAATTAGGTATTAAAAACAAAGAAATATGGGGAACTCCCAAATATGTGGAAATTAAGTGACACACCAGTTTCAATGAAGATATCAAAAGATACACTTTGATATAATTTTAGGTGAATACAAAAAGGCCAGGCACGGTGGCTTACGCCTGTAATCCCAGCATTTTGGGAGACCGAGATGGGCAGATCACTTGAGGTCAGGAGTTCGAGAGTAGCCTGGCCAACATGGTGAAACCCCATCTCTACTAAACATTACAAATAATTAGCCGGGCATGGTGGCACATGCTTGTAATCCCAGCTACTTGGGAGGCTGAGGCAGGAGAATTGCTTGAACCCAGGAGGTGGAGGTTGCAGTGACCTGAGATCGTGCCATGCCATTACACTCCAGCTTAGCAACAAGAGCAAAACTCTGTCTCAAAAAAAAAAAAAAAAAAAAAGAATATTACATGATAGAGTAAAAGCAGTACTTAGAGGTAAATTTATACTACAAATGACTATATTAAAATATATCCTACCCTTCTGTATTGACATTGGGAAAAGGAGAGTAAACTAAACCTAAAACTAGCAGAAGCAAGGAAATAAATATTAGAAAGGAAATTAATGAGATGTAGAATAGAAAAACAGAGAAAAATAATGAAACCAAAAGCTGGTTCCCTGAAATGACTAATGAAATTGACAAACCTTTAGCTCAACTAACCAAGAACAAAAAAAGGACTCAAATGACTAGAATCAGAAATGAAAAGGGGGACAAAACTACTAACCCTAGAGAAATAAAGAAGATTACAAAGGCATAATTGAAGAACTGTATATTAAAGTATTAGACACCTTAGATGAAATGGTCAAATTCCATTTTAGAAGGACTATATTAAAATAGATCATAACTTTCCATATTAAATCAATTCAAGGAGAATAAGGATTAATTAAACCAATTGTTTGGCATAATTGAATTTTAATAATTTCAGTTCATTGTACAGGCTTCATATATTTAGGTTTTGAATCCCATGTAGCCATGGATACTTCTTTGTCTTTTTCCCTAATAATCAACCCATTATTGATTTCAGGGCTTTAATTGGGTTGAAGAATGAGCACAAATATTAACTGTTCCTGCCTGAAGAATGACGATTATTGTGAAAGGACTTTTTAACGTGTGCAACAAATGATCATAATTTCTTTTTGATTTTTCTTTGTGATAAAGGGAAAAAATAGCATTAGTAATTGTTACAGAAGGTAGTAATAATATATAATAATTATATAATAATGGCAGAGTTAAGTTGAACACAATTTAGTAATCGTTTTGTTCTACAATATTTGTAAGATTCTTTTTCCTTTTGTAGTAAGTTTGTGTCTAAATTTTAAACATCAGACAAGTTGTTTTTAATTTTAGTGATGATCAGAGGAAATTAATGAGAAGCATTTGACTTTGCTTGTCATGCAAAGTGTACTGGTTTTGGTTGGTTTTTGTTTGTTTAACATTTGACACATTCTAGGAGGTACGATTGTTTCGGTTACCTAAACTGTGTTTTATACTATATGAATGAACTTACCCAGGGAATGGAGTAGATGAAAAAGAGAAAGCAGGAAGGAAATCTCAAAGGGATATTTTTATTTCTACAAAATAGCAGACTTGTAGCTTTCCTATCAAAGAAAGAATAATAATTAATTATGGGCCAGCAGCATGAACATGGGCAGCTCCTGGGAGCTTGTTGGAAATACAGACTATCAAATACCACCACAGACCCACTGAATGTGCATTTTCACAAGATCATGTGATTCCTATGCATATTTAAGTGTGAGTAGCCCTGATAAGGTACCCCTCCCCTGTATTATCTAGAAGCACTTTCTGTATTTGTGGTATTCTGCTAGGTGGGGGGTTCTACCCACCTAGCCCAGTGTTTACATTTAGATAAAAGGCTTTAAGCCTTAAGCTGTGAAAGATGTTTATGTAATTTACAACATTACTGATTAAAAGAGAAAGATGTATAAAGCACCAGGAGCTCTAGTTCCATTAAAACTGAACCGTAGGTGTGGTATCTGTTTCACGTGTAAGTAAGCCAGCTTTTTTTCAGTTAACCAGTACAAAGTAATTTAAATTCTTTGCGTCTTGGATTTCACTTGTTGTTAGAAGCTCTGGGCCTAAAAGTTATTATGCAATTTTGAATGAATCTTATAGGGGGTCAGTTTTTAGACAGTTGTGTCTGAAGACTGAGGATGCTATCTGCCCAAGGGGAGAGGGCATACTTTGGAAATTTTGGCACCTTTGGCTGAAAGGAATGTTTGTGGCCTGACTATATTTACTCCGCCTGCCTGAGATTATTCTGTTAGTATTTTGATATAAACCCATGGTAAAAAAGATGAGTATTAAGGAAAATCCGTAAATTATGCTTGCATCAGATTGAGAATTTTGCATTCCACTATCATTGCCTGAGGACATTTGGAGAACTATTAATATATTTAAATGATATAATAGTCCCTAAATGCAGAACCACAGAGAGTGTATTAACCTAAGTATTCTGGACAAATATTAGCAGATTGAATGATGTCAGTATGAACTAAGCCGCTACCAGCTTGAATCTGTTGATACAATTTGCAGTCACATTAAATAGTCAGTTTTATTCATTAAATGACAACTTCATCCTCCAAAAACCCATCTTGTTTGTAGTGTGATATGAATGGAGAAAAGCAGATAAAAAGCAAATATCAGGGCTTTGTTCTTAGCAGTACAGTTTAAGCAATTTTCTCAACACCCTCGTTTAATTTTCTTTCAAGGAATACCTACTATCTGTTAAACACTTTCCACCTGCCCAGTGTTCTAAACTTAATGAAACAACATGGCAGTAACTTTTGCAAAAGGCAGCATTTTCTAATGAAAATGCTCTTTGGTTAAGGAACACCAGAAACACACTTTTAGTTGAACAAGTTGATGATTTATTATTTGATAAAATGAAAGAGAATAAATCCCATGGAATCGTGGGACATCTCAGTAATAGTGTTGTTATGAGTGAATATTTGTGTCCCCCCAAAATTCATATGTTGAAGCCCTGATCTTGATGTAATTGTATTTAGAGACGGGGCCTTTGGGAGGTAATTAGACTTGGATGAAGTCATGAAGATGTGGCCATCATGATGGGATTAGTGCCGTTATAAGAAGAGATATGGTGGGAGTTTCCTTTTCCTCCCACCCCTGCCATATGTGGACACAACGAGAAGGCAGCAGCCATCTACAAGTCAGGAAGTCACCCCTCACCACAAACAGACCACGGTAGCACCCTGACCTCAGACTTCCAGGCTCCAGAACTGTAAGAAAATAAATTCTACTGTTTAAGTCACCCATTCTATGGCATTTTATATGGCAGCCTGAGCAGACCAATACAAGGGTGCTGGAAAGAACCTATAATAGCATTTGAGCATTGGTGGGGTGACTTTTGGGAGGGTCCAAGAAAGCAGAGATTTGCTCTAGATTGGGTACTCTCAAAAAGTGGGGACAATTCCGTGACTGGGTATCTCAGTGAACAGAGAGGGCAGACAAGAAAGAGGATAAAGCTATTTTTTTGTAAAGGAACAGCAGTCACTCATATTAGCCAGGAGATAGGGAGGTTGGGTATTTCGTGGGGGACATAATGACCTTGATTTTGTCTATGCTAAGATAAAATTATAAACTGACGTTGTTTTGTCTCACTTTATCATGGTCTCAGAGTGACCTTTTCTGATATTGGTGTCATGTGAAATTGTTTATGTCCTACAGGGAAATAACATGGCCTAACTGTGAGTACAAGGCCAGCTTCTTAACAACAGTGAAGCCCAGCCACACATGTCAGACTAGTTCCAGATATTACAGGCTGATTTCCTTTTCACTAGCTAGAAAATTGTTTTCTAGATGTTTTGGAAGAATTATTCCTTCCAGTAGCAAAATATATTTTATTTTAATAAAAGTATTTTTGATTTAGAGTCTTTAATTCATTCAATAAGCAAACATTGAATAGATAAAAGGACCATACATAGACTCTTAAAATTTCAGTTGTGAAATAAAGCTTAAACAGCATCTAATTCAATCTCTCGTTTGATACTGGTATCCTTTCTCTGACATTGCTGCCTAGTAATTGCCTAGTCTGTGTTGGAATGGTTCCAATAAGAGGAAGCACTCACCTTCCTGAGAGAATTCATTCCATAAGTTGAATAATCAAGTTAGACTTTGATTCGTTGTATATTTCATCTATTGGCTTTATTTGTACCCCTGAAGCAACAGAGAGCAAAACTAGTGTTTTCCATAAGAAAGGCATTCTAATCAAGGAAAAAATAATTCACACAAACTAATTCAAAGAAAAAAGTAATTTTTTTTAAAAAAGGCTACAACAGGCAATATCAAAGACAATAAAAAGAAATTCCCATCACACTGAAGCAAGCTAAGCCTCTTCCTCACGTCTTCCAGAGTCATACCATCTCTGATTTCTATTTTTCACTGAGTGTCCTTCCCATTTTTTCCTGCTTGCCAATCAGCATTCTGTTTCCCATTTTACTCGTAGCTTCAGCCAGCTGATTACTTTGGCTTACGGTGGTCCTAGCTCCAATGGAAACTGAAATCCCAAATCTACAGGATATTTTATCTTAAGAGCTTATGAACTTATGAGCTTAAGTGACTCAGTTTTGGATTAGTTCAAATTTAAGGGTAAGGGAAATCTGCTTGGATCAGTTCAGCCTATGATTTTTCTTCCTCTAGGTCAGGTGTTCAGTCTTGTCTAATTGTTCTACTTCTTAAAATGCAGCTTTTGTAGACAAGGGCCAGCACTGTGTTCATTACAGAAACTATTCAAGGTTCAAAGAGTTATTTAGAAATGTACCAGATTAGGGTAGAGGATGTGAAAATATAGAACCATTTAGGAAAATGGTCCCTAAACATACGAAAAATGCTCAACTCACTCATAATATGAATATAAAATAAAACTACTCTGTAATGCCATTTTTCACAGGCCTGTAAAATTGTGGAGTAAAATGTTAGATATGTTAGCCAATATAGCATATCAGAGGCTGTGAGGAAGTAGACCTTTTTACACATTGCTAGTAGGAGTATATATTAGTACAGTTTCTATGGAGATTAATTTGACAATGTGTTCGATTTAGATTTTCATCATTAGGGACGGAATAAATTCATTAAGATGCAGTCATAGAATGAAAACCTATGTAAAAATGATAAACATAGAAATACTTTACTTAGTGATATGGTATTTCCACATAAAAAAAAAAAATCCCACCTTCCTGGGCCCTTCCCCCATCCCCAAAATATCCATTAAAGAAACTAGACTCTGCTACACTGACAGAAGAGGGCACCATTGAACTAAAAATTTTGTAAGCCACCACACATCTACGAAATGGATTAGACAAAAGTGAATAAATCTATACAAATCTGCTATCTACTATAACAAAATCAAAATCAAAATTTTCATCCGATAAAAATTTGTCTTCAGAAAGCATCACGAAGCAGAAGAAAAATGTAATAAAAAGCTCCAAACTTGATTTAGAATTCTTAAGCATTTGTTGATATGAAAACATTAAAGGCAAAGTGGACAAAAAGCTATAGAAATCAAAAGAGATTGACTAAACTCAGGAAAGAAATTAGGAAAAGGAGAAAATTATCATAAATATGAAGACTAAATTAAAGAGTGCCTAAGGGAGGACAGACTGAAATGAAAATTTTATGGTATATTGAAGTAGGAAAACATAAAAGATATTGAAAAGTGACACACAGAAAAGTAAAATGGAACAGAAAAGAAGTGGCTGAAATGGAAGACAGGCAAAGAAGAAGACATATTAATTATAGTCTTTGTGGGTACACTAGCATGTCAGAAATCATCACTAAAGAACTTATCCATGTAACCAAAAACCACCAGTCCCCCAAAAACTATCGAAATAATAATAATAAAAAAAACTATAGTCCCTGAAGCAGAAAAAGAAAACAATAGAACAGGGCTAATATTTAAAACTTTAATTCGAGAACACTTTCCAGAAATAAATGAAGACCTGTATGTGCATATAGTAAGAGCTCAGTGGGTAGCTGGAAAAATCAACCTGGAATGGTGAACTTTGAGGCACATCCTAGTAAAACTATTAGATTTTGAAATCTAAAAAATAATTTTCTTAAGCCCTCCTACCAAAAATATTAAATGATTTACAAGGAGGAAAACATAGACTGGAGTCAGACTTCTCCAAAACAACATACAAAGTAAGACAGCAATAGAGCAACTGTGCAGAGTGGGGAGTGTGGAACTAGGAAGAAATTTTGCATTGGGGATTCTTTATTCAGATCTTAGAACAATAGGTAAAGTCTACTAGGGATGGTTTTTTTTTCTAAATAAAGGGACAACTGGGAAAACTTCAGAAATGGGGTATATGGTAAACATCTACTAGATTTTATCATAGATATGAGATTAAAAGAAATATGGGTACAAAGATATAAGTATAATGTAGAAATATTACATGTTCTGACAATGTAATGATGCAAACAAAAGAGAGAGGATAAAAGAGAGGTAAAGGTAAATAGGAAAGAGAAATAAGCTCTTGGTAGTATATTTTATATGTGAGAATTAAAGGATCATTAAAAACTGATAAATAAGAAGGTAACAGACAACTGAAAAAAATTATTTGCAATATACAGCCAAATAAAGGGCTAGTATCCCTAATGTATAAAGAACTATTAAAATTGAGAAGAAACACCAAAAGCTTGGTAGAAAAGATATGAACAATTTACAAAAAGAGATATAAAATTGACCCTTAAGTATTTGAAAAGTTATTCAGCCTCACTGATAATATAGAAGTGCAAATTGAAACTACAGAAATATATTTTTCATCTCTCAGATTGGAAAAAACTAAAAAGTATGGCAACACATTTGTTGGCGAGGTTATATGTAATCTGGCACTCTCATACTGACAACCTCAAACATGCCAATTGGTACAGCCTTTGGAGAGGGAATTTGGCAGTATCTAGTAAAAGTATTTAGACATTTACCTTTCAATGCAGACACCTTTTCTAGGAATTTATTCTGAAGATTTTCATTCAACAATTCAAAAAAAAATGCACGCATAAAGTTGTTTACTACAGCATTTTTTTGTAATTGCAACATATTGGAAATAACCTAAATGCCTTTATGTAGGAGAGAAGTTGAGCAAATTAGAGACTGTTCATCCAATGTAGTACTATACAGCTTAAAAAGAATAAGGAAGACCTCTATTCTGATATAGAATAACTTGTGGTATACTGTTTTATGAATTTTTAGAAAGCAAAATGCAAAAGAGCATCTAACACCTATAATTTTTATTTAAGGAAAAGGGAAATAGAAATGTATACATATTTGCTTATTTGTACAGAGAAAAACACAAGGAACATAAACTAAAACTAAAAAATAATGAGCTAGTTGCCACCAATGATGATTAGGAATATGAGAGTGAGAGCAAGAGAGAGAGAAGGAATGAGGTAGAATACATGGGTTCGGGGGAGAGATAGTTCTCTATACGTATTTGTATACTTCTGACATTTAGTACCAAGATGATGTTGCACATCCTAAAATAAATGAAGGAATGGATGAAATCAATAGGGTGTGGGGGGATGATGGAATACTAACAGGATAAATGAGGCTAATTGTATTTCAAATGGATAACATAACTATACTGAATGGGAAGGGAGCAGACTCATTTAAAGAGCTTTGAACATTGTATTTTGATTATATATCCTCAGGTTACAGACAAAAAGAACTTTAAACAAACATTTATTCTAGTTAGTAGGTTTATTTTTCACAGGGTGTACTAATCTGTTGTCATGCTGCTAATAAAGGCATACCAGAGACTGGGTAATTTATAAAGAAAAAGAAGTTTAATGGATTCACAGTTTCAGATGGCTGGGGAGGCCTCACAATCATGGCGAAAAGCAAATCATAGCAAAAGCATGTCTTACATGGTGGCAGGCAAGAGAGCTTGTGTAGGGGAACTCTCATTTATAAAACTATCAGATCTCGTGAGACTTATTCACTACCATGAGAATGGTATGAGGGAAAATGCCCACATGATTTAATTATCTCCACCTGGCCCTGCCCTTGACACATGGGGATTATTACAATTCAAGATGAGATTTGGGTGGGGACATAGCCAAACCATATCACAGGGGTATAAATTAGCAATTCTGAAACTATTTGAAGTGTATTCTAGTATAGAGTAATACATAGTAGTATGTGAGACAAGTTTTTTTATTATCAAAGAAGCAAGTTACGGATACATAAAGTGGAGACTAGAATGAAGTTTTTGATGTTACGTTAGAATTTGAGATGCCATTATGAACTCATGGCTTTAAAACATATAATAAAATATATGTAAATAGAAACAGATCTGTGTGTGTGTGGGGGGGGGGCGTGTTCTATCTTTGTTCACGAAGATAACCTAGAAACAATACCATTTAATACCATCGAGCATCCCTGCCATCCAGATGTAGTTTCTAAATACCATTGTTTACTAAAAGGAATAGGGGTTCCTTAAAAAAAATGACTGGTTCCAGGGCTGGTGTAGAGAAAGTTCAAGTTCAATTAGAACATCTTTTTGTGTGCTGTTAACTAAGGAAGTGATCAAATAGTGACAGAGACATGACAAAAAGGCATTGGAACTAGTTTAAAGAGCCCTCACTGACCAAATTTTGGACAATTGAGCATCAAAATAAATAATGATAGTTAGATTAAAAGTCATGAGTTTTTTATATAAACACATAAATAAATATAAATAGGGTAAAGGAGCACTCTGTCTAATAGTAAAATATTAAGTAGTAAATATAGATGAATGATGGAATTAGCAAAAAATATTGAAACATCCACCATAGTAATAAATGTTTCAGTCAAGAATCATCAATCAAATTAGTGAGTGGAAATATGCTGATGAGAAACAAGTTTTTACATAATCTCAAAGTATCACCCCATAAGATACTTATTAATTACAAAAGGAAAAATAGTAACTTTATCGTGGACAAACTTTCAGACACCATCATAACCAAATAATATAAGTCAGCATTGTTAGTGATAGGACAAATGTCATGTACTTCCAGCTATGATGTACCTAGAAGACACATATTTTCTGTTATTCCTGCCGAAAGCAAAAATGTGAATCTATACTTGAAGAAACATCAGACAAACCTAAACTGAGGGGTATTCTACAAAATATCAAGGTTATTAAAGACTGAGACATTGTTCTAGAATAAAGGAGACCTGACAACTAAATCCAATATATAATCTTGAATTGGATCCTGGGCAAGGAAAAAATTATATTTCTATAAAAGACATTAGTGAGAAATAGCCAAGAGACTCTTTGGGATTCAGAGACTCACCCTTTGCCTCTTCACTTCTCAAAGTTGATTACTATTTTTCTGTCTTGGTTCACTCCTTTCTCCATGTTTCCCCAATTTCTCCAAAAGATGAGAACTTTAGCCTACTCCTTTTGAGAACAGAGGGCTTATGCAGAGGCTGGGAGGCAGTTATCAAACAATTTATACTGAAGTCCAATCACTTCCTTCCACTCTTATTTCCCTGATCCTAGCTACTATCATCTTGTACTTGATTGTTGCACCACCTTTTTTATTGATGCTGTTGCTTTTACTATTGCTTTCCTGTAAACTATTCTTAACACTGGAGTCATAGTGAGCTTAAGTCAGATCATGTGACTCTTCTGTTCAAAAGCCATTAATATCTTTCCATCTCTTCAAGAGTAAAAGCCAAAGTCTTCACAGTGATCTGCCCATCTGTCCCACTGCTGCTTTAACCTCACCTTCTTCACTCTCTACTTCAAAAAGCTCTGAAGGACTGTTCTGCCCCAGAGCCTTTGTACTCACTGATTACTCTGCCTGAAATATACTTCTTTCAGATGTTTATTTCCTTTACTTGCTTTTAGATCTATGCTCAGTATCACTTATCAGAGTTTTTTCACTGGCCACCTCTTATATAATACTCCCTCCTATCACAGTTGCTCTTATTCCCTATATTAGTTATTTATTATTGAATAACAAATTACCCTAGACTCAGAGGTTTAAATCAATAAATATATATTGTCTCCATTTCTGTGGATCAGGAATTTAGTAGTGGCTTAGCTGAGTGATTCTGTTTAGGCCCTCTAGTCATGTTGCAAGCGAGGTCAGCTGAAGAAACAACCATAAGTCATGAGTGGGGCTGAAAGATCCACTTCCAAGTTATCTCACTCACATGCCTGGAAAGTTGATGCTAGTTTTGGTTGGAGGTCTCAGCTTTTCCCCATGTTGCTCTTTCCATAGGACTGCACAAGTCTCTTCATGACATGAGGGCTTCCACTAGCATGAGTGATCCCAGGCCAGAATAAAGGGAAAGCTCAGTGTCTTTTATGACCTAGCCCTTATCATTTCTGCAAAACCCTGTTGGTTATATAGGTCATCTCTATTCAGTGTAGCAGAGGACTACACAAAGGCATGCATACCAACAGGCAAGAATCACTGAGGACCATTTGGGAAGCTGACTTCTAAATCCTTCATATTCTACTTTATTTGTCTACATAGTTCTTAATTTCAACTAACTTACTATATATTTATTTTTAATTTGTGATTTATTTGCTTTTCCTCACTTGTCTCGTTTATGCCCAGCACCTTGAAATTTTTTATTTGAATTGCGTATTATCAACACTGCAATCAGGTTTTTGTTTGGAAATAGAAAATATCCACAGTTGGGTAACTTTGTTAGTATAATTATACAGGGATTAAATAATAGAAGAATGTCCATGCTGTGTACACCTGAAACTCTGCAGGAAATACTTTGCTACTCCTTCATCAATATAGACCTAGAAATTGCAAAAAATATGGTGGCATTGACTTTTACTCCTCCATAGCCTATTCCCAAGCTCCTTCCAAAGAATAGTCTCTTATGCTTTATTAACAAAGAGAAATGGATTTTTAAATCTTGTCAACCTTAGTAGGCCTCCCCCACCCCCATTAATAGGGTTATTTTGAGAATTAAATCAGTTTTATGAATATTAGGAGACTCTCTGTCTCTGAGTGTCTATTATGTCTTCAACTTCTTTGAAGAAATTTGATTTAATTTTGGAATATTAAGGTTTTTGGTAGCTACTAGACGTTCATGTGATCCTAGCTGGTTTGTCAGAATATCAAGCTGTAGGCACAGGCTTTTGATATGGCCTGAACTGAAATCCCTGCCTAGTAAGGACAATAGTAATAAACTGAACCAGTAAAATTTTCTGTCTTGGGACTGGGAGTCATGCTTCCTTAGGAGGATGCATCAAATCTCTCTCAAGGTCTCCATATTGATTTTCTCAAAGAAATCTCCACTGATTCTGCTGTTTAGCCGCACCCCTGCTCTCCCGTCACTGAACTATATAACCTCTAAGCTTCATTTCAGCAATAAGTTCTTTGTTATTTGATGAGAATCAAAAGTTTAATGTGGGCTGGGTGCGGTGGCTCACGCCTGTAATCCTAGCACTTTGGGAGGCCAAGGCGGGAGGATCACTTGAGCTCAAGAGTTCAAGACCAGTCTGGGCAACATAGTGAAATTTTGTCACTATATACTTAAAATAAAAAAATTGAAAACAGTTTAATGTGGTCCAAAATCACCTGACTTCAAGATTTTAGTAAAGATTGTTTCCTGCTGAGAAATTGGTAGTTAAGAAAAAAATAAATATAAAAGAAAAACGAAATATATACCTGGAGGTAGCTTACCTACTATGGAGTGTCTATATAGTATTTTATGAATCTGCCTCTTCTCTAGAAGGTGAGCATCTTAAGGGCAGAAGCTAGGATTTACTCTTGAGATATGTGCCTATATAGCGTTAGGGCTGACTCAGCATATCTCTTGGCGAGAGAATCTGGGAGCCAGTGGAATTCTCCCCTCAACAGCTGGATTCTCCAGCCTGTAGCAGATAATGGAGGGCTTGATGGGATGCAAATGAAACAGTGCGGGCTTGGTTAGTTTTTCAGAACAAGTGGGGGCTGAGAGGCTAGAATATAGTTCGTTGATGCTACTTTGAAATGCATGTTAATGTGCTGATTCACGTCAAAGATAAGTTTGGCTTTATAAATAGTCTTTCTCTCTCTCCCAGCAAACAGGCTAGAAAAGATGATTCTCTGACAGGAATGATACTCAGGACTAGGAACCTCCTAAATGATGGGGCCTATTTAGTTAATTATGGGGCCAATCTGTGAATGTGTTGCTAGAGGCTTGGAAATGAATACTTTCCCTTGTAGTAAAGGAGCAGTAGATGATGGTTTCAGCCAACTTCAGCTCCGTCTATGAAGAGCCCACACTTCCCTGGATAAGCAGCCCAACTGTTGGGTCTCTTTAATAATTAGAGAAGCCACTTGTTGGTCAGAGCTGACAAGAAAAAGTAGGGAGCAAATAAAGGTAATTTTTTTCATCTCTTTCATTAGAGAATGTTCGTGTATATAAGTATGTTCTGGTTGAGAGTCAGAATCATGTTCTGAGTGAGGCATTGGGAGGGTTCTACTTCAAGAACTCTGAAATTAGCTCACAGTTTATCATATGGGACTCTAGTTCTGTCTTCTGTTCAGAAACTTTTAAAGGAAATACTACAAACAAAAATTTCTACAGGACTTATGTATTCTAGAAAATTCTACATTTGGAACACATGAAATCAATGCAAGGAATTAAACTGTTCTGTACAGTATCTAGTCATTTATTTCTTTTCACTACCTTTTACTCAATACTTATATCTTAGTCCATTTGGACTGCTATAACAAAAATACCATGAACTGAGTAGCTTATAAACAACAGAAATTTATTTCTCACAGTTTTGGAGGCAAGGTAGTCTGAGATCAAGGTGCCAGCAGATTCAGTGTCTGATGAAGGTCTGCTGTCTAGTTCATAGGTGATTTCTTCTATCTATATCTTCATATGGTAGAAGTGAAAGGAAGCTCTTTGGGGCCTCATATATAAGTGCACAAATCCCACTCATGAGATCTTAACCCTCGTGACCTAATCACTTCCCTAAAGACCCCACTTCCAAATACCATAATACTGGTGATTAGGTTTCAACATATCATTTTGGCGGACACAAACCTTCAGGCCATAGGAACCTATTAGGTGTGATAAGAAGCTCTACTGGTCCTGTATCCAGTTCCCAATTTCTATCAATTTTGTTACCTGAGGTCAAAAAATATGAGTGTTTGTATTCTGGTTACATATTTATGTAACCTCAGAGTCTTCATTTGTAAATTAGTACCTACTTCATAGGAATGTTGTAAATAAATAAATGTGTTAATACTTGTTAGATATTTAGATCAGTGGCTGCATACAATAAGTGATTTCTTAAAGTTAGCCAATTATCTCTTGAACCTGTCCTATCTTTATTTTCCTTGTTCCCTTAACTTAATCTAGGATATTATTTTTTTTTTCTGGATTGCAGTTCTCTCCACTAACCTCCTAGCCTCTAGTATTTCTCCTCTCAGATCCCTTTTCTACATAGCTACCAGGGTAATTTTTCTGAAATGCAAGTATTACCATGTAACTCTCTTGGTTATTTTTTTTTAATTTTTATTTTTTATTATTATTATACTTTAAGTTTTAGGGTACATGTGCACAACGTGCAGGTTTGTTACATATGTATACATGTGCCATGTTGGTGTGCTGCACCCATAAACTCATCATTTAGCATTAGGTATATCTCCTAATGCTATCCCTCCCCGCTCCCCCGATCCAACAACAGTCCCTGGTGTGTGATGTTCCCCTTCCTGTGTCCATGTGTTCTCATTGTTCAATTCCCACCTATGAGTGAGAATATACGGTGTTTGGTTTTTTGTCCTTGCGATAGTTTGCTCAGAATGATGGTTTCCAGCTTCATCCATGTCTCTACAAAGGACATGAACTCATCTTTTTTTTATGGCTGCATAGTATTCCATGGTGTATATGTGCCACATTTTCTTAATCCAGTCTATCATTGTTGGACATTTGGGTTGGTTCCAAGTCTTTGCTATTGTGAATAGTACCGCAATAAACATACGTGTGCATGTGTCTTTATAGCAGCATGATTTATAATGCTTTGGGTATATACCCAGTAATGGGATGGCTGGGTCAAATGGTATTTCTAGTTCTATATCCCTGAGGAATCGCCACACCGACTTCCACAATGGTTGAACTAGTTTACTGTCCCACCAACAGTGTAAAAGTGTTCCTATTTCTCCACATCCTCTCCAGCACCTGTTGTTTCCTGACTTTTTAATGATTGCCATTCTAACTCGTGTGAGAAGGTATCTCATTGTGGTTTTGATTTGCATTTCTCTGATGGCCAGTGATGATGAGCATTTTTTCACCTGTTTTTTGGCTGCATAAATGTCTTCTTTTGAGAAGTGTCTATTCATATCCTTTGCCCACTTTTTGATGGGGTTGTTTGTTTTTTTCTTGTAAATTTGTTTGAGTTCATTGTAGATTCTGGATATTAGCCCTTTGTCAGATGAGTAGATTGCAAAAATTTTCTCCCATTCTGTAGATTGCCTGTTCACTCTAATGGTGGTTTCTTTTGCTGTGCAGAAGCTCTTTAGTTTAATTAGATCTCATTTGTCAATTTTGGCTTTTGTTGCCATTGCTGTTGGTGTTTTAGACATGAAGTCCTTGCCAATGCCTATGTCCTGAATGGTATTGCCTAGGTTTTCTTCTCGGGTTTTTATGGTTTTAGGTCTAACATGTAAGTCTTTAATCCATCTTGAATTAATTTTTGTATAAGGTGTAAGGAAGGGATCCAGTTTCAGCTTTCTACATATGGCTAGCCAGTTTTCCCAGAACCATTTATTAAATAGGGAATCCTTTCCCCATTGCTTGTTTTTGTCAGGTTTGTCAAAGATCAGATAGTTGTAGATATGTGGCATTATATGACATGTTACAAGGCATTTTCCTCTCTAACCTTAATCTTCTGTCTATTCTTCCCATTTTTCTCTTTCACAATACTGAAAGCATTTCAGTAACCCCATTATAACAGACTCTCTTTTGCTTCCATTATTCCAATATATTCTTTTCCTTCTTCCCCAGCTGATGGGCATCTTTTAGACTCCTTCTTAGGATTCCCCTTCTATTGATGGCCTTCTGCAAGCTTCCTTAATCTGTGCCTGAGCTAATTACTTCTTCCTCTGTATTTTTTCTAATTATCAATTATGTCTTTTTTTAAATTTCACATAGTCACAGTATTGTGGCTGCACATGAGAGTAGGATAGTTGTTTCAGTTTGTTTCAGTAAGTATCCAAGTAGGTGACTGCACGCTCTTCTCAGGTGGAGGGCAATACTATTTGCTTAGAAAAGCAGTTGTCTGAAATTAGAGATCCAAACCTCACTTATATTAAAATAGCTGTAGTTCTGAGATGTGTAGTCTCTGAAAGGGGAACAATTGTAGAAATATTTATTTATACCCTATGATGTTTAGAAGTGTGATTTAAAGTGGCTATTGTGAATTATGGAAGTCAAGAAGGTACTAGTAAAAAAGTGGAATAGGATCTTTTGTTTGAGAATATTCAAGTAATAGAGACTTTTGGTTGCACTCCAATTCCATTTGTCTCTTCCTGAGTATGTGTAACTAGAGTCCTATAAGAAGATGATTAGGAAGGATCATAGAAAAATATTTGAAGAAATGTTGGAGGGCATTTAAAAATGTGATAGAAATTAAAAGCAAGCTCAACAAAATGCAAGTGGAAAAAATTGCAGGACATCATAAACTGCTCAAAGCCAGTGATGAAGAGAAAATCTTAAAAGTAAAAACAGGAAAAAAGACATATTATGTAATAAGGAACAGAAATGAGAGTGACAACAGATTTCACATGGGAAACAATGCATGTCAGAAAACAGTGGAGCGACATTTTTAAGGTACTGAAAGAACAAAAAACTGTAAAGCAAGAATTCTAGAGCCAACACAAATATCTATCAATAATGAAAAAGAAATGACTATTTCAGACATAAAAAGCTAAAATACAACAGACAAGATCTGCAAAACATATCAAAAGAAGTCCAGATAGAAGTAAAATGAGGGCAGATAGTAATCTAGCTATACAAAAGATAGAAGACCACTGGAAATGTTAAATATGAGGCTAAGTATAAAAACATTTGTCTTATTTTAAAAATGAATTTAAAAGATAATATACTATTTAAAACAATGATAATAACAATATAACTATATAACACATGTAGAAGTAATATGTATAGTGATAGTACGAAGTCCAGAATAGCATACTGCTGTAAAATTCCTTTCCTATGAAGATGTGGTGTAATATTAACTGAATGTTGACTATAATAATGTAAAGATCTATACTAAACCCTAAATCAACTACTAAAGGAACAAAAGAAAAAATATATATAGCCAATGCTGTAGATAACAAAGAATCATAAAAATATTCAGTTAATCCAAAATAAGGCAAAAGAGGGAAATAAAAAAGTATGGACAAATTGAAATCAAATAGCAAGATGGCAGCCTCTAAGCTAATACACAATAATCACATTAAATGTAAATGGTCTAATCAGCCCAATTTAAAAAGCAAATATTGCCAGATTGATAAAAAGTGATACCTAATTATATGCTGTCTGTGAGAAACTAACTTTAAATATAAAGACATGTGTAGGTTAAAAGTAAAAGACTGGAGGGCAGTAATATTATGCCTACATTAATCTAAGAAAGCTAGAGTGGCTATAGTAATACCAGGCAAAGTAAATGCCATGTGCTATTTCTAGAGCTAAAGAAGGTCATTTCATAATGATAAGTCAATTCATAAAGAGTACATAACAGAGCTAAATATGTATGCAACTAATAACAGATACTTTAAAAATATGAAGCAAATATTGATAGAACTGAAAAAATATATGCAGCCACAATATTAATCAGAGATTACAACACCCTTGTCTCAATAATTGGTAGAACAAGGAGAAATAAGAAAATAGAAGACTTGAAACAACACTACGCCCATCTTGACTTCACTGACATTTATAGAAGTCTCCACTCAACAATATGGGCAAACGTTATTTTCAAGTGCACACAGAACATTTACTGAAATAGACCATATTCTTCACTACCTAAAAATGTCTCAAAGTATTCAAAAGGGTTTAAATTATATAAAGTGTGGAATCTGACTGCAAGGGAATCACATTAGAAATCAGTAACAGAAAAGTATTTGGAAAATGTTCAACGATTTGAAAACTAAGCAGGATCTTTTTTAAATAACACATTGGTCAAAGCAGAGTTTATAAGGAAAATTTAAAAATACTGTGATTTGGCCGGGCGCGGTGGCTCACGCCTGTAATCCCAGCACTTTGGGAGGCCGAGGCGGGCGGATCACGAGGTCAGGAGATCGAGACCATCCTGGCTAACACAGTGAAACCCCGTCTCTACTAAAAAACACAAAAAATTAGCCGGGCGTGGTGGCGGGCGCCTGTAGTCCCAGCTACGCGGGAGGCTGAGGCAGGAGAATGGCGTGAACCGGGAAGGCGGAGCTTGCAGTGAGCCGAGATCGCGCCACTGCACTCCAGCCTGGGCGACAGAGAGAGACTCTGTCTCAAAAAAAAAAAAATATTGTGATTTGACTGAAAACTAACGCAAGGCATATCATAATTTGTGTGATACTGCTAAATTGGTGCTTTGAGGAAAATTTATTACATTAAACACGTATTAGAAAAGAGAAAATTTTCATTTCAATGCCCTAAGCTTCTACCTTAAGAAACCAACAAATAAGAGTTAGTTATACCCTGCAAAGAAGTAATGGGAAAAAAATCCTAAGTGCAGAAATAAATGAAATAGAATTTAGGAAAATAGAGAAAATTTGTAGCCTGAAACCAAAGTTTGATTAGAGAAAATCAATGAAGTTGTCAAATCTCTAGCTATATTGATCAAATAAATAAAGAAAAAGGCACAAATTACCAATATCAGGAAAGAGAGGGTCATATCTATAAATCTTAGAGACTTTAAAAGAATATGGGAGTATTAAAACAAATTTATGAATACGCTTGATAATTAGATGAAATGGGAAATTTCCTTGAAAGACAAAAATTGCCAAAGTCCCTCAAGAGAATAGATAACATGGATAGCCCTATGTTTTTTAAAGACACTGAATTTATATTTACATATATTACACAGACACAGACACACAAACACATGCACAAATAAATAAATTCCAAGCTCAGAAAATTTCACTGGTGAATTCTACATTAAAGAAGCAAACAATAGCAATTTTACACAAATGTCTCAAGAAAACCAAAGAGAGAATATTTCTCAACTCATTCCATGAGTTCAACCCTTCCCTAATACCAAAACTAGACAAAGGTATTACAATAAAAGACAACTGCAGACCAATATCTCTCATTAACACAGATTTAAAAATTAAAAATTTTAGCAAATGGAATATAACAATATGTTGAAAAGTTAATGCATCATAATCAAGAAAGGGTTATCCCAAGAAAGAAGGCACAGTTGGTTTAGTATTTGAAAATTAATCAATGTAATTTACCATATTAACATTTTAAAAATAAAAATTGTATGATCATCAGAATAGATGTAGAAAATGCATTTGACAAAGTCCAAATTCATTCCTGATAGAACTCTCAGCAGTCCAGAAATAGAACATTTCTCAACCTAATAAAGGACATATATGTGCTCCCACTCAGACAGACAGCACAGCATGTGGAAACTCACATCGGGAACTTTTGCTCCTAATACTACCACAGGAACATACCAGGAAACCCAAAAGAATTCACAGACTGTTTGAAAGAAGTGGCTTGTCACTGCAAACTTCATGAGGCAGCCAAAAAACTATGAGTTCCCAAAGTGTGAGAGGGGGAAAGTCTACCTTCAAACACATATCCTCACTGGGGAACCTGAAAATCCAGATCATGGGAGAAGGATATAACCTTACCTAGAGCTGAAATGGATTTAGAGAGCCAAGCGAAACACAAAAGTAGAAGAAACTGCAAGAAGAGCCCTGTAGGCACTCCTGGTACCTAGGGAAGCCATTTCTGACTTTATCTCAAGGTGTCCTTGGGGAGGGCTGCCAGTGGGATTGGGGAAAGACCGCAAGGAAAAGGAAACTTCCAGTGAACTTTGTAATAATTTTGACTGAATGTAAATTTTCTAGGGCAATATCCAGGAGTGGAGGGGCAGTGAATGGGAAGTGCAGCACAGAAGCTTTGGCAGGTGGGGAGGCCAAACCCTGAAAGCCCTGCTTGCTTTCTCTCAGTGAGGAGGCTTGTCGCCTGAGGCAAGATATCAGCCCTGCTCACCAGCTGCCTGGCTGTAAGCTCAGTACTTTTGGTGGGGCACACTGGGAGTGAGACTGGCCTTGCTGACTGTGTGGGAATTAGGTGAGGCCTGTCGCTGTTTGCTTTCCCCCAGTTCCCTGGTGACCTGTATATGCAGCAGAGGCAGCCATAATTCCCCTGGGAACATAACTCCATTGGCCTGAGAACCACACCCCTATCTCCCACAGCAGCCATAGCAAACCCCTCCCAAGGGGAGTCTGAGCTTAGATATGCCTAAGCCTGCCCCCACCTAATGGTCTTTCTGTACCTGCCCTCGTAGCCAAAGACAAAAGACATAATCTCTTGGGAGCTCTATGACCCCTGCCAATTGCCTAAGAAACCCAAATACTTATCCAAGTGACCTTAGGACAAGCTTGTATCCCCCCTATACTACTGCAGCTGAAGCTGTCTTGAAAGCGCCACCTCCTGGCTGGTGGCCAACCAACTCAAGCCATTACAGCAACTCATAAAAGAAAAACCGTGCTCCAAGAAAGGAGAAAACAACAGCTATTTCCACTGCCTGCCACATCCTGGCTAACCAGAGGTCCTGAGTCTGACCACATGACAACTTCGCTGCTAGCACAACCAGCATTTGAGAAAACTGGTGCACTAAACAAAACTACAGCCAAGGACCCTCACAGAGTCCACATGGTTCCCCTGCTACCTCCACTGGAGCAGGTGCTGGTAACCATGATTGAGAGACCTGAAGATGGATCACATCACAGGACTCTTTGCAGACACTTCCCAGTACCAGTCCAGAGCCTGGTAGCTCTGCTGGGTGGCTAAACCTAGAAGGGCAATGACAATCACTGCAATCCAGCTCCCAGGAAGCCCCATCCCTAGGGAAAGGGGGAGAGCACATCAAGAGAGTACCCATGGGACAGCAGCGCTTGAGCCCCAGATCTTTCCTTTGAAATAGCCAAATGCGAAGGAACCAGAAAAATAATTCTGGTAATATGACAAAACAGGGTTCTTTAACACCCCCAAAAGATCACACTAGCTCACCCGCAATGGATACAAACCCAGAAGAAATCTCTGAATTGCCAGAAAAAAAGAATTCAGAAGCCCAGTTATTAAGCTACTCAAGGAGGCATAAGAGAAAGATGAAAACCAACTTAAGGAAATTTTGAAAAATGCAGGATATGGACAAAAAAGTCTCCAGAGAAATAGACAGCATAAATAAAAAACAAGGACAACTTTGGGAAATGACACACATCGAGAAATACAAAATACACTGGAAACTTTCAACAATAGAATCGAACAAGTAGAAGACAGAACTTCAGAGCTCAAAAACAAGGCTTTTGAATTAATCCAATCCAACAAAGACAAAGAAAAAAGAATTTTAAAAAATGAACAAAACCTCCAGGAAGTTTGGGAACTATGTTAAACAACCAAACCTAAGGATAATTGGTGTTCCCAAGGAAGATGGGAAACCTAAACATTTGGAAAACGTATTTGAGGGAATAATTGAGAAAAACTTCCCTGGCCTTGTTAGAGGTCTAGACACCCAAATATAAGAAGCTCAAAGAGCAACAGGGAAATTCATTGTGAAAAAATCATCACCTGCACACATAGTCATCAGGTTACCTAAAGTCAAGACAAAGGAAAGAATCTTAAGAGCTGTGAGACAAAAGCATCAGGTAACCTGTAAAGGAAAGCCTATCAGATTAACAGCAGATTTCTCAGCAGAAACCTTACAAGCTAGAAGGGATTGGGATCCTATCGGCCAGGAATTTTGTATCCAGAGAAACTAAGCTTTATAAATGAAGGAAAGATGAGGTATTTTCCAGACAAACAAATACTGAGAGAATTTGTCACTATCAAGCCAGCACTATAAGAACTGCTAAAAGGAGCTCTAAATCTTGAAACAAAACCTTGAAATACACCAAAATAGAACCTCCTTAAAGCATACATCTCACAGGACCCATGAAACAGTAACATAATGAAAAAAAAAAAAACCAAGGTATTCAGGCAACAACTAGCATGATGAATAGAATAGTACCCCACGATCTCAATACTGATGTTGAATGTAAATGGCCTGAGTGCTCCACTTAAAAGATACATAATGGAAGAATGGATAAAAATTCACCAACCAAGTATCTGCTGTCTTCAAGAGACTCACCTAACACATAAGAACTCACATAAACTTAAGATAAAGGGATGGAAAAAGATATTTCATGCAAATGGACACCAAAAGTGAGCAGGAGTAGCTATTCTTATATCAGACAAAACAGACTTTTTAACAACCATTAAAAAAGACAAAGAGGGACATTGTATAATGGTAAGAGGACTAGTCCAACAGGAAAATATTACAATTCAAAATATATATGGACCTAACACTGGAGCTCCCAAATTTATAAAACAATTGCTACTATACCTAAGAAATGAGATAGTTGCCAACATGATAATAGTGGGGGACTTCAGTACTCCACTGACAGCCCTAGACAGGCCATCAAGACAGAAAGTCAACAAAGGAACAATGGACTTAAACTATGCCCTAGAACAAATAGACTTAACAGATATTTACAGACCATTCTACCCAACAACTGCAGAATATACATTCTTTTCATGAGCATGGGGAACATTCTCCAAGATAGACCACATGATAGACCACAACCAGTCTCAATAAACTTAAGAAAATAAGAATTATAACAAGTACTCTCCCAGGCCACAGTTCAATCACTGGAAAACCTAGAGGAGATGGATAAATTCCTGGAAACGTACAACCCTCCTAGATTGAACCAGGAAGAAAGGTCTTACCTTAAGGTAATAAAAGCCATCAGTGACAAACCCACAGCCAACATTATACCAACTGAGGAGAAGTTGAAAGCATTCCCACTGAGAACTGGAAGAAAACAAGGATGCCCACTTTCAGCACTTCTAGTCAACATAATAAATGAATTCGGTAAAGTTTGAGGATACAAAATCAATGTACGCAAATCAGTAGCACTGCTATACACCAGCAGCAGCCAAGCTGAGAACCAAGTCAAGAACTCAACCCTTTTTACAATAGCTGCAAAAAAAATAAAATTCTTAGGAACATATCTAACCAAGGAGATGAATGACCTCTACAGGGATAAGTACAAACACTGCTGAAAGAAATCATAGACAACACAAACAAATGGAAATGCATCCAATGCTCATGGATGGGTACAATCAGTACTGTGAAAATGACCATACTACCAAAAGCAGTCTGCAAATTCAATGCCATTCCCATCGAAATACCATCATCATTCTTCACAGAACTAGAAAAAACAATTCTAAAATTCATATGGAACCAAAAAAGAGCCTGCATAGCCAAAGCAAGACTAAGCAAAAAGAACAAATCTGGAAGTATAACATTACCCAACTTCAAACTATACTATAAGGGTATATTCACTGAAACAGCATGGTACTTATATAAAAATGGGCACACAGACCAGTGGCACAGAATAGAGAACCCAGAAATAGAGCCAAACACTTAGAGCCAACCAATCATCTACAAAACAAACAAAAACATAAAGTAGGATTTTGGGATTTCTCTATACCTTCAATTTATCTGTAAATCTAAACTTATTGAAAATAAAAGCATAGTAATAAAATTTAATTTGTTACTTATGAAGTAGAGAAGTATTAGAATTATTTATACAGACATACAGATCAATAGAACAGAATTCAAATTCAAGAAATAGGTTGACATATATGGTTAACTGATTTTCAACAAAGTTGTCAAGGCATTCAATGGACCTTTTCAACAAATGGTGCTAGGTCAATTGATTGGATATAAGCAATAACATAAAATATATAAAGAAAGTCTTCACACCATTTACAAAATTAACTCAAAATGGATCACAGACCTAAGTGTAAAAGCTGAAACTATAAAACCTCTAAAAGAAAATATGGCAGAAAAATTTAAAAATCATGAATTAGGCAAAGATTTATTAAGTAAAACACAAGAAGCATAAACTAGAAAAGAAAAAAATTAATGTTACCTTTTATCAAATTTAATAATTTTGGTTCTTCAAAACATTGTTACAAAATTAAAAGCCAATCTAAATATTGGAGAAAATATTTGCAAAATATTTACAGATGCTCCTTCACTTACAGTTGAGTTACATCTTGATAAACCCGTCATAAGTCAAGAATATTATAAGTCAAAAGTGCATTTAATACCTTGGCAAACCCACTGTAACATGAAAAAATCATAAGTCAAGCCATTATAAGGCTAGATGCTCCTTGACTTATGATAGGTTTATATCTTGATAAACCAATCATCAACTCAAAAAAATCTTTTTTTTGGGGGGGGGGGAACAAAACAATAAACACCTTTATTACATGGGTGAAGACAAAACAAGGATTTATTTGCCTTTCCGGGCCTTGATTTTCCTAAGATAGAACTCCAACCCTTTGCCCTCTAGCACATAGCCATCTGCTCGGCCACACTGTCCCGGCCTTGAAGCGATGCATGCAAGAAGCTTGCCCTGCTGGAACTGCTCTTCCAGGAGACTGCTGATTTTGGCATTCTTTTTCCTTTCATCATATTTCTTCTGAATTTGTTTAAATCGTTTTTTGTTTAAAATCTCTTCTTCCTCAGGAGTCAGCTTGGCTCCCTTCTTGCGGCCCAGGGGCAGCACGTAGTGGGACATCTTACCACTGTCGGCACGGTGTGCTGTCGATGAGCACGATGCAATTCTTCACCAGGGTCTTGGTACGAACCAGCTCATTATTAGATGCATTGTAGACAACATCGATGATCCTTGTTTTACGAGTACAACACTCTGAGCCCCAGGAGAAATTCCCCCACGTCCAACCTCAGGGCACGGTATTTCTTGTTACTTCCCTGCACACGGACTGTGTGGATGCGGCGGGGGCCAATCTTGGTGTTGGCAGCTGGGCGCTCCAACTCATACTTCCGCTTCTTGTGGTAGGGCTTTCTCTTGCCCCCGGTTTTGCGGCGCTGGTGCCAGTTGTCCCGAGAGATGCCCATCGCTCGGCGCTGGCTGGAAAGAGAAACCGCCCAAAAAAATCTTAAGCCAAAATCTTAAATTGGAGACTGTATTCAATAAAGGAATTGTATCTAGAATACACAAGAAATTCTTACAACTTAACAATTAGAAGACCTCAAAATAATCAAGGCTGGGTGTGGTAGCTCTCGCCTATAATCCCAGCACTTTTGGAGGCTGAGACAGGCAGATCGCTTGAGTTCTGCAGTTTGAGACCAGCCTGGGCAACATGGTGAAACCTCATCTTTACAAAACATACAAAAAATTAGCCGGGTGTGGTGGTGCATGCCTGTAGTCCTAGCTATTTCAGAGTCTGAGGCAGGAAGGTTACCTGAACCTGGGAGGTGGAGGTTTCAGTGAGCCAAGATTGAGCCACTGCATCCCAGCCTGGGAGACAGGGCGAGACCTTGTCTCAAAAAAAAAAATAAAAAATCACTGAAAATTGAGCAAAAGATTTGAAAAGACACTTTAACAAGAAGACACGCATATAGAAAGTAAGCATAAGAACAGATGTTGAACATTATTGGTCGTTAGGGACATGTAAAACAAAACCACAATGACATACCACTATATTTCCACTGAATATCTAACATTAACAAGACTGAATATACCAAGGGTTGGTGATGATGTAAAACAGCTGAAATTCTCATTCACCAATATTAGTAATTTTAAATGGTCATTAAAGTATGTAATTTTAAATAGTCTAAGTAGTAATTTTAAATAGCTTTCATTTAGAATGTCTTTTTTTGAGGTGTTATGCACATGACATAATGCTTTTAAAGTGTACATTTCAGTGGCATTTAGTACATTTACAATGTTGTGCAAGCACCACTCCTATGTAGTTCCAAAACATTTTCATAACCCCAAAAGAAATTCTCAATACTTGTTATATTCCCTTTTTAAAATTATAGCTATCTTTGTGGGTATTCAGTAGCAACTCTTTGTGGTTTTAATTCTTCCTGACATTAAAACAAGTTAGACATACATCTACCATATCATCTAGCCATTGTAACGTTACACATTTACTCGAAAGAAATGAAAGCATTTGTGCTCACAAAGACTTGTACATGAATGATCATGTTTTATTTGCAATAGCCCAAACCTGGAAACAACCCAAATGCCCATCAATCAGTGAATGGGTAAACAAATTGTGGTATGGTTATATAATGGAACCACTGAGCAATATGGCTGAATTTCAAAAATGTCACTGAGTGAAATAACTCAGAAATCTAAGCCAATTTATAATTCTAATCATGTAAAATTCTAGAAAAAGACAAACCATTCTATGGTGACAGAAAGACCATAATTTGTTCCCTATGGATTTAGATTTGGAGATTAAGAGAGGAATGGATTACAAAGGGACAGGAGGTAGCTCTAGGGAGTGATGGGTATGTTCACTATTTTGATTGTGATGATATTTTCACAGGTATATACAACAGTCACCAGATTGTCTACTTTATACACAATTTATTGTACATGAATGATTCAAAAACGTTGCCAATTTTAAAAACTCCATAATTTCTACATCAAAGGAGGGAAGAGAATGGAGAACTCAAGCCTTCTCTTATTCTGTCTTAGAAGTATGAAAGGTCATTACTATTCACAGTTCATTGAGAAGAACTCATCATGTGTTCCCACCTAACAGCAATGGCACTGGTAATGTAGGAAGCACATGGCCATTCAGTGAGCTATAAATACCTCAGTCACAGTTGTAGTAGAATCTAGACACCTCCAAGGTAATTATTGGTAATAAGACTCTCAAGAGGGTTTTAAGGAGCAAATCTTACTCTTTCTAGAATAATGATTTACTGAATTACTCTGATCATCCTCCTTTTCATATAAGGTCATTCTTTTATTGATGTTTAGAATAATTTTCTTCTTATAAATAAATAAGTTATCTGTAATATTGCATATAGACTTAAAATTGATATTTAAGCCAGTTTTTAAATTGCAGTTACATAGCCAAGCTGCAACAGAGCTATATCCTTAAAAGTGAGTTTTGTTTATTAAAGTCAAAGCTAATGAGGAAAGACAAGATTTTATTAAACAGTAATTATATTAATTCTTTTGTACTAAAGAGGCATGATCTTTTCTATTTTTATGAAAATTTTTTCTTTTATGGAAGACTGTTCAGTTTAATTTTTATACACAGTTTTGATGAAATACATTTGGACCCCTTCTAACATACTTCTGAAAAGACTTAAATTGAAATACAGTTGGCACTCCGTGTGAAAAGTGTGTCATCTGTGTGTGTTACACAGGTTACCTTAAACTTGATGGTTCCAAAACAGTATTTACATATTCTTGGAAGATGCGATGGGCACCTTTTTCCTGAAGAATAGGGTTTTCCTTGTGGTGAGACAGAGATGAGTATGGGAAACCTAAAGCATATATTTGTTAAAACATCCCTGGTATTTGCTTAGGCACTTGCCAAGTTTGTTGAATGAGACACTGTCTTTTGTTGTTACTGGAATTTATAAAGGTAAGGCAGTTTTCATCCTATGTAGCTGCTCACCTTTTTATCTTTTTGTTGTTGTTGTTGTTGTTGTTGTTACTCTGGAAAAACAAAGAAAAAATCTATGAGCAAAGTAGGGAAAGGCACATCTTACAAATGTGGACTGTAGGTAGCCATGTTAGAGTAACAGAGATGATGCCACAGTAAAGTAGTCTTTTACATTATAGTGTGAATTACTAAATATCAAATAATGGCTCAACCTGGAGCTTTACTTACCTCTAATTAGAAAATAGCCAACCTATTGTGATTTTAAGAATGGTACACAGGCTTCCCGACAAGCAATATAGTTTTCTAAGTATTTATTGGTATACTGGTAGAAAACTCATTCTACAATTACAGATAAAATTTAAGGTACAAATTCCCCTAGGTGAGGGAGCACATATACTAAATACACTGTATTTGAAATGCATTATAAAATCAAATGTTGTTGATAAGAGATTTTTGAAAAGGTTAAATCACTTGAGTACCAGATGTATGAAGGGGAAAAGGATTTGGAAGATGAAATGAAGAGTAGTGATTCCAAAGACAAATGAAATTAAGTTAACTAATACTTACTGAGTGCCTATTGCATATCAGGCATCTAAGTTCTTTGAATGGGCCGTCTCTTAACCCACCCCAACAACCTTATGAGACAGGTACTATTCTTATCCCACATTTTAGAGATGTGGCAACTGAAGCACAGAGAGATTAAGTTACTTTCTCAAGGTTATATAGTTGGTAAGTTGTGGAGATTCTGATTCAGGCAATCTGACACTAATGCTGCACTCTTAACCATCATACTATACTTCATTGTATCACAATGCTGTGCAATAGTATGTGGATTAGAGCTACCTGCATTGCATGGAGGAGTTGGCCCAGCAAGCTACAGTCAATTTACCACAGAAGTGGTAGGGTAAATAACTGTGTGTGTGTGTGTGTGTGTGTGTGTGTGTGTGTGTGTGTGTGTGTGTGTGGTGTAATATGAGATGACAGGAAATTTGGTTTTTTTTTTTAAACCAATTTCCTTTATCTACTAGCACTGTAAAAAAAAAAAAGAATTCAGTAAATGTTTGAATGAATCCACAACTTAAGCATCAGTTTGTAGTTTTGGATCATAAATGTAGACATTGTCAACATGCTCACTAAATTTTTTATTTCCCCACGAGCAGTACCTTAAGCTATTAGTCTTACACATCTCATAGAAAGGAGAAGGGAGGGAAGCCTGGTGGAAAAGCTCTGGATAGCTGAGAGAGGGCACCCCATGAAGGGGGAGAGATTCTTTTATTCCATCTTTTCTCATTTTCTCTTTCATTAGGGACAAAAACAGTCAGGTTATTAATAATTTGAGTTTTCAGCTTTTCTATTCCTAAATTTTCCTTTTCTTTACCATGAAGATTCTTTTTCTTTAACATAGGAATGGATTTACCTTCTACTTTGCCCCTTTTCATGCAAGAAGAGTGAGGAAACACTACCAGTATGTTGAGATGTTTAAGAGCTCAAGCTTTTTTTTTCATTGTCAACTTTTTTTTTTTTTTTTTCTTTTTTGAGACAGAGTCTCTCTCGGTCGCCCAGACTGGAGTGCAGTGACGCGATCTCGGCTCACTGCAAGCTCTGCCTCCCGGGTTCACGCCATTCTCCTGCCTCAGCCTCCCAAGTAGCTGGGACTACAAGGCGCCCACCACCACGCCCGGCTAATTTTTTGTATTTTTAGTAGAGACGGGGTTTCACCGTGTTAGCCAGGATGGTCTCAATCTCCTGACTTTGTGATCCGCCTGCCTCAGCCTCCCAAAGTGCTGAGATTACAGGCGTGTGTCACTGCGCCTGGCCCGTCAACTTTTATTTTTGTTTCAGGGGCTACATGTGCACGTTTGTTATATAGGCAAATTGTGTGTCACTGAGGTTTGATGTATGAATGATCCCATCACCCAGGTAGTGAGCATGAGCATAGTAGCTGATAGTTTTTCAATCCTTGCTTGCCTCTCACCCTTCCTTCTCTAGCCATCCCCAGTGTCTATTGTTCCCATCTTTATATCCATGTGTACTCAATGTTTAGCTCCCACTTATAAGTGAGAACATATGGTATTTGGTTCTCTGTTCCTGCATTAATTCATTTATAATTATGGCCTCCAGCTCCATCCATGTTGCTGCAAAGGACAGGATTTCATTCTTTCCTATGGCTATGTAGTATTCCATGGTATATATATACCACATTTTCTTTATCTAATCCTAGATTGATTACATATCTTTGGTATTGTGAATGGCGCAACGACAACATCATTCTTCATGGAGTTAGGAAAACTGTTCTAAAATTCATATGGAACCAAAAAAGAGCCCAAATAACCAAAGCAATACTAAGCAAAAAGAACAAAGCCAGAGGCTTCACACTACCTGATTTCAAATTATACTAGAAGGCTACAGTAATCAAAACATCATGGTATGGTAGAAAACAGACACATATACCAATGAAACAGAAAATAAAGCCACACACCTGTAACCATCTGATTTTTTTTTTTTTTTTTTTTTTTTTTTGTGACGGAGTCTTGTGCTGTGGCCCAGGCTGGAGTGCAATAGTGTGATCTTGGCTCACTGCAACCTCTGCCTCCCGGGTTCAAGCGATTTTCCCTGCCTCAGCCTCCTGAGTAGCTAGGATTACAGGTGCACACCACCACACCTGGCTAATTTTTTTTTGTATTGTTAGTACAGATGGGGCCCTGCCGTATTGGTCAGGCTGGTCTCGAACTCCTGACCTCAGGTGATCCACTCGCCTCAGCCTCCCAAAGTGCTGAGATTACAGGCATGATCCACGGTGCCTGGCCAACCATCTGATTTTTGACAAAGTCAACAATAACAAGTAATGAGGAAAGGACTCCCTATTCAATAAATATACTGGGATAGCTCACTAGCCATATGCAGAAGAATGAAACTGGACCCTTCCCTTTCACCATATACAAAAATTAACTTAAGATAGAGTAAATATTTAAATATAAGACCTCAAACTATAAAAATTCTAGAAGAAAAACCTAGGAAATACCATTCTGGACATTGGCCATGGTGAAGAATTTATTGCTAAGTCCCCAAAAGCAATCACAACAAAAACAAAATTTGACAAGTGGGACCTAGCTAAACTAAAGAGCTTCTGCACAGCAAAAGAAACTATCAACAGAGTAAACAGAAAACTTAAAGAACGGGAGAAAATATTCACAAACTATGCATCTGGCAGAAGTCTAATGTCCAGAATCTATAAGAAACTTAATTCAAGAAACAAAAAACAAACAGCCCCATTAAAAAATGGGCAAATGACATGATCAGACACTTCTCCCAAGAAGACATGCATGCAGACAACAAACATGAAAAAATGCCCATCACTACTAATCACCAGAGAAATGCAAATCAAAACCACAATTGAGATACCGTCTCACATCAGTTAGAATGGCTACTATTAGAAAGGCAAAAACAACAGATGCTGGTGAGGTTGAGGAATAAAGGGAACATTTATGCACTGTTGGTGGGAATGTAAATTAGTTCAGCCACTGTGGAAAGCATTTTGGAGATTTATCAAAGAACTTAGCATTTGACTCAGCAATCCCATTACCAGGTATATACCCAAAGGAATATAGATTATTATACCGAAAAGAAACATGTACTTATATGTTCAGCAATGTTTTGTAGTTCTCCTTGTAGAGATCTTTCACCTCATTGGTTAGATGTATTCCATGTGTATGTGTGTGTGTGTGTGTCTGTGTGTGTGTGTCTATTGTAAGTGGGATTGTATTCTTCATTTGACTCTCAGCTTGGACATTATTGACGTGTAGAAATGCTACTGATTTTCATACATTGATTTTGGATCCTGAACCTTCACTGAAGTTGTTTATCAGTTCCAAGAGCCTTTTGGCAGAATCTTTAGGGTTTTCTAGGTAGAAAATGATTATCTTCAGCAAAGAAAGATAATTTGACTTCTTCTTCTCCTATTTGGATATCTGTTATTTCTTTCTTTTGCCTAACTGTTCTGGCTAGGATTTCCAGTCCTGTGTTGAATGGGAGTGATTAGAGTGGACATCCTTATCTTATTCCAATTCTTAAGTGGACTGCTTTTAGCTTTTACCTGCTCAGTATGATGTTGGGCCTGGGCTTGTCACAGATGGCGCTTATCATTTTGAGGGATGTTTCCTTTGATGCCTAGTTTGTTGAGGGCTTTTATTATGAAGGAATATTGAATTTTATCAAAATATTTTTCTGCATCTATGGAGATGATCATGTGGTTTTTGTTTCTAGTTCTGTTTATTGGGTGAATCACATTTATTGATTTGTGTATGTTGAACCAGCCCTGCATCCCAGGAATGAAGCCTACTTGATCATGGTGAATTAGATTTTTGGCGTGCTGCTGGATTCAGTTTGCTAGGATTTTGTTGAGGAGTTTTGCATCTATGCTAATCAGGGATATTAGCCTGTAGTTTTCTTTTTTGTGTTTGTCTTTGCCATATTTTGGTATCAAAGCAATACTGGCTTCATAGGATGAGTTAGGGAGGAGTCCCTCCTCCTCAATTTTTTGAATAGTTTCAGTAGGATCGGTAACAACTCTTCTTTATGTTTGGTAGAATTCAGCTGTGAGTTTATCCGGTCCAGAGAAGAGCCCAAGCTTTGAATCAAACTTGATTTGGAATCCTGACTTTATCACTTGGTAACAGCATGCTCTTGAGCAAGTTGTTAAGAACTCTACACCTCATTTTTATCTTCTACAAAACAGGTATATTTATTGGGAACATTCATAGATGTACATAACAAAACTTCCAGTTGTCAATGGGTTTATTTTTCCCCCCATTAAGAAATACAATGGTAAGCAGCTGCTGATTTTGGTGCAGTAACTTGAAGATTTCAGGGTCAGCTTTTCTGCCTTTCTCTAGGCCATTCCCTAATTCTTTTACCTCATGGTAACAAATTGATTGCTGTGACTCCAGACATTTCATTTTGTTAAAGGCAGGAAGAAGATAGAAGTGACAGTAATAATCATTGCTGTCTTATTTTAGTCAGAAAAGCAACATCTTCCTTAGGAACCCAGATTTTTTTATGCCTCATTGGCTAGAATTGTGTGACATGGCCACTCCTAGCTAAGGAGTAAAGGAGAACAAATATTTAGCTCTCCCAAAGGGGATCTCAAAGGCTGTTGGGTCAGCCAAATAACTATATCACAAAGGAGAATCATAGAATCTATTTCACAGGTTAAGTAAAAATTAAATTAGATTATACTATATAAAGTAATATTTCTATGCCTGATATATAGAAAGTACTTAATAAGAGCTGGCCCTAGTTATCGTTGTCATTCTGTATATTTCAATTACCACTATCAAGAAAGGTAACAGATCTTCCCATGTCATAGCCCCTTTTATTTTGTGTCCTATCTTATCTCTGACTACTTTTTTTTTTACCCTCAATACAATAATAACTGTTTCAGCAAAACTCACTGCTTGGAGTTCTCATACAAACCTTTCTGCTTCCCCTTTTCATCTGCCTCCCCTGATCCTCTACAGTGCCCTTTCCATTCTCACTGACTTACGTAGCTCTGACTCAGCCTCTAAAACCTGCATAGGCTTCACTTCTCTGGCAACTCCCAGCCCCCTTACAAATGGGATTAATGTCCCTCTTCAATGTCCCTCAGGCCCTGAGTGTATCACTATCCTAGATTTTTACAAGGGTATGTAGGAATTTTTTCTTTGCTAATGGCCTTCTGTGGCAGAATCTAAATTACTTCAGATCTAGAGGAGCTTTCCTTTGTATCTTGGTGTTCACTAAATAGTTGGCAGTGAGGACACATTCATTAAGCACAACTGGGAAGTCATGTTGTATTTTTTTTAATCTTCATTGTCCCCCCATCCCAAGCTCTTCATAAATGTCTTTCTCATCTTGCCTTTTTTTCTCACCTTTCTCAGGGGATTAATGATCATCTTTTAATGAAATGGTAATCAAACCATGATTTATTCTGGTGTTTGAAAAGTAAACATTTACTTAGCTTGAGCTCTTGCTGATTCTGACTGCCAGTAGTAAGGCGTTAAAAATGGAAACTACATAAACTAGCTAGAGAAAGGATCTCTGTTCTGCAGGTTTTCTGATAGCTCAATTGCCATGGAAACAGCTTTTCCCTGGTGTTAGCTCATTAGGGTTTTTTTTTTTCCTTAAATAATTTGGAGGACAGCCATGTTCCACAGTAGACTACTTCATGGGAAAGAGCATACTTGTCATCCCCTTCCTTATGCTTAATTCTGTACCAAACAGAAAGCAGCTATCCTTCAACATAACATAACCCATGTTAAAAATTCACTTATTATAGCAGGCAATCCATTTGATTTTTTTTTAAACTCCTACTGCTAGAGAATGTATATGAAGTAAGAACAGGAATACATTTTCAAAATCAAAATGATTCTAATAGATCTTATTTAATCTATGGATCTAGGGTTACAATCTTAATTCATGTTTATCAGATACAAGTACCACCTCTTCTTAAAGGAGAAGAATCAGTTTTCCCTGTGATTATCAAAGGAAGTGAATTCTCTGTCACCTAGGAGTATATCAGATAAAATACAGATAAGAAAAATTATTTTTTGTAGATTACTGGAGTTATGTTTTCTGTTAGTTTTGGAGAATGTTTCCCCCTGAAATCTCAAATTGCCACAAGAGGAGTCACAAAAGTGTGTTACAGGCTTTCACCTGATTTTGATCTGAGCAGGCTGTTGATAGTGAATTCACTCATATTGCAAACTTTATTTCTATGGAGAAAACACTTGAATATTATGATATATACTTGGGTTTTCTACCAAAGGAATTTGAAAAGTTTATCCCTTGGTTCTGTGAGGCAGAGATCGGTAAGAACTCAATTACAACTGATTTAAAACATGATTTGACTTTGAAGAAGTTCAGCCTGCCAGGAACAAACCTGCAAATTTGGTACCATGGGCCTCCCATTTAATATTTTCCATAGAGTGAATAATTAGGTCTGGTCATTTCTTTATTTATTAAAATTTGTCCTTCAAAAAGTCTCTAAAGCTCATTCAACAAACTAAAGCCCACATTATTTAAATGGCTAAAGAAACTTCTCTTGAAAAAGAATCAAGATCTTTAACTAAAACTGAGGTAGAATTTGGGCAGGAGAGAAGTGGCTCCTATCTCCCTTAGCTATAGTTGATCATCATCATTCTAACTTTAGATATATTTGAACTTTTTACCATGCTAAATTCACATGATTCCAAAAGAAGTTTGGATTCTTATAGAAAAGTGGTAGCCTACCTAGTCAATGATCATTCTCTAGGCAAGATATGGATTATAAAGGAAGGAGACCTTATGGAATTGATTAAAAAAATAGCTTTGACTGTCCTATTTTGGAAAATGAACCTATGAGGAAATCTTTTTATGCGTAGTTTAGAAAGAGTGTGATGCTTTTTACTTCAGGTCTGAAATTCAACACTGTAAGAGAGAACACAACCCATCTAGCATGGACAAGAGAGTCTGAAAGTTGAAATAGCTTACTATGTACTGAGGTCTGGAAAGAAACAAAATTTTGCAAAATAACAGAAAGAGAAATTCTATTAATGTTCCTTTGTCTATGTTGTTAGCAGCTTTTCTGTTGACTTTTGTTGTTATATCTTAGCTAGTTTTTGGAACATATTCCAATTCATTAAAAAATAAATTACAATTACTTGTTAATTTAATAGTAATTTCTAAGAAAACATTGATCAGTTTCTCAAAATATTCAGCATTCAAAAAACATTAATTTTGTACTTACTATGGGGAAGGTACTCTGCTAAGTATTAGAAGACAAACATGAATATGACTTAAAAGGCTTATAGTCTAGGAGAGGAAACAGAAAGTAATTGCAGTAAGATGCAGTGATAGAGGTTTGCCCAGAAGACTAAAGGCCAAGTTTCATCTCACACAAAAGACTCAGTCAAAGACTAGGTGTTTCTCTGTAAGGTATTTTATCTACAGAGAATAGTCAATAAATATTTATAGATATGTGTGATATTGGAGCAAAGTACTGATTGAAATGGGCGTGGTGGCTCATGCCTGTAATCCCAGCACTTTGGGAGGCTGAGGTGGGCAGATCACAAGGTCAGGAGATCGAGACCATCCTGGCTAACACGGTGAAACCCCGTCTCTACTAAAAATACAAAAAAATTAGCTGGGCGTGGTGGTGGGCGCCTGTAGTCCCAGCTACTTGGGAGGCTGAGGCAGGAAAATGGCTTGAACCCCGGAGGCGGAGCTGGCAGTGAGCCGAGATTGCGCCACTGCACTCCAGCCTGGGCGACAGAGTGAGACTCCATCTCAAAAAAAAAAAAAGAAATCTGTTATTCTTTTTATTATTCTTTGTACTTCTAACCTTAAAATACAAATTGCTTTGGGGGTTATGAAATGTGTATATAATTTATAAAACATATATGAATATAGGTATAATAGGTATTTACAAATATTATTTGTTACACATTTGAGTAGCAGTGTAACAGTACTGAATTGATTTTGGCAGACTTTGGCCTTTTCTTCTGGGGATGGACAGCCAGGACCAACATTAATAGACACAATCAGGCAAGATTATGTATTTATGTAATTTTAAATATAAAAGTACTCTGGGAATCCCCTGTTTTCTGAAGTATTTTTTCTGACATCATAGTCAGTATGCCAGTTTTGCCTTAGTAAGGGGATTACTTTGCCTCATTAATTTCATCAACACCTAGCTTTTAATCAGCTAGTCAATTAAGTAGAAATTTTGATTCTTAAATAATATGATTTTACTTATTACGTCAGTATTTATGTTTCCAGGCAAGTGTTATTCCTTGTCATTTTTAGAGATGATAACCTTCTTCCATGACTCAAAATGATTGGCAAAGTGATCTTTCAGACTCTTTCAAGTGTCTGTGACTGACCCATTCCTCTGAAAATTTCTATTTAAAAATTACGTTCAGTCTATTTCTAAGACCACAAAAATGTATGTTCACTGTAGCATATTTGAAAATTTGATAGGCAAAATAAGAAAATTTGAACCATCTATATTTCCGTCTTCTAGGAATAATAACTCTCAGTATTTTAGTTTATATGCTTCTGATTTTTAAGAGAAAGATAATTTTTAAAAATTAGATCAGGACTGGAGCAGTGGCTCACGCCTATAATCCTAGCACTTTGGGAGGCTGAGGCGGGTGGCTCACGAGGTCAAGAGATTGAGACCATCCTGGCCAACATGGTGAAACCCTGTCTCTACTAAAAATACAAAAATTAGCCAGGCATAGTGGCACACACCTGTAGTCCCAGCTACTCGGGAGGCTGAGGCAGGAGAATTGCTTTAACCCAGGAGGCGGAGGTTGCAGTGAGCTGAGATCCTGCCACTGCACTCTAGCTTGGTGAGAGAGCAAGACTCCATCTCAAAAAAAAAAAAAAAAAAAACCATTAGATCCTATTATAATATTGTTTTGAAATTATTTGCTTCATTCAAAGATATGGCATAAATCTCTTTCCATGCTTGGAATTCATCATGTAATGTAATGTACCTTATCTAATGAACACTCTATTGTCCAACTTTATAGTAGTGCAAAAGTGATGTATTCAGTACACTCCTCAATCTATCATTGGTTTATGTTCAGACAAACCCATTGTTAGTTGAAAATATTTTAAGTTGAAAGTTTTGTAACCCATTGTAAGTTGAGGAGCATCTGGTACAAATTTACTTCTTGATCACATTGCCACACTATTATAAATAGGTAGGTGGGGAGCCCCCTTCCATACAGTCATTCAGGGGCCCACATTGATGGAGGCTTTTGTTTTTTACATTTAGCTTCCAGCGTGGCATTGTGGATCTTCTCCATCCCAGCCAGCTATAAAAGAGAAAGAGCATGGAAGAGAGTAAAAGATGTTTTTAATAGACTAGACTGGATAGTGGTATCCTCAATTCTGCTGACATTTCATTGGTTTGAATTCAATCATATGATGACATGTACATGCAAGGAAGTCTGGAAAATGTAGCTTTAGCTATGAGGATAAGAAAAAAGTTGTGAATGTTGATGAGCATTTTATAATCTCTGCTATACCATCACTTGTTAACGTGCTTTAATGCAGAGTTATTAGGCCTAAAAATCCAATGTAATATTACGTAGCCACGTAAAATCAGTGGTTCTGGTTGCTTGCAGGATCAACATAAAATTTGGCCTAAATATGTAATTTCCATGTGAACGGCTTCTGTTTTCATCCAGTATCAAACTTGAACAATAGATGAACTGAGCACCTCTTTGATTTCTTCAGTAAATAATCCCATCATACCACCACATTAACAAGCAATGTAGAAGTGATCTACAATTTCATAGGAGTGGCAGACAACATTCACCATACAGCAAACGGCTCAATAAATCTTCATCACACATTTTCATTCTCTTCCAAAGTCTTCTTTCAACTGTGTGGCCATTTGAAGACTTAAAAAAAAACTTTTCCAGCATGAAGGCCCTAAATCTTCCCAGCTTCTATGTCCCGTACCTATATCAACTTTCTTATATATCTTGTAATAGACCAGATATACTAAACATGCATACCCACACTCATCACCTTATTTAGGAAAAAACATAAGACCCTTTAAATTACTGATTCCATCCTCCTCAAAAAGCAGTAAGGGATGATAAATTGCATCCCGTCCTCCCCACTCGCCACTGTACAAGTTATGTCAAAGGGCTTTTTGGCAGACTCATTTCTACCTTTTAAAATTTTATCTCTAGTTTTCCCCTTCATGCCTCCTACTATACTCCAGTTATTCTGAACTCCTCTCACTATTCCTTGAGCACATTATGGTGGATTTGTTTTTTCATATCTCTAGGGCCTTTGTAGAGACTACAGCCTCCACTCAGAACCCTTCTCCTGCTTCTGCATGTCAAAATCCCATAAACCCTAGGGGCTGGCTTAAATGTCTCCTTCACTGTGGAGCCTTACCTACCCTTATTTCACTGCTCTCACCTGCACAGAATTTATCACTCTGTCTTCTCTGCTCTGATAGAATTCTGTACACATTTCTATTTTAGTACTTATTGCATTGTCTAATATATTATTCAGGTATCTAGTTCTTCAGAACAGAGAGATTTTGTCATCTTTGAATTCTCAGTGTAGTACCTAAGACGGGGCTTGAAACACAATTTCTCAGTAAATGTTTGTGGATGCAGAAAAACTGTCCTGAGAGCTGAAAGCTGGCCAAGAGACAGGGAGGCTCTCAGTCCATGACCAAAGGTTGAGTAACTAGTCTGGAACGCAGAGCACTCCCATGAGGGAAGCCTTCAGGGTAACTTTAATTCTTTCCCCTAAAGTGCTATCCTTGCAGGGGAAAAAACATTTTTGGAGCTATTTTAATTTGCTAGTTTCCAACAGGTTCTTAAATTACACTTTCTGTGAAGAGAATGCTGAAAGAGAGAGGAGATTAAGTAAAAGGAGAATACCAAGCCAGAAGCTAAGGACATTCCGGAAATGTTATGAGAGTTAAAATGTGTAACTTCTCCCTTCACTTCCTGGGTTTACGTGTATTTGATGTAGCTTGACCTATTGAACTCAGCTTGGGTTTCCCTGTGGAGTCTCTTTCAGGCCAAACTATCTATCTACTGTAACAGATAGAGAAATAACCATATATCCCTAACAGTTCCATACATTCCTATGAATTAATAAAATAATCCAGAAACTAAGTTTTCTAGTGCAATTTAGAAAGTAATTAACAACACTATGAATCTTTGCATGGAGGAACATGTTGACTGTGTAGTCAGTAACCCAGCCTTCTTTGTTATTATTTTGACCTTGATGCTAAAGCTGACCAGAGATAGGTGAGTAAAATGATACCCCATCAGAAAATTAAGGTACATCCTCCAGAGAATTAGGCAGTAGAGATATATCCAAAGTATGATAGATGCCCTTTTATACCAACTGGAATGGTAGTTGTTTAGTGTATTATTTAGGTAGCTCTAGCTGCTATTTACAAATAAATCTCCAAGTCTCAATGGTTCAACACAAAAATGTATTTCTTCCTCATGTTGGGCATCTCACCTCCAAATGATGATGGTTTAGGGATAATGGTTTCTTTTCTATGGTTTCTTCCATACTAGGGCTCTGGCAAATTCAACATAGGACTCTCCCAAGATTTCCCTGTGGCTTGTCTTCATCCTAGGCAGTGAAAAGGGGGAAACAGCACAGAGGCTCTTATGTGGGAGGGCTTTATGCATCAGGTCTGGAAAGGGTGCACGTTACCTCTAAGTCCATTCCTTTGGCAAAAAGCCAATCACAAAACCATGCCCAACTCCAAGAAAATCTGGAAACGTATTCATGCTATTGCAAGAAGCAGGAAAGTGGTGTGGTAGTCAATGCCATAATCTATTGAGGAAATAAATGTGGTTTAAAAAGGAAGCAAGAAAAATTTACAGTTGATCCTCATTATTCATGGATTTCATATTTGCAAATTCACCTATTAGCTAAAACTTATTAGTAACCTCATAGTCAATACTTAAAGTGTTTTCTTAGTCATTGTGAACATGCACAGAACAGTGAAAATTTTGAGTCACCCTATGTGCATGTCACCAGCTGAAGCTGAATAAGGTGATACTGTGCATTCTTGCTTCAGCTCTCATCTGTAAACAAATGTGCTTTTCAAGTCTATTTAATGCCATGTTTTTTTATGTTTTTGTGCTATTTTGTTAGTGATTTCACTGCTTAAAAGACTCCCAAGCACTGGGCTGAAGTGTTATCTAGTGTTCCTTAGTGCAAAAAGGCTGCAATGTGCCTTATGGAGAAAATATGAGCATTAGACAAGTTTTGTTTAGGCATGAGTTATAGTCTTGTCAGCTGTGAGTTCAATGTTAATGAATTGAAAATATGTATTAAACAAGATATCTTTAAACAGAAACACATGTGAAACAAGATTGCATATTGATTGATGGGTGAAAATGTGACCAGAAGCTTGCAAGAGCCTAGCCTTTTATTTTCCCAAGGAGCAATAGTTTAATATTTGCTAATTCAGTGTTCATGATGATTTTATAGAACACAATTACCATGAATAACAAGAATTGATTGTGTGTGTTTGTGTGTATGTGTAATTTTAACTTTCTATCCCATTCTTTTTTGTTTGTTTGTTTACATGTTGTGTCAAGTACTGCTTGTTGCTTACCCCGAAAGGCAATCTCCACTTCCCTCTGATGTCCTGGTTTTGTACACTAACAAAACCCTGATTTTGTTCAGACATCAGAAAGAGAAGAGAATCTAGATCTCAGCTAATGTCAGTGAGTAGTTTGGCATCGCTGAAGTCACAAGGAAGAAGTGGAAACAAATGAGACTGTAATATTAAGTTGAGACAGATAGTAAAAGATTTTATGTATCATACTCAAGGTTTGAAATTTAGCCTATAAGCCAGTGGATGTCAAACTTTTTTAAAGCAATTAGATACTTTAAAAACAAACAAAATCTTATCTAGAATACCAATACATAAAATGAGTAAAAGCAGAGTTCCTCTGAAATGGAAAGTGGGAGTCAGGAATCTTACTTATCTATCCTCTTCCTTTTTCTTCATGCTAACCCTTATAGAACCCTAGAATTTGACAAACTATGACTTGAAAATCCACTAACAGAATCGGCAAGAGATTACCTGATATCTTAAAATAAAACTTTATTGAAACATAATTTGATTACCATACAATTCACCCATTTAAAGTCAACAATACAATGGTATTTACTGTATTCAGAGTTGTACAACCATGCATGCATGTTCCACTACAATGTTTTCTAAACATTGGCGTCACCCCTGAAAGAAAGCTCATACTCATTATCAGCAGCCCCCACTTCCCCACAAATACCCTTATTACCCCTGAAGCAACCATTAATCTGTTTCTATCTTTATAGATTTTGCTATTCTGGACATTTCATATATTCTATTCTATTTCTATTATATTTCATATATTCTATTCTATTCTATTCTATTTCATATAAATAGAATCTTATGACTGAGTGACAGCCTTCTTTAACTCTATTGTGATTTCTTTTTTGACTTACTGGTTATTTAGAAGTGTGTTGTTTAATTTCCACATATTTGTGAATTTCTCAAATTTCTTTGTTATTGTTTTCTAATTTCACCCTTTGTGGCTGGAGAACATACTTTGTATGATTTCAATTCTTTTCATCCTTTTACATATATTAAGCCTTGTGTTACAGACTAGTGTATGGCCTATTGTAGAGAATGTTGCATGTGTTTATTATAGTTGGGTAGAATGTTTTATAGATGTCTGTTAGGTCTAGTTGATATATACTGTCATTCTAGTCTTCTATTTTTTTGTTGCTTATCTGTCTAGTTATTCTATCCATTATTAAAAGTAGGGTTTTAAAATACCCCGCTACTATTATTGAAATTTTTACTTCTTCTTTCCATTTTTTCTCTGGTTTTGCTTCATGTATTTTAGGGCTCTGTGGTACATTTATGGTGCATATTGGGTCATATATATTTATAATTGTTATTTATCCTTGATAGATTGACCCTTTTGTCATTATCCTTTTATCACTATAAAATGTTCCCCTCTCTCTTTAGTAACTTGTTTTTTGTTTGTTTTAAAGTCTGTTTCTTCTGATACTAGTATAGACACTCCTGGTTTCTTGTGGTTGCTGTTTGCTTGATGTTTTCAATCCTTTTACTTTCAACCTATTTGTAACTTTTACTTAAAGTGGGTCTTCTATAGATGACATATAATTGGAAGTGATTTACTTATCCAGTCTGATAATCTCTGCATTTTGATTGGAATATTTTGTCTGTTCATATTGAATGCTATTATATATTTACATAATCAATATATAGTTATATGTCTGACACATTACTTTTTGTTTTTTATATGTCTAATGTCTTTTTTGTTCTTCTATTCCTTCTGTATTATTTTCCTTGCATTAAATATTTCTAGTGTAACATTTTAATTTTTCAAATTATCTTCTTTACTGTATTTTTGAGATTTTTAAATGATTTCTCTAAAGTTTGTAATACACAACCTTGAATCTATTTCAGATTTATACTGTTAATTCCAGTAACATATAAAAACATTGCTTCTGATTAGCTCCAGTCCCTTTTCTCCTTTTAGTGCTATTTTGTGATGTATATTACATCTACATATATTATAATCCCTATAATACTTCCTTATAATTACTTTAAGTAAGTGTCTCAAAGAAGCTGAGGAAAAAAGGGGATACAGTATATAATTATGGAGTGTGTTATGTTAATCTTTTGATTTATCATTTGTAATTCTTTTCATTTGTTCCTGTGAATTTAAATTACTATCTGGTGTCATTTCCTTATTTCAATAAAACTTTGCTCCCACCTACCTCCTCCTCTATACTGTTATTGTCACAAATTGTAAATCTCTGTGTTAAAGACCCACAACATACCTATTAGTTTATAAAATTGCTTTTTAAATTATTTAAAAGAAAGGGGTAAAACTGTCCATTCACACTTTCTTTCATAATTATATTATTATTTTTATTGGTATTCTTTGTTTATTCATGCAAATTCAAATTACCATCTGGGATCACTTACTTTTAGCCTAGAGAACTTTGTAAAAATGTATTTCTTGAAAGGTGGATCTGATAACATTGAATTCTCTCAGTTTTTGCTTATCTGGAAATGTCTTTATTTTGTCTTTATTCAGCACATTGAATATATTATGTCACTGCCCTCTGATTTCCACTGTTTGTGATAAGTCAGCTGTTATTAAGGTAACCTACGTCATGAGTCCTTTCTCAACTTGTTTCTTCATGATTCGTTGGCTTTGCCTTTCGACAGTTTCATTATGATGTGTCTGGGTGTGGATTTTTTTGATTTTATCCTGTTGGAGTTTGCTGAGGTTCTTGGATGGATAAATAATATTTCTCAAGAAATCTGGGAAGTTTTCAGCCATTATTTCATTGAATATTCTGTTCCTTTTTCTCTCTCTTCTCCTTCTGGATCTCTCATATATGTACGTTGGTATGCTTAATGGTGCCCCACATTTATCAGAAGCTCTGTTAATTTCTTTTCATTCTTCTTTCCTTTCTGTTCTTCAGATTGCATCATCTCTATTGCTCCATCTCCACAAATTCTTTAATTTGCCTGTTCAAATCTGCTATTGAACTTCTCTAAGGAATTTCTCAAAACAGTTGTTGTACCTTCAATTTCATGATTTCTATTTGATTATTCATATACTTCATATCTTTTTTGAAATATTCTCTATTTAATGAGATGTCATCATAACTTCATATTTCTTCAAGCATGGTTTCCTTTAGTAAATTTTATATTTATAATGGTTGCCTTGAAGTCTTTCTTAAATCCAACATCTGGCCCTCTTACAGAATTTTTTTAACTTGCTTTATTTTCTGTGTATAGATCACACTTTTCTATTTCTTTGAATGTCTCCATTTTTCATTGAAAGTGCATATTTTAAGTAATATGCTGCAGCAACCCAGAACATGATTCTCCTTCCTTTTCTACAGGTCTACTTTTGTTATTATTGTTTTGTTTAGTAATTTTGCCAGGCGATTTCAGTGAAGTCCATTTTCCCTGCAGGGTGAAACTTCTGATGATGGTTGTCAAAGGGCACAACCTTGGGCATGGGCATAGTAACCTTGTAATGAGAGTGGTTTTAATGGGCTCCCTTTGATTGTCTCTTTTCCTTATCTCTCTGTTAAGCTGTGTGCCTCATATTATATCATACCCAGGTATTAGGCTTCACTGATTTTAGTCATATTATTCTATTGTTTTCAATAATATACTAGGGCATAGATTGTTCCACAGTCAGAACCATTTACATTTTTGAAGTATAGTTTTTGAGACTAGTTTTTGAGTTCTTTAGCTGTCCCTCTCCCTTGTTCCTTCTGGTAAACTGGATGGCCTAAAGTTTAGCTTGTCTCTTTCATGGAACTAAGCAACCTCCTCTTAATTGCTTACTATCAAAATCCTCATTGTTTTCAAGAGTGTCCCTAGGCTTGAACTTTCCCATACTCTGTTTTAATAAAGCCAGTTCCTTTGAGGAGAGCCTCCGAGCTCTGCATTCTTATGGACTACCTCTTTCACTGGGAAAAATCTCTGAGCCACTACTGCAGGTGCTTTATTGCACTGGTATATTAGTTTCCTAAGGATGCTGTAAGAAAGTGCCACAACTTAGAGGCATCAAACAACAGAAATTTTTTCATTCACAGTTCTGGAGGTTAGAAGTCTGAAACTGAGATGTCAGTAAGGCCATGCTCTTTATGAAGACTCTAAAAGACAATCTGTCTGACGTCCTTCTCTTAGCTTAGTTACTGGCAATCAGAGGTGTTCCTTGTCTTGCAGCTTTATCATTCTAATTTCTGTCTCCTTCATCATATGATCTTCTTCCTGTGTCATTCTTTGTGTCTTCTTTTCTTTTTTTTTTTTAGATGGAGTCTTGCTCTGTCTCCAGGTTGGAGTGCAGTGGCGTGATCTTGGCTCACTGCAACCTCCACCTCCCAGGTTCAAGCGATTCTCCTGCCTCAGCCTCATGAGTAGCTGGGACTACAGGCGTGCACCACCATGCCCAGCTAATTTTTGTATTTTCTATTTTTAGTAGAGATGGGGTTTCACCATGTTGGCCAGGATGGTCTCGATATCTTGACCTTGTGATCTGCCTGCCTCGGCCTCCCAAAGTGCTGGGATTACAGGTGTGAGCCACTGTGCCTGGCCTTGTCTTCTTGTAAATACATCACCCATATTAGATTAGGGCTCACTCTAATGACCTCATCTTCACTTTTTTACATCTGCAAAAACCTTATTTTCCTAGAGGTCACATTCAAAAGTACCAGGGTTTAGGACTTCAACATATCCTTTCTGGGGTCACAAAACCCATAAAAGCAAGGGAGCCTAGACAATGTGATCTGCAGGAATTAGCATCTCAGGGCACAAAGCAGCAAGAGAAAAGTAGACAGTGATTAAGGGCATTACTAATGGAGACTTAGTCTATTTTATGCTGCCATAGCTGAATAACATGGACTGAGTAATTTTTAAAAAATAGAAGTTTATTTGGCTGAAGATTATGGAGGCTAGGAAGTCAGAGATTAAGGGGTCACACCTGGTAAGGACCTCCTTGCTGCCTCATAACATGGTGGATGGCATCATATGTTGAATAGCATGCAAGAGAAAGAGAAAGCCAAACTTGTTTTTATAACAAACCCATTCTCATGATAACAAACCCACTTCTGCAATAATGATATTTATCCATTCAAGAGGGTAAAGTCCTCATGACCTAATCATCTCTTAAGGGTCATGTCTCTCAACGCTGTTGCATTGGAGGTTAAGTTTTTAACACATGAACTTTGGGGACACATTCAAACCCTTTCTCAAAAGTAGCTGACATGTGGCAAACCCTGGAATCAGAAAAGCAGAGTCCAAAAACAGTTTGGCTGTGTATCTTCAAAACTGTACAGTACATAGGGTGCCATGATCATTGACTTCAAATTTCCCTTCACTTTGGCATGTATTACTTCCCTAGTGGAGTTGTATGATAGCCTATTGTCACATAACATTAAAATCACTAAATAAAATTTCCTTGTTGTGATTTCATGTTCAGCAAACTGATCATAATTTGGCTTTTCATACAGTTTTTCCGTAGGGAAATAATGTACTAACTGTTACAGTAGGTAGTCAGGCAGACATGAGCAGGGCAGGAGACACATCCCACCCACCAGGAATGTCAGGTGACCATCATGTGGTGGTTAGGCAGCTATAAGATGTCTCTCTAAAATAATAATTGGTTGCAGCCAGCACCAGGGAAAGGAAGTCTCCCAATAGGTAGAAATACCTGAAACTGGTAATCAGCAGCTTCCCAGTAAGATCTCAGGAGTTGGGCAAGTGGGCTCAACCATGCTCACTAAAAGGCAAAATGGTAGCGTTTAACTGGTGTATGACCTTTCTTTAGGAATCATACTGGTAAGGGAAAAATACCACAAGTGAGCATGTGTACAACTTCGGTAGACACACTATGCATGAGGCCCCTCCGAAGTGCTAGCAGGCCACTGCACATGTGGACAGCCCACCCTAAGGGAAGAATCAGGGGAGAAGTAATGCAACCCTGGGAGCATGCCAAGACCCCATATCGAAAGTCAGATCACACACTTGAGAGATCAAGTCATCCGCTTGGCCCTTTTCCAAGTGTACTTTACTTCCTTTGGTTCCTGTTCTAAACTTTTTAATAAACTTTCACTCCCACTCTAAAACTTGCCTCAGTCTCTCATTCTGCCTTATGCCCCTGGATGGAATTCTTTCTTTTGAGGAGGCAAGAACTGAGGTTGCTGCAGACCCATACAGATTCACTGCTGATAACACTAACCACCTTATTTGAATGTTCTCATCTGAAAAATCATTCTTACTTCTATTGTAAATTGGCATTTTATGTGCTGGTCTGTAAAAAATCCTTATTGTACTGGCTATGAAGAACTGAGGCTAATATTGACTTCTTAATCAAATTTCTACCCTTCAAGTCACTGCCATAGCAGCCAGCTAGCCTAAGATGACTCTTCTGCCTCTACTTTATAATAATTAGGTATGAGTACTGAGTAAAAAACTAAAATTTATTGAATACTTATTATTTACTATGGTATATGCAATGGACTAAAGGCCTGCATATGCCCAAAATTCATATGCAACCACCAAAATCCTAACCCCAGTGTTATGACATTAGGATGCGGTGCCTTTGGGAGGTAATTAGGTCATGAAGGTAGACTCCTCATGAATGGCATTAGCACCCTATTATAAAAAGGGACCTCAGAGAGCTCTCTTGCCTTCTTTCCACCATGTGAGGGATCAATGAGTTGTTAGCTGTGTGCAACCCAGAAGAGAGCCCTCACCAGAACCTGACCCTGCTGGCGTCTTTATTTTGGACTTGTCATTCTTAAGAAGTGTGAGAAATAAATTTATTTTGCAAGCCACCACATTTATGGTACTTTGTGATAGAAGCCCAAACTAAAATAGCATATAAAGGTTGTATATGCTGTTTCATTAAATTCTCATAATAATCTTGTGAAATATTCTCATTTTACATCCATGGAAACTATGGCAAAGGGAAGACAATTTCAGTGCCCCAGGTAGTAAGTTGTAGAGCTGGGATTTGAACCCATGTCTTTATGACTCCAGAGCCTGTCCTATTTCCATGACAACATGCTTTTCTGACTATTGATTTTATTGACCAATGACCAAAGGATATTTTCATGGTAATTTAATTTACTAGGTCTTTAATTAACACCTAATTTTATTTCATATATTGATAGGCATTGTGGGGAACATGAAAGAATTTAAAGAAATTGCCTCTTTCTTCTGGACTCTTATAATCTAATTTAACAAAAAGGCAGTGCTTGAGCCCCAGAATAACATTCGTGAATTATAAGTGCTGTGGGAAGTCAGAAATCAGTAAATAATTGATATAGATATGAAATACCTCATGGAGGTTAAACAGTTTATACAGAGGGATATTTTAGGCAAAAGATCTAGCATTAATGAGCATATTTGGCTGAGAATGAGTGTAACATATTTAGGAATAGAGAGAAGACAATCCTAGGTAGAGCAGAGGGGATGTAAAATGTAAGAAAGAAAATAGTAGGTCAATAAGTAGTCAGGCAAGACCTCAGCCTTGGAACATCTGATTGATGTCTAAGCTTGAGTTTTCAGTCATTGTAGAAGTACTGAAGGGTATTGTACAGTGCTGATTTTGAAAAAAATATATTTTCTGAAAATTAGCCTGTCAGGAGTATGTGAATAACAAGGAGTCAAAGATAAGAGTTTGGTAAGCAAGGTATCAGAATAGGAAGTCTCAGGCTGTGCTCACCCTCCTCGACACAGAAAGTTCAATGAGCAACTATCTACAGACCATAACATCTTTCTGAAAATTTCAATACTTGGAAACAAGGCTGAGACACCCATGTGGTCCGTGGAATTAAATGATAACTGAATTAGAAAAGTCTCACTTTGGCCGGGCACGGTGGCTCATGCCTGTAATCCCAGCACTTTGGGAGGCCGAGGTGGGCAGATCATGAGGTCAGGAGATCGAGACCATCCTGGCTAACATGGTGAAACCCCGTCTCTACTAAAAAATAGAAAAATTTAGCCAGGCATGGTGGCAGACACCTGTAGTCCCAGCTACTCGGGAGCTGAGGCAGGAGAATGGTGTGAACCCAGGAGGCGGAGCTTGCAGTGAGCTGAGATCACACCACTGCACTCCAGCCTGGGCGACAGAGCAACACTCTGTCTCAAAAAAAGAAAAGAAAAGAAAAGAAAAATCTCACTTCAGCTGTGTCACTACCCCCTCAACCCCCTTGAAGTTGGCACAGTGCCAGACAGAGAAGATTCCCCTGGACCCACAGTTTTTATAGTGGGAAAAAAGAAATGGAGGCAGTCATCCAGTGTCCCTAGCATTCTGAGATGTTTCCTTCGTCATCTTATGGGATACACTGAGGGTAATGACATAGCTAAACTGTTCAAAGTCAAGTAGAAACAAAGAATGAAGGTGGAGCTCACAGTGACCAGTGTGTGGATCTTGGTGGTACCTCCGTGTTCCTACCAATTGTGGCACCCAATTGGAGAGCCCAGCAAGTGCATAGCACACCTGCAAAGCTGAACTGGTTGCTTTCAGAAGCACAGTGAAAAGTTTAACTTTGGCTTGAGTCTCTAGACAACTAGTCTCCACAATCAGCCTCTTGAGACACCCCAACCACTTCACCTGGGCAAGGAGATGCTTGCCTTAGCCCATTCAGAGAAGCTTAGGGGCTAGAAGTGCTTGACCTGCAAGTGCAGAATGGCTCAGTTTAGCCAAAAAGCCCCTGGTGACCCCATTCGGGCAAGGAGATATTAACTTCTTCACATTACAGAGAAGCATAGGGACTAGACCTGCTCAACCTTGGAAATTAAACAACAGTTTGACTCAGTCAAAAGTTCACTCTATGGCTCTGCCTGGACATAGAGGCAATCCCCAATTATGCATTTCTAAGGAGCATAGCCTCAGGTTCCACCCTTCTGGAGTAGCAACTCTGCCTAACCTCAGAGGTCAGGGCCACTGTAGACCTGCCCAGTTGCAGATTCCGAATAATGGAACTGCCCAGCCAGGAAATACATCCTGTGACCAGCCTGACCAGACGCCATCACAGTACCAAGCCAGAAGCTCTGCCTGATAGCAGAGCCCAGCAAGTGATCTCACTGGACAGCTGAGTCCAGCCAGTAGCCCCATCTGACATCAGAGCAAAGACAATAACTCAGCCACCTAGAGAACCCACACAAACTCTTCCTGCCTAAGGTTGTCACCAGCTTGCCATTTTAGAATTTCAGACTACAATAAATAATGAAGACCTATCCCTGCCAAAGAACACCTGTAAAAGTTGGAAGAGGAGGCTCTCTCTTTAAATGCACAGACAACACCACAAGGATTGTGAGGAATCAAGAAATCATGACACTTCTAAGAAATACAGGTCTATAAAATGACTGAAAATGAATTCAGAATAATCCTCTTAAAGAAATTCAGTGAACTACAAGAATATATGGATAGAAAATTAAGTGAAATTTGTAAAACAATACACAAACAAAGCTAGTTCAACAAATAGAAACAATTTTTTTACAAAACTAGAAATCCTAGAGATGAAGAATACAGTGACTAAACTGAAAAAATGCACTAGAAAGCTTCATCAGCAGACTTGACCAAGCAGAAAAAGAATCAATGAGCTTGAAGAAAAAGCATCTGAAATTATTCAGTCAAAGGAGCAGAAAAACAAAAGAATGAAGAAAGCCTGTGGGAATTATTGAACACTATCAAGACACCAAACCTTCGCATAATAGAAGTATCAGAGAAGAAAAAAGAGAGAAAGGGCCAGAAAGCATATTTCTGGAAATAATGGCTGAAAAATTCCTCAATTTGGGGATAGATGCCAACATTCAGGTATAGGAAGTGCAGAAGTCTACAAATTCTACCAGTAATAATCAAAATATCAAAAATCAAAGGCAAAGAATCCTGAGATCAGCAAGAGATAAGATATATAAAGGAGTCTCAATATCACATATAAAGGAGTCTCAATATGACTATCAGCAGATTTCTCAGCAAAAACCCTGCAAGACCGGAGAGAGTGTGATATTATATTCAAAGTGCTAAAGGAGAAACACTGATGACTAAGAATACTTTACATAGTGAAGCTCTCTTTCAGACATGAGGGAGAAATAAAAACTTTAACAGATGAATAAAAACTAAAGGAGTTCATTACCAGTAGATGTGCTTTACAAGAATTGCTAAAGGGAGTTATTTAATCCAAAACAAAAAGCTGCTAATTAAGGACATAAAACAAATGAAAGCACAAAACTGAATGTTAGTAATACAGAGCCATGTTGAGAATACTCTGGGAACATAAAAATGGTGTTTAAAGCAATTTTATCTCTGGCACAAAGGTTAAAATACAAAACTATTAATAAAAGGTGTAGCCAAAATAAATTGTCAAGGGATACACTTTACAAAATGATGTCCATTGTGACATCAAAGATGTAAAATGTGAGGAAGGGGAGTAAAAATGTAGATTATGACATCAAAGTTGATATTAGCTTGAAATAGTCTGTTATAAGTATAATATGTTCTATGTAAGTATCATGGTAAACATAAAGCAAAAATCTTTAGTAGAATCACAAGGAAAAAAAAGAATTCAAAGCATACCACTACATAAAACCATCAAACCATAAAGGAAGACAGCAAGAGATGAAGAAGGAAGTAAAATAACTATAAAACAACCAGAAAACAATTCACAAAATGATAGTAACATGTCCTTACCTATCAATAATGTCCTTGAATGTAATGCATTAAATTCTCCCATAAAAATGCTTGAAGTAACTTAATGGAAAACAGCAACAACAACATGACCCAACTATATGCTGCCTCAAAGGGACTCACCACATTTTTAAGGACACATATACACTGAAAGTGAAGGCATGGAAAAATATTATTCCACCTAAATGGAAACCAAAAGAAAGCGGTAGCTATACTTATATCAGAAAAAAATAGACTTTAAGTCAAAAACTGTAAAAAGAGACAAGGACAGTATATAATGACAAATGGATCAATTCCTCAAGAGGATGTAACAATTGTAAATATATTTGCACCCAATATTGGAGCACCTAAATATATAAAATAAATATTAAAGGATATGAAAGGAGAGATAGATATTATTCAGTACAATAATAGTAGGGGATATTAATGTTCCACTTTCAACAATGGGTAGATCATCCAGACAGAAAATTAATAAGAAAACATTGGACTTGAATAGCACCTTAGACTAATTGGACCTACCAGACTTATACAGAACATTCCATCCAACAGCAACAGAATACACATTCTTCTGAAGTACACATTGGACATTCTCTAGGATAGATAATGAAAGGCCATAAAACAAGTCTTAGCAAATTAAGAAGACTAAAATCATATCAAGTATCTTTTCCAGCCACAATGATATGAAACTAGAAATCAATAACAGGAAGAATTTTAGAAAATTCGCAAATTTATAAAAATTAAACAACATGCTCCTGAATGGACAACAAATTGAATTAAAAGAGAAATTTAAAAATATCTTGAGACAAACCAAAATGGAAATACAACATACCAAAACTTACAAGATACAGAAAAAGCAGTTTTAAGAGGTAAGTTTATAACAATACATGCCTACATCAAAAAAGATATCAAATAAACAACTTAATGTTACTTCTCAAAGAAGTAACATTAGAAAAAGAACAAACTAATCCCGACATTAAAAAGGAAGGAAGTAATAAAGATTGGAGCAGAAATAAATGAAATAGAGATTAGGAAAAAATCTTGTCTGATCTCAGAAGCTAAGAAAGGTTAGTACTTAGGTGGGAGACTAGAAAAACAATACAAAAGATTGATGAAACTAAGAGTTGATTTTTGGGAAAGATAAGTGAAATTGAAAAACCTACATCTAGACCAAGAAAAAAGAAAAAGACTCAAATAAATACAATCATAAATGAAAGAGGAGATATTGCAACTTATACCAGAGAAATACAAAGGGTCACAAATGATGATTATGAACAATTATACACAGATTATCTAACCTAGAAAAAATGGTTAAATTCATAGACATGTATGCCCTACCATGAATGATAAAGAAATAGAAAATCTGAACCTACCAATAATAAGTAAGAAGATTGAATCAGTAATACAAAGTCTTCCATCAAAGAAAAGACCAGGACCTATGGCTTCACTGCTGAATTCTACCAAATGATTAAAGAAGAATTAGCACCAATCCTTCTCAAACACTTAGAAAAAATTGGAGAGGATGGAATACTTCCAGACTTTTTAATGAAGCTAGCATTACCCTGATACTAAAGCAGAAAAGAACATTACAAGAAAAGAAATTACATAAATTTAATATTTTCTATAAATTTTGATGCAAAAATCTTCAACAAAATACTAGCAAATCAAATTCAACAATACATTAAAAGAATCATTTGCCATGATCAAGTGTGATTTTCCCCAGTATACAAAAATGGTTCAACATACACAAATCAATAAATGTGACACACCACATTAACAGAATGAAGGACAAAAAGAAAGCCACCAAAAATCATCTCATTTGATACAGAAAAAGAAACTGACAAAGTTTAACATCCTTTGATGATAAAAAATCTCATCAAATTAGGTATAGAAGGAATGTACCTCAACACAATAAAGGCTGTATATAATAAGCCCACAGCTAACATACTCAACAGTGAAAAATTAAAAGCCTTTTTTCTAAGATCTGGAAAAAGATAGGGATGCCCACTTGTGGCACTTGTATTTAACATAGTGTTGGAAGTCTTTGCCTAAGCAATTAGGCAAAAGAAAGAAATAAAATGTATTCAAATAGGAAAGGAAGTGAAATTGTTACTTTTTGCTGACAACATGATCTTATCTATAGAAAACCTGAAGATTCCACCACAAAACTATTAGGACTAATACACAAATACAGTAAAGTTTCAGGATACAAAATCAACACACAAAAATTAGTAATATTTCTATACACTAACAATGAACTACTTAAAAAAGAAATCAAGAGAACAATCTCATTTACAATAGCCATAAAAAATGTTACTTAGAAATAAGTTTAACCAAGGAAGTGAAAGACCTGTATGCCGAACCCTTTAAAACATTGATTAAAGAAATTGAAGAGGCCAGGCATGGTGGCTCACACCTGTAATCCCAGCACTTTGGGAGGCCAAGGCGGGTGGATCACTTGAGGCCAGGAGTTAGAGACCAGCCTCGCCAACATGGCGAAACCCCATCTCTACTAAAAATACAAAAATTAGCTGGGTATGGTGGCAGGCACCTGTAACACCAGCTACTTGGGAGGCTGAGGCAGGGTAATTGCTCAAACCTAGAGGGTAGAGGCTGCAGTGAGCCAAGATCACACCACTGCACTCCAGCCTGAGTGACAGTGTGAGACTCCATCTCAAAAAAATAAATGAAAGAAAGAAAGAAAGAGAGAAAGAAAGAAAGAGAGAAAGAAAAGAAACAAGAAAGAAAGAAAGAAAGAAAGAAAGAAGGAAAGAAAGAAAGAAAGAAAGAAAGAAAGAAAGAAAAAGAAATTTGAGAAAACACAAATGGAAAGATATCCCTGTACTCATGGATTAGAAGAATTATTGTTAAAATGTCCAGCCAAAGCAACCTATAGATTTAATGCAATCTTTATCAAAATTCCAATGTTATTTTTCCTACAAATAGAAAACAATTATGTATTGGTCTGTTTTCATGCTGCTGATAAAGACATATCTCAGACTGGGCGATTTACAAAAGAAAGAGGTTTATTTGACTTACAGTTCCACGTGGCTGGGGAAGCCTCACGTTCGTGGCAGAAGGTGAAAGGCACGTAACACATGGCAGCATACAAGAGAAAAGGGCTTGTGCAGGGAGACTCCTGTTTTTAAAACCATCAGATCTCCTGAGACGTATTCGCTGTCATGAGAACAGCACAGGAAAGACCTGCCTGTATGATTCAGTTACCTCCCAAGAGGTCCCTCCCACAATATGTGGGAATTCAAGATGAGATTTGAGTGGGGACACAGCCAAACCATATCATTCTTCCCCTGGCCCCTCCCAAATCTTATGTCCTCACATTTCAAAATTAATCATGCCTTCCCAACAGTCCCCCAAAGTCTTAACTCATTTCAGCATTAACGCAGGAGTCCACAGTTCAAAGTCTCATCTGAGACACATCAAGTTCCTTCTGACTATGAGCCTGTAAAATCAAAAGCATTTTAGTTACTTTCTAGATGCAGTGTGAGTACAGGCATTGAGTAAATACACCCATTACAAATGGGATAAATGGGCCAAAACAAAGGGGCTACAGGCCCCATGCAAGTCTAGAATTCATCAGGGCAGTCAAATTAAGCTCCAAATGATCTCCTTTGACTTCATGTATTACATGCAGGTCATGCTGATGTAAGAGGTGGGTTCCCATGGTCTTGGGCAGCTCTGTCCCTATGGCTTTTCAGGGTACAGCCTCCCTCCCAGCTGCTTTCACAGGCTGGCACTGAGTGTCTGAGGCTTTTCTAGGCACACAGTGCAAGCTGTTGGTGGATCCACCATTCTGGGGTGTGGAGGATGGTGGCCCTCTTCTCACAGCTCCATTAGATGGTGCCCCAGTAGGGACTCTGTGTGAGGGATACAACCCCACATTTCCCTTCCACACTGCCCTACCAGAGGTTCTCCATGAGGGCCCCACCCCCTCAGCAAACTTTTGCCTGGGCATCCAGGTGTTTCCATATACCTTCTGAAATCTAGGTGGAAGTTCCCAAACCCCAGTTCTTTACTTCTGTGCACTTGCAGGCTCAATACCACATGGAAGCTGCCAAGGCTTGAGGCTTGCACCCTCTGAAGCCATGGCCCAAGCTCTACATTGGACCCCTTCAGACACAGCTGTAGCAGCTGGGACGTGGGGTACCAAGTCCCTAGTCTGCACACAGCATGGGGACCTTGGGCCCAGCCCACAAAACCATTTTTTCTTCCTAAGTCTCTGAGCCTGTGATGGGAGTGGCTGCTGCAAAGGTCTCTGACATGCCCTAGAGACATTTTCCCCATTATCTTGGTGATTAACATTCAGCTCTTTGTTATTTATGCAAATTTCTGTAGCTAGCTTGAATTTCTTCTCGGAAAATGGGATTTTCTTTTCTATCGCATTGTCAGGCTGCAAATTTTCCTAACTCTTATGCTCTGTTTCACTTTTAAAACTGAATGCTCTTAACAGCACCCAAGTCACCTCTTGAATGCTTTGCTGCTTAGAAATTCCTTCCACCAGATAACCTAAATCATCCCTCTCAAGTTCAAAGTTTGACAAATCTCTACGGCAGGGGCAAAATGCTGCCAGTCTCTTTGCTAAAACATAACAAGAATAATGTTTGCTCCAGTTCCCAACAAGTTCCTCATCTCCATCTGAGACCACCTCAGCCTGGATTTTATTGTCCATATAGCTATTAGCATTTTGGGCAAAGCCATTCAACAAGTCTCTAGAAAGTTCCAAACTTTCCCTTCTTCATCTGAGCCCTCCAAACTGTTCCATCCTCTTCCTGTTACCTAGTTCCAAAGTCGCTTCCACATTTTCAGGTATCTTTTCAGCAGCATCCCATTCTACTGGTACCAATTTACTGTATTAGTCTGTTTTCATGCTGCTGATAAAGACATACCCAAGACTGGGCAATTTACAAAAGAAAGAGGTTTATTGGACTTACAAATTCTATATGGCTGGGGAGGCCTCACAATCATGGTGGAAGGTGAAAGGCATGTCTCACATGGTGGCATAGAAGAAGAGAGAGCTTGTGGAGGGAGACTCCCGTTTTTACAACCGTCAGATCTCATGACATGTATTAACTATCACAAGAACAGCATGGGAAAGACCTGCCCCCATGATTCAGTTACCTCCTGCAACATGGGAATTCAAGATGAGATTTGGGTGAGGACACAGCCAAACCATATCAAATTCTAAAATGCATATGAAAGTATAAAAAAACCAAATAGCCAAAGTAATCATGAGCAAAAGGAAAAAAACTGGAGGTATCACACCACCTGATATCAAACTATACTACAAAGCTATAGTAATTAAAACAGCATGGTACTGGCATAAAAATAGACACATTGACCAATGAAATAGAATAGAGTTCATAAATGAATCCATGCATGTATATACCTAATGCTAGATGACGAGTTAGTGGGTGCAGCGCACCAGCATGGTGCATGTATACATATGTAACTAACCTGCACAATGTGCACATGTACCCTAAAACTTAAAGTATAATTTAAAAAACTTACAATAAAATTTTTCTAAAAATAGGAGTTTTATTTGGGCCAGAGATGCCAGCCAACAGTTAATGGGACACATTCCAAGGTTAGAGCAGTGCTATGCTGACCTTGAGAGCTGCACTTGCAGCCAGGCTTGGTGGCTCACGCCTGTAATCCCAGCACTTTAGGAGGCCGAGGCAGGCAGATCACCTGAGGTCAGGAGTTCGAGACCAGCCTGACCAACATGGAGAAACCCTGTCTCTACTAAAAATACAAAATTAGCCGGGCATGGTGGTGCATGCCTGTAATCCCAGCTAAGATTCGGGAGGCTGAGGCAGGAGAATCACTTGAATCCGGGAGGCAGAGGTTGCAGAGAGCCAAGATCGTGCCACTGCACTCCAGCCTGGACGACAGAGCGAGACTCCATCTAAAACAAAAAAAGAGAGAGCTGCACTTGCACAGACAGCCTTTCTGCTTCCATTCATCAGTTGGAGATATTCTGCCTCTGGCCACTGTTTGGATCTGTGGCACTGCCCTGTGCAAACCATAATGAGGGAGGTAGAGAGTTTACAGATGCATTTGTTCAAGGAATTTATCCCTCTTAAGCAAGCAGTTTGTTTAGTGAGTTTTGGCATGGTCCTGTTGTAAAGAGCCAGGCTCCTTTAGCACTTAAAGTATTTTGGAGGAAAGGTGCTATGCAAATTGAATTGATGCTATTTATGACTGCTTTGGTTTTTCTGTAAGTGTCTGGAATGTCTACTCAGAGATTACCAACTTGAGGGCTCAGAAGGCATGCCCAAGAGACCTTGCCACAAGTGGCAGTTCTATCAATATCCAGTTGTGTAAAACGGCAAGATTTTGTGACTGTTGGGAAAGCTAGTGCTATTTATACCATATAAAAGATTGCTCAAGGTCATCCCTCTTACACCAGCTTTAGTAAATTCAGTGTGACGTGTGGTTTTCCTCAATTGTTGATGAAATGTCTCCTTTGGGGACACTCACCAGCAAAGGATAAAGTTCAAACTTTTAAACTGGTATTCAGTGTTGTCTGTGACTCTTCTTTTAGTCTCTGTTTACTACTTACCTACACGAACCTCCTGCTCTGATCAAACAGCGCTACTCACCATTGCCCAACTTTCCACTTTCTCACCAGTGTGTTTTTGTTCACCCCCATCTTCTCCTCCCACACTTCTCCTCCCTAATCCCTCCTTCTTGACCATACCAAAAACTCAGTATCCTCTATTTAAATCCTATATGCCTTTTACGAGGCAGTATAATTTCTGGTCCTCCGTGAGGACAGCTGCAGAGAAATTATAGATGACCTACTGTTTATTCATGTAGTTGGCATTTTCAATTTAGATTATGTTTTGCATTTAAAAAAATGTTTTTAGATTTTAAACTCCTAAAGGGCAAGAACGGACTCTATAACTCTGCATACAACCAAGAGCCCTGTGTAATTAAGAACTCAAAAGTTAATGCTTTTAATGTCACTGATATTATGAAGATAAATAGAGGAATGCAATAGGGAGAGTTGTTAATTACTTACTCCTAGAAATTTACTCTATAATTTTTAAGAAAAATTTATGTTGACCCAGATTCCCCCGAAGAATTTGTATAGATGTGTGAACTTTGTTATCACTAGTGTGCCTTATCAAGGGTGGCTGCTTTTGTGGGGAGGAGTGAAGCTCAGTAAGGCCTGCTGAATGGGATTCTCAGACTTAACATTAATGATCTTTCCCCTAGACATAGAAAAATTATGTTCCTGAGTAAAGATCACTTTTCCACAAATGTGGAAAGTTACCACTTTACCCCTAGAAATCTATGGGTAGCTAGTAATGTGTTCCTGTTTGTCTGCCTGATATTATAATTTGATGTCTAGCTCAACAGTTGTGGCAACATTGTGATTGCTTTTTTTTTTTTTTTTTTTTTGGATTTCCCAGAGGCATCTTTATTTGGCAGAATGACGGATTAGTTTTTCTTATTTTTTTTTCTTTTTTTTTTTTATTATACTTTAAGTTTTAGGGAACATGTGCACATTGTGCAGGTTAGTTAAATATGTATACATGTGCCATGCTGGTGCGCTGCACCCACTAACTCATCATCTAGCCTTAGGTATATCTCCCAATGCTATCCCTCCCCGCTCCCCCGACCCCACCACAGTCCCCAGAGTGTGATATTCCCCTTCATGTGTCCATGTGATCTCATTGTTCAATTCCCACCTATGAGTGAGAATATGCAGTGTTTGGTTTTTTGTTCTTGCGATAGTTTACTGAGAATGATGATTTCCAATTTCATCCATGTCCCTACAAAGGACATGAACTCATCATTTTTTATGGCTGCATAGTATTCCATGGTGTATATGTGCCACATTTTCTTAATCCAGTCTATCATTGTTGGACATTTGGGTTGGTTCCAAGTCTTTGCTATTGTGAATAATGCCGCAATAAACATACGTGTGCATGTGTCTTTATAGCAGCATGATTTATAGTCATTTGGGTATATACCCAGTAATGGGATGGCTGGGTCAAATGGTATTTCTAGTTCTAGATCTCTGAGGAATCGCCACACTGACTTCCACAATGGTTGAACTAGTTTACAGTCCCACCAACAGTGTAAAAGTGTTCCTATTTCTCCACATCCTCTCCAGCACCTGTTGTTTCCTGACTTTTTAATGATTGCCATTCTAACTGGTGTGAGATGATATCTCATAGTGGTTTTGATTTGCATTTCTCTGATGGCCAGTGATGCGGAGCATTTAATCATGTGTTTTTTGGCTGCATAAATGTCTTCTTTTGAGAAGTGTCTGTTCATGTCCTTCACCCACTTTTTGATGGGGTTGTTTGTTTTTTTCTTGTAAATTTGTTTGAGTTCATTGTAGATTCTGGATATTAGCCCTTTGTCAGATGAGTAGGTTGTGAAAATTTTCTCCCATGTTGTAGGTTGCCTGTTCACTCTGATGGTAGTTTCTTTTGCTGTGCAGAAGCTCTTTAGTTTAATTAGATCCCATTTGTCAATTTTGGCTTTTGTTGCCATTGCTTTTGGTGTTTTGGATATGAAGTCCTTGCCCATGCCTATGTCCTGAATGGTAATGCCTAGGTTTTCTTCTAGGGTTTTTATGGTTTTAGGTCTAAAGTTTAAATCTTTAATCCATCTTGAATTGATTTTTGTATAAGGTGTAAGGAAGGGATCCAGTTTCAGCTTTCTACATATGGCTAGCCAGTTTTCCCAGCACCATTTATTAAATAGGGAATCCTTTCCCCATTGCTTGTTTTTCTCAGGTTTGTCAAAGATCTGATAGTTGTACGTATGCGGCGTTATTTCTGAGGGCTCTGTTCTGTTCCATTGATCTATATCTCTGTTTTGGTACCAGTACCATGCTATTTTGGTTACTGTAGCCTTGTAGTATAGTTTGAAGTCAGGTAGTGTGATGCCTCCAGCTTTGTTCTTTTGGCTTAGGATTGACTTGGCGATGCGGGCTCTTTTTTGGTTCCATATGAACTTTAAAGTAGTTTTTCCCAATTCTGTGAAGAAAGTCATTGGTAGCTTGATGGGGATGGCATTGAATCTGTAAATTACCTTGGGCAGTATGGCCATTTTCACGATATTGATTCTTCCTACCCATGAGCATGGAATGTTCTTCCATTTGTTTGTATCCTCTTTTATTTTCTTGAGCAGTGGTTTGTAGTTCTCCTTGAAGAGGTGCTTCACATCCCTTGTAACTTGGATTCCTAGGTATTTTATTCTCTTTGAAGCAATTGTGAATGGGAGTTCACTCATGATTTGGCTCTCTGTTTGTCTGTTGTTGGTGTATAAGAATGCTTGTGATTTTTGTACATTGATTTTGTATCCTGAGACTTTGCTGAAGTTGCTTATCAGCTTAAGGAGATTTTGGGCTGAGACAATGGGGTTTTCTAGATAAACAATCATGTCGTCTGCAAACAGGGACAATTTGACTTCCTCTTTTCCTAATTGAATACCCTTTATTTCCTTCTCCTGCCTGATTGCCCTGGCCAGAACTTCCAACACTATGTTGAATAGGAGCAGTGAGAGAGGGCATCCCTGTCTTGTGCCAGTTTTCAAAGGGAATGCTTCCAGTTTTTGCCCATTCAGTATGATATTGGCTGTGGGTTTGTCATAGATAGCTCTTATTATTTTGAAATACGTCCCATCAATACCTAATTTATTGAGAGTTTTTAGCATGAAGGGTTGTTGAATTTTGTCAAAGGCTTTTTCTGCATCTATTGAGATAATCATGTGGTTTTTGTCTTTGGCTCTGTTTATATGCTGGATTACATTTATTGATTTGCGTATATTGAACCAGCCTTGCATCCCAGGGATGAAGCCCACTTGGTCATGGTGGATAAGCTTTTTGATGTGCTGCTGGATTCGGTTTGCCAGTATTTTATTGAGGATTTTTGCATCAATGTTCATCAAGGATATTGGTCTAAAATTCTCTTTTTTGGTTGTGTCTCTGTCCTGCTTTGGTATCAGAATGATGCTGGCCTCATAAAATGAGTTAGGGAGGATTCCCTCTTTTTCTATTGATTGGAATAGTTTCAGAAGGAATGGTACCAGTTCCTCCTTGTACCTCTGGTAGAATTCGGCTGTGAATCCATCTGGTCCTGGACTCTTTTTGGTTGGTAAACTATTGATTATTGCCCCAATTTCAGCTCCTGTTATTGGTCTATTCAGAGATTCAACTTATTCCTGGTTTAGTCTTGGGAGAGTGTATGTGTCGAGGAATGTATCTATTTCTTCTAGATTTTCTAGTTTATTTGCGTAGAGGTGTTTGTAGTATTCTCTTATGGTATTTCTGTGGGATCAGTGGTGATATCCCCTTTATCATTTTTTATTGTGTCTATTTGATTCTTCTCTCTTTTTTTCTTTATTAGTCTTGCTAGCGGTCTATCAATTTTGTTGATCCTTTCAAAAAACCAGCTCCTGGATTCATTGATTTTTTGAAGGGTTTTTTGTGTCTCTATTTCCTTCAGTTCTGCTCTGATTTTAGTTATTTCTTGCCGTCTGCTAGCTTTTGAATGTGTTTGCTCTTGCTTTTCTAGTTCTTTTAATTGTGACATTAGGGTGTCAATTTTGGATCTTTCCTGCTTTCTCTTGTGGGCATTTAGTGCTATAAATTTTCCTCTACACACTGCTTTGAATGCATCCCAGAGATTCTGGTATGTTGTGTCTTTGTTCTCGTTGGTTTCAAAGAACATCTTTATTTCTGCCTTCATTTCGTTATGTACCCAGTAGTCATTCAGGAGCAGGTTGTTCAGTTTCCATGTAGTTGAGCGGCTTTGAGTGAGATTCTTAATCCTGAGTTCTAGTTTGATTGCACTGTGGTCTGAGAGATAGTTTGTTATAATTTCTGTTCTTTTACATTTGCTGAGGAGAGCTTTACTTCCAAGTATGTGGTCAATTTTGGAATAGGTGTGGTGTGGTGCTGAAAAAAATGTATATTCTGTTGATTTGGGGTGGAGAGTTCTGTAGATGTCTATTAGGTCCGCTTGGTACAGAGCTGAGTTCAATTCCTGGGTATCCTTTTTGACTTTCTGTCTCGTTGATCTGTCTAATGTTGACAGTGGGGTGTTAAAGTCTCCCATTATTAATGTGTGGGAGTCTAAGTCTCTTTGTAGGTCACTCAGGACTTGCTTTATGAATCTGGGTGCTCCTGTATTGGGTGCATATATATTTAGGATAGTTAGCTCCTCTTGTTGAATTGATCCCTTTACCATTATGTAATGGCCTTCTTTGTCTCTTTTGATCTTTGTTGGTTTAAAGTCTGTTTTATCAGAGACTAGGATTGCAACCCCTGCCTTTTTTTGTTTTCCATTTGCTTGGTAGGTCTTCCTCCATCCTTTTATTTTGAGCCTATGTGTGTCTCTGCATGTGAGATGGGTTTCCTGAATACAGCACACTGATGGGTCTTGACTCTTTATCCAACTTGCCAGTCTGTGTCTTTTAATTGGAGCATTTAGTCCATTTACATTTAAAGTTAATATTGTTATGTGTGAATTTGATCCTGTCATTATGATGTTAGCTGGTGATTTTGCTCGTTAGTTGATGCAGTTTCTTCCTAGTCTCGATGATCTTTACATTTTGGCATGATTTTGCAGCGGCAGGTACCGGTTGTTCCTTTCCATGTTTAGCGCTTCCTTCAGGAGCTCTTTTAGGGCAGGCCTCGTGGTGACAAAATCTCTCAGCATTTGCTTGTCTGTAAAGGATTTTATTTCTCCTTCACTTATGAAGCTTAGTTTGGCTGGATATGAAATTGTGGGTTGAAAATTCTTTTCTTTAAGAATGTTGAATATTGGCCCCCACTCTCTTCTGGCTTGTAGGGTTTCTGCCGAGAGATCCGCTGTTAGTCTGATGGGCTTCCCTTTGAGGGTAACTCGACCTTTCTCTCTGGCTGCCCTTAACATTTTTTCCTTCATTTCAACTTTGGTGAATCTGACAATTATGTGTCTTGGAGTTGCTCTTCTCGAGGAGTATCTTTGTGGCGTTCTCTGTATTTCCTGAATCTAAACGTTGGCCTGCCTTGCTAGATTGGGGAAGTTCTCCTGGATAATATCCTGTAGAGTGTTTTCCAACTTGGTTCCATTCTCCGCATCACTTTCAGGTACACCAATCAGACGTAGATTTGGTCTTTTCACATAGTCCCATATTTCTTGGAGGCTTTGCTCATTTCTTTTTATTCTTTTTTCTCTAACCTTCCCTTCTCGCTTCATTTCATTCATTTCATCTTCCATTGCTGATACCCTTTCTTCCAGTTGATCGCATCAGCTCCTGAGGCTTCTGCATTCTTCACGTAGTTCTCGAGCCTTGGTTTTCAGCTCCATCAGCTCCTTTAAGCTCTTCTCTGTATTGGTTATTCTAGTTATACATTCTTCTAAATTTTTTTCAAAGTTTTCAACTTCTTTGCCTTTGGTTTGAATGTCCTCCCGTAGCTCAGAGTAATTTGATCATCTGAAGCCTTCTTCTCTCAGCTCGTCAAAGTCATTCTCCATCCAGCTTTGTTCCGTTGCTGGTGAGGAACTGCGTTCCTTTAGAGGAGGAGAGGCGCTCTGCGTTTTAGAGTTTCCAGTTTTTCTGTTCTGTTTTTTTCCCCATCTTTGTGGTTTTATCTACTTTTGGTCTTTGATGATGGTGATGTACAGATGGGTTTTCGGTGTGGATGTCCTTTCTGTTTGTTAGTTTTCCTTCTAACAGACAGCACCCTCAGCTGCAGGTCTGTTGGAATACCCTGCCGTGTGAGGTGTCAGTGTGCCCCTGCTGGGGGGTGCCTCCCAGTTAGGCTGCTCGGGGGTCAGGGGTCAGGGACCCACTTGAGGAGGCAGTCTGCCTGTTCTCAGATCTCCAGCTGCGTGCTGGGAGAACCACTGCTCTCTTCAAAGCTGTCAGACAGGGACATTTAAGTCTGCAGAGGTTACTGCTGTCTTTTTGTTTGTCTGTGCCCTGCCCCCAGAGGTGGAGCCTACAGAGGCAGGCAGGCCTCCTTGAGCTGTGGTGGGCTCCACCCAGTTGGAGCTTCCTGGCTGCTTTGTTTACCTAAGCAAGCCTGGGCAATGGCGGGTGCCCCTCCCCCAGCCTCGCTGCTGCCTTGCAGTTTGATCTCAGACTGCTGTGCTAGCAATCAGCGAGACTCCGTGGGCGTAGGACCCTCCGAGCCAGGTGTGGGATATAGTCTCGTGGTGCGCCGTTTTTTAAGCCAGTCTGAAAAGCACAATATTCGGGTGGGAGTGACCCGATTTTCCAGGTGCGTCCGTCACCCCTTTCTTTGACTCGGAAAGGGAACTCCCTGACCCCTTGCGCTTCCCAGGTGAGGCAATGCCTCGCCCTGCTTCGGCTCGCGCCCGGTGCACGCACCCACTGGCCTGTGCCCACTGTCTGGCACTCCCTAGTGAGATGAACCCAGTACCTCAGATGGAAATGCAGAAATCACACGTCTTCTGCGTCGCTCACGCTGGGAGCTGTAGACCGGAGCTGTTCCTATTCGGCCATCTTGGCTCCTCCTCCAGTTTTTCTTATTTTTAAAGACAGGATTTCACTCTGTTGCCCAGGCTGGAGTGCAGTGGCGAGATCATAGCTCACTGTAACCTGGAACTCCTGGGCTCAAGCGATCCTCCTGCCTCAGCCTCCCAAGTAGCTGGGACTATGCATGTCACTAGGCCCGGCTCTGTGATTGCTTTTATAGTACTCTTCCTGGTGATGCTGATTTCTTTCAGCAGGAGCAGCAGTTGCTCCAACCATCACCAAGAGTGATAGGCAAGGGCAACATGTGCTGACCTAAGGCCAATAAAAACTAGAAACCTCCAGCAGTCATTGAGGATAACTTAAAAGCATACCCAACATTCACTTTTATTTCTTATCTTTTCCCCTCAACACCCCATTTATAGTGCACCTAACACTTTGCTTAATGACTCAGAATTGCTCTATGCACAAGAAGTAGTTTGCTGCCATTTTTATAAATGCTTTGGATGAACCAGGATGGACTAGAAGTGTCTTACTGCCTGATATTGTCACTGTTTATGGGAGATGCTGCTTCTGAGACTGAAATTCTTAACAATATGTTCCTTGTGACCTATTTGGATCACAAATCCAGTTCCTTGCTGCATGAAAAATAATATATGTGGAAGACCTATAAGTTGATCTAAAGCCAGATGTCATGTACTCCCATCATTATCAACTAATATGCTAAAAGGTGGACATAGTGCTTTTCTCTTTTATCCTTTATTACCACTTTGTTCTGTCTTATGGTAATATGCTATAATAATGGTAGAAATATATGTAGCATTTAATTGAAAACTACCAACAATGTTTGGTACTTAGTTTTTGAAAAGAAGGAACAAATCCATTTTTTCTTGCCACTGCTTGTGACTTTCATCAAGCAGTTACCACCAACTCATCATGTGCTACGAAGCATCAGGCAAGGTAGGTCATAGGAAAACACTTAAAGAAATTAGAAGTTAGACTATACATAAATATTTGTTAGCCTGTTGGGGTGTTTTCCCAATTGTAAAAATGTTAGAGAAATATGAAGAAAATGTGCACCATTTGCTTAGAGAAAGAATGCTTTATATCCTGTGCCAATGTCTCTTTCTTCTTTTACTTGCTTACTTTTTTTAAGGATTAGGAATTAAAAATATTTGGTGCAGCCTTAGGTAGAATATGATCTAGTGACAAAATATAACTGTGAATTTGTCCAGCTTCTAACCTGTTTTACCTTTTTTTTTTTTTTAAACCTCTGCACAATTGACTTCTGGATAAACTCACTTGTTACCACCCACCTTCTTAATTACTATTAACTAAATCATAATATAGGTCCTCCTGGGGGATCTTCTGTTGAGTAAAGTTATTTCCTTTACTGGATCCTTCTCAATATGGTGTCTGTAAAACATTCTGAATTTTTTTGTTGTTATCAAAACAGTCTCATAAGCCCACGGTCTGGGTTGCGATTTGGATTAGAAAGCTGCAGTTTCATACGGATCAAATGAGTGTGCATTTCTGGAAGGAAGAAGCATTTTTTGTGGTCACAGTGAATGCCACTGGACATCACCAGTGTTAGACTTAGGGGCATCTGAGAAGAATGTGATATTTTTTCATACTTTAGTTTCTTGTTCAAAGCTAGGTTCCTTGATTCAGTGACATGCTCTTATACTGGAATAGTTGATTTTGTTTGTTTTCTTTCTTGCTTATTGTGATTACAGATGTACATGGTCATCTGTAATCAGCCTCCAATATTTGGGAGCACCTTGAATTAAATGTGCATAATGAATCTGGCTATGCACTGAATAAAAATAAGAAATTTGATGCAGATATATTACAGTTTCTGTTCAGATTTGGGCACCACTCAAAGTTAAGAAGGGGAAAGGGAGGATATGTATAAAGATAATTTATCAAGGAACAGGTTTGATTCTTTTTTTTTTTCTTGGTTTTGACTTAATGAACCTCAGGATTTTTTGAAAGGGATATATGGAAATCGTAGGTAAAGGCATGAATGGTTAGTGGTGGAATAAGGAGAAAGGAATTTAAGTAATAGGAATATAGATTAATTTGGTAATGGATCAGGAAACTTCGGTAGGAGATAGACATTTCTAATCATCTTTACATAATTCATTTTAAAATAATTTCTGATAGAAAAAGTGTAATGACAGTACAAAGAAGTCTTCCTTGCTCAAGTTCTCCACCTGTTAACATTAGACCACATTTGTTCAGTCTTCCCTAAATCCTTCAGTGTGTTTTCCAAAAACAAGAACACACTCCAGCATAACCAAATGCATCCATACAATGAAACCAATAGTCATACAATAACACTATCCAATTCACAGACTCATTCAGATTTTTCCAATGGTACCACTTGTGTCTCTGATCCAGCATCCAATACAGATTATGTGTCACTTTTAGTTCTCGTATCTCTTTAGGTTCCTCCACCCAGAACAGCTCCGTAATTGTTCCCTGGCTTTCATGCTCTGCACAGTTTTAAATAGTAAGGCCTTTCATTTTGAAGGGTGTTCTACAACCTGGGTTCATCTGATATTAATATTTACTTGGAACCAGTCTCAAGTTATGATTTCCTAGCAGTCATACTACAGAAGTGATGCTGTGTTCTTCTCAATTCAGGATTATGGGTATGAACAATGTCTATTTGTCCCACTACCAGTGCGGCTAACCCTGATCACTAGGCAAATTAGTGCCTACCAGATTTCTCTACTGTAAAGTCACCATTTTTCCTCTTGGTAATTGGTAAGTATTTGGGGGGGAAGATATTCCAAGATCATGTTAATATACTTTTTTGTAGCAAAGTTCCACCCAGCAGCCTTAGCATTCACTGAGCGGTTCACTTTGCATTCACTGAGGAGCCTTAGCATTCATTCATGTAAACCACCAATATGGCTCTTGCCAAATCTATATTTATTAGCTGCATTCTATAGTAAGAAAAAGCTTCCCCATGAGTTAGTCTGAGTTCTCCAGAGAAACAGAAGCAATAGAATCTATCTAGATTGATCTAGATAGACAAAGATAATGATGTAGATATAGATACATAGAAAGAGATTCACTACAAGGAATTTGCCCATTCAGTTATGGAAGCTGAGAAGTCCTATAGTCTGCAGTTTGCAAGCTGGAGAACAAGGAGAGCTAATAGTATACTTCCAGTCTAAACCAGAAGGCCTGAGAATCAGGAGAGCTGATGAGGTAAGTTTTAGTCAGAGTCAAAATGCCTACCAAGAGAAGTGACAATGTAAGTTCCAGTCTAAATTCAAGTCTGAAGACAGAAGATCTGTGTCCCAGCTCAAAGACAATCAGGCAGAGAAAGTGAATTACTCTGCTTTTTCCATCCTATTCAGGCCTCCAACAAATTGAATAAGGCCCACCCACACTGGAGAAGGCAATCTTCTTGACTCATTCTACTGATTCAAATGGTAGTCTTATCCAGAAATACCCTCACAGACACACCCAGAATAATGTTTAAACAAATATCTGGGCACCTCATGGTTTAGTCACGTCAGAACATAAAATTAATCATCACACCCCTTCTCTTTCATTCAGTCAGTAATTCATAACAGTATGAAATCAAGGGTGCTTGTTTCATTTGGTGGTTTATAACCATGACTATCATTATTTTGATGCTGAAATTGTCCCAGTTTGGATTGCTGACAGTCACTTTCAACTGGATTCTGTGTTACTTCGACATACCTGCATTTTTCTTTAAGAATTTTCTTACTTTCTAGCACAATAAGAACTTCCAGGTCATTTTGCATTTTCATTCCCTTTGACTTTGATGCAGCACTTGAATCTACACAGCATCACTTTCTTCAAGTAAGGCGTTTTATTTTTCCGGCTTCCATAATATTGCAATGGTCTATGCCTCCCTTTTACTTCAACAATTTTTTTCTCCTACTTTGTCCTCTTCCCAACTTCTAAATGCAAGAATTTCCCAAGATGTAATCTGAAGTATCTATTCTTTTCACAGACTCTCAGAAGTCTTCCTCTCTCAGTACACATGTGATTTCTAAACAGATGAATTCCTCCATGGCTGTATTTATAGCCTTGATGTTTTTCCTGCATTTGTATTTGCCAGCTAATTATCTACTTTTAAAAGCTTTAATGTTACCACAAAATATGCTTAGCACCAGAATATCTTCAACATTCTGAGCAAAACAGACGGTAAAGTTTCCGATTCCACATGTCAGGAACTTAAAAGTCACTACTCAGTCCTAACAAGTGAAAGGCTGAACAACCTGAAAAACCAACTCTTAGATCTTTAAGAGAAGCGAGGTCCCAAGGCAAATTGCTGCCCTCAAATTGGAGGGACAGGCAGGTGGATACAGAAAATCACGACACACCAGAGCAGAAACCTCTTCATGAACAAGTGCGAGGATGGGAAAACATGAACTGTAATAAATTGTTGGAGGCTGCGAGTGGACAAATCTGAGAATTAAAATCGCCAGGTGGGTCCAATCATATGGATTCCCCCACACTTTTGTGTTTTACCTCTAGGAGCCTGACCAGGTTCTCACAGTAAATATTGGAATAAAATTCCCTCATTCTTTCAGGAGTGAAAGAGGAAAAGGAACCATTTTGAAATGTGCCAGAGCACTCTGTTCTTAATAAGTTCTGCCCTCAGGAGAAACTAGTTAATCACAGCCTAACTTTCTGGGGTTTTATCACATCCTACCTGACTTGGGGAAAGAGAAAAGGAAAATGCCTAACTCTAGCCCACTTTAGCCATTCTGTCTCAGCTAAGGGGTAGAAAAAAGCAACTGTGAAACACTGTGACATTCAACGTCCAGAAACAGGCTCACTAAAAGATAAAGACCTAATCTTAGAACTATAGGATGCTTCCTCTCCTTCCACAACTTACCACCACATTACTGAAGGACTATTCCCAGCAGATCCTTTTACCCAATACCTCATGTCAGCTATCAAGAGAAAAATTACAAAGAATACTAAAAGGCAAAAAAAAAAAAAAAAAATCCTACAATTTGAAGAGACAGGGCAAGCACAAGAACCATACCTGGTAGAGATATTTCTAACAGAGATGTTAAATCAACTAAGATTAATATGCTAAAGGCCCTATGGATAAAGTAGACGTCGTGCAAGAACAGATGGGTAATTAAGCAGAGAGATGGTAATCCTAAGAAGAAAGCAAGAAAAAAGTGCTAATGATCAAAACCACTGTAAGAGAAATGAAGAATATCTTTAATGAGCTTATTACTAGGCTGGACATGGCTTGAGGATGTACCGACAGAAACTTCCAAAACTGAAAAGCAAAAAAAAAAAAAAAAGAAAAAAACAACCACTGGTAAAACAGAACAGGATATCTAGGAACTGTGGAACAACTACAAATAGTGTAATGTATGCATAATAGGAATAGGAAAGGTAGAAGAAAGAGAAAAAAGAACAGAAGGAATATTTAAGATAAGAATCATTAATAATTTCCCCCAATTAACATCAGACATCAAACCTTAAATCTAGAAAGTTCAAAGAATAACAAATAAGACAAATGTCAAAAAATGACATTTAGGTATATCATATTCAAACTACAGAAACTCAAAGATAAATTAAAATCCTGAAAGAAGCCAGAGGGGGAAAGAAACATTTTACCTATAAAGATACAAAGATAGCAATTTCATTTGACTTCTCTTTAGAAACCATGCAAACAAAAAGAAAATAGAGTGAAATATTTAAAGTGTTAAGACAAAAAAACCCCACCAACCTAGAATGCTGTATCCTGTGAAATTATTCTTCAAAAATGAAGATGACATAAAAGCTTTCTCAGACAAACAAAAATTGAGGAAATGTGTTGACAGTGGACATGACTTACAAAAAATGTTAAGGTAAGTTCTTTAGATCTACACAAAGAAAGAAAGAAAGAGCATTGAAGAAGGAATAAGTGAAGGTAAAATATAAAATGCTCAGTGAAAACCGCAAAAGGCAGAAAAAGAGGCGAAGACAAAAATAAGAAAAAGGAAAAGAACAAAAATCAGAAAACAGTAACAAATATGGTAGATATTAATTCAACCTCAATAATCACTTTGAACATCAATGGTCAAAATGAACCAATTAAAAGACAGAGATTGTCAGAGTGGATTTAAAAACAAGACTCAACTATATGATCCATTCAAAGAACCCACCCTAAGTATAAAGATATAGATTAAAGGTAAATATTAAATTTTTTTTTATTCCATAGGTTTTTGGGGAACAGGTGGTATTTTGTTATATGAATAAGTTCTTCAGTGGTGATTTGTGAGATTTGGGCGTATCTATAGAGAAAGAGATACCTTGCTAATGCTAATTTAAAAAAGCAGGAATCATCATATTAATTTCAGACAGAACAGACTTCAAAGAAAGGAAAGTTATCAGGGATAAAGAAGGTCATTGCATAGTGATAAAGGGTCAATACTCCAAAAAGACATAACTATTCTTAATGAGTATATGCCTAACAACAGAGCATCAAAATATGCAAGGCATAAACTGGAAAAACTGCAAGGAGAAATAGATGGATTCAAATTGGAGACTTCACCACTCCTCTTTCAGAAATGGACAAATCCAGCAAGCATAAAATTGTAAGGACTTAGTTGAAACCAATAGTATGAGTCAACTGGATATAATTGACATCTATAGACTATTTCATCCAGCAACAGCAGAACGCACAGCATTCTGAAGCTAACATGGAACGTTCACCAAGATAGGCCGCATTCTGGGTCATTAAACATACCTTAACAAAGTCAAAAGAACAGATATTATGCAATGTCTGGTCTCTGACCACAACAGAATTAAACTCCAAGTCAGTAACAGAGGTAAGTGGAAAACTTCCAAATACGTGGAGATTAAACAAGACATTTCTAAATAACACATGAGCAAATAATAATTCTCAAGAGAAATCTCAAAATATTTAGGACTAAATGAAAATGAAAACACAACTAATCATAGTTTGTGGGAAGAGTGAAAACACAGTTTAGAGGAAAATTTATAGCATTGAATGCATCTATTAGAAAAAATAAATATAAAATCAATCATCTAAACTTCTACTTTAGGAAACTAGAGAAAGAAGAGCAAATCCAAAGTTAGCTGAAGAAAAAAGTTAAACACTAGAGCATAAATTAATCAAATTGAAAATAGGACATATGTAGAGAAAATCAATAAAGCTAAAAGCTGCTTCTTTGCAAACACCAATAATATTGATCAACCTCTAACCAGGCTAACTACGAAAAAAGAGAAGAAACAAATTACTAATATCAGAAGTGAAATAAGGAACATCACTACAGATCTTATAGATTTTAAAAGAATGATAAAGGAATACTATGAACAACTCTTTGCCTACAGATTTGAAAACCTAAATGAAATGGACCAATTTTTTGAAAGAGACCATTTGCCAAAACTCACACAAGAAGAAATAGGCAATCTGACTAGGCCTGTATCTACTAAAGAAATGTTTCAATAATTAATAACCTTCCAAAACAGAAAGCACCAGGCCAAGGTGGGTTCTTTGGTGAATTCTACCAAACATTTATGAAAGAAATTATACCAAAGCTCTACAATCTCTTTCGACAGATGGAAGCAGAGGGAACAGTTCCTAACTCATTCTGTGAGGCTAGTTTCACCCTAATACCAAAACCGGTCAAAGACATTACAAGAAAAGAAAACTATAGACCAATATCTCTCATAAACATAGATGCAAAATCCCCAACAAAATACAGTCATATGCTGCATAGTGATGTTTTGGTCAATGATAGACCATATACATGATGCGGTACCATAAGATTATAATGGAACTGAAAAACTCCTATTGCCTAGTGACATCATAACATCATAGCAAAACACATTACTCATGTCTCTGTGGTAATCCTGGTGTTAACTTGCCGCATTGCCAGTTGCATAAAAGCATAGTATGTACAATTATGTGCAGTACATAATACTTGATATGTTACTAGTTTATGTATTTATTACATACTTTTATCATTATTTAGAGTGAAGTTGTTCTCTCTATAAAAAAAGTTAACGGTAAAACAGCTTCAGACACATCCTTCAGGAAGTATTCCAGAAGACAGCATTGTTGTTATATGAGATGGCAGCTCCATCCATGTTATTATCCATGAAGACCTTCCAGTGGGACAAGATGTGGAGGTGAAAGACAGTGATATTGATGATCCTGTCCCTATGTAGGCCTAGGCTAATGTGTGTATTGATGTGTTAGTTGTTAACAAAAAAAGTTTAAAAAGTAAAAAAAAAAAAAAAGAAAGAATTTTAATAAAACAATGCATAGAATAGGGATATAATGAGAGAAATATTTTTATACAGCTATACAACGTGTTTGCGTTTTAAGCTAAGTATTATGAGTCAAAAAATTAAATGATTAAAGTCAATAATGAAAAAATTTATAAGGTGACAGTTGTAGTAAGTTAAGGTTAGTTTATTGATGAAAAAAGAAAACTATTTTATAATAAGTTTACAGTAAACTAAGCATACATTGTTTTTAAATTCTACAGTAGTGTACAGTAATGTCCTAGGCCTTTATATTCACTCACCACTCACTCACTAACTCAGCCAAAGCAACTTCCAGTCCTGCAAGTTTCATTTATAGTTATACTGTTGTACCACTTTAAAAAATCTTTTGTATTGTGTTTTTACTGTACCTTTTCTATTTATTTATTTATTTATTTATTTATTTATTTATTTATTTTGAGATGGATTCTTGCTTTGTCACCCAGGCTGGAGTGCAGTGGCGTGATCTCAGCTCACTGAAAACTCTGCCTCTTGGGTTTAAGCAGTACTCCTGCCTCAGCCTCCCAAGTAGCTGGGATTACAGGCATGCATCATAGCACCTGGCTAACTTTTTGTATTTTCAGTAGAGACAGGATTTCACCATGTTGGCCAGGCTGGTCTCAAACTCCTGACCTCAAGTGATCTCTCTGCCTTGGCCTCCCAAAGTGCTGGGATTACAGGAGTGAGCCACCGTGCCAAGCCTTACTGTACCTTTTCTATGTTTAAATACATAAATACTTATGATTGTGTTCCTATTGCCTATAATAGTCAGGGAAGTTACATGTCATAACAGTTTGTAGCCTAAGAGCAATAGGCTGTACCACATAGCCTTCATGTGTAGTAGGCTACACCATCTAGGTTTGTGTAGGTATCCTCTATAATGTTTGCACAATGACACAATTGCCTAACAGTGCATTTCTCAGAATGTTTCCCCGTTGTTAAGTGACACATGACTATTTTAGCAAATTGAATCCAACAACATATTAAAAGAAGTATATGCCAGGACCAAGTGGGATTTGTCACAGGTATGCAAGGCTAGTTCAACATTAGAAAATCAATTTGTGTAATCCATAAAATGTACAGACCAAGGAAAAAATATCACTACAATTATATCAATAGATAGAAAAAGGATTTGACAAAATCCAACACCCATTTATGATAAAAACTCTCAATAAATTAAGAATAGAGGGGAACTTCTTCAACTTGATAAATAATATACATGTAATCCACAAGTATATATTATATATATTTTATATATAATCTATAAATATTATATATATATAATCTACAGCTAACATCATACTTACTGATGAGAAACTAGAAGCTTTTTAAGATTAGGAGAAAGATAAGGATGTCCTCTCTTGCTATCTTTCTTGAACATTGTACTGGAAGTCCTAGCTAATATAATAAGACAAGAAAACAAAAAGTATACTAGTTAGGAAGAAAGAAGTAAAACTTACTGTTTTATTTTGACATGATTGTCTATGTACAAAATTTAAAAAATTGACAAAAAACTTCCTGGAACTAAATAGTGATTATGATTATAGAAGGGTTGCAAGGAAAGGTTACTATACAAAAGTCAATTGCTTTCCTATATACTAGCAATGAACAATGGGAATTTGAAATTTAAAACACAATATGGTTTACATTAACACCCTCCCAAAATAAAATACTTAGGTGTAAAACCAACAAAATATGCACAAAATCTGTATGAGGAAAACTACAAAACACTGATGAATGAAATCGAATAACTAAATAAATGGACAGATTCTGTTTATGGGTAGGAAGACTTAATATTGTCAAGATGCCAGTTCTTCCCAACTTGATCTGTAGATTCACTGCAATCCCAAACAAAATCCCAGAAAATTATGTAGATATTGATAAACTAATTCTAAAGTTAATATGGAAAATTATTTCAGCAAGATGGTTGACTAGAGATGTCTGATGCTTGTTCTCCCCTAAAAAAAAAAAGGACAAAACTAAAACAGTGAATAAACAACTATATTTTGAGTAGAGTGACAGAGGAAACATGCTGAAGATCTCCAGAGATAAAATCCCTGTGGAGCAGAGAAGCCCAGGATAGCAACATAGAGAGGAGTTAGAGGAACCTTCTGCACTGTCAGGATCTTTTCAGAGTCAGGGATACTTATTAAGGGGGAAAGGTTAGCTAGAGATAGATGCCCAGTGGTCTCCAGTGCCATTGCAGACACCATTAGTCCCTACCACAGGAGAGCCCTCCAGTCCTCACAGACTCCAAATCCAGGCTGGAGAGTGGCTAGGAGTTTGTGTGGCTACATTGCCTCAGAGTAGGAACCTATGTTGAACACTTCTCACCCATGTGACTTAAGCTGCTATGGCATGACACCACCCTGAATCCAGATCCACTGCTAGAGTCTAGACTATCCTGGGGGCCAATAACCATTGACTTTCTCCATCCCTAAGGTCCCACCATTATTTCACCACATTCACACAGGTGCCTGCAATATTGCAATAATGGCTGTCTGGAGGCTAAGACTGATGGTACAACCAAAACCCCAGTGTCTAAAACTACATAGCATACCCATCACTCCCTACCCAGCAAGAGGCCAACTTGCATAGCAGAGAAGCCACCTAATAGCCAACCATCCACTGCACCCACATGAACCCATGCCACACAGTTGGCCAGCTCACCAAGCCCACCAAGGATGCATGGGCATGCATGCGTGCGTGCGCACGCACACACACACACACACACACACACACACACACCTTATTTAATAAATGGTGCTGAAATAACTGGCTGGCTATATGCAGAAAATTGAAACTGGACCTATCCTTACACCATATAAAAAACCAACTCAAGATGGATTAAAGACTTAAATGTAAAACCCAAAACTATAAAAATACTATTAAAAAAACCTAGGCAATATCATTCAGTACATAGGAATGGGCAAATATTTCATGACAAAGACACGAAAAGCAATTGTAACAAAAACAAAAATTGACAAATGGGATCTAATTAAACTGAAGAGCTTCTGCGCAGCGAGAGAAACTATCATCAGAGTGAACAGACAACCTACAGAATGGGAGAACATTTTTGCAATCTATCCATCTGACAAAGGTCTAATATCCAGGGCCTACAAGGACCATAAACAAAAAATTTACAAGAAAAAAAACCATTAAAAACTGGGCAATGGACATGAACAGACACTTCTCAAAAGAAGACATTTATGTGACCCACAAACGTATGAGAAAAAAGCTCAACATCACTGCTCATTAGAGAAATGCAAACAAAACCACGATGATACCATCTCATGCCAGTCACAATGGCAATTATTAAAAAGTCAGGAAACAAAACAACAGATGCTGGGAAGGCTGTAGAGAAATAAGAATGCTTTTACATTGTTGGTGCAAATGTAAATTAATTCAACCATTGTGGAAGACAGTGTGGCAATTTCTCAAAGACCTAGAACCGGAAATACCATTTGACTCAGCAATCCCATTACTGGGTATATGCCCAGAGGAATATAAATCATTCTGTTACAAAGATACATGCACATCCATGTTCATTGCAGCACTATTCACAGTAGCAAAGACTTGGAATCAACTCAAATGCCCATCAGTGATAGACTGGATAAAGAAAATGTGGTACATATTCACCATGGAATACTATGTAACCATAAAAGGAAATGAGATCTTGTCCTTTTCAGGAACATGGATGGAGCTAGAAGCCATTATCCTCAGCAAACTAGTGCAGGAACGAAAACCAACCACTGTATGTTCTCACTTATAAGTGGGAGCTGAACAATGGCAACACATGGACACAGGGAGAAAAACGACACACACTGGGGCCTGTTGCAGGGGGTCGGGGGAGGGAGAGTATCAGGAAAAATAGTTAATGCATGCTGGGCTTAATATCTAGGTGATGGATTGATAGGTGCAGCAAACCACCATGGCACATGTTTACCTGTATAACAAATCTGCACATCCTGCATAGGTACCCTGTAACTTAAAAGAAAAGAAAAAGAAAAAAAATTATAACTGGACACAAAGAAAACAAACTTTAGCACCACAGGAAACCACCAAACCAAAGAGGTAAACAAGTGAGAAAGAAAGGAACAAAAATTCTACAAAATATCTGGAAAACAATTAACAAAATGGCAGTAGTAAGTCAAGTCTTTACCTATCAATATTAACCTCAAAAATAAATGCATTACATTATTGAATTAAAAGATATAGAGTGGCTAAATGGGATAAAACAGACTACATGCTGCCTACAGGAGACTCAACTCACTGTTAAAGACAAACAGGCTGAAATGATGGGATGAAAAAGATGTTTATTGCAAACAGACATCAGAAGTGAACAGGAGTAGCCATACCTGTGTCAGATAAAATCGACTTTAGTCAAAAACTGAAAAGATACAAAGAAGTTCATTATAGAATGATAAAGAGATAAATTCAACAAAGGATATATGAAAATTATAAATACATATGCACCAAACATCAGAGCACCTGTATCAGGCTGTTCTTGCATTGCTATAAAGAAATACCTGAGACTGGGTAATTTATAAGAAAAGAGGCTTATTTGGCTATGGTTCTGTAGGCTATACAGGAAGCATGGTGACATCTGCTTCTGGGGAGGCCTCAGGGAGCTTATACTCATGGTGGAAGGCAAAGTGGGAACAGTCATCTTACATGGTGGGAGCAGGAGAAAGAGAGAGACAATGACAGGGAGGTGCTACACACATTTAAATAAACAGATCTCATGAGAACTCACTCACTATCACAAGAACAACACCAAAGGGATGGTGTTAAACCATTCATGAGAAATTCGTTTCTATGATCCAATAATCTCCCACCAGGCCCCACCTCCAGCATTGAAGATTATAATTTGACATGAGATTTGGGTGGGGACACAGATCCAAACCATATGATCCTGCCCCTGACCCCTCCCAAATCTCATGTTCTTCTCACATTTCAAAATACAATGATGACTTCTCAACAGTCCACCAAAGTTTAACTCCTTCCAGCATTACTCAAAAGTCCCAAGACTCATCTGAGACCAGGCCAATCCCTTTTACTTATGAGCCTGTAAAATCAAAAACAAGTTAGTTACTTTCAAGATACAATGAGGGTATAGGCCTTGGGTAAATACTCCCTTTCAAAAAGAGAGAAATTAGCCAAAAGAAAGGGGCTACAGGCCCCATGCAAGTCTAAAACTCAGGAGGGCAGCCATTAAATCTTAATGCTTCAAAATAATCTCCTTTGACTCCATGTTCCACATTCAGGGCATACTGATGCATGGAATGGGCTCTCAATGCCTTAAACAGCTCCACCCCTGCAGCATTGCAGGATTCAGCCCCTGTGGCTGCTCTCATTGGCTAGCATTGAGTGCCTGTGGCTTTTCCAGGCACAGGGAGCAAGCTGTCAGTGGATCTACCATTCTGAGGTCTGCAGGATGGTGACCTTCTTCTCATAGCTTTACTAGGCCAGTGCCTCACTGGGGATTCTGTGTGGGGACTCCAACCTTACATTTCCCCCTTTGTACCACCCTGGTAGAGATTCTCCAGAGGGCTCTGCACCTGCAGCAACTTTCTGACTGGACATCCGGCTTTTCTATACATTCTATGAAATCTAGGTGGAGGCTCCCAAGCCTCAACTCTTGCACTCTGCAAACCTACAGGCTTAACAACACATGGAATCTGTCAAGGCTGATGGCTTGCACCCTCTGGATCTATGGCCTGAGGTACCTGGGCCCCCTTGAGCCATGGCTGGAGCTGGAGTGGCTGGGATGAAGGAAGCAATGCTCCAAGGCTGTGCAGGGCCACAGGGCCCTGGACCTGGTCAATGAAATCATTATGTCCTCCTAGGCCTCCAGAACTGTAATGGGAGGGGATGATGCAAAGTTCTCTGAAAAGCCTTTGAGGTTTTTTCCCCATTGTCTTGGCTATCAGCACTTGCCTGCTTTGTAGTTATGCAGATATCTTCAGCCTACTTGAACTCCTTTCCTGAAAATGGGCTTTTATATTCTACAATGTGGCCAGGCTGCAATCTTTCCAACTTTTATGCTCTGCTTCCCCCTTAAATATAAGTTCCAACTTTAGGTAATTTATTTGCTCATGCATATGAGCATAGCCTGTTCTAAGCAGTCAGGCAATATCTTGACCACCCAGCTGCTTAGAAATTTCTTCTGCCACATGCCCTATATCATCACTCTCAAGTTCAACGTTCCACAGGTCCCTAGTGCAGGGACACAATGCAGCCACGTTTTTTTGCTGAGGCATAAGCACAGTGACCTTTGCTCCAGTTCCCAATACGTTTCTCATTTTCATCTGAGACCTCCTTAGCCTGGATTTCATTGTCCGTATCACTATCAGCATTTTGGTCACAATCATTTAACTAGTCTCTAGGAAATTTTAAACTTTTCTCCATCTTCGTTTTTAGTTATGAGCCCTCCACACTCTCCTGACCTTTGCCTGTTACCCAATTCCAAAGCTGTTTCCACATTTTCAGGTATATTTATAGCAATACCCAATTCCTGGCACCAATTTTCTATAGTAGGCCATTCTCACATTGCTATGAAGAAATACCTGAAACTGGGTAATTTATAAGAAAAGAGGTTTAATTGACTTATGGTTCTGCAGACTTTACAGGAAACATGGTGGCATCTGCTTCTGGGGAGTCCTCAGGAAGCTTATATTCATGGCAGAAGGCAAAGTGGGAGTAGGCCTTATTACAAGGCAGGAGCAGGAGCAAGAGAGAGCAAACAAGAGGAGAGGTGCTACACATGTTTAAACAACCAGATCTCACAAGAACTCACTGTCACGAGAACAGCACCAAAAGAATGGTGTTAAACTATTAGTGAGAAATCTGCTCCCATGATCCAATCATCTCCCACCAGCCCCCACCTCCAACGCTAGGGATTACAATTTGACATGAGATTTGGGTGGGGACACAGACCCAAACCATATCAGCACCCAGATATATAAAGCAAATATTATTATATCTAAAGGGAGACATAGATGGCAATAAAATGAAAGTAGGTACATCACCACCCCACTTTCAACAATGGATAGATCATCTAGACAGAATTCAACAAAGAAACATTGGGCTTAAACTACATGATTGACCAAATGGAATGTACAGACATTTACAGAACATTCCATCCAACAGCTGCAGAAAGCACATTGCCCTCAATGGCAAATGGAATATTCTCTTGGATATATTATATATTAGGCCACAAAACAAGTCTTAACAAATATAGGAAGATAGAAATCATATCAAATATTTTTTGACAATTCTATAAAACTTGAAATCAACAATAAGAAAAACTTTGAAAATATTCCAAATACATGAAAATTATATGGCATGCTCCTAAATAACTAATGAGTCAATAAAGAAATTAAGAGAATGATAAGGTTTGGCTCTTTGTTCCCACCCAAATCTCATGTCATATTGTAATCCAATCCCTAGTGTTGGAGGAGGGGCCTGGTGAGAGGTGATTAAACCGTGGAGGCAGACTTCCACCTTGCTGTTCTTGTGATAGTGAGTTATCATGAGATCTGGTTGTTTAAACGTGTGTAGCACTTCCTTCTTTGCTCTCTCTTTCTTCTTCTCTAACCATGTAAGACATGACTCCTTCCTCTTCACCTTCTGCCATGATTGTAATTTCCTGAGGCCTTCCCAATCATGCTTCCTGTACAACCTGTGAAACTGTGAGTTAATTAAAACTCTTTTCTTTATAAATTATCTAGTCTCAGGTAGTTCTTTATAGCAATGTGAGAATGGACTAATATAGAAAAATACTTTAAAATTTTGTGAAAATAACAAAAATGAAAATATTATGACAAAACGTATACAACACAAGAAAAACAGCTCTAAGAGGAATGTTTTTAACAATAAATACCTACATCAAAAAAGTGAGAAATATTTAAAATGATCTAATGATTTACCACAAGGAACTAGAGAAACAAGAACAAACTAAACCCAAATTTCTAGAAGGAAGGAAATAATAAAGCTCAGTGCAGAAATAAAATTCAATATAAGATTCAAAAACAATTTTTTCAAAGATTGTGGATTAGAGGCTTTCAGCATGCCTCAGCCACTAGGAAATTGCAAGGCAATGAGTAAAGATTAACTCTATGAACTTAAATTCAGAAGGTAAATGGGAATCAACCAGACTCATGAAGGACACCCCAGATCCTGGGGAGAAGAACATGAGCAAACAGCCCCCATGAAGGCATCTGGTTGGTAAGAGCGAAGCCACAGTACATGAGAGGGTGCAGAGAGCCTCCTCCTGTGACTCATCTTTCCAAGGGAAATCTGAGCAATCCAGGCCAGAAGGAAATCATTTTGTTTCTCCTGAGCTTTGGAGCCAAGTTAAGGAGAGATTTGGAGGCACTGAGAGGGAAATACACTGGGAAATGCTGCAGGCATTTTCCCAAATCTGGGACCAAAAACAGGATGAGATTTTTCATCTGGATGATTACAAAATCAGTCATTCCTTGGCAACTTGGCAGTGGGTCCACACAGGCATTTTAGTCTCTGGCCAAAGACTAGAGTGCTTGGTCTGGAGCAGGGTAGTGGCTTTCACAGCCAGAATTCTGGAAAATGCCTCAGCAGTAGGCATTAGAATTGTGCTCTCTGCCATTGCAAGCCTGGGGCAAGAGGACAGCTTCTACAGCTACAGTTTCTCCTGAGTAATGAGACTTGAAGCCAGGGTCAGCTTGGTGAACCAGTCTGCATGTGTTATTGTTGGGTGCCCCAGCCTGCTACCTTGAGATCATGGTGCAGTGGGGCCTTCTCTGCTCCACCCCTAGAAAGATCTCCAGGCATTTGAAGCACCTGCTCACATGAACTAACACTCTGAGCCACCCCACCCTTCCCGTGCATAGATCATAATGCAGTGGGCCATCTCTTCTCCACATCCAGGCAGACCTCCAGGCATTCAGATCACCCATTTCCCTGGATTAGAAGGCCAAGCCACTCGACCCTCTCTGTGCATAGATTGTGGTGCACTTGGGCCCTATGCACTCCTCAGCCAGGCAGATCACCAGGCATTCGGAACACTCACTCACCTAAATTAGCAGTCTGAGCCACCCTACTCTTCCTGTGCAGAGATTGTGGTTCAGCAGAGCTGTATACACTCCATGCCCAGGTAGATCTCTAGGCATCTCAAGTACCCACTCTCCTGGATTAGGAGTTTAGAGTATGTTTCCCAGCTCCATACCTAGACACTCCTTGGGGCACTTGGTGGCCACCCACTTGATTCTCGTTCAGTGCTGGTACTTGTGCCAGTTATTGGGGAAACTATAGGTGGGCATGCATAGTCTGGCCCCACCCATCTCATCCCATACCTCCCCAGTGCTGAGCAGGGAGCTCAGAACACTGTGTACTCCACAGATCAGCCCATTGCTTGAAGCAACAGAGAGTTTTCCTAGAAACAAGGATAAAGTATATACCCAGTCACATTGGCTGCAGCTGGCTTTTTACCCATAAGAGCCATTTACTGGCTTGTAGGTCAAACAGTACAGCATAATATAAAGCCTGATGAAACAATTTCTTAGAGCTATAGAAAAAAAAAAGACCAGAATAGTCTTCCCAACTTCTTCACAGTCACACACTATAGAGGCAGGGGGAAGGGAAAGGAAAAGAAAAAAGAAAACAATAATATTATAGGGAATAAAAGGGAAAGAAAAACTCCTACCCACATGAAAATAATTACAAATATTAGAACTTCTAGCATCTCCAGATGAGACGGAACCAGCACAAGAATTCTGAAACTGTGAAAAATCTGAATGCAGTGACACCACCAAAGGATCACAGTAGCTCTCCAGCAATGGTTCCTAACCAAAATGGAAATTCAGAAATTACAAAGAAGGAATTCAAAGCATGGATTTAAAAAAAGCTCATTGGGATCCAAGATAAGGTTGAAAGTCAACACAAAGAAACTTCTAAATCAACCCAGGAAAAGAAAGAAGAAATAAACATCTTAAAAACAAATCAATCAGACTCCTGGATTTGAAAAAGCTCACTTAAGGAATTTCAAAATATAATTGAAAGCTTTATCAATAGACTGGAACAAGTAGAAGAAAGAATTCCAGAGCTTGAAGACTGGTCCTTCAGACTAACTCAAGCAGACAAAAATAAAGAAGAAAGAGTTAAGAAAACTGAGCAAAATCCTTGAAAAATATGGGATATGTAAAGCAACCAAACCTACAAATTTTTGGCATTCCTGAGGGAGAAGAATAAAAAGAAAATAACCTGGAAAACATATTTGAGTGGATAATTCCAGAAAATTTCCCTAATCTTGCTAAGAGGTAGACATGCAGATACAGGAAATCCAGAGAACACCTGCATGATACTACATAAAATGTATATCACCAGACTGTCAAGGTCAATGAGAAAGAAAAAAATCTTAAAGGTAGCTAGAGAAAAAGGCCAGATCACAAACAAAGGGAACCCTATCAGTCTAACAGCAGATTTCTCAGCAGAAACCTTACAAACCAGGAGAGACTGAGGGCCTATTTTCAGCAGTCTTAAAGAAAAAAAAAATTGCAACTAAGAATTTCATATCCCATCAAACTAAGCTTCAGAAGTGAAGGAGAAATAAAATCTTTTTCAGACAAGCAAGCACTAAGTGAATTCATTAGCACCAGACCAGCCTTACAGGAGATCCTTATGGGAGTTCTAAACATGGAAACAAAAGAATGATATCTGCTACCACAGAAACACACCTAAGTACATAGCCCACAGACCCTATAAAGCAATGACACAATAGAAGATACAAAACAACCAGCTAACAACTTTATAAAAGCATCAACACCTCATGTATCACCATCAATCTTGGATGTAAGTGGTCTAAATGCCCTACTTAAGAGGTACAGAATTGCAAGTTAGATAAAATTTTTAAAAAGACCTATCCATCTGCTATCTTTAACAGACACATCTCACAGATAAAAACACCCATAGTCTCAAAATAAAGGTTGGGGAAAGACCTGTCATGCAAATGGAAAACAAAAAAGAGCAGACATCACTATTCTTATATTAGATAAAACATACTTTAAAATGAAAATGATAAAAAGGACAAAAATGGGCATTAAACAATGATAGTGTTCACTTCAATAAGACTTAATTATCCTGAACATATATGCACCCAACATTGGAGCACCCAGATTCATAAGACATCTACTTCTCGGTCTACAAAAAGACCTAGTCACACAATAATCGTGACGTACCTTCAACACCCCACTGACAATGTTAGACAAGTCATCAAGGCAGAAAACTAACAAAGAAATTCTGGACTTGAATTTGACACTTGGCTGACTGGACCTAATAGACATCTACAGAATACTCCACTCATCAACCACAGAATATGCATTCTTCTCATCTGCACACAGAACATATGCCAAGATCAACCACATACTTGACCACAAAACATATCTCAATAAATTTTAAAAAATCAAAATCATACCAACACAACTCTCAGACCACTGTGGAATAAAAATAGAAGTCATTATCGGCTGGACACAGTGGCTCACGCCTATAATCCCAGCACTTTGGGAGGCCGAAGAGGGCGGATCACCTGAGGTGAGAGTTCGAGACCAGCCTGACCAACGTGGAGAAACCCCATCTCTACTAAAAATACAAAAAACTTAGCTGGGCGTGGTGGCGCATGCCTGTGATTCCAGCTACTCAGGAGGCTGAGGCAGGAGAATCACTTGAACACAGGAGGCAGAGGTTGTGGTGAGCTGAGATCATGCCATTGCACTCCAGCCTGGACAACAAGAGTGAAATTCCATCTCAAGAAAAAAAAAGAAAAGAAAAGAAATAATTACCAAGAAGATCTCCCAAAACCACACAATTATATAGACATTAAACAACTGCTACTGAATGACTTTTGGTTAGACAATGAAGTTAGGGCAAAAATCAAATAAATGAAAACAGACACATTATAACAAAATCTCTGGGATGCAGCACAAACAGTGTTAAGAGGAAAGTTTATAGTGCTAAATACCTACCTCGAAAAGTTAGAAAGGTCTCAAGTCAATGATTTATCATCAAACCTACAGGAACTAGAAAACAAGAACAAAGTGGGGTGGAGCCAAGACGGCCGAATAGGAACAGCTCCGGTCTACAGCTCCCAGCCTGAGCGACGCAGAAGATGGGTGATTTCTGCATTTCCATCTGAGGTACCGGGTTCATCTCACTAGGGAGTGCCAGACAGTGGGTGCAGGACAGTGGGTGCAGCGCACGGTGCACGCACCAAAGCAGGGCGAGGCATTGCCTCACTTGGGAAGTACAAGGGGTCAGGGAGTTCCCTTTCCTATTCAAAGAAAGGGGTGACAGACGGCACCTGGAAAATCGGGTTACTCCCACCCTAATACTGCGCTTTTCCAACGGGCTTAAAAAACGGCACACCAGGAGATTATATCCCGCACCTGGCTTGGAGGGTCCTACGCCCACAGAGTCTCGCCGATTGCTAGCACAGCAGTCTGAGATCAAACTGAAAGGTGGCAGCCAGGCTGGGGGAGGGGCACCTGCCATTGCCCAGGCTTGATTAGGCAAACAAAGCAGCCAGCAAGCTCGAACTGGGTGGAGCCCACCACAGCTCAAGGAGGCCTGCCTGCCTCTGTAGGCTCCACCTCTGGGGGAAGGGCACAGACAAACAAAAAGACAGCATTAACCTCTGCAGACTTAAATGTCCCTGTCTGACAGCTTTAAAGAGAGTAGTGATTCTCCCAGCACACAGCTGGAGATCTGAGAACGGGCAGACTGCCTCCTCAAGTGGGTCCTTGACCCCCGAGCAGCCTAACTGGAAGGCACCCCCAAGTAGGGGCAGACTGACACCTCACATGGCCGGGTACTCCTCTGAGACAAAACTTCCAGAGTAACGATCAGACAGCAGCATTTGCAGTTCACCAAGATCCACTGTTCTACAGCCACCGCTGCTGATACCCAGGCAAACAGGGTCTGGAGTGGACCTCTAGCAAACTCCAACAGACCTGCAGCTGAGGGTCCTGTCTGTTAGAAGGAAAACTAACAAACAGAAAGGACATCCACACCAAAAACCCTTCTGTACGTCACCATCATCAAAGACCAAAAGTAGATAAAACCACAAAGATGGGGAAAAAACAGCAGAAAAACTGGAAATTCTAAAAAGCAGAGTGCCTCTCCTCCTCCAAAGGAATGCAGCTCCTCACCAGCAATGGAACAAAGCTGGACCAAAAATGACTTTGACAAGCTGAGAGAAGAAGTCTTCAGATGATCAAACTACTCCGAGCTACAGGAGGAAATTCAAACCAATGGCAAAGCAGTTAAAAACTTTGAAAAAAAATTAGACTAATGGATAACTAGAATAACCAACGCAGAGAAGTGCTTAAAGGAGCTGACAGAGCTGAAAGCCAAGGCTCGAGAACTATGTGAAGAATGCAGAAGCCTCAGGAGCTGATGCGATCAACTGGAAGAAAGGGTATCAGTGATGGAAGACGAAATGAATGAAATGAAGAGAGAAGGGAAGTTTAGAGAAAAAAGAATAAAAAGAAACAAACAAAGCCTCCAAGAAATATGGGACTATGTGAAAAGACCAAATCTACGTCTGATTGGTGTACCTGAAAGTGACAGAGAGAATGGAACCAAGTTGGAAAACACTCTGCAGGATATTATCCAGGAGAACTTCCCCAATCTAGCAAGGCAGGCCAACATTCAGATTCAGAAAATACAGAGAACACCACAAAGATACTCCTTGAGAAGAGCAACTCCATGACGCATAATTGTCAGATTCACCAAAGTAGAAATGAAGGAAAAAATGTTAAGGGCAGCCACAAAGAAAGATCGGGTTACCCACAAAGGGAAGCCCATCAGACTAACAGCAGATCTCTCAGCAGAAACTCTACAAGCCAGAAGAGAGTGGAGGCCAATATTCAACATTCTTAAAGAAAAGAATTTTCAACCCACAATTTCATATCCAGCCAAACTAAGCTTCATAAGTGAAGGAGAAATAAAATCCTTTACAGACAAGCAAATGCTGAGAGATTTTGTCACCACCAGGCCTGCCCTAAAAGAGCTCCTGAAGGAAGCACTAAACATGGAAAGGAACAACCGGTACCAGCCACTGCAAAAACATGCCAAAATGTAAAGACCATCAAGGCTAGGAAGAAACTGCATTAACTAATGAGCAAAATAACCAGCTAACATCATAATGACAGGACAAAATGCACACATAACAATATTAATTTTAAATGTAAATGGGCTAAATGCTCCAATTAAAAGACACAGACTGGCAAATTCGATAAAGAGTCAAGACCCATCAGTGTGCTGTATTCAGGAAACCCATCTCACATGCAGAGACACACATAGGCTCAAAATAAAGGGATGGAGGAAGACCTACCAAGCAAATGGAAAACAAAAAAAGGCAGGGGTTGCAATCCTAGTCTCTGACAAAACAGACTTTAAACCAACAAAGATCAAAAGAGACAAAGAAGGCCATTACATAATGGTAAAGGGATCAATTCAACAAGAAGAGCTAACTATCCTAAATATATATGCACTCAATACCGTAGCACCCAGATTCATAAAGCAAGTCCTGAGTGACCTACAAAGAGACTTAGACTCCCACACAATAATAATGGGAGACTTTAACACCCCACTGTCAACATTAGACAGATCAACGAGACAGAAAGTTAACAAGGATACCCAGGAATTGAACTCAGCTCTGCGCCAAGCAGACCTAATAGACATCTACAGAACTCTCCACCCCAAGTCAACAGAATATACATTTTTTTCAGCACCACACCACACCTATTCCAAAATTGACCACATAGTTGGAAGTAAAGCACTCCTCAGCAAATGTAAAAGAACAGAAATTATAAGAAACTGTCTCTCAGACCACAGTGCAATCAAATTAGAACTCAGGACTAAGAAACTTACTCAAAACCGCCCAACTACATGGAAACTGAACAACCTGCTCCTGAATGACTACTGGGTACATAACAAATTGAAGGCAGAAATAAAGATGTTCTTTGAAACCAACGAGAACAAAGACACAACATACCAGAATCTCTGGGACACATTTAAAGCAGTGTGTAGAGGGAAATTTATAGCACTAAATGCCCACAAGAGAAAGCAGGAAAGATCCAAAATTGACACCCTAATGTCACAATTAAAAGAACTAGAAAAGCAAGAGCAAACAAATTCAAAAGCTAGCAGAAGGCAAGAAATATCTAAAATCAGAGCAGAACTGAAGGAAATAGAGACACAAAAAACCCTTCAAAAAATTAATGAATCCAGGAGCTGGTTTTTTGAAAGGATCAACAAAATCGATAGACTGGTAGCAAGACTAATAAAGAAGAAAAGAGAGAAGAATCAAATAGACACAATAAAAAATGATAAAGGGGGTATCACCACTGATCCCACAGAAATACAAACTACCATCAGAGAATGCTACAAACACCTCTATACAAATAAACTAGAAAATCTAGAAGAAATGGATAAATTCCTCGACACATACACCCTCCCAAGACTAAACCAGGATGAAGTTGAATCTCTGAATAGACCAAAAACAGACTCTGAAATTGTGGCAATAATCAGTAGCTTACCAACCAAAAAGAGTCCAGGACCAGATGGATTCTCAGCCGAATTCTACCAGAGGTACAAGGAGGAGCTGGTACCATTCCTTCTGAAACTATTCCAATCAATAGAAAAAGAGGGAATCCTCCCCACCTCATTTTATGAGGCCAGCATCATCCTGATACCAAAGCCTGACAGAGACACAACTAAAAAAGAGAATTTTAGACCAATATCCTTGATGAACATTGATGCAAAAATCCTCAATAAAATACTGGCAAACCAAATCCAGCAGCACATCAAAAAGCTTATGCACCATGATCAAGTGGGCTTCATCCCTGGGATGCAAGGCTGGTTCAACATACGCAAATCAATAAATGTAATCCAGCATATAAACAGAACCAAAGACAAAAACCACATGATTATCTCAATAGATGCAGAAAATGCCTTTGACAAAATTCAACAACCTTCATGCTAAAAACTCTCAACAAATTAGGTATTGATGGGATGTATCTCAAAATAATAAGAGCTATCTATGACAAACCCACAGCCAATATCATACTGAATGGGCAAAAACTGGAAGCATTCCCTTTGAAAACAGCCACGAGACAGGGATGCCCTCTCTCACCACTCCTATTCAACATAGTGTTGGAAGTTCTGGCCGGGGCAATCCGGCAGGAGAAGGAAATAAAGGGCATTCAATTAGGAAAAGAGGAAGTCAAATTGTCCCTGTTTGCAGATGACATGATTGTATATCTAGAAAACCCCATTGTCTCAGCCTAAAATCTCCTTAAGTTGATAAGCAACTTCAGCAAAGTCTCAGGATACAAAATCAATGTACAAAAATCACAAGCATTCTTATACACCAATAACAGACAAACAGAGAGCCAAACCATGAATGAACTCCCATTCACAATTGCTTCAAAGAGAATAAAATACCTAGGAATCCAACTTACAAGGGATGTGAAGGACCTCTTCAAGGAGAACTACAAACCACTGCTCAAGGAAATAAAAGAGGATACAAACAAATGGAAGAACATTCCATGCTCATGGATAGAAAGAATCAATATCATGAAAAATGGCCATACTGCCCAAGGTAATTTACAGATTCAATGCCATCCCCATCAAGCTACCAATGACTTTCTTCACAGAATTGGAAAAAACTACTTTAAAGTTCATATGGAACCAAAAAAGAGCCCGCATCGCCAAGTCAATTCTAAGCCAAAAGAACAAAGCCGGAGGCATCACGCTACCTGAATTCAAACTATACTACAAGGCTACAGTAACCAAAACAGCATGGTACTGGTACCGAAACAGAGATATAGATCAATGGAACAGAACAGAGCCCTCAGAAATAATGCTGCATATCTACAACCATCTGATCTTTGACAAACCTGAGAAAAACAAGCAATGGGGAAAGGATTCCCTATTTAATAAATGGTGCTGGGAAAACTGGCTAGCCAGATGTAGAAAGCTGAAACTGGATCCCTTCCTTACACCTTATACAAAAATTAATTCAAGATGGATTAAAGACTTAAACATTAGACCTAAAACCGTAAAAACCCTAGAAGAAAACTTAGGCAATACCATTCAGGACATAGGCATGGGCAAGGAGTTCATGTCTAAAACACCAAAAGCAATGGCAACAAAAGCCAAAATTGATTAATGGGATCTAATTAAACTAAAGAGCTTCTGCACAGCAGAAGAAACTACCCTCAGAGTGAACAGGCACCTACAAAATGGGAGAAAATTTTCGCAACCTACTCATCTGACAAAGGGCTAATATCCAGAATCTACAATGAACTCAAACAAATTTACAAGAAAAAAAAAAACAACTCCATCAAAAAGTGGGCAAAGGATATGAACAGACACTTCTCAAAAGAAGACATTTATGCAGCCAACAAACACATGAAAAAAAGCTCATCATCACTGGCCATCAGAGAAATGCAAATCAAAACCACAATGAGATACCATCTCACACCAGTTAGAATGGCAATCATTAAAAAGTCAGGAAACAACAGGTGCTGGAGAGTGAAATAGGAACACTTTTACACTGTTGGTGGGACTGTAAACTAGTTCAACCATTGTGGAAATCAGTGTGGTGAGTCCTCAGGGATCTAGAACTAGAAATACCATTTGACCCAGCCATCCCATTACTGGGTATATACCCAAAGGATTATAAATCATGCTGCTATAAAGACGCATGCACACATATGTTTATTGCGGCACTATTCCCAATAGCAAAGACTTGGAACGAACCCAAATGTCCAACAAGGATTGACTGGATTAAGAAAATGTGGCACATATACACCATGGAATACTAAGCAGCCATAAAAAATGAAGAGTTCATGTCCTTTGTAGGGACATGGATGAAACTGGAAACCATCATTCTCAGCAAACTATCACAAGGACAAAAAACCAAACACCACATGTTCTCACTCAAAGGTGGAAATTGAACAATGAGAGCACATGGACATAGGAAGGGGAACATCACACTCTGGGGATGGTAGTGGGGTAAGGGGAGCGGGGAGGGATAGCATTAGGAGATATACCTAATGCTAAAGGATGAGTTAATGGGTGCAGCACATCAATATGGCACGTGTATACATATGTAACAAACCTGCACATTGTGCACATGTACCCTAAAACTTAGAGTATAATAATAAAAAAAAAAAAGAAAAAAAAAGAACAAAGTAACCATAATGCTACTAGGAGAACAGAAATAAATAAAATCAAAGCAGAACTGAATGAAATTCGGACCCCCAAAATCCATACAAAGAACCAATGAAAGAAAAAAATAGGTTATTTGAAAAAATAAACAAGATGGGTACACTGATAGCTAGATTAACAAAGAACAAAAAGAGAGAAGATCCAAATAAGCACAACCAGAAATAACAAACGTGATATTACAACTGATTTTGCAGAAATACAAAGATCTTCAGCGACTATTATTACCACTTCTGTACACACAAACTAGAATTTCCAGAGGAAATGCGTGAATTTCTGGAAATACACAACCTTCCAAGATTGAATCCGGAAGAAGCTGAAACTCTGAAAAGACCAATATCAAGTTGCAAAGTTGAATCAGCATGAAAAAACCTACCAACCAAAACAGGCCCACACCAGTTGGATTCACAGTCGAATTCTACCAGACATACAAAGAAAAGTTGGTACCAATTCTACTGAAACTATTCCAAAAAATTCGAGGAGGAAGGATTCCTCCCTAAATCATTCTATGGAGCCAGCATCACCCTGATACCAAAACCTGGCAAAAACACAATGAATAAAAAAAAAAATAGAGGCTAAGGTGGGAGGATTGCTGAAGCCCAGGAGTTTGAGACCAGCCTGAGCAACACAGGGAGACTCTGTCTCTACACGTAATTAAAAAATTAACCATGCATGGTGGCACATGCTTGTGGTTGCAGCTACTTGGGAGGCTGAGGTGAGAGGATCACTTGAGCCTGAGAGGTAGGGACTTCAGTGAGCTATGATTGCACCACTGTACTTCAGACTGGGTGATAGAATGAGACCCTGTCTCAGAAAAAGAGGAAGAAAACTGCAGGCCAATATCCCCAATGAATATAGATGCAAAAATCTTCAACAAAATACTAGCAAGCGGAATCCAGCAATATGTCAAAAATCAAATTCACTGTGATCAATTAAGCTTCATTCCTGGGATGCAAGGCTGATTCAATGTATGCAAATCAATAAATATGATTCACCACATAAACATAATCATAAACAAAAAGCATATGATCATCTCGATAGATACAGAAAAAGCCTCCAATACAACATTCTTTCATGTTAAAAACCCTCATTAAACTAGTCAATAAAGAAACAGGCTGGGCACAGTGGCTCACACCTGTACTCCTACCATTTGGGGAGGCCGAGGCAGGCAGATCACTTGAGGTCGGGAGTTTGAGGCCAGCCTGGCTAACATGGTGAAACCTCGTCTGTACTAAAAATACAAAAATTAGCCAGGCATGGTGGTACACACTGTAATTCCAGCTACTTGGGAGGCTGGGACAGGAGAATTGCTTGAACCTGGGAGGGAGAGGTGGTAGTGAGCTGAGATCACGTCACTGCACTCCAGCCTGGGTGACAGAGTGAGACTCCATCTCAAAAAAAAAAAGGAACATACCTCAAAATAATAAGAGCCATCTATGACAAACCAGAGTCAACATCATATGGAATGGGTAAAAGCTAGAAGTATTGCCCTTGAGAACTGCAGTAAGACAAAGTGCCAACTCTCACCACTTCTATTCAGCATAGTGCTGGAAGTCCTCGCCAGAGCTATCAGGTAAGAGAAAGAGATTAAAAGCATCCAAATAGAAAAAGAAGAAACCAAACTGTCTCCCTTCACTGAAGATATTATTCTATACTTAGAAAACCCCAAAGACTCTGCCTAAAGGCTCACGGAACTGATAAAAGACCTCAGTAAAATTTCAGGATCCAAAATCAATGTACAAAAATCAGTAGCATTTCCATACATTAATAGCTTTCAAGGTGAGAGCCAAATCAAGAACACAATCTTGTTTACAACTACAGAAGAAAATAAAATACCTAGGAATACAGGTAACAAAGGAGGTAAAAAACTCTACAAATAAAACTGCCAAACACTGCTGAAAGAAGCCATAGCTAACATAAACAAATAGAAAAACATTCCATGCTTATGGATTGGAAGAATCAAAATTGTTTAAGTGGCCGTACTGCCCAAAGCAATCTACAAATTCAACACTATCCTTTTCAAGCCCCCAATGTCATTTTTTATAGAATTAGGGAAAAGCATTAAAATTCATATGAAACCAAAAGAAAGCCTGAATAGCCAAAGTAATTATGTGCTAAAAGAACAAAGCTGGAGGCATCTCATTGCCTGACTTCAAAATATATTGTTTAAGAGAGAAGAGCCAAGATGGCTGACTAAATGCAGCCAGGAAGTGCTTCTCCCACTTAGAGACCAGATCATTAATAAGACTGGCACAATCTGAATAATCTTTGAAAGAAAGACATTGACAGTGTATGGAGTGAGGACGCAGACTGTGAGCTGAAGCAGGAGGAAGCTGGGAACCCTGCACAAGGGTGCTGAGCATCAGGACTCATTCCTGGCTTCAAGTAACTCCTAGGGAAGGGATGAGTTAAACAGGTGTGGAATGGCCCACTCTCACCATGGACCTCCTGAATCCTAGCTGCAGGACCCCCAGCAACCCCCACAGACATTTGAGCTGGCAGGTAGAGTTTCTTGGAGAGTTGGCAGGGATAGAACTCCAGCCAGTGTGGAGCCCAGAGAGTTTGGCATGGAAATAGCTGCAGTGGAGCACAGCCAAGCATGCCCATCCCCCAAGGCTCACCATGCTCCTCTAGGTGGCTTGGCCTTTGTTGACTGTCAGACCTGGACAGAACAGGGCTGTCCTGCCAGTGAGAGGGGCCAGTCTGATCTGAGCACCCTGCTGTCTGAGAGTCTTTCCCAGGATCCCTGCCTGGCTGCACCCACTTGCAGCAGGGCCAGAGATAACCAAATGAGGCACCTCCCATCAGCTACTACCATAGCTCCTTCGCAGGTAGACCATGCCTAAGTATCATAGAACTTCTGCAGATGGGCCACTGTGGGCACACACCCACCCATAGCCTCCCCCTATGTCTTTGCCAGCACACACTCATGCATGGCCTTCCATCACCATTTTGCTGACATGTATGAATCCATGGACCTTACGGTCCTGCCCAACCTGGTGCACATGCAGACCCCATCATACTGCCACCACTGGCACACACACCTGTGCACATGCAAACCCCATCATGTCAGTGCCTCACCAGCAGGCATGCATGCACGCACAGACCTCAGAGCACTGCCACCATGATGCTGCTGGCATGCACTTGTGCAAGGACACACCACACTGCCAAAGCCCTGTCAAAGTACTTTTGCCAGCCCTCCACATCTGAGTGTTGTTGCCAGTATACTGGGAACACCTCAGCCCTCCCAACACTACAGGTACTCAACCTCAAGGGGCCAAGAACAAAGCCATGGGCCTGGTCCCAGGCCCCCAGGGTTACACCACATAGCCCAGGAGTGCTGAGCTGAGACTTGGCACCCTGAAATCATCCAGAAACAAAACCAGTTTACTGAAGCCAGCTTATGCCATAGTCAAACTTCAAGGGCATCCAAGAATATAAAACAAAAAAATCCCCATCCAAAGGACAGCAACTTCAAAGATAAAAGGAACATCAGCCACACAGATGAGAAAGAATGAGTGAAGAACTCTGGCAACTCAAGAAGCTAGAGTGTTTTCCCACCTCCAAATGACTGCATTAGCTCCCCAGCAATGGTTCTAAAACATACTGAAATGACTAGAATAACAGACATAGAATTCAGAATCTGGATGAGATTCAGGAGAAAGTTGAAACCCAATTCAAGGAATCTAAGGAATCCAGTGAAACAATACAAGAGCTGAAAGACTAAATAGCCAGTTTAAGGAAGAACCAAACTGACCTGATAGAGATGAAAAACTCACTACAAGAATCTCATAATAAAATTGGAGGTATTAACAGCATAATACACCATACTGAGGAAGGAATCTCAGAGCTTGAAGACTGGTTTTTTGAATCAACTCAGTCACACAAAAGAACAAAACAGTAAAAAGGATGAACAAAACCTTCAAGACTTACTGGATTATTTAAGGAGACCAACTATATGACTCATTGGCATCCCTGAAAAAAGAGAGAAAACAAACAATTTGGAAAACATATTTGGGTATACTGTCAAAGAAAATTTTCCCAGCCTCCCTAGTGAACTTGACATTCAAATTCAGGAAATTCAGAGGACTCCTGTGAGATATTACACAAGGTTACCATTCCAAAGATACACAGTCATCAAATGCTCCAAGGTCAATGTGGAAGAAAAATATTAAAGGCAGCTAGAGAGAAGGGGCAGGTCATCCACAAAGGGAACCAAATAAACATAATTAGAAACAGCAAAGGGGATATTACCATGGACTCCACAGAAATAAATAAAAAAAAAAACCCTCAGAGACGATTACAAACACCTCTATGCACACAAACTTGAAAACCTAGAAGAAATGGATAATCCCTGGAAACATATATTCTCCAAAGGTTGAACCAGGAATAAACTTAAACCCTGAGTAGACCAGTAATGAGTTCTGAAATTGAATGAGTAATTAAAACCTATGAACCAGAAAAAGCCCTGAAACAGATCTACTCACAGCCAAATTCTGCCACATGTATAAAGAAGATCTGGTGCTAATCCTACTGAAACTATTCCAAAATATTGAGAAGGAGGGACTCCTTCCTAACTCATTCTATGAGGCCAGCATCATTCTGATATCAAGACTTGGCAGAGACATAACATAAAAAGAAAACTTCAGGGCAAATATACCTGATGAGCATAGATGCAAAAATTCTCAACCAAACACTAGCAAACTGAATCCAGCAGTACATCAAAAAGCTAATCCACCACAATAAAGTAGGCTTTATTCCTGGGATGCAAGATTGATTCAACATACACAAATCAATAAATGTGATTCATAAACAGAGCTAAAAACGAAAATCACATGTTCATCTCAATAGACGCAGAAAAGCTTTCAATAAAATTTAATGTCTCTTCATGTTAAAAACTCTCAACAGACTAAGCATCAAAGGAACACACCTCAAAATAATAAGAGCCATCTATGACAAATCCAGAGCCAACATCATACTCAGTGGGCAAAAGCTGGAAGCATTTCCCTTGAGAACCATAACAAGACAAGGATGCCCACTCTCACCATTTCTATTCAACACTAGTACTGGAAATCCTAGCCACAACAATCAGACAAGAGAAAGAAACAAAATGCATCCAAATATGAAGACAGGAAGTCAAACTATCTCTTTTCACAGATGGTGTGATTCGATACCAAGGAAATCTTACAGTCTCTGCCCCAAAGCTCCTAGATCTAACAAACAACTTCAGCAAAGTTTCATGATACAAAATGAACGTAAAAAAAAATCAGTAAGCCTACAAAAACAATTGCCACAAAAACAAAAAATTGACATTAGTGGGACCTAAGTAAACTAAAGAGCTTCTGCAAAGCAACAGAAACTATCAACAGAGTAAACAGACAGCTTACAGAAAGAAGAAAATATTTGCAAACTATACATCTGACAAAGGTGTAATATCCAGAATCTGTAAGTAACTAAAAAGTTCAGCAAGCAAAAATCAACCCCATGAAAAAATGGGCAAAGTCAGGACGTGGGCCACGTGTTCAAGAAATTCATCAAGTTAACTGTGGGCGAGGCAGACGTGCAGTCCATCATTGGCCTGCAGTGCTTCTTCACAATGCACATGAATGAGGCCTTCAGTGCCTCACAGTTCTCTGCTGTACTGGTGGAACCCCTACCAATGAGCCTGCCTGGTGCTTGCCTGAGTTCCCAGGAGCTGTCTGGTGGCCCTGGTGATGGCCCCTGAGGCTGGAGTCCACATGGCCAGCCCAGCCTAGCTTTGTTCTCTGTCCTGTCACCCCATCCCCACTCCCCGATGGCCTGACTCCCACTCCCTTGTGGCCTCATCCCTCAGTTCCTCACGATATGGTTTTTACTTCTGTGGATTTAAAAAAAAAAACTTCACCAGTTCAAAAAAAATGAACAAAGGACATGAATAGACACCTCAAAAGAAGACATACATGTAGCCAACAAGCATATGAAAAAATGCTTCACACGTCTAATCATTAGAGAAATGCAAATTAAAACCACAATGAGATATCATCTCACAACAGTCAGAATGGCTGTTATTAAAAAGTCAAAAAATAACAGATGCTGGCAAGGTTATGGAGAAAAGGGAATGCTTATACACTATTGGTGGGAATATAAATTACTTCAGCCATTTATTAGTGAACAATAAATAATCTTATTTATTTTATAATAATCTTATTTATTTAAATAAATTATTTTATTGAAAGCTTTTTAAATTTTTATTGAAAGCCACTGTGGAAAGCAGTTTGGAGATTTATTAAAGAACTTAGAACTACTATTTAACCTAGCAATCCTGTTAGTGGGTATATTGAGGAATATAAATTGTTCCACCAAAAAGACACATGCATTTGTATGTTATTGCAACACTATTCACTGCAAAGCAAAAAATCAACCTAGATGGCCATCAACTGTGGATTGGATAAAGAAAATGTGATACATATACACTATGAAATACTCTGCAGCCATAAAAACAAATGAAATCATGTTCTTTGTAGCAACATGGATGGAGCTGGGGGCCATTATCCTAAGCGAATTAATGCAGGAACAGAAAACCATAATACAATTGGAGGTATAATAGTGAATGTCATGGACATAAAAATGAGAACAATAGACACTAGGCACTATTTCAAGGTGGAGGGTAGGAGGAGAGTCAGGGTCCAAAAACTGCCTATTGGGTACTATGCTCATCACTGGATGATGAAAAAGTCTGTACACCCTATACCTGCAACACACAATTTACCTATGTAACAAACATGCACATGTACTCTCTGAGCCTAAAATAAAATTTGAAAGAAAAAATAAATTTAAAAATTAATAGTTAAATAAAATTATACTCCATGAAAAACAACAACCAAAACAAAATATTGCAAGTCTACATTTACCAAATCAGCATGGTATTGGTATAAACATAGACACATAGACTAATGAACAGAATAAGGAAGCCAGAAATAAAGCCACATACTTACATCCAACTGATCTTTGACAAAGTTGACAAAAACTTACATTCGAGAAAGGACACCCTCTTCAACAAACGGTTCTGGGGAAATTGGATAGCCACATGCAGAAAAATAAAACTGAACCCCTGTCTCTCATCATATACAAAAATCAACTCTATGTGGATTAAAGTCTTGAATGTAAGACCTGGAACGCTAAACATACTAGAAGAAAACCTAGGGAAAACTCTCCTGGAGTAAAAAATATATGACTAAGGCCTTAAAAGCATAGTCACCAAAAACAAAAGTAGACAAATGGGACTTAATTAAACTAAAAAGCTTTTGTACAGCAAAAGAAATAATTAACAGAGTGAACAGACAACATGCAGAGTGGGAGAAAATATTTGGAAACTACGAATCTGTCAGGAGACTGATATCCAAAATATACAAGGAATTTAAACAATTCAACAGGAAATAAAACAAATAATCCTCTTTAAAAGTGGGCAAAGGATGTGAGTAAACATTTCTCAAGAGAAGATGCACAGCAACTATGAAAAACAGTAGAGAGATTACTCAACAAACTAAAAACAGAATTACCACTTGATCCAATAATCACACTACTGGGCCTCTAACCAAAGGAAATTACATCGATATATCAAAGGGATATCTGCACCAGTATGTTTATTGCAGCACTATTCACAGTAGCAAAAATATGGAATCAACCTAAATGTCCATCAATAAGTGAATAAATAATAGACATCTGGCATATATACACAATGGAATACAATTTGTCCATAAAACAGAATGAAATAATGTAATTTGCTGCAACATGAATAGAACTGGTGGTCATTATCTTAAGTAAAATAAGCCCGGCATGAAAAGACAAATATCACATGTTCTCACTTATATGTTGGAGCTAAAAATTTGTTGACATGGAAGTGGAGAGTGAAAAGATAGATAACAGAGAGTGAGAAGGGTAAGTGAGGGGAAGAAGAGAGGATGAACAGAAGTAGATTAAAAGGTACAAACATACAATAAGATGAAATAAGTTACATATTTGATAGCATAGCAGGGTGACTATACTTAACAAAAATGTATTGTACATGGGTGCTGGATACCGTAAATGCCCTGGTTTGATCACTACGTATTATCTACATGTAACAAAATTTCACATGTATTCCATAAATTTTTACAAATAATAAATAAATTAATTAAACCTTACTAAAAATTTGAAAAAGAAAAAAGAATAAACAGGCTGGGCTTGGTGGCTCATGCCTGTAATCTGAGCACTTTGGGAGGTCAAGACAGGTGCACTGCTTGAGACCAGAAGTTTAACACCAGCCTGGGCAACACAGCAAGCTGCCATCTCTACAAAAAATTAAAAAATAAAATTTAGCCAGGTGTGGTGGCATGCACCTGAGCTACTCAGGTCATAAGTCATGGTCTTGCTCTGTCACCCAGGCTGGAGTCCAGTGGGGCAATCATAACTCACTGCAGTCTCGAACTCCTGGGCTCAAGTGATCCTCTAGCGTCAACCTCCCAAGTAGCTGGGACTACATCTGGCTTTTTTATTATTATTATTTTTTAATTTTTTTAGAGACAGAGTCTTGCTGTGTCACCCAGGCTGGTCTCAAACTCTTAGTCTCAGATGAGCCTCCTGCCTTGGCCTCCAAAGGACTAGAATTACTGGCATGGGCCACCATGCCCGGCCTGTGTTTGTTTCTTAATTTTGTTCTGTTTTGTTTTTGCTTTGAGTTTACTTATGTGTAATATTATTTTTATTCTTCAAAGTAATTCATATACATAAAGTCAAATATAGCTGTAAGTTTCTAAAGAAATGACATTTCTCTCATCTTCCTTTTCTACTTCTGAATCCTGTTCCCTAGTAGCAATTGCTTTCAACTTTTATTTTTTTCCTATGGTATTCTTCAGTAAACAAACTTATGCTGCCATTTCTGGATTCTTTTTAGTTTTAGATATTATCTATTTATTTATTACTGGAGAATGTAAGGCTACATTTCTGTCATGTATCTCCTTTACCAAAAATATATATGTTCTAATTTCCCCTCCACCTCTTTCCTATATAGTTTTTTTCACAGTTTTTGGATGGGTCAATATTCAGGGTTTATATTATTATAGCCATTGAAACATGTTGCATATGACAATTTTTTCCTTGCTTATATAACCTTTCTTATTTTTTTGGTAAGAATTCCTGTTTGGTAGTTTTCATAGTTATTTGTATGCCTATCAATTAGTTCTGCCTGAACTCTCCAGAAGCACTATAAAATCAATCTTACATTTTTAAAAATAATGTCAAATGCATTAGGCAAACTGTCAATTCTATTTTTTTTTTTTCTTGAAAAGCTATCCCTTCCACATCCCTTGGTTCTTTTGCTCCAGTCTGGATGGGTTGTTCTCTCAGTCTGTTGCCTGTTATCCTGCAACTTCCTCACATCCTGGCACTGCACTAAACCATCATTCCAGGAATGCCGTGTAGCTTTCTTCTATACTAGATCCCTTATTTCTCGTACTTTTTCTTTTCCATTTTTTGAAACCCCATTCTTTATTTATTTACTGTGTGCACCATATCTTCTAGTAGGTTCCTAAGAAAGAAGTCATAGAGGTAATGTTTTGACTTTACATGTCTGGAAATATGTTTATTTTATCTTTATTTTTTATTGATAATTTCATGTTGAATTCTGGGTGACAGATCTTTTTTTCCCCTTAGTTTAGAAGGCATTGCTCTATTGTCATCTAACTTTCTGTGTTGTTTTGAATACTCTGATATTTTGTTTTTCAATCATTTATCATGTCGTTGTGTTTATTCTACTGCATGAAGTGAGAGATGGGGTTTAGGGGAACTCTTTGATGTGGTTTGGCTCTGTGTCCCCACCCAAATCTCATCTCGAATTGTAAACCCCATGTGTTGAGGGACAGACCTGGTGGGAAGTGATTGGATCATGGGTGCAGTTTTCCCCTTGCTGTTCTCCTTATATCTAGTGAGCTCTTAAAAGATCTGATGGTCAAAGTGTTTGGCAGTTCCTTTCACTCCTACTGCCTTGTGAGGAAGGTGCCTGCTTCCCCTTCACCTTACATCATGATTTTAAGTTTCCTGCGGTCTCCCCAACCATGTGGAACTGTGAGTCAACTAAACCTCTTTCCTTTGTAAATTACCCGGTCTCAGGTATTCTTTATAGCAGTGTGAAAATGAACTAATACACTCTTTATTCACACTCCTGATTAATCCTCCTGTTTAGGTCCTCCTGTTTTAGGGTTTTGCAGTACAAATTATCCTGCCTCTAGTTGATGCTACTTTTTGCTGGCACTAGAGTTTGAACTTGACCTGCTCTGTTATGTCAGGTGTCACTCAATCATCTATTTTCCATCTTCCAAAGTTGTGGTTAAATCTCTAGTTTTCTGTATTTCTTTCACTCTTTTATTCTTCTGGCTTTTATATATTTAGAAATTTCTTTGGATCAATTTCTGGACATTGCAGATATAGTCATATGTTGAATATGTTATGCTTAAAAGGAAATTAAGGATTTCAGAATTTCAAGGTATAAACCTATCTCCCCACCTTTGTATATTGTTTTATTTTAAACAGTCTCAATTTTCTTTTTTTTATTATTATACTTTAAGTTCTAGGGTACATGTGCACAATGTGCAGGTTTGTTACATATGTATACATGTGCCATGTTGGTATGCTGCACCCATTAACTCATGATTTACATTAGGTATTTCTCCTAATGCTATCCTGCCCCCTCCCCCAACCCCATGACAGGCCCAGTGTGTGATGTTCCCCACCCTGTGTCCAAGTGTTCTCATTGTTCAATTCCCACCTATGAGTGAGAACATGCGGTGTTTGGTTTTCTATCCTTGTGATAGTTTGCTCAGAATGATGGTTTCCAGCTTTATCCGTGTCCCTACAAAGGACGTGAACTCATCCTTTTTTTATGGCTGCATAGTATTCCATGGTGTATACGTGCCACATTTTCTTAATCCAGTCTATCATTGATGGACATTTGGGTTGTTCCAAGTCTTTGCTATTGTGAATAGTGCCTCAATAAACATATGTGTGCATGTGTCTTTATAGCAACATGATTTATGATCCTTTGGGTATATACCCAGTAATGGGATCGCAGGGTCAAATGGTATTTCTACTTCTAGATCCTTGAGGAACCGCCACACTGTCTTCCAAAATGGTTGAACTGGTTTACGCTCCCACCAACAGTGTAAAAGTGTTCCTGTTTCTCCACATCCTCTCCAGCGCCTGTTGTTTCCTGACTTTTTAATGATCGCCATTCTAACCAGTGTGAGATGATATCTCATTGTGGTTTTGATTTGCATTTCTCTGATGTCTGGTGTTGATGAACATTTTTTCATGTGTCTGTTGGCTGCATAAATGTCTTCCTTTGAGAAGTGTCTGTTCATATCCTTTACCCACTTTTTGATGGGGTTGTTTGTATTTTTCTTGTAAATTTGTTTAAGTTCTTTGTAGATTCTGGATATGAGCCCTTTGTCAGATGGGTAGATTGCAAAAATTTTCTCCCATTCTGTAGGTTGCCTGTTCACTCTGATGGTAGTTTCTTTTGCTGTGCAGAAGCTGTTTAGTTTAATTAGATCCCATTTGTCAATTTTGGCTTTTGTTGCCATTGCTTTTGGTGTTTTAGACATGAAGTCCTTGCCCATGCCTATGTCCTGAATGGTATTGCCTAGGTTTTCTTCTAGAGTTTTTATGATTTTAGGTCTAGCATTTAAATCTTTAATCCATCTTGAATTAATTTTTGTATAAGGTGTAAGGAAGGGATCCAGTTTCAGCTTTCTACATATGGCTAGCCAGTTTTCCCAGCACCATTTATTAAATAGGGAATCCTCTCCCCATTTCTTGTTTTTGTCAGGTTTTTCAAAGATCAGATGGTTGTCGATGTGTGGTATTATTTCTGAGGGCTATGTTCTGTTCCATTGGTCTATATCTCTGTTTTGGTACCAGTAGCATGCTGTTTTGGTTACTGTAGCTTTGTAGTACAGTTTGAAGTCCAGTAGCATGATGCCTCCAGCGTTGTTCTTTTTGCTTAGGTTTGTCTTGGCAATGCGGGCTCTTTTTTGGTTCCATATGAGCTTTAAAGTAGTTTTTTCCAATTCTGTGAAGAAAGTCATTGGTAGCTTGATGGGGATGGCATTGAATCTATAAATTACCTTGAGCAGTATGGCCATTTTTCACGATAATGATTCTTCCTATCCATGAGCATGGAATGTTCTTCCATTTGTTTGTGTCCTCTTTTATTTCATTGAGCAGTGGTTTGTAGTTCTCCTTGAAGAGGCCCTTCACATCCCTTGTAAGTTGGATTCCTAGGTATTTTATTCTCTTTGAAGCAATTGTGAATGGGAGTTCACTCATGATTTGGCTCTCTGTTTGTCTGTTATTGGTGTATAAGAATGCTTGTGATTTTTGCACATTGATTTTGTATCCTGAGACTTTGCTGAAGTTGCTTATCAGCTTAAGGAGGTTTTGGGCTGAGACGATGGGATTTTCTAAACATAGAATCATGTCATCTGCAAACAGGGTAAACAGTCCCAATTTTTATATGCGATTCTATAAGAGTACAAAGTAACATTTGCTACTGGATTGGGCAGGGTGTGGTGGCTTACTCCTGTAATCTCAGCACTTTGGGAAGCCAAGGCGGGTGGATCACCTGAGGTCAGGAGTTCAAGACCAGCCTGACCAAAATGGTGAAACCCCATCTCTACTAATAATACCAAAAATTAGCTGGGCATGGTGGTGGGTGCCTGTAATCCCAGCTACTCAGGAGGCTGTGGCAGGAGAATCCCTTGAACCAGGAAGGCAAGAGTTGCAGTGAGCCAAGATTGCACCATTGCATTCCAGCCTGGGCAACAAGAGTGAAACTCTGTCTCAAAAAAAAAAAAAAAAAGTGCTAGATTGGAATTGAATTAATGAAAATCAAATCAACACATTGAGGATTTACCATGACAGTAGTTGGCATCAAGGCGATATAAAATAAACATATGATATGGTCTGTCTTTTCAAGGAGCTTGCCAACTTCTTAGGATGATAAAATGTACCCACTATTCATGTGAGAGAGTGAAAGACTTCATCAGAAGCATAAAAAATATTAGAAATGGACTTAAACAGAAAATCAGATGATTTAATGAAGTTAAATAGATAAGATATGTGCTTATGAATGAGAATGTACGAGTCAAGGTATGAATACAAGTTTAAACCTATAATGGTTTGGTAAATAAAATACATTTGCAATACTAACAGTTTCCTACCTATTTTGTTCATTTCATGTCATCTTTTGTGTGTGTGTGTGTGTGTGTGTGTGTGTAAAGGAGTGATTGAAGATATAGCAATAATCATTTCCAAAGAAATGTTAGTAACTTGAGTATTTGCAGTCATTTTAGAAACAGGTATTGTGGAATTAGAATGGGTTTCTCTTTACATAAATTTTTTGAGTATATTTCAGCTACATGATTTGAAGTGGAGTTCAGCCCCTGTGTCTGGCAAAGCTAGACTTAATTGGATTAACAAATGCAATTCTAGAATTTTAAATAGCATATTTGTGCACAATCTTGGCATTCTAAATTCATTGGAGGCATTCTGGAATGCTTAAAAGTGTCCAAAGGGTCCAGACTAACCAATCTACCCACTTAGGCAAACATTTTGACCTAAGAGGAGGCTGCATTTTAATTTTAAAATGTTTTGTAATTTTGCAGTTTAGCTCTATAGTTAAGCTCATGAGCGTAAGCGCATCAGAAACTATACCTCTTATTATTATTTTGTTCCCATTTACCATTTTCCCCATGTGATAAATGGATGCCGAATATAATTTTCATTTTCAGACACTTCAGTTCTCATTCAAATTTCCTCTTCAGTGAAGTCAAAGAGTGAAAACACCTCATTCTTCCTCCTACCTTCATCCCTGGAATCCTGGGAGTTTAACTGGCTTGCCTTTATGAAATTTTATTCTGGTGATCACCTTCTGATTCTTCCTCAGTGTTTAATTAAAGTACACTATTCTGCCACGAAACTTTTCCAATTATTCTTGTCTGTATTTGACATCACATCGTCTGAATTTGTATTTTACCTACAAATTCAGACACTTTAGCTTGTATTTTTTCTCTAATAATATGACATGTATTTGATGTGTTTGGTCCCCCTAGATTACGAAAAACAGTTTTCAAAGATGGCATATTACATAGAAAATGTAATTTGGCTGGTAATTCAATTCTTCATTAGACATATGAATTAGATGAATTAGTTTTATTGCAAATGATTGTACCAGTTGTAACCGCATTTGGAGTAATCTTAGGTAAAAATACCTGACTTCAAAACATATATGTTGCCCTAAAAAATACATCCTGTGACAGATTTTTAAAAGTAAAAAATATTTACATCCTGGAAGTTAATTTTGCATCTCAGAAAAATATTTCCATTCCAGAATTCTTGGCATTTGTGAATAAAAGGTCTTCAGTTGAACTATGTGTTTGGTGAGTGAAGGTTTTCTAAAGGAGAATGAACATCAAGATTTCAGCCTAATCTTTGGTCATTCTTTGCACATGTAGTCCTCTTGTATCCTAACTTGACTTTGAGGTGGTGCCTGGATCTAAGCAAACACTAATAACACCTGTATCTTTTTGTCTTTCCATTCAGTCTCAGTTTTCTATATTATTCTGGGTTTGAAGCCTCATTTCTCTACACTTTCAATGAAAAAAGCAGTGAAGAAAGAAAGGAAGGGAGGGAGAGAGAGAATCATTCCTCTCAAGTCATGTTTTGTGATGTTGAGGCTTTCCTGAAGATGGTTATAGAGAGCGGGTTATAGCTTAGAGCTTGGAGCCTTTTCTGCCTTTCTTTCCCCCTTCATTTTCCTGGAGTCCTCTTCTCTTATGTGAAGTACATTTATTCATATCCAGGACCTAGAGGCTCAGCCTCTCCTCTGAAATGGGCTTTAGAAATCTTATCTTCAGTAAAGGTGAGTCCTCTCCTTACAAGTGAACTTCGTATTAGTAGCCAATAAATTTTTTTTTCAGATTTCTTCTTTCAAATATCCTTAGCAGTAACTGGGACACTTGACCTTATAAATTTTATATTGAAGTGGAAGACACTTGGTCCTTGATTCCACAAGTATTTGTAGCCATGTGTTTGAAGTATCATGTACTATTACCATAGTAGCTAACACTAAATAAATGTTTACTTTGGCTATGCACAGCTCTATCTATATTCCCCACAAAAAACCTATAATGTCATTGTATTCGTTTCTTGGGGCTTCTGTTAAAAATTACCACAAACTGGGTGGTTTAAAACAACAAAAATATATTTTCTCACAGTTCTGGAGGCCAGAGGTCAGAAATTGAGGTATTCTAAGGGCAATGTTATCTCTAAAGGCTCTAGGAGAGGATTTTTCCTTTCCTCTTCCAGCTTCTGGTGGCTCCAAGTATTCCTTGGCTTGTGACTAAATAAGTCCAATCTCTTCGTTTGTCTTCACATGGCCTCATTCTCCGTTTCTTCCCGTGCAGCTCAACCCTGTGCATCTTTCAGAAGGCCACTTGTCATTGGACTTAGGACCCACCAGAAAACCCAGAAAGATCACTTCTCAAAATTATACCTGTAAAGACTTTTTTTTTCTAAATAAGGTCACATTCACAGGTTTTGGGGGTTAGGACATGGATAAATGGAGTCCACCATTCAACCCCCTATAGTAAGCTTATTTTATGGCTGAATAAACAAAGATCTAGAAAATTTCCATAACTTGGCCAAGATTAGAAAGGCAGAATTTGAATCTGGATTAATCTCCCATCAAAATGCGTGTCATTTCTATCACACTGTCTCTTATGTGACTCTCTGGATTGCATGTATATCTTGAGTAGAGTTGGACATTTGTAAACATGATAAACCTGCCCTCACCAGGAGAGATGCCTATGGACTTTTCTTGGGAATATGCCTGAAGTACAGTTATCTCAGTTATCCAATGTTAAAATGCTGATAAAAAACAGCAGCCTCCCAGCAAACCAACTCACTGCTGTAAACAGCATTTACATCATTCCCTTTCACATCAGAAAAAGAGGCAGATGGTTTAACTCATGCATTTGGGTTATCAGCAGGACAGAAATTTCCACAGATAAATGTAAACAGTGCTTTTTTAAAAACATAATTTTTATGGCATATTTTAATCTGAGTAGTTGTTTATCACTAAAATTCAGAAGACACTCTTAACTTGGTACACATGACATGTTGACCTAGACCCAGATGTCAGCACACAACCTATCTGACTATTTTTATTTTAACCTCAGCTGCCATTTTCCCTGACCTCTCTAATGGGGTTATTTCATAATAACAGATATTTTGTTTCATTTATTGTTCCAAGAATGGCAAAACTTCATCTTTTTTTTTTTTTTTGTATTCTGGGTTTATTTTTTCCTCTCCAGTTCATTTCAGTTCTTTATCTCAGCAACTGCACCAAATTGCATTGTAACAAAAATTGTCAGGACTTTTTTAAAAGATGAAAATTAATTCAGTGATGTATGCTTTTGACTGATATTACTTTAGTTCAATTTTATAGCTAGGGAAGTGGGTTCAGAGGCAAATGACTTCATAAGTTAAAAGGCAAATTCTCAGCGATTTCCTGGCCATTGCTCTGAGGACCATTGTTGACTCTCTCTTGTTGAATATAACCCATATAAAAATAGAGTCTAAGCTTTTTTTGCAGGGGGATGGAGTCCCCCTCTGTCATCCAGGCTGGAGTGCGATGACACAATCTCAGCTCACTGCAACCTCCGTCTCCCGGGTTCAGGTGATTCTCCTGCCTCAGCCTCCCGAGTAGCTGGGATTACAGGTGCCTGCTACCATGCCCAGCTAATTTTTGTATTTTTAGTAGAGACGGGGTTTCATCTTGTTGGCCAGGTTGGTCTTGAACTCCTGACCTTAGGTGATCTGCCTGCCTTGGCCTCCCAAAGTGCTAGGATTACAGGTGTGATAGTCTTTTTTATTCTTGCAATTGTCACATCCCCTAGCATCTGCTTAGCATTAAAGCAATTGCTCTGAGTATATTGTTTAATAATTACTTTCTTCATAATTTTGTTTTTTTAGAGTCTTTATGTTGATTATAGGCTAAGAATCTTTGCTTTGAATCCCTTATCTCCCAAGATGCCTGGATTGTTGTTCTATTCACACTGGCACACAGTATGTCTACTAATAATAGTGTCCAGAAAGGGAAGTCCATGCTTTTCAGGCTCAGGAAGCAAAGGTTGCTCATTTCCACTACATTAGGCTACCATTACCACAGCACTGTCTGGTTTTAAAGATCATGGACTCCAAACTCAGGCCACCTGTTTTCAATCCCAAACTCTGCTTTTTGGTCAAATTACTTAGCCTGTCTGTCCCTCCGTTTTCCAACCTATAAAATGGAGATAATAATACTATTATATCATGGGATTGGTGATGGTTAAGTGAGTTAATACTAGAATGAGTTAATACTAGAATGAGAACAGTAACTTGCATATAGCGATCACTAAATATGTATTTATTAAATAGGTAATTTTTTCCAGGATTACTCCTATTGCCATGTGTTGTCTGTGTGCACCAGTCTTTTCCACTACCAATTCACTTTCCATTGAAACCTGAGTGACCCTTCTAAAGTACAAATAGGTTACTTTACTTCTCTGCTTAAAAACTGATAGCTTCCAGCATTTATGAATTAAATGGTGCCCAGCTAGACTTCTTTCATAAACGTCTCAAGTAACTGACAGTTTTAAGCCTGCGATCTTTGAAAGGAGGGGAACTCATGAAGTGGGGTCCACAATTGCCAGTTCTCTGCCTGAGAACAATTTTCTGATTGCAGAACAGAAAGCTGGAGTCAAGCAGAGTACAGTGGTCCCACTGAGCATAGGGGCAGAGATCAGAGTTCTGGGTAGCTGAAGCAGCAGGAATATAATAGGTAGAATGTCATAGAAGAAGGAAGTTCTCAGAAATTTGTGTGATGGAACACTTCAAGTTCATGACTGAGAGGGGGTTGTATAGGTTCAGGGCAAATAACCCAAGGCTTAACAGCTAGCAATTGCTCTAGGGCTGAAAGGTGAACAAAGATATTGGAGGTTAAGCAGTGCCTGCAGATACTGGAGTTCCAGCCTTGCCAGAGTGGAGAAATGTCCTTCAAGCCTCTTTAAAACCTCTGGAATCCACTTGAGATGGCAGAAAGACCATGTCTTAAGAGTAAAGACCATGCCCTAGAGAAAGACTTAATGTAGGATTATCTGAAGAAAGCCTAAAACCAACCTCTACCAAGATCCATAGAGAGACAGTTTGGAGGCTGAGTCTTACCAGCTTAGAGGGGCTTGCAAAATACCTTGGGTTTTTACAGTTCCTAACTGTATTAGTTCGTTTTCACGCTGCTTATAAAGACATACCCAAGACTGGGTAATCTGTAAAGGAAAGAAGTTTCAAGGACTCACAGTTCCACATGGCTGGAGAGGCCTCACAATCATGGCAGAAGGCAAAGGAGAAGCAAAGGCATGTCTTACATGGCGGCAGGCAAGAGAGCTTGTTCAGGAGAACTCCCAGTTATGAAACCATCAGCTTTCGTGAGACTTATTCAGTACCACAAGAACAATATGGTGAAACTGCCCCCATGATTCAGTGATCTCCACCTGGCCCACCCTTGACACATGAGGATTATTACAATTCAAGGTGAGATTTGGGTAGGGATGCAGCCAAACCATATCACTAATTAATGAAGCACAAAATCAAGCCTAGACACATTCTAGGGGGCAGCCAGAAATTAAATTTGTTGCTAAATAGGAAGCAAGGAAGATAGAATCCTAATTTTCTAAAATATAGTATCCCAAGTGTCTAGTATTCAATCACAAAATAAACAGAAATGTAATATATATCCCTTATCCAAAATGCTTGGGACCAGAAGTGTTTTAGATTTTGGATTTTTGCCAGACTCTGGAATATTTGCATATAGATAACATGGTATCTTGGAGATGGGACCCAAGTCTAAACACGAAATTCATTTATGTTTCATATACACCTTATGTACTTAGTCTAAACGTAATTTTACACAACAGTTTTCATAATTTGGGGCATAAAACGAAGTTTCAACTGTAACCTGCCACATGAGGTTAGATGTGGAATTTTCCCTTTGCGAGGTCATGTTGGTACACAAAAACTTTTAGAATTTGGAGCATTTTATATTTTTTGATATTTGGATTAAGGATGCTCCTCCTATACATACTCAAGAAAAGAAAAAAGTCAGTAATTGTAAAAATGGAATTGATTTTCTGTAAGACAATTCAATGAGAAATGATAGTCTTTTCAATATATGGTGCTAAAACAATTGGAATCTGATCTCCGTATGTAAAACAATTAACTTCAACCCTTACTTTACACCATATACAAAAATCAAATTGAAATGGATTATAAATCTAAATGCAAAGATTATGACTATAAACCTTCTATAAGCAAAAATAGGAAAAAAAATCCGTAACCCGAAAAGAAAGTATTGATAAATTGGGCTTCTACAAAAATTAAAATAATCACTTTTCAAAGAAAACACTTAATAAAAGGGCAGGCTATGTACTAGAAGAAAATATTTACCACAATATAACTAACAAAGTACTTGAATCAACAATATATAAAGAACTCTTTCAAAATTAATGGCAAACAATGTAAACAAATTTTACAAAAGGCAAAATACAAATGGCCAATAATCATGTAAAAATGATGTTCAGCATCACTGATCATCACAAAAGGACAAATTAAGATCACAATGAAATACCACTTCACACCTACTGGAATGACTAAAATTAAAATGACCAGTAATATAAAATGTTTACAAGAATGTGGAGAAACAGGAACTCTCATACATTTACAGTAAGGTGTAAAATAGAGTGACCACGTTTAAAAAACAGTTTGCCAGTTTCTTATGAAGTTAAACCTACTTATCATGTGACCCAGTGATTCCGCTCTTAGGTATTTACTCCAGAGAACTAACAACTTATGTTTATAAAAAAGGCTGGTACATGAATGCTCATGGGAGCTTCATTTATAGCAGCTAAAATCAACCCAAATAAGGGTGGGTTCTAGTAAATTAATGATTGGATAAACAAATTAGAGTATATCATAAAATCAAATCCTACTCATCAATAAAAAGGAATGAGCTACTGAGATACACAACAGCATGGAGGAATCACATAGACGTTATACTTAGAAAAGTCTATTTATATTAAATTCTAGAACAAGTAAAACCAATCTATAGTGATAGGAAGTGGAGCAATTTCTACCTGTATCAGGGGGTGCTGGGGAGGGAGGGGAGATGACTGCAAAGGGGCACTAAACAACTTCATCAGGAGATGGAAATGTTCCATGCTTTCATTGGGTTGCAGGTTACATATGGAAACATTTTTCAAAATTCATTTGACCTTAAGAGTGTGCATTATTGAATATAAATTGCACCTCAATTCAGTCCATTTAAAAAAAATTAAATCTTTCATAACCTGACTTTCACCTTTCTCAGCAGCCAAATCTATAGCTGTTTCAACTTGAACTTTAAGTTTTTCCTTTTTGGGATGATTCTCCATTTCTTACCTTCAAGTTTTTGGATATAATGTTCCTATCACCTGATCATCTTTTTACTTCTTCTTCACTTGAGAAAAGCACTTCCTTATAAGCCCAGATTGGTTAAGTATTCTTCCTGTTCTTACAGCACTAAAATAATGCTCAATAGAGAATATATCGCATTTTATTGTTTTTGCTTAGTTAATTGCCTGCCTTTCCTGTTACATTGTAACCCCCCCTCCCCCACAGTACAGGAACTGTGCATACTTTGTTCCCCACCATACATATCCCAGCCTTGGCTTATAGCAGGCACTTAAAAAACATTTGTTTAATGAGTGAATGAATGAACCAATAATGATCAAATGAGCTCACATAAACTTCCTGAGATCTTCAGGTAGATTCTCAGTGATTTCTGAGAAGGTTCCGTTTTCAAAGGGCAATTAATTGAGGGTTTCCCCCCTAAGTAAATGTTATGTTATTTTTGGTATGGCACCTCACATTTTATTATAGATATTTTCTTCTAAATTGTATTTCTCAGAAGCCACCGTTTTTGTAGGAGCAGTGAGTCACTGAAATGCAATTCTTGGTTGTGCCTTGCCCCACTATCCTGTCACCCCAGCTAGCCAGACCAAACATTCCATATTAACTGTGTTTTTGATTGTCTAAAAGATTTCTGTCTGATTTAGATTGTTCATCATGGTATTTTATAGTCTTCTTCTACTCCAAGAAGTGTAGCATATTCTTCTCTTCTTATAATGTCTTTTGCCTTTTCGCAAATGCTTTTGAAAAATAAGCATCCAGAATATATATAAACTCTATAGATGAAGTCTAATAAGATAGATTCTTATTTATCCATGCCACTGGTTCTTGTGTCTTTTATTCTATTTTTTTGACATGTAGATTCAGAGCTTTTAGGAAAAACGATGCCATTTCATTAAATTCAAAGCATTAGATGAAAGTAATACCGTCTCTTCAACTTGCTTAGAGATTCGTGTGGACTTAAAAATAAACCAATCATTGTGTACTCCATGAAACAGTAAAGTCATGTCCAGGACACTAAATGACAGTTGGAGTCTGCAATGCTGTATACATTAAGTCTAGTTATTAAACATCCCTCTAAGATAGGCATTAATAATCTCATTTTACAAACAAAGATAATGAGCCGCAAGGCAGTAATGTTTTCAAGGTCAAAACTAAGTGATTGAGCCAAATTCCAGGCCTGTGAGACTTTTAAGCCTATGCTTTTTATATGCACCACATTGCTCTCCTTAGTCTGCAGAGGGAAGGACATGAAGGAGGGAAGAACGACCCACAGTTTTTCAGCTAGGCAGACTGCATGGCAAGTGCTGGTGCCCGTATTCTGAGACTAAGAATGTAGACAGAGGGGCAAGTTTGGAGAACATGATATTTGGAGATGTCTGAAGATCAGTGTTTGATGACCCTGGACAGAGATGCCTGTAGGTCATTATATCCAGCTACTGCAGGCAGTTGGGAATGAGAGTCCAGAGTCCGCAGTATAGGCCTGGGCTGGAAATGAGGATGTGAACACCATCCATAACCTATCTAGTGGCTGAAACTCTGAGTATTACTGAATCATACCAAAAGAGTATATAGATTGAGAAGAGGCTGAAACATCCACTACTGATTCATTGCTTTCTGGATCCCTTGTTGTGTACCTTATAAAAGAATCTAGCTGGGTACAGTGGCTCATGCCAATTATCCCAGAACTTTGGGAGACCAAATTAGGAGGACCACTTGAGTCCAGGAGTTTGACAGCAGCCTTGGCAATACAGAGAGAACTCATCTCTTAAAAAAAAAAAAAAAAAAAAAAAAAAAAAAACCCAGCTGAGTGTGGTGGCATGTACCTTTAGGGTAGCTAAGGTGGGAGGATTGCTTGAGACTGGGAGGCAGAAAGAAATTGTAGTGAGCCAAGATCATACCACTGCATTCCAGCCTGGGCAACAGGGCAAGACCTTGTCTCAAAAAAATTGGATTCATTCATTTAACAAATATTGATTAGTTACTGGGTATCAATTATGTGCTTAACAGTAGGCTAGGCTCTACGGCAAATGGAAAGGAAGAAGGTATAATTTCCCCTCTCCAAGAGCCTGCAATCTGGTTGGCAAGTCTGCATACATTTATATACCAAGTACAATCTAGACTGTGGACAGGACCAGCATGTTTTATGCTCCTGGATATGTTTCAAGGAAACTTTGGGGATCTCATAGCAAATCATCCCAAAGCATCCAAAAGGTGCAACATAAATATTACTAAGTTCTTCCCAATTTGCTACTTCTCTATTCTCCTCTTCCAAAGCTGTTCTTTCTTGAGCATTTTATACTTTAAGCCCATTTATTTTAATGCCAAAGAATGCAGCTGGACCTCAGGAAAACTGGAACTCGGAATTGCAAAGCTGTAGGGAGACCCACGCATGACCTCACTCCATCTCCCATCTCTGCTTCTTACTGCATGTCTGATTCATTCTTCTCTCTGCAGAACTTCTGTCTCTTTGCTCCAACACATGGCTGACAAAATATAACAATTCCAAATAGAATATGGCTACTCAGTGTTTTCTTGGTCTTGAGTCCCTCTTGGTTTTCATCTCTTCTTGACACTGTGCGTGTATTATTTTTAATCCTGACGACAACCCTTAAAGACTGAAATTATTCCTTCTGCATTACAAATGAGGAAACTAAGGCTGGGAGAGATTGTGAGCCCCCGAGTCACTGTCATCTGTTGGGGATTCAAAGATGGAAAGACAAGGTCCCTGCCCTCATAGAATTCAACAGTACAGTGACAAAGCAGGTAGTCATCATCTTATACACATAGTCATACAATGATCATTATAGCATTCTGCGAGAGGTGCTATCATAGCTATGTGAACAAAGAGTTGTAGTAACACAAAGAATGAAGGCTGGGCAACGGGGAATCACTGTAGAAAGGACACTTAAACAAAACTTGAAAGGATGTATGGCTCTCCAGGTAATAAAGGTGGGGGACATGACATCTTAGTCAGTAGGAATCTCAGGTATAGTGATAGACTCATAGGAGTACTTCTTGTAAACAGGAAAAGTAGTGCTGTTTGTGTTTCTCTTTGGAGCCACGGCTCACCTGCTGGGCTGGCAACCGAAGCACAGGTGCACTCATGGCAAGCCTGGCTATTGATTAGTTACTAGGTATCAATTATGTGCTTAACAGTAGGCTAGGCTCTACTAGCCTGCTAAAATAGTTCAAAATGATCTGATTTCCAATAAACCAGAGAAGAGAATGCTGGAGACTAATATTTGGTATAAAAATTTATTCTCTCTCTTGCTCTCTAGTTTCTTCTCTCTCTTTCTCCTCCTTGCACCCCCACCCCAAACACAATATAAATCAGCACAAAAAACAATGCGGGCTTTGGCAGTAATTACTGTTAGTTTTGAATGCTGAGTACCTACCAGACATGGGCATTACAAAAGCTGCTTGTGTAGTACGTTACACTTTTTCTCAGGATACCATCAAGGATACTTGTGTTGTCTCTATCTTATGGCCTGTATCATACAGCTTTGCATAGACTTTTTGGTAATATGACTGAGGATTTTGTACAGACTGATTTGACATCATATAGGTTACAGAATCTTGCATATGTCTCTTCAGAAATAAGGTTGAAACGTAGATGCTATCTATACCCAGAGCAGCCAAAGACTGTCTCTGGCTTGCTGTAAATAGAGAAAAGTACTAATAGTTTCTGCTGCTTTCAAGGTGCATTTCCCTATAGCTAAGTATACCCTCAAAAATTTTTAAATCAAAAGTTTTTTCTTAAGCCATATGAAATCCTAATAAAGAAGAAATCACTTAAAACATTGTATTTAAGTTAGTAGAATTACTCCCAAACATTTATAAACTCATTCTATTCCTTAAGCTCTGAAGAAGGTGGGCGTGTGTTTCTCAAGAAAGCTCTTTCAGCTTACGATTTGTCAGTAAGACAATTAAACTTGAATGTCTTTTCTACATGCCATTGTTATTAGAAACAGTCCCATGTTTTTCTGAACCCTAGCTAAAGGTCTTGCTGGTTCAGGACATAAAAAATATTGCATATACTAAAATGCCTCATCTTATCTAATGTAACTAAAAATTTACTAGTTCAGGACTCAGATAAAAGCAAGCACAAATGTATTTATGTGTGTCATTGATTGAGGCTGCCTCACTAGCACTCACCACCATTGGGTACAGCATATAATGATAGCAGATATATTTCTTTGCTCTTTTTTGTCCAGGTAATCATGTGTCCATAGTAAAAAACAGAAATATATATATTCACTATATATAATATGTAAAAGTAAATTTTATTTTTATATATATATATAAAGGTAAAAGTAAATTTTTCTTCTTCACTGCTACCTCCAGCCATCTAGCCCTTTCTCCAGAGGCAATTACCATATCCAAACTTTCTCTATCCTTCCAGAGATATTATGCATATATAGATATATATGTATATGATGTATATGTACTTTAATTTTACACAAATAGTGGCACACAATATACACTCCTTTGCATCTTGCTTTTTCACCTAATATATCCTGGAATCACTGCTTGTTTATGTAAATCTGCCTCATTTCATTTAATTCCTTCTTAGTATTCAATTATTTCATTGTGCTGTAATTTATTTACCGGATTTCTATTGATGAAAATTCATGTTGTTTCCAATATTTTGCCAATATACACAATGCTGCAGGGAATATGCTTTGCATATATATGGGAATATTTAAATTGCTGGATAAATTGCTGGAAGTAGAATTGCTGTGTTAAAGATGGAGCAGAGGTGAAAGGGTATTTTTTGAGTAAAAGTTCAGAAATGATTAGAGGTTGTATACCTTAGCCTAGCTCTGTGTCTCTCTTATTCCTGCCTCTGTCAAATGGATTCATTAGCTGAGACTATTCAGACACCACAGTACATCTCATTTCCACTTTCTTGCCAGTACTCTGAATCCCTTCATCTTTTTAGCCTACTTGCTTCATCAACCCTCAAATCTGGATCAAACAAAACACCTGCCTTCTTCACTGCTATACCTAGACTGTCAAGTATTTGTGGGGAAACATATGTATCTTGGCCCTATTATAAATTTATATTTTCTGAAATATAAATCTATACTACTCAGAAATCCTTTTACTTACAACTCACTGTGCCCCCATTTGCAACACTGGCCATTCCACTGGCTGAGCCATATTCACAAACTTCCCTTCCTCCTCTCACCGCTCTCACTCTCAGGAAGTGACTTGGTTTCCTACCTCTTAGAGAAAGATCTCATTACGTAATGATTCCCTTAATTTTTAGCTTATTTTTACCTTCAAAGTTTCTACATAAAATTCTCAGATGATCTCGAATCAGGAGCCCCCTTTTACTATTCATTTGTAACCCTACCATATACTGCTTATTCCTGCTGTTTCTCTACTGATTTATTACCCCAGCCAGTAAATACATTCTTTTTGTTTGTTTGTTTTGAGACGGAGTTTCACTCTTGTTGCCCAGGCTGGAATGCAGTGGTGTGATCTTGGCTCACTGCAACCTCCGCCTGCTGGGTTCAAGTGATTCTCCTGTCTCAGCCTCCAGAGTAGCTGGAATTACAGGCACCCGCCACCACGCCCAGCTAATTTTTTTGTATTTTTAGTAGAGACGGGGTTTCACCATATTGGCCAGGCTTGTCTCGAACTCCTGGCCTCAGGCGATCAGCTTGGCCTCCCAAAGTTTGTTTTTTGTTTTGTTTTTTTTTCCTCTCCCTCTACCCTTTATTCTCCTCCAGTGATTGCTTCCCATTTCTTCTCAGTGTTCTTAAGAGAGAAGGTCAAAGAATAGATATTTCTACTGTTTCATTTCCAATCTGTTTGTCCGTTGTCCATTCACTGAAGAACAGGTACTCTCTCTACAACATCACTGAAGCTGCTCTTGCCAACGTCCCCAGAGAAGGTCAAATTTCCAATGCTTTTGAGCAGTCCTAGGCATCACCATACTTGAATTTTCTTCAATATCTGTTACTGTTAATTCACCCCTAACCAACCCTACCTACCTCTAGAGGAATTTCTGTTGTTTTTTCTAATACTTTCTCTTTTGGTTTTCCTCTTACTTTTCTTTTCTTTTTTTAAAAAAATTATTCTTCTGGTTTCTTTCTAACTTTAGGTCTTTATGTCCAATGTCCCCTAGATTAAGTTGTTATTAAGTTTTTCTTCTCATACTTTATTCTTTCCATAGATGATCTCATTTACTCCCTGGCTTCAGTGATCACCTATATGCTGATGACTCACAGAGCCTGTCCAACCCTCTCTCCTGGGCTCCAGACAATATTTATAACTGCCTTCTTCTTCTTGGTTGACTCACAGATACCTGAAACATAACATGTCCCAAATTGAACTCCCTTTTCAGCTCCCCACCCCATTTCCCAAGGCTGTCCTTCCTCTCCATCATCCACCCAGTTGCCTAGGCCAGGACTCTTTAAGTCATCTCCTTTTGCTTTCCCTCTTCCAACCACACCTAATCAGTCACTAATTTCTGTTGTTTCTATCTCCTAAGTACCGATTGAGTCCATTCCTGTATTTCCATTCCCATGTGACTGCCTTAGTTTTATTCCTTATAATGTCTGAACTATTTCAGTAATCTGCTAACTGGCCTCTATCAAATTACCATGTTTGTAATTAAACCATTTCACACTGCTTAAGAGAGTTTCTAAATTGTTTATCTTATATTACTCCCATACTTTATTTGCTGGATCTTCATTGCCTTCAATACAGTTTGAACTTCTTACTACATCTTACATTTTATTTGTTTCTCTAGCCTTATTACCTCTGACCCTTCAACATAGATTATATGCTACAGTCTTTAAAGTCTAATTGCCTCAATATTCCTTTTCTTTCTATCTGTGAATGATTGTTCATGCTATTGCATTTGCACTGATCTTTTTCATCCTAGAGAATATCTGTTGATCTTTCAAACTCCAATCAAGTGATTTCCCCACCATGGTTTCTTTTTTTTTTTTTTTTTTTTTTTTGAGACGGAGTCTCACTCTGTCACCCAGGCTGAAGTGCAGTGGCACAATCTCAGCTCAATGCAACCTCCACCTCCCAGGTTCAAGCGATTCTTCTGCCTCAGCCTCCCTAGTAGCTGGGACTCCAGGCATGTGCCACCACTGGCTAATTTTTGTATTTTTAGTAGAGACGGGGTTTTGCCATGTTGGCCAGGCTGATCTCAAACTCCTGACCTCAGGTAATCCACTTGCCTTGGCCTCCCAAAGTGCCCCATAGATTTTTTATAAGTGTACATTTTAAAAACTTATTTGTGTATTTCCTCCATGACACTACAAGGCTTTCCTGGGAAATGATCATGTTTTATTCATCTACATATCCATAATATCTTTCACAATTATTTGCACTGAGAAGGCATCCAAAAACATATTCACTGAATAATGTTCCTATGTCTGGTCCCTCTTATTCTTTCTTCATTCTATTTTATACCATCAAATTAGCTTTCCTAAAATAATGCTGTAATTATGTAGTTATTCTCCATTCTCAACTTTTCAAGGGACTGTCCTCAAGTGTAGGGTAATGTTCAAACTCCTTGACATGGTGCTTGAGTTCCTTACAACCTGTTTCCCCATATATCTTTCCAACATCACTCTTGATTTCTCCATGGACATCTTTTACTTTTCAACCAGGGTGGTCTATTTTATATTCTTCAAATGCTCCATGTGAATTTTCACTTCCTTTTTAACGTTCAAATTATCCCAGGGTCAAATGATCTTTCTCCTTTCTATCTTGTGCAATCTGACTAATCCTTCGTGGTTAAATCTAACTCTAAACCTCCATAAAATTTCCACTGAGCATTCTCTCAATATAAATCACTTTCACCCAACTATCACAACACTTGGTTGATCATTGTGTTCAGCATTCTTTTTTTGTTTATGGCTGATTATCTCTATTATAGGTGAAATTTTAACTTATGCAAATCTCATTATATGACTAATTCAAATGCCTCAAGAATAGGGACTGCAGTCTCAAAAGTATTTGTTGAATAAATGCTTTTATTACCCCTTATATCATTGATCAGTACTATTGTGATTCTCATTTTTTCTCACATTTAGTATGACAATTTAATGATATCCTTATTTAACATACATGATTTTAGTCTTGTCCAAGTTTTATGGGTATTTTTGCTTATTCTGACCATTTCTTATATTATTTTCCATTGATTCCTGATTTTCTGCTTTCATGACTGATGGCGTTTAAAAAAAATGTAGCCCTTGCTTTTTAACTTCCCAATTCCATCACCTTCCTCTGCACTAAGCCAACGGCTAAGATTATGATGACGAGAAGAAAAAAGAAAATGAGGCGTTAATCTAGATGGTAGCATGCCTCAAGGTACAAGGATTTGGTGTGTGTTTGTGTGTGTGTGTGTGTGTGTGTGTGTGTGTTTCTGTGTGTGTATATATGTGGACAATGTTATGAGAAATGTGAATTTTAGAAATACAACATATTCAGTAAGTAGAGATAGAAAAAACTGTTGCTCTCATTCATATCCCAAGATATGAAAGGAACATGTGGTCACCAGATGTGATAGAATGTCAGGACCCCACTGTCCCAAACCCACTAGGCCTCTTTTGAATGCTACCACCACCCAGAGACTGAACAGAGACCATTCCCCCCACCCCCCCGCCCCACACACACACACACACACACACACACACCCGCCTCATTTCCAAGGCCATGTCTCTAGAGTCATGGCCATGTCTTTTTCCTTTTTTAGGCTCACTGCTTAAAACAGAACTTCATTTTACAATGATGGTGAGGTGTTTGGGTGCTCATAGCATTAGTTATTATTTGTTCAGCTTTCTGAAACTTAAAGAAAACAAACAATTTTATTAAAAACTTCTGTCACCTTCACCGCCTGTTCCTTGGCCTCCCTCCTGTTAGCCTTTCTAGACCTCCAGGCCCAGTTAAAGCTCCTTTCCTGCAAATCCTGTGCCTGTCCCCAGCTTCTGTTCTCACATGCTGAGCATCTGTGCCCAGTTCCACTGTTTCCTTTGCCAGATGCAGCCAGCTTTGCAAATGAAATTATACTTTTGAACCAGATGAGTTTGGCTTGGTGATTGGCCCTGTGCAGAGTCTATAATTTGGGTCAGACTTATGAAAAGTTTGGTGAATTTGGCACCATCTTTGAGGAGTGTGGACTGTCTTAAAACTCCAGAGAGAAACCTTCAGGATCTCAGACATTCCATCTTTTGTGGGCTTCCAGAAAAGGCCACCCTCAGTTGGCATAGGAGAGAGGGCTCATTTTCAAACTATTTAAGTCATGTTGTGACTAGAAGTTGAAGTCTGGTGCAAAATCATGAAAACTGAAGAGATCATTTGCACTGATGCTAGAATAAGCAGCTTTACTGTACAGGAACTCTGGTTTAGACAGTCTAGGAAGATAATATTTCTACCACTGAAGTAGAATTCTATTGAAGATTTTGTTTTAAGCCATTTGTATATCATAGAATAATTGTCATTTCTAAAATGTGAGGAAAAAAATAGAGCTGAGTTAGTTTGTTGAGGGAATCCAATGATCTGTTCCTATTTATCAGTTAAACGGAATTTGTAGGTTCCAAGATGAGATTCCCTCCATGCTTCCTCCTTTTGTTGGCTTCAGCAGGAATCAGGCTTCAATTAGGATCTCAGCACTAAGGTCTAAGAATTTTTTTCCACCCCAGATTTTTAAAGAATCATAAAGCAGCTTGAAAGAAAGCCTCACTCACTCACACTGAAACCTCCACTGAAAAATAAATAATTGAAACCATAGCTGAACATGATTAATGAAGATACATTATAATAATTTATAATAGTGTTTTTGGAGGGCTGTTTTTCCTCCATTTTTCCTCATCTGTCTCCTCTATTACCTCTCCTACTACACTAGAGACTGAGCAAAATGCAGATGTTAAGAACATAAAGATATCAAAGAGTTAGTTTTGGCTGAGTTGGCAGTGACCACATTACAGATCTCAGATTTTCTCTGCTTTCATGTGGCTATTTTGTAGGCTGGACAATAAATCTTCCACTACACATTTTATTCGAACGTGCTGCAGTGGATAAAAGAGAGTAACTATGAATAGGTCTAACAGAAACTTGTAGATCAGACTCAGGCACGCACAGAGGACCCTCAAATATAGATGAGACTTTTTCAAATCTAACAAATGCAGTGTTAAAATATTTGGAAGATTCTTAAAACAATAATAGAAAGCCCTCCTTGTGCCTAACTACTACATGCACTTTCATACAGGAAGCCATATAATTATAATTAACTAATGCAGATTCTATTCGCCAGAATATATCTCTACCTTGAGTGAAGTATTACCATCTTAACATTCTAGCTGCACCACTTACCCCTTGTTTTACAAAGCCCTGATGCTTAAAAGTGTTTAATTATATATGGGTGGTATATCATCATAAAACACTGCTAAAAATGTGTGTTTCTTGTTTCAATTGTTAAAGCTCATTTTTTTTTCTTTTGAGACAGAGTCTCACTCTGTCACCCAGGCTGCAGTGCAGTGGTACGATCTCGGCTCACTGCAACCTCTTCCTCCTGGGTTCAAGCGATTCTCCTGCCTCAGCCTCCCAAGTAGCTGGGATTACAGGCACGTGCCACCACACCTGGCTAGTTTTTGTATTTTTAGTAGAGACGGGTTTTACCATGTTGGCCAGGCTGGTTTTAAACCCCTGACCTCAAGTGATTTGCCTATCTCGGCCTCCCAAAGTGCTAGGATTATAGACATGAGCCACTGTGCCCAACCAGTTGTTAAAGCTCATGTCTAGAAAACAAGAGCTTCTGTATTTTTATCTCGAAAGAGTATATTTAGACCAGGCATGCTGGCTCACACCTGTAGTCCCAGCACTTTGAGAGACTGAGGTGGACAGATCACTTAAGGTCAGGAATTTGAGACCATTCTGGACAACATGGTAAAAGCCCGTCTCTAGAAAAAATTACAAAATTAGCTGGGTGTGGTGGAGCTCACTTCTGGTCCCTTCTACTGAGGGACCAGTAGAAGGAGGCTGAGGTGGGAGGATTGTCTGAACCCAGGGAGGACGAGACTGCAGTGAGCTGTGATCACACCACTGCACTCCAGCCTGAGCAACAGAGTGAGACCCTGTCTCAAAAAAAAAAAAAAAAAAAAAAAAAAAGGAGAGAGAAGATATTTAGAGCAATGATTTTCAACTTTAACTGCACATTAAAATCACTTGAGAAATTTTTTAAAATTCTAATGCCCAGGCCATACACCAGACCACTTAAATCAAGAATTTTAGAACATGGTACCCAGGGATTAGTACCTTTTCTAGCACCCTTGATAATTCCAGTGTGCAGCCAGGGTTGAAACTACTAATTTAGAAAGGTAGAATGTTCTGGTAAAAAGAGCAAGGGCTGTGGAATCAGCCAGTTCTTTGGTTGTCCATTCTATTTTCAGCACTTCATTCATTTAGTCAAATATAGTTTAACACCTAATAAAAAATAAAATGCCTAACATGCCACATACACCAGGACATGCAATACATAGAAAGTATAATAATATTGTATATTAATAAAAGTATTTATGAATGACATTATATAGATATAGAAAATAAATATTATTAACTTAATAAAATTGCATTTTAAGTGCCTTGATGTGCTTGAGGGTTAAATTATATATGTTGTATTTTTTCAGATGACAAAGCCAAATAGACATATTTCATCCTTTGAGTCTTTTTAACACTTTAAAGCCTTTGAGTCTTTTTAACACTTTGTACTTCCTTTAGAGTGATTATTTTAATTCCATCTTGGATTGTGTACATATTATCTTTATCACTGCATGAAAAGTATTACATTCATCAATGCACAGTAAGCTTCTTGAGACCGGAAGATCTTTCTTACTCACTCTGGTATATTTCTCTTAGATTGGTGCCTTTTTCTCCATGATGCAGCTTATTTTTCCTGAAACCAATGTTATAAACAAATTGTGCTGTATTTGTTTGGTTATATTTGGGAAGTTATTAAAGATAGGGATTATAAATTATATATCCATGTGGGATGTGTGTATTTGTCTGTGTGTGTGGATGTGTTTGGAGAGAGAGAAAAAAAGATTTTCTGTTAAAGAAAACTATGCTCCTTGGCTCATGGTCTCTTGTACTCGGCATTTTCCTGAGGGTTGTCAGAAGACTGATATTGTGGGTGGTCTGCCATACTGAATTTTGGATCTAAGATCTCAGCTCCAAGGCCCTCAACCTCCATAAAGCCAGCAGACGGTACAGTCCATCAACGCCTAATTACTTCCTAGTAGTTTGAACCCACAATCTTTTTGGTTTGGTACCAGAATCAACTTCTGAAGATATTGAAGAAAGAATGTCTGGAATTGGGAACCTAAATATGTGGACTTTTCTTTGAGAGGTGAACATCAGAAGAACATTTGCTATCCACAGTGTGCTTACAGAAGACAACTTAGAGAAGGAGGGGTTTTAACCTCATGGCAACCATTCTTGCCCACTGAAGCTTCTGACCTGATTGCTTTTCGCTTTAGCCCCTATTTTTATCAATAATTTGAGGTGGAAACTAGTTAATTAAAAGGGTATAGTCCTTTTAACTATCAATTGACTATACTAACCAAACTGCCCTAGATTTCACTTGTAGCTGAAGCCTCCACAGAGCTGAATCCCTCATGCACCCTAAGCTAATAGGGGAAAACCTGAGCTAAGGGTAAAAAGGGTTTCTGCAAATGGTCTTTGAAAGCAGATAATGTGTTTTCTAAAGAAGTAATGAAATAGAAGAATATTTGTAGCTTTGCCTTGCTCTACTAAATTTGTTGTCATGTAGAACCTATAGCGATGGCTAGTTGAGATCAGGGATTGATATGGTTAGGTGTTGTGTCCCCACCCAAATCTCATCTTGAATTGTAATCTCCAGGTGTTTAGAGAGAGACCTGGTGGGAAGTGATTAGATTATGAGGGTGATTTCCCCCATGCTGTTCTCCTGATGGTGAGTGAATTCTCATGAGATCCGGTGGTTTTATAAATGGTAGTTTTTCCTGCACTTGCACACGCACTCTCTCTTGCCTGACGCCATATAAGACGTGCCTCTTCCCCTTATGCCATGATTGTAAGTTTCCTGAGGCCTCCCTAGCCATGCAGAACTGATAGTCAATTAAATGTCTTTCTTTGTAAATTACCCAGTCTCAGGTATGTCTTTATAGCAGTGTGAAAATGAACTAATACAGGGACTATAGATGGGCTTACATCATTTTATTAAGAGTCAATTATCTTAACAAATATAATATCTTAATTAATCCCCACAACTTCCACAAAACCCATGAAAACAAAGCTATGTAAAATAGTAGGTGGAAGCAGAAAAGTAGTAGGTTGTAGATGGCAGCTTTCTCCTTTTCCACATGATGGTTTCCCATAGAGGGAATGACTAGCTTTCTTCCTGTGTATATTATTAATTTTATTAAAATTATGCTTAACAGAGCAATGTGACTGGGTATGGAAGCAGTGCTGAAGATGCTTTTTCAAAGCCAGAGAGATCTGAGTCCTAATCAGTATCAACCCTGAGTATATATGAGTATCTCCCCATATAACTAGGTTAAACTGTTGATTTTTAAATGGGAGAAAAGTACATTTAATTCTGAATCTTAAAGCTAATTTAAAGAACATAAATCCTTTAGGTCTGAAAGTAATACTGATTATCCACAAATATAATTAATTTTGAGGTATTTTATAGAGTAGGGGATATTGAAAAAGGAATAAAGAAAATTGAAGCTTCCACATCACAGATACCAATCAATACTTTGAACTTGGATGTATTTGAAATCCAGAATTATTCTTCAATCAACAGTTTCTGGTGTATGATCTCACCTGAGGACAGAAGAGCCTATTAAAGAAAGAAGGAAAATCAATGAACACTGTACTATTTCCTACCCCTGACATCAGTACCTCTGCAAAGACCCATTTCTTCTTCTTCACAATTGTGATCAGTCAGACATTCCTAACGTGCAAACATATTTATATTCTCAGAACAAATTTCTCCTATTCTTTTCTCTCACCTTAACTTTAGAGTTTTGAATACATACATCTTCTCTATTCTTGGCTACTTCCAATTTTCTGTAGTCAATCAAGTCCTGGGACATTAATCCATTTACATTAAAAATGTTATACATTTTGTAATGAAACTTTGTTGGATCAAAAATATCCTGTTTTATCCCTGTGAAATGGGAAGACACCTGAATCTTAGAGGGCTATTCTAAGTAGGTTTAAGTTAAGAACACCCAGCTTGATTTTAATACAAGCAATATTTTGAAAACCATAGTTTTTGACAAAATACAATTAATGCTGTGACTGGTGAGTCACAAAGCAAAATGCAAGCTAGTAAAGGCATCATTTTCTCTAAAAGAGTTGGAAACTTGGGAGAATATTTTTAATGGCTGGTGTTTAAGATTGGCCTTTGGTCTTTCTCTAGTTTTTATAGTGTATATTTTGTAAACTCCTTCCACTACTCACCCACACCTTCCCTCACACTTGGCATTGGATTTGATGACTTGAAATGGAAATCCTCCCATATCTCTAAACAGATCTTTCTAGTACAGAAGTTTCACTGGACTCCCACCTTAATCAGTAAGAGATACTATATGGTTCTCAGCATCCCCTGCCAAGAACTTTACTAACATGATTGATTCATTTGGCATTAATCTTCCCTTTTTCTGTTCTGTGATCTAGGTTATGATGGGGCAGTGCCTGAGAGAACTGTAGCGCCAGTGAGCCAAATCCTACTTTCCGCTGTAAAATTTCTTTTTCTATTGGGGGTTTCATGCTTAGCCTCTTACTGTTTGTGTGAGGGCAAAATGTGTCTGACCCAAAGATATTCTAATAGCACATCCTGGGAAGCCCAGCCAGCCAAAAACATCATTGGATGTTCATTTTGTTCCCTAGTTCAAAGAGAGAAAAGCAAATCATACCTTATATGTGATGCCATAAATGTGCTTTCTTTGGTCAATTATGAAGAGTGTGCATTGGATTTTAACATGTTGGTCTTTGACTTTGGGGGTTGAGATATTTTACAATCATAGATCACCTGGTTTGCTTCCAGTATAATCATTTAATTAAGGTATTAAAAACTTAATGAAGGCAACATGGAAAATATTAATATCAATATATAACATTTATTGAATGTCAGCACAGCCCAAGGAATTGAACAAAGCACAAAATTACAGTGCCTGCCAGTTAGCTTAGCACACATCAGCCAAATTTTTAAGCTGTTATTAAAAAAAAACAGAATGTGCCTTTACAACCACTGCAGAATAAAACCTAGCTAAAAACTTTGGTTGATCCCTTTCACCAAAATCCATTATCATTGATCTGTTTTACTCATACCTTTTTAAAAATACTACTTCCACTATCTTCACAAGTATGTCAACGTGTACTGGAATAACTCAATCTTCCTGTCAAATTAGCAATGGGGAATTTGGGGGGAGCTGGATAAATAACCTTAGCAAAACCAAATTTTTTTTTTATTTTAAGTTCTTGGATACATGTGCAGAACATGCAGGTTTGTTACATAGTTATACATGTCCCATGGTGGTTTGCTGCACCTTTCAACCCGTCATCTAGATTTTAAGCCCTGCATACATTAGGTATTTGTCCTAATGCTCTCCCTCCCCTTATCCCCCACCCCCGACAGGCCCCAGTGTGTGATGTTTCCCTGCCTGTGTCCGTGTGTTCTCATTGTTCAACTCCCACTTATGAGTGAGAACAGGTGGTGTTTGGTTTTCTCTTCCTGTATTAGTTTGCTGAGAATGATGGCTTCTAGTTTCATCCATGTCTCTGCAAAGGACATGAAGTCATTCTTTTTTATGGCTGCGTAGTATTCCATAGTGTATATGTGCCACATTTTCTTTATCCAGTCTATCATTGATGGGCATTTGGGTTGGTTCCAAGTCAGCAAAACCAAATTTTATCTTAAGAGCTAACTGAAGGAAAGATTATGTCTCATCCCAATAAGTCTTTTGGCATGAGTAATTGCAGGTTACTCTACATTCCCTAGCTGAAACCTACGTGAGCATCCAGTTGATTTTGAGTTCTGCAGTGATTCACTGGTCATGTATTCGCAAAGAGGAAAAGCCAATAGCTGTTCTCACAAATAATTCCTACACATTCAGAGTCTCCTCTTTACCTGCTCTTTTTCTTTTTTGGCCAAATTGATCCAAAACACAAACAAACAAAAAACCAGGGCAGTCTACATGTGCTACATACTCCTCTTACTTGACATCCACCCCTACTACTGAAGGCAAACTCCTCTGAAAGATCTCGTGTAACTCTAATTACCAGATTGAATGGCTTTTACCCAGTCCTTGTTTTCATGCAAACTGTAAAACAGTTGACACTAGGCAGTAGTCAAGACTGTTGAACAGCCCCTCTTTTATTACATTTTCTTACGGAGACTCTCCTCTCCTGGGGTCTCCTTGTCATCTTCCTTTAACATTCTTTTCTCTTTATGTTTTTCCACTACCTAAATGCAGGCATTTCCATAGATTCTGTTCTTGTCATCTCGTTTTCTTTCTCTTCAAAGAACTCTTATTCTTGCATTCATTGTATGAAGTTAACTCTAAGATTTAGTCTGCTACCTCTGTGACCCCCATTCCCACTGTCTGCTCCCTTGCTCCTTCTGATTTAGCCACAGTGGTCCTTTTGCCATTCCTTATATTTGCCAAGTCTACTCTCACCTCAGAATATTTCCACTGGATGCCCTCTGTGCTCGGACTGTTCTTCCCGAAGTATTTGAATGGCTTGTTTTCTTCTCTCCATCAAGTCCTTGTTCAAGCATTGACTTACAGGTGAGGATTTCCCAGATCGCCTCATGTAAAATAGTAATTTCTACCTCCATGCTCATTTTCTTACTTCACGTTTCTTTATGCTACTTAACACAATTGCATATATTATGGATTTTATTTTCCTTATCATCTGCCTCTCCATTCTTGAATATGTGTTCCATAAACACACACAGCGATCTTTATCTGCATTGTTCACTACTATATTCTCAGTGCTTAGAATTGTGCCTGGCACATAGTAGGCCCTCAGTAAACATTTGTTGAATAAATGAATGAGTGTCAGAAGAGTTATAAGGAAGTGAAAAACTCTTCATTTCTCCAAAATTCCTAAATGTTACTATCCTTCATCTCACCTGTGGGATAACAGCAGTGAGGCATCTTCTCAAGTCATCTTTCAGATTATGATATGAGAATTTGTGTGGCAGAGATTTATTAAGGCAGTTCTCTAGCATTAGGTATATCTCCCAATGCTATCCCTCCCCCCTCCCCCCACCCCACAACAGTCCCCAGAGTGTGATGTTCCCCTTCCTGTGTCCATGTGTTCTCATTGTTCAATTCCCACCTATGAGTGAGAATATGCAGTGTTTGGTTTTTTGTTCTTGCGATAGTTTACTGAGAATGATGATTTCCAATTTCATCCATGTCCCTACAAAGGACATGAACTCATCATTTTTTATGGCTGCCTAGTATTCCATGGTGTATATGTGCCACATTTTCTTAATCCAGTCTATCATTGTTGGACATTTGGGTTGGTTCCAAGTCTTTGCTATTGTGAATAGTGCCGCAATAAACATACGTGTGCATGTGTCTTTATAGCAGCATGATTTATAGTCCTTTGCATATATACCCAGTAATGGGATGGCTGGGTCAAATAGTATTTCTAGTTCTAGATCCCTGAGGAATCGCCACACTGACTTCCACAATGGTTGAACTAGTTTACAGTCCCAGCAACAGTGTAAAAGGGTTCCTATTTCTCCACATCCTCTCCAGCACCTGTTGTTTCCTGACTTTTTAATGATTGCCATTCTAACTGGTGTGAGATGATATCTCATTGTGGTTTTGATTTGCATTTCTCTGATGGCCAGTGATGGGTGCAGCGCACCAGCACGGCACATGTATACATATGTAACTAACCTGCACATTGTGCACATGTACCCTAAAACTTAAAGTATAATAATAATAATAATAATAAAAAGAAAGAAAGAAAAAGGCAGTTCTCCCAGTTTCTTCTCTGGAGATAGTGCTGGGAAAGATGGAAGAATCAGGCAGAATATAGACCTGAATCTGACCCCAGTGCTTTTGCCTAGAAAACCCTTCTCAGGTGAGAAAAAGTAGTCATACATAAGATTCGCAATAATCTTGAATTCAACTGAATTATTTAATTGTTAATTGTCATCAACAATTTGTTAAATCATATTGACATGGCCAAACAGAGCTCATTGACAAAGTCAGTAGGTGGAAGAGCCAAATAAGATTTTAAAATTCCATGGTTTTGATAGGTCATTTTGCCAATAATCAAATGATATGGCACTACAAATCACAGGGGTTCTTATTTGAGCTTTTCAATATATTCATATTAGACTCTTCTTAAGACCAGAATATGGTCTCTTTGTTATTTTTATGTCTATAGGCTCATAAATCCCACTGAAAAAAGGTCTTCATTAAAATGTTTTGTAAAAAAAAAATTTAAAGCCTTTCTATGAACAAAACTAAGTTTTTTCACATTCCTAAAAATATATTCTATATAAAAATCACAACTCTCAAGTCTGGTTAACTCACAGAACATTTTCTTGTTTTCAAGAAACAACTATCACAGTGAGTTCAAAGTAAGATGTTAGGGTACAATACTGTATATTCATTTCAGAAAAGGTTTTATTTTAAAATACTTCTTCTAAGGCATATTTGTCTAGACATCTCTTCCTTCCCTCATGTGAAATTAATAACTTAAAAAGAACTTTGTGAATGGTTCCAAATGCAAACTTCAAAATTGTTGAATAACTTAATAAGGATGCATTTCATTCCTGGTTTACCAAATATGGTTTTGACAGTATTTCCAATAGTCAAGATGGTTTCTATAATGGAGAAACCCACATTATTTAATAATAATGGCACCCTAACAAAGAACTGTAAGTGCTCTTTAAGACTTTAACTGCACCAGACCATCTATTCAGTATTGGAAAAATAACTTCATGCAAGTGTCCTCTAAGATTAACAGGGTAGAAAAAGGTTTTCTAACAGAGAAAATGCTCTAATTTGAAAGAAAAAGTCTGCATCTCTCCCCTATTAGCAAAGAGAAGTGTTTACTTGACCAACAATTGTACAAAATAACATTGGTCTATGTGAAGTGGAAACACACTTAATGGAGAAAGACTCCTCATTGAAACTCCTCACAGTCTCAGGTACTTTTGCATACATTATTTTATTCAGTCCTCAAAAACAACCCTATCAGATAGGTGTAGTTATCTTTGGATGTCCAGGAAAATTCTGATTACAAGAGATTAAAGGATTTATAGCCAAGCTAGAATTTGAACCCAGGTCATGACTCCATGGCCAATGTTCTTTCCAATAAATTATTCTATCCCATGAGTCTGTCCAATCATCTGTGAGGCAGAAATGCTATTCACAATCCCTTGGTCAACAAATACCATCAGGGACTGTCACAAATGCCAGTGCTCCCCCCATATTCCTTCGGAAACTTCCCACAGAAATTCTTACAATTTCAGTGTCTAGTGTTCTAGACTCTATGGCTTGTAACAAAGTATCTCACAACTCAGTGGCATGAAACAAACATTCATTATGCTTATGGATTTTGTAGGTCGAGTTTGGACCGGGAACAGCATGGGCAGAATGGCCCTAGCCTATGATTTCTGGGGTATCATCCAGGAGGCTGAGAGATGGAATCATTGGAAGACTAACTCGTTCACATGTCTGTGGTTGATACTGGCTATGGGCTTAGAGACCTTAGTTGGAGTTGCCAGCCACACATCTCCATGTGGATAAGGCTTCCTCATTACATGGTACCTGAGTTCTAAGGGCAAGAACTGCCTGAGAGAGAGTCAGAATCAGGGAGTAGGACACCTTTTTGAGCCTAGCCTTGGAATTCATGCAGTGTCTCTTCTGCTGCATTGTATTCATTAGAAGTGATCACTAAGACATGCCCATATTTAAGGGACAGAGAATTAGATCACCTTTTGTGGGAAAAGCGTTAAAGAATTTATAGAGATGTTTTAAAATTACCATACTGCCCCTCCTTAGCGTTGATGTGCGTTTGCTTGGCAGAGTCCGTTCCTATGATTCTTTCTTGAAGGACTGCCCTCAAGTAGAGCCACTTTGCTCCTAAGCCACAAGCACAGAAAGCCAGAAGTGCCTGAGAGTTGACATAGGGAAGAACTTTTTCACAGAATGGAACCAATTTTATTATTTTGTATGTGGAAATCCAGTTTTCCTAACACCATTTATTGAAGAGATTACACTTTCCTCATTGTGTCCTCTTCATGCCCTTGTCAAAAAATAGGGGACCATATATGTTTGGATTTATTTCTAGATTCTATTCTTTTCCACTGGTCTGTCTGTTTTTATGCCAGTAACATACTGTTTTGATTACTATAGCTTTGTAATATAATTTAAAAATCAAGATTTGTAAAGCCCCCAGCTTTGTTTTTCTTTTATATAATTGTTTTGGCTAATTGGGGATTTTGATAGGGGTTGCATTGAATCTGTATATTGCTTTGAGTAGTACAGACATTTTAGCAAAATTAATTTTTACAATCCTTGAGCATGGGATACCTTTTCATTTATTTGAATCTTCATCAAATTCTTTCATCAATGTTTTTGTAGTTTTCAATATACAGATCTTTCACTTCTGTGGTTAAATTTATTCCTAGTTATTTTTATGCTATCATAAGTGAGATTGTTTTCTTGACTTCTTTTTCAGATAGGCTGTTGTTTTGTGTTTAATGATGATATTGAGTTTTGTGTGTTGATTTCATATCCTACAACTTTACTGAATTCATTTATTAGTTTTAACAGATTTTTGTGGAACCTTTGGTATTTTTTACATACAGAATCATGTCACCTTAAAATCAAGATAATTTTATTTTTTCCTTTCTGATTTGTATGCCTTTTATTTTTTTTTCTTATCTGATTGCTTTTGTTGGTACTTCCAGTACTATGTTTAACAGAAGTGCTGAGAGTGGAAATCTTTGCCTCAATCTTACTGGAAAAGCTTTCAGTTTTTTCCAGTTGATTATGTTAGCTGTGCATTTTTCATACACAGTCTTTATTACATTGAGAAACTTTTCTTCTGTGCCTAAACTGTTGAGGATTTTTATCAAGAAAGGATATTGGGCTTTGTTGAATGCTTTTCTCTTGTCAATTGAGATGATCATGTAGCTTTTGTCCTTCATTCTGTTAATGTGATGTATCATATTGATTAATTTGCATACGTTACACCAGTCTTGCATGCTAGGGATAAATCTTACTTGGTCATGATGTGTAATCTTTTTTATGTGTTGTCGGATTCAGTCTGCTAATGTTTTATTGAGGATTTTTGCATTAATGTTCATTAGAGATTGGCTTGTAGTTTTTTTTTCTTGTGATCTCTGTGTCTGGGTTAGGTATCAAGGTGATGCTGGCCTCATAAAATGTGTTTGGAAATATTCCCTCCAATTCTATTTTTGTAAGAGTTAAAAAAGTATTGTTATTCTTCTTTGAACATTTGGTAGAATTCAGCTGTGAAGCCATCTGGTCCTGGGCTATTCTTTGTTGGGAAGTTTTTTATTGTTTCTTCAATATCTTTATTTGTTATTTTTCTCTTTAAGCTTTGTAGTCCTTACTTATCTTGGTAAGTTGTATTCTTCTAGGAATTTATCCCTTTCCTTTAGGTTGTCCAATTTGTTGGCATATAATTGTACATGATAGTCCCTTATGATCCTTTTTATTTCTGAGACATCTGTTGTCATTTCTTCACGTTAATTTTTGATTGTATTTATTTGTGTCTTCTCTCTTTTTCCTTAGTTAGACTAGCTAAAGGTTTACCAATTTTGTTTACCTTTTTAAAACAACCGTTAGTTTTATTGATTCTTTTTGTGGCTTTTTGTTTTCTATTTGATTTAATTCTGCTCCAATTTTTGTTATTTCCTTCATTCTGTTAATATTGGGTCAAATTTGTTCTTCTTTTTTAGATCCTTTAGGCATATTGTTAGACTGTTTATTTGAGACTTTTTTTTTCTTTTTTAGCATAGGCATTTATTGCTAGAAATTTCCCTGTTATAACTGCTTTTCTGAAGTTTTGCTATGCTGTATTTTCATTGTCATTTGTCTCAATATATTTTTAATTTCCCTTTTGTTTTCTTCTTTGATTCACTGGTTGTTCAGGAGCATATTGTTTAATTTTCACATATTTGTAAATTTTCTAAGATTCCTCTTGTTATTGATTTCTGGTTTTATACCATCGTGGTCCAAAAATTATGCTAGATAGGATTTCGAGCTTCTTAAATTTGTTAAGACTTGTTTTGTGGCCTAGTATACGGTCTATCCTGGAGTGTGTTCCATGCATGCAGGAGAAAAATGTGTGTTCTTCTGCTGTTGGATGGAGAGTTCTGTATATATCTGTTAGGTCATTTTGTTCAAAACTGCAATCAAATCCAGTATTTCCTTATTAATTTTCTGTCTGGGTGATATATCCAATGTTGAAAGTGGGGTGTTGATATCTCCTACTATTATTGTATTGGAATGTATCTCTTCCTTCAGATATATTAATATTTGTTTATATATTTAAGTGTTCCAATATTGGGTGCATATATGGTTATAACAGTTATGTCTTCTTAATGAATTGACCCCTTTATCATTAAATAGAGACCTTCCTTTGTTCTTGTGACAGGTTGTGAGTATTGCCACCTCTGTTCTTTTTTGGTTACAATTTGTGTGGACTATCTTCTTTAATTCCTTCACTTTCAGCCTATGTGTATCTTAAAGTTTAAATGGGTCTCCTGTGGGTAAGATATAGTTGGATATTGGGGTTTTTTTTAGCCATTCAGCCACAGCATGTATTTTTTATTTTAGAATTTAATCTATTTGCATTCATGATTATTCTTGATAGCTAAGGACTTACTACTGCCATTTTACTTGTTTTCTTATAGCTCCTTTGTTCATTTCTTCCTCTCTTGTTGTCTAACTTTGTGATTTGATAATTTGCTGTAGTGTAAAGCTTTGATTCCTTTCTCTTCATCATTTGTATAACTGCTGTAGTTTTTCATTTTGTGGTTACCATGAGACTTATATAAAACATCTTACAGTTATAATCTACTATTTTCAGCTGATAACAACTTAATGTCTGTTGCAAAGAAAAACTCTCAACTTTTACCCTCCCCTGAAATTAATGTTTTTGATGTCACAATTTACATCTTTTTATATTGAATATCACTTAACAACTTATTGTAGCTTCAGTTATTTTTTATTATTTTGACTTAAAATAATTTGCACACTACATTACAGTGTTAGAGTATTCTGGATTTGACTATGTATTTGCCTTCACCAGTGAGTTTTACACTTTTATATCTATTCACTATAGCAATTATCATCCTTTCATTTACATTTAAAGAACTCTGTTGAGCATTTCTTTTAAGACAGGTCTAGAAGTAATGAATTCTCTCAGCTTTTGCTTCTCTGTGAAGGACTTTATTCCTCCTTCATTTCTGGAGGACAACTTCCTTGGGTATAATGTTCCAGGCTTGAAATTTTTTTCTTTTGGCACTTTGAATGTATTATCTCATTCTCTCCTGGCCTGCAAGATTTCTGCTGAGAAATCCACTGGTAGTCTAATGGAGATTTCCTTATATGTGACTGGATGCTTTTCTCTTGCTGCTTTCTTTGTCTTTGACTCTCGACAGTTTGATTATATTGTGCCTCAGAGAGGACCTCTTTGGATTGAATCTATTTGGAAACTTTTGAGTTTTCTGGATCTGAATGTCCATATTTATCCTAAGACTTGAAGATTTTTCAGCAATTATGTAATTAAATATGCCTTTTTTCCCTTTCTCTCTCTTTTCTCTTTCTGGAACTCCCATAATGTGAAAATTTGTTCACTTAATGATGTCCCATAAGTCTCATAGGCTGTCTTCACTCTTTTCTTTCTGTTTTCATTTTTTTCTCTAACAGTCATTTCAAAAGAACTATCTTCAAGTTTATAAATTCTTTCTTCTGCTTGATGTAAATTTTTGTTTCTTTAGGGTCAGTTACTGGAGAATTATTGTGTTCCCCAGGTGGTGTCACATTTCCTTTGTTTGTTTGTTTCTTATGTACCAGCATTGATGTTCTGCATCTGGTGGTATAGTCATCTCTTCCAAACTTTAAAGAGTGGCTTTTATAAAAGACTTTCACTGGCATATGGGCCTGAGGGTGCCAGTTCAACAGAGTGCAATGGCTCTGATTCCATATAGGTGCAGTGGTATAATTACCATGCAGCTTCTTCATTTGTCATCAATGTTAGTGATGACTGTAAGTGTCTCAGTGGTCTAGGCTGCAGGGATTATGGCAGTGACAGTGACTGCTTAGGTTATTAGGGCAAGGGCTTTAGGGATCCTCATATTCTTATCTTTCTCACAGTGGGGAATCATAGCCATAAGAGGATCTCTCTTAGTATTGGGACTGACATGGGTCACAGGCAGCTATTGTAGCCATATAAGTGACAATGGCACTAGAATCCAGGGCATAGATATTCAGAGCAGCTGCAAAGCTGGTTTCCTGGGCTTGAGGTCTTATAAAACTAATGTAGCGCCAGGGACTTGAGGTGCCAGTTTACTCTCCAAAGCATGAGTGAATGCTGTTCTCCCACTAACCTGGGGTCTGCTGCTCTGAGGCACACCCCAGGAGCTTGGGCCCAAGGGGCTGTGATATAGCTGTGGTTCTGAGCCTGGTGGGGAGGGGCACAACACTGGCATAGCTCTGGGAAAGAATGAGTGCTCTGGAGGGCCCCAGGATGGCTTGCTATTGTGGTATAGTACTGGCTAAACTTCCAGGACAGAGAGGTGCAGTGGCTACTCACTCCCAGAGCAAGACACACTGTAGCAGGGTTTGGTCCCCAGGAGCAAGGCACAGCTGCAGTTCAGTACTGAGGATCCAAGAGAGCATAGTGACAGCTCGGACTCTGGGTGATAAAGTACCATGCTGTGGTGACTCTGGGCCCTAGGATGATGGGACATGACAGTAGTCCAGGCTCTGTGAGGTCAAGTGCAACAGCAGTAAGAACCCAGGAATGTCAATATGTCACTGTGGCTGTGCCCAAGGGGGAAGTGGGGTGATGGGGAGCAGTGCAGCAATGACTCCACTTCCCATAGAGGCAGGGTGCTCAGCAGTTCAGGCTATGGGACCCTAGTCCAGCTCCAGGTAGGCAGGAGACTATGACTGTTTGTCCTGGACTGTGGAGTGCCACAGTTCAGCCAAGGCTCTGATTCCCTAGGATGTGAGTCACCATGTCTGCTTGGCCCCGGAAAGCCTGGCTACATGAGTCAGTGGAGTCCCTGGATCACAGGGAGTGGGTCACTGCCTTAGCTGTGGTGCTAAGGGGCGCAACTGCTGTGGTGTGCAGCAGACCTGGGGTGCCTAGGAGCAAAGTGCTGCCTCAGCTGTGGCACCAAGGGGATGTGACTGCTCTGATGTGAAGGAGGCTGGGTAGTCCTGGGGGTGGGATGCTGCCTCAGCTGTGGCACCAGGGGTATGACTGCTCTGGAATTTCTAGGCTTCAAGTCACCAGAGGTGGGACATCGCTTCTGCTCAGCCCTAAGGAGAGGGTAAACCAGCGACTAGGATAGGGGACAAAGTCATTCTGTGGTAGCTTGGCCCTAGTGGTCAGGTTATAGCATCAGCTTTGCCCCATGATGGCTCGCTACTGAGCGTGGTATAGTGCTGGCTAAACCTCCAGGATGGAGAGATTCAGTGGCTACTCACTCCCAGAGCAGGCCACACCCTAGCAGTGGCTCAGATTCTGAGAGGGCACAGAGTAGTAGCAGCACAGGCCACAGAGGGGTGGGGCACAGTGTCTGCTTTTTCTCTGGGCGTAGCCCAGGATTTAGACTCCAGGGAGCTCCCTCAGTTGGGCTCAGAACCTGCGAGGATGGCAGCGGTGTCCAGCAGTGAAGACTGAAGGTGTCCACAGCTGTGATAGGGGCTTCTGGGTCCTCTTGCTTGCTTTTCTTCACAGGAAGAAGTCCCTCCTAGCTCCTAGGGGGTTTGATTGTGAGCGGCAAGGGTGTGGCAGAGGTGAGGTGTCTCCTTCCTTTCTCTATGTGATCATCCTGAGTTTCTGTGCTTTGCCCGATTTTAGCTGTTTCTTTCTTGTTCTCCAGTGCTCTCCTTTATTTTATTTTTTTTGTCAAAATATGGTTGTAAATTCATTGTTTTGGGCTTTTTGTGGTAAGGAAGGGACACTAGGAGGGTCTAAACAGCCATCTTGTTGACTTTACATCTCCAATTTGGGACTTTGGAATGGGGAAGCAATCTGAAGGGATTGAATAAGAAGCAGTACATTGATGTGATAAAAGTCCTTCTGCGTGCTATTCTGATTTTTAAAGCCAGCTGAATATACAAATTGTTGTTATTGTTGTCTTTTTAATTGAGACATCATAGTTGTACATATTTTTGAAGTACATGTGTCATTCTGATACATGTACACAATGAGTAAAAATCAAATCAGGGTATTTGGGATATCTGTCACCTCGAACTTTTATCTTTTTTGTGTTGGGAACATTACAATTATTTTCTTCTTGACTATTTTGAAATATACAATAAATTACTGTTAATTATAATTTTCCTGCTGTACTATCAAATACTAGAACTTATTCCTTTTATCTGACTGAATTTTTGTACCCATTAACTCAGGGGGCCCCAACCTCCAGGCTGCAGTCTGGTACTGGTCCGTGGCCTGTTAGGAACTGGGCTGCACAGCAGGAGGTGAGCAGCTGGTGAGCGAGGATTACTGCCTGAGCTCCGCCTCCTGTCAGATCAGTGGTGGCATTAGATTGTCATAGGATCATGAACCCTATTGTGAACTGCACATGTGAGGGATCTAGGTTGAGCACTCTTTATGAGAATGTAACTAATGCCTGATAATCTGAGGTGGAACAGTTTCATCCTGAAACCATCCCCCTCCCCTTCACCATCCATGGAAAAATTTTCTTCCATGAAACTGGTCCCTAGTGCCAAAAAGGTTGGGGACCACTGCATTAACCAACTTCTCTTCATCCCCTGCTCTCCCTTCCCAGCCTCTGGTTATCACAGTCCTACTCTCTACCTCTGCGAGATCCACTTTTTTAGTTCCCACATATGAGTGAGAATGTACAATCTTTGTCTTTCTGTGCCTAGCTTATTTCACTAAGCATAATGTCGTCCAGTTCCATCCATGCTACTGCAAATGACAGGATCTCATTTTTTAATGTCTAAATAATATTCCATTGTGTGTATATATATGTATATGCACACACATACACCATATTTTCTTTATGTGGATGGACACTTAGATATGCTCCATATCTTGGCTATTGTGAGTAATGCTGTAAATACATTGGAGTGCAGATATCTCTTGGATATACTGATTTTCTTTCTTTTAGATATATACCCAGCAGTGAGATTGCTGTATCTTATAATAGTTCTATTTTTAGTTTTTTAAAGAATCTCCATACAAATTCTTCATGTGACTGATTTTAGCTGTAGAAACTAAAGGGGAGCTGAATATCAAAGTGAGATCAATGTGCTGTAGAAAAAAAATACATTAATTGAACATATAAGGCCCAAAAACAATAATATCATGGGAATATAGACCCAAGGAATTTACAGAAATCTTGGAAAGGTTTAGTGTTTTCTTAGATTATAAAATTAGATTGAGGCAATTCTAAACATAGCTAAAAGGTTTAGAAAGCTCTAACTGATATCTGGGTTTCAAATCATTTTGTCAAATTCCACCCCCTACCATGTACAAAATAGAAATCTAAAGTTATTTAGTAGTATTTAACTAGATATAGTCAACCGATAGATTATTTTATATGAATTGACATATTCACAATATTAAGACTTTTCTTTCTTAATATTGTGAAGAAATATTGTGAAGGATATTGCAAGTCCTCCCCACCTACCCCCTTCCTGTGTCTTCCAGGAGAGTCAACAGAATGTGCCCTTTATCAAAGATGTGAGAAATAAATTCATGAAGGAAGCGCTCAGCATCCTTGAAGCATTTCGTGGTGGAAACACTTTTATTCATTGAGGAAGTAAACAAAAGTGTTATAAAGTTTTCTTCTGATAGAAGAAATTTATTACTGGATATTTTCTCTCTTGTAGTTGCAATTGTGAAGGGTATATTCTCATTATTTTTCTATTAGTGTTAAAAATAGAACTATTAATTTTGGATTAATTTTATAAATGACAAATTTTCCTGAATTATAGTATTATCGTTAAACTCTGCCACAACACAATAGATGGTTTCAAAAATTTTAACTCCATAAAATGTGGGATTATATTATTGTAAGGTTAATGAGCTATCTGGCCCAAGTCTATATATGGGAGTTCTAATGTCCACTTGTAAAATCCAAATGTATCCCAAGTCTTCATGGCAATTGCTATTCTCATTTACATATCAATGGGGACAATTTTGGACCTGGTGGCTGGCTGGAACTTACAGCACAGCAGCTGTGATTCCAAATCTCTTATTTGGTACCTGTTTTGTTAGCCAGATCTGGGAATATTGGCCCAGGAGAATTATTAGGACATAGCAACTCACTTTGTTTTCTCTGTATCTTTAGATAGGGCTTTCTGCCATATACATGTTTGTCCCTCCACTCCATGTCCCTCGACCTGAGAAGATAAGAACTTTTAGTCATTTGAGAATGGAGTCTTGAGAGGGAGCTAGAGCCAGTGGTCAACCAGGTGATATCTAAATTTTGATAATTCTGGGTTACCTAATGGCAATTTTCTTTGCTACAATTGGAGTCATTGTCTGATTAATTTTAGGGTAATTATATATTCTCTGTCATTATTAAGATCCATCTGTATTCTGGACATGTCAGCTAGTTAAGTTCAATAGAGATTTGGTGGGTACTAATCTCTACAATCTTTCAGGAAAGCAGTATTTCTCTTTGGCTTACTATTTCTGGAGATACAGGCAGTCCTGGTGGCCTGCACTTGACCTTTTCTATAATAATGGCCCTCACTTCATGAGTCAGGGAAGTAATATAAGGACTCTACCAACTGTGGAGTAATGTTTTCCTATTATTCATTCCAGAACTTCGGAAATAACCACAAGATCAATTCAGGGATCCACTGGGCACACTGCAATAGACCTGAGCCAAAATTTCACTGGTCCCCTGATTCTCCATAAGCCCCTGCTCTGACTGGTGGGCGACAGTGATGCTTGGGTCTCTGGGAATTAGTATCAGTTCAGAGCCAGTGTCCAGTGATCCTCCAGTAATTCTGATTATTTTAACTTCCTCAGTGCACAGCTGCATGGAAGGCTGGGAGGAAGATTAACCATATAGATTTTTGGCAGTATAGAAGAGTCCTTCAAAAGAACCTTGCACGTTCTTCAAGGGAACTTGGGCTCACCAACATTAAAGGGGCTCTGAGTCTGTGAAAAAGTTCATGCCTTGAAATTGATTGAGACCTAACTTTCTGTTTAAATGACTCAAATCAGACCTCTCTTCACTAGACATAGAGCTTTTCTGCCTATACAGAGTAAGTAAGAGTTTAGTAGTATAACTATCTATTCAGTTTTAGGAATGCCATTATCAACTAGCCAACGCTAAAGATCTCTGCAAGTCAGACTGTTCTGATTACTGCTTTGGCTTTATTGTTTATTACAGTAACCAAATTCACCCTGTCTGTGGCAAACAAGCGCCACCACTACCATCCCAGAGTGCCACCATCTGCACTGACTTGAGGAATTCCAGTTTGATGATAGCAGTTTTCACCCTAACTCTTGACCAGTAAAGAACCACCATGGAACGCTTCAAGGATGCTGAGTGCTTCCTTCATGAATTTATTTCCACATCTTTGATAAAGGGCATATTCTGTTAACCCTCCTCGAGGACACAGGAAGGGGTAGGTGGGCAGGACTTGCAATAATCCACTCTAGCACTCCAATCTCTTTTCTCTACTGTTTATCAGTCTCCTCTCTCTATTTGCACTACTTGTTTTGGCATTCCAACTTCATTATTCTAGGTTACTTTGTGGCCACGTTTTATTCAAGCAACCAAGCAAACTCTTAAAGCCATTTGCAGCCCTTTGAACTAACGCCTTGAAATTGGAATCTCTCCCAATGAAACCATATCAGTAGAACTATCTTTATGCAATTCTACATTTCTTCCACCTTGATTCCATGATTTGAATGTCCTCTCCAAACTCAAGTTGAAATCTAATCACCATTGTGGTTGTATTAATAAGTGGGACTATTAAGAGGTGATAAGGCCATGAAGGTTCCACCCACAATAGTGGCTTAATGTTTTTATCACAGGAGGGGGTTTGTTTTCACAAAAGTGTGTTGTTATAAAAGTGAGCCCAGCCCTCATTATCTCTTACTTTTACCCTTGCCCTTCTACAAGAGAAGAATGAAGAAGAAAAAAGAAGGGATAATGCAGCATGAAGGTCCTTGTCAGATACCAGTGCCATGCTCTTGGACCTCCCAGCCTCTAGAACTGTGTAAACTTCTTTTTTTGGTTTTTAAAATATAATATTTATTTTTTAAAGTTAACGTGTGCACTATAGGAAACTGAAAAACACAAGAAGCAAAGAAAAAACTCATCCACAATCAGAAGCTGTTTACAGTTTTCAAATGTCCTTCTAGGTCCTGTATGTGTTTAGACAAAACATCCAATTTTATGGCATTAACATCACACAAAATGTATCATGTTTTTTCACACATCATACATACTTACCAATTCAAAATCCCAAAGCTATATGAGTATTTTGATAACCAAGAATATATTACACTAACTCAATCTGTTAGAAAAAAAATGTAATCCTGTGTTTCTTGGAACAAAGACTTGATAGAAGACAAAATGGCAACAGTGTTCTAGATAAAAGCATTGGCAGAATTCTGATTAAAATACCGCATTCCCTTAAAGCTCAATTTAAAATGAAACACAAAGCAACAGGATATACTAAGTATAATGTTTTAAGAAAATTTATTATGAGACCTTACCATTAAAATATTAGCAAGAAGGTATTATTTCATTGATTACTTAATGTATTCCTATAGTCCAGCCAAAGACATGCACATACATCAATAGCTTTTGTCAGAATGTAAATAAGAACACATCTCATACTTCTCTCCCTTTGTGCTTCCTTTTGCCCCTCTACTGCCAACCTAATCCACAAGTTCTCACATATACTGCTCAGAAATTATTTAACAATCCCTTGTCCAAGATGCATCTTTTCTATCAATTATAACAAAAAGATGTTTACAAACTGGCTAATTCTCTAACTCTACTTTTTATCATGTACTGTCACCTCCAGACATCTATAAAGTCTAGATGTTGTAAAATAATAATGAATTTTGATCCCAGTAAACACAGGCACTTTACTAAATATGCACATATAGACCTATGGTTATAATCTAAAACCACCTTGTAGATATGGAGATACTAGCAAAGAGCCCTTCCATTCACCCTTCCTCTTCTCCATCTTCCAGCATTCCAGTGACTAAGTAAAGAACTATGCCTACCTCCAAGAGGTGGATTAAGAAAAGTCACTCCCAGAAGACAGTGCTTCCTAAAAACTAACAAAGATTCATTTATAAAGGAGTGATTTTACTACCTCTACTTATAACATACTTTGAGCATTAGGACTTGTTTATCCTTTAAACACAGCAATATTAACTAAAATGCACATAGAGTACAATGGTTCAACCCTCTGGACTAACCTAACTCATGGGCACATAATCCTTCTCTCCTCATCCTTTCTCCTCCCTCCACCTGCCACCACCCAGTGAACAGTCAGCATACTCTCCAAAACATCAACTTTAACAATCTCATATCTAAATGCAGCCACTCCCCAAATGCAACCACTCTTATGAAATAACAAAAAAAAATAAGTAAAGGATGTGACTTTAGCCCTTTACTTTTAACACACTTTTAAACATCTAGAAACACTGCGTATTTCAAATAGGACTTCAGTTTTCCACTCAAGCCAGCATTAAATAAGTGATGCACATACATAACAAAGACTATAATTTGAAAGTATCTTCTAAATAGGAACATTTGGCCAACAGCCCTTTCCCCTTCCACCTCTCTCAACCTAGTGGCCAGTCATAAGCATCTGTAATGTTTAGGAGGGATTTTAACATTTCATTTCCTAAGTGTTTTTAACAGCAGTCTTTCCTGTAAATTTTAAGACAAAATATATTTGATATATTAGTTTACTAACTCTTTTTATACACTAGCAACCTCTTTAACATCTAGAAAGACTAAATATTGTAAATTAGGACTTGTTTGTCCTTTATATACACTACATACACAGATAAGTAAAACAAAATGCATAGACATAAGAGACAATGGTTAATTGTGCCTCACTACAGGTGCACTGGCATACAGCTCATTGCATTTGTCCTCCCTTCTCCCTTGAACCAGTGCACAAACACAATGTATATTACTCAAAAGGTTTGGCCATCCTTGCCCCCACTGAAAAAAGCATTTTATATGAATTTTTTAAAGATATTTACAAAATGTGTTCTTTTACCTCCTCTACTTTCAACATATATCAGGCACTCCTGAACATCCATGAAGATATTTCAAAAAGTTCTTATCATTGTCAATTATACATACAGTAGTGAGGAATAAAATGCACATACAAAACAATGGTTATAATATGAAAATGTCTTCTAAATATGACTAGTCTGGCATGAACCTTCTTCTTTCCTTCTTAAGTCTTCTGCTCCACGTCCTCCATCCTCTAACCCACTGAACCAACATGGACATGTGTGGTTCCTTGTGTCACTTCCAGAGGCGGTCTAACAACTCTATTTCAAAAAGTCACTTTCAGAATACCCTTAATTTCTATGATATTTTTAAACAAGTGGGCTTTTACAGGATGTGTAGTTTTCTAACTCTATCATATGTCAGCAACCTCTTTTCATCTAGAAAGGCTAGATGTAGCAAATTTTTCTTTTAAAAGGTTGGAAGGATTGTTGAGAGCATCTTTTTCATATTATATACACAGCCTGTCTATAAATGGCCAATCTTCCCAAACGGTGGTGGGCCTTTCCAGTGGACCAACTGTGGCATGTCATTCTACCATTTCTCACTTCCCACATTAAGGTCTGGTGGAATGAAGACCAACCACAACCACTGGATGACTGCCAGCTGCTAACTGTTCCACCCATTTTCATGTGGGGCTTCATTTACCTTTCAGGTGTTCAGCCCTTTGTTCCTCATTGTCAGGACTAGGTTGGACTCGCTCTTAGGACAAAGCGGTCATGCCAGGACCCAGAGCTACATGGCTCTAGGCCTGAGGAGGTGGCCTAGCTTGGTGCAAACACCTGCCTCCTTCTGCCCCACACCATGGTGGCCCTCAATGCATGTGGGGCACCTTCCCACCCTGCCACACTTGCTGCCACCCAAAGGTGCTACATCCAAGTGCAGCAGGGCTGGACAAGGAGACACTGGCCGCTGGTGGGGCCAGGCCCGGAGAGGCCACTGGTGCCATCAAGTCACCAAAGTGGGGTGGAGAGAGGTTCACAGCTGCTTCAAGGCCTAGGCCTGGCCGGTGGGTGCCACAGTGAGAGCTCCAGGTGTCTGCAAGGCAGAGGCTGTGCCTGTCCCAGGTCCCCAGCTTACCTGCCTGTGAGGGAGCTTCCCTGCTTGACTTCTCACCATACTCTCTGCCAGACTCTAAACTTCTTCATGTATTATCATTTCTGTGGTATTCTGTTACAGCAACACAAAGTGACTAGGATAACCATAAGATCCATTCCTACACACATTCTCTGGGTTTCTATTGATAGAAATTGGCAAAATCATGCGATACTTTTTGCTGTGTATTGTGGCTCCTCTCAGATCATCCTCTTTATCTCATCCTTAGACTTGCTGACAATGGTGGCAGGAGGCAGACAGGCTCCTAGGCGGGAAGGAGTGGGTCCCCAGTGAGGCCCAAACCTTAAGCCAGAGATGGCCTGAACCCTGGGGGCTGGGCTGCCAATTCTGGGTGGATTTCATGGCCCAGTGTGATAACTTCCTTGATGCCTTTCAGCTAGTCAGATAGTGCTCTTCCTGGGCCCACCCATGGACCAATCAGCATGCACTTCCTCGATTCTGAGCGCATAAAAACCCCAGACTCAGCCACATGTCAGGACTACCTGCCTGTGCATAGGAGCTACTCCCTTCAGGTCTCCCCTCTGCTGAGAGCTGTTCTGTCACTCAATAAAGCACTTCTCTGCCTTGCTTACCCTCCAGTTGTCTGTGTAACCTCATTCTTCCTGAACATGGGACAATAACTCGGGACCTGCTAAATGGCAGGCATGAAAATGTCTGTAACACTTTCCTGGCTGGCTTGCTGAGCTGCGGGCAGTAACATGCTCCCATTTGTGGGACTGTGGGAGTGAAGTGTGACCCTTCTGGGGGTCCAGACCTTGGGACTTCCTGAGCCAGTACTGTAACACTATAGCCCTCCCATCTTTAACTGGTGTCAGGAAGCTGCCCCATGTAATGGGAAGCAGCAGCAGAACCGGGCCAGCCCAGGAACCATGGGCCAGAGTGAGTCAGTGGGACTGAACAAGCTGTAACACAAACTAGCTAAAACACACCCACTTCGTCATTCAACATGCTGTGGGTGGTGGGAACAAGAGACCTGTAACATGCCCACCCCCACCCCTTGGGGTTCCAGTGTTGCTGATGTCTTCGAGTTTTCAGGCACCACTGCATTCTCCTCATCCAGATGCCAGTGTCCACAGTAGAAGCTGCTTGAGGTACGCCTGGTTTAGCCACAGCCTCACACAGAACCAGTGCCTGGAGCTACCTACCCCACCGCGGCAGCCAGTGTACCTGGCTGTGTGCAGTGGCCAGACCCTGCACTTGCTTCCTCACATACCCCTCACCTCTTCACTCCTGGCTTGCCCTCAGTAGGTGTGGGATCCAGGCCTGTAGCACAAGCCAAGTGCATCCTGACAGGTTGAGTGGGCGGGACAAGCCCAGCAGGCACAACAAGCAAAACTCAAGCAGAGGCACTGCTGGCAACAGAGGTTGGTGAAGTGACCCCCCAAAGGATTGTGTGACACTGAGACTTGTATCTAGTTACAGTAGCAGAAGCAATGACAGGTGGTAGGGAAATGTTCTGAGGAGAATCAGAGCCTCCTCCAGTTCTTCATGCAAGGGGGACAGCTCTTCACACAGGAGTGGAGGGCTACTTCTACTGCCAAAGACATTTATTCTGTAATTGAGGTACACATGGTATTAGACTTTGCATTTGGTTTTCAGAAATCTCAGCCTTGCAGCCCCAGGAGATAAGTATCCTTGGGAGTAGTCATTGAAGTAGTACTGTGAACTGGGAACTTAAAGCCCTTCATTCATAATTTTGTTTCCCTAATTGCTCCAGCACACTTTTTATTTAAATGCTCTAGAGCAGAAAATATTTTGTCACCCACAACCCCTGCTTTCTCTTTCTGTAGACATATTATTACAGGTATGTCCAGGTGATAATTTGAGTAACTGTTTTGCCACTGCATTTAATAGACTATTAATGCTGTCTATACCACTGGAAACAGTCATTAATGCCTTTAAAGCAGACAGACCAGAGCACTGAGAAAACCCAGAGTCACTTTAGCAACTAATATTTAAGACCGTGTTTCTTAGAAACTGCTTTCAATACTATTTTTAATTTCAAACTTTTATTTTTTAATTGAGAAATGAAAAATATATGTATTTATTGTGCACATGTCATTTTGGAATATGTATACATGGTGGAAGGGCTAAATTGAGCTAATTAACACATGCATTACTTCATATACTTACCTTTTTTGTGACAGTTCTAAATTCTGTATCATTCAGGTTTCAGTCAGAGAAACAGAACCACCAAGATGAGTGTATGTGTGTGTGTGTGATTAGAGAGCAGTAAAGTAGGCACTTTCCAGCCTTAATTTCTTTTGAAACTTTTTCATGAGGTAGGGTGTTGGAGGGACTGGAGAAGAGTTCTATAATATTATTATCAAATCTGTCTTTTTGTAGGCCTGTGTCCTTGGGCTGGAAACTTCACAGGTATTTCTTAGCTTTTGTCTCACTTAGATGAGACAGAAAGTCTAGAGAGGACTGAAGTTGGGTAATTGCCCTTCCCCTAGGTGGGACTGAGCTCTGGTAAAGTATTTTTCTATGAGTACTTTGTGGTGAAGAATGTTCTGAGTGTGTTTCAGGTGGTTATTTTTACCTTCCTTCTGGGCTCCGCACTGTGGGAACCTGGTAGTGTTTCTGGAGGTAAAAGCCATGAAAGAGCAGGAGCCCCTTAACACTATAACCCCCAAGAGTTTCTCTCTTCCACACTCAGCCTCCACCAATTTGCCCAATCACTATTTAGTTTTTCCTACCAGTTTAAGGGTTCAGTGGCTTCTACTTCAGGTAAACTAATCTCAGCTGTAATTCTCTGTGTTTGTCTGTCTCTTCAGATTGTAGGATGACAGTTTGCCTTGAAACCTCATTGACAGATCCAAGAAGAGTCAATGACCTGCATTTTGTTCAATGTTTTTCTTCTTGTAAGGACAAGAGTGTCAACTTCCAAGCTCATTATGTATTGGAGTTGAAACTGGAAGTTGAAGTCTTTTTTTAAAAAAAAAAGTCCTTTAAAACCAGTATTTTCAATAGACTATGTCTCAGTAGTGATCATTTTCTTCAAATCATCCTCAAACAATACAGTGCATTTGCAATTGGAAAATTTAGTTTTTTTTCTTTTTATCTTTGCATTTTTCCCATCATTTCTACGTACTTAGGGAAACAATTTATTCACATGTCACCTCATCTCCTTTATTAGTTCACCATAGCTTCATTTTTTTTTTTTTTTTGAGACAGAGTCTTGCTCCATCACCCAGGCTGGAGGGCAGTGGCTTGGTCTCAGCTCTCTGCCCGCTCCACCTCCTGGATTCACGCCATTCTCCTGCCTCAGCCTCCTGAGTAGCCGGAATTACAGGCGCCCACCACCACGCCCAGCTAATTTTTTGTATTTTTAGTAGAGATGGGGTTTACCGTGTTAGCCAGGATGGTCTCGATCTCCTGACCTCGTGATCCGCCCGCCTCAGCCTCCCAAAGTGCTGGGATTACAGGTGTGAGCCACCGTGCCCGGCCCACCATAGCTTCTCTTTACTTCCTTTTACCATTTATCTATGTTAGGCATTCTGTTAGTATTTTCTTGAGATTGTCACCAACTTGGTCTTTTGCTACAATCACTTATTTGTTGTTACTTAAAAATAATTAATTGGTTCTTAGTTTTATTTTGTCCCCAGTTCATTCTCCAGTCACATTTTTACCTCATTGTGTCACCATCATTTCATCTTGAATTTCTTCTTTCAAACATTTTATCTTTTCCTTAATTTTATTTAATTAATAAAGATTTTTTTATTACCAATGTCTTTCATCCAGACTGGATAATTTTTGTAGGTTGCAGAATATATGCTTACATGTTATTTGTTTTTTATTGTCAAAATTTTATTTTCTTTTGCTGTATTGTTTTGTTGTAGCTGCTTCACGTTTTCTACTCCCTCCACTCATTTCCCAAATATATGGGTAGATTCTCCTTGCCTACCTTTCCACTTTATCTCTGGTCCTTCTTGTAAATCCCCCTTGATCTTATTGGCTGGATTTTATGTTAGAATTTTTAGTTACCTGGAGAAGGGGAGTGGTAGCATGGAGGAGAGAGGGACTAGAGCTATGCATCAGTTCTATTCAAGGATTTTATCTTTAATCTCTTTCTTTGGAAGTTTGTTAAACCTTTTGTACTAGATCTTATACTGTCTATTTGTGGGGGAACTTTGGATCATTTCCCCATCTTAGGGTGAGTCCACCAGTTTCGCTGCACTGAGTCTTTGGATATATGAAAACAACAATTGCTTAACTCACCATTTTCCAGCCATTTCTCCTCTCATTTGAGGGAATGTTGGAGATAAACTCAAAATTTAGTGGTTTTCTATACAATGTGATGCTTTTTAGCTACTATGAAAAAGTATCCAGTGGTTTGGGGAGTGGCAGTTTCCTCTTATTCCAATGTTTTCTCCTGCCAAACTTTTATCTATTATAGACAGTCAGTTCCAGATAATTATTCCTGAGGTATTTCTCTCACATTCCTTTAAGCCAGGAAAAAACAAAATTGTGACTCTCCTTAGTTTTTCTGGCTTTTCATTCACCTCCCCTTCAGTCATCTTTCCTGGGCCATCAACAAGGGAATTTCTGTAATTATATATTTACTCTACCATATTTCTTTATAAGTCCTTTAATATAATTCAATATTTGGTGGTGATCAAGTGACCCAGTGTTTCTTAGAGGAGAATTGTTATGAAGATTAGCCTAATGAGTACATATCACAATGTGATTTATCTTCTAGTGTGAGAACTTAGATAATGGGAAAAAGAGGCTGAGTAATTGAAATCCATCCATGCATTAAGGGTACTGAAAGGATTTTAGTCATTACTATCAACTTCTTTGACTAAATTTGCTACTAGTCTCATTGATTCTGCTAAATTCATTATAAAGACAGAATGAGAAGTACAAGGGTCAGATAGGAAATAAAAGAAGGATTGTATAATTCACATGTCTGATAGTTACCACTCCTCTACACCCGCCAGCCCCATGTCCAGATATATGAAAGCTGACCTGTGTCTCAGAAATGACAACTTACCCCAAAAGACATTACATTTTGTATTAGTCCGTTCTCACACTCCTATAAAGAACTACCTGAGACTTGATAATTTATGAAGAAAAGAGGTTTAATTGACTCACAGTTCTGCACTTTTAACAGGAAGCATGGCTGGGAGGCCTCAGGAAACTTACGATCATGGCGGAAGGTGAAGGGGAAGCAAGCATGTCTTACCATGGTGGAGCAGGAAAGAGAGAGAGAGTGCAAAGTGGGAAGCGCTACACACTTTTAAACAACTAGATCTCATGAGAACTCATTCACTATCACAGGAACAGCAAGAGCAAAGTCCACCCCCATGACTCAATTACCTCCCACCAGGCCCTCCTTCAGCACATGGGGATTATAGTTTAACATGAGATTTGGGTGGGGACCCAGCCAAACCATATCAATCTTGGAGATAAAGAATCTTTAAAACCAATATAGTGAGATTAAATACAGGCAAAACTATTAAGTTGGTGAAGTTTGCCATCTGAGCCACTTAATCTTTTGTTTCCTGGATCACAGCTTCCTCAAGCTGCTCATAACTATTCATATGCCCCTTGGCAAAACCTGTTCTCAATTTTTTTTACTCTGAGGAATAAATAACTGATGGAGGACCCCACACAGGGGATATTTGCATTTAATCAGGATTTAATGATTAAGTAAAAGTTAGACTGTGGAATGTGGAATTTTATGTATCAGCAAGCTTATAAGGAAGGATTTCTTTTCACTTTGGGGCCTCTTGGGTCCCTGAAATCACATTATATGGCTAGTGCCTATTCTATTCTCTGCATAAGGAAACCTCTCAGTGGTTATTAACTTCTTTTCGAGTTCTCCACTCTGCTGAAAGTTAGCAAAGTTTTGTGTACTCATTCAGCAAATATCAACTTATTGATATCTGTTTAATACAGCAAAGGGAAAAAGGTTAGAAATATTTTTCAATAATTTGTTATTTTACCAGTTTTGACCTTCAGATTGTGTGAGGCCTTACAATACCTTACTACTTTTTAAGGTCTTATACACTAAAATCTTAAACATTAGGCTGGGGGCCGGGCGCGGTGGCTCACGCCTGTAATCCCAGCACTTTGGGAGGCCGAGGCGGGCGGATCACGAGGTCAGGAGATCGAGACCATCCCGGCGGCTAAAACGGTGAAACCCCGTCTCTACTAAAAATACAAAAAATTAGCCGGGCGTAGTGGCGGGCGCCTGTAGTCCCAGCTACTTGGGAGGCTGAGGCAGGAGAATGGCGTGAACCCGGGAGGCGGAGCTTGCAGTGAGCTGAGATCCCGCCACTGCACTCCAGCCTGGGCGACAGAGCGAGACTCTGTCTCAAAAAAAAAAAAAAACATTAGGCTGGGACTAATGTTTAAGCCCCGGGGCTTTCTTTGACTGAACATTTGCCACGACTAGACAGAATATCTAGAATCCTTACATAGCTCAACTACTTTGGAGCCTTTTCTCATATTATCAAGAAATAAAGGACTCAAACATTGCCCAAATCATACTTGAACCCTAGTCTAAGTATGTTTAAAACTTCTGGTTCAAGCTAGGAAGCATTTATGCAATCCTGTGCAAGTACTATCAAGTGCTATGAGGAAATAGATTTATTTCATGCAACAAAACTTAGATAATTGCTCATGTCTCCTTATGGTCCCATGAGCATGTCAGGGTTACGGATCTTTTATCACAGTGGAGATAAGAGTGCAAGCAGGGAAAGGCAGGTCATAAACAAACAAAAAGTAAAATATACAATGTGTCAGATGGTCTTAAGTATTATGGGAAAAATGAAATGAGGAAATGGGTTGGGAATGCTAGGGTTGGGGGATAGTTGCATTTTAATCTAAGGTAGTTAGGGAAGGCCTCTTTGAGGTGACAGTTGACAAAAATTCAAAGGAGATTTAGGACTGAGCCACTCAGATACTTGGGGGAAGAGTGTACCAGGCACATTGAACAAGTGCAAATACTTTTTCAAATAAGAGTGTACCTGGTTTATTTTAAGCACAGAAAGGAGTTTAGCATTAGCAGAAAGGATAAGAGAAGTGGGGGAGTAATGGGGAATGAAGTCACAGAGGTAAGAGAATGGATGGGAGATCTCGTGGGGTCTTATAGACCAGTTGTAAGGATTTGACTTACTCTAGTTTGAGTGAAGTAGAAGGCTATTAGACATTCTGAATAGAAGTCTGACATGGTCTAACTTAGGTTGTTCAAAGTATCACTTTAGTTTCTGTCTTGAGATTAAACCATAAGAGGGCAGGGGTGGAAACAGCATATCTAGTGTAACATTCCAGGCAATTGGTTATTAGAATTGTGGTGGTAGTGTCGAAAGCAGGGAGAAGGAGTGGGATTCTGGATGTATGTGGAAGCAGAGTCAACAAGATTTGCTAAAGGATAGGATGGTGGTCAGGAGGGGAAAAGAGCACTTAGGGATGTCTCCAAGATTTTTGGCCTGCATTTGGTAGGAGATGGTAGCAATTGAGATAGAGAGGATTGTTGGAGGAATGAACTTTGATGAACAGTCAGGAGTTCAGTTAGGAGATACCTAGAAGAAAATTGAAATTCAAGACTGAAATTCAAGACTAGAGATTTAAAAAAACTGGCTGTCATCAGCACATAAATGGTATTTAAGAGAAGAAATCTAAGCCCTCCAGACATCGTCACTCAGTCTTCTTTGTCCTCTGGCTTGTTGTTGGATTTCGTCAATGGGTGGCCCTTTCAGGAGAGAAGAAAGAAGAGAAAAGCAAGGTCTGGGTTTTTTCCCCATCAGCTCATGTTAGGCAGCCCCTCTGCTGTAGTGAGAGGTTTCACTGGGTTCTCGTCACTGCTCCTTCCCAGCCCCTCCAGGCCTGGGGCTGATGGAGTGTCAGTTGCTTCTCACTGTTACCAGCCCTGGCTGCTGTATCCTCTCATTGGCTCCCTTGACCCTGTCCACTCCGTTTAACTCTCTTCAGTTACTGCTTCAGAGTATAACATCTGTTTCCTACCAGGACCCTAATGACATAGCAGATCTGGTAAAAATATTTGGAAAGCAGTGGCACTTGAGTCCTGATGCCACATCTATTGTCGATTTGTGATAACCATTTTGATAATTGATAATTATCATGATTCCTATATGGTTATTGAAATTATTATTTTTATTATAATTTAATTTAATTAATTTTGTTCTATCTTACAACAACATGTATTAGAAGCATGATGTAAGGAAGAAGCAGTTTAGGATTGTTGTATGATCTTGGGAAAGTCATATCACTTCCTGAACTTAAGTTTCTGGATGAGTTAAGTGAGCATGGTAACTACTGCCTCTTAATAAATAATAAGTTCTTAAATATTAAGCTGGTACCTCCTCTAAGGTCCTTGAAGAAAGTTGTTAGAGGAGCATAAAAGTTAACTGCCTACTTTTAAATTTGTCTAAAGATATAATCCTGGTGCCTAAAACCCACTAATGCTAGCCAGGGTTAGAAGAGATGGTTAGGAGAAGGGGAAGGCTGTCAGTACCTGCAATGTCAAAAAGCATGTCATTTTAAACAGTTTTCAGTACTTTTTTTTCTCAGAATAAATTCTTTTGGTCAAAGCCACATGAGGAAGGGCAGAAAACAATCTAAAGACTTTGGAATGGCAATCCAAATATTGACAGTTACCAGCATGTTTCCTCCGGGTCTCCCCGCTGAAAGCTACATCTAGGAATGATACACAGTCACGCAGCCCTGGAGTTTGGCAGCTGAGCACCTCTGGATCTCTGGCCTTCAGCACCCGGAGAATAATTCTTAAATCTACAAACTCTCTCGTGCAGCATTTTTTTCCCTTCTCCTCAAATAATATCCAATTACTGAGTGCTGTGCTGGGAGAACCTGGGGAAATGCTAGAAGGAAACGCAGCTGAGAGCCACTGTGGTTTGACAGCTCTCCAGCTACTTTGAAAATATTTTGGCAAAAACAAGATTTTAAGTAAAACTGTTTCCTTTGGTAACATACCCAAAACTGCAGGTTTTACATTTTCAGTACTATGATTTGGGCCAAAAGTAGAAAAAGAAAAAAAAAAACGGGGAGGTAAAAGCTGTTCTTGAGGGAGGAAGATAGAATCTAAGAAAAAGGGGAATGCTTTGCATGGGATGCAGATATGAGAGTAGGAGGGAAACAGAGGGAAGCATATTGAACTTTCTCTCCTCACTTTTTTTCTGTACTAAAGAATTTCCCCGTCAAAACACAAGGCTCTTTTTTTGCCTTAAGATGGCCAGGAAAGGATTCACTGGGGAATCACTAGGCTAGGATTTGTGTTACTGCTTATTATAGGATGAGCAATAGCAACTGGGGAGGGTCAAACCACATGGGTGTTTCATTTCAGGCCATCCTACATTACAGCAGATGCAGGAGGGGATAAAATGGATAATATTTATCTCAACCCTGTTAGTTGGTCCTTGGAGAATATGCTCATTTATTCTTGCTTCATTTTTTTTTCCTGATCGCCTCCATGCATAAAATCCCTGTGTTTTTGAAAATACCAGCTCTCTCCTATCCCAGGACCTTCGTAGATACCTTCTGTACCTAGAATGTTTTGCCCTCAGACTCCACCATTCTTTTCAGGGAAGCCTCACTCTATCCTACAAGTGACGTTAGCATTTTATGTTGTCTTTATAGCCACCTGTTTACATATTCCCCAACACTCTGTAAATTCTACAAAGGCCTGTTCACTGTCACATCCCCAGGGCATGGCATAAGGTGAGTGTTCAATTTAAAAGGTTAGCAAGTTATCTGACTAAACCTGCTTTTCTTTAGTTTCCTTTTCTTATTATACTTCTTTCCTAATAATCTAGTTCTCCTTTGTTTTTGTTTTCCCTTATATTGCTCTTTTTTTCTATTACCCTTTCTCCGAGACTTCTCCTTATGTAGAGACTTTGCCTAAAGCAAGGGTTTGTAGGAAATATACTCTGAACTGTATAATGTTAATACCAGAAAGTGCTTCAGAGATTATGTAATTAAACCCTCCTCCAATTTTATAATGGTGCTCCATTGTCCAAGGTCACACAGCTAGTTGGGAACAGAATTTAGATTTGAACCCTGTAATCCTGACTCTATGTTTAGTCTTCCTTTCATTATTGTCACTCTATACAAAGTGTTAGACAAAAGGGTGAGGTTCCAAAAATACTAATCATCTCTCTACAACACAAGCTCCATATCATCCGAGAGTTTGACATCTCATTGGAAAGAAAACACTGCTCCCTGGGTCCTTCCCAAAAAATTGCTATTATAAGAATAAAACTTAGGTTCAAACTCTGTCCTTAACTTCCCTCAGACTCAGGAATATCCATTTATCTTAGCATGCTAAGGGAAAGAGGCAAGTTTGATATTTAGTTCCTAAATAAATGTTTATGTGAAAAACAGTGAACCCAAAAGTTCAAAACCCTATTAAAAAGAGAGAATAGGAGAGATAAATATTAATAATGATAATAATAACCAAAGCTGACATTACTAGCACTGCTCTAGCAACCTGTCATAAATGACATATATGTACTGTTAATCCCCCATCAACCTGTAAGTTAAATACTATTATCCCTACTTTACCAATGAGGAAACTGAAGCATAAAACAACTGTTCAGTATATTTAGCTAGTAAATGAAAAGCTGAGATTTGAACCTGAGCAGCTTGCTCCAGCGTCAACACTCTGTGCAACACCTAGATAAAGATTCTAGCCCCAAAACAGAGATAAGTTTTTACAACCTCTATAAAAGATCCCACTGGTATAACCAAGTTCTACCAGGCCTGAAATAATCTGAAGTCAAAACCTTGGGAATGGACAGTCTTTCACAGTTGAATACGTAACTGGCTGCCCTGTTCATGAAGTACTGAACTGATTCTGAGAATTTTGTTTTATCTGTCTGTTCTCTAAATAATTTTCACTTATTGCCAGTTCTTTTAATTCAGGCAATATCCTTTCTCACAAGCTGAAGAACCTATAAAGGGCATGATGGTTTCAATAGGAGTGAAAGTCAAGAGGCTCCTCAGGAAAGGGTTTTGTTACTGCTTCACTGTGGCACTCAGAATGAAATCCAAATTTCACCCACACAGCCTTACAATGAGGGCCTTGCTCATCATTTGATGTGATCTCCCACCACTCTCTGTGCTGTAGCCATTGCAGTATTCCTCCAGCCTCTTGAACTCACAACTGTGCCCTGCCCCCAGGACCTGTGCTCTTGCTCTTATACGGCAAATGGCTTCCAGAAAAAAAATAGTGCAGTTATAGAACAAATTTTTCATGCCAGAAAGTTCTTTCAGGCAGTGTTGGATTGAGGAATATAAGGGCTAGAAGAAAAGTCAGCATGAAGGAAGTCTTTCAAGGCAGTAAAGGGGCTTTAAGATTAGATCAGGACTGATTCTTTGCTCTTCCACTTATTATCTCTGTGTTCTTCTATAAATTAGTTAATCTCTTTATCCGTAGTTTCTGGCAGAGAAATTGGATGAATATATGTATCCATTTAATCACCTAAAGAGGTATGTGTACATGTGTATTATGTATTTTGCCACAAATTCTGTACAACTGCTAGTCCTCGATTAAGGGAAAATAGCAGCAATATCAATAGAATGTAAATGGGATGAAAGCCACTCTGCTAAGGATTAAGATTCAAATAGGTGGTCAGTATGTGCATGCGTAATATGTGTATGCAGAAGGCCTAGACCGCACCTTAAAAGGTCGGGAAGATAAAAGGGCAGATTTTACAAGTAACAGTTTTAGGAGGAGTTTTTTTGTTTGTTTGTTTTTAAATTTATTTTTATTTTTTATTTCTATAGGTTTTGGGGGAGCAGGTGGTGTTTGCTTATATGAATAAGTTCTTTAGTGGTGACTTCTGAGATTTTAGTGCAACTATCACCCAAGCAGTATAGACTGTACCCAATTTGTAGTCTTTTGTCTCTCAACCACCTCCCACCCTTTACCCTGAGTCCCCAGAGTCCACTGTATCATTCTTATGCCTTTACATCCTCATAGCATAGCTCCCACTTATAAGTGAGAACATGTGATGTTTAGTTTTCCATTCCCGAGTTATTTCACTTAGAATAATGGTCTCCAATTTCAACCAAGTTGCTGTGAATGCCATTATTTCGTTCCTTTTTTATGGCTTAGTAGTATTCCATGGCATATATATATATATATATATATATATATATATATATATATATATATATATATATACCACAATTTCTTTATCCGCTCCTTGATTGATGGGCATTTGGGCTGGCTTCTTATTTTTGCAATTGTGAATTGTGCTGCTGTAAACATATGCATCCAAGTATCTTTTTCGTATAATGACTTCTTTTCCTCTGGGTAGATACCCAGCAGTGGGATTGCTAGATCAAATGGTAGTTCTACTTTTAGTTCTTTGAGGAATCTCCACACTGTTTTCCATAGTGGTTGTACTAGTTTACATTTCCACCAGCAGTGTAAAAGTGTTCCCTTTTTACCACATCCCCACCAACATTAATTATTATTATTTTTTGATTATGCCCATTCTTGCAGGAGTAAGGCGGTATCACACTGTGGTTTTGATTTGCATTTCCGTGATCACTAGTGATGCTTAGTACTTTTTCATATGTTTCTTGGCCATTTGGTACATCTTCTTTTGAGAATTGTTTATTCATGTCCTTAGCCCACTTTTTTATGAGATTGTTTGGTTTTTTCTTGCTAATTTGTTTGGTTTCCTTGTAGATTCTGGATATTAGTCCTTTGTCGGATATATACATTACAAAGATTTTCTCCCACTCTGTTGGTTGTCCATTTACTCTGCTGTTTCTTTTACTGTGCAGAAGCTTTGTAGTTTTATTAAGTCCCATCTATTTATCTTTGTATTTGTTGCATTTGCTTTTGCATTCTTGGTCATAAAGTCTTTGGGTAAGCCAATGTCTACAAGGGTTTTTCCAACATTATCTTCTAGAATGTTTATGGTTTCAGGTTTTAGATTTAAGTCCTTAATCCATCTTGAGTTGATTTTTGTATAAAGTGAGAGATGAGGATACAGTTTCATTCTTCTACGTGTGGCTTGACAATTATCCCAGCACCGTTTGTTGAATAGGGTCTCCTATCCCCACTTTATGTTTTTGTTTGCTTTGTCAAGGATCAGTTGGCTGTTAAGTATTTGGCTTTATTTCTGGGTTCTCTATTCTGTTCCATTGGTCTGTGTGCCTATTTTTATACCAGTACCATGCTGTTTTGGCGACTATGACCTTATAGAATAGTTTGAAGTCAGGTAATGTGATGCCTCCAGATTTGTTCTTTTTGCTTAGTCTTGCTTTGGCTATGTGAGCTCTTTTTTGGTCCATATGAGTTTTATAATTGTTTTTTCTAGTTCTGTGAAGAACCACGGTGATAGTTTGATGGGAATTGCATTAAATTTGTCGATAGCTTTTGGCAGTATGGTAATTTTCACAATATTGGTTCTACCCATCCATGACCATGGGTTGGGTTTCCACTTGTTTGTGTTGTCTATGATTTCTTTCAGCAGTGTTTTGTAGTTTTCCTTGTAGATGTCTTTCACCTCCTTGGTTAGTTAGGTATATTCCTAAGGATTTTTTTTACAGCTATTGTAAAACAGGTTGAGTTCTTGATTTGATTCTCAGCTTGGTCTCTGTTGGTGTAAAACAGAGCTACTGGTTTGTGTACATTAGTTTTGTATCCTGAAACTTTACTGAATTCATTTATCAGTTCTAGGAGCTTTTTGAAGGAGTCTTTAGAGTTTTCTAGGTATACAATCACATCATGAGCAAACAGCAACAGTTTGACTTCCTCTTTACTAATTTGGATGCCTTTTATTTCTTTCTCTTGTCTGATTGCTCTGTCTAGAACTTCCAGTACTGTGTCAAATAGAAGTGGTGAGAGTGGGCATCCTTGTCTTGTTCCATTTCTCAGAGGTAATACTTTCAACTTTTCCTCATTCAGTATTATGTTGGCTGTGGGTTTGTCACAGATGGCTTTTATTACATTAAGATATGTTAGGAGGGAGTTATCTTAAGGTAAGTTTCTTTAAGGTAAGGTAAGGTAAGGTAAGAGCATAAGGGGATGACATAGAGGGGACATGAAGAGAGAACAGATAGGAAGAAAGGTCGAAAGGATGTATAAGCATCAATTTCCACTTTCTAATTGCTGAAGGGATGATAGTGTTGTCAGTCAAAAATAATATCACATAACAGTGACAAGATTGGATAGTGTAATCTTTACTGGGGGAGGGCAGAAGAAAGTCAAAGTAGGAACAAAAGGTGTTTTCCATTGCCCCTGAAATCCTGTTATTACTAGGGCAGGGGTTGGTTTTATTTCTAAAATAAAAGTCTGACTTATTGATAATTGCTGCCTGAAGTCTACATAGAGAAGGTTTCTGAGGCTGTATTTGAGCTCCATTGGGAAGGAGTGCATAAATAAAGAGCAACTTCTGCACAGACACAGAAATCTCCTCCTGAGGTCAACTCTGCCGGTGAACCTGGCCCTGTACTTAAAACACCTTTCCTGCATATCATCCCATGACTGTAACCCTGCTGTCATTCAGATCTCAGCTTAAACATCACTGCTCAGCAAAGCTATATACCTGTCTACCCTCTCTTTGTTCCATACAGCATGACTGTAATGATTTTAGGCTGAAAAAAGCTTAAAACACCTATAACCCCTAAGCAACAACAGCAGCCAAGGAAAAAAAAATTCAGTAAATCTCCCACACACCTTGCTTCGGTAATACTACTTCCTAGTATACTTGACAGGATAAATTATTTATTAATTAAAAGTAAACAAGCAGGGTTAGAGGATACAGCCAAAAATAGAGTTGACTTAGTGTAATTAATATTAAAAATTCCATCTGACGTACTTGGCTAACAGGGCCAGTTGTTTATTTCAGCTACTTTTCTTTCAAATAATAACTTTTTTTAAATCACAAAAAGAATTTGTTTTCTATCCACTGAGAAAGGATAAACGCATCCAACCCTTTAAGAGAACTATCAGATAACTGAGAAACAAGTGAAAGGGTGGAGATAGAAATGGAAATGAGGGCAGTGTAGAGCCTTTCCATTTTAACCTAGTACAAAATTTAATAGGAAGATCACTTCTACTAATCCTGACTCTTTTATGCAGCAATCTGTCTAAATGTCAATTTTAAGTAGGATTCTATGTCTAGCTTGTGCCAGTGAGCTGATAAAGGATTTCTGACAATAAGTAATAAAGCCATGAATGATACAGTCTCTGGTTTCATTCTTCTTGAAATAGTGAAATCTCTAATAATAATAATATTTGCTGAAATAGCCTTATCTACAATCCACCCATTCCTCATGTAAAACATTGGTGCTGTGGTTTGACTGTCTGTCCACTGCAAAACTCATGTTGAAATTTAATTGCCATTGTAACTGTTTTAAGAGGTAAAAACCATTGTTGAGAATCCCCATGAGGCCTAGTAGAGTTGTGGGGATGGGGCTACTCCCAAGACCCCAAAACTGTAGAGCTACCAGTGAGCAATGACAGTGTGGGAGAGCTGCAGGAATGAGACTCCAACCTGTGAGAACTCCTACATGGACTGAGTCCAGTAAAGCTGTAAAGCAGGGTTGCCTAAGGTGTTGGGGGCCCAACCCCCACCCCATTGTGCCCAGGGACATGGAGTCAAGAAAGATTAGTCTCCAGCTTTAAGATTTAATGTTGTTTTCCCTGTTGGGGTTTGGACTTGCTTGGGACCAGTTACCCCTTTTTTTCTTGCGTATTTACCCCTTTTGATATGGGAATGTCTAGTCTATGTCTGTCCTACCATTGTGTCTTGGAAGCCCATAATTTGTTTTGATTTCACAGACTCACAGCTGGAGGAGAATTTCCCTCAAGATGAATTGTGCCTTGGGCTTCACCCATATTTGATTTAGATGAGACTCTGGGCTTTAGACTTCTGAGCTGGGGCTAGAATGAGTTAAGACTTTTGGGACTACTGGGAAGCAACGAATGTATTTTGTGTGTGAGGACATGAGTTTAGGTGGGGGTGGGCAGGAGCATAATTCTATGGTTTGAATGTTTGTCCTTTCCAAAACTCATGTTGCAATTTGTCAGTGTAACAGAAGTAAGAAGTAGGTCCTTTAAGAGGTGATGAGGCCATTAGGGCTACACCCTCATGAGTGGAATTAGTGCCATCATAAAAGGATGAGTTTTTCCTCCTCTTGCATTCTCTCTTGTCTTCTCTTGCCCTTCTGCCATGTGACTCTCATAGCAGAAGGCCCTCATAAGATTCCAGTCCCTTGATCTTGGACTTTGCAACCTGCAAGAACAGTAAGAAATAAATTTCTGCTCATTATAATTTATTTTGTGTATCACATATTCTGTTATAACAACACAAAATGGATTAAGACACTTGGTCTGAAAACCCCAGAATTGCTGTTCAATAAGTGAGTATTTTCAGGCAGTAAAGGTTATATTAAGCTATCAAAAAGTTATCTTTTTGAATATGGAATAAATATACATTAGATTTATTCAAAGAGGACCTTGCTAAAACAGTTAATAACAAATCTAGAAAGGTTTCAAAGCTCACATTTCAAAACAATTGTTAATCAACCTGGAGACTAAATTCTCCCCAGGTACTTTATTCAGTTCCATTTTTAACTTAACTGTACAGTGCAAGAAACTTTTCTGAGATCTAATCAGGAAATAGCGTGGGATCTACAAAAACTAACTTAGGTGGTCTTGGTTTATAGCAGGGTTTCTCAACCTCAACAACTATTGTATTTTGGGCCAAATAATTCTTTGTTGTGGGGCACTCTCCTGTGCATTGTTGAATGTTTAGCAGCATCCTTGGCCTCTATGCACTAGATGACAGTGACATCCTTTTCCCCAGTTTAACAAACAAAAATGTCTCCAGACATTGCCAAATGTTCTCTGGAGGGCAAAATTGACCCATGTTTATAGGGTAGGTAAGAAGCCTTTCCAGATATTCAGGATTTAGGCTCACAAGCTTGTTCAGTGGATTAAAACCTAAGGAAACTGTGCCACAGAATCTAGGCTCTTTACTACTTCTACATGCAAACTCATATGAGTCCACCAACATGGTTTGTTGAAGTTAATCAGTTGAAGCAATGGTAAACATATGCTGTACATATACCATATGAGTTTTATATAAGATCTTCGAAGAGCACACCTCTTCTCTTGTGAGCTCTACTCGGTGCTTCACAAATGTTGTTAATTTTATTTTGTCTACATTGTCAAAGGGCTACTTTGGATAAGATGGATAAGAATTTGGTTTACCATCCCATTCTGTAGTTAAAATTGCATTAAAGTTATTTGAATACTATGAGGTTAGAAATCTCACCATCAGGTTTACCTGAGGCATAGTTTTAAGGCTCAATAAAGTTGAAGTCCTTTAGCCAATCTTACTGTTTTCAATATTTTAATGCTTCCAGTTCAACTATTCATTCAGAGCATAAAAAGCAAGGATGAGTTAGATGGTCATTTTCTAAGCAATTCAGATTACCCAATATGTGTACATTTTTTAAAGGCTAGAAGCACAATAAGGCTAATTTCAAAACCATTTATAGTGATAGGACTCAGAGTAAATGTACCAATTTACCATAAGACATCACTAGGCTCTGATCATTAATGAGTATGTCAGATATTTCTCCTTTATATTTATATTTATATATTTACCTTTAAAAGTCATGTTCCACAGAGTATCAACCCTCTCATTCCTTAGGGATTCCCAACATGGCCCCATAAGAGCAGCTGCCAATCTTGGTCACCACAAATAATTAATCCCACCGTGAAATATTTAAAATATGTAAAGGTGAAAAGATCATAAAAATGAGACCATATGTCCAAACATACCACGTGTGCTTTGGCAAGAGAAATGTATGTGTTAAGACAAGTCTTAACCAGGCTGCCAGGGAACTAGATCAAAACCAGGACAAAAAGATTCTTTTCATATAAGCTAGGTATTTCCCTAGCACTTATCCCAAGGTTAACTGAGATGAAAAAGCCAATATACCCCCATTGGCCTGGCAAAGCCATCTTCCTTGATGGATGAAAAACATAAAAGGCCTAGAACCTTATATTTGGGGAGACGAACTGCCTTGGTCTAAATCCTGGCTCCACAACTAACTCTGCCAACATCTTAACATGTTGGCAACATACTTAATATCTCTGAGCCTCAGTTTCCTCGCCTATAAAATAGAAATTGTTCTATCTTTCTTCTGGAATGTTTTGAGGATTAAACAAGATAAAGAAAGTGTTTAGAATATTTTTGGCACAGAATGAAGGCTGTTGTTCTTATTAAGAAAAAAATCTATATTCCATCTCATCAGGAGTGCTAACATTTTGATTCTCACTTTTACTTGTTTCAGATTATGCTCCAAGACACTGAATCTGAAAGGATGCATCCAGTCTTGCCAAGTGGTTTCACTACCAAGGCCAGTCTCCATCTATGATAGACCCAAGGAAGATCATTTACAACTAGAATCTAGTCATTTAGGAGATTGTGTGCTCCCTGGATGGGCCATCTGCACTGGTGTGAGGTTTATCTCATTGAAGGGAAAACCAAAGGAATCTTCTTGAATATCAGCACCAGGAAGAGCAGTACAAACTGGAGAAGCTGGGGTATGTAGGCAATGGCTTCAACCCACGTATTATATGTATTCAATTACTCAGAAGACCCTGTACTCCACTTATTTTGGTTGAATAAGCAGACTGTAAAACCAACAAAAAATAGAAATTACTTTTAGATAGCTAGTATATGGGCTTATTCATGTCATACCTCTCATCCTTTAGAACCAGTTGTCTAAGTATTGATTATACCACTAGGTGTCAACATTATTAAATTAAAAATGGTTGTAGCTGGGCATGGTGGCTTGCACTTGTAATCCCAGCTACTTGAGAGGCTGAGCCAGAAGCATTTGTTGAGGTCAGGAGTTTGAGACCAGCCTGGGCAACATAGCAAGACACCATCTCTAAAAAAAGTAGCCAGGCAGAGTGGTGGCAAATACCTGTAGTCCCAGCTGTTCAGGAGTCTGAGGTGGGAGGATTGGATTGCTTGACCCCAGGAGTTTGAGGCTGCAGTGAGCTATGATCATACCAATGCACTTCAACCTGGGCAACAGAGCAAGATCCCAACTCAAAAAAAAAGTTTTGAACAAAACTTTGTAAATTTTTAAAGTAAAAATTCACTTTAATATTTAGCTAAGTGAATAAGAATTAGCTTAGATGACCCTCAAGAACGAAAGTGTAGTTCTCCACTCTTTTAATGCCTTTTGGAGCTTATTATACAATATTTTAAATATGAAAAATATATAAAGAATAATACAGCAAACTTTTCCTGAGGTTAAGGGTCTTTAGGGAACTCAGCTTTAATCTGGTCCAATTCCACATCTTGTTACCCCTTTTAATACCTACACCTTTAATACCCAAGACTCTGGGCATAGAAATTGTCAAATTCCCTGAAGGCAGCTAAATAATTAGCTGCAGTTTTCCATTCTACTTTCTTTGTGAGTATAAATGAGTTTTACATTTTAAAAGGCATGTACAATATTTCATTGAGCACTCTGTTTTTAGTGGGAAGTTTTTTTCAGGGTACCTAACCTCCTTCATTTTTTATCAAAATGTACTCGCTATTATGAGTTTAAAATGTTTTTAATTTTATTTTATTTACGCAGTTGTCTCTGTCCTCACTATTAAAATTGGAATGCAAATAAAAACAAAATGGCCAAGAACAGAATTGGTATGCATTAAAAACTATTGTAGGAACACACAGGTTTCCATGGAGGAGAGCAATTTTTGTATTTAAATGTATTGTAATAGTTTCAAAACAATAACTAAATTCAAATAAGCCATTTTTGTTGTTACTCAGTGAATGTGAACCCCAAACCAAACCATAATACTCCTTTTCAAAGGCCTTCTAGGATATTTCCCCAATTTATAAATTCTCCCATTCTAGTGTAAATTCGTCTTAGATAGCTAAGATGTTTTAGAGAATATGCATGCTAGCAAATCCACTAGGCCTTTTCCTTGTAACCTAAAGTATGTTGAGTTAATGAAGAAATTCAATCTCTTTCTCTAATGTTTATATCAAATTTTAGAATTCCTACAGTTTTCTTACCCAAGTATAGTGATCAGGAAAATCACCAAATGCTAAATTGGTGGTTTCAGCTTCCCAGAGTTTGGATGAGCCCTGGGGTATCATCAGATGTATATCTCACCTTGGTAACTATCTTTGATAGGGATGCTGACTTGCACTCCTCTGAGTGTACTGGCCAACTAAAGGCTGATACTCTCTGCCAAAGTCTCTGTTGAAGACCTGAACTTCAGCTCTAGCACCATTGTTCTGGTCATCCCATTCAGACTTTTCTTGGCCCCTATTCATGGGAAGGGGAGTAGGCATATATTCTGTCATTTCAAGATGAGGAAACTGAGGTTCTAAAAGGCTTATTTTTTCTGAATCCAGATAGTAAATGATGGAACCAAACAGACTGCACAGCTTATGATATTTCACTATCCTATGTTTCACATATAAAAAAACAATTTTGAGCTAATGGCCAATCGTGTAATCACTGACTTTGTAGACATTTTAGTGATTGGGCTTATGCTGACTACTTGTGGGATGTCTAATTTGTTTGCAGGCCTGCTTGGCATGTAGTAACTGTATATAAGTGTTTGCCATTTATCATTGCCAAAACCATGGCATGCTCAAACTGAGCACCTTAGGTGTCACAGTGTGTCAAAACTACCATTTCTGCAGCACCCTTTCCTAGATCCAGGCTTAAGAAGAGGACTATTCCCTTAAAATACAAGCAATTCTAAGCCAGAGGGAATTTCTGCAGCCAAACCAGAGTAGTATTTCTGTGATGCTCAGTGAGCCTTCAATAATTTCAAGGAATGGAACTGTATATATAACCCTATCTGTATAAAGTAAGATTAGATCTTTGTAGCACTCATTAATCTTGCTGTTGATTTTAAGCTCTTCCTTGATGCAAGTTTCTTCATCGCTGCCTTCATAGACATATCAAATTATGGGAAGCTTGTTAATTCAGACCAAGACTGCCCTCATAGAATCACATTATTTGGATAAAGACTTGATACAAACATCCCTCTGTAATGTCTATTTTTTTTTATTATACTTTAAGTTTTAGGGTACATGTGCACAATGTGCAGGTTAGTTACATATGTATACATGTGCCATGCTGGTGTGCTGCACCCATTAACTCGTCATTTAGCATTAGGTATATCTCCTAATGCTATCCCTCCCCCCTACCCCCACCCCACAACTGTCCCCAGAGTGTGATGTTCCCTTTCCTGTGTACATGTGTTCTCATTGTTCAATTCCCATCTATGAGTGAGAACATGCGGTGTTTGGTTTTTTGTCCTTGTGATAGTTTACTGAGAATGATGGTTTCCAGTTTCATCCATGTCCCTACAAAGGACATGAACTCATCATTTTTTATGGCTGCATAGTATTCCATGGTGTATATGTGCCACATTTTCCTAATCCAGTCTATCATTGTTGGACATTTGGGTTGGTTCTAAGTCTTTGCTATTGTGAATAGTGCCACAATAAACATACGTGTGCATGTGTCTTTATAGCAGCATGATTTATAGTCCTTTGGGTATATACCCAGTAATGGGATGGCTGGGTCAAATGGTATTTCTAGTTCTAGATCCCTGAGGAATCGCCACACTGACTTCCACAATGGTTGAACTTGTTTACAGTCCCAGCAACAGTGTAAAAGTGTTCCTATTTCTCCACATCCTCTCCAGCACCTGTTGTTTCCTGACTTTTTAATGATTGCCATTCTAACTGGTGTGATATCTCATTGTGGTTTGGATTTGTATTTCTCTGATGGCCAGTGATGATGAGCATTTTTTCATGTGTCTGTTGGCTGCATAAATGTCTTCTTTTGAGAAGTGTCTGTTCATATCCTTTGCCCATTTTTTGATGGGGTTGTTTGTTTTTTTCTTGTAAATTTGTTTGAGTTCATTGTAGATTCTGGATATTAGCCCTTTGTCAGATGAGTAGGTTGCGAGAATTTTCTCCCATTTTGTAGGTTGCCTGTTCACTCTGATGGTAGTTTCTTTTGCTGTGCAGAAGCTCTTTAGTTTAATGAGATCCCATTTGTCAATTTTGGCTTTTGTTGCCATTGCTTTTGGTAGTTTAGACATGAAGTCCTTGCCCATGCCTATGTCCTGAATGGTAATGCCTAGGTTTTCTTCTAGGGTTTTTATGGTTTTAGGTCTAACGTTTAAGTCTTTAATCCATCTTGAATTAATTTTTGTATAAGGTGTAAGGAAGGGATCCAGTTTCAGCTTTCTACATATGACTAGCCAGTTTTCCCAGCACCATTTATTAAATAGGGAATCCTTTCCCCATTGCTTGTTCTTCTCAGACAAACCTGACAAACCTGTAATGTCTATTAAAAAGGAATCTTCCTAGGTAAATAACAATATAAACAATGTTAAAGGAAGTTTATTTAAATATTTCAAGGTAACACATATTTTTAAATATTTTAACTCTTACCAACAATATAAATGATAATATATAGTTATGAGATTTGTTTCTTAAACCAGGTCCACAGAAAATTTCTACTGGGAGATACTTCCTAATAGGCTGACTCTATTTGCTTCCCATTACAGATTTTAAAATATTTTAAGACCAATTGTCTCAGGAATATGTGTCAAAGAAAACAGGTAGTGCTGAAGTTTTAAATCTAGGAGCATTTATAAAATTGGTGAATAAATCAACAATTAATAATTTTAGTTCTACAATATGTTTATCTACCTGACTATGTCATGTTTAGGAAACTCATTAAAGTCTTAGAAGATTAGACAAGCAATTTTCTTGGTAGTGCTGAATTTAAGTATTTCTGAATAAATCTCTTTTACAAATGAGAATTATAAATGAAAATTTCAAATGTCTCTGTACATACATACATATACACAAACATATATGTTTATAAATTTGAGCAGATACAAAGAAACCACTAGAATATTTCTATAACATCTGTGCAATTTAATTTAAAAATTTTATGGTCTTATTGTGGATGTTTTCTGAGAGCCCAAACTTAAACATTTTCTATATGAGGGGAAATGTTCTGTGTCATCAGCCACAGGTTCACTCTAGTCTTTAAAAATACCCAGTGGCCAAGTATGGTGGCTCATGCCTGTAATCCCAGCACTTTGAGAGGCCAGGGTGGGAGGATCACATGAGGCCAGGAGTTTGAGACCAGCCTGGGCAACATAGCAAGACATCATCTCTATAAAAATATATTTAAAAATTAGCCAGGCCTGGTGGTGCATGCCTGTAGTCCCAGCTATTCAGGAGGCTGAAGTGGAAGGATTGCTTGAGCCCTGGAGTTTGAGGCCACAGTAAGCCATGATCATGCCCTGTACTCCAGCTCAGGCAATGAAGAAAGACTTTACCAAAAAACAACAGCAACAACAAAAAAAAAAACCGAAAGCCTCAAATGGACATTTATCTGCAGCCTGCCTTCCATATTCTTCTTTTGAACATTGCCCCCACCACCCCCCACCACCCCTTTCCTTTTCTCACTGAAGTAACACGGAATCCAAACAGTATCCTCCATTTTCTTACACAATCTCACAGCCTTGGCACATGACTCTAGCCTGACCAATCAGTGTGTTTCCCTGGGGAAAACTTTCTTCCTTCTGTGACCCTGAAAGAGCCCGAGCTATTGCTAGCTGCTGTGTCTGATTGTATAGAAGATCTGCCTTTTGAAGGGAGCACAAAACTGATGTTCAGAAAGAAGGCAGTATGTTAAGAGAGAGAAAATAGAGACAGAGCAAGAGACAGAAAAAGAGAGAGAAAACTGAGAAGAGAAAAAGACTAAATCAGAGAGAGAAAAAGAGAAAGGAAGGCTGGAGGGAGGAAGACATTGAGATTGTATTAATGTGATTGTTCTGACTATATTTTTGGCTCTGATTCCTGCCCTAGTCCTGCCTTCCAAGGCTTGGCTTTTAAGCCTTTGCTCCTCTTCTGTGAGATACTTGCTAACCTTCCAAAAAATTCCCCTCTGGTGTTCAAGTTGGGTTCCTTGCATTCAGAAGATTGCTAATAATGTTAGCGCCTCTTCAAAGTCTCTGTGGCACTGCATTTGGAAGGTATGTAAGTTTGATAATGTGGAGAATCATTTGGAATTTATGTTAAATTTTAACCTTCCACCAAATTGTATACTGATGTGTAAGGAAGGAGGAAAAAATCACCTAGCATGTATTATTATTATAGAAACTATTATTCCAAAGAACAGTAGGTGTGATTGAATTGAGAATGACAAACCAGCCTCAACTAAGCAAGTGGATGGGGAGAATGGCTCCATGTAATCCTCTTAGAAAAACTTAGACTGTATGAGAGGCTGAAGGAATCTCCAAATTTTCAGTTACCCAAGTTGTATTTTCCCTGCAGACTCTTGGTATATTTGTTTCCTATTACTGCTATAATGAATTACGACAAACTTAATGGCTTAAAATGAAAATATATGTATAGATCTAGAGATAAGAAATATAAGGTGGGGTGGTAGCGCGGTGTTCTTTCTGACAGCTCTAGGGGAATATCTGTTTCCTGGCTTTTTCCAGCTTCTAAAGGCTGCCTGCATTCCTTGGCTCATGGCCTGCATCATTCCAACTTTGCTTCTGTCATCACATCTCTTCTAACTCTGACGCTCCTGCATCCCTCTATAACAACGCTTGTGATTACGTTAGGTCCACCTCATAATCCAAGGTAATCTCACATCTCAAAACCCTAAATTTAATCATATATGCAGAGTCCTTTTGATATGTAAGGTGGCATATTCACAGGTTCTGGAGATTAGAACATAAATATCTTTGCGGGCCAATATTAACCTACCATACTTGATACTGATCTTTGCAGGAAAGGGTGTAGCAGTCAATGCTACCCAGGAATCAGTGACTTAATATATTGTCTCAGACTTGTTTGGAGAGGCCCTGTCTTCATCTCCAAATGGGATATTCTTGTGGGGCAGAGCTCAGGATCTGGTATGGACTACCCATCATTTTTCTATCGCTGTAGAGAATATGGTCATTTATCGGCAACCTCACAAATGTGAGATGGTGTCAGTGGTGATACGAAAGCTTTTCGCCAGGCAGTAGGGACAGATCCAGATCTAGGACCCAGTTGCTCAAAAGCCTTAGGATAGAACATACTGCTTACCAACAAACTGGCCAAGGCACTTATCTGGATTAATAGATCTCTGAAAATCTAGAAGCATGATACAGAGGCAGATTTCATGAAGCTGATAACCAATAATCCCACTATACTGACATCTATGCAAATAGTGCTGTGCTACAAAGACAGTGAGCATGTTTCATGAGTCCTGGCATGCAAAATGCTAGATCCTTTCAGAAAACCATCTGGCCTACCACTTGCAAAACAACTCACTCATAGATTAGCAGTAACAGGAAACCCTTACTGCTCTTAGTACAAAAGAACAAAATGGATCTGGAGCTATCCAGTAGAACTTGGAACCACTGAGAATCTATCTGTCTGTTCTTCCTATGGAAGAAGCACTGCTTTTGCAGAAGACTCCTCTGAAGCACTGGGTGGATCAGGGCAGGAAGAATACCCTGACTTTTTCTTGCTTTCTATCCTTCAATCTCCCACCAGAGCCTCACATCAGTGTCAGAAAGCTAGTTGACATGGAAGCCTGAAAAATGCAGCTTGCCAGGATGCCTCCTCCCTTCCACTCCTCTCTTCAATTCAGAGGGGAGAAGTGAGAAGGTAAGCAAGGGATAAGCACATGGCTAACTTTGAGAATTGCTGGGTTAAACAAAGAACAATTCGTTTCTTAATCATAGGATATCACATATGTGCTATGATTCTTAACAAAAGGGATTTAGTGTTTGGTTGAAAATGGAACCTTTTATACCAGAATATTTCATAAAACTCATCTTCAAGTACCACACTTTGACTTTTGACTCTACTACTAACTCTAGGATCCATCTGGGTTCTTGCTTTTGTGAAACTAACTACAAAGGTGAAGAACAGAAATATACCCTCAGGATACATTGGAGTGCAGGGAACAAGACTGACAAGCAGAGCTCAGAGAAAAAATATAAGAAGGAACATGAAGAGCTGGAAATGAGGAGTGATATCAGAAAGATGGCAGCATAGGAGCTTTCTACCATCATCCCCCATGGAAGCATTGATTTTGACAACTACCACAGATGAGTGTACATTTGTGGGAGTCAGGGAATACAGTGAAGAAGTTCCAGAACACCATTAGAGAAAAAAATCTGAGAATAGTCACACTGAGGAGTATAAGAAGAAGAGTTTTACTTTACCCATGTCACTCCTCCCCCAAGGCAGCAGAGTTCAGTGCTGAAAGACACCATCCTCAGCACACAATTTCTCCAACAGGAAAATAAGAGCATACTGAGTTAGTGTCCTGCTCCCCTAGCTACACAGGATGCTGTCCAAGAGGCCCACTATCATCCCACCCAGAACACTGAGGTGATTGGCACAACCGAGTGGTTGGAAGACACCAGGAGCAGGGAGAAGAGGTCACAGATTCTACTAATCACTCTGCAGACTTTATCAGGAAGCCTTCCCATGAGCCACTTGGGAATTTTTGACTTTTAAACACCTCCCAACTGGTCCACAGACACTCTAAACACCCCGTGGCTCACCATCCACACCAGGCTAGCTCCCCAGCACACCTTCACAGATAGCAATTCAAGCATCTTGTGCAGACAGCCATCTGGACTCTGCAGATTAGGAGAAGGCACTCAAACTTGAACATTTCAGAGCACTGCCATAGGGAAAACAAGCAGGAGGCTCTTAGCACCCAGCCTGGCTTTGCAGGATTGAAAGAAGGCAAAAATATCTCAAGAATGTGCATATTAGAGGGAACAAGAGATGTGGAGCAGATGCAGCCACAGAAAAGTTCAGAGAGAGCCTCAGAATCACTAGCCATGCTTTTCGGTGAAAAAATTTCTCTCCTGAAGATAGTCAGTAAAGACTGAAGGAGGTGACTGTTTCTTCAAATCAAAGACAACAATGCAAAACTTCAAGGAACACACTTAAAAAAATCAAGTAAACATGAAACCAACAAGGGAGCACAATACTATGCTAGTAACCAACCCCAAATAAATGAACAACTATGAATTGCCTGACAAATAATTTAAAATAACAATTTTGAGGAAGATCAACAAACAGCAGGAGAACACAGATAGGCAACTCAATGAAATCTGAAAAACAAACCGTGAACAAAATTATAAGTTCAATAAAGAAAAATTATTTTTTTAAAAAATTCTGAAGCTAAGAATACAATGAATGAATTAAAGAAGGCAATAGAGTATGTCAACAGCAGACTTCATAAAGCAGAAGAAAATCTATGAAATTAAAGAAAGATCATTTGAAAATATCCAATCAGGGGAGAAAAAAGAATGAAAAGGAATGAAGAATATCTATGGGATTTATTGATGGTGTTATCAGGAGAGCTAATATTTGCATTATAATATACCAGAAGGAAGGGAGAGAGAAAAAGGAGCACAAGCTTATTTAAAGAAACAATGGCTGAAAACTTTCTAAATCTGGAGGGAAATATGGACATTTAGGTATATGAAGTTCAAAAGTCTACAATCAGATTCAACCCAAGAAAGACTTCACCAAGACATAATATAATCAAACAGTCAAAATCAAAGACAAAGAGAAAATTGTGAAAGCAGCAAGAAAAAAGAGGTTTCTCACATATAAGAGAACCACCATAAGACTATGACCAGATTTCTCAGTAGAAACTTTGCAAGCCTGGAGGGTGTGAGATGATATAGCCTAAGTGCTGAAAGAAAAAATAAATAAATAAATGAACTGTCAACTAAGAAAACTTTAACCAGCAAATCTGTTTTATAAAAACGAAAGAAAGAAAAAGACTTTCCTAGACAAAGCTGAGAGAGTTCATCACCACTAAACCTAACAAGAAATGCTAAAGGGAGATTTTCAAGCTGAAATAAAAGGATACTAATTAAAATATGAGAGTATACAACTCACTGGTAAAAGTAAGTATATAGTCAAATTTAGAATATTCTAATACAGGTTGAGTATCCCTTATCCAAAATGCTTGGGATCAAAGTGTTTAAGATTTCAGATTTTGGAATACTTGTATATACAGAATGAGATATCTTAGGGATAGGACCCAAGTCTAAACACAAAATTCATTTGTTTCACATATATCTTTACATGTAGCCTATAGATAATTTTATGCAACGTTTTAAATAATTTTGTGCATGAAACAAAGCTTGTATACGTTGAACCAATCAGAAAGTAAAGATGTCACTACCTCAGCCACCCATGTAGAGAATCTGTGGTTGTTTGTCATCATCATCATTCCTGACTCTGAATTTATATGCTACCTATAAGCAATCATTTTCTTATGTTTATTCACACATCAGTACCTAACAGTAAAAAACATGACATACCATTAATATAGTAAAAAAAATAATAGTGTGTTCTGGGTAGCTAAGCAGCACAGAATATCTACAGAATATAATCACCAGAATATCTACATCAGCTGTTCAACATAGCAATAACAAACAACAGAAGCCTTTTTTCTCCACTACAATGCTTGTTTTGATTAAAAGGTTAACTGCCTTGGGGACCCTAAATAAACTGTGTTGTGCACCTGTAGTTTGATTATGCTGCAGTTTGATTATGACACATTACATGAGGTCAGGTGTGGAATTTTCCACTTCTGGGGTCAAATTGGTGCTCAAAAGTTTTGGAGTTTGAGCATTTTGGAATTCAGATGTTTAGATTCGGAATGCACAACTTGTGCTGTAATGATGATTTCTAAATTATTTATAACTCTAGTATAAAGGTTAAAAAACAAAGAATATTAAAAGTAAGTACAGCTACAATCATTCGTTTGTAGATACAGAAATGAGAGGATATAAATTGTGACATCAAAAATATAAAGGAGAGTAAAAGTGTAGAGTTTTATACATTATTGAAGTTAAGCTATTATCAACTTAAAATAGACTATTATAAGCCAAGATGTTTTATGTAAGCCTCACGGTAATTACAAAGTAAAAACCTATAGTGGATACACAAAAAAAACCAGAAAGGATTCAAAAGATACCATGACAGAAAATCATCATATCACAAAGGAAGACAGAAAGATAGGAAGGAGCAAAGGATCTGAAAAACAGCCAGAAAACAATTAACAAAATGCCAGTATTAAGTCTTTATTTGTCAGTAATTACCTTGAATATAAATGGATTAAATTCTCCTATTTACTGCCATTCTGGAATTTGTTTTTTTATAAGGAATTCTTGCACCCAAGAACCTGGCAGTCTGAACTTTGAAGACTCAAACCAGAGTTTGATATGCAGAGAGATAGGAAAGTCAACATTTAAACCAAAAAAAATTCTTGACTAAAAAGTGAAGAAAAATTGATCCACTTTAAGGGCACCACTTGGGGGGAATCTAGCTTCCAACTGGACCCTTTACACTTGTTTTTCAGCTGATAAAACCCCAAGTGCTTTGCCAAGACTAGCTCACCTGCCAGACATTCAGCAGGCTGGCAGAGGCCAGACATTCTCAAGAAGTAGAAGAGGTAATGAAAATTAAAGGGCATGCAAAGCCTGATGTTTTCCTGCATACTTCTCTTACCATAGATGCTTAAAAAAACAAAAACAAAAATAAAAAATAATTACTAAAAGCTATCACAGTACAATTTGCTGAGTCACTGAATTAAGGTTTTTTTTTAATAGAGCTATTTATTTCTAGAGGACTGTTGATTTTTAATAGAGATGTTACTATTTGAATCCAAGTGGGGTTTTTTTTGTCCACATATATATTCAAGCCCAAGGCTATGTCAAATAGCAGTTAGTTGTATGTCAAACACAAACAAATTATAAAAAGGAACACAATGTTTAAGGAAACCCTGAGCCTTATCGGAGCTCTTAAGTTGAAGAAATCATGTGCTGAGGATACTGCAGAAGAGTCTTAGACTTGGGAAAAAGATGCAGATTTCATCCTGACCCCTCTACTTAGTAGCAGTATGATTTGGGCTGGTCACTTAATGTTTCTGATTTTTAATTCTATCATGTGGGAAATGAGGATAAAAATGTATTATATGTCCTTGTGTCCCTCAGGTCATTGTTGAGAGACAAAATGAGATCATGTCTGGGAAAATACTTCTAAATTATCAACTCCCTTTCTATGGAAGAGGATGACCAAAGAAGGATGCACTCCTTGTCTGGAATTATGCCAGAGGTCTTAAAATGCTCAGAAATGAAATCAGCCTTCTTCCCTGTCCTAAGAGGCTCAGGTTTTCGGCAAGTAACTCATAAAATTAATGCTCCACTGAAAATAAAATCTGATTTGAGTAGTATCAGCACTTAGAAGACCTTTGGAGGCCGGGGGTATTTTCTCTTTTACAATGCTGTGAACAACATTCACTCCTGGAAAACACTCCAATGTCTTACATCTTGAGGCTGTGGGGATTTTTTTTTCTTTTGGTTTAAATGTTGCCTTTCCTATCTTTCTGCATATCAATTTTTCCCCTGCCCAAGTCACAGGCTTGGTAGTAACCATCATGTTTACTGCTGTTCCTTCACATGTGGTTCTCTGAGGCTTCTGAGCACCAGAATTTTATTAAACAGAGCTACTCACACCATAAAGATGGAATTCTGCCAGATCTGAATCATAGAATAACACCAGAATTGACTTCAGAAATCATCTTCTCTAAAGATTTGCAAGATTTTTAAACAGCACATGCCTTTGTAAAATGAAATCATCAGTGGAACACCGTATATAAAATAAAATTAATAAAAACTACTATGGCTGGAGAGGTGAAACTCTAACATATTACACAGTCTCCTGGGTTTTTTTGCAGATATTAAGGATCCACTGAACCATTTGAAAACTACCCTATATACTCCCCCTTTCCAGTGCTTCAGTCCCTTCTATAGTAATCACCACTGGATTGTTCAGTCTTTCAATATTTTCAGTGGTGCCTATCCTCCCAAGAAAGGCCATCTTAATTTGGGACAGCTTTAACTGTCTATTTGGAAAATCATTCTTATATTTTAATGGTCTCCTTGTAACCTCTATTTATTGTTACTAGAACAGAACTAGACTGTGCTCTATTCCATCTAAGTATTGGGGTCAATGATCATATTCCTCCACAAACTTATAGTTTTTTTACAAACTAAATATCCCCTGATTTTTTCAACTTTATCACAGTGTGAGAATATGTGGGCCTAATCTCTTTATTCTAATTTCTTTCCTTTGAACTTGCTTCACTTTGTCAATGTCAGTTTTAATTTGTGTGCCTAGAACTGTAAAAAGTAATCCCTATGTTGACTGTAATCATCAACTCTTTCACTTTGAACATTCTACCCCTGTTAATTTGGCCTATAATTGAATTTGATTTGGGGAAAACTTGTCGGAGCTTAGCCAACTAAATCCCCAATATCATCCTTGAATATGCTACTGCAGAACCAAATCTCCCATATTACAAACTTTTAAAATTGTTTTAATGACTTCATGTGGTCATTTTCCTTTGCCATGGCTTTTAAAGTCACATGGTTCTATTAGAAAGATTTCTAGGTCTCTTGTCATTTCTAGAATCTGGTTTGTTGGATTTGGCAAATCAATATCTGTATATTTGTTCACTTTTTATTCTGTCAATCGCAAACATGCCATCTGCTTAATAATTTCCCACAGATCTTTATTGATATATATTTTGTTGGGAAAGAATTTATCATTTTAGATCCAGAATATGTAATCATAGCTGTCCATTTATATCTGACCATAAAGAACTTTCCTACTATAGAATTTTTGAGATTTGGTGAGGGCTAACTAGAAGGCTGAAAGGATAGGAAAGCTGCTGAGTTTATTTGGTTACACACCAATGGTCCTGTAAGTCTGTAATTTCAAAAATCTACCCGAAAACAAGGGATTGTATCCACTGTTAAATGGATGAAGTTTTAAGCATCAGAAAATCAGTCTGAATTTTCATTATTCCCTAGAAATTTTCTCAACTTTGTGAGTTTCATCCAGGTACTTTGCCGTTCTTGAACATATTTTCATGTGGTTTTATAATATTTATTCAACATTATTTTCCATTAGTTCTCTAATTTTAATTGTTGGTAAGCATTTCGATGTGTAGCTATTACATGGTGCAGAACTGATTTATCCACGTTAATGTCTGAGGAGACCATGACCCATTTTATCTGCTGCGTGGTCAGCCCTGGTATTCATGGCAGGTTGTCTGAATATTTCTGATGAAGTCTTTAAGTACATGTAATTCTGAAAACACATTCCCATTCAGTAAGACTTATACAGGATGGTAAGCCTAACATGGCAAAAGGTTTCTAAAAAATTCCATAAACATTAAGCATATTTATGTCATAGCATTAAGTTTGGTCAATTTGAAACTTACCGTATTGTAGTATAAGAGGCATTTTGTTTGCTTGTGTTTACTTTCCCAGGAGTAAATGCGTTTTGGTTAACCACAATGGCAAACTTAGTCAAGACATTTATGTCAACAAATCCTACTGCTTAACAAAGTCACATTCTTAGTTTCTGGGACAGCAGACTGGATTCTAAGTAATAAGGTGTTTATAAGGTGTGCTGTAAATCTGGGACTATAAACATGTCTACTTTTCTGTTAAACCTGCTGCTGTGCGTGAGGTACAATAAGCTCTCTTTTCAGTTTTATGGTGGCCAGTATGTTGGCTTGCCAGTCTTGATTGCTGTTGATTCTACTGTTCCCAAAGCCTCCTGCCAAGCTCTTGACCCAAGTCACGCTCCCTGGTGATGTCATAATGCTGCTACGAATTTGCTCATTCACTGTACCTGCAGGGATGCCCCAAGAGTCACATACCTTCCCTGTTAGTCACTCGTTGGAGAATAACACCTTGAAATGAGCAGGGCCTCTCCTTCCCCTGATTTCAAAGCCATTACATTTTCAGAATTTTCATAATGAGTTTATAGATACAGTAAGATGACTATTACCTTTATGGAAATTATTTTTAATTTGTTTTTTTCTCAAAAATAACACTATTAATTTTGTTTGGACCAAAAAAATTTTCTCCACATTCATAAGCAAAATTTATTTCAATTAAACACATATTTATGAAATACAGTGCCTGGTATTTGAAATCATCACCATTGTTATGTATGCCAAATATCTGGAGGAAAAGAAGAGAAAGTGGTCATAGATCTGAATATTTAAATTACATGATGTTGAATACATCTATTTGGAAAAATCTTATTAATTCTAAATTCTTTACTTTTTACCCAAATATTGGGCATTTATATAGATATAGCTTGCATCTTGCCTTACTTTACAATTTAATTCCCCCTACCAAATTGCTCAAACCATACTTCTCCAAAGATTCTATGAGTTAGACCAAATATAAAAACAAAAACAAACAAACAAACAAAAAACCCGAACAAAAATTATTTAAGGCGGGGCTCAGTGGCTAATGCCTTTAATCCTAGCACTTGGGGAGGCCAAGGTGGGAATATCTATTGAGCCCATGAGTTCAAGACCAGCCTAGGCAATATAGTGAGACCCCCATCTCTACAAAAAATAAAAAGCTCACCAAGGCTAGGTGAGCTTTTTTTTTTTTTTTTTTTTTTTCTGGGAGGCCAAGACAGGAGAATCCCTCGAGCCTCGGAGTTTGAGAGCAGCCTGGGCAACATGGTGAGACCCTGTCCCTAAAAATAAGTTTAAAAAAATTAGCTGGGCATGGTAGCATGCACCTATAGCACCACCTACTTGGGAGGCTAAGGCAGGAGGATTGCCTGACCCCAGGAGTTTGAGACTGCAGTGAGCCATGATCATGCTGCCACACTCTAGCCAGAGTCAAAGAGTGAGACTCTGTCTCAATAAATAAAAGAAAAATAGCCAGCATGGTGGTGGATGCCTATTGTCTCAGCTACTTAGAGGCTGAGGCAGGAGGATTGCTTGAGCCCAGGAGGTCAAGGCTGCAGTGAGCTTTGATTGTACCACTGCACTCAAGTCTGGGTGACAGAGCAAATCTCTGTCTCAAAAAAATTATTTAAAACACACTGGTTGTGAGCTCAATGCAAAACAAATACCTCATATATTTATATAATTTTTCTTTCTCAGATGAACACTACCAAGATAACGTTGGTGTTTTAACCAGGTATGAATAATGGCCCAAATACAAATGACTAAAAACCACAAGTTAACTTTTCATAGACTATAATAGATTTGGAGCTAACATTCTGTCTTTTCATATATCAGCATTTTTCCTCTGACATGTTACACTGAAAAAAAGAGTTTTTAGGTAGAAGGTTTTCTTCTACCTTCAGGAGAAAATTCCATCAGAAACTAAAATCTTTATCCAAAGACTTAGAGGCTACTTTTGAACAGTTTTTTGAGTTAATGTGTCTATGATTGCATCTATGTTTGACATTTAATTTGGAAAATAACATAAATTAGCCAAAAACCATTTCCTTAAACTGGTTTTCAAACTTGAGTGATATAAGATGTTTTGCAAAAAGGAAAAAGTTCTTGTTGATCTCCCAATGTTAAAATATTTTTATCATGCTGTTAAACCTGTTGATCTTATATAATAAAACCTAAATAAATGTATAAAGCAAAAATAAAGTCATAAAATTTATAGAATTCAAATTAGCAGTATTAATTTAATGTGACTTATATGGTTGCTTTAATTATACGAAATTACTATAATACTTGCACTATGAATATGATAATATTTTCAATATCACTAGACTATAAGCTTCATGAAGACAGAAACCATGTCTGGTTTTTCTTACCATTGTGAGATCTTAGGAGGAGAAAATGAATTAATGGTCCTTATTTATATAAGCAACTTTTAAAATATTGAGCAGGCCAAAATGTACAACACCTTACATTGAAAACTACCAAACATTATTGGGAGGAGTTAATAGGAGCTAAATAAATGGAAAGATATACCATGTTCATGGATGGTAAGACACTATGTAAACATGTTAATTTCCCCCAAATTAATGTATCAATTCAGTGTAATCCTACTCAAAATCCCATTTTGAAGAAATTAATAAGTTAATTCTAAAATTCATATGGAAATGCAAAGGCCAATGAGTAGACAAGGAAATATTTTAAAAGAATTAATTTTAAAACTAGAGGCTTTACTAACATATATTAAGATCCATTATAAACCATACTAATTAGAAATGTATAGTAATGATGAAATTATAGTCAATTTCAGAATTGAGACAGAATAGAAAGTCCATAAACAAAGTAACAGATGTATATTTACCTGATTTATGACAAAGTGACACTGCAGTGAAGCGCAGAAAGAATGGTCTTTTCTTTTTTTTTTTTTTTTGAGACGGTCTCTCACTCTGTCGCCCAGGCTGGAGTGCAGTGGTGTGATCTTGGCTCACTGCAAACTCCGCCTCCCGGGTTCACGCCATTCTCCTGCCTCAGCCTCCTGAGTAGCTGGGACTACAGCCACCACGCCCGGCGATTTTTTTTTTTTTGTATTTTAGTAGAGACGGGTTTCACCATGTTAGCCAGATTGGTCTCAATCTCCTGACCTCGTGATCCACCCACCTCGGCCTCCCAAAGTGCTGGGATTACAGGCATGAGCCACCGCGCCTGGCCAAGAATGGTCTTTTCAATAAGTAATGGTAGGTCAATTAAATGTCCATATGAAAAAATGTTTTTGACCCCCTACTTCACTCCATTGTCGACAAAACAGTCAAACTCTAAAATATTTAAAGGGATTTATTCTGAGCCAAATATGAGTGATCAGTGGCCCATAACACAACCCTCAGAAGATCCTGAGAACATGTGCCCAAGGTGGTCAGGCCACCTCTTGGTTTTATAGATTTTATGGAGACATAAAGTGTCCATTGATACATGTAAGATGTACATTGGTTTGGTCTGGAAAAGCAGAACAACTGGAAGTGGGGGCTTCAAAGTCATAGGCAGATTCAAAGATTTTCTGATTGACAAATTGTTGAAAGAGATATTATTAATAGAAAATAATGTCTAGGTTACAATAAGGGAGAATGGAGACCAAGGTTTTGTCATGCAGATAAAGCCTCCATGTAGCAGGCTTCAGAGATAATAGATTGTAAATGTTTCTTATCAGACTTAAAGAGTCTGTTCTATCAGTAATTCCAAAAGGGAAAAGAGTATAGTGAGGGATGTTCAGTACTCCATTCCCGTCATGGCCTTAACTTGTTTTTCACGTTATTTTGGAATGCCCTTTGCCAAGAGAAGGGGTCCATTCAGATGATTGGGAGGCCTTTGAATTTTATTTTTTGTTTACACCGTATACAAAATTCGATCTAGATTGATTGCAGACCTAAATGTAAAATGTAAACCAAAACATTTAAAGTAAAAATAAAGGAAATACCTTTGGAGGTCTGAAATAGCCAAAGAGTGCTTAAACAGCACACCAAAAAATTTTTTAAATGATAATCTATAGATCTATAATAAAGCAAAAACAGCGTAATAAAAATATAATGACTTCTGCTGTTGTAGTAGATTAACAACAAGAAGAGACTTACCCTACCATCTGAAATTTTTAAAAACAGGAAAAACGCATTAAATTACCATTTTCAATACACTAGAATTCAGGGAACAAAGGGCAGTGTGATCTCTGAAAGGTGGGGAACAAATGAGATGAGCCCTTCTGTCGCCCTAGCTTAATCTCTTGAGAGTTTACAGTCTGCAGTACAAGGTGGGGGATCCCAGGTGAAGCCCAGCACACTTCCTGCATTGAAGAGACAGTGCTAACTGACAAGACAAAGGAAGGTTGAATTTACCAGACAGATTACTTGAGAGAGCTGCACAGAAAAAATCATTCTAAAGATAAGTACTTAACTGTATACTGATTGGTACATACATACAAGGAAACCACTTCTGACCAGGAAAAGAATAAAAAGGTCAGAATATGCCTGTTTGCACTAGCCAGACAGGTAGACCTGATCATTAATAGGACATGGGAAATAACTCAAAAGGAAGTTTCTTCAGTAAAGGGAAGATTAGTCCTAGACTAAATGCTCCACTGATTCTACCTAACAACTCTTAAAAAGTGAACCCAAAAGGGTTAAACAGTTTATGAGTGACTTAACTACATCCCAAGACATAGTTTTAGTCATTGAAATACAAAAATATCCAGAGCACAAAGAGGGTAAAACCACAATGTTTGGCATTCAATTAAAGATTACAAGGCATACAGGTGGTAGCTCAAGGCTGTAATCCGAGCACTTTGGGAGGTCAAGGCGGGTGGATCACCTGAGGTCAGGAGTTCAAGCCCAGCCTGACCAACATGGAGAAACCCCGTCTCTACTAAAAATACAAAAATTAGTTGGGCATGATGGCACACACCTGTAATCCCAGCTACTCAGGAAGCTGAGACATGAGAATGGCTTGAACCCGGGAGGCAGAAGTTGCGGTGAGCCGAGATCATACCACTGCACTCCAGTCTGGGCAATAGAGTGAGACTCTGTCTCCAAAGGAAAAAAAAAGAGATTACAAGGCATACAAAGAAGCAAGAAAATATATCTCACACCAGCACAAAAATCAACCAATTGATGCCAACTAGCAGTGACACAGATGTTAGACTTAGCAGATGGGGCATTAATATAGTTATTGTTATAACTATATATTTTCAATAAATTAATCAGAGATGAAAGTTTTTTTAAAAATCAAATCAAATGTTGAGAGATACATTTTAGTAGAAAAAAAGATGAATGAAGTTGAAGGCAAAATAATGGAAACTAACCAAATGAAACACAGATAAATTTTTTTAAATTTTAATAAAGAGAGCATCAGTGAGATGTACGACAAATTCAAGCAGCCTGTTATATGTATAACTAGAGTCCCCAAAGGAAGGTGGATAAGGCGCAAAAGATAGTTGAAGAAATAACGATGAAACTATAAACCCATGGATCAAAAAACTCCATAAACCCCAAGCCCAAGATACGTGAAGAAAACTATACCAAGACAAATAATAACCAAATTGCTTAAAACCATTGAGAAAAATTGTGATAAAGAAAAACTCCTAAATGCAATCAGAGAAAAAAAATAACACATTATATGTGGAGAAACACAGAAAAGGATGTCGACAAGTTTCTCAGTGGAAAAAAGCACAAGTAAAAAGATGGTAGAGCTGCATCTTTAAAGTACTGAAAGGAAAAATAAAAAAAAAATCAAGCTACAAGTTTATACCCAGCAAAACTATCTTTTAAAATAAATATTTATCACAACCGAACTTCAGATAATAGAAAATGATACTGGATAGAAATCTGGAATTACACAAAGGAATGAAGATAATCAGAAATAGAAATGACATGGTAAATATATAATATTTGTTTAATTTTCATATCTTATTAAGCACAATGATAACACTGTATTGTGGGATATATACATACAACAAATAAGATGTGTAAAAAAAATAGCATTTAAGCCAGAAGGAGAGAAATGAATGTGTGCTATTGAATGTTATATGCGAAATATTATAATCTCACTTGAAGGTAAATTGTAGTAGTTTAAAGATGTGTGCTATAAACCCTAAAGCAACTACTAATATGATGAATCAGTTATAGCTAATGACCCAACGAGGGATAAAATTGAATTATAAAAAATTCAATAAAAACAATTAATTAAAAGGCAAAGGTTCAAGTCATACAAAGTATGCTGTCTGACCACAAGTGAAATAAATTAGATATCAATAAAAGAAAGGAATCCAGAAAATCCTCTAATATTTAGAACCTAGTAACACCATTATTTGACCCATCAATCAGAAAAGAAATCAAAAGAGAAATTAGATAGTATTTTGAACTCAATAGCAGTAAAAAATACAACTATGGCATGTAGCTAAAGCATCTATTTAGAGAGGGAATTTATAGAACTAAATGTCCATGGTAGAATGTAAGAAAGGTCCCAAATCAATAATATCAGTTTCCACCTTAGAAAACTAGAAAACAAACCTACTAAAGCTAAACAGAAGAAAGGAATAATAAAGATTAGAATAGAAATGAATTAAGAGAAAAACAATAGAGAATATCAATGAAACCAAAAGCTGGTTCTATAAGAAGACCAATAAAATAAATAAAAAACTTTAGCCAGACTGACCAGGATAAAAGAAAGATGGCACAAATTACCAACTTGGATAATGAGAGGCTGACATTAAAAATGTAAAGGAATACGAACAACTTTATGTCAATGAATTATACACATAGATGAAATAGACAAATTATCTGAAAGCTCAAACTAGCAAAGCTTAAGTAAGAAAAAATAGACAACCCGAGTAGCTCATATCTATTAAGGAAATTGAATTTGTAGTTAAAAACCTTCCCAGAAAAAAAAATAAAAAATAAAAAATAAAAAAAAATAAACCTCCAAGCCCCAAAGACTTCACTAGAGAATTCAACCAATCTTTTATGGAAGAAATAATAGCAGTTCCACACTAACTCTTCTAAAAACATTCAGAAAAGCGAATATTTCCTAAATCATTCTATGAAGCTAGCATTGTCATAATATCAAAACCAAATAAGACATTATAACAAAATGAAACTTCATTATAACAAAATGAAAATGATGTTTTAACATATGAAACTTATGCTATATCCCTCATATATGTAGATTCACACATTGTTAACAATTTCTTGTAAGTTGATAACAATTTATTGTGAGTGCAATAAGAGAAAAAAATCATCCTCATTGAAAGGTAGAGTAAAATTCTTTATTTGCTGAAAATTATTATCTATATAGACAGTCCAATGTAATCTACAGAAACCTACTAGAACTAGTAAATTAATTTAACAAGATTGCTGGATACATAATCAATATATAAATATCAATTGTACTTCTATATACTATTCATGAACAATTTGAGGTTTAAATTTAAAGGTTGCTGTTTATAACAATATAATAATACAAAATATTTAGGTATAAATCTAACCAATATTAGGCAAGATTTGTATGCTGAAACTATAAAACATTGTCATGAGAATTGAAAACCTAAATAGAAAACCTAAATATATTTTGTTCATGAGTCTAAAGTTGTTACAATATCAGTTAAGTTATTGTTATCAGTTTTTTCAAATTAATCTATATGTTCAAAGCAATCCCAATCAAAAGGCCAGCAGGCTTTTTGTATAAATTGATAAACTGATTCTAAAATTAATACAGAAATGCGAAGGATCCAGAGTAGTCAAAAACTACTTTGAAAACAGTTGAAGTTCCAATACTAGCTGATTTCAATAATAAATATTTAAATTCCCAAATCAGGCAAGGACACAACAATGACAACAGAAAACTACAAGCCATTATCCATGATGAATAAAGATGCAAAAATCCTCAACAAAATACTAGCAAACTGAATCCAACAGCACATCAAAAAGAGAATATATCACAATCAAGCAGGTTTTGCTCCAGAGATGAAATAATGTTTCAACATACACAAATCAATAAATGTGATTCACTGTATAAACAGAACTAAAAACAAAAACCATATGATCATCTCAATATATACAGAAAAGGCAGTCAGTAAAATCCAACATCCCTTCATAATGAAAGCCCTCAACAAATTAGGCATCAAAGAAACATACCTCAAAATAATAAGAGCCATATATGACAAGCCCGTAACTAACATCATACTGAATGGGGAAAAGTTGAAAACATTCCCCCTTAGAACTGGACCAAGACAAGGATGTCCATTCCCACCACTCCTATTCAACATAGTACTGAAGTCCTAGCCAGAACAGTCAGGCAAGAGAAAGAAATAAAAGACATCCAAGTTAGAAAAGAGAAAGTCAAGTTATCTCTGTTCACTGATAACATGATCATATACCTAGAAAACCCTAAAGATTCTTCCATAAGACCCTAAACTTGATAAATGACTTCAGTCGAGTTTCTGGATACAAAATCCATGTACAAAAATCAGTAGCATGTCTCTACAACAAAAACATTCGAGCTGAGAATGAAATCAATAACGCAATGCCATTTATAATAGCCACCAAAAAATAAAATGCCTAGGAATACATTTAACCAAGGAGGTGAAAGATCTCTGCAAGGAGAACTACAAGACACTGCTGAAAGAAATCATAGATGACACAAACAAATGGAAAAACATCCCATGCTCATGGACTGGAAGAATCAATATTGTTAAAATATCCATACTGCCCAAAGCAATCTACAGAATCAATGCAATTTCTATCAAATTGCCAGTATCATTTTTCACAGAATTAGAAAAAATGCTAAATGTCATATGTAACCAAAAAAGAGCCCAAATAGCCCAAGCAATTCTAAGCAAAAAGAACAATCTGGAGAAATCAAATTGCCTGACTTCAAATTATACTAAAAGGCTGTAGTAACTAAAACAGCATGGTACTGGAACAAAAATAGACATGGATCAGAATAGAGAACCCCAGAAATAAAGCTACATACCTACGCACCTCAACCAAGTCAACAAAAATAAGCAATGGGGGAAAGAACACTCTATTCAATAAATGGTGCTGTGAAAATTGGCTAGCCATACACAGAAGAATGAAACTAGATCCCTATCTCTTATGACATAAAAAAAATTAACTTAACATGAATTAGACTTAAATGTAAGACGTGAAACTATTAAAAATTGAGAAGAAAATCTAGGAAAACTCTTCTGGACATTGGCCTAGACAAAGAATTTATGATGAAGCCCCCAAAAGCAAATGCAACAAAAACAAAAATAGACAAATGGGACTTACTTAAACTAAAAAGCTTCTGCACAGCAAAAGAAATAATCAACAGAGTAAAAGATGACCTACAGAATGGGAGAAAATATTTGCAAATTATCACTCTGACAAAGGACTAGTATCCAGAATCGACAAGGAACTCAAAAACAAGATATCATCTTACACCAGTCGGAATAGCTATTATTACAGAGTCAAAAAAACAACAGACATTGGCATGGATGTGGAGAAAAGGGAATGCTTGTACACTGTTGGTGGGGCTGTAAATTAGTTCAACCTCTGTGGAAAACAATATGCATATTTCTCAAAAATATTTCTCCAAAAACTAAAAACAGAACTACCATTTGACCCAGCAACCCCCCTGCTAGGTATCTACCCAGAGGAAGACAAAGTCATTATACAAAGAGACCTGCACTAGTGTGACCAAATCCAAAAAATATATAATTATGATTCACAAAAGCAAAATCATGGAACCTACCTAAGTGTCCATCGACAGTTGACTGGAAAAATAAAATGTGTGGTATATATATACCATGGAATACCACATAGTACCATATAAAATATCCATACTGCCCAAAGCAATCTACAGAATCAATGCAATCTCTATCAAATTACCAATATCATTGGTTAAAGAAAATTAAATCATATTCTTTGCAGCAACATGGATGGAGCTGAAGGCCATTATTGTAAGTGAACTAACTCAGAAACAGAAAATTAATACTCCATGTTCTCACTTATAAGTGGGAGCTCAGCAATGGGTACACATGGACATAAAGATGGGAATAATAGACACTGGGAACTTCAAAATGGGGGAGGGGTTTTGTGAGAGACAAGAGTTGAAAAATTACCCATTGGGTACAATGTTCACTATTTGGGTAATGGGTACTCTAGAAACCCAATCCCCACCAGTATGCAATATACCCATGTAACACACATGCACAATACTGTTGAATCTAAAATAAGATATAATTAAAATAATAATAATAATTGATATTTCATTAATAAATAATGGATATATTAATAAATGTAATAAAGCTGCAATAATTGAAACACTTGTAGTGTTGGCATCAAGATATTAATAGATAAATTGATCTAGACCAATGAAAGAGAATAGAGTTTAGAAATAGATCATACATTTGGACAACTGTTTAGCTTTGGTGGGAAAAAACCTAGATGACTTAAGGCATAGTGATGACTTTTTAGATATAACACCAAATCCATGATTGATCAAATAAATTATTGAAAAGCTAGACTTTATTAAAATTAAAATCTTCTTCTCTGCAAGAGATACTGTCAAGAGAATAACAAGTCATTGACCTGAAGAAAATATTTGTGAAAGATATGTCTGATAAAGAGCTGGTATCCAAAATATACCAAAGTAACTGTCCTAGTTCATTTGTGTTGCTATAAAGGAATGCTTAAGACTGGGTGATTTATGAACTTTATAAAAAAAGTTTGTTTGGCTTGCATTTCTGCAGGCTGTACATACTGTGAAGCATAGCACCAGCATCTGCTTCTGGTGAGAATCTCAGGCTACTTTCACCCATGGCAGAAGACCAAAGGGAGCCAGCATGTGCAGAGATCACATGCTGAAAGAGGAGGCAAGAGAGAAGAGGGGAGGTGCTAGAGTCTTTTTAACAACCAGCACTCATGGCAACTAGTAGAGCAAGAACTCACTCATTCCTGTGAGGACAGCATCAAGACATTCATGAGGGATCCGTCCTCATGATCCAAACATCTCTCATTAGGCCCCACTTTCAACATTGGGGATCAATTCAGCATGAGATTTGGAAGGGTCAAATAAACCAAAGTATAGCACTGTTAAAGCTCAACAATGAGAAAATGAACCTGATTTTTAAATGGGCAAAAGGCATGAACAGACACCTTATCAAAGAAGATATACAGATGCCAGGTAAGCATATGAAAAAATGTTCAACATCATATGTCATTAGGGAATTAAAAATTAAAACAAGAAGATACTACTACATACCTATTAAAATGACTTGTGTTCTGGCTGTCCAGAACAATGACAACACTAAATTAGTCAGGGTGTAGAGTAACAGGAGTTCTCATTAACTGCTGGTAGGAATGCAAAATGGTATAGCCAATTTAGAAGACAGTTTGTTGGTTTCTTAAAAAAAAAAAAAAACCTAAACATTCTCTTATGTTACAAACTAGCCATTGTGCTTCTTGGTATTTACCAAAATGAGTTGAAAACTTCAGTCCACACAAAAACGTGCACACAAATGCGTATAGTGTTTTATCCATAATTGCCCAAACTTAGATACAACCACAATGTCCTTTGGTACATGAATGGATAAATAATAAATAAATAAACTTTAGTATATCTGGGATATGGGATATTATTCAGCAGTAAAAGAAATGAGCCATAAAGACATGGAGGAAACTAAATGCCAATCTGAAAAGGCTACATACTGTGTGATACCAACCATATGACATTCTAGAAAAGGCAAAACTGTGGAGATAGTAAAAGGATCAGTGATTGCCTGGAGTTAGGGCAGAAAGAAGGAAGAATAAGCAGAGTACAATGGCTTTTTAGGGCAGTGAAACTACTTTGCATGATACTGCAATGGTGGATACATATCATTATCCATTTGTCAATAGCCATAGAATGTACAACACCAAAGTGAACTCTAATGTAAACTATGGACATTGGATGATAATGGGGTATCAATGCAGGTTCATTGATTATAATAAAAATATCACTCTAGTGTGGAATTTTGATAGTGCGAGAAGCTATGCGTAATTATGGTAAGGAAGTTATGGAAAATCCCTGTACCTTCTACTCAATTTTTCTGTTAACCTAAAACTGCACCAAAAAATAAAGTTCGTCTTTAAAAAATAGCAAGGACAATTTATAAAACATATTACATTGAACCTCTACTATATGGGAAAGAAGTAAAAGAATTATAAATACAAAATGACAAATAGATGGTATATATCCTAAGCACTCATATGCTAGTTGGGAAGACAAGACACAGTAAAAATAGACCAAAAAGCTAGCCCAGCTTTACCTTCTCTCTTCCCTGGCCCACACCAAGACCTTCTCTGGGTGTGTGACATTTATTAGCAACACACAACTTAGAATTTTATTCAATAACCTCTAAAACACATAGAATTACTAAAGGGAATATGACCAAAGGGATCAAAAACAAAAGACTGCATGGGGCCAGGCAGGTTACAGAAATGAGTAAAGCATTTTATACTACTATGGGATAGTAGGAAATTTTGGGGGTGGGTGGAATGAGAGAAAACTGTGGTCAAACTGGAGCATGCATACTGCCTAAAAGAACTCAAATTCATAGGAAAAGCCAAATCATACTTAAACAAAAAAAAGAAATTTTTAAAAAACTCATGCCTACTGAACAAAGTCAATCTTTGCCAGATGTGATCTGTGTCCTAAACTACATTCCTTAAAGGCTAGGCCACCAATCAATTATGCAGTACATATTTACTGAACACTTTCTTGCTTTGGGAAGAACTAGTGGAACAAATAAAACACATAAGAAGTTAAGGCCTAATAAGTGCTTGAGTTCAAGCCCTCGTGAGTTTAGAGCTGGAAAAGCCCAGTGCTAACCTGCAGGGAAAGAATGGGAAGGAATTAGATGGAAAGCAGGGGAGAAGACCTCAGGTCCTTTTTTTTCTTTTAATTCCTCACCAAGCATCCAGTAAACCATCCAAGAAGGACCCAGTACTAAAAATCTTACCTAGGAGATCACCCTTGCCCCAAAAAGTGAATAAGCAGGAGTACTCCTATGCCTTCTCCCTGGAAAGTTAATGGACTTTTTCATGGGAAAAAATTGAATTGCCTCCAATTCTCAATTCACTTGGAAAATGCTCTGACCACATGATACCTCATCTTGGCAACTACCACAAGACCTAGAAGCAAACTCTATAGGTTTGCTGTTTACTAGGAATGAGGAGGCACAGGAAGATTCTTCGTTACTCCTGAGGTCATTAGAAGCATTAGAAAATGGGTGCAAGGTGGGCAGGGAAGGAAAAAGAATGGAATGTACTGTAAGAGGGAAGTGAAAACAAGGACCCAGATTTGGGAAGAAATAAGCTCTATCGTGTCCTTCCTAAAGTAGATTTTTTTTTAGTTACATTCCTTTCATCTTTCCCGTCATCTTCTCCCTCTATGCCTGCCTTTCCCCCAACCCCCTCAACACGCAGACCATGCAGTGGGAGCCTGGGAATGAGGAGTAAAAGGGAGAGAGGGATTCAATTGCTATAGAAATAAGGGAAATCATTTAGTATAATGAGTATAAATGTTGCCATTCAATTCCTCACTAAAGCTGCTTGGTGTACCTGTGGGTACCCACCTCCCCATCTCTGGCATGCAGCTAATGTAAATCCATGCCCATATGACTTACAGGAGGAATCATTGCTTGTTCCTCTCCTGTCTACTTTCAAGTAAACATCATTTAGCATTGGCTTCAACAAACAATGCTTTTTCTGTATACCAAAGGGAATGGATACACATTCACATTAGATTTGAATAAGATTCTAATCCCCTAGTCAAGGTTCTCCTTGTCTTAAGGCCACATGATATAAAAACAGAGACTTTGAGCTTATTTCAGCTGCTTTATTACTTCTTCCTCCCACTACTCTAGGCTTTGGGAACAGAAAGTAGATGGAGGAGAAAAGGAACTGGTGCTGGCTGGCTTGCACTTGAAAAGGCATCTTCTCAAACAGTTGTATAGGGCCGGCCAGCTGTGGGCTTATTGACAAGGGAGAATCAGGCAGCTGAGATACTTCTCATGGAACTCCAAACAGAGGTGAAAGTTTTCTGAGGAGCTGCTCCATTTCAGGGCAGCTGACCTGACTCTTTCATCCACTTAAGTGGTTACAATCATGATGAATGACAGTGACAGCCAGAAACCTGGACTATAGCTCCCAGCTATTGGGCGCCTCTCCCATGTTGGGAGTCCTATCCTGTATGCCCAGGACCATCTGCCATAATAAATGGTTTATACTTAGTATATTGCTCTACATATTTTAAACATGGAATTTAGATAGAGGGTTTAGATATTTTAGGGTTACATAGGTGATGAAAGAGCTGAGAAGCTAAACAGAGATGAGGCAACCAACCCAGAGATGATTAGCAACAGCAAAAAAGTCTATTTCGACCTTTTTTAAAAAAAAAAAAACCAGACGTTAAAAAAAAGGGGGGAGAGGGGGATGAGGCGGTATTACTGGAGCCCAGCAGACAGGGCTGCCTGGCAAATTTTTACCTGCAGGGGAGGGTCTGCTCTGCAGGAGCTGGGACCATGAGGGGTGAGTCTACCTAGCAGAAGCAAGAGTCATAGAAGAGATGAAGCTCCTGTCAGAGATGCTGCTTTGCTGCTTGTGGCAAAGAGGTGTGTGTGTGTGTGTGTGTGTGTGTGTATGTGTGTGTGTGTAGAGAGGGAGGTAGGAAGATTTGATATATCATGATTTATTCTTACCTCCCTTCCTCTAAGCTCCCACCAGAGCTCCCATTGGCTGATCTTAGGAGAAAGTCGATTTGCAATGGATCCTGGGAAATGTAATTATCTGTGATGCTAAGCAAGGCTAGAGAAGGGTTAAGAATGGATCTGAGAGAAAATAAGCAAATGACTGGCCCACTTACTATTACAGATAAATTCTCCTTCAGTTGATATCTCATCCCTCAACTTAGACTTCACCTTCATAGCACTATTAGCTAACTCCCTGTCTTCTACTCATCTTAGGTGCTTTACAAAGGTGAAATTGTCATATCCTCATGTTGCATGGATGGATAGATGAATGGATGGATGGATGGATGGATGGATGGATGGATGGATGGATGGATAAATGGATGGGATGGATGGATGAATGATAGATTAATATATGATTGATAGATAGCCTCAATAAGCAACTCTTTCTTTTGAGATAATCTTCACATTCACAGAAATTCACAATCATAAATGATATTTCCATAACTGTGCTGAACCAAAGATCAGATAAATATAAAATGTTGAAGATAAGAAGTCATTTTTCTGAGAGAGGGAGGGAGAAAGAGGAGTGGCTCTGATGAGTAACACCTTCTCTCTAAATTGACCCTGACATCTGGATACAATGATATAGCACAATTCTTAGTATATTATCTGTTGAATCTATCAAATAGGATTTACTTCAAAGGATATTTACAAGCTGATGGTGGCAACCATTGCTGACTGCCCAATGTAAGCTTTATGCATTGTAGAATTAAGTTGAGTGATTCTTATCATAAAAGTTTCTTTCTTGCAGTATTTTCACCTATTAGCCACTGTTTATATATATGTCAAGGTATTTAAGATGGAAAGTTGCTCCAAATCAAGGAATGGCTGTAAGGGTCAGTAACAACATGAAGTTGTAACAGGTATGTGTCTCTACCACCTACAGGAGGGCAGAGCATGTTTGAAACAGATCTACCTACCACTTACCTGGACCTGGTACAGAAGACTGTCAACTAAATAAAACTCCCCTACTGAAAATGGTGGAGGTGTTAACTTGAAAGATCTGAAATATGTCTATTTGCTGGTGTAGCATAGATGGAAATTAGAATTGGAAAATGAGAACCAAAACATTAAACAACTTAGGTCAAAAATGAGTTGATTCATAGCCAAGAGGAGTCTGAGGAGACATGATGGCTAAAGGTAATGTGGCATCCTGGATGAGATCTGGAATAGAAGAAAGACATTAGACAAAAACTAAGAGAAGCTAAATCAAGTATGGACTTTAGTTAACAATAATGTGTCATAACTGGTTCATTAATTGTAACAAATATACCATACTAATATCAGATGTTATTTATAGATGTAACTGGATGCTGGGTGTATGGAAATTCTCTGTACCTTGGCAATTCTTCTGTAAATCTAAAACTATTCTAAAAACAATCAAATTCTTTCAAAATTAGTTAATGACTAATATAGAGGTAAATCAATCCTCATGATTTCCCCACAGGCAGGAGTTTTTAATTGGTTTGTATCATGGAAGCCTTTGGCAGACTGGTGAAGCATAGCTACATAAAAGATGTAACATTACAAAGGGAATACATGCTATTGGAATACAGTTATCAAAATATTGAGATCAAACAGGAAGTATATTGAAACACAGTTATCAAAATAGTAAAATATCAAACTTGCCACATACTAATATGTGTGTTATCATTAATGCATCAAATACATGATCTAGTGACAGACCTATTACCTACTGTGATTTTGAAGAATGATGAGTATAAATGACAATTCAAAATGCCTGCAAGTACTGAAATATGATATGAATTTTTTTATTTCTATTGCTGAACTACTGCTAATTCTACTGTGGTTTGTTGCCTACATTCATAATGTAAGAAAAAGTTAAATTTCAGTAAGAAGCTGTGAAAAAAACTTGTAAATTTTTCCCATTTAAGTTCATAGGCCACACTCTCCTCCATCATCTCCTGCATTCAACCCACAGTCCAAGAGTTAAGAATCCCTGGGCTAAAGGAAGTGCTTGCACTTGCCCACTCTGTAAGGATAATAATCACTGAGGTTCCATGAAATCAGTGGTCTTCCCAGTCTTGTATTTGTGCCTTTGTCTGGACACAGAAAGACATGTTTGGGGAAATGCCATACTGTCGTGCATTTCTCCTTCACCCTGCACAGCCTCACCTTGCTTCCCATCTTCTCCTCCGTGGTCTGATGTTTTTGGACCCCTTAAAAAGTTAGAGATGAATCTGAGTGTTCAGAAACTTTTTGTTATTCATAATGTGAATCTAAACCTTACTCTAGTTTGTTTATACTCTCTTACCTTCCTAATTCTCTGGGCAACAAGTTTCACATGTAAGCTAGGTGCTTTATATAGGAGTACTTTCTTTAAATTGCTCGTAACCTCTTCACATATTTTTTTTGAGAAATAGTGAAAAACAGCACATATTCAAATCATGTTCCTAAATAACTTACTTGTTTAATACTGTTAATCTGTGGTCAGTTTACACCTTATCAGTCATGGATACTTAAATGTGCCTTTGAGATGCAGCTTTCTAAATTTATCTCTGATGTCCCATCTTCTTCCCACCAACTTAGTAGGAAAGAGAAAACTCACGGTATCCAAGCTATACCATCCAAAAAATTCATAGTATTCTGCCCAGCCCAGAAATATTCAAAGACTAGCAGCTTGGCAGTGCCAAGTAAAATTTTGTAGGTAAACACTTAGAGGTATTCCCCTAACGACTTTCTGCATCTCTACATAAACTTACCTGTTGACGGTATCTGTCAGTGCCTCCCTCCCGGTAGAGCAATGTTGGCCTCACAAATCAGAATTTCTATTTACTAAGAACTGGAGCCTGGCAACCATTCAACCACAAGAAACCTGAAAACATCTACCTGCCTAAACCAATCTTCCTTTTGACACACCAGCCGGGCGTTGCCGAGCTTGGAAACATCGCAACTAATGTGTTTTGTTTCTGAAAAACGTAATTAATCTACAATGATTAAAGTCTGACAAGATGTCCTCAAGCCATCTTTTACTTTGATTTATTATGAGCAACTTTGCATAAGCAATTTATTATCGCAAAATCTGAAATTGACTAAATGAATTTATGGGAGCTGGTTGGCTTGAATCTATTTTATTTTGACCATATACTTCCAGCTAATTACTAGTTCTCGGTAATGCTGTCATGTTAAAATACAGATACGTGGATTTATAAGAGCAGAGGCTGTTTGATTTTCTTCCCCCCAGCTCAAGCAGAAATTTGCCCGGGCTTGCTGAGTACCTGCATACTTAGAAGAACTTGCTGTTTTGCTGCCTTTGAGATATAAAATAATATCCCTGAGTATAATTTTTTTTGTACTTTTCTGTGATCCAGTGCTGCAGGCATAGTAAAAGAATGTCGTTATTTGTAAAATCATGCTTTCGTTAGATCTCCTTGGCAAGTTTTGTGCCAGTGGCAAACACGCTGCTCTGCGTTGCCTCCTCCCTGGTGGTTTCAGTGTCGATAGCTGTGCATGCAAAGCAAAGTGGAGAAATGAGGTCAGTCTGAATCATTTCAGCCCCTAATCCAAAGAAAGTCCACCTTTTCTCTTCTCCCAAAAGGAGAATTAGCAATTTGATCTGTAATATGAAGGGACTGGACTCTCCATTTTTCCTGAGACTGTCTTTGTCTATACTCGCCGGTTGTCCTCTGCGGAGCCAGAGTAGGATTCTGTAAGGAACAGAGACTGGCCAGAGGGAATGAGCTAGAGGGTAGTACAGAAGCAAAGAGCCCGAGTCAAGCGAACTTTGGGACAAACTAAATACAGCCCCTCCAGATTTTCTACACCTCTGGAAGTTCTGGGAACCCAGACAGCATCAGGCAATAATGAATAGGAATGTCTCATACTGAATATTTTCCTCTTATTTCTGAGAAGAAAAAAAACTATTAACAATAAACCTTTTTCCTTTGAACTGTGCTGTTTGTTTTACAATTATCCTAGAGCTGTGAGTCCTTGTCTTTTTGACCTATCCAATAAGATTGTCTTGGGACCTCCAAGACAATGCACAGTTTTAAATCTTCCAAGTTGTGAATATTAAAAATATCACTACTCTCTAGCATCACTTTCATTTCATTAAAAATAAAAGGATATTTTAATGTCCCTCTAAAAGGTAGGGAAGGGACATAATCTAAGAATAAAGAATAGTTGTTTTAGTAAGTTTAGTTCTGTGGAAAACTCATTATGACTGCTTTTTATTTTTTGGTTTGTTTTGGTTTTTAGTTTGTTTTTTAATTTCACCACTGTCTAGCCTAACTTTCAGGAATTATTGCTTTGGAGTATAATATGTCTAGGACAAATTATCAGGAAATAGTGTGCAAGCCTGTGGTGGCCATAAAAGTGTGCCACTCACATCTCCTGCTGCAGGAATGTGACTGGCAGGTTCAGCCATGCCCCTCTGCACCCACGCACAGGCTGCACTTCCCACTGGCTGCCCCTAGCCCCTGACTGCACGCAGCAGGAGGAATAAGGCCGGCTCGTTCTGGGCAAGATGCAAGACTCCTCTGATGAGCAGCTGACTGCAGGGCTCCCCAGCAGCTGGCCAAAACCTTCCTAGGACTGAGCTGCAGGCCAAGACTCTTCCTGCTCCTCTCTTTCACAAGGGTCAGACCTGAATCTCAGGCTCACGGTTCTCCACCCCTGCTTCAACTCTCTCCCTTTTTCCCCTTATAGGCATTTCCCCCATCTCTTACAAGTTGAATCTATCTAGGTGGCTGCTGCTCCAAGACCTGAACAAACACAAAGTCCTTTCCCAACCAGTATTTCATTTACTTGTGCTTCACACCACCACTGGGAAAGTTCAACGATATGTATACAACCAACAGGAGACTTCGGCAAATATAATCCATACCAAGGCTAGGACTGGAAACTAGACATTCCAGTGCTCTTTCTAAGACCTCAACTTCCAATGATACCACAAATTTCTCCTGAAGGAACCACTTCTCAATGCAAAGTATCCCGTGGGAAAAAACATAACCTAGTTTATAAGTACTTGAGTGAATTTTCCAATGACAATTTCCAAGTGATTGTTTCATCTCTCCAGGCTGGTGCTTTTCAAATGTCTTTAAGCTGTTGACTCTTTTCTTCAAGTTACATCCTTACAAACGATCAGTAGATCACAACAGAGGCAGGATTGACCCACAGCTGAGGTGGTGGGTGAAGGAGAGATCCAGACCTGCTGCCAACCACTGGCCTCCTGTTTTCTCACCCCCTCAGTGCTACTGAGATGCCCTTTCCAAGAACTCCTGAGCTCAACTAATCATGGTGATAAAATCCCTGCTCAGATCATTGATTTGTAAATAGTATTTCACAGAGATCTGCTCAGTGAAATCTCACCAGGAGAATGAGGGTCAAGCTGTGGGGTTCTGCCTCCCAGGCTATCTCAGAGAGGGCCTCTTGGCTTTTATCTGTGAGTGTATGATTGATTCCTCACCAGATTTCCCTTGAAGAAAATATTCTATAGTTTAAAAAAAGTTTGAAAAGCTCCTGCTCCAGGACGCTGTTACAGAATGGACCTTGCATAAAATGCTTTCTTTTTTCCTTACATTGCAGCCATATCTACAAGTATCTGGAACAAATGGACTAGAGCACAATCCCAGCCATTTGACTCATCCCACGGTGGTTCTGCGGGACTCCCAGGGAATTATCCATTTCAACTCTTTTATCACATATTAATTCATCCAGCTATTCAAGGAATATATGATCAGCATCTAAAGTCACATTCTTTTAAGAGAAGGAAATATATAAATAAATGCCAACCAGTGTGATCCCAATTCAAGAAAAGCCCAAAAGAAATGTCTCTGTCTACTAGGGAGGTGGGGGGAGCCAGGAGACTTGATGTAGAAAAGAGACCTAAAAAGAGTCAGGTATTAGGCCAGGTGCAGTGGCTCATGCTTGTAATCCCTGCAGTTTGGGAGGCTGAGGCAGGAGAACAGGACCACTTGAGCCCAGGAGTTCGAAACTAGCCTGGGCAACATGGCAAAACCCAGTCTCCACAAAAAAATAAAAAGTAAAGAGTCAGGTAATAGACCCTGGGTGTTTGCTCCTCCTATTTTCTCCCAGGCATTTCTGCCTCAAATGCCTTATGTCTAAGAACTCCTTCCTGCCTCACCCTATGAGATAGAGGCTATTGTCACCCCCATTTTAGAAATGAGGAAACCCAGGCACAGTGACATCAGGTTAAGTGCCATGTCTGAGGTAACACATCAATAAAGGGCAGAACCAGGAGTACACTCTTCTATGTCCATCCTCTTGGCCACCATACATCCTGCTCAACACCAACAAGGCAGAATTGAATCAAGGTGCTCTGATTCTCAGACTAGCATTTAATTCTAACTTGCAAGACCCTAGAACGGTCTGTCAGAGGCTGATGACTCACAAAGCAGCATCGGTTTAAAAAGGTGAGGCATTCACTAGAATGGCAACTTTGGGCTTCGTGTTTAGAAGTGCCGGGGCTAGGGGTAGGGGAATGTGATAAATATAAGGCTGAACTTCCATTAAACAAAAATGTACTGTGAGAAAAAGCTTGGTGTGTTTGGGTGAATAGTGAGTTTCTACCACATGCAAAGCATGATAATAATCAGGTTTTCAAAATACTCAGCCAGGCTCTGCTATCTTCTCTAAGGTAGAAATGCACAGACAGATAAAAGACTGTTCAGGTTTTATTTCAATCTTTCCCTCCCTGCTTGTGGTCTTAGAAGTCTTAGTATTGAAAGCAAATGATATATCTACCTCCTCCTTCCCAAGGCAGGAATTAGCGTTTTAATTTTGGATCCTTTAGACAAAAATCAAATGAAATGCTTTATTTACTTTTTGGAGACTTGTTTTTCTTCTTTCCAGGAATAAAGCCTATTGCGTACTGAGTTGTAGACTAAATACCATGAGTCCCAAGAAAGAGATGGTTACTGGAGCTACAGTGAATGTGTTTGTACTTCACTAACAAGGAAGGAGCCTAGCTTTGGGGGGCTCCAGAATGGAATGGATTTCTATCAGAGCATAGTAATTGGACTTACCTTGAACTTAACTCCAAATCAGGAGCTTTATACATAAACATGCAAGAAATACATTTCAATAACTATGTGCTGAGAGCCCTTCTTTGGTAAGGAAAGTTAATTACATACACTTTTGTCATCTTATTTAGAAATTATGGAAGCCTCTAAACTATGAAAATAATGACAACTTAGCTACCAGTATATAATTCTTAAGTTTTTCCACCCACCCTAGCCACTGCTTATCTAGATAAGATGACCACACAAGTTATAATCCAAACTAGACATTTAGAAAGCAAAATGAGGCCGGGTGCAGTGGCTCACACCTGTAATCCCAGCACTTTGGAAGGCCGAGGTGGACAGATCACGGGGTCAGGAGATCCAGACCATCCTGGCCAACACAGTGAAACCCGTCTCTACTAAAGATACAAAAAAAAATTAACTGGGTGTGGTGGCGGGCACCTGTAGTCCCAGCTACTCAGGAGGCTGAGGCAGGAGAATGACGTGAACCCAGGAGGCGGAGCTTGCAGTGAGCTGCAATCACTCCACTGCACTCCAGCCTGGGTGACAGAGCGAGACTCCACTCAAAAAAAAAAATGAGTGTTGTTATTAATTATATTGGGATGACAGGCATAAACCAGGGCTGACCCAGGCAAACTAGCATGAATGATCCACCTAATCATAAACAAAATTCCTTTTTTCCAGCAAATAAACTGAATCAGCATGGAGTTTGCAAGCAGGGGGTGATGGCAGCCACAAGGCTCAGTCAGTGAAAGGTCAAGAAGAGGAAGTTCTCTATCTGGGGCTACTTTAAACATAGTCATGTAGAGATGGAAGGGATGGTACAATCATGTAGTTCAACCAGATGAGGAAGTAAAGAGGAATTGGGAAGACATTATCAGCTTTTTACAGTGGGACAAGCTCCAGGCCTCCTGACTCAGTGACATCAAGCTGACTCTTGGGTAGTCTGAGGCTTTACTGTCAGCTGAGTGGATAAGATCCAATGAACAGTCTATCAGGGGCCAGTCACTTTCCATCCGAGCATCCCCTCCCTCCCCTGAAACATCCTCAACACTGCACCCAATTTGTAGTATTTTGTCCCTCACCCCTTTCCCACCCTTTCCTCTTGAGTCCCCAAAGTCCACTGTGTCATTCTTATGTCCTTACATCCTCATAACTTAGCTCCCACTTATGAGTGAGAACATACGATGTTTGGTTTTCCATTCTTGAGTTACCTCACTTGGAATAATAGTCTCCAACCTCATCCAGGTTACCGCAAATGCCATTAATTCTTTCTTTTTTATAGCTGAGTAGTATTCCATTGTATGTATATACCGTAGTTTCTTTATCCACTCGTTGATTGATAGGCATTTGGGTTGGTTCCACGTTTTTGCAACTGCAATTGTGCTGCTATAAACATGCGTATGCAAGTACCTTTTTCATGTAATGACTTCTTTTCCTCTGGGTAGATACCCAGTAGTGGGATTGCTGGATCAATGGTAGTTTTACTTTTTAGCTCTTTAAGGAATTTCCACAGTGGTCGTACTAGTTTACATTCCCACCAGCAGTGTAAAAGTGTTGCCTGTTCACTGCATCCACACCAACATCTACTATTTTTTGATTGTTTGATTATGACCATTCTTGCAGGAGTAAGATGGTATCACATTATCGTTTTGATTTGCATTTCCATGATCACTAGTGATGCTGAGTATTTTTTCTTATGTTTGTTGGCCATTTATATATCTTCTTTCGAGAATTGTCTATTCATGTCCTTAGCCCACTTTTTCATGAGATTGTTTGATTTTTTTCTTGCTAATTTGTTTGAGTTCATTGTAGATTCCGGATATCAGTCATTTGTCAGATGTATAGATTGTGAAGATTTTCTCCCACTCTGTGGGTTGTCTCTACTCTGCTGACTGTTCCTTTTGCTGTGCAAAACCTCTTTAGTTTAATTTAAAGTCTCAGCTATTTATCTTTGTTTTTATTGCTGGGACCAGTTAGTTTTGATGAAAGAGGGAAAGGTCTCCAGGGAATATGATACCATAAAGAACAGCAGATGACAGGGACCTTCAGCAGAGAGCCTGAGATACCCAGCTGGGCTATGCAAAAGTACTGAGTGTTGGCGAGAGGATGGCTAGAGTAATTAAGAAAAACATAAGAAGGGAAGAGAAAATTTGAAGAGATAAATTTTTCATGGTGTCTACCGTGGCAAAGAGCCTTAACAAAGTCTCCTTGAAAAGCATGAACTCACCCGTGGAGCAAGTGTGGGGTGCTCGGAGCACCCAAGAGTGTTGTTCCTGCCTTTGATTATGGGTAGAGGCTTAGGAATCAAAGACCAGGAATTAATTGTCCCCTGGAAGGCAGGTTCCTGTGTCTCCCTCCAGCTTTTTAGTATTCCCCAGCAAGTCAAGATGAGTTGGCAGGAAGAGGGAAATGAGTTAATTCCAAATATAGAATTATTTTTCTTATTAGTCATGACTAGCACATTCTCTTCTATAAAATGAGCCCAAGAAAATTGGAATGGATATGTCCTACAGATCTAAGAGAAAAAATAATGAAATTCTGATATGAAATGAAATGAAAGAGCCACCCAAACCTCTGTTAACCACCTAAGCCTCTGGTAATGGTTATATAATTTAGATGAAATTATATAATTTAGATAGTTATATAGCTTAGAAGAAAGGATATATCATTTAGATGTTCCACATCTAAACCAGTTTTTTTAGATTCCACATATGAATTGAGATCATGTGATATTGGTCTTTCTGTGTCTGGATTATTTTACTTAACATAATGTTTTCCAGGTTCATCCATGCTGTTGCAAATGACAATATTTCATTCTTTTTTGTGGCTGAATAGTATTCCATTGTGTTTATATACCATATTTTCTTTATTTATCCATTGGTGAACACTTAGGTTGATTCTATATCCTGGCTACTGTGAATAGTGCTCCAATAAACATGGAAATTCGACATACTGATTTTATTCCCTTTGGAAAGATACCCAGTTCTGGAATTGTCAGATCATATGGTAGTTCTATATTTAAATTTTGAGGACCCTGTATAGTGTTTTCTATAATGGCTGTACTAATTTACATTCCCACCAAAGTATGTAAGGATTCTATTTTCTCCACGTTCTTGCCAACATTTGTTATCTTTTGTCTGGTTTTGATTTGCATTTCCCTAATGACTAGTGATGTTGAGCATTTTTATATACCTGTTGGCTATTTGCATGTCTTCTTTTGAAAAATGTGTATTCAGATCTCTTGCCCATTTTTTAATCATATTTTTTCTTGCTATTGAGATTTTTTAGTCCTTGTATATTTTGGATATTTACCCCTTATCAGATGTATGGTTTGCAAACATTTTTTCACATTTTGTAGATTGTCTCTTTACTCCGTTGGTGTTTTGTTGTTGTTGTTGTTGTTGTTATTGTTGTTGTACAGAAGCTTTTTAGTTTGATATAATGAGAAGGTACTTTTATGTCTGCTATTTTGCTCTTTGTTTTGTATATATCTTACGTATTTTTTGTTCCTTAATTAATCTATTACTGCACTCTTCTGTGTTGACTATATATTTTCTAGTGTACCATATTAATTCACTTATTGTTTCTTTTACTATTTTTTAAGTTATTCTACTAGTGGTTGCCCAAGAAACGAAAATTAACATCTTAACATAAGTAATCCTGTTCATATTAATATCGCTTTAATTTCAATAGCATACACAAACTTTGCTCCAATACACCTCTAGTCCTTCCTCCCTTCTCTGTGCCATTCTTGCCAATCCAGTTAAATTTTCATACATTATAAGCCCATCAACACAGCTTTATTACTATTGCTTTATACAGTTGTCTTTTGAAATCAGATAGGAGAAGAGCTACAAACAAAAGTACATTTATAATGTATTTTATATTGACCTTTATTATTTGTGATCCTTATTTTTTCATGTGCTTTTGTGTCCTTTCATTTAAGATGAAAAAATTTCCTATCATTTTTCTAGTAGGGCAAGTCTGCTAGTAATGAATTCTATCACTCTTTGTTTATCAGAAATGTCTTAATATTTCCTTCATTGTTGAAGGATAGTTTTATTATATACAGAATTTCTTATTGGTAGCCTTTTTTTTTCCCATCACTTTCAACATGTCATCCCACTGCCTTCTGGACTCCATTTTTTTTTTTTTTTTTTTTTTTTTAGACATAGTCTCGCTCTGTCGCCCAGGTTGGAGTGCAGTGGCGCAATCTGCGCTCACTGCAAGCTCCGCCTCTCAGATTCACGCCATTCTCCTGCCTCAGCCTCCCCAGTAGCCGGGACTACAGGCACCCGCCATGACACCCGGCTAATTTTTTGTATTTTTAGTAGAGAAGGGGTTTCACCGTGTTAGCCAGGATGGTCTTGATCTCCTGACCTCGTGATCCGCCCAGCTCGGCCTCCCAAAGTGCTGGGATTACGGGCGTGATTTTTTTTTTTTAATGAGAAATCAGCTGTTAATTTTATTGAAGACTCAGTATACATAATAAGTTGTTTTTTCTTGCTGCTTTCAAGATTTGTGTTTGTCCTTGTCATTTAACAGTTTTACTAATGAGTTTAGGTGTGGCTGTCACTGAGTTTATCCTACTTGAAGTTCATTGAGTTTCTTGGATGTATAGATTAATGGTGTTTTTAAAATCACATTAAGGAAGTTTGGGGTCCTCATGTATTCTTTCTCCATTTATTGTTCATGTATTTCTTCATGTATTCTTTATACCCTGTTCTCTTTCTATTCTCTTTCTAGGATTCCATGTAGATATGCTAGATAGTGTCCCATAAGTATCTGGGGCTCTGTTCAATTTTTTTCATTACGTTTTTCTTTCTGCTCATTAGACAGCATAATCTCAATTGACCTATCTTCAAGTTTGCTGGTTCTTGCTTCTGCCAACTCAAATCTGCTGTTAAACTTCTCTAGTGAATATTTTTTATGAGTTATTGTGCTTTTCAACTCCAAAATTCCAAATTATTTTTTATTATTTCTATCCCTTTATTGATATTCTCTATTAGGTAAGATATTGATCTCATAATTTTCTTTAATTACTTAAGCATAATTTCCTTTAGTTCTTTGAACATAATAGCTGATTTAAAGTCTTTGTTCTTTAAGTCCAACATCTGAGCCTCTTTGAAGACAGCTTCTATTGACTGCTTTTTTTTCCTATTTAAGAGCCATATTTCATGTTTCTTTGCATATTGTATAATTTTTGTCATAAACTGGAAATTTTAAATAATATCATGTGGCAACTCTAGAAACCAGACCACCACCCCCCAGGATTGTCTCTTATTGTTATTTTGTGTTATTTCTGGATTTTATTGTTGCTGTCGTTGTTGTTACTACTTGCGTGTTTAGAGGCTTTTGTGTGTGTGTGTGTGCCAAGCCTTTAGGTCTGTACTCCTCACAATGTACAGATGCTGAAGTCTTTTCCTGGTTGGCTTAGTGGTCAGCTAGCACTTAGAAAGATATTTTCTTAAATACTCTAAACCAATAAATCTTAAGCTCTTTGCCAAGGAATTCCATGTGTTTGTTGGGGCACACCTTCAGCATTCCAGCAATTTGCCTTATCCTTCACTTTCTGCTAGCACACAGCCTCAGCATCAGAGTAGAGAGATGCTGGACCTTTTTGATTCTTTACTGGGCATTCACATAGTCCTGCACATGTGCATGGCATTCTAAATCCTAAGGAATGCACCTTTACAAAATCCACCCCACCCCTAACCCACCTATGGACATTGCATTCCCCAGACCTTCCTTTTCAGTGTTTTGACCAGTCTATTGTTTGCACCAACTAGTACTGCAGCCTCAGGCAGCTGCAATATTACATAAATGTCACTGATTGTTTTCAACAAATGCCCTAGGGATCCGGCTTTCCCCATTGAGAGAGCCCTGAGTGGGTAAAATAATGACAAGCCCAGTGTCTTTTCCAGAGGGCTTCCAGAGAGGTCAAAGAGTGACAAATTCTCTGGGAATATCCATATTTAGGAGCTTCAAACCCAATCTTTCCCTTTCAGTGGTTCTAGGTTGCTGCCTTTCAAGCCTACCACAGAGCTGAGGAGAGGAGGATGGGAATAAGGCAAGTTAAAATGCCAAAAACCTCATTATTCTTACTGAGATTCAGCTGCTTTTTTTGAAAACAAAAATGGTTCTCAAATTGTTGTGAGCTAATTGACTAATTTCTAGAATTCTGAAAGGTTGAGTCAGCTGTTTTTCTTGAAAAAAAGAGTTCTCAAATTGTTGCAAGTTAATTTGGCTAATTTTCAGTATAAGAGTTTTATAATGGTATGATTCTGTTTCCTCCTTTCCTAGCCTTTGTGCTGTGATTGTCTTTCATTTTACTTCTAATTGTTATAAACCCCACAATACATTATTGTTGCTTTAACTAGTGGATTATCTCTCAAAGAGATTTTAAATTAAAAATATATATATATGCACTCACATATTTACCATTTCTGATACTCTTTATTTCTTCGCATAGATCCCTATTTTCCTTTGGTAGTTTTTTTTCTACCTGAAAGATTTCCATGAGTGTTTTATGTAGTGCAGTGCTGCTGATGAAGAATGCTTTCATCTTTTATATGCCCAAAAATGTTTTCTTGCCTTCTTTTTTGAAAGATATCTTCACCAGTTGTAGAATTCTAGGTTGGTTGGTTGGTTTGTTTTTAATACTTTAAAGATGCTCCACTTTCTTCTGGCTTTCATTGTTTCTGATAAACGTGTTGTTGTTCTTACCATTTTTTTTCTGTACATAATATGTCTGCTTCCTCAGACTATTTTTAAAATGTTTTCTTCTTCATTGCTTTTAAGCAACTTGTTAATGATATACCTTGGTACATTTTCTTGTCTTTTGTGCTTGGAGTTTGTTGAGTTTCTTAGAGCTTACATCAATTTGGAAAACTTTTTGATGTTTTTCCAAATAACTTTTATCTCCCCTCCCTCTCTTCCATACACACATACAGGCCATTTGAAATTGTCCCACATCTCATCTGTGTTCTGTTCACTTTTTTCCAGTCTTTTTTCTCTGTTTTTCATTATAGATCATTTTTATTTTGTATCTTCAAGTTTACTAATACTTCTGCTGTAGTATCATAGTATCTAATCTGCTGTTAAATCTATCTAGTATATTTTAATCTCAGATATTGTATTTCTTATGTTTACATGCTCAGTTTGAGTCTGTTTTCTGTCCTTCATGTCTCTACTTAATAAGCTTAAGTCTTTACCTTGTTGAATACATGGAATTATAGTTATAACTTTTTTTGTTTTTTGAGACTGAATTTTGCTTTTGTCACCCATGCTGGAGTGCAGTGGCACCATCTCACTTAACTGCAACCTCCACTTCCCAGGCTCAAGCGATTCTCCTGCCTCAGCCTCCCGAACAGCTGGGATTACAGGCGCCTGACAACATGCCCGGCTAATTTTTGTATTTTTAATAAAGATGCGGTTTCACCATGTTGGCCCAGCTGATCTCGAACTCCTGACCTCAGGTGATCTGCCTGCCTCAGCCTCCCAAATTGCTGGGATTACAGGAGTGAGCCACCACGTCCAGCCAATTATAACTATTTCGTTTATTGTTCTTGTCTATTAATTCTATCATCTGTTTCATTTTGAGATCTCTATGTGTTTTTCTCCTTATAATGAATTGCATTTTTCTGCTTCTTTCCAAACCTTGTAATTTTTTTGGATTTCATACATAGTGAATTTTATTTTGTACTGTACTTGATATTTTTTATAAGGATTCTTGGGATTTGTTCTGGATGATAGTTAAGTTTCCTTGAAATCGTTTGATCCCTTCAAGGCTTTCTTTTAAGCTTTGTTATGCAGCAACATAACAAACTTCATTCTAGAGCTAATTCTGTCCCATTACTGAATCAATAACTTTCTGAGCACTTTATCCATTACCCTGTGAGTTACGAAGTTTCGTACTCCGGATGGTTTGTACATTATTTCAAGTGTAAGATCCGGAAATTGTTTCCTCTGCTCATTTCAGGTAGTCTTTTTCTTGGCCTTGTGTCATTTTCTTACACTCAGGTGCTGATTAGTATTCTGCTGAAAACTTGAGCAGAACCTACTGCAGATATTCAAAGCTCTTCTCTCTCTCTCTGTCTCTGTCTCTCTCTGTCTCTGTCTCTCTCTCTCTCTCCTCTCTCTTTTTCACTGTGCAGCTCACTATTCTGTGGCACTCTGCCCTGTGAACTTTAACTGCCTTGGTCTCCCCAGGCTCCCAGCTGTCTCTTCAATTCAGATGATCACTGGGTTCTGCCCAGGTTCTCCTGTCCTATACTGTGGTCTGGAAGTTTTCTCCGGGCAGTAATCTGGGACTCTGACACGGCTCACTTTATTTGTTTTCTCTCTTTGGGGGATCACAGACCAATGTCTAAAAACTATTATTTATATTTTGTTGAGTTTTTAGTTGTCTTAGTGATAAGGGTGAGACTACTCCCTGTTGCTGTAGCTTTGTGGGAAGCTGAAGTTCTATTTGGCTGAATTTGAGTGACTCTTAGGAGATAGAATTGACAAAACCTGGTGACTGAGTGAATGTAAGTATGAGGACAACATTGCAGTCTAGAATGATTCCCCATGGATAGATAATTGCATCTGAATAGTTTTCACTAACTGATTAGTATTAATCACTTGCATTTGTATAGCACTTTGTGTTTACTATCCCCATACTATTGTCCTCTTCTTCACTAGTGAAAAGGAGAGCTGGTAAAGTTAATCAGTAATAACACCCTTACCATTTGCCAGCTATGTGCTGCCATGAAGCCCACAGAGCTGTATATATTATATAAAATAGGTATTTGTGAGATGGGAGAGTTCCTTTGACCCCTTTGTAGGACTCATGAAAGGGGTGGCTCATTTATTCGGCTGCCACACTCAATCCCTTATGGGAGGGAGTACACAAGCGGACGGGTGCAGGAACCAGAGCAAACGAATGCTGGAACAGGCTGGTCCTCCTCTCTGATGGAAGCAGGCTCTGTGTGGGCCCCACAACAGCGTCCAAGCGTGTTACAATGCTCTTTTAGCTTTGCCGTCCTGGAGGGGTTGTCTGTGACCCACGGAGCCCCAGAGGGTGTATGTTTAAATCAGTGCTTTTTTAACATTTGCCATCCGCAGACAGTTAAGTATTAACCAGCTCAGTGGAGGGTCAGGGTGACAGCCTTTTACACCCTGCTCTCTTGGGTGTACAGTACCCCTCATGGTACTCAAGTTCTTGTCCAGTGTGTAGGAAGAATTACGTTATATGAACAAATTGAAGGGTGGTGCATGTGGAGGACTTTTAGTGGTGGAAGTAGCTCTCAGCAAAAGGTAGGGCTAGAAAGGAAGTGGAGCAGGAAGATAATCTTCCCCTGGAGTCTGGCTATCCCGGGCCAAACTCCTCTGTGACCATAGTCTCCAACATCCAGCTGCTGCTTCTCCTCTCAATGTCCAGAAGCTTCTCTCTTCTGTGTGTATGTGTGTGTGTGTTTGTGTGTGTGTGCGTGTGCGTGTGTGTCTGCTGAGTCTGGAGTTTGGAGTTTTTATGGGCATAAGATGGGGGCAGGATGGGCCAAAAGGCAACATTCAGTGGGGAAAACAGAGATAGTTCTCACTTTGGGCTCCAGGTCCAGGCTTTAGGGTGGAGCCCTTGCCAGGGACCCTGCCCTCTTCTACCCAGTATTTCCCTGTTTCCCTGTCTCCCGTCCATATCATTTGCTTCAGAATTTCAACCCATGAAACATCCACAGAACAGTGGAAGTTTAAGTTTAAGTGGCTCCTCTTTTCTGTACAATATCCAGTTCCACCATGCCCCCCAAGAAGAGTTACTCAGTGATCTTTCTCCTTCATTCTCTACTCTCAAAGTCTACCCTCTTCCTTATATTCACCTCTTTCATAATCATTAGGGGATTTTTAAGAAAAATCTTTCTTAAGAACCTCTTTTCTCTTTACTATCACTGCTACTCTCCCCATCCTCTGCTATATATTATATGTGATTCATTAGAAACAAACATAATATTGCCTTGTATCCCATAAGGAGGTGGATATATACCAGTCTACAAGAAAGGGGTGGAAGATGATGGAATATGTGTGGTGGTACTGGCAGAGGGAGAAAGCCAGTCCTGCCACACCCCTTTTATAGTTGTAGAAATTAAGCCAAGGGAAATCAAGTATAAAGTATACACATTTTGAAAGAAACTAAATAGGTATGATAACTGTATGCAATGTGTATTTTTTATTTAGATCCAGGATTGGATTTTTTTTTGCTATAAAAAACAGTGAAACAATTTAAAAAACTTAAGTCATCTCCTAATTTTAGTAATTATTATTGTGATTATGTAAGAGAATGTCCTTGTTTTTAGGAAATCCACACATAAATGTTCAGGGGAAAAGAAACATTATGTCTGACTCTCCAACAGTTCAGAAAAAAGATGCTAGACAGACAGATCAGATTTAAAGCAAATGTATTAAAATGACATTTGGGAAAACTGGGTGAAGAGTATATGAAAATTATATTGTATATTGGTCCATTTCTGTTACTAGAAGGAATACCTGAGACAGGGTAATTTATAAAGAAAAGAGGTGTAATTGGCTCATGGCTCTGCAGGCTGTACAGAAAGTACGGTGCCCGCCTCTGCTTCTGGTGAGGGCCTCAGGGAAGCTTACAATCACAGCAGAAGGTGAAGGAGGAGCAGGCATGTCACATGGCGAGAGTGGGAGCAAGAGAGTGAGGAGTACAGTCTCAGACTTTTAAACAACCAGAGCTCCCACGAACTAACTGTGCAATAACTCACTTATCACCAAGGGGATGGTGTTAAACCATTCATGAGGGATCCGCTCCTGTGATCCACTCACCGCCCACTAGGCCCCACCTCCAACACTGGGAATCCCATTTCAACGTGAGATTTGGAAGGAACACACATATAAATCATATCATATTGCTTTTGCAACTTTTCTAAAAGTCTAATTTTGTTCAAAAAAATGTTATTTTTTTTAAAAAGTATGTGGATCATATTTGATACAGTCAGGACTAGATCTAATTGATGCAGTCAGGACTAGATCTATTTCTCTTGGCTCTAACATCCACTTCTAGTTATCTTTCCTTTACAATATGGTTTGGGAAATTTTTCTCCTAGAAAATGCAGATTGATTTTTATGCATGCCCCAACCCCCCAACATGCACACTTCTAGTCCTTGGTGAGAAAAAAATATTCAAATGTCTAGTTTATTTTTTTACCAATCTTTAGGTCTCTATGTTTAAAAATAAACAGTTCAGCTTTGCCAGTGGCATCTGTTTCTTTTATGCCCTGGGAGGCCATTGCCCAGTGTGGGATTGTTTTCGAGGTGACAGAACATACTCTGAATTTTCCAAGAACTAACATGTTAACATATGGAATTATTTTGAGGACATCTTACAATCTCCTCTCTTCTTTGAACAAACAGTTCTAAATTATCTGTCACTCTGCAAAATCTCATGAACTTCAACAAATGCAAACATATTCAATTTATGGAAGCACTCAGTTCCAATATTTTCTTTATGCATTTTTTCCTTCACTGGGATATTTTCTCCTGACAGTCTTTATGATGTAAGGAACTCTTAGTTCTTTGCTCAAAAAAACAAAACAAAATCACTTTTTACAAGTAGTGATCTCTTTAATCAGCAGCTGACCTCCAGGACTCTGGTTAATTCATTTTAAAAATAGTTTAGAAAACAAATGATTGCATGTATGTAAAAGGCTCCTTACTTAGCCTGAGTGGAGCTATTTTTTTCCATTTTAAAAGCTGGGATCTTTTAGAGTACTCTCTTTCTCTAGCTTCCACAATCACATTTTGTGTCTTTTCCCTGGATGTGGCTGTCTTTTATCTCTCTGACAGCAACAACTTATTCTAGGACAGACTTCATAACAAGAATCTGCTGGTCTTTCCTTGAAACTCTGCTAAAGAAACTGGATTCAAGAGAATCTGCTCAGCAAATTTATGACAGTGGTCCAAATCTGATGGAAATAAAAATATCAATGACCCACTAGGTTGCTCTAAGAAGTAAGCAAGAAGAAAACAAAGTCTAACTTTGTAAGTACTGCCAAAATCTAGAATACTTTACCTTGCGTTTTAGATACATGTAGACACATCTTATCCTACTCAACAAACCCTGCTCCATCCCCAAAATGCTCCCACTTCGCTGTAAATTTTTAAAGTACTGGGATTTTTTTCTGCTTATCTTTGCATTTCTGCAGCAGAAAAGTGTTAGGAGGGATTCAGTAGGGGCTTTTGAGTTCATTTAACAAGAGAGAACTCACTGTGGAAATTAGTGGATCTGCCTTTGCTGTAGAAGAGCATCTTTGAGCAGGATTGGGAGCTTTTTGTTGTTTATCTGAGAGAAGAGAATCATTTCTTGTACTGTGCTTGACCATTCGCATATGTAACAGAAGCCCTGTGAAGTATTATTTGAAAGAAACCCCTGTCCCCAGAAAACACCCTTCATTGGTTGCTGAAATCCTGTCATTAAAAATTTATTTTTCCTTCAACTTAATAAAGAACATCTACAGAAACCTACACTTAACATCATACTTAGTAGTGAGAAACTAGATATTTTCCTGCTAAGTTCAGGAACAAGGCAGAGATGTCCACTTTCACCATTCATATTCAGCATCATATTGGAAGTTCTACTTGATGCAATAAGTCAAGAAGGAAAATAAAAGGTATATAGATTTGGAAATAAATAAGCTGTCTTTGCTCACAGATGACACAACTGTTTATGTAGAAAATTCCAAAGAATCAACAAAGAAAACTTCCTGAAACTAATAAGCAATTATAGTAAGGTTGCAGGATACAAAGTTAATATGCCTAGTTTATTTTTTATTAATCTTTAACAGATACCATTGCTGGTATACAGGAAGTCAATTGCTTTCCTATATACCAGCAATGAACAATTGGAATTTGAAGTTTAAAGCACAATGTCATTTATATTAACACCAAAAAAAATGAAATGCTTGGGCACAAATTTAACAAAATATGTTCTTTGTTTTGTACTCTTCCTCATATAAATCTTATACATATTTTGTTAAATTTGTGCCCAAGCATTTGTGTGGCAGTTTCTTACTAAACTAAACATATTCTTACCTTATAATCCAGCAATCTAGCTCCTTAGCATTTACCCAAATGAGTTGAAAACTTATATCTACATAAAAACCTGTACATAAATGTTTATAGCAGCTTTGCTGATAATTGCCAAAACTTAGAAGAAACCCAGCTGTCCTTGGATAGGTGAATGGATAAACAAACTATGGTATACCCTTACAATGGAATATTATTCCGTAACTAAAAGAAGTGAATAATCAAACCACAAAAAGGCATGGAGGCATATTGCTGAAAGAAGCCAGCCTAAGAAGGCTGTGTACTGTTTGGATCCAACTGTAGGACATTGTGGAAATGGCAAAATTGTAGAGACAGTAACAGGAGCAGTGGTTTGGAGGGGTTTTGAAAGGAGGGAGGGAGATAAGAGAGGTGGCACATGGGGAATTTTAGAGTAGTGAAACTATTCTGTATGATACTCTAATGGTGGATACATGGCATTATTCATTTGTCAAAACACATAAAGCTTTACAACACAGGGTGAACCCTAATGTAAACTATGACTTTAGTTAATAATGTGTCACCCTAATGTAAACTATGACTTTAGTTAATAATGTGTCAATATTTGCTCATCAGTTGTAACAAACATACCACATTAATGCAAGATGTTAATAAAAGCAAAAACTGAGTGGGGAGGGGAAATGGGGAGAGGAGGCAAAAGGGAACTCTGCCATTTTTCTGTAAATCTAAAACAGTTCTAAAATATGAAGTCTATTACTTTAATTTCTTAAAAATTATTTTCTAGGAAATTCAAAGGAATTTTTAATAATTCTCACTTGTAATGTAAAATTTCTGTGAATAATTAACTAACATATTTGTATGCAAATGAGTGGATCTCATTGGTAGTCTTCTACTCAAGAGTCTCTCTGCAGAATGAAAGTTCCAGGTTTCATGAGACCGGGGGCTGCTGAAAGAGAAAGTTTGATTCAGAAAAGATCACTAGGTCAAATGTCACATTTATATTCTGGTTATGAGCTGTCATGATACTAGGTCTCCACAGTAGAAACATCCTCTCTTTTTCACATTTAGGACTATTTCAGCATCTCTGAGTAAGGGGCTAGAGAATTTACAGCTTTTCTAATACTTACAAGTAATGAAAATTCTACTACCTTTGTACTTGGAGGTAACAAAACACATCAGTATGTATCGACAGCATGTATTAAGTTTGCATCTCACTTGAGCAAGTTACTTTAACCTCTCTTTAAAATAAAGATAATAACTATTACTTAGATCAAAGGGTTGTAGTGATGATTAAATGAGGTAATGCAGGTACTTCATGAGGCTTCAATAAAATATTAGCAATTGTTGCTACTGCCGCTATTGTTGCTGTTATGTCTTGCCAATAGAATACTTTCGGGGGAAAATGCCGATAAAATGTAAATTTCAGAATGTCTGATTTTAGTTAGAGGGCTACCTGTGATTGTAGGAGGTGAGGGGCCAGAGACAAGAAGGATATCTGGATGAGGTAAAAAAGAAACTAACAATTTTTTTATCAGCCACTTGGCCCCTGTAAATCAAGCATCATGTGCTTTGTTATCTCAGGAATCCTCAGGCAACCTTATGAGCTAGTCCTTTTTATACTAGATGGAGAAACTGACATGCAGGATAGGTAATTTACCCAAAGTCATGCAACTAGTATTGCAACTCATAATGCTGAAGTTTGAACTCGGGTTTTTTTTTTTAACTCAGAATCATGTGAACTTCCCTGTCTGGCATGTAATGTCACATGGGCTGAGAGACTAGGCTTCTTCATTATTTAGACCAACTTAGACTATCCTTCTTGTGGTCAGTGTCTCAGAAGTGTAAAATTTGTTTAACTGATTTTTGAACAAATAAGAAAGTGATTAAGTGAATAAATTAGGAGAATTAAACTATGCAAAAACACAGAATATTAATGTAAATCGAAAGTGGACTTTATTTTCACACTATGGGTGTGTTTGCCTCAAAGTTGCAGAACTTCTAGAAATGTAGTCATATTTTAAATGCTCTAAGGAACCTCCCTCATTTGAACCTGATAGTATTGTGAAGAAAAAAATTCCTTTTGAAATAGGAACAATTGCCTTATTTATCAGTAGGTTTTTATTTCAATGGGTTGAATTTTTTGAAAAATGAGGCACCCCATAGAGGATTGAGTAAATGGTCCTAAAAGTTTGCTTGAATGTCACTTCATGAAATGAACACAGGTCAAAGCTGGGTCACTGAAGACTCTCACTGTTTCTAAAGCACTTTGTTCTCACCTTATAGAGGCATACACATTGGCTCAGGTAACCAGTTTTGTTTGTTCGTTTGTTTGTTTCTGGCTAAGTCTGTTCCAGGCTTCCATTCAGATCATTCTTTTCTGTTCTCATAAGAAGATGAACATGTTACCTGGTAGAGGCAACAATCTAACTTGAATTTGTGTTTCTGATTAAAACTAGTAATAAAAGGCATTCCTGCTGTCAGAGGTGTCTAAAATGTTGAATTAGTCAACAGATATTTGTAAAGTCGGCTATGTGCTAGACAATAGAGACAAAAGATGTAAAAAGACAATCTCTGTCTTCAATGAACTCATAATGCAATCAGTGAGATGACTAGATAATCACCTTTTGAAGATTATTTTTATTATTCTACAATAATGTGGTAAAACATTTGCACGTAAAATGCCATGAAGAAGTAAGGAAATAATCAAAATGTAAAAGCATTAGTGAGTGGGAATTATTTATTATCTGCGTACCAGGCCCTATGCTCACTAAATTCTTAAAACTACTCTTTGAGATGCATATGCTTACCACCGGCCCCACCCCAACCACACCTTTTACAGATGAGAAAAAGTGCCAGTGCCAGGGAAAGGCAAACCTGGGAGTTCAAACCCAGTCCTACCAATTCCAATAGAGTTTTTCTCCCACAGTAGCCATCATTTTCTGAATATGTTCTAGGCACCTGGTTCTGGAGTAGGCAGTTCAGTATGTCTAGATGGTTCAGGGAGTATGGCTGGATTTGAGCAAACTCAAATGCTTCTCTGAAAAGTGAAGAGTGACAGCCTCACCCCCTGTATCAGTTGATCTGCATGGGAAGCATTGTTGGGGTTGTATGGAGTTGTGCTTTGTTTTGTTTGTTTTGCTTTGTTTTGTATTTTGCTGAAGATTAAGAGGAACTTGGAGGCAGGTGCCTACGGGAACAGGAAAAACCAGGACAATGGAGGGGAAGGCCTGGCCTACTTTCTTTCACTCATCTCCCCACCTCCACTTCAAACTTGAATGGTCACTTTTCATTAGAAGGTAAAATATATTTTTTCCACAAAAGTCCTTGTGAGACTCGAGGCATAAGTAGTGTTGACTAGGGGCTCAGATGACCCAACTGAATCCAGAATGAGGCATGCCCTATAATGTCTGCTTGTGCCCTACAGAGGAGGAGGGAGCAGTATCTTCCTAGTATATTCATTTCCTAAAGCACTTTAACAAAGTACTCCAAATTGTATTTAGTGACACTTCTAATGAACAGAATGTGGCAGAAGTGCAAGTGTGTGACTTCTGAGACTAAGCCATAGAATACATTGTGGCTTCCTCCTTGATCAAGCTGATCTTAGACTTCTGGCTTCCAGAACCATTAGGGAATAAATTTCTGTTGTTTTAAGAAATTTATTTTTAGATAAATTTCTTGATACTTCTGTCTTCAAAGGTGGAGCCTATTTCCCCTCCCTTGACAGTGGGTTGTATTTAGGTCCTACTCTGATAAACCAAGAAAATATCCCCATCTTAATTAAATCTGATCATCTTAATGAAATCTATGCATAAAGACTCTGTTTCCATATAATATAATGTTCACAGATTCCAGGGATTCGAATATATATATCTTCAGGGATCATTTTTCAGCCCATCACACCCAGGATCCTTGTCTTCCAAGGCAGTGGGTAGGGGCCTCATTTGAGGCCTACGAACCCATGGACTTCCTAAAGGGTTCACAAACAGAAGAAGAGGAGCGGTACTGAGTACTGAGAACCTGGGAATCTCCTTGACCTTGGAAAACTCCTGACTGTGACCCAGGGAAACCTTGACTGAGTTGGGGAGTTGAGTAGGGGAGTAGGGTGGGTAGGGTGACTGCCTACAGGAGCAAGTATGAGCTAAGAGTCATGGAAATTTGGAAATACATTTTCATGTGTACTACAGACTGCATGTTTATGTTCCCCCGCCCCCCAATTCATATGTTGAAACCTAATCCCCAATGTGATTGTATTTGGAGATGGGACCTTTAGGAGATGATTAGGTCATGAGGGTGGAGCCCTTATAATTGGGATCCATGCCCTTATAAAAGAAACCCAAGAGCTCCCTCAGCTTTCTACTACATAGGAGACAGTGAGAAGACTATGCAACAGGAAGAGCCCTTATTAGATACTGAATCTACCTGAACCTTGATCTTGAACTGCCCAGCCTCCAAAACTGTGAGAAATAAAATTTCTGTTATTTCTAAGCCACCCAGCCTATGGTATTTTTGTTATAGCAGCCCAGAAGGACCAAGACAGTCTCTACGTATACTCTCACAGACTGATAGAGGCTGAGACATTTGGATGAGCTGTAACCAGTACTTAATGGGGCAAAACGTAAAAAGGTGCAATCATAAAGTAACTTTACTTTCCTCCCTGCCCTTGGCACTAACTCAATGAGTTCGTAGCTGGTAACCCATTGTAACTCAGTAACTCAGGCAGCACCCATAATTTTCTGATTCATTTTGAATATTATAAGTCCTCTGGTCAGTCTCACTCCAGTAATTAAATGTCCAGTCCACTATTTTGATCAACTTTTCATACTTTATTTAAAGCTAAAGCTCCTTCCTTCCTCTGGTTCAGAGCAACTTCCAGCTAAGAAACCCACAGTGAGGGAAAGGAACATGGTCCTTTTTATTTCTCAGACTTGAATTTTTCTCCTTCTCCACCCTCCCCAAATCCTACAGAGTTACTACTGGGGGTGGGAGTAGGGAGAGTTAGGGGAAAGTTCTTACTGGACTAAAAGATACATAATCTGATAGTCGTGCCCTCAGGGTATGGCAGATTCCCAATATTGATTTTTTTCGTGAGCATTTTTCTGGAGTTTCTTCAAGATTCTTCCAGTAGGAACATCAAATGGCAATTCTTAGGTCACCAGCAATCTGACGGGGTGCTAAGGAGTCAATCCTTGGGCCCTCGGAATCCAGCAGTCAACATACAAAGATGTTCCCTGACAGGGTTCATTAAGTCCCTTTTAAGCTGGCTGTAAGCCAACTCTCTCCCAAAGCGTCACCATCACATCCAAAGTAATCTTTCATATGACCAGGCTATGTAGTCTCCAAAAAGGCAGCTTACCCCATTGCAGCCTACATTTTCTCTTCTCTGCCATCTTAAGCTTCTAGAATCAAAAAAAATAAAAAATTGCAACTCTTAGGAAAAAGTTCCACTAAAGAGGAATGTCTTTGCAGTTACTGAAGTTAACTTTTTGTAAAACTCTTCTCCCTCTCTTCCTCCTCTTTTGGTTGATTTCCTCCTCCTGTTTTCAAATACTTGGTATTTAAAACCAGAAAAAAAAAATACAGGCTGTAATTTTGACTTCCCAGGACCCATACTGACCTATGGTCTCCAACCAACAGATCCAGAGCATGTTAGATGGAATTCAAGGACGTCCAGGCAATATTATATCCTCGTCCTCAGGGTGACGGTTTTTCCACTGCCTCAAATCCTGTATCTTTCTTCTGCAGCTGCCCAGCACAGAGTTTTGGTTCTAATAGACACAACAAAGGTGCAGGAAAAGGCACACTCTTTAGTCATCTCTGGGACCGTGCTCCAAATCTCTATCTCCCTACTCCAGAAAGATAAGTTGTTCAATATAATTCAGGGCTTCTAAAGGAAAAAAACCCTAAGTCAGATTTCATTTATTCTGTTCCCTTAAAGCTAATGCCAGTTGGCCTGAGAAGACTCTATTATTTCCTTTTCTCTTGAGTGGCACCAACACTTGAGAAAAAAAGTCAAGTCTATGTAGAGGCTGATGCCCTCAAGAGCACACTTGACACAAAAGCCCTTCAGTGACCTCAGAAACTCTGGTTCTCAGGCCATAGGTCCATACCCCACTTTGTTGAGGAAATGTGTACATGTTAGCCTTTGCTATTTTATGTTGGTGCAAAAGTAATTGCATTTTTTTGCCATTAAAAGTAATTGCAAAAGGCCGGGTGCAGTGGTTCACGCCTGTAATCCCAGCACTTTGGGAGGCTGAGGCAGGCAGATCACTTGAGGTCAGGAGTTCAAAACCAGCCTGGCCAACATGGTGAAACCCATCTCTACTAAAAATACAAAACTTAGCCAGGCATGGTGGTGGGCGCCTGTAATCCCAGCTACTCAGGAGGCTGAGGCAGGAGAATCGCTTGAACCCGGGAGATGTAGGTTGCAGTGAGCCAAGATCGCACCATTGCACTCCAGCCTGGGCAACAGAGCAAGACTCCATCTCAAAAAAAAAAGATAAAAAAAGTAATTGTAAAAACCGCAATTACTTTTACACCAACCTAATGCCTTTCTAAAATACTGACTTCAACTTTAATTTAACCTCATCATTGCAGAGCAGATGGAAATATTCTGATTTCTCTGCTAGAGAAAGTAAAGTTTCTAAACAATGAAAATAAGCAGAGAAGCTATCTCCAAATACAGATGTGTCTTTTAAATAAGAAAATAAGAACTTTTCTTCAGTTCTTAATAATATTTTAAAGCTTTACAAACTGGATAGCAACACATGTTATATGTATTTGTTGACTATTTAAAGATCCATACAGATTTCAAAAATGTGATCCCTGAAAGACAAATAACATATGGTAGAATTTAATATTTATGTGCCTTTATGAAAAGGAATTCATTGTTTTACAATGGAATTTTAATGGGAGATAAATGAGACTTGAAGCAAGACTGAGTTTCTTTAAAATGAGTCCTGGATAAGGAGTGAAGAAGTGGCAGTTAAGAAATTCTAAAATTGAGACAATTTTTAATGCATACTTTAAAAATAAGCACTTATTTGTTTCAATTAGGCCTTCATGATAAAGTACTATTATTTTATAAAACTCTGATTCCTAGTCAGTATCAATATGGAATTATAAAACTATAAATCACAATACTTAGGAACCTCAAAATCACTATGTTTTAATGCAATTAATTAAAAACTACTATAAAACAGAAAGATTTTCAGTTTTTCAAACATATATTTATAATTAGTGAGAAGTATAAGCAATCGTATTAATAACAATAAGCATTATTATTATTAATAAATCTTCTAATGGTGTGTTCCATTTCAAGGATATCAGCCAAAATTGCTTTAGCTAATGTAAATAGCCTGAATTTTACAGACAGAAATACACAGTTTCAAATTCTAAGTTTGTCACTTTCTAAATGTAACTTTGAGCTATTTACTTGGCTCATCTGTGACTAATTTCCTCACTAGCAAAGGAATAGTAATCCTTATTCCACCATTTGTGAAAAATTAAATGAGATACAACTGCACTTCCATTGAAGACAAACTGAGACATTCAGAACAACCTTCCCAAATAAACAGTTAGAAAATAATTTTTAAAAATATTCTGCTTGAGAGCTTTGGGGAGCCAACAAGATAGGGGAGAATTACAGAGCCGAAATCTGGGGCAGAAACCCACTGAAGTAAGCTCAGCTTGGGACCTCTTTTCCCCTCTATTGTATGCTGGTTCTGGAAGCGGATGCTGAGAAGCCCAGAAGCTGAGCAGAACTTTCAACCAGCTCACATGAACAGCAGCACCGTAATGGTGTTCAGAGTCTGTTCTCAGCAGGGATCCTGAATGGCAGCTCCTTGGGAATAATGGTCAATCCAAGTAGACTAGCCTTCACAGAGACTGAAACCCAGCTTCAAATCATCTCACTCCAAAAGTAAGAAATTAGAAAAGAGAACACACATGGTGAGATGAAGAGAAATCAAGCAACGACATAGTAGATTTAAACTCAAGTACATCAATAAGTACATTAGGTGAAAATGGGCTAAATGCTACAATTAAAAGATAAAAATTGACAGACTGGCATACAATATACGTGTATTCTTCTTAATATGGGCCAAACCTAAAATATAAGGAACAGTCTAGAAGTAAAGAAATGAAAAAATATATTCCATGTAAATACTAATTGTGGTCATTTTAAAATAGGACCACAAATTTCTTGATACTTCTGTCTTCAAAGGTGGAGCCTATTTCCCCTCCCTTGACAGTGGGTTGTATTTAGTGACACTTCTAATGAACAGAATGTGGCAGAAGTGCAAGTGTGTGACTTCTGAGACTAAGCCATAGAATACATTGTGGCTTCCTCCTTGATCTCTCTCTCTCTGGATTGCTTGCTCTGTGGGAAGCTAGCCATCATCTCATGAGGATACTCAGGCAGCCCTATGAAGAGATCCATGTGAAGAACCAAGGCTTCCTGCCAACAGCCAGTGAGAAACTGAGGTCTCCAGTGAACAGCTATGTGAGTGAGCCCTTGTGGAAGTGGATCATCCAGCCCCAGTCAAGCCTTCGGAAGACTGCAGACCCACTTGACATCCTGGCTGCAACTTCATGAAAGACTAAGCTGCACCTAGATTCTTGATTCTCTTAAAGTGTTGGGAATAATAAATATTTGTTGTTTTAAGTGACTATGTTCATGGATACTTTGTTAGTCACCAGTAAATAACCAAAAGAAAGCTGATAGAACTATACTAATATGAGAAATATTAGTGTGTGTATATATATATATATACTTTATATATATACATGTATATACACTTATATATATAATGTGTGCCTATATATATATATATATACTTTAAAGCAAAAATGAGAGACATTATGGGAAAAGGATTTAACAGTTACATATAATAATTCTACCTTTATGTCACCTACTAAAATAGCCTAAAAACATATAAAGCAAAAACTGATGGAATTACAAGAAGAAACAGGCAAATGCACATTCATGCTAGAAGATTTAAAAGTACTTCTATGGAACTGATGGAACAAGCAGACAAAAAAAATGATATAGAATATTCGAACAACCCAGTTAGAATTTATGTATTTAAATAACCAACAACTGCAGACCATACATTCTTTTCAAATGCATGCAGAAATTTTTTTAAATTGCTAGACTGTAAAGCAATTCTCAACAAATTTCAAAGGAGTAAAATCACACAGATCATATGTGATCTGATCTATATATGATCATAGACTAATTGATAATAAAAAGATAACTAGAAAATTACCATATGTTTATAAAATACAAAATATATTTCTAAATAACCTTTAGGTCAAAAAAGAGATCACAACAGAAATTAGAAAATACTTTGAACTTAGTGATAATGAAAATATGTGCAGAATGCAATAAAAGTCATGTTTTAGAGGAAAAAAATCTATAACCTTAAGTGTATACGTTAGCGAAGAATAAAGGCCGAAAATCAATAATTTAAACGTCCATCTCAAGAAGTTAGTAAAAGAAAAACAAATTAAAACGCTCAAAAATAGAAGGTAGAACTAATGAAGATAGAAGCCAAAATTAACGAAACACAAAACAAACACATGAGAGAATTTAAGAAATCAAAATTGATTTTTTGAAAGAATAATGAATTTATGAAAGGGTTTGCAATAATCCTACCTGGCTGGGTAGTAATTTAAGAAATACGTGTTTTCTGCTCTGTTTGGATCATGGCTCCAGAGCTGGTGGTACAGAAACAAAATAGATAAGACAGTGCCCTCAAGTATAATAGCTAACAGTCTAGCACGAAGACTAACAGTAAGCAGATGGCAAAAATCTGTGTTACAAGTGTGACAACAGTGGCAAAAACAGGGAGCCATGGGAGTTCACGGAACAGCAGGGTGCTGAAAGATAAGTGAGATGTAGCTAGATGGAGCATTAAAGAAAAGATGACTCAGGAAAGAAACATCAGATACAAAGCAAGACACAGCTGGTATCTTCTGGGACCTGCAGATAGTTTTACATAGCTACAGTGGGAGGTTTGAGCACAATGTGAGAGCTTTTTACTTCCCAAATGCCTCAAATTCATTCACTAACTCTATCTCCAACGCCAAACCCTTTCATAAATTACCACATTTTGCCTAAACTACACAGAAGCCTCCCAGGCAGTTTTCCTGCATGCATTTCCCTGTTTTACACTCCAACACATTGAAGCCAACATGATTTTTCTTAAATATACAACCTCAATCCCCAGCTATAGTTCTTGTAGCACTGTGTAATTTACCTTCATAACATTTATCCTAGTTTGTAATTAAATTTATTTGATTACTACTTATTTAATTACAGCTGATCTTTCCACTAGAATGTTTGGGAATTGGAGATTTATAAGCTCTATGCATTTTGTAAAGCCTTGGTTAAAATTATAGCTGGGACATTAAGTTGCAAGTCAAAACATTATTTCATGAGAAAATAAAGAATAATACCATTGTTATGACAGGTCTCTTGAAAATGTAACTGAACTAGTTATTATTCTTTGTCACTATACAAGATAAGAAAAAAGTTCCAAAGATATTTATACTCCTGTGACCATCAAACATGAAAACCAGAGAACCAGCCAGGTAAGATAAAGTTCACATTTAAGTTAAACATATACACATTTTGTGCTGTCATATTCTGTCATCATGAAATTTTTTTGATAATGATAAGCAGCTTCCCCTGATATTCTTCTACTGTACTAACTACATTTTTTTCTCCCACAGAACATTAAAAAGCTGTGATTATTGTAAATTGATATTTTTACTTTTTTGATGTATTAAACATCAAAACATCTAACAAACATAGTTAGACTATGTTTGGTGGGAAATAGAATTTGGTTCCTGATATGGTTTGAATGCATGTCCCCTCAGAATCTCATGTTGAAATGTGATCTCCAGCATTGAAGGTGGGGCCTAGTGGGAGGCATTGGATCATGGGGTGGATTCCTCATGAATGGCTTAGTGCCATTGCCTCGGTGATGAGTGACTTCTCACTCAGGTAGTTCATGTAAGATCTGGTTGTTTAAAAGAATCTGGGACCTCCTCCCTCTTTCTCTTGCTCCTATTCTCTCCATGTACATGCCAGCTCCCCCTTCATCTTTCATGTGACTGGAAGCTTCCTGAGGCCCTCACCAGGGGCAGATGCTAGCGCCATGCTTCCCATACAGCTTCAGAACTGTGGGCCAAAATAAACCTCTTTTCTCTATAAATTGTTCAGTCTCAGATGTTCCTTCATAGCAATGCAGGTGGACTAAGACAGTTCCTTAAGTGATAGTGAACACACCAGAAAATAAAGTTCCAAAGATATTTATACTCCTGTGACCATGAAACACAAAAACCAGAGATTAAATTAAATTAAATAATTAAATTATTAACTGTGGGCTAACTTATCTTATTCTCTAACTCTATCACTAAGTCACATATGTAAATGATATGCATTCATTTGCTAGTTAGAAAGCATTGAGGCCCTTTTTTTTTGCTTCATACAAGTTTGTTTGAGAAAAATAAATTATAATTCTAAGAGATTCAATTTTAAGTTAATTTTTTATTGGAGTAGAACACATAGAAAGTTTTCCAAATTATGAGTCTGTCATGAGGTGACTCTTCACAAATTGAATATATTCCAGATCAAGAAACAGAATACTATCAGTGCCCTAGGAGCCCTCTTTGTCCCCCTCCAGCAATTGCCCCCCTGAAGGGAGCCACTATCCTGACTTTCAACAATTTATGTTCATTTTTCCTCTTTTGAACTTCATATAAAGTATACAGCATATAGCCATTTAGTTCTTGCTTTTTATGCTTCACATTATATTTGTGAGATTCACTCATGTTGTTGCATATATGTGTGTCTCATTTATTCTTATTTCTATAAAGTATCCAGTTGCATGATATTAATTAAAAACAAATAAGACTTAGATAAAGAGAGACTTTACTCAAAAAGACTATTGCAATAGGAAGAACATGCCAACCTCAGATATCTGCAAATGTCTCAAAATCAAACAGAAATAAGCTTTTCCTTTGTATGGAGGGAGAAGAACCAGCCAGACCTTTGTGGAGGAGAAGGGCATAGAGTGTGGGCGAGCAGGTGGCAAAACCAGGATATCTCAATAGGGAGTGTTTTTTCCTATGGTCAGTTGATTTTCAGGATGAGCTGTTAACAGATGTTCTGCTCCTTAGTGTTTCAGTGCTTGCTTAAACTTGGGGGACAGCCAAAGTCTAGGAATCTTTGTGGAGGAGAGATACCTGACTAAAGTTTGGTCAAGCCAAAGCAGAGGGTAAGAAATGAACCGTCATGAACACGTGGTCAGTTCCCCTTGTTCCTTAAGACAAAGTGTGTTTTTAAACACCATTAGCGATGGAATAAGAGACATTGTGAAGCTGAGTTTGATCTGTCATTTTCAGGGGTGGGCTGGTCTTCATGTTCTTCTTCACCTGTATGACCAGCTGTCATGTTGTGAGCATGCTGTCTCTCTGACGCTGGTGGAGGGTCTTAGAGATCAGGCACTTAGCATAAGGTACACCTTGTGATGTTATCTGCTTGGTCCAAAGGTCTCGAGAAAGCTCTCTACCTCTCTGTTTGCAAGACCTACCTCCATCTATAATGGATTTGCTCCCTAGAAGTACTCAACATCTGTTGTTCCTGTAGCCCAAAGTGAATCAGAAATGTGAATGAGAATGTTTTGAATGTGGGAATTGTCAATGGCTTGGGAGGCTGTGGGAAAGGCAAGAAAACTTTCCCCAAATTAAGGATATCAACTTGGATATAGTACATGTGCCCCAGTTATCATGGCCAGGACTGATATGTGACTTCTTCCCCAAATTCTGGACAGTTCTTGCTCCACTTGAACTCTATTGTCCATTATTCTCCATGCTACTTTTGTGATGAAGAAAAGACAGGATAAAAACCTCAGCTGTGTTTGCAAAAAGGCTGGTTCTAACTAGTCTTCCTTGGCCAAGTGCCCTCTGATGTTGTAGTGAAGTCAAAGAGCATTTGTCTTCAAGATTCAATGGCCTATGAAAGTCAATAGTAAATAAGTTTAATTATGTCACACTGAAACTTTGTGAAATATAAGCTACTGGTTTTCAGAAAATTGACTCATTGAGAAATTCATAAGCTCACCAAATTCCACAGTCAACACAACCTCTTTCACCTTCTGCTCAAGCAGAGGAGGAGGGCATATGGAGACAGGTCTTGAGTGCAATTGGAAAACACAGTGAGTCATTTCTGCTTGTCCATTCCTATTTAAAAGAAAATATCATTTCAGTGATTTAATTTTCGGTACAAAACCTGGCTTAGTCCTAGAACTGTAAGTGCTTCCACACCCACTATTATTGAACCCATCATTAAGAGTCATTTATTTTTTTGTAATTGGAATTGCATGTTTGAGAGAGTAAACTAAAACCACCATGTGACCTGGCTGCTACCTTGTTGGGGCAGTTCTATCCCAGAAAGTGGTTACTTAAAGAATATTGTGATGACAATGGGTGAGATGATGTCCACACCCTGAGCCAGAGTTATTTTACAGACAGTCCCGTGGTAAGTGAATCACATGTTTATCTTCTGGGAAAATATGGATTCCATGTTTTTCTGTTTATGAAGAGAAAGAGGAAGAAAAGAAGCATTGTTGCCTAGAAAACTCTCTGCTGAGAAATGCCTAGTGGTAATGGTGTAATTTTGATGCCATGTGACAATTGGATTGAGAAACCTAATATTTCAGGCAGCATTGTAGAAGACAGTTAAGATAATTTATAGCTCATTCTGAGTGATGATCCAGCTTTGGGTTGTCCTGGTTCCTGGATTTTCTTCCTTCTCTTTCCAAAAGCCTGTTTAGGGACCATTTTATTGCTCATTAGCACCTCGCTAAGAGAGCTGGCATGAAACAATGGAGATGGAATTTGCATCATTCAACACATTTGTGTTTTTTGTATTCATAGAAGATTTTTGAAGAAAAGAGCACCAAAATAACTGTGAAATGAAGTTTGAAGACCTCTAGCAAGTTAAATAATGTATCCTGTCCTTACCCCATAGCAATTATAAGTGCATCGGTTTGACTGCCTTTATTGTAAGCACCTTTATTAGATTCCCAAAGCAAATCCCATAATGCCACAAACTATATCAGGGCCTCTGACATATAGACCTTTTCTAAGTGCTGGGGACTGGCCTGTGATAAACAGTTGATCACTTCTCCAGCCCTTATTTGTTCCTTTCTGATTTCATCCCTGTGGGGCTCTTCCAACATCAAGCTTCCAATTTGAGGGCATCCACAAAGCCAACTGACAAGTACAAGAATCAAATGCTATACTGTAACATTTATTCTTTTCAGTGTGATCACTTGGTGTTTGATTTGTTTTCTGGCTTGCCTTTGAGAGCCTTTGTTTTCTGGATTCTTGGTTATTTTACCCCTCCCAGTGACAAGCAGCACATGGCTTTGTTTCTCCATAATTTCCATAATCGACACCTCTGTTTGTGATGATGAAGCACATCCACTAAGCCTCTTGTGTAGAGCAACTTACTTTACTTTCTAGAAGTTGGGGGAGAGGTGAACAGATGCCCTGTTGTGTTTCATATTCAGAACTTATTGGTGACCCTGGGAGAGAACACATTGTGACTTTCTTTTGGAAATGTCAACGTCTTACATATATCAGATCAGAATTTGCCTTCTGTGCCAAATCCAACATAAACTTATCTCTTGGAAGGGAGATACTGCTCTTCTGGATGGACTGGAAACTCAATGGGAAAAGCTGTGACAGCAGCTGCCTCATCGCTAGACCTAACACTTATCCTCCCTTTGGTATCAGTGTGATTTGTAACCAAATTCAGTTAATGAAACTGGTATTCTTTGATTCCCCTTTAGTAGAAAGTGATGGGGGGCAGTTTTTACAATTACACCTGAGGCAAAATTTCAATGTGAATGTTCAGCCATGTGAAATGATTCAGAAGTGAACTTTCCAATTTGATGCTAATGTAAATCTATGGTGGCACTTTACATTTTCTTATTCCAAATTGCATATTATTAGCAAAGCAAAGGGGAAAAAATGAGATCCCTATTAGTACATTTGTCCTATGTTGAAGGGACCATAGAAGTTTCCATCACAGTTGTGGACTGAATTGCGTCCCCCTGAAATTCATATGTTGAAGCTTTAACACCCAATATGACTGTACTTGGAGATAAGACCTTTCGGGAGGTAATTAAAGTTAAATGAGTTCATAAGGATGGGACCCTAGTCCAGTATGACTGACGTCCTTGTAAGAAAGAAGAGAGACAGCAGAGAGGCACACATGCACAGAGAAAAGACCATGTGAGGGCACAGTGACCAGGGAACCATCTGCAAGCTGAAGAGAGAGGCCTCAGGAGAAATTCCTACCCAGCTGACAGCTTGATCTTGGCCTTCCAGCTTCTAGAACTGTGAGAAATAAATTTCTGTTGTTTAAGCCACCCGGCCTGTGGTATGTTGTTATGGCAGTCCTAGATAACTGATAAAATTGTCAAAAATGCCTTCTTGGGAAAAGGTGAGAAAGTCAAGCCTTTGAGCTGTTGGTTAAATTTATCTTTTGTGGATTCTATGGATTTAATTTGGTTGCTTTGAACAAAAATAATGTAGTCCTTTTATAAAAATAGTATCAGAGCAGCAATAGAAGAGTACAACTTTGAGTTCTCTAAGAGTTAAAATCAAGACTCACCAGATGGGTGGAGTAGGCTTTGATGTATTCAACATGTGAGGAACCTGGTGGAATGTTGGGCACGACGATTTCAACCAGAAACACCTAAAGAAGGAAATGTACTAGTGTCCTCATTGTGGTTGTGTTATGTTGATCATTCCATGAGCTATATCTTTCTCTTTCCTATCTGCATCTCCCAGATTTTCTTCAGTGTGCTGGCATATCTTTTATAATGGAAAACTAAAACATAATTGGCTTGAAAACTTTATATATGTGTGTCTATGTAATTAAATACATAACATTTTAAGCCAATTACTTTTTTATGTTTTATACATTTTATATGTTTTTATTATAAATATATGTAGAAACAATGTTGTCATGCCAGCTACAGTTAAACTGAGGAGGCTGGAATGTTTAATTGGGGATGGATTATGAGAAAAGAAGAAAGTGATTATTGAAGAAATGACGTGAGAGGAGATACGGAGGAAAGGGAATAGGGCATACTTGGGGAGAGTTTTATTGTGCCACTGATGTGGTGAGGATACATGTATTACGGAAAATAAGGCTGGAAAGACTAGAGACATCATTGAAGGCCACGAGGGCCACGTTAAGTACTTTGGACTTTATTGGGCAGGATCAATTAGAACACCATGGTATTAGCACACCATAGATGATAGCACAGTGGTGTACAGGCTTTGAGCAGAGAGACAGTAGTGCTGGAGAGACAGCTTAGGATGCTACAAAGTAATCCTTGAGAGAGTAGCTGTAGTTCCTGAAGAAAATGGCAGAGTGGATGGAGAAGAAAGCATGGATAAAAAAATGACATTATGTAAGTAGAATGGAGAGGATGTGGAGGTAGATTGGAAGTAATGGAGAAGGAAAAGTATAAAGTAATGACATTGCAAGGTTTCCAGCTTATAAGATGGTGAGAATGGTAACTTCGTGATCCCATGTAGTAAACCCAGGAGAAGAGACAGCAAATGTTTTGATTTTAGACACATTGAAGTTCTGATGTTTATCTCTATGGAAACACAAAGTGAGAGACAAGGAGAGCACTAGAACCAAAAGAATGATTCACCTTTCTAAGAGTGGGCGTATAAACTGATCATAAGAGAAAACCAAGGATGGGCCTCAGAGAAGACCACACTTAGAGGGCTGGATGTGGAAGAAAACAAGCAGCCACTGGGGAGAAAGAGCAGAAATAACACAGCTAGATGGAAACAAAGGTCTGAGACAATGTGATGACACAGAAAGTGTTAAGAAAAGCTTATTTAACTTACAAGAAAAAAACAACCCCATTAAAAAGTGGGCAAAGGACATGAACAGACACTTTTCAAAGAAGACATATATGCAGCCAACAATCATATGAAAAAAAGCTCAACATCGCTGATCATTAGAGCAATACAAATCAAAATCACAGTGAGATACCATCTCACACCTGTCAGAATGGCTATTACTTAAAAGTCAAAAAATAACAGATGCTGACATGGTTGTAGACAAAAGGAACATTTATACACTGTTGGTGGGAGTGTAAATTAGTTCAACCATTGTGGAAGACAGTGTGGCGAGTCCTCAAAGACCTAAAGACAGAAATACCATTTGACCCAGCAATCCCATTATAAGTTATATACCCAAAGGAATATAAATTGTCCTATTATAAAGACATATGCTTGCTGAGCGTGGTGGCTCACGCCTGTAATCCCAGCACTTTGGGAGCCTGAGGTTGGCGGATCACCTGAGGTCAGGAGTTTGAGACCAGCCTGGCCAACATGGTAAAACCCTATCTCTACTAAAAATACAAAAATAAGCCTGGTGTGGTGGCACACGCCTGTAGTCCCAGCTACTCAGGAGACTGAGGCAGGAGAATCGTTTGAACCTGGTAGGCAGAAGTTGCAGTGAGCCAAGACTGTGCCACTGCACTCCAGCCTGGGTGACAGGGGAAGACTCCATCTCAAAAAAATGTAAATAAATAAATACATACATAAAGATACACACACATGTATGTTCATTACAGCACTATTTACAACAGCAGAGACATGGAGTCAACCTAAATGCCCATCAATAATAAGAGTGGATAAAGAAAATGTGGTACCTATACACCATGGAATAGTATACAACCATAAAAAAGAATTAGATCATGTCTTTTGCAGGAACATGGTTGAAGCTGGAGGCCATTATCCTTAGCAAACTAACACAGAAACAGAAAACCAAACACCACATGTTCTCACTTACAAGTGAGAGCTAAATGATGAGAACACATGGACACATGGAGGGGAAACAACACACCCTGGGGCCTTTCAGAGGGTGGAGGGTGGTAGGAGGGAGAAGATCAGGAAAAACAAATAGGTAGTGGGTTTAATACCTGGGTGATGAAATAATCTGTACAACAAACCCCCATGACACAAGTTTACCTGTGTAACACACCTGCACATGTACCCCTGAACTTAAAATAAAAGTTAAAAAATAAAATTATGCTGCATAGGAAAAAAAAAAAAAGCTTGTTGTATGCTTGCCATGGTGTGAACATACTTGCTTCTGTGGCCTGAATGAATAAACAGGCTTTAGTAATCAGGGAAACCATTTTACTCCCAGAATCAACAATAGGATGGAGCCTTGCTGTCTAGGATAAGATGGTGCTGGCTATTCATCCTAAGGCCCTTCCTTCCTGCGTCTTGACCTATAAGCTGGCCTCCCTGAAGCTCTCTTATCTTCAACTTGTAGGGAGTATACTCCAGCTCAGAGAAAAACTGCTTCTCTCTTCCCTAGGCACCTCCTTCTGTTTCATTATCTCTTATCAGCTGTGACACAGTCCAAGGTTGTGATTCCAGACAGCAGTGGGCTTGGACATTCCCTCCACACTTTTAGCAAGTCAAGAGGTTATCCAAACAGCCAATGGGCAAAGAGAAGTATCTCTCAAATGGTAATACAAAAAAAATCAACAACTAAAATTGAGACTGCCCTGGCCACCCAAGAACTGTGCTGACTGATCTCACATTATATCCAGACCACTAACCTCAAATGGGCAATCCTACCACACATGCCTAGTTTATTCACCTTTCTGTTTTCCTAAGTTACTAGTTCACATCTTTTTTTCTACCCCCCAAAATTTCCTACTCCCTCACCTTTCCTATTATTCTCATTTGTAACATTTACAGACATCACAGAAGCAGTCACCATCAGCTTTCCACCATCATATCTAACAATTCATACCTGCATTCAGTTCCCAAACTGCAATTCTTCAGCCACGTTGAATTTACTATCATTGCTTTACCAAAATCTAGTCCCCCTCTACCTGGATCCCATACCCTCTCACCTGCTCAGTTGTTTCGTTTCTTGTATTATCCTTTCTCTGATGAGCACTCTCATTAGCACAGAAACACTGATATTTCCCATTAACTTTTCAGAACCCCAGCCCCACTGGTAAGAATAAGAGTATAATGTCTATTTCCTAAATATTTAGATTTTTCCACAAACTCTGTAACCCCCTTTCCTCTTCTTTCCTCCTTAAAGCCTTCTTGCCTCACATATGCTATTTTATTTTATTAGGCACGGTACAAAGAAAGACATAATTGTGAATTTAGTCCTCGTTTTGGCTAATTATTTTCTCATTGGCTTGTGGATACAACACTCTTTCTAAAAATTGGCCAGCTTTCTAGAAAATGCTACCAGAAGATGAGGAAGGATAAGTAGTGTCAATTCTCCATTTATTAACAACAATTTGAAGCGTATTAGCTAAAACCAGATTTATTTTAAGACGAGTGAATCTTGGAAAAAAATCAAAAAGATTGTTTAAATGGTAAGAAAATTACACCTATATTTATCTCCAGGCTTAGTAAGCCTGGAGATTTTTTTAAAGCTGAAGAATGACTTAAGAATGTCCTTTTTTGAGTAGAATTATTCATATGACAATGATTAACTGATTATCAATTCCATTAGTAATGAAGAAAAAATGGGTGTTAATAGAACCTGGAGCATTAGTACATATCTTAATTTTTAGGGATTGAAATGCATTACCCAATAAGTTTTAGCATTCTCTGCCTTAGAGTAGATATTTTCATATAAAACATAACTGCCTCATTAGAATGGCTGTTCTTGAAGTCAGAGGAAGGTAACAGATTCTCTCTCCGAGACTCTTTTACCTCTATGATTCTGAAATGTTTTGTGCTACCATATCGGAGTTATTTTTCCTTCAGTCAAATGAGTTTTTTCTGTTCCCCAAGCTGTGATGAACTCTCAAGAAGCAGGTACATTAACATTTCTAATCCAAACATTTGAAATCCAAAATGCCGAGGTAGTGACGCCTTTGCTTTCCAATGGGTCAGTGTGCTCAAACTTTGTTTCATACACAAAATTATTTAAAATATTACATAAAATCACCTTTAGGCTATATGTATAGGGTGTATATGAAGCATACATGAATTTTGTGTTTAGATTTGGGTCCCATTCCCAAGTATATATATTCAAGTATTCCAAAATTCAAGAAAAATCCAAAATCTGAAATATTTCTGATCCCAAGCATTTCAGATAAAGCATGCTCTACCTGCAGCAAAAATGGAATTAAACGACTTCCAGCTCTCCGTGTCCTTTGTCTGCTCACCTGAGCAGGTCCTTCTGTGAATGGAATTCTCCTCACACAACCACAAGGAATTTTGCCTCTTTTGTTTCTATTCCTTCTCTTTTATGAGACAAAGTGACAGAAGCCATCCAGGTTTAACTATTTTTAACATTTTTACAACTTTGTGCATTCTTGTGTAACTGGCAAATACCATGAAATGGTATTAATTACCACACAGAGGAAACCTTCAACTCACAATGGATTTTACTGTTCAATGGTCATGAATGCAAAGAGTGCATTTGACCTTTAATTCTTCTGCTCCCAGCCTTAGTTAGTGGCCACAGGAATCCAGGATCAATGTTATGTCCATGAACACGACAGCATAGACTTTGACAGGAACTCCAATTTAAGTTTGTGCTTCTGTCATGCTCCTAGCAGATGTGAGCCTTTTTGCTATATAATTTATGTGATTACTTTTTAAACTACAATGCAGAAAAAACTGCATACCTGGTAAGATGCACTAACCATGACAGAGCTATAACACACTATGTGCTACAGAAGAAAACCAGTAAATTGCCTGGATAATTTGGGCAAAAAAAGAAAAAAAATCCATATTTACATGAAATAGCTTAGTAATTCTAATTTAGTACTTTGGGGCCTTTAATATCTAGATGATGGTACTTCTGCTTAATGCCTTCTGGATCTGAATGATGTCTTCAGTGGAGGACATTTTTCACCAAATTTTTTAATCATGAAGGTGATTTTTAAAAAATTGTAAATAACTGAAATCATTTGGAGTGATATCTAATAAGTAAAACAGCTTATCACATTTTATTTCACATTTCTGAGACTGAATCAAGGTGTAACATTAAACTAAAAATGTTGATTGTCTTAGCTGGCTCATAGCAGTCCCTGGGGGGCAGTTGAGTGATGGCTGCTCTTCTGCTGGAATACGGGTTGCTGGAATGAGGGTGCTATTTTGAAGGGCAATACTATTGATATGTTTAGGTTTTGTTTTAGAATAAAAAAAGTTTTATTTCCCTTCTTCTCAGTCATACCTCTTCTTAAAAGTAGTTCCCTTTTTTTAAAAGAATTTCTCTAGCATCTCTTGCAGTCTCTCAAGCCTCTTGTAGTGTCACAAAGCCAAAGCCACTAGTGTCAACAAAAGAGTCAAACCCTGCAAAACATTTGAAGAGATTTATTCTGAGCCAAAGAGTGACTATGGCCCGTGACACAGCCTTCAGAAGGTCCTGAGAACTTGTGCCCAAGGTGGTCGGGGTGCAGCTTGGTTTTATGCATTTTGGAGAGGCAAGAGACATCAATCAAATACATTTAAGAAATACATTAGTTTGGTCCAGAAAAGCAAGACAACTCAAAGGGTGTAGGGGGTGGGAGGGGGGCTTCCAGGCTATAGGTAAATTTAAACCTTTTCTGACAATTGATGGAGTTTGTCTAAAAACCTGGGATCCGTAGAAAGGAAATATTCAGGTTAAGAAGATTGTGGACACAAGGTTTTTTTGAGGTCTTATAGTGGCTGCCGTTAGAGACAATAGATGACAGATGTTTCCTATTCAGGTCTTTAAAAGGTGCTAGACTTTCAGTTAATCTCTTTAGGATTGGGAGGGCCTGAAAGAAAAAGATCTAGCTATGTTAATAGGGATTCTTTACAGATGCAAATTTTCCCCCACAAAGGGCAGCTTTGCAGGGCCATTTCAAGATATGGCAAAGAAATATGTTTTGGAGTAAAATATTTTTATTTTCTTCCTTGTAATGTTATTGATACAGGAGTTAGAAATTACTTAGGCAGATAACGAGGGTACAGAAGTCCTCAGTAAGGTTTTCCTTTTAATGAAAAGCAGCCCCAAATCATTTTCCTTTCTAACAAAGGGCAGCCTGTAAAATTGAGCTGCAGAACTAGATGCCGGTAGTTGTGCCAATCATGTTCAAAATGGCAGTTCCATCTTCCCTTCTCTGCCAGCCAGGTGTATAGTAAGGAGCAGACAAGATGGCACTGGCCAAGGGGCCTTTTGCATAATATGATTAGGGTGGGATGACCAGCCTTCCCCGTGCAGCATGTAAATGGCACACCTGGCCAAACCAATCTGTGGACCCTATGTAAATCAGACACCACCTCCTCAAGCCTGCCTATAAAATCTGCTGTGTTGGCCACTTTTCCCTTTTTTGTCAGAAACCTCTCTCTCAAGAGAGAGAGCTGCTCTGCTGTCTCCTTTCTTCTGCCTATTAAACTCTGCTCCTTAACCCACTCTGTGTGTGTGTGTCCATGTCCTTAATTTTCTTGGCATGAGACAACAAACCCCAGGTATTCAACCCCAGACAACAATGTCACTTCATTATGCCAGAGTCAGGTAGGAAAGTAAGTCATGATATATCAGGTTAAATAAAACCCACCTAATGAGAATTTATGGTTTGTAGGGCATGACTTCCCAGACCCCTTAGCTAGGAATTTGGGCAAGATAAAAAAAATCAGAACTTAGTCCTCATTAAAATTCAGAGTTCTGTATGCAGGAAGGGACAGTATAACTCTCCTGGCCTCAGCTTGTCAGATAGCCATCAAGTGTCATGTCCTTTGCCCCAGCTGCCCTCAGCATGTCATCCTAATGCCAGCCTTGTCACCAAGTGAAGTGTTCAAGCTACACAGCTTGGGAGAGGGGTCCACCTGGTGCATTTTAAGAAGCAGTGGTGAGAGTTAAATCTCGAATAGTTGATGATGTCTCTCTGGAAGCATCCATTTAACATTCCATGTTACTGGAATTTCCAAGAAGACAGAATTACATTTATATTAATACTATGCTTCATGAGATATTAAATTTTTTCTTGGTGTAGAGGAGACTGCCAGTGTTCTGCCTGCTATTGCTGTGTGACCCTCCCCTGGCTTCTGTGTGCTCTTGCTTCCAAAGCTCACACCAATTTTCTTGGAGGGCTACCAAAGTGCTCCTGGGCCTCAGCCCACACAAGGACAGACCTGAAAGTCCCCAGGCAACTCTCAACAAGTGACTGACTGGTGCAGAAATATGAGGCACAGCTTTCTTGCCCTGGGGTCAAGACAAACTCTGAGAAGATAGGCACAAAATGGGAGCCAAGGAATGCTAATTTCTCTTTGTCACTTATCAGCCCAACACTAATGACCCTACATAGCTCATTTTAAAAAATCCCCTATAATCTATTACATAAAGTTTTACTCAGATTTATATGAATGCTTTACTCAGATTTATGTCAGTCAGTCAATAACTTGCATTGAGGATTCCATGTAGACAGAATACTGTGCTTATATTTAGATTCTATAAAGGATACATGAACATGTGTCCTGAGGCATATATAGTTACCAATATATTCTGTTTGTTCTTCTCTGGTTGATGAGGGAAGTGTCTCATTCCTATGAATTCCATTCAACTTTACAGTGCATTACAATGCATATGCCTATGAAAAATTATCAATGGCATTTGGAAATACAAGGTCCAGAGTTGAGATCATAGCCAGAGAATAGAGAAGGGTTTGCTTGCTAAACAGGTCATAGGAGGGGAGTGAGAAAGGAGTCTTAGGGAAGGCTCTCCATTAGGAGACTCAAGGTTGAAGATTACCCAGAGATTAAAACAGAGCAGGTAGGAAGACCTACTACCTAGGAAAACATAGTGTCACAGAAGATAAAAAGAAGTGCTTTGAGAAAGATGCAACAAGAAACTGCCTCTTCATGAGCAAATTCAATCTTATCCGTCCTCCTTCACATTACTAGGGCTGCCCCACACACCACTCCTGTTGCTGCTGCATCTCCCAGGGGACTTGTGTGTTTCTGATTTTATCTTTGTACCTAACACTCTATTTCCATGACATTGTATTTGATAGTAGGGAACATCATCATCACCTTTTCTGAAGTTAGTTTGGCAGGTAGTCTTCTCTTGCAAATATTATCACAAGCTCTACTGAGCTTCATGGGCCCCTCGTTCCTCCTTACTTTGGCTAGTTGTTTCTTGATATCTGAATACTGAACAACAGCATCCACTGTAGCAGCAATAGCCAACAAATGCACAAGCTAAGTAAAAAGAAAAGCAAAATGAATTTCCAAAAAACGGAGGTATTTAATATAAATTTAAAAACATATTCAATATCATAGGGGTTTTCACCATTGATTTCAGCCAAATGGGCAGGAACATTTTCAAGTTCAATTATTTCTGGGCTCCTATATTCCTGTCCTGTAGTGGCCTTAAGAAATGTTCACATTTGCAAGCTGCACCAGACACCATCAGATCTGGTTCTCTCCCTGGGGCCCAAGGATGCTCTTCTTTTTCATCTTTTATTTTGATCATGGAGGTGTTTTCACAGAGTTTATCCCCAGTAGTAAATTACATTCCAATTCTGTGAGTCAGAACAACGTTTTAACATGCACACCAACGTCCGGGTTGCTGTTTTGCTACCAGTTTTGCCTGGGGTGCAGGTATTTTTGGAGATGGGTCTAAAACATCTCAAAACCACATGAACATAGAACAATGAGAACTGGTGATTATTAAAAGATGGTTTTCTTGGCTTTGATGAATTTTCACCACCCAAAAGATGACAGTCTTTTACTATTTTCACTTAACAACAAGAAGAAACAGACCTAAGTACAAGCATTTAAATTAAAAGGAAGAAAATCCCAACAACGCTGACATATGGTATACATTGGAAGTGGTTCCAAAAGCTGAGTGTGAAACGTTCTTCTAGGAAGATGTTAGAAATTGAACAAATTTGCACCAGTCTAGGAGGGTTTGGGTAAAGAGAGGTTCAGCAACCTCTATGTCCCTTCTCACCTGTGCAATTCACAATAATAATGAATCACTACGAGCTTCAAAGTCACAGTCTTTAGCTATCCAAAGTAATTCATGGAAAAGCATTTACAACAGTGTAGGCACTGCTTTTTCGTAGTACACAAATGGCGTAGTGGTTTTGGTTGGCATTGAAAGGAATTCTGGATTTTATAAAAATTGAAGTAAAACAGGTGAAAAATATTATCTGGAATATGTATAACAATTTATTTGCAATCTCAGATAAAAGTTATGTGATATTGTCACCTCAATTAGCCTCATATATCTTCAAGCAGCTCTGTTTTCACATTCAGTAAATAGTTATTGAGCCTGTAATTCAGGACTCTGTGCTAGGCGTTGGAGATGCAGTGATGAATGAAGTAAAGCATCTACCCCCATGAAGCTTATAATCTTCTGGAAATAGACTTTAAAGAAGCAAACAAACAGATAAATTACAAATTGCAAAATACGGGAAGATAATAAACAAGACATCATGATAGAGAATTACAGTGAAGATTTACAGTAATCAGAAACAGTCTCCTAAGTCATTTCTTGGTTATACAAAAGGAGCCAACATGTTATTTTAATGTAATATATTAAATTCAACTACATGAAATTGCCGTCATTTGGCCATATTTAAGCTAAAAAATGGCAATTTCGATGGGCAACCTAACAAAAAGAAACTATGCATTTATATTTAACTAGTCAATTTGGAAAAATTCATTTATAAAAAATAGCGTAACTCACATTCTCTAGACATGCACATGCAAACAAATAAACATGTTTAGTGTCTTTCTGTTTTTTCTAAAAACCTGAAAACTGGCAAAAGCTGGGACAGAGAACAAGTTTGAGGCAGGGCAGATTTTTATTGCTGTATCCGGGATGAGAAAACTGAGACCCAGAGACCTTAAGTGACTTTTCAGGAATCCCTCAGTGATGTTGCAAGTATTTTAAACTAGCGCTAATAGCTGCTTATCTATTATGCGTCTCATTATTTAATTGACTCTACTTCACAATGAAATTTGTTGTTTTTCCCTGTCCCTGTTTTTTTATATTTTGTCAAAAGATGGCCTTGCCCAGTTGTGGCTGAGACTGCTATGTGTTAGTCAAGTTCCAAATTTCCTTTTCCTCGAGGACACAGCTAGACTACATTTCACAGCCTCCCTTGCAATGAGGCACATGCATTCACCTAAGCTCTGGTAATGGTTGCCTCTTCCCATCTTCAAAGCCATCGATGGCCAGTCACATCTTTTTTATATCACATCACTCTGACACTGACTCTTCCACTTTCCTTGGCCACGTGAATGGTCTTGCGATTACACGGGGCTCATCGGGCTGATCTAGCATAATCTCCTGGTCTTAAAGGTCATCTTAATTAGAAATCTTAATACCATCTGCAAGCTTAATTCTTATTTGCCATGTATCCTAACATAATCACAGATTCGGGGGATTAAGACATAGACCAGACAGCTTTGGGGGTCCTTTATTCTGGCTACTCTCCAAGGGTACCTAAAATGTTGCTTTAAAATGAGGCACATGCATTCACCTAAGCTCTGGTAATGGAATGGAGTTGGAAGTGATGTGTCCTCTCCAGGCCAGGCTCGTGAAATCCTTCTACATAATCCTCCACACATTCTCTCCTTCTGCATCTGCTGGAAGGAGAAAGGATTTTAAGGTCTTGGAAGAAGTCGGAGCCACAGGATGGAAGAAGACTGGACTTGGAATGACTATATGGAAAGTGACTAGAGCAGAAACAAACATCTGTCTGAATTCTCCGGGGCAAATAGTACATTCTAATTATATTAAGCCATAAGATTTTTAGAGATTTTTGTTATGGTAGCGAATATCACTTGCCTTAACTAATACCATGACATTGTTTTTTTGTTTTTTGGGGTTTTTTTTTGTTTATTCAGATGGAGTCTCGCTTTGTCGCCCAGGCTGGAGTGCAGTGGCACAGTCTCGGCTCACTGCAAGCTCTACCTCCCGGGTTCACGCCATTCTCCTGCCTCAGCCTCCTGAGTTGCTGGGACTATAGGCGCCTGCCACCATGCCCGGCTAAATTTTTTGTATTTTCAGTAGAGACAGGGTTTCACTGTGTTAGCCAGGATGGTCTCGATCTCCTAATCTCATGATCCACCCTCCTCGGCCTCCCAAAGTGCTGGGATTACAGGCGTGAGCCACTGCGCCTGGCCGACATTGTTATTTTTAAGTGGCTTTTTGTTAGTATTCTGTAGGCATAGCCTGAGTTAGAAGATATGTTACTTTTTTGTGGATGCTGTAACGAATTGCCACAAACTTGGTGGCTTAAAATCACACAAATTTATTATCTTGCAGTTCTGCAAGTCAGAAGTCCAACATGGCTCTCACTAAGCTAAAATTCAGATGTCCTTTCTGGAGGCTCTAGAGGAGAATCTGTTTTCCTCCCTTTCCCAGCCTTCCTAGAGGCTGCCCACATTTCTTGGCTCGTTGCCTCTTCCCATCTTCAAAGCCATCGATGGCCAGTCACATCTTTTTTATATCACATCACTCTGACACTGACTCTTCCACTTTCCTTGGCCACGTGAATGGTCTTGTGATTACACGGGGCTCATCGGGCTGATCTAGCATAATCTCCCGGTCTTAAAGGTCATCTTAATTAGAGATCTTAATACCATCTGCAAGCTTAATGCTTATTTGCCATGTATCCTAACATAATCACAGATTCGGGGGATTAAGACACAGACCAGACAGCTTTGGGGGTCCTTTATTCTGGCTACTCTCCAAGGGTACCTAAAATGTTGCTTTAAGATACAACATAAAGGTGGAATCTAACCTTAAACTTAAACTGAGGATGAACATGTTCACCCAGATCTTCATTATATTTTGATATCTCTCAGGATAAAATTAGTGTGCCTGTTAGAAATACTAAAATGATACTTGCTACCAAATGGCTCTTTAAATAATTAAGAGTATATATACCTAACATCACATAATCATTATTTAATTTGTACATTCTTTAGAGTTCATATTTTTCCAGGGTAGAACATGACCAAATTTATACCACAATTCAGGATAATCTCACCAGGTGGGAAAAATTAGGAAAAGTAATGGTGCAAACATTTTTTTTGTCAGGTAAACATTATTCAGAGAGTCAGTCTTTGCATCTTTTTAGGATCCTCAATTAGAAAGAACTTCTACTAGAGTTCATGTCCTTTGTAGGGACACGGATGAAACTGGAAACCATCATTCTCAGCAAACTATCGCAAGGACAAGAGACCAAACACCGCATGTTCTGACTCATAGGTGGGAATTGAACAATGAGAACACATGGATACAGGAAGGGGAACATCACACTTCGGGGACTGTTGTGGGGTGGGGGGAGGGGGGAGGGATAGCACTGGGAGATATACCTAATGCTAAATGACGAGTTGATGGGTGCAGCACACCAACATGGCACATGTATACATATGTAACAAACCTGCACATTGTGCACATGTATCCTAAATCTTAAAGCATAATCATAATAAAATTAAATTAAAATAAAATAAATCAAAAAAAAAAAGAAGAAAGAACTTCTACTATGTGTAGGGCCGGGTGTGGTGGCTCACGCCTGTAATCCCAGCACTTTGGGAGGCCAAGGTGGGTGGATCATTAGGTCAGGAGTTCGAGACCAGCCTGGCCAAGATGGTGAAACCCCGTCTCTACTAAAAATACAAAAATTAGCCAGGCGTGGTGGCACACGCCTGTAGTCCCAGCTACTTGGGAGGCTGAGGCAGGAGAATCACTTGAACCTGGGAGGCAGAGGTTGTGGTGAGCCGAGATTGTGCCATTGCACTCCAGCCTGGGTGACAAGAGCGAAACTCCGTCTAAAAAAAAAAAGAAAGAAAGAACTTCTACTATGTGTGTATGCATACACACAATCATACATGTGCACGCATTCACACATGAGGAACACAACCACCCTTTCCCCCAGAAAAAAACAGAGGTTGAGGAAGAAAAAACAAGACTTGAACTGAAGTTATAATGAGAAAAGACACTGTAAAAATAACATTGTGGCTTCTGTGGGATCCCATATTTATCCTCTCAGATGCTTCCAGAGCAAACATAGTCCATTTATAAATGAAAGGAGGATTTTGCTGTCAACCTAGAAGTTTCACCTGAGATCTGGGGAAAGAAAGCCCCACCCTCGCTCTTTTAGTCTCTTACCTCATTGCCCGGGAGCAAACACCCCCCACGCATAAAACTCAGTCTTGGTCTCTGAAAATGTAGGCATAGGCATCTCTGCTTAGCTTTGCAGTAGATAAAACAAAAGCAGTTAATATGTAAATCTCCTCAAGAGAGATGGTTTCAATATAGTTTTGTAACATCAACAATTATATCTGAAATGAGGTTTCTCTTGAATCAAAGATCATATCTTCCTGTACTCTAGTCTTAGGATAGAGTACAGAGACTCTACCTGTTATTCAAAAGTTGCCTGGGCACCACAGGAGAGGTGAAAAGGAAAAATCTGTGGTTAGGAAGGAGATGTGCCCCCTTCTGAGGGGTCAAGAATATCCTGAGGGGTCAAGAATACAATGAAGGCCAGATGCAGTGGTTCACGTCTGCAATCCCAGCACTTTGGGAGGCCGAAGCAGGTGGATCACTTGAGCCCAGGAGTTCAAGACCAGCCTGGGCACTATGTTGAAACCCCGTCTCTACAAAAATACAAAAACAAAAACAAAACACAGCAGGGCATGGAGGCGCACACCTGTGGTCCCAGCTACCCAGGAGGCTGAGGTGGGAGGCTCACTTGAGCCCAGGAAATTGAGGCTGCAATGAGCACTTGAGCCCAGGAGTTCGAGACCAGCCTGGGCACTATGCTGAAACCCTGTCTCTACAAAAATTAAAAAAAAAAAAAAACAAAAAAACACAGCAGAGCATAGAGACACATGCCTGTGGTCCCAGCTACCCAGAAGGCTGAGGTGGGAGGATCACTTGAGCCCAGGAGGTTAAGGCTGCAGTGAGCAGTGATGGCACCACTATACTCACTCAGCCTGAGCAACAGAGTGAGACTTCATCTCAAAAATTAAAAAAATTTTTAAAAATGTTTTTAAACTGTCCAAAAAGATTAAATATAAATATATATTTTTCTTCATATATATCTATATATATAAAACAATAGAAAGAGAAGAGGGTTACTAATCAGGCAGGGATGGATTTGAATCCTGACTTCACTGTACTTAACTTAGTATCATACCATGAACAAATTCCACAAACCCTGTGAACCTGGGATTTTTCATCTTTAAGAGGGTGATAATCATTCCTACTTTCAAAAGAAGACTTCTATGATGACTAAATGAGAGTATGTTTGTGAAAGGTCCTAACCTAGAACTTGCCTCATGAGAAGTACTTAGGAACATTTCAGTACACACACACAGCTCGTCCGATAGGCCTGGGCATATGTGCCCTCAAATCTATTCCTCACCCCTACCCTGTTTTTTCTTTCTATCACAAAGGGCATAGCCTCCTGCAGGCTACTTTCCCCATACTCCCATATTGCCTGGCTTCTGGCTGGGTTTCACCCATGGGAAATATTTGTGGGAATTAGAAGGCAGGGGTTATAGGGACAACCCAAGGTATTTTATTCCCCTTTTCCTGCCCCCAGCCTTTAGTGGTTGCTCTGGTAGCAGCTACATTTTCTTTACGTCCCTTCTAGCAGACAGACCCACGACAATTCCAGCTTTGGTCAAGTGGTCTCAGTCCCTTAGGCATGGTGAGTGCCACTTCCTTCCAGCTGACGGATGATAATGCCTGGCCTCGGGGTTCACTCACTGAAGCTTATGCAGCCTGGTTTGGCTCTCTACTTCTCCATCACTTGTGTAACTAGTTCCCTTCATCAGAATCCCTGTTTTAGATGCTGAAGGTAGTTTTGGTGTTTCTGGTTTTCTGGTTAGATCCCAACTAATACAGTTCTTTTCCTCTTTCCTTGGCAGTGAGAGCAGAGGGAGCAATATAAAGATTGGGAAACAGCCTGCCTCAGATTTACTGAATCCCAGCAGACTTTGCTGTAGTTACCTCCCTATTCTTTAGCTCTTCGGTCTTCCGGTCTTAGCTTTGACTTAAACATCACTTGCTCCCTCTAAGTGATCAATATGATCCAATGATCTATAGAGAAGGAAAGTACCAAGAAGCATATACCACTACCAAAGTGAGTGGTTTGAAGGGTACCATGGGTCTCTTCAAATAGAAGAGCCAGTTAGTTTAGTTGTTCATCATCCTAAAGATTAGAAAGCAGGGCTTTCCAGCAGGTAAAATAACTAACAATGGGCTAGAAGTGTTCTGATGTGCAAAGTAGGTGGACAAGATGGGCAGTATTAGTGCCTTGGGAGAAACCACTTGAGGGACCTTTTATTCACTTCACTCAGATGTCCGCACAAGTGACACCTCAGAGAAGCCTGACCACCCCGTCTAGAGTAGTACCATCATCACCATTGCTAATCTCTTTTCTGTCACTTCAAAGCACTTGTGAATATCTACATTTATTCCTTTATCATTTGTTGCCTTCTCTAGCAATGGAAGCCTCAGGAGGTCAAGAGCTTTATTTATAATTTGTCACTAAAAGTCAAGAACTTAGCACTGTATCTGACACTCGCAGTAGACACTCAGAAAATATGTACTGAGTGAATGACTGAATGTGACAGGGTGCCTTGTGTATGGACGTGCCTTCTCCAGGCTACACATGCCCTATCTCAGGCAAAGGTATTACCAACTTCTACCTGCAAATCCCAAATTAACCACCAGGAGGCCCTTCTATGCCTTAACAGAAAGCATGCAATCACCTGGTTTCAAGCAATGGGTTATTGTCACTTCTGAGAATCTCTTTTTCTTCTTCTTCTTCTCCTTCTCCTTCTCCTTCTTCTTCTTCTTTTCTTCTTCTTCTTCTTCTTTCTTTTTCTCCTTCTCCTTCTTCTCCTTCTTCTTTCTTCTTCTTCCTTCTTCTTCCTCTTCGTCTTCTTTTCTTCTGCCTCTTCCTTTTCCTCCTCCTCTTCCTCTTCCTCCTCCTCCCTTCTCCTTCTCCTTCTTCTTCTTCTCCCCCTCGTCCTCCTCCTTCTTCTTCTTCTTATAGCCTTATTGAGATATACTGCATATACCATGAAATTCACCCTTTTAAAGTACACAATTCATCAGTTTTTAGATATTAGCAGAGTTGTGCAACTATCACCATTATCTAATTCAGAAGATTTTCGTCATCCCAAGAAGAAACTGCATAGCCATTAGCAGTCACTCCCCCACTCCTACCCCAGTACCTAGAAACCACTAATCTACTTTCTGTGTCTATAAATGTGCCTATTCTTCACATTTCATACAAATGGAATAGTATATTATGTAACCTTTTGTGACTGTGTTCTTGCGCTCAGCATAATATTTTCAAGATCTGTCCATGTTACTGCAGGTACCAGCATTTCTTCCCTTTTTATTGCCAAATACTTTACTGTATGGATATACCCTATTCTTCCTTTCATCAGTTGCTGGAAATCTGGGTTGTTTCCATTTTTTGGCCATCATGAATAATGCTGCTATGAAAATTTGTACACAAGTTTTTGTGTGGACATATATTTTCTTGTATCCCCCCAGCTTTATTAAGATATAATTGGCAAATAAAAATTGTATATGTTTATGATATACAATGTGATACTTCGCTGTTTACTTATCTGAGTTTATCTTGTTTTGTCTCTTCTTTTTTTTTTTTTTTTTTAAGAAAGAATCTTACTCTGTTGCCCAGGCTGGAGTGTAGTGGTGCAATCTTGGCTCACTGCAACTTCTGCCTCCCGGGTTAAAGCAATTCTCATGCCTCAGCCTCCCGAGTAGCTGGGACTACAGCTAATTTTTGTATTTTTAGTAGAGGCAGGGTTTTACCATGTTGGCCAGGCTGGTCTCGAACTCCTGACCTCAACTGATCCATCTGCCTCAGCCTCCCACAATGCTGGGATTACAGGTGTGAGCCACTGCACCTGGCCTTGATTTTGCCTCTTTAATCCTTATTGGTTTTTGCTTTCTGAATATCTACCTGGACCTTTTCTTCTATTCCTTGCTCATGTATTTGCATGAATACCTAGCTAGCCTCTGACTCCATCTTTTAAACTAGCTACAAACTCACGTGTATGTCTTGGCTTCTCACTATTGACCTAACTGCTACTGACACCTTAGACTCCCAGTTCCTGGTTCTCTTTTCTTATGTATATCCATGTTCCATGTGTCCCAGCACTCACATGTTAAAATAACAGAAAGAGAAGACATAGAGGAAAAAATAGGATATACTGAAAATGGAACATTTTCTGCTCTACTATTTTGTCCTGGGTTGGACTTAACCAAGAGCACCTTGAGTTTCGACTTGTTTGAGCTGATGACTGAATATATAACCTTGAGGAAAGTTATTTGACCTTGAAGTCCAGCTTTCCCCAAGGTAACTATGCTATAAAGCAGAAAGCTAATGCAGAGCTGCACATTGCCAGAGGAGCTCCAATGCTGGGCTGATAAATAATAAGTAGAATTAGTCCTGCTAATCCCTAGTTGCTGCAGGCTTCTGTGCTAAGTTCATAATGTTGAAGTAACACCTTTTCAATTCCTTACATAACAGTATTTTGTGCTTTGGAACAGCCTCACTGACCTCCCTGTCTTACTTAGATAGCAGTGGTGGAATGGAGAATATTTGGCCTGGGAGTTAAGAAAGTTGGATTCCAGTTTCAAGCCTACCACTCATTAGCTATGTGACTGGACATTTCACCTCTTAGGACCTTCCTGTTCTCATTTCTATATAAACAGTTTGGACTTCGATGATCTCTGAAAGAATTTCAAGCTTTACAATCCCATGTAACCAAGAAAATAAGTAAGCGCATTCTCTACGGGGCACCTACAAAATTTGCTGGTGTATGTATGGTTTTTGCCAAAATGACACTCAAAACAACATCTTGACTATGATGTGGTGAGAGGAACTCTGGAATCTCAGTGCTTTTTTTTTTTTTAACAGTCTCCTTCAGCTTTTTTTGGCTTCCATTTCTTCACCTATAAAATAAAGAGTTTGAGCAAGATCATCTTCAGCCACCTTTCTTTTTCTGAGGTTTTATAATTTCTGCATTTCTGTGACTATAAAAAGTATGGCCAGGCACTGTGGCTCATGCCTGCAATCCCAACACTTTGGGAGGCTAAGGCAGAAGGATTAGTTGAGCCCAGGAGTTTGAGACCAAGTCTGGGCAACATAGCGAGACCCCCCATCTCTACAAAAAAAATTTGAAAAATTATAAATTGTCCAGATGTGGTGGCTCATGCCTGTAATCCCAGCACTTTGAGAGGCCGAGGTGGGTGGATCACCTGAGGTCAGGAGTTCGAGACCAGCCTGACCAATATGATGAAACGCCATCTGTACTAAAAATACAAAAATTAGCCAGGCATGGTGACATGTGCCTGTAATCCCAGGTACTGGGGAGGCTGAGACAGGAGAATCGCTTAAACCCAGGAGGTGGAGGTTGCAGTGAGCCGAGATTGCACCACTGCCCTCCAGCCTGAGCAACAAGAGTGAAACTCCATATCAAAAAAAAAAAATTAAAAATTAGCCAGGCGTGGTGGCACATGCCTGTTGTCTCAGCTACTTGGGAGATGGAGGCAGGAGGATCACTTGAGCCCAGGAGTTCGAGGTTGCAGTGAGCTATGATCGCACCACTACAGTCCAGCCTGGGCAACAGAGCACGGACCAGTCTCTAAAAAAAAGGGTCTATTTGCCTGGCATGTACTATAAACAAGTTACAAGTTTTCACATCTTTAAAAACAAACAACTACAGAATGACACTTGGAATTTTGGTGAAAGAGGTATAAAATCCTTTTCACCTTAATACATGCTTTTCCATATGGTAAATTTCAGGAGGAAAAAACATATCATTTTGTTATTCATGATCAGATAGATAGATAATGTATAATAGAGGGACTAGAAAAAGGAGTAGTAACTAATATGCCTATGTGACTTAATGTGATTGCCAGTGTCACACCATAAGCCATGTTTTGTATTTGATAAAATGTGGTCTCAATTGATCCAATCCTTGCCCTTATTTTATTTTTCATGCTTTTGAAATTGCACCCAATCCTTAGAACTTGATTTGCTAGAGTCAACATCTCTAAGATTGATTGAAGAGCTTTTATTTTTAACTAAACTGTCAATATTATCCCCAGAAGCACATAATCTTAATTAACATTGAGAAGAATTAATTTCTTAACTTTATTGAAAAATACTAATTAAAAATAGATTAAGAAACAAAAATGCTTGAAACCTATGATTCATATTATTATTTTCCAACAGGGAAAAAAAAAGGATAGGGTAAGCCTTCCCATTCCTTAAAGAGAAAGCATGTGAATACCATTGCTTATCTTAAAGAGAAAAATCTTGTGATAATTAAAAGAAAGGCATATGTAAAAGCACTTAGTACAGTGCCTGGAAGACAGCAGATGTTTGGCAAATGTAATTCTCCTTCTTTCCTTTCTCCTTTCTACAGATGGATTCCTAAACAACCCTCAAGATGATCCTGAATCCTGAGAGTTCTAAGTCCTCCCCACTCTGTCATTCACTTTGGCTCTGCCCTTTTGCTAAAGCCTAACAATATCTCTATGCTTCACATACTCTTACGCTGTTCATTTTATTTCTACTTGTGTCTAAATAGATTAGATGAAAGGCACAAGACATGAGGAGTCAAGATGCAGCATGCTTTAAGGATTCTGCCTTTTACCAGGGTCTATTTTTAAGTTTTGAGCTCTGAGAACATACTGTGTATGGAAGTGAGTAATAATGCTTGTTCAGCTTTCCTCGGTTTGGGACCTTTCCCATCTCCTTCTAGGACAGCAGAGTTTCCAAGCTATAGGTAGAGGTCAACATTCTCTGCGGGGCACCTACAAAATTTGCTATTAGGACCTCTGGGTTTGGGGTACAAACTGGCAGATTTAATGGGCTTCTAACATTCCCTATACCTCAACTATAGCTAAAATTATTGAGTTCCATTCTCTGTCATTGATTTATGCTTTACCAGATTTTTAATGGTAACTAAAACTGTTCAATAATATATTAATACTTAGTCTATTTATATGTAATGATTTATGGAAATGACATATTATATACTTAGTTTATTTATACCCATCATTTTGTCACAAAAAATTGGGGTAGCTTTTATCAAAATATATGATAAATTTATAAGACAGAAAATCAGGGCCAAAGAGAAAAGGTGCCTGCTAGTCAATGTGGTTGTTGTGACTGGGCCTCTCATTTAATTATGACCTCCCTGGCAGCCAAGACCAGCCAAGACCTGGCAGCCAAGACCTCATCAGGGAGGCAGAAGTACACCAGTATCTAGAAGTGAGATAAAACTATACCCTAAATTCTAAATAAAATTATACATGGACTTCACATAGGAGACACAGAACTATTTAACGACTGAACCATCAGTATAGTCACAACAAATTAAGAAGTGGGTTTCAGATGGCAATTTTCGATGGTATAGAACTAAAGAACAACTTTGAAAATGTGTGATATTTCAAAGTGTTCAGACCAGTTCTGAAAGTGTCTGGAAATGCAGTTAGTCCCAGGGGAAAATGTAGGGTGCTTAGAGAAGGGAACAGACTCAATGTCTTGGATAACCCTCCAAGAATGCCACTTCTTACAACTCAACTGCTGAAAGACCATGTAAGAGATCACACTTTTAGACAAAGGTTTAGCAGTCTGGGCTTCTGCACTAGGAAAAATCCTTAAACTTTGAAAATCAAATGAGCAAGCACCAATGTGTTAGGCGCCTATCTCATGCTCCAGCCTGAACTGATGACCATACTGTGTATTAGTGTATAGGAGCATTGTATTAAGAATCTTCACAGGCTGGACGTGATGGCTCACGGCTGTAATCCCAGCACTTTGGGAGGCCGAGGCGGGCGGATCACAAGGTCAGGAGATCGAGACCATCCTGGCTAACATGGTGAAACTCCGTCTCTACTAAAAATACAAAAAAAAAATTTAGCTGGGCATGGTGGCAGGCACCTGTAGTCCCAGCTACTTGGGAAGCTGAGGCAGGAGAATGGCGTGAACCTGGGAGGTGGGGCTTGAAGTGAGCCAAGGTCATGCCACTGCACTCCAGCCTGGGCGACAAAGCAAGTCTCTGTCTCATACGTATGTTAATGGCGGCACTGTTCACAATAGCAAAGACTTGGAACCAACCCAAATGTCCATCAATGATAGACTGGATTAAGAAAATGTAGCACATATACACCATGGAATACTATGCAGCCATAAAAAAGGATAAGTTCATGTCCTTTGTAGGGACATGGATGAAGCTGGAAACCATCATTCTCAGCAAACTATCGCAAGGATGAAAAACCAAACACCGCATGTTCTCACTCATAGGTGGGAATTGAACAATGATGAGAACACTTGGACACAGGAAGGGGAACATCACACACCGGGGCATGTCGTGGTGTGGGGGAGTGGGGAGGGGGGAGGGATAGCATTAGGAGATATACCTAATGTAAATGGCGAGTTAATGGGTGCAGCACACCAACATGGCGCATGTATATATATGTAAAAAACCTGTACGTTGTGCACATGTACCCTAAAACTTAAAGTATAATAAAATAAATAAATAAATAATCTTCACAGTAACTTGACTTTATTTAACAAACTAGGATTGGCTGAGGTATAAGATATTTTCATCAGACTGCGCTTTCCTTACACCTTCCCATTAAAACCCATGTGTCACTTCAACAGGGGGCTTTCCCCACCTCCTGTGCTCAGCTGGGGCTCCCTCATGCATGGTGCTACCTTACCACTCATCATACTTTAGCTATAATTAGGTGTTTAATATTTTTCCTGCCCTCCAGGCAAGAAGAGGACAGGAAACCTATCTGTCATTCTCTTGTTATGATATCACCATGTCTAGAATAGTGCTTGATTTGTTATTTGTCCTCCAACTCATTTGTCAAAGGATTGAATACATGGATAATTTCGCTGCGTTTCAGTTTCGCTTCCTAGATCATTCCATTCATCAGGAGTGAGCTCAGTTGTATGTATGTTGGATGTAATAGGATGTAAACATCATTTAATCTTTAAAGCCATCCCATGAGATAAATATGATTATTATCTCCATTTTACTGATGAGAAAGCTGGGGCACCAAGAGGGTAGATAATTTCCCAGGATCATACTGCTGGTAAGTGGTGCAGCTAGGATTCATTCTTGGGCAGCCTGGCTCAAAATCCACAATCTTCACCTTCAGATAATATGAAATCTATAATAAAATTACCATTAGGGATCTTAACAAATTCTTCTTCTCACACTCAAGAGTGTAGTAGAATCCACCTACTACACTCTTACTGACTTTAATTATTGGTAACAACTTGTTTCAACCTGTGTCTTCTTGATAAAAAGCTAAGATTAGACATCATCTCATTGTTTATTGGCTCATTGTATTTTTAGGAAACTAGAGCATGTGACTAACTAAAGTGTTGCTCTTACAGACTCGGAGGCATGGGGGAAGGTACCAACATCAATTGTCTCTGTTATTAAGGAGATCATGAATTGGTCCTCCTGGCCAGTCCTCTTCGGAGAGGAAAGGGGGCAATGTTACTAATTTTATCAAGATGACAGGCATAAAGCAGGACTGTCCCAGACAAACTGGGAGCAGCGTCACCTTACCTATTTTTTACCATTGCATTAGGCTAGTTTTAGTTCCGAGCTGTGGTGGCTGCAATAGTTTTATTCAGCACATGATGTGGACCACGTTCATTTTGTAACATTCCAGGAATTGCACAACTATGTGTACTGTGTAATTTGTCCCCTCAATTTGTCCTCTTGGGAGACTACACACCTATTCCAATGATGTTGCAATTGTTCAGAATATTTTCTATAATTCTATTTGGCATCTCCTTCTGAACCAGTTAATGGCCTCTTTAAAAAGTCAATATGAATACATCTTGTTAATCTTTTTATTCCACTTAGTCAGCTCCTTGCATGTAGAGACAGTCAATAAATATTTGCTGAACTCAACAAAATGGAATTAGTTTCCAAAGCTTGAAATTACATTCAGAGGACAAAGATTTCTCACTTCTGAGTCTATTCAGTAGGACGAAACTCAGGAAAAAAGACTGGAAATTATAAATATATATCCCCATATATATAAAACACATTAAAAATGCCTGTCTCTGGGTTTTAGGATTCTAATTATGAATTCAGAAAACAATAAGAACAAGACAAAAATTAAAATTTCAGTATGAACATGTATTATTTTTAAATTTAAAAAATTGTGATTTTGCTTTGTCTTTACATATGATGCCTCATACATATTTAATAATTTCAAAGAATTTCTGAAATATGTTACATAATCTTGCCATTTGGGGAATATGTGTACAACTTTCAAAAGTGATTACTTTGAAAGGGACAACACACATTTAGATGAGTACATTCTGTAATGTTTGTTTCAAAAAATAATCCACCGCTTTATAATCATGCTTCTATTTTAGATGTTTTTGTGAATATAAGTCATGACATGGATCCTATGAGGGACATGATTTTAAAAATAAGAGAAATAAACAGATGACACTTAGGGTCAGGGCACACAGCCAGCTGCCTGGGGAGTAGTTTCTAAAGCTGTGCTGTCCTCCAGCCCTGTGAAACCGAGCAGCCACTATGCTTCAATCAATAGTTCTACTTCGTGATAAGCAAGATGGGCCCTCACCTGGCCAGATATGGAGAGACCGAGAACACGCGTTACCATTCCAGCTTTATGGAATAAAATTGAACCATAGAAGTTGCAACAATTTGCCTCCATTGGGAGTGCAGTGAGGGCCTGTTGAGCTTTCAGACCAGAGCCTGGGGGAGGGCATACAGAGAGGACCCACATCAATACACATGTATTTCTGTCAACTGCATAACCAACTAAAACAGCCACACCCTAAACTCAAACTGCCCCATAAACCAAGAGCTAATTAAACACAAACAGAGTTGTTATCACTCACCGCGGGATGGAGTGGTGTATGGTGAGGGTGTTCTGAGTGAGGGTGTCCATGTCAATAATGAGGCTTTCTATGAAGAGAACTTTCTTAAACTTGTTGATGGGAGAACGGGAGGGCGGAGGGGGAGGGCACCGTGGCCGCGGTGATTTAGGTTAAAGGAGGCCATTTTACCCGCTCCTCTTGAGCCAGGGCCCCTGGAAGGGGCCCACATTTAGAGCAGATGTTCCCGTGTGACTGTGTCTGCTGCTTTCTCTGTAGGGGAAGACGGGGCTGGGCTGAAGAGGAGGTGGGCCCATGGGAAGCCAACGCTGGTTCCCCTCTGGCAGTGGAAAGGAGAAGCGTGCTGCCCGTTGTCAAAAAAACATTGTAAAGTACCTGTTTATGTGCTGAAGTAATTTCTAATTACGTGGTCTGGTGTGGTTAGAAGAGGGAGCTCAGCCCCAGGACAGTGGCCATCCTGTTCTTTCTGCCCTGAGCCTCCTCGTGTGACTGACGGGCTGCGAGTCACCTCACCTCCTCCCTTCTCCAAGCTCCCAGCTCTATGATTTGGCTAAAACTTCACATTCATTCAGTCCTTAGCATCCGGCATTCTCAAGCCCCTGAAAACTTTAGACTAATTAATAGCATCCATTTGAGGCTGGAAATCATTATTATAAAGATCATGATGCCTTTAGTTGATGGTACACAGAGTTTAAGTCGTTTCCTGCCAAGGGCCAGAATCCCTAAATGCTGGTGAGAGCTAATCTTGGGCTATCACCACTCAATTCCACACCCTCCTAGACCACACCAGGGACTTCACAGGGTGCTCTGAGGATACAGGAGTGTTTATTCAGCCTTTGGGACAACGGTGTTGGAGAAATACAAAGCATTTCTAATACAGATGGGGGTTTATTTTCTCAAAGCCACACAAGCATTCTTGAACCCTCAGCTTGCTGGGTAGAGCTCCTTCCTGGGCATCTGCTCTCCACTGGAGACGTCACAAGTACAGGCTGTTGGTAGTAGGATGAATTACTGCTACTTAGTTTGGTTTGTCAATTTTCCTCTGAAAAAAATCACAACGTACTCCTTGAAAAAATAAACTTTAAATAATCAAAAAGTACATCGAATCCAGAGTGACAGTGGAAAGAACAATGCTTCCTCAACATTTATCCTATACCCACCCCCAGGGGCTTCCAATTAGACTTACCAGTGCCAAACACTCTCCAGCTTCTTCTTCGTCCTTCCAAGCAATAGCACAATTAAAATTAATATTTGGAAGGGCAGAAAGCACAGTGTGACTGGCAACTCCATTATTTTCTAGCTACGTAATTTGGCCAAGTTCTTTAAGCCTCTCTAAGCTTCAGTTTTCTCATCTATAAAATGGAAATAATTATAAAACCTACTTCTCAGGGATATTTTGAAGATTAAATAAGATACTCACTTTGTACAATTAAATAATGTTCACCATTAGTTTTAAGAATACATATACTCCTTTTTTTGACAAAATAGAATCATTCCAGGCATGGGTTTTGCAAAGTGGCTATTTTTTATCCAACCTTCTGCCATGCCCAAAAGGATTTTCCCCCATGTTAGTTTGTAAAGATGGTGTAATATTCAGAGTATTAGCAACCAGCCTGACCCAGATCCTGAGCAGGCAGTAAGAATGCACTGAATAATTTGAACAGATGCCAAGCAAAATTAGCAGATGGGTACCACTGAATATCAGCAATGTCTAGACAGCCGCCTTATTCTCTTTTATTTTAATCACCTCTTTAATTTCTTTAGAACATTCCATCATTTCAATAGTATTTTTTAAAAACATGCTTATATATACTTGATTTCTTGCTTAATGGCTTTGTGTCAAAAAACATGCTCTATATGACTTCTATCCTTTGGAGTTGGTTCAGAATTATTCTTGGTCCAGTACAGTGTCAAATTTTTTGAAAATGTTCCATGTGTATTTTGAAAGAATGCACATTCTGCAATTGTTGAATCCATGTTTTTATATGGCATAAAATCAAGTGTTTTAAACTGTGTTTTCCAAATTTCCGCGACTCCACTAGGTTTTGTTGTTTGTTCTGTTGATTATGGAAAGCAGTATATTAGAAATGCGTCATTGGAATTGTTGATTCTAGACCAATGGAACAGAGCCCTCAGAAATAATGCCACATATCTACAACTATCTGATCTTTGACAAACCAGACAAAAACAAGAAATGGGGAAAGGATTCCCTATTTAATAAATGGTGCTGGGAAAACTGGCTAGCCATGTGTAGAAAGCTGAAACTGGATCCCTTCCTTACACCTCATATAAAATTAATTCAAGATGGATTAAAGACTTAAATGTTAGACCTAAAACCATAAAAACCCTAGAAGAAAATCTAGGCAATACCATTCAGGACATAGGCATGGGCAAGGACTTCATGTCTAAACCACCAAAAGCAATGGCAACAAAAGCCAGAATTGACAAGTGGGATCTAATTAAACTAAAGAGCTTCTGCTCAGCAAAAGAAACTACCATCAGAGTGAACAGGCAACCTACAGAATGGGAGAATATTTTTGCAATCTACTCATCTGACAAAGGGCTAATATCCAGAATCTACAATGAACTCAAACAAATTTACAAGAAAAAAAACAAACAACCCCATCAACAAGTGGGCAAAGGATATGAACAGACACTTCTCAAAAGAAGATATTTATGCAGCCAAAAGACACATGAAAAAATGCACATCATCACTGGCCATCAGAGAACTGCAAATCAAAACCACAATGAGATGCCATCTCACACCAGTTAGAATGGCAATCATTAAAAAGTCAGGAAACAACAGGTGCTGGAGAGGATGTGGAGAAATAGGAACACTTTTACACTGTTGATGGGACTGTAAACTAGTTCAGCCATTGTGGAAGTCAGTGTGGCGATTCCTCAGGGATCTAGAACTAGAAATACCATTTGACCCAGCAATCCCATTACTGGGTATATACCCAAAGGATTATAAATCATGCTGCTATAAAGACACATGCACATGTATGTTTACTGCAGCACTATTCACAATAGCAAAGACTTGGAACCAACCCAAATGTCCAACAATGATAGACTGGATTAGGAAAATGTGGCACATATACACCCTGGAATACTATGCAGCCATAAAAAATGATGAGTTCATGTCCTTTGTAGGGACATGGATGAAGCTGGAAACCATCATTCTCAGCAAACTATCACGAGGACAAAAAACCAAACACCACATGTTCTCACTCATAGGTGGGAATTGAACAATGGGAGCACATGGACACAGGAAGGGGAACATCACACACCAGGGCCTGTTGTGGGGTGGGGGGAGGGGGGAGGGATAGCATTAGGAGAGATACCTAATGTAAACGATGAGTTGACGGGTGCAGCACACCAGCATGGCACATGTATACATACGTAACAAACCTGCATGTTGTGCACATGTACCCTAAAACTTAAAATAAAAAAAAAAATAAAAAAAAAATTAAGCCTAAGGCCAGCTGAGAAAAAAAAAAAGAGTTGTTGATTCTTCAATTTCTCCTTGTTTGTTTTGTCAGTTTCAGTGGAGGCTGTACTAAATGATTTCCAATTATCCTCACAGTTCTAATACAGGCAAAGTCTACTACTATCTCCTTATACATTATGTGGTTCAGTTTTGCCTCCATCGTGGTACATGAACTATGATAGTATCAATTTTTTTAAGATGGTTAAACTTTTTTTAAAAAAACCTGATAAGCTATTCACTTATTTCATGTGTATCTTTAAAAAATAGCCAGCCTGGGCACACAGCAAAACCCCATCTCTACGAAAAAATACAAAAATTAACAGGGCCTGGTGGCATACCCCTGTATTCCCAGCTACTCAGGAGGCTGAAGTGGGAGGGTCGCTTGAGCCTGTGAGGCAGAGGTTTGCAATGAACCGTGATCGCACCACTGTACTCCAGCCTGGGAGACAGAACAAGGCCCTGTCTTTAAAAAATTAAAAAATAAAATTAAAATTAAAAAATAGAAAACAAGTTGAAGATGTCATGGGTTTATTGCTTGAAATGAAACTAAAATTAGCTATTTAAGTTCTTAAAAGAGAGTCAACTTAAAGGAAAGTAATTCATGAATAAAGTTAACAGATTATACTACATTATGTGAATGTAGTTCACAAAAGACTAAGATTTAAGAGACCTTGAACTAGGTAATAAATTAAAGAAAACCTCTTACACAACAAGAAGCATGTATTTAAATTGCTGTGCACCCTGTGGGCAGACAGTAACTAGAGTGATGTTTCTTTATAATGCTACAATAGGAGTTGGGACTAATGCTGGCATTATATACTAATAATGGTTTTTAAGGGTTCTGAGTTATTTATACCCTGCTTTTTTGTTGAAACAATTTCAAGTGTTATCTAGGTGTATTTAATGTATTGCTCTTCCAAAACCACTATGTTTCGATTGTTGATTTCTGGTTAAACCTGTGCACTTTACTTCTTTACCTCTTACTTTTGGACTATTTCACCAGCTTTTAGGTGAATAAAATAAGTGAGGGGGCGGTTGAAGTTTTGATTTGGGATTATTTGTGGGAATGTTAGTTTACCCTTCCTGAGGCCACTAACAGAGGTAATAGAGGATTTCCAATAGTTTGATCAGTTAAAAAACTGACAGAATTTGGGCTACAATTCTCCAACAGTAACATGGTTTATATCTATGTAGTCTTTAAATGTTGCAAAGCACTTTCACAGATACTGTTTAATGTAATCTTCACACGACCTTGTGAAGAGTGTGGTTATACAATGTATGAGGGAACCCTAGGAAGATTGTAATTAAGAGTTTTTACAGTTAGAGAATTGTCTTTTAGGACATTTGAAAGCAGCTGGTGTATTTCAGGAGAAAATGGATTTATCTTCAGATATAGCCTTCTTTTGTCCAGGGAGAGATCGCTATGGAGCTGATGGAGGGCAGTACATTATAGACAGTTCTTTAGAAAGCTTTTTGGACTGAAATGTTAAGAATTTGGTTTCATAATGTAAAGCAAGTCTATTAGCAAGACCATGAATCCAAAGATTTAGACAACTTTTAAAATTTGTTTTAAGTTTCCTTATGCTGAAAAATCGTATTTATTGTTGGAGAGACTGTCTATGGTCTTGCCTCAACACTAGCTCATAGGAAAGGGGTGATTGACTGATGGTCAAAAGGAATGGACAAAGTTCACCTTCTCTTTCACATCATCTATGATGTACTATGAAATGTACTATTCCTAGGTGTGAGGAGTGTTGGCTAAACCAATGATTTCTCAAATATGGTGTCAGTAAGGGCTTAATAACCCAGACATCAGACTTTGGGATATATACTGTGAACTACTGTGATATCCGTGTCTATGGCATGTGAGCCAGGACGCATCTTGAAGATGGGGGTTGGCATTTTCTTGAAGAACATAGATGTCCCTATCATGATTCATCCTGGGGAAGGAAATGAAGCATGAGGTGATGAGTCTTGAATATGCCCATTTTTAGGAGCTGAGCTGGCTTCACTTCTCATGGAAGCTTGATAGGAGCTGTATAAATAATCAGGGTTTGGGTCTGGAAACTTCTGGGAGCAAATACAAGTGAAGGTGGGTTCACCATAAAACTAATGAAGTTTAATTTCCAGCATTCTTTACTTTGTAGGCCCCTTTCAAAGATCTTGGGAGGGGGCTTAACAATGTGTGTACATGGTCATGTGTTTTTAAATTTGCAAGGTAAGATATGTTTGTATTCTTTTTCTTACAGAAAGCCCCCAAATTATATAAACATTATTCCCCACAGAATCTGGATCTGTTTTTGTTCTAACGTAATTGATGTTATACTTTTGTTATCTCCAAGCCTTTGAAACCGTTCTGCTAAATATTGTGGCCTTATCTCACCTGTTCTTTGGAGGAATTGAAGGGGACTGGGTGTACACTTTGCATGAAATGGTGCTGGGTTATGGCAATATCCTGGAGAAGCTGGTTATGAAATGAAGTAAGTTGACTAGCAAAGAGTGGAACAGAGGTCTGGAATGACTGTTAGGAGTCAGAAGACTGTGGCAGTACAAGAAAAAGTGTGGGCCAATGCAGGAGCATGCCTAGAACGAGCATGCTCACCACAACCTCCATATATATTAAAGGCAAGGAAACCTTGAAAGAAGATCCTTAACACCACTATTTATGTGTGGCCATCTCGAGTCATATTCATTTTAGAGATTAGAAGAACTAAAGAGAACAGAGACGGAGCAAACAACCTGAACAAGACTATTAAGCTAGCTATCAGAATTAACAGGAATAGAGCCCAAGTCTCCCTGATTTCATGGTCAGTTTCAGTCATCCTGAAACTGGTACCTTTCAGGTTATAAGGTTATACGTTCCTATCTAGGAAAATTGAGCAAAAGGGGAAAAGAGCAACTTTAAACTCATTTTTGTTGCTGTTGTAGTGACATATCTACCTGTTTACATGAAGTGATTGATAATACCCCAGAATTCTTGGGAGGTTAGCCCAGGAAATTTCAACAAATTTCAAACTAGACTTTGTAGTCAAAGCTCTGTTACTATGTGTCGCTCTCTGGTTCCATTTATAAGAATTCCAAAAGGGGAGAAAACTAATCTGTGGTGACAGAAATCAGAAAGTAATTGAGGAGGGGACAGGGGAGTTGATGGGAAAAGGGGCACAAGGGAACTTAGTTGTTCTAGATCTTATTACTGTCAAACCTCCTCAAACTGAATACCTAGGAACTGTGCCTTTCATTATACTTAATTAAACTTTAATACAAATATAAAAATAAATTAAGACTAACAAAAACACCCATAAAAATAAAAAATTATATTAAATTTAAACTCTGTTACTCTGCAGTGGCATGGGTAAAGACTCTCAAGATTCAAGGAGGTAAGATTTTCTGTTCTTCCTGTCGCAAGGGAAAATGTTTCCCCACGTTACTACGTGTCACATATCTGTCTCGCTTTTATCTCTCACTGTCACTAGAGAACATAGAGAACAATGCCATTGGCAGACACAAAATGATTATCAAGCAAAACAATATTATTACTAGAAAAACTGGCAAATGTTTTCAGCAAAATCTTTTCCCAATTATGGGGTTGAATTTCCTTTCTCTCTATCTTCTCTAATCTTCCAGTGTTTTTGCTGTGGATTTTTATTTTTTTTTTTATTTTTTTTTTTGAATCCCCTTTTTTTTTCTTTTTTTTTATTATACTTTAAGTTTTAGGGTACATGTGCACATTGTGCAGGTTAGTTACATATGTATACATGTGCCATGCTGGTGCGCTGCACCCACTAACTCGTCATCCAGCACTAGGTATATCTCCCAATGCTATCCCTCCCCCCTCCCCCCACCCCACCACAGTCCCCAGAGTGTGATGTTCCCCTTCCTGTGTCCATGTGATCTAATTGTTCAATTCCCACCTATGAGTGAGAATATGCGGTGTTTGGTTTTTTGTTCTTGCGATAGTTTACTGAGAATGATGATTTCCAATTTCATCCATGTCCCTACCAAGGACATGAACTCATCATTTTTTATGACTGCGTAGTATTCCATGGTGTATATGTGCCACATTTTCTTAATCCAGTCTATCATTGTTGGACATTTGGGTTGGTTCCGCTGTGGATTTTTACAAACAAACTCTAGTATGACCTTGTAATTCTAGGTGCCACATGTCTCTGTTCTTCAGTGCTCTGGCTAAACAGGGTTAATTCCAAGTAAATACAAACTTGGTTTCTTTTACTTTATTTTTGAAAACTTTTATACTAACTACCTTTTTGATATATTTTTAAATAAATGTATATATTTTTCTGATTCTAAAGAAAATATACCCTTGATATAAATAAATAAATATAAATATCCCAAAGATAGCCACTATTCACATTTTAGTGTATGGTAGCTCCCCCTTATCCGTGAGGGATATGTTTAAAGATCCCCAGTAGGTGGCTGAAATCACTGATAGTACCGCTGATAGTGCTGAAACCCTATATATGCTATGATTTTTCCTATACATAGATAGCTGTGATAAAGTTTGATTTATAAGTTAAGCACAGTAACAGATTAATATAATTACTAATAATAAAATAGAACAATTATAGTATACTGTAATAAAAGTTATGTCAATGTGCTCTCTCACTCTCTCAAGGTATCCTAGTATTGTCAGACCACGGTTGACTGCAGGTAACTGAAATTATGGAAAGTCAATCTATGAATGCAGCGGGACTACTGTAATTTTCTCTTTTGTCATGTTCCATAGTTGAGATCATGCTGCATACTCAATTTTTTTTCACCTTTTAGAACAAAACATCATGGTATAAGAATTTTCTGATACTGTTGGAATTACTTTCTAACATGGGATTGGCTTGCTAATTATTGGCCTTTTATTTTCAAATGATCAACTTTCCATTGATAATTATTTTCTTGTTATAGAAGTTAATAAATCAGTCTGTCAATAGAATTTTTTGAAGTTTCATGTTAATCAAAATTATATAACATTTTTCAAAAGTAACAGGTCGACTGTAAGCAACTTGAGGGCAGGGATAATACTCCCTCCATCTTTGCATTCTCCACAGTGTCAGCCCAGAACGGGAACTAAATAAGCACTCGTAGCTTGAATGAATAAACAAGCAGCTCCCACTTGGATAGTATTTCCACACATCAGGACTTGAGAGGTAAGTGGGTAGAGCTCGGTGCCTATTACTTATCTTCTGGAATTAACATGGATTGTGCTGAGAACTCAAGCAAAAATAAAATAACTTTTAGACTACTTCTCTCCTACTCTGGATTTGTAAGCCACCCTTTAACAACAGCATGGACCATATATATATAGACACTGCTCAGCAAGCTCTAGTTAAAACTTTTAGATGCCCTAGCCATAGATGTTCTAGTTTTTTTTAACTGATTATCACTGAATATAATTTGGAATTGCATGTTTTGTGATGCCTCTTTTTAACATTCACTTGAATATCAGAGAGGCCTTATACAACAGAAATTCAGGATATTTTAGAGAATTTTTTTATTCATAGAATTAATGAATTCTAAAAAGTTTAAAATCATAGAAAGCCTAAGTAATCATCGATTTCGAGGTCATTTTTAAAGAAGAGGGAGGTAGCCAATTGATTTTCCAAGGCATTGGGCTAGGCAGGAGTGATGTAGCAGTATTGTCAGTTCCATTTTATATTTTTTATGTGACAACATACTGCCTCCCGTGGGTCTAAGATTTATTAGAAACAATTCATGTCTAGCAAATATCATTTTCATTTTTGACAAGATTACTCCAAACATCAGGGAGATGTGCTTAAGCAGGACATTTGACAAGGTATTTTATATCTTTGTGCTTACATAGGAGTAATATAAGCTAGATGCTGGGATAATTATTATTGTGTTTTTAGTGATTCATTTTACTTTTTGGCCTTGTGAAAAATGACAGACAATAAATATGCAAAAAGCATAAATGTATAGCTTAATGATTTATTATAAGACTAACAGAAGTGTTATCACCAACCAGATCAAGGAATAAAACATTGTCAATGCCCTAGAAACCTACCCCCTAGGTGCTCATCCATAAACACAAATCTCATTCTCCCCTCTAAATATAACCATTATCCCAACATATTTCTTGCTTTTCTTTGTAATGTTAGGGACTTATCCCTAAACATTATAGATTACTTTTGTCTGTTTTCAAAATTGATTTAAATGGAATGAAAAAGTGTGTATAATTTTATATCTGGTATATTTTGTTCAACATTATATTCAAGATCTATCTAAGACCATGGCTATATCTACAGTTTATTTCCTTTATAAAATTCCATTACTTGAGAATTCCACAATATTTTTAAATTCATTTTCTGTATTCATTTTACTATTAAGTGATATTTGGGTTATTTCTGAACTTGGTCTATTATAAATAATGACTGGGGCTTTTTTCCATGCATCCTAGCATACATATGTACCCATTTCTGCTGGGTATATACTTAGGAGCAGAACTGTTGTATTATAATGTATCTGCATCTCCAACTTTAACAGGTAAATCTCAGAGTTTTCCAAAGTGGTTGCACCAATTTGTACTACCACTAGTTACATATGAGCTTTCATTGATCTATATCTTTACTAAAATGTGGTATTGTTGGGGTTTTTAAATTATTGTCAGTCTGGTTTGCATGTATCTTGCAGTTTCTATTTGTATCTATCTGGTTACTAGTGGGGTTGAATAACTTTTCATAGATTTATTAGCTATTTTTCTTTCCTCTTATGATGTACCTGCTCAAAACTTTTGTCTATTTTTCAATCAGTTTTTCTAGCATTCTTTATATATCCTGGTATGATATTTACTGATTATATGCAATGAAAATATTGAAATTTTTTTCTGCCACTCTTTGGCTTGCCTTTTCAGCCCTGAATAGTTTTCTTGGTAAACAGAAGTTTTTAATTTTAATGTAGTCAGATTTAGTCATTTTTCCCTTCAAGGTTAGTACTTTCTTGCATCCTATTTAAGAAATCTCTTACTCGAATGCAATGAAAATATTCTTTGGAATTAATTTCTAAAACTTTATTGTTTTATCGATCACAGTTAGATCTAAAATTTATCTATCACAGTTAGATCTAAAAATTTGATTTTTGTGAATGATGTTATATAGGGTTAAATTTCCTTTTTTCCATAGGAATGCTCATTGGTCTCTGCATCACTATTGAAAAGACTGTGCTTTTTGTAACCCTCTACAGTGCAACTTCTTTCATAAGTCCCTTCATATGGGTCTCTTCTGTAGCTCTTTTTGCTCAAATGATCTCATCCTCTCTTCTGACAATGCCATAAAAGGTATTAAAGCTTTATAGCACATCCTTATATATGGTAGAACAAGTCTTTCTTTTTTCTTCTCCGCAAGTTCATTGGTTTTCTGGCCATAATGCAGCATCAGGGATTAGATTTATTGGTTGATTAATATATTAGAAAAGGAAATAAAATAAAAAACTATTCAATTAATCCAACAGAAAGCAGAAAAAAGGTAAATAATAACAAATGAGACAAAGAACAAAATGGCATCTATTAAAATATAAAAATTCTATAGCTAACATATACATAATGGTAAAAACTGAATACTTTCCCTCTCATAGCAGGAACAAAGCAAGAATGTCTACTCTGGTTGGCATTGTACTGGAGGATCTAGCCAATGCAATAAGGAGAGAAAAAGAAATGAAATGTATACAACTCAGGGGGGAAGATGTAAAACAATCTTTAGTCACGGCATGATCTTATGTAGAAAATCCTTTGGAATATACAAAAAGAGTAATTGGTCTACTAATTCATAACAAAGTTGCAGGCTACAAAAAAAGTACACTGCATTTGTATACATAATTTCAAATTAAACTGTAAATTTAAATTGAAGTTCTAGCTTTAAATTAGAAATTGAAAGTTTAAAAAAATATTTACAAGAGCATTAAAAACACAAAACTCTTAGGAATTAACCTGACTAAAGGAATGCAGGACCTGTATACTGAAAACTACAAGTAACATTGAAAGAAATTAGGCAAGTCATGATGGCTCATGCCTGTAATCCCAGCACTTTGGGAGGCCGAGGCAGGTGGATCACTTGAGGCTAAGAGTTTGAGAACAGCCTTGGCAAAATAGTGAGACCCTGTCTCTACTAAAATTTTAAATTAAGAAAATTTTCTCTTTTCATCTGGGCTCATTTAAAAAAATGTCGAGAGAAATTTAGAAAGACCTAAATAAATCTATTGAGATAATCACGTGGTTTTTGTCGTTGGTTCTGTTTATATGCTGGATTATGTTTATTGATTTGCGTATGTTGAACCAGCCTTGCATCCCGGGGATGAAGCCCACTTGATCACGGTGGATAAGCTTTTTGAGGTGCTGCTGGATTCGGTTTGCCAGTATTTTATTGAGGATTTTTGCATTGATGTTCATCAGGGATATTGGTCTAAAATTCTCTTTTTTTGTTGTGTCTCTGCCAGGCTTTGGTATCAGGATGATGCTGATCTCATAAAATGAGTTAGGGAGCATTCCCTCTTTTTCTATTGATTGAAATAGTTTCAGAAGGAATGGTACCAGCTCCTCCTTGTACCTCTGGTAGAAATGATGAGATATACTGTTTTGTGGATAAGAAGAATCAAATTAAAATTTCACTTCTCCTCAATATTTATAGATATTTAAATATAATCTCAATCAAAGTCTGAGCAGTCTTTTGTGTGGAAATTGACAAGGTGATGTTAAGGGTGATGGATGCACCAAAATCTCACAAATCACCACTAAAGAACTTAATCATGTAACCAAACACTACCTGTTCCCCAATAACCTATGCAAATAAAAAAATTTTTTAAAAAGAATCTAGCAAAAATTATTTTGAAAAAGAACAACAAGCTTGGGAGACTTACACTGCCTAACTTCAAGACTTGTTTTAAAGCTACAATGGTAAGACAGTGTGGCATTGGCATCAAGATAGAAAAATAGATCAATTACGTAGGATGGAGGGCCTGGATATACAGCCACACATATACGGTCAATTAATTTTTTAAAAAGGTGCAAAGGCAATGCAGGGTCAAAATGATCAAAAAATCATGTTGGAACAAGTGGATATCCATCCATAAGCAACGAAAAAAAAAAGAACTTTTATTCATACCTTTTGCCAAATACAAAAATCAACTCAAAATGAAGCACAAATATAAAACAAACCACAAAGCTATAAAACTTCTAGGAGAAAATATTTGGTTAGACGAAGATTTCTTAAACCATTTAAACATGAATTCAGCGTGCTACGTAAAGCATGTATGATACATAAGACCTAAAATTTCAGAATTATAAAATGAACTTTTAGCAAAATTAAGATCTTTTGCTTTTTGAAATAATTAAGAAAATGAAAAGGCAAACCACAAACTGGAAAAATATTTGCAAAACATATATCTGACAAAGGACGTGTATTCCAATTACATAAAGAACTCAACAATTCAATAATAAGTCAACTCAATAAAAAATATGAAAACGTTTTGAACAGATACATCAAAAGAAGTATACAAGTGGCCAATAAAACATAAAGATTATTAACATGATAAGTCACTAAGGAAATGCAAATTAAAACCACAATGAAATACTGCAGAAACCCATGAGAATGGCTAAAATTAGAAACACTGGCAATATCAAGTGTTAACAGGGATATGGAGCAATTCCAACTCTCATACATTGCTGGTGGAAATGCAAAGTGGTACATCCACTTTGGAAAATAGTTCACCAATCCCACATCAAAATGTTTTTTCCAGGAGAAATGAAAACATATGTCCCCAAAAAGGCCTGTATGTGAATGTTCGCAGAAGCATTATTCATAATAGCTGAAAAACTGAAAAATACTCAATTGTCCATCAACTAGTGAATGAATAAATAAATGTTGGATATTTGTTTATTACCCTGCAATTTTAAAATGACTTATTAATATATGCAACAGTGCAGATGAATCTCAAAACATTATCTATGTGAAATAAGACAAATATAAGAGACTCCTGATTATATAACTCCATGTATGTGAAACTCTAGAATAGACAAAACTGTAATGGTATAAAACAAAACATTGATTGTCTGGGGATAGGTATTTGGGGGGAATGATTTCAAGGGACAGAGGGAACTTTTTGTGGTGATAGAAATATTCTGTATTTTGGCAGGGTACGTTGGCTCATGCCTGTAATCTCAACACTTTGGGAGGTGAAGGCAGGCGGATCACCTGAGGTCAGGAGTTTGAGACCAGCCTGGCCAACATGGTGAAATCCCATCTCTACAAAAAATACAAAATAATTAACCAGGCATGGTAGCACACACCTGTAATCTCAACTACTCTGGAGGCTAAGGCAGGAGAATTGCTTGAACCAGGGAGGCAGAAGTTGCAGCGAGCCAAGACCGCACTACTGCACTCCAGTCTAGGCAACAGAGTGAGACTCTGTCTCAAAAAAAAAAAAACAAAACTATATTTTGATTGTGGTAGCTTACATGATTGTATGTAATTGCCAACATTCATCAACTCTGTACCTAAAATGGGTAAACTTTGTTATTTGTAAGTTATTCCTTAATAAACATGGGGGGAAATAAAGAAAGATACTTTCTCAAAAGAATACAAAGGATGGCTTTTACCAATACTTCAAAATTGTTTGATATTTATTTTAGCAAACATGTTACTTCTATTATTTTTATAAAAACTGATACAATGGTTATACAAAGAATAAAATTTTTAAATTATTAGCTCCCCAGCAAAAATTTCAGAAAAGACCACATCTGTTCTTTGGTGATGAAAGAAAGAGAAAAAAGGAGGAGGACAAGGGAAGAAGGGAGGGATACCCCAAGCTCAGCCATCTCCTTCCCTTAATGAGGAGTGCTCTAAACAGATTTACAAAGGTGGGAATTATTTGCTTACATAGTATTTACTATATCTGAAATATTCAGTGCTCTTCAATCTAGCTCTTCAATGCTAGAATCTGAAAAATTCAGCTCAATTCAATAGTATATGTTAAACACCTACTATTTTTCCAGCCTTGTAGTAGGTGTTATGATGGATGCAGAAGAGATGGTCTAAGTCAGAATAAAACTATTTAGAACTTACTTGTTAAATTTCTGTATTTATGCTTTGAGATATATTAGAATTACTCTATTTCAGATTTTATTATTATTCCTCCAGAAAAGAGACAACTAAATTTCTCCTGAAAACATTTAGCCTAACAGAAGTTAATCCTTAATCCAACCCAGAATTTTAAAAATAAAACTGAGCCATAACATACTCAATAAGCCATTTTAAATATTTAGGTCATCCAGGACTCATTCACTGACTGACACTAAGAATGGGTCACTGTGGTTCGCCAAAGACTGAATTGTTAGACTGATCTCACAATAATTTGGGGGTATCTTGATCATTCTTAGGATTGAGTCTGCTCAGCATAATCATCTATACCTAATTGTATAAAATTCTCAGAAATTTTTCTTCAAGTATATCTCAGAATATCAATGCAAAAACAGACAGAAGTAAAGCTGTGATCGTTGTAGGTGTGCAATCTTATTCCTGGGTTCTCTATTCTGTTCCATGTGTCTGTCCTTCTACCAGTACCAGTACCATGCTGTTTTGGTTACTGTGACCCTGTAGTGTAGTTTGAAGTACGTTAGCATGATGCCTCCAGCTTTGTTCTTTTTGCCTAGGATTGCCTTGGCTATTTGGGCTCTTTTTTGGTTCCATATGAATTTTTAAATCTTTGACAAACCTGACAAAGACACACAATGGGGAAAGGATTCCCTATTTAACAAATGGTGCTGGAAGAACTGGCTAGCCATATGCAGAAAATCGAAACTGGACCCTTTCTTTACACCATATACAAAAGTCAACTCAAGATGAATTAAAGACTTAAATGTAAAACCCAAAACTATAAAAACCTTAGAAGAAAACCTAGGCAATACCATTTAGGACACAGACATGGACAAAGATTTGACGATGAAGACACCAAAAGCAATTGCAACAAAACTAAAAATTAACAAATGGGATCTAATTAAACTAAAGAGCTCTTCACAGCAAAAGAAACTATCAACAGAGTAAACAGACAACCTACAGAATGGGAGAAAAATTTTGCAAACTATGCCTCTAACAAAGGTCTAATATCCAGCGTCTAGAAGGAACTTAAATTTACAAGAAATATAAAACTACACCATTAAAAAGTGGGCAAAGGACATGAACAGACACTTTTCAAAAGAAGACATACATGCAGCCAACAATCATATGAAAAAAAAGCTCAACATCACTGATCATTAGAGAAATGCAAATCAAAACCACAATGAGATACCATCTCACACTTGTCAGAATGGTTATTAGTAAACAATAAAAAAAACAGATGCTGATGTGGTTGTGGAGAAAAAGGAACCCTTTTACACTGTTGGTGGGAGTGTAAATTAGTTCAGCCATTGTGCAAGAGCGTGGTGATTCCTCAAAGATCTAAAGACAGAAATATCATTTGACTCAGCAGTCCTATTACTGGGTATATACCCCAAGGAATGTAAATCATTCTATTATAAAGACACATGCACTCATATGTTCGTTGCAGCATTATTCACAATATCAAAAACATGTAATCAACATAAATGCCCATCAGTGATAGACTGGATAAAGAAAATGTGGTACATATACACCATGGAATAGTATAAAGCCATAAAAAAGAACAAGATCATGTCTTTTGCAGGGACATGGATGGAGCTGGAGGCCATTACCCTTACTTAGCAAACTAATGCAGGAACAGGAAACCAAATACTGCATGTTCTCACTTCTAAGTGGGAGCTAAACGATGACAACACACGGACACATAGAGAGGAGCAAAATACTGGGGTGTATTAGAGAGTGGAGGGTGGCAGGAGGGAGACGGTTGGGCAAAATAACTAATGGTTACTAGGCTTAATACCTGGGTGATGAAATAATCTGTACAACAAACCCTCATGACACACGTTTACCTCGGTAACAAAACTGCACATCCTGCACTGTACCGCTGAACTTAAAAGTTAAAAAAGAAAATTGCTAAATAGAAAAAAAAGAAGTAAAGCTCCTCTAATTGATACATGGGGCCTTCAAAAAAAACTGTTCCACCATCCCTCCACCACAACCCATTGCCCTTGAGTTATCTCCAGGGAACCCTTGGGATCCAGGGAGACCTGAAATGGTTCACTAAAAATGAGTACTTTGCATCAGAAATAGGTAACTAAACCACTAAAACAAAAACTAACCTTAATTTAGAAAACTTAGTTGGTTCCTTTTCTCATTTTTGGTGCCAAGAGCAGTGCCTGACTCCTGGTGGGTAATCTATAATGACTTGCATAACTATCTGTATAACCTAGGGATCTTTAGAAGTAAGCGTCTAGGGGAAAGTCTCTAAGGAAATAAAGTCCACTTGGGAAGGATTTTTTGGTCTCTCTGACTATTTCTTACTCTAAGGAACATTTGTAGTCAATTACCCTAAATCCCTGATTAGTCTACGAATTATATCACATGGTATAGAACCTTGTATCATGGATCATTAATTACATGGCTCACATGTCACGAGGCAGGCAACTACTATGCTCCATATTGTCTGTCTTTCTTCATAGAACAAGAAAATCGCTGACCCTGTCTTCTTGATTTCGTAGCTAATGATTTGATAGAACTTAACAGAACCTCAGGCAGCATGAAAAAGACCTTCACAAAGAGGCTTTTCCTGTATATTCAGGAGGACACGTAGACCTGCATCTAGGCATCAAGCCTGTTGGATGCATTCTCCAAAGGATGACCTAATTCTAGTTTCCTTCATCTCCCGGCTTAGGGTGGGGTGCTTCACCATTCTCTGGACCCTTTCATAAGCAGGGGAGTTGTAGATGATACTGAGAAATCATTAGCACATATGTGTAGGAAATGTTAAAAGAAGTGATTACAAATACAAAGACAAAAAAAATTACGATAAGAAAATGAAAACAGAAGGGCAAAGAATCAAGCAAGATAGCTTGCTCCCCCTTGGACAGGTAGACTTTTCTTTTATGTGTTGCCTCATTCTCCCTGCATCCAGGTGGTGGCACTGGTGCTCTTTCTGCCTTGCCCTGTGGGTGGCATTCACTTAGTCTCCCTAAAATAGGAGGAACTCTAAGGGATAAGGAGATGAGGGCACTTGGCTACCCAGTGTTGGGTCCCTTGAAGCAAAGCTCCTGAAGGACCATCTCCTTTCAACAAATTACCCTAACAAAGATGTAGTAAGCTATAAGCAAGGGAAGGAAAGGAAATGGGACCCTAATGGAATGTAGCCTATGGGTGGAACATTCAGGGATTGAGCAGGAAGAGCCTTTCCAGTTTTTTAAGGCAATCTTAAAGATGGTTGCATTAAACAATTTATGTCCTAAATTATGCACATTGTTGCCACAAACACATAGGTCAGTTTCTATCATTCTCAACAACTTGTATAGCCTCAGAAACTTTATGACCATCCTCATTCTGTTAATCTACATGGTGCCTGATTTTACAGGTAGAAAGAAAGCATAGAGAGGTCTGCTAACTTAGGCAAGGTCACCTAGAATGTTAGTGATAAAGTTCTCCGAAGCCTTTGGTTAAGCTAAGGAATCCTCTAACTATAGTACAGGTGCTTTTGGACACATCCTTTGCAAATAAGCATTTTTCTACATGTATCTAAAACTCAAGACTCAAACACATAAATGGATCTAAGTTGCAAAGAAACCATCTCGGGCTTTCAAGTGGTCCTGAAAGAATGATCACTAGTCTTGTCCACCAAGCAAATGTATCTGCATCATGACCTGCAAATAAGATAAGTAGCATTTTTAATCCTTCTGTTTTTAGATTCCTCAATAAGGCTACAGAGAAATGATTACAAATGGACACTTGTGACATATACAAAAATAATTGGTATTGAGGATATATTGGTTTCTAGTTCTTTCCTAGTCCCTATCAGATCATGTGATCTGGAGTAAGGCACTTAATTGTCCTGCATCTCTAACTTCCTCGTCTGTAAAAAAAAAATAAATAAACTCAACTGGATTAATCTTTAAATCTCATCCTTCTCCATTCAACCAGCATGATTCTGCTGAAACTTTCCTTGTAAGCAAATGTTTTTCCACCTGAAATTGCTTCTGGCTAGTCGCTTCCCCAGGAAAATTCATTCTAAGACTAAAGTTTATATGAAAAAAAAAAATCCAGATGCGTTGGAAGTGCCTGCTGCCTTTGACTTTCTACGTGGCTTTTTTCCCACAGTATCTCAAAGCCAGTATATATCTCAAAACTCATTGCTGCAGTATACTAAACCTAAAATTTGACCAGCAGTGTCCATGGGGCTGGTATATTTAACTGTGTATCTTGTTTAAATACAAACATTTACATGTTTATCTCAAACTCTATTGTCAACTCGCCATTTTTGCAGATAAGAGATAACAAGAATTAGACTAGTCTAGGAATGAATGTCAGTTCCAGGACTGACTGTCATATGAGATTATACCACCCAATCTGAGGTAAGTGTTGTCACTGGCAGCAAATCCATATGGGTCTGCAGCAACCTCAGTTCTCGCCTACTCAGAAGAAAGAATTCAGCTGAGGGGCAGAAGGTAGATGGAGAGACAGGCAAGTTTTAGAGCAGGAGTGAAAGTCTATTAAAAAAGCTTTAGAGCAGGAGTGAAAGGAATAAAAGTACACTTGGAAGAGGACCAAGTGGGCGACTTGAAAGACAAGTGCACCATTTGACATTTGACTTGGGGTTTTATGTGTGGGCATACTTCTGGGTTCTTGCATCCCTTCTCCCCTGATTCTTCCCTTGGGGTGGGCTGTCCACATGCACAGTGGTCTGCTGCATTTAGCTGGTGAGCATGTGCAGTGTGTTTACTAGACTTGTACGCATGCTCACTTGAGACATTCTTCCCTTACCAGTCGAATGTCCCTAGAAGGCCATTTACCAGTTCAACACCGCCATTTTGCCTTTTAATGTTCATGCTTAAGCCCACCTGCCCAGCTCCTGAGATCTTATCAGGAAGCTGCTAATCACCAGTTTCAGATTTGTTCTATCTATTAGGAGACTGCCTTTCCTCCCTGGTGCTGGCTGTGACCAGTTATTTTAGAGAGACAGTTAACAATGGCCTGACCATCACCTGATGGTTGCCTAACAATCCTGGTGGGGTTGGGGGAGCCCTCTCCTGCCCTGCTCATCTCTGCCTAGCTACCTACTGTAACAGTATGACCAGAACTCACATGGAAAGTGAAGGTACAAATTTGGTAGCAAAAGTGACTTCTTTTTTGGCCAGATGTTTATTGGTCTTGGATAATATCAGGCTAAGTTAACATAAGCTGTACTGTGTAGTTGTGTTCTCTTTATAGGAGAAAATGTTTGTGTCTGTAAAGGATTTGGGTTGATCACCAAACAGTATTCATTCTGACTATAGGAACATACCTGCTTCAGAGTTCAAAGAGCAGTTCTGTCCTGAACAATTGAATTTCCTCCTGCTGTATGACTTAGTAATCTCTGGAACCACAAGTTTACTCTTTGGTGTTGGGTAATGTTCATCCTACCTAACTCTTCTGATTTAATGATAAATTAGGCAGATAAAACATATTTTGCTGTGACTTCTGAAAGTCCACATTTAGCCAAAAGATATTCAAATATAATTAGATAATTATGTGGATATCAGGCAAATCACAAAAGCACAAGTGACTGGAGATTCCTCAACAGTCTCTGTTGAGGGCTTTATTGTGTCTTCTCCCTTACAGACATTGTAGTAAAAAGACATTTGACAGAATCTTAAAAATGCCCTGATAAAGCTGAAGGAATACAGAGAGCTGTGTTGCTTGAATAGTGGGTTCATTTCAGGTTTCTTGGAATGCATAAACTTACACTGTCCACATTCAACTTCCCTTTTGGCCCTTTTCACTATTTCCCAAAACAAGCCATTTTCCTTTAAGATAAAAAGTTATGGAAGGAATGTTTACAGGCCTTTGATAATTGTCATTCTCTGCAACCCTCATAGACGTGTTCATGGCAATGGCAGGGAAGCAAAGCAAGTGCCTTAAGCTCACTTGGCTTTTCTAACCCTAAACTGGGGTCAAGAGCTGTTGGTTTGGTGTGGTTTTAGACAAGTAAGCAAAGTGCATTTAACCCTTTTCCATTCCCACTGAAGTGGCATCATTCTTCTGGGGTAATACCCAAGTTCATCAGCTCGTGCCAAGGAAATCGAGGACACAGACACACAAGAAGTGAGTTTAAGAGCAGAAGTGTAATAATAGGCGAGAGAAAAAAGAACAGAAAAGTTTTCTCCCATGCAGAGAGAGAGGCTCCTGAGTGGGTCTTCCGGTTTTGTGGTGAAATGCATGGGGTTTTATAGATGAGCTTGAGGAGGCAGTGTCTGATTTACGTAGGGCCCGAGAGATTGGTCGGACCAGGTGTGCCATTTGCATAGCATGCAAAGAAGCTGGCCACCCTACCCTAATCTTTAACCCTTTTCCATTCCCACTGAAGTGGCATCATTCTTCTGGGGTAATACCCAAGGTTCGTCAGCTCATGCCAAGGAATTTGAGGACACGGACACACAAGAAGTGAGTTTAAGAGCAGAGGTGTAATAGGTGAGAGAAAAAAGAAGACAAAAGCTTTCTCCCCTGCAGAGAGGCAGGCTCCGGAGTGGGTCTTCTGGTTTCGTGGTGAAATGCATGGGGTTTTATAGAGGTGCTTGAGGAGGCAGTGTCTGATTTACATAGGGCCCGGGAGATTGGTCGGACTAGGTGTGCCATTTGCATAGCACGCATAAGAAGCTGGCCACCCCACCCTAATCTTTTTATTATGCAAATGGATTCTCTTCGTGGCTGGTGCCATGTTGTCTGTTACTTACCATACACATGGTTGACAAGGAAAAGGGGAGATGGAGCTGCCGTGTTGAACATGCCTGGCCCGCAGGTAGCCTTTTCCGATTGGCACAGCTGCCGGCATTCACCCGCGAAAGCTTCCAGCTTGCTTATCTATATCTGCAGCTTGATTTTACAGGGTGCTCTTTGTCAGAAAAGAAATAATTTTGGGCTGCTTTTCGTTAAAATGGAAGCCTTACCAAAGACTCTCTTACCCTCACTAACTGCCTAAATAATTTCTTTTTAGCTCCTGTATCACCACCCTTCCTGAAACCATAGTCTTTTTCAGGTTCAGCTTTGGTTAAAATGGTGAAACACGTGATGTGGATGGCCCCCACTTTGTATCACAGCATCAGAATGCTATTCTCTTCCCCGGCCCTTGATTTCTACTTCCAATTTTTTTTTTTCTTTTTTTTTTCTTTTTTTTTTTTTTTTATTATACTTTAAGTTTTAGGGTACATGTGCACATTGTGCAGGTTAGTTACATATGTATACATGTGCCATGCTGGTGCGCTGCACCCACTAACTCGTCATCCAGCACTAGGTATATCTCCCAATGCTATCCCTCCCCCCTCCCCCCACCCCACCACAGTCCCCAGAGTGTGATGTTCCCCTTCCTGTGTCCATGTGATCTCATTGTTCAATTCCCACCTATGAGTGAGAATATGCGGTGTTTGGTTTTTTGTTCTTGTGATAGTTTACTGAGAATGATGATTTCCAATTTCATCCATGTCCCTACAAAGGACATGAACTCATCATTTTTTATGGCTGCATAGTATTCCATGGTGTATATGTGCCACATTTTCTTAATCCAGTCTATCATTGTTGGACATTTGAGTTGGTTCCAAGTCTTTGCTATTGTGAATAATGCCACAATAAACATACGTGTGCATGTGTCTTTATAATAGCATGATTTATAGTCATTTGGGTATATACCCAGTAATGGGATGGCTGGGTCAAATGGTATTTCTAGTTCTAGATCCCTGAGGAATCGCCACACTGACTTCCACAATGGTTGAACTAGTTTACAGTCCCACCAACAATGTAAAAGTGTTCCTATTTCTCCACATCCTCTCCAGCACCTGTTGTTTCCTGACTTTTTAATGATTGCCATTCTAACTGGTGTGAGATGGTATCTCATTGTGGTTTTGATTTGCATTTCTCTGATGGCCAGTGATGATGAGCATTTTTTCATGTGTTTTTTGGCTGCATAAATGTCTTCTTTTGAGAAGTGTCTGTTCATGTCCTTCGCCCACTTTTTGATGGGGTTGTTTGTTTTTTTCTTGTAAATTTGTTTGAGTTCATTGTAGATTCTGGATATTAGCCCTTTGTCAGATGAGTAGGTTGCGAAAATTTTCTCCCATTTTGTAGGTTGCCTGTTCACTCTGATGGTAGTTTCTTTTGCTGTGCAGAAGCTCTTGAGTTTAATTAGATCCCATTTGTCAATTTTGACAAACCTGAGAAAAACAAGAAATGGGGAAAGGATTCCCTATTTAATAAATGGTGCTGGGAAAACTGGCTAGCCATATGTAGAAAGCTGAAACTGGATCCCTTCCTTACACCTTATACAAAAATCAATTCAAGATGGATTAAAGATTTAAACGTTAGACCTAAAACCATAAAAACCCTAGAAGAAAACCTAGGCATTACCATTCAGGACATAGGCATGGGCAAGGACTTCATGTCCAAAACACCAAAAGCAATGGCAACAAAAGACAAAATTGACAAATGGGATCTACTTCCAATTTTATCCCTCTTCAGTGCTCTGAAAAAACATTTCCTGACTCCCAGTTCAGTGCTTTTTCAATGTTTACAAGTTGCAGATTCCTTTGCTCTGTAATCCTCTCTGGACACCCAATAGATAAAGCTGATAAAACCTCTGTTAAACTGTAAGTAGAAGGCCCACAGCCCCACTTAATCCATCCTCTTCACTTCTCCCCATTACCCCACAGCTTCCCAGGAGTGTGGCCTCACAGAACCCCCAGAGAAAGCAGAGCCCAGTTGGAAAATGACTATCCCACTCAAAATTACTGTCTTCCTTCCTCTGGATTCCTTTTTTCTTTTTTTTCCCCACTGTTTCTAACATTATTTCATTTATTCACTCATCCAGTAAATATATATTGAGTATCCACTATGAATACCTGGCACTTAGTTATGGATGGCCTGGTTATAACAGTTATCTAATTATGTTGGAATTTCCCATTTAATGTTTGTTTCCCCATTGACTGGATTCTTCCTTGGATCTCCTGATCCTACACAGAACTTAGAACACAATGTTCAATGTTCCCATATATCCACTTGCCTCTAATCAAATGCCACCTAATTAGAGAGGCCCTCACTCACCATCCTACCTCAAATACTACCACCTTCACCCTTTCTCTCCTCTGTACCCTTAATCTGCTTTATATTTTTCCCAAAACACTTATCATCAGCTTGTAAATTACATATATCCATAAACAAGAGTAGGGTCCCCTTGTTTATTCACTACCATATACACAGCATCTAGAACAGTGATGGGCACTCAAGTTGGTACTCATTAAATATTTATTAAATGGGTAGCTGAATAAATGAAGTGAGTAAATATGGCAACATATTATTAGCTCTTTAAGAAGATATTCATATTAAAATGCTTGTGTCCCTCACTGGAATGACACCTTTTTAAAAACAAATCTATGTCTTATGTTTCTTCTTATCCTACACACCCATCACCCTCTATGCCCAGCACAGTATCTTGTTTATGGAAGAAGTTCCATACATTTATTGAGTTGACTGATCCAGGGACCAGCATCACTGGCATCACCTGGGAGCTGGTCATAAATGTAGAAGCTCAGGCACCACCTCAGACTACCAGCACCACCAGTTGGAAGCTGAATGCAGAAGTTTCCAACACCACCAGTTGGAAGCTGCATTTTAGCAAGATCCCTAAGGCGATGGCATGCACCTTAATGTTTGAGAGGCCCCAGTGTCATCCTGTTCTGAGCCTCCTCTCACTCTTCTACATTGCCTTAATTATTCTCTTATGTTATTGCATTGAATAGTTCAATTTTTGAACATGCCATTATAGTTTACGTAAACATATTACGATTCTTTGGCCTCTTTCAAAGTAAATCTGTGAGCCAATTAACAGCTATAACTTGACCTTCTAGATTCCAGGACATCAATTTCTGTGAATGTAAAATCTGACACAAATTTTCTCCTTCTGGAAAACATGGAAGAGGACACATCACATGGCATTCAGAACTGCCCCTCCAAGAGAGGGGGCGGAGGGCCACTTCTACTCTCCGGTCCACTAGCAGAGATACCTGGCTAAGCAAGGAAGGTCCACAATAGGACCCTGAAAGTTTGGGGGTACGAGTGCTGAGAGGCCGAGTCCCCCAGCAGAACTTTGACAAATGGCACATTCGGCAGCTGAGTTCTGCGGCCTCAGAGGGGCAGCCTCTGTCCTCCAGGTTTGTATTAAGTGATATATTTGTCTGAAGTTATAGGAGTCATGGCCTTCAGAGAAAGGATCAGGGGGTGAAAAAGGAAGGCTGATACTGACATTCTTTAATGCCCTGGAAGAATCATGAGGAGCTTGGTCATTGGACAAATACCAAAGACATTCTTGAGGTGGTTAGGCCTCGGGGAGGAATGATGCTAGAGCAATGTGACTTAGGCAGCAACGCTCAAGATTAATTGCTCTGTGTGTGTGCACGTGTGTGTGTGCGCGCAAGTGTGTGTGCTTTTTTCCTACTTTGAATGTGGAAATAATTTCAAACATTCAAGAAAGCTGCAAGAATGTCACCTATTGTTAACATATTGTCCCTGTCCACTTTACCAATTTTGTGGTTCTTTCTCTCCATTCCTTATCCCCTTTCTCTCTCTCTCTCCCTTTCTCCTCTGTCACTGTCTGTCTCTATGTCTGTCTGTATCTAAATATCTATATAATTATTTTTCAGTCATTTGAGAGTAAGTTGCATACATCATGTCCCTTATCCCCTATGTAGTTTAATGTATATTTCTTAGAATATAGACATTCTCTTACATAACAAAATGGCTATAGCTTTAAATGTCCTAATTTCCACAGCTTTCTCATGATGACTGCATTCCTCTTTGCACTGTTTCACCATTAAGATGACCACTTCGTATTTGATTAATATCTTGAATTCTTCTCATGTTCTGACCTTTACACATTTTTCACTGTGATTTACAGTTGTGAGTAAAAACTTCAATATTACACAAAGTTTTTCCTACAAGCTCTTGGCTCTGCTGTGTTCCCATGATCCCTCTACCAGACCACCTCTAAAAACTGGGCTGTGGTAATGCAGAGCCTTGTGGTGGCCACGAAAAGGTTTTACTTCATGGGACCAGCTGAAGCATTTGGTCTGAAATCTATTCCATTATCCTTAGAGAAAAATCAGATAATATATTTGAGGCAAAAAAAATCAACCATTTTTATTATGAGCTGTCTCAGGCTTTTGGCTGCAGTTTCAGATTATCATCCCTTAACAAGTTCGAAAGATGAAGAACAGAACCAAGAATGGAAGTCACACTGCAATATGCAAGCAATTGGATTGATTTCATAAGTGGAAATTCTAAAGCTTAGCCTTTTCAAGCTATGAAAATAGCATTTCTCACCTTATGTATTGTTTTTAAAAATATAATTGAGCTGAGCCATAATGTGCTCTTCCAAAACAGAAAATGTATAACACTAAGAAGGGTCAATTACTCATATGATTAGTAGGGCATCTCTTTAAAAATTGAGTTTGTGCCATAAAAACCCTAGAAGAAAATCTAGGCAATATCATTCGGAACATAGGCATGGGCAAAGACTTCATGACTAAAACACCAAAAGCAATGGCAACAAAAGCCAAAATCGACAAATGGGATCTAACTAAACTAAAGAGCTTCTGCATGGCAAAAGAAACTGCCATCAGAGTGAACAGGCAACCTACAGAATGGGAGAATATTTTTGCAACCTACATAATGGGAGAACATTTTTGCAATCTACTCATCTGACAAAGGGCTAATATCCAGAATCTACAAAGAACTCAAACAAATTTACAAGAAAAAATCAAACAATCCCATCAAAAAGTGGGCAAAGGATATGAACGGACACTTCTCAAAAGAAGACATTTGTGCAGCCAACAAACATGAAAAAATGTTCATCATCACTGGTCATCAGAGAAATGCAAATCAAAACCACAATGAGATACCATCTCACACCAGTTAGAATGGCGATCATTAAAAAGTCAGGAAACAACAGATGGTGGAGAGGATATGGAGAAACAGGAAGGCTTTTACACTGTAGGTGGGAGTGTAAATTAGTTCAACCACTGTGGAAGACAGTGTGGCGATTCCTCAAAGATCTACAACTAGAAATACCATTTGACCCAGCAATCCCATTACTGGGTATATACAAAAAGATTTATAAATCATGCTGCTATAAAGACACATGCACACATATGTTTATTGTGGCACTATTCACAATAGCCAAGACTTGGAACCAACCCAAATGTCCATCAGTGATAGACTGGATTAAGAAAATGTGGCACATATACACCATGGAATACTATGCAGCCATAAAAAAGGATGAGTTCATGTACTTGGCAGGGACATGGATGAAGCTGGAAAACATCATTCTCAGCAAACTATCACAAGGACAGAAAACCAAACACTGTATGTTCTCATTCATAGATGGGAATTGAACAATGAGAACACTTGGACACAGGGCAGGGATCATCACACACAGGGGCTTGTTGGGAGATGGGGTACTGGGGGAGGGATAGCATTAGGAGAAATGCCTAATGTGAATGATGAGTTGATGGGTGCAGCAAACCAACATGGCACATGTGTACCTATGTAACAAACCTGCACGTTGTGCACATGTACCCTAGAACTTAAAGTAAAATAATAAAAAAAAACTTAAAGGCAAAAAAAATTGAGTTTGTGCTATTTTATAAGCTCCAATGTCATCAGTAACCATAAATGATTTTTACTCTTTTTTTATGTGTGTATCCTCATGACACACAAAATAGTTTTAGACAAAATGTCTTCAAAATTTGTTACATTGATCTAGGTTGGTTTTCATTATTTTGGAATGTTAGGATTAAATTATAATTATAGTCTCACGCAAGGATGGGAACTTGGTGTTTCAGTGTTCAGAAAACTGGTCAGTATGCAGTATCTAAATTTACATAAAAATTAATGGATTCTGGGTAAATAGGGATTCTCCCCACCACCATTCCCCATTAGGCTGCCTATAAGATGACTTTTATTAAGTTAAATTCACCTTTATAAAACATATAATTAAGTTATTAATAAATGTCTTACCAAGGCTTAACACCTCAACTTCTTGTTTTTATATATCTACTTATTTCTCTGGAGACTGTGCCTAGCCTCATGGCTTTAAATGGAATCTATATGCTGATGAGCCTCAAATTTGTGTCACCCGCCCACCTTCTCTCCTGAACTCCTGAACCATATTTACTATCTATTTGGCCTATCCACTTGGATGTCTAATAGGTGTCTCAAATTTAATAGGTCCAAATTAAGCTCCTAGTATTTCCTTCCAAAGCACCAGCTTCTGCAGTCTTTACCTCTCAATAAATAGCAACTTCATTCTTCCAGCGGCATAGGTTAAAATCTTTTAGGCCGTTATGGACCCCATTGTTTCTCTCACACCCCTCATCAGGTCCATCAGAAAAATCCTTCCATCTTTATCTTCAAAATAGATTCAGAATTTGACCATGTCCTACCACATTAATCCTAACACTCTGGACAAACCACTGTCATCTCTTACCTGGCTTACTGCAATTATCACCTAACTGATCTCATTGATTCTTCCTTGACACCCCTCCAATCTTTTTTCAAGAAAGAAACCAAGGAAATCTCTTCACTACCCATGTCTCAGAACTTCTTGCTCTAGCCATGTTAGAGTCACTGGCATTAGACTTACCCTCCTTCTGTAAGCAACCATAAAACTGGATAAAATATATAGAATGATAGTTTGCAGTCAGAAATTAGACAGAAATCAATACAGGGGTACAAACCTTGAAAGAAGAAAACCGCATAAGGTGAGCCCCACCTTTTCTCTGAGAGCACTTTTCAAAAAGTGGCAGTTTTCTAGGCATGAGAGTTCAGGATTGCTAAAGTGGCTAGGATTTGGAGGTAGAGGGCAGGGCACGAGATATAAGATAATCACAAAGGAACCCCAAAGGGTTATGTAGAAACTCTTGGGATTTTGGCTGTGTTGAACTACATGTGTGCAGGAAAAGATTCCAGGAGGCCTATGAAAGAACAGCTTCTGGGATGCTGAGAGTTGAACAAATATTTCAGAAGTCATGCAATGCTTGGGAGAAGGTAGATATCTGGCTCAACCAGAGAGGAGAGTATTTTGTGAATACTGTGTTGAGACCTTAAAAATATCATGACTTAGAAATAAGAACCATGCCATAGGAATAGCATTATGATCAAGTACTAGGCAAAACATTGAAACTGACCTGTCAGAACAAAACCTGGAACCCATCTTTCGCAGAATCAAGGTGATACATTAGTAATTTTGAATGAGGAAGAGAACATTATCATCAAATTAAAATATCTGTAATGTCTAGCATATAAGCAAAAATTCCTGGATAGGTAAAGAAGCAGGAAAGTACATTTCATTGTATAGAATTTAAACTTCAATAAAGTTTATTTTAAAAGAGAAAAAAGCTTAGAAGAAACACATTATCTTCTTGAGAGGAACAAATATAAGGGTTGTAGTTGATTCCTTAACTGAAACAATGAAACCAGGAGACAACAGAATAACACCTTTTAAGTGATGAAAATGCTCTCAATCTAGTATTCTACACTCATTGAAAATATCCTTCAAGTTTGAATGAATTATACACGTTCCAAGACAAAAGCTGAGAAAATTTTAAATCAACGGACTTACTACAAGAAGTACTATAAGAAGTTCTTCAGGCTGAAGGAAAATAATCACAGATAGAAAGACAAAAGTACAAGAAAGAATCAACTGTAGTGTAAAGTCTATGGATAATTTATAAGTGTAAAAAAAAGGCAAATTAATAATGATGTTTGTGAGGTTTATAAATTGGAAGACTTAAAAAGAAATTTTAAAATAGTGAAGTGGGTAAATGGATTTAAACTGTTACAAGGTTTGGAATGTGTTGAAAGCATAAGTAGGCTGTAGTAAGCCAAAGATATATTTTGTGTTTCTAGAATAACCACTGAAAGGACAATACTAATTTATTCTAATGTATATATGGAAATGCAAAATACCAAAAATAATTAAGACTATTTAGAAGAAAAATAAAGAAAACTTTTATTACCACTTCAAGGTTTCATTTAAATCTACAAATAATTAAGAGACTATTATATTGGTGAAAGATAAGACTAAATAGAACAATGTAACACAATAGAATCCAAAATAAACTCACATATACATTGTCACTTGATATAAACCAAAAGCACCATTGTAATTTAATGCAGGGAAGAAGAGTATATTTTATAACTATTGCTAGAGAAATAAACTATCAAAAAAATCCATATCACTCACCTCAAACCATACCTCAAATTAATTCAAGATGGATTATAGGCCTAAATATAAAAATGAAAATACTCAAGTTCTAGAAGAAAACATACATCTTTTCTGAGTTATGCAAAGATTTTCTTAATGGAAAACAGAAAACAGTAACCATTTTTTAAATGATAAATTGGATTTCATGAAAATTAAGAACTTCTGTTCATCAAAATTAATCATTAGGAAAGTAAATAGGCAAGCTCCAGACTGGAAAACAATACTTGTAATATATATAGCTTAAAAACAATACTTGTAATATATATAGCTTAAAAAGGCTTATATATGGAATATATAAAGAATTTCAAATCAGTAAGGGAAAAAATAAATCAACAAAGAAAAAAACAAAATGGGCAAAATGTAAACAGATGTAAACAGATGGGCAAAATGTAAACAGATACTTCATAAACAGATGGCCAAGAAGCACATAAAAATGCACTTAACATTATTGCCTATCAGGAAAATAAAAAATAAAACAACAAGGTGGTACCATTAAATAACTACCAATATGGCTGAAATAAAAGACTCACAATATCAACATTTGGTAAGGATATCTAGCAACTGGAATGAACATAAATTGCTAATGTTAGGTAAATTATTCAACCATTTTGTAAAATGTTTTCACAGTACTAAAACTAAATAAAAGCCCAACCTATGACTCAGCATTTCTCCTCCTAGGTATACCCAAGAAAAACTAGTGCGTATAGTTAATGAAGAATACATTCAAGAACGTTCATGGTATCTTTATTCATAGCACCCAAAAGACACAAGCAATCAAAACTCCCATCAATAGGAGAATGAATAAATTATGGCATATTCACACAAACAGTACTCTATGAGAGAGAGAAAGAGAGACAGAGAGAGCCTTATACATGCAACAACAGGAATGAAGCTCAAAAAAATTGAGCAAAAAAAACAGATACAAAAGTACATATTGCATGATTTCATTAAAATAAAGCTTAAAAACTAATAAATAGAGTCAATCAGTAGAGGTAGAAGACAGAAGAGTGATTATCTCATTAAGGAGATGGGTTATGGACTGAAAGGAGCAAGAAACCTTCGAGTTCAATATTCTATATATTGAACCAAGTGTTGGTTACATGAGTGGATACATATATAAAAATTTATTGAGATATACATGTAAGATTTGTGCACTTTACTATGTATAAGTTATATCTCAATTTTAAAAATTGTTTAGAAAAATTACACAACTCCGATCACATGACGTCTCTATTTAAACTTTCCAACGGCTTCCTATCACTCCTAGTAAAAGCCTAAGTCCTTACTATTTACTGTGTCCTTCATGGCTGACATGATCTCCTCCAGCTCCCCCACACTGAGTTCAAATCACACTCCACCTCGCTATTTCTAAATACTCCAAGCACACTTCTGTCTCAGGCCATTGTTCTTACCTGGAAAGCTCTTTGCACTCATTGCTATCTAGTGTGCCATTATTTAGCATCAGTCTTCTAGACTTGATTGTAAGCTTTATGAGGGCAGAGATTTTTGCCAGTTTTGTTCACCACTATGTTTCTAGTATCTAGAAGAGAGCCTGTCATATAATAAGTGCTCAATAAATATTTCTAATGAATAAGCAAACCATCATCATACCATTTTCACTAAATATCAGACATTTTTTAACACACTTTATATTCTAGCAGCCAGCATCTTACACCAACCGTCTTACAACTGCCAGTTCCACACAAATTTTGACAAGATTGTCCTGTCTTAATGTGACGGTGGTTAACCTTGGAACATTCACTCTTGCACTGTGGCTTCTCTTATGCCACAGTGTGGGAATCTGCTTACTACATGAGAGCAACACAGAGGGTGGGACATTTAACTCCATTAAGACAACCCTTAACCACTAGGAAGGAAAGCTAATGGATAAATGCTTTCTACTCTCATCCTTTAGAGCAGAGGTCAGCAAACTTTTTCTGTAAAGGGCAAAATTGAGAATACTTTATGCTTTGTGGGCCATACTGTCTCTTTCACAACTATTCAACTCTGCCATCATAGCCTAAAAACAGATATAGAAAATACAGAAATTAATTTTGAGGCTATGTTCCAATAAAACTCTATTTACAAAAATAGGCTGCTAGACAGATTTGCCACAAAGGATATAGTTTGCTTATCCCTCCTCTAGACAACAGTCTAAGACACATTTCAAAAGGCTCCTCAGAAGTTCCCAGCAAAATCAAGTCCCAGTTTCCTACAGTGGTTTTCAAATCAATTGCACACTTTTGTGTTGGCTTTTCCCCTCTCTGCTTCACTCCCCCATCCTTCCCCAGAATCACTTCCAAACTACAAGGCTTAATCTCTGGCTTTGCTTTCAGAGGAACCTGGGGTACACTTCCATCCTCAAAAACATGAGTGCATTTTTATTATAGGCCAAATACTATTTAATTCCTAGTAGTGAGTAAAAGCAGTCCTTTTACTCTTATATGTAAAGAGTCCCTAACTTATATAAGGAGTCCCTAACTCCTTATATGGTTAAGGCTTTATGTCCCCACCCAAATTTCATCTTGAATTGTAATCTCCATAAACCCCATAATCACCACGTGTCAAGGGAGAGACCAGGTGGAGGTAATTGAATCATGGGGGCAATTTCCCCCATGCTGTTCTCATGATAGTGAGTGAGTCCTCACGAGATCTGATGGTTTTATAAGGGACTCTTGCCCCTTCTCTTAGTACTTTTTTTTCCTGCCACCTTGTGAAGAAGGTGCCTTGCTTCCTCTTTGCCTTCCACCATGACTGTAAGTTTCCTGAGGCCTCCCAGCCATGCTGAACTGTGAGCCAATTAAACCTCTTTCCTTCATAAATTACCCAATCTCAGGCAGTTCTTTATAACAGTATAAAAATGGACTAATGCACTAAATTGGTACCAGTAGAGTGAGGTGCTGCTATAAAGATACCCAAAAATTTGGAAGCAACTTTGGAACTGGATAACAGGCAGAAGGCAGAACAATCCAGAGAGCTCAGAAGAAGACAGGAAAATGTGGGAAAGTTTGGAACTTCTTAAAGACATGTTGAATGGTTTGACCAAAATGCTGATAGAGACATGGACAATGAAGTCCAGGCCGAGATGGTCTCAGGTGGAAATGAGGAACTCACTGGGAAATGGGGCAAAGGTCACTCTTGCTATGTCTTAGCAAAGAGACTGGTGGCATTTTGCCCCTGTCCTAGAGATCTGTGGAACTTCAAATTTGAGAGAGATAATCTGAAATTGGAACTTATGTTTAAAGGGGAAGCAGAGCATAAAAGTTAGAAAAATTTGCAGCCTGATTATGTAGTAGAAAAGAAAAAAAACATTTTCTAGGGAGAAATTCAAGCTGGCTACAGTAATTTGCTTAAGTAACGAGGAGCCAAATGTTAGTCACCAAGACAATAAAGAAAATCTCTCCAGGGCATGTCAGAGACCTTCAGAGCAGCTCCTCCCATCACAGGCCCAGAGGACTAGGAGAGAAAAATGGTTTCCTGGGCCCAGCGCAGGCCCACCCTCCCACCCCCAGCTGCTCTGTGCAACCTCATAACTTGGCACCCTGCATCCCAGCTGCTGCCACTCCAGCTTCAGCTGTGGCTAAAACATGCCAATGTACAGCTCAGGCTATCGCTTCAGAGGGTGCTAGACCCAAGCACCATGGAAAGGAAGGGAAATGTGGGGTTGGAGCCCCCATGCAGATTCCGCACTGAGCCTAGTGGAGCTGTGAGAAGAGGGTCACTGTCCTCCAGACCCCAGAATGGAAGAGCCACTGACAGCTTGCACTGTGCATCTGGAAAAGCCACAGACAATGCCAGCTCATGAAAGCAGCAGCCAGGACAGGGGCTGTACCCTGCAAAGTCACAGGGGTGAAGCTGCTCAAGGCCATAGGAGCCCACCTCTTGCATCAGCATGACCTGGATGTGAGACATGGAGTCAAAGGAGATCATTTTAGAACTTTTAGATTTAATGACTGCCCCACCTGGTTTCAGACTTCCATGGGGTCTGTAGCCCCTTTGTTTTGGCCAATTTCTCCAATTTGGAATTGAAAAATTTACCCAATGCCTGTGCCTGCATTGTGTCTTTGAGGTAAATAACTTGTTTTTTTTTTTGTTTTACAGGCTCATAGGCAGAAGGGACTTGCCTTGTCTCAGATAAGACTTTACACTTGGACTTTTGGGTTGATGCTGGAATGAATTAAGACTTTGGGGGACTCTTAGCAAGGCATGCTTGGTTTTGAAATGTGAAAGGTACATGAGATTTTGGAGGGGCCAGGGGTGGTATGATATGGTTAGGCTTTGTGTCCCCACCCAAATCTCATCTTGAATTGTAATCCCCATAATCCCCATATGTCAAGAGAGAGACCAGGTGAAAGTAATTAAATCATGGGGGCAGTTTCTGCCATGCCTTTCTCATGATAGTGAGTGAGTTCTCATGAGATATGATGGTTTTATAAGGGGCTCTTCCTGCTTCACTCAGCATTTCTCCTTCCTGCTGCCTTGTGAAGAAGGTGCCTTGCTTCCCCTTCCCCTTCAGCCACAATTGCAAGTTTCCTGAGGCCACCCTAGCCATGCTGAACTATGAGTCAATCAAACCCTTTGCCTTTATAAATTACCCACTCTCAAGCAGTTCTTTATAGCAATATGAAAATGCACTAACACATCCTTGATCTCATAATAGGCCATTTTACTGAAAAATATACCATTAGTAAAAATTAGGTACATGAAATCTGATTTTTCTAAGAAAATGCAATGCTAGCTCTTCTGTTTCAAAGGCTGTGTGCCCATTGTTCATAGAAAGTATTTCAAATGAACATTTGAAATTGGCCAAAACAGTAAACAAAGCATAAAATTTTATTTAATATAAGTTAAAAGGTCAAACTATACACAAGGCTTATTTTTGTGATTCCTCCCTTAATTTTATTCCATGTATTAGAATATTTAGTGAAGTAATTCTGACAGACACCTGTGAGGAAATGCCAAGCCATTTTAATGGCAGTTGAAGACATGATTGGGGAATGTTAGGTTTCTTGCTATTGAGCCTTTTCTTTCTGTCTTTCTTTTAATTAAAGTTTTCATGTGGCAACATAGGTTTCAGAATCAGGTATTAGATTTTTCAGCAACATACAGGGTTGTCAAAATTTTCCTCAAAATTTTTTGTGTTGGGGTGGCTAGCAAGATGGCCAAATAGGAGCAGCTCTGGTCTGCACCTCCCAGTGAGATCAACACAGAAGGTGAGTGATTTCCGCATTTCCAACTGAGGTACCCGGCTCATCTCACAGGGACTGATTAGATAGTGGGTGCAGCCCATGGAGGGCGAACCAAATCAGGATCCAGCATTGCCTTACCTGGAAAGTGCAAGGGGTCAGGAAACTCTCTCCTCTAGCCAAGGGAAGCCGGGAGGGACTGTGCCATGAGGAACGGTGCATTCCAGCCCAGATACTATACTTTTCCCACAGTCTTCGCAACCCGCAGACCAGGAGATTCTCTCAGGTGCCTACACAAACAGGGCCCTGGGTTTCAAGCACCAAACTGGGCAGCCATTTGGGCAGACCCCGAGCCTGCTGCAGGAGTATTTCATCATACCCCAGTGGCACCATGGATGCCAGTGAGACAAAACCGCTCACTCCCCTGGAAAGAGGACTGAAGCCAGGGAGCCAAGTGGTCTAGCTCAAAGGATCTCAGCCCCACAGAGCCCAGAAAGCTAAGATTCACTGGCTTGAAATTCTCACTGCCAGCACAGCAGTCTGAAGTCAACCTGGGATGATTGAGCTGGTGGTGGGAGGGGCACCACTGTTACTGAGGCTGGAGTAGGTGGTTTTCCCCTCACAGTGTAAACAAAGCTGCAAGGAAGTTCGAACTGGGCAGAGCCCACCATAGCTCAGCAAAGCCGCTGTAGCCTGACTGCCTCTCTATATTCCTCCTCTCTGGGCACAGCATCTCTGAAAGAAAGGCAACAGCCCCAGTCAGGGGCTTATAGATAAAACTCCCATCTCCCTGCGACAGAGCACCTGGGGAAAGGGGCGGATGTGGGCGCAGCTTCAGCAGACTTAAATTTTCCTGCCTGCTGGCTCTGAAGAGAGCAGCGAATCTCCCAGGACAGTGTTCAAGTTCTGCTAAGGGACAGACTGCCTCCTCAAGTGGATACCTGACTGGGAAACACCTCCCAGGAGGCAGGAAGAGACACCTCATACTGGAGAGCTCCAGCTGGCATCTGGCAGGTGCCCCTCTGGGACAAAGCTTCCAGAGGAAGGAACAGGCAGCAAACTTTGCTGTTTGGCAGCCTCCACTGGTGATACCCAGGTAAACAGGGCCTGTAGTGGACCTCCAACAAACCCCAGCAGAAATGCAGCAGGAGGGGCCTGACTGTTAGAAGGAAAACTAACAAACATAAAGGAATAGCATCAACATCAATAAAAAGGACATCCACACAAAAACCTCATCTGAAGGTCACCAGCATCAAAGATCAAAGGTAGATAAATCCACAAAAATGAGGAAAAACCAGTGCAAAAACGCTGAAAATTCCAAAAACTGGAATGCCTCTTCACCTCCAAAGCATCAAAACTCCTCACCAGCAAGGGAGCAAAACTGGATGGAGGATGAGTTTGACAAATTGACAGAAGTAGGCCTCAGAAGGTCAATAATAACGAATTACTCTGAGCTAAAGGAGGATGTTCTAACCCAATGCAAGGAAGCTAAGAACCTTGAAAAAAGGTTACAGGAATTGCTAACTAGAATAACCAGTTTAGAGAAGAACATAAATGACCTGATGGAGCTGAAAAACACAGCACAAGAACTTCATGAAGCATACACAAGTATCAATAGCCAAATCAATCAAGCAGAAGAAAGGATATCAGAGATTGAAGATCAACTTAATGAAATAAAGCATGAAGACAAGATTAGAGAAAAAAGAATGGAGAGGAATGAACAAAGCCTCCAAGTAATATGGGACTATGTGAAAAGACCAAACCTCCATTTGATTGGTGTACCTGAAAGTGATGGGGAGAATGGAACCAAGCTGAAAAACACTCTTCAGGATATCATCCAGGAGAACTTCCCCAACCTAGCAAGACAGGCCAACATTCAAATTCAGGAAATACAGAAAACACCACAAAGATACTCCTTGAGAAGAGTAACCCCGAGACACATAATCACCAGATTCACCAAGATTGAAATAAAGGGAAAAATGTTAAGGGCAGTCAGAGAGAAAGGTCTGGTTACTCACAAAGGGAAGCCCATCAGACTAACTGCAGATCTCTCTGCAGAAAACCTACAAGCCAGAAAAGGGTGGGGACCAATAATCAACATTATTAAAGAAAAGAATTTTCAACCCAGAATTTCATATCCAGCCAAACTAAGCTTCATAAGTAAAGGAGAAATAAAATCCTTTAAAGACAAGCAAATGCTGAGAGACTTTGTCACCACCAGGCCTGCCTTACAAGAGCTCCTGAAGGAAGCACTAAACATAAATAGGACCAACTGGTACCAGCCACTGTAAAAACATGCCAAATCATAAAGACAATTGATGCTATGAAGTAACTGCATCAATTAATGGGTGAAATAACCAGCTAGCAACATAATTACAGGATCAAATTCACACATAACAATATTAACCTTAAATGTAAATGGGCTAAATGCCCCAGTTGAAAGACACAGACTGGCGAATTGGATAAAGAGTCAAGACCCATCAGTGTGCTGTATTCAGGAGACCCATCTCACATGCAAAGACACACATATCCTCAAAATAAAGGGATGGAGGAAGACCTACCAAGCAAATGGAAAGTTAAAAAAAATCAAGGGTTGCAATCATGGTCTCTGATAAAACAGACTTTAAACCAACAAAGATCAAAAGAGACAAAGAAGGCCATTACATAATGGTAAAGGGATCAATTCAACAGGAAGAGCTAACTATCCTAAATATATATGCACCCAATACAGGAGCACCCAGACTCATAAAGAAAGTTCTAAGAGACCTACAAAGAGACTTAGACTCCCACACAATAATAGTAGGAGACTTTAACCCCTCACTGTCAATATTAGACAGATCACCCAGAGAGGAAATTAACAAGGATATTCAGGACTTGAACTCAGCTCTGGACCAAGTGGACCTAATAGACACCTACAGAACTCTCCACCCCAAATCAACAGAATACACATTCCTCTGAGCACCACATCACACTTATTCTAAAATTGACCACATAATTGGAAGTAAAACACTCTTCAGCAAATGCAAAAAAATGGAAATCATAACAGTCTTTCAGACCACAGTGCAATCAAATTAGAACTCAGGATTAAGAAACTCACTCAAAACCACACAACTACATGGAAACAGAACAACCTGGTCCTGAATGACTACTGGGTAAATAATGAAATTAAGGCAGAAACAAATAAGTTCTTTGAAACCAATGAGAACAAAGTTACAATGTACCAGAATCTCTGGGATACAGCCAAAGCAGTCTGTAGAGGGAAATTTATAGCACTAAATGCCCACAAGAGAAAGCACCCTTTGTAAAACTGACACCCTAACATCACAATTAAAAGAACTAGAGAAGCAAGAGCAAACAAATTCAAAAGCTAGCAGAAGATGAGAAATAACTAAGATCACAGCAGAACTGAAGGAGATAGAGACACGAAAATCCCTTCAAAAAATCAATGAATCCAGGAGCTGGTTTCTTGAAAAGATCAACAAAATTGATAGACCACTAGCAAGACTAATAAAGAAGAAAAGAGAGAAGAATCAAATAGACACAATAAAAAATGATATAGGGGATATCACCACTGATCCAACAGAAATACAAACTACCATCAAAGAATACTATAAATACCTCTATGTAAAATAAACTAGGAAATCTACAAGAAATGGATACATTCCTGGACACATACAACCTCCCAAGACTAAACCAGGAAGAAGTTCAATCTCTGAATAGACTAATAACAGGTTCTGAAATTGAGGCAATAATTAATATCCTACCAACAAAGAAAAGTCCAGGACCAGATAGATTCACAGCCAAATTCTACCAGAGGAATAAAGAGGAGCTGGTACCATTCCTTCTGAAACTATTCCAATCAATAGAAAAAGAGGGAATCCTCCCTAACTCATTTTTATGAGGCCAGCATCACCCTGATACAAAAGCCTGGCAGAGACACACACACAAAAAAGAGAATTTTAGGCCAATATCCCTGATGAACATCAATGTGAAAATCCTCAGTAAAATACTGGCAATCCAAATCCAGTAGCACATCAAAAAGCTTATCCACCACAATCAAGCTGGCTTCAACCCTGGGATGCAAGGCTGGTTCAACATATGCAAATCAATAAACATCATCCATCATATAAACAGAACCAAAGACAAAAACCACATGATTATCTCAATAGATGCAGAAAAGGCCTTTGATAAATTTCAACAGCCTTTCATGCTAAAAACTTTCAATAAACTAGGTATCAATTGAATGTATCTCAACATAATAAGAGCTATTTATGACAAAACCACAGCCAATATCATACTGAATGGGCAAAAACTGGAAGCACTCCCTTTGAAAACTGGCACAAGACAAGGATGCCCTCTCTCACCACTCCTATTCAACACAGTATTGGAAGTTCTCGCCAGGACAATCAGGCAAGAGAAAGAAATAAAGGGAACTCAGATAGGAAGAGAGGAAGTCAAATTGTCCCTGTTTGCAGATGACATGATTGTATATTTAGAAAACCCCATCGTCTCAGCCCAAAATCTCCTTAAGCTGAAAAGCAACTTCAGCAAAGTCTCAGGATACAAATCAATGTGCAAAAATCACAAGCATTCCTATACACCAATAATAGACAACCAGAGAGCCAAATCATGGGTGAACTCCCATTCACAATTGCTACAAAGAGAATAAAATACCTAGGAATCCAACTTACAAGGGATGTGAATGACCTCTTCAAGGACAACTACAAACCACTGCTCAAGGAAATAAGAGAGGACAGAAACAAATGGAAAAACATTCCATGTTCATAGATAGGAAGTATCAATACTGTGAAAATGGCCATACTGCCCAAAGTAATTTATAGATTCAATACTATCCCCATCAAGCTACCATTGACTTTCTTCACAGAATTAGAAAAATCTACTTTAAATTTCATATGAAACCAAAGAAGAGCTCGTATAGCCAAGACAATCCTAAGCAACAATATGAAAGCTGGAGACATCACAGTACCAGACTTCAAACTATACTACAAGGCTACAGTAATCAAAACAGCATGGTGCTGATACCAAAACAGATATATAGACCAACGGAACAGAACAGAGGCCTCAGAAATAATGCCACAAATCTATAACCATCTGATCTTTGACAAACCTGACAAAAACAAGCAATGGGGAAAGAATTCCCTATTTAATAAATGGTGTTGGGAAAACTGGCTAGCCATATGCAGAAAACTGAAACTGGACCCCTTCCTTACACCTTATACAAAAATTAACTCAACACGGATTACAGACTTAAACATAAGATCCAAAACTGTAAAAACTCTAAAAGAAAACCTAGGCAATACCATTCAGGACATAGGCATGGGCAAAGCCTTCATGACTAAAACACCAAAAGCAATGGCAACAAAAGCCAAAATTGATAAATGCTATATAATTAAACTAAAGATCTTCTGCACAGAAAAGAAACTATCATCAGAGTCAGCAGGCAACCTACAGAATGGAAGAAAAATTTTGCAATCTATCCATCTGACAAAGGGCTAATATCCAGAATCTACAAGGAGCTTAAACAAATTTACAAGAAAAAAGCAAACACTCCCATCAAAAAGTGGGCAAAGGATATGAACAGATATTTCTCAAAAGAAAACATTTATGCAGCCAACAAGCATATGAAAAAAGGTCATCATCATCACTTGTCATTAGAGAAACGCAAATCAAAACCACAATGAGATGCCACCTCATGGCAGTTAAAATGGCAATCATTAAAAAGTTAGGAAACAACAGATACTGGAGAGGATGTGGAGAAATGGAACACTTTTACACTATTGGTTACACTTTTATACTGTTACGCCTTTACACTGTAGTTCATCCATTGTGAAAGACAGTGTGGAGATTCCTCAAGGATGTAGAACCAGAAATACCATTTGACCCAGCAATTCCATTACTTGGTATATACCCAAAGGATTATAAATTATTCTGCTACAAAGACACATGCACACCTATGTTTACTGCGGCACTGCTCACAATAGCAAAGACTTGGAACCAACCCAAATGCCCATCAATGATAGATTGGATAAAGAAAATGTGGCACATATACACCGTAAAACACTATGCAGCCATAAAAAAAGGATGAGTTCATGTCCTTTGCAGGGACATGGATTAGCCTGAAACCATTATTCTCAGCAAACTAACACAGGAACAGAAAACCAAACACCACATGTTGTCACTCATAAGTGGGAGCTGAACAATGAGAACACAGGGAGACAGGGAGGGGAACATCACACACAGGGGCCTGACAGGGGTCGGGGGGTGCTAGTGGAGGGATAGCATTAGGAAAAATACCTAATGTAGATGACGGGTTGATGGGTACAGCAAACCATCATGTCACGTGTATATCTATGTAACAAACCTACACGTTCAGCACATGTATCCCAGAACTTAAAGTATATTTAAAAAATTGATCATCATCATAATCATTGTCATTGTTATCATTTCTTTCAACAGACCATTTGAACTTACTTGGTCTTCTCTGGACCATCTAACTCCTTTTTTTTCCACTTCCATGAGGTTTGCATCCCAGCATCTGGAGCGATGTTTCTCAACCCTTTTCACTCCATTTCAATGAGCTTAAAACTTCGTGTAGTGTACTCCATATTTTGACACGCTACCTTCAGCATCATTGAAAATCTTCTTAGATATTGGGGTATTTCATTCTAATGTCATTTGGCTTTACTTTCTGTAGCTGGTAGTATGAAATTATTTATATTTTTATTCCTCCAGACCTCTATGCTCCTGTTATCTCATTCATATTCCCCCCCCACAGCACAGCATCCTTCTTTCTATCCTCAAAGAGTTGACTGGGGGTAACAGACAAGCAACTCAGTAACTTCAACATAGCTTTAAGAATTTTTCTAGTGCATGAATAAAAGAGAGTGCAACAGATTTAAGTTGGGATGGAGGGCAGATGCTCTTCTATACAATTCTTCTGCCTTCTAACACTCCCCAACCCCTTGTTAAAGTGTCTTTCACTGGTCAGCCTTCCCATTCACTTGAAAATTGTCTTGTGCTAGTCATCACCGCCCTCTTCCCAGAAGAAGACCAATTATCATCTTTTCATTGAAATCCTCACTAGCTCAAAAATAATATTTCAATGAACTATCTTAACAATAAAGAAGAGATCACACTAATTCATATTAAAAAGAATAAATAATTGCTGGCTCAAAGTACTAGCTTATTCTAATTTCAGGTCTTCATATTGAAATTCCACCCCCCACCCCACTTAGTTTGGTAATAAAAGTGTGAAGCAAGAGTATCAAGAATTTCCAGTGTCCTCCCAGAAGATCTACATTAAAATCTTGAACTACTTATCCCTAAGGGCTACATTCCTAAAGGTGGAATTTCCGTGTGACTGGCCCATGTGTATGTGTTTGGAGTGGAGGAAAGTGGGGAGGTTTGCCTGGATGTGAACAATTGCCCCTTACATAGCTCTTTGGAAAGTATGAATTTTTTGCGTATTAAGTGGTCTTAGAGTAGGCCCTATCTACGAAGAGAAAATTTCAAACCTGATACATGTATTGTTGTGGCAAATAAATGGTCTTTTGCAAATGTATAAGTATCCTTTTTACAGTAGGTAGCTTATGTAAGGGAGAGACATAATTTAAAACGAAAGGTAGGTGTATGGAATGATTATGAAATTTCAAGGTAGATCCTTAGGCTGTTGGAATCTTTGAGAAGTGAAGCTTAACCCAAAATGATTTGAGAAAATGAATCAGAGGTTAAAGAACACTACACAAATACATCTGCTGTCTAAAGCTAAATTGCTTTTGGGCATTCCTCCATCTGAAAAGAGGCAGGAGACAAGATTAATGTTTGTTTGACATTCTAGCCATTAGGTATAAAGTTTAGTCTTCAGTGAGGAAAGGGAATCACTTGTAGTTTCAAAAAATGGGGGACAGAAAGCCTTCAGCTAAGGAAGGTAACATTTAGAGCAGATATTAGGAAAAAGAATGTTCTCATGAACAAGAGCCACAAAGTATTAGAGCAGGTTCCCAAGAGAAGTCAAGGGAGCTTCTGTGCAAATAAACCACAATGGTTTCATTAAGATGTTATATATAAGGAATATGAAAGTGGAAACAAGGGTTTTTCTAATTCTATGGCCTAACAGGTCAGGAGACTAGACCACTCAATAACAAGCCATGTTCAAGGCCATAGGGAAAAATAGTAATTCCCGGGAAAATGGCACTCTGTTGATGAAAACTACAGAGATTAAAGAATCTCCTCCTTCAAACTTACATCTAAAAAGTCGTTCATAAATACACCAAGATATGCAGAACATATCAAAAAGGAAAGAGTCAAGGGTGAGCATGGGGAAGCCCAGAGCTTCAGATAATTTCAAACAAATGAACATATACATTTTTAATACCCTGAAGCCTGGAAACAGAACAATACTTTATGAACTTGCAGATCACTTCATAGGAAGGCCAAAGGCCAGGTATTTATGTACATATATAATAGATCAGTTTTTCAAAATCTTCAAGGAAGACATCTGAAGTTCCAGTTTATAATCCAAAAGGAACATACTGTGTTCCTGTCACCTGATCCATAATTTCATGTTCCATTAAAGGCAGCAAAACTTGTTTTAAACTATACTTAGGAAAACCCAAATAAAATTATAAATCTGGGATCCCTTCCCCAGACTAAAAAATGTAGTTTAGTATTTTTAGCTTTAAAATTTGATCCCAAGAACCTTCTACGTTTTGGCCAAATAATCAGTTCTAAAGTAAAAAATTCATTCAATCAGCCACTTGTGTTGACATACTTCTAACATTTAATTTGACATACTTTTTACTGAAATAACCTATTATTATTGCATTGTGATGATACAGCTTTACGGTTATTAGTTATTTTGCAAGGCCACAAAAAGTAGGGATATATGATGGACAATATGACTGAAATATCTGTCTCCCCACCAATGGGCAGAGTTGATGTGGTTCATTTGGCTGGCTAAGCCATTAAATTTCTATCTCCCACCTCTATGTTTCCCATTCTCATTCCAAGACAATGAACATCACTGAGAGTAAAAAAATTTTTGAAAATTTGAAGAAATCTCTGTGTTCCAGTTAGTATAGCTATGTAACAAATTATCCCCAAATTTTGTAGCTTAAAACAATAGTAATCACTTTTTATTTCTCATAGCTTCTGTAAATCAGGAATTCAGAAGCTGATCAGTTGAGCCATCCAGGCTCAGGGTCTCTCTTGAGGTTGCAGTTAACCGAAGGCTTTAGTAGGGCTGGAAGATCTGCTTCCAAGGTCACCCACTCACTTTTTTGGCCAGTTGGTGCGGGTCTTCGGCACTTCCTCTCCATGTGGAACACTCCACAGAGTTGCTTGAGTATCCTCAGAGCATGGGAGATGACTTTCTCCAGGGTAAGTGATCCAAGAGAGCAAGGCTGAAGCTGCAATGCCTTATATGACCAAGCTTTGGGAGTCACACATCTTTACTTCTACTGTATTCCACAGGTCACACTACGCCAGTCCTGATTCAGTGTAAGGGATGACAGACCTACAAGAATTACAGAAGGCTAAGATTATTAGAGCTCATCTCAGTAGCTGGCTACCACAATCAAGTAGAAGCAATATGCTGATAAGACACTTGTGAATATGTAAGTCATTCATTGAATCCAAAGTTTTCCTTAGCCACCTGAGATAATTGAATTTGTTATTATTGTTTCATACCCAAGCTTGGTAACTCCTTTTTTCTTCTTGGTCTTAGGGGCACCATGTCTTCTCTTTCTTGGTTTCAGGTATGACTTATCAGGTTCATGTTGAAAATGCCTATTTTTACAGACCCTAGAACACCATCTGGTGGTTCTAGCCTCCATAGGATTCTGCTCAACCATTTGTAAATTTGTTCAGTTAACAAACATTTATTAAATGCCTACTGTGTACTAGGGATACAATGTTGAACAAAATAAACAAGCTCCCTAGTCTCATGGAACATATTCTAGTGAAGGAAAACAAACAATAAAAAAGAGACAAACAAATATGAAGATAACAGACAATGGTAAATACTAGAATGAAAATAAAATAGCTGGATAGATAAGGAAAGGCTAGCAAAGGTGTTTCATTTAGGCTACGTGATGAAAAAGGCTTCTCTGAGGAAGCAGAGTCCTAGATAACAAAGATGCAAATATTTGAGGGGAGAACATTTCAGGCAGAAGAAAGTCAACACAAGGTCCCCGAGGGAAGAACAAGCTTGATGTGTGTGAGGAAAAAAAATAAGGTTCAAAGGCTGGAGCAGAGTGGGCAAGGGTAAGAGAAGAATGAGATGAGTGGGTAGTGGTCATGTCTTGTGCAGATATATAGACCAGGGTAACTGGTTTAGGTCTAATCTCAAGGGTAACTGCAAGACATTGAAAGGTCCTTTATCTTAAAATAAATGCTCATTTTCTTGTCTTCACTTCTTTCTTATTTTCTTCTTTCCTACAGTACAGCTTCTCTAAAATGGGTTCCTTTCTCCTTCCAGACACACAGAAGAATTACATTTCTCTACTCCCATGCAGGCAGATGGGGACATCTGAGTACTAATGGCCAACTGATTATGAGTAGAAGTAACACCAAAGCCTTTGTCTGTGAAAGATCTGCAATTCTCTCTTCTATTGCAGCAATGGAGGTCACATACTTCAAATGGTACACAGCTAGTAAGGTGGTAAAGCCTTCATCAGACTGGGTCCTTGAGTGACTATGTAACGGATGCAAGAAACAAAACTTTTATGTGTGTCTTAAACTGCTGAGATTTTGGAGTTGTTAGTTAACAGAATGTAGCCTAGACTATTCTGATTTTCAAAGTGTTCTTCCATGAAAAATAAGTTCTAAACTGAATTGTTGGCAGTCAACCCAAATCTTTCTTTTATAGCCACTGCTGGTTGATCCCATAATATAAATTAATTCATAATTGTTTCTGACCTTCAGTTTCTTGGACAATTCAATTTATTCTCCAGTTCTGTTCCCACCTTTAGTCACTAGAAGATGCAGTGTTGTCACCACTTATTAGTAAATCACAAAACGAACATTTATAAAGTCCATGTTTTCTTATTCAGAGGAGGGAATGGGGTTCATTACTTAAGTCTGGGGAAAAGAAGAGATATCTTGTATGGGTTAATCCGACCATGAGCTCCGATTAACCCATACATGAGCCTTCCCTGCCACATTGAGATGATCCTTACTGAAAAGGAACAGATTGTTCCTAAACCAGAAGAGGAGGTTGCCCAGAAGAAAAAGATATCCCAGAAGAAACCGAAGAAACAAAAACTTATGGCACGGGAGTAAATTCAGCATTAAAATAAATGTAATTAAAAGGAAAAAAAAAGAAGAGATATCTTGTTCACAAACTGCTGCCATCCAGATGTTGGGAAAAATTTCAGAAGGGGAAGTAAGACATAGAGAAGCCAACTCTGTTCTATACTTGAGATGATACATAGCACCCAACAGGGAAAATAGAATTGCTTATCGTTTATATTTTCCCTGTCAGAGCCATTCATAATGACACACATTTAATTTTTGCTAAGTTCCTCAAGGTTCATTTCATTCATTATATTTGTTTAAAAAGCACTATCAGTAAAGAAAATCTTCTTCATCTGTGTTACATGGCAGCTTGATGCTTCTGCCAGCAGTATATTTTTTATGGGAATTCCAAGCAATGCAAACAAGATTTAATTTCTTTCAAACGTCCTTCTTGGCTCATACCAATTCATCCAGGCACGGCATTCTTTAAGCCATTTCCAATTTCTCTGATCAAACAGGCTGGACTACTACCTGGGGGTTTTGGCTCCATCCAAGAAACCTGCTTTACCAAACCATCTGTTGAAGCTCCTGGATTCCTTCTATTTAGTAAGACTCACATGTCATATGGTATACATTTTCACCTTCTGAACTGTGTCCTAGACATCTTACTGGAACAACTTACCTCAATCACACATGATCTTTCCAAAGATATTTTCTTATCCTAAAAGCTCAAATAATATTTCATATTATAGCAGAACTGTTCAAAAATTCACCCATGAAGAAGACATTAAAATAAGAGCTCCCCTTTCAGTTTGGGTTTTATGTTCTAAGACTGGGTAGTATTGAAAAGATGGTGGGTAACAAAGAAATATACAAGTTATTAAATGTTTCAGGTAAAGCCAACCTAGAATTATCTGAGAATCATTCACAAGTAGCAAGTTTATGAAGGGCTTTTGATGTACACAAGCCAAGTGCCTACAGGAAAATATCTCAAAATCCTAGAGAGTCTCCTCTTCCTTCACAGAACAAACTTCATTAATCTTCTCCATTTATGAGGGCAGTAATAATGGAGCCAAGACAGAGGCCTGGTCTCTATTCTAGGCCAGTTAACTTTCCTAAGTTACATGGCCAAAAATAGGAACACTGACCCCTCATTAATCATGTAAAAAGCAGTATTTGTTCAGCACATACTTTATGTACAGCATAGGCATTTTGCACACTTATTTTTGGTCCCAAAGTTGAACTTAAGGGAATAAATAGGTGAAATAATAAATAACCATAATTTGGTAAATCTTTCAAAATCACCCTTACCTTCTTGAGGGCCTCCCTTGTACCAGGCATTTTCATAGAAGATGTCCCATTTAATCCTTAGAACTCTGTAAAGCAGTTTTTTTTCCCCATTTAGTGGATGAGAAAAACTGAAGCTCAGAATCACAAAATGGTCTACTTAGCTGACATCATATAGATGGTAAGTTCAGAGTTAGAACCTAAACCCAGATCCTGAGCTTCTTCCCTTCCTATCTGGTGCTTTTCCAAGCCTGCGAGGGAAGAGAAGACCACAGTTAATACTTGAAACATATCTTATTTGAATACCAAAAGCAGTAAATTCCAGGTAAAGGTTGTTTCCCGTCATTCATCTTTGTGAGTTCTTAGCTAAGTAAATATTATTTAACCCAGTAAAGTTTTGATTGTCAAATCATATCAATAGTAACAAATATAATATTTCTAACTAATATGTTGGTTATATTTTTGAAATATATAAATGTATTATGAAACTGCAAATTATTAAAATATAGACTTCTCAAATGTGATCAATTAGGGTAGTTGATTGGTTAATAGAGAATCAGATACTCATAATTATTAAAATATATAATAGACTTCTCAAATGTGATCAACTAGGGTAGTTGATTGGCTAATTGAGAATCAGATACTCATTAGATTTAGAGAAGATACTCATTAAACATTATATTTACTTAAACTTTTATTTTAACTAAAATATATTAACAAATGTTCATTCACACATCTTTTCTTGTGCATCCAAAACCTTCTTTAAAGTACAAGTTTTTGTACACTGGCAATGAACAATCCAAAAAAGAAATTAAGAAAGCAGGCCGGGCGTGGTGGCTCACACCTGTAATCCCAGAACTTTGGGAGGCCGAGGTGGGCAGATCATGAGGTCAGGAGATCAAGACCATCCTGGCTAACATGGTGAAACACCATCTCTACTAAAAATACAAAAAAAAAAAAAAATTAGCTGGGCATGGTGGCAGGCACCTGTAGTCCTAGCTACTAGGGAGGCTGAGGCAGGAGAATGGCATGAACCCAAGAGGTGGAGCTTGCAGTGAGCCAAGATCATGCCACTGCACTCCAGCCTGGGCGACAGAGCAAGACTCCATCTCAAAAAAAAAAAAAAAGAAAAGAAAACAATTCCATTTATAGTAGCAGCAAAAAGAATAAAATAGTTAGGAATATATTTAACAAAGATGATGCAAGACTTGTACAATGAAACTACAAAACATTGCCAAAAGAAATTAAAGAATATTTAAATAAATGGAAAAATACCCCAATATTCATGGACGGGAAGACTTCATATTGTTAGAATGGCAATACTTCTCAAAGCAACATACAGATTCAACACAATCTATATAAAAATCCCAATAGCCATTTTTTGCAGAAATGGAAAAGCTGTTCCTAAAATTCATATGAAATTATAATGGAACCCAAATCACCAAAATTAGCTTGAAGACAAAGTTTGAAGTGTTCACACTTCCAAGTTTAAAAACTTACTATAAAGCTACAGTAAATAAAATGGTATGATACCAGCATAAAGATGGACATATAGATCAATGGAATAAAATCTTGAATCCAGAAATAAATCCAAACATCTATGATCAAATTTATTTTCAACAAGGATGCCAAGACCATTCAATAAGGAAAGAATAGTCTCTTCCATAAATGGTGCTGGGGCAACTGGAAATCCACATGACATAACAGTGAAGTCAGACCGTTACCTCAAATAGGACACAAGAATCGTCATAGTACGAATGTTTCTGTCCTCCTCAAAATTCAAATATTGAAGTTATAACACCAATGTAATGGTATTTGGAGATGAGGTTTGGGGGAGACAATTAGAGTTAGATGAACTCATGAGGATAAGGCCTTTGATAGGATTAGTGCCTTTACTGGAGGGGATACAAAAGAGCTCTCTCTTCACTATGAGGACACAGTGAGAAGACAGTTGTCTGAAGGCCAAGAAGAGAGTCCCAGCTAGAAACTGACCATGCTAGCCCCTTGATTTTAGATGTCCCAGATTTCACAAATGTGAGAAATAAAGTTCTGGTGCTTGTCACCCAGTCTATGGTATTTTCTCATGCAGCCTGAACAGACTAACATAAACATTAACTCAAAATGGATCAATGATCTAAATGTAAGAGCTAAAACTATAAATTTCTTAGAAGAAAGGATAGGAATAAATCTTTATGACCTTGGATTTGATTTCCTAGGACAACAAAAGTATAAGCAAAGAAAAAAAAGTAAATTAGACTCTATCAAAATTAAAAATTTTTGTGCATCAAAGGATAGCATACTCCAAGCCAGAATAACAGCCCTATGAGCCAGACCCCAAGTTCATTGACCCACCATGTGCACACATGCACCCCAACCTGAGAAGCAACCTGGGAAGCACACACCCAGCAAAGCCACATCACTGCCACCACAAACTCTCTCAGCCTAAGCCACTGAGACACTCACAAATGTCACTAATGTGGATTACAGATAAAGAAACTTCACTAACACTACACTACTGTGTCCACCTAGAACCAAGGTCAATGCACCCTTCACCAAACTGACATCCCAAGACCCATTCACATGAATAAGTCTTTTCCTATGAAACTTACTCCATAAAATGTGAAGAAACAACTTTTCCACCAGATGTGTAGAAATTAACGTAGGGACACATCAAGCATAGAAAAGTAAAGAAATATGACACCTCCAAAGGAAAACAATGATTCTCCAATAATAGTCCCCAATCATAAGGAAATATATGAAATGCCAGAAAAAAGCATTCAAAATAATGATCTTAAAGAAATTGAGTGAAATAAAATAGAATACAGATAGACAATTCAATGAAATCACAAAACAATTTATGTTTGAATGAGAAGTTCAGAAAAGAGATAGATATCATAAAAAAGAACCAAACAGAAATCCTAGAGCAGAAAAATTCTGTGAGTGAAATAAAAAATATAACTGAGAGCTTCAACAACAGACTAAACCAAGCAGAAGAAATAATTTCTAAACTTGAATAAAGGTGTTTTGGAATAACACTGGCAGACAAAAAATAAAAAATAATAATTTTAAAAGCCTACAGGATTTACGGGACATCAATAAGCAAACAAATATTCATATTATGGGCATTCCTGATGGCAAGGCAAAGGGAAAAGGTGAGGAAAACATATTTAATGAAATAATAGCTAAAAGCTTCCCAGGTGTTGGGACAGATGGGCATCCAGATTCAAGAAGCTCAAAGAAGCCAAAATATATTCAATCCAAAAGGTCCTCACCATAGAACATTATAGTCAAGTTGTCAAACGTCAAAAACAGGAAAGAATTTTAAAAACAGCAAGAAAAAGATGCCAAGTCACATATAAGAAAATCTACATTTGACTAATAATGGACTTCTCAGAAGAAAATGAAGGCTGTAACTCTAATTTCATTTTAACATTCATAACTCACTAGTGCTTACAGATAAAGACCCCAGAGATACAGTGGTACTTTCTCAATTAAAAAAAAAAGAATTAAGCCTCTGCTAAAGTCTGCGGCAGAATAGAGCATGGTATAATACACTAGAGTGACATGATATAATCAAAGTAATAAAACAAAACTGCTAACCAAGAATATAACACCCAGCAAAGCTATTCTTCAGAAACAAAAGATTCCACAGACAAGCAAAAACTACGTGAATTCATTACCACTAGATCAGCCTTACAATAAATGCTCAAGGAAGTCTTATGTCTGGAAGTGAAAAGACAGTAACTACCATCATGAAAACATGCAAAACTATAAAACTCACTGTTTAAACAGATACACAAAAGAGAAAGAGAATGGAATCAAACCTTATAAATACAGAAAACTGCCCAACTACAAAGATAAACAAGAAGAGGGGAAATAAGGAACAAGGGATACACAAAACAACCAGAAAATAATCAATAAAATGATAGGAGTAAGTCCTTACGTATCAACAATAACCTTGAATGTAAACAGATTAAATTTCCCATTTAAAAGATATACAGATGGTCTGGCATGGTGGCCCATGCCTGTAATCCTAGCATTCTCAGAGGCCAAAGTGGAAGGATTGCTTGAGCCCAAGAGTTCCAGACCAGCCTGGGCAATATAGTAAGACCTTGTCTCTATTTTAAAAATAAAAGAATAAATTGTTTAAAAAGGAAAAAAAAGATATAGACTGCCTGAATGAATTTAAAAAACAAGACCCAACTCTACACTGCCTTTAAGAAACTCGCCTCATCTGTAAAGACACACATAGACAGAAAGTGAAGGATTGGAAGAAGATATTCCATGGAAACCAAAAATAAATGGGAGTAACTGTATTTATATCAGACAGATTTTAAGACAAAGGCTGTAAAAATAGACAAAGAAGGAAATTATATAATAATAAAGGGATTGATTCAGCAAGAGACTATAGCAATTTTAAGTATATATGCATCCAACACTAGAACACCCAGAGATATAAGGCAAGTATTATTGGATCTAAAGGAAGAGATAGTCCCCAGTACAAGACAGTTGGGAACTTCAACACTCCACTCTCAGCACTGGACAGATCATTTAGACAGAAAATCAACCAAAAAATTTGGATTTAAATTGTATCATATAACAAATGGGCCTAAGAGACATTTACAGAACATTTCACACAACAGCTGAAGAATACACTTTTTCCATCAGCATATAAAACATTCTGCAGGACTGACCATATACTAGGACACAAAACAAGTCTTAAAATTTTTTAATTGAAATTATATTAAATATTTTATCTGACCTCAATGGAATAAAACTAGACATTAATAACAAGAGGAACATTGGAAACTACACAAATAGGTGGAAATTAAACAACATGCTCCTGAATGACCAATGGGTAAAAGAAGAAATTAAGAATAAAATTTTAAAATTCCTCGAAACAAATGGAAATAGAAACAGAACATACCATACTGACACCTATGGGATACAGCAAAAGCGGTACTAACAGGAAAGTTTATAGCAATAAGTGCCTACATCAAAAAACTAGAAATATTTTAAATAAACAACCTAATGATATATCCAAGAAACTAGAAAAGCAATAACAAGCAAAATCCAAAATTACTAGAATAAAAGAAACAATAAAGATTCGAGCAGAAATAAAATTGAGACTACAAAAATACAAAAGATCAACAAAACAACAAGGTTGGCTTTTTGAAAAGAAACAAAATTGACAAGTCATTAGCTAGACTTAAAAAAAGAGAAAGAAGATATAAATAAATAAAATCAGAAGTGAAAAATGAGACACCACAGTGAATACCACAGAAATACAAAGGATCATTAGAGACTACTACGAGTAACTATGTGCCAATAAATTCCAAAACCTGGAGGAAACGGATAAATTCCTGGGCACATACAACCTGCCGAGATTGAGCCAAGAAGAAATAGGAAACCTGAACAGACCAGTAACAAGATTGAATCAGTAATAAAAGCCCTCCCAACAAATAAAAGTCCAGGAACACATGGCTTCACCATCAAATTCTACTGAAAACTTTAGAGAAGAATTTTCCTCAAACTATTCCAAAAAACAAAACAAAAAAAACTGAAGCAGAGAGCATTCTTTCTAACTTATTCTATGAGGCCAGGATAACCCTGATATCAAGACCAAACAAGGACACAACAAAAAAATGAAACTATAGTCCGGTATTCCTAATGAATATACATGCAAAAATTTTCAACTAAATACTAGTAAAAGGAATCCAACAACACATTAAAAAGATGATACATCATAATCAAGTAGGATTTATCTCAAGAATGCAAGGATGATTCAACATATGCAAATCAATTCACATCATGCATCACATCAATAGAATGAAGGGCGAGATCATATAATAGTCTCAATAGACGCAGAAAAAAGGCATTTGTTAAAATCCAACATCCCTTCAGAATAAAAACTCTCAATACATTAGGTATAGAAGGAAAATACCTCAACATAATAAAGGCCATCTATGACAAATCCACAACTAACCTTACACTGAATGGGGAAAGCCTGAAAGCTTTTCCTCTAACAACTAGAACAACACAAGGATGCCCACCCTCACCACTCTTATTCAACATAGTATGGGAAGTCTGAGCCAGAGCAATTAGGCAAGAGAAACAAATAAAGAGCTTCCAAACTGGAAAAGAAGAAGTTAAATTGTCCCTGTTTGCAGATAACATGATCTTATATACAGAAAAACCTAATGACTCTACCAAAAAAAAAAAAACCTCTAGAATCAATAACTGAATTCAATAAAGTTGCAGGATACAAAAATTGATATACAAAAATCAGTAGTGTTTCTACACATGAACGAACAACAAAGTAGCTGTAAAAGTTATCAAGAAGGCAATCACATTTACAATAGCTACAAAATAATAAAATACCTAGGAATAAATTTAAGCAAAGAGGTAAAAGACCTCTCTATAAGGAAAACTACAAAACACTGATGAAAGAGATTGAAGAGGATAGAAACAAATAGAAAAACATCTCATGCCCCTGGAACAGAAGAATCAATATTGTTAAAGTGACCATGCTACCCAAAGCAAGTGATAGATTCATTGCAATCACTATCAAGACACCAATAATAATCAGGTGCAGTAGCTAACACCTATAATCCTGGCTACTCAGGAGGCTGAGGCAGGAGGATCACTTGAAGCCAAGAATTCAAGACCAGCCTGAGCAACATAGCAATACTTCATCTCTAAAAAAAAATTTTTTTAATTAGGTAGGTGTGGTGGTGTGCTAGCTTCTCGAGAGACTGAAGCAGGAGGATTGCTTGAGCTCAGGAGTCAAGGCTGCAGTGAGCTATGATTGTGCCACTGCAGTCCAGCCTAAGCAGCAGAGCCAGACTCCGTCTCTTTTTTTTTAAGAAATTCTTTTTATTATTATTATTATTATTATTATTATTATTATTATACTTTAAGTTCTAGGGTACATGTGCACAACGTGCAGGTTTGTTACATAGGTATACATGTGCCATATTGGTTTGCTGCACCCATCAACTCGTCATTTATATTAGGTATTTCTCCTAATGCTATCCTTCCCCCAGTCCGCCACCCCTCAACAGGCCCCAGTGTGTGATGTTCCCCTCCTTATGTCCATGTGTTCTCATTGTTCAACTCCCACTTATGAGTGAGAACATGTGGTGTTTGGTTTTCTGTCCTTGTGATATTTTGCTGAGAATGATGGTTTCCAGCTTCATCCACATCCCTGCAAAGGACATGAACTCATCCTTTTTTATGGCTGCATAATATTCCATGGTGTATATGTGCCACATTTTGTTTATCCAGTCTATCATTGATGGACATTTGGGTTGATTCCAAGTCTTTGCTATCGTGAATAGTGCTGCAATAAACATACATGTGCATGTGTCCTTTTAGTAGCATGATTTATAATCCTTTGGGTATATACCTAGCATTGGGATTGCTGGGTCAGATGGTATTTCTAGTTTTAGATCCTTGAGGAATCGCCACACTGTCTTCCACAATGGTTGAACTAATTTACACTCCCACCAACAGTGTAAAAGCCTTCCTATTTCTCCTTATCCTCTCCAGCATCTGTTTTTTCCTGACTTTTTAATGATTGCCATTCTAACTGGCGTGAGATGGTATCTCATTGTGGTTTTGATTTACATTTCTCTAGTGACCAGTGATGATGAGCATTTTTTCTTATGTCTGTTGGCTGCATAAATGTCTTCTTTTGAGAAGTGTCTGTTCATATCCTTTGCCCACTTTTTGATGGGATTGTTTGTTTTTTTCTTGTAAATTTATTTAAGTTATTTGTAGATTATGGATATTAGCCCTTTGTCAGATGGGTAGATTGCAAAGATTTTCTCCCATTCTGTAGGCTGCCTGTTCACTCTGATGATAGTTTCTTTTGCTGTGCAGAAGCTCTTTAGTTTTAATTAGATCCCATTTGTCAATTTTGGCTTTTGTTGCCGTTGCTTTTGGTGTTTTAGTCATGAAGTCTTTGCCCAAGCCTAAGTCCTGAATGGTATTGCCTAGGTTTTCTTCTAGGGTTTTTATGGTTTTAGTTCTTACACTTAAGTCTTTAATCCATCTTGAGTTAATTTTTGTATAAGGTGTAAGGAAGAGATCCAGTTTCACCTTTCTGCATATTGCTAGCCAGTTTTCCCAGCACCATTTATTAAACAGGGAATCCTTTCCCCAATGCTTTTGTCAGGTTTGTTAAAGATCAGATGGTTGTAGATGTGTCATGTTATTTCTGAGGCCTCTGTTCTGTTCCATTGGTCTATATATCTGTTTTGGTACCAGTACCATGCTGTTTTGGTTACTGTAGCCTTGTAGCATAGTTTGAAGTCAGGTAGCGTGATGCCTCCAGCTTTGTTCTTTTTGCTTAGGATTGGAGCCAGACCCTGTCTCTTAAAGAATATCTGTCTATCAATGGATGTCTATTTGATATGTCTATGTCTGTATCTCATCTATCAATTAATACATGAGACATATATCTATGTCTGAGATACAGACATAGACATAGAGATAGATGATAGATAGATAGATAGATAGATAGATAGATAGATAGATGTCAATGACATTCTTCACAGAAATTTTTTTAAATCCTGAAATTTGTATGGAACCACAAAAGACCCCTAATAGCCAAAGCAATCCTAAGGAAAACGAATAAAGCTGGAGACACCATCACACTACCAAACTTCAAAATACACTACAAAATTATAGTAACCAAAACATCATGGTACAGGCATAAAAAACAGACACGTAGACCAGTGGAACAGAATAGAGATCCCAGAAATTGATCCAGGTATCTACAGCCAAGTGATTTTTGACAAAGGTGCCAAGAACACTAATTGGGAGAAGGCAGCTTCTTCAATAAATGATGTTGGGAAAAATGGATATCTATATGCAGAAGAATGAAACTAGACCCTCACCTCTCACCCTATTCAAAAATCAACTCAACATAGATCAAAAATCTAAATGTAAGACCCAAAACTATGGAACTGCTATAAGAAAACATAGGGGAGATTCTTCAGGACATTTGTCTGGGGAAAGATTTTATAAATAAGACTTCAAAAGCACAGGTAATAAAAGCAAAAATAAACAAATGGAATCATATCAAACTAAAAACATTCTGCACAGCAAAGGAAACAACCAACAGAGTGAAAGACAACCTATGGAATGGAATTAAATATTTTCAAATTATTTATCCAACAGGAAATTGATATCCAAAATACACAAGGCACTCAACCATTCAGCAACAACCACAAAAAAACAAAATAACCCCATTTAAAAATGGGCAAATGATCTCAACATACATTTCTCAAAAGAAGACATACCTATGGCCAACAAATATATGAAAAAATGCTCAACATCACTAATCATCAGGAAAATGTAAATTAAAACAACAGTGAGATATCATCTCACCACACTTAGGATGACTATTATCCAAAAGACAAAAAATGGCAAATGCCTAGTGAGGATCCAGAGAAAAGCAAGCTCTTATACACTGTTGGTAGAAGTGTAAACTAGTACAAGCACTATGGAGAACAGTATGGAGGTTCCTGAACAAAACTAAAAATACAATTATCATATGATCCACTAATCCCATTGCTGGGCATTTATCCAAAGAAAAGAAAAATCAGTATATTGAAGAGACTACTGCACCCTTATGTTTATTGCAGCACTATTCACAATAGCCAAGATATAGAATCAACCTAGGTGTGCAGGAACAGATGAATGGTTAAAGAAAATGTGGTATATACACACAATGGAATACTATACAGCCATGAAAAAGACATGGATGCAACTGGATGTAACTGGAGGACATTATGTTCAGTAAAATAAGCCAGAAACAGAAAGCTAAACACCACGTTCTCACTCATAAGTGGAAGCTAAAAGAAAGTTCTCACAGAAGTAAAATGCAAAACAGAGAGTTCTAGAGCAGCAGTTCTCAACCTTTTTGGCACCAGGGACCAGTTTCATGGAAGACAATTTTTCCGCGGATGGGGATGGGAGTAAGGGTTGCGGGATGGTTTCGGGATGAAACTGTTCCACCTCAGATCATCAGACATTCGATTATCATAAGGAGAGCGCAACCTAGATCCCTCGCATGTGCAGTTCACAGAGAGGTTTGTGGCTCCTATGAGAATTTAATGCCTCTGCTATTCTGACGGGAGGCAGAGCTCAGGCGGTAATGAGGTCTGTGGCTCCTATGAGAATCTAATGCCTCTGCTGCTCTGGCAGGAGGTGGAGCTCAGGCAGTAATGCTCACTGGCCTGCCGCTCACCTCCTGCTGTGCAGTCCAGTTCCTAGCAGACCATGGACCCATACCAGTCTGCAGCCCGGGAGCTGGGGACACCTGTTCTAGAGGATGGGAAGGGTACAGGGAAGGGAAGAGATTTGTTAAAGCTTACAAAATTACAGCTAGATAGGAGAAACAAGTTCTGGTGTTCTATAACACTGTAAGATGACTATAGTAAACAATAATATATTATCAAGTTTCAAATAGCTAGAAGGAGGATACTGAATATTCCCAACACAAAGAAATGATAAATGTTTGGGCCAGGTGCAGTGGCTCATGCCTGTAATCCCAGCACTTTGGGAGATGGAGGCAGGTAGATCACCTGAGGTCAGGAGTTCAAGACCAGCCTGGCCAACATGGCAAAACCCCATCTCTACTAAAAATACAAAAAATTAGCCGGATGTGGTGGTGGGCGCCTGTAATCCCAGCTACTTGGGAGGCTGAGGCAGGAAAATTGCTTGAACCAGGAGGCAGAGTGCACTCCAGCCTGGGAAACACAAGGTTCTGTCTCAAAAAAAGAGATGATAAATGTTTGAGATGATGGATATGCCAATTACGTGCTCTGATCACTACATATTATATATTGAAACATCACTACATACACCATAAATATATACAATCGTTGTGCATCAATTTAGAAAACAAAATAAATATTTAAAAAGAAAAAGACAATCCGCAGGATGCAAAAACATTGCAAAGCATCTACTTGATAAAGGTGTAGTATCCAGAATACAAGCATAAAATATAAATTCTCTAACTAGAGTTCTACAGTTTTCTTGCACATACCATCCTCCCAATACATCATCTGTAATTTCTAGTTTCAACTTCTTTAAAGTGGAAATACAAGTGCAGATTTCTTCTATATTTTTATAGTCTTTCCAATCTTTTCCAAGTTGTCTTCCCTATACTGACTTAATAGCATTTGTCTTACAAGTTCATTTTCATTTAATTTTTTTAAAGTATTGCATAGTGTAATTCTCTTTTCACCCTCCTATTTCATCAATTTATAGAATATTTATCTTGTGTAAGTTCAATAACATTTACAATCAACCTAAGAAGACTGCTTGGCAGGCACCAGCTCAGCCAGTGAGAGGAGTTACTTGCGTACTAGAAAGCAGCCTGCCAGTCTTGGGCATTCACGAGCTATGGCCTTAGACAATATGACTCACCAAGGCAATGGGAAGAGGCAGAGGTTAATACAGTGATACAGACACATGGATTGGTTAACAGAGCTTGTCCTAGGTATGTATATATACACACATTCATACATCTTTTACTTGCTGATGAATATTTTCAGAGGTTTAAAATTATCTAATTATTTGAAAATTTTGATTAGATAATTTTACATTTCTTAAATCTTAAGTAAATTTGGTTTACTTCCAAATCACAGTGGTAGCAGTGTAAACTGATGTGATTTGGCAACCTGGCATAACATGATTCAGAGCATCTAGGACATGAGAAGTATTCATGGGAGTCAGTAGTCTTCGGCATTTCTTTGGGGGATGCTAAAGAACAAACAGACTAGGGTTTGGGAGATGGAGAGACATGTCACCTGAGAAAAGTAGGCAGGCTTTATAGCTGAGGGGCAGAAGGCTATATTTTGTAGCTTGGGAGAGGCAGCAGGAATCAATTTGGTGAGTCAAACTGAGACTCAGTAGAGAATACTGGGTACTTGGTGGACTTCAAAGGCTGTTTTCTGGGGAACTTGAAAAGAGGACAATTCAGTAGTTCAAGAAGAGAAGATCTAAGAAATCCTTCCATGGCCTCAGTAGGTTCAACGTCAGAGATCTGCACCCAGGTGCCCTAGTCTTGTCGGGATAAAACTTGGCCTAAAATATACAGGGTTCCTAGATCTATCTTTCCTCAAAAGGGATCTAGCAAAACTCTTCTCTCTTATTGGAAATACAGAGTAATAATCTCAAGCTGTTTCAAAGGGATAACTACGTGGTATGAGAAGGACTGGGGTAGGGTTACCACTTGGTGCTCAAAGCTGTCTGCTTAGAATTTTATAGCAATCAGGCCTAAATAGCTGTCAGTGTAATATACTTAATTTAGTATTTTATTATAAATATTTATCTTCTCTCACTTCTAGGAACATGTGGTAAAACAAAAATTTAGCAGTTTATTACACTCCTTCAATCATCTACTAGAGAAATGGCAATATTCAACTCTGATATATATGAAATCTAGATTCATGCCAGATTTAATTGGTATAGGCTTAGAGGTCATCCCTTCTCCTTATATGGGTGAGAAAACTGAACACTGAAACATTGAGGGTCATACAATATAATGGTAGAACAAGTTTTCTTATCTTTCCACCACACCATACTTTTTCTACTCCCAGAGTTATTTTATGTGCAAATCAAAAAAAAATCATCAAATTCCCCTAATGCAAAAGCATATGGATGAGCTTTAGGAGCTCTGTGAACCTCCAACATTTTTCAGCACAATTTAGTACATGTATGCATATTTTTCTGCAAAAACATTCTCAAAGGGGCTCCTGTAAATGTTAAAACATACTGCAAGCTACTTATATTGGTGGGATGGGGGGAGTATCTAATATTTCCTGCTGAGCATTTTGTCTCCTCTCCTTCTACCACTTATTGTCACACAAATTTTTCCTTGAGTTATTCTCCTTTATAGAAGCCCCCAAAAAAACCAAGATGTGAATTGGGCTATATATTTGGCCATATTTAGCATATAAAATTCATACAATTTTAATGATTTTGGAACAATATTTTTATGCTTGCAAAAAACATAGGGTATCATAAACCTCAGAGGAAAATTTGCAATTGTATCATTCTCTTGATCTGGTTATATCAGGATTTTGTGTTAACGGTAATTCTTTTCATGAAAAGCAGATGTGATTCAACTTCTTCCTTAATGTCCAAGCTGCAAGTGACCACTAAACAGCCAGAAGTTTGTCACTTCATACTTAGGAGAAGAAATTTTTTGGCCATTCAGGGAGTAAGGAAGACTCTCTAAATGATATTCAAGAAGCAGTGTGGTCTTATACAAGGACCACTAGGTTTGGGTCTGGAAACTTTGTCCCATTCTCAGCCTTGCCACTTACTAGCTATGAAACTTTAAGCTTATTACTTAACATTTCTGTGTTTCAATTTTCTCACCTGTAAAATAACCACAAAAACACTATCTGACTTGCTGATACTCAGTTTTGATTGATATGTCTGTTATGGGTTGAATTGTGTCCCAACCTCCAAATTTATACATTGGACTCTAACCCCAAGTACCTCAGAATATGACCATATTTGGGCATAGGGACTTTAAAGAGGTAATTAAGTTAAAATGAGGCCATTAGGGTGAGCCTTAATCCAATCTGACTGGTGTCCTAATAAGAAGAGTGTATTAGTCCATTCTCACACTGCTATGAAGAAATATCCAAGACTGGGTAATTTATAAAGAAAAGAGGTTTAATTGACTCACTGTTCCACATGTCTGGGGAGGCCTCAGGAAACTTACAGTCATGCTGGAAGGGGAAGCAAACATATCCTTCTTCACATGGCAGCAGGAGAGAGAAGTACAGAGCGAAGTGGGGGAAAAGCCCCTTATAAAACCATCAGATCTCATGAGAACTCACTTACTCTTACAAGAACAGCATGGGGGAACTACTTCTATCACCTCCCACAAGGCCCCTGCCCCCACATGTGGAGATTACAGTTACGATTACTATTTAAGATGAGATTTTGGGTAGGGACACAGCCAAACCATATCAAAGAGGAAATCTAGACACATGAAAAGACATGGATGCGTGCACACAGAGGAAAGCCCACATGAGGACTTGTGAGAAGGCAGCTGTCTTCAATCCAAGGAGAGAGGCCTCAGGAGAAACCAAACCTGCCAACACTTTGATCTTGCACTTCCAGCCTCTAAAACTGTGAGAAAATAAACTTCTGTTTTTTAAGCTCCCCAGTCTGTGATATGTTGTTGTGGTAGCCCTACAAAACTAAGACAATGGCAAAGTCTACTGTTAAATCCATTAATTACTAAAGATGTGTAAGAAATTGCTTTTGATAGCAGGGTAGATTTTATTACTACAAGTGATTTCAAGTTGTTTAGGTCACTTTTCCCTCCACCCCAATTGATTCTTTCTAATTTCCAGAAAGTAATCGTTGATATTCTTCTGCAACTTAAACCCCAGATAAATATCAGAATTGGAAGGTATTTTTTAAATCATTCTACTCCAACCCCTTATATTATGGAAGAGAAATTGAGTCTCAAGTTCATACAATTAGCCATTTCTGTAAAATAGAGGACTGGCAGATTACCAAGTACCTTTGTCATTGGAGTATTGCAAAGAAAAACATAGGTAATTCCAGTAGAGTGCTTAGCACAATCCTCAGTAGGTAGCAAGTGCTCAGTATACAGTAGCTCTTTATCATTGAGAAAGGGCAAATAGCTTGGTCTGGGTCTCATTGCTAATTATCGGTAAATCTAACCTTCCAATAATGCTTGGGGGTATTGAAACTCTCAGATTTCCGCCAAATCCAAGCCCAGTGAGTTTTCCCAACAGCAATAAACCTGATCTAATTTAGAATAAACTTGTTGGGAGCCTGATGAGCTTCTATAACATTTGGTTTAATTTGTCAACAGGAACCACAAAACACATGGGGAGCTAAAGTGTGTAGACCCCTCACATGCCTTGGACTCAGTCAAAGCCAGGCTAAACTACTGAGCCCACAAGTTAACAGCCTATTCTCTAAGCCCCTTCTCCTTTCCTTCTGGAAGAAAAACAGAAGCACAAAAGGTAGTCCAGTGGAGGTCCCTGGCCCACCAGCTCATTCCATGGGGCCATCACCAAAGATAAGCTGATCAGTAGCCTGCATCTGGTATGAACTAGTCTGCACAGTCCACCAACCCCCAGCCTGAGCCCCTCTTCATCATTAGAAAAACAAAAAAGGCCCTGGATTTCCCTTTGACCCTTGTCTTGGCTATCTGCATGGATTCTCTCCAGCTGTGTTGAATCATGCCTTTCTACCTTTCTATCTCTGCTTTCCCAGCATTTCCTTTTTTAAGTAACACAGGCAAATGCCCAGACTCAAAATCTTTCCCCACTTGCAGTCTGGATTTCAGTGGAATACTCTTTCATGTTCAGCTTTGGAGATTATAGTAAAGATTACATTAGGGACAGTTACCTGCCAGCTATTAACCATTGCCTCATTGCCTCTGGCCTGACCTGAATTCACAGAGGGCATGGTCACCCGACAACTTAATCAATGAGCCCCTTTGGCTTTAGGGTGGCAGGGGCCAAGAGCTCCATCAAAGAAGCCTATGTGCTTTCAGCAACTCAGAAGATTCCAGTTGTTTTCAGCAGGCCTGAGAGGTTAAAATAAACAAATAAGAAAATGCCAGGTTGCCCTCTCGTTTTTTCTCATACCCTGTGCCAGCCGGGGCCAGGGCTGGACAGGCTGCCCCCAAAGAGACTGCCGTGGTGCCCATGATGCCAAGCCACGCGACCAGAGCTTTCCCTGCACTAAGTGCCTGCATTTCTCTCCTCATTCCACTCTCCATTTCTAAAAATGCGTGAAATATCCATTGCTGTATAATTACCAAATGAATAAAAGGCTCTCCAATGCCTCTCTCCCAGCCCAGGGTTCATCCAGGTTGAGGCTGCAATTGGCAGCTTTTGGGTACATTAACACTTTCAGCACTATTTGAAAACAAAACCTGGTGCAGAAAATCCCAGCAATTGTTGGCATTTGCAACCATCATCAGTTGCAATTTTCCTGTCCCATAGAAGTAAGGCCTGGGATGTGAGTGAGATCTCCATATTGGCATTACAAGGTAAATACATGTCTTCTCTGTATGCCTTCAGCCTTTAGGCCTTTGCAGGGCTTTTTAAAAAGCTCATAAACATGTCTGGCTGCCAGATAGCTCACAGAAAAGAGGCTCCTCACTGAGCGATTGTTCAATCAGGGGGTCCTACTTACAGGGCAGCTTCGGCCCTGTAGTTTGTGTCCTTTGAGATGCATAGATCTTCTGAATTGGAATGGAACTGAAAGAATTTTTTAACTATTTATTGGCTAGTTTTAAATATAAGCATTCAGTTTTTAGACTGAATACAAGAGCATTTTGTGCCCCTTGTGCCTAAGATGACAAGAAAAATTGTATAAAGCATTTGTGAATGTCTATTCTCCTTCTGCACTGAGTTGAATTTATTGTGTGTGTGTGCATTGGATTTGTTATGTAAATGCACATATACATACCTGTGAGGGTGAAAGGCGGTCAAAGCAGGACCTCTTTATAGCTTAGGGAAAATGTTGCAACTCAGCTGCTTCTGATGCTATTCTCAAAAGTCACCAGTGAGTTTCTCATTGCCAAACCCAGTGGCCAATTCTCAGTCCTCAAGCTCCTTGACGTCCTGGTAACACTCAATACCATTGATCACCTGCGCTCTTTCTGGAAACTCTTTCTTTGCAAAAGCATATGAGACCCTGCACCACCGTGATTCTTTCTGATCTCCCTGACTACCACCCTTTTGCTGGTCTTCAACCTCTTTTGGTCCCTAAATGACTGAATTCCCCCATCAGTATGATCGGGTCATCAGCCATCTTCTCTTCTTCCTCCAGTCTCACTTGGGACACTCTATTCCCTACCAGGATATCATAGATTGCCACTATGTAAATGACTCCAAAATGTACATCAGTGGCCCTGCCTCTCCTATCTAATATTATCTCTTTCTCTGTTCAATCTAACCGTCATACTGGTACCTCAAACTCAGCATGCACACAGTAGAATTCCACATGTGACCCTTACTCTCCCCCAGGCCCCCTTCCAGGCCTGTTCATGATCTTACATTCCTAGTTTGTGTTTAGGTCACCAGCATCATCTAATTACCCAGTCTCAAAACCCCAGAGTCGTCTTTATTTTTTCCCCTTGCCCCTTCATGAGACTGTTAGTGAATCCAGCTGGAAACCTAAATGTCTGGTGTAATTTTTTCCTTCTCCATTACCTCTGCCACTACACCGGTCAAGCATCTATTATTCTCACCAAGAATATTACTAGGATCTCTAAGAATTTCATGGCTCTCTTTACCCTTTCTTCCACACCATCCAATGCATTACACTCAGATGAATCATCCCACAACATGGTTTTTATTATATTACTCCTCACCCAAAAATCAATGGCCCCACTACCCATACAATAAAATCCAAACACTTTAGCCTAAAATTAAAATCACTCCAGGATCTGGCCAATGGCCATCCTGCGTTCAGCCAAATGTAACTTCCCAGTGTTTCCTATTAAGTATTTCCCTTCAACATTTATGTCTTTATTCATATTGTCCCCTTGTCTAGAATCCCCACCCATCTCTTTGTGTTCAAATTTAAAGACTTGAAACATGTCATAAAAACCACCTTCTCCTTAAAGATTTTTCAGATATCTTCTTCTCCTAGCCCAGTACATCAGAGAAATTATTTACCTGGATTCTCAATGGTTTATCTGTAGCTTTGTATAGCATGTTCTACCAAAGATTCAAAAACAAATAAAAATATAATATAATCTTCCTATCTAGACTAAACATTGCCTTAGAGTAGGGTCACATCTTACCCATTGCAGTGGACTGAATGTTTGTGCCCCCAGTTACATCCATGTTGAAACACTAACGTGCAATGTGATGGTATTTTGAATTGGGACCTTTGGGAGATAATTAGGGTTGGATGAGGTCATCAGGATGAGGCCCTCAGATGAGATTAGTGCCCTTATAAGAAGAGACACCAGAGATCTTTCTCCTCTTTCTTTATCTCTCTTCTCAGCATACACAAAGAAAAGGTAAAGTGAGCACAAAGCCAGAAAAAGAGCCCTCCTGAGAACCTGACCATACTGGCACCCTAAGAAATAAATTTCTGTTGTTGTGGTAGCCCAAGACAACTAAGACACTCATTATATGTACACATTGCTTAACACTCCTAAATCTTTGTCAAATAAATGAATGAATATATGAGTGGAATATGTGTCAAAAAATTGTCTTTGATCTCTGATGTCCAACAGAGCCTGCCACTCAAGGATTCTGACTCTTCTTCACTGCTCTGGCCACACCCCTGCCCCGGCTTCATCTTAGCCCAACCACTGCAAGCTTATCCCTACTTCTAAGCCAGAGATGGTTAAATGGCAGCCCAGAGTCTAGATATTGCCTACAATCACCATTTTTCTCAACACCATAGTGTTTTTCTAATTTCAAGTTAGTTGCCAGCATTTAAAAATTGGGAGATTTCATGTAAATGTATGGATTTGGGCCATGGTGGACCCTCAGTGACAACTGACTACCACTTATAGATGGGGCTTGTACTGTTCAAGCCACAGCTCCAAATAGTTAATGTGACTTTCAGTGGCCCTTGTATAAGTATTTGAATTCGAGAGCCATATTCTCCATCTTTTTCCACTCTCTCACAGCTCCATAGCTAAATTCTGCATCTCTAATTTTGCCCTTCTCATACCAGGAAGAATTCACCAACTACCAAAGCCTGAAATTGACTCTCCTCACCTCTTTGTATTTCTGTAGAACAACAGGATTAACTAAGTGTCCAGGAAATTGGGGTATGCTACCATTATACTCTCTCACTTTTCTCATTTCTTTAGGTCAAAAGATTGAAAGTGAGATTCCAGGAAAGTGGCCAGTGGTATTAACTTTTACAAATGGAGGTTGATAGAACTGGTATTCAAATCCAGGTCTTATGGCTTCAGACTGTATTCTTTATTTTGATGATGAGTTCTTTCTTCACTGGTCTGTGCTGTTGTCTTCTGCAATTCAATCCAACTTAATTCAGCAAATATTTGTTAAGTACTGAAAATGTTACAGGAACTCACTGCTTTCTGTCCTGGATCAGTAAACATTCTCATTCTAGGTATTGAGAATTCTCATTCTTCAACTGGATACCCTGCCCGTTGACAGAGGATAGCCACTAGAGATAAATTCTCTCCTTTACTTAATAATGAACATCAACTTTGTTTAAGCATCATGCTAGATCCTAGGAATAAAATGGTAAATAAAACTGATATTTCCTTGTTCTCATGAGGCTTAAAATATATTATTCCTTAAATATATATTATATTTTTTAAACAAATTAAGAATTCCTATAGGGTAAGAGCTGCATATTAACTCTCTTTGAATGATACAATGGACTGAATTCAGTAGGTACTTCATTGTTGCTATTGATGACAAATGTTCTCAGTTACTCCCAGGTGGAAGCCGCGCTTGTCCCTGTCTTCTCTGCTGTCCTTCAAAGCCACTCTCTGACTCCTAGCAGCTGGTTCTTACAGAACTATACTCTTGTCCTTAGAATTATAGGATAAGAACATGTTAGGTCAGTTTAAGGGACATGTGACCTAGATAGTCACACAGGGCCCTATGTTTGGTTTGATGCTCTATTGTTACTGTCTTGAAATTCTTAATGATTGTAGTCAAGGAGCCCCACCACTTGTGTAGTCCATTCTGAGAACAGAGTTGGTGGTGGCAGCTGATACATCTTTAATGTCAACACTATCACTTGTCAATAGGCTCCTCTTCAGAATGCCTTTAGTCCTATTCAAATGCAGAAAAACAGTAGGGATATAGTTTAAAAGATATCTCCATATTTGAAGTTGTTCGTATTCCATTGTGCCTGACAGAATACTATGTTCTAAGCCACAAAAAAATAATAATGATGATGATGATGCTGAGATAACGATGTCATGTTTGTTCACCTGGATTACTGGATTCTTTAGATTCAGTGTGCAATGATTCTTAAAGTGAGAGTCCTGGACCAGCAGCATCAGCATCACCTGGGAACTTGTTAGAAATGCAAATCCCTGGTCCCCACCCCAGACTCAATGAATTAGAAACTCTAAAGGTGGTTCCCAGTTATCTATGTTTGAATAAGCCCTTCTGATGACTCTGGCATCTGGTGAAAACTGGCAACAACTAGGCCATGGCATTGTCGCCCCTTGAGAGCAGAGTCCATGTCTCCACAGACTGTCTACCTTCTACTGTTTCTCAACCAGGTGTAGACAATTTAATATTGACCCATTGTGGAACAACTGGGAAATAGTCATGCTCAGAGAACTCTTCTTTAATGAGTTTATATGAATAGAGGGGAAAGGAGCAGGACTGGTTTTTTTCTTGGGCAACATATTTGTTTATCTTGCTCCTTTGAAGTCAGAGCCAGTAATGTAGAATGTTTTGCTGGCTAAAGCTGAACATCTGAGTGAAATAGAAAAATATTTTAATTGTTTCCCTGCATATACACATTTCGGAGATAATGCCATAGAGTCCTATTGCTGAGAGTGACCTTACATAATAAGTTTCCACTCCAGCATTTTATAAATGAGAAAACTGAGACCCATAGAGATGAACTTACTTGCCTGAGGTCACCCAGTTTCCCCCCAGGATTCACCAAGGAGGTTTATTAAGGTAAAAGTCAGAATCACCTTGCTGATAATTTGACTTCTGTCATGACAAAGCAGTTAGGTATTGGATAAGGGAGAAGCAGCCACTTGTCCAGAAGTTCTATTAATTGCTTTGCCATTGAACAATTCATACATTTCCTCCCTGTCTTCTCTTAGGTAGTTTGATTTCAGAACACATATGTATTTTTTGAAAGACAGCCTTCACATTCTCTACTTTTCAGTGTTTTATTTTCCTTTGCGGTTGTACATCTCACCCCAGGAAGACAACACGGTGGCCGAGCTGTGTAGTTAATGAGCTACATAGTTGATGACCAACCATCACCCCCTGGGAGGAGGATGAGTCCTGCTTGTAGGTGGCCGTGCTCAGCTCCAAGCTGCTTATCTCCACACCTGGTTCTCGTTTGCAACACCAAAAGCATTTCATGCTTATTAAGCATCATCTGTTCTCAATTTTTAAACCACAAGTTTGGCTTGGTTTGTTTTTAATAAGTGGTTACAACAGAGTCCACCTTTTCAGTGTGATGATGTCTCTTAAGCCCAGCTATTGGCATCTTTTAAATTTGGATTAATGTGACTATTATAGGAGGATAAAAACATGAAGAACATAAATACTGCAATGTCTTACTTTCTTCTGCCTAGATACAACACTGATTTATTTCCAACACATGTATAAAAAAGAATAATCATGTTTAAAGGAAAGGGTATAACAATCTTTATCTTTGCATGGTTTTCCATGTCTTAATGTTTTCTTCCCCAATTTTGAATTTAAAGAAGTTCTAAATTTTATGCAAAATTAGTTTGGAGGATTAAATCAATGAACCCTTCATCATTACCCAATTTCTATTTATCAGTATTTTGCAATTGGTATAACTTGATTTTTTTGACAGCCAGTAGTTATTTATGTGGTATTTTGTCACTGCACTTGGTCACAAAAGAGTTAAGACATTTATCTTCTTTTAAGATGAGAAAGTAAGGAGTCTATTTGCTCCAAGTTAAATATAATTGTAAAGTCACAAGCTTTTTAAAAAAAGATACATAACTGATAGTTAAATTTTAACAGGATTTTCCAGATTCCTTTATAACTCATTTTTAAATGCCAATTGCCTGGTGTTAAACACACGTAACAATTCATATATTGGGCAGGGATATTTTAGTCTTGGTGTTGGGCAGGGATATTTTAATTTCAGCATGTTAAATTCTTCGATTTTGGGTTAGTGTCACAAGTTTGGGCCAGCATGGCACAAGTCTGCAGCCATCTCAACTCTCTTCCTTTAAAATAAAAGACAACCTGAATTAGGGGAAATGATTAATTTTCCTTCTAATATAAATATTATGGATGTTTCCAAGTTCTAGCTTCAGGAGAAATGGCCGCCCTATAAATGACCAGCAACAGTATAAACCCTCTTCCTGTGTGATTTCAAAAGTTAAGTCTTCTTCACAAGTATTTCTAATAAGCTCTATGACACACTTGTATGTTTCACAGACTGGTCCCATCACAACCTTTGCTCATTATGATTTAATTGTCCAGTGTCATCAACTCTGAGCTAGGTGAGGTCAGAGTCCTCTTCTACCTTTTTGCCACTGTATCCTCAACATCTAGAACAGTGCCTGGCACATTATCTGTGCTGGATTAGTCTCTTGGGTGTGGATTAAATGAATGAGTGAATAAATGACTAAATGAAATGGGTGAATACCAGAAACATATGTGTTATGATTATTCATCCTTAAAATTCAAAATTTAGATTTATATGAATGAGAGAAAAGTAGGGAAATCACAAGAACACTAACATAAATTTCTATATTATTCCTAGGGAATGTCTCTAAATTAATATTACTATTCAGTAATTATATATTAATCAAATGTATTAACTGGATTATACCCCCCAATTATCATTTCTGTAATTCCTAAGATTAGAAATTTTTCTTCAATATTTATGAATCACTATGTAATATTTTGTTTTAGTTGGTCTAATATATTTTCTCATGGGCAAAACAGAAATTGTAGTTTTCTTTTCTGAAAAGTTTATGCAGATCGGTAAAGAGATGTAAGAACTTCACAAATGTTCAATAGTATGTTTACATTTTTGTTCCATTTGGAAGTCTAAGTGAATGGTTAACAGAAATCACAAAGAAATTAGTTTTTTACATCTGTCCATTCTTTTACATTTCAAAATTCCAGATCAGTAAATTTTAAAAATACAAAGAAAGATTATTAATATCACATTTTGTGATCGATTCCTCTATCAGTATCGTCAATAAATTATCCTATAGTATGAGTCAAACTCTTTAATCATTCAATAAAATATGCTTCTACCACTCTCTTCTACCTTCAGCTATTGGCATCCAATGCATTTCTTTTCTCTGGGGCATATACAGTATTTTCAAAATTGCTTTTTATTTCAATATTCTCCACATCTCTTAGGGAGATTTTAATACCAATAAGAAACAGAATTGCCCTACTTTGGGAAGGATTCAGATTCCAAATGCTGGTCCTCAGGCTCTGTTCTCTTCTACATCTACAGTAAGTCCACATTTAACCTCATTCATAGGCTCTTGGAAACTGCAACTTCAAGTAAATGACCTAAAAAGGATCCTCAAATAAGCTTGTTTTATTCCATGTAGAAGAGAAAAATGAAATTGGTTTGTTCTAAGTTGTTTCACTTAAAGTCACAGTTTGGCAAGAACCTATGGATGATATTAAGTGAAGACTTACTGTAATTGCATCTTTCAGGAAAATTCTAACCTCTGCTTATCTCACATATCAATGCCAAAATAAAACTGTGCTAAGTTGGCTCCCAATGCCCAAATATTATTTAACCTAGAAAGAGTCACATTTTTAACAAGGCAATGAAAAAAATATGTTAAAATACTTTCTCAAATGGTACAATGACTTCCTTTATTCTCACTCACAGATTCAACCTTTTTTTTTTTTTTTTTTTGAGATGGAGTCTCACTCTGTTGCCCAGGCTGGAGCGCAGTGGCATGATCTCGGCTCACTGCAACCTCTGCCTCTCGGGTTCAAGCAATTCTCCCACCTCAGCCTCCCAGGTAGCTGGAATTACAGGCAACCGCTGTCATGCCCAGCTAATTTTGTATTTTTGTAGAGACAGGGTTTCACCACATTGGCCAGGCTGGTCTTGAACTCCTGACCTCAGGTGATCATCCCACCTCAGCCTCCCAAAGTGCTGGGATTACAGGCATGAGCCACTGCACCTGGCCAACTTTTTTTTTATGGTCCCTTCTTAGTGTCCTACATTTTTACAGTCTTACAGTGTTTTCCCATATATTGTCTCATTTGACCACAATACAGCTCTGTAAATTGTAAAGTCAACATATCATAATGGTTAGGGGTATAGGCTTTGCAGTGAAACTGAAGTTGTCATCTCTGACTAGTTGTGTAAACTTAAGCTACTTAACCTCTCTCAGCTCAGTTTCTCATTGTAAATAAGTAAGGATAATATGTTTTACCCCACACAACTATTAAGAGAGTTAGATGGGGAAAAATGCATGGATAATATGGGCTACCTTGGTTGAAGCTGAGGCTCAGCTATACCTACATGTGAATTTTGTCACTATGTACATTGGTTTTGAGCAGTGTAACTTTTTCACTCAGACAAATGTCTTAGAGCTCTATGTATGTTAGAACAAAGAGAGTGGCCTCCTGCCTTTTAAAGAGCCTTACAATATTTCATAGTAGGTATTATGCAAACAGAATACAAAAAAGAGCAGGTGTCACTGTTCTTATATCAGATAAAACAGATGTTAAAGCAACAACAGTAAAAAAGGACAATGAAAGGCATTACATAATGATATAGGGTTCAATTTAACAAGAAGACATAACTATCCTAAATATATATGCACCCAATATTGGAGCATCAAGATTCATAAAACAAGTGCTTCTAGACCTATGAAAAGACTTAGACAGATACACAATAATAGTGAGGAACTTCAACATCCCACAGACAGCGTTAGACAGATCATCAAGGCAGAAAACTAACAAAAACATTATAAACTTAAATTCAACACTTGACCAATTGGACCTAACAGAACACTCCACCCACAACCCATAGAATATTCATTCTTCTCATATGCACACAGAACAAACTCCAAGATTTACCATGTGCTCAACCATAAAGCAAGTCTCAATAAATTCAAAAAAGTTGAAATCATACCAACCATACTGTCAGACCACAGTGGAATAAAAACAGAAACCAACGTGAAGTTCTCTGAAAACCACACAATTACATGGAAATTAGGCAACTTGCTCCTGAATGACTTTTGGGTAAACAGTGAAATTAAGGTAGAAATCAAAAAATTGTTTGAAATAAATGAAAACAGAAACACAATATACCAAAATCTCAGACAGAAAACAGAGGCAGACCTAAGAGGAAAGTTTATGGTGCTAAACACCTACTTCAGAAAGAAAGATCTCATATTAACAATCTCACATTACACCTAGACAAACTAGAAAAAAAGAACAAACTAACACCAAAGCTAGCAGACACAAAGGAATAACTAAAATCAGAGAAGAACTGAGTGAAATTGACACCCAAAAATCCACACAAAGAAAGATCTATAAACCACTAGCTAGATTAACAAAGAAAAAGAGAGAAGATCAAAATAAGCACAATCAGAATGACAAAGGTGAAGTTACAACTGATCCCACAGAAATAACAAAAGATCCTCAGAGACTATTACGAACACCTCTATGCACACAAACTATAAAATCTAGAAAAAATGGATAACTTCCTGGAAACATGCAAACTCTCAAGATCAAATCAGGAATAAATTAAAACCCTAAACAAACCAATATCGAGTTCCAAAATTGAATCAGTTATTAAAAAAACCTACCAGCAACAACAACAACAAAAAACCCAGCCCAGACCAGATGGATTCACAGCTGAATTCTGCCAGATGTACAAAAAACAGCTGGTTCCAGTCCTACTAAAACTATTCCAAATAATCAAGGAGAAAAGACTCCTCCCTAACTTATTCTACAAAGACAGCAACACCCTGATACCAAAACCTGGCAAAGCACAATGAAAAAAGAAAACTACAGGCTAATATCCCTGATGAATAGAGATGTGAAAATCCTTAACAAAATAAAAGTGAACTGAATCCAGCATCATATCAAAAAGTTAATTCACCATGTTGAAGTAGGCTTCATTCCTGGGATGCAAGGTTCTTTTAACATGTGCAAATCAATAAATGTGATTTGCCACATAAACAGAATTAAAAAAAAAACATAAGATCATCTCACTAAACATGGAAAAAACTTTTGATAAAACCCAACATCTCTGCATAATAAAAGCCCTCAAAAAAACTAGACATTGAAGGAATATACCTCAAAATAATAAGAACCATCTATGACAAACCCACAGTAAATATCATACTGAACAGGCAAAAGCTGGAAGCATTCCCCTTGAGAACTGGAACAAGATGAGAATACCAACTCTCATCATTCCTATTAATATAGTACTTGAAATCCTTGCCACAGCCATCAAGCAAGGGAGAGAAATAAAAGCCATCTAAATAGGAAAAGAAGAAGTCAAATTATCTCTCTTTGCTGCCAATAAGATTCTGTACCTGGAAACCCCTAAAGACTCCATGGAGTCTGGAACTATTCAATAACTTCAGTAAAGTTTTAGGATACAAAATCAATGTATAAAAAATTATTATTGTTTCTATTCACCAATAACATTCAAGCTGAGAGCCAAATTAAGAACACAATCCCATTTACAATAGCTACACACATACACACACACACACACACACAAATGAAACACCTAGGAATACCTCTAACTAAGGAGATGAAAGATCTCTACAAGAAGAACTACAAAAAACAGCTGAAAGAAATCAGAGATGACACAAACAAATGGAAAAATATTCTATGCTGATGGATTGGAAGAATTAATATTGTTAAAATGGCCCTACTGCCCAAAGTGATCTACAGATTCAACAGTATTCCTATCAACTTACAAACATCATTTTTCACAGAACTAGAAAAAACTATTTCAAAATTTATATAGAACCATAAAAGAGCCCAAATAGCCAAAGCAATCCTAAGCAAAAAGAACAAAGCTGGGGGCCTCACGTTACACAGCTTCAAACTATACGCTGAGGCTACAGTAACCAAAACAGCATGATATTGGTACAAAAACAGATATATAGATGAATGGAACAGGATAGAGAACCCAAAAATAAAGCCACACATCTACAGTCATCTGATCTTTGATAAAGTCAGTGAAAGTACACAATGGGGAAAGGACTCCCTATTCAATAAATGGTGCTGGGATAGCTGGCTATTCATATGCAGAAGAATAAAAGTGGGCACCTACAAAAATTAACTCAAGGTGGCTTAAAGATTTAAATGCAAGACCTCAAACTATAAGAATCCTAGAAGAAAACCTAAGAAACATCATTCTGAACATCAGCCTTGGGAAATACTTTATGACTAAGCACTCAAAAAAAAAAGCAAGAAAAACAAGAATTGACAGATGGGACCTATTTAAACTAAAGACTTCCTGCACAGCAAAAGAAACTATTCACAGAGTACACAGACAACCTACAAAATGGGAGAAAATATTTGTAAACTATGCCCCACAAAAGTCTAATATCCAGAATCTATAAGGAACTCAAATAATTGAACAAGCAAAAAAAAAACCATTAAAAATGGGCAAAAGACATGAACAGACACTTCTCAAAAAAAACCACAAATGACCAACAAACATATGAAAAAATACTCAACATCATTAATCATCAAAGGAATGTAAATCAAATAGCCACAATGAGATACCATCTCACACCAGTCAGAATGGCTATTATTAAAAATACAAAAAACAGCAGATGCTGGTGAGGCAGCAGGAAAAAAAAGGAACACTTTACACTATTGGTGGAAATGTAAATTAGTTCAGCTTCTGTGGACAGCAGTTTCAAGATTTCAAAGAACTTAAAGCACAACTACCACTTGACCCAACAAATCCATTACTGGGTATGTACCCCAAGAAAAATAAATCTTTCTACCAAATGGGCACATGAACTTGTATGTTCATTGTAGCACTATTCACAGTAGCAAAGACATGGAATCAGCCTAGGTACCCATTAATGGTGGTTTGGATTTTTTTTTAGTGTGGTATATATACACCATGGAATACTATGCAGCTGTAAAAAAGAATGAAATCATGTCCTTTGCAGCAACATGCATGCAGCTGGAGGCGATTATCCTAAGCAAATTAAGGCAGAAAACCAAATTACTCACTTATAAGTGGGAGCCAAAGGATGGGTACTTATGGACATAAAGATGGCAACAACAGACACTGAGGACTACTAGAAGGAGGAAGGAGGGGGGCAAATGTTAAAAAACTACTATGCTCAGGACCTGGGTGACAAGATCAATCATACTCCAAACCTCAGCATCACACAACGTACCCAAGTAACAAATCTACACATGTACCTCCAAATCTAAAATAAAAGTTGAAATTATTTTTTAAACTTAAAAAATAAAATGAAACAGATGGCCATTGCTGTGGCTGCCAATATTTCTGCTATTACAACAATAATTCAATGAACCTTTCATGTTTATTTCCTTGCACATTAGTGCTAGTGTGTACTAGAGTAGATGCCAACAAGTTAAACTTCTGGGGCACAAAGTATACACATTTTCAGTTTCAATAGATGCTACAGAACTGCTCTCCAGAAAGGCTTTTCAAAAATGAATCTCACCTCATCTTTGACATCATATGACATTATTTAACATCTTTAACAAACAAGGAATAAAAGGACACTAACCCAACATAATAAAGGTCATTTATGAAAAGCTCACAGCTAACATTATACTCAATGGTAAAAGACTGACAGTTTTTCTTTAAAATGAGGACAAGACAAGGGTGCCCACTGCCACCACTCCTATTCAACATAGCATTGGAAGTCTTAGCCAGAGCAATTAGGCAAGAAAAAGAAATTAAAGACACCCAAATTGGAACAGAAGAAGTAAAATTTTCTCTGTTTGCAGGTGACATGATCCTATGTGTAAAAAAAAAAAAAAAAACCCAAGGATTAAACACACACATTTGATATAATAAATAATTCAGTAAAGTTTCAGCATACAAAATCAACATACAAAAATCAGTAATATTTATACACAAATAATGACCAAACTAAAAAGGAAATTTTGAAAAATCCTATTTACAACGGTGTCAAAATAATAAAATGCCTGGGAATAAACTTAACCAAATAGGTGGAAAATCTGTACACTGAAAACCATAAAACACTGGTGAAAGAAATTGAAGAAGTCACAAATAAATGGAAAGACATCCCACGTTCATGGATTGAAAGACTTAATATTAAAATGTCCATACTATCTAAAGCAATCTACATATCCAGCACATTTCCTATCAATATCCAGTGGCCTTTTTTTTCAGAAATAGAAAAATTTGTCCTGAAATTCAGATGGAAGCTTAAGGGACCCCAAATAGACAATAATTTTGAAAAAATAAAACCCAAAGTTATATGACCCACACTTCTTGATTTCAAAATATATTCCAATGCTACAGTAATCAGAGCAGTGTGGTACCGGTATAAAGGCAGAAAAATAGACCAGTGAAATGCAATAGAGAGCGCAGAAATAAATCATCATGTATATGGTCCAAGGGTCTTCAACAAGAGTGCCAAAACTACTCGACGATGGGGAAAGGACATTCTCTTTAATAAATGGTACCGCAAAAACTTATATCAACATTAAAAAATAATAAAGTTGAACTTTATTTTATACCACATAAAAATATTAATTCTTAATGGATTAAAGACCTAAACATAAGACCTACAACTATAAAACTACTAAAAGAAAACATAGAGAAAAAACTACATGGCATTGGTCTTGGTTGGCAGTGATTTATTGGCTATGACACCAAAACACAGGCAACAAAAGCAAAAATAAACTAATGAAATAATATCATTTAACAACTTTTGTGCATCAAAAGACATAATCAGTAGGTTAAAAAGCAACCTATGAAATGGAAAAAAATATTTACAAACTATATACTTGATAAGGGTTAGTATCCAGAATATATAAAGAACTTCTACAACTCAACAACAAAAAAATCAAATAACCTGATTAAAAAATAAGCACAAGACTTAGACATTTCTCTAAAGAAGATATACAAATGACCATTAAAGACTAAAGTGATTCTTAACATCACAAACCATCAGAGAAATGTAAATCAAAACCATAATGAGATATTACCTCACACTCTTTAAGATGCTTAGTATAAAAAAATCAAAAAATAACAATTGTTTACAAGAACATGGAGTAAATTAGAACCCTTGTGCACTATTAATGGGGTTGCAAAAAGGCGCAACCAGTATGGAGAACAATATGGAGAGTCCTTAAAAAATTAAAAGTAGAACTACCACATGATCCAGCAATTCTATTTCTGGGTAAATATCCAGGAAAAAAGAAAGCAGGATCTCAAAGAGATATACGTATACCCTTGTTTACAGCAGCACTATTCACAATGGCCAAGAGGTGAAAACAACCCAAATGTCCATCAATGGTTGAATGAATAAACAAAATGTGGTATGTATATATATCTATGTGTGTATACATCTATATGTATACATATGCATATACATATATGTACATGTGTATGCGTGTATACATATATGTATATGTGTATGTGTGTATACATATACAAATAGCTCTCTATTGTATTTGTATATGTATACACATACATGTGTATGTGTGTGTATGTGTGTATGTGTGTATACATATACATATATGTATATGTGTATGTGTGTATATATATTAGGATAATGTATATAATATAATATATTATATGTTATATAATATATTATATGTTATATAATATAATATATTATATGTTATATAATATATTATATTATATGTTATATAATATATTATATTATATGTTATATAATATAATCTATTATATGTTATATAATCTATTATATGTTATATAATCTATTATATGTTATATAATATATTATATGTTATATAATATATTATATGTTATATAATATATTATATTATATGTTATATAATATATTATATTATATGTTATATAATATATTATATGTTATATAATATATTATATGTTATATAATATATTATATGTTATATAATATATTATATGTTATATAATATATTATGTTATATGTTATATAATATATTATGTTAGATAATATATATATTAGGATATTATTCAGTCTTCCAAAGAAGGCTATCCTGTTACATGCTACAAATGGATGAACCTTGAAGGCATTATGATAACTGAAATAAGCCAGCACAAAAGGACAAATATTGCATGATTCCTTTTATATCAGGAATCTAAAGTAGTTAAATTCATAGAAACAGAAAACAGAATGGCGGTTACCACGGACAGATTGCGGGGGCAGGGGGCGTGTAAAGCGAAGGTTTTGTTTAATGGGTATAGAGTTTCAGATCTGCAAGACGAAAACGTTGTGGGTATTTGCTCACAATAACGAAAACATACTTAAAGTACTAAACTGCACACTTCAAAATGTTTAAGATAGTAAATTGTGTGTTACGTGTTTTTTACAATTGTACAAAATTGACAATGAAAAAAGTTTTTAGATTGTTACCAATCTGACAAATGTAAAATTGTATTGTTTCTTTAGTTCTCTGATCATTAATGAAGCTAAATATCTTTTTATATATGTATTGACCATATGTGACTCTTCTCTGTATTTCCTGTCCAGAGCTTTTGCTTATTTTTCTTTGAGTTGTATTTTTTTCTTGTTTACATGTAGGATTTTTATGCATTTTTTCAAATTCACATAAATTGACATTTTAATTGCTAGTACAATTTCTCTAACATTATGCTGTAATTTCTAGTCAGCACAGCAACACACCTAAACACACAAAGGAATGAAATAAAGGCCTTAGTCTTGCTTTGGCTATATGGGCTCTCTTTTGTTTCTATATAAATTTTAGAATTGTTTTTTCTAGTTCTGTGAAGAATGATGGTGGTATTTTGATGGGAACTGCATTAAATTTGTTGATTGTTTTTGGCAGTATGGTCATTTTCACAATATTGATTCTACTCATCCGTGAGCTACATGTAAAATTCTTTATATATCTAGAAACAAATTATTTATCTGCTAAATGTGTTGTACATATTATCTCCCAATCTTGCCCTTTGACTTTACCTACAATAAATTTTTGATATATAAGTATTTTCATTTTGATTTAGTCAAATGTAAGCTCATAATTCTATCCCTTGATTTTTCATTTTTAGTTTTAGATGTGATAATATTTAACTGTTCACACACACACACACACACACACACACCCCTCAACTCCCACCACCTGAATAAACCCTTACTTCCTCTTCTCCTAAATATGGTTACATCATCATATTGGTTAAATCAATATTTAATGTTTACATTATTCTAACTATGTAAATGCTACTGAAATCTGAGATCTATATTATGCTACAATGATGTTACCTTATTTGTCCTGCTTTGATTTTTCCTAGAGTTAATCATTATTCTGTCTTTTCATTTGCTTATTTTTGCATCTACTTGTTATTCACCACCAAACTCTTCCCAGTTTGGTACATTTCCTCTGAATACATCTGCAACCTTTTATTTAATTTTTCTTCTTGAAAAAATTCTCCTCCGGGCCTCTGACATACTTCAGTCTGAATCTGTTGAACGTTAGACCTATTGCAAGGCTGTCCCCATAAGATGACTTTTTAGTAAAAAACCAATGACATCCTTGAAATTCCCTGCACTTTTCTCTTGTGCAGGATGCCTATTGCCTGCATCACATTCTTCCTCTTTCTTAGTTACTCCCACATTTTAGTGAAACATGTCTTCTTGTAGCTTTGTACAAAAGGTGCATAGGTAGTAAATTTTTTTAATTCTCCAGTGTCCCAAAAAGTTGAAGGAGCACTGTACAGGGCAGGGCTGCAGTCAAGTGAGAAGCCTTGTTCTTTGGTACTGTATTCACCATCTCTGTGATCTTGGGACAGTCACAAAACTCTCTGAGCCTCAGTTTCTCTTTCTGAAATAGACAATAATCCAAGCTGTGCCTGCTCAGAGCTATGGCTAGGAGAGTGCTTGTAAAGGGGCTTTGTATAAAAAAGGTATGTACAAACAGTGTGTGCTGGAGCCACAAGAGTCAATCGTTGAGCCATTGGTAGCTTGAAACTGGCCATAGTAGAAGTATTTACACTATAGAAATTGACAAATGTGACAGAGAGTTGTTTTGTTTTGTTTTTTTTTGGAGGAGAGCTGGTTTAGGAGCACACTACTTACAAATACAAGTGATTATAACAACTGTTTTCATTGCTGTGCCCTCCTTAGTGATCCATGGCCTAATGTATAGCTCAATTATAGTTCTGATCACATATAACATTATTATACCATAGGTCATGAACTCCTTGAGACATGAGACTTTGTGTTACTCATAGAGATGTATCTCCCCTGCACTATTTTCCCCCGTACCTAACACATTGACTGGCACTTAGTTGATATTCTATTCCAAATTTTTGAGTGAGTGACTAAAATTTTTGATTGATTGTTTTTATGAGTTGGGAACAACCAGAGAGAAGATGAGAAGTGAGGGAAGGGGTTAGGAAAGGTGCATGACACCTGGAACAGCTTTTGAGAGGAGTGCCCTATTAGGTGTATTAGAAAGAGCCGTCCTTAATGGGAAGTTTTCTATGAGCCAGATACTATTCTTAGGTGCTGTGCAGAAATTATCTAATTCCATAACAACTTATGAGGTAGGTATTATTATCCCCATTTCACAGATGAGAAAAATATGATGTCTGGTGTTAAGTAATGTTCTCTCCATCACTAAGGCTGAGGTTCAAATCTGATGAATGTCTGTGTGCTTAATCATATCTCTACACTGGAGGTCGAAAATGATCTATGGGCACATGGGTAAAAATAGTCATAATGATCTAGTAAAACAGATCCATTTAAAGTAAAAGGGAGGAGTAAGGATTGTAGCAAATGCAAACTGAAGAGCCCAGACCCAACTAAAAGGGATAGCTTTGTGACCTGAGGAAATGTGGTCTGTTGAGGCTAGAACTTGGAGTTGTTTTTCAAGAGAACCTGGAAATGTGGAATTTTATCTCCTGAATTACAAATGTTGGTACCTATAATTAAAAATAAAAAAGACTCGAGATGAAACATCTGTAAGTGGTCTATCAGTTTGCAAACTTTGATATACTGCCTATCCCCAAAATACTCTTCGAGCAACTAGGGGGCAGCATAAGGGTGTAGAGTGTCACTGGAGGTGGAAATGGATGAAACGAAAGGCAAGTTAGTCCAGCTCACAGTTTCTCCCAGAGAGCAGATACAGAGAGCACAAAGGTCCTGCTATCACGTTACAGAGCAGAGGCCAGCAGAGACGGGAGGAGGATGAGGTAAGGCTCCGCGGCTGGTGCACATTCCGTCTTCTCCAGGCATCCCTGGGGAGGGCACATTCCTCATGGTCAAGAGGCTAAGCTGTTGATTTAAAAGATTCTTAGAATATTCTCTTCAATACCCCCAGAGGGTTCTTCTTGCCTTGGAAACAATATATCTAGGCCATGCCTTGGACTGTGGGACCTCCCTAAAAGGGAGTGGGAAAATGGTCATGACTCTATCCTCCTAGGTAGAGTGTCCTGGGGTCTGACAAGTCCCTTCAGGTCCCTTGTCCATTGATTTCTTCTTCCCTTCCCAGGGAGTAGTGCTGGTCACACTGCTGAGTCACAAGCGAATTCCCTGTTCTTTCCCATAAATTTTAGCCTCTGCAGAAAGTTGGAAGATTGAATCCTGTCATCTAGTGGATCTGCAGTTCTTTTTCAATGAAGTTTTAAAATAGTTGCAAAGTTATTTACAATTACCTCTTGAAAATATAAGGGCTAAACTATAAGCCCATTCTTCATGGAATGCAGCTGAATCCCTGAGATTAATTAAGGAATTTAGATGAAGGACCGACGAGACATGATCTGACGATGAGGACTCAAAGAGGAGGTTTCCACAAGCTCAGGTATAAAATAACAGGTGACTGATTCAGAGATGTGACTACAAGGTGTAAAAGGAAAGTTTAGGCCTGCATGTGATCAACTGTCTCAATGAGGAACCCATGACTGAAGCCTGTTCAGACAGGCTGCTGGCATGTGTACTTTGAAAAATCTCTGCTATTCCTGATAGCCTTTCCGCAAAAGCCTAATTGAGAACCTCTGTAGTAAAAGAGAAGAGAGATGAAAAAGCTATGCTGGGAGAGCGGGGCTGTGAATTAGTCAAACTGGGCACAAAGCTTTTAGGGAAGATGTTAAAAGGTCTTCGCTGTGACTTGGCTACAACAGCCCCTGGGGAGATGATAAATAGATACAGAGCTTTATAGAGCAATGCTCCTGTTGTTCCTCGACAGCACAAAGGTCTTCAGAGATGGTGCCCTGGGGCTGTAACCCTAATTTCTTTTTAACATTCACAACTCAATAGTGCTTACAGATAAAGACCCAGAGATACAATGGTACTTTATCAATTAAAAAAAAAAAAAAGAATTGAGGCTCTGCTAAATTCTGCCACAGAACAGAGCACAGAATAATACATTCCATTATGCTTTAATTCCCTCCACTGCAAGAATTTAATACAGGAATAGCCCACCCATGCCCATGCTTCTCCTCCCCTATTATGATAGCTTTACTCCACGCTCTCTCCCATCTCACCTTCCTGCTTCAGTGCGTTGCAGACAGCAACCTGCCAATCCCTGTCCCTCTTACTGCGGCCTCACCCTCACCCTCCTGCCGCACTGGCCCACAGCAGCAGTAGCACAGGCTCTTACTTATGCACTCCCCTACTCTCAGCCTCAGCTACATTCTCTCATGTAATCTTCATGCCCATTTGATGAGGCAAAGGCTGTCCTTATTTTTTAGATGAGGAAATTAAGATAGAAGGTAAAGGGTAATTTTTTCAAGCTTCCAGAGCCATATGCAAACCCAGATTCAGCTGGACTTCAAAAACATCCTGACAAATACCAAAAATCCCTGACTTGACCACGATGCAATCAATGCATGTAACAAAAATGCACATGTACCCCAGAAAATGCACATGTACTCCATAAATTTGTACAAATTAGATAAAACAGACTGAAGTATAGTGATTAAATACCTTAAAATAGGCAAAACAAACAAAACCATCTCATCAGCTTTCACTGAATGATCCACACACCCAATCTTCTCCCCTTTTTCATGCTTCTCTAGTTCCCCATCAAGTGCCCTCTCTGTCTAACACAAGGTCACTCTTTCTCTAACTTTCTTGGCTTCCTCTTGCTGTTACCCAATAAATATTCCTCTTCTCCTTTTTGCTATTTATTCTCCTAGACTAGGATTTATGAGAATAGAGCCCAATTCTATTTCAACACCATTTGTGTGACCTTGGGCGACAAAATAATTCTATAACACTCTGAGAAGAAGATGCAGTTACTTTCTCCAAGGGGAACCTAGCACCATCGACTTGTATTTGTCTCAGCCTCTGTCTGCATACAGCAGCTTATATTTTATTGGGGTGACTAGGTACACGCACGCAAAATAGAGGGCAAGTCAATGCTTCTAAAAATTGTGGGGAATCTAAAAGTTTGGTAGAAAGTTGGATAATCGGTGTCCCTGTGGACTAGCATAGTTGGCAATGACCTAATAGAGGAAGAGAGATTCAAGGTAAGTCTAAGAGCATGGGTTCATGTGTTAGCTCAGGCTGCTGTAACAAAACACCACAGACTATGTGGCTTAAACAACAGGAATTTAACTTCTCACGGTTTGGGATGCTGGAAGTCCCAGATCAAGGTGCTGCTGGTCATTTTGGTTCCTGGTGAGGGCTCTCTTCCTGGCTCACAGAAGGCTACCTTCTTTCTCTGTGTTCTCTTGGTTTTTCCTTGGTGCCTGCACACAGAAAGAAAGATAGAGCAAGCTCTCTGGTGTCTCTTCTTATAAGGACACTAATCTTATCAGATCAGGGCCCCACCGTTATGACCACATTTAACCTTAATTACTTCCTTGGAAGCCCCATCTCCAAATACAGCCACACAGGGGCTTAGGGCTTCAACATATGTATTTGTGGGGGACACAAACATTCATCCCTTAACAGGAGGATATGACTAAAGAGTGTGAAGGAAAGCATTGTGGACCTAACACAGCATGAAAGAAAATGAAGAGGTAAGAAAAGTGTATATGCATAGGTGTGCGTGTGTGTGTGTGTGTAGAGTATGCACATGCACATGAGAGGACATTATTTCTGAACAAATATTAATTGAGCACCTACTGTGGTCCAGGCACTGTTCCAGGCACAGGGACACATCAGTGAACAAAACAGACAAGGCTCCTAACCTCATGAAGTTCACCTTCCAGCAGGCAGAGACAAACATGAACACAGTGAGTAAATTAGGTAGTAAATTTTATCAGATGTGTACAAGGGATAAGCACTATGGAAATAAGAAGAAAGTAGAGCATGCTATGGAGGCCAGGGGTAGGGATGGTGCAGGGAGGAGGTTGAGAAGCTCAGTTAGGGGAATTAATACGGGCTTCATAAGAAGCAGAGAGCTGAGCCAAGACTTGAGGGAGGTAGTGAGGTGGATGAGCCAGAGAAAGCATTGCAGACAGGGGGAAGATAAAACAAAGGCATGAGAGGCAGGAAAATGCAATGACACTCAAGAAAGAATGAAGAAGTGGGAGAGGAGGGAGGGAAAGCAGGAGCTGTAGACAAAGACAGAGTGACCTCCAAAGCCACTCCAAGGAGGACTTGGTGGGTCCCCTGCATCACTGGGAGCCATTGCAGGGTTTGAACAAAGGAGTGACACAATCTGACTTCCTGAAGCCTGGCTCTAACTGACTTGTGTAGGGCAAGGAGCTGAGAGATCAGTAAGTATTTATTGCAATGATCTAGAGGAGACATCATGGTGGCTCAGACCAAAATAGTGACAGGGGAGGCAGGAGCAGGGGTCTGATTCTGAATGTGTTGATGGTAGAGCCAAGAGAATTTGCTGACAGGCTGGGAAAGAACAGGGGGAGGCAAGAATGATCTTGAGTATTATGTGTGCATGTTACAACAGATTGTTTCACTAGTAAGAGCACTCTACCTCCTCCACCCCGACCTCACCACTCTTACTTAAGGGATGAGAAATGCAAGATGCAAAGAACCTCACTGCAATTACCCAAAATGTCTATGCAGTTAAGGGATTCAAACCCCAAATTGTTCCTGTTTGTAATTCCTAGCATAACTTCATTTTACATTGGCTGAGATCCATATTGTTACATACAGGCATTCCTTGATCGCCCTTTGAAAAATTGCCATCCTACTCTCCGTTTCTCTTTCTTAGTTTAGTTTTCTCCCTAGGAACTGCCAAAATCTAACATAATATATATTTTACTCATGTATCTTGTTTATTGTATATTTCTTCCCATGAGAATATAAGAGCAACTTTTCTCAGTTTGTTCACTACTGTGTATCTACTGCCTAGAAGAATGTCTGGTGTGTGGAAGGTGTTCAGTAAATATGTATTAATGGAATGCATGCACCAATGTGTGAAAGGAAGATGGAAAGGAAGGAAGCATGAAAGGAAGGAAGGAAGGAAGGGGGGAAGGGGGGAAGGAGGGAGGGAGGGAGGAAGGAAGGAAGGAAGGATAGAAGGAAGGAAGAAAAGATGGAAAGAAGGAAGGAAATGAGTCAGGAAAGACAAGTAAAGTGAGAGAGAGAAAGAAAGACAGGAAATTAAAACTCTCCAGGTTTTTTGGTCTCATATATCTACACACATACATACAAATAATAGAACAAAAATTAAAAGTAATGAAATTAATTGAAAAAAGTGTTAGTTTTAGAAAACCATAAATTTTACTTTTATATGTTCATTTTCCCCAAATGATATTGAATCTGGGCACATTTTCTTTATTCCAGAATATTTGAAATCCTGCCAAGGTCCACTGGATGGGTAAGAAGCTAAGGTGGGAGTTAAAGAAGCTATGAGATAGATTATATTTTAAATGGGTATTGAGCAATTAAATCCAGTAACTCCATTCTTTCAAGTAATGCTGAACTGTTTGTATCAGCAGCATTTAGTGGCCCATAATTCTGAAACCCCTCAGGGAAGAAAATGCGTCACTGGCTTATGTATGAACTGAACAACTAAAATTTGAGGGAACGAGTTCAGGACCAAGAAAGCTGGCCTTTTCACCCCTGGTCCCTGTGAATCCAAATGCAGTGTAGCCGGCAGGCATGGAGGCGATGTCCTGTTCCTAACTCAATAACATTTTTCGCTACAACTCTTCCCATATTTGGAAAGGGGTTGAGTTGTATGAAAACCCATCCTCAGAAATAAGAAGTGAATATTTTCAATGAAACCATATGCAATGCATATATTTCAGTTTGCAGTTTACAATACATTTCACATATTTAGCATATCCAGTAGGCAAGGTGGAACTCCCTTCCCCAGGTAGGAGGCAAATCACTTACACTCAAGCTTTTCATGGTCCCTGAGCTGTGTAACTTCCATTTGCCACCCAAGCTCCATTCTCCTCCCTTCTCCCTCTCCCTTTTTCTGTGCTCCTTTGTGCCTAGAAAGTTGATCCCATTGCAGCAAGGATTCCCTGGGCTTCTGGTTTCTCACTAGACTCATCAATGAGAGACACTGGTGGGAGAAGGAGGGCAGTGGAGAGTCAACACTGGGCATTTTTTTCCTTTCTTCTCTTCCTACTACGTCTTAAGTCCTCTAGGCATACAACAGTTCCTTTCTGGCAGCCCCTCAGAGTCCCAGACTTGGCCTCCTTCCATTTGCCCCTTTGGGCCTGGAGATGGCAACCAAAGTGTGAAAGAAAAAGAGGAAGAAATGTCAACAATAGTCCCAAATGTTGCACTATGACTTCTTGGTTTCCCTGAACCTAGCCTTCAGTTTGTAAATAGCCCCTTTATTACACTCTCTTCAAATCACCTGATTTGAGTGTACCATCTATTTCCTGCTAGGATCCAGCAATACACACACTTAATGAGGGAAGAGCGGGGCTTGAACCATATCTGTTAACTCCATGCCCAGGCCTCTTCCTCTGTTTAATAGCTGAGGCTATCAGATGATAAAGCTATACACCTTCTAGAGGAAACCTGATTGCCCCCTTCATTTTTTTTAACAATAATAAACACGTCTCTCACTCTGACTATCATTTATTCAACCTGACCACCAACGTTTATTGAGAGCATGCTCTGAGCTAGGCAGTCTGCTGGGTGTGAAAATACAAAGATGAATGGGACACAGTCTCTATTCTCAAGTTGGTCAGATTAGACCAAGGTGGGTGACCCACATCAGGACACTGGGAAGCTGATTTTGAGATGAACATCAATATCAGGAGTTTTCTTAGGGAGCTCTTAGAATCAACACCCATGGAATGGCAGAAAGGAAACAGCGCTAGCCACAAGGAGAAGCTGAGATGTGATATACTCTAAATGAATGCCTCAGCCAACACTGCAGAGAGTTCTGAAGCTTAGATGAGGTTTCAGACCTGAATTTACCTGGGTTTAAGGGCTAAAATTTTTCACCTCTGTGTTGATGAATCATTGGATTCTGACCACCCCAGAAAGGGGATGTGACTTGGCTCACAAGGCTCTTTCCAACAAAGGCAATCCCTTGAAGGGGCTGAGAGCTGATAGCTCTCTAGTGGCACTTCCAGCATCTGAGGGAATATATTCTTCATCTCTGAGGGGAATCAGTATCCCTCAATGTAGGGGAAGGAGGAGAAACAGATAATTATACAAAAATACCATCAGATCAGCCATGGGGATGAACGCAATGTATTATAGATGCCCAGAAAGAAAACTTAATCCAGTCTTGGAAGTCTTAAAGAAACTTCCTGAACAAGGTGATGCTTGACTTGAATCTTAACGGCCAAAGAAGAAATTTGCCAGACAAAGGAGGTGTGGCATGCAAAGGAATCATGGGCATTATGAACAAAGGCAGAGGCTGACCATGGCATGATGCATCTCAAAGAAGAATTGCTGTTGCATAAAGTTTGAGACTGAAAGACAAGAAATTAAGCTGGAAAAGTAAGCAAGATTATTGCAAGGAGACTTTGAAGGCTGTGTCAAAGAACTGGAACTTTAGACTTTAGGCAAAGGGAAGCTACTGGGAAAGGAAAGAAAGCCCCCCTCCAGGACACAGACTTCCTTCAGAGGGTTTGCAGTGACAGAGAATGCCCTGATTAGGGAAGGGGGCTTCAAGTTCTCACCATCTGGATCATATGCATACTATGAGCACATGCAGCTTTCTGCCTTTTTCTTAGCTCTGTCTTCTCTACTTTGAAGGATATCCATTGCGAAGTTATCTGTTCACTAACTGTCCCACCTCCAGAGATACATCTAGTTTCAGCCCTAGAGGGATAGATGTGGGTTGAGACCGCATGCAGACTAGCGGAAGCTCAGAGGAATTGACCATTCTGGAGGAGCCATAATTTCATTCTGTTCAATTTCATGGGTATTAATCAGCCCCACTTAAGATGCTCAGAAGGAAAGGACTCCTGAGTCTCATCCTTTTGTTCCCCCACTACATTAGTCAAGCCCAAGAAGTGATACTCTTCTCTACATGATGCATGAACTGGAATAAGACAGTTTAATCTGCCTCTGAAGAATCAGAAGGCTGTTAGGATCCTTCAGTAGCAACTGTCAAACTGAGTAAACCAGGTGTCAAAACACAGTCCGGAGCTATGATGAAATTAATTACAGTGTTGAAGGTGACAGCTGAACATGTTCACACCTGACATGAATTTTGTTCTTTGATAAATGTTCCTGGTGTGTCAGGAACATCCCTCAGGTTGGCCTGGGGACAAGCATCACTCCAGCCAACCACGTCTTCTCACAAGTGTATTTAGACAGCCGTTCAGAATTTTCATTCTGGTTAACAGGCTTAATTATGTTTGAACCACACCGAATTTATTTTTTAAAACATGATTTTTCCCAAGTTAGACAAAGGCTCCAATTTCAGTTTGCTCAATTTAGATGATTGAAGTGTTAAATACATGATACTGTGAAAAAGAAGACGCTACACACCTGGATCCTTCCATTTTCCTGGATGGGGGGCCTTTGGCCTGTCTTCATTGGCCACAGAAAGTTAAAGATAAAATTGCACGCAGAACATTTTGCTCTCTTCCAGGGAGTAAAATGAGAACACCAGGGGAGGGAAAAGCAGCTTTGGCCAGGGAGGAGCCCTGTGAAGGTCAGAGTTGAGAAAAGGCTCAATTTGTCTGAGCTGTTGCTATAGATTTAAAATCTATAGCCACGCAGCGTTTTTGACTGATTTCCCAAGGGAATATATGTTCCAAATTCCTAGCTCATCTATCAGGAGCTGTAAGTTGTTTAATGTTGCTTAAGACATTTTGGGTGTTGCCAATATAGCCTTCCCTTCAGGAAACATTTTTCTCCTATAATGTTTTCATCTTGGCTTGAGGCAGAAGCTTTAAGAACACATCAAGGGCTTTGCTCGGGGTATCACCACACCCTGACCACCCCTCCTCATTCTATACCTCACAACATACAGAAATGAGTCCTTTCATTCATTCTTTCATTCACTAAGCCTTAAAGGATTATATCTGTTCCAGATACTAAGCTTAGAGGCCTTAAGCAAAGGGGACAGATCAACAAGTCAACACAAAACCATAATCCAGGATGATTATTGCTAAGAGATTTGGAACAGAGTGCTTTTAAAACATTTTCAACAAACCTGTCCTCAACTAAATTATGGCTTCATCTTAGTGAGTTTGCCTTCTTAGACTCTTTACTATGCTCAAATAGAAATATCTCTCCTTTAGCTTAGTTCTTTCCCGAAGAAGGCATTATTCTCTATTCTTTCTAATTGATCGGCCTAGAAAGTCTAAGTATGTTTTACATAATGCTATCAATTATTTATTCTATTATAGCCATACTATAGTTCCCATATCATAAAGATCATCGGGAAATTTCTTCAAAATTCCAAGCCATTCCATCCAAATAGTAGCTACGAGCTACTATTTTTTGCCATGAGATTCATTCAAGAGGAATATGGCTTCCTCCTGAAGAATTGTATGCAGAATACTAAAGATGTGAACCCAGTCATTGGTCTCTTAAACAGAGGGTTCTTAAAAAAACAGGAAGAAGTGGCAGCTTAATGTTCTTTCAGTTAAATCATCTAAAACCATAAATACAGGAATTCCACTTCCTTATCAGTTTATTTATCTCCAATGCCTCTGATGGATAAAAGAGGCGATCTCACATTGTTGATTTGGATGGGTAGCGAAGCATTATTTGGAATATGTTAGAGGAAAGAAAAGTAATGCCAATTCTTTAGAACAATTATGGGGAAGCTGCCAATGGAGCTGGCACTTCTTTATAAACAGTTGGCTTCGAATGGTCCAGAGATTAATTGACTGGAAGGAGGAATTGCCTCATCAGCTTTCACCTTGATGTCATGAAACTACTATTACTTGCTCTTCCCTCCACCAAACAAAGGCACTCAAAGCCCTTGGTGACTCAGTTTCCCTATTCCTGTCACCAAAAGTCTTCATGCCTTTCAATGGCAATGCCTCTCTAAAGGGACCCCAACCCTGCTGACGGCAGGAAGAGAGAGAGCAAACAGATGCTTATCTGCATGACCAGAGGAACAAACTGCTCTCTGATCTGAACCTGAGTCTGCAGCTGAGACGCACCACGAGGATACTGTCTGGCAAGAGGCCACCGTGCAGCCCTCTGTGGAGGCCCGGGGCCCTGAAACAGTTCATTCACTCCACCTGGGTGAGCAGTTTCCTCCCAAGTGGCTACTTACCAATGGCAGACCCAATTACAGACAAGATTGATAGGTCTGCCTGGATTGCTGAACCTACCTTCATTTTTTTTTTCTTTGAAAAAACTAGTCTTCACACACAGAAACTCTAGTACAAATAATAGGAGGATTTCTTTAAACAGAATTTAAAAGGAAACAAAGAAGAAAGCCACAAGAAATATCGCAGAAAGTGACTCAGGAAGCACTGACTGCCACACCTCCCTTCTACACCAACACCCACATCCACCCTGCACCCCCCCAACACACACACACCCTAGAAGGACAATAATTCTTGAGGCCAAGAGTTGAAGATCCTGTCTTACTAGTGTGGGAAAAGCCATAAGCTCTGCCTACGGGAAGTGCATGGGCTTTGAGTACGTTCTCTCCCTTCCTGACTAGATTCCTGCAGCTTAGGGGATGAGTTTGCCTTTGTGCCATTTTATCTAGAATAACTTCTTAGTAAAGCTGTATTAGAATCCCAAGGCCTCTAATTTCACCTACTAGCATTTTTCTTCCAGAGAAAACTACAGAATTTATGGAGCCCAGTATAAAATAAAAATCTGGGCCCCCTGTTCACAATAGCAGAGGAAAATAGTTGTTTTCTTCTTCTTTCTTCTGTGGTTCCTTTTTTGGCCTGAGAAGGTGTATTTTTTTTTTTTCAAGACAGGGTGTCCCTCTGTCACCCAGGCTGGAGTGCAGTGGTGCAACTCCTCTCACTGCAACCTCCACCTCCTAGGCCCAAGCCATCCTCCGACCTCAGCCTCCCGAGTAACTAGTACCACAGTACAAGCCACCACGCTCAGCTAATTTTTGTATTTTTTGTAAAGGCAGGGACTTGCTATGTTGCCCAGGCTGATCTCGAACTTCTGAGCTCCAACGATCCTCCTGCCTTGGCCTCCCAAAATGCTAGGATTACAGGCATGAGCCACCACACCCAGCCCCATTGTTTTCTTAATTTGTCACTTAATGTTGCATTTCCTTCAGTGCAAGAGAGAACATCAGAGCAAATGGAGACCTTCACAGGTGTCCAGAAACTAACACTGCAATATAGGGGCATATGCACTTGACCTCAAGCCTCCCTCCACCCATGCCTGTGCCCTCACTGCAGGCAGAAAACAGCAGTAATAACTGGACTGTCTCATGGGAGAGAGGCAGAGAAGCCATCCAATGGTGGTAGCAAGAGACAGGGGCACAAGTGAATCAAGGCTCCACATGCCTTGTGTATGCTCCATTGTCCCATTGGATTTCACTTACAAAGTGAAAATCCAAACAGAAAACTACAAAGACTTTCAAGACAGTGACCACAGAACATTAAACCCCAAGTAGGGAACTCTTTTCTAAGTGTGGGAACCTAGGCCCACCCATAAAGCCAGCTCTGTCTCTTCTAATACAGGAAATATTGTGTGAGCATAAAAACTACAAGAGTTTTCCCCACCAAACATGTAGCTGTAGATTAACAGGTGGACACATGCTCACATGCATTTACATTTGTGTGTAACTGGCTCTTCCCTTATTGTTTTCTTAGACTAGTTGCTCAGATGCAGGATTATTGAGACAAAGACACGAACATCGTTGGGGCTGTTGATGCATACTGACAGATTACTTTGCTAAAGCATGTGGTGACTTTCAGTGCCACCAACAAATCCCAACAGGATGGGTTTACTACATCTGCTTAGGCACTGGATAGTATTATGTGCTGGTAAATAGTTTTGTTCACTTATGGGAAAAAAATTTAACATAAAAAAATTCCATTTTAGGCCAGGCGAGGTGGCTCACACCTGTTATCCGAGCATTTTAGGGGGCCGAGGCAGGCGGATCAGAGGTCAGGAGATCGAGACCATCCTGGCTGACACGGTGAAACCCCGTCTCTACTAAAAATACAAAAAATTAGCCAGGCATGGTGGCGGGCGCCTGTAGTCCCAGCTACTCGGAGGCTGACACAGGCGAATGGCATGAACCTGGGAGGCGGAGCTTGCAGTGAGCTGAGATCACGCCAGCACTCCAGCCTGGGTGACAGAGTGAGACCCTGTCTCAAAAAAAAAAAAAATCCAATTTGAATTTGGTTTAAAATATTATTTCATATACTTTTTGTACGTCTGAAATATTTTGCAATTTTTTTTTGAGACGAAGTCTCGCTCTTGTCACCCAGGCTGGAATGCAATGGTGCGATCTCGGCTCACTGCAACCTCCATCTCCCGGGTTCAAGCGATTCTCCTACCCCAGCCTCCCGAGTAGATGGGATAACAGGCGCCTACCACCAGGCCCAGCTAATTTTTTGTATTTTTGGTAGAGACAAGTTTTCACCATGTTGGTCAGGCTGGTCTCGAACTCCTGACATCAGGTGATCCACCACCTCAGCCTCCCAAAATGCTGGGATTACAGGCATGAGCCACTGCACCCGGCCTATTTTGAAATTTTTTTAAAGAGAAAGTGTCTCACTATGTTGCAGAGGCTTGTCTCTAACTCCTGGCCTCAAGCCATCCTCTTGCCTCAGCCTTCAGAGTAGCTGGGACTACAGGGGCACACCACCATGCCCAGCTATTTTTACAGTTTTTAAAAACATCAAGTTTTTAAAACATTAAAGTATGCTTTTTAGTGATATCATGTGACACTAGTTCAAAATGTCGCCTTTTGGGTTGATCTTAAGGTAACTATCCATATTCATCAAAAAAGGAGAGAGGAGGGAAGGAGAGGAGAAGAGAAAAGAAAAGAAAATGAAAAATTAAACTTCAATGGGGAAGTATCTTACCTTAAAGTTATCACTGCTCAATGTGGCAGTTGTCATTGTAGAACTTGTCATCATAACTGGCCAAACACCTCTAGTCCTATGGCATGTCTTATCAGTAGTCATTGTAAGGCCTTTATCATTTGCTGTTTTGTACCACGGTTGCTTATATGCATGTTTTATTCCCCATCCTTCCACCCTGAAATAAATTGTAAAACCCCTAGGTCTTATTCAGCTTTTCATTTCCTAATTAACACTGAAATCCAGGAAATTTGGGGTGTTTTGGAACAATAGTTTCTAACTCAGCAAATACACATATTAAAAGTATATAATACATTATACATTAAAAGTCTGCAAATATGAAATAACCAAACCATGCTGAAGTTAAACATACTATATTTTTAAAATTTTTAACTGAATGCAATATACTTTCCTTTTTCGTGAACCAGAGTTAAAACTAATAACAATAATATAGACAACTCAATACAAAACTGTCTACAAATAGAGAAACATATTTTTAAGAGATTCACCAGACAATGCAGTTACTAGGTAAACATGTCCTGTCCAGTTAAATAACCCCTGACATAAATCATATATATGGATGTAGACAGAGTGTATATATCTATAGATACAGATACAGGTATATATATAAATAGATTGTGGATAATTCAAAGGATTATCATTACTATGTTCTCTGGCAGTATATAAACATACCAACATTAAAAACAGTTTTTTGAGCATTTACTATGTGATAGGCATTCTGGATTATTGCATTAATTCTCACAACAATCCTAAGGAAACAGGGACTGTTGTGGGCCTCCATTTTACAGAGAGGGGAACTGAAGCTCCGAAAGATGCAGGAATCTAGTGAGTAGCAGAACCAGGATATGAACTCCAAGCAACTAAGTCCAGCTTTAGCCTCTCCAGTTTTCTGCCTCCGATGGTGTTATTAGTGGATTCACTATCCTTAAAGCTTGGGCAAGGCCACCAACTGCTTCTTGCCTGGGAAGCCGACTTGTAGGGTTGCCAGATTTAGCAAATAAAAATACAGGCTACCTGGTTAAAATTGAATTTCAGATAAAAAGCAAGTAATTTTTTAAAATATAAGTATGTCCCAATATGGAATGGAACATACTTGTAAAATGATTCATTGTTTCAAATTTAACTGTGTGTCCTATATTTTATCTGGCAACCCTTGCAGCTTGCCATCTCACAGTAACTCTGAGTTACTGTCGCAGTTTCTGAAATGACAGCAATGTGGCTTTTTGAGAAAGATAGAAGAGTAATTCTAGGTTGAAGCTGGCATCAGAAACAAGGACAGACCCTGTTTCCGTGAACAAAATCTCCACTGAATAGCAGCCAAAATGAACATCCCTCTTAAGCCTGCAGGTTGGACCAAACAGCCCCATTGAACACCTCTTCCCATAGGCCCTGTAAATATTAATCAATATTTGCAGAATGAGAGCCTTCTGACCTTCAGCTTCTCAACCTGTAAATAATGATAATATTTCAATGGGTTGTTTTGAAGGTCAAGCAAGGTTATGCACGTAAACATTTACTATAAATGCTGTTTCCCATCTCATGTTTTTGGATATACAAAATTAAGAAATTATGTCTTTATTTCCAAAAACCAAGAATAAATGTTGTTAATCCAAGCCACTTTCAGTGAATATATAAACCAGGAAGTCTAATATTTAAACAGATTAAGATTAAAAACTAATATATTTGAAGGGGCATTTTTTAAGAAAGATTTAAATTTTGAAATCACATGTAAAAAAAAAATCACCTTGCATCTGTTCTGACAATCACATACAAGTAAAAATAGCTCTTTATGCATGTTACATTTATTCTTTATTTCCATGATTATGTGATGTCAACTTTTAAAAAATGATATGGATACACCAAAAGCAAGTAATATCATTAAAGATCATTGTTTTTTAACTGAAATGCTACCAAAACAATTAGATAGAACAAATACTATATTAAAATTGGTAGTAGCTAAGAATAATATGGGCAGAGAAAAAATAAATACATTATAGACATACAGAGTGATAATGAAACAATGATTTTTAAGAGTAATTTACCAACATTTTTTTGACATTTTCTGAAGTGCTGTGGAAAAAGAAAGTCTTGTGTTTAGAAAGCTCCCCAGTCCCACAAATGGGAACTTCAGACTCTTTTCTGTTTAGAGGGAATTTTTTTTCTTTACAAAAAAAAGAAAAAAAGAAAACACTTCTGTGGAAAAGTCAATTGAACAGAAGTCTCATATTTAAGTTGAATTGATCAGCTAAAGAAATTTGTTCCTCAAAATTCCTTTGTAGACTGGCAGCACTCCGTCTGACCAGGGTCAGGGGGTCAAAGTACTTGAAATATAACTCTACTGCTAGAAACTTCTGAAAGAGTTTGAATAAACTCCAAGGAGTTTGAAGAGAAGCAGTGGAGTACAGAACAGAGGAATTGTTAAAGCTAATGGAACTGAATGTAATTCTGTGACTACCGAGAGCAGGGAGCTGAGGAGGCGAGGTTGTAAGGAAAAGGATGTAGACTTTGCAAATCAGGAAAATCTGAATTTTTATCCTGGCTCCACTTCCAACTTGCTGAGCAGATCATTCTACTCCTCTGAGCCTCCATTTCCTCATCTTCAAAATAGAGACAATAATATCTCACGGGGATGTCATGAGTAGTAAATGAGATAATGTGGTAAAAATACACCCAATTAAAGTTAATAAATGGTTGTTATAAGTAATGTTCTTACAATATTTGTAAGAGAGTAGAACCTGGGGGCTAAATCAATGCTCAGGAAAGAGGAGACTCTGTGGGGGAAGATGTCATAGGCAGAACTCAAGAATTTTACACAGTGGAATTCATTTGGGCACAAAGAGAAGAAACTATTTTGTGAAAAAATAGTTATAGTGTCCAGAAAAAGAGCTGTAGTTCCAGAAAGCTCTGATGTTAACTGCAACATAGACCTAAAAATTGCTGTGAAATTGCTTCCGTTGTCTGTGGACTTGTCACTGAAGTCATTGGACACATAGCTCATCTTACAGATTCACTTCACACAATAATCACATCCTCGTCTGTGCTGTGCCCGAGTTTGTTGTAAGGAGGTGGCACAGGAGGGGAACGATGACTCAGGATAGTGTAAGACAGAGTTCATGGGTTTAGAGGAGAAATGCATGATGGGATGTGATAGAGGAAGGTTTCCCATATGTCAACCAAACCAGATAGATGCACTATGGGCAGATGATTTCATAGTTTGCAATGGTTCCAAGTTGGAAACAGTTGGTAGACAGTCAGTCAAAAGGGAAATCATGTCAAATCAAATCAAATTATGAGTTCAGTCTCATCTCTTCCTTCTGCTGCTCTGCGGGTGACAGCAGCTGACTTTAGGAATCAATGAGATACCAAGCACTGCACTTCCCAAATTCCAGTAGATGCATATGAGGGCCTCTGAGTGATTTTTTGTGAAGCCTTCTCCCCTACTTGGCTTAAGGTAAGAGATAAGTACTCCTTGTCCCCATACCCCCAGGATGGGGATTATTCCCACCATGCTGAAAATGTTCTCCAGAGATGTGCTTCTACTGACCTTGTTAACCTCCTTGTGAATTCATAGGCTTTTCTAATAGAGCCTCTTGTGTGAGCTAATAAGGCCAATCCCAGTTCTAGATCAGTAATTTTGCAAATTCTGCATAAATGGTCTGTTAACTCCACTCTGTAAAGTAGATATTGGCATCTCTTATTTTGTTCTTGGCTTTATGGGCCTCTAAAAAACTGAGACATCAAGAAAAATCTCAATTAACATCCCATTTCTTAGCATATTGGTAGAAAAAAACTGAAGAAATATATATACAAGTTTATGCAGTCATTTTCAAGGAAGTGAGAGAGATCACAAGGGACTTTGATTTTCTACATGATGTAATTCTACTAAGTTCAACTTTATATGTGTATTTCTTACTTTTGCAATCAGGAAAAATAAAGTAATTAATGTGGATGTCCCCAAAGATCCGAGGTTAAGGTATTCATAGGGAACGTTGAATTGAATACGAAGTCCAAGCACAGAGCTGACTCTGGCTTCAAGGCATGGTGACTCCATGGGTTGGAAAGATGACATCAGCTCCCTGCTCCTCTCTCCCTCCTACACTTGACTTTGCTTTTCTCCATGTTGGCTTCATTCCCAGGCAGACTGTCTCCACGTGGAAGTCAGTGTGCCTTCTGAAGCTCCAAGTTCACCTGGTTTCTTGATGCTCACAAAGTCGGGAATAGGGAGAGTCTCTTCTTCATAGAGTTCATCTCACTCTTCTCCAACTCCAAATATTTTCAGCAACCCTGCTAGAATTTTTGGACCAATCACTGTATCCAGGGAGTGGGACAATTTGATTGGTCAGCCTGCATTAAGTGGCTACCAAGTGGCAGGTGAGATAAGATTCACTTGATTGTCAGCCCCATCTAAAACACGTGGAACAGGGAAGAGGATATTCCCTAAAGTGACATAAGGCAGGTAAAGGAAGGGAGGAAAGAAGAGAGAAATAGAGGAATGGAGGGAGGGAAGTGGGGAGGGAAGGACAGAGGGAAGGAGATGTCTACTACATCAGAGAAACAGCTTTTATGAGAAATATTTACCGCCGGGCACAGTGTGGCTCACGCCTGTAATCCCAGCACTTTGGGAGGCTGAGGCTGGCGGATCACGAGGTCAGGAGATCAAGACCATCCTGGCTAACACGGTGAAACCCCGTCTCTACTAAAATACAAAAAAATTAGCCAGGCGTGGTGGCAGGCGCCTGTAGTCCCAGCTGCTCGGGAGGCTGAGGAAGAAGAATGGCGTGAACCCAGGAGGCGGAGCTTGAAGTGAGCCGAGATCGCGCCACCGAACTCCAGCCTGGGCGACAGAGCGAGACTCCATCTCAAAAAAAAAAAAAAAAGAGAGAAAAAGAAATATTTACCGATTGCCTACTGCATGCGTGGTACTGAAGACCCTTGGAAATCTGGAATTTACCATTGAAAGCTTTAGCTGTAAGAGACTTGAAAGATCCATGACATGATGGAAAGATCAATGACATGATGGCATATAATAAATTATATGGTGATAATACTGCCTACACCTGTGGTTTCCAAACTTTAGTGAGCATTGGAATCATTTTGGGGGCTTACTAAAACACAGATTGCTGGCCCAGTACGTCAGGGTAAGACCCAAGGACATACATTTCTGGTAAGTTCTTAGGTGATGCTGATGTTGTGAGGACCACACTTTGAGAACCACTGCCCTATATCAAATGGTTTCATGAAGACAAACTAGATTATATAAGTAAAGTGGCTTCTACCAATTTGAAACTCTGGTTCAGCAAGAGTGAAAACCTTATTTGATTAACAAATCTATTGAACTTCTGCATCTTGATTAGTGGTGTTCTTGAGGAATACCCTAAAATCTATTATTCTTCATCTCCTAAAATCTAATTATTCTTCACAATTGTCAAGAGTTTGGTGTCCAAAGATGTTTAACCAATGGTCAACACTGGAGAACAGTGAGATTCAACATCAGATGCAAGTTCTCTAGCTAAAGCTAAAGTTTGAAGCAAATGGCCCATCTCAACCTTTCCTCAGTACTGCTCTATCTTGTGCAAAACAATGTAAGGCATGGCCAAGTCAAGGACATCATTCGAAAGAAGCCAGAGAAACAGACAGAAAAAACGAAAAAGCTCTCAACTCAATATGCTTTCATCTCCAAAACAACATGTTCTTTCTCTTTGGTTCACTCGGTGTTTCTGACGGAAGTGAAATTCTTCTCTGGCATCCAAGAAAGATTTATGACTGAAAAAGAACAGATTTTACCTGGCAATGGGTGCGTGCAAGGTTTGTTCTCTTTCATACCAGGCCCAATTGCTCTTTATTTTGCAGATACTAATATTAGACCCAGTTAATCATTGCACATTCCTTTTATTAGGTGAGGAGCTACATTCTTGAAACCACTCTCAAGAAAACAATCCTTCACTTCCAGACCACCCTGAGTTGTAGACTTGGGGTTTCGGCAGTGGTAGAACTATTGGGTCATGTGGCAGACTTTTGGGCAGCCCATAGACATCTGCTCTTCAGCCTCAAACCTTTGGAAGTGGTTCGAGAACTTCCTCTTTTCTTGTTCACTTGGCGCAAGGTTGCTCCTTCTACAAACACCATGAAGGTGTTGGTACCACCAGAATATTAAACTTTATTGCCTCATTCCCTATGGGCAAAACTGCCTGTGATGAGGGAAAGGCTGCTTGAATAGGATGTATTCAATAGACTTTATTTGAAGGTCCTAATTCAGACAAGTTAGAGCCGTCTGAGTTTTTTGCAGAATCTGAAATATGAAATTTTAGACCACATTCAATTTCGTTAGTTCTAAGTGAATATGTCTTGACTCTGATAGTCTTTTCTAAGTTGATTATTGGCAAATTAGCAGCCAATTTGCCATAGAAACATTGTGGTTAGATTCCAAGCCAACCCCCAGATGCCTCCTTAACTCATTTTGTGCCTGAAGTAGAGTACTACTCAATAGTACCATGAAATCTCATCACCAATTGCAACTATGTTTTTGAAATAAAAACAGTCCAAGTTCCAACTCAGAACTAGAGGATGTGGTTGCTGGGTCTCCCCTTCATTTCCTTCTGTTCCTTCTGTGGTCAGCAGACCTTCTGACAGTGAGATAGGGACTCCAGAAAGGGACTTCTACAAGCACATTTTGGGTGATGGCAGTGATAGAAGTCTATGTCTTCAGTGAAATAAGCAAGCAGTAGCAGTTATTCACATTTTCCATGGTAGTCCCAGTCCTTCCTGAGTGACAAGGGTGGTGGCAGTGGGGAGTGAGGAAACAGGAGGGGGAAAGGGTGGTCCCTTACAGAAGCAACCAATTGCCAGCAGGGAGTTACGCCTCTGGCTTGGCCTCCAAGTCACAAGTCACAAGAAGAAAACATTTAAGAGTTTAGAATTAGTAAGTGGTCCATACGGTGATCACAGAAGAACAAAAAACATGTTATGAACAAGATCCTTAGGAATCCACTTCACTAAACAAATAAAGTGATTTATAATTGGCAAATCAACTTGAAACCTAAATGGTTCCAATATGCTTGAAAATCATTTATTCCCTTAAGTCTTTTAGCACCTACTTCTCTGCCACCCTTAGACTCCTTTATCAGAACTGAACTCATCCAGCAAGTATGTATTGAGGGCCTACCCTGGACCAAGGCCAACCTCATTATCTACTATTAGTTTGCACAACCTGCAAAGCACAGTGCTGTGTGTATAGGAAATAAACTCACTTACCTGATTCTTTCCCACAGAATGCTTTCTGGGCTCCCTCTTTCGCTCTTCATTTGTTCCTTCTTTTAGCTCTCTAAGATCACTACACCTGGCCAGTCCCCTCTGTGCACTGCTCATTCTAGAATCTCACTCCTGGTCATAACCCCGGGGCCCAGACAGACGAGGTCTACCCTGCTTCCAGAACAAGAAAGCAGACATGCATCCTGGCTGCAGCCAGGCTATGAAGCAGAATAAATGAAGCCTGTCTCTATTTCTGTCTGCATTCTGTTGTCTAGGCAATTTCTTTGGAATTGATTCTTTTTCTTTCTTTTACTTTCTTCCATTTTCCCCCTTGTATCCTTTCCTTTTCTTTCTCTTTAGATTTTCCTTTCTTCCTTCAGACATTTTTTCTGAGAAACTCATGCATTCCGCTAAGCAGCATGGAACTTCAAGAGAGATGTTAGAATATGCACGCTCAACCCCCGCACACGAGAGATGCACACAGTGGGCTGCAAACGGTGAAAAATGAAATCCAAAATTACCTTTCCAAAAGAATTCTACTTAGGAAAGACTCCTTACAGGCATTCATGGAAGGCTCCAGCCTCTTAAGCTTCGTTTACATTTTATAGCTTTTACTGAATTTTCTTCAACTGTCTACCCAAATATACTTCTCTGATCCATAAACCGTTTCCAGTGAAACTTGGATCCTATTTGGTGTAATTCCTGTAACTCTGTGAGAATCTGAGACAGGCCATTCATTTCTAAGCAAAGGTCTCTGTTTAAAAGGTTATGCTTGCCATTTCTCTGTCAATGTCGTCAACGCCAACGGCGTCACCCTTCCTCCTCCCGATAATCAGGGTGGTCGGAATCTTCCTAAAATAGCAGCCACTGGGACCCTGCTTGCCACGTTTAATTTCACTGCTTCTTTATAGAGCCTTATTTATGTGTTAAACTATGAACAAGTCAGCTTGAATTGCCTGGGGCCAAGTGCGAGAGAAATGTTGATAACATTTGGTATTCCCAGCCTTCCCCCTTGACTCCTCCATACTAAAATTTAGAGAATGGATAAGGCTTAGAAGTGGCTTCTTCCAGTGTGCTGTATTCTAGTTGGGGATAAATAATGTGGAATTCGGGGGTGTATCATCAAGGATATGTTCTGAAGCTCTGGGAATATTATATCACGAAGGTAGCCGCTGACTGGCAGAGTCTGAGGGCTCTGAGAAATGGGAGGAATTGCTCACTGGCCCACTGCTTCCTGAAGTTTCACTTTTAAAATAATCAGAATGTGATTAGGAGGCAGCCTGAGCCATAACAACCACCTAAGCCAGGGAACTTCACCAGTAGGAGAGGCGTTAGCTCTGCCTTCACCTCCCCAGGATATGAGAACACACAGGCTTCTTTAAGCCACCTAGGAGATACAGAGTCTTTCTTCCAGGCATCTCACCAAGGAAAAGAACATTTTGTTAATCATTACTCATTATCAGTTTGGCCAAAGAATTGTTTTGAGTTTTGGGGTGTTTTTGTTTCATTTTGTTTTGTTTTGGCATCTGGGTGGCACAGGCTCAAGGCCAATTTCATCATGTAAACATCCAGTTTACAATTCTAAGTGGTTTCCCTGGGGTAGAAACCCTCAAAACTGTCCTTCTGAACTTCCAGTGGGATCTATTTCACCTTGAGCCTATCTTGGCATTTTTAGTCATCCTCTGGACTTAGTGAAATTGAGTTCTCCATGCCTCTCTTCAGAGCTCAGGCTTTCTGGCATATAGCTGTTTCTCTGGTACTACCATTTTCATGTACATTTGCCCCAAAATGGAATAATCATTGAGAACAGTTTTGAGCGTTCTTCAGCTCCTTTGCCTCATGCCCTAGTCTCCAGGGCTCAGCGTGTCTTTGGGAACAGGGTTATGCTTTGCAATACTACTACTGGCTCTTACTTCTCTTCCTCAAGATTGATTCTTCGAACAGTGACCTTATTTAATTCAAACAAGCCATGTTGGTTCTCCTGACTTCAGCAAATGGAAAAGTCCAGTAGGAAGTACACATTTGCTTTTATGGATGACAGATATGCATTACTGATTACTCTAATCCTCAAAGGTACTTAGAAACACTGATCAAGTCTTCATCTCCTGTAACAGTCCTGGGGAAATCACAAGCAAAAAGCATTTGCTTAGGTAAGTAGGAAGCAATTGTTATTACTTCATTTTGTTTTGCTTCCTGAGAGGACTTGAAAAACTGAGAGACTCCCACTCATCTGATATGGGACATAGAAAAAATAAAAATATTCTTAGAACCCACCACAAGGCAAAAGCTAGTCTAGCCAACACCATCTTGATTCTTTAATAAGACCAACTCATTCAGATCAAAGTCAAATTGTACTTTTCCAGAGGGTAAACTTAAGACAATATTTTTCAAACTTTTGTTTGGGCTACAACTGACAGTAAAAATATATTTTACAACATGACATGTATGATGTTGCACACACACATGTTTACCTGAAATACGTTTTATGAAACATAACTTACTCTTGCTATATGTTGTAAACTCAATATTTTTGTCTGTTCTATTTCATTCCATTCAATTGTATTTTGTTATTTAAAAAATGCTAGTTGTGAAACACAAAATTGATTTCTTAAGACACAACTCACCATGTGAAAAACACTCTTGAGGGTGGGGGATACAGAAGTGAATCCTTCTCACAAATTCTCTAAGTCCTCCCTTTTTTATTGAAGATGGCTAAAATTTACCATTGAGGATGTCTTTGCTGTGGTTAAAAAAAGTTATCTTTTATTAAAATGTAAGTGAACCCTGAATGAGTAACAGATTACACCTGGCCCATCATTTATACCTCTATGAAGTGGAGAAGATCACATTGCACCTCACATCACAAATATCACCTCATATACAGTAAAGAAAGAAAGTCAGGTTGGATGAGGGAAGGGCTGGAAATGAGAACAGGAAGCTCTGAGGCAGGAGCAAGTAAAGGGTTCCTGAGGAAGAGGATAGGTTGCCTCAGTGATTCTGGGGCTTTGCCCCGTCCCCATACATAGGTGGGGAGAACCCAGGCTGAAGGCATCCTCAGTCCCCCCAGGGGTCCCTTGCTGCCCTCTCCAATCCTGCACATATCTGGGGCAGGAATGGAAATCAAAGCATGGAAATGGAAGGGACACCACCAGAGCACAGTGAGGTCTGCAGGGCTGCAACCAGGAGCAGGAGGCTGTACCTGGGCCACCTCTTCCCCTTTACTGCACTCCCTCACTCAGGGAAGGCTCTTCCCCTTCTTCTCCACCTTGATCACGTTTTCCTAAGAAGGTCCCAGCTCTGCCAGCCCTTCCAACAGCACCATCCTAATATGGTTTGGCTGTGTCCCCACACAAATCTCATCTTGAGTTGTAGCCCATAATTCCCAGGAGCTGTGGGAGGGACCCAGTGGGAGATAATTTAATCATGGGGGCAGTTTCCCCCATACTGTTCTCATGGTAGTGAATAAGTTTCATGAGATCTGATGGTTTTATTAGCGGTTTCCCTAATAAAAAATTCTGTGGCTCTGAGGCTCCTATATGCTAATTCATAAATTCATAAAGAATACAAGCTGCTGATGACAGCTACTATGTCCCCAGACCTTCTCCTCTCCAGTCTAAATGTCCCTGGTTCTTTGAGGATTTCCCCAAGATAGCAGCATTAGCAATAATATAGAATGGTTTGAATTATCCCACCAGTCTAGTTGCTTTCCTCACAACAACCTCCATTTGGTCTATCATCTCCTCTAAACATGACCCCCAAAACAAAAGCCCAACCCCAGGTGCACTACCTGATGCACCCTAATCTTTATGTACACGGATGTATCCTCCACTGTACCAGTGTCTCTGCAAAACACAGCCTGCATCTGCCTTCATATTAACAATGACTACCCACTCATACTTGGAGCTTATGGAGTTATTTATCCAGAAATTCCTTTTACTTCTTGAAAATTTCAAACAACCCTCTCTCTTCCTCCCTCCCTGTAAGCATGTTTAAATGGCTATCTTGAGAACTGCCACTTTTTGACATGATTCTGTCTCCCCGGCTGCAAAGAGAGCCCTTACCAGGTTTCCCATCAGAATTCTTCCTCAGGTCTTGTCTGGCTGCATCTGAAAGAGCCAGCCTCTTCCAAGTCCACTAGCAAAAGTTAGAAGGGATGATCTTCAGAAGCGTTTAAGGGCCATAATCCTGCCCTGTGCAGAAAGATAGACTGTAGCAAGAGAGAATAAAACACAGAAGAGAGAATGCCACCCAAAGAGAGGCCAGCCCAGTCAAGAAACGGAGAGAACCCAGGGCTTTTGTGTCCCTTGCCCATTTATCCCTGAAACCTAGCAGCCTTCCCTGCCCTTCCCTCAGTCTGGTTGTTCTTGGATTCTGAGAGTCAATAAATTCCCTTTTTGCCCTTTTGCCTAATCCCAGTTGGATTTTTGTAAGTGGCAACCAAAAAATTCCTGACTAATACAACCACTAATTTTTTCTTCCTGAGTATTGCCGTGCTGTTCCTAAACCAAATATTCACATCCTGTACTTACATGTTTTTGAACCCAAAGGCAAGATTTCACATTTATTGCTGTGAAATATCATCTTGTTTTCTTTGATTCGTAATTCTAGTATAGCTGGTGGCAAATTTGCACACACTACTGTCAACTGCACTAAGAAAATGTGGCTTTTGTCTATTTTTTTTTAACAGAGTTAGTCACCCTCATAAGCTTCATAAGTCCTTGCTGGTAACAGACACACACACACACACACACACACACACACACATACTTTTCTGTAACAATATTACATTCAAAAAAGACTTTTAAGCTGGAAGAAACAGTTTATTTCTTCTGAGTTGTCAGTCCTTGGGAGCACTGCAGCCCCAGTTCTCCAAAATATCAACTGGCTGAAGGAGGGCATGATGAGACCCCTTATCTGTGGCAAAGGAGCTCCAAATCTAACCATCATCCTCTGATCCCCACTGGCCTACATACCATGGAGCAATTTGTCTGGTCTTGTCCCTGGGGTGCAGAGGGCCCCATCTGGGCCTTGGGGCATCCTACTGGCATTCACAGCTGGAGTCATTGGCCTTGGCCGTTTGCCTCTGGTCACAAACTCACCATATGCTATTGTCAAATAAAAGCAAATCCAGAGTTAGTAAGAAGAGACTTCATTCAAAATAATTATTGCAAAAGGAGTAAAGGCACTATTGCAATAGGGAAGGTGTCCTATGGTAACAGGGAGAGCACTGTGATCACACATTCTACAAGTATCTTAAGAGTTAGTTTTCAAAGGGAATGCTTCCAGTTTTTGCCCATTCAGTATGATATTGGCTGTGGGTTTGTCATAGATAGCTCTTATTATTTTGAAATACGTCCCATCAATACCTAATTTATTGAGAGTTTTTAGCATGAAGGGTTGTTGAATTTTGTCAAAGGCTTTTTCTGCATCTATTGAGATAATCATGTGGTTTTTGTCTTTGGCTCTGTTTATATGCTGGATTACATTTATTGATTTGCGTATATTGAACCAGCCTTGCATCCCAGGGATGAAGCCCACTTGATCATGGTGGATAAGCTTTTTGATGTGCTGCTGGATTCGGTTTGCCAGTATTTTATTGAGGATTTTTGCATCAATGTTCATCAAGGATATTGGTCTAAAATTCTCTTTTTTGGTTGTGTCTCTGCCCGGCTTTGGTATCAGAATGATGCTGGCCTCATAAAATGAGTTAGGGAGGATTCCCTCTTTTTCTATTGATTGGAATAGTTTCAGAAGGAATGGTACCAGCTCCTCCTTGTACCTCTGGTAGAATTCGGCTGTGAATCCATCTGGTCCTGGACTCTTTTTGGTTGGTAAACTATTGATTATTGCCACAATTTCAGAGCCTGTTATTGGTCTATTCAGAGATTCAACTTCTTCCTGGTTTAGTCTTGGGAGAGTGTATGTGTCGAGGAATGTATCCATTTCTTCTAGATTTTCTAGTTTATTTGCGTAGAGGTGTTTGTAGTATTCTCTGATGGTAGTTTGTATTTCTGTGGGATCGGTGGTGATATCCCCTTTATCATTTTTTATTGTGTCTATTTGATTCTTCTCTCTTTTTTTCTTTATTAGTCTTGCTAGCGGTCTATCAATTTTGTTGATCCTTTCAAAAAACCAGCTCCTGGATTCATTGATTTTTTGAAGGGTTTTTTGTGTCTCTATTTCCTTCAGTTCTGCTCTGATTTTAGTTATTTCTTGCCTTCTGCTAGCTTTTGAATGTGTTTGCTCTTGCTTTTCTAGTTCTTTTAATTGTGATGTTAGGGTGTCAATTTTGGATCTTTCCTGCTTTCTCTTGTAGGCATTTAGTGCTATAAATTTCCCTCTACACACTGCTTTGAATGCGTCCCAGAGATTCTGGTATGTGGTGTCTTTGTTCTCGTTGGTTTCAAAGAACATCTTTATTTCTGCCTTCATTTCGTTATGTACCCAGTAGTCATTCAGGAGCAGGTTGTTCAGTTTCCATGGAGTTGAGTGGCTTTGAGTGAGATTCTTAATCCTGAGTTCTAGTTTGATTGCACTGTGGTCTGAGAGATAGTTTGTTATAATTTCTGTTCTTTTACATTTGCTGAGGAGAGCTTTACTTCCAACTATGTGGTCAATTTTGGAATAGGTGTGGTGTGGTGCTGAAAAAAATGTATACTCTGTTGATTTGGGGTGGAGAGTTCTGTAGATGTCTATTAGGTCTGCTTGGTGCAGAGCTGAGTTCAATTCCTGGGTATCCTTGTTGACTTTCTGTCTCGTTGATCTGTCTAATGTTGACAGTGGGGTGTTAAAGTCTCCCATTATTAATGTGTGGGCGTCTAAGTCTCTTTGTAGGTCACTCAGGACTTGCTTTATGAATCTGGGTGCTCCTGTATTGGGTGCATAAATATTTAGGATAGTTAGCTCCTCTTGTTGAATTGATCCCTTTACCATTATGTAATGGCCTTCTTTGTCTCTTTTGATCTTTGTTGGTTTAAAGTCTGTTTTATCAGAGACTAGGATTGCAACCCCTGCCTTTTTTTGTTTTCCATTGGCTTGGTAGATCTTCCTCCATCCTTTTATTTTGAGCCTATGTGTGTCTCTGCACGTGAGATGGGTTTCCTGAATACAGCACACTGATGGGTCTTGACTCTTTATCCAACTTGCCAGTCTGTGTCTTTTAATTGCAGAATTTAGTCCATTTATATTTAAAGTTAATATTGTTATGTGTGAATTTGATCCTGTCATTATGATGTTAGCTGGTGATTTTGCTCATTAGTTGATGCAGTTTCTTCCTAGTCTCGATGGTCTTTACATTTTGGCATGATTTTGCAGCGGCTGGTACCGGTTGTTCCTTTCCATGTTTAGCTCTTCCTTCAGGAGCTCTTTTAGGACAGGCCTGGTGGTGACAAAATCTCTCAGCATTTGCTTGTCTATAAAGTATTTTATTTCTCCTTCACTTATGAAGCTTAGTTTGGCTGGATATGAAATTCTGGGTTGAAAATTCTTTTCTTTAAGAATGTTGAATATTGGCCCCCACTCTCTTCTGGCTTGTAGGGTTTCTGCCGAGAGATCCGCTGTTAGTCTGATGGGCTTTCCTTTGAGGGTAACCCGACCTTTCTCTCTGGCTGCCCTTAACATTTTTTCCTTCATTTCAACTTTGGTGAATCTGACAATTATGTGTCTTGGAGTTGCTCTTCTCGAGGAGTATCTTTGTGGCGTTCTCTGTATTTCTTGAATCTGAACGTTGGCCTGCCTTGCTAGATTGGGGAAGTTCTCCTGGATAATATCCTGCAGAGTGTTTTCCAACTTGGTTCCATTCTCCACATCACTTTCAGGTACACCAATCAGACGTAGATTTGGTCTTTTCACATAGTCCCATATTTCTTGGAGGCTTTGCTCATTTCTTTTTATTCTTTTTTCTCTAAACTTCCCTTCTCGCTTCATTTCATTCATTTCATCTTCCATTGCTGATACCCTTTCTTCCAGTTGATCGCATCGGCTCCTGAGGCTTCTGCATTCTTCACGTAGTTCTCGAGCCTTGGTTTTCAGCTCCATCAGCTCCTTTAAGCACTTCTCTGTATTGGTTATTCTAGTTATACATTCTTCTAAATTTTTTTCAAAGTTTTCAACTTTTTTGCCTTTGGTTTGAATGTCCTCCCGTAGCTCAGAGTAATTTGATCGTCTGAAGCCTTCTTCTCTCAGCTCGTCAAAATCATTCTCCATCCAGCTTTGTTCTGTTGCTGGTGAGGAACTGCGTTCCTTTGGAGGAGGAGAGGCGCTCTGCGTTTTAGAGTTTCCAGTTTTTCTGTTCTGTTTTTTCCCCATCTTTGTGGTTTTATCTACTTTTGGTCTTTGATGATGGTGATGTACAGATGGGTTTTCGGTGTAGATGTCCTTTCTGGTTGTTAGTTTTCCTTCTAACAGACAGGACCCTCAGCTGCAGGTCTGTTGGAATACCCTGCTGTGTGAGGTGTCAGTGTGCCCCTGCTGGGGGGTGCCTCCCAGTTAGGCTGCTCGGGGGTCAGGGGTCAGGGACCCACTTGAGGAGGCAGTCTGCCCGTTCTCAGATCTCCAGCTGCGTGCTGGGAGAACCACTGCTCTCTTCAAAGCTGTCAGACAGGGACACTTAAGTCTGCAGAGGTTACTGCTGTCCCTTTGAAAACTGGCACAAGACAGGGATGCCCTCTCTCACCGCTCCTATTCAACATAGTGTTGGAAGTTCTGGCCAGGGCAATCAGGCAGGAGAAGGAAATAAAGGGTATTCAATTAGGAAAAGAGGAAGTCAAATTGTCCCTGTTTGCAGACGACATGATTGTTTATCTAGACAACCCCATCGTCTCAGCCCAAAATCTCCTTAAGCTGATAAGCAACTTCAGCAAAGTCTCAGGATACAAAATCAATGTACAAAAATCACAAGCATTCTTATACACCAACAACAGACAAACAGAGAGCCAAATCATGAGTGAACTCCCATTCACAATTGCTTCAAAGAGAATAAAATACCTAGGAATCCAACTTACAAGGGATGTGAAGGACCTCTTCAAGGAGAACTACAAACCACTGCTCAAGGAAATAAAAGAGGACACAAACAAATGGAAGAACATTCCATGCTCATGGGTAGGAAGAATCAATATCGTGAAAATGGCCATACTGCCCAAGGTAATTTACAGATTCAATGCCATCCCCATCAAGCTACCAATGACTTTCTTCACAGAATTGGAAAAAACTACTTTAAAGTTCATATGGAACCAAAAAAGAGCCCGCATCGCCAAGTCAATCCTAAGCCAAAAGAACAAAGCTGGAGGCATCACACTACCTGACTTCAAACTATACTACAAGGCTACAGTAACCAAAACAGCATGGTACTGGTACCAAAACAGAGATATAGATCAATGGAACAGAACAGAGCCCTCAGAAATAATGCCGCATGTCTACAACTATCTGATCTTTGACAAACCTGAGAAAAACAAGCAATGGGGAAAGGATTCCCTATTTAATAAATGGTGCTGGGAAAACTGGCTAGCCATATGTAGAAAGCTGAAACTGGATCCCTTCCTTACACCTTATACAAAAATCAATTCAAGATGGATTAAAGATTTAAACGTTAGACCTAAAACCATAAAAACCCTAGAAGAAAACCTAGGCATTACCATTCAGGACATAGGCGTGGGCAAGGACTTCATGTCCAAAACACCAAAAGCAATGGCAACAAAAGCCAAAATTGACAAATGGGATCTAATTAAACTCAAGAGCTTCTGCACAGAAAAAGAAACTACCATCAGAGTGAACAGGCAACCTACAACATGGGAGAAAATTTTCGCAACCTACTCATCTGACAAAGGGCTAATATCCAGAATCTACAATGAACTCAAACAAATTTACAAGAAAAAAACAAACAACCCCATCAAAAAGTGGGCGAAGGACATGAACAGACACTTCTCAAAAGAAGACATTTATGCAGCCAAAAAACACATGAAGAAATGCTCATCATCACTGGCCATCAGAGAAATGCAAATCAAAACCACTATGAGATATCATCTCACACCAGTTAGAATGGCAATCATTAAAAAGTCAGGAAACAACAGGTGCTGGAGAGGATGTGGAGAAATAGGAACACTTTTACACTGTTGGTGGGACTGTAAACTAGTTCAACCATTGTGGAAGTCAGTGTGGCGATTCCTCAGGGATCTAGAACTAGAAATACCATTTGACCCAGCCATCCCATTACTGGGTATATACCCAAAGGACTATAAATCATGCTGCTATAAAGACACATGCACACGTATGTTTATTGCGGCACTATTCACAATAGCAAAGACTTGGAACCAACCCAAATGTCCAACAATGATAGACTGGATTAAGAAAATGTGGCACATATACACCATGGAATACTATGCAGCCATAAAAAATGATGAGTTCATGTCCTTTGTAGGGACATGGATGAAATTGGAAACCATCATTCTCAGTAAACTATCGCAAGAACAAAAAACCAAACACCGCATATTCTCACTCATAGGTGGGAATTGAACAATGAGATCACATGGACACAGGAAGGGGAATATCACACTCTGGGGACTGTGGTGGGGTCGGGGGAGGGGGGAGGGATAGCATTGGGAGATATACCTAATGCTAGATGACACGTTAGTGGGTGCAGCGCACCAGCATGGCACATGTATACATATGTAACTAACCTGCACAATGTGCACATGTACCCTAAAACTTAGAGTATAATAAAAAAAATAAAAAAAAAATTAAAAAAAAATTAAAAAAAATAAAAAAGAAAAAAAAAAAGAGTTAGGCAAAAAGGGGGTTTTCTTTTCTACAGAGGTGTAAACAAGGCTAAAATGAACCATAGGCAAGTGGGATGAAAGGGCGGTGTGATCGATCAGAAGTTAAGATTTTACCTCAGGGCAGCCTACTCTTAGGAGGGGCTGCATGCTGCTTCAAGTTGAGCCTGGGACAAAGTTCAGAGGCCTGGGGGAAGAAGAGAATCCTAGTCAAAGTGTGATTAACAAGTATCTTGCTCCAGTTCATCAGTGGAATACAGGCAATTTGGCTAATCATTTATGAGACAAAGAACGGGAATTTGGAGGGTCTGTGGGTAGTCATGTCACAGGTAAGTAGAGGGCAGCCATGAGTCTTATCTGTGTCCTAAACGGAAGGGTGGTTCTTTGCAGTAAGCCCTTTGCCAGAACGCCAAAGTTTGAGGGGGTTTCTTAATCTCCGATCGTTTTCCATGATCACAGGGCTTAGGTAAGGTTCAATGTTTCTTCTATGAACCTTTGTTTTGACTCCAAACTCTCTCAGAACCTCATGCCCTCCCTGGGTCACATGAGAATTCTGGATTCCAAGAATGACACAGACAGATCATAGGAGGCTGGGAGTGGTATCTCAGGTCTATCTCTCTACCTGCCTGATACATCATGTTGGAAATTATGGCTGCCCAGCCAATTGCAAGGCCAATTCCAGAAGTTTGCAAGTTTCTTCAGGCTACACCTAAGAACAAAGGCCAATCATCCCCAGTATGATGGTTTCCATATACCTATCTGGATATTTCTGTAGCCCTTGGACTTTTGACCTTGAATAAGGTTTCTGAGGTCCCTAGCATCTGACCCCCATACCCTCTCTATCTCATTTATTTCTTCCCACAGTCCACTGGGTTCCCAAGGGGTAAACTTGCCTTCATTCCTTAATGGCAGAGGCTTCTGTGACATCATACCTAAATTCCCTCTTCCCTGTTACTTAAATTGAAACTCAATGATCAAAAATGTTGGTGAGAGCTAAAGTTGAGAAAATCTATCCTTTCTCACCATAGTTTGTCTTTCAAAATACTGTCTGTGAGCTCAAAACTTCTATTTTGAAATTTAAAAGCTGGGCTTTGCCTTTTCTTTGCATTTCTACTGCTATAATTCCAGTTTCCCCCAAAGCAAATGGATGCCTCTAGCTGAAAAGAAGGTTACATACAGGGAAGTTCAAATGCAAAAATCATTTTAATAAACATCAAAAATAGCATCCCCATTACATTAGCAAGGAAATAAAAATTGGAACCTAATTGTGTCATCCAAATTATTTGCTAACTTTCTGATTCATCCATAAATTTGAAAAACTTGTCTTTTGTATCTTCATGGAGTCACTGATAAAACGGAGAAAATTAATTAATGACATAGAGGATAGAGCCCTGAGAAACATGACTAGAAACTTATTTGCAAATTAACAGTAATTCACAGTGAAAATTCTGTTTGCCTGAAATTTATTCCTGTTAGCCCAAGTAAATCACTGGTTTGGGGTCATGGTGCAGAGATCCTAAGATCCTCATGTTCTAGTATTTATGTTCCCATATAATCTCTTCTCCTTGAGTTTGGGTGCTACTTGTAACTTGCTTCTAACTGATAAAATATGGCAAAGGTGATGCAATGTTTTCCCCATGATTATATTAAGATATATAAGACTCCATCTTGCTAGATAGAGAGTTTCACTCTTGCAGGCTTTGAAGAAGTGGGAACATTAGGAGGTACAGATGGCAAGCAGGTGAGGATACCTCTAGGAGCTGAAAACAGCCTCTGGTCTGTGGCCAGAAGGAAACTGCGGCTTGCAGTTTTACAGCCACAAGGAAATAAATGCTGCCACAACCTGAAGGAACTTGGAAGTGTAAACTTCTCCAGTCAGGCCTCCAGATGAGGACACAGCCTGGCTGATACTTTGATTATTGCAGCCTGAATTCAGAGACTCCACCTAAGCCTTGATCAGACTGCTGACCCACAGAAATTGTGGGATAGTAAACATATGTTGTTTTTGCAGGCTATGTTTGTGATGATTTGTTACATAAAATAGAAAACTCATCCAGTGATGGGAAAAAGTGATCAGACATGTGCCTTTTTTCTGATCCCTGCTTCAGATTGTATTGCCCCTTTTTGCAGGTGATGGAATCCATACTCCAAAGACCTAGGAACTAAGACAATTCCCTTCCCTTCTCTGTGCCTACATTTTCTCATCTGTAAAATGAGAACATTGTACTTGGGGAAGTCTAAGAGACCTTTCAGCTAAGAGAGTTTATGTCCCGTGGTCCAAAAAGGAGATATCCTTGAAATTCATTTGAACTGAGGTGAAAGAGAAAGGAATGAAGCTCGGAAATAGTGGAATAGAAATTAGCAAGTATTGAAGACAAGAAAAAATCAACTTTGAGTATACAGTAAAAAGAGCCCAAAAACTGATAGCCCCATAGAAGTCAATGAAATGAAATGACCAGACCAGCCAGAGACATGATGCTGGCATATTCAGCCAAGTGGGCAATGGGGCCTTCAGCACATCCCAGCTTGTTCTTATGGACATTATTCTGAAGGCATCTATTAGTTTTTTTAAAATAAAAAAAATCTTTAAAAAGCCTAATATGAGAAACTTAGCATGAAAATTCTCTTATCTTCACCACCCCTAATAATAGACATTGCTCAGTTATTCAACTGCTGTCTTGACCTCTGGATAGTTGGAAGAGCAGAACCAATGATCTTAGAGGTAAAGCATAGCAACAAACTCATGCGAAATCATTTTGAGGTCTCCGTTTTCTAATGCAATATAAAGAAAAGCTTTGAATGGTGCTGGATTCTGGAAAGAACCATGGTGAGTATTTTCTAAGATTTCAAAGTCAATGGGGGATATAACTGAGAACATAAATTCTAAAACCATCATAAGCTGAATGCTGGAAAAAGAGACGCAAGTGTTCTTTCCAGTGTGAAAAAAAAAAAACCCTGCTCATTAGAGCCTTAGAATGAATCTACTCTTACAAGCCTAATCCATGAATAAACTAAGAAATAGAACTTTGCTGAAAAATTCCTCATGGATTTACAAGTTGCTATAAGTCCCCAAGGAATGGGGTTTGAGCTATAAAGTTGCCTGAGGTACACAGGTCTGTATAGTGTAGTGAGAATTTGGGAACTGACATCTTTCCACAACAAAGACACTACTGATACTAAAAACCAGACCTATCTGGCTGTCTGTCCCCTGTGTTAAATAGTACTTAGTGTGGGTTTAAGAGTAACTTAATGGTTGCTGGCTTAAGAAAGAGGGAATTTTGAGGGACTGTTGGATATGTAAAAATAGAAGAGCCAATCTAGATTTCTTAAAAATCTGGGATTTGAAATCATTTAATTTAATTTTTTTATAATCTTAAATTAATGACTATAAATAGTCAAATAACATTCAAATTCTAATTACTTAGAGATATATAGGTAAAACCAAAAAACATGTGTACGTATATCTTTATTTCTCTTATCAAAAAAATAGCTATGTTAAAAAGTCCAGCAAATAGAAGATTTCAATAAATTTAAGCTTTATCTTCCACTTGGTACTTTATTCATTTGGCCCAAAGGAATAGTGGACCAATTATTTGCCAACTCCTTGATTTTGTAATTAATTTAGCTGAATGTTGAATGTGTTGTTTTGGATGGATATCAGTTAAAAACAGTCACAAAACTGGACTATAGTAAGACCAAGCTCATAATATTTGCTATCTTAAAGATTATACGAATCTGTGATGTCAAATTCATTTTTGGAGCCTGCTTTGGCCAACTGCAACATTGCTTTATTCCTCAGCCAAAGAAGAATGCAATCTGGGAGTACAGACGCTCCTCAATTCCCAATAAGCCCATCATAAATTGAAAGTATCAGAAGATGAATGTGCATTTAATATATTTATCCTAATCATAGTTTAGCCTAGCCTACTTTAAACACTCTCAGAACAATTACATTAACCTACAGTTGGACAAAATCATCTAATGTAAAGGCTATTTTATAATAAAATGTTGACTATCTCATGTGATTAATTGAACACTGTATGAAAGTGAAAAACCGAATGGCTGTATGGGTACTCAAAATACAGTTTCTACTGAATGTGTCTCATTCTTAAAAAATCATTAAGTCAAACCATTGTCAACCAGGGACATCTGTGCTACAGGAGATAGGAAAATGATCAACTCTGGGAGACATAAGAATGCCTGATTTAAATAAGGACTATTTTGTCTTCTGTGTGCTTTAATCATTAGATTTAATCAGAAATCTGGAAGTTAGTGATTGGTAGTAACCTTACAACCTGAAACAGACAGCTGGACATTCACCAGGTGGAGGACTTCAGAGGCATGTTCTGTGACCTTTAGATCTCTTCAGGGTAGGCTTTTTATTTACCTTGGAGTTCAATCAGATGTTCTAGTTCACATTCAAGAATTCAACAAAAGGCCAGGCACAGTGGCTCACACCTGTAATCCCAGCACTTTGGGAGGCCAAGGTGGGTGGATCACCTAAGGTCAGGATTTCAGACCAGCTTGGCCAACATGGCGAAATCCCATCCCTACTAAAAATACAAAAATTAGCTGGGTGTGGTGGCAGGCGCCTGTAATCCCAGCTACTCGGGAGGCTGACCCAGGGAGAATTCCTCTGCCTGTGAGGTTGCAGTGAGGCAAGGTTTTGCCATTGCACTCCAGCCTGGGTGACACAGCAAGACTCTGTCTCAAAAAAAAAAAAAAAAGAATTCAACAAAAGAAAGTTTTTAGCCATTTCATTAAGTATTTTTACTTACTTATCAAGCACTCATTCACCAAAGAATGTATTGATTTCCAACAGTATACAAAAACACTTTGCCAATTAAGGAGAGTAGTCCGGGAAGAGAAGTAGAGAAATAAATAAGACATAATTCCTGGCCTCTAAGAACACCTAACCTAGTAGGATAAATGAGACATATTTGCCCATCAGCACATTACAAGGTAGAATATGCCATAAGACGAATGTAGATAATATGCAATATGAGTTCAAAGGCAAAAGGGATTATTTGCGATTGGCATGAGTCAAAAAACTATTCAATGGTTTTATTATTGATATCACAATATGGAGCAATTAGAATTATCTTAGAAGCAAGGATCTCAGAATTAGGAGAATGCTGAGAAATCAAGTCCAGTTCTCTCTCCCATGGGTTCTAAAGTGGAAATGCATGGACTTGCTTTAGGTCTATGTGTGTTCAGATTCTCTACATTGCCTTTCATTCTGTTTCCTTTGGAGACACACTTTCTTCTACCCTGCCATTAAGCGGGAAAGCTCCTCAAGGATTAACCACAGGCCCATCTACCCACATCCATGACTTCAATAACTCTCTCTCTCTCTCTCTGTCTCTCTCATGACACATAATCTCTCTCCAGCCTAGATTTCACTTCTAAGTTCTAGACCCATATATTTCACTGACTTCTTGTCCTCTCCACTAATAAAACTTAAAAGCAGCTTACACTTAACACATCCAAGATCTACCTCATAATCTGCCCCTTCATACCTGGTCCTCTTTAATAAATTTCTCCCTACTCCTCCGTCCAGTCCTTAAATCCCTGCAACCCAATCTCCACACCCTGGAGCATGATTTTTTAACCCACATCTGACCATGTTATACTTTTTCTAAAACACTTTAGCAGCTCTCCATTTTTTGTTAAAGGCTAAACTCCACACATGGGCTGCATGGTTTTGAATTTTTTTTTTTTTTTTTTTGCTGCAAATAATAGAATCACCCACTCAACTGGTTTCAATAACAGTGATGTCACTTAACAAGTTGTCCTTGAAAATGGTGGCTCCAGATGGATCATCCACATCTCCAAAAGCCCAGTTTCCTTCCTTCTTTCTTATTGTCATTGAATTTTGTTTAAAGATTTCTGGTTTGTGCTCACCATGGTTGTAGTAATGAAGGAAACATTTTCTTTCCATATCAGTCCCTCACTAAACTGTTACCAAAGTGCCCTTATTTTGTCCCATCATTATAGTGAAGGTGTTTTTGCAAAGCATTGTCAAGTGTGAGCCTGTGGCTTTGCGGGGTACAGCCTCCCTCCTGGCTGCTTTCACGGGCTGGCATTGTCTGCAGCTTTCCCAGGCACATGGTGCAAGCTGTCAGTTTATCTACCATTCCAGGGTCTGGAGGATGGTGGCCCTCTTCTCAAAGCTCCACTAGGCAGTGCCCCAGTGACTTTCTGAAGGAGCCCCAACACCACATTTCCCTTCCGCACTGCCCTAGCAGAGGTTCTTCATGAGGGCCCTGCCCCTGCAGCAAACTTTTGCCTGGGCATTCAGGCATTTCCACATAACTTCTGAAATCTAGACAGAGGTTCCAAACCTCAATTCTTGACTTCTGTGCATTTGCAGGCCCAACACCACATGGAAGCTGCCAAGGCTTGGGCTTGCACCCTCTGAAGTCACAGCCTGAGCTGTACATTGGCCCCTTTCAGCCACAGCTGGAGCAGCTGGGACACAGGGCACCAAGTCCCTAGGCTGCACACAGCACAAAGACACTGGGCCTGGCCCACAAAACCACTTTTTCCTCCTAGGCCTCTGGGCCTGTGTTGGGGGCACTGCCATGAAGGTCTATGACATGGCCTGGAGATATTTTCCCCATAGTCTTGGGGATTAACATTAGGCTCCTTGCTACTTATGCAAATTTCTGCAGCAGGCTTGAATTTCTCCCCAGAAAATGGGTTTTTTCTTTTCTATCGCATAGTTAGGCTGCAAATTTTCCAAACTTTTATGCTCTGCTTCCCTTATAAAACTGAATGGCTTTAACAGCACCCAAGTCACCTCTTAAATGCTTTGCTGCTTAGAAATTTTTTTCCACCAGATACCCCAAATCATCTCTCTCAAGTTCAAAGTTCCACAAATCTGTATGGCAGGGGCAAAATGCCACCAGTCTCTTTGCTAAAACATAACAAGAGTCACCTTTGCTCCAGTTCCCAACAAGTTCTTTGTCTCCATCTGAGACCACCTCAGCCTGGATTTTATTGTCCATATTGCTATCAGCATTTTGGGCAAAGCCATTCAACAAGTCTCTAGGAAGTTCCAAACTTTCCCACATTTTCATGTCTTCTTCTAAGCCATTCTAACTGTTCCAATCTCTACCTGTTACCCAGTTCCAAAGTTGCTTCCACATTTTTGGTTATCTTTTCAGCAATGCCCCACTCCACTGGTACCAATTTACTCCATTAGTCTGTTTTCATGCAGCTGATAAAGATATACCCAGGGCTGGGAAGAAAAAGAGGTTTAATTGGACTTAGAGTTCCACATGGCTGGGGAGGCCTCAAAATCGTAGAGGGAGGTGAAAGGCACTTCTTACATGGTGGTAGCAAGAGAAAATGAGGAAGAAGCAAAAGCAGAAACCCCTGATAAACCCATCAGATCTTGTGAGACTTATTCAGGATCATGAGAATAGCACGGAGAACGGCCCCCATGATTCAATTACGTCCCCCTGGGTTCCTCCCACAATATGTGGGAATTCTGGGAGATAAAATTCAAGTTGAGAGTTGGATGGGGACACAGCCAACCATATGATGATCTCATACCAATTTATTCACAAAGCACCAGCAGCCAATGAGCTGCAAGGTCAGAAATATTCAGCTGTGTTGGACTAAAATGTTTAATTGTGTTTGGTCAAGCATACATTGGCACACCATGTTGCCTTTGGGCTATCTCCCAACAAAATAAAATATTCACTAATTATGAGTCATACATTCTCTCCTTGCTATGTACTTTGCTGTGTTGAATGCATGCAGGGCTTTAACTTGAGATCATGAAATAAAAGGAAATATAAGAAGTATGATTTTTAAAATTTTAGTGCCATGTATTAGAGGAGAGTCACTCTGGATAGAAAGGCAATATGAGATATTCAATGGTGTGTCTCTCTTTCCCTCCTTGGGAATGGTATGATGTTGACAGAAGCACAAGGTTGCTAAGCTAAATACTGCAGGTTCTGATTCAATATCAACTGCAAATAAAATCTGATGAACAAAAAAGTAATTTGGGGTGAAAACAATATGTTGTTTGTGGTAATTCCTTAAAGGTAGCCAAAGTAACATTTGTGACCTCAAAAAGAAGCCAGCTGTTTCAGCTTAAGGAAAGACCAAAATTAGGATGAGGAGGGAGTAGACTCATGTAGCTCTAGTCTAATCCAAGAGTATAAAAGCTGTGACACAATGACCCTATGATGAGCTCACAGAAGAAAAGCAGAAGCCAAAATGAAATGGTCTTTCCATAATTAGCAAAATACACAGAAGACTTGTAAGGAGAGCTCTATAAAGTTTATGTAATGAAATCAGGTGGAATTTGGTGGTGAATGTTAACCAAGTGACAATTTTGGATGAAAACCAAACATGAATGTTCTGGATGTTTTCCAATCTTGATCAGGAAATGCTTAATTTGTCAAAACTGCTTTGCATTTTGAAGATCATTTGAATCTCCATCTGCGTTTGAAAGTTGAACTAAGTGATCTAAAGTTAACTGATCAAATATTTTCAAAACATCCATAATTCCAGGAATCTTATAAAGAAGTATAAGAAAGACATTGCCATCTGATACCCATTACGATGGCTACTAACAAAATAATAATAATAACAGAAAATAATAAGTGTTGGCAAGGATGTGAAGAAATTGGAACCCTTGTGTGCTATCAGTAAGATCATAAAATGGTGCAAGTGCTATGGAAAACAGTACAAAGCTTCCTGAAAACATTAAAAATACAACTATCATATGACCTAGGACTCCCATTTCTGGATAGATATCAAAAAGAATTAAAAGTAGGGTATCCAAGAATTGTTTGCACGCCTATGTTCATAGCAGCACTATCCACAATAACCGAGGTGAAAGCAACCCAAGTATCTATTGACAGATAAATCAATAAACAAAATGTGGTATATACATACAGTGGAATATTATTCAGCCTTAAAAAGGAAGGATATACTTTTGCATGCTGCAACATGGATAAATCCTAAGGACATTATACTAAATGAAATAAGCCAGACACAAAAGGACAAACATGTTATGATTCCACTTATATGAAGTATCTAAAGCAGTCAAATTCATAGAAACAGAAAGTAGAATAGTGGTTACCAGGGGCTAGATGGAGAAGAAAAAGGAGATTTGTTGAATGGGTATAGAATTCCAGATTTGCAAAACAAAAAATTCTGGAGATTTGTTTCACAACAATGCAAATATACTTGACACTACTAAACTGTACAGTGAAAAATGGTTAAGATGGTAAATTTTATGTTATGTATCTATTACCATAATATAGCAGAGAGAGAGAGAAAGAAAAGCAATGCCAATGCTTTTGTTGACAATTCACATCAAGAGAGAAAGGGTGGGGGACTTCCTCACAAACAACAGAAAAATGGGTGGGAGAAGGAATACAAAGTTTTAAGGGGTCAAGGTTCTCTCTCCCAGTAGCTTAAGAGCTACAGGGGCTTCAGTGTGTTACTGAAGATAGAGCTAAAGTGATAATCTCAGGGTATCAGAGCGACTGAATGAGTTGTACAAGTCCTCCTTTCTGCTAATTTCAAGTCTCCTCAATTCTGAATATCTTGGCAGATCCACATCTTTTGACAACACAGACTTACTCTCTCCTCCTTAGAATATATACTACCTGAACTTTCATGGCAGGATCTTCATATGATTTGTCCTGTCCATTTTGGGGAGATAAATAAGAGAAAGTGTTACACTCCAGGAGCTAAAACACAAGAGTGGATTGGACCTGGGGCAGGGGGAAACCTGGGTCTAAAGATGGATATGCATGGTTCTTCAGGTTGGAGCAAGGCGACAGTTCAAAACAATCAGGCAGTGAGAAACCGCATGACAGCAATGAACTGAATACAAGGTGAGTCAGTGGGTCTGAGCCTCAGAAATGGAGATCAATAGCGTGGACTCTTGGCATGAATCAGAGCCCAGGTGGGAAGTGTGACCAACAGAGGTTTCAGGACTCAGATAGGTGATCCCGGCAGCAGACCCAGGAGCCCTGCAGCAAAACGTCACCTACTGCCCCCATCAGACAGCTCCTCCCAAGAGTACCTCAGACCACCCTATGCAAAAACTCACTGCACTCACACACCCTGATGCAGGACTGTGGCAACACCTGACACTTCCTACTAATGAAGAAAGGGCATCCGCTGTGGATCTTGTTCAGATTACGTCAGATCACAAAAATTTCATCTCTGGCAGCATGGAGGACATGATTACCTGGAAACTGCTCACTACAGAACAGCTAGAAATACTAGATGAATATAACGAACATTCTTTTAAATGCATAGCTGAGCTCACAAAAAAATTAAGGGAAAGCTCCAGGGGTCTGAAATGCAGAAGGAACTAAATGAACACCAGCATAGTAAGAGCAGGAGCCAAAGGGCCATTGTTCCAGGTACTAAGTGAGTGGGGAGGTGACCAGTTTGCATAAATCAATACTTGGGCTTTAACGGCCTTGCAGGAACAGAGAATAAATGCTTCATGGAAAATTTGCCACGACTAAGTATCTCTCTTGGGTGATCCTGGGTGACTCTCAGCCTCCCCATCAGAACCAGTCCCAGATCTTTCTTCCCATTGGCTGGTCCTGAGGAATAACAAGATAAATTTACTTCAGTGCTTCTCTGCATACATTTCTCCTTATCAGAAAGAGGAGGTTAAGTAACTTGACTCCAATGACAGATCCTGGAGAATCTTGGGGTCCTCAAGCCTTAGCAGCATTTAGTCACCTACAGGTCTTCGGCTACTCCTCTACTCACCTAGGTTCACAAAGGCTACAAATACATCTTCTACTCTCCCTGCATGCCCCATTCCAAGACTAATGGATTCTAGACTCTATAGTCTGGGAGACCCCTAGCCCAGAACCTACCTTGCCTTAAAGAGAACAGTCAAGCTCTGAGTGTTCTTTCAAAAATGAAGCAGTTCCTCCTTTTAGAAGGAAGAAGTTTGCCATTTTTAAAAGCCAAATATGATGTCTTTCCTTTAACAAATCTCTATGGTGACAGCTTTCATCATGGCTACTTCAAGTCTGGGACCAGTACCTGGGAGGAGAATTGGAGGTCTTAGGAAGCGGCACCAAGCTGTAAAGTCAGGAAACTAGTAGGTACCCGGATGGGGAGTGCAGGGGGAAAGGAGCACATGGTTACAATAAAAACAGAGCTCCTTGTTGGTGGTGTTCATTCTCCTCAAATAAGGAATTCCATGTTTTCCACAGAAAGTGAATATGAGAAGGTCAGTTAGCCCTGCGATGATTCGCTGAAATGCACCCCGAGTAGCTGTATGTTCACTGGGAGACCCCCATTGGCATTGCATGCTGTAAATTATGGCATTCCTAAGAGGTAACAAGAGAGGTTCTGTCAGCTGTGCAATTACTTTGTTTTGGCAGGACACTTTGGAGTCAAGAAAACATTGGCTGGAGTTCAAGGCCAAGATTTTGGATCAGCTGCCACCATAATTTTTCAGAAATGTGATGACTGTACCTCAAGAAATAGTTTCCTAAGTAGGCTGCAGGAATGTCTCCTGCACATACTCGAAAGGGATTTAAAGAATGAAGCCCTTGGGGACCTACCAGTGCAGCTGAGTTACCATGGGCTTTTCAAGCAAAGGGTGAGAAGTCCAAGTTGCATCACAAATCCTCCTCACCAAATGTAGTGAAGGAATTAGAGAGTGGCTTTCGATGGAGCTAGGACATGCCTGGACTCTGTATGTTCTACATGATATATGAGCACAATAATATATAATAAAATATGTCTAGACAACCTACATAGAGCTTCTCTTTTCTTCATTGCAAGATCTGTGCTAAACTAAACAATGTAAGCTCGCTACAATGCCCAGTATCCTGTTTGGATGTAATGATAATCTAGTGGACAGTCATGTGAACTTCTAAACCACCTTCCAGCTCTCGAGAGGACCACTGAAGTCCTGCTTGCTCTCATTTTCTCTTTATTGTCTATTCCCAATCCTTTATTTGTGTATCAGAAAGCATCATTCATACTTTAAAAATTCAGAGGATCATTGCAAGTTGAATACCCAAGTCTATGGCTTGGTATGAAGAACATTCTCTACCCTTTTTTTTTTTTTTTTTTTTAAGAAGGAGTCTCGCTCTGTTGCCAGGCTGGAGTGCAGTGGTGCAATCTCAGCTCACTGCAACCTCTACCTCCCTGGTTCAAGCGATTCTCCTGCCTCAGCTTCCCGAGTAGCTGAGACTACAGGCATGCACCACCACGCCCAGCTAATTTTTGTATTTTTAGTAGAGGCAGGGTTTCACCATGTTGGCCAGGATGGTCTCGATCTCTTGACTTCACGATCCACCTGCCTCAGCCTCCCAAAGTGCTGGGATTACAGGCATGAGCCACCGTGCCTGGCCTCTCTACCCTTTTTTATTTAGTGTAACATTGCATCTAGACACTCTGTAATTAACACCGTATGTTGTGGTTGTCAAGGGAAACATTTACAGTGTGCCTGACTGAGGTCCTAAGATAGAAAAGAAGATAAACTTTAGGTGACAGAAGGTTGGGTGTGAAATAGAATCTGTGTTGAGTCAGAAATACCATTCTGGAACCACAGTGGTAATGCCTAGGGAGACACTGAGCATGTTCAGCCAATAGGGAGGAAGAGAGAAAACACTAGTGTTTTGAGGGCAGTAGCTGGGCCATGCAAATAATATCCTGAAAAAAATGAGATAAGACATTAATTTATTGAGCTGGGCACAGTGGCTCACACCTGTAATGCCAACACTTTGGGAGGCCGAGGCAGGTGGATCATTTGAGGCCAGGAATTCAAGACCAGCCTGATCAACATGGTGAAACCCCATCTCTACTAAAAATACAAAAAAATTAGCCGGGCATGGTGGTGAGCACCTGTAGTCCTAGCTACTCGGGAGGCTGGGCAGGAGAATCGCTTGAACCTGGGAAGCGGAGGTTGCAGTGAGCTGGGATTGTGCCACTGCACTCCAGCTGGGAGATACAGCGAGACTCTGTCTCAAAACAGAAAAAAAAAGACATTAATTTATTATGAACCTTTACATTCCTTTTAGAAATTTTATAGGAATAAAATTAAGTATATTAAAATACTGCTCTATAGGAGATTTTAAAAGATAGCAGCTGATCTCTGAAAGTTTATATAGTTAACACAAATGATTTCCAAAGTGGAAGCTGATGCTGAATTCTTCATTCCATTTAGGAAATTATAATCATTATTCGTGGGGAAGCCTGTAAAAATTCCTCTGCTTTAATATAAATGTGCTTAGATTGGTTCTACCTTATAAATACAATATTTCAAATGTCACAGAGATAATATCTTGCAAATGGATATGGACTGAAGTCTTACTTGGAAGGCCTACAGTTTCAATTGTTTACAACTGAATTTTTATGTTCCATAGATTTTATGTTTCCACCTTCATCATGTGTGCCATGCATTTGTAAGTGGTGTGTGGGAGTAGAGGCAGTAAATTTAGGAGGAGGCAACAGGCCTGGAAGGTTGAATAACAGAGCTTCCCCTTATCAGATTCCTGGTGATTCTCTTCCTTTGTGTCCCCCCTCCCCTTCCCATCCATCCCCCAAATTACGATGCACACACAAACCTCACTAAAATACTTCAGGTTTCTGGTGAGACAACAATTTGGGACTTTCAGCTGAGGCCATAAAAGAATTTTTTTATGTTAAGGATTTCTGTTTCAGGAATTGAGATCTCTGATCTCCTGGCAGACCTCAGAACAGAACTTTCTCCAGGGCCATTATGAAGCTGGAAAATTCACCCTAAAATTCAAGATACTTTTCAGGGTCAGAGGTGTCCTCATTCACTAGCAAAAAAAGAGCACTAGTTAGATTTTTGAAGCCTTGGGTTGGCCAGTTTCCCCGCTATGAGATTTAACTTCATAGAACATCAATTTCCTTATCTCTGAAAGAGAAGTGTCATTGATGGGCTGGGTTCTGGGTCTACCTAGTAGAAAGAAGAGAATGGGAGGCAGTGGTGTCCTGGTAAGCACATAAGAACCAGGTCTGAGGAAAATGTGTCATGATTTGCAGCATTTGTTGATTTCCATGATGTAAATACTTGTACCGTGGCTGATTTCAAGCTACCAACGTGACATCATGGAACACAGAGTTGGGAAGAGATGCACAGAGCCCATCATCACATAGGATTTCCATCCTATGAAAAGGCAAATATAAATAACCTCAACAACATAGATAATAGTAATATGTAGTAAAAATCATTAGGAAGTGCTGTTTTGCATGTACAAAAATAAACTCAAGATGAATTAAAGACTCAAAAGTAAAACCCAAAACTTAAAAAAAAAAAATCCCTGGAAGATAACCTAGGCAATAACATTCTGGACAAAGAAACAGGCAAAGATTTCATCACGAAGATGCCAGAAGCAATTCCAACAAAAGCAAAAATTGACAAATAGTATCTGATTAAACTAAAGAGCTTCTGCAGAGCAAAAGAAACTATCAACAGAGTAAAGAGACAACCTACAGAATGGAAGAAAATATTTGTAAACTACACATCTGACAAAGGTCTAGTAACCAGCATCTCTAAGAAATGTTAACAAATTTAAAAGAAAAAAAAACATTAAAAAGGGGGCAAAGGACATGAACAGACATTTTTCAAAAGAAGGCATGTATGTGGCCAATAAGCATATGAAAAAAAAACTTAACATCATTGATCATTAGAGAAATGCGAATCAAAACCACAATGAGATACCATCTCACACCAGTCAGAATGGCTATTATTAAAAAGTTAAAAAATAACTGATGCTGGTGAGGTTACAGAGAAAAAGGAAGGTTTATACACTGTTAGTAGGAGTGTAAATTAGTTCAACCACTGTGGAAGAAAGTGTGGTGATTCCTCAAAGATCTAAAAACAGAAATACCATTTTACCCAGCAATCTCATTACTGGGTATACACCCAAAGGAATATAAATCATTCTATCATAAAGACATATGCATGCGTATGTTCATTGCAGCAGTATTCACAGTAGCAAAGACATGGAATCAACAAAAATGCCCATCAATGGTAGACTAGATAAAGAAAATGTGGTACATATACATCATGGAATACTATGCAGCCATAAAAAAGAATAAGATCATGTCCTTTGCAAGGACATGGATGGAGCTGGAAGCCATTATCCTTAGCAAACTGACACAGGAACAGAAAACTAAATACCACATATTCTTAATCCTAAGTGGGAGCTGAGTAATGAGAACACATGGACACATAGAGGGGAACAACACACATTGAGACCTATTGGAGGGCGGAGGGTGGGAGGAGGGAGAAGATCAGGAAAAATAACTAATGGGTACTAGACTTAATATCTCGGTGGTGAAATAATCTGTACAACAAACCCCCGTGACATGAGTTTACCTATGTAACAAATCTGCACGTGTACTCCTGGACTTAAAAGTTTAAAAAAAAAAAAAAAAGAAAGAAAGTGGTGCTTTGAGTATTCATTACCTTTGCTTTTCATAAAGCTTATTTAATTATAAGTTTTTATAATTTTGTTTTTCAAGAATGGCTTAGTTCCCAACCAGTTCACAAAATTTCTAACAATTTAATCATTTGTTCTCACAAGCCAATCTGAGCCAGCTCCAGCACACTCCTAGTGGGTTGATTTCTTTTATATGAGAGAGATGAACCAGAGAATGCCAATTCATTCTTAAATAAAATATAATAATAGCTTTGAGCTGAGGCTTACTTGAATGAGAAGATACAGGATCTTGGGTGGGTAGAAATGATAATAAAATGCAAAAAGCATCCCTGTTATGCAGGGATTTGGAGTCAGGGGCTTTTTTTTTTTTCTCTCTCTCTCAAGTCAAAGCAGCTAAGTTTAGAAAAGTCTTAAAGTTAGAAAAATACGTTTTAGTTTCACAGTTTGGAAGGATCCACTAAGTAAAACGTCTCTAATGTGTTGTCACATTATTATCACTCCCATTATTGCTGTTGTTATAAGCCAGTGAGTAGTGATCTGTTTCACTACAGAGGCTGCTTGTAAATGCAGCTGAAACTTCAACCTCGGGGCCTTGATTTGAGAAGCAGCTCTGAAAACCTTTCAAGGAAAGAGCAGTGGTCTGAGATGTTTGTTTTGCCAACGGTTTTGGTTTGAGGATGACTTGTTTGTCACTCAACTATAGTCAGAATGTGAGAGATCTTTCACAGAAGGACAGAGATACACTATTAGGAACCTGGGCTGGGACACAGGTTTTGTGTGGCCCTTAGAAGAATCAGCCAGCAAGGATTTACTGAACAGATAGCTCTAAGTCACTGGATATGAAACGAGGGAAAAACTGAATCCTGATGCCCAGGAGACAAGACACATTCTCATGTTACAATGAGTAAGCATGCAGATATGACATCATTCCATGCAGCAACAGCCTAAAGCAATGTTTCTAGATTCACAAATTTTATGAATTTCATTCAAGTCGAAAAAAATGTGAGTTTGCCAACTTTTTATTTTGTCAAGTAAGAATATAAAACAAAAAACCCACTATTATCACAATCATTTTTAACAGAAAAGGTATTTTCACAATTCATACACAAAATCATGAAGTTATAATGTGAGAAAAAAGCTTTACATATTGTTTTAAGTATTGATATTTAATATTTGATATTTAAGGCTGGGTCTGGTGGTTCACACCTGTAATCTCAGCACCTTGAGAGGCTGAGGTGGGAGGACCACTTGAACCCAGGAGTTTGAGACCAGACTGGGCAACATGGCAAAACCCTGTCTCCACCAAAGAAAAAAAAAAAAAAGCAAAAATTACTTGGGTGTGGTGGCATGTGCCTGTAGTTCCAGCCACTCAGGAGGCTGAGGTTGGAGGATACTTGAGCCTGAGGAAGGCGGAAGTTGCAGTGAGCTGAGATCACACCACTGCACTCCAGCCTGGGCAACAGAGCAAGACTGTCTAAAAAAAATTGATATTTAAATATTGAATCAGTTTATGTTTATGAACACTTCCCTACATCATCTTAATTCATCTTAATTTTTCTTTATTTCAGCACAGACTGGTAAAACTTTCTGAATTGATACCAGTCTACAGATGGGAATGTGGGAAGCCCTGAACTGTGATCCTCAATTCTGCTGTAAAGGCACTCTTTTCCTCTCATCATGATTGATAGGGCAGCAGGCAACAGGGGTGAAAGGTGGCAGACCCTCTAGAGGGTCCTCCAGGTATTCTTAAGGCATGCGCCCTGGAGACCACCAGCAGTACCACTGCAGCCATCAGAGTGGAGGAGCACCTGGGCTCTGCTGCCAGACTCCCTGCTGTCATATTCTGGCCCTGTCATTTCCTAGCTGTGTGACCGGGACAAGTTGTTTAACCACTCTTTGTCTCAGGGATGATGACAGTGCCTGCCTCAGTGGGTTGCAGTGAGGATTGTGTGAGATCTGGGGCTTAGCCCAGCGTGTGGAAGAGAGTCTGTGTCACACACATGAGCTCTCATCCTTGCTCCAGCCAGGACCCTCACACCCACAACCTTGGGTGTGCCTCAGTGTCTTTATCTGTGGAATTGAGAGGTGAAGCCAGCTAGACTTCCTGGGTCGAGTGGGGACTTGGAAAACTTTTCTGTCTTACAAGAGGATTGTAAAATATACCAATCAGCACTCTGTAGCTTCGATTGTAAAATGCACAAATCAACACTCTGTAGCTAGCAAGAGGATTGTAAAATGCACCAATCAGCACTCTGTAGCTAGCAAGAGGATTGTAAAACGCACCAATCAGTGCTCTGTAGCTAGCAAGAGGATTGTAGAACGCACCAATCAGCACTCTGTAAAGTGCACCAATCAGCAGGAGTCTAAAAGTAGCCAATCGCAGGGAGGATTGAGAAAAGGGCACTCTGATAGGACAGAAACAGAACATGGGAGGGGACAAATAAGGGAATAAAAGCTGGCCACCCCAGCCAGCAGCAGCAACCCACTCAGATCCCCTTCCATGCTGTGGAAGCTTTGTTCTTTCACTCTTTACAATAAATTTTGCTGCTGCTCACTCTTTGGATCCGTGCCACTTTTAAAAGCTGTAACACTCACGGCAAAGGTCTGTGGCTTCATTCTTGAATTCAGCAAGACCATGAATCCACCAGAAGAAATCAACTCCAGACACAGAATGAGGATGAGGATGAGGATGAGAATGTACCTGCTCTGAGCCACACACTAAAGAGACCCCCAGGGCCTCCGTTATGGACCAGTCTTAACACTAGGAACCCAGCAACTTGAGGCACTAAGTAAATAAGGTTTACCTCATGAAAATATTAATGGCTCCAGTCTATTGAGTTTCTGGTGCATATCAGTCACCACTTGAAAACCCTACAAAGGAGTTATTATCCTCCCAGTTGTACAAAGGCAGAAACTGAGGCCCAGAAAGGTCCTATGGTTTGCAGAAGCCACAAAGCTAGAAAACAGAAAAGCAGGGATTTATGATCTCTTAGAGTCTTTCTTGTGGGAAGCCACTTAAGAATAAGCCAGTTTTCAGAAAATCTGATTTCATAATGCAGACTTATTATGGAATATTAGCATTACAAAAATGCTATAGTTTCTTCAAGTAATAATTCCCCTGGTACAGCAAATATTTTGTTTTGGAATCACTTATTACTTGATAAAGAGCTAAAGAGAGAGAAAGACAAATCTACAGTGTCAGTCAATTCTCTGAAGGCCAGCAGCCTGGAAATTATAATGTCAAAAGGATAAATAAGGTAGCAATAGAAGAGAGAAGAGCTCACCAATTAGCCGTACACACAGGGTTTGCAAACCCTAAAATAAGTTTGTGAAGACAGCTGGGTTTAAGAACATCAGGAGTGTAGGGAGGCTCGCAAATCGAAAGCATTTGCCCCATCCAAAGACATTCACATTCAATTTCTTTCTAAAAACTGGTTGCCCAAACAAAACGCATCTGCCAACCACCCGTTCATAGCCCCTGAGACACAAAATAAGGTAGAGTTCATTTCAGGTTAGGGGGAGCAGGGACGCTTACAGAGGAAATAGGATTTCAAACTGCAGATGGGTGGACTCAATTAGAAAGCAAAGGATTTTTCAGGCAGGAGGAACAGTGGGAATTGAGAGTTTCTGGCAGGAAAGGGCAGGGAAGTAAATCAATTTCAGTTAAGTCAAATGCAGCACAATTTAACTGCATCAAAGCAATAGTGAATGATAATAAACCAATACAGAAAGACTGAGGTTGTAGGGCTTTGGACATCAGGCATAGAATATGGAACCTGATCTGTGGGGAATAGGAGTACTTAAAGGTTTTTGAGCAAGGGAGTGAAACTGCTACACTGTCTGGGGTACATACCCTGGGGTTCATTGTCAAGCACTGAGAAAGAATTCAGGACATGGACACATGTGGGTGGGTTAAAGAGTGGAAAGTTTAATAGACAGGAGAAAGGAGGGAAGAGAGCAGCTCCTTGCCAAAGAGAAAGAGATGTCCGAAAAGAGGGGAAGCCGCAGACCACAGCAGATTTTATAGGCAGGATGGAGAAGGCAGTGTCTGATTTACATAGGGCTCATAGATTGGTTCAATCAGGTATGACATCTCTACATAGCGCGTGAGGAAGGCTGGTCTAATTTTCTTATGCAAATGGTTTTCCAGTCGATCAGTGCCATCTTCTCTGCACATTTACAGCACACGTGGCTGGCAGAGAAGGGAAGATGGAGCCGCCATCCTGAATAGGTCTAGTCCTTAGTTCCTGCCAGCATTCACCCCTGCAAGCTCCTAGCTTGGAGGCTGCTCTTTGTTAGAAAATGATTTGGGGTTGCTTTTCATTAAAAAAGAAAAGCCTTACCAAGTACTCCCATACCCTTACTATCTGCCTAAGTAATTTCTTCTTAACTCCTATATCAGGAGTAACATTATCAGTGCAGTATTTTAGAAAGGATGAGATGGCAGTTGCATGAAAGAGGAGAGCTTAGAAGGAGCAGAGTTAGAAGGCTGCTTCCTCTCATTTGGATATAAGGTGATGAAGGCCTTGTTTAGGGGCAGTGAAAATGGAGACGGAGAGATGGGTGTGAGGTGATGAAAAGGAAGGGAAGTCACTTATGGAAGACTGAAAATGACGAATAATGGATTGAGCCATTTGGTGTAGCCACTGCCTACAGCTGTTAGCCTAACTCCAAACCCCAGCTCTGCCACTAGTTAACTGTGAGACCTTGGGCAAGTTACTTAATTTCTCTGTGCCTTAGTTTACACATTCTTTTCTTTTATTTATTTTTTTTTCTTGTGTTGGTAGAGCTTTATTGTGGGGGGAGCGGGGAACCAGATGATGCCATTTACTTTGTAACTGCAATATTTCTGTGAGAGGTGCGAAAACATACAAACATACTGATATTTTATACGTGGGGTTAAATGATTCATCTAACACACCCAAACAAGACACTTGAGCCCACAAACAAGTCTTGATCCTGTCTCTGATTGACTCCCAACCTCCACTTGTTTTCACCATCCCATAAAGCCTTTTAAAACCTCTCTGACTGATATGGTTTGGCTGTGTCCCCACCCAAATCTCATCTTGAGTTGCAGCTCCCATAATCCCCATGTGTTGTGGGAGGGACCCAGTGGGAGGTAATTAAATCATGGTGGCAGATTTTCCCAGGCTGTTCTTGCGATAGTGAATAAGTCTCTTGTGATCTGATGGCTTTAAAAAGTGCAGTTCCTCTGCACACACTTTCTTACCTCCCACTATGTAAGACGTGCCTTTGCTCCTCCTTCACTTTCCACCATGATTGTGAGGCCTCCCCAGACATGTGGAACTATGAGTCCATTAAGCCTCTTTTTCTTTATAAGTTACCCAGTCTCAGGTATGTTGTCAGTATGTATCAGTATGTATCAGTATCATACACTGGCTATGGAGATAACCATCCTCCCTGACACTAGGTACTAGACGCAATACCTTGACTTTGCTAGAATTAATACCCCCAGGCCAATTTATTTTAATTCATCAAACATTTCTTTTTATTTCTTTTTTTTTTAGTCCAAATAGAATTTAATCAGAAGAAAGATAGGTGGATTACATTTTTAAAATGCTGATCAAAATAAAGATGCTCTAACTATATAAATAGCAGATGAAACAGACTTTAAAGTAAAAAAAGGTTATCACACAATATATCAGAAAATATAACAAACCTGAACTAACAAACATCAGCAACATAGCTCCAAAATATTAGATCAAACTATATGAAATTGCCAATGGTTGACCACTTTTTGACTTACAAAAGCAACAATTCATATAAAGATCAATAAAATTATGATAAATCAAATTTTTTTATTATGTTCTGGGATACATGTGCGGAACGTGCAGGTTTGTTACATAGGTATACATGTGCCATGGTTGTTTGCTGCACCCATCAACCCGTCATCTACATTAGGTATTTCTCCTAACACTATCCCTCCCCTAGCTCCCCACCCCCCAACAGGCCCCAGTGTGTGATGTTCCCCTACCTGTGTCCATGTGTTCTCATTCTTCAACTCCTACTTATGAGTGAGAACATGTGGTGTTTGGTTTTCTGTTCCTGTGTTAGTTTGCTGAAAATGATGGTTTCCAGCTTCATCGATGTTCCCGGAAAGGACGTGAACTCATCCTTTTTTAAGGCTGCATAGTATTCCATGGTGTATATGTGCCACATTTTCTTTATTGAGTCTATCAGTGATGGGCATTTGGGTTGGTTCCAAGTCTTTGTTATTGTGAACAGTGCTACAATAAACATATATGTGCATGTGTCTTTATAGTAGAATGATTTATAATCCTTTGGGTATATTATCAGTAATGGGATTGCTGGGTCAAATGGTATTTCTGGTTCTAGATCCTTGAGGAATCACCATACTGTCTTCCACAATGGTTGAACTAATTTACACTCCCACCAAGTGTAAAAGCGTTGAGATGTTATCTCATTGTGGTTTTGATTTGCATTTTTCTAATGACCAGTGATGATGAGCCTTTTTTCATATGTTTGTCAGTGACATAAATGTCTTCTTTTGAGAAGTGTCTGTTCATATCCTTTGCCAATATTTTGATGGGGTTGTTTTTTTCTCTTAAATTTGTTTAACTTCTTCATGGATTCTGGATATTAGCCCTTTATCAGATGAATTGATTGCAGAAATGTTATCCATTCCGTAGATTGCCTGTTCACTCTGATGTTAGTTGCTTTTGCTGTGTAGAAGCTCTTTAGTTTAATTAGATCCCATTTGTCAAGTTTGGCTTTTGTTGCCATTGCTTTTAGTGTTTTGGTCATGAAGTCTTCGCCCATGCCTATATCCTGCATGGTATTGCTTAGGTTTTCTTCTAGGGTTTTTATGGCTTTAGGTCTTATGTTTAAGTCTTTAATTCATCTTGAGTTAATTTTTGTATAAGGTGTATGGAAAGGGTTCAGTTTCAGTTTTCTACATATGGCTAGCCAGTTTTCCCAACACCATTTATTAAATAGGGAATCCTTTCCCCATTACTTCTTTTTGTCAGGTTTGTTGAAGATCAGATGGTTGTAGATTTGTGGCATTATTTCTGGGGCCTATGTTCTGTTCCATTGGTCTATATCTCTGTTTTGGTACCAGTGCCGTGCTGTTTTGGTTACTGTAGCCTTGTAGTATAGTTTGAAGTCAGGTAGTGTGATGCCTCCAGCTTTGTTCTTTTTGCTTAGGATTGTCTTGGCTATACGAGCTCTTTTTTGGTTCCCTATGAAATTTAAAGTCGTTTTTTTCTAATTCTGTGAAGAAAGTCAATGGTAGCTTGATGGGGATAGCATTGAATCTATAAATTACTCTGGGCAGTATGGCCATTTTCACAATATTGATTCTTCCTATCCATGAATGTTTTTTTCCTATCCAAATGGAATGTTTTACCATTTGTTTGTGTCCTCTCTTATTTCTTTCTTTGTGTGTGTGTGTGTGTGTGTGTGTGTGTGTGTGTGTGTGTGTGTTCTCTCTTATTTCCTTGAAGAGTGGTTTGTAGTTCTCCTTGAAGGGGTCCTTCACATCCCTTATAAGTTGTATTCCTAGGTATTGTATTCTCTTCATAGCAATTGTGAATGGGAGTTCACTCATGATTTGGCTCTCTGTCTATTATTGGTGTATAGGAATGCTTGTGATTTTTGCACATTGATTTTGTATCCTGAGACTTTGCTGAAGTTGCTTATCAGCTTAAGGAGATTTTGGGCTGACACAATGGGGTTTTCTAAATATACAATCATGTCATCTGCAAACAGAGACAATTTGACTTCCTCTTTTCCTATTTGAATACCCTCTATGTCTTTCTCTTGCCTGATTTCCCTGGCCAGAACCTCCAATACTATGTTGAATAGGAGTGGTGAGAGAGGGAATCCTTGTCTTGTGCAGGTTTTCAAAAGGAACGCTTCCAGTTTTTGCCCATTCAGTATGATATTGGCTGTGGGTTTGTCAGAAATAGCTCTTATTATTTTGAGATATGTTCCATCAATACCTAGTTTATTGAGAGTTTTTAGCATGAAGGGGTGTTGAATTTTATTGAAGGCCTTTTCTGCATCTATTGAGATAATCATGTATGTGGTTTTTGTCATTGGTTCTGTTTATGTGATGAATTACATTATTGATTTGCATATGTTGAACCAGACTTGCATCCCAGAGATGAAGCCGACTTGTCATGGTGGATAAGCTTTTTGATGTGCTGCTGGATTCAGTTTGCCAGTATTTTACTGAGGATTTCCACACTGATGTTCATCAGGGATATTGGCCTGAAATATTCTTTTTTTGTTGTGTCTTTGCCAGGTTTTGGTGTCAGGATGACACTGGCCTCATAAAATGAGTTAGGGAGGAGTCCCTCTATTTCTATTGTTTGGAATAGTTTCAGAAGGAATGGTTTCAGAAGGAATGGTTTCAGAAGGAATAGTTTCAGCTCCTCTTTGTACCTCTGGTAGAATTCTGCTGTAAATCCATCTGGTCCTGGGCTTTTTTTGGTTAGTAGGCTATTAATTACTGCCTCAATTTCAGAACTTGTTATTGCTGTATTCAGGGATTTGACTTCTTTCTGTTTTAGTCTTGGGAGGGTGTATGTGTCCAGGAATTTACACATTTCTGCTAGATTTTCTAGTTTATTTGCATAGAGGTGTTTATAATATTCTCTGATGGTGGTTTGTATTTCTGTGGGATCAGTGGTGATATCCCCTTTATCATTTTTTATAGTGTCTATTTGATTCTTATCTATTTTCTTCTTTATTAATCTGGCTAGCAGGCTATGTATATTGTTAATTTTTTCAAAAAACCAGCTCCTGGATTCATTGATTTTTTGAAGGGTTTTTTGTGTCTCTATCTCCTCCAGTTCTGCTCTGATCTTAGTTATTTCTTGTCTTCTGCTAGCTTTTGAATTTGTTTGCTTTTGAATTTTATTCTCTTAAAAGGACTTGCTTCTCTAGTTCTTTTAATTGTGATGTTATGGTGTCGATTTTAGATCTTTCCTCCTTTCTTCTGTGAGCATTTAGTGCTATAAATTTCTCTCTAAACACTGCTTTAACTGTGTCCCAGAGAGTCTGATACATTCTGTCTTTGTTCTTATTAGTTTCAAAGAACTTATTTATCTCAGCCTTAATTTCGTTATTTACCCAGTCGTCATTCAGGAGCAGGTTGTTCAGTTTCCATGTAGTTGTGTGATTTTGAGTGAGTTTCTTAATCCTTACTTCTAGTTTGATTGCACTGTGGTCTGAGAGATTGTTTTTTATGACTTCTGTTCTTTTGCATTAGCTGAGGAGTGTTTTACTTCCAATTATGTGGTCAATTTTAGAATAAGTGAGATGTGGTGCTGAGAAGAATGTACATTCTATTGATTTGGGGTGGAGAGTTCTGTAAAATGTCTGTTAGGTCTGTTTGGTCCAGAGCTCAGTTCAAGTCATGAATATCCTAGTTAATTTTCTGTCTCATTGATCTGTCTAATATTAGCAGTGTGGTGTTAAAGTCTCCCACTACCATTGTATGGGAGTCTAAGTCTTTTCGTAGGTCTCTAAGGACTTGTTTTAAGAACTAGGGTGCTCCTGTTTTAGATGTGTATATATTTAGGACAATTAGCTCTTCTTGTTGCATTGATCTCTTTACCGTTATGTAATGCCCTTCTTTGTCTCTTTTGATCTTTGTTGGTTTAAAGTCTGTTTTATCAGAGACTACGGTTGCAACCCCTGGTTTCATTTTTTTTGTTTGTTTGTTTTGCTTTCCATTTGTTTGGTAAATATTCCTCCATCCCTTTATTTTGAGCCTATGTGTGTCTTTGCACATAAGATGGGTCTTCTGAATACAGCACACTGATGGATCTCAACTCTTTATCCAATTTGCCAGTCTGTGTCTTTTAACTGGGGCATTTAGCCTATTTACATTTAAGGTTAATATTGTTATGTGTGAATTTGATCCTGTCTTTATGATGCTAGCTGGTTATTTTGCCCATTACTTCATGCACTTTCTTCATAGCATCGATGGTCTTTACAATTTGGTATTTTTTGCAGTGGCTGGTACAAGGTTTTCCTTTCCATATTTAGTACTTCCTTCAGGAACTCTTGGAAGGCAGGCCTGGTGGTGATAAAATCTCTCATCTTGTCTGTAAAGAATTTTATTTCTCCTTTGCTTATGAAGCTTAGTTTGGCTGGATATGAAATTCTGGGTTGAAAATTCTTTTCTTTAAGAATGTTGAATATTGGCCCCCACTCTCTTTCTGGCTTATAAGCTTTCTGCAGAGAGATCCACTCTTAGTCTGATGGGCTTCCCTTTGTGGGTAACCCGGCCTTTCTCTATGGCTGCCCTTGACATTTTTTTTTCCTTCATTTCAACCTTGGTGAATCTGACGGTTATATGTCTTGGAGTTGCTCTTCTCGAGGAGTATCTTTGTGGCATTCTCTGTATTTCCTGAATTTGAATGTTGGCCAGTCTTGCTAGGTTGGAGAAGTTCTCCTGGATAATATCCTGAAGAGTGCATTCCAACTTGGTTCCATTCTCCTCATCACTTTCAGGTACACCAATCAAATGTAAGCTTGGTCTTTTCACATAGTCCCATATTTCTTGGAGGCCTTTGTTCGTTCCCTCTTGTACTTTTTCCTCTAATCTTGTATTCACGCTTTATTTCATTAAGTTAATCTTCAATCTCTGATATCCTTTCTTTTACTTGATGGATTTGGCTATTGATACTTGTGTATGCTTCACGAAGGTCTCGTGCTGTGTTTTTCAGCTCCATCAGGTCATTTATGTTCTTCTCTAAACTGGTTATTCTAGTTAGCAATTCCTCTAACCTTTTTTCAAGGTTCTTAGCTTCCTTGCACTGAGTTAAAACATGCTCCTTTAGCTTGGAGGAGTTTGTTATTACCCACCTTCTGAAGCCTACTTCTGTCAATTCATCAAACTCATTCTCTGTCCAGTTTTGTTCCCTTGCTGGTGAGGAGTTGTAACCCTTTGGAGGAGGAGATGTGTGGTTTTTTTTTAAATTTTCAGCCTTTTGGCACTGGTTTTTCCTCATCTTCATGGATTTATCTATCTTTGGTCTTTGGTGTTGGTGACCTTTGGATGGGGTTTCTGTGTAGATGTCCTTTTTGTTGACGATGATGCAATTCCTTTCTGTTTGTTAGTTTTCCTTCTAACAGGCCCCTCTGCTACAGGTCTGCTGGAGTTTGCTGGAGGTCCACTCCAGACCCTGTTTTCCTGGGTATCACCAGCAGAGGCTGCAGAACAGCAAAGATTGCTGCCTCTTCCTTCCTCTGGAAGCTTCATCCCTGAGGGGCACCCACCAGATGCCTGCCAGAGCTCTCCTGTATGAGGTGTCTGTCAATACCTACTGGGAGGTGTCTCCCAGTCAGGAGGCATGGGCGTCAGGGACCCACTTCAGGAAGCAATCTGTCCCTTAGGAGAGCTTGAGCACTGTGCTGGGAGATCCACTGCTCTCTTCAGAGCCAGCAGGCCGAATGTTTAATTCTGCTGAAGCTACACCAACAGCTGCCCCATCCCCCAGGTGCTTTGTCCCAGGGAGATGGGAGTTTTATCTATAAGCCCCTAACTGGAGCTGCTGCTTTTCTTTCAGAGATGCCCTGCCCAGAGAGGAGGAATCTAGAGAGGCAGTCAGGCTGCAGTGGCTTTGCAGAGCTGCCATGGGCTCCACCCAGTTTGAACTTCCAGGTGGCTTTGTTTACACTGTGAGGGGAAAACCACCCTCAAGCCTCAGTAATGGTGGACACCTCTTCCCCCACCAAGCTCGAGCATCCCAGGTCAACTTTAGACTGCTATGCTGGCAGAGAGAATTTTAAGCCAGTGGATCTTACCTTGCTGGGCTCTGTGGGGGTGGGATCCTCTGAGCTAGATCACTTGGCCCCCTGGCTTCAGCCCCCTTTCCAGGGGAGTGAACAGTTTTGTCTTGCTGGCATTCCAGGTGCCACTGGGGTATTAAAAAAAAAAATCCTGCAGCTAGCTTGGTGTCTGCCCAAATGGCCGCCCAGTTTTGTGCTTGAAACCCAGGGTCTTGATGGCATAGGCACCCGAGGGACTCTCCTGGTCTGTGGGTTGCAAAGACTGTGGGAAAAGCGTAGTATCTGGAGTGGAATGCACCATTCCTCATGGCACAGTCCCTCACAGCTTCCTTTGGCTAGGGGAGGGAGTTCCCAGACCCCTTGCTCTTTCCAGGTGAGGCGACACCCCACCCTGCTTCTGCTCACCCTCTGTGAGCTGCACCCACTGTCCAACAAGTCCCAATGAGATAAACTGGGTACCTCAGTTGGAAATGCAGAAGTCACCCCCCTTCTGTGTTGATCTTGCTGGGAGCTGCAGACCAAAGATCTTCCTATTTGGCCATCTTGCCTGCAACCTAGTTTACACATTTCTAAGATGAATAGGATAACCACAGTCCTAGCTCATAGGGGTGCTGTGAGAGTGCAAAACCTGCACATATCTAAGGTGCCTAAGCCCCACTTTGCCATGTGGAATGTTCTCAATAAATAGCTAGTGTCATCAAATTGAGAATGGCATACATTCTGCTGTCTTCATTTTCCTTCTGAATAAAATGCTGAGAATAGTCATAAAGTAGTATATGGTTAAAATGACAGGTGGCAAATTCTACTGAGAGTCAGCCTCTTGCTGGATGTTTGCCTGAAAGTGTATCTTTGATATCACCAAGAGGTTCCCACTGGGGGAACACCTATCTCTTCATGCACTGCTAGTCCTTCTCAAGCATTCCACAGAACCAGTCTATGCACCACCAGAGGGAGCCTAGCAGGGATCACTGTGCAAGGGATGGAGGGGGTGACACAGCCTAGAGTAAGCCTCCCAGATCTGCTTTATTCCATCCTCATTCTGAACTGAACTGTCAGAGGCCCTTCCAGAAGAGCGGATGTCATCTCTATTCTGGTCTCTGTAGCTGCTAGCACTGGGAGTAGGAGGATCTTGTGGGTACCAGGAACCTCATGTCCTCTAGTCCATAAAGGTCACTTTAATGCAGCATTCTCTGCCAGCCTGTGTGATGCCTGGTCTCTCTTGAGCCATTGGAGTAGCAGTGGAATAAAAACCTCCTTTGTCTACACTAGGAAATCCCCTGCCCACCAACACCCTTAATGAGGTGCTACTCTTGCATTTAGGACAAAATGCCAGCATTATCGGGAAAGACCTGGGGCTGAGGGCACCGAGGTGGGAGGCTCTTCTTTAGGACACACGAGTCCTCTATGTCATGGCAGGAACTGCTCTGACCAATCACAGCAGTGAGGTGATGAACTCCAAAGAGCAGTCCCCAGACCCATCTCAGCCAGGGGAGAAAGCAGGGGGTGGAAGGCAGGTACAGCATGTATGGCCTACTGCTCCAGGATTGGCGCCTACACTCTAAGGAGGGAACCCAGATTTGAGTAAAGCTGCGCAGGCCCTCTGAAAGCTTCAGAGGCAATGTGGCTATCACTGTCCCTTTCTCGGCCCTTATCGGGACCCTTTAGAGAGGGGCGGTGTACAGAAAAGGGACCTCTTGCCTTTCATCTCATCCTCCAAGAGGTCGAGGCAACTTGTCATCAAGCCAAATTGAAAAGAAAGAAATGTGGGCTGCCCGGCTTTCAACAGTAGAAATTCCTTTTGCCTTAAAGGCCTCAAAAATTACCAACTGAGAGGTTTGTCTCCTTATCCAAGGAGACAGGAGAGTATAATAGTAATTCCACTGAATCTTTCACTACCTGCCAGGCAGAATCCTAAGCGTAAAGTTCTCACAGTAGCCCCATGAGGTTGGAATTGGTATTATCCTCATTTTCACACAAGGATCGGAGCCAGGCTATGAAACTCCGGGAGTCTGGCTCCAGAGAGTCGCCATCTATGAAATGGAAATGACAGAAGGGGCAGCATGTGAGAAAATGGCATGACGGATTAATACAAACCACATAGCCCATCATGCCCTGCTCATCTTCCTCCTCCTCTCCACTCCTCAAGAACTTCAGCAGCTAATGATCATCAGGGTTGCACAGGCCTGCAAAGGGAATTTTTTTCTTGACTCTAGTTTGATGCTAATGGATGGTTTATAAAAGTGCTATTTTTTGGCCAGGCGTGGTGGCTCATGCCTATAATCTCAGCACTTTGGGAGGCCAAGACGGGTGTATCACCTGATGTCAGGAGTTTAAGACCAGCCTGACCAACATAGCGAAACCCCATCTCTACTAAAAATACAAAAATTAGCCAGGCGTGGTGGCACACACCTGTAATCCCAGCTACTCAGGGGACTGAGGCAGGAGAATCACTTGAACCCAGGAGGCAGAGTTGCAGTGAGCCGAGATCGCGCCGTTGCACTCCAGTCTGGGCGACAGAGCTAGACTCCATCTAAAAAAAAAAAAAAGTATTTTTTTTTTAAAGACACATGGCCATTGGTATCTCCCACTATAGTAGTTGCTATTTAAGTCAATGCCAGATGCCCCTGATTTAGGATTAGGGCAGAGCTCTAAATCAATGGTGTTTGGAGCTCCCTAGGGCCTCTTCAGTGGGCACAGCCCCAAGAGCCAGTCATGAGGCATCTTTAGCCCATCATGGGATGTTGGGTATGCATGAAATGAAATTCAGAGGGGACTGGGGAGGTAGGAATATGGTGGAAAGATTCAAGGAGGCCATGTTTCCCAAAACGGAGATGGAAAAGTCACAGTGGGAAATCTTGTTTTCCAGAACTTTTCTGTCTCTACCCTTCATTCCTGCCATGCCCCCATGCCCTACCCCACCCCACCCCGAGTCAGCAGAATCTCCTCAAACATGGGGAGTTTGAGTGGTATTTGTGGTGTCACCTGGGGACCTCATTGGTGGTGGCAGCAGCAGCAGGATCAGGGGAACATTGCTCCAACCATGCGAATTGCTATATGTTTCTTGGGCTTAAAATAAATCATTAGTAACTTCCCAGATGGTGAAGCAGCTTTCTACAACCCAGAGGCAACTGGAGATGCTGGAGACTGGTTAATCTGCTTAGTATGCTGGAACATGGGGAGGTCTTTAAAGTGACAAAATTGACTTAGGACCTCTTTAAAGTGGCAAAGGACTTAATAACATGAGTCGATGAAGTCAACCATGAAGTGCTCTCGAGCTGTAGTGACTCAAGATGACGGTTATTCTTCATGAAGATTCTTTCCCTTACCAGCTGATTCAAGGTTTGCCCCTCATTTTAAAATTCTGTCGATTTGCCTTTGCTAGGCAGAAATTCTTGGGTTTTTTCATGGGTATCATTCAAATATTACAATTCATCGGACCCACCTATTGCTCTTTGACTTAAACAAGTCCCAGGAGAACAAAAGCCCTCAAAGAATATGGATATGTGCAGTGCATGCTGGTTGAATTATAAACAGGAAGAGGTTTCCGTGGGATGTATTTTTTAATGAGAACACATTGTTATACTCTGAGTACGTGGCATTCTTGCTTGATAGAAACATTTACAAGGACACATACACATTTATATCCAAACATCAAATGAAGTAGATATTTTAAATGACCAGTTCGCACAAGAAATAAAATATATTATACAAAACATGGGTTATATCCACAGTCATTAGTTCTCCTTTTCTACACAAAACAGCAATAAATTAAATCACATTATATGCAAATAGTTAGTTGTACATTAGAACAATAAACAGTATGTAACGTGTGCAGCTTTTACTTTTACTTTTCTACCAGACTCATGATAGATTTGTACTGTTTGGTAGTCCTGTATTTAAATCAACAATGAATAATGTGACCCAGAAGACAGGGGTCACAGAATTGGTCTGTCACAAGGTCTATCCCATGTCCTCTTGGTTTCAATTATCCACCATGCACAGGGAACAAAGCTCAGATTCCCAGGACCCAACACAAAGGTCTGCAACGAACAAACTCACAGCAACTCCATGCTGTTCAGGGGCTACTTCATTGTTGTCTTATAAGATGTTGAAGATTTTCAGATCTTGGCAATAAATAATGAAGAGGCCACCCTGTTTCCAAATCTGAATTTGCCTCTTTTTTAGCCATCTCTGTCCAACTATCATGCACCGTGACAGCTTTGTTCTCCTAGCAAATAAGAAATATTTTGGTAGCCTATGTTGTGATTTACACTTGGTAAGTAGGCCCTTTATTCCTTGTGCATAGAAATTTAGGTCTTTAAACATGAATCAAAGCAATGCAGCATTTTTGCTAACACTTAATTCTGCTTGTTCAAATCTCTCCCCTATGAATCATCTCCCACTGATATATCACAGAGCTATTATAAAATGGATTTTTACTCATGAGATCTGGCTCCCATTGAAACACTTCCATTGTGTTTGAAGTCACTTAAAACTTGAACACTGACAGCATCAGCTGGTTTAGAATACTTTGCATTTGGTATGAATTAACATTAGTGGTTAATGAGAAATTTGAACAAACTCCAATCCAGCACCTTTTGGAAGTTATTTTAATCCTGCAGTCTAGCTGTGGGGTATGCCTGCAAGAGATATTTATGGAATGTGCATGCTGAACACCAAAGCCAGGCTTGTTGGAGTTTATGCACATCACAGGCTTGAACTTCCCCGAGAGCAAGTGTGGTCAGGTTAGCATAAGGGTTCTGATGAAAAGCCAGCTACATTCTTAAAACCAGCACTAGTTTCTCTTTCTTCCCCCGAGGAAGTATGGAGGCCTACTCACAAATTTCTACCTGCATGGGCAAGATGCTGACACATCCTTGGAGTGATGCTGAATGTGGATGTGGGTGGAGGGGCAGAAGGGGCAGTAAAGACAGTGGCAATGGGCAAAGCTACCCTCTTCTATTTCTGTTAGAGGATCAAGCTTCTGATTCTTCTTGCTGAGTATGGCTGTTGAAGGGGCACTAAATTATTGATTATTCTTGAGTTCTAAAGACAACTGAAAAAGAAGCTGGTCCCTCTGAACACCATCATCTCATTCTCTCCGCTTCCACAATTGCCTCTAAAATATATCCCGTGTTTTTAGACAGTTTCAGTTTTTTCCACTGAATAAGAAATTCAGCTCATTACCAACTTCCTCATGTAGCCCCAAACCATGGGGTGTGATTAAATAAAACCCATGAAATGTCTGTAGGTCGAGGGGCCTAATTTGGGCTGACATTTACTCTCATGTCTGCATCCACTCAGGATCTGAGTGCTTTGTGTCCCAAGAAACACAGGTACTTGTTCCTTCCAGTTTATAAACACTCACAGTGGCATAATACTCTATTTGATCTCCCAAAGAGATTTCCACAAATAGCCAGTGTATACTGGCTTACAAGAAGGTAGTGACGCCACTGGAACCTACTTTCTGAATCCATCACTATCTGCATGAGATCTATGCAATGGCCTTCATCTCATTGTTGACTGCATGTCTTACACACACACACCCAAAATCAGCCATAACTAAAAGGAAAGTGATGCATTTGGGGCAAAGAAGGCACATGTGCCTTGAGTAAATTAATGATTTTAGAAGCCTGTGAATAGGGAGAAGTGAGGGCATTCCAAAGCAAACGTCTTTGAATTTAAGAGAAAGGAGAAAAGGAGGTGTTCTTTTCCCATGCATTTCTCTCTTCCCTCCATTAAACATGGGTTCTGAAATGTGAAGAATTATAGTAGGGTCTGTAGAACCATTCCTGTGGTTCAAGAAAAGACAAGTTGATGGTTCTTCAGAGAAATGTGATGTTTTCAGGGACCTTCTCATGAAACCTGTGGTCAGTCTTGAGGGAGAGATGGACTCTATACAAAAAATTCTTTCCAGATTGAAGTTATCTGGGGAACGCTTTTATTTCTGAGTCTCCCCCTACCTGGCCCCCCTACCCAAAAATCTAAGAAGACAATGATGACCATAAGACAGACACTTATTTCCAACACCAAAAAGCATCTACGCATTTTGACCTGTATCAATGTCAGCTGAAGTTTGACTGGATGAGAAAATACTGATAAATTATCCTTTTTGAAATCTGAACACCCTGGATTTCAGGGTAAAATCCTATAGAATTACTTAAGAACTAAAGCCCTATTTATTTTACTATATGACATGTGACTACTAGTAGAGTATGAATTACTAGTTGTCAAAGATGTTGCTTAGCAGTTAGGAACGTAAATCCCCAAATATAATCATGAGAGACCTGAATCCAGGGTAACCATGGGCCAGGCACCTACATTTTTAACCAAGGTTTCCAACTTAATGGAATTTTCAAAACCTAACAGAGTTTTTGTAACCCATATGCAGATTTCAAAGAAAAAAAGTAGATGACTGACATGTAAATAAGCAATCAATATTAACATAAGAATTGATTTTAAATTGGTATAGCATCCAGAAACCTCATGATTTGTTCTGCCACTTTTAGAATACTAAATGCTCACTTATCTCTAAGATCTTATCTAGAGCTATCATATTAAGTTTAGGACTATTCCTCTACCTGAAGTTAAAATAGAATATATTTGCTCTAAAAATGTTAGTGTTAATGGGCTGCTATAGAAGTTTTAAAAAGGTTAGAAATGTTTATACTCAAAGACTGCAACCAGGTAGATTATTTTTCCCCTGTAATAAGCACATAGACTTGAAATGTAAATGCTTTTTACAAGCACAAGATAAGAGAAAATGAATATCTCTAAAATATAAAGAAAACATCATTGAAAAATAAAAATGAGAGAGAAACAAGCTCTCCAATTCAAGTAAGTAAGATGGACACAATCCTTCCTTGCTGTTTCACTTTGGGGAGTCCCAAGTGGTACAACGCTTTGCTTGCCTGGATTTTACTTCTCAAACTCTCTTCCTGCACTAGAACTTCTGGAGTTTGCCCTTCTTGCCTTCTTCTTCCATCCTTTTTGGAATTCGACACTTTTTCCTTTGCATCCAGCATGGAGAACTACAACATAGTTGTTTCAGTTGATCACACTTAATTCTTTTATCACGCCCTCTCAGCTGCCTCCCAGCTCCCATTTCTTAAACAACAGAAGGGAAATGTGCCTCACACAGAAATAATCTGTTAACTGTGACTCAGGTGGGAGCAACAGAAGCGGACTTCTCCAGGGAAGCACTCACACATGGGCCAGCATCTGGGACAGGCAGCTTGCGCTTACCTTTGCCTCCACTGTTACTTGTGTGAACTACCACCTTCATCGCCACCAAGGGATTGCTCAGACTCTCCTGTTTCCTCACTAGACATGCCTTTTAATAGATATTAAGACAATTTTTTAAACTATTTTTCAGATGCTCAAAATGTTATTGAGGAAAGACCCCAGTTATGTAATTCCAAGACGGTGCACTCTCATGACAGCTTCCCATTCCTCCCTCACTGTCTATCTTCTCCATAAAGTATAAGTGAAAGTAGTAACCTGAGTTTAAACTCATGTTGCAGACTACTGGGTGCAAAGCAGATACCCAGTAAAAACTTACTCAACTTTGTCCAAATTCCTTATCTCCACACCTAACCCACTATTACAGGTATTCATGGATGCCTACAAAGTTCTGTGGAGTTAACTGAAAGGGAATAGAGTAGATATTTAGGTTCCCTCTTTTAAACAAAATAATCACTGGGAATTTTGGTAAATGCCATGTGTAAAAGTTTTAAATTTGTCATTTCTGTGCTTGCTGTCAAGTAGTAACTCTCAACAAAGTTGTTCTTGAGGGAAAAGGGCTGCCTCCCTTTATAAAACTGTTTAATTCTAATAACTTTTTACTCTTGATCTTGAAACTCATGATCTGGCCAGAACTGGAAGGAGTGTCACCCTAAAATAACTTGCATTTAAAACAGTTAAACAGTAAAAACGCAAAAGAGTTAAAATGTTGATGTATTCCTGTAGAGTTTGTAATCTGAATACATTTACACATCTCTGTAATTAAAGCAGCAATTAGCATTTGGCTGTGGCCAAGGGAAAAAGGGAAACAGGGAGAAAAAGAGAAGTATTTTTTATCATTATTGGTTTGTTGTACACTTCACCCATGCTTTTAAAATGTAAGCAACATTTAATCTTCAAAATGAAAAAATAGACAAATTTTTCTAATACCAAAATATAAGATTAAAATACTTGTAAAATAAAATGTTAGTGCGAAATAGGGCTTTTTTTTTTTACATCAAAAAGGAAATATTTTTGACTTGCTTTTCTTCTGTAAATCCTCCCATCTCACTAATATTTACAACAATCCAGAGTAGCGTTTATGAGACACTGAAAAAGACAGGGAGGAAATCCTTTTTCAAGATATGAAGTCAGAACCTGAATGTAGACATCGGACAGAGAAGTCCTCAACCACAAACCTGTCCTCCAGCTCTAGAGAGAGTAAGGCTGTATTTCCAACCTTGAGATTTTTCATTACATTTTCCCCTTTTTGGGTGTTAAATTCTTTCCAAGAATGCTGTACTTGTAAAAATGATTTTATTCTAGCTACAAAACATTTCATTTAAGAAAACCGCATTTTATATCCTTGTGTGAAATGCTCCCAAAAGCCATCAAGATATGGAGACAACAGATTTTAAAAACATAAATCTAATCATATGGGCTTGAAACAGTATGAACATTTAACAGAGTGACACGATATCATTATTATATTTGTTTGTCATGAGATGAAAGGCCTGGAGGCAGATGGTGATTAATCATAATTCCTGAGCTTCTACAGAAATTTTAAAATGAAATTACTAACTGCTTAAAATTATGAATTCTTCAAGAACGCCCCTTCTGTTTCATTGATGTCTTTCAACCCGTCTATCTCCTTAAAGAATCTCAGGCAGAAAAAAAAAAAGTGGGGGGCTTCCTTTAAGCTACTGAAAAATGGGATCTGATGGAATCTTCCCGTAATTCCCGATGTTTTCCAAGGTTACTTTCTTCTTGCTGGGTTCGCCTCTCAATGGTTATTCTGTATTTCTTCCTGGGTAAAGGGAAAGTGAATGTGGTAATAAAACTTGGCTACAAAATACCATGGTTTCTCTTACAAAGAGTGCCCTCAAGGGACATCTGGGTTTCAGTTGATAAATGAGAAGTGACAGAATATGAAACCCTGGTCAGAGATTAAAGTAGTGTGCCCCCAGGCATGGTGCCCTTATTCAAGAGAGAAAATTGGCATGCTTTCCCAAATACCACAGAACAAGCCTTCCCCTTCTTCCCTGGGTGCCTTGGGGGTTAGGTCTTGTCTATTAGGCTACAGAAGTTCTCCCTGATTCCCAGGATATGCCCTTGATAAAGATCAAATTACATGTACTGTGGCCAAAGGAACAGGAATACAATTGTTCCCACAAAGGGTCACATATGCCTAGTTACAATCCCATGCAGAAATAAAGAAACCTTGCTCTAATGACTTATGAATAAACCACAAACTCAACCACCAAAGATTACAAAGGAATGGGCCACCCTCACGGGGCAGAACAATCAGTACCAGTGCACACACGTACATTATTACAATTTTGCAAGCCTTGGAGCTTAACCACAGTGGCAAATGAGCATGTGGGCTCTCCAGATACTGAGCACAGATCAGCCTGAGAGCATGGGCTACGCAAAGCTCCCTCCTCCTCTTTAAGGTGAGCCCAGGCATCTATTTCTGAATTGGAGAAAGCCTGAGAAGGGGGAAGTTGATTTCCCCCTTTATCCAGATTCCCTCCCCACTGCTTCACTTGGTGGGTGGTAGGAATTCTTGTCAGAATATCTGTGATCAAAGGGCTAGACACAGTGGCTCACACCTGTAATCCCAGCACTTTGGGAGGTCGAGGTAGATGGATCACTGGAGGTCAGGAGTTCAAGACCAACCTGGCCAACATGGTGAAACCCCATCTCTAATAAACATACAAAAAATTAGCCAGCCATGGTGGTCTGCACCTGTAGTCCCAGCTCCTCGTGAGGCTGAGGCAGAATTGCTTGAACCCAGGAGGTGGAGGTTGCAGTGAACAGAGATCGTGCCACTGCACTCCAGCCTGGGTAACAGGGGGACTGAGACTCCGTCTCAAAAAAAAAAAAAAAAAAAAAAAAAAAATCTGTGATCAAAGGGCAGCAGCAGCTCTCTGTCCCACTGTGAGATGTAGTCAAAACCCATGACCCTGGCACCCAGTATGCTAAACCACTGACCACACCAAACCTGGGGTCCTGCCAAAAGAATGGCTGAGATTTTTTAACCACCGTGCTTCCTGGGTGAAAGAGGGATGTGGACAAATCACAAAGAGAATCATGTAAAATCAAATGACAAAGACAGCAGAAGAGAGTGAATTGTACCTTTACAAACCGTCCTCACCTGAAAAAGTAGAAGGCCATTAGCAAGCCAGCTCCTAGTAAAGCCCCCACGACAATTCCTGTCACTGCCGATTCTTCTAGGCCACCTGCTTGAAAAAGAAGCATGGATAATCAGGGTTCATTTGGAGATACAGTTAGAAATGCCTCGAGTTTCATTCATTGCAAGAAGTTCCTCGATTTCCCATTGGAGGCAACTTTTCCTTTTTCAGAAATATTTTCTAAGGGACCCTACACTTGTTTTTTGTTTTATGTTTTTGTTTGTTTGTTTTTGCCCAGTGCAAAGCTTAAGAACCACTTGAGAAAGTGCCAGATAAACAAAAACACTATTAAGAGAGTGGACACAGTGAGAACAGAAGAAAATTCAAGAATCAGAGGAAAACTGGAACTGAAGATTTCAGATATAGCCACTCTCTTTTGAGTTTAAAGTCAAAGAATTGGGAGGCCAAGGTGGGTGGATCACCTGAGGTCAGGAGTTTGAGACCAGCCTGGTCAACATGGTGAAACCCTATCTCTACTAAAAATACAAAAATCAGCTGGGTGTGGTGGCAGGCACCTGTAATCCCAGCTACTCAGGAGGCTGAGGCAAGAGAATCACTTGAACCTGGAAGGTGGAGGTTGCAACGAGCCAGGATCACACCACTGCACATGAGTCTGGGTGAGACAGCAAGACTATCTCAAAATAAATAAATAAAGTCAAAGAAGACAACCAGATGGACCAGGGCACTGACCCAGGGCTTCTTATTTTCACAGATGGATGGTGACACTTCAAAGTGCTAGAAGATTTGATGAAAAATTCATTGGGTCAATGTTCTGTTTTTAGATGTTCTCTCACCAAAGCCAGCGTTTCATGTCAAAATGTCCTACATAGCTTTGGAAAATGTGGATAACAATTTGAAACAATCAAGTTCAGTAGTATCCCAGTTATATAAAAGTGATAAATAGCTAACTTGTATCTAGAGTTTAGTACGCGGCCCTTCAATGTGTTATCTTGTGTAATCCTCAAAACAGCCCTCAAAACGCTTAGGTGGGCACATTTCTTTCTCTTCACACATTGGAAAACTGAGGCTTAAAAAGCTGAAGGAAGACTCCTAGGGTCACAAAACCAGCAAGTAACAACAGTGGGATGTCAAATACAGGCCCAGTCTCCCCAGTGTGTTCTTAAAACACTTCCTCCTTAATTCCTTCCCATAATTATTGCATAGACATAAATACCTAACAGTTTAAAAGATATTTTCAAAAGCACACATATATTAGCCTAAAATGATCAACTGGCCTCCTGAAGGACCTATATTCACTTTGTTCTCCCTCACTACCTTATTCTCTAAAACAATTATTTCTAACAGCTTTCCTATTTGTAAGCTACTTATGAGAACATCCAATTGCTTCTCTACTTATATACAAAGCTGCTCATAAGTAATACATCTTACACTTATTTGCCAATGTGTAAATGTTCAGATGTTTAAAGGATGTTATCTCTTTGGTTCTGAGGAGCTGGAAAGTAACCACAAACTTGAAAAATCAGAACGAGACTTGCTGTGACAGATGAATAAGGGAGTGATATTTACTAATTGATATTTTGATTTTCTCTAAAAGTGGAAACATGACCTAGCCAAGAGATTATAGTAAGAGATGTAAAAATAGGAAGAAACATTCTACCATTGTGGAAGAGAAGACTGGAAGGGAAGGAAGACCTGAAAGATGCCAGTTTGTGAACTGTTCCCATGCGTTTTACCACATCAGAGAAAGAAATGTAAAATTCCAAAATGTAAGGCCCTAGAAACACTTGGGTTTTAAACTTACATTACACTGAGGTTAGAGGTGATGACATACATAGCAAATTAAGTCTCCAGACTTACATGATTTGCAGGGAGAGCTGTTTGTATGCTCTACAATTCGGTTTTCATCTATTCTCAGTTTTAAAGGGCCCCAAGGATATTTGACATTCGGCCGCATTTCAAAACGACCTTCTTTTCCAAAATAATCACCAATAACCTATATAGAGGCAAAAAACAAATAGACAAACCAAAAAGTCAAAGGAGGCACAAAGCTCGCAGCCTTCCACAGCTATTCCCCAAAATGTACAGCCTGATCTAAACTGGCTGCCTCTGGGCATTTCATCAAATCACCGTCTCCAGGGCAAGGACAGCAAGTGCTTCAGAAAAGCGTGGTACATTGGGCACGTTCCTCGGTTGTCCACACTGATGGTCATGGTGTGTTCTGGGGACTTCACAAGTCAAGATTTGAAGTCGCTGATGGTGCTCTCAAGAGAGCATTAAGAGCGGTCGTGCCAGAGCAGGATGTGGGAAGCGGTGAGAGTGGTGTCCCCTGGGCTCTGCACTCACTGAAGGCCCAGCCCTGTCAGTGCTGCCCCTAGGATTCTTCAGTCACTACCCCCTCGTGGAAAAGGAATAATCTCGGAATTCCCGGCTTTTGCTTTGTTCATCGGATAAGGCACTATCCCACCCATCTGTCCCAGAGCAGCCCACCCCGTCAGCCAATTGTAAGGCCCAAGTTACTTTCAGGGACATGTGAAGGACAGCCAGGGTCCACCGTATACCCGATTTAAGCATATGACAGGTACCCAGCCTCACAGCCCTCAATTGTTCAACATATAATTAAAGAGCGTCTTTCAGGAACCTCCTGTTTCACCACTTCCGGTTGCCAGACTATTTCTTCAAGAGTTGCACTCTCCTCTCTGATGAACCCACCCTATGTGCACCCCCATTTCCAGGCAGAATTCTGTTTCTCTTAATTGGCTCCTCTGGCCCCTGGAAAATCATTATTCTGTTATGGTTTAATTCCATGGTCATCCCTCAGTTTCTGGTTAAAATGATTGTTGGATCAGCTCCCTAAGCCCCAGTCTAGAAGTGCCTTCCCACCCAGGTTCTTGGAAGTCATTTCTCTTTTGTCTGAAAACAAGCGCATGGCTCTCGAGTGGCTGGTGACATCTCCCCTTCTCCTGACAGAGGTACAGCAGGTTCTCACAGGCCATGTCAGGTCTAGAGGAAGTCTAGATCGCCACCAAAATATAACAATCACTGGCGTGTACTGAGCACTTGCCAAGGGCTTTATACACCTCCACCCCTGCAACCTCACAATGGACTCTGATGAACTGTCGCTACCCACCTTTCCCAGGGGGAACCAGAAATACAGATGAGACCCAGACCACTCAGTGGGCAAAACAATCATTCATTAAACATAGCGAGGGTGACTCCTGCTGCTTCAGAACTTCCCACAAGAGCCAGGCATCTATTAGGTTGGTGCAAAAGTAATTGAGGTTTTGGTCATTAAAAATAAATAATTAAAAATAATGGCAAAAGCCACATTACTTTTGCACCAACCTGATACATACAAAGAGGAAAACAGCAAGTCCCATATGCCAGGTCCCATGAAGGGCACCGGAGCAATGCCCTGGGAGCCAGCGATCAAGGAAACAGAGGAAGTGGCATTCTTTGCTGAAGAACTGCATATTTGTATAATTGTATATGTATATTTATAATTTAAAATGTAGATAGTACTTTTCTAGGTTTCATTTGATCTGTTCCCCTTAACAATAATCATGTGACATCAGCCAGGAAGACATGATGATTTCCATGTTACAGCTGAGGAAACTGAGGCAGAGAGTTCACACTCCCAAGCACGGAAGACTCATCTTTGTGTCCAGGGCCCTCTTTTCCCTTCATGATGTTATCCTGAAACTACATCATCTTTGGAAATGTTAACACACATTGAGTTTGTAACCACCCACCCTCCCACTCCCCCTCAGAAAAGCTCAAATCTTAAGGGAGGAAATAAAGTTTCACTTTACTGATTTTACCCGATGACCCTCATCCACAAGACTAAGGTGTGATTCTTGGCCACTTGAAGGGTAGGATTTCCTCATTTAGAATAAACAAGGAACCATTTCCTGAAGTCTTCCTTGAACCCTCAATCAAAAGTTGAGGTTTTTCAACTCATTTTTATTTGGAAGCTGCATTGGAGACAGCTCTTTGGCCACCAGAACAAATGCATTCCTCAGAGTCCCCACGAGCAGAAGGAGCAACTGGTGCAGAGGTCTCACGTGCTCACCTCCTGGGTGCCCGCCTCCACATCAGTCATGGCAATCACAGAGAAATCCCCATATCGGTCTCCGTTGGCATCTATGGACACCTGCCCGGCGATACCTACAGGACCAGAAGCGAAGAACTCAACGTTGGTTACTTAAAATACCTCTGTCTGCCAACAAAAACAAGAAAATGAATTGGCAGGATTTTTTAAACAAACTCATGCCACAGGGAATCTCATCAGACTCTGAGCATTTTTGTTGGCATTTTGGAAAGACATTGTAATTTCATCTGCGTCTGCATTCCTAAATTCTTAACATTTCTCCATTTAAAAATGAAAAGAAAAAGAAATAAATGATCTTCTTTGGGGGATATGTTTGAAAAAAGATTAAGGCTAATCCTGAAAGCAGCATGCTTATCCCAGAGTTTTGTATTAATTTTTTTTAATCGCAGAGTTAGAAGTGGAGGTGGGGTACATTTATAGATTTGTCATGGGTTTGCGTTATCATTGGATGAACATTATAATAGAAAAATCATTCCAGCCCAGGACTCAGTGAATGTGCTTTTCTCCAGGCTGCTTTAATACACAGGAGAGCAGCAGGCCTGCTTTGTGGGTCACTGGAGCCAATAGCTAAGAAGAACTATTCTTCTTTATCTTGGTTGAGTTCTTCGCTAATTGTTTATCCAAACATTCTCTGGACGCTTAGTACTGAATTAGTGCTGCAGCTGAGGCAAAGATAAATTGAACACATTCTCTGCTCTAGAGAGGGGCAGCCTGGACTGGGGATTTAGCTTGTTCACATCAGAATCTAACCACTTGCATTAAAATCCCAGTTTTTACATTTACATAGCTCCATGACCTTGGACAAGGAACTTAGCCCTCTAAGCCTCAGTCTCCACAACTGTAAAATGGGCATAATAGTACCTCCCTACCAAGAGGCTTTGGAGAAGATTAAATGAGACAAAACAAATAAAGCACTTTCAGCACATTTAAGGGAAGTTAATTGTTTTCATCTACTGTCGTTATTACTGTCACTATTATTACTACTATTTATTTTATAATTGTTCTTGGTAGAGAAGACCCAACTGTACCCACATCACTCAGAGGAGGAGCCAGCACAACAAGTTGGAGAATCAGGGAGGACTCAGTGAAAGAGTGGGAATTTTATAGGGATGTTGGAGGAAGTCTAAGATTGGGCAAGCAGTAATCAAGAAGTGGGAGAGAGGCTGAAAGGCTGGCCTAGGTGTATCTGCCAAGGCACAGAGGCCCAAAGAGACCAGAAGAATTGTGAGATTTCTGGGAAGATGGCCCATGTGGACAAAGGGAGTCAGTGACACGTAAGGCTGGAACGGGGTGGCCAGAGAACGGAGGGCCTTGGGTATCCACTTGCTTTGGCCTATAATGGTGGCTCAGAGCAACTAATCAATAAAAGCAAATATATCATCGGCTGATATTAAGTATGTCTATGTCATAATTTTCATTCACTAAATAAGAGAATGCGTACATCAGCCCCATTTTAATTAACTAAAGCTATTCCCTTTTCAACTGGGGAGAGTTCAGTGTAATTCTTAATTGGCATTTCTATTGATTTGGTTCTCTGATTTGGTTCTCTCTGGAGGTACTGACTCCTCAAGTAAAATGAATGTCTGGGAAAAAGGATCCCAAGGGAAAGTTCCAACCTCTAGTGTGGCTTGGAGAGGGCATGTATGTGGGTTTACTGTCCTTTGGGTTGTGGTTTGAAGGCCCATTGATTTTTCCAGACTTTGGTCTACTTTACCAGAAACAGAATGGAAGCTACCATTCACTTTGATTTTTTTGTCTTCTTAAAATAGACTGGTTACAAAGGGTACACCTACCATAAACTTGTGTATCCTTGACAGCCTATAAAACTCTTAAGTGATAAATAGGCTTAAAATATATTTGTATATTGGCTATCCAAAACCATTTGTCATTCTATTGAGAGATGTTTGTGATGTTGTGTCCTGCTAAGCATTTTGCAGAGTATTTTATAAGATGAGGTGGCCCTAGTAATTTAAGACCTCATTATACCTTTAAGCTATTGCAATTCTGCCAAGAAATGGGGTAAGAATCCTCAGCGTGGCCAATTAGCAAAGTGAGACTTCACCTGAGAGTATCGTACATAAGGTGAGATTTCCAGGCTTACAGTAGAATTTTCCTGTACATAAGTAATGAGACTTTCCACCCTATTTCTGTTTGGCTGTAGTGGAGCTCAAAGTTTAAGCCACAGTCCTATTTACCTTGTCACTCTGACCTCTCACACAGAGGAAATCCAGCTTCTTCCCAGGCCATTTATTGAAATGAGAGTTGATCACAGGTTTCATGGCAATAAAAGCCAAATTTGTCAAATCACAGTCAGAGTATTTTTCCCTTGACAACTTAATGGTCACTTAATGGTGACCATTCAAGTTAAAATTGTTTTCAATTTTAGGAAGGTTTGAGTTTTTCTTCATACAGATACCTTAGAGACCTTTTTAGGCCTACCCTCAAATGGACCATTGTTTAGCAAATAAAATGGGCTCTCCAAGCAATTCAAGCCAAAAACTTAGCTTGGCTTCAATTATCTTTACATTTAAACAAATGAGATTCTAATTGTAGACTGAACTACACAGTTGATTGTTTCAGGACTCATTTCATATTGCCTGTGTAGACCTGGCCCTAGAATAGAGACATCAAGATGGCCTATGGGAAAATTTAACCCATGCCCTGGCTCTAACCAAAATACATTCCAGCCATCATTGGCACCTACCCTCCCCTTCACACCCTCCCTCAGTGGCGCCCTCCAGCATCCCCCAACTCTGGCTCCTGTCCCTCTGTCAGAAGACCAAGAACAAATGACCACACCATGTAGTGAGTAATAGCTAAGAATGGGATGTGGCCGACCAAGGTTGTGTCCACAGATGCCAGGTTCTCAGTGTATTGTGCAAAACTTCTGGGAAATTTGGCTCTGTCCTAATATGCCCCCTGAATTATCCTATTGGATTCTAGCTCCTCAACTGAAGCAGTCAGAGGTAAAACAAGATAATCCTGGAGGTCTACTCACCCATGAACTACAATCTGTCTAATGCTAAGGGAGATCTCACTCTGGTTTTGAGTAAGACATGGCATCCACTAGAGAGAAATGAAATCTACCAATTGCCACCATAGATACTGCCCAGACAACTCTAGCTGGAGCTCAACCTCTCCCTACTGTCCTGTCCTGCCCTTTCTAAGAACTGAGGACAAACTAAGGGACAGGAGTCCCAACTGAAAAAATATGAGCCCCAAATCTAAACTTGTCAATATTTGCTCCTGCCATTGAAAAATGTCACTAGTTGGATTACAAATAGATATAGGCATACCCCAGTGCATTAAAGGGCTCAAAGGAGGAAGAGCAAGCACAATGTAAAACCGAAAGAGCTCTTGTCAGTCATTAACTAGACCAACCTCCTTATTATACAGGTGAAGAAAGAGAAGCTCAGAGGACAAGGTTACTAGTTAGTGGCTAGGATGCACTGAACCCTGGTTCAGCAATTTGTACCTTATGTTACCGGTTGTCAAGTGATACCCATAAGCATATATAGTTTATTTTCCACATAGCAGCCATAAGGACCCCTTTTAAACAGGCAAGGCAGATCATGTCACTCAAAAGCCTCAGGTGACTTTCTGTCTCACCCAGGTGGAGCCCAAAGACCTCAGCAAGGCTTGCAGGTCCGCATGATCTGGCCCCATTACCTCTCGGGCTTTGGCACCTATCACACTGCCTGTCAAACTTGGTGTCAGCCACATTAGCCATCTTGCTCTCTCTGGGGACACTCCACAGTCTCCCAGATGCACTCAGGATCTCCACGTTTGCCATTCCCTCTGGAGTGATCTCTCCTAAACATCTACAGAGCTTCCCTCACTTCCCTCGGGTCTCTACTCAACTTCACTCTCAGAGACCTTCCCTGACCACTCTAAACTAGCAGCCCTACTCCTCCTTGCCTGGCATTTTCTAGCTCCCTATCCTACCTTATTTTATAGCTCTGAAAGATATACTGTATTCATTGTTTGTTGCCTCATCCCCCCACTGGCATGTAAGCTCAAATGATTGCATAAAATGTCTTTAGTTCACTGCTGAATCCTCAGCACCTTGAACAGCACCTGGCACATAGTAGGTGCTCAATGAACATTTGTTGAATGAATAAATTAATATAGAGTTGATATCTGCAAGGCTCCTGCAGTGAGATCACTTCCATATTGAGTTTCATGTTCATTTTCATTGAGTGTTGGTGAGGTGAGAGGAAACTAGCACTCTTATATACACTGTTAGCAAGAATATAGATTAGCAGAACTTTCTGGAAGTTTTTGGCAATTTCTAATGCACTTTAAAAAGCACCAACATACTTTTGGACCCAGAAATCCCACAAGTAGCAATGTTCCCTGTTGGAAGGACTCACAAAAATTCTTCAAGATGTGCAAGAGGCTTGTGATAGCATATTGCATAATAGCAAAAATTGCAAAAAAAATTTTACAAGTGACCATCAATAGGAGATTGGTTAAAGAAATTCCTATACAGCCATACAGTAGAAAAATATGTAACTGTCATTTAAAACTGCATTGGATCTATGAGTTCTCATATGGAAAATTCTTTAACTTGACATACAAGTAAAAAACCTAAGATGAAAAATAGCATTCATACTATCACCCCTTTCATACAAATTTTAAGATAAGATATACAAATGCATATGTGCTGGCAGAAGGCTTAAAATATTTATACACAGAATCATAGGAAATCATTAATAGTGATACACAGTGGGGAGAGGGGACTAGGTTGGGAAGGAAAGTTTTCAGCTTTCAATTTGCACATTTTTGTACTGTTTAAATTTCCTAGCCAAGCATAGTCTTATCTTGTACAATTTTTCAGTGCCAACAGAAGTTGCTTGAGATGAGATAATGGGTCATTTTTTGTTGTTTTCCTATAGTTCCCTGTTATTAAGAAAGCTTGGGAGGCCAAGGTGGGTGGATCACCTGCAGTCAGGAGTTTGAGACCAGCTTGACCAACATGGTGAAACTCCATCTCTACTAAAAACACAAAAATTAGCCAGGCGTGATGGCACACGCTTGTAATCCCAGCTACTCAGGAGGCTGAGGTACGAGAATCACTTGAACCCAGGAGGTGGAGGTTGCAGTGAGCTGAGATTGCTCCATTGCATCCCAGCCTGGGCGACAAGAGCGAGACTCCATCTCAAAAAAAAAGAAAGCAAAAACTAACAGTCACTATTTTAAAAGTAAAATAAAAGCACTTTGGAAGGCTGAGATGGGTGGATCACCTGAGGTCAAGAGTTAGAGATCAACCTGGCCAACATGGTAAAACCCCGTCTCTACTAAACAATACAAAAATTAGCCAGGTGTGGTGGCAGGCGCCTGTAATCCCTGCTACTCAGGACACTGAGGCAGGTAAATCATTTAAACCTAGTAGGCAGAAGTTGCAGTGAGCCGAGATCGTGCCACTGAACTCCAGCCTGGGCAACAAGAGCAAAAACTCCGTCTCAAAAAAAAAAAAAAAATGCAGAGGCCTCAATTGAACCTGCTAATCATCTCAAACCACCAGGTTTAACTGTGACAGCTAATGTTTTCTGTGTTTCACAAAAACCAACATAGTCTGAACACATGAATGTATATCTGGGATTAATACTGGTTTTAAAACTCATCACAGAACTCTTCACAAACTGTCCTGTCATGCATGAGGCTTGTGTTCAATGCAATATTAAGAAGCATAGAGCTATTACCTAAATAATCAGGAGACAAGGCCTTTCCTCTTTCAGTGGGGCTTGTTCAAAGCACTTTCACGTGTATTATCTCATTTAATTGGTACAACAAGCCTATGAGATGGGCTGCTTTAGAGCTGAGAAAAGCAAGACGCTGGAAAGGCCCCACAGCTGCAACTGAGAAATACAGAACCAGAAAAGCAGCAGCTCATTTGGCCCCATGTAATTGCCTTATAGATGGAATCCCCACCTTCAAATGTTCTGTTCCAAGTCTGCTGTATAATTTTCCCTCCATCCTTTTTGCTGTAACCAGCTCTGAGTACTTCATGTAGAGCCAAGACGTAGAGGAGGATGGCATCGTGGAATCCTTCAACAAACATGTTAACCTGAAAAGAAAACCCCAGATGGGTGAACCAAAACACCAAGTGACTCATGCCAGGAATAAGATGAGCAATCCAAAGCGTTAACAAGTTAGACTTCAGGTCTGTTAGCCATGGCAGAGGTGGGCAGAAGGGGTACTGACAAGAATCACGCCATGACTTTCCTGGCATGGCTCAGAGGGGAAAACCCTTCCCCAGTTGGGGAATTTGGAAAGCCTCGTACAGAAGTCAAGAAAACTGTACCTGTTGACCAGGTCAAGTATTTCAAGTGTGCCCACCTTTGCCAATGGTCCCTTTTGGACAAGTCCCCTCCTCCTTCCCCACATCTGCCTCTATCTCAAGCTTATGTGAATTCAGCTTCCCCCTTGAGGTCTTCTCCACCTTCAACAGCCCCACGATCTCTTCATGCTCTGAACATGGAACATAACTAAAGAACAGTAGAGATCCATTCACTTATATTTAGCAACTGTTGATATCTACTAGAGTGCTGGTGCTATGGGTACAAAGAAGAGTAGATGTTGCAACTTCTGCCTGTCTGCCTAGCATTTGTGTCCTCTCTCCCATTAGTAATAATGTCTTAGTCTCTCTTTCCAATTTGTGTTTTGAGTACATCTAACCACTCCCTATCCCTACTCCCTGCCAAGCTCCAATGACAGGAATGGAAAACAGGCTTGGACTGTTGGTATATCCCAGTTGAGCCCTGACTCAAGTAAGCTAGCCCTTGCCCTCAGGAAACTTAAAGTTTCATAAACATAAACACTGGTCATGTGGACTTGGGGAAGTCACTTCATCTCTTTGAGCTTTGTTCTTTTCATCTGTATATTGACCATGAGACTAGTGCCTGCTTCAAGAGGGAATTGCAAGAATTCTATTAAATAAAATGTTTGGTATTATCATGCCTGGCACATATCAATTTCTCAACAAATAGAAGCCAATGCTATCATGATATTATGTGGGCTTTAAAGTGTTGGAGTCTGTGCTGTGTTCGAAGTCTGTTCAGAATACAGTACAAATACCAAAAAGGGAGTGGTCAATCTGATGGGTTGGAGAAGGGCGGGCAAGAGGGGCTTAACAGCAGTGAAAAAAAGTCGAACTGAGTTATGAAGATGAAGGGATGTTTCTCAAGTGAGGGCAAAAACACACAGTCAGGGCACATTCTCACAGCCTGGTGTATTTTGGGAAGTGCAAATGTTTTGCTCGGCTGGGAGCAGGAGAAACAGGGTCACACCAAGATGGAGAGGTAAGGAGAGTCAGATCATCGAGAATCTGGAGACCACACTGAGGAACTTGGACTGTCTTCAGTAGGCATCTAATCACTTTAGTTCACCCCTTACCTACATTAAAAGCAACCTTTGGTAAATTCTAATACCACATTTAAACCCATTATAACATTTATTGGATATGAAATGAGCAAATTGAATCTTGAAACACCAAGAGGTTTACAAAAAAACTCTGTACAAAAAGTACAAAAAATCCAAGCCTTCTCATTTCAGAAAAAAGTGTCAGTGATGAAATGCCAATGATGCAGAATGAACTGGGCATTCTGTAGATGACCACCTGGCATGGCTTAGTGGGGAAAACCTGCTACCCGCCCCATCTCTAGAAGGAAACCTCGTGGGAAGAGAGCTGCAACTGACCTTCTGCATCACCTGGTTCAGATACACAAACATTCACAAGATACGGTTCTGTGACTGGATCTACTTAACCTTATCCCACCCCTAGCTAGGATGGGGACTCCTGTTTGCATCCCGGAAGCAGATATTTCGTGTTTGCCAAAAGCTAGTGCCGAGAAGCAGTTTAGAAAAATGGTTAAAAATCCTCGCCCCCCCTTTCCAGTTCTGCCACTTCCTAGTTGTGTTCTGGTTTCCTCATCTGGAAAATGAGAAAAATTAACAGTACCTATTTCGTGGGGATGTCGTTAGGTTTAAAAAATTAATAAATGTAGAAGACTTCAAATAGTGTCTGGCAGAATCAGCATTCACTGTTAGCTTTTGTTGCTGTAATTGTCTAGAGATGGAGAATTATTAACCTAGAGATCCTGCTTAGTTTCAAATTATTAACACCAGTATTCAAAATAAAAGTGATTTTCTTACAGGTATCATGTATGTTATTGGCCCATTTTACACTCAGTAGGAGAGAAGCCTACTGTTCATGTTGTTTGTGCCCTAGACAGTTCTCTTTATTCCACAACACCAAGCTCTTAATTCCATCCCAGTATGACAAGTGCAGTTCAAGTGGTCATCTGCTGACCCTCTGCAAGAGGTGGAGGGTGGGAAAGAGTGCTGATTTGCAGGAGAGTTTGGAGTTAGCTGGCTGGACCCACAGTCCAGTCCTGGCGCTGACAGGTTACTTAATCTCTCTAATCTTCAGTTTCCTCATCTGTTAAGTGGAGGTTTAGTACCATCTCACTTCAGAGAGCTCTTCTGAGGATTAAATGAACTAGTGCATGTAAAACACCCAAACAGTTCCTGGGACCGTGGAAGAAACTGATAGATTCTGGCTCTTATTCTTAGCTGTCAAGCTTAAGTGTCAGAGTGATTATTTTCTCAGGCAAAGAAAAATAATGTAGAAATAACATCTACCAGTCAAAGATAATTTCTGCTCATTTGGCTATGCCAATTTGATTTTCCAAAGGAATATGAAATTTCCACTTAGGCCATGAAGTCATTATGGCTTGAGAAAGTCTTCATGCTGATGAATTTTAATAAGTGAACTGTAGCGGTGTAATTTCATTCTCAGTTCACTTTTTTTTTTTAAGTTTGAGGTCTATCTTCTCTTTGATAATTTTACAGAAGCCAGCCAGCTACAGAGGGAAGTCAGAGAATCACAGAGTCATGGCCTATGGGAGATGCCAGGTGCCCTCGGAAAGCTCTGATCAAATTCCCTTCTTACTTTGAGGACCCAAAGAGCATTCATTGCTCTCCTCAGTCTTCCCGCATTCTGTTCTTATTGTACAAGGGTTGTGCCCTGCAAGCTACTTGTTCCTGGGGTTCCTAAGACAGGCCTCGTTTAAATTGTGAAGCACCAGCCACCGGGCATCACCCATCCCCTTCTCGTCCTCCTCCTTCCATCCCATCCTCAAAATCCTAACCCAGGACCACCACGTTGATGTTGATCACCCAAAGCACTGACTGTGTGCCCCAGCACCATATCCTGTATAGCCCTTCCCCTTCCTTCCTTCTTGACATGCCCTCTGAGCTGCCCCCGCTACAATCCAGGATAGGAAGAAAGATTACGTGGTGGAGAACAATGAACTTGAGTTACTTTCGTCCTCGCAGGTTTAATGGTAGAAGGAAATAGACGGGCCCTGAATACACACCCAGGTCTGAAAATACATTCTAGCTTGATTTGCAAATGGATCGCAAAATTTACCTTCTCTCTTCTCAGGGTGGCTGAGTGTCTCCCTCTCCTGCCAAAATTAGCAGGAGAGCTGCTGACCCTGCTGAGGTTTGCTGGCACCCCGCCCACTGCGGGGGAGGTTTCATAACACCTACCCCACAGGACCTCAAGCCAGAAGCAAAGCCCCAGAGACCGGCTTTTCTTGAGAAGAACATTCTCACATCTACACGCGATTTTTAGTGGGAAGAAAGCCCATTAGCACATTGTAGACACTGAAAATTCGACGTGCAAATTAAGAAAAAAATAAGGGAGAAAAAAAAAAAACCATGTATGAAGTTAGCTTAAGAACACTTCCTATTGGCCCTCCAGGCTGAAAGGAACAAGGTCAGCTGGTATGTCCCCTGCCTCTGGACAGAACAACCCTTGAACCTCAAAGTCCAAGTCCTGACTAACACAGGTCATGCTGTCGTTATGCTGTTGTTACCTATCACAGGTAAACAACTGGGATTTCCCCACGGAGCAATCTGTTCTAGTAATTAGCATCCTTTATTGCCAGGAAGCTTTCCTTACTATCATCAGCCATAAGTCTTAATTAAGTTCCTACATGCAGCCATTTCCTCTGCTAGATGCTCAGAAAACTGGGAGAAGAGAACAATGCAGTTTCCAATCTCCACCAAACAGCACCACTGCTACCTACAAACAGGTAGATGGGCTCTGTGCATGCAAGTTACGAAGTTATGACATGGGCCTCGCTGAAAGCCAAGCTCCAGGGTAATCATTATTGGTGCTGTTTATCAAATAAAGTGGCCTTTCAACGAGATGAAAATCATTCACCATCTTCCACTCATTCTTGCCAAAACAAGGTAGCATGACAAGAGGGCGCTAACTCTCGTTCCTTTCATTTCTATTTTCTTTCTATTCCTTTTTCTTTTTCTTTTTTTTTTTGAAACAGAGTCTCACTTTGTCACCTAGGCTGGAGTGCAGTGGTGCAATCTCAGCTCACTACAGCCTTGACCTACCCAGTTCAAGTGTTCCTCCTGCCTCAACCCCACAAGTAGCTGGGATTACAGGTGTGCACCACCATGCCCGGTTAATTTTTGTATTTTTTGTAGAGATGTGGTTTCACCATGTTGCCCAGGCTGATCTCAAACCAGAGCTCAAGTGACCCGCCCACCTTAGCCTCCCAAAGTGCTGGGATCACAGGCATGAGCCACTGTACCAGGCCTGTCATCTCCATTCTCTTGCTTCTGTCCTTTGCAGCTGGCCAGAATGGAAGAACACTGTTTTGCCCCGGCCTTCCTCTCTGATAGCACCTGCCAGCCACATTGATTTATTAGTGTTTTTTTAGATCCTCTATCATGGGGAGAGCTGAATAGAAATCCTGTTGTTGCTGCTGTTTATCTTCTAACTGATCACAAAGAGTTGGTGCTCACAGCCTGGCTCCCAACCGTGGCAGCGAGCCACGTCGCTCTCACTTCTTTCTGGAGACACAAATTCATAGTTAGATGAATCCCTCAATGCCTGTGTTCCAAACAAGTCAGCATAGAACGCTGCCGGCCTCAGCTGTTCTGTAAAGTGAGAGTGGTCTAGCTCTTGGGGTTGCTGGATAACTGACAAATCCTGTCAAGCTCTCAGATAGAGGCTGCTGGAAGAAAGTGACCGAGTTCAATGCTTAGCTAGGCTGTCCTGGAGCTTTGCCTTTGGTGTTCACGGGAACACAAGCATAGCACACAGTAGTTCTACCTTCCCTACCACAGACCAGTGGTTCCCAGTGCAAAGGAGGGAAACTAAGGGTGCCAGGCAGCATTTCTCAAGACTCTCTTGCAAAAGACATGCCTTCTAACCACCCATTTTGGTTGAAGGGGAGATGAGAGAAAGGGAAATTTGGATGGAAAGTAGGTAAGAGAAGAGATGGGCCCATCATAGGCTTGTCCCTCATCATAGTGAACAATGGCTGGACCACCTTCTCTGACCTGAATTGAAACTGGTCCAGCCCTCCTGGACCACTGGAGGTGGTAGATAGCAGAAGGAAGTAGTCTGGGAGTGCTGTGTGCATAGCACGAGGGTTAAAGGACATTCTGCATTTGATGAACACTTTACAAATATAATACAGTACCTAGACTTTAAAAATAGAATATCGATTTTTGTTCAATTTCCTTTTAAATCATTAAAATAAGTGTACAATTTAGGGTCACAGCAGCAACTGCCATAAACCAAGTAGCCTCACAGCCTCCTCAGCACCAAACAGAGGGAGGTCTCTTTCTTACTGACAGAGACCCCAATTCCTGTTCTATAGTGGGCCTGTCTTCATGGAATTCTCACTTGGTCACTTGATGACGTATTTTAGCCTTGAGGAAAGTTAAGCTGAAAATCTGCGCCTTTATCCCAGTGGAACTCTGGGAAAATGCAAAGGGCAGGTGACTGACAGGAAGCACCACAGGGAGAGAGCTGGGGTCTTCATCTACAACTCTGTGCATAGTGGAAGCATCTCTGAACCCTCTGGCATACTTCTTGCTCCCCCGACTGAAGTTAGAACTTACTTAGGGTGGGATCTGACCTAAGTTTTCCAAATAACTGTCCCCATCGTGGACTCAGCTCTGAACTGGTAGCAATGCACTGGGCTGGCAAATTAACTTGGACCTTCCTGAGGTGTGGCTGCCTGCAGACTGTTTTCTCTCTCATGACCTAGAACAGACTGGATCATTAAACAAAAGCAGTCTTAGGAAGATCATTAGGTAGAGTTAGGGCCCTCATTCACCTCCTGTAATGACAGGGACAACAGAGGGTCACACAGCTGGCACACGGAATCCAGAGGCATAAGCACACCTCAGCAAGGAAAGCTGGTCTTGTTCATGGGAAGCAACAAGGAGATCTCTGTAGGCATCAGTTTTTGGAATTGGTGGGTATGGAGCACAAGTAAGTGAGAATGACTTTTGAAAATTCTCCCAAGGCTCATGCAGGGAATATGGTCATATGATATATTTGCCCTTTGGATGTGTCACACATGCGTCATATACAGATGCTTCTCGTCCCATCACCCTCTTGAAGGCTTAGTTGAGAAATGCACATACATAATGACACAATCGTTCCTGGCCTTCAGATGACCAAGTGAGTGATGTTTGTCCTAGGCCCTGATGATTCACCAGTGCCAGCCAGACATGCCTCTGAAAGGCTGGTGACCCAACCCCCACAAGACTGCTCGGGACACATGCAGGCCTCTCTTCCCTGAGGTCTGTGTCCTGTCAAGGCACGAAGTTGAGGTAGGCAAAGGCATAAACCAAAACCCAACAGGAGAAGGGCGGGAAGAGGAGCAGGATCAGGAGCAGGCATCCCACTCACCCTGCAACTGTGCCGGGCAGCAATACAAACAGGAAGAGGGGTGATCAGGTCAAACGGAGGTGGAGGCAGGGAAAGAGGAGGGGCCCAATTTCTGGCCTCATTACTTCTGATCGTCCAAAATCAGAAGGAGCATGTAATTCTAATTTCTCTGACTTCATGATACCCTCTTAAACTTGTCCTGAGAACTTCGGACAGCTTCCCTTGAACTTTTTGAGTCACCTAGAGATGTGTTTACAAAGAAGAGATGAACAAAAATACAGGTTTTTATATGGATGGCTTTTTTTTTTCATTTCTGCTTTATACCCTAAAATGAAACTTCCCTGTTTTTATTTAAGCAATTTCAAGGTGTGGTGAGGACTAAGCTAAGATCCAGAACCCCAACTCCAACAGTTTAATTTTGTCCAATTCTTAATTTAGAGTTTCCCAAGCTGTATTCCACAGAACAGTAGCCTTCCTTGAAATGTTAATGAATGGTTCTAGAAATAGAAGTATTTTGGTTAAGCAGGTTTACAAAATGCTAAATTAAACAAAGTCAAGCAGTTCTCTTCACTGCTGGGCAATAATTGTAATAGCCAACTTTTATTGAACACCTACTATATGCTAGGAGTTATGTAAACATAGCTTGAGTTCTGTTGCACCTTACAAAACATTCATAGATGGGTACTGTTATTATCCTATGACAGAGAGTCTGACCAACCTCCGAACAGGAAAAAGAGATCTTGGTCAGTGGATGGGGTCAAAACTCAAGAAAACGTTGAGTGGGCAAGTTTTTAAGAGTCTAAAGCTGGCTTGCCCAGTTATAACATTTATCCTATTGACACATTTGTTCAGCCAGCAAATATGATAAAACAGTTTTGTGCTCCAGTTTGTGTTTTTAATTGGCCAATACTTGGGTGGCTCTACAAGTGAGCATGTATGCTGTGAGAGACAAATGACACAAGACTAAGACTGACAATGTCCTTCAGTTGCTGTGACTGAGTTGACCTCCAACCCATCATCAGGGTGAGGGAGGAACAGAAACTGCACCTGGAGAGGGAATGAGAGGGCAGAAGATGGAAGAGAAAGGACAAAACAGTACGTAAGACAACAAGCTAATTGTCCCTCATCTCAACCTGGTCTTTAAACCAACAGCTAACAACAGCTTGACTCAGGTCAAGTGAATCAGGATTTCTGCTAAGTTGTGAACTCACCAAAGATATCTCTAAATAAGCCAGACGTGAAGGATGAGCGTCCTACCTCACATAGCAGCTAAACACATCAGCAGCTCCACCAGGTAATAAAAGATCTACTGATTAAATGTTTTCCAACTAGCACTCACTATGAAATAAGATGACTTTGGTTTTGAAGGGTCTTTGTTCTGGAGTGATAATTACAGTAATAACCTTGATAAATAACAATAATAATAATAATAAATGTAGTAAAACTTCATTTACCCAGTCTCATTAGGAAAAAGAGATGTTACAAATAAGCAAATTTTCCAGGTTCCTTAATGTCATTTCTCTAAGTATCAAAACTTTTTATATAATCTAAAGACCTTTGATTGGAAATGCTCCTAAAATGAACCGCAGACATTGCTGTCTTGGTAACAGAAACATGCTGACTGTCATATGTAATGCTACAATCATGAGCAGTCCAGTTGCCTCCACCACTATTGAGGTTGGGATTCTGCTGTCTATACAATGCTGACACCAGACTTGTGTTTTTCAGATATTATTTTTTCGTCCACACTAGTGGAACATGAGCTGATGACCCTCACTCTTTCCTGCCATGCTTTCTCCCCTTGGCTGCTGGTCCCCTTCCTGCTAGGGACCTCTAGAGTACAAAATTCTACTCAACTTTGCTGGATATTCTCAGGTTACTCCTCCAGTCCACTTCCCGCCCTTCTCCAGCCAGCTCTGTGCTGATATATACCCACAGCACCAATGGGCACCCCCGCCATCCTCTGGCTTCCGGTTGGATTAGCAGGAGGTGAGAGGGCAGAGGAGATAAAGGTGGGATGCCAGGGGCTGCTCTCCCAGACCAGATGCCACAGGCAGTTCCCCCCGCAACCCCTACTGCCACAGGCCTTGCAGGCTCTGGTAACTTTTCCTCCTCTTGCTCCTTCTGGTCTAGGGAAGGTCACAGCTTCCCACCATGTTCACAGGCCCTGGGGTTCTTAACCATCCTTTGTAGGTTTTCCTAAACATAGCTTTGTAAATAGTGCCTTTATTTATAGATTCCGTTTGATTCCCTTTCAATGTGTCATCTGTATCCTCCAAAGACCCCTACGGACACAGAGATCAACCTTATGTGAGCCAGCGAACTTCTTCTCACTGAAGTCGTCTCTGAACCATCCAATTCCTCCTTCCTTCCATAACTGCACTCAGTGAAAATTTGTTATTGTTTCACTCACCAGTCCATTTTGCACTTTTGCGCATCTGTGTTCCCGATACTGCACAAGCTCCCTGATGCACAAGCCAAACCTCAGGTATCTTTGTTACACTGGGACCTAGCCCTGCGTCAAATACAGAAACTGCACTCACTGGAGTTAATGCTGCTGTCACCAGTCACTTCCTGCCACTGTCATCGTGCCTGCCCATAGCATGCCATCATCCCCTCTCTCACTCACTCCCACTAATGTTCTATAAGCTAGGGGAAGAAATCACAAGGCTTGTTATAGCTGTACTTAAAATTGGGGTAAATAGGTTCCAAGTGAGGATTTGAAAGATTCCCCTGTGATGAAATTAATTGATTATATGTCTATTTTAGCTGCTCAGAGGCCTTTGTCACATACTTCTTTGCTCTTGACCATGTCTTGAATACCTGAGATTACCATAAAACTGGCTCAGCAGCTGCTGCCAAGGGGAAGACTTCCAGGCTTTAACACCAAGACAGGGATGCTCACGCTATAACTATTAGCAATTGCGGTACTTACCATTACTTTTAATGCACCAACCTAGTAACAATATGCTTCTCAGCCAGGGAATGAGTAAACTCATTTTTTTGAAAGCTTTTCTATCAACTTTGCTATAAAAAAAAGAAAAAAGCTAAACTAAATATTATCTCCCTCACAAGAAACTTAATTCCCTGCATTTGGGTAAAATTAAGGAATCATTGGCAACTTTTTGGTGTGATTAGTAGAATTATTGTTATGTTTTAAAAAGAGCATTCCAGTAGTGGTGGCATAGTTTGTATCAGATTAACTCTCTCCAAAAATAATTCTATATCCTGGACAAATTCTTTTTTTTTTTTTTTTTTTTTTTTTTTTGAGATGGACCCTCACTCTTGTCACCCAGGCTGGAATGGAGTGGCGTGATCTCGGCTCACTGCAACCTCCACCTCCTGGGTTCAAGCAATTCTCCTGCCTCAGCCTCCCAAGTAGCTGGGACTACAGGCACCCGCCACCACGCCCGGCTAACTTTTGTATTTTTGGTAGAGACAGGGTTTCACGATGTTGGCCAGGCTAATCTCAAACCTTTGACCTCAGGTGATCCACCCGCCTCGGCCTCCCAAAGTGCTGGGATTACAGACAGGAGCCACCGTGCCCGGCCAAATTCTTTTTTTGAAGAACTACTTGAAAGCACTAGAAATTGACCAAATGCAGACGGTAGCTAGCAGAGATTTGACCCTCAAAAGAAGAGACAACACTATTTGGAAACTAAATTGACAGGGCTTTTCCCTTGAGGGTACCCCCTGGCCCCAGAAGCAGGGGGCAGCTGGCACTCAAGCAGAAGGTCACAAGCTTCTTGGCTTTAAAGATCAGAAGAGATAGGTGAGAGCTGATATCAAGGGGGTAATTCCTGGGAAGAACAGAGCCACAGAGAAAGGAGCACCCAAGTCTTTCATAAACTTCTGCTGTCCATGGTAAATCCCTAAACTGCACATGCACGAAGGAGACATCAGGAGTCCAGTAGAAAGAGGGTAGGCTGAGAAGCTGAGGAACATCTGAACTGCTGCCCTCTGTGCGGAAGAGAGTTTGGAGTTTGAACCCCACCAAGCTAGAGGAAACTGGGGAATGCCTCAGACTTTCCATGAAAACCCTACAAAAGGACCACAGGTTAGGAGTCAAGACTATGTCCAAAGACTAACAATTCATTCTAAGACTAAAAGCAAAACCAAAACAGAGCAACCCTAAGAAAGACCAAAACCAAGTTTCCAAAAGTTCAAGGACGTCAGTCAGTAATTTAATTACCTGCTAGAACAAAAATTAAGACTTCAAATAAATACTCTGAATACAATCTTTATAACATAATATCCACAACATCCAGTATAAAATCAAAACATACTGGACATGCGGGGGCTGGAGAGGTGACCTACACTCAAGAAAAATATCGTGAGTAGAAAGTGACCTGGAGATGATATAAATGTTGGAATTAGCAGACATGAGTTTTAAAGCAGCTATTATAAATATGTTTAGAGACTTTTCAAAAAGATGGCCAAAGAGGCTGGGCACAATGGCTCAGGTCTGTAATCCCAGCACTTTGGGAGGCCAAGGTGGGCAGGTCACTTGAGATCAGAAATTCAAGATGAGCCTGACCAACATGATCAAACCCTGACTCTTAAAAAAAAAAAAAAAAAAATTAGCTGAGCGAGGTGGCCATTGCTACTAGGGAGAATGAAGCAGGAAAGTTGTTTGAACCCAGGAGGCAGAGGTTGCAGTGAGCTGCACTGCAGCTCTGCACTGCCACTGCACTCTAGCCTGGGCAACAGAGCAAGATTCTGTCTCAAAAAGTAAATAAATAAATATAAATAAAAAATAAAAGATGGGCAAAGAACAAAGCTGGAGGCATCACTCTACCTGACTTCAAACTATACTACAAGGCTACAGTAACCAAAACAGCATGGTACTGGTACCAAAACAGATATATAGACCAATGGAACAGAACAGAGGCCTCAGAAATAACACCACACATCTACAAGCAGCTGATCTTTGACAAACCTGACAAAAACAAGCAATGGGGAAAGGATTCCCTAGTTAATAAATGGTGTTGGAAAAACTGGCTAGCCATATGCAGAAAACTGAAACTTGACCCCTTCCTTATACCTTATACAAAAATTAACTCAAGATGGATTAAAGACTTAAATGTAAGACCTAAAACTATAAAAACCCTAGAAGAAAACCTAGGCAATACCATTCAGGACATAGGCATGGGCAAAGACTTCATGACAAAAACACCAAAAGCAATGGCAACAAAAGCCAAAATTGACAAATCGGATCTAATCAAACTGAAGACCTTCTGCACAGCAAAAGAAACTATCATCAGAGTGAACAGGCAACCTACAGAATGGGAGAAAAATTTTGCAATCTATCCATCTGACAAAGGGCTAATATTCAGAATCTACAAAGAACGTAAACAAATTTACAAGAAAAAAACAAACAACCCCATGAAAAAGTAGGTGAAGGATATGAACAGACACTTAAAAACAGAAGGATATGACAGAAGGATATGAACAGACACTTCAAAAGAAGACATTTATGTGGCTGACAAACATGAATAAAAGCTCATCATCACTGGTCATTAGAGAAATGCAAATCAAAACCACAATGAGATACCACCTCACGCCAGTTAGAATGGTGATCATTAAAAAATCAGGAAACAACAGATGCTGGAGAGGATGTGGAGAAATAGGAATGCCTTTACACTGTCGGTGGGAGTGTAAATTAGTTCAACCATTGTGGAAGACAGTGTGGTGATTCCTCAAGGATCTAGAACCAGAAATACCATTTGACCTAGCAATCCCACTACTGGGTATATACCCAGAGGATTATAAATTATTCTGCTATAAAGACACATGCACATGTATGTTTATTGCAGCACTGTTCACAACAGCAAAGACTTGGAACCAACCCAAATGCCCATCTCTGGTAGACTGGATAAAGAAAATGTGGCACATGTAAACTATGGAATACTATGCAGCTGTAAAAAAAGGATGAGTTCATGTCCTTTGCCAGGACATGGATGAAGCTGGGAAGCATCATTCTCAGCAAACTAACACAGGAACAGAAAACCAAACACCACATGTTCTCACTCATAAGTGGGAGTTGAAGAATTAGAACACATGGACACAGGGAGGGGAATATCACACACCGGGGCCTGTTGGGGGATTGGAAGCTAGGTGAAGGATAGCATTAGGAGAAATACCTAATGTAGATGACAGGTTGATGAGTGCAGCAAATCACCATGGCACGTGTATACCTATGTAACAAACCTGCACATTCTGCATATGTATCCCAGAACTTAAAGTATAATGAAAAAAAAAATTATATTTTTGAGTTAAAGAAATAAAAAATAAAACTAAATTTAAAAATAAAATAAAAATAAAAGTAAAAAGATAGCCAAAGAGAGTTACCATATGAGTAATCTCAGCAGAGAAATGAAAGCTATATTAAAAAAAAATAGAAATTATAGAACTGAAAAGTACAATATTGAAAAAGGAAATAGTCACTAGACAGGCTTAAAAGCAGATTAGAGACAGCAGAAGAGTCCGTGATCTTGAAGAAATAACAATAGAAAATATCTCAATCTAAAGAACAGAAACAAACACCAGTATATAAAAATCAACTGTATTTCTATATACTAGCAATGAACAATTGGAAATGGTTGTTTTATTCTGTGTCCAATAGCAGCAAAAGACAAAAAATTATTTTTTTTAAAAATCAGAAATGTGCAGGATCTTTACACAGAAAACTATAAACATTGCTGAGATAAAGAAGACCCAAATAAATGGAGGAGTATCTCATGTTCATGGATTGAAAGACTCAGTATATTTAAGATGTCAGTTTTCCCCCAAATTGGTGTACAGATCAATACAATCCAAATCAAAAATCCAGGATTTTTTTTTTTAGAAACTAACAAGTTGATTCTTAAATCAAATTGACAAGTTGATTTATATATAAAAAGGAAAAAACTTACAGTAGGCAAAATTTTTTCAAAGAGAAGGACAAATTAGGGGGCTCACATTGCCAGATTTGAATATTTGCTACAAAGCTACAGTTTTCAAGACAGTGTAGAACTGGTGTAAGAATAGACAAATAGATAAATGGAACAGAATAAAGAGTCTAAGAACCGCACTTAAAATAGTCACTTGAGTTTTGACGAAGGCACCTGAGCAAGACAATGGGAGAAACAAAGCATTTTCAATGCATTGTGGCAGAACAGAAAAAGATGGGAAAAAACTAAAACTTGATTCCTACCTCACAGCAAATACAAAAATTCACTTGAGACAGATCACAGACCTAAATATAAAAGCCAAAACTTTCATGAAGCTCTGAAAGAAAACCAGAAAATATCTTTGTGACTTTAGGGTTGGCAGATTTTTATTAAAGATGATACCAAAAAAGCAGAACATTAAAAAAACTGACTACATCTAAATTTAAAAAAAAAAAAACCACTGCTCATCAAAAAGCGCAGTTAAAATATTAAAATGCAGGTGAAAGACAGAGAACATATTCACTATACAGATATCTGACTTATATCCAGAATATATAAAAAAGAAATCTTTCAAACAACAATAAAAAGACAGGCTAATTTTTAAATAAGCAAAGTATTTCAGCAGACCGGTCACAAAAGTGAAGTAGCCAACAAGCACATGAAAAGTAGCTCAAAACCACTAGTCATCAGAATATAATTTAAACTACAGCAAGGTAGCATTTTACATCCATCAGAATAGCTAAAATTAAAAACCTGACACCACCAAGTGTAAATGAGGTTGTAGAACAACTGTAACTCCATACATTGCTGGTTGGAATGTAAAATGATACTACTTTGACAGCTTCTTATAAAGTTAAACTTGCATCTATGCTATGACTCAGCAATTCCATTCCTGGATGTTTACTCAACAGAAATGAAAGCATGGGTCCGCAAAAAAACGTATTCAAGAATGCTCATTGCAGCTTCGGTCACAATAGTTCCAAACTGGAAAAAAAAAAACATCCATCAACAGAAGAATAGATAAACAAATCATGGCGTATTTAAACAACATAGTATTACTCAGCAACTTTTTGAAAAAGAATGAACTACTAAGGGCAGCCACAGAGAAAAGTCGGGTAACCCACAAAGGGAAGCCCATCAGACTAACAGCGAATCTCTCAGCAGAAACGCTACAAGCCAGAAGAGAGTGGGGGCCAATATTCAACATTCTTAAAGAAAAGAATTTTCAACCCAGAATTTCATATCCAACCAAACTAAGCTTCATAAGTGAAGGAGAAATAAAATACTTTACAGACAAGCAAATGCGGAGAGATTTTGTCACCACCAGGCCTGCCTTACAAGAGCTCCTGAAGGAAGCACTAAACATGGAAAGGAACAACTGCTACCAGCCACTGCAAAAACATGCCAAATTGTAAGGACCACTGATGCTAGGAAGAAACTGCCATCAACTAACGAGCAAAATAACCAGCTAACATAATAATGACAGAATCAAATTCACACATAACTATACTAACTTTAAATGTAAATGGGCTGAATACTCCAATTAAAAGACACAGACTGGCAAATTGGATAAAGAGTCAAGACCCATCAGTGTGCTGTATTCAGGAGACCCATCTCATGTGCAGAGACACACATACGCTCAAAATAAAGGGATGGAGGAAGATCTGGCAAGCAAATGAAAAACAAAAAAAGGCAGGGGTTGCAATCCTAGTCTCTGATAAAACAGACTTTAAACCAACAAAGATCAAAAGAGAAAAAAAAGGCCATTACATAATGGTAAAGGGATCAATTCAACAAGAAGAGCTAATTATCTTAAATATATATGCACTCAATACAGGAACACCCAGATTCATAAAGCAAGTCCTTAGAGATCTACAAAGAGACTTAGACTCCCACACAATAATAATGGGAAACTTTAACACCCCACTGTCAACATTAGACAGATCAACGAGACAGAAAGTTAACAAGGATATCCAGGACTTGAACTCAGCTCTGCACCAAGCGGACCTAATAGACATCTACAGAACTCTCCACCCCAAATCAACAGAATATGCATTCTTCTCAGCACCACACCACACCTATTCCAAAATTGACCACATAGTTGGAAGTAAAGCATTCCTCAGAAAATGTAAAAGAACAGAAATTATAACAAACTGTCTCTCGGACCACAGTGCAATCAAACTAGAACTCAGGATTAAGAAACTCACTCAAAACTGCTCAACTACATGGAAACTGAACAACCTGCTCCTGAATGACTACTGGGTACATAACGAAATGAAGGCAGAAATAAAGATGTTCTTTGAAACCAATGAGAACAAAGACACAACATACCAGAATCTTTGGGACACATTTAAAGCACTGTGTAGAGGGAAATTTATAGCACTGAAAGCCCACGAGAGAAAGCAGGAAAGATCTAAAATTGACACCCTAACATCACAATTAAAAGAACTAGAGAAGCAAGAGCAAACACATTCAAAAGCTAGCAGAAGGCAAGAAATAACTAAGATCAGAGAAGAACTGAAGGAGACAGAGACACAAAAAACCCTTCAAAAAAATCAATGCATCCAGGAGCTAGTTTTTTGACAAGATCAACAAAATTGATAGACCACTAGCAAGACTAATAAAGAAGAAAAGACAGAAGAATCAAATAGACGCAATAAAAAATTATAAAGGGGATATCACCACCGATCACACAGAAATACAAACTACCATCAGAGAATACTATAAACACCTCTATGCAAATAAACTAGAAAATCTAGAAGAAATGGATAAATTCCTGGACACATACACCCTCCGAAGACTACACCAGGAAGAATTTGAATCCCTGAATAGACCAATAACAGGTTCTGAAATTGAGGCAATAATTAATAGGCTACCAACCAAAAAAAGTCCAGGACCAGATGGATTCACAGCCGAATTCTACCAGAGGTACAAGGAGGAACTGGTACCATTCCTTCTGAAACTATTCCAATCAATAGAAAAAGAGGGAATCCTCCCTAACTCATTTTACGAGGCCAGCATCATCCTGATACCAAAGCCTGGCAGAAGCACAACAAAAAAAAGAGAATTTTAGACCAATATCCCTGCTGAACATCGATGCAAAAGTCCTCAATAAAATACTGGCAAACCGAATCCAGCAGCACATCAAAAAGCTTATCCACCATGATCAAGTGGGCTTCATCCCTGGGATGCAAGACTGGTTCAACATACGCAAATCAATAAACGTAATCCATCATATAAAGAGAACCAAAGACAAAAACCACATGATTATCTCAATACATGCAGAAAAGGCCTTTGACAAAATTCAATAGCCCTTCATGCTAAAAACGCTCAATAAATTAGGTATTGATGGGACATATCTCAAAATAATAAGAGCTATTTATGACAAACCCACAGCCAATATCATACTGAATGGACAAAAACTGGAAGCATTCCCTTTCAAAACTAGCACAAGACAGGGATGCCCTCTCTCACCACTCCTATTCAACGTAGTGTTGGAAGTCCTGGCCAGGGCAATCAGGCAGGAGAAAGAAATAAAGGGTATTCAATTAGGAAAAGAGGAAGTCAAACTGTCCCTGTTTGCAGATGACATGACTGTATATTTAGAAAAACCCATCATCTCAGCCCAAAATCTCCTTAAGTTGATAAGCAACTTCAGCAAAGTCTCAGGATACAAAATCAATGTACAAAAATCACAAGCATTCTTATACACCAATAACAGACAAATAGCCAAATCATGAGTGAACTCCCATTCACAATTGCTTCAAAGAGAATAAAATACCTAGGAATCCAACTTACAAGGGATGTGAAGGACCTCTTCAAGGAAAACTACAAACCACTGCTCAATGAAATAAAAGAGGATACAAACAAATGGAAGAACATTCCATGCTCATGGATAGGAAGAATCAATATCGTGAAAATGGCCACACTGCCCAAGGTCATTTATAGATTCAATGCCTTCCCCATCAAGCTACCAATGACTTTCATCACAGAATTGGAAAAAACTACTTTAAAGTTCATATGGAACCAGAAAAAAGCTGGCATTGCCAACACAATCCTAAGCCAAAAGAACAAAGCTGGAGGCATCATGCTACCTGACTTCAAACTATACTACAAGGCTACAGTAACCAAAACAGCATGGTACTGCTACCAAAACAGAGATATAGACCAATGGAACAGAACAGAGCCCTCAGAAATAATACCACATATCTACAGCCATCTGATCTTTGACAACCCTGACAAAAACAAGAAATGGGGAAAGGATTCCCTATTTAATAAATGGTGCTGGGAAAACTGGCTAGCCATATGTAGAAAGCTGAAACTGGATCACTTCCTTACACCTTATACAAAAATTAATTCAAGAGGGATTAAAGACTTAAATGTTAGACCTAAAACCATAAAAACCCTATAAGAAAACCTAGGCAATACCATTCAGGACATAGGCATGGGCAAGGAGTTCATGTCTAAAACACCAAAAGCAATGGCAACAAAAGCCAAAATTGACAAATGGGATCTCATTAAACTAAAGAGCTTCTGCACAGCAAAAGAAACTACCGTCAGAGTAAACAGGCAACCTACAGAATGGGAGAAAATTTTTGCAATCTACTCATCTGACAAAGGGCTAATATCCGGAATCTACAAAGAACTCAAACAAATTTACAGGAAAAAAACAAACAACCCCATCAAAAAGTAGGCAAAGGATATGAACAGACACTTCTCAAAAGAAGACATTTATGCAGTCAACAGACACATGAAAAAATGCTCATCATCACTGGCCATCAGAGAAATGCAAATCAAAACCACAATGAGATACCATCTCACACCAGTTAGAATGGTGATCATTAAAAAGTCAGGAAACAACAGGTGCTGGAGAGGATGTGGAGAAACTGGAACACTTTTACACTGTTGGTGGGACTGTAAACTAGTTCAACCATTCGTGGAAGACAGTTTAGTGATTCCTCAAGGATCTAGAACTAGAAATACCATTTGACCCAGCCATCCCATTACTGGGTATATACCCAAAGATTATAAATCATGCTGCTATAAAGGCACATGCACACATATGTTTATTGCAGCACTATTCACATAGCAAAGACTTGGAACCAACCCAAATGTCCATCAATGATAGACTGGATTAAGAAAATGTGGCACATATACACCATGGAATACTATGCAGCCATAAAAAATGATGAGTTCATGTCCTTTGTAGGGACATGGATGAAGTTGGAAACCATCATTCTCAGCAAACTATCGCAAGAACAAAAAACCAAACACCGCATGTTCTCACTCATAGGTGGGAATTGAACAATGAGAACACTTTGTCATCAAAGAAGACAAAGAAGGATGCGGCAATGTAGGTATAGAACTTGGAGATGATGGTGTTTTGGCAGTCAAGGAAGGAACAAATTTCAAAAAGACACAGATCTTTCCAAACCACTCTTCTAAGAAATCCATCCATTCAAGCAGGGTTATTTCACTATTTCTTAAATGTGTCTAATGCGTCTCTAGTTCTAAGCTTGGATTCCCTGTATTTGCCTCACTTAAGAGGCTCATATCTACTCATCTATTTTGACCCACCAGGGAACCCCAACACAGGTGCTAAATTGTCCTCACAGCACATAGTACAATACCTTACCCAGAGAAGGAGCTCACGGAGTGCTGGAGGGTGCATATATGGGTTCAATCACCAACCATCTTCAGGCTTAACTATATGTGTGCTGATAGGGAGAGTCAAGTGGTTAACAAAAATATATGTGCACTGAGAGGTCAAATAAACCACATCTGAAATCTGTTTAATCCAAGGAATTCTTGAACATACAGTTACCATAAATATATGTCACCACTGAGCACAGAAAAGGAAAAATAACCTAAGATCGAAATGAATATAATATGTGTGGCAACAGTGGGAAAATTGGTATGTCAATCTCACACAGAATTGTTGACTAACAAAGAAATTAAATCTCTTGGCCGGGCGCGGTGGCTCACGCCTGTAATCCCGGCACTTTGGGAGGCTGAGGCAGACGGATCACGAGGTCAGGAGATCGAGAACATCCTGGCTAACATGGTGAAACCCCATCTCTACTAAAAATACAAAAAATTAGCGGGGCGTGGTGGCGGGCGCCTGTAGTCCCAGCTACTCAGGAGGCTGAGGCAGGAGAATGGCGTGAACCTGGGAAGCGGAGCTTGCAGTGGGCGGAGATCACGCCACTGCCCTCCAGCCTGGGCTACAGAACAAGACTCCGTCTCAAAAGAAAAAAAGAAATTAAATCTCTTTAAGATAGGGTATAAACACAGCTTTCCAACACCAGTGATTTAGTAATTATTCCACATAGAGATATCTGGGTAGAAGAAATAATTAATAAAGGTCTTCAAATTCAGGCCAATAGTCATATTGTTTATTATACAAAAAATAATCCTCTCTGCACCCCCCTCCCCACAGTCTGTGGGGCCAGATTTTTTAAGATCTTTATACAAGAAGCAAGTTCACCCCAGAGGAGAAAAAAAATCAGAAGATAAATACTAATCCAAACTAATTTCCTACAGCTTGAGCTCCTTTGAAATTTTATGATCAGTAAGAGGGCTGAATCCCCAGCAATATATTATTCTAGTTCCTCTCTCTTAACAATTGGCTGGACCCCAGAAAGGATATCACTTAAAACTGTTACTACATACACACTGCTTGCAGGGCCATGGGGAGGTTCTACACTCGGCTGCTGGGACTATTGTCTTTGGCTACTATCACTCAAAGTGCTTGAGCTTAAAAAAAGAAAAAAAAAACCCTTTACAATCATTTTTCATAACTTCCAAGAGCAACTCAGTGTGGTTTACTTCATTTAACAAATTAAAGTCTCTGGCACACGAGGTGGCATGCCCTTGGGTCATCGATTGTTTTAATACCCATCAATTAATATTTATTGAACCACTACCTTGGGCTCCTCCACCACATCCACCCACATGGATAGCAGCATCAATGGCCAGGCCTTATGAACCAGAACTCTGCTCTAAGACTTTAAAAAACTGTGGCTGCTGTCAGCATCAAACACCAGAGTCCTTGGTTAGTACAGTGGCCAAGGAAGCTGGCAGTGGCCTGTCAGTCTCTCTTCTTCCAAGCTGGAAGGCTGACTACATGAGCATGCCTTTCTGGGTCCTGTCAAATGATCTAAAGTGCAGAGTAATATTGCTTCCACTTTACTAGTGCAATGCAAAACTTCATGCAAGGGAGTTTAAGTTGTGAATGTGGCCATCAAGTGGCCTGACTGAAGACATGTCTCATGAGCAGGGCTCTCTTATCAAAGGAGTAAATCCTGGCATTTGAGGAACACTCTCATCTCCTGTGACTGACAGCAAAATATCACCTTTAAATTTGTTTACTTTAAGCCTTCCTTTTCCAGGTTCCTCCTTTAAATGCAATGTCCTGGTAAAGCTACTCTACTGAACCTCTAATGTTTTGTGCATTAGAGGTCCTCACCAAGTTAAAAAAAAAAAAAAAAAAAAAAAAAAGGATGCTGAGACCCTGAGGTGCTCAGAGGCATTGGAAGGGGTGAGAAAGGCAGAAAAAAAAAAGGAATTCTGAGCTTTTATCCTCTACAGTTTTGCCTCAGACTCCTTCAGTTACACTGATGGGTATAACTGCTGGAGCTGATACATGTTCTTTCTACAGGCTGAACTGGTAATGTGTCTATAGTCCATATTTTAAGTGATCGGACTATTCCAACAAGAATTTAAATTGTGTTTCAATTGTGAAGAAGCTGGCCAAATTAACTGAAGTGCTGTTCTCCTTCATACAGGAAAAAAAAAAAAAGAAAATAGCATAGCATTTCAATTATAAAACATATTCCCACGCTGCATTGCTATTTTAGTCATGCATATTTAAGTATATTGTCACCATTATTGCAAAACATCTTTCTAACTGAAATTAATTACATTACCACACATAATGGAAAAAAAACAGTGACTACCTTTCAGAAGGACAAAATGAAGCTCATTGCTTGGAAAAGACCTTTTTCACAGGTATTGTGGCTCTTCACATTTTCAGATTGTACCACTTCAATAGTATTTTTGAAATTAATAAATCCATACCTGCCAATATGTGCCAATTGCAAGCAAATACTTATTTACGATCAAACAAAAAACACTCTAATCAGGAGATTCCCAAGTTCTTCAAATATTCTACTTTAGCACAACTAAAGCTAAGTAAAGATTAGAGGAATAAACAAGTTTCCCTTTTAGTCCAAGAAAATGGGAGTAATGTATATTTTTTAGATTTTAATACCTCTTTATTTAAATGAGTTCTGAAAGCCAACTGATAGTTCTTTAGCTAGAGAAAATGAATGGCTTTTAATCAGCCATTCCTCCTGCAACACCTCAGTCCACTTGATTACATTTTCCTAATAAAACTAATCTTATTAAACATGTTGCCATGCGAACTCATTATTTTTCTGTTGTTAAAAGCCAACTTGTAGTTTACCTTTATTCTCTCAAATACAATTAGCAAAGCCCTCCAGTGCCTGAAAGGACCTTTTTATATGGACAAATTATTCCCTAGCTGACTTTAAAGAAAGGGAGTGAGGGCGAAGGAGGGGAGGAGAAAGCCTCCTTCTATCCAGATGCAGCTCCAGCAGAAGAGCCCAGCCTTGCAGTCTCGCTGGAAGGGCGGCAAATACAGCTTCATTTTATTTCTCCCATTAGCTTCTCCCATTAGCTTAAAATTTTTTCTCTAGGAGTATACAATTCCAATTAAATGATATTGTACAAGGCAAGAGGGCAGGAAGTGTCTGGCCAAGATTTTATTGATGATCTGATAACTTTTCAAATAACGTCACCTCCCATACTGCTTCTGTGCAAAACTAGTATCAAAATCCAAGTTGGTTTTCTGTTTTTGTTTTTGTTTTTGTTTTTGTTTTTGTTTTTGTTTTTGGAGGTGGAGGAGTCTCGCTCTTGTTGCCCAGGCTGGATTGCAATGGTATGATCTTGGCTCACTGCAACCTCCACCTCCTGGGTTCAAGTGATTCTCCTGCCTCAGCCTCCCGAGTAGCTGGAATTACAGGCACCCACCACCACACTCAGCTAACTTTTTTGTATTTTTAGTAGAGACGGGGTTTCACTATGTTGGCCAGGCTGGTCTTGAACTCCCGACCTCAGGTGATCCACCTGGCTTGGCCTCCCAAAGTGCTGGGATTACAGGAGTGAGCCACCACACCCAGCCCCAAGTTGGTTTAAACAGCTTTAATGCTGACACTTCTCCCTCATATAAGGAAATTAGAGCATTGTTTTTCAACATTTTAGACTTTCCAACATGTGACGTCTGGGCTATTCTAAACAATTACTTTTTAAATCCAGTCCCTTTCAAACACCTTGGCTAGATAAACCACCTGCTCCTCAACCTCTTGTTTCATATTTGAGTGTCAGAGGGAGACCTGGGAGAGAGGGAATGCCCAAACACACATCCCACCCCCCTATCAATACTGCTGTGCATTGGTTACTACTGGGGTATTTGTTTAATTAGTTAAATTTTCATCTAAATAAGGAGAAAAAACAAGCTACGGGTGGCCTGCTAACCTCAAACGAGCAAATATCCAAGGTTATAAAATCACCCCCTGCTCAGAATACCTGGTTAGAAATAAAAACAGCATTTACCAAATTCTACCCCAAAAACAAGAACAAGGCTTGGCCACAGTCAGGACCCTGCCTTCCCTCCTTTGGCACTAGAAGGATGCTGTCTGCAACAATGGAGATTGCTACAGAGTGGATTCATTTCAGAGGAGATGGTCTCTGCTCTCTAAGGGTACAATGGAAGGTAACTGCGGCCCTTTCAACAAGTTTATATCCTCAAATATTTTTCACCTTTTTCTCTCTCATTTTACAACAAAAGAGTTTTAACAGATTGTAGAAAGGGTATAAAATTGCTACATTATGCTGTGATAAACTACAAATAACCTGCCAGGACACAAATATCTCCAATTATTTTTTATGTAAATATCCCTGTTTTTACCTTAAAATTGAGTCACCTCAATTTTTTAAAATCTACTTTAAAACCTAAAAGTCTCCTTACACTGGGAACAGGATCCCTAAATGATGTTCCTGTCCATGTAGGAAAGACGCATTTTTAAAAGCCAACAAAGAGCTATGTTAGAGGAAACAGCTCCAGACATAAAGTAAAATCAACAGTCTTCATATACCAAGATGACAAACCTGCAAGACACCACCCTTTTTGTTGTTACCTGGCAAAGCAATTGGTATGCATTATTATTCGTGTGTTTTGCTTGTCTGTAGTTGCTTTTAAAGAACCACAGAAGTCAGGTATGTCCACAAGGGTAAAAGAATGCACTGAGTTAGTAAATGAAGAAAAGCAGCCCTTAGAAGGAAACTATAACCAAATGGGAATTTCTAAAGGAGCTAGGGCATTTTGGACCAAAACATATGTTCACTCGCTCTCTCAAATACATCCTGTCTCTCTTTCCCCTGCTTTGATAAGATTATTCCCCACCCCACCTCCACCCCACAAAAAATGGCACCACCATCTTTGAACACTTGCATGGTACTACAGAAGAGATTTCAGGTAAATCACAGCCATATAAACACAGATTCTTTCTAAAATCCCCACCAAAATGAAATAAATAAATGTTTTAAGACATAAACCTACAAGTCTAAAGAGTACAGAAAGGAAATAGCAGATAAGAAATATCGACAAGCCGGGAGGGGTGGCTCCCGTTTGTAATCCCAGCACTTTGGAAGGCTGAGGTGGGCGGATCACCTGAGGTCGGGAGTTGGAGACAAGCCTGACCGACATGGTGAAACCCTGTCTCTACTAAAAATCCAAAAATTAGCCATTAGCCATGCGTGGTAGCCGGCGCGTGTAGTCCCAGCTACACGGGAGGCTGAAGCAGGAGAATTGCTTGACCCTGGGAAGCGGAGGTTGCAGTGAGCCGAGATCGCGCCACCGCACTCCAGCCTGGGTGACAGAGTGAGAAATATCAACAAAATGTTGGAAGTTCGGAAAAGGTAACTGACTCAATAGAACTGAAAAACTACAACCAAAGTGTACACAGAAGGGTGGCAGGGAACTCCAACAAGAAGCAAAGCCAGTCCAGTTCAGAGGCTCTAGAATTGGAGTCACTGTCACCTCTGGAGGTGGGGGATGCAGTGGCACTGAAAATAGCAAGATTAGTTGAAAGTCTGTATAAGGAGCTCTCATAATTATTTTTATGTAAATATCCCATTTTTCAACCTTAAATTGAGTCGGATCTCCTCCCTAACCTTATACAGAGAAGAAAGTGCCCGTCCCATCCAGGCAAAAGGCGTTAGTTTTATTGTCTGAAGATGTTGAAGCCAAGAAGATCTGAACAGGAAGGTACCAGGCATAGCTGAAGATTGGGTGAAGCATAAAACTGAAAATTGGGTTTAAGTAATAAGTCTGCAGTCCTAAAGGTGAGACTTTCACTCCCTGGGCCCCAAGAATATAGGGCAGCCTTATGACCCTCAAGAAGGAATTTGGAGGGGAATTTTGTAGTGAAACTGAACAACCTAAGATAAGCAACTTCCAGATATTCATATTTGGGATAATCCGTTGAATAACAAGCTTGATACATTATTACCCTATAGTAAAGTTCACCACTATAACAAGTTCCACTCATACACACAGAGCTTCTGGAAAGCTCCATAGTGGCTCACCCTTAAATATAAACAGCTAAGGATTACCAAAAGTTTAGGAAAAGTTTATAATATAAAAGAGAAAGAGATCAAAATTAATAGAAAAAAATGAACTTGAAAGGCAAACACTATGCAGAAAGTAAAAGAAAATTTTTTTTAAAAAATCTTTTTTCCTTCTGATTTAGTTCTCAGAGGAAAAAACCTTATCTCAACAAATGTAATATACCTGCAATTGTAAGAAGCACCTTTTTTTCTAAGTTGCCCTTAGAAAGAAAAAAATTCTACTTATTAAATTATAACAGCCCACCAATTATAAAATGAATCTCAATTTTGGATAAGTTAAAATATTTTTTAAAAGTGTATTCTACAACTGATGAAAGCATGCACTCAGAAAGATAAAATATTGTATACAGGAAACAAGTCAAGGTGCTATCTTTTAAAAGGGGGGCACAGAAAACAAGAGAGAGCTCTTGGAAATTAAAAATATGACAGCAAAAATTAAAAATTCAATAAATAGGCTGGAAGGTAAAGTTGAGTCAATTTCTCAGAAAGTAAAAGAAAAAAGAAGAGTTGGAAAATAGGAGAGAAAATTAGAGAATCAACTGAGAAGAGCCACATCCCATTTTAAAGTTCCAGAAAAAGCAAGCAAAAAGTGCTCATAACAAGGATGTAAAAACACTCATATTATTGTGAAATTTCAGAACACCAGTGAGTACAGTTGTCTGCCTATTTCATTCCCCTCCAATTCATTCCCCTCCCTTCATCTGCTTTGCTCTGCCCTATATCATATGAAAATTACTCCTCCAGGTCCCTTTCCCTGTCAGCTGACATCTAGTTGGTTCAGCCAAGAAGAAGCACTGGTGGGAGACTAGCACCAGAAAGAAGAAAAAAGCCAGGATATTTCTCCCACTTTCCCTTTGCCTCGGGCAGCATCTCTAGAAGAACCTGCATTTATCCTTTTATCTCCCAGGGCAACCCTACCTTTGGAGTCTTAGGAAAACTACCTCTTCCTTGGTCCTTCCAGCTCTACAGGTGGTAATGCTTTCTGCTGTTGCTAATCTCTGGCTTGCATTATTCTTGCATTTGGCATCTCAGTTCTTTCTACATCTTAAAGGTAATTCCTCATATTAAATCCCTGTTGAATCACCTGGCATAGGCTCTATTTTCCTGACTAGATCCTTACTGATACAATCAACAATACAGAGAAAATACTAAAAGCTTCTAGAGATGGAGAAAAAGAAAGCATGAAAAATATAAATAATCAGAATGGTAACACCAAAAGCTACAAAACAGCAGAGTAATAGCATCAAAATTTTGAGGAAAATTAGTATTCAAAGAAAATTTTATACCCAGCAAACTGTCAATTAAATGTAAGACTAAAACAAAATGTTTTCTGATACTCAAAGTCTCAAAAGATTTTCCTGCCGGGCATGATGGCTCATACCTGTAATCCCAGAACTGTGGGAGGCTGAGGTAGGAGGATTGCTTGAGCACAGCAATTCAAGACCAGCTTGGGCAACATGATGAAACCCTGTCTCTACTAAAAATACGAAAATAAGCTGGGCATGGAAGCACGCCTATAGTCCTAGCTACACAGGAGGTTGAGGTGGAAGGATCTATTAAGCACAGGAGGTGGAGGTTGCAGTGAGCTGAGATGGCACCACTGCACTCCAGCCTGGGTGACAGAGTGAGACCCCATCTCAAAAAAAAAAAAAAAATGCATGCCTCCTTTCTTCTTCAAAACCACGGGGAAATTTAAGAAAAAAGGAGATCTGATACCTGAGAAAAGAGATATAAGAGAGAACTGAAGGACATTTCCAGGTGGTATTGGAGAAATAAATTGCTCTAGATTAGAGCAGGAAGATAAAGGGTTTTAAAAAAATCAGCATTATCTAAAATGTTTGGCAGAGAAAGTGAAAATGAAACAGTAAGAACTACATAGGCACAGAAGCAAATAAAAAACTAAGGCAATTAGTAAGGCCAGAGAAACAAAAAGCTATACTGGAAAGGATATGTAATTGTAGAATACTATATGGTTCTACTATAAATATTTATATGGTCATAATAATAAAAGCTCTGAATTTTTTTAGCTTTTCTTCACATTTTATTTTATGAATGTATTTTTAACCAGAAACTATGTTATAAAGTATTAGGAAGGTAGAAGGAAAAGGAAGAACTGGCAGAGAAAGAGTACATAAAAGAGCTAGCTAAATCTTTTTCCACTTTAGGAAGTCAAGAGATAATATCAAAATTTTTACTATCAAAAACAGCAATATGGATAATCAATTTTAGAAATGTGGAGAGAAACAGCAGAAAAGCAGATAAAACATTAATGATGATTGTCTCTAGGGAAATGGGAGTTAGAAGTAGAGAATGGCAGAAAAGAAGATTCATGTTTATCTATAACTCTTTAGTACTATGAATGTATTTTTAATTCATTATATTGGGCCCTTTCAATCTAGAAAGTTGTGTATTATTTATCATTTAATTTGTTGTGTATCATTTAATTCATTATATTGGGCCCTTTCGATCTAGAAAGTTGTGTATTATTTTGACTTAAACAACAACAATATGAGGGAAGGAATGTGAACTTCACCCAAAGACAGAACCAACTGTTAAAGGGACAGTCAGTGAATGGGTCTCAAAAGTGCCAAACACAAATCAGGAGAGTGGGTCAAGTCAAAAGTGAAATTTACAGGCCAGAAAAGCCAAATAAGCTGACTGAGAGGAAAATCTGTCTCCCACACTGACTCAGTCTAACATGAGAAATAGTAGCAGGGACAAATTTAAGTCTACTCTTAAAAGCATAATGCAAAAACACTGGGAATTGAAAAGAGTGAACTGTCTCCCTAGTCCAGAATGAAAAAATGAATATATCTTTCATTTCAGAAATAAAACTAATGGTTTTTATCATGTAAGATAAGGTAGCATTTAAGCATTTAGGTCTTTGTTCAGTTTCTTCCAAGGGAGTGATTTTTCAGTGCAACCTGACATACACGATGTTGTCGTACCCTATCCATGTGAATAAACAGGGTTCAGGACAGTAACTGGGTGAATGGAATACTGACAAGCCATGGTCTAATTCAATAATTTTCTACTTTTTGCTACACTGACCCCCATTAAGAATCAGATGATGGATGCTGACCCTTCTCTCCAAAAGTATACACACGTGCACTTACACACAACATTTTGTACATAATTATAAAGTGTTAACACAGCCTAGGTCAAGAAAACATCCACCTAACGAGCTCATGAAAACATGAATGAATTTGAAAGGTACCTCTTACTAAAGAACAAAGTGAACTCACTGTTTAATTTCGATTCTCTGGAAACATGGATATTTTCACACATATGCCACATGTGATCTGCTACAAAATAAACTGTCCAGACTCCTGTGATTATCACCAGCGTGTCAGAGTGCTTTACACTAAGGTATATGTTGTTTTTTGTGCATGCTGGCATAAGAATGCAGCTCTCATGGGCCCCCAGAGCTCACAGTCATGGATATTTATGTACCTGCTCAAGTATTTTTAGGGGGTGAGGATCCCACCCCAAATGGGACCACTCATTTTCCAGGATCAGACTCACATTCATATTTCTGGAGCACTCAATAAACAGCATCTGATTATCAAAGGAATGATGGTTTATACTTCAGAAAAAAATAGGAAAACCAGGTCACTGAGGATGAAGAGGAGATGAAGTCCTAGCCAGACTTTGCCAAGTGTCTGAAAGAGGAAAGAGAAATCGGTATCTTACAAGTGTGTATTTGGGCAGGTGGGGTGCAGGGAAAGGAAGGAAATACTTCAGCCTGTGTTGCTGCCAGGCTCACGTGTAGAGCCTGAGACACATAATCTTCAGGTCATGGGTTTGCCCCCTTATGGGGTACATTGTTGTTAAAAGGGTCAGACTGATGTAGTGGAAAAAGAAAGTCACTGACCCAGGCAGGAGTCAGGGGATGCAACTAATCTTGGCTTGGCCACCACACAGTGCATTCTAAAACCAAATACCAGTGCTCTGGAATTGGAACTGCTCATGGGCAGAGGCCAAGCACCACCATTAAGATGCCCTTGAGTGAGGGCCACTGTACATATGGGCAACCCAATAGAAACCACCAGAAAAGGCCAGGCGGGTACTTGGCAAAAACTTGTCTGAGCCATACCTAGAGCCCCACTGACAGTTGAGAGCCTCTGCAGTAGGGCTTTACTTCTCACTTTAGATTTCAGGGGACCTCCAGATGGTCCTCAGAACCCCCACTGTGAAACCCCATTACTATCCCCACACTATTTCCCATGGTATAATTGAAACTGAATACTTCGCTTTGTGTACCCAATAAGGTCTAAGCATAAGACTCCACCACCAGCCAACATCACTGTACTGCCTGCAATATACTAGTTACATTTGGAAAGGCCACCCCACCTTTCTCAGCCTCAGTTTCCACCACTGTAGAGGAAGTGTGTTTGATTTGACGTACTTTCTATTCAATAATAACAAAAATAATAACCATAATAATAATAGGTACTTTGGCCATTTCCTATGTGCCATGTACACAGTAGGGGAATGCAAGAGTGGGCAGAAACAAGAGTAGTTCCTGCTTTTGTAGAGTTTACAGTAGAAGAGACAAAGGTTAATCAGAAAATCCCACACATCGGTGTGTAATTACAACCCAAGAGGTGTGCTGCGATGCAGAGGAACCGAGCACCATGACATAGTCTGGGGTGTCAGGAAAGACTGTCCTGAGGAAGTGATGTTTGAGTTACAATCTGAAGGATGAGTAAGAGTACTGCATGCGGTAGGCACAAAAGAGTGTCATATGTATCAGCCTGGAATACAAGAAACAAAAGTAAGAGAAATGATAGCTACCATCCGATGAATGCTTACCAAGTATTCATCACGGTAAGTATTCATCATTGGTAAGCACCGATGAATGCTTACCATCCAATGAATGCCTGGCATTGTGGTGAATATTATTTTTATACAATTCTTGAGTTATTTGAACAACTTTTTCAGTCAAAAATTGTTATTCCCATTTAATAGCCAGTAAACTAACGAACTAAGTCTCAGAAAGGTGCCCAAGATAAGAATTGTAAGAGGCAGCCAGGTCTATGAAATCCCAAGCCTGCGTATTTAACCACTGGGCTGCACTGCCTCCAGTGGTGGTCACTGAGCCTCATTAAAACATGATGCAGGCTGGGCGAGATGGCTCACGCCTGTAATCCCAGCACTTTGGGAGGCTGAGGCAGGCAGATGACAAGGTCAAGAGATCGAGACCATCTTGGCCAACATAGTGAAACCCCATCTCTACTAAAAATACAAAAATTAGCCAGGCGTGGCGGCACGTGCCTGTAATCTCAGCTACTTGGGAGGCTGAGGCAGGAGAATCACCTGAACCCGGGAGGCAGGGGTTGCAGTGAGCCAGGATTATGCCACTGCATTCCAGCCTGGCGACAGAGCAAGACTCTGTCTCAAAAAAAAAAAAAAAAAAAAAAAATGCATCAGAATGGAATAGATTTCCCCTTGGTTCACTAGTAAAAGAACAAATGCATTTTTTTAATATTATAGTACCCATAGGAATAGTGGGGACACTGTCATAAGATACATGTACTAATAACTAGACAATTATAGCATATGCAACACTTACAGCCCCAGTGATAGACTAGCCCTAAACAACCCTATTTTCTATCACACCACACACATGTAGCACCCAAGCTGAGGGAAACAGGAGTGAACACTGGACTCAGGGAAGCTAATTTACAGGCTGCTAATAGCATTTGAGACAACCCAGCCTGAAAATCTCCACCTAGGCAGGCATGTGTAGGTTCAACCATAAGTATATTCTCCAAAATATGAACTGGGAAATAGAACGATTCAGTCTTGAGGTTGAGATGGTCCTGAGTTATTCTAGGAGTGCAGAAATGGTTACAATCAGAAACATCTACTAATGCAACTCACATCACAACTTTATAACAGAATAAAGAAAAACTGAGTATCACAATATGTGTAAGAATACGCATTTGATAAAATTCAAACACTCAAATCTACACAGAATAAAATTGCATAGAACTTAATACACACACACACACACATACAAAGAGTATAGGTAAAACTGGGAAATCTGAGCATAATGACTGCATTGCATCCGTGTCAATATCCTAGTTGTGATCTTATAATTTTCCAAAATGTTACCATTGCGGGAAACTGGGAAACGTATACAAGGAATCTCTCTGTATTGCATCTTAAAACTGCATGTAAGTGTGCAATTACCTCTACTAAAAAGTCAATTAAAAAGAGAGAGGGCAAGAGATGGATAGAGGAGAGAAGAGATCAATTTTACCAAAACAAAATGGCATTAATCCATCAAAATTTGGTAAATTATAAATATGAAACATTAATTTTACTAAAAACATCATTGTTACTCTATCCTCTCAATGCTTCAGTATAGTCTGTAAATATTTTAAAGTTTCAAATTTTTCATTTTCAGAAGACCATAACCTTTTTAAAGATGCTGACAACATGGTAATACGATGAATGCAATACTAACATATAAGAAATAGAGTCAGTGGTATCATACAATACATAACGCCTAAAGTAAAAAAATCTATGTCCAAAGATTTTCCTTAACCTACATTATACAAACCTTGATGCTTGATGTGCTATTTTTGTTTCAGTTATCGTATTAGAAGGAATAATTTTGCCAAAGAAAAAAACTTCACTAACAAGAGAGAAAAGGGAACTGCCACAGTCTAATAAAGAGTGTCCCCCGAACCCCACAGCAAACATCATGCTTAAGTGGTGATGTGAACAGATATGAATTCTGTTATATGCTCTTTACATTAAAGTTAAGATGCCCACTATCACTGCTTCTGTTTAATACATATTGGGATCCCACCCAAGGCCATTTAAAGTTTTAATTTAATTAATTATACTTAATTTTAATTCAATATATTTAATACTAAAATTCAATTAAGCATACATATACTTAATTATATTTTTAAAAAATTACCTTATTTACTTATTTTTTTAGAGGTGAGGTCTTGATATGTTATCCAGTCTGGGCTCAAAGTCCTGGACTTAAGCAATTCTCCCACCTCAGCTTCCCAAGTACCTGGGATTACAGGCGTGTACCACTGTGCCCAGCTTCTTAAGTACACTTTCAATTAAGCATACTTAAAAGTAGAAGAATTTAAAAGAAACAAAACTGTCACTATTCCTAGGTCATGTGATTCTTTGGAAAATGCATGGTAAATTTTAGAACAAATGAGAGAGTCCACCAAAGTCACTGAATTCAAGACGGATAGCAGAGAACGAAGAGCTCATGATGGGCATCATGAACTGGAGTTCTAAGTAAGCAGATGAGACAACTCATTAGCACAAATAAGAGAAGCAAAAAGACTGAGTCTAGAGAGAAGACCCCAGACTCCTACAGGCTCCCGCACCACACTAGATCAAAGACTAGTCTCTGCGAACCCAGCCACACCAGGTGCTGGCTCTTTGGCTCCCATAGTTCCTTCCCATGATACTTACCAGGATCACTCGTCTAACCTAACTTGATAAACATCTGCAGCTGGTGTTCACAACAGCCCAACTCAGCCAGGCGTGGTGGTGTGCACCTGTAATCCCACCTACTCCAGAGTCGAAGGCAGGAGGATCCCTTGAGCCCAGGAGCAGCCAGAGCAACACAGGGAGGCCTCATCTCAAAAAAAAAAAGAAAAAGCCCCACTAAAACCTACATACATACAAAAGATGGACACATCTTCAGAACTAAAATAAGTTATTATAGTTAGCTCTAACTTCTACTTAAAATTCTAATTTTTATTTATTTATAAAGTCAGTTTTAATAGGCCCACCATCAGAGGGAAGCAGTATGGTAATCTAGGGCTGCAAATAATCTCTAAAGTGCTCTTATCAGGTTTGGAATGTACTATAAATCTTTGTAGTAGGTATACCTTTCCAGTGAGATTTTGCTTAGACTACCATTAAAATAAGATTTAATATTATGAACACAGAATAACAGATAATCAAGAAGAATTACCCAGTAGTGGGATGCCAACTTTTTCTTTGAGACAGGGTCTTACTCTGCCACCCAGGCTGGAGCACAGTGGTGCAATCACGGATCACTGCAGCCTTGAGCTCCCTGGGTTCAGGTGATCCTCCTACCTCAGCTTCTCAAGTAGCTGGGACTACAAGTGCATGCCACCATGCCTGGCTAATTTTTGTATTTTTTGTAGAGATGAGGTTTTACCATGTTGCCCAAGCTGGTCTTCAACTCCTGAGCTCAAGCAATTGCCTGCCTCAGGCTCCCAAAGTGCTGGGATTACAGACGTCAGCCACCACTCCTGGCTGGGATACTAACTTTTGCCCAGTGAGAGGAAACCAGACAACATGGCACCACTGTTGAGTCTTTAAACCATAAAATTAATATGAACCTAATAAAGTAAAACAATATACAGTGGCATATGTAAAAGAGTTTGATGTTTTCAATAATGACCCAGGCTACATTTAGCAGCACTACTGAAGGAAGTTCAGTACCCTTTGTGTTCTTTCATATTTCTGAGACAAAGGATTTGGATGATGACAACACTATCACATGTTTCCTTAAACGTAGGCTCTGTTGCAGAAACCCTACTTCTTTCATAATTCAGAACACGCTGTCCAATACGGTAGCCACTAGTCATGTGTGGCCCATTGAGCACTCGAACAAGGCCTCTGCACACTGTAAGTGTAAAATCACACTGGATTTCCAAGACATAGTACAAGAAATACATTAAAATCTCATTAATAATTTTTAATTGATTAAATGTTGAAATATGTTTATATTGTGTTAATTGGAATATATTATTAAAATTAACTTCACCTGGGGTTTTTTTTTTCACTTTTTCAAATATGTCAACTAGAAAATTTTAAATTCTATATGTGGCTCACTTTTTTGGGTCACATTGTATAACTACCAGACAGCACTGATTTAAAAAGTCAAAAGGTATTTTAAATGATGTGAATATAGTATATGTAACATTTAAAACATTAATAAAATGTTTATAAGAACCTTTGTATGTCATTTGATAACAAATTCCTATAAAGACAGGTATAATCTTGCAACAATGGTACAAAAGAGGTACAGTTTATTTTTTTCTAACTTTCTGACAGGGATAGCGTTAAATGCTTCAGGTAAATAATCCAAAATCCTCCCAACAGGAAAAAGTAATTTGAATCGGGGAAACTGAGCAATTTTTCCAAGATCCCACAGCTCAGAAGTGCTAGATCTAGACTCAGAAGGCAGCTCTGAGGCCAATGCCAGTACTCTGTGGTACCTCAAGTAGAGAAACTAGGAGAAATCCTGTTTGGAAGTGGCCATCTCTTATGAAGTTGATCATTATCCAACTTGGGCAGAGACTATCCAGGCCATATGCCTATCATTAAGAAGGTGCTTCTAATTAGCTGGGCATGGTGGTGTGTACCTTTGGTACCAGCTACTCAGGGGGCTGAACTTGGAGGATCGCTTGAGCCCAGGAGTTTGAGGCTGCAGTGAGCCGTGATCGCGCCACTGCACTCCAACCTGGGAGACAGAGCAAAATGTTGACTCAAAAAAAAGAAGAGGAGGAAGAAGGTGCTCCTTTTCAATTTGGGATGCTGTAGAGTGATTAGTTTTGAAGACCAGCACACCTACTCAACTAGCCCAAGGTGCCCATCACTCATCCTGTTCTAAGAAAGGATTTACAGGAGTGGCATGTTGGCCATGTAGCAAAGCATGTCAGAGGCAGTCAAAACAATGATGCCAAATGAGGTGTGGTCAGCTGCCTGCGGTGCCAGCTCTTAGATGAATCCCTCTGTTTAATCCTCAGTCTGAAATGAGGTTCTGACTCTTGTCCACTCTTGAAATGCACTAGTAACAACAGCACTAATGGAATGTGAAGCCCTACAATATGTGAGTAGGAAGCAACTTACAGCAGAAAGAGGCAACAACACCATCCACAAGCAGACTAGCCAGAACGCTAAGCCAGGCTGCCAAAAGAAAATGTATCCTAAAACCCCAAATATCAGCTGCCACCAAGCTTTGAAAAAATTAGGCATGCAAATCTTTGGCACCCCTTCATCCTCCTTCTCCCCCAAAACCCTCTTAGTCAAATACGTGATGGAAGTCTACAGACATTCTACTCAGCACCACCACAAGTGCCCATGAAAAAGCAATTGTCTGTCCTTCCTGCAGCAGCTGAAAAAGTGTAAGTGAAGGGTAGAGATGATAGTGGGTATACTGAGGAGGGAAGGAGGAAAACCACCCAGAAAGGAAAAAAAAAAAACACACACACACACACACAGAAGGCAACAGTGACATTCAGACCTGAACCTAGGAATTTTTGAATGGCTCAGAATGGGACACTCTGTCATCTCTGATTTAATTAGAAGACAGTTTTCAGGATGCTAAAGGTCTAGGCTCATAATCAGGCACTTACGTAATCCTCCATATTGAGCCCTTGTTTCTCAACTGAACTTTTCACCTCCATGGAAAACTTCTCAAACTCAGGTTTCACTGTCCTCAGTAGAGTGACTGTCTGGAGGGACGAGTATGCTTGCTTAGCTTCAAAGTCGTGTTTGTCTCCTCTCTTCCATGAGCCATCTCCTATGGAAGAAATAAAAATATTTATAATTCCAAGCCAGCCACCATAAAGAGGCCATTCTCCCTTCACAACTGTGAGGCGCCCCCGCATGTTACTTTTGGCAACCAGGAAGAGAAGTATTGTCATAGTTTTGCACTTAGGTATGATGGGACAACGTCAAGACCATTAAAGGAGAAGAAGGCCCTTTGGACATGTGTTCCTTTGAAATGTGAGCGAGAAAGAAGAGTACTGTTGAGGTAATTGCCTTGTAATAACCATGTAACTGCAATTTTCAGCCCTGCCCCACCCCCAAAATTGCAGCACTGTAAGAGAAAGAACTCAGTTTTTATTCCTTGCCATTCATACTTCTTTTTTAATACCTACAATCAACTGTGGAGGTGAATCAAGTGGCTAGTGTGGTATAATAAACCTGATGTTATGTGTGTGTGGGACGGCAGGTCACAGTGACGCATGACAATGGATATGCACAACTATTAGACAGTTAGTGATGTTACTCATAAGTGGGAGTTGAACAATGAGAACACATAGACACAGGGAGGGGAACATCACACACCAGGGCCTATCAGGGGGTGGGGGGCAGGGGAAGGGATAGCATTAGGAGAAATATCTAATGTAGATGACGGGTTGATGGGTGCAGCAAACCACCATGGCATGTGTATACCTATGTAACAAACCTGCACATTCTGTACATATATCCCAGAACTTAAAGTATAATTTAAAAAAAGAAAGTTAGTGCTATTAAAATAAAAGTTTGAGATTATTGATATTTCTTGAATCTTTTCAGGGTGAACAGTAGCTTAGGTGAACTCAAAGATTTGTGTCTCTCTCATGCTAGCAACATCATAGAAATTATTTATTAGACAATGTCCATTAGTGCATTAGTGGTAATGAGATAAAAATTGCTAACATTTATTAAGCACATATATTATAATAATAATAATAATAAAAGCTCTATTTGTTGAGCACTTTATATGCGTAAAAACATTTACTCCTCAGAAGACCCCGTGATATGGGTACTATGAGCCTCTTTATTTTACAGATAAGAAAACTGATGCATTGAGAAGCTAGGTATCCCAGTGTTTCACAGGTCTCTCTTTTACAAAAGCAAAAAATTACATGAATAAGAATAATTATTTTTCTCTTCGTTATTTTATTTTCAAGAAAACGTGGCTTACAGGGCCCCAAAAGGCAAGGTGGACCTCTAACTTTTGACAATGAGCTATTTTTTCTACGAAGTATTGTTATGATTCCTGGAGAGCTCTGAAAATACAAGGAACTCCACCTGCTGGAGTCCAGTGCCAAAGTCATTTGTTTACCCCAAGCCCCCTCATCCTTGGTAGAGGCCTTGAACCCAACAGCTAAGCAGTGAGAATGTCTCTGGGATATACGGCCAGGACTTTGTGGCACTCACTCTACTCTTCCTGAAGAAGTTTAACAAAGACCTGGTGGCTTTGGAATTTCTATGACAGTGTGAATCAGACAAACATCTATGAACTATGCAAGGTCCTGAGATTGGCAGGGTGAGCATTGTAAATACAGTCTCCACCACATTCAAGAGAGAGGCTGAGGGTGTGACATGTAAACAGTTGAAGTTATCACAGGTAGGACCACAGCTTACTATGGGGGGTACAAAGAAACAACACAGAGTAGAGAGGAAGATGCAATGAGCTCTAACCCGGGGAAGGCTGCATGTGAGGAAGAGGCATTAGAAAGGTCCTAACTGTGTGAACACGATTTTAATAGGAGGGGAGGAGGGTGGAAGGCATGCTTGGCTGAGCCTACATCACAGCACAGGCAAAGGTGCAAATGTGCCTGACAGCCAGGAGGCAGCTGGGCACTTAGTCTAGAGCCCGAGAAAAGGCAGAGACAAAGAAAATGTTTGCAGAGGCATCTGTATAATCATAATCCTAATAATAGCAACCATTTATTAATTGCTTACATGTGCCAGGGAGCTGTTAAAAGACAAATAAGACACAGCTGAGGACAGAATTCATTAGGAACTAAATCTGTGCTCAATGAGCATAAGATTAAATTTCAGGCCACCGAGCAAAACTTGACAAAGTCCTCCTCCTCTCCCACGAAACCTCCCAGACACTGAGGAGGCCACAGTGTGAGCAGAGCCATACCCCTGCTCGGGCCAGTGAGCCACCAGGCAGGCAAAAACCAGCTGGATGCTCCATCACCAAGATACAGCATGGCCTTTGTTAAGGGGCCAAGTCCATTGCCAGGAAGACCCCAAATTCTAAGAATGCTCAGGACATCTTTGTCCAATGGAGGAGCCCATTGCTTGCAGGCATGCAATAAATAGTTATTGATTCATTTTTAATTGACTCAAAGTATCAAGACTCAGTAGAGGTGATGTCTTAGGCAAAGAGGGTGTGAGTTTCTCAGCTCTGGAAAAAAGTTCTCTCCAGGGGAAGGGAAATGCTTAACTCTACAGACTTGTATGTTATGTAATTAGAAAACACACATAGGACTAGAAACTGCAACTATCTCACGGACCGAAATGGACAAAAACTTTTTTTAATTTGCAAAGAAGTAAAATCCAATACAATAAATCTGTCTACCACAATCTAAAAGGTAACGGCTTTGGAGTTTTGTTTTCCTTTTTTTTTTCTTTTTTTTTTTTTTTTTTGAGACAGAGTGTCTCTCTGTCACCCAGGCTGGAGGGCAGTGGCATGATCTCAGCTCACTGCAACCTTTGCCTCCAGGGTTCAAGCAATTCTCCCGCCTCAGCCTCCCGAGTAGCTGGGGTTACAGACATGCGCCACCACACCCGGCTAATTTTTGTATTTTTAGTAGGGACAGGGTTTCACTATGTTGGCCAGGCTGGTTTCAAACTCCTGACCTCAAGTGATCCACCTGCCTCGGCCTCCCAAAGTGTTGGGATTACAGGCGTGAGCCACCGAGCTCAGCCTGGAGTTTTGCTTCCTAGAAAAAATGAAGGAAATAGTAGTGCTTATTAAATTTAAGCCAAGCTAAATAGGTATCTATTCCCAACCATAACTGATACTACGACTTCTTGCTTTTGTGGGCATTTCTAACTGTGGTGTGTCAGTAACATTTCCCATATCAGGGCTGTTGAGCATTAGGAAAGCAGAGGTCGGCTTGGCATGACGCCCCATCAGTGGGGACAAACTTAATGCAGTAGACAACTGGGTGCCTCTAGAGATTTATGAGCAGAACAGAAGAGTGATATGATGAGAATCAGCCTTGGGAAATAGCAGTGGATTAGGGTGGGGGAGACACCAAGCGTTCACAGCCGCAGTAATCCAGGCAAGAGGTTAGGGAAGGTTATATGTGGGAAGTCACACCAAAAAAGCTAAAAATGGTTCTTGGGATGTTACAATTATGAGCAAGTTTTCTTTTCCTTTTTTTTTTTTTTTGGTATTTTTCTGAATATAGTAAATTTTCAACAATAAGCATTGACTTTTATTATAAAAAAAAGAGATAGAGCCCTTGAGAACAAAGGCAGAGCACTGTGCGTGAGGAATCTCAAGACTGTACAACAGTAAGGGAGTGAGGGACAACACAGAGGGAGGCATGTCACAGATGACGCCAAAGAGAAAAGGAAAACAGGTTAACAGTAAAGAAGCAGCAGAGCCAGATGGAGGAGGAGGGGTTAGAAGGACATGGAAATGATTATTTCAGTTAGGGGTATGGTAAATCCAAGGCGACTGCAGAATGCCCAAGTGACCACCAGGCTAGAGGTGGAAATGCTACTCCGAAGCCAAAAAGAGGAGTGAGGACTAGAGACCGTGCTGGGTGTCATTTCCACACGGCTCCAAATTAGAAACCAGGGGCTGCCTCGCCAGACATGAAATACAGTGCAGAAAGCAGAGGGAGAAGGGCAGAGCACAGACACTTTGGGGGGATGCTATTTTTAGTGGGCAAGAGGAGTAAGAGGAAACAGAGAGGAGCTAACAGAGAACCAGAAGAATGCTGTGTCACCAAAGCTAAGAGCACAGGGTTACCAGAAAGGGATGGATGGCAACAAGATCGAATGCTCTAGAGCGGTGCTGTCTCACAGAGGAGCCACTAGCCACATGTGTGACTATTTAAATGTAATTAAAATTAAAAATTCAGCTCTTCAGTCACACTTGTCATATTTAAAGTGCTCAATGCCACATGTGGCTAGTGGCTACCACATTGGGCTGCACAGACTAGAACATAGCCATCATTGCAGAAAGTTCCATTGGGTGGCACAGCTTTGGAGGCATGAAGCATGGTCTTAGGTAAGGCTAATGGATTTGGTAATGAGAAGCTCACTGGTGACCTTGAGGAAAGCACTTGCAGGGGAGTGGTGGATTCTAATGCTGTATTGAACACCCAAGCTTGCACTGGGTACAGAATATTTATGAAAGAGGAAGGTAGTCTGCTCAGCACCAAGCCCTGTGCCCAGCGATCCTGTGGTGAAGAGCTGCAGCCAATAAGGGGTACCCATGTTGGGGTAACTGTGCCATCCTGTAGTTCCCAGTACTTACCAAGGACCTAGCACATAGTAAATTTTCAATATATATCACCTGAATGAGTGGCTGAGACATCACAGAATGTGTCCAAAAAATGAATGCTAAGCATTCACCTGGCCTGGCCCCACAGTACTGTGGCTCTTCAGCTCTGGTGGTCATTTAAGGAGAGAAAATATCTGCCTTCCTTGGCTTACCCCCACCCTCTCCAAACGACCCACTGTCACATGCTTGCCATGGCTAGGCTGGTCCAATTACACCCATTGTTAATAACAGCACCCCTTAATGGGGGATACCACTGTGCACAGCTCCATATGGCTGTTCGACCTGCAGTATTTCTTTCTTTAATTCTCCTAACAACTCTTTGAAAAAGATTTAAGTATAATCCCTATTTTACAGATGAGGAAATTGAGGCTCAAGGAGATTAACATGCCCCAAGTCGTTTAGCTAATAAATGATAGGAACAATATCCAAATGCAAGCCAGACTCCAGATACCAACACCCCACCTAACCTACATTCATTTCATCAGAGTTTGGGTGTTCTAAGATTTAAAACTGCATATGCGGTGATTGACAAAAACGTTAAAAACAAATGTAGAAGAGGAAAAAATATCAAAAGGGGAAGTGCCAAAAGCTGTTTAGCAGCTGTTATGATTGATGAATTATGTGAGAATTCTTTTTCTTTTTTCTATGTTCCAAATTGACTTTAATGTACATGTATCACTTTTATGGCAAAACATAATTCTAATCTCTCCCTGGTTTTTCTGTTATTTTTCCATTTTTAGCCAGTCAAATAATTTAATTTTTGCCCATCACCAATCTCTACTATACTTCTGTTCTCATCTTAATTAGTGCTCTCTGAGTTCTCAGGAAGATAGGGAAGCTCTACAATAATAGCAGTTCTAGACAGGATCGCCCAGATAAGTTACCACCTAACTCACCTTCTAAGTAGGTAATGCCAATGGACAAAAATGTCAATCGGTGCCTTTAAAAACTCTATGGGGCAATATATATTATCTTCTTTCTAGACTTTTTTAAACCTATGTTTTAAGTCTTATTTTCAATCACTTGAATTATCCCATAATATGTTACCCATTGAACTCCTGTAATCACATAATTTGGGCAAATCTGAGAATCTTTTTTTGAGTGCTCACCAAGACCAAACAATCTAGTAATTAGTAATAATGGACGCACTATCAATATGTTTTTTTTTCAATCCAACATCAAGTAAGTAGTGACTAAAATTAGATGCCTTGGCCGGGCACGGTGGCTCACGTCTGTAATCCCAGCACTTTGGGAGGCCGAGGCAGGCGGATCATCTGAGGTCAGGAGTTCGAGACCAGCCTAGCCAATATGGTGAAACCCCATCTCTACTAAAAATACAAAAATTAAGCCGGCGTGGTGGCACATGCCTGTAATCCCAGCTAGTCGGGAGGCTGAGGCAGAAGAATTGCTTGAACATAGGAGGCAGAGGTTGCAGTGAGCTGAGATCATGCCACTGCAATTCAGCCTGGGTGACAAGAGCAAAACTCTGTCTCAAAAAAATGAAATAAAATAAAATAAAATAGTAATAAATAATAAAATAAAATAGAGGTCTTTTCCTAGAACAAGCATAGGGTTTGGTGTGAAGAGGCCCAGGGAGAGGTAGATGTTGAACAACTTTTCATGAACATATATATCTGATTATTAGGGCACAAAGTTTCAAACAAGGCCCTTTACTACTGATGTATAGCAGAACCTTGGTCTAGGTCACTCTGCCCACCATGTGATTCTGTTGACTGCTTCTACCCCAAGGAAAAGGGTGCTTCAGAGTCTGTGGAAGATGGACAGTTGCCTTCCTACATCCATGCTCTCTTCTTCCTCAGTAACAGATTCCTAAATTGATGTAGGATAGCAGTGAGTCCAATTAAAAGCACACATTCCCTGATATCCCCTGTCACTAGAGCTAGTCAGTGAAATGTAAGCAGAAGTTAATGAGTGGGGCTTCCAGGAAAGCCTTTCACAGAGAACCATGTCAACCAGGAGGGTCTCTTTTTACCTGTTGTGTTGTCTCTTTGTCTTGCCTAGAATTAACACACGATCCCTGGAGCTCTAGCCACCATCTTTGATCTTGAGAATGGATTTTTTTTTTTTTTTTTTTTTTTTTTTTTTTGAGACGGAGTCTCGCTCTGTCGCCCAGGCCGGACTGCGGACTGCAGTGGCGCAATCTCGGCTCACTGCAAGCTCCGCTTCCCGGGTTCACGCCATTCTCCTGCCTCAGCCTCCCGAGTAGCTGGGACTACAGGCGCCCGCCACCGTGCCCGGCTAATTTTCTGTATTTTTAGTAGAGACGGGGTTTCACCTTGTTAGCCAGGATGGTCTCGATCTCCTGACCTCATGATCCACCCGCCTTGGCCTCCCAAAGTGCTGGGATTACAGGCGTGAGCCACCGCGCCCGGCCGAGAATGGATTTTATGCACTAAGATTGAGAGTAGCAGGAAAACAGAACCAGCTTGGACTCCTGATGACATTAGGAAGTCATCATCCCTGCCCTCAACTTCCCACCCCTGGATGTGCTTCAGGTAAGAGAATAAATCTCTACATTTGTTTAAAATCACTACAACTGGACGTCTTGGTTAGGTGCATGAAGATGCAATTCCTAATGCACCGAGGTCCTTGGGATATATTATATTAACATTGGCTAACCTGATAACAGAATGTGTGACCTTAAATCTATCTATAAACCTAACACCACAGAAAAAATGTATAAACTTAACATAATTTTTTAAGTATTAGGTATAATGGTAAAAGTAAACTAGGACTAATAAAATATAGCTAACATTTATTAAATAGTTATTCCAAGAAGTTTGCAAGGTATTTTATATACGTCACCTCATTTATTACTGAGTCTGATGCCATAAGATAAGTATTATTATTCTCATTGAAGAAACTAAGGCTTGCAGGGGAGGGCAGAGTTATGTTACTTTGCCAGGGTTAAGGATTAAGCTCTTAACCATCTCTTAACCCTTACCTCTTAGAGTTAACAGCTAGTTCATGGCAGAGCCTCTCAGGCAGAAAAACACCAAAGCACAAAGTCTGAGCAAATATGGCGTAAAAGGTAAAATATAAAGGATCTAATCAGAAACCCCAAGTATACTTTGTAAGTTGTATAAGAGCATTCTGTATAACTCTGTGTAGTAGAATTTTCAAGAAGCAGAAAAATTAAACTCATAGGAAAGGAAGTGTTAAAAAGTTGTCCAAACATCACCAGCAATAAGTCATATAGTATGGCTTCTTACGCACTGGTATTATGCAATGAGAGGGACACAACATCACGCCTGCAGTATTCTCACCAAAATACATAAACTCAATCTCATTGTGGAAAAATACCAGATAAATCCAAATTGAAAGACATTCTGCAAAATAATGGGCTCATGAAAAGTGTCAAAGTTAGAATAATCTTCCTTACATCTAAAAAAAATCTTGTTGAAATTTTTGTAAGATATTTATTTAACCTCAATGTAAGAAAAAATTGTCTTCTTTACCATGTTGAGTCTTCCAATTCATGAACAAGGTATGTCTCTCATTAATACAGATTTTTTTATTTCTTTCATTAGTGGTTTCATCAGTGTTTTGTAGTTTTCAGCAAAAAAACTTAGACATTTTTTAATTTACATTTTTTAAGTATTTCTTTTTTGACTAAATGATATTATATTGTTGATTTTGGCATCTACATGTTCATTGCTAGAATATAGAAACACAAGTGATTTTTGTATGTTGAACCTGTATGGTGGGACCTTGCTAAACTCATTAATTAGCTTTAAGGAATTTTTCTAGATTATTTGGGATTCTCTACATAGACAGCCATGACATCTGCACAAAACAGCAGATTTTTTCTTCTTTTCCAAACTGTATGCTTTTTATTTTCATTTCTTGCCCTGTTTATCTGGCTAGAACCCCCAGTGGCAAATTGAATGAGTAATGAAAGTGAACATCCTTGCTTAGTTTCCTGTATTATGGGAAAAGCATTCAGTCTTTCACCATTAATTGTGATATCAGCTGCGAGGTTTTTGTAGGTGTTCTTTGTCAACCTAAGCAGGTTCCCCTATGTTCCTGGTTTTATAATTTTTTATTTTTTATTTTTAAAATCATGAATGAGTGTTGAATTTTGTTAAAAGCTTGTTCTGTATCTATTGATATGATCATGTGACCTTTTTTTTTTAACTTCCTTAATTTGATGGATTAAGTTGATTGCTTTTCAAATATACAACCAACTTTGCATCCCTGGGATAAACCCCGCTTGGTCATAGTGAAAACTTTTTTTTTAAGTGTCAAAGTCATGAAAGACAAGGAAAGACTGAGGAACTATCACATAGTGGAGGAGATAAAGGAGACACAACAACTAAATGGCAGTGTGAGATCCTGGATTGGATCCTGGAACAGAAAAAGAACATTAGGAGGAGAAGTGGTAAATTTCAAATAGGCCTGTAGTTTAGTTAGTAATATTGTGCCAATGTTAATTTCCCTGTTTTGATAATTGTACTATGGTTATTTGGTAACATTAGAGGAAGCTTGGTAAAATATGTACAGTCATGCCCCATATAACATTTCAGTCAATGACAAACAACATATATGACAGCAGTCTCAGAATATTATAAAACTGTATTTTTACTATACCTTTTCTATACTTAGATAGAATCTATGTTTAGATACCCAAATACCATCATGCTATAATTGCCTACAGTACTCAGTACAGTAACTTGCTGTATAGGTTTATAGCCTAGGAGCAATAAGCTATACCATGTAGCATAGGTGTGTAGTAAGCTATCTGCCATTTAGGTTTGTATGAAAACCTATGGTGTTCATACAATGATGAAACTGCCTAACCACTCATTTCTCAGAATGTATCTTCATCATTAAGCAACACATAACTGTACACGAAGTCTCTATACAGATTAAGCTTCCTAATCCAAAAGTGGGAAATCCAAAATGTTCCAAAATCCAAAACTTTTTGAGCATCAACATAACAACATAACACCACAAGTGGAAAAATTCCACACCTGACTTCATGTGATAGGTCAAAACACAGGCAGGCCGGGCTCGGTGGCTCACGCCTGTAATCCCAGCACTTTGGGAGGCCGAGGTGGGCGGATCACGAGGTCAGGAGATCGAGACCATCCGGGCTAAAACGGTGAAACCCCGACTCTACTAAAAATACAAAAAATTAGCCGGGCGTAGTGGCGGGCGCCTGTAGTCCCAGCTACTTGGGAGGCTGAGGCAGGAGAATGGCGTGAACCCGGGAGGCGGAGCTTGCAGTGAGCCGAGATCCCGCCACTGCACTCCAGCCTGGGCGACAGAGCGAGACTCCGTCTCAAAAAAAAAAAACAAAACAAAAAAAAAAAAAAACACACAGGCACACAATATTATTCAGCATCCTCAGGGAATAAAATAAAATTATCTTTAGGCTATGTTTATAAGGTATATGGAACATAAATGGATTTCATGTTTAGACTTGGGTCCCATCTCCAAGATGTCTCATTTTACATATATATATATATATATATATATATATATATATATATACACACACACACACACACACACAAATATTCCAAAATCCAAATAAAAGCTTGGAATCTGAAGCACGTTAATACCAAGAAATTTCAAATAATTGATTTTCAACTTATATTTTTTGCAAGTTTTTTATATCTGAAATTATTTCATTATAGAAGGGTCTTTTAAAGTTGTCCAAAAATTACCTCCAGAAAGAAGTTAGGTGCAAATACAGAGTTGAGCTGTTTTCTTATTTCAAGGAATATTCCTATGGTATCAAAATTGTTATAGAGCATGGAAAACAATGGAAAGTATCTCAATTAATTCTATAAAGCTAATAAGAACCTGATATTAAAATCTGGCAATACTATCCCAAGAAAAAGACTCTTTTTTTTTTTTTTTCTGAGATAGAGTTTCACTCTTGTTGCCCAGGCTGGAGTGCAGTGGCAAGATCTCAGCTCACTGCAACCTCCACCTCCCAGGTTCAAGCAATTCTCGTGCCTCAGCCTCCCAAGTAGCTGGGATTATAGGCACACACCACCATGCCCAGCTAATTTTTGTATTTTTAGTAGAGACGGGGTTTCACCATGTTGGCCAGGCTGGTCTTGAACTCCTGACCTCAGGTAATCCATCTGCCTCAGCCTCCCAAAGTGCTAGCATTAAAGGCATGAGCCACCGCAGTCCAGCTAAAAACTGCTCTTGAATCTCACTCATGAATATAGACCCAAAACCCTAAATAAAACACTAAAAACTTAAACTCAACAATATATCTTTTGAAAAATCATCATGACAAAGTACACTTGATTCCAAGAATGCCATGGTGGCCCAATATTTTAAAATGTATTAAGAGAACAGGTCAAATGCATTTGATATTATTCAATATTCATTTCTGATTTTAAAAATCAGACTTGATAAACTAGGAATAAAAGGATACTTTACCATCTACTTCATGACAGAAGTCAAAATTTAAAGTATCACCCCTGTTATATGATATTATTCTGGAAGTTCTTGCCAATGCAATAAGAAAAGAATAAGAAATAGGATGTTCAACTATCAAAACAGAGAAAAAAACTGTCATTGTTATTTGAAATGATATAAAAACTATTAGAGCAGAGGATTTAATAAGTAGAATTCTTGCAAAATAAATAAACAAGAACTCATTGCTTCTCTACATAAATACCATTCCAAAATACAACAGGAAAAGATCATGATCATAATAACAACCAAAAAACATAAAATACTAAGAACAAACTCAGCAAGAATAATGCACAATATAAATGAGAAAACTGCAAAACTTTGCTTATAAACATAAAAAGAAATTCAATTAAATAAAATAAGGTAAAAGATTATACAGGCTTGACAAGGCTACAGGAAAACAGATAATCACATACTTTGCTGCAAAAGTAAAAATGGACAATATCTATCAAAACCTAAATGGCAGGCAGCATGGTAGCTCATGCTTGTAGTCCCTTTGGATTTTGGGAGGCTGAGGCAGGCAGATCACTTGAGCCCAGGAGTTCGAGCCCAGCCTGGGCAACAAGATGAAACCCTGTCTCTAAAGAAAATAAGAGAAAGTAACCAGGCATGGTGGCACATGCCTGTAGTCCCAGCTACTCAGGAGGCTGAGGTAGAAGGATCACTTGAGCCCATGGTGTTGAGGCTACAGTGAGCCAAGATCACGCCTCTGTACTCCAGCCTGGGCAACAGGGTGAGATCCTGTCTCAAAAAAAGAAAACAAAACATTAAATGCACATAACCTTTGAGCCAACAATTCCACTTCTAGAAATTTATTTTACAGATAATATATATGTATAAATATGTGAGAGAGAAAGTGTATGTGCGTATGTACACTCAACACAGCATTGTTCTTAATAGCAAAAAGCTGGGAACAACATCAATATTGAGAAATAAGACTTATAAAAGATGACTATCAACATTATAAAAGAACATGTAGCCATACCATAAATAGTATGATCAATATATTGAAGAATATTTTTGTAAAACATGTATTTATAAAATAGGCAGGATGTACATACTTCCAAAAATTATCAGTGTACTTTTGTCTGTGTGGCAGAATTATGGTAACTTGTTTTCTTTCCTGTGCTTTTCTATGTTTTCTAAATTGTCTACAATACTCATGTATTGTAATTAACAGGGAAAAGTAATAAAAGCTTTATCTGTGGATAAGAGGAATTCTAGTACCTAACATTTATATCAGGTACTTGCCAGACCTCATGCCTCTAAATTCACATGCACTGCCTCTAAACTCTGTATTTGTAGTTGCCAACTTGCAAAACTCAGCATACATGTTTTTCATTTTCACCAGTTTCTACCACCATTTCAATGAACTCAACCCTGCAGCCCATAGTAAAACTACATTCTGATCTTGAGTGAAGAAGTGAAAGCACCACTCTGCTTGTGTAAAACAGAGGGGAAAAGACCATCATGGCAGGAAGGAGGGCAAACTAGGGTGTTTATCTTGCAAGCCTCAAATCTCTAATTTTATCCACTACAGGAAGCAGTGGCTACTTTTGTTTCATCAACTTTTCTTTATCTCCATGATAAGCGTGTTTTATTATCTGTATATGCACAATGATGTACTGCTCCAGTAAGCCAGGATATCAGGGCAGGAAACCGGGGAGTATGTTTTAAGGTTTAGATCCTGTCCAACTATATCTCATCAGCAAGAACTGGGAAGTGAAGCTCAGTATAAACATGCCATTTGTGATATACACACTTACACTTCCCCTACAACTGCTCCGCTCTGAGCAGCCAGCATGCAGCGTTTGAGAAAATGTTCTGTAGCCCGATGCTGTCTGCTTCAGAGAGAGCCCTAACCACATTTGGGGGAGAAATGTCTTGTACCTGTTATCTTTATGATCTCCTTAAACACCCTCCATGACAGGAACCCTGCAAAGTTCCCCAGATTCATTATAGGGAATTAAATGCTTTCAACTCTATACATTGGTGGTTCACAACTTCTGTATAGGAGAGGTTTAAGGTGCAGTAATCTGGAAGAAAGAGGGGACTGGGAGCAGTGGCTTTCAAATGATTTGTACCTCAATTTGCAGTAACAGTTATTTTATTTCACACTGTGACCCACTGTAAACATAGGTGTAACATGCACATATACACACAAATGTGCAATAATATTACTAAAGTAAAAGCTTTCTAAAACAATACACATGCTAAGTGTGACACACTTCACCTATTCAGTAGTGTTATGTTCTAGTCTATTCCATTCTATTAAAAATTCTGCCCAAATCTCACTGAAATTATTCTGATCATGATGGTATCATGATGATTGCAATGTGCAGTTGGAAAAGCACTGGACAAGAGGTCTTTGGGGCCTGGATTTATGACCATTTGGAGTGCAGGAGTGGGCTACGCTCATACCCAGACAGGTGTCTTGACATCATAGGTACATGATATCTTTTTGCTCCAATTGAATTGTTGGAGATGAAGCAAATTCAAGAAATTTTTGAGAAGCTGTAGGAGTGTTCAGAGTCACAAATTTCCAAAATTGCATTTATGGAAATCACATTTATGGACATAACTCAAATTTCTGAATCTTTCTCACAACCCTCTTGTTTTTTATTTTAACTTTTACTCTAGATACAACGGGTACATGTGCAGATTTGTTACATGGGAATATTGCGTGATGCTGGGGTTTGGAGTATGGATCCCATCACCCAGGTGGTGAACGTAGTACCCAACAGGGTTTTTTAACCCACCCCCACCACCCCTAGAAGTCCCCAGTGTCTATTGTTCCCATGTTTATGTCCGTATTTGCTCAATGTTTAGCTCCCACTTGTAAGTGAGAGCATGCAGTGTTTGATTTTCTGTTCCTGCATTAATTTGTTTGGATCATGGCCTCCAGCTCCATTAATGTTGCTGCAAAAGACATGATTCCATTGTTTTATAAAGCTGCATAGTATTCCATGGTGTTTATGTACCACATATTATTTATCCAACCCACCATTCATGGGCATCTGACAACCTCTCTTGGAACCCTAGCAGAGGAGGGGAAAGTGGAAGCAGAGTTACCATAGGAAGAGCTGTTGAAGAGCTCAATGTTGAAGAAGGCGTAGTCTCCACTGGTCATGCCATGCCTGTGCGCCACCAGCATGATGCTCCGGATGGTGTCACTGCTCGCACACATGATCACCACTAGGGGAGGAACAAACAACACACATGAGGCACCCCTTTGCAGAGCACTTCGAGCATGCTGACACCAGTAAGGGACATCTGACAAGGAACGGGATACTTATATGGTCCTGAAGTATCTCCTCACAATCACTTGTTAACTACAAATGGACCATGGAGGAACCTAGCAGACGCCTCCATAACCAAGAGATGGAAGCCAACATCACCAACCATGGGAACACAGACTCATGAGACACCTGGAATAACACTTTGAGGACCAAAAATGTCCAGATAGGCAGCCTACATCTAATCAGAAGGTGGCAGCCACAAACCCAACTTGGGGGATGGTCTGTAGAAAATCGGCCTACGCTCTTTAAAATGGTCAATTTTATGAACAACAAAGACAGGCTGAAGAGACATTCTAGACTGAACAAGGCTTAAAGGAATAGGCAACTGACTGCAACGTGTGATGCTGGATTGGATTCTGGACCTTAAAATAAATACATACATATATACATAAATGTTTTGCTATAAAGGGCATTATGAAGATGACTGGTGGAAAATTTGAACAAGTTCCATACACTAGATAATAGAATTCTGTTTGTGTTAAAGTTCTTACTTTTCATAATTATGCTGTGGTTATGTAAGTAAACATTCTTGTTCTTAGGAAGTACACAGTTGAATGTTTAGGGGTAAATAAGCATGATTCTGTACTTTCAAATGGTTCATAACAAGTATTATCTGTGTGTGTATGTATATGTACACATATATTGATTGATTGATAGATGATAGGTAGATGGGTAGAAAAGAGGAGAAGAAAGGAAGGGAGAGGAGGGGAGAGGAGAGGAGGTGAGAGGAGGGGAGAAGAGGGGAGAAGAGGAGAGAGGGACAGGGAGATACTTGAAATCATAAATCAAATGTGGCAAAATATTAACAATTGATGAAACTCTAAATGAAGCTTTTACAGACCAGTTCTTTATACTTTCTTACGTCTTTTCCAAAAGTGCAAGATTATTTCAAAATAAAGTTCTTTTAAAAAAAACTGCATCAAATAAATCACCAGATTTGCCGGATATAAGATAGTGAAAATTGTCAACTGCTTTTTATACTTAATAGCATGGTAAATGCATTGTCCTGAAAAAGCAAACTTAATGATTTTAGAGAGAACATTCACTTAGCAAATCAGAGGATTCAGAGGGTGCTACAAGCTTTCTGCTGTTTGAATTTTAAAACATTATTTTCAGGTTGTCTCAACATACATAAGAAATCGTTTGTAAGATTCCAGGTATCTCTCTCATGTTCTCTCAGTTTATATCCACACTGTTGGATTCAAGAGGCTTCACACAACTCGAGAGCCTCTCGAATTGGATATTGTTGCCTACCACATAAGGGCTACACAGCCTAGAATGAAGTAGGGCTTGACCATTACCCAGTCTATTTGATCCCTGTTGATAGACCCAGGTCTCCATGACCGGTACCACTGTGTTTTGCTGCACACATACTGTGCAGAGAGACCTGGAGAGACCTGGGTGCTATAAACCGCATTATCACGATGCATGCCAGCCCTCCAAGATGTGTATGTTCTTTGTAAAAGCATGGGTGCTGAAAGACATAAAACAAACTTCAGGCTATGCCAAAGCGGCCTTGGCAACCTGCATGGAGGTTGGGTTCTTGTTGATATTTAGTTTACTGCGCACGTTAATTCAGTGTTAGATCATGACTCTGACATTTCATACCCCAAAAGGGCTCGGTGTACAGCATAAAAGCTCTAGAGAAAAAGTTTTTAAAACAGTACAAATATTAAAGATCTACAAGTATGGGAGTAGGTGTTGCTTCTGCCTGAAAGTATAGGTATACATTTGGAATAAATAATCAATTCCAAGATGCCTCAGTAAGAAAGTTTTCAAAGAAACTCCTAATTATTTGTTATGATTTAGACCCTTGTTTCACCTCTGATTTGATTCTAGCCTCTTAAATGAACAAAGAGCCAGGGTGTCCCATAAAACATTCAACAAGGGACTGAGGCTGGACAAGTTTGAAGAATGTGGATTCCAAGAGTGGATGTCTCCAGGAGGTTCCGGGAAGTTCTGGCTGACTGGCCACCAAGCAGCCCTCATCATTTTTCGATCAAGTGATCATAGTCCAGGGTCTGGCTCTCAGTCCCAAGATGCAGAACCTGATTCTGTCAACATATAGAGAGTAGAGTCATTGCTTAGGGGCAAGTTTCCAATAACCTAACTCAGATATGTATAGGTAATCTGAAATGCATACTGTTTAAATTCAATGAGGTCCAGGATGGTTATGAATATATTTGTGTCAACATGCCCTATACCTGAGCATGCTAACTGGAGAGACAAATTATAAGCAGTAGGATGCAAGTAAGGATGAAATCAGAATCAGGGAGGCCAGTAGAGGATTCAGATGTCAAAGGCACCAGAACTTGATGACCCTAGGCATCCATCTAAGAGATATATCTGGTCCAGGACCAAACAGCCAGGGTCCAAGGACCAGAGGACAAGCTTTCCTAAACTTTGCCTGAAGTTTCCCTAAACATTGGCTTCTGTGGTACTTTTTTTTTCTATTTTTACATTCCCGGCCCATCTCCTTCTCTCTCTTCCTGCTATGGTTTGGTTGTGTCCCCCAGATTTCATGTGTTGAAAACTTAATGCTCAAAATCATTTGTTGGTGGTATTTGGAGATGGGGCCTTTGGTAGATACTTATGATTAGATAAGGTCACCAGGTTGGGTCCCCTAAGATGGGACTGGCAGTTTAGAAGAAGAGGAAGAGAGACCTGAGCTGGCACACATTTGCTCTCTCACCATGTGATGCCTTTCATAGTGTTATGACACAGCAAGAAGGTCCTCACAAGATGCCAGCACCATGCTCTTGGACTTCCTAGCCTCTAGAACCATAAGCTAAATAAACTTCTTTTCTTTACAAATTATGCAGTCTGTGGCATTTTGTCATAGCAACAGAAAACAAACTAAGACATACCCCACCACCACCAAGTCCTTCTGATGGACACATTCTTTGTTTTCTTTTCTGTTGTTATTTTGTTTGCTGGTTCATTTGTTTGGAGACAGACTCTCACTCTGTCACCCGGACAAGAGTGCAGTGGCTCAGTCTTAGCTCACTGCAACCTCCATCTCCTGGGCTCAAGCGATCCTCCCACCTCAGCACCTCCCAAGTAACTGAGACTACAGGTGCATGTTACCACACCCGGCTAATTTTCGTTCTTTTTGTATAGATAGAGTTTTGTCATGTTGGCCAGGCTAAGTGATCGGCCCACCGTGGGCCTCCCAAAGTGCTGAGATTACAGGCATGAGCCACCACGCCCAGCCTACCTTCTTTCTGTAAATGTTAGTAGCCACTTAGACTGAGCAAAAGAGACATAGAGTGGCACTGTGTCTATCTAAGCAGATTTTGATTATTTTAGATCTTATCCATTTTGTGTTGGCCATGTGATTTAAGATTCAAAAGGAAGCCCTAATTTCCAAGTTCATGAGCAGAGCACTGTCTTTCTTGAATGAACCAAACACATAATGCACATTATCATCCAGTTCCAGTTCAAACTGGAGCAAGCACCTAATGACACTTGCAAAGTAGTCAGAGTGCATGATCCTAGATTTTTATGATGCTCCCCAATCTCTTAGGGTTGTCTCACTCATGCCTAATTGAACAGCAAGTATTTTTAGTAACTTGCCTTTATACAATCAAAAGGTTTAGAACAGTTTTAATTAAAATAACTTTCTTTTCCTGCTTATGTTTCATCAATTTATATAATAACTAATTAAATTACATATTTATCATAATAAGCACAACCAGCATCAACAAATTTGTGGACAACTCTTAGAAAGTATATGAAGAAGTATGAGAAGTGTGCAGCATATTCAGGAGAACTATACTAGCTGCCAGCACCTACCAACAGGTGATAAGATTTATAGAGAACAGAGGACATCAGCTAATCCTGCGACCTGCATAAGTGGAGGTTAATTAAGGCAGTTTTTGTTGTATCTCAGTATAGTTAATATATAAATATTAATTTTGGGTCGCATTGTTAAAATTCTAAAAGAGGGAATGATGGTGTAACTGTAACTTTATGTATAGACTTTTCTTCATTCTACTCTATTTCCTCCTCCTTGCCAAAGAACTTTCAATGTTCCATGCCACCCTCCATCATCTGGTTCCCACAGTGACTTCTGTAAATGGCTTCTCACTATTGCATCATGTTCTTGCAATCACTCTAAGAACAGCAGAGAGAAATGCGAAGAGGTAGCTATAGAAGTCAATTCAGAGAATCAAAAACATTCCAGGTAGTATCCCTGAATTGGGGGGATACTTATTTCCAAAATCTCAAGTTTTCATTGGGAGAAACCTCTAATGTGCTAACATTTCTCATCTCTCAATGTGCTTTCATTTACACTCCCCTCACCCGCAACAAGAGGAAAAGAAGTGAAATGTCTGATTGTTGAGCCTAAAACTGAGTATGCTGGCTCAGTCTTTTCTTCCCTCTTCTTTGGGTTGTGGCTGTTTGCAGAAAGCACACATCATGGGCTTCTTTTGTCACATGGTCAAGAGTTAGCAGGGGAGATTTGCAGCTAAATGGCACTATATGTGATTTAATAGATATTCCTGCCTAATTCTGGGAGGAAGTAATAGCAAGCAGGCCCTTTTGGAAATAGATCTAAATCCATGTTCAACTGCTTTTATCAATAATAAGGATATATTCATATTCTCCATCTGGTTACTGTACCCATCTTCCAGTTAATTACAAATTTAGAAGGAAAAGAGGGATATCACTGCATGGAAGCAAAGCAGAGTATGCCATGTCCTGCACACTGAAAATGTGATACCAAAAATGAAAAACTCAACAGTAACTTTAAAAGTGGCCAAGGAAATATCCAAACAAGATGAATTACAAAAAAAAAAAAACAACAACAACATAGGTGGTAAATAGAAGGTAAGAAAAGTAGAAGATCAATCCAAGAGGTCTAGCATCCAAATAAGAAAGAAACCTAGAAATAGGAAATAGAGAAAATGAAAAGGATACAATTATCACAGAAATAACTTAAGAAGTATTCCCAGAATTAAAAGATGTGAGTTTCTGGATAAAAGAGGCCTATTGAGTACACAGGGAAGAGGAGAACATTCTAAAAATTTCCAGGAAAGCAAAGCAATGAACTATAAGTTCAGAATCCAAACTGATTCCAGCTTTCTAATAGCAATGTTAGAATTTAGAAGACAGTAAAGCAATACTGTCACAATTCGAGGGAAAATTATTTCCAACCTAGAATACTATAACTATGTGTAAAGGTATGATGAAAATTTTTCAATCACAAAACCTCTCAAAATTTAGGCCTTATTCATCCTTTCTCAGAAAGCTCTTGGAGGATGTGGTCCAACAAAACAAAAACATAATGAAAAAAGAGAAACACACAGGGATCTAGCTCAACAGAGAGGTGATGGAAGTCCCAGGAAGATGTTGAAGAACCCAGAGTGGCAATTGTGCAAAATACCTAGAAAATAACTGGGATGCAAGGCAGGTTCAACATACGCAAATCAATAAATGTAATTGATCACAAAAACAGAACCAACAACAAAAACTGCATGATTATCTCAATAGATGCAGAAAAGGCCTTCGATAAAATTCAACAGCCTTTCATGCTAAAAACTCTCAATAAACTAGGTATTGATGGAATGTATCTCAAAATACTAAGAGCTATTTATGACAAACCCATAGCCAATAGCATACTGAATGGGCAAAAACTGGAAGCAGTTTTTCCCTTTGAAAACTGGCACAAGACAAGGATGCCCTCTCTCACCACTCCTATTCAACATAGTGTTGGAAGTTCTGGCCAGGGCAATCAGGCAGGAGAAAGAAATAAAGGGTATTCAATTAGGAAATGAGGAAATCAAATTGTCCCTGTTTGCAGATGACATGACTGTATATTTAGAAAACCCCATTGTCTCAGCCCAAAATCTCCTTAAGCTGATAAGCAACTTCAGCAAAGTCTCAGGATACAAAATCAATGTGCAAAAATCACAAGCATTCCTATACAACATTAACAGACAAACAGAGAGCCAAATCATAAGTGAACTCCCATTCACAATTTCTACAAAGAGAATAAAATACCTAGGAATCCAACTTACAAGGGATGTGAAGGACCTCTTCAGCAACTACAAACCACTGCTCAATGAAAATAAAATAAAATAAAATAGGACACAAACAAATGAAAGAATATTCCATGCTCATGGATAGGAAGAATCAATATCATGAAAATGGCCATATTGCCCAAAGTAATTTATAGATTCAATGCCATCCCCATCAAGCTACAAATGACTTTCTTCACAGAATTGGAAAAAACTACTTTAAAGTTCATATGGAACCAAAAAAGAGCTGGCATTGCCAAGACAATCCTAAGCATAAAGAACAAAGTTATAGGCATCATGCTACCTGACTTCAAACTATACTACAAGGCTACAGTAACCAAAACAGCATGGCACCAGTACCAAAACAAATATATAGACCAATGGAACAGAACAGAGGCCTCAGAAACAATGCCACACATCTACAACCATCTGATGAAATGAGAAATGGGGAAAGAATTCCCTATTTAATAAATGGTGCTGGGAAAATTGACTAGCCATAAGTAGAAAGCTGAAACTAGATCCCTTTCTTACACCTTATACAAAAATTAATTCAAGATGGATTAAAGACTTAAATGTTAAACCTAAAACCATAAAAAACCCTAGAAGAAGACTTAGGCAATACCTTTCAGGACGTAGGCATGGGCAAGGACTTCATGACTGAAACACCAAAGGCAATGGCAACAAAAGCCAAAATAGATAAATGGGACCTAATTAAACTAAAGAGCTTCTGCACAGCAAAAGAAACTACCATCAGAGTGAACAGGCAACCTAGAGAATGGGAGAAAATTTTTGCAATCTACCCATCTGACAAAGAGTTAATATCCAGAATCTACAAAGAACTCAAACAAATTTGCAAGAAAAAAACAAACAATCCCATCAGAAAGTAGGCAAAGGATATGAACAGACACTTCTCAAAGGAAGACATTTATGCAGCCAACAGACACATGAAAAAATGCTCATCATCACTGGTCATCAGAGAAATACAAATCAAAAACACAATGAGATACCATCTCATGCCAGTTAGAATGGCAATCATTAAAAAGTCAGGAAACAACAGATGCTGGAGAGGATGTGGAGAAATAGGAACACTTTTACACTGTTGGTGGGAGTGTAAATTATAGTTCAACCATTGTGGAAGACAGTGTGGCAATTCCTCAAGGATCTAGAACTAGAATTCTCATTTGACCCAGCAATCCCATTACTGGGTATATACCCAAAGGATTATAAATCATGCTACTATAAAGACACATGCACACGTATATTTATTGCGGCACTATTCACAATAGGAAAGACTTGGAACCAACTCAAATGTCCATCAGTGACAGACTGGATTAAGAAAATGTGGCACATATACATCATGGAATACTATGCAGCCACAAAAAGGCTGAGTTCATGTCCTTTGCAGGGAAATGGATGAAGCTGGAAACCATCATTCTCAGCAAACTATCGCAAGGACAGAAAACCAAAAACCACATGTTCTCACTCATAGGTGGGAACTGAACAATGAGATCACTTGGACACAGGGCGGGAAACATCACACACCGGGGCCTGTCAGGGGGTGGGGGGTGGGGGGGTTGGGGGATGGATAGCATTAGGAGAAATACCCAATGTAAATGATGACTTGATGGGTACAGCAAACCAACATGGCACATGTATACCTATGTATCAAACCTGCACGTTGTGCACATGTACCCTAGAACTTAAAGTATAATAATAAAAAAACACTCAGGAGATTTAAAATAAAGAATTAGAAGATTATTTAATTATAAATCCATAGGAAATTAAGCAAATAAACAAAAACAGACTGTTTTAACTCCAAGGAAAATAGGTAGGGGGAAAAAAGGAAATGTCAACATAGAAGCCTATGTGACTTAACCTTAAATATCATTTAGAAAGTAATGATAATATTTATACTGAATACTGAACTAACTAAAAAATATTGTGTAAGAGATGGGGTCTAGCTATGTTGCCCAGGCTGGAATGCAGTGGCTATTCAAATAGGGCAATCCATAGCCTCAAACTCTTGGACTCAAGCAATCCTCCTGCCTCAGCCTACTGAGAAAAATTTTGGCACAACCATATTGGAAAGATGACTGGAAAGAAAGCTTGCATGTGTGGTTAACAGGCAGTAGAATGATCAAGAAGAGAATTTTCTTCCACTGGGATTCCAACAGATAAGACCTAAAACTGAAAAAAAAAAAAGTAGCATGTTATTAAGAGATATGAAGGTCAATACCTACAGGAAGAGCTAACAAGAATTGAGAGTGAAAAATGGAGAGTAGGAGACAGGAACCTTTTTCTCCTCATAAACCTTGTGTAGTTTTCTCACTTTCTATAGCTGTAGAACTAAATTTTGGTAAAATGTAAATCTAACTTTTTTCAAAAAAGATTTCTCTCTGGCTGTTTCTACACTCCATAGCAATGGATATTGTTTGCAAAATGGAGATTGCATCTTTATTTCTGTTGTTCATAAAGCTCCATCTACTCCAAAGGCCTTTAGAATTTCCACAGTGCAGCCTACAAAGCTCCTTTTTTCCCCTGCTGTGTTAGTTATTTTACACTTATCATGGGTTCTTTCCTTAAAAATGCTGCTGATTGACCACTCGGTCATTTACCCCAGACTAATTCTAAAAATAAATGTTTCTTGTATTGATTAAATACTGTTATCTCTATCTCTACAGACTGTATAATGTTGTACAGTCATTATGCAGGCCCAGATTAATGACATACTAATAACTAAAAGGATAAAACTACAGTTCTTCACATAAAAACATTTGCGTTAGGATACTTCTAGTTCTGCATCATATAAAGTGCATCGACAAAACAACTACTGGCTTGTATTGCTTGAAAAAATTATTTCTAAGCCTGTCTTTTTAAAACTAAATTTATTGTTAAGTGTGTGGAATATTGAGGGCAGTAGCTGGCTGTGTAAGTGAATCTATTTTAAATAAAGATAATTGTTTTTAAAAATAATATAGGCTCAGGTCTGTTTATTTTAGTGGCATTAGCGAAAGACATGACAGGAAAAAAAAAGATTTTAAATTATTGACTTAGATGGTAAATCCTTAAAATGAAGGAATAATTGATGCCCCTGTTTTTCTTTCTACAGTATGCCATGTGAAATTTTAGTCGCATTATTATTTGAGATGCTGGCACGGTCAGTTTTTTACTTGTTCAAACATTTGTGATTTGGTTTTAAAGAGAAACTTAAGTCCAAAAAAAAAGTAATACCAATGTTCTCACCAAAAGAGGGAGGAACTCTCTCTACTTTAATTCATAATACTTAATAGGGAATTTTCAAAAGCAAAAATACTGTCAGTTGCATTTTCACACTTGGGTGAGAATATCAGTTTGAAGAGGCCTGATTCTCACCCCACACATTGTTTCACAGAGAAGAAAACTCACATAAGGAGGCCAGCCAAATCCAGAGGCATCTGCATCTCAGCCCAGGGTTCTTTCCCATGGCATGGCCTCACCCTTGGGGTAAAGGTGATTATCATCATATATAAAATAATAACTACAATGAAACCGCACATTTATTGAGCACTTCATATTCTTCTGGCAGTGCTCCCAGGCATTCCTGGGTTAGCTTCTGTAACCCTCACAGTTTCCCAAAGACGTGGGTGCTCTGACTACCCCCACTTTACCTAAGGAGCTCGAGGTACAGAGGTTTCATAGCAGTCCAAGATCCCCCAGCCGGTGACTGAGCCAGAAACTTCACTGCAATCATGTACCGAAGCCCTATTTAATACATTAAGTGCTTACGGTAAAGTAACTGTGTTACTTCAATGTATTTTTAAAAGGTCCCCTAAGAGAGCTTTGTTATCAAGTAACTTTTTCTCTCGAGTGTAAGGAATTTCGGGGTGGAAGGATGATTAGAGGCGATTGGAGGACGATTAGAGGAGAAACTGTTTTGTTTCCTATTTCTAAATATCTGCCAGGTCACTGTTGGAAATACTTTTTAGAGTAAGAATTGTAAAATCCTAACCTTATCACTTGTAAAATATACAGGTCAGTTAAGCAAACTTTCACCCCTCAATGCAAACTTGGAAAAAAAAAAAAAAAGCAAAGAGACTTCGGAACGTCTATGAGGCTTTTGGAATTAAAAAATAATTCTTACAGCCGACTGCAGCCCTAGTCCTCAGAAGCCCGGGGCGCACCAGTCCCCAGGCCCACCAGGGCACTGCTGTCCGCCCAGCCCCAGGCCTCAGCCACCACTGTGAGGGCGAGGGGCCCCGGGGCCGCGATCTGCCCTCCTCTGGTCTCACACATGCCCTTGGTTTTGTATCCCAGGCCACGTGCGCCGGGGCAGCCGCTGACATTGGGATCTACAGGGTAGTGACATTACGGACGAGTCAGCAAACCGCGGATCTCGCCCATAGGGGGACACACCCCCAGTCCCAGCCGGCCTTGGGAAGTCTCTGACTTCTAGCGCCTAGCCCTCGAAAGCCGAGAACTGGAGAAGCAGGTTCCGGGAGCCTTAGCAGCCCGGGGCGCAGACACCCCCGTGGAGGCTGCAGTAACCTGGCGACTGGGACTTGGGAGTGTAGATGTGGGTTCCTTGCCGAGGCGTGGCAGGCGTGGCAAGTCCGCAGCCGTTGGACACACGTGCCCTTTTTCATAATCGGCAAAGCCTGCGCCCCGCCTGCTTGGCTGGTAGGAATTCGGCACAGACAGCCTGGAGTTCCAGAGCTCAAAATTTGGCCATGCATTCCCACTGTCAAACACCTCTCGCCTCTTTGCTCTAAAGGGTGAGTCCGAGGTGGCCAAGATGGCAAGGCGGTGACAGCAGCGCCATTATCGATGGCTTCTCTGTCCACTCTCACCTGTTCCTGGGGCCTTCGGCCTCAGGTTGCGCTGTCCCCTACGACCAGCGCCCAGGTGCTCGGCCATGCCAAGTTGTGGACTAGCCCGGCGCCTGGCTCAACTCCGCTCCCCTTCGGTCTCATCCGCGTGGCACTGGGGTCTCGGGGAGCTTTGCCGGGATTGCACCACTCACATTCCAGGCGCGTGAGCGCCAAGGGGGAGCAGAGACGGGATTCCCTCATCGCAGTGCTCCTAATCCCTGACTAGAGGGAGGAGGGATCGGCGCTATACCGGCATCTCAGTCCGCCTTCCCTCAGATTCTACCCTACCGTAAAATGGGCCACACTGGCGATTACACGTCCGCGTCCCCCCGCTCCCCGAAGCCATAGCCACCATCCTCAGCCTCGAGCTCTTTGTCCAGTTTGGGTTTTATTCCAACACCCAAAGACCCATGGAGAAAACTTGGGGGACAGGTGGAAAGAAGGTTCAGCGCTCGTTTCTTCAAAAGGCACTCCCGCAAAGCTTAGCTCTGGGCGCATTAGAAACTGCGTTGCAGAACACTCTGGGAGAAGTGAGTGTCGCCAGAATTCAGACACACAGGGGCATTTTTGGTGGAAACCACAGAAGCTCGTTTATAAGGGGCTGGAAGGGAAATGAAAGGAATGAGAAGAGTGAGTCAACAAGCCTTTAAAAGAAACCTGGGGTCTGTGGAAACAACAGTCAGAGAAACCCCAAGAGCGGGCGAGCTAAGTGGCGACGCCTCGCTGCGAGGCGTCCGCGGACGCTTCCGCACTAAGTGGGGGCGCACGCTGGCAAAGGACTGGGGAACAAGTTCTTTCCGCCTCGGATGCTTCAGACCCTGGATGGAGCCAGGCACTGGGAGTGCGCCCCCTAATCACCAGCCCGGCGCTGGCAAAGTGGAAACTGGGAAGAAAAAACATCGAAGTGTTTGACAGCACCTGTTGGACCTGGGCACGCAGGAGCTACAGACGCCCTCTCCTCCAACCCCTTCACCTCCCTGGGACCCTCTACGTACACCGCGATGGGCGGTCGTCAAAGGTTGTCGCAGCCACACGGCGCATACCTGAACGAGTGCCCGCGCGCACCCGACCTCAGCGCCGCAGTGGGGAGTGGGGTCTGCAGAGTGGACGAGTGTGCAGGGAGAGCCGCGGAGAGCGGTTGGGTTAGGGCCCGGGGCCCGGGACGCGCCCCTGCTCACCTCTCTCACTGGCCTGGATATTGCGCACGATGTCTTCCAGATCCAAGTCTTTGGTCTCGTCGAAACTGTAGATGGACGTGTGCAAACCCTCCTCCTGGAAGACCTCGTGGACCCCCTCGAGGGTGAAGTAGCAGTTCCGCTCCAGCTTGTCGTCGCTGTAGACCAGTGCAGCGCGGCTCCAGTGGTGGTGGCGGAACAGGGCGAGCATCATCTCGCCCATCTTGGCGTAGGCGGGCGCCACGCGCGTGAGGTGCGAGTACTCAGAGTCCTTGTGCTGGAAGCCAGCGGCCAGCGCCCCAGCCGACAGCATGGGCAGGTCCCAGTGCGATGCAAGCCGGGCCACTGGCGCTGCTGCATACTCGCACACTGGCCCCAGGATAAGGTCTGGCTTGGCGCCCCGCGCCGCCGCCACGCGGTCCACCAAGCTGAAGAGCGCACGGTTCCCACAGTCTGAATCCTCGTAAGCCACCTGGAAGCGAGTGCCCGGCGGCAGAAGCCGCCTCCCAGTCCCGTTGCCCTCCACGCTGCGCAGAGCATACTCGATGGCCGGCCGCACCCGGGTGAGTGAAAACAAGTACGAGTCATCCTGGGGCAGTAACACCAGCACCTCGATCTTCTGTGGCGGCAGCGCCTCTCTCTCCTGGCGTCCGCCGCCTATGCCCGCGCCACCGCCGCCGCCGCCAACGCCACCGCCACCGGTGCCGCCGGCCAGCAACGCCCAGCCGAGTAGTACGCACGGGGAGAAAGTGAGCACCAGCAGAGACGGCATCGTGCCGCAAGAAAGAGCTTGCCCTCGCCGCCGCCGACTCGCCCTCTGCCCCCCACCCACCCTTCCTCTTTCCTCCCCACTCTTCTCTCCAAGGTCCCTGCGCCCCCTTGGGCGCTTTAACAAAATAGAATACCCCCTTCACTAATGCGCCAAAAGATAGAGAGGAAGCGTCCTTCTCTGCAATGTCACTAGTTTTTCTTAAAAAAAAAAGAAAAAGAAAAAGAAAAAGTTCACCGGGTGTAAACCTGTGCGTCTGTAATATACATATATATATACTTGTATATATTCGCCCTCCGTTTATACATATACTATTTTGCTTAGAGGTGGCTTCTTATTTGGGCGTTGCTAAGGTTGCTTTTGAAAGCGTTTTTGTAGAAGAAAAAAAAAGTTAGACTTGTCCAAGTGTTTGTAATTGACGGTGCATCTCCCTCGCATTTGATCTCATTGATTCGCGCCGGTTCCTGGATCCATAGCCCGCGTTTAAATAGCGTGGCAGCGGCTGAGCGTGTTACCACACATGGCGCGCCGAGGCCGGGCTTGTGTTTCCAGCGGGTGGGGTGGGTGGGGGTGGGGAGATGTGGGGGCTGGGCTGGGGGAGTCTCTCATTAACATTCTTACATCAGGGCTCCTCCCTGCACCCCTTCACTACCCATCGCGCCCCTGTCCCTAACCACCACTCCCCGCAGGCCCTCTGCCTTTTCCTTAAAGCTGAAATCGCCCACGTCTGCACCGGCAAGAGCCCCCACCACGCCGCGTGCCTGTGCGATCACCGCCTCTCCCTTTCCACGCTCTCCAGCTCCTGGCTTCAAAAAAGGAAACGTGCTTTAAAGTAGAGAAATGCGCGCGCGCACGCACACATACACACACACACACACACACACATATACACACACACACCGTGCAAAAAAAAAAAAAAACCAGGACTGGGGGAAAGGGATGGTTCTAGAAATTGTGGTTTCGGTGCAAAAATCCTTAGGTGCCGCTTGCTCTCACCTTTCTCGTTCTGGCCACATTCCCTCCTGAAGCACCGACGCGGGGCGAGCACCTGACCTTCCTGGTCCCTCGGCGCAAGGTCAGGGAACAAGGACCAAGGTCCCAGTGCAGATGGCTCCATCGCGGACCTGGTGTGCCCGGCTGGCCCGGGCGTCACCTACACCCCGCCTTCCTCAGCCCCGCGCCAGCCCCCTCCCCCTGGGCCACGCAGGTTTGCGCTGGAATCGCAGCGGTGCCGAGGTCACAGTGTCCCAGCTCACGGACCCTCTGTCAGCGCACTGAGAGCAGGAAAGTGAAACTTGTTGCTCCCAAAGGCGAGGGAATGGTTCAACTTCTGGAGGTGTCACAAAGCTTGGAAAGCATCCCCAAAGCGTCCTCGGGGCTTTGTTTGCTAAACCAGGTACCTAAATAAAGGGACTGTCTTTCCCAAAACGTTCCCGGTAGGTCCCCCGGGTACGACACACGCTCCCCTCCAACCTGAGTGCTCAAAGATCCAACCGCTCCTTCTCTGGAGCGCTCGAGGCACTGTGCTGGGGTTCCGCGACTCCAAGAAAGGTCCTGCCTCGGAGACCCAGTCCTCCCACTGGCCATAGCCACAGCAGCGGTGGAGACCGGAGGGAAGCGGCTCTGGAGAAGTCCGTGACCAGAGGAGCATCGCGGGAGTCCGCCGCGCGGCGGGGCGGGTCAAAATGGAACTGGACCTTCTGTGCCTACTGCAGCCAAGTCATTTGCAATGTGAACGGGCTACACTGGGCGGGAGAATTCTGACAATTAAGTCCCGCACATTTAAATACATTGAAAATGTGTTAAAATGGTCTTTCATTTGACTAGGCGTCCGTGTCCACAAATTTCTTTTAGTCTCAGACCGACGCCCTCTTTCGGCAGAAACTTGCACCCGACTCAACCCGGGTGCCGCAGTCCCAGACGCTGCGTTTTTTACTCCGAGGCCTTTAACGCGCTCTGGTTCTCACTTGCGACGGTGAAAAGGCAAACTGGGGTTTCTGGGGATATGGCAACTTCTGGCGTCAGCGCTCGCCTCCCTTAACAGCACTCTCCTTATCGCTCTTTCTGGAACCGTCAATGTGATTATGGGTAATGTTTCAGCTTCTGGGTCATTTATATTCAGATTATGCACTGTGATCCCGAAATCTTCACTGTTAAGTAGGAGCTTCTAATTCCTGCGAGAATTTCCATTTATTTAATTAGAGCCACTAACCAGGAGCAAAAGAGACATCTGTATAAAATTTAATTCCACAAACAGGGTAATCCACACACACTGGAAATTGAGATTTAGTGCTCCACAGCAATTAAATCTTTCCTGAATTTGCAGAAGGGCAGGCGTTTATGGCAGCACAGATTAAAAAAAAAAAAAAAGAAAAAGAACAACAACAAAACAAGAACTAAATCATGAATTCCAAGGGTCTTAATGGATTTCGAAACTGGTTGCCAGGCACTGTGCTGGGGTTCCGAGACTCCAAGAAAGGTCCTGCCTCGGAGACCCAGTCCTACCACTGGCCACAGTGGTAGGAACCAGTGTTTCCTATTACTCTGCGGTATGCCCTGTGTCTGCGGAACACCAGCCAATGGCGATATGATTCTGCCGCGTGTGGTGTGGGTTTATGCGGAGAGTCTGGGGTTTCAGTGGCACCGGTGTGAACGCCTGTCCCATCCCAGATGCTACCTAGCCTCGCCTGCAGTTCAACAGCAGGGCAGTGCGCTTAAGTAAGGGTGAGTGCCCGTAGCCTCTCCGCAGCTTTTGGACAAGAGCTCTCGACTTGCAGTTTGTCACACTCAAGAGCAGCAACAAGACCAAGCTGCGGAAGGGAAGAGACCCCAAACCAAGCAGCGGAACGAATTAAAAAAAAAAAAAAAGCCAGTGTTATGCTTTTGCTGAAGCTCAAAACACCCCTTAAGAATTCCAGTGAGCAACAATTAGGGTTTTTAAAAAACCTTTTCAAATGAAAAGAGTCACAAGATTATGGGAAGACCCACCAAGTAATGTAAGTGTATGGATTTCAAAGTTACGGGTTTGTTTACTTTCCATCAAGTTAGAATTTTTGCAACCAACTGAAAGTTTGTGTAAATAAGTAGTTCTAAATCTTCAGGCCAGAAGACTTAAGTCACCCAGCCTGACACCCCTTACTCTCTAGATGAATTAAGGCCCAAACAGTATAAGTGATATACTTAAATACCTCTTCATCCCCTGAGAATATTTTTAAATGGGATTGTATTCAAAGTAAACCAAGGACCACCAGTTACATCATGTGAAAGTGTTAGGAACAAAGTTAATTTCTACTCTAAGTAATAACATTCTTTATATCAAATTTTTATATATATATATAGCTAAGTTTGGAGGCTAATACAGCACAATAAACCCAAAAATAACATTTTGTAATAGAATTTTTGCAGCACTTTAATCACAAAAATGAATCAAAAGGAAAAAATAGAAATAACTTATTTATTTGACTCAATTTTTAAATATTATTTCTTTCAATTCTGTAAAACACTGAAATGGGGAAAAATAAGTATTTTTTTAACATTCAAAAGAGTGGTAACCTTTTTACTAGGTGCTTCCTTTCTGGCTTCAGTTGTTGAATGAAACCAAAGGAAAGTTATGGGAAAATGCTGCAAAATGAAAGAAAATTAGCCATTTGAAAGAAAGACAATGTTAGCTCTAAACAGGATATTTCAGAAACTAATAGACTTTTTATGAGGTTTAGAAATGTTTTACTTAATATCCACAAACCATGTTTTGTTGTTTGGGTTGTTTTTTTTTTTTTTTTTTTTAAAGCTACTACAATAAGGTGGCAAGCTACTACAATAAGGTGGCAAGTTTTCTATAAAGTATTCAACGGTTTATTTTCCAGCTCTATGAAATGAAATTACTGTCTATATGTTATTTCTCACTACCAGGAAAGACAGCATTAATATAGGAAAACTAACATGTGATTCTTTGAAGTGTATTAGAAATTCTATCAGAAGTAAGTTTTCTCCACCACCAACTGTAACAGTCTCTGCAACTCTTCTCCCTTGGCATCCTGGCTGCAACCTCTAAACTAAGAACCCACCTAGATTTTCAGAGGTCCTTTTCTCCCTTGTTGAGCCAGCCCTAAAGTTGTATTCGAGAATACCCCTGTGAAGCCTGTGGCCCACAATAAAATACCTTCTGAGGCCAGAATTGTTGAAAACACACTCCCCCCTAGAGGCAGAAAAGATGAAAGAACATTACAAATAATTCAAGAACATTTCTGTAATGTAATCAGTGTTGAGATTTCATTCTTTACATATAGTTGCTGTTTTAGAGTGAACTATTCAAGAAGTGGGGAAAAAAAATCAATGGATGCCAAAAAATTAAATTAAAATTTTGCCTCTAGGTTCTTACTTTCCTTAGCAGGGACTTTATTAACTTACTCTTTTTCTTCTATTATATAAATCTATTATTTTAATTTGCCAGCACTATAAATAATAGTAATTTTATATTTTTCTAATTAAATTTATAATTCAATCTCATCAGAAGCTGCAGCTAAATGTGACCTTAAGGGGTTCTTTTGAAAACACAGAGTTGTTTCTTTATTATAATCCTCTTAGATTTCCATCAACTACCATCTTTTTTTCACTTCTTTGAAGATGTTCTGAGGCAAAGTGACATTAGAAAGACTTCTGAAAAACGTATAGCTAGTCAGTGATTTAACCTGAATACTGGCATAAGATTTGCAAGCTATATGAAGAATTCTCATATCATTGATTTATAGACAAGTTAATTTATGTAGATTATTATATTCACAAAAACGAGTGTGAATGGGGACTTCAAAAAGTTCATGTAAAATGGAATTAAAAGATAAAAATTTAAAATATGAACTTTATTTCTTAACAAAAGATTCATCAAGTTCAAGACACTCTTCTGAGTGGTGATCCCAACCATGTAGTTTATCCCTAAAAAACCAAGGGTCCTGGAAACTTAAGCATGTCAATGCAATCTTTATTAACTGAAAAAAATAAAAAATGAGTGCCCTTTACAAATTTATTTAAGATCAGGAAACAAAGAGAAGTCAGAAGGAGCCAAATCAGGACTATAAGGTAGATACCTAATGATTTCCCATCAAAACTCTCACAAAATCACCTTTGTTTGATGACAGAAATGAGCAGGAATATTGTCGTGGTGGGGAAGAAGTCTCTGGCGAAACTTTCCCAGACATTTCTAGGCAAAGTTTTGACTAACTTTATCAAAACACTCTCAAAATAAACAAAAGTTACCATTCTTTGATCCTCCAGAAAGTCAACAAGCAAAATGCCTTAAGCATTTCAAGAAACCATTGCCATAACCTTGGCTCTTGACCACTTCCACCTCTTGGTAGCCACTGCTTTAATTGTGTTTGTCTTCAGGATCATGTTGGTAAAGCAGTGTTTCATCCCCCTGTGTATTAGGCCATTTTTGCATTGAAATAAGGAAATAACTGAGACTGGTTAATTTATAAAGAAAAGTTGTTTAATTAGCTCATGGTTCTGCAGGATGTACAAGAAGCATGGCACCAGAATCTGCTCGGCTTCCGACGAGGGCCTCAGCAAGCTTACAAGAATGGCAGAAGGCGAAGGGGGAGCAGGCACCTCACATGCTGAGACAGAGTGCAGGGTTGGCAGGGAGGTGCCACACACTTAAACAGCCAGATCTCATGAGAATTCACTCACTATTGCCAAGGACAGCACCAAGTCATGAGGGATACGCCCCCATGACCCAAACATCTCCCACCAGGCCCCGCCACTGACATTGGGGATTACAATTCAGCATGAGATTTGGCAGGGACAATTCTCCAAATAAATGCTTTGGGATATTTCACTTGTTTAAAATTTCCATTGAAAGTTCTGCTTTTGTCTTCAACTAATCTGGCTGCAACAGTTTTGGCACCCATTGACTGGAATATTTGCTGAACTTTAATTTTTCCATTGGAAATGTGGAAGCTGAACCAATTGAGATATCTATGGCGTTGATTATTGTTTCTGCTGTTAATCGCTGGTCTTCCCCATTGATATGGTTTGAATCTGTGTCCCTCCCCAAATCTCATGTTGAATTGTAATCCCCAATATTTGAAAAGGGGACTGGTGGGAGGTGATTGGGTCACGGGGGCAGTTTCTCATGGTTTAACACCATCCCCCTTGGTGCTGTCATGGTGATAGAGTTCTCATAAAATCTAGTTGTTTAAAAGTGTGTAGCATCTCCCCCTCCCCATCCCTCTTCCTCCTGCTCTAGCCATGTAAGACATGCCTACTTCCCCTTTGCCTTCTGCCATGATTGTAAGTTTCCTGAGGTCTCCCCAGAAGCTGAGCAGACTGCCATCATCCTGCTTCCTGTACAGCCTGTAGAACTGTGAGCCAATTAAACCTCTTTTCTTTATAAATTACCCAATCTCAGGTATTTCTTTATAGCAGTGTGAGAATAGACTAATACAGGCACAAACAAGATTGGTTGGTTAGTTTGTTTTTTCTCAAAACTTGATGTGGATGGTCTGCCACTGTGGGCTTCATTATCAACATTATCTTGTCCTTTCTCAGAATGAGTTATCTATTTGTAAACTTCTGATTTCCTTAAGGCATTGTCCCCACAAGCTTTTTTTAAAGCATCAATTACTTCAGCATTTTTCAACCCAAGCTTCACTGTAAATTTAATGTTTCCCCTTGCTTCAATTTCAGCAGAATTCATTTTGCTCTGATAGTGCCTCAAATTGAATCCTATTCAGACATGTCATAAAAAGTTAGTATAAGTTTGTTAAAAAATAATTTTGAAATCTATGCATAGTTTTTTTCATAATACACATATTCCACAAACTTTTTGAAGACCACTTATATGCACTTCAACTTCATGCATACCAATACTGACTATGTTTAATGGATTTATTTAGTTGTACGCTGCCTTCTTCCAAAAAGGATTTGAGAAAGCACACAAATACATAAAATCAAATTTTAGAAAACTTTCCTGCCCTGGCTGGGGAGTGCAGGAAATGGGCACTGGGCCATGTGCAAACGCCAGCGCATGTTGCAGAGCCATTGGGTCTTACTCTCTTGTAATGGCCTCAGAAATGATCTCCTCTCCCATCTCAGTTTCCATAACATTGCTCAGATTTGTGATCACACCAAATTGTATTTCCATTTGCAGGAAAATATGTCTGGGTTGGGATCCAGTCTCCAGGGTGGTATACTGTGTTAAGATCATGCATTTAGAAGCCTCATCAAAATGTCTGCGCATTATCACTTAACCTGTTTAACCTTCACTTTCTCAATTTTCTCATTTCTAAAATAGAGATATCATTTGGAAGACAGAGCAAGCTGGCTAAATAGAAGCCCCCACCAGTTGTCGTCCCCACAGGAACACCAAATTGAACAACTATACACACACACACACACACACACACACACACACAAAGAGCCAAAAGAACACTTCATAAGAACCAAAAACCAGATGATAAATCACAGTACCTGGTTTTCATTTCATATCACTGAAAGGGGCATTAAAAAAGGGTAGGAAAGACAGCCTTGAATTGCCAATGCCAACCTTCCCCCATCCCCCAGCAGCAGCCATGTGGTGTGGAGAGAGAATCTGTGCACTTGAGAGACAGAGTGCAATGACTGTGGGACTTTGCACTGGGACCCAGTGCTGCCTTTTAACAGCAGAAAGAAATACTGGGCAGAACTCAGCCAGTGCCCATGAAGGGAGCATTTACACTAGCCCTAACCAAAGGGGAATCATCCATCCTAGTGGTTGGAACCTGAGATACAACAAGCCTTGCCACAGTGGGCTAAAGTGCTTTGGGTTCTAAATAAACTTGAAAGACAGTCTAGGCCACAGGGACTGCAATTTGTGGGCAAGTCCTGGTGCTGTGCTAGGCGTGGAGCCAGTGGATGTGGGGGACACATGACCTAGTGAGACACCAGCCAGGATGGCCAAGGCAGTGCTTGCACCCCACCCTCTCCCAACCCCAGGCAGTGCAGCTTGCAGCTCCACAAGAGACTCCTTCCTTCCACTTGAGGAGAAGAAATGGAAGAGAAAAGAGGACTGTCTTGCAATTTGGCTACCAGCTCAGCCACAGTAGGATAGGCCACCAAAAGGAGTCCTGAGGCCCCCATTCCAGGCCCTAGCTCCCAGATGACATTTCTAGAAATATTCTGGGCAAGGAGGGAACCTGCTGCCTTGAAGGGAAGGACCCAGTCCTGGCAGGATTTATCACCTGCAGTCTAAAGAGCCTTTGGGCCCTGAATAGTCAGCAGTAATAGCCAGGAAGTATTTGCTGTGGGCCTTTGGTGAAACCCAGGGCTATGCTGGCTTTAGGTGTGGCCCAGCACATTCCCAGCCATGGTGACTACTGGGAGAGACTCCTTCTGCTTGAGAAAAGGAAAGGGAATAGTAAAGGGGGCTTTGTCTCAAAGCTTAAGTGCCAGCTCAGCCACAGTGGCATAGAACACTAAACGGGCTTTTGGGGTCCCCAGTTCCAGGCCTTGGCTCTTGGAAATGGAGACCCCAAGATGCCATTAGATGGCATTTATGGATACTCCCTGGGCCAGAGGGGAGCCCAGTGCCCTGAAGGGAGACTCCCAGGCCCAGCATTTATGACAAGCTAACTGAAGAGTGCTTGGGCCATGAGTGAACATCAGCAGTAGCCAGGAAGTACTCATCATAATCCTGAAGTGGTGATGACCATATGGAGAGATTCCTTTGCTTATGAAAAGGGAAAGGAATAGTGGCACAGAATTTGTCATGTGGCTGAAAAAATGCTCACCATCACTGGCCATCAGAGAAATGCAAATCAAAACCACAATGAGATACCATCTCACACCAGTTAGAATGGCAATCATTAAAAAGTCAGGAAACAACAGGTGCTGGAGAGGATGTGGAGAAATAGGAACACTTTTACATTGTTGGTGGGACTGTAAACTAGTTCAACCATTGTGGAAGTCAGTGTGGCGATTCCTCAGGGATCTAGAACTAGAAATACAATTTGACCCAGCCATCCCATTACTGGGTATATACCCAAAAGACTACAAATCATGCTGCTGTAAAGACACATGCACACGTATGCTTATTGTGGCACTATTCACAATAGCAAAGACTTGGAACCAAACCAAATGTCCAACAATGACAGACTGGATTAAGAAAATGTGGCACATATACACTATGGAATACTATGCAGCCATAAAAAATGATGAGTTCATGTCCTTTGTAGGGACACGGATGAAATTGGAAATCATCATTCTCAGTAAACTATCGTAAGGACAAAAAAAACCAAACACCGCATGTTCTCACTCATAGGTGGGAATTGAACAATGAGAACACATGGACACAGGAAGGGGAACATCACACTCTGGGGACTGTTGTGGGGTGGGGGGAGGGGGGAGGGATAGCATTAGGAGATATACCTACTGCTAAATGACGAGTTATTGGGTGCAGCACACCAGCATGGGACATGTATACATATGTAACTAACCTGCACATTGTGCACATGTACCCTAAAACTTAAAGTATAATAATAATAAAATTTAAAAAAAGAATTTGTTATGTGGCTTGGGTACCAGCTCAGCCGCAGTAGACTAGTGCGCCAGGTAGATCCTAAGGTTTCCAACTTTAGGCCCTGGCTCCTGGATGGCATCTCTGAACCTACCCAGGGGCAGGGGGAACTCAGCATCCTGAAGAGAAGAACACAAGCCTGGCTGGCTTTTCCACCTGTTAATTGTAGAGCCTCAGGGCCTTGAGTGAACCTAACTGGTAGCAAGGCAGTGGTTACTACAGACCTTGGGCAATACCCACTGCTATGCTCGCTTCAGATCTGACCCAGCACAGTCCCAGTGGTGGTGGCCACAACAGAGATACTTATGTCAGCATTCCCTGGCTTCAGGCAGCTCAGCACAGAGAGAGAGACTCCGTTTGTTTGGCAGAAAATAAATGGAAGAGAAGAAGAGTCTCTGCCTGGTAATCCAGAGTACTCTTTCGTGTCTCATCCAAGACCACCAAGGCAGTACCTATATAAGTCTGCAAAAGCCACAGCATGACTGAGCTTGGGATGCCGCCTAATGCAGATACAGATGCAGTGACCAAAAACTTAGATTACAATACCCAAGTCCCTTTGAATACCTGGAAAGCCTTCCCAAGAAGGATGTGTGTAAAGAAGCCCAGACTGCAAAGACTACAATAGATGCCTAACTCTTCAATGCCCAGACACTGACAAACACCCACAAGCATCAAGATCATCTAGGAAAACATGACCTCACCAAATGAACTAAATAAGGCAACAAGGATCAATCCTGGGAAGACAAAGATACGTGATCTTTCAGACAGAGAATTCAAAATAGCTGTTTTGAGGAAGCTCAATGAAATCCAAGATAACACAGGGAAGGAATTCACAGTCCTATAAGATAAATTCAACAAACACATTGAAATAATTTAAAAGAATCAAGGAGAAATTCTGGAGTTGAAAATGCAATTGACCTACTGAAGAATGCATCAGAGTCTCTTAACAGCAGAAGTGATCATGCAGAAGAAAAAACTAGTGAACATGAGGACAGGATATTTGAAAATACATAGTCAGAGGAAACAAAAGAAAAAATAATAATAAAAAAACAGCCAGCAGACACTTGAAAAAATGCTCATCATCAGTGGTCATCAGAGAAATGCAAATCAAAAATACAATGAGATACCATCTCGCGCCAGTTAGAATGGTGATCATTAAAAAGTCAGGAAATAACAGATGCTGGAGAGGATGTGGAGAAAGAGGAACATTTTTACACTGTTGGTGGAAGTGTAAATTAGTTCAACCATTGTGGAACACAGTGTGGCGATTTCTCAAGGATCTAGAACTAGAAATACCATTTGACCCAGCCATCCCATTACTGGGTATATACCCAGGAGATTATAAATCATGCTACTATAAAGACACATGCACATGTATGTTTATTGTGGCACTATTCACAATAACAAAGACTTGGAACCAATCCAAATGTCCATCAATGATAGACTGGATTATTAAAATGTGGCACATATACACCATGGAATACTATGCAGCCATAAAAAACGATGAGTTCATGTCCTTGGCAGGGACATGGATGAAGCTGGAAAGCATCATTCTCAGCAAACTATCACAAGGACAGAAAACCAAACACCACATGTTCTCACTCATAGGTGGGAATTGAACAATGAGAACACATGGACACAGGGCGAGGAACATCACACACCAGGGCCTGTCGGGGGGTGGGGGGCTGGGGAAGGGATAGCATTAGGAGAAATACCTAATGTAAATGATGAGTTGATGGGTGCAGCAAACCAATATGGCACATGTATACCTATGTAACAAACCTGCACATTGTGCGCATGTACCCTAGAACTCAAAGTATAATGAAAAAAAAGAAAAAAGAATTTAAAAAAACAATGAAGCACATCTACCAAATCTAGAAAATAGCCTTAGAGGGGCAAATTCAAGAGTTACTGGCCTTAAAGAGGAGGTAGAGAGAGTGACGCAGCAGAAAGTTTATTCAAAGGGATAATAACAGAGAACTTTCCAAACCTAGAAAAAGATATCAATATTCAAGTACAAGAAAGTTATAGAACACCAAGCAGATTTAACCCAAAAAAGAACTTGAGACATTTAATTATGAAACTCCCAATGGTCAAGGTTAAAGAAAGGATCCTAAAAGTAGCAAGAGAAAAAGAAACAAATAACATACAATGGAGCTCCAATATATCTGGCAGCAAACATCTCAGTAGAAACCTTACAGGCCAGGAGAGAGTAGCCCAACATATTTAAAGTGCTGAAGGAAAAAACTTTTAAACTAGAATAGTATATCTGGTGAAAATATTCTTCAAACATGAAAGAAAATTAAAGATTTTCCCAGTAGTGCAAAAGCTAAGGATTTCATCAATACCAGACCTGTCCTACAAGAAATGCTCAAGGGAGTGATTCAATCTGAAAGAAAAGGACATTAATGAGCAATAAGAAACCATCTGAAGGTACAAAACTCCCTATTACTGTGTAACAGTAGGTACACAGAAAAGCACAGAATATTATAACATTGTAATTGTGGTGTGTAAACTACTCATGTCGAGTAGAATGACAACAACATAAACTAATCAAAAATAATAACTACAACAACTTTTCAAGACATACACAATACAAGAAAATATAAATACAAGTGACAAAAAGTTAAAAAGCAGGAGGATGAAGTTAAAGTGCAGAGTTTTTCCAAACACTGCATGTTCTCAATCATAAGTGGGAGTTAAACAATAAGAACACATGGACACAGGGAGGTGAACAGCACACATTGGGGCCAGTCAGGGGGTTAGGGGATGAGTGGAGGGAAAGCATTAGGACAAATAGCTAATGCATTCGGGGCTTAAAACCTAGATGATGGATTAATTTGATAAGTGCAGCAAACCACCATGACACACGTATACCTATGTAACAAACCTACATGTTCTGCACTTGTATCCCAGAATTTAAAGTTAAATAAAATAATAAAAAACACAAAAATGAAGCGCAGAGTTTTTGTTCATTTGCTTTTTGCTTGTTTGTTAGTTTGTTTATGCAATCAGTGTTAAGTTGCCATCAGTCTAAAATAAGTGGGTTATATTATTTGTAAGCATCATAGTAACCTCAAATAAAAAACATACAACACATACATAAAAAATAAAAAGCAAGAAATTAAAACACACCATTGCAGAAAATCACCCTCACTAAAAGGAAGACAAGAAGGAATGAAAGAAGAGAAAACCACAAAATAACCAGAAAACTAATAACAAACTGGCAGGAGTTAAGTCCTTACTTATCAATAATAACATTGAATGTAAATGGACTAAACTTTCCAATCAAAAGACATAAACTGGCTGAATGGATTTAAAAAGACAAGATCCAACCATCTATTGTGTACAAGAAACACACTTTGCCTCTAAAGACACACATAGACTGAAAATAAAGGGATGGAAAAGATATTCCATGCAAATAGAAACCAAAAAGGGGCAGGAGTAGCTATACTTAGACAAAATAGATTTTAAGATAAAAACTATAAAAAGAGACAAACAAGGTCATTATCTAATGATAAAGGGGTCAAGTCAGCAAGAGGATATAACAATTGCAAATATATGCACCCAACTCTGGAGAACCCAGATGTATAAAGCAAAGATTATTAGAGCTAAAGAGAGAGATAGATCCCAATACAATAATAGGTGGAGACTTCAACATCCCACTTTCAGCCTTTGACAAATCTTCCAGACAGAATATTGACAAAGAAACATTGAACTTAACCTGCATTATAGACCAAATGGACCTAATAGATATTTACAGATCATTTCATCCAATGGCTGCAGAATACTCATTCTTCTCCTCAGCACAGAAAAGACCATATGTTAAGCCACGAAACAAGTCTTTAAAAATTCAAAAAAAAAATGAAATTATATCAAGCATCTTCTCTGACCACAATGGAATAAAACTTGAAATAAAAAATAAGGGGAATTTGAAAACTATATAAACACATGAAAATTAAACAATATGCTCCTTAATGACCTGTGGGTTAATGAAGAAATTAAGAAGGAAATTTTTAAATCTCTTGAAACAAAGGATAATGGAACACAACATACCAAAACCCATGGGATACAGTGAAAGCAGTACTAAGAGGAAAGTCTATAGCTATAAGCACCTACATCAAAAAAAAGTAGAAAAACTTCAATTAAACAACCTAATGATGTATCTTAAAGAACTAGAAAAGGAAGAGAAAATCAAACCCAAAATTGGTAGAAGAAAAGAAATAATAAAGATCAGAGCAGAAATAAATGAAACAGAAACAAAGAAAACAATACAAAAGATGAACAAAATGAAAAGTTGGTGTTTTGAAAAAATAAAGAAAATCGACAAACCTTTAGCAAGACTAAAAATAAAAGAGAATACCTGAATAAATAAAATCAGAGATGAAAAAGGAGACATTACAATCAATACCACAGAAATTCAAAGGATCATTAGAGGCTACTATAAGCAGCCATATGCCAATAAATTGGAAAATCTAGAAGAAATGGATAAATTCCTAGACACATACAATCTACCAAGATTGAACCATGAAGAAATCCAAAACCTGAACAGACCAATAACAAGTAACAAGGTTGAAGCCATAATAAAAAGTCTCTCAGCAGAGAAAAGCCCAGAACCAAATGGTTTCACTGCTGGATTTTACCAAACATTTAAAGAAGAACTAATACCAATTCTACTCAAACTACTCTGAAAAATCGAGAAGGAAAGAATACATCCAAACTCACTCTATGCAGCCAGTGTTAACCCTGACACCAAAACCAGAAAAAGACATATCAAAAAAAAAAAAGAAAGAAAACTACAGGCCAATATCTCTGACGAACATTGGTGCAGAAATCCTCAATATAAGAATAGCAAACCAAATTCAATAACACATTAAAAGGATCATTTATTGTGACCAAGTAGGATTCATTCCAGGGAAACAAGGAAGGTTCAACATAAGCAAATCAATCAGTGTAATACATCACATCAACAGAATGAAGGACAAAAACCATATGATCATTTCAATTGATGCTGAAAAAGCATTGAATATAATTCAACATCCCTTCACAATTTAAAAAGCCCTCAAAAATCTGAGTATAGAAGGAACATATGTCAACACAATAAAAACCATATATGACAAACCCACAGCTAGTATCATGCTGAATAGGGAAAACCTGAAAGCCTTTCCTCTAAGATATGGAACATGACACTGTCACCACTGTTATTAAACATAGTACTGGAAGTCTTAGCCAGAGGAGACAAGAGAAAGAAATAAAGGGCATCTAAACTGGAATGGAAGAAGTCAAATTATTCTTGTTTGCAGATGATATGATCTTATATTTGGAAAAATGTAAAGACTCCACAAAAGGTATTGTAACTGATAAATTCAGTAAAGTTACAAGATACAAAATCAACATACAAAAATCAGTAGTATTTCTATATGCCAACAGTGAATAATCTTAAAAAGAAATCAAGAGAGTAATCCCGCTTTCAACAGCTAAAAATAAAATAAAATACCTAGGAATTAACCAAAGAAGTGAAAGATCTCTTCAATGAAAACTATGAAACGCTGATGAAAGAAATTGAAGATGACACAACAAATGGAAAGATATTCCATGTTCATGGATTGGAAGAATCAATATTCTTAAATGTCCATACTATCAAAAACCATCTACATATTCAATGTAATCTCTATCAAAATACCAATGACATTCTTCACAGACCTAGAAAAAACAATTCTAAAGTTTATATGGAACCACAAAAGACTCGGAATAGCCAAAGCTATCCTAAGCAAAAAGAAAAAAAAAAAGCTGGAAGAATCACATTACCTGACTTTAAGTTATACTGTAAAGCTATAGTAACCAAAACAGCATGGTACTAGCATAAAAACAGACACAGAGACCAATGTAACAGAATAGAGAACCCAGAAACAAATCCATACCTCTACAGTGAACTCATTTTTGAAAAAGGGGTCAAGAACATCCATTAGGGAAAGGACACCCTTTTCAATAAATGGTGCTGGGAAAACTGGATATCCATATGCAGAATAATAAAACTAAAACCCTATCTCTCATTATATACAAAAATCAAATCTGAGACCTCAAACTATGAAACTGCTACAAGAAAACACGGGAAACTATCCAGGACATTGGTATGGACAAAGATTTCTTGAGTAATACCCCACAAGCACAAGCAACCAAAGCAAAAAATGAATGAATTGGATCACATCAAATTGAAAAGCTTCTGCACAGCCAAGGAAACAACCAACAAAGTGAAGGCAGCCCGTAAAATGGGAGAAAAAATTTTCAAACTATCCATCTGACAAGGGATTAATAATTATAATATATAAGGAGCTCAAACAACTCTATAGGAAAATATCTAATTATGTGATTTAAAAATGGGCAGAGGATCTGAATAGACATTTCTCAAAAGAAGGCATATCAATGGCAAACAAGTATGTGAAAAGGTGCTCAACATCATTGATCACCAGAGAAATGCAAATCAAAACTACAATGAGATATCATCTCACCACAGTTAAAATGGCTTTTATTCAAAAGCCAGGCAATAACAAATGCTGGTGAGTAAGTGAAGAAAAGGGAACTCTTGTACACTGTTGGTGGGAATGTAAACTAGAATAACCACTATGGAGAACAGGTTGGAGGTTCCTCAAAAACTAAAAATAGAGGGCCAGGCGTGGTGGCTTACGCCTGTAATCCCAGCATTTTGGGAGGCCAAGGCGGACAGATCACGAGGTCAGGAGATCCAGATCATCCTGACTAACACCGTGAAACTCCGTCTCTACTAAAAGTACAAAAAATTAGCCGGGCGGGCGTGGTGGCGGGCACCTGTAGTCCCAGCTAGTCCGGAGGCTGAGGCAGGAGAATGGCGTGAACCCAGCAGGCGGAGCTTGCAGTGTGCCGAGATCGTGCCACTGCACTCCAGCCTGGACGACAGAGCGAGGCTCCGTCTCAAAAAAAAAGAAAAGAAAACTAAAAATAGAGCTACCGTAAAATCCAGCAACCCCTCTGTTGGGTATATACCCAAAAGAAAGGAAATCAGTACACTGAAGAGATATCTGCATTCCCATGTTTATTGCAGCACTATTCACAATAGCGAAGATTGAGAAGTAACCCAAGTGTCCATCAACAGACTAATGGATAAAGAAAATGTAGTTAATATGCACAGTGGATTACTATTCAGCCATAATAAAGAATGAGATCCTGTCATGTGCAACAACATGGATGGAACTGGAAGCCATTATGTTAAATGAACTAAGCCAGGCACGGAAAGACAAACTTAATATATTCTCACTTATTTGTTGGAGCTAAAAATTAAAATAATTGAACTCATGGAGACAGAGAATAGAATGACGATTACCAGAGACTGGGAAGGACAGGGTGGGGGAGGGAGAACATAGGGATGGTTAATGGGGTAAAAAATATACTTAGATAAAATGAATAAGATCTAGTATTTTATAGCACCACAGGGTGGCTACAGTCAACAATAATTTGTTGTACATTTTAAAATAACTAAAACAGTATAATTGGATTGTGTGTAATAAAACAAAGGGATAAATGCTTGAGGTTATGGATATCCCATTCACCCGATGTGATTATTATGCATTGTATGCCTGTATCAAAATATTTCACATACCCCATAAACATATATACCTACTCTGTACCTACAAAAATTAAAAATTAGACAAATAATAAAAATAAATAAAACGCAGATATCATCCTGGTGTAGCAATAAGGTTGAGAAAAAGCAGATGCAAAGTGCTTAGTATACAGTAGAAAATTAATAAATGGCAGCTCTTTTTATTACATTCCCTTCAATGCCTGGTAAAAAGTTTTACACCAAGTAAGTGTTCAATAAATGCTTATGGAATCAACAAATGAATCTAAAACTCTAGACAATATTGTTATGTTGTAATTTGTTTGGAATTATCTACTGCCTGATTACAACAGACCTTACTGTATAATGTTTGCTTGTTAACAGTGGCTTCCCTGGGGGAACCCTTTTAGTAGTCACCTTGATATTGGCCCTGGTATCCCAACTTCAGATATTTCCAAGTAAGCTTGAGACCAGCACTTGTTCAATATTCTTTCTCTTACATAATGGGACAAAGAGAGTAGGACTCATGTTTGCTACCCCACAAGTGCCCTTAACAGCTTTCAGTATCCTCCAGAAACTCAGGCTGCCTCCAGCTGGAGAGAACTAGAAGGAGCAAGAGAAGACAGGAAGCCATCAGAGGCAACGAGAAAAGAAAGGGTGAAAATAAAAGTGGCTATGCAAGGGGCAGGACTTTGAGGACGAAGGAGAGCCGGAAGCAGATTGTATGAAGGCACAGAGAGGATTGCATTGCGGGGAGTGTATGTAACTTTTGGATCATGGGTGTTATAAATAATGAGAGAAGAGTAGAATGTACTAATGTACTCAATACTCAGCTTATAAAAATGTCCGGCCCAGGGCTTAATGCTCTTATTAAACTCAAGAAACCTTTGAAACATCTACAGTATGTCAAGGACTATGGTGCTCTATGGCTTGAACCTTTTGGATCAGACATTCATTCCTTTTGTTTGAGGATGTGATGTGGCCCAAGTTATATTTAAATCTGTGTGATAGCCAATCGTGTTACAGCAGGCAAATATGCTATGTTCAAAAGTAACATTATCAGGACAAAAATATACCAAATTTCAAAAACACCTTATAAAAATCATTTTTCTGATCATATTACATCACAATATTGAACATTTTCTATTCTAAATTAGTCAGCATTAAGCCATTAAAATGTAAACTCCGTAAGGGAGTTTTTTCTTCAATCCTGCATTCCCTCCCTGAAGAACAATATGTGATCACTTAAAATTTTATTTTACCAATGATAAATCCAAAGAATGCAAAGTTTACAGAATTTATAAGAATTTAAAGAAGTTAAAGAAACAGAATTCACAAGAGAAAGAACGAAACAATAAAAGGAAAAAAGAGATAATTCAAAGTGAAATTAGCTCATTTATATACAAATTTATTTGTATGTATTTCTAAAATCATAATTTTCAGAACATTCCGATACAGTCATGTTAGATTTCTGATTATACAAACAATATAAGAGATCAAAGATCCCTTTTTTTTTTTGAGACAGGGTCTTGCTCTGTTCCCAGGATGGAGTGCAGTGGCACAGTCACCGCTCACTGCAGCCTCAACCTCCCAGGATCAAGGGATTCTCCTGTCTCAGCCTCCTGAGTAGATGGACTACAGGCACATGCCACCATGCCTGGCTAATTTTTTTATTTTTTTGTAGAGACAGGGGTCTCACTATGTGGCCCAGGTGGGTCTCAAACTTCTGGGCTCAACTGACGATCCCACCTTGGCCTTCCAAAGTGCTAGGATTACCGGCGTGAGCCACCACCCCCAATCCATACTTAATTCTTGATTATTTCCTTGCTAATGAGAAAAATGCAATAGCCTAAAGAAGAATCAGTGTGTTCCCTTTTATTATGCTAGGAACAGAAATTTAAGGTAATGAGGAAATTTTCTATTACCATGATGTGCAATGTTGTGAGATACAATTTTTTATTTCTTTCCAGCAAGTACATTCCAGTTGGTATTACATCTTGGATAACTGATGCATGAGACTAAAATAGAATAGAATGCCATAAGAAAAACATCAGGAAAATTCTTGACATTTGCCCTCTCATATTTTTGGTAATCATATTGTAACATCAAATTCTGCCCTCACATTAGTGGAGAAGTTTATTTCATCAAGCTGACATTGTTCCTATTCAGTTGTTGGTAACTCCTTTCACTTTAAATATTCGTCTTTGTGCCTCATCTATCCTACAAAAATATTCTCTTGTCAGCCTTTTTATTATTGTTCCTTTATGAATTAACTTCCTGGGAGAAATAGTAAGAGCTATTTTAACCTGAATCCTGTTGTTTGGCAGGCTCTTGGTTGTCTTGAGTTATGACATGGAAATGCCTTTCTTCTTGGGTAATTTCTCATGTCTAAGTATATATAAGTGTACACATTTTCTTCATTTGCAAATCATTCATGTACTAGTGAATCACTTCGAGTTCTTTTTTAACCTCAAGTAAAAATGTTTAATTAGCTATATCCTCAATTCTTGGCACACTCTCATTTCCAATCTGCAAGGTTCTTGTCTTATTTTACTTTGCCCCTTCGTTGCTCTCTTCACATTCCTTTCATTCCATAGGATTCTTCTTAATGTGTTTAATATATGCTGTAAATAGATCTGATTTCCTGAAAAAGAGTCTTTCTTGTGCATTCATGTATTATTCCAATATAGAAATTGTATTGTGCTATTTCTTATTTTTGCAGAGAATAGCATGGACAGATCTTAACAATAGTAAGTGTAAAATCTACATCATTACTTTTGCATGCTGCATAACATGCTAACATGTTTTACTTATTCCTTCTCCTCGCTTTTGACACCTATGCTATTTCCCTGTTAGTAGAAACTGCTCTGATGAAGCTCTTCATCGGTGTCCCCTTTTAGACTTACGTGAGCATTTTCCTGGGATACATGTTTCTAGCTCAAAGGTATATGTGTTTTATTTTACTTAGTACAGCCAGATTACTCTGCAAAATGGCAGCATCAGCTAACATTCTCATCAGCTCTACAAGGAGGATTCCTTCAGTACAAATTCAATATGTTTCTAACGCCTTTCAGGTGTGTCTTCATTCCCAAAGAGAAAAGCTGAACCAGTTTCCTGAGATCTTTCCTAACTTCAGAGTCTGTCTTCTGGATGAAGCGAGAGTTTGAACATAAGTTTTGGATCTGATCTTTAATTGTCCTCAATTAGGTCACCCACCTCTTCTGGTCCAAACACTGTGGCCAAAGGAACTGCATGTGATACATTGAATAATTGATTTCCCTAAGTAAAATCCCAGTATTGTGCCAAAAGTAGAAGAAATTGATGCATAGTGTCCAAAAACAAGTACTCGCTTAATGTCCAAAAACAAGTAAACAAGTGCTCGCTAAAACCGCAACTTTGCAGATAGGGGTATGAACAACACATAACACTTACCCAAGCCATAACTTCTCTGAACAATATCCAGGATGTCTCAGTTTTCTATTTCTGCATAGCAAACCACCCCAAAACTTAGTATCTTAAAACAGCAACCATTTATTTACTTAGAATTCTGCAGGTAACTTCAGATGGGCAGCTCTTCTAGTGTCTCCTCTAAGAGAGCTCGCATGGTTACAGTGAGCTGTCTCACTGCCTATCAAAAAGGAATTAAAATATCTGCTCATCTGGCAGTTTATCTGGAGCAAGAAGGTCCAAGAGAGCCACACTCACATGTCTGGAGAATACCCGGGGTGGTCAGCTGGAACATCTCAGTTCTCATCCATGCGGCTTCTCCAACAGGGTAGACTGCATTTCTTAAATAGTGGTGTACAGTGTTCCAAGAAGACAAGCCTCAGTGCACAAGTGCTCATCAACCCTTTGGCATGACATTTGCTGATGTCCCTTTGCCACAGCATGTCATATGGCCTAGACCACAGCCAATATGGGAAGACACTACACAAGGGTGTGAGTACCAGGAACATGATTTACAGGGAGCCATCAAAATAACAATTCTACCATGCTCAAGGACAGTTGGTGAGTTTCACTAAGAGTTCCCTAGGAAAAGGTATGACTTCCAAGCCAATAACTGAAACCAAGGACAAGCCCGGAAAAACATCTGGCTCCTCTGGCTTGAGCCAGCCCATGGTACATGGAGGGAGAACTAAGGTAATGGTTCTAGGATGATGTCCGCACAGGGAGACTGGAGAGAAGCTCAAAGCACAGACAAAATACAAGCAATGGGGCTTTGAGCTTTTGTCAGCTTTTGGAGCTGGAGGACATCCACTGAGCTGGGCTTCTGAGCCATGGAAGCCATCTGCAGCAGAGACACCTAGTGGCCCATCCAACATCCATTCTCCCCTTGGTCCTTAATTAACAGAACTCTGTTTTATTCAGGGAAACGATCTGCTCTGCTTAAAAACTATTCTGATTAGCCTCTCTTGAAACTAAGGGAGGGAGGGGGAGAGGGCAGGAAGGAGGGATAAGGAAATAGAAAAAGGATGACAAAAGCTTTCCACTCATCACCCGCCCCCAGAAAGGCATTAAAATAATTCTAATTCTTATTTTCTATCAACATGATTTTCTAAAAGGATGATACCCAAAAGTAAAATGAGTCATCTCATGTAGCAAAATAATTTTTTTCTATTAAGCTCTACTCTTCAGAATGGTCCAGGTGGTTTCCTACCACTCAGACAGCGGCAACAGTTTTCTGCTCTAAACAGAGCTAATACCAAGAGAACAGTCTTGTTTTTTACTTTTGAGAATCTAAGCAGGTATTTGTAGATCTGTAGCAGAGTCAATAGTCTAAAAACCAAAATGCTTTTGATTTACAAACACCAGGATCCCAAAAGAGAAAATTTATTTTTATTCTAAAATATCAGCTTTACATATTAAGGAAAAATGCTGGAAGGCAGGGGTCTATCCATAAATAAATTGGGAAAATAATGCTGAAGATGTAGGAGTATCCAAAAGAGGATAAAAAATTTTACCAGAGAGATCCGGAGGGGGTATAAGTGGTGCATAGATGCTTCCTGGCTCTGAGTCCTGGGGTCAGGGGGTAGCCCGTACTAAAACCGCATGTAGGTTTGGGAAAACCCAAAGATCAGGAGAGTCACTGCCTAGCTTCCCGGTTATATTCAGAGAGACTGCACACTCAGAAAGAACTCTCCCATCCAAACTGGTACCTGAGGAGCAGAGCAGCCATGGCCACGGGAGGTGCACAGGCAGATGGCCATGAGGGAGCCTTGCCGAGGCCTGCCCATCACCTGTGAGATGCAGGTGCCACTGAATGTGTTCTATGCCCCCAGGAGAGAAGCAGAAACAGCTGGAAGGGCTGGAAGACCAGCAGAAGCCTCACAGAATGACAGGCAGATGCTGGCAATGGCTGAACAAGGACTGTATGTCTGAGACAACCCTGGGATCCAGAGAGTAGGTAAAGATGCAGGGGATGCAGGGAGGTAAAGAACAAGACCAGGCCTACCCAGTCCTATGGAGCAGAGGCCAGCAAGGGCAGAAGGCCGGAACAGCTGGAACATCCCTCCCCAGGGCCAGGTTCCGTACACAGCACATCCCTCTGCCATGCTGCCACGCAAAGAAGGCTTAGCCTTCCAAGAAGGGAAGGAGATAATAGGGAAGGGACATAATCATTAACTGGTGGGATTTAAATCCTGGAATAACTGTGTCACAGAATTCTGAGAAAATCGTGTTACCCTAAATCAACAAAATCAAGTTTCCCACTTCCACTTGGGCTAAATTCATTGAGAGGGTATTAAATTGTTTCCCCATTCCTGATTTTGTGCCTGTTACTCTCAAAATAAAGGAAGGTTGACTGACAATCTATTAGCAGAATGCTAAGAAAATGTCTATTTCTGCTGACATCAAACATTAGGGAAACTGAAGATAAACACTGGCAAAGCACCCACAGATAGGATAGCGTATAGCTTGTTAACGTTCATATGAGGTCACCTGCAGCTGATCACTAACCTAATTCACAAACATTCCAAAAAATTAAATGAGTTAGAACTTTCCTTAGGGAATGGGGCTGAGGGTGCAAGAGATGCAACTAAGGACTAGTATTTTTAACCATGTGGTTAAAAAATATTAAAAACAAATATAGATACTCCTTCAAGTCAAGTATAAATCATCCCATTGCTTTTTTGTTATGGAGTCTTTAGGCTTAGCATTTATAAAACACCTTCAATGAATAGCAAACTATTGAGAAACAACAAAAAGAAACAAAACAAAATATTCTCCTGGAATCCCTCTTCACACCTACAAGGGCATCAACATTAACTCAATATTAACTTTTTTTCCTGTTCAGTCCCTACCTCACCCTGACATCCTTGCTCTGTTATAAAGTCAGACTACATTTATCTGGTTTCCATGAAGGAATGTGCAAATTGATCTCGTGATTCTTTTCTAAGATCCCCATCTCACCCCCAGTGTGAAAAAAAAAAAAAAAAGCCTAGGGGTCCAGAGATTCTAAAATCAAATTTCTCCTCCACCCCACCCTGAATGGGAAACAATGTTTATGGGGTCCTCCATATTCTACCCATGCAGGTATCAAAGAGTTTTCAAATCAGTAGCCAATGCTGTTGCAATGCCGTGGATCAGCCCTCTTGTGGGATAATCAAGCATTGAAAAATTGAAGTTATAAAACCTAGTAAATTTGTCAGCCTTTCTGTCGTTCCTTACTTCAGATTAGTTGTCTGTCCTCTGTGTCGTTCAAGATTGTAGAAAATGGAAACCACCATAGTTATTTCAAACAGGAAGGGCCTTAATACAAAGATTTAGATGCTTAAAAATAATTGGAAGTTGCTTTGTATTAAAATATTAAACTCCCTTTATACCCCTCCCAAACTTCCTTACATGACTCCTATTTTTCTTAAAGCTCATTTTTATACATTATTTTGGTATAAAACTTCTGTTTATTACTTCTACTGGTATTTATCTGTTCAGTGCTCATGAACTGAGCTCCTGTTTTGCATTAGGCACTGTGCCAGGAGTAGGAATGTGTTTCCATGCCAGCAAATTCTAGCAGGTGGGGATGGGTGCCAAATTTCCAGAGTTAATATTATACCAGTCCCAGAGAATGTGCTTAATTTTTGTTATATTTCCCAGTCTGCACTAAATTAACTTAATTATAATTATAGGTGCACACTATTTTTAAAAAACAGAAATAAAAGTTATAGGGTGATTATACCGTTTAAAATGTACTATTTACACTACAGCTTTTTAAAAAAATGATTGGAAAGACTGGAGGAGCAGAATTGGAGATCTCAGCTAGACTTTTGACCTCAAGGTCACACCACCATGTCTGCAATTTCAAGATGAGGAACCTACTTCCACAACATCCAGCCTTACTGCCAATGTCACAGCTGTCCCTTCCTCTCCAAGATGGTGGCTGAATTGTAAATCATGACTGTGGGTCCTTCAAAAACTCATGCCCACATCAGCTGCCACTGCCACAAGGATAAAGGTCTTCCTCCCTTTCTGCTTTCCAAATGTCTCAAGAGGAAGTAAGATGCATCGAGTACCCTAATAGCAAGGGAATCTGAAGAGTTTCATTTTTAGCCTTCCCAAACACTGTGATGTAAGAGGAACACAGAAGGGAATGAAATGGGTGACAAATCTCAATGCATCATATCAAGCCCATCCCCAACTAAGAATGATTCATAACTTGACAAAACTGTGTAGATGCTGTGAACCTTTTGATGTGCAGAATGATAAGATGCCATTGATATATAAGTAATATGACTCTTCCCTGCCTCTCACTTTATTCCTGACCCTTACACAATTTCTGGCCCTCACACCTTTCCTAACCTTTATCCCATTCCTAACTCTCACCCCATTTCTGACCTTGACTTCATCCTTAACCTCACCTTCACTTCACTTTTAAATACTTATCTGAGTTTCACCCAATTGAGTTTCACCCAATCACTGTCCCTCACTCTTTCCCTGAGTCCCACTTTAACCCCCACTGTCTTGGTCCATATAGTGTTGCTATAAAGAAATACCTGAGGCTGGGTAATTTTTTTAAGAGACGGGATCTCATTCTGTCCCCCAGACTGGAGTATGGTGGCATGATCATAGCTTGCTGTAGCTGCAAACTCCTGGGCCCAAGAGACCCTCCTGCCTCAGCCTCCCCAGTAACTGGGGTTATAGTCACACACCACTGCAGCTGGCTAATTTTTTTTTAGAGATGAGGGATCTTGCTATGTTGTCCAGGCTAGTCTCGAACTCCTGAGCTCAAGCAATCCTCCCACCTCAGCCTCCCATGTATCTATGATTACAAGCACAAGCCTCTACATGGCTGGATAATTTATAAAGAAAAGAGGTTTATTGGCTTATAGTTCTGCAAACTGTACAAGAAGCATGGTGCCAGCATCTGCATCTAGTGAGGGCCTAAGGCTGCTTCCATGCATGGCTGCAGTGGAAGGAAGCTGGTGTGTGCAGAGAGAGATGTTCCCTGGAGAGGAGGCACCATGGCAAGGGCAAGAAAGAAAGGAAGGAGGTGCCAGACTCTTTTAAACAACCAGCTCTCAAGGGAACTTACAAAGTGAGAACTCACTCATTGCTCTGAGGATGGCACCAAGACATTCATGAGGGATCTGTCCCCAAGTCCAAACACTTCCCACTAGACTCCACTTCTAAGATTGGAGATTGAATTTAATGATAGACTGGATAAATAAAATGTGGCACATATCCACCATGGAATACTATGCAGCCATAAAAAAGATGAGTTCGTGTCCTTTGCAGGGACATGGATGAAGCTGGAAACCATTATTCTCAGCAAACTATCACAGGAACAGAAAACCAAACACCACATGTTCTCACTCAAAAGTGGGAGTTGAACAATGAGAATATATGGACATAGGGAGGGGAACATCACACACCAGGGCCTGTCAGGGGGTGGGGGGCTAGGGGTGGGACAGCATTAGCAGAAATACCTAATGTAGGTGATGGGTTGATGGATACAGCAAACCACCAGGGCACGTGTATACCTATGTAACAAAACTGCACGTTCTGCACGTGTACCCCAGAATTTAAAATATAATTTAAAAATTTAAAAATTAGAAATTTTAAATTTTAAAAAAATTTTTTAAAAAGAAGTTAAGCTAGATATTTTCCCAATCATATAGAGAAATGTTAAACAGATCTTTTCCCAATCTCTTTTGTTCTTAATCTGTAATGGGTGGATATAGAAACTATTTTCTTCTGTGAATTTATCAAGTACTTTGAAGATAAAAGTATCTTATTGTTTCTATCAAAAAAAATCATGAGTTTTGGGAGACAAACATATACAAACTACAGCATTCCACCTCTGGCTTCTCAAATCTCATGTCCTTCTTACACTGCAAAATACAATCATTTCATCCCAATAGTCCCCAAAAGCCTTAACTTGTTCCAGCATCAATTCAAAAGTCCAAAGTCTCATCTGAGACTTAAGGCAAGTTTCTTACAGCTTGTGAGCCTGTAAAATCAAAAACAAGTTATTTATTTCCAAGACAGAATAGCTGCATGGGTATTAGGTAAACATTCCCATTCCAAAGGAGAGAAATCAGCCAAAAGAAAGGGGTAACAGGTTAGACATTAAATCTTAAAGCTCCAAAATAATCTCCCTTGACTCCATCTCCCCTGTCTGAAGCACACTCGAAGCAAGGGGTGGACTCCTGTGGCCTCTGGGAGCCCTGCCCCCATGTTTTGCCCATTGCAGCACACGTGGCTGTCCTCCTGGGTTGGAGTTCAATGTCTGTGGCTTTTCCAGGCTGAAGGCACACACTGATGGTAGCTCCATAATTCTGGGGTCTCAAAGGCACCAGCCATTCTCCCAGGACTTCACTAGATAGTGCTCTAGTGGGACTCTCTTTGGGGGCTCCAACCCCACATTTCTGCTCAGCATTGCCTTAGTAAATGTTCTCTTCAGGAACTCTACCCCTGTGGCAGACTTCTCCGTGGGCACCCAGGCTTCCCATATATCCTCTGAAATCTAGGTGGAGCTGCCACACCTCTACCGCTCTTGCATTCTGCACATCTGCAGACTTAATGTCACAAAGTCACCAGGGCTTACTACCTGCACCCTCCCAAGCAGCTGCCCAAGCAATACCTGGGGGCCTTTGAGCCTCAGCTGGAGCCAGAGGGGCCAACATGCAGGGAACAGCATCTTGAGGTGGCACAGGGCAGTGGTGCTGGGGCCTGACCCCTGAAATCTTTCTGTACTCCTAGGCCTCTGGGCCTGTGATGGGAGGGGCTGCCTCAAATATTTCTAAAATGCTGTAGGAGACTTTTTCCCTTTTAGCCATGCAAATCTCTCTAGCAAATGGCATCTCAGCTGCACCTCTGGATTCCTCCCATGAAAATGCTCTTTCCTTCTTTAACACTTGGCTAGGCTGCTAATTTTCCAAATTTTTATGCTCTTCTTCCCTTTTAATTATAAATTCCAACTTTAGGTCACTCCTTTGCTCTCATATCTGATAATAAGCTGTTAAAAGCAGCCATGTCACTTCTTGAATGCTTTACTGCTTACAAATTTCTTCCACCAGATGCCTTAGTTCATCACTCTCCAATTCAGCTTTCCACAAGTTGCAGGGCATGGACACAATGCAGCCAAGTTCTTTGCTAAGGGGAAAAAAGGGTGACCTTTGCTCCAGTTCTCAATAAGTTCCTAATTTCCATCTGAGACCTCATCAGCATGACCTTTACTGTCTATATTTCTATCAGCATTTTGGTCACAACCATTTAACCAGTCTTCTTAACCAGAACTTCTTAAAGTTCCAAACTTTCCCTCACTTTTTTATCTTCTCCTGAGCCCTCCAAACTCTTCCAACCCAGTTCCAAAGATGCTTCCACATTTTCAGGTACCTTTATAGCAACAGCCCACTCCTCAGTACGTATCTTCTGTCTTACTCCATGTAGTGTTACTGTAAAGGAATACCTGAGGCTGGACAATTTATTAGGAAAAGAGGTTTATTTGCCTCCCAGTTCTGCAGACTGTACAAAAAGCATGGTGTCAGCATTTGCTTCTGGTGAGGGCTTCAACCTGCTTCCACTCATGGTGGAAGGCAAAAAGGAGCTGGTGTGTGCAAAGAACATATGGTAAGAGAGGAAACAAAAGTTGCGGGGAGGTGCCAACCCCAGCAGCTAAATTCTGGGAAGAGTGTTCTTCAAGAGACAATTGTATTTCCAGCATCCTGACTTCCCAAAGCTACCTTGGTTTATATGTTTCAATTTCTGATCCTGGTCTCCAGCATCCTGCCAATTCTATGAGGCCCTAGTATTCCTTTTCTGGCTAAGATGCCTGAGTTGGTTTCCCTGGCTTGCAACCAAGAATACCGTTCAAAACAAAAATTGGCACCAGCAGATGTGTTGTAGGCAATAGACTCTAAGGAAAACGTGAGAAAACTGGGGTTATCTAGATTAACTGGGGCAGAATGAGTCAAAGTCTCATTAATATTCACATGATAGGAATCTGGAAGTTCATAGTATATAGTAGCAAGATGGCCAAATAAATTATTATCAATGGACATCTGAAATAACATGCCCATGTGAAGCAAAACTTTTTGATACTGTCTTCCTGCTTCCAAAGAGTATAAAAGATGTGAGAAATTCAGAGATGTAGAAATGGGATAGCTGCTTCTAACAGCATTGAACTTCTCTTTAAAAATAGAATGACAAGGCCAGGTGCAGTGGCTCATGCCTGTAATCCCAGCACTTTGGGAGGCTGAGGCAGGCAAATAACTTCAGGTCAGGAGTTCAAGAGCAGCCTGGCCAACATGGTGAAACCCTGTCTCTACTAAAAATACAAAAATTAGCCAGGTGTGATGGTGCATGCCTGTAATCCCAGCTACTCGGGAGGCTGAGACACAAGGATTGCTTGAACCCAGAAGGTGGAGGTTGCAGTGAGCTGAGATCACGCCACTTTACTCCAACCTGGGCAACAGAGCAAGACTCCATCCGCCCCCCCTGACCCAACAAAAAAAAAAATAGAATGACAAGTTCAAATCCTTGTCTTTCTCACTCAGATGTAAACTAAAACCAAGGGATTCTTAATTCTTCTGGCTTCTTAATTCTGAAGTAGCCAGAAGGAAAGCAAAGTTTGGGCCTGCTGGTTTCTGAGTTGCAACTGGAGTTGAAAATAATGCCTTTTAAAGTCTCCTATATGAAAGATAGGAATTGATTGGTAAATAGTGGCAATCTGAGAATAGGAATAGGGGCATATGAGAGGATTTGTAGCACTTGGAGCCCCTCAAACTCTCCATGCCAACTGAGCCTTTCTTGATTCCAGGCCACTTCTTTCTACATTTAGGGTCAGATCCTGGATTTCCCAAAAGCTGCCATTAAAAAGTCAAATTTTGAAGAGGCTGACTTAAACACAAAAGAATTATATACTTAACTAATTTACATTAGCAAAAATCTGGGGAATGTACATGAGAATACATTCTAAGGATTTTCAATCAAACAAGAAAAACATTTAGATTTTGTTTTTAAGTGGGATTAAATTTAATGGTATGGGTACTGTGGTGGTCAATTTTATAGATCAACATGGCTGGGCCATAGTTCCCAGTTATTCAATCAAAACTAATCCAAGTGCTGCTGTAAAAGCTTTTTGTGATGTAATGAAAATCCATAATCAGTTGACTAAGTAAAGGAGATTATTTTAGATAATGTAGATAATCCTAGATGATCTGAGTGGGCTTGATTAAGTCAGTTGAAAGGCCTTAAAAGCAGAACTGAGGCTTTCCTAAGGAAGAAGAAATCCCACCTGTGTAAAGTAATTAAACCTCTTACCCAGAAATTCCAGCCTGCCATTCTTGATGACCAGCCCTATGGATTTTGGACTTGCCTTGTCAGCCTCCACAATCATATAAGCTAACTCCATGCAATACGTCTCTTATATCTTTTATTTCTTTGGTTGAACCCTGACTGATACAGATAACCTAGCCCAAGAGTCTGGATTCAATGTGCCAGCTCAAGCAGTTCTTAATGATTCTAACAGTTGCTCCACTATTAAACTATGGTGACCAGCGTTAAACAAAGTTTTGAGGTGACAAAAATCCACTGGTGTAATGCAGAAAAATACATTCTAAGTGGAACATCATGTCCCTAGCCTTCAGATCACACCTATGGTAAGGCCCATTATAACGGGCTGCTGAAGCTGTGCAGAGCTGGAAATGGGAAGCTGCTGTGCTATTGCCTGTCTGGAGGTGGCCCTGAAACACTACAGCAAGGGGCACTATTCACAATGAACAGAACTTTAGACCACACACCTGTTTGCCCACTTTATGTGGAAAGAGAAGTGGCTCAAGGTAAGAACGTACACTGTTATCCATCTCTAGTGAATAGGAACTGTTTCTGATCCTCCTTCGTGACAAGAATGGCTACAATCCATGTACTTACAGCCTTGTTCATTTGCTAGTGAAGATACCCACATCTGACACAGCAGCTGCATTGGGAGATACTACCTCGTTGAGTTTTGGTAAGTTGTAATCCTCCAGGGAGTTTACGTAGTGGCCAAATCTGTAAATTAAATGGGGATATTAGGGAATCCATGACCCCTGCATCCTTTAGGATACCAATCCGTGCTGTTTACTATGACAATGTAATACTCTTTTGGCTGGGGCAGTGAGCAATGGACAAGGAGTTTCAGGGATTTCCCCACTATGGTGTTCTTAGCCCTCAAGCCAGAGAGTCTCAGGATCCATTGCCATGTACATTCTCCCAGCTGCTGCTAGTACATGTTGGTGAAATCCTGTAGTTCCTTCAGGGTAGAGTCTCTATCCTTCCTTAGCAGACCCAGCACCTCCACAGCTGAGTTGTATTGTGATTAAACCCTAATTAATAGGCTGGGAGCCGGGATATGAGATAGGGGTAGATCCTGCAGGAGCTTCATATTGTCTTGCACGGAAGAGGCTTCTACATTGTCTTCAAGCAAGGAGGGAACACAGGTCCTTTAACAGCAAGTGGTTTGCTTTTTCTGCAGGCTTAGAAGGTTCAGAAGGATATGGAGATTCAATATTTTCTAATGCATTGACCCAGATGTTCCCATCCCATGTCATAATGTACCACTCCTTCCAGTCAGGACCCTAATCTTGGTGTCACAGACTTTCTAATACTGAGAATTCAACCTCATCTGGAGTGATATTATTCTTATAATTACACACTAGGCCCAACCCTCAGGTTTTTCTGCCTTCCAGCTGAGGAGGAGTCTTTCTATGCTACCAGAGATGCCCTCTGTCTTTCACACTTAGCCTTTCCTTAGTGATTCATGCCCCCTGCCTCCGTTTTCCATTGTCTTACTCCATTGCATTAATTGCCTCCCAGAATAGCTATTCAGTTCCACAGTTAATTACTACTTCCCCTAAACTTCTCAAACACCTGTGGTATTTCCCCTACCTCTGCATTTTTTTCTGCAGTCCATGGCTGGATTCTTTTCTATTGGTATCCCATCGTGTACACCAGCCATGAAAGTTTTAATGAATGCACCACTGCAGTATGACAGGGTCTACCAGTGTTTCACTCCCACAGAGGATGCTGTCCTCAGTAGCAGTCAGCTGGCAGGTGATCCTGATCCAAAATCTTATTATAGGATCTGTTTCCTCATACCATACCTGGCACAAGCTGCCTTAGATATGGTCCTCCAGGAAACATACTCTGAGAGGAGATACACATGTAGGAAGTTTATTGGTGAATGTTCTCTTGTTCTACATGTGTGGGGGAGTGAAAACAAGAGGATGAGGAAGAGGGAGGGATGAACTGTAATGTAGTTCCCACCAAGAGCTCTGGAGCTGGAATGGCCACCTTTGAGGCATGGTGTGCAGACCCTTATAGCTTCATGTTGAAGGCTAACCCCCAGGGAGGGGTGTGATCTTGGCAAGGTGACTTCCTTCACCTGAGCGCAGTTCCTGGTGAGCAACTCAGCTGAGAGCCCTTAGCTACCAATCCTAAAGAGAGGGCCTGGGCAGCACAGCACACACAACCAGGGAAACAATCGCATTGCACAATTGATTGCAATTGAAATTATCTCTTCAATTTCAGTGGGGATGAAGGAATCCAAGATGTTAGAGATGATGGAGTCCAAGAAGCAGTATTCAATCAGAGGTAAAGTCAAAGCACATGATGACTCTTACACAGGTCTAGGGTGAGGCCATTAAAGCACCTAAGACACAAAACTTAAGGAAGCATTCACTCTCAAGGTTGTGCAAGAGAAGGGCTTGGCACTTCTGATACCCCAGGAGTGCGGGCCTCCTTAAGTTTTCTATCTTAGAAACCTTGATTTCCTCACCCCCCACCCTCAACTTCCTGCTATTATAAACAATGAGTCATCATTGTAATCAAAATGGTCTGACCCACATGGAACTCTGGTGATTTTTAATAGATTATTTAGTCCCTGGAATAAATATGTGAAGTCAGACTGCTGAGGTTCTACTTGATTTGAATAAGAAAACACCAAGTCCTAAGAATACCCCAAGACTAGGAAGACTTTGCCCAATTTCCAGTCCTGAATCCTTCACAGACTCAGTGAAGGATTAGTGAAGAAAAATCTGGGTTCCATGAAGGAATGAATAAACCTAAAGTAATACCACAAGTGGGTACCATGATTCTTCCTAGTCTTCTCCAAAGCGGCCTATAGCTAATCATCAGTATAACCTGGCACTAGAAAAAAAGGAAAGTACCCAAATATTTCGAAAACTATTGTACGCTGACTCTAAGGTAACGCCAACTCCCAGAACTCCCAGGTTATCAATGCAGTCTACCAATCACAGTAGAGATAACAGAAGACATATGATATTGACTTTTTTTTTTTAACAATATCCACCTCACCAGAGGTCCAATGGGACCGAGAGGTGACAATGTGGTAGCAGCCCTCGCTCACTCTTGGCGCCTCCTCAGCCTTGGTGTCCAGTCTGGCCGCACTCAAGGAGCCCTTCAGCCCACCACTGCACTGTGGGGGCCCCTCTCTGGGGCTGGCCGAGGCCAGAGCCAGCTCCCTCTGCTCACAGGGAGGTATGGAGGGAGAGGCGCGGGTGGGAGCTGGGGCTGCATGCAGCACTCGCAGGCCTGGGCAAGTTCTGAGTGAGCATGGGTTCATTGGGCTCTGCACTCAGCACTGCCAGCTGGCACCTGCTAGGCTTGATCAGAGGCTGGGTCCCATGCATGGACTGCCATTCCCTCTTCGCGGGGTTGTTGGCCACGATGGCAGGTCTCCATCTCTTTCTCTCTTCCCCTCTTTTCCTCTTGGTTGTCTGGGACAAGCTCCCTCTGGGCTGCCAGAGTGCCCGGGCTAGGTGCCACAAAGTCCACCAGTGAGTGCTAGTGAGAGGTGAAGAAGGCTGGGCTTCTGGGACGGTGGGGACTTGGAGAACTTTTGTGTCTAGCTAAAGGATTGTAAACGCACCAATCAGCACTCTGTGTCTAGCTAAAGGTTTGCAAACACTCCAATCAGCACTCTGTGTCTAGCTAATGAGGTGGGGACTTAGAGAACTTTTGTGTCTAGCTAAGGGATTGTAAACACACCAATCAGCACTCTGTGTCTAGCTAAAGGTTTGTAAACGCACCAATCAGCACTCTGTCAAAATGGACCAATCAGCTCTCTGTAAAAGAGAGCAATCAGCACTCTGTAAAATGGACCAATCAGCAGGATGTGGGGAGGGCCAGATAAGGGAATTAAAGCAGGCCACCTGAGCCAGCAGCGGCAACCAGTTCTGGTCCCCTTCCACGCAGTGGAAGCTTTTTTCTTTCACGCTTCACAATAAATCTTGCTGCTGTTCATTCTTTGGGTCCACACCGCCTTTATGAGCTGTAACATTCACCACAAAGGTCTGCAACTTCACTCCTGAAGTCAGTGAGACCCTGAACCCACCAGAAGAAAGAAACTCTGGACACGTCTGAACATCTGAAGGAACAAACGCCAGACACACTGTCTTTAAGAACTGTAACACTCACTGCAAGGGTCCGCAGCTTCATTCCTGAAATCAGTGAAACCAAGAACCCACCAGTTCTGGACACATTTTGCCAACCATGAAGGGACCATTGCCTATCACCCAGCAGTGAGACCATTGCCTATCACCAAGTGGTGAGACTATTGCCTATCACCAAGCAGTGGATACCATCGGACCCCTTTCACTTGCTATTCTGTCCTATTTTTCCTTAGAATTTGGGGGCTAAATACTGGGCACCTGTTGGCCAGTTAAAAGTGACTAGTGCAGCCGCCAGACTACAGACACGGGTGTCAGGCTTTCTGGGAAAGGGCTCTCTAACAACCCTCGACTCTTTGGAGTTGGGAGCATTGGATTGCCTGGAACCAGCTTCCACTTTTCCTGTACTTCTGGGCTGAGCTGAAGTTTGACAGAGAGGAAAGCCGTTCAGCTCCGGGGTCCTGACAATAAGTTGGTTGGCCCTGCGGCCATGAGTGGAACTCTCAAAGTCATGTTGCCCAGTGAGACTCGCCCATCTAGTCTATCTACCCTAACGCTTGCCTCCTGGGTCCTAATGCCTGCCAGACAAACTTCCTCTTGCCTCTCTTCTCCAAGGCTAGTCCCGCTTCTAAAAATAACTCCCTGTCTCTGGTGCTTTTCTAGTTTCTGCTGTAAGAATGATTTCTAGTATACACTCCAGGACTCTGTACCTTCTTTAGGTACCCAGGCTCACCAATCAGAAAGACATAATTTTTGCCCAAAGCCCCGTCATAGGGGGGACTATCTGGAATTTTAGGATCCCTCCTCAGACTAGCAGGCCTAACAAAAGCTATTCCTGAAGCTAGGATATGGGGAGCCTCAGAAATTTTATCCTTCCTATTCACATAAGTGAGGACAAAAGGTGTCACTCTTCCAACTCTGGAGGTCCCTCACTCAGAGTATGGCCCTCCACTTCATTTTTGGGGCATAACATCTTTATAGGACACAGTTAAGGTCCCAATACTAACAGGAGAATGCTTAGGACTCTAACAGGTTTTCAAGAATGCATCAGTAAGGGCCACTAAATCCAATTTTTCTCAGTCCTCTTTGTGGTCTAGGAGGACAGGCAAGGGTGCAGGTTTTCGAGAATGCGTTGGTAAGGGCCACTAAATCTGACCTTCCTCAGTCCTCCTTGTGGTCTGGGAGGAAAACTAGTGTTTCTGCTGCTGCATTGGTGAGCACAACTATTCCGATCAGCAGGCTCCAGGGACCATTGTGGGTTCTTGGGCAGGGGTTGTTTCTGCAGCTGCATCAGTGAGTGCAACTATTCCGATCAGCAGGGTCCAGGGACTGTTGCAGGTTCTTGGGCAGGGGTTGTTTGTGCTGCTGCATCAGTGAGTGCAACTATTCCTATCAGCAGGGTCCAGGGACCGTTGTGGGTTCTAGGGTGGGGGGAGAAACAAAACAAACCAAAACCATGGGCGGTTTTGTCTTTCAGATGGGAAACACTCAGGCATCAACAGGCTCACCCTTGAAATGCATCCTAAGCCAATGGGACCAATTTGACCCACAAACCCTGAAAAACAGGCAGCTCATTATTTTCTGCACTACAGCCTGGTCCCAATATTCTCTCTCTGATGGGGAAAAATGGCCACCTGAGGGAAGTGTAAATTACAATACTATCCTACAACTTGACCTTTTCTGTAAGATGGAAGGCAAATGGAGTGAAATACATTATGTCCAAGCTTTCTTTTCATTGAAGAAGAATACACAACTATGCAAAGCTTGCAATTTACATTCCACAGGAGGACCTCTCAGCTTACCCCCATATCCTAGCCTCCATATAGCTCCCCTTATTATTAATGATAATCCTCCTCTAATCTCCCCTGCCCAGAAGGAAATAAGCAAGGAAATCACCAAAGGACCACAAAAACCCCCAGGCTATCCATTATGTCCCCTGCAAGCTGTAGAGGGAGGGGAATTTGGCCAACCCAGGTACATGTCCCCTTCTCCCTCTCTGATTTAAAGCAGATCAAGGCAGACCTGGGGAAGTTTTCAGATGATACTGATAGTTACATAGATGTCCTACAGGGTCTAGGGCAAACCTTTGAGCTCACTTGGAGAGATGTCATGCTACTGTTAGATCAAACCCTGGCCTTTAATGAAAAGAATGCAGCTTTAGCTGCAGCCTGAGAGTTTGGAGATGCCTGGTATCTTAGTCAAGTAAATGATAGAATGACAGCCAAAGAAAGGGATAAATTCCCTACCAGTTACCAAGCCATCGCCAGTATGGGTCCCCACTGGGACCTTGACTGAGATCATGGGGATTGGAGTCGTAAACATCTGTTGACTTGTGTTCTAGAAGGACTAAGGAGAATTAGGAAAAAGTCCATGAATTATTCAATGATGTCCACCATAACTCAGGGAAATGAAGAAAATCCTTCTGCCTTCCTTGAGTGGCTACGGGAGGCCTTAAGAAAATATACTCCCCTGTCACCCGAATCACTCAAGGTTCAATGGATTCTAAAAGCTAAGTTTATTACCCAATCAGCCACAGATATCAGGAGAAAGCTCCAAAAGCAAGCCCTGGGCCCTGAACAAAATCTGGAGGCATTATTAAACCTGGAAACCTCAGTGTTCTATAATAGGGACCAAGAGGAACAGGCCCAAAATGAAAAGTGAGATCAGAGAAAGACTGTAGGCTTAGTCATGGCCCTCAGACAAACAAACCTTGGTGGTTCAGAAAGAACAGAAAATGGAGCAGGCCAATCACCTGGTAGGGCTTGTTATCCGTGTGGTTTACAAGGACACTTTAAAAAAGATTGTCCAATGAGAAACAAGCCGCCCCCTTATCCATGTGCTCTATGCCGAGGCAATCACTGGAAGGTGCACTGCCCCAGAGGACAAAAACCCAAGGAGGTGGCAGTCTTACACTGCCAAAGCCATCAGAAAGGGGAAAGAGAGGGAGAACAGCAGCATAAGCGGCTGGCAGCAGGGAAAGACCAGCAGAGAGAAAAAGAGAGACAAAGTCAAAGAAGGAAAGAGAGAAATAGACAGAAAGAGAGAGAGAGAGAAAGATAGGAAGTCAAAGAGAAGGAGACAGAAAGTAAAGAGAGAAAGAGACAGAAAGTTTAAGAGAGAAGAAAAGAGAGGAAGAGACAAAGGAGTCAAAGAGAGAGAGAGAGATAGAAGTAATAAAGAAAAAACAGTGTACCCTATTCCTTTAAAAGCCAGGGTAAATTTCTGTCTACCCAGCCACGGTATATTCTTCTTATGTGGAACATCGACCTATATCTGCCTCCCCACTAACTGGACAGACACCTGCATCTTAGTCTTTCTAAGTCCCAACATTAACATTGCCCCAGGAAATCAGACCTTATCAGTACCCCTCAAAGCTCAAGTCCATCAGCACAGAGCCATACAACTAATACCCCTACTTATAGGGTTAGGAATGGCTACTGCTACAGGAACTGGAATAGCCAGTTTATCTACTTCATTATCCTACTACCACACACTCTCAAAGGATTTCTCAGACAGTTTGCAAGAAATAATGAAATCTATCCTTACTCTACAGTCCCAAATAGACTCTTTGGCAGCAGTGACTCTCCAAAACTGCTGAGGTGTATACCTCCTCACTGCTGAGAAAGGAGGACTCTGCACCTTCTTAGGGGAAGAGTGTTGTTTTTACACTAACCAGTATGAGATGCTGCCTGGCATTTACAGGAAAAGGCTTCTGAAATCAGACAACACCCTTCAAACTCTTATACCAACCTCTGGAGCTGGGCAACATGCCTTCTCCCCTTTCTAGGTCCCGTGGCAGCCATCTTGCTGTTACTTGCCTTTGGACCCTGTGTTTTTAACCTTCTTGTCAATTTGTTTCCTCTAGAATCAAGGTCATCATGCTACAGATGGTCTTACAAATGGAACCCCAAATGAGCTCAACTAACAACTTCTACCGAGGACAGCTGGACCAACTTGCTGGCCCTTCTGCTGGCCTAAAGAGTTCACCTCTGGAGGACCCTACAACTGCAGGGCCTCTTCTTTGCCCCTATCCAGCAGGAAGTAGCTAGAGTGGTCATTGGCCAAATTCCCAACAGCAGTTGGGGTGTCCTGTTTAGAGGGGGGATTGAGAGGTGACAACGTGCTAGCAGCCCTCACTCACTCTCAGCATCTCCTCAGCCTTGACGTCCTCTCTGGCTGCGCTCGAGGAGCCCTTCAGCCCACCGCTGCACTATGGGGGCCCCTCTCTGGGGCTGGCCAAGGCCGGAGCTTGCTCCCTCTTCCTGCAGGGAGGTGTGGAGGGAGAGGTGCGGGTGGGAGCCGGGGCGGCACGTGGCACTTGTAGGCTGGTGCAGGTTCCAAATGGGCATGGGCCCAGCAGGCCCAGCACTTGGCACTACCAGCTGGCACCTGCTGTGATTGATTGGAGGCTGGGTCCTGTGCATGGACCGCCATTCCCTCTTCACGGGGTCATTGGCCATGGTGGCAGGTCTCCTTCTCTTTCTCACATCTCTTCTTCTCCTTTTGGTTGTCTGGGACGAGCTAGGTGCCGCAAAGTCCCATGGTGAGTGCTAGTGAGAGGTGAGGCCAGCTGGGCTTCTGGGATGGGTGGGGACTTGGAGAACTTTCTGTGTAGCTAAAGCATTATAAATGCACCAATGAGCACTCTGTGTCTAGCTAAAGGTTTGTAAACACACCAATCAGCGCTCTGTGTCTAGCTAATCGGGTGGGGACTTCAAGAACTTTTGTGTCTAGCTAAAGGATTGTAAATGCACCAATCAGCACTCTGTCAAAATGGACCAATCAGCTCTCTGTAAAATGGACCAATCAGCAGGATGTGGGTGGGACCAGATAAGGGAATAAAAGCAGGCCACCTGAGCCAGCAGCAGCAACCCGCTGGGGTTCCCTTCCACACTGTGGAAGCTTTGTTCTTTCACTCTTCACAATAAATCTTGCTGCTGCTCACTCTTTGGGCCCATGCTGCCTTTATGAGCTGTAACACTCACCGGGAAGGTCTGCAGCTTCACTCCTGAAGTCAGCAAGACCATGAACTCACCAGAAGGAAGAAACTCTGGACACATCTGAACATCTGAAGGAATAAACTCCAGACACACCATCTTTAAGAACTGTAACACTCACTGCAAGGGTCTACGGCTTCATTCTTGAAGTCAGAGAGACCAAGAACCCACCAATTCTGGACACAGGACCACTAAAATATCGCATGATTGCTAAAAATATAGATAGCCTAATCAAGTCAAGAATACTTGTGTTGGCTTCCTGACACAAGGAGTGAGGACCATTTTTGTCCTATTTTACTCCTTATTTTAGTAGACAGGACCAACAGGAACCTGTGTGGTTTCTACTCCCTTCCAAAACAATAAACCAAAAGCAATTCTCCATTTCTAAGAAATTACATAGTTCAGAGCCTGTTGGGAGAAAAGCTGAGTGTTGGGAGAGAAGCTGAGGCAGGGCTTGCATGTCTGCTAGACTTGCTGACTCCTTGCTTCTAGCACTCCCATTATCTCAAGTAGCCATATGTTTCTCATTCACTTGATACACCATTTCCTTTCAACCCCCACATCCTCACCACCTGTTTCTTTGAACACTAATAAATAGCGTGGACTCCCAGAGCTTGGGGCCTTCACAGCCTCCACACTCACAATGGCCCCCTGGTCCCACTTTCTCTCTCAAACTCGTTTTCTCATTCCTTTGACTCCACCAGACTTTGTCACCCCTATGTCCTGGTGTTGGGTCTGATCACCCCAACAGGAGACATCATGAAATATTTTATTTATACAGGGAAGGAGGATGATTTCTATTACGTGTCCACCTATATGTCCAATTGGCTAGAATGAAAAAGATCTGTATTAGGAAAATGATAATGAATATTTGATTTTAATCAGGTGGAGACAGCATTTGTAGTGTCTAAACAGATCTGGGCAAACCAAATCGTCCCTGAAACCTGTTAGGCAACTATTGATCTATTGTCCTCTTCATTGTTAGCGACTTTAACTGAGCACATTGCTTGATGTGGGCCAATGTGAATAATGATGAGATTTGAACAGCAATGTTGTGTGTAGCTTCCAGAAAGGTTTATTAAAGAAATCAAAGTTAGCTATTTTCCTCTTTCCTCCTTTCTGCCAGTTAGAAGGTAAACATGATGATTGGAGTGCTAGAAGCTATATTGAACCAAAAGACAAGGACCACACCCTAAATATGATGAGGCAATATCAGCCCTGGATAGCCTAGCTCAATATTTCTTCTATGTGAGAAAATAATAAATTTATTTTTGTTTATCCCACACTTTGAGTTTTCTCTGTTACATGCAGCTGAATTTAATATCAACTGGCGTGATGAGAAAATGTTAATGGTATAACTCAATTGTCAGAGTTGTGGTAGGAAAGATTTGAATATTGAGACAGAAAGATTTGGGAAAGAAGTTTATTATAGACATTTTGAATGGGCTCAGAGTCTGAGAATATTTATGTTCCATGTGAATGCTTAACAGAAATTTCCTCCCATGGAGGAAACGCTTAATTAGTCAGATGAGAAAGATGACCTGCTCTATCTGCTTCCTTCCCCAGCTACTCCATTGCTATTCAAAGGATTCAAAAACAAAGTGCATGGTGGCAGGAGTGGAGGTTATGCAGGAGTTCAACAAAATATTTTCCCTTAGCAAAACTGACTTGACTACTGCCATTATAAGTACTAAATTTGCCAGCAGCAGAGACCAACCCTAAACTCCCCATTCCTTAGGTGGACCACCCCGTCCTTTGGGTAATGATGTATTTTCACCAAATCTACCCACAATGCTTCTGCCAGCTACACCATCTATGGAGGTACTTTCATGGTATCACATACATCATTATTTATGACCAAGGAATTAATTTTACAGTGAAAACAGATAGGTAATAATCTCATGCCCTTGAGATTTGCAGCTTTTATTGTGTATTCACCATTAATCTGAAGCAGCTGGTTTTAAAGAATATAGGATGGCCTATAGCTATTCAAGTTTCAGTGAATATATGTAACTGTTGCTCTCACAGCCAGAATACAAGGATCTGGAATCAAGGGACAGAGATTGGATTGTCACCTTTTATTAGTACTCCTACTGACCCACTTTCCAAATTTATGCTCCCATCTCTGTGACTCTGGGTTCCACTGGCTTTGAACCCAGGAAGGAATGATTCCACAGTCAATGATGGCTATACTCAGGATCCTCATGCCAGTCGGAAGACAAACAAAAACCAAGGTGGATTCCAAATTGGTGAAAAGGGTCGATCCTGACTCTCAAAGGGAACTAGGTATGCTGAAACCCAGCAGGAGCAGGAAGGAACTATGAAGAGAATCCAGAGGCTCCCATCAGATGCCTTCTCACATGACCATACTGTTAATGATGGAGGGTGTCCAGGTTCTTGGCATCTTGAAAAAGAATTGGACAAACACACAAAGCAAGGAAGGAATGAAGGGATTTATTGAAAATGAAAGTACACTCCATGGTGTGGGAGCAAGCCTGAGCATAGGGGCTCAAAGGCCCTGTTACAGAGTTTTTATGAGTTTAAATACCCTCTACTTGGGGTATGTCCTAGGTAAATGAAGAGGATGAAGTAAAGTCACAAAGTCATTTATTTGCTATATGTTCTATGGAGAGGAGATTTCCTGTTTTATTTATTTATTTGAGATGGAGTTTTGCTCTTGTCGCCCAGGCTGGAGTGCAATGGCTCCATTTTGGCTCACTGCAATCTCTGCTTCCCAGGTTCAAGGGATTCTCCTGCCTCAGCCTCCTGAGTAGCTAGGAATAAAAGCACCAACCACACCCAGCTAATTTTTTGTATTTTTAGTAGAGATGGGGTTTTGCCACGTTGGTCAGGCTGGTCTCGAACCCCTGACCTCAGATTATCTGCCTGCCTCAGCTTCCCAAAGTGCTGTGATTACAGGCGTGAGCCACCCCACCCAGCTGAATATTTCCTGTTATAGCTGAAGTGTGGATCGGCCTTATGTTCCCTGCCTCCAAACCCTGTTTTGCTGCCCCCATACCAGTGATGCAAAGATAGTAGAGACCAGGCGCAGTGGCTCATGCCTGTAATCCTAGCACTTTGGGAGGCTGAGGCAGGAGGATCACTTGAGGCCAGCGATGCAGGAGTCTTTCTTGATCCCTTCATTGAACTTGCAACCATTTACTCAGCCCGAGGCATTCAACCTCTTGAGGGAGGGAATGCAAAGCAGCCAGCGGGATCCCACACTCGCTGGCTCAAGCACTCCCTCCTGCAAGAGGTTGAGCACAAGGGGGGGCCAGTAAACGGAGCACCCCCATCACAAGTCCGACGAAGGAGTCAAGAAAAACTCCTGCATCATCTGGGGGCTTGCCTGGGATTCATCAGAAGGGTGAGTAAATGCAGATCTGTCTCTTCACTTTTTTCCCAAGACTTCTTGTCCTCAGACTTTCCTTGAAGACAGGTGATGCACCGAACCTCCCTGAGTGGCCAGTTAAAGGCAAATGGGACAGCTACAGAGGACAAGATGTGACTCTGCCACTTCTCTTTCTTTCGGGAGAAAGGAATATTAGCTTTGTTTCCCTTCACGGAGGTCTAGCAGTCTCGTGGGACCGGGATAAGGTCCTGGGGCAATTCAAGGCATCTGGCCGAGGCCACTCCTCTGTGTTGCTGGAAAGCCCCTAGACTGGCTCCCATCCCCGACCACCCATTAGGGCATGGGCCAAGACCCCCAGACTTTTCTATGGTGTCTTTACTTCCTTCTTTCATGGTTTTGAAATGGCTCCTATCTCTTCTTTTATAATGTTAAGGCTGTTGCTGTAAACTGCAGAAATATAACTAAGTAGAATGAGTCTTTGGCCCAGCCATCAGTTATGCAATTCAGAACAATTCGATTTCCATCTGTTCTTAGAGGTGCCTCCCCATCCAAACAGCCACAGGTGCACAGGACAGACGGATGGGCAGAGGGCAGCTCCTCACCCCACCAGCCGCCCTACCAGCTGGGGTGCATGGCCATGTCCCCGGCATGCATGCTGCACCCAAAGACCATGGCGGGTGGGAGTGAGCTGCAGTCAAGGCAGGGGCTCCAGGGCAGTCTTGGGGGCCCTGCGCAACCGGCTGGTCAACATTGCCCACTCTCTGCCCCCTCGTACCTACACGCTCCCACGGAATCCTTCCTCCCATGACAGAGGGGCCCAGCTCAGTCTGAACGAAGAGGAGGACACAGTGATTAAGAGCCTTTTCCTGTTAAAGGAATCCATTTGCATAGAGCAAAAGGTTTCTCCCCCAGGCCTTTCCCCCCTCTTGCACTTAAGCTGTTTTTTGTTTGTTTGTTTGTTTGTTTTTCCTTTTCTCCACCTTGTCAAGAGTTAACACATAGCCCTGCAAACTCAAACCCAAGCTTCAGGTTGAAGCCCTAGAAAGGAAAACTAGATCTGAGGGATCCAAAGGCAGGCAACTAAGGAAGATAGACAGCGTGGGTGGGCCAGACTAATTCCTGCTGATTAAGCCCCTGGTTCATGGATGGAGGTCGCACTATTAACCATGGCATAAGTGAGGCCCAAGGAACTCAAATGTTACCAACACTGTGGGGGATAGACAGTGCAGGTAAATGTAAATGTAAATAACTCCTGCCTTCTAGGCCCTTCTGCTTCATGGGTGCAGGTCACACTGGCACCCATGGATGGCATCCCATCTGGGTCGCCATGACTCAGGGATGGAAAGATGGAAGCGAAAGGGGAATGCCCTTTTCTCTCTCCCTGACACACCCCGGGTTTTTGCTGAGAGAATGGAACTCAGGGACAGCTGTTTCCCTCTCTCTTTCAGATGGGTAACCATCTTCACCATCTTCAGTCTGTACTCCTCTGGAGTGTATCCTGAGTCATTGGGATTGCTCTGACCCTCAAACTCTGAGGAAAAAAAATGTCTCATAGCCCTTTGCACAAAGGTTTGGCCAAATTATGATTTGCAGGAAGGACTGGCTTGGCCTCAGGAAGGAATCATTCATTTCAACACCATCCTGCAGCTGGATCTTTCCTGTAAATGCAAAATGAGGCAAATGGTATGAGACCCCATATGTGCAGTCTTTCTTTACCTTCCAGGGTAATCCAGACCTTTGCCAACACTGTAGGATTGATCCGGGCATCCTGTTTGCCTTCTCAAGAGAGGCTGCAAGGGGCAATCCCAGGGAACAAAAGAAACAAACCCCAGAGGCACCTCCAGGAGGGAAGCTAACTCCCTTTGGCCCTGCTCCTCTGGGTCTACCTCATCCTCCCTATCCAGTCCTCTTCTTCCTCCCTATCCAGTTCCCCTCTCTCTCTCACCCCATCCTAGAAATCTTCACTCTAGACAGGCCCCGTGTCTCATTCCTGCCCCTGTAACAGATGCCTAGTGAATATGGTCCCAGTAAGGTCCAGGTCCCCTTCTCTCTACAAGACTTAAGGCAAATTAAGGGGGATCTTGGCAAGTTTTCAGATGACCGTGACAGGTATATAGAGGCTTCCCAGAATTTAACCCAAGTATTTGAACTCTACTGGAAAGACATTATGTTACTTTTGAATCAAACCCTGACTGACACTGAGAAGCAGGCCACTCTGCAAGTGGCAGAGAGATTTGGGAATGAGCTTTGTATCTCATATAGTATCAGGGAAAGGTATAAGCCTTATCCAATTGGAAGGGAAGCAGTAACATTGGATGACCCTAGATGGGATCCCAGTGATGGAATGGGAGAATGGAAGAGGAAACACTTTCAGGTGTGTATAATGGAGGGCTTAGGAAGGACCAGAACTAAACCTCTCAACTACTCCAAACTATCTATAAGAGACCAGGGATTTTGATGAGAATACTGCTGCCTTCCTGGAAAGGGTAAGAAAGGCCTTAGTAAAGCACACCTCTCTATCTCCTAATTCAGTCGAGAGACAACTAATTTTAAAGGATACATTTTATTACTCAAGCAGACCCTGATATCAGCAGAAAGCTGCAGAAACAAGCCACGGGACCAGACAGTACTTTAGAGAACCTCCTGAAAGTGGCCACCTTGGTCTTTTATAACAGAGATAGGGAGGAAGCCTGAGAGAGAGAAAAGAGACACAAGATAAAGGCAGATGCCTTAATGGCCTCCTTTCAAGCCCACAAACTCCAGAATCCCTGAGACGCATCTGCTAACTGTTACAAATGTGGTAAGCCAGAGCATTTTGAAAAGGGCTGACCGGATAGCATAAGGAAGCCACCTCAACCCTGTCCAATCTGCAGTGGGGATCACTGGAGGGTGAACTGTCCCCAAAGAAGCAGGTCAGGTCACCAGGCCCAGAGCCAGTCTCCCAGTGGTCCAGCAGAACTGATGGGTCCTGGGGCTCCTCTCCCTGGCTCCAGTGATCCAGACCACCATTACCACACAGGACCCCCAGGTAATTCTGGAAGTTGAAGGGAGGAAAGTAGACCTCCTTCTGGACACTGGGCCTGGTCTCTTAGTTCTCTCCAATCCAGGGCCCCCCTCCTCTCTTAGCACGTCAATGAGGGGTTTCTCAGGAAGGTCTTTAACCCAATATTTTTCCCAATATACAACCCCTTTGTTGTAGTTGGGGAGACCTCTTTTTCACCCGTGCCTTTCTAATTATGCCTGAAAGCCCAACTCTTCTGTTAGGCACAGATATTCTGGCCCATATGGGGACCACCATCATGATGGCCCCAGGACAAACTCTTTTCCTTCCCCTAGTGGAGACCAATATTAACCCAGAAGTTTGGGCAATTCAAGGGAAAATTGGCCAAGCCATAACCACTACACCAGTCGGGATCCAGCTTAAGGATCCCACCTCCTTTTCTAACCAGAGACAATATCCCCTGAAACCAGAGGTTAGGAAAGGACTAGAAGCCATCATTGATAACTTGAAGATGCAGGGCCTCCTCACACCCTGCAATAGCCTTTGTAATACCCTGATACTGGGGGAACAAAACACAAAGGGGAAATGGAAACTTGTCCAGAACCTCTGTCTCATTAATGAGGCTGTAGTTCCAATTCACCTGGTGGTTCCCAATCGATATACCCTGCCAGCTCAAATACTTGAGGGAACTAAATTGTTCACAGTCCTGGACCTGAAGGATGCATCTTTCTGCATACCATTATACCATGACTCCCAGTATTTGTTTGCATTTGAGGAACCCTCTAACCAAACCACCCAGCTAACCTGGACAGTGTTACCTCAGAGATTCCAAGACAGACCCCATCTGTTTGGGCAGGCATTGTCCAAAGACCTCTCTGAGTTCTTTTATCCTCAGGTTAAAGTTTTACAAAACATAGATGACATTCTCTTCTGCTCCTCACCTGAGGAAATCTCTCAGGAGGACAGTAAGGCTCTTCTTAATTTTCTGGCCAGCAGAGGATATAATGTTTCAAAATCTAAAGCTCAGCTCTGTTAGATTTCAGGGAAGTACCTAGGTTTGGTGTTGTCAAAGGAGACCAGGGCATTGGGTGAAAGAAGGATTAAGCCCATCTCCTCCTTTCCCTTCCCCAAAACCCTCAAGCAACTGAAGGGATTCTTTGGCATTACAGGATTCTGCAGACTATGGATACCTGAGTACAGTAAAATAGCTTGTCCCTTATATCACCTAATAAATGAGACTCAGGCAGCTAAAACTCACTCTCTAATTTGGGAACCAGAGGCTAAAAAGGGCTTTGACCAACTAAACCAAGCCTTGCTTCAGGCACTAGCCCTTAGTCTTCCCATATGGAAGATGTTTAATCTTTACATGTCAGAGAAGAAAGGAATGGCCCTGGGAGTTCTGAGGCCTGAGGTCCAACCCAGCAGCCTGTAAGCAACCTAAGTAAGGAGTTTGATTTCGTAGCTAGACAATGGCTGGCCTGCCTCCAGGTAATTGCAGTGGTAGCTGGTACCAGAGGCTACTAAGTTAACCATGGGAAATAACATAACCACTTATACCACACGTAATGTGGCAGGACTGCTATTTTCTAAGGGGAGTCTCTGGCTAATGGACAACTGCCTCGCAGATATCAAGCTCTTCTTTTAGAGGGATCTGCAGTCCAATTAAGAACCTGTCTCAGCCGGGCATGGTGACTCACGCTTGTAATCCCAACAGTTTGGGAGGCTGAGGCGGGCGGATTGCCTGAGCTCAGAGTTCACGACAAGCCTGGGCAACATGGTGAAACCCCGTCTCTACTAAAATACAAGAAATTAGCCAGGTGTAGTGGTGTGCTCCTGTAATCCCAGCTACTTGGGAGGTTGAGGCAGGAGAATTGCTTGAACCCAGGAGGCGGAGGTTGCAGTGAGCTGAGCTCGCACCACTGCACTCCAGCCTAGGTGACAGAGTGAGACTCCATCTCAAAAAGATAAAAAAGAACCTGTCCCTCCCTAAACCCAGCCACCTTCCTCCCAGGGAAAACTGGGGAGCTTGAACATGACTGTGAACAGATAGTAGTACAAACACATGTAGCCAGAGAGGACCTCAAGGAAACACCCTCAGAGAACCCATACTGGATTCTTTTTATGGATGGAAGTTCTTTTGTAGAATGAGGGATCCATAAAGCAGGGTATGCAATAGTTACCCTGAATGATATTGTTGAGAGCACATCTCTCTCCTCGGGCACAAGTGCTCAACTACCTGAGCTAATTACCTTCATGGTGTTTTTGCATTAAGCAAAGGGACATTTGTTAACAGTTATACTGATTCTAAGTATGTTATCCTAGTCCTCCATGCCCATGCCACTATCTGGAAAAACAGGAACCTCCTCACACCTGATGGGTCTCCTATTAAATACCATCAGGTAATTAATAGACTATTATCCTCAGTTTTCCTCCCATGGGAAGTGTCAATAATACATTGTAAGGGCCACCAAAAAGAGATGGGTAAAATAGCCAGGGAAATAGGTTAGCAGACAAAGCAGCTAAATAAGCAGTGAGAGGGCCCCAGATTTCTGATCCACTTGAAGCCCCTCTGATCTGGGAACACTCCATCAGAGAAATAAAACTTCAATATTATCCTGTGGAAATAGAATGGCCACCTCTCAGGGATACATCTTTCAGTCCTCAGGATGGCTGCAATCAGAGAATGGCAAGCTTCATCTACCAGCTGTCAGCCAATGGAAAGTTCTTAAAATCCTTCACCAAGCCTTCCACTTAGGTAAGGATAAAACCTATCAATTAGCCCAGATATTGTTCTCAGGTAAAAATCTGCTACAAACAGTCAAACAGGTCGTTAATGCTTGCAAAACTTGCCTTAAAAAAATCCCCTCAATTGACGGCTTCTCCCCCCAGGAACACAAAGAACAAGAGGTTACCTGGAGGAAGACAGGCAAATGAATTTCACCCATATGCCAAAGACAGTGGGGTACCCAGTACCTCCTAGTATGGGTGGATACCTTCACTAACTGTGTAGAAGCATTTCCATGTCAGAGAAACCTCTAAGGTGAAAAAAGTACTAATTAATGAGATAATCCCTCACTTTGAACTCCCTAAGTATCTCCAGAGTGATAATGGTGCCTCGTTCAAGATGGCTGTCACCTAGGGGTTCTCAAATGCACTAGGCATACAATGCCATCTTTATTGTGCTTGGAAACCACAATCCTTGGGAAAGGTAGAAAAGACAAATGATATTATCAAAAGGCACTTCAGGAAACTGTCTCAGGAGACTCATCTTCCCTGGACTACCCTTCTTCCAATAGTCATACTGCATGTTAGATTCACCCCTTCAAAGCTAGGTTTGAGTCCCTTTGAAATGATGTATGGACAGCATTTTCCCACCAATGAGTTCTTCCTAAACCAAGAAACCTCTGATTTGATTAAACATAACTTCTTTAGCCCATTTCCAACAGGAACTGAAACAACTGTCAGAGACCCAATCCCATGAACTAGGGCCACCTCTATTCAACCCAGGGGACCTAGTACTGGTAAAGGTACTTCCTTCCTTTTCTCCCTCTATAGGCCCAGATTGGGAGGGACCTTACACTGTACTCCTTTCTACTTCTACAGCAATAAAGGTCATGGAATAGATTCTTGGATTCATTATATTTGGGTAAAGACCTGGGAAGCTGACAGAGTTACCTCTGCCGACCCAGAAGAGCACCCAAAGTACTAATGTGAAGAAATCTGGGAACTCAAGCTAAAAATTACAAAAGATAAGTGTCAATAATTGACTTTCCATGAATATCCCCTTTATAGTCATGCCTATGCTTGCTGTTCTTACATTCATGCTATTCTTCACCATGAGGTATCTTTACCAAGGATCCTTTAATCCTGAACGCCCATGGGAATATGTACTCCCATAAACAGTTATCTTTCTTCTAAAGCTTAACTGCTCCCATACAAGGCTTAATTTCATTCACCAGGATGAAACAAATTGAGGCACAATATTGTTTTCAGAATGATTAGTATATAGTTCACTTCTTATTTCTATAATCTTTGGCACTAGATTCTTTCCTTCTAACTCCTCTTTGTATAATACACATACTTGATCCATGCATACTTCACTTGTAAAACTTGTTTCTTCTTGCCTAGAGGCCATTAAACTTCAAATGGTCATGCAATTGGAGCCTCAGATGATGACTCCCTTTTACCAGGGACCCTTAGGTAGACCTCTGAGGGAAATCTGACTGCTGTTTTCCCCAAAACAACACCCCCTGTCAGCAGGAAATAGCTAAGATCAGTCATCATTCATATTCTAAAAGAGACAGTTAGATGTGCCTCTTTAGAGGGGGCAATGATAGAGGAAGGAGGCAAAAAAACTCTAGGCAGACAGGGGCAGGTCCCGGGCAAAACCCCACCTTCAAGTTAAAAAGCCTGAAGCCCACAGCCCAAAGTGAACACTTCGATCCCTGTTTGCCTGCTCTCTCTCAATTGGTTCTTTCTGAATAATGTCATTTTGACAATTGAATGTTGCCTTTTCCAAAACTACCTATGGCCTGCCCCAACCCCATCCTGTGCCTATAAAGACCTCAGACTCAGTCAGTAGAGAAAGATAACCAGCTTGACTGGAGAGAGGCAACATAACTTCAGAGGGACAGCTGGACTTCAGAGGAGAGATGACTTAACTTCAAAAAAGAGCCAGCCAGAGACAGCCAGACTTTAGGAAAGATTACCTGCTGATCCCATCCCCTCTCCAGCTCCCCTCTCCACTGACAGCCTTCTCCATCACTAAATAAATTGCTCCACCTTCACCTTCCTTCAGGTGTCCATGCAACCTCATTCTTCTTGGATGCTGGACAAGAGCCTGGGACCTATCAAATGTGGGTACCCAAAAAAAGCTGTCACACCAGCTCTTTGCTCTTGCTGGCGGAGGGCAGCCATTCCACACTATGAGGCAAGGGGCCACTGAGCTCATAACACACCACTGTCCACAGGTGGTGGAGCTAAGACAGCATTGTAATACTCCTTCTTGGGTTTCAGGGGTCAAAGCCACCCCCACATGGGTGCCACCACAGAGCCTGCATGGAGCCTGCTCCTACTGGTGCCCAAAGTGGCTGGCCAGATCCTGCATTCACTCTCTCACACACTCCCTCCCACAAGAGGTTGAGCATGGTGCATCAAAAAGCTTATCCACAACAATCAAGTCAGCTTTATCCATGGGATACAAGGCTGGTTCCACATACACAAATCAATAAATGTAATCCATCACATAAACAGAACCAATGACAAAAACCACATGATTATCTCAATACATGCAGAAAAGTCCTCTGATAAAATTCAATATCCTTTCATGCTAAAAACTCTCAATAAACTAGGTACTGATTAAACAAATCTCAAAATAATAAGAGCTACTTATGTCAAACCCATAGCCAATATCATACTGAATAGGCAAAAGCTGGGATCATTCCCTTTGAAAACCAGCACAAGACAAGGATGCCCTCTCTCACCACTCCTATTCAACACAGTATAGGAAGTTCTGGCCAGGGCAATCAGGCAAGAGAAACAAATAAAGGGTATTCAAATAGGAAGAGAGGAAGTCAAATTATCTCTGTTTCCAGATGACATGATGGTATATTTAGAAAACCCCATTGTCTCAGCCCAAAATTTCCTTAAGCAACTTCAAAAAAGTCTCAGGATACAAAATCAATGTGCAAAAATCACAAGCATTTCTATACAACAACAATAGACAATCAGAGAGCCAAATCATAAGTGAACTCCCATTCACAATTGCTACAAAGAGAATAAAACACCTAGGAATACAACTTACAAGGGATGTGAAGGACGTTTTCAAGGAGAACAACAAACCACTACTCAGGGAAATAAGAGAGGACATAAACAAATGGAAAAACATTCCATGCTCATGGATAGGAAGAGTCAATATTGTGAAAATGGCCATACTGCCCAAAGTAACTTAAATATTAATTGCTATTCCTATCAAGCTACCAGTGACTTTCTTCACAGAATTAGAAAGAACTACTTTAAATTTCATATGGAACCAAAAAAGAGCCAATATAGCCAAGACAATCCTAAGCAAAAAGAATGAAGCTGGAGCCATCATGCTACCTGACTTCAAACTATACTACAAGGCTACAGTAACCAAAACAGCATGGCACTGGTACCAAAACAGATATATAGACCAATGGAACAGAACAGAGACCTCAGAAATAACACCACATATCTAGAACTATCTGATCTTCAACAAACCTAACAAAAACAAGGAATGGGGAAAGCAGTCCCTATTTAATAAATGGTTCTGGGAAAACTGGCTAGCCATATGCAGAAAACTGAAACTGGATCCCTTCCTTACACCTTATACAAAAATTAACTCAAGATGGATTAAAGACTTAAATGTAAAACCCAAAACCATAAAAACCCTAGAAGAAAACCTGGGCAATACCATCAGGACATAGGCATGGACAAAGACCTTGTGACTAAAACACCAGAAGCAATTGCAACAAATGCAAAAATTGACAAATGGGATCTAATCAAACTAAAGAGTTTCTGCACAGCAAAAGAAACTATTATCAGAGTGAATGGGCAACCTACAGAATGGGAGAAAAATTTTGCAAGCTACCCTCCGACAAAGGTCTAATATCGAGAATCTACAAGAAACTTAAAACAAATTTACAAGAAAAAAACAAACAACCCTATCAAGAAGTGGGCAAAGGACATGAACAGATGCTTCTCAAAAGAAGATATTTATGCAGCCAACAAACCTAGGAAAAAAGCTCATCATCACTGGTCATTAGAGAAATGCAAATCAAAACCAAAATGAGATATCATCTCACACCAGTTAGAATGGTGATTATTAAAATGTCAGGAAATGGCAGATGCTGGTGAGGCTGTGAAGAAAGAGGAACACTTTTACACTGTTGGTGGGAGTGTAAATTAGTTCAACCATTGTGGAAGACAGTGTGGCAATTCCTCAAGTATCTACAACCATAAACACTGTTTGACCCAGCAATCCCATTACTGCTATATACCCAAAGGATTATAAATCATTCTACTATAAAGACACATGCACATGTATGTTTATTGAAGCACTATTTACAATAGCAAAGACTTGGAACCAACCCAAATGCCCATCAATGATAGATTGTATAAAGAAAATGTGGCACATATATGCCATAGAATACTACGCAGCCATAAAAAAAGAATGAGTTCATGTCCTTTGCAGGGACATGGATGAACCTGGAAGCCATCATTCTCAGCAAACTAACACAGGAACAGAAAATCAAACGCAACATATTCTCACTCATAAGTGGGAGTTGAACAATGAAAACACATGGAGGAGAACATTCACACATGGGGGCCTGTCAGAGGGTGAGGGACAAGGGGAGGAAAAGTATTAGGACAAATATCTAATGCAAGCACTGCTTAAAACCTAGATGATGGGTTGATGGATGCAGCAAACCACCATGGCCCATACCTATGTAACAAACCTGCACATTCTGCACATGTATCCCAGAACTTAAATAAAATAAAAAGAAAAAAGAAAAAAAAACAGGTTGAGCATGGTGAGCCAAGTAAATGGGGCACCCTCATAGCAAGTCTAATGAAGGGGTCGAGAAAAACTCCTGCATCACCAGGAGTTCAAGACCAGCCTGGGCAGCATAGCAAGATCCCATCTTTGAGAAATAAATTAATTACATTTGAAAGAAGACAGGGGAGACCATTAGAACCCCTGGAACACTGGCAATATCTGGCTCAGATCTCCATGAATCAAACATTTTGTGTCAAATCAGTTGGTAAAGACACTGGCTAGACAAAAAGGGACCATGGCATGGTGAAGTTTCCTAAGCCCAATCACAGCCTGAGATGGTTTGGCTTGTCTCCACCCAAATCTTATCTTGAATTGTAGCTTCCACACTTCCCACATGTTGTGTGAGGGACCCAGTGGGATATAATTGAATCACAGGGGTGGTTCCCCCCATACTGTTCTTCTGGTAGTGAATAAGTATTGTGAGAGCTGACGATTTTATAAGGGGTTTCCCATTTTGCTTGGCTCTCATTCTCTCTTGTCTGCCACCATGTAAGACATCCCTTTTGCCTTCTGCCATGATTGTGAGGGCTCCCCAGCCATGTGGAACTGTGTATTCATTAACCCTCTTTTTATTTATAAATTACCCAGTCTCAGGTATGTCTTTATCAGCTGTGTGAAAACAGACTAATACAGTAAATTGGTACCTGTAGAGTGAGGTGCTGCTGTGAAGATACCTGAAAATGTGGAAGCACTTTGGAACTGGGTAACAGGCAGAGATTGGAACAGTTTGGAACGCTCAGATGAAGACAGGAAAATGTGGGAGTTTGGAACTTCCTAGACTTGTTGAATGGCTTAGACCAAAATGCTAATAGTGCTATGGACAATAAAATCTAGGCTGAGGTACTCTCAGATGGAAATGAGGAACTTCTTGGGAACTGGAGTAAAGGTGACCCTTCCTATATTTTAGCGAAGAGACTAGTGGCATTTTGCCCCTGCCTTAGAGATTTGTGGAACTTTGAAGTTGAGGAAAATGATCTAGAATATCTGGCAGAAGAAATTTCTAAGCAGCAAAGCATTCAAGAGTTGACTTGGGTGCTGTTAAAAGCATTCAGTTTTAAAAAGGAAATATAGCATAAAAATTCAGAAAATTTGCAGCCTGACTATGCAATAGAAAAGAAAAACCCATTTTCTGAGGAGAAATTCAAGCTGGCTGCAGAAATTTGCATAAGCAACAAGGGGCCAAATGTTAATCACCAAAACAAAGGGGAAAATGTCTCCAGGGCATGTCAGAGACCTTTGTGGAAGCCCCTCCTATCACAGGCCCAGAGTCCTAGGAGGAAAAAATGGCTTTATGGTCAGGGCTAAGGGATCCCCCACCCTGCTCTGTGCAGCCCAGGGACTTGATGTCCTGTGTCCCAGATACTCTAGCTGTGGCTAAAAGGGGCCAAGGTACAGCTAGTGTTGTGGCTCCAAGGGGTGCAAGCCCCAAGCCCTGGCAGCTTCCACATGGTGTTGAACCTACAGGTGCACAGAAGTCAAGAATTGAGGTTTGGGAACCTTCACCTAGATTTCAGAGGATGTATGGAAAACCTGGATGTCCAGGCAGAGGCGTGCTGCAAGGGTGGAGCCCTCATGGAGAACCTCTGCTAGGGCAGCATGGAAGGGAGATGTGGGGTTGAAGTCCCTACACAGAGTCCACACTGGGGCACTGCATAGTGGAGCTGTGAGAAGACGGCCACTGTCCTCCAGACCCCAGAATGGTAGTCCCACTGACAGCTTGCATCATGTGCCTGGAAAAGCCACTGACACTCAATGCCAGCCCATCAAAGCAGCCAGGAGAGGGGACTGTACCCTGCAAAGCCACAGGGGCAGAGCTGCCCAAGACCATGGGCATTAAGCATGACCTGGATGTGAGACATGGAGTCAAAGGAGATCATTTTGGAGCTTTAAGATTTGACTGCCCTGCTGGATTTCAGACTTGCATGGGGTCTGTAGCCCCTTTGTTTTGGTCAATTTCTCCCATTTGGAATGGCCATATTTACCCAATGACTGTACCCCATTGTATCTAGGAAGCAACTGACTTGCTTTTGATTTTACAGTCTCATGGGTGGAAGGGACTTGCTTTGGCTCAGGTGAGACTTTGGATTGTGGACTTTTCAGTTAATGCTGAAATGAATTAAGACTTTGGGGGACTGTTGGGAAGGCATGACTGATTTTGAAATGTGAGGCTATAAAAGTTGGGAAGGGCTAGGGGAGGAATTATATGGTTTGGCTGCATCCCCACCCAAATCTCATGTTGAATTGTAGCTCCCATAATTCCCATATGTTTTGGGAGGGACCCAGTAGGAGATAATTGAATCCTGGGGGCAGTTTCCCCCACACTGTTCTGGTAGTAAATAAGTCTCATGATATCTGGTTATTTAATAAGGGGATTCCCCTTTTGCTTGGGTCTCATGCTTTCTTGTTTGTGCCATGTAAGACATCCCTTTCACCTTCCACCATGGTTGTAAGGCCCCCCGAGCCACATGGAACTGTGAGTTCATTAAACCTCTTTTTTTTTTTTTTTTTTTTGAGATGTAGTCTCACTCTATAACCCAGGCTGGAGTGCAGTGATTCGATCTCAGCTCACTGCAATTTCTGCCTCCCAGGTTCAAGCAATTCTCCTGCCTCAGCCTCCCAAGAAGCTGGAATTACAGGCACCTGCCACCATGCCTGGCTAAGTTTTTGTATTTTTAGTAGAGATGGGGTTTCACCATGTTGGCCAGGCTGGTCTCAAACTCCTAACCTCAGGTGATCTGCCCACCTTGGCCTCCCAAAGTGCTGGGATTACAGGCGTGAGCCACTGTGCCGAGCCTAAACCTCCTCTTCTTTACAAATTACCCAATCTCAGGTATGTCTTTTTCAGCAGCATGCAGACTAATACACAGCCTCCTGATTTGGTATAGATATGAGGGTTCTAATCTCTACCCATGTTTCTATCTCACTCTGCCCACTATATAAAGTTTACCCAATTCCCCTTTTTTCTGTCTGCTTACTCCACTATTACATTTAGAATGAGTTATGCTGATGACTTTACATTGTGGTCCATCAGTTGTAGAATATTATGTTGGATCATTATTGACTTAGAGAAATAATGGACCCTATTAAGAAATCCTGATCCAGAAGCTAGTACCATAACTGATATGATTTGGCTGTGTCCCCACCCAAATCTCATCTTGAATTGGAGCTCCCATAATCCCCACATGTCATGGGAGGGGTCCAGGGGGGTAATTGAATCGTGGGGATGGGTTTTTCTTGTGCTATTCTCATGACAGTGAATAAGTCTCATGAGAACTGATGGTTTTATAAAGGGCAGTTCCCCTGCACATGCTCTCTTGCCTGCCACCATGTAAGATGTGCCTTTGCTCCTCCTTCGCCTTCTCCCATGATTGGGAGGCCTCCCCGGCCATGTGGAACTGTGAGTTCATTAAACCTCTTTTTCTTTATAAATTACCCAGTCTCAGGTATTTCTTCATAGCAGTATGAAAGTAAACTAATACAATAACCAATGTGATTTTGAATATTCTTCTTTAGGGATAAGGGAGAGTGCATTTTTAGGTACATGAGGAATTTTATGTTAGGCAGATGAATTTTTGGTTTGGGTGTATTGTACGGGTGTGCATGAAAATTGAGATGTCAAAGTGATGGTTGTGATGAATATTGGTCAGGGTTATTCCCTGACTGCTTCCTTCCCAAATACAGGTGGCATTCAGTGCTCTGCCTCCTGCTGTGGAAATCAGGTCAATGAGCCTTCCTCTCTCCCCAGGCCCTGGCAGTCAGCATACAAGCTGCTGACCTGTTCTCACTGGCATCCAGAAATCTAGACAGAGGGGCACACCTGCATAGCTGAGACTATTAGGAAGATGTGGAGATGTCAGGGAGGCAGCACTGGAGCTGGGGTCACTGGCCTGTTAGCAGCCACCCTGGTTTCTCAGTCCTGGTCCTGATCTCAACTGGAACTGGCTCTGGCCCTGGAGACGAGACTGTCAGTGCCTCAGCCCTATCATAGGGGCTTCCCCCTCTGTGTGTTGCAGCCCAGGGTCAACTGCCAGAACCTGCATCTGTTTGAGTGGACGGTTCCTCAAAGCAGCAGGCCACCCTGCCTGTGCTGATGGCAGCCAGGAGGGCTAGACAATGAGACCTCAGGCTAGCACCAACAGAAGTCGACGTATAACTACCGAGTGCCTATGCTGCTTGAGTGATGTAACTTTCAGACTCATGTTCCCACAATTTCCCTCTTCTGATTCATTTCAGGAGCCCATGGTGATAGCTCTGATTACACACCCTACATTAGCTTTTTCTCCCCACCTTACTTCTTCACTCTCCTAACCACTGTTTCTTCCAGCTAAGATAAACTAACTGCACCTGAATTCTTTTCTCAGATCCTACCTCTGAGAGGAAATAAACTAAACAGGTTCTCTTCAGCAAAAAGGAATTTCACTGGAAGGATATTGGAGGCTCAAAGAACGGAGGAAAATGAAAGCTCACAACCAGGCCTGGGAAATAGAACATCCAAAGTCCTGCCCTGGAAGAGCCAGTCCCCATGTCACTGTATCCCTCACAGAAAAGCCAAAGCCCAAGGTATGTGTCTGGTTTTCAGAGTCCAAGTTGCAGCCTCCCTCTGTATGTCAGTACAGGCTGGAAGACAGAAAAGGATCCCTTTGGATTCCAAGGTAGGAGGTGGGTGCCATCTCCCACCAAGACTGTGTGCTATGGGAAACACTTGTAGCATAGGCTGGGGTGCTCTTATAAAGAAGGGCTGGACTCCTGCAAGACAAAAATAAAGACACATGACCCCTCCAAGCCAAAAAAAAAAAAATCCCAAAACTAATGGCTTTTTTATTTTCTTGTATTCTCCAGGATCACTGTTAAGGAAGATTATTCACTGGCACTTGTGAAAGTATGATAAAGCAGAGTTTACTCAGGACAATTGCAATGAGTGTAAGGACGAATGCAATGGGATTTGCAGTGTGGAAGAGAGATTGGGCTCACCTCCAAATGCAGCATGGACCAGTGGGAATGTATGGCCAAGGAGCAGTGTGGGGGTCAGGGATTGAAAATTACTAAGAGGAAATATCAGGGGTCGGGGGATTCTGGCTAAACTGACCTAACAGGATTCTTGCTAAAGACAGGTCAGGGTGATCAGACAGCACCTGGGGAATGGTGGAGGATGCGGAACCTGATGAGATATCAAGGGTGATCAGACATCAAGGTAGGTAACTGACTTAACAGGTTCTTTGCTAAAACTGGATTTTGCAAGGAAGTGTACAGACAGGCCTAGGAGAAGGTTTGGAGTCTTAGTAAAGTTTGGATGAGCAAAGAATCTTTGTCATCATCAGGAGGATATAAAGCCACTGGCTGTTTTCTGCTGATGCCACCAAAATGACAATCACACCCTCTGCCCTCTGCTTACCAACATGTCTGCAGCATTCAGGCTTCATGGGAGTCAAAATGTTATGTTCCTTCTCAATCCGATACTGGTTTAACAGTTAATTTCTCTGACTTTGTAATCTCCATTGCGATCTGCTTTCTACACCTGCAAAACACATCATCTTTATCTTATGCTAGACACTCTGTTTCCCCCTTCCCCAAGTTTATTTATATTATTTTTAAATCATACTTTACTTTTCTCTTAGTTTTCCTGCTCCTACAAGATCACAAGGGTACAGAATTGAGATCCAAGAAGGCAATATAGCATAATAAGATTAACTACTACTTCTTGAGCTCTTACTTGCTAAGTACAAGGAACTGTTAAATACTGTGCATGCATTATCTCATCATAATAACTCTCTGAAGCAAGCATTATCAGCTCCATTTTAGAGATAATTAAACTGAATCTTTGAAAAACATTTAATAATTTATCTGCAGGCACACAGGTAGTAGGTAGCAGGGCTGGGACTTTAACCCACTTACTTAACTCTAAAGTTCACATTCCTAGGAAGTACTTATTCCACAGGCAAAACAAAAAATTTGGATTCAATCAGAACTAGGATTAAACTGCCGCTCCCATATTGAAGACCACCACAAAACAGGGGGGGCTCCCTGACTCCATAACCTTGCTGAATACTCTCTACCTTCTTTGTTTTGAAAAGTCATTGTCCAGGTTTTTCATTTTAACCATTTATCTTTTTTTTTTTTAATGAGACAGTCTCACTCTGTTGCCCACACTGGAGCGCAAAGGCATGATCTCTGCTCACTGCAACCTCTGCCTCCCGGGTTCAAACAATTCTCCTGCCTCAGCCTCCCGAGTAGCTGAGATTACAGATGTGCGCCACCATACTCAGCTAATTTTTGTATTTTTAGTCGAGATGGGATTTCACCATGTTGGCCAGACTGGTCTCAAACCCCTGACCTCAGGTGATCTGCTCACCTCAGCCTGCCATTTATCTTTTATTTCATTTTTTTGTTATAAAATATAAGTGCCTACTTTTGTTTTAACATATATTAAAAACTGTTTGGTACTACTAATAAATTAAGAAAAGTCCTGGCTGGGCACAGTGGCTCACGCCTGTAATCCCGGCACTTTGGGAGGCCAAGCCGGGGGTGGTGGCACATGCCTGTAATCCCAGCTACTCAGGAGGCTGAGGCAGGAGAATCACTTGAACTTGGGAGGCGGAGGTTGCAGTGAGCTGAGATCGTGCCGTTGCACTCCAGCCTGGGCAACAAGAGTGAAACTCCACCTCCAAAAAAAAAGAAAGAAAAGTCCCAACCAGTGGGATTTTCTATTTGAAACCCTAAAGGTGGGCTTGAAGTAATCATAGAAAGAACCCCAAGTATATTATTAACATTTTAGAATTAAAAGAATTCAGCCAGTCCAATCCTTTCATTTCACAGATGAAAGAGGGCCGGGAAAGTTAAGTGAAGGCTCCTTGCCAACAAAGGAAGTTGAGCCAAAACCAAGGTATTGTGATTCTGTCATTTCTTACTTTAACATATCTTATTATGTTAGCATACCTTATGTTATTAAGAACTTTGGGAATTTTGTTCCTAGTCTGAAGTGTGTAGAGGTATTATTCTGTAATAGTCTGTGACTTAATCTTCTAAATTTAACATCTTATCAAGCAAGTCATTTTAAAAAAACACGACTAAAAATAAATTGCAGGAAAATTTTTTTTTCGTTTTTTGAGACAGAGTCTGTCTCTGCGGCTGGAGTACAGTGGTGCAATCTTAGCTCACTGCAACCTCCCAGGTTCAAGCGATTTTTCTGCCTCAGCCTCCCGAGTAGCTGGGACTGCAAGGGTGCACCACCACACCAGGCTAATTTTTGTATTTTTAGTAGAGATGGGGTTTCACCATGTTGGCCAAGCTGGTCTCGAACTCCTGACCTCAGGTGATTCGCCCTCCTCAGCCTCTCAAACTGTTGGGATTACAGGAGTGACCCACCGTGCCTAGCAGAAAATAATTTTTAATACTCTCTTAGTCCCTTGGGTTCTATTTGTTTGATTTATCCTTTCCTAGAGAATCACTCATTTTCTTAGGAGTCCCTGTGTTTCATAGTCTCATTGTGAGCATGCACTCTTCTATTTATCAACGGGAGTTATTTTTAAGCTGCTAGAGTTACGGATATCAAACAGAGGCTTTGGTTGACACATCTTTTACACATCTGGTTACTGGGCTTTGGGGAAAGATTCACACTGTGTAAAATTTACATTGGAGTGGCTGTAGACATATTTTCCTCGCATAAAATCCTGAAGGCCTCTGGTTTCATGCAGCTATTCAAAGATGGTGAAGCAAAATAATGGATTGCTTTATTCTTTTGAACAAGAAAAAATCATGCAGACAGTTAAAAATCAAGACAAATAAACACAAATCGCAATACCTAAAGGGCTTTCTGTATTATGGAAGAAACTTTGTGCACACAATGCACAGAGCCTCAAGGCTGGAGTAATCCTTAAACCTCAGATGCATACTAGCCCCGCATGGATGTCACTATGGACAGGGCAAACATGCTGAGGACTGGCATGGAATTGGGACTCCAGGCAGCTTTAGAATGTTTAGGATTAAGGAGAGAAAGAGGGTGTTCTAAAATGTACCCAGGGCCAGGGCACATGCCTGTAATCCCAGCACTTTGGGAGGCCAAGACAGGAGGATCATTTGAGGCCAAGAGTTTGAGACCAGCCTGGGCAACATAACGAGACCTCATCTGTACAAAAAATAAAATTAAATTAAAATATTAGCTGGGTGTGGTGGCATGTCCCTATAGTTCTAGCTACTCAGAGGCTGAGGCAGGAGGATCACCTGTGCCCAGGAGTTCAAGGCTACAGTGAGCTATAATGGTGACATTACACCCCAGTGTGGGTGACAGAGTGAGACCCTGTCTCAAATAAAATAAAATAATAAAATAAAACAATAAAATGAGATAAAAGTACCTGAGATTTGTTTTAATCAGGTGTGGTAATATGACAGATACAGGGACAAATGCCTTTGAAAAAAGACGTTATTATTTACATTTTCCAACATAAGGGGGTCATGCCATGCAAGGCAGAGTCACACAGGGAAATACTGAGGTCCTCAGAAGACAAGAGCAAAGGAGAAAACACGGCCCAGAGCTATTATTGTCATTTCCTTGGAAAGGAGTGAATAAGGCAAAGTAGGCAGGTTTGAGCAAGTATAGGATTGGATAGTACATGTGACACATGTTTTTTCTTTTTTGAGACGGAGTCTGGCTCTATCGCCCAGGCTGGAGTGCAGTGGCGCGATCTCGGCTCACTGCAAGCTCCGCCTCCTGGGTTCACGCCATTCTCCTGCCTCAGCCTCCAAAGTAGCTGGGACTACAGGTGCCCGCCACCACGCCCGGCTAATTTTTTTGTATTTTTAGTAGAGACGAGGTTTCACCGTGTTAGCCAGGATGGTCTCGATTTCCTGACCTCGTGATCCACCCGCCTCGGCCTCCCAAAGTGCTGGGATTACAGGCGTGAGTGGCCGCGCCCAACCGAAACGTTTTTTCCTTGAAAATGTTTCCCTTCCCTCTCTGCCATGCTCCCAACTTTCTGCCTTCTTGGGGCTTCTCACTGTCTGGGTAACTAAGTCTTGGGCCCAGCTGGACCTTGGGTAGTGGCCCCTCTGCCACAATCAGTGCCTGAGCCTGAGGCTGAGCTTGTGGCCTCCGAAGCCTGACCTGGCTTGGAGCTTGTCTGTGGCACTCAGGGGTGGAAGCCAGGCTCACAGGTCACTGGTAAAGCCTGAAGACACTGGCCTGAGGTGAGGGGAGGGTGCTGCTCCACTCTCTGGAGGATCTCAGAATTCTCACTTCTTGCTAGGACTGAGCCGTGGGACAGCCATACTTCACTTTACCCAGTATTTTTCTTTTTGAAACAGAGTCCTGTTCTGTTGCCCAGACTGGAGTGCAGTGATGCAATCATGACTCCCTGCAGCCTCGACCTCCCAACCATAAATGATACTCCCACTTCAGCCTCCCCAGTAGCTGGGACCACAGGTGTCCACTACCATGGCAGGGTAATTGTTTAAAAAAAAAATCTGTAGAGACGGGGTCTCATCATGTTGCCCTGTCTGGTCTTGACCTACTGGGCTCAAGCGATCCTCCTGCCTTGGTCTCCCAAAGTGCTGGGATTACAGGCATGAGCCACTGTGCCCGGCCACACTTTTCCAAATTATAAGCAGCTAGGATGGCCCTATTTCTCGTCGGCTCCTAACACACTTTTAAGAGTACATTCTTATTGACTCTAGCTCATGTGGACCACAGATGAGCTCCAAGCCAGGTCAGGCTTTGGAGGCCACAAGCTCAGTCTCAGGCTCAGGCACTGATTGTGGCAGAGGGGCCACTACCCAAGGTCCAGCTAAGCCCAAGACCTAGTTACCCACACAGTGAGAAGCTCCAAGAAGGCAGAAAGTTGGGAGCATGGCAGAGAGGGAGGGGAAACATTTTCAGGGAAAAAACATGTGTCACATGTCTTTAGAAGCAAGTCAGGTTTCACGTAACCGAGTGTCCTCATGGGTGTCCAAAAGTAGCCCAGGGCTGTAGCACAGGCTTAACAGTGATTTTGTGTTCATCCATGAGTCACACTACATGACCCCATGAAGCTGGGCATTGGTGAAGTCCAAGTTGTCCTTGAGTAATAAAAACATATGTTGCAAAAAAGAAGTGTGTTATGAGGGTCAGGCTTGGTGGCTCACACCTGTAATCCCAACAATTTGGGATGCCGAGGTAGGCCGATCACCTGAGGTCAGGAGTTCGAGACCAACCTGGCAAACATGGTGAAACCCCATCTTTACTAAAAGTACAAAAATTAGCCAGGTGTGGTGGTGCTTGCCGGTAATCCCAGCTACTCAGGAGGCTGAGGTAGGAGAATCGCTTGAACTGGCAGGCGGAGGTTGCAGTGAGCCAAGATCACACCACTGCACTCCAGCCTGGGCAACAGAGCAAGACTCCATCTGAAAAAAAAAAAAGTGTGTTATGAGAGTAGATCTCATGTTAAGTGTTCTCACCGCAATAAAATACAATTTTTAAAATGAGAGAGAAAATATTTTCAATAAAGAACTTCATCTGCTAAAAAAAAAAAAAAAGGCTGGAAGAATATGCACCAAGATAGGATCCATAGTTGTACAGGTTGTGGGGCTGTAGGTGATTTATTTTCTTCTTTTTTCTTACTTGTGTCTTTAAAGTTTCTATAATAAGTATTATATTGTTTTATTAAAATGAGAAAATAAAAAAATCATTTGCTTTCATTTTACTAGAGTTTCTTTCCCCTAAGATATTTTCTTCTCTTGTCAGTTTTGCCAGGTCCCAAAGCTCAAGTGGCCAGGCAGCAGAAACCATAGCCTGGACCTGCTGCGGCGCCATTTCTTATTTCAGGCCCCATTCAAAACTGGTACCTCATGGGCTGCCCGCTAAATGAGTCAAAGCAACCCAAATGGGGTATAAGTACCTCCGAATTCCAAAGAGGCTCACCAAGCTCTGGGCCTCATTCTGAGCAAGGCAAGGTACAACAACCTGTCTTTCAATTTAGAAGAAATATCCCCAAATACCCAAATCACTGGACTCTAGAAAATCTCAAGATGGCAAGGCCCTAAGCTTTCTTTTTATTTTTCTTCCTGTGGCATACATGTGTCTTGCTACGGCAGCAAAGAAGTTTGCTACTTCCTGATCATGAAGTTGATTAACATAATTTTATCAACTGTGGGATATCATAATGATCCAGAATCCTCCAAACCATATTACAATAGAAAGCAGAACTGGCTTAGCCCCAGGACTAAGCATTGGACCAGGATGTATATTCCAAATGCAGTACTTTGGAAAATATAATCTGTCACACCATGGCTGAGTCCAGATTTTAATCAGCCAATTTAGCACACTATTAATTTGACTCCTAGGAACTAAAGCCAACACATTAAATCCAGAATCCTGAATGAGTCCTTCTACATTAATAAATTTAAGCAAAAGAGCTTTCAATGATGTTCTTTTTGGTCTAACACCTTTAGAATCCACGCTCACGTATGCTCCCCAAACTTCCATCAACACTGATCAGCGTCATAACTCTGCGCATAGGCTCTCTCTCCAACCACCAGGCTTTGTACCTCTCCATCTGGGCTCTTTTGGGTTTTAACTCTTGTTATAGGCCTAGAGGTGATGAGTGGTACCATTAGCATGGGAGGCAACTGCCAGGTGTTCCCATTTAAAAGACTTCTTGCAGAGAACAGTTTGTTTCTGTGCTAGCGAGAGAGTTAAGAGGAATTTACAGGTCCCAAGTTCTCAACTTTGTCCATATCTGCCCAAATGTCCTCATCCCATGGCTCATGCCTAAATCAAGCCAACCAGTGTCTCTACCCTAGGGTAAGAAGTATAGCAGGTTTTAGCCTTTAACTGGTGCAGAAATGTTTCCCCCTTGACCCCTTAGCTTTATCAATGCTGCAATTACAAAAGATGTAGGATTCCCTCAACGCTGCCATGGGGCCTTCTGGTTCCCTATATGTATTCTTAATTTTGCATTCATAGCTTTTCATTCCTCTTGTACCATCTAGGTTTGTCAAAAGAAGCCAGATGACTCCACAGTCTTTACATCACCACTCCATCACCATAGCCACTAAGTCCCATAGCCACTGGATGTTCCCACACCTCTCCCTCCATCTGCACTTCATGGCTTGATACCTTGCAGTGATGATATGAGTAATCATGATGCCACCATGTACCAAGAATTACCCACATCCTATTTTCCCCTTACCCCTCTGAAGGAAATAACCTCTGTGTTCTTGAACATATACACAACCCAATCCCAAAATCCTGCTTTGAGATTCTGTTTTCGGAGCATAAATTGAACCAACTTAAATAATAACAGGGTGCTGTCCCTCAGTTCAATAGTCCCACGTAGCACACCAGAAATATAACAGATGACAACTATTCCTTGCATTTTACATATGCTGGATTTTCCATTCTGTATCCATGGCAACCAAGGTACAAAACTTAGTCTCAGTTTCTATTTTTAAAATCAAACTACAACGATCATTTTGTGAAATTTTGGTAGTCTTTGACGAATATTGTGGCGTCAACCAAAAGGATCATATTATATAACTTTTCACCCTAAAATCTCCACTCTGTCATTCCTTGGCTTCCAAACACTGTCTTTCCCCCTACTTTGCCAGCAGGAATTTCTCTTCTCTTTCTACTCCAACTCAGCTATTAATTAAGCACTCCCTTGGGGATGTTGCATTCCAGTTGAAGCAGAATATCAACATACTTCTTCCATACAAATTCAACATTTTTCCAAGAAAAATATGAGTGATTTATATTTCTTTTCTCTTATTACTTTTGCATCCTCAGCATATAGCTCAATGACTGTCAAACGTCAAAATCATAATAACAATACTTTATATTTGTAATGTTTGCTATGTGTCTTATGTGTATTATCTCATTTAATCTTCACAACAATACCATGAGGTATATACCATTATTATCCTCAATATTACGAGGAAATCATGACAAAGCTGAGGCTTAGAGAGTCCAAGTAACATACTCAACGTTATGCTTAGCTGGTAAGTGAGACAGCCATCTCTATTTGATCCTAAAGCCATAGGCACCACAGCTCTTTCAACAGTGTTGACAGAATACAGCCAGATGAGGAGCCCCAATAATGGCTACACATATTTTTTAATTCTTATGACTTCAGTTTCACATATTTGGGTGACCCCAAACAAAATTCCCTAGCATTGTCACTAAGCCTTTTTGCCAGATGTCTACTTTTTATGACTCTGCCAACGGCTGCATGTAACAGAAACCAACTCTGGCTAAATTAACCAAAAATAACAGGATTTGTTGAAAGGTAAATGGTGGCCACAGAACTAAAGCAACCACTGATCAGCCAGTCTTGAGAAGGACAGAATCCAGTCAAAACCAGAGAATGACGTCGCAGGAACTAATGGGACAGCCTCTTGGGGCCGCCACCATTGGGATGAATCAGCTTCAACTATTTTCAGTTCTTGTGTCACTCCACTTCAAGCCTCAAATTCCAGCGAGAGTCTGGCTGACATCATTTGGATCCCCTGTCTAGCCCTTGGCCTGGGGATAGGGGATGAAGGGGATGGGGCTCTGTGATGGACAGTTCCACCAAGATTGCATTCCAGAAAGAAACACAGAAGGGCACTAACCAAAAGGTTTCATGGGTGCTGGGCAGACAGATACAAGATGTCTGCTACAGTGGCTTTAACACATCCGTGATCGGAGGAGCAAGATTTATCCTATTGGAAACATTCAAAAAGATGCACTATAGAGGCAATTCCTAAAGAAACAGTCCAAAATGCTCAGAGCACTGTTTCTCAAAAGGATCACTTTTTTTAGTTAACAAAGGATCAGTGTGAAGTTGTATCAAAAGGATCACTTTTAATTTAAAAAATAAAAATGTTTAAAAGAAAAGCTCTCACGGACCCTCTAGAGTTGTCTTAAAATACTTTTTACTGCAAGATTACTTAGGTGTGTACCAACATAAAACCAGGGGTAATGATCCTTGGATTTATAGCACTTATAAAATTATAAATCCACGATAAATTTTAATGCAATTCAAATGAAATGACAAAACCACTATGATTCAAATTACCCATATAAGTTTAACTTGACAAATGATACTTTTCTGAAACTGATCTGCTGCTCCCAATGTGAATATAGTACAACTGCTACGTTGCAAGTATTTTGGAGTTCAGCACTGCTATGCTATTGCATGTGTTGTGAAGACTCAATTCTCCCACCACGTTATCCCTTCAATCTACTAGAAAACCTTGGGATAAGCAGAGCCAAGTCCTTTCTTGGCCTTCCATTTGGTGTGAAAATATCTCTGCTCTTTTATTTTATTTATTTTTTTTTCTTTTTGAGACAGAGTCTCGCTCTGTTGCCAAGGCTGGAGTGCAGTGGCGCGATCTCGGCTCACTGCAACCTCCGCCTCCCGGGTTCAAGTGATTCTCCTGCCTCAGCCTCCTGAGTAGTTGGGATTACAGGCACCCACAACCATGCCCGGCTAATTTTTGTATTTTTAGTAGAGATGGGGTTTCACCATGTTGGCCAGGCTGGTCTCGAACTCCTGACCTCAAGTGATCCGCCTGCCTCAGCCTCCCAAAGTGCTGGGATTACAGGCATGAGCCACCGCGCCTGGCCTCTACTCTTTTCTTATCAGCCCATGATAAAGTAGTATTATTTGATGGTGAATTGGAATCACAAATGCAAACAGGGGCATAAAAATCCTTTCCAGTGCTCAGTTATGAGATGGTCACCCAGATGATCTATAACATGCTGATATTAAATTTTTTAAGATTTCTTTAAAAATATAAATGTAGATTTTAAACATTCTTATGGAGAACTCATTGTTATCAGAGATGATATCCTTGGAAATCCAAAGGATCATGACATCCAGTTTGAGAAACAGTGGTTTAGAGCAATTACATCATTCTTAGAATCAATGTGTGGCCTCCTAAGATGAACCCTTCAAAGGGTATTACAATTACTCACTTATATAAATTCCTAGATATATATTTGGTGTAAAATTTCCATATGCATTCTGATTGTTCTTATCCCCTTGCTATTTGCATACTGTCATTTCTTTAAAAATACCTTACAGCCTCTTGATAATTGCTATTAAGTAGGTGAAACCTCCAATTTCTATGAATACATTAACCTATTTAGCTTCACTCTCAAATGGTATCCAAACACGTAAATTGAGTTCATAGGGTAGATGTTGGGATTCAGACCATTTCTCCAGTTGTAAAATATGCATCATATAAATATAAACAAGTTAATAAAATTAATTACTAATAATTATCTAGCTATTCCTCTGAGTAACGGCACAGATGGAGAAGTTTACTTTCTACCAATTGTAAAATGCAGTACTTGATTTTGAAATATTTTTGATCCATAAAGGCTAAGTGACATTCTGATTTACTTAAAAAGATGAACTCAACATAACCAAATTTCACATGCATTGACTTTCTAAATAAATTCTAAAAATTATTCTGAATTTTATGGCTGAGTTAGATTAAGAATTATGACAGCTAAAATAAAAGGAAAAAGAACTGCTGTTTGAAAAGAAATGCTTTCATATGTGAGATAAAGATAACTCTGAAAGAAGGTTTAAATTTTACATGTATTTTTCTAAAATAATCTCAAAAAGTTTAATATTAGCATATTATGAATTATCTGGTGTCCATGTATATTATGATGAGAGAGATTTACTGGTAGAATCACTCCCTATCATTATTATCAATCAATAACTTATAGTTATTCCTTGTTTACAAGTGTATTGGAAACATGAAAAAACAGCACTGATAATATTTCAGGAGAGAATAGTTCTCATGTCACCCCCATAAGAAAAAGCAGTCTTGTGTGTGCTAGTTCAACAGGTCAAAATTATTCCCATTAAGTAGATTAAGAGAACTAGTTAATATACTTGGTTTATGAAGAGTGGTTCCCGATGTTTAGTTTCATTTTACACAAACTGTAATTATCCTTAACTTCTACAGTCAGATATTCAAAGAATTTGCCTTTAACAGTAATACATTTAGGATAAAATGTCCTGCCAACATTGTATATCTTTGTATGAAAACTCCCCTGATGAAGTTGGTCATACTCAAAGAATGTAGGGTTGGGCAAGTTAAAGTGTTTGCACAGTTCAAAGTGAAGGAAGAGTTGGGTGATAACACAAAAATTTTTAGAGATTTCTGCATCACTTCTCACTTTTCAATCTCACCTTTTATACTGCCTTATGTGAAAAAAAATTAGAAAATATTGGAAATATCAAGAAATCTATGGATTAACCCTCTGTTAGTGTAAAGTTGGGGGTGAAGGGAGTGTCTTACAGGAAGCATCAAGCATGTCATTGTCTTCACTTTCTAACTCAATAGAAGATAATAAGACTCACCTGCAGGAGTGGAGGCCTGGGTTTCTTTTTCTAGCTCTTTAATTTACTCTGTCATTTTGGCAAGTCATGTGACCTCTTAGGCCTGCCTTCTAGTGAAAATGAAGGTGTTAGTGATTCTCAAAAGGAACAATATTTTCTCCTTTCCCAGGGGCCTTTGGAAATGTGCGGGATGTTTTTGATCATCAAAAAAAACTAAGAGAACTGACCATTGCTAAATGCCCTGTGATGGGAGGACAGTCCCATACAACAAAGAATTGTCCCATCCGAAAACCAACATAGCACTATTAGGAAACTAAACTAGAGCATCTCTAAAGTTCTTTTCACTTTGACATTCGTTTCTTGGGGTTTTGGGGGTTTTCATTTGTTTGTTTGTTTTGAGACAGGGTCTCACTCTGTAGTTTAGCCTCTTAACTAGAGCATCTCCAAAGTTCTTTTCACTTTGACATTTGTTTCTTGGGGTTTTGAGGAGGGGTTCATTTGTTTGTTTGTTTTGAGGCAGGATCTCGCTCTGTAGCCCAGGCTGGAGTGCAGCCATGCAATCTTGGCTCAATGTAACCTCTGCCTCCCGGGCTCAAGAGATCCGCCCACCTCAGCCTCCCGAGTAGCTGGGACTACAGGTGAGCACCACCACGCCCTGCTAATTTTTGTAGAGACAAGTTCTTCCCATGTTGCCCGGACTGGTCTTGAACTCCTGGGCTCAAGTGATCCTCCCGCCTCAGCCTCCCAAAGTGCTGGGATTACAGGTATGAGCCACCATGCCCAGCCACTTTGACATTTCATCATTTTGTTTTATGTCATTGTTTCTTTACAACAATTTTGGATGAACCAGATACCAAAATGCTGTGAGGCAGCATGACACACATGAGGATGCTTATCAAAATAAAGAACCATGGAGTAAAGAATTGGCTTTGTTTGATAGGAATGGAGTGCTCTAGGCAAGATGAAAAGAGGCTCAAATGGGCTATCCCACTCAATTCACACAGCAATCCGATGTAGTATGTCCTATTTTTCCTATTTTACAGATGATTAAATCTACCACAGCTTCAGGGTTTGTTTGTTTTGTTTTGTTTTTCCATTCTAGGTGATGAGAATAAAACTTAATTGCGTGTGTGTGTGTGTGTGTGTGTGTGTGTGTGTGTGTGTGTGTGTTTCTGAAATCGTGGAAAAGAAATACAACATAGAGAAAACATTAAAATACTGCACCTTGGCCAGGCGCGGTGGTCACGGCTGTAATCCCAGCACTTTGGGAGGCCCAGGTGGGCAGATCACGAGGTCAGGAGATCGAGACCATCCTGGCTAACACAGTGAAACCCCGCCTCTACTAAAAATATGAAAAAAAAAAATTAGCCGGGAGTGGTAGCGGGCGCCTGTAGTCCCAGCTACTCAGTAGGCTGAGGCAGGAGAATGGCGTGAACACGAGAGGCGGAGCTTGCAGTGAGCCGAGATCGCACCACTGCACTCCAGCCTGGGAGACAGAGCGAGACTCTGTCTCAAAAAAAAAAAAAAAAACTGCACCTTGTTCTAGGTCCGTTCCCATCTGTCTTAAGGCCTCGTGGCCCAGGGCACCCCACCGCAGCAGGAGGTTTCTGGCAGGCAGCCCGGCCTACATAACCTGAGGCCTCAGAGAAAGGAGAAAGCTCTTCTTCCAGCTTAAGCTGAGGCCCACCTCCTATGTCCCGACCTCCTCCTCCAAATCTAGCCTCTTTTCAGGATGGCTGGTGGCTGGATTCTCCACTCCCTTCAGGGAAAACTCCTCCCTCCACCCACAGGACTGTAGAATTGTTCTTATTCCCCAAAGACATCAGAACACATTTCTATGTTCATATGTTTGCCAAGCGGGTTACTCAGTCTTTAATAACACCATGTGTGGTCAGCCATAATCTCATCCAGATCCCTTTGCTCCAAGCAGAGTTCTTTGGCCCAGTCTGCCCTCCAGCATAAGGAAAGAAAAGATTGTGACCTGAGTGTGTCTCCAGACTCTTGGGGTCTGCACTCCTAATCTGGGAGCAAGGACACCCATTGCCCCAGTGTCCAGTGATGTACAGAACAGCATAGCCTGGATCTGGACCTAGAAAAACCTCTGCTAAAGAAAAGATGACACATGGTGTCTACAGCAATGGCCCCTGTGGGCACAGTCAGACACATCGCCTAGCTCACACCTGTCCATTCCAGAAGAGGGTCTTTGCTCCACGTTTTATTACTAAAGGCCAGTGGTGACTAGTTCCCACACACAAAGGGACAAGCCACTCAACAGACTAAAAGTCAGCAGAGAGGAATCAACACTTTTTCCAGTTTTAGCTCAGCAGGTGTTCAAACGTTGTGGGGCATAATATTAGTCAAGATCACTTGTTACAACTCAACATTCCTTGGATGTCATTCATCACTTGCCTGTGATGTGCCAGGTGGAATGCCAAGTCTTAAAAAACAAGTCTGGACATGGTGACTCAGGCCTGCAATCCCAGCACTTTGGGAGGCCGAGGTGGGAGGATCACCTGAGGTCAGGAGTTTGAGACCAGCCTGGCCAACATGGTGAAACCCCATCTCTACTAAAAATACAAAAATTAGTTGGGCGTGGTGGCACGCGCCTGTAACCCCAGCTACTTGGGAGGCTGAGGCAGGAGAATCGCTTGAACCCAGGAGGTGGAGGTTGTGGTGATCCGAGATCACGCCACTGCACTCCAGCCTAGGCAACAGAGTAAGACTCTGTCTCAGAAAAAAAAAAAAAAAAAAAGTAATTATGAAAAAGCTCCAGACTCAAGGATAAACATGTCTAGAAACTCTCTTACAAGTTCCTAATAAACAAATTCTAGCAAAAAACCTTCACTGCTATCCATCTCTTTGGCAAGCCTGAGAATTCTGATACCAGTAAACCCAAGTCATTCCTGAGAGGTATATTTAGAAAAGGAAGAACGTGGTGGAAATGGGATAGTCAAAAATGGAAAATGAAGGTAAATCATGGAGAATTCTGCAGTGAAGCCCAGGAAGATGAAGGAAGCTGAGAGGAGCCTACGTCCTGGGGATTGCACAGAAGGAAGGAACTGAGACATAAATAGGAGGGTCTGACAGCCAGGGCTGAGCAGTGACACAAAGATGCCCCAGGCAGGACAACAATTTAGCACAGTTTCAAATTAACGCTATTTTTTCAAATGGCTCAACATTTATTTAGTGGGGTTAGGGTTTTTATTATTAAAAAGTACACATAAGCCAGGCACAGTGGCTAATGCCTATAATCCCAGCACTTTGGGAGGCTGACACAGGAAGGTCATTTGAGCCCAGGAGTTCAACAACAGACTGGAAAACATAGGGAGACCCCATCTCTACAAAAATAAAAATAATTAGCTGAGTGTAGTGGAACGAACCTGTAGTCCTAGATACTAGGAAGGCTGAGATGGGAGGATCATTTGAGCCCGGGAGGTTGAGGCTGTAGTGAGCCATGATCACACCAATGCACCCCAGTCTGGGTGACAGAATGAGACCTTGTCTCTTGTTTTTGTTTAGTTTTTTGTTTTTTGTTTGAGACAGGGTCTGGCTCTGTCACCCAGGCTGGACTACAGTGGCACAATCTCAGCTCACTGAAACCTCTGCCTCCTGGGCTCAAGGCATCCTCCCACCTCAGCCTCCCGAGTAGCTGGGACTACAGATGCATGCCACCACGCCTGGCTAATTTTTGTATTTTTTGTACAGACAAGGTCTCTCCATGTTGGCCAGGCTGGTCTCAAACTCCTGAGCTCAAGCAACCTGCCTGCCTCAGCCTCCTAAAGTGCTGGGATTATAGGAGTGAGCCACCATGCCTGGCTGAGACCATGTTTCTAAAAATAAAAGTACCTATAACTCTTCTTCCCCTTCCCTTCTCTTTTCTTCTCAAACCATTCAGTCCTAAAGCTACACAGAACAAGATAGGCATCTTCACCAGGAGACGAAAGAGCCCTGATAGCCCAGAGCAGGGTGCAGAGCCCAACAAGAACAGCGTTCACACGCGGGGGCAGGCCAGTGAGGTGCGTCAAAGCCCCAGCAGGAGGCAGAGGATATCCCTGCCGGAAAGTGCCAGATGGGACGCTGGGGCAAGGGTAAGAAGGAGGTCTTTGTGGAGGGGCCCAGCAAGGGGTGTCAGTACCCTCGGAGCAAGGGGGACACCTACGCAAGGGAAGGCATGGCAGACTGGTTATATGCAGAGGGGTTAATCAAAGGGCTAAAGTGAAGATAATGGAAGCCAGGTTTCTCGTGCGGAAGAGAGGTACAAATATGTAAAGGAATGAATAAGTAAGCCCTATGGTGTTGGATTGGAATTGGAGGTATTGGTGTGAAATCCTGGTTTTCAATAGATACAGGTGGATATAACCAATGTAAATATGTATGTACTTATATACATGCACATACATTAAATCAAGAGAAACTATCCACTAAAAGTGCCTGAGAGCAGCAACACCCCAATAGCAGTGAGCACGCCTAACACCCAAGTCTTGAATTTTATTTATTTATTTATTTATTTATTTATTTATTTTTTTTTTTTTTTTTTTTTTTTTGAGACAGTCTTGCTCTGTCACCCAGGCTGGAGCGCAGTAGTGTGATCTCAGCTCACTGCAACCTCCACCTCCCAGGTTCAAGTGATTCTCATGCCCCAGACTCCCGAGTAGCTGGGATTACAGGCGCCTGCCACCATCCCCAGCTAAATTGTGTGTTTTTAGTAGAGATGGGTTTTCACCTTGTTGGCCAGGCCGGTCTCAAACTCCTGGCCTCAAGTGATCCGCTTGCCTTGGCCTCCCAAAGGGCTGGGATTACAGGCATGAGCCACTGCGCCCGGTCCCTAAATCTTAAATCCTAAATACCATTCTCCACTAAAAGTAATCAGGGCTCTGGTGGGAGATGAGAGAGGGAGAGAGAAAGGTGGGTATGGCTATAAAAAGGCAACAGGAGGGATCCTAGTAGAGAGGGAAAATTCTGTGCCTTGGCTGTGTCCATGTCAATATCCTGGTTGTGATGTTGCACTATAATTTTACAAGATGTTACTATTGGGGTTAACTGGGTAACGTGAAATCTCTATTTCTCACAACTGCATGCAAATCTAGTGATCTCCAAATAAAAAGTTGAATTGAAAAAAAGAAGGAACAAGGGGGTTCTTGAGGAATGGCTGATTTCAGTGTTGGGGCAGGGAAAGTATAAGATAAGCCTGGAACATTTTGTGCTAGAAAGCAAGAAATCTGGCCGGGCACGGTGGCTCACGCCTGTAATCCCAACACTTTGGGAGTCCGAGGCGGGTGGATCACGAGGTCAGGAAATCGACACCATCCTGGCTAACATGGTGAAACCCCGTCTCTACTAAAAATACGAAAAATTAGCTGGGCATGGTGGCAGGCGCCTGTAGTCCCAGCTACTCGGGAGGCTGAGGCAGGAGAATGGCGTGAACCCGGGAGGCGGAGCTTGCAGTGAGCCGAGATCGCACCACTGCACTCCAGCCTGGGCAACAGAATGAGACTCCGTCTCAAAAAAAAAAAAAAAAAAAAAGAAAGAAAGAAATTTTTTTTTTTTTTTTTTTGAGACAGGGTCTGTCTCTGTTGCCCAGGCTGGAGTACAGTGGAAGTAAAATGCCTCTTACTGTATATGTTGTCTCATCAAAGCCAAACAAATCTGCATGCGTATTAATGCAAGTGCAGAAGAGAGAGTGAGGGGACATGTCAAAAGGATGCAGGAGCCAGCCTGAATGGGGAGCCGAAAGAGGGACACTGACTATGGAGACAAAGGGTAGTAGCAATAGTTTGTAACCCAAATACAGGTGCCCATATTCATATGGATAAAACAGTCAATGAATTATAAGTTTAATGAAGTACAGGATATTTACATAACTTTTAAGTCTCTCCCGACAAAATGCTTATAAATAAAAGAGAAACCTCAGGGGGAAAAAAAAAGCCAGGTACGTTGGCTTACGCCTGTGATCTCAGCACTTTGGGAGGTAGAGACGGGAGGACCGGCTGCATATGTACATGAATACACATACACATATTCAGGGCTCTTTCACCTTCTGGTGAATACACATACATTTACAATCAGCTCAGGCAATGTAGGAGACCCCCTCTCTACAAAAAATAGAAAATAAAAAATTAGCAGGCATGATGGCTAACACCTATAGTCCTAGCTTCTCGGGAGGCTGAGGCAGGAGGATTACTTGAGCCCAGGAGTTTGAGGCTGCAGTGAACTATAATAGCACCACTGCTCTCCAGCCTGGGCAACAGAGCAAGACCCTGTCTCTAAAAATAAAATTTTTTTAAAAAAGGGAAAACATTATCTGTACTATACTTACAACTTTTCTGTTTGTGATTAAACATTACATATATGTCATGTAGAAACACCAATTCAATTCTACCGATTAAAACAGTCAATGGTCTGAAAAAATTCAACAAAGTATTTCCAGCTTTGCTGGTAGCTCTTTCCTTTTGGTATTTTCTAATCCTAGCCAATTATTGGGAGGCAAATTAAATAATAAAGTAAATCATTTATAAGGAAGTTGCCTGTGCCACACTTCACTCAGTTTCAGAATTCCAGTTGCCTGGGACTGCTGACAGGATGAGACTGCATGAGGAGGCACTGCAAAAGTATTTAGGACACAGGGCTGGGCACAGTGGCTCACGCCTGTAATCCCAGCACTTTGGGAGGCCGAGGCAGGACAGATCACTTGAGGTCAGGAGTTTGAGACCAGCCTGGGCAACTGGTGAAACCCTATCTCTACTTAAAATAGAATAAATTTAGCCAGGCATGGTGGCGCATGTCTGTAATCCCAGCTACTTGGGAGGCTGAGGTGGGAGGATCACTTGAACCCAGGAGGAAGAGGTTGCAGTGAGCTGAAATTGTGCCACTGCACTCCAGCCTGGGCGACAGAGCGAGACTCTATGTCTATATCTATATCTATATCTATCTATATATTATATATATATTTTTTTTTGTTGCTCAGGTTGATCTCGAACTCCTGGGCTCAAACGATCCTCCTGCCTTGGCCTCCCAAAGTGCTGGGATTACAGGCCCAAGCCACCACGACCAGAGTCAAGTTATTTTGTCTCTACTCAAGGCTGTTTTCTATCTGCACAACCAACTGACCACTGCACCTCTGTATTCCTGTTGCCTGACCACCCTGTGGATTACCGCCCTGAGCAGACACCTGCTTCTACCTCCATTGCCCAGGGTCTGTTGAGTTGGAAGCGTCATATTTGAAACCATGGGCGAGTGTGAGAAATGACTGTCAAGACTCATTTGAAGACCCCACTTGAAGAGACACACGGACCCAGAGGAAGTAAAATGCCTCTTACTGTACATGTTGTCTCATCAAAGCCAAACAAATCTGCATGCATATTAGTGCAAGTGCAGAGGAGAGAAATCCTACAACATTTCAAGCAAGGGGTTGAAAATTTAAATTGTTTGTATCGTACTCATATTACTCTTTTAAGATTTGTAAAATGTTATGAATAATCCTTCTCAGAGCCACGTATGGTCAGGCAGGTTGTGCTCTGCAGTGGGGCGCCTGTCCAATTGGGGCTGTAACCACCCAGAGAAAGAGATGCCTTTTAAATTCCAAACAGAGAAGTTGTATGGCCTAACAGCCACCTTGAATGTATTATCTTTATTGCTTTAACTTTGTGAACAACAAAACAAATTCTATGACTTTTATTTGTTCACTTCTAATTGCACTCCCTCAACTCCATAAAGTCATGTTTTTCATCTACAAATTTTCTTACTCTACAAGGTGTCAGGAACTTCATCCTTGCAATTTTGGAAGACTAAAAAATTAATTCAATATGATACTTGCAGCGTAAGTATACAAAGTATGAGGGGACTATAAAAGAAGGGACGGGGTATTGGATTAAATTTCTAAATGGCAATTACTTTTAAATTTGCCTGAAACATTTTGTATAAGGCAGAAATGTAGAACTGGTGAAGTTGGATTCGCATATCATTATTTGCATAAAGTTCAATTCACTATTCAATATTGCCATAGTGAAGAGATATAATTCTGTATTCATTATAAAATTTTTAACTAACATATTTTTCCATCTAGTTCCATAGAGAAAATTAATGTGTGCTGCATAAGTCTCAGGAGGAAAAAATATATATATTCTGAACTGCTGACTTTATCCTACTAAAGCAAGTTCATGCTGGACTTATATTAGAGAGGTTTGTGGTAAGAACTAGTGTTGGTATGAAATCCCTATTCCTTTTTCAAGTGGGATTTTGCATAAAAAGAAAATGAGACCATGTGCAGTGGCTCACACCTGTAATCCCAGCACTTTGGGAGGCCAAGGCGGGCAGATCACAAGGTCAGGAGTTCAAGACAAGCCTGGCCAGTGTGATGAAACCCCGTCTCTACTAAAAATACAAAAATTTAGCCGGGCATGGTGGTGCACACTTGTAGTCCCAGCTACTTGGGAGGCTGAGGCAGGAGAATTGCTTGAACCCAGCAGGCCGAGGTTGCAGTTAGCCTAGATCGCACCACTGCACTTCAGCCCGGGCGACAGAGCGAGACTCCATCTCAAAAAAAAGAAAAAAGAAAATGAGAGAATGCATTCTCACTGACTGTGCTGTTTAAAAAGACAAGTAAGCAAATTACTAATTTACTAATTATGTAATTATTGAAGAGCTTAAACTTTGGATGCTAAATCAGTTTTAAAGCCAAAATACAGTGTTGAAAAATTATAAATCATTAATTGGCTCTGTATTGAGTCTACTCTATAATGGGAGTAGTTGAAATTCCTTTTAACATTTTATTATTTTTTTAAGAGTTGCTTTTAAAAATAGTTCAAATAGCTATAGTATGTCTTATATTTAGATTTTAAATGAATTATTGCTTTATTATTAAATATTTCAAACTATACAGAGAATATAGAGAATGCTATAATAAACACATGATGCCTACCATTTAGCCATAACAAATATTTTCATTTTGCCATATTCAATTCGGTTTTTTTGTTAAAAAAATGAAATTGGCCGGATGCGGTGGCTCATGCCTGTAATCACAGCACTTTGGGAGGCCGAGGCGGGTGGATCACCCAAGGTCAGGAGTTCGAGACCAGCCTGGCCAACATGGTGAAACCCTGAAACCCCGTCTCTATTAAAAATGCAAAAAATTAGCTGGGCATGGTGGCGCGTGCCTGTAGTCCCAGCTACTCCAGAGGCTGAAGCAGGAGAATCGCTTGGACCCAGGAGGCGGAGGTTGCAGTGAGCCGAGATTGCACCACTGCACTCCCGCCTGGGAGACAGAGCAAGATTCTGTCTCAAAAATAAATAAATAAATAAATAAATAAATAAATAAATAAATAAATAAATAAATAAAATTTAAATTTATCAATGGGGCTATTGTCCTCTGTGTGGCCTTCTCCAATCCCATTCTGTCCCTCCTGTCCAGTGGGACCCAGTACTCTGAAGTGGGGGTCTTTCCATCCCAGGCATATTTTTACACTTTTACCCCCTATGTATATAACCACAGACAATACGATTTTATAACTTGGGGTTTTTTCACTTAACATTATATTCCTGATATTTTTTCATATCAATATACATACTTCTAATTCATTTATGGCGGTTACTATAGGTTTATCCGCAGTTGCTTTGTCCATTCTACTACTGAGGGAAGTTTTAGTTGTCTGTGATTTTTCACCATTACAAAAAAGACTGTGATCATGCCTATTTCTGGAGCACAGGCATGAGAGTTTTTCCAAAGAGACCTATCAGTTCCATTTGCTTTTCCATAAAATCTGCTTAAGTATAATAGCTACATAGGACTAGTTCGCAACCAGAAGCTGCTGAGAGATTCTCGTCTTCGTAAAGGAAAAGGTAATGGTGGGGGTCTCTCTGCGTGATTAGGCCTTACTAAACGCAACAGCTCTTCCAGAAGCCCACCTCACTCAGGAACAGCAAGTACCTTCTATCCCTATCCTCCTCCACAAAGAGTAAGTAGCACCAGGGCACACAAGCTCCCATCCCGGTGGTACCTCTGCAGGTGCTTATAAAATCTGGGACAGGCCAATGGAAACTGTAGAAATGTGTGCACTGGGAAACGAGGTTTAAAGGTGAATGTGACAACTTTGGTGGGCTGATTAATGAACCCCAAAAGATGTCCACACCCTAATCCTTGACACGTGTGAATATGTTTCCTCACATGGCAGAAGGGACTTTGCAGGTACAATCAAGTTAAGGACTTAGAGATGAGGCGATTATCCTGCATTATGGGGGAGGGGGCAGTCCAACGTAATCATCAGGTTCTTTACAAGAGGAAAGCAGGGAGTCAGGTCAGGGACAGACTGGAAGATGCTGTGCTGCTGCCTCCACAGATGGAGCAAGGCACCACAAGCCAAGGAATGCAGATGCCTCTAGAAGCTGGAAAGAGCAGAGAAAGGGTCTGGGTACAGTGGCTCTCACCTGTAATCCCAGCACTTTGAGAAGCTGAGGCAGGATGATCGCTTGAGCCCAGGAGTTCACGACAAGCCTGGACAACACAGCGAGACCCTGTCTCAAAAAAACAAACCAACAAACATAAAAACAGGCAAAGGGTGTCCAGGAGGAACAGTGTCTTTCCAGCTCCTTGATGTGAGCCCAGTGAGACCCATTTTTGACTTCTGATCTCTAGAACGGTGAGATAATAAACGTGCACTGTTTTGAGCCACTGGTGTGTGGCGATTTTTTCACAGCAGTAGTAGTAGACACTACAACAGTGAAGGTGGGTGAGGATCCACCTCGTGGATCATCACAGACGAGGAGGCAGCATTCCTCACCGATCCTGCGCACAGAGCTGGCTAACACAAAGCTAGAGGCCGAGGAAACAAAGACAGGCCTGAGGAGGACTGCCCTTCTGAACTGAAGCTGTCAGCATGGCAAGTACCCACGTGTGCCCCTCTCTGGGATTCAGCAACCCATTCCTGCAAGTGGTCACTGCTGACTTTAGGATATGTGGGTATAGCTGGTGGAAGTAAATCGATGTGTTGTTCATATTAAATTTCTCTTCTAGGGCTTGGAAGAAATTCTCTCTGGCATCATGTGGCTCCACAGACAACTCCTAACTTAATTTGGTCACACTTGCTTCCTTATCTTGGAATCTGAGGCACTGTTCTCTGTCTCCCTGTTCTGCCTCTGAGGATGGCTCCCTAACCTCTACCCTGCTGGGATCCTGCACTCCAGCCCGAGTGGGCCCCTCCAGACCTTGCTGTGGGCTGGCCGGTCTGCCTGGTTGGACCTCTGCCCACACCGTCTCACTCAAATTGGACCTCTGATGTTGACCCTGGCCTGTTCCTTGAACAAGTCTATGCTTTATGATAAATTTGGATCTTGCTACCCCATTCCCTGATCTTGTTTTGTTTGTCTGCCAGCTTGGCCTGACCTGTCAGACCTAGACCTTGACCTGGCTGTCTTTTTTTAACTGTGGGACTTGTTTTACAAAGCAGCCTTCCTAGCTGTTTATTTTGCCTGCTTAGTTAAGCATTTGCACATTAAAATCTTTCTCTTTTGCAACCTGAATAGAAGAGGAGCCACGATGAATCAACAGCCTATTGCAACGCCAGGAACCATGCTGGCAGCTCCACACACATATCCCATTGGTTTCTAAAATCCCCAGGTGTGTGACAGTTCAGAATACCAGTGTCCTTGGCCACCTCTTCTGGAAAACATACCTTCTTTCTTTCAAAGAAGTGCCCCCTATCACATAATGGTCACCCTATTATGACCATGCTGATATAGTGGAAGTGGCCATCATAGTTCACTGCTCTCCTGGCCACAATAATGGTATGTAAGCTGAGCTGACGAGAACACCCCACCCGCCCCTCCACCCTAGTGACTGGCCCAAGATTGGGCACATGACCTCAAGTCAGGAGCTAATCATAGATCTTCTCCAGAATGTTCTGTTGTTTTTTGAGATGGAGTCTCGGTCCGTCACCCAGGCTGGAGGAGCACAGTGGTGCGATCTCAGCTCACTGCAACCTCTGCCTCCAGGATCAAGCAATTCTCCCACCTCAGCCTCCTGAGTAGCTAAGACTACAGGCACGCACCACCATGCCCAGCTAATTTTTTGTTTTTGTTTTTGTTTTTGTATTTTTAGTAGAAGCTGGTCTCTAACTCCTGACCTCAAAAGATCCACCTGCTTTGGCCTCCCAAACTGCTGGGATTATAGGCATCAGCCACCGCACCCAGCCCAGAATGTTTTTAATAGGAATTGGAAGAGGAGCCCTTTCCCGGGAAGGAGGTAGGGGGCAGGCTGACAGGCGGGAGCCAGGTCTCTGTCTCATGGGGAAAGCTGGTTGAAGAGAATTAAATAGACCCAAGGACGCAAGAGTCATGCAGGAAAAATAAACTTTGACAGCATTTAAGTCCCTGGAGAAGCATAAGGTCAGTGGTTCCAAGTGTGGGCTCAGAGTCAGACTGCCTAGGTAACCTTGGGAAACTGAACCTCTTTGAACCTGAGTTTCCTCTTCTGTAAAAGATAATGATAGTACTTAGCTCATGGAACTGTTGTGAGGATTGAATGAATTAATGCATGAGAAGCATGCTGAACAGTGCCTGGCACATGGTTGTCTCACAATAAATATTAATTATTATCAGCTGCTCCAGTTGTCCAGGAGGCTATCTCTACCCTTGTCCTGACTTTGATTTGGTGACCGGAGCAAATGGTTTTCTCTTTTTGCCTAAGCTAGTGTTTGGTCTCATTACTTGCAACCCAAGTCCGGAGGAATGTAGGATTTCCCTAAATTCATCAGTTTCATGAGTGGCTCTATGAAAAAAAAAATGTCCATAATCAGGTAAGTTTGAGAAACTCTTGGATATTCATTGCATTTTAATTTATATGTTGTTCCTTCTTTGAGAGTCACATTGTATTTTAATATCTTAAAGCCTCTGAGCGACCCTATGGTTAAAAAGCCAGTTGAACTTCTTTTATTTAACTGTGATTTCCTTTTTTCTTGTGATCTTTTTTTCCTATTCTGCAAAACTAACATTTCACAGAATACACTTTGGTGTGTTGAACAGAAAATCCAGATAAGAAAACTGAAGAATTTGCTGAGCCTCAAGTTGAACCCAGAGCTGTTTAATCTAAAATGGATGCTCTTTGACAGTTCTGCACCCATATACATACACACACCACAATTACCATTAATCATTTGAAAGGTAAGTGCTAGACACACTGATTTTGAGTTTGCCTTTCCATTGCAAGTGTTATTTCCCCAGACAGCACAGTTTGAAGTGCTTGCCTTTGCAGATTCACATATACCATGCAAAATTAAGTAGCAGAATTAAGGTTTTTGAAAACAATTTTTCCCTGGTGGTCTAGCGGCTAGGAAAAAATAAGCATTTAAATATAAAAAGAAACAATTTTGAAGAAAAATTATCAGACATGCAATGGCCTCTTTGGTGAAAAATGACAAGAAAGATAGCTTTTCTTTTCTGCAGCAAGAGCCCATTGTGGAAGAAACGCTAGCTTGGGAGATGTTTTCATTCTAATTCACACTGTCAGACACCTTTGTCTTCATTTGTAAAATGGCCAAAGTATTGCATAAGTCACTCACATGTCCCTCTGAGCCAAATTCTAACTTCTGATTATCCAAAGCTATGGGCCTTGAACTGTAGGTCAAATATGGGCAAGGTATATCATTATTACTATTATTATTATTATTATTGTTGATTGATTGATATCAATTGTTGGGCCCTTAGAATTGTCAGAGGGGACGTTTAGACCAAGGGAGAAATCTAGTTCCCTCTGGCAGCCTTACAATGTAAATTAGACTGAGTTGCATAACAGTTTTAGGTATCTGATATGAGACTTGCCAAATTTCATGGCTTCAGGCACACGGAATGTACATCTCTGTTCCAGGGAGGCTAAATATTTTTCCAAATCAGTAGATAAAACAAACTCCCTGACCTCAACTTACTTCCTGGCGCCTGGAGTCCTGAGTAGCTGATGAAGAGTGTCTGTCTGCTATCAAGTGACAGGACACATTCAGACTGGCTCCTACACTCAAGACCATGTGGTACCTGATCCTGTCTCCATCTTCCGAGCTAAGATTTTGGACACAACCTGAAGATCTAAGTCCAGAGGGCAGTGGGCCAGGGTTAGATACCATGAAATGCCATTGAATCAGCCTTGAAGGGCAACTGTGGCTTCTTAGTGCATGAGGCAATGTGCTGCAGCCAGAGGCCGGTGAAAGCAATGATCACAGACCCAGGGCAAATCACATCACTAACGTCATCTCTGAAATGGAGAGGTGGCTACATCACTGACTTAAGTAAATACTATGCACAGACTTGAGACCTTACACAGCCGACCAAGCAGGGAGCTAATCCATCAAAGGGAACCTGAAGCTTCTGACCTACAAGCTTGTTGAGTGGACACCTTCACTATTAGACAGTGGCATCTACTGACTGTTACACACCGCCACCTTGCAGATCAAATAAGAATTAGCTAAGCCTGAGGATTCAAAGAATTGTTAAACGGGGGATGGGAGGATTCCCATGGATAGTTTAGTAAGAGCTGGAATAAATTAATAGCAGAAGAGAGATCATTGAGGTTGGAATGTGTTTTAGAGTGTTATACACACTTAATACAAATTAATTTCATAACCTCACAAAGTCCTCTGAGTCTTTCCCAGAGAGGTACTGTAGATTCATTAGGCATCGTGTTAGAACTTTTCTGTAATCATCAGGCCATTCTGATGCATTCACCTTGAGGTTTTCCCTTTCCAGGCAATCCCATCTGCCTTTTAGACTCATGTGCTTGCACTGATGTGCACATGCATGCTTTTCTCCCCTTTCTCTCCTCTCCTTGCCTCATCCCCCTGTGAATAAGCCACATTTAATCAAGAAGCATGAGTTTCCATTTCTTGTTTTCATTGAGTCATCTAAATAACTTGCTTTCTGGCTATTTCCTGCAGAAGCCAGGAATCCACACCGCCATATTTTCCCCTTCACGTACAATTTCATATAGCTGTAAACCACCCAGCAGCTCAGGTCCTGCAAGACACACAACCCCAATTCATTCCTAACTGCACAGCTGCCCTTCTCCCTACCAAGGCCACTAAGCTAAACCACCTGCTGTGGGCTCCTTCAAGGAACTGTTCATCCCAGCAGAGGTCCTGACCATAAACCTTTTGGAGCGGGGAGAGCGTCACTTGCCTCTCTTCAATCCCTCAGGACCTCTCTGGTGCACTATGCTCACAAGTGGACCTTGACAAATGCTTACTGGGTGAAAGAATGATGCAGAGGCTTGTTTTAATTCCAAGACATCAGTGAATTGAGAAGATTTTGCTCACAGCTATCATCGTGCTCAAATACACCAAACTGGAACCATGGAAATTAAACACTCAAAGAAAAACTGAGTCTGCCTTCCTGGCTTTTGCTGTCATCATTGTTCTTATACTACATATGAAAGGATTTATCGTATATCTCCAAGATTAATGTCCTCTCCCTATAAAACAATGTTATCTGTTTGATCAGGCTTTTCTTCCTCTGTCTTCCTGGCCTATCCTTTTGTATCCTATCCCCTCCCCACTCATTGCCTTTCCCGCACCTTCCCATCACCTCGGCCTTGCCCGGGGTCTCGTCTATCGTGTTTCTGTAGTTTTCTCTTTCAGAGAGTGGGTCTAAGTTCTTCAAAGGGAATGTGCAAAGCAGATCCTGAGCACTGAGAGTCAGGAACTGGATTGGAAACCAGCATTGTCTCCCCAGACCTCAGACTGAGGACCTGCTGTAAAGAGTGACAGCAGGAGGCTGAGAATTATAGCTTCAGTTGGTTTACAAAAATTAATGAGAACTTGTTTTTTTTTTGGCCAAGTTTCTCTTTCATGAACTAAAACATTTTCTATCGATTTTTATTTGGTAGATAAAAATGCAAGTATGAAAACAGAATTTAAAAAAAAATGTTACAAAGATTGAATATTCATAATATCTAAGTGTAAATATTTTTAGACCTTTCATTATTGCTTGCAACTATGGGTGAGCCTATAGGCGTTTTAGGGTAGATTTTCATGTTGTCTAATGTTGTTTAGTGCTTAGGAAAAATAGGTTATCCAAGCAAGTTCTGATCTGTTTTTCAGTCTCATCCCTTTTGATGTCATTATTGGAGGCACTGGATGTCTGTCATGTGGGAAGAAGGATGCAAGAGGGAATAGGCTGATGTTGAAAGGAAAGATCACCTAGGGCCCAGATAAAAAGGTGACACGTGAACTACGTATTCCACAAACAGGGCCTAGCATACTTAATCTCAAACGCTGGAAAGACACACGTGACTCACCCCTTAGCCACATCGATGGTACAAGGTAGTGATGACTCCTGGGAAGGGGCTGTCATGTTACTAAATGTCCAGGGACATTCTGGCATGTTTGTCATGCTGGAGTTCTGCCTCCATGGCCAACTATGGCCTACTCTGAGAGGGGTGGGTGGTCACAGCTGGTGTAACCAGCTAGGCGGAGAACGGGAACTAGGGAGAGGGAGCTCAGGCATTCTCTCAGGCTAGAACTTGGCAGGTTCAGGTATCTTCAACATCACAGGAACTGAGGAGTGAGGAAGCTCTCACCAGTGAACCATAAACAGGGAAGATTTGTCCAAAGGCTACTGTGCTCCCTGGTGCCATCAGTAAGTCTCTGCCTTTGGTCATTCCATAGCTTTGAGGAAAGCCTCTCCTGAATAACAGAGCCTTGGCTGGGCTGGGCTCTAAGGCATTAGTGAAAGACCCGTGCTTCTCTGTTTAAATCAGCTTTATTCAAAAGGAAATGATAGTCCCCACTCCCATCCCTACTCCACCCAGGGTGGAGGCAGTGGCAGGACTGCACATGAGATCCTCCACAGGACCGCGAGCCTTGGGGGACAAACACCAGGCTATGAGATCCAGCTGCTCCTCCCCGCAGGACACTGTCTTACTAACATTAACTTCGAAGGACCTGGTTATTATTTTTTATAACATTGGGGGTGGGAGATAATTACTTACAGACACTACTGTTTCCTAAATGAAATCTAATAAGTAATATGTAAATAAAAGAAAGCAATTCCCCAGCCCCTGGAGTAATATTGCTGTATGCTGAGTGCTCATTAAAACTTAAAATATCCACGAACTAATGCAAGTTCTCCCAAAGACTGACCACCCTGGGGAAAAAAGGCATCTCAACAAACAGTGATAGTTTGAACAAAATACAGCACATGCTCCAAGGTTCCAAGAGGGAAGGGACCACACGATGGAAAGATGGTAGCATGCTTGTGGTTTAACAGCATTTCCTTTTCCAGAAAACATCAGCATTCTGAACGAGAATTTAATTCTTGTATTTGTAAACACCTCAGTGGTATCTTACAGTATTACACAATAAGCTACATATTCCATTTTTAATCCTATGACTTTTATTTTTGATTTTTTTTGTTTTGTTTTTGTTTTTGTTTTGAGATAGAGTCTTGCTCTGTCACCCAGCCTGGAGTGCAACGGTGCTATCTCTACTAACTGCAACCTCCGCCCCCCAGGTTCAAGCGATTCTCCTGCCTCAGCCTCCTGAGCAGCTGGGACTACAGTGCCACCATGCCTGGCTAATTTTTGTATTATTAGTAGAGACAGGGTTTCACCATGTTGGTCAGGCTGATGTCAAACTCCTGACCTCAGGAGGTTACAGAGACTTGAACTTTAAGACATGGCAAATGTTTACAGTGTTGAATTAATAAAACAGATACTTTCTGTACAATGATCTTTACTTCTGATAAGTTGAAAACTGTTTCTAGCCTTTGTAGGTCAGAACAATGGATTGGATATGTAATAACTTTTATCACCTACCAAAAGGATGGTTATTCATTAAGATAATCAACATCTCTGTAACTAACTAAATCATTTTCCCCTCATCCATTCCTTTTATTGAAATGTTTGTGTTTTTATTTCAAGATGTATTCCTATGCTATGATTTTGGGGTCTTACAATGAAAATTTCGGGAGCAACTAACAACTGTCTGTGCACTGGAGCACAGAAACAATTTTCCTCTTCCTTACCTGTGGAAGAATCATAGCACAACCGTGAAATGATGACACGCTGAAACGTAAGACCACTGGGGAAATCCCTGTACCTAATTCGGGCTCCTTCATACTTGGGGGCCTATCCCTACCACTGCTCTCTATCAGCCTGTGTGTAGATTGAAGATCTCTTGACTTTGACTCCTAAAATAAACAACAAAAAGGATTTTTGGTATGTTTGTTTGTTTGACCCCTACCACAGTCTACTTGTTCTGCCCATTTCTGGAAGAAACTCAAACCCAGGTTCTATCCTCCTACAACCAATATTCCTACAATCCCCTTGTCTTCATGGAAGCTGATTCCACAGATGCTGTTTTAGGTGCAATGGTTTGGTCCATCTGCAGAATTTGAACTTCAGTGGCTATAGGGCTCCAATGTGGTTAGGTTTTTAGTTTTTTGTTCTTTTTTATTAGCCTACATAATGTTAACATTTTAAAAATTCATTATCAATGTCAAAAAAAAAAAAAGAAAACAAAAAAAGGAAAGATCTGGCATCTCTGGGCATGCATTTCCAAACGGCCGAACAGTAGCTGCCCCCTTAAACCAGGCATGGCCTCTTCAATTTGAGCCAGTCCCTGCCACTCCTGCAGCTCCCTGGCCACCTCATTCCTTTTCTTTCCCTGTCTGCTTCCTGGAGGCTGATGAGCCCAAGACCTCTTATCTGCACCAATGTTACCGGTGGAGGGTGTCTGGGTTCTTGGCGTCTTGAACAAAGAATTGGGCAAGATGCACAAACAAAGCAAGGAAAGAATGAAGCAACAAAAGCAGAGATTTATTGAATGAAAGTACACTCCATAGAGTGGGAGTTGCCCGAGCACAGGGGCTCAAGAGCCCCATTACAGAATTTTCTGGGGTTTAAATACCCTCTAGAGGTTTCCACTGGTTACTTGGTGTACACTCTATGTAAATGAAGAGGATGAAGTAAAGTTACAAGTCATTTACTCAGTGTATGCCCTATGTAAATGGAAAGGATATTTCCTGTCATAGCTGAAGTGTTTCCATTTGATTTAGTTCTAGGAAGTCAGCTTGCATCGCCTTATGTTCCCCGCTTCCAGACCCCATTCTCCTGCCTCACCAAGAGCTTGATTAGTAGATCAAGTGAGCACAGGAATGCCCACCCCACATTTACACAGTTGCTGTCTGGACCTGCAGCGTCCAGTAGGGTAGCCACTAACCATACATGGTCACTGAGGTCGTGAAATGTGGCTATTGTGACCACAAAACAGAATTTTTAATTTAAATGTAAAATGATCACATAAAGTTCTATAGGACGGTTCTGGTCTGGACCATGAGAGATTATAAGATTGAAAGATTTTGTTAACCACATGCAAATGCTAGTCTGTTATTATTTTCCTCGGGATCAGAATAGGCACCTTCATTGTAGATGCTCTTTAGGGAGTCCTTGCATACCATCAGTACTCTGTATCTTACTGAGCAGAGAAGCTGATCGAGCCAAACAACTCAAAACTCCCCAAACTCCTTTCCTCTCTCTTCTACTCCCAATGCCCAGGGCACAGAAAATCACTAGAAGTAATTTATATGTTGAAATTTAAGAGGACCCAAAGTAACTGATCTTCAGAGCCTTCCTTCTCTACTTGCTTGCCACCTTGCTTTCCAATCATTTGAGATCATGGAGGACACTTGTGGAAAGCACAGAGGGTTCCTGGGAGACGTCTAATACATGGGCCCTTTCTCACTTGTTGGGCTCAACTGCGGATACGTACTCTATGGACTGGCCTAGCAAACAGAGCAAATCCCTGAGAGAAAGAGACAAAAGGAATTTCTATGAAGAAGGTATGAGTTGATCTTGAGGCTTTTCCTGAGAGAATCAGAGCCCAATTAGGATGCCAGTGGAAGGCAGGGACCCTCAGGGAGCAATAGCAGTAAAGGGAACAGCCCCAAAGGCACAGTGGAGTGCTTAGGGAGGAGCAGAGACCAAAGGCAGGCTCAAAGGCTTCCCAACGCCGTGTGAGAAGGGGCTGTGGTCTCCAGCAGCTGTGTGGTGCTTGTGTTTGCATTAAAATGCTTGGAACAGAAGCTCTTTCCCTACTGTGCCCTTCTGCTCCCAAAATACAACCAAAACCTCTCCTCTCAACTCCTTCTGGGTGATTTATAAAACAAATTACAACCAGTGAAGACTTGGAGGATGAGTTCCTGAGCACTGGCGAATATGGAAATATGGCTGGTTATCCCACATATTGAATTTGTTTGATTACCCACTTGTCTTACTGTATTGTCATAGGCCCACTGAGAAGGAGAAAAGCAAGAATAATCCCTTACATAGCATCTTCTATATATGCTCAGACATGATAAATCGTTCACTTCACTTATTCCCTTAATGATACTGTTACTAATATCCCTTTTCCACAAATGAGAAAATTGAAGCTCAGAGAAGCTAAGCAACTTGACAATGGCCCCACTGCCAACAAGTGGCAGAGCCAAGGCTCAAACCCAAACTCAAATCCTATGCTTATGTCACGGTCAGGACGTTATAAGACAACACTATACAAGTAAACGAAGCTATCTATCTTCTTGTGAAAAATGGAGTCATTTCTGAAAGCAAACACCAGGAGTACACCACGAAGGCGTCTGGATGAATTCTGAGGCATTCTGAAACACGCTAGTGTCTGGAAAGGCAGGTGGGGTCTCCGCAATGCCCTGGTGTGGAGACTTGGCATCTGTACTAGCCAGTGGGCACTGCTACTGCACCCTAATTCCCTGAGAGCTGTCTCCCCGTTCCTGACTTCAGGGAGTCCCTGCAACCGTGAAGCAAAGCACATGCAGCTTCCCGAATTTCATTTTTAGAGGTTTTCATCTTTCCCTTAAAACATTCCAGAATTCAGATTGATTAAGTTCATCGATGCAGAGAAATGTTCTTTAATACTTGGCTCTCCTCACGGTGCACATCCCCGCACCCTAAGGGGAGCTTGCCCTGTGGACATGCTTGGAAGTGTACCATGGATTACAGCTGATTTTGCTAGGATTTCCATGAAATTTCCTGACTGTAGGACTTGCGAAACTTTGGAAATTGAAGTTCTGTTGCCAGAGGAGTTTGTGGAATTGTGTTCTGTGGAAACAGAATTATGGGATTTTAAGCCTAGAAAAAATCTTTCAAGTCCGCTCCTGCCAAAGGCCAGGCTGAGTGCGAACGCTTGCTGAGAGATGCCATGGCTGTAACATGCTTCTCCTTCCCAGCATGTAGCTTTCACCTGCAAACAGACACGTGTAAAAAGAAAATTCATAAATATTTCCTTTACCCAATTCTCTTCTTCATCTTTTCAGTTTATTATTTATTTTCCTTTTGGAAACAGCAACTACGCTCAGGTTTCTAACTGGATTTCACCTTGTCCATGCCAAATCAAGAAAAAACGTATATGAAAAAGTAACTACAATGGGACTGAGAAGAGGGGGAGCAGGTAGGCTGGTGAGGACTCGCTCCCTCAGTCTGTGCCGTCTGCTACAGGGAGGAGGCTCCCACCTCCTCAGTACCCCCAGGTCTGTTACCCGCCCTGAGCCCAAGAGGAAACAGTGGCCTGAGTCTGCAGCACCTGCCTCTCCCTTTGGATCAAGTGATCACACTGTGCTGGCCTCAATCAGAAGCTGCGAGAGGGATGGGAGCAAGGCAGATGTTGAAAGAGAAGTGGGTTTGGAATAAAATCATTGCGCATGCCCTCTTCTTTCCTTGGACGCCTGTGTGGCTCGAATGCGCCTGAGACCTCCAAAAAGCAAGCACAAGACTTGGCTGCAAATCACTGTGATTACCAAAACCTTACAAACAGTGGCAGGGAATTATTCTGGTCTTGGCTGTGCTGTGGGGAATTAAGGGACATAAGAAGGAGCATTGAAGCTGGGGTGGGGGGGCAGGGGAATATGACTCCCCATAAGGCAAAGGAGACCATGACAACTGTCACTAATAGGAGGACGTAGGGAGAAATGCGCCGGCAATGGAGCAGCCTGCAGGGAGACTTCCTCCTCATGGCCTCCTGGAGAACCTTGGGTGGATTTTTTCCAGGGCACTAGTGGGTTTCCTGACAGGTCCTCATGTGAAAAGAAGAGTTGACCTTTCCTTTTTAGCTCCTAAAGCATAAACTAAGGTGACTCTATGGAGCAACAAACTACAGCTCAATATATAGAGAGTCATTCGGAAAATTACAGACTTCCAAAGATAGAATTGTCTCCTGAAGCTATAGTGACCTCCCATTGTCTCAAATGTTCAAATAGAAAGTCATTCTGGGGGGAAGCGAGGGAGGAACAGGTGGAGTGCAGAGGATTTGGGAGCAGTGGACATACTCTGTGTGATACCATGATGGTGGACACGTGTCATTATACATTTGCCCAAGCCCGCAGTATGTATGGCACCACGAGGAAACCCTCATGAAAACCATGGACTCTGGGTGATGTTGGTGTGTCAATGGGTAGGTTCGTCGATTATAACAAACGCTCCACTCTGGTAGGGGATGTGATAATGGGGGAGGCTGTGTATGTGTTGGGGCAGGAGACATATAAGAAATCTTTATCTTCCTCTCAATTTTGCTGTGAACTTAAAACTCTAAAAAAAAAAATAAGTCTTAAAACAAAAAGTCAGTCTGAAAAGCAGGTAAGAATAAGGAATTCCTTGGTCAGTTGTGAGGTTTGATTGGTTGACCTGTGAGTTTCTTACATAAATTAGAGAATACTGGAGCTAGAGAAGTACATCTTAGAAGGTAATCCTTCCAGACATGTTGTTCTAAAACTTTGATCTGCTTTCTTTCTAAACAACTAGACTTACTTCTCTTGAGCTTGCTCAAAGACGTGTCCCCTCCCTACCCTGCTCACCAAACTCTATGATGAATTGGTCATCCCTGAAGGAAAACCTTAAAGAATAAGACGAATGACTTCATATGGGACTGGCCTTTGCATTCATGTCCATAGCAAAGAGGAATTCAAACACCAGGAACTTGTCAATTGATAGCAAAACTTAGACTCAGTTTCATAAAAATGTCTAAAAGCTATGTTATATGAGGTCTTAGGCAATAGATGTATCCTCTGAAAATCTCAAAGTGAGGATGTAGAAAAATTGGAACTCACATACACTGCTGACATGGATGTAAAATGGTACAGCAACTTAGAAAACAGTTTGGCAGTTCCACAAAATATTAAGCATGGAGTTAGCATGACCAACAATGACCCAACAATTCCACTCCTAAAGTCTCTGAACCACTTATCATTTTCCAAAATTCTTCCATGTATTTGTTTAGTAGCTTGTTGTCTTTGTCATCCACCAAAACTTATCTGTCCAGTAGAAAGGCCACTGGCCACACTCCAAGTGTTCAGCAGCCACATGTGGCAGTGGATACAGATTGGACAGCACAGTACAATCATCACTGTCAGAACGTCCTGTTGGATAGCACTGCACTGGAATGCAAGCTAGGTTAAAGCAGGCTCCTTATTTGTCTTGGTCACTGCTATTTCTCCGGCATCCAGAACAGTGACTGACACATAGTAGGCTCAATAAAGGGTAAGTAATGAGTGAATGAACTGAAGTTGAATGAATGAACAGCACTGGGTGGACAACAACAACACTGGAAAAGGAGGTGAAGGAATGCTGGAACAATACGAACAGGGGTGAAAATGGAAGCAAGAAAATAAAGTATTTGTTTAGGTTCTTCTTGTCATCGCTTTACTCCAGTATCTTATAATTTAATCATGATAGTCTCAAGAGAGTATTTTAATTATTGGATCTTAGTATCTTTCCTAGTATTCTCCTATTGGAGAATGTGTTGAGTAACATAATTTGACAAATGACATACCACTGTGAAAATGTATAGAATGTTGTGAATTTGTTAGTTTGCCATTAATTTCATTTCCAATTCCAACAGGGAGTACTACTGACATGGTAGAAATTTAGGTTGATAAAGAGCCTTTGACTCCTAGAGAATGTTTTAATAGTCATTCACTTTTATCAAACTTCAGAGGTCATTCTTATTTTATAGCTTTTTTCTGTAAATAATACTGAGTTCTAAAAATAGAAATTAAAAGATAAAAATCATTCAATAAACAGGTGTCATTTCATTGTTTTCCTAGTTTGTTCTTGTTTTTTGTTTTCATTTGGTTTGGTCTGTTTATATTGGGTGTTGAGACTGAAAATTTTTACTCAAGGTCTGATTGTAACTTTGCTACCATCCTCTGGCAAAATAATGACCATCTTAGGATCTTTGACTAGAATGAGTTTCCACAATTTTGTTTATTTCATGTTATAAACTGCTTTCACTTGCATCCTACTGCAGCTAAAAGCAAAAGCTATTAAAAGGCAACGATAGCAGAGGAAAACAAGATCACAGAATCTCTGTTCTCTAATACCTGAAGAAATGCAAAATTTTAAATGTTTTAATACCTGATATTCAACAGTGGCAACTAAAACAAAATGGCAGCCGGGGGGAAAAAAAAAGCAGAAAATTCAGAAGGAAAATTTTTGTTTGTAGAGATGGGGTTTCACCATGTTGCCCAGGCTGGTCTCAAACTCCTAGGCTCAAGCGATCCTTCCCACCTTGGCCTCCCAAAGTGCTGGGATTACAGGCATGAGTCCTGTGCCTGGCCAGAAGGAAAAATTCTAAGGAAAACCCTCCGTGATCCCCCCATCATAGCCTTGCCAGAGGCAGAAGGCAGAAGTGTTGCCCGGTCTCCTCCAGAGAACTGGGTTGAGTTGAGGGAACAGGTGAAGCCCATCAGGGTGGCTGGCACCCAGCAATGTTTGGGTGGAGTAAGTCCCAGCAGGACATGTCAATGGCTCCAAAGAAAATAATAAAAGCTCAGGACCCCCACCAACGGCTGCACTTGATCCCCAAAGAGCCGATCCTGCCTACTACACCCTCCTCTCCACAAAGAACATGGACTGCGGGTGTATGGAAAATGAAGGTAAAGCAATAACCACCTGTCTGACCATCATTCAGAGAGTTAAGACTAATGGGTCCTAAATGAGATGGGGGAAATGTCCAGGAGAATTTACCCACCCTATATAAGAGGAACTAGGCTTGGACAGAATTGTCCACATTAAACATAATATACAGAGAAATGCCACAATGGAATACTAAAGCAATAAATGTGAGCAAGCTATAACCACACACAACAGCATGGACAGACCTCACACACAACAGCATGGACGGACCTCACACACAACAGCACGGACGGACCTCACACACAACAGCACGGATGGACCTCACACACAAAATGCTGAATGAAAGAAGTCCAGTGCAAAAGGATACATCCTAAAAATTCTATTTAGATATTATGCTGTGAGAAGTCAGAATCCTGACTCCTCTTGTAGGGGGTAGATGTGAGCAGGGCATGTCTGTGTCTAGTGGACAGCACATTACATCTCTCCCAACTCCTGATAATTTTACCCAAGTTTTCAATTGCCTTCTTATTGACATTCCATATTTTTTTTAATTCTTGGTGCATTCTGTAACAAACTCTTTACATGTTGAAAATCATACAATATGGTATCATGCTATCTACAAGTCACTCACTGTAAAAAAGGCCTCATTGTGCAGCGATCATTCCTCAGAAAGACATTTTTGGGGGTAGTGACAGCAGTTCCTCAGTGGAGTCCAGTGGTCTCCACCCATGAATTTGCTACATCCTATCTCTCAAAATTCCTTTGTCTGAGGTCCCGTTAGTGACCCCACAGTGAACCAGGGCACACACCAAGGTTGCTTCCACCTTCATCTGACCATGAGATATTGCTGTGACTTACCCGCTCTTGTCCAAGTTCTTAGTTACAGACAAGAGAATCCAATCCAGTTGGTTAAAATAGAAAGAGATTTGTTAGTGGGTACATAGAGTTCACAGAATCATTACAAGGGCTAAAAGAAAGACTGAGCTTCCAAGAATGACTGCCAAACCACACTGTTCAACTGAACCACCAAGGAGGCTGCTACCTCTCATCAACAGGCAATGCAGAATCAGAAAGCTACTGCTCCTGTAGCCAAGAACACAGAATCAGAAAGCTGTCGCAGGCTGGGCGCGGTGGCTCATGCCTGTAATCCCAGCGCTTTGGGAGGCCGAGGTGGGCAGATCACCCGAGGTCAGGAGTTTGAGACTAGCCTGGTCAACATGGTGAAACCCCATCTCTACTAAAAATGCCAAAATTAGCCAGGCATGGTGGCGCATGCCTATAGTCCCAGCTACTAGGGAGACTGACGCAGGAGAATCGTTTGAACCCAGGAAGCAGAGGTTGCAGTGAGCCAAGAACGCGTCACTGCACTCCAACCTGGGCACCAGAGTGAGACCCTGTCTCAAGAACAGAAAAAAAGAAAGCAAGCAAGCGCCACAGACTGCTTGACTCACTGGTGCTATACCCCCAGCACCGGCGCATAGGCTATTGACATCAGCAACCTGCCAGCTGCACAGTTGCTTCTTAAACTGTTTGCTCACAGTTTTCTGAAGACAGTGCTTTTCAAACTTTAAGATGCCCACAAATTACCTGGGGTTCTTGTTAAAATCATAGATTCTGCTTCAGGAAATCTGAGGTAGGGCCTGAATTCTACATTTCTAATGAGCTTCCAGGTAAGATAGATGCCGCTGCTCTCACTCTTTAAGGAACAACATTAAGAGACATCAGCCTAATGAAATCAAGCCCTATAATCCCTTTCACCTCAATCCCACCAGTGTTCCAAGCTCCTGGGGCATCTGTCATTTGGTCTCTCACCCCTCACACTACCCTGGATCCCTGCTAACTAACCCAATCTCCCACTTTTTCCACCGTACCCTCTTTCATCAGATTCTGCACAGGCAAATTATCTAGTATTCTCAACTTCTTCTCTGAATGTTCCCTTTACTTTCCTGCTTTAACTGAAACTTACTCCCCTGAGGACGTGGATCCTGCAGCCTTCATTGAGGCTGGTGTTTTTTCTTCACTTGCATGTACCTTGAATACCAGAGGCAGGGCAGAAATTCTCCTTCTACCAAAGTTTGTTCCTCATCGCAGTGTTCCTCCTTTCCCCTTGAAAAACTACACCAGAGAAATCTTGCAGACACCACCTTGGCAAAACTATCAAAGTTGTCACCAGTAATAGGACAAATAAACATCATGTACCTCCTGATAAGATGTACTGAGAAGCCTACATCGTTTCTATGGTATCTCTATCAAAAATGCATAACCTGAATTTAATCAGCATACATCAGACAACCTAAACTCAGAGACATCCTACAAAATAAATGACATGTATGATTCCAAAATATCAAGGTCGAGAAAGAGTAAGTACTTCAATTTAGAGGAAACAGAGACATGACAAAACACACACACACACACACACACACACAATGGAGGGCTGGGCGCAGTGGCTCACGCCTGTAATCCCAGCACTTTGGGAAGCTGAGGCAGGCAGATCACAAGGTCAGGAGTTCAAGACCAGCCTGGCCAACATGGTGAAACCGCGTCTCTACTAAAAATACAAAAAATTAGCTGAGCACATTGGCGAGTGCCTGTAATCCCAGCTACTCAGGAGGCTGAGGCAGGAGAATTTCTTGAAAACTGGAGGTGGAGGTTGCAGTGAGCCGAGATCCTGCCATTTCACTCCAGCCTGGGCGACAGAGTGAGACTCCATCTCAAAAAAAAAAAAAAAAAAAAAAAAAAAAACACACAATGGGAGATTCTGGATTGGATCTGAGACCAAAAATGAGGATACTGGTGGGACAGTTGTAAAATTGGTACCATTAGATAATTGTATCAATGTTAGTTTCCTGCATTTGATAATTGTACTGTGGTTACATAAGATATTAACAATTTGAGTGAAGTAGGAATTTGAGTGAAGTACTTACAGAAATCCTTTGTACTGTTTCTACACTTTTCTTTAAAGTCTGAAGTTATTTCAAAACAAAAAGAACTTGGCCAGGCGCGGTGACTCACGCCTGTAATCCCAGCACTTTGGGAGGCTGAGGCAGGTGGATCCCTTGAGCCCAGGAGTTTGAGACCAGCCTGGCCGACATGGCGAAACCCCATCTCTACTAAAAATACAAAAATTAGCCAGGCAAGGTGGCACACACCTGTAATCCCAGCTACTCTGGAGGATGAGGCAGGAGAATCGCTTGAACCCGGGAGGTGGAGATTATTTGAAGTCCACGCCCGCCGACTGGACCTATGAAGCCTCCATGCACATAGTGAGTATTAGCCTGCACTAACACTAACACTAACAAACGCTACCAAATGTGCACTAACACTGCCAGATAACCTTTCTTCATGTTCCTGGTAAACTCACAATCCCACTGTTGAAGAAATCAAGTTTGGATTGTGTTTAGAATAGTGCTTTTGGAAATACTTCACTGATGGCATTCCAATTGGCCATGCTCAGCCAATTGTTAGAGTTGGCTATTTATGAAGGATTGAAGAAAAATACTAGAAAATATAGCCTCACTTTATTTTATATAAAAGTTAAAAATTAATATCCTGGTTGAGCATGGTGGCTCACACCTGTAATCCTAACGCTTTGGGAGGCCAAGGCTGGGGAATTGCTTGAGCCCAGGAGCTCAAAACCTGTCCAGGTAACATAGCAAGACCCCCATCTCTACAAAAAGTCAAAAAAAAAAAAAGCAATGATGGCATGCATCTGTAGTTCCAGCTACTTGGGAGGCTGAGGTGGGGGAATCACTTGAGCCTAGGAGTTCAAGACTATAGTGAGCTATGACCAAGCCACTGTACTCCAGCCTGGGTGACAGAGTGAGACCTTGTTTCAAAAAATAAAATAAAGTATCTTCCCCCACCCTTGATAATATTTCCCTGTGAGCTGGTTTATTTACTATACATATTATTAAAACAAAACATAGAAACAGTTTAGATAGACACTATCCCCTGTGACTGTCATCAACTCAATCTAGTTAAGTTTTAACAAGAAACAAGTTCATTTATCACATTAAAAACTAAATATTGATATATATCATGTTGTTCAAAACTAGTCTAGGTATTTAATGTGGGTATTTCAATGGCTATTTCCACCATTTCACTCTTTGTTTAGTTTTGTTTATACTGATAATGAACATTGTGCAGTTTTTACTTTTTCTTCACGTTTTTTGATTTATTAAAATATTATTGCTAAATCTAATAATAAAACATTCAGACTTGTATTTTGTATTTTTATACGCTTTTCTAATCATTTATTTGTATTTAACAAAAGTAGTGATCCACAACCCATTGGAAATAACCACAATTTGAGAAGCAATGCAGTCGCCTTTGATATTCCCGAGATGGACACTAGGTGGCGCCCAAGGATCTTCTTCCTGGCTGGTTGCGTGATCTTTGCAATGGCACGCTGGTCATAAGGCGCTTGGCAGTGTATAAGTGATAAGGCGCTTTTCCAGTGTAGACGGGCAGAATTGTCAGACCTTTCCTATCTATCAAGTCCACAGAGAAGGCAACTCACTCTCCTTTGTAGGGGACATCTATAAATAATTGAAGTTGACTTACACAAATGAAGACATTTTCATGTTTTGCCTATTGTTGGGAGGCTTCCCAGCTGAATAGAAGTAATCTCTAAACACCAAAGCTGTTACAACTATTGTTATATCAAGAAGACTATTTGAGAGCCTTTGTTCAATAATAGTGACAGGAGCCAACCACATCCGGGCCAAATTATAAAGGAAATCTACAAAGTCTTTTCAATGCCCACATCTCCCAGAATCAGGAGGGCAGTGGAATGGCAGAACAGAATTCTGAAAAATACCTGGCTGATATCAATCTATAAACGAGACCTCGAGAGGCAATCCTTGCATGCAGTCCTCATAAATATGAGATCCACAGTCAACAGAAAGACTCTCCCACACACAATAGACAGCCGAGTACAACACTTCCGGCTGCTCCCCGGGAGCCACTCACAGGACACTCCTATATTTAAACATACATTGAATGCTATTTAAAAACACACATGAAATATATCAAAGCTTTCCATTAAGAGATCTGAGAATCCAACCCTGATGAGCCCTGCCACAGCTACAACCTATGTGAAAGTTCAGCAGAGAAACTTATTCCTTCAGCCTCACTAGGACAGTGCTAACAAAGACCAGCTTATCACCAACACATAAATTGTCAAAGCCTTTAGCTTTCAATACGTTCTTCCCCCTCTAAGACTTTTGCACCACTGGGGCAGACAGCAAGAAGAATGCAGACCCGTCTATGGCCAAGGGCAGACCACAAGAATGCAGACCTATGGCCAAGGTTGACATCAAGAATGCAGACCTGTCTACGGCCAAGGTCGACATCATCCCTTGAGATGACTTGTCAAGGTTTCCAGGCCTGCCACTTGTGACTAGAAGTCTGATTTCCAACTTGTGTACCTGCCTCGAGAGTTTGCTCTGGCCATTCTTCAAGTTTGTCAGCCCAAGTCCTCAAAAACTTGTAAATCTCCCCATCCAACTCTGACCTTGTTTTGCTTGGGGTTGAACGTGCTAGGAATGAATACCCACTCTGTCAAGGAGAATGCAGTGGAACAGCAGCCACTGGAAATCATCCCTGCGTGGAGATAGGCAGTAGCCCTAGTTATTGCCAATAACCTCATGTTCCTACTGATAATCTTGATCATCTTTGGTAGTGAGACAACACAAAGAGATCATGTAGCCTTGGAATAGATACAAGTTTGCCTATTAAATCGGGGGGTCAAACTGTGAAGATCCCTTCTTTCTTGGATTTTTTTGCTAGTTGATGATTTTAACAGTTGTTTCTGGTCACTGCCATGACTGTTTTTAGAGGCCTCATAGGGCAAGAAAGACCAAACACATTAAAAATAACCAAGTGAAGTTCTTTTGCACAAAGTTTGAAGACATTCATCTTTGACTTTAATCTACAGAACTAGGTAACAGAGGTTTTTAATCCTAATCCGTAATAGTTGTCTCTGCTAATCTTATTTGTCCATTATTAGTCAAGCTCCCAACCTGAAAAGACACACTCGAATTATGCCAATTCAAGGAGTAAAATTTATTAAAATATATTATTTACAAAGGTGTGAGTGAAGGCTTAGGAAAACAAAAGGGTAACCAGTAGTAACAGAGGAACTAAACATCCCACAGTTGAAAGTTGTAGGGACCGAGTAGCTGCTGGAACCCATAAGAAACTCACATAGAGGAAGTCACCTTGAGAGGAGTTTTTAAGAAACACAGCCAACCTAAGGTGACCCTACCCCACCAAACTCTCCTTTCACCATGAACCAAACCCAACCAAACATCCCAGCCTCCCAGGACAGAGCGCAGGGTAAGACTGGATCTAGGGGAATAGATGGAATATCTAGGGGAACAGATAAAATATATACATATATGGCACCATCCGAGCCTTTTGCCTTCAGCATCATCTCTTGTCCTTCACCTGGTGGAAAGATTGAGTTCCCAATACGGGGCAGGATCAATGTTCCACCAACTACTACTTCAATACAAGTTGTTCTCATACTCCACAGCCTAAAACTTTAGCCAGCATTGGTGTTATTCATTTAACTTATTTCAGAGAAAAGAGAGGAGAAACACTTAAATGACATAAAACACTGTTGTGACAATCCTGACTTCTGTGAGGTCTGTATTGGTCATCTTAGCTGCCTTTGCCCTCTGCCCATTCCGAGTTCCAGTTAGCCTCCTCCAGCACCTTTGCTGGGCCAGGGTTCTTTACCAGATGAAAAGTACAAAACCTTCATTCTTACAGTGAGTCTTTGGAGGTCTTCTATTTACGGGTTGAAGTTTTTCCTTCAAGACAACTGGTTAAGGGAGCACAGTCACCAGTAAACCCCCTGGTTTCCAAACATCACTCTCCTTGCCACCACTGTGTAGGAACAAACAGTCCAATTTCCCTCAGACAATCAAGATCAATGAACTCAAACACCACAATCACCTCCTTATTTCCCTACTAATTCAATGGCATGAGAAGCCCAAGATGACCAAAAGGCAGTCTCCACTACCAACGCACTGGAACCATCACTCCCTTCCATGCTAGGCTCCCAAAACTTACATGCTTTTCAAAGAATGAAATAGACTGAATGCTCCTTGAGAGTAAAAAATTTTTATTTGTGGCCGGGGGCACAGTAGCTCACGCCTGTAATCCCAGCACTTCGGCAGGCCGAGGCAGGTGGATCACTTGAGGCCAGGAGTTCAAGACCAGCCTGGTCAACATGGCAAAACCCCATCTCTACTAAAAATGCCAAAATTTAGCCAAGCATGGTAGTGCACGCCTGTCATCCCAGCTACTCGGGAGGCTGAGGCACATGAATCACTTGAACCCAGGAGGCAGACGGTACAGTTAGCCGAGATCACAATACTGCACTTCAGCCTGGGTGACAGAGTGAAACTCTGTCTCACAAAATAATGATAATAAATAAAATAAAATAGAACGGGCAAGGCCGGGCACGGTGGCTCACACCTGTAATCCCAGCACTTTGGGAGGCCGAGGTGGGCGGATCACGAGGTCAGGAGATCAAGACCATCCTGGCTAACATGGTGAAACCCCGTCTCTACTAAAAATACAAAAAAAGTAGCCGGGTGTGGTGGTGGGCGCCTGTAGTCCCAGCTACTCAGGAGGCTGAGGCAGGAGAATGGCGTGAACCCAGGAGGCGGAGCTTGCAGTGAGCCGAGATCGCACCACCGCACTCCAGCCTGGGAGACAGAGCAAGACTCTGTCTCAAAAAAAAAAAAAAAAAAAAAAAAAAGAACGGGCAATCACCATTTTAAATAACTTAGTGATCAAAATTCACATGACCAGTTGTGAAACAACCTGGCCTGATGTACCTTCTGGTGTGGTGCGGTAGGTACAGCATCTCCTATGTAGCATTCTTGCAAAAGACATTTAACCTGAACTGAGCCATGAGGAAACAGACAAATCTAGAATATGGGACATACTACAAGTGGCCTGGACTCTTACAAAAGGTCAATGTCGTGGAAAACAAAATAGTAGGGAATAATTCTAGATTAAAAGAGACTGATAACCAAATGAACAGCATGAATTTTCATCAAGACACTGCATTGGGAGAAGAAATGAACATTTTTGGGAACTGGGGAAACTTACTACGGACTGAATAGTTGATAAAATTATTGATGTTTTAAGTTGTGATAATATTGAGGCTAGGTAGAAGAATGTCTTTACTCTTGGGAAATGCACATTGAGGTTCCAAGGCAGTCTCAAGGAAAAGCACCGGCAGAACTGTTTGGAGTGTGAACTGAACTAGCGGCACTTTGCACGGAGCACCATTTTAACTTCCAAGATTGACAAATTGTCGTTGTTCAGACCTGTGGATTTGGCAGACAATTTCTCAGAAACAAACAAACTGAGCCTATCACTTCAAAAAAAAACAACTGACAGCATGTGTTGTCAATGATGAAATTCAAGTTTTCAAGGGGAAATTACATACTACAACTTTTAAGAAACTACCACTTGTCAAATTTTGTGGTTGTTATCAAAGGATACCCACAATTACCTGGAAAGGCTATTAAAGTATTCCTGTGCCAGGCACAGTGGCTCATGCCTGTAATCCCAGCACTTTGAGTGGCTGAGGCAGGCAGATCACTTAAGCTCAGGAATTCGAGATCAGTCTAGCCAACATGGTGAAACCCTGTCTCTACTAAAAATACAAAAATTAGCCGGGCATGGTGCCATACGCCTGTAATCTCACCTACTTTGCAGGCTGAGGTATGAGAATCGCTTGAACCCGGGAGGTGGAGGTTGCAGTGAGCCCAGATGGTGCCTGGGCAACAAAAGCGAAACTGTCTCAGAAAAAAAAAATAATAAAGTATTCCTCCCTTTTCCAACTACACATCTCTGTGAGGCCACATTTTCTTCACATACCTCAACCCAAACAAAAGATTATCTGCAGAAGCAAACAGGAGAATCCAGCCATGTTCTATTAAAGAGATTGGTAAAATGTAAAATAATGTCACTCATAATTTTGTTTTGCAAAATATGATTATTTTCCATTAAAAAAATGTTAAAGTATCTTTCCATTCCTAGGAAATACATATTGAAGTACTTAAAATGAAATATGCCTGCAGTTTACTTTCAAATATTCATCCAAAAAATTGTATAGATGTATACACATGTATGTATGTGTGTAAACATGTATGCCTAAGTGGCATCAGAGATACTTGGTCTTTGTCCCTGGTTCCTGGCACAGAGCTCCTAAAACCTAATTTCTTGAGTTAAAAGTGATAGTAGGATCTTTTGTTCAAATGAGGGACTCTTGGCAGGGCCCCTAGACAGCTTCAGGATGGGGACTGGTTGCTAGAAAGATGAAACTTTGATTAGAAGCTTAGAATTTTCAGCTCCACCTCCCAACCTCTGGGGATGGGTGAGGAAGTGAGGACTGTTAATCACCAATGGCTAAAAATTTAATCAATCACGTGTAATGGAATCTCTATAAAAACACCCTAAATGATGGGGCTCAGAGACTTAAGTTGGTGACATAGTAAGGTGCTGGGAGAGTGGTGCTCCCAGAGAAGGCACAGAGCTCCATCTCCCTTCCCCATACCTTGCCCTGGGCATCTCTCCCATTTGGCTGTTCCTGAGTTTTATCCTTTATAATAAACCTGTAATTGTGAATAAAGTGCTTTCCTGAGTTGTGTGAATGGTTCCAGTCAATTATCAAATGTGAGAAGGGGATTGTGGAAACCCTCTGAATTTACTGGTCACAAGTACCAGTGACAACCATGGACTTACGGCTGGCATCTGAAGTGGGGGCCTTCTTGTGGGACTGAGCCCTTAACTTGTGGGATCTGACACACTAACTCCACGTAGATGGTATCAGAATTAAATTGTAGGACACCCAAATGGAGTAAGAGAAGTGGTGATGGAAAAAACACACACACTTGGCTCAGAAGTAAAAATAGCTCAGCATATGCGTACGTTAACTTTCTACAATTTACTTCCAAACAGTTCAGCAAAAAGAGACAGAAGGTTGCAAAATAATAGGTGAAGGATATGAGTGTTCCTTATACTATTGATTCAACTTTTCTCTGGGTTTGAAATTTTTCAGAATAAAATACGTTGGGGGCCAGGCACAGTGGCTCATGCCTGTAATCCCAGCACTTTGGGAGGCCAAAGCGGGCAGATTGCTTGAAGCCCGAAGTTCAAGACCAGCCTGGCAAACACAGTGAAATCCCGTCTCTACTAAAAATACAAAAATTAGTCGGGTGTGGTGGCACGCACCTGTAATCCCAGCTACTAGGGAGGCTAAGGAATGAGAATCGCTTGAACCTGGGAGGTGGAGGTTGCAGTGAGCCAAGATCACGCCACTGTACTCCAGCCTGGGTGACAGAGCAAGACTCTCAAAAAAAATAAAGATAAAATACGTGGGGGAAAAAAATCAAGTGCAAGGTCACTGAAATAGGAAGCAAACATTCTTCAAGTTAGAGGGGCCATTTCCATCTGCGACCCTGTGGCCTAGGAGCCATTCCCGAGGCTCCTCCAATAGATTAAAGAGGTCTTAAACTTCCTCCCTTCATTTATAGGCTCCCCATCCAGCGCAGGCCCTGTGACTCCAACAAGGAACTGAGATCTCATGCACCTTAAAACAATAAATGAGAATGGCTCATGGCTAGACATGACTGGTACCAGATCCCAAAACCCAAGGTTTGACTAGGCCCTGGTCTCAATTTGGAGAGCTTGGCTGTGGAGAAGAGGGGCGTGAGAACCAAGTGATCGAATTCCTGTTAAAATGAAGTAATTTGTGGCTCACACCTGTAATCCCAGCACTTTGGGAGGCCGAGGCGGGTGGATTACGAGGTCAGGAGTTCAAGACCAGACTGGCCAAGATGGTGAAACCCTATCTCTACTAAAAGTACAAAAAATTAGCCGGGCCTGGTGTGGGCGCCTGTAATCCCTCCTACTCAGGAGGCTGAGGCAGAGAATTGCTTGAACCTGGGAGGTGGAGGATGCAGTGAGCCGAGATCGTGCCACTGCACTCCAGCCTGGTGACAAAGCGAGACTCCGTCTCAAAAAAAAAACAAAAAAAAAAGTAGTAATTCATATTTTTCTTTAAAATTACTAGAAGTACTCATGGTTCAGGTGGCACTTAGTCACCAAAAAAAAAAAAAGTGGGAAGTGGTTGAAACTGTTGCTGACGCCGGGTGTGGTGGCTCAAGCCTTTAATCCCAGCACTTTGGGAGGCCAAGGCGGGCGGATCACGAGGTCAGGAGATCGAGACCATCCTGGCTAACATGGTGAAACCCCGTCTCTACTAAAAATACAAAAAATTAGCTGGGCGCGGTGGCGGGCGCCTGTAGTCCCAGCTACTCGGGAGGCTGAGGCAGGAGAATGGCGTGAACCTGGGAGGCAGAGCTTGCAGTGAGCCGAGATCACGCCACTGACTCCAGCCTGGGAAACAAAGCAAGACTCCGTCTCAGGAAAAAAAAAAAAAAAAAAAAAGAAACCATTGCTGACACCAAAGGTCAACTTAAATTCATACCGAAGAAGTTAGGAACCTTACCACCTTCCTTCAGATGCTGCACACTGTAATTTCAATCACACTCTGCCCTGGATCCCACACCCTTCTACAGCCACCATCCTATTTTTCTTTATCCTTCACAACCAAGCTGCTCAAATGAACTTACACACAGTCTCCACTCCTCACTCAACCAGCCTCTGCCCTCCCCACCCTTGTCACCACCACCAATGGCCTTCATGTTACCAAATCTTCAGAAACATCAAAGTTGTAAAAGTCAAGGAAAAACTAAGGAACTGTCAGGCTGAAGGAAACTGAAGTAAAGAGAGAATCAAATGAGACACGTGATCCTGTGTTACATGCTTTTGCTAAAAGACACTGAAACTCACAAAATCTGAATGGGGTCTCTGAGTGGAGGGGTACATGGGAGTTTTCTGTACCATTCCTGCAACAACTACATACTTGAAAAATAAAGCCTTCAGAATAGGAGCTATTAAAAGACTTGGGCTTGGCAGACACAGTGGTATACACCTGCAGTGTACAGATGCTAGGAAGGCTAAGGCAGGAGGATCACCTGGGCCCACAAGTGCAAGGCCATGGTGCGCTAGGATCACACCTGTAAACAGCCACTGCACTCCAGCCTGGGCAACACAGAAAGACCCTGTCTCTTCAAAAAATAAATACATAACATTTTAAAAGACTTGGGCTTAGCTTACTTAGGAAGGCAAAACTGGAACTTTCACATCACTTTTCAAGATACGTGAGTTACTACATAGACAACTTCAGCTGATTTCTGAACTACATATACAGTCTTCCTGTTACCCATGGAGGTTACATTATCCAACTATTGAAATGAGTTGAAATTCAGGAGCAGTTAAAAAGTGGCATAAATCTTATCTCCTAACTATGCAGTAAGTTATCCAGCAGAAGGATAAACCATTTAAACTATCAAGAACCTAAAAAGTGAAGAGGAGCATTTCACTTAGGCAGTGGGTCACTATTAATCCAGGACTAAAATGTCTATAAAAGCAGGTCTGGGAAGGTGTGGACTCTGTAAGGGGCTTATGTGAATGAAGCAAGTGGGCAAAGAAAAGTCCTGTTCATGTAGCAAGCTTTTTTTGTTGTTTTTTTGTTTTTTTTGAGACAGTCTCACTCTGTTGCCCAGGCTGGAGTACAGTGGCACAATCTCGGCTCACTGCAACCTCTGCCTCCTGGGTGCAAGTAATTCTCCTGCCTCAGCCTCCACTGTAGCTGGAATTGCAGGTGCTCACCAGCATACCCAGCTAATTTTTGTATTTTAGTAGAGATGGGGTTTCACCATGTCGGCCAGGCTGGTCTCGAACTCCTGACCTCAAGTGATCCATCCGCCTTGGCCTCCCAAAGTGCTGGGATTAAAGGTGTGAGCCACCGCACCGGGCTGTAGCAAGATCTTTTACTAAAATGGACACAACTATTAGGTGAACTGTTATATAGTAACTAATTCCATATAATTTTTTTAAATGTTTATTAGTACTTTGCAAATACCCTTCCTATCCCAGTAACTCCCTTTGAGCCATACTACAAAACTATGAAGTCAGTGATTAATTGTGTGAACTCCAAGTACTCTTTTTTTCCTTCTTCTGGCTGAATTATGTTTTACTAAAAGCAAATTTACAGTTAAGTGAATATACCATGGATCTTTCTATTCCTAAACAGAAATTGAAATGGGGCCTCAACATATAAACAAAAACAATAACCAAGGGCAAAATAGGGACTTCATAAATGAAAATGTAAATTTGAAATCTTCAAAGGAGTCCATGACACCAGTCAAGTATATGAAGGAATCATTAGACTACAAAGCACTTAAAGGGAGAAAGAAAAAAAAAGAGGCTGTGTACACCTAAGTGTTTGCATTTTTCCATTTGGATCAGGTAGATGGAAAGGACGGACCCAAGACTAATCCACATTCCAAAGCATTCACACAGAAAGGCATTCTATTAATAAAACTCATTCAACAGACAAATTACCCATTTACCTTCAGGTTTGTGAAACCGGGATAACACAAAGGGCACATTTCTTACTTTTATTTCAACATTTAAAATATTCACAGATGGAGTATTATATTCAGACATCTCCATGGAAGATGTACGAAAACAAAGCATACAAGCATTCCACAATTACAGAATTACATATTTGTGATTATGTGAATGTTCACCCTACAGTTTATCTGGAAAAACACTTTTAAAAAAAAAAAAACTTTTGAGTGTTTCACTGGATTAACTGCCATAAAAAATGAACTGCAAAGAATTTCAGGAGAGATACCTAAATTTAAGTACTTTTACTTTTTAAAAATTTCAAACTTTTATAGTATTCTGCTAACATATCTCCTGTGAGGAACACTTAATACTGAATTTTCCCCTCAATAGCCAAGTCAGAATATACTTATTTCATTTTTCACCCAAGTCTTTGTTTCTAAACGCATTATGTAGAATAGATTTGATCGTCACAGCATCTTGAGTAGCTAATGAGGTAGGAGTATTCTTAAGTTCTTAGGCATTAATGAAGCAAAGCAAAAGACAATCAAATTACAAAGATTTTCTTTTGTAGTGGTTGTTCTTTAAGTAAAATGCTAAGAGCACTGGAAATTGGTCAAATGCTACTCACATTTTAAAAACGAAGAGGAAAAACCCATTAGAAAGCCCTGATACACATAGAGTCTGTTAAAGGGAAAAACCTGAGTACTGGAATTAAATTCATTTTGGCATTGTAAGGTAAGGTATCTACGCCTAAAAATGCCAAGTTTTCTGCCCAGGAAAAAAAAATCTTTACCAAGGAGATAAAATTTAAACAGAAAACAAAATTAATCTATACTTTCTTTTCAGAACAAGTTAATTTGCTTTTAACCCAGTTCTCTTTTCCTATACACAAACTGATTAATAATTTCAGTATACTGCATATCCAGTAACACATTTAAATGAAGTTAGCAGTCAACTTACCAACTGTGCCAGAGAAACACTCCTTATATGGAGGCTTCATTAACATAATGCTGAACAACTAGAAAACATGTAGGTAATAGATTTCAGCACCATCTGTTAGTAGATTGTTTCAAAATGCATACACCCCCTAAATTCACATAAACCTAGGAAATTTACCCATCATTCCCTCTGCATCTACACCAAAAATCAAAGTTCTGTACTCGAACTACCCTTTCCGTGTGCCAAAAATAAGAAATATTTAAAAATCTATCCAATTAAGTTAATAGGACACAAACATGTTCCCCAAAAAAGGAGGGAAGTTACCAATCAAGCATGATGTGTCTAAAGTACAAACTTTGGGAGTTTCTCTGAACCTACTCTGGTTCAAGGGGCTGCAAAAAATACACATTTTTAATACACTGGTACCTATTATTCGATGAAGGCTAAATTACAAGAGATTTACCAATTTGAACCTCATAAGGTTACTGCTAAATATACTTTAAAAAGTCATCTAAAAAATGTTTTAGAAATACAACAGAATAGCTGATAGAAAAAAAAATTGATAACTATGTGGCCTGGCAAATGATTTTCAAATTAAGTCCTTGACAAGTAACTACAAAATGTTTTAGATGTATGAATCAAACTTGGTAGCAAAATAGTGCAAAACTCTAATATGGCAGACCTTAATAGCAGGTAACCATTTGAGATTTGCTACCAAAAATAATTTGTCAACAAGAATCTTTTATATGTCTTTAAAACTTTCCTTTTTCTACTCTACCTAGAATTGTGTTCCACTGCTGTTATAAAAATCTCAAAATATCATATGTATATCATTTAGATAGAAGAGAATTATTTCCTCTTCACTGCCGCCTCCTTTAATTTCAGTTATAATTCCCTTTATAAACATTCTTTTCCTAAGGCACACCATGCCCTATTTATTGCCACAAAGCCACTAAAATCTGTGCCTCAATCTGTCTGCTTCATCAGTATGGTTAAATACAAACCACTTACTAGTGTCTGCTAAAACTTAGTATCATCAAGTCTAGAATGCCATTGGTCTGTTCTACTGGGGCAAAGGCCAAAATACACAAGCATGTGCTCATATGCTCTTTTCCCTACAAACTAACCATATTACCTACTATAACAGTAAAGCTTAATGACATCTCTGGCTACATATAATTCATACCCAATATTATAAAATAAAATGTTAGGCCAGTAAGCTTTCACAATTTTTATTAAATCCTAGTCTAGTTGAACAATATCTGATGTTACAGACATCATCCCATGGTGAACATGTTTAATAAGTGAAAGCAAGTCAGACATCTCATCTAAGTCATTATTTTCTGCAGACTAAGCAATAACTACACAGAACACTATGGGTAAACAAACACCTGCTCAGTTTTCACACAAGCCATGTTGTTTATCAAATTAGATCTGCTAATATTGAATACAGTAGATTCGGTGATTGTAGTTCTCATATAAGTATCTTATTGAGATAACATTTTGACAGTTTCACTGACTTTCCAAATAAGCATACCATAATCAAAGAAAAGAATAAAGAGTGAAGTAAAAACTGAACATGAAGAGATTAAGTTATTAAAGGAAAATGAAGTAAATAAAAAGAGTGAAAAACCATTGGGGGTGGAAGTCAAACAAGCCTAGACATTTGATTGGAAGAGAAAAGATCAAATATGAAGTTCACAAACCAAAAGTTTATAAACTCAATGCAATACAAATCCTTTTTATTGTAAAAGCTGAGTTGAAACTAAAAGATCTATAAAAACTGTTACTTTTGGCCTTAAACAGTACCAACTCTTATGATCAAAAAAGGCCACAACAGTTAAGATTGTATTACTTGATTTTATTTTACACTAGGTGGTGGGCAGACAAAGTAATCCTTAATAAAGTTGACAATTAGCTTCACTCAATATTTTTAATAATGCACATTAAAAAAAAGTATTCATCTTACAAATTCTTCTGCAATCCAAACATACAATAGCTTGGAGAACATTTAGAAAACAAAAGCCAATGTAAAAAGACAGATTAAAACAACTAGAACAGTACAGGTTTTATTTATATGGCTCGAATTTTACAGTTTTCTTACTGCATCATCAATGTCAGAAATCTGTTCCTTCAGCTGGCTCCATTGTTCTGGATTTAAAGAAATACCTAAAACAAAGTTTAAAAATTCAAAGGTGAAAATCTATTTAAGCGTTGAGGATTTTCATACTTCCAACTAGAATACTGTTTTATCAAAATTGCCACTTTAGGCTGGGCGCGGTGGCTCACACCTGTAATCCCAGCACTTTGGGAGGCCAAGGCGGGTGGATCACTTGAGGTCAGGAGTTCAAGACCAGCCTGGCCCAACATGGTGAAACCCCATCTCTACTAAAAATACAAAAATTAGCCGGGCATGGTGGTGGGCACCTGTAATCCCAGCTACTCAAGAGGCTGAGACAGGAGAATTGCTCGAACCTGGGAGGTGGAAGTTACAGTGAGCCAAGATCATGCCACTGCACTCCAGCCTGGGCAAGAGAGCAAGACTCCATCTAAAAAAAAAAAAAAAATTGCCACTTGGACACAATGCTACAATACTGAAAATCATATCTCTTACATTTGTTAATTACATATCATCACAATTTACTGAGCATTATCAATCTCATATCCAGTCTTACTTTCCACAGTGCATCCTGCATAGTACCTATTGTAACCAATGAGAATAAATAAGGGTTTGAAGACACATCTTACTAATACCCGTCAACTATCAGGCTAAAATGGTCAGGTCCAGATTTGGCATGTGATACCCCATTACTATATTTCCAGCTGGTTCCAATATTTGCCCAAAATTTCCACAGGAATTCAAGCCAATTGTGCTGAGTTCTTCCAGAAGCATTCATTTCACTTTGGAAAAATTCCCAGGACGTGATTCATACAGGACTCCTCAGAGAGTATACCCGGGTAACTGCACTCTAGGGTCACCCTATCAGGGTTAAAATTCCAGCCTCACTTTCACTAAGTGTATGACCCTTAAAAAAGAACTACATCACCTTGTAAGCCTTAGTTTCCTCACCAGTAAAATGGCATCTATACGCCAAAGAGTTGTTGTAAATGATTAAGTAACATGAATAATGAACTTAGCATATCACCTAACACATAAATGGTTAAAAAATGTGAGATATGTCTTTCCAGTTTAAGATGTAAAAGTATGAACAGAAATTTTATATTTTCTATATTTTGTACTTTAACGTTCTAGCATTCCAATACCGACGCATATAAACAGAGAAGTAAACAAGAACTGGCAGAAAGTATTCCCAGAAAACTGCTGGAAGGCCATGAAATTGAAAAAAAAGAATAAACAAGAAATATGGCATCGGCCACTCTGGTACGTGAATTACCAATCCAGAAGTGACTTGAAGAAAATATGAAAGCATATAAACACATATAGAGGCTGAGTTTAACCAAAAAAAAAAAAACTGCATGAAGCAAACAAGTGGTACCTTTCAAACTAACAGGCAGGCAGAATAAAACTAAATAAGGAAGCATTTTTCTTTAGCTGAGGGTCAACCTAGAGCAGCAATCCAAATATACAAATTTAGGTTGGCTCACCTTCTCTAGCTGTTTGGTGAATTATACAAAATATGTTTCTACAATGCTAAGAGGCTTGGGACTGGATGAAGCACAAATGGAAGGAAAGCAGAGATCCGCTTGAAGAGTAATGCCCTAAAGAATAGCTTTTAGGAGCTGAATCAAAAGGAAGCATTGTAAACCAAGATTTTCCATTCCTGATTTTACAAGTTCCCAGATAGTGCCTAATCTGCTTCAGAATTGCATAAACCTTTTTAAAAATTGTTCAAGTAAATTAGCAGCCAACTGAAGTGATATTAGGGGTGTTACTTTTCTGGGTTTTATTCCCAAAAGCTGTATTAAGACATCTCATTAAAAAAATGTTAAGTATCATGTCCAAAATAACTACAGAAGATAGAGAATCAATTGAGTAAGACTCTTCCTTGCCCCGTGTGTCCTGCCAACATTTCAAGTAAGCTACTCAGAAAAGTTGTCGTTTAGTCCTAACACTGTAATAAAATTCAAGTAATTAGACCTCACCTTTTCTTCCTGGTTTCATTTCACCTTCAGGATCCATCCAATATTCTCTAATATCAATTAGCACTTTGCCTTTAAAATCGCGAACACTAACGTACCTCATTTTCCCAATCTGCAAAAGAAACAAACATAAAAAGAGGTGCTCCTTTCAAGAGTGGTATCTGTTTCAATTGTATTCATATTCACAACTTGCTGCATGCTCACTCTACATCTAATCATGAAAATGACTACTGCTGACCCTTGAACAACATGGCTCTGAACTGTGCAGGTCCCACTTATATGCATATTTTTTTCAATAAATATACTGGAAAAATTTTTGCAGACTTGACAATTTGAAAAAACTCACAGAACAACTGCATAGCCTAGAAATAACGAAAACATTAAGAAAAAGTTAGGTATGTCATGAATGCATAAAACATACCTAGATATGAGGTTATTTTATCACTTACTATCATAAAACATACAAATCTATTATATGAAGTTAGAGAGAAATGTAAACAAAGATGGAGTATTAATTCATAACTGCATAAAATTAACTACAGTAGTGTACTAGTGTTAACTTCATAGCCACTTCCTGTTATCTCAGTGTACTCAAATGTTACAAGTATCTGCTTAAAACACCTTGTGTAAAACACCATGTGATGCTAATCATCTCTGCTGAGCAGTTCATGTCTCCAACAAATTGCGTATTGCAGTAAAAAGTGATCTCTCACGGTTTTCACATTATTTTTCATCATGATTACTGCAATACCATAAACTTTAAATAACACCATGAGTCCTATACAAAGTGCCCCTAGTGATGCTGAAAGTGCTCCCAAGAAGCAGAGAGAAGGCATGACATCACAAGAAAAAAACTGCCAGAAGCAGTGGTGCATGCCTATGATCCCAGCTACTCAGGAGGCTGAGGCCGGAGGATCACTTGAGCCCAGGAGCTTGAATCCAATCTGGGCAACACAGCAAGATCCTGTCTTTAATTTTAAAATGCAAAAAAATAAAAATAAAAATAAAAATAAAAAAGTTGAATTGCTTGATATGTACCACGGACTGAAATCTGCAGCTGTGGTTGCCTACAATTTCTAACAGATGACATATTTTATTAACAGATGACATATCTTATAAACAGACAACGTAAACTAATGTTATTGATAAACACCATACAGTACAGTAAAATGTAATTTTTCTCCCTTATGATTTTCTTAGTAATATTTTCTTTTCTCTAGCTTACTTTATTGTAAGAATACAGTATATAATACATATAACATACAAATATATGTTAACTGTTTATGTTACTGTTAAGGCTACCAGTCAACAGTAGGCTATACTTAGCAGTTTTGACAAAGTCAAAAGTTATAACCAGATTTTCAACTGCACAGGGGTTGGTGCCTTGCATTTTGACCCTGCATTGTTCAAGGGTCAACTGTACTACTCTCAGTATCAAAACTGCAACCAAAGGAAATTGCTGTTTAAACTATCATATGATCCAGCAATCCTACTTCTGAATATATATCCCAAAAAATTGAAAGCACAGACTCCAAGAGACATCTGCACACCCATGTTCATAGCAGCATTATTCACAAGAGCCAAGAAGTGGAAACAACACAAATATCCACCCAGAGATGAACTGATAAACAAAATGGGAGAGGGGGGGTGGAATAGACACACAATGGAATATCAATTAGCTTTTAAAAAAGGAAATCCTGTTACATACTACGTCAATGAAATAAGCCAGTCATAAAAAGGAAAAAGGTAATACTTTATGATTCCACTTACATGATGTCAAGTTCACAGGAACAAAAAGTAGAATGGTGGTTACCAGGGCTGGGAGAAGGGGAACTGTTGTTTAATGGCCACAGAGGTTCAGTTTTGCAAGATGAAACAGTTTCGGCAATCTGTTTCACAACAATGTGAATATACTTTTATGGTTTTTACCAGCAAAAAAAAAAATCATTAGGAAGCAATATTTTGCAGTACAAACTACAACCAAGAGGAATCCACAGATGCAACTAGCTACACTGCTTCACCAACCATTCTGAATATACGAATCCAGAGTTCCAGTCAATAACAACCAAGTTTTTCCTTTTCATGTTCACTTCAAATAACATCTTTAATGCACCTCACTCACAGTCAGATTGAGAACTTAAAAATATTCACAGAAAATTATTTTTCAAAAATCTTATATATCTGCTTACCACAAATTACAAATTCCAGAGAAAAGAACAGGCTTTCCTCAACAAAGTGTCTCTTAGCACTTTCCAAGACTCACTATAATATAGTAAGGGAAGACAATGCAGTACTGGAGTAAAGACAGACATAAGAGGTCAGTGGAACACAACGGAGTCAAAAAATACACACGCATTGGATATATTCACTGATTTTTTTGGGGGGAGGGGGTAAAATCCAAGGTAATTCAAAGGAATAAGAATACTCTTTTCAACAAATGGTGTTGAAACAACAGGCTATCTGCATTTGGGGTGGGGAAGACTCTAAATCTCTATCTTACATCATACACAGAGAAATTAATTCTACATGAATTATAGACCTAAATGTGAAAACTAAAACTATAAAACTTCTAGGAAAAAACACTGGCAAAAATTTTTGTGGCCATGGTAGGCAAAATACGTCTTGGACAGAAAATAAGCATTAAGCAAAAAAGGAGAAAAATCGATAGAATAGACAATCACACTAAAGCCTTTTTTAAAAAGATGCTTCAGAAAATAAAAAGGTAAACCAGAAACCTAAAGAAAATATTCACTCAAGTTGGAGCCACAGGGGTCTTGGCCTTCGAGGAGAGCCTGAGGAAGAAGCAGAACCGTGGACGTGAAGAAAATGATGAACTGACCAGAATCCGTGAGGACCTCATTTCCAAGAGAGAGAAGATCTGTCACAGACGCCCCTGACCAACTGCCAGTCCCCCCTTATTCTGTCTGTTTGATTCTCTCTGGTTTCATATTTTCCTCTCTGTTAACCTCCACTCATTTTTGAACTAGATTGCTTTGAAAACTAAAGTTTCCCTGAAGTCTAAAAAAAATATTAATTATACTTACATCTGACAAAATATATAAAGTGTTACAACTCAAATGACCTGGCATTTTAAGTGGCCAAAAGATACTCTTCACAAAAGATATAAAAATAACCAATAAACACACTAAAGATGTACAATGAATTAAGACATGTACATGAGGGAAATGGAAAGTAAAACCACCATGAGCTACCATTATACATTCAATGTAACTAAAAAGAAAAAAACTTAAAAGACTGACAATATCTAGCGAGGATGTGGAGCAACTGGAATCTCCTAAGTAGTACCGATGGCTGTGTAAAATGCTACAGCTACTATGGAAAATGGTTTGACAGTGTCTTATACAGTTACACATTTACCCTACGACTCAGCAAATGTATCTGGTATTTACCCAAAAGGGAAAAAATGTCCACAAAATGACTTGTACAAGAATATTCACAGCAGTTGTATTCCTAATAGCCCAAGACTTGATACAATCCCAATGTCCACCCAAGGTGAATGGATTTACAAGTTGTAGTATTATCATACAAAATACTACTCAGCAATAAAATTACTGATATATGCAACAAGAACTAATCTCAACACATTATACTGAGCAAAAGCCAGACACAAAAAATAGACTGCATGTATCCATTTATACAAAGTTCTAGAAGAGACAACATAAATCTATAGTGGTAGAAATAAGATCAGTGATTACCTAGGACATGAGCAATGACTGTAAAGCCAAGAGGAACTTCCTGGGGTGATGAAAATGGTCTGGCCACAAAGGCGTGTACATTTACCACAGCCTATCAAGGTATGCTTTTAAATGTGTGCGTTTTATTGGACATAAACTATACCTCAAAAACATTTTTTTTTTTAAAAAAAAAAGGAATCTGCCCAACAGCTGCCTCTCCCTTGGGGGGAAAAAAAGAGTAAAACTGACAAATTCTTATTAGCAAAAATTAAACAAGTGATGAGATAGTAGTATAGGGATATATTACTTAAAGATAGAAAAAATAAAGATCACTGAAATCACATTTTATTGGAAAAAAATAAAATCAGATGACAATATATTTTATATCCACAAAATCTGGAGATTAGCAGCAAAAAATAGCATATACATCATAAAGAACTGTGATTCTTATACGAATTTGATTCCCTGTCCCCTCTGAAGATCTGATAAAGCAGTGGTTCCTAACCTTTTTGGCACCAGGGACCAGTCTCACGGAAGACAATTTTTCCACAGCAGGTAGGGAAGGGGAAAGGTGATCGTTTCAGGATAAAAATTATCCCACCATCAGGCATTAGATTCTCATAAGGAATAAGGAACGCACAACCTAGATCCCTTGCATGCGCAGTTCACAATAGGGTTCGCGCTCCTATGAGAATCTAATGCCGCTGCTGATCTGACAGGAGGCAGAGCTCGGGCTGCAATGTTCACTCACACACCGCTCACCTCCTGTGCAGGAGGGACCCCTGTGATAAAGGTTATGAATAATTCCTTCAAACACAAAAAAGAAAACTCAAATTAAAAAACAATTCTATGGACTCCTGCCCCAGATTAAAATGACCAGTTATAATCATTTTAAATTAAATAATTTAAAAGTATCAAGTATCCTTAAATCATCAAATAAACTAAAGCAGTATTACTGACCCTTTGTGCCTAACTCTGAAGAAAAATATGGATTAAAGTTTCCTGCCTCAACTATTCTGACCTTTCAAGACACAGGTACTAAATAATTATGAGATAATTCTCCAGTCTCTTTACTATCACAGATGTCACCTCAGGTAGACTACATCCCTATGGAAGAAAGTTCTTCAAAATCAGAGCTGAAGGAACCAGGAAGTAAGCATCTCTAGTATCTTCTCTCTAGTCACGATTCTGCCCCAATCACTTCAGACTTTAAAAGATAAGTCTATTGATTTTTCTTTGGTACAACTCTTTAATACATTTAGAGAACTGCTTATGTATTGATGTTTGATGTACATCAAGCTGTAATGGCAATGAAATTAAGTATCATATTATTTCATAATGCCTACACTACTAGATCCATGAAAGCCACTCTGAAAATAAGGCCTAGGCTGGGCGCCGTGGCTCACACCTGTAATCCCAGCACTTTGGGAGGCCAAGGCAGGCAGATGGCGAGGTCAAGAGATCGAGACCATCCTGGCCAACCAGGTGAAATCCCGTCTCTACTAAAAATACAAAAATTGGCTGGGGGTGGTGGCGCATGCCTGTAGTCCCAGCTACTCAGGAGACTGAGGCAGGAGAATCTCTTGAACCCAGGAGGCGGAGGTTGCAGTGAGCCGAGATTCGTGCTACTGCACTCCAGCCTGGTGACAGAGCGAGACTCCGTCTCAAAAAAAAAAAAAAGAAAAGATGACCTATGTTCCTCCTAGAGGCAGGCTTTCAAAAGGTGCAATGTCAGCCTTAGGAGGCTTAGGAATCTTTCCAGATGAGGGTTTAAGAAATGAAGCTCCGTTTTTCTGGTGAGAAAATTCCTAAAATTAGATCTAGTTTTCACAAAACTCCTCTTAACAGAACAGAATCTCTAAAATGTGTGTTCTGAACTAAATAGTTCATCTGCACTTTGTCTATCTTTTTTACCTAGAAGTATAACAAGGCAAAAATAAGCAATAGGAAAAAAAAAACTTAAATTTTCCCATTCTCACCTTAATCTTGGCACTCCACCTTTCAAAGTTATCAACAGGTCAAAATATACATGTGTTAGCCTTACTTTCTAGTCATATAAATGTCTACAGTCTTGGCCAGTCACGGTGGCTCACGCCTGTAATCCCAGCACTTTCAGAAGCCAAGGTGGGCGCATCACTTGAGCTCAGGAGTTCAAGACCAGCCTGGGCAATACTGTTTCTACCAACAACAAAGAAAATTTGCCAGGCGTCATGGAGCATTGCCTGTAGTCCCAGTTACTCAGGAGGCTGAGGCAGGAGGATCATTTGAGCCCAGGAAGCGGAAGTTGCAGTGAGCAGAGATCACACCACTGCACTCCAGCCTGGGTGACAGAGCAGAGACCCTGTCTCAAAAAAAAAATTGTAGTCTCGTTCCACCCAACTTTTTGGTTTCAACTAATACTTATAGCTCCTGGAAACACTCATCCTTTTCTTGCTCCCATTACTGCACTCTTCTAATTTTCCTTCACCCTCTCTCTTAACCTACATCCTCTTTTTCCTTCCATTCTCTATCTGAATATAACCCAAGACATCCCCTCATCTGCTTCCTGTTCTTCCTCTGTTTAATACTTCAGTAGGCAGCTTTAGTCAACCATGCTGATAATCCCACATGAACATTTCCCAACTAAGCCCTTCAGGTGCTACAGAAGCAACACCATTTTTTTTTTCAATCACATCCACAATCAAGTCCACATCTTCACTGACTGCCTAATTCCTCTGGTCCATTCTTCCTAACCTGTATCTTGTAATTGGCATAATTTCTTCTTTAGGAAAAACCATCTAAGCCCTTATCACCTCACATACAGATTAAAGCCTACAATTACCTAAGCAATCTCACCTGCATTCATTTATTCCCCAACATCCCTTCCTCACAAATCCTTCTTGTACAAAGATGCCAGTGTCAAGTCTCCCTAAAACAAGACAGGAAACCCAAGAGAAAAAGCTATACGAGTCCTCTCTAGGTGATTTCATCAAGTCCCTCTAATGAACTTCCTTCACTTTATCTATTCAACCCATTCCCCTTTTCTGTTGCTCATCAGGCCAAAATTAGGCATGTCACATTGCTGCTTCCTGTCCCATAATAATCTATTCATACTTTACTGTCCCAACACTTGACCTGCCTCCTCCAAGTTGCTTTCAAAATGTGCAGTTCTCAATTAAATTTGCATTGGTTTAAATACAGCAAAACTAGACTTTAGAGACTTTAACAATAATCCAGCATCGTACAAAATACTTTTACTAGTTTGTTCTATTTTAATAAATGTCCCTAGTTAAGAAGATTGTAACATACATATTAGGCAATTATCAGATCATAGTACTTTTAACATTCTTCAGATCAAGCCAGATAATAATTCCTCTGAATCTAAAGAAACAGCCAACTTTGGCAAGGCATGGTGGCTCACACCTGTAAACCCAGCACTTTTGGAGGCTGAGGCAGTTGGATCACAAGGTCAGGAGTTCAAGACCAGCCTGGCCAAGATGGTGAAACCCCATCTCTACTAAAAATACAAAAATTAGCCAGGTCTGGTGGCGGATGCCTGTAATCCTAGCTACTCGGGAGGCTGAGGCAGAGAACTGCTTGAACTCAGGAGGCTGAGGTTGCAGTGAGCCGAGATGGCGCCACTGCACTCCAGCCTGGGTGACAGAGCATGACTCCATGTCAAAAAAAAAAAAAAAAAAAATAGCCAACTTTACCTGAAACATGTTATCATCTCTGCTGCTGCTGCTCTGTTTAGAAGATGACAGGGCTCTCGAAGTCTCACCTGTCTTTTGTTTCTTTACAGGTTTTTCTGGAGCAACTTGCTTTTTCCTCTTTAACTAGAAAAGAATATGGTTAAAATTTGCACACATAAAAATAAAACATACCCCAGTGTCAAAAGATCCCATTACTTTTTAAGATTTAAACAATCAAAAGACTACATCCAAAATATCATAAATATATACATAAGCAAGTTTCACTCAACAACAAAACTATGAATCTAACCAATCCTTCTGTCTAGTAATGTTTTCAAACTCTGTTCTCAGGATCCCAAAAGACACTTCAGGCATTATAGTAGTATTAACCACAGGAACGGTTATTTTGTGGTTTGGGATCCCACATACGATTTCTTTGGTAGAAAAAAAAATGGAGGGATCTTGCTACTTCTGAATAAACCTGGAAACCACAGTCTACTAAGGCTAGTCAGTTACTTATTTTACGAAGCAGATATACTAATTAAAAAGAATATAACCAACTTATTCCATTTCCAGGATATGTTTATTTATGTCCTGCCTATTCCAAAAGGAATTTATGCTGGCTTAAGGAATTTATGGGCCGGGCGCGGTAGCTCACACCTGTAATCCCAGCACTTTGGGAGTCCGAGGCGGGAGGATCACTTGAGGTCAGGAGTTCGAGACCAGCCTGGCCACATGGTGAAACCCCATCTCCACTAAAAATACAAAAAAAGTTAGCCAGGCGTGGTGGTGGGCACCTATAATCCCAGCTACTAGGGAGGCTGAGGCAGAGAACTGCTTGAATCCAGGAGGCTGAGGTTGCAGTGAGCCGAGATCGTGCCATTGCACTCCAGCCTGGGCAACAGAGCGATACTCCATCTCAAAAAAAAAAAAAAAAAAAAAAATTAGCCAGGCGTGGTGGCACACGCCTGTAATCCCAGCTACTCGGAAGGCTGAGGCAGGAGAATCGCTTGAACCCGGGACGCGAAGGTTGCAGTGAGCCGAGATCGCGCCATTACACTCCAGCCTGGGCAACAAAAGCAAAACTTCATCTCAAAATAAAAAATTAAAAAAAAAGGAATTTACAATTAGGCAAATCTTTAGAGAGCTATTTTGCACTGGGCACTGACAGCCAGCAACTCAAGAACTTCCTCATTACAAAAAAAAAAAAAATCATTGTAGACAGCTATGTGTTAGACTAGCTTTCAAAAATCACAACGTTGTTTTAAAAACAGCATTATTTTAAAAGCTTATTAGAAAGTCGCATTCTCAAAAAGAGCTAACCCATAAAAACCACTACAATACCCAACCCAAACAGAAGAGGGCAGTCATGTTCCTTCTTGATGGAATAGTATAAATATTTTAATGTTACTAAATTAATTGAATGTTACCAAATTAGATGAAGCTAGGAAAAATATTATATACATGTAAAACATGAAATGAAAAATGTGGTATACAAGGTTAAGTGTTTACAAGAGTAATATTACTATTTGGGACAAACAAAAAGTTAGCTCAATATGCAGAAAGCAATTATTCTATAAATCAGGCTCTAAGTATTCCCTGTGGAATAGTGCATGTCTGGCAAATAAAAGCTCAATACACATGTGTTACATCAACATACTCAAATACTATATAGGGTGCAAATTTTAAAATTAAGAAATTTACTCAAGTATAGTCTTTGAAGCCTTATTTTACCCTTCCATGTGTTGTTATATTCTATATTTATACTTTAAGGTTGCAACTTCTCCAATCTCCCATACGCTCTCCCCTTTTCTTTTAGCTAAAATTGCTAAGCTTCAGGAGGAAAAAAAAAAGATAGGGAGCCTGCTTCTTTTGAATAAACTTTCGGAAATCACAGGTCTACCAGTGCTAGTCATTACTTACTATTTTACAAAGGATATATACTAATTAGGAAAAACACGACCAACTTATTCTATTTCTAGGATATAAATATCTCTTCAGATATGTAAAGTTCTATGCGATAAAAGACAATTCTGCACGGAAGACTTGACCGCAGAGTGAGACGCTCAGTTATGCTCCACTGAGATGCTCAATTTAGCGAAATTCACCAATTACGGTGCAGCTGTCATCTAATGCAGAAAAAGCCTATCTTGTCAATGGGTTTCAAGTTAGCTTTACTGCGTGCTGATTTAATTAAATGGAAGGGACCAGAGCACAAACTTAGTACAAACTTAAAAATGTACCAAGTCTAAAATTCAGAAAACCTTATGTGCAGAATAAACACCAGTAACTAAGAGAACTGTCAAAATTAACATTTTATGGCCACTCATGATGGCTCACACCTGTAATCCCAGCACTTTGGGAGTCTGAGGCAGAAGAATTGCCTGAGGCCAGGAGTTTGAGACCAGCCTTAGCAACACAGCAATACCTGGTCCCTACAAAAACATTTTTTTTTTAATTAACCAGGCATGATGCCTGTAGTCCCAGCTACTCTGGAGGCAGAGGTGGGAGGACTGCTTGAGACCAGGAGGTCGAGGCTGCAGTGAGCCATGATGGTGCCACCACACTCCAGCCTCGGCAAGAGAGTAAGACCCTGTCTTTAAAAAAAAAAATTAACATTTTACAAAAAAAAATCTGGTAAATTTCTAAATAACGGCAAATAGTGACTTTGGCCTACTTAGAATTCTATGACCCTAGGATGCAAGGCAGTGTTTCTGCAACTTTAGGGTTCCTAATGATGCTCAACAGAAGACTTGTTAAGTCTGATTTAGGGCCTATGAGTATGAATGTGCAAAAAGCATCCTAGGCACTTCTAGTCAAGTGGTCCAGAGACCAACCGTACCTCCAGAAATACCCATTCACATTCTTATTTTTTATTTTTTATTTATTTATTTTTTTAAAGAGACAGGTTCTTGCTATGTTAGCCTGGTTGGTCTTGAACTCTTGGCCTCAAGCAATCCTGCCACCTCGGCCTCCCAAAGAAGTAGGATAACAGGCATGAGCCACCGCGCCCAGCTAGATCCTCATTTTAAGATGTTAATACACCTTTTACTATCCTTCAGAATGGGATATGGACAATATTGTTGAGTATCACCAAAATGACTTGGTGCAGCAGTAGTCACCTTTTTGTCAACCTCACTGTCAGAATCACTGCCAGAAGAGCTTGAAGAAACAAGTTCCTTTGATTTAGGCATCCTGAAAGAAAAATACATTACAAAAATAATTAATAAGGTACTCTACTACTTTCAACTTAGCTCTCCCCCAATCAAAGAAAAAAATCAAGGACAAGTTCCACGGTTCATTCTACCATTTTTGTGGTACTGAGTTGTTACACTGAGCACAAGTTTTAATCTATACCCTTTTAAGTTGCAAATAACACGCAGGGTGCAATGTGCTGAACCCAGTAAGAACAATGAACTAAATGTCATACACTCCTACACCTCTAACCTTTCTCCAGGCCAATGGATCTTTCTATACTTCGTTTTAATGGCATTACACACTATGGGTAGGGTAAACTGCAAGAAGGCAGCAGACAACAATTACTATTAAAACCAGAAGAAATGTAATTCTACTATTACTGCTTTAGACTTCTCATCAACGAGATTGGAACTAACGTAAAATTATTCACTATGGGGAACTGACCCCAACATTTACACAACAGGGAACTAGCTGTACTATGCAAATGTGACATCTAATTAATTTTTACATAATATTTTATTCATATTTTGACTTTTTGGCCGTATCACCAAAATAACGACAGGTACTAATTCAAGAGTACACAAAATTATACGCAATTCAGGCCGGGAACGATGGTTCACGCCTGTAATCCCAAAACTTTAGGAGGCCAAAGCAGGCGGATCACCTGAGGTCAGGAGTTCGAGACCAGCCTGGCCAACATGGTGAAACCCTATCTCCACTAAAAATACAAAAATTAACAGGGCACGGTGGCACACCTGTAGTCCCAGCAATTCGGGAGACTGAGGCAGGAGAATCGCTTCAACACCGGAGGCAGAGGTTGCAGTGACACAAGGTCACATCATTGCACTCCGGCCTGGGCAACAAAGCAAGACTCCATCTCAAAAAAAAAAAAAAATCTTACACAATTCACAGCAATTCATTACATTTTACACAGATTTTTCTACTCTGGAACATAATTAAAATTTGAAGAACCTATTTATGGGAGGTGCAAAACCTATTTATGGGAGGTGCAAAACCTTCCCGCAAATTCCTACCATGCTGGTAACTTCCCAGGTCCCCCCAGAGACATAGATAACTTAGTGCCTTGCTTACAAGTGGGTGTTTACTGAGTGCCTGAGTGCAAGTTTGCAGAAAGCAAACTATCAGTAAGCCTAAGCCCCAAATTTCAAGGAATTCCAAGATACGTGGATACCTCTATTCAAGGCACTTATAACACCAGGTCATAAAACGCTGATTATCAAAATATCTTTTGCTCTCCCCATCTCAGAAGAGATTAGGTCCTATTAACCCATTTATGCCAGAGGTTGCAATTTTTTGAATTTATGCAAGCAGACCTTGGCGATGATCTTGAGCAGTAGCACATAAATAACTCCCACATGCTTAGCGTTCCAATAATGGAACACTAGGCATAAATTAGCTAATTTCTGTATGCGTTAAAGGGCCTAATAAACACATCACACACTGTATTTGTTTAATACAAGAAAAAAAGACTTAAAATTCCTCCTTAAAAAAAAATCATAAATAATCTAGCTCTCTAGATGAAACTTGCATTAGCACTGACATTGCATATGTTCCAAAATAGGAGGTCAAGGAAAAAGAAGTGGGCCACCCCAATCCTAGCCATTAAATTCAAAAAGCTCAATCTGATTTTAACTGGTAATGTCTTCAAGGGTAAATTCAGAAGGGAAAAGCAATGTTCATGACCACGTTTTATCCGTTTTTCCTGTTTCTGCTCCATTTTGCAACCTCATCTCTAAAATCAATTTAGTTAAGTTTTTTATGCTAATTAATACGACAAAAAGATATTTTTTAAAAAGGTAATTAAATTGAACATAATTTTTCACTTTGAAACTGTCGATCATAACTACCGTCTGTTATCAAAAACTGCCTGGGGGCCTAAGAATTTTTCAAAGAACCACCTGGTACTCAACCCAAAGAAGTCCACTGGAGAAGAAAGGTAACGGTAACTAAAACCAGCCTCTAAACTTTTAACAAATATATATTTACCTTAATGAGCCTGTTCCAATGTGGGGGTGGGGGGAGAAGCAGCTTGTAATTCAAGTAACTGATACTGAAACCACTATTGTAGAATTTATACAAAACGCAACTTTAAAAAGAGAAACGAAATCTTCAGCCTTTGCTGATTGAGGGAAAGATCAGAAAAAAACGAGGTGAAAATGAACCAGGACTGAAGGGCACACGACTTCGGTATAACAGGAAGGTGACAAGCACAAGACCAGGGAAGGGGTCGCGCGGCCCCAGCAAGCCGCTAGAACCCCGTGGCTAGCAGCCGCTCGGGCGAGGGGAGACAGGTTGGTCGGAGGGGGCGTGGGAGGCGGCGAAGTGCGGAGAAGACGGCGTGGGAAGGGGCGGGATTTGCACCAAGCGCCATTTTCTTCTCTCGAAGCGTTCCCTCCCCCTGCACATCAGCCGTTCTTCCCCCGGCCCCCTCCCGCCCGCATCCGCTCTCCCAGTCTCCAGAGCGCCCCGCTCAGGGCGAGGGGCGGGGGAAGAGTAGGTAACCGCACGCGCCCCACCTAGGCAGGCCGCCGCCGCATTGTCCCGGGGACGCCGCGACTCTCTCCCCGCGACTCCTCACTCCCCGGCCGCCCTCAATCTACCGCCCCGGGCCGCAGCGCCCGCCGCCTCGACTCGGCTCCCCGGGGACAGGAGTCTACCGCGGAAGGGCCCACAGCGCGTCAGGCGTGGAGTCAGAAACGGAGAAGGGGGCCGGGGACGCCGAGGGGAAGGGGGAGGTAAGGCAGAGCCGCCATTTCCCGCGGCCATTGCCGGCGAGAGGAGTGGAGGGCCGAAGGCAGCTCACGGCCCGGCTGGGAGGGTGGGGGCCCCGAGGAGTAGGGGTAGGGGGTCCCGCGCACTCACGCTTCGCTCGGCTCTAGCAGTCGAACACCCTCTTGGTCGTTCGCTCGCGACTGACAGAGAACCGGAAGTGACGGCAGCCAGGAGACGCCGGCCCCGCCGCGCTGGGGCTGCGGTCACGTGATGGGGCGTGGCCTCCCCACAGAAACCAACACTTAGACCCTTTCCAGGGCCTTAAAGGGACCGCGTCTCTTCCTAAATGGGTGACGCGAAAGTCAGATGTTGGAAGATTACATCTGACCCTTGAGAGAATGAAAGAGCTAATATCCTTCCTGTAGGAGATAGCTTAAAAAAAAATTAAAAAAAAGGAAAACGCCAATAAAACATGAGTGACAAGCGCCAAGCTTTGCGTTTGTTCAATAAATGTTTACTCTAATGAAGCGAAGGGGTCATAATGAAAAAGATCAATACTCTGGCCCATTTTCCCAGAAATGGTCTTCCTACCCCACTTCACCCACCTCAATACATGCCTCTGCCTCCTAAAATCCAAAGGAAGGAAGCTAAAGTCACAGCGTTTAATTCCAGAAAGTGCAAGAAATCTTTGGAGTACTCCTTATTCCTGTATTGAAGTCCTGGAGATGTAAGGGAGTTCACAGAAGGCAAGAGGAATCCATATACAAGCAGGAATATAGCTAAAAGATTATTTGAATATGTATTTGAATGAATACTTCCTACAGCTAAGAATCAATATAAAGGCATATCTATTAACAAAGATTTATCAAGCACCCACTACGTGTCAGACGCTGCAGGAGGCAATTTACATTACTCATCCTAACAAGCATGTTCCAAAGCAGAAATGACTGTTCTCTCCATTTTATAGACGAGGAAACCAAAGTTAACGCCCTATGGAGAGGATATTTCCTGTTACAGCTGAAGCGTGAATTGTCCTTATGTTCTCTCCCTCCAGACCCTATTTTCCTGCCTCAGGTAGAGGAATGGTATGGGATTTTACAAAGTAGAGGATGGAATCCTGTCGAAGCTCAGAATTGCACATCGGAGATGCCACAGAGGCTAAGGAAGGGCAGTGGGTTGCAGAAAGGGAGGAGTGTTTGGATCTACATATGGAGCAGTTAGACCTGTGGTTCCCACCCATCCCACCCTTATAGGAGAAGAGAGTTATATATTCCCTGCAAACATTAAAGCTGGGAGCGGAATGTGTAATGGGGTTGAGACGCAAAGAACACAGCGGATGGAATCAAAGTCTGAACACTAAACGTGAAAGCATCCCCCACACGTCCCTTTCTAGAATTACCTGACTTTTAAAGGATTAAATGCTGACAAAAATACAAACTAATCCCTTAGTTTGTTGTGAAACTCTCCATCATAATGAAATAAAAGAAGCCATGAAAATAAACACTGACATCAGGCGCGGTGGCTCACCCCTGTAATCCGAGCACTTTGGGAGGCCGAGGCGGGTGGATCGCCTGAGGTCAGGAGTTCGAGACCAGCCTGACAAATATGGTGAAACCCCGTCTCTACTAAAAACACAAAAATTAGGCGGGCGTGGTGGCGTGTGCCCAGCTACTCAGGAGGGTAAGACAGGAGAATCATATGAACCTGGGAAGTGGAGGTTGCAGTGAGCTGAAATTGTACTACTGCACTCCAGCCTGGATGACAGAGTGAAACTCCGTCTCAAAAAAAAAAAGAAAAGAAACACTGACATTATGCATTGTCATGGGACACTGCGCAGCTCCACACCTAGCTAAAGAAATGCTTAATATTCAAGGTAAACCACGTACACTTAAACTAATATGGTATCCCCTCCATCTGCAACCCTTCCTGCTTTAACAAGTTTTCATTCAGTTTCTGTGTCACTGAGGGAACCTGGGCAGTGTGCCTGCTGTAGGTTTGGGTTTCGGTTCTCTAAGCGTCGGAGGTGGAGAGCTGTTAAGGAGGTATGCATTTTTAGAAGTAGGGAGACCTGAAACTTTGCATGCAAATTTGTTGGCTCAATTTTCCTGGGTGTGGTACTTTGTAAAACTAATCGAAAATCCTTGATCCTAAGCGTTGCCCATTTTTAAAAGGTAAACATAACTCAAGAAAATAAACAAAAATAATTTTTTACATAGATGAAAGAGGAAGGAAACTTTTTTATTTTAAACAAAATAGGGGCCAGGCGTGGTGGCTTATGCCTGTAATCCCAGCATTTTGGGAGGCTGAGGCGGGTGGATCACCTGAGGTTAGGGGTTTGAGACCAGCCTGCAAACCTGATGAAACCCCGTCTCTACTAAAAATACAAAAAATTAGCCGGGCGTGGTAGCGGGCACCTGTAATGTCAGCTACTCGGGAGACTGAGGCAAGGAGAATCGCTTGAACCCAGGAGGCAGAGGTTGCAGTGAGCTGAGGCTGCACTGAGCCTAGATCACACCCATTGCACTCCAGCCTAGGCAACAAGAGCGAAACTCCGTCTCAAAAAAAAAAAAAAAAAGACAGCAGTTGCTTTCAAATAATAGAATGGGAAGGAGGTGTAATTCACATGCATTTGTACATTGTGGGGTGGGGAATAGCTCCTTTTATAGGCAAATTCCTAGAGGGCATCTTTAAAAGTGAAAGAACTCCCACTTTCCACTCCAAGCCTTGGTCTGGAAGAAGAGGGTGGCACAAAAAGGAATGTGCTGAATTTGGAGAATCTGTAGGTGTCCCAGAAAGGGAGGTAGACTGGGAAGTAGGGCTGAGAAGGGAAATAGCTCACAAACTATGAAAGGGACAGAGCTTGAGGAGGAGACTGCCAGGAAGAAGTTCCTGGAGGCCTGGAGTATGGCACGGGACTGTTAATGCGGTTCCCTCCAAGGCCTTATGCTGTCGACACCCTCCGTTACTCACTTCTTTCAAAGCTTCCGAAAAAGGCTTATTCAAGTATCAGGATATTATTTTGAAATCTTACCCAATGTGGCTTTTGTTACTAGCACTTCCTGCTTTCTGACCTTCACTCTTTCCCCATCCCCCGTTTTCTCAGCTACAGCATTTGACTAGAAGAAGGATGTTAGACCAGAACACACAGACCAGATTCTTGGCTTTTGACTTTTTTAAACTATTAGGATTCCAGGCATAAATTACAGATTTAAGGTAATGTGCTATTAAAGTTTTTTTCTGGCTGGGTGCTGTGGATCCTGCCTGTAATCCCAGCAATTTGGGAGGCCGAGGTGGGTGGATCACTGGAGCCCAGGAGTTGCAGACCAGCCTGGACAACATAGTGAGACCCTGTCTCTACAAAAAATACAAAAAAATGGGCCAGGCACAGCGGCTCACGCCTGTAATCCCAGCACTTTGGGAGGTCCAGGTGGGTGGATCACGAGGTCAGGAGATCGAGACCATCCTGGCCAACATGGTGAAACCCCGTCTCTACTAAAAATACAAAAATTAGCTGGGCGTGATGGTGCGTGCCTGTAGTCCCAGCTACTCAGGAGGCTGAGGCAGGAGAATCGCTTGAACCCAGGAGGCAGAGGTTGCAGTGAGTCAAGATCATGCCACCGCACTCCAGCCTGGTGACAGAGACAGACTCCATCTCAAAAAAAAAAAAAGAAAAAGAAAAAGAAAAAGAAAAAAATCAGCTGGGTGTAGTGGTAAGTTCCTGTAGTCTCAGCTACTCAGGAGGCTGAGGCAGGAGGATTGCTTGAGCCTGAGAGGTCGAGGCTGCAGTGAGCCATGAGTGCGCCACTGCATTCATTCCAGCCTGGGTGACAGCCTGGGTGTTTTTGAGACCCTGTCTCAAAAACAAACAAACAAAAATAGTTCCTTTTAGCCCACCCCACTCGCCTGTAGAGATTATTGCAACTGTGAAAGGGAGGAGTCAGAAGAGAAAGGAGATGAGGCCCCTCTTCAGTGTCTAAGGAGTAGAGAAGTAGTTCTGCTGTCTGTCCCCACACCAGCCCTGGGGAAGGAAGGAAGCATCAAATTCCCAGAGGGCTTAGGGATCTGAGAGAGCAAAGCAAACTGGTGCCTTGCTTTCCAGGCAGCCGAGCTCTCCGAGCTCCTCTGCAACCCAAGCGCCCCTCCCTCCACCACAGAGTTGGGGTAGAGATATCTGTGTGGTGTGTCAGGATGGCCGACCTCAGGCTTCCTCACCGAGTTCAGAGATGCCCCAGGGTACTGCAGCATTCAGGGGAATGTCTTTCTCTTTGGCCAAGAGTGGCACAGATGTGTCAGTGACAGCCAGCAGACCTGGGGAGGACTTGCAGTGAGGAAGAGGAAATCTCACCACCCTCAACTTGCATAGAGTGCTGTAACAAAGGACATCTCAACAAATACCAGTGTGAAGAAGTGAGAAGGATCAAGAATCAGACAAGATGAACTGTTAAGCAAAGGCCAATGATACGGTCTCCATCTGTGTCCCTGCCCAAATCTCATGTTGAGTTGTAATCCCCAATGTTGGAGGAGGGGGCTGGTGGGAAGTGATTGGATCCTGGGGGCAGATCTCCCTCTTGCTGTTCTCGTAATAGTGAGTGAATTCTCACGAGATCTGGTTGTTTAGAAGTGTGTAGCACCGGCCGGGCACAGTGGCTCATGCCTGTAATCCCAACACTTTGGGAGGCTAAGGAGGGTGGATCACGAGGTCAGGAGATCGAGACCATTCTTGCCAACATGGTGAAACCCTGTCTCTACTAAAACTACAAAAATTAGCTGGGAATGGTGGCACATGCCTGTAATCCCAGCTACTTGGGAGGCTGAGGCAGGAGAATCACTTGAACCAGGGAGTCGGAGGTTGCAGTGAGCCGAGATCATGCCACTGCACTCCAGCCTGGCGACAGAGCGAGACTCCATCTAAAAAACAAAACAAACGAAAAAAAAAAACAGTGTGTAGCTCCTCCCCCTTGTCTCTCTTCCTCCTGCTCCAGCAACGTAGGATGTGCCTGCTTCCCCTTCTCCTTCAACCATGATTGTAAGTTTCCTGAGGCCTCTCCAGCCATGCTTCCTGCACAGCCTGTGGAACCATGAACTAATTAAACCTCTTTTCTTTATAAGTTGCCCAGTCTCAGGTAAATCTTTATAGCAATGCGAGAACAGACTAATGCGGCTGTCATGGACAGATGGGGAAAATGGGCCAGACTCTACCACTACCCTTAGTGCTCTGACACCATGTAATCCTACCCCACCTCTGTCCAGAATTTAGGAGAGAAAGGGGGAAAGGGAGAAATTATGAGTTTGACCTGAAATTGGCCACAATTAAGCTTTTACCACTAGGTGAAATGGTGATCATTAAACACAATCATAAGAAAATGAAGAAAGTCACATTTCCTGAGAGCCTGAGTTTGTAGCACAAGAGACATACCAGTAATATACAAAGAAGAGGAAACAAGAAAGAAAGGGAGAGGAACAGGCTTATGTGCCAGGGATGTGGTGGGCACCTAGGGAGGTCAGCCGCCTCTGGTTTAACCTCCAGGCTAAAGCAGGAAAGCAGATCACAGCGTGAATGACTAGGAGAACATAACTCCTTCCAGGTTATTTTGGGAAAACTTAAGAATTCTGGAGGTCCCACGGCACATGGAATGGTAGCACCAACCATTCAATTTGGATATTAAAAGATATGGTGGCTCTGGATGTCTAGAGGTTTTAGGAACACCTAGGATGGGGCCATGTGGATCATACATGCAAAAGAGAAAACAAATAAAACAAAAACCTGGGCATCCTCCAGTTTAGTGAGTCTGAAGAACTGGGAAGGGAGACAGTACAAGGTAAGAGGGTTGTTATGGATTGAATGCTTGTGTTTTCCCCCAGATTCATATGTTGAACCCTTAATCCCAGTGGGATGGTATTATAGGTGGGGACTTTGGGGCATACTTAGTCATAAGGGTGGAACCCTCATAAATAGATTCATGCTGTTATGAGAAGAGACAAGAGAGAGCTTAATTATTCTGTCTCTGTTCTCTGCCATGTAAAGATACAACAAGAAGGCAGTCATCTGCAAACCAGAAAGTGGGCCCTCACCAGATATGCAGGCACCTTGATCTTGGACTTCTCAGCCTCCACAATTGAATAAAATAAGTGTTGTTTAAGCCACCCAGTCTATGTTATTTCTATTACAGCAGACTAAGACGGGGCAATATACACTCTCCCCAAGAGGAGACACAGGGAGCACCTACTCTTTGTAGGGTGTGAGTTATATCCATCAGATGCAGTGATGTGAGAAAAAGTTAAGGCATAAAAAGCCTTGTGGGTGGGGCTCGGTGGCTCACACCTGTAATCCCAGCACTTTGGGAGGCTGAGGCAGGTGGATCACTTGAGGCCAGGAGTTCAAGACCAGCCTGGCCAACACGGCAAAACCCCATCTCTACTAAAAAATACAAAAATTAGCTGGGTGTGGTGGCACATGCCTGTAATCCCAGCTATCTGGGAGGCTGAGGCAGGAGAATCCCCTGAACCTCAGAGGGTGAAGTTGCTGTGAGCTGAGAGAGGGTGAAGTTGCTGTGAGCTGAGATCACACCACTGCACTCCAGCCTGGCTGACAGAGCAAGACTCTGTCTTAAAAAAAAAAAAATCCTTGCTTCACAGGCTTTGAAGAAGCTGGGAAAAATAATTTTCCTTCTTCCTTTCCTGCCCTGCTAAACCCTGGAGTGTTAGGCCTAGAGACAGAGAGGAAGAAACCAGCAACAGTGTTCACCTGGTGTTATGTAGGCTTGGCTTCAATGAGACATAATCCCAGATCAGAAAGCCAACAATGGCAGTCAAAAACAAACAGAGTGAAATTCCTCTGTCAGCAGTTATAGTGGTAATGCTGGTCATCTGGAGACCAAAGTGGGCAATTTAATATGGATGAGAGGAGAAAAGGAAGGACTGAACTTGCTCCCCATAGCAGCGCTATGACCCATGCGCTAAAATTTTCTTCCACCAAACAAGTTGCTACAGACCCTTGTATTTTATCTACCGTCAAAAATGAACTTTCATAGTACAACATTAAAAAAGCTAAGAATATGTAATTCCAAAAGTTTAATACTCCTTCTCACTCAAGTAATTATAAATAAATATGAATTACATGAATTACGTGTAAAGTCATATGCAATGAGTAACAGCAATATATTTAAGGAAGTTATTTAAATACAAACTGCTAAGCATTTCTCCCCTAGGGTGACTTTTCTGAACTTGGTACTGGAGCTATTCTTAGATCCAACTTTCATTAGAAATGCAGTGTCACCTTTTATAGAAGAACGCATTTTGTAATAGCAAATATATGTACACCGTCTTTAGTAGGTGAATAGCACAACTCCTCCTGCTAGCTATACCTGACTTATTTAATGTGCTATAAAATAGTGTAATTACTTTCTAGTAAATATGCTGTAACTTACATTCAAATGAGTGTTTTCTCCTTCAAAAGTCGTCTTCTTGGAGGCTGCAAAAACATTGTAATGACTCTGACATTGGTCAAAGTTAACTTTTAGAATTCCTCTTTGAGAATGGCTGTCAGAGCTTGAGGCATAGTCTTTTACAGGCTCCCAGCAACAAGAAATCTTTAGCTTTTGCAGTTAATTTCTATTTGTAAAGAGCAAAAAGGTTTCTAAGTTCCATGATCAGTAATATGAGTAATTAAGAAATTTATAAAAATGATATCCTTTTATGGATTACTAATTGGCCCTGGTAACAAATACAAAAAAGAAAAAATGTTGAGTGCAAATGTGGGATCACTGTTTGAACAAATATGTAATGTCCCAAGAAGACTACTATGGAGGATAGTTCATTTATGTGTTCTGGTTTCACATGTTATGTGTTACCTGTTACAAAGACAGTCTATTTAAGTGTTAAATTTTCTGGAGTGCTCAATACTTAACATGCATACTATGTTGCTATGCTTGTGATAGTCAATAAAAAGAATTTGAAAAATCCAATCCAAGTATCTACCTCTTAGCTGGGGCCCAGCACTAGGCTGGCTGGTTGACCATCACACCCCTTGCAGGAAGCATAGCATGAGATGTATTAGCCAATGGGTTACGTATAGTGACTGAATAGACAATCAGATACCATCATGGTCTCGACTGAAACAAGAACTTGATCTGCCAACAGCCCTGCTTAGCCAGAGATCACAGGAGAGAGTGATACCTGCACTGAGAAACCCAAATTATTTAATTTGGCAATACCTTCAGAGTACTACAGTTTAGCATAGTTATGCAGACTCTTCACCTCTGAACTGTCAGAGAAACTAGCAGCCCGGGGTCAAGATTACAATGCTACTCAATCACATCCTGAGTTTTTCATACCACTGGTACTTCACAGTGGTCTTTTCACATCATTGTGTCTTCAGTTAATGTATTTCTTGTTTGAAAGATCAGCTTGTTGCTTTTGGTTTCAAAATTTTAACTATGATTAACAAACCAAGACAGGTGTATTGATTCTGGTATCTCAGTTTGTTAAAAGGTCTGCTTTTTAGTAACCCCTTATATGGACATTCTTGTTCCTCGGTGACTTCTGCTAGATTATCAAGCCCTAGACTTCAATAGTTAAATAGTGTATTCTATCATGGCAGAACCTAGGACATAGTTGACTTTATATCCCTGAATAGGACAATACTGAAAATGGAAACTCTTGCAGAAGTATATCTGACTAAGTCCATCCGGGACATAGCATCCAACAAGAAAAACTGGGATCTACACACAGAAGAAAGTAGCAAGGTAAAGAAATCGGTAAATAATTTCTCTCCAACGAGTTTTTAATTTATTCGCTAAAAGAACTTCAACTGTTATAATTGTTAAGCAAATTCCTCAACAATTCTGCTTTCTTATGCCCTGCTGGTTTAGTTTTCTGCTCTTTCTTGTTTTAGCCCTTGCTCTAAATTTTCCTTTAAAGAAACTTCTAGAGACATCTACCACATTAGATTCTGCTGAAATATGTTATCAGGTTAGTAATTTATTTTCTCTAAAGACCTGGAGCTTTTTTTTCAAATGAGATATTTCCTCTATGAATTCGAACTGTTACTCTGGAGGATAGTTTTCTTTTTTCTGTCTTCTATTTTTTGTTTTGTTTGCTTTGGTTTGGTTGGTTGGTTGGTGGTTTTTTGTTTTGTTTTGTTTTTCTTTTTTAGTCTGAGTCTTTCTCTGTCGCCCATGCTGGAGTGCATGCAGCAGTGTGATCTTGGCTCACTGCAACCTCTGCCTCCCCAGTTCAAGTGATTCTCCTGCCTCAGCCTCCCAAGTACCTGGGATTACAGGCACCTGCCACCACGCCTGGCTAATTTTTTTTTTTTTTTTGTATTTTTAGTAGAGATGGGGTTTCACCATGTTGGCCAGGCTGGTCTCGAACTCCTGACCTCAGGTGATCTGCCCGCCTTGGCCTCCCAAAGTGCTGGGATTACAGGCGTGAGCCACTGCGCCCAGCCATTTTTGTTTGTTTGTTTTCTTATTTACCAGGGATGCTGTTAAATAGGATAGTTTTCTAATAAAACTTGCCCATTTTAAACAATCTATATGAATTCACATTTCTTTAGGTCATTTATGTAATTTTTATTAATTCTTCAGTATTCTGACTAGGAGCTCACCTATAAAGCCAAATTAGAAGCCTTAATTCAATAGTGTAAATATCTTTGTGTCAATTCCACACAGAAAGCAGAGATTTTGTCCTCATAACATGTTATCAAGGAGTTAATGCTAAATCCAAGCAGAACCCGAGATGTGCAGAAAGGATGCTGCTATCCATGGTGATTTAAGGAGAAAGCAGGTAGAACTAGTAAATGTGTCTCAAAAGTGATTCTCCAAGAGGGACTGGGAGAGTCTTGCCTTGTGAAAAGACACTTAGAGAATGCATAGCCAGATCTCTGGGTCCTTTGGTGCAAAGTCCACTGGGCATTTACACTTCTGATTTAGAAAATCAATCAACTGCCAAACTTATCTACTATGTGCGATCACTGAGCTTGACTTTAGGAACAAAGAAATCCAAGGGGGAGTTGGCAGCATCTTCAGAGCACCTCCTATATTCCGGGCACTTATGCATGTCATCTCATTGTATTCACATTAAGCCTGGGAGAGAGGTGTTTTATTCCATTATAGAAAGGAAGAAACTGTACTCAGATTGGTGAAGGGAGTTACCTGAGTTAGTTGGTTGAATTGTAACCCCCCTCAAAAAATCTACCCAAGTCCTAACCCCAGTACCTGTGATTGTGACTACATTTGAAAATAGGGTCTTTGCAGATGTAATCACATTATGACAAAGTCATACTAAATTAGGATGGGCTTCAAATACAGTGACCTGTGTCTTTACCAGAGAAAGCAGAAAGACACTTGGATGCATCTTACAAGCCGAGGAACACCAAGGATTGCGGGCAGGCACCAGAAACTAGGCAGAGGCAAGGGAGGACTCTTCCCTAAAGCTTTCAGGAGGAGCATGGCCCTCCCGTTGCCTTGATTTTCGACTTCTACCCTCCAGAACTTTAAGATAATAAATTTCTGTTGATTGATTGATTGATTTTTTGAGACAGAATCTTGTTCTAGTCGCCCAGGCTGGAGTTCAGTGGCATGATCTCGCCTCACTGCAATCTCTGCCTCCTAGGTTCAAGCAGTCAGTTCTCCTGTCAGCCTCACAAGTAGCTGGGATTACAGGCGTCTGCCACCACACTTGGCTAATTTTTGCATTTTTAGTAGAGACAGGGTTTTACCATGTTGGCCAGGCTGGTCTCAAACTCCTGACCTCAAGTGATCCACCTACCTCAGCCTCCCAAAGTGCTGGAATTACAGGCATGAGCCACCATGCCTGGCCAAATTTCTGTTGATTTAAACTACGAAGCTTGTGACAATTTATTACAGTCTTAGGACACAAAGATACCAGTGTCACACAGCGGCTAAGTAGCAGTGCTGGAATTTGATCCCAGTTGTTTGCTTTGCAAATACCAAACATAACCCATATACCATGATATCAAGGGGGGATTTTGTTGCCACATGATTTCTGAACCTATTCAAGGCTGTCCTAGACATTATGAGCCAAGGAGAAGTGGTAAACTGCCTGAATTCAACCTAAGAGTTACAGATGCCCAAGCTGCATTCTCTCAGAGAACTGATACATGGGGAGCTGCATAGAGGCATGGAAAGGTTGCTAAAGAGCTGGGTCCAGAGACCTACAGTGATATTGACCATAACAGGGCAAGGGCAAGTCATTTTACCTCCCTGGGTCTCAGTTTCCTGTTCCCATCAGAGGTCAGGTTAAATATTCCATGGGATCCCAGACAACTGTGTAACCAGTTGGCTGGCCCACCCCAGACCTTTTTAAAAAACTTTTTGGACAGGCGCAGTGGCTCATGCCTGTAATCCCAGCACTTTGGGAGGCCGAGGTGGGTGGATCACAAGATCAGGAGTTCCAGACCAGCCTGCCCAACATAGTGAAACCCCATCTCCACTAAAAAAATATAAAAATTAGCCGGGCATGGTGGTGTGTGCCTGTAATCCCAGCTACTTGGGAGGCTGAGGCAGGAGAATTGCTTGAATCCGGGAGGCAGAGGTTGCAGTGAGTTGAGATCGCACTACTACACTCCAGCCTAGGCAACAGAGCAAGTCTCCGTCTCAAAAAAAAAAAAAATTCAATAGCTGTAAGGGTTCAGTGGTTTTTGGCTACACAGATGAATTGTATAGTGGTGAAGTCTGAGCTTTTAGTGTACCTGTCACCTGAATAATGTACATTGAACCCAATAGTGAAACATTTTAATTTCTACTTTTCTTTCTTTCTTTGGTCAGTAAGTTTTATTTTAATTTTTTTTTAATGTTTTGCCATTGGATTAGTTACATCTCCATTTAAATGTTTCTTCTTGTATCTATTCATTTTCAGGCATTAGAAGTTAAAATAATGGAAATAGGGCTGGGAATGGTGGCTCATGCCTGTAATCCCAGCACTTTGGGAGGCAGAGGAGAGTGGATCACTTGAGCCCAGGAGTTTGAGACCAGCCTGAGCAACAAAGTGAAACCCCCATCTCTACAAAAAATAGAAAAATTAGCCGGCCATGGTGGCATGTGCTTGTAGTCCCAACTACTCGGGAGGCTGAGGTGGGAGGATGACTTGAGCCAAGGAGGTCAAGGCCTGCAGTGAGCTGTAATTGCTCCACTGGCCAGCCTGGGCAACAGAGTGAGACCCTGTCTCAAAAAAAAAAAAAGAAAAAAGAAAGAAAAAAAAAAGGTAATATATTTCAGTGAAGTGCACAGTATTTCTTTCTCCTTCTTGACAGCGGCTCACACTTTTAATGAAGGACCCAAGCCAGCACAGTGCTCTCGTAGCCACAGCAGGTGTAAAAGAGAAGTTGACTGTTTCAAAGATAAAAACGATGAACCGTTCCCAAAATAAACATTAATCTTTTGAAACCATCAACCATGCAGAGTAATGCAAATACTAAATTGGGTTGTTTTCCAGGATGACTTTTCTTTAAGAATGTCAAATGGCAAAAAAAAAAAATGCACCTGCTTTTACAGCTGCGACTCTGAACAGAATCAAGCAAAGTCCCCCAGTGATGCATCCTGTCCAATCTCATAGGTATAGAAAGGAGGCATTCTTAGCTAAGAAGAAGAACTGGGCTATTTTCACTTTGACTTGCCCTTCTTTGCGTGTGTTCAAAGTAGTGCTATTTATAAAAGTTCTAAAATCAAAAGATTAATACAGTCGAGGAACTTTTGAGGCACCCTCTTAGACACTGGCTCAGTTTCTTCTCTTTCAGCAAGCTGAGCTGCAGTGACTGCCAACAAGGAGAGAAAGAAGGTGATTGCACGTGAGAATGTAGAAACTGGAGCGCTTCTTTCCAGCCTCCTTTGTGAATTCTCTCAGAGGTGGAAAGCCCATGGCATCATATCACAATAGCCTCCTTCTGTCATTTTAAAATGCACAACCAGGATTGTTATCAACAATATTATTGTTATTATTATTTTTGTCATTTTATTATTTTGGTGTGGGAGAATCTGATTCCCTGAGCATAAATGTGGGGGGGCTGTGTGTGTGTGCACACATACACACACATACATATTAAATGACAAATTAAATGACATACTATCCATTGTTGTTGAATAAACAAGAAATGTTTTGTCAACTCTACAGGAGATGCCAATAGAATCAATAAATACAGAGTGAATTCGAAGAGCAAGGTACTATGCCAGCCATTTTGAAACAAAGATGATTCATTCGAAAGGTAAAGTGACTGCTAATGGGTATGAGGTTTCTTTTTTCTTTTTTTTCTTTTTTCTTTTTTAAATAGAGACAAGGTCTTGCTATCAGGTATGAGGTTTCTTTTTTTTTATTGTGAGACAGAGTCTTGTTCTGTCACTCAGGCTGGAGTGCAATGGCTTGATCTTGGCTCACTGCAACCTCTGCCTCCTGGGTTCAAATGATTCTCCTGCCTCAACCTCCCGAGTAGCTTGGACTACAGGCATGCGCCACCATGCCCGGCTAATTTTTTGTATTTTTAGTAGAGACAGGGTTTCACCATGTTGGCCAGGCTGGTCTCGAACTCCTGACCTCAACTCCTGACCTCAGGCGATCCACCTGCCTTGGCCTCCCAAAGGCGTGAGCCACTGCGCCCAGCCAGGTATGAGGTTTCTGATTGTGGTGATAAAAATGTTCTGGAATCAGTGATGATGACTATATCACTTTGTGAATATACTAAAAATCACTGAATTGTAACTTTAAAAGGGTGAATTTTATGGTGTGTGACTTGTTTTTGTTTTTGAGATGGAGTCTCATTGTGTTGTCAGGCTGGAGTGCAGTGGTACTATCTCGGCTTACTGCAGCCTCCGCCTCCCGGGTTCAAGCGATTCTCCTGCCTCAGCCACCGGAGTAGCTGGGACTACAGGCACACACCACCATGCCCAGCTAATTTTGGTATTTTTAGTAGGGGTTTCACCATGTTGGCCAGGATGGTCTCAATCTCTTGACCTCATGATCCGCCTGCCTTGGCCTCCTGAAGTGCTGGGATTACAGCACCACTGCACCCAGCCTATGGTATGTGAATTCTATCTCAATTTATACATACATACATGCATATATATAATTAAAGAATAGCTAGTATGTGCCAGAGAGTCTGTGCTAGGCATTGGGTAAATCATACCTAACCTGTTTGAGTTACTGACTCTGTGTCAGCCTGTATGCGAAGTTCTTTGCATACATCCTCTTATTTGATCTTTATAATCTCCTTGGAGGGAATGAGTATTGGTACCCCATTTTATAGCTAAAGAAATGGATTTAGAGAGTCCCTTGCTCAAAATCACATGTGAAGTTAGGTTTAATCATGTGAAACTGCCATTTTGTAGACAGTATTTATGTTCATATGTCATCAGTTTCTTATAGCTCAATCTAGTAAGTAGCTGTGTCTCTCTGAGTTTGTCACTGTGTACATCAGGAAACCACTCTAGCCAGATTAAGCAGCAAAGAATCATGAGAAGGTAAGAGCCTATGTCCATAAATGGCAATGTGTACTAAAAACGACTTCATATGAGTGAAGAAATAAGGTTATATTGTGTGAAGTCACAAATAATTTGAGGTTTATCTGTTATAGCACCTAGCACCACTTACCCTAATGAATGCACCAGGCCTATTGGACTCCAGAGGCTGTGTTCTTGTCCACTGGTAATTTGTCTCCTTCAGGGAGTTTAGAATCTGTTGACAGATACATGTACAATGTACTAGAATACTAGAATCAAAAATAGAAATTCCACTAGAGTGAAAGAAATAATGAATTATAAGGTTAACATAACAGAGAACACAAAAACCAGTGGCTTAACCAAACTAGGCCCTTATTCTTTTCACAAAGCAAGAAGTCTGAGGATACAGTCCAGAGTTAGAAGGTCATCCTCACAATTCCGTTAGCGACCCAAGATATATCTTCCTTTCCACACCACCATCCTTAGCGTGTGGCATTCTGTGAAGGAAGGATAAGTCAAAGGACAAAGGTGCATGCCAGTCAAATTAACCCCTTTTTAGGCCCCCTCTGAAGTCTCTCCCAGAAATGAACACTTGACAAGAACTATTTCAGTGGCTGCTTGTGATTTCAAGGAAGACTGTAAAATATTTTTTTTTATTTTTTTATTTTTAAAAACAGGATTTTTTTTTTTTGAGATGGGGTCTCACTACATTGCCGAGGCTGGTCTTGAACTCCTGGGCTCAAGCGATCCTCCCGCCTTGACCTCCCAAAGTGCTGGAGTTTAAGCTACGTGGCATGAGCCACGGTGCCCAGACTAAAATTTGATTATTCCTAAGATGGTGAAATTTATCACTCTGTACAAATTAGGATGCTGTTAGTAATGGAAAATGAGGAGTGAACAGTAGGAAGGCAACTAACACATTCTGCCTCATACAGGAAGAAAGTTCAAAAGCCTGGGTAGACAGAGACGGACAAATGTCTACTACAGGGATCAGCCAGGATTTACACCCAGGTTTGACTGCTCCAGAGCCAGTACTGTTAACTCCAGGTGATGCTGCCTCCTTCATGGAGTATATAGTGTAGAAATGTGTTTGCACTACTTACTGTGACATAAAGATATTATATTAGTTTCCTATTGTTGGTGTAGCATATTACCACAAACTCAGTAGCTTTAAATAACAATAATTTAGGGTTTTACATTTCCAGAGTTCAGAAGTCCAAAATCAGTTTCACTGGGCTAAAGTCAAGGTGTTGGCAGGGCTGGTTTCTTCTAGAGGCTCTAGAAAAGAATCCGTTTCCTTGCCTTTTTTTAACTTCTGGAGGCTGCCTGCATTCCTTGGTTCATGGCCCCTTTCTTGAATCATTCCAAGCTCTTGCTTCTGTGTCCCATCTCCTACTTTCATAATGAAATCTCCCTCTTCCTCCTTTTTATAAGGACACTTGTGATTACACTTAGTGCTCATCCAGATAATTTAAAATAAACTCTCCATCTCAAGATTCTTAACCTAATCCTATCTGCAAAAAAATTATTTTGCTTTATAGGGATAAAATCAAGAGGTTCCAGGGATTAGGACATGGATACCATTGATTGACATATTATTCAACCTACCACAAATAGTAAGTTAGAAATTATTAAGTGCAAGGAAAAAAAAAAAAAAAAAAGGATGACCACATTGGCAATTGCCTTGAAAAAGGAGCAAGCAAACTGAGAAACATAAGATTCAGAAGGCCAAAAGAGAAATACTACTTGGAGAGCCTGAAAGAAGAGTATAAACAATCTGGAAATGGAAAGATAACACAGACATCATGGGGAATAAGTAAAATAACCCTAAACTACAAACAGGCTGTGTCAGAGCTGAGGGGAAACTTTGAGACCGAGAGACCCAGTAAGGGTTTATCTCCAAAGCTAGACAAAATGTGGTTCAAGATTACTCATGGTGGCCAAGCGTGGTGGCTCATGCCTGTAATCCCAGCACTTTGGGAGGCTGAGGCAGGCAGATCACTTGAGGTCAGGAGTTCAAAACCAGCCTGGCCAACATGGTAAAACCCCATCTCAACTAAAAGTACAAAAAAAAAAAAAAAGAAAAAGAAAAAGAAAAATTAGCCTGGTGTGGTGGCACATGCCTGTAATCCCAGCTACTCAGGAGGCTGAGGCTCGAAAATCGCTTGAACCTGGGAGGCAGAGGTTGCAGTGAGCCAAGATCACGCCACTGCATTCCAGCCTTTGCAACAGAGTGAGACTCAGTCTCAAAAAAAAAGAAGAAGAAAAAGATTACTCATGGCCCTGGGAATGTCTTCCAAGCCTTTTGTACCCTCCTGTGTCCTTTCCAGTGATAGAAGGCGGCTCTGGCTCCTCTTAAAGTTTGGAGAGCCTCAAAATCAGTACTCAGATGAAGCAAGAGAGGTGCCTGGTGCCCACACTGACCCTGGACTTGCATCACCCTAAGTGTCTCCTTACTTCTTAAATTTTACACAACAGACACCTCACTTTCTCTCACCCCAGTCCCCAGCTCTGGATAGCTTATAGATAAGCAAGGCCTTGAGGTCTTGAGGAGTTTACCAAACCCTGAACAATGTGAAGAAAGACATTTTAAGCGGTATAATTTATCAATCTTCCTCCTATTATGAGCCCTTGAAGACATTTTAATTTCTGAGTCTAGACATTTTGATGAAGCAAGGCATCCCTTCACCCAGGGGAGCACTCAAACAAAAGCTGAATGTCTCCTACTATTTGCTTTTGCTTTTGGTTAACTTTATTTCTTTTTTTTTTTTTTTTTTTGAGATGGAGTCTCCTTCTGTCACCAGGCTGGAGTGCAGTGGTGTGATCTTGGCTCACTGCAATCTCCACCTCCTGGGTTCAAGCGATTCTCGTGCCTCACCCTCCCGAGTAGCACACGCCACCATGCCCAGCTAATTTTTGTATTTTTAGTAGAGACGGGGTTTCACCATGTTGGCCAGGATGGTCACGAGCTGCTGACCTTCTGATCCACCCACCTCGGCCTCCCAAAGTGCTGGGATTACAGGCGTGAGCCACCGCGTCCAGCCTTCCTTCCTTTCTTTCTTTCTTTCTTTCTTTCTTTCTTTCTTTCTTTCTTTCTTTCTTTCTTCCTTTCTTTCTTTCTTTCCTTTCTTTCTTTTCTTTTTTAAGATGGAGTTTTGCTCTGTCACCCAGGCTGGAGTGCAGTGGCACAATCTTGGCTCACTGCAACCTCCGCCTCCCAGGTTCAAGTGATTCTTTTGCCTCAGCCTCCCCAGTAGCTGGGATTGTAGGTGCCCACGACCATGCCCCATTAATTGTTTGTAGTTTTAATAGAGACAAGGTTTTGGCATGTTGGCCAGGTTGGTCTCAAACTCCTGAACTCAGGTGATCCGCCCACCTCGGCCTCTCAAAGCACTGGGATTACAGGGGTGAGCCACTGTGCCCGGCTTCTTTAGGTTAACTTTCAAGTCATCAAAGTTCAAGTGTCTTAAAAAGGAGGCCACACCCCAGGGGATTCCTCCCTGCAACAGGCCTGCAGGGACCTCAAGAAGATCTCTGTGAGGACACAGGAGGCACCCAGGAGGCCTTGCTGCTCATACCCCTGTGTGACCTGGATTCTGTGGACTGCCTGTGCATGGCTCTTTTGCTAGTTTGGTGGTAAAACAAAGCAAAAGGTGAAAAAGAAATAAGGATTAAAAGTATCTGCTATGGTTTAGATATGGCTTATTTCTTCCCCCCAAAAGTTACGTTGAATTTGATCCCCAATATGGTGGTGTCGGGCCTAGTGGGAGGAATTTGGGTCATGGGGGTGAATCCATCATGAACAGATTAATGCCCTCCCTCAAGGGTGAGTGAGTTACACTCTAGCTCTATTACTTCTTGGGAGACAGCCAGTTGTTAAAAAGAACCTGGCACCTCCCACCCTGTATTAGTCCATTCTCACATTGCTATAAAAAAATACCTGAGACTGGGTAATTTATAAAGAAAAGAGGTTTAATTGGCTCATGGTTCTGCAGGCTGTACAGGAAGCATGGTGCTGGGATCTGCTTGGCTTCTGTGGAGGCTTCAGGAAACTTACAATCATGGCAGAAGGTGAAAGGCAGAGCAGGAGAGAGAGAGTAGGGAAGGTGCTACACACTTTTAAATGCCCAGATCTCATGAGAGTTCACTCACTATCACAAGGACGGTACCTAGGGGGATGGTACTAAATCATTCATGAGAAAGCCATGTCATAATCCAATCACCTCCCACCAGGCCCCACCTCCAACACTGGGGATTATGTATCAATATGAGATTTGGGCAGGAATACACATCCAAACCATATCACCTTCTCTCCATTGCTTCCTCTCTCACCATGTGATCTTTGCAAACACCTGCTCCCCTTTGCCTTCCACCATGAGTGGAGGCAGCCTGAGGCCCTTACCAGATGCAGATGTCCAATCTTGGACTTTCCAGCCATCAGAATCATGAACCAAGTAAACCTTTTTTTCTCTACAAATTACCCAGCCTTAAGCGTTCTGTTATGGCAACACTAAATGGACTAACCATCAAAGTCTAAACAGGAATGCTTTTTCTTATTATGACTAGAAAACATGTAACTTCTCCTGATGAGACTGTCCCAGAGAAAAAAAGAAAACAATCTGAAAATGCAGGAGAAAAAATGAATCCAGGAATGTTTGAAAGTTAACCTTTAAGCTCATGTTCCCTACAAGGGTTGGGAAGAGGGGCCGGTTTGAAAGACTGATGATTTGCTCTTGTGCAGGGTTCATCGACCCTGACAACATTACATTTGGGGTCAGATAAGTCTTTGGCAGTGGGGACTCTGCTTTGCATTGTAGTATGTTTGGCAACACTCTTGGCCTCAACCCACTGTATGTCAGTGATATCTCTGCCCTAACTGTGACAACCAAAAAAATGTCCCAATATATTGCCAAATGTTCCCTGGAAACAGAAATAGTCCCTGACTGAGAACCACAGCTCTGGGGAGTTATCAGTGCTTCAGCTGAGTTCATCAAAGTAACTTTCCCATCATAGAATTCCTGTTAACTCTGAATGAGAAGAAAGGCAATAGTATTCTTCAAAATGACATGTCACAGAACAGTAACTCATCATTCCTGTTACCCTAGAATAATAACCAAAAATAGATTACAAATGGATTTTTATATATTATATGGAAGCCCTAAATTAGTGGAGGAGGGGAGACACAGGGAGCTCACTGTGCCCCTCACAGAGACTTCCAAAACACCTTATACCTCTCCATCCACAAAAACTCACCTGCAGATGCTCCCTCGTCCTACCCTTCTTATCTGAAAATGATACCAACAGCTACATCTTTTTAACTCTGCAATTCAGGGAATCTCAATGGAGATCATTAGATAGGTGACAATTGTTTTAAAGTGTTGAACTTTACACGTACCTAAAAAGTTCATATATATGTGTGCTCTATAAATGAAATTATATATTTTTTATATATGAAGTTATATATATACTATATATAATTTTATTGTATATAATAATATATACAATATACATATACATTTATTGTATGTAGTAATACAAACTGGCCCCTCTTCCCAACCCTTGTAGAGAGCATGAGCTTAAAATGTAATTATAAAATAACCCTGGATTCATTTTTTCTCCTGTGTTTTCAGACTGTTTTCTTTTTTCTCTGGGACAGCCTTATCAAGAGAAGTTATATGGTTTTTAATCATAATAAGAAAAAAATTCCTGTTTAGACTTTGATACTTAGTCTGTTTAGTGTTGCTATAACAGAATACCTAAGGCTGGGTAATTTATAGAGAAAAAAAGGAGTTAGTTTTTTCTAGGAACCAAAGATAATAGTAAAATGGACGTTGGTGCAGCTTCAAGTGTTTCAACACAACATCCTCTCCATGGATGCTCACAACAAGGTGGGGAAGTGATTAGCATCATTTCTTATGCATCTGGTGTCCATGGTAGTCACATAGATAATAGGCCTTTAACTACCTCTGACACCAAAGAGGAAGTGCAATGTGGTGCACATTGTACATTGCATGGAGAGAAACTGCCTGTCAGGACCACCCCTCTCTGCAGCCCCTATGTCCTATCTTATGGCTGTCAAGGTAATCAAGTTGCTATTTATAAGGAGGCCCAGGCCTGCCATCCCCACCTTCTCCCCTTCCTCCAGCCCCCATCCCCACCCATGCTAGTTCTGCCTGCAGTTGCTGCTCTGCAGTTCTCTCCTCTCAGCAACATCAATTTTTCATTGCTTCAAGCCAGGTCTCTGAGCATCCTTAAAGCACCTCTCCTGATACCTCCTGTACAGCTGGTTCAGTGATTAGCTCTGGGAAAGAACAGAGATGGACCATTAATTCCCAAGGCATGTCAACATTTCCTTGACTGTCTCCCTGTGAAGAAGTCTGGGGTGTTGGGGAGGCAGCTGTTTTGCAGTTTCCCCATAAGAGTGAGAAAAGTAAACCACAGCAGAAGGATGAATAGAATAGACATAAAGTTACAATGGGGAAAGAAAACTCCGCTTTAAAACAGGTTCCTTAAGGGCAGGATGTTGAAGATTCCAGGTGCTGTTTAAACTGTGCTGTCAAGGTGCACTGTATTTCTTTCCATGCTTCCTGTTTGTCCCCTGTAAGACAGAGTCTGAGGGCAAAGTCATCCCCACCAGTTGTAAATATCTACCCTAACAACTGATAAGGAGTACAATGGCCATACATCTTTAGACTTCAGGGTAGTTTTGTTAGTTAGGATTCTCCAAAAAATAAAGAGAAGCAACAGGATATAGTGTGTGTGTGTGTGTGTGTGTGTGTGTGTGTGTGTGCGCGTGTGTGTGTGTGTGTGTGTGTGTGTGTGTGTGTGTGTGTGTGGAGAGAGAGAGAGAGATTGTGGGTGCTGGCAAGTCCAACATTTGCAGGTCAGACCAGCAGACTGGAGACCCAGGGAAGAGTCGATGCTACAGCTCAAGTCCAAGGCTGCTTGCAGGCAAAATTATCTGTTCCTTGAGGGATCTCAGTCTTTTTTCTTAAGGCTGTCAACTGATTGGATGAGGCCCACTCACACTATGGAGGGTAATCTGCTTTACTCAAAGTCTACTGATTTAAATGTTAATCACATCCAAAATACCTTCACAGCAACATCTAGACTGGTGTTTCACCCAGTTGACACATACAATTGACCATCAGAGCAATCCTAAAACCTACCAAGTACAATAGGATCTGAATCAGGGCTGAAATATAGGCAACTGCCCCTAGGGAGCCTCTCTGAGATGATCTGAACTTGATAAACGGGAAGGCAGTTCTGCCTTGCACCTACCTCTCTGCTGCCATCTTGTTCAAGTCTGCCCTAAAACTGTAACTCCTGCTAGATCCCCATATTTCCTTCCCAAATGACCGCAATGCTTACACAAGCCCCTTGTACTTGCTGGCCTTTGCTGGTAGTTCAAAGTCAGAATGGTTGCCTAGATCTCAAGTAGGCCTAGGCCACAAATATTGGAGCACTAATGTGGGGAGCCTGGAGCTATTCTGGGATGGAGGAGCCTGGGTTGGAACCAAGAGCCAAGATAAGTAAGCACAATGTAATGGAAAGATTACTAGCCTGGGAACAGGGTGACCTAGCACTATATTTGTCACTAACAAATATCAATTAAGCACTGTGTATCTATTTCCTTATTTGTAAAATGAGAGGTTTGGGCTCAGTGACCCAGAGCTGTATAGTCCTTTCGAGCTCTAAGATTTGTTGGTTTCATTAGGCTATTGTAATGTGGGGTCTGACTACCGGATGGCCACCAAATCCATGGCCAAGCTGGCCCATATTTTAGGAGCCAGAGTATTTTGGATTGCCTTTTTTTTAAGGGATGGGGTCTTGCTCTGTTGCCCAGGCTGGAGTGCAGTAGTATAATCAGAGCTCACTGCAGCCTCTCAACTCCTGGCTTCAGGTGATCCTCCCATCCAGCCTCCCAAAGTGCTGGGATTACAGGTATGAGCCACCATGCTCAGACTAGATTGTTATTATTTATCCTTTTATCCATTCATTTATTAAACTTGTGCCTACCCTATGTAAGAAAATCTTCCATAGTATTATGAGAAATACAAATAAATTAAATACAGTATCTCTGCCTCAAGGAACTTAAAATCCAGTTGGGACATAATTCAGTTAGGATGTGTTTGGCTGCAAATAACAGAATTCCTGACCAACAGTGGCTTAAGCATTGTAGACCTTTATTCATCTGCAACAAAAAGAAGTCTGGACATTCTGGAAAAGGAGAAACTATGGAGACAGTGAAGATTAGTGGTTGCCAGGGGTTACAGGGAAGAGAGGGATGACTAGGCAGAGCACAGAGGATTTTCAAGCCAGTGAAGCTACTCTGTATGACACTATAGGTTTGTCCAAACCCATAAACTGCACAACACCAAGAGTGAGCCCTAATGTCAACTGAGGACTTTGGGTGATTATGGTGTGTCAAGGTAGATTCATCAATTATAACAAATGTTCCACTCTGGCAGGGGATGTTGATAACTGGGGGCTACACATATGAAGGAGTGAAGGACATGCCATCCCAAATTATGCTGGATTGGTATATTGATTATGTCATGTTGAAAACATTGGAGGAATTGTAGTTTCAGAAAAGCCTAGCTGGTGTTTCTCTTCCTGCATACAGCAAGCCATAAAGGCTCCTCTGGGAGGGGTACCCTCGCCACACCAGGGCAAGAAGATAGGCCTTATTACCAGACAGTGGGCACTGGGGACTGCAATGGACCTGAATAAATATACTTGACAGGGACTGAGAACAGTGGCCCATGCCTATAATCCCAGCGTTTTGGGAGTCCTAGGCAGGAGGTTCCCTTGAGCCCAGGACTGAGGATGCAGTGAGCTACGATGGCACCACAGTACTCCAGCCTGGGTGAGAGAGTGAGACTCTAAATGTGTGTGTGTGTGTGTATGTGTGTACTAAATGAAGTAACTCTTATCTTTCACTAGTTTTGCACCCTCCCAATATATCTCCTAGTGACGTCCCTAGAAAATTTACTGCCCCTAGCCAGATTTTTCTGATTTTCTTTGTCCTGTTATTTCTTCTCAAACTTATTGTTTTGTGTCTAAAAAGTTGTGTAGGGCAACCTTGACATAAGTAACTCCATCTTAGAAAAAGACTCCATCTTACATTTCATAATGCACTTTGCCGACAGGGACTAGATGTTTTGTCTGATTGATAAAGATTGTATCCATCCAAATATGGACATAACCAAGCACACTCTTCTATCAGTCCTTACTGGAGGACTCTGTGTCCAGGAAAAGAGCAGGACTTCAGCAGCTTGAAATGGCCATCTTTTTTTTTTTTTTTTTTTTTTTTGAGACAGAGTCTGGCTCTGTCGCCCAGGCTGGAGAGCAGTGGCACGATCTCAGCTCACTGCAAGCTCCACCTCCCGGGTTCACGCCATTCTCCTGCCTCAGCCTCCGGAGTAGCTGGGACTACAGGCGCCCGCCTGAAATGGCCATCTTAACAGACATCGTCTTGGCCAGGCACGGTGGCTTATGCCTGTAATCCTAGCACTTTGGGAGGCTGAAACGGGTGGATCACTTGAGGTCAGGAGTTCAAGACCAGCCTGGCCAACATGGTGAAACCCCATCTCTACTAAAGATACAAAAATTAGCTGAATGTGGTGGCGGGCACCTGTAATCCCAGCTATATGAGATATTCAGGGGGCTGAGGCAGGAGAATTGCTTGAACCCAGGAAGCAGAGGTTATAGTGAGCCAAGATCGTGCCACTGCACTCCAGCCTGGGCAACAGAGTGAGACTCTCTCAAAAAAAAAAAAAAAAAAAAAAAAAGGCCACCGGCCAGGTGCTGTGGCTCACGCCTGTAATCCCAGCACTTTGGGAGGCTGAAGCAGGCGGATCACCTGAGGTCGGGAGTTCAAGACCAGCCTGACCAACGTGGAGAAACCCTGTCTCTACTAAAAATACAAAATTAACCGGGCATGGTGGCACATGCCTGTAATCCCAGCTATTCGGGAGGTTGCGGCAGGAGAATTGCTTGAAGCCAAGAGGCAGAGATTGCGGTGAGCCAAGATCGCGCCATTGCACTCCAGCCTGGGCAACAAGGGTGAAACTCTGTCTCAAAAAAAAATAAAAGAAAAGAAAGACACCATCTTGCTGTCACTTGTGATAAGCACCCAGGATCTGCCAGCCAAAGGCTCTGCCCACTTCAAAGTTTCTCCCTTGCAAGACCTATGGACCTCCCAGGCCAGACCAGGATATTCTTTTTGTCTATATCACTCTCCCTGGGCTGGTTGGTTAATCCTTTTCCTATCCCTGTTCTCTTGATGTAAAATGCTACTTTGTTGTGGAATGTTTAATCTGTAACATTTATATATTGATTAAGGGTACCATTATGTATGGTTTGCAATATTGACTGACGGGTGGAGTGGCTTGAGCCCGTGTGCATGCAGCTCTAACTGCTGAGTGAACAAAAGTACTAGGAGAATTGCCTCCTTGGGAACTCCATGTAGCTCATGGCTCCTATGATTGAGACAGTGTCGATGAAAACCCGACCTTGTAGAAAGACACAAATGCCCATAGACCTGGTTATATCTGATCTTGTGCCACCTATGATAAAAGTATAAAAGCATCTTTCTTTGGCTACTTCTTTGGACTTTACTCTCTTGTGAAGATCCCCATGGACAAGTAAAACTAATAAAATGTGTATGTTTTTCTCTAGTTAATCTGCCTTGTGTCAATTTGGTTTCTAGATCCAGCAGAAGAGCCCACATTAGAGCTTAAGGAGGATTGGAGTTGGGCTCTGACTTTCCAACACGTTTGGAAGCAGGAGGTATATGGGAAACCTCTGTATCGTCCTCTCAATTTTGCTGTGAATTTAAAACTGCTCTAAAAAACAACATGTTTTTTGTTTTTTTCTTAAGTCTGGAAGCTGGCAGCTCCAGGGCTGGATTGGGGCTCAGTGATATCATCAAGGACACAGACCCTCTCTGACAGCCCCTCTGCAGCAAGTCCTTAGGCCTACACATCATGGCTGCTACCATGCCAAGCTCTCTGTCTTCACACTAATGCCTAGAAGGAAGGTAGAAGCATAAGGAAAAAAGCTTTTGCCTGATAGGCTCTACTTTTTTTCTTCAGGAAAAAAAAATATTTTCCAGGTGCACAACAGACTTCCCTTTTTATCTTATCATCTGGAGTTGGGTCACACTACTTACCCTAGGCTAATCCTGATGAAGGGAAATGGGATTCCCAGCATGATTTATCTCTGGGTGCCTCTGTGGTTGCTGACCAAAAAAGGAAGAAAATGGCTCAGAGAGAGAAAAAGAAATATATATATATATACACACACACACACACACACACACACACACATACATACATATATTAAAATGAAAGGTCATATATTCACAGGGAGTATATATATATGTATATACACATATATTTCTTTTCTATATATATAGTTGAAAGAAAATTCAGCGATTTATATATTCACAGTGAGAATTGTGTGTGTGTGTATGTGTGTGTGTGTAAACTGTATTTCTTTTCTATTATATATACATAGTCACAGGAAGATTCAGGGAGCTTTACTTTTCCAGGGAGAAAAAAACAATTTTTCCCTCAACCCCACATAATTCTTAGCTGGGACACCTATAACAAAAGGCAGTTTAACATGAGAAAAGTAAACAAGTTTATGAATGCCCATGGCACACATCAAACAGAAGAAGCCTCAAGGAAATGTATCTCAAAGCACTGGCTTAGAACTCTGGCCTATAAAGCATCTTTAACAAAGAACAATAAAATTGTGGGGAAATGATAGGACAAAAGAAAGCAGTTCTAGGCTTTCAACAGCAGAAAACTGTGGAAAGGTAAGTAAATGGGAGGAAATTAATGGAGTGAGTTTTGTCTGCAGACTCCTCTGTGCTGTCCCTGGGCTGTTAAGAGTTTAGAGCTGTCTCCAGTAAAGGAGAATTTATATCTTGTCTTTAGGCAGAGAACAGGAAGGATAGAGTTTTCCTTCTTTTGCTGTCTCCTTATTGTCTTTACATCAAAAATAATTTTTATGTCAAAAAGATATATTGTGAAATGGCATATTCTGGTTTCATTCAACTTGACATAAACATTTTTTGTTGGGTGTTTTTGTTTTTGTTTGGTTTTTGTTCTTTGTGCTTTGTGTGTGTGTGTGTGTGTTTTGTTTTTTTGTTTGTTTTTTTTTTTTTTTGAGACAGGATCTCGCTCTGTTGCCCAGGTTAGAGTGCAGCAGCACGATCTTGGCTCCCTGCAACCTCTGCCTCCCGAGTTCAAGCAATTCTCCCGCCTCAGCCTCCCAAGTAGCTGGGACTACAGGCATGTGCCACCACACCCAGCTAATTTTTGTATTTTTTGTAGAGACGGGGTTTTACCATGTTGACTAGGCTCCTCTTGAACTCCTGGCCTCAAGCGATCCACCCGCCTCGGCCTCTCAAAGTGCTAGTTTCTCCTATAAGAATGACTTCTAGTATAAACTCCAGGACTCTGTTACCTTCTTAGGTACCCGGGCTCACCAATCAGAAAGACATAATTTTTGCCCAAAGCCCCGTCATAGCGGGGACTATCTGGAATTTTAGGATCCCTCCTCAGACTAGCAGGCCTAACAAAAGCTATTCCTGAAGCTAGGATATGGGGAGCCTCATATGGGGAGCCTTCCTATTCATATAAGTCAGGACAAAAGGTGTCACTCTTCCAACTCTGGAGATCCCTTCCCTCACTCAGGGTATGGCCCTCCACTTCATTTTTGGGGCATAACATCTTTATAGGATGCAGGTAAGATCCCAATACTAAGAGGAGAATGCTTAGGACTCTAACAGGTTTTCGAGAATGCATCAGTAAGGGCCACTAAATCCGATTTTTCTCAGTCCTCTTCGTGTTCTGGGAGGACAGGCAAGAGTGCAGGTTTTCGAGAATGCGTTGGTAAGGGCCACTAAATCCGACCTTCCTCGGTCCTCCTTGTGGTCTGGGAGGAAAACTAGTGTTTCTGCTGCTGCGACAGTGAGCACAACTATTCCGATCAGCAGGGTCCAGGGACCGTTGCGGGTTCTTGGGCAGGGGTTGTTTCTGCTGCTGTGTGGGTGAGCACAACTATTCCAATAAGCAGGGTCCAGGGACCCTTGCAGGTTCTTGGGCAGGGGGAGAAATAAAACAAACCAAAACCGCAGGCGGTTTTGTCTTTCAGATGGGAAACACTCAGGCATCAACAGGCTCACCCTTGAAATGCATCCTAAGCCAATGGGACCAATTTGACCCACAAACCCTGAAAAAGAGGCACCTTATTTTTTCCTGCATTATGGCCTGGCCCCAATATTCTCTCTCTGAAGGGGAAAAATGGCCACCTGAGGGAAGTACAAATTGCAATACTATCCTGCAGCCTAACCTTTTCTGTAAGAGGGAACGCAAATGGAGTGAAATACCTTATGTCCAAGCTTTCTTTTCACTGAAGGAGAATACACAACTATGCAAAGCTTGCAATTTACTTCCCACAGGAGGACATCTCAGCATACCTCCATATCCTAGCCTCCCTATAGCTCCCCTTCTTATTAATGATAAGCGTCCTCTAATCTCCCCTGCCCAGAAGGAAACAAGCAAAGAAATCTCCAAAGGACCACAAAAACCCCCAGGCTATCAGTTATGTCCCTTGCAAGCTGTAGGGGGAGGGGAATTTGGCCCAACCTGGATACATGTCCCCTTCTCCCTCTCTGATTTAAAGCAGATCAAGGCAGACCTGGGGAAGTTTTCAGATGATCCTGATAGGTACATAGATGTCCTACAGGGTCTAAGGCAAACCTTCGACCTCGCTTGGAGAGATGTCATGCTACTGTTAGATCAAACCCTGGCCTTTAATGAAAAGAATGCAGCTTTAGCTGCAGCCTGAGAGTTTGGAGATGCCTGGTATCTTAGCCAAGTAAATGATAGAATGACAGCCAAAGAAAGGGATAAATTCCCTACCAGTTACCAAGCCATCCGCAGTATGGGTCCCCACTGGGACCTTGACTGAGATCATGGGGATTGGAGTCGTAAACATCTGTTGACTTGTGTTCTAGAAGGACTAAGGAGAATTAGGAAAAAGCCCATGAATTATTCAATGATGTCCACCACAACTCAGGGAAAGGAAGAAAATCCTTCTGCCTTCCTTGAGTGGCTACAGGAGGCCTTAAGAAAATATACTCCCCTGTCACCCGAATCACTCGAGGGTCAATTGATTCTAAAAGATAAGTTTATTACCCAATCAGCCACAGATATCAGGAGAAAGCTCCAAAAGCAAGCCCTGGGCCCTGAACAAAATTTGGAGACATTATTAAACCTGGCAACCTTGGTGTTCTATAATAGGGACCAAGAGGAACAGGCCCAAAAGGAAAAGCGAGATCAGAGAAAGGCCGCAGCCTTAGTCATGGCCCTCAGACAAACAAACTTTGGTGGTTCAGAGAGGACAGAAAATGGAGCAGGCCAATCACCCGGTAGGGCTTGTTATCAGTGTGGTTTACTAGGACACTTTAAAAAAGATTGTCCAGTGAGAAACAAGCCACCCCTTTGTCCATGTCCGCTATGCTGAGGCAATCACTGGAAGGTGCACTGCCCCAGAGGCCAAAGGTTCTCTGGGTCAGAAGCCCCCAACCAGCTGATCCAACAACAGGACTGAGGGTGCCCGGAGCAAGTGCCAGCTCATGTCATCACTCTCACTGAGCCCTGGGAACATTTAACCATTGAGGGCCAGGAAATTGACTTCCTCCTGGACGTTGGCGTGGCCTTCTCAGTGTTAATCTCCTGTCCTGGACGACTGTCCTTAAGGTCCATTACCATCTGAGGAATCCTGGGACAGCCTGTAACCAGGTATTTCTTCCACCTCCTCAGTTGTAATTGGGAGACTTTGCTATTTTCACATGCCTTTCTTGTTATGCCTGAAAGTCCCACACCCTTATTAGGGAGGGATATATTAGCCAAGGCTGGAGCTATTATCTACATGAATATGGGGAACAAGTTACCTATTTGTTGTCCCCTTCTTGAGGAGGGAATCAACCCTGAAGTCTGGGCATTGGAAGGACAATTTGGAAGGGTAAAAAATGCCCACCCAGTCCAAATCAGGCTAAAAGGCCCCACCACTTTTCCTTATCAAAGGCAGTATCCCTTAAGGCCTGAAGCTCATAAAGGTTTACAGGATATTGTTAAACATTTAAAAGCTCAAGGCTTAGTAAGGAAACACAGCAGTCCCTGCAACACCCCAATTCTAGGAGTACAAAAACCAAACGGTTAGTGGAGACTAGTGCAAGATCTTAGACTCATCAATGAGGCAGAAATTCCTCTATATCCAGTTGTACCCAACCCCTATACCCTGCTCTCTCAAATACCAGAGGAAGCAAAATGGTTCTCTGTTCTGGACCTCAAGGATGCCTTCTTCTGTATTCCCCTGCACTCTGACTCCTGGTTTCTCTTTGCCTTTGAGGATCCCACAGACCACACATCCCAACTTAGGTGGAAGGTCTTGCCCCAGGTGTTTAGGCATAGCCCTCACCTGTTTGGTCAGGCACTGGCCCAAGATCTAGGCCACTTCTCAAGTCCAGGCACTCTGGTCCTTCAGTATGTGGATGATTTACTTTTGGCTACCAGTTCAGAAGCCTCATGCCAGCAGGCTACTCTAGATCTCTTGAACTTTCTAGCTAATCAAGGGTACAAGGTATCTAGGTCGAAGGCCCAGGTTTGCCTACAGCAGGTCAAATATCTAGGCCTAATCTTACCCAGAGGAATCAGTGCCCTCAGCAGGGAGCGAATACAGCCTATACTGGCTTATCCTCACCCTAAAACATTAAAACAGTTGCGGGGGTTCCTTGGAATCACCGGCTTTTGCTGACTATGGATCCCCAGATACAGCGAGATAGCCAGGCCCCTCTATACTCTAATCAAGGAAACCCAGAGAGCAAATACTCATCTAGTAGAATGGGAACCAGAGGCAGAAATAGCCTTCAAAACCATAAAGCAGGCCCTAGTACAAGCTCCAGCTTTAAGCCTTCCCACAGGACAAAATTTCTCTTTATACATCTCAGAGGGAGCAGGGATAGCTCTTGGAGTCCTTAGTCAGACTCGTGGGACAACCCCACAATCAGTGGCATACCTAAGTAAGGAAACTGATGTAGTAGCAAAAGGCTAGCCTCACTGTTTATGGGTAGTTGCAGTGGTGGCCATCTTAGTGTCAGAGGCTATCAAGATAATACAAAGAAAGGATCTCACTGTCTGGACCACTCATGATGTCAATGGCATACTAGGTGCCAAAGGAAGTTATGGCTATCAGACAACCACCTACTTAGATACCAGGCACTACTCCTTGAGGAACCAGTGCTTCAAATACATATGTGCATGGCCCTCAACCCTGCCACTTTTGTCCCAGAGGATGGGAAACCAATTGAGCATGACTGCCAATGAATTATAGTCCAGACTTATGCCACCCAAGATGATCTCTTAGAAGTCCCCTTAGCTAATCCTGACCTTAACCTATATACCGATGGAAGTTGATTTGTGGATAATGGGATATGAAGGGCAGGTTATGCCATAGTTAGTGATGTAACCATACTTGAAAGTAAGCCTCTTCCCCCAGGCACCAGTACCCAGTTAGCAGAACTAGTGGCACTTAGTCTTAGAAACAGGAAAGGGAAAAAGAATAAATGTGTATACAGATAGCAAGTATGCTTATCTAATCCTACATGCCCGTGCTGCAATATGGAAAGAGAGGGAGTTCATAACCTCTGGGAACCCCCGTTAAATACCACAAGGAAATCATGGAGTTACTGCACACAGTGCAAAAACTGAAGAAGGTGGCAGTTTTACACTGCCAAAGCCATCAAAAAGGGGAAGAAGGGAGAACAGCAGCATAAGCAGCTGGCAGAGGCAGCAGAAAGGAAAGAGAGAAAGAGACAGGAAGTCAGAGAGAGAGAGAGAAAGACAGAAAAAGAGAGAAAGAGAAAAATAGGAAGTCAAAGAGATGGAGACAGAGAGGAAGAGACAGAAAATCAAAGAGAGAAGGAAAGAGGAAGAGACAAAGAAGAAGTCAAAGAAAAAGAAAGAGAGATAGAAACAGTAAAGAAAAAAAAGTGTACCCTATTCCTTTAAAAGCCAGGGTAAATTTCTGTCTACCCAGCCAAGGCATATTCTTCTTATGTGGAACGTCAACCTGTATCTGCCTTCCCACTAACTGGACCAGCACCTGTATCTTAGTCTTTCTAAGTCCCAACATTAACATTGCCACAGGAAATCAGACCTTGTCAGTACCCCTCAAAGCTCAAGTCCGTCAGTGCAGAGCCATACAACTAATACCCCCTACTTATAGGGTTAGGAATAGCTACTGCTACAGGAACTGGAATAGCCAGCCTATCTACTTCATTATCCTACTACCACACACTCTCAAAGGATTTTTCAGACAGTTTGCAAGAAATAACGAAATCTATCCTTACTCTACAATCCCAAAAAGACTCTTTAGCAGCAGCGACTCTCCAGAACTGCTGAGGCCTAGACCTCCTCACTGCTGAGAAAGGAGGACTCTGCACCTTCTTAGGGGAAGAGTGTTGTTTTTACATTAATCTGTCAGGGATAGTACAAGATGCCACCCGGCATTTACAGGAAAAGGCTTCTGAAATCAGACAATGCCTTTCAAATTCTTATACCAACCTCTGGAGTTGGGCAACATGGCTTCTCCCCTTTCTAGGTCCCGTGGCAGCCATCTTGCTGTTACTCGCCTTTGGGCTTTGTATTTTTAACCTCCTTGTCAAATTTGTTTCCTCTAGAATTGACGCCATCAAGCTACAGATGGTCTTACAAACGGAACTCCAAATGAGTTCAACTAACAACTTCTACCGAGGACTCCTGGACTGACCCACTGGCCCTTTCACTGGCCAAGAGAGCTCCTCTCTGGAGGACACTACAACTGCAGGGCCCCTTCTTCACACCTATCCAGCAGGAAGTAGCTAGAGTGGTCATCAGCCAAATTCCCAACAGCAGTTGGGGTGTCCTGTTTAGAGGGGAAAGTGAGAGGTGCCAACATGCCAGCAGCCCTCGCTCACTCTCGGTGCTTCCTCGGCCTCAGTGTCCACTCTGGCCACACTTGAGGAGCCCTTCAGCCTGCAGCTGCACTGTGAGCCCCTCTCTGGGGCTGGCCAAGGCCAGAGCCGGCTCCCTCTGCTCGCAGGTAGGTATGGAGGGAGAGGCGTGGGCAGGAGCCGGGGCTGCATTCGGTGCTTGTGGGCCAGCACACATTCTGGGTGGGCATGGGCTTAGCAGGCCTCACATTCAGCATGGCCAGCCACTGCCTGCTGGGCTTAATTAGGGGACAAGCTCCCTCTGGGCTGCCGGAGTGCCCAGGCTGGGTGCTGCAGAGTCCCGCAGCAAGTGCCAGTGACAGGTGAAGCCAGCTGAGCTTCTGGGACAGGTGGGGACTTGGAGAACTTTTCTGTCTAGCTAAAAGATTGTAAACTCACCAATCAGCACTCTGTGTCTAGCTAATTGGGTGGGGACTTGGAGAACTTTTCTGTCTAACTAAAGGATTGTAAATGCACCAATCAGCACTCTGTGTCTAGCTAAAGGTTTGTAAATGCACCAATCAGCACCCTGTCAAAATGGACCAATCAGCTCTGTAAAATGGACCAATCAGCAGGATGTGGGTGGAGTCAGATAAGGGAGTAAAAGCAGGCTGCCAGAGCCAGCAGCGGCAACGTGTTCAGGTCCTCTTCCACGGTGTGGAAGCTTTGTTCTTTGGCTCTTCACAATAAATCTTGCTGCTGCTCACTCTTTGGGTCTGCGCCGCCTTTATGAGCTGTAACATTCACCGAGAAGGTCTGCAGCTTCACTCCTGAAACCAGTGAGATCACGAACCCACCAGAAGGAAGAAACTCCGGACACATCTGAACATCTGAAGGAAGAAACTCCAGACACACCATCTTTAAGAACTGTAACACTCACCGCGAGGGTCCACGGCTTCATTCTTGAAGTCAGCGAGACCAAGAACCCACCAATTCTGGACACAAAACAATCCTGCCTCAGCTTCCCAAAATGCTAGGAATACAGGTATGAGCCACTGCACGCGGCTGATATAAACTTTTTATCGAGGAAGAAACAAACTGTTCACACATAGGCACTTCACAACCAAGAGATAAGAATGGCCCTCTTGTAAAGGTTAGATAGAGTAAGGCTTATAAAGAGTAAAAGAGGAAGTTCATAGAGCTTAATTTTCATTGGTTATTTTAAAGTATCTTTTCCTTTTAGGGCAAGCAGCTTACTTAGGCTGTAGCTGATTGGCTACAATGTGTTGATTCATGCTGAAGGAGGAAATAAATTTCAAGAGTTCATTATAATTTAAGTGAGCATTTCAGGAAATGGGGCTTAATGAGTTTTGCTGAGCTGGCTGTAGGCCACTGGCTCAGAGGCAAAGGTCAGCCCCAGCCCCCATTTTGATTTCTGTTTTACAATATATAATCAGTATAAGCGTTAAACAACAATGCAATCAGGATAATCAACAACCAGACTTGTCCATAGGCCAGCGTTCTGCTCCTGGTCTCCCACCTCTCCTCATATCTATCTGTACGACATTGGTTAAGACACAAGCTGGAGGCCTGGGGGCCTTGTAAAAATAGCAATGGAAAGGATGGAGAGCATCAGGTGAGAATTCTTCATCCTTTCTACTTACGAATTTTATTCTAGCTCTATTAGTGGGGTAAAAGTGTATTACAGCAGATGACTACCATTTCAAATGTGGGCCCCGGCAAGCCCTGTCCTGATCTGTGAAGACCAAGGCCAGCTACTCCAACCCTGCAAGTCAGGCTAACAAGATCGGGCTAATCTCATCCTCTGTTGAAAGTAAGAACACAGGCTTCAGAGTGAAAGATACGCAGCCAGGCTTTCAACTCTGTCCTGAAGACATTTGGCAAATCACTGAGGTGTTGCACTTTCCTCCCCTGGAAGATGGTGCAACAATCTATCTAACTCAAAGGGCTGTTGAAAGGACTGAATGAGAGAACAAGTTAAGTAAGCACTCAGCACAGTGCCTGGTACAAGATAATTGCTTAATAAATGTTGAAGTTCAAATTATGATTTAAATGGATTGTAAGATTGAGGCAAGGACTGTCTAATATCTTGTTCACACGTTTCTTTTACTGATAGCCCACCCTCTTGCCCACCGAGCACAGTGGGTCAGATGTCAATTAAGAATGAAGGAATGCCAGGCCACGCGCGGTGGCTCATGCAAGTAATCCCAGCACTTTGGGAGGCTGAGGTAGGTGGATCACTTGTGCTTAGGAGTTCAAGGTCAGCCTGGGCAACACGGTGAAACTCCATCTCTACAAAAAATACAAAAATTAGCCAGGCATGGTGGCAGGCACCTGTAGTCCCAGCTACTCGAGAGGCTGAGGTGGGAGGATTGCTTAAGCCCAGGAGGCCAAGTCTGCAGTGATCTGCAATCGCACCACTGCACTCCAGCCTGGGTGACAGAGTGAGACCATGTCGCAAAAAAAAAGAATGAATGAATGCCATCTACACACATTAGGATGGCTATAATCCAAAAGAAAAGGAAGAGAAAAGAAGAGAAGGGAAGGGAAGGGAAGGGAAGAGAAAAGAAGAGAAGAACAAGTGTTCAGACGTCTGGAAGAAATTGGAACCTTTGTGTTGATGCGAATGCAAAATGGTGCAGCTGCTATAGAAAACAGTATGGAAGTTCCCCACAAAGTTAAAAATAGAACTACCATATGATGCAGCAATTCCACTTCTGGGTATATACCAAAAAAAGAATTGCAAGGAGGAGCCGGATGTGGTGGCTCACACCTGTAATCCCAGCACTTTGGGAGGCCGAGGCAGGCAGATCACTTGAGGTCAGGTCACCAGCCTGGTCAACATGGCAAAACCCCTCTGTACTAAAAATACAAAAAACAATTAGCCAAGTGTGGCGGTGCATGCCTGTAGTCCCAGCTACTCTGGGGGCTGAGGTGGGAGGATAACTTGAACCCGGGAGGTGGAGGTTGCAGTGAGCCAAGATCGTGCCACTGCACTACAGCCTGGGCAACAGAGTGAGACCCTGTCTCAAAACATAAAATGAAACAAGAATTGAAAGGAGGGGCTTGAACAGATATTTGTACACCCTTGTTCATAGCAGCATTATTCCCAGTAGCCAAAAGGTGGAAGCAATCTGAATGTTCACTGATGGATGAATAGATAACCTGCGGTATATACATATAATGGAGTATTACCCTTAAAAGGGAAGGAAATTCTAACACATGCTACAACATGGAGGAACCTAGAGGAGATAATGCTAAGTGAAGTAAGCCAGTCACAAAAAGACAGATATGCATGATTTCGCTTATACGAGGACCTAGAATAGATCATAGAGACAGTAGTACCATGGTTGACAGGGGCTGGTTTGAGGAGTTATTTAATAGGTACAGAGTGTCAGTTTTGCAAGATGAAAAGAGTTCTAGAGATTGGTTGAACAACAGCATGAATGTACTTAACCCTACTGAAGTGTACACTTAAAAATGGGTAAGATGGCAAATTTTGTGTTATGTGTATTTATCACAATTAAAATTTTTTAATAAAGAGGAATGAATGAATGTGTTGACATATGCTATACCATAAATAAACCTTGAAAACATTAGATTAAGTGAAAGAAGCCAGATGAAAAAGACGACTATTGTATTCTTCTATTTACGTGAAATATCAGAAATAGGCAAACCCATAGAAACAGAAAGTAGTTTAGTAGTTGCCAGGAGTTGAGAGGAAGGAGGAATGAGGGATGAGTGCTAATGGGTACAAGGTATCTTTTTGGGGTGATGAAAATATTCTAAAATTAGATAGTAATGATGCCAACTCTATGAATATATAAATATCACTGAATTGTATAAAAGCATACCTCAGAGATATTTTGTGTTCAGTTACAGACCACTACAGTAAAGCAAATACTGCAGTAAAACATGTCACATAACTCACACCTGTAATCCCAGCACTTTGGGAGGCCAAGGCAGGCGGATCACCTGAGGTCAGGAGTTCGAGACCAGCCTGGCCAACATGGTGAAACCCCGTCTGTACTAAAAATACAAAAATTAGCTGGGCATGGTGGCACGCACCCGCAATCCCAGCTCTTTGGGAGGCTGAGGTGAGAGAATCACTTGAACCCAGGAGGTGGAGGTTGCAGTAAGCCAAGATCGTGCCACCGCATTACACCCTGGGCGACAGAGTGAGACCCTGTCTCAAAAAAAAACCAAAATTATTTCCCACTACACATGAAAGTTACGTCTATACTATACTGTAGTCTATTAAGTATGGAATAGCATTTTGTCTTTAAAAACAATGTACATACATTAATTTAAAAGTAATTTATTGTTGGCTGGGCACAGTGGCTCATGCCTGTAATCGAAGCACTTTGGGGGGCCGAGACGGGCAGATCGCATGAGGTCAGGGGTTTGAGACCAGCCTGGCCAACGTGATGAAACCCTGTTTCTACTGAAAATACAAAAATTAGCCGGGCATAGTGGCACATGCATGTAATCGCAGCAACTCGTGAGGCTAAGACAGGAGGATTGCTGGAACCCAGGAGGCAGAGGTTGCAGTGAGCCAAGATCGTACCACTGCACTCCAGCCTCTGTGACAGAGTGAGACTCCATCTCAAAATAATAATAATAGTTTATTGCTAAAAATGCTAACAATCTTCTGAGCCTTCAGCAAGTCATAATCTTTTTGTAGGTGGAGGGTCCTGCCTTGATGCTGATGGCTTCTGATTGATCAGGGTGGTGGCCCCTGATGGTTGTGGTGGCTGTGGCAATTTTTTTTAAGTAAGACAATATGAAGTTTGTCATATTGATTAGTCCTTTCATGGAAGATTTTTCTGTAGCATGTGATGCTGTTTGATTTTACCCACAGTAGAACTTCTTTCAAAATTGGAGTCACTCAAGCCTGGCTGCTGCTTTATCAACTAAATTTCTGTGGTGTTCTAAATTCTTTGTTGTGATTTCAACAATGTTCACAGCATCTTTACCAAGAGTAGATGCCACTGCAAGAAACCACTGTCTTTGCACATTCATAAGAAGCAACTCCAGGCCATGTGCAGTGGCTCAGGAGAAGGAGAAGAAGGAGAAGGAGAAGGAGAAGGAAAAACTCCTCGTCTGTTCAAGTTTTATCATGAGATTGCAGCAATTCAGTCACATCTTCAGGCTCTTGCTATTTCTACCACATCTGTAGTGACTTTCTCCACTAAAGCCCTGAACCGCTCAACGTCATCTGTAAGGATTGGAATCACCTTCTTCCATAGTTAATGTAGCTATTTTGACCTCCTCTCATGAATCATGAATTTTTTTGAGATGGGGTCTCACTCTGTTGCTCAGGCTGGAGTGCAATGGCACAATCACAGCTCACTGCAGCCTTGACCTCCCAGGCTCAAGCAATTCTCCCACCTCAGCCTCCTGAGTAGCTGGGACTACAGGCATGCACCACCATGTCCAGTTGATTGTTTCAATTTCTAGTAGAGACAGGTTCTCACTATGTGGCTCAGGCTGAGCTCAAGCAATCCTCCCACCTCAGCCACCCAAACTGCTAATATTACAGGTGTGAACCACTGTACCCAGCCAGAAGCCTCTTTTTCTAATCTTAATCTCTATGTGGTAGCTAAAAGAATTGTTACATTCTTAATAGCATCTACGATGGTGAATTCTTTTCAGAAAGTTTTCAATTTACTTTGCCCAGATCCATCAGAGGAATTACCACCTATGGCAGCTATAGCCTTAGAAAATGTGTTTCTTAAATAATGAGACTCAAAAGTTGAAATTATTCCTTGATCCATGGCCTACAGAATGGATATTTTGTTAGCAGGCATGAAAACATTAATCTCCTTGTACTTCTCCATCAGAGCTTTTGAGTGACTAGGCACATTGTCAATAAGCAATAATATTTTGAAAGAAATCTTTCTGTCTGAACAGTAGGTCTCAATAGTGCACTTAAAATATTCAGTAAACTATGCTATAAACAAATATTCTGTCACTCAGACTTTGTCTGAGCATGGGCAGAGTAGATGTAGCATAAATCTTAAAGACCTTGGGATTTTTGGAATGATAAATGAGCATTGGCTTCATCTTGAAATCAGCAGCCACATTAGCCCCTAATAAGAGGGCCACCCTGTCCTTGGAAGCTTTGAGGCCAGACATTGACTTCTCTCTAGCTATGAAAGTCCTAGGTGGCTGTTTCATCTACATTGAAAATTTATTGGCCGAGTGCAATGGCTCACACCTGTAATGCCGGCACTTTGGGAGGATGAGGCAAAAGGATCACTTGAGGCCAGGAGTTCAAGACCAGCCTAGACAACATAGCATCTAGATAATATCTCTACAAAAAAAAAATAAAATTAGCCAGGGCTGAGCACAGTGGCTCACACCTGTAGTCTTAGCACTCTGAGAGGCCCAAACGGGTGGATCTCTTAAGCTCAGGAATTCAAGGCCAGCCTGAGCAACATGGCAAAATCCCATCTCTACAAAAAATACAAAAAATTATCTGAACATGGTGGCATGGATAATTGTCTGTGGTCCCAGCTACTCAGAAGGCTGAGGTGGAAGGTTCACTTGAAACTGGAAGGCAGAGGTTGCAGTTAGCCGAGATCACACCACTACACTCCAGCCTGGGTGACAGAGTAAGACTCGGTCTCAAAAAAAAACAAAAAACAAAAAACAAAAAAACACATTGTTTAGAAAAGTGGCATTGATAGACTTTCTCCAAGGTTTGTTGCCACAAACCTTCAATTTGTAAAAAACAAACACAGTATCTGCAAAGCACAGTAAAAAAAGGTATGCCTATAATTTAAAAGGTTAACTTTTGGCTGGGCACAGTGGCTCACGCCTGTAATCCGAGCACTTTTGGGAGGCCAAGGCAGGCAGGTCGCTTGAGCCCAGGAGTTCAAGACCAGCCTGGGCAATATGGCAAAACCATGTCTCCACAAAAATACAAAAAATTACCTGCATGTAGTGGCGCTCTCCAGTAGTCCCAGCTACTCAGGAGACTGAGGCGGGAGGATCACCTGAGCCTGGGAAGTCAAGGCTGCAGTGAGCTATGATTGCACCACTGCACTCCAGCCTGGGTGACAGGAGTGATACTCTGTCTCAAAAAAAAAGGGGGGGTAACTTTTATCATAACTTTTATTAGGTATGAATTATATCTCAATAAAGCTATCATAAAAAATGAACAAAGGCCAGGCGCGGTGGCTCACACCTAAAATCCCAGCACTTTGGGAGGCTGAGGCAGGCGGATCACCTGTCAGAAGTTCGAGACCAGCCTGCTCAACATGGTGAAACCCGGTCTCTACTAAAGCACACAAAAACTAGCCATGTGTGGTGGCTCACATGTATAATCCCAGCTACTTGCGAAGCTGAAGCACAAGAATCGCTTGAATCCAGGAGGTGGAGGTTGCAGTTAACCAAGATAGTGCCACTGCACTCCAGCCTGGGAGACAGAGTGACTCTGTCTCAAAAAAAAAAAAAAAAAAAAAAAAAAGAACAAATGAGGTTCTAAATTATAAACAGATCATTGGGCTTGTTTTAATTCAGTGTCGATCTCAGCAGAAAGGAGGTTGTCCTGAGTGACCACGAAACTTTGAGATTTGCTACGAAACACCTGCCAAGGGCTGCAAAAAGCCCTAGGCTTTTGCAACTTACCGTAGGACCCACGCTTATCTGGAGCCACAGGATTATCTAACTATACAGTCTCTTTAGGGCATTCGGGCTACAGGCAGCACATCTCTTCCCCTAGAAACGCCCTACAGGGAATTCAGTTTACTACTTGCCATTATAATGGTGTAATTGCATGCTATGCATGGATAATGTGCAAAAACAATCACCAGAGAGTATAAACAAACAGCTGGTGAGCAACCTCGCTGCAAAATGCTAAAGGCAAACTTGAAAAGTTTTGGTTTTTTTTAATTAGTTTTTAAAACCTGATGTGGTTGTCCCAAATGTGCAGCAGAGCATATGTGGCAGCTCGGAAGCAACAGAGACACGTTCTGTAAAATGGCACATTGTCAGAACCATTCACAGGAGAAAACCCGAAGGCAGTGACGAGGCTGAAAGTGGAACCACAATTCACTGGCAGGCCTTTATTCCCACCAATGATTCAAACTTTTCAGCTTAAAAACACCTTCTGTCCCCATAACACATTTTTGCACAGCATGTAAATTTCAAGTGGCTTCTCCCAAAAATACCTTTCTCACCCACCCTAGAGGAGCCTGTAAGACTTATTCAAGAAGCTCTGCCCAAGGCTGGGAGTGGTGGCTCATGCCTGTAATCCCAGCACTTTGGGAGGCCAAGGCGGGTGGATCACCTGAGGTCGGGAGTTCGAGACCAGCCTGATCAACATGGAGAAATTCTGTCTCTACTCAAAATACAAAATTAGCCAGGCATGGTGGCACATGCCTGTAATCCCAGCTACTCGGGAGGCTGAGGCAGGAGAATTGCTTGAACTCAGGAGGCAGAGGTTGCTGTGAGCCGAGATCGCACCATTGCACTCCAGCATGGGCAACAAAGCAAACTCCGTCTCGGAAAAAAAAAAAAAAAAAAGAAGCTCTGCCCAGTCAAGGCGACTGTGCTGGTTGTCCGGGGGCTAATGTGCAGGGCATTTCTAGTCCCCCAAGATCATCAGCCCACATTGCACAAGGACCTAGAGCTGTATTTTGAATAGCCTAAATGGACCTTCTAGAACCGAGTCTTGGGGGGAAAAAATTGAAATATTTGAAACTTACCTGACCAGGCACGGTGGCTCATGCCTGTAATCCCAACACTTAGGGAAGCCAAGGCAGGAGGATCACTTGAGCCCAGGAGTTCAATACCAGCCTGGGCAACATAGTGAGACCTCATCTCTACAAAAATTTTTTAAAAATTAGCGGGGTATGGTGGCATGCACACACCTATAGCCCCAGCTACTCAGGAGGCTGAGATGTGTGGATCGCTTGAGCCCAGGAAGTTGAGGCTGAAGTGAGCTATAATGGTGCCACTGTACCCCAGCCTGGGTGACAAAGTGAGACCCTGTCTCAAAAAAAAAAAGAAAAAAGAAAAGAAAAAGAACTTACCAAACCATCATTATAGCAGAAATATAAGCATATGTAAACAATTCACGTGGCACTGAAAATAATGATGATTAGAAGCATATCAGGCGTAGTTTTGTTCATTGCCTATCTTTTCTGAGAAACTGGTAAATTCTTCAAGCCCCAGCAAGGAAAGGCAGAGTCTCAAACCTGACCAGGTTTGTCATCTGAAGCCCACTATATTGGATATTCTTTCTGCCCTCTCCTGTGGGTTCTATCAGAGTCATGACAGGCTTTGAGCATTTTCTTAGTGCTTATCCACGGATCACTGGTTGGCTTCATTCTATGTGGTTGCTTCTTTCTTTTCTTTTTAAAAATTGAGATATGGGCTGGGTGCGGTGGCTCACACCTGTAAATCCCAGCACTTTGGGAGGCCAAGGTGGGTGGATCACTAGAGGTCAGGAGTTCAAGACCAGCCTTGCCAATATGGTGAAACCCTGTCTCTACTAAAATTAGAAAAATTAGCCAGGTGTGGTAGCAAGTGCCTGTAATCCCAGCTACTCAGTAGGTTGAGGCATGAGAATCCCTTGAACCCAGGAGGTGGAGGTTGCAGTGAGCAGAGATCACGCCACCGCACTCTAGCCTGGGCGGCAGAGTGAGACTGTCTCAAAAAAAAACAAAACAAAAAAAAAAAAAAACAGAGACAGAGAGAGAGAGAATCTATGTACCATAAAATTCACCCTTTTGAAGTGTCCAATTCAGTGACTTTCAGCATATTCACAAGATTGTAGCGCTATCACCACTATCACCTCAAAAAGAAATTCCATGTGCATTAGCAGTCATCCCATTTCCTACTTCTCCTGGTGCCTTGACACTACTAATCTAATTTCTGTTTCTTTTTTTTTTTTTTTTTTTTTTTTTTGAGACAGACTCTCGCTCTGTGGCCAAGCTGGAATGCAGTGGCACGATCTCGGCTCACTGCAACCTCCGCCTCTGGGTTCAAGCCATTCTCCTGCCTCAGCCTCCTGAGTAGATGGGACTACAGGCACACATCTCCACGCCCGACTAATATTTGTATTTTTGGTAGAGACAAGCTTTCGCCATGTTGGCCAGGCTGGTCTTGAACTCCTGACCTCAGGTGATCCACCCGCCTCAGCCTCCCAAAGTGTTGGGATTGCAGGCATGAGCCACTGCACCTGGCCTAATTTCTGTTTCTATAGATTTTCCTATTCTGGACATTTCATATAAAGGAATTCTATAATATGTGGTCTTTCATGTCTGGCCTCTTTCTTGGCATAATGTTCTCGTGGTTCACCCATGCTGTTGTGTGTGTCAGCACTTCATTTCTTTTTTTGGCTGAATAATATTCCACTGTATGGGTATACCATATTTTGCTTATCCATTCGTTGGTTAAGGGAGATTTGGGTTGTTTCCACTTTCTGGCTATTATGAATAACGCTTCTTTGAACTTTCATGTACAGGTTTTTGTGCAGACATACGTTTTCAGTTCTCTTGGGTATATACATAGCAGCGGAACTGATGAGTCATATGGTGACTCTGTGTTTAACGTTTTAAGGAGAACTGCCAGATCCACTGTGCCATTTTACATCTGTGGTTGCTTTTGGCTGTGGCATGGTGGGGCCTTTTCTTGGCTTCTGCCTTTTGTGCTCCTCGTTATCCCACCTGAGCCTCAAGTGGCAACACGCTTCCAGGAATGTCTTGTTTTCTCCTCAAACTTACTCCCAATCAAAGTGAAGTGACCTGTTCCCAAGCAAAGACAGACGAAAGAGAACAAAAATGCAGCAGGGTCCAGCTGCACACCCAACATTGAGCTCCACAATGTATGTGTTCAGTTCTTTTCTTACTCACAGTAAGACTTGAGGTAGATGTCATTGTCTCCACTTTATCAACGAGGAAGTGGAAAAGGCTTCCAGGTTTGTCATTTGAACCCCACTGTGTTGGACATTCCTTCTGCCATCTTATAGTTTTATTGCTCTAAGCTCCTTCCCAAGAAAGCAGTTCTCAAACTGTGCATCACAGAACCTGATGGTACTTCAGGGGTTCAACAACAAACAGTATTTTCTTCTAAACAATGAGTGTTTAACATTCCTGAAAAATCCGCTCCTCATTTTTATCTGTCTTAGAGTTCAGTGGAAACCTTGTCAGTCATTTTCTTTTCTTTTTTTTTGGAGACAGAGTTTTGCTCTATCACCCAGGCTGGAGAGCAGTGGTGCAATCTTGGCTCACTGCAACCTCCGCCTCCAGGGTTTAAGCAATTCTCGTGCCTCAGCCTCCCGAGTAGCTGGGACTACAGGCGCACGCCACCATGCCCAGCTAATTTTTGTATTTTTAGTAGAGATGGGGGTTTCACCATGTTGGCCAGGCTGGTCTCAAATACCTAACCTCAAGTGACCTGCCCATCTCAGCCTCCCAAAGTGCTGGGATTGCAGGTGCCCAGCCACCTCGTCAGTCTTATTTACCACTTTTTGTCCAGGGCTTACAACAATACATGGCATACAGTAATTGTTCAATAAATATTTTTCTAGTTAATAAATTTTTCTCTGCTAAAAATTTGGGAAACCATTGTGCTAAGGCATTGCTTCGTAAACCCGACAAAGTCAAAACTTGCAATTTAACTTACTGTTAAATTGCCCATATAATATATTTTTTAAATATAGCTCATGAGGCCCTGCTGAATCAGACTCTTCAGGGTGGGTGTTGGCATTGCTGTTATGAATCTCCCCCGGTGATGCTGAAAGAGCTTTCTGCAGACCCTAGTTTGCAAGCCACTGCTCTGAGAGGTACTGGCTCTGCTTGGCCTCAGGGCCAGTGACATCTATGGTTACTTTCCCAGGCCTAAGAGATCTTACTCTGGCCCAGAGCCACAGTCAACAACTGTACAGTCTGGAATTTTTATCTGTATCTATTGTCATGACAGTCCACTGGCTATGGCTGGCTTCACTCTAACCATTAGACTTTTCTTTTCTTTTCTTTTCTTTTTTTCTGAGACAGAGTCTCGCTCTGCCGCAGTGGCACAATCTCATGTGACTGCAGTGGCACAATCTCCGCTCACTGCAACCTCCGCCTTCCGGGTTCAAGCAATTCTCCTGCCTCAGCCTCCCAAGTAGCTGGGATTACAGGCACCCACCACCATGCCCAGCAAATTTTTGTATTTTTAGTAGCGACAGGGTTTCACCATGCTGGCAAGACTGGTCTCGAACTCCTGACCTCAGGTGATCTGCCCACCTCGGCCTTCTAAAGTGCTGGGATTACAGGCATGAGCAACCGCGCCTGGCCACCATTAGACTTTTCAATGTGACTGCAAGCCTGAGGAGCACTACAAGCCAGTCTTTCCCTAGACCTCAACTGTAGACCTTCTTTCTTATTGTTAACTAGTAGCAATTAAAGCCATTCTGGATTGAATATCAGAAGTTCTCCATGACTGGAGAAAAGAATCTCACCACTTCTAACACCCTGTAATTCTTCCCTCTTACCCCCAACCCCCGCTCACCAAGGACTTGAGGGATAAGCTTATGCCATGCAACGGGGTTCCCCTTTCCCCTCCACCTATAGAAAGTGGCAGTAGGTCCCATAGATTCAGTTCTTCTTTCAAGGTCAAGGACAGTGTAGGAAATGGTAACATCTTCCACTCCATTCCATTACACTGGGGCCACCCACTGATGGTGGCCCTAAAGAGAAAAAAGAACTCCTGACTCAATTTTACATGCTTGCTTCGAGTCCCACTTCCCCTTTTCTCCTAGGAGGAAGAAGGACTTTATCATACTAGCAAATCTGAAGATTATCTAAAGATATTCAATTATGTATCTATAGTCAGAGTAGACCCACAGTGTGAGGAAGACCAGGCTATGGCAGCAGGGCTGCCCCTTAGGCAGAGTGGGGGTAGAAGAGTGAGGGTGGGAATAGGGGTGTTGGCTGAGGAGATGGAAGGGGAAGCAGGAAGGCAGGGTAAATCTGGATGAGCATGAGATAGAGCCCAGTCAACAAAGCACAGTACCCATGAGGGTGCAGCAATCTCCAATCCCAGTGCAAGCAAATCACTGGCCCCAGGGACTTGAGAAGCCTCAAGATGGCCTCACAGGAGTGCAAAGGAAATAAAAATAGTCTCTCTAGCACTTTGCCACCCAAGGGGTGGTCCTCCAACCAGCAGTGGCAGCATCACCCAAGCGTTTGTTAGACATGCAGAATCTCACGTCCCACCACCTAACTTAACAAGACCTCAGCATGATTTGAATGCACATTAAAGTGCTCTGAACCAGCTTGAGAACAAGCACAACTCAGTATTAAAACACAGTAGATGGTTCAGCTGAGGCTGCGTCTAGGCAACTCTCAAGCTTTGATGCACATAAGAATTGCCTGGAAAGATTCTGATTCAGGCAGAATCAGAATTTTCGGGTGCAGAATTTGGGTAGGGCACAAGAATCTATATTTTTAGCAAATGCACAGATGATTCTGATTCCAGAGGTTCCAACTGCTTTACTTCTGAACAGAGGACATGAAGTTCCCACTTACGTGTGTGCAGAATAATATTTTAAATTCTTAACTCATTGTTTCCATGTATGTGTCTCTTTTGCTCATTGCCCACTTCCAGCAGATAGGCCATTTTGTGCCCGTTGCCATTTGGAAAGGGTGTAAGAAGACTGAAGTCTAAAGAACAGAGAGACAGACAGATAGACTTCTTCCTGACTGTGGCTCCCAAAAGCCTATAGCCTTTGGTTGTACTTGTACAATGCAAACAAATGCCAGTAGATAGACAGGCTATTAAGTGTGAGTCCCAGTGGATTAGGAACTCAGAATTCAGTTGCGGTAGAAAATAAAGAAAGCAGAATATGGAGTGAAAATTGCACCAGCTACATGGGAAGGTTGGCAGGAATTTAGCTCAAGAACATTCTTTTAAAGAGTCCCCTGGTGGGGCCCCTGGTGGGGCACCTCTGGTGCAGCAGACTCTCTCGGCACTACCTCCAACGTTTCTCCAGAGAATCCTGGGCTTTTCTACCAAATGTCCAATTTTCCTTATTCTTTCTTCATGTATTTTCTCTATTCTCCTCAACATTGCCTTTAATGGCCCATCAGGAGACACCACCATGACCCTTTCAAACTAGAGAACCCAAACAACAGCGGAGAAAACAGCGATTCTTTTGATCCACTTTCTCCCGGGCCAGGGAAAACCCAGTGTTTCAAAACACGTGCTTTCCCTACCATTCCTGGAGAGAGAATGAACCATGTGAGTCTTTCCTGGGTGAGGCCAGTTTCATGCCTGACCTGCTCTCCAATCAGCAGAGAAAAGGACAATGTTTCCCTATTAAAACCAGATGAACTTTCACAGCTACTCCCCAAATATTCTTATCAATGTCGTCCTTCACTGGAAGTTAGGGTGAAATATGTATTAGCGCTTGGCAGAAATGCCAGCTAATTGCAGCTAAGATAGTGTTGCAATTTCTACCCTCCTAAATTTCTCAACGGCAAAGTTCAGCTTTCCTAAAGCTTCGGGGTCTTTGCAACCTGAAATGTCAACCCCGCAAAGACCAATTCCTATGAAAAAGCATTTGCTCTGTAATTGGTTATGGAAATGGAACCTTTAAGTGAGCTTCTGGGAGTAACAGTAGTCTGCTAGAGCAATGGCAACCCCATCCTCCTCTTTCTTGAGAGCAACGGCAACCCCATCCTCCTCTTTCTTGAAGTGAGCACCAGGATTGAAGTACAGACATACTCAGGATAAGAGTAGAATAATTCCCACACATAATCTCCAGTCTCTGTTATTTCTGTACAGGAACTTTTCCTAGTCCATCCAAATTTGACACAGCCGGGTCTGGCCTTGAACCAGCGCCACATCTCCAGGCCTGCCCTGAGCCTCCACGGCAGCCTGTTCCAGGACTCCCCTGGGAAGAGCAGTGGGAGGCTGTCTCTCCTCCAAACCCAGCAAGGTTTCTGTTCACACTTTTCCAGAGTCAAAGTGGATTAAGCTGTCTAAAAGTGGGTACAGTTAACAGAAGTGACTCAAATTACAACCATTACCTCTGCCTGCCCCCACTTCCTCTTTCATCACCTCTGAGAGGCACCTGTGGGTGCCTCCTGGGTTGATGAGCCTCCCCCTTTGGCTGCAGCATATGTATGAACGTATGACGCCACCGCTGTATGGTGGGATGCCAACTGGAGAGGAGTCTGTTGATTCTAGAGCAGCTGACTTCTGTCATGTTTCTCCCTAGAAATAGAGAGAAGCCACAGAGGGAAGAAGGTGTGAAATGGGGCCAGGTGCGGTGGCTCACACCTGTAATCCCAGCACTTTGGCAGGCAGAGGCAGGAGGATCGCTTGAGGTCAGGAGTTCGAGACAAGCCTGGCCAACATGGTGAAACCTCATCTCTACTAAAAATAAAAAAATTAGCTGGGTGCGGCCACGCGTGCCTATAGTTGCAGCTACTCAAGAGGCTGAGGCAGGAGAATCGCTTTAACCCAGGAGGCAGAGGTTGCAGTGAGCCAAGATCACACCACTACACTCCAGCCTGGGTGACAGAGTGAGATTCTGTCTCAAAAAAAGAAAAAAAAGAAAGTGTGAAATGGGAAAATGAGGGATGAAGAGCAAGTCTGCATCCTGGTAGTTCATTTCCTGCTTCCCTACTTCCTGAAGCTTTGTGGCCCTTGGGTTTCATAAAGCATCACTGTGAGTCATCCCACTATCTCATGTCTCCATCATAGCTACACTATTTCTTCACTTGTATTGTCTGCCTCTCTCACAATCAGCCAGGCTCTCCTTGACACCAGGGACCTCTTTAAATTCAGATTAGTAACGACAGCCCATGGTGGGATAGTTAGGTACAGGGAAAGTGATTCAAATGTCAGTTGAATAAATAAAAGCACAACTTGATTATCACACACTATCCTGAAAGAACATGTGTGTCATAACAAAAATCATTGGATATTATGTTTGGTGCTTTAAACACGCACACACACACACACACACACACACAAATATGAAACATTTTTTCTGCCATCCATGGGTTGACAGCTAAATAGAACATTCTTTTGTAAATAAACATGACTATTTATACAAAACATATGGCAGCAGAATTAAAATATTGTATGTTTATGAATGACTTATAAAACCCCATATAATGTTGTAGGGAATGGATTTAATAATTATGGGGGTTTTCTGCCCAGACACAACAGTGGAGAGCACATTTTCTCTGTGGAATCCAGGAGGCTTCATGACAAGAAAGAGATACTATCAAAAGAGCTTTCAAAACACTGCAAAGAGACCACCTGGAGATCAGGAAACACAAGGGAGAGCCAGGTGCATACTGGGTAGGAGCATGGGGCTGGTACCTTGGAGGGTGCAAGAGAAGTGAGAAAGTCAGGGTTTTTAAGTTTGCCAGGGCCACTCTAACAAAGTACTGCAAACCGGGTGGCCTAAACCAGTGGTCCCCAACATTTTTGGCACCAGGGGGACAAGTTTCATGGGAGACAATTTTTCCATGGACCCGGATCGGGGGCAGCAGGGAAGGGGGGGGGCAGTTTCAGGATGATTCAAGCACATTACATTTATTGTGCACTTTATTTCTATTATTATAACATTGTAATATTTAATGAAATAATTATACAACTCACCATAATGTAGAATCCGTGGGAGCCCTGAGCTTGTTTTCCTGCAACTAGACAGTCCCATCTGGGGATGATGGGAGACAGTGACAGATCATCAGGCATTAGAGTCTCATAAGGAGCCCACAACCTAGATCCCTCACATGCGCAGCTCACAATAGGGTTTGTGCTTTTATGAGAATCTAATGCCAGCTCTGATCTGACAGGAGGCGGAGCTCAGGCAGTAGTGTTCGCTTGCCCACTGCTCACCTCCTGCAGTGCAGCCCAGTTCCTAACTGGCCTATGGTACTGTTCTATGGCTCTGGGGTTGAGGGCCCCTGGCCTAAACAAAAGGAACTGTTTTTTTTGTTTGTTTTTTTTTTTTGAGATGGAGTTTCACTCTTATTGCCCAAGCTGGAGTGCAATGACATGGTCTCGGCTCACTGCAACCTCTGCTGCCTAGGTTCAAGAGATTCTCCTGCCTCAGCCTCCCGAGTAGCTGGGATTACAGGCACCCACGACCACGCCTGGCTAATTTTTTGTATTTTTAGTAGAGGGAGGTTTCACTATGTTGGTCAGGCTGCACCCAGCCCAGAACTTCTTGTTTCATAGTTCTGGAGGTTAGAAGTCCAAAATCAAAATATCAGGAGTGTTGGTTCCATCTAAGGGCTATGAGGGAAGGATCTGTCGAGGTCTCTCTCCTTGGCTTATAGATGGCCATCTTCGTGTTCAGATGACAGTCTCCCTGTGTACCTGTCTGTCTCCAAATTCCCCTTTTTATAAGGACACCAGGCATATGGGACAAAGGCCCACCCTAGTGATCTGATGACCTCTGCAAAGATCACATTCTGAGGTACTGGGGATTAGGACTTCAACATATTCATTTTGAGGGAATACAATTCAAACTGTCACATGGATGCCCTGGAAGCACTATAGATGAGGATGTGTTCCTGGCTTAGTTCGAATTCTAGATCTCCAGTCAAAAGGTTTTTTTAAATCACCCCATTACCACACCACCACCCTAGCCCCCAGATCTTCTCATCACACACGCTTTTTATCTTTTTTCTTTTTTTTTTTTGAGACAGAGTTTCACTCTTGTTGCCCAGGCTGAAGTGCAATGGCACAATCTCAGCTCACTGCAACCTCTGCCTCCCGGGTTCAAGTGACTCTCCTGCCTCAGCTCCCAAGTAGCTGGGATTACACATGCACACCACCACGCCCAGCTAATATTGTATTTTCAGTAGAGACGGGGATTCTTCATGTTGCTCAGGCTGGTCTCGAACTCCTGATCTCAGGTGAGCCGCCCACCTCAGCCTTCCAAAGTGCTGGGATTACAGGCGTGAGCCACCATGCCTGGCCTCACACATGCTTTCTGTGGCTGCTAGAAAACAAGGGCTCTTTGGAGTCACTCGTGCCTGTGGAATCTCCTGCGGGACTTTCAAAAGTGAGTTGTTAGGCTTGGCACAGTGGCTCATGCCTGTAATCCCAGCACTTTGGGAGGCCAAGGTGGGCAGATTGCTTGAGCTCAGGAGTTCGAGACCAGCCTGGACAACATGGTGAGACTCCCGTCTCTACAAAATAAATAAATAAATAAAAGTGAGTTGTTGCCTCCCTAGCAGTCATTCAGCCTCTTGGTGGGAGCACTGACACTGTGATGCCGACGTTGAAACTGCCGGACACCCAAACTCTCAGTTCAGCGTGCAGGCAGAGCACAGGCAGCTGACTCACTCTTGACTGACGGGACCGGACGTGGCTTCCGCTGGGAACTTTTGGCAAAGCACATCTCCGTTAATACCTAAAAGATGCGGGATGGGAACACCCCTCCCTTCCTGGCCTGGACATGGCCTGGTGAGGATGTAATGCTTGGGAGCTCCAAAGTGATTTTTTTTTTTTTTTTTCAGAGACGGAGTCTCGCTCTGTCGCCCAGGCTGGAGTGCAGTGGCGTGATCTCGGCTCACTGCAAGCTCCACCTCCCAGGTTCAAGCAATTCTCCTGCCTCAGCCTCCCGAGTAGCTGGGATTACAGGCAGCCACCACAGTGCCCAGCTAATTTTTGCATTTTTAGTAGATGCAGGGTTTCACCATGTTGGCCAAGCTGGTCTCAAACCTCTGACATCAGGTGATCTGCCCACCTTGGTCCAAAGTGATTTTAAAACCATGAAGGGAGATGGCACCAAAACATTAGAACGGCAGAGCAGGAAAATGAAAACCTTTTCTCAACTTTGGTAGGCTGATATCCATATGCTAAGCCCTGGAACCCATCAATTTTACCTTATAGATTTGATAAAGTTAAGGATCTTGGGGTGAGATTATCCTGAATTATCTGGGTGGACCCTAAATGTAATCACAAGTGTCCTCATGAGAGGGAAGCAAAGGGAGATTTGACAACAGAAATAGGGGAGGAGATGATGGAAGCCAGAGGTTGGAGTGATTTGAGGAAGGAGTCACGAGCCAAGGAATGCAGACAGCCTCCAGAAACTAAAAAATGCAAGAAAACAGAACTTCCCTAGAGCTCCCAGAAAAAAAAACAGCCCTGCCAACTGACTTTAGTCCAGTGAAACTGATTTTAGACTCCAGCCTCCAGAACTATAAAAGAATAAAGTTGTGTTGTTTTAAGCCAAGTTTCTGGTAATTTATCATAGTAGCAGTAGGAAATTAATACAACAACCTAAAACTGAACCAACCCAGGGAACACGTTTCCTCTTGATTTCTTGTAAAATGGCATCATTTTTTAAACTCCGAATTTTATAAGCTACTTTTAGCAAGGCTTGTTGTTTGTTACTTGTAGTCCCATGCATCCTAAATCATACTTTTAACATGACTGGCGGCAGTTTTAGTGGAGCTATTATTAGTTAGGATATTGGTTCAGCTGCTAACATAGGAAGAATTTTTTTTTTTTTTTTGAGACGGAGTCTCATTCTTGTCACCCAGGCTAGAGTGCAAAGGTGCGATCTCGGCTCACTACAACGTCTGCCTCTCCGGTTCAAGCGATTCTCCTGCCTCAGCCTCCCAAGTAGCTGGAATTACAGGCACCCACCATCATGCCTGGCTAATTTTTGTAGAGACGGGGTTTCACCATGTTGGCCAGGCTGGTCTTGAACTCCTGACCTCAGGTGATCTTCCTGCCTCGGCCTCCCAAAGTGCTGGGATTACAGGTGTGAACCACCACGCCCAGCCCCCCAACCTTTTTTTTTAAAGGAGGACTGGTAGTGCAGGTCTGCTTTGAGAATTTTACTCAGAAGTAGTCTTCTTTATTTAGCATATTGGATACCTCTCACTTTCTTTTTTTTAGTAGTGATAAAATAAGTAGCAATATTTTTATATGAGTATATCTTATTGCTCTGCCATTCCTGGGGGGTTGTCCTCATCCTCATGGTCCAAGATGACTTGCCACCAATACAACTGCAAGCCAACCAAGAAAAGAGGGGGAGGCCCAAAGACAGGGCACACCCCAGAAAGCTGCACCACTTCCATTCATAGTGCAACGGTCAGAACTTGGTCATCTGGCTACACCTACTTGTCAGGGAAGCTGGAAGTCTTTAGTCAAACGTGCACAATTAGAAACACAAAAATAAAAATAAAAGAGCATGTACATACTGGAGACCATAGGTGGTCTCTGTTTCAGTTCTGTTTCAGGAACGATGATATGAGCATTTAAGTTAAAATCAAGGAGGCTTTAGCATCTCAGGACAAATGACCCTAATACTCAACCCTACTGATGAAACTTAACTCATTCCAGATCTCCTCTGGTCTACGGCCATGGTTTAAGAATTTGTGGGGGCCGAGTGTGGTGGTTCAAGGCTGTAATCCCAGCACTTTGGGAGGCTGAGGCGAGTGGATTGCTTGAGCCCAGGAGTTCAAGACCAGCCTGGCCAACAGCCTGGGCAATATCCCTACTAAAAATACAAAAACTAGCTGGGTGTGGTGGCACACACCTGTAGTCCCAGCTACTCGAGAGGCTGAGATGGGAGCATCACTTGAACCCAGGATGTCGAGGCTGCAGTGAGTCATGATCGTGCCACTGTACTCCAGCCTGGGTGACAGAATGAGACCCTGTCTCAAAAAAAAAAAAAAAAAGAATTTGTGGGGAGGGTAGCAGCAGATTCTGCAATATATAAGAAACAAATGGTGGTGCCCTTCTCCATTACCTTCCCCTCGTGCCCAGGGCACCTCTTTGAAGTATTAGTTCTCCGGGAAGACACTGAAAGAATGCATTGCTCTAAGAGAAAGCAAAACCCTACTGCTCTGCAGATAGTCACAGTAATTCTTGGGGATTCCCAAGGCTGCCAAGTTTATTTCTCCTGTGAGTTACGCTGAAAACCCCCAACCCTTGGTAAATAATCTGAACCAGTCTCGTTGCTACATTGCTTGGTAGATTTTAGAGTCACTCACTGCAGGAAACAGAGGCTGGAACATTCCACTCCCTAGGTGAGAAGCCATTTTCAACTACACCCTGTAGTTCACGGTGCTATCTGGAGCCAGAGTGAATGCCGGTTGCCATGGCACTGCTTTAAATTGTGCCTGTGCTGACACATCTCATCACAATGTCACATGCTGCTCCCATACACTAGATAGATAGAGCCGCATCTATCTCTTCCTCATGTTTACCGATTGATGCCTGAGCTCTGCGTTAGGAATAGAGATACATCAGCCAGAAAGCAAATCATGTGGGTGCCACACCTCCCTGGCTTATTTATAAGGGGTTGAAAACACCTGAATTAGGCAACAAGCGATCTGAGTTCTACTCACAGTTCTCCACTCTGTGATTTTGGACAAATTCCTTAAAATCTCTGACCCTTGGATTCCTCACCTGTACAATGAATGAGATGGAGTAGAATATCTCTGCAGTATCTTCCTGATGTAATGTCTCTGACTCCTGCACGCCGTTTTGAAGCAGCGGAAGCTCTGCAGAGAATCAACATCAAAGTGTGAGTGAGGCAATTCCTGTAAGCAGTTGCATGGCCCTGCCCTGCTGACTGTTTCTGAAATTCCCCTCCACCATCTCTGAGCTGTTAGGGATTTGTTTTGAGTTAATTTTCTGGCAAGATGCCACTTGCCAAAAGGTCCCTTCTGGTGCACTAAGAGGACTGTTTTCAGCTTGGATTATTATTTGCCTTGGAAATGCTTTCTTCTCAAGCCAGTCGCTGGTTCAGTGCTCACAGTTTTGGTCCCAAAGATAGCTACACCTCTGAATAAAGTAAGTTCTGAAACTAGACACTTTGGGATGCAGAGGTGGGAGGGTCACTTGGGTTCAGCAGTTCAAGACCAGCCTTGGCAACATAGTGAGACTCGTCTCTACTAAAAATACAAAAATTAGCCAGGTGTGGTAGTGTGTGCCTGTAGTCCCAACTACATCACTTGAGCCCAGGAGGTCGAGGCTGCCGTGAGTCGGAATACAATGGCTGGACAACAGAGCGACACCTTGTCTCAAAAATAAATAAATAAACTAGAAAAAGACATGTGAGGCTGGCTTTTGGGCATGTTTTATAGAGTAGTATCTCATGGGACCAAGGGACAAAGCAGCTCTGATACTTGTATAACCAGCGTGCAGCTGGTCTCATTAGCTGGTCTCATTTCATACTTGCGTTGTCCTGCCCCCTAGCACTCATCTGTTGTTTGTAAAAACTGGGCTCTTGCTGGGCGTGGTGGCTCATGCCTGTAATCCCAGGACTTTGGGAGCCTGAGGCGGGCAGATCACGAGGTCAGGAGTTCGAGACCAGCCTGGCCAATATGGTGAAACCCCGTCTCTACTAAAAATACAAAAATTAGCCAGGCGCGGTGGTGTGTGCCTGTAGTCCCAGCTACTCAGGAGGCTGAGGCGGAAGAATCGCTTGAACCCAGGAGGCGGAGGTTGCAGTGAGGCGACATCGCTCCACTGCACTCCAGCCTGGGCAACAGAGCGAGACTCCATCTCAAAAAAAAAGAAAAAAAGAAAAAAACTGGGCTCTCACTTTCAAATTCTCCTTCACACCCCATCTCAATTATTTGTGGGAATCCTCACATGGGCTCTCATGTATAATCCACAGACAAAAATAGGGTCTGGGAAGTAAGGGGAACAAGGGTAATAGAGTGTCTTGGCTCAAACCAGGGATAAGCAAGTCACAGGAAAAAAATCTAGGGACTTGACAGCAATCATCATCTTTTTTATTTTTGAGATAGGGTCTCGCTCTGCCACCTAGGCTGCAGTCCAGTGGTGCGATCTCGGCTCACTGCAGCCTCAGCCTCCTGGACTCAAGCCATCCTCCCACCTCAGCCTCCCAAGTAGCTGGGACCACAGGCGCATGCCAACCATGCATGGTGAATTTTGGTTGTTGTTGTTTTTGTTGTTGTTTTGAGACAGAGTCTTGCTCTATTGCCCAGGCTGGAGTGCAGTGGCGCAATCTTGGCTCATTGCAACCTCTACCTCCTGGGTTCAAGTGATTCTTGTGCTTCAGCCTCCCTAGTAGCTGGGACTACAGGTGTGCACCACCAAGCCTGGCTGATTTTTGGTTTTTTAGTAGAGACGGAGGGGTGGGGGTGGGGGGTTCGCCATTTGGCCAGGCTGGTCTTGAACTCCTGACCTCAGCCTCCCAAAGTGCTGGGATTACAAGCATAAGCCATTGTGCCCGGCCCAGACTTTTTGTATTTTTTGCAGAGACAGGATCTCACTGTGTTGCCCAGGGTGGTCTTGAAGTCCTGGGCTCAAGCGATCCTCCCACCTCAGCTTCCCAAAGTGCTGGGATTACAGGCTTGAGCGACTGTGCCAGGCCACAATCACCATCTTGAAAACAAGGTTTGTCCACCTCAGTTTGCCTGATAGGGAGTGAGAGGAAAATCTAGACAGACTTCACAGAGAAAATGAAACATTGGCTGGCTCTCAAAGAATGAATGCTGGATCCAGTGATGATGGCTTTGGGGGAAGACCTGATGAAGCAGATGCCCCTGTGCCTTGCCCCCCAACAGACTGACCTCCCCTTTCCAAACTTCAGTTGGAGCACTTGTACATTCATTCTATATTTTTTAGTCTTCTATTTTTTTTAATGTCCTAATCTTAGAATTAAGGCAAAAAGATAATTGTATGTCCTTTCACTGTCATGCTGGAGCATTGTCCGAACAGGTCCACCCAAGTGTTATTCATCTGGAGAATGTACCTTTGTTTGACTTGTTAATTATTATCATTAGGGTCCAGATTCTATGAAGTTACGTGTTAACTTGTAGGTTTTTGTCTGTTAGAGACCCAAATGATTCCTATTCTACAGAAAAGACAATCCTAAAGATTATAGTTTATTAACCTGTAGGACATAAACTAGATTTCCCTTTAACCTAGCTAACTTATTTCAGCATGTCTTTTCTGCTATACAAACCTCTGTTCCTTGAATTCTCCTTCAACCAGATTTATTATCTTTCTGGTCTCTTCATTAAATGAGTTAGATTGATATTTGACACATGCTCACTATATATTTGATGGCAGCATGTTTTTTACTCTTAGAGGGAGACTTAGCCTAAAAAAAAAAAAGGAAAGAAAAAAAAGAAAATTATCCTTTGGCACTCATTTAACAAATATTTATTGAACAACTTTTTTTTTTTTTTTTTGAGATGGAGTCTAGTCCTGTCGCCCAGGCTGGAGTGCAGTGGTACGATCTCAGCTCACTGCAACCTCCACCTCCCAGGTCCCGGTTCAAGCAATTCTCCTGCCTCAGCGTCCTGAGTAGCTGGGATTACAGGTACCCACCACCACGCCCAGCTAATTTTTGTATTTTTAGTAGAGATGGGGTTTCACCATGTTGGCCAGGCTGGTCACGAACTCCTGACCTCAAATGATCCACCTGCCTCAGCCTCCCAAAGTGCTGGGATTACAGGCGTGAGCCACCGCGCCCGGCCTATTGAACAACTATTATAGGCATCTTCGTCTGTTTAGGCTGCTAGAACAAGAATACCATAGACTGGGTAGTTTATAAACAATAGAAATTTATTTCTAACAGTTCTGGTGGTTGGGAAGTTCAAGATTACAACACTGGCATGTTTGGTATCTGGTGAGAGCCTACTTACTGTTTCACAGAAGGCCTCACAAGGCAAAAGGGGCAAGGGAGTTCTCTGGAGCTTCTTTTATAAGGGCACTAATTCTATTTATGAATGTACTACCCTCAAGATCTAATCAATTCCCAAAGACCCACATCTCCTAATATCATCACACTAGGGGTTAGGAGTTCAACATATAAATGTTGAGGGAAGCCTGGGCAACAATGGCAAAACTTCATCTCTACAAAAAAAAAAAAATATATATATATATATACACATATATATATAAAACATAGATTTATATATATAATATATATTTATATCTATATACAGAATATATAGAATATATATTCTATATATATACACACACATATACACAAAAAAATAGCCTAGCATGGTGGCGCCCATCTGTAGTCCCAGCTACTTGATGTTGGCACCCATCTGTAGTCCCAGCTACTTGGAGGGCTGAGGCAGGGAGGATCACTTGAGCCCCAGAGGTCGAGACTGCAGTGAGCCATGTTCACACTACTGCAAATGGTCTCAGTTTGTCACCCTGTCTCAAAAAAAAAAAATGGGAAAACACGGAGACAGTAGATATTACAGAGAACAAGATAGACCTGGTCTCTGCCCTCATACAGCAAACATTCTGAAGGGAGAAAGATTGCAAATACATCAATAAATTGTAGACTATGCTTAGCGAAATGAAGAAAAATACAAAAAGTGCTGTGACAGAGATTATTGGGGTAGGTAGTCACAGCAGGCCTCTCTGAGAAGGTGACATGAAGCTGAGACTTGAAAGACAGAAGCCAGCTCTACAAAGAGGGAGCGGGGAAAGGTTCCAAGAAGAGGGAAACAGCAAGCACAAGGACCCTGCAGTGGAGCCAGCTTCAGATTGTCCTGGGAACTAGAAGGCCAGATGATGAGGGTGGGATCCATGAAAGGCAAGATGGCCTGAGATATAGTCAAAGAGGTAGTGTGGAAATTAGATTTTTAATGTCAGGACTTGTCATTACCAAGAACTAAGGAAGAAAGAAGGGGGCTGATCACCACCTAAAAGCCGGGTGACCTTCACGTCTTAATTATTTTATTATATTATATTATTTTATTTTTGAGACAGGGTCTCACTCTGTCACCCAGGCTGGAGTACAGTGGCTCAAACATGGCTCACTGCATCCTTGACCTCCTGGACTCAGGTGGTCCTCCCACCTCAGCCTCCTGGGTAGCTGGGACTACAGACACACACCACCCAGCCTGGCTAAATTTTTGTATTTTTTGTAGAGTGGGGATTTCACCATTTTACCTAAGCTGGTCTTGAACTCCTAGGCTCAAGCAATCTGCCCACCTTGGCCTCCCAAAGTGCTAGGATTATAGGCGTGAACCACCATGCCCAGCCACACCTTAGTTATTTTAATACGTCAGATTATCGGCTTTCTTTTAGCTTTCTTAATGTTAACATCTTACATACCATGGTACAGTACGTTTCTCAAAAATAAAAGATTGATCCTGGTACAATACTATTAACTATTCCACTAAACTCAGATTCTTCCAATTTCTCCAGTTTTTCCACTATATTCTTTTCTCTGTTCCAGGATACCACATTGCATCATTTGTCATATCTCTTTAGTCCCCTTTAATCTGTGACAGTTTCACAGTCTTTCCTTGTTTTTCTCGACCTTGGCACTCTTGAAGAGTGCCAGGTATTTTGTAGACTATTTCTCAATTTGGATTTTTCTGATGTTTTCTCATGATTAGACTGAGGTTATGAATTTTAAGGAAGAAACAACAGAGGTCATGTGACAAGCATTCTTTTACTTCTTTTTTTTTTTTTTTTCAATCCTGGCTGACCAAAAAAAAAAAAATCCTGGCTGAGAACTGTCTTGTGACACTCAGGGGAGGAGGGATTTTGTGATATACAGGTGAAGAAGGGGAAGGTTTTCATGAAACTGAGGTAGGGAAGAAGGATTTCTTTTTTTTTTTTTTTTTGACAGAGTCTCCCTCTATTGCCCAGGCTGGAGTGCAATGGCATGATCTCAGCTCACTGCAAGCTCTGCCTCCCGGGTTCACGCCATTCTCCTGCCTCAGCCTCCTAGTAGCTGGGACTACAGGCGCCCACCACCACGCCCGGCTAATTTTTTATATTTTTAGTAGAGACGGGGTTTCACCGTGTTAGACAGGATGGTCTCGATCTCCTGACCTCGTGATCCGCCCGCCTTGGCCTCCCAAAATGCAGGGATTACAGGCGTGAGCCACCGCGCCCGGCGTGGAGAAGGATTTCATGTTATTTCACAAATAGGGAGAAACACGATTAGAAGTGAGTAAGTTCAAAAGTCTGGCTTCAGGTGGGGCATGGTGACTCACGCTTGTAATCCCAGCACTTTGGGAGGCCAAGGTGGGTGGATCACCTGAGGTCAGGAGTTCGAGACCAGCCAGGGCAACATGGCAAAACCCCGTCTTTACTAAAAATACAAAAAAATCAGATGGGAGTGGTGGCGCGCACCTGTAATCCCAACTACTCAGGAGGCTGAGGCACGAGAATCACTTGAACCCGGGAGGTAGAGGTTGCAGTGAGCTGAGATCATGCCATTGCACTCCAGCCTGGGTGACAGAGCCAGACTCCATCTCAAAAAAAAAAAATCTGGCTTTGGTCAAATGGGCTGATAGCATGCATATCAAATAGGACACAGTGTCCAGCAAAATTGTAAAAAGCTGGGGTTTCGCTAAGATTTTAACTCTTTCTCTCACGGGGAGTTTAAGTAGTGTGAAGCTCTATTGTGAGGTTGTTTCCCTTCATCAGTAGGTAAAGATAGTGTTGCGCACAATTAGATTTGAAATGATTCCAAGACTAGGGGAAGTTGGCAAAGGGTTTTAGACCAGAGACTGGTATTCCAAGCTGAAGAAACAGCATAGTGAAAGCCATGCAGGCGTGAGGGAGCACTTGGCATATTCAAGTAATTGGATTGCTTGAAGGGTAGGATGAGCAAGGGAAACAGTGAGAGATAAGATTAGAAAAGAGTCAGGGGCCACAGCAGGAAGGGCCTTCTGCACCATGTTAAGGTATTTGGGATCTTATAAATGATCCAGAAGTCAACAGTTCACTTCATTCCGAACGATGGTCCAAAGCCGAACCCGATCCAATTACCTTGCAAGTTCAAGTCACACATTTCAAGGAATCACCAGGCAAAGGTAAGCTGCAAGTTCACCATTTGCTCAGGCAACATTCCTTATCAGTTGGTCAAGAGTGTTAGCTAACATGTTATGAAAAACAGCACCTTATTACTATTGGATCCGCCATCACCAATATTTATTTTGTTTGTACTACTGAAAGGAGTGGTTGTGTGGCTCAGACATCCTCACTCATTTCTTGTATTGATTGTGTGATTACATGTTCTCTTTTTCTCTAGATCTTTCTACCTTCTCCTTTATAGTTGCCTTGGCACCTTCCACTAACCATTAAATGTTGATTCATTCTCAAGCCCTTTTCTCACCCTATGCTCTTTCTCCCTATGTGATTTTATCTAGCTTTGTGCTTCCCTTGCTATCCATGTCCTGAAAATTTATTTATTTGTTTGTTTATTTATTTATTTTCTTGAGATGGAGTCTTGTTCTGTTGCCCAGGCTGGAGTGCAGTGGCTCAATCTCGGCTCACTGCAACTTCCGTCTCCCAGGTTGAAGCAATTCACCTGCCTCAGCCTCCTGAGTAGCTGGGATTGCAGGTGACCGCCACCGCACCCGGCTAATTTTTGTATATTTAGGAGAGTCGGGGTTTCGTCATGTTGGCCAGGCTGGTTTCAAACTCCTGACCTCAGGTGATCCGCTTGCCTCAGCCTCCCAAAGTGCTGAGATTACAGGCGTGAGCCACCACACCTGGCCAATGTCCTGAAAATTTAAAAAGCTATTCCACCCGAATTGTCACCTGAGCTCTAGGCTGCACTTCCAACTGTTTCCTGGCTTCTGACCCTTCTGTGACACATGCACCTCAAACTCAGCATGTCCAAAACAAAACTTTGAGGGGCCAGGCGCAGTGGCTCATGCCTGTAATCCCAGCACTTTAGGAGGCCGAGGCAGGCGGATCACAAGTTCAGGAGATGGAGACCATCCTGGCTGACACAGTGAAACCCCGTCTCTACTAAAAGTACAAAAAATTAGCCAGGCGTGGTGGCGGGTGCCTGTAGTCCCAGCTACTCAGGAGGCTGAGGCAGGAGAATGTTGTGAACCCGGGAGGCGGAGCTTGCAGTGAGCTTAGATCGCACCACTGCATTCCAGTCTGGGCAACAGAGCGAGACTCCGTCTCAAAAAAAAAAAAAAAAAAAACTTTGTATCTTCCTTTCCTCCACCAATATCTGCTCCTCCCTCCTTCCTTCAGCTGTTAATGACAATCAGTCACCTGATCTCCCAAATTAGACACTTAAAGTCATCTCTGATGTCTCCTTCTTTGTTACTTCCCACATCTAATCTGCTGCTCAAATTTGTCCATTTTTTTCTTTCTTTCTTTGAGACAGGATCTCACTCTGCTGCCTAGGCCAGAGTACACTGGGGCGATCTCGGCTCACTGCAGCCTGGTCCTCCCAGACTCAAACAATCCTCCCACCTCAGCCTCCCAAATAGCTGGGACTACAGGCACACGACACCACAACTGGCTATTTTTTTAATGCAAATTTTTACATTAAAATATGTTTATAAATCATAGTAGTTGTTTTCCCTCTTGATTCAACATTTCTCCCTCCCCTAACAGGAGCCCTAGAACCTGAAGAGCATGTACATTACTAACCAGATATATAATCCAGCCGCCCTGTCCAAACTGGAATCTGATTACTAATGGACTAGAATCGGGGCTGCCCCCAAGGGATGGGAAGCAGTAACTACGCTCTCAGGGAGAATGGGTACTGAGGGTGCCATCAGTCAAAGAGCCGAAAGCTGTGCACTGGGTCCAGGATGACTTGCACACCCTGTTCACTGCACAGTTTCCGACCACCATGGACAGGGGAATCTTGAAACACCAGTCTCACTCAATGATGCCGTATGTCCTTGCTCACATTGATAGTAAAGAGAGTAAATATCATTCTCATGACAATCGGAATGAAGATGAAATTGAGGGTGGTGGCCTGCAGTAGGCAGCAGTCCCGGTGTGGATTGGTATGAACATCTTCGTACTGAACAGGGGGCTGCAATCCTCCTGTACACTTGCTCTTTAACCTGTTTTTTTAACTTGAAGTTGAATTTCCACATTGGTTCCTGTCTGTTCCCAACAATATTTCTGCACCAGAAAAGTAAGCATTTGGAATTCTTTAATGTGCTGGGGGTGCTTGGATTCTTGGAGATTGGAGCAGCAAATGGCTCATACATATATGGTACAGAGATCGGATCACACAAGCCCGGAGACAGCGCAGCTTCTCCATTGACTCTGGTCGCAGACGCAAAGGCAGGGAAGCATCCAGCGTGTAGTGCCTTCGGTACAACCTTGTCCAAAAGGCAGCAGTGCAAGTGACAGTCCGAGCATTCTTACAAATCAGGGAAAAATTCACAATGTCCTCAGGACAGATATAGGAGGCCAGCAATAGCCAAATATCCATGGGATACTCTTCTCCTCCAGCCCCGTCCAGTTCTTCTTTGTGCCTCTTGCTTTTCTTTTTTCTGGAGACAGTTCTCTCACAGATGCTTTCCTCCTGGGCATCGTCTCATCACCGCTGTCGATGATGTCACAGGGCTCACCAGCCCCAGAAAGAGCTTCCTCTGCAGGAACCTGAGAGGCTTCCAAGCCACAAAGAGATTTTACTTCCTGCTGAACAGCGTTGGCTAAGGCTTTCTTGACTCATCCAGACCTCACGACCGCTGGATCCGAGTTGGCGTAATCCACCTCAGTCACTTGTCCAGAGCAGGCGTCGTGGGCCCAGAACTTGAGTCGCTTTCCTCTCTTGGGCATGGCGACCGTATCGGGGCGAGGCCTGCCTAGCTGGCCGGGCCCCCGGGCCATGTCTCCGGCCCGGCTCCGTGGCCTTCCCACACCGGAGGCCGCTAACTCTCCCACAACTGGCTATTTTTTGTATTTTTTGTAGAGACGGGGTTTTGCCCTGTGCCCAGGCTGGCCTCAAACTCCTAAGCTTAAGCAATCCTCCCGCCTCAGGCTCCCATGAGCCACTATGCCTGGCCAAATTCGTCGATTTTTAAACCTAAGTTTTCCCCTTTTCCTCATATACTTGATTTCACATCTTCATCTCTCATCTGAACTATTGTTTCATCATAGGACTTACCGCTCTCTGCAGTGATTTATTCAGATTACATCTGTGTTGAGGAGTAGGCACCGGATGGATGTTCTGTGGTGCTAGTTCTTACCCATGTATGTATGAAACCTGGGCAAACCCCATAGTTTTTCATTAATTCTAAGAGTTAAAAAATATTCCGATCGCGGCCAGGCGTGGTGGCTCACTCCTATAATCCCAGCACTTTGGGAGGTCAGGGCAGGCAGATCACTTAAGGCCAGGAGTTCAGGACCAGCCTGGCCAAGATGGTGAAACCCCGTCTCTACTAAAAATACAAAAATTAGCCAGGCATGGTGGCTCGTACCTGTAATCCCAGCTAGTCGGGAGGCTGGGGCAGGAAAATCATCTGAGCCTGGGAGGTGGAGGTTGCAGTGAGCCGAGATCGCGCCATTGCACTCCAGCCTGGGCAACAAGAGCAAAACTCCATCTCAAAAAAAAAAGATAAGAAAGAAAATATTCTGATTGCTTTCAGCCACAAGAAAAACTAATGTTATAAATTAATATGTCTCATGCAGTATAATCATCGGAACTCTTGACTTTATGTCAACTTGCCTCAGCGTGGCCTGCTCAAGGCAGAAGCATGCAGTCAAGGAGAGGGTGATTGTCTGCTTCTCTTTTTCCTCTGGGAGCCTCTCCTCCACAGCCCGCACTTTCTGGGACTTCTGACCCTCCAGGCTTGGAGTTTCTCTGAACATGTTAAATGATTTGAGCTGATGCTTCTCTCCTGGTTACTCCGATGGGCTGGCCAGGAAGCTGTCTGACTGCTCCTCTTCACTTGGAGTTGGGGAATGGCCTCTGCTTTGGTTTGTCATTCATCACCCTTGGCAACCTTAGCATGGGGTGGCCGTCTCCACACGGACTGTCTCTCTGTTGTGTCCCATCGTACTCTCAGGCAGTCCTCTTGGGCAAGATCTCTTTTTCTCTTTTTTAAAGACAGGGTCTTGCTATGTTGCCTAAGTTGGAGTGCAGTGGCTATTCATAGGTGTGATCATAGCTCGCTGCAGCCTCCAACTCCTGGGCTCAAGTAATCCTCCCGCCTCAGCCTCCCAAGTAGCCAGGACTATAGTCACACCCCACAGTGCCAGGCAAAATCTCTTTTTAAATGATGCCAGGTCAGAATTCATACATCAGTTTTCACCTCTGGTCCCAGAAAATAAGCACCTTAGACCCACTGCTTGGGGAGTGCAGCTGCTTCTAAGGCAGCCTCGCAACCTTTTTTTTTTCAATGACAACTTTATTGACATTTAATGCACGTATCATAAAATTCGCCACTGAAGCACATTCCATGGGTGTTAACATATTCACAAGGTTGCGTAACCATCCCCTCTCTCTAATTTCAAATATTTTCATCACTCCAAAAAGAAACCCCTGACCCATTAGCAATCATTCTGCATTCCCTCCTTCTTCTAACCTCTGGAAACCCCCAATCTACTTCCTGTTGCTATGAATTTTCTTATTCTGGACATTTCACATAAGTGCAACTGTACAAGATGTGGTCTTTTGTGTCTGCCTTCTTTAACTTAGCATTATGTTTTCAAGGTTCATCCACACTGTAGCATGAATCAGTATATCATTCCTTTTTATGACTGAAAATATTCCATTGTTTGGAGATACCACATTTTGTTTATTTATGTTTGTTTATTGATGGACATTTGGGTTGTTTCCATTTGTTGGCTATTATGAATAATGCTTCTATAAGCATTCATGTGCAAGTTTTCGTATGGACATATGTTTTCATTTCTCTTGGGCATATACATAGGAGCACAATTGCCTGGTCATAAGGTGACTCTATGTTTAAATTTTTGAGGAACTGCCAAACTGTTTTCCAAAGTGGCTGCACCGTTTTACAATCCCATCAGCAATGTATGAGGGTTTCTGATTTCTCCATATCCTGGCCAGTGCTTCCTATTTTGTCTCTTTGTTATTTTACCCATCTAGCAAGCATGAAACAGTATTTCACTGAGGCTTTGATTTCCATTTTCCTAAACTACCGGATGATGTTGAGCAGCTGTTCATGTACTTATTAGTCGCTTGTGTATCTTCTTTAGAGAAAGTCTATTCAAATCCTTTGCCCATTTTTTTTCAACTTCTATTTTTGATCAGGGGGTACACGTCCAGGTTTGTTACATGGGTAAATTGTGTGTCACTGAGGTTTGGTGTACAAATGATTCCATCACCCAGGTAGTGAGCATAGGCAGTTTTTCAACCCTCGCCCTTCTTCCATCCTCCCTTTTCTAGTAGCCTCCAGTGTCAGTGGTCAAGGCAGCTCATGCCTATGATCCCAGCAATTTGGGAGGCCAGGGAAGGAGGATCGCTTTTGTCCAAGAATTTGAGAACAGCCAGGGCAACTTAGTGAGACTCCAACTCTGCAAAAAAAAAATTTTTTTTTTTTTATTTAGCCAGGTGTGGTGGCACATGCCTGTAATCCCAGCTACTCAGGAGGCTGAGTTGGGAGGATCACTTGCGCCCTGGAAATTGAGGCTGCATTGAGCTGTGATTGTGCCACTGTACTCCAACCTGGGTGACAGAGTGAAATCTTGTCTCAAAAAAAAAATAAAAATAAATTAATTTTGAGACAAGATCTCACTCTGTCCCCAGTGTCATTGTTCCCTTCTTATGTATTTGTGTGCTCAATATTTAGCGCCCACTTATAAGTTAGAACATGTGGTGTTTGGTTTTCTGTTCCTGCATTAATTCACTTAAGATAATGGCCTCCACCTGCATCCATGTTACTGCAAAGGATGTGATTTCATTCTTTTTTATGGCTGTGTAGTATTCCGTGGTGTATATGTACCACATTTTCTTTATCTAGTCCACCATTCATTGGCACCTAGGTCGATTCCTTGTCTTTGCTATGGTGAAAGTGCTGTGATAAACTTATGAGTGCACATGCCTTTTTGGTAGAATGACTTACTTTCCTTTGGGTATATACCCAGTAATAGGATTGCCAAGTTGAATGGTAGTCCTGTTTTAAGTTGAGAAATCTCCAAACCCTTTTCCATGGGGACTGAACTAATTTACATTCCCAGCAACAGTGTATAAGCATTCCCTTTTCTATACAACCTTGGCAACATCTGTCATTTTTTGACTTTTTAATAGCCATTCTGAGTGATGTGAGATGGTATCTAATTGTGGTTTTGATTTGTATTTCTTTAATGATTAGTGATGTTGAGCATTTTTTCATATATTTGTTGGCTGCATGTATATCATATTTTGAGAAGGGTCTGTTCATGTCCTTTGACCATTTTTTAATGAGGTTGCTTGTTTTTTGCTTGTTGAATTAAGTTCCTTATAGATTCTGGATATCAGACCTTTGTTGGATGCATAGTTTGCAAATATTTTCTCCCATTCTGTAGGTTGGCTGTTTAGTCTGTTGATAGTTTTTGTTTGTTTGTTTGTTTGTTTTGCTATGCAGAAATTCTTTATTTTAATTAGGCTCCACTTGTCAATTTTTTTGTTGCAATTGCTTTTGGGCACTTCATTATAAACTTTTTGCCAAGGCCAATGTCCAGAATAGTATTTCCTAGGTTTTCTTCTAGAATTTGTAAAGTTTTAGGTCTTACATTTAAGACTTCAATCCATCGTGTGTTAATTTTTGTATATGGTGAAAGGCAGGAATCCAGTTTGATTCTTCTGCAAATGGCTAGTCAGTTATCCCAGCACCATTTATTGAATAGGGAGTTCCTTCCACATTGCTTGTTATTGTCAACTTTGTCGGAGATCATATGGTTGTAGATGTGTGGCTTTATTTCTGGGTTCTCTATCCATTGGTCTATGCACCTGTTTTTGTGCCAGTGCCATGCTATTTTAACTTCTGTAGCCTTATAGTTTGAATTTGGGTAGTGTGATGCCTCTAGCTTTGTTCTTTTTGTCTAGGATTGCTTTGGTTATCCCCTTTTGCCTATTTTTAAACTGCGTATTTTGTGCTTTGGTTGTTGAATTGTTAGAGTTATTTATATATTCTGGATCCTAGCCTCCTTTTTAAAGCCAGCTGAAAGGCATCACCAACTGTGGTTTTGCCCTGGGATTTTTCAAACTGTAGTAGGCTAGGACAGGGGACCTTTGTCAAGCTTTTTAGATAGTTCTCTTGTAAGCATGGCACATTAACCACTCTCTCCAAAGAAATTCTTTCTCTCCAATCTTTTTTTTTTTTTTTTTTTTTTTTTTTTTTAGACAGGGTCTTGCTCCCTGTCACCCGGACTGGAGTGCAGTGGTACGATCTTGACTCAGCAGCCTCAACCTCCCGGGCTCAAGCAATCTTCCCACCTCAGCCTCCTGAGTAGCTGGGACCACAGGCTCGCCCCACCATGCTCAGCTAATTTTTTAATTTTTGTAGAGACAGGGTCTCACTGTCCAGGCTCATCTTGAACTCCTGGGCTGAGGCAATCCTCCCACCTTGGCCTCCCAAAGTATTGGGATTATAGGCATGAGCCACCATACTCAGACATCGTTTCCAGACTTTTTGATCTTCAACTCAATCTTTTATGACTTTGAGGTGGATGAAGGGACAAGAATAACAAAAATTGTTTTATCTGCTCCCTTTCCAGGTCCCATATAGTTGGGGTGACTAATTTATCATCCAAACCAGAAAACTTTTGAATGAAAGGAGGTACGGGCCAGGCACTGTGGCTCACACCTGTAATCCTAGCATTTTGGGAGGCCGAAGTGGGTGGATCACCTGAGGTCAGGAATTCAAGACCATCCTGACCAACTTGGTGAAACCCCATCTCTACTAAAAATGCAAAAAATTAGCCAAGCGTGGTGGCAGACACCTGTAATCCCAGCTACTCAGGAGCCTGAGGCAGGAGAATCACTCGAACCCGGGAGGCAGAGGTTGCAGTAAGCTGACATCGTGCCACTGCACACCAGCCTGGGCAATAAGAGCAAAACACCATCTCAAAAAAAGAAAAAGAAAAAAGAAAGGAATTACTAAAATAATGAAAATCATATTATTGGAATTTTTATTTATTAACTGATAGATTGACTTCATTTTATCAGTGGGGTTACCTATAATAAAATTCTCTTCAAACCCTACTTTCAAAAATACAGTGTCCTAAAAAATAAAAAACATCAAAACTCTGTATAGAAAGAATGTTTTCACATTGATTATCTAAACAATAATAATAAAAAAACCTAAGCATGCCCAGTTCTCCCAGTATAAATTCATGCACCATAACCAATTCCTCTCAGCCATACTCCTTCCCTCTCTCATGGCCCACGGGAACCTTCGGCTCTCCTTTACCACTTGGGAGTCGCAGGAAACTTAAGGGATAATTCCTGACTGTCTCCAACTAGTCTCATGATGCCACCATCTCTTCTGTTCTCCTCATGTGGTCGTGGGTCACATCTGCCAGTCTGCCACCTTCTTAAAATTCTAGATGATCTTTGACAAACCTGAGAAAAACAAGCAATGGGGAAAGGATTCCCTATTTAATAAATGGTGCTGGGAAAACTGGCTAGCCATATGTAGAAAGCTGAAACTGGATCCCTTCCTTATACCTTATACAAAAATCAATTCAAGATGGATTAAAGACTTAAACGTTGGACCTAAAACCATAAAAACCCTAGAAGAAAACCTAGGCATTACCATTCAGGACATAGGCATGGGCAAGGACTTCATGTCTAAAACACCAAAAGCAATGGCAACAAAAGCCAAAATTGACAAATGGGATCTCATTAAACTAAAGAGCTTCTGCACAGCAAAAGAAACTACCATCAGAGTGAACAGGCAACCTACAAAATGGGAGAAAATTTTCGCAACCTACTCATCTGACAAAGGGCTAATATCCAGAATCTACAATGAACTCCAACAAATTTACAAGAAAAAAACAAACAACCCCATCAAAAAGTGGGCAAAGGACATGAACAGACACTTCTCAAAAGAAGACATTTATGCAGCCAAAAAACACATGAAAAAATGCTCACCATCACTGGCCATCAGAGAAATGCAAATCAAAACCACGATGAGATACCATCTCACACCAGTTAGAATGGCGATCATTAAAAAGTCAGGAAACAACAGGTGCTGGAGAGGATGTGGAGAAATAGGAACACTTTTACACTGTTGGTGGGACTGTAAACTAGTTCAACCATTGTGGAAGTCAGTGTGGCGATTCCTCAGGGATCTAAAACTAGAAATACCATTTGACCCAGCCATCCCATTACTGAGTATATACCCAAAGGACTATAAATCATGCTGCTATAAAGACACATGCACACGTATGTTTATTGTGGCATTATTCACAATAGCAAAGACTTGGAACCAACCCAAATGTCCAGCAATGATAGACTGGATTAAGAAAATGTGGCACATATACACCATGGAATACTATGCAGCCATAAAAAATGATGAGTTCATGTCCTTTGTAGGGACATGGATGAAATTGGAAATCATCATTCTCAGTAAACTATCGCAAGAACAAAGAACCAAACACCGCATATTCTCACTCATAGGTGGGAATTGAACAATGAGAACACATGGACACAGGAAGGGGAACATCACACTCTGGGGACTGTTGTGGGGTGGGGGTAGGGGGGAGGGATAGCATTGGGAGATACACCTAATGCTAGATGACGAGTTAGTGGGTGCAGCTCACCAGCATGGCACATGTATACATATGTAACTAACCTGCACATTGTGCACATGTACCCTAAAACTTAAAGTATAATAATAATAAATAAATAAATAAATAAATTCTAGATGAGACGCAAAGCAGAAGCTCATGTTGCTCTTAGATCTGCGGACATAAAGAGGGGTTCTTATCACCCAGGCCCATTGACAATGAGAGTTGGGGGCGTACTGTATGGCCCTTATACTCTTCCTAACTCTTCAACTGCTTTATTCTTCTTGACTTGAAGGATTTTTCCTAGTTGGGGAGAGAAAGACTCAGGAAAAAAGGATTCCTGCCATTTGCAAATCCTTTCAAGTTTTCCATCTTAGGTTAAACTCTCAGCTCTACAATTGGAAGCTGAGTCTACTCTGTCCATTTCTGGCTTTCTCCTGAGACCCATGGTATACCCGTGTTCCCTGGTCTGAACAGGGTGGTCAAAGGAGAAAAAAAAACACCACTTTATTATTCAAGAATGTACATACACACATGTGTGTGTATATGTGTGATATTTATATTTATACATCAACTTATTGAAGAAGTAGACACTTAGAAGGAAACACTCTATCTGGTCACTAGACCACCACTAATAATTACGTGTTCTCTCCTCCATTATCCAATTTCCTGTCCCCCTGAATGCTGGCCAGCACCTCAAATAGATGGCAATTTTTCTGCCCAACTTTGCATTTCTAAATGATCTCAGCTTTGGTGCACCTGCCAATGAAAGGTTGAAATAAGCTTCCACTGACCACAACTGCTGGGCATGGACATAAATAATAAAACAAGGAGCAATTCCTGATGAATTGCTGGTTTCTTGTGTACACCCCTACTCCCATCGTGTGGCAGCAACCTCATTTCCCTTTTCACAGTGTCATTCACCCCAGCCGACACCATTACCCTTTTTTGCCTGCTTATGGCTAGGATAGAAACCATTATTGTGTCCCCTATGGGAAGTATTCCTCCCTTAGAGAGTAAGACCACTAGCTGAGCATGGTGGCTCACCCCTGTAATCCCAGCATTTTGAGAGGCCAAGGTGAAGGATCGCTTGAGCCTAGGAGTTGGAGAGCAGCCTGGGCAATGTAGTGAGACCACATCTCTATTTTTTAACAAGAGTTTTTAAAAATTAAAAATAAATAAATAGGCTAGGTGTGGTGGCGCATGCCTGTAATCCCAGCTACTCAGGAGGCTGAAGCAGGAGAATCACTTGAACCTGGGAGGCGGAGATTCCAGTGAGCTGAGATTGCACCACTGCACTCCAGCTCGGGTGACAGAAAGAGGCTCCGTCTCAAAAAATAAAATAAAATAAAAGTAAAGTAAATAAATAAATAAATAAGAGAGCAAAATAAACAAGACAGCAAAGCCCAGAGTTGCATACATGGGAAGCAAACATTTTATAATTTAGTAATTAGGTAAAACTTTGAAAGGCACCACCGCCAAATCCTGTACCTGTATTTCCTTCTAGGTATCAGATGCTTCAAGTTCCTAAGTACATGATAAAACTAGTTAACTGTTAGCATGATATCTCATTGTCTTTTACTTTCCTTGTGAAGTGAGTTCCTTAACTGAGGACTTATCTCCCTCAAACATTTGGACCATCGTTGTATCTCCTGGGTCATACAGCAGGTACCAATTGGTACCTCCTCTTCTTCTGCAGTCTGGATGAGCTAGAGAGGCTTCTCTTGTTCTGTACCCAAATAAGGCTGGCATATCTGAGTTCACCAGGTCAATGGGTTGAAGCAAGGCAACCAAATGTGTTCTCTGTTACCTCTAATATGCAAGGAGCCCTATCAATTGGAGAGGATTATCTATCGATATTTCAGTCCACTCCACTAGGTCCTCTCCTAAAGTTTATTTTTCTTCCTGTTTTTAGAGACAGGGTCTTGTTCTGTCACCCAGCCTGGAGTGCAATGGTGCAATCACTGCTCACTGTAACCTTGAATTCTCCAGATCTAGTGACTCTCCCACCTCAGCCTCCTAAGTAGCTAGAAGTACAGGTGTGCACCACCACATCCAGCCAATATTTAAATTTTTTGTGGAGACAGGGTCTCATTATGTTGCCCAGGCTAGTCTCAAATTCCTAGTTTCAAGTGACTCTCCCACCTTGGCCTCCCCAAACACTGGGATTACAGGCATGAGCCATGGCGTCCAACCCTCCCCCAGAAGATTAACTGAGGTAGCAAGTCCTTGTATTTTCATAGGATTTATTTCTCACCTGCTAGCACATATGGGTCTAAGATATCTAGATCAACATCTGTGATACCGGTTACTTCTTATTTCCCAGGCCTTATATGTGTGCTATATTCAATGTAGACCAGCCTTGTGTCTTGTGGGTTGGTGAGATGGTCAAGATCCCTACCGGACGGACTCAATATATCCCTGAGGCAGCATGGTAAAAGTATATATTTCTACTAGGTGAAAGCTAACTATTTCTGGAATACCCTTTATCAGAATGGGTAAGAAAATACACTTGCTAGATCAGTTGCTGGTGCCAGGGCCTGTGTTAATATGCTCCAAACGGGAGACTATGTCTTGGCCTGTCACTGTGGGAGGAGTTATCAACTAATTAGGCTTCCTTAATCCACTGTGGTTTCCAGAATCCATCTATCCTCATACGGGCCATTCTGAGGAACTTAGCTGCTGTTTCAAAATCTTTAACTATGGGGCTAATCTTTGTGATTCCCCTGGAGGTGTGGTATTGGTTTTGATTTATTATTCTGGTAGGGAGAAGAAACTTCAGTGGTTCCCACTTGGCTCTTCCAACCACAGTCATTCTTACTGTGTGTGTCAGAGAGCCACTATGGGGACCTACCAGTCCAACTCTGTGCTGTATTCAGGATCTGGAGAAATAATTACGGGGCTTTTTATAAATAGACCCAGGTTAAAATCCTACTTACCACCTGATGACCATTAGACCCACTGCAATCAGGAACTACAATACATTTATGTATCTCATGTAAGTTCAGAGCCAATATTCGCTACTCCCTGAAAGGTTTATGTCTCTCTCTTGCCCCCGTACACAGCTATCCAGGTAAATAGTTCCTTTGAGCAAGAAGGAAGTTTCAAGTATGTAACTGAGGTGTTACATGGGTCCTTCCTTGTAGGCATTTGGTGTCCTTTCCATTCTGTGCATCTGGTTCTGTTACCAATCTCAGGCCTATGAATTGGAAGATAAGCTATGTCTACTACGGTGGTTCAAATCAGGCCTCTATTCACCAAACCAAAGCTTTGTTTGGTTTGGGTTAGTTATTCACGTCACAGAAAACCTGCACAGGTCATCTGATGATCTCATTACCACGGATGCCATAGCAGAGATCTTGGAGGATCAGACCCTTGTCAAATATTTTTCCCAAGCCTGCCCTAGAGCCTAATGTAACCGTGCCCATGTTGCCTCCAGTCGTTAAATAATTGGCATCACTTGTACTCTGCCACAGTTCACTCCCAGATACCTGCTGATAATAGAAAACAAGTTTCAACTTTGGCATTTTTCTACCAACAATTCTAGCCTGCAGACTTCTGATATGTTTCTGATAAGCTGGCCCCTATTTAGGGGGCTAGGAGTGGCCGAGGGACCTCCTCCAAACTGCCTGGCCGCTGGAAACAATGAGGCCACTGTGGGCGGAGAAGAGTGCAGCAGGCTGCTGGCTCAGCCAAGTCCACGATGGTGAGAGCTCGCCCAAAGTCTGCCCTCCTGCTCTGTTCTCTCCCCAGGAATTGTGAGAAGCAGGGACATCCTCCCAGGCCCCTCATCTCACCTGCCGGCCCAAACCAGCTGCACCTAGAGTGTCCTCAAGCTCTGCCCACATTGACGTCCAGACTGCCATGACTCTCTAAGAAGCAGGGGCATGTGGGCCAGGCCAGAAAGAGTGGGGGTGATGAGACAGGACGTATGCCTATGATCCTCTGCAGGGGAGACAGGAAGGCCACAGGGGATTTCTGGTGTCAGTCCTGGCACCCACAGGCAAGAAGAGCTTAGGAGATTGTGAGAGCTGTGACAGGCAGGATCCCCTGCCCCCAGGCTTCCTTTCCCACACCCATTCCATAAAGCTGCTCCCTGAGGAGGCCTGGTGCTGGTGGCCTCGCCCTCTGGGGTTGGGACCCTGGCAGGCAGTGTGGTGCAACGGTGTGAGAACTGAATTTGTAGTCAGGCGAACAGTGTCAATTACACCCTGCCCCTTCTGAACTATGGGATCTTGTCCTTTGTCCCTCTGAGCCCCAGTTTCCTCATCTGCAAAATGAAGATAATTTTATATAGTGACATAAGAGTAATGAAACAGAACACCTAAGACACGCCAGCCCTCAACAAACCACCTCTGGCCCAAATGCCCCATCTTTATCTCCTGCCATGGCACCCACATATGTCGGTATTTGGTAAAGATGGGCTCTTCAATTTCAAAGCCCAGTGAGGGAAGAGTCTTCCAAGCTCTGTGAAGGAGATGCAGTCAGCGGGTAAGTGGGCAAGAAATGCATGTCAGATATTGATGGACATTAAGATATTGATTGATTGATATTCGGCCCTCATATCCCCCTTCCCATATCCTTCTGTGTATTTTTTGGAGCCATTAGAATATTATATTTCCCAAACTCCTTCACCAGCTGGGTACTGGATAGATAGGTTCTGCCATTGAAGGGAGATAGAAGGTAGGAAGAAGATGACCCCTAGCCTTCTCTGGCTCTGACAGAAGCAGCCAATTGCAGACAAAAAATGCCAATTGCTGTAGCAGAATGCCAGTTCCAATCGTGGCAGCAGTGACAGCTCCTACTCAGGCCACTTGTCATCTGGAGCAGCTTAGCAGTGAGTGTGAACCCACAGGTGTCAGCCCCAAGTGGTGGCAGGTCCCTTATCTCTAGATAAACCCATGTCTCCATTTTGCAACTCCAGCCCTTACAAAACCTTTGTAACCAGTCCCCTGCATTCAATCCCTTTCTGCTTGAAATATCTAGAATGGTTTATGTTTTTTGGACTGGACTCCTGATTGACACAGCAGGCTTGAAAAAGCCAATCCAGAACTGTCTCCTAACGTTTTAGAATTCTTCTGTTTACATCAGTTGTTCCCAACTCAGTCTGCCTATTAGAATCACCTAGAAGCTTAAAAAACACTGATGCCAGCCTGGCACAGTGGCTCACACCTATAATCCCAATACTTTGGGAGGCCAAAGTTGGAGGATTGCTTGAGTTCAGGAGTTGGAGACCAGCCTGGGCAACATGGCAACATGGCAAGACCCTGTCTCTACTAAAAAGACAAAAAAAAATAGCTGGCATTGTGGTGTGCACCTGTGGTCCCAGCCACTCAGGAGGCTAGGGTGTGAGGATCACTTGAGCACAGGGGGCCAGAGGATGCAGTGAGCCAGGATCACACCACTGCACTCCAGTCTGGGCAACAGAGTGAGACCCTGTCTCACTCACACACACACACACACACACACACACACACACACCCCCAAACTACAAAAACAAAACAAACCCAAAAAACACCACACTGATGCCTATATGCCCTATACTTTCAGAGATTCTGACTAAATTGCTCAGACACCAGTGTTTTTTAAACTCACCCGGGAGATTTTGATGTGCAGCCAGTTTGAGATCCACTGCTCCCTTTTTAAACATTTTCTCTGAGACAGGGTCTTGCTCTGTCACCAGGCTGGAGTGCAGTGGTGCAATCACAGCTCACTGCAATCTCCCCTTCCTGGGCTCAAGCAATTCTCCTGCCTCAGCCTCCCGAGTAGCTGGGATTACAAGCACGTGCCACCATGACCAGCTAATTTTTGTAGAGACGGGGTTCCACCATATTGCCCAGGCTGGTCTCAAATTCCTGGCCTCAAGTGATCTGCCTGCCCTGGCCTCCCAAAGTGCTGGGATTACAGGCATGAGCCACTACGCACAGCCTGAGATCCACTGCTCTCTGTCATGCCAAGCTATTTCTGGCCTTTCCCTATTATCGCGAGTGGACCAGCAGTGGATCCATGGCTACATCAGCCAACTGCAGCAAACTTAGAACAATTATTAAGGTATTATCAACGTAATGAGATTTCAGGTGATTTAATTTTCTTTCTTATACCTTTCTAACTTGTTTTAATGAACATTGTTTTAAATTATTTTGAAGGCAATTTTCACAAACAGAAATGATCTTCCTGTCTTCTCTAATGCATAACTATACCCACATCACTAAATCTAGCACAAGCTAAAATTATATTCCACGAGCCTTGTTTATACATCCTCGAAATTCATTCTTAGAAACATCATCAGGGCTTTTGAAAATGTAAATAAGCAACAGGTTACAGATATGTAGCAATAGTGTTCTCATTGTTGTGGTTGTGTTCTGGGTGAATGGAACCCCTGGGCTGCCCACTCCCAGCTCTAAGCAATCTCATATTTAACCCAGCATGCTGCACAAATGATCATTTTCTATTATCATATCCTTGGTCATTTCACATCCTGCTCAATCCCACCCTGCTCCACCCCAGGCCATGTTGTATTTGGATTTAGGTTAGTGGCATAGCAAAATGAGAAGCAGGTCATGAAGCAATTCCTACTCCAAGGGAAGGACTGCCTCCTTAGGCAGAGGAGAGGCAACCCAACCCTTGTTGGGCAAGAGTTCTTCTTGGGCAACCCTCTTGAAACTCAACCACCTTCCGAGTTTCAGAAGTCTTTGAGGATTGGGATTTGCTGTTGTTGTTAACCCAACTGAGAACCGTGATTTTGGTTTCCAATTTAATCTACTCCAATGCTTCCCTGCTTTTTTCATATCATGGCTCAGTCTAACCCATACTACCTCTAGATCACCATACCAAGCTGTGTACTCATAGCCAGAGACACCAAACTGTCATGCCTTCGGGCTGCTGTTCATGCCATTTCCTCTGGATGATATATTCTTAAGGTTAGGTAAGCCCTGGAAACATACGGGTATTTATTATACACCACACACTTTGCTAGATTCCAGCACTACATTACTCCCCAACCCGTGCCATCAGCTCTCAGTAGCCTGGCCCAATGTCATCTCCCTCACAAAGTTGTTTTTTTTTTTTTTTTGAGACAAAGTCTTGCTCTGTCGCTTAGGCTGGAGCGCAGTGGTGTGATCTCGGCTCACTGCAACCTCCTCCTCCCCGGTTCAAGCGATTCTCCTGCCTCAGCCTCCCAAGTAGCTGGGATTACAAGCGTGCATCACCACGCACAGCTAATTTTTGTATTTTAGTAGAGATGGGGTTTCACCATGTCGGCCAGGCTGGTCTCAAGTTTCTGACCTCAAATGGTCTGCCCGTCTCGGCCTCCCAAAGTGCTGGGATTACAGGCATGAGCCACCATGCCAGGCCCTCCCAGCCCTCCTTCACAAATTTTTCCTGGACTTCGCCACAGAAAAAATTAATGGTTTTCTCAATCTCCATTCCAACACAGTTATTTACACATGAAATAAACCCTTGACATTCATAAATTTAAAATTCCTCATTCAGGCAATTCAAAAGTTAGTCTACAAAGTGAGTCTATGGGGTGTCATCATTTGTCATTTTGCCAAAGCACAAACGGGAATAGTTCTCACTGAAGAGCTGGAGAAGAGTGAGTCTACTTCCTCTTGGAAGCCTTTCCTGATACTCCATCCTACTCAGCCTCAGACTGATAGCCCTCTGAATCAGTTGGGATACTTCCAGCTCTGATGGAAAACGGGAATAACAACATTTAATTTCTCCACAACAAAGAGTCGGAGGTGGGTGGTTCCAGGGTTTGCTCAGCTCCTCAACAATGTCAGGGGTCTGGATCAGGATTTTTGCAAGCCTCTTGGCCAAGTGCACATCATCACATGATATCAGTAGCTCTAAACAGCAGCTCCCCACATAACCTCATTTCAGGTGATAGAGACAGAAGACAGCCAAGAGTCCCAAGTGAAACCCTGCCTTCAAGCCTAAAACAGCCTGAAGGCTGAAAAACCGGTCTGCTGGTCGCAAATGAAGCCTGCTCTTTCCCAGCTGATTCTGAATAATGCCTGCTTGTGCACTGGGAGGATCGGGTGGAGCCTTGGGAAGTTCACACCATTTGCAGGGGGGAAGAGTCTGGCCTCTTCAGTGCCTGTGTGGTAACCCGGGATTCAGTCTGTGAGGGGGGAGGTTGTTGGCAAGACCCCCTCTCACTTTGCTGAGAGTTTTTCTTTCTTTTTCCTTTTTGCCCAATAAATTCCATTTTCCTCACCCTTCTATGTGTCCACAAGCCTAATCTTTCTTAGTTGTGTGACAAGAACCCAGTTTTAGCTGAACTAAGGATAAAGTTCTGGAACCCAGGATGGGATGAAAAGATAGGCCTCCTTTCCATCTTACATTTTACCAAGAAGCAAACAGTTGTCCTAAAACTTCATTGACTTTTCCTTTCATTTAATCAGCCAGAATTTGGTCATGTGCCTAACCCTAAACCAAATACTAGAAGGGGTAAACCAGATGATTGTGCTTGATTGTGATTAGTGATCTTCAGGCCAGCAGCAACAGCGTCACTTGGGAACTTGTTAGAAATGCAAATTCTTGGGCACGCAGGGTGGCTTACACATGTAATCCCAGCAGGGTGGGAGGCCGAGGCAGGTGGATCATTTGAGTCCAGGAGTTCAAGACCAGCCCTGGCCAACATGGTGAAACCCCATCTCTACTAAAAATGCAAAAATTAGCTGGGCATGGTGATGCATGCCTGTAGTCCCAGCTACTTGAGAGGCTGAGGCAAGAGAACTGCTTGAACCCAGGAGGCAGAGGTTGCAGTGAGCCAAGATCACAGAGTGAGATTCTGTCTCAACAAAAAAAAATGCAAATTCTTAGGCTTCACTTAGACCTACTGAATCAGAAACTCTGGGAGTGGGGCCCAGGATTCCTGGTTTTAACAAGCCCTCCATGTGACTCATGCAAGCCAAAATTTGGAATCACTGGCTTAGATGTATCATAGTTAATCCTGAGCCTGGGGGAGGGACCTGAGCATCCTGCCTTTTAGAATAAAATCCAGATTCTACAAACTAAGAAGAGAGTTATGCTGTTGGGTAGATGGCACTCTCCTATTATTTCCGTTTAAATTATCATGATTACATTTATTTACCAGTTGATTTTCTTGCTGACTCCCTGACTCAACTGCATGCTTCCTGAGGGCACGAACTTTGTCTTTTATTAGCATTTCTGTCCCTAACACAATAGAAGGCGGTCAATCAATGTATGCTGGACAAATGGATAAATGGTAAAGTGGTCTCTCCTTTCTAAGTGCCCACCTCCTTAACAGCTGCTTCCTGCTGCTTTCCACTTAAAGAACATTTTCACATCAGTTCATGTCAGTGAGCTGAGAGCTGTCTCTACCAGGGGGTCTGAGAACAATGATTCCTTTGCATATGGGCACAAGTGGAGACTCTGGCTTCCTGAATGCATGTTGGACCTTTATGTGCATTCATTTCTATTCAAGGGTGTCCTTGGAGAGCACTGCTGTACAATAACACAGAACTGAACACGATTGTTGAGCTGAGTTCTGGCTGCTGACTCCTGCCTGGCAATCTTTCTCAGAGGCAGCTGTGTACTCAGAGTCAAACATGACCTGGAAATAAGCCTCCAGGCTTCATCCACAGCAAGAGCAGCATCGAGGCAATGATAGATAGCTGCCCTCATTTTGTTCTGCCCAGCACAGTGACCTGGACAAGCCTCCCGGGCTTTCTGAAGGCACTTGTATTAGGTGTGAGGGACAGAAACCCAAATGCAAAGTGGTGAGAATAAAGAGGTGGGGGAAGACTTACAGCCACATATACCTGCAAAGTCCTAGGGTAGGATCAGTTTCAGCTGCAGCTGGATCCAGATGCTCAATGTCCTCAGGAAACTTCTTTCTTCATTGCTCAAATGCATCTCTTCTAATTGGCTTCATTCTCCAGTAAGTTTTCACAGAACAAGCCAGGAACAGCTCCAGACTTGCATACCATCCACTTGGCATTCGCAGCAGAAAGCCCCTCTTTCACAACAGTGTCAGCAAAAGTCCTGGAGCTGACTCTCCTCATCCTAACTTAAGTCACATGAACATTCCAGGGCAATCAATGGCTTAGGCTGGCGTAAGTGCCCAGCTTGGAGCAGGGGCATTGGGCAGGATGGAATCAGTCTCACCTGAACCACAGGGACTTACAGTGAAAAAGATGCACCCCCAGCCCTTCCCCGCCACCAAATCATAGTGCTGTTACCAGAGGAGGGGGGAATGGCTGCAGAAGAGGCAAAACCCACAGATGCCCCATCTGCCACTGTTCCTTCTTTTGAGTCCTTGAGTAGCACTTCATTAAAAAAGGCACCCACATGCATGCAGAGCTAGGTATCATTTTCCAAAACAGGGAAGGAAATAAAGCACCTCCTAAAGACAAATAGTGCAGACTCTCTTTCTCACTGGCTTGAAATAGCTCCCAGCGCTACAGAGCAGGGCTGAGGGACGGCACCAGCAGCCTCACTCTCGGTGTAATTTAATCCTCCAGAGCATCTGCCCTGAACATTCAGCTCCACGAACACCCACTCCCCCGCCCTCTGCTGTGGTCCACCCCCTCCCTCCCATGGTTTCTTGGCCTGCTTTACTGTCTTTTTGTAATCATCAGCTAACATCTGCTACATTTTATTTGTGGCAGGAAGGATTTTTTTTTCTCCTTTACCCTTCCTCCTCCTGGGGTTGAATGCGAAATAGACTAGAATAACAAAATGAGGCAGACAGGCTTCTTAACATAATAACCTAAAAATGTGTGAAGCTGGGAAGTGTCCAATGTTTGGATCCCTCCCTCCGCGGCTCCCTGAGAGCAGGCCCTCTTTTTCCAGCACTCTCCTGGCTCAAAGCCCTGGATCTATCCAGGAGAGAATGGGATGAAGCTGAGGGACAGACAATTTAAATTGAGGAAAAGGGCAAGGGGTTAAGAGAAGGCAGAGCCCCGTAAGAGGTAGAGATCAGGAATCCAAGGGGGAGAGACGGGGAAGGCAAGATGTTTCTTTGCTGTCTTTCACGGGGCCTGCGTATTTTCCATCTGCAAGTAGAAGATGATGCCAGCTGTATAAGGAGATACAGTCTTTAAATCAATGACCAAATCAAGGATGTAGTCCCTTCCTCCCCGTAGCTTTTACCAGCAGTTTGCAAAATAATAAAATAGCTAAAAGGTGGATAGCAAAGGAAGAAGAAGCAATCTGGCTCAAACAGTTCTAAACTGAGGTTTTCCACACCAGAGAGGAAAACCAAGAGGGAAGCTGGTAAAATGGGGCAGAGATTGATACTGGTGGGCTAGGGAAGGTCTCTAAATGTCAGTGGGACCTTAACCCCAGCCGGTGTCCAGGCTCCTGATGCCATCGTGAGAATGAATTCAACGACAAGTCAGAAAATTGTGAAAGTACAGAGATTTATTGCAAAGGGAAAGTACACACACCAGAAAAAAAGAGTGCATGCATACTCAAGAGAGTGCTGTGATGGGATTTAGCATTTCTGTCTTTATGGATTTCTTAACCAAAGAGTGGAATATTCATGAAGATTCCTGGAAAAAGGTGATCATTTCTCAGAATTGTCATGCTACCCATTTTTACACCAAATACAGGTGTTCCCGGAACTGTCATGGCACTGGTGGGAGTGTGTTGAGTATGCTAATGAGTGCATAATGAGGTCCTAGGAGGCACCTAGGTCAGATCCAGCACCATGTTGGATCCAGTCTATTTTTTTTTTTTTTTTTGAGACAGAGTCTCACTCTGTCACCCAGGCTGGATTGCAGTGGCATGATCTCGGCTCACTGCAACCTCTGCCTGCCGGGTTCAAGCGATTCTCCTGCCTCAGCCTCCCGAGTAGCTGAAACTACAAGCATGCACCACCATGCCCTGCCAGTTTTTGTATTTTTAGTAGAGACGGGCTTTCACCATGTTGGCCAGGCTGGTCTTGAGCTCTTGACCTCGTGATCCACCGGCCTCAGCCTCTCAAAGCGCTGGGACCACAGGCGTGAGCCACCGTGCCCGGCCAGATCCAGCCTATCTTAGCCAGCATGGCCCACAACGTGGTTTTTCTTTTTCTTTCTTTTTTTTTTTTTTGAGACAAAGTCTCACTCTATTGTCCAAGCTGGAGTGCAGTGGCGCGATCTTGGCTCACTGCAACCTCCACCTCCCGGGTTCAAGCAATTCTCCTGCCTCAGCCTCCGGAGTAGCTGGGAATACAGGCATGCACCACCATGCCCAGCTAATTTTTGTATTTTAGTAGAGACGGGGTTTCACTATGTTGGCCAGGCTGGTCTTGAACTCCTAACCTCGTGATCCATCCACCTCGGCCTCCCAAAGCGCTGGGATTACAGGCGTGAGCCAGCACGCCCGGCCCACACCATGGTTTTGCAAAGTCTTTTCAGCCCATAGCCTTTAGTCCTGTGAAACTGCTGTCTGGAATTTTTATCCTCCTGTGACTATCCTGTATTATTCCTGTCTCAGGACCACCCACAAATCTCCAGCTGCTTTGTGGACTCTCTCACGGACATCCTTTCAGACTCAGTGTCTGTACTCCATCAGCAAATCCATGTGTGCCATGGATCAGACAACTACTTCTCTCCCATCACAGGGGGAAACCTATGGGATTATATATTTAGTTATTTTAAAAGCATTTGACTAGTAAATTGCAAAGCACAATGTACCATAAAAAGGATATTTTGCTGATTTCTAAATTCTCTATTAAATGTATTTCTCAAGTGAATGTACTTCTTCTCCTCTATTGAACCTGTAAAACTCCCCTACCTGTGAATACTACGAGTCCTTTTCAAGGAACTCACTCTGTCTTCTCATCAGTTAAGTGGAAGCTGACTTCTCTATTTCTTGGTTTCTTCCAATGGAACCCTTCTTTTCTTCCTACAGACCCCAAGACTCATTTGGTTTTCTTCTCCCTTGGCCCCTGTCACTGCTTCTACTTTCTCTGTCTTTTGTGTCTGTATTGATCAGGATTATTAGTGGCAGAGAAGAACCCTCTCTAACTAATTTAAACACAAAGAGATTAATTAAAGGGGATTAGGTGACCTAATGCTTTTTTTTTTTTTTTTTTTTTTGAGACGGAGTATCGCTCTGTTGCCCAGGCTGGAGTACAGTGGCATAATCTTGACTCACTGCACAGGCTGGAGTACAGTGGCATAATCTTGACTCACTGCAACCTCTGCCTCCTGGGTTCAAGCAATTCATCTGCATCCGCCTCCTCAATAGCTGGGATTACAGGTGTGTGCCACCACACCCGGCTAATTTTTGTATTTTTAGTAGAAACGGGTTTCACCATGTTGGCCAGGCTGGTCTCGAACTCCTGACCTCAAGTGATCTGCCTGCCTCTGCCTCCCAAAGTGCTGGCATTACAGATGTGAGCCACCACGCCCAGCCTGCTAATGCATTTCTGAGAGGACTAGGGGACCAGCTTTGAACTAGGGAACCACCCTGGTAGGTTCTTCTAACAAGAACCTCACTATTGCCACCACGTGCCTCTTAGCATCTCTGACCAGGATTCTCTTTATAATCCCAGCGCATGGTAGTCACATTGTAGACATCTTACAATTTCCAGCAGATGGAGTCTTATTCTAATATACTGGTATACTAATGATTGATGTATTAGAACGGAAGGGAGGTATCAACAGGTAAGGGACTTCAGAGGCCTGAGAGTGGAAGAAGTCGCTGCCTTTAAAATACAAGGAGTGCATGTATTTTACAGATGGAATTGAGGTGCTTCAGGCAAAATTAGGTGTCTTTTTCTAATTAATACAAAGATGCTGTACAGGTTAACCATAACCATACCCATGAAATCAGATATGAAACAATAGAAACTTCACCACACCTGTTTCAGAAAAAAACAAAAACCTCCCCTAGGGGTGCTTTTCAGAAGATGCAACCTTCGAGCCCTCAGCCAGGGTCACACCCTCAGCCAGGGTCTCACACTTCTACCTTGAAGTCTCACCCAGTGGGTGTTCTGGTGGAGTAGCGGTCTCCTGAGGAAGCCTAACTGCAAAGGAGTCTAGTACTCATAGGTTTCTGCTGTCCAGCCCCTGCATATGGGAATTCATGGAATGACGTTCTGCAAACCAATCTGCAGTCACAATCTCAGATTTGCAGTGGAGCAAGCACATCATGTCTCCCTGCTCCCTGCTTTTCGCAGCCTCTGAAAAACACCACTCAGCCTCTGATCTTTAAAAGATCCTGCTGATCCCTGTGGCGTAAATCTGAGAAGCTATGCAGGAGAGAGAAATTCTGGAATCAGCAAAAATGTCCCTTTTTACAATGCGTTATGCTTTGCAACTTACTATTGAATGTTGTATTCTGTTTACAAAGCTGCTGAAAATCTCAAAAAGTTCTCTCTGGATATGTTTCTTTAGTATATTGAAATGCAAACGAGCTCCGTTTCAACTAGGTAATCTGGGCACACACATGAATAATTACCACTCCCACCACCTGATGCCTCATTAAAATGACCGTAAAGGAGGAGAACGCAAAGGAGGTGTCAACAGCTAAGGGTTTCAGAGGCCTGAGAGTGGAGGGTGTCCCCACCTTTAAAATACAGGATGTGCCCGACCCAGGGAAGAAAGTGGGCAGCCCCTCAGAGAGTCTACGTCAAGCGGCCAAGCCGTCCCCAAATAGCAGCTGCTGGGTCCGCTGATTTGCCCCACTTTCCCAGATAGATGTCATTTACTACTCAGAGCACAGCAGGCAGCATGACCCCAATGTTCGCATCAGTTCTGCTGGCCCCCAAGCCTCATGGGGCAATACCAGTGCTGGCCAGGTGAATACTGCCCCTGAGGAACACTGAGTTCATGAAACCCCCAGTTTTCCAAGGGAACCGCTAGCACACCTGCCCCAACTTTGCCCCAGCGGAAGGCACTATCTTTTTTTTTTTTTTTTTTTTTTTTTTGAGCCAGAGTCTTGCTCTGTCGCCCAGGCTGGAGTGCAGTAGGAAGATCTCGGCTCACTGCAAGCTCCGCCTCCCGGGTTCACGCCATTCTCCTGCCTTAACCTCCCCAGTAGCTGGGACTACAGGCTCTCACCACCGCCTGGCTAATTTTTGTATTTTTAGTACAGATGGGGTTTCACCATGTTGGCCAGGTTGGTCTCAAGCTGCTGAACTCAGGTGATCCACCTGCCTCTGCCTCCCAAAGTGTTGGGATTACAGGCGTGAGCCACCGTGCCCAGGGGACACTATCTTTATCACAGTGATAGGGCTCTAAAGAGTGGAGGAACACCAGAGTTCTTGGTCCTCATGTCGGTTTAGATGAAACTACATGGACACACGTGGAGTGGTTTTAAGGAGTGGAGAGTTTAATAGGCAAGAAGGAAGGGAGACGACAGAAGGAAAGAAGCTCCCGCATACAGAGACAGGGGGAGGGGGGCTCCAAAGCCAAAAGAGGAGGTCTCTACCTGCCACGGATACCAGCCAGGTATATGTGCAGTGGCTGGAGGAGGCGGTGTTTGATTTGCATAGGGCTCAGGGGATTGGTTTGACTAGGCATGTCATTCACCTAGCCCGAGAAAAAGCTGGCCCTCCCACCCTAGCCTTTTAATATGCAAATATAGGGCACCAAGGTGTTCTATACACGTGGGGATATGTTGGGGAGGCCGTGTTGCCAGAAACATGTCGAAAAAGGGTAAGAAGGCCAAGGGAATCTCCATGCTTGGGTGGACCCAGTTTCTAATGGCTTGCATTTGCATATCAAAGGTTGCTGGCCTGGCTCTAACAGCCAGGGCTTTACTAGAAACTTTTCCAGAGATGCTTTAAAAAATGAAAACTTCCCAAGGACCCCTTTTCCTACAACAACAGTAGTCAGGAAACAAAACTGAACTCTGACCCGAAGGGAGACATATCTCTAGCTTCCAAAGAGGTCTGCTAAGCAAACAATCTTTAAAAGATTATCTGGCCAAAAGCTGCCATAAAACATGTCCAATACCAGGAGAAAGGCCTCCCAAAATTCTGTAGGTATGAGAGGCAGTTGGTGAAGTGAGGTGGAAAAAAAGAGTTCAGTGAAAGATCTGTGGGCCGGGCACAGTGGCTCACGCCTGTAATCCCAACACTTAAGGAGGCTGAGGCAGGTAGATCACTTGAGGTTTCAGGAGTTGGAAACCAGCCTGACCAACAAGGTGAAACCTCATCTCTGCTAAGAAAATACAAAAATTAGCTGGGCATTGTGGCAGGTGCCTGTAATCCCAGCTTCTCAGGAGGCTGAGGCAGAAGAATTGCTTGAACCTAGAATGTTGCAATGAGCCGAGATGGTGCCACTACCCTCCAGCTGAGTGACAGAGCAAGACTCTGTCTCAAAAAAAAAAAAAAGAAAGAAAGAAAGAAAAAGAAAGAAAGGTCTGTGTCAGAGGGACAAATGTCTAGAGAGCCACTGCTCCAATCCTGCGTGGGTGGATGGGGAGTCATAAGCTGGTACCTTTCCACCCTCTCAAGCTCCAAGACCAATGTAGGGGGATTCCACCCCATGAGTTCCAGGTTACAGCTTCCTTTTCTGGGGTTTATTGAAGTCACAGGGTGTTATGAAGTGTGGGTTAACCTTATAGGAAAAGTAATATAGGGGTTGAGCAAAGGTTTGGAGATGGACGGGAGTCACCAGATTGCACTGACATTGAAGGAGATGCTGGCTACTATTAAAGAGATCATTCTCAAGGGATGTCAGTGGGAAGCAGAGCCAGCTGAGCCCCTGGGGGCAGATAAGGACCAGTGAAGACCACTGATCTGCAGATAATGACTCAGCTCCCACCCAGTTCCTGGGTTCTTGAACAAAACCCTTTAAGGAAAAGCCCCTTATTCCTGTCCAGGTGGCCTCTTCAGGTCAGGCCCTCTCTCAGAGAAACCCCCAAACCTCGATCCCCACTCCCATCCTCCCCTGGAGATGTTCGCCTTTTAGAATCCAGCTCTACAGGCAAAGCATGGTGGAGTCAACTGTGGATACAGAACAGAATGTAAAGTTTATCAGCCTGACGAGGTGAAAGTGAAATGACAGATGTCGGAAATTGGGAAGTAAAAGATGGACAGTTGTGTTGAAGGGAAAGGCAAGCTTTTTTTTTGCTTTCAATAAAGGGAGAAGAAGATACTCCTTGAAATCACTAGAACAAGAGAGATTCCAGTCCATTACTTAATGTTAGAAACCAGTAGAGGAACTAAAAATAATGATATAGCTTTACTGGGACAGGAGTGTGAGCAAGTTAAATCCTTATCTTTGTGAGCAAGTTAAATCCTTATCTTTCACAAGAGGAAGTCAAGAGATAATGTCTAAAGATGATAAACCAGGAAATAGCAAGCAGTGTAAACATAGTATTTAGACACACAGAGGTAATCACTAAACACTGAAACCAAACTGCTGGATGACAGACTGGGCACAGGCATAGGTGGATACCTCTGTAGAATTTAATTTTTTTTTTTATGTCTCTCCACCTTTTCTATTGGGTTCCATGAATAAAAGATTCTTGTTGTTGTTGTTGTTTGTTTGTTTGAGATGGAGTATCACTCTGTTGCCCTGGCTGGAGTGCATGGTGCAATCTCGGCTCACTGCAACCTCTGTCTCCCAGGTTCAAGACATTCTCATGCCTCAGCCTCCCCAGTAGCTAGGAATACAGGTGCGTGCCACCACACCCAGCTAATTTTTGTATTTTTAGTAGGGATGGGGTTTTACCATGTTGGCCAGGCTGGTTTGAACCCCTGACCTCAAGTGATCCACCTGCTTTGGCTTCCCAAAGTGCTGAGATTACAGGTGTGAGCCGCCACGCCCAGCCTGTTTGTTTTTGAGACGGGGGTCTCATCATGTCACCCAGGTGGGAATACAGTGATGCAATCACAGCTCACTGCAGCCTCAAACTCCTGGGCTCAAGCACTCTTCCCACCGCAACCTCCCAATTAGCTAGGACTACAGGCACACGCCACCATACCCCACTAATTTTTTTTTTTGCTGTAGAGATTGGAGGCAGGCGGCAGTCTCGCTTTGTTGGCTAGGCTGGTCTCAAACTCCTAGCCTCAAGGAATCCTTCTGCCTCCCAGAATGATGGGATTACAGGCATGGGACCACCATGCTCGGCCAAGAAAAAGCTTCTTAAGCTTCTTTTCTTCTCTTTATTCCTTGAAAAACTCATCAATCTAGTCCCTTCTTCCCCCAAAAGCACTAATTTTAAGGGTGTTCACCAAAATTAGGGACGTTCAGTGTATCAAACTGTGTAGGGAAAAACTCTCCTGAAACCATGTTTTTCCTCTACTCTCACACCACAACAATCATCAACACAGAAGATTTCTGTGACCAAATATATGGGGCTTTTTCCCCACACACCAAGCAACGGACACCAGGGAGGGTCTTCTCATTCAGTTCCAACCGTGTCTGCCCAGAGATGGTGTCAGATCCCACAAGCTGAGGACTCAGTCCCTAAGACTGCCTCCTGAACCCCCACTAACACACACCAGTTGCAAGGTCGGCCCTCCAGAACCTCTTACTGACCAGCTTCAAGTTGGGGTTCCCATGACCCCCCTATATGGGTTCAATAAATTTGCTGGAGCGGCTTATAGAACTCAGGGAAACACATTTACTGGTTTATTATTAAGGATATAGTAAAGGATACACGAGAAGAGATGCACAGGGTGAGATATTAGGGAAGCGGCGCAGAGTTTCCATGTCCTCCCTAAGCGCCACCCTCCAGGAACCTCCAGGAGCTCAGCTACCCGGAAGTTCACTGATCCATGTCCTCTTGGGTTTTTACAGAAGCTTCATGACATCAACATTCTTTCCCCCATGGTATAGGGTGGGAGCCCTCTCATGGGAGAGTCTTAAGATCCATCACCTGATCAGGCCGGGTGCAGTGGCTCATGCCTGTAATCCCAGCACTTTGTGAGGCAGAGGTGGGCAGGTCACTTGAGGTCAGGAGTTCGAGACCAGTGTGGCCAACGTGGTGAAACCCCCGTCTCTACTAAAAGTAAAAAAATTAGCCTGGGCATGGTGGTGCATGCCTGTAATCCCAGCTACTTGGGAGACTGAGGCAGGAGAATCACTTGAACCCGAGAAGCAGAGGTTGCAGTGAGCTGAGATCGCGCCACTGCACTCCAGAATGGGTGACAGAGTGAGACGTTGTCTCAAAAATAATAACAATAGTGATGAAGGGGGAAGGGGTTAAATATCTGAAACAGTCTAACAGTGCCTGGTACATGGGGGAAATTCATTAAACATTGATCCAGCACATGAACAAGAGGAACAATGTTCTATTCAAGCTGGAAATCCTTGATACCCTTGTTTCTCTTATTCAATTCAACCTACTCCTATTGATTGTACATTTTCCCTCTCTCTTGAATCAGCCCTTTTCTATCTCCAAGGCTTCTTCCCCATCCCAGTTGCCATTATTTCTCACTTGGACCATGCAGTAGCCCATGGCCAGAATTTCTGTGGGCCTGACCTAAACAGCTTCCTCAACCCCTAGACTAAGGCGGAACAAAACTCAGAAGACAAAAAAAGGACAGCCGGGGACCTATGGAGCAGCATATGAGTTCATTACAGCTAACAAATTTAAAACAACAACAACAAAACCCTGTCTTCCACACTAACCATATTGCATGACTTCATCTAGCATGAAGTTAATCCAGGAAAGTGGCTGTTTCATGTCAAAAACAGGAAGACGGGCTCTGAGGCACTTTTGAGAGAGCTCTAATCTTGGATTTTCAGTGTCAGAAATCAGAGGGAGAATAAAATCTATGAAAGAAAGCCGACGGGAGAAACATAAGATCCAAGATGGAAACTGAGCTGGGACTAACAGATCCTCCAAAGAACCCTACAATTTACAAGGTATTATCAATTCTCCAGAGCAGGAGTCCAGTAGGTTTCATGGGTGTGTGACCTGCACAGTTGCACATTTCTGTACAGAGAAGGGCCCTGCACTTAGTTAACATTTTACAGTCAATATCTTGAAATTCTTAATAATTTTCGAATAAGGGCCCAAATCTTTTTATTTTGCACTGAGCCCTGAAAATTATGTAGCTAGTCCCGGCAAAGAACCTACTGTACGGAACCTGGAAAACAGAAGTTCTAAGTAGTTATTTCGTTTTTCACTTTATGTAAAGTGAATTTCCTTCTTGAAGGAGAGATTTTCTTCCCCTTCTCAAATCACATTGATTTTTTTTTTTTTTTTTTTTGAGACGGAGTCTCGCTCTGTAGCCCAGGCTGGATTGCAGAGGTGCCATCTTGACTCACTGCAACCTCAGCCTCCTGGTCCCCAGTTCAAGCAATTCTCTGGCCTCAGCCTCCCAAGTAGCTGGGGTTACAGAACTGCACCACCATGCCCAGCTAATTTTTGTATTTTTAGTGGAGACGGGGTTTCACCATGTTGGCCAGGCTAGTCTTGAACTCCTGACCTCGTGATCCACCCGCCTTGGCCTCCCAAAGTGCTGGGATTACAGGCGTGAGCCACCACGCCGGCCCTAATCACATTGATTTCACACTGGAGAATAAATTAGAGGAGAACCGGCATGGATGAGTGCCCTGCCCAGATCCCCCTGACACTCAAGGCTACACTCTGAAGGCGGCTCACATCTGACACCCACAAATCCTCTTGAAGACTCTTTTCTGGCCACAGGAAGCTGCTTGGCCTGCAGCTGGGGCAATCCTGAAGTGCTGGAGGGTGAACGCCTGTAGAAGCAACCTTTGGCCAACAAAGAGTTGGTGGTTATGGATCTCAACGTCCTCGATCCTCAGGAAGGATGATGCTCGCAATCATTCTGAGGCACACCCTGCCCAACTCCCAGTGCTTTCCCCAGGAGTGAGCTCCAGCTGCCCATGGGAGAAAGGTGCTTGCTCACTCACCTGCACACTTTACTGGCTTCCCTTACCTCCCCATCTTATTCTCCATTCCCTATTGGAGTTTCCTGCAATTATCTCCTGAATCAGCGATTCATACTTGCACTCAAACCCTCATTTCAGGATACTTCAGCGGGAACCTAAATAAAGACAAGTCATTTCATCAAAGTCCAGGGCAGGGTCAAAGAGTGACATGAATGACAAGCTGTAGACACCTCAGGACTACTTTCTCTTCAGTTGGCATCTGAGCCGGCAAACAGAGTGCCAAAGATATACACGAGGATTCAAGTAGGTGAGGGGATGCATCCTTAGCTCCTCTCTGAGGTGTAGCCATAGAGGTGGGAACGTGCAGGGTGGTCGGGAGCTATGGATTCACTGCCTTTTATACCACTCAGTAAGGGAGAGGCCTAATCAGTGCTCAGGGATCTATCTCCTACCACGTGTGGAAATTCTTTTTTTTTTTTTTTTTTTTTTGAGACAGTCTCACTCTGTCGCCCTGGCTGGAGTGCAGTGGCACGATCTCAGCTCACTGCAACATCCACCTCCTGGGTTCACGAGATTCTCGTGCCTCAGCCTCCTGAGTAGTTGGGATTACAGGTGCGCACCACCATGCCTGGCTAATTTTTTTTTCTTTTTTTTTTTTTTGAGATGGAGTCTCGCTCTGTCACCCAGGCTGGAGTGCAGTGGCATGATCTCGGCTCACTGTAACCTCCACCTCCCGGGTTCAAGACATTTTCCTGCCTCAGCCTCCTGAGTAGCTGGGACTACAGGTGTCCGCCACCACGCCCAGCTAATTTTTTTGTGTTTTTAGTAGAAACGGGGTTTCACCACATTGGCCAGGCTGGTCCTGAACTCCTTACTTTGTGATCCGCCCATCTCGGCCTCCCAAAGTGCTGGGATTACAGGCGTGAGCCACTGCGCCCGGCCAATTTGTTGTATTTTTAGTAGAGACAGGGTTTCGACATGTTGGCCAGGATGATCTCGAACTCCTGGCCTCAGGCAATCTACGCGCCTCTGCCTCCCAAAGTGCTGGGATTACAGGCATGAGCCACCGCGCTCAGCCAGGTGCAGAAATTCTTGCTTTGCTATAATTACATTACATTCGGCAAGTGACAGAAAATCAAGCACGTGGCTTAAACAAGTAGGAAGTAAATTTGCCTTTCACATGACAGATTGGTGATCGAGGGTTGCTATAGCACTCCTTCCAAGTTTTGCTTCACTATGTATGACCTCCATTCCCAAAGTCTCCTCATTCTCCAAAATGACTGCCCATAGTCCAGTCATCTCATCCATGCTCCAGACAGTAGGAAGAAGAAAATAAGGAAGAAAAGCCCACTCTCGGCCTTTAAGGCCCCATAATGGATGATTTTTATATATATATATTCTCCACCGCCTATATCCCAGTGACCAGACTCTAGACTCGTGACTCCACCAAGCTGCAAAGAAGTCTGGGAATTGTATTCATTATTCTGGATGTGTGCCCAGCTAAAAATTGAGTGTTCTGAGCCAGGCACAGTGGTGTATACCTGTAATCCAAGCTACTTGGAAGACTGAGGCAGGAGGATCCCTTGAGCCCAGGAGTTCGAGTCCAGCCTGGGCAACATAGCAAGAGCCTGTCTCTAAAAAAGTAATAATAATATCTAGAGAAGAAGAGAACAGACATTGGGGGCAACTAGCAGTCTCCACCACCCCAACCTCAAATAATTTATTGTGTCCTAGGATGGCCCAGGAAGAACAGTATAATTCCTGCTTGTTCCAGAAAGGTGCTTATATACCCACAACAGCGGCTGGCTCTCATGGAGCCCTGTAAACTGAAATGGGGTAGGCAGACAACCGCAAACAGATGGATGTCTCAAGACATGCCAACCTGAATAGATAATGAACCAGGTCCAGGAATCATCTACTGCCATGGCATATGTGAGTCCTCCTACCACCTCCATAGATGGAACCCAGGGAAAGAAAGGGATGCCAAATTGACTCAGAATGTGCTTGCACTGCCTTAGTGAAATGAGGATTATGGTGGACATTAGGGCTGTTCACAAATGTTCTGACTCTTCTCCTTCTGGGTAGATGGTAGGATTTGCATTTCTCTGCCCCCTTGAAGTTAGATGTGGCCATGTGATATACTTTAGTCAATGACCCATGAGCAGAAGTCAGATGTGTCCTGTCCAGGTTGAAGATTAAGAGCCTGTGATAGTTAATTTTATGTGTCAACTTGGCAAGGCCATGGTACCTAGTTTTTGGTCAAACATCAGTCTAGATGTTGCTGTGAAGGTATTTTGTCCTTGTTCAATTTCTTTTGCTTTATTTCATATTTATTACCTTTGCCTCCCCAAATCAATGTTGTGAAGGCATTTGGATGCCTTCCTTAACATTTAAATCTGTAGACTTTGAGTAAAACAGATTACTCCCCATAATGTGGGTGAGCCTCATCCAGTCAGTTAAAAGCATTAAGAGAAAAAGACTGAGGTATCCTGCGGAAGAAATTCAGCCCCCAGACTGTCTTTGGACTATGGCTACATCAACTCTTCCCTGGGTTTCCAGCCTGTCATCCTGCCCTGCAGATTTCAGACTCGCCAGCCCTGACATTGGCGTGAGCCAATAAGGTCTCTGCCTCTGTCTCTGTCCCTCTCCCTTTGCGTCTCTGTTTCTCTCTGTATCTCTCTTCATGTCTCTCTCTGTCTCTGCAACTCTGTCTCTCTCTCATCATGTTCATTGTTTTTTTTTGAGATAGGATTTTACTATATTCCCCAGGCTGGAGATACATATGTGTAGATAGATAGATAGATAGATAGATAGATAGATAGATAGATAGATAGATAGATAGATAGATAGATGGATGCAGAGACAGAGAGAGACATGAAGAGAGATACAGATAGAGACACAAAGTGAGCACGTGTACAATTCCAGTAAACACACTGTGCATGCAGCCCCTACCAAGTGCTGGCAGGCCGCTGCACATGCGGACAGCCCACCCCAAAGGAAGAATCAGGGGAGAAGTAACGCAAGACCCCAGAAGTATGCCAACATATAAAACCCCAAGTCAAAAGGTCAAACCACGTATTTGATCCCTGAAGTCCCCTGCTTGACCCTCTTCCAAGTGTACTTTCCTTCCTTTCATTCCTGCTCTAAAGCTTTTTAATAAACTTTCACTCCTGCTCTAACACTTGCCTCAGTCTCTCCTTCTGCCTTATGCCCCTTGGTCAAATTTTGTCTTCTGGGGAGGCAAGAATTGAGGTTGCTGCAGACCCCCACCATTACGCCACTGTTAACAGGCTGAAGTGTTCCTCCTGTCTCGGCCTCCCAAAGTGCTGGGATTACAGGCATGAGCCACCACATCTGGCGTGGAATTAATATTCTATCCCCATTCTTCTACCCCTTAAGCTTCCCTGGGCTCTAAAATTACCTCTTTTTCTGAATTCAACAAAAATGTTTCATTTGCTTCTTAGGGTAAAAGATCATAACTATGTAATGAGAGGTAATAAGCAAATCTTCTCCAAGGTCTGAACAAGAGCTCCATTTTCCCAAGGGGATTTGCACTTAAAAAGAAGATCTAAAAACAAAACAAAAATCCCACACGAATCAAGCTGTATTTGGTGAAACTCTAGGAAGTGCGACTAAGGAGTTTTCCCGCACTATGGAAAGTAATTTTTCAGAGGTGCTCTGCAGATAGAATCAACACTGTTGGGCATTGCACTTGGGGTTTCTGGGTGTTTCTAAGTGGCAAAGAGCAGGGAATCCTCAGATTCTCTTCCAGAGTTTCCATTTCTCCATCTAGATGGCTCCCAGCAGTGCTGAGTCCAGCTTCTGTAGCTCCCAGTGGGGCTGAGTCCAGCTTCTGTAGCTCCCAGTGGGGCTGAGTCCAGCTTCTGTAGCTCCCAGTGGGGCTGAGTCCAGCTTCTGTAGCTCCCAGTGGGGCTGAATCCGGCTTCTGTAGCTTCACAGCCTCTCCTGTCCATCCTCAGGCCCAGCTACTGGCTGCTTTGTTTTCCACAGGGCAGCTTCCTGGGCTATGTGACCTTTGTCTCGGGGTAAGGTCCTGCCTGAATCCTGGTGCAGAAATATTATCCCTGGGTGTCACATCTCCCCTCTTGCCTCGCCCCAGGAGGCTTACCTCTAATCTCAAATGTAATGTATAGCCATAAGAAATCAACTAGGGGACCACGTGTGGTGGCTCATGTCTGTAATCCCAGCACTTTGGGAGGCCAAGGCAGGTGGTTCACTGGAGGCCAGGAGTTTGAGACCAGCCTGGGCAACAAGGTGAAACCCCGTCTCTACTAAAAATACAAAAATTAGCCGGGCATGGTGGCGCACACCTGTAATTCCAGCTACTGGGAGGCTGAGGTGGGAGGATCACTTGAGCCCAGGAGGCAGAGTTTAGCTGAGCTGGGATCATGCCACTGTACTCCAGCCTGGGCAACAGAGTGAGACCCTGCCTCAAAAAAGAAAAAAAAAAAGAATAAAGAAATCAACTAGGGAACTTATTAAAAATGCAGATTCAGGATTCCAGATTCTGATTCCTTAGGTTGGGATGCAGGCCAGAAAGCTGCATTTTTACAAGCAGCTCAGATGCAGGCAGGAGGCAGTCTTTACTTGGAGAAATAGTGCAAAGGGAGATGGGGTGAGCTATTAGCATCACCCACTCTCTTAAATCTCCGCTCTTTTCTAGTAAGCTCTGACTCTGTTATTGATGCAGCTGGGCCATCTGCTCACAACCTCAAAACGAAACAAATGAAACCAACAAACAAAAGATGGAATGCTGCTTCTAGGAATTTCTGTGCCATTTTTCTCTTTTCTTTCTGTTTACAAAGGGATGGGCCTTTTTTGTGATGTAGTCTTTAGTGACAAAACTGAGGACAAATGATACCCTCCTCTCCCACTCAGTTTTTGCCATATTTGCAGAAGGCTGATGATGTGGCCTGAAAGTAAACACATAAGAAAGAAGCAGCAGCCAGCTCAAAGAATTATCAAATGAAAGCTAGGACAATCAAGAGTTAAACGCAATTGTTAACGCAGTGACTGTTATAAACTTGGGTTAGAACCAGCAGCCGTAGGGGAGAATCAATAGTCAAAATGACATAATCTATTTGGCCAATTGAAGGGTTCATTTCTATGGCCTCTGGGAAGAGGCACAGAGCCCCCCACACCTGGAAGTAATTATCCCAGCCTGGCCTCCTGCCCAGGCCCAAGTCACTTCTCTGACCGAAATCCATGCGCCCTCTCGTGGTGGAGGTAAAGGACGATAGAAAATTGAGAGTTGTTATATTCTTGCATTTCACCGCTCTTCCATTGGACACCCAGACAGAGCTTTTTTAAGGATCTGCAGGTGCAGAGTCCTCCTCGAAGCTGCAGCAGGACCGTGTGAGGTAAAGAAGCTGCAGCAGGACTGTGTGACAGGTAATAGTGTCCTCGCTCTGGTGGCATCCCCAGATTTAGTCTATGCATGTCAAACATTAGTTGGGTACTTTGATACTTCACAAATGCAGACATTGAGCAGCTGTGCTTAAAAGCACAGTTCTTTCTGGCCCAATTCTATACATTAAACCCAGTCAACCCACCGGTGCATGTCACAGAAAGCAGTGAATAAAAATCAAGCCCCGGCCAGGCCCGGTGGCTCACGCCTGTAATCATAGCACTTTGGGAAGCCGAGGCAGGCGGATTGCCTGAGCTCAGGAGTTCAGGACCAGCCTCGGCAAAATGGTGAAACCCCGTCTCTACTAAAATACAAAAAAAAAAAAAAAAAAAAAAATCAACTCCCAAATTCAGCCTGGCACCCAAACTTCAATCCCAATCCTGCCTGCCCAGCTTCCCCAATCCTATGCGGGGTCTGCTTTTCTAGCCCAACACTCAGCCCTCATTATGGATCCCAGAATCTGCTCCCAGGGCAGGAGCTTTCATTCACCCTGCAGCCCTGGGTTCCACGTGGCTGGCATATCCATCCCTCCTCTCCTACAATCCCAATCAGGGAAAATCTCACAACTCATAACCTGAAAATAATAGAAAAAGACCTCAGAACCTTCAAAAGGGGCTATCCATTAGTCAGACACTCTACTCACACACATGATTTTTTCATTTTTAACTGTAAATTACAGAGACATATTCTACTGTTTTAAAAATTCAAATCCAACATACAGAAGCCATTGTTATTCCTGAACTTTCTATATGTTTTCACATACATAAATGTACTAGAGAAATATTGAGTTTTATTGTTTGTGGAGCTTTTTATTAGCATAAATAGGATGATATTATATCTGTCTTCTTTTTCTTTTACAGCTTGATTTTTTTCTTTATATATAAATATATATAAATATATATATATATTTTAAACAGGATCATGCTCTGTCATTCAGGCTAAAGTGCTGAGGCATGATCATGGCTCACTGCAGCCTTGACCTTCTGGGCTCAAGCAATCCTCCTGCCTCAGCCTCCTAAACTGCTGCAATTACAGGCAGGAGTCACCATGCCCAGCTTACAGCTTGACTTTTTAAATTAACAATAAGATATGTTTTATCAATAAACCTTTCCATGTACATTTCTCTGAAGCCATTTAGTTCTTTTTTTTCTTTTTCAGATGGAGTCTCACTCTGCTGCCAAGGCTGGAGTGCAATGGCATGATCTTGGCTCAATGAAACATCTGCCTCCCGGGTTCAAGCAATTCTCCTGCCTTAGCCTCCCGAGTAGCTGGGATCACAGGCACATGCCACCATGCTCTGCTAAATTTTTTGTGTTTTTAGTAGAGATGAGGTTTCACCATGTTGGCCAGGCTGGTCTTGAACTCCTAACCTCAAGTGATCCACCCACCTCGGCCTACCAAAATGCTGGGATTATAGGAATGAGCCACAGCGCCTGGCCTACTTATTTCTCTTTAACTGCTGCATACTACTCCATAGTGCTTAGAAAGCCAAAATAATACTTTTTTCTGCCTTTCCTAAGTCTGGAATCAATGGAGGAATAAGAAAATGGAGGCAGACAGATATAAATCAAAAGCTGACAGTGTTGTTAACAAGCTGATGGGAAAACATAGTTTAAGGGTGCATCTAGAAGGACTTGCCAATATTTTACCCCTGAACAAATACAGACTTACCTGTTGGGCCACAGGCATCCCTGGACATCCAACATGTGTGTGAAACAGGCTTCAGAGCTTGCCACAGAGCAGGGCAAAGGCCAGAATGATCTCCAAGCAAACATCGTGGAAGACGGCAGGGAAAGAACTGAGCAAAGGTGCCCAGGCCCTTGTACTTAAGTCACCAATCAAGCAAATTAGTCCTCTTCTCATAGAGATGAGTGAGTGGATAAGGAGTGGGAGAGAGAACAGGAGTGTTACTCTAGAATATAACTGAGGCCAGGGAAATGGAGATTCCCCTAAACATTTTCCAGATTTTCAGTCGTGCAACCCTTTCAGCTCAAAAATCTGCCAGAGCACAGCTAACTCCCCCTTCCTCCTGGGAGAAGAGATCAGGCATGTACCAGAACGTTCCTGGCTTCTACATTCATGAATCTATTCCCTCAATACCAGCCACTGCTCTTTTGTAGATCTGTCTCGCGGACAGTTTATATTTTGGCCTCAGCAGACTCTAATATGGGTTAGAGCAGCCCATTAACTTCCAGACCATGATATTACCTAAGCCAAAAATGTGCTCCATATTCTGTTTCCCATCAAAAACATGCCCGGTCATATTGTCCAATGTAACTCACTAAAGGTTATACAATTAAATAAAATGACCGCAAAAAGCTACTCCTTTCAAAAATGCAATACCTAACACAATATAGCCCATATATGAAAAACTCACACCTGGCATCATATTAAATAGTGAAAGACTGAAAACTTTTCTTCTAAGATCAGGAACAAGACAAGGATGCATGTTTTCACCACTTCTGTTCAGTAGAGTACTGGAAGTTCTACCGGACCAATTAGGCAGGAAAAAGAAATAAAAGCCATCCAAATTGGAAAGGATGAAGGCATCTGTTCACAGATGATATAATCTTACACTTAGAAAATGATAAACACTCTACAAAAAAACAGAACTAATAAAATCAGCAACATTGCAGGATACAAAATCGACATACAAAAATCAGTTGCATTCCTGTACATTAACAATAAACAATCCAAAAAAAATTAAAATAATTTCACTTACAATAGCATCACAAAGAATAAAATACTTAGGAAAAAACTTAACCAAAGAGATGAAGCACTTGTATATTGAAAACTACAGCTGGGCATGGTGGCTCATGCCTGTAAGCCACCAGTGAGCAAAGATGGTGTCACTGCACTCCAGCCAGACCTTGTCTCAAAAAAACGAAACAAGGCCCGTGCAGTGGCTCACTCCTGTAATCCCAGTACTATGGGAGACTGAGGCGGGTGGATCACCTAAGGTCAGGAGTTCCAGACCAGCCTGACCAACATAGAGAAACCCCATCTCTACTAAAAAATACAAAATTAGCCAGGTATGGTGGCACATGCCTGTAATCCCAGCTACTCAGGAGGCTGAGGCAGGAGAATCGCTTGAACACGGGAGGAGGAGGTTGCGGTAAGCTGAGATCGTGCCATTGCACTCCAGCCTGGGCAATAAGAGCAAAAATCTGTCCCAAAAAAAAAAAAACAAAAACAAACAAAAAAAACCTACAAAATGTTGCTGAAAGATTTAGATTTAGACATAAATAAGTAGGAAGACATCTCATGGATTGGAAGACTTAATATTGTTAAAATGTCAATATACCCAAAATGATCTACAGACTCAATGCAATCCTTATCAAAAGCCCAATACTGTTTGTTTCCTTGTTTGTTTATTTTTCAGGAAAAGAAAAATCCATCCTAAAATCCCTATGGACTCTCAGAAAACCCCGAATGGCCAAAACAACCTTAAAATAGAAGAATGAAGTTGGAGGTATCAAACTTTCTGATTTTAAATGATAGTAATCGCTGCTACAGTAATCAAGACAGTGTGGTACTGGCACAAAGAGAGACATATAGACCAACAGAATAGAATAGAGAGCACAGATATAAACTGTAAGCCCTGGCCGGGTGCGGTGGCTCACACCTGTAATCCCAGCACTTTGGGAGGCCAAGGTGGCCGGATCACTTGAGGTCAGGAGTTCAAGACCAGCCTGGCCAACATGATGAAACCTCGTCTCTACTAAAAATACAAAAATTAGCTGGGTATGATGGCGTGTGCTGGTAGTCTCAGCTATTCGGGAGGCTGAGATGGGAGAATCACTTGAACCTGGGAAACAGAGGTTGCAATGAGCTGAGATCATACCACTTTACTCCAGCCTGGGTGACAGAGTGAGACCCTGTCTCAAAAAAAAAAAAAAAAAAAGAATTAAAATAAACTGTAAGCCCTTACATACATTAATATAATCAAATGGTTTACAACAAGGATGGGAAGACCATTCAATGGGAAAGGGACAGTCTTCTCAACAAATGGTGCTGGAAAACTGGATATCCATATGCAAAAGATTGAAGTTGGAGCCTTCCCTAACACCATACACAAAAATTAACTCAAAATGGACCAAAGCTCTAAGTGTAACAGATAAAACTATACAGCTCTTAGTAGAAAACACAGGGGGAAAGCTTCATGACATTGAATTTGGCAATGATTTCTTGGATATGACATCAGAAGCACAGGGGCCGGGCGGGGTGGCTCATGCCTATAATCCCAGCACTTTGCGGGGCTGAGACGGGTAGATCACCTAAAGTCAGGAGTTTGAGACCAGCCTGGCCAACATGGTGAAACCCCATCTCTACTAAAAATACAAAAATTAGCTGGGCATGGAGGCACGTGCCTGTAGTCCTAACTACTCAGGAGACTGAGGTGGGAGGATCGCTTAAACCTGGGAGGTGGAGGTTGCGGTGAGCTGAGATCACACCATTGCACTCTAGCCTGGGCAACAAGAGCAAAACTCTTTCTCAAAAAAAAAAAAAAAAAAAAAAAAAAAAGCACAGGTAATGAAAGGAAAAATCAACAAAAGGGAGTATATCAAACTTAAAAACTTCTGTACATCAAGGGTCTCAATTAACAAAGTGAAAAGGTAATATATGGGATGGGAGAAAATACTTATAAATCATCTATCTGATAAGAGATTAATACCTACAATATGTAAGGAACTCCTACAACTCAATAGCAAAAGAACAAACACCTGATTAAAAAATGGACCAAATCCCAGCACTCTGGGAGGCTGAGGCAGGAGGATCACAAGGTCAGGAGATCGAGACCATCCTGGTTAACACAGTGAAACCCCGCCTCTACTAAAAATACAAAAAATTAGCCAGGCGTGGTGGCGGGCACTTGTAGTCCCAGCTACTTGGGAGCCTGAGGCAGGAAAATGGTGTGAACCTAGGACGTGGAGCTTGCAGTGAGCCGAGATCATGCAAAAAATAAATAAATAAATGTAACACAGGAGGCCAGGTGCGGTGGCTCACACCTGTAATCCCAGCACTTTGGGAGGCCAAGGCAAGAGGATCACTTGAGCCCAGGAGTTTGAGATCATCCTGGGCAATGTGGTGAGACCCCGTTTCTACAAAAAAATAAAATATTAGCCAGGTGTGGTAACAGGCGCCTATAGGCCCAGCTACGTGGGAGGTTGAGGTAGGAGGATTTCTTGAGCCCAGGAGACCAGGAGATCAGGGCTGCAGTGAACCATATTTGTGCCACTGCACTCCAGCTTGGGTAACAGAGAAAGACCCTGTCTCAAAAAAAAAAAAAAAAAAAAAAAGACAAAGGACTTCAATAGACCTTTTTCTGAAGTGGATATACAGGGTTGGGCAAGGTGTCTCACAACTGTAATCCCAGCAATTTGGGAGGCCGAGCAGGTGGATCACTTGAGGCCAGGAGTTCAAGACCAGCCTGGCCAACCTAGCAAAACCTCATCTCTACTAACAATACAAAAATTAGCTGGGTGTGGTGACACACACCTATAATCCCAGCTACTCAGAAGGCTGAGGCATGATAATTGTTTGAACCCAGGAGGCAGAGGCTGCAGTAATCCTGCCACTGAACTCCAGCCTGGGAGATAGAGCGAGACTCGGTCTCCAACAAAAAAAAGAAGAAGATATACAGAAGCCAATAAGGACATGAAAAAAATGCTTAACATCACTCACTAATCTTCAGGGAACTGCAAATCAAAATCTTGATGAGATAGCACCTCACACCCATTAGGATGGCTACTTAAAAAACAAACAACAATCAGAATATATATTGACAAGTATGTGGAGAAGTTGGAAACCTTGTGCATTTCCAACTTCTGGTAGGAATGTAAAATGGTGCAGCTAAAATGGAAAAGAGTCTGGGCTCCTCAAAAAATTAAAAATGGAATTACTGGCCAGGTGCGGTGGCTCGCACCTGTAATCCTAGCACTTTGGGAGGCCGAGGCAGGTGGATTGCCTGAGCTCAGCAGTTCGAGACCAGCCTGGGCAACGTGGTGAAATCCTGTCTCTACTAAAATACAAAAAAAAAAAAAAAAAAATAGCTAGACGTGGCGGCTTGCACCTGTAGTCCCAGCTACTCAGGAGGCTGAGGCAGGAGAATCACTTGAACTCAGGAAGTGGAGGTTGCAGTGAGCCGAGATTGCGCCACTGCACTCCAGCCTGATGACAGAGTGAGACTCTGTCTCAAAAAAAAAAAAATTAAAAATGGAATTACCACATGCTCTACCAATTTCACTTCCATGTATATACTCAAAAGAATTAAAAGCATTGATTCAGATTTTTCTTTTTAGACAGAGTTTCACTCCCGTCGCGCAAACTAGAGTGCAGTGGCATGATCTTGGCTCACTCCAGTCTCAACTCTCTGAACTCACGTGATCCTCCCACCTCAGCCTCATGAGTAGCTGGGACTACAGGTGCACGCCACCACATTCAGCTAATTTTTTGTAGTTTTTGTAGAGACGTGTTTATGCCATGTTGCCCAGGCTGGTCTCTAACTCCTGAGCTCAAGTGATCCACCCACTTTGGCCTCCCAAAGCACTGGGATTACAGGCTTCAGTCACCATGTCTGGCCTTGTATGCACATGTTTATAGCAACATTATTTGCAATAGCCAAAAGGTGGAAACAATGCTAATGTTTATTGATAGATGAATGAATAAACAAAATGAAGTTTATGCATACAATGGAATATTATTCAGCCTTAAAAGAGATGGAAATTCTGACAAATTCTACTACATGGATGAGCTTTGAAGACATTATACTAAGTACTAATAAGCCAGATGCCAAAGGACAAATACTGTATGATTCCACTTACATGAGGTACCTAGGATAGTCAAATTCATGGAGACAGTAAGTAGAGTGTTCACTGCCAAGGGCAGGCTGGGGAGAGGAGGAAGGAGAAGTTATCATTTAATGGTCATGGAATTTCAATTTGGAAAGAGGAAAAAAGTTCTGGAGATGGTGGTGATGGTTGCACGGTGTGATGGTTAATTTTACGTGTCAACTTGACTCTGCGCTAAAGGATGCCCAGATAACTGGGTGACATTATTTATGTCTGGGTCTGTGAGGGTGTTTCTGGAAGAGATTCCCAACTGGTGAGTTGGGAATGCAATTGGCTCTCCCAAGTGTGGGTGGGCATCATCCAATTTGTTGAGGGCCTGAAAAAAACAAAAAGCAAGAGGAAAAGTGAGTTCACTTTTTCTGCTTAAGCTGAGACATTCATCTTCTGCCAACATCACTGCACCTGGTTCTCAGGCATTTGGACTCCCATGCATTCTCAGACCTTTGGACTTGGACTGAATTACACCACTCACTTTTCTCGTTCTCCAGCTTGCAGATAGCAGATCGTGGGACTTCTTGGCTCTATCTACCTAGCTACCTACCTATCTATCTATCTATCTATCTATCTAACTCTTTATCTATGATTGTGTTAGTCAGAGTTCTACAGGGAGACAGACCAATAGGAGATAAATATATACATGAGAGGGAACTTATTAGGGGGGGTTGGCTTACATGATTATGGAGGCTGGGAAGCACCACAACAGGCCATCTGCAAGCTGGGGACCCTGGGATGCTGGTAGAGTGGCCCAGAACCAGAGAAGCTAGTGGTGTAACTGGCAGAGGCCAAAGGCCTGAAAACAGTTGTTGTCCAAAGGCAGGAGAGGAAGGGTATGTCCCAGCTCCAGGAGATAGTTCAACATACTTGTCTTTCTCTCTGTTTTTGTTCTCTCTGGGCCCCCAGCAGGTTGGATGGTGCCTGCTCACACTGAAGGCAGATCTTCCCCACCTTGTCCACTCAGACTCACATTGCTAATCTCCTCTTGAAACACCATCACAGACACACCCCAAAATATAATACTTTACCAGGCTTTTTTTTTTTTTTTGAGATAGAGTGTTGCTCTGTCACCCAGGCTGGAGTGCAATGGAGCGATCTTGGCTCACTGAAACCTCTGCCTCTTGGGTTCAAGCAATTCTCATGCCTCAACCTTCCAAGTAGCTGGGATTACAGGCACACACCACCATGCCTGGCTAATTTTTGTGTTTTTAATAGAAACAGGTTTCCCCATGTTGGCCAGGCTGGTCTCGAACTCCTGGCCTCAAGTGATCCAAACACCTCAGCCTCCCAAAGCGCTGGGATTACAGGATTGAGCCACCGCACCCAGTTCTTAGTATTCCTTAATCCAGTCAAGTTGACACCTCAAATTAAGCATCACAATGATACATGTCCTATTGGCTCTGTTTCTCTAGAGAATACTCACTAATACACACAGCAACATGAATGTACTTAATGCTGCTAAACTTGTATGCTTAAAATGATACATTTTATATTACATATGTAACATATTTTACCACAATAAAAAATGCTAATATCTACAACATAAAGATCTGAGTATACTCCCCTTCCTATATGACTATCCCAGAGAAAAATTATTAAGTCCAAAAATTGAATTCCCTTACCTTTATAAATTAAAATTTAAAGGATTAAGTGTCAAAAATATTTAGATAAAATCCAAAACTCTTCCTCTCCAATTTCTTACTATGCTCAGCTTCCGCCTGAGGGTTCTCCAACTTGCATCTGATAGAGTCAACGTATTTCAGCAAAATGCTTTCTCGCTGATGTCCACTGGAATGACTGTAGTTATTTTAAGACCTCAGACACTGAATTTGTTTAACAAGACTCTACGTTCCTCTCTTTTAAAGACTCCAAAGGGCCAGGCACGGCGGCTCATGCCTGTAATCCTAGCACTTTGGGAGGCCGAGGCAGGCAGATCACGAGGTCAGGAGATGAGACCATCCTGGCCAACATGGTGAAATGCCGTCTATACTAAAAATACAAAAAATTAGCTGGGCGTGGTTGTGGGCACCTGTAGTCCCAGCTACTCGGGAGGCTGAGACAGGAGAATGGAATGAACCCGGGAGGCAGAGCTTGCAGTGAGCCAAGATCTCGCCACTGCACTCCAGCCTGGGCAACAGAGCGAGACTCTGTCTCAAATAAATAAATAAATAAATAAATAAATAAATAAATAAATAAAAATTAAATTAAATTTTAAAAAAAGACTCCAAAATAAATAGGATTCACAAGATTGTCATAGCACCAGTCCCATACCTACCGTATTTGGAAACTCAAGCAATCCCAAATCCTACCCCCACACACACACCATGATGTTTCTACATATATAAAACTTAATCTAGAAACGTATGATTACCAAAGATCCAGACCGTGGCATCTGAAAGAAGGAGACTAGGTAGAGAAATCCTTTTATTCCCAGCCCTACAAGAAAGCTGGTTATTCCTTGTCAGCTATCTGGAGATCATAACCTGAAAAACCACATTGGGAAGAACTCCCACCAACAGGTGAATTGGAGAACCAGACATGTAATATATCTAGAAGAAAAATGGCTTCTCCTTTGGAGGGTGGCATTTGAGACATTCCTGCCTTCTTGCAAAGTCACTATGTTTATTTAGGTCAGGCACAGTTGGTTCACACCTGTAATCTCAGCACTTTGGGAGGCCGAGGTGGGCAGATCGCTTGAGGTCAGGAGTTCAAGACCAACCTGGCCAACATGGTGAAACCCTGTCACTATTAAAAATACAAAAAGTTAGCTGGGCATGGCGATATGTGCCTGTAGTCCCGGTTACTTGGGAAGCTGAGACAAGAGAATCGCTTGAACCTGGGAAGTGGAGGTTGCAGTGAGCTGAAATTGCACCAGTGCACTTCAGCCCGGGTGACAGTGTGAGACACTGTCTCAAAAAAAAAAAAAAAAAGGTCACTATGTTTATTTGGTGTTCCCTTCTTCGCCATCCAGTTGATTTCAAACTTTTTATTTTTTTCCTTTTTGAGACAGAGTCTCCCTCTGTTTCCCAGGCTGGAGAGCAGTGGTGCAATCTCAGCTCGCTGCAATCTCTGCCCCCCAAGTTGAAGTGACTCTCCTGCCTCAGCCTCCCGGGTAGCTGGGATTACAGGTGCCCACCACCATGCCAAGCTAATTTTTGTATTTTTAATAGAGACAGGGTTTCACCATGTTAGTCAGCCTGGTCTCGAACTCCTGACCTCAGGTGATCTGCCCGCCTTGGCCTCCCAAAGTGCTGGGATTACAGTTGTGAGCCACCACGCCTGGCCAAACTTCTTAATTTCAATTTCCCCCTTGTGTTCCTGGTCACTCAGTTCTCTGTCTAGTGACATAGCCTCCACATGCTCTCCTAAGCAGACCCTTTTAGCCCTGAGCTCCTCTTGCAGTAGAATTGTTCAGGCCTATGCAAGGCTGAGATTTCACAGAATGCCCCAGGAAAGCCATTCTCACCACCAATGTTCACTGGAAACCACCCTGGGCCTTTGAAATCTGCCTGTTTCCCCCACATTTGTTTCAGCTGGAATCACTCCCGGCCGACTGTGAACTGAAGCATCTCTCGTGATCCTAGAGCCCCACGGAAGGCCTGCATCTCTGCCATCTGTTCTTCCACAAATCCTAGGCTTTCTTCCCTTTTTCACATTTTTCAGTCCCCATATTTGAATTTCAGGTCTTGAATTACTTTCTTCTGCCATGTCTTTTTCTGCATAGTGGAATGATGTGCCTTTGGGGCTCCAAATCCTCCTGTGGCTCCCATGTCCCTCCGGGAAGATTTTAGGCAGTTTTGCCAGCTACTTATGTTGGTTCACTCTCTTCTCTAACTGGTTCACCAGTTCTGAGTGCTTTCACCTCCACCTACCTTTTGCTTTCTGGCCCAGATGTTTACCTTTCTAAAATAATCCTCTGCAATTTATTTTGGGGGGTCCCAGAGAGAGAGACATAAAATCAGTGAGTTCTGGTTTTCCGAAAGTGTTCATTTTCAAACAAACTACAAACAAATAAATTCTAATATGTTCCTGCATCAAGTAATTACATTCTAGGGGTAGGTATTCTCTATTCAAAATATTTAACAAAGCCTAACATGATTTATTATCGTTCTCTCTGGCTCACCTTTAATGTTTCATCTTCCCTAGGCCTCCTCTAAATTCTGTGTATATTTCAGGCATGTTCCCTCAGGGCCAGACCGTTTTCCACCTATAGCCAATAATATTCCCCCAGTAATGTTCTGGTTATGTGGAGGTTTATTTTTCTGATTTTTTTATTATGGTAAAATGCACATAAAAATTAATATTTTAACCATTTTTAAGTGTACACTTCCGTGGCATTAAGTACATTCATATTGTTTTTGGTTTGTGCTTTTTGATTTTGAGACAGGGTCTTGCTCTGTCCTCCAGGCTGGAGTGCAGTGCCACAATCATAGCTCATTGCAGCCTGGACCTCCTGGACCCAAGCAATCCTCCCACCAAAGCCCTCCTGAGTAGCTTGGGCTACAGTCACACCAGCAGGCTGGACTAAGTTTTGTATTTCTTTGTAGAAACAGGGTCTCACCATGTTGTCCAGGCTGGTCTCAAACTCCTGGGCTCAAGGAATCTTCCCTCTTGGTCTCCCAAGGTGCTGGGATTAGAGGTATGAGCCATCATGCCCGGCCCATTCATGTTGTTGTGCAACCATCACCACCATCCATCTTCAAAACTTTTCAATCATCCCAAACAAACTCTGTGCACATTAAACAACAACTCTTCATCTCCCCTTCCCTCTGCTGCGGCCTCTGTCAACCACCATGCTACTCTGTCTTTTTTTTTTTTTTTTGAGATGGAGTTTTTGCTCTGTTGCCCAGGCTGGAGTGCAGTGGCATGATCTCGGCTCACTGTAACCTCTGCCTCCTGGGTTCAAGCGATTCTCCCACCTCACCCTCCCAAGTAGCTGGGATTATAGGTACCCACCACCACACCTGCCTAGTTTTTGTATTTTTAATAGAGGCAGGGTTTCACCATGTTGGCTGGGCTCGTCTCAAACTCCTGACCTCAAGGGGTCTGCTCGCCTCAGCCTCCCAAAGTGCTGGGATTACTGTCGTGAGCCACTGCACCCGGCCTATTCTCTGTCTCTATGACTTTGACTACTCTAGGTACCACATATAGGTGGAATCATACAGTATCTGTCCTTTTGTGTCTGGCTTACTGTATTTAGCATAATGTCTTCAAAGCTCATCTATGTAGTAGCATGTGTCAGAATTTCCTTCCTTTTAAAGGCTTAATAATACTCCATCCTGGTTGTGGGTGGTGGCTTACGCCTGTAATCCCAGCATTTTGGGAGGCCAAGGCAGGAGGATTGCTTGAGCCCAGGAGTTCGAGACCAGCCTGAGCAACACAGTGAGACCCTGTTTCTAAAAAAAAAAATACAAAAATTAGCTAGGTGTGGGGGCACATGCCTATTGTCTTAGCTACTGGGGAGGCTGAGGCAGGACGGTCACTTGAGCCCAGGAGTTTGAGGCTGCAGTGAGCTATGATTGTCCCACTGCACTCCACCCTGGGCAACAGAGACAGATCCTGTCTCTCTAAAAAAAAGAAAAAAAAAATACTCCATCCTGACCTTCTAAATCTATCCCAATGTTCATATGTGATTCCCCAGTTGTTCATTATGGATTCTCCATCTAAAGATTAAAGAGCACCGTTCTCAATAGTTTCCTGGACCTGGCTCCTTCTGGGGAATCCCTTTGATCTGTTGAGATTGTATCTTTCTAAATCTGATTAGATTTCCCTGAGTCCAGGGTAATCTTCCTGATCTGGTAATAACAAGATAATTCCCTTTTCTAATCTCTTCCTTAAAGACTCTTTCTAAAGGAGTGATAGCAAAGAGCACACATAAACAGGAAAGGAGAAACTATTGTGTTGCATAAGAGTAGACATAGACAAATATTCTGAGTCTTTTAGAAAAGATTAAATTACATCCAAGACCCTCTGAATTTTTTTTTTTTTTTTTTTTTTTTTTTTTAGACAGACTCTCACTCTGTCACCCAGGCTGGAGCGCAGTGGCACAATCTCAGCTCACTGCAACCTCTGCCTCCGAGGTTCAAGTGATTCTCCAGCCTCAGCCTCCTGAATAGCTGGGATTACAGGCACCTGCCACCATGCCCAGCTATTTATCTATTTTTAGTAGTGACCGGGTTTCACCATGTTGGCCAGGCTAGTCTGAACTCCTGACCTTAGGTGATCCTCCCGCCTTGGACTCCCAAAGTGCTGGGATTACAGGCGTGAGCCACCACACCCACCTGACTCTTTGATTTTTAAGACGGGTAATAAATTATATATTTTAGAACAATTTTGATTTTTTTTTTTTTTGAGACAGAGCTTCGCTCTTGTTGCCCAGGCTGGAGTGGAATGGCGCGATCTCGGGTCAATGCAACCTCCGCCTCCTGGGTTCAAGCGATTCTCCTGCCTCAGCCTCCCAGGTACCTGGGATTACAGGCATACGCCACCCACTCGGCTAATTTTGTATTTTTTGTGGAGACCGGTTTTCACCATGTTGGTCAGGCTGGTCTCAAACTCCTGACCTCAAGTGATCCACCCACCTTGGCCTCCCAAAGTGCTGGGATTACAGGTGTGAGTCACTGCACCCAGCCTAATTTTGATTTTTTTTTAAGTGCTTAAAATAAAAACACTGTGCTGTGCTACTTGAAGGGACAAATTTCCATTCAAAGGAAGTATCAGTTATGTGTAATCTTCATTCCCCACAATATTGGATAAACTAAGTGTTACCCAAATTCTTAGACATGAAAATAAGTCACCACAGAACCAAGCTCAAAAATGCAGAGCAAGGAAGATCTAATCTTATCTGTAATTTTTAAAAATAGAGACGGGGTCTCACCTGTTGCCCAGGCTGGTCTGAACTCTTGGGTTCAAGTGATCCTCCTGCCTTGTACTCCCAAAGTTCTGGGATTACAGGCATGAACCACCATGCCAGGCCTCATCTTTAATTTTAAACAAACCTGAAAAAGACAGGTGCCTTCTAGTCTCATGTCAGGCCCGGGTGCTGCATTTCACTGCAGAGGTGTGTGGCCCTACAGGTTACAAGCTCTCTGCTCGAGTTCTCAGCCTTGTTGCTTCCTGCCAGGGAGAGATGTTCATGGTCCTGTAATTTGAGCTTCCAAAGGCTCAAATTTAGCCTGAAGGTAAAAATCAAGGAGGCTCAAAATTTTAGCCTGGAAGGTGCAAATCAAGGAATATGTATCAAAGTAATAGGAACAAAGGAACAATCTTCTGCTTCTTGCCCTTACCATTGAGTTTCTCCCTTCTCATTCAAGATGTCGCCATGGTAACTCATGTGTGCCTCCAAACAGCCGTGATGGGCCCCGTGGGAGACTGGATTACTACTCTCAATTTTTCACTCCCTCCCTGTAACAGAATTCAGCATCCACAGCCTTTGCCCCAGACTTTGCAGGGTCCCCCACTGGAGTCCACAGAGCACATTTTCATAACCCACTGATGCTAGTCTTGACTATGTGATTTGTTTGCCAATGGAATTTTTTTTTTTTTTTTTTTTTTGGCAAAGTCTCACTTTGTCACCCAGGCTAGAGTACAGTGGAATGATCTCGGCTCACTGCAACCTCTGACTCCTGGGTTCAAGCAATTCTCCTGCCTCAGCATCCCAAGTAGCTGAGATTACAGGCGCCCACCACCAAGCCCAGCTAATTTTTGTATTTTTTAGTACAGATGAGTTTTCGCCATGTTGTCTAGGCTGGTCTTGAACTCCTGACCTCAGGTGATCCGCCCTCCTCGGCCCACCAAAGTGCTGGGATTACAGGTGTGAGCCACTGCGCTGGGTCTTGCCAATGAAATATTAAAGGATGTCACCCGAGCAGAGGTTTTCAATGAGTTTGCATGGTCTGGGCTGCCTTCTCAAACCTCTGCTAGCTGCCAAGAGAAGCTGCTGGTCCCAGCGTGAGAGCCGTGTGGGGCAGACGTGATCTGGATCCACAGCCTGAAGCAGAACCACCACAGCTGACCTGAACACCTATAGGTGAGATACATAAATGTGGTGTTGATGTTGTAAGTCGCTGAAATTCAGTGTGTTTTTCAAGTAGAATCATTGCAGTAAAACCTGACTGACCCAGCCTCCTTCTTTGGCACGTCCCCAGTGCTTACCGTGCAGCTCCACGTCACTCCAATGGTCACTCCTCACCAGGCATTAACTGTGACTCTTGCTGCCCAAGTTTCCACCCTCCCTGCTGTGGCTGGTGCCCTGTTGGTCACCCCTGTGACATGTCCCGTTTCTCTGGAGTCAGAGGCAAGGTACAGCTCCCCTCTGTTGCTGCTGGAGTGAAATACCTTTTTCCAATCTGGGTTAAACTCTTTGAGGCCATAAAACACAGCTCCCTGTGCTGTTATCTACAGCTCTCAAGCTTGACTGATTCGTTTTTCACTTCAGTAAATGATCCTTCTCCCCAGGAGACTGACACAAGACAACTGGGCCAAAGATCATTTGAGACGCTCCTCAGGGCTACATTCAAACCATATCCCCTACCGACCCAGGAGAGAAAGCTCCCTTGCTGCAGTGAGTGAGGTATTCTAGAATACTGCCAGGAGGAGAAAGGTAAATGTGGGTTATATCCCTCCAGGCCAGCTGACCGGCCCCTGCACCAGGCATCAGGCTCTTTTGAGAAAAGAATCCCAGATGGCCCAAGTGGAAATTCACATGAGCTCCATGGCATAAGCCTACACTCTGGGACTCTACTTAAGATAAGTGGCTGGTAAATGATACGTTTACCTTTCCATTCTCTAGAGAAGATAGTTCTGTATCAAGCGAGTCCTGGAATAGTCATTATCCATTCATCCAACAAATATTCAAATACGGAGCTAAGCACCAGAGACACAAAAGTGAAGGAGGCAAAGTCCTTGCCCTCATGAAGTTTATGTTCCTGGGAGGAGAGTAAGGAAACAGAAAATAAGGAGATAGACATATAAAGACATCATTTTCAGTAGTGATAAGGGTTATTTTAAAATGTAAGGTAGCCAGATGCGGTGGCTCACACCTGTAATCCCAGCACTTTGGGAGGCCTAGGAGGGAGGATCACGAGGTCAGGAGGTTGAGACCATCCTGGCCAACATGGTGAAACCCTGTCTCTACTAAAAACACAAAACATCAGCCAGGCATAGTGGCGGGCCCCTGTAGTCCCAGCTACTCGGGAGACTGAGGCAGGAGAATCACTTGAAACTGGAAGGCGGAGGTTGCAGTGACCCCAGATTGTCCACTCCAGCCTGGACAAAAGAGCAAAACTCCACCTCAAAAAGATAAATAAATAAATAACGTAAACCATGGAAAAAGGCCTCTTTTACGTACAGCAGCGGGAGAATGTCTCTGAGAACCTACGTAGAAAACCCTAAGTAGACACCTGAATCCAAGGACCCCACCATCCCCCTGATTAAGGGACGGAACACACCATAAGAAGTATGAAGAAAGAACAAACTACAATAGGAAGAACAAACACAAGGATCCTGAGACTGGAGTAAAAGTCACAGACCATCATGAATGCCAGTGACTGGAGGAGAAGGAGCCAACAGGAGTCGGAAGCAGCGGGTGGCCAGGGGCCAGCTCACGTAGGGGCCTGTCCGCCACGTAAGGAATTTGAGTTTTGTTTTGTTTTTATTTTATTTTATGAGACAGAGTGTCACTCTGTTACCCAGGCTGGACTGCCGTGGTGTGATCTTGGCTCACTGCAACCTCTGCCTCCCAGGTTTAAACAATCCTCCTACCTCAGTCTCCCAGGCAGCTGGGATTACAGATGTGCGTCACCACGCCTGGCTAATTTTTGTATTTTTAATAGAGACAGGGTTTCACCATGTTGGCCAGGCTGGTCTTGAATTCCTGGCCTCAAGCAATCCCCCAACCTCAACCTCCCAAAGTGCTGGGATTACAGATGTGAGCCACTGCTCCTGGCCTTGTTTTGTTTTTGATTTTTCTTCCTTTCTTTTTTTTTTCTTTTTTTTAGAAATAGAGTCTTACTCTATCACACCCAGGCTAGAGTGCAGTGGTGCCATCATAACTCACTGCAGCCTCCAAATCCTGGGCTCAAGTAATTCTCTCACTCTGGCCTCCCAAGTAGCTGGGCTTACAGGTGTGTGCCACCACACCCAGATACTTTTTCTGTCGAGACAAGGTCTCTCTCTTTTTTTTTTTTTTTTCTGGAGACAAAGTCTCACTCTGTCACCCAGGCTGGAGTATAGTGGCATGATCAAGGATCAAGGCTCACTGCAGCCTCGACCTTCCAGGCTCAAGCAATCCTCCCATCTCAGCTTCCTCAGTAGCTGGGACTACAGGCACACACCACCACACCTGGATAATTTTTGTTTTTTTGTTTTCTGGTTTTAGAGACAGGGTTTCATTATGTTGCCTTGGCTGGTCTTGAACTCTTGGCCTCAAGCAATCCTCCTACCTCAGCCTCCCAAATAGCTAAGATTACAGGCAGGAGCCACTGTGCCTGGCAGGAATTTGAGTTTTCTTAGAGGCGGCTTGTGATCTGATGAATATATTTAAAATCTAATCTACACTGATACAGGGGATGAAGGAGGAGGCAGCAAGACCAGTTAGAAGGTTACTGCAATAGCTTAGATGGGAGATACCAGTGGTTTGGATGAAGTGGTGGTGGTAGAGGTGGTAAGACGTAGTCAGATTTTGGGTATAGTTTGAAGGTAGAATCAACAGGACTTGCTGAGCAATTGGAGGTGATAGGTGAAGAAAAGAATCAAGAATAACTTCCTGGGATGGGCAGACTAAAGTGGGAGTGGCTCTGGCAATCATCCCCCCAGCCTGTTTCACATGGTAACACAGATCCCCCACTGTCATTTATGTAAGAATGTTGTGAGGACAGCTGGATATGCCAGTTGGTGGCAGTCAAGGGACAGTCCAGGCTGGCAGTATAAACCTGGGAATCATTAGCTTTTAGATAAATTTGAAGCTGTGAACCAGGATGAATTCTCAAGGAAGAAAGTGTAGCAAGAGAAGAGAAGGAGCTGAGAACAGATTCTGAGGCATTCCGGTGTGTTTAGAATCCTCCATCTAGAAGATGCCTTCAGACATGTGGGTGGTTCTCCCTTTGGATGTAACAGGGGACCCATGTTCTTGGGAGCAGAGGCCTCAAGGGTCTTGGTGACCCCCTCCAGTTTTTGCATGGGCCCTGGTGTCTGGCCCCTGTTTCTGCAGCAAGGAGTCTCAACTGAGGCTTCAGCTCTAAAGAAACACAGCCAAGTCAGGGCTGAGTTACAGGCAGAGACTCCAAGTAAACTGATAATTCGCTTTGTGTTGTACATGGTTTCACATAAGTTCTGTGGCCAGGAAGTCACTTATGTTGTGTGGGAAGAGCAAAATTGGGATGAAGATTTGTTAGCATTTAAAATTTTCAACTTATCTTTTAAGCAAACTACTAAGTTTTTAAAATAATTCTTTCATGGTTGCTAGGGTAGATATGGTCACTTGCAATCAAACTGTGCTGCCATATCTTAGTTTTTAAAATCTTTCCAATTATGGAGAATGTATAACTTACACAAAAGTAGACCAAATGGTACGATAAGTGCCCCACCCCATATTCATTATCTAACCTCCAAAACCATCAATCCATCAATCCATGGGACAATCCTGCCCCAACCAAACCCTCACCCACTTCTTCTCCTCCCAAACTATTTCGAAGTAAATTTCAGACATGACATCATTTCATCCATGAATATGTGAGTATGTTTCTCTAAAAGACTAGGTATTTTTGGTTTTATTTGTTTGTTTTTAGAAGAAGATCTGGCTATATTGTCCTGGCAGGTCTTGAATTCCTGGGCTCAAACAATCCTCCTGCCTCAGCTCCCAAGTAGCTGGGACTACAGACATGTACCATCATGCCTGGCTAAGATTAGTTTTTAAAACGTAACCACATCCAGGCCTCCCCTGGCCTCAATCCCACCACTTTTAACCCTTGTTTTGAACAGTAAAGGGTACATACAGGCTGGGCACGGTGGCTCACGCCTGTAATCCCAGCATTTTGGGAGGCCGAGGTGGGTGGATCATTTGAGGTCAGGAGTTCGAGACCAGCCTGACCAACATGGCGAAAACCCGTCTCTACTAAAAATAAAAAAATTAGCCCGGCATGGTGGCACACACCCGTAACCTCAGCTGCTTGGGAGGCTGAGGCGTGAGAATCGCTTGAACCTGGGGGCGGAGGCTGCAATGAGCAGCGAGCGCGCCACTGCAGTCCAGCCTGGGTGACAGGGCAAGACTGTCTCAAAAAACAAGCAAACAAACAAACAAACATACAATGGATTATCATTTAGCCTTTAAAATAAGGAGGAAATCCTGCAATATGTTACAACATGAATGAAACTTGAGGATATTATGCTAAGTGAAATTAAGTCAGTCACAGAAGGACAAATACTGCATGATTCCACTGCAGTGGTATTTTTAAATAGTCAAATTCATAGAATCAAAGAGTGGAATGGTGGTTGCCAGGGGCTGGGAGAAGGGAAGTAAGGAGTTGCTAATCAACAAACAGAAAGTTTCAGTTAAGCAAGGTGAATAAGTTCTACAGAACCTGCCACACAATCTTTTCCTTATAGTTAACTGTATTGTACACTTAACAATTTGTTAAAGAGAGTAGATCTCATGTTGTGTTCTTACCACAATAAAATCAAATTTTTTTAAGAATGATTTGCTGGGCCGGGCGTGATGGCTCACGCCTGTAATCCCAGCACTTTGGGAGGCTGAGACGGGTGGATCACCTGAGGTCAGGAGTTTGAGACCAGCCTGGCCAACATGGTGAAACCCCATCTCTACTAAAAATACAAAAATTAGCTGAGCACGGTGGCAGGTGCCTGTAATCCCAGCTACCTGGGAGGCTGAGGCAGGAGAATCGCTTGAACCCAGGAGGCGGAGGTTGCAGTGTGCTGAGATCATGGCATTGCACTCCAGCCAGGGCAACAAGAGCAAGACTCTGTCTCAAAAAAGAAAAAAAAAAAAAGAAGAAGGATTTTCTGTGCAAGTTCACTGTGGGATTCTGAAGGAGTCTATGATTCTCATTAACAGCCTGATGTTAGAATTCCTACATGACACCTCCAAAAGGAAAGTTCAAGATAAATGAAGGCTGTACAAAATCGTGTCTCCACATAATCATGTGCTCACACCCTGACTCTTTGACGCGCCCTCCTGCTCTCCACCCATACAATGTGCCTGTATCTGTCTCCTTCACTTCTGTTGCCTTTTTGATTGTGAGCCCTTGCTCAAAGAGTCTGCTTCAGGGTCTGTGTTTATCTGTCTGGCTTATATGAGAGGTAATGCCAACATTTAAATTGCCAACATTTAAATCCCAGCTCTGTCTCTTTAAATAGCTGTGTTACCTTGGGCAAGTGCCTTAAACTTTCTGTGTGTTAGTTTCCTCATCTGTAAAATGGAGATAGTAATAGTAACTCCCATAATGGAGTTCTTACGAGGATTAAATAAGATGGCACGTGTACAGTGATTAGAACAGACTTGGCACAACAGTAGTTGTTGTTTTTTATTAAAATATATACAAAGCAAAAGTCTCTGTTTCCACTGCTCTATACCCTGTGGAGCTGTTGCAGTCATCAGTGGCCCTGAATTGCAGCCTCTTGGTCTTGTGGCTGTGCATTGCACCTTTTCAGGTAGCTTCCCTGGGAGCACTGGATTTCCACACTGCTAAGCCCCCGGGCTGGTTCCTTATCCATTACACCCAGTTAGTTGGGCACCTTCACTGGGAGAAGAGATGCATAAACCCTTGCCTGTTCCCTGCTCAGCTGTGGGCCCTGAGGTCCTTTCTTGGCAGGCTGAACTGACCTTGAACAAGAAGGGAGGTGCAATAGGCACACCTGAGGCACCACAGTAGGGGTCTGGAATCAGTCAGGTTGCTGGGGGCGTAATGTCTGCTATGCTTGAGCTTCTCAAAACCCTAAGCCACAGGAACGTGCCACCCTCCAAACCTCTAGGTTCTACCTCTGTTTCCCATTCCTGGTCTGGGCCAGGAGTCCTCCGGTCCACAGGCCTGGCTTGTGTTTGACATCTTGCCCTGCTCTCTCTGGCCCAAAGGGTCTCTGCTCAGTCTTCCTCTAAAGGCTTTATTGATCTTCCTTTCACATTTAAATCTACAATCTACCTGAAATTGATCATGTCTCTAGTTTGAATATTCTGCAGAGAATTGAAGTGACAATGATTGGCATTCGTTCATTAGGCAATGGTGTCTGTCCAGACTGTTCCTCCAGGTCCTGCTTTCTCACCCTGAAGAGCTGACTTTGTTCCTGCCCAATTCCAAGCCTGATCTCCCAGCATTCCCACTGAGTCTAGGCTCTCTATGGTCTCCCCTAAAATCTCCTGTTTATCACATCAGCCAGAATTGGTTTCCATTTCTTGCAACCAAAGGTCCCTAATTTTTATACCCTCAGAAAAGTGGATGGCTCAGCTCCAGCTGTTTCGGGTGAAGGTGCTGGAAAGAAAGACCTATTGGGATATCAAAGGAGTAAGTACATAAATTACTATTGGTAAAACTTAATTCGTCATATTTACTTCCTTTGTGCAGAAGACTTGAAACACCCATCCTAAGGCTTTGCTTAGAAATTGGGCAACATGGGTAGCCATGAAGTCATTCATGCTGGAGACACTGGGCATAGGCAGACAAAGGTTGCATGCATGGGGTACTCAGGAACCTGCCAATAGGCTCTAATATATCTTCACAGATTTTAGATTATTTGAAATAAACCAAGTCTTGTTATGACAGAAGCAACGCCCTACCCATACTCGGCCTGCCCCATAATGTCTGAGATGATCAAGGACACCTTTTGTGGACAGAGCCCATTAATCAGGAATCTCAAGCTCTGGAGATCTCTGAGGGAGCATGTGGGGGGAACGTCTGGCTCTCAGGTCTGGGTGACTAGTGACATGTGATTTCACCATTACTAAGATTATCGTAAGCATATCTTTCGTGTCTCTTGCAACCAACATAATTCCCAGGTTGCTACCCAAGCTGAGACTACCGAATCACCCCACGAATAAATGGCAGATGTTGTTTTATTGCCTACTTGGCAGCTGTTATGGACTGAATATTTGTGTCCACTACAATTCATATGTTGAAGCCCTAATCCCAGATGTGATGATAATTGCACATGGAGCCTTTTAGATGTAATTAGGGATCTAGAGCCTTAACCAAAAATGGAACCCCATCAGGCCTTGATCTTGAACTTTTCAACCTCTAGAACTGTGAGAAAATAAATGTCTATCGTTTAAGCCACTCAGTCTATGGGGCTTTGTTATGGCAGCACAAGCTAAGACCATAGCCATCCCCTTTCTTTCCTAACAGCACCCTAATTTGGTAATGGTTGAAACCCCTGGCAACAGAACCCCAGGGATAAATAGTGATTTGTCTAAGGCAATCATCATATTACCTACCATTCCCCTTTTCCAACAACAGGTTTAGGAGTAGGCATGTCAATCAGTTATAGTCAATGAAACCCAAAAGAAAGTTGGCTAGGGATAAAAAGCCATTAAAAGTCCTTTTTCCTCTGCTCCTTGCTCCTTCCTTTCTCTTGTGCAATTGGAACTGCAGCAGCCATCTCATGGCAAAGAGGTAACACATGAGAAGAAGAAAAGCTAATATCCTGATGATTGTGAGGCTGAGAGTGCTTAACAATATTAGTGAGCCATTCAACCAACCTTGGGGCTTCACATTGAATAAGTAATAAATGTTCTTATTGTTCAGCCTTACTAGTCAGCTTTCTATTACTATTTGAAGCTAAATGCAACCTCACTGATATAGGAATGCACCAGACTTCTCCTAGGCAGGCTGATTGCCAAAAGGTATTTATCCAACGTAAGGCTATACCATTTCTCTAGGCCCAAGATACAGCTTCTTGGCAAGTGTGTCCTCCTACATTGGAGGCAGAATGCCCTAAATGGTTAAAAACTCCAGTTTTAGAATCAGAGGCCTGGGTTCAAATCCTGGCTCTTTAGCTTATTAACTATGTGACCCTGAGAATGTTAGTTAACTGCTCTGTGCCTCAATTTCCTCATGAAAACCTCCCCCCCACGCCGCCATGAGACAGAGTTTCGCTCTTGTCGCCCAGGCTGGAATGCAGTGGTGCAATCTCGGCTCACTGCAACCTCCACATCCCGGGTTCAAGCGATTCTCCTGCCTCAGCCTCCCAAGTAGCTGAGATTACAGGAACCCACCACCATACCTAGCTAATTTTCTGTATTTTTAATAGAGATAGGGTTTCACCATGTTGACCAGGCTGGTCTCGAACTCCTGACCTCAGGTGATCCACCCACCTCGGCCTCCCAAAGTGCTGGGATTACAGGTGTAAGCCGCAGCACCCGGCCAAAACCTTATAAACACCAAATGTGTGTTTATCATGGTCTGAGCCTAGAATCCAAGTCAGCATTGACAAACAAACACAAAGTCTATTTGCCACGTTTTAGGAATAATAATAGTACCTACCTTGTAAGGTTGTTCTGAGAATTAAATAACTCCTATAAAATGCATAGCACTGGGTTAGTATATAGCCTAGCATATAATAATCACTCAAATGTTAGCTATATCCCATGACAGAAGATGAGGTACAAGGTCTCCAGTATTTAGTGGACAATAATGTCCAGCATGGATTCCAACCCTTGATTGTACAAATTGAGAAATCAATGGAGCCCTCTGCTCTAGAACATCTTTTTTTCTTTTTTTTTCTTTTTGAGACGGAGTTTCGCTCTCGTTGCCCAGGCTGGAGTGCAATGGCGCGATCTCAGCTCACCCCAATCTCCGCCTCCCAGGTTCAAGCCGATTCTCCTGCCTCAGCCTCCCAAGTGCTGGGATTACAAGCGTGAGCCACCACGCCTGGCCCTTTTTTTTTTTTTTTTTTTTTTCCAGATGGAATCTAACTCACCCAGGCTGGAGTGCAGTAGTGCAATCTCAGCTCACTGCAACCTCCACCTCCTGGGTTCATGTGATTCTCCTGCCTCAGCCTCCCCAGTCACTGAGATTACAGGCACGCACCACCACGCCCAGCTAATTTTTGTATTTTTAATAGAGATGGGGTTTCTCCAGGCCGGTCTTGAACTCCTGACCTCAGGAGATCCTCCCACCTTGGACTCCCAAAGTGCTGGGATTACAGGTGTGAGCTACTGTGCCTGGCCCTGCTCTAGAACATCTGAGGAGTCTTATTTATAAAGGAAGTGAAATCTCAATGCAGAGATAGGAATATAGTTTGAAACATTCAGGCATAATTTCCACCTGTTTGTCCAGGAACATTACCCACATCTTCTGATAGACTCTTGAGGTCAGTCACCAACCACAGAACATCCAAATGTTCATTAAGCTGAGACTCCAGGGAGCCTAATTTGGAACAGATCTATAGTACAATGAGTAGAGAGGCCTTGAAGACGTGAGAGAGTTGGCTCAAATTATCAAGCCCATCAAATTACCTTGATGGCCATGGATCATCTAGGGTTTCATGAATGCAAACATAAATGGCTTACAGCCTGGAAGTTATCCTCTATATTGATGGTTCTTGATCAAAGTGACAGCACCTCCTAGAGGAATGTTGGAAATTTGTGGTGTTATTTTTGGTTGTCACAGAGAGACTACTAGCATTTGATGGTCAGGGGCCATGAGTGTTAGACATCCTACAATGTGCAGGACAGTCTTGTAAGACATTGGATTGTCCTACATCCACCACGACTTTATAATATCAAAATGGACATTCATGTATAAGTAAGATACATTTTTAACAATCTGAACCTAGAATCTAAGTCTGCTTTGACATATAAACACAAAATATTTTTACCTAGTTTTAACATACTCTAGATTTTAAAGGGATGTCATTATTGTATAAATGGAAGGGTGGTTGTACTGTGCTCTGTTTATCACTTTTAGCACAGATTGTTTTACCACTTCAAAAAAATCGCATCATCACTAGGTAATTAAGAGCCTTCTTCAGCCGGGCGCAGTGGCTCACGCCTGTAATCCCAGCACTTTGGGAGGCCAAGGCAGGCAGATCACCTGAGGTCGGAAGTTTGAGACCAGCCTGACCAACATGCAGAAACCCCATGTGTTTTTTTTGAGATGGAGTCTCACTCTGTTTCTCTGTCTCCCAGGCTGGGGTGCAGTGGCGCGATCTCGGCTCACCATAACCTCCGCCTCCTGGGTTCAAGCAATTCTCTTGCCTCAGCCTCCCAAATAACTGGGATTACAGGTGCCTGCCATCATGGCTGGTTAATTTTTATATTTTTAGTAGAGATGGGGTTTCACCTTGTTGGCCAGGCTGGTCTTGAACTCCTGACCTCAAGTGATCCACCTGCCTCAGGCTCCCAAAGTGCTGGGATTACAGGCATAAGCCACCGTGGCTGGCCGGGGCTATTTCTTTTTAAGTAAGCTTTAGGTTGAAGTAAACATACATACAGATAAATATACAAATCATGAGTAGCCATTTAATGAATTTCTATAAATTACCCATTTCTTACTCAATTTATACATTTATAAATTAAATGTTATACCATCTCCTTGGTTGGACCCTAATACTATCATCCCCTTCCCAGCCACTTCCCACCCACTATCCTGACTTAAAACAATAGAGATTAATTTTGCTTAACTAGAACCTCATGTAAATAACCATACATAATTTTTACTTACGTCTGGCTATTTTTTTTTGGCCAAACATTATATTTGCAAGAATCATCCATGCTGTTGCATGTAACAGTAATTCATTCATTTTCGTTGCCAATAATATTCTATTTTATGAAGAGGATATAGCTTATTCATTTGACTATTGATAAATGTATTAAACTATTTTCACACTGCTATAAAGATACTACCTGAGGCCAGGCACAGTGGCTCACGCCTGTAATCTCAGGGAGACCAAGGCCAGCGGGTCACTTGAGGTCAGAAGTTCGAGACCAGCCTGGCCAACGTGGTGAAACCCTGTCTCTAACAAAAATACAAAAATTAGCTTGGTGTGGTGGTGCACGCCCGTAATCCCAGCTGCTCAGGAGGCTGAGACAGGAGAATTGCCTAAACCTGGGAGGCGGAGGTTGTAGTGAGCCGAGATCGCGCCACTGCACTCCAGCCTGGGCAAAGAGGCTCTGTCTTAAAAAAAAAAAAAAAAAGATGCTACCTGAGACTGGGTAATTTAAAAACAAAAGAGGTTTAATTGACTTACAATTCCACACGGTGGGGGAGGCCTCAGGAAACGTACAATTATGGCAGAAATCAACAGGAAGCAAGCACCTTCTTTACAAGGTTGCAGGAGAGAGAGAGAGCTCAGAGGTAAACTGCCACTTTTAAAACCATCAGATCTGGTGAGAACTCCCTCACTATCACAAGAACAGCATGGGGGAAACCACCCCATGATCCAGTCACCTCCCACCAGGTCGCTCCCTCGATACATGGGGATTACAATTTGAGATGAGATTTGGTTGAGGACACAGAGCCAAACCATGTCAATGAACACTTTGGTAGTTTCCAATTTTGGACTAATAGGAATAGTTGCTCCCATGAATATTTGTGTACTTATCCTTTGGTAAACATATATACACATTTCTGAGATAGATCCGAGAATAGAATTGCTGGATTGTATAAGTATGCACTGCTGAGCTTTAATAGACTCTGCCAAACAGTTTTCGAAAGTAGTTGAAACAATTGGCACTCCCACCCTAGTAATGACAGTTCCACTTGTTCCACACTTTTGTATTTAGATATTTAAATGTTTTTTTCTAACACCGTGTCATAAAGAAGCTTGTCTACATGACTTTGAGAAGTTGCTATGTGAAACTACAAAGGTGGGAGTATGGCCACCCCAGCACAGAATTCCTGTTCCACATCATGTCTGAATGTACTCAAGGTTGGGTGCCACTTAGTGGAATTGGTGGCACCAAGGAGAAAGGCCTTGGTTGAGTCACAGCCTAGCCCAGCAGTCAGCTCTGGGGCTCTGCCTCATACAGAGGATGATTCACTCCATGCCCCTCCTGGTAGAAGAAGAGGTTCTTCAAGTGTTCCTTCCCTTCAGCCCAGTCAGGGCAGCTGGAGTAAAGCAGGGCTGACTGTGCACAAGTGGAGGAGTCTGGAGTAGGCAGAGGAAAGGGAAATGAGGGGGCTGTCTGACAGCTAGAAAGCAGATTCAAGGTAGGTGGGAGTGGGGGAAGCTAGGGTACAATGACTATATTTCTAAGACGTATGCAAATCAGATGTACTCAGAACTAGGTTTTTATTGAAAAATTATTCATCATATGGGGAAAATGTTTCCCTAACCATCACAAAAGGGCATATAATGAAAAAATAAAGTCTTTTTTTACCTCTTAGATTCACAGTTCTCCAGGCTGTTTCCCCTAAGACAGGCACAGTCCCTCCAGAAGCAGTCTGTACTTACACAAGCGTAAACACAGGTATCTTCAATAAGTTATTCAACTTCTTTAGGTGTCTTAGTCTATTTTGTACTGTTATAACAGAATATCACAAACTGGCTAATTTATTATAATGAGCAGAAATTTATTGGCTCACAGTTCTGGATGCTGGGAAGTCCAAGATCAAGGTGCTGGCATCTGGTGAGGGGCTTCTTGCTGCGCCATCACATGGTGGAAGGCAGCGTACAAAGAGAAACTGTGTCCTCACAAGTGGCATTAATCTATTTATGAGGGTGGACCCCTCAGGGGGGCTTAAACACCTCCAATTAGGCCCTACATCCCTATACTGTTGCCTTGGGGATTAAGCTTCCAACACATGAGTTTTAGAGGGGACAAAAACTGGGCTTCAGCGTCCTCATCCTTAGAATTATGAGGCTGGGCAGAACGTTTCCCAAACTTACTTGCTGGTAAGACTCATTTGGGAGGACTTGTTTAACATATGATTTCTCCAACCAAAGGCCCTGGGATTCTGATTTAGTGAAAACGCAGTGGGATTTAGGAATTTGTATAATTGGAAGAATCTCTAGGTGACTCTTATTATTAGGAATTTGGAGAATCACTGGATTTAGAGAGTCTCTAACAGTTAAAAATTTTCAAAAGCCTATAATATTCTGCCCTTTAGAAATCCTAATATGATCTTATGTTGTAGAAATCAGAACTAATGAAGAAAGAAGAAAGGTGCCTTTATGGGAGCATAGTAAAATGACTGAAAGCCACCATGTGGGCCCTTTTCCAGTAACAGTGGGGAATGTTGGCACCTCTCCTTGGTCTTGTTGCTTTTGCATGCATGGAAGCTTGTAATTGTGATTTAGTTCGCTCTGATGACATGGACTTAAGGAAAGGGGCATCTTTTCTGGGCAATTCAGTGAAGATTAGAGAGCCTGGATCAGTCGGGAGAGGAATGTATGCGACTTCTTCTGTAAAAGCTGGGAAGTAAATGGAGATGGCTACAGACAACAGAAGGCAGTTAAAGCCTTCCCCAGATGGGTATGACTGGGTTTTAATCCAGATCTCAGCTTGAATGGATAACATGACCCAAACACTTGGAACTTAGGACTAGAAATGTAGCCCCCTACAAAAGGACTTCTTACAGCTGAAGAATCTCTCAAGTAGTGCCAACAATCTCTCAAGAAGATGCGTTCGTTTCCCTACATGGACTGTACCTTTTGTAGGGCCTTCCCTGGCTTGAGTGTGTTTGTGAGCACAGGCACACACGTGTGCATGTGCACATGTGCGTGTCTGTGTATGCAGGCCGTATTAGGCCATTCCTATGTTGCTATAAAGAAATACCTAAGCCTAGGTCATTTATAAAGAAAAGAGGTTTAACTGGCTGATGGTTCTGCGGGCTGTACAACAAGTGTGGTGCTGGCACTTGCTTCTGGTAAGGACATCAGGAAGCTTTCAATCATGGTGGAAGGCAAAGGGGGAGCAGGCATGTCACACAGCAAAAGCAGGAGCAAAAGAGAGAGCAGGGAGGTACCACACAGTTTTAAACAACCAGATTTTGTGATAACTCACCATTGTGAGGACAGTACCAAGCCACTCATGAAGGATCTGTCCCCATGACCCAAACACCTCCCACCAGGCTCCACCTCTGATATGGTTTGGCTCGATGTCCCCACCCAAACCTCATCTTGAATTGTAATCCCAATGTGTCAGGGGGAACCTGGTGGGAGGTGATTAAATCATGGGGCAGTTTCCCCTATGATGTTCTCCTGATAGTGAGGGAGTTATCATGAGATCTGATGGTTTAAAAGTAGTTTCCCCTGCTCTTTCTCTCTGTCCTGCTACATGTAAGACATGCCTTGCTTCCCCTTCCCCTTCCGCCATGATTTTAAGTTTTCTGAGGCCTCTCTAGCCATGTGGAACTGTGAGTCAATTAACCCTCTTTCCTTTATAAATTACCCACTCTCAGACAGTTCTTTATAGCAGAACGAAAATGAACTAATACAGAAAATTGGTACTGGGATAGCACGGTACTGCTATCTTTATAATAACCTGAAAATGTGGAAGCGACTTTGGAACTGGGTAAGAGGCAGAGGTTGGAACAGTTTGGAGGGCTTGGAAGAAGAGAAGAAGATGCGGGAAAGTTTGTAATGTCCTAGAGACTTATTGAATGGTTTTGACCAAAATACTGATAGTGATATGGAAGTCCAGGCTGAGGTGGTCTCAGATGGAGACGAGAAACTTATTGGGAACTGGAGCAAAGGTCACTCTTCCTCTGCTTTAGCAAAGGGACTGGTGGCATTTTGCCCCTTCCCTAGAGGTCTGTGGAACATTGTTTTGTTTTGTTTTGTTTTGAGACAGAGTCTTGCTCTGTTGCCCAGGCTGGAGCACAGTGGTGCAATCTCAGCTAACTGCACACTCAGCTTCCCAGGTTCAAGCTATTCTCCTGCCTCAGCCTCCCGCGTAGCTGGGATTACAGGCGTGCACCACCACACTTGGCTAATTTTTTAAATTTTTAGTAAAGACAGTGTTTTGCCATGTATCAAACTCCTGGCCTCAAGTGATCCACCTGCCTCAGCCTCCCAAATTGCTGGGATTACAGGCATAAGCCACCATGCCCAGCCAAGATCTATGAAACTTTGAACTTAAGAGAGATGATTAGGGTATCTGGCAGAAGAAATTTCTTTTTTCTTTTTTTTTTTTTTGAGATGGGGTTTTGCTCTTGCTGCCCAGGCTGCAGTGCAATGGTATGATCTCAGCTCACTGCAACCTCTGACTCTCAGGTTCAAACGATTCTCCTGTCTCAGCCTCCTGAGTAGCTGGAATTACGGGCACCCATCACTCCACCCTACTAATTTTTTGTATTTTTAGTAGAGATAGGGTTTCACCTTGTTGGTCAGACTGGTCTTGAACTCCTGACCTCAAGTGATCCACCCACTTCAGCCTCCCAAAGTGCTGGGATTACAGGTGTGAGCCACCACTCCCCACCAATTTAGGGTATCTGGCAGAAGAATTTTTAAGCATCAAAGCATTCAAGAGGTAACCTGGCTGATTCTGAAAGCATTCAGTCGTGTGTGTTCACAAAGAGTTTATCTGAAACTGAAACTTATGTTTAAAAGGGAAGCAGAGCATAAATGTTTGGAAAATTTGCAGCATGACCATATGGTAGAAAAGAAAAACCCATTTTTCTGGGAAGAAATTCAAGCCGGCTGCAGAAATTTGCATAAGCAAGGAGGAGCTGAATGTTAATAGCCAAGACAATGGGAAAAAATGTCTCCAGGGCATGTCAGAGACCTTCATAACAGCCCCTCCCATCACATGCCTGGAAGCTTAGGAGGGAAAAATGGTTTCTTGGGCCAGAGCTTGGTCCCGCTGCTCTGTGCAGACTCAGGACTTGGTGCCCTGTGTCCTAGCTGCTCCAGCTCTAGCTGTGGCTAAAAGGGATCAAGGTACAGCTTGGGCTATTGCTTCAGAGGGTACAAGCTCCAAGCCTTGGCAGCTTCCACATGGTATTGGGCCTGCGGGCCTGCAGAAATCAAGAGCTGAGGCTTGGCAGCCGCTGCCTACATTTCAGAGGATTTATGGAAATGTCTGGATGTCCAGGCAGACGTCTGCTGCAGGGGTGAAGCCTTCATGGAGGACCTCTACTAGGGCAATGCAGAGGGAAAATGTGGGATTGGAGCCCCCACATAAAGTCCCCACTGGGGCACTGCCTACTGGAGCTGTGAGGAGAGAGCTACCATCCTGCAGACCCCAGAATGGTAGATCCACCAAAGCTTGCACTGTACACCTGGAAAAGCTGCAGGCACACAATGCCAGCCCATGAAAGCAGCCACAGGGGCTATACCCTGCAGAGCTGCCCAAGACTTTGGGAGCCTACCCCTTGCATCAGGGTGTCCTGGATGTGAGACATGAAGCCAAAGGAGATCATTTCAGAGCTTTAAGATTTTATGACTGCCCCATTGGGTTTTGGAATCGTATGGGGCCTGTGGCCCCTTTGTTTTGGCCAATTTCTCCCATTTGGAACAGGAACATTTACCCAATGCCTGTGCCCCCATTGTCTCTAGGAAGTAGCTAACTTGTTTTTTGTTTTACAGGCTCATAGGTGGAAAAGACTTGCCTTGTCTCAGATGAGACTTTGGACTTTGACTTTTGGGTTAATGCTGGAATGAGTTAAGACTTTGGGGGACTGTTGGGAAGGTATGACTGGTTTTGAAATGTGAAAAGGATATGAGATTTGAGAAGGACCAGAGGTGGAATGATATGGTTTGGCTCTGTGTCCCCAGTCAAACCTCATCTTTAGTTCCCCACATGTTGATGGAGGGACCTGGTGGGAGGTGATTGGATCATGGGGGTGGTTTTCCCCATGCCGTTCTCATGATAGTGAGTGAGTTCCCAGAAAATCTGATGGTTTAAAAGTGGCAGTTTCTCCTGCTGTCTCTCTCCTGTCACCATGTAAGCTGTGCCTTGCTTCCCCTTCGCCTTCCACCATGATTGTAAGTTTCCTGAAGCCTCCCCAGCCATGCAGAACTGTGAGTATATTAAACCTCTTTCCTTTATAAATTACCCAATCTCAGGCAGTTCTTTATAGCAGTGTGAAAACAGACTAATACAACCTCCAACATTGGGGATTACATTTCCACATGAGATTTTGAGGGGACAAACATCCAAACTATTTCACAAGCTAATTTCCACAGTCATTAATGAAAGATCCTTATATTTTTACTTGGTTTTGGTGGTGTTGGGGGAAGGCAGGGTGCAGGCATTAAAGAACCAGCATCTATTTTTTCTGCTATTCCTGACATAAAGAGGAATAAGGGCACTTAATTTAAGTTTATTTTACCAATTTGGGAGTTGTTATTACTCACACTGATCATCAATAATAAATATATATGATGAAATGAAATGGCTTTGGACTGGAAATCAGGTATGTCTTGATGTGGCACTGCCACTAAGGAGCTATGTGACCTTAAGCAAGTCACTTACATCTCTAGACCTGATTCCTTATGTAAATAATGAAAGTGTAGACTAGGTGGTACCTGATTTTGCTTATTCTAAGGTGTGCTTTTTTCACATTTTAATATTTCTGAACTTGGGATGTATCTTATAATCAATGGGTGTCTCACAATTATTATTGGCAGAGTTTTCTTCTTGGCTGCCTTTACAATCTACAGCATATTAGATTCAATTAAATACTGTACTTAGCTCTATGAGTAGCTACATAATAAAGCCTTATGTTTGCACATTAATATAATACTCCGCATCTTCCAATTATGTTCTAAATACTCATTCATGCATTTCTAGAGGACCCCAGGTTGGTGGTTTTCAACTTTGGCTTCCCAGAGAAGATGTGAGCTGACTCTTATAAAGGAAGTGTCACTTACCTGGCAGGCAGAAAGGAATGAACAGAAGACACAAAAGGAGGAAATATGTGGGAAGTCACAAAGATGTAGAAAAACAAGACACATTTGGAAAATGTCAAGTGTCTTGTATGGCTGGACAACAGAGTACACATTGGTAGCTTAGCAGATGAGGCTTTAGGAGGACATAGGAACCAGATTGCAAGGGTTCTGGGTAACATCCTAAGAAGCTTGGATTTTATCCTCAGGGTTAAGGGTGCTGAAGGTTTATCAACAAAGAGGAGATCTATCCGGATTCACATCTGAAGTTCAGGAAAATCACTCTGGTGGTATGGGAGATTGTCATTTAAAAGGGTGAGGGAAGTAAGATGAGTTAAGAGGTTGTTGACATATTCAGACAAGAAACGATGACAGCTTTAACTGACAACCGGTAGGAAAATGAGGGAGAAGAAATGAAGCTGAAAGATATTTGTAGAATGTTGACCAAAGAGATGCAGAATATGAGGGAGGGATCAAGGATGATTTCAAAGTGCAAGCATGGGGCTCACGCCTGTAATCCCATCACTTTGGGAGGTCGAGGTAGGAGGATCACTTGAGCCCAGGAGTTTGAGACCAGCCTGGACAACATAGGGAGACCCTGTCTCTACAAAAAAATTAAAAAATTAGCCGAGCATGGTGGTTGCACCTGTGGTCCCAGCTACTTGGGAGGCTGAGATGGGAGGATGGCTCGACTCTGGGAAGTCAAGGCTGCGGGGAGTCATGTTCACACCACTGCACTGCACTCCACTCCAGCCTGAGTGACAAAGACTGACCCTGTCTCCACAAAAAAAAAAAAAGGGGAAAAAAGAAGTATAATTCCCAGATTTCTGGACTAGCTGCCTAAATGAAAAATAGTGCCATATAAAGTTGGGGGCTTAAGAAGAGAAGAGGGTTTGAAAGGCCAGAGTAGTTATGTTTTGCTTATGTTGATTTTGGGGTGCCTGAGAGAAATATGCAATTGAAGATGTTCACAAAATAAGTGAAAAATAAGTCTAGGTCTCAAAACAAGTTTAACTCTTATGATATCTTTAGGTAAAAAAACTTCTATTTATTTGCTCCTCAAAATCCACTCTCCACCATTCTCCACCCTTCTCTGTGTCCTGGGAGGCTGAATTGTATGCATTACAGACGCTTCTTGTTAAGGTTGGGCAATTTGGAGCCCTGGCAGATCAGAGAGAGAGAGAGAGAGGATAGTCAGCTTGAGGTATTTGTTGTCTCCTGTCTCCCTCCCTTCCAGGTCAACAGCTCCTGTCTGGTGGCCTTCTCCACACAGCTCTCTCGAGTTCCTCAACTTATCCCTTCCCTTGATAGTTTAGGCCAAATTGCCCAATTTGAATATACCTTCTGTTTCCTTTTGGGGTCCTGATTAGTACCCCAGGAGTGGCTAAGGAAGAAGAAATGGAAAAATAAATTGGTTTGCACACATATTTAAGGAGTGCATGGCACTTCACCTTACCCAGGGGAACAGGAACATGAATACTGCCAGGCATGCGATGGTATCACGGTTTCTCATATATGACTGGTGCATGGCATGAGATGAAGCGAAGGGGTAGGACAAGGCATTGGGAAATCAACTGACTCCAACTGAGAAAATACGTGGTCATTCAGAAATCTTCAGTGGCAGTTTTGACGAAGTCCCCCATCTCCTATGAGGTCACAGGGAAAGAATGGCTGAAGACCAACTTTTTAGGGCCTAACGGTTAATGGTAAGAGCTGCAGAGTTTCAGCACTAATTAAAAGCTGAATGTTGATAAGTGTTTAAGTCTAGGACACCAGTGGGGAAAGGGTGGAACCTTGAGACATGGGATGGGATGGGACCTATGGGAAGAGATAATCAAGGCTAAGAACTCTGAACCCAAGTCCCCCACACCACCCTTGGTTGCAGAGCCAGCCTTCCCTGCACAAAAGCCCTTTAATGCTGCATTTTGGGACAGCTGCCTTATAAGCCAATGCCTCTTCTGAGGGCCCACATCTGCACGCCTTATTGCCTCAAGGCACAGGGCTTGGTGGACATCTTTGGATTTTTAAAAAATCCTTCAGCTGGGCACAGTGGCTCATGCCTGTAATACCAGCAGTTTGGGAGGCGGAGGCTGAGGCTGGTGGATCACCTGAGGTCAGGAATGCGAGACCAGCCTGTCAACATGGCGAAACTTCATCTCTACCAAAACTACAAAAATTAGCTGGGCATGGTGACGCATGCCTGTAATCCCAGCTACTTGGGAGGCTGAGGCTGAGGCAGGAGAATAGCTTGAACCTGGGAGATGGGGGTTGCAGTGAGCCGAAATTGCACCATCACACTCCAGCCTGGGCAACAAGAGCTAAACTCCATCTCAAAAAAAAAAAATTTCGTCTCTCCCCTCCCTCTGATCTTTGGATTTTTGAGGTAATATGGACCACATTTGGGCATGCTGCTCTAATCCACTTAGTGGGCAACTCATAAGGCTACTGATTTTGAGTGTAGTCAGTTAAGCAAAGACTCTGAAGCAAGTCCAGGCTGTTATCCCAGCTTCCCTGTAGCTGGGCTTTATAACCGAAGGATACAGTGGTCCTGGAAATGTCTGTGTCAGCCGAAAATGCTATATGTAGCCCCTAGCAAGCCCCAACAGGAAAATCAAACACAAATCCCTAAGGTTTTAGAATTGGAGGACCATGTCTGCCAACGAGTATTCTTCTACCTGAAAAGTAGCTTTTAAGAGGCTCCTGAGCCCTTGTAGAGACTTAACACCTGAATCTGGGACCCCGTGTGCCTATGAAAACTGCCCATCATGAACTGAGTATTCATGAAGGGTAGTTAACTCATGATCCATCAAATCATATAATTAAACATGCACAGTAGCATTCCAAATAGAAGCGATCATGTATGAGACCAGGCTGAAACAGCCCAGAAGGCACCATGAACTATCACAAGCAGGTGGCCCAGAAGCCCACAGTACCTGCTCCTGGTACCTTCCTCCAGCCGTCCTTACGCCCTCATAGGGAGTTCCCTGTGGCCAGTTAATGAAAGAGGCAGACAAGGAGGAATCAAGGACCTGCATCATTGACCAATCTGCATGGCATGTTGGTACGAGCTGAAATTAGAAAACTGCTGCCTTACTGCTCCACTCAAGGGGGCCCTGAAATATAGTGGTAAAGGACCGGGTTAGGGGAGGACACTTTATTATCTACTTCATGTGTAAATACAGGTAGGCTGAGTATGGATCTGTACTTATAAATGGGGACTGGCTGGTGGGTTGTTAGCTGATCAGGACCTGGGAAAGAATTAGGCTAGAAAATTGTGACAATAAGATCTGGAGGGTGGAAAGTACATGAATGGACCTTTCAGAATGGTCACAGAATGTAGAGCTATGTCCCATATATCTTAGGCCCTCAAACCTAAGAATATGTCATCTTACATGGCAGAAGGAACTTCGCAGATGTGATTAAGGATTTGAGCCGGGAAGAGTATCCTAGATTATCCAGGTGGACCCAATGCAATCACAAGGATCCTTTTTTTTTCTCGTTTTTCTTTTTTTCCAAGACATGGTCTCCCTCTGTCACCCAGATAGGAGTGCAGTTGATGCAATCACAGCTCACTGCAGTCTCAAACTCCTAGGCTCAAGCAATCTTCCCACCTCAGTCTCCCACGTAGCTGGGACCACAGGCGCATGCCACCATGCCAGGCTAATTTTTTATTTTTTGTAGAGGCGAGATCTCGTTATGTTGCTCTGGCTGGTCTTGAACTCCTGGGTTTAAGTGATCCTCCCGCCTCAGCCTCCCAAAGTGCTAGGATTACAGGCATGAGCCACAGTGCCTGGCCATAAGGATCCTTATAAGAAGAAGACAGGAGTGTCAGAATCAGAGAGAGATTTGAAGAGGCTATACTGCTAGCTTTAAAGAACAGTTCATGGCTGGGCACGGTGGCTCACACCTGTAATCCCAGCACTTTGGGAGGCCAAGGCGGGTGGATTACCTGAGGTCAGGAGTTCAAGACCAGCCTGACCAACATGGTGAAACCCTGTCTCTACTAAAAATACAAAAAATTAACCGGGCTTGGTGGCAGGCACCTGTAATCCCAGCTACTCAGGAGGCAGAGGTAGGAGAATCGCTTGAAGTTGCAGTGAGCAGAGATTGCGCCACTGCACTCCAGCCTGGGCAACAGAGCAATAGTCCATCTCAAAATAAAATAAAATAAAATAAAAAATAAATAAATAAAAAAGAGTTCATGAGCCAAGGAATGTAGGCAACCTCTATAAGCTGGAAAAAACAAACAGACAAACATGCATCCCTGGGGGCAATTTGTTTTGTTTGTTTGTTTTTTTGAGATGGAGTCACACTCTGTCGCCCAGGCTAGAGTTCAGTGGCACAATCTCGGCCCACTGCAGCCTCACTTCTCGGGTTCAAGCGATTCTCCTTGCCTCAGCCTCCTGAGTAGCTGGGATTACAGGCACCCACCACCATGCCTGGCTAATTTTTGTACTTTTAGTAGAGACGGGGTTTCTTCATGTTGGTCAGGGCTGGTCTTGAACTCCTGACCTCAAGTGATCCACCCCACCCACCTCAGCTTCCCAAAGTGCTGTGATTACAGTGAGTCACCATGCCCGGCCCCTGTTGCCAATTTGATTTTAGCACAGTGAGGCTTCTAAACTACAGAATTGTAAGATAATAAACGTGTAGTTTTAAGCCAGGAATTCTGTGGTGATCTTTTGCAGCAGCGATAAGAAACTGATATACCATGTAAATGCCCATCAGAGAGTGTTCCCAGTGGAGGGGGCACTTCATCAATCAGGTGGGCCGATGACTTGTTTTATAGATGGCAGTCAGCCTTTATTTTTTTTCTCAATTAGCAATAATCGCACTTCAGATAAACCCCATTGTCTATGATGTTGCTGCTGCATAAAGCTGGCCTTTTTTATTTTTTATTTTTATTTTTATTTTTTTATTTTATTTTTTTTTTTTTTTTGAGACGGAGTCTCGCTCTGTCGCCCAGGCTGGAGTGCAGTGGCGCAATCTCTGCTCACTGCAACCTCTGCCTCCTGGGTTCAAGCAATTCTCGTGCCTCAGCCTCCCAAGTAGCTGGGATTACAGGCATGTGCCTCCATGCCTGGCAAATTTTTAGTATTTTTGGTAGAGATGGGGTTTCACCATATTGGTCAGGTTGGTCTCCAACTCCTGGCCTCAAGTGATCTGCCCACCTTGGCCTCGCAAAGTGCTAGGAATACAGGCATGAGCCACCATGCCTGGCCGCAGTCAGCCTTTTAAAAACAATTTTATTTTAAATAGAGACAGGGTCTCACTCTGTTGCCCAGGCTGGTCTTGAACCCCTGGGCTCAAGCGATCCACCCTCCTCGGCCTCCCAAAGCATTGGGATTACAGCTGACACGCCTAGCAACAGTCAGCCTTTTTCCCCAGCCACCTTAGTGCTAGCCTGATGGGCTCATGTACAAAATATGTATTTAGTTTTTTAATCCTCATGTCAAATTATGAGGTTAGTACTATTATTATTTTTTCTGTTTTGTAGATGAGACCAGGGCATGAGAAGGTTAAGTAAATTCGCCAAAGTCATATTGTCAGTAAGTAGTAAAACCAGGATTTGAACATAGGTCATCTGACTCTGGTACTATACTATCCAATATAGTAGCCGCTAGCCATGTACTAGCGGTTTTTAAACTAGGGTTTTTAAAATTAAATTAAATTAAAATGTAGTTGCTGTCATACTAGCCCCATTTCAAGTGTTCAATAGCCACATGTGGCCAGTGGTTACCATATTGCACAGTGCAGAGAGAGAACATTTCTATCTTTGAAGAAAGTTCTATTGGACAGTGTTGATCTAGAGTGTGGGCTTTAAACCAATATGTCCTTCAGCATCTCCCATTGATAATCATATCAAGCTCTAAATCAGGTCACAGTGTGGCTGAGACTCTTCTCCAAGCTGCTAAACAGCGACTCCTATGGCTGCCTTGAGTCCTGTAGGTTCTTCAGGTTCCTATGAATATGTTACTGACACAAAGAAACCCTTATAACATTGGTGTTGGGGGTTCAAGCTTGGTAGCAAATAGCATTTTCTAGAATGTCAAGGGAGCTGCAAGGACTAAAATAGGTTGGCATCTGCATTTGTGGCTGGTACCATGTCAGATGGTACTTGGGGGAGGGGGAAGAAAGATATTAAAGACCTATATCATAAAACCATTACCCTCAAAAAATGGACACAAGACTAATTTCATTCATCCCCAAAATATTTATTAAGTGCATACTGTGTTCTTGGAATGGTTCTCTCTTTTTAATATTTTATTTTTTGAGACAGCATCTCACGCTGTCACTCAGGCTGGAGTGTAGTGGCATGATCTCGGCTCACTCCAACCTCCACCTCCCAGACTCAAGGGATCCTCTTACCTCAGCCTCCTGTAGCTGGGACTACAGGTGCATGCCACCATGACCAGCTAGTTTTTGTATTTTCTGTAGAGACAGGGTTTCACTATGTTGCCCAGGCTGGTCTCGAACTCCTGAGCTCAAGTGATCTGCCCGTCTCGGCTTCCCAAAGTGCTGGGATTACAGGCATGAGCCACCATGCTCGGCCGGAATGGCTCTAGGCATTGGAAATTCATTGGCAGATAAAACAGACATGGTTCCTGACCCTGTGGAGTTCATGTTCTTTCCTGGGGGAAGAGAGATATTGAGTAAGAAATGACCAGTCTGATGAGTGTTACAAAATGGGAACTATAGGATGCCCTGGAATGAAATAATTAAAGAGCCAATAATGTAAGTGCTCTAGGAGTTCATAAATGAAAAATAGCCATGTGCACTAAAACTGGAAACACAAAGGTGACTCTAGTGACCCACCAGTAATAGGACGTGTTCTTACTTTAGGCAAGTGTGAATCTTTACGAGATTTTTAGCAGGGTAATGACATGTTCAGATGTGTTTCAGGGAAGCAGTATGTCGCAGAGGTCAGGCATTCTGGAAACAGGTAGGTATAGTTTAAATCCTGCGTTTGCCACTTATCACCCTTATGAACTCACTTTTACTATCTCTAAATGGGATAATCATGATAGTACCTACCTTGTAGGTTTTTGTAAAGAATAAATGAGACAATGCATTATAATGTACACTGTTATTACTACTACTTTTTTTGTTGTTGTTGTTACAGAGTCTCACTCTGTTGCCCAGGCTGGAGTGCAGTGGCGCGATCTTGGCTCACTGCAACCTCTGCCTCCTGGGTTGGAGCAATTCTCCTGCCTCAACCTCCCGAGTAGCTGGGATTACAGGTGTGCGCCACCATGCCAGGCTAATTTTAGTATTTTTAGTAGAGATGAGGTTTCACCATGTTGGCCAGGCTGGTCTTGAACTCCTGACCTCAGGTGATCCACCCTCCTCAGCCTCCCAGAGCGCGGGGATTACAGGCATGAGCCACCACGCCCAGCCCTATTTATTTATTTTTTTAATCTTAGATCCTTGATCATTGTGTAGAGGACAGATTTGAGAGGATTAGATTACTGGGAAGAGAGACCAATTAGTGGGCTGTTGAAGTCGGCTTGGGCAAGAGATGAACTAGAGTAGTGGTTGTAGAGAGGAAAAGAATTTCAGCTATTCAGAGAGTTTGGGGGAAAAAAGGTATACCAGCAATTCCACTCCTAGGGATATACTCAGGAGAATTGAAAACATCTGTCCACACAAAAACTTGCATATCAGTGTTCATAGTGATGTTATTCATAATAGCCCAATAATGGAAGCATCCCAAACATCCATCAACTTATGAATGAATAAATAAAATGTGGTATATCCAAACAATGGACGATGAAATTTGAAAACATTATGCTAAGTGAAAGAAGCCAGACACAAAAGGCCACATTATTGTATGATTCCATTTATATGTCCAGGATAGACAAATCCATAGAGACACAAAGTAATTTTGTGGTTGTTAGGCATTGGAAGGAGGTAGAAATGGGGAGTGACTGCTAATGGGTACAGGATTTATTATGAGATGATGAAAATGTGCTTACAGTGAGCCAGGCACTGATCTAAGAGCTTTACATCTAGGAAGTCTTTAACCCCTACCAACAATCCCCTGATGAAGATACTACTTTTACCTCTCTATTTACAGAGGAGGAAGAAAAATGAAGCAGAGAGATTGTGGCTGAGGTCACAGAGCAGAAAGTGACAGAGCTGGGATTTGAAGCCAGGTGTGTCCAGCTTTAGAGTCCTTGCTCTTATTCACCTCACTATACTCCTCTTGGTATAGAGTAGCTAGTATGATGTCCTTTCTGGCTAATTTATCCGTATTTTATCAAGGTCTTTCAGGATACCACACCTTGACTCAAAGGTGTGACGGAAGACAACTATTATAGATTTATTTTTGGTGAGTTTAGGGGCTGGCTTTGTCAGGCTAGCTCTACCTTGTGGCTAATTGACTGCCAATGACATTTCCTCTTTTACCTTCAGATCCTAATTGAGGTTCATAATTATGACCCTGAGGCACTACAGGTTCTTGAACTACCTTCTGAATCATGAAAGAAAGATTAAACTGTGCACAGCGTGGTTCATTCATTCCATAAGTACTTATTGGGTGCCTACCAACAGGCACCCAATACTGGCAACCTGCCCTCGTGAAGCTTATAGTTTGATGCGAGAGAGAAATATATATTAATCATATAATCACACAATAAGTATAAGATTGCAACTGTGACAAGGGCAACTAAGAAGAGATGTCTGGTGCTCTGAGAGCATAGCAAGGGTTTGACCCATCAAGGTCACGAGGGGTTGAATGAGTTGCGATCCCCAAGCATGAGGGTAAACCAGGTAAAGGGAAGAAGGGAGAACATTCTAGGCAGGGAGAACATGCAAAGCCCCCTGGTGGGAGGGAGCATGGTGAACAGGAGGCCAAGATAGCTGGGATAGAGTGAATAAGGAGGAAGATGCTGAAAAGGCAGGTGGGCCAGGCCACAGAGTCTCGTGGGCCACATGGAAGAATTTGCTTTATCCTGAGAGATGAAAGCACAGAGGATTTGATCAGATTTGCATACCAAACCAGTTCTGGACATGAAGGATGACAATCCCTATTATAATTGGTTGCTTCTGGTCAAGTATTTCATCTTTAATTGTTGACCCAGAAGACTACGTACAGCCATGTTGCCTAGACCGGGTACTCTAGAACATAAACTCTTCCAGGGCAGAGCCACCTACTTTTGACTTGTAGGTGTGATTTGCACAATGCATTCACTTATTAGAAGGTTGATTTTAAAAGACTGACAATCGGCCTGGCACAGTGGCACACGCCTGTAATCCCAGCACTTTGGGAGGCCAAGTGGGTGGATCACTTGAGGTCAGGACTTTGAGAACAGCCTGGCCAACATGGTGAAACCCTTCTCTACTAAACATACAAAAATTAGCTGGGTGTGGTGGCGCATGCCTGTAGTCCCAGCTACTTGGGAGACTGAGGCAGGAGAATTGCTTGATCTTGAGAGGCGGAGTTTGTAGTGAGCTGAGATCGCGCCATTGCACTCCAGCGTGGGTGACAAAGCAAGACTTTGTCTCAAATAAATAAATAAAAATAAAGAACTGACAATCATCTAGCCTAGTCTTTTTACATGAAAAAGCTAGGCGTTAGGCCAGGCATGGTGGCTCACTCTCACCAGTAATCCCAGCACTTTGGGAGGCCGAAATGAGCAGATCGCCTGAGCTCAGGAATTGGAGACCAGCCTGGGCAATGTGGCAAAACTCCATCTCTACAAAAAATACAAAAATTAGCTGGGCATGGTGGCATGTGCCTGTAGTCCCAGCTACTCAGGAGGCTGAGGTGGGAGGATTGCTTGAGCCCAGGAGGTTGGGGCTGCATTGAGCTGAGATCACAACACTGCACTTAGCCTGGGCGACAGAGTGAAACCCTATCTCAAAACAAAAAAAACTAGATGTCTTACATAAATGCTGCCTCATTTAAACCCCACCAGAGTCCCATCAGGAAGATGTTATTGTTATTCTTGCCGTATGGGTTCAGATAGGTTAAATAACATGTTCAGGTTACTCCACTACTAGATGCCCAGGAAAAATATTCAAGACCCTCCAAAACTCCTTCCTTAAAGGAGCCCAAGTCAAGGGCAAGTAGGTGCGATACTGAAAGGTTGTTCCTACAGGCTGCATCTTTGAGAGTGCTGTTGTAAATAATTTTCACTACTGCCACACCTACTTTGACCCCTAAGAACCAGGGGAGAGGCCCCGTCTTCCTCTTTCTAGTTATGTGCTTGCTCATTGGGGTGTGCCAGTAGCACGCCGGCCTCCAAAGGCCTGCCAAGCAAACAAGCATAAAACTGGCCTACACAGACTCTTTTTAGGCAAGTAATCAACACCTGTCTTTTCTCCTCCAGTTTTATTCAAATAGCCTAGTAACTAATAGAGCCGGTTCATCAAAGCAGTTACAGTCAGTGTCTTGAAGCTTGACTGCTCAATGAAGTTCAAGGCAAAATACCTTTAAAATACAGTTCTAATGTCCTATGTGTAGGAGGTATTTCTTCCTAGCAACATCCTTGGGGCACAAATAACTTTTGCCTGGGAAAACATCAGTATTCTCAAAAATAATGACACTTAACTTTTCTCCAAGGTTCTACATTTTCTCTTTCTGAAATGAGTAACAGGACAAATCAGACAGGTTCTGAGAGCCTGTACTTTTGTAGGAGGCGTGGGGAGCAAGGTTGGCACAAAAAAGAATTGAGGCATTGTTTCTGCTCTGGCACAAGAAAGTAGGACAAAGCCCTGAATTTCATGGGTGGGTTCTGATTCACCCTTTGCATTTCTTTTTTTTCCTTTCCTTTTTTTTTTTTTTTTTAAGACGGAGTCTCGCTCTGTCGCTCAGGCTGGAGTCCAGGGGCGCGATCTCGGCTCACTGCAACCTCTGCTTCCAGGGTTCAAGCGATTCTCCTGCCTCAGCCTTCTGAGTGGCTGGGACTACAGGCGCCCGCCACCACGCCCGGCTTTTTTTTTTTTTCTTTTTTTTTGAGACGGGGTTTCACCATGTTGGCCACTGACCTCACCTCGTGATCCACCCGCCTCGGCCGCCCAAAGTGTTGGGATTACAGGCGTGAGCCACCGCGCCCGGCCAGCATTTCCTTTTAATGTTCATATCCAACAATGAGGAGAGATGAGGAGCAGGGAGTCTGGGGGATGGGCATGGAGAAGGTAAGGAAGAGGTGAAATGCAGGCAGTACATATGTACTTGATGGAAGACACGAAACATAAGGCCAGAGAAACTAGACGATCAGAAGAGGGACTGGAAGAGGAAAGAGAATGGTTGAAAACGAACTGAGAAACTAAAGGGAAGAAAGCGAGGAAACAGAGGGAAAGAGGAAATGCTTACATGGGGGCAAGTACTGTTCTGTCCTTACCACTAAAGATCTGGCACGTGATCTGGTCTCCCTCTCACTTGACTCCAGCCAGACTGATCTTCTTGCTCTTGAACATTCATTCCTTCATCTGGACCCTTCCACTTGCTGCTCTTCCTGCAGGCATCTCCCAGGCCTGTCCTTCCTTCCTTCAAGTGGTCTCCCTAACCACACTCTACATGAAATAGCACCTCCCTTACCCTTATTTTCCTTACTCTGCTTTATTTATGCTTGAAGCTCCAGTCACCATCAGACAGAATTTCTGTGTTTTGGCTACCGGCTGTTGGCTGACATATACCCGCTCCTAGAACGTAAACTCCACGGGAACAGGGACTTTGTTTTGTTCTCTGCCGTATCTCCAGCACCTACAACACTGCCTGACACCCTGCTGGGTGACCGATATACGCCGGATGGCTCAGGGAGTGGGTGCAGGTCGAGGAAAGGGTATAGCAAGAGGTATGTCCGGGAGGGATGTTTAGGGTGTGCTTTTAGTCCAACAGAAAAGCACTCTCCATCCTTTTTCTATTTCTCTCCTCTCCTTCTCCCTCCCTCCGCACTTCAGAGGTTGGGGAAAAGCTGCGGGAAAGCAGGAAATAAGGAAAAATCCTAAATTGCCCAGCTCGAATTCCAATGAAAAATTAATGAGCGAGGAAGACAGGGAGGCAGGGAATAAGTGCACATGCAAAAGTTAAGGAAGCCAGTGGAAAGCAAAGAAAAAGGCGAACAGACGTCACTCTCTCTGGTCACGCTCCCCGACTCCCCAGAGGACAGGCGAGGCGCTTCTGGCACACGCCCCCGTCGCCCCGCGGCCGCGCGGCGTCACCACCACTTCGGAGAAGGCCAGGCCCCTCTTCCCCCGCGGGCTTCCCCGCGCCCGCACCGCCGAGGCCCCGGCACGCGCCCGGGGGAGCCGCGAAGACGGCGGGGACTACAGCTCCCAGGATGCCGAGCACAGGCGCGCCTGCGCAGTGCGGTCGGAGGCGGCGGTCTGTTCTCCGCTGAGGAGGAGCGGGGCAGAGGAGGGAGGCAGCGGGTGAGAGTTCAGAGTTCAGCAGCAGCAGCCCGAGCCCATGATTCCCATATGCCCTGTAGTTTCTTTCACCTATGGTGAGTCTAATGTGGCCCGCGAGGCCTCTGCCCGGCCCCCTCCCTGGCCCCGGGCAGCGGGGAGCCGCGGGGGTTGGGGCAGGCTCCGGGGAGGAGGCGGCGGCCGCCACCCGGGCGTGCGAGTGAGTGAGGGAGTGCGAGGCGGGAGGGGGAGGCGGCGCGGCCGCGGCCTGGGCCCCGCCAGGGCTGCTCTCACGGCGCCTCTCTCTTTCTCTCCCTGCCCTCCCTCGGCGTCTCGGCTCCTCTGTGTCTCTTGTCCCGCCATGGGACCCGACTCTTCGTGCCCGCCGCAGTGCCCAGCCGGCTGGGGGAAGATGCCAAAATGGCGACCGGCAACTACTTTGGATTCACCCACAGCGGGGCGGCGGCGGCGGCGGCTGCGGCCCAATATAGGTAACGGCATCCTGCCTTCTCTCTGTTCGCCCCTTGCTCTCCCCTCGGTCCGGATCCTGTCGATGCGACGCCCCCGCGCCCGTCCCCAGCCATCCCAGAGCCCCGGCCCGCTGCAGGCCTGGCCCGGCCCAGCCCGGCGGCCTCTCCCGCCCCGCCCCGCCCCGCCCCGCCTTGCCCGGCCCGGCCCGGCCCGCGGCGGGGAGCGGCCCCCAGTAGGGGGGAGGTAGAGACGGCGGAGGTGTAGGGACGTGGAGGCCTCAGGGCCCTTCAGCGGCCCCTTAACTAAAATGGCCTCCTGCGGCCGCCGAGCGGAGCCGCCACCGCCGCCCGGCAGGCCCCCCAGTCCCCGCCTCCGCGCGTCCAGCCCCCACCTCCCATCTTCTTCCCACTTGGGGGATGGAGAGGGTGGCTGAAGGGACCTCACGGGGAGTGCCGTGTCGCAGGTCCACTGGCTTCTCGTGCGACGCCTCTCTGCGTCGTCGCCTGGTGCTTCAACCCCCGGAGCCCAGATAACGTGTCGTTGTCTCGGGTACCTTTTCCTCCGCCGTGGGGCTTCTTCCCCAGACGCTCCATCGCTAGCGAGTCCTGCTGACAAACTGCGGGTGTCACTGTGTTCATCGGGTTCCTTTAGTTTTTCCTGCAAGGAGAGAGATTCACATACCAACCACCTGTAAATTGTGTAGTTCTTAGACTGGAAAAGATGTGCGAAGTTTCTAGTGCTGATAAATGAGTGCCCAGCCTTGTTTGAGCTATGGAGTTTAGGCCCCAGGTGGGCCTGTCATTCTCCTTGCGGGGGTCTTTCCCCTGCGGGGAATGGTGGGGAGGGAAGAAGATGCAAGTGAGATTGTACTGAGTCATTGTAATGCACCGGATGAAATCCCTGCTTTAAGGGAAGCTCTCATTTCTGAAGTCTGTAGTTCATTATACATCTTACCAAAGACAAACACAACAGTGGATTGTTAAATTGTTACTTTTGAGTCAATCTGAGACTTTTGATTCAGGCCATAAGCGCACACGGCTCCTGCGTGATATGCTTTTTATGTATGTTAGATGTTGGTTAAACCCAGGCAGTTTTTTTCATTTGATTTACTTCAGGAGGCACGGTGTTTAATGGAAAGGGCATCATTGGGAGCCAGAAGACCCGAGTTCAGTCTCTTTTGCTCTTGATTTTTTTTTTTTGAATAAATAATTTTTCTTAGAGAGAAAGGACCTATGTTGCCCAGGCTGATCTCGAACTCCTGGGCAGAGTCCTGCCTCGGCCTCCCAGAGTGCTAGGATTACCGGCATGAGCCACCACACCTGGCCTCTTTTGCTCTTGATTTTATGACGTTGGGAACATCATATAGTTGGGTTTTCATGTTCATCATCTGTAAAATGAGATGCTGGGCAAACTATCTTTTTGGGCTGAAACTTGTGGTTTTGAGAAACCAAGTTACTGTTTTCCATGGCATCCTAAGATGCCATTTGTTGTAAAAGGTACCATTATTGTATGTAGCACTAAAAAAAAATGCTGCCAGTTAAGACACTGCTTAAGACTCCATTAAGAGATGTCAAAATGTATAAATGTGCATCATATTGGTGAAACTAGATTTTACTAATTGTTGAATGCCATGTGGCATTTTACAAGTGTTTTTTCATGAGGCCTGCATTCCAGAAAAAGCACTGAGATGACAAATTATTACAGCAAAATCTTGGGGGCATTTCAAGTATTAGCAAATCGTTTGCTTATAATTTTTGATAATTAGACAAAAAAAGTTTCAGCTACTTTGATAAAACTTTTTAGGACTTTTAAAAAATTCAACAGCTTTTTGGGGTACAAGTGGTTTTTGGTTACGTGGACTAATTATATAGTGAATTCTGAGATTTTAGTAGGGCTAATAATTTTCAAGGAGAGGAAAAAACCATCTTTTTCTCAGAAGAGATAGCTAATCAGCATCTGTGCCATAAATCTGCTGGCAATTACTAGTATTCCGTCTAGAAAAGATTGTGTTTAACCATTAAAATTTTACTTGTTTTACTCAGGTTTTTTCTGTTTTCCTCATATGGGCTGAGTGATAAGATTTGTTGAATTACTAACTTTATTTACTGTAAAGTGGTGGGTTCTTTGTGGCACTTCTGAAATGTTTTTCCTAAATGCAGACCTACAGATAGAAATGAAGAAAGGAAATGCTGATTTAAAGATAATTAATAATTTTTTGATAAAATATTTATGTGATTGTTTTATCCCAGTATAGGGAACTGTGACAGAATTTCTGTTTCTAATAATTTTTTTTTTGGCCTTGAAACTGAAAAGTTTAAACTGTAACAACAATCCAGGTTACTAAATTGATTAAGTGTACATCTGATGAGAAAAGACTAGTCTTTTGACATTACTTATATTGCTAAAACTTAGGCACTCTTGTACATAAGGCCTTGTATATAAACATAGTACATGAAAAGTGTTTGCATTTAATGGCAAGAAATCAGGCCCAATAATACTGGGAATTTTGGCAAGGAAGATGAATGAATAACATTAATAACAAAAGCACATGCAAAAAGTGTGGTGGTGATGCTAATTTTTCTTCCTGGCTGGAAATAATTATAATGGAACTTTTAGAGATGGAAGACCAAGGTCTACTTTACTAATATTTTTTCAAATTTGAAGATCTCAAACTCAGGAAAATCTTAAGTACAGTTCACGCCTGAAAACATATGCAGTTTTTTTTTTTTTCCAATCAAATTTGGATAGAAAATAGAGTATTCATGGAGGGCCAACTTTTTGTATTCGCAGGTTCCACAGGGCCTACTGTGGGACTTTATGTATGGATTTTTGTATACGTAGCGGTCCTGGAACCAATCCCCTGCTTATATGGAGGGATGACTGTATTTATGTGTGAATGATGTGATTGAATTGCTTCACCTATCATTGAATACAGATAAAGTAAACATCCTACACCTAAATGTAATTCCAGAGGCCAGGCGTGGTGGCTCACGCCTGTAATCCCAGCACATTGGGAGGCTAAGGCGGGTGTATCACCTGAGGTCAGGGGTATGAGATCAGCCTGACCAACATGGCGAAACCCGGTCTCTACTACTAAAAATACAAAAGTTAGCTGGGCATGGTGGCGGGCACCTGTAATCCCAGCTACTCTGGAGGCTGAGGCAGGAGAATCGCTTGAACCGGGGAGGTGGAGGTTGCAGTGAGCCAAGATCGCGCGATTACACTCTGGCTGGGCAACAGAGACAGACTCCGTCTCAAAATAAAATACAATAAAAGTAATTCCAGCTCTTAGTTTTCTTGATTACAGTTCTGTAAGATATTTGATTAAATTTATTTTAGATTTAGACTTTTTAGCTTGTTAATATTTGAGATTCATAATGGCACACTAAAGATCAGATTCTTTAAGATGTAAAGACCTGTAATAATGAATTTGTCAAGTATGGCTACTAGTAACTTGTAGATTAGTTACCACATTTTTCATTTGTGTTCATGCATATTAGACAATTTTGTGGTAAGCGTTTCTCAGTCTTGTGTTCTAAGTCCCATAAACTATGGAATTTTTTTTTTCCTGTTTTGTATTTTTTGTTTTTTTTTTTGTTTTTGAGACAGAGTCTCCTTCTGTCACCCAGGCTGGAGTGCAATGGCACGATCTTGGCTCACTGCAACCTCTGCCTCTCGGGTTCAAGTGATTCTCCTGCCTCAGCCTCCTGAGTAGCTGGGATTACAGGCGTGTGCCACCACGCCTGGCTAGTTTTTGTATTTTTAGTACAGACGAGTTTCACCATGTTGGCCAGGCTGGTCTCAAACTCCCGAACTCCGGTCCTCCGCCCGCCTCAGCCTCCAAAAGTGCTGGGATTACAGGCATGAGCCACCGCGCCCAACCTTGTTTTGCATTTTTTTAAGTCAAGTAAATAATGTCAGTTAAGTATTCGTTTGTATGTGTTTACATGTGTACGTTTCTGATAGCATGTTAATTTGAGGGTGCACAGGATAAAGCAGATTTCAGACATGGTGAAAATGTAAGGATGGCTTCATGGCCAAAAGGGAACTTGGTTAGGTAGATAACCTGTTAAGAGTAGAGTACCTTTTTTGTTTGAGGAAATGCACTTACATAAATCTAGTTTTATTTTTAAATAAATCTTGCGGAGAGAACTATTATGACAGTTCTAAGGACTTTAGGATAGCAAAGAATATGAGGAAAGGTAATTCTCAGTAGAAAAAACTTCCTAATAGTTTCATAGGATCAAAAATCATTTTTTTTAACTTCTTCATTGTCAAAGATAGAGAAGTTCTGATAGGAATTCTTCAGTTTTTGAGGAGAATTCGTGGCATATACATTTATAAAAGCATATGTAATAAACGTTATAAAATAATCCCATTATATCCCACAATTAATGAGACATAACCATTTCTTTGAGGCTTTTTTTTTTTTTTTTTTTTTTTTAAAGACATGGTCTCGCTCTCTCACCCAGGCTGCAGTGTAGTGGTGATCATAGCTCACTGCAGCCTTGAACCCCTGAGCTCAAGTGATCCTCCTGCAATGGGCTTCCAAGGTGCTGGGATTACAGGTGTGAGCCACTACGCCCAGCCTCATTGAGAGTTGTAAACAGCCACTTTTTCTTTATTTATACTTTAGAAAAACCTTGGACATAGCAGTAAGTGGATTTTGACTATTGCTGTACCTTAAGCATCTGCCAGTCAAAAGAAGGCATCTCATCTAATGATTTTGAGATGTCTTAGGGACTTCCGTTCCTAAAGGATGAGATAACTCGGGTAGGGTAACAGTAGCTTGGATAGGCTGATAAGCTAATGAGTTTTCCTTTTTTCCTTTCTCTTTTTTACTTTTTATTTGAAAGTAGTGTTAAGAATATTGTGTCTTGAATTCAGGAAAGAATAAAAGTAACACTAGTAAGGTAGAAAAGGATTAAACACTGAGAAAGTAAAAAAACCAGGTGAACAGGTTTTTGAAACCAACCTTGGTGATGGAAATTTACTGGCTTTACAAGAAAAAGAAATATTGCAACGACTAATAACATCAATCCTTCCATTGTTGAATCAGAGACCTTAGGATGTACACTGCATGGATAAGCTTGAAATAAGATAATTTTCATTCCAAAAGGATTGTTGCTATTACACTGATGATAAAATGGCTATTAGTCTTAATAGAGTAGGGTGAGCCAGAATATCCCTGTATAGAATAGGTATCTGCTTGAGTATGCTTTTGTAAACTGCCTTATAGTACACTATGAACAAAAGGACATAACTTTGGAACTATATAGAGTTTGAATCCCAGCTCCATCCCTTCAGGCACCCTGGCCAAGTATCAGCTTCTCTAAGACTTGGTTTCCTCACCTGACTTGCCTTGAGGTGAAGTTTAAATATAAAATTTTCTAGCCTAGTGCCTGATTATCAATAGGCATTCCTATCAATGCTGTTTCCTGTAGAGATTTAAGTAATAATATTATAAGGGTTTTAGAAGGATTCCTTGGTTAATATCTATCATATATTTATATAGAGAGTTTCATAATCTCACAGTAAAATGTTTTAAAACATTTGGAGTCCTCATTACTAATAGAGAAAGAAGGAAAGTTTCTATTTACAGGTAACATGATTGTTATGCTTGTCAGGCAAGAATATGAGAAGTAATAAGAGTACAGCAAGTTTTCTGGATCTATGATCAGGCAAAGGCCGGGAGCGGTGGCTCATGCCTGTAATCCCTGCACTTTGGGAGGCCGAGGTGGGCAGATCACTTGAGGTTGGGAATTCGAGACCAGCCTGACCAACATGGAGAAACCCCGTCTCTACTAAAACTACAAAATTAGCCAGGCGTGGTGGTGCATGCCTGTAATCCCAGCTACTCGGGAGGCTGAGGCAGGAGAATAGCTTGAATCCAGGAGGTGGAGGTTGCGGTGAGCCAAGATCGCGCCATTGCACTCCAGCCTGGGCGACAAGAGTGAAACTCCGTCTCAAAAAAAAAAAAAAAAAAAAAAAAAAATTTTCAGATAAAATCAGTAGCATTCTTGTTTCATCAATATTGAATTAGATTATTAAATTTCAAATAAGTCCTGTTTATGTATAGCCACCAAATCTATTAAGTAAGCAGGAATAAAACAAATGAAGTATTCAAAACACTTTGAAGAGAAAATACAATAGGATAAAAAAGTCATAAAAGATGACAAAGATGGACTGTGTTCATGAGTGAAAAACCAATGCCATCAAATTATTATCTCCTATATATATTTAGCATTACTCCAATAAAAATCTCATAGGATTTTTGGTATAACTTGATAAAGGGATTTTAATGTATATAGTGAGGAGAGTGTTCAGCTAAAAATATCATGAAAGTCTTGCAGAAATGATAAGGAAGGACTTGTAATATCAGATACCAAAATATTATTAATAGAAAAATGTGGTATTGGTACAGGGATAGACAGATTATTGAGTTAAAATAGAGATCCCAGAGATAGACATGCTTATATAAGCAGTTGGATTAGAGTATATATCTAATATATGTCTGTTTAAATAGATGTATTTGTTAAAAAAAAAATCAGCTACATTTTTACTCAGAGACATAGATCATCAGGTTAATCAGAAGACCATTCAGGCTTATAAATGTTGTAATTGATGAAGTATGTTAGTATTATTTGGATGGATCTTTAGTCTACTTATTAAAGGTTGCTTGACTATTAATTGTCCATGACACCACTCTGTCAGAATACAGGATTAGAGTGATTGTTCTGAGTATATCATTTCTTAGTATTTCATGAAAGCCATGTACAGTACAGCTTTTATTCATACAGAGATAAAATGAATGAAATAAACTTTGGGTTTTTTTTTGTTTTATTTGAATATTAGTCTTGTATACACTTTATATTAAAGTGCATTTGTAGGGAATAATTCACTTATTTAATATTTTATGAGCATCTACAATATGCATAGTCCCTGCTTTCAGGGAGTTTACACTTCTGGGGCATGAGGGTGGAGACAGATGAGTCTACAAATAACTATGCCATTATAATTAAGTTTTAATGAAATACTAAAATGGGAAATTGGAGGATTTTGACTATGGAGTTTGAGGTAGACTTCGTGTTCTTTCATTCTGAAAATCAAGGGAAGGTCATTTTAGACAAAGGAAAAGTATTGAGCCAAGACAAATATCTGGATTGCATGATATAATAGAGACTGGGTTGGCTCTGAAGTCAGACTACCTAAGCTGAATCTGGCTCCTCCTATTACCTGCCATGTGACCTTGGGCAAACAGTCTGTTGTTAGTTTTTTTATCTATAAATTGAAGATAATATTTTCTTTGCCTCATAGGAAAACTGCACATGTAAGAGAAAATGAAATGTCATAAACCGAGTGTACCTGTGTAACTTGCACTTAAATTAAAAACAAAAACAGAACATTATCAGTATCCCAGGAGGTTTTTACATTCTCCATTGTGTTGTTTCGAGGATTCACTATTATTTGTAAGGTGGACCTGGCAGTGACTCACACCTGTAACCCTAGCACTTTGGTAGGCCTAGGCTGGAGGATTTTAATCCCAGGATTTTGAGACTAGCGTGAACAGCAAAGTGAGACTCTGTATTATTAATAAAATGAAGAAAAGAAAACATTATTTGTGAAGTGTTCAGAACAGTATCTGGCATATATTATATCTCTATCAATGTTAGCCATTATTCAGTAGGTGGCTGGTGAATATGGATGAAACTAGAGAAAGTACAGTGCCTGGCATATATCAAGCATTCAGTAGACATGTTTTAAATTATTTATAGAAAAATAAAGAATACAACTATGGGGCCAGGCACGGTGGCTCACGCCTGTATTACCAGCACTTTGGGAGGCTGAGGCGGGCAGATCACAAGGTCAGGAGATCGAGACCATCCTGGCTAACACGGTGAAACCACGTGTCTACTAAAAATAAAAAAAAAAATCAGCCGGGCGTGGTGGTGGGCGCCTGTAGTCCCAGCTACTCGGGAGGCCGAGGCAGGAGAATGGTGTGAACCCAGGAGGCGGAGCTTGCAGTGAGCCGAGATCGCGCCACTGCACTCCAGCCTGGGCGACAGAGCGAGACTCCATCTCAAAAAAAAAAAAAAAAAAAAAAAAAAGAATACAACTGTGGTTACCAACTTTAAGGTAGGACCAGGGAAAGAAAGAAATACTGTGTGAACAGAGAGCCAGGAGAATTTAGGGTCATGAAAACCAAAAGATGATAGCAAGGTCGTCAGCTTTAGAGTTGCTGGATTAGGGATTTAGTACAGTTATCAAGTTACTGGTGTAATTTTAATGAGTAGCCTTTATAAGGAAACTAGAATCTGATCACTTGGAGCTACAGAAAAAAATAGCATAAAATTTTGCTTAAAATAAGTTTGTAGTCTAGTGTTCACATAGATACTTAAGAGCTCCAGAGGTCACATGGGCTTAAAGTATTGGGAAGCACTGTGGTTGAAATCAATCAAATGAAAATAAATTTTTTGAATTCATATTTCTGGGAAAAGCTATAGTATAAAATACACTACTAGTATGGTAGTCAGCATTAAATGGGCAAGGCATGTCTTTGAAAATAGGCTTGAAGAAATATGACCCTTTTTGATGGGAAAAACAATAAAACTGTTTAAACAATAACCATGTAGATGAGAGCAAAGAGTGCTGTGATTTATGAAAGTGGCTTTATAGCTTCTCTTACTTCCCCAATCCTGCCCATTCCCAAACCGTTTTATACTATAAGCATAATGGTCTCTATGAAATGTAAATTTAATCATAACACTCTTCTGTTTAAGTTACTATCAGAATATCTGGTTATCCTAGTTTTATATTTAGAAGTCTGTAATGTTTCACCCACATTTACGAAATTCACACACTTCCGAAAATATTCGTAGTAAGCTTGTAAAAGCTTGACAGTAAAAACTGAATTGACAGAAGGTTAGCTTTTTTCCCATCTCACTCAGTGTGAATATTCATACCTTTCCTTGAAGAAGTGTTAATACATTTGAGAAATGATGAAGGATTTATTTTTCGTGAGTATAAAAAGTTACAGAGGTCGGGTGTTGTGGTTCATGCCTGTAATCCCAGCATTTTGGGAGGCTGATGTGGGTGGATTCCTTGAGCCCAGGAATTGAGGTCACCAGCCTGACCTGAAGCAATCCACTTGCCTCTACAAAAATTAACCCCCCATCATGGTATACACCTGTGGTCCCTGCTCCTCGAGAGGCTGAGGTGGGAGGATCACCGGAGCCTGGGGAGGTCAAGGCTGCAGTGAGCCTTGATTGAGCCACTGCACTCCAGCCTGGGTGACAGAGTGAAACCCTGTCTTTAAAAAAGAAAGAAAGAAAAAGTTACAGAGTACTTCATTTTAATTAATTTATGGTATCCTTCAGGGTTTATTGTACCCAATCAATAGTGAGTTTCTTTTTTGAGTAGTTCTAGTTACAAGGATTGACATTCCATGACTTTTATTTCTTAGAGGCCTTCCAAAGAGCAAAGAAAACATTTCCCTTATTTTTCAAAATGGAATAAAATTCATCCTATCTAGCAAGATTTACATCATGGGATCTTAAACATTTTGCTGTTTTATCATTCTGTGAATTATTTCCTCTATCACGTATTCCCAACTATGTTAAAGACTAATATAATTGGAAAATGGAAGAATGTTGGAATCACCTACAAGGGTGGTACAGTAGTGAAATAACTAGATGATATTGCATTGCCCAAGTATCATATCTTCTTTCAAAAAGCTAGAAAAGAAAGTAGAGACACTAACTTCATAGTTGGCTTTTAGTTTTCCTTCAACACAGTTGAGAATGCAAAATTGTTCATTCTCTGCCCATACCAGCAAAGGAGAAGAAAGTTGACACAGGAAAATGTTTCCCAATTATCAGATAGATCATAAGATGAATGCAAAAAGCACCGCTCTAGACCAATGATAATGTTGAAATTGTATAAGCAGAAAATCTCAGGCTACAAGTCTTCAGCTGATAATGTCCTACATGAATTTTTCAAACTGAAGAATCAATACATAATACATTTCTAAGGATTAAAAAGGAAATATGCCATTCTCATTCAGTTAGTCATTCACTAGAAGGGACTTCGTTTTATAATATTCTGTGAGGAGAACCAGAATATCCTATTTTGCTAAGCAGATACTTGGCAGAATTCTTTCACCTTTTTGTTGTTGTTTTGAGGCAAGGGTTTCGAACTCTAGCCCACGCTGGAGTGCAGTGGCACAATCTTGGCTCACTGCAAACCTCTGCCTCCCAGGCACAGGTGATCCTCCCTCCTCAGCCTCCTAAGTGGGACTACAGGCATGTGCCACCGTGCCCAGCTTATTTTTGTAGAGATGGGGTTTTTGCCATGTTGCCCAGGTTGGTCTCAAGCTCCTGGATTCAAGCGATCCGCCTGCCTTGGCCTCCCAAAGTGCAGGGATTACAGGCCTGAGCCACCGTGCCTGGTGAATTCTTTCATCTTTTGTGAAGTTTGTGCACTAAAATATACTTGATATGGTTCATTAGTGGACAAATGCTGAAAACAGATGCTTTATATAAAAGTGATTGGAAAAAAGTAGTTGGTGTAGAAATGAGTTATTAGATTAAACATTCCAAATCTAAAATTGAAAATGTTTTGCAGGTAGGGAGTAAAGAAGATGGCCATCTCTTTAACAAAATAGGAGCCATCAGACATTTCAGAAAAAATTTTTATGGATTGTATTTTGACCCTGCAAGTGCAGGAAGAAGAACCAGAAGTAATGATGAACCAGATAGAACTTGTTAGAGATATATTTCAAATCTGGAGTCAGCATTTGTGAGGTGGGCATGTTCCAAGTTTGTGCATCAAAATTGAGCAGTTAGCTGTGTTTAGAGAACATGGTCCATATACCTTTGAAGTCAGGGCAATATGGAATAAAAATTCGGGTTTACTATAATTTTTTAATTACTGTAATTCTTATTTATAGAAGTTTCTAATCATTCTTTTTCATTATCCCTTATTTTAATGGAAATTATTTGTTAAATGACTAAAATTAAAATAATTTAAAAGATCCAGTGGACGCAGATGGGAAATGGTGATAGCTGTCTTTCCTGGTGAGTTAAAGATTACAAGAAAATTAACAATTTTCATACGACATTTAACCACCTCGCTCCCCTGTGGTCTACACCATTCTAGTGAGTTGGTAGGAATTGTAGGATAAGCTGTCTTATTCTAGTGTTTAAGAAGAAATCAAGCGGCAGGGCACAGTGGTTCATGTCTATAATCCCTGCACTTTGGGAGGCTGAAGCGGGAGGATCACTTGAAGCTGAGTTTGAGACCAGCCTGGGTAGCATAGCAAGACCTCATCTCTGTTTAAAAAAAAAAAAAACAATTAGCCAGGCATGGTGGAGTACACCTGTGGTCCCAGCTACTTAGAAGACTGAGGTAGGAGGATCACGTGAGCTGGGGATGTTGAGGGTGCAGTGAGCTGTGATTGCACCACTGCACTCCTTCCTGGGTGACAGAGTGAAAAAAATAAAAAGAAGAAATGGAACCTAAATTTAAATTTCTTCTAAAATCTATGGTAATAAAATTATTATTATAATAACATTGCAAAGATAATGGGAGCATGACATTACAACATCAAGAATAAGGAATAGCCAGGTGCTGTGGCTCACACCTGTAATCCCAACACTTTGGGAGGCTGAGGGGAGAGGATTACTTGACCTCAGGAGTTTGAGACCAGCTATATATAAAGAACTCTTAAAACTCAACAAAAGTCAAATAATCCAATTTAAAAATTGGCAGAAGACTTAAATAGAAACTTTACCAAAAATGACATACAAATGGCCAAAAAGCGTATGAAAAGACGCTCAACATCACTGACTACCATAGAAATGCAAATCAAAACCACAATGGGCCATCACCTCACATTTAGTGAGCTATTACCTACATTATAGTAAACCCAATTTTTTATTCCGTATTGCCCTGAAAGGTATATGGACTGTGTTCTCTAAATACAACTAACTGTTCAACTTTGATGCACAAACTTGCAGTGGCGCAATCAAAGTTCACTGTACCCTCAACATCCCCAGCTCAACATAGCGAGACCAGCATCTCTGCGAACAATTACCCGGGTTTGGTGGCAGGTTTCTGTGGTCCCAGCTACTCAGGAGGCTGAGGTGGGTGGATCGCTTGAACCTGGGAGGTTGAGGCTGCAGTGAGCCACGCTTATACCACTGCACTCCAGCCTGGGTGACAAAGTGAGACCCTGTGTCCAAAAAAAAAAAAAAATAGCTGGGCATGCTGGCACACATGCGTAGTCTCAGCTGCTACTCGGGAGGCTGAGGTGGGAAGATCATCTGAGTCTAGTCTGCAGTGAGCCATGATCTTGCCACTGCACTTACTGGGAAACAGTAAACCCTGTTGGGTTAAAAAACAAAAACAAAACAAAAAGAATAAAGTTGCTTTGTCTTTGGGGTGATTCTGTGAGGAAGTTTGTCTTTTTTTTTTTTTTTTCAATGTTATATCTAATTTAAAGACATTTAAATGTCAGTAGTTTCGTAGATACATAAAATGCCACAATTTGTCCTAGAAAAGTCCAACACTGTTGAGCATTAAACTTGGACTAAAGGGAAGGTCAGATTGTGTTTCATGTGCCATGAAAGAGAAAGAAATGTTGTATCTATCAATTACTTTGCTGTTTTACCCAAAATTGAAACATGCACACACACAGTATGTTTTCTAAGGTACGAAAAGCACATTTAATGTGAATAACAGAAGCTGTCTATGTTTTCTTTAGATTTTTCCCACTTCATTCTTTATAACTGCAGAAATACAATATTCTGTTTCCACCTGGTAGTGGTTCCTCTAGAAATTTAACATGAATATTTCACTTAGTCTAAAGTTAGTCATTAGTTTTATTCCCCTAACCAATAGACTTAAAATATTTTAAACTTGATCAGTCCTCCTGATTTTGTGTTCTTGTTATATGATAGCTCAGATTTTTTTAACCCCGTGACCAATTACTGTTGGACACAATTACTTGTTTTATATGGTCAATGATTATTTAAGTTTACCTTCATATTTACCACTCTTTTTGCTCAACATTCATTCATTCTGAGATCATTTTTATTCTTTCTAAAGTAAATCTTTGAGAATTTCCATTAGCGTGGGTCTAAAAAAACAGGTTTTCCTCTTGCTTTCGTTTTTTGAGACAGGGTCTCACTGTGTTGCCCAGGCTGGAGTGCAGTGGTGCAATTTCAGCTCACTGCACCTTCAACCTCCCGGGCTCAAGCAGTCCTCCCACCTCAGCCCCCTGAGTAGCTAGGATTACAGGCACGCCACCATGCCTGGCTAATTTTTGTATTTTTTAGTAGAGACAGAGTTTCACTGTGATGCCCAGGCTGGTCTCAAACTCCTGGACTCAAGAGATCTGCCTGCAATAGCCTCCCAAAGTGCTGGGATTACAGGTGTGAGGCACCACAATCAGCCTGAGAGTTTTTTGGGTTTTTTTTCTTCATCTTAAAATATCTTTGATTCTACCTCCTTGAGTAGTCATCACTTAATCTCTGTAGGCAGTTTTTTCCCTCTGGCTGCTCATAAGAGTTTTTCTTTATCTTTCATGTTTACAGTTTCACTTAGATATATCTTACTGTGAATTCTTCTTTACTAGGGTTTCTTGGGACTCCTGAATCTGAACATTGTTATCTTTCATTAATTTTAGGGAATCTCTTGACATTTTTTTTCTATATTCTTTCCTAGTCTTTCTCTCCATTTGTAATTCCAATTAGATGTAAGTTAACCACTTTTTATTTTATCTTCCAAGTATTTTAATCTCTTTAATGTTTTTCATCTCTTCCTCTCTCTCTGTGCATTCTGGGTAATTTTTACAGATAATTTTCTCATTCACCAGTTTATTGCCAGCCATGTTTAATTAGTTATGCAATAACCTTTCTGAGTTCCTGACTATAAATTTGTCAGATGATTTAGTTTTAAAAGTTCATTTGGTTGTTTTTGACCCATCTTGTTCCTTAGTCTTAGTTTTGACAATCTCTTTTACTTCAAGTGTGCTTAAACATTTTGTATCCAATAATTCTAATGCCTGTGGTCTCAAAAAAATTTTTTTCTTTTAATTCTGTACACTTTTGCTTATATTAGTGTATTTCCCTTGGGTTTTATCGTGATTTTTTTTTTTTTTTTTTTTTTGAAATAGGGTCTCACTCTGTCACCCAGGCTACATCCCAGGCAACATCACCCAGGATTGCGGTGGTGCAGTTGTAGCTCACAGCAGCCTCAACCTCCTGGGTTCAAGCAGTCCTCCTGCCTCAGCCTTCAGGACCCCACCATACCTGGCTAATTAAAACAAAAAAAAATTTTTTTTTAAAGGCAGGGCCTCCCTTTATTACCCAGCCTAGTGTCAAACTCCTAGCCTCAAGTGATTCTCCCCCTTTGACCTCCCAAAATGCCAGGATTACAAGCATGAGCTACTGCGCCTGGCCTCTTAAGATTTTTTTGATTGAGGTTTCCTGTTTGTTGGAATGTTATTTGCAGCATTTACAGAAGAATATGTGTTTTGTGTGACCTGGAAGCACTGTCAGCCTTGAGTTACAGAGGTTAAGTATTTTCGGGTTAGGCTTGCTCAACAGGTAAGTGTAATGCAAATATTCCAAAATCGGAAACTTCTGGTCCCATGCATTTCAGATAATAGATAGTCAGTCTGAATTAAACTAACTTCTTGGTTGGGAATTTGCCTGGTCAGATAATGTGAATTCTAGAGTCCAAACCTAGGGGAAGACTGTCTTGTGCCTAAGAACTGTCAGGAAAGTATTTTCTCTTCTTTACCCACACCTGGCTAATTTTTGTATTTTTTAGTGGAGACAGGGTTTCACCATGTCTTGTGCCTAAGAACTGTCAGGAAAGTCTTTTCTCTTCTTTACCCAGAGCAAGACTGATATAGGAAAAAGTTTCCTTACAGTTCTCCCTTAAAAGATGGAAGAAGAGGCCAGACGCAGTGGCTCAAGCCTGTAATCCCAGCGCTTTGGGAGGCCAAGCCGGGCAGATCACGAGGTCAGGAGATCGAGACCATCCTGGCTAACACGGTGAAACCCCGTCTCTACTAAAAACACAAAAAAATTAGCCGGGCGTGGTGGCGGGCTCCTGTAGTCCCAGCTACTCGGGAGGCTGAGGCAGGAGAATGGCGTGAACCCGGGAGGTGGAGCTTGCAGCTAGCCGAGATCACGCCACTGCACTCCAGCCTGGGCGACAGAGCAAGACTCCGTCTCAAAAAAAAAAAAAAAAAAAAAAAAAAAAGATGTAAGAAGACTTTTTTCTAATTCACCTACTGTGGTGGTTCGTTTGGTAGCCCCAAAGTTGTGAGCTGTTGCTTTCCAATTCTTCCATGTCTCTGCTAACACGGAAAGTGATATTTGTGCAGTAGCTTGCTGTGTAAGCTGAGAGATTGGAGCCTTGAATAAGGGATATTGCAGCTGCAGGCAACAGAATCGGGGCCTCCCTCAGGCCACTCATGCACTGTGCATTCTCCCTGAGAACTAACACCAACATCTGGTGGGACGCTCTGCTTTTATACTACTCAAAGTGTGGTAGGCAGACTGGTGCTGCTCTGTGACTTCTCTTGTTACTGCCTCATAAAAGGTATTTGTAGGATGATGTAAGTCAACCAACTGCTAAACGTACTATAATTGTTTGTTTTTAGACAGAGTCTTCCTCTTCACTCAGGTTGAAGTGTAGTGGTGCAGTCACAGCTCACTGAAGTCTCGAACTCCTCCTAGGCTCAAGTGATCCTCCTGTCTCAGCCTCTTGAGTAGCTGGGACTATAGGCATGTACCTACAGGCTAGACTAATTTCTTTTTTTTTGAGACAGACTCTCTCTGTTGTCCAGGCTGGAGTGCAGTGGCATGATCTCGGCTCACTGCAACCTCCGCCTCCTTGGTTCAAGCGATTCTCCTGCCTCAGCCCCCTGAGTAGCTGGGACTACAGGCATGTGCCACCACGCCTGGCTAATTTTTGTATTTTTAGTAGAGACAGGGTTTCACCATGTTGGCCAGACTGGTCTCGAACTCCTGACTTCAGGTGATCTGCCCACCTCGGCCTCCCACAGTGCCACACAGAGTCGCTGCACTCAGCCACACAGAGGTTTTTAATTTTGGTGTAGTCTCATTTGTCTAATTTTTTGCCTGTGCTTTTGATGTCACATCCAATAAATCATTGCCAAATTTCATGTCATGAAGCTTTTTTCCTTTGTGTTTTCTACTAAGAGTTGTATAGTTTTAGCTGTTACATTTAGATCTTTCATCCATTTTGAGTTAATTTTTGTATATTTTGTAAGGTGAAGCTCCAGCTTTTTTCCTTTTCGTGTGGATATCCAGTTTTCCTAACACCATTTGTTGAGAAGACAACGCACTGAATGGTCTTGGCATCCTTGTCAAAAATTATTTGACTGTATATGCAAGGCTATATATCTGGGTCCTCTATTCTATTTCATTGGTCTATATGTCTGTATGCCAGCACTATACTGTTTTGATTATCATAGTTTGAAATTAGCAAGTGTGAGACTTCCAACTTTGTTCTAATATTTTAAGGTTGTTTTGCTATTAGGGATCTCTTGAGATTCCACAGGAATTTTAGGATAGATTTCTTTTCTGGCAAAAAAAAATCACTGGGATTTTTATAGGAATTTCACTGAATTTTTAGATCACTTTGGGTAGTATTAACATCTTAACAATAGTTTGCCTTCTAATCCGTGAACATGGGATGTCTTTCCATTTATTTGTGTCTTTAAATCTTTCAGCAGTGTTTTGTAGTTTTTAATACACACGTTTTTCACCTTCTTGGCTAGGTTTATTCGTAAGGTTGTTTTCTTTTCTTTTCCTTTTTTTTTTTTTTTTTTTTTTGAGACAGAGTCTTGCTGTGTTGCCCAGACTGGCACGATCACGGCCACCTGCAGCCCTGACCTCCTGGGCTCAGGTGATCCCAGCCACCCAAGTAGCTGGGACTACATGCACGTGTCATCATGCGCCACTAATTGTTTTTTGTATTTTTCGTACAGATGAGGTCTCACTATATTGTCCTCCCAGCTTAGCCTCTGAAAGTGCTAGGATTACAGGCTTGAGCCAGCCACAGTGCCTGGCCCGAGTTTTTTATTCTTTTTGACGCTATTGTAAGTGGAATTGTTTTCTTAATTGCCTGTTTATTGTTAACATATAGGAATGCAACTGATTTTTGTATCCTGTAACTTTGCTTATTTCCTTTATTAGTTCTAACAGTTTTTTGTGGAGTGTTTAGTGTTTTCCATGTATAAAATGATGTCATCTGTGAACAGATGGCTTGATCTTTTTCAATTAGGATGCTTTTTTTTTTTTTTCAGAAAGAGTGTTTCTTTGTCATCCAGGCTGGAGTGCCGTGGCACAATCTCAGCTCACTGCAACCTCCGCCCCCTGGGTTTTCAAGCAATTCCCGTGCTTCAGCCTCCCAAGTAGCTGGGGCTACAGGCACATGCCAGCATGTATGGCTAATTTATTGTAGTTTTATTAGAGACAGGGTTTCACTGTGTTGGCCAGGCTGGTCTCGAACTCCTGGGCTGAAGTGATCCACCTGCCTTGGCCTCCCAAAGTGCTGTGATTACAGGTGTGAGCCACCAGCACCTGGCCTAATTTGGATGCCTTTTATTTTTCCTGCCATATTGCTTTGGCTGGAACTTAAGTACTGTGTTGAATAGAAGCAGTAAAAGCATGCAGCTTTGTCTTCTTCCTGATCTTAGAGGAAAAGCTTTCAGTGTGTCATCGAGTGTGAGGTTAGCTATGGGCTTTTCATAGTTTTTATTATATTGAGGTTATTTCCTTCAATTCCTAGTTGGTTGAGGTTTTTTTTTTTCTTTTTTTAATCATAAAAGGATGTTGACTCTTGTCAAATGCTATTGAGATGATCGCTTGGGTTTTGTCTTCCATTTTATTAATGTGTATTACATTGATTTATATGTTGAACTTGTCACCGTATTTTAAACTGTTAAAGAAAACACAAATGTTGTAGAGAGTAGATGTGATGGTTAAGAGCACATACACACTGGGGCCACACTGCTTAGGTTCTGGCTTTTACTCTGCCACTTACTAGTGATTTCATATCTTGGGTTTAGATTAAACAATTTTCTGCTAGGTTTCTATTAATTATAAACCTTATTTTACTGTAATTAGTAGTTTTTATTAATGAATTAAGCAATTTCATTTTCCTGTTGCGTGACAGAAACTTTTTGCATAAAGGGATAATAAATAGAGACCAAGGAAATAAATGGTGAATAACCATTACAGACTCAAGTTAATGGTCTGCATCATGAAATGAAGATTCTCAAACTTTTGGGTTTCAGGATTCCTGTAGCACTTCTAATTATTCAGAACCCCAGAGTTTTTGTTTATTTGGGTTATATTGGTATTTACTATATTAGAATTAGGCTGGGCACGGTGGCTCATGCCTGTAATCCCAGCACTTTGGGAGGCCAAGGCGGGTGGATCACCTGAGGTCAGGAGTTTGAGACCAGCCTGGCCAACATGGTGAAACCGTGTCTCTACTAAAAATACAAAAATTAGCCAGAAGGTGGCAGCTGCCTGTAATCCCAGCTACTCGGGTGGCTGAGGCAGGGAAAACTGCTTGACCTAGGAGGCGGAGGTTGCAGTGAGCCGAGATTGTGCCACTGCACTCCAGCCTGGGCAACAGAGTGAGACTCCGACTCAAAAAGAAAGAGTAAAAGTATTACACATTAACCAAAAATATGCTTATGAAAAATTAGTTTCAAAAACAGTGAGATGAGAGGCATTGTTTTACATTTTTACAAATCTTTTTAATGTCTTAAATTAAGAATATTCTAAAATTTGCTTTTGCATTCAGACTGTTGCAGTAAATTATTTGGATTAAAATATATGAAGGCAGCCTGGCCTCACACCAGTGTGTAATTAAAAAGAGAACAACCTTGTGTGGACCTCCTGAAAGGGTCTCAGGAACCCTTAGGGGAGTCCCTGGATCACATTGAGAACCACTGTTGTATACAAATTAAAAACTCCCCAGAGACCTTTAAAGCATTCTGGTTTTATTTCTTTTGGTGCTAAGCTCCACATCACTGAATAGTATTCCTCTTTTGCTATTTTGTAACTTATCAACTTTATGCATATATTTTTATTTCCTACAATCACAGTTTAGGACTGTATTGCATATGCTCTCTTCTCATTTCTCCTCTTCCCAAATTCAGACTATTTCTGTTAATTTAGAGAGTATACTCCATTTCTAGTTCCATCAAAGCTAGACAGTATATGAGTACTCTGTAGTTTTTAAAAATTCTTGAAACTCTTGTGTTTCACTCCTTCTCTTTCCCTACTTCACTCCCCAAACTTAATGTATACTCTTATTTATGATAACGTTTACATTATATTCTGTAATCATAGTTTATCTTCTCTAATTTAGATTGATTCTAAAACTTTAAAGCAAAAACTGTTTTATCTTATCAATAGTATTTATTGTGGAGCCTAGTACCATTCTATGATTATGATTTCTAATGTGTTCCATTTTACAATCCTGTACCGCTTATTAGAAAATCTTCCTAGGCTCAAGTTCAAATGGATTTTTTCCTCTTTTATACCATACTGATTGCTCACCTATAAAGTCTTTTATTGGGATCATGCCTTTCTTGAGCAGTTTACATTTCCTGAATTCATTCATTACCTTTTTTCTTTTTCTTTTTTTTTTTTTTTTGAGACGGAGTCTCGCTCTTTCACCCAGGTGAGACTGCAGTGGCGCGCGATCTCGGCTCACTGCAAGCTCCGCCTTCTGGGCTCACGCCATTCTCCTGACTCAACCTCCCGAGTAGCCGGGACTACAGGTGCCCGCCACTGCGCCCAGCTAATGTTTTGTATTTTTAATAGAGACGGGCTTTCACCGTGGTCTCTATCTCCTGACCTCGTGATCCACCCACCTCGGCCTCCCAAAGTGCTGGGATTACAGGCGTGAGCCACCACGCCCAGCCTACCTTTTTTTCTTAATCATGTTGTCATTTCTTAAAATTTGTCTAGGCTCCCTGTCTACTGGCTCTGTGCCGAGTCCTCTGTTTTTCTGGATATCTTTCTCTGAGAGGCTTCTGTCCTTCCCCTAATTCCAATCTATACTCACTTCTCTCTGGGCCTGCTGCCACCACAGCTGCTGACCTAGGCTTTCATCTGTTTGCAGGATCCCATGTTTTCTTGGTTTACTTTTTGTTTTAGCTGGAATATATCTTCATGTAGCTTCCTAAGAAAAGGTTGTAGTAGGTAAACTCCTTCCATCCTTGAGTGGTTAAAAAATCTTTATTCTGCCTCCATAGTTTGGCTGGGTACAAAATTCTACATTAGTAATCATTTTCCCTTGAATTTTGAAGATAATACCTTATCTTCTTGCTTTAGTGTTACCAGTAAGAAGTCTAGTTTTCATTTAGTTGCAGGTGCCCAGTTTTTCCCTCTCTGGAGACAGGATCTTTTTGTCTTGAAAAGTAAAATGCTATGTCTCTAGGTTTGTTTTTTTCACTCTGTTTTGCTCTCTGTGAGCTTTTTGAATTTGAAAACGTGGTTCACGTCAGGAGTGGGAAATTTTATTTCTTAATTTTTTTGATCTTTTTTCTTTTCTGTCATTCCTTCAGGCAGGACATTGGGCCTTCTAGACTTATCCTTTCTTTTGTATTTTTCATATATTTATCTTGTCTATTTCTCAACTTTATCTTCTCTTCTAGGTAGTATAAAGTTCTTGTTTTATAGATACAAATTAGAGTTTTTGAAAATTCTCATCTGTGGCCTTCATATGTTCATTTCCCACATGGTCATTCTTACTTGTTTTGCAGTTTATAGTAGGCTTTCTTCAGACATGTGGTGATTTGTGTTGTCTGTTCATTTTTTAAAAATTTTTTTAAATTTAAAAAAAATTTTTTTTGAGACAGGGGTCTCACTCTGTTGCTCAGGCTTGCAGTGGTATGATCTCAGCTCACTGCAACCTCTGCCTCCTGGGCTCAAGTGATCCTCCTGTCTCAGCCACCCAAATACCTGAGACTACAGATGCATGCCACGACACGCGGCTAATTTTTGTGTTTTTTGTAGTGATGGAGTCTCACTATGTTGCCAAGTCTGGTCTCAAACTCAAGATCCAGCCTTCTTGGCCTCCCAAAGTGCTGGGATTACAGGTATTCCGTGCCCAGCTTGACTGTTATTTTTTTAAGCAGTAAGATTGCCTGGAAGTCTTGAAAGTCTTATTTTTTGTAGTGAGTCCCTGGCTCACTTTTTGTTGTTGTTGATAAGTAGGTAAGGAGCTGGCCATTTCTTGAGTAAGAATATAGAGTGTGTGTACTCTGTAATAATTGCTTACGTGCTTTCTTTTCCTGTTTCTCCTCAGGGAAAGTACTCTTCCATTTATGTCTGATGCTTGAAGTGTTTCTTGGCTTCCTTTTTTTTTTTTTTTTTTTTTTTTGAGACAGGTTTTACTCTGTCATCCAGGCTGGAGTGCAGTGGCACAATCATGGTTCACCGTAGCCTCAACCTCCTCTGCTCAAGCGATCCTCCCACCTCAGCCTCCTGACTAGCTGGGACTACAGGCACACACTACCATGTGTGGCTAATTTTTAAAAAATTTTCTGTAGAGATGTGGTCTTTCTACGTTGCCCAGGCTGGTCTCAAACTCCTGACTTCAAGCAGTCCTGCTGCCTTGGCCTCCCAAAGTGCTGGGATTACTGGTGTGAGCCACCATGCCCAGCCTTCCTCATGCTTTTGGTAGAAGATATGGTTCCAGTCCAGATGATGGTTAGAGACCTGGCTATACAGAGCAGAGTTAGACAATGCCAGGGATGTGTAAATAGCAATTGCTAAATCTGCTGGCATCTTTTTCATATTTCATCTTTTCCTGGGACTGGTGACTGTATAATTTATTGTTCAAACTGAGACATGTAGGAGAGTGAAAAGTACTAAAAGTAATAATTACACCGGCAGTAGGCATTAACCAGAACATATGGTCATTCCTTCTTGAGTCTCATGGACATTTAGGGTGACGATCAGAGGCAGTATAAGTTAAATTGGCTTCCTGGTTGACTCAACATTCCCATCCTATTCCCACCTGCTTTTTGTCTAATAGGACATGTTTTGGGGACAAATACTAGATAAGGAGCAGTGGGATGAATAGAAACAGTCTTTTATATAACCAAAATTACTCTTAGGTGGTTTAGTCTGGATGTATTTAATCTTATCCTGTTAGTAAATGTTAAATACAAGTTTCACAGACCTGTTGTATTTGTATTTTAAATAGTATCTTTTTTTTCAGTTCCAGGAATTTTGGAAAAGTATGACCTGTTACTGGCATTTTCTTACAGATATGGAGTTGTTCCTAGAAAATGTTATTCCCAAACAAGTTTTTCACTGTTTTAATGTAAACTTTTCCTGTCATATTGGCATATATGTAGAAAATGTTAGTTTTATATCAAAATATGGAAACCTCATCCAGATAGAAATTCTATGAGTTTCTTTGGACTCTGTTCTAAGTTTTTTTTGTTTTTTGTTTTTTGTTTTCTTTTTCATATTGGACTGAAATCTGCCACCCTGTAACTTCCAACTATTGGTTCTAGTTCTGTTCTCTGGAGCAGCATGGAGTAAGTGTCTTCTATTAGAAGGCATCTGTCACCTTTTCTAGACTGAATTTCTCCAGGTGTCCTCCCCTTTTTATATGAAATTAAAACCCATATCTCTGACCTTCACATTGATTCCCTTTGGAATCTTACAATCTAATATGAACTTCCTAGTTTATCAGTGTTTTCCCTAATACAGTTAAAATATGATAGCCCCAAATTTTAATTTAATTCTATACTATATTTCTATGTTACTATGCACACCAGTACAGAATACCTTGTACTATAGACCATTAATCAGAGACTGAGTTAATTAGTGCAGCTTCAACATTTTTTTTTTCTTTCTCTTAGCTATTCTTAGTTGTTGGCTCATACTAAAATGTGGTCAGCTAAAACCTATCAGCTAAATAACTGTTGGGGCTCTTCTTTTTTTAGTAGGTGTTTCTGCCTTAGTAATGTGGCTTTACCTTGTGGAATTGAGTGTATTATTCAGAAAACCTAGAACAAGAAATACACTTTTATATGCTAACATCTGTAGGCCTTTGGTTTTAGTGATATAGGCTTTCAGTTTAAAAGTTAAAATAAACATATTCCTGTAAGAACTTTAGCTAGAAATTCATTTGATTGCTGTTTTGGAAAATGTTTTTGTCTCTTTGAGGTTTAAATGTTTTTAATTGCAAAGCATCTGATTTGTGTCTTCTTTTACAAAACATGCTATTATATATTTAAAAGTAACTTTGTATAATGAAATGCTCCCTGTAAGCTGGAAAATGTATCTAAAATAATAGATATTCCATTGTAGGTTTTGTACCCTGGAACAGAACTTCTCAACCCTCAGCACTATTGACATACTTTAAATAATTCTTTGTTATGCACGGCTGTCCTGTGCATTGTAGGATTTGTAACAGCATCCCTGGCCTCTATCCACTGGATGCCAGTAGCTCACATATCACCACCTCCTCTGCAGTTTGGTCATCAAAAATATATGCAGATATGGCCATATGTCCCCTGGGGGAAAAATTCCCCCAGTTGAATACCAACTGTCCTAAAGCAACAGAAGTATTTTTTAATCAGCTGGTCAGTAGTTTCTACCTTAAATTTCTTTCTGTAATTGGGCTAGAATAGAATATTTTTCTTATGGTTTCTTTGTAGAGATTTGTAAAACTGTACAACATAATAAAGAACTTCACATGTAACTAACACTAAAGTTCCTAATTTGGTCAGTTTTTTCTTTTCTTCCTAATACTGTTTTTTATCCTAGTTTTTAATTCCTGTTATGTGATACAATCTATGATCTGAAACGTGTGACTATATAATGTATTGAGATTAAAGAATGAAAATTTAAAAAAAAAAGAATGAAAATTACAGAACAGTAATAAATATGATATTGAATAGGAAGTTTATTGAGTTCAAGTACTTGACCTTTTGTGGTCCGTCATTAAATTACTTGAAAATGTGCTTTTTATTTCAGTTGAATAGCTTTTAATTGAAGTTGGTTAACTCCTGGATATTAAAATTGTATTATATTTATTCTTGTACTCCACAATGTAGCCAGCAGCCAGCTTCGGGTGTAGCCTATTCTCATCCAACTACAGTTGCTAGCTACACTGTCCATCAGGCTCCAGTAGCTGCTCACACAGTTACTGCTGCCTATGCACCAGCAGCCGCCACAGTTGCAGTTGCCAGGCCTGCTCCAGTAGCTGTTGCAGCTGCTGCAACAGCTGCTGCTTATGGAGGCTACCCCACTGCACACACAGCAACTGACTATGGTTATACTCAGAGGCAACAAGAAGCACCACCACCACCACCCCCAGCTACTACACAAAACTACCAGGTAAGAAAACTACTAGTTTTGGTAGCCTGAATGTGCGGGTTTCTTTGTCTTCAGTGTATAATGTAATGCCCTAGCCATTGCTTCTCAAACTTGGGGCTTCCAAAATACACATGTACTGATAGAGAAAAGTAAATGAGTATTCCTTGGTAGTTTGGGACATACCAACCATTAAGGTTCCTTGCCGGCTGGGCGCGGTGGCTCATGCCTGTAATCCCAGCACTTTGAGAGGCCAAGGTGGGTGGATCACCTGAGGTCAGGAGTTCAAGACCAGCGTGTCCAACATGGCGAAACCCCGTCTCTGCTAAAAATACAAAAATTAGCTGGGTGCAGTGGTGCGCACCTGTAGTCCCAGCTACTCAGGAGGCTGAGGCACGAGAATCACTTGAATCCAGGAGGCAGAGGCTGCAGTGAGCCAGGATTATGCCATTGCATTCCAGCCTGGGTGACAGAGCGAGACCCTGTCTCAAGAAAAAAAAAAATTCCTTGCAATGAGCTTTGTATTAATAATCCTTCCTCTCACCCCCCGTCCATTTGACTCTATTATTTATAGCTGTCTGTTAAAAACTTTCACATTAATTGCTAGTTAAATATTTCATTGTTTACCCCAAGTTTGTTTGTTTGTTATTGTTTTAACTGAAGACATAGAAAAGACTTCCCTTGTTTGTACTAGAGCATTATTCATCTGGAACACAGGTATGTCTCCTATTTTGAGAATATTTTGAGAGCAGGACAAACATATTACATATTTTCTTCTTGAAACTTAGCAAAGGTGGAAATTCTGTCCCCTTTACATTTATCCTGTCAAGATGTTCTTTTTTAATACATATTATAACAAAAATTGATCATGCCCTTATTCATCCAGTTGCCTCTTACTCAGTCTTATAGGAATTCTACATTCTCCTTATTATGTTTGAAAACAGTGCTAGATTACTACTTGCTTATTTAAATTAAATTTGGTCCTAATTTCTTTAATCTGTTTTTTTGCTTATTTGCTTTTAGGATCTGTTTTTTAAACTTTGGTCCTTCTGAACTTTCCCTGGTTTTGCTATATTCTTTCTAAAGCATAGAAATTTATGCAGTAAAAAATTGAAATGTAAATCAACAATATTAGTATTTGCTATTAATTTTAGGCAGGTTACTAAATGAAATTCCTTTTGAGGTGTGATTATTTATGCCCAGAGACAGAATATAATAAATTTTGTTGTTTTTAATAGTGTCTGTGAAACCCAGTGTTTTCTGGGCCCTACCTGCTACTTCAGCCATTTCACCTACATACCTTTCTACCCCTCTTTACTTCATGGACTGCCAGAATTCACTCAGCTCACCTTGATCTTTCTTGAAAAAGAAATACTGAAAAGGAGCAATTACAAAGTTTAGTAACACAAGTGTTCTTTTGTAATATTGTAGGATCCATCTTTAAGGCAAAACTTCTGTGACTTTTTTAATAAAATTAATTTTTACTTAAGTATTATTTAGAAATGTTTTGGTGATTGTTCTGATTGTAAAAGTTCAACATGCTGCTTGAAATGCTTTTGATTTTTTTTTTTTCTTTTTTTTTTTTGAGGCAGAATCTCTCTCTGTCGCCCAGGCTGGAGTGCAGTGGCGCAATCTTGGCTCACTGCAACCTCCGCCTCCCGGGTTCATGCCATTCTCCTGCCTCAGCCTCCCGAGTAGCTGGGACTACAGGTGCCTGCCACCATGCCCGGCTAATTTTTTGTATTTTTAGTAGAGACGGGGTCTCACCGTGTTAGCCAGGATGGTCTTTATCTGCTTACCTCATGATCCGCCCGGCTTGGCCTCCCAAAGTGCTGGGATTACAGGCGTGAGCCACCGCACCCAGCCTTGATATTATTTTAATGAAGTACAAAATGAATCTTCTGTGTATTTAATTTGATTCTTTTATGTTTAGGTCTGTCATGAAACTACGTATTTAGTGTTTTGTTTTCCTTTATTGCACTTCTATACAGTAAGTATTTTTTTCCTTCCACTTGTCTCATAGCAAGATTTTCTTTCATTCCTTTTCTTTAGGATTCATACTCATATGTAAGGTCCACAGCTCCTGCTGTAGCTTATGATAGTAAGCAATACTACCAACAACCAACAGCAACTGCTGCTGCTGTAGCTGCCGCTGCCCAACCTCAGCCTTCTGTTGCTGAAACTTACTATCAGACAGGTGGGTTTTCTTAACCTACAGAGTTTCTTTGTAAACTATTGAAGTATATGACTTACTGCGTTTAATGAAGATAAGCTTTTGAGTCCATCTAAACTCATATCACATCATCTTAGGAGGCAGGTTCTAGACCTGTCCTACTAAATGCCTTGGAGTCACAATTCATAATCATGCCTTTCTCTCCTGGAAATGTACTCCATTTCTGGACTTTCAGCCCACAGTCCATTCCTGCTGAAATAAGCTGTGCAAAAGAACCTGTGATGATAACTTCTGAACACATTTTTATCTTTGCCAGAAATGCCCAGAACATATGATACTGCCAACAAACAGCCTTTGTAACCAGTGGAGACCCTTTAATGGGCCCATATTTTTAATTAATCTTTCTCTGATCGCTAATGACAGTTGGTTCTGTTATCAGCCACCAATCATGTTAAATACAGTATGTAGAATGGTTCAAATCTAGGAAGCATTTCGTTTGCAAAGAAACCTGTATATTTACAGACTTTAAAAGATGGATTTTTTTTTTTTTAGAGAGAGACTTGATAATTTTTAAAACAAAGCTTTTGAAAAGTGGGCAGTTCTTGGGGTGGGGGGAGGGAAAGCACTAGGAGATACACCTAATGTAAATGACAAGTTAATGGGTGCAGCACACTAACATGACACATGTATACATATGTAACAAACCTGCATGTTGTGCACATGTACCCTAGAACTTAAAGTATAATAAAAAAAAAAAGAAAAAAAATGGGCACTTCCTTTAATTATTTTTGAAGGGTGTGAGGGTGTGGGTAGAGCGTTGGATTGTAAGAGAGTAGAATTGGCTTCCAGTACTGGCTTTATTGCTAATGTGGGCAAGTGATTTTTTACCTCTCTTATCTCTGTTCTCTTACCTGTAAATGAGGTAGTTGACCCAAATTTCAGTAGGGCCCCTTCTAGTTGTAAGATTTTATGAGTCCCTTAAAAGTGGTTTTAACATGTTTTGAATTATAGTGACTATCTGACTATTCCTGTGGTCTCTTCTCTTTTTTTTTTTTTTGAGACGGAGTTTCACTCTTGTCGCCCAGGCTGGAGTGCAATGGTGCAATCTTGGCTCACCGCAACCTCCACCTCCTGGATTCAAGCGATTCTCCTGCCTCAGCCTCTCAAGTAGCTGGGATTACAGGCATGCGCCACCATGCCCAGCTAATTCTGTATTTTTAGTAGAGACAGGGTTTCTCCATGTTGGTTGGGCTGGCCTTGAACTCCTAACCTCAGGTGATCTGCCCGCTTCGGCCTCCCAAAGTGCTGGGATTACAGGCGTGAGCCACCATGCCCAGCCTTGTGGTCTCTTCTCTATTGATTTCCGTGTATAATAATTTATAGTAAACTTCCTGTTTAATTACCAAGCTTAGGTTGTGCTTGAGTGCTAAATTATCTAAGAGAAGATCTTGATTTAGTCTAACTCTGGTATTGCTGTGACTTGTGTAAGTTGTTTAGCTCTTGGATATTAGTCTCATCTCTGTAAAGTATTATCTTTTTGTGTTACATGGATCAAATTTCATAAGCAGATAAGTTCTACTTGAGTGGCTGAGGTGGGAGGATCACTTGAGTCCAGGAGTTTGAGGTTGCAGTGAGCCATGATCACACCATCATACTTCAGCCTGGGCAACAGAGTGGGACCCTGTCTCAAAAAAAAAAAAGATAAAAGTTCTAATGTACTTTTACTTAACTGAACAAAAAATGAGCTTGGCCCCGTGATTTTGGGCCTTTTTCAGAAATAACATTTATGTGCTTTAGTGATCATTTACAAGTGATTATTAATTTAGTCATAAGGCTTCTAAGACTCTTTCAAAATATACATTGTTTTGAGTATGTCAGAGGCAGCAAAGAAGTTGACAGACATCAGTGGCAGCCATTTAAGAATAGCTGCATTCAAGTTATTGACATTTGAAAAATTATGTAGTACCTTGTTAGATTGTAGTTCACTATGGAAAAATCAGTTAAAATGCAATGAATGGTATATGAACAAGTTTCATATGATTAAACATTGAAGTTTTTACTGTGAATTGAAATATGTACATTGTAACTCATTCTGTCCTGTTTCCAATATTAAGCCTAACTGAAGTAGACTGACTAGTGCGCGCGCGCGCGCGCGCACACACACACACACACACACACACACACACTCCTTTTCAGAAAAGTTTGTTTAGTGGTAGCACTGCTATTTCAGTTAGTTGTAAGTTTTGCCAAAATAATCATTTTGGAAATACATAGAAAGCATTTGGCAGAAGATAGTATATTTATTTGTATATTCTATTCATATTGGTAATAAGAGTTTTATGCCTTTTGCTAAGGAGAAATTGCTGGCATAAAATTTATAGTTAATGATGTTTGTACCTATTCTTTCCAGCTTTTTAAGGATACTGGTACAGTAACTATAGTGGCTTACTCTTCTAATTTTCTGATGTCTCTTTCCTACTTCAGCCCCCAAAGCAGGTTACAGCCAAGGTGCAACTCAGTATACTCAAGCCCAGCAAACTCGACAAGTGACAGCCATAAAACCAGCCACACCAAGTCCAGCTACCACTACTTTCTCCATCTATCCTGTATCCTCCACCGTACAGCCAGTAGCAGCTGCGGCTACTGTGGTGCCATCCTATACTCAGAGTGCTACTTACAGTACCACAGCAGTTACATATTCTGGTAAGACTGATAAACTGTGTTTAAATGAGTAAACAAATTAGGAAGAGACTTAGTAGAAACTATCTTGATTGTCTTTGAAATTACCTTACTCCCAATAATAGGAATTAAATTAATTGATAGACATAAATATAGGTACATAATGTGACTGTTCTGTAAATTGTATGCTTTTTTGGGGGCGTGGGGAGGAGAAGATCTTAGAAGAATATAATATGTTCTTGGGGGTTTTAAGGCTCATTATGAGTCTTGGGCTTAGCATTGCAATTAAAGGAAGTAACACCGAGTTTTCTACAGGATTGTTTACTTTCCTGCTTTTCCAAATGAAATTGAAAACTCAAGGTTAATACTCAGGGAATACCACAGACAAATTATTTCTGTTTATTTTGGCTCTCGAAGAGCTATTTATTATCAGAAATAGTTCATCATGGAAATGTTGGGTAGCCCTTTCTAAACATCCATAAGATGGTGGTTATGTAACACACCTTTTTTGGAAGAACAGAGTACCTTTATTTTCCTTAAATAATTATATATTTCTCCCAGAGAGGTACAATGGCTAAAACCTTTTTGTGTCCACTGCTGTTGCCAATTTCTAGCTGAGGAAGTTTGCATTTTCACAGTGATTAAGATCACACATTGCCTTTTTTGTAGAGACTCAGCTTTTGTATTCCTCCCAGAAGATATGCTGTGAATGACACTCTTTTATTTCTCAGAGATTTCTTATCTCTTACTCTAGGGTGCTAGGGATACAATGATGAATTAGGAATGCACGGAGTGTTTGAGAACTGCAGTTCATTGTGGCTGGAATACAGGATACATGGGGTAAATGTCAGTAGATGAGGCTAGAAGTGCCAGAGTATGTAAAGCCATGTGTGCTCTGCTATGGTGTGTGTCTTTATCTTGTGGGCAGAAAGGGAGCTGCAGAGGCTATATTAAGAAATGGAGCGGTGTGAGCAGATTTGTAAGTTAACCGGACAACCAGGTGGAAATGAATTGAATGAGGAGACATTAACATCTGAGAACTCTGGCTGGAGTGGTGAATGATGAGGACCTGCTCATCATTCACCAGTATGAATGATGGTAGAAAGACATTTTATAATCTATTAAAGGCATAGTACAGGAGATTCCTTATTTAGGAAAGAAATCTTTTGTTAAGATCTCAAGAAAATACTGAATTTATGATTCCTAGATCTGTCATTTAAGATAGATAGGACTTTACTGTCTCTCCCTATTTGGTTGACTAGCTATAATTGTAACTAGGATTATATTACAATGAAATCTGATTAGTCACATTTTTTTTAAATGTCCACATTAGCTTCAACAAAATAGGAAGTACCAGAGTAGCTTTTCCTGTTCATTGTTTCTCTCTTATATGTGCTTCCTTTCCTTTCTCTTTCTCTGGTTGTCTATACAGTATGAAGATAATTTTTATTTACATGAGTAATATATTATTATTTATAAATTAGAAACTATTTTTTTAGAAAGAGAAAAAAAGTTAAACCACTAGATTTCTACTCCTAGACACTAATTGTCATTAACATTTTAGTGCACGTCTCTGTCTACTTTTCTTCCATGGAATATACATGTGTAAATACGGTTTATAAAAATGCATTTGTCTTATACGTGCTATTCTGTAAACTGCTTTATTGTTACTGTGATTGCCTTTCGTGTCACTAAGTATAGATATATACCTCTGATTAATGTTTTTTCCCAACTTTTTATATCAGGTTTTTTTTGTTTTGTTTTGTTTTGTTTTTTGTTTTGTTTTGTTTTGTTTTTTTTGAGATTAAAAGAGTCTCACTCTGTCGCCTCGGCTGGAGTGCAGTGGTACCAGCTTGGCTCACTGCAACCTCTGCCTCTTGGGTTTAAGCGATTCTCCTGCCTCAGCCTCCCAAGTAGCCGGGACTACAAGCGTGCGCCACCACGCCTGGCTAATTTTTGTATTTTTAGTAGAGACAGGGTTTCGCCATGTTGGCAGGCTGGTCTCGAACTCCTAACCTCAAGTGATCCGCCCACCTTGGCCTCCCAGAGTGCTGGGATTACAATACAGGCATGAGCCACCGTGCCCGCCCCAGAAAATTTTAATTCTCCAGAAAAGTGGAAAAAAATAGTTCCAAGAACTATTTTTTATGCCATTCACCTAGGTTCACCAATTATTAATAATTTTTCAAATTTGCTTTATCTCTCCTTTCTCTTAAAGGCTATTTTCAAATGGCTCAGCAATATAAGTTTATAAGCAATATGCTTTACAAGTTGTAGATGACATGGTACTTTGCCCTGAATTCTTCAGAAGGTATTTCCCAAGAATAAGGACATTCTTTTATGTAGCCACAATGGCAACATTATGAAAAGGAATTGAACATGGATACTATACTATCTAATACATAAATTTGTCCAGTTGTCCAAAAATGTATTTAATGGCTGGGCTTTGTATGTATTTGGTGTATGTATGTTTGTGCTTGTGCTTTGTTTTTGAAATTGAGAATCTAGTCAAGGATCATGGATTGTATTTGGTTGCCATTCTTTGTTAGTTTGCTTTAATGTAGAACAGTTCCTTATTTTTATCTTGTCTCTCATGATAGTGATATTTTTGAAGTGTTCAGGCCAGTTGTCTTGTAGAATGTCCCATATCTGGATTTATCTGATGATTTATGTTTAGATTCAGGTAACTTTTTAGACAAGAAAATTACTTGACCAGCCTTCCATTTCATCACATCAGAAGCATGTAATAAGTAATGTTTGTTTATTCCTATTGATGCTGGCTTTACTGGTTAAAGCTGTGCCTATCAGATCTCTCCATTATAAAGATACCTTTTTCCTTTATAATGAACAAGTACTCTGTGGGCCTGTTGCTCAACTGTCTTTCACCCTGTGGTGGTAGATCCTTTGAAAACTGAATGAATTTCTACAGTGGTAGTTGCAAAATCCTTTCACATTGATCCTTAGGCATTCTTCTCTAGAGTTCCCTCCTTCCACTTCTTTTTTTGTTATTACTATGAACTTACTCATTTTTATTCAATGTACAGTCATCCCTGCTATCCATGGGAGATTGGTTCCAGGGCCCCCATTGATACCAAAATTTGTGGATGCTCAAGTCACATATATAAAATGACATAATATTTGCCTTTAACCTACGTACATCCTCTTAAATATGTTAAATTATCTCTAGATTACTTACAGTACCTAATACCATGTAAGTGCTATATATAAATGGTTGTTAAGCTGTACTGAGTTTTGTATTATATTTTCTATTCCCCGCCCCCCCTCAATTTTTTTTTTTTTTTTTGAGACAGCATCTCACTCTGTTGCCCAGGCTGGGGTGCAGTGGCGCAATCTCGACTCACTGCAACCTCTGCCTCCCAGGTTCAACCGATTCTTGTACCTCAGCCTCCCAAGTAGCTGGGGTTACAGGCGTGTACCACCATACCTGGCTCATTTTTGTATTTTTAGTAGAGACGGGGTTTTACCATGGTGGCCAAGCTGGTCTGAAACTCCTGACTTCAGGTTACCCACCTACCTCGGCCTCTCCAAGTGCTGAGATTACAGGCATGAGCCACCGCACCTGCCTCCGAATATTTTCAGTTCATGGTTGATTGAATCCATGGTTGCTGAACCGATGGATACAGAGAGCGACTATATTATAATCTGTTACTCTCATTTCTCTCTTTGAGGCTCACACAGTTTTAAATTTGCCCAGTGAGATCTGCTCAAACCAGCTCCTGAGTCTTTTTGACATATTCTCATTCGTCTTTGAACACATCTTTCCTCTTTGCCACTGAAAGTTATTACAGATACACTTTGAGCTTTCCCTGCCCTAGAGTCACGGTCAGCCATGTCACACAGGAGCCATGATTTCTTATAAATGCCAGTGGTATTTAGAAACCATTCTAATGGCCACAAAGTATTTTATTGTATGGATGTACTATGTTTTAAAGTGTGTATTTGAGGACATTTAGTTGTATATGAGACAGAAACTGGAAACAGCACTAGGTAGAACATCCTTACATGTAAAGATTTGTACATTTGCCCACTTGTTTCCCTAGGATAAATTTCTAGTTCTGGAACAGTTATAAAGTATCTGTTTTTTAAAGACTATGTGATACACAGTCCAGAGTTGCCAAATCAGAGAAACCATTGTTAAGGCTTCTGAGTTCTTTATCTGCAATTTTTGGCAGCTACAATTTTGGTCAGCTGTTCTCTTTATCTTAGTAAAATGAGTTCTAGAGTATTGCTACCTACCAAATGATGACTTGTAGCATGATGAATTTACTACTGAAATGTTAATTTTTTTTGTTTCTGGTATCATACATTTAAAAGCTATATGCCAGCTCTTCTAATATCATAGCTTACTAATTAATTTTTTTTTTGAGACTAGGTCTCATTCCATCACCCAGGCTGGAGTGCAGTGGCACCATCTCAGCTCACTGCAACCTCCACCTCAAGAGATCCTCCCACCTCAGCCTCCCAGGTAGCTGGGACTACAGACGTGAGCCACCATGCCTGGCTAATTTTTTATTTTTGTATTTTTTGTATAGATGGGGTTTTGCCATGTTGCACAGGCTGGTCTCGAACTCCTGAGCTCAAGCAATCTGCCCACCTCCGCCTCTCAAAGTGTTGGGATTACAGATGTGAGCCACCACGCCTGGCCTTGATAATGAAAGTACATTTTTTTTTTTTTTTTTTTTTTTTTTGGAGACAGTGTCTTGCTGTGTCACCCAGGCTTGGAGTAGAGTGGCACAATCCCAGCTCACTGCAACCTCCACCTTCTGCGCTCAAATGATCCATCCTGCCTCGGTGCATGCCACCACACCGGGCTAATTTTTTGTATTTTTAGTTGAGATGGGGTTTCACCACACTGCCTAGGCTGGTCTTGAACTCCTGAGCTCAAGTGTTCCACGAGCCTGACCTAGTAAAAGTACTTTTTAAGTGAAACTATTTTAGTTTTCAAAAACTGTGCTTTTACTTAATTTATAGACACAGATTTCTTTTTTTCTTTTTCTTTGAAACAGGGTCTCATTCTGTCACCCAGGCTGGAGTGTAGTGGCACTATCATCATGGTTTACTGCAGCCTCAGCCTCCTGAGTAGCTGGGACTACAGGCACACCACCACGCTTGGCTAAGCTGGTTTGAGCGGATCCCATTGGGCAAATTTAAAACCATGTGAGCCTCAAAGAGAGAAATGAGAGTAACAGATTATAATATAGTCACTCTCTGTATCCATCGGTTCAGCAACCATGGATTCAATCAACCATGAACTGAAAATATTCGGATGCAGGTGCGGTGGCTCATGCCTGTAATCCCAGCACTTGGAGAGGCCGAGGTAGGTGGGTAACCTGAAGTCAGGAGTTTCAGACCACCCTGGCCACCATGGTAAAACCCCGTCTCTACTAAAAATACAAAAATGAGCCAGGTATGGTGGTACACGCCTGTAATCCCAGCTACTTGGGAGGCTGAGGTACAAGAATCGGTTGAACCTGGGAGGCAGAGGTTGCAGTGAGTCGAGATTGCGCCACTGCACCCCAGCCTGGGCAAAAAAAAAAATGGGGGGGTGGGGCGGTGGAGAATAGAAAATATAATACAAAACTCAGTACAGCTTAACAACCATTTATATAGCACTTACATGGTATTAGGTATTGTAAGTAATCCAGAGATAATTTAATGTATTTAAGAGAACGTTTTAAATTTGAAAGCTGTGGATTTTACTTATAAGCCTACCTGAAAACTGGTAAACTGACCATTTCTAGACTAAGATCTCTGGAAATTTGGTAGACTGCCTATTCACCATATTTCAGTTAAATTTCCTTATTCCTGTAAGTGGTAATGGATGGGCAAAGAGTGATATAAAGCTTGAGAGAGATTCCTAGTTGACAGAAAAGCACAGAAGAACTGCTTACAGAGAATTAAACTTTTTGGTCTCTCAAATGCAGACTGCAATACTGAAAGACTTAGGACCCCCTAACTCCAATATGTCTGTACACATAGGGAAGGAAAAATAAATTGGAATGGTGAGAGCTAAAATGCGTGGAAAACCAGACATATCCAGGAGAAAAGTAGTCAGGCAACTTTTGAGAAAAGCCTTCTTAGACTTTTATGTTAGGCTACTATAGTATATAAAGTTTTAAGATAGAAAGTGTGATAATAGACAAGAAAACATCTGAAATGAAAATAGAAACAGGTAGCTGTATATCAGTGATAAAGCATGTATATGATCAGATAAAATTGAGAAAACAGTTGAGATAATTGCTTAAAACAAAATTTCTATAAACTAATAAACTCTACTGGGCAGTCCTACAAACGTCCTCTATTACTTACGAATGTGATAAAAGAACACAAGCTCACAGCCAAATGTTTTCAAGCTTACAGGCAAAAACATGTATAGTTTAAATTTTACTGTAGAGAAATGCCATAAAATTGTCCAGTTACCAATAATGAAGATGTTTTTAGATTTATTACCAAGTAGGATCATGATTTTTACATAATATCTTTATAACAGATATTTTCCAAATGACTTCAGTTCTTCTATATAGAAACTATACAAATGCCACAGAAATGTAACTTTATGAATTATCTATTAAGAAAATATGAAGCAGAATAAGGACAACAGAGGCCAACAGTGCTGAAAGAATAGTTCTTCTAGTTTTTTTTTTTTTTTTTTTTTTTTAATCAAACGTTCACAATACAGGAAGCAGTATGCCAGACACAGTGTAGTTTTTAGAACAGATCTATAAGGTAAGTATCACTATCCTTAAATATGAGAAAAATTAGGTTTAGAAATTGCAGTATCCTTTAAACACTGATCAAATTTAACCATAAAAATCACCAAGTTAAGCTTAATATTCATAAAATAATCTCTACTTGCACATAGGTAGTGTAAAACTAATAAAAGGCAAGTTTAGTTATAACTTACTACTTAGTTATAAAAATAAAGCATGCACTGAAAGGTGGGCTAAAGATTCTGGAACTCTGTTAAAGGGCATCTTAAATTCTCCTATAACTACTGGCAAACAAATGTACATTTCTTATAAAAAGCATTGTAGGAAAACAGATACAAGGCTGTGTCTGTGTCTGGCCTAGGCAACGTGGCGAAACCCCGTCTCCACGTTCACAGATTAAAAATCTGTAAATCACTGAACATAAGCAACATGTATATATTATATAAACAGCTTGCATAATGTACTTATTCACTGGAGTCTCTGAACAATGGAAATGGGTAGAATTCATACATTTAACCAGAAAACACAATGCTTTTTCATCTTTTGGAAGATGAGAACCAATGTATTGGTCCCTAATTCCTAAATCTTTAACAGTTGTTCTATATTTTCATCTGAACTTCAGTTCCACATCACAAACTTCTGCTAAACTTTATTTACCTTGCCTCCCCAGACTAGCATCTGTCAGCTTCTTGATTCTAGCAGTTGCACAGCCCATCAGTTGATCACTGGGGCTCCAGATTTTAGTGTCACATTTGTATGTTTTCCTCTTCTTTTATCTCTTTTGTCCTCTTAGCTACCAAGCATGTCAAATCTTACTTTCATGAGTTTTTGTTTTTCCTATCTAGTATCCTACTTCAGATTCTTCCTCAAATCCAACACTTCCTAAATTTTGTTCACAGGATTTTATTTGGGGACATATTAGCAGATTCTATAAACAGACAAGTTTGTCAAACACACTATCACATCTCTCCAATTAAACTATAAGGTTCTTCAAGGCAGGGACCAAATTTTACACTGTCTTTATACCTCTATAACACCTGGCATATATTGAGTAAATACTAGTTGATGACTTTCTTAGAAGGAAAATAAGCTTTTTTCTGGTTCTGTGAGATATACGTTTGTAAATATGCACATGTAAATCTATCTTTATTGGCAGGATTAATTTAATTTAAATTTGTAAATTTTAACTTGTCCTTCTATAAGTATGTAACATAATTTTTGTTTGATTTTTATTTGTAAGGTACGTCTTATTCAGGTTATGAAGCAGCAGTGTATTCAGCTGCATCTTCCTACTATCAACAGCAGCAGCAGCAACAGAAGCAGGCAGCAGCAGCAGCTGCTGCTGCTGCTGCAACAGCTGCCTGGACAGGGACCACCTTTACTAAAAAAGCACCATTCCAAAATAAACAACTGAAACCAAAACAGCCTCCCAAACCACCACAGATTCACTATTGTGATGTTTGTAAGATCAGCTGTGCTGGACCACAGGTACTTACGTTGTATGTTTTACCTTGAGTCTTCAGTGGTTATTAAGTGTAGTTGGTATTCTAACTCCTGAGCCTACTAAAAGAGGTTTACATTTTTTCCTGTTAGCTTTTAGCCAGTGCATTTTTTAAGTTACTTGTATTGTGGCATGAGAATTTTCAGGGAAAAAAAAACTGTAAAGATGATTGTGACTGTAAATGATAAATAGGCAAATTGAGCTTTTTTTTCCGGAAAGAGACTTTGTTCTTTAAAACTTAAATTTAGTTTTAAAATTTTGTAGTCAAATTAATTGCGACTTGGGTAAGATTGAATTTTTATTTCGTTGTGTTTTTAGCATCTGTAACTTACTTGCCAAAGCCTTTATTCAAAATTCTTTAACTTAATATAGCAGGTTACTGATAATCTATAATTTTCAGGATTGCATTTCTAATGAGACTGACTTTGATATATACTTTATAGTATGTTAGTTATTTCTGTAATCTCATAAGGGGAGTAGGAACTTCGGGAACAAGGAAGGTGTAAAGAAGTGTCTTTTTCAAAAATACCAATTAGTGAGGCATGTAAATGTAAAACCCTTATTCCTTTTTCGGTATTGTATTGTTTCTGGTTGCTAAACATTAAAACGGGTGATTATGACATGATTCTATTTATTAAAATTAATGGATTCAACTCCCAGCCTTATTATTATGCTTAAGAGTGTCAACTTTTTATATTAAAATTTGATAAACAGCTTGGCAGATAAAAGGCATGTTATTTGGAAACAACCAATTTTGACTCTCTACTAGCTTCTCCAAGTTATATCCATCTCTCATTTGCCCTACCTGTGTAACACGTTTACTTTACTGGATTAGTTTTCTCTACTTCTGAATTTTGGGGGGTATTTTCAGTTTCTAACATTCCCTGAGTTATACCAAATTACAGAACATTTTAATATATGTGGCTAGATATATAAAACCCTCTTTTCCCCTGTTTTGAGTATGGCAGGAAATAGTTTTGTTGTGGATTGCTTGGTTGGCAGGAGGTGACGGGAGGCAGGTGTGGCACAGGTAGGAAATGTTTGCAGGGACCTGGAGTAAACATGAAAGCGAACAAGAATGATGGGCGGTCTTAGTATTTAAGGAGCATTTCCTACTCTATGTTGACTGTTCAGAGGGGTTAGTGTCATGAGTGCCAGACTTGGACATAAGAAATTTATTGATTACCTGGCTTATATGAAAGTATACAGCGTGACGCTTGGGTGATAGATTAACAGCAGCATGTGGAATGAGTGCATATAAGGCTGGCTATTTTTGCTGTGCTGGGTGGTTAACAAAAAGAACAGGCCACAGGTATTTCTGCAAGTCAGTGTCAGTACCTTAAGGGGGTGGTTAATGAGCCTTAGCGAAAAATATCATTGAGATTGAGTTAGAGTTCTAGATGCGTACATAAGAAGGAAAAGAGTAAGTTGATTCAGCTTTTGGGGGCCAAGATTGCAGTCCTGGCTCTGCCACTAGCTATATAACCTTGGGCAATTTAGAGACCTTAACTTCTTTGGGCTTTTATTTCCTCACTTTTCTATAACAGGACTTGCCCTAAATAATTGAGGCTCAGACTGCTTGGTGGAGCTATTTCAGGCCACTGCAGATAATGAAAGGAAAGTCCCATCCAGCTCTGAATTGTATGATGAACATATAATTGTATGCTAATTATTTGTCAGTTTACAACTGTCTTTTAAGAGGCAGTTTTTAAAAAGAGAGTTTGAGACCAGCCTGGGCAACATGGCCAAATCCCATCTTTACCAAAAATATGAAAAATGAGCTACGCATGGTGGCAGGCACCTGTGGTCCCAGCTACTCAGGAGTCTAAGGTGGGAGGATCACATGAGCCTGGGAGGTGGAGATTGCGGTGACCCAAGATTGTGCCACCGCACTGAAGCCTGGGTAACAGAGTGAGACCCATCTCAAAAAAAGAGTAACAGAGGAACCATTTGGTCCTACTCACAAAACTGTCCAGTTGTTCTTACTAATATCCTCTCGTATTAATTAACAGCCTTCCTCAATCATGTGCATTCACAATGATTTTTAATATGTAATTTCACTATTTATTGGCTAATGTAACTATAATACTATTTTTGCTTGCAAGTATATACCATATTGGCCCTCATGTATTTTAAATAAGCATTCATTTAAGGGCCATGGATTCTAATACAGATTCTATGTCAAAATGTATTCTGAATTAGAAAAGTCAGTTTTATAAACATAGCTGTTTGTAAAGAATCTTGTTCCACCATACAGTAACTTTTTCTTTCTTCTAATGGTATAGGCACATCTCCCCCGCCTCATCTTAACCCTGTAACTAAATATAATTTCTTTATGGAATGATCACTGTCTATTATTCTCTGTCCAACATTTATATAAGCAACAAAAGATAAAATTTTTAAAACTGAAAGCCATTGCCTTATATTATGGCTATATATGAAAGTACTTTGTAACTCAGTGTTAGATAATATTCTTGATAAACAAGATACAGAGAACCATAGATATGTCACATATGTAACGAATGCCACATGCCCTTTTTCAACTTAAAAAGTTTGTTTTGGTCTCATTTTTAGATGAGTATTAGAGATTTCTTGAGAATTGAATAATCTTAATGTGTAAAGAAAATTAGTGAAGCAAAATGTTTCCTTTTTATTTGAAACAGACTTATAAAGAACATTTAGAAGGACAGAAACATAAAAAAAAAGAAGCTGCATTGAAAGCCTCACAAAATACCAGCAGCAGCAACAGTTCTACTCGTGGGACTCAAAATCAGCTACGTTGTGAGCTCTGCGATGTGTCTTGTACAGGAGCAGATGCGTATGCTGCCCACATTCGTGGTGCTAAGCATCAGAAAGTAGGTGTTTTTTTCCCACACACCCTTATGCCTTGATTCTGTTATCTTTTACTTTTTCAAAGGGGGTTAGGTAAAGGTAACTTCAAAGTTCGAAAACTTTTAAGTGCATTATAAGCCTTGCTTATGTGCTAATAATACATAAAGGTGACATCAAATAATCATTGCTAAAAGAGGGAAAGACTGGAGACCTGTCTTTAAATTGAACTAAACCATTTATTTCACTAACTGGGAATTGTCATGTGATCATTTTTAATGTAGCCAAGTCTGTTCATCTTTCTCTACCTCAGTTTCCTCACCTAATAGTAGATGGAATATGTATGCATATTTGCTTCACAGAGATTATCTTGAAAGTAATGAGTTTTGTATATGTGTGTATATACAAAAACATATAGCAGAAAAAATACAACAAAGAAAAGCATGGTTTAGATTTTCATTTTATAATGTTCCAGGCAGACTTTTCAAAATCTATTTGAGTTTCCTGACAAATAAGTGTGCTTTTGTTTTATAGGTGGTTAAGTTACACACAAAACTTGGTAAACCCATTCCATCAACAGAACCAAATGTTGTTAGCCAAGCTACTTCTTCAACAGCTGTATCTGCTTCAAAGCCGACTGCCTCTCCTTCAAGCATTGCAGCAAACAATTGTACTGTGAATACGTCATCAGTTGCAACGTCTTCAATGAAGGGTCTTACGACTACAGGAAACTCGTCTCTTAATAGCACATCTAACACTAAAGTATCAGCAGTGCCTACAAATATGGCTGCCAAGAAAACATCTACCCCCAAAATAAATTTTGTTGGCAAGTACTGATATTCTCTGTCCCTGCTGACTCTGTCAAAGTGTTGTTTCTTCTCCATTGCAGCACTAACCCTTCTCCCTGTGTTCTTGGACCTGCCTCCTCCCTTCTCTCTGGGACCTTGTTTCTTCACATATCTGCCTAGTGTGTGTGTATTTTTAATTTTTATTCCATCGTCTACTGGTTTCTTCCCTTCAGCCATACAGATATATCTGTGTCTTCCTCTAGTCATTTAAAAAAAAAAGATCTGCACACACAAAGACCCTTTTCCCATTTCTCTAATCTTAAGGTAACCTGATTGGTTTTTTTTGTTTTTTTTTTTTTCATTTTTGAGACAGAGCCCCACTCTGTCACCGAGGCTGGAGTGCAGTAGCACGATCTTGGCTCACTGCAGCCTCAATTTCCAGGGCTCAAGCGATCCGCCCACCTCAGTCTCCTGAGTAGCTGGGACTATAGCTGTGCTCCATCACACACAGCCAGTTTTTTTTTTTTTTTCTTTTTTTTGGTAGAGATGGGGTTTCACCACATTGCCCAGACTGATCTCGAATTCTCCTGAGCTCAGGTGAGCTGCCTGCCTCAACTTCCAAAGTGCTTGGGTTATAAGCATGCACCACAACGCATGGCCCTGATTTTTTCTCTACGTCTGTACTTCCTACCCAATCCTCAGTCTGCTATAGTGTTTCTACTCTGCCTTTTTCTGAAGCTGCTTTCAGTAGTCACCAAAGACCTAATTGCCAATCCAGTGGCCAGTTTTCAGTTTCATCCTATTGACTCTCCTAATACTTGACACAGTTGACTGCTACACCTTTAGGCTTAAGATACATCTCTGTCTCTCAATTATGTGTCCATCCACCCCTTTCTCAGTTTTCCTTATTGGTTCTCCTGCCTATGTGTTCATTAAATGGTAGTGTTACTAAGATTATAACCCTGGCCCTCGTCTCACTGTCCGCCTCTATTAATGGGTGGTCTCATTCATTCCCATGTGGGCAGTGACTTTTAAAATCTTTCTGGTAAATTCAAAACCCCCACCTGAGTTGGACAGCCACATTTTAAATATTCCCTGGACATCTTTTATATGGCGGTGTGGATGCCTCCCAATGTGTCTCATTCTAACCCATTAATTCATGAGAAGAGTACCATGAAATAATGTCATAAAATTGCAGATTTCTGAAGTGGAAAATCCACTAACATTATTTCTTTGTTTTTATTGCCTTCTCCAGCTGTTTACCTAGTCTTGTTTCTATCTCTATAATATTTCTACAAAAACTTCTTCGTTGCCATTGCCCTTTTTTAGGCCTTAAAAGTCTCTTCCTTGGAGCTTTATTTCTTACTGTACCCAATCTCAACATATTCTCCACACTCTTATTTCATTAAAATACATATCTATTGTGTTAGTCTTCTGCTCAGCAGCCTTCCACTGCAATAGGATAAAATCTGTAGTCCTCATTTGTCATATAAGGCCCATCATTACCTGACCCATGCCTACCTTTCCAGCCTCATAACTCATCCATGCTACCTGTGTAGTAATTCATATTGAATTACTGGCTCTTCCTTGAGTTTACCATAGCCTTTTTCACACCATGTTGCTGTGCTTTTATGTACATGCTATTTTTTTCTTTTTAAACGTCATTCTTTTCTTTCTGACCAGTTCATATTCTTTCAAATCCCAGTTCAAGTGTCACACCCTTTGTGAAACCTTTCCTTACTGGATCATGTTAAAGGGTGGTGGCTCCTTCTAAATTTCCGCAATATTCAGTCCATACTTCTTATAGTGCTTATCACATTGTATTATCGTTATTTGTATCTTCCCATAAATTGGACACTTGAAAGGCAGCTACATTGTCTTCTCTTTACTGTATTACCAGAACTTAGCGCCGTATCCAGATTGTTGTAGATACTTAAGAATATTTTTGAAAGAAAAGTTTAAAAGTAGGAGATTCACAATTAACATGCTATTCTCTTGGACAGTTAGTTGAAGTGTTAAGTTTAATTGATGATAAAAATGAAAGCTATTATTTATAGTCACTTCTACATCAGTTTCTGAGGTTCTTCATACTTTCAGTTTAGAACAATAATAGAAAATCTTTTGTAAATAAGTTAAAGGAAATAAACAGTGATAAAACCTAAATTGGTTCTGTTTCCTTCCCTGGTGGGAAACTTTGTTTGGACTAAGTTTGCAGAGAGACCTAATCATTGAACTTAACTTTTTTTAATTTTTCTAAATTGTAGGGCATGACCTAGATGTTACCCCCAACTTTTTTGGGAGACAGGGTCTGACCAGGCCTGGAGTGCAGTGGTGCGATCTCAGCTCACTGCAGCCTCTACCTCTTAGGCTCAAGCAGTCCTTCCACCTCAGCCCCACAAGTAGCTAGGACTGCAGGCATGCACCATCACATCCAGCTAATTTTTGTAGTGACCAGGTTTTGCCATGTTCCCCCGGCTGGTCTCAAACTTCTAGGCTCAAACTCCTGGGCTCAAGTGATCCTCCCACCTCTGCCTCCCACAGTGCTGGGATCATAGGGCATAAGCCATCACACCCAACTGGAAGTTAGCAGTTTTTAAGGAACAAATACTACTCATTTCAGTCACTTGCCAAGAAACTAGGGCTACAAACATCAATTAGGCTTAGTCCTTACCATTTCAGGTACTTGCTATTCACTTTGAGGGGGGATGAGGAGGGTGTTGGGTGTTCCAAGATGGAAAAGAGAAAAATTCAGAAACGTATTTCACTAATAGGGTAAAAAAGCCAAGTAGTTTATGTAGTTCTTCAAAATTCTCATCTGTTGTATGTCAGTTAGGAGTTTGACTATTAGCAGAAAAGAACTTTATCTGAAGTTTTCGTCTTATCAGGTATATATATTTATACAAAAATAAAATTTTTTTTAACTTTTTGATACTTTTCTAGGTGGTAATAAGCTGCAGTCAACAGGAAATAAAGCAGAAGACATAAAAGGAACCGAATGTGTTAAAAGTACTCCTGTCACTTCTGCTGTGCAGATTCCTGAAGTAAAGCAAGACACAGTGTCAGAACCAGTCACACCTGCATCTCTTGCTGCTTTACAGAGTGATGTGCAGCCAGTGGGCCATGATTATGTGGAAGAGGTAATTGATTTGAGAATACCATTGCTGTGAAATTGGATAAAGGGAAGAAGTGCATTACGAGCATATGTTACGTGTAAAATTAAATATACTTAATTGTATTTTAGATTTAGCTTACTTAAAGAATATTAAAGGAATCTTTGTTATAAGAAAGCATGTCCTTTAAGCCTGCCTAAGTGACATCATAATGATTTTTTTTTTGCTAACTTTTATATTATTTTCCCTGTGTATTGCCACTGTGGTGTGCAAAGTAACTTTCTATTTACTAGCAAGCATTCTTGTAATACATCCTTCAACTATCATAAAACTTTAAAAGTTCTGAGCAGCAAAAATGTTGATAAAGAGAACCAATATATTTATTTTTGAATAGTCAGTTTTGTGATAAAATTAAGTTTGCTGATTTAACAGAATATATTCATTTGGTTTCTCAAGTGGAGTAGAAGACTGTTGCTGTTTTACAGGTAAAGTAAACTCAGTAAAATAAAGGAGTGAAGGGATATCAGAGGGGACTGGATAAATACCTGCTGTTAGCAGAAAGACATACAGTGGCATATGACTACTATTTACTTTGACTTTAGAGCATATATGTTTTTTGAGCTTCAGTGTCGATATCTATAAAATTGGGATATTCCCTAACAAAGTTGTGAAGAGTAGATGAAATAAAGTACCTAGCATGGTGTCTAGCATCTAGGAGAGTTTTTGTTTTTGTTTTTGTTTTTGTTTTTGTTTTTGTTTGAGACAGAGTCTTATTCTGCCACCCAGGCTGGAGTGTAGTGACACAGTCTTGGCTCACTGCAACCTCTGCCTCCTGGGTTCAAGCAATTCTTCTGCCTCAGCCTCCCAAGTAGCTGGGATTACAGGTGCATGCCACCACCCCCAGCTGATTTTTGTATTTTTTTTAGTAGATGGGGTTTCACTATGTTGGCCAGGCTGGTCTCGAACTCCTGACCTCATGATCTGCCTGCCTCGGCCTTCCAAAGTGCTGTGATTACAGGCGTGAGACACTGCGCCTAGCCTAGTAGGTTTTAAATAAATATTTGTTCTTGCATCATTTTTCCTATCAAGAAAAATTATCTATGGATGGCCAGGCACAGTGGCTCACGCCTGTAATTGCAGCACTTTGGGAGGCCGAGGTGGGTGAATCACTTGAGGCCAGAAGTTCAAGGCCAGTAGTTGCGCACACTTGTAATCCCAGCTACTCGGGACGCTGAGGCACAATCACTTGAACCTGGGAGGTGGAGGTTGCAGTGAGCCGAGATCACACAACTGTACTCCAGCCTGGGCAATAGAGTGAGACTCTGTCTCACAAAAAAGAAAAGAAAACAAGAAAAAGAAAAATTGTGTATTGAATTCTTTGTTTACAAGGTGGATAGCTGGGTTATGGAATTTATAATTAGTTCAGAAATAATTCTGACTTTTAAGTTTCATCTCTTAAAGGAGTAAGATTTGATTATCTCAAAAAAAGCTCTCAACCAGAACACCCAATTTTTGATGATACTGTTTAATCCTAAACTTCAGAGAATTACATTCAGAACCTATCTTAAAGCTTGGACAATTTGAACTCAGTATTCATAATAGACTTCATAGTAAGACTCAAGTTTACTTGTCCTCCTATAACTGTTCAGTTAGAAAAAATTTCATCTTAATTTTCCATAAAGTTACATATTATAAAACCTTGAGCTTTGAGAAATTTTGTATACCAAAATAATGCTATTATTCGTCGTTATCTTCATTTTCAAGAACAATACTTGGCCAGCAGCAATTATTCAGTAACTATTAGAAAATTTAAGACATCTAGCTACATTTAAATCTAAATGCTTACATACATACAAAAATATTAAATTGAAAGATAGTGGCCAGGCATGGTGGCTCACGCCTGTAATCCTAGCACTTTGGGAGGCCGAGGCGGGCGGATCACGAGGTCAGGAGATCAAGACCATCCTGGCTAACACGGTGAAACCCCCATCTCTACTAAAAATACAAAATTAGCTGGGCGTGGTGGTGGGCACCTGTAGTCCCAGCTACTCGGAAGGCTGAGGCAGGAGAATGGTGTGAACCCAGGAGGCGGAGCTGGCAGTGAGCCGAGATCGCACCACTGCACTCCAGCCTGAGCGACAGAGCAAGACTCCATCTCAAAAAAAAAAAAAAAAAAAAAAAAAAGATACAAGAGCAAACACATGCTATCACATCTTGCATGCTAAAATTCCAACTTTTCATTCCCATTTCTACAGTTTCTATCCTTTTAAAAAGTAATAGGCCAGGCGCAGTGGCTCATGCCTGTAATCCCAGCACTTTGGGAGGCCAAGGTGGGCGGATCACAAGGAGTTTGAGACCAGCCTGGCCAACATGGTGAAACCCTGTCTCTACTAAAAATACAAAAAACAAATTAGCCGGTCGTGGTGGTGTTACATACCTTTAATCCCAGCTACTTGGGTGGCTGAGGCGGGAGAATCGCTTGAACCCAGGAGGCTGAGGTTGTAGTGAGCTGAGTTCAAACCACTGCACTCCAGCATGGGCGACAGAGCAAGACTCTGTCCTGGGGAAAAAAAAAATGTAATAGACATTGCCACTTCTTTCTAACTGTGTACAACTTCATCAAATAATATGTGGGGGTTTATGAATGATATAATCTTCAACTATGATGATTCTTGAATTTTTTTTCCACACCAAGGTACGAAATGATGAAGGAAAAGTAATTCGGTTCCATTGTAAATTATGCGAGTGCAGCTTTAATGATCCCAATGCTAAGGAGATGCACTTAAAAGGGCGAAGACACAGACTTCAATATAAAGTGAGTAAAATTTCAGCTATTACCTTCTTTAAAACAAAAAACAAAAACAAAAACACCCAGAGCATTCTTTATGTAAAAGAAAGCATCTAAACACAGCTTGCCAAGTCCATGATGTCCCATTCTAAGATTAGCATGTCATGTTGGTAGACTCAGATGGATGTTTGGTTTTTATTTATCCATTTTTAAAATAAAGAAGAATAACATTCTCATCAGTTTTAGTAATTGTGGCAAAAACTGAAGCATTGCCTGGACCAAGCAATCATGTAAAGATAATTAATTCACATAAAATGTTTGAAAAAAGTCTCAACTATTTATCCACCTTCTTTATCTGGTAGAATTCCCACCAAAATGAACTTTGAGATGAGTTGATATGTTGGAAAATCCCTTCACTTATCTTAGCGTAGGAATTCTTCACTGAATACACTTCAAATGTTAAGATAAATCAGATATTGTATTTGAAGTTTTTTTTTTTAATGAGATGGAGTCTCGCTCTGTAGCCAAGGCTGGAGTGCAGTGGCATGATCTCGGCTCACTGCAGCCTCTGCTTCCTGGGTCCCTGTTCAGGCATTTCTCCTGTCTCCGCCTCCCGAGTAGCTGGGATTACAGGCATGCACCCCCATGCCCAGCTAATTTTTGTATTTTTAGTAGAGATGGGGTTTCACCATGTTGGCCAGGTTGGCCTGAACTCCTGACCTCATGATCCGCCCTCCTTGGCCTCCCAAAGTGCTGGGATTACATGCGTGAGCCACCGTGCCTGGCCTGTATTTGAAGTTTTTAACTAGGCTAGATTGATGTACTAGATCCATGTTTTCTGTTTTAAACACGGAGGAGGTGAAAATTAAAACAGTGTAAAAGGGTAGTACTTAAATATGTAAAGAAACTTTTTAACCCCAACATAGACATTTAGAGTCATCTGTTTATAAACAGTTACAGTTGACCCTTGAACAACATGGAGGTCAGGGGCCCCTCACGCAGTCAAAAATTTGCCTGCCTTTTTTTTTTTTTTGAGATAGGGCCTTGCTCTGTTGCCCAGGCTGGAGTACGATGACATGAACATGGCTCACTGCAACCTCCCGGGCTCCAGTGATCCTCCCACCGCAGCCTCCCAAGTAACTGGGACTACAGGCATGTGCCACCATGCCTGGCTAGCTTTTGTATTTTTCTAGAGAACGTTTCACCATGTTGGCCGGGCTAGTCTGAAACTCCTGGCCTCAAGTGATCTGCCTTCCTTGGCCTCCCAAAGTGCTGGGACTCCAGGCTGCTTATAACTTTTGACTCCCTAAAAACTTCTAAAAGCCTACTAATGACCAGAAGCCTTACTGATAACATAAACAGTTATTTTTATGTTAACACATTTTTGGTATGTCATGTATCTCATATATACTGTATTCTTAGAATAAAGTAAGCTAGAGAAGAGAAAATATTATTGAGAAAATATGAAAATCAAAATATTTACTATTCATTAAGTGGAAGTGGGTCATCATATAAAGGTCTTCATCCTCATCATCTTCAAGTTGAGTAGGCTGAGGAAGAAGAGGAGGGGTTGGTCTTACTCTCTCAGGGGTGGCAGAGGGAGAAGAAACTCAGCAGCATAGATGTAAGTGTATTCATATACTTCAAACCCCTGTTGTTCAAGGGTCAAATGTAAAGTAAAATTAAATATCCATTAGTTTTTCTAAGGATTTCATGACTTTTTGTTGGTCAGCACTAAGTTACATACTTTTTACATAATTTTTATTAATGTATTTTGAATCTTTTCTCTGATTTACCTTAATTATATTGATTTTACTCTCTAGTGGGAAACTTGCAACTAAAAGCCTCCGTGATTAAAGAATAAGTGTAATTGTATGATTAAAAATACATGTAGATTGTTTTGGGGCTGCTGTTTTTTAAATGTCTTATTTATATTAATAGAAAAAAGTAAATCCAGATTTGCAAGTAGAAGTAAAGCCTAGTATTCGAGCAAGAAAGATTCAAGAAGAGAAAATGAGGAAGCAAATGCAGAAGGAGGAGTACTGGCGAAGACGAGAAGAAGAGGAGCGTTGGAGAATGGAAATGAGGTAATATCTTTAACTTTTAATAGCCTGGTAAGTGGTTCAGCCTTTCTTAAAAACTTAGCCATTCTGAGCATGTGACTCCCATTCAAAGCAATCCAGATTTATTTACTTCCAATTTTCACTCTTGAGGAAGATCCTAGGTCTAGGAAAGACATGCATTAAAATTGTTACTGGCTATACTAATATTTTACTGTGGCCTTGGTATTAGAGTTATATGTTTAAGTGGCATCTTTTATAAATTAAACATATGAAGAAATAGTTTCATATTATAAATAAGTGCCTCGGTTTCAAACAAGCAAAATAGACATACATTTCCTGATAGAAGTATAAGATTTGATAGATTCTACATGTTAATAATGTCCATAAAGAAACTTTAGTGGCTACAGGGAAGGAGAATTGAGAAAACATATTTCAAATATTTGTTTATATATATATAAAGATACAAATGTTAAGTTTTATTGAAATATAACATATCTTCTAAACTTATACAGTGACAGAGTTGTGTAACAATCACCACAATCAATTTAGAACAGTTCATCACCCTCAAAAGAAATCACGTACCCATTAACAATAATTCCCCATGTGTCCCACATACCTAGTATCTCCCCCAGCCCCAGCCCTGGACAACCTCTAACCTTTCTGTCTCTATAGATTTGCCTATTCTAGAGATTTCATATAAATGGAGTCATATTAGGTTAATGCAAAAGTAATCGCGGTTTGTGCCAGATGACGATTTGAATTAATAAATTCATTTGGTATAAACCGCGATTATTTTTGCATCAACTTACTACAGTCTATGGTCTTTTGTGTCTGGCATCGTTCACTTAGCGTGTTTTCATGGTTCATCCAGATTGTAACATGTTTCAGTATTCCATTGTCTTTTATGACTAAATAATACTGAATAATACATCCTTATGTACCACATTTTGTTTATTCGTTCATTAGTTGATGGACATGCAACTTGTTTCCACATTTTGACTATTATGAGTATTGCTGCTGTGAATATTTTTGTATAACTTTTAAAATACAGTTTTAGCAGAAACATACCATACACGTATTTTCATAATCCACTTTTTTCATTTACATACCTTCAACTTTAAAAACTAAATTCGGATTATTTTGTTTTTCATGAGGACATAGTAATTTTTGTGCATATGTAAAATTTTCTTCATAACCAATCCTTGTTGTTATTGTTTAGATATTTAGGTAGTTTCCAGTGTTTCCTTATTATAGTTATTAATATCTTGACCCTCCTTGAGGCACTTTTTTGTTTCTTTCACCAAGTATGTGAACCTATTGAGGCGATATTACTGCATACATTATCGTTAGTTGCTAATAATAGAATATGGGAAATGGAAATGTTTGAAGGATGCTCACATGTCTGCCTATACTGGATAGCATAACTCAGTGGTTCTCAAACTTTTTGGTCTCAGGATCCTTTATCCTCAATTATCAAGGACTCCAAAGAGTCCTTATGTGGGTTATACCTGTCAAGACTTACTGTATTAAAAATTAAAACTGGCCGGGCACAGTTGCTCATACCTGTAATCCCAACACTTTGGGAGGCTGAGGTGGGTGGATCACCTGAGGTCGGGATTCAAGACCAGCCTGACCAACATGGAGAAATTCCCATCTCTACTAAAAATACAAAATTAGCCGGCGTGGTGGCGCATGCCTGTAATTCCGGCTACTCAGGAGGCTGAGGCAGGAGAATTGCTTGAACCCGGGAAGAGGAGGTTGCGGTGAGGCGAGATCGCGCCATTATACTCCAGCCTGGGCAACAAGAACAAAACTCCGTCTCAAAAAAAAAAAAAAATTTAAAACTAAGAAATTTAAATATTTGTTAATTCATTTTAAAATGACATTTTAATTATTTTTTGAAATATGGTTACATGTATATTTGTTAAAATATTACACGATATATTTAATCAATAAAATACAGTAAAAAAATTATTCCACAGAATAGTGGGAAAAGTTATGCTATTTTACATTTTTGTACATCTCTTTAATGTCTGGTTTTAACAGAAGGCAGCAAGATTCTCATGTTTGCTTTTGTGTTCATATGTGGTGAATAACACATGTTGCCTCTGGATAATTTCACTGTACATTTAGAATGAAAGAGCAAGTAAGTGTCTTTAGTATTTATTATGAAAATAATTTTTTTTTTTAAACAGAGTCTCACTGTGTTGCCGAGGCTGGAGTGCAATGGCACGATCTTGGCTCACTGCACTCTCCACCTCCTGAGTTTAAGTGATTCTCTTGCCTCAGCCTCCCAAGTAGTTGGGATTACAGGCACCTGCCATCACGCCTGGCTAATTTTTGCATTTTTAGTAGGGATGGGCTTTCACCAGGTTGACCAGGCTGGTCTCAAACTCCTGGCCTCAAGTGATCTGCCCGCCTCGGTCTCCCAAAGTGCTGGAATTACATGTATGAGCCACCACGACTGGCCTTATTGTGAAAATAATTTTGACCCCATGGATCTCCTGAAAGGGTCTCCGGGACCACTTGGTGTCCCTGAATTGCACCTGGAGAACCCCTGCTACAGCTTAATAAAATCTCTACCAATTAAATGTGATAGCCATTTTGTTTCAGTTTGAATTGTTTTCATGTTTGGCTATTTATACTTCTTTTGTGGTAAATTGCTTGTTTTTTCTTATGTGTTGATTTGTACAGACGTTTCTTACGTTGTTATTATTAATAATCCTTTTTATGGGTTACCTTTAAATAGTTTTTACTATTATGTATGTGTTGGTTTTAATTTTTACACATTTATCAGTTATGTCCTTTATGAAGTTTCTGCCTTTGTAACATATTGGGAATTCTCTTCTATAGCTAGATTATACAGTGCTTTCCTCTTTCACTGATAATACCAACTATTAAGCATCCACAGTGTGCCAGGAACTGTATTAGGTAGTGAGCACAAATTGGTAAACAATGGATAAAGGTCCCTGCCCTTATTTGACTTAAACGTTGTTAGCAACAACAGTAAACTATTAGAAACTGAAACGAACAGGATTTTCCAGAACGTTTAAGCTGTTTTTATTCATTTTTTCCTCAAAGCCTAAATAACATAGATAGAAGAATGGTTTCTATCAGTCCCTAGTTGGTTAATCCTAAAAAGCACTGCTGGCTGGGCACGGTGACACACTGCCTGTAATCCCAGCACTTTGGGAGGCCAAGGCGGGCAATCAGTTGAGCCCAGGAGTTTGAGACCAGCCTAGGCAACATGACAAGACCCCATCTCTACAAAAAATACGAAAATTAGCTGGGCGTGGTGGTGCACACCTGTATTCCCATCTGCTTGGGGGGCTGAGGTGGGAGGATCACCTGATCATGGGAGGTCAAGGCCACTGCAATGGGTGACAGAGTGGGACTCTGCCAATTTAAGGGAAAAAAAAGCACTGCTTATTCCCAACCTGAGGAAATTGGTAGTTTCTGTAATGGTAGTCAGGAAGCGCACTTCTTTCTTATATGTTAACAGATGACATTAGTAAAACCTTAACCTAATTGTTAACAGAATTTGCTGTAGACACATGGTTTCCCTTGGGAATTATTGGTATCCTAGTTTGAAGTTGAAAATGAGGAAAGAACTGGGAGGGCAGAGGGGAGGAGATGGTAAAAAAAAAAAAAAAAAAAGAGTAGATTTCGCATATGTTGGTCAGTAAAGCAGAGGCTGTACACTAGCTGCCCACATTCTGAGTTCAGCTCAGAGGTGTTATATTTGGTATGCATAGTATTTTGTAATCTGAACCAGCAACCGTGAAGTTTCACAAAAATCCTGATGACCTCAGCAACACAGCCTGTGCAGTAGTCCCTCCTTGTCCAAGGGGGTTACGTTACAAGACCACCAGTGGATACCTAAAATCGCAGGTTGTACCAAACCCTGTATATGCTATATGTTTTCCATCTGATAACGGTGTTAGTTACTAAGCAACTAATAGGCTAGTAGGGTGTATACTGTGTGGACATGCTGGACAAAGGGATGATTCATAGGTGGGATGGAGCTGGACAGCGCAAGATTTCATCACACTGCTCAAAATTGCACAAGATTTAAAACTTACGAATTGTTTCTTTCTGGAACGTTCTTTTCTATATTTGTATACTGTGGTTGACCATAGGTAACTGAAACCACGGCGATGAGAATGGTGGGGACTATTGTATTCCCTTATGGCAACAATTAATAGGAGCTGAGTTGCAGCAGCTGTTATCTCTAGCCAGGACAAGTTCTTTACCATAATTCCCAACACCCTTAATGTGTCCCCAACAGTAAGACTGACTATGACTTGCCATTTATCACTGCCTTGCACTGTTTTTCTTCATAGTAGAGACATAGGAAAGAGCATGTTTCTTTGAGGACATGAAGAAAATTCCCAAATGTTGATCTGTGCACTTCAGGTCATTTACTCACAGTGTTGGCCTGCCTCCTTTAGGTGGCATTGGGTTTCTAATTCATACTTAAAGCAGGAGAGAGGTAAGAAACTGAGGTTTCTGATGCCTGTTCTTTTTACTTTTTCCTCAGGCTGAAATTTTCTGCTTTTCATGCTCTTTTCTCTTTCATTTACTTCGCAATGAAAGCAAACATGGAAAATCAGATACATTTGGGAAGAAATTTTAGCTAGGCTGATGTTGGTGGGGTTTTTTATTGCTTTTTATGTCACTATTGATGCAAGTTCTTGGGCTGTATTTTTCCTCATATGCTTATAATGTCATTCTTTATGTTTCAGACGTTATGAAGAGGACATGTACTGGAGGAGAATGGAGGAAGAACAACATCATTGGGATGATCGCCGCCGAATGCCAGATGGAGGTTATCCTCATGGTCCTCCAGGCCCATTAGGCCTTCTGGGAGTCCGACCAGGCATGCCTCCTCAGCCTCAGGGGCCTGCAGTGAGTGTCCACGTTGGTGATACAAGGGGTGAAAGTTTGACTGGTTCAGCATTAGAAGAAAACAATTTTGGAGGGGCTAATGTTTAGACTTAATAATCTTGTAATCTTGGTAGTTTTTTTGAGACAGAGTCTTGCTCTGTCGCCCAGGCTGGAGTGCAGTGGCGTGATCTCGGCTCACTGCACGTAACGTGCGCTTCCCAGGTTCAAGCAATTCTCCTGCCTCAGCTTTCCAAGTAACTGGGATTACAGGTGCTCACCAACACACTTGGCTAATTTTTGTATTATTAGTAGAGATAGAGTTTCGCCACGTTGGCCAGGCTGGTCTTGAACTCCTGACTTCAGGAGATCCGTCCGCCTGGGCCTCCCAAAATGCTGGGATTATAGGCATGAGCCACCTCACCCAGCTTGATACAAGTTTTTAATCTGATTTAGAATCTTTCCTCCATTTTTTATAGGAAGGGAATATGTTTCCTGTGTCTTCTGTATAAGGACCTCATAGAATTTCTGGGAATCTTTCTTATTTTCGGTATATGCTAAACGGGAACGGAGCTTTTTATGCCAACTGTTCTTTCACATGAGACTCTTGCCTTTGGTTTTCCTTACATGAGCAGGAACAACTAATTTTTTTTCTTGTTTCTTTTCTTATTTTTCCTTTGGAGTGCAGTGGCATGATCATAGCTCACCGAAGCCTCAGCTTCCCGAGTAGCCGGTACACAGGCATGAGCCTCTATACCTGTCAGAAACAACTGATGTTGAAGGCAACTGCTTTGTATTTAGATTTATTCTTACTGGTCTGGGTGCAGTGGCTCATGCCTATAATCCCAGTACTTTAGGAAGACCAAGGTGAAAGGATGGCTTGGTGCTAGAAGTTCAAGACTAGCCTGGGCAACATGGTGAGACCCAGTGTCTATAAAAATTTTTTTTTAATAGAAAGAAATTTATTCTTATTTTTCCATTACCAGTGGCTTAGAATCTTTTTTCCTTCTTCCAGTTTTGACCATCCAAAACCTACTACTTCTAAATTGAGTGAAAGATAAGGGGTAGATAAAATGGTTTTAAGATAAGCCCCAGAGTTGATGTGTTATTAAGACTATAGGAAAAATCTGCATCTTGAGAGATGCAGAAGCTGGGTAAAAGGGACATCTTGTGTAAGTTCAGTCTACCAAAAACAAGATTTGTTTCTCTATAGAGCAGTTACAAGAAAAAAGTAGACTTCTCTTCCTTAACCTGTTCTCTCATTTATCTTTGCTCAGAGGGTTGGCAGTTGTAAGACTTGAATTACTGAAAGCAAAGAAAGTTTCAGAATCACTGGTTTCTAAGGTTGAGTAAAGAGCATTTTCATAGCTTTAGGTTTATATGTATTAGAAATGTTACTTGTTTTGAGGCAAAGTGGGTGTACATGCATGCATGCATGCATACATACATATAGTCTTGATGGTATAACTTTCCATAGTTTGCATTTTCGTTTTTACTGAAATGGAAAAAAGAAGATAAAGGCTTTCTTATTGAAAAGATACAACAAATATGTATAGTTGAAAAATATAATTTGCTTTTGCTCAGGAAACTTTTTTTTAAATTGAGCAACTTTGTTTCTCTGTAGCCCTTACGTCGTCCTGACTCATCTGATGACCGTTATGTAATGACAAAACATGCCACCATTTATCCAACTGAAGAGGAGTTACAGGCAGTTCAGAAAATTGTTTCTATTACTGAACGTGCTTTAAAACTCGTTTCAGACAGTTTGTCTGAACATGAGAAGAACAAGAACAAAGAGGGAGATGATAAGAAAGAGGGAGGTAAAGACAGGTGTGTTTTGAAAGTTATTTACCATGTGTAATTTTGGTTTTTCTTATGTGGACTTCTTACATTTGAAATATAGCTTATGACTGGTAACTCTGGTGTGAGTTCTATGTGTTTTAACCATGCCTGTGTTCGATATTTCATGTATTCTGCAGCTGCTTGCAAAAATAGAAATACACAAGTTCCACGGACACATGTAGTGTCTAACCTCGTAATTGTACTCATTTTAAGTTTATATAAACTATTTTGAGTCTATTTCAAAGCAGCCATTATAGTTTTACAGTTGTACTCAGCTGCTGTTTTTCTGTTCTTATTTGTTTGTTGCTTCTGCCCCACACTCAGTCTTTGTTTTAATAACTATTTCCTTAAAGCACTGACTGTAAAGCATGATTAAGCCTAAGCTTTAGTAATGTCTTTATGTCAAGTTTGCATTATTAGCTGTAACTTTTTATTTTCCTTTTACCATTTGGAAATATTTTTGTATTACATTAAACATAACTCCTATTATTCTGACTTGTGAAATAAGAAACAGAAGTGTTAATGTCCATTGCTTTGCAGTTGTCTTTCTGTAAAGAACTTAGCTCTTTATTATTTTTTTTTTTTATCCACATTGCTTAAATGAAGTATAGTTCTAAAAATGCTGGATGTCTTTCTACTGCGGTTGATGGAAATTTTAATGGCACAAAAGTTATTTCACTTACTATTGTATGTTTACAGAATATCATGCTTCTGGTTAAGCAGAGAAATATCATAATATAATTTTATTTTACTGCAGAGCTTTGAAAGGAGTTTTGCGAGTGGGAGTATTGGCAAAAGGATTACTTCTCCGAGGAGATAGAAATGTCAACCTTGTTTTGCTGTGCTCAGAGAAACCTTCAAAGACATTATTAAGCCGTATTGCAGAAAACCTACCCAAACAGCTTGCTGTAAGTATTATGGAAATGTTCATTTTTACCCCTTGTCTGGTTCAGAAGTTTTTGGCGGGACTGACTGTGCTTCGGTTTAAACCTAAGCCAGCCTTTAAAATTTTGGCTTGACTTTCTGTATTGAGTTTTTTTGTTTGATTGTGCAAACTGATGAAACTATTTTCTACTTCATCTTTTTTAGGTTTTATAGTGATTATATTTGGCATGAAGCCATCTTGCTGATTTATTTAAAAATGTAAAATTGCAGCATATGCCTTCCTTCTCTTGTTCTTTTTCCAAGACTTGAATCATAAGAAGGCAGTTGTTAGGACAAAGTGATTTTTTAAAAAAAAAATCCCATGTGTAGCAAGGTTAAATTTTTTTAATTCATGAATCTCTTGCCTATTTAGTTTAATGCTTTTAATAAAATGTAGTAACTAAAATAGTGTTTCTGATTTTAATTTCCCCAGTTTTATTGTGAATATTTTCAGTTTTCTACATGTTTATAATGGTAGGAAATACTTCTCGTCTCCATCCAGCAAAACATGGCAATGCAAAACTAATAGAGTATTTTATTTGGGTCCTACAAAAACAAACTTTTTTTAAGCTTAAATTTATAAAAATTTTATATATTAGCTTGTCAGAATGACTGAGATTTAAAATAGTGATTCCTTTCATAATTGAGGGTATAAAACTAGCAATTTAATAAAGCATTCTAAATTCAAGGAATCAGCTTTCATTGGTAACATGTATTCTACAGTAGTGAATTAGAACAGTACCTTACTGTAGCAGAGCAACTGATGACAAAAGGGACAATGAAGCACACTATTAAACTTAAAACTGACAACTCTGCACTTACTGTTGCTTGTTTTATATTACCATTATTCCAGATGGGAAATTTTTTATTGTAGATGAGTCTTTTTTTTTAATTATCGGGAGCCAGGAGAATTGGCTGTGTTGTGTGTTTACTTCTTACTCCTGTTGAGGCTGCTAGGGCAATGAAGGGGGAAAATAAAAGGTTTGGAAGCCTTGGAAGAATCATAGAATTTGCGAGAAACATCTTGATCCTAATTGTGGTGCTTAGTAAAACTGCAAACCAAGGAATATATCATAACTAAATAACTAACAACCAGTTAAGCTAAAAGTGGAATACTCTTCAAACCCACCTATATAAGTGGATAAGCAAGTGAAATAAAATTAATTTATAGTTAATTTATACTATAGTAAGTGCTTTATATAGTTGATTCATTTAATCTTCCAGCCACCCTATAGGTTAGGTACAATTATTTTCTCCATCTTACAGAAATAGGTGCAGGATAGTTAAATAATTTGTCTATCATCGCATCACTGTAAAGTATCAGAGCTAGGATTTAAACCTAGATACTATACTGGAAATACTGTATGTAGTTTCTGTAGAGTCTTCATTTGTTCGTATAAAATGGAGCTTATTACCTGTCTACCAAATTACAGCAAATCCTGGTTTTTCTGGATATTGACTGAGACTTTCTGCTCCCTGATAAAATGTGTATTTCACAGAAAATGTACAATATGGGAATAAATTGTAGCTCCTATTAAGGTCAGGTAGCTATTTTAGCTTCATTCAAATTATGCAAATATATGTTATAAATATGGCAGTGTTTCTTTTATCCAAGAATTTATTATCTAAGAGAGATAGACCTATGTACAAATAACTCACAATACAAACAATGGTAAATATTAGTTCAACACAGAATTCTGAAAGTAGGGAGTAAGACTAATAATACTGGCATGTACGGCAGGGCTTCCTAGAAGGAGCAGTATATAATCTGGTCCTCATATAGAATGGTTAGGGTAGTAAGAGAGTGAAAGAGCCATAATGAAAGTGCTTTTGTTTGTTAATACAACAGATCCAATTTGTTTCTTATCATCTTCATTACACAGGTTATAAGCCCTGAGAAGTATGACATAAAATGTGCTGTATCTGAAGCGGCAATAATTTTGAATTCATGTGTGGAACCCAAAATGCAAGTCACTATCACACTGACATCTCCAATTATTCGAGAAGAGAACATGAGGGAAGGAGGTTGGAAAGCCATTAAACTTTCTACTTTCTATTAACTTTTTTTTTCATTTATCTACTCTTTAAGATGGCATTAAGCCCTAGAAGGCAACATGCTGGCATTACACGTGAATTTGATAGATTTGACTTATTTAGCAACCGGTTTTGCCTAAGATAATTTCCCACAGAGTAAATGCTCTTTTTAGTGATGTATTTTTATATAAAACACTATGGTATGATTGATTTTCTTGATTTCTTTCTTTTCTTGCTAACCTCAGATTTCTGGAAAAAAAACTTCAAAATTATTTTTACTGGCATAGTCAATGCATGAAAAAATGGTTTTAAAATGTTGCTAGTGACTAGGGGGACACAACTTTAAGTTGGATTAAGAAGTTTTTGCTCTTGCCTTGTCTTACAAAAAAGACAAGAGTTTTCACAAACAAAATTGGCTAAGTATTCGTAACACATTTTTAAGAGGCATTTTTATACATATATATATAATAATGGATTTGGCTTGTCCTGTGGTAAATATTTCTAGTTCTCTGAGGTTGCTCTTTGGCTTGGAGCACTTTCATAAATGCAGAACATCCTAAAGCAGGAGGATTTGGACATTTGACCCTAATATCACACTTAAGATACTGAAAAATAAACTGTGTAAATGTAGATAGTGAGTCACAGCACAATTCAGGGTTTTTAAACTTAATTTACAACTATAGAATATGAAATCCTGCTGGTGCCAGCAATGTTGCTTTAGGGACTATTCTGTAACATTTTCAAAGCTTCAAAAGCTTTTAAGCTGAAAAGCATGATCAGTGTCTGCAGTATGTTGGTTCTGTTGTTTTATGGGTCAGATAAAATTTACTTTGTTTCCTTTCATGTTTTTATACATCTTGTTGAGTATGGAATAACAGTCTACACTAATATTTCTTTGTGATACAGGTTGAGGAGGAAGAGGGTACTACATACTTAATATTAAAATTCATTTGTATAAAATAGCATCAGTAGTCTCTCAATTACTGTTTCTTTAAATTTGTTTGCTTATAACAAAGCAATTTTTTAAGACACTGGGCTTTTCACAACCCAGGAAAAGAACATTTTACCAAAAATGTCATTGGGAGCTATGTCTAATTTTACATACTTTGCATGTATACCATAATCAGATGATATTTATATCTTAAGCTTTGCATCTTAAATGAGTTTTGTGTAAAGGGTTTTCTTATGTGAACGTGAGTTTCTACTCAAGGTCTGGCCATGGGTGTTGCTGGAGAAACAGTTCCTGAGTCAATCTGGTCAGGTCATATACAGCATATGGGATTTGATAAAACTAATATGATACATTATAAATGTTGCTGTATTTAGTGTAAAATGATAACCATTTAACTTTATTTCAGAATACATTTTGTTCAGTTATATTTAGACTTAATTAAATTTATACAGTATCAAGCCATTTTATTATGTTGTAAAAGTCTAAAGTGAATAGTGTCATATTTGCAGTAAATTATTTGATAACCTATCCCTTCTAAAGGAAACAAAATTATATTTTTGTCTGACCCAGACTTGAGTTAGAATTATTGTTCTGAATTTCATAAATATTATGATGAGGAAAATGGTCAGTCCAAAATGGAAAGATTTTGCTTCAAGACACTGAGCTGAAAAGTTGGATGTGCCAAAGTGTAGAAACACTGATAGTGTTCCTTGCTGCAGATAACTGCAGTAAACCATGTCTTTAGCTTCATTATGAAGATTGCTTCTTTCTTGCTGCAGAATAACGGTATGTATTCTCTCTCACTGCAGCTCCCAGTGCTCTGTGTCTTAAAATCATTTAAAGCCTATAGCTTGCTTTGGGGAGTTAGTACAGGGGTTAAGGAAGGCTTTGCCGGAAGAACAATTGTAAATCATGAGAGTTACTACTTGCGCATTGTGTGGTAGTCTCTTTAATGCATAATGGTCCTTTTTAATACCAAAAATTAATTAATAAAGGAAATGATTACATTGTCCAAATAACTGTTAAACACATGACAGATCTGTTTTATGATACTGTGTTTGACAGTTAAACATTAAGTAAACATTTAATTGACTTTAAGCTTGAAATGTTCAGAATGCTCTAACCCTTGCTACAGAATCTTTTCTGCAGCAAGTTAAGTATTTTGTGTGTTTTTTCCCACCTGTAGCTTATCAGGCCCGGTCCAAAGCCTTCTAGCAGAGGGGATTGATCCTGTCAGGGGTTGCTGCCAAGACATCGGAAGGATTTTTGACCAAGGTTTTCAAAAGCTCAGTGTCACATCTGCCATTTGATAAAGGAGGGATTTTGGATGCAGAGCCTGGCATTTATTGTCCTTTGTGTGGCTGTTTTGTTTGTTTTGTCTTTGTCTCTTCTAGAATTGAGCAGTGTTCACACTAGTTTTTAAATGGTTGAGTGGGTTATATATTTTACATGACCATGTTAATTTGAATTAATATATTCCCATTAACGTTTAATCTTAAAATAGTGTGGACACAGCATGTCTTCTAATTGGTGATTAACCCCTTAAAATCTATGAAATACATTCACATAGAATAAGAATTAGCATTTTGTTTTTATAAATTAACTGATTTTTTTTTGCTTTGTTAACTGGGTGTTAGGCAACAAGTATGATTTTAGCAGAATATAAGGGGTTAATCTACTTGAAATAGAAAATGGGTACAAAAATCCACACTAAATTTAACAAAAATTTTCTACTTATAGCTGTAATTTGTTTTTAAATTGCAATAGGTATTAGCTGGGCGTGGTGGTGAGTGCCTATAATCCCAGCTACTTGGGAGGCTGAGGCAGGAGAATTGCTTGAACCCAGAAGGTGTAGGTTGCAGTGAGCCGAGATCATGCCATTGCACTCTGGCCTGGGCGACAAGAGTGAAACTCCATCTCAAAGAAAAAAAAATTGCAATAGGTGTCTTGGCATCTTTGAATTTATATCATGAATTACAATTTCCAAAGTTATGAATGCTTATGTGCAAAACAAAATTTTCTTGCATATCGGAGGAAATAAAATTGTGAATTAACATTAGAAATTTAGAAACATTTTAGAGATTGCACATTGTCACCTATTTGCATTCTAGCTTTAGCAAATGTAAGTAAATAAGGGACATAGAAAGAGGTTCTTTAGCATGTTATAATACTGCTTTGGGGAAGTCAGCTTTTTCTTTTTTGTGTGTGTGAGGGGTTTGGTTTTGTTTTGCTTTGTTTTTGAGACAGTCACTCTGTCACCCAGGCTGGAGTGCAGCAGCACAATCTCGGCTCACTGCAACCTCCACCTCCCAGGTTCAAGCAATTCTCATGCCTCAGCCTCCCAAGTAGCTGAGGAGCTGGGACCACAGGCATGTGCCACGACACCCAGCTAATTTTTGTATTTTTGAGTAGGAATGGAGTTTCACCATGTTGGCCGGGCTGGTCTCGAACTCCCTACCTCAGATGATCCACCTGCCTCAGCCTCCCAAAGTGCTAGGATTACAGGCATGAGCCACTGCACCTGGCCCTTTTTTCTTTTTTAAAACTTCATAGTTAGCTGTCTCTTGTGTCCCTTTTCTTTATCTATTCCTGACAGAATAGTTCATTTCTTATGTTCAGGTTATTTCTAGGTTCAATAGTTGGTCTTATAAGTTTTGAGAGAACTAATATTTTTGTCTTGATAACTTCTTTTTAGCACCAAATTCCTCTTTTAGTATTTATTCTCAAAATGTCACACAGTTTTCCTTGATTATCTGTCTTTCCTCTAAATGTGTCTTCTGAAGAATCTGTGTCCATCTGATTACTCGAGGAGTAAAAAACTAAGAAAAAGAAACCTTAGAGAATAGAATTCTCTATCAGTTTCAAAATATGTTTTTTATATGTCATCTACTCAAAATAAGAACAAGTTATCCTTTAAGATATCTGAATGCTTATGAGATATGAGTAACTTGACCAGAACTGCAGCTAGTACTCTTAAGATAATTAACTTTTTCATACTTTTATCATGTATTTTTTCGTCCATATTCATTTTATATATTCGATTATTAAACTGTATTCTAAATGCCCCATAATTTCCAAAGGACTATTATATTTAATAGATTATATAATTTTTCTATATTGAGAAAATATTCATACTATTTAAATCACTGAGAGCTGTGAATTAGATTGGAATAATTGCCATTTGCTTACTAATAGCTTGATTAGCAGATTTGCTGTTAATATACACATTTTACAGATGTTTAGATGGATATAAAGATAGCCCTTTGTCTACTTTTATGAATGATATATTAATGTAAAGTTAACTTCTTGTCCTGGTTTAGTTTCATATATTCTCAAGTTTTGTGTAGCTCATTTATGTTTTAATCAGCTTAAAGACCCTACACATCTATCGTCACAGGATCAGCATCTTTTCCACTCTTAATTCTGTTTAACCATACTAGTTCCTATTCGCTGTTCTGCTTGCCTATTGTTTCTCTTTTATCATTTTTTGAAATACTTTATGGGAACTTTAAATTTTAAAGGGCATTTCATACTCTCTGATAACTAAAATTTTCATGCGGAAGGGAGAGCATTAAACTTTTAGAAATGCCTGTTTTGGGCCGGGCGCAGTGGCTCACGCCTGTAATCCTAGCACTTTGGGAGGCCGAGGCGGGTGTATCACTTGAGGTCAGGAGTTAAAAACCAGCCTGGCCAACATGGTGAAACTTCGTCTCTACTAAAAATACAAAAAATTAGCCTGGTGTGGTGGTGCACACCTGTAATCCCAGCTACTTGGGAGGCTGAGACAGGAGAATCGCTTGAACCCAGGAGGCCGAGGTTGCAGTGATCTGAGATCGTGCACTCCAGCCTGGGGGACAGAGTGACACTCCGTCTCAAAAAAAAAAAAAAAAAAAAAAGAAATGCCTGTTTTGGGTTCTTCATTTTTTTCCTATAACTGTAACTATATTGAGCATTCTATATTTATCATCAGTTCTTTGTTATATTAGCTCCAGAATAACTTACGACCATTTAGAGTACTGAACAAACTCAGTAGTTTATTGTACATACTCATTAAGGTGGATTTTTGTGTTCCCTCTTGTCTTGTTGTCTTTGTGCTAGTGCACTGTGTCCAGTAATCTTTCCTTCGGATTTCGTTTTGGTGGGTAGGGTTTATATTTCCAGAAATTGTTTATTATATTACTAAATTAATAAGTTAACCTTTTGTTCCTCATATTGGATTATGTAAATTTATTGAAAATAACTCCGTGGATATATTAAAGTGCCAACAAGCTCTCAAATGGCTCATGTGACACTGATGCTACCTTAAGGAAGTGTCTTGCTCACCTGGTCAAACACCCATTCCTCACTGCATTTTGCCAATTCAATCCATTTTAGATGTAACCTCGGGTATGGTGAAAGACCCACCGGACGTCTTGGACAGGCAAAAATGCCTTGACGCTCTGGCTGCTCTACGCCACGCTAAGTGGTTCCAGGTTCGGAACATCATTTTACTTTTTTCTTGTAGCCTTATGAGAGAAGTAGTTCAGTACAACATGTTTAACTGTGCTTAAACATTTCAAAAGACTGCCCAAGCAATACTATTTTAAATTAAATATCAGAAAATATGTTAACATAGAAAGCTGGGTATGATGATCTGCATATTGCAGTTATTATTAATTTGACAATGAACTTAGGTTTGGGGAGTGTTTTGTAGTTGGGGTTTTTTTATTTTTTATTTTTAGTGGCTATATTTAAAGTTGACTTGTTTAGGAACATCACATGTTTGTGTATATATATTATATTCCATAAGGCTGCAGATTAACTTTGCTTTAAATAATGGAATATGTGTTTAAAGCTTTGTGTATAGTTTTAAGATTTTTTTCCCCCTCTTTCTCTAAGTTAATAAGTGTAGGGAGTGAAAGGTGAGGAAGCAGCTGTTTGGTTTAGTGACTTTGCAGTCATGCAAAGGCACAGAAGGGAAACCAAACAGATTTCCTTAACCTTTCAGTCCCTAGACAAACTTTTTAGCTCTTTACTTTTTCTTTTATTTCTAATGTAGGCAGACTTTTTTTTTTTAAGTTTACTGTTTTAAATGAACACAGGTCAAGGTTCACAGGGGATCAAGAAATATTATTCTTGTATAATCTGTTTACTTTGACCTAAATACCAGCTTTTAAATACTAACCCTGGCATAAAATACTGCTGTAAATGGCAGCTCATTGAATCCAATTTTAAGTGTGATTGTTTTTGTTTTTATCTGAGCTTCCATTGAACGGTGGTATTTTAACTTTTTTTCATCAAGGGATATATTCAGTATTTCTAAGATTAATTCAATTGGTTTTTATGTTGCTCTCAAGGCTAGAGCTAATGGTCTGCAGTCCTGTGTGATTATCATACGCATTCTTCGAGACCTCTGTCAGCGAGTTCCAACTTGGTCTGATTTTCCAAGCTGGGTAAGTAGTACGTAACTGTATGGTGTAAAAACATGTAGGAAATAATTCTGCAGCTTTTATCCTCTCAGTTTACATGTAATTATCAGCCTTATTTGCATTTACTAAATATAGTTTTTCTTTTCTGATGAAAAATCCTGGGGGAGTCTTAGAATGTTTAATTTTCTCAGATGTGACTAATTAAAGAATTTTCATTGATGTTTCTCTTTGTGTGTTTTTTTCTTTTTGCTGTTTTCACAGTGTTTTTTTTTTAATATTACAGCATTTATTAGTTGGCTTTTACATATAATATACAAATGTATAAAGAAGACTTTGAAGAACTGTTAATCTCCTTATGCAGGGACATTTTTTAAAATAATGTATGTGGTTGGGAACTGTAAAAATTCAGAAATACATATTATTCAAAAATAATACAAAAAAAATAGGAGATTCAGTAACGCAGAAAGCTACAAAATAACCAAAAGCCTTCTTATTTAAAGGCAGATTATCTTAACAATCTGCTGTGATTTCTTCTAGGAGAAAAAAATTATACCTATATACAGTATATGTTTCTATCTTTATGTACATTACTGTTTGAAACTTTGATTCCTGAAGAGCAAGGATTCAGATAGACAGGGATTCATCAAAAAATAAAACAACCTATTGACTCCAGAGTTTAATTAATGAGAGTTAATAGGCAAGATTACCTTAGTTCTTTTTTTTTAATCTTTTTTAACAAAAGCATGGCCTTGCTATCACAGTTTAAAACTGTACAATTTAAAACTTTCTTAACAAATCTCATCTTAGAGTTCTTTGAAAAGGCAGTCACATCTGCATTCTTTCTATGGACATGCCGTATTTTATTTAACTTACATTCATTTGATAGACATTTAGGTTTACAATCTTTTGCTATTAAATCCTTATTATACCTCATTGTATATATTGTTGTCAAGCTTTTGAGGGCGGAATAAATTGCTAGGGCTGAAATATCAAGGTTAAAGAACATGTACTAATTGTTCACCAGAAGGTTGGGTCATTGAAAATTTCAAAAAAACTATTAGACTAATTATATTCTTTACACTGTCATAGTTCTGGGATATTATCACACTTCTTAATAGTTAACAATATGATAGGCAAAATATGGTATTCGCCAAGCACAGTGGCTCATGCCTGTAATCCCAACACTTTGGGAGGCCGAGGCGGGCGGATCACTGAGGTCAGGAGTTCGAGACCAGCCTGGCCAACATAGTGAAACCTCGTCTCTACTAATAATACAACAATTAGCTGGGCATGGTGGCGGGCACCTGTAATCCAAGCTACTCGGGAGGCTGAGGCAGGAGAGGAGAATCACTTGAACCCGGGAGGTGGAGGTTGCAGTGAGCCGAGATTGTGCCACTATCTCTAGTCTGGGTGACAGAGTGAGACTTCATCTCAAAAATATATATATATGCTATCTAATTTTTTGTATTTCTTTAATTGCATAATGGTTGGCATTTGTAATTGTTTTTTTCTTAACTGCCAGTTTCTTATTCATCATTTTATTATAGTAATTCTTTTTACAATAATTGGCCTTTACCTGTGTTGGAAATTGTGTTCTCCAGTTTTTCATCTACTTTTCAGCTTTATGATGATTTTTGCTATATGAAAGTTACCACATTTTGCCGGGCACGGTGGCTCACGCCTGTAATTCCAGCACTTTGGGAGGCCGAGGCGGGTGGATCACAAGGTCAGAAGATCAAGACTGCCCTGACCAACATGCACACCTGTAATCCCAGCTACTCAGGAGGCTGAGGCAGGAGAATCGCTTGAACCTGGGAGGCAGAGGTTGCAGTGAGCCGAGATCACGCCACTGCACTCCAGCCTGGCAACAGAGCAAGATTCTGTCTCGAAAGAAAGAGAGAGAGGAGAGAGAGAGAGAGAGAGAAAGAGAAATAAAGAAAGAGAAGGAAAGTTACCACTTTTTTTTTTTTTTTTTTTTTTTTTCAGATGGAGTCTTGCTCTGTTGCCCAGGCTGGAGTGCAGTGGCACGATCTTGGCTCACTGCAAGCTCCGCCTCCCAGGTTCTTGCCATTCTCCTTCCTCAGCCTCCGAGTAGCTGGGACTACAGGCGCCTGCCACCACGCCCGGCTAAATTTTTTGTATTTTTAGTAGAGACAGGGGTTTTTTTTCAGACAGCTTGTCGCCCAGGCTGGAGTGTAGTGGCATGATCTCAGCTCACTGCAGCCTTTGCCTCCCGGGTTCAAGCGATTCTCCTGCCTCCGTTTTCCAAGTAGCTGGGATTACAGGCAGGGGCCACCACGCCCTGCTAATAATTTGTATTTTTGGTAGAGATGGGGTTTCATCATGTTGGTCTCAAACTGCTAACCTTGGGTGATCTGCCCTCCTTGGCCTCCCAAACTGCTGGGATTATAGGCCTGAGCCCCACTGTACCTGGCATTAAATTTTGATTCATTAATTTTTTTTATCATTTCTGGATTTTGTATTTTGACAAATTAGTTCACACCTGCTTTCTTTTTTTTTTCTTTTTTTTTGACACAGAGTCTCGCTCTGTCGCCCAGGCTGGAGTGCAGTGGCAGCTGTAGTACAGTACGGCTATCTCAGCTCACTACACACTACAGGCATGCGCCACCACACCTGGCTAATTTTTGTATATTTTAGTAGAAACGGGGTTTCACCATATTGGCCAAGCTGGTTTCAAACTCCTGACCTTGTGATCCACCCGCCTTGGCCTCCCAAAATGCTGGGATTATAGGCATGAGCCACTGTGCCTGGCACATCTCCTTTGTTTTAGAGCTTTTTTTTCATCGAATTTTATTTTCTATAGATATGTATATGTAAATTTAAATACATAACAAAATTTTTGGTAGGATATATTCTAATTTACAGTAGTGATTATTTCTGAGGAGTGAGAGGAAGAGATGACTAGTATAGAGACCTGTAATGTTTAATTTTTACCAGGATAAATTATACATGTGCATTACTTAAAAACTAATTTAAAACTGGGCATGGTGGCTCATGCCTGTAATCCCAGCACTTTAGGAGGCCGAGGCGGGTGGATCACAAGGTCAAGGAGTTCAAGACCAGCCTGGCCAAGGTGGTGAAACCCCATCTCTACTAAAAACACAAAAAATTAGCCAGGCTTGGTGGCAGACGCCTATAATCCCAGCTACTCGGGAGGCTGAGGCAGGAGAATCACTTGAACTCAGGGCGGAGGTTGCAGTGAGCCGAGATCGTGCCACTGTACTCCAGCCTGGGCGACATAGTGAGACTCCGTCTCAAAAAAAAAAAAAACTAATTTAAAAACTATAAATCGATAGATGAAAGATCAACCGGTCATGGTCTAGTGGCTCATGCCTGTAATCCCATTATTTGAGAGGCCCGAGGCAGGAGGATCGCTTGAGTCCCGGAGTTGGAGACCAGCTTGGGCAACATGGTGAAACCCTTTCTCTAGAAAAGATAGAAAAATTAGCCCGGCATGGTGGCATGTGCTTGTGGTTTCAGCTACTGGAGAGACTGAAGTGGGAAGATCTATTGAGCCCAGGTCAAGTCTACAGTGAGCCATGATTGTGCCATGGCACTCCAGCCTGGGTGACAGAATGAGACCTTATCTCTTTTTTTTTCTTTGAGACATATCTACAAATGATATTTTGCCTTCTTTCCAATACTTGTTTTTCTATTTTAATTAAAAGATAATTCTAGAGTAACAAATACGGAATAAAAGAAATACTGCTTGACATGTATGATACGTTACTGATTGTATTAAAAATGTTTCTGGTCTATAAACTGTATTAAGCATGACGGTATATAGCCTTTTATTTGAGATATTTACTTGTCATGTTGAATTATCAATCTTTTTCCAGTTTAAGTAATTTTTGAATCAGTAACGGAAGTTGAACTTTCATCAATTTTTTAAGTCTTATTAACATGAATGTATAGTTTTTCTCCTTCAACCTTTTAATACTGTGTAAATAGATTTCTTCATTTTGAGCTACCTTTGCATTCTGGGAATGATTCTTCATACATATGAGAATAGTGTTGTAATGAACTCTTAAGTTCTGCTTGCCAATAGTTTGTTTAAGAATTTCTCAGTGACGTGAAACAAATTTTTTATGTTTTGTTTCTGTGCTCTTTGTCAAATTTAGAAGCAGTGATCACTAACTCTGTAAAAATAATTTGGAAGCTTTTCTTTGTTTAAACTCTGAAGCAGTTTTAGTAGCATCAAAACTTTGTTTCTTGTCAGTTTATAAAAATTTATGTGACATCATCACTTCCCAATTCCTTTTAAGGGAATAGTGTTTTCTCAATTTCTCCTATTGTAATTAGTCTCTCTCTGGTGGTTAATTTTGGCAATTTATATTTCCTTTAAAAAAATCAACCCATTCAATAGAGTTATGCTATTTTAGGATTTTTTTTTGCTTGTTTGTTTGTTTGTTTGCTTTTAATTCTTCCTTGTGTCATTGATTAGACTAGCCAGTAAAGTATTTGCCAGATGGGAGCAAAATAATAATGTGGGTGTTTCAGTATTTAGGTGTTTGGAATTTATTAGATTCTTAATAGATTTTAAATACAATAATTTGTAGGCATTGTATAGCTTCAAATTTTATTTATTTATTTATTTATTTAATTATTTATTTTTGAAATGGAGTCTCGCTCTGTACCCCAGCCTGGAGTGCAGCAGTGCTTTCTTGGCTCACTGCAACCTCCATCTCCCAGGTTCAAGCGATTCTCCTGCCTCAGCCTCCCGAGTAGCTAGGATTACAGGCATGCACCACCACGCCTGGCTGATTGTATTTTTAGTAGAGACAGAGTTTCATCATGTTGGCCAGGGTAGTCTAGAACTCCTGACCTCAAGTGATCCGCCCACCTTGGCCTCACAAGTTGCTGGGATTACAGGCGTGAGCCACCGTGCCTGTCCCAAATTTTAAAAATGTATGGAAATACAAGCATTGTACATCATGATCCTGCTTCCTGCTTTCTTAAACTTTGGTCCCCTCTACCCACCCAGGGTGTCCTTGAAGCTATCTCTGTTGTAGTAAGTCCACGTTGTTACTTGTATGAATAGACTCTCAAGACCACTGCATCTGGGCCACTCTTGCAGTCTGGATTTTCAGCACTGCAGATTGGTCCTACCCAGGCCTTCTTTGAGAGAGTCACCCATGCACTTCACAGGGTGTGTTCTTCTTTGAGGGTAGAGAGCCGTAAGAACTGAGAAGAAAAGAGAATGCACAGGTCAAAGGAATTGAAGGAGCATTGGCCATGGCAGGGAAAATGATTGTGAAGAAAGTCAAAAGTGAAAAAAGCTGCTGGCTGATCTTTGAAATCATTTACATATAACAACAAATACATTAGTATTTTGGTACTTTAAAAAAAAACACCAAAATGTCAGTATTTTGACATTTAAAATTCGCTCCTAGTATTGTATTCTTCAGGCAGTGGTTTATCTGTTTTATTGCTTTTTTGTCTCTTCAAAATCAGCTCTATTGTAATCCTCATTAATAACTTATTACCTTATGATTTTACCTTTCTATATTTATTTTCCTTGGGGTTTTCTGTTATTATTTTACAAATTTCTTGAGTTAGATGCTTGATTCATTGATTTATTCTGTAGTTACAGAGGTTTTAAAGCTGCAGTTTAAAGACGAACACAAGAGTTTTGGCTGCATAGGTAATGCTTTGTAATTTGTTTTCATACTATCTTTAAACCAACAGTAGTTTTGAGGGAATTTTATTTCCCCACCCTTTCCCCGAGACAGAGTGTTGCTCTGTCACCCATGCTGGAGTGCAGTGGCTCAACCTGGGGTCACTGCAACCTCCACCTCCCAGGTTCAAGCAATTCTCCTGTGTTAGCATCCTGAGTAGCTGGGATTACAGGCATGCACCACCACGCCTGACTAATTTTTGTATTTTTAGTAGAGATGGGTTTTCACCATGTTGGCCAGGCTGGTCTTGAACTCCTCATCTCATGATCCACCTGCCTCAGCCTCCCAAAGTGCTGGGATTACAGGCGTGAGCCACGGCACCCAGCCAAGGGAATTTTTATATTCTGCACAGTTGAAGGAGGGTTACTTTTGTTTTGGTAAATAATAATTTAGTTTTTATGGCATCGTGATTCGAAAAATGTAGTCTGCTATTTGCAATTTTTGGAATTTAAAGGGTTTTTTTGTTGCCTAATATATGTTCAATTTTTATTAACTATGGTTATTTAAAAGAAGAGATCTGCTCTCAACAAGGTATAATGTATACCTCTTAATTTTTTAACTTCAGTCATTTTGTTCCTTTTTTTGTTTGTTTTGTTTGTTTTTTTGAGACCAAGTCTTGCTGTGTCGCCCAGACTAGAGTGCAGTGGTGTGATCTCAACTCACTGTAACCTCCACCTCCTGGGTTCAAGAGATTTTCCTGCCTCAGCCTTTCAAGTAACTGGGATTACAAGCGCGCGCGCCACCATGTCTGGATAATTTTTGTATTTTTAGTAGAGACGGAGTTTCACCATGTTGGCCAGGTTAGTCTCGAGCTCTTGGCCTCAAGTGATCTGCTCCCCTCGGCCTCCCAAAGTGCTTGGATTGTAGGTGTGAGCCACTGTGCCCAGCCCTCAGCTTCTTATTGAATAGGCTAAGGGTGAGGAAGGAAGATTGATGTTGCTGTCTCTGGTGGCAGAGATGGAAGATAACTCCCATATAAGTGGATCTGTGCAGTTCAAACTCACGTTTTTCAAGGGTCAACCATATAGAGTTCCCACATATCCCCTGCCCTCACACATACACAGCCTCCCCGACACTAGAGTAGTATGTTTGTTACAATTAATGAACCTACATTGACCTGTGACTATCACCCAAAGTCCCTACAGAATATATTTTTATCACTAGTTTTCATGCTATGTTCCACACAAGTACAAAGATGTCATGCAAATCTATTCTCACCTTTTTTGATAACTCTTCTTTTCCTTCCCCTGTGAGATATGATTGGAGGATTGCTTATGAAAAGGAGTAGGATTTGGCTACCTGCAGCCTTGTTAGCAAATGTAGGCTACACTCTCCTGTGTCTTCATCAAATATACTATGGCACTCCAAATGTGATGGATTTTATTGCCACCCCTTCAGTTTCAGGTTTCAATCCAAGAATGGACTCCTAGAGCTTTTGTCTTTGCAGGATTTGCTCCATTTGTTTCCTGAACCTATTTTACCATTTCCTTTCACTAACAATTTATATTCCCCTGAACCAAGAGAGCATTTGGGTATGTGAAGCTAATTTGGGGCTCTATGAAGTTTTTTTTTTTTTCCCTACCTCTAATTCCTTTGGAAGATCTTACCTTTATTTTTTCTTTTATCTGCATTTTAGCCAAATGCATTTATTATTGGAAATAGTTAGATGTGAATGATTACCATTTTTCTGCTCTTTCCTGATTTCCTGATTGCTTCTGTTCTTTCCTGGTTTTCAAAGTCTTCAGGATAGCAAATTCTAGTGTTTTTCTTTTTTCTGGTGAGATAGAAGATGGTCAGATGGAGTTTTTACGTTTAGGAAAATTTCTTCTGAAACTGCTTATAATGTGATTCATTTTACCTTTCTCCAAATTGAAAGTTATTGGTGAAGTTTTTGGGATTTGTTGAATCAGCTGTCATCCCCACCCTCATCTCTGGAGAGCCAAGCTTAAGCAGGGTAAACACTCTGTTCTTAAGGAATGTTCTCTGTCACTGGCCTTTTCCTCTGTTTGATTCAAGCTATTACATTTTTTCCTGAAATGCAGTAGTGTGTATATTCTATCATTTGTTTTTGAGACAGGGTCCTGCTCTGTCATCTAAACTGGAGGGCGATGGAGCAGCCCTGGCTCACTGCAGCTTTGAACTCCTGGGCTCAAGCATTCCTTCTGCCTGAACCTTCCTAGTGCCTGTGATGATAGGCACATGCCACCATACCTGACTAATGTCTTTATTTTTAATAGAGATGAGATCTCACTATGTTGCCCCAGCTGGTCTCGAACTCCTGGGCTCAAGCGATCCTCTTGCCACGGTCTTCCGAAGTGCTGGGATTATAGGCATGAGCCAACATGCCTGGCCCTAATATATTTCTTAATCATGTTTTGGAGGCAAGAGATCTTCAGTTTCTGTCTGTGCTATTGTCATAAACAGGAGTAACTTTTTTTCTGTTATCAAATAAATTTGAAATTCTTATGAACTGTATTATGTTTAATTTTATTTAGCATTCAGATTACTTTGAACAAATCCTTAAGTAACAATGCCTGCTTTTGTGGCCTTTCCTTTGCCACTGCAATGAGGATTGAAAATGGTGTTCTGCCTTCAAATTAGTTGTTCTTCTGTCATGAATCCATGGTGATGAAATAAAATATAGGTAGAGTTCTGTTGTAATGTTGGTCTGATATCAGAATTGCTGTGTGCTATCTAAACCTTTAGAATAGTATAACTGCAGTAACTTATAAAAGGCATGTAATTTTTTTAATGTTTATTATAGACCTAGCACAATGGCTCCTACCTGTAATCCCAGCACTTTAGGAAGCCAAGGTGGGAAGGTCACTTGAGGCCAGGAGTTCAAAACCAGCCTTATTTGTATAGCAAGACCCTATGTCTACAAAAGACAAACTTAAAAATTAGCTGGATGAGATGGCGCACACCTGTAGTCCCAGCTACTCAGGAGGCTGAGGTCAGAGAATCACTTGAGCCCAGGAGGTTGAGGCTGCAGTGAGCTGTGATTGCACCACTGCACTTCACCCTGGGCGACAGGGCAAGACCATGTCTGTCTGTCTGTCTGTCTGCCTGCCTGTCTGTCTGTCTGTCTCTCTCTCTCTCTCTCTCTCTCTCTCTCTCTCTCTCTCTCTCCCCCCACAACACACAATGTTATTATATATTTTATTTCTAGACAGTGTCCTATGATGAGTATTTCAGCAAAAAAATCTGTTATTGTGCTGGGCACAGTGGCCCATTCCTGTAGTCCCAGGTACTCAAGAGACTGAGGCAAGAGGATCTCTTGAGCCCAGGATTTTGAGGCCAGCCTGGGCACATCGTGAGACCCTATCTCAAAAAAAAAAAAAAAAAAAAAATCTGCCACTGTATTGATTAATGTTGAAAACAGTATGCTAAGTGCAAGAATCCAGGCTCAAAAGGTCACATGTTGTGTGATTCCATTTATATGAAATATCAAGAATATATAAATCCATAGAGACAGAGTGCATGTCTCTATGGAAATAGGGATAAGTTGCTTAATGGGTAAGGGGGTTTACTTTGCGGTAATGGAGATGTTTTGGAACTTGATATGGACAACATAGTATAATAATGCTGCTGAATCATTCGTTTTAAAATGTTTCATGTTATCTTTTTTAAGACAGAGTTTCACTCTGTCACTCGGGCTGGAGTGCAGTGGCATGATCATGACTCACTGCAGCCTCGACTTCCCAGGCTTAAGCGATTCTCCTAACTCAGCCTCCCACGTACATAGGACTGTAGGTGCATGCTACCATGCCTGGTTACATTTTTTTTTTTAATTTTTTGTAGAGATAAGGTCTCACTATCTTGCCCAGCCTGGTCTGAAACTCCTGGATCCAAGGGATCCTCCCAACTTGGCCTCCAGAAGTGCTGGGATTATAGGCGTGAGCCACCATTCCTGACCAGTTTTTTGTTTTGTTTTGTTTTGTTTTGTTTTGTTTTAAAGAATGATATATCAAATGTAAAGGAATCATTCTCAAAGAAAGGTGAAGAAAACTGCTATAATTATTCTTCCTGCCCAAATAACAGTTGAAATACGTTAACATTTCTTTTCACGTATTTTACTGGCTTTCAGAGGTATTTGTAAGTAATACAGATTTTAGTGGTGGTGGTTTGTACTAAAAGTTCTCCCGGCTGTTGCTGATAGAACCAACAAAGAGTTCTAAAATGATAGGACACTGACATCTCAGGGCAAAGAACAAACAGTCTCAGCTTACAAAAAAAACAGCAAACGGTACATGAACTAACTCAACATTTAGATACCCCTTAACAAAAATCATCTATTTAACTGTATGCACACCCCTAAATCACTAAAAGCTGTAAGTAAATCTTTTCCCTGCAAGACATGACCATTTTTATTAAGACTTTCATACATTTCACCATATAAAATAAAGTGCTGTGAGTAAATATATTACAAAAATGCAACAACCTGCAAATGGGCTTACAAATCAAAGTCTGTTGTGCATGTGTCAATAGTGATCCATGTCAACTGGACTATGTAAGTGGCTTTTGTATGTACAATTGCCCATTGTTGTGGTATTCATAAAATCCTATTTTAAGAGCATAAACATCTTAATTTGTAAAATGGGAATGATAGTCATATCTACCTTCAGAATGTGATTATAATGGTTAGAATTGGTTAATATATGTGAAGACTTAGAGCATCACTTAGCGAGGATAAGCACTCAGTAAGTGGTAGCTATAATGAAGAGGATAACTGCTACTACTGTTATTTAGCCAGAACTCCTAGTGCTAGAGATTGTTTCCAGTCTGTTACAAATTAAGAGCTGGGCAGAATATTTTTTGTGCTTTTCTTATGTAGTAATAGCCCTATTGTAAATCTTAGTACTGCCATTGCTGGGCTAATTAATGTGTGTCTTTTAAAAATTTGTGGCCAGGTGCAATGGCTCACACCTGTAATCTTAGCACTTTGGGAGGCTGAGATGGGCAGATTACCTGAGGTCAAGAGTTCAAGACCAGCCTGACCGATATGGAGAAACTCCCATCTCTACTAAAAATACAAAATTAGCTGGGCGTGGTGGCTCATGCCCATAATCCCAGCTACTTGGGAGGCGGAGGCAAGAGAACCGCTTGAACCTGGGAGGTGGAGGTTGCGGTGAGCTGAGATCACGCCATTGCAGCCTGGACAACAAGAGTGAAACTCCGTCTCTTGTTGGGGGGGGAAAAAAGTTTTGATGCAGTTTGCCATTTGTGCTTTAAAGGAAGATTTTACTGGTTTACACTCCCACCAGTGAAAGTGCCTGTGTTACTGAAATCTCATCAGGTGGCTTTGTTTTATTTGTTTTACATAGGTCTTTGTCTCTACCAGAGCTAGAAACTAATATTCATGGAAACTAGTTAATGTTTTCTCTCTGGATCACCCATTGATGAAAGATACTTATTGAAACATAGTAGGAAAGAAAACATAAGGGAAAGAAGAAAAAAAAAAGCATTATTTTGATTTCAGAAAGACCTGGGTTCAAATCTCAGCTTTATCACCTAGCTACATGACCTTGGACAAAACTATTTTTAGCTTCTTAAATTTATGGGATTTTTTTTCCATCTTGAATTAAATTATGCATATAAGTGATCATTTAGCATGGTGCCTGCCACTTACTAAGAGTTACTCTTATTATAACTGGAGATGGGATGGGAAAAAATACACTTCATGAGTGTTTTTAAAAAGCAAATAAGGCTGGGTCCAGTGGCTCACGCCTGTAATCTCATCACTTTGGCCTGTAATCTCATCACTTTGGGACACGAAGATGGAAAGATCACTTGAGCCCAGGAGTTCAAGACCAGCTCAGGCAACATAGCAAGACCTCATCTCTACTAAAAATAAAAATTAGCCAAGCATGGTAGTGGGTTCTGTAGTGCCAGCTACTCAGGAGGCTGAGGTCAATCACTTGAGCCTGGGAGGTCAAGGCTACAGTGAGTTATTTATTTATTTATTTATTTATTTACTTTATTTATTTATTTATTTATTATTTTTGAGATGGAGTTTCACTCTTGTCGCCCAGGCTGGAGTGCAGTGGCGTGATCTCAGCTCACCGCAACCTCCGCCTCCCAGGTTCAAGTGATTCTCCTGCCTCAGCCTCCTGAGTAGCTGAGATTACAGGCACCTGCCACCACACCCGGCTAATTTTTTGTGTTTTTGGTAGAGACAGGATTTCGCCATGTTGGGCAGGCTGGTCTCAAACTCCTCACGTCAGGTGATCCACCCACCTTGACCTCCCAAAGTGCTGGGATTACAGACGTGAACCACCACACCCAGCCTGCTACAGTCAGTTATAATCACACCACTGCTTTCCAGTCTAGGAAACAGAGCAAGACCCTGTCTCTCAAAAAATAAATAAAAAGCAAATATTACAGTGGAGTGCAGTGGCATTCACTTGTAGTCTCAGCTACTGGGGAAACTGAGGTATGATTACTTGAGCCCAGGAGTTCAAGCTCGGCTGCAGTGTGCTATGATCGTGCCTGCGAATAACTACTGCACTCCATCCTGGCAACATAGCGAGGGCCTGTCTGTAAAAAAAAAAAAAAAAATTAAAAAATCTTTTAAAGCAAATATTACAATCCTTGATTTTTTTAATCATTTAATATGGGGAGCTTTTTCCATCTCCAGTTATAATAATTCTTAATAAGTTATTCTCTTATATAATTATAGCCTCCAAGACCCTTTACATCAAAACCTGAAGTGTTGTAATCCTTAATTTGATTCTATTTATTTTTGATATTATCTTTTTACTTTTGAATTATATTCTTCTATTTTCATTGCTCTTTTAACTGTAGACATGTGCTTGGAGAATAGCTATGTTCTTTAGAAAATTAATATGTTTTAATTGCTTAGTTCACAGTAAATGGTGTCAGAGGTAGTTGATTAGTTTTATTGTGTGTGTTTAAGTGTATTGACTTTTTTGTGTTCCATAAATAATTGATTTCTTTCTTGACTTTTAATTAATTTCTGCTTTTACCTGCTGGTATAAATCAGAAATGCCTGATTCTTAAAGCCAATCAATAAACAGATTTTGAAAAAGCTTTGAGTTACTTGAAACACATTTTTATGTCTTGACGTACCTGAACTGTAGCTGATTACTTAATGCTCACTTTTCTCATAACATTTGCTAAAAGTACTCAGTAAAAATTTGAGGCATTTATCGAAAGTTACGTATTTTATGACTTCAATTTTGTGTTTTAATCACAACATCAATATTTTGCTAATTATTACTCTTGGTTTATTTTATCACTGAATTGTCAGGATTATTCTCACATTCTTTCCAAAATCATTCCATGTCATCATTTACTAAGTATTTACAAAATTCTGGCTACTTGTACTAGGCAAGTGGGTTCAAGATGAGTAACACTGACCTTATCCTCAAGGGTCTCAAGTCTTTTCGCATCTTAAAATATTCCATACACATGCATATTCCATACATACACATAGAGTTTTCTAGATGACTGAAGCTTGTCCCTTAAAATATTAAAACTTAACTTTAAAATGAAAATCCGTAAAAAATGAAAAATGTCTTGAGGGGCTGTTGCTGTGATGCCTGTAATCCCAAGGCTTTGGGAGGCCAAGGCAGTTGGTTTACATGAGTCCAGGAGTTCAAAACCAGCCTGGACAGCATAGTGAGACCCCATCTCTACAAAAATTAGCCAGGCATGGTGGCTGCGCCTGTTGTCCCAGTCGTACAGCGGCACGACCACAGCTCACTGCAACCTCAAGCTCTTGGGCTCAAGTGATCCTGAGCTGAGGTGGGAGGATCACTTGAGCCCAAGAGCTTGAGGCTGCAGTGAGCCATGGTCATGCCACTGCATTCTAGCCTGGGTGACAGAACAAGACCCTTTCTCAAAATAAAAAAGAATCTTGAACATCTTCCTGCATTCTTCAACGGAATAAACTGAGCTGTCTTAATTTTTTTAATTGTGACTTACATTTATCACTATTAATATTCATTATTTTCAGGTTTTTTCCAATCGTGCTGGAAGCTATCATTTATTTTTCATAGTTGTTAATGTGCGCTATTTCTTTAAATTCTCATCTCTTAAAATGTAAAGAGATTCTGAGAAATGGCCTTGGAGTGAATAGGTTGACGCAGTTTTTACTTCTGATAAATAAGTCCATGAGCTTTTTTAGTGTATAGCCAAAAGTATGGATTCTCACTAATGTCTTTTCAGCTTTCATTATCATCTTAAGGATTTCATAGTGGTTCCAAACTAGTTTCTTTGAATTGCTGTTGGTAGTCTCATTTAAACTTTTAAGTAAAAGCTACAACATGGATAAGCCTTAAATATTATGCTAAGTGAGAGAAGTCAAACACAGAGCCACGTATTACATGATTCCATTTGTATAAAACGTCCATAGTAGGCAAATCTGTAGAAACTGGAAGTGATTTAGGGGTTGCCAAGGGCTAAAAGAAAGGGAGAATGGAGAATGACTACTAGTGGCTATGTGGTTTCTTTTGGAGATCATGAAAATGTTCTGGAATTAGGTAATGGTGATTATTGAACAACTTTGTGAATATACTAAAAACTACTGAATTGTACAGTTTAAAAGGGTGAATCTTACATGTGAATTATATCTCAATTTTTAAAAATCTAAATACAAATTTTTATCATGAGACCCTTCAAAACACCACTCCCTGCATTGGGTTTTTGTTTTGTTTTTTTTGTTTTTTTGTTTGTGAAGAAAGATGGTCTCACTCCATCACTCAGGGTGCTAGAGTGCAATGGCGCAATCTCAGCTTACTGCAGCCAGTAAACGATCCCAGGCTCAAGCGATCCTCCCGCCTCAGTCCCCCAAGTAGCTGGGGCCACCAGCATGTGCCACCACATCCAGCTAATTTTTGGTTTTTTGGGGTTTTTTTTGTAGAGACGGGGTTTTGCCATCTTGCCCAGGCTGGTCTTTAACCCCTGAACTCAGGCAATCTGCCTCCCAAAGTGTTTGGATTACAGACGTGAGCCACTGTGCCCGGCCTATTCCTTAATTTTGAATGTTTTTATATTATATGTAATATTTATTTTCTGTTTTTGTGACTTGTTCTATGTAGCTTTTTCAGTCTTTAAAATTTTTTCAGTCTTTAAAATTTTAGTTTGAAAATGAGTAATTCCTTTGGTAAGCTGTTAAACACATTTTTATGTTGTATTTTTAGGCTATGGAGTTACTAGTAGAGAAAGCAATCAGCAGTGCTTCTAGCCCTCAGAGCCCTGGGGATGCACTGAGAAGAGTTTTTGAATGCATTTCTTCAGGGATTATTCTTAAAGGTAACTCTTACTTTGTTTTTAATGAAGTAAAATGAAGTTTACTCATTTGCTGGTTGAATAATTTTTTTTATAAGTGGACAATGCTAATAATTTCCTCTCCCTGTGGTGATTGCTGTAGGTAGTCCTGGACTTCTGGATCCTTGTGAAAAGGATCCCTTTGATACCTTGGCAACAATGACTGACCAGCAGCGTGAAGACATCACATCCAGTGCACAGGTACTGGTATTCCTAAATTCAGAGCCCTATTGGGTTACTCCATTAAGGTTTTATTTTTCTGTTATTGTCTTAAGGAATATTATAAGTCACTATATAATATTCGTTCTTCTGCTTCTGTAGTAAGCAAGCCCCTAGAAAGGATATTAAAATAGCTTGCCCAAAACTAGATTTCACTAATAGAGTTTAAAATTTTATTATTTAATTATATGGGCATTTCTAAGTAAGTGTATTGTATATTATAAAAATACAGCAATATTTTCAGTGTCTCATTAAATCTGGGTAATAGGTTATGTATCAAGATCAGCAGAAATTCTTATGTCCTCTGGTTGTACAAAAGTAATTTGCTGTGGTGTTTATGGTCATTATTGTTATAATTTAACCTTTCCTGCCACTGTCAAATAAAGTAAATAAAAATGTGGGCTCTGGAGACAGACTCCCTGGATTTGACTACCAACTCTGCCATCTCATCTGTAATATGGATATAAAAGCAGTATCTGTCTCAAACAGGATTGTTGAGAAGATTAAATGAGTTAATATGTGTAACCATCTTAACACCTGGTATATGGAAGGATCTTAAATGTTAGCTAGTATTATCATCTTATTAACCCTATTGAATAATTATGAAAAAGAAAAAACATTGAACCTAATGAATGAATGGAAAAAAATCAACCTAAGATTGGTACAGCTTCCCTTTGTTGATTCCAGAAATGTGCTGAGTAGGGGAAAAAAGCATACTAGCTATGAACAGTAATTCACTCTAAGATGCTTGGGAGTTGTTGGATTTAAGATCTTGATTGGTTATCTTGAATAATTTGGAATTTGAAAGATGTCAGGATCAAAGTAAATTGTTAGGCCAGAAATGGTATTGGGGGAGAGAGAGTAGTAATAGAATATTATGGATATCTTACAGACTCAAAATATGACCAAATTCTTATGCATTCGCTGTTTTTATTTCTTTCATTTTATATTCTAGGGAAGAAGATAGTTGCCTTAAGTGTCTGTTCTTTCTCCCTTTAGTACTTAAAGGAATTAGTTATAAATTTAAGGGAAAAGAAATTCAAAAGGAAACACTTGAAAACTAACAAAATTCATCATTAAGAAGAATGCTTACTTTTCTAAAAATGTGACCTTAAAGAAAGTGGTCTGGTTTTAAGAGGACGTTTAGGAGAACATTTAGAAGTGTTCTTAATAAAAGTGAACGAGTTACACAATATACAATGCATTTATGTAGCACTCATGACGTAATACTTGGATGAGGAGGAAAACAGATTAGTGTTTCCTAGGAGTGTTTAAGGATAGGAAGAAGGAATGGCATGGCTCTAAAGGGGGTCTTTTGGCAACAGAACAGTTACCCATCTTGATTGTGATGGTAGTTACATGACATAAGGCGGCATGTGTGATAAAATTGCATAGAGCTATACACACATGCACACATAAATTAGTGCATATATAACTGGTGAAATCTGAAGTACCAGTGTCAATTTCGGTTAGTTTTTCGGTGGCCTGTAGCGCCCATGTTAATGTCCCTCTTCCTTCCTTTGTCTCTGGAATGATTCCATATTTCCTTCCACAGTGTCTACCTTTATTCTTGTATGCCACTATATGTCTTTTCTCCAGTGATCCTTTTCAAGTTGCTTCTGCCAGATACAGCCTTTGTCATTTATTAAAATTCCTTCCTATAGGTAGGCGTACATAGTTTAACATACCTTTAATAAACAGGCAAAATTTATAGGGTTAATCATCCCTTCCCAAGAAGCAAATGGATTATAAAATAAACCTTTAATCCTCGATGATGATTAAAATTCCAAAATGTCTTTGGGAATGATTTGTATCAATCTTCAAATTTAGTTTGCTGCTAAATAATTGCCAGTAATATGGTAGAATTTTCTCTTCTTGTCAGACCTTAGAAGTACCTACAAACCACATGCAGAACAAGAGATTATAGGGTGCTCACTCAAACCTCAAATGCTATATTGGTTTTACTTACTGGAGTATTCCTTCATTTAGAAACTCATAAAATATTAGCATAGGCTGGGCCGGGTGCAGTGGCTTCCACCTGTAATCCCAGCACTTAAGGAGGTCAAGGCGGGCGGGCCACCTGAGGTCAGGAGTTTGAGACCAACGTGGCAAAACCCTGTGTCTACTAAAAATAAAAGAATTAGCCGGGCGTGGTGGCATGTGAGTGCCTGTAGTCCAGGCTACTTGGGAGACTAAGGCACGAGAATCGCTTAAACCCAGGAGGCACAGGTTGCAGTGAGCCGAAATCGCACCATTGCACTCTAGCCTGGGCAACAGAGTGAGACTCCATCTCAAAAAAAAAAAAAAAAAAGAATAGGCTGATGCTTAGTAAGAATATCTCTGTGGTAAAAATGTATAAATATTCATTATTATATATGAGATATCTTTTGATATTTTCTGTTAATGTAGAAGAAAACACTATTATGTTATCTTTAGGAAGGACCTTTTATAAGTCTCTCTGAATAAAGAATTAGTATATTATGATGATAAATCTTCCTAGTTCTCACCTGGGAAGTTAACAGTCTTATAACTTAAGTGAAGTAGAGAAACGGTACTGGCAAAAGTCCCTAATAATTGTAGATGAAGTAGAATGCTGTATCAAGTCCTGACTACAGATGACTTTGAGACTTTCAGGATTTTCAAAGCAGGTGTATGAGCCAAAATTCTTAGCAACTAGAATTATCTAACTTGGGGGAAAAGTTTTGGAGCAATAAATTCCCATGTGGATGACTAAACCAGTAACTATCCTTTATCTCAAAATCAGAGCAGGGATTTAAAATAGTGTGAACAGCAGTCACTTTGAAAAACAGGTTAGAGCCAGGCACAGTGGCTCACGCCTGTAATCTCAAGACTTTGGGAGGCTGAGGCAAGAGGATTGGTTGAGCCCATGAGTTCAAGAACGACCTGGCAACATAGCATAACCTTATCTCTATAAAAAATTTTTTTAATTAGCTCTGGGCATGGTGGCGTGCACCTGTAATCGCAGCTACTCAGGTGGCTTGAGGTGGGAGGATCACTTAAGCCCAGGAAGTTGAGGGTTCAGTGAGCAATGGCTCATGCCTGTAATCCGAACAGTTTGCGAGGCCGAGGTGGGAGGATCTCTTGAGCCCAGGAGTGCATTACCAGTTTGAGCAACATAGCAAGACCTCATCGCTTAAAAAAAGGAAAAGAGAAACAGGTTAGCAGCTCCTCAGTAAGTTAAACATGGATTGCTGTATGCCTCAGCAACTCTTTGATATCTAGATATATACTTAAGAGAATTGAAAAAAATATGTCCCCACAAAAACTTGTACACAAATATTCAAAACAGCATTATGTGTGATAGTCAAAAAGTAGCAACAACCTAAATGTCCATCAATTGATGAATGGGTGAATAAACAAATACAGTCATACGTTAGAATATTATTCAGCCAGACATTAAAAGAAAGTACTGACACATGCTATGATGTGAATGAACCTTAAAAACTTTATCCTAATTATCTCGTTTATATGAAATATTCATAATAGGCAGTGGTAGTTCTCAGGGCCTAAGGATAGAGGGGTTGGGGAGTAACTGCTGTTGGGCTTGGGGTTTCCACTTAGGGTAATGAAAATGTTCTAGGATAAGATAATAGTGATAGTTGAGTAACTTTGTAAGTATTCTGAAAACTTCTGAATTTTACATTTTAAAGGTGTATATTTTAAAGGTATGTGAATTTTACCAGAAAAAGAGTCCAGTTACATTGAAGGCTATAACTATGTAGAGAAAGTTGCTGTTTAATCAAGTGACTGTAAAATTTCCTTGAATTAGGTTAAGTGGGTATATCCCTAGAAATGGAGGGATAGATTAAATCATGTCTCTGAAGTCCCCCTAGTTTCAAGATTTTAAGAAATCTTTTGAAATTGGTGCCAAAGATATTCTTACATACACATGGTCATGTAGTGAAAGTTTATTTTTATTCATGAAGTAACAAGGAATTTTTCTTTCTTTTTTTTTTTTTTTCCTTAAGACGGAGTCTCGCTCTGTCACCCAGGCTGGAGTGCAAAGGCGCAATCTCAGCTCACCTCCGCCTCCTGAGTTCAAGCGATTTTCCTGCCTCAGCCTCCTGAGTAGCTGGGATTACAGGCATGTGCCACCACCCCCCGGCTACTTTTTGTATTTTTAGTAGAGACGGGGTTTCACCATGTTGGCCAGGCTGGTGTCGAACTCCTGACCTCGTGGTCCACCCACCTTGGTCTCCCAAAGTGCTGGGATTACAGGCGTGAGCCACCGCACCCGGTCAAGGATTTTCTTTCCTAATCATAGTGATTTCAGTCATACACAATGTTTCTATACTGATGCACATTTTTTTGTGTTCTAAGGAAGGAATCTTTTGGCATTGGCTGCTGTTAGGGAGCAACTTAGACTCATTGAAAACCAGCTACAGTATCAGTACATTTTTAAGATTGCACAGTGAATGCCACATTCTTCTGGCTGAAAGTAAACAACCCATTAAATAGATATTAGCATATCTTTAAGCTTTAGGGCAGGGGTATCCAGTCTTTTGGCTTCCCTGGGCCACATTGAAAGAAGAATTGTGTTGGGCCATGCATAAAATACACTGACACTAATGATAGTTGATGGGCTAAAAAGAAAAAAAAAAATCGCAAAAAAATCTCATAATGTTTTAAGAAAGTTTATGAATTTGTATTGGGCCACATTCAACACTGAGGGCCACGGATTGGACAGACTTGCTTTAGGGGTTTTTTGGTTTTATTTTTTTGTTTTTTTGAGACGGTTTCACTGTCACACAGGCTGGAGTGCAGTGGCACCATCTGGGCCCACTGCAGCCTCAACCTCCCCGTCTCACACAATCCTGCCTTAGCCTTGCAAGTAGTTGGAACCACAGATGTGCGACACCATGCCCAGCTAATTATTTGTAGAGACAGGGTCTCCTTATGTTTCCCAGGCTGGGCTCAAGTGATCTTCCCACCTCCACCTCCCAAAGTGCTTAGCCACCATGCCCGGCTAAGCTTTAGAATTTTAATAGATTTTAATAAATTTTAATAAAAGAAAAATGAAGTAAAAGCACAAGATAAGATGATATGATTCAGTGCCAAAGTTTGCCTTCCCTTCCCTTATCTTGGAAAACAGTAGGCTCTTTTTGGCTCTCAGTTCTGCTGATAGTTCGATATGCCCTTCAGCCAAGACGATTAATTAACATTTGGTCTGAACTTCCCCCCTCCCCTTTTTTTTTTAATTTAAAAAAAAAGTTAATTAAAATTTCAGAGGGAGAAGAGGATAGAACTTTAAAAATTGATTTAAATTTTTTTTTTTCTTTGAGACGGAGTCTCGCCGTGTCGCCCAGGCTGGAGTGCAGCCGCCTCCGGGGTTCATGCCATTCTGCCTCTGCCTCCCGAGTAGCTGGGACTATAGGCACCCGCCACCAAGCCCGGCTAATTTTTTGTATTTTTAGTAGAGACGGGGTTTCACCGTGTTAGCCAGGATGGTCTGGATCTCCTGACCTCGTGATGCGCCAGTCTAGGCCTCCCAAAGTGCTAGGATTACAGGCTTGCGCCACCGCGCCCGGCCTTAAATTTTCTTTTTTTATTTTTTGAGACAGTCTCTCTCTGTCACCCAGGCTGGATTGCAATGGCACAATTTTGGCTCACTGCAACCTGTGCCTCCCGGGTTCAAGCGATACTCCTGCCTCAGCCTCCAAAGTAGCTGGGACTACAGGTGCATGCCACCACACCCGGCTAATTTTTCTATTTTTAGTAGAGATGGGGTTACACCATGTTGGCCAGGCTGGTCTCAAACTCCTGACTTAAGCGATCCTTCCACCTTGGCCTTCCAGAGTGCTGAGATTACAGGCATGAGCCATCACATTCAGCCAATTTTAATTTTCATTTGGAATTGGAAATACAAGAGAATTGCTAAGAAAAGTTCAACTCTACCAGATATCAAAACATCCTATAAACCAACAGAAATTTAAACTGTAGTTATGGCACAGAAGTAGACAGATAAACCTTTGGAATGGAAGAACCTTGAAGTAGACCATTAGATATAAGGGAATTAATGTATGACAGACCTGATGCTTCAAATCAGTGGAAAAAGATGAATCATCAGCAAAGTGGTATTGAGATAACTGGCTAATCATCTAAGGAAAAAATTAAGCTATACATACATACAAGTAAATGCCAGCTGACTTAAGGAGCCACACATAAATTATCAAAGTATTAAGAAAAATATAATTTTTACATAGGCAAGATCTTTTTAAGAAGGCTGTAAATACAGGAAGTCATGAAGGATATTATTGGAAATTTCATATGGTATCTTTAAACTTAGGGAAATGAGCCAGCAAAAATATGCTGCACCTCACTGATTGATTAAAAAATACAAGTTGGCTGGCCCTGGTGGCCCACACCTGTAATCCCAGCACTTCGGGAGGCCAAGGCAGGCAGATCTCCGGAGGTCAGGAGTTCAAGACCAGCCTGGCCAACATGGTGAAACCCCATCTCTACTAAAAATACAAAAGTTAGCCTGGCGTGGTGGTATGCACCTGTGATCCCAGCTGCTTTGGAGGCTGAGGCAGGAGAATCACTTGAACCCTAGAGGCGGAGGTTGCAGTAAGCTGAGATCGCGCCACTGCACTCCAACCTGGGCAACAGAGCAAGACTCTGTCTCAAAAAATAAATAAATAAATACAAGTTATAGCCAGTCATGATAGCTCAAGCCTGTAATCCTAGCAGGTGAGCAGAGTTCAAGACCAGCCTGGGCAACATGGCGAAAATACCCCGTCTCTACAGAAAATAGAAAAATGAGCCAGGTGTGTTGGTGTGAGCCTGTGTTCCTGGCTACTCGGGAGGCTGAGTGAGATCTGAGCCCAGGGAGGTCGAGGTTGCAGTGAGTTGTGATGGCACCACTGCACTCCAGCCTGGGCAACAGAGTAAGACCATGTCTCAAAAATGTTGTAAATAACAATTAGATACTGTTTTGCCCATCATACTTGTGAGAATATTTTTCTGTTTATAGTATCCAGAAGGGGGAAGCAGACTTGCATACATATTACTAGTGGATATATTAATCAGTATAAATTTTGGGGAGCTTCATTTGTTAGTACTCATCACTTTTATATGTTCAGCGGTCCCACTGATTAATAAAAGTTCTTTCTCCAGAACTTGTCACATTAAGTGCACAGAAACATCTTAAAACAAGCATTCATTGTAATACAGTAATAAAAATACTTGGAGGCCGGGCGCAGTGGCTCACGCCTGTAATCCCAGAACTTTGGGAGGCCGAGGCGGGCGGATCACGAGGTCAGGAGATCGAGACAATCCTGGCTAACACAGTGAAACCCCGTCTCTACTAAAAATACAAAAAAAAAAAAATTAGCCAGGCGTGGTGGCGGGCACCTGTAGTCCCAGCTACTTGGGAGGCTGAGGCAGGAGAATGGCGTGAACCCGGGAGGCGGAGCTTGCAGTGAGCCAAGCTCGCACCACTGCACTCCAGCCTGGGCAACAGAGCGAGACTCTGTCTCAAAAAACAAAACAAAACAAAAATACTGAAACCAGCCTAGTGTTTACCAGTAGAAAATTAGGTAAATAAGTTTGGTACATCCACATGAGTATAATTACAGTTCTTAAGTTACATACTGTCTACCAAATGCCTAGGAAAGCCATCAGCAACCATTCTGTTAAAGCAGGTAGCTCCCATTTTTCTTTGTTTTCAACATCCTGCTTGTTTCTTTGATGTCACTTCTCATAATTTTTGTAATTTTGTGTGTGTGTTAAAGTTTTTTGGTTTTTTTTTTACTTAATGTTTAAGATAACAAAATGGCATGCACACAGAAAAGCTAGGAAATAAAAACATGAGAACATACAGATTATTTCAGTTGTGAAAGTAATTCCTTTAAATGTTTCTTTCATTACACATGCTTTTTTAGGTTGCATTTGGAGGGAGGTAAATGTAGTAAGTATTACTACTTGGGGTTTTTCAATTAACTCAAAATTCTGACTCTCTTTGTTGCAGTTTGCATTGAGACTCCTTGCATTCCGCCAGATACACAAAGTTCTAGGCATGGATCCATTACCGCAAATGAGCCAACGTTTTAACATCCACAACAACAGGAAACGAAGAAGAGATAGTGATGGAGTTGATGGATTTGAAGCTGAGGGGAAAAAAGACAAAAAAGATTATGATAACTTTTAAAAAGTGTCTGTAAATCTTCAGTGTTAAAAAAACAGATGCCCATTTGTTGGCTGTTTTTCATTCATAATAATGTCTACATTGAAAAATTTATCAAGAATTTAAAGGATTTCATGGAAGAACCAAGTTTTTCTATGATATTAAAAAATGTACAGTGTTAGGTATTATTTGAATGGAAAGACACCCAAAAAAAAAAATGTGCTCCGACTAGGGGGAAAACAGTAGTTCCGATTTTTTCCCATTATTTTTATTTTATTTTCTGGTTGCCCTAGCTTCCCCCCCTATTTTTGTGTCTTTTATTAACTAGTGCATTGTCTTATTAAATCTTCACTGTATTTAATGCAGGATGTGTGCTTCAGTTGCTCTGTGTATTTTGATATTTTAATTTAGAGGTTTTGTTTGCTTTTTGACACTAGTTGTAAGTTACTTTGTTATAGATGGTATCCTTTACCCCTTCTTAATATTTTACAGCAGTACGTTTTTTTGTAACGTGAGACTGCAGAGTTTGTTTTTCTATATGTGAAGGATTACAACACAAAAAGTTATCCTGCCATTCGAGTGCTCAGAACTGAATGTTTCTGCAGATCTTGTGGCATTTGTCTCTAGTGTGATATATAAAGGTGTAATTAAGACAGAGTTCTGTTAATCTAATCAAGTTTGCTGTTAGTTGTGCATTAGCAGTATAAAAGCTAATATATACTATATGGTCTTGCAACAGTTTTAAAGCCTCTGCATAATTGATAATAAAAATGCATGACATTCTTGTTTTTAATAGACTTTTAAAATCATAATTTTAGGTTTAACACGTAGATCTTTGTACAGTTGACTTTTTGACATAGCAAGGCCAAAAATAACTTTCTGAATATTTTTTTCTTGTGTATAAGTGGAAAGGGCATTTTTCACATATAAGTGGGCTAACCAATATTTTCAAAAGAACTTCATCATTGTACAACTAACAACAGTAACTAGCCCTTAATTATGGTGACAGTTCCTTATTGGTGTGTGTGAGATTACTCTAGCAACTATTACAGTATAACACAGATGATCTTCTCCACACACCCCATCACCCAGATAATTTACAGTTCTGTTAACAGTGAGGTTGATAAAGTATTACTGATAAAAAATTATCTAAGGAAAAAAACAGAAAATTATTTGGTGTGGCCATCTTACCTGCTTATGTCTCCTACACAAAGCTAAATATTCTAGCAGTGATGTAATGAAAAATTACATCTTACTGTTGATATATGTATGCTCTGGTACACAGATGTCATTTTGTTGTCACAGCACTACAGTGAAATACACAAAAAATGAAATTCATATAATGACTTAAATGTATTATATGTTAGAATTGACAACATAAACTACTTTTGCTTTGAAATGATGTATGCTTCAGTAAAATCATATTCAAATTTATTGAGTACTGCATCTTGTTATTCCTGACAAATGTTTGTTGTCTAAGCACATAATTTTCAGAAAATTTTGTAATTCAATACTATATTGGCTTAATTTCTTTCTAGGGTCAGAATCTACCCCCAAAGTCTTAGAGGGTCAGAATCTTCCCCCAAAGTCTTAGAGGGCCAGGAAACTGTAGGAGACCACAGGGGAAATAGAACAGGAGACTCAGACTTTTCTCCCAGATTCATCACACACAGATTATCTAATCTAAAAATCTGAAAATTGTCAAAATCTGAAACTTTTTGAGGGCCTACATGACATTCAAAGGAAATGCTCATTGGACCATTTCAGATTTTCAGATTAGGGATACTCAACTGATAGAAATATTCCACAATCCAAAACACTTCTGGTCCCAAGCATTTCAGCTAAGATATGCTCAACCTGTACTGTCTGTTTAACTTGGACAAGGCTTTTTTTCCCTTTGTAAATTTCTCTGGGCCTCATTTTACTCTCCTTTAGAATTTCGTTCCTCAACAATTCTCTTGGAAGAATGCTGGCCTGGCACAATGGCTCACGCCTGTAATCCTAACACTTTTGGAGCCCGAGGCAGGCAGATCTGCTTGAGCTTAGGAGTTTGAGACCAGCCTGGGCAACATGACGAAACCCCGTCTTTACTAAAAATACAAAAATATTGGCTGAGCATGGTAGAACGTGCCTGTAGTCTCAGCTACTCGGGAGGCTGAGGCAGGAGGATTGCTTGAGCCTGGGAGGTCAAGGCTGCAGTGAGATCACACCACTGCACTCCAGCCTGAGTGACAGAGTGAGAGCCTGTCTTTAAAAAAAAAAGGAGGGGAACTGACCTTTACTACACGTTGATTCTGGGCGCCATGCTAGGTCTTTTTATGTACTTTCCCATTTAAAACTATCGTAAGTGAATTGTAGGTAGTATACATCATATTTTTTCGATGAGGAAACGAGCCCAGAATGGCTAAATGAAGATTATACACCTTATGTCACTGTTTAAGTGACAGTTTCAAAGTTCATGGTCAGCACTTTGCCAGGCTGCTTCCTTCACCCTCCAATTATGTACTAAAGATGTTTTCAGCCCATCTGGGACCAAAATTTTGCATTTGGTTTGAGTGTCTTCATCCAAAAATGCAATTGGTACCATTTAAGTTTTTTACTAAAACAATTATTTCTGTATTTTCTACATAGCTTGTTTTCATAGCTGTGGCTAGACCCACATTAGTTATATGAAAGAGTAACTTGGATTGAATATTCCTTAGTATCCTCTGACAGTTCTTTTGTTTGGTTGTTTTGCTTTTTGAGACAGGGTCACGCTCTGTCCCCCAGGCTGGGGTGCAGTAGCACGATCATAGTCACAGCAGCCTCGAACCCCTGAGCTTAAGCAATTCTCCCGCTTAAGCCTCTCAAGTAGCTAGGTCTAGAGGTGTGCGTCACTACACCCAGCTCTTTTTTTGTAGAGATGGAGGCCTTGCTGTATTGCCCAGGCTGGTCTCAAACTTGTGGTCTCAAGCAGTCCTTACCCACCTCGGCCTCCTAAAGCACTGGGTTTACAGGCATGAGCCACCACACCTGGCCTGATTTTTTTGTTGTTGTTTGAGACAGTCTCGCTGTTGTCACCCAGGCTGGAGTTCAGTGGCGCTATCTTGGCTCACTGCAACCTCTGCCTTTCAGGTTCAAGTAATTCTCGTGCCTCGGCCTCCCGAGTAGCTGGTATTACAGACGTGCACCACCACGCCCAGCTAATTTTTGTATTTTTAATAGTGACAGGGTTTTGCCATGTTGGCCAGGCTGGCCTTGTGAACTCCTGGCCTCAAGTGATCCACCTGCCTTGTTCTTCCAAAGTGCTGGGATTACAGGCTGGCCTGATTTTTTTAAGTCAACAATATTGTAAATAATTTTTCTGCTTACTGAAAAAAAGCAGAAGTCTTGTTTTTGCATGGTCATTACATTATTATGTTATGAATTTATAAGCAGTTCCTTTAGAGGAGCCACCATTTTTTGAATTTGACAGAGCCGTTTTATTAAAAAAAAAATTTCCCAGTAAAGGACAAATACTGGCCAGGCACAGTGGCTCACGCCTGTAATCCCAGCACTCTAGGAGGCCGAGGCGGGCAGATCACCTGAGGTCAGAAGTTCAAGTCCAGCCTGGCCATGGTGAAACCCCGTCTCTACTAAAGATACAAAAAATTAGCCGGGCGTGGTGGTGCACACCTGTAATCCCAGCTACTCAGGAGGCTGAGGCAGGAGAATGGCTTAAAACCAAGAGGCGGAGGTTGCAGTGAGCTGAGATCATGCCATTGCACTCCAGCCTGGGCAACAAGAGCAAAACTCCGTCTCAAAAAAAACAACAAAAAAAAGGACGAATATAGGTCATACAAAGATGATAATGTTCATAGCAGTGGTCTGAAACTTGACTGTTCATGAGTCATCTGAGGAACATTCTAAAAGTTAAGATTTCCGGCCAGGCATGGTGGCTCATGTCTGTAATCCTAACAGTTTGGGAGGCCAAGGCAGGCAGATTCCTTGAGCCCAGGAGTTCAAGACTAGCCTGGGCAACGTGGCAAAACCCTGTTCTAAAAAGTTAAGAGTTCTAAATCCTAACTGCAAAGATTCTTATTGAGATAGGCCAGAAAAGCCTGAGAATCTGCAATTTAAGATGACTTTATATTAGGTAATTTACTTGAATGGGTGGTTCATACACATGATATAAAAAAAGTTGACAGGTATAAAGTGATACATAGCATAAAACAAGTATTCTCCTTTACCTTGCCTTCCAATTATGTTACTTCCCTTCCAAGAGATAGTGTCAGCTCTTTGTGTGTCCTTCCACAGATGATCACTGTATGTGTTAGCATGAATGGATGCATCGTGTTTGTTCTTTACAAAAATGATAGCATACCGTGTATGATCTACACCTTGCTGCTTTTTATTTAAGGTATCTTGGAGTCTTGGAGGTTATTATGTATCAGTACACATAGAGAAACTGCATTTTTAACAATCACTATAGGATCATTCCAAATTAGATTTTTTGTTTTTCTTAAATTTTATCTGGGAGACTACGCCATTGCACTCCAGCCTGGGTGACGAGCAAAAATCCATCTCAAAAAAAAAAAAAAAAGCTGGGCACGGTGGCTGATGCCTATAATCAACACTTTGGGAAACTGAGGCAGGTGGGTCTCCTGAGGTCAGGAGTTTGAGACCAGTCTGGCCAATATGATGAAACCCCCTCTCTACTAAAAATACAAAAATTAGCCAGGCATGGTGGTGGGAGCCTGTAATCCCAGCTACTCGGGAGGCTGAGGCAGGAGAACGGTGTGAACCCAGGAAGTGGAGCTTGCAGTAAGCCAAGATCGTGCCACTGCACTCCAGCCTGGGTGACAGCAAGACTCTGTCTCAAAAAAAAAAAAAAAAAAAAAGCCAGGGAGCGGTGGCTCACGCTTGTAATCCCAACAGTTTGGGAGGCTGAGGCGGGCAGGTCACGAGGTCAGGAGTTCGAGACCAGCCTGACCAACATGGTGAAACCCCATCTCTACTAAAGATAGAAAAATTAGCCAGGCATGGTGGCGCGCACCAGTAATGCCAGCTACTCGGAAAGCTGAGGCAGGAGAATCACTTGAACCCAGGAGGTGGAGGTTGCAGTGAGCCAAGATCGCACCACTGCACTCCAGCCTGGGCAACAGGGCGAGACTCCGTCTAAAACAAACAAACAAAAAATGTACATGGTTCTGATACAAATTGTGGATCATGCTTTAATAAATGCTTTATAGCAGTGACCATAATGTACTATACAATGCAAAACTAAACTATATTTTAAATTTAGTATTAAGTGTATTTTGTCATCAGCCAAATCGTGTATATATAGTTATCAGTATGTTAATCGGAATATTAAGCAAATCGTAATATCCCCATTCCCTAAGGAATTTTTTTTTGATACTTCAAGTTTTACGGTACATGTGCACAACATGCAGGTTTGTTACATATATATACATGTGCCATGTTGGTGTGCTGCACCCATTAACTCGTCATTTAACATTAGGTATATCTCCTAATGCTATCCCTCCCCCCTCCCCCCACCCCACAACAGGCCCCGGTGAATTTTATTGATTACCTGTAGTCTCGGTAATTTTAGTCTTCCTTTATCTTGCTTAGTGTAATAATATTGGGTGTAAAATAAAATCTGGAAATATGAAACAGTTATATTACTAACTTAAAGCCTGAATTTTTTTTTTTTTTTTTTTTTTTTGAGACAGAGTTTTGCTCTGTCCCCCAAGCTGGAGTGCAGTGGCACAATCATGGCTCCCTGCAACCTCTACCTCCCAGGTTCAAGCCATTCTGCTTCAGCCTCCCGAGTAGCTGGAATTACAGGCAAGTGCCACCACACCTGGCTAATTTTTGTATTTTTAGTAGAGACAGAGTTTCACCATGTTGTCTAAGCTGCTCTCCATTTCCTGACCTCAAGTGATCTGCCGGCCTTGGCCTCCCGAAGTGCTGGGATTACAGGTGTGAACCACCGCGCCTGGCCTGAAAAATATTTTTTAACATTAATTAAGCTGATTCTATGTTAAATACAAAGCTAATATATTCACCTCATTCTAATATAATCCCAAGTGAGACATGCTATTTAATATTAAAGAAATTGGGTCTTTAGTTTGGAAAGGACTATTCAGTTTAGCAACAAACCTAATGTGAAAGCCTTTTTCTAAAAAAAGGAAGCAACCTATGGAATAAAAGTATGAAATTGATTAAATTTCATAAAATTTAATCAAATACGGAATAAAAGTATGAAAAGATTAAATTGATTGTAGGAACTGATTACTCTAAAAATACATGAAGATTAAGAGTTCAGGCTGAGTACAGTGGCTCACGCCTGTAATGCCAACACTTTGGGAGGCCCCAGTGGGCAGATCACCTGAGGTCAGGAGTTCGAGAACAGCCTGGCCAACATGGTGAAACCCTGTCTCTACTGAAAATACAAAACTTAGCCAGTGTGGTGGTGCATGCCTGTAGGCCCAGCTACTTGGGATGCTGAGGGAAGAGAATCTCTTGAACCTAGGAGGTGGAGGTTGCAGTGAGCCAAGATCATGCCACTGCACTCCAGCCTGGGCAACAGAGCAAGACTCCATCTCAAAAAAAGAAAAAGAAAAATGAGAAAACTTGATGACACAGGGCTTGTGTTTCTACATGGTAACAATTAGCTAAAGCTGAGAGTAGGGGCCACTCCCTTTAGAAGATAAATTTTAGACATAACCTGTTCTGAACAGTTTACCACAGCCTCCATCATTTCCTATTTGTCTACCAGGCTAGCCCTGTTGGCATTTGATTTTATTATATCTCAGACCCCAGACATTTTACCTATGTATTCTTCCAACTTTAACATGGAACCGTATCTGTTAAGTTTGGGAACAATCTCTAGTTATTTTCCATTCTAAATTTTTAAATTCTGTAATCAGGTATTTCCTATACATTAGGATATTTAATGCTCCTCTACTTAATGTAACAGACAGCCACAGAGAAACACTTGCACTTTCTTCACTGATTTTTTTCAAAAGAAATATCAGGAAGAAGGCCTGAAATTTAAGCAAGCTACAGCCTTAAGAAAATCCATCCTTTCATTGGAGAGACCAAATCCATTACCTTCTGAAAATCTCAGTCACGTTGGAGTAGCCTGCCTGTCATCCTGTCTGCTCTCTGGACTAAGAGAAAGAGGTAGAAGAAAGGGCATTGGGAGTTGAAGAAGAAGAAAACATAGATGAGCTAAAAGGAAAATAAGATATTTCTAGATGACAAAATTTCTAATTGTATTGTTACTGGAAAGGGGTCCCAATTTCTTGGATCTCACATGAGAAAGAATTCAGGGCAAGTCCATAGAGTAAGGTGAAAACAAGTTTATTAGGAAAGTAAAGGGATAAAGAATGGCTACTCCATAGGCAGAGCAGCAGCCTGGGCTGCTCAACTGCTTATACTTATTGTTACTTCTTGATTATATGCTAAACAAAGGGTGGATTATTTATGAGTTTTCTGGGAAAGGGGTGGGCAATTCCTGGAACTGAGGGTTTCTCCCATTTTTAGACCATGTAGGGCAACTTCCTGACATTGCCATGGCATTTGTAAACTGTCATGGTGCTGGTAGGAGTGTCTTTAAGCACGTTAATGCATTATAATTAATGTATAATGAGCAGTGAGGATGACCAAAGGTCACTTTCATCACCATCTTTGTTTTGGTAGGATTTGGCCAGCTTCTTTACTGCATGCTGTTTTATCAGCAAAGTCTTTGTTACCTGTATCTTGTGCCAACCTCCTATCTCTTCCTGTGACTACAAATACCTAACCTCCTGAAAATGCAGGCCCATAGGCCCATAGCCTTATTTTACCCAGCTTCTATTCAAGATGGAGTTGCTCTGGTTTGAATGCCTCTGACATATTTTCCCCCTGCCTTTTATAAGAAAACCCTTAATCCTGAGTTCTAGAGGGACAAAGATCCATCTTCTGTAACTTCTTCAGGGTGAGTAAGGGCAATGATATTCCTGGTTAACAAATTAGGGTCTCTTGTATTTGTGGTAGAGAGGCACTCAGTAAGAAAGCATCAGTATGGTGAGGGCCATTCATAACTTTGAGTTCCAACAAAAGGTAATATCTAGAAGATTAATAAGTGTTCAATTTAAGAAAACATTCAGTAAGCTTATCCTGCATTCCTACACAAAGAGTACAACAGCAATATATTCCACAACAGTAAAGCAAAATAAGTAAAATTATCCCAAGTAAACTAAATAGAAGACTTTCCATGAACTGGGCAACTGTTGGAACCAAGCTGATACAGGGTTGCCAGCTGATTCCAATATGTGCCTAGAATTAGAATACTTATCCAGACTTTTTTCACAGTACCCATCCATCTCTCTTGTTTCTTCTAAGCTGTAGCCAAAGATCACTGGTTGGTTCACAGGAATAAGCAGTCGGTCTAAATTGCAGAATAAAAAAAAACTTAAAAAATACTGATGAGACTAGAATCTAATCACAGGTGTACCATTGTTCTTGAAACCTGATTTTTTTCTCTTTCCAGTCTTCCATTTTTACTAAAGACAAATCATACTAAGACCGATTTGCTTGCAAAAATAAGCTTTTTTGAAAAGATAAATCAGGTAGAGAGAAAACAAATATACTCCAAATTTTGTTCATGGGAATATACTTTACTCAATTGTTAAAAGCTGTAAATAGCTCAAAAGAAAAGTTGTCTTGACTCCGAAAAACAAAACAAAGGATTAGCAATATTTTAAGCAAAAGGTCAAAAAAGATTACTTCAGTCTTCCATTAGTTCAGTCCTTGAAGTTAACTCCTGTTGATATTCATGAACATTTCAACTCTCCATGAGAGTCCTGAAAGTTTTTTCCTCTATTCTAGTGTAACAGTCTTCAAAGTTGTCAGGAACCTGCATTCAACAGCACTTGTCAAAGTCCTACAGCTAATTATACACCACCTTTTGAAGAGGATTAAAACAAAACAACAATAGTCTGTGGATGACAAAAACTCTTAGACCAGCCATTATTTAAGCCACAATGGATTAGGAATTTTGGTTACCTCTATGGTACACAATAATTTTACATAACAATTATAATTATTAATAACATACACTATGTCATATCAGAATTATAGGAGTTTCCCATAATTTTGGAACACATACCAATAATGTATTTATACAAATATAGTGCAAAGAAAGCCACCATTTCATATTTGGCAATGCTTCCTATATGATTTTTATACCAAATAAACCAGTTTCAGCTTTGCATTAATGTACTATTAATGTTAAACCCAATTCTTAATAAAACCTTGGCTGGGTGCAGGGGCTCATGCCTGTAATCCCAGCACTTTGGGAGGCCGAGGCAGGCGGATCAACTGAGGTCAGGAGTTCGAGACTAGCTTGGCCAACATGGCAAAACCCCGTCTTTACTAAAAATAGAAAAAAATTAGCTGGGCGTGGCGGTGGGCACCTGTAATCCCAGCTACTCAGGAGGCTGAGACAGGAGAATCTCTTGAACCCGGGAGGCAGAGGTTGCGGTGAGCCAAGATCACGCCATTGTACTCCAGCCTGGGCAACAAGAGTGAAACTCTGTCTCAAAAAACAAACAAACAAAAAACAAAAAACAAAAAAAAACATTAATTTTTCACAAACCTTCAGATTTATCCTAACTTGAAACAATCATTTAACCCTTTAAGCAAAAAAAAAAACCCCACATTCCCATGCCTTCTTAAAATATTTTACTTGGGGTGGGTGCAGTGGCTCATGCCTATAATCCCAGCACTTTGGGAGGCTGAAGCAGGCAGATCATGAGGTCAGGAGATCAAGACCATCCTGGCTAACACGGTGAAACCCCATCTCTACTAAAAATACAAAAAATTAGCCAGGCGTGGTGGCAGGCACCTGTAGTCCCAGCTACTCGGGAGGCTGAGGCAGGAGAATGGCGTGAACCCGGGAGGCGGAGCTTGCAGTGAGCAGAGATCACGCCACTGCACTCCAGCCTGGGCCTGGCTGACACAGCGAGACTCAGTCTCAAAAAATATATATATAGATAGATATAGATAGATAGATGATAGATAGATGATAGATAGATAGATGATAGATAGATAGATAGATAGATAGATAGATAGATAGATATAGATAGATATTTTACCAAAAACACATTTCACTTTTCTTACACACCTTGCATGTAAAACTGTTTTTACTTCCCAAAAATTACTTAAGTCACATGAACTAAAAGACATTGCACCTTTTACTTTTCTGACGAAATATTTGAATTAAGCTCTTCTTATTTTATAAGCCAATTAATCAGCTCTTTCATATATAAACATCACACACAGCACATATAAATAGGTAGAGAGAAGAAGATCCAGTAGTTGTAAGATTTTTCATTTGCCAGTTTCTTTTTTTTTTGAGACGGAGTCTCACTTTGTCACCAGGCTGGAGTGCAATGGCACGATCTTGGCTTACTGCAACTTCCACCTCCCAGGTTCAAGCGATTCTCCTGTCTCAGCCTCTTGAGTAGCTGGGATTACAGGCAAGTGCCAACACGCCCAGCTAATTCTTGTATTTTTAGTAGAGACGGGTTTCACCATGTTGGCCAGGATGGTCTTGATCTTTTGACCTCATGATCTGCCCGCCTTGGCCACCCAAAGAGCTGGGATTACAGGTGTGAGCCACTGAGCTTGACTTTTTTTTTTTTTTTTTTTTTTTCGAGACAGAGTCTTGCTCTGTCCCTAGGCTGGAGTGCAGTGGCACCATCTCAGCTCACTGCAACCTCCACCTCCCAACTTCAAGCGATTCTCACGCCTCAATCTCCTGAGCAGCCGGAATTACAGGCGCTTGCCACCACGCCCAGCTAAATTTTTTTGTTTTTTTTTTTGAGACAGAGTCCTGCTCTGTCTCCAGGCTGGAAAGCAGTAGTGCGATCTCAGCTCACTGCAACCTCCACCTCCCAGGTTCAAGCAATTCTCCTGCCTTAGCCTCCCAAGTAGCTGGGACTACAGGCATGCGCCACTACGCCCAGCTAATTTTTGTATTTTTAGTAGAGATGGGGTTTCACCATGTTGGCCAGGCTGGTCTCAATCTCCTGACCTCGTGACCTGCCCCCGCCTCAGCCTCCCAAAGTGCTAGGATTATAGGCATGAGCCACCAGGCCCAGCCAATTTTCTGTATTTTTAGTAGAGACAAGGTTTCACCACGTTGGCCAGGCTGGTCTCAAACTCCTGGCCTTAAATGATCCACCTGCCTTGGCCTCCCAAAGTGCTAGAATTACAGGTATAAGCCACCTCACCCAGCCTCATTTGCCAGTTTCTTAATTGGATTATGGGCTTCAGGGTAGAGCCCTTGGAGGGAAAGGCCAGGAAAGCATACAGTTTCTATGACAGGCACAGCTGGAAGACAAAAACAGACCCCCAAAATGAAGGGTCCCATTTTTATACTGAATCCTGGATCCCCAAAAGAGAAACGCAACAGAACAAGACAATGCAAAGATTTTACCGTGCATTTCTTTGAGTCTCACTCTGTCGCCCAGGCTGGAGTGCAGTGGCACAACTTCGGCTCACTGCAACCTCCACCTCCCAGGTTCAAGCAATTCTCATGCCTTAGTAACTGAGATTACAGGAACGCACTACCATGCCTGGCTAATTTTTGTATTTTTAGTAGAGATGGCGTTTTACCATGTTGGCCAGGCTGGTCTCCAGCTCTTGACCTCAAGCAATCTGCCTGCCTTGGCTTCCCAAAGTGCTATAATTAACAGGCGTGAGCCACCATGCCTGGCAACTTACATTTCATTGCAAAACAATCTGAAGCCAGTTAGCCCATTCCCCATGGGAGTCTTATCTCTCAGTGTTGGGGTTGGGATATTGCCCTACCTTCCAGGTGGCCAACAGCATGCTTCTCTAATCCAAACGTACAAAGAGCTGAGTATCCTCCCATAACTGCCATTAGCCATCCCCAAAGTATATTTCCTACCTAGCTATTACATATCAAAGCACTCTCATAATGTAAAATAATTTCTGATACCCCCCAAAATAAAAAACGACAGATAATGCAAAGCAAAACAGAACAGAGCCTTAGATTTTGAGAAGGATCTATTCACTTCTAATTCCCGGGATTTCATGAGGAAAACAGATGTTTTTCTCAAAACAGGGTCTGTAGCACCTCCTCTGTTTTTCCCAAGGAGTCCCAGACTGTTACAGCTTGAATAAGCTGACTTTTATCCATAGAGCTCTTAAAAAAAAAAAGTCCTCTTAAATCTCTTATTGCCTGACTTTAGCCAGGCTACACTGCCAATATTTCTGGCTTTTGAATTTTACCAAAAGTAACCTCACAGGTTACAGCATTGGGCAGTTGCCATTGCTCTTCCCAGAAGGGGCTTAGAGCAGCCAATTTTGAGCTTGCAATGACTTTTAACTGCTCAAGATAATCTTTAGAGCTTACTATGACATGAATTCCAAATTTGTGGTCCACTGAATGGCAGAGACCAAAAGAAAGTGCTGCCACATGGTTACAAACTCAAGCCACTCAGAGTGGGGTGAAATGACCTTCTGACCAGGAATTTCAGCATGTGGTCTCTGGGCAAGATCAAAGAGCAGACAATTGCCCTCAGTAATAGAAAAAATAGAGAAAGGGAAAAAAGCATTGCCTGCCGCAGGGTGGGGAAGGCAAGGTCAGAGAAACACCCACCCTCTGCAGCAACGCTGAATCAAAAGTCAGACAGCCACTTGTCACTAGCAAAGAGATCTTCTCCAGCATCCCATTAGCTCTCAAGTTTCCCCCTTTGGGAAGAAAAAGGTTCTCTATGTCCCATGAACCTGCACATGCCTAGTCCCATCACCCATAGGTGTCACTTCCCATTTTTGTCTATAAATCTTCTTCCACCACTTGGCTGTGCTGGAGTCTCTCTGAATCTGCTGTGATTCTGGGGGCTGCTCGATTCGTGAATCATTCATTGCTCAATTAAACTCCCTTAAATTTAATTTGGCTGAATTTTTTCTTTTAACAGATGGTACCAGAAGTGGATAATTACTTGGCTTGGATCCAGTGAGATGCCTCTTACAACTGACTGAATCAGAAAGAAACTGGTGGTAAATGGTAATATTACAGGGGGTGTAAGATTTGACTTTTAAAAATTCACGGGGATGTTTGCGTTCTACCCCTTTGTTTCATTTTTCTTATATGCTCAGGTAGCAAAAAAAAAAAAAATCATTGACTGAGTTAATCAAGGGCACCTGAGAGTAAAGCCAATATTTTAGGTAAAGGTGGGATCCTTAATTTCTGGAAAACTGAGCTCCTTCCAACTTACACGTTAAACACAGAAAACAGCATAGTCTTACAGAAATGATGAAATCTTACTAAAGGTAACTTACAGTGGAACATTCTGAATGAACCACGACAGACTGAAGTACATTTAAAAATGAGGACTCCCAAAAATTAAAATCTGCTAACCTTTTAACTTAGTTACTATCCCCATCTAAAGGAAATAGACTGCAGCACCAACTGACTGACTTTGAATAAGTAATGGGGTACATTTTACCCGAGTAAAGAATGGCACTGGGTTAGAGGCCCTCCGCTCAGTAAAGTCCCTTTTGGTTAAAAATGGGTTAAAGATGACAGAGCCTTGCCAGTTTAATATTTGATGCCTCCATGCAGCCACTTGGGTGGCAACTTGCAAAATTGAGAGGCTTTTGCCTGTGGTTCCATGAGACAGAAAAAATATTATTTTCCTTTGTGTTGCAGCTTGGCCCCCAGGGCCGTGGTGCAGCCAGCAGGTCACTAGGGCCACTTGGGGAAAGGGAACCCGGAAGCCCGACATGTCAGCAAAAGAGTAAAAATTTCTTACCAGTCAGACTGCTGCCTCTCTCTCCCTGTACAAACTGGTTGAATGAATGATAAAAATCATTATCTCCTGTGAAGTTTTGATTAATGAAAAAAGGATTTATGAGGCTACTCTTGAACTATAGCCAATCTGGTAAGCTTTATGTGTCTTCCTATATCGTTCTGTCATAAAGAGGAGTTCTTTTTTTTTTTTTTTTCCAAGATGGAGCCTCGCTCTGTCACCCAGGCTGGAGTGCAGTGGCGCGATCTCAGCTCCCTGCAACCTCCGCCCCCCCGCAGGTTCAAGCGATTCTCCTGCCTCAGCCTCCCGAGTAGCTGGGATAACAGGTGCGCTGTAATTTTTGTATTTTTAGTAGAGATGGGGTTTCACCATCTTGGCCAGGCTGGTCTTGAACTCCTGACCTCATGATCCACCCGCCTTGGCCTCCCAAAGTGCTGGGATTACAGGCGTGAGCCACCGCGTCCAGCCAAGAGGAGTTGTTTAGGATAGAACATGGGCTTAAAACCCCATAAGCCCGCTGCTCAAGATGGCTCAACAAACTGGTTAATAACAAACTTTACTGAAATAAACAAACAAGAAAACTGGATGAGGTCTCCATCTTGTTTTATGTCCTCGGGAATTTGACTTTGTGAGAACATGGCGGTACTTTCTCTTGGTCTCCGCCTTCCAAGGAAGAAGAATTTTAAAGTTCATGTCATAGTTAACTCTAAAAATTACCTTAAGTAGTTAAAAGCCTTTACAAGCTCAAAATTAACTACTCTAGACTCCTTCCGGAAAGGGCAATATAAACCACCCAGTGCTGTAACTCAGTAACTAAGATTTTGTCCTTTCATAGTGACAGCCCAGGTTCAATTCCTGACTTAGAAAATAAGTCCTTTCTTGTTTAATATCTGCATAACCATTACCATTTGTTGATTGTCTTCCCCTTCTGTAACCATCTTGAATTTTCCTTTCTCAGAACACCTGTAAGGTTACTTGGTAAAGTTTAAAAGTCAGAAATATTGGCCATTTGACCTGGCTAAAGTAGGGTAATTTAAAAGAAATTTAAAAGGATTTTTTAAAAAGAGCACTATTGTTAAAAGTCAGCTTAATTAAAAACAGATATTCAAGCCCTAACAGCCTGAGACCCTTTGGGAAAAACAGGAGATGCTAGAGATCCAGTTTTTGGAAAAACCTGTTTTCTTCATGAAATCCCCAAAATTGAAAGTGGATAGACTCCTTTCAAAATCTAAGTCTCTGGTCTGTTTTGTATTACATTATCTGACATTTTTTACTTTTGGGGTTATCAGAAATTACTTTACATTATAAAAGAGATTTGGTGTGTAATAACTAGGTAGCAAATATATTTTTAGGGGTGTCTAATGACAGTTATGGGGAAACACTCAGCTCTACACATTTGTATCAGAGAAACATACTCTTGGCCACCTGAGAAGTATGGAGATGTCTCCACCCCCAGTGAGAATGAGACTCTCATGGGAGATGGACTAATTACAAAATGGATTGATTGGCTTTAGGTTGCCATATAATGAAATACATAGTAGTAACATTACACTGTCTTCTCCAATAGCATTTCGCTTTGTAGGGGGATCCAGGATACAATATGAAAATGAGACCCTTGGCTGGGCACAGTGGCTCACACCTGTAATACCAGCATGTTGGGAGGCTAAGGTGGGAGAATCATGAGGTCAGGAGTTCGAGACCAACCTGACCAACATGGTGAAACCCCATCTCTACTAAAAATACAAAACATTTATCTGGGTATAGTCGTGGGCACCTGTAATGCCAGCTACTTGGGAGACTGAGTCAGGAGAAATGCTTGTACCCAGGAGGCAGAGGTTGCAGTGAGCTGAGATTGCGCCACTGCACTCTAGCCCAGGCGACAGAGTGAGACTCCATCTCAAAAAAAAAAAAAGAGACCCTTAATTTTGGGGATTTGTTTTTGCCCTCCATCTGTGCCTACTTATTAGGCCATAGAAACTACATGCTTTCGTAGCTGTTTCTTCCAAGGACTCTACCCAAAAGCCAGTAATCCAATTAAGAAACTTAAAAATGTAAATGAAAAAATATTACAGCTACTTAATCTTCTTCTGTCTGTGTAGTTATATATGTGTTGTGTGTATAATGTTTATATGAAAGAGCTCTAATTAATTGCCTTAAAGAAAAGTAAGTACGTAAATCAAATATTTTGAAAAAAATAAAAACTATAATGTCTTTTAGTTCACACAACTTTAGTGCTCTTTGGGAAATAAAAACAGCTTTAAAGATTATTGACAAAATAAAAACATTTGATCTAAATTATACAGATTGGATATTAGCTTTACTAAATTCTTTAAGGTCATAAACTGCTTCCTTGACTTTTAAAAATTGTTCAATTTATTTTGGAGTGTTAGATTCTACATAAGGCCTGCAAACATGTGGAATTAACAGTGCTCCCTAACTATACGAAGAAGGTTATAAAGAAAAGAGATTTTATATAAGAAAGACCTTGTATAGTAAATTATTGTCCTAAAATAAAATAACTGGTTATTTAAAAACAGAGATGTTCAGGACAAGTCAAAGTCCAAACATGTCATAGATGGTCTGTGTAAGTCGTGAAAGGATTCATGAAAGGAAATTTGTCCACCAAAAGTAAAAGTTGTTAAGAGTTACCAATAAAACATGTAATTGAGACTGGAGAAATAGGTTCATGCACAAGGTGTGAGAGGAAAGTAAAATATGTTTTTCATAAAAGATTATAAAAAGGCATGAGAATGTAAATTTTTGCCTGATTTAAAGGATGAAAAGATTTTTAAATTAGATAACATAAATCTAAAAGTTGAAGCAAATTGTGGAAAAATTAATCTTGTAAAAAAAATTCTGTGTGCAGCCAGGCGCGGTGGCTCACGCCTGTAATCCCAGCAGTTTGGGAGGCGGAGGTGGGTGGATCACGAGGTCAGGAGATTGAGATCATCCTGGCTAACATGGTGAAACCCCATCTCTACTAAAAATACAAAAAATTAGCTGAGCATAGTGGTAGCTGCCAGTAGTCCCAGCTACTCAGGTGGCTGAGGCAGAAGAATGGCATGAATCCGGGAGGCAGAGCTTGCAGTGAGCTGCGATCACGCCACTGCACTCCAGCCTGGGCAACAGAGCAAGACTCTGTCTCAAAAAAAAAATGTGTGTGTGAACATACTGGCTAAATTTAAAGGGTTATTATTTGGTTTTCCATAAATTGAACATCGAAAAAAAAACACAACAGGGTTTTCTTAAAAACCTGATTTACTCAGCTGGGTGCAATGGCTCATGCCTGTAATCCCAGCACTTTGGGAGGCCAAGACAGGCAGATCACCTGAGGCTGGGAGTTCGAGACCAGCCTGACCAATGTGGAGAAACCCCATCTCTACTAAAAATACAAAATTAGCTGGGCACAGTGGCACATGCCTGTAATCCCAGCTACTCGGGAGGCTGAGGCAGAAGAATCTCTTGAACCTGGGAGGCGGAGGTTGTAGTGAGCCCAGATTGCACCATTGCACTCCAGCCTGGGCAACAAAAGCAAAACTCCATCTCAAAAAAATCTTTCACAAACATTGTAAAGGGTTATAAAAGGTTTATAAAAATCTCACCTCATGGTCAAACTGGTTAAGCATAATATAAAGTGTTTTAAACCTTTAACATCTTTAACAGACTCCCTCAAATCAAATTGCAGCTTCAAAATTGTCTTATCTAACCTCTAACTTTGGGATACTACAGAGGGCCCCAAGACATCCAAAAGAAAGGTAAACAGGATTATTTAACCTACGAAGTTACATGGGAAACATTGTCAAAATAAAAATAATGTTTAACCTTCTTCAGGTTATGTTTTAATGAACAATATTAACATATGTTCCAAAATTGTATGGGATTTCTAAAATTCTAATGTGTCTGAGTATATGCTATCAATCATAATTAGTTATTATGTTAAGTCATCATAGACCACAGAAATAACCAAATTTCCTTGTCAATTGTGTCTTTTTTTTTTTTCTTTTTTTTAAGACGGAGTCTCGCTCTGTCGCCCAGGCTGGTGTGCAGTGGCGCGATCTTGGCTCACTGCAAGCTCCGCCTCCTGGGTTCATGCCATTCTCCTGCCTCAGCCTCCTGAGTAGCTGGGACTACAGGTGCCTGCCACCACACCCAGCTAATTTTTTGTATTTTTTAGTAGAGATAGGGTTTCACCGTGTTAGCCAGGATGGTCTCGATCTCCTGACCTCGTGATCCGCCCGCCTCGGCCTCCCAAAGTGCTGGGATTACAGGTTTGAGCCACCACACCCGGCCTCAATTGTGTCTTTAACTATAACTATCTAAAGTCATTTCCACAGTTAATTGCTTAATACTGATGCAGTTTCTGAAAACTTTACAAACACACAAAATCCCAGAATATGGTGTCTTTTAGGAGATTCAAGAAAAGATAAAAAGGACCCTAAAAACACTCTTAAGTACAGGTTTCTAATAACTTTAGAATCATATCATTTAAACTGGGGAAGAATTCCCGGTTTGATGAAAAGACTGACTGGTTTATAAAACTACTAACCTAAATAGACAAAAATTAATTGAATACCAAGAAAATACTTTACCAGATTTTCATGGTAAATCAACTGATACTGAAATCACTTAAATATACAATTCAATAAACTCCATGGTCTAAGTCAAATTACCCATGATAATCCATCAGTTATCAGTACTATGCACCTAATTTAGAAAAACAACTGGTATTCAAGAAGACCTAAGTCTAATATTAATTAAACATGGACTTATGGAGAACCAAGAAGCCCACCTTGTCTTTCCTGAGTTCTTAAAACTTTTGTTACTAAAAGTTATGCATTCCATGACTCATCATGGAAAAGATTAAATAATCCAAATTAAATATATTGGTGTGGTAACTTATAAATTGCTAAAATAGTTTATAACCAATGTTTGGTTTGTCAAACGCATATTCCTGTGAAGACAGTCAAAGCTTCAGGTACACTCAACTACCTGATGGGTCATTTAAACGTTTATAAAGAGATTTCATTAAATCATCATTTTCAATACATGTTTTCTGATTATATAAAACCTTTCCCATACAAGAGGACTGATGTTATAACACTAAATTATTATGCCACAGTATATTTTCACCAGGTAAAGAAAACTTTTTATGATTCACTGAGGACAATCAACTCCTTCACAATCTAGAACCCAAAGATTGCAAGAAAGACCCTACTTGCCATTGAAGACTAAGCTCTAATTTTTTTATCTTGCCCAAATTCTTATCCAAGGGGTCTGAGGAGTCATGCCCTACAAACCATAAATTCTCATCAGATGGGTTTTATTTAACCCTATATTCATGACTTACTTTCCAACCTGACTCTGGCATTACAAGACAAAGAAGAAAATCAAAATATTGTACCCCAAAACATGTTTCTTTGCCATATCTTGAAATGGCCCTGAAAAGCTGTCCTTTGTGGGGGAAAATTTGCATCTGTAAAGAATCTCTATTAATATAGCTAGATTTTTTTCTTCCAGGCTCTCCCAATCCTAAAGAGATTAACTGAAAGTCTAGCACCTTTTAAAGATCTGAATAGGCAACACTTGTCATCTATTGTCTCTAAGGGCAGCCACTATAAGACTTCAAAAGAACCTTGGTCTTCACAATCTTTTATCTTAACCTGAACGTTTATTTTCTATTGATCCTAGGTCTTTAGACAAACTCGACCAGTTGTTAACCAGAAAATGTTTAAATTTACCTATAGCCTGGAAGCCCCCCGCTTTGAGTTGTCCCACCTTTCTGGATCAAACCAATGTATTTCTTAAATGTATTTAACTGATGTCTCTATGCCTCCCTAAAATGTATGAAACCAAGCTGCTCCCCGACCACCTTGGGTACATGTTCTCAGGACCTCCTGAGGGCTGTGCACAGGCCATGGTCACTCATATTTGGCTCAGAATAAATCTTCTCAAATATTTTACAGAGTTAGACTCTTTTCATTGACACCATCCACACTGCAACAAAACTTCAAGACCTTGAACTTTGAGTTTATAATCTTACAACTGAGAAGAGTCCCTCCACACTCTTGGAACTGTACACCCATTAGAACCCTGAAGGTAAAACTAACCAGGGAAATTTATCCCCAGAAAAAGATGAAATCCTTGATGTGAACAACTTTTCCCAAGATCACAGATCAAGACTTCCACTATCATGAGACTCTTATCTTTGAATACTTTTTCCTTATTTATGCCTCTATAAACAATAGAGATGAAAAGGGGATGTTATGCACACTTATGGGATATACATTTATTTGTAAATGATTTTACAGCCAGCCTTATACACAGATAACCTTATACCTTGACAGATAAAAGATAAAGACCCAAGGTAGGTGAAAAACTTTAATGGTACATACGTTGCCTCATAATCAGTCAGAAACAGAACATTGATTCATTCCTCTTAATCCACATCATCGGTTAAAGATAACATTGCCAAGAGGCCTTCACTCTCCTAAAAATACATCATTTGTTAGGTTCTTTTCCCACGGTTTGGAATAAAAGAAACAATGATTAGAAATCTATCCCTTATGATAGGCTCTATAACGAGTTCTACTGTAAAGACTATAGTTACCCAACAGACTTTAAACTCTCTCGTAAAAATTATGCTAAATTGTAGAATTGACTAAACAGAAAAGTATCTGTACAGCTACTGGCACTTGTGGCCTATAGAGAAATACATCAAATGTAAATTATCAAAATTCAGTTGTAGGGAATTAATGAAAAGACCACTTAAGCGAGTAGACTCTTCATGTAACTCATTCTTCGATCTATTTGATTTTAGCTGGTTTCATTTATAGAGACCCTGAATAAAGAACATACTCCAAACTCTTGGTATTATCCTCCCAATAGTCATAATAATAGTCTCCCTGGTACACTGTATTCTCTCAGAGGCTTTAAATGTTTACATACAGCCATCTCTAAAATGTCAAATTGTCTCTCTTCAACTGGAATGACAAAAACTGAAAGAAGTATACGGCCATGAGGACACTATAACCTATGAATGACATACTGAGATCAGAAATGCAAAATGGTAGTAACTGAGAGTGACGCTAAGGCCCTAAATTGTGGTCACACGCTCACCTAAGTGAGAACCTGACCAAAAAGGGGGAATTTTTAAACAAAATTATGGGAGGCCATTGTTTTGGACTGAACTCATATACTAGACCCCAAACAGACCAAACTAAACAAAAGTGGAGTCACTCATGCTAAACGTGACATAATCAAACTAAAATTTTAAGGAAACACATAAACACTAAACCAGAACACACCAGGTTTTGTTTTTCTTCTAAAAATGGGACCTTCCAACATAGGTAGATACCCTCTACTCAGTCCTTGCTCCTACCTTTGCAAAACTCACTGTTCTGTTTCCCAGTGGGTTTCAAAATCAAATAAATACATTTATGATGGTGATAGTGACATCAATGACTAAAGTTTTAGTCAATCTTTTAAAATTGAGAAAATGACCAAAAGGAGGGAATTGTTAAAGCAAACTAAATATGGCCCGAGAAGGACTCCATTCTTCTATATTTGAGTCCTTGCAGATGTACTGTAACCTAGCTTAATAGACAAGATTGAAAACCTAATTCAGGAGCATGAGCGCTTATAACAATAGCTGAGTCTTGGCCAATCCCAGTGGCCATACTTCAACCACTCATAGACTGCTGCATGTTCAGACTGTGTTCAAATAGGACAAACGCCAACCTGTAACCATTCCAGCTGTTTTTTTGTTTGTTTGGTTTTGGTTTTTTTTTTTTTTTTTGAGGCGGAGTCTCGCTCTGTCACCCAGGCCGGAGTGCAGTGGCGCGATCTCCGTTCACTGCAAGCTCCGTCTTCCGGGTTCATGCCATTCTCCTGCCTCAGCCTCCCAAGTAGCTGGGACTCCAGGTGCCCGCCACCACACCCCACTAATTTTTTGTATTTTTTAGTAGAGACGGGGTTTCACCGTGTTAGCCAGGATGGTCTCGATCTCCTGACCTTGTGATCCGCCCGCCTCGGCCTCCCAAAGTGCTGGGATTACAGGCGTGAGCCACCGTGCCCAGCCCAGTCCAGCTGTTTCTATACTTCACTGTCCATTTCTGTGCATCATTTCCCTTTTATTGTCTATAAATCTTTTTCCACCATTTGGCTGTGCTGGAATCTCTCTGAATCCACTGTAATTCTGGGAGCTGTCCAATTCGCAAATTGTTTTTTGCTCAATTAAACTCTTTTAAATTTAATTCTGCTGAAGTTTTTCTTTTAAAAGTGTACAGAATTATAAATTCATGTGTGTGTGTATATATATATATATATATACTGAAGCATTATTGGCAAGTGTGCAACATTAAAAACAATTGAAATTGTCCCATAAGGACTTTAATGAAATACAGCCCAATCATCTAAATTAATATATAGACCAGTAAGTCAAAAGGAGAGTGCTGGCTGGGTGTGGTGGCTCACACCTGTAATCCCAGCACTTTGGGAGACTAAGGCAGGAGGATCGCTTGAGCCCAGGAGTTTGAGACCAGCCTGGGGGCACAGTGAGATGTCATCTCTTCAAAAATTTTAAAAGTTATCTGGGCATGGGTTTATGAACATATAGTCCTGGTTACTGGGGGACTGAGGTGTGAGGATCCCTTGAGCCCGAGAAGTCGGGGCTGCAGTGAGCCATGATTGTACCACTAAACTCCAGCCTGGATGACAGAGTGAGGCCCTGTATATATATTAATTAATTAATTAATTAAAGGGGAGTGCCTCATTTTTAAATATCATTCCTTTTTCAATCCCTGTTACTCATGAGATGTGTCAACTCCTCAGGAATGTTAGGTCAGGAAAAGACGAAATAACTATGTAGGCGAATAACACATGAAGAAATCTACTTTATAATGTTTGATGAAAAAAAATCAGGTCATAAAACCAGGTGTAGGCTGGGCGCGGTGGCTCGCGCCTGTAATCCCAACACTTTGGGAGGCCGAGGTGGGTGGATCGCTTGAGGTCAGGAGTTTAAGATCAGACTGGCCAACATGGCGAAACCCCGTCTCTATTAAAAATAAAAAAATTAGCCGGGCGTGGTGGCACACACTTGTAATCCCAGCTACTCGGGAGGCTGAGGCAGGAGAATTGCTTGAACCTGGGAGGCAGAGGTTGCAGTGAGCCAAGCTCGCACCACTGCACTCCAGCCTGGATGACAGAGCCAGACTCCATCTCAAAACAAACAAACAAACAACCAAACAAAAAAACAGGTGTAAATCATTATTCTTTTTTGTTTGAATAGACATGAATATACATATAGACCACTCTTCCCCAAAATGTTCTTGTGTTTACCCTGTGTAGTATGATTATGGCTTGTTTTCTTTGGGATTTTGATTTCTATTTGATTAAAATTGCTAATATCTAGTTTCTAGGATTTCTGTAATTATTTTTCCTACTTAATAGTGAATTAATTAATAATTCTTAAATAATGATGACTTAATAATTCTCTTTTTTTTAAAGCTGTAAGCTGGGCACAGTAGTGCATGCCTGTAAGTCCCAGCCATTCGGAAGGTTGAGGCAGAAGGATGGCTTGAGGCCAGGAGTTCAAGACCAGCCTGGGCAACATAGTGAGACATTGTCTCAAAATAAAATATAACATAAACTTTAAATTTAAAAGGCGTAAAACTTATCCTAAGGATAAATTGCAACATGCTTAAGGATAAATTGCAAACTTTTTAGCATGGTATTCAAAGCCCCATCAACTGTGGCTCCAACCCGTCCTTCTTGTCTTGTCTTTGACTTCTCCCTGTGTTATAACCAACAGTAACCTCCAGAGCAAAGTCCTTGCTCTCACCTCCCCACATATATGCATGTCCTGCTTTTTTTCTGAGTTCAGCCTCACAGACCTTTGTGAGATGCTTCTTCTCTGACCGAGTGTGACAGAGTCTTTCCTCTGGGATGGGGAAAGGTGTTGTCTTGGTGACATGAAGAGACCAGTAAAAAAGGAGAACAGAGCTTTCTAAAAATGAATGGATTACTTCTCTGCCCCTACGTTGTTCCAAACTGAGTTTCTCTTGTCATTTTCTTTTCAGTTGATGTCGTCTCACATGAGGTGAGAAAATAAATGGACTCCTCCCGCTCCCCGCCCCCTTTCTGGCTCCCAGTTCAGCTAAGCCATAAAACTTCTTTTCAGACAACTTAAACGTGTGTAAGATATTTGCAGTGTCTGAGGTTGCCTTGTTTGGTGCTGTACTTGGCTGCTCTCAGAACCCGTTCCAGAGGCCAGGTGAATGAATGGTGAATAGACTCCAGTGTTCTGGAGGGAGGTAGGGGGACAGGGAAATGGCTGATCATGAACAACGCCCAAGCAGAAAAGTTAGTCTATAAAATACAGAGATGTTTCTTTGCAGCTTAACAATTTCTATTCCTTATGTTCTCTTTTTTACCTTTGGACAAAAAGGATTTTTAAAAAAATTGTTTGATTACATTTTAACCTTGAGGCAGATGACCTTTACAAATATTAAACAGTGGGCCTTTCACAACCTCCGGGTTCTTTTACAGCCACCTGAACAATAAGCCCTTCAGCTCTTCAGTGAGTAGGAACGGTTAGCCAAGCCCAAAACAGGTCTAACTGCACTTTAAGCAAAGATCCAGTATCCCAGCAGGGAGGCACGCCTGGCCTGTTTTTATTTGAGAAGGTTCTCCCAACCCCTAAGTCAGCAACAGCTTCCTTCTTTCTAAGATCATTAGGCTCCAAACACCAGCAGCCCTCCTCTGCGGAAAAGAGGCGTCTTCTCATTCTTCTTCCAGGTTTTCAAACCCTATTCAGCCCTGAACAAAATTTGGAAGGAAGAGAAGATTGTCTCAGTGTCATCTTCCTTCAACTTGAAGAACAGACAGCCTGGTTGTTCTCACCCTTCCCTGATCAGCTCAGCCCAGCCAGAAATTCTCAGATCTAAACTTCATGCTTTGATCTCAGATAAAATCCAGAAGAACACATTATTTTTATTTGTGATGCGCAGCCTTTGTTTGATTGAATGACATGTAAAGCATTTAATTGTGTCAATCTTAATAATTTGAGACATCAACAAGCTTCTTCATTCCTCCCTCCTGGATGGAGATCATCCCTAAGTCAGATGCCTGAACTTGACCTCTATTATCCTGGAATGAGTCAAGAGAAATTTAAATGGGGAGCACAACAGGTTTTTCTAGCTGCTACTTCCCTCTCCTACATCCCAACTCTCTTCCCTCCCAACATGACCAGGCACACATACACATACACGCACCATGAGGGCTCTGAGCCAGGAGAGAGACAGGTCTGGAAAGAGCGCAGGGAGAAGGAGGTAGTGTCATTCCACTTATCACCTCCCCACAGTTTGCCTGTCATTTGGGGGATATGAGAGAAGAAGGGGCCTGAGTCCTGCACCTCTGTCTGAGAGTTTTGTAGCTGATGGACCTCCTGACCAACTCCCTCGACCCTGCCACACACGCACGCACACACATACTTGCATGCACACACACACACACATGCATACGCATGGTATGGAGTGGTTGAAATGGAGCCATGGTCTTTCCAGGTGCTGCAGAGCTTGTCTCTATGTCTCCCAAGTTTTCCACGGCCCTCAAGTGAGACACAGCAAGTAATTAGGAGAGAGAGCCAAGGTGCAACTGGGAGGCCGCCCAGCAGAGGAAATGAGCACACCGGTTCAAGGACATGGCATAAGCCAGCCAAAGGGTGAGAAAGGACTTAGCTGCATCTCTGAGGAAGCAGCGAGCTGCACGGGAGCAGGAAGGAGTGATGGCAGGCCTGAGTTAGCACCCTCCAAGCCAAGCACCTTCCCTGCCAAGGAATGGACAAGCCCAGCCCTGGGACCCAAGTCAGGGAGATGGGCAACCCCACCCATCCCATCCCAAATAGAGGCTCTGCGCACTCCTAGAGCCTTCAATTCAGCCCAAAGGGGAGAGGGAGGAAAACAGAGAGAGGAGCTGGAAATGAACTGTGACTGGCTCATAAGGCCTGGATTGACAAAGAAAAAGCTCAGAAATAACCACATTCAGTTGCCTACATCAGACCACTTGGCTTAGAATCAAGGTTCAGAAGTTACATGGTCGGAGTAAGTGTCAGGGTGGCACTGACCAGCACTGTGATCCTGGGCGAGTTGTTTTACTTCTCTGGGCCCTGTGACCCCACCTTCAAAATGAGTTTTCTCCCAGCCCTGGGAGTTACAGTTCTATAGCGCCCAGGTGGCCTGCAGCTCAAGCCGAGTTTCCACTCCATGCCTGATGTGGTTGTGGGCCCAGTAAGTGTGCCCAGAGGAGGCCTGGTGACAGAGGGCAGGGAAGGACCAGGCCCAGCCTCCTTTGTCATTTTCCTTTATGCTGTGCAGCTACGTGGGAGAATTTCCCAGTCTGTGCTGAGAATACCTTTCTTGCCACCACTTTTGAAATCGTCCTGTAGAGGGCACAGTGTCCTCGTCCCCGCGGCTCCCATGGTTCAGTCAAGTCCTGAAGGCTTTTCTGTCCATCTGCTGATCTACTCAAAGCACTGAGGACGGCACTTTGGGAACAGGGCATATTGGGGAGCGCAGGAGGGGACTTTGACCGTGAGGAGCTCGCAGTAGCTCTCAAGAAGAAAAGACACGGACCTATACCAGTCAATCCGAGACATATTCACGTGGACAGACTAAGATAGCAAACAGATTCTAGATGCTTAAGAATTCAGAAAGAGGCCGGGCATGGTGGCTCAGGCCTGTAATCCCAGCACTTTGGGAGGCCGAGCCAGGCGGATCACCTGAGGTCAGGAGTTCAAGATCAGCCTAGCCAAAATGGTAAAACCCCATCTCTACAAAAATACAAAAATTAGTCAGGCATGATGGCGAGTGCCTGTAATCCCAGCTACTCGGGAGGCTGAGGCAGGAGAATCGCTTGAACCAGGGAGGCAGAGGTTGCAGTGAGCCGAGATCACGCCACTGCACTCCAGCCTGGGTGACAGAACAAGACTCCATCTCAAAAAAAAAAAAAAAAAAAAAAAAAAGAATTCAGAAAGAGGGCAGGGCGTGGTGGCTCATGCCTGTAATCCCAGCACTTTGGGAGGCTGTGGCGGGTGGATAGCTTGAGGCCAGGAGTTCGAGACCAGCCTGGCCAACATGGCGAAACCCTGTGTCTACTAAAAATACAAAAATTAGCCAGGTATGGTGGTACACATCTGTAATCCCAGCTACCTGGGAGGCTGAGGTGGGAGGATCGCTTAAACCTGGGAGGCGGAGGTTGCAGTGAGCCGAGAACACGCCACTGCACTCTAACCTGGGCAACAGAGCAAGGCTCTGTCTCCAAAAAAAAAAAAGAATTCAGAAAGAGTCTAACTCTAGACCACTTCCAACAGTCTCTAAGGAAGATATTAAAAGAGCTGGTAGCACTGAGAGTAGACATTTGGATGGGATGACTTGGCGACCCACGCCAAGACAGGCAGAAACAGAAAATGGTAAAGTTCTTGGTAAAGGCTCATGTTTTAATGTTAAAATTTAGATTATTTTAATTCCTACTATAAAATGGCTAATATTATCTTATACAACTTTCACCTCAGTTAAAAAAAGCTACACTGAGACAGCAAAAAAAATTAATTTATTTACTGTTGGGGCTAGGAAATAATTCTCATGGCTCAAAATCCAAAAGTTTAAAAAGGGCATTTTTTTTCCAATAATTTCTCCAAACACCCAGTTTCCTTTTGTTTGTTTGTTTGTTTGTTTGTTTGTTTGTTTGTTTGTTTTGAGAGAGAGGCCTACTCCGTCACCCAGGCTGGAGTGCAGTAGTGTGATCTAAGTTCATTGCAACCTCCACCTCCTGGGCTCAAGCAATCCTCCTGCCCCAGCCTCCCAAGTAGCTAGGACTACAGGCATGTGCCACCACGCCAGGCTAATTTTTGTATTTTTTGTAGAGATAGGGTTTCACAATGTTGCCCAGACTAGTCTTGAACTTCTGAGCTCAAGCGATCCACCCACCTCAGCCTCCCAAAGTGTTGGGACTACAGGCATGAGCCGCCGTGGCTGGCCCAGTTTCCCTTTCTTTTCTTTTTTTTTTTTTTTTTTGAGATGGAGTCTCACTCTGTCACCCAGGCTGGAGTGCAGTGGCGCGATCTCGGCTCATTGCAAGCTCTGCCTCCTGGGTTCATACCATTCTCCTGCCTCAGCCTCCCGAGTAGCTGGGACTACAGGCGCCCGCCACCACGCCTGGCTAATTTTTTGTATTTGTAGTGAGACGGGGTTTCACTGTGTTAGCTGGGGTGGTCTCAATCTCCTGACCTCGTGATCTGCCCACCTCGGTCTCCCAAAGTGCTGGGATTACAGGTGTAAGCCACCACGCCTGGCCCCAATTTCCCTTTCTAAAAGCAATGAATGTTATAGTTCCCTTTGTATATATCCAAAGACGTTCTATGCAAATATAAAGAGATAGGTACCACTGTGGGAGGCCGAGGGGGGAGGATCACCTGAGGTTGGGAGTTCAAGACCAGCCTGGCCAACATGGTGAAACCCTGTCTCTACTGAAAAATACAAAAATTAGCTGGGCATGGCGGCATGTGCCTGTAATTCCAGCTACTCAGAAGCTGAAACAGGAGAATCATTTGAACCCGGGAGGTGGAGTTTGCAGTGAGCCAAGATCGTGCCATTGCACTCCAGCCTGGGCAACAGAGTTAGACTCTGTCTCAAAAAAAAAAAAGAAAAAGAAAAAGAAAAAAAGAGATACATGTAGTCTATAATCCACCCGTTTTTACAGATGCATACTGCTCTGCCCCTTGCTTTAATCACTCACTGTATCTTGGCTTTCATATAATATATGTCAACACTCTAAACACGTTATATTTATTAACTCATTCAATCCTGTGAGGTAGTTCCCATTATCATCCTCACAACCACTTTTATAGGTGAGAAAATTGAGGTCCAAGAAGATAAATGCATCATTAAGGGTCACATATTTAGTAACTGGTGGAGGCAGGACTTGAACCTAGGCAGTCTGAGTCCAGAATATCTGCCTCCAACCATGAAACTTTACAACCTTTACACATGTATATCTGTAGGCTAAACTTTTAGAAGTCAAAGCCCTGAGATGGTTTATTTATTTATTTATTTTGGAGACAGAGTCTTGCTCTGTCACCCAGGCTGGAGTGCAGTGGCCCAATCTCAGCTCACTACAACCTCAGCCTCCTGGGTTCAAGCAATTCTCCTGCCTCAGCCTTCCAAGTACCTGGGATTACAGGCACACACCATCATACCTGGCTAATTTTTATGTTGTCCAGGCTGGTCTCAAACTCCTGACCTCAAGTGTTCCCCTCAACCTTGGCCTCCTGAATTGCTGGTATTACAGGCATGAGCCACTGCACCAGGCCGTGAGACAATTTTTGATGTACATTGCAAAATTACCTTTCCTCTTGTCCCATCAGTTGACACTCACACCCTAATGGATGAGAGTCCTCATTTCTGCAGTCCTCACTGAGGACTCACTTAATATTGTAGTGTCAGTGGTTGGTTAGGTGCTCGTGATAAAGGAGACCATCCCTGCTCTTGAGAACTTCCAGTCTTATTAGGAGAGGCTAAGAGGTGAGTCACAGTGACCACTGGTAACCCCTACTTGATGAATAAACCAACCAGGTCATTAACTTGTGCTTTGAAGAAGGCAGAATACAGATCACAAAGAGTAGGCTCCTCAAGTCTCCCACCATGCGACCAGCTTAGGTTGTGTATTTTTTGAAACAGCAAAAAAATGAAAGCAAACAAACAAAAATCAATAAATCACCACAAAGTCTTCCCAGCAGGCCCTCATATTATGACACCACAAGATTAAGAACAATCCAAATGCTTTTTCATCCAGGTCTGCTCCTCACCATCTTCACAGGAGGGCTGAAAGACCCTTTGTTGCAGTAAGAGGCTAAGAAATTTTCTAGTTCCAGTGAAAGAAGAGAGAAGTCTGCAGACACCAGACCATTTGCTAAAGGTGAATTTTGGCAAGAGGCATTTTAGTCCTTGAATATATATACAAATTATATATACATAAAAACAGGTCCTAGTTTGTATCCACTTAAAAGTGCAGGCAGGAGGCCCGGTGCAGTGGCTCACGCCTGTGATCTCAACACTTTGGGAAGCCAAGGCCAACAGATTGCTTGAGCCTAGGAGTTTGAGACTAGCCTGGCCAACATGCTGAAACCCTCTCTCTATAAAAATTAAAAGAAAAGAAAACTGCAGGTCTAACCAGGGTGCTAGAGTTTTGGTTTCTGGTTTTTTTTTTTTTTTTTTTTTTTTTGAGATGGAGTTTCGCTCTTGTTGCCCAGGCTGGAGTGCAATGGCACAATCTCGGCTCACCACAACCTCCACCTCCCAAATTCAAGTGATTCTCCTGTCTCAGCCTCCCGACTAGCTGGGATTACAGGCATGAGCTACCACGCCTGGCTAATTTTTGTATTTTTAGTAGAGACAGGGTTTCTCCATATTGGTCAGGCTGGTCTTGAACTCCTGACCTCAGGTGATCCATCCGCCTCAGTCTCCCAAAGTGCTGGGATTACAGGTGTGAGCCATCACACCTACCTAGAGTTTTAATTCTTGCTTCTGTGCTGAGTCAGTCACTGGCCTCTCTGCGTTTCATCTAATGAATGCCATTTCACTCACTCAGGTGAAAATATTTATTAAATTCCTGCTATGTGCTAAGCACCTGTTAGATACATATGAGTAAGACACACAAATAGGCTGCTTCAAGTGACTCCCAAGAGGAGGAAATGCAACTGGCTATGCTTCAACCATCTGCCACAGTAAAATGCTCCTCGCCACAGCTGGGAGTGTGCTGCTGCCTGTCAGTTTCAGTTGTCTGTGGGAAGAAATGGAGCTGCCTTTGGTCTGGCATACATTTCTACGTGAGCTAAGATTTGTTCCTATTTATAATTCTCCAAGAAAGCTTAGGGAAGCATTAAGAGAAAGAAATGTTCATGAAGTATTTTCTGTAAAGTAAAATATTTCAAAGTCCAGGGGCTTCCATCCGTGTTTATGAATAGATGGAAAATTATTTGACCTCAGCATACAGGAATTTGTCAATCAGTTGGGAGACTCTCCCAAGGAGATTTGACCCCACACCCTAAAGACCAAGTAAAAATATGCTGATAGCTGGAGAACCTTAAAAGCAAGATGGAAAAAAATATAAATAAATAAATAAAAAGCAAGATGGAAGCAGATCTCAGTTTGTCCTCTGTACTCATTCCATTTCTGTTTTTCTTTCTTTCTTTTTTTTTGTGAGACGGAGTCTTACTCTGTCGCCCAGGCTGGAGGGCAGTGGCACGATCTCGGCTCACTGCAAGCTCCGCTTCCCGGGTTCACGCCATTCTCCTGCCTCAGCCTCCCGAGTAGCTGGGACTACAGGCGCCCGCCACCAAGCCCGGCTAATTTTTGGTATTTTTAGTAGAGACAGGGTTTCATCGTGTTAGCCAGGATGGTCTCGATCTCCTGATGTCGTGATCCGCCTGCGTCGGCCTCCCAAAGTGCTGGGATTACAGGCGTGAGCCACCGCGCCTGGCCCCCTTTCTGCTCTGTAAAGAAAGTGTGGGAGCCAGGCGCGGTGGCTCATGCCTGTAATCCCAGCACCTTGGAAGGCTGAAGCAGGTGGAACACTTGAAGTCAGGAGTTCAAGACCAGCCTGGACAATGTAGTGAAACCTCGTCTCTACTAAAAATACAAAAATTAGGGGGGCGTGGTGGCGCATGCCTGTAATCTCGGCTACTCAGGAGGCTGAGGCAGGGGAATGGCTTAAACCCGGGAAGCAGCGGTAGTAGTTAGCGGAGATTGAGATCGCGCTGCCACACTCCAGCCTGGGCGACAGAGCAAGACTCCCTCTCAAATAAAAAAAAAAGAAGGAGAAAAAGAAAAAGAAAAAAGAAAAAAAAAGCGTGGGTTTTCATCACTGCATCAAAACTGATTCTGGAAGTGAAATGGGAAAGTTCCCTTGTCTCCCTCGAAGGGCGTGCGATGGGGGTGTGGCTGTCTCTTTGGTGCCCCACTGCTCAAACCCCTAGGGGGAGCATGCAGATGGGCAGGCTGTGGGGCTCCGACCCCACGACAGTGCCTAGGGCTGAATGCTTACAGCTCCTGAAGCCCTAGTGGGCATGTGTTACAGGGAGCTCCTTTAGTTTAGCCATCCATAAGTGGCTTGTGTAGTCAGCTCAATTAGACCCTCTGCCTTACCGCGAAGACAGAGGGCTTTCTGTATCCTGGGGTTTCTTGCCTTGGTGTACCAGAAGAATCAGATCACACGTAGGCTTGGAGAATGAGCGCAAGGTTTTATTGAGTGGAAATAGCTCTCAGAAGATGGGGGACCCAGAAGGGGATGGAGTGGAAAGGTGGTTTTCCCTGGAGTCAGCCACTCAGTGGCCTGGCCTCTCCTCTGACCGCCTCTGCCAAACTCCGCCTCATTCTGCTGGTTGATGGCTTGCTGGCTTGCCGGTGTCTGTCGGCGTGCTCTTACGCCAATGCGTTCCTCTCAGCGTCCAGCCGCCTATGTCTTCCGCTGGTGTGTTCCTCTCATATCCAGCGCCTTTTTTTTTTCTTTCTTTTTTTGAGACAAGAGTCTCGCTCAGTGGTCCAGGCTGGAGTGCAGTGGCGTGATCTCGGCTCACTGCAACCTCCGCCTCCCGGGTTCAAGCTATTCTCCTGCCTCAGCATCCCGAACAGCTGGGACTACAGGCGCCGGCCACCATGCCCGGCTAAATTTTTTTTTGTATTTTTAGTAAAGTCGGGGTTTCACCACATTGGCCAGACTGGTCGGATCTCCTGACCTTGTGATCTGCCCGCCTGGGCCTCCGAAAGTGCTGGGATTACAGGCACAGGCCGCCACGCCCGGCCGATGTTCATCCACTTATGTGCATGCTCACTAGGGTCTTGGGGTTTTTATAGGCACAGGATGGGGGCGTGGTGGCCAGGGTGGTCTTGGGAAATGCAACATTTGGGCACAAAAACAGAAATGCCTCTCCTTACCTACGTCCATGGGCACAGGCCTGGAGTGGAGCCCTCACCAGCATGCCTTAGTTCATTCCTACTGCTCTACCAAAATGCCTTCGACTGGGAATTTATAAATATTAGATATATTAGAAATTTATTGGCCGGGCGCAGTGGCTCACGCCTGTAATCCCAACACTTTGGGAGGCTGAGGCGGGTGGATCACTTGAGGTCAGGAGTTTGAGACCATCCTGGCCAACATGGTGAAACCCCGTCTCTACTAAAAATACAAAAATTAGCCGGGCGTGGTGGCACGTGCCTGTAATCCCAGCTACTCCGAAGGCTGAGACAGGAGAATCGCTTGAACCCTGGAGGTGGAGGTTGCAGTGAGCTGAGATGGTGCCACTGCACTCCAGCCTGGCGAGAGAGAGAGAGACGCCGTCTCAAAAAAAAAAAGAAAAGAAATTTATTTCCCATTGTTCTGGAAGCTGAAACTCCAAGATCAAGGCGCCAGCAGATTTGGTGTCTGGTAAGGGCTGCTCTGCTTCTGAAACTGGCCCAAATGTCCTATAAAACTGATGTTTATGGTTTCTTTGAATAAACATAGAAATTGATCTTCTCAGTCTGTTTTTTTTTTTTTTTTTTTTTTTTTTTGAGACACGGTATCTCTCTGTTGCCTAGGCTGAAGGCTGAAGTGCTGAAGTGCAGTGGCACGATCATGGCTCATTGCAGCCTTGATCTCTCAGGCTCAAGTGATCCTCCCACCTCAGCCTCCGGAGTAGCCAGGACTACAGGTGTGTGCCACCATGCCTGGCTATTTTTTGTATTTTTCTAGAGAAGGGGTTGTGCCACGTTGTTCGGGCTGGTCTCAAACTCCTGGGCTCAAGGGATCTGCCTGCCTCAGCCTCCCCAAGTGCTGGGATTACAGGCCTGAGCCACAGCATGGCCACATCCTCCCAGTCTTAAAACTTGAGAAAGTTATATTTGTCTTATCTGAGTTCCTTTCTCAGGAAACCAACCATCAGTCCTCCCAGAGAGTAACAAGGAACTGAAACTTACCAGATCACCACCTCTGGACAATGAGATGCCAAACTCCTCACCTGTCATGATTGCCTAACTGACCACTTGCTTCCTCTTAACCAACTTCTCTTTCTTACCCCTCCCTAATTCCTGTTTTCCCACACGTGGTCACATTTTTTTCCCCACTATATAAGCCCCTAATTTTAGTTGGTCAGGGACATGGATTTGAGACTGATCTCCCATCTCCTCGGCTGCAGCACCTGAAAAAGCCTTCTTCCCTGGCAATACTCACGTCTTAGTGATTGACTTTCTGTGCTCCAAGCAACAGAACCTAGACCAAACCCCTGGCATTTTGGTAACACTTCAAGCTGGTGCCTTCTTGCTGTGTCCTCACATGACTGAAGGCAAGGCAACCCTCTGGGTCCTCTTCTATAATGGCATGAATCCCATCCCTGAGGGCTCTGCCATCATGATTTAATCACCTCCTAAAGGCCCAGCTCTTTTTTTTTTTTTTTTTTTTATTGAGACAGAGTTTCACTCTTGTCGCCCAGGCTGGAGTGCAGTGGCGCTATCTCAGCTCACTGCAACCTCTGCCTCCCGGGTTCAAGCGATTCTCCTGCCTCAGCCTCCCTAGTAGCTGGGATTACAGGCGCCTGCCACCACGCCCAGCTAATTTTTGTATTTTTGGGTTGGCCAGGCTGGTCTCAAACTCCTGACCTCAGGTGATCCGCCTGCCTCGGCCTCCCAAAGTGCTGGGATTACAGGTGTGAGCCACTGTGCTGGGCCAGGCCCACCTCTTAATGCTATCATATTGGCAATTAAATTCCAACAAATCAATTTTGGGAAGGACACATTCAGACCATAGCAAAGCAGCTGGCCTTTCAGTCTTTAAAAACTTTCCTCACTTGTTAGCTATAGTTTTCTGGAAGTATATGGATCTAGTAGTAGTGTTGATGGCAGCAGCGGGCCATCTGGAGCAGCCACTGCCATCACACCGGCTGGGACTGGGGGCATTACAGGCAGTGGCGGCAGGAGTGGCTGTGAGAGTGGCAGGACCCCTGTGTCCCTGAGGCAGCCGACTGCACTCCCCCACCCTCAAACAGCCAGGCAGAACCCACTCCCAGGCTCGGAGCCTCCACTGCTCTGGCTCCTGGCCCCGTGTTGCCACTCTCACCTGCCACCACTGTGGCGAGGGTGTGGGAAGGAGGCAGATGGTTCCCAGAGCCCACCCCTAGGAGCACCCACCCGTGCCACAGCCTGCTGCCCACTGGCTGGGGAGCAGCATGGTCGGGTACAGAGGGGCGGGCAGAGAGGGGCCCTAAGGCAGAGCTGGGCCCGGGGTGGTGCTGCACTATAGGGAGCTAGCAGGAGCCAGAAGCAGGCAGGAGCCCCACCCTCCCAGGAGTGGCTGCAGCCACCCAGGTTGCGGCTGCGGACCCAGGCATCTCTGCACTTTTGGCGGGCCCAAGAAGGCCCCCTTTTCCCGTGCAGGTGTCTGCTCCTGCTTCCTGGCCTCTTCCTGTTGTTGGCACACCCTCTGATCATGGGGTGGAGTTGAGGCTGACCATGGGTGCTGTCACAGCCCCGTTGGGTGTGCACACTCTTGAAGCAGCACTGACACACCAGCCCTCTGCCACCTCGGCCCCCTCCAGACTTTGGGTACTGACAAGCATGGGAAAGAGGCCAAGGAAGTGCTGAGAACAGGCCCAGCACTGGCCTGCAGGTGCCCCTTGGCATGAATAGCCTGGGCGCCATGAACAGCAGCAGGAGGCAGGCAGGCTCCTGGGCAGAAGGGGGTGGACCCTGGTGAAGTCCCACCTTCAAACCAGGGAGGGCCTGAAGTCTGGGGGCCAGGCCACCAGGCCCCTGGACCACAGGGGGAACTTGTGGTACTTTTTCCTGGGCCTGCCCATGGCCTACCATGGACCAGTCAGCATGCACTTCCTCTCCTTTGAGGCCCATAAAAATCCCCGGACTCAGCCAGACTCCAGCAGAGGATGGAGAAATGATGGAAAATGACGGGGTGACCAGCTGCAGAGAGAAGCTATTCTCTCTGCTGACAGCTGGACACTCATCAGGACGACCTGCACAGCAGAGAAGAGCTGCCCTGTCTGCTGAGAGCTAAACACTCATCGGGACACCCTGACTATGGAGAGGAGCTGCCCACTGTGGATCTCCTCTGAGCTATTTTATTGCTCAATAAAGCTTCTCTTCGTCTTGCTCACCCTCCACTTGTCTGCGTACCTCATTCTTCCCGGATGCAGGACAAGAACCTGGGACCTGCCAAATGGTGGCGCTAAAATAGCTGTAACACAAACAGGGCTGAACCATGCCCCTTACCATATTGTGGGCCACAAGGAGGAGAGAAGAGAGAAGGAGAGAAGAGCTGTGGCCCTGCAGGGAGCCTAGACCTGGGAGATACCCAAGCCAGGGCTGTGACTCCTGCTTTGGGGCCAGTGGTTCCCGGAGCCTCCAAGCTTCCAGGCACCGCCGCATTCCCTGGTGCTAGCTATGGAAGCTGCTTGCAGTGCACCTGGTTCAGCTGCAGCCTCACAGTGAGCTGGCACCTGGAGCCACCTGCCCCACTGCAGCAGCCAGCATGCCTGACTGTGCACAGTGGCTGGATCCCGTGCTCGCTCACTCACACACCCCTAGCCACTCCTCTCCAGTCTTTTTGAAGGCGGGGGATCGAGGCTGGTAATGCAGGCCTTGAACAGCCTGCCAGGATGAGTGGGCCCAGGGGACCCGAACCAAACTCAGGCAAAGGTGCTACCAGCCACAGAGGCTTCTGGCCAGAAAAGCAACACGCCCGAGGATCTCATAATAGCGTCAAGTTATCAGAATCATCACATTGCAAACTAACCTGACCACAAATGGATGTTGAAAGTCAGGATAAAGTAATTATATAACACAGGATGATTTGAAAGATGGGAAATTTGGTGTCGTGAACTAGAAATTTGAAATCTAGGGCTGGGCATGGTGGCTTACACCTGTAATCCCAGCACTTTGCAAGACAGAGGCAAGAGGATCACTTGAGTCCAGGAGTTTGAGACCAGCCTGGGCAACATAGTGAGACCTCATCTCTATAAAAAAACAAAACAAAAAAAAAAATTAGCTGGGCGTGGTGGCATGTGCCTGTAGTCCCAGCTACTTGAGAGACTGAGACGGGAGGATCTTTACCTGAGCCCAGGAGGCTGATGCTGCAGTGAGCCATGATCGTACCACTGCACTCTAGCTGGGGCAATAGAGTAAGACCTTGTCTCAAAAACAAAAACAGGCTGGGTATAGTGGCTCATGCCTGTAATTCCAGCACTTTGGGAGGCCGAGGCAGGTGGATCATGAGGTCAGGAGGTTGAGATCATCCTGGCTAACACGGTGAAACCCTGTCTCTACTAAAAATACCAAAAATTAGCCGGTCGTGGTGGTGGGCACCTGTAGTCCCAGCTACTCGGGAGGCTGAGGCAGGAGAATGGCGTGAAGCTGGGAGGCGGAGCTTGCAGTGAGCAGAGATTGTGCCACTGCACTCCAGCCTGGGCGACAGAGTGAGACTCCGTCTCAAGAAAAAAAACCAAACAAACGAACAAAACTGTGAAATTAGAAATCTAGTCCAAGGTTTGGGCCAGAAGTTAAAGACAAACAAACAATCAAACTTCTTTCTTTAACCAAGTCCCATAGTTAATTAGCAGGGAGGAGTCACTTTGCTTTTCCTTCTATAATCCCTGAAACTGAGTAAGTTACGTTCTACTTGGTGAGATCATACAGAGGATAGCTATCACCTATTTAGTTCTTGCTGTGTACCAGACATCACCTGAATCAACTTGTTTAATCTTCCGAACAGTCCCTGTGATGGTTAACACTGAGTGTCAACTTGACTGGATTGAAGAATACAAAGTATTGATCCTGGGTGTGTCTTGGGGGTGTTACCAAAGGAGATAACATTTGAGTCAGTGGGCTGGGAAAGGCAGACCCACCCTTAATCTGGATGGGCGAAATCTAGTTAGCTGCCAGCGCAGCTAGCATATAAGCAGGCAGAAAAATGTGAAAAGAGAGACTGGCCTAACCTCCCAGCGTACATCCTTCTCCCTTGCGGGATGCCTCCTGCCCTCGAACATCAGACTCCAAGTTCTTCAGTTTTGGAGCTCCGACTGGCTCTCCTTGCTCCTCAGCCTGCAAGACGGCCTATTGTGGAACCTTGTGATCATGTGAGTTAATACTTAATAAACGCCCTTTATATATAATTACTAAGTATTAACTCACGAGTTAATACTCGTGTATTATATATATACACGTATATATATATATATATATATATATATATATATATATCACATTAGTTCTGTCCCTCTAGAGAACCTAATACAGTCCCCTAACCACCGTGAAGTAGTTATTATTGTTGTTGTCACCCTCATTTTGAGGTGAGGAAATAGAGGCACAGAGAGAGGAAGTTCTTTGCCCAAAGACACAGAGATAAGACAGGGAATAGGCTGGGCTGGCTGCATCATTTGCAGGGTCAAGCACAAAATGAGAATGTGGGGCTCTGGCCAGGGGGTGGGGAAGTCAACTCCCCTTCTCATAGTGGATGGGTGAGCCCTAAGGGATGGCTGCCTCTGCCACCCAGGCCATATTTGGTACCTTGATGGGGGTGGGCGGAAGCCCCTGCCAGTCACTGAGGCACTGCCAACCTAGGGCAGAGACAGCTGCCGCCTTAACCCGGAGACACCAGAGAGGGTCAGGGAGCTGTGCCTCACCCTGATCCTCTGTGAGACAGTGCCCAGGCACCCACCGGGAGGATGGATGGTGACGGCAGCACAGGAAATTCCACCCGCCCACACCTCTGGGCAATGAGACCTGGTTGCTGCCCTGGGTAGAAGTGGGCAGCAGTGTGGAGTTGGCTAGGCAGAACCACAGTGCAGTGGGGTAGCAGGCACCCAGGAGGATAGAGGCAGGGCTGGGAAGTGAGGCTGTGCATGAGCTGAGGCGCCAAGACCCCTTGTGTGTGCCCCATTGCTCATCAACCATTAACCTTCACTTAAAACACAAACTCAAAGATAAAATTACTAAGAAGCTCAAGGCCGGCCAGGTGCAGTGGCTCACACCTGAAATCCCAGCACTTTGGGAGGCTGAGGTGGGTGGATCACGAGGTCAGAAGTTCAAGACCAGCCTGGCCGAGATGGTGCAATCCCGTCTCTACTAAAAATACAAAAATTAGCCAGGCACAGTGGCAGGCACCTGTAATCCCAGCTACTCAGGAGGCTGAGGCAGGAGAATCTCTTGAACCCAGGTGGCAGAGGTTGCAGTGAGCTGAAATCAGGCCACTGCACTCCAGCCTGGGCAACCGAAACTACAAAGGATTAAACCCTAAGTCCCTCGCCCCCCGTTCTTTTTTTTTTTTTTTTTTTTTTTTTTGAGACAGGGTCTTGCTCTGTCACCCAGGCTGGAGTGAGTGGCATAATCATGGGTCACTGCTGCCTCCAGGGCTCAAGTGATCCTCCCACCTCAGCCATCCAAGTAGCTGAGATTGGGACTACAGGTGCACACCACCATGCCAGGCTAATTCTTTGTATTTTTTGTAGAGACTGAGTCTCCCTATGTTGCCCGGTCTGGCTTCAAACTCCTGGACTCAAGTGATCTGCCTGCTTTGACCTCCCAAAGTGCTGAGATTACAGGTGTAATCCCACTGCACCCGGCCTCCAAGCCTTCTTAAGTATGAGATTCTGTGTGACTGCACTAGTTTCATGTCCAAAGAAGCCAGCCTTGGACATAGTCACATTTACTAACAACTATGGTGAAAGGTCATGGAAATTCAAAATACTTTGAAAAGTAAGAAAGGAAACATTTTCTCAGTGTCTAAAAATCTGCCCTGCCATTCTACTTCGAAAAGTGAAGACTGCTGCAAAATATAATGATATTAGTCTTGACAAAGAAAAGTATTCTTTAACACTCCCATGAAGAATATCTTTTTTTATGAAGCCTTACTTTGTAACTATAATAGGTTTGTTGCCCAATGCACTGGACAAGTCAATACACCAAGGCACCAGGTTACAGCAGTGAAAGAGGTTTAATTGTAGGGCTGCTGGATGAGGAGACAGGAGGAAACCTCAAATTCATCTCCCTGAGGAGTCAAGGAGTTTGGGGCTAGGGTTTTTTTGCGGGGGGATGGTTTTTGAGACAGGATTTTGCTTTGTCACCTAGGCTGGAGTGCAGTGACCTATCAGTTCACTGTAACCTCAAACTCCTGGGCTCAAACAATCTTTCCACCTCAACCTCCTGAGTACCTTGTACTACAGGCTTGCACCACCATGCCTGACTAATTTTTTAATGTTTCATAGAGACAGGGCCTCACTATATTGTCTGGGCTGGTCTTGAACTCCTGAACTCAAGTGAGCCTCCTACTTTGGCCTTTAAAAGTGCTGGGATTACAGGTGTGAGCTACTGCACCCTGCCTGGGGCTAGGGTATTTAAGGGTTTTGAAGTGGACCAAAGTGTGGAGATCATCAATTGGTTGAAAAGTGCAGGGTAAAGTCATGAGACAGAGAGATGAAGAAATTGTATTCTCGCACTGATTCGGTTCCTGTGTGTGTGTGGGTGTGTGTGTGTGTGTGTGTGTGTGTGTGTTGGGGCGGGGGCGGTCTTTAAACTGGTTGATGTCGGCTGTTCTGCTGGAACGTAGGATCTGCCTAAGCAATTCTTAAATAAAACCCTTATGATTCCAGAGCCAGAAATCCTACCTATTGAAACAACAGGGATGCAAATGGTCAGTACCTAGTGTTACCTGAAGTTATTAATACAAAGAAGCAGGCCGAACTGCAGCCTGATTAATGCTTAGTTATAACTCTATTTTTGTGCAGAATTCTTCTCAACCTTGTAAGGATGGCCTCAACTTGGACTCCCCAAATAGAATTGACCACACTTTCATTGTGCTCCTTTCTAATTTGTATAATTATAATGTTAAGAACTTGGGATTTCGAATGAGACAAACCCGGGTTGAAATCCCAGCTCTCTCAGTGACTAGTTGTGAGACCTGGGCAAATTACTTGCATCTCTGTTTTGTCACCTGGAAACTGGGATAAGGAAACTCAGAGGCGGCTGCAGCACAGCTATACCAAATATTGGCTTACAGGTGGCAATCTAGCTGGAAACGGAGCTGCAGGACTTGCGTTGAAACTATGTTTGCAAAAGCAAGCACATTTGTTTTCACTAAGATTTTATATTTACTTGGAGTGTATTTGGGAAGGGGGAGCACATGGAGATTAAGAGGGTAAAAATCAAGGTCACCAATGAGAGTACTTAGCACAGTGCCTGACGCCTAAAAAATTAACTGCAAATATTTATGTTTTTTTCCACTAGATTGAATTTCTTAAGAGCTGGATTCTATCTTATTTATCTGCAACTAACAACGCTTGGCACCAAATGTAGAACTGAAATGAATTTTCTTTGCAATCTTGACTAAAAAATGAGGGTTTTATCAATAACTTCGTAGAGTAAATAGAAGTCTCTTAAGGGCTCTTGATATTCTTCCTGTTGGAAACACAAAGAAGGGAAAGGTTTGGAAAAATGAAGTTGACAAAGTCTTTTATTATCAAACGCTCAAACTTATTCCTCACTGCCTTGTTAACACTTGATTTGACACTTTTTTTTTTCTGTTTGAGACACAGTCTTGCTCTGCCACCCAGGCTGGAGTGCAGTGGCGCGATCCTGGCTCACTGCAACCTTGGTTCAAGCGATTCTCGTGCCTCAGCCTCCCGAGTAGCTGGGATTACAGGCGCCCGCCACCACACCAGGCTAATTTTTGTATTTTTAGTAGAGATAGGGTTTCTCCATGTTGGCCAGGCTGGTCTCAAACTCCTGACTTCAGATGATCCACCCGCCTCGGCCTCCCAAAGTGCTGGGATTAGAGGCGTGAGTCATCGTTTGTCTCATTTTTGTTTACATTTAAAATAATAAACCTTGAGGTCGGGCGCGGTGGCTCACGCCTGTAATCCCAGCACTTCGGGAGGCCGAAGCGGGTGGATCATCTGAAGTCAGGAGTTTGAGACCAGCCTGGCCAACATGGTGAAACCCCCGTCTCCATTAAAAATACAAAAATTAGCGGCATGGCGCGGTGGCTCATGCCTCTAATCCCAACACTTTGGGAGGCTGAGGCGGGCGGATCACGAGGTTAGGGGTTTGAGACTAGCCTGGCCAACATGGTGAAACCCCGTCTCTACTAAAAATACAAAAATTAGCCGGGTGTGATGGCAGGCGCCTATAATCCCAGCTACTCGGGAGGCTGAGGCAGGAGAATCGCTTGAACCTGGGAGGCAGAGGTTGCAGTGAGCCTATACTACGCCATTGCACTCAAGCCTGGGCGACAGAACGACACACACACACACACACACACACACACACAAAATTAGCTGGATATAGTGGCGGGCGCCTGTAATCCCAGCTACTCAGGAGGCTGAGGCAAGAGAATCGCTTGAACCTGGGAGACGGAGGTTGCAATGAGCAGAGATCGCGCCATTGCACTCCAGCCTGGGCGACAAGAGCAAAACTCCGTCTCAAAAGTAAATAATAATAAAATAAAAAACCTTGAACGTCATCGCTGTAAGTTGGGAACTCCTATAGCAAGATTCCATACATCCCATTTTTGGACGTTTTATTCCAAAGACACAAGCAAACGGAAGAAAACGACTGCCGTGAACCCCTGCTAACGACAACTTGGTGACTGCAGGATCATTGGACGACGGTTTTATCCTCGCCATCCAATCGTTGGAAAGTCCGGAGAGAACGCTCTCTGGATTGGTTGGAGGAAACATCTCTCCAAGTGCACTCAAGAATGGGTTGGGAGCGGGGTTCGGCCGGCAGCGCCTCGGGCCAATCAGAGAAAGCATGAGGGCGGGCTCTGCCGCAGGAAGGTGGTGAATCTCGGCGGGTCAAACTCTCCTGACGTGATGGGGGGGCGTGGCCTCCAGTTGCGGTCTCCCGGCTCTCTGGGCCCGCGCACGGGATGGGCGGGGCCCACGGGCCTGGGCGGGGCGAGCGGTGTCAGCGGCGGAGCCGGATGCGGGCGGCATCGCGGCGGTCGCGGCCTTGGGGATGGGCGGAGCCCCAGCCGCTAGTGCTGGTGGCCGCCGCTGCTGCCCCAGCTGGAGCCCGAGCCGCCGCCTCTGCGTCCGCGCGTCGCTGCTTCCCAGGGCGGCGGTATGCTGGGGAAAGGAGTAGTCGGCGGTGGCGGCGGCACCAAGGCCCCCAAGCCCTCCTTCGTGTCGTACGTACGCCCTGAGGTGAGGGGGCGCCGCGCAGGCGGGGCGTCGGGCAGGGGCGGCCGGGGCGAGGGGCGCCGGGAGCCCCTTCCTTGCAGCGGGGAGCGCCGCGGAGCGCTTCCTGCCCTTGTGCCGGGCGACGGGGCAGCCAGGCGGGCTGAGGCCGCAGGAGCGCGCTGGGGCCTCCGCGCGGGCCGGAATGGGGACCCCGGCGCAGGCAGGCAGGTGCCTGAGCGCAGGGCCCGAGCGCTGGAGGCTGGTGGAGGGGCCCGAGCCGAGAAGGGATTGCGGCCCGGAACGCCCCTGGGGATTCTGGAGAGGACCTGGGGTTGTGGGCACTGCTGGGAGGGGTAGGGCCGTGGGTCGGAGCCCCCAACGGGGCCTGCTCGGAGCCCGCGTGGGTCCGTCCTGCCTCTGGACTTTCTCAGTGAGCCCAGAAGCCCGCCGGCCTCCGCTGCCTGCGTCTGAGTGCCTCGGGTGCGGCTGGCGGGATGCCCTGCACCTACGTCCGCCTCCCGTCAGCGCTGCGGGGAGAAAAGGGGGTCGGCCTGGCCTCAGCCAGTCTCTGCTTGTCTCTCCCTTGGGAATTCTCCGCTGTCGCTTCTTTCTCCTCATCCCCTCACCATCATCCTTTCCACCCACTTCTTACTCTTCTGAATCTTCAGGTCAAGAAATTTGTTCATTCATTCAGAAAATACTTCTCGAGCTCCTACTGTGTGTCAGGCACTAAGTGCTTGTGATAGACATCAGTGAACAGGACAGAGATCTCTGCATTCCTGGAGCTTATTTGAGGGGGAAAGGAGAAACGGGGTGAATTATAGATAATTAAGTAAATTATACGGTGTAGTAGGAGGTGATAAATATCATGGGAAAGAAAAGAAATCTTTTTCCTCCTCGCAAAGGTGGCATTTGAGCCGAGACTTGAAGATACGAGAGGTCTGAGAGAAGAGTCGTCCAGGTAGAGGGAACAGCCCCCGGGAAGGTCGTGAGGTGGGAGTGTGTCTGAAGGGTTGGCGGAGCGTCAAGGAAGCCAGCATGGCAGAGGCCCATGGACAAGGGGGACAGTCATAGGAGAGGAGGTTAGAGAGATCAGAACTTGTAGGCCTTGCTCAGGGCTTCTTGAGCAATAGTTCTTAATCCAAATGCCTAATGAGAAGCCTTCTTGTTTTGCATCTGTAAAGGTTTTTTTCTGCCCTTCTCTCCAGCAGAAGTGCAGAAGCACCGCCAAATTTGTTGCAGATGTCTTCCCACCTCTGTAATGCAGAAGCACGTGGGCTGTGGATGAGAGATCTGATCAGGGACTGCTTCCGTAAAGACCACCTGGGGCCTGAGGCATTTGCATATGTATCTTTAAATTCAAGATATGTGTGTTTTCTCCAGGGGAAAGTGCTCTTAAAATGGGTCTTATTTTTAGTCCTAGTTGTAAAATACAAACCATTTCCTCTGTTAGCACTTGATGTGGAGTCAGGGTCATCTTAAAGTTTCAGCGGGCTTCCCTTGTGGTATCACATTTAAGCAATGTGGTCAATTTCTCTTTGTGTCTTTTTAAAACATTTAAACATTTAAAAAATTTTTGTGGGTATAGTAGGTGTATATATTTAATGGGATACATGAAATATTTGGGCTGGGCATGGTGGCTGACACCTGTAATCCCAGCACTTTGGGCCGGCTGAGGTGGGTGGATCACCTGAGGTCAGAAGTTGGAGACCAGCCTGGCCAACATGGTGAAACCCTAAAATTAGCCAGGCATGGTGGTGCGCACCTGTAATCCCAGCTACTTGGGAGGCTGAGGCAGGAGAATCGCTTGAACCCAGGAGGCAGAGGTTGCAGTGAGCCGAGATCGCGCCACTGCACTACAGCTTGGGCGACAGAGCGAGACTCCATCTCAAAAAAAAAAAAAAGAAAGAAATCTTTGGATACAGGCATACAATGCATGAATGGGGTATCCATCACTGCAAGCATTTATCCTTCCTTTGTGTTACACACTATCCAATTATACTCTTTAAGTTATTATAAAATATACAATTATTGTTGACTGTAGTCACCCTGTTGTGCTATCACTTACTAGATCTTATTCTAACTGTGTTTTTGTACCCATTAAACATCCCCACTTCCCTTTCCCCTGCTACCCTTCCCAGCTTTTGGTAACCATCATTCTGTCTCCATGAGTTCAAATGTTTTAATTTTTAGCTCCCACAAATAAGTGAGGACGTGCAAAGTTTGTCTTTCTGCGCCTGGCGTAGTTCACTTAACATAATGACCTCCAGTTCTGTTCATTGTTACAAATGACAGGATCTTATTCTTTTTTATGGCTGAATAGTACTCGTGTGTATGTACCACATTTTCTTTATCTATTCATTTGTTGATGATGGACACTTTGGTTGCTTCCAAATCTTGGCTGTGGTGAATAGTGTTGTAATAAACATGGGAGTGCAGATTTCTCTTCCATGTACTGATTTCCTTTCTTCCTTTTTTAGAGACAGGATCTTGCTTTGTCGCTTAGGTTGAAGTACAGTGGCGTGATCACAGCTCACTGTAGCCTCCACCTCCTGTACTCAAGCCATTTTCCCAAGTAGCTGGGACTACAGGTGCATGCCAGAGCACCTGGCTAATTTTAAAATTTTTAGTAGAGGTGATGTCTTGCTGTCTTTGCCCAGGCTGCTCTCAAACTCCTGGGCTCAAGCAATCCTCCTGCCTCAGCCTCCCAAAGTGCTGGGATTGTAGGCGTAAGCCACCGTGCCTGGCCCTGATTTCCTTTCTTTTGGGTGTATACCTAGCAGTGGGCTTGCCGGATCATATGGTGGCTCTATTTTTAGTTTTTGAGGAACCTCCGTACTGTTCTCCACAGTGGTTGTATTGATTTACGTTCCCACCAACAGCGTATGAAGGTTCCCTTCTCTCCACATCCTTACTAGCATTTGTTATTGCTTATCTTTTTTGGATATAAGCCATTTTAACTGGGATGAGATGATATCTCATACTTTTTTTTTTTAACATTTAAGGGTTTGTTAAAAATATGAAACGCTTCACGAATTTGCATGTCATCCTTGCGCAGGGGCCATGCTAATCTTCTCTGTGTCCTTCCAATTTTAGTATATGTGATGCTGAAGCGAGCACTCATTGTAGTTTTGATTTGTATTTCTCTGGTGATCAATGATGTTAAGCACGTTTTCATGTACCTTTTTTTGCCATTTGTATATCTTCTTTTGAGAAATGTCTTTCAGATCTTGTCTCCATTTTTAGGTGGATTATTAGATTTTTTCCTATTGAGTTGTTTGAGCTTCTTACATATTCTTGTTATCCCCTGTCAGATAGATGGTTTGTAAATATTTTCTCTCATTCAGTGGGTTATCTCTTCATTTTGTTGATAGTTTCCTTTGCTGTGAGGAAGCTTTTTAACTTGATGTGATCCCATTTGTCCATTTTTGCTTTGGTTGCCTATGCTTGTCGGGTATTCTTTATGTCTTTTTTTGATAGAACCCTGGTTGAAGTGCAACTGATCTTTAAACTTTTCTCTTCAGGGAAATTAAACTACAAGTGGAAAGTCTTCTGAAATGTGGCCAGAGTTCAAGAATGTTCAAATTCTTCGTCCACCAAGTGCACATGTTGTAATTAGACATGTTTCCCTCTTTGCCCACAGTGCCTGATGTATTTCCTTTGAGGGATAATTAGGGAAGGGGAGTGGTTCAGTCTAAAATAAGCCTGAAGTGGTCACATTTTTCAGATCCTTATAGTTGGCAGCTTTGTTTTCTTGCATTAAAATAATGCTGTGCAGACACTATGCCTCGTTGTTGTAGTCTGACTCTAAACATGTTTTGTAACAGAGGATAAGGCTCTGTCCTAAATTGTGGATGGTTTTTTAAAAGATAAGGGTAAGGCCGGGCGTGGTGGCTCACGCCTGTAATCCCAGCACTTTGGGAGGCCGAGGTGGGTGGATCATGAGGCCAAGAGATCCAGACTATCCTGGCCAACATGGTGAAACCCCGTCTCTACTAAAAATACAAAAATTACCTGGGCGTGGTGGTGTGTGCCTGTAGTTAGTCCCAGTTACTCGGGAGGCTCAGGCAGGAGAATCCCTTGAACCCAGGAGGCAGAGGTTGCAGTGAGCCAAGATCACGCCACTGCATTTCAGCCTGGCGACAGAGTGAGACTCCATCTCAAAAAAAAAAAGAAGATAAAGGTAGGAAGGGGTGAGAAGGCAATGTATTTTTAAGTATATAGGTTTTGCCAGGTAATCATATTACGGGAAATGCAGGTGAGCAACATCGAGGCATGGCTTATGTGCTTCTGAGAGCCCTGGGTCTGGTAACCTTCTCTTGGCTTACCCAGTGGGAGGAGTTCCTCAGGACACTCTTCTGAACTGTTCTCTCCTATTTCCTACACTGCTTTCCCTCATGTTGCCTTTCTCTGAACTGCCTTGGTGTATGTCATGCTGTTGCTTCTTTCTTTTTTTTTTTGAGATGGAGCCTCGTTCTGTCACCCAGGCTGGAGTGCAGTGGCATGAACTTGGCTCACTGCAACCTCCGCCTCCCAGGTTCAGGCGATTCTCCTGCCTCAGCCTCCTGAGTAGCTGGGACTACAGGCGTGCACCACCACACCCAGCTAATGTTTGTATTTTTAGTAGAGATGGGGTTTCACCATATTGGCCAGGCTGGTCTCGAACTCCTGACCTCGTGACCCGCCCACCTTGGCCAACCAAAGTGCTGGGATTACAGGCGTGAGCCACCCCACCCAGCCAACTGTTGCTTATTTCTTCATATGGGTTTTGGTAGCTGGGAAATCTCAGTTTCTTAGACACCTGTTTGTTGGTAGATGACTGAGCTGCCAGAACAACCTTTATACCTTATGATGTAATGATACCTGTACCTGGTGATAAGCTTGTTCTTGGCTAATCAGATAGGTTCAGCAGTGGTGGCCTTCAGTATGCCAGAGAATCTGTCAAGAGTCAGCACTTTGTGGTGGAAACAAAAGTGCTTAACTGGATAAAGTATTTTAAGATTATGCTTTTAAACACGGTGAGCTTATTTTTTTTTCCTCATGATCAGAAAGGACTGGCATCGGACAGCGTAAAATGAGGACGAGTAGTTAACTCTGACTTTTAAAATTGGATTGCTGCCAGAGTAAAATGGATTCTTCTATCCTTGATTATTCTAAATCAGTGAATGTGACAGTTAAAACCATAATTTTGTATATAGGACCATAATTTTGGACCTTTGATTATGTTTTGAAAACTCTGCTCAGGGGATTACATGTTGGTAAAGCTAGTTAAGTGGGCAGCTGATGGCTCTGAAAGTTGAGATGAATAGGAGGGAGGGATCTGGGGCCATCTTGATGGTACCTGATGGCTGGTACCTAAAAACATCGCAGCACCCCCACCCCAGCCCAGCCCCAGACACAGGGTGCAAAGGATGTCGGTGCCTCTGTCGGGGGACCTGCTGGGTGCTGAGCTCTGCTCTAGGGAGGGATATGGTTATAGTTTGGGTACCAAATCCATCTTTCTTGTTAAATAAAACACCTGTTTGAATTATTTCAGAAGCCATAAGCATTCTTTGTAGAAAAATAAAGGTACAGATAAGCGAAAACATTTTTTAAAGAACGATTATAAACATAAACAACTCGGAGTGTATTCTGTACACTTCAAGCAGATATATGTGTAGGTATATATATATTTTAACCAAATTGGGATTAATATTGCTGATCATATTTTGTAATCTGCCTTTTTCACCAAAAATGTATATTGTAAACATCTTTCCATGTCAGTTGCTATCCCACAATGTCATTAAAATTAGACCTTTGAAACTGGCCAGGCAAAATTTAGCTTTCAGAGGGTGGCTGTACTTGTACCCATTTTGTGGGTACAAGGGCTAAAATATACTTTCTAAGAGTTTAGGTCAGTGTTTGACCTGAATGAACTAATAATAGTTAACGGGCACTTATTTGTGGATTTTTAGCTTTGGAAGAGAATTTAAAGATAATATACTCTGCCTCCATTATACTCATCCTCCATCATACAGATGTGCAAACTGAGGCCCTGTAAAGTTTAATATCTTGCCCACGGACACAGTGTTATTGCAGAACAGAGATAAAAACTCTCTCCTACTAGCCAGCAGTGCCAGTGCTAAACCAGGGTCACATGAGCTCAGGAAAGGTTTTATTTACATGTGGGAAGAAAAGTCAAGAGAGATGAAGATTGAGAAGAGTAAAAAATATATATATATGGTGTTAATAGCTATTTTTTTATTTTTTCATTTATCCCTCAGGAAAAAATGTATTCTGTTGCCTAGTTCTTATTTAAGGCCATTTCTTTTGGTCAGGAGAAGTGAATATATGATCCTGTAGTCTTCCCAGAGATATGACTGTGGGTATATACAAAATGAAAATGAATAATTACTAGTATTTATTAGGCACTTCTGTGTTCCAGGAACTACGCATATCTCATTTTCCCCTTTCAACAAGTTTCATGAAGGGAATACTATTATTACCCATCTTTTTTGTTTTTAGATATGGAAACTGAGACTCAGAAGTTGAGTACCTTGTTTAGGGTCATGGAGTTTGTCCCAGGGTTTAAACTAGAGCAGTCTGATCTCGGGGCCCATTCTCTTATTCTTACATTTATGAATGTAAGGAATATTACTAGTGAAACATGCTTATATCATGATTAGCCTTTGTACACTAGAGTACTTCCTTAGTAGTGTTCTCTAGTAGCAATTTCTTTTTTGGCTTTTGCTAGATTGTCAACCAGGTAACTGCTGAGCAGATACAGGGATCTCTTGGTTGTTTTCATCTCTAGAGCTGGTGTTTTTGAAAGATAGAATTAATTAGTTCAGCACATATTTACTCAGCACTTGCGGTATCCCAGATTTTTTTTTTTTTTTGAGACGGAGTTTCACTCTTGTTGCCCAGGCTGGAGTGCAATGGCGCAATCTCGGCTCACCACAGCCTCCGCCTCCCGGGTTCAAGCAATTCTCCTGCCTCAGCCTCCCGAGTAGCTGGGATTAGAGGCATGCACCACTACACTCTGCTAATTTTGTATTTTTAGTAGAGACAGGATTTCTCCACGTTGGTCAGGCTGGTCTCGAACTCCCAACCTCAGGTGATCCACCTGCCTTGGCCTCCCAAAGTGCTGGGATTACAGGCGTGAGCCATCGCGCCCGGCCGCGGTATCCCAGATATTGTTCTAGGTATTGAGTGGGGATACATCAGTTTGCAGAAAAGATGAAATTATTGGGATGATTTTTATTGGACCACTAACTTTGATGTCTTTGGCGGATAGATGATAACAAGAAGAGATTGGCTTGTCTTAAACAGACCTCCTGCCTTAGTCCTAGCGGTAAAGATAACTTTAAAAACAAAGTCTAGATCCTTTGCCTTCTTTTTTTAAGAATTCATAACCTGGCCAGGAGCGGTGGCTCACACGTAGTCTCATCACTTTGGGAGGCCGAGGTGGGTGGATCACAAGGTCAGGAGTTTGAGACCAGCCTGGCCAATATGGTGAAACCCCATCTCTACTAAAAATACAAAAATTAGCCGGGCGTGGTAGCGAACGCCTGTAATTCCAGCTACTCAGGAGGCTGAGGCAGGAGAATCTCTTGAACCGAGGAGGCAGAGGTTGCAGTGAGCCAAGATCGCGCCACTGCATTCCAGCCTGGGCGACAGAGCAAGACCCCGTCTCAAAAAAAAAGAAAGAATTCATAGCCTTTTCTCCATTCTCAACTAATTTTTTAAAATCTCCCAGAACTCACCCAGCTAATTTCTTAATTGCAGAATTTTCTCTTTGAGCGTGGAGGTCATTGGTAGGCCATCAGAAGACATTAAAGGTCTCTCCAGAGATGGTCACTTTCTTAGCTGTGGCTTTAGCCCGATGATCTGTCCAAAGCTTCTGCTTTTTCTCTCCTGCCCGTGCTTCCTGCAGCATCTCCCTGAGTCTTATCCAACACCACACAACTTCTGCAGATGGAGCCTCAGAAAGCATCATGAGGCTCTGTCAAGCAGCACTTCCTGCAGCCTGATCAAACAGCTGCCACATGGACAGCCACTGTCTAAGAGCACATACTTCTGCACCCTACTTCTAGCTCGAACGTTAAAATCAGGGCTACCATCAGAATTTTAGGCTGTGGGGACCCCACACTTAGAAGTTTAAAGTTCTGGATCTTTCTCTAAACATCTTAAACAGGATGTTGGGTGTTCTTCCACATTAAACCACCCTATGTGATGGTGTGCTTTGGAGAAAATTCCATTATCATAAGGGCTAAAAAACTTCCTATTGCTACAAAAAAATGTATACCTTATTATGATAAAGACAATATAGTAAAGTTGCAGAGTTTGGAAGTTAGAAAAATAAAAGTGCCAATGATGGTACCTTAACCAAAGCAATGATTCCATTTATAAGTATGTCTGTGTTTTGTTCGTGAGTGTGTATCTCATATGGTTGCATTTCTTTTCTTTTCTTTTTTTTTTTGGAGACGGAGTCTCACTCTGTCTCCCAGGCTGAGGTGTAATGGCGCGATCTTGGCTCACTGCAACCTCTGCCTCCTGGGTTCAAGCGATTCTCCTGCCTCAGCCTCCCGAGTAGCTGGGACTACAGGCACGTGCCACCACGCCTGGCTGATTTTTGCATTTTTAGTAGAGACAGGGTTTCACTGTGTTAGTCGGGATGGTCTTGATCTCCTGACCTTGTGATCCGCCCGCCTCGGCTCCCAAAGTGCTGGGATTACAGGCGTGAGCTACTGCGCCCGGCCTATGGTTGCATTTGTAATTGTGTAAAAATTTATAGCCTACATGTGGTTGTCATGTGTGAAGATATTATGCTTGATCCATATTGGTAGATTATATAGGTTAAGTTTTTCCAGTAAATACCCACTCTCAGTTTCTCATCAAGTTGTGCTTGTGACTTCTGATGTGTTGTGGTTTTTTTTTTTTTTTTTTTTTTTTGAGATGGCAAAGAGGGCAGTGAGTTTGTAGCCATTGACAAGAGAACATGCAGGTTCTGAAAAGGGCTCAAGCTGAGATCTTGGCTTTGTTAGGATGATGCCCACGGTAGCCACCTGTGGGGGCCTACATGAGGTTTATAAAAAAGCAGTGGTAGACATCCCTGGTAGATGGAGTTTTGATCAACTACAAATTCAGCAACATTGATAAGCCAAAGTTGTCTCAGCCTAGCACCATGAGTTTATTCTCACTGAATCAAGTTTATGATGGATGAGTGCTATGTAAACGTCTTCTAAGCTTTCAAAATGAATCATTTGAAATAAACCTCTTGAGATTGGGAGGCAGGATTGAACTGAAATAATTCTTTTAATCTCTAATCTCCTGTTGGCTTTGGGAGGAGGAATAGGGGAGGTGGAAATAGAGAGGGATTCTGGGGGGGAGTACAGTGCTGGGAGAGATGGAAAGGCCTCAGGGCCTCACCCTTCCTTTATTCCCCTTTGCTTACCTCCCGTATCGCAACTCTAAGGAAAGCAAGAGCTTGTCAGTAGCTCTTCATACTAGCTGTAATGCCAGTTCCTTTAAGCTTCAGTTATATTTCTACCTCGAAAATGGGAATAATGATATGTCCATGTTATATAATAGACATGTATGAACATTTATTAATATCAAATGCCATTATGCATGTAAAGCCCCTAGCACAGGATACTTAGATGTAGTTAACCTTTAAGAGATGTGGGCCATTATTGTTGTTATTCAGAAGTTTCGTCAGAGCCACTTGGATGGCTTCAGAAAGTGCTTAATCATTAATCTTAAGAGTGCATAAATCTTTCCCAGCTAAGGTATTAATAAAAGGGGAGTATTTTGTTGTGATTGTTGCCATGTTGTCATGCCAGGAAAGTTCCTTGTGTGGTAACTCTTTCTTAGAAAATTTTTTGCTATCTCTAAAAGTTTCTTTTCCTTGTTCCTTTATACATTTGCGAATGATTTGGTTATATTTAAAATTCCAATGTAATGAGAACACTTAGTTATTGACTTTTTTCATTATTAACATTTGGCCTTTGACATTTTGCTAGTTTCATTGTGTGGACTTATTTTTCTTCCCTCTTCCCTAATTTTTTTTTTTTTTTTATACGGAGTCTTGCTCTGTCGCCTGGGCTGGAGTGCAGAGTGCATTGGCATGATCTTGGCTCACTGCAACCTCCGCCTGCCGGGTTCAAGCGATTCGCCTGCCTCAGCCTCCCAAGTAGCTGGGATTACAGGCTCGTGCCACCATGCCTGGCTAATTTTTGTATTTTTGGTGGAGACGGGGTTTCACCATGTTGGTCAGGCTGGTCTCGAACTCCTGACCTTGTGATCTACCCACCTCGGCTTCCCAAAGTGCTGGGATTACAGGCGTGAGCCACCGTACCCAGCCCCTCTTTCCTAATTTCTAATGGTCTCTCTTCAAAGGTTAAATTTTGTCCATTTATCACATCTCTTTAGTGGTTCATTTAAGATATGAGTAAATCAAATCAAGTAAAATCATAACTAGCATAAATAAAATCAAATTGTCTCTGAAACTAATACTCTCTTTATTTCAAAGGCAGTTGTAAAACCATGCTGTTTTGATTTCATATTTAAATGCTTTTCCTAAAATAATAGCCATCACTTTTCCCTCTCGTACCCTGTCCTTCATTTCCTATAGGCCTGGCTGGTGCACAGGCTTTCAGAGGTGGCATGCAAAACCTCAGTTGTTTTGGGAAGGGAGGGATTTCAGCCGTAAGATAGGGCTTATGTATAAGTGGGGGCAAGGGAAGCCCTGGCCACAGTGATGAAATATGTTGAAGATGACCTTCCTCTTGTGACAGATTGCCAGCTCCTGTTTCAGACAATGTTTTTTGTTTTTTGTTTTTGTTTTTGTTTTTTTGCTTTTGCTAAGAGTTTTTTTGTTTGTTTTTTATTTTTTGTTTATTTTTATTTTTATTATTATTTTTTGAGATGGAGTAGTCTCTGTCACCCAGGCTGGAGTGCTGTGGCACAATCTCTGCCTCCCAGTTTCAAGCGATTCTTGTGGTATCTCAGCCTCCTGAGTAGCTAGGGTTACAGGGGTGTGCCACCATGCCCGGTTAATTTTTGTATTTTTAGTAGAGACAGGGTTTCGCCATGTTGGCCAGACTGGTCTCAAACTCCTACCCTCAGGTGATCCACCCACCTCGGCCCCCCAAAGTGCTGGGATTACAGGCATGAGCCACTGCGCCCAGCCTTTGCTAAGAGTATTGAAGTATTTGAGAACACTTGAAGTGAATGAGTCCTGTTTTTCAAATAAAAAAATCTATGTTCCTCCAAACATAAAATTGAATCCCTTGAGATCAACTTCCCAATGTGTCCCTGTCCTTGGAAGAAGTAATGATTCTCTTTCACTCTTGGTCTCCCCGTGAATATTTGCCTCCTGTCTATGCAAACCACTGGGAATAGCACTTTCCCTAGGGGGTCAGTCAGTCTGTGGTATTGGGTATCTTGCTAGTTAAAGAAGGGAATCTGGGGTTCAGATCCCAGGGATGAGTTGTTTGGCATCAGCAAGTACCCCTGTTTTATCTCTGAGGGACTCCTGGGCTGGCCTCAGTGTTTATACTTTGTGCCTTCTCCTTTGATGCCCAAATGTATTCTCTTGGCCCCTCTTTTTTCACTCTTTACCTACCTACCTACCTGTCATCTGTCTGCAGCCCCCAGCCCCACCCCAGCTTGCCTAGTTTAGCTTCAAGTTCACTTGCCCTACAAATCTTTTTCTTTCTTTTTTTGAGATGGAGTCTTGCTCTGTTACCCAGCTGCAGTGCAGTGGCGAGATCTCGGCTCACTGCATCCTCCACCTCCCAGGCTCAAGCGATTCTCCTGCCTCAGCCTTCTGAGTAGTTGGGACTACAGGCGCATGCCACCACACCCGGCTAATTTTTGTATTTTTAGTAGAGATGGGGTTTCACCATGTTGGCCAAGCTAATCTTGAACTTCTGACCTCAGGTGATTTACCCGTCTTGGCCTCCCAGAGTGCTGGGATTAGAGGTGTGAGCCACTGTGCCTGGCCCCTACAAATCTCTTTATGCAGCTTTACGTTCTGGAGAAGAGAAGTGGCTGCTTTTTCTCTTTTTGTTTTAATGATCACTTTCTGCTACCTGCTGAATAAAGATGATCTATGCTAAAAGGGTGACAGGAAGAACCTGATGTACCTATAAGTAGTACCTGAGGAGCGCAGTAAGTATGGCAGATGTAATCTGGGTGGCAGACAGAGAGGGGGTATGGGAGCTCTGGGGTGCATGAGAGAGGCCCTCAGTGTGGTGAGGGTGTGGCTGTCTCTGTGTCTGGTCCTGTTACAGAGGAGCAACTGAGGAATAAACCAACCACAGTAGGAGTCTGGGGATGGAAACAAGGTGCCATAGCATTGTGGAAGAGACTTTGATTTTGCAAAGTTCTGATCCAGGCTCAGCCACTTGGTGGTGACCTTAGACATGTAACTTCACCTATCCGAGACTTCCTTTTCTTACCTGTAACGTGAATAGGTGTCTTCCCTGCAGGCTGATTTAGAGGATGAGAAGAAATAAACCATATAAACCCAGCTAAGGACTTGACACATGGCAGATACTCAACAACTGCTAGGTGCTGTTATTATTAATAACTTGAACTGGAAGATTTGTTATTTAAGCAACATTTTTATGTATCTACCATTTGCTAAGCACTATTAAAATTAGGAATGCAAAGAAACAGTCTGTGCACTCAGGAGCTTCACCTTCTCTTGGGGAGATGGCTGGTCACCAGAGTTCTCTGCACAGAGGTCGGAGCTGCCTACTTATGAGGGAGGCATGCCCAAGTGCTCTGGGGGCACAGAGCAAGACCCACTGCAGAACCCAAGGCAGCATCTGGTCTTATGCAAAAGCTGTGTAGGACTTGGAAAGGTCGACATTAAAGCGGGATTTGGTGTGGGGAGGAGGGGGATAATGTAGCAAGCAGGCAAGAGGGGTGTGAAAGGCTCATAGCTGTGTTAGGACTGGGTGACATCTTTCCCCATCTCTTATGTAAGGTGTGTGCACACATGTGTGATGGTGAGAGAGAAGTCTTGAGGAATAGAATCCAAGGGTCGCTGCTCGGACCTGCAGGAGTATCTCCAAGATTCTATGAGGATTCCTTCTTTCTGTGACATGCTGCTGTACCATAGATCAGTCTGGCCCTTAGTGAGCCTGTGGGCACCTCTCATCTGTCCCTGGTTCCTCTTGCCTTCTTCCTGCTCCAAGCCTTTTAACTTCTCCCAGCTCTTCCCCTAACTTAATGTTTATAGAGCAGTTTTGGAGGCGGTGGTAGAAGGGGAGGCACAGATGGCAATGCCATGTGTCTCTGCAGCTGCTGTCAGTCACATCCGTTAGCTTAAATCATAAAGCAGTGACAGCCCCATAACTGCCACCTGACACCTTTTTTCTGGCACTTGTACATATCCCAGCACAACAATCTTTACTTTCAGTATAATGTGGTAGTTAAGAGCATGGCTTTGGTGTCACACAGGGCTTCCTACTTGCTAATGGTGAATTTGGGCTGGGTGTTTAACTTCTCTGAGCCTCAGTTTTCTGATCTGTGAAATGGGAATAAAATAAAAGCCCGTAAGGTTGCTGTTAGTCTTAAGTGATGCAATCTGTGGAAAGCTGTTTACACAGTACCTAGCAGGTAGTGAACATTTATTAAATGTTATTTAGTTGCTATTATTCCTCACCACCCCAGAAGCTGCAGGTATGTGTGTGTGTGTGCGTGTGTGTGTATGTGTATGTGTGTGTGTGTGCGCATTCATGTGTGTGTTCTTTGGGCCACCAGTGCAGGTCCTGATTGTGGCAAGACTTGACCTCATTTCTTTCCAGCATTGTTCTTTTTTTTTTTTTTTTTTTGAGATGGAGTCTCGCTCTGTCGCCTAGGCTGGAGTGCAGTGGCGCGATCTCGGCTCACTGCAAGCTCCGCCTCCCGGGTTCGTGCCATTCTCCTGCCTCAGCCTCCAGAGTAGCTGGGACTACAGACGCCTGCCACCACGCCCAGCTAATTTTTTTTTTTGTATTTTTAGTAGAGACGGGGTTTCACTGTGTTAGCCAGGATGATCTCGATCTCCTGACCTCATGATCCGCCCGCCTCTGCCTCCCAAAGTGCTGGGATTACAGGCGTGAGCCACTGCGCCTGGCCTCAGCATTGTTCTTCTCTGGCACTCTAAGTGTGTGTCTGGAGCCAGGCATGCTGTCCCTCTTATAGGACTGCCATACCCACCATGGGTACCTTTACAGTCTACCTGGAGGGCCTCCCTTCCTGCACAGTTTTCTTTTTCAGTGAGTCGTTTCATGGATTTCCTTTCTGTCCTGTAACAGTATCTTCATCTGTCTCAAGGGCTTCTAGGAGGACTTGGGGTTTGGGCAGTATGTTAAGTCCAGAGCTTGATACCTGCAATTCAGCTTGGCTTCTCTCTCCTTTCAAGTGAGCCTTCCCAGCTTCTGCCAACAGCACCCTTCTTTCCCTAATCACTCATATGCCCAACCAATCACAGCCCCCACTGTGCCCTTTGTGGGGCCCTCTGTGGTGATCCGTCTGTGTTTCCATGGCCACCTTCTGTCTAGCATCTCCTGGTGCATGCAACCACCTACCACAAGAGCTTGACTGGCCTCTCCACTTCCCACTGCTCCCCGTCTGCACCACCCCCAGATGCCCACACACCACAGCCAGCCTTCTGCTGAACGCGGCCTTCATGTTGTCATCTTCCCATTTAAGAGCCCTCCACGCTTCTTGCCCCTTCCACTGATCCAAATCCTAACTAGCTTTCAAGGCACAGCCAAGATCCTGCCTGCTTCTGGTTCTGTTGAAGGAGCATTAGCTTGGATTTGGGAGGCCTCTGCCTCTAGCCATTTCTTTTCTTTGTGACCTTTTGCTTCCTGAGGCAGGTCCTTATCCCATCAAGCTTGCCAACCGTCTTTGGGTGTGGTTCACCGATAATAAGAGAATCAAGCCAGTTAACTGTTTGGTGAGATCAGGTCTGTGGGATCTGAGGCTTATACTGGTATTTGGGTCCTAACATTTATTTTCTAATGTAAGTTTTATTTATTTCTTTCTTTAATAGGGAGAGTTTAATGAGGTATTGGGATTGTTTAAAGGCCTAGTGAATGCCTGGTGAGAGTGATCCTTGCTAAGAATCATAAATGAGTAATGCTTTCACTGCACTTCAAGAAATGATGAGCTGTCAAAACAGAGTGAGGAATTTAGTTTGCATCTTAATGAGCAGATACTCTCTTCCTTCAAAAAAAAAAAAAAAACCTGAGGTCAGGAAAAAAGCAGGGTCTAAATGTGAAGAAAAGGATTTAGAATGGCCAAGTGAATAAGTATTGCTTAGCTGTTGGGGGTAATGAATTGTCCAAGGTCATTGCCTGTTCCCCTGCCCTGGAGACTTGTTACAACTGAAAGAACATTTGTAGGTATTACTTTGTAATAGGAAAAAAGTTGAAGATTTGTGGTTGCCTAGGGTTAGAGGTACAATGTAAACAGAGGGATTGAGTGGGGAATAACAGGTCAGCTTTGGTATGAGGTGCTTTGCCTTAGAATATTCCTTTTGGGATGATGAAAATGATCTAAAATTGATTGTGGTGATGATTGTACAACTATGAATATACTGAATACCATTTCAACACTTTATATTGTTAAACATTATATTAAATACTTTGGTGAATTACATGGTTGGTAAATTATATCTTTTTTTTTTTTTTTTTAGACGGAGTCTCGCTCTGTCACCCAGGCTGGAGTGCAGTGGCGCGATCTCGGCTCACTGCAAGCTCCGCCTCCCAGGTTCACACCATTCTCCTGCCTCAGCCTCCCAAGTAGCTGGGACTACAGGCGCCCGCCATCACGCCCAGCTAATTTTTTGTATTTTTTAGTAGAGACGGGGTTTCACCATGTTAGCCAGGATGGTTTCGATCTCCTGACCTTGTGGTCCGCCCACCTTGGCCTCCCAAAGTGCTGGGATTACAGGCGTGAGCCACCGCGCCCGGCCACTTTTTTTTTTTTTTTTTAAAGAGAATGTTTTCCTCTGTTACCCAGGCTGGAGTGCAGTAACATGATCATAGCTCACTGCAACCTTCAACTCCTGGGCTCAAGGGATCCTCCCACCTCAGCCTACTGAGTAGCTGAGACTACAGGCACGTGTTACTGTTCCTAAGTTTTTTTTTGGTAGGGACAGGTTTCACTGTGTTGCCCAGGCTAGTCTCAAACTCCTGGCCTCAAGCAATCCCCACTCCCCCACCACCTCACCCTTCCAAAGTACTGGGATTACAGGCAAAGTGTAAATCGCCATGCCCAGCCAATTACACCTTTTTTTTTCTCGTTTCTTTTTTTGGAGACAAGGTCTTGCTCTGTTGCCCAGACTGGAATGCAGTGGTGTGATCTCAGCTCACTCCAGCCTCAACCTCCTGGGCTGAAGCAATCTTCCTGCCTTAGCCTCCCAAGTAGCTGGGACTACAGGTACACACAACATGCCCAGGTAATTTTGTTCATTTTTTGTAAAAACAAGGTCTCACTATGTTACCCAGGCTGATCTCGAACTCCTGGGCTCAAGAGATCCTCCCACCCTCGGCCTCCCAAAGTGTTGGGATTACAGACGTTAGCCACTGTGTCTGACCTCAATTATATCTTAATAAAGTGTTTGTTTTTTTTTTTGAGACAGAGTCTTGCCTCATCGTCCAGGCTGGAATGCAATGGCGTGATCTCAGCTAACTGCAATCTCCACCTCCTGGGTTCAAGCAATTCTCCTGCCTCAGCCTCCCTAGTAGCTGGGATTTCAGGCATGTGCCACCATGCCCGGCTAACTTTTTTTTTGTATTTTTAGTAGAGATGGGGTTTCACCATATTGGCCAGGCCGGTCTCGAACTCCTAACATCAGGTGATCTGCCCGCCTTGGCCTCCCAAAATGCTGGGATTACAGGAATGAGCCACCATGCCCAGCCTTAATAAAGCTTTTACAAAGACAGAGTTTAAAGTTCAAAAGTGTAAGCTTGGTGTCAGAATTGATACTGAGTTCTGGCTTTACCATCTATTTAGTTCTGTGAACCTGGGTTTATTATTTAAACCCTTAGTGCTTCATTGGCCTTATCTGTAAAGTGGGGATGAAAATACCATACAGATTGTTGTCAAGATAAGTGACATAGGACATTGAAAGTGGACATAGTAAACTCCTATGACATATTTTTATGTGTTTAATTTAGGCATATATCATTGTGGATAATAGATTCGTAGTCTGAAATGCTCTGTTGAGTTTCCAAGTAGCCCTCTGAAATGAATACAGGTTGAGTATTTCTAATCTGAAAATCCAAAATCCCTTGAGTGTCATGTTTGGATTAAGAATACTCAGCTTGTCCATTTTAGGGCTGAGAACTGATTTGCATAACGCGTAAACAGCAGAATACTGAAAGACCAGGTACCAGGTTGAATTTGTGTATGTGGTTTGTTACCTTGAGACCAGACGTTGTCAGTTAGCCTCTTACTGCATGTCTGCCTCCCTGGCTTCAGATGCTGTTCTCTTGGTTTGTTGTCAGAGTAATTGTTGCTTGTAACTGCCGAAAGTATATAGCTAGTGGAATAGAGCTGTGGTCAGCAGCAAAGCTGCCTCCTGTCATGCTTTCAGAAGCATGGGGAATGAGCCTGCTAGTCAGGCCTGCTCGGAGGGAGCCAAGCCTTCTGGCCAGGAGTGGGGTACCAGCAGCCTTGGGAATCAGCTTCAGGAAACAAATCCTGTTTTGGTTTTTAGCTTCCTACAGCTGGATAGTAGATGGATTCATTCAGTCTTTAGTCTGTATTCTCAGTGAGAAAGCTCCAAATTAAAAGTCTGACCTTGGCTATGCCCCTACTCTATTAGTGAGACCAGAATGTGTTTCTGGAAGCCAGCTAAGGGAAGAATGTGACAATAGTTCGGTGATACTTGGCACTAATACACTTAGGTAGGAATTTTTAATAGAGCAATTTTGTTAATTTCACAAGAGCTATGCATAGGATTGAAGAATATTATCCGGATCAAGAATTATTGTCTCTATGTATGTTTTCATGTGTCCATTCTTTCAGCAGACTTACTGACAATTTACTGTCTTGTCAGGAATTATATGCTAGAAGTTGAGGCTAAAAATCCATAAAGGTACAGCCTCAGCCCTCAGTTTGTATCATTGGTTGGCAAGACAGACAAGGTAAGAGACTCTTGCAGTTCAGCGTGAAAAGTGCTATGCTTGGCCAGGTGCGGTGGCTCACACCTGTAATCTCAGCACTTTGGGAGGCCAAGGTGGGCAGATTACTGGAGGTAAGGAGTTCAAGACCAGCCTAGCCAACGTGGTGAAACCCTGTCTCTACTAAAAAAAAAAATTAACCAGATGTGATGGTGGGCACCAGTAATCCCAGCTACTAAGGAGGCTGAGGAATGAGACTCTTTTGAACCTGGGAGGCAGAAGTTGCAGTGAGCCAAGATTGTGCCACTGAACTCCTGCATGGGGGATAGAGGGAGACTCTGTCTTTAAAAAAAAAAAGGAAAAAAGGAAAAGTGCTGTTCTGGAGGCATATACAGAGTGTGGTTTGGGTATCTAGCAAAGGGGCACCTCAGTGTTCTGATGGAGAGAGTTTTGACCACAGAAAGCCTCACAGGACCTGAACTGTGTGGACAGTGGATTTGACAGTGAGTTGGATGGACAGGAGTGGAGACAGTGGGTTGGGTGGTCCCAGAGGATGCAGTAGGGGCCAGTTGGAGGCAGTGCGACTGGCAGTCGGGAGCATGCGAGCTAGGAAATGATGGTGGCCCAAAGTCAGAGCGACAACAGGAATGGATAGACGTGGGCAATATGGAGCAGAGCACAGGCTGTGAGAGGCAGGGAGTAGGTAAGAGTGACTCTCAGGTTTCTGGTGTGGCCAGCTGGATGGCTGGTCCTGAACCAGAGCTCAGAGCATTAGATTTGGCAAGGGGTGGCGATGAGCTGATTTTGAAATGTCAATTTGAAGGATATGAGGGACATTCTGGTGCAGGTGGCCAGGAGGCTGTTGAGGTGTCCAGGCCTACAGCTCTGAAGGCAGATCTGGAGTGAAGTACCACTTGGGGATCATCAGCCTATACTGTTGAAACACCTTTGAGTGAGAGAGCTCATCCAGGGAACACAGGGTTTGTGAGGAAGTAAGAGGACCCTGCCCAGAAGGGAGACTTGACCAAGAAGAGCCCGAGAAAGTGAGTGTTAGCCTGTATTAGGATTCCCTAGAGGGATAGAACTAATAGGATATATATCTCCTATATATATCTGGAGTTTATTAAGTATTAACTTACATGATCACAGGGTCCCACAACAGGCTGTCTGCAAGTCTGAGGAGCAAGGAGAGCCAGTCAGAGTCTCAAAACTGAAGAACTTGGCGTCTGATGTTTCAGGGCACGAAGCATCCAGCATGGGAGAAAGATGTAGGCTGGGAGGATAGGCCAGTCTCGCCTTTTCACCTTTTTTTTGCCTGCTTTATATTCACTGGTAGCTGATTAGACTGTGCCCACCAGATTAAGAATGGGTCTGCCTTTCCCAGCCCACTGACTCAAATGTCAATTTCCTTTGGCAACACCCTCACAACCACACCCAGGATCAATATTTTGTATCCTTCAATTCAATCAAGTTGACACTCAGTATTAACCATCACAAGTCCACCCCTTGTCAACTTGAACCCATACACATCTCCTGAGATCACACATAATCTTCAAATAAAGACAATAGTAAGGTCATAATTACGCCTAACATAACACAACTATCCTTCATACAACTGGAAACTCACCAATCCCCAACCCAAATACCATTACATAAAGTTAACAATACTTAAATGCTGATATGAAGTCAATAAATCTTATATGATAAAGGAAAAGGAAATAAAACATGTATATATGCACAAACATGTTTTTAACAAAAGAAGGAGGAAATACTCATGACAATTACAGTTCTCATTTCTGCAGCTGGTCACGTGGTCGTAGCTGGTATTGATGACTGCCTTCTTCTACTACTTATTCTGTATTCCCTTTGCCTTCAGCAAACACCTCAGCAGGTCGTGGTTTTTTTTCCCTAGTGGAGTGACCCAAACCTTTATTCCTGAGGGGTCTGGACCATTTGTAGTCCTGCCTGGACTGGGCTGTTGTCGTTTCCCATTGACCTTAATTGCAGGGCATGGTAATACTAAGAGACGCCCTAATGGATCTCCTGTATTCCATGCATACTCTTCCTTACCTCCATTATGGAGAGTAGACTGTTTTCATTTTGATAGTCCAGGTCAGTCACCCCGGCCAACACTGTAACTCCCTTCTTAGCCTATTGACTTAAAGGTAGGAGGGGCCCAAAGTGTCCGGGTAGCAATCTTAACTTCCAGTTTAATGGAATTGTTGTGTCTCCTGGTGGCAGCGTTCCTCCCTCTGGAACTAAGACCTCTAGACCAGCAGAAGATAATGTTGCAGGAACAGGAGGCAAAAATTTTGCTAGTGGATCACTAGGGGTGATGGTGAGTGGTGCCACTTCCACTTCCACCCTTTAATTCCTGGACCCGTGAATCCTGGCTATGGGAGAAACAGTACCATGTATTGAACGCTGATTCAGAGCATACATGGCCTTCTAGAGAACTTTGCCCCAGCCCTGCAAATTATTGTCACCTAGCTGGCATTGTAATTGTGACTTCAAAAGGCTATTACACCATTCTGTCAATCCAGCTGCTTCAGGATGATAGGGAACATGGTAAGACCAGTGAATTCCATGAGTACGAACCCACTGCCGCACTTCTTTAGCCGCAAAGAGAGTGCCTTGGTCAGAGGCAATGCTGTGTGGAATACCATGATGGTGGATAAGGCATTCCGTGAGTCCATGGATGGTAGTCTTGGCAGAAGCATTGTGTGCAGGATAGGCAAACCCATATCCAGAGTGTGTATTGCAGTGAAGACAAACCTCTGCCCTTTCAATGATAGAAGAGGTCCAATATAATCAACCAGCCACCAGGTAGCTGGCTGATCGCCCTGAGGAATGGTGCCATATCGAGGGCTCAGTGTTGGTCACTGCTGCTGGCAAACTGGGCACTCAACAGTGGCCGTAGCCAGGTCAGCCTTGGTGAGTGGAAGTCCATGTTGCTGAGCTGATGCGTAACCTCCATCCCTGCCACCATGGCCATTTCGTTTATGGGCCCATTGTGTGATGACAGAGGTGGCTGGGGGAAGAGTCTGAGTGGTGTCCACAGAACGGGTCACCCTATCTACTTGATTATTAAAATGCTCCTCTGCTGAGGTCACCCATTGCTGAGCACTCACATGAAGATATAAATATCTTCACAGTTTTTGACCACTCAGAGAGGACCATCCATATAACTCTTCCCCAAATTTCTTTGTCACCAATTTTCCAATCATGCTTCTTCCAAGTCCCTGAACATCCAGCCAAACCATTGGCTACAGCCTATGAATCAGTATATAATCGGACATCTGGCCATTTCTCTTTCCATGCAAAATGCACAACCAGGTGCACTGCTCAAAGTTCTGCCCACTGGGAAGGTTTCCCTTCACTGCTGTCCTTCAGGGATGTCCTAGAAAGGATCTGTAGTGCTACAGCTGTCCACTTTTGGTGGTGCCTGCATGTCTTGCAGAACCATCTGTGAACCAGGCCCTAGTTTTCTCTTCCTGTCATCTGATCATAGGGAACTCCCCATGAGGTCATCGGTGCAGGCTGGGGAACAGAAGGTACGGTGGCAGGTGTGGAGACCATGGGCATTTGAGCCACTTCCTCATGTAACTTGTGCCTTCAAGATCTGCTCGAGCCCAGTCATGTGTATACCACTTCCATTTGATGATGGAATGTTGCTGTGCACGACCCACTGTATGGCTAGATGGTCAGAAAGTGCCCAATTCATGATGGGCAGTTCAGGTCGCATGGTGACTTGACCCATAGTCAAACATTCAGTTTCTACCAAAGCCCAGTAACGGGCCAAGAGCTGTCTTTCAAAAGGAGAGTCGTTATCTGCAGAAGATGGCAGGGCCTTGCTCCAAAATCCTGGAGGCCTCCACTGTGATTCACCTATGGGGGCCTGCCAAAGGCTCCAAATGGCATCCCTATCTGCCACTGACACCTCAAGCACTATTGGATCAGCTAGGTTTTGTGGCCCAAGTGGCAGAGCAGCTTGCAAAGCAGCCTGGACTTGTTACAGAGCCATCTCCTTTTCTGGACCCCACTCAATAAATGGGTCACTCAATAAATGGGCTGGAGTAACACACTCAAACGAAGAATATGTTGCCTCCAAAATCCAAATAGGCCCACTAGGCATTGTGCCTCTTTCTTGGTTGTAGGAGGGGCCAAATGTAGCAACTTATCCTTCATCTTAGAAGGAGTATCTCAACAGGCCGCACACCACCGAACCCCTAAAAATTTTACTGAGGTAGAAGTTCCCTAAATTTTAGTTGGATTTAGTTCCCATCCTCTGACATGAAAATGTCTCACCAATAAGTCCATTGTGTTTGTTACTTCTTGGATAATGTCATCAATGTAATGGACCAGTGTGATACCTTGTGGAAGCAAAAAGCGATCAAGGTCTCTTCAAATAAGATTATGACACAAAGCCAGAGAGTTGATATGTCCCTGAGGTAGGACAGTGAAGGTATATTGTTGGTCTTGCCAGCTGAAGGCAAATTGCTTCTGGTGGGCCTCATGGACAGGAATGGAGAAAAAGCCATTTGCCAAGTCAATGGCTGTATACCAGGTACCAGGAGATGTGTTAATTTGCTAAAGCAATGAAACCACATTTGGTACAGCAGCTGCAACTGGAGTCACCTCTTGGTTAGGCTTATGAGAATCCACTGTCATTCTGCAAGATCCATCTTCTGCACAGGCCAAATAGGAGAGTTGAACAGGGATGTGGGAATCACTACCCCTGCGTCTTTCAAGTCCTTGATGGTGGCATTAATCTCTGCAGTCCCTCCAGGGTTGTGATACTGTTTTCGATTTACTATTTTTCTAGGTAGAGGCAGCTCTAACGGCTTCTGTTTAGCCTTTTCCACCATAATAGCCCTCACCCTACCAGTTAGGGAACGAATGTGGGGGTTCTGCCAGTTGCTAAGTATGTCTATGCCAATTATGCATTCTGCCACTGGGGAAATAACAGGATGAGTCTGGGGGCCCACTGGACCCACTGTAAGTCAGACCTGAGCTAAAACTGCATTAATTACCTGACCTCCATAAGCCCCTACTTTAACTGGAGGACCACAGTGACACTTTGGGTACCCCGGAATCATTGTCAGCTCAGAACCAGTGTCCATTAGTCCAAATGTCTGATCATTTCCCTTTCCCCAGTGCACACTTACCCTGGTAGAATGTCAGAGGTCTCCTTGGGGAAGGATGAGAGAAAGATCCACTGCGTAAATTGTTGGTAATGTGGTGGGGTCCTTCCTCAAGGGGACCCGGCCTCCCCTTCCTTCAAGGGGTTCTGGGTCTGTAAACTGGCTCAAGTCTGGAAATTGATTGAGGGGCCGTGATTCTCTGTTTTTATAATTCAAACTAGTCTTTTGTGCATTAGACCTGGAAGTTTTCTGTTTATATAAATTAAGTAGGAATGCAGTAGGCTTCCTATCAGTTTCACTTCTAGGAACAGCATGATTAATTAGCCAATGCCAGAGCTCTACGTGAGTCAGACTATTCTGATTGCTGCTTTGTCTCTACCATCCATTACAGTAGCTACGAACACCTTGTCTTTGACAGTTGAGTGCCGCCACTTGGCCCCTGCCACCTAGGGATCCAGTTATTCCCATTGTATTTAAATTTTGTAGTTGAGTGATTGCAGTTCCCACTGTTAGATTTGACATACAGAGACAAGCAATTACAGGGCTCTTCAAAGATGCAGATGCTGCCCTCACAAATCTGTTTTGCAAAGCATTGGTCAAGGATATATCTTCTGGACCCTCCCAGCTGGGATGAGTAGGTCTAAAGTGCCTAATCCACTCCACCATCCCAATCTCCCTAAGCCTTTGGATCCCTTACTCTACATTAAACCAAGGGAGATCAGGCATTTCCAGCTCACTCATAGTGGGCCATCTTTTAATCCATATTTCAGCTAACCAAGCACATAAACTATTAGAACCTTTTTTAACTCCCCGAGCTGCAACATTAAAAGCAGAGTCCCTACTTAGTGGGCTCAAATCAATAAATTTAGCCTGATCCAACTCTATGTTCCTTCTACCATTATCCTATACCCTTAATATCCATTCCCATGCCTATTCTCCAGATTTCTGTTTATATAAATTAGAGAACTCAAGCAGTTCTTTTCAAGTGTAGCGCACCTCATCACGTGCCACAGTCTCAACCTCACCTCACCTGCTGGGACTTTAGTCCAGTTATAGGTCTAGAAGCAAACAGGGGTGTTGGGGGTGACTCCTGAGGAGAATCAACATTATCTTGCCTGGCAGCTGCCTCAGGGGAGGCCATCAGTGTTGCCTCAGGCAGTGCAGAGTTTATCTCAGACAAAGGTGGAAAGGCTGATGGCAGTATGGGTTAGGGAGGGGATGTTGCCACTACTGGGGATGGGGAAGCTGTTCCTTCTGGCAAAAAAAGTTCATCAGAGTTTACAAGCTCAGTGTCCCCAGCTTCATCAGGGTCCTCCCACACGTTCCCATTCCAAGTTGCAGGGTCCCATTCTTTTCCCATGAATGCCTTCACTTTAACAAAAGACACCTGGCGAGGCTGTGCATGCACCTTTTGTTGCAGGTCAGCCACTCACATGATAAGAGCTTGTATCTGTTTTTCCACAATTTCAGCTCTTTCTCTGCCAGAGATAAGACTCTCACTCAGGACAGTCTTAGCAGATTTGAGGCTCGGTGTCTGCTTCTGAAGGGAGATTCTACCCAGGAGGTAGAATCCCTGAGTTCGTCATTTTCATTCATCACTTTGTCCACTGAACTTAGGAGCAACCAACCAGCTTCATTATGTCCCTTGGTTCTCCACATATGGTCAAAGGTATTATGTATAGAGTCACTAAACTCCTTGCCTCTCATGAGCGATGAATCAGGAGTGTCAAATGTGTTTGTTTTGCATAACTTTCTAAACAGTTCATGCCAAGGACTATCAGTGTTCTCTACTTCCATTATCAGTGGAGGCCTTAGCATTTTTGGGTCTAATCATATTAAGCAGCCAACTCCAGAAACCCCACGACAAATGAAAGAATGCCATCCTTACTATTCTGTTCCTCTAGAACCACTCCTGGTACCAAAATCCGTATTAGGGTTCCTAGATGGACAGAACTAACAGGATGTATGTATGTATGTGTATATATATAAAGGGGAGTTTATTAAATATTAAATTACATGATCACAAGTTCCCACAGTAGTCTGTCTGCAAGCTTGAGGAGCAAGGAGAGCCTGTCAAAGTCTCAAAACTGAAGAACTTGGAGTCTGATGTTTGAGGCCAGGAAACATCCAGCACAGGAGAAAGATGTAGGCTGCGAGGCTAGGCCAGTCTCACCTTTTCATGTTTTTCTGCCTGCCTTATATTCACTGGTAGCTGATTAGATTGGTCCACCAGATTAAGGCTGGGTCTGCCTTTCCCAGCCCACTGACTCAAATGTTAATCTCCTTTGGCAACACTCACAGCCACACCCAAGATCAATATTTTGCATCCTTTAATCAAGTTGACACTCAGTATTAACCATCACATGGCCATTCTGCCTGGAACTAATTTCTGCTCATTTTCAGGTCTCAGTATAAATAACACTTGCTGAGTGCAGCAGTCTTCTTTGACCCTTTCTGAATGCAGTTCAGTGTTTCTAAGTGTTCCCATTGTACCCTGTATTTCCTCTAACATATAGCACATTTCTACCAAGGCTGTCAGACTCCTGTGTTCTCTGAGGACTTAGGTGCTGTGTGTTGTGTTCATTCCTGTGTTTGCTGTGCGTGGAAGAGAGCAGGTGCATAAGAGATGATCATTCAGTGAATAAAAGAGCATGTGAACTCGAGAGGAGCAGTGCCCAGAAGGAGGAGGCATGGTCGGCCAGGGGAGGCAGGTTGGATTGTGGTTGAGAGTACAACCCTCGTCAGATAAACCCTTGTCAGGTAAAGCCTTTCAGGTAAAGGCTTGAGACCCATTTCTTTTAACCTGGCTTACTCTCATTTTCCTCATCTCTAAAATGAAACAATAATAGTAGTTAACTAAGCTCTGAATAATAAATGAGATGATGTGTAGAGACAGAATCTTTTGTAGCCTTCTGGTACTTACAGCACTCATTACTTAGTATTCTAGTTATTTTTTGTCATCTGAATTTCGTGAGGGCAAAAGTCAATCCTTTTTTTTTTTTGAGACAGGGTCTCACTTTGTCGCCCAGGCTGGAGTACAGTGGCACAGTCATGGCTCCCTGCAGCCTCAACTTTCAACCAATCCTCCCATGTCAGCCTCCTGAGTAGCTGGGATAAGTGCATGCCACCACGCCTGGCTAATAAAAGTCAATTCTTATTCATCATTTTATTATTTATTTTTTGGAGACAGAATCTTACTGTCACCCACACTGGAGTGCAGTGGCATAATCACAGCTCACTGCAGCCTCCACCTCCTGAGGTTCAAGGTGATCCACCTACCTCAGCCTCCTGAGTAGCTGGGACTACAGGTACATGCCACCATGCCCTGCTAATTTTTATATTTTTTATAGAAACAGGGCTTCGTCATGTTGCCCAAGCTTGTCTCGAACTTGGGCTCAAGTGAACCACTTGCCTTGGGCCTCCCAGAGTGCTGGGATTATAGACATGAGCCACTGTGCCTGGCCTTATTCATCATTTTATCCTTAGCGTTTGGTACTTAACATGTTCAGGAGCTATTTGTTGAAATGAATTGGTATATATTAGAGATGGGTCATTTTGCAACTCTGAGTAACCAGATACACAACTTAAATATTGACTCAGGCCCATTGGAGACCTGTGATTTTGGGCCACTCCTCAGAAACATAGTTCTGAGAAGCGATTAGGTTGGCAACTTTTTTGATGCTAGACCAGCTGTGTGATATGGGTTCCAGCAGGTGTGTCTCCTTTGGGCCATAAGCTTGCTAAAGAATGGGTGGCAGTTCTCAAATTCTCATCTCTTGTCTGGCCTAGACATTGCCAGAATGGGAGTGCTTCTGGCTCAGCATGGGTGAGGTTCTTAGATAATGTGGGGGTAGACACAGCTGTGGGTTCTGGGAATTGCTGATACTCGCAGTGGGATCCAGAACAGATGTAGCCAGTTTCTTTTGAACTGTAGGGGAAAACTTGCGGAAACTGGAAGACTTATTTTTCATGTCTTCATCTTTTTTTAAAAAATAAAATAAACAAATAAAAAGTAGCCATAACATTGGAGTAAATGTTGAAGTAAGGAATTAACAGTGGCGGGGCAGGGGGCTCACACCTATAATCCCAGCACTTTGGGAGGCCAAGGCAGAAGGATCACTTGAGGCTGTCATGCTTCTGTTCCCTCTTTTTTTTTTTTTTTTTGAAATGGAATCTCGCTCTGTCACCCAGGCTGAAGTGCAGTGGCACATTCTTGGCTCACTGCAACCTCCGTCTCCCAGGTTCAAGGAATTCTCCTGCCTCAGCCTCCCAAGTAGCTGGGATTACTGGTGTGTGCCACCACACCCGGCTAATTTTTGTATTTTTAGTAGAGACGGGGTTTCACCATGTTGGCCAGGCTGGTCTCAAACTCCTGACCTCAAGTGATCCACCTACCTCGGCCTCCCAAAGTGCTGGGATTACAGGCGTGAGCCACTGTGCCTGGCCCATGCTTCTGTTCTAATTGAATTTAAGCCCCACTGAGATATTCTAGTTTAGAAAACCTGGACGTGCTGTGATCCTGGTGCCAGCAGTTTTTGCCTTTCCTTTGTGCCATAATGGCAAGCTTTGTTCAAATTCAAATGGAGCAGCAAGAGGTGGTATACAAAGCACAAAGACCATTTTTAACTGATGCATTTGTTGAAAATTTCCATAATTTTCAGAGTTAGTTTTTTAAGAAAAGTCTGTCAGCCTAACCAGTAGAACCAGTTCTGCTTGAGTATTAAAGAACTATACCTTTTCTACCTTTTTGCTGCACATTGAACATGATAGTTAGTGGAATAAGTGAGGAATGTTACCTCGTGTTTCACAGCTGCAGAAGTAAGGTTGTCAACATCTACTAACTAGGTAGTTGGTAGGGAGTGTCAGAGTTAAAGGCGCAGAGGCTTAAGGGCAACTCTAGACCCTTCTGTAAAACTAGTTTATGGTTTAAGAAGCTCCCACCACCCCAAAGAATAGGGATAGTACACAGGCAGCTCTCACTGGATGCTGATTGAATTGGCTGTTAGATCCTGGGATGTGCTGGGCCTATCTACTGCTCTCTCTGAAAAGGCTTCACAAGTAATAGTCTTTCCATTAAGCTTTAGAGGAATCCTCCGTTTTTCAGTATATTGCAATATGAGTAGAGCATTTGGTGATGCCATCCATATTAGTGGCTAAGCCTAGCTATTGTTTCTTTTCTATTCTTTTTTTTTTTTTTTTTTTTTGAGACAGGGTCTTGTTCTGTCACCCAGGCTGGAGTACAGTGGTGCAATCATAGCTCACTGCAGCCTTGACCTCCCAGGCTGAGGTGATTCTCCCGCCCCAGCCTTCTGAGTAACTGGGACTACAGGCACATGCCACCATGCCTGGCTAATTAAAAAAAAAAAAAATTTTTTTTTGTGGAAATGGGGTTTGGCCATGTTGCCCAGGCTAGTCTCGAATTCTTAAGCTCAAGTGATCCGGTCCATCCACCTTGGCCTCCAACAGTGCTGTGATTACAGGCATAAGCCACCGCGCCTGGCCAAGATTATATACTCTTGAAAGGAAGCAAGAATTGCTCAGGCATACATACCAGTGTTATTCATGGTTAGAGCCTTTCCTGGAGTCCCATTGAACTCTTGAGTCAGTTGGCTTGAAAATTAGAGACTCATGCCTCAGAGGACCCAGTGGAGTGAGTCATAAGAGGTAACACTTTCAGTAGGTGTTGAGGAGCCTCAAGGTTCTTCTCCATGCAGCTGGCCAGTGTCACTTAGGTTGGGTGTAGGTGTCTTTTGTTGTTGTTTTCCCTTTAGCTTCCCTTGGCCTCTCTATAACTCTCATTCGAGGCTTTCCCTGGTCACTTTGTGTTGCTCGCTTTTACCTGGTTTCAGGTGGATCTAGCAGGTACTTCACTGATCATTCTGCCTTGTTTTTCCTTTTTCCTTTCATTCCTTCTTTCCACATGACAGTGTGGCATTGAATAAGAATGCAGACTGGGCCAGGAACGCAGACTGCGCACAGGGTTTGACTTTCACCTGTGCCACATACTAGCAGGGTGTCTTCATCTGTAAAATGGAGACAATCATGGGTATAATAACTCTATTGCAAAGGTTTGCTGTGAGGATTAAATGAGTTAATAAATAAATACAAAGCTTTTTAGACAGTAGCTGGCACTTAGAGCCCAAGAAATGTTTGTTATTATTCACTTCTCAACCTCAGTAAGGGCTGGCCCTGTACCCACTTTGGAAAAAGGAACAGTAGACTTTGGCGTTCACAGATTGGACATCTGTGATGTCTACAGTCCACAAGTGACTCTTGGTCACAGTGTAGTAATTTGTAATGCCACTAAGAAAGAGATTATATTTACTCATTCAATTGTAAAGTTTGGACAGCCTTTAATCACTCACCCAACAAATTTGCCAATGAAAACAACAGCTTATACACATTCAGAATACAGCATGGTTAGGAGTAGGATGCACATAGGGGAATTTCAGGGGAACCCACTCCAAGATCCACATGTAGGACTCAGCACATCCAGATACGGGTGCTCTCGTACCTTGTTGGTATCCACCTCTGCTCTCCTTCATTCAGCTATGTTCATTCTCCTGTGATCAACAAGCAAAGAATGGTAAATCCGTTTTCTCTTAAGAATATTGAAATATATTAGCTCCATATTTGTCAGTTCTTTCTTTGTTTTTCTTGTGGAGTTCAAAAAGCGATTGTGAAATATAGGGATGAAGAGACTACAGACATTGCCAGTGAATACTCTCCGTTCCGTCCTTCCTACCCACCCAAACAGGTAACTTGTGAAAATCAAATTCAAAGAAAAACTCCAATTAAACTTATTTTTGAGGCAAGGATTTCTTTATGATTCTTATTTGTATACCCTGATTTTTTGGAGTCCTCTAGGTTATTTCTCTTCTTGGGACTGGTTTGGATTTTTGTTTGAGGGGGGAAGCAGTTGATAGTGGTGATGATGGTTATTTGTTTTTTACCTGAGTTGATTATCTGTAAGACTTGCATAGTGTATATTTATAATTTTTTTGAAGTGTTAACCAGAAAGGATTAGATACTCATGATGATTTTTATTTTTTATTTTATTTATTTATTTATTTATTTATTTATTTATTTATTTATTTATTTTAGATGGAGTCTTGCTCTGTCGCCCAGGCTGGAGTGCAGTGGCACAATCTCGGCTCACTGTAAGCCCCGCCTCCCGGGCTCACGCCATTCTCCTGCCTCAGCCTCCAGAGTAGCTGGACTACAGGCACCCGCCACCACACCTGGCTAATTTTTGGTATTGTTAGTAGAGACGGGGTTTCACCAGCTAATTTTTTGTATTTTTAGTAGAGACGGGGTTTCACCATGTTAGCCAGGATGATCTCGATCTCCTGACCTCGTGATCCGTCCGCCTCGCCCTCCCAAAGTGCCAGGATTACAGGCATGAGCCACCGCACCCAGCCTGATGCTCGTGATGATTGAGTACAGTGTGGCACCTTAAATTCCAGTGCTCCAGTGGTTATATAGGTTTCTATTCTCAATTTGTTACCACCTTTTAGCAACTTGATCTACTGTCAACAAAATTAGTAGCTGAGAAAGCTTTTTTGTGTGTGCATGCCCAAGCAGGTCCTTCCTCTCGGATGTGGTCTCTTTTTTTTTTTTTTGAGACGGAGTCTCGCACTGTCTCCCAGGCTGGAGTGCAATGGTATGATCTCAGCTCACTGCAGCCTCCACCTCCCAGGTTCAAGTGACTCTCCTGCCTCAGCCTCCTGAGTAGCTGGGATTATAGGCATGCATCACCATGCCTGGCTAATTTTTATATTTTCAGTAGAGACGGGGTTTCAGCACGTTGGTCAGGCTGGTCTCGAACTCCTGACTTTGTGATCCACCCGCCCCAGCCTCCCAGAGTGCTGGGATTACAGGCATGAGCCACCACGCCCGGCCCAGATGTGGTTTCTTAAGAAAGCCATTGGTCTACTTTTTTGGTCTTGCAGAGGGTTCAAAGTGCTTTCTATTGCAAAAGATAAGATGCATAATGACCAGACATAAATCATGGTGTGCTGCTAGAAGATAAATCCTATTAATAGAAAAATGCTATTTCCTTTACCCTGGCTTCAGATATTCCTAATGTAGTTAAAGTCTTACAGATTTAGGGCCAACTTCAGTGTTGCTAATTTCAGGAATTCCTGATCCACAGAAAAAAGAATTGTGAGCCTGAGTAGAGTCAATTTAGTTTAATATGGGAAACAAGATTGGGAGAAAAGTAGAAGTTACTAGTCTCATGTAACAGTTTTTTTTGTTTTTTTTTTTTTTTTAATGATAGAGTCTCCTTCTGTTGCCCAGGCTGGAGTGCAGTGGCACGATCTCAGCTCACTGCAACCTCCACCTCCCGGGTTCAAGCTATTTTCGTGCCTCAGCCTCCCGAGTAGCTGGGATTACAGGCACATGCTGCCGCATCCTGCCAATTTTTGTATTTTCAGTAGAGACGTGGTTTTACCATGTTGGCCAGGCTGTTCTCAAACTCCTGGCCTCAAGTGATCCACCCACCTCAGCCTCCCAAAGTGCTGTGATTACTGGTGTGAGCCACCACACCCTGCCGAGAGATTCTTGAATAATTCCCCTACTCTTTGTTTACTCATGAAAGGAAATCAAGCAGAAGCACAGATCCTGCTACCCCCAACAACTATAACAAATTACATGACCAAGTACCTGTGTCACCGAAGTTATGTATGTATCTCTTAAAGCTCTCATACTAGGTAGTATTGTTTCCATTTTAGTATATCGGAGGAAACTGAAACTGACACTCAGTCAGTTTAAATGACAAGACCAAAGTCACATCTGTGGATGCCAGAGCCATATTTGGACTGTGGCCCCAGGTCGGTATTCTTTCTGTTTTTAGTACATGCACAGAGAAAATATTGGAGAAACATAGAGAAAGACAAAAACTTAAATTATTAGTACTATGCTGTATAAAAAATACAACTTTCTACTTAAAAAAATTTTGTTTTAAGATATACATGGATACCTACCTAATATGTAGATGCAAATTCATTTTTCTCCCTCAGATTTTCTACTTAGCTGGAAAAAAATGAGTATTAAGTGTTCATTCTAGAAAAGTAGGGCAGCTTTTAGGAAATGAAATGTCTGTGTTATGTCCTTTTAGCACTGTGTCAAATGCAATGGAAAGAAATTGTTTTGGAACCTTTAGAGATGTTGCTTCTTAGAGTTTGTCCCTCTGGCTGGATAAAATTAATCTGAGAACAACAATTTCAGTTTTTGATTTAAAGCTGATAGGAGCATTTATAAGCATTTTGACCTATGAGAGCTTCATTGTACCCCCACACACCCTAGTTCTTTTCAAGATCTTTCTGGCAGGGCCCTACCCTTTTTCTACCTCTCCTAAGGTGCCCCAGGATCATCACACATTTGAGATGATGTGCACTCTGAATGTGAACTTGGTAAGAGTCCAAAGAATTGACTTTTCAAGAACCAGTGAAGTAAATACCACCAGGCTGCCTCTCAGCAAGTCCTCAAGAGTGGTAGTTGACTTTAACATCCATGTGCTTTTGTCCTGTATGTCCCCAGCCCCTAGACTGCGGACTGGTACTAGTCTGTGCCAGCACTGCAGGAGTTGAATGTAGGAGTAGGGGGCAGCAAGGATTACCTCCTGAGTTCCACCTCCTGTGGGATCAGTGGCGGCATTAGATTCTTATAGGAGCATGAACCCTATTGTGAACTGCACATGCAAGAGATCCAGGTTGCACGCTCCCTATGAGAATCTAAGTAATGTCTAATGACCTGAGGTAGAACAGTTTCATCCCAAAATCATCCCCTGCCCCCCTGCCAGGTCCGTGGAAAAATTGTCTTCCGTGAAACCAACACCTAGCTCCAAAAGTTTGGGGAATGCTGCTGTGTGTGGCAGATCCTTGAATGTGAAGTAGTTCTCCTAACGGAATTTTTCTTATTTGTTCTGATCAGTTTTGTGGTAAGAGTTTCCTTTACAAGCAATGGATGCTACATTGATTTTCTCTTTTGCAATGGGAAACTGGAGACCATGTTTGTTAGAATTGGTACATAGCAGCGAAGAATGTAGGCTCTGAGTTCAATGGAGCTTGCAGATCCTTGGTTAGTAACTTTTTTTTTTGAGACACGGTTTTGCTCTGTTTCTCAGGCTGGAATGCAGTGGTGCAGTCATGGCTCACTGCAGCCTTGACCTCCTGGCCTCAAGTGATCTTTTCACCTCAGCCTCCCAGGTACCTGGGACTTCAGGTGTGTACTACCATACCTGGATGATTTTTTAATTTTTTTGTTTGTTTGTTTTGTAGAGATGAGTCTCACTCTGTTTCCTAAGCCCGTCTCAAATTCCTGGGCTCAAGCAGTCCTCCCACCTCGGCCTCCCAAAGTGTTGGGATTGTAGGTGTGAGTTGCTGTGCCCAGCCATAACTTACTTTTTTTTTTTTTTTTTTTTTTTTTTTTTTTTTTTTTTTGAGACAGAGTTTCGCTCTTGTTGCCCAGGCCGGAGTGCAAAGGCACAATCTCGGCTCACTGCAACCTCTGCCTCTCGGGTTCAAGTGATTCTCCTGCCTCAGCCTCCCGAGTAGCTGGGATTACAGGCATGCACCAACACCCCGGCTAATTTTGTATTTTTAGTAGAGACGGGGTTTCTCCATGTTGGTCAGGCTGGTCTGGAACTCCTGACCTCAGGTGATCCGTCCACCTCGGCCTCCCAAAGTGCTGGGATTACAGGCGTGAGCCACCACACCTGGCCAAGAATTTTTAAATTACCAAAACAGTCGTAGCTTTTAACATGCAGGAATAGTTCCTCTTGCTTAAGCCCCAGACCAGTACATCAGAATCATCTGGGGAGCTTTTTACAAAATCAGAGAGCCAGCCTGCATCCCTGCACTATAAGTCCGCAGGCTTATGGGTGCCAGAGAGTGTTTAGATAACAAGCTTCCCACGTGATCTGACCACACTGCCTCAGAGGGACTTGGTTTACTGGCATCTTAGTCACCTCCAATTTATACCATGCTCAAAAATGAGTTCTCAGGAAAAGCCCTAACATTCTTCTTCAGCCTCAAGATAGGCTGTACCCAAGTTTCTTCTAATGCCATATTTCAGTCTGAATTAACAAATTCAGAAAATTTCCCACCCAGGGCCTTCTACCAAAGAAAAAAAAAAATCTGATTTTATTTGTTGACAAAACTGGTTGTGTCTTGTAGAATTTTTCACAGTCAGAATTTGACTGATTATATCCCCACTGTATTATTTGACATGTTTCTCTGTCCCAGTGTTTCTGATACATTGGCTGATTGCTGTGGAAGTTCAAGGAGACTGAGGTTAGATATTTTGGCAAGAACACTTCCTGGATGGTGTGGCACACTTTATTAGGAGGCCCATGGTGCCTCTCTTTGTTATGTTAACAGCCATATATGATCATTGCTTTGGTCTATTCATTCATTCATGTTTGTAATTAATTATCTTTGAATATCCCATAAATACTGAGCCCCAAGTAGAGGCATTTGAATATATTTTTACTGAGAAGCAGTGACCCAGAAACTGGCCTTGATTCTCTGTTAGAAATGACTGTATCCCTTGGCACTGTCTTGTGGTTTTAGGTAACTTTGAATGGACAAAGAATGTCCCAGCTCTCTTTACTGAGCCCTGGTGTGCTGTAGATTAGCTGGATCAATACTGACTTGATACATTCATGTTTTCCTATTCTTACCTTTGGGCCTTATTTATGTGTCCATATTCTTTCAAGAACACATCATCTTTTGCTTTCAACCCTTGATCCTCACTGGAAGGAGAGGGGATCATGCTGTGGCGTGTTGTCTCTTTTCTTTCTTTCTTTTTCTTTTTTTTTTGAGACAGAGTCCCACTGTTACCCAGGCTGGAGTGCAGTGGCATAATCTCGGCTCACTGCAGCCTCTGCCTCCCGAATTAAAGTGTTTCTCCTGCCCTAGCCTCCCAAGTAGCTGGGATTACAGGCACTCACTACCATGCCTGGCTAATTTTTGTATTTTTAGTAGAGACGGGGTTTTGCCATGTTGGCCAGGCTGGTTTCGAACTCCTGACCTCAAGTTATCTGCCCATCTCGGCCACCCAAAGTGCTGGAATTACAGGTGTGAGCCACCACGCTGGGCCATCTCTTTTATTTCAGATTCTGTGTTTGAGCAGCCTTGCTTTGCTATGTGACACTTCAAGTTGTTCCTTAGATAAGGAGAGATAAGGAGTGCCCACCTCACCCCCTCTACTTGGGACAGCTACTAGTTATCAGTCCTAAATAATTAGTTTAATACATTAAATATCCATAACTTGGAGTTTTCTGTCTTCCTTTAGTTAGAACACTTCCTGTTTTTAAAAAGTATCTAGCTTGGGCCAGGCATGGTGGCTCACGCCTGTAATCCCAGCACTTTGGGAGGCTGACGCGGGCAGATCACAAGGTCAAGAGATCAAGACTATCCTGACCAACAAGGTGAAACCCCATCTCTACTAAAAATACAAACAATTAGCTGGGCGTGGTGGCACACGCCTGTAGTCCCAGCTACTTGGGAGGCTGAGACAGGAGAATCACTTGAACCTGGGAGGCAGAGGTTGCAGTGAGCTGAGATCGTGCCACTGCACTCCAGCCTGGCAACAGAGTGAGACTCCATCTCAAAAAAAAAAAAAAAAAAAAAAAAAAAAAAAGTAGCTTGTAACATAAACGAAAAGCTCCTGAGGGTATGTGATATTTTAGTGTGTATTCTGAAAGCATGGCTTAATGTTATTCATTTTAAACCCTTAAACAAAGAAAAATATCCTTTGCTCTTCTCTTTTAGGAAATTCACACAAACGAAAAGGAAGTAACAGAGAAGGAAGTAACTCTTCACTTGTTGCCAGGTAACTGTCATGTTAGCATAGTAACTCCTATGCAAGGCAAAGCCAATGATAAATTACATCATCCCTAGCCTTGCTATATTTAAACTCCTTTGTTTTCATCTTCTCACATATAACAGTAATGAATTGAAAAAACATATCAAGGTTTGTAGTTCAATAACTACACACCTGGGTCTGAGTATTACAACATCTGCAAAGAATTTTTCTTGTTTCCTCTTCCCCCAAACTGATGAAAATAAACCTGGAATGTTCTCACTGCTTTCACAAGCAAATGAGGACTTTTTCAGGCCATTCTAATGGCCTCTTCCAGTATGCTGATCCCCAATCTGTAGGGAATTGAGGAAAACAATTCAACTGCTATGGCCTCCCAAGGCAACCATTGGTGGGTGGCTTTACCTCTCAGTCCATACCCACTTGTGCATGTGAGCACGTGTACTGGGGATGCTGGGGTTTACCAGCCTTGGGGCTGCCAGCACTTCGCCCTGCAGTCATTGCGAAGGAGCCTGGATTGGTTAAATATTTTTGAGGTAGAGGACAGTGACTTTAGCTTAAGTTAAGTTTTAGTCATTTCCATGTTCAGGAGTAGTAACTACTTGGTGGTGTATCCTCTCCATATATGGGATATTCTGTGATCCATGTATTTAATTCTTTTTCTACTTTCTTTTTCTTAATTCAAAATAGCTTTTTTAAAATAAGTTCTTTAAGGTACATTTCCCCAAAACAATACAGGCTTTATTCTGTTGCTTTTTATTTTATTCCAGTTTATTGAGGGGATATAAATCTGTGCAAGTTTCTGACTGATCCACGTTATTTGGTAAAAGAATTCTATAACTTTTTTTGATGTTTTTAAATGTCAAAGGCTTTTTTTCTATAGTGATGACTTAAACCTTATCTCCTCTTGTTTTTCTCTTCTTGGTGTTATAGATTCAGAAATTTTATTTTTAGCTTAGCATTATGCATATTCTCCCCCCTCCTGAATTACTTCACAGTCTCATCTAGGTGTGGGTGTGCAGCGGTGAGTTCACAGTTAACTTCTCTGAGCCTAGTTTCACAAACTAGACAAAGATCATTTCTAGCTCCCAACTCTTGTGCTTCTAGACTCTGTGATCTGGTATAAACCAGCTGATTATGGCACAACATGCCATGTTTGCAGAGGGCCTCACCAGGAATGTTGTATTAGCTAGTGCATGCTAATTTCTGGTCGCTAGTACATGAGCATGGGACGGGGCTGGCCTGGTCTTGGGGAGAGCCTCACCATTAAAAGTATTTCACCATTAAAAGTATTGGGAGGTGAAAGCACAGGAAGCCTTGCTTACATGTCTTCCCCCATGGACTTGGCAGAGACACTTTTTCTGGGACTATTTTAAACCCTAATGAGGCCCTGTCTTCATTATTTCCTTCAAACTGTGATCTCTTGAGAGGCTGACCTAGTGACTGAGCCATCTTCCGGTATTTCCTTAGTGTTTCAGCCAGAGGTAATTAACCCCTTGAAAGATGAGAGAACAGCACCATAATATTTGTCCCTTCTGAGTGTCTGAAACTGTTCGTTTTCATATTGAAGGTAGACTAAATAAATTTTGAGCCAAAAAGTAAATTTAAAGACCTTGAAGGAGCTATCAAGTGGGAGATTCCAAGGAGAAGATGGTTATCTGTTGCATGAGAAGAAAAATCCTTTGGGTTTTTTTTGTTGTTGTTGCAAAACATTTATACTTAGTTTTTCATTTCCCCCATAGTCTTCTCTTTTGCCTGCCCCCGTGAGCTCCTCTGCTTCCAGATGGCAGAGAATACTGACCTATTCCCTAATCCTCATCTTTTTGACTGCAAGGAGGGATACTTTCTGTCTCCAGGGGCTGCAGCTTCTCACGTCGGCTGGGTGCTGCAGATGGAGGAGGAGAGGTGACGCATTGAAAGGAAATACGCTTAACTAAGAAAGAGAGGAAACACGTTTTTTCCCCACAAACCTCTGACCTCTGTTTTCCCAGCGTGGAGCCAGAACGAGGGTGGTCATGCTGTGGAAGGCGGCAACACCTCCTGGATCTATGGAAGCTGCCTGGAAGTCCCATGGCCAGGGAGGCACTGTCACTCTCTCTCAGCACTTCCAGTATTAGAAGCTGCCCCCTCTCACAGGAAAGTGGGCTTGGGATCTGCGTTTTTTTAGGGCAGACTGGGGCAAGCCCATCTGTGTTCACTTAGGGTATTGCTTCTATGGAACATCTGCTTGGGTCAAAGTAATGAAAACACTAAGATTTCTGCGTGAAAGTGCAGCTCAGATCATTAGTACCTATTTGGAAATTTCCATTATTCCCAGTGAGAAGATAGAGAAATGTCCTGCACAGAGGTGTATCTGAGCCATTTCAATTTCACTTCTTGGTGGTTTCCACTCTGCCGCATCTTCTCTCTTATGTTTTTGCAGCTCCTGCCATGCTGAAAAGTGTAAAGTTCTAAAGCCCTGTGTTGTATTGTATGTTTGTCCTTATGTAAATAGGGCTGGAAAGCCTTTAGTGTTTGCATATCGTATGTTCCCTGAGAACTCTAAGGAGGACCTGTTTTGGTTTCTACCAGGTGAACAGCTGCTTTGTGAAGCCAGCACAGTACTGAAGTATGTCCAGGAAGATTCCTGTCAGCATGGGGTCTATGGGAGGCTTGTCTGCACAGACTTCAAGATTGCCTTCTTGGGTGATGATGAATCTGCATTGGATAATGATGTATGTATGGGCTGCATTTGGCAGAGTTTGTGGGCAACAGTGTGGTTGTGGTTCCGTTGTCTTTTTTTCCCAGCTTCTCAGTTACTCTACCCCCTAACACACATAAACACAAAGGACAGAAATCCTGAATGTATGAACTGCATTTGGTGAAGTTTGGGGGGAATAGCACAGTTGTAAAATAGCTCTGTTGTCTTTTTTCCCCCAGCTACTCAGTTACTCCACTTCCCATCATCCCCACCCTCCCCACCATCCCACATAAATACACACAAAGGACGGAGTCCTTCTCATCACTGGCCTGCTCTCTGTCGTTCAGGGTCTCCTTTCCGTGGCAGGACCGTTAAGAAATTTCTCACCCGTGCCTCATGTCATACTGGCTTACTTTTGACCTCATGTGTCAACTTTCAATTTTCTTCTGTATTTCAGTGCAATATATATCACTCACTGGAATAACATCTTCCAAATATACTAGTTCCCCACGTTTTCTCTATACTAAGCTCTTCCTTAAACCCAGGAACTGAGTTCAGTAATGAAACCGATGGTGAATGCAGCCTTTGAATTTGGGTTCACTCTGTTTTTGTTTTGTTTTTTATTTTTAATTGTTTTTGAGACAGAGTCTCACTCTGTCATTCAGGTTGGAGTGCTGTGGCGTAGTCGTGGCTCCAGTAATCCTCCCACCTCAGCCTCCTGAGTAGCTAGGACCATAGGCGTGTGACATTCACGCCTGGCTAATTTTGTTATTTTTGGTAGAGGCAGGGTTTTGCCATGTTGCCCATGCTGGTCTCGAAGTTCTGAGCTCAAGAAATCCACCCGCTTTGGCCTCTCAAAGTGCTGGGATTACAGACATGAGCCGCCTCACCCGGCTCACCTTATGTTTAATCTGAACCTAGTAGCAGTAGCCTTGTGAAATTTGTTCCTATTCATGAAGAATGAGCAATCAGGTAAGGAGAGAACTGCCCATACCACTAGGAGAGCACCATATGTTAGTGGAAACCCAACCAAGGCACATCCTGGCCCCAATGTGCCAACTGTCCCAGATCACCCTTGTTTTTTAAACAGCAGCACCAGTACTGCCTCTTCCATCTGGCCTTGGGCTTGGTTCATAGTCCTGTACAAAGAGAGCATTCACCAGAAACTTGAATCTCTTGTTCTTCCTGAAGCTGACTTCAGGTAGCTCTGTCAATCCCCTGTTCACATTTGTGTGGAGAAATGTTAACCTGTACATAACTTCCCCACACTTCTCAAAGTGATTGTGTGTGGCATGGTGGGTTTGCCTAGGAGGGGCCCAGAAATGGCATGTTCTGGACCACGCGCGGTGGCTCTTACCTGTAATCTCAGCACTTTGGGAGGCTGAGGCAGGTGGATTGCTTGAGCTCAGGAGTTCAAAACCAGCCTGGGCAACATGTGGAAATCATGTCTCTAAAAAAACACAAAAATTAGCTAGGAGTGGTGGAGTGTGCCTGTAGTCCCAGCTACTCAGGAGGCTGAGGTGCAAAGTTAGCTTGAGCCTGAGAGGTGGAGGTTGCAGTGAGCCAAGATTGCCCCACTGCACTCCAGCCTAGCCTGAGTGACAGAACTAAACCCTGTCTCAGAATGAATCTCAGGAGCTTTTCTCACATACTTCATCGTCCCTTTTTTAGGAATGTCGCTGCATTTCCCCATTTATTTTTATTTATTTATTTATTTATTTTTGAGACAGAGTCTCGTTCTGTCACCCAGGCTGAAGTGCAGTGGTGCGATCTCGGCTGGCTGCAAGCTCCACCTCCTGGTTTCACGCCATTCTCCTGCCTCAGCCTCCCGAGTAGCTGGGACTACAGGCGCCCACCACCAAGCCTGGCTAATTTTTTGTATTTTTAGTAGAGATGGGGTTTCACCGTGTTAGGCAAGATGGTCTCGATCTCCTGACCTCGTGATCCGCCCGCGTCGGCCTCCCAAAGTGCTGGGATTACAGGTGTGAGCCACTGCACCCGGCCCCCCATTTTTCTTAATATCCAAGTAGAGAATGGTGATTTACTCTGCCTATAAATGTCTAACAGTATGCAGAGGAGTCACAGTTGTTTCCTTTTGAATCTTCTAGGAAACTCAATTTAAGAATAAGGTTATAGGAGAAAATGACATTACACTCCACTGTGTTGATCAGATTTATGGAGGTAAGTATCTGTTTTTCCCTGGGGTGTTGGCAACCTTTGAGAGTATAGGTGATAATGATAATAATATTTTTATGACCATTTATAATTTTTAAAAATTTTTTCACATATATCATCTTGTTTAAATCTGTTTTATAGATGCTAAAATTGAGATGTAAAGTGGTTTATATAAGGTCACTTAGCTAGAGGAGTTTGGACCTGAACTTGGAACCTGTTCTTTTTAATACTTCACACGACACCATTATATGCTAGATGTTGATCAGACTTTTTGATATCAGAGTTAGCTGTGTAGGTTTTACTTTATAGGCTGCTCTGATAAAAAGGTCTGTTGTATTGCATTAAGATGTCTTTTCTGCTGACTAAACAAGCCTCTCCTGCCAAGCCTCTCTCTGTTCCACTTCCGAATGTTTTTGTATTCGGGGCATCTTCAGAAATCATTCAGTGATCATTTATGATGTTCTCCAGACTACTAGGTGCTGAGTGGGTCCACATTCTGGGACAGTAGGGGGTCTCAGCAGGGGTCCTAGCTGTAAACCCAGGAGTTGACTGTCATGAAAGCATGTCTCTAGTCATTTCCCTTTCATCTTTTATAAGCTCAACTTTCAGAGTGGGTTTTCTTTGGGCCACTGGAATCAGTTCTGCCAACAGTGGCCAGTCTGTTCTTGTGCTTACTCCAGAGGAGTGAAGCACGCTGACTGCTCTCAGAGAGCCAGGGCCCCTGCTGGAAGAGATTGGGCTTCCTTTGGCAGTCACTTAAAAGTCAGGCAGCACCTTTCCTCTCATTCTTGGGAAGTATCCCTAGAAGTTGATCATCTACTTCATTTCTTTAGCATTCACTTATTGCTGTGTAACATAATTTCCCTTCCTGATTTCATTGCTGATCTGTAGTGTTTGATGAGAAAAAGAAAACTCTCTTTGGACAACTGAAGAAATACCCTGAGAAGCTCATCATCCACTGCAAAGACCTTCGAGTGTTCCAGTTTTGTCTGAGGTACACAAAGGAAGAGGAAGTCAAAAGGGTAACTAGTTGCATGTGTTTTTAGGTTTTATTTCCCATCAGGTTTTCCCCACTAGCTCTAGTTTTTGCTTACGTTGCATGAAGGTTGAGGGGAGGCTTTCACTCTGTGAACTTGAAATTGGTTGTAATCCCATATTCTTTGATTAGAACGTGAAAAGTAATTTGATAAAGCATGCGTGTGTATCATCTTGGCACATGCTACCTTTAATACTTCAATTCATAATGTTTTTATTCCTGGAGCCACTAAATGGTGGGAGGTGGTAAACCAGGTCAGTAGGCGGTAGGGGAAAATGAAGAAAGGATGAGACAGCTAAAAGTTTATCCCTATTCTCCCACCTCTGACAGTCTTTCCAAAAGACAGTAGTGTTGGAGAATTCCAACTTCTATGAGTAAATGAGTTTACCTCTGGGAGGTAGTAGTTGTGCATGGAAAGGAGGAAGTACACAGGTCAGATGAGCAAAGCCAAATAATCAGACATGCTTTTAGAGACTAAATAAACATAATCTCCTGGTCGCCACAGCAAGTTGAGATATGCAACTAGGTGAACTCAGAAAGTGGTTGTATCAATTTGATGTTTGTTGTAATTTCCAAGATTTTTTTTTCTTTTTTTTTTGAGACCGAGTCTCACTCTGTCACCCCGGCTGAAGTCCAGTGGTATCCAAGATTTCTCTTACTAAGATATTGATCTCAGACTTTTCCCTCTGATGGTATAAATACATCAGGGGAAACCTATCAGGAGGCCTGTTCATGTATACTGTCTTGGCTGCAGTGAGTTTGCACACTTAGTGGTAACTCCTTAATTTCCTTTAAGTAGTGTGGTAGTTCAGTTAGAATAATAAACATAACTGATATCTATTCTGAGCAACAAAAGAGTATAGATATAGAAAATTTCCTGAGAAGGCAGAAACTTCAATTTGAACAATGGTTTTAGTCACTTAACCAAATATACTTTAGTTTCACACGAAACAGCGTGATAGATTGATTTCTTTCCCTTATCTTCCATAAGAAGATCCTAAAGGCCTCAACAATGGATCAGAACAGCTGTGTCTTGGTTATAATCCAATATCAGCTGTAAGTCTTTGACATGTCAGAGTTTTGGAGTATCTGACTTAATGTGGCACTTACGTTTTTTAGCACTTTGCTTTTGAGAAATTAGACTATGTTTTAAAATTTTCCCTAGAAATTCAGAGTTCTTAGAAAACCTGACACACTGGGCTGGGCACGGTGGCCAATGCCTGCAATCTCAGCACTTTGGGAGGCCGAGGTGGGTGGATCACCTGAGGTCAGGAGTTCGAGACCAGCCTGACCAACATGGCGAAACCCTGTCTCTACTAAAAATACAAAAAATTAGCCGGGCGTGGTGGCGCATGCCTATAATCGCAGCTACTCAGGAGGCTGAGGTAGGAGAATCACTTAAACCCAGGAGGTGGAGGTTGCAATGAACAACAAGAGTGAAACTCTGTCTCAATAACAATAATAATAATAATAATAGGCTGGGCAGGATGGTTCATGCCTGTAATTCCAGCACTTTGGGAGGCTGAGGCAGGTAGATCAGTTGAGGTCAGGAGTTCAAGACCAGCCTGGCCAACATAGCGAAACCCCGTCTCTACTAGAAATACAAAGATTAGTCAGGCGTGATGATGCAGGCCTGTAATCCCAGCTACTCTGGAGGCTGAGGCAGGAGAATCGCTTGAACCCAGGAGGCAAAGGTTGCAGTGAGCCAAGATCATGCCACTGCACTGCAGCCTGGGCAGCAGAGAGAGCTGTCTCAGAAAAAAAAAAAAGTTAAAAATAATAAAAATTTTTAAAAAAGAAAGAAAACCTCACAAAATGGTTAGCATCCTGTTGATTTGCCATTATTCCAAAAAGCTAATGTCATAGATACAGATCTCAAATGAGAATTAATATGTTGTCCATTGGAACCCCTTTGGCATGACTAAGAACTTAGACACCTTGACTCTTGTCTTTGTTAGTGTTTATCTGTCAAAACCATAACTATATCCATTGTTCGATTCTTTTTTAGATTGTCAGTGGCATAATTCATCATACCCAGGCTCCTAAACTGCTTAAACGATTATTTCTGTTTTCCTATGCGACTGCTGCACAAAACAATACAGGTAAATATCTTCTGGGTTCTAATTTGAGGGTAAGCAGAAGCCTTCCAATTCCCACCTGAAGCCAGTGGGGGAGAACACATCTATGGGTTGTTTTGTTTTTTCCTGTCTCCTCTACCAATTGGTCACCCCTTGCTTGAGTGATTCATTTAGATATCTACATTTTCTTTCCTGTGATCTTTTTTTTTTTTTTTTAAAGATGGAGTCTCGCTTTGTAGCCCAGGCTGAAGTGCAATGGCATGATTTTGGCCCACTGCAATTTCCGCCTCCCGGGTTCAAGCAATTCTCATGCCTCAGCCTCCTGAATAACTGGGATTACAGGTGCCCACCACCATGCCTGACTAATTTTTGTATTTTTGGTAGAGATGAGGTTTCTCCATGTTGGTCAGGCTGGTTCCAAACTCCTGACCTCAAGTGATCCATCCACCTCGGCCTCCCAAAGTGCTGGGATTACAGGTGTGAGCCACTGGGCCAGGCTTCCTGTGATCTTTGTTTACCTTCTTTTAGGTTTGTTTGCTTGCTTTTTGCAAGGGATTGTTTGATTGGTTGCGTTTTATGAAAGATAAGATCAAGGTCCAGATACAGTTGCTCATGCCTGTGATCCCAGCACTTCAGGAAGCCGAGGTGGGTGGATCACGAGGTCAGGCGATCAAGACCATCCTGGCAACCTGGTGAAACCCTGTCTGTACTAAAAATACAAAAATTAGCTGGGCATGGTGGCGCATGCTTGTAATCCCAGGTACTTGAGAGGCTGAGGCAGGAGAATCGCTTGAACCTGGGAGATGGAGGTTGCAGTGAGCCGAGATCGCACCACTGCACTCCGGCCTGGCAATAGAATGAGACTCCGTCTCAAAAAAAAGAAAAGGAAAAATAAGATTAATATATTATAACTAGGAATGTGAGACTATAGGGAAACAAAATTGAGAAAAGTTTAAAATAACCATGTTTGTCCCTGGGTTTTTCTGTTTAAATATGCTTGATTTTATTTCATAAGACCATAGAGAATTTCTTGCATTCTAGAAAGTTTTTAAACAACCAGAGCATACTTTATAGCAAATATTTTAGGGGAAATGGGACAGTTATACATAAGAAGAGCACATCCAGCAACTAATTTAGTAAGACAAAACTTGAAGTTCCAAATGTTTTTCATTCAGTTTGGTGAAAAAGAGAGCAATCTTTTAAGAACAAAACTGGTCATCTGAATTAGCCATTAACAATGCCTAGCATTGGACATGTTTTCACAGATGTCTGTTTTCTTCCTCTTGTTCTTTCACCTCAGTCTGTTCACTTGGTTCTGTCCATTACTCTTTTTTTTTTTTTTTTTTTCTGAGATGGAGTCTCCCACTGTCGCCCAGGCTGGAGTGCAGTGGCACGATCTTGGCTCACTGCAACCTCCACCTTCCGGGTTCAAGCAATTCTCCCACCTTAGCCTCCCGAGGAGCTGGGATTACAAGCACACACCACCACGCCCGGCTAATTTTTGTATTTTTAGTAGAGACGGGGTTTTACCATGTTGGCCAGGCTGCTCTTGAACTCCTTACCTCAGGTGATCCACGGCCTCGGCCTCCCAAAGTGATGGGATTACAGGTTCAAGGGCCCGTCCGTTACTCTTTTATTTTTCTTCAAGACAGGGTCTTGCTCTGTTGCCCAGGCTAGAGTGCACTGGCGTGATCTTGGCTCACTGCAACTTCTGCCTCCCAGGTTCAAGCAATTCTCCTGCCTCAGCCTCCTGAGTAGCTGGGATTACAGGTGTGCGCCACCATGCCCAGCTAATTTTTTTGTATTTTTAGTAGAGACGGGGTTTCACCATGTTGGCCAGGCTGGTCTCTAACTCCTGATCTCGTGATCCTCCTGCCTTGGCCTCCCAAAGTGCTGGGATTACAGGTATGAGCCAGCTCGCCCGGCTCCATCCATTACTCTTAACATGAAGCTGATGTTTAGTGATCCTGAGTCCTATGTACTTTTTGTCAGGGAAGTGGCAGTTTTTTTTTGTTGTTGTTGGTTGTTTTTTTTTTTTGAGACGACTCTCACACTGTTACCCAGGCTGGAGTGCAGTGGCGGGATCTCGGCTCACTGCAACCTCCACCTCCTGGGTTTAAGTGATTCTCCTGCCTCAGCCTCCTGATTAGCTAGGATTACAGGCGCATGCCACCACATGTGGCTAATTTTTGTATTTTTGGTAGAGACAGGGTTTCACTATGTTGGCCAGGCTGATTTCGAACTCCTGACCTGAAGTGATCTGCCCGCCTTGGCCTCCCAAAGTGCTGGGATTACAGGCATGAGCCACCGTGCCCAGCCTAGCAGTTTCTTTTAAAAAGCACACAAGGCTTTGTCATAAGGCTTTCTGGAAGGCAGAGTTGCTTTGTCACTATCCATTCTTTTAGTAAATATGTATTGACTGCTTGCTGTAAGCCGGGTTCTGTGGGTATATGGAGATAAACAGGACTAAATCCTTGCCCTCAAGAAGCGTAAAGTTAAAAAACAAAACAAAACAAAACAAAAACGTAAAGTCATATAGGAGAGGAAGCTGAGTGATGTGTCCTCTGTGGAGGCGCCCACCCTCTGGGGGAGGGTGGACTATCGAGGGGAAAAGTCTGGGCCTTAGCAGATAGTGGAGCATCTGGTAGGCTTAAAGGAGTATTTTGGGCAGAGGGATTGGCGTGTATAGAGATGTGGCTATCTCAGAGAGCATGCTGCATTTTGGGAGCTATGGTGATTTCATAGAAAAGGTATAGATAGATTTTGGTGTCCATTTGACCTGTGTTCAAATCCTGGCCTTGCTGTTTTCCAGCTGTGTGATCCTGGGGATGACACTTAACTCTGTTAAAATAAGAAAACCTCTGCTTTCTTATTTTAAAAATAGCAGCAATAAGTCTTGTGAGAATTATAAATTGTTAGTGGGTGGCACATAAGGTGCAGTCATTAATTGGGAATTAATTAAGAGTAAAACTGCATATTATTGAGGACAGATTATGCTTAGAGAATTACACTGACATAAAATACACTTCCCAGTAATATTAGGTTGAACATAAAATTTATCCCTTAATTCATTCAGTTTATCTTTGTGAATGACAGATTTTTACTGCAACTATATATACAAGTGCTGATTAACTGGGTGCTGTCTTAGAGTTTGTGGCAATATGACATATACAAATATGACTTGTTGATTGCTATAATTTGTATAAACATTTATTGAGTGCACATTTGCAAAATCATATCTATTTTCAGGAATTCTGATTTTCCTTGTATCCTGATTTTTGTTCTGTACCCAGCATAGGACACTTTCTCGGCCTGCCAACATATGTGGATTAGCATGCCAAAACCCTTACCTTGATCGACCTTGGCAGTTTCATTACCTTCTGGTGGCTTTTTGTGCCAGAGGCCCAGGATATGTATTAATAGCATCTTTTATTCTGGTTTAATTCCACTCTTCTTCTACTTCCTTCCAGCCCTCATTTGTTTTGAGAAGTAAAGGTTATAACTCGTAGATGCTAATTGACCAAATAGCTTTTTCATTGAATAGGGGTTTGTAGAGGTGGGTGTTTCGCAATTTGAATACCTTTAATTATTCCCTGGCTTCATAATTCACAAATGTGTTTTGGTTGGAAGGTCCTAAATGTTTATGACATGGCATTTTAGGGAAGGACTTCCTTGCATTGCCTAGAAGATGGCCTACTGTGGTAAATGGGAATGTTGTTACTACCTTATATCCATGGGGATTTTTTTTTTTTTGGTGGGGTTTGGAGGGGCAGGATTAGAACTTTATGGAAATTTCTTTTATAGTTTCCTGGGTTTGAATCCCAGTTCCATCATTGCCTAGCTTTGTGACGTAGGCAAGTTACTTGACCTTTCTGTGCTATATCTGTAAAATGGAGGAAATGATCTTACCTATTGTATTATCTATTCTATAGGGTTGTGAGGATTGAGTTAATAAAATGTAATATAGGCTGGGTGTGGTGTTGCATACCTGTAATCCCAGCACTTTGGGAGGCCGAGGTGGGTGGATCATGAGGTCAGGAGTTCAAGACCAGCCTGGCCAAAATGGTGAAACCCCGTCTCTACTAAAAATACAAAAATTAGCCAGGCGTGTTGGTGGGTGCCTATAATCCCAGCTATTCAGGAGGCCGAGGCAGGAGAATCGCTTGAACCTGGGAGGCAGAGGTTGCAGTGAGCTGAGATCACGCCGCTGCACTCCAGCCTGGGCGAAAGAGCGAGACTCCGTCTCAAAAAAAAAAAAAAAGTAATATGCTCAGAACAGTACCTGGTACCTAGTAAGTGCTATATAAGCACTATTATCATCATCATTATTCTTATTTTTGCTATGATCTGGTTTTATGAAAAGGAGCTGGGGTAGTTTTTGTAAACCCTTCGTTTTTCCCAGAAGGCTTGGTTTTTTAGATGTGCAAAGACTTGAACTATTTGTGATAGAATTTGTGTATATACTCAAGACTATTGTGGTATATGTATAAATACCCGGCAAGCAGTGCTGTGGCTTGGGAGAAGACCAAGGACACATCTGCTAGGCTGCAAGAGCGGTGCTCCAGGGCATTTTGTCCTAGCAGGTAGTGGCAGGGCCGGGTTGGGGATAGAAGTATGTACCCATAACCATGATTCAGCCTTGGCTAGCAGGCCCTGATCCTCACCATGGCCATCATCTGTTTATGGCCTTCAGGAACCGGTTGTCACACTAGACAAATCCTCTTACAAGCAGTGCATCTTCAAACTGAAGGAGGATTTACATTGAAGATCCTGAGATACTATTCAAATTAGTTGGCCGTCTTATGCACACATTGGCAGGGCTAAAAATATTTTGTCACTTTAGCATTTGTGCCAAGCCTGTCTTTTAGTGCTTCACATGATCTTTTTGTGTTATATAAATTAACTCATGGTCAGATGACTAGAAATGGAGCTATAAATTACTTTTCCAAGGAATGGAACTCAGTTCCTACAATGTAAAAAGACAGCTGGCCTGGCGCGATGGCTCACTCCTGTAATCCCAGCACTTTGGGCACCTGAGGCAGGTGGATCACTTGAGGTCAGGAGTTTGAGGCCAACCTGGCCAACATGGTGAAACCCCGTCTCTACTAAAAATACAAAAATTAGCCATATGTGGTGGTGCGTTCCTGTAGTCCCAGCTACTCATGAGGCTAAGGCGGGAGAATCACTTTAACCTGGCAGGCGGAGGTTGCAGTAAGCCAAGATGGCACCACTGGCCACTGCACTCCAGCAGGGGCAGTAGAGCAAGACTCCATCTCAAAAAAAAAAAAAAAAGAGACTCAGTCATAATTTTGGATTAATGACAAAAAATGGAACAAGGTTAGGATTAAGCAATCAATTCATTCTGCTTGGATAAAAATGGGCTTAGTGGAGGAAACCAAAACCTAAGGAGGGACTTTCACATAATAAAAGCACCAGTGCTTCATGGAAAGATTTTATTGTCTTTTACATTTTGTTCTCTTAGTCACTGATCCCAAGAACCATACCGTAATGTTTGACACACTTAAGGACTGGTGTTGGGAACTGGAACGGACCAAAGGCAACATGAAGTACAAAGCAGTGAGTGTCAACGAAGGCTATAAAGTCTGTGAGAGGTAAGCTTTCCATGCTGGGCACATGCTGTACAATTCACCCATTAAAAGTGTACAGTGTTTTTTAGTATATTCACAGGGTTGTGCAGTCATCACCACAGTCAATTTAGAACATTTTCATCCTCCCAAAAAGAAACTCCATACCCATTGGCTGTCACTCCCCATTTTCCCCGAATACCTCTCTTTCTTCCCCAGTCCTAGACAACCACTAATCTACTTTCTATCACTATAGACTTGCCTGTTGTGAACATTTCATATAAATGGAATCATATCATATGTGATCTTTTATGACTTGGTTCTTTCACTTAGCATGATGTTTTCAAAGTCTGTTTATTTTGCAGCTTGTATCAGAATCTCATTCTTTTTTATTGCCAAGTAATGTTCCATAATGTGGATATAGCACATTTAATTTATCCATCTATTAGTTGATGGACTATTGGATTATTTTCACTTTTTGGCTCTTTGAATAATGTTTTTTGGTTTTTTGTTTTTGTTTTTGTTTTTGTTTGAGACAGGGTCTTGCTCCGACACCTATGCTGCACCATGCTGGAGTGCAGTGGTGCCATCTCGGCTCACTGCAACCTCCGTCTCGGCTCAAGTGATTCTCCCACCTCAGCCTCCTGAGTAGCTGGGACCACAGGCGTGCACCACCATGCCTGTCTAATTTTTCTGCTTTTTGTAGAGATGGGGTTTCACCATGTTGCCCAGGCTGGTTTTGAACTCCTGGGCTCAAGCGATCCTCTCACCTCGGCCTTCCAAACTTCTAGGATTACAGGCATGAGCCATCATGCCTGGCCATGAATAATATTGATATGAACATTCAATTATAAATTTTTGTGTAGATGTATGTTTTTATTTTTCTTGGGTATATTACCTAGAAGTGGACTGCCAGATCCTGTGGAAATTTGTGTTTACCCTTTTGAGGCACTCACAGACTTTTTCACAGAGACTGTTCCATTTTATATTCCTACCAACAGTGTATGAGAGTTTCTTCCTCCACATCAATACTAGCTTTTTATTATGTACTTATTTATTATTCATTTTAAGATGGGGTCTCTCTCTGTCCCCCAGGCTGGAGTGCAGTGGCGTGATCTCGGTCCACTGTAAGCTCCGCCTCCTGGGTTCACGCCATTCTCCTGCCTCAGCCTCCTGAGTAGCTTGGACTACAGGCACCTGCCGCCACGCCTGGCTAATTTTTTGTGTTTTTAGTAGAGACAGGGTTTCACCCTGTTAGCCAGGATGGTCTTGATCTCCTGACCTTGTGATCTGCCCGCCTCGGCCTCCCAAAGTGCTGGGATTACAGGTGTGAGCCATTGCGCCCGGCCTTTTTCTTCCCTTTTATTGAGCACTTCTTTTATTCATTCACCAAAAATTTTTGACTGCCTTCCATTTGCTTGGCAGTGTCCTAGCTATTAGAGATGGCAGCAGTCAACAGGGCACCTGAAAACCTCTGCCCTCTTGGAGCTATCATTCTGGAGGGAGGAAGATGATGGTAGAATAAAGAAGTAAATTATAGCATGTTAATAGATAAGTGCTATGGAGAAAATCAGATCCAGCACATGGTTAGGGAGTGCTGGAGGTGATGGTGGGAGGGTTGGTCAGGAAGGTTTTACATGGTGGAAGTAAGGTTTTGCATGGTGGCTTGTAAGCATAGTCGTAAAGGAAGTGAAAGCTTGAGTCAGAGGACACCCGAGGGAGGAGCATTCCAGGTGGAGGGAGGAGTAAGAGCAAAGGCCTGGGGGAGGAACAGCAAGGTGCCCAGGGATGGGGGAGGAGCAAGCTAGGGAGAGGAGTGGGAGATGATGGGCCCAGAGACTTTGATGGGAGGACAGTGAGAGGGAGGCTGAGTAGAAGCAGACATGATCTGACCTACATGTTTTTTTGAGACTGAGTCTCACTCTGTCACCCAGGCTGAAGTGCAGTGGTGCTATCTCGGCTCACCGCAACCTCTGCCTCCTGGGTTCAAGTGATTCTCCTGCCTCAGCCTCTTGAGTAGCTGGGATTACAGGCGCCTGCCACCACGCCCCACTAATTTTTGTATTTTTAGTAGAGATGGGGTTTCACAATGTTGGCCAGGCTGGTCTTGAACTCCTGACCTCAAGTGATCTGCCTGCCTCAGCCTCCCAAAGTGCTGGGATTACACGCGTGAGCCACTGCGCCTGGCTGACCTACATTTTTAAAGCATGACTGTATAATCTGTTTTCAGAAACTTGAATGTTATCATTTTGGAACATACTCCCTAACACCCTGCTAACAGATTCATACAACTTTGTATTTTTGTAGAGCTCTTTGTATCATGGTTCTGATAGGCCTCTTCAGTAATCAGTTTTGATTCTGATCACTCTCAGTATTTATCAGGTTGCTGCCACTGGTCCCCCTCCCCCCCGCCCTGCAGTGCCTTCACAGTGTGAGCTGTGGTGGCAGTGGGGAAGGGCCTGCCAGGGTCCTGACCCCCACCAAGAACCTCATTGTCAGCCACACCCTGTTCTTTTCTCTTTCCTGGTTTTAAAGCTTGAAAGGATAAAGCTAGCTCTTGCTCAGAAAGAAGTTAGAAACCCCTGCTCCTAGGAGATGATAGTTTGTAATAAGATGTTGATACTAACATAAGTTCCCAGAATTGTTTTTAAAAAAAATCCTGCCACATACTAATCAGTTGGCATTTGCATAGGTGTTAGCATGTCAGAAATATACAGGAAAAGCTGTGGTTTGTTTCACTCCAGACCACTGTAGTCGCTGCTCCGTGGTCTCCCCCATCCACTGGTGCCCCAGCATCCATTCTCCATGTCGCATGCCAAGCAGGCTACTCCACATGCATCTCATGGCACTTGTCCCTGGCTTCAGTGGCTTCCCGCTGTTCTTGGTATAGAACAGAGCCCTCAACAAGCACTCTCAAGGCCCTTCATGGTTTGACTGCAGCTTTGTGTCCCACCCCTCTGGCCATACTGACCTCCCTGCCACAGGTCTTACCCACAGGCTCCTGTCTGGAAGTCCTTTTTGCTTCTAGCTGCACAAGTATAATTAACTCCACTTCATCAGTCGGATCTTACCCCAGGTACCGCTTTTTTTTTTTTTTTTTTTGGGAGACTGAGTCTCACTCTGTCACCCAGGCTGGAGTGCAGTGGTGTGATCTCGGCTCACTGCAACCTCCGCCTCCCAGGTTCAAGCGATTCTCCTGCCTCAGCCTCCCAAGTATCTGGGATTACAGGCATGCGCCACCACGCCCAGCTAATTTTTGTATTTTTGGTAGAGACGGGGTTTCACCATGTTGGCCAGGCTGGTCTTGAACTCCTGACCTCAAGTGATCCGCCTGCCTCAGCCTCCCAAAGTGCTGGGATTACAGGCTTGAGCCACTATGCCCAGCCCCAGGTACCACTTAAGTTGCAAGCTTTCCCAAGGCTAAGTCAGGTGTCCTTGTGAGTTTTCATTGCACTGTCTGCCCCTCTTCACAGCGCTTCCTGCAATGGCAAGTTTGTTGTTATTTTGTATCATCATTTGGTTAATGTGAGTTTCTGCAACCTACAGCTCTGTGAAGTTAAAGGATGCTGTTTTTGCCCATTGTTATGTCCTCAGTGTAACACGGTGGCTGGCTTCTAAGAGGAGCTCAATAAATAGGAGACAGAAGGAAAAGCCCCATTTGTATTTAGAGGGGGACCTGCGTCAGTTTGGGTAAGAACAAGGAACTGTCTACTTCACTTTCCCACAAGGTCAGAGCTGGCTATTCTGGTACCACAGGTCTCTTCCTTCTCTTTTTCATTCTCCTCCTAACAAACCTTTCTCCCATCCCACTTCCCTGTAAACGCATAGGATGGTATGTGGCCCTGTGGAGTGTGTACCACACAGAGGGACCTAGGAGCTGTTGCTGGCACAGGAAGACATTGCTGTTCTGGGAGGTTGTGCCTGAGTAGATACACAATTTTCCATGAGTAAAGTCATCTGGTATTTGCAGGAACTGTTTACTTTGTGTTCTAAGCTCATCTTAATGACTGAAATGACTGCTTTCCAAGGAGGGAGGATTGATTGCTTGTGTCCAATGGGAATGTCACAGTGGGGACTCCATGGAATCCACCTGGAATTAAGTGGTCAGGAGAGGACACCCTCCACACCTCTCACTGACTGCAGTGCTCTTCGTCTCTGTACAGCCTTCTCTGCTCGGTGATGGATGGGATATTTGCCAATACATTTGGTTCTGACTTTTTTTTTTTTTTTTTTTTTTGTGAAAGACCATCTATAAGAAAACTCACCGATGAACTAACAGTGTAAAATATTCAACCTCACTAGTTGGGGAAGACATGGAAATTTTTTAAAACCATGGGGCCCCAGTCCAGCTTTATAGCATGAGCCACTGAGGAAGGAGCTCAGGATCTGGTTTAAACAACTGCACAGATGACTGTCCTGAAAAGGTTGAGAAACAGTGGCCTGTTTGTAAGCTACCATCTAGAGCAGTGCGTCTCCATTTAATGTGTGTCTAATCGCTGGAGGCTCTTGTCTAATATTCAGAATCTGACTCAGTAGGTTGGGGGAGGCTAGAGCGTCTGCAGTCCTCATCAGCTTCCAGGTCATGCTGCTGAAACTGTGAGTAGCAGGATCTTCTGGAACAACAGTGTTCATCCCAACTGCTTACCTGGAGAGCTTTTAAGCTTCTGATTTAATAGTTCTTGGATGGAGCCTGGACATTGGTAATCTTTTAATCTTCCCACTTGATTTGAATGAGCAGCCTGAGTTTAAGAGCAGTTGATCTGCGGAGAGGTTTTTACTTCAATGACTACACCTGAAAAAGGGATGCCTTACCAGTCACCCATTCAGTCAGACTTATAAGAAAATATTTCAAGTACTTCAGAACTTCAGAAGGCAAACATTCTTCACAGTTTTGATGGTTTGAAGTGTCTTAGTGACCATTAGTTTCCAAACCTGGTTTTCTATCACAATCTTATTGGAACTTTTTCTTCATTAATTACTTTTAAGATTTTTTGGTTTTGCATTTTTTTTTTTGAGACAGGGTCTCACTGTGTCACCCAGGCTGGAGTGCAGTGGCACGATCTCTGCTCACTGCAACCTCTACCCCCTGGGCTCAAGCGATTCTTCCACCTCAGTCTCCTGAGTAGCTGGGACCATAGGTGCCCGCCACTATGCTCGGCTCAATTTTTTATATTTTATATGACTACAAAAAACTTATATCTACATTTTATTTATATTTGTATTTTTATATTTTTAGTAGCGAGGGGGATTTTGCCGTGTTGCCCAGGCTGGTCTTGAACTCCTGAACTCAGGTGATATTACAATGTGAGCTACCATGCCCAGTCCAAGTTTTTTGTTGTTGTTTGTTTGTTTGTTTGTTTGTTTGTTTTTTTGAGACAGAGTTTTGCTCTGTTGCCCAGGCTAGAGTAGAGTGGCGCAATCTTGGCTCACTGCAAGCTCCACCTCACAGGTTCAGCGATTCCTCTGCTTCAGCCTCTCGAGTAGCTGGGATTACAGGCACCCGCCACCATGCCCAGCTAACTTTTGTATTTTTAGTAGATTCAAGGTTTCACCATCTTGGCCAGACTGGTCTCAAACTCCTCGCCTCATGATACACCCACCTCAGCCTCCCAAAGTTCTGGGATTATAGGTGTGAGCCACCATGCCCGGCTGATGATTTTTTAAATGCAAAATTTCAAGTAGTATAAAAGGAAAGAAGATATGATGAATTCCCATTTACCCTAAAATACCCAGACTCAACAGTTATCAACTGATGGCCAATTTTGTTTTCTCTATACCCCCACCTGCTTCACCCTCTCTTGGATTATCTTGTTTTAATTTTAATTTTTTAAAGACAGGGTCACCCAGGCTTAAGTGCAGTAGCACAGTGATGGCTCATTGCAGCCTTGAATTCCTGGAGGCTCAAGTGATCCTCCCAAGTAGCTGGGACTACAGGTGTGTGCCACTTCGTCCAGCTAATTTTTTTTAATTTTTTTGTGGAGATGGGGTCTCACTATGTTGCCAAGGCTAGTCTCAAGCTCCTGGCCTCAAGCAGCCCTCCCACCTTGGCCCCCCAAAGTGTTGGGATTATAGGCGTGTGCCACCATGCCTCAGCCTCCCAAAGTGCTGGATTACAGGTGTGAGCCACTGCGTCCAGCCGTGTCTTACAAATTTTTAAACCCTTTCTCTGTCATCTTTTTAATCTTTTTTTAAAAGTAATCAAGATTAAATGAGATTGGTAGGTTTGTTAAATTGCTTCATCTATAGATTTTCAAGCCATCATATTTTTCTTGCAATATGTTGAAGAAACTTGACTGACAGTTTTCCACAGCCTGGGTTTTGATGATCACATCCCCATGGTGATATTTATTTGTTGCCCCATCTCCTATGAACTGATCTACATCACACATGCAGCATGCATACAAATGCCATTGATTATTTTCCATTGTAACTTAACACCATAAGCACCTTATTTCTTGTGAGGCTTTATTTCAAGCTCTTTGAGGGAAAGATGCTTACAGATTCTTATAGCTTCACAGTGATAGAAACTTAGGCAGTTTTCTTGTTAACAGAAACCTACATCTGCTGCCTGAGAGATGATGTCCCCAAGTAATTTTGATCTTTCATTCTACCATGTCCTACTACTTAACAAGTTTGTTCTTTTTAGAGACTAAATTTTCTCCTATAGAAGTTGAAGTCCCAATGCTTGGGTTCAGGTCCCAGCTGCACTGTGTGCTAACTAGTTGTGTAACCAGGGAAGAGTCTTAGCAGAATAGTGTCTCAGTTTCTTTATCTGTAAGATGGAAATAATATTACATATCTCATAGAATTGTTGGGAAGATTAAATCGATAAGTAATGTTCAGTACTTATTGGTAAGTATATTAGATAAGAGGTGTTAAGTAATTAGAACAGTGGTTGGTACACAGTAGCACTTAAATGTTCTTGTCAGAGCACTTGATAAAATGTCTGGGCAGCAAACCTCATAATTACTGTTTTTCCTATTAGTTTAACTGAAAACAACACAGGTGCTTATATGGCTACTATATGAGAACAATACTCCCAATTTCAGAATTCGATGCTTTTAGGTATCATATTTTCCTATCCCCTCATTTTTGAAAGAGGAAACAGACCCAGAGAGGTAGAATAACTTACCTGGGGTTGTACAGAATTGCAGGCAGAGCCACAGTTTGAACTTAGATTCCCCACTGATTTGTCCAGAGTACTTCACGCCACACCGAAAGCAGCAGTTCCTCTGAGCTGGTTCTGAACAGGGAAATATGGTCCCATCTGCTTAACACTCTGCTTGTATTCATCGTATCCATTGAAGTTGAGCTTTCATATTTTGTGAATTAAGTGTTGTACTAAAACTTGATGACATTTCTTTCTTCTAGATTGCCAGCATACTTTGTTGTCCCCACCCCTCTTCCTGAAGAGAATGTGCAGCGCTTTCAGGGTCATGGCATACCAGTAAGTGCATCTGGGAACCCTGAAAGGTGTGGGTTGTGCATTGGTCTATCCTGGCAAAATGATCCTACTGAAAGCCCTTGGCTTTTGTTCTAGAGTTTGTTTTCAGTCCAAGAACAATCCAGAAATATCTTAGGGACTCCCTAGAAGAGTCTGTTAAAGGTCATTGGGACAGAGTTCTAAAGTTTTCACAAATGCACTTGAGTTTTTAGAAGAGACATGAACAGAGCTTTAAGAGGATCATAGATCTGTCTGGTGTTGAAAGCAAGCCCGGTTTAACACTAAGTCATTTTGAACCTGAGCCAAAGCACGCCAAGGGTAGTAGGATTTAAGCTTCTTTTTGGCCCACACTGTTAATCTTTGTATGGGCATGGTGGTGTTTTCTCCCAGAGACAACATGGAGTGCTGCTTAGTTTTCACAGAATAGAGTGGGATTGGAGCCATATTTAATGTGTCACTGATCAAAGAAAGCAAGACTCTGGCAGTTACTCCGGTTTCTAATTGGTGGTTGGGAATTGCCAGGCCTGCAGGGTATTTAGTAAGGAATGAGAATTATAAATAAGTGCTGTGCTGTGTGCACAGCTGGTTCACCAAAAGGGTCACTCCCATATGGGTGGAGGTATGGTTAAGCAGGGTCACGTGCCCAGAAGCCCATGGAGTCCAAGCAGGTAATGAGTATGACCTTGTGGTGAACCAGAGGCCCTCCGCCTGGTCTAGGGGGACATCTCTTCAGTGCTAGGCAGTATATGCCACATGGGAATATGAGCCAAGTGTTGCCAGATGTCCTGATTTTTCAGGAGAAGCCATAGATACAGATTTTTGTTTTGTTTTGTTTTTATTTTTGTTTTTTTTAGACGGAGTTTTGCTCTTGTTGCCCAGGCTGGAGTGCAATGGCCCAATCTCTGCTCACTGCAGCCTCTGCCTCCCAAGTTCAAGCAATTCTCCTGCCTCAGCCTCCCGAGTAACTGGGATTAGAGGCACCCACCACCAGGCCCAGCTAATTTTTTGTGTTTTTAGTAGAGACGGGGTTTCGCCATGTTGACCAGGCTGGTCTCAAACTCCAGGCCTCAGGTGATCCACCCGCCTCGGCCTCCCAAAGTGTTGAGAGCCACCATGCCTGGCCTAGATACAGATCTTTATGTGAGTTTTCCTAATTTCTAAATATATGCCACTGATTCAGATGTTTAAAAGCATGTTTTGGGGACAGAGTTGGTCACAATGAATAAAATTCATAATTTTTAGCTCTTTATTAAGGACATTCTGAAGGGAAACTTTTTATTTTCTGCTGGTGTGGCAGTGAAGAATACAGTGAGCATCAGTACAGTTGGGTGGCCCTGCCTTGATTGGTACTGTCACCAGCAATTTTACCACCACTGCTTTTGTACCAAAAGTCACCACGGTACATATGACAAATTATATCTTAGCGTTATTATGAAAATAGCTGTGGCCTCTCAGACCACCTGAAAGGATCTTGAGACCTCCCAGCGTAGTGTATACTACACTTCGAAAACGGATGCTTTAGAGGAATGAAAATGAGAGTCTCTATCTTTCAGTCTTTCATAGAGGGGTCTGGAAAAGAGGATATGCTCTGTGGGAAGAAACAGAGGTGAACTGTTCACATATGTAGGAATAGGCTGCTTCTCCATCCCTGCAGTATATGAAATGTAGATACTCTGCATTCTAGCCAGGCCTTGGGCCTGAGAAGTAGCAAATATTCTGATAAGATTCGAGTGAGGAGCCTGAGGCATTACTTTGATAGAAACTGTGGGAAATGCAGGGCGTAGTGGCTCACGCCTATAATCCCAGCACGTTGGGAGACCGAGGCAGGCAGATCGCTTGAACCCGGGAGTTTGAGATCAGCCTGGGCGACAAAGCGAGACTCCATCTCTACAAAAAATTTTTTAAAATTAGCCTGGTAAGGTGGCACATGCCCATAGTCCCAGCTACTCTGGCGTCTGAGGTGGGAGGATCCCTTGAGCCAGGAGTTCGAAGCTGCAGTGAACTGTGATCGTGCCACTGCACTGTAGCCTGGGCAACAGAGTAAGACTCTGTCTCAGAAAGAAAAGAAAAGAAAACTGTGAGAACGTGTTCTCACTTCATTAGTTCTTCCCATATTTATACGTCCCAAAAGTTACAGTGGAGTTTGTGTGAATGAACAGCAAAAAAGTATTACACAAGATGGAATTTATACATCTACCCGGGAAACATAGAGCCCTCAATCTCTCTCTCTCTTTCTCCCTCTCTTTTCTTTTAACATAAAATTTTCATTTGACTGGAACATTTAGATCACCAGAAATGGCCTTAAGCAAATTAAAAGGTAATTTATTTTATATTTGGAATCGGTGAAATTATGTACCTTAACCTAGAATACCCAATCCTTTTAAATGTACACAGTACCACTATAGCCTCTTGTTTTTCATTTTCTTTAAGACAGGCTTTCTTAACCTAGGCACTATTGACATTTTAGGCCAGATAATTCTTTGTTGTGGGGGGCTGTTATTGTAGAATATATAGCATCAGCACTGCCAGTAGCATTTTCTGAGGTGCCAGTAGCACCCCTATCCCGTGAGTTGTGACAACCAACAAATATGTCCAGGTATTGCCAAATGTCCCCTCGTGGGTGGGGTGGGGGCACAAAATGCAGGTTGAAAACCCCTGCTTTAGGTGATCTGGACTGTTTTCTGTTTAGCATGTGTCTTCTCTGACTCTTAAGAGACTTACAGAAAATGTGACAACTAGTTGATGTGAGTGTCCGTAAGCCCCTCTCTGGCTTTGTCTTTACCTTGTTCTTCTTTCTCTCATTCCTATTGAACCTACTCATATTTACACTTATTCTCTGTGCTTATTTTTGTTGTTAAGAGATAAGAACATCAAACTGTTTTCTCTTAAACCAGATATTTAAGAGATTTGCAAAAACATAAAACAAAGCCGTTTATCTTCCTATGTGTTTTTGGGTGGAAAATATTATTTACAGTAACAGGTAATTGGTAATTATTGTTTTAAAATGAATTAGTATTTAAAAGTTTCTCAGTTTTAATTTCTAATGTGGTAAATATCAATAGCTATAGCTTATGTAGACACAAGCTCTTCAGGGTCCTCAGTAATTTTTAAGAACATGAAGGGGTCTAAGATCAAAAAGTTTGAGAACCACTGATCTGCAAGATTGCATGTACATACATTTTCTCTAGGACCTGGCATATAAGCACTCAAATCAATAGTAACAGGTAATTTGCAGTAGGTGCATAGGAAGCTAAGATTGAAGAGATAGTTTGGGGCTAGATTATGAACAGTCAATCTTTCATTTCATTCACAGAATCTTTAAAAATTGTGGTAAAATACACATAACATAAAACTTCCCATAGTGACATTTAGTATATTCTCAGTGTTGTGCAAACATTACCACAGTTTGTTCCAGAACATTTCCACATCTCCATGCTGTCTACCCTGGCTTTTCACCCAGTCTGTTCTTCCCTGCCTTCACTTCTTTTCAAGGAAGACCTGTATAATTGGTCAGTTTATTCATGTCCTTGCCGCTATTCTAAAGGCTTTGGCCGCTGTTCTTCAACCCTGAGTATCTTTTTTTTCCTCTGGGACAAATGAATATTGTTATGGATTATTCAAACCAAACAGCAAACTGTGCTTAACGGACCGTGAAAACCACTGGTGATGCTTTGTCCCGCCCAGCAGTATGCTATTTAACTCTTTTTGGTTCCTATATCATTGTTCTCTGCGTGAACAGGTTTTCATCCCTTTAAGTTTTTTGTATCATTCTTGACTCCCAGTGACGACCTTTTCCCTAGTCCAGTGGGATCCAGGACAGCGACAAGAACTCCCTCAGCTTCCTTCTACTCAGCCTCCTGTTGTTTCTCTCTGGGCTCCCGTTTCCTTCATACAGAATCTGGGTCTCTGGGCTCTTGATTGCCTTGTTTGGAGTCCCGTTCCATGGGCCTTCCCTCTTCTATGGTTGCCTTTCCCAAGTCTATTCTGCTATGTCTGTTTTTGAAGACATCCTTCTGTCTCCCTTAACCTGAGGCACTTCCTTCGTAGTCAAGCGGCTGTCTTGTTCTTCCTGTACTGCCAAGTATATTTAAAGAGTCTATACTTGTTTTCTCTACCATTTCTTCTTGTAACATGACTTCTACTCCCCACACACTGTGGACATTTCCCTCCCAGAAGTCCTTACGTCGTGTGCAGCCCCAGTTCCCTACATGACTGCAGTGTTTGACTCTGATGACATTGTCTTTTAAGTTCCTGTCCTGGCCTTGGAAACATTGTACTCCCTTGGCCTGCTGACCTCCTTCATGGTCCTTTCCTGCTTATGCTGCCTTCTGCCTCAGACTGTAGATGTTCTATTAAAGCTCTGTTTTTGACTCTATTAAGAGAGGGACCTTAATCCCAGCACTTTGGGAGGCCGAGGCGGGCGGATCACGAGGTAAAACGGTGAAACCCCGTCTCTACTAAAAATACAAAAAATTAGCCGGGCGTAGTGGCGGGCGCCTGTAGTCCCAGCTACTCGGGAGGCTGAGGCAGGAGAATGGCGTGAACCCGGGAGGCGGAGCTTGCAGTGAGCCGAGATCCCGCCACTGCACTCCAGCCTGGGCGACAGAGCGAGACTCCGTCTCAAAAAAAAAAAAAAAAAAAGAGAGGGACCTTAAAATGTACCGAATAATGAGTAATCCTTTTTTTAAAAAAACAAATAAGATTAACAAACTGTGATTCTTGCCTATGAAGTCACTCATACTAAGAATTCTGGCCCTCACAGTTCCCAGAGAGAAATTGCAGCAACAGAAGACTTTTTGCTAAATTTCTGTGAGAAGCCTCTTTGACCAGGAACTTTGTTTTTTTCTATTTACTGTTTCACGCAGAGAATAGTAAGGGAGTTGGCCCTTCACGCCTCAGATGAGATGAGACAGTTATGATTAGGAGTTATTACATGTGCCCCAGATGGAAAATGAGTTATAGTTGGATATCACCAAGGGACTATGCTTTCTGCCCTTCTGCTCCAGAAGAGGAGATAAAAAGGGTTAAGAACACTTAGTTTCTTAGAACTCACCATCCAGTCATGGCTAAGAGTATCTCCCCCTTTATCCAAGTGAGCTGCGCCAACTAAGGGGGGCACAATTGCCTGGGCACCAAAATTTCACCACCTTAGGCAGAGAGCTGAAAACTGTATGGTGGTTTCTGCACATCGCTTAGCATGGCATTGAGAAAGGGAATGCAAGAACAGCAAAGGGCCCTTTGATTATCTTACGTTCTAACACTTCCACCTCATCATGAATCTTAAAGTGTGGCTTGGCCCCAAGAAAGGAGTTGTTGCTGTTTACAGCAGTTCCTAAAGCAGTTCTGTGTCACTCTGTCCTTGCTCTCTGGCTGGGCTCATCAGCTCCCCCACTGCAGCAGACCATCAGCTCCCATTTCTAGAGTGCCAGGCCTGTTTTCCTCTCATTTTAGGGGCCTCCTGAATATCTCCACATGGAGGTCCTGTTGATGCTAGACACCCAATATGTGCTGATTCCATCACCTTCCCCAGAAATCCCGAACCAGTTCCCCTTTGTGATTTTCTAAGTGTAGTGCACAATATCACCTGGATTGTCATGCCGATCTCTAACTCTCGGTCTACGCCACTGCTAGCATATCCAACACATGGTTTATACCTGGCAGATGAATGGCAAAAAGGTGCTCCCTCTGGGAAGCCGAATTATAAAAGGTCTTTCCTCCAGGTTTATCTTTGAGCCCAGGCCAATGGCTTGGTCAGCAAAGCAAGGGCTGGACCTTAGCCACTCTCAAGCACTTAGCCAGGCCTTTATGCAGGACTCAAAGTCCACAACTGTACTCACCCGTCCAACCAGTCTGTCTTTCTTCTCCATTCTAGCTTCCACTGGCAGATTACTTTGCCCCAAGATCAGTTGTAATCTCCTTTTGTTCCTGAAAAACAAACAAAACCCCCCACTGTAACCTGAAAAAAGCCTGAACACCTTAACCTATTGCCAAAGCAGAAGAAAGCCTAAACAGCCTCACCTGCCACTGTTGGTCACTCGTGTGACTTCTTTCTCCTTGCCTTGTTTTTGTTGTGCCTTGAAATTTCTTTCTTCAGTTATATAATACATTCTACCTTATTTTATATTCCTAAGCTTATTTCCCTTTTGAAACGAAGCTCTGAAGGTAGACACAGTATCTTAGTATCTTTGTGCCCTCTCACAACCTAATGTGGTGCCTTGCATGTCACAAGTCTTGAATTCAGTTATGTCAAATAGCCAACATTCCATTCTTCCTAGTGTGGATTTTCTCTAATGAGAGTTGCCCCCTTTTTGCCATCCATATACAACACAGCCTTTAGAGTCACACTGCAGCTACTTTTGTACAACTTGGGAAAGTCCTTCCATCTCTCCAAGCCTCAGTTTCTTGCTGTTAAGGGGGATAAATAATCATACCCATCACAGAGAGTTACCATAACAATTAAATGAGTTAATTCATGTAAAATACCTGACATGTAATAAGCTGCACTTGAATGATAGCTACTATCCTAATAATAATAATGTTGTTGTTGTCATCATCTGGGTTACCAGCTGATGATAAGTCAAAAGGTATATGTTAGACCATAAGTCTGTGTCTGACTACCTAGACCTGTTTTATTTTTTAAAACTAAATCATTCTTTTTCATTGTGACTAAATACTCCCAGGCTTAATAAAGTTAAGTATGTCCAGCCATTTCATACTGAAGTTACAGATTTCCCTGTATGCATTTAAATGCTAAGCTTATGTGTCCCCTGTTGGGTTGTGTTTATTGTATCTGGTAAAGCTTTATTTGTTTCTACAGATATGGTGTTGGTCCTGCCACAATGGAAGTGCCCTTTTGAAAATGTCAGCACTGCCCAAAGAACAGGATGACGGCATTTTACAAATCCAAAAGAGCTTCTTAGATGGGTCAGTACTAGTTCTACATTTTGTTCTTGTTCAGTTCTTGTTTTCCAAGAAGCAGGGAACAGCTCTTAGTAGTATGTCTATTTCTGTTTACCTACTGGTAGCTTAATGCTAGGGGAATACAACTTAACAGTGATCATTTTGAGTTAATTTGAAAGGAGTCAGTATAACATAATAATTAAGAGTGTCACCTGCGTCGTTTTTAGAGGTGCACGCTAAAGTCTTCAGTGGGGAGGTGACATGATGTCTGTAATGTTAACAGTTGTCAAATTTAGGTCATGGTACATGTCACAATACTATTCTACTTTCTACATGTTTCAAATTAAACAAAACAAAGCAAAAAAAACCCAAAGTAGATGAATTTAAAACAAAAAAGAAGGAATAGACTCAGAGTTACATTGCCTTGGTCCAAATCATGGTTCTATCAGTTTATAAATTGGATGATCTTGGGCCAGGCAGTTTTACTTTATGCACCTCCATTTCCACACCCATTGACTGGGAACAGGAGTCCTGCAGCAATTGCCTGGTAGGTGAAGATTAAATGGGAGAATGCCTACTGAGCCCTTAACACAGATTGTGGCACGTAGTAAATCCTTAAGCAAAATTTGAGTTTGCTCTTCTAATCTCATATTCCTTTTTGATACCTAGAATTTACAAGACCATCCACAGGCCACCCTATGAAATTGTTAAAACGGAAGACCTGTCAAGCAACTTCCTGTCCCTGCAGGAAATCCAGACTGCATACTCTAAATTTAAACAGCTATTTCTGATAGGTGAGAAGAATACTGAGCAAAAACTTTTGTGTTATATGGGGAAAGACATGCCATGCAGATCAGGTGAAAGTTGGTGCCTTTTCCCTGGGTTCCTTACGTTAGTACGCAGAGCCCAGGGCTGTGATGTCATGGAGCCAGGGGTCTGGCTGCCATTACCACACTTCCCTCTCCATCTCTCTCCAGGCTTTCCCTCCCCGCCTCCTTATTGTGGCAGTGATCACACGGCCACCCTCCTCTTCTCCCCTTCCTCAGCATACCATTTGCCCAGTGGTGAGCATTTTGGTTTCTTCCTTTAAAAGTTTTTGAACTATGTAGTATTTATATTTGTTGACTTGCAGTAATTTATAAAGTGAATAATGTTCGTTTTCCTCTGTAGACTTTTTCCCAAAGTGGAAATACTTTAATTTTTTCCCCTGATTGGGAATATACAGTTTCTAACAATATTAAAAGTTCTACCAGAAATGTACAAAGTAGAAAATGAAATATGCCTGTCCCAGCTACCCCCATTTTCCTGCCCAGGCTGCCTACTGGTGCCTCATATTTAACACTGCTCAGTCACTCATTGATTCTCTTCATTCTGGAATGAGTCTTTACGCTCTGAGATTTGTCATGCCTATAGATAACTTTTCCTAACTTGGACATTGTTTTTTGAGACAGGGTGTCACCTCTGTCATCCAGACTGGAGTGCAGTGGCATGATCACAGCTCACTGCAACCTTAAAACTCCCAGGCTCAAGTGATCCTCCCACCTCTGCCTCCCAAGTAGCTGGGATTACAGGCACACACCTCCTCACCTGGCTAATTTTTGCATTTTTTGTAGAGACAGAGTCCCATCATGTTGCCCAGACTGATCTTGAACTCCGGGGCTCAAGCAATCCTCCCACTTTGGCCTTGCAAAGTGCTGGGATTATAGGCATGAGCCGCTGCCTGGACTAACTTGGACTTTTTAGCCTAGCAAATTCTTAACTGTTTTGGGATTCGTTCAGTGACATTTATTGAGTTTCCATTGAACAAGGGGTCTTCAAAAAGTTCATGGAAAATGTATATTATGAAAAAACTACACATGAATTCCAAAACTTTTTTACCCCAAAATAACTCATACTAACTTACTATAACATGCCTGAGCAGGATCTGGTTTGAGGAGCTAAGAAGGGTAAGAAATTAGTTTGAAAACAGGCCCTATTAGAGCAACATGAATTCTGCTGAAATTGAAGCAAAAACAAATATTGAATTTATGGTGAAGCTTGGGTGGAAGAATGGTGAAATTATTGATGCTTTAGAAAACGTTTACGGGGACAGTGCCCCAAAGAAATCAGCAGTTTACAAATGGACAACTCATTTTTAAGAAGGAGCAGATGATGTTGAAGATAAAGCCTGCAGTGGCAAACTGTCCACGTTAATTTGCGAGGAAAAAATTAATCTTGTTTCTGCCCTAATTGAAGAGGACCGACAGCAGAAGAAACAATAGTCAACTCCATAGACATCTCAGTTGGTTCAGCCTACACAATTCTGACTGAAAGGATAAAGTTGAGCAAACCTACTTGCTGGGCGCAGTGGCTCATGCCTGTAATCCAGCACTTTGGGAGGCTGAGACGGGCGGATAACTTGAGTTCAGGAATTTGAGACCAGCCCGGCTAACATGGCGAAACCCATCTCTGCTAAAAATACAAAAATTAGCTGGACGTAGTGGTGGGTGCCTGTAATCCCAGCTACTTGGAGGGGCTGAGGCAGGAAAATGAACCCGAGAGGTGGAGGTTGCTGTGAGCCAAGATCACGCTACTGCTCTCCAGCTTGGGTGACAGAGCAAGACTCCATCTCAAAAAAAAAAAAAACTGTCTACTCAATAGGCACCGAAACCATTGTGCCCAGATCAGCTTCAGATGAGAGCAGAGCTTTCAACAGAAATTTTAAATAAGTGGGATCAAAATCCTGAAGCATTTCTTTGAAGAATTGTAACAGGAGAAGAAACATGGCTTTGCCAGTACAATCCTGAAGACAAAATACAATCAAAGCAATGGCTACCGAGAGGTGGAAGTGGTCCAGCCAGGGCAAAAGCAGATATGTCAAGAGCAAAGGTCATGGCAACAGTTTTTTGTGATGCTCCAGCCATTTTGCTTGTTGACTTTTCTGACCAAAGCACAAAAACATCTGCTTATGAGAGGTTTTTTTTTTTCTGAGACAAATTCTCACTCTGTTGCCCAGGCTGGAGTGCAGTGGTGTGATCTTGGCTCACTGCAACCTCCACCTCCTGGGTTCAAGTGATTCTTGTGCCTCAGCCTCTTGAGTAGCTGGAATTACAGGTGTGCACCACCACACCCGGCTAATATTTGTATTTTTAGTAGAGGCAAGGTTTCACTATGTTGGCCAGACTGGTCTTGAACTCCTTACCTCAAGTGATCTACCCTCCTCGGCCTCCCAAAGTGCTGGGATTATAGGCATGAGCCACCATGCCCAGCCATAAGAGTGTTTTAAGAAAGTTGGCCAACGCTTTTGTAGAAAAATGCCCAGGAAGACTTCATCAGAGGGTCCTTCTCTACTGCTCATTCCTCCTATCAAACAAGGGCAATTTTGCAAGAGTTTTGATGGGAACTCATTAGGCATCTACCTTAAAAGTCTGATTTGGCTTCTTCTGACTTCATTTTCTAATCTTAAAAAATCCTTAAAGGGGGCTGGGCGTAGTAGCTCACGTGTATAATTGCAGCACTTTGGGAGGCCGAGGTGGGCGGATCACCAGAGGTCAGGAATTCAAGACCAGCCTAGCCAACATGGTGAAACCCCATCTCTACTAAAAATACAAAAATTAGCCAGGCATGGTGGTGGGCACCTGTAATGCCAGCTACTCCGGAGGCTGAGACAGAAGAATCGCTTGAACCCGGGAGGCAGAGGTTGCAGTGAGCTGAGATTGTGCCATTGCACATTGCGCTCCAGCCTGGGTGACAAGAGCAAAACTCCATCTCAAAAAAAACACAAAAATCCTTGAAGGGAACACATTTTTTTTTTTCAGTTAATAATGTAAAATAGACTGCAATGACATGGTTAAATTCCCAGGACCCTCAGTTCTTTAGAGGGGGTTGAGAGTGTCTTAAACTTGATGGAGCTTATGTTGAGAAATAAAGTTTATATTTTTTATTTTCATCTTTTAATTCCATGTTTTCACATACTTTTTGAAGTCCCCTTGTATATATTAACTATGCTAGTCGTTGGTGATAAAGAGAAATATAACACCAAGAGCTTATATTCTTGCAGGGGAAACAGCAATGTATGACTCTTAACTCAAACTAAAACATTACAATACATGTTTACTATTTAATCAAGGACACTCATTCTAGTTTTATTTCAGTCACTCAGGACTTTCAGGGATATCTGTCTTTTATTGATTTGAGTTTGCAACTTTTTTTTTCTTTTTTTCTTGAGATGGAGTTCTGTTCTTGTTGCCCAGGCTGGAGTGCAATGGTGCGATCTTAGCTCACTGTAACCTCCGCCACCCTGGTTCAAGCAATTCTCCTGCCTCAGCCTCCCAAGTGGCTGGGATTACAGGCATGGGCCACCACCCCCAGCTAATTTTTTTGTATTTTAGTAGAGACGGGGTTTCTCTGTGTTGGTCAGGCTGGTCTCAAACTTCTGACCTCAGGTGACGCGCCCACCTCCGCCTCCCAAAGTGCAGGGATTACAGGCGTGAGCCACCACATCTGGCCTTTTTTTTTTTTTTTCTTTTCATTTTTTAGAAACAGGGTCTCACTCTGTTGCCAAGGCTAGGGTGCAGTGGCGCCACCATAGCTCACTGCAGCCTCAAACTCCTGGCCTCAAGTGATCTTCCTGCTTCTGGGATTATAGTGCTGGGATTATAGGCATGAGCCACAGCACCCAGCCTGAGTTTGCAGCTTTTAAATATATTGGATTTCTGTAAGATTTAAGGTTCTCTGTTTTATAAGGCATGTAGGAGGAGTCATGTCATGGTATGCTGGGTGGACGAACTTGTGCATTGAGATTCTAATGAAAGTTAAGCCTGACCCTTAGGCTTCCGTGGCATCAGGATGGATCCAGTTGCATTTTCCACTTCTAGAATTAACAGCCTGGATGTCAACTATTTCTGCCTAAAGCATGTTACTCTCTGTCGACCTACAGGATGAACCATGGCTTTGTGTATGCATTGTAGGAATTTCTTATTTCAGCAATAAAGATCTCTTTTTGACCACCACAATCTTCTAGGGGCCTACAGCTCAGAAACCATTTCAGCTGAAGTTTTGAAATGACCCTTACTCAAAATAGAGTCCTGTGCCTGGATTCTGCAGTTTGAGTCAGGACTGTTAATCTGAATGACACAGTTGAGGAGCACAGGATTTTTGTGGCAAGTATGTCAGTGAACAATGACCTGACGTCTTTACTCCTTTTTCTTTTTTCAGATAACAGTACTGAATTTTGGGACACAGATATAAAATGGTTTTCTCTGTTGGAAAGTAGCAGCTGGCTTGACATAATCAGGTATTTCAAACCATTGTTTTACTCATGAATTTTGTAATTGTATAACTCAGGGTAGTAGATCAAACCGACAAATAATTTAACTGTTTGATATTTGACAGTTAAATATTCTTAGATCACATGTTCTACAGCTAGATTTTATATTTGCTACTTATTTCTGTGCACATTTGATAGGAATTTATGAACATGCCACCTGCTTACAAGGAGATGTACTCTACAGACAAGGCATTGAAAAAACACAGAAAGAGTGTGACAACCCAGAATTATTATTGAGGCAGCAGTGCTGGCCTCCAGGGAGGAAACTGAGGGTGAGAACAGGAGTGATACTGACTTTTCACTGAATACCTTTTTTAATCTTGTGTCTTACGCATATATTATCTGTGTTTTTAAAAACCATGATTAATGTCAGTTATTTTTGGTTTGGGAGTTAGGTTGAGAGTTCCAGAAAACAGTTATATTGCCTTTCCTACTTTCTATATTGAATAGCTCTTCTCTGTTGCCATTAAATAGAGGATATGGCAGAGAAAGGTGCAAAACAGAAATGATGATCAGGATGACAGAGTAGCTCTAATGCTAGGCTACATTTCAGGAGGGAGAGCAATGCTTCCTACTGCCTCACACACATTCTCCCTCCATTCTGAAGTGAGTACTGCGGAAAGGAGCCTTGGCCCTCCAGACACTGAACTGTGCTCCAGACATCCTGCTACACGTCTCATAATTTGAATATATAATGGCAGACAGGGATAAATGTTATGGAAGCAAAGAACCCTTCTTTGTGTGGGGTGGGCAGAGAAGGGTGAGCATCTCTAGCCAGATGAAGAGTCGGGGTGTGGGAAGGGAAGGTGGCTGGGGGGTAGGAGAGGACACGTCTGCAAGCAGAAGACAACAGATGTGAAGGCCCCCAGTTATACAAGTCAAAGCTGGGAATAGCGGCAACAGTCGCAAAGGGAATAACGTGTAGAGAGAGACAAAAAGGATTTCTGAGCATATTGGAGCTTTTTAGCCATTCTGATACATTCAGCAGGTCACCTTAAGTAAAGCAATCTGGACATGTCTCACATTCTCCAGGTATGGATTTTTATGAATCTTGCTCACCAGCAGACTCAGGCGTGAGTTTTTAATAAGAATGTCTAGTTTAGAAATTACCTAGGAGCATTTTCACATCAACTTTAGGATTCCCTCCTGAAAATTTTCAGTTTCTAATGGGCAGGAATATATCCCAGTATCTAAATAATGTAAATGGAAGTTCGTTTCTTTTCTAGAGGATTTTAGCGTGGAAAAAAAAAAAATAAGAGAGAAGACTGAAGATCAAGTCAGACTCTCTCTCAACTACGTAGTGTTTGTGTTACCAAGCTCATGAACTAATGCCCCTTTTTCTTGTCTCTTTCCTATTCAGACGTTGCCTGAAAAAAGCAATAGAGATTACAGAATGTATGGAAGCACAAAACATGAATGTTCTTCTTTTAGGTAATATATAGGAAGCACAAAGGATGATTTCCATTTTCCTTCACTTGAGATTCAATTTTTGTATATGTAGCTTTATGTATTTGGAAACAAAAGGAGTGAGTTAGTGTAGAAATCCTTCCTATTCCTTTCTCCCTAACCTTGGAATCCTTTGCCTTGGATTTCAGTGTTAGAGTTTAAAACAAAATTCTTTCACTTTGCACTTGGCAGACCTATTCACAGTCCACAAAGGAATTGTTGGTATCTTTACCAAAGCTCACATTTCTTAATGTTTTGGATTTTGTTTTATATTAACTGAGCTTGGTTAAATTTAAAATCTTTTTAGAATCCCTCTTATATAAAGAGATCCATGGATGACTTGGTTGTTATTTTTATATCTTTGTGGTTGACAACTTTATTCAGTTACCATAGAAACTTGGTGGCCTGTGAGTTCCTTTTCCTCAGTGGGCTTAACTCGCTGTACATGATGCAAACATTCAGAATGTGCGAAAGCAAGTGTGAACCACCATGCAAGGAAGATTGGTGCTGTAACTAGTTACATATGAGCTAAAATATTACCTGCTGTTTAGAAATACTATGTTTCGTTTAGCCCCACACTATAAATTAAGTAGATTGTCTCATGCTTTATACCCCCAAGCTTTTATCATTCTCTGAAACTCTGTAACTGTTGGCCCTGGGTTCTAAGGGCAGCCTGGAAAATGTATCTTTCTGTGGCTTCTGTCCATCTGATATTGGCTGACCGACTTAGATTTGAATACATTTATTGAGCCTCTGCCATGTGCAGGGCTCTGTTCCGCCTTCAAGAAGTTTGCAACCTAATGAGAGAGTTGCCTTAAGTGTGCTATTGAAAAAGACCTAACCAGCCGTGACAGAACAGAGCATTATTTGAGTACTGAGCAACTAGTGAAAAGGGGGAGGGATAAAGATTGGAGGTCTAAGAAACGGAAGGACTCAGGGCCAGAACACATTAATCACAGAGTTGCATAGAGTGAAATTTGAATCTTTGACTGATAGAACTGAGAAATCCTTCACTCCTGGATGGACTACTGAATTGTCTCACCTTGGAAATCTCTTTTAGTCCTTCATTCCATTACCCACAGGAGTATCATTAACACCCTTCAGATCCAAGAAGAAAGAGTTCCTTAAAAATGAAACTTGTGGCTGGACACGGTGGCTCACACCTGTAATCCCAGAATTTTGGGAGGCCAAGGCAGGCAGATCACTTGGGGCCAGGAGTTGGAGACCAGCCTGGCCAACATGACGAAACCCTGTCTCTACTAATAATGCAAAAATTAGTCGGGCTTGGTCCTGTGTGCCTGTAGTCCTGGCTACTCGGGAGGCTGAGGCACAAGAATTGCTTTAATCTGGGAGGCAGAGGTTGCAGTGAGCCAAGATTGTGCCGCTGCACTCCAGCCTGGGTGACAGAGTGAGACTCTGTCTCCAAAAAGAAACTTGTTTTGAAAATTGATAGCACTAGAAGACAAAAATGAAAATCTGTTTCTCTGTAACCCATGTCATCCCATAGTTGAGGCTTGTTTCCTGGAGGGAGAAGTGTAAGCTTGGACCCATAGTGCTCTGTGATTATAGGGGTCAGGATGAAAGAGTTATCACAATATGAGCACCTCCCTAGTTACAATTCATTCCTTTTTTTTTTTTTTTTTGAGACGGAGTCTCCCTCTGTTGTCCAGGCTGGAGTGCAATGGTGCGATCTCAGCTCACGGCAACCTCTGTCTCCCTGGTTCAAGCGATTCTTCTGCCTCAGCCTCCTGAGTAGCTGGGATTACAGGCGTGCACCACCATGCCCAGCTAATTTTTGTATTTTTAGTAGAGACGGGGTTTCACCATGTTGGTCAGACTGGTCTCGAACTCCTGACATCGTGATCCACCCGCCTCGGCCTCCCAAAGTGCTGGGATTACAGGCATGAGCCACCGCGCCCGGCCTACAATTCATTCTTAAGTTTCTCTAACACCAATGATACTAGCACCATCCTCCTCATGGACATTTTTTAAAAACAACTCGAGTTGCACCTATTTTTGTGAAAGGGAAACTATGGGGATGTAGACCCTGACTTTTAGGATCTTAAAACTCTTAAGACAAATGCACGGATAAAGATATGTGGTTCTTTTGCTCTAAGTCATGAATGTTAAACAAGTATGTGAGTGGACTTTTCATCAAATGAGTTTTGGAAAGTGCATGGCAGGTGGGCATGTAGAAGTAGACCAAGGAGAGTTTGTCTCCTAGGATAGGCAGGAGAAGCAGGCACCTCTGTGCCCCTCAAACAGAAAAGGACAGAGCCTTAGAGCTGAAAATAGAAATAATTTTGCTACAGTCAAGAAATATTAAACTTTCTCCAAAGTAGAGTTAGTGGAGGACTTAGGAGTGGAGGAAGGGATGTCTGAGGTGAGTTTGAGAAGCAGCTGAGCCATGAAATAGTGAGTTCAGTGACGGAGGCGTCCACACCCCAGGAGGAGTTCAGTGACGGAGGCTTCCACACCCTAGGAGGGAAGAGCTTTAGTCTTGGCCTGCGGAGCCTGGCAGGTCATCATTATGTGGGTGATTCTCCTGTCTCTGTGTGGCACACCTAGACCCCCACAAGCTGAAAGTAGCTTTGCAGTGCTGCATTTATTTATTCAGTATGCAAATCCACATTTAGTACCAGCGTATGCCAGAACCTGTACTAGACATGCTAGAGCAGTTCATGTCTCAGTCTGAAAACATAACCCTTTGTTATTGGCCCTTGCCTTTAGGGAATAAGAACATGACTGTTAATAGTAGACCTTGGTGTTGGGAATCCTACTTTTAACTGTGCAAGTGAGAGCATTCTGAAACTTTTTAACATTTTATGCCCTCCTTCCTCTTTGCACTGCTGCTGGGGCCTCTCCTAGAGGAGAATGCATCCGACCTCTGCTGTCTCATTTCCTCTCTGGTGCAACTGATGATGGACCCCCACTGCAGAACCAGAATTGGTTTCCAGAGCCTCATCCAAAAGGAGTGGGTCATGGGTGGCCACTGTTTCTTGGATCGCTGCAACCATCTCCGCCAGAACGACAAAGAGGAGGTGAGTTCCCTCACTGCAGACTGTTTCCGTCATAGGGAGAACTACTGAATCTCTTATTTAATACCTGTCATCAGATGTAGTAGGATTGCTGCTTGCAAAGTGTAAGCCAAACAGGTTTGTTAAGAAAACTAGGATCGTTTCATTGTGTGATGACTTTGGATACTTTAAATAATAGTGAAACCTTTCCCAGAGGAAAGAGATATTAACAAGTATGTTCAGAGTTTTCTAAATTGTGTACACCAAGGGTGTATACATATTTCACAGTGGGAATAATATTTATTAATAAGACTTAAATATAAAGTAACTCAGTGAGGGAGACTCCTACCTTTTCTACAAAATTAGTCTTTGCAATAAAAAGATATTCAGGGTGCAGGTTTTCTACAGAAAATATAGGTTGAGCATCCCTTATCTGAAAGTCATGGGACCAGAAGTGTTTCAGATTTCAAATTGTTTTGGATTTTGGAATATTTGCATTCCATTACTGGTTGAGCATCCTTAATCCAAAAATTGGAGGCCTGGCATGGTGGTTTGCACCTGTAATCCCAGCACTTTGGGAGAACAGGAGTTTGAAACCAGCCTGGGCAACATAGACAGACCTCATCTCTACCAAAAATAAAAATAAAATAAAATAAACTGGGCATGGTGATGCCTGACTACAGTCCCAGTTACCAGGGAAGGTGAGGTGAGAGGATTGCTTGAGCCTGGGAGGTCAAAGCTGCAGTGAGCCATGATTGTGCCACTGCACTCCAGCCTGAGTGACAGTGAGACCCTATCTCAAAATAAATAAAGTTTTAGATTTTGGAACTGAATGATTTCAGATTTTCAGAGTCAATTTTTTTTTTTTTTTTTTTTTTTTTGAGACGGAGTCTTGCTCTGTTGCACAGGCTAGAGTGCAGTGGTGCAGTCTCAGCTCACTGCAGCCTCTGCCTCCTGGGTTTAAGCTTATCTCCTGCCTCAGCCTCCCTAGTAATTGGCATTACAGGTGTGCGCTACCATGCCTGGCGAATTTTTTGTATTTTTAGTAGAGATGGGGTTTCGCCATGTTGGCCAGGCTGGTCTTGAACTCCTGACCTCAAGTGACCCACCTGCCTCAGCCTCCCAAAGTGCTGGGATTACAGGCATGAGCCGCCACACCTGGCCATTCAGAGTCAATTTTCCTTGCACATAAACCTTTTTGAAATAAAGCACAGGGGCCAGGCACGGTGGCTCCCACCTGTAATCCCAGGACTTTGGGAGGCCAAGGCAGGTGGGTCACAAGGTCAGGAGGTCGACACCATCCTGGCTAACACGGTGAAACCCCGTCTCTACTAAAAATACAAAAAATTAGCCGGGTGTGGTGGCACATGCCTGTAGTCCCAGCTACTTGGGAGGCTGAGGCAGGAGAATCACTTAAACCCGGGAGGCAGAGGTTGCAGTGAGCCAAGATTGTGCCACTGCATTCCAGCCTGGGTGACAGAATGAGACTCCATCTCCAAAAAAAAAAGAAGAAAGCACAGGGTTATGTTAATGCCATCTGTTACCAGGGCCTTAGTGGTAGCGTGGGTGGGAATGTCCCCATAGCCTCTTCTGCTTCTGTCTGGACTAATCGCTCCAGGCCTGGACCTCCAAGTTCAGGCACAGGAGAGTTAGCATTTTAGGTCACCTGGTGAAAATGAGTCCCCCAGATTGTGGTGTACATGTCTAGATGACAGCTGTACACACTCCCTTGGCTGCCTTATTGATGATTGTTGGAAGGAAAAATGAAAACACACAAACTTTCTTTAATCAACTCACCTGCAGCGCTGACGTATGCTAGCAGTGTTACTTGTGGTTTTTCATACTCCAGGTAGTCAGCATGTCTGTCTGTGGTACAGAACAGCTTGACACAGAATGCTGTGGGCACACAGAGCCATGGCTCCTGATCGTAAGGGCTTGGCAGGTTCCTTGGGTGATCCAGGTCTCTCTCACTGAGCAAGATGGTTTCTTTCAGGCCTGGCCTGTACTTATCTGTGTCCCATTGAGCTGAATAGAAATCACATCTTTCAGTCCTGGAAGGGACTTGAAGAAACTAATTTGAAAGGTTGATGGCATTTACATAACATGGGAGGCAGAGAGAGCTGATACTTTGTGGAGACGAGTATGGTTGTTTTTTTTCTTTTCTTTTCTTTTCTTTTTTTTTTTTTGGAGAAGGAGTTTCGCTCGTGTTGCCCAGGCTGGAGTGCAATGGCACAATCTTGGCTCATTGCCACCTCCTCTTCCTGGGTTCAAGTGATTCTCCTGCCTCAGCCTCTTAAGTAGCTGGGATTACAGGCATTCCCCTCCATTCCCGGCTAATTTTGTATTTTTAGTAGAGACAGGGTTTCACCATGTTGGTCAGGTATCGAACTCTTGACCTCAGGTGATTCACCCATGTCAGCCTCCCAAAATGCTGGGATTACAAGCGTGAGCCACAGCGCCTGGCCTTGTTTTGTTTTTGAGACATGGTCTCTCTCTGTTGCCCAGGCTGGAATACAGTTGCACAGTCATGGCTTACTGCAGTTTCAACCCCCTGGGCTCAAGCAATCCTCCTGCCTCAGCCTTCTGAGTAGCTGGGACTATAGGTGTACACTACCATGCCTAGCTAATTTTTGTATTTTTTGCAGAGATGGGTTTTGCCATGTTGCCCAGGTTGGTCTCAAACTCCCGGGCTCAGGCGATCCATCTGCCTCAGCCTCTCAAAGTGCTGGAAATACACACATGAGCCACTGCGCCTACCCATATGTTTTTGTATATCTTGAGAAAAGGGGGACTGGCAGGCACCATGTCTAATGGGGAAAGAGTCTGAGGTCTAAGAAGAGACCTGATCTGCTGCTGTTCACCCAGCCCTTGGAGAAGTCACTTGTATTTTCTGAGCCTATTGCCCTGCCTATACATTGCAGTTCAAATATTTTCCACTCTATTTAATGATATTATGCATAAAATGAAGTGTGAAATAAAGTTGCTGTACAAATGTTTCTTAGCATCTCAACATGGACATATTGGAGTTTTGAAGGAAAATTGAAAAGAAACATGAGCCCTGTGTGAGACCCTGGGGACCGGCCTCCAGGCATCTCCAATCTTCCCTTTCCTCCTTTGTAAGGGAGAGACTAACATAGCTTCTCTTAGCCCCCTGGCAGGATCACTGGTTAATCAGGGAGGATAAGCGCTTTCTAAATGATAAAGCACACTAGAAACTACTCTCCCTGCTCATCAAGGGCTCGCCTCTGGGAGCTAATAAATGAGGCTTGTGGATTTGTAAAGATGCATTTTGAAAACATTTTGAAACTCACTTTCACTGCTTCTCCCTTGTCTCCCATCCCCGTTGTCTTCTGGGCCCTCACTGCGGGGTGGACAGGAGGCTTCTCCTTCCACGTTGGTCTCCAAGATCAAACCCTGTCAGTTAGTGTGTGGGCAGGTGGGGAATAGAAGTTCCCTCCCACCCCCCGTAACTTTTCATTGACAAAATTCAAAGTAGCACTCATAATTAAGTACATTGTTTGGTAATACAGTACTACTAATGGAAGAATGGAATTTTTTTGGAGGAGATAATATTTTGCTTAATTGGGGTTCTAAGTTAGTGTTTTCTATTATCAGAATCAATTGCAGATGCTCATCTGTAACACTGATCCATAATGAGGTTTTTACATATTTCGTCTTTGAAATGTCTTTGACACAGATAGGCATGTAAATCGCAAGCATGTGATTTCAGTTGAGCATATTTCTCACTTGGGATGGTATGGAGTATTCTGTGTTTCCCAGAGAATGAAGTCCTCAGAAGTGCTTATTCCACAGCTGTTGAGGTGGCTGCCCCCTGAACTCAGGATGGCTTGCTCTGGGCTCTGCCCACCAAGTAACGTATCTTGTTTTCATGCAGGTTCCTGTGTTCCTGCTTTTCCTAGATTGTGTCTGGCAGCTGGTGCACCAGCATCCCCCGGCATTTGAATTCACAGAGACTTACCTGACTGTTTTGTCAGATAGCCTGTATATACCTATTTTTAGCACCTTCTTCTTCAATTCACCTCATCAAAAAGATACTAACATGGTAAGAGTCCCTCTTAGGAACCTGTGTATTAAAGAGGCTTCTTCTCACAAGTAGGATGCAGTAATACTGATGCTACAAATAAAATGGTGCTCACTTGGCAGCACATACACTAAACAAAGTTGGAATAATACAGAGAAGATTAGCATGGCCCCTGCGAGAGGATGACATGCAAACTCATGAGACGTTCCATATTTTAAAAAAGATATTGAACACTAACTACATACCAAGCATTGGTCTAAGAGCTTCTTAGGTATTAATACTTACTCCTTACAGCACCCTATGGCATATGCATTTTTATTATCCTGGAGGAAGCTGAGGCAAAAAAAGGATAAGTAACTCACTCGTGGTCACATGGTAAATATTGGAACTGGAAGCAAGTGTTGAAGCTGGGGAATTAAGCAAAATTCAAAGCTGTCCATTTGAAAGACAGTTAGACCAGATGTCCTCCGATTTTGCCTGATGCCTGGAACTCCTCTGTGAAGAGAATGGGGACCAGCAGATCAGGGAAGCTAGCCTTTTCCTTCCATCTTAACCCTTTTGGCCCTTCCTGGACTGTGCCCCCAATTAGATAATCTCAGTGCTTCTGAGCAGCCTCCTGAGGGCTACAGGCTTTGCTTGAGCTGGGAGGATTACCAAATCCCCCAGTGAAGTAGGAGCAACAGCCCTGCTTTCAGAGCTCAGCCTTGTGACTCACCAGCTTTGTGACCTTGGGCAGTTCAGTTTTCTGAGCCTTGGTTTCCTCAAATGTAAAATTGGAAAAACAACAGTTGCCTCGCGAGGCTGTGGAAGCACCCAGCACAGCGGCTGGCGTGTAGACTGCTGGAAAGGAAGTGTCCTTGTTCTTGCCCTCCTCCCACACCAAAAGCTTGTAGTGAATAACCACAGGTAGCCTCAGCCTTAAATGCCCATGATTATTCATTCTCAGGGCAGAGCAGGAGCATGCTTCCTGGTGCCTGTGTCCAGAAGTATGTGTTTGCCTTCCTCAGCCCTCCCTGGAAAACAGCATGACCTGTGCTTGTTTTGGCAGGGTAGAGAAGGCCAGGATACACAAAGCAAGCCTTTGAATCTGCTCACCGTGTGGGATTGGTCGGTGCAGTTTGAACCCAAAGCCCAGACATTGCTCAAAAACCCTCTTTATGTGGAAAAGCCAAAACTGGACAAAGGCCAACGGAAAGGAATGCGCTTCAAAGTAAGATGTCCACATGTCTAAACCCCCTTCAGCTGCCCAGACCCCGTGCATGTAATGATAAAAGGTACTTACGGATTCTGTCTGCCAGCATTTTCTACCCCTCGAAGCAGTCTGCAGAGTTGAGACTTGTGATGGTCAAATTGTCAAGGGCCATTAGAATCCTTTGCTTTCAGCAAATCACCTTTGCCCTGGTACAACAGGGCCATTTGCCAGATGTCACTGTGGATGCTGCCACCCTGGTCATACTCCATGGAATCGTGCCTCTTGTCCTGCCTGTGTGTGTGTGTGTGTGTGTGTGTTTGTGTGTGTGTGTGTGTTAGTAGAGTAAAAGGAACATTGATTGTGTGGGTTTTACTTGGCCGATACCAGTTCATTTATTATAATAAATAGTAAGACTTTTCTTAATGAGCTGTGCCTGTAAACCACAGGTTGCAAAACTCTGTCAAGGGCTGCAAAGTCTCTGTCACAACTACCCCTCTACTGTTGTAGTACAAAAGAAGCCTTAGTCTGCTCTGCCCTTGGAGTAGCCATTCTTTATTCCTTTACTTGAAAAAAAAAAAAGGAGCCTTAGTAGGTGAACAAGTAGGCATAGCTGTGTTCCAGTGTTTACGAGAACAGGCGCCAGGCCAGATTTGGCCGGAGGGGTGGCCAGTTTGCTGACCTATGCTATGAGCCACAAATGTCAGAAAGTCATTTTAGTTGATAATCCCAAAGTTCCCTAACTGATGAATTATTTAACTGACATTTCCTAGCTCTGTCTCCAGGCCCAGAATTTCTCCCCCACAGAGTCCACAAAGGAGAGAGCAGTGATGGTAAGTCTAAGTCGATGTGTGTCACTGCCTTCTCCATGCCATCCTTATCCTGCCTGATCTGGAGGGCTTCAGAAAGCCTGGCCCTTTCTGGTGTCAGAGTTGGTTCCATTCTAAAGAGGACTGGGGACCTGGGTGAGCCACGGCCAGCAGAGACGATGTTGGCTGCTGAACGACTCAGAATGGCCACTTTGCCCTTTTAGGGGCCGCAGGCCCAGGGTGGAGTTTCCCCTTTCTGGCTGAGCCTCTTCTGCCAGTTTAACCAGAATTGCCCTGAGCCCCAGAACAGCTTGGCCAGAAATTGGTTTTTCTTCAGTGTGTTGTGCCCCCTGGTGGCTGCATGCACATTCTCATGAGAGCTGGATTGGCACCAGAGAAACTGCCCTGTGCCAGAGTGGCAGGGGACCTCAGAGACAGCGAGGACAACGTCTGTTGTGTTACGGGAGGAACCTAAGGCTCCCCCTTCCAATAATGGATTTCATTTCTCTCCTCAGACCTAGCTTTTCTAATCATCTCTTTTCCTTGGGAGATAGGGACAGACAGCCTAAGCTCCAGGAGTTGGCAGGTGGGAAAGGACTGAGCTGAAGGGGTGGAGAATTTCAGGTTGCACTAGCTAAATCACAGTTGGGACGGGGGCGACAAGAAACCTTGAAGCCTTTGGGTAAGAAGACCAGATATCAGGTGGAGCAATGTGTTGAGCGGCCTGGTGGCCTGGGGGAAGTTCTGCAGAGACTCTGAGGAAGCAGGGGCTGAGCAGCATGTGGTGCTGCCGTGCAAATGCCACACGGTGGGGGGGACCCATTCCAGTGTGCAGCCTCGGTGTCAGCCGCAGGCCCGGGCCAGGCTTTGGCCTGCAGAGCTGCTGGCATGTCAGCTGGTCTTGAGTGCTCCCTTTGCTTAGGAGATAGAGAGAAGGGGGCTTCCAGGACCAAGGAGAGCTCAGTAGAGAGCCCAGGCTCTGGAGCCAGACTATTTGAACCACCTTTGGCACTGAGCAGCAGTGCCTTCGGCAGATTGCTTACCTCTGTGCCTTAGTTTCCTTGCTTGTAAAGTGGGGCAATAATAGTGACTTTGAGAATGAGGTGCTCAGTGAATGTGAGTACTGAGCACAGAACCGAGCAGGCAGGAAGCACTGGGTGGTGGTTCAGTGTAGTCCCTGCCCTGCCTGACACATCTTCACGATGGAGAAAAAGAGAGGCCACTGAATCCTGGCCTTCATCTTTCCTGACCCTGGATGGAAAGTCAAATCCTGGTCACCTCCGAGCTGTGGTCTTGTGGATGGTTTTGTTTTCTTTTTAATATTTTTATTGTTATTCCATATTTCATAATAAGGAAATAATTTTCTTTACAATAAAGAATATCTTTTTACAAGGAAGAACCATTGATGGAAATATGTTAGAGAGTTTTAGAGTGAACCTGAAAATTAAGTTGTTATCTCTTCTTACTTCAAATGAACAGTAGCAAAAGAGCTGGACAAACAGCTTCTCCCCACATGTTTTTACTTCTGCTTTGGGCACTGGGGAACCCTCATGACCTTCCGACCACATCCATCTTTTACAACCCTTTTTTTTTTTTTTTTTTTGCGAGCCAGAGTTTTGCTGTCATTGCCCAGGCTGGAGTGCAACGGCGTGATCTCGGCTCACTGCAGCCTCTGCCTCCTGGGTTCAAGCAATTCTCCTCCCTCAGCCTCGGGTGCCCACCACCACACCCTGCTAATTTTTTCTATTTTTAGTGGAGATGGGGTTTTGCCATTTTGGCCAGGTTGAGGTTGGTCTTGAACTCCTGGCCTCAGGTGATCTGCCCGCCTCGGTCTCCCAAAGTGCTAGGATTACAGGCATGAGCTACTGCGCCCAGCCTCAAAACCCTTTCTCAGTGCACCCCCAAATATAATACTCTGCTCTGGCCACAGAGAGAATGACCAAGGGGGGAAATATGAAAATGTGAAAATGCTCTCCCATTTTCTACTCCATGCAGGTTGCCAGACAAGTCTGGTCAGCTTAGCTGGCTCATCACATTTCTTTGCTCTCACCTGCCTGTTTTCTGTATCTAAAAGAATCTTTATGACTTCGGCTTAAACTCCCACTGGATGCCTGATAAGCTGCTATTTCACCCATGTGATAGTATCTTCTGGTAGTTAGCAGTGCCTCCTTGCAGTTGTTCAGAAGATTGTAGTGGTTAACAGCCTTAAAGTTCTCAAAGAAGAAACATCTTTTTCCCTTTAGAACATGAATGGGCCTGACCCACAAGTTCCCCTAAATCATTAAACTATCTTAAGTTAAACAGCTTTTTCAGAAGTGCTTTGTGTCCTGTGGTGCCCCTGTGACAGAGGAGGAGGGCACCAAAAGCTCCTTTCTCTGTGTCCCAGCATGCCTTTCTGCACAGCTGCCACGTGCACCTGCTTCCCCATTTGTTTCTGGTACAGTGTGCACCATGGCAATACACAGGAATACCCCACCTCTGGATGTCACAGCGTGTTAATGAGTGTGCATTCACATGGCAACACTGATGTCTCTTGGAACTTGTTAAAGCAGGGTTATGCTCTTTTTGTTATGGTAACAGCTGTTAACTGTGCCTGTTATGTTAACCAGTGATTTTTATTTGTGTTTTCTCTCAAAGCATCAACGACAACTTTCTTTGCCACTTACACAATCTAAGTCATCTCCCAAAAGAGGATTTTTCAGGGAAGAAACAGATCATTTAATTAAAAACCTTCTGGGCAAGAGAATTAGCAAACTTATTAATTCTTCTGATGAGCTCCAAGACAACTTTCGAGAGTTCTATGACAGCTGGCATAGCAAGTCCACTGACTACCATGGTTTGTTGTTACCGCATATCGAGGGGCCCGAAATCAAAGTCTGGGCCCAGCGCTACCTACGTTGGATTCCAGAAGCCCAAATCCTAGGTGGTGGCCAAGTGGCCACTCTGAGCAAACTCTTGGAAATGATGGAGGAAGTCCAGAGTTTACAAGAGAAGATCGACGAGAGACACCACAGCCAGCAGGCCCCCCAGGCTGAGGCCCCCTGCCTGCTGAGGAACTCTGCCCGCCTCTCGTCTTTGTTTCCTTTCGCTCTGCTCCAGCGACATTCCTCTAAGCCCGTCTTACCCACCAGTGGCTGGAAAGCTTTGGGAGATGAAGACGATTTGGCCAAACGAGAAGATGAGTTCGTGGACCTAGGGGATGTGTGACCTGTTTGTTGAGTGATTGTGAAAGAGGAATGTGGGAGATTGGGACAGCTGATCCCTGGATTTGTGTCACGCTACAGCTCATGCTGGCTGGGTCCTTAGCCCGGCACTCCGTTAGAATAAACCTGGGCCTTCGGGAAAAGAGGTGGCTCTCATTATTTTTCATGATTCTAAAAGACTATGCAATTAAAACCGCATCTGTAGTATTACTAATTGGAAGGAATTATTACTTGACCCGTAATAGGGTTGTGGCCGTTTTCTGATGCCTAAGTATTATACAGAGCCCACAATGGCCAGTTTACTACCAGAAAGGGCTTCAGTAAGATATTCTTGGACTTGATACTTTCTTCAGATCCTCTTTGTGCCAAGATAATTTATCCAGTCATTGGGAATAGTAAGTTTCTGTGTAACCCATCTCAATTATAGAAGCAAGTTCAGCTTTATGTATTTGTATGGGGAGTTGAAGATTCAGATAGAGGTATTAAGATGTGTGGCATTTACTTAAACCATCACATTTTTTTCTTTCTACGCCCCCTTGCCTGTAAAACACCTGGGAAGTTCCACTGGTGTCATCCATCCTGATGCTTCAGACCACCCTCCCTTCTTCACAGACCGTGTCACTTTGCCTGTGGGTGGGGGCTAGCCAGCCACCACCCTCTTTTCTGTGCTGCCAGCCCCAGGTCTTCCTCCGCCTGCTCCACACCACTCGCCGCTGTCCCTCTGCACTCCCTGCCTTGGTGCGTGTAGTCCCAGTGTCTCACTGCCAAACCTCTTGGTTACGCTGCGGGGATCTGTTTCTTTGCCTGAGATCCTTCCTGAGGAGCGTCCATTCCTCTGGAGTCTCTCCTTGTTTGGAACAAATCGCTTCGCCTTTTTCTACTTGCCTGCTGAAGCTTTGGAGCACTTGTGATTGCAGTTTTCTGCCGCAACCCCTGAGCCGAGTTCCTCACATTCTTTTACCTTTATGGACTGATGGGATTGGGTCACTTTTGAATGTGGCTTTCATAGGAAAGCAGCTTAAACATAAATATCAGAAGTGATGATTATCATATGATACCTCAGTGATTTTAAAAGCCATAGAAGAAACTTGACTATGCCTGGTCACCTTCTTGGATCTGCTGTCTAAATGATATATATATGATATATATGTGATATATATATATCATATATATGATATATATATATATATCACATATATATGATATATATATGATATATATATATCACATATATATGATATATATATCATATATATGATATATATTTTTTTTAATGCAGGAAAGTATACTTTGTAAGGAGCAGATTTTTTTGTTCTCAGTGGAACCCTGTCAAATCGCATAAAAGAGGAAAAAAACAAAACTCATTAGAATGTTTTAAATTGAATGTTCGCCTTTTACATATATTTGCTCTTCAGTATGGATCCCAATTTGAATGTTACATGTTCGGAAAAACTTTCAGTTGCTCAAGGGCAATAAGAAAATTTGAGGCCGGGTGTGGTGGCTCACGCCTGTAATCCCAGCACTTTGGGAGGCTCAGGTGGGCGAATTGCTTGAGCCCAGGAGTTCGAGACCAGCCGGGGCAACATGGCAAAACCCTGTCTCTACTAAAAATACAAAAATTAGCTGGGTGTGGTGGTGCATGCCTGTAGTCCCAGCTACTCGGGAGGCTGAGGTGGGAGGATCCCGTGAGCCTGGGAGGTGGAGTTTGCAGTGAGCTAAGATCGTGCCACTGCACTCCGGCCTGGGTGATGGAGCAAGACCTCGTCTCAGAAAATTGGAAACTATTGACTAAGAGAAGTTTCTAGGTTTGCACTGAATTGTCTTTTGTACATACAGTGAATTGTTTTGCTGTTCTCCCCACTCCATATTAATGCAGGAGCCAGGTTGGTCTGTTAGGATGAACAAAGGTTGAGGGGAGGGCAGGATTCGTGCATCTGGGGGCCAAACACATGTTCCGTCTTGATTGCCTTAAGAGTTACTAGCGAGGTCAGTGTTAGGCTTGCAATAGGGATTTTAAAATACACTAACTAGTTCCTTAGCTACCTTCACATACATTCTATAGGCCTTCTTAAATTAGCACTAACCTCCACTTCCTTCTCTGCCCCATTGCCTCCCAAATATGCTATGGAGCTATTTTTGTTACCACGTTATAACGTGAATATTTATACAGTAGCCTCTTCAGGCTTTGTAATTTTCATTCCAAAAATGCCCGGTGTGATGCTTTACACTCTACAAAGTATGGTTTAAAGGCACAAGGTCATGGCCTTTGTCATAGCAGTTGAATGTGCATTGACATATTTTTCTATGATTTTTTAAAATTACAATAGAAAAATAAGCTGTTGTAACGTGTAAGGTCATGACAATTTTTGTATTTATATTTGAAATCAGATTTCTATAACTCGTATTTGTGTACAGAATTCTCAATGGATTTATATATTGTGAAATTTTTATCTGAGATTGGGATGTGGATTATGCTTAACAGTGAGAGCTGAAATGAGACCATTTACTTTGTTTAAAATGCTGTACTGTGCAAGTTTGGAAATGTAAATTAATTTACTGTATATAATATCTTGAGTTTGTTTATACCTCCAAGTTTTTACACTGAAGATAAACTAGCTTTAATTCAAAACTTTTTTTTTCTTTATAAGGGAATAAGCTGTTGAGCTAAACCTGTATACTTGTGCTTTTTATTTTCTGGATGCACAATGAAAGTTTATACTTGTATCTCACTGCATCATATCTGATTGCAGAAATTAAAGCACAATTTACAAGCAATACTGTACTTGGTGTGGTTGGTATAACACATGGAGTAATCCGTTTCATTCTTTCAGGAAATATTGAGCATGTACTGGGTACTTGGCAGGGCCAGTGGGGACAGCAGGGAAGAGTGCAGTTTGCGTTCTTGTGGGGCACAGGGAGGTTTGGTGGTGGGAACCGATAACCAAACAAATATTTATAATAGGTGATTTGCAGTTACATGTATATCACAGCACTATTCACAATAGCAAAGACATGGAATCAACCCAGGTGCCCATCAGTGATGGATTGGATCAGGAAAATGTGGTACATATACACCATGGGATACTATACAGCTATAAAAAAGAATGGAATCACGTCCTTTGCGGCAACATGGATGCAGCTGGAGTCCATTATCCTAAGTGAATTAATGCAGAAACAGAAAACCAAATACTGAATGTTCTCATAAGTGGGAGCTAAACATTGGGTATTGGACGTAAAGATAAGAACAACAGACACGGGACTCAAAATGGGGAGGGAGTCAGGGAAGGGTTGAAAAACCACCTATTGGGTACTGTGTTCACCATTTGAGTGATGGGTTCAATTGAAGCCCAAACTTCAGCATCACGCAATATACCCATGTAATAAACCTGCACATGTACCCTCTGAATCTAAGGTAAAAATAATAAAAAATCTAGCTGACACTGTGGCTCACGCCTGTAATACCAGCACTTTGGGAGGCCGAGGCGGGCGGATCACCTGAAGTGTCGGGAGTTCAAGACCAGCCTGGCAACGTGGTGAAACCCTGTCTCTACTAAAAATACAAAATTAGCTGGGTGTGGTGGCGCATGCCTGTGATCCCAGCTACTTGGGAGGATGAGGCAGGAGAATCGCTTGAACCTGAGAGGTGGAGGTTGCAGTGAGCCAAGATAGCACCACGGCACTCCAGCCTGGGCAACAGAGGAGGGCTCTGTCTGAAAAGAAAAAAAAATCCCAGGTGATGATAAAATGCTGAAGAAAAAATAGGGTGGGGATAGGGTGATTAAAAGAAAAGAGTTTTTAACCCTGAAATTAAATATTATTACCTCTCTGCTTTTTGTGGGGATCTGTAAAATTAGAATTCTGTTACTCTGGAATAAAAATTGCTGGAAGAGATCTGAGTACATTTAAACCATGAAAGATAGAAAAAGGCTTTGTTTTTGCTTTCAGAGAGGTTAAGTGAGCGAGCACAGGGTAAGATGGCTTATGAGAGTAGGATTTGTTTCTAATTCGTTTTAATACTTAACTAGATTGAGACATAGCACTTTGTATGTTCTGAGAAACAAGGCTCATATTTCTTTGACCTTTCCTACCTACAGAGGAGGCTTCCCACTCTGCTGCTTGTCCCCATCCCCCTTTCCTATCTGGCCAGCACACTATGTCCAGAAAGCTAGCTCTGAGACACCCCTGGAATTTAATAAGCTCTCATGGATGCCACGTGCTTTTCAGATGTTTTGCTTCTTTGGTGTTTGTATTAAATTCCCAAGTAGTAGTTGTGACCGTAGAGTTTAGCAGCTTCTCGTCTTATTTTCCACATTTGTTTAGCTCTTGTACTTTTGGTGGACTTAGCTGTCTCTCACTCTTGATTTTGCTTGTTCCTTGATGTCCAGGTGAGGGCATGGAGGGACTTGGGGAGTAAAGAGTGGAATGTTCTCCGTCCAGTGTGAAACAGGGTGGGGGGTCGGCTCCTGTTGGGAACTAGCCCCTGTGCCTTCACGTCCCCTATCATTAAGGGAGTTGGAGGCAGAGGGGGGCCTGTCTATAGCCTGTTTTCTGGCCAGGCGCAGTGGCTCACACCTGTAATCCAGCACTTTGGGAGGCTGATCACAAGGTCAGGAGATCAAGACCATCCTGGCTAACATGGTGAAACCCCGTCTCTACTAAAAATACAAAAAAATTAGCCATGCGTGGTGGTGGGCGCCTGAAATCCCAGCTACTTGGGAGGCTGAGGCAAGAGAATAGCATGAACCTGGGAGGCGGAGCTTGCAGTGAGCAGAGATCACACCACTGCACTCGAGCCTGGGCGACAGAGCGACTCTGTCTCAAAATAAATAAATAAATGAATAAAGCAAGCCTGTTTTCTGAGCCCTTCCTGTGGTCGTGTGCTGGGCTTGTGTCCCACTGTGGCTCTAGATTATTTATAAATGTGTCCCTGGGGCAGGACAATTTGGGGCTGAGCACGCAGGATGCCCCTGCCCTGCTGCAGAGACAAGAGCTATAGAGATGCATGGCCTTATTGGGTCCACCTTCCACACACACATACAACACCCTGAAAAGTACTAGCATGAGGGTGGGAGAGGCAAGACCCTGTTTGTACCGTGGGTTCCAGTGTAACCAGGGATGTGTCCAAGTGCCTACACTTGAGTTTGTTGATAACCAGGCTAGCTGTGGGTAGTGCAAAATCAGTGTTTTAAATATCATGTGTTGAAAAGTAATTTGAGTGGCTTTATGTCTGAAAACAGACATCTCAGCCTGTTTTGTGGTTCAGACCCAGGTTCTTTTCTTTTTAAATCCCCTATTACACTGTCTGCCCTTAGCAATTAAAGGATATAAAGTGTGTTACTATATGAAAATATGCACAGTAAGCTTTTTTCAATATATAATCTGTAGGTTCACACACAGTAAGCTTTTTGGACTTGTTTTTTAAAAACTTCCATTTTGCTAGCCAGTTTCATAAAGGGCTGTCTGGACCTGAATGTTTTTATGAAATCCTGAATGGAGGACTTTTCAAATTGTCTTCGCAGAAGTCTGGGGCCCAGTGAATGTTGTGCTTACTCATCCCCAGCACTGAAAGGGCACAAGTGCATGCCATTCCTGGGAAGGAAAAGAATGCAGATGGATGGCATTTCATCCCTGGACTGACCCTGAGGACTCTGCTTGGAATGCTACTGCAGTAGCCTCCAGGAGAGGATGGAAAAGACCTCTCCTCTCTCCCCAGCTGATGGGGGTGGGGTGGGGGGAAGCAGTAGAGATTGGTGGGGGTGGGGCAGGGGTGGACTGGGAAGGTGCACAAGGGAATGTTCTGGAGTGATGGTAGATGGTAGCATTGTATATCTTTTTTTTTTTTTTTTTTTTTTTGAGACAGAGTCTTGCTCTGTCGCCCAGGCTGGAGTGCAGTGGCACGATCTTGGCTCACTGCAACCTCTGCCTCCCGGGTTCAAGCAATTCTCCCACCTCAGCCTCCCAACTAACTGGGATTACAGGCGCCCACCACCAGGCCCGGCTAATTTTTTTTTTTTTTTGGTATTTTTAGTAGAGACGGGGTTTCACCGTGTTAGCCAGGATGGTCTCGATCTCCTGACCTCGTGATCCGCCCACCTCGGCCTCCCAAAGTGCTGGGATTACAGGCGTGAGCCACCGCGCCTGGCCAAAAAAAAAAAAAAATTTTTTTTTTTTGAGACAGGATCTCATTCTGTTGCCAAGGCTGGTGTGCAGTGGCGTGACCACAGCTCACTACAGCCTTGACTTCCATTTTGTAGAAATGGAATCTCACTATGTTGCCCAGGCCGGTCTTGAACTTCTGAGCTTGAGTGATCCTCCTGCCTTGTCCTCCAAGAGTGGTGGGTTTGGAGGTATGAGCCACCGTGCCTGGTTCTGGCTCTCTGAAGCCAGACTGCCTGAGTCTGAATCCCTGCTTTGCAGCTTACAAACTAGGATAACATCCCTCCATCTCTGTTTCCTCATCAGTAAAATGGCACCATGCCCAGAACCCACCTCACTGGAGAGTTGGAGGTTTAAGGATAAGTGTCTATTATAATGTAAATATTCAATACATGGAGCTATTATTATCTATGTGTGTGGTCATTTACATACATCATGTAAACAGAGGGATGTGTGTGTGTGTGTGCGTGTGTGTGTGTGTGTTTAAACTTAATCTGCACCCCAGGAACAATTAACATTTGAAGTATCCTAAACAGGAACCCAGGTTCCAAAGGTGGCTACATAAGCACTTCAAATGTTTTCAAAATCTATCCCAGAAGGTTTGTTGAACAGCACATGGAATGTTAAAAATCATCTTTCAAAGGTGCAATGAGTGGGTACTTGAGGTATGTGGTTGGCTAGAAATGTCAAAGAGGCCTCACTTTCACACCTAGAGGATATACAAATCCATCAGGCCCAGCAGTATAAACACATCAGAGCAGAGAACGAGGCCTAAAAACCCTCCACATCACCAGACGGACTGCAGGGTTAGCTGGTCCTGCTGTCTCGTAGCATCTTTTTGTTTTTGTTTTGAAACAGGGTCTTACTCTGTCACCCAGGCTGGAGTGCAGTGGCACAGTCATGGCTCACTGCAACCTCCGCCTCCCAGGCTCAAGTGATCCTCCCACCTCAGCCTCCCTGGTGGCTGGGACTACAGGGGCGTGCTACTGTGCCCGGCTAATTTTTGTATTTTTAGTAGAGACAGGGTTTTGCCATATTGCCCAGGCTGGTCTGTAACTCCTGGGCTCAAGTGATCCACCTGCCTCAGCCTTCCAAAGTGCTAGGATTACAGGTGTGAGCCACCACGCCCAGCCTGTATCTAACTTAAGAGTAAAACTTTCATGCAAGGTATTGTGTGGAGGCCTGAGGACACAGAGTGGGAATCCTCCACAAAGTCTAAGAACAGGAAATACGACTATTTTTTTTTCTTTTGAATTTTTAATGACCAAAACAAAGCATCTAAAACCGCAGCTTCTGGAAGAACCACTTGTTCTTGCCTGTCTTATATCTCTCTTCAAACTTGACCTTGGCTTCTCGTGGGGCCTTGCGTTTAAGAGCAGGGTCTCTAAAGACATCCTTATTGATGACAGTTTTGTCTAAGGGAATAAGATACCCACAGAATACCTTGTGGCCATTAGGTGATTGTAGTTATAAACTTTCACAAAAGACTTGATCTTTGACCTCTTGGAGATCTTCTTCTTGCCCATGGCAGCTGTCACTTTGAGGGGATAGCGGTCAATTCCAGCCACCAGAGCATGGCTGAAGGGGCTATCTGAGGTGCCATCATCATTGTTCTTCACAATGATGGCTTTGCGTCCAGCGTAGCCTCCAGCCAGGACAAGCACCACCTTCCCAGGTTTCATGAATTTGCCCATTTTGGCAGCAATCACTCGGGCCTACAGCAAAAAGGCGGAAATTTTGGGCTGTTAACAAAAGTCCAAGGCTCCCGCTGTCATTGTAAAACACCACTGCTGGGGAGGTGGTGGTGATGGAAGCAGGGAGCTATAGCTCTGCCTGCCTCTAACTGCCAGAAGCTACTGACACCAGAAGGACATCACCATTGCCGAATGGCCAAGTTGACTTAGGTCAATCTATGACATCCTACCAGATTTACTGGAAATTCTATCATAATTACATTATAGTTGATTTACTGGATATTCATGGTTATATCTGGGGGCCTCCTTGCTCATTCCTTAGAGCTGTGCGGGAGCCCAGGGCATATGAATTCTGCTGGTGGCCTTCTGTCCACCATGGCTGCTGCCTAGGAGCTCTTTGCCTGAGGTCTATATGTGTTAGTTTGGATTCCCCCAGAAGCAGGCTCTGGATCAAGGATTTGGGTGCAAGTGGTTTATCTGGGCAGTGTTCCCAGGTACCACTGTGAAATGATGGGGAACGGAGAAAGGGAAAACAAAGAATAACAGATACAGTAAGGAACGAGTGATTACTGTGGGCAACTGGGGCCAGCCCCCTGGGGACTCCCGAGAGACCATGTGGAGCATGTTTGGAATAGTCCCACAGAAGAGTGAGGAAGCTGGGGTACTGACAACAACTCCTCTCCCCACTAGTTGAGGGCGGGTTGCTCCTGGGAATCTGTTGGTGTGTGCAGGGACTGCCAGAGATGTGGGCAAGGGACCGCCTACTGCAGTCCATAGGGTCTGCTGGGAGATGGACAGCCTTCCTGCCACAGCAGTTTGGGGACAGCATCTCTGACAAAGCCGCCAAGCCAGGCACCTGGCTGGCTTGGTCTAGCCTAGCCAAGCACACTGTGTAACAATCCCCCACCCAGGGGCCAGGCCTCTGCAACATGCAGTAATGCCCAAATATTTAGCTGCTCATTCAAGGGGGTGGTACATCAAAATAAGAAAACAGCCAGGCGCGGTGGCTCACAACTGTAATCCCAGCACTTTGGGAGGCTGAGGCAGGCAGATCACCTGAGGACAGGAGTTTGAGACCAACCTGGCCAACATGGTGAAACCCTGTATCCACAAAAAATACAAAAATTAGCCGGGCATGGTGGTGGGTACCTATAATCCTAGCTACTTGGGAGGCTGAGACAGGAGAATCGCTTGAATCTGGGAGGCGGAGGTTGCAGTGAGCTAAGATCGTGCCACTGCACTCCAGCCTGGGCAATGAGCTGTCAAAAAAAAAAAAATTCCGTCTCAAAACAAAAAAAAAAATAGTATCATGGCTAGTTCAGGGCCTTGTATTTTTAAAGCAATTGTGTCAACAGGCTATCATTTTTTCAGTCAAGGCAGAATTTTTAAATGTGGGGCTGATAATTTTCGGTTTCCACAAATTCTAAGTAATAGTCTCCCTCTTCTTCTCTGAGGCAGCTACAGTTTCTTACCTGTTTATTTTGAAAGGGATTACAGTGGCTCATGCCTGTAATCCCAGCACTTTGGGAGGCCAAGGCAGGTGGATCACTTGAGGTTGGCAGTTTGAGACCAACCTGGCCAACATGGCAAAACCCCACCTCTACTAAAAAATACAGGTCGTACACAGTGGCTCACGCCTGTAATCCCAGCACTTTGGGAGGCCTAGGCGGGCGGATCACGAGGTCAGGAGATCGAGACCATCCTGCCTAATACGGTGAAACCCCGTCGCTACTAAAAAATACAAAAAAATTAGCCGGGTGTGGTGGCAGCCGCCTGTAGTCCCAGCTGAGGCTGAGGCAGGAGAATGGTGGCAGAGCTTGCAGTGAGCCGAGATTGCATCACTGCACTCCAGCCTGGGCGACAGAGTGAGACTTGTCTCAAAAAATAAAAAATAAAAAAAAATTAGGGGCCGCGCGCAATGGCTCTCGTCTGTAATCCCAGCACCTTGGGAGGCTGAGGCGGGTGGATAACCTGAAGTCAGGAGTTTGAGATCAGCCTGGCCAACATGGTGAAACCCCGTCTCTACTAAAAATATAAAAAGATTAGCCGGGCGTGGTGGTGGGTGTCTTTAATCCCAGCTACTCCGGAGGCTGAAGCAGGAGAATTGCTTGAACCCAGGAGACGGAGGTTGCAGTGAGCCAATATGGTGCCACTGCACTCCAGCCTGGGTGACAGAGTGAGACTCTGTCTCAAAAAAAAAAAAAAAAAATTAGCCAGGCGTGGTGGTGCGTGCCTTCCTGCAGTCCCAGCTACTCAGTTGCAGTGAGCCAGGATTGCACCACTGCACTCCAGCCTGGGCAACACAGCGAGACTCCACTTCCAAAAAAAAAAAATATATATATATATATATATATTAGATTCCCAACATTTAACCATTTTGAACCAATACGACACTGCCAACATTTGACCACTCTTTACTACAAAAATGACATTTTCATGTGGTTCAAATTAAACATATGAATTTGAGGTGGGACTGGGATATTGTTTACACCACATCTCTTTATCTTGCTTTTCTCAGTCTGCATTGTCTCATGGAAATTGCTCTGAATTGAGGTGGAGTTCTAATACATTTATTTATTTATTTATTTATTTTTATTTTTATTTATTTTTTTGCTCTGGCACCCAGGCTGGATTGCAGTGGTACAATCAGGGCTCACTGCAGCCTCAACTTCCCAGGCTCCAGCGATCCTCCTACCTCAGCCTCCTGAATAGCTGGGACTACAGGCGCGCACCAGCACGCCTGGCTCGTTTTAGTATTTTTGGTAGAGACAGGGTTTCACCATGTTGCCCAGGCTGGTCTTGAACTCCTGAGGTCAAGCAATAGCCCCCTCCTCGGCCTCCCAAAGGGCTGGGATCACAGGCGTGAGCCCCCGCGCCCAGCCTCTAGTGCATTTTTCCATAGCTTCTCAAAGGGCACGTGCAGGGAATTGTGACAGTCTTGTCTCAAGCCCATTCCTCACTAATGCTTTCAGCTCCCTCCTACCTCAACAGAAACTGCCTGATTTCTCCCCAGTCCTGCCTGTGCCTCCCCTTTACGAAGGGGAATAATTTTTAGATTCGCAAAGCCTGGGGGCCATGTCTAAATTGCCCTTCCTATTTCTACCAGGGAATCGAGTTTCATCCTGTCTTGGGGCTTCTGGGTATGGGGCTGATTTTCCAGAACTCTTGAAGATTTGACCCACACCGCCCCTTGCCTCACAGGAAATGGCAAAACTAACTAGATGATTATGTGATTCAATCCTTAATGTGGAGTTTTTATAAAATTAAAAAAAAAAAACCCACACAGTGCCTTGAATATACAGAGCACCTCTCCATTCATCTCAGTTCAAGAAGTCCTGCCAAGCCTTTGAAGTACAGTAACATTCTCAAATGTGCACCCCCCGCCCAAAATCGTTCACACTGCAGAACACTATTCAGGAAAGAAATGTTTCGTGATTTTTTTAAAAAAAATGAGTGAAAAGCCAAGAAATTAAACAGCCTCTGTTTATGGCAGGTGGTAAGAAAAATGTAACGTAACACATACCCTTCCCTGCCTTTTGCATAACCAGTTTGATGCATAGTTCTACTGTGCGAGCAGATTCAAAACTTGCTGGTTTTCTTCGTAATAACATAGCACATGCCAGGGAATAAGGGCTCAGTGTGTTCTAGGCACAAGGAGAACTTATTCTGGACTGACTCAAGCAGAAAGAAGCCAAATTGTCAAGACAAAGAGCAGCTTAGACGCGTGAATTCCAGCGCGACAGCCATGGCTGCTCTGTTCAGAGATGTAGTTCTGTGGTTAGGCCCCAACGGCTCGCCTTTTTGGGTATTCCTCTACTTAAATCAGGTGGTTGAAGGTATTCGTGGCTCTCAGAAAGGACAGGCTGGGGAGAGAGAAGTTGTCCCGCAGCTGCAAGTTTCTTTGAGGCCTCTCTTTCCATTTTGGCTGCTGGCCAAATACTCATTTTAACTAGGGACCTACTGTAGGACACAGAAGTGATTGCCCCGGCGTGGTAGCCCTGCTGTCTACTTTTCACTCAGTAAATACATGCTGAAGAAGCTAATTCAGGAGGTTGAATTTAAACCATTAGGTTCGAGATTTGTTATATTATTATAAAAAATCATCTTTAATATTTGTGGATAGAGCCATCACCAGAGATAAAAAGGGCAGTTTGGGCTGGGCATGGTGGCTCATGCCTGTAATTCCAGCACTTTGAGAGGCCGAGTGGGGAGGATTGACGAAGGCCAGGAGTTCGAGACCAGCCTAGGCAACATAGCGGGACCCCCATCGCTACAAAAACAAAAACAAAATTAGCTGGGTGTGGTGGTGCAGGCCTGTAGTCCCAGCTACTCCGGGAACTGTGAGGTGGGAGGACTGCTTGAGTCCAGGAGATCGAGGCTGCAGTGCACAGAGATCGCACCACTGCACTCCAGCCTGGGGGACAAAGCAAAACCCTGTCTCCCAAAATAAAAACCAATAAAAAATAGATAAAAGGGCAGTTTTATTAATAAAGAGGATAGGAAAGAAACTCCTCCCGAGCCCTGCGGATCTAACCGAGCACTGTCAAGGGAGGCTGTGTCTCCTGCTCCTCTCTCCGCACCAGTCCAGGCTCCATGGCCCCATGGCCCACCATTCTCCCGCAGTCCCACCTGTTCCGGGGGAAGTCTCGGCCTCCTTCTCCCCACACCCAGGCCCTATACCTGTGCCCCCCACCCTCCCAATCCCCCCCTCCATTATCCCTCAGGAACCTTTTGCTTTCTATTATGTTCTGTCTCCCAGTCCTTTGGTCTCTACAGACCCCGCCCGTTCAATGTGCCCTGGTCTAGCCTATCTCAAAACAAAATGAATGCCTGGATCCTACCTTCCTCTTCAAGCTACACTCCCCACCCCTATTCCCTGTCTTTATCAGCCTGACAGACTTATTATTTATTTATTTATTTATTTATTTTAAGAATAATCTAGCCAGATGCAGTGCCTCATGCCTGTAATCCCAGCACTTTGGGAGGCTGAGGCTGGTGGATCACTTGAGGTCCGGAGTTCGAGACCAGCCTGGCCAACATGGTGAAACCCTGTCTCCACTAAAAATACAAAATTAGCCAGGTTTAGTGGTGCATGCCTGTAATCTCAGCTACGTGGGAGGCTGAGGCAGGAGAATTGCTTGAACCTAGTGGGTGGAGGTTACAGTGAGCCAAGATTGCGTCACTGCACTCAAGCCTGGGCAATGAGAGTGAAACTCCATCTCAAAAAATAATAATAATAATATTTTTATGTGTTTATTTTTAGAGATGGGGTCTTGCTATGTTGCCCAGGCTGTACTTGAACTCTTGGGCTCAAGGGATCTTCCCAGCCTCCTGAGTAGGTGGGACTACAGACACGCACCATTGCGCCTGGCCAGCCAAACTCCTTAAAGCAGTGGTCCCCAACCTTTCTGGCACCACAGACTGATTTCTCAGAAGACAATATTTCCACAGACCAAGGAGGAGCAGGGGTTGGGTTGGATGGTTTCAGGATGAAACTGTTCCACCTCAGATCATCAGAGAATCATTAGTTAAGATTCTCATAAGGAGCGTGCAACCTAGATCCCTCGCATGCACAGTTGACAATAGGGTTCCCGCTCCTAAGAGAATCTAATGCTGCTGCTGATCCGACAGGAGGCGGAGCTCAGGCAGTAATGCTCCATCACCCTCCCCTCACCTCCTGCTGTGCAGCCCAGTCCCTAATAGGCCACGGGCTGGGGGTGCCTTAAACAGTCACCTTCATTTGGGTTTTCACTGCCCCATGTCACACTCACTTGTCAGTCCACTCCAGGCCACCAAACCCAAAGGACAGTGTTCAGGACAAGTTCTCAGCTTTTCTGTCAATTAGAACTGAGTGTGACAAACCAGGAAGAAGAGAATAGACACGGGAAGGCTCCTGTCAACGTCTGTCAGACCCAGCTTGGCTCCCTCTGTGGCCAGCTCTGTGGGCCACTGCCTTCTTGAACGCCTCTCTTCTCCTGATCTCCATGATCTTGTACTTCCTGGTTTCCTTTCCGTCCCTTTGGCTGCTCCTTCTCGGCCTCCCTGGGAGAATGGTCTTTCTCCTGCCCTCCGTCGGTCTCTGTTCACTCTTTATTTATTTTTTTTTTTTTGAGACAGAGTTTCGCTCTTGTTGCCCAGGCTGTAGTGCAGTGGTGCCATCTCAGGTCACCGCAACCTTTGCCCCCCAGGTTCAAGTGATTCTCTTGCCTCAGCCTCCCAAGTAGCTGGGATTACAGGGATGCGCCACCACACCCAGCTAATTTTGTATTTTTAGTAGAGACAGGGTTTCTCCATGTTGGTCAGGCTGGTCTTGAACTCCCCCCAACCTCAGGTGATCCACCTGCCTCAGCCTCCCAAAGTGCTGGGATTACAGGCGTGAGCCACCCCGCCTGGCTGTGTTCACTCTTAACCCTCTTCCTGGGGGAGGTGGCCTTCATTACCTCGTGTGCACAAATGACCTCTAAATTCTTACCTCCTGCCTATACACAGATGACCAACAAATCTCATCTCCTGCTTCGACCCATATCACAAGACTCAAATGTCTAAAAGCACTGCAAACTCAACACATCCAAAATTAAACTCATTTTATTCTCTCCAAACTGGCTTCTCCTTCAGAACTCTGTGTCTTATAAAATGTGTGTGCCGTTTGCTCAGTTGTCTAAACTAGAGATCTGGGAACTATTCTAGATGTCTTGTTTCCCCTCACTCCCTAGCCCTAATTGACCCCCAAGGTCCACTGAGTCCACCTGCTGCCTGTCTTGAGTCCTTCCACTTCTCTCCATCCCACTGTCACCACCCTGCGCCCTGCCGTCCTGTGCTGTCACCTGGACTCCTCTATCAACTTCTCTGATTGCATCCTTCCTGTTTCTCTCCAATCTGAGCCCCACTTTGCAGCCAGAATCTTTCTAAAATGCCAACCAGATCATGCCACTTACATACAATTCTTTAAGGCCTCTAGTTGCCCTTAGGATAAATGTGACTCCTCAGCCCCTCAGGTCCCAGCCTAATAGGACCCTTCATCACTAGGCCCCTGCCTGCTTCCACATAAGAAAAGCAATGATTAGAAAAAGCTTGAGAAAGGAACCCAAGGATAGAAGCTATGGTGCATTGTTCAGCATCAGTTTTCAGGGAAGTGAAGGGGGTCTCATGGTAAAGCAATGTAATCAGACCTTGGCTTTGACCTTGTACTTTATCTCAACTTTTATATTAACATAATACTAGTTTTATTATAAATATTGTATCTAGTTTATTGCAGCACTATTTATAATAGCAAAGACTTAGAACTAACCCAAATGCCTATCATGATAGACTGGATAAAGAAAATGTGGCACATATACACCATGGAATACTATGCAGCCATGAAAAAGAATGAGATCATCTCCTTTGCAGAGACTTGGATAAAGCTGGAAACCATAATTCTCAAAAAACTAACACAGGAACAGAAAACCAAATACCATGTCATGTTCTCACTCATAAGTGGGAGTTGAACAATGAGAACACATGGACACAGGGAGGGGAACATCATACACTGGGGCCTGTTGGAGGTTGGGGGCAACGGGAGGAAGAGCATTAGGACAAATACCTAATACATGCGGGGCTTAAAACCTAGATGATGGGTTGTTAGGTGCAGCAAACCACCATGGCACATGTGTACCTATGTAACAAACCTGCACATTCTGCACATATATCCCAGAACTTAAAGTAAAATAATAACAATAATAAACAAACAAAAGATTTGGGAACCAAAGAACTAACTGTTGGGACCTTCAAGATGCAGACATTTAATTTTATATGTGTCAATGAAGCATGCATGAAAAAGACAAAGATGAAACAGTGTGTAGTATTAGGAAAAATTGTCAATATGACCCAGGAAAATTCACAAAAAGAAAAGAGAGAAACTGATTATTTGGTTTGTACTGAAGTGGACTAATTATGGGTTATTTATATAAACTGCCAGTCATGTCTAGTTACCCCATGGCAAAACAATGATTATCATTAAACATTAAACCATTAAAAATAAATAAATAAATATTTTATCTATTGAGTACCCCTATTTTATTTATTTGTTTATTTATTCATTTTAAGAGATAGGGTCTTGTCATGTTGGCCAGGGTGGATTCAAAATCCTGGGCTCAAGCAATCCTCCCACCTTGGCCTCCTGAGTAGCTAGGACTATAGGTATAGTCTAGCTATGCACCTGGCCAGCAAAACTTATATTGATGTCGTTTCTCTTGCAGTAAGTATCAAGAGGGGAATTTGAAATACCCATTTTTTGACTAGATATTACATATAATTACTTGAGTATTTTAAAAAGCAGTCCATGAAAGGTGCATAGTACAATGTTGGTCATAGGGAGTGCTTAGTAAACGTTGACTTTTTTTTCTAAAAACTATTTTTATTTCTAGAACTACTTCCTTGTGTTTGGGTAAATGGTAAAGGAGAAAGAAAGAGTGGCTTTTATCAATGATCAGTTTTCAAGGAAATTACATTATGCAAATACTTTATTCTTTATCTCATTTAGTAGAAATCAATATCGCCCCTCCATGTTAGCCATTTTTTCTTTCCTATTAATTACATCACAGATCTTATTCTCAGAAATAGATCAAATCAAACTGAATTTGTCTTTGCACTCATACTACAAGAATACATTTACAAAAATCTCATAAACACAAATCGTCATAATCATAATAATTATATTGTGGGCCAGGCGCAGTGGCTCACGCCTGTAATCCCAGCACTTTGGGAGGCCAAGGTGGGTGGATCACAAGGTCAGGAGTTCGAGACCAGCCTGGCCAACATAGTGAAACCCCATCTCTGCTAAAAAATACAAAAAATAAGCCAGGCGTAGTGGTGGGCACCTGTAATCCCAGCTACTTGGGAGGTTGAGGCAGGAGAATCGCTTGAACCCAGGAGGCAGAGGTTGCAGTGAGCTGAGATTGTGCCATTGCACTCCAGCCCAGGCAATAGTGTGAGACTGTAAAAAAAAATAAAAATAAAATAATAAAAAAATCATATTGTGAGGTATATTAACTGACATAAGAAAATGTCCATAATATTTTCTTTTTTTTACATTAAAAAATGTTTGTGGGTACACAGTAGGTATATATATTTGTGGAGTACATGAGATATTCTTTTTTTTCTTTTTTTTTTTTTTTGAGACAGAGTCTCACTCTGTTGCCCAGGCTGGAGTGCAGTGATGCGATCTCTGCTCACTGCAAGCTCCACCTCCCGAGTTCAAGTGATTCTCCTGCCTCAGCCTCCAGAGTAGCTGGGACTACAGGTGCCCACCACCACGCCCAACTAATTTTTTGTATTTTTAGTAGAGACAGGGTTTCACCGTGTTAGCCAGCATGGTCTCCATCTCCTGACCTCGTGATTCACCCACCTCGGCTTCCCAAAGTGCTGGGATTACAGGCATGAGCCACCGCACACGGCTGAGATGTTCTGATACAGGCATGCAATGTGAAATAAGCACATCATGGAGAATGGGCTATCCATCCCCTCAAACAGTTATCCTTTGTGTTACAAACAATCCAATTAGACTCATTTAAAAATGTGCGATTAAGTTATTATTGGCTATAGTCACCCTGTTGTGCAATCAAATAGTATGTCTTGCCACAATATATTCAGTGAAAAAAGTATGAATTTAAAAATCATGGCCGGATGCTGTGGCTCACACCTGCAATCCTAGCACGTTGGGAGGCCGAGGCGGGTGGATTGCCTGAGCTCAGGAGTTCAAGACCAGCCTGGGCAACACAGTGAAACCCTGTCTCTACTAAAAATACAAAAAATTAGCCAGGCCTGGTGGTGGGCACCTGTAGTCCCAGCTACTTGGGAGGCTGAGGGAGGAGAATTGCTTGAACTCGGGAGGTGGAGGTTGCAGTGAGCCGAGATCATGCCACTGCACTCCAGCACTCCAGCCTGGGCCACAGAGTGAGACTCTGTCTCCAAAAAAAAAAAAAAAAAAAAAGTCAAAATTCTAGTTTAATTTACATAAATGCATGGAAAAGTAGCAGGAAAACATTCCCAAATGTTAAGATAAGTTATCTCAAAGCAATGGATTTATTGGTCATTTTTTTCTCCTTTTTATATATTATTTTATTTTTATTGACACATTAGATGTTCATATATTTGGGGTTATATATATATATATATATATTTATTTATTTGAGTTGGAGTCTCGCTCTGTCACCCAGGCTGGAGTGCAGTGGCTTAATCTCAGCCCACTGCAACCTCTGACTCCCGGTTTCAAGCTATTCTTCTGTTGCAGCTTCCTGAGTAGCTGGGACTACAGGCACCTGCCACCACACCCAGCTAATTTTTGTATTTTTAGTAGAGATGGGGTTCTCCATGTTGGCCAGGCTGGTCTCAAACTCCTGACCTCAAGTGATCCACTCGCCTCAGCCTCCCAAAGTGCTGGGATTACTGGCATGTGCCACCACACTCGGCCTCTTTATATATTTTTTAATTGAACTTTTTCCCTACAATGAACTTGTGAGTTAGCTATTGATTTTTTTCCCTTTGGTTGCGAAAGAGAGAAACCCAAATTGATTGTGCTTTAACCAAAGGGGGAAGTTGTCATAAGGATCCTGTTCTATCTCAGAAACTCAATGACAGGAAATAGCAGGGCCTCCCCAGTTACTGGAACCAGAAATGCAAATGCTGCCTACGTTCTTTCTCCATCTCAGGGGCTCCTCTCAGTTTGTTTACTCTGTTTCCTCCCCACTTTCTCTCTGGATCAGTTTTCTCTGGTCCAAGTGAGGGAAAATGTGCATCCTAAAGCCCCTGACTTAAAAATTTATAACCCTGGGACTTTCAGATCTAAATCTCCAGAGTAAGGATTGAGAGTGTCTCAGCTGGGATAAGTACACAGCCCTGAGGCAGTCACCTGCACACGGGCAGAATCATGGCGCACTGACATGGCGGCTTCCATGGTAATCATGTGTGGTGTGCATGTGCGTGTGTGTACAGAAGAGTACATGTACTGTCCACACACACACACGTACCCCCCACACTATTTACAAAGCAATAGTCTTCACAACAACATGGAACTTTATCAAAATTAGAAAAAAAATCTTTAAAATCTTATAAATTGTGTATAACATTGTAAATCAGCATTTATTTCTACCTCTCATTTTTAAACACCTAAACTCATACTTTTTTTTTTTTTTTGAGATGGAGTCTCTCCCTGTCACCCAGGCTGGAGTGCAGTGGCTCGATCTCAGCTCACTGCAACCTCCACCTCCTGGGTTCAAGTGATCCTCCTGCCTCAGCCTCCCGGGTAGCTGGGATTACAGTTGTGCACCACCATGCCTGGCTAATTTTTCTATTTTTAGTAGAGATAGGTTTCCACCATGTTGGCCAGGCTGGATAATACACTCATTCTTAATTAGTGGTCTCACAAATTCTCTCTACTAGTCACAAAATGTAGAGAGTATCTTCTTCAACCATGTCATTTTAGAGAGGATAAACTCAAGCCCAGAGGGGTGAAATGACTTGCCAAGCCACCCCCCCCAGGGGGTTCACGGAATGTCCTCTCAGCAGTTTTCGTGCCAAGTGCATTTCTTCTCCCCTGCCCAAACCACCCATCCTTCATTCACCCTCTCCACACCGAGCTTGGGCCCCAAGACTATTCAGAACAAAGTCTTGGAAGCACAGTGGACCTGGTGGTCCCACAGCACTGCTGCTCTATTCAGCTGCATTTCCTAGACCTGGACACCCACTGAGTCTCTTCAGTCTCTTTTCATGCATAATTAACTCTAACTCACAGATCATAGGCAGGGCAAAGGTATACCGGAGGGGGGTAGGCATATTCCAAACAAAGGGAGCCTCCTACCTCCAAATGTTACAGATTGTTCATCTGGGAGTCCAAATACCTGAACACATACCTCCACGTATGTATTTTTAGTAGAGATGGGGTTTCTTTTTATTATAACATTTTATTACAACAGGATGGAGACCAGGCGTGGTGGCTCACACCTGTAATCCCAGAACTTTCAGAGGTCAAGGGAGGAGGATCACCTGACCCGGGAGTTTGAGACCAGTCTGGGCAACACAGGGAGATCTCATCTCTACAAAAAATTTAAAAAATAGCTGGGCAAAGTGGTGCATGCCTACAGAACCAGCTACTCAGGAGGCTGAGGCAGGAGGATTGCTTGAGCCCGGGAGGTCAAGGCTGCAGTAAGCTGTGATCACGCCCCTGCACTCCAGCTGGGCAACAGAGCAAGACCCTGCATCAAAGAAAAAACAAACCAGGATGGCAAAAATGCTAATTTTTTTTTTTTTTAATTTATTTTTTTATTGATAATTCTTGGGTGTTTCTCACAGAGGGGGATTTGGCAGGGTCATGGGACAATAGTGGAGGGAAGGTCAGCAGATAAACAAGTGAACAAAGGTCTCTGGTTTTCCTAGGCAGAGGACCCTGCGGCCTTCCACAGTGTTTGTGTCCCTGATTACTTGAGATTAGGGATTGGTGATGACTCTTAACGAGCATGCTGCCTTCAAGCATCTGTTTAACCAAGCACATCTTGCACCGCCCTTAATCCATTTAACCCTGAGTGGACACAGCACATGTTTCAGAGAGCACAGGGTTGGGGGTAAGGTCACAGATCAACAGGATCCCAAGGCAGAGGAATTTTTCTTAGTGCAGAACAAAATGAAAAGTCTCCCATGTCTACTTCTTTCTACACAGACACGGCAACCATCCGATTTCTCAATCTTTTCCCCACCTTTCCCGCCTTTCTATTCCACAAAGCCGCCATTGTCATCATGGCCCGTTCTCAATGAGCTGTTGGGCACACCTCCCAGACGGGGTGGTGGCCGGGCAGAAGGGCTCCTCACTTCCCAGTAGGGGCGGCCGGGCAGAGGCGCCCCTCACCTCCCAGACGGGGCGGCTGGCCGGGCGGGGGGGCTGACCCCCCCACCACCTCCCTCCCGGACGGGGCGGCTGGCCGGGCAGAGCGGCTCCTCACTTCCCAGTAGGGGCGGCCGGGCAGAGGCGCCCCTCACCTCCCGGACGGGGCGGCTGGCCGGGCAGGGGGGCTGACCCCCCCCCCACCTCCCTCCCGGACGGGCGGCTGGCCGGGCGGGGGGCCGACACCCCCACCTCCCTCCCGGACCGGGCGGCTGGCCGGGCAGAGGGGCTCCTCACTTCCCAGTAGGGGCGGCCGGGCAGAGGCGCCCCTCACCTCCCGGACGGGGCGGCTGGCCGGGCAGGGGGGCTGACCCCCCACCACCTCCCTCCCGGACGGGGCGGCTGGCCGGGTGGGGAGCCGACCCCCCCACCTCCCTCCCGGACGGGGCGGCTGGCCGGGCAGGGGGCCGACACCCCCACCTCCCTCCCGGACGGGTCGGCTGGCCGGGCAGAGGGGCTCCTCACTTCCCAGTAGGGGCGGCCGGGCAGAGGCGCCCCTCACCTCCCAGACGGGGCGGCTGGCCGGGCGGAGGGCTGACCCCCCCACCTCCCTCCCGGACGGGGCGGCTGGCCAGGCGGGGGGCTGACCCCCCCACCTCCCTCCCGGACGGGGCGGCTGGCCGGGTGGGGGGGCTGACCCCCCCATCTCCCTCCCGGACGGGGTGGCTGGCCGGGCTGAGGGGCTCCTCACTTCCCAGTAGGGGCGGCCGGGCAGAGGCGCCCCTCACCTCCCGGACGGGGCGGCTGGCCGGGCGGGGGGCTGACCCCCCCACCTCCCTCCCGGACGGCACGGCTGGCCGGGCGGGGGGCTGACCCCCCCACCTCCCTCCCGGATGGGGCGGCTGGCCGGGCGGGGGGCTGACCCCCCCCCACCTCCCTCCCGGACGGGGTGGCTGCCGGGCGGAGACGCTCCTCACTTCCCAGATGGGGTGGCTGCCGGGCGGAGAGGCTCCTCACTTCTCAGACGGGGCAGCTGCCGGGCGGAGGGGCTCCTCACTTCTCAGACGGGGTGGTTGCCAGGCAGAGGGTCTCCTCACTTCTCAGACGGGGCGGCCGGGCAGAGACACTCCTCACCTCCCAGACGGGGTCTCGGCAGGGCAGAGGCGCTCCTCACATCCCAGATGGGGCGGCGGGGCAGAGGCGCTCCCCACATCTCAGACGATGGGCGGCCGGGCAGAGACGCTCCTCACTTCCTAGATGTGATGGCGGCTGGGAAGAGGCGCTCCTCACTTCCTAGATGGGATGGCGGCCGGGCGGAGACGCTCCTCACTTTCCAGACTGGGCAGCCAGGCAGAGGGGCTCCTCACATCCCAGACGATGGGCGGCCAGGCAGAGACACTCCTCACTTCCCAGACGCGGTGGCGGCCGGGCAGAGGCTGCAATCTCGGCACTTTGGGAGGCCAAGGCAGGCGGCTGCTCCAAAAATGCTAATTAACAGGAAGAAAAAAATTACTCGGTAGGGCAGACAGCCTCTAACATGGCTCCCAGGGTTCATGGCTGTGTAATCTTCTCTCCTTGTGTATGGGTGAACCTAGTCACTTGCTTCCAACAAACAGGACATGGCGCAAGTGATTAGATCACAGAAGACTGTGATACCTCTTTCCCTTTTGTGGAGCCCTTGGTTTGAGAAAGGGAAGCTGTCATTTTGTAGAGCTGCCCTATGGAGAAGTCAATGTGGCATGAAAGTGATGTCTCCGGCTGACAGCCATTGAGGGCCTCAGGCCTCCCAATGGCCGCACGAATGAGCTCAGAAATGGATCCTCCCCCATTTGAACAGTGAGCCAGAAACCTGGTCTACAGCCCCACACCAAACCTTGACTGCCGTTTTGTAAGAGATCTGGAGCCAGAGGATCTGGTTAGGCCATCCCGCCTTACAAAAACTGTCCCACAGAAACTGTGAGATCATAAAAATTGTTTGGTTGTTTTAAACTACTAAATTTGGGGGGTAATTTGTTATGTAGAACAGTTGGCTAAAACACTTAGTCAGCAGCCGCCTCACGTTGAGAAGATGTAAATTTCATGAAGGAAGGTTACTTCTTGCTGAGCTGGAGACTAAGCTGAAAGCGAAATTTAAAGTGGAAAGATCTAGCAGAGCTGTGCCTACACATCTGGTGGCAGGTAATTTTGCCACAGTCCTTAGTAGATCACCAAGGGTTTCCTAATACAGAATGTAATCTATTTTTATTTTATTTTTCATGATTCTTTTGGAAACAAGGTTCTTTTTAAGGAAATGGGTGTGCATTGAAAATTATTTTTGTTCTGTCAACAGAATTGTTAAATAAAATATGAGTCACTAGGCATGGTGGCTCACGCCTATAATCCCAGCACTTTGGGAGACTGAGGCGGGAGGATCATTGGAGTCTAGGAGTTCAAGATCATCCCGGCCAACATAGTGAGACCCGTCTGTACAAAAAATAAAATATTAGCTGGCCTGTAGTTATTTCCAGCTATGTGGGAGGCTTCAGCCCAGGGAGGTTGAGTTTGCAGTGCGGCATGATCACACCACTGCACTCGGCATGGGTGACAGAGTGAGATTCTGCCTTAAAAAAAAAAAAAGATTCTGAGCCTATATCTGTAATTGTTTAGGAAAAATGGATTTCCTCCATTTTCAGCTAACACAGATGTTTTTGATCATAGTAGCATATTGTAGTTATCAATAGCATAAACTCGGACCCCAGACTACCTAGGTTCCAATCCTGGCTTTGTGACTTTCTAACTATAACTCTGGGAAATTAATTAATCTCTCTTTACCTCAGTTTCTCCATCTGGAGAATGGGGATAATAGTGGTATGTACCTCATAGGGATTTTATGAGGATAACATGAATTAATACATTTAAAGTTAGCCTGGGCAACGTGGCAAAACCTTGCCTCTACAAAAAATTCAAAAAATTAGCTGGGCGTGGTGGCACACGCCTATAGTTCCAGCTACTCAGGAGGTTGAGGTGGGAGGATTGCTTGAACCCGGGAGGCAGAGGCTGCAGCGAGCTGTGATTGCACCCCTGCACTCCAGCCTGTGCAACAGAGTGAGACCCTGTGTCAAAAAAAAAAAAGCTTCAAACAAAATAGTGTGCAGCATACAGTTAGTGCTATGAGGTTAGCTGCATGTTAGGAGAAGGTCAGAGAGGCACACTGGGTGAACCAGTTTGCAGAATCTACCCTAGGAACACTGCACCATGCGGTGAAAGTTCATGTAGCAAACACCCTCCCTTCCAAGTGCTGGACAGACTAACACCTTAAAGTTTACACAGAAGAGAAACCGTGCTTCCTCTGATTCCAACTTTGGAAAAACTCAGTCATGGGTATTTTAAATAGTTAATGTGGCCAGGGACAGTGGCTCATGCCTGTAATCCCAGCACTTTGGGAGGCCAAGATGGGTAGGTCACCTGAGGTCAGGAGTTCAAGACCAGCCTGGCCAACATGGTAAAACCAGTCTTTACTAAATATACAAAAAAGTTTAGCAGGGCATGGTGGCAGACAGCTGTAATCCTAGCTACTTCGGAGGCTGAGGTAGGAGAATTGCTTGAACCCAGGAGGCGGAGGTTGCAGTGAGTGGAGATCATGCCGTTGCACTCCAGCCTGGGCAACAAAGCAAGATTCTGTCTCAAAAAAAAAAAAAAAAAAAAAAAGTTAATGGATGTGATTTCTTTCCTGTGTAATGCTTTTAATTTGTACACCATCATAAAAGACACTACAAGTATTTTTTGTTTTGTTTTGCTTTGTTTTGTTTTTAAGATGGAGTCTCACTCTGTTGCACAGGCTGGAGTGCAGTGGAGTCATCTCGGCTCCACTGCAACCTCCACCTCCTGGGTTCAAGCGATCCTCCTGCCTCAGCCTCCCAAGTAACTGGGAGTACAGGTGCCCACCATGCCTGGCTAATTTTTGTATTTTTAATAGAGATGGGATTTCTCCATGTTGGCTAGGCTGGTCTTGAACTCCTGACCTCAGGTGATCCACCCACCTCGGCCTCCCAAAGTGCTGAGATTACAGGCGTGAGCTCAGCATAAGGCACTGCAAGTATTAAGAGCAGAGCAGGGCCCTGAAGGACTCCTTGTTCCCTTTCCCCCACCTCCCTTTACTAAAGCTCCTCTGGGAAGAAGAGTCTGTGGAGAGCAGGGCAGAGGCAGAGCCCCTTGCTCCCTGGGACTGCCCCTGAGTCCCCTGAATATGTGCAGAGGAATGTCAGCATTCCTGCCCTGCAACCCATAATGTTGACTTGGGAATCTGAGTAGAGGAGACCTATGTCTCACTCCCCATTGGTAGCCCCCAAAAGAGCACATTTCGTAGAATTCCCCACACACCATGGAAAGGGCTGGTAGGGTAGATGATGGGGTGGCAGGGCCGGGGGGCATATCATAAGAGAAGTCCGAGGTGGTCTAGAGTGGCAGGGGAGAAGAGCAAGATGATGGTTTCCATACCCCCAAGAGTGGTCTGGAGGAGCGGAGAGAGGGTCAAGGAATCCAAAGGGTCTTGTGCAGGACGGGGACACGCAACCGCAAAGGCCAGGAGAGAGCCGCCTTCTACTTTTCTCTCATCTGGTCCTGAGGTCTTCCTCCAGAGAGTGGCTGTAAACTAGCCGAGCCCTGACAGGTCTTCAGGAGATTTGATCACGATGTTTATGATGTGCCTTTTAGGGGACTCCTCTCAATTTTAGCAGCTGACCTGATGCCTGTGTCCAACTCTCTATCAGCTGTCCCTCTCACAGGATAGACTTGTTTATCCTGGCAGACACACTTGCGGCTCTTGTCTGACCTCTGTCCAGTTTATTCCTGCCAAGACCACCACTCCCTAGGAGAGCCCTGGCCGGGAAAGGAGCTGGGTTCTGCGTGGCAGTTAGGTGAGATGTAAAAGCGACATCTCAATGAAACATATGAAATAACAGAAGTAGTTTATGACTTACAGATCCCAGAGGGAAGCGGGTGACTGCCTCACACACAGGGCTAATGGAAGGAGGGTGCTATCTTGGGACATGTGCGCTCCATCAACAAGTGGGGAGCAATAGACAGACAGAGAAACCTGTGGGTTTGGGCTCCAGGATGTTCCTCAGGTGAGTTTCCTGCAGGGAGTTCTACCTGGCAGGTTAACAGCAAGCAGGTGGCAGATCTCCGGAGTCACAATGGGACTGCAGCATATGTACAAAGTGCAGTGCGGGGATCAGTGGGACCAATGAAGTGGGTTGTATCCTGTTGTCCCTGGGAGGGAGTGGTCACCAGGTAGTGGTTGCATAAGGCAGACATCTGGATCCATTGCATTGAGGAACTGGGCAGAGGCAGAAAATGGGAAACTGGCCGGGCGCAGTGGCTCACGCCTGTAATCCCAGCACTTTGGGAAGCCGAGGCGGGCAGATCACGAGGTCAGGAGATCGAGGCCATCCTGGCTAACACGGTGAAACCCTGTCTCTACTAAAAAATACAAAAAAAGTTAGCCGGGCATGGTGGTGGGCGCCTGTAGTACCAGCTACTTGGGAGGCTGAGGCAGGAGAATGGCATGAACCCGGGAGGCAGAGCTTGTAGTGACCTGAGATCAGGCCACTGCACTCCAGCCTGGGTGACAGAACGAGCCTCTGTCTCAAAAAAAAAAAAGAAAATGGGAAACTGTGTCAAGGGTGACTAAACCTTGCCTCTGGTATGGGGAAGTCCACTTGTGTTCAAAATGAATGCAAAGTAAAATTATAGGAATTCACTACAAAGCTCCTTTCTCATGCCACGTCTTAGTATGGTTTAAGAGGATCTCCCCTTAAAGCCTATATGGGACGCTAGAAAGAAGTGGGAAAACCCGGAAATGACTGAAAACATCCTGAATTGACAGTTTCACCCAAATTGACTAAAATTAAGTTTTCATACAAAAGCAGAGTGAAGGCTTTAGATAGAAATTAAAGGCTGGGTGCGGTGGCTCATGCCTATAATCCCAGCACTTTAGGAGGCCGAGGCGGGTGGATCACTTGAGGTTGGGAGTTCGAGACCAACCTGGCCAACATGGTGAAACCCCATCTCTACTAAAAATACAAAAATTAGCTGAGCATGGTGTAGTGTGCCTGTAGTCTCAACTGCTCTGGAGGCTGAGGTGGGAGAATTGCTTGAACCCAGGAGGCGGAGGCTGCAAAGCCGAGATCTTGCCATTGCACTCCAGCCTGGGTGACAGAGCCAGACTCTATCTCAAAAAAAGAAAAATAAATAAATAAAGTCTAATTATAGACACACAAGATTATGTTTTTGCACACCTAACTTTGTATTCTGGATAATAAACTGGCAGGCTTTACTTAGTCATACAAGCTGAAATGTGGTTGGAAAACCATAAATTATACCATGAAATGTTCATTATATAAGAGGTTAAAAAATTCAGATTAGGATTTCTTCCCTAGTTCTATTTGGACCATGTGTGGACTTGGTGCAATGCTGGGTGGATATTTCCCTAAAGTATCATCAGTATTTCTAAACACACATTTCCACCCAACAACTGATCTCATCTACTGGAATGATTTCTCTTGAACTAACATTGGTGTTCATGAAATAAAACAAAAAGTCTTAGTCATAAGTGTAGCTGCTCTTTGGAGGGCAAAATCAAATGGTTGGGAGCAAATAAAAATTAAATTTTAGGCCGGGCATGATTTTGAATAATTCCAAACGTAAAGAAAAGTTGCAAAAATAATAGAGAACTCTCATATAGCCATGATTCAGATTAACCAAATTTTTTTTTTTTTTTTTTTTGAGATGGAGTCTCGCTCTGTCGCCCAGGCTGGAGTGCAGTGGCACAATCTCCGCTCACTGCAAGCTCTGCCTCAAGGGTTCACACCACTCTCTCACCTCAGCCTCCCGAATAGCTGGGACTACAGGTGCTCGCCACCACGCCTGGCTAACTTTGTTTTTGTATTTTTAGTAGAGACGGGGTTTCACCATGTTAGCCAGGATGGTCTCAATCTCCTGACCTCGTGATCTACCTGCATTGACCTCCTAAAGTGCTGGGATTACAGGCATGAGCCACCGCGCCCAGTCCAGATTAACCAACTTTTTTACATTTTGCCACATTTGTTTAATTATTCTCTCTTCTTCCCTCCCTCTGTATTTATTTTTTCCAAACCATTTGAGGTTATAAAGATCATGCCTTTATTATACTCTTAATACTTCAATGTGTAGTTCCTAAGAACAAATATAGTTTCTTACATAATCCAAATACAATTATCAAATCAGAAAATTTAACCTTGATACGTACTTTCACCTACTCTATAATCCATATTCCAATTTTGTCAATTATACCAATAAAGTTCTTTACAGCATCCCCCCAGTCCAAGTTTCAACCAAGGATCACATATATGCCTGAAGGGGTCATGTTTCTCTAATCTTCTTTAATCTGGAATGGTTCTTCAGAATTTCTTTCTCTTTCATGACATTGATATATTTAAAGAACACAAATCGGTTGTTTTATAGAATGTTCTTCAGTTGGGCTTGCCTGGTGTTTCCTCGTGACTTAATTCAGGTTTTTGGTCCCCTGCCAAACTATGAAAAAAGTGATGTTATATTCTTTTCAGGGTACCTGGAGGCACAGTGTGTCAATCTGTCCCTGGGTTAATTTTAGTCACCTGATCCCAGTATTGTCCAGTTTCTTCACTGATAAGTTACTATTTTTCTTTTGCAACTAATAAGTAATCTGTGGAGAGCCACGTTAGGACTGACTAAATATCCTGTCTTTCATCAGACTTTATCTCCCTAGATTTAGCAATCAATGCTATTTCTTGCCCAATTTTTTGCTTTGATGATAGCAAAACAGTGATTTTTCAACTCCATCCCTCCCTCCACATGTATCAATCTAATGTACATCTCACTATAAGGAAAGCCCTCCCTTACTACCTCCATCTATTTATTTACCTACTTATCAGCTGCCTGAATTGATGATTAATTTTTTTTTTTTTTTTTTGAGACGGAGTCTCGCTCTGTTGCCAGGCTGGAGTGCAGTGGCGCGTTCTCGGCTCAGTGCAACCTCTGCCTCCTGGGTTCAAGCGATTCTTCTGCCTCAGCCTCCGAAGTAGCTGGGATTACAGGCATGTGTCACCACGCCCGGCTAATTTTTTTGTATTTTTTTTAGCAGAGATGGGATTTCACGGTGCTGGTCAGGTTAGTCTTGAACTCCTGACCTCGTGATCCACCCGCCTCGGCCTCCCAAAGTGCTGGGATTACAGGTGTGAGTCACCGCGCCTGGCCTGATGATTAATGTTTTATTCAATAAGTTGTAATCCTTTACTGTCCTGATTTATTTTTAGCTCAAAATTATCCCAGACTTGGCCAGCGGGCTCTCCTTCTCCTTCAAACTAGCTCTTGTCCTTTTGACATGTCCCGATATTTTCCTTCCCTTCCCCTTCCTTCTCCTCCCCTCCCCTCCCCTTCCCTCCTTCCCCCCTCCCAACTCCACTCCCCTCCCCTCCCCTCCCTCCCTCCCTCCCTTCCTTGCTTCTTCCTTCCTTCCTTCTCACTTTCTTACTTTCTGGCATATCAGAATGTTCCTGTGTTCCTGGCTAACCTTGTGCTTTTCCTGCCCCAGCCCCGTATCCAGCCATTCTTCCAAGGAGTCCCAATTTTTTTTAAAGATAGAATAGGACTTAGAAAGACATGGGCACACCTCTTGCATTTTAAATGAGGAACTCATTGACCCCCAAAAAACATTGCTCATGATTGAATTGTTGGTATTCTGTCAGGTTAAGATTGTATTTTTCATTTGTTCCAAAATAAAGTAGAAGTATCCCTTGCCATTTCTTCTGAATATAAAAGCAATATATAATCACTATGAAAAATTCAGAAAATAAAAGCTAAGAACATATTAAAAATCACTTGTTGTTCTATCACTTAGAGTTAACCACCTTGAGATATTAATGGTGATGGTCATCATTAGGCAACTGTAATACTTCCCAGTATGAATGCACCAAAAATAATATATTTCACCAAAATACAATTGTTGGATATTCCCAGTTTCTCTGTGTGTGTGTGTGTGTGTGTGTGTGTGTGTGTGTGTGTGTATTTCTTCTGGGTAAAGTCCCAGAAATGTAATTGCTGGGTTAAAAATGTATGCATATTTATAAGCAAAGAAAATGTGCTCAACATTATTAATCATCAAGGAAATGAAAATTAAAACCACAATGAGACAGTGCCTTCATGTTTCCATGAAACATGCTCATAACACTCCACATATTTTATATATTTACACAAATATGTAAAACATGTTTAGCCAGCAATACCAGTTGTCGGCAAGAATGGAGAGCAACGGCTGGGCGCGGTGGCTCACACCTGTAATCCCAGCACTTTGGGAGGCCAAGGCGGGCGGATCACCTGAGGTCAGGAGTTCGAGACCAGCCTGGCCAAAACGGTGAAACCCTATCTCTACTAAATATACAAAAATTAGCCGGGCCTGGTGGCGGGTGCCTGTAATCCCAGCTACTTGGGAGGCTGAGGAAGGAGAATTGCTTGAACCTAGGAGGCAGAGGTTGCAGTGAGCCGAGATCGTGCCCCTGCACTCCAGCCTGGCGACAGAGTGAGACTCCTTCTCAAAAAAAAAAAAAAAAAAAAAAAAGAATGGCGAGCAACTAAAACTCTCTATACCACTGGTAGAATTGTAAGTCCTAATAACCACCTGTAAACACACACACACACACACACACGCACATAACTGAGCTACTTCCATGGAAATAATTTACCTGGGGTAGGAGAAAAACAAAAGTGATAATTGTGGAGTGTTATGAGCATGTTTCATGGAAGGGGACAGGGAGGGAAGTAAAGGATGGTAATAAGTTTCAGAAATGAAAGATGGAGGGACCTCCCTGCTTCCATCACGCCACTTTGTTACTCTCCCTACTTTACTCCTGATGAAATAGCACAGTGGAGAGACCACGGGGGCTGGACACTGGTACTTCATCTTGTCTATTTCAGTCATTTAAATCCCATCAGCCAAAGAACTGATCTCTTCAATCTCATCTTTCTAGATCGTAATTTCATATCATCCCTGTCTTAAGGTTCAACTCTTAGTTCAAATTCTAATAGCCTTTATAGGCTTATTTTTCTATTGCAAACCAAAAACATTCTTTTATTTTTGAAGTTAGGCAATCTGAAAGATGCCTGTCAATGAACACACAAACCACCATTGAAAAGAAACTTTTTGTCTGGGCGTGGTGGCTCACGCCTGTAATCCTAGTATTTTGGGAGGCTGAGGCGGGTGGATTGCCTGAGCTCAGGAGTTCAAAACCAGCCTGGCCAACATGGTGAAACCCCCGTGTCTACTAAAAATACAAAAAACATTAGCCGGGCATGGTAGCGCATGCTTGTAGTCCCAGCTACTCCGGAGGCTGAGGCAGGAGAATTGCTTGTACCGGGGGAGGCGGAGGTTGCAGTGAGCCAAGTTTGCACCAGTGCACTCTAGCCTGGGTGACAGAGGGATACTCCATCTCCAAAAGAAAGAAAATAAACTTTTCTCATGAGGAACAAGTGGGAGATGTCAGGTCAGTGGTAACTGGAATAGAATTGACACCCCAGCCCCTTAAGAGCTTGGTTAAGAGTGGGAGCACATCTCAGACTGGTGGGTGTGTCTTTGATGTAGCTGGAAGAATTGCCACTGTTTTACTAACATGTCAGGTGCAATACAATTCAGTGTGTAAGGCCCATCTGACATTTATGTTCCTCTTTGCCCAGTGATCTGGCCTTTGCAGAAAGCAAACCTACTCATTTCTCCCCTTTCCCCTTTTACTGAGACAAATAAATAAATAAAAATAAAACTGACAGGACAGACCAAAAGGCTGAAAAGAGCTATGATTTCAGACTTAGCTAAGGCTATATTACCTCAAAGTGGGTAACGACCTTTGGAAAAGATATTAAAATTTCCAGGTCATGAGGTACCCATTAGTATAATCAGGCAAAATGTATTAGCAGAGGCTAATAGGATAAAAGAATCAATGATGGGCCGGGCGTGGTGGCTCACGCCTGTAATCCCAGCACTTTTGGAGGCCGAGGCAGTTGAATCATCTGAGGTCCGGAGTTCAAGACCAGCCTGGCCAACATGGTGACATCCCGTCTCTACTAAAAATACAAAAATTAGCCGGGCATGGTGGCATGCACCTGTAAACCCAGCTACTCGGGAGGCTGAGGCAGGAGAATCGCTTGAACCTGGGAGGTGGAGGTTGCAGTGAGCTGGGATCACGTCACTGCACTCCAGCCTGGGCGACAACAGCAAAACTTCGTCTCAAGAAAAAAAAAAAAGAATCAATGATGCTTCCATGTTGTCTCCAGGGTGGCTGTCTATAGTGAGAGATGACTAATTCTAATGGAAACTTTCTACATTTGTGTTATAAGCCTTCCTTTCTTTCATTTTTTTATTTTATTTTTTATTTTTTATTTTTTTGAGATGGAGTCTCGCTCTGTCGCCCAGGCTGGAGTGCAGTGGCACCATCTCAGCTCTCTGCAACCTCTGCTTCCCTGGTTCAAGCAATTCTCCTGCCTCAGCCTCCCGAGCAGCTGGGATAACAGAAGCCTGCCACCACGCCTGGCTAATTTTTGTTATTTTTAGTACAGGCAGGGTTTCACCATGTTGGCCAGGCTGGTCTTGAACTCGCGACCTCAGATCAGCCTGCCTCAGCCTCCCAAAGTGCTGGGGTTACAGGCGTGAGCCACCCCGCCTGGCCTTCTTTTATTTTAAAAGCCTATAATATAACCGAGTATTAACTTTACCCAAGGAACTAAAAATAGTAGAGTTACCAAGAATGGTAAACCTATTTCAAGGCCACTTTCATTAAGAAACTCTTTGGGAGAGTGAAATTGCTTTCCAATTGCTCGTCTCAAATTCTAGGTCTTACTTAACCTCAGCTTCGGAATCTTAATTTTCCTGCCACTAGGGTATTCTGTTTCCTTAGTGAGTAGCCATTCTAAAGTTCCTTAGGAGAAGTCACTAAAGAAACAGTTAAAGGAGGCTGGGAGTGTTGGCTCACACCTGTAATCCCAGCACTTTGGGAGGACGAGGTGGGCGGATCACCTGAGGTCAGGAGTTTGAGACCAGCCTGACCAACATGGTGAAACCCTGTGTCTACTAAAAATACAAAAAAGTTAGCTGGGCGTGGTGGCGGGCGCCTGTAATCCCAACTACTCAGGAAGCTAAGGCAGGAGAATCGCTTGAACCCGGGAGGTGGAGGTTGCAATGAGCCGAGATAGTGCCATTGCACTCCAGCCTGGGAGACAGAGCAAGACTCCATCTCCAAAAAAAGAAAAAAAAAAGAAACAGTTAAAGGCAAAGGAAAAAAGGATGTCAGAGAGTATGTTTCATGTCAGTTGGGGAAATCAAGACATAAGCTGTGGCTGAGCGCAGTGGCTCACACCTGTAATCCCAGCACTTTAAGAGGCCAAGGCAGGTGAATCGCTTGAGTCCAGAAGTTCGAGACCAGCCTGGGCAACATGGTGAAACTCCATCTCTACAAAAAAATGCAAAGATGAGCCAGGGATGGTGGTGCATGCCTATAGTCCCTGGTACTCGGGAGGATGAAGCAGGAGGATCGTTTGAGCCCAGGAGGCAGAGGTTGCTGTGAGAGCCAAGATCACGCCATTGCACACCAGCCTGGGTGGCAGAGTGAGACCCTGTCTCAAAACAAACAAACAAACAAACAAACACAACATAAGCTGCTTTGTTCAATTCATGTTTAATTAATAACATGGAATGTATCTTATAGAAACACTCAGCATGCAGTTGTTTGTAAAAGGGTGTTTATGGCAGAACCACTGGAATAGTGAACATTTTGACATAAGTTAAATGTCCATCGCAACAGAACTGATTAAGTTGTTTATCTATACTGTGGAATACATTTCAGCCACTAAAAAGAGTGAGGTATATGCCATATATCCATGTAACAGAATTGTATTTGTACTCCTTAAATTTACACCAAAAAAGACTGATGTAGAGGTAAATGAACTGATAGGAGGAGATCCCCAATACATAGTTAAGTGGAAAAAGCAACTTGTAGAACAATGTATATGGCATGATCGTTTTACACTAAAAATCTCTATGATATATGTGTAGGTGTACGCATGTAAATGTGCAGAACGGAGGTGGGAAGACTGGGCACCAAACTCCAGTCCTGGTTACTCTGGGGGAAGGAGTGGACATGGCAATGAGGATAAAAGGTGATATATATTTTGCTCTCTAGAATTCATTCTCTTTTTTTTTTTTTTTTTCTGAGACGAAGTCTCACTCTGTTACCCAGGTTGGAGTGCAGTGGCATGATCTCGGCTCACTGCAACCTCCACCTCCTGGGTTCAAGTGATTATCCTGCCTCAGCCTCCCAAGTAGCTGGGATTACAGGCATACACCACCATGCCTGGATAATTTTTGTATTTTTATTAGAGACAGGATTTCACCATGTTGGCCAGGCTGGTCTCAAACTCCTGACCTCAGGTGATCCACCCACCTTGGCCTCCCAAAGTGCTGGGATTGCAGGCGTGAGCCACGGTGCCTGGCCTAGAATTGATTCTTGTTTGAACCTTTTATAAGAATGTGCTCAGGTTACTTGAGTAACTTTTAAAATGTACTTCAGTCTCTGAGCTTGTATACTTGAGTAGCTTTTGAGAGATCGTTTGATGCGTTCAATCCCTCTTGAAGACAAGAAGACTGAATTTATGATGATTTGCTGAACTCCTTGTGTGAATAGCTCCTTGGCATCTGACTCCATCCCATCCTCCTTCAAGAGCTAAGAAACCAAGAGATGATTTCCGTGACAAATCCTCAAATTCACACTTAGGTCACTTAACTAGTTTGATTTTTTTTCCCCTAACCTGACAGGAGGGGGGTTCTCTCCTGGCTCTTGAGAGCAGATATCCTGTCTCCTCTTCATTACTGCTGTGTTAACCTGAGTATTTTTCTTTTTCTTTTCTTTTTTTTTTTTTTTGAGACGGAGTCTCGCTCTGTCACCCAGGCTGGAGTGCAGTGGCGCGATCTCGGCTCACTGCAAGCTCTGCCTCCTGGGTTCACGCCATTCTCCTCCCTCAGCCTCCCGAGTAGCTGGGACCACAGGCGCCCGCCACCACGCCCCGCTAATTTTTTGTACTTTTTAGTAGAGATGGGGTTTCACGGTATTAGCCAGGATGGTCTCGATCTCCTGACCTCGTGATCCACTAACCTCAGCCTCCCAAAGTGCTAGGATTACAGGCGTGAGCCACCGCACCCGGCCTTGTCCATCAGATCTTCTATAGTTTGGTTGAAAATGAATTTTTCCGAAACCCAGAAATACTTGCCTTCAAAAGTAAATGCAAAAAACAGCAACAACACAATTTTTTAGCCTAACTAATCAAGAAGAAACTCTTCAAAAAACCAACCAAATTCAATGTCAAGTTAAGGTTATTTATTAGTTATTTGACATTTTGACTTATTTAAACCTTCTCTTTCATAAGAGAGGGAAAGAGATAGTTAATTATGTCGCATGATCCTATTTATTTATTAAGTGGTGCAAGGTAAAATTTTACTGGGATTTTGAGTAAAATAAGATATTGTAGTAATTACGATTGTTATGTACATAACTATGTCATCTATTAGAATAACTTTGCTGCATCCTCATCTTATCCTATTGGTAGGAAGAAAAAATTCAGTTGAAATCATATTTTACATTTTTAGTAAATCGTATTTTGGTAAAACCCTGCTGCTTTTTCTTATGGTTTAAATATACTCTATTCAGAAGAGCTCTCACTATTCAGTTACAAATTCGTTTGGCACATGTATACATATGTAACTAACCTGCACGTTGTGCACATGTACCCTAAAACTTAAAGTATAATAAAAAAAAAATTCGTTTGGAATACTTTCTGAATTTTCTTAGTGAATTGATGGGGAAAGGTGTTGGCACTGAGAAGGTGACAGAGTGGGAACAAGTGTGGAAGGAGTACTGTCGTGGCAACCCTCAGGAGAGTGTTGTAAAAAGTGCCATTGGGGGCTGAAGAGCTTCCAGAAAGGGGGCTATATAAATGCAAAGTAATAAAACGATCGTATCTTTTAAAGTTGAGCAGGAGATGAGGGGAGACCAGAAAGTCTGCTGTCCTGGTGATATACCTTGAGAGGCGCTCCTCTGCCCTGTGGCAGGTAAAGCAGAGGCACAGAGTGAGCCGTGCTGGCTTCTTTAGGAGCAGAAAACTGCTTAGGAAATTCCACGGTGGCTAGGGACAGTGGCCATGGGCAGCTGGCAGAGAGCCACTCATTACTGACGTAGAGCATTTATGGGAACAAAGCTAAATAAAGTATGGTAACAGTTGGAGAGGGAGATGTTTGGATTGGCACCGGGCCACAGTGAGCAGAGGTGGCGGTAAGTGAGGAAATAGATTAAATGTGTGCATGGAGAAGAAAAGAGGAACCCACACCCACAGAGCAGGGAAACAGGCAAATCGACAGAGACAGAAAGTAGATTAATGTTTGCCTACTGCTGGAGGACCGAGGTGAGGGGCAATGGGAGATGAATGCCAGCGGGTAGGCATTTTTGGGGAGGGAATGATGAAAATGTTCTAAAATTGATTATGGTGATGGTCGCACAAGTTTGTGAGTATACTAAAAACTATTTGTACAATTTAAATAGTGAATTAAATATCAACAGCTGATATTTTGAAACAGTAAATTTAAGGCCGGGTGCAGTGGCTCACGCCTGTAATCCCAGCACTTTGGGAGGCTGAGGTGGGAGGATCACGAGGTCAAGAGATCCAGACTGTCCTGGCCAACATGGTGAAACCCCGTCTCTACTAAAAATACAAAAATTATCTGGACATGGTGGCATGCACCTGTAGTCCCAGCTACTCGGGAGGCTGAGGGAGAAGAATCGCTTGAACTCGGGAGGCGGAGGTTGCAGTGAGCTGAGATCACGCCACTGCACTCCAGCCTGGCAACAGAGCGAGACTCCGTCTAAAAAAACAAAAACAAAAAACCAAAAAACCAAACAAAAAAAAAAGTAAATTTGAATTTGAATATAAATAAAAATATATAGATGTGTAGATTTTTAAAAATTCATGCTGCTTGGAACAAAGTAATACACCTTCTACATGTCCATTACTGCGTCCCTATTCTTACTCTCATATCTTGCAGTTCCTTTTGTTAGTTTCTTTTGTGTCTTTCCAAGATTTTAAAAAATGTATATATAGGCCGGGCGCGGTGGCTCACGCCTGTAATCCCAGCACTTTGGGAGGTCAAGGTGGGTGGATCACAAGGTCAGGAGTTCGAGACCAGCCTGGCCAATATGGTGAAACCTCGTCTCTACTAAAAATACAAAAAAAGTAGCCAGGCGTGGTGGCACATGCCTGTAATCCCAGCTACTTGGGAGACTGAGGCAGGAGAATTGCTTGAATCCAGGAGGCAGAGGTTGCAGTGAGCCGAGATCACACCACTGCACTCCAGCCTGGGTGACAGAGCAAGATTCCATCTCAAAAAAAAAAGATATACATAAACAAATGTGAATATGTACTCTTTTGTTCCCCTCATTCTTACACAAAAGGCAGCACATTATAGAAACTGTTCTGCTTTTTGTCTTTTTCTATGCAATATATGCTAGAGATTGTTCCACGTTAGCACAGAGAAAGCTTTCTCATTCATTTTCAGTGTTCATGGTCTTCCATTGTGTGGATGTTCTACAGTTTATTTAACCAGTCTTCTATTGATGAACCTTTGGGTTATTTTCAATCTTTTATGTCTATAAACAATGCTACAACAATCATGTTGATATGTCATCTCATACACTTTCAGATCAGTCTGGAAGATAAACTCACAGAAGTGAGATTGTTAGTTCAAAAGGTAAATGCATTCGTAATTTTGGTAGATATTATCAAATTGCTCTCCATTTTGCACTTCTACCAGCAATATGTAACAGTTCTGTTTTATCCATACTTTTGTCTACACGGTGTAGTCAAAACTTGCAAAACATGCTATGAGCCAAACTTGTCAATCTAATTGCAGAAATGGGCCAGTCGCAGTGGCTTACGCCTGTAATCCCAGCACTTTGGGAGGCTGAGGCAGGTGGATCACCTGAGGTCAGGAGTTAGAGACCAGCCTGGCCAACATGGCGAAACCCTGTCTCTACTAAAAATACAAAAATTAGCTGGGCATGGTGGCACATGCCTGTAATCCCAGCTGCTCAGGAGGCTGAGGCACGAGAATCACTTGAACCCAGGAGGCGGAAGTTACAGTGAGCCGAGATCACAGCACTGCACTCCTGCTGGGGTGACAGAGCAACACTCTGTCTCCAAAAAAAAAAGCAAAAAAAGAATAAATCTAGCAATATTTAACACTAATATGCAAAGACATCCATAAATAACAGGTGACTGTACATAAGCAAAGATTAATGAACTACTTTTAACAATGATAAACATTAAATACCATTATATTTCTAACCAGTTAGTATATCATTTTGTATACGAAGAATAATATTTTGTGATAGTTATAGGGTAAATCAAAGTGCTCTCAGGTTTGAACTTTGCATAATTCTAGAAAGGAAAAGAGATGGCATCTATTTGTCCACTCATTGAATCTGGGGGTAACTTGGGCTTACTTTGACCAATAGAATGTGGCACAAGTAATACTGTATCACTTCTGAACCCTGCATCTTCTCTTCCTCTTGGAAGCCAGATGCCATTTGAAAAAGACTGGGTCATCCTGCTGAAGACATGTGGCATAGATTATAGCCAACACCAATTCCCATACCTGTGAGTGAGGCCACATCAAACCAACTAGCTCAAGTCAAGCTGCAGTTTGACTACAGTCATATGAGTGACCCCATGAGAGACCATAGGAATAAGCGCAGCCAAATTGCTGAACCACAGCCTAAGAAGCAAATAAAATAGTTGCTGTTTTATTTGAGGGGATGGTTTGTTATACTGCAATAAATAATTATAAAACTGTTTTGGGGAGGAGCTATGAATAGAGAAAAAGATAATGTAAAATAATGAAGGCCGGGCGTGGTGGCTTACGCCTATAATCCCAGCACTTTGAGAGGCCAGGGTGGGCAGGTCATTTGAGGTCAGGAGTTCAAGACAGGCCTGGCCAACATGGTGAAACCTGGTCTCTACTAAAAATTCAAAAGTTAGCCAGGCGTGGTGGCACGTGCCTATAATCCCAGCTGCTCAGGAGGCTGAGGCAGGAGAATCGCTTGAACCTGGGAGGCAGAGGTTGCAGTGAGCCGAGATCACACCACTGCACTCCAGCCTGGGTGACAGGGCGAGACTCTGTCTCAAAAAAAAAAACGTAAAATAAATAATGAAAGATAGGTTTGCTTTTGTTCATTAATATGTTTAATCACATACTCTCCATCTCCATACAGAAAGGATTAAAGGCTGCTCTAGTGGGTAGACCCTAGGGTGACCCCTGTTAATGATACCTGCCTTCTGGCGTTCACTCTTCTTGAGTATGGGATGACAGGTTTCTAACCCACAGAATACAGCAACAGTGATGAGATGTCATTCCTGTGATTTTATTGCGTTATCTGAAACTCCATTGTGCCAGCAGATTCACACTAGGGATTCTCCTTGCCGGCTTGAGTCGGCGGCCATGTTGAAGAAGCCCACATGGCAAAACACTATGGGAAGCCTCTAGAAGCTGAGTGCAGCCTCCAGCCAATAGTCAACAAGAAACACAACCCCTCTACAAGGAAATGAATTCTGCCAATCCAAAGCAAGCTCTGAAGCCAGCTCTCTCCCAGTGGAGCCTTCAAATGAGATGCAACTCAGCTGACATCTGGTATGCAGCTCCTGACTTGCACGGCTGAGGGTCCAGCTACGCTGTGCCTGGACTCCTGGCCCACAGACATGGCGAGATTAGAAACATATGCTATTTGTTACATAACACAGGAAACTAATGTAGCTGCTCGGGATGCTTCAGCATTCAATCCTTTTAAAGGAAAGCAACCTTTATTCGTAGAAGAAAAATGTTTGCTTTGTGAAAAGACAAAGGCATTCTTTTTTTTTTTCTTTTTTTTCTTTTTTTTGAGACAGAGTCTTGCTCTGTCACCCAGGCTGGAACGCGATGGCCCGATCTCGACTCACCACAAGCTCCGCCTCCCGGGTTCACGGCATTCTCCTGCCTCAGCCTCCCAAGTAGCTGGGACTACAGGCGCCCGCCACCACGCCCGGCTAATTTTTAGTATTTTTAGTAGACACGGCGTTTCACCATGTTAGCCAGGATGATCTCCATCTCCTGACCTCGTGATCCGCCCGCCTCGGCCTCGCAAAGTGCTGGGATTACAGGCGTGAGGCACCGCACGGAAGACAAAGGCATTCTACAGCTTTAGAAGGTCATTTCTTTGTTATCACACTCTGATTTATTTAAAATCCAGGACAAGAGAGCATTGATTTTCGAAGCTGACTCAAGGAACTGAGGATAATTTACTTAGGGAACGTGAGGCAGAAAACGAATTAAATGTATATACAGGGCGTGGTGGCTCACGCCTGTAATCCCAGCACTTTGGGAGGCCGAGGCGGGTGGATCACCTGAGGTCAGGAGTTTGAAACCAGCCTGGCTAACATGGTGAAACCCTGTCTCTACTAAAAATACAAAAAATTAGCCAGGTGTGGCGTTGCACGCCTATAATCCTAGCTACTCAGGAGGCTGAGGTGGGAGAATTGCTTGAACCTGGGAGGCGGAGGTTGCAATGAGCCAAGATAACGCCACTACACTCCAGCCTGGGCAACAGAGCGAGACTTCGTTTCAAATAAAATAAAATAAATAAATAAAATGAAATAAAAGTGTATACATAAGCTAGGAGATTTTTCCAGATAACAATGAATAAGCAATTCCATTTCCATTTCCACTGAGCCGAGAAAAAGGGGTTGTCAAGTACAACAGAAGGTAGAGGATCATACATAAACCTGAATTAAACTTCCAGAAGATAGCTTTGGCTAAAACTTCTGGATCACAGGAGAGACCCTTACTAATAAGTTGGGAGATCCCTGATCTTTCTTTGGGTCAATTGCACTCCATATTCTGTGTTATAGAAACTAATAATTAAGGATGTAGCTTAGAAGTTTATAAGACTTCTTTTTGTTTTTTGGAGATGGAGTCTTGCTCTGTGGCCCAGGCTGGAGTGCAATGGCACCGTCTCAGCTCACTGCAACCTCTGCCTTCTGGATTCAAGAGATTCTCCTGCCTCAGCCTCCCAGGTAGCTGGGATTACAGGTGCCCGCCACTATGCCTGGCTAATTTTTGTATTTGTGGTAGAGACGGGGTTTCACCATTTTGCCAGGTTGGTCTTGAACTGCTGACCTCGTGATCCGCCCACCTCGGCCTCCCAAAGTGTTGGGATTACAGGCATGAGCCACTGTGCCCAGCCTAGAAGACTTCTTGATGATCATGGTAGAAAGACTTAAAATTTACCTAGTAAAATCATGAAATCTTGTCTCTAGATTTCTAGGAATAATGAATAGGCAGTTAGAAAAGTTTCAGAGTTGTGAACTGTTTGATCTCTTGAGGGTTCCTTAAACTATATAATTCTGGAATTTGTGTGACAGACTGCTATGTAAACAAATAACTAAAATAATTTTTTTAGTTTATCTAGTCTGTGTATTCCTTTGATATTCGTTTCCTCTCTATAATGCTCAATGAAGGTAAATAAAAACATCATGTTCTGTATTTCTCTCAAATTTTAAATCATTGTACAAACTTATTGGCTAAAAATGTATAGTTTATTATCCTGAAAGTATGTTTGTTTCTTTCACCTCCCTACGAGCAAATCTTGTTCAAAACGTTATAACCTAAAAATGAAAAGCACATATTACAGAAAATATATTTTTAGTCTAAATCTTTTTTACTCAATAATATATTATCTTGGGACATACTCCTAACCAAACCTAATCCAAAGATGCATAATTATTGTTAATAATAGATTAAAATGTAATTTACATACCATGTGATTAACCCCTATAAAGTACAGAATTCAGTTCCTAAGTCTTTAATTCATTTTGAGTTGATTTTTGTATATGGTGTGAGATAAAGGTCTAATTTAATTTTTTTCCATGTGGTTATCTAGTTTTTCCCAACAACATTTATTTAAAACACCATCCTATCTCTATTGTGTATTCTTGGCACCCTTGATAAAGATCAGTTGACTATAAATACACAGATTTATTTTTGGACTCTCTTACTTTGTTATTGGTTTATGTCTGTTTTTATGTCAGTACCATACTGTTTTAATTACTGTAGCTTTGTAATATACTTGAAATCAGAAAGTGTGATACCTCCAGCTTTTTTCTTCATGTTCAGGGTTGCTTTGGCTATTTGGGGTTTTTTGAGAGGTACTTTTGGCCCCATATGAATTTTAGAATTGTTTTTTCCATTTCTATAAACAATTATGTTGGGACTTGGATAAAGATTGTATTGAATCTGTAGATCACTTTGGGTATTATGGATATTTTAACAATATTAATTTTTCCAATCTGTAAACATCTAATGTCTTTCCATTTATCTGTGTCTTTAATTTCATTAACAGGGCCAGGCACAGTGGCTCAGGTATGTAATCCCAGAACTTTGGGAGGCCCAGGCTGGCGGATTGCTTGAGGCCAGGAGTTCGAGACTAGCCTGGCCAACATGGCAAAAAACCCCTCTCTCCTAAAAATACAAAAATTAGCCGGGTGTGGCAGTGCATGCCTGTAATCCCAGCTACTCAGGAGACTGAGGCAAAAGAATTGCTTGAACCTGGGAGGCGAAAGTTGCAGTGAGCCAAGATTGCGCCATAGCACTCCAGCCTGGGCAAAAGAGCAAGACTCAAAAAAAAAAAAAAAATTGGCCAGGCGTGGTGGCTCATACCTGTAATCCCAGCACTTTGGGAGGCTGAGGCAGGTGGATCACAAGGTCAGGAGTTTGAGACCAGCCTGGCCAATATGGTGAAACCCTGTCTTTACTAAAAATACAAAAATTAGCCAGGGGCGTGGTGGTGCACGCCTGTAGTCCCAGCTACTCGGGAGGCTGAGGCAGAAGAATTGCTTGAACTCTGGAGGTGGAGTTTGCAGTGAGCCGAGATCGCGCCACTGCACTCCAGCCTGGGTGACAGAGTGAGACTCCATCTCAAAAATAAATAAATAAATAAATCATTCATTAATGCTTTATAACTTTCAGTGCCTACTTTTAAATTGAGTTGTGTTTATATTATTGAATTGTGGGAGTTCTCTCTTTTTTTTGAGACAGGGACTCAGTCTCATTCTGTTGCCCAGGCTGGAATGCAGTGGCATTTGCTCACTGCAACCTCCACCTCCTGGGCTCTGATGATCCTCCCACCTCAGACTCCCAAGTAGCTGGGATTACAGGCACACACCACCATGTCCAGCTCATTTTTGTATTTTTTGTAGAGACGGGGTTTTGCCATGTTGCCCAGGCTGGTCTCGAACTCCTGGGCTCAAGTGATCCACCTGCCTCAGACTCCCAAAGTGCTAGGATTACAGGCATGAGCCACTGCACCCCACTTCACCCCCCCTTTTTGATGGCTTCCTGTTTTTAGGGGGAAGAGATGCTGCCTGACTTCAAGGCCAGGGTCTTCACTGAAGGTGGTAGGTCTGGGTCTCCTGGAGAAGGCAATAGCTCCCAATCCTTTCCTTTTTTATTATATTTCATTGAAGTTTGTTTCCTCTTTGTATTTTTTGCAGAGATGGGGTTTCACTATGTTGCCTAGGCTGGTCTGGAATTCCTGACCTTAAGCAATCCTTCCACCCCAGCCTCACAAAGTGTTGAGATTACAGGCACCTTACCCAGCCTGTGAGAGCTCGTTATATATTACAGATTCAAATCTGTATTAGGCCATTTTTTGCATTGCTATAAAGAAATACCTAAAATACAGGCTGGGTGTGGTGGCTCACGCCTGTAATCCCAGCTACTTGGGAGGCTAAGGTGGGAGGATAGGTTTAGTCTAGGAGGTAGAGGCTGCAGTGAGCTGAGATTGTGCCTCTGCACTCCAGCTTAGGCAACAAAGCAAGACCCTGTCTCAAAACAAGACAAAAGAAAAAGAAAAAAGGAAATACCTGAGGCTGGGTAATTTATAAAGAAAAGAGGTTTTACTGGCTCACAGTTCTGCAGGCTGTACAAGCATGGCACCGACATCTGCCGGACTTTTGGTGAGGACCTCAGGAAGCTTACAATCATGGTGGAAGGTGAAGGGGGTAGCCAAAGTATCACATGGTGCAAGTGGGAGCAGGGGAGGGAGAAGGGGGAGGTCCCAGACTTTTTTTTTTTTTTTTTTTTTTTTTTTGAGACGGAGTCTCGCTCTGTCGCCCAGGCCGGACTGCGGACTGCAGTGGCGCAATCTCGGCTCACTGCAAGCTCCGCTTCCCGGGTTCACGCCATTCTCCTGCCTCAGCCTCCCGAGTAGCTGGGACTACAGGCGCCCACCACCGCGCCCGGCTAATTTTTTGTATTTTTAGTAGAGACGGGGTTTCACCTTGTTAGCCAGGATGGTCTCGATCTCCTGACCTCATGATCCACCCGCCTCGGCCTCCCAAAGTGCTGGGATTACAGGCGTGAGCCACCACGCCCGGCCGGTCCCAGACTTTTTTAAACAACATATCTCTCATGAACTAACTGAGCAGGAGCACACTTATCACCAAGGGAATGGTGCTGAACCATTTGTGAGGGATCAGCCCCCTGTGATCCAATGGCCTCCCACCAGACCCCACCTCCAACACTGGGAATCAAATTTTAACATGGGATTTGGAGTGGACAAACATGCAAACCATAACAAAGTCCTTTATCAAACATATGATTTATAAAGTTTTTGCCATTACATGGGCTGTCTTTTCATTTTCTTGAGGATATCCTTTGAAGTACATTTTCTTTCTTTCTTCCTTTTTTTTTTTTTTTTTTTTGAGACAGAGTCTTGCTCTGTCGCCCAGGCTGGAGTGCAATGGCACAGTCTTGGCTCACTGCAACCTCCACCTCCCAGGTTCAAGTGATTCTCCTGCCTCAGCCTCCTGAATAGGTGGGATTACAGGCATGTACCACCATGCCCAGCTACTTTTTGTATTTACAGTACAGACGGGGTTTCACCATTTTGGACAGGCTGGTCTCAAACCCCTGACCTCGAGTGATCTGCCCACCTTGGCCTCCCAAAGTGCTGGGATTACAGGTGTGAGCCACCGCACCTGGCCCTAAAGTACATTTTCTTGATGGAGTTCTTTTTTTTTTTTTGAAACGGAGTCTCACTCTGTCGCCCAGGCTAAAGTGCAGTGGCATGATCGCAGCTCGCTGCAACCTCCGCCTCCCGGGTTCAAGCAAGTCTCTACCTCAGCCTCCTGAGTAGCTGGGATTATAGGCTCCCGCCACCACACCCAGCTTATTTTTGTAGTTTTAGTAAAGGCAGGGTTTCACCATCTTGGCCAGGCTGGTCTTGAACTCCTGACCTCGTGATCCACCCACCTTGGCCTCCCAAAGTGCTGGGATTACAGGCGTGAGCCACCACGTCCAGCCTTGATGGAGTTCTTTTAATGATGTCAGATTTATCTCTTTTTTTCTCCTGTTGCTTGTGTTTTTAGTGTCATAGCTAAGAAACCATAGCTAGGCCAGGCGCAGTGGCTCATATCTGTAATCCCAGCACTTTGGGAGGCCGAGATGGGTGGATCACTTGAGGTCAGGAGTTTGAGACCAGACTGGTCAACATAGCGAAACCCTTATCTCTACTAAAAATACAAAAATTAGCCAGGTGTGGTGGCATGTGCCTGTAATCCTAGCTACTCAGGAGGCTGAGGCACGAGAATCACTTGAACCTGGGAGAAGGAGGTTGCAGCAAGCCGAGATCGCGTCACTGCACTCTAGCTTGGGTGGCAGAACGAGGCTCTATCTCAACAACAACAACAACAAAAAAAGAAAGAAAGAAAAGAAACCATAGCTAATTCAAGATCATGCAGATTTACACCTATGTTTTCTTCTGTGTGTTTTATATTTTTAACCCTTACATTTAGATCTTTGATCCATTTTGAGTCAATTTTTGTATATAGTATGAGGTAGGTATTCAACTTTATTCTTTTGTATGTGGATAAATAGTTCTCCCTGACCTTGTTTGTTGCAAAGACTATTCTTTCCCCCATTCAATTGTCTTGGTACCTTTGTTCAAAACCAATTAACCATAATGTGAGGCCGGGCGCGGTGTTTCACGCCTGTAATCCTAGCATTTTGGGAGGCCGAGGCGGGCGGATCACTAGGTCAGGAGATCGAGACCATCCTGGCTAACACAGTGAAACCCTGTTTCTACTAAAAATACAAAAAATTAGCCGGGCGTGGTGGTGGGCGCCTGTAATCCCAGCTACTCAGGAGGCTGAAGCAGGAGAATGGCATGAACCTGGGAGGCGTAGCTTGCAGTAAGCCGAGATCACGCTACTGCGCTCCAGCCTGGGCAACAGAGTGACTCTGTCTCAAAAAACAAACAAACAAACAAAAAACCCATAATGTGAGCATGTATTTCTCTTAACTATTTTTTGTTGTTTTAAAGTCTACTTTGTTTGATATTAGTATAGTCACTCCAGGTATTTTGTGGCTGCTGTTTTTTACCATCTTTTTATTTTCAACTTACTTGTATTTGTGGCATAACAAATTGCTATAAGTTCAGTGGCTTAAAACAACATATGTTTATGATCTCACTTCCACAGGACAGAGTTTGGCATGGCTTATTGGGCCCTCTGCTTAGGGTCTCACGAGGTTGTAATCAAGGTGTTGGCTGGGTTACACTCTCATCTTGACCTAAGGGTTTTCTTCCAAGCTCATCACGTTGTTGGCAGATTTCGGATGCTTGTGATTATAAGAGGAGACCATTAGCTCTTAGAGGCCACCTTTCTCCATAGGCAGTTCACACATGGCTGTTTTCTTCTTGAAGGCCATCAGAAGAGCATCTCAGCTGACTCAAGTCTCCCTTGTTAGGGAAGGGTTAGAGCCTCTTTTAAGGGTCCACCCGATTATGTCAGGCTCATTATGTCAGGCTCATTTAATGTCTTAGTTCATTTTGTGTTGCTATAAGGGAACACCTGAGACTGGGTAATTTATAAAAAAAAGGTTTATTTGGCTCATGACTGATTCTGCTGGCAGGAAGACCACGCATCTGATGAAGTCCTCAGGCTGCTTCCATTCATAGTGGAAAGCAAAGGGGAGTTGGTGTCTGCAGAAATCACGTGGTGAGAGAGGAAGCAAGAGCGAGTGAGAGGGGAGGTGTCAGGCTGTTTTTAGCAACCAGGTCTCACAGGCACTAACAGAATGAGAACTCACTTGCTCTGCCCCCGACACAGAGGGCCTTAGGCCCTCTGTTTGATCCTCCAACATTGAGGATCAAATTTCAAATTTCTTTTCTTTCTTCTTTTTTTTTTTTTTTTTGAGACAGGATCTCACTCTGTTGCCCAGGCTGGAGTGGACTGCAGTGGAATGATTATGGCTCACTGCAACCTTGATGTCCCTGAGCTCGGGTGATCCTCCCATCTCAGCCTCCCAAGTAGCTGGAACTACAGGCACACACCACCATGCCTCACTAATTTTTTGATTTTTTGGTAGAGAGAGGGTTTCACCATGTTGCCCAGGCTGGTCTTGAACTCCTGGGCTCAAGTGATCTGCCCACCTCAGCCTCCCAAAGTGCTGGGATTATAGGCATGAGCCACCGTGCCCAGCCAGAAATCAAATTTTCAACATGAGACTCGGAGGGGACAAACATTCAAACTATAGCACCCAGGAGAGTTTCTCTTTTGATGAACTCAATATGAATTTATTAGGGGCCTTTTTTTTTTGAGATGGAGTCTAGCTCTGTCACCCAGGCCGGAGTGCAGTGGTGCGATCTCAGCTCACTGCAAGCTCTGCCTCCCAGGTTCACGCCATTCTCCTGCCTCAGCCTTCCTAGTAGCTGGGACTACAGGCACCTGCCACCACGCCCGGCTAATTTTTTGTATTTTTAGTAGAGATGAGGTTTCACCGTGTTACCCAGGATGGTCTCAATCTCCTGACCTCGTGATCCGCCAGGCTTGACCTCCCAAAGTGCTGGGATTACAGGCGAGAGCCATCGTGCCCCACCTATTAGGGGACTTAATTACATCTGCAACATTCTTTCACCTTTTGCCACATTCTATTAGTTAAAAGCAAGACAGAAGTTCTGCCCACACTCAGGAAGAAGGGACTAGAGAAAAATGTAAATGCCGGGGATAAGAATCATGGGACTATCTTAAAATTAAGGCTACAATCAACGGACATGGGCCAATGTAGAACTTCTCTGTACAGGCCTTTTATCTGTTTTGATTTTGAAGTACATGAATTTATTACTTACTCAAAAATAAAATAAAATTTAGTCTTTGTATTTGCCTCAGACTTTTATGTCTTTTACCACAAGGACCTCATTGTGTAGTTGTTTTGGCCCTAAAATCATTAAGTTATTATCAGGTCCTGGTTAAGAACATGGACTCCAGAGCCAGGCTGTGTAACCCTGGGCAAAATCTTGAATCTTTCCGTGCCTGTTTCTCTTTTCATAAAATGGGCTAATTACAGTACTCCTAGCTTAGGTCTCTCTTCCCCTTGTTACAAAGTCACCAGTCCCACTCCCATGATAACCCATTAATCCATTAATCTGTAAATGGATTAATCCATTCATGAGGGCAGAACCATCATGACCCAGTCACCTCTTAAAAGCTGTACCTCTCAATACTACTACATTGGGGCTTACATTTCAACATGAGTTTTGGAGGCACAAATATTCAAACCATAGCAACCTGAAAACATTTACAGCCTTCTCTGGAATATATACATGCTTAATAAATATTTGCAGCAGATTTTTTTAAAAAGAAGATTGTTGAAAGCCTCTGGAAGATTTGCTAGTTAGTTCAATAATGCTGCTGTGTTTCAGAATAAAGCTAGTGTGGAAATGTAAAATGATGCAGCCACTCTGGAAAACAATTTCCCAGTTTCCTTTTTTTTTCTCTGTTTTAGATCCAGGTACAGACTGGATCTCAGTTTCTTAAAACAAACAAACAAACAAATTAAACACATATAATTACCATATGATCCAATTGCACTCCTGGGTGTTCATCTCAGAGAAATGAAAACTACATCCAAATAAAAACATAGGCCAGGCGCAGTGGCTCACGCCTGTTATCCCACCACTTTGGGAGACTGAGTAGGCGAATCACTTGAGGTCAGGAGTTCGAGACCAGCCTGGTCAACATGGTGAAACCCCATCTCTACTAAAAACACAAAAATTAGCAAGGCATGGTGGCACGTGCCTGTAATCCTAGCTACTCGGCAGGCTGAGGCAAGAGAATTGCTTGAACCCGGGAAGCGGAGGGTGCGGTGAGCTGAGATCGTGCCACTGCACTCCGGCCTGAGTGACAGAGCAAGACTCAGTCTCAAAACAACAACAACAACAACAAACAAATAAAAACATGTACATGAACGTTCATCGCAGTTTTATTTGTGATAGCCCCAAATTGGAAACAACCGGAAAGTCCTTCAATGGATCCATGGTTAAACAAATATGGTACCTGAGTACCATGAATTACCACTCAGCAATAAAAAGGAACAAACTATTGGTGTATGCAATTTGGACAGATCTCAAGGGAATTATGCAGAGTGAAAAAAGCAAATCTCAAAAGGCTTCATAATGTATGATTCCATTTATATAACATTCTCAAATGACAAAATTATAGATGGAGAACAAAGTAGTGGTTGCCAGGAGTCGGAGATAGAGTCGGGAGAGGGGCTGGAGCTGCCATGACTGTAAAGGGGCAACATGAGGGATCTCTGTGATGATGGAACAATTTTATATCTTTTTTTATTTGTTTATTATGTTTTTTAGAGACAGGATATTACTCTGTGACCTAGGCTGGAGAGCAGTGGCACAGTCAGAGCTTACTGTAGCCTCAAATTCCTGGGCTCAAGTGATCCTCTTGCCTCAGCCTTCCAGGTAGCTGGGACTACAGGCATCGCCACCATGCCTGGCTAATTTTTTTTAAAAAGTCCGTAGGGACGGGGTCTCGCTATGTTGACCAGGCTGGTCTCCAACTCCTGGGCTCAAGCAATCCTCCTGCTTCAGCCTCCCAAAGTGCCGGAATTACAGTTGTGTGCCACCATGCCTGGCTTATTTTTATATGTTGATTGTGGTGGTATTGACACAAATCTACATGTAGTACAATTGCATAGAATGACACACACATAAATCAATGCACATAAAACCCATGAAATCTGAATAATGTCTGTGGATCATACCAATATTAATTTCCTGGTTTTGATAGTGCTATAGTTACATGTTACTACTGGGGGAAACTAAGGGTATACAAGCTCTCTCTGCACTAATTTTGCAATTCCTGTGAATTTATTTCAAATTTTTAAAAATCAGATTTTGAGTCATGATAATAAAGGCTTCTTCTCTCCTTGATTACAAAAGAATTTACCCATAGTTTTCTTCTGGTGCCTTTCATTTTCTAGGCATTTTGAAATTTTTATTGGGTTAAAACAGAAAGACTCTGGGCCGGGTGTGATGGCTCACACTTGTAATCCCAGCACTTTGAGAGGCCGAGGCAGGTGGATCACGAGGTCAAGAGATTGAGACCATCCTGGCCAACATGGTGAAATCCCACCTCTACTAAAAATACAAAAATTAGCTGGGCGTGGTGGCGCGTGCCTGTAGTCCCAGCTACTCAGGAGGCTGAGGCAGGAGAATCACTTGAACCCAGGAGGCAGAGGTTGCATCGAGCCAAGATCGTGCCACTGCACTCCAGCATGGTGACAGAGCAAGACTCCATCTCAAAGCAAAATCAAAACCAAAAAACAACAATAAAAAAAACCCAGAAAGACTCTGTACATAGAACTACCTACACAACAAATTCTCTTGGAAGTTTTATATACTTCTTAAAAGCTTAACTGAAATAAACTCACGCAAACCTGGTCATTGCCCAGCGATCCCTATATCATCCTCTCCTACACAAGCCAGAAGTGGGAGTAATCCTCGACATCTCCGCTCCTTTATGCCCCAACACTCCGTAGTCAGTCTTTCATTGAGTTGTGTCAGTTTAACTTACTAACTATCTCTTGAATACATTCACTTACCACCCTTTCTTCTTCCACTATTGTGGTCGAACTTACCATCAGGTTCTGTAGGACTACTGCAAAAATGAGCTGCTTCTGTATCCTATATCCATGCCTTGGGTATATCCTGCAAGCTTTTCAAAATGCAAATCTGGTAACATCTCTCACCCACCCATCTCCTCTTCCCCCACGGAGGGCATTTAAAAGTACCCTTGATAGCTTCCCATTGAGTTTGGTTGGATAAAGACCAGATTTTGGCCAGGCACGATGGCTCACACCTGTAATCCCTGCACTTCGGGAGGTCAGGGCGGGCGGATCGCTTGAGCCCAAGAGTTCAAGACCTGGGCAACATGGTGAAACCCTGTCTCTACAGAAAAAAACAACACACAAAAAAACAAAAATCAGCAGTGTGGTGGCATGCACCTGTAGTCTCAGCTACTTGGGAGGCTGAGGTGGGAGGATCGCTTGAACCCAGGAGGCAGAGCCAAAATTGCGCCACTGCACTCCAGCCTGGGCAACAGAGCGAGACCCTGTCTAAAAAAAAAAGACCCAAATCTTAAAATGGCCTTAAAATGGACAGCACTGTATGATTTGGACCTTGTCTGTAACTATTGCTTTTGCCATCACTCCCTCCCTCAGCCCAGGTAAAAACTCTTCTACTTGGTTCTCCTCCATCCCATGATCTGTCTTTTGCTACAGGGCCTTTGCATATTTCCTCTCAGGAATGTCCTCTACCTCCAACTTGGTTAACTTCAGTTCATTCTTTGGCTTATGACTTCTTCAGAGCAGCTTTGAGTCCCAGATAAAAACTTAGGTTTCTCACATATATGACAGTACATGATCTCATAGGACTGTATTCCTTCTTTCAAAGCATTTCTACATTTCTACATTAATTAGCATCAGGATTTGCTTAATATCTGTGCCCTTCATTAAACTGTCAGTTTCATGAAAAGTATGGCTATGTCTCTTTTGGCTTAGTATTGTATCTTTATTGCTTATGACAATGCCTGGCATGCAGCAAACATGTAGAAATATACTTGTTTGATACTGAATTAAGGACCAGGGTTCTAATCCAGGTCTGTGATTTTCCAGAAGTGTTAAGTTGGGCAGATTACTTAACTTCTCTGAACTGTTTCTTCATAGGTAAAATGGGCATCTTAATCTGTGTTCCCTAGGAAGCAGGGCCTAAGACAAAGTCTTTTGTGCTTTATTAGGGAGTGCAACAGCTGGGAGCAGAAGCTAGTGGAGGGAAGCGAGGAGTGAAGGGGTCGTTGAGCTTGCTGGAGCTAAATGCTACTGAGAAGTTGTATAAACGATCTCAGGACAGTTCATGTGAGGAAAGAAAGGGGTCCTGTTATCCACCTGCTTGAAGTGCTTACTCTCCCACACTTGTAGGTAGGCATGGAGGTGCTGCCAGACCGCACTGCATGAGATGGTTGCAGTCCATGTGGAGCTGGTCAGCACAGCAGCAGCACCTAACCTGCAGGGTCCTGGTGGGGGTTGCTGGAGACCGCGCCTGGCACATCTCAGCAGGCAATAAACAAACAATCAAGGCCAGGCGCGGTGGCTCATGCCTGTAATCCCGGCACTTTGGGAGGCCGAGGCTGCTGGATTGCCTGAGGTCAGGAGTTCAAGACCAGTCTGGCCAACATGGTGAAACCCCGTCTCTACTAAAAATACAAAAAAATTAGCTGGGCGTGCCAGGCGCGGTGGCTCACGCCTGTAATCCCAGCACTTTGGGAGGCCGAGGCGGGCAGATCACCTGAGGTCAGGAGTTCGAGACCAGCCTGACCAACATGGAGAAACCCCGTCTCTACTAAAAATACAAAATTAGCCAGGCGTGGTGACACATGCCTGTAATCCCAGTTACTCGGGAGGCTGAGGCAGGAGAATCGCTTGAACCTGGGAGGCAGAGGTTGCGGTGAGCCGAGATTGCGCCATTGCACTCCAGCCTGGGCAACAAAACTCCGTCTCAAAAAAATAAATAAATAAATAAATAAATAAATTAGCTGGGCGTGGTGGCATGTGCCTGTAATCCCAGCTACTCGGCAGGCTGAGGCAGGGGAATTGCTTGAACCTGGAGGTGGAGGTTGCAGTGAGCCGAGATCACGCCACTGCACTCCAGCCTGGGCGACAGAATGAGACTCTGTCTCAAAAATAAATAAATAAATAAATAAAAATTTTTTAAAAAGTAACACTCATTGTTGTAATTAGGAATATTCTCATTCCTAAAATTCCTTCTTTTTTCCTTCCTAAAATATCCTTTCTTCCTCTTCCTGTTTTTAAAATATCTCCTTCCTTCCTCCCTCACTTCTTCCCCAGCTGCCCTCCACCCCCACCCATCATGATGGCTGGGGGTGGAGGGCAGCTGGGGAGGAAAAAAGCTGCATAGACTTTCATGACCTGAGAAGTGCCACACAGTCATGTTGGCCACATTCTATTCATTTCAAGAGAGTCACTAAGTCTGGCCCACACTCAGGGGGAGGGAAATTAGGCTTCACATTTTGAGGGGAGGAGTATCAGAGGATTTGTTGGCATTAAAACCTTCAGGAGAGAAAGGAGAACAACTGGGTGAACAGGGGCAGAGCTGGGAGGGAGATTTTCACTACACATATCTTTGTACTCTTTGAACTACATACTTGACTATATTAGTCAAGTAATTTTTTTTTTTTTTTGAGACGGAGTCTCGCTCTGTCACCCAGGCTGGAGTGCAGTGGCGCAATCTCTGCTCACTGCAAGCTCCGCCTCCGGGGTTCACGCCATTCTCCTGCCTCAGCCTCCCGAGTAGCTGGGACTACAGGGGCCCGCCACCACGCCCGGCTAATTTTTTGTATTTTTAGTAGAGACGGGGTTTCACCGTGTTAGCCAGGATGGTCTCGATCTCCTGACCTCCTGATCCGTCCGCCTTGGCCTTCCAAAGTGCTAGGATTACAGGCGTGAGCCAACGCGCCCAGCCAATTTTTTTTTTTTTTTTTTGAGACAGGGTCTTGCTCTGTCTCTCAGGCTGGTGTGCAGTGGCACGATCACCCTCATGGCAGCCTCAAATTCTGGGCTCAAGCGGTTCTCCTGCCTCAGCCTCCCGAAGACCTGGGACTACAGATGTGGGCCACTACTCCTGATTAACTTTTTTCACATAATAAATTAATTACATTTATTTTACAAAGAAATATTTCAAGCTACAACATTTGGTAAAATCAGAAAAGATGAAGAAAAAAGGTCCAAAGAGGGTGTGGGCTGGCGCGGTGGCTCACGCCTGTAATCCCAGCACTTTGGGAGGCCAAGGCCGGCGGATCACGAGGTCAGGTGATCGAGACCATCCTGGCTAACACGGTGAAACCCCGTCTCCACTAAAAATACAAAAAATTAGCCAGGCGTGGTGGCGGGCGCCTGTAGTCCAGCTACTCAGGAGGCTGAGGCAGGAGAATGGCGTGAACCCGGGAGGCAGAGCTTGCAGTGAGCCGAGATTGTGCCACTGCACCCCAGCCTGGGCAACAGAGCAAGACTCCGTCTCAAAAAAAAAAAAAAAAAAAAAAAAAAGAGGGTGTGAATGGGAGAAATTGGTTGAGGTGAAATCGACCTTCACCAAGACAGGTGGGAAAAAGGGAAGGTCTACTTGGTGTGCCCCCTGGACCCTCTCTTCCCTTCATTTAGCACTGTCACTTTCCAGGGCATGGGATGGTAGGCAGCAGCAGTTCTGGATAATGGATTTGTGGAAGAGAAGAATCCATCTAAAGCACTCTTTAGCCACAGCCCATGATCACTTTTTTTAAAAAATTTTTATTTTTTGCTTTGCTGTTGTTCCACTCTGTCCATACATTGTTTAATACAGGATGGCACACAATACCATTCCTGGTTAAATGTTTCACTTAACAAGCGCCACCCTCTACTCCTCCAACTCCTGTCTCAGGTTTGACAGCTATTTTTTTAACCTAATTTGCGCACGCCAAGAGGATTTCACCTAGTAACTACACGGAGAGACATCCGATGCGTACAAAGACGTGGCATGAAACGCTGCAGGTTTATTGTCTCTATAAAAAGATCGTTAAGGTCGAGCGTGCTAACGTGTGCGGTACTAACTGTACTCACTACGCCCTGGTCACTTTATAGCACAAGTCCGAGGCAAGGAAAGAAGTTTTACAAACAAAACTGGTCAACTGTTCTATCTTCTTACTCCTGGAAAACAATAAAGGTCCACTTTCAAACCATTTGGACGCACTTGCTCCTTCTAAAGGGTTAGGGAGTCCCGGCAGATAGCGTACCCCTCCCCGCCCAGCAGCAGAGAGCAAAGTCCTTCCTGCCGATCCTGCAGACCCCGGAGTCCAAATGGGACCCCGTCCACACGACCGCGGAGTCGCCTCCGAAGACGGCGGTGTCTGGGGCGTGGAGGGCACGGCTGGAGGCTGAGTGGGGTCCACCTTCGCGTGGCCCAGGCTCTTCCATTCACGGGGGGCCCCGCCAGGTTCAGGCTCCAGCCCTGGGTAGTGAAGGGGAAACGGGGAACGGAAGGAGGGAGGGCACGTCACGGGAGCAGGACTGCAGGACCGCGGGTCAGGGGGCGCAGGAACGCCAAAGAAAAGACAAGCACCGAGGGCCGGGAAGGGTGTAGGCTGCAGTGGCAGCGGATCCCCGGCCGCCGCTTCCGGCGCCTCCCGGCCCAGCTCTCCCGCGCCGACTCTGCCACATCCTCCGGTGACGTCAGCCGGGGCCGCCATATTGGAAAGGCGCCGCCGCCGCCTCCGCCTTGGAGCTCGGGGTGTTTCGGGGACTGCGGCCACAGGCAGGAAGGCGCTCCTCTCCTGCCCCGCCGACGCCCGGCCAGCCCGCTTCGCCCTGACCTGTTTCCTCATGACTGCCCCCGGCCCTGCTGCCGACGGACGTCGCCCCGGCGTCCGGATTTAACACGGAAACCCGGATCGGAGGCCGCGCGGGGAGGAGGAGGGCGACCCGGTCGGTCCTGCGACCCTCTCGGCCCGGCTCGGCGCCTCGGCGGGAGCCATGACCTCGCTGACCCAGCGCAGCTCCGGCCTGGTGCAGCGGCGCACCGAGGCCTCCCGCAACGCCGCCGACAAGGAGCGGGCGGCGGGCGGCGGCGCCGGCAGCAGCGAGGACGACGCGCAGAGCCGCCGCGACGAGCAGGACGACGACGACAAGGGCGACTCCAAGGAAACGCGGCTGACCCTGATGGAGGAAGTGCTCCTGCTGGGCCTCAAGGACCGCGAGGTGCGGGCGCGGCGGGCTGGGCGGGGGGCGGCGGCGCGGGGCCCGGGCGCCAGGTGAGCTCCAGGTAGGTGCCAGGTGAGCGCCCGAGGCTTCCGGCCCGCGCACCTGCCCTCGCTCCGAAGTCCGCGCCTGGTGGCGCCCAGCTGACGCCGAGCGGTGTCGGAGTTGGTTGACCCCCTGGCGCGGCTGGTGCTTTCTGGATCCTCCCCGTAGAGATGGCTTGGATTTTTCCTTACCCCTTTCACAGTCGCTCCTTTCATTTCGACACCCTGGCAGTTTGTATTTCTTCGTCGCCTTTTTTCCGCGTTTTTAACCCGTGTAGACCCCAGGGTGCAAATCCAACCCGGAGACTGCCCGGGAAACTAACAGCTGGAGCCACCAGCGCCACGAACTCTTTGGGTTTTTGCAGGCTTTAGGACCTGGGAGGGGTGCCCGGATCTGCTTGCTGGGGATGTTTTTTTTTTCTTCTTCTTCAGTTAAAGCTTACTGTTGGGAATTACGAAAAACGTAGGCGAAGTGGTAATAGAGGGAAAAGCTCTTTTACTGAGTAAAGTTAAGTTAAGTTTCTCATGAAACCTCCTGGTAAATGACTTTCTAGGTGAACTTACATTAGGTGAGAGATTATTTTTAGTATCGCTTTTATATTTTATCAGTTGATGAATCTCAAAGTCTTGCCGTCTTAAGAAAGGGCTTTTTCATCGAGTGCTTGAAATGTAGGTTTGTGAGTTGATCAGAGGCCTCAAAGCTTCAGGTGGGTTGAAGTTGCAATAGATAATTCTTTGTATTCTGACTTTGAAAGCGTTTATTTTCACTTCAGTGTCCAAAATTTTCACACACAGAAAAGTTGAAAAAGTGATAGATACATATGCATATATACTCTTTCTAGATTCTATGACGTTTTGCTGTATTTGTTATATTTGCCTACAAAAATGATTATTTATTTATGTGGAGACGGAGTTTCGCTCTTGTTGCCCAGGCTGGAGTGCAATGCCGCGATCTCGGCTTACCGAAATCTCCGCCTCCCGGGTTCAAGCGATTCTCCTGCCTCAGCCTCCTGAGGCAGGCATGCGCCACCATGCCCGGCTAATTTTGTGTTTTTGTTTTGTTTTGTTTTTGAGACGGAGCCTCAGTTTGTCGCCCAGGCTGGAGTGCAGTGGCGCGATCTCCACTCACTGCAAACTCCGCCTCCCGGGTTCAAGCGATTTTCCTGCCTCAGCCTCCCGAGTAGCCGGGACTACAGACGTGCGCCGCCATGCCCAGCTAATTTTCATACCTTTAGTAGAGACGGGGTTTCACCATGTTGGCCAGGATGGTCTCGATCTCTTGACCTAGTGATCCGCCTGCCTCGGCCTCCCAAAGTGCTGAAATTACAAGCTTGAGCCACCGCGCCCAGGCCTGATTTTAAGAAAGTTTTCCAAATTCAGGAAGGTGGGCAAAAAAAAAAAAAAAGTCTTACAAAACAACGTAATCTTTCTTGGTCACTGAAACTTACTAGATATAGGCGAGTTTTATATGGACCGTTTATGGACCTTTCTTATTTAGAAATCTAATGAACTAACGGTTAGCTTGATAGATACGTCTGGGGCATTTGCCATATCTTGGTTTCCCATTTCTCAGGTTTTAATAACAGTAACCTTGAAAAAAGTTGATGTTCCTCTGGCTGTGAAAGGGCTGCTGTACCTGTTTAATTATTGAGTTGTGATGATAAAGCAGGCTGTATGTGCAGTTCCTTGTTCTTTGGATGAAAAAGTAAACTAGGGGTATAGCGTCCTAGTAATGTAATTTTTAGAAAATATTCAACTTTAGGTTTCAAAATTGGAAATCTTGATTATAAACATTTGTCTTTTTTTTTTTCTTTTTTTAGACGGAATCTCGCTCTGTCGCCCAGGCCTGGAGTGCAGTGGCGCCATCTGGGCTCACTGCAACCTCCCCCTCCCGGGTTCAAGCGATTCTCCTGCCTCAGCCTCCCAAGTAGCTGGGATTACAGGCATGCACCACCACGCCCTGCTAATGTTTTTATTTTTAGTAGAGACGGGGTTTCACCATGTTTGTCAGGCTGCTTTTGAACTCCTGACCTCAAGTGATCCACTTGCCTCGGCCTCCCAAAGTGCTGAGATTACAGGTTTGAGCCACCACGCCCGGCCATAAACATTTTTCTTTTTGGACAAAAATAACATTATTATAGACATTTTAGAAAATACAAAAAAAAAGAAAAGCAAAATTAAAACATATTCCTGAGTGAACATTTTGGTTTATAGTTTTTGAGAGTTTTCCGTGTGGATAAAACTCGGTGGAAAACAAAAACCTGAAAAAAAAAAAACTAAAAAATAAGCTTTTGGTGTTCTGAGTCACACTGAGAAATTATAGTGAGGAAATACCTATTTGTTTTTTCAAGTACATGTTACTCTAAATCAAGCTTTTCCAACCCGCGGGCCAAATGTGGCCCAGGATGGCTTTAAATGCGGCCCAACATAAATTGGTAAATTTTCTTAAAACATTATGAAATTTTTTTTGCAATTTTTTTTTTTTAAAGCTCATCAGCTATTGCTAGTGTTAGTGTATTTTATATATGGCCCAAGACAGTTCTTCCAGTGTGGCCCAGGGAAGCCAAAAGGTTGGACACCCTTGCTCTAAATGTTTAAGGTGAAGCATATTAACATGCTGTTTTTCGGTGATTGGGTCTTAAGAAGATAATCTAAATAATTTGTTGAAGTTTAACCATACTCACATAATTTAAACAATTTAAAGTTATTTGGCGGGTAATTGAAACCATGTGTTCTGTTTATTTTGCATCAAGAGTCACTCATTATACTTTGCTAGTCATGGCTAAGGTCCAGATGCTTGCTAGCTTATTGTGAGCATTTCTTCCTGATTTCAGCAACCACATGGGGAAATTTTTTCTCTTTTTTTTTAGGCAAGTCCAGAGAGTTGAGGGGTGGGGTTGAGACTACTGGGATTTTGTATTGCTTTAGGTTTTGGTTTTAGGGATTAGCCTATATATTTTTTCCTTTCATCACATCTTTAAAATTTTTTTTTTTAAGAGATGGAGGTCTCAAGATGTTGCCCAGGCTGCACTCAAACTCCTGGGCTCAAGTGATCCGCCCTGAGTAGCTGGGAATACAAGGTGCATGCCATCAAGCCAACTCATCATGTCTTTACACTCTAATAACCAGCCCTGTCAACTTATCTGTTGGTATGTTTTTCCCTTGGGAGGCTCGCCACCATGTTTTTAACCTATAGTACTCTTTTTAGGAGGCAGGAATTGCTGTCTTACCCTGAGCCCAGGCGTTTATGCTAACTCATTGCTTTAACTGATTTTTACTTCAGCATTTATCTTTTTAATGTCTGGATTCTCCTAAGAACTTTAAAAGCTAAACTTTACATTTAAGCAAATCATTAATGTTGGAAATATTTTATATATGTGAGCTAATAACCTTATGTGAATATACTTGTTAAACCAGTACCTAGAGCAAGAAACAGAAGCCCTAGCCCTCCACTTGAGTATCTTTCCAGTCACTACCCATTCCTCAGGGGTAACCACTGGCTTAATATTAGAATTCAGCATAGATTAATTTTGCCTAGTTTTTTGTACTTTGTGTCTGCTTTTTGTTCAATGTGAGATTCATCCATATCGTGTGAGATTGTCCTTTGTTCTTATTGTCTTACCAATTTATTTTTAACATGTTTATAATCTATAATATTTAAAAAATTACTTTGACATATTCTGAGTCAAGTCTCCCTCTCTTTTTTGCTGAACAGAAGGTTCAGTTTTTGAATAAGCAGATGGTCTGGCTTCAGATTACCTGTTAGGAGTGAGTCTAAAGTCATTGTGATTGATTTTTTTTTTTTTCTTTACACATTTCAGATTTTTTTTTTTTAACCAATGATATTTGTTTTTTGCTTTTATAAAACAGGGATGGCTAGTCCCCTCAGAAGATTTTCATGCTCACTTGGGCAGAGAATCAGTGCATAAGTATTTAAGTAACTCTTTAAAGACCACAGTAAGGATGGCAGATAGTTTACACCTAAATTCAACTGCCAAGTAATTAGCAGTATTTCTTTAATTGACCCAGTGTTTGAGGGGGAGGGACAGCAAAAGTGCCAGGTATTTTCCTTTCCCTGTGTGTGTTTATTCTATAGATGCTTTCCATAGAATATTTTCAGGATGCTTTATTGAGAATTACCACAAATAACTGGTGTCATATATGTTTGAATGTCTTCATTGGTGGCAAATCTTAGTCTTTTAAGGTTAGATTTAATTATTTTCAGTGGCCAAGTATAATTTGGAGTATGCCTATGGAACAGCAGAAGCAGAGAGAGGCTCTATAGTCCTGTCCAAAGTGTATTCTTTGGCTTTTACATATAATTTAAGCCTTCTGAGCTTCAGTGTTTTCATGTATAATGGAAAAGTAGTCATTCCATATGATGGTTCTGATTGTACTGCTGTGGATGTTTATTAACTCCTCCCCAGGTCTTCGCTTTATTTTGTATTACTTTAGGGTTTCCCCATAGTGTGTTGCCTGTTTTTGAGACAGGGTCTTTCTTTGTCACCCAGGCTGGAGTGCAGTGGTGCGATCTTGGCTCACTGCAGCCTCAACCTCTTGGGCTAAAGTGATCCTCCTGCCTCAGCTTCCCGAGGAGCTAGGACCACAGGCACACACCACCATGCCCAGCTAATTAAAAAAAAATTTTTTTTTTATAAAGACAGGGATTTCACCACATGGCTCAGGCTGGTCTTGAACTCCTGGGATCAAGTGATCCTCCCGCTTCAGTCTCCCAAAGTGCAGGTATTAGAGGCATGAGCCACCGCACCTGTTTTTTTTTTTGTTGTTGTGTTTTTTGGTTTTTGTTTTAAGACAGATTGTGCTGTGTCGCCAGGCTAGAGTACAGTGGCGAGATCATAGCTCACTGCAGCCTCGAACTCCTGGCCTCAAGTGATCCTCCCGCCTCAGCCTCCCAAAGTGTTGGGATTACTGCGACCGGCTCTAGGATGCACTCTTGAAGCATATTATTCCCCTGCTGTTTTGTCATGCAGCCAGACTTGTCCAATCATATGTTTTCTTTCAGGGCTTTGGATCTTGAGAGAATAACGAGCTGTAGGGTTTTTTGGAGACCTTTCCAGAGTCATGTCAGCGTGTGGATCAGACTGTTCTTTGGCATGGTTCTTTGAGCTGCTTTCTCTGGTCTGTTGGCACTGTTTTTTTCCAGTCTGATTTTCCAGTCATCTTTCAGTGTTGTGAGTTTCAACAGCCTTCCAGTAAAGTTGCTTTTTAAAGATAGCCAGAGTCAGTTACTAATGTTTCTAATGCTTGTAGACAAGAACTGTAATACAGTAACTTAACTCTATGTCTTGAAAAATAAGTAGGTACTTGAGGTAAATAATATGTAATGGGGTAAAATACTTAAGATTAACCAAAATGATAGAACTGACTTTTGTGTGGCTTTTACACAGGCTCCAAAGATGTTTTCCATTTTTGGAATAAGGTTCCCAAGGTCACTACTTTGAAGTATAATAGTGATGAAGATGTATAACTTAACAAAAATTGTTTTCCTTTCTATACGTGTGGTGATGTCCACCATCTCTACATATCAAATCTGTAAATCAGAAATTCAGTCAACAAGTATTCAGAATTTCCAGATGTGCTGAGTTTTAGTAATTTAAAATATAATAAAGGCTTCTGAGTTTTTAATGAATTTTCGTTGTTTCTAAGACAAATGATATTTCCTTCATATTTTTTGAAGTTTTGAATTTTTATCTATTTTTTTCAGGTGTTTAAACACAGGTATGAGATATACAGGATCTCAGAAATTACTTTTGAAGTTCATTAAACTATTTGATTGTACTTTTTTTCTTTTGAGACAGGGCCTAGCTTTGTCTTCCAGACTGGAGTGTGGTGGTGTGATCATGGCTCATTGCAACCTCGACCTCCTGAACTCAAGCAATCCTCCCTCCTCAGTCTCCTGAATAGCTGGGACTATAGGCGCACCCTATCATGCCCAGCTAATTAAAAAAAAAAATTTTTTTTTGTAGAGACGTGGTCTCACTATGTTGCCTAGTCTCGAACTCCTGGCCTCAAGCAATCTTCCCGCCTTGGCCTCCCAAAGTTCTGGGATTACAGGTGTGAGCCACCACGCCTGGTCTGCTTATTATACCTTTTCAACAAGATTTTATACTGTTGAAATTACTTTTTAGTGCTTTGGGATTCTTTTACAATATGGTCAAAATATTCACTAACTCATCTCATAAGTTATACTAATATTTGATATTTGTTAATTTTGGACTACCTGAGAGTTCTTGTATGGAGCATTTGAATTACGTTTTAGAATTGTATTTTGAAGGCTGGGTGCGGTGGCTCACACCTGTAATCCCAGTACTTTGGGAAGCCGAGGTGGATGGATCACCTGAGGTCAGGAGTTCAAGACAAGCCTGGCCAACATGGTGAACCCCTGTCTCTATTAAAAATATAAAAATTAGCCAGACATGGTGGCGAGCACCTGTAATCCCAGCTACTCGGGAGGCTGAGGCAGGAGAATCACTTGAACCTGAGAGGCGGAGGTTGCAGTGAGCCAAGATTGCGCCACTGCACTCCAGCCTGGGCGACAAGAGTGGAACTCCATCTCAAAAGACAAAACAAAACAAAAGAATTGTATTTTGAAGTTATTTTGATAGATTTTGAAATATTTGGGGGATTTTTTTGATATTTAAAGAAATACACTTTTATAATATCATCTTACATGTAAATCTTAAATACCCTGGAGGCATCAGGCATTATGCTTGTTCTGGTACATAATGTTAAGCTTTTGGCTGTACACTTTTTTATGTCTTTGCAAACTCCCCCCCCCTTCTAACAGCATAACTTTTCTACTGCCATTAATCAGATTAAATAGTATAAAACTATGCTGTAGTCTTTGTTTAGAGGATTTATCTTCATGTTGTGAGTCTCCCTTTGAAGCAGCACAAAAAGACAGTGCTTGTCCTCCTCCTGCTTTTTTTTTTTTTTTAAGATGGAGTCTTGCTTTTATCACTCGGGCTGAAGTGCAATGGCACCGTCTTGGCCCACTGCAACTCCGCCTCCTGGGTTCAAGTGATTCTCCTGCCTCAGCCTCCCAAGTAGCTAGGATTACAGGCGCCTGCCACCATGCCCAGCTAATTTTTGTATTTTTAGTAGAGATGGGGTTTCACCATGTTGGCCAGGCTGGTCTCGAACTCTTGACCTCAAGTGATCCGCCCACCTCGCCTTCCCAAAGGTCTGGGCATGAGCCACTGTGCCCGGCCATGCTGCTGCTTTTTAGTAAGTGTCCTGACAAGTGCCAAAAGTGGAAACCTGGCTTCATTTTGAAATTGATGTTTTTGGCTTCAGGTTTCTCTTATCAAAGCTGGGAAGACTGCAACCTGTTTTAATAGCATTGTACAGTATTACAATGTAATCTAGTACATTTTGAGGTTTTTGACTTAGGTATTACAAATATATTTAGAACATAGGCTATTTCTCTTCCCGTTTGGTAAACCTCTCATCTGCAAAAACACAACTAATATTAAAGTACAGTGTATTGCCAACAAGGATGTTTCTGGTCACTTTTAAGAATAACATTTTAAACAACAACAAAAAAATTTACTTATTTTTAAACTTAATGCATTGTATTTGATTTACATATTCCTTTAATGGAGAAGTTCTTAAATTGGAGTGAACAGAGCTGAGAAACTTTGTGAATTCTCTGCAGTTGTGTGTTTTCTTGGGGAAAGAGGACAGAACTTTCATTAGATACTCAAAGCATTTAGTGAATCAGGAAGGTTAAAAATTACCAAACAGGAACTGTTTGTTTTAGCTTAAGGTTTTCGTCTTTTCTTTTTCCTTCCTGAAAATTAACTACAGAAAATTCCAGGTTTCCAGGGTTGTAGCGAGTTGAATTTTAAGTGATTTGAGATACGAAGTCCACATTTCTGTGGCCTGTCTAGAGGTTCTCATCTTGCTAAATGACATTTAGAAGCAGCATAACTGCTTCTAATCTAGGATTACCACACATCTAGGATTCTAACAGTTTTCATCCATTCATCAAATGTTTACTGAGCACATGCTCTGTGAGAGGCCCTTTACTAAGTACAAATTCACTGAAGAACATGTCTGTCTTCAAGTTCATTCATTTTAGTTCTGTGTGTCAAAGCTCATATAGTAAACTACAAAACTAAATTATGTTGCTGTTCTAGAATTTTTTTTTTTTCTCTTCTGAGACAGAGTCTTGCTCTGTTACCCAGGCTGGAGTGCAGTGGTGCAATCTATGCTCACTTCAACCTCTGCCTCCTGGGTTCAAGCGATTCTCCTGCCTCAACCTTCTGAGTAGCTGGGATTACAGGCACTCACCACCACACAGGGGTACTTTTTGTATTTTTAGTAGAGACAAGGTTTCGCCATGTTGGCCAGGCTGGTCTCAAACTCATGACCTCATGTGATCCACCCACGTTGGCCTCCCAAAGTGCTGGGATTACAGACATGAGCCACCCTGCCTGGCCTGTTCTATAATTTTTTGATGTCATATATTTCAGGCTGGCATTTGGCAGTCACTCAGTACAATGACATTACTCACATTAAGAATACATAATTTACCTAACCCTGGCAGGTGTGGTGGCTCATGCCTATAATCCCAGCACTTTGGGAGGCTGAGGCAAGGGGATTACCTGAGGCAGGGAGTTAGCGACCAGCCTGGCCAACATGGTGAAACTCCATCTCTACTAAAAATACAAAAATTAGCCAGGCAGGGTGGTATGCACCTGAAATCCCAGCTACTCGGGAGGCTGAGGCAGGAGAATCACATGAACCCAGGAGGTGGAGGTTACAGTGAGCTAAGATCATGCCACTGCACTCCAGCCTGGGCAACAGAGCAAGACTATCTCAAAAAAAAAAAAAAAAAAAGAATACATAATTTACCTTATTAAGTAAGCTAATATTATTTATTAAAGTAAATTTACTTATTAAATAAATTTACTTAATACATTTACTGTATTAATTAAGTAGATTACTGGCTTTATTAAGTAAATTATGTATTCCCAGTGTGGTAATGTCATTGCCAAGGGAGTGAAACTTGGTTCTGGGCGTGGTAGTGAAAGAATCGTACTCTTGGCCGGGCGCGGTAGCTCACCCCTGTAATCCCAACACTTTGGGAGTTGAGGCGGGTGGATCACGAGGTCAGGAGATGGAGACCATCCTGGCTAACATGGTGAAAGCCTGTCTGTACTAAAAAAATACAAAGAAATTAGCTTGGCGTGCTGGCGGGCTCCTGTAGTCCCAGCTACTCGGGAGGCTGAGGCAGGAGAATGGCGTGAACCCGGGAGGCGGAGCTTGCAGTGAGCCCATATCGCGCCACTGCACTCCAGCCTGGGCAACAGAGTGAGACTCCGTCTCAAAAAAAAAAAAAGAATCTTACTCCTCTTATGTATAAAAAGGCACACTTACAGTGTACAAACAAATATGTATATTCCATCATATTAAAATTTCATGGGGGAGAAGATAATGAGGAAAAAATCTGGAAGTACTTCTTAAGGGAACAGTGATGAAATAAAGGGTGAGAAACATTGAAATAAGTCACTATGGAAAATTATAAGCTTGTGCTTAGTTGAGGTTTAGAAATCTTTTTCTCTGATAGGAATTTTTATTGCAATAGAATTTGGCTTGTAGTTCAGTAGGAAGAGGAACAATTTTAGCATACTGAACTGCGTGTAGGAACTTATGAGTTAAAGTTTTAAGGTAAAAGTTATTTTTATTGATAATATATAGGCAAACTTTGTATTCCACCACTACCTTCTGGGACAGATTAGAAATTAAGAAACTGTATGTAAAAGTTGCTAATGGTTATTTTTACTCTGGTTTCATTTTCTAGTTCCAGTTTCTTAAATGGAAATGCTAAACAGTTTATACCGTATTAACAAAATAACCTCAGAAATAACACTTAAGAACTTAAATTTCAGTTCAGTCACTGAATGGAGTATACCATTTAATTTTTGTCTATACCATGTTGTGTAGCTAAAGTGAAATTAGAGGTTATTTAGTATTTATATGTTCCGTTTAATCCAAGTATTGAACAGCTTCTCTGTGCCATTCATTCCCTTTGCCAGATGCTGGGGTTACAAAGAAAAAAAATATATATATATATGTATATATTTTTGAGACCAAGTCATGCTCTGTCGCCAGACTGGAGTGCAGTGGCATGATCTTGGCTCATGCAACCTCCTCCTCCTGGGTTCAAGCAATCCTTGTGTCTCAGCCTCCCAAGTAGCTGGGATTACAGGCACATGCCACCATGCCCAGCTAATTTTTGTACTTTTAGTAAAGACGGGGTTTCACCATGTTGGCCAAGCTGGTCTTGAACTCCTGGCCTCCCAAAGTGCTGGGATCACAGATGTGAGCCGCTGTGCCCCCGGCCACAAAGAAAAATTTTTTGCTTTTAAGGAGCATTCAGTCTGCATAGAAGACAGATTTGCGAATGATTTCAATAAAGTGAATTATTAACTTTATCCTGCCTGCCTCTTCTGAGTTACTAACTTTTATGGGAGTATGTGTTAGGTGCAGTAAGGATGTACATAGGGAGGATGCTTTGGATCAGGACCTGCAAGACTGCTGTGTTCTTGACACCTAGCCTTGCCCTTGAGTAGTTGAAAGAATTAGAATAAATATTTTGAATTTTAGAACCTTAGTTTTCTCCTGGGCAAAATGGGCCTACTTTTTTATTTTTTATTTTTGAGACGGAGTCTCGCTCTGTCACCCAGGCTGGAGTGCAGTGGTGCAATCTTGGCTCACTGCAAGCTCTGCCTCCCGGGTTCACGCCATTCTCCTGCCTCAGCCTCCCGAGTAGCTGGGACTACAGGCGCCTGCCACCACACCCGGCTAATTTTTTGTATTTTTGGTAGAGACGGGGTTTCACTGTGTTAGCCAGTATAATCTTGATCTCCTGACCTCGTGATCCGCCCGCCTCTGCCTCCCAAAGTGCTGGGATTACAGGCGTGAGCCACCGCGCCCGGCCATGGGCCTACTTTTGTGTTCTGTCCGAAAGCCTCTAAGTTGTAGGGATCCAATGTGTTGGCATATGTGAGTGCTTTGAAAACCACATGGTGCTGAACAAATGCAAATGGGTAATTACCTAGCCTAGAGAAGTAAGTTAAAGTTTATAGTGGTCTTGACAAGTGACAAGTATTTAATATTTCCATTATTTTTACTATTTCTTGATTCTCTTGCACTTTATATGCTGGGCTTACTGAACGTTTTACTCAAATTCAGATGCTCATCTATGCGTGTATTTTTTTAAAAATTTTAATTTTTTTTTTTTTTGAGACGGAGTCTTGCTCTGTTGCCTAGGCTGGAGTGCAGTGGCCCAATCTCTGCTCACCGCAAGCTCCGCCTCCCGGGTTCATGCCATTCTCCTGCCTCAGCCTCCTGAGTAGCTGGGACTACAGGCGCCTGCCACCACGCCTGGCTAAATTTTTGTATTTTTAGTTGAGACGGGGTTTCATCGTGTTAGCCAGGATGGTCTCTATCTCCTGACCTCGTGATCCGCCCACCTTGGCCTCCCAAAGTGCTGGGATTACAGGCGTGAGCCACCACGCCTGGCCTTAAAAATTTTAATTTTTATGGGCACATAGTAGGTGTATTTATCTCTACCTTTGTTCTGAACCTCTGGTCAGTTTCCTTTTTGTAATTCCTGGCAAAACTGGTTTGGGAAATTTGGAAACTTGAAGTACCACTTGACTTCTGATTTTTATTTTTTTATTTTTTATTTATTTATTTTTCTTTTTTGAGACGGAGTCTCGCTCTGTCGCCCAGGCTGGAGTGCAGTTGTGCGATCTCGGCTCACTGCAAGCTCTGCCTCCCGGGTTCACGCCATTCTCCTGCCTCAGCCTCCCGAGTAGCTAGGACTACAGGCGCCCGTCACCATGCCCTGCTAATTTTTTGTATTTTTAGTAGAGGCGGGGTCTCACCGTGTTAGCCAGGATGGTTTTGATCTCCTGACCTCGTGGTCCGCCCGCCTCTGCCTCCCAAAGTGCTGGGATTACAGGCGTGAGCCACCGTGCCTGGCCCGACTTCTGATTTTTAGGTCAAGCCCAGAGTCTTCCTTAAAGAATCCTTGGGATTGGTTCCATGATTCCTCTTTTCCAGATACTGCTTAGCCTCCAGACGTATCAGTAGCCTCCAAGCCTCCAAAATGACTCCAGTCACAATTAAATAAAATAGCACATGTAAAGTGCCTGATAGTTGGTGCACAATAAATATTAAGTTTCATTACGCCTTGATGCTCCAAATCAGAAAACTCAAAAGGCCTTGACCTCTTCCAGCCCTTGTGGTCAGCAGTTCTCTCCACCTTTCCATATTCTCAGCTTTGGTTTTTTTTTTTTTTTTCCTCAGCTTTGGTTTTTTTTTTTTGAGACAAGGTATGCTCTGTCACCCAGGGTGGAGTCCAGTGGTGTGATCTCTGCTCACTGCAGCCTCAAACTTGCTGGGCTCAGGTGATCCTCCCACCTCAGCCTTCCAAGTAGCCGGGACTACAGGCGTGCGCCACTATACCTGGCTACTTTTTGTATTTTTTGTAGAGATGGGGTTTTGCTGTGTTGCCCAAGTTGGTCTCAAATTCCTGGGCTCAAGTGATCCTCCCTCCTCGTCCTCCCAAAGTGCTGGGATTACAGATGTGAACCACCGGGCCCAGCCTCACCTTATCTTTTTGATGCCACCCAATTTTTTTTTTTTTTTTTTTTTTTTTTTGAGACGGAGTCTCGCTCTGTCACCCAGGCTGGAGTGCAGTGGCGCGATCTCGGCTCACTGCAGGCTCCGCCTCCCAGGTTCACGCCATTCTCCTGCCTCAGCCTCCCGAGTAGCTGGGACTACAGGCACCCGCCACCACGCCTGGCTAATTTTTTGTATTTTTAGTAGCGACGGGGTTTCACTGTGTTAGCCAGGATGGTCTCGATCTCCTGACCTCGTGGTCCGCCCGCCTTGGCCTCCCAAAGTGCTGGGATTACAGGCGTGAGCCACCGCGCCTGGCCCATGATTACTTTTTTAGGTCTTCATGTTTGTGTTAGTGGATCCTTATATGTAAGGCTCTGCCTTTTTCTACCTAGCAGCCAATTCTTAGTTATTTCTTACTGCCTAGTGAGACTCTTCACCTTAATCTAACTTCTTAGTTGCTCTCACATCCTTTTTGCCTACCATTGTATCTCTAGCATCTAGCACAATGCCTAGTATTGCACAAGTGTTTGTCTTTAGAATGAGTGAGGGGACACCATTTTATTTATATCAGTATTATGATAATCACATTGAAATTGTAATTATTATTTCTTCCTTTTCATTCTATGCCTTTGTATATTAGTCATCTTTATCACCTCTGTTTAGTAATGTCTTGGCACTCAGTAGAGTTTATTGAGTTAAAATTATTCTTGAAATATATTACTTCCAGCTGGGTATGATGGCTCATGCCTGTAATCCCAGCACTTTGGGAGACCAAGATAGGAGGATTGCCTGAGTCCAGGAGTTCGAGACCAGCCTGGGCAACACAGCAATACCCTGTCTCTATTTTAATAATAAAAATGTATATTAAACAAATAGAAATTTATTACTTCCAATAATTTTTTTTTCCCCAGAGTCTCATTCTGTCACCCAGGCTAGAGTGCAGTTGTATAATCATAGCTTACTGCAGCCTTGAACTCCTGGGCTCAAGTGATCCTCCCACCTCAGTCTATTTTGAGAATTTAAATAATTACAGTTTTTGCTTTATGCAGCATTATGCCTCAGCCTCCCAAGTGGGAATGATTTTCTGCTTTTAGAAAATAATGCAGAGGCCAGTATCTAATAAATGTTATAGTGACTTGATATAAAACTTACATAGGACTTGTCAAAATGTCCTCAACTTAAAATACTTACCCACAGTATGATGCAGTAGTAAAAGTGCTGTATCTAGAGTCACAGCTCTGGGGCTCGAGGTATCACTGCTCTAGAGTGTGAATGTAGTCATATTTCTTACTTTCTCTAAACCTCAGATTTTTCAAATGTAAAAAGGTGATGATATTTTACTAGGTAATTGTAGAACCTAGATGATAATTTATAAATGGCTTTGCAAACTGAAATGTTATTCTCTTGTATTAAAACCTTCGTGTTTCTTACAGAAGAATAAAGACTGTAGCTTATATTTAGGTCTTACTAACAAGATGCTGTTAAATATACTTTAAAAAACCACTAGTGAAAAACCCTTAAAAATTCATTTGCTTGAGAGGGAGTGTCTGCTCACACTTTGTTTTGTGCTCTCTGCTGTGAAGTGATCAGTGGCAGGTGTGGAAAGAAAAAAGTGATACCAGTCAAGCACCCCAGTCTGAAAATCTGAAATTTGAAATGGTTCCAAAATTTGAAACCTTTTCAGTGCTGACATGATATCACAAGTGGAAGATTCCATACCTGGCACACTTTGTTTCATGCTCAGAACTATTTAAAATATTGTGTAAAATTACATTTGGCTATGTGTATAAGGTATATGTGAAACACAAATGAATTTTGTATTTAGACTTAGGTCCCATCCCTAAGGTATCTCATTATGTATTTGCAAATATTCCAAATCTAGAATCTGAAACACTTCGGGTCCCAAGTACAGGGATACTCAACCTGTACCCTCTTCTGTTTCAGGGGGCTGAAAGGAAGCACACCTAGATCATGCATTAAATAAACAGGTCTTGGAAGGCAAGACAGAAAAGGAGCCAGGGCTTTGGAGCCAGGCAGACCAATTTCATTCCCTGCTTTGCCACTCAGTGCGTGGCAGGTCCTCTGAGCCTCAGTTCCATTATCTTGTGAAATTGGAAGAATAGCACCTACTTTACAAGGTTTCCTAAGAATTAGAAAGAATGTACACTGAATGCTTAACACAGTTTTAACAGCATAGATACTCAGTGTATGGCAGAGTATGACTGTGTGCACTTTAAAAAAGGATTTGGAAGGATACATTCCAAATGTTAATGGAGAGTATCTTGAAGAGGGAATGTGTGAGGGATGGAAGCGGAAGAGAAAGTAGAGACTTTTAATTTTCTGTCATGTATTTCTATTTGAATTTTTTTTGAAAATAAGTGAGAGTACCTGAGAAGTCTGTGTAAGTGGCCAAGAGCACTCCGTTGGAGGAATAGGCAGCAGAAGAGTAACCTGACAAAGAGCCCGAGCAGGAGCTGCCAGAAGAGGGGGATTGTGGAGCCAGCAGGAGGAAGAGTGAGGAGTAGTGGAGATGGACTTGCTGATGATACCTTCGAGTCTGCTGTGAATGGAAAGGAGATAGGGCAGGGTTGGTCCGGGTCTGTCTCTTGTATGATGGTAACTGTGAGAATATTTGAAGGCCAATAGGCAGGTGCTAGTATACATGTTAGAGATTTAAGGTATTTTAGGAGGGCAGGAGTTGTGAACAAAGGGAAGTAGGAGAGAATGGGTAGGATTAGCTTTAGGCAGACTGCACTGTAACGAGACAAAAGAGTGGGTATGTATGAAATTGAGTTTATTGAGTTGGTTTGTTTTTGTGAAGTAATCTGCTGAAAATGAGCTGAGCTTTAGAGGTTTGGGGAGAATGGGGTTTTGAAATATCTGATATGGAGAGTGGTAAGAGCTCTGAGTAGGGAAACTGATTTTGCCGTGTGTGTGTGTGTGTGTGTGTGTGTGTGTGTGTGTGTGTGTATTTTATTTATTTATTTATTTATTTATTTATTTATTTATTTTGAGACAGAGTTTAAAGCTGATTTTGCCCAGTGTGTGTGTGTGTGTGTGTGTGTGTGTGTGTGTGTGTATTTTATTTATTTATTTATTTATTTATTTATTTATTTATTTATTTTGAGACAGAGTTTAGCTCTTGTTACCCAGGCTGGAGTACAATGGCGTGATCTCGGCTCACTGCAACCTCCTCCTCCTGGGTTCAAGCGATTCTTCTGCCTTAGCCTCCCAAGTAGCTGGGATTACAGGCATGCACCACCATGCCCGGCTAATTTTGTATTTTTAGTAGCGATGGGGTTTCACTATATTGGTCAGGCTGGTCTCAAATCTGCTGACCTTAAGTGATCCACCCGCCTTAGCCTCCCAAAGTGCTGGGATTAGAGGCGTGAGCCACTATGCCCAACCCCAGTATCATTAAAGGTTTAGTTTAAGTTGGAGACAGTACATTTATATACTGAGATTTCAATATTTTTTTACATCAGCAGTTCAGAAACACAGGTACAGATATGGAAAAAGTGACAGTTGGATTGATCCGGGGCTGGAGTTTTGCTAGTTGAATGCAGTGGGAAACAATGGATGTGTTTAGGAAACTAGTAAGGGTGTAGTTGAAGGTAGTGTACTCTGGCGTTGTTTGCCCATCTTTGAATTGGGATTGATAATAATAGCACTTAGTTCAGAAGGTTGTTGCGAAGGTTGAAATGAGCTCCCACAGTACTTAGTACTCAGAACAGTGCTTTGCACATGGTATGTGCACAGTAACTTATTGTGCTGGGTGGGGATGAGGGAAAGAACGGAGGAGACTGGTGGGAAAAAGGGAGGAAGGCTGAGGATTGGAATCCCCATAAGGATGATGAAAAGTTACTTGTGGATTGAATTTCCGAGTTGGATTTGGTTCTCATCAAAAGGTTGTGGGTTTAAGGATGCTGATGTCCAAGTTCCCAGGGAGTGGCAGATAAGATCCCTGGTTTTGAGTGAAGACCATGAGAATAGAGGCCCTGAGGGCCCTGGCTGTTACTTCTGTGAAAAAATACATTCTGTGTTACAAATTGCTTAAAAGGGAACTTTTAAAACGTAATCATAACTTGATTACTACCAGTAACTTACACATGTGGATGGCACCCAAATCCAATCATTATTTAGTTACTTTACTGGTTTTGTTATCTGTCTTAGTTTATTTGGGCTGCTGTAAAATACCATAGACCAAGGATCTCTAATCTCCGGGCTATGGACCGGTACTGGTCTGTGGCCTGTTAGGAACTAGGTTGCACAGCAGGAGGTGAGGGGCGGGCAAGCGAGCATTACTGCCTGAGCTCCGCCTCCTGTCAGATCAGCAGCAGCCATTAGATTCTCATAGGAGTATGAACCCTGTTATGAGCTGCGCATGTGATGAGGGATCTAAGGTAGGCGATCCTTATGAGAATTTTAACTAATGCCCGATAGGATCTGAGGTGGAACAGGCTCATCCCAAAACCATCCCCCCCGCCGCTCCAGTCCGTGGAAAAAATTGTCTTTCCTGAAACCAGTCCCTGGCACCAAAAAGGTTGGGACTACCACAATAGACAGTGTGACTTATAAACAACAGATTTTTTTTTTTTTTGAGACAGAATCTCGCTCTGTCACCCAGGCTGGAGTGCAGTGGCGCAGTCTCCATTCACTGCAACCGCTGCCTCCCAGGTTCAAGTGATTCTCTTGCCTCAGCCTCCCAAGTAGCTGGGATTACAGGTGCACACTACCATACCTGGCTCATTTTCTATTTTTACTAGAGACAGGGTTTTATCATGGCTGAGACCACCAGGCTAGTCTCAAACTCCTGACCTCAGGCGATCCGCCCACCTCAGCCTCCCAAAGTGCTGGGATTACAGGCATGAGCTACTGTGCCCAGCTAACAACAGGAATTTATTTCTCACAGTTCTGGAGTCTGGGAAGTTCAAGAACAAGAAATTGGTGAGGGCCTGCTTCCTGGTTGTCTTCTCATTGCATCCTCACATGGCAGAAGGGCATAGGGACTCTCTGGGGCCTCTTTTATAAGGGCACTAATTGCATTCATGAGGCTTCTGCCTTCATGACTTAATGACCTTCCAGAGACCCTGTTGGGGGTTAGAATCTTTTTTTTTTTTTTTTTTTTTTTTTTTTTTTTTTTTTTGAGACAGTGTTTCACTCTTGTTGCCCGGCTGGAGTGCAGTGGCTCAATGTTGGTTCACGGCAACCTCCGCCTCCTGGGTTCAAGCAGTTCTCCTGCCTCAGCCTCCCAAGTAGCTGGGATTACAGGCATGCGCCACCATGCCCCACTAATTTTATATTTTTAGTAGAGACAGGGTTTCTCCATGTTGGTCAGGCTGGTCTCAAACTCCCGACCTCAGGTGATCTGCCTGCCTCGGCCTCCCAAAGTGCTGAGATTATAGGCATGAGCCACCGCTTCCGGCTAGAATCTTAACATGAGAGTTTTGGGGGGACACAAACATGTAGTCTATAGCCTTACTCTTTTGCTAATTAAAAAAATCAGAAAGCTGAGGGCTTTCTTTAGTCATTTGAAATGCTTAAGGGGAGTTTTTGGCTTAGTTTTTTTGGTAACAGCTTTATTGAGATTTAATTGACAATTCACTTATTTAAACAGTACAATCCAGGATTACATGCCTGTAATCCTAGCACTTTGGAGGAGACCAAGGCAGGAGGATTGCTTAAAGCCAGGAATTTGAGACTAGCCTGGACAACGTAGTGAGATCCCATTGCTAAAAAAATAAAAATAAAAAGCCGAGTGTGCTGGTGCCTGCTTATAGTCTCAGCTACTCAGGAGGCTGAGGTGGGCAGATCATTTCAGCCCAGCAGTTCAAGGTTGCAGTGAGCTATGATCAAGCCACTGCACTCTAGCCTGGGTGACAGAATGAAACCCTGTCTTTAAAAAAACAAAGTAAAAGGTAACAATGCAGTGACTTTTAGTGTATTTAGAGTTGTGTATCCATCACCATAATACATTTTAGAACGTTAATTTTTTTTTTTTTTTGAGACAGAGTCTTGCTCTGTCGCCCAGGCGGGATTGCAGTGGTGCGATCTTGGGTCACTGTAACCTCTGTCCACTGCAACCTTTGTCTCTTGGGTTCAAGTGATTCTTCTGTCTTGGCCTACCAAGTAGCTGGGATTACAGGCGCATGCCACCACGCCTGGCTAATTTTTGTATTTTTAGTAGTGACAGGGTTTCACCCTGTTGGCCAGGCTGGTCTCGAACTCCTGACCTCGTGATCTGCCCGCCTTGGCCTCCCAAAGTACTGGGATTACAGGTGTGAGCCACTGCACCCAGCCAAGATGACTTCTTAGATAATCCTATGTGTTTTCATGTTCATTGCATCAGGAGTCATCCAGTGTCTGGTTTTAGAATTTGAAGACCAGTGAGTTCATTTGGTGACAGACCTATCTGCCTGTTGGAAATTTCCCCTACTTTTCATCTAATTTAGGGATTCTTAGCTTGGGGTCACTGTAGAATTCAGGAAACATTTGAGAGGGGAAAAATTAATTTATTTTTAGTGACCTATACCTGAAAGTTAACATCTACATCAACTATAATTGTAGGCCACAAGCCAAAGAAGTATTAATAGTATCTGTGAGTTTGTCACCACTAGAGAGACCAGAGATACTTTCATATCACATCACAGTTATTGCAGATATCTCAGAATACTGTCTTTGCTCACTACTACATTGGAATTATAATAGTTATTAGATCTGCCACTAGAACTTGTTTAATCTGCTAATAAAGCACATATATCACAAATTCATTTTTAATATTTTGATGACTGATTTGGTTTCCTTTATAATCCTGTGCATTTTATGCACTTAAAAGGCAGGATAAACACTTAATTTCATTTTAATTACTAAGTTTTGGGTTAGGAGTTTGTGCCTTAGCTACTTCCAGTGGTATCTAGTGAGGTATGGGCTCTTTTCTTTTTTAAAATTATGACTTGCGGTTTTATATATATTCATTGTGTTTCATTCACTTATATTAATTACTCTTCTTGATGTTTAAATTGTCTCACTTTTAGCCTATGGGAGTTATTTTCTAAGTTGGTTTCAGTGTTCTTTGTGATACAGGTTATTAACCTTTGATAATTTCTTGCTTTTTGGCAAGGCCAACACAATGTCCTGGACTCAACTCGTACATTTCCTGTTTCAGACTTATAATCAGTCATTCCTTCAAGGAATCCTGTTTTCCATCTGGTGGGGAATGGACCACACTCTGGTGTGAGTACACTGGGTGTACTCAGTGTTACTGAGTTGTTACTGCTTGTAGGACTCTTTCGTATACAGAGATAGGATATATTTTCCTCAAGGGACAGAGCTAGCAAACATTTTAGAGGAAAAAAAATCTGTTTACGTGGTTTTTGGTTCAAGTTTAACATTATAGATTTTTATTTAACTTACTGGGTTTTATATTTATCTTTTTTCTTACTGAAAATTTTGGTTCTTCAAATATTTGCATTGGCTTACCGCTTGTATTAAAACAGTTTCAAAATAAAAATGTCAACATTACTACTAATTGACTTGAGTTTGGCTTACAATTTCTTTGTAGTATTTTTATTAAGAATGTGCAGTCAAAATACTGTATTCTAAAGTTAAAATAGCTTTTCTTTGTGGCTCTATCACTAAGTAGTATACGGTTGTTTTCATTCTTCAGGAGTTTTTTTTTTTTTTCTGTTTTCAGTGCATATAATTATATTGCAAGTTATATTCAAAAGTCTCATTTCCATCTTTCTTCTACCTCATTCTTTCCTTCCCCCATTAGTAGTTCTTGAAAAGTTAGAGTTTATCTTTCTGATATTTTGTTAGCAAAACTATACGTATATTCATATCATTGCTCCTCTCCTTCATATACAAGGTAATGGACTACATACACTGTGTGCACCTTGCTTTTTACATGTTATATTCTAAAGATTGTTCTCTATCACTATTACTTAGAAATATTTTATGGTTCTGTAGTATTCCATTATGTGGTAGATATATCTTTGTATATTCATCCAGTCCCTTATTGATGGATTTATGGGTTGTTTCCAAACTTTTGCTCCTACAGATAATATCACAATAACCATATGCATATACTGTTGCATATTTATGGGGCTGTTTCTTCATAGTGGATTCCTTAGAAGTAGAATTGTCAAGTTAAAGGGTAAATCTATGTGTGATTTTTCTAGATCCCCAAATTTCCCTCAGTAAAAGTGGTGTCATTTTGACATTCCCATCATAGTTATGAGAATGCCTGTTTCCCTCATTTTTGCCAACTATGCTGTCAAGCTTTTGGGTTTTTTTTTTGTTTTTGTTTTTGTTTTTTTTTTGAGACTGAGTCTCACTCTCTTGCCCAGGTGGGAGTGCAGTGGTGTGATCCTGGTTCACTGCAACCTTGGCTTCCTGAGTTCAAGCGATTCTCCTGCCTCAGCCTCCTTAATAGCTGGGATTACAGGCACATGCAACCACGCCCAGCTAATTTTTGTATTTTTAGTAGAGACAGCATTTTGCCACGTTGGCCAGGCTGGTCTCGAACTCCTGACCTCAAGTGATCCGCCCGCCTCGCCTCCCGAAGTGCTGGGATTACAGGTGTGAGCCACTGCACCCGGCCAAGCTTTTGGATTTTTGCCGGTCTGATAGGTAAGCATGATTTCATGTAGTTTAAAAAAAAAAAAAAAGGCTGGGGGGGGCAGGCGCGGTGGCTCATACCTGTAATCCCAGCACTTTGGGAGGCTGAGGTGGGCGGATCACGCGGTCAGGAGTTCGAGACCAGCTTGGCCAACGTAGTGAAACCCCATCTGTACTAAAAATAGAATAATTAGCCGGGCATGGTGGCGCACGCCTGTAGTCCCAGCTACTTGGGAGGCTGAGGCAGGAGAATTACTTGAACCTGGGAGGTGGAGGTTGCAATGAGCTGAGATTGTGCCACTGCACTCCAGCCTGGGCAACAGAGTGAGACTCTGTCTCAAAAAGAAAAAAAAAAAGGTAAAATATGCATAACATCAAGTGTACCATTTAAAACATTTTTAAGTGGTACAGTTTAGTGGCATTAAGTAGATTCACACTGTGCCGTCATCACCACTATCCCTCTCCAGAACTTCTCCATCATTTCATACCGAAACTCTATCCATTAAACAATAGCTACTATTTCCTTCTCTCCACAGTCCCTGGGAACCACTGTCTCTATGAATTTGACTATTCTAGGTACCCCATATATGTGGAACCATAGAGTATTTTGTCTTTTCATGACTGGCTAATTTCACTTAGCATAATGTCTTCAGAGTTCATCCATGTTTTGTAGCTATGTATCAGAATTTTACATAGATCTGTGTATCAGAATTTTAATTTTTAAGACTGAATACTGTTTTCTTGTATGCATATACTATATTTATCCAAATTCATGGTTTGTATATACATGTTTTGCCTTTTTTTGAATTAGGTGGGTTTCTTTTTGCTGTTAAGGTCTCATGTATTTTAAATGTATATTTTTATTATGAATGACAAAGCATCTTTTGGTATGTTTTAGCAGTTTCCATTTCTTCTGTGAACTTCATCATCTGTTACCTTTTAAAAAATTGAATATTTCAAAATATATATTTTTTTGAGACAGGATCTTGCTTTGTCACCCGGTTAGAGTGCGTAAGTGCAATTATAGCTCATTGCAGCCTCAACCTCCCAGGCTCAAGTCCTCCCGAGTAGCTAGGTCTACAGGCATGTGCTATCGCACCCAGCTAATTTTAAAACATTTTTTGTAGAGACAGCTCTCGCTGTGTTACCAGGCTGGTCTGAAACTCCTGGCCTAGGTGATCCCCCTGCCTTTGCCTCCCAAAGTGCTGGGATTACGGGTGTAAGCCACTGTGCCTGGCCTCAAAATATTAAAAAAAAAAAAAAAAGCAACTTTATTTTTAGGAACTAATTGTATACTAGAGATTTATCTGTGATATAAGTGACTTTGCTATGATTTTTACCCTGCAAACTTTACCAAAAAAATGGGTAGTCTCTTTTATTGCTCCTAGATTTTGAGAATAGCTGGGAAGTTTTTTCTTTCACTCCCAGATTATAAAGGTTTTCACTCTTATTTTGTCTTCTAGTACTTACGTTATTTCACTTTACATTTCAGCCTCTGATCCATCTGGAATTTATATTGATGTATAATAAGGAATTGATCCAATTATGTTTTTCCTAATGACTATCTGGTTGTCCCAACACGTTTGTTTAAAATGTTCATCTTTCCATGTTACATTGATTTGTGATGACATTTTTATCGTGTACAGATTGAGAATCCCAATTTCGAAAATCTGAAATTGTAAATGCTCTAGTATCTAAAACTTTTTCAGCACCAGCGTGAGAATCAAAGAAAATGCTCATTGGAGCATTTTGGATTTCAGATTTTCGGATTTGGGTATAATGCAAATATTCCAAAATGTGAAAAAAAATCTTAACTCCATAACATTTCCAGTCACAAGCATTTTGGATAAGGGATACTCAATCTGTATTTGATTTCAGTATGTTCTTGGGTTTGTTTCTGGAATTTATTCTGTTGGTCTGTCTATTCATGTGCCAGTGTGACATCATTTTAATTTTAGAGACTTTTAAATCTATTTTAGTATCTAGTAGGACAGCTTTCATTTCTGTTCCCTACATATGTTGCTATCTCCCCAAGTTTTCCTGGCTATTTTTTTTTTTTTTCTTTAGGAACTTTTATTTGTAACTTGTATAGCTCCAGGGAAAATCTGTTGCTATTTTTATTGGGATATTACATTTATTAACTTAGGAAGAACTAATAATAATGCTGAGACTTTGTATATAAGAATGAAATATCTTTCTATTATTCAAGTCTATTTTTAAGTCTTTCAAGAGACTTTAAACTTTTCATATAGGTTTTGCCATGGTATTTTTTGTTCTTTTTGTTGCTGTTGTAAAGGTCTTTTCAATTATATTTTAACTTTTTAGTATTTTAACATGTGTATTTTGTTTGTATATGACAACTGGTGTTTAATTTTATATAATCTGGCTACTTTACTAAACTCCTATCTATAGTAATTTTTCCATTTACTCTTATGAGTTTTTCTAAATATCCAACAATATCACCAGCAAATGCAGTTTTACTACTTTTTTTTTTTTTCTTGAGACAGTTTCACTCTTTTGCCCAGGCTGAAGTGCAGTGGCTCACTGCAGCCTCTGCCTCCCAGGATCTAGCGATTCTCCTGCCTCAGCCTCCCGAGTAGCTGCTATTACAGGCATGAGCCACCACACCTGGCTAATTTTTGTATTTTTAGTAGAGATGGGGTTTTGCCGCCTTGGCCAGGCTGGTCTTGAACTCGTGACCTCAGGTGATCTGCCCGCCTCGGCCTCTTAAAGTGCTGAGATTACAGGCGTGAGCCACAGTGCCCAGCCTTACTACTTCTTTAACAGTTCTTATATCTGTAGATACCTTTTCTTGTCTAGTCTTTTTAATCTGCTTTTACCTGAAGTCACCTTCATTCTCTTGATTAGTTATTTTTGTCAAGAACTTTTTGATTCTTAATTTTTGACATAATCAAAATTTCATGTAAGATTTCAGAAGTGACTTTATAGAATGTTTTTTTGTAACAGCTCTGAGATATGATTCATATGCCATATAATTGTCATTTGAAGTGTACAATTCAAGGTTTTCAGATTTGTACAACCACCACCATAATCAATTTTAGAATATTTTTATCACTTCCAAAAGAAAGCTCATCCCCTTTAGCCATTACCTCTCCCTTTTCCCATTTTGCCAGCCCTGGGCACCCACTGTATTAATTATCTTACTGCATAACAAAACATAGCAGGTTAAAACAACAAACATGCTATTCCGTGTATGTGCCTGTCTGCCTCTCTGTCTCTGTATGTCTTGGTTTGCCTCACATTGCATCCTCTCTCATTTCTACTCTGCATTTGTCTTCTGTTTTCCTTTCTGTTACCTTCATTCTCTGCATTTGTACCCAATGGCCAGTAGCTTCTGAATCCACACAGCCAGTACAGCTCCAGTGCCATGCCCATATAACTGATTCAGTATGGCAAGTTCAGATACTCAGGAGGGAGACTTAATTTGTTCATCCTGGTCCATTTAGATTTGGCAAGTACAATCACCTTTCTTTTTTTCTTTTTTTTTGAGATGGAGTTTCGCTCTTGTTGCCCAGGCTGGGGTGCAGTGGTGCGATCTCAGCTTACTGCAACCTCTGCCTCCCAGGTTCAAGCAGTTCTCCTGCCTCAACCTCCTGAGTAGCTGGGATTACAGGCATGCGCCACCACGCCTGGGTAATTTTGTATTTTGTATTTTTTATTTTTTTTGAGACAGAGTCTTGCTCTCTTGCCCAGGCTGGAGTGCATTGGCGCGATCTCGCCTCACTGCAAGCTCCGCCTCCTGGGGTCACGTTATTCTCCTGCCTCAGCCTCCCGAGTAGCTGGGACTACAGGTGCCCACCACCACGCCCAGCTAATTTTTTATATTTTTAGTAGAGATGGGGTTTCACCGTGTTAGCCAGGATGGTCTCGATCTCCTGACATCGTGATCTGCCCACCTTGGCCTCCCAAAGTGCTGGGATTACAGGCGTGAGCCACCATGTGGACCTGGCCTATATTTCTATTAGAAAGCCATTTCCAAAACATTGGTCACACCAGAATTCAACCTTATATAGAAAATATAGTGTTTTTAGTGATTTCATTTTGAAATATTTTGTACATAAAAACAAAATGAAACTATTTTGAGTACTTTATGCCTATACAGACTACTAGTAACTGAACATTCATATAACGTAGTATGTTTTGTAAAATGTTTAGCGGTTGCAAACTGGTTTGCCAGATATGTTTTGTTTAGTAAAACTTGAGTTGTAATCCTTTCAAAGATGGAAGTAATATATAGAAACGGACGTTTCTGCCCTCTTGAAAAAGATGTGGCAAGAGCAGGCCCACATTTTACATGGCAACAGTTGATAAGGGCTAAGCTGTCTTCCCCAGATAGATGGAAGAGGACATTGTCCAGCTTGCTGCAATCCACACCTGGGTCTCTTTATTCAGTCATGTTCTTTGTACTTTCTAAGTAACTGAGTTTGCAGTCCTCCATCCCCATTCCATTCTAATTGTACATAATTAAGTAATTACTAATTGCCAGGGGTTGTGCTTTATATATATTATTTAATCTTCACAACTTGTTTTATATGAAGAAAACTAGTCTCAGAAATTTAACTATATAGTATGTGGTAGAGCTGGAGTTGATTTGAATCGCCAGGTGTTTGTGCGGTCTGGGCTCTTGAGCACAGTTCTTTACTACTTCACAAATATGTTTTACTTTGTGGTTCATAGTTATTTTCATGGAGAGTTTTTAGTTCTTCTAGTGTTTTGCCTCTGTCAAATTACTGCCACTATCATAACTATTGCCTTTTAAGCTTGAACAACTATAACTATAGTTGATCAGTAAGGAAAACCTTACTTATCTCCTTGCCACGAGTTTTCCTTTACTATATACAGAAAAGCCTAAAGAAAATAAAGATCACCATAATCACCAGACATTACTGCTGCTAAAACTTTTCTTCTAATCTCCCTAAAAAATGGGACTATTTTCTGTCTCTCTACACACACACACACGATTTCATAATAATTTTTCATGTTTTGTAATAACCTCTGCACCAGGATTTCTTTTCTTTTTTTTTTTGTTTGAGATGAAGTCTTGCTCTGTCACCAGGCTAGAGTGCAGTGGTGCAATCTCGGCTCACTGCAGCCTCCGCCTCCTGCACCAGGATTTTTAAAACTGATTTTCATAGAATTGTAATATTCTGTAGGCTGTTAAAAGTATACTGTAAATTAAAATGCTTCAAGGTCAGGAAAGTTTGGGAAGTGCTGAGTTTATTCCCTTTTTTTTGCTTTTAGATTGTTTTTGTGTTTTACTATGATAATGATGTGATCAATATATTTGTACATATATTTTTGTGCACAGTATTTTCTAACTAAAGGCCCATAAGAATTGTGTCAAAGGATGTGAACATTTATAAGTTTTTTTGTAAATACAAACCTATGATATACATACGTATTAATATTTATGTAACTTCAAAATAAGATTACACTTTAGATCAAGCTTGTCCAACCCGTGGCCTGTGGGCCGCAGGTGGCCTACGGCTTTGAATCTGGTCCAGCACAAATTTGTAAACTTTGTTAAAACATGAGGTTTTTTTTTTTGTTTTCTTTAGCTCATCAGCTGTCATTAGTGTTAGTATATTTTATGTGTGGGCCAAGATAATAATTCTTCCAGTATGGCCCAGGGAAGCCAAAAGATTGGACACTCTGCTTTAGATAATATAATTTTTTATCTGTTTCTCATGTAGAATATATATTATGAGCATTTTCCCATGTTGTAAATGTTTTTAATAACATATAAGGAAAATCTTATACTTCCGGTTATATCCCTGTTATGATCTTTATACAAAATATTTTTATTACATTTCATTTTGGGTTACCAACCTTTTGAGTTCCTTCTTAACAAAAAGCTTCTGGGTAAGTAGGCAGTTGAGAGCAGAACAGTAGCTCTTAACTGGAATGGTGAGAACTCTTCTCAGTGTTGGCAGTTTTAGGGGACTTAATAAACAATACCCTTTTCTACCATTCAAATTGAGCCACTTGAAAGAATAAAGGGAATCAGGCAGATGGAGGTCTGGTAGTGTATGGCCCAGCCTACTTGGGGTGTCTCTGTCCTCTCCCATCCTTATATTTTAGAACATAGGAACTAATTATGACTACAGTCATAAGCTGCTTGATGCTGCCAGTTACTAACCTTCCCCACATATTTTATCTTTTTTTTTTTTTTGAGATAGGGTCTTACTCCTGTCATCCAGGCTGGAGTGCAGTGGCATGATCATGGCTCACTGCAGCCTCAAGTTCCTGAGCTCAGGTGATTCTCCCACCTCAGCCTTCCAAGTAGCTGGGACCACAGACGGGTGCCACCATGCCCGGCTAATTTTTGTATTTTTTGTAGAGATGGGGTTTCACCATGTTGCCCAGGGGTCTGGAATTCCTGGGCTCAAGCAATCTGCTTGCCTCTGCCTCCCGAAGTGCTGGGATTACAGGTGTATGTCACTGCGCCTGGCCACCCTATGGTTAATTTTTGATCCTGCTTTTATGACATGGATTTTAGCAGGAGGGTATCAACATACTGTACTTTTCTGTTGTTTGGTGTGTCTTTGTTGGCTTCATTTATCTTTGGAATATTGCTGACGAGTCCCAGAAGCTGTGGTACAGAACTGTCCGTTCCCATTCATCTACTTTCCCATGTGAATCCAATTCTGTTTAAGCATGTGTCTTTCAGCGATGATGCCTAAAGCCATTCACTAAATTTAGATCTCTGAAGTCTGTTACTAAAGACCCCATTTTGCTAATATCTCTGGGTATGCCATTACTCTAGGAGCAATTGAGATTGAGACATATTTTAGTTCTCTGCTGTCAAATGTAAGCCTCCAGGTACTGTTCAGCTGGAGTTTGCAGGCTGTAGGGCTGTTCACGTCCATTATTGCTTTATGAGGTGTTCTCTGTTGTTTACAGTTTGTAGAGGCTCATTTAGGAACTCTGTCTATATGTCCAGGCCAGTCAAAGCCAGATATCTGTAACTTTAATTTCATGTGGAATTCATTCTCAGGCTTCCTAGGGCTTTAATTTCATGGACACAGAAGCCACGCATTTTACCTAACCTCTATAAAGTACTGGTATTATTAGCCACTTTGCTAAATCTCTGGTAATCTTCATTTGATCAGGCCCCGACCCTAAGTTTAAAGTGACTCCCTAAAATCCAGTCAGTGTCTGCTACTTACACCTCACATTTAAATTGATCTCTTAACACTGATGTTTTTGTTTATCCGCTTGTGCCTCCTTTAAATTGTTATTTTCCCAAAGGTCACATTCTCAGAAGTGGTAGCTTGGTGAGGCGAATTTAACTCCTTGTATCAAAAATGAAGTTTGATGGACCTCAATGGTCAGTCATCTTCTGAAACACAAGCTCACTACTCTGGCCTGACAAAGTGCCAGGATTGACCTTGGAAAAGTGCCAGAGGTGAGGGCCAGGCCTTCCTAATCCTGGGCCCTCCATTCTTTAGAGATTCAGTTGGCCTGTTCTCCTACCAAAATTGTGTTACCCTGTTCTGAGCCTTAATGAGAGTTATTTATAGCTTCTGCTGTCTCATGAGAACTGGGTATCTTAAATTGATAGCTGGCAATCCTGCTGGCAAGATTTGTGGCTTTATAATTTGAACAACCCCAGTTGTTTGCTGTTAAAGTGTCCTGACCTCATCTGGTGATGCCTGCTTGACCAGTATCCCAGATCTCTAGATGTCTATCAACCTCCTTATGTCTGGCCGTTCTTCCACTGTGGATGCTGCCCTTACATTCTCTCTTGGGGCCAATCTGATTGTTATACTGTTTATTATTGAGAATTTTAGGCCTATAGCCATCCATTTGTTTGTGGGCGCATGTGTGTTTTTCTAATATCTTCTTACAAAATTAACAGTGTGTGTATTTAAGAGACAATGTCGCACTGTTTTGCCCAGGCTGCAGTGTGTTGGTGTAATTATTGCTCACTGTAGCCTTGAACTCTTGGACACAGTGGTCCTCCTGCCTTAGCTTCCTGGGTAGCTGCGACTACAGGTGTGCAGCACCACACCTAGCTAATTAATTTTTTTTGGTAGAAACAGGATCTCACTATGTTGTCCAGTCTGGTCTCAAACTCCTGGGCTCAAGCCATCGTCTTGGCTCAGCCTCCCAAAGTGCTCGGATTAACCTTGTGGTTTTATCCTAAACAGCAATAAATGAATGGTATTCTAATTCTCTGTGAAGCTAACTTGGCTAGGTTGTCTTTGCCTGAGCTTCTTAACTTGTCCACATAAATAAATCACTATAATCTGGGGTTAACTGAGTATTCCTTGGAGTTTGCAGGGTTCTGAAAGAACCTAATAAACACACAGCTTGGTGAAATGTGAGTTATGTTTCTAAACTTATGACCTCTAAAGTTATTTGTTGTTTGTATGTAAGAATAAGTGGTGGAAAGATAAGCCCCCGAAAATTCTCGATTAGTAATTTATGTTAATTGTATTTTTTCAGTATATTATTATAGAAAGACAGGAAAGGTAAAAGGCACCAAATATGACTTTGGCTGATAATATTTCTGTTTTTTACTCTGAATTCAAGGTAAATTAGCTATTTTGTTTTATTTCTTCTTCTTTTTTTAATAGGGTTACACATCATTTTGGAATGACTGTATATCATCTGGATTACGTGGCTGTATGTTAATTGAATTAGCATTGAGAGGAAGGTTACAACTAGAGGCTTGTGGAATGAGACGTAAAAGTCTATTAACAAGAAAGGTAAGAGGAGTGCTGAGTAACATTCTTTTTAAAGAGGTTGTACTGCTTAAAATGTATGTTTTTACTAGTAGCCTTCAAAAATTAAAGTGGAAGTTGATATTAAAGTTGTCTTTCTTCAATTGTATTTCCATATCTTTTTTGCATTCTTGGTTTCCTGGTTCTTTCACCTACAATGAGTAATGTAATTGATTGTTAAGGTAACCGGCCACTGGATCTTACAAATTCAGAAAGATTCTAGACTTCATTTGCAGCTTTTATTTATTTATTTATTTTTAATTTTATTTTATTATTATTATTTTTTATTGATCATTCTTGGGTGTTTCTCGCAGAGGGGGATTTGGCAGGGTCACAGGACAATAGTGGAGGGAAGGTCAGCAGATAAACAAGTGAACAAAGGTCTCTGGTTTTCCTAGGCAGAGGACCCTGCGGCCTTCCGCAGTGTTTGTGTCCCTGGGTACTTGAGATTAGGGAGTGGTGATGACTCTTAAGGAGCATGCTGCCTTCAAGCATCTGTTTAACAAAGCACATCTTGCACCGCCCTTAATCCATTCAACCCTGAGTGGATACAGCACATGTTTCAGAGAGCACAGGGTTGGGTTTAAGGTCACCGATCAACAGGATCCCAAGGCAGAAGAATTTTTCTTAGTGTAGAACAAAATGAAAAGTCTCCCATGTCTACCTCTTTCTACACAGACACGGCAACCATCCGATTTCTCAATCTTTTCCCCACCTTTCCCCACTTTCTATTCCACAAAACCGCCCTTGTCATCATGGCCCGTTCTCAGTGAGCTGTTGGGTACACCTCCCAGACGGGGTGGTGGCCGGGCAGAGGGGCTCCTCACTTCCCAGTAGGCGCGGCCGGGCAGAGGCGCCCCTCACCTCCCGGACGGGGCGGCTGGCCGGGCGGGGGGCTGACCCCCCCCACCTCCCTCCTGGACGGGGCAGCTGGCCGGACAGAGGGGCTCCTCACTTCCCAGTAGGGGCGGCCGGGCAGAGGCGCCCCTCACCTCCCGGACGGGGCGGCTGGCCAGGCGGGGGGCTGATCCCCCCACCTCCCTCCCGGACGGGGCGGCTGGCCGGGCTTGGGGGCTGACCCCCCCACCTCCCTCCCGGACGGGGCGGCTGGCCGGGCAGGGGGCTGACCCCCCCACCTCCCTCCCGGACAGGGCGGCTGGCCGGGCAGAGTGGCTCCTCACTTCCCAGTAGGGGCGGCCGGGCAGAGGCGCCCCTCACCTCCCGGACGGGGCGGCTGGCTGGGTGGGGGGCTGACCCCCCCACCTCCCTCCCGGACGAGGTGGCTGCCGGGCGGAGACGCTCCTCACTTCCCGGACGGGGTGGCTGCTGGGCGGAGGGGCTCCTCACTTCTCAGACGGGGCGGCTGCCGGGCGGAGGGGCTCCTCACTTCTCAGACGGGGCGGTTGCCAGGCAGAGGGTCTCCTCATTTCTCAGACGGGGCGTCCGGGCAGAGATGCTCCTCACATCCCGGACGGGGCGGCAGGGCAGAGGTGCTCCCCGCATCTCAGACGATGGGCGGCCGGGCAGAGACGCTCCTCACTTCCCAGATGTGATGGCGGCCGGGAAGAGGCGCTCCTCACTTCCTAGATGGGATGGCGGCCGGGCAGAGACGCTCCTCACTTTCCAGACTGGGCAGCCAGGCAGAGGGGCTCCTCACATCCCAGACGATGGGCAGCCAGGCGGAGACGCTCCTCACTTCCCAGACGGGGTGGCGGCCGGGCAGAGGCTGCAGTCTCGGCACTTTGGGAGGCCAAGGCAGGCTGCTGGGAGGTGGAGGTTGTAGCGAGCCGAGATCACGCCACTGCGCTCCAGCCTGGGCACCATTTTGAGCACTGAGTGAACGAGACTCCGTCTGCAATCCCGGCACCTCGGGAGGCCGAGGCTGGCGGATCACTCGCGGTTAGGAGCTGGAGACCAGCCCGGCCAACACAGCGAATCCCCGTCTCCACCAAAAAAATACGAAAACCAGTCAGGCGTGGCGGCGCGCGCCTGCAATCGCAGGCACTCGGCTAGCTGAGGCAGGAGAATCAGGCAGGGAGGTTGCAGTGAGCCGAGATGGCAGCAGTACCGTCCAGCTTTGGCTCGGCATCAGAGGGAGACCGTGGAAAGAGAGGGAGAGGAGGGAGACCGTGGGGAGAGGGAGAGGGAGAGGGAGAGTCATTTGCAGCTTTTAAAAGCCATAATTTTGAAAGACTTGACATTAAAAACTCAGAAGTGTTATTGTGCAATTTACGCATAGGCTATTGATCTTTTCATCAGATTATGAATACTTTTCAGATACCTGTCTGTTGAAGGTCTGTGTAGGTGCTTCTCTTAATAGAGGTAATATTGGCTAGTTTTTAGAAATTTAACTTCAACCTCAATCTCAAATATTTAATACTGTTTTTCTTCCAGTTTGTTGTTGTGTTTCTTGAGCATGGTGTTTCAAAACTAGTTTTTTTCCTAAATCAGTGTCCTAATGAATCTAAAAGTTTTAGATCAGAGCGGAATGCATCTTGATTAATAAGCTATAGAGAATAATAGTTCTGTAGGAAAGAACACCATTCATGTATCTTTTTTTTTTTTTTTTTTGAGACTGAGTCTTGCTCTGTCACCCAGGCTGGAGTGCAGTGGCGTGATCTCGGCTCACTGCAACCTCTGCTTCCCTGGTTCAAGTGATTTACGTGCCTCAGCCTCCCAAGTAGCTGGTACTACAGGCGTGTGCTGCCACACCCAGCTAATTTTTGTATGTTTTGTAGAGATGGGGTTTTGCTATGTTGCCTGGGCTGCTCTCGAACTCCTGGGCTCAAGTGATCCGCTCGCCTTGGGCCTCCCAAAGTGCAAGGATTACAGGCGTGAGCTATCATGCCCAGCCCACTGTTTTCTAGTATACAGAGTTGCGGTAAAGTCTGGTGCCCTTCTGATTTTCTTTTCCTTTTTTTTTTTTTTTTTGGAGACAGAGTCTCACTCCATTGCCTGGGCAGGAGGGTGGTTGGTATGATCTTGGTTCACTGCAACCTCTGCTTTCCAAGTAGCTGGGACTACATAGGTATATGCCACCATGTCTGGCTAATTTTTTTTTTTTTTTTCTGAGACTGAGTGTCACTCTATCACCCAGGCTGGAGTGCAGTTGGTGCCATCTCAGCTCACTGTAACCTCCGCCTCCCTATCAGCCTCAAGCGATTCTCCTGCCTCAGCCTCCCTAGTAGCTGGGACTACAGGCATGCACCACCACACCCGGCTAATTTTTTTTTTTTTTATATGTTTAGTAGAGATGGGGTTTCACCATATTGGTCAGGCTGGTATTGAACTCCTGACCCCAAATGATCCACCTGCCTCCCAAAGTGCTGGGATTATAGGCGTAAGCCACTGTGCCCAGCCTCCTGGCTAATTTTTTTTGTTGTTTTATTTTTGTTAGAGATAAGGTCTTACTTTATTGCCCAGGCTGGTCTTGAACGCTTGGGTTCAAGTGATCCTCGTGCCTTGTCCTCCCAAAGAGCTGGGATTACAGACGTGAGCCACTGTGCCGGGCCTCCTTCTGTTTTTTCAATCTTATTTTTTTTTTTTCCTCTAGAAGCATTTGGGATCTTCTGTTATCCTTGTTGGTTTTCTGAAATTGTACGATATGCCTTAATGTGGGTCATTTTAAATTCATTATGCATTAATTTTTTCAGTCTAGAAATGTGTATATTTTGGTTTTGAAAACTTGTATTTCTGATATCTTTTGCCCTCTTTTTCTAGAACTCTGTAAATTGGATACGGACTTCTTGGCTACTCTTAAAGAGTTGTCTTCTAACCTTTCTGTTGAGATTTTATTGTGACTCTCCTGTTTTTGATTTCCATGAGCTTCCTTTTTAAAAATCGTAGTTTGTTTTATGGATGTAATACCTTCTTTTAGATTTCTGAGGGTATCACACCTCTTTTGAAAATTTCCTTTATCTGTATTATATCTGTTTCTTCAGAGTTCTTATTTTCTCTTTTTGATCTCTTCTGTGTTGGAAGCTTTCTTTCACGTTATCCGTGATTGTCTGTTTATATTTAGGAATGGTTCCCGTCCCCCCAAAAAAAGAAGCTAAATAAAAATGATATGTTTGGATAGAACATATTTATTTGTGAACCACACTTACTACTGAATTTTTGAAAGGAATTTAGAACTAACTCGAGTCATTGAAAAGTTGTAAGCAGAAGCAGTGGAATGCCATGGTAAGATTTGTCTGTTAGAAAGATCAGTGAGGAGAATGGATTGAAAAGGCTAAAACTTGTTTAGGGAAATTAGTTAAGAGGCTTAAATTAATCCAAGTGAAAAACAGCCAGATTAGGCAGACTAGAATATAGTTGTTCCTCAGTATCTGTGGGCGATTGGTTCTAGGACTCCCCTCAAATATCAAAATCTGGATGCTCAAGTTTCTTATATAAAATGTTGTAGTGTTTGCATATAACCTATGCACATCCTCTTCTATACTTTATGTCACCCCCAGATTACTTACAATACCTAATACAATGTAAATGCTGTATAAACAATTGTTATACTGCATTTTAAAATTTGTATTATTTTTCCTGGATATTTTTGATCCTCAATTGGTTGAATCTATAGATATGGAAGGCCGACTATATTGGCAAGATGATGGAGAAAAGTGAAACATTTCAGAAAGATTTAGAGGACAGAACTTCATAAGAAAAAGTGATTCACTATACCCAGGCTCTGGTGTCCCTGACATAAGATCCGTTGCAAACGGATGTGCGTGGGCGAGCTTTGAGGCCAAATTGCAATAAATATAAAGAATGAGTGGGACGTAAGAAGTGGTGGCAATGGCCACCATATTTAGATGTAACTTTTTCTCCTGAGGCTCTGCTTTCTTTATTTTCTTGTGCTCTCTCACCCTTCACTGAAAGCATGGTCTAGAATAGCACTGTTTGATGGAACTTTGATGATGAAAATGATCTGTATGTTCAATATGGTAGCTACTAGCTACATACATCTATGAGCCAGACACTTAAGCACTTGAAGTTTGGCTACTGCACATTGACACATGGTGTTAGTAAAAACATACACTGGATACACTGGATTTTTGGTCTTAGTATGGAAAAATATATTAAGTACCTCAATTTAAAAATACTTATTACATGTTAATATTTTGGTTGTATTTGGTTAAATCAAAATATTAAAATTAATTTTGCCTTTTTTTCTTTTAAAATATAACTACTAGAAAATTTAAGAGCGGGGAGGGATAGCATTAGGAGATATACCTAATGCTAAATGACGAGTTAATGGGTGCAGCACACCAACATGGCTCATGTATATATACGTAACAAACCTGCACGTTGTACACATGTACCCTAAAACTTAAAGTATAATAATAATAAAATAAAATAAAATTGAAGAATAGATTTGTGACTTGTACTGTGGTTTTTATATTTCTGCTGGTCATGATGTCACAGAGATAGATACTGTATGTATATATTTTTAATTTTTTATAAGATTGACAAAGTAAAGGACACTTTGAGGACAAGTTTAAGAGAGGACTCTCAGCATTTTAAAAGTGATGTTAAATTGGTGGGGCACGATGGCTCATGCTTGCAATCCCAGCACTTTGGGAGGCCGAGGTGGACAGATCACAAGGTCAGGAGTTCAAGACCAGCCTGCCCAACTTGATGAAACCCTGTCTCTACTAAAAATACAAAAATTACCCGGATGCGGTGGTGTGCACCTGTAATCCCAGCTATTTGGGAGTCTGAGGCAGGAGAATTGCTTGAACCCTGGAGGCGGAGGTTGCAGTGAGCTGAGATCACGCCATTGCACTCTAGGCTGGGCAACAGAGTGAGACTCCATCTCAAAAAAAAAAAACAAAAAAAACCGTAATGTTAAATTTTATGACATTTAAATAGCTAACATTATAAAATAATACAATACAATGGATTTAATTTTGATATTATGGAATTTTAACTAGAAACTTATAGCTTAGCCAACAACGTGAATGAAGGCTATAGGGTTCTAATACTTGTCTACAGCGGTGTAACATTTTCCCTCCCATCTCTCCCTCTGGATTTTTCCACTTTTAAAATGGATTCTATATCTCAATGTAGCTTTCTGTTTGGAAACAGATTTTTGCTCTTGTCGCCCAGGCTGGAGTGCAAAGGTGCGATCTCAGCTCACTGCAGCCTCCACCTCCTGGGTTCAAGCAATTCTCCTGCCTCAGCCTCCCAAGTAGCTGGGTTTACAGGCATGCGCCACCACACCTGGCTAATTTTTGTATTATTAGTAGAGACCGGGTTTCACCATGTTGGCCAGGCTGGTCTCAAACTCTTGACCTCAGGTGATCCACCCGCCTTGGCCTCCCAAAGTGCTGGGATTATAGGAGTGAGCCACTGCATCCAGCCTCAGTGTAGCTTTTTTTAAAAAAAAGTTGCAGTATTTAAAAAATTTATGTAATCAACGCTATTGATAATTTCTTTAAGCTTTCTGCTAGTCGGGACAATTTTAAAAGAAACCTTTCAGGGCCAGGTGCAGTGGATCATTCCTGTCATCCCAGCACTTTGGGAGGCCGAGGTGGGTGGATTACCTGAGGTCGGGAGTTTGAGACCAGCCTGACCAACATGGAGAAACCCCATCTTTACTAAAAATACAAAATTAGCCAGGCGTGGTGGCACACACCTGTTATTCCAGCTACTTGGAAGGCTGAGGCAGGAGAATTGCTTGTACCGGGGAGGGCAGAGGTTTGCAGTGAGCCGAGATTGCGCCACTGCACTCCAGCCTGGGTGATGAGCAAAACTCCATTTCCAAAAAAGAAAAAAAAGAAACCAAGAAACCTTTCTTACCTCTATAATTTGTTAGCAAGTTTTAATGACATTTGTTTAAAAATTTGTTTCTTCACTGATGTGAAATACCACCTTTATAATATAAGATTGAGTATCCTATATCTGAAATGCTTGGTAACAGAAATGTTTAAGATTTTGGAATTTTCTGGATTTTGGAATATTTGTATTATACTTAAGCATTCCTGACTTCAAAATTTAAAATCCAGAATGTTCCAATGGATGCATGTTGGTGCTCAAAAAGTTTCAGATTTTGAAGGAGTTCGGATTTTCGGATTAGGGACGTTCAGCCTGTACTGAATTCTTAAATATAATTTAGTCTTATTTCTGGGACTAATAATAATGCTTAAATGAATTTCTGGATCACATAGTCCAAGGTTCGGTGATGAGTCAGTGAGTATAAACTGTCCTAGTATGTTGCTTTACTAATTATTGCACAGTAGCTTTTTTTTTTTTTTTTAAGTCGGAGTTTTGCTCTTGTTGCCCAGTCTGGAATGCAGTGGCACAATCTCGGCCCGCTGCAACCTCTGCCTCCTGGGTTCAAGCAATTCTCCTGCCTCAGCCTCCAGAGTAGCTGGGATTACAGGCACCTGCCACCACGCCCAGCTAATTGTTTGTATTTTTAGTAGAGATGGGGTTTCATCATTTTGGCCAGGCTGGTCTTGAACTCCTGACCTCAGGTGATCCACCCGCCTCGGCCTCCCAAGGTGCTGGGATTACAGGAGTGAGCCACCATGCCCGGCCAGTAGCTTGCTTTTCTTTTCTCTTTGAGATAGTCTCACTCTTTCGTCCAGGGTGGAGTGCAGCGGCGTGATCTTGGCTTCCTGCAGCCTCTGCCTCCTGGGTTCAAATGATTCTCCCACCTCAGCTACCCGAGTAGCTGGGATTACAGGCGTGCACCACCACACCTGGCTAATTTTTGTATTTTTAGTAGAGACAGGGTTTTGCCATGTGGGCCGGGCTGGTATCGAATTCCTGGCTTCAAGTGATCTGCTTGCCTCAGCCTCCCCCTGGGATTCAGGCATGAGCTACTGAGTCTAGCCAATTTTCATTCATTATTATATCTAATCTGGTTAGGTTAAATATTGGATTTCCTTAACATAAAAGTAATTTAAAATCTGAACTTTGATACTACATGAAAGCTTGAGGCTTTAAGCATAATGAATTATTTATATAATTGTTTGTTTTTCATTTAATGAGATCAACTCAGAAAAGGCATTCGTGGATCCTTTCATTCTTTTTGCTTTCTTTTTAGGTAATCTGTAAGTCAGATGCTCCAACAGGGGATGTTCTTCTTGATGAAGCTCTGAAGCATGTTAAGGAAACTCAGCCTCCAGAAACGGTCCAGAACTGGATTGAATTACTTAGTGGTAAGCTGCTGTGAATAAACCAAAAACCAACTTCTGTTTAAAAGATTGCGAAGTTTAAATCCTTTTGAAAGGAACCTACACAAAATAGCCAGAAGCTTGTTTAGTTATTTAGGCAAACTTGAAAGTTATCAGTCATAGAGTGGGGAAGTAATGGTTTTTATAAAATTTCATTCTCTTTAACAATACTGAACAGATATAGAATGCGAAGATAATACTCTTAGAGCTCCCATGTTCTTTATCAAAATTACCACATGCTACCTTAATCTGGATAGGCTAGGTTAAGCTGTGGTGGTAACAAACCCCAAAACCTCAGTTGCTTAAAACAACCATTTATTTCTCATTCAGGCTGTAAGTCAGTCACAGGCTACCTCATCCTCACTCTGGCAGCCAGGCAGATGGAGCCACTGCCACCTGGAGCAGTATCAGTCACTATAATAAAAGGAGGAATACCATAGCACATCACTCTGGCTCTTAAGTTTCTGCTTAGAAATGACATGTGGTTCATGTTTCATTGATCAGAGCAAATCACACAATCTCCCCTAACTTCAAGGAGACAGGGAAGTGCAACCTTAGGGAGGAGAACGTGAAAAGTTTGGCTGATAGCATGGAGGACTGTGACGTTTATATTAAAGTTATTTGTGTATTAACATGATGTGAGTTTTCTTACAGATAAGCAGAATTTATAAAAGTCCTATTGGATTATTCTTCTGTCAGTAAAAGAGGTTTTTTTAGGGGTTGGGGGACTAGTCAAGTGAAACAGTGGGAGTGGGAGGGAACAAAAAAATCTAACTTGTGATCAGTTAGCTGTAAATAACTGCTGTACTTGGACCAGCTGATTTTATTTATATGTATACATAAATATTTTTCTTTTTAAGAGACAGGGTCTCACTCTGTTGCCCAGGCTGGAGTGCAGTGGCATGATCCTAACTCACTATAACCTTGAACTAAGTCCTGGACTCAAGTGATCCACAGCCTCTGCCTCAGCCTCTGGAGTAGCTAAGACTACAGGTGTGTGCCACCATGCCTCGCTGAGTTTTTTTTTTTTTTTTTTATTTTATTTTTTGGCCAGGCATGGTGGCTCATTACTGTAATCCCAGTACTTTGGGAGGCTGAGGCGGGTGAATCTCCTGAGCTCAGGAGTTCAAGACCAGCCTGGGCAACCTGGTGAAACCCTGTTTCTACCAAAAAACACAAAAGAATTAGCCAGACATAGTGGCACATGCCTGTGGTCCCAGCTACTTGGAAAGCTGAGGTGGGAGGATCGCTTGAGCCTAGGAGACGGAGGTTGCAGTGAGCCAAGATCATGCCACTGCACTCCAACCTGGGTGACAGAGTGAGACCCCGTCTCAAGAAAAAAAATTTTTTGTAGAGATAGGACCTTGCTGTGTTGCTCAGGCTGGTCTTGAGCTCCTGGCCTCCAGTGGTGCTTCATCAAGGCTTCCTAAAGCCCTGGGACTATAAGCATGAATCACCATGCTCAGTCTATATTTATTTGTTTATTTAAAAATTAAGTACATACACTCCATTTTTAGCTAACGGCAATAATGGGCACTTTACACTTAAGGCAAGGTTCATTATTTTTTCTTATTGGTAAGAACGTAAACGTATTCTTGATAAATTTGCATTTTTGTTGGATAACCCTCTTCTACCTCTGATAATTTTCCTTTTTATCTCATTGAGAGTAACTCTGACTTATACTTTCCCCCCTTTATGCTTATTAGAGTTGTCTTCAGTTGTAATTTCTTTTGCAAGAATCTTTTAAAATTGCTTTGCCCATTTGATGAGGGCTTGTTTGGTTAAAACTAGATTATATTATCAGCAAATTCACTTAATCATCACAAATACCCATCACATTGTCAATGCTGTCTGAGTTAGCCTCCCATGTATGCCTGTCAGTGACATGCAGCCATCTAACAGAGACTCAGGGCATTAATGTCAACTCTATATGTTAAATATTAGTAAACATAATGTTTTAAAATAGAAATAGAACTGCTAATAACGTTTATACTGTGATGGATCATTTTGTACATTGTTTTCAGAGCACTGGCTTAACCAGTCTTTGGATCTTTCTCATGTTGTGCTGCCAGTGTTGGCCCATGACTGCTTCTGGTGTTGCAAATTAGAATTTGTAATTTGGTTCCCAGCTGACCAAAAGAAGGGTTTCTCAAAGTTGTGGTGACTTTTTTTGTTAGATGTGTTACAGTGTTAAAGATTCTTTTTATGGAATGTAGAGTGGGCTTTGCCTTCACTTTCCTGTTACTGAAATGCATCTTACACTTAACCTGTTAAGTAACATTTTGTAAATGAAGCTTATCAATATAAATGCTAACTGAACTTGGTTCTCACCTATGGCTGCTGTTGCACTGTCCCCACTTGATTAAGCAGTGAAAAGATGAGAAGTCTAAAAGCTTTTCTCACAAGTATGTAAACACAGTTAGGATTTTGTAAAGCACTGTCTGTTTGGATTAGAAATTTGGGTAAAATGTGAAACTAATACTTAGCAAGGTTTTTTAAAAAACAATGTCCTGTGAGTTTTAGATTGGCTGTTGATGCCAGAACATTGCCTGTAGCACTTGAGTTGCTTGCTCTTGACATACATTGGGAATGCTGCTGCTTCAGAATAAAGGAAGGGAATCCAGAGTGGGAGAAGGAGGAAAAAGGACTTTTTTTAAAGTTAAAAAAATTAAAAAAAATCTCCTGGCAAATAACATGTAAAAAGAAGAAAATAAAAAATATCTATTTCCCACCTAATTGAAAGTATCAAGATACCAGCTTGCTGATTTTTTAATTGTAGTAAAATATATATAATGTAACTTTTACCATTTTTACCATTTTTAAGCATACAGTTCTTTGGCTAGCTTGCTGATTTTTAGATTTTTAAAAATTTTCTGTTGCTTCAATATAATATGTGGTATCAAACACCAGTTATTGCACCAATAATGACATATGTGCTATGAAATTTAAAATGTGCTCTCAGACTGAAAGAATCTTAAAATCCATTTGGGGAACAGTTTTATACATCTAATAATTTGATAGAACAGATGAGAGTTTGACAGTATGGTTCTCTGAAAGTTCAGTAGTTCAGAGAAAAGAAAAATCCTTGGGAACTTTAGTAGTTACAAGAGGAAGTGGAGCTTAGATTAGGCCTTTGAAGGGTAAGAATGAGATGCAAAGAAAGAAATATACTTGTTCAGAGGGATTCCTTGCCGTGAAGCCAAGGAATGTTTTAATAAAGAACAGTTTCTTTACCTGGGGTGGAGGATACCCAGGGGCTCATTTTATTATTATTTATACTGTACATGTATACATGTTAAAACTCTTGATAAATTTTAAACATTTTCTAATAATTTAAAATTAGTATACATAAGTTTGAGGCAAGTCGAGAGACTACGTATTTTGTTTGTTTTGTTTTGTCTTTGGGACAAAGTCTCGCCATCACCCAGGCTGTAGTGCAGTGGTGCAGTCACAGCTCACTGCAGTCTTGACCTCCCAGGCTCAGTTGATCCTCCTGCCTTAGCCTCCCAAGTAGCTGGGACTACAGGCATGTGCCACCACGCCCAGCTAATTTTTGTATTTTTTTGTAGAGATGGGGTTTCATCATGTTGCCCAGGCTAAGACTACTGTTTAAGAATAGTTTTTAGCTTCTGAAATCTTAAGGCATGGTTGATCAGTTTGGTCACAAGGAATCACTACACTGCCAAATTTATGGCCAAAGCTGCTTTTAGTTTTGTAAGATGATGTCAAGGAAGATAAGTGTTCTTTGCAGTGAAATGATTTAGGTACCTGTCAGCATGTCATTCTCCACCAAAGTGATTGTTGGGCAGTGGACATGAATAATCTTTGAAGAACTTTTCCTCTCCGTATTTACTTCTCACAATTTCCTTTACCAAAAAAAGTAAACTATGAATAGATTCATTACATTTTAAATTTGCTTGTATAACTTGTAAAGTCTTTTCACATATATGGTGAATAATTTAGGGACTGAGGACTAACAGCATGGATCGCAGTAACGTCTTTTAATCTAGAATTCAAGAACTATTCATTTATCAAGCATTTATTTCAAAGTATTTAAAAAGTATTCACTTTTAAAAATTGAAGTAGCTAAATCTTTAGAAGCTAAACTTTTATTGCATCTTCTCCTCAGAAATCCATCTATTGTCTTCCTATCCCACTTATACTGATGTCTTACTTACGCTAAACTCAGGTGTGACTTTATTCTTTTGATTTAGCTTAGTTCTTCGAAAATAAAAGGCAGAAATTCCAGAATACCAAGATACTTTGACCACTTGGTTATTACTTTGTGCCTTTTTTCTATACCACAAATACTATTAAACAACATTTGGGATATTTCCTCACAGTTTTAGCCTTCTGCTCGTGAGATTTCTTTATTTTTCTCTAATACTTGAGGAGATCTGAATAACCGTCTATTTGTTGGAGTGAGCACACGGGGTTTACCCTCTTCCCAGGGAATTGCTACAAGAGAAGATGATAGCTGGGTCCCTTTTTATTGCTTCCTTTGAGTCAGAAATGATTGCCAGTAGGAAGGGCCAGTCATAAGTGGAATACTTTATTTGAAGGTGGTCTGTGTTTAGGCTCTTCTAATTTTTAGTAGAAACATTAAACTGTAAGTTAGTATACTTTGGAATTGGGAAATTTCCACAGGAACTTCTGTAAAATTTACTAAGCATGTATTTCCACTGGTTGCAATATGTAAGTTTTAACTAAGGATAAGGTGAGGATAAACCTTAGCATAAGTTCAGTATAAGAGACAGTAGTCATAAACTATTAATCCCACTTAATTCCCATGAGAAAAAAAAATATTGTAGAACAGCATTAGAGGGATGTGTGTATAGGGGAGGGGGTGTTTTTTTTGGGTGGGGAGTGGAAAGCTGCAAAGAGAAGTTTAACTGTAGATCTCTCAGAATAATTCGTTTCTTGACTTTTTTTTCCCCTCTGTTGTTTGGCAGTAGATGTTGTTTGGCTAAGATGTCTCTGGAGTATAGAATTCCTTCCTATTTGACTTGGGAAGGTAAAATAAAAATGGATAGCTTGGGAGTCATTTATTCTGCTATACTTAGGTTTTGTGACAACATAAACATATTAAGTCAGTGATACCAAATTAGAGTTGATAGGGGATAATACTTCTTTGATAACAACAAATTATTCTTTACATAATTAATTAATCTTAGGATTGAACTGTAGTTTTTTAAATAGGCTTTTATGTAAGTTTGGCTGTTTATTATTTTATGTTGCATTAGTTTAAATTTCCCTAAGTCGTTTAACACAATAGTTACCCAATTCCAGCCTAGTGTCTTAGGCTGCCTAACACCTGCCATTGACATTAGAAAAAGCAAAACTCATACTAGTGAAAGATGCAGCAGTTATTTATTGGTGGGACATTGGGTTTACACAATTATAAAAAAATGGAAGTGGCTGGGTGCGGTGGCTCATGCCTGTAATCCCAGCATTTTGGGAGGCCCAGGTGGGTGGATCACGATGTCAGGAGATCGAGACCATCCTGGCTAACACGGTGAAACCCCATCTCTACTAAAAATACAAAAAATTAGCTGGGCATGGTGGCAGGTGCCTGTAGTCCCAGCTACTTGGGAGGGTGAGGCAGGAGAATGACGTGAACCCAGGAGGCGGAGCTTGCAGTGAGCCCTGATCACACCACCGCACTCCAGCCTGGGCGACAGAGTGAGACTCCGTCTCAAAAAAAAAAAAGGGTGGAAGTTACACACTTTTGAAAGATGTGTGCCTCTACTCCAGGGCTTATTCTATTCTGCTGCCTATGTACTTTGTTGTTTCTTTTGCCTGGAATTCAGGCTTCTCTCCCTTTCGTAGGATGTGGTGAATCCTGCTGGATTTCGAGATTTAGCTTGAAGATTCTTTTTTTCTATAACTTTCCTATGAAATACCCCATAACATTAAACCAGAGTCATTTCTTACTCCTCTAGGCACTTTGTTCATTTTGTTCTTATGGCCCTATTCCCATTTTCTTCTGGCCAGTATAGTTAGTTCTAATATGTAATATATTATGAATGTTATTTTCACTTGATTTTAAATTCCTACAGGGTTAGAAGTATATCCTAATGTTTGTATTCTCAGTACCTAACAGGATTCTTAGAACATTATAAATACTATAAATTCTGCCAGAATGTTTATTCTGCACATGGGCAAATAATAGCTAACATTTACTGAGAGCTTACCATGTGTTAGGCTTCGTTCTAAGAACTTGATATTTAATCCTCGTAATAGCCCTATGAGCTTGATAAATTTGTTACTTTCACTTTATAGATGAGTAAATGGAGAAATAGATTAAGATGACTTGCACTAGGACACTAGGGTTTTTTTGGTTTTGTTTTTTGGGGGTTTTTTTGTTTTTGTTTTTGAGACAGTCTTGTGCTTGTCACCCAGGCTAGAGTGCAGTGGTGCAATCTCGGCTCACTGCAACCTCCGCCTCCCGGGTTCAAGCGATTCTCCTGCCTCAGCCTCCCGAGTAGCTGGGATTACAGCCACCTGCTACCATGCCTGGCTAATTTTTGTATTTTTAGTAGAGACAGGGTTTCACCATCTTGGCTTCCCAAAGTGCTGGGATTACAAGCGTAACCCGCCATGCCTGGCCCCGGCTAACTTTTGTATTTTTTGTAGAGACGGGATTTCACCATGTTGCCCAGGCTGGGACTGTTTCTGTTGACTCCCCCCTTACCCCTAGTTTTAGGTCACTTTTTTGCTGCTTTGCAAGTTTAGTGATTTTTTTTTTTTTTTAACTTCGATGCTGGACAGTGTGAATGTTAAGTGATGAATTTTATGGTCTTTCTTTAAAGAGTGTTGAATTTTGTCTTGGTAGGCAGCTAAGTTACTTGTGGATCAACTTGTTTTTAATTTTTTGTTTTTGTTTTTAAATTGTGAGATGGAGTTTCACTCTTGTTGCCTAGGTTGGAGAGCAATGGCACGATCTCGGCTCACTGCAACCTCTGCCCTCCCCCGGTTTAAATGATTCTCCTGCCTCAGCCGTCCGAGTAGCTGAGATTACAGGCAACTGCCACGATGCCCGGCTAATTTTTTGCAGTTGTAGAAGAGATGGGGTTTCACCATGTTGGCCAGGCTAGTCTCGAACTCCTGACCTCAGGTGATCCACCCGTCTGGGCTACCCACAGTGCTGGGATTACAGGTTTGAGCCACCGCGCCTGGCCGCTTTTAATCTTTATTAGGGCATGTCTAGGGTGGTCTATACTCTAGGACTGGTTTAGCCCTACTACTAAGATGTGAATTTTCTAGTATTCCTTCTGAATGTCCTGGTTTTTAGTGAGGCTTTTGCTCTCTGGCTAGTTGGCAATCACATTTTTCCCAGCTCTACTGAACTCTTAGAATTGTTCACTTTCTGGTAGGTGTTCTTTGCCTAGCTTTGTGGAATTTCTCACCCTAACACATGTAGCTTTAGCTTTCAGCCCAAGACTCAAGGAACACCTTGCAGATTTCTAGACCTCTTTATCTGTGTAGGTCCCCCTTCTCCAGTAGTCTGCTTTGCACACTGCAGCTGCCTTAGCTACCCTGAACTCTGATCTCTGCTGCCTTAACGTGATGGGACTGCTGTGCTCTGCTTGGGTTCTTCCTGCCTGCTCTGCTGCCTGGGACGTGCCTCTAGGTGGTAAGCTTAGGCAGTTGTCAGGCTCACATAGGCTGCACTCAAGTGTCACAGTTCTGGGCTGCTTTTGACTAGTGTCTGAAAACAGTTTTTTCGTATATTTTATGGAGATTTCTAATTACAATGAGAGGGCAGCTTTAGGAATGATTACTTCATCATAGGCCTATGTTGTTTAGTATTAAGTATAGGAAAATAATTGTGTCTCTGTCCAGTTGAATGGTAATATATTTTAAGACAGCAACTTAAAATTTTAAGATAGTCCGCTAGAACTTTCTTTGATGATGAAAATGTTCTGTTCCTGTGGGGTGTAGCCACTGGCCATACGTCACTATTGTATACGTGAAATGTGGCTAGTGCCACTGAAGAGATGAATTTTTAAATTAATTTAAATAGCTCTATGTGGGTAATGGCTCCTGTAATGGACAGTGTGGCTGAAGGTTTTCTCTCAGTATTAGAAAATCTCGACCTTACAACGTTTGCATTTAAAAAAGATGCCTGTGGTTGATCTTTAACATATTCTAATTTAGAAAAATATAGTTTTTTTAAGTATAAAAATAGTTGCATGTTCATTGGAGATCATTTGGAAAATGCAGAAAGCACAAAAAAAGTTGAGCACACATAATCCCAAAGATAAGTAAGATTAATATTTTGGTGTATTTCCTTCCAGTTTTCTATAAAGAAGAACCCACTTTAGTGAAAAATCGTTTGGTTTTATTTTAAATATTTCTCTCTCAAAAGGAAATATGTATGGATGGCAAGGTTAAAATTGTGAAAATTTGTATCCTTCCAGAATTAGCTTTATATTGTTATCAAATAATAGCATGGCCTAAACAGGCTTTCCTACCTCTATAGGCTGTATATGTGTAGCAGTTTCAGGAATAACATATTAATCAGGAAGCTTTTTTTTTTAGTCTATTAGTTGCAGACTGGTGTTTAATAGAAAACTTATTTGGCTATTGGCTGCTTTTTGACTTCAGCTGGAAGGAAGCTCAAACATAATATTTGGCTCATTTCCACATAAGACTAAGGGTTACTGACTCTGGTCTGAAGACTGCTTGCAGTTTAGTCGTCTGAGTGACTCCTGTGGCTGAGGATGTGCTGGGTGCTTAGAATCCAAAGGTCTGGCTAGGCTTAAGGGGTTCATGGTCTAGTTAGGGAGAAAAACATGGCAGATTTTCTTCTGTTTTTCTTGGGGCAAAATCAGATTTTACTGTTTAATAGTACAAAATTTTTGCAAAATTAGCAGATAATACTCATCATTTCTAACTTCTGAAATCTTTTGTTTAGGTGAGACATGGAATCCATTAAAATTGCATTATCAGTTAAGAAATGTACGGGAACGATTAGCTAAAAACCTGGTGGAAAAGGGTGTATTGACAACAGAGAAACAGAACTTCCTACTTTTTGACATGACAACACATCCCCTCACCAATAACAACATTAAGCAGCGCCTCATCAAGAAAGTACAGGAAGCCGTTCTTGACAAATGGGTGAATGACCCTCACCGCATGGACAGGCGCTTGCTGGCCCTCATTTACCTGGCTCATGCCTCGGACGTCCTGGAGAATGCTTTTGCTCCTCTTCTGGACGAGCAGTATGATTTGGCTACCAAGAGAGTGCGGCAGCTTCTCGACTTAGACCCTGAAGTGGAATGTCTGAAGGCCAACACCAATGAGGTTCTGTGGGCGGTGGTGGCGGCGTTCACCAAGTAACTCTGCTCGGGGTGAACCATTCTCCTTTCTCTCAAGTAAACCAGTAGTTTTTCTTCTGTTGACTTCTGGTTTTCTGTAATTTGTACTTTCCCACACTATAATTGGCTTCTGTTTTACAAAATGGTGGGTGGCTTTTTCTTTTTTGTACGTGTACAGGATTCTGCTGGTACGAGAGGCCTTCCTCTTTCTGTTTTTAAAAAAAGTTTTACTGCCATATTGGCATTCCATTCCCTGTTGCCATCCTCACTGTTACCTGTTTTGGGTTTCTGGTCTACTTTGACTTTCAAAGTACCTCCAGCCTCCTCATACGCACAGCTTTTGGATGACCTCAGCTTGAGTTTCTCCATATGTGCATGTACATCTAGCATTCTGCCTACAGTTCAGACAGAAGTCACAAAAAGGCCTTCAACTCACCAAAGGTAAATATCTGTATCTATTAGGACATTTTTTACATAGACTTCAGTTGAGATGTATACTTAGCAAAATTATTTTTAAATTGAAACAGCACAGTAAATACTTAATATAAAATGTCCCTTGGATTTTGCTTCCCATGTAAATCTATTGTATTATTACACTTGTTATAATTTTAACTATAAAGGTCCAATTGTTTCACAGAGCCAGTTTGGGATGGGCTGCATTCCATTTATGCTGTATATAGTTTGAATTATATATAAATTACCCCTTCTTCTGGCCACCCCTGCTCCCATCTTAGTATTTTGCAAGATCTAATCAGTTGTACACCTGGTGCCCCTCGCTTGCTTCAATCATGGTTATTTGATGGCAAAATCGACCTCTTGTCGCTGAAGGAGAGAGAAAAGATGTGTGTCTGATTGGTCCTGGGATTTTTTGAGCTGTGCCATTTATGGTACTCTTTGCCTATGCATCCCCTTGTTAGATTTTTTTTAAATTTTATCTTACTGTTTTTATAATTTCTATTGGGAAGAGGCTTGTGACCAGTACCAATCTTGAGTTTCTTTTTCTGTCCACAAGTAAATTAATATCTGCTCTGAAATGTCATTTATCTACTCACACATTCTTGGGGAAAAAAATCAAATGTCAGTCCTAGCAGATGTTGCATGTAAATTGGTAGCAAGTAATGATTACAACCCAGAGGATTAAGAATTTTGTAACAGAAAGCTCTATGTTTTAATTTTTTATATACAATTAGGATAATTAGCATTGTCAGACTATAAACCTTTGCTTTTTAAAGTTTATTTTTACTATTTCTTTATCACTTTATTGTATCATCACCATTGGTTTCATAATGTAAATACTATATGTTGAACAAATTAAATGTCAAAATTTTTTATTACCATAGTCCATGTTAATAGTGGGGCTTTCAGGTGTTTAGAGATTTTTTTTGTTGTTGTTAACATTCATTGCAAAAGTACTAGATGGTGTATAACTCTAGAGTTGAATTTTAAGGGATTCCCTAATATGTATACTATCTTTTTATCTGAAGTAATAAATAAACAATGATCTTGAAAGTGCCTGAATCAGAGCAAGCATGTCATTTGTGTTTTTGTATTCTCATTTAGTTTTCTTTCAAATGAAATGTTACTTACTGTAGCATTGTAATATTTTAATGCAGGGCTTGGGTTTCTTAAAGGGCCAGATAGTAGATATTTTAGGCTTTGTGAGCCGCCAGCTGTGTCAGTTGCAACTACTGAACTTTACTGAATGAAAACTGTTATAGATAATACAAATAAATAGGTTAGACTGTGTTCCAATAAAACTTTATTTGCAAAAACGGGGCTGGTCAAGGCCCCAGTTTTAATGCATGGAAAAAAGACAGATTTTTCTATCCATTGGAGTAACCTTCTTTACCTTCAAAAATGATACTGCTGGTGGTAACTACATGTAGGAACTATTAAAGTGTCTTCCCATAAAGTAGATATTGGGAAACTGATACCAGTATACTGGAATTTCTTATCGAGTGAAAAGTTCCTGTTTTTCACTTGAGAAGATGTTAGAGGTGAGGTAATAGATTTCTGAGGTATTCACTTCATCAGCAGCATCAGTATTCCCAAGCAAGGGGGAAAAGGACCTCACCTGAACTTCTGTCAGTGTTTGCATTAGACCAGAGTGCACACTTAGCTCTACCTGTGTGCGGCCCCAGCTTCAGTGTGTTTCTATTTCCAGAGGAGGAGAAGAGTAGTAAAATCTCGGGGGGGTTGTAGTGGTGTTATCAAGAACTCTTTGTCCTATGGAATATTGTTGCTTTCAGTCCTCTTGAAAGCAGGAATGATGTGACTCCATGGAAATAAGTATTGTCTGTGTTAAGAGCAGTACTTCCACGGGTTTATGCCACTTTGATTAAAAGCCTTTACATAGATATCTATTGTGTAGAGAAGTAGTAGTTGCTGTTTCTTTTTTGGTGGCTTCATATGTTTTGTAATTGGCTGAGTGTTCCTTAAAATAACCTGATTGGTACAATGTACTAACAGAAGCTTACTAAGCGCATGCTATTTTATATCTCATTTTTACCTCCCCAAATTCCAGTTACTATCTTCACTTTGTGAAGAACAATCTCAGAGGAGAATTCGCTCAGTGTCACATTATCTACTAACTGTTCGAGCTTTTAATGCTAAGGCGATTGAGGAACAGTGATGGCATTCAGCTACAATTGTTTCTTTCTTAATTGGGCACTTCCTTTCCCTGACAGAGACAGAATAGGCATGCAAAATACTCTCATGGCATTGCAAAATAAAAAGATTAAAGAACATCTCTATTCTAATATCTTGGTATAACTTGCATAAATTATCTTTTGGGGATGAAAAAGTTGACCAGTTCTGTGTGTTCTCAAAGCAGAATTGTCTAATGACCAGGAAAGTCCCTGGCCTCCTGAAGCAAGGTTGACCAATGATCTCTGACTCGTTCCACCACTCAGCCGTTCTTACTGTTTGTGAACAGATAGGTACAATACTCTTTCTAAGTGTAGTAAACCGTTGAATTTGGTTATCTCCCAAAAGAAAGAGAAAGGGGCTAGGGCCTGAATGGTTCAGTGACACATGGGACCGACCAGTAAGTAGTGACACCTAGCCTGATACTGTCAAGGGCCCATGGCTGCCAGGTGTGGCTACTCCCACCCAGCAGTTGCAAGTTTATGTGAGGTATTTATGAAGTTTAATTTCCAACTCTGTGGCTTCTCTATCTTGTATTAACTTATATATTGTGAGATAATACTGCTCCATTTCACTTTTGTCCAGATTAAGATGACTGACAAACTGAGGTAGTTCCAATTCATCTCAGCCCATTGGGTCCCAGGATGATATGCTTGACTGTTGTAAATTCTGCACAAATGTCATATATTCTGTAACAGCATCAGTAAAGTGGTGGTATTAATATTCATGACCTTGCGGGCTATCCTTCAAAGGGGTATGGACGGTAACATGGTTTAGTTAAGCCGGTAGTCATACTTTCTCAGCCCAGAATTATATAGATATTTACTCCTGATAGAACAATTGGTGTAGTGTGGCTACCTTATACACTGATGTGCATTTTACTTTTTGCACTTTTTGCACAACTTTATGTTGTGGAGAGATTTCAGGGTAAGTACACATCATTCTTTTGAATGGCTTTGTTGTATAGCTTAGTTAAATCTCCCATTAATGGACATTTAGATGATTCTCATATTTTACATTATTACACTATTGTAGCATACTTTTTTATGTCTTTATTTCTCATTTCTCTAGAAGGATTTAATAGAAATGGATTTGCTCAAATAATATACCTTGAAAATGTAAAAGATAAAGCCAAATTGATTTCTAAGCTTTATGGTAACTTACACTTCTGACAGTAAGGTGAATGCTGGTTTTCCTATACCCTAGCCAATACTGCAGAGCAGTGGTCGCCAACCTTTTTGGCATCAGGGACCAGTTTTGTGGCAGACAGTTTTTCCATGGACCTGGGGTTTGGGGGGTGGTTTCAGGATGAAACTGTTCCACCTCAGATCATCAAGCATTAGTTAGATTAGGTGCACAATAGGGTTCGAGTTCCTATGAGAATCTAATGTGGCTGCTGATCTGACAGGAGGTGGAGCTCAGGTGGTATTGCTCGCTTGCCTGCTGCTCACCTTCTGCTGTGTGGCTTGGTTCTTAACAGACCACCATTACTGGTCCGTGGCCTGGGGGTTGGGGACCCCTCTGTGGAGGATATCATCACTCCTAGTCTATGTTCATTATTGAGGGGTTATCATTTACTGCCTTTTGGTAATTTGTATTTTTCCTGTGAATTACCTGTTCGTGTTCTTTATTCATTTTTCTGAAGGGCATTGATCTTTTTATGTACTGATTCACGAGGACTTAAGCCTATGATGCAGTTGTTTTCCCAGTCTTGGGAGCTGGCAGATGGTAAGTTTTGCTTTTGCTTTCTTTAACATTCAGAAAAGTGTAAGGTGCAGTGCTTGAGCATGCAATTTGTGGAGATCCTTCTTCTAAAGAGATGTCTGGTGGTCAGATTTGATATATATTAACTTTGGGAGGGTATGATCAAATTTAAAAATGGAAAAAGTCGAAATGTCTAGGTTAAGAATATGTATATAAGCATTTCATTAAAAGTTTTTATGATTAAAATATAAATGGAAAATCTCAAATATTTACATTAATTAATTTAAGGCACCCATGTTTACAGCCATTACCCAGGTCAGGAGATAGAACCTTGCCAGCTATACCCTGAAGCTGTTCAAGTCTTTCTCCCAATTACAGTCTTCATAAGAGTAAGTACTGTCCTGACCCAGTGTGAATCTTTAATTGTATTGTTTTGTTTCATTTGATATGTCTTTTAAGTTTTTTTTGAATCTGTAGGTTCTTCCCCCATCTCTCTCTTGTTTTTCCTTTGCAAAATATTTGTTGATGAAATTGGATCATTTGTCCTGCAGAGTTTTCCAAGGTTTGGATTTTGTTGATGGTTTCCACAAGGTGTGATTTAAGGTGTTTGACTTCTACACTGCATTTCCCAAGAATTGGTAATTGGCTCTAGAAGCTTAGATTCAGGTTTGTTTGTGTAGGCAACACTAATCAGTGGTGGTGTATGCTTCCACCAGGAGGCACATAATGTCTCATATTTTCCTTTTGTGATGTTAGCAGCCTTGCTTTTCAATTCTTATTTATTGGGGTTGCAATGTGATATTTTAATAATTCTTTTTTTTTTTTTTTTTTTGAGATGGAATCTCGCTCTGTTGCCCAGGCTGGAGTGCAGTGGCCCGATCTCAGCTCACTGCAAGCTCTGCCTCCCTGCCTCCCAGATTCACGCCATTCTCCTGCCTCAGCCTCCCGAGTAGCTGGGACTACAGGTGCCTGCCACCATGCCCGGCTAATTTTTTGGTATTTTTAGTAGAGATGGGGTTTCACCATGTTAGGATGGTCTCGATCTCCTGACCTTGTGATCTGCCCGCCTCGGCCTCCCAAAATGCTGGGATTACTGGGATTACAGGCGTGAGCCACCGCACCCGGCAATTATTTCTTTTTCTTTTTTTTTTGAGTCAGAGTCTCACTGTGTCGCCCAGATTGGAGTGCAGTGGCGTGATCTCTGGCTCAATACAACCTCCGCCTCCTGGGTTCAAGCAATTCTTATGCCTCAGCCTCCCGAGTAGCTGGGATTACGGGCGCCTGCCACCATGCCCGGTTATTTTTCTATTTTTGTGTTTTTAGTAGAGACAGGGTTTCACCATATTGGCCAGGCTGGTCTCAAACTCCTGACCTTGTGATCCTCCTGCCTCAGCCTCCCAAAGTGCTGGGATTACAGGCTTGAGCCACGGCGCCTGGCCCTCATTATTATTTTTTTTTTTTAGCTAGAATATTTCTATAAAGAGACGTGTTATCTACATTACGTTTTACTATAATTCATAGAGGGAAGGTAGAATAATTCTTACAGTTTATTTACCTATTTTCAAAATACAGCTGATTCCATGGCACCCTCCAAAAATAACTTTAATTTTTAAAGTATTATGAACTTATGGAAACACATTCTGTTTAAATTGACAAATAATAATTGTGTATATTTATGGGTATAATGTAATGTTTTAGTCTTTGTACACATTGGAGATTCAGTCAAGCTTATTAAAATAACCATCACCTTACCAACTTATATTTTTGTGGTAAGAATACTAAAAATAGTCCTTTTTAGCAATTTTGAAACACAATACATTATTAACTGTTGTCACCATGCAATGCAATAGATCACTAAAACTTGATTCCTCTAGTCTGAGACTTTGTATCCTTTGAACAACGTTTGTTTCCCTATCTCTCCCCTTCCCGTCAGTTTCTAGTAACCATTTTTCTACTCTTTTTCTATGAGATTGGCTTTTTTAGATTACACATATAAGCGAGATCTTTTTTTTTTTGTCTTTTTTGTGCCTTATTTCACTTAGTGTAATGGAATAATCATTCTTTTATGTGTTTTGGTCTACAGTTATTAGCCCTATTAATGCTCAAAATGCCCTATCTTTGGCCAGTGGAACTCTCTTCAAGGATCTGGAGTCCTTTTGATAGTTTTAGTAGTCTTTGATAACTTCCTGGTATGGCTCAGATGTTTCAGGTTCATTTTGTATATTTCCTACCCTGTATCTGGAATCATCTATTTTTCCAACAAGCCATGTTTCTTTTAGCATGAAATGGTACTTCGAGACCGTAATTTGGGCTTTCAGAATACTTGTTACTACTGCCTTGGTCATTGCTTCTGGGGGAAAATCTTATGTGTGTTTGTGTGGTGTATGTATGTGTTTATGAAAAGTACCTCACAGAGTTTCAGTGCGGGAAGTTAAAGTGGCAGGGATGGGGCTGGGTGTGGTGGCTTACGCCTGTAATCCCAGCACTTTGGGAGGCCGAGGTGAGTGGATCACCTCAGGTCAGGAGTTCAAGACCAGCCTGACCAACGTGGTAAAACCCCATCTCTACTGAAAATACAAAAATTAGCCGGGTGTGGTGGTGGGTGCCTGTAATTCCAGCTACTTGGAAGGCTGAGGCAGGAGAATTGCTAGAACCCGGGAGGTGGAGGTTGCAGTGAGCTGACATTGCACCATTGCGCTCTAGCCTGGGTGACAGGGCAAGACTCCGTCTCAAAAAACAAACAAAAAGTTGCAGGGATGGATGGTGGTGATTACACAATGTCAGTAGACTTAATGTCACTGAACTGTGTACTTAAAAAATGGTTAAGATGGGCCGTGCGCAGTGGCTCATGCCTGTAATCCCAGCACTTTGAGAGGTTGAGGCGGGTGGATCACAAAGTCAGCAGTTCAAGACCAGCCTGGCCAAGATGGTGAAACCCCGTCTCTACTAAAAATACAAAAATTAGCTGGGCATGGTGGCGGGTGCCTGTAATCCCAGCTACTCGGGAGGCTGAGGCAGAGAATTGCTTGAACCTGGGAGGCAGAGGTTGCAGTGAGCCGAGATTGCGCCACTGCACTCCAGCCTGGGTGACAGAGCAAGACTATCTTAAAAAAAAAAAAAGTTAAGATGGTAAACTCCATGTATATTTTGCCACAATAAAAAATGAAAAATAAAGTGCCTTATGATTTTACATTGACAATTCAGATGGAAATGTATTTATTTATTTTTTTGAGAACAAGATCTCACTCTGTTGCCCAGGCTAGAGTGCAGTGGCCTGATCATGGCTCGTTGCAGTCTCAAACTCCTGGGCTCAAGTGATCCTCCTGCCTCAGCCTCCCAAGTAGCTAGGACTACAAGCATGTGACACCATGCGTGGCTAATTTTTAAATTTTTTGTAGAGATTGAGTCTCACTATATTGCCCAGGCTGTTCTTGAACTCCTGGCCTCAAGTGATCCTCCTGTCTTAGCTTCCCAAAGTGCCGGGATTTTAGGTGTGAGCCACCCCACTCAACCCTCAGATTCAAATTTACAATTTATAGGGTTTTTCTGTCTTCTACTTTTCTATATCAAGAATGATGGAAATTACTGACAATAAAATATCACATAGTTATTCATTTGCTTCCACATAAGACATTCTCAAAATAATAGTATTAGCACTATACCAACAATTTGATTACTTAAAAATGAGTTTTTAATAAGACTTTTTTATATGCTTGCTCCGTTCACCTCCGCCACCACCCTTTTTGTAGTTGGGCTACATCTACATTGTAAGAACATGTAGTCATTATATACTTTAATCTTTTCCTTTTAACCCTTCCTTTAGTCTCAGCTCTTCAGGTAAATACCTATTTAGTGCTCATCACCATTCCCAGTGTCACTGCCTGGCCATCATTTTGATTGCCTTGCTCATTTGTTGTTGGATTCTTCAGAAAGGGTTTGTGAGAATAATAGTCCTGAATTTTTGTATGCTGATGGCAGTTTATCTGCAGCCTTTTATTTGAAAGTCAGTATGTCTGGATAAAATTCTTTTTTTTTGAGTTGGGAGTCTCACTCTGTCGCCCAGGCTGGAGTGCAGTGGCGCGATCTCGGCTCACTGCAACCTCTGCCTCCCAGGTTCAAGCGATTCCCCCGCCTCAGCCTCTAAGTAGCTGGGATTACAGACATGCGCCACCACGCCCGGGTAATTTTTGTATTTTTAGTAGAGACCATGTTTTACCATGTTGGCCAGGCTGGTCTTGAACGCCTGACTTTGTGATCCGCCTGCCTCGGCCTCCCAAAATGCTGGGATTACAGGTGTGAGCCACTGTGCCCGGCCAATAAAATTCTTAAGTCACATTTTCTTTGGGTAACCAAAGTATGTTCTTAGCATAAAGCATTGCTGTCAAACAATACTAGGATTATAATATGATAATGATTTTCTTTCTCTCATAATTGCCTTGCTGTTTTTGCCTGGATGCTCATGGGATATTTTCTCTCCGGTATTTTTCCAATGTTACTAGAGTGTGTTTTTGTCTTGGTTGTTCTGGATCAGTATTCCCAAGTACATGGTGTGATCTTTCAACATGTAGTGTTGACCATTTTTTAATTCTCAATTTCAGGAAAATTAAAATATTTAGTCTTCTGTTCACTTGTTCAGGTTTTCCTTTTGAGGGACTCATTTTCCATCTTTGTGTTTTGCTGGGGTTTTTTCCTCTATTTCTTACTGATGTTTAAACATTTGTCCCCTTTTTCTCTTCTCTTTCTCTGAAGGCATTATTGTGGTTTATTCACTGGAAATGATCTTTCCACATGACTCATCTTTTCTGAAATTATCTTAGATTTTTTTTCCTGAGTTTTAATACCTGATTTCTGAGTCTTTCTGGTTTCGGTTTATATTATTCATATTCCAGGTCATTTTCTTGATATATTTTATTTTAGCTCATTCTTAGGTACTGAGTTATAGTTCTCACTGGTTTTGTGGGCATAGCTTTCTGGTGTGCTTTTGTTGTCTGTAGGGATTATATTTGTTCCTTATACTTTTTTTTTTTTTTTTTTTTTGAGATGGGGTCTCACTCTGTTGCCCAGGCTGCAGTGTAGTAGTGTGGCACAATCATGGCCCACTGCAGGCTTGACTTCCTAGGTTCCAGCGATCCTCCCACCTCAGCCTCTTGAGTAGTTGGGACCATAGGCATGCACCACCAAGCCTGGCTAATTTTTTGGTATTTCTTGTAGAGAAGGGGTCTCGCCATGTTACCCAGGCTAGTCTTGAACTCCTGGACTTAAGCAATCCACCTGCCTCAGCCTCGCAAAGTGCTGGGATTACAGGTGTGAGCCATTGCACTCAGCCTCTTTTTTCTTATAACTACTTTGTATGGGATCTAACCCAAGATTATCTGCTGTTACTCCTTCTTACATGAAATTGCCTTTCCTGTTCTTTTAGAAGAGAAAGACTTGAGTTGGAGTAGCTTAACTTTAGCCTCTCCCTCTTCTGTTTTGTGGAGTGAAAAGACCTGTATCTGCTCCCCTCATATACTTTTAACTGAATCTTATTTTTTATCCTTGCTCTTGTCCTGCTCAGTTTGGATTCTATTTCCCATAGTTTCTCCTTAGCATGGGGTTTTGAGAGTTCATAGCCCGCATCAGCCCTTTCCTCCTTCATCATGGACTTCACACACTTGCCCACTAGGAGAAGATGAAAACTCTTCCACGCCCAGCTGCTGCTGTCCTGCTGGTCCACTGAGCTTTCCTGGTGATTTTGCGAGGTCATGGGGCCATCACATGCTGTGTTGCTTCCTTCTACTTCTCTTGTACAGATGGTGATTTCAAATTGGTCTTGGTGGTGGTGGTGGCATTTCCCCCACACACTTGTATATTTTGGAGTTTGTGGGGATACCTTTGTATCTAGTTTTATTGTGGATGTTTACTGTGTTTTTCTATATTAACTGTGTGTGTGTGTGTGTGTGTGTGTGTGTTGTGTGTTTCCCGGGTGTGTTAGTGGGGATATGGGGAGAATAGAAAACTATGCCAGTGTTCCTGGCATCTTGCTTGAATCCACTGGGATAGCCCCCGGTAGTTTTTAGTTTGTATATAGTCTGGTTAAATTGTGAGTCTATTGCTTTGTAGATTCTGAATTTAGCTTCATGCTTAGAAGAGCTTATTCACTTTATGATTAAAGGAATATATTTAGGTTTTTTGGGATTGTTTTTGTTTTTGTTTCCTTTCTTGCTTTTAAATCTTTGACCCTTCTGGAATTTTATTTTGATGTCAGGGATTTTGTTGCAAATGGACTAGCTTTTTCCTCTCTCCAAAATACCTAGCCAATTTTCTCAACACCAGTTATTGAATATATTGAATAATCGGTGTGTGTGGTGTTTTGTTTTTGCTTTGTTGCTGCTGATTTAAAATGCCCCTTTTTTTTGAATTTGGAATTACTATATATTTGGGTCTGTGTTCTAGTGGTTTGTCTGTCTAGTTCTATAGTAGAGGAGCCAACATTTTAATTATTACAGCTTTCTGATAATATTTTAATACTAGTTCCCCTCTTACTCTGTCTTTTCAAATTTCTTGTGGCTATTTTTGTGTGTTTATCCTACCAGATGAACTTTAGGATAATTTTGTCAGGTTAAAGAATTTGAGATTATGATTGGACTTATAAATTAGCTTGGGGAGAATTGAGATCTTTATAGTATTGAGTCATCCTGTCCAAGAAGCTATACATATATTTACCCCCCTTTTTTTAGTTATCTCTTACATCCCTTAATAGAGTTTTATAATATTTTTAGGTCTTGGCCAGTTCTTGCTAAGAATAAATTTATATTTTCAGTTGCTGGCATTCATAATAGAGTATTTCTCCCATGGTATATTCTAACTGGTTATTATTTATAGAAGAGCTGGTGGTGGCTCACGCCTGTAATCCCAGCACTTTGGAAGGCCGAGGTGGGCGGATCACAAGGTCAGGAGATCGAGACCATCCTGGCCAACATGGTGAAACCCCGTCTCTACTAAAAATACAAAAATTATCTGGGTGTGGTGGCATGTGCCTGTAGTCCCAGCTACTTGGGAGGCCGAGGCAGGAGAATGGCATGAACCCATAAGGTGGAGGTTGCAGTGAGCTGAGATCGCGCCACTGAACTCCAGCCTGGGCAACAAGAGTGAGAGTCCATCTCAAAAAAAAAAAAAAAAAGCTGGCCGGGCACGTTGGCTCACTCCTGTAATCCCAGCACTCTGGGAGGCCAAGGCAGTTGTATCACGAGGTCGGGAGATTGAGACCATCCTGGCTAACATGGTGAAACCCTGTCTCTACTAAAAATACAAAAAATTAGTAGGGCGTGGTGGCAGGCACTTGTAGTCCCAGCTACTCAGGAGGCTGAGGCAGGAGAATGGTGTGAACCTGGGAGGCAGAGCTTGCAGTGAGCCGAGATGGCGCCACTGCACTCCAGCCTGGGCGACAGAGCGAGACTCCGTCTCAAAAGAAAAAAAGAAAAAAGCTGTTGTTTTGGTGAATGTTAATTTTTGTGGCCACCATACTGAATTTTACTATTTTAATAGTTTTTCAATTGGAACTTTTGTGTTTATATGTACCCAAGTTTTGTCATGTGCAAATCATAATACTTTTGCTTTTGTTATTTATAGCTGTTTTTAAGAATTTTACATAATTGGGCCTGGTACAGTGGCTCACACCTGTAATCCCAGCACTTTGGGAGGCTGAGGTGGGAAGATCACCTGAGAGGAGTTCAAGACCAGCAACATAGAGAGGCCCTGTCTCTACAAAAAATAAAATAAAATGTTACCTAGTTATATTGGCTTATACCTCCAGAACATTGCTTTTCAACAATCATACTTTTGAGCATCCTGTGCATGTGTATTCCTGACGAATGGGAATGTTTCTGGAGTTCCTCCATTAGAGCATGATGTAGGCTTTAGTGTCTGTTGACATCATCCATTCATTCAGACAGAGCTTCGCTCATCACCCAGGCTGGAATGCAGTGGCACGATTTCGGCTCACTGCAACCTCCACTTCTCGGGTTCAAGCGATTCTCCTGCCTCAGCCTCCCGATTAGCTGGGATTACAGGCGCATGCCACCACGCCCTGCTGATTTTTGTATTTTTAGTAGAGATGGGGGTTTCACCATGTTGGCCAGGCTGGTCTCAAACTCCTGACCTCAGGTGATCCACCCGCCTCGGCCTCTCAAAGTGCTGGGGTTACAGGTGTGAGCCACTGCACCTGGCCTCTGGACATCTTTCATGAAGATTCTTTTTCTCTTTTGTCCTGTTAATGTAACATACTACATCTATAGATTCTTAATTTCAAAGTGTTCACATATTCCTGGAATTAACATCAATTGTGCATATTTTCTTTAATGTACTGCAGAATTCTATTGGCTAACATTTAATCAGGATTTTTCAAGTTCATCTTCAATGTCACTTAGATGTCTACAATTTTATTTGACTTGTTGCTTCTAATGTGGCTTTGGTTTGGTAAGGTGATTGTTTTAGTTTTACTTCTACCAGATCTGTATTAATCTCATTAAGTTTTCTTACTGCTCTTTTGAACTTGTGCTGCTTAGAAGCCACGTTTACTTAAGTACATTGAGAGTACAAAACAGTTTATATTTAGAATTTTCCCGAGTCATCTTCCAAATTATATATTTACTTCTTTTTTTTTTTTTTTTGAGACAGAGTCTTGCTCTGTCACCAGTCTGGAGTGCAGTGGCGTGATCTCAGCTCACTGCAAGCTCCGCCTCCCAGGTTCAAGTGATTTTCCTGCCTCAGCCTCCTGAGTAGCTGGGACTACAGGCACGTGCCACCATGCCCAGCTAATTTTTGTATTTTTAGTAGAGACGGGTTTCACCATGTTGGCCAGGATGGTCTCGATCTCTTGACCTCGTGATCCACCCGCCTCGGCCTCCCAAAGTGCTGGGATTACAGGCGTGAGCCACCGCGTCCGGCCTCCAAATTATATTTTTATCTGCCTTTTGCATAATTGTATTTCACTCCTTGTATTCTCCTCCCTTCTCTTCACCTGTTCTGAATTCGTAAGTAGGACCCTTGCTGAATTTGATTGTTCAGTGGGGATAAGTGAATTCTACTAAGCCTGCCATTTGCCCAAGATTGATCAGTGGTGGATCCTTTATAGCTCTCTGTGTTTAAGCATTGTTCAAATCGTCTCTTAGGACAAGAGAAGGAAGTTGGGGACTAGCTGATTTTAATCTTTGAGATACCCAGCTGTTTTGAAGGGATCAGGAGGCTGTGTGGAGTGATGGTGGCCATGGCATTTATGGGGTGAGGGCGAGCTGGGGCAGCTAATCTCTTACTGAATCAGTTAACTGCAGGTTCCTGTTTGGTGGGGGCTCCCCTCAAATCTGGCCTGCCACCCCTGACCTCAAGTGATCCTCCTGCCTTGGCCTCCCAAACTACTGGGATTACAGGAGTGAGCCACCGTGCCCAGCCTGGTTTTACATCTTACACATGGTATGTAGTTTTCCATTTCATATAATGGGTTTGTGGCTATTTCCATTTTAAAACTACCAGAGTTTCCCTCTGTATTTGTTCATTTCATTGGGTTTCGAGGAGGGGAATTATGCAAACAAGCACTCTGTCTCCTAGGAAAAAGCTCTACCCAAGTAGGGGCAGGGAACCAATCAGAATTTCAATTTTGGGAAGTATATAGAAAATCAGGCAGGCAACAGCTTGTTACGTCCAGAGAAACTCTGTGGTATTGAATGGGGCCAAAATGATGACAAATGGCTTTCACAGGAGATTTCTAGGTAAAGAACCGGTAAGGACTGGGGATTAGGATGCTGTGACCAGCAGAAACAGACCTGAAGTGGGGAGGGTGCTAGGTGAAGCAGAGTTCCTCCCGTCTGAGGCCAGGTCACATGCTGGGTCCTGTTCTGAGATTCCTGCAAGAGGCCATCTTGCCTTTTTCCTTGCGTTACTGTAGGTTGGTATCTCCATCTTAAAACCAGGGCACCTAAATAAAGTAGATGCTTTTTTTTTGAGATGGAGTCTCGCTGTGTCGCCTAGGCTGGAGTGCAGTGGCACGATCTCTGCTCACTGCAAGCTCCGCCTCCAGGGTTCACGCCATTCTCCTGCCTCAGCCTCCCAAGTAGCTGGGACTACAGGTGCCCGCCATGACGCCCGGCTAATTTTTTTTTTTTTTTTTTTTTTTGTATTTTTAGTAGAGACGGGGTTTCACCGTGTTAGCCAGGGTGGTCTCAATCTCCTGACCTCGTGATCCGCCTGTCTCAGCCTCCCAAAAAGTGCTGGGATTACAGGCATGGGCCGCCACGCCTGGCCAAGTAGATGCTTTTTATTGAGCTCTGTGAGGTAGGATCCCAGATCATCCAAGTAGGAGGGGGAAGGTGAATGGGTAGGGTTTTTGAGAAAAAGAACATTATTGTGAAAAATGAGAGGAAAAACTGACAAGGAAACAAGTGCTGAGTGGCAGCGAGGGTCCAGTTAAGGCTGGAAACTGTGAATTTACAGCAGCAGCGTTCTGTCTAGTTGTGGGATTTTCCTCTAGGAATACGGTTATAGGAACCAAGATGCTGGCTATTTGGAAGGGTCCAGAATCGCCTGGTAAGACACAACAGTGGGGCAAGGGATCTAAGCCTGTGGGCTGGGCAGAGTTTGCTGTGCTACGCTAGGGTTCTGGTCTGAGAAGGGAATGGAAGGGTGGAGTTCTGATAGGGAGAAAACTGTCAAGGGCTTTTTGAAAGTGAAGACGTGGGAGGAAGTGACCAGGAGGCTGGGAGCGTGTGGTAAAAGAGTAGGATGTTCAATTGTAAGAAAGATTTAGAGGTGGAAAAGTTTTGGATTGTGTCAAGATTGTGAGTGTGGCCTGGAAAAGGGTGGCTAATTTGAGTTCTATTGCCTTTGTACCTCTGATGCATTTAGGTGACAATAAACATTTCTCATCTCAATATTACTCTATTATTAACAAACAAACAGCCAAAAGAGAAAAAAAAAATCAAGTAGTAAGCAGAGTGTTTATTTTTTTTAAAATTACTTAAAAAAGGTTGTTTACAGAGATGTGGATTTATATAACTTGGTGACAACATTTTTAAAATGTACAGGCTATTTCATATTATTGCACTTACTCTTTAATATATAAGGCATTTTACTTTACATAAATAAAGGTTAATGTATAATATCATACAAAGTTATGGTGCCAATTAAGTCAACCATCAAATTCAATGAGATGTGTGGGAAGATGGAAATGAAACCCAGCCTACTTTAATCTTCATGGTATATTCTTGCAACTACGGTTTACTTGTTATAACACATATTTATTTACCCTCATAGCTTATTGTGAATGACTGACCAGTTAAAAAAAAAGAAACAATGACAGTTTTAGTAGGACAATACCATTAGTGTTCACTTCAGAAAGTGTGGGAATTTATTAGGCTAATTAGAAATACTAGTCATGCCTTGAACACTGAAGACAAATAAATAGCTTTCTATCTATCTTAGGGTCAAAGACAGTTTAGCTTTTGCTTCTTCCCTTAAATTTCAACTGTTTGTTGGCGAGGGAAACCTTCTGGCAAGATGTAGTAGCAGTGGCTGATGACTTTAGCATAGTGTATGTGGTAAGCCAGAGGTCTACCCTTGTACTCCAGATATGAGGATTAAAAAGACTTGCGGAAGGAGACCATTCCATTTGCTCCACATTGCACAAGAAATTCCTGTCTGTTCACATAGGGCTGTGCGTTTATTAATTAATTATTATTAGGCACAGCTGTAAGAGTGGAGGCGAAAAGCAGTTTTCAGTGTTGTTGACTTGAAATAGTCTTTGATTTAGGCAAGAAAGCAGAAACCACAAAACTGACCCCAGAGACTGAAAAACAATCAATCAATATCTATCAATCAAGCATGCACCTTGCACTGACTTCCTACAGTATTCTACCTGTAACTGTAGTGAAAAGTAGAAGTAAAATCAATAAGACCTTTCTAACTAACTCCTGTACCATATTTTCCTTTGTATTGCCAGTTGATGAGAAATCTGGACTCAGACAAGCCAGCTATTTCTCTCTCATCTGAAGGACCTCTCTAGGCCGACTTCAAAGATGTTTAGTGGGATTGGTCATTCAGAAAAATGATGATGTACAAAGCTGATGGCTAAAGCCCCTCCATGAATCTGGGGGTCACAGCCATAGACCCAAGCTGTAGGTTATTTAAAGAAGTATCTCCAACATAAAATCTTAGTGTCATGCACACAGGTATGGCAAATGCACTCTCCACTCATGTTGTCAGGGCTCAACGGGTTGGTTTGTGCCACTGAAGACGACCTGGCTTGTAACTACATTTCTGCTCCTTTACCTTGACTCACCCTGTTTCTCCTCCTCTTTATGACCCGATGAGAGTTTGGAATTATTTACCTAAGAAAATAAGGTACATCATGAGGAGAGAAAAGCCAGCTATGTGACGACGAACGGAATATCCAATCGGAATAGCTACTGGGAAGCAGCTCATGCCACCAGAGGAGGAGTGGCCAGAGTGAGTTTCCCAAGTAGCGTGAGTCACGACAGTCTTCTGTAGGAAAACATTTTTGGCAAAAGGAGGAAATTGCAAAGCGGGAAAACGAAAACAGCAAAAACTTAAGTCACTGCAGTTGTCATTATACTAGGTCAAGAAAAGAGATCCAATACTTAGAATGTTACATTTCTTAAACATGTTGGGAAAGAGGGAAAAAAACCAACCAGTCTCCTAAAAGGATTCCATTAAGCTCCTCTATTTGGATTGTACATACATTGTCTATAAATCCAAGGACACTTAGAAAGATACTTGATTTCTAAAAATTTAGTTTAAATTCATGGTTGGAGTGCATAAAATTCAGAAATGGAAACCCAGTGACTGACTGACTTGTGATATTTTTGTCTGCTCTTGGACTGACCAGTCTTGAATTCAAGCACTTATCAAGACAGGTTCAAAAACTAGTTGTAAGGTGCTTTTAGATGTTGACCTTTCTGCTCCCTCTAAGCAGTGAAGCTCATGGCTATTTAATACAGCTTATCAGAAGTGCTATTCTGTAAAACAGCCTTATGGCTTACACTTTTGAGATAGAAAATGATCAATACTTCATGGTGATCAATAACCTATTGAGTTGAACTTTGCATACGTACATTATACATTACACTCACTAAAAAATACTCTCAATTAATTATTTTGCTTTTTCCTTTTTGGACAATTCCTGAGCTCAGCCTAACAGGTCATAATTCATTTTTTTAAGTAAGTCTTATTCTCTTTTCAGGGTAACATATACAGACCTACATCTCCTCCTTCCATTGAATGTGCCTAAAAGCATTCTGTCATTTACTTACAAAATCATACAAAATGATTGATTGTCCTCTTAGGTGTGACATTTGTGTCCCCCTCAGACTTTTAGTTCCCTGATCACCAGGATTGGGTATGTTGGGAGAGCTGGCAAGAAGGAAGCAAAGGTCTAGCTAAATGTTTGTTTGTTTCAAATAAAGAAGGGTGTGTCACATCTTGTATCCCCATCAGTAAACATAACATAAAGGTAGGGGACAGGCACTGGAACGAAGGAACCCTCCCGGCCTGGGTGACGCAGGTGGAAGGCTTCTGGAGTTAATTTCATTGCTGTTGCACATACAGTTAAGTCAGGCTTCATGTGTAAGCACAAGCTTGGAGATTTTTATAGTCCGTGTCTGTACCAGTGTTGGCCATTTCAACAACCTGTGGTTTAAAGAAGTCACTCTGATTTGCTAAAGAAAGAAGAGAACTGAGAAAATGATTCTTGTTAAAATTCATGAAGAATTCCTATGCTTTCTAATTAATAACTGCACAGGTCCTTCTGGGACAGACTTCATAATATTCCAGGCATCAAAGTGCATGAGCCCAACCAGAGGTTTCCCATTAATAGCAAGAATTTCATCTCCAGCTTCTATTATTCCAGCTTGTTCAGCCGCACCACCTACGAGAATAAACACAGAATAATTAATAGCTTGGCAGTTTCATAGTATTCAAAAATCCTAAGTAAACTAAAAACTTTTAAGTGATAAAAATATCTAAATAATATATTATTGAATAGAGAAATATTTCTTAGAACACAAAAAGCATATATCCATAAAAGTAAACTGGTCTACAGAAAACAGTGCAACTCTAGCCCTCCTGCCGCCCCTCCAAACATAATCTGTAAGATAAAAATAAACTGACAAGGGGAAGATACTCTCTATGTATTTAATCAACAAATGGTTAACATCCAGACTAAAGAGCTACAAGTCAACAAGAATAACACAAAATAAAGTTGGGGTAAGGAAATCAACAGCTGAACTCCAAACAGCCAGTAAACACAGAAAAGCAGGTTCAACTTTTTTTGTTGTTGTTGAGACGGCCTCACACTGTCACCCAGGCTGGAGTGCAGTGGTACAGTTTTGGCTCGCTGCAGCCTCCGCCTCACTGGGCTCAAGCGATCCTCTCACCTCAGCCTTCAGAGTAGCTGCTACCACAGGCATACACCACCATGCACAGCTTTTTTTTTTATATTTTTGGTAGAGATGGGGTCTTGCCATGTTGCCCAGGCTGTCAGCTTCTAATTGTTAACAGATTCTGGCTGATATATGCAAGTTCTGAGAATCAGTGATTATGTGCTCATTAGTGACCATGGGGACTACTTACTTACAGAGTTTAGCATGTTCACATTATAGCTTTGTCTAGCTTTGTATGAGCTTTGAAAAAAATGCAAGTGTAAACCCTCCATTTACGTTCTCACACATATACTTCTAAAGGTACACCAGCTATGGAGGCATCTTATGGAAAAAAAATGGCATTGAAAGAAAAAGTCCCAAGTGTGAAAAAAATTTTCTCAGAAATTTTGATTAGACCTCAAAAGACTGAGCAGATGTATCGATTTCATCCTAAATTACTGAAAGTCGTTATTGAAATTATTGAAATAAATATTATGTGATAAAAATACAGCTTGGAAGAAATCCAGCCCACACAAGGACAAAAACATTTTCTGTGGTAAATGATAGAGGCAGTTAGTTACATTAGAAGAGAGACCTCACCAATATCAGCCCTGTAGTGGGCCCCAGGAAAATGATTTGGTCCCTAGTCCTTGCTTTTCTTGAGATAGATACATTTTTGGAAGGACCAAAGAACCAATTATATTTGTGTTAACTTAGTACCCAATGTCCTATTCTAGCATATTAACCGAAGGCCTTCAGGTTATGTGAAACAAAAGAATTTTGTGAGTGTTCACCTGGGCTTCAGGACATGGGAGGTTCCAGGCAACCAGAACAGCCTGACGCACACTGAAGGAGCAATCAGACTGGGTTTGGTCTCAAATCTGTGACTTCAGGCAAGTTACAGATTTCTCCAAACTCCAGTTTTCTCATCTGCAAAATGGTGATGATGATATCTGTCTTGTTATCTTACTAGGTTGTTAGAAGGACTGAATGAGATGAAGTAGAGGAAAGTCTTCTAGGACAGGGGTCCTCAACCCTTGGGCCACAGACTGGTGGCAGGAGGGCTGCACAGCAGGTGAGCAGTGGGTGAGTGAGCAAAGCTTCCTCTGTTCACAGCCTCTCACCGTCACTCACACTACCACCTGAGCTCTGCCTCCTGTCAGATCAGCAGCAGCATTAGATTCTCACGTGAGTGTGAACCCTATTGTGAACTGCATATGCGAGGGATCTAGGTTGCATGTTCCTTATGAGAATCTAATGCCTGATGATCTGTCATTGTCTCCCATCACCCCCAGATGGGATGCCTGGTTGCAAGAAAACAAGCTCAGGGCTCCCACAGATTCTACGTGATGGTGAGTTGTATAATTATTTCATTATATATTAAAATGTAATAACAGAAATAAAGTATACAATAAATGTAATGCACCTGAATCATCCTGAAACCATCCCCCACCCAAACCCTCACCATGGAAAAATTGTCTTCCACAAAACCAGTCCCTGGTGCCAAAAAGCTTGGGGACTGCTCCTTTAGGAAACATTCAGTGTTGTACAAAGCAGAGGTTTGCCAGCTTTTGGACTTTTTACACAAGAGAGAAATAAATTCTCTCGTTTAAACCACTGCTATTTTGGATTTCCTATTACATGAGGCCAAACTGAATCTTAACAGATTTGAGCAGGATATGTCTCTCTCTCCATTTACTCATAGATTTTTTAAAATTGTCCTTTAGAAAGCTTTTATGCTTTTTCCCAAAAAGGTCTTGCATAGCTTTTGTTGAACACATTCTTAGGTTCCTTATGCTTACCATGAATTGGTGTCACACAGTGCACAATCTGCATTTGGCTTTTTTTCATTCAACACTGTTTTTGAGCCGGTCCCAGTTAGTATATAGAGAGAGGTGTAATTTATTTTTTCAACTGCTATTTAGCTTTCCTTTAGATGAATATATTTTATTCTGCTACAGATAGAAATTTAAATTGTTTCATAGCTTCCATTTTCGTAAGCACTGCTAAAATTTTCCTTAAAGATTAACCAGTAGATACTTGCACGAGAAAAAAAATGTGTTTTCCTTTCTCCACATCCTTGCCAACACATCATAGTATGAGATTTTTTATTTTTGGCCAACTTGATAGATTAAAAGAATGATTTATAATATTTCTAATTTTCATCCAATACATTTAAGTTTGAGCATCTTCCTGTGTTTCTTGGCCACCTAGGTTTTAACTTCTGTCCATTTGCTATTGCTTTCTTTACCCAAACTTTCTCTCTTGTATTTTTCTTACTGAATTATATAGTTCTTCATATATTCTGGATTGATTGATTGATTGATTGATTGTTTTTTTTTGAGACAAGGTCTCCCTCTGTCACCCAGGCTGGAGTGCTGTGGCACAACCATGGCTCACCACAGCCTCGACCTCCTGGGCTCAAATGATTCTCCCACCTCAGCTCCTGAGTAGCTGGGACTATAGGTGCGTGCCGCCACACCCGAGTAATTTCTGTATTTTTTGTAGAGGTGGAGTCTCGTCATGTGGCCCAGACCGGTCTTGAACTCCTGGGCTCAAGTGATCTGCCCACCTTGGTCTCCAAAGTGCTGGGATTACAGGTGTGAGCCACGGTACCCTGCCTATTCTGGATATCAACCCTTTGTTTATTAAATATATTGTAAATATCTTCTAATCACTTACTTTTGAATTTGCTTATAAATTTTGCCATATAATGAACATTTTATATGTTTTTTTTTTTTTTTTTTTTTTTTTTTTTTAGATGGAGCCTTCTCTGACCCCAGGCTGGAGTGCAGTGGTGTGGTCCTGGCTCACTGCAACCTCCGCCTCCTGGGTTCAAGTGACTCTCCTGCCTCAGCCTCCTGAGTAGCTGGGATTACAGGCATGCACCACAATGCCCAGCTAACATATTTTTAGTAGAGACGGGGTTTCACCATGTTGGCCAGGCTGGTCTCTAACTCCTGACCTCAGGTGGTCCACCCACCTTGGGCTGCTTAGGAGGCTGAGACACCAGATTCACTTGAACCTGGGAGGCAGAGATTGCAGTGAGCAGAGATTGTGACACTGCACTCCAGCCTGGGTGACAGAGCTAGACCCTGTTAAAAAAAAAAAAATTCTTTATTATTCAAATGCTTGTTCTGTAATAACCTTACTCAAAGAAATCAGTCTTGCTATATTGTTTTCTAATGCTTGAGCTTAAAGACACAGGAAAACAAAATGAACAGAAAACCTGTACTCATGAAATTTGTAAATATGAAATACGAGATAAGGTGAATCCTGACCTCAAGTGATTCGCCTGCCTTAGCCTCCCAAAGTGCCGGGATTACAAGCATGAGCCACCATGCCCGGCCAGATAATGACATCTTTAGTCTCACTAGTTTCCAAAGGTGGGATCTGCCGTATCATACTCAGAAATACTTGAATGGCTTTCCCCAAGAACAAAACCACAGGCTTGCACACGAGAGCATCTAAAGCGCTAGTCTGTGGGACTGACAATTTTCTTCTTCTCTATCCATTTCCATAGCAGTTTTCACAGATTTGTGGCCAGATGCTAGAGACAAAGGCTGAGAAGTTGTCCAGGACGTCATATTCTTGCTTTGCTGGAGGCAGATCTGAAGGATGTCATCTCTCCTGTGGCTTCTTCTAGTGTGGGGTCCCGAAGCCTGGCTTCCCCAGCCGATGTGCTGCTTTAGTCAGCGTCTGCCCTGGTCCTTCGGTTCGCAGGCTCACACGCTTTTTTGGGTTGTGTCCCTTTGGACTGCAGAGGCTACGTGTCCTGTGACCAACCACGAAGGCGGCCACTCCCGCTCCCCTCAGGAGTGTCTTAAAATACCTCCATTTTAGCTACCCTATTGAATGACAGGTTAGCTGGGTGCTGGGTTTTCAGGTGATGGACATTTTCCCTCAGTCCTCTGAAGGTGTTGCTGGCTTCAGGCATTGATGCCGCCACTCTGATTGTTGTATGCAGTGAGCAAACTAGAATTTTCTCTTGGCTTTCTAGATTTTCTTCTTTATATTCTGAAACTTTATTATATCAAGGTTTGAATTTTATTTTTTTTGGAGACAGGGTCCTACTCTGTCATCCAGGCTGGAGTGCAATGGTGCAGTCCTGCTCACTGCAGCCTCCAAGTCCAGGGCTGAAGCGATCCTTCTGCCTCAGCCTCCTAAGTAGCTGGGATCACAGGTGTGCACCACTCTGCCTAACAAGGCTTGTTTTTTGTTTGTTTGTTTGTTTTAAATAAATACATTCAGATTGTTTTGCCCCTTGATGAGTTTTTCAGTCTGCATAGTCCTGTCATTTTTTCACTTCTGGAAAATTCTTAGTCATGATTTCTGCAAATATTTCCTCTCATTCTGTTTTTTCCTTCTGGAACTCTTTCATTACCTTTTTGTAGTCATCTCTTTATTTCCCTATACTGCATTTTTTAATGGTTTCTTCTGTTCTGTTTTTACAAATTCTATCTATCTTCACATGGATTTAGTCTATTTTTTACTTTTACTCATTAATTTAAAAATACATTTAACTCCATTTTCACTAATGAGGGTGTATGTGCATTTAGTTTTTACTTTTAAAGAAGCAGGGTCTTGCTCTGCTGTTGAGGCTGGTATTGAACTCCTGGGGCTCAAGCAGTGCAAGGAGCTGAGACTACAGGCATGCGCTACCACACCCAGCTTGCATTTTGTTTTTTTTACATATTTGCTTGCTCCTTCTGAATACCCTCTTCGGTCCTGTTTCATGGGTAACATTCCTGCCTCTGTCATGAATGGGGTGTCCTGTTTTTCGGGTCTGCTGGCAATGGATGTTGCCCTGTACCCTTCGTCTGAGAGCTTTCTGTTGTGAGGGCTCTTATAGTCGAGTTGCCACATGCTTGCCTGAGCCTAGTTCTCCTCCTTCTGCTGCTCTGTCAACTTGAACAGTTAACTTGATGAGTCTGAGGTTTTCTCTTCACCCTGGTACCATAGGTTCACACATAACAGAGACCTGACTCCTGATTTATGCCTGTCTTCTGCTTGCTCCGGGCGTTGGGAGCAGGCAGCCTATCCTGGCTGCCACTCGAGTAACGCAGACCTGTTGTGACCACAGTTTACTGGCAAAAGAGCAGGTCCCAGGCCTCTGCATCACGAGATGCTTCGCTCTGGCTGCCCACAGGGGTGCTGAGCCCCTGCTCCTGGGTGGGCACTGAGTCTGCAGCGCCCCTGCTCCTGGGTGGGCCCCAGCCTGCAGTGCACATTTCTCTGTCATCCTCCGCTTCCTCTGGGCCCCAAGGATGCAGCGCTGCTTACCACAGAGGCTTCATTTCCACTTTTGATCCATAGAGGGGTTTTTTTTTAAGTGTAACTATACATTTTTAAAAGTATTTTTTCCTATTAACACTATAGGTCAAGAGTGGAGAGAGGTTTTGGGATTACTATGCAATTGTAGAAATATCTCAAGGTCATTAACTAGATGGTCATTTAAAGAAACAACAATCCTTAGCTAAGAAGAATTGACCTTGTTATTTGCTGACCTACTTACTCTGTTACATACTGTAACTTTAAATGGGTTTCTGATCTATTTGCAAGTATAATTACATATCAATATTGTTCATACAATTATACTGTTAATATTATTAGTACAATTATGAGTTAATATAAGATTTTGAAAAACCGCCCAAGACCAAAAAATGAATTATGCAAGTTGATAAAGAGATGGATATTTACCAAGCATTTCAATAATATCTATCCCCCATCTTTTTTTTCCCACAAAGGCTATGCTTGGACTGTATTCCTTTCTTGCAGTCTAGCATTTACAAGTGTAGTATTTTAAGTCAATGAGATCTTGGCCAGTATTAAGTACTCCTGACTGGCAAGTCTAGTGATGTTACTTAGTGTGGTGTGTTCACATCAGAGAGAGGGGCCCGGAGTAAGGAACTGCTGCAGTACAGGGGTCAGGGACAGATGCTCTGGGGCCAGACTGCCTGGGCTGGAGCCTGGTTCTGCCACTTACAGCTGTGTGACCCTACGTGCCTCAGTTTCTCCTTTTGTAAAATAGGGATAATGATGACACCCACCCAATAGAGTTGCCACGTGGATGGCATGAGTTAATACATGTCCATACAGAATAAACCTTGTATGTCACAAAGCATTAAAAACAGTTTAGGTTTTTTGATTTCTAAATGGAAGGCATTTTTTTCATTGAGACATCCATGGAAAAATGACAGGTGAGAGAAGGCTGACTGAGTTGTCTAGAACATTACCTTTGTACACTCTTTTAATGACCAAGGGCCCATCTCCCGTCACCGATGATTTTCCCCCATCCAGACTCAGTCCCAGCCCAGCCGAGGTCTTCAGCACTTCAACACACAGAGCATCGTGTACAGCCACACTTCTCCCTGCAGCCGCAGCGTGCACCAAGATGAAAATGACAGGGTTGTTCATCATGCCACATGTCCAAGTCCCCCAGGATGCATCGCCTCCAGCCCCATGTACTTCTGGCACACTCAAGTCCCATCTACCCTGGGGCACTTACTTACTTATAACAGCACTTGAGCCCAGTAGCACTGTTGGCCTCCCAATTCTGGGGCTGCCCTCCTGGCTGTGTTGCTGCTGTACTTGCATCCTTTGTTCTGTGTTTTCTGCAAGCATTGGCAAATGCTTTTATGCCCAAGCAGAAATCCCCAGAAAGCAAAGTGCTCTTGTTAAGCCCCCCACACCGGCTGTGCACTTCTCAGTGAGGACTGAAGTCACACTTGGGGACTCCAAATTTGATTTTCTGCCAACCCTGGCTGCTAATGGCAGCAGCAGATCATCCTCTGGTACCAAGACTTGGCAGCACCAAAATGCCCAGTCTCATGTGAGACTGTTAGAATGGACTCCAAAGCCCCCAGGAACCCAGAGAGCTTCCTGCCTCCCCGCTCCTGCCACTCCTGCTCCTGCAAAGGGAAACCCTGCCCCTGGCTATGGCTGTCTTCACAAACACACTCGCTGCCTCTACTGGCATCTTGCTCCACTGTGAGGAAATGTGTTTCCATGGTGATGCCGGCTCTGTGTGCTGGTTTCGGGATAGTGGGCTGGTTTGAATCAGGATTGTAAACTTGCCTTGTACTTCCCTCCCTTGCCTGCCTACCAGCCAAGGACGTCAGAGTTGACTGCAAAGGCACACTTAGTTAATTGGGAGGCAGAGGAAGGACCACGGATGGATTAAACTGCCTGCTTCCTCTGTTCACTGTTCACTAGGGCTGAAGCCAAGCTAGCATTGTCTCCTTTGGACATAAAGGCCAGTCCATTGTCGTGGTTTAAAGAAGGCCACTCCACAGGGTCTGAAGGACATTTACTAACACTGGGGGGAGCATGATTTTTCAACAGGAAAATGGGTCTATTGCAGTGGCTCGAGTCTGGCTGCATACTGGAGTCACCTGGGAACGTGAAACGGTGTCTGGCCCCCACTGCGGCATTTCTGATTTAATTAAGCTGGGAATTTCCTGGGCATCAGGAATTTAAAAGCGTCCCAGCATCTCTACTGTGCAGCTTACTGCACCGGGCCCCCAGCTGGACGCTGTCAGTGTATGGTAAGGAATATAACTGCATAGGACCGGGTAGACCTGGGTTAGGGAGACTGAAGAACAGGAAACTGAGCGAGGTTAAGCCCTCCAGGCGCTCAGCGTTTGATTGATTGCTCTGCAGGGTCTGCTTCAAGACCAGAGGCCCTGAAGTTGCTGCAGGAATACTGAGTGATTGATTATAAATGACAGAAGGACCATCCAGATCTGAGTTCACGAGGCTTAAAAACTGGCAGCTGTGAGGATGAAGTGGTTTCCTTTGACAGTTTACAAGGATCCCACTGAAAGTCCACCAAGTGGTCGAGACAGTTTTGGGGCAAAGGCAAGCATGACAAGATCTGATGACCAAGGTGTTTCCCTGTATTGAGGAGGGCCTCAGCCCTCTGGAAGAGGGAAAGTGAAATGACACAGAAGGAAGACTGGGGACCATGGAGGCATCTGGACAAGAAGTGTTTCTCATTTGTTAAATGGAATCGGAGCCATTTTCAGCAAGGACTACAAACAGCTCAGGCCACAAGGAAGCCAAGTTGTAGAAAGGAATCCAGCTACCCTTATCAGGGAGAGATGTGGAGAAGGAACAAAAGGCCCCTCCCAGAAGGCACTGCCTAACCCATACCCTCTGCTTTGCCCTCTCGAATAAAAAAAGACGTCACCCCTGAATGCCAAGATGCACGGCACTCCAGACATCTGCAGTACTTAACAGGGCATTAAACAGCTCGCACTGCAGAAACAGACGCTGCACGTGGTTCTGAGGCTCTGAATATGGACGGAACGTAGAAAATCTGTTTCTAAACCTCTTCCAGTGAGTTCTTCTTGGTTGACTAAGGCTGCAATTTCTGTTTTCAGACACAAAATACTCTTGCCCCCTCATTTCCTTCTTTTCTTCTAAACCAGGAAAGAATACAACCTTGCTGTTTCCCAAGGATAAATCTTAGTTCTGGAATTTCTCCTTCAACACTGCTCGCCCCGTCACGTAGTTTCCTGTTTTCCTTACCAGTCCTAACAAGAGGCTGTGAATGTAAGAGATTCCTTCTTAGGACACTTAGGGAAACTGTTCTGCAGTCATTTTAAATCTTCCACAGTACAGCTTGAACTACTGGGGGGATTTTTCTAATTTTCTAATTTTTTTCTAATTTATTTGTAACACTGCTTTTGTAAGCAGCATCCAAACACACTAGACTTCGCTACATTTAATTTTTCAGATCTAGAAGTTAGTTAGCTGTTATTTTCCTTCATGTTCAACCAGAATCTCCTCTTTCTGCAGTAGCTCACAGCCTGCTGGTTGTTGAAATGATCATCTTACCAATGCCAGGCTCCAGGGGGATGGTCTTTCTGGACAGCAAACCCTTCCCATTGGCTGTGGGAGGCTCCTGCCGGGCAGAGGGCCTGGGCTGATCCATCCCTTTCTTGATGACCACGAGGGCATCTTTGTGCAGCTGTGCCTGGTGCAGAACCTTCAGGACATTCCCGTGGGCTAAGCCAGCCAGTGAGGCGCCGTTGACTGACAGAAGGAAATCCCCTCGGTTCATAGTCCCTTCCTGAGAAGCCGCCCCCTGAGAAAACACCCTGTGGACCTGGGATGAGGAAAGGAAAAGGGAACAAAAACCAGATCCACTTACGATTTCCGGTAAAAGGGAGATAGTAACTAACTGCGTATCTGTAGTAAAGGAACCTTCCTTTTTTATTTTTATTTTTTGAGAGGGAGTCTCGCTGTGTCACCCAGGCTGGAGTACAGTGGTGCAATCTCAGCCTCCCGGGTTCAAGCGATTCTCCTGCCTCAGCCTCCTGAGTAGCTGGGATTATAGGCACACACCACTATGCCAAGTTAATTTTTGTATTGTTAGGAGAGACGGACAGGGTTTCACCATGTTGGCCATGCTGGTCTCAAACTCCTGACCTCAGGTGATCCACCCGCCTCGACCTCCCAAAGTGCTGGGATTACAGGCGTGAGCCACCGTGCCGGGTCTTGTAGTAAAGGAACTTTCTAAGGTAGACACTTGCTTTATAAAAAAAAACATACATTCAGTGCGGGGGATGGAACACAAATGTCAATGCCAGTGTCTCCACACATTTTTTTTTAACTCCTTTTTAGTGTCTGACATGGGCCTGGCATCCAGGAGGCAATGGGAATACGAAGATGAATGAGGCCTGGGCTCGTGCAGTGAAGGTGACCCTCTGGATGGTCCTGAAGGCTTTTGAATGATGTAAAATTTTGAGTGACTTTTTGAGACGGGAGTAATTGTATAAACACAAGTTTGGCCAGTTGATTCTAATGTTTTCTACTGCTTAAAATATGGAGGTAAATTATAAGGCTATAGCGAATTGTGTTTATAGGGATTGGAAATGGCCTATACATGTCAGCTCTGTGTTAAAAATGCTTGTCTTTTGTCAACGAAAACCTTACGTACTACTTCTCCCACTTCTCCCTTTTTATGTTGGTAGCTGGGAATGAAATCCAGCAATCTCTGAACCCGCTGATTGGAATTTGTGCCCTGATCACATTCTGAGGCTGCTTGAGGGGGGATTTTCCTGAGAGCCTAATGACTCTGTCACTTACCGTGATTGATTTTGGCTCCACATCTGTCCCTCCTGCCACACTGAATCCCAGACCTGAGCCTTCTTTTCTATTCAAGACTATGAAGCAAACATCTTCTTCATTCTAGTGAAAACAAACAAAAATTATCCTTTGAGCTACAGCTGCAAAAAATTAAGAAAGAAAAACATATCCCCTTGGGCCAGGAGTAAGGAAGCTCTGATGTCAGTCCTCTTGGAGGGGCTTTTCACCACAGGCCCTAAAGGTTCTTTGGCTCTCAGCCAGGCATGGTGGCTCACGCCTGTAATCCCAACACTCTGGGAAGCCAAGGGGGCGGATCTCTTGAGCCCAAGAGTTCGAGTCCAGCCTGGGCAATGTGGCAAAACCCTGTCTCTACAAAAATCAGCCAGGTGTGGTGTTGCACACTTGTAGTCCCAGCTACTCAAGAGGCTGAGGTGGGAGGATTACCTAAGCCCGGAAGGTCACGGCTGCAGTGAGCCATGATCACGCCACTGCACTTCAGCCTGGTTGACAGAGTGAGACCTTGTCTCAAAAAAAAAAAAAAAAAAAAAAAATCATAGTACATAATTTGATCATGATGGGAATCCTTTATTCTGTAATTCTTTAAGTCTACAATTTAGCAAAGCCAGTCCTAGCAACAGCAGAAAGATAAGCGTCAGTGGCAAGAGGCAGGATAAGAGCATATCAAGGCCATGTTTTCTACATCTCCCTCCCCATCATTGGATTTCAGGTACAATTAATTAACTGATGCCAAAAAAATAGCATGGCTAGGCGCAGTGGCTCACGCCTGTAATCCCAGTGCTTTGGGAGGCCAAGGCGGGCGGATCACCTGAGGTCAGGAGTTCGAGACCAGCCTAGTCAACATGGCGAAACCCCGTCTCTACTGAAAAATACAAAAATTAGCCGGGCGTGGTGGCGGACACCTGTAATTCCAGCTACTTGGGAGGCTGAGGCAGGAGAATCGCTTGAACCCAGCGGGCAGAGGTTGCAGTGAGTGGAGATCATGCCAGTTGCACTCCAGCCTGGGTGATGGAGTGAGGCTCTGTCTCAAAAAACCCCCAAAGTTCACTCAAACCAAAACCTAGACTGTCCCGCAGAACTTTTGGGGGAGTTGGGAGGTTGACTTCATGGGCACCTTCAACCATATGTATGCTCACACACGGATTGATGGGGAGAAAGAGGTTGACTAAGCTTTCCAAACAAAAATGGGAATACGGGACCCAGTAAATGGTCTTTGTCCAGCTTCTAGGAGGTAATGTGGTGCTGAAAATAGGAACACTTCTCAGATATTTCAATGTCTTATGGGAGCAAAGAGACAATATTTGAAAATGAGGCCTCCTACGCCGGGTGCGGTGGCTCACGCCTGTAATCCCAGCACTTTGGGAGGCGGAGGCAGGTGGTTCACATGGTCAGGAGATGGAGCCCATCCTGGCTAACACGGTGAAACCCCGTCTCTACTAAAAAAAAAAAAAAAAAAAAGCCGGGCATGGTGGCGGGCACCAGTAGTCCCAGCTACTCGGGAGGCTGAGGCAGGAGAATGGCGTGAACCCAGGAGGTGGAGCTTGCAGTGAGCCGAGATCACGCCACTGCACTCCAGCCTGGGCAACAGAGCGAGACTCCATCTCAAGAAAAGAAAAAAAAAAAGGAGAAGGAAAAAAAAAAAGAAAATGAGGCCCTCCTGCATTCCAGGACAAGTTAAATCACAAAAATTTCAATGTATTCACATTTTTTTCCAGTGGTGTTTAAGGACACAGATATGCTAGAAGCTGACTATTGCGCCAAATTTTGCCTCTGAGAGCCTCAGCACAGTCTCAGGGCGGCCAGATCAACCATCAAGAGCTCTCCAAGGTTTGGGTGTGTTGAAGTCAGGAGGCCAGGGTTTGTTTTCAGCCTCGAAGCCTCGAATCTCTCACAGCACTGCCAAGGACACAGAAAATAGTTTTGTGCAGTTCTATTTTTAGTACCTGCAAACCATACTCATTGGAAAAAGCAAGGCAGGAAGCTTCTAGACTGAGGATGGCAGAGTAAGGATAGCCCTGCTCAACGCTCCTCTCTGAAGACAGTGAGAAAATAAAGGGAAAAGAACGCCGTGTTCTGATATGTAGGAATGATCTTCAAACCAAACCACAACCCTGCCTCGTGGTGAGCGTGAGTAGTAGGGGGTGAGGAAGGCCCTAGAATAAGCCACCCTCGGGCAGCACTGTGGCATGCTGGCCATACTTTGTTTGAGGTTCCTGAAGATGTACATCTTGCTTGTGGTTGGCTGGACAGTCTGGTCTTCTCCTCTGACATTTCATCTAACACTAAAATGTCTGGGGTAAAGGGGGCCTGGCAACGTGTGACCCCACCTGTGCCCCCTTGACTGGTGGTCTCAGAATGAGACTTTCACACATGAAATCCTTCCTTATTGTAATAACAAGTGGGAGGAGGAAGAGAGATGAGGGGCTATTCCCTTTTACTGAAAGCGGAAGTGCTTAGCATCTCAAGACATTTTGTTTTTCTTTCAGAGACAGGGTCTTGCTCTGTCACCCAGGCTGGAGTGCGCTGGCACGATCATAGCTCACTGAGCCTCAAACTACTGGACCCAAGTGATTCTCCTGCTTCAGATTCCCATGTAGGTAGGACTACAGGCATATACCACCACGCCTGGCTAATTTTTTAAATTTAATCTTTTTTTTTTTTTTTTGAGAGATGAGGGGTCTCACTATGTTGATGAGGCTGGTCTCGAACTCCTGGCCTCAGATGATCCTCCTGTCAAGGCATGTCTTAACTGCACAGACCCAAATCAGCGGCTGAGAATCAGAAGGGAGTGGAACCTGAAGGGACTGGTCTCCTTTATTCCAACCTCTCTCCTCGCCTCCTGGCCAACTCCTTACTAGGTGCCAAGGCTGGCTGTTGGCTGAGAAACCACACAGCCCCTCTATATTTGAATTTCTGGAACAGCATTCTTAGATGACTTCAGTGACCCAGGTATACTACCACTAAAGAAACATTCATATTTATTTCTCTAAATAGAAAATATTCATTCATTAGGGTTCAAATCTCTACGTATAGCCCCAAGAAATTGATCTTCAGATTAGTATCCTAGATGTGAACCTGTGGTTTCTTCTGTCAATGTTTATTGTCACAACTGATTTACTGAAAGATTTTATTTGTAATTCCTTGTACTCCAGGGTTCAGATGCTCTTCTACAGGTGACATTTGAACAACACAGGCTCAAACTGTACAGGTCCACTCACACTCAGGGTTTCTTCAGCCTCTTTATCCTTGAGGCAGCAAGACCAACCCCTCCCTCCTTCTCAGGCTACTCAGTGTGAAGATGACAAGGATGAAGCCCTTTATGATGAACCACTTCCACTTAATGAATAGTAAATACACTTTCTCTTATGACTTTTTTTTTTTAATTGAGATGAAGTCTTGCTCTGTCACCCAGGCTGGAATGCAGTGGTGCAATCTTAGCTCATGTCAACCTCTGCCTCCTAAGTTCAAGCAATCCTCTCGCCTTAGCCTCCTGAGTCGCTGAGACTACAGGCACCCACCACCATGTCCAGCTAATTTTTGTATTTTTAGTAGAGACAGGGTTTCACCATATTGGCCAGGCTGGTCTTGAACTCCTGACCTCAAGTGATCTGCCCGCCTTGGCCTCCCAAAGTTCTGAGATTACAGGTGTAAGCCACTGCACCTGGCCTCTTAGGATTTTCTTAATAACGTTCTATTATCTCTAACTTACGTTGTTGTAAGAAGACAGTATATAATACATATAACTGACAAAACTTGTGTTAATTGACTGTTTATGTTATCAGTAAGGTTTCCGGTCAACAGTAGGTTGTTAGTAGTTAAGTTTTTGGGAGAGTTAAAAGTTATATGTGGATTTTCCACTGCTCGAAGGTCAGTGCCCCAACCCTCATGTTGTTCAGGGGTCCACCATATTTCAGGGCAACGGCGGGACTACACCAATGTAACTCTTCTCTCACCAGCAGGTGGCTCCCTTGACTAGTTTATGTCCACAGTTAGGTGGCGAGAGGTATTTCCGAGATGACTAGCTCTGCTTTGAGGACTCTCTGCAAACAAACTCCACACATAGGAGTTAGGAGAATGGTAACTAGTTGCTACTTGGGGGATGAAAACAGCAGTGACACCCATCTGGCACCTGAACATTCAAGACAAGGTCTAGCTTCTGAAGCTGGCTAGCAGCACGTGAGGCCAAAGTCAGACTGAGCTGTGAAACTCGCAACCCAAGGCAGTCCTCCCTCTCCAGGACTCGGGGCGGGCTCTCCTCGGCTGTCTGGGCAGGCAGCACATACCTGGGCACTCACGCGGCCGCAATTCATGTTCCTGAGCTTTCTGTGTTTCACTCACCTCTGATTGTGCTTTCGCTTCCTGAATGAGAGTTAGGATGGTAGATTTCGATCCCACTGACGATAAAACAGACTGTAATCTTTGCTGGTCCCCCGCTGAGACTAGAAGTTGATCCAAACTAAATAATATAAATATATTTGAAGAACATTAAAGAAAAAAGCAATTTCTTCATTTTATAAGAATGCATTTAAAATGATCTCCTTTCTACTATACAAAAGAGAACAGGTATTTTCTGCTCTCTTTTGGTCAAAACTTCCATTCCAAACTAATGGAAGAATAAATCCTGAGTGCTGAACAGAAATGTCATTCACTGCCAATGGCAAGGGGAACTGCTATGAATTCAGAGATCCCCTCAAGAAGTTATGGGACCAATGCTGGAGCTTAACAGGACACTTCTGACATGTTTTAAAATATTCAATACATATGTTCAAGTGAAATATTTTTATTTTTATTGAGATGGAGTCTAGCTCTGTCACCCAGGCTGGAGTGCAGTGGCACGATCTCAGCTCACTGCAACCTCTACCTCCTGGGTTCAAGCTATTCTCGTGCCTCAGCCTCCCGAGTAGTTGGGATCACAGGCACCTGCCACCACGCCTGGCTAATTTTTTATTTTTAGTAGAGATAGGGTTTCACCATATTGGCCAGGCTGGTCTTGAACTCCTGACCTCAAGTGATCCGCCTGCCTTGGTCTCCCAAAGTGCTGGGACTATAGGCCTGAGCCACTGGGCCTGGCTTTTTTTTTTTTTTTTTCGAGATTGAGTCTTACTCTGTTGCCCAGGCTGGAGTGCAGTGACGCGATCTCAGCTCACTGCAACATCAGCCTCCTGGGTTCAAGCGATTCTCCTGCCTCAGCCTCCCAAGTAGGTGGGATTACAGGCGCCTGCCACCATCCCCAGCTAATTTTTGTATTTTTAGTAGAGATGGGGTTTCACCATGTTGGCCAGGCTGGTCTTGAACTCCTCACCTTAAGTGATCTGCCCGGCTCAGCCTCCTAAAGTGCTGGGATTACAGGTGTGAGCCACCACGGCTGGCCTCAAGTGAAATATTTTTAAATATGTTAGAAATTCTCCGTTTAACTCCAGCCACCTCCAAAGTCCAAATTCCCCCGTGCTGTGCTCTCTCTTCCTCTGCATGCCCCTCTCATGTTGCTTTTGCTTAAGTGCCATGTCCTCTAGAAGCCTCTCCTCAGAGCGACACTTTGGTAAACATGTTTCCCTGCAGGCACTTTTATTTTTCCAGCAGTGATATTAAAAACCAAGGGCACTAAAATGGAATGTAGTATCCTGGATCCTGGGACAGAAAAACGATATTAGCAGAATTTATTCAGCAAAATCTGAATGAAGTCTGTAGTTAATGGTATTGCTCCAACATTAATTTCTTACTTTTGACGAATGGACCGTGGTTATGAGAGATGTGAACATTAGGAAGAGTGGGTAAGAAGTGGCCGGGTGCAGTGGCTCACACCTGTAATCCCGGCACTTTGGGAGGCCGAGGCAGGCGGATCACAAGGTTAGGAGTTTGAGACCAGCCTGACCAACATGGTGAAACCCCGTCTCTATTAAAAATACAAAAATTAGCCAGGTGTGGTGGTGCACGCCTGTAATCCCAGCTACTCAGGAGGCTGAGGCAGGAGAATCGCTTGAACCCGGGAGGCAGAGGTTGCAGTGAGCCGAGATCGCGCCATTGCACTCCAGCCTGGGCGACAGAGCGATGCTCCATCTCAAAAAAAAAAAAAAAAAAAAAAAGTAAGTGGGAACTCTGCATTATCTTTGCAACTTTTCTATAAATCTAAAACTATTCCAAAATGAAACAAGTTTATCTGAAATAAAAGTAGTGGGCAGATACTTACTTAACTGACCAGCTTCTTCTAAAAGGCAGATCCTGGGCAGCTTCACCCGTATCACTGGCTGAACTGGGTGTCTCAGCAGCACTGGTTTTAGGGCCACTTCCTCCTGGACAGGCCCTGTTCCCGCCCTTCTCGGGACACGAAACGCCTCCAGCAGGAGGGCCAGGTGACCTCCTGGGGGTGATCTCCAGCTCAGTTTTGAAGAGCACGGCGCTCGGCCCTGCTGAGTAATCCTCGCTGCAGAGCTTGTCAAGGTCAGGCATGCTCAAGGCTCTCAGCTCCTGGAGCTTGGAGCGGGACACGGGCGAGGGCTGCGTGTGGCGTACCGAGGACTTGTTCCTCTTAACAGGAGAAGCCAGGGTCATCGTTGGGGTGGGAATTCCCAAAGGACCAAGTGATTTCTTTAGTTCCGAATCAGAGCCCTTGCTACTGGTCTCTGGTGGGTTCTGCCGAGAGATGGTCAGTGTCATGATTGAGGGAGACTTGGCCATCTGGGGCAGGAGGGTGCCGGCTTCGCTTTGGTTTTCGCTGCAGGAACTCAAGCTGCGTCTCAACAACCTTGCTGCTGCGTCACCTGGGTGGCCCAGGCTCCCGGAAACAATGCTGCCGGAAGACCGCCTCCCAATGGGAGGCTTGGAGCTCACCGACAAAAATGGGGAAGCCCCGGACTTGGCTACAGGCCGGTCAGCATTGGCCAGGTTCTCAAAAGACTTGATCCGCTGCTTCACAGAGAAAAATGAGGTAGATTCATGGGGCCAGTTCTGCTCATAGCAGTAGTGTCGTCTGGTGACTTTGATTTTGTCTGTGACTAGGCAGCTCGTCTCCTGGACTGAAATGATATCCCCTTCATCTGTGGCTGGAAGATTCCTCGATGTGTCCAGCAGCGGCTTTACACTATATATGCCCTGTCCATTAGCCAGGCTGGGAAGACCACCTCTGGATGCCTTTGCCTCGGGGACAACACTGCTTGTCACAGGGACCTGGCTGTCCCGAGAGCGACCCAGGCTGTGTGGGGGGTGACCCTCCCGTCCAAAATGGCTTGAGAACTGGGCTGGCATGGAGTAGGTCCTGGTCGCTGGCCTTGGGGTGAAGTAGAGATGGTCCTCCCCCGAGGGGCCCCCTGGAATGCTGTTTCTGGGCACCCCTCGGGAGTCTGACATCAGGCTTGATTTTCCCTGGGAGTATTCTGCCTTTCTAATGGCTGTTTGAAGGGAGGAGGAGGAGGACGCCAGTTTTGCCATGCTGAATGATCGTGACATTTCCTGCTCTGCCTGGGAGGCATGAGATGGGAGTGAGGATGGATGACTTGTGGATGATTCTGCGACCTGGCGATAGAGCCTGATTTCACTCTTCTCCTGACAGTTGCCCTGGGCCAAGCACCCTCCCCGTCTGTCGCTTTCAGCTGGCTTGTTACCACATACAGTCTCTGACACTGCTTCAGCAGAAATCTCCACGATTTTCAGCTGGTTTGTTCTTTCGAGGCGATCGCTGGCCATTATGTTGCCTCCTTTTTCGCCAGTCGGCCTGGGTTGGGCTGTGTCTGCTGCCACATGGCTGGCCAGGCGCGGCTCACTCTGTCTGTTCCCTGCCACGGACATGCCGTTCCTAGACGCTGCCGGACTCACCGGCCCGGAGTCAGCACGGGGCGCCCTGCCCTCTGCTCTACACTTAGGAGATTTAGGGGTGGTTGGGCAACCTCTGTCGGGTTCAGAGAGGACAGCCATGTGGAACCTGCTCCACATGCCTTGCTCAGGAACAGGCTTGGGAGAGGTCAGGGGCGAGACAAATGTCCTGATGCTCGTGTCAGACACTGAGGGTTTCAGTGGCCCAGAGGTGGCAAGAGGTGGCTTGCTTTCCAGCACACACTGGGGGGACCTGGGGGCAGCTGTGGTGTTTCTGTCAGGGTCCTCGTGGTCGGCTACATGGAGCCGCTGTGACACTGCCTTAGAAAGTGTTTTGTGGGAGGTCTGGGGTGAGATCAAGGGTTTCCTGTGGTCCGTCCCCCCAGCCTTCACAGCATTCGCAGCAGGGGCCTCAGAGTTGACTTTGGCCTTGCCCTTGAGGCTGAGCCTCTTCAGCTTCGGACCACACTTTGCCTTCTGACCATTAGTCAGAAGCATTTCTGCCGGACTCTTCTTAGACAGGTCCTTATTTTCCAGGTTTGTTTTCGGCTGAGGAGGGCTATGAGGCACAGTAACGCCCTTTTTTTGGCTTGAACTCACCATCTGAATCTTGGAGTCGGGACTTCTGGCAGGCATTAGAGGTTGTTCCTTCTCGGTTTTGCTCCTCAAATGTGTGCCTTGGTTATGTTTATTTATTTCTTTAAACCAGGCCATGATGGGCCTCCTAGCGATCATTTTTGGTTTCTGTAGCAAGTCATCCAGGTCTTGACTTTCAGAGATGTGGAGGTTTTCCAAAACAGATTCTCCATTCTTAGGGACATCCACACTGAAGGAGGACAGACTGGCAGCTGCATTAATGCTTGTTTCGTATTGATTCAGGGTTTCGTCATCTAGCAGGTCATGTTCCAAGCCATTTACCATGTTGGGGGAGCTGAGAATGATGGGCGGACTGTGAAAATGCCTGGCTACTTTAGACAGCGGACTGTTTTCCATGGCTGAGCTAGCGCTGGTGACTTCTGTGGTTTCTTCTGCACACGAGGGCCTGTGGTTCTGTGAAGTGCTTATGTCCGCATGAGTTTCATGCTCCTGAGAGCTCATCTCCAAGAGTGATGATGGCTGGGAAGAGTCTGGGCCTGAAGTGTATGAGCCTGGCAAGCAGGCGGCCTTCTCACGGGGACTGGCCACCGACTCTCTCGGAGTGCTGTATTTTAATGACAGAACTTTGGCTGAGGCAGGACAGATGGCAGCCTGGGTGGGAAGATGAGCAGGACTCGAGGGTGGATTGGGGCAGCCACGTGTGGAACAAATCTCAATCTGTTCCTCTTCTGACTCCGAAGGATCTTCCTTGTGCAAAGACACACGGGAACGAGGAGGGGACCAGCCGTCCCTGGCAGAAGCTCGTGGGGCTTCAGTGAGTGACTCAGGGTCAGAAGAAGAATCCTCAGCATCGCCATACATGGATGACAGAGACGGCTCCGTGCTGTCACCCAGGCCTGATAGGGAGGTGCTGTCTTCATGAAAACTGCTAAAATTTCTAGAGTAGTTGCTCAGAAAGTTTTTGTTCACAGTAAAATGTTTGTCGGGATTAATTGAATCTAAAACCGAAGGCTGGGAGGCCCATTGTGGGTAGGCGGGGGCACCAGCAGCCCAGGCCCTCCTCGGGGAGGAGGTCTGGCCCCCCGGGACTGGTTCGGCACGGCAGGAGCTCCCACCTCCAGCCCCGGCTGGTGGGTGGCCCTGAGCACTGCCCTCCTGAGAGCCACTGTCCCCCGTCTGGGAAGACGGAGACCTTGCTGCAGAAGCATCCAGCTCCTTGATGAAGCTGTCAATGTCCGTCACAGGGCTCTCTCTACTCCCCCCTGGGCAGCAGTGCCCCGAGACATGGCCACATGCTTCTTTGGTGTTGTCAGTGGATGGCAGCATGGAGAGGCTGGCCTGCGGTGCCCTTGAGGACACAGAATCTGCTCCCTCCAGCAGGGAAGGCTCCTGGGAGCTTTCAGGTGCATGGATTCCTGTCATTTCCAGAGCCTTACTGTGGTTACCTGGAGCTCCCTGTCTCTGCTCCTGGGATGTGAGGGGGTCTCCTGGCAGGACAGCACCAGCTGGTGTCATTCCCTCTGCTCCAGGTCCCGCTCCCCTGAGGGCAGCCACCCTCCTGGTATTGTGGGGTGTGCTGGTTTCCGATGCTGATCGAGTCTTGCTGTAGTCAGGGGGAGCCGCTGCTTTCTCCCCCGGGGAGGGGCTGCCCTCATGGGGGAGCCTGACTGGAGACCTGGCCTTGCACTTGGTGACCCTGGGCGATGCAGGCTGGCTGGGATTCTCTGGCCGACTGACTTGCCCTGTGTCTACAGAGGTCTTGCTGGGGTCAGGATGAGCGGCCCCCTTCTTCCCTGGGGAAGAGATGAGGTCTGAGGAGCTGTCCAGTTCTACGTGGGGAACGTAAACAGAAGGTACATACACAGGAGAGGTTGTAGGGGAGATAAAAGGGATAATATAAGAAAGCAGCCCCTCAATTATTAAAAACTAGAAAATTATAAACAACCTCAAATATTTTTTTCTTTTTCAGAAAGCTGGGCGTGGTGGCGCATGCTTGTAATCCCAGCACTTTGGGAGGCGGAGGCGGGTGGATCACCTGAGGTCAGGAGTTCGAGACCAGCCTGGCCAACATGGTGAAACCCCATCTCTACTAAAAAAAAAAAAAAAAAAAAAAAAATTAGCTGGGCATGGGGGTGGGCACCTGTAATCCCAGCTACTTGGGAGGCTGAGGCAGGAGAATTGCTTGAACCTGGGAGGTGGAGGTTGCAGTGAGCCGAGAATGTGCCATTGCACTGCAGCCTGGGCAAAAAGAGCGAAACTCCGTCTCAGAAAACAACAACAACAACAACAACAACAAAACGGCGTTCTGTGGCCTAAATGGAGGCCCTTCTTGTCTTCCTGGTTTTCTCTCTAAAATTATAGAGTACCCACATCTAACAAATACCACCCTGCTTTAGACGCTCTAAGAGAACTCAGATTAGCCGGCAGAAGAAACATTTACATCTGCCCATTTTTCTCTCTTTTGGTATTTCTATGATGGCAGATGTTCCTACCACAAAGAAATGATACATTTGATGTGATGGATATGCTGATTACCCTGATTTAATCATTGCACACTTGGGTCTCTTTATGCCATTCACCCTCTGATGGCAAAGCCGCAAGCGTCAGGCTCTTGTTCTATTTGGTTCCCTACTCCTGCGTGGATGCAGCAGGGCCCTCATGGACCTCTCAGTCCCAGTATCTGGCCAGTGGTGTGTGGGTTTGGCTCACACTGGGGGATGTGAATGATGTACTTCAGTGTAAAACAGTCCAAGTGCCGAGCTCAAGAGGCTTCCTTTTTAGTGCAGGGGCTGAGGCTAACTAGGGAAAACATACAGAATACGAAAGCTGGGATACAGGTCTACACCGAGCTCTGGCTGTCTTGACGAATTCAGAGGAGTGGGAGAGTGAGAAGCCAGATTATCCCAGGAAGACTTGACAGAGGAGGTGGGGACATGAATGGGGCTGACAAGGGGAGTTTGGCCAGAGAGTGAGGAGGAGGAAGGTAAGGAAGACAATGGAAGAGTACCGTTAAAATGTCCATACTACCCAAAGTCATCTATAGATTCGGTACAATTCCTACCAAAATTCCAATGACATTTTTTACAGAAATAGAAAAAAAAAAAACAGTTGTAAAATGTGCATGGAACCACAAAGGACTCTGAATAGCCAAGGCAGTTTGAGTGTAAAAAAAACAAAAGACAAAACAAAACAACAACAACACAACAAAAACAGGGCTGGGCATGGTGGCTCACGCCTGTAATCCCAGCACTTTGGGAGGCCAAGGCGGGTGGATCACCTGAGGTCAAGAGTTCGAGACCAGCCTGGCCAACATGGTGAAATTCCCGTCTCTACTAAAAATACAAAAATTAGCTGAGTGTGGTGGCACACGCCTGTAATCCCAGCTACTTGTGAGGCTGAGGCAGGAGAATCGCTTGAACCTGGGAGGTGGAGTTGCAGTGAGCCAAGATCATGCCATTGTATTCCAGCCTGAGTAACAGAGCAAGACTCCGTCTCAAAAAAAAAAAATAATAATAAGGTATTGCATTTATTGAAATAGCTAGAAGAGAGAATTTGGGATGTTCCTACCACAAAGACATGATACATTTGATGTGATGGATATGCTAATTACCCTGATTTAATCATTGCACAATGTATATATGTACTGAAGTACCACTTTGTGCTCCATAAGTATGTACAATTATGTGTCAATTAAAAAAAAAAAAAGGCAGCTGGGCACGGTGGATCACGCCTGTAATCCCAGCACTTTGGGAGGCCAAGGCAGGTGGATCACTTGTCAGGAGTTTGAGACCAGCTTGGCCAACATGGTGAAACCCTATCTCTACGAAAAATACAAAAATTAACCAGGCATGGTGGCATGCACCTGTAATCCCAGCTACTTGGGAGGCTGAGGCACGAGATTCGCTTGAACCCAGGAGGTAGAGGTCAGTGAGCTGAGATTGCACCACTGCCTTCAAGCCTGGGCAACAGAGCAAGACTCTGTCTCAAAAAAAAAAAAAAAAAAAAAAAAAAGGCAACAGAATGAAAGCAGAGAAGCAAGAAAGAGCCTGAAATCTTGGAGGTGGCAGGGCAAGGGGATGTGTGCCAGTGGACAGTGGGAAGTCATCTAGGAGGTGGGTTCCAACAGCCACTCACTCCTGAAAGTGCCTGTTCATAAGGCCCTGCATAGTCTTGGGCTAATCTTCCACCTCAGACACACAGCATCTTGCAACAGGGAAAAAAAATCTGGCATCAGAAAGAACAAAGCTATTTTCTTAGGAACTATGGGTCTGAGGTTGGAGTGAAAAATGAAGTTCCATGAAAGCTCTTGGTTTGAGAATTAAGTCAAACCAACTCTTCCCCAAATATTATGTTCGTTCCACAGCTCTCACATAAAATCATCTTAATTGCATTTTTTTAACCTGCTGACCTTGCTATGTGAATAATTAAGAACTAATTATTAGGACTCAGCCCTGTGCTAAGAGGTTTTCCAATAATTAAGGAGTTAACACTGTGCTAAGAGTTTTGTACACATTTAATTTTCCTCCTAACACTGAGGTATGTCCTGTGACCATCTGCATTGGAAGGATGAGGACGGAGAAACAGCGTGGTTAAGCAATGTGTCTGAGGTCAGAGTTCACAGGTGGCAGAGCCAGCGGTCGCCCCAGGAAGCTGGCTCCACAGCCCATGCTACTGCCTAAACCCTGACTATGTGGCCTCTGTGTGGAGAGCCCTTGGCAATCAAAAGGTTGGATCGTCGAGATCCCCATGGAGACCGTACTAGCTACTAGCTTTCCAGGCCCACTGTGGAAGGCCAGGGGCCTGCCAAGACTCAAAGCCACGTGCTCTTCTCCTTCTCTGCTCAACCTTTTTTGAACTTCCCCTTAAGCATAATGTTCCTGCTTCTGGTGACAGCAAATATGGGCGGTAGTGCGGGTGGTGGTGGGGAGTAGCAATGACACAAAAGGAGGGGATTTAAACTCTGTTTTTAAATTTCATATTCAGGCCGTGGGCGGTGGCTCATGCCTGTAATCCCAGCACTTTGGGATGCTGAGGCCAGGCAGATCACTTGAGGTCAGGAGTTCGAAACCAGCCTGGCCAACATGGGGAAATCCCATCTCTACTAAAAATACAAAAATTAGCCAGGTGTGGTGGTGCACGTCTGTAATCCCAGCTGCTTGGGAGGCTGAGGCAGGAGAACTGCCTGAACCTGGGAGGCGGAGGTTGCAGTGAGCCGAGATCGAGCCACTGTACTCCATCCAGCCTGAGCGACAGAGCAAGAATCCGTCTCAAAAATAAACAAATTTCATATTCGCTCACTGAATAAACCTAAACAGGCAATTCATGTTAGCAATTTGACTTTATTGCAAAGTCTGTAACTTAAAAGGTCTTCATCTGAGGGAGACGAGGTTACACTGAGGCAGCCTTTGGTTGTCACCTTTCAAGACAACCTTTTCTCTGGAAACGTTCGAAATGCCCAATCATGGGAGGAAGGTTGACTCGTTACAGCACATCCGTGGGGTGGAAGGCCCAGCAGCCTCTCCAGGTGATGTCGGGTGTAGAAGAGCCTGCAGGATAGCAGTGCGGTTTCCTAGAGTAGGCTATGGGTGTGCTGACAGCAGAGTGGTCAGTGCGAGGGACAGCCTGCTAGGTCAGGCCCATGGGCTGAGGAGCAGTCTTACTGATGCCAGCAGGCTGCTCAAATATTATTTCGTGTGGATGTATGAGGTTTAAAAAGGTTGTTAGGTACTGGTGACTACCACAGTGGATTTTTTTTTTTTTTTTGGCAAAAAGACAAAAAAAGCACAGGACTATATATTTATTCACACCCATATACGCACAAGACTCAAATGATACAGACCAAAATATTAACAGAGGTTTTTCACTTGGGCTTAGCTGATTTTTATGCTATCTTTCAAAACTTCCCTCTCAATTGTAATTTCTTAAGTTTCTAGAATAAACATGTATCCCGTTCATAACAGAGTTAAACATTTAGTGACAAACAGGGGGCCTGGATTCCCCACACTGCTTCAGTTTCTCACAACAGCTTTGACAGCTTTTCCAACAGCTACCACCTCCTCTCGTTCTGGTTTCCAAGAGCCACCATTTAACAGACAGAGTCAATTGCTGCCAGAAAGCTAAATGGCTCTAAAATCAGACCTCACAATCAACACATCTTGGTCGGCCATTTGCTCCTGTGTTTCTAAAGTTTCTAAAACTTTCTTAGGAAAATCATGTGTGTAGGTATACATACACACATACATACACACACACGTATCTTACTGTGTATCATATACTAGGCAGATATATACACACATATATGTTTCTCTTAGGAAAATCACATACACACACGTAATATAACTTATTCAACATATTAGGTACCAGATTGTGTTCCAAATGCTACACATGAAAATGTCATTGATTCTTCCTCAACAACCCCATGAGGTGTGTAACTTAGGACAACAGTGACTAATCCAAGGTCCCTTCCCTGGTCAAATGTTGGGGCTCAGATCTGAGCCCTGGCAGCCTGCGTATGCCCCTGTGTGCTTAACCACCGTGCAGTGTACGGGTCATTTTGGATTTTTTTTTAATGATAAGGTATTCCTTCTTTGATCACTTATGCATTTTTGGATATTTCAGTTTTAAAAAAGATATGTTTTGGCTAGGCGCAGCGGCTTATGCCTGTAATCCCAGCACTTTGGGAGGCTGAGGTGGGTGGATCACTTGAGGTCAGGAGTTCGAGACCAGCCTGGCCAACATAGTGAATCGCCGTCTCTACTAAAAACACAAAAATTGGCCGAGCGTGGTGGTGGGCGCCTGTAATCCAAGCTACTCAGGAGGCTGAGGCAGGAGAATTGCTTCAACTCTGGAGGCAGAGGTTGCAGTGAGCCAAGATCGCGCCATTGCACTCCAGCCTGGGTGACAGAGGGAGACTCTGTCTCAAAAAAAAAAAAAACAAAGATATGCCAGGCGCGGTGGCTCACGCCTGTAATCCCAGCACTTCGGGAGGCCGAGGTGGGCAGATCACGAGTTCAGGAGATTGAGACCATCCTAACACGGTGAAACCCCATCTCTACTAAAAATACAAAAAAATCAGCTGGGCGTGGTGGCGGACGCCTGTAGTCCCAGCTACTCAGGAGGCTGAGGCAGGAGAATGGCATGAACCTGGGAGGCAGAGCGTACAGTGAGCCAAGATCACACCACTGCACTCCAGCCTGGGCAACAGAGCAAGACTCCGCCACAAAACAAAACAAAACAAAACAAAGACATGTTTTGAAGAACATCCTTCTTACATACTGGAAAGCAGCTATTTGTAATAACACTGGAAGAAGAACTGCTACGAGCACTCAAGTACTCAGCAGGACCAACTGGTCACAGATAGCCTTTTCATTGGGAAGGAGAGAGAAATACCTAAACAAAAGGAGACAGAAGCTCTAAAATCTTTTAGAGATCCGGTAATCGGGTATTTCAGATACACCCCAAAAGCCCTTGAGGGTGCCAGTGTGTCACTGCAACTCGATCAATCCTGACGAGGACCCTTAAAGAATTAAATGGTAACTAATATATTATGTTTTGACATGTTAACTAAATATAGCACATATATCATTGCCTGTTAAATATAATCAGTTCCTGGTCTAGCATTCCTGGCTGCTCAGTGGGTGTAAGGGACACATAGCTGCACCTTTCTCAAGGCTCATTATCTATGGGAAATCCAGAGAGGGCAAGGCAGAAAAGCATCCAAACATCTGCACCCACCGGGGTCAGTACAGTCACAGAGGTGCACAGAGCTCCAGGGAGTACGGGGCTGGGAGACGAAATTCTCTCTACACTATAACACAAGAGAACTTGACATGCAGCAACCCACTTACTTAAGGTACAAACCCGCGGTATTTTTTTTTTTTTTTAAGTTCTGGGATACATGTGCAGGATGCGCAGGTTTGTTACACAGGGAAATGTGTGCCATGGTGGTTTGCTGCACCTATCAACCCGTGACCTAGGTATTAAGCCCTGCATGCATTAGCTATTGATCCTGATGCTCTCCCTCCCCCCACCACCCCATCCGCAACAGGCTCCAGTGTGTGATGTTCCCTTCCCTGTGTCCATGTGTTCTCATTGTTTAGCTCCCACTTATAAGTAAGAACATGTGGTGTTTGGTTTTCTGTTTCTGTGTTAGTTTGCTGAGGATAATGGCTTCCAGCTCCATTCTTGTCCCTGCAAAGGACATGATCTCATTCCTTTTTATGGCTGCATAGTATTCCATAGTGTATATGTACTACATTTTCTAACACTGATGAAAACCTCAGTATTGACAAAAACTGGCCTACCTAGAATAAGAAATTCCTCAGTGGCAAGAAAGGAAAGAATGTACTGCATGAGGTTGCAAATAGGAAATGTTGGTTTAGTGAAAAAAACCAACCCTTTGCTGTCCCTCTTCTATTCCAAAGCAAATCTGGATTCCAAGAAAACTTCCAGAGGACCATTATGTAGAACATGCACTCTTAAAATGTATGAAGATACTGGCCTCAAATGAAGCCTTACTTTGAAAGGTGACATTGAAGGCTGCCTCAATGTAACTTCATCTCCCTCAAATAGAAACCCCTCACCCCCCACTTTTTTTTTTTTTTTTTTTTTTTGAGATGGAGTCTCGCTCTGTTGCCCAGGCTGGAGTGCAGTGGTGTGATCTCAGCTCGCTGCAAGCTCCACCTCCCGGGTTCACACCATTCTCCTGCCTCAGCTTCCTGAGTAGTTGGGACTACAGGTGCCCACCACCACGTCTGGCTAATTTTTTGTATTTTTAGTAGAGATGGGGTTTCACTGTGTTAGCCAGGATGGTCTCGATCTCCTGACCTTGTGATCCGTCCGTCTTGGCCTCCCAAAGTGCTGGGATTACAGGTGTGAGCCACTGCGCCCGGCCAAATAGAACCCTTTTTAACACTCTTTGCAGTAAAGTCAAATTGCTAACAAAAAAATGCTTGTTAGTGTTTGTCCAGCAAGTGAATGTGAACCCGAAAGAGAAACCAGAACCCACAGTAACAGCCTCATCACTAACAAAGGAACAAAGAGCCTCGGATCACAGAACAGAGACATCAGGGGCCTGTATTTTTTCTGTGAGTAGCCATCAGGGTATGGGATAGATATTCTGGGGTTTCACTTTTTTCTTTTTTTTTCTGAGACGGAGTCTCGCTCTTTTTGCCCAGGCTGGAGTGCAATGGCTCGATCTCGGCTCACTGCAACCTCTGCCTCCTGGGTTTAAACGATTCTCCTGCCTCAGCCTCCCAAGTAGCTGGGATTACAGGCGCCCGCCAACATGCCCAGCTAATTTTGTTTTGTATTTTTAGTAGAGACTGGGTTTCACCATGTTGGCCAGGCTGGTCTCGAACTCCTGACCTCGGGGGATCCACCCACCTCAGCCTCCCAAAGTGCTGGGATTACAGGTGTGAGCCACGGCACCCGGCCCACATTTTTATTTTGTAGGACAGCCCTAAAAAGGAAGGCTATCTTTTTTCTGTCTACCACCGTAGTTTGCTAACCAATCAGAAGGCAGGCGCTGAGACAGTAACAACCAGCCGACAGTTGCGGAGGACTGCCGGGACTCCCACAGAGCTCGACAAGTGGGATCACAGTCATCACCAGCCACTGAGAAGAGTGTCCCCTACCCACAGAGTGCAAGTTTAGAATCCAGATTTCCTTTTTTTTTTTTGTTTTTTTTTTGTTTTTTTTTTGAGACAGAGTCTCACTCTGTCCCCCAGGCTGGAGTGCAATGGCACAATCTCAGCTCACTGCAACCTCTGCCTCCTGGGTTCAAGCAATTCTCGTGTCTCAGCCTCCTGAGAAGCTAGGATTACAGGCATGCACCACAACACCCGCTAATTTTTTTATGTTTAGTAGAGGCGAGATTTCACTATGTTGGCCAGGCTGGTCTTGAACTCCTGACCTCAAGTGATCGGCCCCCCCTTGGCATCCCAAAGTGCTGGGATTACAGGCATGATGAGCCACCGCGCCCCACCAGAATCCAAAATTTCAATAAAGGTCTCCACTAACAAGGAAGCAAAGTCACTTAATTCAGTTGATTTTTAAAAATCATGTTTTACAATATTATTTTGTTCAACTACTAGATGATGGGTAGCCAAATTTTACATACACACATACACACCCCACACTTTTTTTTTTTTCCCAGAGATTGGGTCTAGTTCTGTCACCCAGGCTGGAGTGTAGTGGCGTGATCATAGCTCACTGCAGTCTCAAACTCCTAGGTTCAAGTAACCCTCCTGGTCTTAGCCTCCAAAGTATAGCCACATGCCACCACATCTAACTAATTTCCTTTTTTTTTTTTTTTTTTTTTAATTTTTGAGACACAGTTTCACTGTATAGCCCAGGCTGGAGTGCAATGGCATGATCTTGGCTCACTGCAACCTCCACCTCCCGGGTTCAAGCAATTCTACTGCCTCAGCCTCCTGAGTAGCTGGGATTATAAGCGTGCTCCACCATGCCCAGCTAATTTTTTTGTCTTTTTAGTAGAGATGGGGTTTCACCATGTTGGCCAGGCTGGTCTTAAACTCCTGACCTCATGATCTACTTGCCTCAGCTTCCCAAAGTGCTGGGATTACAGGCATGAGCCACTGCACCTGGCACCTAAATAAATACTGAGATAACTTCTGCCTCCACGATGTTACTTAATCTCTCATCAACACTTATGTGTGGTTTTTCAGTATCATTTCACTTGTCCTTTGTGGAGGTTTTTGTTGCCATTTCTCAGTGCATTTGATTTCACGTAGGCAGAGTGCTGTGATTTTGATGGGTGGGAAGTCCTTTTGATTCATCTCATGTCTTGTTGGTGTCACAAAAGGGTAAAAAGGGTCAACTGACTGAAAATGGATGTGTTCAACATGGCATGAAAACGATGAGTTTAGGCACAATGATATAGTAAAGGTGCTAAATGCAGGCAGTATTTAAATGTTAATTTGTGTAAAAGATTTTTCTCCTTAAAAATATCAATTTCCTTTCTTTCTTTTTTCTTTTTTTTTTGACAGAGTCTTGCTCTTGTTGCCCAGGCTGCAGTGCAATGGTGCCACCTTGGCTCACTGCAACCTCCGCCTACCCAGTTCAAGCGATTCTCCTGCCTCAGCCTCCCAAGTAGCTGGGATTAAAGGTGCGCACCACCACGCCCGGCTAATTTTTGTATTTTTAGTAGAGATGGGGTTTCACCATGTTGGCCAGGCTGGTCTCAAACTCCTGACCTCAAGTGGTCCGCCCACCTCGGCCTCCCAGAGTGCTGGGATTACAGGTGTAAGCCACTGCGCCTGGCCTGTATAATGCTTTCATTAGGGTATCTCCCCACCTACTTTAAGATTAACAAATGGGAAAATAATCTTACCAGTCATGGGTTGTTGCCCCAGCTCTGATGCAGCTTTGGGCAGGTTCTCTGTGAGGTGGCTGGCATCCAGATGGGACAGAGCACTGGCTAGTTCACAGCTGGTAGAGACACAAGCATCTCCAGTGGTCAGCTTTCCCAGAGATTCCTGGCACAATGACAACCACAAGCCACTTGAAATAACTTTCAGGCTTTCTGCACCGTAAGATGAGATCATATATAGAGAGCAGAGCTAGTTCAGGAAAAGGCAAAGGGGCCCTGGACTAGGAGCCAGCAGATCCAGATTGTGGGTTTAAGGTCTGCTAGGAATTAAATGGTCATATCATTCTTCCCCAAGCCTCCATTTTTTTCAACTCTAAAATGGGCATAAAACATTCCCAGTCTTACTCATAGAGCTTAAAAGAAGACGATTAAATGAGAACAGTTATAAAAACAGCACATATAAGGCTAGACAGATGTAAGGTATTGTTATTATATTGCATAGAGATATCCAAGACTATAACACTAACTCCTTAGTTTGGTAGTGAGGGAATGAACGAATCTGGATAAACAAAATTGACATTTCATATTTCAAGACTTCACTTTGGCTAAGTGTCCATTACTTTCTCTTCTTCTACCTAACATTCAATGCAATGAAATTCTAAAACTAACAGTTAAATCAGCTTCATGTGAAATTTATCCATTGTGAGTGATAAAGTGGCCCAAAGGTGGCAGCAGAGCACAGAGGTGAAAGGGATAATATGTCTTTCAGCAGCTTTGGTAAGAAATCTTTTCATAAAATGTCAGTTACCAGCTGAGGGAAACCTAGATAGAGTTTAACTCAGTTAATTTTCTATTTATTAGTAACACAAATGTAACATAAAAACAGTAGAGGAGTTTCAGAACTAGACAGAGGTGGTGGGTCATATTGCATTCTGAATGTACTAAGTGCCATTGACTTGTACATTTCAAAATGGTTAATTTCATGTTATATGAATTTCACTTCAATTTAAATCAAGTAGTAAATAAAAACAGAATTTAACTCACGTACCAAAAGAGGAAGGTTTTTTCTTCCAATATTTGAGGACATATACTTTATAGCAATCCATTCTATTTTCTTTCTCAGATATAAATAAAATCAAATTTTGTAACTAAAATTTTTATGAGAAAAATTAGTCTTGTACAAGTTTCAAATGCTGCTCAAAAGTTCATTCTGAGAGTATTAACTTAGAATTACAAAACTCTTATTTTAATAGATATAAATTATTATGAATAAAAACCCTAATTTGCCTTTATACAGTTATCCAAAACTTGTGATTTGTTTTTTTTTTTTTTTTTTTTTCTTGAGACCGAGTCTTGCTCTGTCACCCAGGCTGGAGTACAGTGGCACGATCTCAGCTCACTGCAACCACCACCTCCCGAGTTCAAGAGATTCTCCTGCCTCAGACTCCCGAGTAGCTGGGATTACAGGTGCACACCACCACACCTGACTGATTTTTGTATTTTCAGTAGAGACGGGGTTTTGCCATGTTGGCCAGGCTGGTCTCTAATTCCTGACCTCAGGTGATCCACCTGCCTCAGCATCCCAAAGTGCTGGGATTACAGGCGTGAGCCACTGTGCCCGGCCGATGCTTTTTAAAAGAAGAAATTTACCCAATGGCCAAACATTATATTTTAAAACACAGGTAGTGGTTGGAGGTAAAATATGATATTTGAGGAGAAGGAAAAAAGATGTGCATTTCTATTAAAACAAAAATAAGGTTAAAAAAACGACTTTTGCCTGGTATAGTTTTTATGACTTAGCATTTTCCAGGTCTATTGACATATATGTTTATATAAACCACTTGAACACACATCTATAATAATATGGCTTTATAAGTCATCTCAGATTCTTTGTTCAGCGAGAGAGAGAGAGAAGTTATTTATGTTAAGGAGATTATAAACAACATTGATTTCTCGTACTGTCTCCTTGATAAAGTAGAGGTATATTGAACATTTTTAAAAATGAACAATTTGATATTCTAACATACTCGTAACCAAGTAGTAACATAACCAATATTAACTTGCATTTAATGTGGTACATTATCAATTTCTAAGTGAATGCATTCCTGTTATTCCATATGATACCACAGCAAGGTTATGAGTGGCTATAATTATATATAACCAATGTAGAAATTTGGAAAAATATAAGGATCACTCATAACCTTATCAGCTGGAGGGAATCACTGTTAACATATATTTGATGGTCCCTCCAGCTCTGTGAGATGACCAAGGCAGAGAGCACCAGCCCAGAGAACTAAGCTCAGAAATGTTTAATAACTTGCCCAAGTTGTAACTCGACCAGTGCCAACTAGTCAGCAGTGGAGCTCATGCCAGGCCCATGGTTTTACTTTCCCTGTGCCACACTGCCTTTCCATCATTAGCCACAGGTGCTGTGTACAGGTAAGACAGAGATTCTATAGTATCTTCTGGCCAAATGATCTCATGACTAACCTGCTGATACATTAATAAGCTCCCTAGGCTGGGTGCGGTGGCTCACGCTTGTAATCCCAGCACTTCAGGAGGCCGAGGCAGGTGGATCACCTGAGGCCAGGAGTTCGAGACCAGCCTGACCAATATGGTGAAACCCTGTCTCTACTAAAAAATACAAAAATTAGCCAGGCGTGGTGGTGTGCGCCTGTAGTCCCAGCTCCTCGGGAGGCTGAGACAGGACAATCGCTTGAACCTGGGAGGCGGAGGTTGCAGTGAGCTGAGATTGCGCCACTGCACTCCCGCCTGGGTGACAGAGCGAAACTCCATCTCCAAGAAAAAAAAAAAAAAGGCTTCCAAGCAGTCCAGGTATTTAAGTGACTGACTCTGTTGAAAGATAATTCTCCAGCCATCATCCTTTCCCACTGGCAGCTTACCCATGCTTTACAACAGACTCCATCTTCACTCACACATATTCATGCACTTCCATTCCAAGTAACTAAGAGAAAGTCAGTTACCTTCTCCACAGCTCCACCTGGCTGAAAGCCAGCGACAGTCACTTTGACAGAAGTGGCCTGGACTCTCGAGTCCAGATCGCATGGATCATTGGCTCTGCCAGTCAGGTTCACTGTCTGTGAGCCACTGGGCTTGGCCTCAGCCTCGGATCTCTTGCAGTGGGGGCTTACCCTGGCCACTGGTCTGTGCCTGGAGCCCAGGCCTTCACTTTTCTGCTGGGGGGAACTGGGGCTCCCAGTGTTCGTCGGACTCTGGGTGTCTGTACGGACTGTGTATTCCAATTTGGGTGCGCTACTTGATCCTGACAGTTCCTTCTTCCACCAGCTTCCAGGGCTCCCCTTGGGGGCCTCTGCAGAGTCCGTGAGGTTGGCTGCATAGGACGCAGCATCCACCATGCCCTCTGGGATACTCTCCTCTAAGTCCACTGAGCTACCAAGAAGAGGTGCCGAGATGGCCTTGCTCACCAGTGTTTTCCGGGGTCGTTCCTCTTGGTTGTGGACGTCCATGCCCTTGGAAGAGGAAATTGAGACACGCCTCGGGTCATCCTCTGACAGAGGCCTGATGGGACCCGGGAGGGCCCCTGGGAGTGAAATGCAGTCCCCTTCTCTGTCAAACTCTTCCTCATCACTGGCATCGTTGGCATCGTAGCAGCCTACCTTCCTCTGGCGGAGGAGAGGGTTTCGGAGGGCCTGTGGGCTTCCGGGGAGACTGGCTTGTCTGGCAACTGTCACCTGCTTGTGGAAGAGCCCAGAAGCCCGATGGCTCCCAAGAGTCACGAGGCTGTTGGCTCTGGGTTTTCCAGGCTCCTTGTGAGCTGGTGGAGGTGGGGACAGAAAAGTCAAGTGAAATTGAGCTTCCCACTTGGCCCTGTCTTATCATCTGACCCCATCATTACACATAAGCATTTCCACATTCACTAACACCAGACACACAGCCTCAGCCACTGGACACAAGGCCTAGGCAACATGGCTTCCTGGAGGCTATATGGAGTAGATAGGCGGGCTATCTTTCTCTTTTCCCTACTGACCTACCCCCCCCGCCCTTTTCTTAAACCCCAACCTCTGGATTAACTCAAACGTGTGCTGTTGGAAGACAGAAACTTAATACTTCCACCTCCATGATTATCTAACACATTGTTAGGGTTTAACCTAAATGCTGCTGAGAATTCCTCCATAGAAGGATGCCTGGGGACTGATGACATGTCCCACACACCTGGGCTGCCTTCTTGGCCCCTTGAGGTCCTTCCTTCATCTGCAGAAAGGGAGGCTTGATTGACAGGCACGTGAGTGCTTTTGCAGCATGAACTGTCCTATGTCTTAAAGATACTCTAGAACAATGCCAACCTGAATCTGCAACGATTTTTATATCTTGTTAAATGCAGTGAAAAATTACACGTTTGCACCTTGAAATGTTTCTATAAGAACAGAGCAAACTCATTGATAGCTCCGAATGAGTCAGAGTGGTCGTCGCCTGCCTCTCCTAAAACAAGGGGATTTTCTTCTTCAGATGTTAGAAATTAAGAGGAAACCTCACCAGCAGAAAGAAGTCTGAGAAATCGGTATGGATCATATCAGATTATCATCTCATATTATCTCAAATTGATATATCAATGAGATTAAAAAAAAAACCTTTTGATAATATGTCTCTTATGAGTTCTTAATCTTTAATTTACAGCCTTCTACAAAGAATGAAGCTAGGGCCTGGTGAGGGAAGGGACCTGGAATCTGGCTGGATTCCCTAAAATGTAAGGGCATCAGGTTGCCCATCCTGATTTGATGCCATAAAATTCAAGACTACATTATGTAAAGGGCATTGAAAGGAGGTCTGGTTTAGCCACCATCCACCCCTGACTATAGAATGTGTATCCAGCCCATTTACTGAGTAACTGAGTGGCCAGTCACTAACAGTGGCTGCATTTTCCAAGAGTAAACTCTCAGGGTACAGCATTGTCTAATGGTGCGATCTCAGCTCACTGCAACCTCTGTCTCCCAGGTTCAAGCAATTCTCCCCACTCAGCCTCCCAAGTAGCTGGGATTACAGGCGCGTGCCACCACGCCTGGCTAATTTTTGTATTTTTAGTAGAGATGGGGTTTCACCATGTTAGCCAGGCTGGTCTTGAACTCCTAACCTCAAGTGATCCCCCCGCCTCGGCCTCCCCAAGTGCTAGGATTACAGGCGTGAGCCACCGCGCCCGGCCTGGTCTCCAGCTCTTTTCTCGTATTACAGCGCCAGGGTAGCTAAACCATTGTAGCCGCCAGCACAGAGGTGGAAACCAGTCACTGCTGACTGGAATGCAGAGCCCAGGCCCTCTGGGGCACCCCTGCTTACTGGAGGTGCTGGGAGGCAGGCTGCCCTCCTCCGACGTGCTGCAGCCACTTCCCGGGTGATCCTCGTCCTCAGAACCGGCCACCATGAAGTCTGACAAGGGGCCAGGGACATCGTGGGCAAAGTACTGGGAGAGTTCAGATTCAGAAATAAGGGAGTCCTGTTGAAGAAGAAAACATCCGATAACTAAGAAAACACAGCAGAAGCAGACTTTCAAGGGTTATTACGTCCTATCTTTCCAAGAACACTTCGTTCTAATCAACGGTCACTTGAAATAGCTGTGATAGTAAACACCAACCTCCATGTACCTCAGAACGGCTAAATTGACAACTAATAAATAAAAAGGTGACTGCTGCCAGACAATGTTTTTAGAGACTTTTTGTTTTTGGCTAAATTTTTGGCAATGATCGGAAAAGCCACAGCAGCAACACATCAGCCATCCCAGGAAAAACACTGGGGGGATGCGATGGGAAAGACAAATGTGATTCAAGCCAACCAGTCTAGCCAAATGGTGAACAAAAACCAGGGGAGTTTGAATCCTGCACCCTGACGCACTGAGACTCAGCAAGAGCCTAGCTGAGGAAGATTGCGTGGCCTCCTTAAAGCCCCAAGTCCTGACTCACGCTGCTTTATTATGGAGCAGTTTGAAAACTTATTTTGCAAACTGTAGTTCAGTTCTTTTATTTTGTTGCTCTGTTCTTTTCCTGGATAAGTGTTTAGCAAAAGAAACACACATTTTTGCATCTATTCTCAAATGAGCATTGTTGCGATTTCCTGTATAAAGTGGCAAAAATGACTCATGGGCAGAAACAGGGACTGGGCCCTCCGGCTTGACTTGTGGGCTCCAGGAATTAGTTTGTGGTCCAGCTGAGGGAGGCAGGTAGCAGTTCACCTTGACTCACCTTTTTTGCAAGAGAGGGACTCTTCAAGGGGGTACCTGTTGGAGGGAAAATTCACCATATTGTCAAAACAATAAAGCTCAAGTCACAAATAGGCTCACATCCTTAACTAGAAAAGGAGGCGGCAAACACAGTAAACAAAACTCCCTTTGCTTGATGACGGGCTGCATGCACAGGGTTAGACGTGCATGCAGTCTACCTGCGTACCTGATCCTCATCCCCATCCCATCTGCCATGATGCTTCAAGCCCTAACTCAGATGCTACTACCTGCATGATGATCCCAGTTAGAAGTAATTTCTTCTGAATTTCCAAAGTGTTTTATCCTACCCACACATCAACTTTCATGTACATCATATAATGTATGAGTGGATGTGTCTTGTCTCCCTTCTTCAATCTACAGAGCAGAAATGTTGACTGATCTGACCCCACGGAGCTGGATATTTATTTTCAGACGGAGTTGGACTCTTGTTGCCCAGGCTGGAGTGCAATGGCATGATCTCGGCTCACTGAAACCTCTCCTGTCTCAGCCTCCCGGGTAGCTGGGATTACAGGCATGCGCCACCACATCCGGCTACTTTCGTATTTTTAGCAGAGATGGGGTTTCTCCATGTTGGTCAGGCTGGTCTCGAACTCCAGACTTCAGGTGATCTGCCCGCCTTGGCCTCCCAAAGTGCCGGGATTATAGGCGTGAGCCATGGCGCCCGGCTCCATGGAGCTGGACATTGTACTTCATATCTACTAAGTGTTCGGTGATAATTGCTGAATGGATTGAATTATGAATGAACAAATGAACATCACCCAAGAAACTCATGAAAGAACTGAGAAGATGACTGAATATCTATTTTAGTTTTTAACTGTAGGGTGAAAAGGCTCAGGATTTAAACTATATGCCATGAAGCAGAAGGGACTTTGGGCATGAGGATTACAGCTTAATAAACTCTTTATAAATGATCAAGTGGAAATGCTGGGATTATGAGAGCACAGCTTTCAGGCAGGTCGGGATGATGAACTGGTTGAATAGAAAGCCTATGATGGCTATGTCCACTTCAAATGTATTAATTATGAATGTAAATAATCAGGGTATTTCATGATTGCCAAAAAACCCTATGCTTTCCTTTTCCTCTGACAACTAATAACTTATGTCTCAGTTCCTTTTCCTCCCAGGTAGCAATCTGAACGTCAGTATAATCTCAAGCTCAGAAATGTGTGAAGAGTCCCTTTAGGCTTCCATGCTAAAGGAAACTTTATTTTTAAGACTTGATATGTTTCATATTTTAAATTCATATGAAATTCCTACTATCTCAAGCCTTCTCTGCCTGAAGTTTTCCACTTGAGCGAAATCATGATTTTTGCTACCTCTATTACCCTTTTGAATGGAAACTTTTTAATTCATGTAAAGAAATCTCAGGCTTTTTGGTAGATAATACTCTGCATCTACCAAACTACTGAAATTCTGGGTATCGTTTCCCTTTCATCTTTAGCATTTTGAATGAATCAAGCATATATACATGCAACACTTCTAACTTACCTTTGCAAATTATTTGTAAGTACTATAAGAAGCATGCATGATTAGATCTTTAATGAAGCACATTAAATAACTGCAGAAATCAAAACTAACAGCCAAGAGAAAGCATAGACTGTCTTTGACAGCTACTTTTGCCAAACCTGATAATTACCAAGAATCCAATAATACTGCACTGGGGAGTGCCTGTGGGTGAACTTAATGAGAAACTCTTCTGAATGTTGAATGAAAATGTGAGATTACAGTACCTAAGCCAGGAGAGGAATTGGCCTCTTTGCTCTCCTGATAAGTGCTGCGTGCTATGACTTCATCCATTTCCTGCTCGGAAACCTGATTTTCAGCAGAAAGCAAAGATTAGATGGTTTTATTTATTTATTTCTCCCAATGAAAGTACCTAGGACCAGAGTCAGAGTCAAGTGCAGATAAAGAGGCAAACCACAGGGCCAAGGATTATGACCATCCTCCGAAGCTGTAACTCAGAGCATGTAAGAAGTCCAGCAACACACACATAACAAGACTTTTCAACTGGTGCCCAAGTTCATTAAGCAAAGCATTCAGTGCTATGATTACCAACAACACAGCTGATATCTGCCTCTCCGGAAAACTCACTTCAATTTTTTTTTTTTTTTTTTTTTGAGACAGAGTCTCTCTGTTACCCAAGCTGGAGTGCAGCGTCTTGATCTTGGCTCGCTGCAACCTCCGCCTCCCAGGTTCAAGTGATTCTCCTGCCTCAGCCTCCCAAGTAGCTGGGACTATAGGCGCGCACCACCACGCCTGGCTAATTTTTGTATTTTTAGTAGAGACAGGGTTTCAGTATATTGGTCAGGCTGGTCTTGAACTCCTGACCTTGTGGTCCACCCACCTCGGCCCCCCAAAGTGCTGGGATTACAGGTGTGAGCCACCGCGTCCGGCCTAATTCTTTTTAAGCAATTTTAAACCTACATAAAACATGTAAGAGTAGTGCAAGAGTAGTATACTTTTCACCTAGAATCACTAATTTTTAACATTTTGCCACATTTACATGCATGTCCTCCCTACACAGACACATACACACACACGCACACAGAATTACAGCTTTTTGCTAAACCATTTGTGAGTAAGTTGCAGACATCGTGACCCCTTACCCATAAATATTTCAGCATGGGTCTCTTAGAAACAAAGACATTCTTTTAAATAACCATGATACTATTGTCAAATTCAGGAAATGCAACATTGATGACTGTGTAACATAGATTTCATATTCCAGTTTGACTAAATACTGCATACTGACAGTACTTTTCTAATAGTGTCCTTTGCAAGTACTACTCAAAGTGTGTCTGTAGTCTGGGACTAGCTCACAGAAAGTTTAATGCCAGCCTGTGATGAGATAAGAACTTAACTCCACAATGCAAATTAGCATACGGCTTCATCAAAATCATCATGCTAAGGAAAAAATGTCAGCTGAACTATGTAATAGTGTGCATGGTGACACAATGTTTACATTTTGGTGCAAGCACATCTTGCTGTGGACCTGTAGCAGGCTGCCATGGATCAACTTCTTTGCATAGTGATGTTTTATTACGAAAATTGTTTTTGGCAATCCAGGATCTAGTTGTTGTATGTCTTTAGTCTCCTTTAATCTGAAACAGCTCCCGAATCTTCCTTGGTCTTTCATGGCACTGATATCTTGGAAGAAACCAGGCCAATCCAAACCTTCAATTAGGATCTGTCTGATAGTTTCCTCATGCTTAGATTCAGATTACGCATTTTTTTTTTTGGCAGAAAAAGTACAAGAATGATTTCCTTCTCAGTGCATTCAGAGGCACTAAGGGTCAATGTGTCTTATAATCGGTGATAACTTTGATCTCTTGATTAGGGATGGAATTTGCCAGATTTCTCCACTGGAATTTTTTTCAGTCATTAATGAGTAATCTGTGAAGAAACAGTTTGAGACTATGTAAATATCCCGCTCTCCAATATATTTGTACCCCATGGTTTTGGCATCATTGACTATTATTGCTTAAATCAAGTATGACTATGAAGCTTTCAAAACAGTGCTTCTATAAGTTTTCTATTCCTTCTATATTTATTAGTATCATGGCAGATTCATGGATGTTTTTCTGTTGTTATCCATAACTGTCATTATTCATGGGAAGATTTTTTTAAAAAGCCTGATATATACTGAAATATATTGATTAAAATAGTAAGAAAATGTGGAGTTTCTTTTTTAAAGGTAGGAGTATTTAAAACTTAGAATGGTAATTTTATGTACTAAAATAATATTTGGCATAAGCAATGTTTGGATAAGCATGGCAATTTGTCTTAATAAATATTTCTATATAGAATTCAGCATTATATTTTATCATAACAGGCAAATTATGATGACATTGTGGCCTTTATGTAATGCTTTACGGTAGGCTTCACAGGAAATAAAACATGTACACATACATGCACTCAGGCATATATACTTACACACACACCCCCCTCCACATAGTAGAGAATAATTTTATATAAATGAGTCAGGGAAAATATCAGCTTAAAGAGTGGTTGCTGTTTTTCTTAATACTAGACTTTCAACATTTGCAATTGTTTTTTTTGACTAGGAGAAAAATGGACTTCTATTACTTTCTTCCACTTAACATAAGTTAGAAGCTGCTATCCCAGCAAGTCCAAATCTCAGCCTGACTAGACCTGGAAGGCTTAAGTAACCCAACTGGGCAGCAACCGCTCCAGACATTATGAGAAACAGAAGAAAAGAAATCCTTGTGGTATTTCTCTTGGAATAACAAGAAAACTAAGCAAGCACATACATTCAGTATCAAAATGTACCATTGGCATGAAATGCTGGGCTAAGTGGTACAAAAATACATTAAACATAAAATGGAATCTTAACCAAAAGAAAAATACAGCATGAGGTTACAACTAAGAACACCACGTTTACCTAGGAAGAAACATGAAATCCAGTCAAACAAACACTGGCATTTAACCAAATGCCGGACATAGCTCCAACACTATCACAGACGACCATTTTATTGTGGCTAGAAACATGGATGAACCTGTATGGTCAATGGCATGGCGGCCACCAGATATGATGCTTTGCGCTGAAATGCCATTTGGATGTTTGATTGTATTGGCAAAATAGGCAGGAGTTTTGGAGCTGAGATGAACTAGACCTCTGAACAAATCATGACCCATGTTATGCTGTTATTTTGAAGTCAGACATGCCTTGAAGCCAATGACTGCAAACCACTGAAAACTCAGTTTTCTGTAACATTGCTGACGGATGAATTAGGGCAGCCAGAGGTTACTGGACTGCTTCCCGAGGTGAAAGGAGGTGATGTGGGTGGTAGACTCCAACGGGAGATTCTGGAGGAAGGAGCTGAGAACTGCTTTAGATGCAACCTTCAGGCAAAGAGAGCCAGCAGTGAAACAAAAGAGAACAGATTTTAAGTGAAGATGTCAGAACCACAGAATAGAAAGGAGAAAAATGGGAGGTGACAAGGAGGAAAAAACAGAAAAAGGTGGAAGCAGGACTTGGTTGGTTTGATTGGATTGAGTGACTGATTGATTGACTTGAGATAGAGTCTCGCTCTGTTGCCCAGGCTGGAGTGCAGTGGCGTGATCTTAGCTTACTGCAACCTCTACCTCCCAGGTTCAAGCAATTCTCCTGCCTCAGCCTCCCGAGTAGCTGGGATTATAGGCATGTACCACCACACCTGACAATTTTTTTTGTATTTTTAGTAGAGATGGGGTTTCACCATGTTGGTCTGGGTGGTCTCGAATTCCTGACCTCAAATGATCCACCTGCCTTGGCCTTGCAAAGTGCTCGGATTACACATGTGAGCTACTGCGCCCAGCTGGTACTTGGATTGATTGATTGATTGATTGATTGATTTAGACCAAGTCTTGCTTTTGTCCCCCAGGCTGGAGTGTGATGGTGCGATCTCGGCTCACTGCAACCTCCGCCTCCCAGGTTCAAGCGATTCTCCTGCCTCGGCCCCGAGTAGCTGGGATTACAGGCGCCTGCCACCACGCCCAGCTAATTTTTATATTTTTAGTAGAGACAGGGTTTTACCCATGTTGGCCAGACTGGTCTAGAACTCCTGATCGCAGGCGATCCACCCGCCTTGGCCTCCCAAAGTGCTGGGATTACAGGCGTGAGCCACAGAGCCCGGCCTGGTTTTATATTATTTATTCAAAAAACTCTGGATGCAAGACCTTTCTGAGGATGCATATAGGGAACACAATCTGAAGAAAAGCAGAGTTGCCTTTGCATTAGTCTAACGGCAATTTTGTCCCAGCACTGTTGTTGACATCACATCCCCAGATCAAGACATAGAGCCATAGCTTGATAGCACTAATTTATCCTGGGGAGGACAAGGACCACAAATGAACATCACTGAGTGTCTAAATTGATGCCACCAAGAAATCTCGGATATGGCACATAGAGGGACCCACAAGGTCTCTTGGCATAGACTTCTTACTCTTAAAGTGGTGTACCAGTCCATCAAGCACAGTAGCCTGGGAACATTTAGGATGTAATTAAGCAACACTACAAGGAATACCAAGGTATGCCCATATGACAGGCATGGGTAAGAAGTATTTTTTTTGTTTGTTTTTTGAGACAAAGTCTCGCTGTGTGGCCCAGGCTGGAGTGCAGTGGCACAATCTTGGCTCACTGCAACCTCCACCTCGCAGGTACAAGTGATTTCTCCTTCCTCAGCACTGGAGTAGCTAGGATTACAGGTATGCACCACTACACTGGCTAATTTTTGTATTATTGGTAGATACAGGGTTTTGCCATGTTGGCCAGGCTGGTCTCGAACTCCTGACCTCAAGTGATCTGCCCACCTCGGCCTCCTAAAGTGCTAGGATTACAGGCATGAGCCACTGCACCCGGCCAAGAGGTAATATTCTTAATGAACACTTTGATTTTATTTCTTTACTTTTTTGAGACAAAGTCTTGCTCTGTCACCCAGGCTGGTGTGCAGTGGCACGATCCTGGCTCACTGCAACCTCCATCTCCTGGGTTCAAGTGATTCTCGTGCCACAGCCTCCTGAGTACCTGGGATTACAGGCAGCCGCCAGCACACCCGGCTAATTTTTGTATTTTTAGTAGAGACGTGGTTTTGCTATGTTGGCCAGGCTGGTCTCAAACTCCTGACCTCAAGTGATCCACCCACCTTGGCCTCCCAAAGTGCTAGGACTACAGATGTGAGCGACCGCACCCGCCCTTAGTGAACATTTTGAGTTGCTGAAAGGAAAAGCTAAATTTTCTTAAATACAACTTAACCACAACATTAGAGGTAAGCTAATTTAAAAAGACTTTTACAACAAGCGCTCAAAAGAATAAAAAATAGTGTTAAAAGTGGATTGAGGCCGGGCGTGGTGGCTCATGCTAGTAATCCCAGCACTTTGGGAGGCCAAGGCAGGTGGATCACTTGAGGTTAGGAGTTCGAGACCAGCCTAGCCAACATGGTGAAACCCCATCTCTACTAAAAATACAAAAGATTAGTTGAGCGTGGCAGCGCCCGCCTATAATCCCAGCTACTCGGGAGGCTGAGGCAGGAGAATCACTTGAACCTGGGAGGCAGAGGTTGCTGTGAGCTGAGACTGCACCACTGCACTCCAGCCTGGGCAACTGAGAGAGACTTTGTCTCAAAAAAGAGAAAAAAAAAAAAGTGAATTGAGTTGGTTCCTTCTTTTCCTCTGTGCGTCCAAAAACAAACAAAAAAAAATTGGGTTGAGTTGAGCTTGCTGAAGTGTCCTATGGTTAGCTTCAAAAAGTTAAAGGCAACTGTACAAGTATAGAAGAGATATAACCAAATAACAGCCAAGTCCAACAATGTAGGGACCATGATTATCTGCAACTTCCGTATGGGTCCAAGAGTGTGACGCTGATGCTGAGAAAAAAATTAGTGGGCTCTTAGGCCTTAATTACAGAAGTACTCTGCTCAGGTCAAGGTTGGCTTAGACAGAGGAGGAGCCACTCTTTAAATTGGGTCTTGTCTTTCATCAGTCTAACAACAGTAACATCCTCACACTCTAACAAAATGCTTAACATTCTTGGGGTCATGAATGACTGAGAATTTGATAGAAGCTATTGATTCCGTCCACAATTGCAAATCTATTCCCACATTTGTGTAGTTCGTAATGTCCTGGTAAAGGTCCCGTGAACTTCAGGTTCAGAGTAGGCTGCAAGTTTCTTGAGATACATTCTAATTAATTGTGTATCCCTGGTATGTTGGCACTGCCTGGCACCCAGTAGAAGCTCAATAAATGTTTAGGTAATGAATTTGATATAGGATGAGAATAGATGATCTGAATCGCCCTGGCTGGAGGGAGACAGGGAAGGATAGTCCGTCTGTTGATGCCTGGCAGCCTGCCTGCCTGCTTCACAACCTCCACACCCATCCCAATTCACCCCCAGGGCCTCCTTGGTGCCTCTGCCTCCTGTTCAATACCAGGTTCACATGGGCTGGTGGTACCCAGGCTAAGCAGCTAACATTAGACCTGAAGGATCTTCTCTCTTTCCTTCCAAGTAAAACTTGTAAGTAAGAAAGAGTCATTTAATAAATCATTCTCAGACCGGGCGTGGTGGCTCACATCTATAATCCCATCATCCAGTGGGAGGATCACTTGAGGTCAGGAGTTTGAGACCAGCCTGGCCAACATGGTGAAACCCCGTCTCTACTAAAAATGCAAAAATTAGCTGGGCATGGTGGCGCATGCCTGTAATCCCACCTACTCAGAAGGCTGAGGCGGGAGAATCACTTGAACCCAGGAGGCAGAGGTTGCAGTGAGCCGAGATCACGAAACTGCACCCCAGCCCGGGCTATAGAGCTAGACTCCGTCTCAAATAATAATAATAATAATAATAATAATAATAATATTTCATTCTCAACAGAAGACTATATGGGTATCTTTACAATGATAAAATGTAAGGAGCTGCAGTGACATACTATGTCCGTTGGCTCAAGGCCCCATGTGGTTCCTCTGGTCTCCCGTGGAGCCATCTGTATTAGATAAACCAAAGAAAGAACTCCCACTTTCAGAATGTGTCGTTAGAGGAACAAGCAAAACCAGTATTGGAAAATGTGAATGCACGTTAAATGTCATGGTCAGGAGAATTTCAATACATATTTATGCTGCTTAGGTAGATTACAGAACAATTGTGTGAGTAGTTAATGAAAAGGATCCTGGCATGAATTTAAAAATTTAGTCTTGGCCGGGCACGGTGGCTCGTGCCTATAATTCCAGCACTTTGGGAGGCCAAGGTGTGTGGATGCCTTGAGCTCAGGAGTTCGAGACCAGCCTGGGCAACATGGTGAAACCCCATCTCTACCAAAAATGTAAAAATTAGCCAGGTGTATTGGCACGCACCCATGGTCCCAGCTACTCTGGAGGCTGAGGTGGGAGGATCGCTGGAACCCGGGAAGTCGAGGTTGCAGTGAGCCATGATTGTGCCATTGCACTCCAGCCTGGGTGACAGAGGGAGACCCTGTCTCAAAAAAAAAAAAAAAAAATTTAGTCTTGAGGACTTGATCTATCAGAAAAATAGTATCCTTCATAATTTTGCATAAACTTAACAAATAACTTTTCCATTATAGTTTATTTGAAATGCTGGGCTTTATTTTTTCCCCAACTTTGATGGAAGCAAAATCTACAAAGTAACATTTGCAAATAAGCATTTGGTCTGCAAAGCCAGATTTCATCTTATTTTCATTTATTTGAATTTCAAGATAATCATTTGATAAGATAAACAGGTATTTTTCTGACTCAACAGTTAAATGAACATTAAGAAGGAAACATTCCTCCACAAATGTGAAGACATTTATTTGTCCTTTAAAAGTATCTAACGTGGGGCATGGTGGCTCACACCTTTAATCCCAGCCCGAAGTGGATTGATTGCTTGAGCCCAGGAGTTTGAGAATAGCCTGGGCAACACAGCAAGACCCCATCTCTATTTAAAAAAATATTTTTAAAGTAAACTGAAAAACTTTCTACTCTAGAAATTCTATGGAAACACAGAAACAATTTAAATTAATTAAGTATATTACCCAAGTTTAAGTTAAATTCTAAATAGTTTTCTTTCCAACTATTATGAACAATTTATTTTTATACTTATCTTGACACTTTCTCATTTCTTTTTATTTCTTATTTAAAAAAAATAAAGATGAAGTCTCACTATGTTGCCCAGGCTGGTTTCAAACTTCTGAGCTCAAGTGATCCTCCTGCTTCGGCCTCCCAAAGTGCTAGGATTACCAGTGTGAGTCATCAAGCCTGGCCCTCATTTCTTAATTGAACAAAGTTTAAAATTCACTGAAACTGTTTTAAAAATAAATTAATCATTCAACATTAAACTTAAAGATGAGAGAATTCCCAACATATGGCCCAACAAAAGATGTGGTAAGAAAAGCCTTCTTATCTTGAAACTGACAGGGTCATAGAGATCGTCCAGTCCAAGGCTTGCAGATTCTGTTGTTGCAAAAACCCAAAGAGGTTAAGTATCTCACCAGAGCTCAAAAAGCCAGTACTCAGAACACAGCATTCTTACCTCCCACCAGACAAGTTTCAAATTTACCAGATAACATTGTCAAAATGTTCTAGTAAGATTTTCTAAGACTGTGAAGACAAAGTCCAGATTAGAGATTCATTTCCCACATGAACCACCCGTAGGTTGCCTGCCTATCCCCAGCTGGGAAAACCATCTCACCAAAGAGTATACGATATCCTAGGAAGGTGTATCATCTTCCCACGTTCAGAAGAGGGTGGACCACCTCACCTTTGGATTAGGGTGCCGGCCGATGACAAGGCGAACGGGTCCTGGAGGGCATTTACTCAAGATGGCGTGGACTTTGCTTAAAGCAGCATGGCGGACGTTGACGGAGTTCACTTCCAGGATTTGATCCCCGCGGCTAGGGAGGGCAACAGAATCCACACTCTGTGTTAGCAGCCAGCTTCTTAAAGCTAAAATAGCCTTCTTGCTAGGAGAGGTTTATAATATGAAATCTTTTCTGAATACTTTAAAGAAGCTCATATCTTTTCCCGTTGGCATACATGTAAAAATGCAACACATTCATAAAAACACATTCGATTTTAAGTGGGCAAAGGTCATTATGCATATTTACTGGCATTTTCAGAAACAGCAAAGTCAAATAAAATTGATAATAAGGACAATGATGAAACCTACCATATTTTGAGCATATACTATATGCCAGGCACTGTACAAAGCATGCTGTATAACAAAGCTTTGAGTAAGTAAAATTATTCCCATTGTGCAGATAGGAACACAGGCTCAGAGGGGTCACCCAGATGTCACACACTGTTGAACTAACTCGGGTCCGTCTGACTGTCAACCATCACATGACAGAACCCCTCGACCACCAGCAGTTCTCTCTTCCTACCATCTTGAAATGATTATTATAATATAACTTAAGGAGGAAATAGCTGAGGCTCAAAGGTTACCCAACAATTTGTAAAAACGTTTCAAATTTGAACAAATGAGAAATTGGGGACAAGTTGCCCATTTTGACTGGAAATTACAGGGAGAGAAGTCAGTAGGAGAGAACAAAGACTCTTTATATGGGATTTGAAGAATGTTCATTTGGCAGGCTCCAGACATATGGAATCATTCAAGAAAGAAACATCATCTTGGGATGTCATTAAAGGATTTTTTTCCTTGGGTTCTAAAAGTATATTTTCTTTAATGTACTTTGGATGATTTGCTAAATTTTTTTTCATATGGAAATTTACTCTAATGATTAACTAAAAACATAATATAAGCTATTAACAGGGCCCCAAAATGGCAACCTCAATGAATGCCATTTTGACAATCCCTTAACCACTAAAGGACTTGGAAGTTTACAGGGCAGAAAGATGAAACTGTTAGCACAGGGTGCTTTGTGCAATACACGTACATTCTTGTGACGTTTAGGTGGGCACTGACTCACTGCAATTTCTATATAATAGAACACCTAGATATTTCTTGTGTAAACAGAACGCCCATGTTACAACTCAACTATCTGGATTAAGAAATCAGACACTCAGTGACTTCAGTAAGTAGACACCTAGACATGGCCATTCAACAAGGAATGAAAATGACAGGAAAAGTTTGAGAGAATACTTAATAAGAAATGCCTCCTATTCAAGGGCACAATTTCAGGACTGTTTGGCATCAAGTGATTCTGAACCATTTCAGCAGTTCCAGTATTTCATATGAATTTTATATATGTGAATATAAAATGAAAGAAAATATTGAGCTAATCATAGATATCTGTATAGAGTTGTATCTTGTCAAGTTTCTGAAACTGGACTTCTGAGACCAAATAGAACAAAATAAGCAGGGAAGCCAAGATCTAGAGTTCTCAAATTCAACCAAATTTCATTTATATTAACATTTACATTTTTGGAGATGCTATTAATTGTAGTCTTGGCTACGTTCTTGGAAAGAATTCAAAGCTTCAACATCCCTCAAAGGGAAGTAATAGAACAAATATCACACGTGTATATTTCATATTTATGAACACTCCAGAACCTTACACTATCAGGCAAACAACAAACCTCAGGTTGCTCTCCATCTTGGCCACTGATCCTGGAGCAAGGCTGTGAATGTAGATGCCAGGAGGACTGTTTTCCAGAGCCAAGCAGCAGGCACCAATGCCTAATCCAACTCTTGGCTCTGTGAGAGGCACCATTCAAAGAAAATAAAAACAAAAATTACACAATCACTAGAAAAAATGTGTAACTGATTTGAAACAGAATTAATATCTATTCAGACCAATAACCATTTATTTCTGGTCCAGACTCAGAATGTAAATCCAGCTTTTCCTTGTCAACACTTGCCACTGCTGTTAATAGAATGAGCCCATGGCTAACCTGGGAGCTAGTTACGGACTGAATTATCCGACGGTCAACTCTCTGCTTAGTCTAACTAACCTCCTCACATCTGTTTTTAGAAATAGGCAGGCTATAAGTAACGTTTTTATTCTAGGTACACAAACTCAAGCTTTCTTTTGCTTTTCTTTTTAACACATAATCTCTTGGTTGTTTAATCTTCCATCATGTTTCTAGAGTAGGTGGGGAGGAAAAAGAAACAGGGATGAAAAGCAGTAAGATTTGGTGATCACGCATGAATTCTAGTTACTAGTGTTAACTGTACACTTAACTATAATCTTTTGTTCTTTAAAATTTTATATTAGCCCCAGACTTAAGCTCACCGGTGAATTTTTTTTTTTTTTTTTTTGAGACGGAGTTTTGCTCTTGTTGCCCAGGCTAGAGTGCAGTGGCACGATCTCGGCTCACTGCAACCTCTGCCTCCCGGGTTCGAGCGATTGTCTTGCCTCAGCCTCCCGAGTAGCTGGGATTACAGGCGCTTGCCACCACGCCCAGCTAATTTTTTTTTTTTATTTTTAGTAGAAACGGGGTTTCGCCATGTTGGGGAGGCTGGTCTCAAACTCCTGACCTCAGGTGATCTACCTGCCTCGGCTTCCCAAAGTGCTAGGATTACAGACATGAGCCACTGTGCCTGGCCAGTGATTTTTTTTTTTTTTTTTTTAAACACAAGCCTCTGACCCACAGTGATTCATGGGGAGAGCTTAGAGAGCTCCATGCTACTGGTAACTTCCCTTCACTTTGACTAAAGTGACTAACATCTCTCTACCTGACCTCACTGTCCCATGCAGAGACCACGTGTTGTTGATAGAAGATTGTACCAAAGGAATAATTCATAGAACAACAAGGAAGAATTAAGCTAACAACAGATTCCAAAATGTTATTCAAGAAATGAGACAAAGGTAAGGAATAGCTGCTATCACCTTTGTTGAGTGTTACTTCCATGACGATCCTGTCCTTGGGCCCAGGGGTCTTCCGACCCAGGGATGAAGAACTGCCTTCATCGGAACCTCCCGCTGAGGCTCCCCCACTGGTATTGAAGTTCGGGGAGGCGGATCTGCTCATGTGTGTGGGTGTCGAGCAGGGTGTGAGGCTGGGGCTCACCAACTTTGTGCGTACCGTTAAAACAAATAATCCACTCCGGATTTGCTGAGAAAACAGTGAGGAAAGGTGGGCTGAAACATTTGGAATGTCCTTATATCAAAGGGTTAAAAAAAAAAAACAACTCACCAAACCCAAGCCAGAAGGAAATAAAGAAAGGAAAATAGGATAAAGGAGATCAATAAGAATGTTGTTACCTTAAAGGTATGAATGGCTTCTTGAAATGTCAAGCCCTTTATTGGTATTCCATTTACATCTAGGATTTCATCCCCTAGTGATCAAATGTGAGAATTACATTAACATTAGCCTTTAATTTCCTGGAATTTAACTGCTCAGTCAGACTTATTTTGGGATACCATATGGTCCCTGATTTACTACCACATAAAATAACTTTTATTGTTTAGCTTAGCTCCCAGGAATGTCACAAAATGGGACAATTAATGACAACACATATTCTTTTGCAGTAATTCTGTATTTCAATCTTCAATTAAAATAACTATGGGAAGCATGAAAATCTTATTTTTTTAGCCATTGCCAAGTTTGACAACAGATGTCCTATGTTTCGAAATCAAACTGCAGAAATCTAGTTCAAAGGCGTTCCTCATAGTCATTGTTTAAAAACTTAAACCCACTGGCAATGAGGCATGAACACATACAACATTTGAGAAGTCACTCCTATATTTGTAGAAAGACAAGTTCCCCAAGCACAGAGAATCAGCATGGTGTATGGAAAATGGCTTTAATGATAACAAAAACTTGCTAAAATATTACTGAGCAATGGCAGCCCAGAAACAGTCTTTTTTTTACTAAAAAAAAATTTTTTTTTGAAACAGAGTATTGCTCTGGCTCAGTCACCCAGGCTAGAGTGCGGTGGCGTGACCTCAGCTCACTACAACCTCTGCCTCCCAGGTTCAAACTATTCTCATGCCTCAGCCTCCTGAATAGCTGGGAATACAGGTGCACGCCACCATATATGGCTAATTTTTTTTTGTATCTTTAGTAGAGACAGGGTTTCACCATGTTGGCCAGGCTGGTCTTGAACTCCTGGCCTTGAGTGATCTGCCCGCCTCGGCTTCCCAAAGTGCGGGGATTACAGGTGTGAGCTACTGCTCCCGGCCCAAAAATAATCTTGCTGATGCAGTTCCAGGTTCTCTGTCAGTAAGCTGGCAAGTTTACTATAAGCTTCTATCTCAGAGATGACTGCAGGGTCATGTTAATTTGCCAGGCATGTGCAGGAATATGCTCGCACATGGCCCCCTGCCCCAGCTCTCCTATTATTTTTAACTCTAAGGCGGCACAGTCAGGTCGTTTTTCAAGCTGTTGATAGCGTCTGCTAGGAATATAAAAGAACTTGGACATCCTGTTGACTTATCAGAGCTCGTTTCTGGTTTGCACTCTTGTGACATGGCCTGCTTTTTTGGAATAACAGTTCATCAAAAACACTACAAAGATGCCCCAGAGAGAAGAACAGATGAACTTTGCACAGCATTGCTGTAGAGAAGAGGGACTCTGTACGCCTATAAGAAAGTGCAAAGCAGCATAAGAACACACATTGTCACCTCTCGCAGACAGCCAATCCCAGGAGCACACTGTGTGCACAATTCAAGGAATCCTGTAGATGAGTTACAAAAATGTAGCTGTGCCCCATGCATTTGTTATGTGGCTTCCCCTTAATGCAATTATAGAAGCTATAAAATAAGTGAAGTAATCTCTGTTTAAAAATCTGGCATAACCAATTACTCAATTAGGTGAGGAGGTGGATGTTTTTAGGTTGTTTCCATAGGGGAAAAGGAGCAAATATTAAAATGATTACTCGCACTCTTAAAATGTATGCAAAGTTTTTTAAAGAAGTATCACTCAACAGGTTGAAATCCATTCCAATGACTTACGTTTCTTGTAAATGAACACATATGAAAAAACGCTATTTAGGAGAATCAAGTGCTATTAACCTTTCTTAACTATTGATTTTTTTTCCCCGTTTTGCTCCATTTTACCAGCCTTGCAGGATGAGTTTCAATTAAGTGAACACATGGCACATCCATTATAAAAATGCTCTGTTAGAATTTTATATTGTTCTAAAACTCAACACAAACACCACCTGGGAGTTAACCCTTCCTCTAAGAGACAGAAATAAATATTCTGCCGTGGGAGAATGAAGCCTGGTCATGTCTTATTGTTAGCATACAGGGTTCGATGGTTGCTCTGCCTAAAAAATAGGAGATTCCAATTCATTCTCATCAGTTCCAAAAAAAGAACCCGTATAACACAAAAGCACCTGAAGTTTAGGTCAATTGAACTGAACAGTCACAGCATTTTTGAAGATAACTAAAAATATTCTACTTTAAATATTTCAAGAAGGAAGTATATTAATAAGTGAGAGGAAAAAATCGGGATTCATGCTCTGGTGAATGCTATTTAAAATATGTGCAGGCTAGGTGCTGTAGCTTAGGCCTGTAATCCTAGCACTTTGGGAGGCAGAGGTGGGACATTCACTTGAGGCCAGGAGTTCGAGATCAGCCTGGGTAACATAGTGAGACTCCATCTCTTAAAAAAAAATTTAGCTGGGCACAGTGGTGCACACCTGTGGTCCTGGCTACTTGGGAAGCTTAGGCAGGAGGATCCCTTGTGCCCAGGAGTTTGAGGCTGCAGTGAACTATGATCACACCACTGCACTCCAGCCTGGATGACAGAGCAAGACCCTGCCTCTTAAAGTACAATAAAATAAATATATATATGTATATACCTGTGTGTGTGTTCAGAACTTCTGGGCAATTCTTCTTTATAAAAAGTATATAATCTTAATCCAGATAAACATTTCACAGAAAATATAAAGATATGTATATCTATTCTAGATATTCTATCAAAAGCAGCTATTGTGTCTGTACAGAAAGGAAACTTTGGCCTATTTATATTTTATTTTCTCAAGTAAGGTGGGAAAGTGAATTGAACTTGGAATCACAAAGCTGGGTTTAAATTTCACTTCTGCTCTTTACTAAGGATGGGACAAGTTTCTAGTCACTTAACATTTCTGAGTGTCACTTTTCTGTTTCTAAGATGGTCACTCCAAAATGCCAATTTGACAAGTTTGCAAGGCAGTTAGTGAAATAATTGAATATGTGGAATTGCTTTTTAAGTGTTTAAAGCACTATAAAATGATATATTTAAACATTAAAAAAATTATTTGCAAGGTAGAACTTGGCACCTCAATATTACTTTAATTTGCATTCAGAAGCACTTGTCTAGTATATTCGCATATGGCAAAATGGCAGGTGCTATTGAGAATTAAAAGATGTTCATTTAGGGCCAGACACAGTGGCTCATGCCTGTAATCCTAGCACTTTGTGAGGTTGAGGTGGGCGAATCACTTGAACCCAGGTGTTTGAGACCAGCCTGGGCAACATGGTGGAACCTCGTCTCTACAAAAATATACAAAAATTAGCCAGGCATGACGGTGTGCACCTATAGTCCCAGCTACTCACGAAGCTGAGGTGGGAGGATCACCTGAGCCCAGGGGGTTGAGGCTGCAGTGAGCCATGATCATGCCACTGCACTCCAGCCTGGGTGATAGATTGAGACCCTGTCTCATTAAAAAAAAAAAAAAAAAAAAAAAAAAGATGTTCATTTAGGAACCAGACTATGTGGTGGTTGATTTCTGTAGCAAGATATTAAATATCCACTAATGACCAGGCGCTCTGCTTCCACACCAGCCCTAAGGTAAGAATGGACCCCAAACTCTCAAAATTTTCAGGGAAAGGAACATGATCAGACCAAGTTGACAAGATAGACACTAAAGACCCCAACAGAAGTATTAAGCCACTTTCCACATATTATCTCATGTAATCCTGACAACGACTCTTCAAGGCAGGTGTTAATATTCCAAGTTTACAACTAGGGAAAGTGAAGCTCAGGTTACACTGACTATGCCAGGCAGATTCCGCCGAGGTCTACTAGGTACTGTGGCATTCACTCACATCTTGTGAAGAGGCAGATTCTCATGGGATCAAAGTCACTGTCACTGAGGATACAAGAGGCTTTCCCCTACCTTCTTTAAGTCTTCCGTCCTCTGCAGCTGATCCATTTGGGAAGATGGTCTTGACAAAAATCCCCATCTGTCCACGAATGCAGTCTCGACCTCCAGCAATACTAAAGCCAAGGCCCTAGATCCGAAGCAGATGAGAGTCCAGGTTGACAGTGTGGTATTTAACTGAGGGCATCTTTCCCATTGTAGTATTTAACTGAAGGCATCTGTCCCATTGTAGTATTTAACTGAAGTGCCCTCCCTAACCAGGCCTGGAGTTAAACTAAGCAACTAGCTGCAAACTCAAGTTTGTGTTCTCTTCCTTATTCCCCTCCTCCGATCTATTTACGCTGCACTAGCCATGCATTACATTAAGGGAAAAAGTTTTAGGCAGAAACATACCAAATTGCCAATATTTGACAATCTTTGACCTCCACAAATGGCAATTTCATATGGATCCACTAAATAGCTCTTAAGAGTCATTTCCCACTTACATGCAGGTGCCACATTTGTTTTCTTTTGTTTTAGTCTTTCCATTTTGTATAATATCAAAATGAATATTTTGATTTTTGTGTAATGTCAAGTTATTCATATCATTTCCTTTATGATAATGGCAACGCCATGAAATTCATTCAAAAGGATAACCAAGGGTACTCCCTGAAGCTGCAGGCTCTGCTTTTCTTTCACTGGAGGTAAAAGTTGAGGGTCATTCATTGCACCCTTGGTTCTGGCCCTAGCAGCCAAGTGCTGGTGACTCCTTACATCGTAGGAGCAAAGAGGGCATGGCCATCTCACACTGAGACCTATGGTACAGAATGCCAGGGAATCCACTTGAATCCATACAGAGGCCACTTTAGCGGTCCTTCTTTATACCTGTTACTTTTCATTTCATGTAAAGACAAATAAAAAGTAACCATTTAAAGAACATGTGTGGCTGGGTGCAATGGCTCATGCCTATAATCTCAGTGCTTTGGGAAGTCGAGGTGGGAGCACTGCTTGAGCCCAGGAGTTTAAGACTGCAGTGAGCCATGATTGCACCACTGCACTCCGGCCTGGGCAACAGAGCAAGAACCTGTTTCTAAAAACAAAAACACAAAAACAAATAAAATAAAATAAAACAAAAAATGTGTGCTAAGATTCACCCAGAAGGCAGAACAGTCTGCAGAAAAGAGCTCACCTTGCCTTTTTCTTTGTACAACCCAATGATCGAGATGACGGATGGCCGAATGAGCCTCCAAGGAGATTCCACCTGAGTCGTGCTTAAGGAGCGGGTAGACTTCTTCACAATGTGGTATTCCTAAAAGTCAGCACACGGCAAGGTCAGAGATTACTCTCATTTGTTCTATTGTGGTATCTGGCAGAAAAATACACTCAGACTTTGAAAATCTTAGATGTCTTCAGTACTAGACATTTCTCTCTGGTTCAGTGACTTAAAAAAGTTTCCTATAAATACTATCGCAGGTGCTGGGCACCGTGGCTCATGCCTGTAATCCCAGCACTTTGGGAGGCCAAGGCAGGTGGGTCACCTGAGGTCAGGAGTTTGAGACCAGCCTAGCCAACGTGGTGAAACCCCGGCTCTAATAAAAATACAAAAATTAGCTGGGTGTGGTGGTGGATGCCTGCAGTCCCAGCTACTCAGGAGGCTGAGGCAGGACAATCGCTTGAACCTGGGAGGTGGAGGTTGCAGTGAGCAGAGATTGTGCCACTGCACTCCAGCCTGGGCAACAGAGTGAGACTCCGTCTCAAAAAAACTATCGGAAGAATAGCCCCTACTACAACAGATTGCCATGACTTCTTCCCCCACATAAAGAACTGCTTGGGGATCTTAAGCACCTTGTGTTGCTCTTTCCTTGACCTCATTCCACAGATTCTACATCTGGAATGGAGTCAGGAAGCAGAAACAAGAGGCCTCAGTGATACAGGATGACCACCTGTGGTCGGGCTTTCCCTTGGTAGTCACCCCTGCCTCCATCCCAAGTTCACCATCATGGTTAGAAAGTATCTTGCCATTTTAAGCCTAACTCACTCGATCAAAAACTCAGCAAGCCCTTGTTTCTTATAAAACCCAAACCACAAACCCAGACAACTGTTATTCCACATAAAACATCCCGCTGAGAGACGGCAGCAGCTTCAGTTCTCATCTCTCACATTTGGAAAATAAAGTATTTTCCCATAATGAGCCACACTTTCCCTTCCTGACACGCAGCAGCTCCAATCTCACCCCTTTTTTGTGTCCATCACCCATAATATACACGCGTGTAAGCAGGCTGCGCTCCTTAGAACATAAAGAGATCAAATGACTCTATCACCAAAGCACTTCTATAATCTTGCTCCTTGCTATTCTTCTTAGAATAATAAACTTCTTCACTGATGCAGATATTCTACCTAAGCCAAAAAAATCACTTTATGTTTAATATGAGAAAAGAGACATCGCAAAACAGTTTTATCCTGAATCTCTGTGTATACTACATTCAAACACAAAAATTAGATGTCCCCAGTGATATTTTTGTATTTTTGGCAGCTTAGAACAATTATTATTATTTCTTTTTTGCGGTTTTACAAAATATCTGCCAACAATGTTGGCCTCCCAGACTTTCAATCATTAAAAAAAATGATGTGGGCTTGGCAAGGTTACTGCCCTTTTAATGAAACCATTGCAGTGATGGCCAAACATCGCCTGGGTTTTTCAGTCCTTGAATACGGAGGTTTGTGTGTGAACTCCTAAGGGAACTCTTTCTCTGGTCACCATCTTCAGCAGTACTTCACTCCATCTCTCTTTTGGGAACCAGAAGGAACCAAAGGCCTGTAGGCTTCACCAACCTCTCAGAGAGTTTCCAGGATCTCCTTGAACTTTCTAGACCCGTGCTGTCTAACATGGTAGCCACTTGCCACCTGTAGGTATCTATATTAAAATTAATTAAAATTAAAAATACACCCCCCACTAGCCACTTTTCATGTGCTCAGTAGACATATACGGCTACCATATTGGACGATACAAATAAAAAACATCTCCATCATTGCTGAAAGTTTTACTGGAGAGGTCAAATCTAGATAATACTTATTTATTTATTTTATTTGTTTATTTAAGACAGAGTCTCTCACTCTATCACCTAGGCTGGAATTCAGTGGCGTGATCACAGCTCACTGCAGTCTTGACCTCCTGGGCTCAAGCGATCCTCCCACCTCAGCCTCCCAAGTAACTGGGAACACAGGTATGCACGACCATACCCAGCTAATTAAAAAATTTGTTTTCGTAAAGATAAGGTCTTGCCATGTTGCCCAGGCTGGTCTTGAACTTGGGCTCAGGCAATTCTCTCACCTTGGCCTCCCAAAGTGCTGGGATTACGGGCATGATCCTGGTTGTAGATAATACTTTATAGTGGAGGGAGAGAGACAAAGAAAAAAGAAAGATGAATCCTGGGAGAAAAAGGGCAGAAAATAAAAAGAGGAGACAAAAGAAAGGACAGTTTTCTTGAAAAGAGAGGGAAAAACTCTCCTTTCAAACTTTCTACCCTGGCCTGGGCTTCCCGATCCCTGAAGTGTGGTTAAAAATGGATGTTTCTGGGCTACAAATGCTGTCGGGTTTCCTCAGCAGGTCAGTTAAGAAATTACCTCAACGCTCGATCTGTGGCCATGATGGCTGTAAACCCTCTCTCATCTTTCACACAGCCTGACAAGGCCGGGCACGGTGGCTCACGCCTGTAATCCCAGCACTTTGGGAGGCCGAGGCAGGTGGATCACTTGAGGTCAGGAGTTTGAGACCAGCCTGGCCAACATGATGAAACCCCGTCTCTACTAAAAATACAAAAATGAGCTGGGTGTGGTGGCACACACCTGTAATCCCAGGTACTTGAGAGGCTGAGGCAGAACTGCTTGATCCCGGGAAGTGGAGGTTGCAGTGAGCCAAGGTCGCACCACTGAACTCTAGCCTGGGCAACAGAGTGAGACTCAGTCTCAAAAAATAAAAAATAGAACGACTGACAGGCCATCTTCCAATGTTCTGATCTCCCCTGACTCTGTGGGTCCAACAGGACCATTCTGAGCAGGTCGCAGTCCTGGGCCTGGACAAGTTTGACTGGTCCCATGCCAGTTTTTTCTCTGCTTTTACTCAATGCCCCAATGCCCCTCAAGTTGCCTTTGGGTGAATTCAACCCAAAATGGGCTGATGAGCAATTGTCCCTGAAACATGGGCACTTGTTATTCTCCTGGTCAGATAAAGGGCATCGGAAGCAACAGAAATACTTTATCCTGACACATAATTGACTGATTCGAGCACCTTTAAAGCTTTACAGAGGTTCTGGCATATCACCTTGGGCAAAATACTTAACCCCTTTGAGATTCAGTTGCTCCATCTGTAAATGGGTCATAACACACCAAAAGTAAGGGCCTGCCTCAGATGCCCTGACCCAGGTCCTTTAGAACTCTACCCTCTACAGCTTTCCAAGCATGTGTGGAGGTCGTTGCTGCCACGCCCGTCCTCTATCTCTGCTTCATCATAGGGCTGGGGACAAGCTGCTAACGGTTCCTCTTGAGCCCCTTGGTTAGTGGTGCCAGGACTCAAAGAATACCCCACAGGTTTCTCAGGGACTGAGCCTGCCTTAGCCTTGGTTAGGAGACCACCTGACCGGTTTCTACCAGGTTGAGGATGCTGAGATGGAGGAGCGGCCCTCATGCAGGGCTGTGGAGTCCGGATCTCAGACGGGAGCAGGTTCTGTAACATCAACTTGAGCAGCTAGTGCAGCCCCCCTCTACAGCCCCCCATGACCTTGGCTGCTTGAGTCATTACTGTGTAACAGGTAGGACTCCAGGTGAGCCATGGATGCATGTACAGGCACACACGCACACTCCCTCTCTCATACATGTGCCCATACCCACCCACAGTTGTTACACTGATACAGGCTGCTCCTATTAATCGAGCAGTGCTGGTTCACCACAGACTATGAGACGCCATCGTCTCCTGGCAATTGAAAGCACCTCTAGGTTCCAAAACACACAGTAGGAAGGAGATGAACATTTTGAGATCCAATGAGGGATTTTCCCCCCACTATTTTCAAGTATTAGGCTGACTTCTTTGTAGCCTCTCTGGGTAGACCTCACTTTGCCTGCTGTCTCTCTCTATCCCACTTCTCTAGCCCCAGACACTCCTGGCCTGTATGGATGGGCAGTTCTTCTTAACATGTAAGCCCTTATGGTCTTTGAAAAGATCCACAGCCCTGGTCGGACCTGTGAGGCACTGGAAGAGTCCAGCAGCTGCGGGAGGGAGTGTTTCCGGCCATCTCGGGAGACCTCCAACATCCGGATCCGGGGGTCCCCATTCCGCACCATCAGCTCGTTATATTCTTCAACTGACTCAAGGCGGTGTACACCCCCTTGAGAAAACAGAGGAGAAAACATAGTTTGATATGGGACAAAAAGAATCGTAAGCACATCCAGAGGCATAAACTCATTGTATTTACACCCACCTTCATGGTTTTGAGAAGCCTAGCGTCCAATACACTCAAAGCACAGAGCCTAGCCCATCCTAATAGCAATCTCTGCATAAGCTAGTTACGTGCTGAAGCCATTAGTGTCAGGCTACGAAAAAACTGCCAGTTTTTGAAATGACCAGATTAGATGAGGGGCAATGTAAATGTGTGTTCCCAATAAGATGTAGCTCTGGTGGATAAGGGAATAGTGAGAAGGCTATTAGAATTTTTCCTGATGATGGAGGAATATCATTTTGTGATTGGTATAGTTTCATTGTTGGTGCAGATGTTTTTTTTCCAAGTATAGGCACGACTTTTAAAATAAACTTTTGATTAAAGTATAACAACTTACAGAAATGTGCACAACTCATAAATACACAGTTCAATGAAATTTCATATACCCATAACCAAAACCTAGATCAAGAAGCAGAATATTAACCAGAACCTCAAAAACACCCTTTGTGCTACTAACCATCCTTCACCCAAGGGTAACCATTATCCCAGCTTTTAACATTACAGATTACTTTTATCTGTTTTTAATTTTACATCAATGAATACACACAACACATGCTTTTTGTCTGGCTCCTGTTCTTAGCATTTGTTTATGAGATTCAACCACGGTATTGCATGCCAATAGCCTGTTCATCCCCATTCTGTAGGCTATTCCGTTGTCTAAACACATTCTGTTGTCTAAACATACCACAATTTACTTATCCATTCTATTGTTGGTGGACATTTGGCTTGTGTCTCCAGTTTTAGATCTAGAACAAGGGTCAGCAAAGATTTTTGGCAACACTTTTTGGTATGTTCACTTCTTTTGGTAAAGAGTTGGCAAGCTTTTTGCCATGTTTTTAGGTTTTGTGGGCCACAAATGGCCTTTGTTGCGTATTCTTTTTCTTCTTCTTTTTCTTAACAACCCACTAAAAATGTAGAAAGCATTTCTAGCTTGTGAGCCCTACAAACAAAGCTGTGGACTAGAGCTTGCTGAACCTTGATCTAGAATATCCCATTACTAAATATTCTCTCACATGTCATTAGATATCACCTAGGAGTGGAGTCTCTGGGCTACACTACAAGCATCTGTCCAGCTTTACCCATGCTGTTTCACCAGCACAGGGAAGTTCTAGAATCTCCACATCTTTGTCACACTGGGCAGTGTCAGTCTTTAATTTTGGCTATTCTGGAAAATATGACGGTATTCATTTGTTTTTTTTAAATTGCATTTCACTGATGACTAACGAGATCAAGATTCTTTTCATACATTCATTGGCTGTGTTCCTTTCGTAAAGTTGTAAAGTGCCTGAACAAGTCTTTTGCCCATTTTAAAATTGGATGTCTTTCTTATCGATTTATAGGCATTTTTATTTATTTATTTATTTATTGGTGTTTTCTTTTTATTTTTTTGAGATGGAGTCTCTCTGTTGCCCAGGCTGGAGTGCAGTGGCGCAATTTGCTCACTGCAACCTCCACCTCCCAGGTTCAAGTGATTCTCCTGCCTCAGTTTCCCGAGTAGCTGGGATTACAGGTGCACGCCACCACGCCCAGCTAATTTTTTTATTTTTAGTAGAGATGGGGTTTCACCATGTTGGCCAGGCTGGTCTTGAACTCCTAACTTCAGGTGGTCTACCTGCCTTGGCCTCCCAAAATGCTGGGATTACAGGCATGAGCCATTGCGCCTGGCCCATTTTTTCAAATTTTTAATGTAATTTGAATAAGGGTCTTTTATGGGATCTATGGATTGTAAATATCTTCTCCGTGTCTACGCTTTGCCTGTTCACTGTCTTAATGTATATTTTGAAAAAACAGTTCAAAATTTTAATGTAGTACAGTACGTCTTTTTAAAAACTTCATGGTTTAAAATTTTGTGTTCTTTTAAAGATACTTCTATAGTAACAATTTAGGCTGGGTGCGGTGGCTCATGCCTGTAATCCCAGCACTTTGAGAGGCCGAGGTGGGCCGATCGCCTGAGCTCAGGAATTCGAGACTGCACTGGGCAACATGGTGAAACCCTATCTCTATTAAAATACAAAAAATTAGCTAGGTGTGGTGGGGTGCACCTGTAGTCCCAGCTACTCAGGAGGCTGAGGCCAGAGAATTGCTTGAACCCAGGAGGCTGAGGTTGCAGTGACCTGAGATCGCAACACTGCACTTCAGCTTGGGTTACACTGTGAGAGACTGTCTCAAAAAAACAAAAACAAAAACAAAACTTCTATAGTAACAATTTTAAAGACTTTATCAATACCTAGTCTATATTATGTTATTTTAAAATAATTTAAGGGACATTAATCTTAAGTGATGTATCAACTACATATGAATATAGCTATAATCATATTACAATGTTTATATGATATACAATACCTATCTGCGTGTGTACATGTATATACATATGTGTTTGTGTGTATATACAGATTCCTCATATATCAAGTTCATCACCTAGACTAGGTAATGTTTCATCTGATTACCTAAAATTTCAATTTACCTAAATATTACTCTGAAAGTTTTGCACTGAATAAAACAAGATTATTGTTTTAAAAAGTATTGATGAGTTATTAAAAGTGATAGAAAGTGGGAAGAAAGCTGATACAGTCATATGGCAATGAATGCCATTAAAGGTTTGTTTTTTTTTTAAAGTTAAATATTTATTTTGTGATACAGGTTTTTAAACATATGAAATTGATTTGCAATCAAGACAAATTTTGTTCTTAAAAAGATCATAGGCTGGGCGCGGTGACTCACACCTATAATCCTAGCACTTTGGGAGGCTGAGGCAGGTGGATCACAAGGTCATGAGATCGAGACCATCCTGGCCAACATGGTGAAACCCTATCTCTACTAAAAATACAAAAAAAAAAAACAGCTGGGCGTGGTGGTATATGTGCCTGTAGTCCCAGCTACACGGGAGGCTGAGGCATGAGAATCGCTTGAATCCAGAAGGGGAGGTTGCAGTGAGTTGAGATCACGCCACCGCACTCCAGCCTGGGCAACAGAGCAAGATTCCGTCTTGGGAAAAAAAAAAAAAGAAAGATCACAAATCTAAGATATTAACATAGATAAACTGAAAGTACCAAAATTAAAAGGAAACTCTGCTGACAAAAAAGGGGTATGAAGTAAGGAAAACCCAGGTTAGAATATCAGAAAAATGTTCCATGAAATGAGAGATGATGTTGCTTTAGCCATTTTGGAGCCAGTCTGGGCAAAACCTTAGTGGAAAGAGTTGGAACCTCTACAGGAGCTCTTTAATAATTCATGACTTAATACTAACTCAGGACCAGATTAATCTCTCTTGGCATGCTTACTCATCTGAAAAAGATTTATTAGTAGAAAATTCCTTTTGAGCTGACAGGGAGGCACTTGTCATCAACAGAAGAGAAACCACATACAGTAGCATCTATGCTGATATGTGGATACCAGAGTGATTCATTTTAAGAAAACATGAACTAAATATCCAAGTTTACAGGACAAATTAAGAGCTGATCACATTAAAAATCTGCATGTAAATATCTTTAGAATGAACATATTTCACAGCACTGAATCAAAGCCCAATTCCTTAAGCCTCTTTAATGTGTCTCTAAATTACTTTTCCAGACTTATCTTCCACTATCCACTCTATTCGCTGATCTATCCTGATGCTTGTCAAAGGAGAGATCTGTCCTCTTCTTTCCAAAACTGCGGAGCATGTAAATATCACGTGAAGTTTTACCCAACTTTCCCTGCACCATCATCTCCCACCCAAAAATTCTGCTATGTCCGTTTCCCTAATGACTCTGACAAACTCTGTTGGACTGAAGCATTGCGACTGTCAGAGTCTCTTGGCTTTTTCAAGTGGCTGGGGAGGAAAAGCAGCTGCCAAAAACGTATTGAATTAATTTTTTTCCCATTATCCCTAAGCATCTCTCATTCATTTTGTCCTAAGTCTAGACCGCTGTCCCCTGCTTCCAGTCTACCAAATTCCCCCAGCATACTGCCTCTCTTTATCTTGCATCCTTGAGATCCAGACAGACTTCCACTCCCTGTACCTCTCGTATGTGCCTCATGGTGCCCGTCACTGTGTGTATGTGTGTACTACCTCCCACTGGGACTATAAGCTCTTTAGAAGGCCTTCTGGTTTTTTTTAAGACGGAGTTCTGCTGGTGTTGCCCGGGCTGCAGTGCAGTGGCACAATATCAGCTCACTGAAACCTCCGCTTCCTGGGTTCAAGCGATTCTCCTGTCTCAGCCTCCCGAGTAGCTGCAATTACAGGTACCTGCCGCCATGCCCAGCTGATTTTTGTATTTTTAGTAGAGATGAGGTTTCACCGTGTTGGCCAGGCTGGTCTCGAACTCCTGACCTCAGGTGATCCGCCCACCTCAGCCTCCCAAAGTGCTGGGATTATAGGCATGAGCCACCAAGCCCAGCCTAGAAGGCCTTCCTGTCTGAACCCATTCAAACCCATTCTTCCTCTCTTGAGATGGAAGGAGAACAATAAGAATGAAAATAAAAATGACAATGAACATAATATTAATGATGAGAGTGGTTAGGTCGTGCACGGTGGCTCACATCTGATATCCCAGCACTTTGGGAGGCCAAGGCAGGTGGATCACTTTAGGTCAGGAGTTTGAGACCAGCCTGGCCAACGCAGTGAAACCCCGTCTCTACTAAAAATACAAAATTAGCCAGGCGTGGTAGCCTGCGCGTGTAGTCTCAGCTACTCAAGAGGCTGAGGCGCGAGAATCACTTGTACCTGGGAGGCGGAGGTTGTGGTGAGCTGAGATCACACCACCGTGCTCCAGCCTGGGAGACAAGAACAAAATTCCATCTCAAAAAGAAAAAGAAAAAGAAAATGACAGTGGTAATAACAGTGGCAGCCGCCTCATGGCGAGGGCTTTTTGCTGCCACACCATGGAGTGGTAGTGCCATATGCATTCTTCCAAAGCAACCTTTCAACAAGGCACAGCACCTAGAAGGCACTCATGTTTATTGGCAAAATAAATACAGAACATAACCCTCATTTTACGGATAAAGAAACTGAGATCCAAGAAAGTCACCTGACCCAGGTCATGTAACCAGAGGTGGTGGATGTGGGAACCGACCCTGTTCTGCTGGATTCCTGCATATGCTTCCTCCTCCATGCTACGTTTCCTTGTTGTGGCCTTGAATGTCTGGGAAGGACACAGGAGGAGAGGGTGGCATCCATTTGTGGCAAACAGTGGCCAGCCCTGGAATAGCTACTCAGCCAAATATGCCACTTGTTCTGAATTAAGTAGTAGGAGCAGAGTCAGAGTATCACACATCTGGGAGGCCCTCCAGCGCCCCCTCCCCATATCTGTATTGATAAAGCCCCAGATCGGAGAACAGAATTCTTTTCAAGATTCCCTGGAATAGAATTCTTTTCAAGATTCCCCAGAAGCCAAAGGGCAGGGAAGGAGAATTCTGTCTGGGAGGCAGATCTTTTTCCCGGCATTGACTGAGTGACCTTTGGGATTCTCTGAACTTCTCTGGTCTCATCCATAAAATGAGGAATGTGACCTCGCTGGTTTCAGAGGCCCCTGTATTTCCTCAGAGTTCTGGGCACCTCCCTGGGAGCCCTTTATAAGGTCCTGAACAACTCTGCCAAGATGGACAACAGGAAGGCCTCCTCTGTGCCCTTGTGACTCCCTCGCCCCAAACACAAAGGCCTTAAATGACTTTCTCTTTGTTCTTCCTCAGGGCTGGAAGGGGCTGGTCACCGGCTCCCTTCAGACTTCTCCTTTTCAGCCTCTGGTCATCACCACTCCTTTCGGTCCCCAATCCATGTTGTAACTCGTTCAAGCGTAACACCGCCTAATTATTCTGAGTCATGAGCACAAAATAACTCATTCTGTCAATCACATTCTTTTTTTTCTTTTTCTTTTTAAGATGGAGTCTGGCTCTGTTGCCCAGCTGGAAAGCAGTGGCGCAATCTTGGTTCACTGCAACCTCTGCCTCCTGGGTTCAAGTGATTCTCCTGCCTCAGGTTCCCGAGTAGCTGGGATTATAGGCGCATGCCACCACACCCAACTAATTTTTTTTTTTTTTTTGTATTTTTAGTAGAGATGGGGTTTTGCCATGTTGACCAGGCTCGTCTCGAACTCCTGACCTCAGGTGATCCACCCGCCTCGGCCTCCCAAAGTGCTGGGATTACAGGCGTGAGCCACCATGCCCGGCCAGATGTTTTTTTTTTTTTTAGACAGAGTCTCACTCTGTCGCCCAGGCTGGAGTGCAGTGGTGCAATCTCGGCTCACTGCAAGCTCCGCCTCCTGGATTCATGCCATTCTCCTGCCTCAGCCTCCCGAGTAGCTGGGATTATAGGTGCCTGCCACCATGCCCAGCTAATTTTTTTGTTTTTGTATTTTTAGTAGAGACAGGGTTTCACCGTGTTAGCCAGGATGGTCTCGATCTCCTGAGGGTTTCACCGTGTTAGCCAGGATGGTCTCGATCTCCTGACCTCGTGAGCCGCCCACCTCGGCCTCCCAAAGTGCTGGGATTACAGGCGTGAGCCACCGAGCCCGGCAATTGATGTTTTTTTTTTTTTTTTTTGCTTTCTTTTTCAAATTTATTTACCTATAGTTTTGTTGTTGTTGTTGTTGTTGTTGTTGTTTTAGTATTTATTGATTATTCTTGGGTGTTTCTCGGAGAGGGGGATGTGGCAGGGTCACAGGATAATAGTGGAGAGAAGGTCAGCAGATAAACACGTGAACAAAGGTCTCTGGTTTTCCTAGGCAGAGGTCCCTGTGGCCTTCCGCAGTGTTTGTGTCCCTGGGTACTTGAGATTAGGGAGTGGTGATGACTCTTAACGAGCATGCTGCCTTCAAGCATTTGTTTAACAACAAAGCACATCTTGCACCGCCCTTAATCCATTTAACCCTGAGTTGACACAGCACATGTTTCAGAGAGCACGGGGTTGGGGGTAAGGTTAAAGATTAACAGCATCCCAAGGCAGAAGAATTTTTCTTAGTACAGAACAAAATGGAGTCTCCTATGTCTACTTCTTTCTACACAGACACAGTAAAAATCTGATCTCTCTTTTCCCCACGTTTCCCCCTTTTCTTGATGACAAAACTGCCATCGTCATCATGGCCCGTTCTCGATGGTCGCTGTCTCTTCGGAGCTGTTGGGTACACCTCCCAGATGGGGCAGCCGGGCAGAGATGCTCCTCACTTCCCAGACGGGGCGGCCAGGCAGAGGCGCTCCTCGCTTCCCAGACGATGGGCGGCCGGGCAGAGGCGCTCCCCACCTCCCAGACGGGGCGGCCGGGCAGAGGCGCTCCCCACTTCCCAGACGGGGCGGCCGGGCAGAGGCGCTCCCCACTTCCCAGACGGGGCGGCCGGGCAGAGGCGCTCCCCGCTTCCTAGATGGGGCGGCCGGACAGAGGCGCTCCCCACTTCCCAGACGGGGCGGCTGCTGGGCAGAGGCGCCCCTCACCTCCCAGACGGGGCGGCCGGGCAGAGACGCCCCTCACCTCCCAGACGGGGTGGCCAGGCAGAGGCGCTCCCCATTTCCCAGATGGGGTGGCAGCCGGGCAGAGGTGCTCCTCACATCCCAGACAGGGCGGCCAGGCAGAGGCGCTCTTCACTTCCCAGACGGGGCGGCCGGGCAGAGGCGCTCCTCGCTTCCTAGACAGGGCGGCTGGGCAGAGGTGCTCCCCACTTCCCAGACGGGGTGGCGGCCGGGCAGAGGCACTCCTCACTTCCTCCCAGACGGGGCGGCTGGGCAGAGGCGCTTCTCACTTCCTAGACAGGGCAGCCAGGCAGAGGCTCTCCCCACTTCCCAGATGGGGTGGCAGCCAGGCGGAGGTGCTCCTCACTTCCTCCCAGACGGGGCGGCCGGGCAGAGGCGCTCCCCATTTCCCAGATGGGGTGGCAGGGCAGAGGCGCTCCTCATCTCCCAGACGGGGCAGCCGGGCAGAGGCGCTCCTCATCTCCCAGACGGGGCAGCCGGGCAGAGGCGCTCCCCATTTCCCAGATGGGGCGGCAGGGCAGAGGCGCTCCTCACATCGCAGACGATGGGCAGTCCGGCAGAGACGCTCCTCACTTCCTAGACAGGGTGGCGGCCGGGCAGACGCACTCCTCACTTCCTAGACGGGGCGGCCAGGCAGAGGGGCTCCTCACTTCCTAGACAGGGCAGCTGGGCAGAGGCGCCCCCCACTTCCCAGACGGGGTGGTGGCCGTGCAGAGGCGCTCCTCACATCCCAGACGGGGCAGCCGGGCAGAGGCTCTCCTCACTTCCCAGATGGGGCGGCAGGGCAGAAGCGCTCCTCATCTCCCAGATGGGGCAGCCGGGCAGAGGCACTCCTCACTTCCTCCTAGACTGGGCGGCCAGGCAGAGGTGCTCCTCATTTCCCAGATGGGGTGGCAGGGCAGAAGCGCTCCTCATCTCCCAGATGGGGCGGCCGGGCAGAGGCACTCCTCACTTCCTCCTAGACTGGGCGGCCAGGCAGAGGCGCTCCTCATTTCCCAGATGGGGCGGCCAGGCAGTGGCGCTCCTCACTTCCCATTCGGGCAGCTGGGCAGAGGCGCTCCTCACTTCCTCCCAGATGGGGCCGCCGGGCAGAGGCGCTCCTCACTTCCTCCCAGATGGGGCAGCCGGGCAGAGGCGCTCCTCACTTCCCAGATGGGGCGGCCAGGCAGAGGCGCTCCTCACATCCCAGACGATGGGCAGTCCGGCAGAGACGCTCCTCACTTCCTAGACGGGGTGGCGGCCGGGCAGAGGCACTCCTCACTTCCCAGACGGGGCGGCCGGGCAGAGGCGCTCCTCACATCCCAGACGATGGGCGGCCAGGCAGAGGCTCACTTCCTAGACAGGTTGGCGGCCGGGCAGAGGTGCTCCTCACTTCCCAGACGGGGTGGCCGGGCAGAGGGGCTCCTCACATCCCAGACGATGGGTGGCCAGGCAGAGACGCTGCTCACTTCTTAAGACGGGGTGGCGGGCGGGCAGAGGCTGTAATCTTAGCACTTTGGGAGGCCAAGGCAGGCGGCTGGGAGGTGGAGGTTGTAGCGAGCTGAGATTACGCCACTGCATTCCAGCCTGGGCAACATTGAGCATTGAGTGAGCGAGACTCCGTCTGCAATCCCAGCACCTGGGGAGGCCGAGGCGGGCAGATCACCTGAGGCCAGGAGCTGGAGACCAGCCCGGTCAACGCGGCGAAACCCCGTCTCCACCAAAAATACAAAAACCAATCAGGAGTGGGGGCGCAGTGCCTGGAATCCCAGGCACTCGGCAGGCCGAGGCAGAAGAATCACGGGAGCCTGAGGCAGGGAGGTTGCAGCGAGCCGAGATCATGGCAGTACAGTCCAGGCTCGGCAAGAGAGGGAGACCGTAGAAAGGAGAGAGGGAGAGGGGGAGAGGGGGAGAGAGAGGATGTTTTCTTAAAAACAGGTATTTCACCGTCTTAAACCTGCCATCTTTCTGAGAATAAACTTGGAGCAGTGCGGGCATGCCCTCTCCACCAATCTGGGTGGCCGGAAGGGGACGTGAATGTTTTTTGAACGTTAACGTACTACACATTGTGCTAAATGCTTTAATGTGCATTTCTTAAAAATCTGCTCAGCCTTTCAAAGTCAGGGTGTTCTCCTCTTTTTTCAGGTGAGGGAGTGGAAGTTCAGGGAGATTAAATCATTAGCCTACAGTCACAAGGTAACTCAGGAGCTGAGGGCTAAACCTAGTTCTGCCAGGCTTCAAAACTCTTGCTTTTCCTGCCATACCAGATGACTGTTGTAGGGGGAGCCACGGCTGACTTTCCCACTAAGCCAGCAGGCACAGTGCTGAGGGCCCATGCCACCTTCAGGGACCCATAAAAGTGTTTCCTTTTAAATATCTTTTTAAATAAGCAGAAAAAAAAATAAACGTAATAGTAATGAATAGACACTAATGAATCCAGCTGTATCTTTTGTTTTTTTGTTTTTTGTTATTTTGAGAGGAGTCTTGCTCTGTTGCCAGGCTGGAGTACAGTGGTGTGATCTGGCCTCACTGCAACCTCAGCCTCCTAGGTTCAAGTGATTCCCCTGCCTCAGTCTCCCAAGTAGCTGGGAATACAGGTGTACGCCACCACACCCAGCTAATTTTTGTGTGTGTGTGTATTTTAGTAGAGACGGGGTTTCACCATGTTGGCCAGGATAGCCTTGATCTCCTGACCTCGTGATCTGCCTGCCTCAGCCTCCCAAGTGTTGGGATTACAGGTGTGAGCCACCGCGCCCGGCCTCCAGCTGTATCTTTATACCAACACAGCCATAAAATACTATTTTTACTTTTTTTTTTTTTTTTTTTAATGGAGGAAAAGACCCATCATGTGCCTAAAAAATGCCTTTTGCCAGGCACGGTGGCTCACGCCTATAATCCCAGCACTTTGGGAAGCTGAGGCGGGCGGATCACAAGGTCAGGAGTTCAAGACCAGCCTGGCCAACATGGTGAAACCTTGTCTCCACTAAAAATGCAAAAAAATTAGCCAGGCACGGTGGCGGGCGCTTGTAATCCCAGCTACTCGGGAGTTTGAGGCAGGAGAATTGCTTGAACCCGGGAGGCGGAGGTTGTAGTGAGCCGAGATCATGCCACTGCACTTTAGCCTGGGTGACAGAGCAAGACTCCATCTCAGAAAAAAAAAAAATGCCTTTCATAATGATACACAAAAGTTCTAAGGTGCCTCCTGCACAGAGCCATTGCTTTCAATGCTGACTTTCTCTCTCTGGGCCCAGGCCAGCTGCCGTAAGGAAATGCCCAGGAGATAGAGTCTATTTGCTCCAAAAGCTGCAACTCCATCCCATCTTTCTCCTGCTTATTGAAATGCAGATTTGATATTAACTCCACATTGAAAGGATCATGTGAAATCTGATCGAAGTAAACGAACCAAACATAAGACAGTCATGTTTCAGGACACAGAGACACACAGGAATGTTGACATCCACTTTGTTATGACTCAAAAAAAATGAAATTCACACAGGCAGGAGGCTAAATGCAGTTGTTATGCCTGGGATATGCACCATCCAAGGTAAAAATGATTTTGAGGTTTTAAGGAAGACGGGAGCTCATCCCGGCAATGGCTTCATCTCCCTGCTCCTGAGGCTGAAAACTCATCCTAGACAGGCTGCATCAGGTAGAGCCCCCACCTACCTGAAAGGCGACTCTTGAGCTTGATTTTATTGCTGCCCTGTTTGGGACTTTCCAAGTTCCCCTTGGATTCCTCAGCACCGCACACATCTTGGGGTTCATCTGTCCCAGGCATCTGAAATGCAGAAAGCACAGAGCTGATGGGAGAGCCCAGCCCTGCGATGACTTATGCTGTCCCCCTCCACAATGTTATCTCAAGGCTCAAGGAGCAGCAATACAGGTGTTATGTGAGAAGAAGGACCACGGGATCAAAGCACAGCCCTTCAGATAAGCTGCATTCGCAACGCCTTGCATTGGCCAATTCCTCCTCAGCACGCGTCTCACCGCCCAGCATGGAACCAGGGGCCCCCAGTCCTCCTCAGCACACGTCTCACTGCGCAGCATGGAACCAGGGCCCCCAGGGCCACTTCGTCTTCCATCCTACACCTGAGGACACTTGTTGGTCAGTTACCCAGGTGGTCTCCCAGTGGTCAACGACAAAGCTACAACGCAAGCCCAGGTCTCTTGACCTGTAGGCCAGTGCTTTTTCCCACAATGCAAGTTGCAACAAATATTAAACCAGAAATTCAAACCCAGTTCTAAGGTTTCTAAAATACAGTAAAAATTTGATTTTATGGCAGCTATACATTTTAGTCAACCAAATGTTCTGTGTGCTATGCTCCGGAGTGAGTATTGATCAGACGGCTCCTGGAATCAAGCTCAGCCCCAGGCACCCTGGAGGCGTCGACATGAGGTCAGCCCACACATCTGGAAGTTGTGTGACCCCAGGAGGTGATACACAAAGTCTGATCCCAAGGCTCACTGGGTCCTCCATCCTAGAGAAACCCAACATGCTAAAAACAAAACAAAACCCCCATTTACTAGAGAAGAAAATGAGACACATGCACTTCAGAGTGTTTATAAAAAATTGTGGGGTAAATTTACATGTACAAGACTTTTGAGATACATCAAACAATAAATCTTCCCATTTGAAATTTTATTTTCCTTTGAGGTTCTAGAGGAAAACAGTCTTATATTAAAATAGGTAATATTCTCACTAAGTAAGATATACATACTTAAAAAGGCATATAAGGTATCAAGTAAAGAAAGGTTGATGAGGCCGGGTGCAGTGGCTCATGCCCGGAGGCAGAGGTGGGCGGATCACGAGGTCAGGAGATCGAGACCATCCTGGCTAATGGCTAAAACAGTGAAACCCCGTCTCTACTAAAAATACAAAAAATTAGCCGGGTGTGAAATTAGCCGGGCATGGTGGCGGGTGCCTGTAGTCCCAGCTACTCGAGAGGCTGAGGCAGGAGAACTGATTGAACTCGTGAGGCAGACGTTGCAGTGAGCCGAGATCACGCTACTGCACTCCAGCCTGGGCGACAGAGCGAGACTCTGTCTCAAAACAAACAAACAAACAAAACAAAACAAAACAAAGGTTGATGATGAAAAGATTCCTGGCTTCTCTTAAAGATGCCATTCAGCCTGACAGTTGTCTGGAGTTCATGACTATGAAGTTAAACTCAACTGGCAGGAATCTTCCTCCCAATTGGGGTTGGGAGAAATCAACCTGGTCCTACTTAAAGTGCTTTTTGTATGTATTCAAAAGCTTCTTGATTTGCATTTTCTCTTACCAGTTATCAAAAGGTGATGTAATTATAGTGTCACTTCTCACCCTCAAATTAACAGGTAATGAAAATTATATGTTGTATATTAAATTCAGTATATAGCTGGGTACAGTGGCGGGTGCCTGTAGTCCCAGCTATTCAGGAGGGTGAGACAGGAGGATCACTTGAGCCCAGGAGGTCAACATCAGCAGCCTGGGCAACATCGCAAGACCCTTTCTTTCTCTTAAAAAAAAATTCACCTGAGGTCAGGAGTTCAAGACCAGCCTAGCCAACATGGTGAAACCCTGTCTTTACTAAAAATACAAAAACTAGCTGGGTGTGGTAGCACACACCTGTAATCCCAGCTACTTGGGAGGCTAAGGCTGGAGAATCACTTGAACCTGGGAGGCGCAGGTTGCAGTGAGCCGAGATCACGCCACTGCACTCCATCCTAGGTGACAGAGCTAGACTCCATCTCAAAAAAGAAAAAAAAAAATTCAATACATAAAAACGTATAAAGTAAGCAGTTAGAGTAATTACGTAGGTAATCTCTTTTAAGAAATAATTGTTTATATACAAATTCTGTATACAATATGTAAAGTTTGGAAGATTCCCTCTTCCTCCTCAAGTTCAAGTATCTTTCTGGGTTAGAAACAGGAATAAAAAGGTCTGAGAATGAGGAAACGTAGGCAAAATTGAGAAAGGGGCATTGAGAAAACAAATTAATTCTGACATACAAAACAAAGGTAATAAATCTGTTGCATTCATATTACCTTATCAGGAACTGGCAGGTGTTCAGGTTTAAATTGTGAAGAAAAAGCAGGAACAGAATCTTGAGGGTGATTTTAGAGATTCCCTGGAGGGATGTCTTTCCCAACCCCAAATCCTGACATCAATATGTACACAGAGAAGAAAGAGCCATCTCTGAGACATCCTGAGCTCTGGGCCACATACAAATGGAAGAATCTAGAGAAAAGCCTTAGAGCCTCCCCTTTGCTTGACTTAAAAACTTTATGCAAAGAACCTGTCTCCAGGTTCTTTCCATACTGTCTCCAGACTGTGAACAGCAATTACCAGAGAGTGAGTTAAATTCCTGGTTCCAGCTGGGCGTGATGGCTCACGTCTGTAATCACTTTGGGAAGCGGAGACGGGTGGATCACTTGAGGCCAGGAGTTCAAGACCAGCCCGGCCAACATGGTGAAACCCCACTTCTACAAAGAATACAAAAATTAGCTGTGCATAGTGGCACGTGCCTGTATAATCCCAGCTACTCTGAAGGCTAAGGCACAAGAATAGCTCGAGCCTGGGAGGCAGAGGTTCCAGCGAGCTGAGATTGCGCCACTGCACTCCAGCCTGGGTGACAGAGCGAGACTCTGTGTCAAAAAAAAAAAAAAAAAAAAAATTCCTGGTTCCTTCTGATAATACCACCTGACCCAGGCTATCGACCTTCAGAGTAAGGGATTCCCTGGCTTGTAAGACATTACCGCCTTTGGTGCCTACTAAATGGGTAGCTTATTACACAGTGGCCAAGGTCCCAAACGTTGGAAAGTCTGTCTGAGATGCTCATGCCGAGCAAGGAAAACCATGCCAGCCTATTGTTTCTGGACTTAGGAAGTTTTCTGCATCTGTCTTCTCCTTTATTTTCCCAACACAGCCCCAGGTTTTCATAGGATCAGAGACATTTTGGAGATGATACAAGCACTTCTGAGCACCTGAGAAGGAAAGGAGCCTGCCTGAAAGGTTTCTGGTCATGATAGACAGATTCAGTTTCTATGATCTACAAAATGCCAGTAGGTTTTTTATGTCAAAGAAATCTTATGCTAAAGATGGTATATGTGAGCCAGACGTGGTGGTTCACACCTGTAATCCCAGCACTCTGGAAGGCCGAGGTGGGCAGATTTCTTGAGGCCAGGAGTTCAAGACCAGCCTGGCCAACATGGCGAAACCCCATCTCTACTAAAATACAAAAATTAGCCGGGTGTGGTGGTGAGTGCCTGTAGTCCAAGCTACTTGGGAGGCTGAGGAAGGAGGATTGCTTGAAACCAGGAGGCAGAGGTTGCAGTGAGCCGAGATCGCGCCACTGCATTCCAGCCTGGGCAAAAGAGCGAGGCTCTGTCTCAAAAAAAAAAAAAAGAGAGATGGTGTATGTGGCTACCTAATGCCTGTAGCTAGAGCCAGTAAGAATGGACCTAGAGATATCTCAAAGAGTTGCAAGCAGAGAGCTCTTGCTGTTGAGCAAGGAAGGAGTGACATCTTATTTCAGAACCCACTGAAAGGGTTAGCAGTGGGGAATGAATTTAAATGGAACTGTTTCCTCTTATAACAAAAAACTGTTTTTTCGTTGAGTTTGTTGTGATATTAGACGACTTGTAACTCACTGAACAGGAAGTGGGTTGCTTAGACACATTCATTCCAGATTATGTCAGGAAGTAGCAATATAAAATGCAATTTTGATTACACTTTGACTATTGTCTGAAAATGTCCACACTCTAAGAGAGTCCCTTTTCTGTGTGTGGTTTTGTTCCCAATGCACAGAGCAAACTGTTCTGGAAATGATGTCATTTTAGCTGTTCTGAAACGAAATTTGCAAAATGTTCTCCTGGAAGGCCTTCAGTTCAGCGAAACAGTTGATAAAATCTATTATTCATGAGCAGTTTCTAATTCATGTGTTACAAAACAATGCCATTATTGCTTCTCGGCCTCTTGGCTAACATCAAGTGTAGTACAAAACAATCCCATTATATTAATGGAGTCTCATAGAATTTGCCAATTTCCATGGTAGAGCCTTCCTGTTTGCATCATTTTCCACACCTGTAACATACACAGCACTCAATGAAGAAGCATCTTTAGCATCTGATTTTGTAGAGAGGTAGTGGGGCAGAGTGGTTGAGAATCCGGCCAGCTACCTGGGCACAAATCCTGATTATACCATTTTACTGCAGTTTAGGCACGTCAGTCAACCTCTTTGAACGTCAGTGTCCTCATCTGAAAAATGGGCCTGCATTTGGGAATTAAATAACATAGGTTTCTGACTAAAGGTGGCAGATTTCTCCTGATTTCCCTTTGAAACCACACTAACATGACAGGGAAAATTTTTTTTAGGAAAAGACAGACATAATTTACAAGGATAAAGAAAACAGAAGACAAAAGCAACAAATTCTGGAAACCAGCAAGCTGACAACCACGTGGCAATGGATCTGACTTGAGAAAGCTGAATCCTAAGTGTGGACTGGAGAAGGCTGAACGTTCACACAGAGAACTCCCCCAAAGCTCAGAAGTTGCCAGAAGAGGACCTCTGGAAGTGGGCATGAAGGCGGAAGCAGTGGCCCAAGGAACGACCGAGAGAGTGAAAGTGACCGACGTGGCCACTGATTTACACAGGTCTGATTCCGAGGCAGATTCTCAGGGGCTGAGAATGGCCTAGGGAAACTTTGAGGTGCATCAGAATCAGCAGGAAAGCTAACAAAGAACACAGAGACCAGGCTCATGGAAGAGGAACAGGGCCTGGGCCTCTGGAATTCACCACTGCCCTGGGCCAACAGAACCAGCCTCCAGTGGAACTGGACACGGAACTAAGCTGCGACTTCCCAGTTCTTCCTGCTCTCCCCCACGTTTACTTCAGAAATGAAGAAGAGAAGAAATGAAAGCTTCTCAGCTGTACCTGAGTAGCCCACCAGCCAACAAATAAGGGTGACTGTCATGTTGCTCCCTATTCAGAGTATACATATTTTAATCAGTGATTTATGGAAACTTGTTCTGCTCAATGTATAAACTATAAGCACAGGAGGTGTATGCAGAGTATAATGCAATTTACATGTGCCATAGGCAGCAGCACGGATTGTGCCTGTAACATATTGATCATTGATATCCAAGGCAGTTTTTTCATTATGTGAAATAGGAACAATCGTATTTATGTTTAAAGAGTTAAAAATACCTTGCAATTGTCTTACAGGGTTATCATGAGGGTTAAAAAGAAATTCACTGTGGAGTACCTAATGTGTATCATAAGAATATAGGTAAGGTTTAGTCGAAATTAAAGAAATAAAAAGGCCCAAGCTTTCTCCCCCCAGGTCTCAGGGTGCCTCCAGATTTGATGATTACATAGACTGTAGCTCTAGACTGCAGAGATATACATTTCAACTTCATACCTATGGAAAGTGGCAGATTTCATTAAAGAATAAAGAGAAACCAATGGAGATCCAAAGACATGCCATCTTCTTTGAAGATGGGGAAAAAAGCCCTTTAATAAAATTACTGCAAAACTCACAGCTAAGAAGCCATTTTTAAAGGCATGTGCCTGAAATGCTCAGTTTTTAGAAATCAGGTTTGCGCACAAGAACAAGGAGGATTTGAAAACATGCTCTGGTCCCTGATCAGAATAGGCGTAGTGGAAAAGAGAAAATAAAGAAATACATGATGACTAACTAGAGAAAAAGGGATACTTCCTTAAAAGAGATCTTAGACAACAGACTCCAGAGTCTGATGAGTAACTGGGATTGTGAAGTCCCAGAGCACAGTGATGTATGGAAAAGACTCTTGACGGTTCCTATCTTAAAGGGTCTGTCACAAAAGTAGGGAGATGCTACGTTATTCCTAAATTAGTGGGGGTGACTGGGACCTGAAGAAAGCTACCTGAGAGTCAAAACCACAGGGAAGAGAGTGGAATTCCAGGCCCAGAAAACATGAGACAAATGATTTTAAGACTGCAGAGGAAGAGCTTTGGAAGGATAATCTGGGACAGCTCTCCCAAGAGAGATCAGCATATGCGGACAGACTTGAAGGCAAAACTGCAGGGAAGACCGAGAAGAATGAAAAAAATCCTCAGTAAATTCTAACAGAACACAGTTATCGGTCATTGCTCTGATGAAAGTGGGCCGAGAAATGCATGAAATGAGGGACTCTAAAGGGAGTAAATATGAGAAATACCAAGGGGGTGGGGCCTGGCAGGAGGAGAATAGGCTAGAACTTGATGCTGGCCTGATAGGAGAACATTTCCTAGGTGGAATTAGCTAACGCAGAGCCAGTGGTGGTCAGCATGCATTTGAACAATGGATATTTCACTAAATAGAAGAGTCATTGATTTCATCTCTTTCACAGTGATGGACCCTGTATATTATCTAGATTAGTATGTTAGGAAAAAAGGTCTGAGTCAGAAACAAAGAAACAGTAGAAATACTTTTTAAAAAACACCCAAATTCAGCATGCAAACCTATAAAGAAGAAATGGAACTAATTTAAGCAGCAGGTAAAAAGGAAACTCAATTAAGTCTTTCCCAAAGGGGAAGGATATGAATCACTACAGACATATCCAATTACTGCCCCAAAATATGTAGGAGAAAGCAATGCCACGTGATCCCTGGGACACTCAAAACCTGAGAAAAAACTAATCCCAAGGAAGAGGCGGCAGAGGTATTAGCCCTTACTAGCTCATTAGGGGCACAAGCTCTAGAATCATCAACAGAAGGTCTGGATCATGAATCTGCGGAGGGTGTTTTTCCAGCTCAACAAATGTGGAAGGAGAGATGAAGCTTTCTTCAGTCTAAGCACTTCCATGCCAAGAGGCAGTGGAAATGGAAAATGTGGCCCAGGACTGACTGAACATTCCTGCTTTTAAGAAGGTAGAGCTCCATCAGAGGCACCATCTACACCCAATGCAGCACGCCATGAAGCCCTTTACTTTTATGTCAAAGTGAAAATGCCAGTCAAGAAGCTACTGAATACACACAGAAAGCACTTGAAGTAGGACCGGGTTGATTTCCCTCCAACTCCAGTTGGGAGGAAGATTCCTGCCAATTGGCTTTAAGTTCATGGTCGTGAACTCCAGACAACTGTCAGACTGACTGGCATCTTTAAGAGAAGCCAAGAATCTTTTCCTCATCAACCTGCCTTTTCTTGATATTACTGAGTCTCTCTGGTCTGCCCTATTGGGAGGTAATTCTCCCTGGGTCTCTTGCATTTCTGCATGGCGTGCAAACAGAGACAGAGGCTGTTGTTACATGGAATTATCTGTCTTTCCAGGGATGTTTGTAGAGTGAACAGCCTTGAAAGTTAGATAGTGTCTCAGGAGGAAGGGACAGGTTCCTTCCTCTGGTGCAAAGGTTGGTCAGGTCTGCTTCTAGCCCATCATAAAAGACTGAGGTTGCCTATGGTGAGGGATCCTCAGCTGTGATGCAAATCCACTGCATGTGCACACCCCCGAGCCTGTGTCACCGCCACAGGACTTGCAGGGGAAAGGGGAAATGATGTGAACATAAAGCCCTAAATAAACTGGGGTTAAATCCTAAAAACTGGGATTAGGGAAGCTAAAATCTAGTTGCTGTGCCATGAGTAATAAAAAGTCATTTGTCTCTGACTCAGGAATCTCAAGTCTCCTGCCAGCATCCATGAAACTATAGTGGAAAAGCTTTTTTTTTTTTTTTTTTTTTTTTACAGTTCTTGATACTACCTTTGGCAAATTTAAATAAGGTCCCAAGAACAAAATCTTGCCTAGGACAACTGTCTAGGGACTGGGGTTTGGGTCATCTTTCTAAATGTTAAGGGCGTGGGGACAATGTTTTGATACTATTGAGGGTCCACTTACTTTTTTTTATTTGCATATCACTAAAAAGTAAAGCACATGAGAGACTTGCTGTTGAATGAATTCAGTCTTCTTGGAGCTGGAAAAAACTGTATTTATTCCTGTGGAAAACAGCCCAGGCTGCAGATGCTGAAAAACACAATCTTTTTCCAGCATCCAGCACCAAGGATCTCCTTAACTAAGAATGAGCAAAATAATGGCTGGGCGCGGTGACTCACGCCTGCAATCCCAGCAATTTGGGAGGCCAAGGCAGGCGGATCACTTGAGGTCAGGAGTTCCAGACCAGCCTGGCCAACCTGGTGAAACCCCGTCTCTACTAAAAATACAAAAATTAGCTGGGTGTGGTGGCACATGTCTATAATCCCAGCTACTCGGGAGGCTAAGGCAGGAGAATTCCTTGAATCCGGGAGGCAGAGGTTGCAGTGAGCCAAGGTTGTGCCACTGCACTCCAGCCTGGGCAACAAGAGCGAGACTCTGTCTCAAAAAAAAAAAAAAACAAAAAAAACAAAAAAAAAAAATAGAAGGAGCAAAATAAGAAATAGGAGAGATCAAAGGAGGCCATTAAGGGCTTTGGTTTTTTTTAAACACAAAAAGTCAAGGAAATTTAAGTTGAGATGTTAATTACTTTAGATTTTAAGATCTTTGGATTATGACCTACAAGGGCATTTAATTTATTTGAACATTATTATGTTGACATTTTATATCATTGCAGAACCTCTGAAAAGTTGCACTAGACAATGTGGCTAGAAATAATTTTGGATGAGAAATACCACAGGGACTGAGTTTTAGTTTCTGGCAAATTTCGTCTTCTAGGGGTGGGGGGCAAACCATCATTGCCCATGAGACAGGCCTCTTAGGTCCAAGCTAAATATCCTTAGAAATATCCTGTAACTGTTTCAAAGCATTTGTGAGCTCTCCTGGAACACACTGTGACTAATAGCATGTCGCAATCCTGAGTATCCGCTGTCTTTCTCAGCCAGCTCTTGCAGCCTTACGAACAAACCATGCAAAGCGTGGCTTTTATCTCCAGCTGTTTCCTTTGTGCAAGCTTGCCTAGTCCCAAAGAAAACTTCAGGACTGGTTGCACCCAGTTCTCACCATGTTTTTATGGTTCCCAAGACTTGAAAAAAAAAGAAAAAATCTGCAGATGTGACAGAAGACATCTAAGCTCCAAATCCCCAGGAAGCTCTGTTGGCTCATTCCCCGGTCAGTGTCCATAGGACAGTGGAACGCAGCGATTTCCCTTTCAGGCTTCAGTCACACTAAGATTATTTTTAGGTTGCCAAAGGAAGCTCATTTTCCAAGTCTCTGGGGCAGATGTTTGAGTGACCGAAGGAGAACCAGATGGTCATCAGAGAGGCCTGGGCTGGGAATGAATAACCATTCAGAAAATGGGAATCAGGACAACAATAAATCAGCACAAAGTAGCAAGAAGCCTGCAAGTTACGTGTAGAAATTAAAACAGGAATCTACTGCTACACTCGACCCGCTGCTTTCCAATCAAGAGAGTAACTCAGAACTAAAGAGGAAAACAGCAACACCACAAAGTCAAACTCGTCAACCCTGGGCGTGCTCTGGTACACGCCGGGCATGTGTGCATAGATCAGAGGTTGTCAGATGCAGCTGGGAGTGGGGGGAGCCGCAACTGATGCCCACTGCGACGCTCAGGCTGTGGCTCCGCAAATGAATTAATACTGCCCTTGTTCTAGCTAAGCCCATTTCCAGCTTCCTCCCATTCATCACCCCCAAACAATTTGAATGGGCTTAACACACATTGAGAGTGATTATTTTTATGCGTTGAAATTTAAAGAGATCTCTTGGTTCCTTAGAAAGTTGAGGTAATCACCTTTAAGGGCACAGGAATGTAATCAGTCATTAGCTTGTAACTGACCCTCTTGCAGTGGGTTTGTATGTGTCATGTTCCCAAGAGAGGCTAGTGTCCTCTAGTAACTCTCAGCTCTTTGAAAATAACAGGGGGGCCAGGCATGGTGGCTCACGCCTGTAATTCCAGCACTTTGGGAGGCCGAGGCGGGTGGAGCACCTGAGGTCAGGAGTTCAAGACCAGCCTGGCCAACATGGTGAAACCCCGTCTCTACTAAAAGTACAAAAAATCAGCCGGGCGTGGTGGCACACACCTGTAATCCCAGTTACTCAGGAGGCTGAGGCAGGAGAATTGCTTGAGCCCGGGAGGCAGAGACTGCAGTGAGCCGAGATCGTGCCACTGCACTCCAGCCTGGGCGACAGAGCGAGACTCTGTCTCAAAACAAAAACAAAAAACAAAAACAACAAAAAAAGGAAACAACAGGGGATGTGGAGGTCAAGGAGGAGAATGCATGTGTTCAACCTTAGTACAGATTTCAAATTGAGGTAAGGTAATAACAGGCATCCTCTGGGAAGTGGAACTCTCTCACTCTTGCCATGGTCCCATGACCTAGTGGGTGAGAAAACTATGGGGTCTGGAGCTATTCTTTGGATTTGGGGGCTGGCTACTCAAGGTAGACCCTTGGGTCATTTCTCAGCAGTGTTGGCTACCAGGTTCATTGCATTGGATGTATTTCTGGAAGTAGGACTATGATATGCTTTAAACACCAGAATGACAAAATCAGGTGTGTGTGTGTGTGTGCGTGCGTGCACGTGCACGCATACACATGCATACAGGAAAATCTCAAGACATGTAAAAGGTAGTGGTGGGAAGGCTGTTAAAAAAAGAAAGGCATGTAAAAGAGCCCTAAGAAGTACACAAGGCTGGGCGCAGTTGCTCACGCCTGTCATCTCAGCACTTTGGGAGGCGGAGGCGGGCGGATTGCTTTGAGCCCAGGAGTTCAAGACCAGCCTGGGCAACATCACAAGACCCCGTCTCTACAAAAAATACAAAATCTAGCTGGGTGTGGTGGCACATGCCTGTAGTCTCAGCTACTTGGGAGGCTGAGGTGGAAGAATAGCTTGAGCCCAGAAGATGGAGGTTGTAGTGAGCCAAGATTGTGCCACTGCACTCTAGGCTGGGTGACAGAGCCAGACACTGTTACCAAAAAAAAAAAAAAATAGTAGTCAACAGGACAATTAGCAGGAAAGGAAGCAAGAGGTGAATTGTCAGAAGGGGCCCTGATACAGCAGCAGAGTCAAATCCAATTCAGCAGCAACAGTAAACATACCAGGCTCTTTTTTAGACAAATCTTTCAGAAAATGTGTCATACTCTTACATGGATTATTGTAACAGAAAAAGATTGTTTTAACTGGGCATGCCATTTAGGCAGGTTTTAGGTGAAAAGTAAGACATCGTGGCCTGGGCTTGTTGGCTCACGCCTGCAGTCCCAGCACTCTGGGAGACTGAGGCAGGTGGATCACTTGAGGTCAGGGGTTGAGACCAGCCTGGGCAACATAGTGAAATCTTGTGTCTACTAAAAACACAAAAATTAGCTGGGCATTGTGGAGGGCACCTGTAATCCCAGCTACTAGGGAGGCTGAGGCAAGAGAATCACTTGAAACGGGAGGTGGAGGTTGTAGTGAGCCGAGATCATGCCACTGCCCTCCAGCCTGGGTGACAAGAGTGAGACTGTTTCCAAAAAAAAAAAAAAAAAAAAAAAAAAAAGCATCATGGTTACATTTGGGCTCACTAGTTGTTTTTTGTTTGTTTGTTTGTTTGTTTGTTTGTTTTGTGACAGAGTTTCACTCTTGTTGTCCAGGCTGGAGTGCAATGGCGCGATCTTGGCTCACCACAACCTCCACCTCCCGGGTTCAAGTGATTCTCCTGCCTCAGCCTCCCATGTAGCTGGGATTACAGGCATGTGCCACCACGCTCGGCTAATTTTGTATTTTTAGTAGAGACAGGGTTTCTCCATGTTGGTCAGGCTGGTCTTGAACTCCTGACCTCAGGTGATCCGCCCTCCTCAGCCTCCCAAAGTGCTGGGATTACAGATGTGAGCCACCGCACCCGGCCAGGGCTCACTGTTAAGTTCCAGGCAGCACTCTCTGGCCTTCCGCTGCCTTCCCCAGATCAATATGAGCTCCTTGCTGCTTCTTTCCTTCCTTCTTTTTCCTTCCTTTCTTTCTAGGAATAGTGTTGAGTTCATGGGCTTTGCTGACATATATTTCTAAGGGCAGGCGCTTCTTTAAGATAATCTGTTGGGAAAGCTGAGATGCTGGTGAGCCCACAGGAAGGAGCAAAAAGAGAGGCTGTTCCAGGCTCACAAATGATCACCTACAGCAGGGCTCAGCCAACATGCCTGGGGGCCAAATCTGGCCCAGCACTTGTTTTTGTCAAGTTTTACTGGAACACAGTCATGCCCATTTATTTATTGTTTATGGCTGCTTTCAAAGTACAAAGGCAGAGGTGAGCAGTTGAAACAAAGACTGTTTGGCTAGCAAAGCCTGAAATGCTTATTATGTGGTCCTTCAGTTGTAACTCCTCATCTACAACGGAGCCCCCATCCATGGGGCATATGTGCCAAACCCCACGTTTCTTTCTTTCCTTTTCTTTTTTTTCTTTCTTTTTTTTTTTGAGATGAAGTCTTGCCCTGTCGCCTAGGCTGGAGTTCAATAGCACAATCTTGGCTCACTGCAACCTCCACCTCCCGGATTCATGCGATTCTCCTGCCTCAGCCTCCTGAATAGCTGGGATAACAGGAGTGCACCACCACACCCAGCTAATTTTTGTAGTTTTAGTAGAGACGAGGTTTCGCCATGTTGGCCATATTGGTCTCAAACTCCTGACCTCAGGTAATCTGCCCGCCTTGGCCTCCCGAAGTACTGGGATTACAGGGATGAGCCACCATGCCCGGCCCCGTTAATTGGAACATGTTTCTGTTCACGTCTTCCACCCACAAATCTAATGCCTTTTCCATCTTAGCTAAGCGCTTATGCACTGTGGCTGTAACTTTTGCGGCTTGAGGGATGATGGCAAAACTAGCACAAAATTCTTTTTCCTTCTTCACAGTTTCAAGGATAGAAGATTCATTCTTACCATAGATCTTGCAACCTCAGCATATGACTTTTCCTTCCTTCCTCAAGAAACTTTCCACCAAAAGGAAGCCCTGTATGGCTTCTCTTTGGCTTATCTGCATTGCCAGCATCATTGCTTGCACTACGGGGCAATCATGAAGCAGAATACAACTGCTTGATCACAAGAACCGTGATACCACAATAGTTGATCTGATCATGGAGCTGGCTACGTAGTGACTAACGGGCAGGTAGTGTAGATGGTGTAGATAAACTGGATGAAGGGGTGATTCACGTCCCAGGCGGGACAGAGCAAGACAGCATGAGATTTCACCACTCTCGTCAGAATGGCACACAATTTAAAACTTACGAATTGTTTGTTTCTGGAGTTATATTTTCTGATAGAGGTTTACTGTGGGTAAATGAAACTGCAGGAAGCAAAACTCTGGATAAGGGGGGCTACGGTCTAGGAATAGTTCATACTCTAGCCCTACCCATCTCCCCACTGCCATCTGTACCCAGAGTCGTTATGAAGACTTGAGAATTTTCAGAAAATATGACTTAGTAAGTGAAAGGGAAGGAAGTGACAGAGAGAGACATCTTAGGCAAGAAGCTAGCATGGTATCTCCTCTAAAAGCAACCTTGTCATCCAGGATTCTGTGTAATTTTATCTTAAATTTCATTTTTAAATGATACAGATAAACTCTTTAAGAAGGATTCTCTGTTTAAAATGTACATACTTTGCTAAGTGTCCCAGAATCACTTACCACTGTTTAAATAGGTTTTAAGTCAGATTGCTTTCCTAACAAACACACTGCTTGGAAAAATGGAAAAGGTTGGTTTGTTTTTTGGTCTTTTGGGTTGTTGGTGGTGGTGCAATGAGAGAACGTGGCTTGGAGAAGGAGGAAGGAGAGGCTGTCTGGGAGGGGAGACGGTGGGGACCTCAGTGGAGAGTTCAGACCAGGATGAAAGCTCTGGGCTCCGGGGGCCTGTAAAGACAGCCGGCATCAAGTGAGCAGGAGGGGATGACATGAGGGTTCAAAGGCAAATAGAAACCCATTCAAAATATTGCATAGGGCCAGCCCTGCCTTCAGGAAAAAAGGGAAGGAAACTTTTCATCCTCTCCCTCCATGCCAAGGGGCCCTTGCTCCCAGAAGCCAGCACCCCGACTGGCAGGTGACCTCCCATTGCCTGTCACTCACACGGCTTCCCGCCTCTCCATCCTCATGACCATCACTCCTGCAGCACAGGCTCTGGTTACCTCTCAATGGGACTAGGTACAGCAAAGGCCTCCAAATCCATCTTTTCACCTCCATCCTGCCTTTCTTCAATCCCACTCCTCCTCTGCCACGCTGCTTGAGTAATCTTAAAAACTCTGACCCTGTCACTCAACTGAAAAGCCATCAGTGAGTCACTTTCCTTGCAAAAGAAGTCAAAATTCCATAGTCTGAAACTAGAAGCATGGGCTGAACATTTTGCTCAATAGACTTTGTGGATTTCTGGACAGACTTCAAAATTTCCTATTTGAGGACCACTGTACATGTTATTTTTCTGTTCCAGAATGTCATCAGTTTCTGCAGGTGTTCCTGTGGAAGTCCTATGGAATAGTCAAATGCCACCCATCCATTGAACCCCTACTGATCCCCAGAAGGAATCAGATCTCTTCTCTAGGTCAGTATTGCACATGGCTCCTTGAGGATTCATTATGCTGAAAAGGGGACTATGAAAAGTACAGAAATGGCTGGGTGCGGGGGCTCATACCTATAATCCCAGCACTTTGGGAGGCCGAGGCAGGCAGATTGCCTGAGCTCAGGAGTTCGAGATCAGCCTGGGCAACATGGTGAAACCCCATCTCTACTAAAATACAAAAAAAAAAAAAAATTAGCTGTGAGTGGCGGTGTGCGCCTGTAGTCCCAGCTACTTGGGAGGCTGAGGCAGGAGAATTGCTTGAACCCGGGAGGTAGAGGTTGCACTGAGCAGAGATCATGCCACTGCACTCCAGCCTGGGCAACAGTGAGACTCCATCCCCCAACTCCAAAAAAAAACAAAAAACAAAAAAACAAAAAAACAAAACGAAAAAAGAAGAAGACAAGTACAGAAATAATCATAATTCATTATGGAATATAAAAAATACCATGAGAGAAGAAACAAGACTGGGTCTGCCATCTCTGTATCCCCAAAGCACCCAGCACAGTGCTGAGTGTGGACGGAGATGTCAGGCTGGCCGTCATCCAGCATTGATTCGTACAATGCCTTGGTTGTGGGCACCTGCAGGGTCATGTTATGAACTACTGCAGTTGTATCTGGTATCAGCAGGAAGAGTGCTAGGAAGAATTCCAGATGTCTGCCCCAGGAGCTAAAGAGGAGGGGTAAGTGGGTGACACAAAGGCCACCTTTTTTGCTACTCATAGCTTAAAAGATAATTCCACAGATATTTACTAAGTAGATATATTTGTTTCAAGGGGAAATAAATTTGAATATCCAAACAAAAGCTTTACCAACAAATTTTGGAAAACACCTGCCCATTAACAAACCGGGAGCTGACGTTCTGATTTTAAGTGCTAAAATGTGAGAAACAGGTAAGACTGGCAATCAGAGAAAGGAGAGACTACTGAAGGCGTGGAGGAGTTAGAAAGTCTCTGTCAGGAGGCCAGATGCGGTGGCTCATGCCTATAATCCCAGCACTTTGGGGGGCTGAGGCAGGTGGATCACTTGAGGTCAGGAATTAAAGACCAGCCTGGCCAACATGGTGAAACCCCATCTCTACTAAAAAATACAAAAATCACCCAGGCATGGTGGCAGGTGCCTGTAATCCCAGCTACTCGGGAGGCTGAGGCATGAGAATTGCTTGAAATCAGGAGGCTGAGACAAGAGAATTGCTTAAACCCGGGAGGCAGAGGTTGCAGTGAGCCGAGATCATGCCACAGCACTCCAGCCTGGGTGACAGAGCGAGGCTGTCTCAAAAACAACAACAATTAAAAAAAAAATCAAGGCAAGCAAACAGTAACGGTAGGGGGTGGGGTGAGGAGTTTGTCCTAAATCGCTCCATTTCTTTGTGAAATTTCTGCCCTGGATTCCACAGGGGAACTTCTGACCTCTTGTATTTTGCTTTATTTCTCAGGCTGTGTGCTACCATGTTGCATAAGATGTGGCTAAAAAGAGGAAAATGTAAAAAAAAAAAAAAAAAATTCCAAGTCTTCAATGCACATGAAGTCTTTAAGTAAGGTGGGGTTTTTTTCCCCCCGGCACCCAATGCCCATTTATCTAACTCATCTATGCATCGTCGAAGATCATTTTGTTGGCCAGGTGCAGTGGCTCACTCCTGTAATCCCAGCACTTTGGGAGGCTGAGGTGGGCAGATCACTTGAGGTTAGGAGTTCAAGACCAGCCTGGCCAACATGGTGAAACACTGTTTCTACTAAAAATACAAAAAATTAGCCAGGAATGGTGGTGTGCACCTATAGTCCCAGCTACTTGGGAGGCTGAGGCAGGAGAATCGCTTGAACCTGGGAGGCAGAGGTTGCAGTGAGCCGAGATCGCGCCACTGCACTCCAGCCTGGGTGACAGTGAGACTCTGTCTCAAAAAAAAAAGAAAAAAAAAAAGATCATTTTGTCATTTGCCTATAATCCAGCACAATAACTGAAACTGAAACTAAGTGAGGATCTCCTGTTCCTCTTAAGAGTAAGATTCTGACAGTGCAGCAACATTATCTACATTACAGTCTCAGAAGACACATCTCAAGGATTTTTGTTACCTTAGAGGCTCAGCGAAGCTCATAAACAGAGTTATCCTGAGATACATGATGCAAAAATGAGCCACGTTACCCTGTTCCCACTTCGTGTGGTTATTGCCATAATTTTGTCTATGGCAGAAGAAATTTTTATTTCAGTTTCATTTCTGAACAGCCATCTTCCTTTGAGTCTTAATATATTCTATTTTGGCTGGGCATGGTGGTGGCTCACGCCTGTAATCCCAGCACTTTGGGAGGTCAAGGCAGGCGGATCACGAGGTCAGGAGTTTGAGACCAGCTTGGTCAACATGGTGAAACCTTGTCTCCACTAAAAATACAAAAATTAGCTAGGCATGGAGGTGGAGGTTGCAGTGAGCTGAGATTGTGCCACTGTACTCCAGTCTGGGTGACAGAGGATGACTCTGTCTCAAAAAAAAAAAATTAAATTAAAAAAATATATATATATGTGTGTATATATATATATTCTACTTTACATTTCAGCTTGTGGACCACAGACATAAACCCCTTAAGGACATATAAACTGAAATTAACCAAATAGGAGTGGTACAAATAAGAGGAAAATTTGGAACAGGGGTGAGAAGCCTTCTTGGAACACTAATGAAATGCGCAAAGACAGGAAGAAACTTACCTCCCGTGAGAAAGTCATTACATGACTTCTACATATTATGTTCATAAAAGAAATTAACTTCAGGGCCAAGAAACTTTATTATATGCTCCAATGATTCATATTTTATTTTCATTGAAATCTGAAAGAATTTTTCAAATCCAAAGAACGATAATAAAGTTGATTGCATACTAAGGAAATTTTTTTAACTGTATTTCCTAATGCTCCATGCTATGATGTCAGTCTTTCTAGGCTGAGAAGCCATCAAGCACGCCTAACGTAGACATAAAACAAAACAATCTAAAACACGGTAAGACCTACATACATTCTACTATTTTCCTTCCACACCCCAAGGGATCATCTGGCTTCTCCTCTGGGTGTGCCTATTCTATTATGGAGACCACTGCTCTTTGAGGATCCATGTGAAATACAATATTTGCTTTTCTGGCTGGGAAACGTGGCTCACGCCTGCAATCCCAGTACTTTGGGAGGCTGAGACGGGAGGATTGCTTGAGCCCAGGAGTTTGAGACCAGCCTAGAAAACATAGGGAGACCCCGTCTCTACAAAATATACAAAGAAATTAGCTGGGCATGGTGGCATGCAACTGTAATCCTAGCTACTCAGGAGGCTGAGGTGGGAGGATCTCTTGAGCCCAGGAAGTCAAGGCTGCAGTGAGCCATAATTGTGCCATTGCACTCCAGACTGGGCAACAGAGTGAGACCCTGTCTCAAAAAAAAAAAAAAAAAAAAGCTTTTCTATGCAAATGACATGAGCTGTTTACTTAGAGAACTGCAAACTCCTTAGATAAAAATGCAGCAAGGCCAGGTAGCCAGTTGGAACAGGCCCCTGAGAGTGTGCCACAGGATTCAAACTTCAGCAGTTTTCCAGGCAATTCATCTCGCCCAAGTAACTACTCTTATCTCCTTTCTTCCTCCACCCACTTAAATAATCACTTCATCTTCTTAAATATAAAACCAAACCAAACAAAAACCACCCCCAAATGTAAATCTTATTTTCTCAGACCAGCAATCATTGCAGTCTCGTCTTTCCTATCTTGCTCTGGCAATCCGACATAAGGCATTGAGTTTCAAGCAACCTTTTATACGTCCTGTGCCAGCTGAAGTGTTGCTTAAGGAACGTCTAAGTGAACTGAGACCTACTTGGGAAGTCCCGGGCTGAGGTTGGGGAGAGAGAGAAGTTCAGTTTGGGACAGTGGGGAGAAAATGCACAACTCAGGGAGCTGTGGATTGGCATGTGTGGCCGCCTGCTGCGGGTTGGTGCCGAGAATGAGGCAGTTTCTGCATCAGCAGCTCTGGTCTATATAACAGGAACTGGTGTCTGGGAAGGCAATGAGAACAATGATGTGCAAGCCAGTCTGTGCTCATGAGGATCCGGAGCAGGTTGGGGGATCTGTGCTTCTAAGTTTCCCACGAGCACCACAAACACCTTGGCCTCACTCCCTCTGTCCCTGAACTGCAGAAAATAGGGAGACAGTTGGGGGCCTAAAACCTCCCTTTGTCTCAACGCCGTGCACACAGAGGTCCCTGGGCATCGCCCAGCCCCTAGCTGGGAGACTCTTAGAAGCCTTGCCACTTTCACTTTTTATAATCTCACTGAGCTTCAGAATCACCAGAAACACAGACTCCTGGGCCCTACTCCACTCAGACCTGCCAAGGAGGCCTCTCCAGAGTGCACATGAGCCGGATGCAGGAGTGTGGAAGCTCCCTGCGCCCATTCATGCTTTTGCATAAACAGTGATCCTTCTGCATTTCGGTACAGTCTGTGAACTCCTAGCACTGCATTCATCTCTTTGTCCTGGCTCTTTTTTTCCCCTCACAGCTGCCTTGAGCTATAATGTGACTTTTCCAGGGGAACAAGTTTGCTATCAGTGGAGCCCTGCGGTCTTCCCTCTCATTGTAGATCTCCAGCTTATAAAATGCGAGGTTGGGACCAGTTACTCCCCAAGGTTCCCTGCAGTTCTGACACTTTATGGTTGTTTACCACAACCCACATCTCTGACACTCACAGTTCTGGGCTCTTTGCCCTGGTGCCTTTTTGGTCTTTTCACTTATATCCCACTTATTTCTTCACCAACTCCCCCTGGGATGTTTAATCCTTTGTTTTTGCTGCTGATTCATTAAAAAACCAAGTCCTAAATTCCCTGTAGCTGCTTGCAGGTTTCTAACCTTAACCAAACAAAAAGGAAGAAATCTACTTATCTGTTAATGAGATGCTACCACAAATATCCTATTTTAAGGGAAGGGACACTGTGTTCTCCCATTGTTACACTTCAAAAAATGATGTCTAAATCACTGATATTCTTATCCCAGAGAGAAATTCCCAGAAGGGCATAGCAGAGAGACTTTCTCTCATTTGGGGACAGAAACAAATGTCCACTATGTGCCAAGGCCATTTTAAACTATTTTTTTCTAATTTTTTTTTTTTTTTTGAGACAGGGTCTGGCTCTGTCACTCAGGCTGGAGTGCAGTGGCACCCATCTCGGCTCACTGCCACGTCTGCCTCCGGGGTTCAAGCGATTCTTGTGCCTCAGTCTCCCTCATAGATGGGATTACAGGCGTGAGCCACCACACCTGGCTAATTTTTTTGTATTTTTAGTAGAGATGGAGTTTTGCCGTATTGGCCAGGCTGATCTTGAACTCCTGACCTCAAGTGATCCTCCTGCCTAGGCCTTCCAAAGTGCTGGGGTTACAGGTGTGAGCCACTGTGCCCGGCCCAGGCCATTTTAAATTCATGGTATGCTGGGCAAGACAGTGGAAGGCGACCAAAGCTTACGACGAGAGGTATGCAGGGGGCATTGCGGGATGGTGAGAGGGTACACCAACCATCCCCCATCTGCACATCTGTCCAACCATCCATGTATCTCCATACACACACAGTGACAGTGAGGACCTGGGAGACGCAAGTGAGCAAACCTGACAGGGGCCCTGCCCCCATGGAGCCTCCACCTCATGGAGGATGACATTAAATGAGCTGTCACTTGAATAACAATGTCACTACGATCTGAATTAAGGGCCAGGGAAGACAACATAGGGCACACTGCATGCTGGGGGCCCAGGCAGGTAGGATGTATGGCTCTGGGAAGACTTCCTGGAAGAGGTGAATCCTGAAGTTACATAAATAGCAAGTGGAAGTCCAAAGAGAAGGGCAGACTGTTCTTGACCCAGGGGCAGAGTGGGGAATCCATAAGCAGAGGCTGCTGTGATTGCCCTGGGCTCAGAGAGACTGTGAGCTCAGCCCACACTGCCCATAGAAGCAGCCTAAGTGGTAACCCTCTATCCTCAAGGCCTCAGGGGAAGAACATGCGCTCCCCATAGATGCAGAGCTCCATGCTGGTGTCTTTCAGGATTAACAGTACTACTCCGAAGATCTGCCTTCCAGTCAGACTCCGTGTCTTTCTGTTTTAATGCTAATCACAGGTTTACACCCTTGGTATTCATTGTTCTTTGTATTAGACTCTAAGTTCAATTTGCCAGAAAAAACCAGGTCAACCCCGAAACAAGAGAGAGTTTCCCATCTAGGACACCACGAATCAACCAAAAATGATACATTCAGATGCTGTAACAGAAGTCCTTACTGCCCGGACACATTTGGAAACATTTAGAGCGGACATTTGATCAATTATTCAGTCCAAATAAAACACAAGAGGTCCTCTCCTTTCTTTCCACAGGCCTCATTTCTACACTCGAGGATACTGGCTTTCAGGCTCCCATACCCCTGGCAGTTCCACCAACGAAGAATCAAACACCCATATCAGACTCACAGAATCGGAAGGTCCTGCTTTGCTCTTCTTTCCTTGTAAGAAACAGGTCCCTTATTCCTTCTAAAACCTGAATCGCCCAAAAGTTCTCCAAGATTTTTCCAAACTTGTGATTCCAAAAATGTTAGAACTGATTTGCTTGATGGCAACGGAAGCCGGATACGGGTCTCCTGATTGATGTGCTAAACAAACTCTTCCGAGCTGAGCTTTACAATTGCAGATTTGGCAAAGACAACCATTACTTCCATTTTTTTTTCTTTGTTAAAAATATAAAAAGGGAGACAGGCTCCAACTTAATAAGTATCACCCATTTCACACCCTATTATACTGAAACTCTTCCTCTTCTCTTCAATTTAAAGTTTCTCTCTCAGAAGGCTAGAAAATAGATTTTTCTCATGAAAAATCTCTTTCTTTTTCAAAGACATTATTTACACTTGAGAAAGGACACAAACCTTTTTTGAATAGCCAATAATCACAATGCATGTGCCACTCATTTTATTGGAGATCGTAAACATTTAAGCGACATGCCAGATTCTCATTTAAAATATTGTCACTGCATGGCCAGGCGAGGTGGCTCACTTCTGTAATCCCAGCTATCTGGGAGGCCGAGGTGGGAGGATCGCTTGAGGCCAGGAGTTTGAAACCAGGCTGGGCAACATAGTGACGCCCCATCCCTACAAAAAAAGTACTTAAAAAATTAGCAGGCTGCGGTGGCGTGCACCTGTACTCCCAGCTACTCAGGAGGCTGAGGTGGGAGGATTGCTTGAGCCCAGGAGTTTGAGGTTACAGTGAGCTATGATCACACCACTGCACTTCAGCCTGGGTACCGCCAGAGCAAGACCCTGTCTCTAGAAAAAAAGAAATTGTCGGGCTAGGTGCGGTGGCTACCGACTGTAATCCCAGCACTTTGGGAGGCTGAAGCGGGCAGATCACCTGAGGTCAGGAGTTCAAGACCAGCCTGGCCAACATGGTGAAACCCTATCTCTACTAAAAATACAAAAATCAGCTGGGTGTGGTGGCGGGTGCCTGTAGTGCCAGCTACTCAGGAGGCTGAGGCAGGAGAATTGCTTGAACCCAGGAGGCGGAGGTTGCAGTGAACCGAGATTGCGCCACTACACTCCAGCCTGGGCGACAGAGTGAGACTCCGTCTCAAAAAAAAAAAAAAAAAAAAGAGAGAGATTGAGACTATCCTGGCCAACATGGTGGAACCCCGTTCTCTACTAAAAATACAAAAATTAGGTGGGCATGGTGGCACATGCCTATAGTCCCCAGGAGACTGAGGCGGAAGAATCGCTTAAACCCTGGAGGTGGAGGTTGCAGTGAGCAGAGATTGCGCCACTGCACTCCAGCCTGGTGACAGAGTGAAACTCCATCTCAAAAAAAAAAAAAAAAAAAAAAAAAAAAGAAATTGTCATTGCAGAGCAGAAAATGAAGAGAGATTCGGAGAAGAACTGCCAATCAGGTAGAACAGGGCCATGGGTGGTATGGGGGAAGGGCTAGACTTTGATATTTCTGAGACCAAACTGGCAGTCTTTAATCTTGTGGTGGTGGTGACAGTGGGGGTGAGTCGTGGCAGACGGCGAGCCCTGTCACTGAAGCCAGACCCCACTGAGATGACTGACAATTATGCAAATGATTGTGGGGTTTCACCATCCTGTTCCCATTCTCTTTTTCACTGGCTTCTACTCCTTAAACTTGATATTCACCATATGGTTTTATTCTAAGCATGGATGGAGCTTTCTGAGAGGAAAATCTCATTGCTCTTTATTGTAGCCATTAAAAATAAATCATAAGGGGACGCATGGCAGATCCTCAGCATTTGTATTGCATTTGCTCAGCTTAAGTGCTCGGAGTACACGACGACATACAGGTGCAAAAACAGTCCATGTCTGGCTAGAATTTGGCGGCAGGTTTCATCATCATCATCTGTGAACTAAAAGGCTTTTTGTAACTCAGGTGATTAAAACAGTACCACATTTCTTTAAGTGGTCCTTTCATTTTTAAAAACGCTGAAACAAAGAATCATAGATTGTGAACATATAACTAAAAAAGAAAGAACATTTTTTCAGTAGTTCAGCACCTTTATAAGGCACAGCAGGGCCGACCCTGGTAGACTGTGAAGCCTGGAAAATGTCCTCTCCTGGCTGCCCACACTTCCTGCCCCCTGCAGGGCTCTGTCTCAGGCCTGGTTCCCCTGGGCTGCAACGAGAACTCAAGAGAGGGCTGAGAAATGATGGGTGTTGAGGCTTTGGTGATGGCCAGGCATGAAGCCCGGTTCCACCTCCTCCGTGAGTGCCTTGTGATGGGGGTGGAGCAGAAGGGGAGGGAGGCGGAGGTGGTGTCCCGTCTGGTGCACAAGGGAAGGAGAATTGTCAAAGTAGGATCAGTGCTGGTTTCTCCACCGAAGATAATGGGCTTAGGATCAGTGTATTAAGAGCTTCTGGTGGCATGACGGAGAAACCCAGAAATAGAGCCAGGACAACAGGTACAACGGTGGTGAAATACTGCCGAGAGGCTTAGCTTCCCCTTAAAGGCAACACAAAGCTTCCCAAATCTAGTGTGTTATGACAAAATGCATTGACATTCCCTTGAAGAAACTACAGTAATAAACTCATAAAACAATGTGTGATTAATTGGTAAACTTTTCTAAAGATAATGTTTTTGGTGATGGTGGGAACTGGCCTATCCTACAAGTGTAAATTACTATAATCTCCCCAGAAAAAAACCTTTGACTAAGCAATTTTACTGCTATAAGCCATGTAAGGAAATGTCAAAAAAAAAAAAAAAAGATAACACAGAGAGATATAGGAGCAAAGATGTTCTATACGAAATTACATTTAAAAAAATTTGAATACAAAATGTGAAGTACATTGGTGAAACAAATTACGGCACTTTCATGTTAAGGAATATTAACCATTATAAATCATGTTTCAGAAGACCCTTTAATGACATAGGGATACATTCATGATTATGTCATTAAGACCATAGCGTTTCATAAGCATGTTAATATAAGGTCAATTAAAAATACAAATATGCTTAAAGAAAAAAAATTAGAAAGCCACAGCAAAATGTTATAGATGGCTATCTTTGAATACAGAATTGTTGGTGATTTATCCTGTCTCTAGGATTTTTTTGGTCAAAAACATTTACATAGTAAAACATTACTTTTATACTCGGAAAAACTCATATGAATTATGCATAATTTAAATTATATGTAGTCATTAGAATTATAATAAATTTATTTAAATTGTAAGTTTAAATAATAACTTAAATAAAAATACATTATATAACATGTAATATATTTAATATATGTAATAGGTTATTTATTAGAGCTTCATATACTAGTATTTAGTATATGAAGTTTGAATTAAATAATTCCTTGCAGTTTTTTTGCAGGAGAGTATGACTGAAGAAATTTTTTTGGGCCAGGTGCGGTGGCTCACGCTTGTAATCCTAGCACTTTGGGAGGCTGAGGCAGGTGGATTGCCTGAGCTCAGGAGTTCGAGACCAGCCTGGGCAACACAGTGAAACCTCGTCTCTACTAATGAAAATACAAAAAATTAGCCAAGCGCGGTGGCGTGCGTCTGTAGTCCCAGCTACTCGGGAGGCTGAGGCAGGAGAATTGCTAGAACCCGGGAGACAGAGGTTGCAGCAAGCCAAGATCACGCCACTGCACTACAGTCTGGGCGACAGAGCAAGACTCCGTCTCTAAAAAACAAAAAAAAATAATTTTTTAAAAAATATGCGTGCTTGTAAGCTCTCTACAAAGAGCTGTTATGCTCCGTCAATGGCTTGGAGGCTCAGCAGAGGGGGTGCAGACGTGCTGCAGGGCTGTCCTCGCCGCAGACCCAGGGCTTACTTAGCTTTCCACTGAAAGCTGGCTGAGATGTCTCCGGGCACAACTGCTGAGCAATGAGATCCTGCTCAGTAGGGATGAGCCCTCTAGACTGTGGGAACAGGAGGGGACGAGAGCAATGAGGAACCCCCTGGGCTGGAGAGTTGCTAGTGAAGGATATACAGTAAGGAAAGGTCAGAATGCTGGAGCTGTGCTGGAGCTGAAGTCTGCTGTTGTACCGCCACATCATTTCCCTTCTTGTAACCATGGAAAACAAGGAGCAGAGGGTAACTGCCGTGCCAGCACAGAGCACAGGGAGCCCCTATACTGCCATCCTTCAGAAAACGGTTATAATAAATCTAAAAGCTTATGATGTTTATGATGTGAATGGTACACCCTTACAAGTGACACCTTTGTGCAGTCCACAACCTGCACAACCATGCTTGGTAGCCCTAGGTTTCCAGGAACAAAAAGGAAGACGAAAAGCAACTTTTCCCCCTTTAAATATAGCTTACTGTGGTAAATGAGATGCATCTTTCATCTTCTAAGGCCTTATTCTAAGCAAAGCTGATTTTCCAGTGCTTACCTATGCTGCCTAGGTTCAGGAGAGTGGGAAGGAGGAAGGGGCTCCAAGGGGCAGAGAGAGGGCACCCACCCACCCCACAGCTGTTTAGATGGGGAACAAGGGCTAATAAGAGTTCACACTAAAAATGACACATCTTTCAGATTTGGGACGCAAAGAAGAGACCACAGAGCCTTATATTATTACTATTTTTTGAGACAGGGTCTTGCTCTGTAGCCCAGGTTGGAGAGCAGTGGCATGATCACAGCTCACTGAAGGCTTGACCTCTCAGGCTCAAGTGATCCTCCTGCCTCAGCCTCCTGAGTAGCTGAGACTACAGGCATGCCCCACCACACCTGGCTAATTTTTTTTTTTTTTTGTATTTTTTGTAAAGATGGGGTTTCGTCATGTTGGCCAGGCTGGTCTCCGACTCCTGAGCTCAAGCAATCCACCCACCTTGGCCTCCCAAGGTGCTGGGGTTACAGGCATGAGCCACAGCACCTAGCCTTTTTGTGTTATTTTAACATTCCACTTTGAACCAGAAATCTCTCCATCCAAGTTTAAATTCACTAATAGTAGTTGTCAAACACACCAGCAAGGCATAGCAGCAAAATCCTTGTATATATTATAAAGCATTCTAGAAATTAATATATGCACTGAACTCAATATCCAGTTGTTGTTGTTGTTGTTGTTTTTTTTTTTTTTGAGAGGTTTTTGGAGAGGGAGTCTCGCTCTGTAGCCCAGGCTTGAGTGCAGTGGCGAGATCTCAGCTCACTGCAACCTCTGCCTCCTGGGCTCAAGACGATTCTCTTGCCTCAGCCTCCTGAGTAGCTGGAATTACAGGCATGCACCACCATGCCTGGCTAATTTTTGTATTTTTAGTAGAGACTAGGTTTCATCATGTTGGCCAGGCTGGTCTTGAACTCCTGACCTCAGGTGATCCACCTGCCTCAGCCTCCAAAAGTGCTGGCATTACAGGTGTAAGCCACTGTGCCCAGCCCCCTGGGTTGCTTATCTTGTTTACCATTTCATTTTTTTTCCTTAAAGGAAAAATATCACCCTCACAGATTTTTCTCAGAGATTCCGAGAAAAACATAGAAAGAATGCACTGGTGTCTTTTCCCATCATGGTCTCTATCATACTATCTCAAGCATTTATCCCCTAATCCTGGCGCCCAGGACTTCAGAAAAAAGTAATTCCAACAGAAAGCCAGGAGCACAGAGCCACTTACTGCTCTCTGGACAGAAGAGCTGGTTCCTTCGTCCTCTTCCCCGTCTGCCTCCTGGTCTTCGTTATCAGTCCAGGAGGACACATCTTCTACCGAGCTGGTCAGATCTGGCAAGCTCTTAGATGTTAACCTGAGGAGGTCCTCTGCGGAGTTTTCCTATGGGGACACAATTAAAGGCCCATCCATGAATTACTCCCCAGAACCAAGCAGTTCTTGAAGGCAACCTGGCACAGTCAAGCTACATGCTCCCAAACCAAAGACTACATGGAGTAAATGTTCTGTGTCTGCAAGGTTACCTCAAAGGCCAGGGGTGTGGACCCAATTTAAACCCAAATCCATTTTTTCCCCACAGAGAATGTATGATTCTTAGCTGTTTCTTTTTTTTCTTTTTTCTTTTTTTTGAGACAGTCTTGCTCTGTTGCCCAGGCTGGAGTGCAGTGGCGTGATCTCGGCTCATTGCAACCTCCGCCTCCCGGGTTCAAGTGATTCTCCTGCATCAGCCTCCCAAGTAGCTGGGAATACAGGCATGAGCCACCACACCTGGCATTGTATTTTTAATAGAGATGGGGTTTCACCGTGTTGGTCAGGCTGGTCTCGAACTGCTGACCTCAAGTGATCTACCTGCCTCAGCCTCCCAAAATGCTGGGATTACAGGCGTGAGCCACCACACCCAGCCTTTAGCTCAGTGTTTCTATGGGCAATCCAAGCTCCCTGAATTTAAGATCCCTTTATAAAACAATCATTTTTTTTTTTAATAGACAAGGTCTCATTCTGTCACCCAGGCTGAGTGCAGTGGTGCAATCATAGCTCACTGCAACCTCAAACCTCTGGGCTCAAGTGGCCCTCCTGCCTCAGCCTCATGAGTAGCTGGAAGTACAGGGCATGCACCACCATGCCTGGCTAATTAAAATTTTTTATTTTGTAGACACAAGGTCTCACTATGTTGCCCAGGCTGGTCTCGAACTCCTGGGCTCAAGCCATTCTCCTGCTGTGGCTTCCCAAAGTGCTGGGATTACAGGAGTGAGTCACCGCACCTGGCCCAAGATCCTCTGCTGGCCTCCCCTGGACTGCTTTCAGGATGCTGTCTAAAGAGGTCAGCATCTTTTTTTTATTGATTTTTTAATTTTAATTTTTATTTTTTTGAGACAAGAGTCTCGCTCTGTTGCCCAGGCTGGAGTGCAGTGGCACAATCTCAGCTCACCACAACCTCCACCTCCCCAGTTCAAGCGATTCTCCCACCTCAACTCCCAAGTAGCTGAGACTACAGGCACACGCCACCATGCCTGGCTAATTTTTGTATTTTCAGTAGAGACGGGGTTTTCACTATGTTGGCCAGGCTGGTCTCGAACCCCTGACCTCGTGATCTGCCTGCCTTGGCTTCCCAAAGTGCTGAGATTACAGGCATGAGCCACCGAGCCCGGCTAGATCAGTATCTTTTAGAGCTGCTTCTGCCCCACTCTCCAAACTCATCCCCCTCCTCCTGTCTCCCCACCAACCCACTCTGATGCCATACTGCCTTCCAAACCCTTTGGACTCTTCCTTGCCCACTGCCTTTTCCGCCAGCAGCTCCCTCTGCTGGGACCACCCTTCCTTTCACGACTGAGGCCCACGCGGGCAAGGCTTGAACACCTCTCCTTCCGAAAGCCCACCTGGGTCATCTCAGGAGCCACTCCATTTGCCTCTCCTTTCTTCTCTAAAGTCTTTGACTACTGCTTTCATCCCCTTGCAGTGTGTCTACTTGTATATCTCCCCTGCGTGTCTGAGAATTGCTCCCACCTAACACCATTTCCATTCACTGCTGTGTCCCCAGGCCTAGCCCAGAGCTCACATATCCATGATCTCCTCCTTCCTGCTCCTGTGCTCATTTCCCTAGCATATGCTCATTAGAAAGAGATTCAACTGGCTGGGCGCAGTGGCTCATGCCTGTAATCCTAGCACTTGGGAGGCCGAGGCGGGTGGATCACCTGAGGTCAGGAGTTCAAGACCAGCCTGGCCAACATGGTGAAACCCCATCCGTCTCTACTAAAAATACAAAAATTAGCCAGGTGTGGTGGGCGGGCAACTGTAATCCCAGCTACTTGGGGGACTGAGGCACAAGAATCCCTCGAACCCGGAAGGCGGAAGTTGCAGTCAGCTGAGACTGTAGCCTGGGCAACAACAGCAAAACTCCATCTCCAAAAAAAAGAAAAAAAAAAAAAAAAGAAACAAAAGAGATTAGATTGTTGAATCAAAATGTCAGATAAGGTCTTTTTCAATGAAGGCAGTCCTTGAACAACTTTTAAAGGTCAACAAAAATACATGGAATAAGACTCCATTTATTTATTTATTTATTTATTTATTTATTTATTTTTATTATTTTATAGAGATGGGGTCTCGCTATGTTGACCAGGCTGGTCTCGAACTCCTGGCCTCAAGTAGTCCTCCCATCTCAGCCTCCCGAAGTGTTGGGATTACAGGCATGAGGGACCGCGCCCGGCCCAGACTCCATTTGGATAAGATTCTGAAGGGGCATCGCCAACACACAGCCCTTTGATCTTATGTACAGGTTAAGGCTAGAGTAGGCTGTAAGACGCAGGTGAGATCATGAAGGCCTTGCTGCAAATGCGGACCACACAGGAGCCAGAGCCCTCCGGGGAAATGCCGCAGCACATGAGGGCCAGGGGCCAGGGAGGGGGCTGGGGCTCTAGAGCGAATCCATGGCTCTAGAAAGAGAGCAAGAAGAGCTACCTGTTCTCTCAGTCCTTTGCGTTGGCCATTTCCACAAGGAAGGAAACACACAGAACGTCTTAATCATATTTAATCACATTGCGTGAGGGTTAACAGAAAAGAGGACCAAAAAATAAATGAATGAAACCCATCTTAAACAATGGATGTTACTGAATATTAGCAAGCTGGCATCTAGCGACAGTGATGTTTGTTACTAGTTTCACGTTGGTTCCACCTTCAAAGTACCTGAAGATAATTTGAATCAGTAATTGTGAATCCTATATTGTTAGGCCTTATCTAAGGAAAGGGAAAAAAAAGTGAGTTCAGTCCTCTTCTGTGATGTCAATTCTACTTCTGCTAGATTAACCGAAAAGAGTGTTTTTTTTTTTTTTTTAAATCCCAACTGTGAAGTAAAGGCATAGCAGATACAGGATAGACTACTCTGCGACCATTAAAGATGGTGCTGGGGCTGGGTGTAGTGGCTCATACCCGTAATCCCAGCACTTTGGGAGGCTGTGGCGGGTGGATCAGTTGAGGCCAAGAGGTTAAGACCAGCATGGCAGGCCGGGCGCGGTGGCTCAAGCCTGTAATCCCAGCACTTTGGGAGGCCAAAGCGGGTGGATCACGAGGTCAGGAGATTGAGACCATCCTAGCTAACACAGTGAAACCCCGTCTCTACTAAAAAATACAAAAAAAATTAGCCGGGCGTGGTGGCGGGCGCCTGTAGTCCCTGCTACTCAGGAGGCTGAGGCAGGAGAATGGCGTAAGCCTGGGAGGCGGAGCTTGTAGTGAGCTGAGATGGCGCCACTGCACTCCAGCCTGGGAGACAGAGCGAGACTCCGTCTCAAAAAAAAAAAAAAAAAAAAAAAAAAGACCAGCATGGCTAACATAGTGAAATCCCGTCTCTACTAAAAATATAAACATTAGCCAGATGCGGTGGCACGTGCCTATGGTCCCAGCCACTCAGGAGGCTGAGGCAGAAGAATAGCTTGAACCTAGGAGGCGGAGGTCGCAGTGAGCCAAGATTGTACCACCGCACTGCAGTCTGGGTGACAGAGCGAGACTCTGTCTCAGGAAAAAAAAAAAAAAAAAAAAAAAGGTGTTGAGCCTGGCAGTGGTTCATGCCTGTAATCCCATTACCTTGGGAGTCCTAGGTAGGCAGATCGCTTGAGGGCAGGAGTTTGAGACCAGCCTGAGCAACACAGAGAGAGATTGCCTCTACAAAAAATTGTTTAAATCTGTCTCAAACAAACGAACAGTAGCCATGTATGGTGGCACGTGTCTGTAGTCCCAGTTACTTGGGATGCTAAGATGGGAGGATCACTTGAGCCTCAGGTTTCAGGCTGCAGAGAGCTATATGATTACACCACTCAATTCCAGCCTGGGCAAAAATGCAAGTCCCTGTCTCAAAAAAAAAAAAAAAAAATTGTACTTCCTAACATGGAAAGATTCTTACAGTATGCTACTCAGTGAAAAAGCAGGTTAAAGTAATATGTAATAACTATATTAATAATGTATGTAATAATAAGCTAAAGGTAATAAACTGTGATAACCATAAGGCAAACATTTATCCAGTTCTTGCTATAACCAGCTACACTGCTCAGGGCCCTTGATATCTTTTTTTTTTTTTTTTGAAGTGGAGTCTCACTCTGTCACCCAGGCTGGAGTGCAGTGGCGCGATCTCAGCTCACTGCAACCTCTGCCTCCTGGGTTCAAGCGATTCTCCTGCCTCAGCCTCCCTAGTAGCTGGGATTACAGGTGCACGCCACCATGCCTGGCTAATTTTTGTGTTTTTAGTAGAGACAGGGTTTCACCATGTTGGGCAGGCTGGTCTCGAATCCTGACCTCAAGTGATCTGCCCACCTTGGCCTCCCAAATTGCTGGGATTACAGGTGTGAGCCACTGCACCTGCCCCCTTGATATCTCATTTAATTCTCCTAACATCATCCTCATAAGGTAGTTACTGATTCTCACTGTACAGGGAAGAAAATGGAGAATTAGGAGAGGTAACAACTTGGCCAGGACATGCAGCTTTTAAAGGGCTGTGCTCGATTTAAGTCCAGGTGGGACTGCCTCCAGGGTATATATGCCGTTTCCTTGTATTTGACTCCATTTTACAGAAAACATGTATGTACATGTTGCACACACATACAGATGTTCCCAGCTGGAAGGACACTCCAGTTAATGGATAGTAAGTACTATTGGTGGTATTATGAGAATTTCATCATCTTCTTCTTCTCTGTTTTTTTTTTTTGGGTTGTCTACATTTGATACAATACATATATATTACTTGTTAATAAAAACCAAGAGTGAAAAAAGCAAAAAAGCGAGCAAGAGATCTGTACTGATATATGTTGCTTCCAGGCATATCAAAACTAACTTGTATATTCTGAGTTTATTCATTCAATAAAAACTTCCTAAGCTCCTACTATAAGCAAATAATTTATTTGTGTGGAAACATAAGGCATCCTCTCCACAAGAAAGTAACTGCTGTATTTCCAAAACAATGCCTTAAAGTTTTGCAACAAGGTGACTATTATCCATAATAAGAATAGTTTACATTTTTGTTTTTCTTTATATTCAGCAAGTCAAAAGCTCTCCCCTCCCTCTTCAAGTGTGAAGACAGCAAGGAAGCTTGTGGATTACTTGCTCTTGTTGGATAAAGAAGAGAAACATGTCAAGAGGCACATGAAGGCTGCTATCTTTTTTCTCCTATGTGGATGAGGACCTTGGATGGTGTAGATGAAGTTTAGGAGCAGCAGGCAGCTGCTGTAGCAGTTTAGTGCCTAATTGTAAAATGGAGTGTATTGGAAGAAGAGAAAGGCCTCACTCTTCTGAGGCCTGGGTCAGCTTCAGCACCACAGCTCAGTACAGATGCCCAAGGGCCAATGGATTGAGAACTTGGATGGACACCCATCCTTTGGTTCTGGAATGCTACTCAGCCCCACGAGGACCCAAGCAAGCGTCCCTAAAAGTCAAAGCCTCTAGCAGGAACACATTATCTTTTTCTAATACCATTGGCTCTAGTGTTCTTTATATTTTATTTGCATAAAGGCAGCTTGGTGCACGAGAAGCAGCTTGAACTCTGAAGTCTGGTGGACTCAGGCTAAAACCTGATTCTGGTTTCTACTGCTGTGTGACCTCAGGGCAAGTTAATTAACCACTGGGATTTGTTTGTTTTTGTTTTTTGAGACAGGGTCTTGCTCTGTCACCCAGGCTGGAGTGTAGTGGCATGGCCACGGCTCACTGCAGCCTTGACCTGCTAAACTCAAGCAATCTTCTTGCTTCAGCCTCCCAAGTAGCACGGATTACAGGTGTGTGCTACCATGCATGGCTAATTTTTTGTTTTTTATTTTTGTAGAGAAGAGGTCTCACTATTTTGCCCAGGATGGTTTTGAACTCCTAGACTCAAGAAATCCTCCTCCTTAGCCTCCCAAATTGCTGGGATTACAGGCATGAGCCACCATGCCCAGTCCAACCACTTGGAACTTAATACCATTCACTGAATAAAAAGAACTAAAACCACCTGGCACCCTGTGGGCACCTGGTACATGCAGCGTGCTTTCTTCCTTTAAGTTGGTGTGTCTCACAGGGAGCAGGCATCATCGAGGAACCAGTTTTCCAAGTTTTCAAAGCCCCTTCATTATTTGCTTTACCCATAAGTGGCCCCCCCACCTTTTTTTTTTTTAATCTTACGTTTTGTGTTTCTGGATAACGACTTGACAAAGAAAAGCCATCCCCTTCCCCATTTTCCAAACTAGCAGGAGAGGCTGGATGCAGTGGCTCATGCCTGCAATCCCAGCACTTTGGGAGGCCAAGGTGGGTGGATCACCTGAGGTCAGGAGTTTAAGACCAGCCTGGCCAACATGGCGAAACCCCGTCTCTACTAAAAGTACGAAAATTAGCCAGACGTGGTGGTGGGCACCTGTAATCCCAGCTACTTGGGAGGCTGAGGCAGGAGAATCGCTTGAACTCGGGACGCAGAGGTTGCAGTAAGCCAAGATCACATCATTGCACTCCAGCCTGGGTGACAGGAGTGAGACTCCGTCTCAAAAAACAAAAACAAAAAACAAAAACAAAAACAAAAAAACTAACAAGAGAAGGAAGTCAGCACAAGAAATGCAGGTTTAGCAGTACATGGTGGAATGCTCGTGCAGAAACCCATGTTCTTCAGCACACGATTTTGAGGAGGTGGGCTGTGCAAATGAAACACGCGTTCTCTGCAGACACATGCCTCTGTGTGTGTGTGTGCGTGTGTGTGTATGTGTGGTGTTTGTTTATGATGTGGTGTGTGTGTAGTGTGGTGTGGGGGGGGTGGGTGTGTGTTGGGGGGAGTGTGTAGGGTGTGTGTGGGGGGGGTGTGTGTGTGGAGGAGTGTGTGTGTGGTGTGTGTGGGTGTGTGTGTGGTGTGTGTGTGGTGTGGTGTGTGGTGTGTGTGTGGTGTGGTGGGGGTGTGTGTGTGGGGTGTGTGTGGTGTGGTGTTTGCTGTGGTGTGTGTGTGGTGTGTGTGTGGCATGTGGTGTGTGTGTGGTGTGTGTGTGAAGGTATATGTTGGTGTGTGGGTGTGTGATGTGTGTGGTGTGTGTAGTGTGTGTGTGGTGTATGGTGTGTGGTGTGTGTGTTGGTGGTGTGTGGTGTGTGTGTGGTGTGTGTGTGGCGCGTGGTGTGTTTGTGGGGTGTGTGTGTGGAGTGTATGTTGGTGTGTGGGTGTGTGATGTGTGTGTGGTGTGTGTAGTGTGTGTATGGTATGCATGTGGTATGTGGTGTGTGGTGTGTGTGTTGGTGTGTGGGGTGTGTGTGGTGTGTGTGTGTTGGTGTGTGTGTGGTGTGTGTGTGTTCGTGGTGTGTGAGGTGTGTGTGGTGTGTGTGTGGTGGGGGTGTGTGTTGGTGTGTGTGGTGTGTGTGTGGTATGTGGGGTGTGTGTGTGTTGGTGTGTGGTGTGTGTTGGTATGTATGTGTGGTGTGTGTTGGTGGTTGTGTTGGTGGTGTGTGTGGTTGTGTGTTGGTGTGTGTGGTGTGTGGGGTGTGTGTGTTGGTGTGTGGGGTGTGTGTGTTGGTGTGTGGGGTGTGTGTGTTGGTGGTGTGTGTGGTGTGTGTTGGTGTGTGTGTGGTGTGTGTGTGTAGTATGTGGGGTGTGTGTGTTGGTGGTGTGTTGGTGTGTGTTGGTGTGTGTGTGGTGTGTGTGTGTGGTATGTGTGAGGTGTGTGTGTGTATAAGACCCAAAGATGCTTTCAGGCTCCCACTTCATCTGGCAAAACAATGAACTAGTTTCTCCTTCTCTTGCAGCATTTCCCTCCTTGTGGAATTCACCAGCTGACAGAGAGAATCCCGGGGTTTGTTCTGCCGCCCCATTTCCGGCGAGGGGCTACAGACAGCCCACAGGCAGACGCTCTGGGTGAAGACATGCAGGGAGCGCGATGGACTCAAGAGACACCCCAAGGTGTCCCTTGGTACCTCTGGAAGAGGAAGAAAGGACCTATGAATGGACAGTGGTCTCAACGCCTACCTCCAGGGACTCAGACGCCCCCTCTTCCTGCCAAGTCTTCACCAGAACTCTGTAGATAGATTCTCTTTGGAAGTCTGAGAGTCTAGGTCAAGGGTTTGGGGTAAAAGGTGTAAAGAAAGGAAAGCAGATTTTTTGGATAGCCCAAAATGTTCTTCTAATCTATTTGTTCAATACTCCGAAAATCAGCAATCGATCTTGCAATTCAAGGGGGAAAATATAAAGAGACCTATGACGCCAGGTTTGAAATAACAACAGAGATCATGGAAAAAGGATTCCCCATATTAGCAAGAGCGTCATGCTGCACAGGGCTAAGAGGGTGTGGCCTCATCCTGTCCTTCCCGGCTGGAATTGGAATAAAGCTTCATGGCTCCACTTCACCAGTTCCTCGGTCACATAGCCTCTGCCCTAGTCTCATCAACAGCACATCGGCCTACAGCTAAGACACACGAGAGGTCACTGCCTCCTCTTTCTCACCAGGCCACATAGACGCTGCCCTAGTCTCATCAACAGCACATCGGCTCACAGCTCAGACACACCAGAGGTCAACGCCTCCTCTTTCTTACCACAGTTGTGAAGTCCTGCAGACTAGCCAGTGCTTTAAGAAGGAGATGCTGAGGCTCAGAATTGGGCACTATATTAATGCACTCTAGGGTGGGTGTGAAAGAAGCTCTGGCCTGCCTGGGGCGTCAGGACCTGTGGAGGACCCGTGGAGAAGAGGCGGCAGGGAGACAGGGGACAGACACTGGGCTGGGCGTTAGGGCCCGGGTCCTGGCGCTGCTGATGGCATCATGGCCTCTGCAAGACGGTAGTGGCCACGGAAGCTCTGCCTCACTGTCTCATTTGTAAATTGGCTGGGCAAACAGGATTCACAGCGCCTCCTCCAGCTCCAACACTCAAGAGGCCACAAGTGAGAGCAGAAGCCACAGGCTGCCCTCGGCGGCCCCTGAGCCTCTCTTCCCTTTCCAGCTGCCCAGGCTTCCAAGTCTCCTCTTCAGCTCCTCCTGGAAGAGCTGCCGCTCTCTCTACATTGTCCTTCCTTACCATTCTTACCTTTTCTTTAGCTCTGTTCTTTCCTTTCCATCCCCTAACACTGCAGTCCCTGACCTTTTTGGCACCAGAGACCAGTTTCATGGAAGACAATTTTTCCAAGGATGGTAGGGGCAAGAGGGATGGTTTTGGTATGAAACTGTCCCACCTCAGATGATCAGGCATTAGATTCTCATAAGACGCGTGCAACCTAGATCTGTTGCGTGTGCGGTTCACAATAGGGCTCGCATTCCTATGAGAGTCCAGTGCCGCCGCTGATCTGACAGGAGGCGGAGCTCTCAGGAGGTAACGCTGTCTCACAGGCCACTCACCTACTGCTGCGCAGCCCAGCTCCTAACAGGCCATGGACCAGTGCCCATCCACAGCCCAGGGGCTGGGGACACCTGCCCTAACATATACCTATAAAAACTCTTAAAGGGCCAGGCATGGTGGCTCACGCCTGTAATCCCAGCACTTTGGGAAGCTGAGGCAGGTGCATCACCTGAGGTCAGGAGTTTGAGACCAGCCTGACCAACATGGAGAAACCCCATCTCTATAAAAAATACAAAATTAGCCGGGTGTGATGGCATGTGGCTGTAATCCTAGCTACTTGGGAGGCTGAGGCAGGAGAACTGCTTGAATCCGGAAGGTGGAGGTTGCGGTGAGCCGAGATTGCGCCATTGCACTCCAGACTAGGCAACAAGAGTGAAACTCCGTCTCAAAAAAAACAAAAACAAAAACAAAAACAAAAACAAAAACAAAAACAAACTTCTTAAGGAAAGCCAAGTAACTAACTGCACTTCAGCTAAGGGTCTCCATATAGCGTTGCCCTGTGGAAGCAAGGCTGTTTCAATAGCCCAAGGCAAACGTACAAGTGCACACATGTCTTTGTGTGTGTGTGTGGCATGGGAGGTGGGGCTCAACCCCAACTCACCACTGCCACCATTACGAGTACCAAAAAACAAACACGACCTACCTTGCTGGCCACCACAAGCTGCACCATTCCCGTGGCGGAGCGAAGAATGGCCACTGCTTCCTCGTGGGAGAGCCCGACCAGTAAATGACCATTGATTACCAGCAGCTCATCTCCTAAGGACAGCCTGCCATCCCTGAGGAAAGGGAGATGGGAAAAAGATCCCTTGTCAAGACATTCTGGGCCTGAGAAGGGCCATTTTCTGGAGCTAGGGAGGGTTGTGAGGAGGGACGGTTAAGATTGGGCTAAAGAGGATACTGTGATGGCCAGAGGCAGTTGGGGATGCGATTGTTTATTCATGTGTCCAGATTCCCATCAGAGGATTCCCTCCATGATTTCAGGCAGTGGCTCAGCAATATGCACATTAAGGTCACCGGCCTACCTGGCATCAATGTCAGTGAAACTCCCATCCAGGTGGAGATGTTGATAGAGGAACCAAGACCCCAAGGTTTGAGGAGAGTCGAGTCATTCGTTTCTTAATCCTCCCTGCCATCCTGCCCTGATGACTGAGTCACTGAGCTAAGCTCAGAAACAGCAGAGGTATCCTAAGCCCACCTGCATTCCTTACCTAATGCACTGCACTCCTCTCTTCCCAGGGATGTGACCCTGACCAGATGTCCTCTGGGGCACCTGTGATTCACACTACACTACACGTGTCTCTATCTCCCAACAGAGTTACAGGTCCCAGAGGGTAAAGTCTCTCACTCTCGGCACCTTGTTTTCTTTTTTTTAAAGTATGTTTTTTTGTGTGTGTTTGTTTTTGAGACAGAGTCTTGCTCTGTCATCCAGGCCGGAGTGGAGTGGCACAATCCTGGCTCACTGCAGCCTGGAACTCCTGGGCTCAAGTGATCCTCCTGCCTCAGCCTCCTGAGTACCTAGGACTACAAGTGCGTGCCACCAGGCCTGGTTTCTGCTTCTTTTTCATCCTTGAGTCTCTCCAGCCAAGCTTCATGTACAGAAGGACGAATCAAAACAAACAAACAAAAAAAAAAAACAAATCCCGCCACCCGCCCCCCCCAAAAAAAAGCAATTAAGAAAGGAAAAGAACAAATAAACTGCCTAAACTGCTGTCACTGCAGGTATCAGACCTGGGCTACAAACACGGTGTACACAAACATTTTCTGTTTCTTTCCCTTAAATTAAATTATGCCTGACTCAACTTTCTTCCCATTGGGCTGGCAAGAGACTCAGGTGTCATGGGGACTGCCTCCCCTAGGGAGGGTCAGGGCTTGGCATGGCACACTGTGCCAGAGCACTGGACAGGCCCCTTCAATCGTGGTGAGTCAACAGTTCTGTGGATTCCACCAGAGCCTCCAGTGCTCTGATCTCCCAGGATCCCAAAGGAGCCAGACATGGCTGAATGTGGGATAGGAAAGCTGGTGAGGCAGAGGGACCTCGAGCCTCGGATCCCACCGCATCCTCTAGACCAAGCTTGGCCAACCTGTGGCCTGCATGTGGCCCAGGATGGCTTTGAACATGGCCCAACACAAATTGGTAAACTTTCTTAAAACATGATGAGATTTTTTGGTGATGTTTTTTAAGCTCATCAGCTATCGTTAGTGTTAATGTAGTTTATGTGTAGCCCAAGACAATTCTTCCTCTTCCAATGTGGCCCAGGGAAGCCAAAAGATTGGACTTCTCTGTTCTAAAGGTTCACATCAGCACCTAGGGTGCTGCCATGAAACACATGCACGCCTCCGACACGCCCAGAAGCTCCGTTTGTCTCCAGTCTCTAGGCTCTCCCCTGGCTTTCTTTCAATGAATCAACTGACTTCTCTCTTTCCATCCTTCCCTCCCCTTTCCTTCCTTCAACAGCTTTTCTCTCACTTTCTGTCTCCTTCCTCTAGGGCATGTGCCATTGTCTTTTCTATGAATTTGGGCTTTAACAGGAGACAGGAGACACCAGAGAATTCTGATAGTCTCTGTTTCTGTCCTTCAAAAATTCCTGAAGCAGAGAAATGCTAAGGGCCCCACTAGTTGTTTGGAATGGTGGGAGAAGGGGAATGGGAAGACCACAGAAGAAACAAGCTGGAATCTCAGGAGCTGTGTGGGTGGGCCACTCAGGAGCTGTTTCCTATGGGAGGAGAGGGATTGAGGAATCAAGAACACAATGGTTCAGACCAGTGTCCTGGGCTTACTAATTCAGAATGCCATCAAGACCATCTCCATCCCTTGGGAGGCTGAGATGGATGGATCACGAGGTCAGGAGTTCAAGACCAGCCTGGCCAACACAGTGAAACCCCGTCTCTACTAAAAATACAAAAATTAGCCGGGTATGGTGGCAAGCGCCTGTAGTCCCAGCTACTTGGGAGGTGGAGGCAGAAAAATCACTTGAACCTGGGAGGCGGAGGTTGTGGTGAGCCGAGATCGCGCCACTGCACTTCAGCCTAGGCAACAGAGCGAGACTTCACCTCAAAAAAGAAAAAAAGACCATCCCCACTCCCTTTTCCTATTTCCCTCTTTCATTTCTCTCATCTCCTGTTACTAACTAAAATGCCCCGCTTGTGAATCGTATAGCCCAGAGGCTCAAAGAGACACACACACACAACTCCAGGCTAAGAATGAAATGAAAAGGATGAGACCCAATAGAAATGGCTCAGATGGAAAATAGACAAGAACAGTTCTTTGTAAGTTTATCTCTGGGCACAGGAATTTCCTAATGGCCAACTTGTTAAAGGAAGACTAGAACTTAAGACCTATGATTAATGGGAAACTGTCTATCTGACAGGAGCTCCTCAAAACATATGTCATTTTGGAAGTTAAGTAATGCTCTTTGGAGTAAAAACCACCTAAGGTCTTAATCCTTCAATAATTACTACCACCCAGACAACTAACAATTGCAGTTAATCTTATCTCTACTTTAGTGATTAGCATCCTATTCTGTAATAAAAGAACTGATGAGCATAAAAGACTTTGCTGGTTTGTGCCCTGGTCCTCTTCTTAGTTTTCCATTCTTCAGACTATCTCCAGCTCCTTCAACTGTACCTCATGTGATATCCTTCTGTGTCCCCTCTCAAGCTTGGGCAGGCCAGTACCAGTCTGGTTTGCCACACCCCTCTTAGAATCAGGGTACCTGAGCTGAACACCAAGTTCCGGACTAGATAAAAGATGATCAACTCGCTTATCAACGAAACTCTCCTTTTATATGCCTACTGTATATGTGTGGGCATACAACATACGTACACGCCCCAGCAGGCCTTGCAAATAGTAGACACCCTATGTGCATGGAAGCAATTAGCTAGCAGTCAAGAGCCTGCCTGACATTTTGGGACAGCTACATCCTTCTTACTCAAAATAAACTGTTTTGCACATGCTCTAGCTAAACACCATTCCTCTTCCTACTTCCAGATCATTGTTCAGATTAAAAAATAAGTTTTTGTTTGTTTTTTTGAGACAGAGTCTCTTGCTCTGTCACCCAGACTGGCGTACACTGGCACAGTGATGGCTCACACTGCAGCTTCGATCTCCCGGGCTCAAGTGATCCTCCCACCTGAGTCTCCTGAGTAGCTAGGACTACAGAAGTGTGCCACCATGACCAGCTATTTTGTTCTATTTTATTTTTTAATCGAGACGAAGTCTCACTCTGTTGCCCAGGCTGGAGTGCAGTGATGCGATCTTGGCTCACTGCAATCTCCACAACCTAGGTTCAACCCATTCTCGTGCCTCAGCCTCCCAAGTACCTGGGACTACAGGCACAAGCCATCACACCTGGCTCACGTCTTTGTAAGTTTAGTGGAGATGGGGTTTCACCTGTTGGCCAGGCTGGTCTGGAACTCCTGATCTCAGGTGATCCGCCTCAGCCTCCCAGAGCACCCACATTACAGGCGCACCCAGCTGCTATTTTTTAATTTTTATTTTTTGTAAACACCAGGTCTCACCATGTTGCCCAGGCTGGTCTTAAAATCCTGGGCTCAAGCAATCCTCCTGCTTTGGCCTCCCAAAGTATTGGGATTACAGGCGTGAGCTACTGCGCCTGGCCTACAAAAGAAGTTTTGAGGTATGAATTGTTTTCAGATCGCAAGGAGAAAAATTCACATTTACTTAATTTCCCTTCCACATCTGCACGACAGAGATACATATATCTAAGTATGCCTGAAATCCTGATAGACCTGACAAGTGGAGCCCCAGTGCATGAACTGTGGTCGGACTGAAAACCAATCACTTTCCCGGGTCATTCGTCAAGTCTTACGGGAGTTAAGATCTTAGGAATGCGGTGTTCTACTCAGCAGCATATTCTCAATAAGTAGCCTCATATCATCTCAGCAAGTTAGGATACGTAACATTCACTTGAAACTAAAGCTGCACTATAAAGAGATCCACTCTCTCCTTGTTTTAGAAGATCTTGCAATATCTTCTGCAGTTAGCCACTTCCTGTGCTCAGAGGTGTGTTCAATTCGAACCACTCTTGCCTGGTTTCCTCCTGTGCTCCAGCATAATCTTTATGAACTATAATCGCCAGGGCTTTGAACAAGTGGAAGAGCACCTGCACCAGTGGGGAGGGAGAGGGAAGGAGAGGAGGCAGAGGGATGGGGGAGAGGGGAGAGTTATCTAGTCACCTGTGAGCGGCACCTCCTTCCTTCACTTGAGTGACAACGATAGCGTGAGGTGAGCGCTTTGATCCTCGGCCTCCACTAACCTGAATTCCCAGCCCATCCGATTCTTTGAGCAGCTCCATCTTCCATATTCGGCCAACTTCCTCCTTGGAAGAAAAAGTGAGCACACCATGAAGGAGGTTGACAGACACACGGCATTGACACAGGAGAACGGAGCTGTCACGTCTGGCCGAATATCCATCACTTGTCCACAGATATCACAGATTATCACAGGAGAAAAGAATTCTGCCGATTGGACCCAAGTCTCTGGCTGGCAGTGCTGTCCAATAGAACTTTCTGTGATCATGGAAATGTTCTATATTTGAGCCATCCAAGACGGAGCCACCAGCCACAGGTGGCTATTGAGTGCTTGCGATGTGGCTAGTGGCAACTGGGGAACTGAAATTTGTAACTGAATTGAATTCTAGTTAAATTTCAAGAGCCACCTGTGGCTAATGACTATGCTATGGGCAGCATAGCAAAGTGATTAAATTTCCTGAACAGGGTCCTGTTAGGTGAAGCTGCTTCTGCCTGAAACCCGGATGCCACTGTGCACGTCAACACTGGCTATTTCTGGGGGCCTTTGACTTCTGCACAGCTACTAATTAACAAAGATGAAAGGAAGGCAAAGCTCAGGTCTTGGTGCCAGGAGACTTCAACTAGTTGGAACCTAGCTCTGCCATTTATAACTTATGAAAGCCACCTAATGCTTAAAAGTCTCAGTTTCCTTGCCTCCAAATTGGGAATTTAGTATTTCCAGGTTTGTTCTTAGAATTAAATGAGACATTTGTGCAAATAGGTGGCAGTACAACACCCAGTAAATAAATGTTGATAGGTAACTATATTACTTATATATACACATATAAGCATATTTATGTTAAAAACACCATATTGAGGGCCAGGTGCTTTGGCTCATGCCTGTAATCCCAGCACTTTGAGAGGCCGAGGCAGGTGGATCACCTGAGGTCAGGAGTTTGAGACCAGCCTGGCCAGCATGGTGAAACCCCGTCTCTACAAAAAATACAACAAATTAGCTGGGCATCATGGCAAGTGCCTGTAATCCCAGCTACTCAGGAGGCTGAGGGAGGAGAACCACTTGAACCTAGGAGGTGGAGGTTGTAGTGGGCCAAGATGGTGCCACTGCACTCCAGACAAAGCAAGACTCCATCACCAAAAAAACAAAAAACACCATATTGAATTGAATCTCAAACTTCCTTAAAACATATAAATGAGACGTTTGGTAGAGAAACCAAAACAAAAAATTAATTGATGAATTTGATACCCACTGCCACAGACACTGGGCTGCACGTTCCCTAAATACATTTAAGAAATGCTTCAACCCCTATAAAAATCTTTAAAAAAAAAACAAAAAACAGGCTGGGCGTGGTGGCTCATGCCTGTAATCCCAGCACTTTGAGGAGGCCAAGGTGGGGGGATCACCAGAGGTCAGGAGTTCAAGACCAGCCTGTCCAACATCTCTACTAAAAATATAAAAAAATTAGCCAGGCGTGGTGGTGGGCACCTATAATCCCAGATACTCAGGAGGCTGAGGCAGGAGAATCGCTTGAACCCAGAAGGTGGAGGTTGCAGTGAGCCGAGATCACACCACTGTGCTCCATCCTGGGTGACACAGTGAGACTCCATCCCCCCAACAAACAAAAAAAACAAAAACAATAAATAAATAAATAAACTAATCAATGTCTCTAAGCCATCTGATTGCTGATAGCTTTTCCACCTTGGTTTATCCTCTGCTTGTCTCCTTACTTCACTCCAAGGACACACACATATGCTCACTGCAAAACTGTTGACTTCCCCCAAGTCCTTAGCTATTTAGAGAAATGAAAGCAAAACTTTCCAAAGTGATTTACTTTGGGGTCTCACTTCAGACTCACCCCTGTAGCTCTTTTTAGCCCTAGCTATATGGGCCTGAGTCACAAGACATATGAAACAAAAGCCATCTTCATATGAAACAAATGACATATGATATATGAAACAACATATGAAACAAAAGCCATCTGCTTTTAACATCCATCATGAAAAGTCCAATGGAACCGTTAAGGTACAACATGGACAAAGCCACCATCCCCCTAGAAATAGGCAACCTGCCTGTTCAAGCTGCTTGCAAAGGAGAAAGAATGTGTGGCATTTAGAAAATCTGAAATACACAGTCAGAAACTGAAATGAAACTTTATGCAACAGTAAAAAAAACAGATGTTGGGCAGTCATTGATGTGCAGCAATAGGAATGTCTGGGGAAATTATTAGCAGACAGAGACCTGTTGGATCCCACACTCCTTCGGGTAGCGTGCTGTTCGGTGGGGCTCCGCTATCCCAGGAACAGACGCTGGTGCCAACTGTCTCCTCCATCCCCTGACCACAGTCAAATGAAGCCTGTCTGGCCAAATGTAACTTCAGAAGTCACTGGCTTACCACAGTAGTTCATGAACTTGTCAATGATCTCTATTTCATCCAATCACCTCATTTTGGACTCTATGGTTTTTGGTTTGCTGCCTCTGACCTCTGGAACACCTTTCCCTTCCCCATTCAGAAACATCCTCCCTGGCCTTCGAAGTCTCTCATGGCTCTACTACTTCCAAAAAGCCATCCTTGAGGAGCAGTGCAACCACCAAGATGGCAACTTTCAACACTTCCAATGGGGCCCGATGGCCTAGTGGATACCATTGAAAAGAACAGAATCAGGGATGTGCTGACTGGATGTTGTCCTGGCTTTCTGGGCCTCCCACGCCAGCATAGGGAGCAGCCCTGTGGCGGCCTCACGGCACACGCGAGAGTAGGATGGTGGCTTTTTTTTTTTTTTTCCATGGAAGAGGCACACTTGAGAGAAGGATGCTGGCTGTTTTTTTCCGTGGAAGATATGCTCTGGCTGCTGGGGTCTAGAAGATGAGTGTTTCTTCCTCCCCCAGGACAGAAAAGCTGTGAACCTCTTTCCCAAGAGCAACAAGGACCATTCTTAGAGTCCAGAAATAAGAAAATCTATTTGGGTTTTAGCGCAAATTAGTAAAAACCTATCCATCCCCCTTACTAGTTTACACCACCATTCTTTTCTCCTTTTCCCCTCCTCTTTGTTAAACAAAACATGTAAGTATGGTTAACAAAGGATGTGACAATACTAGGTACATTCCTTTCTAATTTTTAAATACTTTTAGAAGTAGGACATGTGACAAGAAACATGCAAAACGATGTTCATGGGAATACAATATCAGCTCAAATGTATATATATATATACTGACAGAAGAGTTCAAGACACTTTCCATCAAGAGCACCCACATTTCCACTCCACTTGCCTGCCCCCAGCCCCAAACCACAAAACTCGTTAAAAATAAAGTCATGCAAAACACTTAACAAATAAAACTGGCTTCAGAGGGCAGAAATCACTAATCTGTAATACAGCCCCCAACTACACTACTCAAGAAACAGACCTTCTTTTTCACTTTTATCCGATAACATAATTTTTTTTTAATTGAAAGTAGGAGATAGGAGGGGAGTGTCCAAAGAAATTAATGCAAGTTTCCTCACCTTGGAATTTCTGATCATCTAATGAAGGGAGTTCAGAGGACTACAAAGGAAGACACAAGCAACAAGAAGTAAATGTTAGCAGTTTTTTTTGTTGTTGTTTTGTTTTTTTCTTTCGAGACAGGGTCTCACTCTGTCACCTAGGCTGAAGTGCAATGGCACAATCTTGGCTCACTGCAACCTCTGCCTCCTGGGTTCAAGTGATTCTCCTGCCTCAGCCTCCCGAGTAGCTGGGATTACAGGTGCACACCACCACATCCACTCAGCTAATTTTTGTATTATTAGCAGAGACAAGGTTTCACCATATTGGCCAGGCTGGTCTTGAACTCCTGACCACTGGTGATCTGCCCACCTCGGCCTCCCAAAGTGCTGAGATTACAGGCGTGAGCCACCGTGCCGGGCCCACAATTGTCAGTTTTAAAGGTATTTGCCTACAGCAACGTTCAGTAAAAAATAAATCAGTGTCTGATATTTACTAGGCTAAAACTTGTACTGGCCAAAATCTAACAGGCCAACTTAAATATAACGATATTAAGGATATTTCCAACTGCCTCCTTAACAATTCCACTTGGGTATCTGATATACACCTTAGTACAATCAAAACTGGACTTTTTTCCTCTCTTACTCCTGGCTTTCCCATCTCAATGCAAACAGCATTATCCTCTACTCAGGCTAAAGATGATCCACAAGCCAAAAGTCCGTGAAGTATCTTTGATTCCTTCTGTTTAATCTCCCACATCTGAACCACGAGCACCATCTGTAGAGTCTACTTCCGAAATAGATGCCAGATCCACCGACTTTGGCCTTCTCCTCTCCCTAACCTCCCCCGTCAAAGTGACCAGCATCTTTAGCTTGGGTGACCACAATAGCCTCCAGTTTGGTCTCCCTTTTAAATTTCACCTCCTACAATCCATTATCCTCCATCAAACATCCAAGGGGAAGGTTTAAAAAACATAGGCTGTGATGCACTCAGCATAAGCCCTCCAACAACTTCCCACAGGACCGAGAATAAGGTTCAAACTCCAAGGTGGCATATGCGAACCTCTGTAACCAGCCCTGCCCACACCTCCTGAATCATCTCCTGGTGCCCAGTGTCTTTCTCATGGAACACTCTGTCATTCCTGCCTGAGGGCAGATGCTTTGCTGGTTCTTCCCTGGGAACATTCTGCCCCGGATTATGCAGGGCTGCCCTTTTCTGACACTCAATCCTCAGCTCAAACATCGCCTCTTTACTGAGATCTTCCTGCTCTGACACCCAACATCAACCAGCCCCCTGCCCATGACACTGCCCGGCCAGCTTTCACTTCACCCTGTTTTATTTCATTGACTCATCAGCTTCTGACACTGTGATTTGTGGATTTGCTTATTTATTGTTTGTGGTATGCTATAAATGCTGTGAGATAAGAACCTTGTCTGTCTTGTTTACCAACTAGTTCTCTAGCAATTAGAACAGTGTCTACCACATTATAATATCCCATAAATAGCACTGAATGAACAAATATAGAATGTTTATCCGCTAATCTTACAGTTCCATGATGGTCCTTGCGACTGAGGTTAAGAAGCTCACACAGATGGGAGATCTGTCTGTTTGCCAGTGTTCATTGTGTGAACCCTGGTCCAGTTGGAGAGACCGAGTTCTGCAACAGACCCTGTCTAGACAGATGGTTTGGGCATTTGTTTTCTTTTACATTAGCTTAAAGGGCAACAAGACTTTGTCAGCCTATTGAGAAAAAGCCAAACCCTGAAAAACTGGATGCTATGGACTTCTGCACTAATGTTGTTGGAGTGTTACCCTTTCCTGTAAACTGCCAATTACTGCGTGAGTTCACACATGTATCCCTTCACTGAAGCCAACGAAGGGATTTATTTACCAAAACAGGAGCGGTACATTAAAGGGAGCTGTCTCACAGCATTTAAATGACCTCATTACTGCTGGAACCAAAAATAAAACTTTATAACAGCAACTTTGCCCCATATGTGAGAAGACACAATCCAACCAGAATCTTGCTGCCGTAAATACTCCGGCGCTAGTTGCAAACCTTTTCTGAAACCGTTTGCTTACCCCTTCTTATTCAGAATGATCAGTAAGAAATGGGTGAGCATAATGTCAGAGCTGGAAGTCCCTTAGTCATCAGACCAAAATGCTCAGTTTATAGGTGAGAAAACAGAAGGCCAGAGAAAGGCCGCAGCAACCTGAAGGCCACAGTGCTGGGGATGGCAGAACTGAGGCAGGAACTTCAGGGTCCCATCTCCCAGGACTAGTATTCTTGGGGCCTTGATTAATAAATACCTACAAGGCACTGAGCTAAGACGGGAAACAAAGACAAAGAAGGCCCCGCCCTGCACTATTCACAATAGCAAAGATACAGAATCAACCTAAGTGTCTATCAATGGCTGACTGGATAAAGAAAATGTGGTATACACCAGGCCAGGTGTGGTGGCTCATGCCTGTAATCCCGGCACTTTGGGAGGCCGAGGCAGGCAGATCACTAGAGGTCAGGAGCTCGAGGCCAGCCTGGCCAACATGGTAAAACCCCCTCTCTACTAAAAATACAAAAAATTAGCTGGACATGGTGGCGTGTGCCTATAGTCCCAGCTATTTGGGAGGCTGAGGCAGGAGAATTGCTTGAACCCAGGAGGCAGAGGCTGCAGCGAGCCAAGATCGCGCCACTGCACTCCAGCCTGGGTGACGGAGTGAGACTTCGTCTCAAAAAAAAAAAAAAAAAAAGAAAAGAAAATGTGGTATATACCACAGAATACTCCTCAGCCATAAAACAGAATTAAATCATGTCTTTTGCAGCAACATGGATGGAACCAAAGGCCATTACCTTCAGTGAAATAACTCAGGACACAAAGTCAAATACTCCATGTTCTCACTCATAAGTGGGAGGTGAACAATGGCTGTCCGTGCAGAGTGGAATAACAGACACTGGAGACTGGAAAACGGGGAAGCAGGGTGAGAGCTAAAAAATTATCTATCAAGAAAAATGTTCACTATTCAGGTGATGGGCACGTTAAAGCCTGAACTTCATCACTACGTAATATATGTGTTGAAGAAATCTGCACCTCCATCCCCCAAATATATAAAACATTTTTAAAAAATCAAAGGCTTTGCTCTTAAAGTCTACTGGGGACACGATGAGCCAAATGGTAATTGGAATACGTCGGGCTCGGGCATGAATGAAGACCAGCAGAGGGTACCGCAGGAGACCGAAGAGGAGATGGCTAATGACAGAGCAGGCGGCAGGAATGTCACAGAGACCTCCTACAGGAGGGTGTCTTGAGGCTTGGTCCCCTAGGAAAGGTAGAAGCTAAGCGACGTGGGAGAGGGGAGAAGAAACCAGGTAGTGAGCGGAGCACTCGCAAAGGCTCAGAGGTGACACTAAGTATGGTCTTTGAAAAAGCTTGCAGTGAATTCACTCCAAATCAGGGAATAAGAAACTGGATATCAGGGATAGCTTCCAGACGGGGGTTAGTTACCAGAAAGGACAGGCCATGAGAAGCTTGCAACTTTCTGCCCTACCCCCATCTTCTGGAGTCAGGGGAGAAATGCTGGATTTTGAGTTAACAAATGATCATGCCTTCAGGATGAAGCCTTCATACAAATCCCTAGAGTATGAGGTTTGGAGAGCTTCCAGGATGGTGAATACATCCACATGCCAGGAGGGTGAATACATCCACATGCCAGGAGGGTGATGCACCCCCCCCACCCCCATCTCCACAAGGACAGAAGCTCCTGTGCTGGGAACCCTCTGGACCTCGCCTTATGTAATTCTTCATCTGTATTCTTTATTATATAATAAACTGGTAAAGGTAAAAAAGAAAAAAAGAAAGCAGTGAGAGATGGAGGCAGACAGTTAACCAGGAATCAGATAATAAAGGGCCTCAAATGACATCCCAATGTGTTTGGTAACAACCACGAAGGCAAAGTGGACCCACCAAACGGGTTTCAGCTACAGTGTGCGTGTGTGTGCATGCACATGTATGTTGTGCACCTATGTGTATGTGTGTGAGTAATGAGATGTGCTGTTTAGAAAGGTCCCTCTGGTGGCAGTTGGGACAGTGGATGAATGGGATAGGAGTGGGGCGATGTCCCGGGTAGGGGAGTACTGTGACAGCCCAGGGGGCAAAATGAAAGCAGCCTAGCCCTGACCTGAAGTTATGGGAGTAAAGAGAGAGGCAGGTTGAGCTGCAGGATTTCAAAAGGAGCTACAGTTGAGGGGACTTGGTGATTGACCAGACATGGCAGAAGGCAGTGGGCAGTGCTTCAGGTGACTCCAAGATGACCAGCTGTCCCACTCTCCCTAGGACGGAGGGTTTCCCAGGATTTTCAGTGAGAAACCAGGGGAAGTTCTGGACAAACCAGGATGGTTGGTCACCCCCAATGAATCTCATCAAACTTCCAGCTTGGGCAAACTTTGGGGATGGGGAGACCTGGAGCACTGGAGTGGGTTCAGCGGTATGGGAAAATGATGTGCTGAGTTTTAGGCATGATGTGAAATATATCCAAGATGGAGACATCCTGCAGGCAGTTGGCACAAAACTCAGGGGCTCAGGAGAGAGCTGAGGGCTCAGACACAGACTTGGGAGATGTTACCATGTAGGACAATGTGAGTTCACCCAGTGACCAAGGGGGCTTCCTGGAAAAGGACCATCCTCAGGCTGCCTCTGATGCAAACGTGAGGGCTCATCAGGGAGATGTTCTGAGTGTGATGCTCCTTCTGAGTTTTCTACTCGTTTCTGCAGATGCAGATCCAGGAAGCCTGCATGAGGTCTCTGCTGAACCACTTACAGAGGAGGCATAGGAAAAGGGTCTGGTAGTGTACAGGGTAGATTACGATTCCTAGGGAAAGACCACAAATGTACCCATAGACATACCCATGCCAGTCATGAATAAACTTGTCTGCTTGGCAAGTGGTAGGGTTCTTTTTTTGCTATGTGACTACATTTGGTTGTATTCATTTTCAACATGTAGCATTACAAAAATACATTACATTCTATATAAGCAGACTCGCAAAAACTCTCAGAGTAGTAAAGATCTTTGCTAAGAAGATAATGAGGAACTTTGAACTCATGCCTAAAATAGTTTGTCTATGTCCTAGGAGATTGTTTTAGAGGACAAACCCAACTTTGTCTTTTTAAATAGTCATCTGCTTATATATGTATTATTGTGAGTTAATGTTTTATAGAAAATACCATTTTTTAAAAAGAAAAATTTGTTTAAAGAAAATATATTTCCTGTTGCTCTGTTAAGAGGGAACTGGATGGAAAAGGAAAGACTGAGGGTTTATTTTAATGTAACATTGTCTTAGAACAAGTAACAGTCTATGAAAAAGAAGTACCTGACAAACAAAAATGTTCTGAATGATTATGAGCTCTTTTGTCATTTATTAAGTTTTTGCAGCTATATTAAATCATTATAAAGACAGAAATGGAAAAATACTGACATGTTTAATCTCCCATTATTCAAATGGAATGAAATTCCCCCCCGCCCCCCGCAAAGGCTTAAGAGGTAAATAGGCATTTTCTGTTTTTCTCGAAATTCCATTTTAGCAAGACCTTGATCTCTGTCCTGGACTAAAAATAAAAATCCCAAGAACTTAAACAATCTTGTATGAAGGTCTATTGGTTCCAATTTTGGTGCCATCAGAATGTGGGGGAAAGCTGTGAAAATCTACTTTTTGCCAACCCTATCAATCCTGGGCAAATGCACCTAATAAAGATAATTTTATGGTTGAAAAGGGTGCTAAAATATTCGAGGCTGAGAAAATGTGTGGTCCATTCTGATTTACCAAGACAAAAAGTATGACCCGGGGCCAAAAATCAGAATATGAATTATAAACAGTTACAAAGAATGCAAATTCCAGATGGCAAGTCTCCCCTTTCTATAGGCATGCGGCTTTTTAAAAAAAATGCCCTAAAGGCAATGGATCAGTTTGGTTGTTTTCACTCTTTCATTTACACCTCATAGGATGTTTGACCTTGAGCATAAAAACAACGCAAAGGAACTGTGATATGTGTAGTCTTCAAATAGCGACTCCAGAAGTTCAATTTTTTTTTTTTTTTTTTTTTTGAGACAAGAGTTTCGCTCTTGTTGCCCAAGCTGGAGTGCAATGGCGCGATCTTGGCTCACCGCAACCTCCGCCTCCCAGGTTCAAGCAATTCTCCTACCTCAGCCTCCCGAGTAGCTGGGATTACAGGCATGCACCACCATGCCCGGCTAGTTTTGTATTTTTAGTAGAGACGGGGTTTCTCCATGTTGAGGCTGGTCTCGAACTCCTGACCTCAGGTGATCCACCCACCTTGGCCTCCCAAAGTGCTGGGATTACAGGCGTGAGCCACTGCGCCCGGCCAGAAGTTCAATTTTAATTAAATTTATTATTAATAGTATTATTACGTTTAATTAAGGTAAGCAGAGGATGAGTAATCTCTTAAAAGTTTAGCTTTTGTTTGTTTTTGAGACAGTCTCACTCTGTTGACCAGGATGAAGGGTGGTGGTGCGATTCCTGGCTCACGGCAACCTCCACCTGCCAGGTTCAAGTGATTCTTGTGCCTCAGCCTCCTGAGTAGCTAGGATTACAGGCATGTGCAACCATGCCCACCTAAGTTTTGTATTTTTAGTATTTTTGGTTTTGCTATGTTGGCCAGGCTGGTCTTGAACTCCTGGCATTAAGTTATCTACTTGCCTGGGCCTCCCACAGTGCTGGGATTACAGGCCTGAGCCCCTGCACCTGGCCCTTTGTTTTAAAATCATTCCAAATTATTTCCACTGTGTCCTAGGTCAAATGAAGGCCTATTCTTGGGACTATATGTGAGATTCAACCTTCTCCTGGTGCCTTAAACCTTCAAATGATTAAGGGAGCCAATACCCACAACCTTATTTTGTTCACATTAGGCTTTCTGTGTATGCACAATCTAATCATTAGGGAAGAAATCCTATCAAGATAGGGTATGCACTGATAAGAAACACATTATAATATTTTCACTGCCCTTAATTTGGAAGAGGTGTATATTATAATCTTTTTTTTTTTTGTCCTTAATCCTTTTTGGGGGAACTTATAAAATTAGTAGCAAATCATTGATGGAGACATCAACTTTTTTCTTATTCATACATTCTATTTACAAATAATGCCTTCTCTGTGTCCAACTTTATGAAGATCACCCAGCTCCTCAAATGAAGGAACATAATCTCTTGAGAGAGGGGCTATTGTAATTCTTTTCAACCCATTGTACATTTGGCTATAATGGCAGAAATCACACTTACCCCCAGGGCACCATTTCTCAGCAGACAAAACTCAACTTGATACTTCTTTTCTTGTTTTGAGACAGGGTATTGCTCTGTCACCCAGGATGAAGAGCAGTGGTAGAATCTTGGCTCACTGTAACCTCCACCTCCCAGACTCAAGCGATCCTCTCACTCAGGCCCCCAGCTAATTTTTTGTATTTTTGGTAGAGACAGGGTTCCACCATGTTGCCCAGGTTGGTCTCACACTCCTGAGCTCAAGTGATCTACCATCCTTAGCCTCCCAAGATGCTGGGACTACAGTCACAAGCTGCTGGGACTACAGTCACAAGCTGCCGCGCCTGGCCTCAACTTGATACTCCTACGCCCATTTTGATCTTTATAACTTTCTCTTTCATCCCTAAGGGGCATCTCCTGAGTCAGAGAAGAAACCAGTCAGCATCCACGTAGGCAGTTTATCGTTTCAAATGGAGCCTGCAGGAATATCTAAGAAGATTCTTGGAATGAACATGTCTACCCTAAAGAAATGCAATTCTCATAGGACAGAATGTTGGTTATAATGAGGGAGACCATTTGAGGCTAGAAGCTTACCCCTTATCATTCAGAATACACCTAAAGGCAAAGCAGGTGTGGTAACCAACTTTGACCCTCACAGCTGGATTTCATAGTATCAGAGATTGTTGTCAAGCTTCCAAACTTCCCTAGAACTCAGCAATGTAATAACGTGATCCCATGAAAACATCACTAATTTTGAACTGCTAAAAATAAAAGCAGATGCTTCCCTGTGTATTGAATACCCTTCCTGTGTAATACTGAGGCTTAGATGTTTGTGGTGTCAGCTGCCATCAGGAATTCTTGGCCTTGCAGCAGCGATTCCACTGGTGACAGCAGCGATAAATAACGATGCAGTGAAGTACTTTATCTGGACCTCACATGACTCAAATTTTAACACAGAAGGCTTGAGTTTTCCACTTAGGATCACTTGACTAGCTCTTTATTTAAGTAGGATAAAATGACTGGAGCTTTTTTGTCATTCTCCTCTGATCACTTTTCTTAATGCATTTGTTGGCTTCTCAATGCGAGGTCATCTTAGGTATATTTTTTAAACCTTAAAAGCAACTTCAAACAATATTTCTTTCAAAATTCTGGTTCTGAGCCCAGCTTGTATTTCCCGCATGGGCTGGGCTGCAAAAACAAACAAACACACACGATAAATAAAATTCTGGTTCCATAATCAAACCAAACCTTACCCGTGCCAGGCAGTCACTCGATTGGAAGTCCGTCTTCCCACCTTTTGAGAAGCGGCGTTTGTCATTGCTTGTGGTCAGAGGAGCATCTGTCTTTGGAATTCTATGCTCTGTCCCTCTGTCCACTTCTGACCTCTCTAGATGGGGTCCAGCCACCTCCTTGAGAGAATCTGGGCCATTTTCTAGCTGAAAGACATGGCCGTTTCCAAGTTCAGGGTCAGGGCCGTTCTCCAGCTCAGTGCTGGGGTCACTGGACACCTCACAGCCAGCGCTGCCCTTGGATTCTTCAGGGGCCTTGTTGGCAGGAGGCCTGGAGATGACCCCAAACTTTCTGGTTCGTTTCCCCTTTTTCGCAGTTCGGTCACCCAGCTCCAAGGTAGGTGTTTCTCCTGGTTCAGAGCTGTTGCTACTGTTGCCATTATAAGTGGAGTGGGCTTTGTGCTTAAAGCGACGCAGCATGATCAGGTAGATAAAGCCGCCATTCCAGCACTGCTCAGCCAGGTAACTGCAACAGACAGAGAGGTGCCAGTTAGAACCCCACACACCCTTCCTAGACAGCACAGCAGACAGACGCGTTCAAGGGTCCACCCAAGTGACGACCAGTTGGCCGATGGACTGAGGTATTGAGCTTCCTAAAGAGATTCAACACCCAATTCATTCTTTTCATCTATGTAATAATTGATACAAACAATTACCCCCAAACTCCCAAAACAAACACAAAACCCCATGAACTAGAAATGACTAATTTAAGTACCGTAGGATCAGGAGTTGGAGAAGGATTTTTCTAGGAACAGAGCCAATGCTAACATATCATTAAAAAATAAAATTCTTCTTCACTCCAACCATTTCTTGCATCGGAATTATGCTAGGCTCCCATCCATATAGTTCCAATGGAATAAAACTATGAGTCCCCAGGGTAAAGAATGGATAGAGTGGATTAGGGGAAGTATAAAGTTCTGCTCTTAGGAGCAAATAATCAACAGCACAACAATGGGAGCCTATGCCTCACTGAGTAGGGGTAACAGGTAATGACTGGTATTAAAAGCCAACTGATGGCTGGGTGCAGTGGCTCACACCTGTAATCCAGCGCTTTGGGAGGCCAAGTGGGCAGACCACTTGAGTCCAGGGGTTTGAGACCAGCTTGGGTAACATAGCGAAACCCCGTCTCTATTAAAAATACAAAAATTAGTCCGGTGTGGTGGTCCCTGCCTGTAATCCCAGCTACTCGGGAGGCTGAGGTGGGAGGATCACTTGGGCCTGGGAGACAGAGGCTGCAGTGAACCGAGATCACGCCACTGCATTCCAGCCTGGGTGACAGAGTGAGACCCTGTCTCCAAAAACACAAAACAAAACAAACAGGCAACTGGCTAAGTAGGCACTGGTGGCAACAGTACACTGTGTTGAATGAGGATCAGGCTCACGCCTTGGTAACAGTCCCAGTTTAGGCTGATCACAGCACACATGGAGTGTCATTTCCAGTCTGGACATCACATTAGGAGGATCACTGACAATGTGGAAAACACATAGACAAAGAAGGACCAGGACAAAAGGCTGTTGGAGACTGTGTCAACCAGGAACAGTCGGAGGAATAAAGGACGCTCAGCATGGAGAGGGGTCAGGGTCAGTCGCTTTTTCATATATGTGAGGGCTGGCAGGTATTTAGAAGCAGGAAGTAATACAAAGGAGATAAGGTATGTGAAGCATGACATGATAACTGCTCCAGATCTTAAAGAACGATAAGAAAATACAACATCAAATGAAATGAGTAATTAGGGGTATTCGGGACCGGATCATCAAAGCTTGGGCAAAGAAAACCCTTGTGCAAAGTCAGGAAACCAGGCTGGGCTGGACCCTCCACTCATGCTACCTAAGATAAAGCAGCACAAATCCCTGATGAACCCAGGACAACGCCTTCTCCACTGGAATCTTGCCACATTCTACACATCACTCGTTCCCAAGCAAAAGTGTCAACAACCAAATCCTTCACAAATCAGATCTGCTTCTGGACTTCTTATGCTCACGCAGCAAAAGCCTGGGGCTACATGCAATGCTGCCTCTGAAGAAATGATGACTGCAGGTAAACAGACATTAACATGCCTTCTGGGATCTTGTCAGCAGGGAAATCAGACCTGAGAGCTGGGGCAGTCATTACATTACATTGGAAGGAGGCCAGATCATCAAAGTCCTCCTCTCATCTCATAGTGAGCTTTCACTTAGGTAGCAGGCAAGGGAGCGGGAAGGAGAGGTGACCAGATGTGCTTGAAATGCACTAAATTCTGGCCCAAAGGCATATATTCCCCATACCTAATGGTCACGTTAATGGAATGACAGTGACTGTCTAATTAAAGGAGAGAATAATTCTGAATTTTTGCCATAGAATAAAGTGAACAACAACAACAAAAAAGGTGGGGGGTACTCATGACTCAAACATCAACCAAACCTTCTTTGATCCCAGGCTAGAAACCATGGTAGTAAACTTACATGTACAAAAACAGGCAGATAAAAGATACTGTACAGACGCCAGGTCACCGTGCAAAATACAGAGGGACAAAGAGGCATTAAGACCATCCACTAGGCCAGGTGCGGTGGCTCATGCCTGTAATCCTTGCATTTTGGGAGGCCGAGGCAGGAGGATAACCTGAGGTCAGGAGTTCCAGAACAGCCTGGCCAACATGGTGAAACCTCGTCTCTACTAAAAATACAAAAGTTAACCACAGGCATGGTGGTGCGCGGCTGTAGTCTCAGCTACTCAGAAAATTGAGGCACGAGAATCGCTTGAACCCGAAAGGCAGAGGTTGCAGTGAGCTGAGATCGCGCCACTGCACTCCAGCCTGGGCGACAGAGCAAGACTCCATCTCAAACAAACAAACAAACAAACACCATCCACTAGTCTCAAAAATAAAAATTGAACCTGTCTCTCAGCACAATTTTTCTATAACGTATAGATTTCATTTCTTTGCATTGTAAACATTTTTTCCATACTGGAAAAATCCTTGGAGAGGTATAAAATCCTAAAAGTAGGTAGCCAGGTTGTAAGATTTTCTTTCAGAAAAGCACTACTATTTAAATACATGTGCTCAGATGTCAACAAATCAGTGCAGGGCATAAACACAAGACTAGATTGAGAGTGGGATGCCCAAGTCCTCATTCTGGCTTTGACCTAACATTAAAACAATGGCAACAGTTTTCCATCACACCTGACAGCTGGGTCTTCCATTCCATCAACTGATGAACAGATAAACAACTGTTGATATATCCATATAATGGAATATTCTTTGTCAGTAAAAAAGGAATAAATTATATGCTACAACATGGGTGAAACCTGGAAACATTATGCAAAGTGAAAGAAGTCAGACCACAAAAAGCTACATGATTCCATTATATGACATGTCCAGAACAGGCAAATCCATAGAGACAGAAAGATTAGTGCTTGCCAGGAGCTGGGGGAGAGGGGAATTGGGACTCACTGCTAATAGATCCAGGGTTTTGTGGGGGTGAAGGAAATGTTCTGGAATTAGTGGTGACGGTTGCCCAACCCAGCACTAAAACTCACTGAAATGTACACTTTAAAATGGTGAATTTTCTGTTATGTGAATATGTCTCGGTTTTTAAAAAACAGTGAACATAGTATTATTGGGCAAATTTTGTGTTCCTAGTGAATACAGTATTATTATGGGCAAATTTTGAGTTCATTCTTTGAGTAGGTGCCTCATAGACACTATTTACCTAAGAACGGTCTTAACAGAAGATGAAACTGCAGCTTGGAAATATCAATCAGCTTGCCCAAGTTCACATCACTACTGAGCAGCAGATCCAAACCTGCCTGATTCCAAAGCCTATGCTCTGCCCACTGTGCAATTCTTTTTAAGTCACGGTCAACCCTGCACTTTAGTTTCCTCATCTGTAAAGTGAGGGTGTTAAAATGGATCATCTCATTTGTTTTCACATTCTAATAATTGTGAACACTAGTTTCCCAGGAAGAATTCTGGGGATAAGAGGAGCAAGTCATCCCAACAGTATTGATCTGGTGCACAGCACAAAACATAAACCTGGAAAAAATGATTTTTTTTTTTTTTTTTTGAGACAGAGTCTCACTCTGTTGCCCAGGCTGGAGTGCAGTGGCACAATCTCAGCTCACTGCAACCTCCAGCTCCTGGGTTCAAGGGGTTCTCCTGCCTCACCCTCCCGAGTAGCTAGAATTACAGGTGCCCACCACCATGCCCGGCTAATTTTTTTGTATCTTAGTAGAGATGGGGTTTCACCATGTTGTCCATGGTGGACAGGCTGGTCTGGAACTCCTGACCTCAGGTGATCCACCCACCTCAGGCTCCCAAAGTGCTGGGATTACAGGCGTGAGCTACCACTCTTGGCCAGAAATATTCATTTTATCTCCAAGTTGTCTTAGGCCTCTGAAACATTTACGATCATCCTGAAAAAGATTTAGCTCGGAGACAAAATTCATTTAAAATTGCTTTTTGGGAATCTACTTTTTATTAAATACGTTAAATCTCTAAACAACACGATGAGTGGTATGCAGAGACCTTTTCAGTACCAAAAAGTCTGGCCTATTGATTCAGAGTATAAGAACTTAGATATCTTTCTCCCCTGTACTCTCATGGAAGTTCCAAGAAACTTGGAAGGTGCCTGTGACTGAGACAGTATTTTACTTCTTCTGCAGGGTCCATTCTTGGCAAAATGACAAAGCCAAGAGGAGTTTATCTTGAGTTCAGCACCATCTCCCTGTCCTCTCCAGCTTCCTGGCAATAAATAAGACCCTGTCACCTTAAAGAAACTGTATGACAGGTTATTTTATTCCTTCCTGGACACTGAATTTTCTAAGGTCTTCCTGCAGACAAAGGGCAATGAATGAATTACGGATGCTGCAGCAAGCTGGTGAGAGACTTTAAATAGGGGGTATTTTCTTAGAATTCTTTTTTTTTTTTTTGAGATGGAGTCTCGCTCTGTCGCCCAGGCTAGAGGGCAGCGGTGCAATCTTGGCTCACTGCCAACTCCGCCTCCCGGGTTCACACCATTCTCCTGCCTCAGCCTCCTGAACAGCTGGGATTACAGGCACCTGCCACCACACCTGGCTAATTGTACTTTTAGTAGAGACGGGGTTTCACCATGTTAGCCAGGATGGTCTCGATCTCCTGACCTCGTGATCCGCCCACCTCGGCCTCCCAAAGTTCTAGGATTACAGGCGTGAGCCACCATGCCTGGCCATTCTTAGAATTCTTTAAACCACCTTCAACATGAGGCCTCCGCATTCTCCATCCATGTGTATTTAAATGATTTATGTAACTTTTCCAACCCCTTCTGACTATTTCATACATTCAAGTCCCTTTTTCTGTTCAGTAGGATCCTTACCCAGCATTAGAATCATTACAGTAAACTCTGAAGTCAGTATTTGAGAAAGAAATGGAATACAATCATGTCCTCTAGAAAAACAGAAGGCTTCCTCTCCATAAACAGGTATGGTTAGTCTTTCAGATGCTTCTCCATCACATATTTTTTTAATTTGCAATTTTCCTCTGGCATGCAAAATTATTAATTCAATTAAGATTTATTTGACTTTGACCTTTGCAGGATGACTTTAAGACAAATGGAAAGACCACAGTATCCAGAAATGCGGTTCTGAGTTTTAGCCTAGAACTTTCCCTCTGAAATCTATTGTAGTTCTCTTTAAGAGACACAGTCTCACTCTGTTGCCCAGGCTGGAGTGCAGTGGTGTGATTTCAGCTCACTGCAGCCTCCACCTCCCAGGTTCAAGTGATTCTCCTGCCTCAGCCTCCCAAGTAGCTGGGATTACGGGTGCACGCTACCATGCCTGCCTAATTTTTTGTATTTTCAGTAGAGACAGGGTTTTGCCATGTTGGCCAGGCTGGTCTCGAACTCCTGGCCTCAAGTGATCCGCCCGCCTCAGCCTCCCAAAGTGCTGGAATTACAGGAGCGAGGCACTGCGTCTGGCCAGTTGTAGTTCTTTACCTCACCAGGCCTATTCTGGACACATCACGTCCTCCTCCTTTTCCCGCAAAAGGTGCCTTATCTCAAAGAAAGTTTTGAGCAACTCCTCTGTTCCTTGATGCTCTATCATAATTCTGGAGTCTGGGCTCTCCAAGGGTGGGAGTCCTGGGAAGAGGTTGGCGGGTGAGGGTGGGGGCTTAGAACAGCTGGAGGAATAAAGCTGCCTGGAGTTTAAAGACCAAGAAAGACAAGAAAATAGATAAGAGAGGGCCAAATACAGGGAGATGTCAGAAAGCTGAAGACATACACAATTTATCTATGCCGGGATTCTATTAAAAGAGGGCTTGAGGCAGCTGTATAGTTTTGATATTTGACTGTTTTGCCAAAACCTTTGGAAGAAACAATTTCCAGGTACCTCTGAAAATCATCCTGGGCATTCAGCCATCAATTATTAATGCCTGTCACATAGTGTGAACCCATGGCGGGTACTGCCAAGCTGAACCATGGATGTCTATGTGTGCAATTCAAAGTAACTTGGGGCCAGACGCTGTGGCTGACACCTACAATCTCAGAGCTTTTGGAGGCCACGGTAGGAGGGTCGCTTGAGCCCAGGCGTTCAAGACCAGCCTGGGCAACATGGCAGGAAGCTGTCTCTACTTTAAAAAAAAAAAAACAAAACTGGCCAGGCGCGTTGGCTCACGCATGTAATTCCAGCACTTCAGGAGGCCAAGGCGGGTGGATCATGGGGTCAGGAGTTCGAGACCAGCCTGACCAACGTGCTGAAACCCCGTCTCTACTAAAAATACAAAAATTAGCCGGGCGTGGTAGCACGTGCCTGTAATCCCAGCTGCTCAGGAGGCTGAGGCAGGAGAATCGCTTGAACCTGGGAATCGGAGGTTGCAGTGAGCCAAGATGGCACCAGGGCACTCCAGCCTGGGCAACCGAGGGAGACTCTGTCACAAAAAAAAAAAAAAAAAAAAAGAAAGAAGAAAAAAAGGAAAAGAAAGAAACAAAAAAACAAAGTAACTTGTATCACCACCACTGGGCACTGGCTTGTACTACAATGCCATAAACACAAGAGAATTCTGAAGACTTTTCACCAAAGCAGGCACTCTTACTTCATCTGAGTATGTCAGGTCCCTACACAGACAACAGGAGAATAAACACCAACCACAAGGGGATGTTTACAGATGAGTTATTATGACAGGGTCTGAGTTTATAGGACAGTACTAGCTGCTAATAGTCACCTTGTTGGACACACAGGATGGACGGAGAGCAATTAATTGTTTGTGCCCAGGATTTTCCCTCCCCTAAGAAGTAATGGGAGGCTACAAAGCTGTTTGTGGTCTTTTGAAAACCTGCTAAGCCTAATTAACTCAGAGAACTGTCTGATGCTGTAAATCTACAGGTTCCCAGAGAACAACTGGTTGAGAGGAAGTGTTAAATCTATACAGATTAATTTCCCAGGGAAGTCCTAGCTGAGAAATGGGGGCAAGTTTGGACAGCTCCATAAGAGGGATGGGACCCAGGTTGCCAAGGGCACTCTCTCTCAGGTATCGCCTCCCTACTACACTGAATTTCCTCACAGATTCCAAAAGCCTCCCTAGACAGAGTCAAATTGTCCTTAGGGGACTCAAGGTGGAATTTTTTTGGCTGAATACTGTCTAGTAAGAGTGGCTGATATCCCAGCCTGAGCAGCATAGTGAGACTCCATCTCTACAAAAAATTAACAGGTGTGGTGGTGCACACCTGTACTCCCAGCTACTTGGGAGCCTGAGGCGGGAAGATCGCTTGAGCCTAGGAGGTCGAGGCTGCAGTGAGCCATGACTCTGCCACCTCACTCCACCCTTGGTTACAGAGTAAGACCTTGTCTCAAAAAAAAAAAAAATAAATAAAAAAAAAGTGACTGATACCTTCAGTGTGCTCATAATACCTTTCCTGAAGATAATCGATTTCTTTGCTAATAAAGAAAGGGAGAGAGAGCAAGCCAGGGCTTAGGCATATGAGACTTTGAAAACAGGTCAGAGTCTAGGCCTAGGAATAGATGTGACTAGAACAGTGCACTCCAACTGCTCGCTGAAGGAAGAGACTGAGGAAGTCACTACCAACTACTTCTCACCTCCTCTACTCAGCATAAATGGCTGGGGCTGAGCACCGCCTCCCTCCTCTCCCTTATCTGGAATCTAGAGCAGGGAATATGATATGGTTTGGCTGGGTGCCCACCCAAATCTCATCTTGAATTGTAGCTCCCATAATTGCCACATGTCATGGGAGGGACCTGGTGGGAGGTAACTGAATCATAGCAGTGGGTGTTTCCCGTGCTGTTCTCGTGAGAGTGAGTAAGTCTCACGAGATCCGATGGTTTTATAAAGGGAAATTCCCCTGCACATGCTCTCTTGCCTGCTGCCATGTAAGATGTGACTTTGCTCCTCATTTGCCTTCTACCATGATTGTGAGGCCTCCTCAGCCACATGGAACTGTAAGCCCATTAAACTTCTTTCCTCTATAAATCACCCAGTCTCGGGTGTGTCTTTATTAGCAGCGTGAAAAACTAATACAGAATACAAATAAACAAATATGTCTTCTTCATTACAAAATGTGTACATTTAATTATTGTTATCACAAAATTTAAATTGGGAGACACACGCTGAGTGAAGAAATAATTAGGGTAAATATTTATTCGAGATTTTTTTCTGACCAATGATACATTATTAGTCATTCACGCCCAATTCAAATTATCAACTACCAAATCTTGTTACCATTACATAGTTTATTGTTTGTTTCTGAGACACGGTCTCACTATGTCCCTGGAATGCAGTAGCACAATCATGGCTCACTGCAGCCTCAACCTCCCAGGCTCAAGCAATCCTCCTGCCTTGGCCTCCCAAAGTGCTGGCATTACAGGTGTGAGCCACTGCACCCAGACACCACATAGTTTAGCAGTGGAATTTAAGTCACACTCATCTATACACCAAGACAGAGGTCCATACTGCCCTGAAGGAACTGGGGCTTAGGAAGCCAGTGCAAATATGCTGATACTCTGGATACTGCTATTTCTGTCAGTAATGAACGTTTTTCATCTTTGAGCCAGGAGTCTGTCTTCTGCCGACATCCATAAAACTCTGGTGCATTAGCTTGGTAGCTTACGAGTAAAACCATAGTTCTCGATGTATAATGGGAAAATACACAAAATAAGTCAGTTTATAATTGGTCTTTTCCCCAACATTAAGCCTGTAAAAGGAGCTCAATGACATTCTATTCTTGATACCAATGATTAATATAAACCAATACGCATCTTAAAACTCAAACCAATATTGAAAATAATTTTTTTTTTCTTTTTTCTTTTTTGTGAGACAAGATCTCACTCTGTCGCCCAGCCTGAAATGCAGTGCTGCAAGCATAACTCACTGCAGCCAGCTGGGTGCGGTGGCTCAAGCCTGTAATCCCAGCACTTTTGGAGGCCAAGGTGGGCAGATCACCTGAGGTCGGGAGTTAGAGACCAGCCCGGTCAACATGGTGAAACCCCATCTCTACTAAAAATACAAAAATTAGCTGGGCGTGGTAGCGGGTGCCTGTAATCCCAGCTACTTGGGAGGCTGAAACAGGAGAATTGCTTGAGCCCTGGAAGTGGACACTGCAGAGCGCCAAGATGGCACCACTACATTCCAGCCTGGGTGACGGAGTGAGACTCTGTCTCAAAACAAAATGAAACAAAACAAAACAAACCTCATTGCAGTCTTGAACTCTTGGGTTCAAGTGATCCTCCTGCCTCAGCCTCCCAAGTGGCTGTGACTATAGGCGCAGGCCACCACTCCCAGCTAGTTTATTTTTTGTATGATAGAAATGGGGTCTTGCTATGTTGCCCAGGCTGGTCTCAAACTCCTAGCCTCAAGTGATTCTCCTGCCTCGGCCTCCCAAAGTTCTGGGATTACAGGCATGAGTCACTGAGTCCAGCTGAAAATAAACTTCTCTTTAAGAGAGAACAGAGGTAGAATTATATTAAGAGGAGTAAGAAAGAGATAGATATTTTACTCTATGATTGCATAACACTCTAACTAAATTCAGGATACCAGCTTCTAAGGCAGCAGCTACATTTGTGTCAATCAGCATTAAGTGTCCATCCTCCACCTTTCCCTGGTTAAATTCCACCTCTTGGCACTCATTGGACCATTAGCTGCAATATCCCTCTGTGCTGAAGCAGAGGTAGTTCTTTTTCTGTTTACTGCTAAGAGCTCCTAGATTTAAGGAGTACGAAGAGGGAGAACTACAGAAAACACCAGATAAAAAGCAGCTAAATGATATGATCAATGAAAAAAATTATTTTGATCTCCATGCAACAAAGTTTCACTTTCATATTGATCTTGAAAGTTCACATCTCGAACTATCATGAATGACTTAAATTTACACTCTTACAACAAAGTAACTCCACCAATATGATGCACTGCACATTTCAACTCCCATAAAGCATCACAGGAAGGGAATAACAGTATGGCCTTTCTATCACGTAAGCTTACATGAAGATTTGGTTTCCTCAAAGGTTTTCATGCACCTCCTTTCTTTATGAATCAATAAAAGCGTTTTACAGCACCCATACACCTGTTGGAAATAGGAACTCAGAAGCTAAATGAAGCAGAAAATTCTTGATCAACAATGAGAACTGATTTTATAAAACGTACTGCAGAGATACTGGCCCTAAAAAGAGAGAGAATCTCTAGGCTTCTATTTGCCAGTGATTGCATTTCTTTATTAAATTACTGTGAGTGGATCAAGGTTCCTTATAATTCTCTAAGATTTACCTGCAGTCTATACACAATCAAATTAGAACTCTAGACACACAGCTCTACCACACAACTTATCTTGATGAGGTTTGCCACATTTTCCTGGAGGGGTGGTACAACAGGGAGTGGTGGGAGTCAGACTTTGCTGTACATGATTGAGTCAGTCTCACCTCATCAGGGAACTGAGGAACATCAGAACACATATGTAGGAACTCATTTCACTTTTCTTCCTCTTGACATGATGCTATTTTTGTTCATAAAATTACTAGTTGTTCATTACAAATTCACTCACTCATTATTCATTCAAATAGTTACTGAATAACTACTACAAGCCAGGCACTGTTATAGGCATTTGAGGACACAGAAGTGAACCAAGATTCCTGTCTTTGTGGAGCTTACAATCTAGTGGGGCAAACAGACATGATACACCTATTAAAGTAAGCATCCATCTATAAGGTGTGTTAGAAAGTGAGATGGGCTACAAGAAATAGAAAACACTGAAAAGGCTGGGTGCTGTGGCTCACATCTGTAATCCCAGCACTTGGGGAGACTGAGGCGGGTGGATCATTTGAACTCAGGAGTTCAAGATCAGCCTAGGCAACATGGTGAGACCCCATGTCTATAAAAAATACAAAAATTAGGCAGGTGCAGTTGTGTGCACCTCTGGTCCTAGCTACTTGGGAGGCTGAGGCTAGAGAATCGCTTGATCCTGGGAGGCAGAGGCTGTAGTGAACCAAGACTGCGCCATTGCACTCCAGCCTGGGCAATGGGAGTGAAACCCTCAACGAAACACTGAACAGGCTACAAAGGTTCCAGCATGCAAAGGGTTGGAAGTCAGGTTGAAATTTTAAATTCTGCAGTTAGAGTAGCCCCACTGGGAAGAATACATTGAATAAAGACTTGAAGAAGGCAAAGAGTTGGCCGTGCAGCTACCTGGGAGAAGAATGTTCCAGACAGAGGGAACAGCCAGTGTAAAAGTGGTAAACTGGAATCATACCTGCTGTGTTGGAGAAACAGCAAGGAGGCCTTTGTGGCTGAAAAGTAGTGAGTGAGGAGTAATAGGAGTTAAGTTAGGAGAGGTAACAGAGACCCATTTATGCAAAGACTTCTAGGCTGTTGTTAAAGACCTTTGTGCAAATGGGGAGCCACTGAGTTTTGAGCAGAGGAGGAATGTGAAATGTATTATGTTTTAATATGACCCCTTTGTTTCTGTGTTGGGAATAGGTTAGAAGCAGAGACCAGAGAGAATAACATCTACAGGAATTCCAGTGAGGGAAAAGGTGGCTCACTGTAGAATAGCAGTGAAAATGGTAAGAAATGGCCAAAATCATCATCAATTATGAAGCTAGAGACAACAGCTTTTGCTTTTTGATTGGATATGGGATGTGAGGAGTCGAGATGGTACTATGGTTTTAGTGTATGTGTCCCTCCAAAATCCCAGTGTTGGAACTTAAATCCCAATGTGATAGCATTAAGAGGTGAGGCATTTAGGATGTAATTATATCATGGGGCCAGAGGCCTCGTGAATGGGATTAGCTACCTAATAAAAGGACTGGAAGAACTAGCAAGGCCTTTTCTGCTCTTCCATTCTTCCTACTGTAAGAGGACACAGCGTTTATCCCCTCTGGAGGATGGAGCAACAAGGTGCTATCTTGGAAGCAGAGCCCACACCCTTACTAGACACCAAGCTTGCTGGTGCCTTGATCTTGGGCTTCCCAGCCTCCAGAACTGTGAGAAATAAGTTTCTGTTTTCATGAATCACCCAATCTGTGGTATTTTTGTTATAGCAGCACAAATGGACTGAGACAGGTGGTGTCTAGGTATCTGAGCACCTGAAAGGATGGAGTGAGCAGTCATCACCTGAGGCTGTAGAGCAGCTTTCTGGGGAAGGGTCTATCTGACCTATTCTGAATGCATAGATCTATTCAGAAGTTCTGGACACCTTGAGTTTGAGGTGCTCATGTGGTAGTTGTGAGGCAGCTGGATATCTGAATGGATTTGGGAGCAGCAGACTGGTCCGAAGATAAAAGTGTGCAAAGTGTCAGCATGTTGATGGTGAAGTCTCCTGAAGATAAATACCTTTAGGGGGATTTCCTAGGTCAAAGGTCTTACTGGATCATAAGCACATTCAAATTCTTTCATATGTACTGCCAATCTTTCCTTTAGCAAGAGGGTGACAATTTAGAATCCCATCAGTGGTGTCTTAGAGAACCCATGTGTTCCTGAATATTGTCACTCTTTTTTTTTTAATTATTTATTTTTGAGGTGGAGTCTCACTCTGTCACCCAGGCTGGAGTGCAGTGGCGTGATATCGGCTCACTGCATCTTCCACCTCCCAGGTTCAAGCAATTCTCCTGCCTCAGCCTTTGGAGTAGCTGGGATTATAGGCACCCACCATCATGCCCGGTTAATTTTTGTATTTTTAGTAGAGACAAGGTTTCTTCACGTTGGCCAGGCTGGTCTCGAATTCCTGACCTCAAGTGATCTGCTCACCTTAGCTTCCCTAAGTGCTGGGATTACCAGCGGGAGCCACTGTGCTCTTCTGACTCTTTACAATCTTGTCACTCTTGTCGCTCTTTATAATCCTTGCCAGTCTAATAACCAAAATCTACCTCACTTTACTTCAAATCCACAAGTCAGTGATGACTACTGAGGTCAAAATTCTTAGTAGTCATTTGTCTTGAGAATTGCCTATTTTTGCCCTTTGTAAAACTATTTAGTCGGGCCGGGCGCGGTGGCTCACGTCTGTAATCCCAGCACTTTGGGAGGCCGAGGTGGGCGGATCACCTGAGGTCAGGAGTTCGAGACCAGCCTCAACATGGAGAAACCCTGTCTCCACTAAAAATACAAAATTAGCCAGGGGTGGTGGTGCATGCCTATAATCCCAGCTACTCGGGAGGCTGAGGCAGGAGAACTGCTTGAACCCGGGAGGCGGAAGTTGCGGTGAGCCGAGATCACACCACTGCACTCCAGCCTGGGCAACAAGAGCGAAACTCCGTCTCAAAAAATAAATAAATAAATAAATAAACTATTTAGTCTGTGCACCCTCATGCACCAGCACAGTGGCGGCACCACAAAAAAATGCTGGTCCATGAAAAGATCCATTAAAAACAAAAAAAGAGACTCTTTAAAAGATGACTTTACTGAGGCATATCCAACATATATAATTCATCTGTTTCAAAGGTATAATTCAGTGATTTTTAGGAAATTTACCAAGTTGTGTGACCATCACCATAAATCAGTTTAGGACATTTTCATCACTCTAATAAGATCCCTCATGCCCACTTCACAGTTAATGCCCATTCTAATCCCAGCCACCACTTTCTATCTCTAGAGCCACTTACCCCCTACAAAATCTCAATTTGTGAGAACATATCCATTGTTTTTTTTTTTTTTTTTTTTTTTTTTGGAGAGGGGGCCTTGCTCTGTCACCCAGCCTGGAGTACAGTCGTGTAATCTCAGCTCACTGCAACCTCTGCCTCCCAGGCTCAAGCCATTCCCCCACCTCAGCCTCCTGAGTAGCTGGGACTACAGGTGTGCACCACTATGCAATAGCTAATTTTTTGTATTTTTGGTAGAGACAGGGTTTCACCATGTTGCCCAGGCTGGTCTCGAACTCCTGAGCTCAAGCGATCTGCCCACCTCAGCCTCTCAAAGTGCTGAGATTACAGGCATGAGCCATCGTGCCTGGCTGAACATGTCCTTTTGGTGTTATCTTTCTCACTTTCCTTCTCACTTTCCTAACATGCCCCATTACCCTGAAGAGACAGATCTCATAGTCCCGCTAGCATCTCACACATCCCTTCCCCTCACATCAGTCCAGTGAGTATCTACCATTCCATTTAGTTTAGGCCATGAATCCCCTGGTGGCCCCTTCCACCTCCAAAGCATCCTCTCCACATTATTCCCACCATTCCAACGTCACAAATCAACTCCACTTTGTCATCATGCAACCAAGTCTTTCCTCATTAACAAAAGCTCCAAACACTGCTAAAGTAATAGTATATGACATGTTTTCGTTTTTATCTATCCAGGCTGCTGTAACAATTACTGTAGGCTGGGTAGCTTATTAACAACGGAAATTTATTTCTCACAGTTCCGGAGGCTGAAAGTTCAAGATCAAGGTGCAGCAGACTTGACGTGTGGTGAGGGCCACTTCCCATTTCACTGATGGCGCCTTTGTGTTTTGTCTTCATATGGTGGATGAAGTAAAGGAGCTCTCTGGAGTCTGGTTGTTTTTTTTGTTTGTTTGTTTGTTTTTTGAGACAGAATTTCGCTCTTGTTGCCCAGGTTAGAGTGCAGTGGTGCAATCTCGGCTCACCCCAACCTCCCCGCCTCCTGGGTTCAAGCAATTTTCCTGCCTCAACCTCCCTAGTAGCTGGGATTACAGGCATACGCCACCATGCCTAGCTAATTTTGTATTTTTAGTAGAGACAGGGTTTCTCCACGTTGGTCAGGCTGGTCTCGAATTCCCAACCTCAGGAGATCCACCCACCTCAGCCTCCCAAAGTGCTGGGATTATAGGCGTGAGCCACCGTGCCCAGCTTGTTTTTTGTTTTTGAGACACAGTCTCACTCTGTCGCCCAGGCTGGAGCACAGTGGTGCGATCTCGGCTCACTGCAACCTCTGCCTCTCGGGTTCAAGCCATTCTCCTACCTCAACCACCCGAGTAGATGGGATTACAGACATGCACCACCACGCCTGGCTAATTTTCGTATTTTTAGTAGAGATGGGGTTTCACCATGTTGGCCAGGCTGGTCACGAACTGAAGTCTCTTTTATAAGTGCACTAATCCCATTCATGAAGGCACCACCCTCATGATCTAATCACCTCCCCAAGGCCTCACCTCCAAATACTTTTGCATGGGGGATTAGATTTCAATATGTCGATTCCGGGTGGAGAGACCATTCAGTCTATAGCAGTTGTGTATGCTAATATATTCATGTTACCATGCAATCATATCAACTGCATTTTATTTTTTACTTTCTCTATGTATTTGTGTCCAAATCTCTCTACTTTCTTGGCCCAGCTCATGTGCTAATAAGCTTCCAAACCTCCCCTGTGCCCTGCTCCCTGGACCAGCCAAAAACATGTATTTCCTATCACAGGGGGCTTTGCTATGACTTGTCCTTCAGAGCTGAAGATTGCCCAGGGCTGAAAAACAGAAAATCCAGGGCATCCTCCTCCCCAAGTCTTCAGCCCTGCCAGGTGCACTGCCCGTGGCAATTCCTGTGCTTTCCTACACATAGCAGTGCCCTTAGCCTTGCCTTGGAAGAGGCTACTATCAACGCCCAGGGATAACTGAGGGCAGACCGTATCTCAGAGATTATGTCTGATGTATCTTCTAACCTCAAGGCCACCACACCCTGAAAAGTGTGTCAAAGATGATCTAAGGGCTGAGTTGCACACTGCCCCTGCCACATCTCCCATGTTCCTCCACTGTGAGAGCTGCTGGCACATTTGCCATTTCTGCCTGACTTTCTCCAAACCAGCCAAATCCAACAGGTCACAACGGGCCAGTAAGTAATCCTCAAGCCCGCATAGTGCAGCATCCAAAAGGCGGCCACTCTCCTTACCTTCCTCAGAGGTGACTCTAAAAGAAGGCAGATTCCCGTGGGTCCATGTATCTCAGAAGGCACTTGATGCTCCTCACACACAAATTCAAACATTGACGGCATGTCTGTACCCTCCAGTTCCCTTCCCTTTCAAGTGGATCCAGCTCCATCTTGAAACAATTTCCCCAGCTTGCCTCAATTCTTCCCAGCGTCCGCTCCATTCCCTGGGCCAGAGCCTGCTTCCACCTTGTGCCAAGCCTGGTTTCACTTATGTCAAAACAGCTTCCATCAAAATAGTGGGCTTCTTTTCTGAATTTACTTCACAATTTTGAAACCAGCAGAGAAAAGATATTCAAGAAATTGCAAAAATGACTATCCCCATCAACATGTTCTGGCTAAGGTCACGCACTGTTCTCCTGAATCTCTTCTCTACAGTGTACGGAGCATTTTTGAAGATCTGATTTTCTCTTTCTTTTCAGAGGCTCTGTGGCAGGCAGGCTGGTGGGGCCGGCAAGTCCCCTAATCTACGATGGCTCATGCAGACTGGCTTGCTAAGTTCTGTGACCTTCCTCCCCAAGCAAAGGATACTCCTTAGAAGCCAAGTTAGTCGGATATTTTCCCTGTTGTTCATCTGTCTTCACAATTCTTTCGAATTTTTCCTCTTGGTTTATAGGACTTTGATTACAAGAAAACTAAACCAACAGAACCCTGGCCTAGAAAAACGGATAAGCCATGTCTTTACAGATGTTGACAGAGCAACTTTTAAGTCTTGGATTCTGATCAGTGCACTCTTCATGGGTCTGTTGACAACTGAAACTGTGATGGGTTCAATCTCTCTGCGACCCCTGGTTCTCAGTTATATTCAGACAGGAAAATGCAGAGGCATTTGAATTTATCTACTGGGATTTAATTTAAAAATAATGGTAAGTGAAGCATTAAGGAAACCCTAAATTGTTGGATGCACAAACACAAATGTTGAAAATGCAAAGCTTGCTTTTAATGGTATGTTTATTTTAGGAGTTCCAAAAACTAACGTGGGTTTTATAAAAGACATGGGGGGAGGTACAATATTAACTACAGTACCTATAGTCTGTGTACTGTGTTAACTGCACACACACATCAGCTCATTTCAATCTAAAACAACCCTACCAAGGTAGAATTCATAATCTGTCTTTTAAAGGTAAGAAAACTGAGGTTTAAAGAGATTAACTCGCCCAAGGTCAGAAAGCTGAAAACAGTAGAGCTGGGATTCAACTCTGCCTCTGTCTGATTCCCAAAAAACAAAACAAAAACCCTTACCATGACCTTGGGATTCCCTATGCCAAAGTCCCATCCTAATGCTGCTCATCATGACCAGGTTTGGATGAGGAGAAGGGCTGCAGCTTCAAACAACCCAAGGAGGACTTGCCCCACTTTAACTTGATAAAGGATTGCATTTTAAGTGTTTTGGTTGGTGTTTTTTTTTGGAGACGGAGTTTCACTCTTGCCCAGGCTGGAGTGCAATGGTGCGATCCAGGCTCACCGCAACCTCTGCCTCTTGGGTTCAAGTGATTCTCCTGTCTCAGTCTCCCGAGTAGCTGGTATTATAGGTGTGTGTGCCACCATGCCTGGCTAATTTTTTGTATTTTTTAGTAGAGATGGGGTTTCGCCATGTTGGTCAGGCTGGTCTTGAACTCCTGACCTCAGGTGATCCACGTGCCCTGGCCTCCCAAAGTGCTAGGATTACAGGAGTGAACCACTGCGCCCAGCCGAAGTTTCCATTTTTAAAGCAGCTCCAGAAAGCAGTTTCTTGTAAAGCCCTAGCTCTTAGAGCCGGTAACCTTTGATATGCAAATACAGGCCATTAGAAACTGGGTCTACCCAAACATGGCGATTCTCACTGTTGTCTTCTTGCCCTTGCCCCACACGTGCCTGGCAACATATCCCCCCGTGTGTAGAACATCATGGTGCCCTGTATTTGCATATTAAAAGGCTAGGGTGAGAGGGCCAATGTTTTTGCAGGTTACATGAATGACATGTCTGGTCAAACCAATCCCCTGTGCCCTATGCAAATCAGACACTGCCTCCTCCAGCCTCTACACATACCTGGCTGGTTTCCACCCCACTTGGGGGTCTCTTCTTTTGGCTTTGGAGCTCTCCTCCGTCTCTGTATGGGAGAGCCTCTTCCTTCTGCTTTCTCTTTTCTTTCTTGCTTATTAAACTCTCTACCACTCCTTAAAACCACTCCACGTGTGTCCGTGTCGTTTTATCTAATTTGACTGGAGAGGAAGAACCTGGTGTTGCTCCACTCATCGGAGCCCTATCAGTATTAGGTTGGTGCCATTAAAATGGCAAAAAAACTGGCCGGGCGCGGTGGCTCATGCCTGTAATCCCAGCATTTTGGGAAGCGGAGGTGGGCGGATCACGAGGTCAGGAGATCGAGACCATCCTGGCTAACACGGTACAGTGTAAACCCCGTCTCTACTAAAAATACAAAAAAATTAGCCGGGCGTGGTGGCGGGTGCCTGTAGTCCCAGCTCCTCGGGAGGCTGAGGCAGGAGAATGGCGTGAACCCGGGAGGCGGAGCTTGCAGTGAGCCGAGATCGCGCCGCTGCCCTCCAGCCTGGGCGACAGAGCGAGACTCCGCCTCAAAAAATAAAAATAAAAAAAAGGCAAAAACCGCAATTAGTTTTGTACCAACCAAATATTTCCCAAAAAGGAGATGGTGGGAAGTAACAGTCGTCAAAACAGGCTGGTCAGGAATGGACAGGACTTAGCTAATCTGATGTAAAAGAAGATGGTGGAGGCATATTTGGGAAGCCAGGTTGGATGAAAGGCATCCACAAAGATTTCTGTTCAATCTGTGGGCTGGTAGTGGGAAAAAAACAACAAAAAAAGGCCCCTTCCGATTAGGACTCTCTGTCCCTAATACCTAAAAAGCTTTATCCAAATTCATCTGAATATTAACTATCTGGTGCAAGATTATCCTTTGTTCAGGTCTCAGCACTGCCATTTGGGCCCTTGGAAAAGCCATATAACTTCAGAGATGAGTCCCTCAGGCTCATCTACCTACAGGAGGCTTCAATGGGATAATGGACTCAGATGGTGGGATTCCCACCTGCCACACAGTAAATACCAATTACCGTTAGTTCCTTTCTCAGTCAGAAATGTTCTGAGTAATCAGAGGTCAACTAGTTAAACTGGTCTGCTGTGACTGTCCAGGCTGGAAGCCCTGAAAAGTGAACTCACACAGGGTGGTGGGTCCAAACACGTTCTGTGGTAGGAGTGGGACAAAAGGAACTGTAGCCATGTCTGGAAAAAAAGTATCTCTGGAAAAATCAAGTTCACATGAACAGGCAGAGAGTCAGAAATGGACTCTAAAACTCGAGGGCTGGAAAGCTGGGGCAAATGTACCCTAGAGGCAGAGCCCCTGCTGGCCCCTTGAGGCAAAGACGTATTGTGAGGGCTGGGTGGGCCTACATCATGGCATTGAGAAGGATGGGGGTGTGTGTGGGCATGCCTGGGTGCTGGGCATTGGGGGATTGAGCTAGTATAGACCCTAAGCACAGAGTGGGGCTAACTGCAAGCCACGCTCTTCTGCCAGAGAGAGATGAGACAGATGTTTTTCAAAATACAGACCAATGTTGGACTCTTGTTTTGCTTCCCGGTCCATCAGCTGGAGTCTGACTCTTAACTCCCAGGAAAACAGAACGCCTTCTGGCCTGACCTGAACTCCGAGGATGATCCCAGAGGTCCTGGAATTGCCCCAAGACTCAAGGTGGAGCCTGGGAGGCTGCCCATCCCAGCGAGGCTGCGGGATCAGCTGACCCCTGAATATTCTGTAAAACATGCAGGCTAGGCTGCTCCCACGGACACAAGCAACTACCACGAATAAATCAGATGTACGTGTGTGTGTGTGCACAGCCCCCGCCTCTCCCAGCACCCACCCTGTTCTGGCCTACCGGTCAGAAAAGCTGCTTTCTTATCTTCCCTCCATTTGTCACAAATATTTGGGCAAAAGCCCTTCCTTTTGGCTCATCTGCCTCCTTTAAAAGGAAAAAATCAAGTTTTTCCCTTTCCTGAGGCAGGAGTTTCAAAAGCTCTGTTGTGGTAATATTAAATGTTTAAACATATTACAATGCCATTAGTCAGTCAACATTGTGATGGTTTTTAAATGTCAAGAGAAGGTCTCTGCAGACATCAAAGTCCAGCTCTGGGAGAAAATGCCCACAGCATGAATAGCTGGGGCCTCTGCTCTTGTCTGGCCTGACTTCAGAGGTATGAGCAGGTATGGGCTTTTGAGCCACAAACATGTTTTAGAGTACTAGGAACTCACTTCATTACCAAGTGTTCTCAGCAGGAAATAACAGGCAGACAGCACACACTAGACTTGGAACCCTCCTATTTAGAGAAAACGGAAAGCATCCAAAAGCAAAATCAAAGCCAGGGCCTGCATGGAAAAACAAACACCGAGAAAAATTATTTCTTGAACTTCACACCGGGAAGAGTGTGATCTGGAAGAATCTGGAAGGGGACAGAAACAAAAGCATTTGAACAGAGGAGTTCCTTAAATCTCTGGGTGGGGTAGGGAGGAAACCTTGATAAGAGAGTTTTCCCTTGTGGCACTGTTCCCTTGAGACTCACAAATACTCTTCACAGATACAGGGGCATCCCAACTTGTTCTAGCTCCCCAGGCTGGGGTGCAAACCACACTCCTTCTCCGTGCAGATTGGAGCTTTATGCGGGTGGCAGCAGTCCCAGTTCAGGACTTGAGATACACAATTCACCAGATGCTTAACAGGCTCAAAATAGGTTCCAGGGGAGGCCCAGGACACTGCACTGCCAAGGGCAGAGCACCACTCAACCACGGGGTTCTTGCTATTAACACTTCACACCCTGACTCTCTGCAGACATTTCCTCCTAAGAGACTCGTTGCCGCCCTCTGAGACAAGCTCTTCAGGCCTGCTGAGAGTGTCAGGTGAGATTTATTTATTTTCCCTTCCTGTCCAACTTCCCTAAAGGATTTACGTATTGGCACCACCTGTTCTCAAAAGGGACGGCCTCCAGGTACTTTGGGTTTGAGCAAAAGGAGAGGAGTTAAAGGAAAGACTGCTAAAAGTCAGAAATGACTTAAAGGAAAGAGAAGTTAAGATACACAAGCAGATCTGTGGAAAATGTCAACACTATTTCTTAAGAGAAGAGCTGAAAAAGGGGGTTCTTTAAATCATCAGGCACAAAGTTTATAAGGTCCAATTTCATTGGGAACATCTTCAAAAAACAAATGTGTGGCTAAGTCTAAAGGACCCTTACAAGGCCCTTTCATATGGCTAAAGTTCCAAATCAGAGACTATTGATACCCTGTCTAAAGAAAATTTGTTTTTAAAATTTAGATGACCCAATTCTCTCTCTACCTGGAGCCAGGGTGGTGGATAGAAGGTGGGAGGGAAAGGGTAAAAAAAAGCAGCTGAGACTAGGCTTGGTGGTTCCTGCCTGTAATCCCAGAATCTGGGAGGCCAAGGTGGGCGCAGCCTAGCCAACATAGTGAAACTTTGTCTCTACTAAAAATACAGAAATTAGCCAGGCGTGGTGGTGGATGCCTATAATCCCAGCTAGTTAGGAGGCTGAGGCAGGAGAATCCCTTGAAACCGGAGGCAGAGACTGCAGTGAGCCGAGATTGCGCCACCACACTCCAGCCTGGGCGACAGAGCAAGACATCGTCTCAAAAAAACAAACAAACAAAACAAAGCAACTGAGAGGAAGAACAAATAAGAAAAGTGAGCTTCCTTATGCTATTCTTTTCTTAAATCTCAATAGGATCAATGAATGAAGCTGTATTGTATTTTATTTTTTGAGACAGGATTTCACTCTGTTGCCCAGGTTGGAGTGTATGGTGTGATCACAGCTCACTGCAGCCTCGACCTCCTGAGCTCAAGGGATCCTCTCACTTCAGCTTCCCTAGTAGCTGAGACTACAGGTGCACACCATCATGCCTGGCTAATTTTTTTTTTTTTTTTTGTAGAGACGGAGTTTCGCCATGTTTCCCCAGCTGCCCTCAAACGCCTGGTCTCAAAGTGAACTGCCAGCCTCGGCCTCCCAAAGCGCTGGGATTACAGGCAAAGGAGCTGTATTTTAAATGCCCTGCCTCAGATTTCAAGGCAATGTAGACATCCCTCAGACAACACAAAATCCAACCATTGATCTTTTCCCTGCTTTGTGGGACATGAAGGCTGAATAAAGAAAACACATAACTCCCCCAGCCTGCATCCCCAAAAGGGGAATTCCTGATAAGGCAGTCAATAGCAGACCTAGAAGGGGGTCAGTCTTGTGCTGAGGAGCAGATTTTCTCTGAAAAATTAAAGTGATGTTATAAAGAGAATATGGTTCAAAAATTGAGTGATGGCATTGGGCTCAGTGCTGGTACAAAGCAATGAATAAGTCAGTCGGTCCCTACACCCTCACAGAGTTTACAGTCAATATGTAATTCATTAAAAGAATTATACACATTTGTTAACAAAATTATACTTTATATAAAATATTACATAGCATAAAATATTAAATAGAATGTACAAAATATATAATATAAATTTACATTACGTAAATGAAAAAAACAACACTAATTATATGAAGAATGCTTCAACAGAAGCACGGGTTACTTCAGAAGCTTATAAAAGGGGGACTGGCTTGCTTTGGGGGTAGATGTGGATAGCAAGGTTTTCCTTAGGAAGTGGCAGTGGTTCGTGGTCCAGCAGGAGTTAGCTAAGCTGGGAGGAGGTGAAGGCACAGGATCTAGGTGGAGGAGAGAGGAGAGTGGGTTAGGACTATGAATTCTAACTCTGCCTCCAACTGGAAATGGAGGAGTAGAAAGCATCTGGGTTGGCCGGGCACCGTGGATCATGCCTGTAATCCCAGCATTTTGGAAGGCCGAGGCGGCAGACCACCTGAGGTCAGGAGTTCGAGACCAGCCTGACCAACTGTGTCTACTGAAAATACAAAATTAGCCGGGCGTGGTGTAGTGGTGTAATCCTGTAATCCCAGCTACTCAGGAGGCTGAGGCAGAAGAATCTTCTTGAACCTGGGGGGTGGAGGTTGTGGTGAGCCGAGATCGCGCCATGGCACTCCAGCCTGGGCAACAAGAGTGAAACTTCGTCAAAAAGAAAGAAGGAAGGAAAGAAGGAAGGAAAGGAAGGAAAGAAAAGGAAGGAAGGAAAGAAAAGAAAGCAAGCAAGCATCTAGGTTGAACAGCACCCCTCCTAAAATTCCTGTCCACCTGAAACCTCAGAATGTGACCTTGTTTGGAAACAGGGTCTTTGAAGATATAATTAGTTAAGGATCAAGAGGAGATCATCCTGGATTAGGGCAGCCCCTAAATCCAATGAGTGTGTCTTGATAAGAGAAAAGGACAGGCAGAGATAGAAAAAGGTGATGTGAAGATGGAGGTAGAGACTGAGGGATGTGTCTACCAGCCGAGAAATGCCAGGAATGCCTCCAACCACTAGAAACTGAGAGAGAGGTATGGCCAAGTGGGTTTCTCCCTCAAAGCCTCCATAAGGAACCAACCTTGCTGACCACTTGACTTCAGACTTCAAGTCTCTAGAACTGTCAGAGAATACTTTGTATTGTTTTAAGCCATCCAATTTGTGGTGGTTTGCTATGGCTGTCCTAGAAAGGTAACATAGGCTTCTTCCCTCGCTTTAGATTTTTCCAAGCTTTATTGACTCTTGAACTTTCACAACAGGCCAGGTGCAGTGGCTCATGCCCGTAATCCCAGCACTTTGAGAGGTCGAGGTGGGAAGATCTCCTGAGGTCAGGAGTTCGTGGCCAACATGGTGAAACCTTGTCTCTACTAAAAATACAAAAATTAACTGGGAGTGGTGGTGCATGCCTGTAATCCCAGGTACTTGGGAGGCTGAGGTAGAAGAACTGCTTGAACCCAAGAGAAGGAGGTTGCAGTGAGCTGAGATCATGCCACTGCACTCCAGCCTGGACAACAGAGTGAGACTCTGTCTCAAAAACAAACAAACTTTTCACAATAAGTGGTCTTGTACAACCCTAAGACCTGTTAAAAATAACATATTGCATGATTATATAACAAAGTCATTTTAAGTTAATATATTATTTTATATATATATATAAATATATATATTAAAGTGCTTTGCCAGGCGCAGTGGCTCATGCCTGTAATCCCAGCACTTTGGGAGGCTGAGGAGGGCGGATCACAAGGTCAGTAGTTGAAGACCAGCCTGGCCAATATGGTGAAACCCTGTTGCTACTAAAAATACAAAAATTAGCCGGGCATGGTGGCACACGCTTGTAGTCCCAGCTACTTGGGAGGCTAAGGCAGAAGAATCTCTTCAACCTGGGAGGCGGAGGTTGCAGAGAGCTGAGATCACGCCACTGCACTCCAGCCTGGGTGACAGAGCGAGACTCCATCTCAATCAATCAATCAATCGAGTGCTTTAAAGGCCGGGTGGCTCACGCCTGTAATCCCAGCATTTTGGGAGGCCAAGGCAGGAGGATCGCTTGAGGTCAGGAGTTTGAGAAGAGGCTGGGCTACAAAATGAGATCACCATCTATACAAAAGATGTTATTTAAAAAATTAGCTGGGTGCTGTGGCATCCATCTGTAGCACCAGCTACTTGGAAGGCTGAGGTGGGAGGATTGCTTGAGCCTAGGAGGTCGAGGCTGCAGTGAGCTGTGATTGCACCACTGCTCTCCAGCCTGGGTGAAAGAGCAAGATCCTATGACGGGGGCGGGGTGGAGTACTTTAAAACTTGTCTTTAAAACTAATAATAAATAAAATGCAGTACAGTCCTTAACAATATCAAGATAAGCCAGCTGTGGTGGCTCACACCTGTAATCCCGGCACTTTGGGGAGGCTGAGGCAGGTGGATCACTTGAGGTCAGGAGTTCGACACCAGCCTGGCCAACATGATGAAACCCCATCTCTACTAAAAATACAAAAATTAGCTAGGCGCAGTGGCAGGCACCTGTAATCCCAGCTACTCAGGAGGCTGAGACAGGAGAATCGCTTGAACCCAGGAGGCAGAGGTTGCAGTGACCTGAGACTGCACCACTGCACTCCAGCCTGGGCAAAAGAGTGAGACTCCGTCTCAAAAAAAAAAAACAAAAAGCAAACAAAAATATCAAGATAATTTCCTCTATTTCACAAATGATGCCTGCCATTTCATTTACTTCAGATTAATACGTAAGACCAAAGATGAGCTACTAAAATGTAAATATATATCACTTAAACATATTAAATGTGTACATTTTTAAAATTCTAAGAAAAATTACCTATGTGTTATGACATGAATAATATGGAAGCCCTGCTGCTTTAATTCTCGGACATTTGTAAATTTTGGATTTAAATGGTATAAAATTTCTGGGTTTGTTTTTAAAATTATGATGTTTGGTGTCTAGGTGGCAAGATGAAAGAGATTTCCAGCTGTGACTTGTAATCACACTGCCTCAATGTATATACTGCAAGGATGAATAGCCTTTACCTCAACAAACAGCAGTTACATTGGACAGAACAACAAGAGATTGCTCCTGTATAAATATTTTGATCGGATGACTCCAACTTGAAGGTCTGGTGGAAGTCATCTTGAGGAGAACACAGAGAATCATCACTGTTATGCTCATTAATTTGAATCATCAGTGTCCATGAAGCCTTTTGTCCTAACCAATGGTTCTCTTACGGGAATAATAAACCAAGATGTTATGATACCAAGCTGGAGAAACCACTTAAGGCCATATAATGGGCAACCCCCTGGTCTCCAGAGGCTAGAGTTGATCACCTGAGGGATGACCTGGATATCTGGGTCATAACATCCACTGTTCTCCCACTTAGTACCGGCTTCTGATTCTCAAACCTTTCTATTTCAGAGGGAAAATGTTTAAGCAATTATTTTCTGATTTTCGGTAATGCGTGTTAAGTTGACTCGTTCATGTATGAATGTTACCCTGGTCAGCCCCGTAACACCCCAGGCACTGGTCTGTGATGTGCAACCTCCTGACCGAGTGTGGGCTCTTGTGCTAGATTAAATTCCTAGAGCTTGAACCACTGCGTGACTGGCGATGTCCTCCTGGGGAAAGGAGCCAATAGGCATTAAGTGTGCTGTCATTTCAGCTGGTCTCCTCACTAAACACACTGCAGAGATTATTTTTTAAAAAGGTAAACAGAGCCAGGCATGGTGGCTCATGCCCGTAGTTCCAACTACTCAGGAGGCTGAGGTGAAAGGAAACCCTTAGCCCAGGAGTTCCAGGCTGGTGAAGATCATCTTGAGAACATAGAGAATCAGAACTGTTTTGCACCTAATTAATTTGACTCATCAGTGTCCCTTATACCTTTTGTCTTAACCAGTGATCTCCTATAGGTATAGTAAAAACTAAGATGTTACAGGAGTTCGAGGCTACAGCGAGGTATGATCGTGTCACTGCACTTTAGCCTGGGTGACAGAGAAAGACCCCATCTCTAAAAAAAGAAATAAAAATAAAAGGCAAACCTAATGGAGATGTCAAAGTCATCTATCCATGCTTCACGCAGGTTGCTTAAAGGAACCTAAGCTTTGGGAGGAAATCAGTTTCCTCTTTGTCCCTTTTTTTTTTTTTTTTTTTTTTTTTTTGAGATGGAGTCTTGCTCTGTTGCCCAGGCTGGAGTGCAGTGGCGCAATCTTGGCTCACTGCCACCTCCGCCTCCCTGGTTCAAGCGATTCTTCTGCCTCAGCCTCCCGAATAGCTGTGACTACAGGCATGTGCCACCACACCCGGCTAATTTTTGTATTTTTATTTTATTTATTTATATTTATTTATTTATTTTATTTATTTTTTTTTTTTTGAGACAGAGTCTCACTCTGTCGCCCAGGCTGGAGTGCAGTGGTGAGATCTCGGCTCGCTGCAAGCTCTGTCTCCCGGGTTCACGCCATTCTCCTGCCTCAGCCTCCCGAGTAGCTGGGACTAACATCTCCTCTTTCATTATGATTTTGAGTTTCCTCTCAATGTTTAGGTAGTCTAGCTAAACTTTATCTTTTCAAAAAAAAAAAAAAAACTCTTAGTTTCATTGATCTTTTCTGTTGTTTTTCACCCAACATTGGTGCACCGAAACATATAAAGCAAATATTAACGGAACGGAAGAAAGAAATAAGCAGCAGTACAGTAGGAGACTTCAATACCCCACTTTGAACAATGGATAGATCATTCTGACAAAATCAATAAGCAAACAGTGGACTTGAACAGTACTATAGAGCAAGGGACCTAACAGACAAATATCTAGAACATTCCATCCAACAGCAGCAGAATACAGTTTTTTCATGTGCACATGGGACATTCTCCAGGATAGATATGTTGGGCTACAAAGGAAGTCTTAACAATTTATGAAGACTGAAGTCACATCAAGTATCTCTTCCAACCACAATGGTATAAAACTACAAATAATAGGAAGAAAATGGAAAAACTCACAAATATGTGGAAATTAATACATTCCTGAACAATCAATGGGTCAAAGAATCAAAAAGGAAATTTTAAAAATATCTTGAGAAAAGTGAAAATGGAAACCCAACATACCCAAACTTCGACACAGCAAAAGCAGTTCTAAGAGGCAAGTTTATAGCAATAAGTGCCTAAATTAAGAAAAAATTAAGACTGCAAATAACCTAACTTTTGATCTGAAAGAACTAGAGAAGAAAAAAAAAAAAAAAAAAAGAACAGAGCCCAAAGTTAGCAGAAGGAAGAAAATCATAAAGGTCAGGGAAAGATAAATGAGAGACTAGGAAACAACACAAAGGGCCGGGCATGGTGGCTGACGCCTGTAATCCCAGCACTTTGGGAGGCCGAGGTGGGGCAGATCACCTGAGGTCGGGAGTTCAAGACCAGCCTGGCCAACATGGTAAAACCCCGTCTCTACTAAAAATACAAAAATTAGCTGGGCGTGGTGGTGCATGCCTGTAATCCCAGCTACCCAGGAGGCTGAGGCAGGAGAATTGCTGGAATCTGGGAGGCAGAAGATGCAGTGAGCCGAGATCATGCCACTGCACTGCAGCCTGGGAGACAGAGCAAGACTTCGTCTCGAAAAAACAAAACAAAACAAAAAAAAAAACCCACCAAAGATGGAGGCCAACCAACATCCTTCTTTTCTTGCCAACCTTCTAATCTAGCATTCTAGAGGGTCACATGTGAATCATCCCAATGTCAGCGCATAGGCTCAGCTAGAAAGAAGCCTGTTCCAAAAAAGAAAGAAGACAGGGAAAGTTCTCAGAAACATCTGTATACCATTCTCGGCTCCTTGGTCCATTTCTTCCCAGCTCCTAGAGACAGGTCCTCTCTAGACGTTCCACAGGGTACGGGGCTTGGGGATGCTCCAGTGCTCAACCCCGGCGGGGATATGATTACACTCAATTTGGCACTTGAGAGAAAACTTTCTCAAATTGTTCCCTAGTGGTTGTTTTTTTTGAGACAGAGTCTCTCTCTGTCCCCCAGGCTGGAGTGCAATGGCGCGATCTCGGCTCACTGCAACCTTCGCCTCCCGGGTTTCAAGCGATTCTCCTGCCCCAGCTTCCCGAGCAGCTAGGATTACAGGCATGCACCACCACGCCCGGCTAATTTTGTTTTTCTTTGTATTTTTAGTAGAGACGGGGTTTCACCATGTTAGCCAGGATGGTCTCGATCTCCTGACCTCGTGATCCGCCTGCCTCGGTCTCCCAAAGTGGTAGGATTACAGGTGTGAGTCACTGTGCCCAGCCCCTCTTAGTGGTTTTTATGGGAACATAATGTCAAACAAGACTGTGTACACCTTGAAGAGGGTTCATGGTACTTTTGTAACCTCGTGTCCCTGACTCTTCCAAAGCCAATAGTCACAATGCATTTAATAATATAATTAAATCTTTTACCCTCTGCACTGAGCAGTAATGAGGAATGGCAGAAAAAAGCAGGGTATCAACCACAACAACAAATTGGCAATGCTATTCAAACCATAAGAAAATTTTACAAAAACACATTTAGACATGGAGACACATTTTCTAAATATGAATCACTGTGAGGAAAGCAGTTTAAAAATAATAATAGCTTCTATAATTTATGAGTGTTAACCATGGTTTATGTACTACGGCAAGAACGTTGAGGAAATCATGCAATCATGCAATTTGTAAATACATTCTTGTAAAAAACAAAAAACAAAACTCATGTGGTGGAGAAGCAGACTGAGTAAAATGTCCAAGTTACTCCTTCACACCACTCGCAAAACCATTCCTGTCACTTTTTTTTTTTAAGAGACAGGGACAGTGTCTCACTCTGTTGCCCAGGCTGGAAGGCAGTGGCACGATCATATCACACTATAACCTTGAACTCCTGAACTCAAGTGATCCTTCTGTCTCCGCCTCCAGAGCAGCTAGGACTATAACCTAGAGACACCATGCCTGGCTAATTAAAAACAAATTTTTTTAGCCAGGTGCGATGGCTCACACCTGTAATCCCAGCACTTTGGGAGGCCGAGGTGGGCGGATGATGAGGTCAAGAGATCAAGACCACCCTGGCCAACATGGTGAAACCCATCTCTACTAAAAATACAAAAATTAGCTGGGTATGGTGGCACATGCCTGTAGTCCCAGCTACTCGGGAGGCTGAGGCAGAATTGCTTCAACCTGGGAGGCAGAGGTTGCGGTGAGCCGAGATTGTGCCACTGCACTCCAGCCTGGCAACAGATTGAGACTGTCTCAAAAAAAAAAAAAAATTTTTTTTTTAAGAGACAGGGTCTTGCTATGTTGCCCAGGCTGATCTTGAACTCCTGGGCTCAAGCAATCCTCTCATCTTGGTCTCCTAAAGTGTAGGGATTACAAGTGAGAGCCACCATGCCAGGTCTCAACTTTTATTTTTTGTGATGTATTAGCACACATCGGTTTAGTTTATCTTTTCCTTTATGACTTCCTGCACTGATAGTCTTACTTCAGGAGGCTTAGCCACTCTAGATAATAAAAATATCCTATTTTCTTCTAATATTTTCACAGATTTTATGTTTAGCTATTTTTATCTCATCTGGAATTTTGTGTGTAGGATTTAACTTTATACTTTTTTCCCAAAGTTTTAGGCAATTATTTCAATACAATTTACTAAACAGACTGTCTTTCATCTTCTGCTTTTGAAATACTTCCTCTCCATATATAAAATTTCCTGTCCCATATGGGCCAATTTGGGATTCCCTATTCTGTTCCACTGATCTGTGTGTCAGTTCCTATGCCACACTCTTTTAATTACTAGAACTTTAAAGTACAGTTTGCTGTCTGGTGAGAACCCCTCTTTATTCTTATTTTTCTTTCTTTTTTTTTTTTTTTTTTGAGATGGAGTCTCACTCTGTCTTGCCCATGCTGGAGTACAGTGGCACGATCATGACTCACTGCAGCCTCTGCCTCCCAGGTTCAAGCAATTCTCCTGTCTCTGCCTACCAAGTAGCTGGGACTACAGGTGTGCACCACCACACCTGGCTAATTTTGTATTTTAGTAGAGACAGGGTTTCACCATGTTGGCCAGGCTGGTCTCTAATTCCTGACCTCAGGTGATCCACCTGCCTTGGCCTCCCAAAGTGCTGGGATTACAGGCATGAGCCACCGTGCCTGGGCTGCTATTCTTATTTTTCAAATATTTCTTATTCACTCACTTTCCCCTCTTTTATATGAATTTTAGTTGATTTGTTCAAGTTCCAAATAAATTCTTTTTCAGATTTGATGGAAACTGTATTTATTTATAGATAGGAAAGGAAGACAGTAGAATCTGGTGTCCTTAAAAGAATGTCTGCAGGGTCCATTTATTAGCTACAGGAACTATGGTTGTAGATACATAATCTGAGCTACTGTTCTTTACTTAAGAATGCAATAAGTTAAGGTTGGCCCCATTAATAAGCAAACAAATAATTCACTTAGCCAGCCCCAGTGGTCACTTTTGAATCTTTAAAGTACATTTTTATGCTGTAATCAGCATCCCAAAAGTTTTCAACTGAGGTTCTGAAATCCAAGATTTTCTTCTAATGTTACTTTTACCAGATCATAAATCAAAGGGATACAGAGATTACAAATTCAGACATTCCCATCACATAATTATTTCAAATCACTGTCTGCTATGATATCCCTTTCTCCACTCTAACCTGCATTTCAGAATGCAGTGTTTATGATGTATCTCTTGGCATGGATATCTCAAAATTATGACCACAGACAGTGGAACAAGTCCAACTTTAAACTGAAAACAGTACTTAAAAAGAGTTTAATTCTGGCATCCCTATTTATGTAATAATTACAATTTAATAAAGACATAAAATAGTGACAGATTTTCTTTAGAGATACTGACCAGATCTTTCTTTAAACAGAACAAAACCCAAAAAGGTTTAAACCTGTTTCAAAGTGTAATGAGAGAGAGAAATAAGATCTGTATTCAAAATAGACAAAAATCTAAGACAAAAACAAAAAATAGACAAAAATCTAGTGCTGACGCTTGCGGGCAAAGAAAAAGAAAACATACATACTCTTTTTCAAATACTTTACTTTTCATACTTTTTTTCCAAAGCTTTAGGAGATGACAATCTAGCATGACTGGAATGCAGTGATCACATACAAGAGCAAAAGTTTCTTTGTCCAATTCACCGTATTTTTCTGAGAGAAAGGGCACAAAACCTCTCTTTCATGAGACACTACGCGAACTTCTACCTGATGTAACAGCACGTTCTAAGAGCAAACAGATAAACCAACTGTGGCACATGTATACAAAGGAATACTATTCAGCAATTAAAAGGAATGGATTACTGAAACATGAAACAACATGGATGACTCAATCCATTATGCTAAGTGAAAGAAGATTCAAATAGCTACAAACTGTATGATTCTGCTGTGGACTCAATGTTTGTGTCTCCCCAAATTCTTATGTTGAAACTTAATCCCCAATGTGATAGTATTAAGAGGTCGAGCCTTTGAGAGGTCATTAGGCCATGAGATTAGAGAACCTCGTGAATGAGAGTAGAACCCTTACATAAGAAGCCTGAAGGCCAGGTGCAGTGGCTCAACCCTGTAGATCCACTATTTTGAGAGGCTGAGGCAGGAGGATCACTGGAACCCAGGAGTTTGAGTTCATTCTGGGCAACAAAGTGAGACCCTGTTTCTTAAAAAAATTTAAAAATTAGCTGGGTGTGGTGCTGTACACGTGTAATCCCGGCTACCAGGGAGGCTGTGGGTGGGAGGATCACTTGAGCACGGGAGGTTGAGACTGCAGTGAGCTGTGATGGCGCCACTGCTCTCCAGTTTGGGAGACAGAGTGAGACTGGATCTCAAAAAAGAAAAGAAAAGAAAGAACAAGCCTGAGGGAGCTTATCTGCCCCTTCCACCATGTGCAGGTACAGCAAGAAGGTGCCATCTATGAGGAACAGGACCCACACCAGACACTGAATCTGCCGGTGCCTTGATCTTGGACTTTGCAGCCTCCAGAACTGTGAGCAATAAATTTCTGTTGTTTATCAACAACCCAGTCTAAGGTATTTTTTAATAGACATCCAAGCAGACTAAGATTCCATTTATATGACATCCTGAAAAAGGCAAAATAGGAAGAGAGTATATATCATGGTTGCCAGAGACTGGGGATTAGGAAAAAGATGACTATGGGGGATACTTTCAAGGGTGAGGAAATGGTTCTCTGTCTTGAGTGTGGTGGTAATTCACAAGACTTGTGTTTGCCACAATTTACAGACTGGTACAACTAAAGAGGTCTTCCTTTAGCTTCTTACTTTAGTATAATATCTCAATTTTGTACTGTGAATGTAACTCCATTTAATTTCTTCTGGAATTGGGGAAAATTTATCATGATGAAGAGTAAACAAATTATATCTCAATAAACCTGACTTAATAATAATAAAAAAATACTCAACTCAAAATGCAAACCAATCCTCACCCTGTCTTCCCATACCATCTTCTATCCAACAAGAGCACGTCAGTTATTTGCTTAGGAATGAGGATCCACTTAATGAAAATAAAGTATATAAAATCCAGCCTTCCTCATTGGTTAGAGCTTTTCATTTTTCCAGCAATCTACAACTCACCTTCTCAGTCCTTCCACAGGGCCATGGGGAGATTCTCTCAAGCAAACCAAGTTAACAGCGTAGAATGCTAGTGCCAGGATCATGGGCCCAGGCTCGTGGATCAGAATCTGATCCCACAGGATATTCTGAACAAGTCTACATAGTTTCAGGCACAACCTATGGGGTCTCATAGATGGTCAACTTAAGTTCATGACAGAGCCAACTACAAAGGCACTGCAATCTTTGACTGCATTAAGAGAAGTCAACTGTCCACATCACCGGAGGAGGTAATAAGCCTCTTCTGGATAAGACTGCATATAGAGAATCTGATGCAGTTCTGGCATTAAAATTTAAAAATGGCAGCCGGGCATGGTGGCTCACGCCTGTAATCCCAGCACTTTGGGAGGCCAAGGTGGGAGGATCACAAGGTCAGGAGTTTGAGACCAGCCTGGCCAACATGGTGAAACGCCATCTCTACTAAAAATTAAAAAAAAAAAAAAAAAATTAGCTGGTGTGGTAGCGCATGCCTGTAATCCCAGCTACTTGGGAGGCTGAGGCAGGATAATTGCTTGAACCCGGGAGGCAGAGGTTGCAGTGAGCTGAGATCGCACCACCACACTCCAGCCTGAGCGACAGAGCAAGATTCCGTCTTGTTAAAAAAAAAAAAAAAAAAAGCTAAAAATGGCAATGCTATCTTACGATGAGCAGCTGAAGAGACTAAGGTGCTTAACCCCGAAGAACACAATCTGGGTGGAGGATGGGGTATGGGATAGGATATGATGGTTTCATACAAAAAATATATGAACAAGAAGAATGGGGTAGACCACTTCAGGGTGCCACAGGTAACAGAACTAGTACCAATGAGAAAAAGATTAAAGGGCAGAAGATATTTGGTATCTGTGAGCTTTCCAAAATTCTGTCACTAAATTTCTTTCCTGCTTAAATGAGCCAGAATTGTTTTCTGTTGCATATCTCAAACTCCAGTTGTTAGAAGTGCATGAATTTGGGGAACTGGGGTTTGAAGTGCTATTTTACATTGTCCTTGGGTCACACATGAGGATGAAGTTCTTAGAAAGTTGCATACTTCCTAACGTTGGTTGCACGTGAAGAACTTAAAAAAAAAATGAGATTCTCTATCTTCCTTCTACTGCTCCAAGATTCTGTAATAATAAATCTAGGGATGGGAGTGGGGGTGAGAAGAAGCCAGCCAGGAACACTATTTTTTTTTTTTTTTTTTTTTTTTTTGAGACAGAGTCTCACTCTGTCACCCAGGCAGAAGGGCAGTGGCTCCATCTCAGCTCAGTGCAACCTCCGCCTCCTGGGTTCAAGCAATTCTCCTGCCTCAGCCTCCGAGTAGCTGGGATTACAGGCGCTTGCCACTACTCCCAGCTAATTTTTGTATTTTTAGTAAAGATAGGGTTTCACCATGTTGGCCAGGCTGGTCTTCAACTCCTAACCTCAGGCGATCCACCCTCCTTGGCCTCCCAAAGTGCTGGGATTACAGGCATGAGCCACCACACCCAGCCTAAAACAATTTATATATATAAGTGGTTCTCTCACCTACTCCACCCAACCATTCAAAGCTGGGACTGTTACAGAATCACATGACCTCAGAGCCAGAAGTACCCTCCAGGAAGCACAGGCCATTTACATCATATCATTAAATCACATACTCCTTTTATTAGAATTTCTCGTATTTTATTTTTCTCTTTTTATACCTTATGTCTGCAAATCTGTATGTTTTCTTTAAGCAACTCTATGGAGACCTCGTTGGTACTTAAGATCATTAAGGTTAATTATTATACCACAGACTGAGTTCTGTTGTTCTCAAGCTCTATCATTTCCAGGGGAGGAAAAGAAAGCTTTATCTGTTCTAGGGATATCTCTTTGCTGGAACAGTTGCAGAAACTCTTTACAGATATTAAAATCTGTCTGGTTCTTAATCTAGTCTGGAAAACAAGGTCGAAAAGCCTGCCATTCTCAAAATGACAAATCTTGGAGCATCTGCACCATCTACGGCAGCAGCAGAGGTATCAAAGACAGCCCTCGCCCCTGAGCAGACAAAAAAACATCCTCTGACTTACATGTCCCAGCTTGCTCGCCCAAACAACTCCGAACTCTGGAGCATAGCTGGAAAGCCACCACAAAAAGGGCAGAGGGTGTGAAATGATTCACTAATGGGCCATTAGAGCTACTTCAGGAAATTCAGAAGTGATGTACTTCTATGGAAATCCTGACTCCTCCCAAGTAACCTTTCATTGGGTTATAATAAAGTATTTCTTCCACCTGTACTGATTCTGTTTGGAGCCACTCAGCAGACATGTAAAATCTCTGGAGATAATATATAATAGGGATGATGATAATGAGACCACCCTTAAAGTTTATATAATGCTTGGCACTTTCTTTCCCAAAGCCCTTCACATACATTGTTCGCTTGGCCTTCCTTCCCTCTCTTTCCCTCCCCTACTTCTCTCTCTCTTTCTCTCTCTCACTGTCCCCATCCACCACCCCCCACCAACAGACGCATAGACCAGGTCACACTCTATCCTCCAGGCTGGAATGCAGTGGTGCCAACTTGGCTCACTGCAACCTCCACCTCCCAGGTTTAAGCGATTTTCCAGCCCCAACCTCCTGAGTAGCTGGGACCACAGGCTTGTGCCACCACGCCCAGCTAATTTTTGCATTTTTAAAAAATTTTTAAGCTGGTCTTGAATTCCTGGGCTCAAGCAATCTAACTGCTTCAGCTTCCCAAACTGCTGGGATTACAGGAATGAGCCACCACACCTGGCTTATGTTTCATTTGATTTTCATATCAACTTTGTAAGGGAGGTAGCACAGATAGATTTATCTTTATTTTATAGACGGTGAAGTTGAGGCACTGAAGGATGAAATGGTTTACTGAAGAGGCGGGGCACCTGGGGCATTCCAGGGGCCTGTCAGCTGTGGAAGCATCAGGATGGTTGACGTCACTCAAGTTTTAGTCTAGAACTGAGAAAGGATGCTCAGGTTAAATTTGTTTCTGTACCCTGCATACATGGGCATTTCATCATGGCCATTCTAACGCGACAGCCCAGAAACAAGGCCCCCGGGGCTTAGAATAGTGGATTTCATCAACAACCAGAGAGTACACATAGAACCTGGTCTTTGTAGACTCTGGTCTTTGTAGATCCAATGTACCTTTGTATATTGTCCCTCTAAACCGAGGGGCACCCTTGATACCAGTTAGCCCGTTCTTTCTTGAGGCCTTAGTTTCCTCATCCATAAAATCAGGGCTCTGAGTCTGGGATACCAGGTCTACAGTGGTGGTTTCCAAATTTGACTGATCAAAAGAACCATCTTAGCCGGAAATGGTGGCCCATGCTTGTAATCCCAACACTTTGGGAGGGAGAAGTGAGAGGATCTCTTGAGGCCAGGAGTTCAAAACCAGCCTGGGCAATGTCGTTAAGACCCATGTCTCTACAAAAAATATTTTTAAAAACTAGCCAGTGGTGGTGTGTATCTGTACTCGCAGCTACTTGGGAAACAAATGAAAATAAGGTGGGAGGATTGCTTGAGCCCAGAAGTTCAAGGTTACAGTGAGCTATCATTGCACCAGTGCACTCCAACCTGGGCAACAGAGCGATACCGTTTCTTAACAAAAAACAAAACGAAACAAAAAGAATAATCTATGGAGCCTTTCCTTTGAAGAAAAAAAGGACTGCTTTGTAAAATGACAGTTGTTCGGTAAAGATTTAAGCAAACAAGTATAAATAAGGGACCTCCTAATCATCTATCACTCACTGGTGGTAGGACAGCAGTGCCATAAAAACATTCTGACATGGCGGCGGGGAGCACAATCCAAGGAATTCCTCTATTCCCAAGGAATGTTTTACAAATATGACTCTAGACCCCACCCAGACCCGCCGGAGGGCCCAACAATCTGTATTTCCTGAAATGCCTCATGAGATGCAGTCAGGTTCACACAATAGATTTTGGGAACCAAGAACACAGATAATTAATAGGGACTCTTCCTGCAGAGACTGGTATAAAATAGCATGTTTGGCCAGGCGCAGTGACTCACGTCTATAATCCCAGAACTTTGGGAGGCCGAGGCAGGCAGAGCACTTGAGGTCAGGAGTTCAAGGCCAGTCTGGCCAACATGGTGAAACCCCATCTCTACTAAAAATGCAAGAATTAACCAGGTGTGGTGGCGCACGCCTGTAGTCCTAGCTACTCAAGAGGTTGAGGCAGGAGAATCCCTTGAACCTGAGAGGCAGAGGTTGCAGTGCGCCGGGATCGTGCCACTGCACTCCAGCCTGGGTGACAGAGGGAGACTCCATCTCAAAAAGAGAAACAAAAACAAATGAAAATAAAACAGCATGTTTGCCAGGGAGAATTCTTCCAGTCATGAGGTGCCACCTGTGCTTCCTCAAGGCTAAGATGAACACTCTTGGGGCTACAGAGAGTTTACCTCAAGAGTAGAAATAGAAAGAGGAAAAAAGGAAGAGTAGGAATAGCAGAAATAGTAAGGATCACCCTATAATGGCTGTGCACCTGTCCCCATCCTAATGCCCATCTCCTTAAAGACTCTTCCTGGGGGAGGAGACCCAGGAAGCACCTGGATCCAAGCCAGGGAAGACGATGTGGTCTCAGGCAGGTAGAGTCTGAAACTATGAAAGCTGCGGCAGAACACCCTAGGGGGTTCCCATAGGGAAGAGAACAAGGGGGAAAAACAGGGTTGAGGGAGAGTTTCTCAAGGGAATCTAGTAAAGCCAAACCCAAAGACAGAATTTTGGTGTGGTTCAGCCCTCTACATTAACGGGGACGCTGTATCTAGAATCCTAGAACATTCCTTAAGACATATTCCACATGATGTTCTCATAGTCAACCACCTCTCTCCCCAGAAGATAGGACCGAGATAGCAGAAACAAACAAGAGATGGCAATAACATCTTTGGCCAGTGGAAGAATCCCTCCTTCACTAGGAATCAATAACCTGGCTTTGGAATGCTCAATGCCAGTCTCCTGGGAATTTGATTAGCATGAGTCAGTTTCCAGGCCGCTGACAACCTCTGATAAACACACAAAATTGGATTTCTGTTTATAAGCGCCACCCTGTGAAGCCACCAGTTGGCCTGTGACATAAGTGGTTTGACCAAGGCCAAAAGCACACCATTAGGGCATAGTCGGTCAGATCTCGGGGTTCTGGAGCTGCTTGGGCTGCGGAAGTACAGGGACATTTTTACTCCCTGATACTCTGCCAAAGGACCTTTCTCTCACTTGCAAACATCCATGAAAATCTTACAAAGATATACAACTTGCATCATCCAATGACACACTTAATAAATCTCCCTTCTGGAAAGAAGAAAGCCATATACACAATCCTCCTGAGCGCAGAGCATCTGGTCCGCACACATGTATGGGATCAGATGGTAATCTGCCCTCTTCTGCACCCAGCAGGGCTGAGGTAATTGGCTACAGGCAAGCAGCTGCTGCGCACGGCTCAGCTCACAGCTCACCTGGTGCACATGGGCCATGAGGCCAGGAAGCGGCCCCTCCAAGGCGCAGCTGCAGCTGCTTCCCAGGGAATGCACACCATGAGAGAGTCACCTGGGGACACACGTGCACACGCTGCCACCCCACCCTCCACCTTGGCAGCCTCTCCCAGAGCCTGAGCTTCCACCTAATTAACACCCCAACAGGGCAGTTACTCTGGGATCTAAAGGAGGCAACATACACACTTGGAAGCAGGCGAAGTCTGTCTTCTGGGATTTTCCCACATTTCCTCTCCTGGAACATCTCTTCTCACAACCACATGTTGGAATACTTAAGCTACCTACAACTAAGATTTATCAAAATTATAGGAAGTGAGTTTGGAAAACAGAGGTTCTTATCTGAATTGCTGTAGGCTACAGCCTGGCTATTCTGAATTTGTTTGAATTTGTTAGAAAAGCAGAGGTCTCAGGCCCCACTCCAGGCCTACAGCATTTTATCAAGATCCCCCAGTCACCTGGGGAGAGGCTAGAACATACCACGCTGTCCTGGGCTCTTATTTTTTCCCCAGTAAATGAAGATCTAAGTAAATATCAAATGGTAGCCCTTAAGACAGGGTTCCTTTTCTTCCTTCTCTCATTATTTTGTGCCATAGACTCTCTGGCTACCTGGTAAAGTTTCAAAAATTATATTTTAAATGTATAAAATGCATAGGATTACAAAGAAAACCAATTATCTGGAAAAACAATACCCTAAATGTTTAAAGATTTGTAATGTAGTAACCTGCATGTGCTTGTTACACTGAATTCAAAGATCTAGCAACATAGTTGCTAAACAGACTAACTGACATATTCTCAAAGTAGTAATGACTGTAGATGATATTGGGATTTATCTGCTACAAATAATGAATATCATTTGTGCTGGTGACAAAGACATAAGGACTGCTAATACTACTGTCCTTTGTTGCCTACATCCATTATTGAAGGAAATACCAAATTTGAGCTACAGTTCAGTTTTCTTCCCTTCTAGGTTCACAGTCCCTCTGAAATCTACTAATAGAATCCAGGTTAAGATAGACAGATGTTTAAAGATCCTGCGCAAAAGGAATAAAGAGAGTGTTGTGCCCTATATCTGTCTGTCTCTCTGTCTGATTTAGTTTGAGGACAAGCTGGTCAAATCACTTCCTTCTCTGATAGCGACTGCATTTGCCTCGTCGGCTTCTTTGTGTCTTGTGGCTTCTACGTAGCTAAGCACGCAAGTGTTTAATACGTCCTTTGGATTAAACCCTCTAGGTTGGGTTCTAAATATTTCTGAAGCAGAAATATTACATTCCGAATGTACATTCCCATGTTACATTCTGAATACCATTACACAGGGTAACTAAAATAACCCCGCTTTTTAGGATGCGCCTTCTTCATCTGGGTGGGTCCTACCATACCAATGTGGATTTACTACAAACTACTGATGCTGAGTTCTGAACGGTTCCCCCAGCTCTGCCAGAGTGCCTAGGGCAGGCTTCTGTCTCCTGGATCATAAGCACCTTTTCAGGGTAGTTTTCTTGCCAAGAATAAGCAACACTTCCCACAGCCGTGTCAACTGTGGTTCTCAAAATAAGATCCATTTTCAGGAAAAGCCAAAATCGATTTTGTCTCTGATTTTTTTTTTTTTGGAGACACAGTCTTGCTCTGTTGCCCAGGCTGGAGTGCAGTGGCACAATCTCGACTCACTGCAACCACCGCCTCCCATGTTCAAGAGATTCTCCTGCCTCAGCCTCAGGAGTAGCTGGGATTACAGGCACGTGCCACCACGCCCAGCTGATTTTTGTATTTTTGGTAGAGACGGGATTTCACCATGTTGGCCAGGCTGGTCTCGAACTCCTGACCTCAGGTGATCCACCCGCCTTGGGCTCCCAAAGTGCTGGGATTACAGGCGTGAGTCACCGTGCCCGGCCTTGTCTCTGTATTTCAAAACTACACATCCGAAGCATCTTAGACTGTTCTGTAGGCTATTTTCCCCTCACATCAACCCAAGTGCCATGAAAGCAAAATGGAACTGAGCACATCAACCTTGGGGAGTTCATCTGACACTGGTTTGAACTCTCACCGAAAAGTAGTCACGACACCATGAGGCATTTCTCTAACAAAAACAAACCATGTGAATGTGTTTGGACCACATGTTTACAAAAGAGAAGGCAGATCTACAAACTGAGACGCAGTCTTACATAAAGAGTTTTGTTTGGCCGGGTGCAGTGGCTCACGCCTATAATCTCAGTACATTGCGAAGCTGAGGCGGGAGGATTACTTGAGCCCAGGTGTTCAAGGTTACAGCAAGTTAGGATCGAACCACTGCATGCCAGTTTGGGCAATAGAGTGAAACTTTGTATCTTTAAAAAAAAGTTTTGCTCAAAAAGAGCCATGTCTCCAGGTCCATGTGAGTGCCATGAAATAATTACATTTCTCCCTCCCTGACACACACACACACACACACATGCCCATAAGCACACAAAGGATAGCACTCACACTTAGCTTCTCTTTATCTAGGTTTGGTCACCCAAAAAATACATCTCTAAACCTTGCAGTCTGAACATTCTAAGACTAGTCAGTTGCATTATCATCTTGACCTAGTTCTCCACCTATCTTGGTTCCAGGGCTAATCATGTTAGATACGGCCATAAAAAAGAAAATAGGTTGAAAGCAGAGGAAACCTCACAGATTTCAGAGTCAATCTGTGGATAACAAGAGTCTATCATAGTAAATCACAGAGTAAAAACGATTTTAAAAATCAGTGCTATATCATTCACTGTGATGTGGCCTAGAATAGTGACTAACTTGCAAGGTTTGAGATCCTGGCTTCAAGACTGCTTAGGTTTTAGAGTGACCCAGAGGTTGTTTCTGGAGTAGATGAAGAACCCACAGAATTAAAAAACAAAACACATACTAAAACTGACAGCAGATTCTATCCCCATTTTGAAATCCCAGTGGCAACAAATGTAATGAATGAAGCCACCAGAGACTATAGCGAAGACTGATGTTTCTTCTACTGAAATGGCTGAATCCATTCACTTTTAAGATGAGAAGTTAAATTTCTATTACCCTAACAAACTCGTTACAAATGTCTAATTAGACACAGGCATAAGAGCATCTAATGTCTCAGCAGTATGAAAACAGCAGGATTTTCATCACACAAAGTTTGGATGGGCCAGTGGGACCCCAATAACATCCTCAAACGCCAAGTTGTCCCCAAGTACGTACATTTCACAGCTTCAGCATTTCATTCTAACATTCCTTGACTCACTTGAGGGATAAACTGAAGTCAAGCAAGTTCTAGCCTGTAAAACAGATTGTGCAAAGGACTTAGCTTTACAAATCCAAACTGCATCCTTTATTTTTGCCACCTTCTTTCCTGCAGCACTTAGATGTAATTTTCTGTTTCCCCTCCAGGTCTTTATTGCTCCCCTGCCAAAACTGTCTTGCATCTGTTACAATAAAATATCTTTGATATTTTCCAAAGCCAGCAGCTTACTGCCAAAAGTCAAGCCTCTATCCCATGGGCAGTCGTCTGGGAACTGAAGTCAAAGTGTTGCAAACTCATGGCGAAGGTGGAATTTGGCAACTCAAAGATGGGGCTCCTTGGAAAGCAGATCCTCCTCTTGCTGGTGGAAGTGGCCAGCAAGAGAAAATATGAACACTTTTGCCAAAGGGTCAGAAATGTTGGTGCAAAAGGCAAGAGCAAAAGGTTGCTATTCCATTAAAGAGCACCATGATGAATTCTGGGATTTGTGCCATTCAAATGAAGACCAGCTCCACTACCCTTGGATCTCCTGCCACTCACCTCATGGCTTGTGGTCTTCTATTTTTGTTATGATTTGTGTGGAAATCTAAATTGTTCACTGCAGAACCACTTTTTTTTTGGTGGGGGGGCATGGGGATGGGAAGGAGAGTTTGTAAGAATTTTAAGTTTTTGTTAAAAGGGCAAGCCTTGGAAAAACACAATACATAAACACAAGAACATTTATCTGCCCTTCACTGGGAGTCATCTGCACTGATGTTCTGCCCCTGCGGTCTCAGGTGTCTCACTGAAATAGAGACTTTTTACCAAACGGATTCTCAAGGGCCACTTCGTGCCTTCCTCAGATTCACCTTCCTCTGCCAATTTCCAACTTGGTTTCCATCTTCTAATTTGGGAAGTGTTGAAATGAGAAAGGCAAAGAGATGGTCTGGGTGTATGTGGCTTTAGGCTACCTGACAACCCCCAAACCTCAAAATTACCAAAAATACAGACTATAGGGTGATCCTTCTCTTCTACCAATGAGTCACTTTTGGTCTCTTTAAGGACCAAGTTCCTCTGCTGCATGTAAAATATAGTTGGGTTGATTCTACAGGAAGAGATCCTGAAAGAAAGGGAAGGCAGATCTAGAGTCCCAAGTCAACAGCTGTCATGGCCTGACTCGTGGTACAGGGACCTCATGGTGCAGGGCTGACAATGTGCCCTGCTGAGGCCATCTGTGGAGTCACAGTGTGGCTATCCAGTGAGGCACCCATGTGCTTAACGAAGGCAATCTGGGCAGATGGGCCTACAAGGGACAGCAAAGACAACAGAAGAAGTCACAAAGGGGTATGCCCTGCTGCAAGGAACAGTTGCCATGTCCATGGAGGGAGAATGTTGCTATCTTGTTCCCCCGTCACCAAGGAAAGGCAGGGCTCCAGTCGGGATCTCCATGGCATGAGGGACCTTGTGCTCCACCCCCAGTGCCACCGTAGGTAATGTGAAGAACTCATGTTTGGAAGTGAGAGACTATATCACCTACAAAAGCTCTTAAGAGGGGCACAGCTTGTATGTAAACACAAAGCCACAGAAAGGAATCCTCTGCTGGCCACTGAGCCACGAAATTATTGATTCCCTTTTATAGACATGGTCACAAGTTTTCTTGAATTCAGAATCATAACTTTTATTTTGTCTGGCTGTTCCTCTCCTCTAGGTTTATACACTTTGTGCATATATGCAGACGTCTGGCTTGGTCTTTGATTCTATTCACCATAAGGAAAAAAATGATAAATAGATGTCTGATTCCAGCCTTGTTTCCATAGCCAAAGGGAGATGACAGATGCTTCAGCTTTGGGCTGGACACTCAGCCCTCACAACATTGTATAGATGAGTTGGCTTGTTAAGGGCTGCTCATGGCTTGCACGCCAAAGTGACTAGACTTTGGTGGTTTCTGTCTCTTTAGGAGCCAGCTTGGTTGCATGGCTCAGAAGCAAAAAGGTCCCACGTGCTACCATGTGGTACCAGGTAGTTTTAGAATTCTGACACACACTGCCTACCCATGCAGAGGAAGAGGTTACTCACCCTCCAGCCTGAGCCTTCTGGGAACCCAAAGCCAACCCTTCACCCCACAGCCCGCCTCACTGCATCTGGCCACACAGCACCACTCCCTCTTGGGCAAGCCTAATACATTTTCTCACGTGCTGATTCCTAACTGCCCCTTGGCCTGGGGAGTCCAGACCTCAGTCTGGTTGGTTTCCAGTTGAGTTTCAGCAGTTACGCAAATCAGGTTTCTGACTGTGTCTGAAATTCCAGTGCATACAGGAACAGCAGGTTGCTTAATCTCTAAATTCAGAGCCAACCCCTTTTCTAAATACGAAAGTGCTGCCCAGCTCCCATGGTAGATTAAAGGACCCACCCCTCCCAGCTCTGACAACCTGGCTCATCAAGCGTACAGGCGCCATCTTGTTTTCCAGGCCCTACCTCTGGTGGGGCGCCATACTTTTCATATTTTCATCCTTCCTCACTTGTTTTGTCAAACTGGGCCCCACCCCCATTCTTCTCTACTGACAACATCCAATTTCCAAATATAGGAGGAAAGATGGTTGAAATGTCCCGGTAGTAAACAACAATCTCCTGTGAGATGCTTTCCTGTGTTTCTGCAATGGACAAAAAGCTACTTACACAAGATGGCTCCATACCGAGGCCTGAAGTTTCGACACAAGTTAAACATGAACAAGGTCACCAGATTTTCCTCTTCCTTTATTAGAAATGACATAACAATGAAATACTGTGCTGGGTAGAGGAGCACTGCATGTTCAGAGGTAAGGTTGGAGGGCCTACAGTAAGCTTTCTTAGAGGGCAATAAAGAAACATTGTTCTAAATATGAGAAAACATGGTATTCAGCTGTCTTTTTTTTATAATTGCAAAAAACATCTTTTTTTTTTCCAAAGTGGCAACACCAAATGCTCTCAGATTGTGGAAGTCTAGCCAGCATTCAGTATGCAAAAGAGAAAGAAGTGAATGACTTGTGTGAATTACCAGAGTTTTGGTCCCCAATGGGTTCTTCCAGTAGGGCACACAGTCAATACATGGCTGGACTCATAGGTGTCTTTTCCAGCAGGTTCATAAACCAGGAAAGAGGGTGAAAATCCAACCACAGGCACATAGTTCATCTAATATTTCTTTACTATTGTTGGGACCCTGCAGAAAAGCTTCAACTTCCTAACTCCTGAATCTACCCATTTGGAGGCGATGGCACCAATACAGACTAAGAAACTAAAATCAGTTTCCCAAACAAGAGCCCATTCAAATTGCTGAGGGCTTAACTTGCTGCATCAACCCACTGATCACATTATTCACCAATGATATTAAAAAATCAACAGGTCAAGGTGGAGTGCTGGGAGCAGTGGCTCACACCTGTAATCCTAGCACTTTGGGAGGCCGAGGTGGGCAGATCACTTGAGGTCAAAAGTTTGACACCAATCTGGCCAACAGAGTGAAACTCTGTCTCTAAATGGGGGCGGAAATCAACAGACCAACCAGCAAACCAGCAAATGTTTTTTTCTAAAGATCGGATAGGCTTTGTGGGTCACTATCTCTGTCCTATATTCTTCTTTGTTTCTTCAACTCTTCAAAACATAAAACACATTCTTAGCTCCCAGGCCATACAAAAACAGGCTAGGGCAGTCTGGATTTGCCTAAGGGCCATAGCTTGCTGAACACCGCTTCCAGCAGGAACCCTGGGAAGGAACCTGTCCCCAACACAGCTTCTAAGTCACTGCAGATAGCACCTGGGACAGATCAGTCTGAAGGATGGGAGACAAAGGGGACACACACAACAGGTGAACAGTAGGCAAGAAAGGACAAGAGTTGGGGTGGCGACGGTAGGAACATGGGGTGAAAAAGTTTTCTAAAAGACCACAGGAGGTGCCGTTCCTCCTCCCATAGAAGGCTAGCTGTGTAATGCTGAGAAATCACACGGAAAGAGAGACTAGCAATGATGTGTGGGCTTGCTTGACTAAACACAGCCATCCCCCAGCCCTCCAGGACTAAAATGCAAAGCCACAAAACGTGGCCACCACGGCATGAGGATGACCACAGCATGAGGATGCCAGCCAGGCAGTAAGCAGTAACCCAAGCAGCTCCCAATTTTGCCTTTTCAGACACACCCCTGTGGCTACGGGGCATTCTCCAAACCTCAACGCAAACAGTTCCAGGATTCAGGCTGGGCTATTCTACCGAAACAAAATTCTCCACCTACCTCTGACGTTCTTCTCAGGCTGACCACACGCACCATTTCTATCCAACCTCCTCCATGTTAGCCCAATCCCCCAACACCCTGGCCACTTCATTAGTGAGGGAAAACATGTCAGATCATCCCAGTGCCCAGGAGAAGCAAGGCCTAGAAATGATTCAGAACCTGGGGCTGGAGATGATCTTTATTCTGTTCTACTTCTCTTATCACAAGCCCCAAACCTTGACAACGGAAGGAACACCCTGAGACTCGGCTACAATCATGGGAATCAAAAATCAGTTTTAAAATTATCCTTGCATGTGGCTGCCACCCATGGTCCTCCCCATTTATTTTCTACTTCTGAGTGTGAAACGTCACTGTGACAGTTTCCAACCCTCTGCACTCCCCCCACTCCATGACAAATATTCAGGATTCACACTTCACTTTCACACTGCTTTCCAATCCCTTGACTTAGAAGCCGAGCAGAGGCAGCCTGCCTTAATGGAGAAAACATTAGTGCATTCGGGCTTCACTCTGGATCCCAGTCAATTTCTGGATATTTCACAGCTGTTATACATCCACCTCCTTTCTTACAAAAGCCAGCAAAAATTAGTGAGCACCTCGTTGGCTCTGAAATATGAAAATGGAGCCACAGTCAAGCCTGAAAATCGGTTTCTGGTTGACTCCCTTCAAAGTATTTGTTCTAAAACACAGTGTCTGCAGTTCATTTATCATCTGCCAATTTTTAAATGAGTTTAAATTAAAAAAGCTTCAATGCTGCATGCTTTTTTTCTTTTTTTTTTTTTAAAGCAACTCTCAGAATAAAACTGTCATTTGGTCATCACACTAGTAACTGAGAGAACTCTTGCTTGGGCAGATATCAGCACAATTCAAGCTGAGTCTTTTATGTTATTATTACCTGCTCATCTCTCATATAATTAAAAAATAATAAACCCTTGGAAGACCTGTAAGTTGTGTTCAGAGAGAAAATGTGATTCTCTTCACCACTCAGGTCTCCCGTCCTACCTGCTTTATGAGCTGGTCAGGTGAGCGTGCTCTGCTGTGCTTCAGCAGCCTCTGGAATGGGACAGACTCCAAAGTTGGTTGTGCTTCACTTCCCTTCTCCATTCAGGTCTTTAAAGTCCTGGGTTATTAACTATCAACAAAAATACAAGCTGCGCCATGCGTGCTCCAACTTCCTGCCAGCTCCCCATGCTCTGTGGAGCTGAGGAGCAGATTCTCTCTCTCTCCTCCCGGCTTCACCTCCTGAGCTCCAGAGCCCCACCCACCCACAGCACTCAGATCATTTTTCATTTATGAATGCATCCAGCCACGCTGTGTTTGTAAGAGAAGGAGCCAATCCTTGCCCTGCCAGTGTATTGGAACCAGGCTGCTATAAACGGTTCTAATTTTCCAGGAGTATGGGGGGAAATCATATCCCAGCAGACATCATGCATGGCTTCCTCCTGCAGGTATCTGCAGATCAGCTCTTCCATCACCAAAGGACGCACACTTGGCCACGGACCACAGCTGCTTCATTCTACAGACTGCCAGGGAGGAGGACTGAAGATTTCAGGCAGGAGAAAACCAAAATACTATCAAAATGTGTACTTCACATAACTAAAAATGTGAAGCTAGGATGATCAGTGAAGAAACTTTCCACTCAGTGACCTGATATTTCACAATACATTTAATCTGTCTTGCACTTATTAAAGGGCCAGATTTTTTTTTAAATTGCATCCAAATGCAAACAAAAATCAAGGGGTTAAATTATTTTATAAAGAAGTCTGTTGGGAAATAAAAGCCATTTGTCTTGATGACACCAAATTTACAACTTTTCTACTCCGACTAAGCTTCCAACTTCCATTGTAGACAAGTACTAGCAAAACCAGAAATTATCAGTCAGCCCTTGAGTTGCTGAAAAAATCCTCAACTTTTAAACACAATATGATTTTTCTAAGGTTTTATCAGGAAATAGAATGTTAAAAAATAGGCTTCCCTAAACCAACACACATATATAGTAGTTTCTATTATGGGTAAAATTTGCCTTGTTTTACAGCTGAAGCCAAAGGGGTCTTTCATGATCCAACAGCCAGAGACAAAGATTCCAAAAACCTTTGGTGCAGGTATAAAAATGTACATGTGCAACTTAAATGGGAATGACATTTTATTATTCCAATACTCACAAGGTCCTTTGTTAGCTATACTTGTAAGGAACAAAATAGGAGCAAACATCCTCTGTTTACTTCTTGCAGCCATTCTATTTTCTTTCTTTTTTTTTTTTTGAGACAGGGTCTGGCTCTGTTGCCCAGGTGGGAGTGCAGTGGAGTAATCTCGGCCCACTGCAACCTCCATCTTCCGGGTTCAAGAGATTCTCCTGCCTCAACCTCCTGGAGTAGCTGGGATTACAGGCGCCCGCCACCATGCCCAGATATTTTTTGTATTTTTAGTAGAGATGGGGTTTCACCATGTTGGTCAAGCTGGTCTCAAACTCCTGGTCTCAAGTGATCTGCCCATCTCGGCCTCCCAAAGTTCTGGGATTACAGGTGTGAGCCACCACTGCTGGCCAGATTTTTGGTGTTTTTTAGTATATTCATTTATTTTAGAGTTTTATCCAGTATAAATTTTTCCCCTAGGAGCCTTGTATTGACATAACCTAGTTCCAGTCACAGTGAGACATTTTTGAAATTGCTTCTAAATTTTCCATGTATTAAAAAACTGGTGGTCTAGTATCCGGACTTAAGTCTTTTTTTTTTTTTTTTTTTAATTAGATGGTTCAAATGTCTCCTAAACAGAAAATGCTATACATTTTCTCATGTGCTCCAAATGGATTCTAGCCATCCCAATACCCTAACACATTCTTGAAAACAAAAACAGGATCCGCCTTTTACTGATGAGATAAAGAAGACAGAAAGTCACTAGTATATATGATGTTTCCCTGGTGCGGCAGAGAAAGAACTAATGGGAGGATTAGTTCCTAGTCTCCAAACACCAGCAGGGAGCCCCAGGCAAGTCCACATTTTTTGTGTGCATTCAAGAGGCCTGAAAGTTGATCGTGTGGGTAACTTCCTGGAACTCACCTTCCTAGTTCAGGAAAGCGTGGACTCCTGCTCACAGTTCAAGCTAAGGAGAAGGAAGTCTGCTCTTTAGCTTTTTTTTCTTTTAAAAGAAGTGAGGGAAAAAGATTAAAATTGCCTTGGCCTGTGACCAAACTGCAGTCCTAACAAGAGGTAAAATTTGCCTATAAAATATTCCTGACAGTATTAGTTGGTGACATCTGCCAAAAATCTATGGTAAAACCAGTTATCCTGCCTCTCTTTGTCCCATTCTCTCAACGAAGGGTGGATAATATATAACATATAGTTTTGCTTTAAGGGGAATTACTGCTACATTTACTCACAAAACGAGCCACGTAGCATACACCAGAATTCAGCAAGTACACAAGCCACCTAACCGACCCAAGTTTCTGAATTGCATTATCCATGACAGGCATCTGGGGCTCTGCCTTCTTCGTGTCCACCTTGGTTCCTTGGTCACTGGGCTTAGGAGACCACTGTGCACTCACTGTCCATCACCCGGGAGGGACCCTGAAGATCACTGAGTTCTACTTTCTCATTGCGTTCGTGTGGAAACAGAGGCCCACAGGAACATGAGGAAGCTTTCCAACATCACAGGGCACATTAGTGGAAGTACTGAGGTTACAACGTAAATCTTCCTGATTCAAACTCTAAGATGGTGCCAAGGGGACAAGGTGTGGATCTTTGTAGGCAGGGGCTCAGTAATGGCTGTCCAGCGGGTCACAAAGCCCAGCCTAGGGACACACCTAAGATTCTCCCAGAAGCTAAAACAGAAAGGTAACAAAGAGGGCAATCCCAGAAATCCCCAGCAGGAGTCGATCATACAGCAAAAGCCAAGGGACACCCCAGGTATAAACCCAAGAACCGAAAGCAGACACACGAATGGATATTCACACCCTCGATATTTGTAGCAGCACTGTCCACTCAATAACCAAAAGGTGGAAGCCATCTAAGCATCCACTGATGGATGAATGGATACAGAAAATGTGATACATATGTACAATGGAATACTATTCAGCCGTAAAAAGGAAGGAAATTCTGACACATGCTACTACTTGGATGAGTTTTGAAAAGAAACTATGCTGGCCGGGCGCAGTGGCTCATGGCCTGTAATCCTAGCACTTTGGGAGACCGAGGTGGGTGGATCACTTGAGGTCAGGAGTTCGAGACCAGCCTGGCCAACATGGTGAAACCCCGTCTCTACTAAAAATACAAAAATTGGCCAGGCGTGGTGGCACACATCTGTAATCCCAGCTACTCGGGAGGATGAGGCATGAGAATCACTTGAACCCTGGAGGCAGAGGTTGCAGTGAGCCGAGATTGCACCATAGCACTCCAGCCTGGGCAACAAGAGCGAAACTCTGTCTTAAAAACAAGAAAAAAAAAAAAAGGACACTATGCTAAGTGAAATAAGCCAGTTATAAAAGGACAAACCCTATATGATTTTAATCGTATGAGGCACTCAGAATAGTAAAATTCACAGAGACAGAAAGTAGAATGGTGGTTGCCAGGGGCTGGGGAGAGGAGGAATGGGAAGTTACTGCTTAATGGATCCAGAGTTTCAGTTTTGCAAGAGGAAAAGCCTTCTGGAGATGGATAGTGGTGATGGTTACACAACAGTGTGAATGTACTTAATGCCACAAAACTATACATTTAAATTTATTAAAATGAGAACTTTTATATTAAGTGTGTGAAGTCAATGGAGCCTGGATTTTCTTTCTTTCTTTCTTTCTTTCTTTCTTTTTTTGAGGCAGAGTCTTGCTCTGTCGCCCAGGCTGGAGTGCAGTGGTGCAATCTTGGCTCACTGCAGCCTCCGCCTCCTGGGTTCCAGCGATTCTCCTGCCTCAGCCTCCCGGGTACCTGGGATTACAGGCACACGCCACCACGCCTAGCTAATTTTTGTATTTTTAGTAGAGACGGAGTTTCACCATGTTGGCCAGGCTGGTCTCGAACTCCTGACCTCAGGTGATCTGCCTGCCTCGGCCTCCTAAAGTACAAGGATTACAGGCATGAGCCACTGCACCCGGTTTGGTTTTCTTTACATTTTCTCATTGGCCAGTTCTATGGCTATCATGCTTCATATGCTTGATGTCACAAAATGAAAAGACCATAAAATGCAATTCATAAATGGTCTTAAAAACAACAGGAAGCACTAACATTTCCTTCTCCCCTTTTCCCATCCCCCAGTCAAAAATCACACACAGAAAGTTATGAAAGCAAACAAGGTTTGTTTTCCTGCCCCTTGATGGGAGATGATAATGTCAGCACTGATGGGGAACACCCTGCCAATTGTGCAAGCGGGGAGGACCTTGGCCTGCAAATTTGGGGAGGCAGCTCCCTTCCAACTTCTGCCATTAATGGAAAGGGTTCAGAATCACACCTGAGAAAGCTCCGTGCGGCTGTGGCCCACCCCTCCCCTCCCATCCAGCCCTCCTGGAGTTCACACACCCTCAACTCACACAACGCCGGCAGCATACACTGACACCATCATGCTCTGGGGCCTTCATTGTATACAGATCTGTTTCTTAGCTGTCAAATCTGTCCCATGAGCCATAAGCCTCTAGTGGACAGAGCTGCCTCCAGCTCTCTGGCCCCCTTTTCAGTCTCATTCCTCCTGCCAGGCCAGGGTGGGCCTTGGAGGGGTACCAGCTTCTTCGTTCCTCCCTCCTGTCACCTGGATTATCCCATCTACTTCCATAGCTACAGCAACCAAGTAAGAGCCACCAGCTCCTCAATCTCCATCTCTCTTCTGAGCTCAGACCCTCAACTCCTGCCCAGCTGCAGCTGGGTGTCCTGCAGCCACCTCAAACTCAGCCTGCCCTAAAAAATCTACTATGCGGCCAGGCACAGCGCCTCACGCCTGTAATTCCAGTACTTTGGGAGGTCAAGGCAGGTGGATCACTTGATGTCAGGAGTTCGAAACCAGTCTGGCCAACATGGTGAAACCCCGTCTCTACTAAAAATACAAAAATTAGCCAGGCATAGTGGTGTACGCCTGTCATCCCAGCTACTCAGGAGGCTGAGGCAGGTGGATCACTTGATGTCAGGCGTTCGAAACCAGCCTGGCCAACATGGTGAAACCCCATCTCTACTAAAAATACAAAAATTAGCCAGGTGTGGTGGTACGTGCCTGTAATCCCAGCTACTCAAGAGGCTGAGACAGGAGAATTGCTTGAACCCAGGAGGCAGAGGTTGCAGTGAGCTGAGATCGCGCCACTATACCCCAGCCTGGGCAAAAGAGTGAGACCCTGCCTCAAATAAACAATCCCATTATGCTCTCCCTCAGACAGGTTCCCCCTCCTGTATCTCCTCTTCCAACTCATGCCAATGAGTTCCCTGTCACTGAAGCACAACTGAGTCGCCCTTGGCTCCTCTCTCCCCTCCACCCTTGCTGGTAGGTCCTGTCAACTCCACTTCTTCAGTCTCTCTCACTCCTGACCTCAAGTGATCCACTAGCCTTGGCCTCCCAAAGTACTGGGATTACAGGCCTGAGCCACCGCGTCTGGTCGCATAGTGGGTTTTTTAGGGCATGCCAAGTTTGAGGTCCCCTTCTGCTGTACTGAGTCACACCTTAGGGCCTTGACTCTAGACTACTCTCACCTCCTCAGTTGTCTACCCCTAAAGTATATCCTGCACACAGAGGTATCCAGTGGCAAATACATAACATCTGCTTGAAACACTCAAATAATTTCTCGTTGTCCAAAGGATAACGCCTAAACACCTTGATGCGTATTTGAGACCATTCTTCATCTATTCCTGTGTTATTCAGGCTTTTGTGTCACTATAGGGAAATACCTGGCCGGACGCGGTGGCTCACGCCTGTAATCCCAGCACTTTGGGAGGCCGAGGCGGGCGGATCACGAGGTCAGGAGATCGAGACCATCCTGGCTAACATGGTGAAACCCCATGAAACTCTACTAAAAATACAAAAAAATTAGCCGGGCGTGGTGTAGTCCCAGCTACTTGGGAGACTGAGGCAGGAGAATGGCGTGAACCCGGGAGGCAGAGCTTGCAGTAAGCGGAGATCATGCCACTGCACCCCAGCCTGGGCGACAGAGCGAGACTGTCTCCAAAAAAAAAAAAAAAAAAAAAAAAAAAAGAATACCTGAGACTGGGTAATGTACAAAGAAAAGAGGTTTAACTGGCACACTGTTCTGCAGGTTGTACAGGAAGCATGGTACCTGTACCTGCCTGGCTTCTCGGGAGGCCTCAGAATGCTTTCACTCGTGGCAGAAGGCAAAAAGGGAGCAGAAGCAGGCACTTCACATGGCACGAGGAGAGCTAGAGGGGAGAGGTCCCAGACCTTTGCACAACCTGACCTCGCATTAACTAAGCAAGAACTCACTTATCACCAAAGGGTTGGAGCTCAGCCATTCACGGGGGATCCTCCCCCATGATCCAGTCACCTCCTACCAGGCCCCAGCCCCCAGCGTTGGAAATCCCATTTCAACAGGAGACTTGGAGGGGACAAACATGCAAACTATATCAATGCCTGCATCATGAAACCCACAGATAGTCATGCTAGCCGCTGCTTTTTTTTTTCAGCCTCCCGAGTAGCTGGGATTACACATGTCCAGCACCACACCCGGCTGATTTTTCTGTATTTTCTGTAGAGACGGGGTTTCACTGTGTTGGCCAGGCTGGTTTCAAACTCCCGACCTCAGGTGATCCACCCGCCTCAGCCTCCCAAAGTGCTGGGATTACAGGCGTGAGCCACTGCGCCTGGCCTTCCACTGCTCTTTTTCATGTATCTGTGCTTTCACATATGCCAGTGGTTCTCAACTGGGGAAGATATTGCCCCACAGGAGACATTTAGCACTGTCCGCAGATATTTTAAACTGTCACAACTAGGATGGGTGGGGCATTGCTGCTGGCATCTAGTGGCAGAGGCCAGAGATGCAGCTAAACATTTGATGGTATGCAAGACAGTCCTCCCACAAAGAATGATCTGTAGCACACAGCATGACACAGGTTCTTAGAAGGTTATACTGCATTTATTATTACCATGATTGCTTTCATTCTATGGGCTGCAAGCATAAATGCTGACAGGGGGCAGAAAATTAAATGAATCAGAGAAGCAGGTTGGACAAAATCAACAGCAGACGCTGAGTCTGGAGCCAACATGCCCTTTCTAAAGCATTCAGATTCAAAACTCCACGACGCTGAGCACAGCCATGCAGCAGGTGGATGGGTCACAGCTTCTACGAGGCTCCCAAGCAAGGGTGGGGGACAGTTTGTTTCTGGTACTTATTTCATTGCAAGTATGGATCAATATTCATTGAAAAGTTCCCTCTTAAATCTCCTTTCAGAGCCCAGCATACTCCTAAGTTCTAGTAAGTAAATGGAAAAATAGGGCAAAACTCTCAACTTAGATCCTTAATATTCCCTCTTATATCTCCTTTCAGAGTCCAGCATACTCCTAAGTTCTGGTAAGTAAATGGAAACATAGGGCAAAACTCTCAACTCAGATCCTTGATAAAGTTTTCCTGTGCTTCTGAATTTTCTTTTCAAGGGTTCTTTTCTTGGCCCGGCATCGTGGCTCAGGCCTGTAATCCCAACACTTTGGGAAGTCGAGGTGGATCATCTGGGGTCAGGAGTTCAAGACCAGCTTGGCCAACATGGTGAAACCCCATCTCTACTAAAAATACAAAAATTAGCCAGGTGTGGTGGCACATGCCTGTAATCCCAGCTACTCAGGAGGCTGAGGCAGGAGAACCCCTTGAACCTGGGAGGCGGAGGTTGCAGTGAGCCAAGATCGAGCCATTGCACTCCAGCCTGGATGACAGAGCAAGACTCTGACTCAAAAAAAAAAAATTCTTTGTAATTTTTCTAATGACCTTAATCTAGTTTTTCCAAAAATACATTCTATATTTTGGGAAATGCTCTATGAAAGAAGGAGATGCTCTATGAAAGAATGCTCCTTAACTCTGTGGTCAAATGGGTTTGAGAAGTATTTACCAGCACCTTGAGAGGCCAAGGCAGGTGGATCACCTGAGGTCAGCAGAAGTGTTTACTAGCTATTCCTTTAACTGGTGTGACCAAATCTTACTTTATCAAATGGTTCCCACCCCATCTTTTTATAGTGAAATATTTTAATATTTAGGGAAGCAGTGCTTTGAAGACTTTGTGAAATACTCAAGCACTCTCCTTGGCTGTCTGATTTGCACTCCCCTTCAGCAGAGGGCCATCTCAGTTTAAACTTCCATTTGTGTGCAGAGAAGTCCCAGCTCATCCTAACTCAGTCCCCATCCCTCAGGCAGAGACCTGTTCTTTCCTCCTTACATATTCTCAGTGAGGGTAGGCATACTGAAATGGCCTGGTTTTCTTCAAGAAGGAGCCATCTTGGTGAAGATGGAGGAAGGCAATGAGTCACCCTGTGAAATGGGGGTATAGCTGGAGAGCAAGTGCATGTCGGTGTGGCCCAGTGACTTGGGTCCTAGACAAGGACACACATCTCTTAGGCCCATGGGTCACCTCTGGCTAGTTTATAGAATCAAGGTCCATTAATGACTATTAGGTCCATTGAAAAAGATAAGCATAGATCTTCTGGAGCTAGATGGAAAAGGGCCAGTCACTTCGGGCAAGGAGAGTCTAACTTCAAAGTAGCAGGAGGCCAGGTGCGGTGGATCATGCTTGTAATCCCAGCACTTTGGGAGGCTAAGGCAGGTGGACCACCTGAGCTCAGGAGTTTAAGACCAGCCTGGCCAACATGGTGAAACCCCGTCTCTACTAAAAAATACAAAAATTAGCTGGGTGTGGTAGCAGGCACCTGTAATCCCAGCTACTCGGGAGGCTGAAGCAGGAGAATCACTTGAGCCTGGGAGGCGAAGGCTGCAGTGAGCGAGATAGTGCCACTGCACTCCAGCCTGGGTGACAGAGTGAGACACTGTCTCAAACAAACAAACAAACAAAAAAACACCCAAAAAAGAAAGTAGCAGAAGGTTTTTATGACTACCAAACAATCAGACACATTCTACCAGAAAGAGCTGGACCAGCCCTGCCCTCACTTTTTTTCTCTCCCATGATGCAACATGGTACTATGTTTTATTATTTTACATTTAATTTTTTAAAATTTCTACTTTTGTTTTAGATCCAGGGGTATATATGCCGGTTGGTTACCTGGGTATATTGTATGATGCTGAGGTATAGAGTACAACTGATCCTGTCACCCAGGTACTAAGCATGGTACCCAATAGTTACGTTTTTCAACCCTGGGCCCTGACCCCCTCTAGTAGTCTCCAGCATCTATTGTTGCCATATTTATGTCTATGAATACCCAATGTTTAGCTCCCACTTGTGAGAATAATATGCGGTATTTAGTTTTCTGTTCCTGTGTTAATTTGCTTAGGATGATGGCCTCCAGCCGCGTCCATGTTGCTGCAAAAGACATGATTTCATTTTTTTTATGACTGTGTCGTATTTCATGGTGTATATATATATCACACTTTGTTTATCCAATCTAGCATTAATGGGCACATAGGTTCATTCCATGGCTTTGCCATTGTGACTAGTGCTGAGATGAACATACAAGTGCATGTGTCTTTTTGACAGGATGATTTGTTTTCTTTCAGGTATATACCTAGTATAGAATTGCTGGGTTGAATGGTAGTTCTGTTTTAAGTTCTTTGAGAAATCTCCAAACAGCTTTCCACAGTGGTCAAACTAACTTACATTCACACCAACAGTGTATAAGCATTCACTTTTCTCCAAAGCCTCCCCAGCGTCTGTTATTTTTTAGCTTTTAATTTTCTTTTTTTTTTTTTTTTTTTCAGATGCAGTTTCTACCTTGTTGCCCAGGCTGGAGTGCAGTGGTGCCATCTCGGCTCACTGCAACCCCTGCCTCCCGGGTCCAAGCAATTCTCCTGCCTCAGCCTCTGGAGTAGCCGGGAGTACAGGCTTGCACCACCACGCCTGGCTAATTTTGTATTTTTAGTAGAGATGGGGTTTTGCCATGTTGGCCGCTGGTCTCGAACTCCTGACCTCAGGTGATCCGCCCGCCTCAGCCTTCCAAAGTGCTGGGATTACAGGCGTGAGCCATCATGCCTGGCCTGGCTTTTAATTTTTTTTTTTTTTTAAGTGACAGGGTCTTGCTCCGTTGCCCAGGCTGGGGCACAGTGGCACAATCATAGCTCTCTTCAGCTTCAAACTCCTGGGCTCAAGGGATCCCCTGCCACAGCTTCCTAAGTAGCTGGATTATAGGAACATGCCACTATGCCTGGCTAATTTTTTTTACTTTCTGTCGAGACAGGGTCTTGCTATGCGTTTCCTAGGCTGGTCTTGAACTCTTGGCCTCAAATGATCCTCCCACCTCAGCCTCCAAAAAATGCTAGGATTATAGGCATGAGGCACTTGACTTCATAAATAACTGCCATTGGTGTGAGATGGTATCTCATGGTGGTTTTAATTTGCACTTTTCTGGTGATAAGCAATGTTGAGCATTTTTTCATGTTTGCTGGCCACTTGTATGTCTTCCCTGAGAAATGTCTTTTCCTGTCTTTGGCCCACTTTGTAAATGGGTTATCTTTTTTTTTTTTGCTTGTTGGCTAGTTTAAGTTTCTTATAGATTCTAGTATTAGACCTTTGTTGGAAACAGAGTTTGCAAATATTTTATCCCATTCCGTGGGTTGTCTGTTTACTCTGTGGATAATTTCTTTTGCTGTGCAAAAGCTCTTTACTTAGGTCTTACTTGTCAATTTTTGTTTTTGTTGTGTCTGCTTTTGAGGACTTAGCCATCAATTCTTTTCCAAGGCCGATGTCCAGAATGATGTTTCCTAGGTTTTCTTCTAGGATTCTTACTGTTTGAGGTCTTACATTTAAATCTTTAGTCCATGATGAGTTAATTTTTGAAGATGGTAAAAGGTAGGGGTCCAGTTTCATTCTTCTGCATATGGCTAACCAGATATCCCAGCACCATTTATTAAACAGACAGTCCTTTCCTCATTTTTTTTTTGTTAACTTTGTGGAAGATCAGACGGCTATAGATGTGTGGCTTTATTTCTGGGTTCTCTATTTTGTTCCATTGGTTTGTGTGCCTGTTTTCGTACCAGTACCGTGCTGTTTTAGTTATTATAGACTTATGTATAGTCTGAAGGCAGGTAATGTGATGCTTCTGACTTTGTTCTTTTTACTTAGGATGACTTTCCATGGCCTCACTTAAAGGCATTTGTGCCTCCTTAGCCCCTTAGGCCCTCCTGCCGGTCATTGCAGGACATAGATAACTGTTCAGTCCCAATTTTCCAGCCTGGCTTGTCAGTCCAATCAATCCTTTGAGTTAGGGGTAGTTTCTTTCTTCACAGAAATGGAGACAATTTTGGTTTTGGAAACTCAATCCAGCTCCACCAGGACTTGAACTTATTCCCAGGAATCCTGCCACAAACATGAAGACCCTCAGGCACAGGCTCCAAGTGTTGGTGACAACACACACTCTACTAGGCAGAAGGAATAAGGAATTTTCTGGGCCAATATCACCAGCCAATTTCAGCTCAAGAATTCTGTCTAATGCCTCAAGGCTCTGGGAGCTCTAAGAAATCAATTTTGCTAAGAATCCCTAAAGATATTTCTCTAAATCTTTGGGGTATGATCCTGCTGGTGTCCATGAGATTGGCTACGTCTCAAGACCAGAATCAGACAAATAATTAACAAGCGTCTCCTCTAAGCACATGCGCCACATAAACTTGCTGGGAAGATGAAGAGTATCCAGATGAAAAGATTCCCACCACTACGAGGCAACACACGCCAAACGTGAAGTGATGGATAAAGGCAGTGAGGACTCCAGCGTTTCCACAGGGACCTATCACCATGGGCTGGGGGAATCAGGAGCGATTTTTCAGAAGAAGTGCGTCTTCAGGAAAGCCTCAAAGCTGGTTTCTTACTCTTGACATTGGCCCAAGTTCCAAGCTTCTCCCCATCATGGACAAAAGGAAAGTGGGCTACTCCTCACAGTAGCTGTACCTGGAGACAATTACATTCTAGCACAGTCCACCTAATTGGCACCGCACAGCAGGGAGAACAAGCCAAATGGCAGGCTTGCGGAACAGGCATTCTGGGAAGGACGGCAGCCAAGTGGGTTTGGGTTCAGACTGCTGCCTATGCTACTTGGAGCATATTAACTGGACCAGCAGACCAAAGGCCCATCGCAATTCCACTAAGACTGTGGGGAGAGCTTGGAACTGTGGGGAGAGTTTGGAAGCTCCAACTCTTTGTATTTTATCTTTACTGCACTGAATTGTCATTGTCAGTGAAAGCACTGCCATTCATTTGGTTTTCAGAAACTCAAGGCGATGTGGCTGTTTCCTCCCTAATGACTCCCCTGAGTGTGGTGCATCTTAACGCCACCGAGTGTGGAGGTGCAGCCCAGGTGGGTCAGAAGCAGGAGACACGACTCTAGTGTTCTTCTCATTTGACAGGGGAATAAGCTTGAAGCTTGACTCTCACCAGTGTGCCGAAGTGGTCAAGGGCAGTCACTGATGTTGTGCTTGTCCAGGCACCTGTACAGAGTGTGCATTCAACAAATACCCCATGCCACTGTGACTTACTGCAAGTGTATTTTATTTTTATTTTTTTAACATTGTTAAAAACATTTATTCTGATACATTCTATCATAAGTTAGTACAAGTTCCACTCTGCTACAGGTTCATCTGTGAAGAGCCTTGTGCCATCCAACTAGTGACTGAATGATGTCCCATCTCTTATCCGAGCCAGAGCACACATCTTTCATGCTGTCCACTGATTGCCTCCAAATCCAGAAGACCAAATAATCCTTTATCCCCAAAGTAGGCTCAGAACAGTTGGTTCAGACATTCCAGGATCTGCACCCCTCTTAAATCCCAGGTAAATCACAAGAGGGATAAAGCCCAAGTGGATGGCAAACTGGCCCCCGTTGAAGAGCTGCTGCAGTCTCTGCTTGGCCTCTTTGCTCAGCTTCACCATGGCGATGGCCGTGTGGCACAGGGAGGACCCCTTACAGCAACCACCGCATCGGGAATCCGAAAGGGAGAAGTTATTTTTATTTTTACTTATCTATTTATTTATTGAGATGGAGTTTCACTCTTGTTGCCCAGGCTGGAGTGCAATGGCACGATCTCAGCTCACTGCAACCTCTGCCCCCTGAGTAGCTGGGATTACAGGTGCCCACCACCAAGCCTGGCTAATTTTTTGCATTTTTAGTATAGACGGGGGTTTCACCATGTTGGCCAGGCTGGTCTTGAACTCCTGACCTCAGGTGATCCACCTGCCTCGGCCTCCCAAAGTGCTGGGATTTCAGGCATGAGCCACCACGCCCGGCCTGCAAGCGCATTTTTGAAGGGCTAGTGAAGAGCTGGGCGTGGTGGCTCAGGGGCTATAATGCCAGCACTTTGCGAGGTCAAGGTGGGTGGATTGCTAGAGGTCAGGAGTTCAAGACCAGCCTGGCCAACATGGTAAAATCCCATGTCTAACTAAAAATACAAAAATCGGCTGGGCCTGGAGGTGCATGCCTACGGTCCCAGCTACTCAGGAGGCTGAGGCAGGAGAGTCACTTGAGCCCGGAGGGGGGGGCGGGGCAGAGGTTACAGCAAACCCAGATCAAGCCACTGCCCTCCAGCCTGGTAGACAGAGTAAGACTCCATCTCAAAAAACAAAACAAAACAAAAGGCTAGTGAAGCTTCTTTGAACTGGAAAGGTGTGTCTTTCAGAGTAGTTACCGTGGCTAATCAACCCCTTCCTTCCTTGTCTCCCTCTGCTCTTCCATAAGCTTAACAGTAGCAACGTTCAGTTCCCAGTGATGCTCAGTTTTAAAAATTTACTGCATTCAGGGTGTAATTTCCAGATCTCAAAATAATTCCTCTTAAAAACAAAACAAAAACAAAAAACAGACCCTTAAGCTTACTAAGTCTCCATTATGATAAAAAAAATATACATATAAGTCTTTCTTATTCAAGTGGGGAAGATTAAGAGCGTAGCCTGTGGAGGGAAGAAATCTATCAAAAACCACATTACGCTCAATGACATGTTTGGGCTCAGAGCTGTACTTTCAAGGTATTTCTCATCTTTACCATGAAGAATCCTCTCTTGGAATTACGTCCATTCTGTGGTAGTAGGAACTTGACTCACAAAACCACAGCTTTCCGAAACATTGGCAAGGAAGTTGGGTCATATATGGAAATTTCTTTCTATGAGCCTCTAAACAATCAGTTATTTGTTTCCCCTTTTTTTTCCCACAAGAAGAATTTTCTCTAAATAATTGGAGGAGATTTCCCATGGGAATCAGGCAATGGTGACTTCCAGGTCTTAAACTCTATCTAAAACAGTTTGAAAACAAAAGACACAAGAATGTGGCTGGCTGGCCTGTAACAATGCAAATTCTGGTAGTAACAACAACAGCCAAAGTGTGGAACTTCTAGTACTTCTAGTACCTCAGAGGAGGGCGGGCACTAGGGCAAAGCCTCTCTGGTTTGTATTTAACTAAGAAAGTGTAATCCTCCCAGCACTGACCAACTAAAGCTTAAATTTTCTATGACCTATGAAAAAAAGTTTGCAAAAAGCCTTCATAATCTAAGTAGCAAGAATATCAGACTCTGTAAGAAAAGATATTCGGCTCAAGAGCTTCAAAAAAAAAATTTTTTTTTTGAGATGGGGTCTCACTCTGTCACCCAGGTGGGAGTGCAGTGGCACAATCTTGGTTCACTGCAACTTCTGCCTCACAAGCTCAAGCGATCCTCCTGCCTCAGCCTCCTGAGTACCCGGGACCGCAGGGGCAGACCAGCACACCCAGCTAATTTTTTTTTTTGTATTTTTGGAAGAGACAGGGTTTCACTATGCTGCCTAGGCTGGTCTCGAACTCCTAAGCTCAAGTGATCCACTTGCCTTGGCCTCCCGAAGTGCTGGGATTACAGGCGTGAGCCACTGCACCCGGCCTTAAGAGCTTCAAGTTTTTTTTTACCTGTACAACCATTTGAGCATAGTTCACACATGAATTTCAGCGTGCCCACAGAAGGCTAAATGCTTCATAGAGCACTGTACATTAATGGCAGAGAATATTGAGGATTTTAAATCACAGATGGAGGAGAGTTGGGATTCAAATTCCCAACCAAATCAGATCTGCCTGATAACAAATCCTATGTTCTTTCTTCTCTGGCACCAGGCTTTGACCATGTCCCGTTTGTCACAGAGGATCTAAGTGAGTCCTCCATGAAACCTCTTAAGGGGGACAGAATGTTTTGTGAAAAGACAGTGAGCACACAGATGTTTACAGCAGCTTCATTCATAATTGCCAAAACTTGGAAATGACCAAGATGTCCTTGAGTAAGTGACTAGATAAACCGCGGCACACGCAGACAACGGAGTATTACATGACACTGAAAAGAAATGAGCTACTAAGGAACGAAGACATGAAGGAAACTTAAAGGCATGTTACTAAGTGAAAGCAGCCAATCTGAAGGGGCCATCTGTGGTATGATTCCAACTATATGACATTCTGGAAACGGCAAAATTATGGAGACAGTAAGAAGATCCCTGGGTGCCAAGTGTTGGAGGGAAAAAGGGAAAAATGGGCACAGAGGATTTTTAGGGCAGTGAAACTTCTCTGTATGATAATGATGGATACATGTCATTATACATTTGGTGTGTCATTATACACACCACCACGCCTGGTTCGTTTAAAAAAAAAATTGTTTTTTAGAGACAGGTTTTACTATATTTCCCAGGCTGGTCTCAAATTCCTGGCCTCAAGTGATCTTCCTGTCTCAGTCTTCCCTATAGCCCAGATTACAGGTGTAAGCCAGAGTGCCTGGACTTTTTTTTTTTTTTTTTTAAATATATAACACCAAGAGCGAACCCTAATGTACACTGTGGACATTGGGTGATTATAAGATGTCAATGGAGGTTCATCAATTTTAACAAATGCACCACCCCAGTGGGGGGGGGGGGCGTTGATCATGGGGGAGGCTGTACATGTGTGGGAAAAGGAGATATATAGGAAATCTCTATCTTTCGCTCAGAAAAAATTATTTATTTATTTATTTTTATTTATTTTTGAAACCGGGTCTCACTCTGTTACCAAGGCTGGAGTGCAGTGGCGCGCTCATAGCCCACTATAGCCTCAACTTCCTGGGATCCAGCAATTCTCCCACCTTAGCCCCCCGAGTAGCTGGGATTATAGGTGCGTGCCACTATGCCTGGCTAACTTTTGTATTTCTGGTAGAGACGTGGTTTTGTCACGTTGCCCAGGCTGGTCTCGAACTACTGAGCTCAAGAAGGCCACTTTAGCCTCCCAAAACCCCTGGCCAGAAAAAACTTAAAAGGCTAGGTCTTGCTCTGTCACCCAGGCCAGAATGCAGTGGCACAGTCATAGCTCACTGCAGCCTCAAAGACCTTGGCTCAAGCAGTCCTCCTGCCTCATCCTCCCAGGCAGCCGAAACTACAGGCACACACCACCACGCCTGGTTCATAAAAAAAAAAATTGTTTTTTAGAGACAGGTTTTACTATATTTCCCAGGTGGCTGGTCTCAAACTCCTGGCCTCAAGTGATCTTCCTGTCTCATTCTCCCCGATAACCCGGATTACAGGTGTGAGCCACTGTGCCTGGCCTTTTTTTTTTTCCTTTTTTTTTTCTTTATCAATTTTGCTTTGAACTTAAAACTGCTCTAAAAAAATTAAGTCTTAAGAGAGAGACGGCCGGGCGCTGTGGCTCACACCTGAATCCCAGCACTCTGGGTTGCCGAGGCAGGCAGATCACCTGAGGTCAGGAGTTTGAGACCAGCCTGGCCAACATGGTGAAACCCTGTCTCTACCAAAAATACAAAAATTAGCTGGGCGTGGTGGCGTGTGCCTGTAATCCTAGCTACTAGGGAGGCTGAGGCAGGAGAATCGCTTGAACCTGGGAGACAGAGGGTGCAGTGAGCCAAGATCGTACCGCCGCACTCTAGCCTAGGCGAGACTCCGTCTCAAAAAAAAAAAAAAGACAAGACAATGAGCTTCAGTTAAACAACTATGGGGCTAAACTTAGCATTCCTGCTCACTAGCCATATGAATAATAACTGAATCTTTCAATGCCTCAGTTTCCTCATATGAAAATGTGCAATGTAGCTGCAGAGGTTTTGCTAAAATCAAGAGACAGTGCTTTAGATCATCTCAGTGCCGGCCACAGTGGGCATTTGTCAAGCTGTGGTTACAGCGACTCTCCAGTAAAACCTACTCACTCCTCCACCAGTTTCTTCACATTTCAATCTTTCTGCTGTTTTGGCTTATTTACATCACTAACCAAATTATACATAGCTTGTCCTGGTGTAATTGAAAGTGACAAAGGGGAAAGTGGGAAATGAAAACAGAGAGCTCAGTGCACAGCCGTGGTGAAAGACTCAGAAGTCAGCACTCAGCGGTTCCCAAAGGGGCTGCCAGCTCCAATCAGGCCACTAGTTACTTGACAAGAGCAGGAAGCCAGGAACCACATGCCACCCAGGATTCCCCTGGAAAAGCTACACAAAACACCCACTCTTGGAGTAGCACAGAAAAGCCTCCTGGTCATCTTGCTGGCTAAGTGCCGGTGCCATCAATGAGATCTTGGGGGTCCACTCAGGAGGGAACTGCACTTCCCTCCTCAGGAGCACTGTAACCTTCATCTTTTTTATTTTCCAAATTATTTCCTGGCTAGGGATGAGCCAAGTCTAATGGAAGATAAAAGAATTGTAATGATTAAGGCTACCCTAAAAATCAAAAGAGAAGCTTAAACTAGCATGATTAACCATACTACTTAAAAAGAAAGGTTATCCCTGAGACAGTCAGAACACCAGGTGTCTTTTTCTGTCCTTTCCATTTGCTGACTATAATAAACCTCAAAGGAGAATTCTGAAATGCCCAAAATGATGCCCATGAATGATTTCCAGATGGTTCTTTCTCTATCTTCACTTTTCAATCCCAGGAACTCTGTTCACCCTAGTTGGTTCTGTGTCATATGTAAGGAATTGACATTTCCAATGGAACATGCCAGTGACCTTTCACCCAGCTCAGTGCCTTTCCTTTCCCCAAGGGACTCCTCTTCAGTCTTGATATGGTTTGGATTTGTGTCCCCGCCCAAATCTTATGTAAATTTTAATCCCCATTGTTGGAGGAGGGACCTGGTGGGAGGTGACAGGATCATGGGGGTGGATCTCCCCCTTGCTCTTCTCATGATAGTGAGTTCTCATGAAATCTGGTTGTTTAAAAGTGTGAGGCACCTCTCCCCTTGCTCTCTGGCTCCTGTTCCGGCCATTTAAGATGTGCCTGCTTCCCCTTCACCTTCTGCCATGACTGTAAGTGTCCTGAGGCCTCCCCAGAAGCAGAAGCCTGGCCGGGCACGGTGGCTCACCTGAGGTCACGAGTTTGAGACCAGCCTGGCCAACTTGGTGAAACTCCATCTCTACTAAAAATACAAAATTAGCTGGGTGTAGGGGCACACGCCTGTAGTCCCATCTACTCAGGAGGCTGAGACAGAATTGATTGAACCTGGGAGGCAGAGGCTGCAGTGAGCCGAGATCGCGCCATTGCACTCCAGCCTGGGCGACAGAGCGAAGACTCTGTCTCTAAAAAATAAAAATAAAAAAACCAGAAGCCTGTACAGCCTGCAGAACTGTGGGCCAATTAAACCTCTTTTCTTTATAAATTACCCAGCTTCAGGTATGTCTTTAGAGTAGTGTGAGAACAGACTAATACAAGTCTCACAGGCACCTCTACTCTGAGCTCTTGGGAAATCCTTCCAGAATTTCTTTATTTCTATACATCCTTCAATGGAAAGGGATATTTAATGTTTATTTTTGAGAAAGGGTCTCACTCTGTCACCCAAGCTGGAGTGCAGTGGTGTGAACATGGCTCACTGCAGCCTCAACCTCCTGGGCTCAAGTGATGCTCCTGCCTCAGCCTCCTCAGTAGCTGGGACTGCAGGCACCCATGGCAGGGTAAGTTCTGTATTTTTTGTAGCAACAGGGTTTTGCCATGTTGCCCAGGCTGGCCTCAAGCAATCCTCCCACCTTGGCCTCCCAAAGTGCTGGGATTATAGACGTGAGCCACTGCACCCATCCAGATCTCACTTTTTATTTCCTTCTTAACTCTCCTTGGCCACAAGTTTACAATATTCTCTGACAAGTGTCAGATGCAATAATCGTCCCAATCCTGTGGCTCCCAAGGGTTTTCTGGATCCAGTGCAAACTCCTGAATGTGGCCACTAAACACTTCAACTGGCTCACCCTGTTTTCCTTGCCAGCTCCATCTGGTTTCCTCCATCTTGTGTGGCAAGATACTGTGTCCCCACCCTTGTTTAAGAGGTAGTGCCTGTCCCTCATCAACCTCCTTCCACTCATGCCAGCCTAAGTTCCCCACATTTGCACATGGTTTTATGGAGTTTATAAACAGTTTCACACAAACTGGGCCTGTCATGATGACAGTTAGCACAGGGCTCTCACTAAAACCAGAAGGATGCTGGTAGGAGGCTCACACTCACTCAAGTGAACTGTCCCATCAAGCCTGTAAGCCCCCTCCCTTCCCCAGGCATCTGGACACTAATTTTTACCTCTAGCTAGATGAAATGCCCTTGCCCAGGAACAGCTATGCAAGGAGGTTTTGTACTGGCTCTATGCAGAGCACAAGGCCTCCAAAGAGAATCAGGAACACCCAGGGATCCATGAAGAAAACAGCTGAACACGTGCAACGTCACAGTCTTGCAAAAGTGACACTCGAGCCAGGGCAAGCCCAATCTAAAAATAGATGCACCTGAATTGGGACATCAGAAGGTGCCAGAAGGCATAAGAACACCACACCTAACTCACCTGGCCTCACTTGCTGGGCTGGGACAGCCAGCGCTCCGGGTATGAGGCAACAAAAAGATGAACAGGCACTGTCATTCAACCCTTGCTCAAGGGCAATCGGGGACCCAGTGGGAGTAGAACCAGGCCTCTACACCTGACTGTGGGTACGCAAGGGCACCCTCCCCTGGAGGGGTTGAGCCTGCTCTACGCAATGCAACTGAAGTAGGGAAGGCAACCCTTGGATACAGCCAACTGTCTCTGAATGACACCGAGGGAGATGAGCCTGCTCCGGGCAGGGCAACCAAAGCCACCAACACAGACACCAATGCCTTCTTCCAGGATGGACTAATGATGAAGGCTTTTTATTTTGTAAACACAGTGTTCTGCAGCTAGAAAATGTCTGGGAGAAAAAACAAGATGGAAAAATAAATTCCAGCGTTAAAAACAAAACAAAACAAACAAAAAACAGTTGTTTACCCTCTACAGATTCAGTCTTTAGACTTTATGAGCACCTACAATCATCAGGAACACATATGGGGCCCCTATCCAACATTCTCTCTCCCACTGTCCCCCCAACACACATATAAGCTGACACTTGGAGTCCCTGCCAAGCCAATCTCCAATAAATTCTTAAAAACAAAAGGCTCCCAATAAAAGATTTCGGAACAAAGCTCCGCTCTGTAGGTACACTGTAAAAAGGAAGTTTTTCCCCATGGACAGAATGAAATCAAGACTGGGCTCAGATAGAAAGGCCAAGTGGATATTAACCTGTCTACATACTACTGGTCCTTTCATCTGTTTTTCAAAAACAGACCTGAAAAGAGTAATATTTGTCTCTACGAAGAGTTAAGTGTTTGAAAAAAAAATTAACACATACACACAAATCAGAATTCCCTTCTCTCACATCCTGGGCCCTGGGTCTTTGAAACTCTCTGGCCTGTATATAGAGCAAATGGTAAGCTTGCCCGCCTTCAGGGTGTTTTCTCCCAAACCCAGAAATGCCCTTCTCCTGGGGACACAGCAGGGCTTTCCTGGAGAGTTTGCCTGCTTCTAGGCTGAAATGTCTGGACGCAAGACAAAGATGGTTCTTTCAGTCAAGAGCCCAGAGGACAAGTAGCAAGGAATAGAGGAGACTCCTGGCCTCAGGGTTTGCTGTCTCTGTGGAGAACAGCCCCTAGCACAGAAGGTCCATAACTGGTTAACTGAGGAATGAGCAGAATCTGGGGGCCACGAGGCTGAATCTGATAGGAAGGGCCAAGTGTAGATGCCACGGGCTCATCATTTTTTTGCCTGGATGTCACAGCGGCAATCTAATAACGTGGGGATTTCAAGTGAGGGATGCTTCTCCAATTGGAAAGTAGGCATCAGGAGGGTAGGTGGCATCTGGTCCCAGTATTCCTTTGCAGCATTGCACAGTTCTGGAAACACCCAACATACTCTGTTTAGAAAGTAACGGTATCCAATGAAGACCCCCTACAGCTTCTAAAAGAAATAGGAATTCAACTCCAAAACTTTGCCTCTCTCACAGGGACAACTAGGTACACGTTTTCACCACTTCAGGCTTTCCCCACCCCCTACATTTTGCTGAACTTAACCTCTGTATACACTAGTCCCCGCCAGGCTCACTGTAAATATTTCATGCTACCTCCACTCCTGTATGAGCACATGTCAGAATTACTGCGGCTGCTAAGCCTGAATTTAGGTTTGCTTCACCAGCTTTCTATGTCAATTCTGTGTTAAGAAGTGGTCCTATACACAGCATAGCCTCAATTTCAATAGAACACCACCTGGAACAAAAACAGTCTTTGTCACTGAATTATTGTCTCCGTTTCATCATCTAAGAAAATGGCACTAGCAATGGCACCAGATTTCATTGGAGTACCCTTTCTCACATTGACATCTGTCCTCTGAAAGTTTCAAAGTTGTCCTCTGAGACATGTTCTATCTACTCCTAAATTTTTCCTTTTCAAAATGAGATCCCTGTGTTAGGATCAGAATCTTTTTTTTCTGTTTTTGAGATGGAGTCTCACTCTGTCACCCAGGCTGGAGTGCAGTGGTGCAATCTCGGCTCACTGCAACCTCCGCCTCCTGGGTTCAAGCAATTCTCTGCCTCAGCCTCCCGAGTAGCTGAGATTAAGGTGCCCACCACCATGCCTGGCTGATTTTTGTATTTTTAGTAGAGACGGGGTTTCACTGTCTTGGCCAGGCTGGTCTTGAACTCCTGACCTCGTGATCCACCCGCCTCAGCCCCCCAAAGTATTGGGATTACGGGCGTGAGCCACCGCGCCCGGCCAGGATCAGAATCTTGAGTATGACTTACTGGAATGACAATGCAATAAACTTTATTTAGTCATTTTAATTTTGAAAAAACCTCCAAGTTTTAATGTTTTGGAGCCGTGTAGGCATGTGCCACTTGAGCAGAGAATTTCATTAGCTGTTTAATTCTGGGATCACATGGCACTGGAAAAGTTCATTGGGGCACACTGTAGTTGGGTTGGTAGCCACTGAAGAGTTACAGACACTGACATTCCTGTCACCCAGAGGCAGGGAGTGACATCTGGCTCTAGCTTTTAGCAGTAGAGAGTGTGTGCTGGGGGTAGGGGAGAGGTTGGAGAATGACACAGTTAAAATGCAAATGTTCCTCCGCTTGCTGCTAAATGAACCTGAAGGAAAATTAATACATAAATTGCAAGCCTCTGGCAAAATCAAGACTTCAAGATTACCAGAAAAATGCAAACTAAAATCCTTCACGACTCTACTTCTAATATTGTGTAAGCTCTAAACCCCGGCCATAGTGAACAATGGTGTTAAAGAAACAGATTTGGTTTTTCCCCCTTCAACTTTGACCTGCTTATTCACCTGATGATTTCAACTATCCATGCGATTACCACACTAAGAAAGACAGAAACCCACACTGGCAGCAAGAGCCATGACGAACAGCCCCACCCAGTAGGTTCATGGCTTCTAGAAATGCCCAGAAGTTAACATTATAATAGTATGAATCAGACACTGCATCCAGAGTTTGTACATTTCATATAGTAACTCTTAGGGTCTTAGCCTTCGTATTTTTCAATTGTACAAACTAGATAATTAATCAGAGATATGAATTCAATTTGCCTGAAGTCCTCAGTAATGCAGACCATGGGCTAAATCTTAGCTTTGTGTTTCTTTCCCTTTGATACTATTCTTTTTTTTTTTTTCCCCAAGGAAGTTTCACTCTGTCGTCCAGGCTGGAGTGCAGGGGCATGATCTCAGCTCACTGCAACCTCTACCTCCCAGGTTCAAGCAATTGTTGTGCCTCAGCCTCCTGAGTGGCTGGGACTACAGGCATGTGCCACCACGCCCAGGGTTTTGCCATATTGGCCAGGCTGGTCTTGAACTCCTGACCTCAAGCAATCCACCCGCCTCAGCCTTCCAAAGTGCTGGGATTACAAGCATGAGCCACCACATCTGGCCTGATACTATTCTTCTAATCAACAGTATTTTCTTCAAGTCTCCTTTATTTTCAGATCTTGGGCCTACATGTGATGCTTTTCTCAAAGGCAACTGAAAACCTGTACCCTAAAAGAAGGATGCAATGTTTTTCATATAAAAAAAGACGCTAAACTTTTGTTCACTGGGTACATTTGTTATCCTTGCACTCAGCATGTGGGACCCAGCAGATGAAAGCCCGAACTTCAGAGAGAAACGTGGGAATGGAAGGTTATGTTCCTCACCCTATGAACTCCAAATAGTATACCAGACTTCAGAAGAAAGCCTTCCTCCACTAAAACAAAACATAATTTCAGAAAGTACCATCATGCTAGAGAGACACCTCCATGGAGTGGGTTTCCTTTGAGTGGTTGAGCTGTTTTTTCATTTTGGACCCTCACGTTAGTCCCACTGTTAGCCATATCGGCTACAGGAGGAGAAACAGAACAAGGCGAACCTTCTCTAGCGTGTCAATTGCGGGGTTTGGTTACACTTAGACAAGCACAGAAATGTCAATCAATTCAGTCTGTATCCACCAAAGCACTAGAGAATGAGGCACAAATGGGACACCCATCTGCTATGGTCTGAATCTTTGTGTTCCTCCAAAATTGGAGGAACCCCCTTGGGGGTTAGGATTTTAGCATACAAATTTTGGGAGGCCCATCTCAGCCTCCAAGGTATGATATTAGGAGGTGGGGCCTTTGGGAAGCGATAAGGTCATGAAAGAGGAGCGCTCATGAGTGGGATTAGTGTCCTTATGAAAGATACCCTAGAGAACTGCCTGGCCTCTTCCACCATATGAAGACCCAGCAAGAAGGCACCGTCTATGAACCAGAAAGCAGACCCTCACCAGACACTGAATCAGCTAATACCTGGATCTTGGACTTCCCAGCCTCTAGACTATGGGAAATAAGTTTGTTACTTATAAGCCGTCTCATTTATGGTATTTGTTATAGTAGACCAAATGGACTAAGACACTGTCTGGTCTTTTGTGTAGTAGAGCCAAGGCTGGGGCTGGGGCTGGGGCCGGGGCCAGGGTGGATTAAGTACGGCAGACACTGTAGACTGATTCACTCAATCCCCATTTAGCAGAAAATGTGAAACAACCATACCCCATTGCAGCCAGAGTTGCAGGCGTGTGAGCTTATTTCTACCAATCAGAAGCATCCCAGTATAACCTGGATGCAGTGTGAGTGACAGAGGCGGCAAGGGTCACCCATTGTGATCCAGGCCTTCTGAGGAGCATGGCAGAAGAGAAGCGCAGTCCTGGCATTCATCCCCTCAGCTCCTGGGGACTCAGCAGCCAGCGGAGGCAGCATGATTTTTCTGCTAGAACAGACTCATGGTATGGTTTGGCTCTTTTCCTGGCTCCATCACATCCAAGCCTGATTCTTGGTTCTTCCCAGAACTTCTGTGAACCACCTAACCAACAACCGTTAACACATCCCTTTCTGCTTAAACTAGCTACAGGAATTTCTGTTGTTTGCAGCCAGAAGTCCTGCCAGACTCGGCAAGAAAACAGAGAAACGAAAGGAAGCGGGAAGGACTGTAGGAGTCAGCTGACAGGGGCGATGCAGTGGCCACGTGCTCCAAGTCAGGGGCTTCTGAACCCAGTTCTGTATGCCCAGTGAAGCCACATGGTGGCATCCACAGAACAGAAGCTTTAGCGATGGCTCCACAAAGGGTGAGTCTCAACTCTACTGCCCCAGGCTCTGTATTGTGCTGGACAAGTTTCTCATATTATCTGAGCCTGAATTGATTCATCTACAAAACTAGAACAATGCTACTTTCCTTATAGAGTTTCAGAGAAAATAGGTAATATGTCAACAGCCTAGTACAGTGCCTAGTGACCAGCAGTTGTTTCAGAAATAGTGTAACTATCCCATCAAATCATCACAAATTGATTTGGCTTACATACCATACATGTCAAAATATAAGGTTATATTTTCTCTTCTCTAACATTATTATAAAAGAGGAAGTTGTTACATATTTGAGTCTGTACAAATTATATTATGAACCTCTTTCAATTATATTAATTTGGATGACAAATTACTATTGGGAGAAGACACAATTATCTCATATCAATGGGAATTTTAGATGCTTAAACAGAACTGGTTTAAAATAAAGGGGGGAAATCAATTTAATATTAAATTTAAAAATTATGCCTAGGGGAGATAATCTCACCATTTTAAGTGCTATATTTTCTTGTAGCAGAGTAGCATGGCGGTTAAAAGCAGGAACTGGCTGGGCGTGGTGGCTCATGCCTGTAATCCCGGCACTTTGGGAGCCTGAGGCAGATGGATAGCTTGAGGTCAGGAGTTCGAGACCAGCCTGGCCAACATGGTGAAACCCTGTCTCTACTAAAAATACAAAAAAAAAAAGGCTGGGTGTGGTAGCTCATGCTTGTAATCCCAACACTTTGGGAGGCCGAGGTGGGTGAATCACGAGGTCAGGAGTCCGAGACTAGCCTGGCCAACATGGTGAAACCCCATCTCTACTAAAAATACAAAAAAATTAGTTTGGGGTAGTGGTGAGTGCCTGTAATCCCAGTTACTCAGGAGGCTGAGGCAAGAGAATCGCTTGAACCCAGGAGGCGGAATTTGCGCAACTGCACTCCAGCCCAGTTGACAGAGTGAGACTCTGTCTCAAAAAAAAAAAAAAGAAAGGAAAAGAAAAAATAAAAATTAGCCAGGCATGGTGGTGGGGCATCTGTAATCCCAGATGCTTGGGAGGCTGAGTCATGAGAATCGCTTGAACCTAGGAGGCAGAGGTTGCAGTGAGGCCAGGTCACACCATTGTACTCCAGCCTGGGCGACAGAGCAAGACTAAGTCTCCAAAAAAAAAAAAAAAAAAATGCAGGAACTCTGGAGCTCCACAGCTGGGTTTGAATCTTGACTCTGCCTTTCATGAACTATGTGACTTTGAGCGCATAGGTAAGTTATTTGACCTTTCTGAACCTTAGTTCCCTGAATAAAGTGAGATAAGGTATCAATCTCACAGATTTCTCTGCATAAACGAGTTAATACATGTAAGGCACCGATGACAGTATTTGGCACGTAGTAAACGCATCCATAAACGTAAGCTATTTTCAATTATAGGATGAAGGGATGAAGGTATGGAGGAACTGTGGCAGGGTTATATGAATACTTGTGGTCTTGGATAAAATGTCCAGTGACAGCACCGTACATGAATATAAATATTACAGTCTTTCAAATAATAAAGATGGAACGCAATACACCCTTAAAACTGACTCAGCTGACTCAAAATTTGGCTCTGATTATTTGAATAAATTTGCTTCATAAACTATATGAGTGGGAAAAGGAATATTCAAAATTAATGTCATTTAAATTTTAAATGTGATTTTAATTATATATGTGAATATTAGAGCTATACATGACTATTTCATGTATATCACTGTATTATTAGTAGTAAACTGAATTGTTATCCTTTTAGTATACTAAATATAGTATTTCGTGTATATTAATGTTGGCCAAAAACCTTTTTGTAGCTCTTGTTTATTATGTATGGGGTTTATATTCTACTGTATGCGGTAAAAGAAAATGTTCTTCTCTTTTTTTAATCAGCGTAGAAAATTCAAACTGTTATCAAAAAGCATCTTAACCACATGTCCCTGCTCCCCAAATTAATGCCCTTATGATCTCTTTTGCTTAGATTTGTTGAGTTTAAATGCATTTTATTTTTAGACAAACTACATGACGTGCTTTTCTTAAAACAATGCCTCCATTCCAAATAAAGCATGGTCGAAATAAATGAAGAGCTCAAGATGACATCATTCCCATTTTCTTAAGTCCTGTTGTTGTGTGGATGACAAGCTGCAGTCAGTTACGATGACAGGTGATACATCCAAAGCAACTGCCAAATTTGTTAACATTTTCCCATTTCTAAATCATCCTCAAAGAAAATCACATATGGAGTCACACCATCCTTCCAGTAGTCCAGTAAAGCAACCATGCCACCTGGATTCATGGTTTCCCCAATACAGAAAGAACTGGTAGCTTTTTGTTTGTTTTGAGACAGAGTCTTGCTCTGTTACCCAGGCTGGAGTGCAGTAATCTCAGCTCATTGCAGCCTCCGCCTCCCGGGTTCAGCAATTCTCCCACCTCAGCCTCCCAAGTAGCTGGGATTACAGGTGTGCACCAACCACAGCCAGCTAATTTTCTGTATTTTTGGTAGGGACAGGGTCTCACTATGTTGCCAAGGCTGGTCTCAAACTCCTGAGCTCAAGTGATCCTCCCGCCTCAGCCTCCCAAAGTGCTGGGATTATAGGCGTGAGCCACCACGCCCGGCCAGAACTGGTCGTTTTTGAAATTACTAAGGATGTGCTTGACATGATTGCAAGGGGCTCTGCAGCCCCTGTCATAAAAGGTTTTACTCTTTCTGGTCTCTGTTCTTCAAGTTTGTCTTTGATATCACGTAACCTTTGATGTATTTCTTGTAGGCTTCTCTGGTGAAGCTAGTTTCCTGAAAGTGATGGTTCATGACAGTATCAACACCAGCCATTACTGTGCTTTCCGTGCCCTCGCCCTCGGGGCCTTCAGCGGAGGCATTTCCACCAATGAGCGAGTCATCAGTGTTACCCTCTCTCCTACAGACCATCTTCGCCTCCACTTCCACGCACAGCCAGTCTGAGATCTCCCGGATCTCGTGAACACACCTGATCATGGCTGACAAGGTCCCAGTAGATAATCATGATGGCGGCCGATGGCAGCTAAAGGGAGACGACCAGTGGCGCTGCCTTCTAGGAGCCCGGAGCTTGGAGCTGCGCTCATGGGGAGCGGGGGCGGGGCCTTGCTTAAATTTCAAACAAAAAAAGGATCAAACCAAAAATAAAAGAAAATAGAGGGAAATGTAGACTATCTTTGTGCATTTTAAATATACATAAAATCTCCAACATGGATAAAGATGTTATTCGATTCTATTTACTACCTGATCCTTTTCTTTCTTTTTTTTTTTTTTTTTTTTTTTTTTGAGACGGAGCCTGGCTCTGTCACCCAGGCTAGAGTGCAATGGCAGGATCTCGGCTCACTGAAGCCTCCGCCTCCCGGGTTCAAGCAATTCTCCTGCCTCGGCCTCCTGAGTAGCTGGGATTACAGGCATCCACCACCATGCCTGGCTAATTTTTGTATTTTTAGTAAAGACGGGGTTTCACCATATTGGCCAGGCTGGTCTCGAACTCCTGACTTCGTAATCTGCCCGCCTCAGCCTCCCACAGTGCTGGGATTACAGGCATAAGCCACCGGGCCCAGCCACCTGATCCTTTTCTTATGCCTTCATTTAATTGGGAGATCCTTTTCTTATGCCTTCACGTAACTGGGAGTGGGGGGTGGGGATTAAGGAATAAAATCCAACTAAAATAGCAAGACTTTCTTCATAAGGCATGAAACATTAAACATATAAAATATTGTATTTCACAGTGTCCTCTCTCATCTGTATTTCATGGGAAATAGATGGATGAATTCAGCCTGATAATCCACTACATGTAGCTATTAGTGGGTCTCTTGAAGGAAAGGCACAATAACCCAGATGGGTGTATTAACCAGAGCTTTTATGTCATTTATGACTAATACTATGAACTGTGTCCCCTCTCAAAATACACATGTTAGAGCCCTAATCCCCAATGTGATAAGGGCTTCGGGAGGTAATTAGGTTTCAGTGAGGTCAAGGAAGGGACCCCATGAAGGGATTAGTACCCTTATAAGAAGAGATGCCAGACAGCTTGCTTCCTTGCTTTCCCTGCCATGTGAAGACACAGTGAGAAGACAGCCATCTACAACCCAGGAAGAGAGCCCTCACCAGAAACCAACCATGCTGCTGGTACTTTCGTCTTTCCAGCCTCCAGAACTGTGAGAAAATAAATGTCTATCATTTCAGCCATGCAGTATTTTATCATGGCACCCTGCACAAAGACAGGTAAGGAGTATGGCCACTTAAAACATTAAGAAGTCATCATAACCAAACTGTCAACAAAACAATCATCCACTATAACAAGACAAATCCCTTTGTGTTGATCTTTTTCTCAGTTCTCAATTATCAGCTTGGGCTAACCAAGCATTCTACCCAGAATTAGATGGATAATACAACTTTCAAAGTTTAGACATAAGCTTTAATCTAATTCTTATTGGATATGAGCCCATCCAAAGGTGGAAAATATGTTCAAATATTCTATTCTAGATATTGTAAGTAGTCTCTTTTGTTTTTTCTTTTTTTTGAGACAGAGTCTTGCTCTGTTGCCCAGGCTGGAGTGCAGTGGCACACTTTTGGCCCACTGGAACTTCCGCCTGCTGGGTTCAAGCTATTCTCCTGCCTTATCCTCCCAACCAGCTGGGACTACAGGCACGTGCCACCATGCCCGGCTAATTTTTGTATTTTTAGTAGAGACGGGGTTTCACCATGTTGGCCAGGCAGGTCTGGAACTCCTGACCTCAGATGATCTGCCCGCCTCAGCTTCCCAAAGTGTGAGGATTACAGGGGTGAGCCACTGCACCCGGCTATAAATAGTCTCTTAATAGATTTCCTACATCATTGATAAAAACCAAACTAAGGCCGCGCATGGTGGCTGACACCTGTAATCCTCACACTATGGGAGGCTGAGACGGGCTGATTGCTTGAGCCCAGGAGTTCAAGACTAGTCTGGGTAACATGGCGAAACCCCGTCTCTACCAAAAATACAAAAACTGAGGTGGGAGGATCACCTGAGCCTGGGGAGGTCAGGGTTACCACTGCACTCCAGCCTCTGCAACAGGGTGAGACCCCATCTCAAAAACAACAACAACAACAACAACAAAATCAGCGAACATTTGGACATCGGTAACATGAAGTATATTTTACTTGTGTGGTATCTCAGTTAAAATTACTTCAATTTCAGGCCAGGTGTGGTGGCACGCACCTGTAGTCCCAGCTACTCGGGAGGCTGAGGCGGGAGAATGACATGAACCCGGGAGGCAGAGCTTGTAGTAAGCCGAGACGGTGCCACTGCACTCCAGCCTGGGCAACAGAGCGAGACTCTGTCTCAAAAAAATAATAATAAAAATAAAAATAAATAAAAATAAAATAACCTCAATTTCACTCTTAGCAACACATACACACACTTAAAAACCAAGAACCACCACTGAAGTTAGGCAAGAATGGGGGAGGGGAGCTGATATAAAATAGTGATGTGTAAGTGCACTCTACCAAGGAAAGATGATAACAATAAGCAAACTCCCTACCCGTCCAAAGTCCAATAACAAAAGTTATCAGCTTCTAGCACATGAGCCATGGCCTCCAGGCTCTGAATGGGTTGTTTCAAGCCTTTCAAAATGAAAAGTTATAAATCAGTGTTGACAGAAATCCATATCCTCAGAAGGTACCCAATACCTGAATAAATCCACTCTTACTCTGGGAAGTTCTTAGCGGGAAGGTTAACTCTGTAGTGAGAAAATACTTTCCTGACCAAGAAGATACACAGAGCTAGCATGAAGCTATATTTAATGTTTGACCAGGGGTCTGCTGGGTTGGAAAATGTGAACATCTTCCAGTGGTAAACTGAACTCCACCCCAGAGGGGAAAAATGCAGGCCAAGAACACGGAGGAAGATTACACTAACTGGCTTAGAAGAGGAAGAAAAGCAACCCCAGCATCCTCAGGTTGCAGGTAGAGAAGGGGAAAAAGAGACTATCAAACCACTTCAGCTTAAACTAGAACACCTGCAAGGCAGTAGAAAGGTTTGCTATGCATTGCTTCAACCACTAAAAAAGAAGAAAGGGACACTGATCAAAACACAAATTTGGCCAAGTGCGGTGGCTCACGCCTGTAATCCCAGCACTTTGGGAGGCTGAGGAGGGCGGTGGATCACCTGAGGCCAGGAGTTTGAGACCAGCCTGGCCAACATGGTGAAACCTCCTCTCTACTAAGAAAGAAAAAAAAATACAAAAAATTAGCCGGGCGTGGTGGTGAGTGCCTGTAATCCCAGCTACTCCAGAGGCTGAGGTAGGAGAATTGCTTGAACCCAGGAGACGGAGGTTGCAGTGGGCTAAGATCGGGCCACTGCACTCCGGCCTGGGTGACAGAGCAAGACTCTGTCTCCAAAAAGCAAAAGAACAAAACACACACACACACAAATTCACTCCCTCTGGTAAAAGTAGACTCACTTGCATAATTTTATAGGCGAATTTGAAACACAAGCAGCAACATTTAGATGTGCTGCTTTTTTCCTAATGCTTAATTATAACCTCAGCCTTATTCGATGTAATTGCGCCCAGAATTCTGTATCTGTACCTTTCCAATAATATTCACCATCACTACTAATTTTTAAAAAAGACATATTGGCCGGGCGCAGTGGCTCATGCCTGTAATCCCTACTAAAAATACAAAAAAATTAGCTGGGTGTGGTGGTGGGCGCCTGTAGTCCCAGCTACTTGGGAGGCTGAGGGAGGAGAATGGTGTGAACCCAGGAGGCGGAGCTTGCAGTGAGCCGAGATCGTGCCACTGCACTCCAGCCTGCGCGACAGAGCGAGACTCTGTCTCAAAAAAATAAATAAATAAAAGACATATTAACAAGTATTGATTTCCAGTGACTCAAGTTTTCACATCTCAGCATCTAAGTTATGATAATAGCAATATTAATTGTTTTCTCAGGCAATGTATTGGAATGTTTATAAATACTGGTTCATTTAAAAGGCCCTGGGAAGATAAGAGATCTATTTTCTTGGCTTCATCCATGACCAGCCTCGCCCACAGCAAGTGCTCATTAAATGTTTGTTTATTGAATGACTGTTGACTAAATAAACTTTTCCTTGATTTTTAACATTTGTGGCTGATTTCACTATGTTAACCTTCAGCAACTTGTAATTTGTAGATGTAGTAAGTTCTTATTAATTGAGCTTATAAGAAGTGGCATAACTTAATGTTGAATAAATCTCATGATAAAGACTTATTGGTTATTTTGCTGGTTTGGTTTTGTTTGTATTTTGGCTAATTGAAACACATACAGTTGAAAGAAATACACTGCTTTAAAATACTAAAAAAAAAAAAAAAAAGTGGCTGGGTGCAATGGCTCATGCCTGTAATCCCAGCACTTTGGCACTTTGGGAGGCTGAGACAGGCAGATCACCTGAGGTCAGGAGTTAGAGACCAGCCTGACCAACACCGTGAAACCCCGTCTCTACTAAAAATACAAAAATTTCCTGCGCATGGTGGCGGGCACCTGTAATCCCAGCTACTCGGGAGGCTGAGGCAGAAGAATTGCGTGAACCCAGGAGGCAGAGGTTGCAGTAAGCAGAGATCACGCCATTACACTCCAGCCTGGGCAACAAAAACAAAATTCCGTCTCAAAAAGAAAAAAACAAAAACAAAAAATGTTTTTCACTAATTTACAATGACTTTTCCTTTCTTTTTCTTTTTTCTTTCTTTTTTTTTTTTTTTTTTTGAGACAGGGTCTCACTCTTATTGCACAGGCTAGAGTACAGTGGCGTGATCTTGGCTCACTGCATCATCTCTCAGGCTCAGGTGATTCTCCCATCTCAGCTTCCTGGGTAGCTGGGGCTACAGGCATGTGCCACCCTGCCCAGCTAATTTTTTGTATTTTTAGTAGAGACAGGGTCTCACTATGTTGCCCAGGTCGGTCTCAAACTCCTGGGCTCAAGCAATCTTCCCACCATGGCCTCCCAAAGTGTTTGGATTATAGGTGTCAGCCACCATGCCCGACCTTTCCTATTCTTTCTACCCCTAGATTACATAATAATATTTTTTTATTTTAATTTTAATTTTATTTTTTTTTGAGATGGAGTCTCACTTTGTTGCCCAGGCTGGAGTGCAGTGGTGTGATCTCAGCTCACTGGAACCTCTGCCTCCCGGGTTCAAGCGATTTTCCCGCCTCAGCCTCCCAAGTAGACGGGATTACAGGCATGCAGTACCACGCCCGGCTAATTTTTTGTATATAGGAAAGACAGGGTTTCACCATGTTGGTCAGGCTGGTCTCGAACTCCTGACCTCAGGTGATCCACCCACCTCCGCCTCCCAAAATGTAATTTTTACTTTCAAGTTGTAGGACTTTTTTTTTTCCCTCCTGCATGCAAATCCCTTATCATATATATTATTTGCAGAACATTTCTTTCCATCTTTTTCATAAATGGTGCTGGAACAATGAGAAATTGACATGCAAAGAAATAAAGCCCTTAATAAAATTTTAAGTTTTTGTTTGTTTGTTTGAGATGGAGTCTCACTGTCATCCAGGCTGGAGTGCAGTGGCGTGATCTGGCTCACTGCAACCTCCGCCTCCTAGGTTCAAGCGATTCTCCTATGTCAGCCTCCCGAGTAGCTGGGATTACAGGCACGTGCCACTGCACCCGGCTAATTTTTGTATTTATTTTTTTTAGTAGAGACGGGGTTTCACCATGTTGGCCATGTACTAAAAATACAAAAATTAGCAGGCATGGTGGTGCATGCCTGTAATCCCAGCTACTCGGGAGGCTGAGGCTGGAGAATTGCTCAAACCTGGGAGGAGGAGGTTGCAGTGAGCTGAAATTGCACCCCTGCCTTCCAGCCTGGGCGACAGAATGAGAATCTGTCTGAAAAAAAAAAAAAGAAAAAAAAGTATCCAAATCAAACCCTTTAACAATTCAATAATAAGCAGACAATCCAACTGAGTAACAGGCTAAAGATCTGAATAGATGTTTCTCCAAAGAAGATATACAAAAATGGACAACAAACCCAGGAAAAGATGTGCAACATCATTAGTCATCAGGGAAACGCAAACCAAAACCACAGTGAGATACCACTTTATACACACTAGATTGGCTATAATTTTTTAAAAGGACATAACAACAAGTGTTGGTGAGGATGTACAGAAACTGAAACCCTCATGCATTGTTGGTAGGAATGTAAAATTGTGCAGTAACGTTGGAAAAGTTTAGCAGTTCTTCAAAATGTTAAACATGGAATTACCATATGACCCAGCAATTCCACTCTTAGGTATATACCCATGAGAAACGAAAACATTATGTCCACACAAATCTCGTACATGAATGTTCGTAGCAGTATTATTTACGATAGCCAAAATGTGAAAACAACCCCAATATCGATCACCTGGTGAATAGATAACATTGGACTACCATTTGGTGATAAAAAGAAACAAAGTAGTGACAGATGTCACATGTGTATGAACACTGAAAATGTGCTAAGTGAAAGAAGCCAGTCACAAAAGACCACATAGATTTCATTTACATGAAGTGTCCAGAAAAGGAAATTTATAGAGATAGCAAATCAAAGAGTGGTTGACAGGGGCTGAGGAGTTTGTAGGGGAAGTGAGGAGTGACTGCTAATGGATGGAGGGTTTCTTTTAGGGGTGATTAAAATGTTCTAAAAGTAGATAATGTGATGTCTACAGATCTGCTTGAATTTACTTAAAAACTATTTATTGTAAATTTTAAATGCATTAAATGTGTAATAATGTAATCTCAATAAAACCGTTTTTTAAAAAAACCTCCTAGGAGGACAGATGTAAGTGTGTGGACTCCCCAGCAGTGTATGTCCCCTCACAAAGGTACTGAAAATTGTTTGAGGGGAAGTATTCATTTCTCCAATTTGAAACAGACAACAATCAAGATTCACAAAAGCTAACTTAAAGTCACCTTTCTTCTTCTTTTTTTTTTTTTTTGAGACAGTCTCGCTCTGTCACCCAGGCTGGAGTGCAGTGGCATGATCTTGGCTCACTGCAACCTCCACCTCCCAGGTTTAAGCGATTCTTGCGCCTCAGCCTCCTGGGTAGGTGGGATTACAGGCACATGCCACCACGCCTGGCTAATTTTTGTATTTTTAGTAGAGATGGAGTTTCACCATGTTGTTCACGCTGGTCTCAAACTCCTGACCTTAAGTGAACTGCCCGCCTCAGCCTCCCAAAGTGCTGGGATTACAGGCATGAGCCACCATGCCCGGCCAAAGTCACCTGTTTTTATAGCTGTTAGCCTAAATGTGTATTTAAAATGCTTGGCAAGTATAATAGAAAGTTCTTAGAAAGGTCAGCTCTTGCCTCCAACTCCCCTTCCCCTTTTCTAAACTGGCAACACACTAGTGTTCAGAGAAAACCAGAAAAATTAAGTTATTTCTTAATGAGTTGTAAGTATTTGTCCGGGAAGATTTAGGAAACTCACTTTTAGTAGAAAATTTATCAGCAAAATCCTTTAAGCATTTTCGATGGGGTTTTCCTCCTCCTCATCACACACACCCACAGAAACCTTGGGGCCTGGCAACAACTAACAAGCAAGTCTATTACACAGATAAACAAAAATTCAAGGAAGGAAAACTAGCTGTTCCTCGGGGTGATAATCTAGAGATGGCTTCAGGACTTCTGGAGGCTCGCATATTTTTCTATCTTCAGCCTCCCAAGAAATAACTGAAGAGCATTTTACATGAAATCACCTAATTATGGTCCCCAGGCTCATTGCCTCTCGGCAGGGCCTTGCTTCCTCAGGTCAAGGCAGACAGATGCTCAACAACAGGACCCAAGCAGAGTGTGGGAAGGACTGGCCAGATCCTGCAGGAGCCTTTGACATGACCCCTTTTCCCTTCTTAAGAAAACCTAGCCTCGGGCAGCCTGGAGCTGATCCTTGTTCCAGGCCCGAAGTCCCTCCCCTATCCCCTTCAGGTAAGGAAGGCTGGCTGACTTTCATCAGCCATCAACAGTGAGCTCTTCACAATTTGGTCTACATGTAAATAGCTTTCTATATAGTAAGGATAACAGTCAGCAAATCCATTAACAGATTCAGCCAAGATCACATCTATTTACAAGTGTTTCTTGACTGCCTGACACAACCCCAGGACTACGGAAAGCTGGTACACAGCGCTACCTACACCTCCCTGGAATCTCCAACTGAGAGAAGGAACCAGAGGGGATACATGTGAGGATACACCACCATCCACCCCAATGCTCACCCTCTGCCATTCTCAAAATCCTGGTGACACCGTTCACTACGTCATTTGCTGTGTGCCACCTGCCAGGCATTATGTCAGCGCCTCTATATGCATTCTTCCATTCTAGTCCGGCAACAAATCTCAGTGTTATTCTTCTCAATTGACAGAAAAACACCTTAGTCTGTTCAAGCTGCCGTAACACTATAAACTAGGTGGCTTATAAATAACAGAAATTTATTCTGGAGGCTGGCAAGCCCAAGATCAAGGCCCCGGCGGGTTGAGTGTCAACAGTCACTTTCTGGTTCACAGATGGTGTCTTCTGACTGCGTCCTTACATGGTAGAAGGGGCAAATGAGCTCTCTTGGGCCTCTTTTATGAAGGCACTAATCCCATTCATGAGGGCTCTAATTTGATGATGATTTGATGACCTAATCAGCTCCCAAAAGGCCCCACTTCCCAATACCACCACCTTGAGGGTTAGGATTTCAACATATGAATTAGGGGGCACATAAACATTCGATCATAGTAAACACATTCAGTGAAAATAAGTAACTCATCCAAGGCCACACAGCTAACACACATGGTAGAGCTGTGATGGGACACCACATCCTTGAAGCCAAATCACAGAAGACAGAAGGTGCCAATACTGAGACTGTGCTGTCAGCAGGAAGCTCACCTTCCAGGACAATGCTAGAAGTCCAGAGCTTTCCCTTGTGAAAAGAGAGGCTCCAGCCCGGCGCACTGGCTCATGCCTGTAATCCCAGCAGTTTGGGAGGATGAGGTGGGCGGATCACTTGCGGTCAGGCGTTCGAGACCAGCCTGGTCAACATGGTGAAACCCCATCTCTACTAAAAATACAAAAAAACTAGCTGGGCATGGTAACACGTGCCTGTAATCCCAGCTATGTGGGAGGCTGAGGTAGGAGAATCACTTGAACCCAGGAGGCGGATGTTGCTGTGATCATGCCAGGATCATGCCACTGCGCTCCAGCCTGGGCGACAGAGCAAAACTCCATCTCAAAACAAACAAACAAAGAGGCCAGGCGCGGTGGTTCACACCTGTAATCCCAGCACTTTGGGAGGCCGAGGCAGGCAGATCATGAGGTCAGGAGATTGAAACCATCCTGGCTAACATGGTGAAACCCCGTCTATACTAAAATACAAAAAAAATAGCTGGGGGTGGTGGCGGGCGCCTATAGTCCCAGCTACTCGGGAGGCTGAGGCAGGAGAATGGCGTGTACCCAGGAGGTGGAGCTTGCAGTGAGCCGAGATCGCCACTGCACTCCAGCCTGGGTGACAGAGCGAGACTCCGTCTCAAACAAACAAAGAAAAAAAACAAAAAAAAAAAAAAAAAAGAAGAGAGGCTCCATCTATCCTTAAGAAGGATCCCAAAGCCGTCCTGGATGACCTGTCTGGTGAGTTCCCACATATTTGAAGGAAACTGCCCCCCAGAGCTAGGAAAGGTTTGGCTGGAAAAGGGTTGGCTCAGGAAGCTCTCAGCATCCACACACTATGTGCAAGCATCACTTTGCCATGTGACAGGGGAGCACAGTTCACACCAAACAACGCACACCAGTGGTACTGCGCCTCTAAGGACAGCCAGTCCAGAGCTTACAGACAATCAGGGGTGGAAGGTGGGAAGCTGCCTTCAAAGGAAAAGGCAGTAGAGCAGCTGTCAGAAAAGCTTTCTGCACCAAATCCCTGAAGCACTCACTTTCACTCAACAGCTGCAACAGGAGTGCCCTGGGCGTGTCAGCATTTTATTTAAGCCATCTCTTGTCCTTTGTCCGTCCCTGGCAACTGGCTGGAGGAGCCTAATCTACCAGTGCTCCTTCCTAATGTCCTGAAGCCTAGCTTTACAGCTGTATATCCACTTTTATCACTGGCCATTTATTATGTGCAGTTACCTGATAAAGTGGTAGAAGCAGATAATCCTACAGAGGCAAGAATGGTCTAACAGATTTGAAGCAAGCCAGCTCTGGATCCGACCATACTCTGTACTTTTGGTATAATTCATATGAGTTCATCACTAAACAAAATGCCTGTAATATAGTTGGCTCCAGGGAGGAGACAAATGATGAGTGTCCACCCTCTAGACGGGGAGAGAAAAGATACACAAAACTGGCTGGGTGCGGTGGCTCATGCCTGTAATCCCAGCACTTTGGGAGGCCAAGGTGGTCAGATCACCTGAGGTCAGGAGTTTTGAGACCAGGCTGGCCAACACGGTGAAACCCAGCCAAAAAATAAAAATACAAAAAAATTAGCCAGATGTGATGGCAGGCACCTGTAATCCCAGCTACTCAGGAGGCTGAGGCAGGAGAATTGCTTGAACCTGGGAGGTAGAGGTTGCAGTGAGCTGAGATTTCACCACTGCACCCCAGCCTGGACAACAGAGACAGACTCCGTCTCAAAAAAAAAAAGCCAACAGTCAAACAAAATGAGACCTTATATCATCTGCATGTTTCATGTTTCATATGCGTCTCTTCTGTACTTAACTAGACTGATTTGTTGGTTGTTGGAAACTTTCTGCATGCTACTTCTTTTTCTGCCCTATCCCCAGAAAAAGAGAATATTTTCACATCAATAGGAAGCACTCAGTGATGCTGGGGGACAGAGAGATTCAACTCCAGTGACAACTGGGATCTCAAGTGCAACTTCGGCCAGTGATTCTTCCGAACACACATCACTTGCGACTTATATTTGAACATCAGACAACACAGGGAATAACAGAGGTGTGTACAACACTCTGAGGGCTGAGAGGACAAAGGGATCATACTGGCTGGCTAGTTAAGTTCCACAGAGAAGATGAAAACCAGTCCAGGCTGTCCACAGACTCTAGGAGCAGAACACAATTTTCACACTGTGGTAAGAGATACTCGAGGTTTACTTTCTCAGGAATATCTTCCCCATCAGCCTGACATACTCCTGGTGCCCTAAATTTCAAGATTTGAGTTAGTTCACTGATTTAGGTGCTAATTCAAAAAGTATTTTTAAATATAAATATGTTTCTGCAGCAGGAAAAAAAATAGTTTAACCTTTTATTTTTCACGAGTGATGTATAGACACATTTTAAAGAAAAAAAAAAACTCACCAGATCCCCACCCTACATCCAGAGATCTCATTTGAGTAACATTTAAGAAAATAAAATGATTTTATTGCGCTTTCAGCTGTAAAGTATTGCTATAAAAGAAGTTTTCTTTGTAACTGGTTTTTGAGACAGAGTCTGTCACCTAGGCTGGAGTGCAATGGCACAATCATGGCTCACTGCAGCCTTGACCTCCCAGGCTCAAGCAATCCTCCCACCTCAGCCTCCCAAGTAGCTGGAACCACAGGTGCATGGCACCATGCCTGGCTAATTTTTAAATTTTTTTGTAGAGACTGGGTCTATGTTGCCAGAGCTGGTCTCGAACTCCTGAACTCAAGCAATATTCCCACCTTGGCCTCTGGTGAAGTGCTGTGATTACAGCCATGAGCCATAGCACTCAGCCAGTAAAATAAGATTATTGTAACACACACAATTTTAAAAATTCGTATGTATCTCTAAAGACTCAGAAACCCTTGTTTGAGAAACAGAACTTTAACCTGTTTAACAGTCTCTCTGGATTTAATATCCAGCCCTTAGCACAGGGCTTGGCACATAGCAGCAGTTCACTAAACTTTTTCTGAGCGGATGAATTCTATCTGGGGAAAGGAGCTGGGTAAAGTCCAAGGTTTAAAACATTGCTGAGGTGGGTGAGCCCAAGACCTAGGCACTAAACTGTGACCCTAGGTAGGTGGATATTTCACACACACACATACACACACACACACACACACACACACACACACACACACACACACGAGAGTATCAAATAGGAATCTGATGAGGCAATAAAGTCACCTAGGATGAGCTAACTCTGCCAGCAGTTACCCCCAAGAAACCAGCTGACATGGACTCTCAAGTCTCTACCCCACCTCACAGTTACATGCCTAGAGTAGTGTATTTATTTTTTACCTTTCCGTCACAATACCTGGGAGGTGTCAGAGAGGGTCACGTGCAAGCATGGTCCAATGGAGAATGCCAGGATCTGAAGTCAGCCAGCTCTGGATCCTACTGTTCCCAAGTCTGTGTCCTTGGGCACAATTCTTAAAATTCCAACCTGCAGCTTCCACATGGGCAAAGTGGAACAAATCGCTATTGCATAGTGTGGCTGGGGGGGTTACAGTGAGAATGTATGAAAAAGCCCTGGCACATCGCTGGAGCTTAGTAAAGCCAGTTCCCCAACAGAGGCTGAAACATGGCACCTATTATCTACAGCCATGAAGAAAGGACAGAGGCAGGGTGGGGAAAAGGCTACGCTGCTCAGGCATCAACATAATAACACTGTCTTTTGGAAGGGGTGGGAGCAGACAGAGGGAGGAAGGGAAAAGGTAGAGGCGCCTTCATGAGGGAGGTATGTGTATTTTGTGGCTGAGTGAAAAAACGAGGAAGGGGATTTACAATATGTTCATGTAAGGCTCTGGGCAGAATTTAAAGTCACTCTATCAGCTCAGCCAAATGAGAAGATCCTCTTTCTGACAAATCCCAACAGAAGACATGTCAGTGAGCTAAAAGTATCTTGGTATCTTCTTCCATCTGGGCTGCTATCACAAAATATCATAGGCTGGGTAGCTTATGAACAGTAGAAATGTATTTCTCACAGTTCTGGGGCCAGGAAGGCCAAGATCAAGGTACTGGCAGTACCTGGTGAGAGGTCATTCATAGATGGCTGTCTTCCAGCTGTATCCTCACATGACAGAGGAGATAAGGAGTCTTTCTCAGGCCTCATTCATAATGGCACTCATCCCATTCATGAGAGCTCTACCCTCCAACCTAAGTGCCTCCAAAAAGCCCCACCTCCTGATACCCTCAACCTTCAGGGTTAGGATTTCAACAAATGGACTGTAGGGGGACAAAAACATTCAGTCCATTGCACTTGGCAAAAGAAAGAAAGGGCGGCCAGGCACGGTGGCTCACGCCTGTAATCCTAGCACTTTGGGAGGCCGAGGAGGGCAGATCACGAGGTTAGGAGTTTGAGACCAGCCTGGCCAACATGGTGAAATCCCGTCTCTACTAAAAATACAAAAATTAGGTGGGCGTGGTGGCGGGTGCCTGTAATCCCAGCTACTCGGGAGGCTGAGGCAGAACAATCAGCTGAACCCAGGAGGCGGAGGTTGCGGTGAGCCGAGATCATGCTATGGCAACTCCAGCCTGGGCCATGGGGTGAGACTCCATCAAGGGAAGGGAAGGGAAGGGAAAGGGAAAGGAGAGCAAGACTGGGACAAGATTGAGAAAATGAGGTAACAAACTCCAGAATAACTGTCTAGCACTTGAACAACCCTTTGGTTCCCCTTCTGGGGCATTTCCCTCGTGCAGCATTGGGCTGAGGATACAGCCATACTTACGACATTATCTTTCAACCCTTCAGGTCACACCAGCTCACCCCAAACTTAATTTTAGACTATAGAAAAACCAGAATAAAATGAAGTCAGGACACACGCTAATTATAACCATGTTATAAGTGTACATGCGGACAGGGGTCTGGAAGCGCTTGGAAAAGCAAAATATACTTGGTATGTACTGAGTGGTGGGATTGAAGAGAATTTTCCCTTTAAAGATTATTTTTTTAAAGTAATTCTGATCTTAAATTAGTGCAATACATAAAAGCTGGAAGGGAAAAAAACATCAAGAACGGCCCTATCTCCTTGATGTCACTCAGCCCACAGCAGGAAAATCTGGACTGAGACCACTGTTGAAATCCTACACCCCACCGTGCCAGGCTTCCAGTCCATTCAAGAGTACACCAGATGCAGCTGCAGCTGCAGCTGTGGCCAGAGCTTAGGGGAATGAAAGGTTGAAGACTAAATGTCTTTTGGTCGAAACTTCAGTGCAAATTCCACTAATATAGAGCACCCTTAAAATGCAATGTGCTGGCCGAGCACGGTGGCTCACGTCTGTAACCCCAGCACTTTGGGAGGCTGAGATGAGTGGATCACCTGTGGTCAGGAGTTCAAGACCAGCCTAGCCAACATGGTGAAACCCTGTCTCTAATAAAAATCCAAAAAAAAAAAAAAAAAAAAAAAAAAGCTGGGCGTGGTGGCGCATGCCTGTAATCCCAGCTACTCGGGAAGGTGAGGCAGGAGAATCACTTGAACCCGGGAGGTGGAGGTTGCAGTGAGCCAAGATTGCACCATTGCACTTCAGCCTGGGCTACAAGAGTGAAACTCCGTCTCAAAATAAATAAATAAATAAATAAATAAATAAATGTGCTGATTATCAGACCAAACCCAGGAATTTCTGTACAACTTCATGTGAACAAATGTCTAAGCCAATTTTTTCTAACTAGTCTGAAATTTTTAGTAACTGTAGCACACAGACACATACATACACAATCCCTGCTGAGAAACTAAACAGTCCCCAGTATAAGAAGAATAGAATAAGAGCCTACACAAGGTGATTTATACTTTAAGACAGACTTAGACATAGCTGATCGCTACATTTATTCCACCGGAAAATCTCTTTATACTCATGGAAATTCATTATCCACCTGTTTTTTTTGTCTTTTTGTTTGTTTTGAGACAGAGTCTCGCTCTGTCACCCAGGCTGGACTGCAGTGATGCAATCTCAGCTCACTGTAACCTCTGCCTCCCAGGTTCAAGTGATTCTCGTGCCTCAGCCCTCCTGAGTAGCTGGGACTACAAGTGTGGACCACCACGTGTGGCTAATTTTTGTTTTTTGTAGAGACGGGTTTTCACCATGTTGCCCAGGCTGGTCTTGAACTCCTGGGGTCAAGCAATCCGCCCACCTTGGTCTCCCAAAGTGCTGAGATTACAGGCACGAGCCACCGCGCCCAGCCAGGTTTTTGTTTTTAAATGCGAACCACAATCAATGGCAGGCTAAGCAGTAACGTGGGGACAGGATGGTCTCAAGGACTGCTGCTATCTATGGTCTTCACCAAGATGTGATTCTGCCAAGGCCTACACAAACAACCCTCACAAGGGCAAGGGCGAAAGGTCCTGGTCAGTGGGTACAAGTTTAATAGTTTCAAGATTATCCAAAAAAATATTCTTTCTTGGAGAAATAAGCCAAGACAGGAAAAAGAAAAGCTTAGTTTTTGTCTGCTTCCCTCTAGGAAAACCCTCCCTTGCCCTCTCCATTGCTCCTCCCACGCCACACTTTGTTCACACCTGTTTCAGCACCCATGCTGTAGCACTGCGTGTGTCTACACACCTGTCTCCACCGTCAGGCTGTGAGCTCCATAAGAAACTAGGCCCAGCTGGGCACAGTGGCACACACCTGTAATCCCAGCACTTTAGGAGGCCGAGGCAGGAGGACTGCTGGAGCCCAGAAGTTCAAAACCAGCCTTAGCAACATAGTGAGACCCCCCCCGCCCACCCACAATACAAAAAATTAGCCGGGTGTGGTGGTGCACACCTGTTGACCTAGCTACTCGGGAGGATGAGGTGGGAGGATCACTTGAGTCCGGGATGTCGAGGCTGCAGTGAGCTGTGGTCTCGCCACTGCACTCCAGCCTGGGTGACAGGGCAAGACTCCCCTACACCACCCCCGCCACAAAAGAAACTAGGCCCACTACACCTGTGTACCCCAAACTCAGGCACAGCCTGGCACACAGTAGATGCCCAACCTGCCCTGTTGTTCTTGGATCATCCTGGTTTAAACTGGTTATCCCAGCCTAATTATCAGTGCTCTCCTTCACTCTCAGAGGTGCCCTGTGTGTGCAATAAATCCTATGATCACCCTGTCAGTAAACAGTAAATACATCTTGCTCTTGGTTTATGAGTCTTATTTTTAAGATCATGTCCTTTGACCTGCTGTGGTTATTGCTGGTCAGCAGAGCAATAGGTACATTAGGGAGCTGGGTAGATAGACCTTGAGGAGAAGGTAATCCAGAAATTAGTTTTGTTAAGAGTTTGGGGCCAGGCACAGTGTCTCATGCCTGTAATCCCAGCACTTTGGGAGGCTGAGGCAGGAGAAATGCTTGAACCCCAGGAGTTCAAGGCCAGCCTGGGCATCATTATGAGACATCTCTACAAAAAATAAAAAAAATTAGCCAGGCATGGTGGTGCACACCTGTGGTCACAGCTACTCAGGAGGCTGAGGCAGAAGGATTGTCAGAGCCTGGGAGGTTGAAGCTGCAGTGAGCTATGATCGCACTACTGCAGTCCAGCCTGGGCAACAGGGTGAGACCCTGTCCCCCCGCAAAAAAAAAGAAGGCATGACTGGTAGAGGTAGCTTGGATTTGTCACAGCAGATTTCCTAACTATCTCATTAACCCTTTGGTAACAGTATCAGTCTTCACTCTCCTTGGCTCCACTGAGCACACTGGCATGATCTGGGCACAGGGTGAGGCTGGCAATGGCTAAAATGTATTGGGAGCAGTGGGGAAAGCTCTGCTCGGATTGACAGCGTTGGTGAGCATTCACCATTCCACCCTGGACCTCCCTGCCTCGGTGGCTCAGTACCCTGCCCACAATGCCACTTCTCCAGTGCCCTTAGAAATGGAAAAACCGGCCGGGCATGGTGGCTCATGCCTGTAATCCCAACACTTTGGGAGGCAGAGGCGGGCGGATCACCTGAGATCAGGAGTTCGAGATCAGCCTGACCAACATGGAGAAACCTCGTCTCTACTAAAAATACAAAATTAGCTGGGCGTGGTGGCACATGCCTATAATCCCAGCTGTAAGGGAGGCTGAGGGAGGAGAATCACTTGAACCTGGGAGGCGAAGTTGCGGTGAGCCGAGACCATGCCACTGCATTCCAGCCTGGGCAACAAGAATGAAACTTTGTCTCAAAAAATAAATAAAAATAAAAATACAAAAATTAGCCGGGCATGGTGGCACATGTCTATAGCCCCAGCTACTCAGGAGGCTGAGGCAGGAGAATCACTTGAATCCAGGAGGCTGAGATGGCAGTGAGCCGAGATCGCGCCATTGCACTCCAGCCTGGGCGACAGAGCGAGACTCCGTCTCAAAAAAAAAAAAAAAAAAAAAAAAAAAGGAAAAACCCCTGAGCTTTGCTTACAATCCTCCAGGATGAGAGGAAGCAGCGAGAATGAGAAGGTGAGGTTGGAGCTGGAGCCAATTAAGGCACTCAGCTCAGGGTTCTGGTTGATACGGTGCGGCAAGGGGCGTGTTAATACGGTTGCCAGACGCACTGACAGCATCGGAATTATCCAAGTGGATGCCATTTGTCCTGGGGTCTGGCCTTTTTACAGGGTATGAAAGATAGACTAGGACCACAAGTCTCCACAGGTCCTTCTCTGCTTCTAATTGCCACAGACAGGGCCATGCAAAGGCGGCCAAGAGGGAGGGGAGTTACTGTTTCCACCTGTCTGGCCTGTTTCCTCTGGTTCCAGAGAAACTCCTCCTTGGATTTAGGGGCCCACAGGGACTTCCCAACTCTCGCCACTCATTAAGCCTGTTTGATTTAAAAGGAGAAGATTAAATACACAGCCCACAGCCAAGATTCCAGATGTTAAGCCAGCCTTCTCTTTGTGGTTGGGGTCCCCTGCTAAGTAGTACTAGCAATTAACATCTAAAGCTGGGTTCTGAGGGGCTGGAGTCAGGGAAGAAGGGGCCCTGGCTCTAGGCCCGGCTCGGCTGTTTTTATTAGTCCACGATCTGAACCATTCATTTGGTTTCTTCATTTTTCCCTACCGGGAATCGACCCTCTACCAAACCTCTGTCCCTTGTGAGCAGGCTGTGAAAATCAAAGGGGGTTAAAGAGTTATTTTGCAAAAGTATTAAAAAGCCACCACAGAACTGCGCTGTCCAATACCATACACCCTCACCACATGCTGCTATTTAAACCTAATTAAAATGAAAAATTCAATTCTTGGGTCATGTGCGTCACATTTCACACGTGGCTAGTGGCTGCCGTATTGGCCACCTCACAGAAAGAACACCGCCATCGCCCATTAAGTTTTATTGGACAGTGCTGCTCCACAGCTTCTCTTGGATTTCTCTCCACAAAAAAAAAAAAAAAAAAATCACAAAAAAGAACAACCCAGCCTTGTCAATGCTCAGGAGGGCAATGTTTCTTACGGTTTTGTTTGTTTGTTTTGGTGGGGGTGGGGGGGTGTTTGTTTTTGCTTTTGGAGGGGGGACAGTGTCTCACTCTGTCGCCCAGGCTGGAGTGCAGTGACACTATCTGGGCTCACTGCAACCTCTGCCCCCCCGGGTTCAAGCAATTCTCCTGCCTCAATCTCCCGAGTAGCTGAGATTACAAGGTGTGCACTACCACACCCGGCTAATTTTTGTACATTTAGTAGAGACGGGGGTTTCACCATGTTGGCCAAGCTGGTCTCGAACTCCTGACCTCAAAAGATCTGCCCACCTCAGCCTCCCAGAAGTATTGGGATTACAAGCGTGAGCCACTGCACCCGGCCCCCGTGTGTCTTAATGCCTCCAAGAAGAGGAGTCCCTTACTCGGACACAGTAAGGCCACCACCAGGCCCTCTTTCAAATTCTAGAAAGATGACACTTAAAGCAAGTGTTGGCGAGTAAAGGGCTTTTCCCCCTTGGCTCCCACTGCCTTTATACTCAGATGGCCCTTTCAGACCTAATCTATTATTTACACAGTCCTACTTTTAAGAGAATGCATTTCAAACATTTTCTCAACAGGAGTGTGAGGTCTGTGCAAAGCCAGGGTCCAGGACAACCAATCACTTCCCTCCTGTTGGCCTGACAGGCCTTTCTGAACAGCACCAGAAAATGGCCAACTTGAACTATTTAACAAAACAAAAGGACACAGTCCTCCCCTGGCCAAGTGTTAAAAGCATTCCAAAAGAAAAGGCCGAAACAGAAGCTCCTCCCCTCCAATCTGTTCCTCATCTGTCCAGGGATTTATTGGCTCTCGCACTAAATTAATCAATTGCCAAAAGAGAGCTAAAACCACGGCTCCAATGTAAATACTTCTTGGTAACAATCCCTCAGCGTGACACTTCAGATTTCAAGTGGCTGGGTGGCCTTCCAAACGCCTCATTAAATAGCAACTTTATAGCATTAAGAGGAAAAGGCTCTGGGATTTTCTGTACAAATGTATAAATCAATCTTTTCAAAGACAAACAACAGAACAACCCGCAAAACATACGTGATAGGGGAGGGGGCTCGGGGAGGAGCATCAAGAAACTGAGGAAGGAGAAACTGAAGCCGACGGAGGTTGGTCTAAAGTTTCTCCTGGCTCTGGGCATGAGGGTATCTTGACTGGGAACATTTCCATTCCATCCAACATGAGTTTTTCCCATTATCGAATGGGACCACTCTCCCGATGGTGAGATCCCATGCCCTGTATCATCCCAGACTGACTTCCTATCCCTCAGAGCATTTATCAAAGATTTCCAACTCACAGGCAGTTAAAATCAGTCAAGCTTACGGACTTCTCTCAGGGAATGATTTAGTGTTAAGAAAAACTACATCCTCAACAGTTGGTTATTGATTACCCTCTGTGTTTAGGACATAGTAAGGGTTAGAAAAACACATTCTCCTCTCTCCCTCAAATAATTTCACATGCCTTGTAGAGTATAAACCACCTCATTAACAGCCAAGCCTACAAAGACACCACTGCCTCACAAATCGGAGTACGTAGCCCTGACCAATCCAATCCCATTTTCTTTTTAGAAAACCTTCAATGGGGCCGGGTGCGGTGGCTCACACCTGTAATCCCAGCACTTTGGGAGGCGGAGGCAGGCAGATCACCTGAGGTCAGGAGTTTGAGACCAGCCTGGCCAACATGGTGAAACCCCATCTCTACTACAAATACAAAAATTAAGCCAAGCATGGCGGCACGCCTGTAATCCCAGCTACTCAGGAGGCTGAGGCAGGAGAATTACTTGAACCCAGTAGGCGGAAGTTGCAGTGAGCTGAGATCATAGCACTGCACTCCAGCCTGGGTGACAGAGGGAGGGAAGGAAGGGAAGGAAGGAAGGAAAGAGAAAAGAGAAGAGAAGAAAAGAGGAAAGAAGAGAAAATAAAAAAGAAAAAGAAAAGGAAACAAAACAAGAAAGGAAGGCAGGCAGGCAAAGCTTCTATGGGCAATATCTGCGCCATCCAAATTCCACTGCTGTAAATGGCCCAAAACAGCTGCACCCCTGGAACCCAGGCTCGAAAAATAGGGTTGTATCCCTCTGATGTGCCCAAATGCCCATCGTATGTTGGAAGTTAACAATGCTGAACAACTCCCACTCCCTCCCCGACTCTCGCCACTCTTCGGCTAAGCAGCCTTTCAAAGCTATGTGTAACTGTCCCCCCACAGACCAATCCATTTTATTTTTCCTTTAGAAAAAGTGCTGTTCCCCCCCTCCCCCGCACATAAAACTGATGACTGAAAGCAAAGCGTAGGACAGTTTTGAGACACAGGGCATGCACAGGCAACCCTCAGTATTTGAGCCTGTGTCATTCTTGACACTGTCCCCCTAACTGGCAGTTCTCTGTACAGCTATGCGAAATTTTGTCAGATTCCTACAGAAAAATCAGCCCTATTGTTCCAACAGAACAACGGACAATTGATAATCAGGACAGTGAGAGGAGAGAAGCAGACTCTGCAGATCTCAGGAATGGCACTTCTCTGCTGTAAAAATGGTTCCTATTGGAAAAGCTGCCAACCTCCTAGCTCTCCTCCATCCTCAACACTGCTTTCTCCATCTCAAAAAGCAAAATGAAACAAAATTAAGCCTGTGGATGAAAGTGCACACCACTCTCAGGCTCCGAATGTGGTCTCTCCACTGACACCCAAAGTCCTTCCAGAGAGGGTGACCCAGGACACCAAAAGTGCTCCAAGCATTTCTGAAGCAAGAGTCACTTTCCTAACACAATTCCCACTCTGTCACTGCCTCTCCATTCACACTACATATCGATTTTGTGTGTGTATGTGTGTTTGTGTGTGCGTGTGTAAAATCTGCTTTTCCCCTAGAGCCTACCAAGTGTGTACTTAAAAATATCCACTACGTTGTAGGATTTTCAGAACTCATTGAACTGGTCAACATACAGAAATCCACAGTAAGAATGAGCCCAGCCCATAGCAAACATTAAGGAAGCAAGCACAGAAGGAACAGCCCAGTCCAACTATGCATGGCACAGCCTGGCACTGGTTCTTGCACCCAGGCGGCATTCAAGAGATAAGTACAGAGACCAGGCGTGGTGGCTCACGCCTACAATTCCAGCACTTCAGGAGGCCGAGGCAGGCGGATCACCTGAGGTCAGGAGTTTAAGACCAGCCTGGCCAATGTGGTGAAACCCCGTCTCTACTAAAAATACAAAAAAATAGCTGGGTGTGGTGGCAGGCGCCTGTAGTGCCAGCTACTCGGGAGGCTGAGGCAGGAGAATGGCGTGAACCCGGGAGGCGGAGTTTGCAGTGAGCCGAGATCGCACCACTGCACTCCAGCCTGAGCGACAGAGCAAGACTCCGTCTCAAAAAAAAAAAAAGAGACAGAGACAAGTGCAGAATCTACCTGATGCAGAAGTGCCTCTGGGCTCTACCTGTAACAGTCACTGGGTCCTCCAATAAGACCTCAATTCCACCCTGGGCCGTGGCTGAGGGCCCACACATCTCAGCATCCTTCACAAAAGCAGTTTCCATCAGGGAGTTTCCTGGTCTCCTGACAACCCACAGTTCTCAGAAGGGTGGAGGGGCAAAGGGAGGAATTTCTCCAGCGGGCAGAACCTCAGCAGAGAGGAGAGAGGAGAGAGGAAGGGAGTCCGGGCAGCAAGCTCAGCAAGCTGGGAGGAAGAAGGAGTGGCAGGGAAGGAAGGGGCCAAGGGGAGGCACATAAACAACTTGGCACTAGCAAACTCAACCAAAGCTTGGAGTCGCTGCCAGCCTGAGAGTTCACCCAATGCAGCAACATGCTCTAAACAAATGCATTGTTAATTGTGGAAGATATGCACTGATCTGTTTTTTCAGTGTGTTATTCAAACTGTATAGACAATGGCTGGGCACAGTGGCTCACGCCTGTAACCTCAGCACTTTGGGAGGCCAAGACAGGCGGATCAACTAAGGTCAGGAGTTACAGACCAGCCTGGCCAACATGGTGAAACCCTGTCTCTACTAAAAATACAAAATTAGCCAGGTGTGGTGGTGGGTGCCTGTAATCCCAGCTACTTGGGAGGCTGATGCAGGAGAATCACTTGAACCCGGGAGGCAGAGGCTGCAGTGAGCCACTGCACTCCAGCCTGGAGAAAAAGAGAAATTATTTTAAAAAAAAAAACCAAAAAACTAACTCAAAAACAACAAACAAAAAAACCAAAAACAAACTATACGGATAATGCTTAATCTCCTCCCTAATTCTACTCTCTTTTCCCAAGATAATTGCTGTTTTCTGGTTTTCATGTCAACCTTCTGGACACAGCATTTATCTAATGCTATATTCGTATAGAAAAAAAATCATCACTTGACTTAATGGCTACATAGTGTACTTATGCTATACTATGTTTCTCTTTCCTTAGTGATATGTTTTATTATTTTTCTTTTTTTACATTTGTGGCTGATTAGGGAGAGATGTTTTAGAGATCACTACATCCATATAAAAAAATGCACTTCCTTCTTTGAAATTGCCACATAGTATTCTGTAATGTGGACTTACATATTTTATTCATTCTTTTGATAAATGTTTAGTTTTCATTTGTCCCCATTTCAAACACTTCTGGAGTGAATATGTGTTCAGATGCAAGTACTTCTTTAGAACACAATTCTAGAAGTACAATTTCTGGGTCAAAGAATATGTACAATTTTAACAGATGACAAAATACCTGTGACGTGTCTCACTCTGACAGTATACAAAGACCCGAACTCTACCCTGCTTGCTTCTATCATTCTTAATTTTTTACCTAAGCCTAACCTTAATTCTAACATTGTCTAAATTGGATAGTAAAGAGTAGTATTAAAAAAAAAAATCCCACTGCTTTGATTGGCATTTCTCTGATTACCTAACAGCTCAAGCATTTTTTTCTTTTTCTTTTTTTTTTTTTTTGCCGTTTGCACTTTTTCTTCTGGGAGTTGCCATTTCATACACTCCACCCGTTTTTCTTCTGGGTATTTTACTCATTAACTTACACATTTTTATGTATTCACTTAATCCATCATCTATTCTGTTTTGTACGTTTCTCTTGGTCTATCACTTTAAAACTTTACTTATGGCATCGTCCCACAAACAATGTGGTAGCTTCCTATTAACAATATAGTGGCCGGCCAGGCACAGTGGCTCATACCTATAATCCCAGCACTTTGGGAGGCTGAGGTGGGTGGATCATTTGAGGCCAAGAGTTTGAAACCAGCCTGGCCAACATGGCAAAACTCTATCTCTACTAAAAATAAAAAAATTAGCCAGGAGTGGTGGTGGATGGCAAAACCCCATCTGTACTAAAAACACAAAAATTAGCCAGGAATGGTGGCGGGCACTTGTAGTCCCAGTACTTGACAGCCTGAGGCAGGAGAATCGCCTAAACCTGGGAGATGGAGGTTGCAGTGAGCCGAGATCGCGCCATTGCACTCCAGCCTGGGTGACAGAGCAAGACTCTGCTTCAAAACAAAAAAAAACACAATACAATGACGTCCAAATTGTTGTCAACAGTAGAATCCTTTCTGGAGTGCAGTGGAATCCCAAACAGCAGACAACAGCAGACCTGCCCTGGCTGAGGCTGAATGGGCATCCTAGGGTCTCACCAATTCCTCTATCTTGATTCCAAAGTGTTTCTCAGAGCTTCTAAGAGCAGAATTTGAAACCACAGATTCAGTCCAATTCCCTCATGTAACAAATGAAGAAATCTAGGATAAAAGCCACCAGAGGGATAAGCCTAAGGCCTCCTAACAGAAACAAGATCGGCCAGACCTAAGGTCTCTGTTACGTGTCTGTGAACCCAACCCAGGATGTATGTATGTATGTATGTATGTATGTATGCATGCATGCAGTTATTTTTGAGATGGAGTCTCGCTCTGTTGCCCAAGCTGGAGTGCAATGGAGCAATCTCAGCTCACTGCAACCTCAGCCTCCTGGGTTCAAGCGATTCTCCGGCCTCAGCCTCCTGAGTAGTTGGGATTACAGGCACCTGCTACCACACCCAGCTAATTTTTGTATTTTTAGTACAGATGGGATTTCACCACATTGGCCAGGCTGGACTCAAGCTCCTGACCTCAGGTGATCTGTCCTCTTCGGCCTCCCAAAGTGCTGGGATAACATGCGGGAGCCACCGCGCCCGGCCTTAACACAGGATTTAAATTATAGAGAATAGGGCCAGGCACTGTGGCCCACGCCTGTAATCTCAGCACTTTGGGAGGTGAGATAGGCAGATCGGTTGAAGCCAGGAGTTCCAGACCATCCTGGCCAACACAGCGAAACCTCACCCCTACTAAAAATACAAAAATTAGCCCCGCATGGTGGCAGGCACCTGTAATCCCAGCTACTCAAAAGGCTGAGGCATGAGAGGTGGAAGTTGCAATGAGCCGAGATTAAGCCACTGCACTCCAGCCTGGGTGACAGAGTGAGAATCTGTCTCAAAAAAAAAAAAAAAAATTACAGAGGATTGGTTAATTCAAATTTGATCTGAAAACAAAACTCAGCAACTTAGCATCTGATTCATGTACTTTTCTTTCAAAGAAAAAGTAGCATGCTGGCCAGACACGGTGGCTCATGCCTGTAGTCCCAGCTCTCTGGGAGGTCGAGGTGGGCAGATTACCTGAGGTCAGGAGTTTGAGACCAGCCTGGCCAACTTGGCAAAACCCCATCTCTACTAAAAATACAAAAACTAAACCGGCCTGGTGGTACACACCTGTAATCCCAGCTACTCAGGAGGCTGAGGCAGGAGAATCGTTTGAACCCAGTAGGCAGAAGCTAAAGTGAGCTGAGATTGTGCCACTGCACTCCAGCCTGGGCGACAGAGTGAGACTCCATCTCAAAAAAAAAAAAAAAAAAAAAAGGTAGCATGCTAATAAACTCATAATTTCACTCAAAACTCATTTTAATGAATATTTATCATGACTGTCTAGTTATTAATGCATTAACTTCCTGTCTCTCCCCATCACAATATAAGCTCCCTGAGAGCAGGGAATTCTTATCTGTCCTTCTTTCTTATGCCCCCTGGGCCTTTTTTTTTTTTTTTTTTTTTTTTTGAGACAGAGTCTGTCACCCAGGATGGAATGCAGTGGCAGGATCTTGGCTCACTGCAACCTCTGCCTCCAGGGTTCAAGCGATTCTCGTGCCTCAGCCTCCCATGTAGCTGGGATTACAGACACTCACAATCAGGCTCAGCTAACTTTTGTTATTTTTAGCGGAGACTGGCTTTCACCATGTTGGCTAGGCTGGTCTCCAACTCCTGGCCTCAAGTGATCCGCCCACCTCGGCCTCCCAAAGTGCTGGGATTTTAGATGTGAGCCACTGTATCTGGCCCAGACCTGGGCCTTTTAAATTGTAGGTTTCAATAAATATTTGCTAAATAACTTCAACCATTACCTCCAAAACTATTCACTACAGCTAAAAGCAAGCCTAAAATGATCCAATTTACTTATTTTTAAAAATTTCAACTGCATTTATTAATGTAACCTTTGCTAGAATAGCTGGTCCATTCGTGAATGGTCTGAAAAGTGGAAGGCAGGCAGAAATCTCAGGGTCTGGATAATAATCCACATGGAATAAGTGAGAGCAATACTGCTGAAAACACCCTCTCCTCCCTCTCCCCTTCTTTATGGAACTGTCCAGGCTTCTAATTATTATCCCTGTGTTTTACAGGAATTTGGTACTTGAGGGGCCCTTTATAAAAATCCCAGGAGAGATGGGGCAGCCTCGATCAGTTGTGTTTTGGTCTGAGGTCCTTTTCTCTTGCCTGCTATTCTTCTAACTCCAACTGTGGGAACTTAAGGAGGTGAGCCACTTATGGGATCTAAGTCTGAGCTTCCTCCTCTGTTAAGAGGACACAGCAATAGGCCTTATGCTTCATAACAGTGGAAAGGATTAGTGTCGATGTATGCATGTGGCTTAGCGTAATGCCACACAAATGGAATCACTAGAGTTTATCAGTTATGATGGTCCATTAAGCTGTCAACTTTTAGGATGGGTTTTTACACACCCAGAATAACGGGATGGAGTCAAACTAAGCACTATTAAATATAAGGAAATGGGGCTGGGCACAGTGGCTCTCACCTGTAATCCCAGCACTTTGGGAGACCGAGGTGGGTGGATCACTTGAGGTCAGGAGTTCGAGACCAGCCTGGCCAACGTGGAGAAACCCCGTCTCTACTAAAAAGTACCAAAGGAATTAGCCAGGCATGGTGATGCATGCGTGTAGTCCCAGCTACTCGGGAGGCTGAGGCAGGAGAATCACTTAAACCCAGGAGGCGGAGATGCAGTGAGCTGAGATCGTGCCACTGCACTCCAGCCTGAGTGACAGAGTGAGACACCATCTCAAAAAAAAATGTGTGTGTATATATATATGTGTGTGTATTGTATTATGTATATGCATGCCCCGGCACAGTGGCTCACGCCTGTAATTCCAGCACTCTGGGAAGCTGAGGTGGGTGGATCGCCTGAGGTCAGGAGTTTGAGACCAGTCTGGCCAACATGGTGAAACCCCGTCTCTACTAAATACAATAAAATTTGCCAGGCATGGTAGCATGGGCCTGTAGTGCCAGCTACTGGGGAGGCTGAGGCAGGAGAATGGCTTAAATCTGGGAGGCAGAGGTTGCAGTGAGCTGAGATCGCACCATTGCACTCCAACTCCAGCCTGGGCAATAAGAGCAAAACTCCATCTCAAAAAAAAAAAAAATATATACACACACACACACACACACACACACACACACACACACACACATATATATGGAAATGGGATGAGACAAGTCAGTGTCATTAAAAACACATTCCTGGGAGACTAACCCTAATTTACAAAGCAAGTCAAATCCAATCATAATGGCAACTATTAGATGTAGGTCTTAGAACTCCTAGACCACAGAGAAAAAGATTTATGAACAGCTTTCAGTTAAATGCCAACCTGCTGATCAGAGATCCCAGTTCTAAACCATAGCCAGAAAGCTACCTTTCAGCCAGGCGTGGTGGCATATGCCTGTAATCCCAGCATTTTGGGAGGCCTAGGCGGGCGTATCACAAGGTCAGGAGTTCGAGACCAGGCTGGCCAACGTGGTGAAACCCCGTCTCTACTAAAAATACAGAAATTAGCCGGGCATGGTGGTAGGCGCCTGTAATCCCAGCTACTCGGGAGGCTGAGGCAGGAGAATCGCTTGAACCTGGGAGGCGGAGGTTGCAGTGCGCCGAGATTGCACCATTGCACTCCAGCCTGGGTGACAAGAGCGAGACTTCATCTCAAAAAAAAAAAAAAAAAAAAAAAAAAAGAAAAAAAAAAGAAAGCTACCTTTCTACTCTGTGTCTGAGGTTATAAGAGCTCATGTTTACCCGACTTGGCTGCCAGGATATTTACAGCTTCCATTTGGCCCCCTTGAAATCAAAAAGAATGTGTTCTGGCCCAGACCCACCACTCCAGGGAACAATAACTATTTCATACATTGGTATTTAGTACAGAGCTATGAATGCCCAACAGCCAATCAAAATAGGGTTCCTGCAGATCAGATTTTGATCTCTGCAAATGAGGATAAAAGCTAAAGCCAACTCTGGAAAAGCAAGAAAGAGAAAACATTCTGTTCATAGAATTTTGAACGAGCTTACTTCTATCCATTCATACAGAGGACTATTGAAGCAGCGATGAAATGCCCTATATACAGCAGAATGTTGAGACATGGGCAATCCACGTGGCATGGAATCTTGATATGCCCTCAAGGATTTGAATAATAATTTAATCATCTGTGTCTTCAAATTAGCCAAATTTGAAAAATCTTAATGGAGTTTCATATAAAGCATAAAACAAAATGTCCATCATTGCTCTCGTCTTTTAAAGGCAGGTATTGGCCGGGTGCAGTGGCTCACGCCTGTAATCCCAAGCACTTTGGGAGGCCAAGGTGGGTGGATCACGAGGTGAGGAGTTCAAGGCCAGCTTGGCCAACATGGTGAAACCCCATCTCTACTAAAAAAAAATACAAAAAGTAGCCAGGCGTGGTGGTGGTGGTGGGCGCCTGTCATCCCAGCTACTTGGGAGGCTGAGGCAGGAGAATTGCTTGAACCTGGGAGGCGGAGGTTGTGGTGAGCTGAGATCGTGCCATTGCACTCCAACCTGGGCAACAAGAGCAAGAATCCGTGTTAAAAAAAAAAAAAAAAAAAGGCAGGTATTGCTAAGAAAACTGTAAGCAGTTTAGCAGAGCCAAAATCAGATCTAGTGATTAAATCACAGGTCAGTTTGGTCACTGAAGGCACTTTTTTTTTCAATTCCAGAAATAAACATTTTTTCCTCTATCTAACAAAGACCCTGAAGATAATGAGAAAAGCTAAGAAGAAAACGTTTTAAAATCTGCCTTGGAAGGGAAAAAATTCTCCAATCCTTATAAATCTCTGAAGGCTGCTGCACAGGAAAGAAAAAGGAAGGACAAGGCAATAGAAATGTAGGCACGAAACACCAACCAGCGGACAAACTGAGTTTGCCTCTTGCTGAAACCGATTTGACCATTCATAAGAATGCTAGATGCTCTGCAAATCCTGCTAAAAGGAGACTCAGCAAACAGCTATCAGAATAACTTACAGTTACTCTCAATCTTAGCCTTTATTCTCTAAAAAAAAATAGTGTGTGTGACAACTTGCTGGGGTCATACCTGAAGAGAAACGTCCATTTTTTTTTTTTTTTTCCTTTTTGAGACAGAGTCTCGCTCTGTCGCCCAGGCTGGAGTGCAATGGCACGATCTATGCTCACTGCAAGCTCGGCCTCCCAGGTTCACGCCATTCTCCAGGCTCAGTCTCCCAAGTAGGTGGGACTACAGGCGCCCGCCACCACGCCCGGCTAATTTTTTCTATTTTTAGTAGAGACAGGATTTCACCGTGTTAGCCAGGATGGTCTCGATCTCTTGACCTCGTGATCCGCCCGCCTCGGCCTCCCAAAGTGCTGGGATTACAGACGTGAGCCACCGTGCCCGGCCCGAGAAACGTCCATTCTTAACATCCATTTAAGCATTCCACCACTGACAGTAATTAGAATATAAACGGGTGGCCACCCCCAGTGAATGACCATATCAATGTCCTGGTCCAACTGCTGATCCACCTACATGGTTGGACAGTGCCGTGTCTATGCAGTTAGTTAGCTAATGGAGGAAGGGTAGACAATAACAGATATTTAAACACTGGGTTAGCCATTTTCTAACAAATTGCAAAATAAGCCGAGGTCGGCCCGGCGCGGTGGCTCACGCCTGTAATCCCAGCACTTTGGGAGGCCGAGGCAGGCGGATCACGAAGTCAGGAGATCGAGACCATCCTGGCTAACACAGTGAAACCCCGTCTCTACTAAAAATACAAAAAAATTAGCTGGGCGAGGTGGCGGGCGCCTGTAGTCCCAGCTACTCAGGAGGCTGAGGCAGGAGAATGGCGTGAACCCCGGGGGGCGGAGCCTGCAGTGAGCCGAGATCGCGCCACTGCACTCCAGCCTGGGCGACAGCGAGACTCCGTCTCAAAAAAAAAAAAAAAAAAAAAAAAGCCGAGGTCATCTGACCACCAAAGAAAAGGACCTGTACGTGTCCATGCTCTTCTCCAGGTATCCTTCATTTGTGGTCCCTCTAAGCAAGAGGCCCAGAAACTTCAGAGCAAGCTATGCCATTCATGGTCTTGGGCTTGTCTATGTTCTTCTGAAGTTCAGAAAAAGAGAATAGTGCTTTTAAAGGCACATTCTAGTAAAATAGGCTGGTTGATGGGAGCACTGGGAAGGGATGGATCCAGTTGTCAGGGACCAAGAAAAAAGCCCCTGGGGAAGGCATGGAGCAGAGGGCATCTCCAGTGGATGAAGTGGCCCAGGATAGCGCTCCCAGGCTTGCTCTGCTATCTGTCACACATTTCAGTTACCACCAACCATAAGCAATCTGAGCATGTGAGGTGCTAGGGTGCTTGTTGAGCTTATCAATTACAGTCATGGTATTTTTCTCCTTGTCTCAAAAAATAAAATGCAAACCACTTCAAATCTCTGCATTCTGATTTATCACTCTATGAAAATACTAGGACTAGACCTAATTAATACAGAGTTGTAAGATACCTTCATAAACAAAAATAGTCCAGGCGTGGTGGCTCACGCCTGTAATCCCAGCACTTTGGGAGGCCAAGGTGGGTGGATCACCTGAAGTCAGCAGTTCGAGACCAGCCTGGCCAATATGGTGAAACCCCATCTCTACTAAAAATACAAAATTAGCCAGGTGCGATGGTGTGCACCTGTAATCCCAGCTGCTCGGGAGGGTGAGGTAGGATAATCACTTGAACCCGGGAGGGAGAGGTTGCAGTGAGCCAAGATCATGCCACTGCATTTCAGCCTGGGCAAAAAGAGCAAAACTCTGTCTCAAAATAAATAAATAAATAAATAAATAAATAGACCTTTCAGCAAAGTTTCTCAAGCAAATTTCTGTGAAGCAATTTTCCTTTTGACCTGCATTAGGGATACCAGGCGTGACCTTACCAGAAGTGATATGACAATGAACAAAGTACAGCATTTTAAAACAAATTATGAAAGAGAAAAGACTGACTTTCTGGGCCAGGCATGGTGTCTCATGCCTGTAATCCTATCACTTTGAGAGGCCGAGGGAGACAGATAACTTGAGCTCAGGAGTTCAAGTCCAGCCTGGGCAATGCAGCAAGATCCCATCTCTACCAAAAATCCAAAAAATATTAGCTCAGCGTGGTGGTATGCACCTGTGGTCCCAGCTACTTGGGAGGCTGAAGTGGGAGAATCGCTTGAGCCCGAGAGACCAAGGTTGCAGTAAGCCGAGATTGCACCGCTGCACTCCAGCCTGGGTGACAGAGAGAGAACCCATCTCAAAACAAACAAACAAACAAACAAAAAAACAACTTTCTGATAAAGTACTAATGAATCTAAACTGTTAATAATCCTATGCTACTCAGAAGGTTTAACACAGCTGAAATTTTAAAATGCAGTAATGCTATTATAGAGTAACAATCATCATTTATCAGCAGCTTAAACCAGGCAGGACACATGCAGTAACTCATTGAATCATCACAACCTCCCATGAGTAGATATTTTAATATCCCCATTTTATAGATAAACCTGAGGCACAGATAGTTTCCAAGGCATGCAAATGTGAAAATGCTAGAACCTGGGCAGTCTCAGAACCCAGTGGTTTGAAAAGCTGCACAGACACTGAAATTTTTTAAGGAGTGAATTTGAGGCCATACCTGGTCACCACCCAGAACTGGGGCTCCATTGCTTTCATCTTTATGTCGCTTGGCACATAGCCTGACTCCAGAGTCAATGCCCTGTGTTATATTATACTCAGGGAAATTTATGTAATTGTGGATGACATTGTAATTACAGAGTTTATATTTCAAAATAGTATTGAAGACCTGCAGACAGTTGATTACATTTAATTATCAAGACCAACCTCCAAACAATTAGAATAGGAGGATGCTGCAAGATCACTGGAAACAAAAACCCAAATTCAGGCCAGGTACGGTGGCTCGCGCCTGTAATCTCAGCACTGGGGAAGCCGAGGTGGGTGGATCACTTGAAGTCAGGAGTTTGAGACCAGCCTGACCAACATGGTGAAACCCTGTCTCTACTAAAAACACAAAAATTAGCCAGGCATGAGGGCATGCACCTATAACACCAGGTACTTGGGAGGCTGAGGCAGGAGAGTCGCTTGAACCCAAGAGGCAGAGGTTGCAATGAGCTGAAATCACACCACTGCACTCCAGCCTGGGCAATAGAGTGAGACTGTCTTTAAAAAAAAAAAAAAGAAAAAAAATTCAAATTCAAAAATCAAGCGCATTCCTTTACACTAGCAATAACCAAATAGAGAATGCAATACTAAGAAAAAACACTGGCTGGTATAGTAACCAAAACTAGAAAGTACATAGACACAAGTCTAAAAGAAACTTTAATAAGAAATCATAAAACTTTATTGAAGGATACAAAAGAATATTTGGATTAATGAAGTGATAAACCTTATTTATGGAGAAGAGAAGACAACATTTTAAAGATGTCAATATTTCCCAATTAATAACTTCAGTGAAATTCCAGTAAGTCTCTCAACAAGAATTTTTAGGAAACTTGAAAAATATTTTAATGTTTATAGGGGAAGAACTGAGAATAAGACAACTGTGAAAAAGGAGTATGAAAGGATGGACTCATTCTATCAAATATTAAAACACATTAGATAACTATAGTAATTAGCATAACATTGATGCAGGAATAGACAAATTATCAGAAGAGAATAAAGAACCGTAACACTGACCTATATATTTTTAGGGACTATATATGTGAGGCAAGACCATGTTAATCACTGCACTGGATTTTTAATTGATTTGGGGTGTGTGTATATATATAATCCCAAATAGATTATATTTAAATATATATTAAATTTATATGCTTATATTTTAAAAATATATTAAATTTGTATATATTTAAACATATATTTTTAAAATATATATATATATTTTTTTTTTTTTTGAACAGGGTCTCACTCTGTCACCTAGGCTGGAGTGCAGTAGTGTGATCTCGGCTCACTGCAACCTCCACCTCCCAGGTTCAAGCAATTCTCCCATCTCAGCCTCCTAAGTCGCCAGGATTACAGGCATGAGCGACCACGCCCAGCTAATTTTTTTGTATTTTTAGTAGAGACAGGGTTTCGCCATGTTGGCCAGGCTGGTCTCGAAATCCTGGCCTCAAGTGATCGGTCTGCCTCGGCCTCCCAAAGTGCTGGGATTACAGGCATAAGCCACCATGCCTGGCCTTGAAATATATTTTTAATTCATCTTAAATTTGTTTTTCCCTTCAGAGGGAAGATCTAATTATATATTTTCCACATGAAAGCCAAAAAAGCCCTAAATATGAAAAATTACTGGAAGAAAGATATAGAGGATGTAGAGAATTTTCTTAAAACAAAACAGCAAAGGCAGTTAAAATGAATGACTCCATGGACATGGCCAGATCTCAAAAGGAAAAAATAAGCAGCATAAAAAGCAAGACGTGATACATTAATACTATTTATGTCAACTAAAATACACATAAAAATGCACATGCTTATCTATAAACAGTACATAGCATTTAAACATCAAAACTTAGACTGGAAGGATATGCACTAAACTGGAATGGAATGGAGCTGGGGTTTCCCAGGGTTAAAGGGGACTTCTGTTATAATTTTGTTGTTGTTGTTGTTTAAACAAAGACTAAAAGCAAATATGACAAAATATTCATGACCATTAAATCTGAGTGGCAGACATATAGATGTTTGCTAGATTCTGTTTTGCATTTTATCTTTTTTTTTTTTTTTTAAGATAGAGTCGTGTTCTGCTGCCCAGACTGGAGTGTAGTGGCACGATCTCAGCTCACTGCAACCTCTGCCTTCTTGGTTCAAGCAATTCTCCTGCCTCAGCCTTCCAAGTAGCTGGGACTATAGGCATGTGCCACCACACCCGACTAATTTTTTTACTTTTAGTAGAGATGGGGTTTCACCATGTTGGCCAGGCTGGTCTTGAACTCCCAACCTCAGGTGATCCACCTGCCCTGGCCTCCCAAAGTGCTGGGATTACAGGTGTGAGCCACCACACCTGGCTGCATTTTCTCTTTCAAGTTTTGAAAAGAATTCTAAAAATGCATATGTTAAATCTAGTATTTCTTCATCAACTTTCAGTATTTTATTTATAATCCCATCCTTGCTTCAAAACACGTAACATAAACAGGGCAGACAAATAAATGGTTACTGATCTCACCTGTGATGATTGATTTTTATGTGCCAATGTGGCCAGGCTATAGTGCCCAAGTTGTTTGGTCAAGCAGCAATCTAGATGTCACTGTGAAGGTATTTTTTAGCAGTGATTAATATTTAAACCAGTAAACTCTGAGTCCATAATGTGAGTGGGCTTCATCCAATTAGCTGAAGACCTTAACAGAAAAGATTGAGGTTTCTTGAAGCAGATGGAATTGTCCCCTCAAGACTACCATGTAGAAACCCTGCCTGAGTATCCAGCCTGCCTGGCCTGCACCCAATTAAGACTCAAAGACTGCACCCAGGCACAGTGGCTCACGCCTGTAATCCCAGCACTTTGGAAGGCCAAAGTGGGCGGGTCACCTGAGGTTAGGAGTTCAACCAGTCTGACCAACACAGAGAAACCCCATCTCTACTAAAAATACAAACTTAGCTGGGCATGGTGATGCATGCCTGTACTCCCAGCTACTCAGGAGGCTAAGGCAGGAGAATGGCTTGAACCTGGGAGGTGGAGGTTGCCGTGAGCCGAGATCACACCATTGCACTCCAGCCTGGGCAACAAGAGCGGAACTCTGTCAAAAAAAAAAGACTCAAGACTGCAATGTCAGCTCTTATCAGAATTTCTGGCCGGGTGCAGTGGCTCATGCCTGTAATCCCAGCACTTTGGGAGGCCAAGGCAGGCGGATCGCTTTGAGCCCAGGAATTTGAAACCAGCCTGGGCAACATAGCAAGACCCTGGCTTTATTAAATAAATAAATAAATAAATAAATAAATAAATAAATAAATAAATAAAAAGAATTTTCAATCTTCTAGCTGGCCCTGCAGATTTGGGACTTGTCATCCTCCACAATCATGTGAGCTGTGAACCAATTTTTTTTTTTTCTTTTGGTGAGACAAGGCTTCACTCTGTCACCCAAACTGGAGTACAGCAGTGGCTCTATCATGACTCACTGCAGCCTTCACCTCCTGGGCTCAGGTAATCCTCCTACCTCAGCCTCCTGAGTAGCTGCGACTACAGGCACATGCTACCATGCCCAGCTAATTTTTAAATTTTTTGTAGAGATGGGGTCTCATTATGTTGCCCAGGCTGGTTCTCAAACTCCTGGCTCAAGCAATTCTCCTGCCTCAGTCTCCCAAAGTGCTAGGATCTGTGACCAAATTTCTTAAATCTCAATTGCTCTCAGGATCTCTCTATATACATATATATATGTACACACATATATACATATGTAGTCATGCTTTGCTTAATGATAGGGATATGTTCTGAGAAATGTGTCGTCAAGTAATTGTCATTGTGTAAAAATCACGCAGTGTACTTACACAAAACTAGATTATTTATATATTTTTTCATATGGAAAACCAAATGTCTCAGCACCATTACTATCAATCATCTCCCCTACTAGTCCTGCAACGCCAATATCAAGTGCCATTAGCAGGTTTTTTTGTATATGTTCCATTATAGTCATATGGGACCATCATCGTATATGCAATCCACTGGTTACTGAAACGTTATTATTCAGTGCATGACTGTACACACACACATACACACACGTATGTAGATATATGTCTGTATGTGTGTGCATATATATCCTCTCAGTTCTGTTTCTCTGTAGAACCCTGACTAATATGCCGATGTTTCAAGTTTGGGGGCAGCCATGGTTTCTCCACAACTAAATGGCTACAATAAATACAATGTTCGTAACAATGTAAAGGGCAGAAAAGCCTGCCTTGGGGGAGGAAGGAGCAATGACAGGCCAGTTAACATAGACACAGTGGGTCTAAACATATATTGTGTTTGTTTTCAAGGAAAGTGTATCTCATGAAAAGATAAACTTCTTCAGCCAGGTGGCCTCTTGTTGGATGTGTGTTTCCTAGTGGCAATCTCCCTGTCTGCCTGTGACTACTTATTGGCAAGATGCTTTCTAGGGAATGCATGTCCACACTCCCATGGAGGCAGATGAAGAAGAGCTAGAGAAGTGACCTGTGTCCTTCCTGTACCCATGATTTTTCCCCAGGGAAATTCTCCGTGTTTGTTTCACCAAAACCTCAAGTTGACCGACCCTGAGATGGAGCACTCTCTAGACTGCCCTACCACCTTCTATGGCTGGGCTCTCTGCTTTGCCCACAAGTTGTCAGCAGCCTCAGGTGGGCTGGTTACACACACACACACACACACACACACACCACTCACCTTAATCTGCTCAACACAACTCCAAATACCACACATGCCCTGATATGAAGTGACTCCCAAAGATAAGTTGGTACCCCTTTTCCTAGTGTAGATCCCTTGATTTCAAAGAAAATATATTTGAGTCATTTTAATATTCTGCTTTTTTAGCCAGGCATGGTGGCTCACACCTGTAATCCCAACACTTTAGGAGACCGAGGAGGGTTGATAACTTGAGCCCAGGAGGTTGAGGCTGCCATGAGCTGTGTTCGCACCACTGCACTCCAGCCTGGGTGACAGAGCAAGACTCTGATTCAAAACAAAAACAAAAACAAATACAAACAAAAAACCCTGTATTTATGTTCATTTTATTTTGGCTTGACTGTTGCAAATGATGAAAGCTCAAGTACGGGCCAGGCACAGTGGCTCATGCCTGTAATCCCAGCACTTTGGGAGGCTGAGGCAGGTGGATCACTTGAGGTCAGGAGTTCAAGACCAGCCTGGCCAACATGGCGAAACCCAGTCTACTAAAAATACAAAAATTAGCCGGGCATGGTGGCACACGCCTGTAATCCCAGCTACTCAGGAGGCTGAGGCAGGAGAATCACTTGACCCAGGAGGCGGACGTTGCACTGAGCCGAGATCATGTCACCGCACTCCAGCCTGGATGACAGAGCGAGACTGTCTCAACAACAAAAAAAGCTCAAGCAAGAAACGAGAATGAAGGTATGGAAGCAATGATTCAAGATGACAATATATATTATTAAAATACTTCTTGACATGCACTTTCTATAAAATTGGGGCGAATTAAAGACTTCTCCATTAGATCAAAAGGCTATTCCAAATACAGGTGATCCTCTACTATCCCAATTAGGTGACAGCTGAAAACGTTTTGGGGGCAATTTGATTAGATAAATGTGAATGAAAGAATCTATATTATTAGATGCAAATATCCCATTTACAATATTAAAATATGATACACTTAAGATCTAAGGTATTAAGAGTAACGCATATACACTTGTATATTATATACATGAATATGTAAACATTATATAAATTAATGCTAACTTAGAAAGATTTCTGGTTTCTTCCCAACTCTCGCTCTCACACTTTAAGAAAACATTTATTTAAAGTCTACAGTGGCATTGGCATTTTTACACCACTTCCTGTGATTACAGCTACATTTTGAGTTTTCCAGAACATATCTTCTTCACTTTGATCTAAGTTATTTGAATAAGGTTCTTAACTTGTTCCTTTTTTTTTTTTTTTTTGAGACAGAGTCTCGATCTGTCGCATAGGCTGGAGTGCAGTGGTGTGATTTCCACTCACTGCAACCTCCACCTCCTGGGTTCAAGCAATTCTCCTGCCTCAGCCTCCTGAGTAGCTGGGATTACAGGTGCCCACCACCATGCCCGGCTAATTTTTGTATTTTTAGTAGAAATGGGGGTTTCACCATGTTGGCCAGGCTGGTCTCGAACTCCTGACCTCAGGTGATCCACCCACCTCGCCCTCCCAAAGTGCTGGGATTATACGCGTGAGCCACCACGCCTGGCCAACTTGTTCCATTTTTAAATGATCTTTAAAAAAGACTTGTTTACAAAGAAACCTGACACTTGCTACTGTGAGGTCAGATGCTCTGGGATATTACTAGATTTTTTAAACCACCCTCTTCCTTTTTAAAAATATGATTTCCTTAGCTGACCTCTAAAGCATCCAAACCAGCACTGACTGAGGTCATTTCAAGGTAATGTGTGTTCTCTAAATAATACTTCATTCAAAACAAAATAATTGCAAGACGCTCCCACAGTGTGAGAAAATTTATAGAGACTTAAATATAAGGCAACTGTCTCATTTCTGATAACTTTTTGCAGGGGCCGGGGTGGACTCTACACCTTATATGTGGGCATATGTGGTAAGCTATATAACTTATTTTCCACATTTTCTCTCAAATGCCCTTTTCCCTCAGCAGGTGACTCAGACGGTATGGTACTAAGTCCTGAGTAGAATTCCCCAAGCTAGAGCTAGGGAACTCCGGAGGAATCCAAAGTGTTGGGTCCCAAGAACACAGAAACAGGTGCCTCTCCCACAGGACAGCATGGCCAACATGATGAGGTCAGCTGGCAGGGTCAGTGGCTTTCTGTCTTCCCTTTCTCTTCTTTTTTAAAAAATAATTTGCACACTTGTGGTATGATGCCTTTAAGGGTGGTGGGAGAGTATCGCCGGAGAGGCTCCTGAGCAGCTGTGAGGGCACGAATCCTCCCAGACGCCATCACCACCTTCTACAGGGGGTCAGACCCACCCCTCTCTCTGCCCTCAGATGCCCGAGCCGACAGCAGGAATTAAGACTGTGAGCTCGGCTGCAGCACTGCTAGAAGGCACTGCCAATAGCAATAAGAGCCAGAGAGGGCTGTAAGAGACGGAGAATTTTCTGGAACATCCTGAAGAAAGGCGTAATACCTTGGGATCTTCAAGGGAGTCCCCGTCACTACCTATTTCAGTGACTGAAGTGGAAAGGACAATGGACAATATTCCAAGCTATAAAAGGTGCTCATCGCAGTCAATACATTTCTTTTTTCTTTTGTTTTTTTTTTCTTTTGAGACAGAGTCTCGCTCTGTCGCCCAGGCTGGAGTGCAGTGGCGTGATCTTGGCTCACTGCAACCTCCGCCTCCCAGGTTCACGGCCATTCTCCTGCCTCAGCCTCCCAAGTAGCTGGGACTACAGGCGCCCGCCACCACGCCCGGCTAATTTTTGTATGCAGCCAATACATTTCTGTTCCAAGGGGTGGGGGAGGCAGAAAAAAAGAGATGGACTGTGCTGATGAACACACGTCACAGGGACAGTGAGTCAGGAAGAAGAGGAAGCCCAAGCGGTGAGGGCTGAGGAGCGTGGCTGGAATTTACCTACAGACAGCACAGGTTCCTCCCGCACAGCTGACCAAGTCCAGCCTCTCACCAGTAGAAGTAAATGGATTTGTCCTGAAGGAAGATACAGACAAAGCATGTCTGGAACTTTGATAGTTACAACATGAAAGATGGGGATTTGCCTCTTTCTCTTTGGGATTTTCTCCATTAAGAAAACTGACCTTTGGCTGGGTATGGTGGCTCATGTCTGTAATCCCAGAACTTTGGGAGGCCGAAGCAGGCAGATCATTTGAGGCCAGGAGTTCAAGACCAGCCTGTGCAACATGGCAAAGCCTCATCTCTGCTAAAAATACAAAAATTAGCCAGGAGTGGTGGCGCACGCCTGTAGTTCCAGCTACTCTGGAGGCTGAGGCAGGAAAATCTGCTTGAACCCGGGAGGCGGTGGTTCCAGTGAGCTGACATCGTGCCACTGCACTCCAGCCTGGGTGAAAGAGCAAGACTCTGTCTCAAAAACAAACAAAAAAACTCACCTTTAACGCAAGCCTCATTTTATGAATGAGCAAAGTAATTCAAGAATGTTAACAATTGGCTCCAAAGTGACAAAACCCATTAGAAAAAGCAGCAGCAGCAAACCCAGAACAAGGGGCCCAGGAGTTAAGTTTTATTAAGGGCATCCACGGTCGGCATAGTAATGAACACTACGCGCAGTCCCTCACCCACTCCATCCTCACCATGAACCTATGAGGGAGTGACAAACTTTATCCTTGCTTTATTGTTGAGAAAAGCAAGACAGGTATGCTAACTAGCTTTTCCCAAACTCACGCGGGACAGCTGCATTTATTTATTTATTTTGAGATGGAGTCTCGCTCTGTCGTCCAGGCTGGAGTGCAGGTGGCGCGATCTTGGCTTACTGCAACCTCCACCTCCCAGGCCCAAGCGATTCTCCTGCCTCAGCCTCCTGAGTAGCTGAGATTAAAGGCACACGCCAGCACACCCAGCTAATTTTTGTAGTTTTAGTAGAGACAGGGTTTCACCATGTTGGCTAGGCTGGCCTTGAACTGCTGACCCTCGTGATCCACCCACCTCAGCCTCCCAAAGTGCTGGGATTACAGGCATGAGCCACCGCGCCCGGCCAACAGCTGCTTTTAGAACAATATTCCTTCACTGAGATGGTTTGTGTGTGGGGTCAGACAGAGGTGACCATGTGACATACCACTTACCTATGCAACACAGGGTATGTCAAGGCCCTTCTGAGCCTCAGGCCCAGATCTGCAAAATGATAACCCTCAGTTATCTAGGTGTGAGATCCCCCAGTTAAAACTCCCAGCACAAATCCTGACAAATAGCAGGCACTCAGTAAAGGTCACCAGCTCCCCCTGCCCTGCTCTGCCCCGCCCCTCCCCGCCCCACCCCACACCTGCTGCCTTCCTTTCCCTAATCTTCCTGAACCTTTGTCTGATAGTTACGGGTAGGGATTTATCAGGACTCTGGCTGACACACATATGTAGAAGAATATAACACGTGGAGGGCGGAACACTCAGTAACTAGGATTCACCTCATCACACACAGACCTCAGCTTGCTCTCAGGCAGTCTAATTTGCTTTGCGTCTCTTCATTAAGGAAAGGCTTTTTCTTGTCCATCTGAATCCAACTTGAAGCTGTAGATTTAGTGGAGCCAAAATATTTTGATTTTGTAGGGAACACCTGATACCCTGGTCCTTGAACTAAATATAGACCCGTGAAGGGCCAAACCAGAAGCAGCACCGATCTCCGTGTAGCAGCAAAGGCCTCCCAGAGAAAGGCTCTGCCAGCAGCCCTCACCTGGCCTGAAGGAAACCACTTCTTCTGCAGATGAGGCTGAGGCTCTGGCTCCAAAAACCACACAACTTTTAACTAACTCACCCAGCCCAACCCCAGCACCTCATATACCCACATAAAATGCTGCTCTGAAGTTTAAAGGTGGAGAGATGCTCCAGAGCAGCAGTGGGCTGGTCTGGATAGCCCCCAACTGTATACACTGGGGCTGCGCTGAAGTCTAGGTTGGAATCTGCTGTCTGCATCCCATTAGGTTTTTTTATGAGCTCAAGAGCATGACTTTCTGGTTTGCATTTGCAGCCAGAGGGAAGCAATAAAGAGCAGCAGAGAAGCTTTTTAAAGGATACCTGGTGGAGGTTAGTTGCACCAGAAAGCACCCAGGAAACGACCAGGTGGTGTAACCAGAGCAAAATGAGGAAAGAACTCCAGGCAGAGTCAAGGCATGGAGGTCTGCTACCATCCACGGCATTTACTGTGCTCCAGACAAAGCCCTGAACCTTTTGGGCTGAACTTCACCTTCGAAGGATGAAGCTGGATTAGACATGCTCTGAGATCCCTTCTAGCTAGAAAATTCTATTATTTCAGTTCCTTAAGGAACCCCTGACTCTGAAAAACATGACAGCTAATTGCTAGCAGTGTGTTGCCTGTAACTGGCACTCAGTAATTGCTTACTGCACGAATGAACTGACACTGATAAGGACACAAATCAAAGTTATGAAAATTCACTAATAGTCACAGATATGATACCCGCATACAGACTAGAATCCAAAACGTTGGGTCCCAAGAACACAGCAACAGAAACAGGTGCCTCTCCCACAGGACAGCATGGCCAACATGAGGTCAGCTGGCAGGGTCAGCAGCTTTCTGTCTTCCCTTTCTCTTCTTTTTTAAAAAATAATTTGCACACTTGTGGTATGATGCCTTTAAGGGTGGTGGGAGAGTATCGTCGGGGAGGCTCCTAAGCAGCTGTGAGGGCACGAATCCTCCCAGACGCCATCACCACCTTCTGCAGGGGGTCATACCCACCCTCTCTCTGCCCTCAGATGCCCGGGCCGACAGCAGGAATTAAGAGTCTGAGCTCAGCTGCAGCACTACTAGAAGGCACTGCCAACAGCACTAACAGGAAACACACACAGGGCTTTGATATGTATGTTATTATTCTACTTCAAGAGTTGCCATCCTGAGGCTGGGTGCGGTGGCTCATGCCTGTAATCCCAACAATTTCAGAGGCCGAGGCAGGCCGACTGCTTGAGTTCAGGAGTTCGAAACAAGCCTGGACAACATGGCAAAACCCCATCTTCATAAAAAAGACAAAAATTAGCCAGGTGTGACGGCCCCCGCCTGCAGTCCCAGCTCGTGAGGCTGAGGTGGGAGAACTGCTTGAGCCAGAGAGGCGGAGGTTGCAGTGAGCTCTCATTGTGCCACTGTACTCCAGCCTGGGCAACAGTGAGACCCTATCTCAAAAAAAAACCAAAATCAAGAACAAAACAAGACAAAAACAAAAACAAGAGTTGCCATCCTGGTAAACCCAGGGGATTAAAAAAAAAAAAAAGGGCAGGTGCGGTGGCTCACGCCTGTAATCCCAGCATTTTGGGAGGGCGAGGCGGGCAGATCACGAGGTCAGGAGATCGAGACCATCCTGGCTAACACGGTGAAACCCAGCCTCTACTAAAAATACAAAAAATTAGCCGGGCGTGGTGGTGGGCGCCTGTAATCTCAGCTACTTGGGAGGCTGAGGCAGGAGAATGGGGCACCCGGGAGGCGGAGCTTGCAGTGAGACGAGATTGCGCCACTGAACTCCAGCCTGGGCCACAGAGCAAGACTCCATCTCAAAAAAAAAAAAAAAAAAAAAAAAAAAAAAGTTGCCAGTAGACACAGATTACAGGCTAACACCTGTAATCCCAGCACTTTGGGAACCTGAGGCAGGAGGATTGTTTGAGCCTAGGAGTTCATGACCAGCCTGGGCAACACAGGGAGACCCCATCTCTACAAAAAAATAAAAATGAGCTGGGTGAGGTGGTGTACACCTGTGGTCCCAACTACTTGGGAGGTTCAGGTGGCAGGATCACTTGGGCCTGAGAGGTCGAGGCTGCAGTGAGCTGTGATGGCGCCACTGCACACCAGCCTGGGACAAAGAGCAAGACCTTGTCTCAAAAAAAGCCAAAAACAAAACAAAACAAAAACAACAACAAAAAAGAGTTGCCAATTGTTGTAACCTCTATGTTAAACAGTGTAAGACATTGGAGGGAGAAGGCTGAATCATTTTCCTCCTCCCCCAGGACTCATAATCTATTGGAAAAGGACAGAATAGACACAAGAATAAGATGACAAATCTCAGCTGGGCGCGATGGTTCACGCCTGTAATCCCAGCACTTTGGGAGGCTGAGGCGGGCGGATCACGAGGTCAGGAGATCGAGACCATCCTGGCTAACAAGGTGAAACCCCGTCTCTACTAAAAATACAAAAATTAGCCAGGCGTGGTGGCGGGCGCCTGTAGTCCCAGCTACTCGGGGGGCTGAGGCAGGAGAACAGCATGAACCCAGGAGGCGGAGCTTGAAGTGAGCCGAGATTACGCCACTGCACACTAGCCTGGGCGACAGAGCGAGACTCCGTCTCAAAAAAAAAAAAAAAAAAAAAAAAAAAGACAAATCTCATACAAGATACAATTCGACTGGGCACTGTGGCTCATGCCTATAATCCCAGCACTTTGGTAGTCTGAGGTGAGATCACCTGAGGTCAGGAGTTTGAGACCAGCCTGGCCAATATGGTGAAACCCTGTGTCTACTAATACAAAAATTAGCCAGGCGTGGTGGTTCATGCCTGTAATCCCAGCTACTCGGGAGGCTGATGCAGGAGAATCACTTGAACCTGGGAGGCAGAGGTTGCAGTGAGCTGAGATTGTGCCATTGCACTCCAGCCTGGGCGACAAGAGCGAAACTCCGTCTCCAAAAAAAAAAAAGGATGCAATTCAAATTCAGATGTAGTAAACGTAACTGGCATTTTAGAGCCAAGCATGACAATTAAGATTATATATGAGAAAGAAATGGACATAGACTATCAGTCAGAGTCCAGCAGGAAACAGAAGGCACACTAAAAAAGGTTTCGCTGGAGACTGTTTTAGGCAGGGACTGTTTACAGAGGTGCAGACCGGAGACAGGCAGAGTGCAGCACCCTGGGGCTAGCAACAACAGAAGGGAAACTGCTAGGACCTCTAGGTCTGAAGAGCATGGGAAGGAAGCAGCATTATCAGACTATGCAGGAGCTGGAGCTAGGAAAGTGCCTCAAGCGCTTAGAAGAAATCAGCCATCGTCAGAAGCCCAGCAAGGTTAGGGGGACTGCTAGGGAGATAAATACCCAGATGCTCTTTCCTCCTCCTCTGATCCCCTGCCAGTGCCTCCCATTGGCTGAACCCAACCAGAAACAGAAAAAGCAAGGAGTCCAGATGCTGCAGTTCACAGACACAATCCTCTTAGTACAGAGGAAGAAAGAGAATGAATTGGGGGCGGGGGAAGAAATGACAACACATACACAACTGTAAGTTACGCTCACATGCATATATATATCTGTTATGTATTTGGGACAAATGTCTTATGACTTTTTTTAAAAAATTATTTGTTCTACAAAAGGTCTTCACCATAGGATTAATCTAAATGGAAACATCAAGGTCTTCTAGCATATCTCAGATGTAAGTTACAAAAACAGAAATTTCTTTATGTGTAAACTTCCACGGAATGCTTATATTGTCTAAGGAATGGTATACTTACAGAGGGACTGACAAGTGAAACTGTTAAGACAACAGCCCACTAACCAGACAAAATTGTCTCTAACAGTTTTCCGTCATCCCCTATCCCCACAAGCTCACCAATTTCCAGAGATAAAACCAACTCCAAACTTTGCACCCTAATGCATTTTTCCACTTACATTTTCTATCAGTTGGCAATTAAAACAAGCATCTCAGAGGTCAGCAGAAAGTCCTAACAAATCGAAGAGACAGGTATATAATCTCTAGATTCAAAAGTGTAATAAGACATGTGAGAAGAAACCACCTGGAAAACCACGCTAGGCAGGCACCACTTCAGGGATGCACATTTCAAGTGGCAATTCCCTGCCAACTAATGCTTAACAGGAACCCCTGGGAAAAGCTACAAAAATATCAGTGCTTCCAAAATGCCATCTACTTTTGTGCTGAGTTCGGCTGCTGGCAATGGCAATCTGGAACTGGGATGATTAGGGCCTCTGAGAAGGTTAGGGGTCAAGAAGATGGAGAAGAAACAGAACAGTCAAAAAAAAGGTCTCATGGCCGGGCGCAGTGGCTCATGGCTGTAAGCCCAGCACTTTGGGAGGTCGAGGCAGGCAGAATCACTTGCAGTCAGGAGTTCGAGACCAGCCTGACCAACATGGTGAAACTCCGTCTCTACTAAAAAATAAAAATCAAAATTGGCTGGGCGCCATGGCTCACGCCTGTAATCCCAGCAGGCGTGGGATTGCCACGCCTTGGGAGGCCGAGGCAGGCAGATCACAAGCTCAGGAGTTTGAGACCAGCCTGGCCAACATGGTGAAACCCTGTCTCTATCAAAAATACAAAAAAATTAGCTGGGCGTAGCGGCGCGTGCCTGTAATCCCAGCTACTTAGGAGGCTGAGGCAGAAGAATCACTGAACCCGGGAGGCAGAGGTTGCAATGAGCCGAGATCAGGCCACTGCACTCCAGCCTGGGCGAAAGAGCAACACTCCATCTTGGAAAAAAAATATAAAAATTAGCTGGGTCTGGTGGCACATGCCTGTAATCCCAGCTACTATGGAGGCTGAGGTAGGAGAATTGCTTGAACCTGGGAGGCAGAGGTTGCAGTGAGCCAAGATTGCACTACTGCACTCCAGCCTGGGGATCAGAGTGAAACTCCTTCTCAAAAAAAAAAAAAAAGAAAAGAAAAGGTGCCATGGTTGTCTCCCAATTAATGACCGCATGTCTCAGATATTCTAGCCCATACTACTTAAATGTCCAGTCCTGGGGATATAGGTGTGCAAATTATGGTCCTTCAACTCAATGGGAAAATATGCTGCCATTAAAATTAATGAGTCTGGGCCTGGCATGGTGGCTCATGCCTGTAATTCCAGCACTTTGGGAGGCCGAGACGGGTGGATCATCTGAGGTCAGGAGTTTGAGACCAGCCTGGCCAACATGGCAAAACCCATCTCTACTAAAAATAAAAAAATTAGCCGGGTGTGGTGGAGCACACCTGTAGTCTCAGCTACTTGGGAGGCTGAGGCAGGAGAATCGTTGGAACCCTGGGGTGGATGTTGGGGTGAGCTGAGATTGTGCCACTGCACTCCAGCCTAGGCAACAGAGCGAGACTCCATCTCAAAAAAAAAAAAAAAAAAAAAACCCAAAAAAAAAACATTGAGTCTATTAACATGAGCAATCCTTGTGTTGTTCATTCACAATAATGTTTGAATACCAATTGTATATCACAGATGGTGTAGGGTGTTCAGGATATAATGATGAACTATATAGTATAAGGCATACATTTATATAGTATAGAACAGGCTTTGAAGGCCTTCCATTCATAAAAATAGAGTACATCATTGCTACTTGAGTCAGACCGGAAAATACAGGAACAAACAGGGTACTTTCTCCTGTATTCTGGTCTTCCTGACACCACCAAGCACTTCCGGAGCTTGTTTCATCTTCAAAACTTCCCAAAGTCTGGGAGGCACAAAGGGTGGAAGACGGAAGAAACCATACCAAGTCTGCAGGCAGACCTTTCAGCCTCCACAGTCCTAGGAGGGAGTGAAAACTAGTGCTTGGCTTTTCACAAGCAGAAGCATGAAGTGTCTTCAGTGCTGTGTCATTTAAAAGCAGTCCTCACTTCAGTGACAGCCCAGGATGTTTGCTCCCTGGGTTCAGCCGGCAATCTCCAAAGCAAGGAACTCCCCCTTTTCCCCAAATGTCTCAATAGTTATTCCTTCCTTTGAAGTTGGAAGAAAGAATAAAATTACTTTCATCTGCCTAGAAAATAGAGTAGAGAGGAATTCTACTTGGAATCAGAATGAGAATCAGAAGAGGAATCGGGCAGCTCAAATCTGAGTGAGCCCACGGTCTGCCTCAACTCTTTTTGGAGATAAGCGATGCATAAATAAATCTCCACCTGTATCACTTTGGCAGCAAATGATATCAAACCCTGACTCAAAGTGGCTTAAACAGGGAGAAAATTAATCATCTCACATGCCAGGAAGTGCAGAGGAAGGGTGGGGCTCTGAGCTGTGCTTCTCTGGGACCTGCTACTTACTCTCTCCTGCACAGTGGCTGCATCCTAAGGCTGGAGACAAGATGCCTATGCCAGTTTACACAGCAACACAGGGAGAAAGCAAAAGGGCCATCTATTTTGCGTCTTTTTCTTGGTAGTGGGCATACCTTCCCTAGAAACTCCACGACAGACTTTCCTTTACTCTTTATTGCTTAGCCTTTGATAGCGAGCTCTTTCCTATGCTTGTCTCTGGGGCATGGAATGGAGATATGTGACCTGAATGGGCTAATCATCTCAGAGAACAATGCTTCCATGTCCACCTGACCACACCACCACGCAATGGGCTGCTACTGAGGGCCAAAGAAGGAAATGGACATATTTCAAAGTTAATGTGCTGTACAGTTATCCACACAGACAGAACCCTGATAAGTCATAGCATCAAATATGTTCAGAAATGCCTTCTGCCCAATACTCCGTACAGAAGCAGCAGCATAATGATCCAATGAAGAAGACGCTACCATGCCAACAGGAATGACCAACAGCCACCATTCTTCAGCGGCTGGTTTTTAATGACTACTGCTGAGATGAAAGTTCGATGTAGCCTACCTGAAATGTGGCCCCGAGTGGGCACCTGCAACAGAAGGAGAAACTGAGAGGAGGGTTCTGGGGCAAAGTTGGGACATCAGGCAGGGAGACTCATTTGCCAGTAAACACAATGGTCTGACATGAGTGAGGGTAAAGGGAGGATTGCTAGCCTCTCAAAGATACAGAGAACAGGAGAAACAATGATTGCAACACAATTTTGGAAGCTGGAATGTAGACAAACTAGTGGTAACTTAGCAGGTGGGAGAAAGTGAAAACCTAGCACAGCAGTGTGGAAAGCCAGTTTGGGATTTATGCCCTAGAGCGCCTCTGGAATTGGGGGCAACATGCACTGAGGCGGAAGGGACCCTAAATCACCTTGGCCCTAGGTACCAAGTGAAGGCTGAAATTCTGCAATCTGTGTGCTCTGCTGTGTCTCGGCAACTCTGGACTCAGTGACACCAGGTATAGCTGAGGCAGGGGCGAAAAAACAGGTGAATAAGACAGTCATCATACCAAATAGTTAGACTTCAAGTCTCCTTCTCATCTGGTTCCCAGAACACTGCAGCCAACCAACTCCCCTCAGTGTAGGGGATTTCTCTTCACCCAGTTTCTCCAGAGAACAAAGACTTTCCACTATCAGGTGTGAATCCTCCAATGAAACCACCAATGAGCTAATCCTACAGCAGAGGTCCTCTGTGCTAGCCGCAGATTTCAATCACCTGAGAGCTTTTAATACTGGCAACTACCCGGGGCCCCAGCAAGAGTGTATGTCATTCAGTTACTCAGCAAATATTACATGTATGGAAAGGTTAGTGTGTGCCAGGCATTGTTCTAGATTCTGAGACATTGTTCTATGCCTCCTTCTTAGTAAGAAGGAACTATTCTTGGGTATATTTCATCTATGTAGACCTTCCAGTTAGCTTTTTAGTGAGTGATCAGTCAAGGATCATCAGACATTTGAAGAAAGCCTTTAATGTGGAAGTGATTAAAAACCAAAAGCAAACAAACAAACAAAAAACTAGCAATCAGAGGAAACAAAGAGTGCAGGGAGTAGAGAAATGCTTCAAAGATAGCTGTAATTGAGATCTACAGAGAATTGAGAAGCTTTTCATCCAAGAAACAGTAACAGGAGGTTATAAAAAGAAAATTTCAGATATTTTTAAGGCTTTCTTGGGAATTACAAATATGATGACAGACATAAAAACTGAACATATGGGTTGGAAGACAAAAATGAGGAAATTTCCCAGGAAGTAGAAATGTTTTTTTTAAAAGGAGATAGAAAGTATAAGAAAAAGGGTAATGTAACCACCCAACAGGTTCATTTTGCCTGCTGCCCAGATAGAGCCAATTTATCAAGACAGGGGAATTGCAATAGAGAAGGTTTAATTGACACAGAGCCAGCCAAGAGAATGGGGGGTTTTATGACTCAAATCAGTCTCTCTGAAAATTTGAAGGCTATGTTTTTTTAAGGATAGTTTGGGGGAGGGAGTGGCTAGGGAATGGGTGCTGCTGATTGGTTGGGGATTCAATCATAGGGGTGTGGAAAATGGTCCTCATGCTGAGTCCACTTCTGGGTGGGGCCACAGGACCACTTGGCAGGTCTAGGTGAAGCCACTAGTTGTCAGAAATGCAAAAACCTTGGCTGGGCTCGGGGGCTCACATCTGTAATCCCAGCACTTTGGGAGGCTGAGGCGGATCACTTCAGGTCAGGAGTTCAAGGCCAGCCTGGGCAACATGGTGAAACCCCGACTCTACTAAAGATACAAAAATTAGCTGGGCAAGGTGATGCATGCCTGTGGTCCCAGCTACTTGGGAGGCTGAGGCACAAGAATCACTTGAACCCGGGAGGCAGAGGTTGCAGTGAGTTGAAATCATGCCACTACACTCCAGCCTGGGCAACAGAGGGAGACTCCATCTCATAAAGAGGAAGGGAGGAAGGGAGGGAGGGAGGGATGAAGGAAGGAAAAGAGAAATGCAAAAACCTGAAAAGACATCTCAAAAGGCCAACCTTAGGTTCTACAATAGTGATGTTATCAAGCTGCAAATCTTATGGCTAATTTGTTAGTCCTACAAAGGCAGTCTGGTCCCCAGGCAATAAGGAGATTTGTTTTGGGAAAGGGCTGTAATCATCTTTGTTTCAAAGTTAAACTATAAACTAAGTTCCTCCCAAAGTTAGTTTGGCCTACACTCAGGAATGAATCAGGACAACCTGGAGGTTAGAAGCAAGATGGAGTCAGATCACATCTCTTTCACTATCATAGCTGTACTAATTTTTGCAAAGGAGGTTTAAGTAAGAAAATTCGAGAGTCAATCCATGCGGGTCTCCTTCCAATTAACTGGGTGTCCCAGAGGAGAAGGAAGGAATTTTTTTGTTTTTAAACTCTAGGAAACTGGCTGGGCACGGTGGCTCATGCCTATAATCCCAGCACTTTGGGAGGCCAAGATGGGCGGATCACCTGAAGTCAGGAGTTCGAGACCAGCCTGGCCAACATGGTGAAACCCCGCCTCTACTAAAAACACACAAAAAAAGGCCAGGTGCGGTGGCTCACACCTGTAATCCTAGCACTGTGGGAGGCCAAGACGGGCAGATCACCTGAGTTCAGGAGTTCGAGACCAGCCTAGCCAACACAGTGAAATCCCGTCTCTACTAAAAATACAAAAATTAGCTGGGTGTGGTGGTGCATGCCTGTAGTCCGAATTACTCGGGGTGTGAGGCAGGAGAATCACTTGAACCCGGGAGACAGGGGTTGCAGTGAGCTGAGATCGCACCACTGCACTCCAGCCTGGGTGACAACGAGACTCCATCTCCAAAATAAATAAATAAAAATAAAAATACACACACACGAAACCAACAAAACTCTAGCAAACTGTTCAGAATGGAAGGGCAGAGTTTCTAGATTGAGAAAGCCCACTGGAAGCCTAGTAAAATGGATGGGAAAAGACTCACACCAAGTCTTACAATGAAACTTCATGACAACAGAGAGAATATTAGAGGATGACGAGGAAATCCTAAGAACTTTCAGGAGGGGATATCCATTCAAAGCATAAGCCTTTAGAATGACACCACACATCTCAATGGCAATTCTGAAATCTAGAAAAGCAATGCTTTCTAACTTCTGAGAGAAAGGGATTTCCAACCTAGAGTTCCTACTCCATGCAACCTATGTCAACCTTGGAGGATCTCAAAAAACTTGCCTCCCATGTCCTCTTTCTCAGGAACTTCTGGAAGGTGTATTTTACCAGCAAAAGAATGTAAAGAAAAAGGAAGACATGGGGTCTAAAACACACGGGATGCTACATGAGAAATCAGCAAAATAAATTCTCATAATAACAGTGAGAGGAGACCCCACAATGATGGATGTGCAACTGGCCTCAAGAGCGGCAAGCGGAGGAGGACAGAGTTCTCATGAGGGAGGGACCCAGTGGGCAGTATGTACTTGCTAACTAGAAATAAGTGCAAAGAGTTGAAAATGGTTGTCTCTGGGGCACAGAAGTGGAAGTTGAGGCTGAGTGTGGTGACTCACGCCTATGATCCCAGCACTTTGGGAGGCTGAGGCAGGAGGTTTGCTGAGGCAGCCCAAGAGTTTGAGACCAGCCAGGGCAACATAACAAGACCACGCCTCTAGAAAAGACAAAGAACTGGAAGTTGGTAAGAGGTAAGGTGAGTGAGTACTGTCCCTAGTTATAAGCCTTGTAGACATATTTGACTTTTTAAAGTTATATATATATATATATATATATATATAGTTTTGATAAGGAGGGAAGCTCACGCTATAAGTCTGATTCCGGAATGAAAATCCAGTAAAATCAGGAAGCACCCACCCTCTGGAGGGCAGAGCAACAAGCACTTGGCCAAACCTCTGGGAAACAGAAGACGATGAAGAAGGCAAAAGGGGAGAGCAGGTAAGCGACCTTGATGTCCCAGGAAACAGTGCAATGGACTCACCATTCTCTTCAACGACACCATCCCTAAGTGTGACAGAGATTAGCAGGAACAGAGGCTCAAGGGAAGCGCTACTACGTGCCAGGTGCGCCGCTGGGAAATTTAGGGACGTGAGGAGGCAGAAAGGCAGTTTGGTGACTTTGCTGCTCTTAGACCATCTTTCCTTCACTCTAGATAAGAGGGAGGCTGGCAATTACACCCAGCAATGCAGGCTCAGAGAGGGTGAGGGCCCAGATAAGCCTTAAATTCACTTCGATTCCGAACCCCATCACTTTCCCTTTCTTGTTTCTTTTGTTTGTGGCCCGCTCTGAGAACTCTTTTTCTTCCTTAAGACCTGACACAGGCCTCTTTCCCCAGAGGCCATCCTGTCTGTGAGTCCTGCAGCTGCACCCAGGGGCCTTGGGTTTGACTGAAGATCCTGGATTAACTGTGGGTGGGTCCCGTATCCTCTCAACTCCATTAACATCTCAGCAAAAGGAGCCACGGAGGCCTACAGGTTAGCATTCAATGGCCAGATTAGCAGCTGGGGACGAGATGAGGCCCTTGCAATTCACCTGCAAAGTTGAATTGAGAGTTACAAAACAGTGTAAGAGTGCAAACTCTGAAAATATTATTTTGTATGTATTTAAAGATATGTCTATATTATTTAGAGTTTATTATATCCCCTTATGATACCAAACTCAGCCTGGCCTATTTCTATGAAAAGCATTTGTTTACTGTTTACATTCACAGTCTTTTTCTCCCAGACATGGTTCCCAGGATGACAGCTGTAGTTACCGCCTTCTTTCCCTCCATCTCATGAGACAAGACTGACTTCATTTCACTTCTGGTGTTTATCAACTACCTAGTAGAGAGGAGCTACAGGACAGAAAATGCCATTCTCTTTCCAAACATCCTGCATCTTTAAATATCTTTGATTTGTGGATCCTATGATCAAAACATTTTGGGAATCAGTGGTGGGGCTGTTGTCCAAGCAGGCTGTTTAGTAATTTGGGGGCAAAGATCTGTCTCCAAATGCCATCACGACTTCTTGTGAAATCATCCACAGTTCCCGCGGGTAGAGAAAGCAGCTTTGCTCCGTCTCAGTCATTCTGCTGCTAGCGAGGGATGGGGGACAGTATGACAGATTTCCCGGGCTGCTGCCATGCCCCCCGCCCCTACCGGGGCTTCAACGGCACAGGCCCCAAGGTTCTGAAACCGCCGTGGCTCCGGAACCCCCTATTACCTGTCCCCTCTGGGCACCCCTTCCCTGCCCGTCACACACAGCCGGGGCGCCTCCTTCCGTCCAGCCATTGACAAACCAGCTCCAAGTCACTTACTCCTCCCGAGGAACACAAACCGTCTCTCAACACGCAAATCCCCCACTTTAAAAACAACACACCCCAGTGATCCGGGAGACGAGAAGGGCAGACGCTTAGGTGGCCGCTCCGCGCCTCCGAGGCTGTGGCTAAATCTCCACATTTGTGGATTCAGCCCCAGTCTGCACCCGACCTGGATCAGATCAGAAAACCTGAGGCTTTCGCCTGAGAAGCCGATTTCCTACCTCCAGTTCTGAAGTCACCTTCGGAGGGTTCCTCTCCGGAGCTCCTGGGAGTCTCCGCCGGCAGCAGCTGGGCGCCGGGTAATCCGCTCGCCAGGCCGGTCTCCGCGCCCCCGGGGCAGCTCATTAGCCTAATCACCTGCAGGCGGCCCGGGGGCCTGGGGCGGCTGCCAGCTGCCCTCCTGGAACGCGGCTCCTGCAGGACTTCCCGAAGGCTGCTCTCCGCCGGCTCCAGGTCTGTGGGAGGACCCCCCCCTCCTCCCTCCGCGCCGCGGTGGAGGAGGTTAGGAAAAGCCTGTAATGCAATCCTAAACTCGGCTCGCCACTCCCCTGCTCACTTGTCAAAACCCCACGGCATTCCAAGATCCCCTCCCCGGTCACTCCCCTCGCCGGGAAAAGGAAACCGCCCTGGGGAGGATTTCAGGGAGTTTGGGGCTTCTCATCCAGACACCTTTGTTTACACCGAGGGCTCAGGAGCTTCCTGGGGCAAACCTGGAGCAGGTTAGAGGAAAAAGCGCCCTACCCTAGACCCTCGTTTGCACCAAAAGTTCTCCCTCCGAGCCATTGCAAGAAGCTCCACCTTCCCACATCAATTCACTTCATGACCACTCCGTTTCATAATCCGCGGCAGCCTGAGTTCTTACAGGGGTGGAGCCCCCAGCTAAAATCACAACCATCGTATGGGGCAGGATGTCAGGGAACTTTCCAGAAATCCCCGGTCAGAGCCTTTCGGCTGGAGTAACCAAAGTTAACACCGCTGAATTACAATCGCCGGTGACTGCACGACTGAAGCATTTCCTTTATACCTTCTCCCGCTCCCCTACCCCTCCCACCTTCTGTGGGGTTCAGTCAACAAGCCCTCCCCCAGGAGGCCTGAGTGGGCCTGGGCCCTGCAGCCATCGCTCCAGCTGCAAACTGATGAGGAAGCCCGACCCACGAGGCCGAATTGTTTACATCACACCCACTGAGGCTTCCTGTCTTAAATTAATGGGAACACAAATAAGACAGGAAAAGAGTGTTTGCTTTTCTTAAAGCAGGGGAGGGGGGCTGGCAGCGGGAGGGGGAGTCACCCCACATTTCATTGCTTTTCAAAACTTCAGCTGTATTCTCTTCCATTTTTCCACTCCTGACACTTGTTGAAAAGTAAAAGCGTCACTGGTGCCAAACCTCAAGCCTTTATGGAACGTCTGCTCAAAACACATTTCACCTGGCTTCAAAAGGCACCCAGGGTGGAGCTCCCAGGGACCTGAGCTAGAGGAATGGAGAGCTCCTGAGGTTGATGGCACCAATCTCAGTGCAAACAAACTCACTCAAGCCCTGGGCCTCCCTCCCGGGACTTGCACAGGCAGGCACACACTCCACTCCTTGGGGTTCAGGTTAAGTCACACCCCAGTCCCACTCCACCCCTCTGGCTCTAAGCTCTGGTTGTGGGCATCCAGCAGCCCCTAAAAGTAAATGAGCTTTGCAACGGACAGATCTGGTGGAATTCGAAGCAATTAATTATAATGGAGGAGGCAAAAGAAAGCTTCAATTCCAGTACCATTACTGCCACCGGAATGGGTAATTAAAGCCCAGGAGGGGCCAACCCATGTCAAGCCTGGGCTGGAAATCTGCCCACTCTCAGAAGCAGCCCCAGAGCACATAGTAAATAATTATCATCATTACCAGTCCTGGAATTACCCCTAGTTGCTTCATTCAGGTGGGCACAACAGCCAACCCAGAAACAGGCAAGGAGTGTCAGGTCATGGTATTCCTCCTTCGGAAGAACCAAAAGGAAACAGAACCCCAGGATAAGATTTATTTCAAGAAGTTTTGGGTACTGCAACCAACAATACCTCATGGAGTTTAGGAGAACACTACATGTGCCCAGTGAGAACAAGCTTTGTAGACCAGTCCTCCAAACATCGCAATTCCTGGGTCAAAGCAAATTAGGCTGATGATTTCAGAAAAAACCAAGGGTATTAGAATTCTCTAACACAAAGTGTCTGGCTTACACATATTATAAGGGTCTCAGTGAATGCTGGCTCCACCCCCTTCCCTTTTCCCACTCTTCTGCCAGGAAGTGGTAGTCTTTCATTAGCATCCTATAAGTTTTATGGGAATTAAGTTCAAATTGAATAATTTTCTAATAATAATTTGAGAAGTGCTCCTTTGCTTCCTTTCTGAGTGTTTTTTCCACAACAGTTTCCCAATGTTTTAGCTTCTTTCTCCACTCCTTCAATCCAGGTACATAATTGATGATGTGTACATCAATGCTGTTTAAAGTAAATGTATGGGCCAGGCGCAGTGGCTCACGCCTGTAATCCCAACACTTTGGGAGGTCGAGGTGGGTGGATCACTTTTGGTCAGGAGTTCGAGACCAGCCTGACCAACATGGTGAAACCCCATCTCTGCTAAAAATACAAAAATTAGCTGAGTGTGGTGGTGGGCACCTGTAATCCCAGCTACTTGGGAGGCTGAGGCAGGAGAATTGCTTAAACCCGGAAGGCAGAGGTTGCAGTGAGCCGAGATCCCATCACTGCACTCCAGCCTGGGCTACAGAGTGAGACTCCAACTCAAAAACATAAAATAAATACATAATAAAGTCCAGGCACGTGGTGGCTCATGCCTGTAATCCTAGCACTTTGGGAGGCCAAGGTAGTTGGATCACTTGAGGTCAGAAGTTTGAGAGCAGCCTGGCCAACATGGTGAAACCCCATCTCTATTAAAAATACAAAAATCAGCCAGGCGTGATGGCACGCGCCTGTGGTCCCAGCTACTCTACTTGGGAGGCTGAGGAAAGAGAATAGCTTGAACCCAGGAGGTAGAGGTTGCAGTGAGCCCGGACTGCGCCACTGCACTCCAGCCTGGGCGACACAGCAATGCTCAGTCTCAAAAATAAATAAAATAAATAAATAATAAAAATAAATGTATGGTTTTAAGTATAATGCAAAGAAATATTCTGCCCCCATCCTCATCTTTGTTGCCTCAGCTCAGTCTGGGGCACGTAAGTGCTGGGAATTGAAAATGGGACCACACGGCAGACACGGTGGCTCACGCCTGTGATTCCAGCACTTTGGGAGGCCGAGGCAGGCGGATCACGAGGTCAGGAGCTCAAGACCAGCCTGCCCAACATGGTGAAACCCCGTCTCTACTGAAAACATAAAAATTAGCCAGGTGTGGTGGTGGGTACTTGTAATCCCAGCTACTCAGGAGGCTGAGGCACGAGAATCACTTCAACCCAGGAGGCGGAGGTTGCAGTGAGCCGAGATCCCACCACTGCACTTCAGCCTGGGCAAGAGAGCAAGACTCTATCTCAGGGGAAAAAAAAAAATGTGACCACATCTGCCTAATACCTTAATTTCAGGAAAGCTTTTGCATCCATATGCCATTCTCATCAGCAGGCCAGAAAGATATGATCTGGTGCGTCTTTTCCCTAACTGAGGTTTCACTGCTGACTGGAAAAGAGATCAATGGCCCAGTAAACAAAGGGGTGCTTAGCATGTGGTCTACGATTTTGTCTTGGGTCTGGTTTAAATAATACTTGAAATTGCTATATGCATACCCAGAGTCTACAAATAACATTAATTTGAGTGGGAACTGCTGATACGTTAACAGAATCCAAAGTAGCTTCCACACATTAAGGAAATGGTTCATTAAAAACAGTTTAGAGTTCAGCATGATGGCTGATTTCAAAGTGGTATCCTCAGGGGTGATGATCAAAATGACAGGCACAAATGGGGCTTAATGTCTAGATTCAAGAAAAACTGACAAAGAGGTGAGGATCACAGCAGATCATGCATTTAATAGGAATCTGCATATTGCACTGATAAGAAATAGGCAATGCAGTGCTGGGGTGAATTCACGCTGGTGGGAGTTTGACAGGAAAAGGAAGTGCCCCCCTTCTCCCTACCCCATAATAAAGAATTTGACAGCAGACAGACTCTTACTGGTGGGTTGTGGGGGGTGGGGGTATGTCCAATCTGATGCCTCTTATTTTAAGGAAGATGTGGAGACACTGGAAAGGTTCCAAAGGAGAACCTAAATGATTAAAGAGACAGAAAATAGAACTTATGAGGGGAAGTTAAAGGATTTGGAGTTGTTTAGTCTAGAGTGAAAAAAAAGTGCCTAAAGGCAAACTTAACAGCCTTTTCCTACTTGAAGGGTTATTATAAAGAGGATACCGACCAGCTGTTCATCATCTCTACAGAGGACATAAGAGGTAAGAGACTCAAAATACAACTTTAGAATTTGGGAGGCCAGGCACAGTGGCTCACACCTGTAATCCTAGCACTTTGGAAGACCAAGGCGGGTGGAACACGAGGTCAGGAGATCAAGACCATCCTGGCTAACACGGCGAAACTCCGTCTCTACTAAAAATACAAAAAATTAGCCAGGCATGGTGGCATGCACCTGTAGTCCCAGCTACTCGGGAGGCTGAGACAGAAGAATCGCTTGAACCCAGGAGGCGGAGGTTGCAGTGAGACGAGATGGCGCCACTGTACTCCAGCCTGGGTGAAAGAGCAAGACTCCGTCTCAAAAAAAAAAAAAAAAAAAAGAATTTGGGTACAATGTAAAGACGACTTGCTTAATGCTAATGGTAACTGACTTCACCTTAGAATAGTCTCATCTGATAACACTGTGCAATCTCCATCTATCAGACTCCATCCTAAGTGATAGTTTTGCATGTTTAAGCAGAAGTGAGGCTAGAAAACGCCTTCTATTCCCTTCTAGAACTATAGCGTTCCACTGTTATTCCATCATATGTGGGAGTAAAGATCCTGAACCCCTGTGTTCCCTAACTCACAAACAAGGTGCCATGAGAATGTAATGTTCTCTCAAAACATCGGACCTTTGTTTTCCTTATTGGGATGGGCATCGCTAAAAATATGCCCAACTGTGGACATTAACTAGATGATAAGTATATATATGTGTGTGTGTGTGTGTGTATATATATATATATATACTTATATATATACACATATATACTTATATATACATATATACTTATATATATACTTATATATACATATATACACATATATACTTATATATATACACACACATATATACACGTATATATACTTATATATACACGTATATATACTTATATATACACATATATATACTTATATATACACGTATATATATATACGTGTATATATGAGTATATACGTGTGTGTGTATATATATATATGTGTATATATATATATGTATATATATATATGTGTATATATATATATGTATATATATATATGTGTATATATATATATGTATATATATATATGTATATATATATATGTGTATATATATATATATATGTATATATATATGAGAGAGAGAGAGAGAGAGATGGAGTCTCACTCCATCACCCAAGTTGGAGGGCAGTGGCGCAATCTCGGCTTACTGCAACCTCTGCCTCCCGGGTTCAAGCAATTCTCCTGCCTCAGCCTCCATAGTAGCTGGGATTACAGGCGCACGCCACCACACCTGGCTAATTTTTGTATTTTTAATAGAGACAGAGTTTCACCATGTTGGTCAGGCAGATCTCGAACTCCTGACCTCAAGTAATCCACCCACCTCCGCCTCCCAAAGTGCTAGGATTACAGGCGTGAGCCACCTCGCCCAGCCTGGTAAGTGTATTTCATAGCTTCGCTCCTGTTCTGTGTACGGGACGTATTGCTTTTTAATGTGTTTAAATAATTAGTTGATGATGATAATGATAATAATAGCTATGACTTATTAAGCTCTTACTATAATTATATTGGGCACTGTGCTAAGTACTTTATTTAGATTATCTCATTTTTTTGCAGTAGCCCTGTGAAGTGGGTATAATTATTAGTCTTATTCTAACACAAGGAAACTGAGTCACAAAGAGGTTAAGTAACACGGCTAATAAATGCTGGAGTCCTAATTCAAACCCATTTGGTCTGACTCAAAAGGGTGTGCGTAATCATTACACCACTGCCTCTTATCATTAGGTATTTTTAGCTATTCAGAGGGAGGAAACACTGCAAAAAGAAGCATTCATGCTTATTGGCCAAACTGACTGAAAAGCAAGCTGTACACAGGTTTACATTGCCTGGGGAAATAATCATCTTTTCCCAGCAAAACAGAGGAAAGGAAGGACCAAGTTCATTTTCTGAGATGGAGTCTCGCTCTGTCGCCCAGGCTGGAGTGCAGTGGCAAGATCTCGGCTCACTGCAAGCTCCACCTCCTGGGTTCACGCCATTCTCCTGCCTCAGCCTCCCTAGTACCTGGGACTACAGGCGCCTGCCACCACGCCTGGCTAATTTTTTGTATTTTTAGTAGAGACGGGGTTTCACCGTGTTAGCCAGGATGTTCTCAATCTCCTGATCTCGTGATCTGCCCACCTAGACCTCCCAAAGTGCTGGGATTACAGGTGTGAGCCACCGTGCCCGGCCCATTTTCTTTTTTCTTTTTTTTTGACAGTCTCACTCTGTCGCCCAGGCTGGAGTGCAATGGCACGATCTTGGCTCACTGCAACCTCTGCCTCCCGGGTTCAAGCAATTCTCCTGCCACAGCCTCCTGAGTAGCTGGGATTACAGGTGCCCACCACCACACCTGGCTGGTTTTTGTATTTTTAGTAGAGACGGGGTTTCACCATGTTGGCCAGGCTGGTCTCAAACTCCTGACCTCAGGTGATCTGCCCACCTCAGCCTCCCAAAGTGCTGGGATTACAGGCGTGAGCCACGGCGCCAGGCCCCAAGTTCACTTTCTGATAGGGAGGGTGCATTGCTATCTCCCACAAAGCTGAAGAATTCAAATCAAGGTTCACCTTTATACATTTAATTATTCAGCTGTAATCTAACTTTGCATATAGTAGGTTTGACTGTGGAATGAATGAATACAAATGCTTCTTGACTGTGATGCCTTAAGACACATGAACTGAAATGAGGTTTTCCAGCATGGTGGTCAAGGCTCTGGTCGGTCATTTCCTGTTTCCTTTTCTTCAGCTGCTTAGTAAATAAGTTGATTGTCTTTATCTGAAAAATCTTCATAGAAAATTGTTTGGTTTAGGTCTTAGTAGCCCGCTCCTGAGCTCTGAGGAAGCTTGCCTACTTTTGAGCTACCTGATCTTTCTTCTGGGCAAGGGACATTTTGGGATAGTTCCACCTCTGCTTTTCAACTTCTTTCTTAGGCTTCTTCTCATAGATTGGATTCTCTTGCATAGCAGCATGAGCCTTCTTATACATCCCCATCATGTCTGGAGTTATGCTGTTCTTTATGTATTGAGAGAATGGTTTCTGGTAAGCATCTTCATCTTCCATTAGGTAACGCATGTAATCTGCAACATTCTGACACGTGATGTGCTTCCAATGCATTAACTTCTGCATTAAGTTCCTTGCTTTCAGAATCATAACCAGGGAATCGTCTGGTACTGCAAGGGATAGACAAGCCTCCATTCACAGCTTCCTTCAGGGCCTCCAAAACTGTATTGTCAGTGGTAGTTCTGGCAAGGCCTGCATCCAAATAGCAGGTAAAGGCACCGGGCTGGCCATCAATGCTTTCCACATTGTATTCATCTCCAGTCACCACCACTTGGCATTCCTAGATCTTGCCCATGCCAAACCTACTGAAAAGCCTCCGAGCCAGCAGCAGGCCAGTACAATATGCTGCAGCAGAATTTGTCAGCCAACCTTCACACCAAATTTTGGCAGTGTGTGCATAAGCTGTGCAGACTATCATATCCCCTTCTACATGGGCATACGCAATCTGACAAATGATATCTCTGTTACGCGAACTCTCATCCTGTATTTGGGTGTGTTGTACTTATTTTTATCCTCTATCACCAAGCGTTTCTTAGCATAGTAATCGGTTTTACCCTCTTGTCGTCTTCTAAATTTCATTTTGTATCTTTTAAAGTAGGCCTTATTCCTGACAACTTTAACAAACCCCACCCTACAGAACAGAGACTCATGTCACAGCTCAGCACAGACCTCTGGCTTGTCATTTCTGTGGGCTTCTTATCAGATGTCCCCAAAGAGCCTTACAATAATCCAATGTTTCCTTCAATTCAGTATCTATGAGACAGCATATGGATGGGTCACATATTTCCCCAATGTCAACTACTTTTAGATCAAGACAAGATTTTTAACGAGGTTTATTGAGTGCTGTTGTATATCAACAATAGATGATTCATGAGTGAAACAGACAGCAAAATGATTTTTAGAAAGGCAAGTGAACCAGACACAAACAAAAAATAAAAAGCCTTGATCCAAATTACTCTAAAGGACAGATATTTTCCCATTAGGACAATTTATCCTAAATCTGTAAACAGAGAGGGGCATAATTATACAAGTGTTTGCTAACAGATCTAAACCTTATGCAGCTGTAAAAAGCTGAAGAAAGGAAGAAAGCGGAAATTCCCAGGAGAAGATCCCCGACCACATCCAGGGCCACCAGCTCTCCACAAACACAAGGCCCAGCAGTGGCACCAAGCAAAGCATGAGAAGAAACCTCAGGATTCTGACACAATCCACAAATATAACTTTGAATTGTCCTGAAACTAAACAATGACAATTCTATCCAATCAACTTTCAGCTGACACACAGACGGGGTGGTGACTTATTGGTGTTCCAGATGTAGTTAATGGAAACATGATGCCCAGAATTAAAAAGGTATTCAGTAAATGTTGATTGAATGGATGGATGAGTGAATGACGTCTGAACAGATGCCCATGTCTCTTTCCCTCTTCGCAGCTCTGTTGGGAAGATGTCCTCAATGCTTCAAACCTGGCCAGGCGTGGTGGCTCACGCCTCTAATCCCAGCACTTTGGGAGGCCGAGGTGGGCAGATCACCTGAAGTCAGGAGTTCAAGACCAGCCTGGCCAACATGGTGAAACCTTGTCTCTACTAAAAATACAAAAAATTAGCTGGGTGCAGTGGTGCACGCCTGTAATCCCAGCTACTCGGGAGGCTGAGGCAGGAGAATCACTTGAACCCGGGATGCGGAGGTTGCAGTGAGGCGAGATTGCGCCACTGCACTCAAGCCTGGGCAACAGAGTGAGACTCCGTCTCAAAGAAAAAAACCAACCAACCAAACAAACAAAATGCTTCAAACCCAAAGCCACCACAGAGGGGCTGAACCATTTGACATAGTTCCCCAGGAACAGAACAGTTCATGGAACCGGAGAATGGTTTCTGATCCAAAGATATACTAATTTGTGATCTTCCAGTGCACACAGGAAGGGGGATTGTGGTGCCTCTGGAACATCTTTGCAGGTCTTGATTCAAAAGCTGCCATTATTTACAATATAGATTCTAAACTCTATTTGAAGTCCAACAGAACCAAGTACTAAGTAGCTAGCATGTATTGAACACATACAGGATGCCAAGACCTGTTGTAAGCCTTTTATGTATTAGGTCATTAAATCCCTATTACAATCTTAGAATATGTACTATTATTACAGCAACCCATTTTACAGGCAATGAAACTGGACAAGATTATCTAAGTAGCTCATGGTCACACAACTAATAAGTAGAGGAGCTGGATCTGAGAGTCTACCTGGAACCAGTGCTTACTCTTAATTGCTACCCAATGCTATCTGTCCGGATCTTACTTCCTGCCACTTCTCTGCACAAACTCACTGTTTGCCCACAAATATGCAAAGAACATTCTAATCTGTGCAGGACACGTTCCCTGACTTCCCTCCCACTGTTAGCTCTCTCTTCTGAGTGCTCACATCACTCATTCTCCAGGGAACACACTGAAACTTACTTGGTTCACATCACACCTCTCCAGATAGCTCTGAAGTTCCTTTGGTGTTGGAACTGTGTGTTATATGGCAGTGTGGAGACGTAGTGGAATAAGAAAGACCTAGGTTTAAAGTTCAAATCCCATAATGATTATCCGTGAGATTCTGGGTAAGTCATTTGACATTTCCTGTCCTTATATTTAAACCGTCTACCTTAAAGGCTTGTTGAGGAGGAGAGGCTGAGTGTCTAGGATGATGCCTGATATTGTAAGCCAGTGATTCTCAATCAGGTATTTTACACACCCTTCCCCTATCCCCGCAGGGACATTTGGCAATGTCTGGAGATGTTTGATAGTCCGATTGCTTACTGGCATCTGACGGAGAGAGAGAAAGAATTCTTCTCATCTCCCATTCTTCTGACGTGGTAACAATATCTTCTTCCATTTCTACCTTTCACAGTCTCGAAAACATGAATAATTTGTGCTCAGTTGTATATGATAAAAGAAACTTGTTTCTTGTTTAAAGAAACTTGTTCCCACTCACAGAGGTCTTCTGCTTTGACCTATCCCTGAGAACTGGGCATTGGGCAACGTAAACTCAGAAGCAGAAAATCAATTACAGCCATTGCTCACCTCTAGGCGGGGCCCACACCCAGCCCTGCCAGATGGTTTTATAATAGTGAGTGCTGTGTTACCATGAAGGGCCTTCTATAAAGGAGAGTTGAAGCTGGATAGTATCCCAGAGACTGTTCCTTTCCCCAGCAAACCTTCATCTAGCAGGGGCTGGTGCCTTTCCTTACACAGGTTTATACTAACACTGCCAGATAAAATATAGGCGACCCAGTTAAATTTGAATCACAGATGAAAAATGAGTAATTATTTTACTCTAAGTAGATCCCAAAAATCACATGGAATTTTTCATTTGCTAAATCTGACAATCTTATTTTATAACAACCAAGTCCTTACCACTTGGTCTTGACAAAAATCATTTCTATACTCAGTAATACGTAAATATATGGAAAACAAAACATATGCACATTGTTAAAAATCGAGAAGCTTGAAGATATTCCTTTATGGTCTCTGTTTCTCACTCTGATGGACATCTGCTTCCAAGAATAGGTTTCTAATCATTTTCTTTATAGCTGACTTGAAGTCCCTCACCTTTGCCTAACATCTCTCACTCCATTTATAATTATCTTCTCATGATCATTCTTTTTGCATCATTAAGTTCAACCACTTTGACCCTTCTTCTCTTCCCAAGCAATTACCATTCAATTGAGTGTTTCACCTTGACTTGCTCTCTTACAATGATATATCAAAATGTCTCCTCTTTACAAGTCAATGAACCACATTCAGGAAACACTGAATTGAGGGTAGGTAGCTCCCTCAATTCTTCCAAATTGACCTCAAGGATCAGATGCCCCTTCCTAATTATTCCATGTTCTCCAACTCTAGGAAATCCTCCAGAAAAGCAACTTTAGGACTCCAGCCTCAGTTCTGATCTTATCTGGTCCACCACCATTCTCCATCAGCTGAAAAACCTCCTAGTTGGGAAAAGCAAAGGACCAGATAGAACCTTGAATAATTTTCTCACAAATGAAAAACGTGGCTTCCTCTCCAGGCTTTAGGGGACATCTCAAAAGCCACGTTGTTTACATGTGGCGCTGTACAAAGGGCCCACCTCACTTTAACCCCAAGGAGGGTGGAGTTTAGCCCATTTATAAATGCAGTCTGCGGGGAAAGGGTATGAAGGGGAGCTGTGACCCTGTTAGGACTACTTTCCAGTTTACACATGGAGCAGTGTGGGGGAGACTCGGAATCAGGGTAGCAAGCAAGATCTGGTGGAAACTCGGGCAGGCTGGTTAATGTGGAATGAAGGACATGATGATATCAAGAAAAAGTTGTTAATGACTGGACGTGGTGGCTCATGCCTGTAATCCCCAGCACTTAGGGAGGCTAAGGCAGGCGGACACTTGAGGTCAGGAATTTGAGACCAGCCTGGCCAACATGGTGAAACCCCATCTCTACTAAAAAATACAAAAATTAGCCAGACATTGTGGCGGGAACCTGTAATCCCAGCTACTTGGGAGGCTGAGGCAGAGAGCTGCTTGAACTCAGGAGGTGGAGGTTGCAGTGAGCCGAAATTGTGCCACTGCACTCCAGCCTGGGTGACACAGCAAGACTCCATCTAAAAAAAAAAAAAAGAAAGAAAAAGTTGTTGTTAATATGCCCAGGGTGGGAAAACACTTTGAATTACCAGAGTCATGAAGAATGTCATTAAAAACAAGGGTGATAGGCTGGGCACGGTAGCTCACGCCTATAATCCCAGCATTTTGGGAGGCCAAGGCGGGTGGATCACCTGAGGTCAGGAGTTCGAGACCAGCCTGACCAACGTGGTGAAACCCTGTTTCTACTAAAAATACAAAATTAGCCGGGTGTGGTGGTGCATGCCTGTAATCGCAGCTACTCGGGAGGCTGAGACAGGAGAATCACTTGAACCCAGGAGGCAGAGGTGGCAGTGAGCCAAGATCGCACCATTGCACTCCAGCCTGGGCAACAAAAGCAAAACTCCATCTCAAAAAAGAAAAAAGAAAAAACAAAACAACAACAACAAAAAACATGGGTGGTAAAAAAACAAAAACTTTCATTATTATTGGTTTATAGTAACTAGTAATGAAAGTATTAGTAATTAGTCATAAAAGTATCAGTACATAGTCACAAAAGACTTCTATAACTTCTTAAACTCCTGTCACATTGTTAGTATTATCATCACTTTTATCTGGCTATCACTTCATCCCACAAAGAAGGAATGATAGATATTATTTTACCCACTCCGCAAGCAATGAAACTGTGAAAAGGATATGGGAACTTCCAGGAACCCAGGTTTCTTGACTTCTGGTCCAGGGGCCTTCCCTGCCTAGCAGATAGCAGTTGCTCTATTAGGAACCAGCCAGATTCGAGCCAGGAAACTGCTTTCAGACTTAACCCAGTGCCTTTGGAAGGCTGTGTGGTTGACTGGGGATGGGCTGTGTCAGAATGAGCGGCCGGGTGAGAAGAACAGAGCCGTGGAGCCAGGAGGCCTGGATTTAGATCTCAGCCCTCCTTTACCAGCCTGGATTCTCTCGTCTGTAACTGGGGATAATGACAATTACCTCGCAGAGGTGTTGTGAGCTAGAATGAACTGGCACATAACTGTAAGTGTGCATAAACATTATATTAACAATGACTGTAATTGTAGGTTCAGGATTCTAACTTGAAGAGTTCAAATATATGCAAATCCCCGCTAAGACAGGGATGAAATGGAGGAGAACTGGTAGTTTTTCAAAGCTACAAAAAGGCTTATCAAGCTATATGTGTTTTTAAAGTGACAAGAGAAAGTTACAAATTAACGGCTCACCTTCATTAAGTGTTCATGGGGTGTCAGTACTTGTAATAAGCCTTCACATGCAGATCCTCATTTAATCTTTCATCGCCTTAGGAGTTAGGTATTATTCTTTTTTTTTTTGAGATGGAGTCTTGCTCTGTTACCCAGGCTGGAGTGCAATGGCATGATCTCGGCTTACTGCAACCTCCACCTCCCAGGTTCAAGCGATTCTCCTGCCTCAGCCTCCCGAGTAGCTGGGACTACAGGCATGCGCCACCATACCTGGCTAATTTTTGTATTTTTAGTAGAGATGGGGTTTCACCATATTGGCTAGGCTGGTCTCGAACTCCTGACCTCATGATCGGCCTGCCTCAGCCTCCTAAAGTGCTGGGATTACAGGTGTGAGCCACCGCACCTAGCCAGGTATTGTTCTTTTTTTTTGAGACAAGTCTCACTCTGTCGCCAGGCTGGAGTGCAGTGGTGCAATTTTGGCTCACTGCAACCTCCGCCTCCTGGATTCAAGTGATTCTCCTGTCTCAACCTCCAGAGTAGCTGGGACTACAGGCGCCCGCCACCATGTCTGGCTAATTTTTGTATTTTCAGTTGAGACGGGGTTTCACCATGTTAGCCAGGATGGTCTCGATCTCTTGATCTCGTGATCTGCCCACCTGGGCCTCCCAAAGTGCTGGGATTTCAAGTGTGAGCCACCATGCCTGGCTGAGTATTGTTCTTAATTCCATTTTACAGTTAGGGAAAGCCTGGCTTAGTGGGGTTAAGAAATAACCCAAGGTCACACATTTGGTAAGTGGTAGAATCAGGACTCATTAAGTTCATACCCACAGATGTGTGTAGCCCACGCATTCTTGTAGATGTGTGTGTTTATGTGTGTGTGTGTGTGTGTGTACACATGTGCACAGAGAAAGTTCAGGACAAAATAGACCAGATATTAGTAATATCCCACCACTGGATGATGGGATGACAAGTAATATTTACTTTCTTCTTTATGCCTTACTGAACTCAGTAGTAGTGCTTTTATAATTTAAATGTTTTTCCTTTTGATAACATACTTTAAAACGTAAACCAAAATGAGGCTTCAAAAATATAATGAGTGGAACCGCCATCCTCCAGTAATTCGCCAAAATGAGAAACACAAAGAGAAAGAGGAGAGACACCCAGTATGTTCTCCAGGCCTTTAAGAAAACATGGAGTTATTCCTTTGTCCATGTATATGTGAATCTATAAGAAAGGTGATATTGTAGACATCAAGGGAATGGGTACTGTTCAAAAAGGAACGCCCCACAGGTGTCACCATGGCAAAACGGGAAGAGTCTACAATGTTCCCCAGCATGCTGTTGGCATTGTTGTAAACAAACAAGTTAAGGGCAAGATTCTTGCCAAGAGAATTAATGTGCATATTGAGCACATTAAGCACTCTAAGAGCCAAGACAGCTTCCTGAAACGCGTGAGGAAAATGATCAGAAAAAGAAAGAAGCCTATCAGAAAGGTACCTGGGTTCAACTGAAGTGCCAGCCTGCTCCACGCAGAGAAGCACATTTTGTGAGAACCAGTGGGAAGGAGCCTGAGCTGCTGGAACCCATTCCCTATGAATTCATGGCAAAATAGCTACTGTTAAAAAAAAAAAGACCTCTGGACTATAAACAAATATATATATATATATATATATATATATATATATATATATATATATATATATAATGAAAATGACTACTCTTTGAATGAGTGTGGGGGATAGGAGATATAAATAGCATTTGCAAGGCCCATTGTAATTAAACTTTCAGGTTTCTTCCCCCCCAGTCAAAGAAACCTTCAGAATAAAATGAGGTGGTTTTTTTGTTTTGTTTTGTTTTGTTTTGTTTTGTTTTGAAACAGGGTCTCACCCAGGCTCGAGTGCATTGGCATGATCACGGCTCACCGCAGTCTCAAGCTGCCTGCTTCCCTGGGCTCAGGTGATCCTCACACCTCAGCATTCTGAGTAGCTGGGAGTACAGGTGCATGCCACCATGCCTGGCTAATTTCTGTATTTTTTGGTAGATACAGGGTTTACTAGTCCATTCTCTGCTGCTTTAAAGAACTGCCTGGGACTGGGTAGTTTATAAAGGGAAGAGGTTTAATTGGCTCACAGTTCCACGTGGCTGGGGAGGCCACAGGAAACTTAACAATCATGGCAGAAGGGGAAGCAAACGTGTCCTTCTTCACATGATGGCAGGAAGGAGAAGTGCTGAGCAAAGAGGGAAAAGCCCCTTGTAAAACCATCAGATCTTGTGAGAACTCACTGTCATGAGAACAGCAGCATGAGGTTAACTGCCCCCATTATTCAATTACCTCCAACCAGGTCCCTCCCACTCCGCATGGGGATTATAGGAACTGCAATTCAAGATGAGATTTGGGTGGGGACAGAGCCAAACCACATCATGGGGTTTTGCCATGTTGCTCAGACTGGTCTTGAACCTGTAATGCTCAAGCGATCTGCCCACCTCAGCCTACCAAAGTGCTGGGATTACAGTCGTGGGCCACCATGTCCAGCCCAAGCTTCTTGAAAATAAAGATTATATTCCATCTCCCTTCTACCTAAAACCTCAGGTTTCTGTCTCTTAGGCAGATCTCAGTTCTAAACCTTAAATGTGCTCATGAACCAAATATTTGCCAGTTATTTATTCTATAATAACACCAATGAGTTCTTAAAATCTGTTTTTTTTTCTTTTACCACATTTTCCCTTGACATGATTATTTATAACTTATGTGCAAACTCCTTTCTCTTCTGTGGTCATTACAGAGGATAAAATGATAAATATCACTAAAGCAAACATTCTTCTTACTGTTTGCTTTGAACTCCGAAGTCTTCTTCAAGGAGCACTACAAAGATAAATTAAGATTTTGCACCCCCTGTCAACAAAACTTGTCTTCAAAGATGACCTCTGGAGGGGAGTAAAAGAATTGAAAGCAAACTGAAGGAACTCAAAAGCGATGACCTTTTCCTGTCTTTCTGCAGTTAACAACAATGCAGGGATGGCAGGAGAGGGCAACCTGTACGCAGAACAGGCACCCAAATCTCTTTCTGGTGAGAGCTTCTGGGGTCCCTGCAGGACAGATGATCTGGAGGGCAGGAGGGACACGTGCTGAGATGCCACATGGGAGAATAGGGGATGCAGAGGCTGAGCCCTCTCTCCCAACCCATTAGAGAGACTTCAGATGATGAAGATGAAGAAACTCTCACAACAGGATTGATGTGGAGGTCAGCTAAGCCAGGTGTCCAGAATGTGTTCACAGACCTGGCCTCTTGGGAATGCCCCAGACCTGGAATTCTCCGTGGCTTGCCTAGATGCCCTGACTGTGCTATAACGTGAGAGTGGCAGGGAGGTTTTAGAGTTACATTTATATGGATATCAGCCTACTCTACTAAGTCAATGAAAAACTACCACTGAAAACCATGGCCTTGTGAAGAAAATAACGATGACTTGTTTGCCTAGCCTTTGTTCTATTTAATTTATTTTCACAGAACAATGCCTCCAGATCAGCTTTTGAAAACTCACCTGCAAATTGACATGACTGTTTACCTGTTTGAATTTGGGTGAGTTTCTTTCTCAAAGTAGAAAACGAAGGTTAATTATCAAAATCTTTTAGACTGTGATTCCAGAGATGAGAGGCTGTTTGTGCTGCTGAGCCACGTGATTATATGGATCTCTTTGAGGAGCATTTCTAGCTCCATGGATTTCTGGGGATTAAAATATACCTTGCTGGGGTATGGTGGCTCATGCCTGTAATCCCAGCACTTTGGGAGGCTGAGGCAGGCAGATCATTTGAGGTCAGGACTTCAAGACCAGCCTGGCCAACAGGGCAAAACCCCATCTCTAATAAAAATACAAAAATTAGCTGGGTGTGATGGAGGGCACCTGTAATTCCAGCTACTTGGGAGGCTGAGGTGGGAGAATTGCTTGAACCCTGGAGGCGGAGGTTACAGTGAGCTGAGATCATGCCACTGCACTCCAACAGTGGACCCTGGGGTCCATAAAGTATAAACACAGGATATAATTTTTAATATAATTTTATTTTTTACAGATTGAAGATCTCACAGAATTTTGTGTATTTTACCTGTTTCCAAACTTTACAGATACCATGTGTATATACATTTTCTTGCTCTTTTTTAGCTGTTCATCTTAGTTTCTTTAGTCTTACTTCATTTACTTTTTGCTTTTTATTTTTGAGACAAGGTCTCACTGTGTCACTCACCCAGGCCAAAGGGCAGTGGTGCGATCTCAGCTCACTGCAGCCTCTACCTATTGGGCTCAGGTGATCCTCACAACTCAGCCTCACAAGCAGCTGGCACTACAGGCACACACCATCATGCCCGGCTAATTTTTATTTTTTTGAGATGGAGTCTCACTCTTGTCACCCAGGCTGGAGTACAGTGACACAATCTCGGCTCACTGCAACCTCTGCCTCCCAAGTTCAAGTGATTCTCCTGCCTCAGCCTCCCGAGTAGCTCGGATTACAGGCATGGACCACCATGCCTGGGTAATTTTTTGTATTTTTAGTAGAAACAGGGTTTCACCAGGTTGGCCAGGCTGGTCTCAAACTCCTGACCTCAAATGATCTGCCCACCTCGGCCTCCCAAAGTGCTGGGACTACAGGCATGAGCCACTGTGCCTGGCCTCATATTCTTTATGATCGTTTAAAAATATAAAACCATTCTCAGCTGGCAGGTGGGAGTTTGCTGTTCCCTGGCAAGAAGGCTCCAGCAAGTCCAGAGGCCTAGCTGCTTGTCGTGACTCTGCTCCCCCTGGTACCCAAAGGGAGTCTCTTCACCTACTGGGCTTGGAGCTTCTCGTCAGCAAAGTGTGTGTATGAGACTAGTTCACCTTCAAGAATGCACAGCACAGGTGTGGAGAGTCTGCATTTTGTGGGGAGGGATCCAGGCTGATATTCTCATTGAGAATTCAATATAGAATCTTATTACACAGCAGGAATTAACTCAAGTACACCTTTCCTCTTCTTCCAGAAGTGGATTAGTCTACATGATTTATTTATTTATTTTTAATTTCTTTCTTTCTTTCTTTCTTTCTTTCTTTCTTTCTTTTAAGACAGTCTCGCTCAGTTGCCCAGGCTGGAATGCAATGGCGTGATCTTGGCTCACTGCAACCTCCACCTCCTGGATTTAAACAATTCTCTCATCTCAGCCTCCAGAGTAGCTGGGATTACAGGCACCCACCATCATGCCCAGCTAATTTTTGTATTTTTGTAGAGACTGGGTTTCATCATGTTGGCCAGGCTGGTCTTGAACTCCTGACCTCAGGTGATCCACCCACCTGGGCCTCCCAAAGTCCTGGGATTACAGGCATAAACCACCTCGCCCAGCCTACATAATTTATTTTACTAATCCTGGACAGATGACGTACCCTTTTCTAAACAAAATTTCTAGAGGGAATCATAAAAAACCTTTGCCTACCTCTCTGCTTTTGTCATTAGAGCATCATCTCTAGGAGAGGTTGTAAAAGAAAGGAGGATTTAGATCAAGTTGGGGACATTTGTAAAAATCATGGATTTTTCCCTCAAAAACAATAAAATTGGCAAGGCGCAGTGGCTCACACCTATAATCCTAGCACTTTGGGAGGCCGAGGCAGGTGGCTCACTTGAGGTCAGGAGTTTGAAATCAGCCTGACCAACACAGCAAAACCCCGTCTTTACAATACAAAAATTAGCCAGGTGTGGTGGTGCACATCTGTAATCCCAGCTACTTGGGAGGCTGAGGCAAGAGAATTGCCTGAACCCTGGAGGTGGAGGTTGCAGTGAGCCAAGATCATGCCACTCCACTGCACTCCAGCCTGGGCCACAGATCAAGACTCTGTCTCAAAAAAAAAAAAAAAAGCCAATAAAATTACTATTGGTTTATAGAGAAAACATTGAAACAAGCTTACACAAATACCATTACTGTGCTGTTTTTTAATAAAGATACATTTCACTCTATTTCAAAACATCTAAGTCAGACTGGTAAATTGGGAGCACCAACGCAGAATCCTTTTTGCAAACATAGCAGATTTAAAAAGCACTTAACACATAATACTTCTATTTATTTTTAGGTGGACAATCATGGACATTCCAAATTGAGACCCACAAGGGTTTATGACTACATTGTCAATGAGTGATGAGCCTGCTGGAAATAATAGGACTGATTCAGGACCAGTGAAAGAAGATACACAAACCCAAGACGTGCATTTTCAGAAGGAACGCTTATGTCACTCAACAAACATTTGTTGAGTTTTCACTAGGTGTTAGGTGCTGTGCTAGTTAGAGATGCTGACCCTACCCAAGACAATGAAGATCTCATTTTCTCAGTCCAATTGATGAAAAGTTAAACATCAGCTCTAGAAATCAAGACTGAGAAGATGAGTTCATGTAACTGTCCCTAGATGAATTCTTATCTTCTTGGTCAGTAAGGCAGGGTCCTTGAAGCTAAAAGATACATTTTTTTTTTTTTTGAGATGGAGTGTCACTATTGTTGCCCAGGCTGGAGTGCAGTGGCGCGATCTTGGCTCACTGCAATCTCTGCTTCCCAGGTTCAAGCGATTCTCCTGCCTCAGCCTCCTAAGTAGCTGGAATTACAGGTGTCCGCCACCACGCCTGGCTAATTTTGTATTTTTAGTAAAGACAGGTTTCATCATGTTGGCCAGGCTGGTCTCGAACTCCTGACCTCAAGTGATTCACCTGCGTCGGCCTCCCAAGTGCTGAGATTACAGGTGTGAGCCACTGCTCCTGGCCCTAAAAGAAACACTTTTGAAAACATTAAATAGAACAGCACAGCACATAGAAGAAAGGTGTGGAAGATATTCGAGGGATAATAACTTGCAGTGATCTCATCTCAATGATGCCCACACATCAGTGACCACCTTTCAGCTCCACTACCTTTGGATTATGTACACGAGAAGAAGTCAGCACAGCAGTGATTTGAAGTGTCTTCCTCTAACATACAGAATGTTTTTTCTTTGCCTCAAAATCATCTAAGAGGTGAATCCACTTCACGAGGCTATCAAAGTTTTGAAACACTAGCACATATTTCTCAAAAGCAAATATTCCTGAAGAGTTCATGTTTCTTGCTTTTTGATCACTCCTTATTTAGACCAACTAAAGATCAAATGAGATAAATCTCTTTACATATATATAAAGAGATTTTATATATATATCTAGTTATATATATACAAATATATATATTTTTATTATACTTTATGTTCTAGGGTACATGTGCACAACATGCAGGTTTGTTACATATGTATACATGTGCCATGTTGGTGTGCTGCACCCATCAACTTGTCATTTGCATTAGGTATATCTCCCAATGCCATCCCTCCCCCTTCCCCCCACCCCACAACAGGCCCCGGTGTGCAATGCTCCAAGTAAGATAAATCTCTTAAAGGTATGTTCCCTAATCACTGATTTTTTTTTTCCTCCACAAGCTGAGGTCATCTACCACCTGTGGGGCTTGAAATACCAAAATGAAAAAACTTCCCCAGGAATGAGCACCAAACAAAATTTGCTGGGTAGCAGAAAGGTATGTGCAAAGACTTTCACTGTTAAGCAACAGTTTAGATCCTTTTCTCTATCTTCTATTTCTGTTGCATAGTTCAAATTTTGGGGGGAAGAGTGTTCATAAATTCAAGAAACTTTTTGCCACTTCATCTTTAAGCTGATGTCTAGTTGTCATGAAATCAACCATATTAATTTCCAGGAACCCTCTTCAGGCAGAAGCTCTTCACTAAAAGGGTTATTAGTTAAAAATGGAGAATATGGGCATATCCTGTTCCATATCTTCAAACCTGGAATTGGCGGTCAGCTAGCAGTGGAGGAGAGCAGGGCAGGTGCTCCAACTGGACACAGGCTTGTTGAGCTGTGGGGTCCCTTAAAGAAGGAGTCAGAGGGTAGGGGAACCCTTTTTGGTTGTTTCCTCCTCTTGGCAACAAAACCTGGCTTAGCTTCCAGTGCTTCTTGTTCTTGAAGTTCCTTTGTATTAAACAGAATTCATCATCCAAGAAAATGGCCTATAAATGTCCAGCCATTGCATCAAATTCTGCATCAGAGGAGGAAGAGTGGACACCCCATAGAACTTTCTCCTCTGAGGCATCCCTCATCTCTGGCATGGTGGCATCCTGGTGGCTAACCTGGCCTCTCAACCACCCTGCACTGCCCAGCAGGCACAGGGTACAGGTTGATGGGCCAAGGAAGCCTCATGATGTCACCATGGCCATAGTCCCCACCAGGGGAGTCGGAGCCTAGGTCACTGCTGCTCTCAAGGTCCCAGTTGAGGTTGTCACCAGATTGTCTCAGCCTTCAGGATAAACGGTAGAAAGCTCTGCCCTAAAGGTTTTACAGAGGTCTCTAGAGGGCCCAGGTAATTGAAATGGATTCACATTTCCATCTCCACCTTTGTTTGTTTCTTTTTTCTTTTCTTTTCTTTTTTTTTTTTTTTGAGACAGGGTCTCATTTTGTTGCCCAGGCTGGAGTGCAATGGCGCAATCTCGGCTCACTGCAACTGGCTCATGCCTGTAATCCCAGCACTTTGGGAGGCCAAGGTGGGCGGATTACGAGCTCAGGAGATCAAGGCCATTCTTTTTTTTTTTTTTTTTCTTTTTTTTTTGAGACAGGGTCTCACTCTGTTGCCCAGGCTACAGTGCAGTGGCACCATCTCAGTTCACTGCAACCTCTGCCTTCCAGACTCAAGTAATCCTCCTGCCTTAGCTTCCTCAGTAGCTGGGACTACAGGCATGTGCCACTACATCTGGCTAATTTTTGTATTTTTTGTAGAGACGTGGTTTTGCCATGTCTCCCAGGCTTTCTCAAACTCCTGGACTCAAGCAATCTGCCTACCTCAGCCTCCCAAAGCACCGGGATTACAGGCATGAGTCACCAGGCCCAGCCTCCACCTTTGTTTCTAGTGGCCACTTTTAAGATATTAGCAACAAGTGTCTTAACCTTTTAATGACATTTGTCTCATTTTTCCAGAGTTTTGGAAGGAAGCTAAGTACTTTCTTATTAATCAACCAGGCACAGACAGTGGCTACCGACTGTGCTAACAGTGTTAATGACACTGTGGCAGTGGGTTGGTCAGGCCTGCTCATGGGACTTGTGGAACGAGGGAAAACCTCCTTAAAGACACCAATGTGTTCCCCAAGGCCTTGGCCACCTGTGACCCCAAACTTTTCCTCACACACTAGGTTTGTACTTAACTGCACATCTTTTTACTGTGGTAAAATATACATAAAATAAAATTGACCATTTTAATTTTTTTTGAGACAGAGTCTCGCTCTGTCACCCAGGCTGGAGTGCAGTGGCGCGATCTCGGCTCACTGCAACCTCCGCCTCCTGGGCTCAAGTGATTCTCCTGCCTCAGCCTCCTGAGTAGCTGGGTTTACAGGCGCCCGCCACCGTGCCTGGCTTATTTTTGTATTTTCAGTAGAGACGGGGTTTCACCGTGTTGGCCAGACTGGTCTCAAATTCCTCACCTCAGGTGATCTGCCTGCCTGGGTCCCCCAAAAGTGCTGGGATTAATGGCATGAGCCACCGCGCCCGACCCATTTTTATTATTTTTAAAAATCCTTGAGCAGGAGCCATGTTCATCTTCTCTGTATTGTTCCAATTTTAGTATAGGTGATGCCAAAGCAAGCACCCTTTTTAATTATTTTAAGCAAGCACCCTTTTGAATGATTTTCAAGTGTACAGTTGAGTGTCAATAAATACATTCATGTTGTTGTGCAACCATCACCACTACCCGTCTCCAGGGCTTTTTCATCACACCAGGCTGAAACTTTACATCCACTAATAACTCTCCATTCGTCCCTTCTCCCGACCTCTGGTAACTTCCATTTCATTTTCTGTTTCTATGAATTTGACTATTCTAGGACCCTTACATAAATGGAATCACGCCAGGCTCATGCCTGTAATCCAAACACTTTGGGAGGCCAAGGTGGGAGGATCACTTGAGTCTACAAGTTGGAGACCAGCGTGGGCAACATAGTGAGACTCCATCTCTAAAACAAACAAACAAAAAACAAAACAAAAACCTACTAAAAGTCAGAATTGATTTTTAATCATTTTATTAGTTACTTTGAGTCACTTATCTTTGCCCAAAATTTTCACTCCATTTATACTTTTCCCCACCCCATCGTTATTCTTTTTTTTTTTTTTTTTTTTTTTGAAACAGTCTCACTCTGTCACCCAGGCTGGAGTGCAGTGGGGCAATCTTGGCTCACTGCAACCTCCACCTCCCAGGTACAAGTGATTCTCCTGCCTTAGCCTCTTGAGTAGCTGGGACTACAGGTGAGCGCCACCACGCCCAGCTAATTTTTTTTTTTTTTTTCTGAGATGGAGTCTTGCTCTGTCGCCAAGCTGGAGTGCAGTGGCGCAATCTCGGCTCACTGCAACCTCCGCCTCCCAGGTTCAAGCAATTCTCCTGCCTCAGCCTCCCAAGTAGCTGGGACTACAGGCACACACCACCATGCCCAGCTAATTTTTGTATTTTTTAGTAGAGACGGGGTTTCACCATGTTAGCCAGGATGGTCTTGATATCTTGACCTTGTGAACCACCCGCCTCGGCCTCCCAAAGTGCTGGGATTATAGGCGTGAGCCACCACAGCCGGCCAATTTTTGTATTTTTAGTGGAGACGGGGTTTCACCATGTTGGCCAGGATGGTCTTGATCTCTTGACCTCGTGATCCACCCGCCTCGGCCTCCCAAAGTGCTGGGATTACAGGTGTGAACCACTGCACCCGGCCAATTTTTGTATTTTTAGTAGAGATGGGGTTTCACCATGTTGGCCACGATGGTCTCGATTTCTTGACTTCGTGATCCACTGCCTCAGCCTCCCAAAGTGCTGGGATTACAGGCGTGAGCCACTGCCCCTGGCCCCATGGTTATTCTTTGTACCATTAAGTTCAACCACTGTGACCTCTTTACATTTCCCAAGCAATTACTTTCAAATGTCCATATCACTGTGACTTACTATATCTAGCTTAATCCTCCATCAGAACATCTCCTTTTCTACCAGGTAATGATCTCTGATAAGGAAAAGCACTAACAGGGAACTGGGTCTCCACACTTCGTAAACTGCCCAAGAAGTCTTCCATCCTCCCTTGCTTTCCCACTGGGTGAATTCCTCAGAAGAAGCAACTTCAGAATGTCACTGCTTGCTGTCTGAGCTGTGCCACAATGCCTCTGAATTAGCCTGAGAAGCCTTGGTCAGGAAAAGCAAAGAAATCAGAATTGCAGGATAAGGCTTCTCCCAAAAGACTCTCAAGAAGTGTCCTTTCTATCTGTACAGATCAGAGTGTTTGGACACTGTGCAGAAGTCTCATGAAAAAACATGTAACTTTATCCTGAAGACATCTCAGCTTCCCTTTTTATGTGGATGATCAAGGGTGTCTGCAAGTCTGGGAAAAAGGGATAGAGGAGAATTAACAGCCAATACTCCAGGGCCTGGCTTACTGATAGGGAAATGGCTGTGATGACAGAGGAATCTGGGGAGGCAGGAGGAGCTTGACAGAAACAAATGGATGTCCCAAATAGGCTAGTTCATAATTTTTTAAAAGTTGAATATTAAAAAAATAAAACATACAAGTTAAAAATGCCATCAGAGCCAGGTGCAGTGGCTCACGCCTGTAATCCCAGCACTTTGGGAGGCCAAGACGGGCAGATCACGAGGTCAGGAGATCAAGACCATCCTGGCTAACACGGTGAAACCCCGTCTCTACTAAAAATACAAAAAAAAAAAAAAAAATTAGCTGGGCGTGGTGGTGGGCGCCTGTAGTCCCAGCTACTCGGGAGGCTGAGGCAGGAGAATGGCGTGAACCCGGGAGGCGGAGCTTGCAGTGAGCCGAGATCGCTCCACTGCACTCCAGCCTGGGCGGCAGAGCGAAACTTCGTCTCAAAAAAAAAAAAAAAGCCATTGGATTAAATGTATTAAGGGAGTGGTTTGGAGGGAAAATGTGAACAAGTAGAATGAAACAGTTGGAAAAAATCAGAATGGTACTAGACAAGAAAGTTTTTTGTTTCTTGTTTCTTTGAGATGGAGTCTCGCTCTGTCACCCAGGCTACAGTGCAGTGGCATGATCTTGGTTCACTGCAACCTCTGACTCCTAGGTTCAAGCGACCCTCTTGCCTCAGCCTCCAGAGCAGCTGGGATTACAGGCACCTACCACCACACTCGGCTAATTTTTTGTATTTTTAGTACAGACAGGGTTTCACCATGTTGGCCAGGTTGAACTCCTGACCTCAAGTGATCCACTCACCTTGGCTTCCGAAAGTGCTGGAATTACAGGCATGAGCCACCACACCCAGCCATAGATAGGAAAGTTCTTACAGCTATTGGATACCACTTTACTTTGGTAAAGGGGGGTTAGTAACTGGTAAGAGGTAAGAAGGAGGGCTCTGACATACTAGTTAAGTTCTGTTTCTCAGTTTGGGTGATGGTTAATATAAAAATTCACTAAGCTGGGCTGGGTGTGGTGGTTCATGCCTGTAATCCTGGCACTTTGGGAGGCCGAGGCGGGTGGATCATCTGAGGTCAGGAGTTTGAGACCAGCCATGCCAACATGGTGAAACCCTGTTTTTACTAAAAATACAAAAATTAGCGAGGTGTGGTGCCTGCAATCCCATCTACTCTGCTGAGACAGGAGAATAGCTTGCACCTGGGAGGTAGAGGTTGCAGTGAGCTGAGATCATGCCACTGCACTCCAGCCTTGGCAACAGAGCAAGACTGTCTCAAAAAAAAAAAAAATTCACTAAGCTGAATACTTTTGATATGTGCCTTTACGTATATCGTATTTCAAAGATAAGTTTACTGGAAAAAGCCCTTCTGGAATGATAAAAATAAAGACCTCCAAAAATCCACACCTCTATAAGAGTAACAAAAACACTAGAAAAAATGACCAAAATCAACTTTTTCAGAACTCTGGAAGTTAGCCAAAAGCTTGAAACATCACTAGCAGCCACTGAGGCAGAACAAGTTTGGAAGCCCCCAAAAACTCTATCTTCACAGAATTGTTATTACTTGACCTGTCCAACAGCTCTCTGAAAGGCTCCATTTTCAAGGTTTCTCCTTACTTGACTTGATTCAGAGCTGATGCTGCAAAAGTAGCCTTGTCCCTAGGTTATTTGTTGAAAACAATCCATGGCAATTGTTTAATATGTGCAGCTGCCTGAGAAAATATCTGCAAATCATATATCTGCTAAGGAACTTGTATCTAGGCTATATAAAGAATTCTTACAACTCAATGTAAAAGTGGGTAAAGAATTAAAATAGATATTTCTAGCTGGGCATGGTGGCTCATGCTTATAATCCTAGTGCTTTCTAAGGCTGAGGCATGAAGATGGCTTGAGGCCAGGAGTTTGAGACCAGTATGGGAAACACAGCAAGACCCTGTCTCTACAAAAAAATTTTTTACAAAATTAGCCAGGTGTAGTGGCGTATGCCTGTAGTCCTGGCTATTCAGGAGAATAAGGTGGGAGGATTGCTGGAGCCCAGGAGGTTGAGGCTACAGTGAGCCTCTGCACTGCACTCATGCCACTGCACTCCAGGCTGGGTGGCAGCGGAAGACCCTGTCTTAAAAAATAAAATAAATAGACATCTCTCCAAAGATATACAAAGGTTCAAAAACACATGAAAAGGTGTTCAACATGATTAATCATTAGAGAATACAAATCAAAGTCACAGTGAGATACAGCTTCACACCCACTAGGATGGCTGGTCTCATAAAGACAGGTCACAAGTGTTGGCAGGAATGTGGAGAAATTAGAACCCTTATACACTGCTGGTGGGGATGTAAAATAGTCCTGAGAAACAATTTGGAGATTTCTCAAAAAGTTACACATAGAGTTACTATATCATCATCAATTCCATTCTTACATATATATCCAACAGAACTGAAAACATACTCACACAAAAGCTTGTACACCAATGTTCACAGCATGATTCATAATAGTCAAAAAGTGGAAATGACCCAAATGTCCACAAATGGATGGATGGTTAAACAAATGTGGTTAAACATATGGAATACTATTTGGCAATATAACAAAGTAAAGTTCTGAATCATACTGAAACACAGATGAGCACTGAAGTCATTACACTTTCAGTACAGAAGACCATGTACTGAAATATCTGGAATAGGTAAATCTATAGGAACAGAAAGTAGGTTTCCAGGGGCTTGGAGAAGCGGAGTATGGAGAATCCCTGTAATAGGTATGTGTCTTCTTTTTGGAAGGATAAAAACGTCCTAAAATTAGATATTGGTGATATTCAATGCTGTGAATCTATAAAACCACTCAATTGTACATTTTAAAGGATAAATTTTATAGTAGGTGAACATCTCAGTAAAGCCATTTTAAAATTATTTTTATTTTTTTATTTATTTATTTTTTTTGAGACAGAGTCTTGCTCTATCACCCAGGCTGGAGTGCAGTGGCGTGATCTCAGCTCACTGCAACCTCTGCCTCTCAGTTCAAGCAATTCTCCTGCCTCAGCCTCCTGAGTAGCTGAGATTACAGGCGCATGCCACCATACCCAGCTAATTTTTGTATTTTTAGTAGAGACGGGGTGTTACCATGTTGGCCAGGCTAGTCTCGAACTCCTGATCTCAAGTGATCCACCCACCTCAGCCTCCCAAGGTGTTGGGATTACAGGCATGAGCCACCACACCCAGCCTCAGGAAAGCTATTATATAACAAGAAAGCTTACTTTAAAAATTCCTTCATATCGTTATTAATCACAATTACGCCTACAAGGATAAGTCAGTTTTCCAAGGCACGGATAAAGGCCCCAGAAAACCAGGGACTTTATATGTTTTATAGAAGAGTATTTCCCCAATATGCAGTTCCAGAGCTGAAACAGTAGGTGGTCAGTAAATATCCTTAAATGAATAAATATAGATTAAGAAAGTGTTCAGAACCCAGATTTTCTGATTCCCGGTTCACCCCTCCATAGTGGGGAAGTGGCAAGACAGTGACCTCATGAATAAAGAGCAAGGTTCCCTGGCCAGGATGCCACTTACAGAATTGTTGCTGCCTACAGGAAGGTTACGCTCCTTTCTGGGGAATGGACGTGCTGTCTATAGGGACAGACACACTATTTGGCATATGGGTAGCAATTGACAGAGCATCCCAGCAAAAAAAGACTCAGGTCTTGGAGGCAGGTCACCCCGGCTCGATTCCAGGCTCTGTCTCTTAATAGATGGGTTTATCCAATCTTTCTCAGCCTATATTTCCTCATCTGTGAATGCAGGTAATAATACTCGCCTCTTACCTCATAGGGATGTTGTAAGAAGTAAATGAGAAGCATATACCTAATGCATGTGGCTCATTTGGGTAATATCTGATAAATGTTTTAATTTACATTGATAATATCGAATAAACAGGTTTCATATATCTTTTTTTTTTTTTTGAGACAGAGTCTTGTTCTGTCACCCGGGCTGGAGTGCAGTGGCGTGATCTCGGCTCACTGCAACCTCTGCCTTCCGAGTTCAAGTGATTCTCCTGCCTCAGCCTCCCAAGTAGCTGGGAATACAGGTGCGTGCCACCACAGCTGGCTAATTTTTTTTGTATTTTTAGTAGAGACAGGGTTTCACCATGTTGGTCAGGCTGGTCTTGAACTCCTGACCTCAAATGATCCACCCGCCTCGGCTTCCCAAAGTGCTGAGATTACAGACATGAACCACCGTGGCTGGCCTCAAATATCTTGTAAAAAATAAAAGGGAGACAGGTCAGTGGTTGTTTTCAGACTTTGCAGGGAACTGTTACCTGAAAAGGTTTGGAGCCTCACTCCTACCCTCCCCACCACGGTGGCATTGAGCAAGGTAGAGAACAAAAACTTCTTCCCTGTGGAGCAGCTCCCACTCCCTAGCAGCCCACAGCCGGGCATGAAACCAACACGATTATCTTGGGGGCATGGATAAAAGGCAGGAGACAGGAAACATTTTGCCTCACCTTGAGAGAGAAGAGGGACCCAGATATTTATACCCCCGTACCAAATATCTTTTCCCCTCTGTGTTGCAATGGTGCTACATTTGTTGTTTTTCTAATTAAAAAGGAGTACATTGAGGGGCAACTGAACTTGAACTGGTTCGCATCAGGAGCTGTAAACTCAGTCTTCCTGTTCATTAAAAGAGGAAAAAAAAAAAGCTTTCCTTTTGCTTGACACCTGTTAATAGCATGCCTGTGGAAACAAGTAACCATGCTCGAAAACAATCTCCAATTGCTGGATGGAAACAGCCGTTGTGATTGTTTAAGATACAATATACGTAAAGCAAGCAGCACCGTGGTTAGCATGTTGTTGGTACTCAGGAAATGGTAACTATTATTTCAAACACCTTTTCCTTAAATGCTCTGCTGGTGTAGTGCTCACTACCGTGGAATAAACTTAACTGAATAGTGCCCTCCAGAGGCCACTGGGAATTCAACTGTGCTGACAGTTGAAAAAAGGTCTGGAAAAAGACTACAAATACCATTTAATTGTCTTGTACATTGATGTGGAGTCAGCACCAGAGCCCGGTGTCCCAGGATGTATTAGAACATGACCGACTGTCTGATTTGTCACCCACAGCAGCCTTTCTTTGGCTAGGGCTTATTTGTTTGCAAAGGACACTTATGAGGACATGGAGATCTTGGGGAAACAAGTCCAGCTAGGCACTGTGGGAACTGGTGCTGGAAACTGCCAGCCCCTGGAAGGTACTGTCCCATCCCTTTTTCTGGGGACACTGTCTTTCATCCCTGTCCTTTTCTGCATGTCCACTCTGTGTTCCTCTAAAGAAACCAGCTTCCTCTTGACGTCTGCCATTCTGTAACTGTAGTACGGGCATGTGGCTCTGACTCTTTCTGGACATGAATCCAGATGTGGTTCCGTTTGGTGTTCCAGCTCATCCCACACAGCAAAGCAGCGTGGTCTCTCACTGGCTTGATTCCAGATTTTCAGGAGATTAAACTGGTTGTCAGTCAAGTCTAATGGCTGGGTTTAGTCTATCTATCCCTGGTGGGTGGCCAGGAGGTGGAGGTGGGGATGCGTGGGCGTGTGTAGGGAGACAGGGCCAGTGTCATGTGATACTAAACAAATTTAGCACATATGGAACTGCAGGAAGGGCGAGCATGTCAAAGGGTCTGTTTTTCTACAAACACGGAGCTAGTATTAATAGAGCTTTACCATGTGCCATGCACTGTCCTAAGAACTTTCTAAGCATCATTTCATTTAATCCTAAAAACCTCCTATGATATTTGATCCTGCAATCGTTCCCTCTGAAGTAACTGCTGATAACAATGTTTGTGTATCTTTCCATAATTTTCCTAACGCATTTTATTCCCATTTTAAAATGAGGGAACTAAAGCTTAGAAAGTTTAAGCCAAGATTTAAGCCAAGACAGTCTGATTCTTTTTTTTTTTTTTCAGGTTAGACAGGTAATGCACTGACATTGCAACAAGGTTTGAGGGTGGCACATCTCACACACGGCCGTGAACACCCAGTCATCATACTCACGAACTACAAAAGGATCAAGGCAGGCTGATTCTAAAGCCAGGATGTTAAACACTCACCCCACCTTCCTCCCAGTGTAGCCCCTATGGCATGGTAGATAATTTGGCTATGCAGAAAAAACATCAAATTTGGTCTGGTTCTCAGGGAGGTTATAATCTGGTTAAGGAAGGCAAGATTTATACATGCAAAACAATGAGTAAATGACAGGAGAGGGATCAAGTACTAAATTGCATGTTGCCATTATATTTGTTTTCTATTGCTACGTAACAAATTACCACAAATGTAGAAGCTTTGGAGCAATACCCATTTATTAGCTCACGGTTCTGTAGGTAAGAATACAGCTATGGCATGGCTGGGCTTGTGTTGACTGGAGCTGCCAACAATCTCATCTGGGGCTCAGGGACCTTTTTGAAGGAGTTAAAATATGCTATCCTGGAATACTGATTATTTAAGTTAAAGGCACTTGAAAAACAGCAGGTGCAAAAAGATCACTTTGACCTTCATGCTGTTTCTTAAAATCAGAAGATTAAATTCCCATGTGAAAGACGCCCTCCCTATACTAGTAAGATGCAACATCCTTGCCATCAAGGACGAGAAAGTTGAGGTCAAGGAAATTCTGTACAAACAAGCCTTTCTCTTCCTAGCTATTTTCCTACCCTATTTACTATCCTAGTGCAAGCCCCTTCGCCTTACACATGTTCACAGTTTACTATTGCGTCCAATCCAGAATGGAAGAAACTGACAATAACTGCTTCTTTGGGTCTTCATTATTTTAGGAGGACTCCTGTAAAACATCTGTAAAGAAATGTGTATGCTTTTTTCCTGTAATCTATCTTATCTCAATTCTCAGGACCGTAAGAGGATGGAGGTGGTTTTCCTGCTCCTATATCTTCCAAGCTCACCGCTTGATGGCAGAGTTCAATTCTTTGTGGTTGTAGGCCTGAGGTATCTTTTTCCTGTGAGTTGCCAATCAGGGACTGCTTTCAGTTCCTAGAGGTTGCACTTCTCCATCTGCAGTTGACAGTGGAGGTTATTTGCTTTCCTCTAGGTCAGCTGGAGTATTTTTCTGAGTGTTACTTCTGTTACCGGCCAAACTTTCTGCTTTGTTTGTTTTGCTTGTTTGTGTTTTGAGACAGAGTCTCACTCTGTCTCCCAGGATGGAGTGCAATGGCGCGATCTTGGCTCACTGCAACCTCCGCCTCCTGGGTCCAAATGATTCTTGTGCCTCAGCCTCCCAAGTAGTTGGGATTACAGGTGCACGCCACCATACCAAGCTAATTTTTTTCTATTTTTAGTAAAGACAGGTTTCACCATGCCTTGGCCCAGCTGGTCTTGATCTCCTGACCTCGTGATCTACCTGCCTTGGCCTCCCAAAGTGCTGGGATTACAGGCGTGAGCCACAAAAGATGCTTGCTTTTTTTTTTTTTTTTTTTTTTTTTTTTGCCACGTCTACTGCGAGAATGAAGACCATTCTCAGCAATCAGACTGTCAACATTCCAGAAAATGTCAATATTACTCTAAAGGGATGCACAGTTATTGTGAAGGGCCCCAGAGGAACCCTGCGGAGGGACTTCAATCACATCAACGTAGAACTCAGTCTTCTCGGAAAGAAAAAAAAGAGGCCCCGGGTTGACAAATGGTGGGGTAACAGAAAGGAGCTGGCCACCGTTCAGACTATTTGTAGTTATGCACAGAACATGATCAAGGGTGTCACACTGGGCTTCCGTTACAAGATGAGGTCTGTGTATGTGCACTTCCCCATCAACATCATTATCCAGGAGAATTGGTCTTCTGTTGAAATCTGAAATTTCTTGGGTGAAAAATACATCTGCAGGATTTGGATGAGGCCAGGTGTTCCTTGTTCAGTATCTCAAACTCAGAAAGATGAATTAATCCTTGAAGGAAATGACATTGAGCTTGTTTCAAATTCAGTGGCTTTGATTCAGCAAGCCACAAGGTTAAAAACAAGGATATCAGGAAATTTTTGGATGGTATCTATGTCTCTGAAAAAACGAACCATTCAGGAGGCTGATTAATAAGATCTAAGAGTTGTCCAGCTACAGAAACAAGATGCCGGATGCTTCCTAAGACCTATATGTGATATTTAAATGATGCAATAAAAGACCTATTGATTTGGGAAAAAAAAAACTATAAAAAAATTAGCCAGGTGTGGTGGTGTGCACCTGTAGTCCTAGCTACTTGGGGGGCTGAGGTGGGAGGATCACTTGAGCACAAGACGTTGCAGTGAGCTGAGATCATGCCACTGCACTCCAGCCTGGGTGACAAAGTGAGACGCTCTCTCAAAAAAAAAAAAAAAAAAAAAAAGATTGCGTGAAAAAAAGTTTGTGTATGTACACATATAAATCATAATAAATCATCCCATTACTGGGTATATACCCAAAGGATTATAACTCATTCTACTATAAAGACACATGTACACATATGTTTATTGCAGCACTATTTACAATAGCAAAGACTTGGAACCAGCCCAAATGCCCATCAATGATAGACTGGATAAAGAAAATGTGGCACATATACACCACGGAATACTATGCAGCCATAAAAAACGATGAGTTCATGTCCTTTGCAGGGACATGGATGAAACTAGAAACCATCATTCTCAGCAAACTAACACAGAAACAGAAAACCAAACACCGCATGTTCTCACTCATAAGTGGGAGTTGAACAATGAGAACACACGGACACAGGGAGGAGAACATCACACACTGGGGCCTATTGGGGGATGGGGGTAAGGGGAGGGAGAGCATAGGACAAATAGCTAATGCATGTGGGGCTTAAAACCTAGATGACGGCTTGATGGGCGCAGCAAACCACAATGACACATGTATACCTATGTAACAAATCTACACATTCTGCACCCATATCCCAGAACTTAAAGTGTAATAAAAAAAAATCATGGCCGGGCACAGTGGCTCACGCCTGTAACCCCAGCACTTTGGGAGGCCGAGGCGGGTAGATCACGAGGTCAAAAGATCGAGACCATCCTGGCCAACATGGTGAAACCCCGTCTCTACTAAAAATACAAAAATTAGCTGAGTGTGGTGGTGCACGCCTGTAGTCCCAGCTACTCAGGAGGCTGAGGCAGGAAAATCACTTGAACCTGGGAGACGGAGGTTGCAGTGAGCCAAGATCGCGCCATTGCACTTCAGCCTTGCGACAGAGTGAGACTCCATCTCAAAAAAAAAAAATAATAATAATAACTCAAACCTCACAAACTGAGAAAAATTAATGATTACATGGTATTTAGATAATCAGATAGTAATTTACAAAAAATTAGATTTATAATTTCCATCAAAATAAATGCCCATTAAATTTAAATTTAAATTTTAAAGATAAATTTAAAAATGTAATCACTAAAATTGGTAGAAGAGAGTTGTGGGTCTTTGGGAAAATGACATCATCCTAAGATCTGAAGAAGTGAAAAGATGATTATAAAAGAAAAAAATCAGACTTGCCTCAGAGACAGTTAAAACTTCCATATAGTAATAACAACATTTAAAAGATTAAGGAGAATTTTAACCACATGGGGTAAAAAGATTAAGATCTATAATATTTAAATGCATATCCAGTGCTGCAGATGAGGGCCCCAAGAGATAATGGACAAAGGACATGAATAGATTGTTTAGATGACAAGTAAAATAAAATAGAAAAAAAAAAATTAGGGCAAAATGGCCAAACTTCCTGATCAAATAAGTGCAAATTAAAACTACAAAATGAGCCATATTTCAATTAAGAAAACATAAATTTAAATTATAATACCCAACCTGGAAATGCTTCTGGCACTCTGGCATTCATACATTATTGGTAGGGGTGTAATTTGGTAAAATAATTTGTATAAAACAATTTGGCAAAAATGTCCTTTGATTTAATACCTTCACTCCATGAAATTTGTCCTAAAAGGATGGTTCAAAAGGAAAAAAAATAGTCAAGATCACAAGCATTTTAAGCAGCACATATACTAAAATTGGAACGATACAGAGAAGATTAGCATGGCCCTTGCCCAAGGATGAAAAAATAAAAATTAAAAAAAAGTTAAAAAAAAATAAATGCCGTGTTAACACTGACAGACTGGCAAGGACAGAAAGAACATGCTTACCTAAATTATCAGTGATGATTATACCTATCAAGACCACTTAATAAGGAGGAACGTGTTCAAATGTGTTAAGTGAAAAAGTGTAGTCACACCAGACCAATCTGGTTCCACTTTTATGTAAAAACATGGAGAGCTGTTTTTCGTTTGCCATGGTCCCTCAAGTCATGTGACCTCAGCATGCCTAGATGAACCAAGCCTGCAACCACAGGAAGAACCTAAGTGCTTGGGCTGAGGAGTGGGATGGAATTAAGAAGGGGACACTGTATGGCAGGATCCAGAATCCAATCAGATTGAGCTCTGGCATTACCCCATGGCCACATCCAGTCATATCAAGTATCCCAGCATCACCTCATTGCAAGATCCAATCAGGTTACACCTCATTACCGGACCCAGCCCCCAGCTTGGGGAGGCACCGCATTGGGAGCTATCCCTGGTATTCTCCTTACTTGACTTGTTGCAAGGAATAAAATCCCTTGCCAAATCCTCCTTCACTGTCATCATCAGGCTGTCACCTGTCAAGTGACTGAACCCACCCATTGTGTGGGTAAGAAAAGGATAATAGAGAATTCTGCACGTAGTATGATTCAAAGTAATTCCTGTGGTGTTTGTGAAGCTGCGAGAAAAACAGCACTTTTGTATATTGTCACTGGGGATACAAACTAGTATAATCTCTTGGGGAAAGCAATTTGCAATAGGAGTAACACATTTAAAATGTGATTCATTTGAGGATCCCACTTCTACGAATGTATCCATTACATATACTCATACATATACACAGACATATGAACATAAAATGTATTGCAGAATTCTTTTTTTTTTTTTTTTTGAGACAGAGTCTTGCTCTGTCCCCCAGGCTGGAGTGCAGTGGCATGATCTCGGCTCACTGCAACCTCAGCCTCCCAGGTTCGAACGACTCTCCTGTCTCAGCCTCCTGAGTAGCTGGGATTACAGGTGTACATCACCACTCGCAGCTAATTTTTGTATTTTTAGTAGAGACGGGGTTTTACCATATTAGTCAGGCTGGTCTTCAACTCCTGACCTCAGGTGATCCACCCACCTCAGCCTCACAAAGTGCTGGGATTACAAGTGTGGGCCACCACACCCAGCCCAGAATTCTGGACACAGCAAAAAAGACTATACAGTAAAAACACCCACCAGTTGGTCACTGATCAAATAAATCACATGAGGAACCTCCAGTGGGATACTATACAGCTGTTAAAAAGAATGAGAGACAAAGTGACATGTTCTGATTTGAAACAAGTGCTAAGATGGGTTTTTAAGATTTTTTAAGAAGGTTAAGATTCAGAATAGTGTGGACCATGTGCCCCATTGTGTAAAAAAGACATTAACAGAGTACTTGTAGATGCTTAGAGAATCCTTGGAAAGATACTGGTAACAGAGTGAGGCTCAGGGTATAGCTGGTTGTAGTGACAAAAGAATGGAGGTCTGAACTGAGGAAACTTTTCACTCACTGTCCTTCCATTCTATCTCATGCACATGGTAAAACAATCTTTTCCAATGAAAAGAATCAACAAAGGCAGTCTGAAAATATATATATTGCAAATGAACATAGATTAGAAGGAAACAAAAAATTATATCTGTTGAGTTAGCATGATAGAGCTGTAGGCACATGGTCACAGACTAGATCTTAACATAAAAAAATTAAATTAATGGAGAATTAGTGTAGGCGAATCACAAGTTGTTCTTTTCTTTAAAATGCTGTTTTAATGTTGCCATTGAAATAAATAAAAATTAGTGTGGGAGGAGAGACGGGGTATCTGAGGAATTAAGTGATAGAATTATAAATATGTTGTTCTAAAATGAATAAACAGGAGAAGAACGAGCCACAGAGAGCTTGCAAATGGTCCAGGGAGCAAGCAGTCAGCAAGAGGTGCCAGTGCATCTGTGCCTGGTAGGGTAGCTGGCCAGGACACACTGACTCCTCTCCTTGGGAACTCAAGGGTCAGACCTAGAGAACAAGAGAGGAGAAACTAGGGTGAAGTTAGAAGGTCTGGTTTGCAGATCCCAAAGAAAACCAGTTCTCTGGGGAGGATGGGTGGCAGGCACAGGGTGGATGAGAGACATCTAGATCCTGTAGATCTCAAAAGAGACACCTTCCCTAGGAGGACAGGGCTAAACTCTCTACTTGTGAGATGACTACTTTCGAAATTTTGATTTTTCATGCCTGTCAGTAAAAAACGAAAATTGAGAGGCTGGGTGTGGTGGCTCACGCCTATAATCGCAACACTTTGGAAGGCTGAGGAAGGTGGATTGCTTGAGCCCAGGAGTTCAACACCAGCCTTGGTAACATAGCGAAACCCCATCTCTAAAAAAAAACACAAAACATTAGCCAGGCCTTGTGACACGCACCTGTAGTCCCAGCTACTCGTGAGGCTGAGGTGGGAGGATCACCTGAGTCCGGGAAGTTGAGGCTGCGGTGAGCCGTGATCGTGCCATTGCACTCCAGCTTGAGTGACAGACACAGACCTTGTCTAAAAAAAAAAAAAAAAAAAAAAATTGGCCAGGTGCAGTGGCTCATGCCAGTAATCCCAGTACTTCGGGAGGCCAAGGCAGGCGGATCACCTGAGGTCATGAATTAAAGGCCAGCCTTACGAACATGGTGAAATCCTGTCTCTACCAAAAATACAAAAATTAGCCAGACTTGGTGGTGTGTGCCAGTAGTCCCAGCTACCTGGGAGGCTGAGGCAGGATAGTTGCTTGAACCCGGGAGGCAGAGGCTGCAGTGAGCCGAGATTGCACCACTGCATTCCAGCCTGGGTGAGACAGTGAGACTCTGTCTCAAAAAATATATAGATAGATAGATAGATGGATAAATATATTTAACCTGAAGTGCTTAATATTTTAAAAGCTATGTAGTTAAATATACTTCAAGATTTTCAAAAACTTGGTTTAACATTTTGGGATGTGATAAGCCAGAAGTATAGCTTCAAGTAATTTCATAACAAATGGGTGCTACTTTTTTTTTTTCTGAGATGGAGTCTTGCTCTGTTGCCCAGGCTGGAGTGCAGTGGTGCAGTCGCAGCTCACTGCAGCCTCTGCCTCTGGATTCAAGGGATCCTCCCACCTCAGCCTCCCAAGTAGCTGGGATTACAGGGATCCACCACCACGGCCGGCTAATTTTTGCATTTTTAGTAGAGACAGGGTTTCACCACGTTGGCCAGGCTGTTCTTGAACTCCTGACCTCAAGTAATCTGCCCACCTCAGCCTCCCAAAGTGCTGGGATTACAGGTGTGAGCCACCACACCAGGTTGGATGTTGCTTTTTTTTTTTTTTTTTGAGACGGAGTCTCACTCTGTCGCCCAGGCTGGAGTGCAGTGGCGCGATCTCGGCTCACCGCAAGCTCCACCTCCTGGGTTCACGCCATTCTCCTGCCTCAGCCTCTTGAGTAGCTGGGACTACAGGCACCCGTCACCATGCCCGGCTAATGTTTTTTTGTATTTTTAGTAGACACGGGGTTTCACCCTGCTAGCCAGGATGGTCTCGATCTCCTAACCTCGTGATCCGTCTGCCTCGGCCTCCCAAAGTGCTGGGATTACAGGCGTGAGCCATGGCGCCCAGCCTGGATGCTGCTTTTAACAGCTGCCATAGCTGAAGATACCTCACAAGGATACATAGATTCAAATGGAAGAAATATGTTAGTGGCATTGATTATGATTTAATCAATCATAATAGTCATTTTCCAACCCTATCCACCACCTGTGCTTTGGTTTTGGTTGAAATTGTGCATTGATTTTGTCAAATTTTTCTTGCAAACTCTGAAGCTACTGTACTTTTAATAGTTTTTAACATATAGCTCCTCTAAAATTCTTTGGAAGATTTAAAAATATAAAATTTTGTTCTCAAGATTTTAAAGATGCATCTGAAACTTTTTGTTGGCAAATGTTAACATTTTTGTAAAAAAAAAGAAAAGTCATATCACTATGGAAACATTTCCTAATATCCATCTTGAAAATGCCCTTTGCATAGCATGACTTTCTTTCGAAAAGTAGTTATTTTCTTATTTATTGTTACAACACCATCTTTACCTTGGAGAGACATGTTTGTCCTTGCAAAAATAGCCTCCAGGGAGGCCACTGGGAACTACTGTACTTGGCTTCAGAGATAAGGTCCTCAAATTTGAATCACTTGTCTTTTTCGTAGAAGAAAAATCCCAGTCATCTTTTTTTTTTTTTTTGAGATGGAGTCTCGCTCTGTCGCCCAGGCTGGAGTGCAGTGGCGCGATCTCGGCTCACTGCAAGCTCCGCCTCCCGGGTTCATGCCATTCTCCTGCCTCAGCCTCCCGAGTAGCTGGGACTACAGGCGCCTGCCACCATGCCCAGCTAATTTTTTGTATTTTTAGTAGAGACAGGGTTTCACTGTGTTAGCCAGGATGGTCTTGATCTCCTGACCTCGTGATCTGCCTACCTCAGCCTCCCAAAATGTTGGGATTACAGGCATGAGCCACTGCGCCCGGCCCAATCCCAGTCATGTTTAAGTTCTATTACTCTAATAAATGCTTTGTTTAGAAATAAACATCAAACCTCTATGTAGTAAGATATTTTCATCATCATTCCCTGAAATAGGCCAAGAGGATGAAATGGCTGAATAAATTTCATGCTCTTGGCCTATTTTTGTAACCTTACCTAAATTTAAAAAAAAAATTTATTTACACATTTAAGTTTTTACAAAATTTTCAGGGTTCATGTGATTATTTAATACATTCATATGTAAACCGAAAATAAAATTCTAAGCCCTCCAACTGACTAAGTGAACCCTGCTTCTTGGTCAAGGGGATTCCAAAGTAAACCTGAGAAACTGGTTCAGGCCATGACAGGCAAAAAGGCGCAGGACATGCCTCATTATATTCTCTTCCCTTAGGAATTCAGGCACAACAGACCAGCGTTAACATTAAGATAGAGACTTCAAGACAGACAAAACAGACTCTTTGTAGCAGTGAGACACCAGATGCTGACCTGACTCTAGTATAGCATCACATGACAGACAGCAGGCACTGAAAGAAATTGAAGCATTTTATTCCAAAATATATCTCTTTGACATATTTTGAAACAGCCCTGCAAAGCTGTCTCTTGTGGGGAAAATCTACATTCTATACAGGATCCCCTTCCTTTCCCAGGTCTTTTGCTGATCCAGGAGAGATTTAACTAAGAGTCTAGCACCTTTTACAGTCTGATGAGACATCTGCCACCTATTCTTTTTTTTTTTTTTTTTTTTTTTTTGAGACAGAGTTTTGCTCTTGTTGCCTAGGCTGGAGTGCAGTGGCGCGATCTTAGCTCACTGAAACCTCTGCCTCCTGGGTTCAAGTGATTCTCTCGCCTCAGCCTCCTGAGTAGCTGGGATTATAGGTGCCTGCCACCACATCCAGTTCATTTTCTTGTATTTTTAGTAGAGATGGGGTTTCATCATGTTGGCCAGGCTGGTCTCAAACTCCTGATCTCAGGTGATCCACCCACTTTAGCCTCCTGAAGTGTAGGGATTATAGGCATGAGCCACCGCCCCCGGCCTTGCCATCTATTCTCTCCGAAGCCTGCTACCTGGAGGCTTCTTCTACATAGGAAGAACTTTGGCCTGCACAACCGCCTATCTTAACCCATACGCTCCTTTCTATTGATTCCAGGTCTTTTTTTCTTTCCTTCTTTCTTTTTTTTTTAGATGGAGTCTCGCTGTCACCCAGGCAGGAGTGCAGTGGCACAATCTTGGCTCACTGCAACCTCTGACTCCCAGGTTCAAGCGATTCTTGTGCCTCAGTCTCCCAAGTTGCTGGGATTACAGGCACCCACCACCTCGCTTGGCTGTTTTTTTTTAGTAGAGACGAGGTTTCACCATGTTGGCCTGGCTGGTCTCGAACTCCTGACCTCAGGTGATCCACCTGCCTTGGCCTCCCAAAGTCCTGGGATTACACGTGTAAGCCACGACACCAGGGCTAATTCCATGTCTTTAGATAATAACTCTTTCAACCAATTGTCAATCAGAAAATCTTTGAATCCACCTTTGACCTGGAAGGCTGTCCCCAAGTTGATTGGTGTCTGCTTGTAACTTCTGTCCCCTTAAAAGGTGTAAAATCAGGCTGTAACCTACCTACCTTGGGTACATGTTTTCAGGACCTTTTGAGATTATGTCTCAGGCCTTGGTCACTCATATTTGGCTCAGAATAAAACTCTAAATATTTTACAAAGTTTGACTCTTTTCATCAACATATAATTTGTAAAACTCAAATCAGTGTAATTGGGATATCCTGAATTCCTTTTTATTCTAGTTAAAGCTACTGTTACCTGATATAATTTTCCCATAAACCATTGTTTTAACTAACAAAGGCATTGAATTGTGAAAAATACATCTTTTCTGGTACCTCTTTCTTTTAGTGACCTCACAAATAAATAGGTCTATTTCATTATTGAAACAGACACAAGCAAATATTCTTTTTTAAAAATCTTTTTTATTTAAAAAAGTTTTTACAAAAATAGAGATGGGGTTTCACCACGTTGACTTGGCTGTTATCAAACTCTTGGGCTCAAGTGATCTGCCCACCTTGGCCTCCCAAAGTGCTCGGATTATAGGCATGAGCCACCGTGCCTGGCCAGAATCAAGCAAATACTCTTAATTGGAACATGTGTGAAACAGCAGTACTTAAGTCCAACTGCACAGCAGATCTCCCCCACTACACTCTTTCTTTGAAACTTCAGCAATATTTCTGTGCATCTTCCACATCTGTGGATCTGTGCATCGGAATTTGCTGACAAAACCGTGCGTTTTATTTTGCAGCTATATTGTTTTCCATGTATTATTTTAGCTATTTTGACCACATCAGGAAGGCTGTTTTTCTACTGGTATGTAGCTTTTTACCTTAAGCAATTATGTTTTTAAAAACCCTCAAAACAGGCTCTTAAATATTCAGTTTGCTAAAATCCTGGACTAGATTTAGTAATACGTAATTTTAAACACTGCTAAAACATTTTAAACTATTTGTATTCACGTTGTGAATATTTAGATTTTTTTTTTTTTTTTTTTTTTTTTTGAGACGGAGTCTCGCTCTGTCGCCCAGGCTGGAGTACAGTGGTGCAATCTCCCCTCACTGCAAGCTCCACCTCCCGGGTTCACGCCATTCTCCTGCCTCAGCCTCCCGAGTAGCTGGGACTATAGACGCCTGCCACCATGCCCGGCTAATTTTTTGTATTTTTAGTAGAGACGGGGTTTCACCGTGTTAGCCAGGATGGTCTCCATCTCCTGACCTCGTGATCCACCTGCCTTGGCCTCCCAAAGTGCTGGCATTACAGGCGTGAGCCACCGCACCTGGCCGTGAATACTTAGATTTTAAATATCTTGCTAATTATAATGGTCTGATGTCGTCAAGTATTACCGTAAGGCACAATCTATGCTTAGGATGAGGTTTTTCTTTAATGCTAGTGGTTGTAAGTTTATATTTCACATAGTCCCCTGATGAATTTTATGTTTTTGTCTGACTTCTCAGTCTACATAGATTGTCACTGTTTTACTTCATAACTAGCACATGGTAGCAGGAAGAAAAGTGTTAACCCAGTCATTTCTTATTGTTTGCTTACACCTGCATTAATTGTAGTATTTTTAGGCCAGGAGCAGTGGCTCACTCCTGTAATACCAGCACTTCGGGAGGCTGGGATAGGAGGATCCCTTGAGGCCAAGAATTTGAGAACAGCCTGGACAACATAGTGAGACCCTCATCTCTGTATATTAAAAATAAAAATAAGAAATTTCTTTAGTTTTTCTGCCCATTTGGTAAAGGTTAACTCAGTTAAAACAAAATAATTTAATCCATAAACCCACTTCATCAGGTGAGCCTACATAAACTCCAGTCCCTTGACATAAGCCCAAAGTGGATTAAACAGGCCAGGCACCATGGTTCACACCTGTAGTCTCAGCTACTTGAGAGGCTGAGATAGGTGGATTGCTTGAGCCCAGGAGTTCAAGGCTGCAGTGAGCTTTGATTGTGTGACTGCACTTCAGCCTGGGGGACAGAAAAAAAAAAGAGGGTTGTATATCAACCAGTGAGGGGGCCTTTGTGGACCTTCTCCCCTTCCCTCAGCATATGTCATGGACTACACAGAAAATGGGACTCTCTGACATTCGATTGAACAAGGAAGCCAGTGTCAATCCATATCTAAATTATTGGTCAAACTCAATTTTTTTTAAAGATAAAAAATTTCTTGGGATACTGATAATTTTTCCTCTTACGCATGGATCTTTTCAGGCTTCTCACCTTAGCAACCACCATTCTAGAGCATGAACCATTTTCTGGTGACTTCTATGTAAGTTCTTTCTGCCCATTACACTGGTTCAGATGAGGACTTCACAGGAGTGGATATCTGGACTAAATAAAACCCTTGAGTCAGGGAAAAACCCAGACTTGCCATGGAATTTAACAGAGACATGTACTTAACAGAGCTTGAATTTTTATTTATTTATTTATTTATTTATTTATTTATTTATTTATTTATTTTTGAGACAGAGTCTCACTCTCTTGCCCAGACTGGAGTGCAGTGGCACGATCTCAGCTCACTGCAACTTCCACCTCTTGGGTTCAAGCAATTTTCCTGCCTCAGCCTCCCAAGTAGCTGGGATTACAGGCACGCACCACCACGCCTGGCTAAATTTTGTATTTTTAGTAGAGATGGGGTTTCACCGTGTTGGCCAGGTTGGTCTCCAACTCCTGACCTCAAGTGATCCACCTGCCTTGGCCTCCAAAAGTGCTGAGATTACAGGCATGAGCCACCCTGCCTGGCTAGAGCTTGAAAATTTAAGGCTATCCACTCCCCTCGACCCCATAATAGTTCAGGCCTCCTTTCAGGAATATTTGTGAAGATACATTTGTGATCCCAAGGTCAAAATTTCTTAATAAATCCCAGCCCCATTTAAACTGATCAACCTTATAGTCCAGCCTAAGGGCTGGGGAGACATGCACTTCAGCTATGGAACTAGCCCAGCCTTCCTCCCCAAAAGGACATGGCTAAATTTAAGTCAAAGAGACATTGCAAATGATAGAATCATCTTTCCTTTGGTGAACAAAGAGCCCTGAGGGATGAGTCAGCTATTACACCATCACTGCAGCCCTGGCATCCAAGTTTCTGTGACTCAAAGATAAGAGATCCATACAATTCAACATTGTTGCTCCATATAATTCAACATTGTTATTCCAAGTTATCAAAAAAGCCACTAGTAAGGCCAGGTCTGTAACACCAGCACTTTGGGAGGCCGAGGTGGGTGGATCACTTGAGGTCAAGAGTTCGAGACCAGCCTGGCCAACATGGTGAAGCCCTGTCTTTACTTAAAATACAAAAAATTAGCCGGGCATGGTGTGCACCTGTAGTCCCAGCTGCTTCAGAGCTGGAGGCAGAAGAATTGCTTGAAGCCGGGAGGCGGAGGTTGCATTGAGCCAACCAAGATCGTGCCATTGTGCTCTGTCCAGCCTAGGCGACAGCGAGACTCTGTCTCAAAAAAATAAAAAATGAAAAGGCCACTAGTATCAGAGCTTCAGAACATTTTAAACAAACTCTCATCCTCAAAATCTTTGGAGAAAGATCACATCTCAAAGAAGAATCCCATGAAGAAATCTATATAACTGTTTACAAGCTTTGTTTCATTTTACATTGTACAAGAGTTATATATTTGGGTCCTTAAATAGCAGATATTGTTGTCCTCCAGCAAGAGGTCACCTTTTGATATTGGTGCCCTCCAACACCAGAAGATGCAAGTGCAAGTCTGTTCATTTCTGTACTTGGCAAACCCAGGTGGAATGGGAGTGAAGTTCATAGGAACGGCTCACCTACTCATTGCAGTTGGTTACCTGCCTCTGCTTCCACAGTAACTAAGAAAGGGCCAAGGGCCAAAACAGGTGCCAAAGCCTGAAGTTCAAAAATCTCTGGAGGCGGCTGGTCGTGGTGGCTCAAGCCTGTAATCCCAGCACTTTGGGAGGCCAAGGTGGGCGGATCACAAGGTCAGGAGATCCAGACCATCCTGGGTAACACAGTGAAACCCCGTCTCTACTAAAAAATATACAAAAATTTAGTGAGGCGTGGTGGTGGGCACCTGTAGTCCCAGCTACTCGGGAGGCTGAGGCAGGAGAATTGCATGAACCCGGGAGGCGGAGGTTGCAGTGAGCGGAGATCGCGCCACTGCACTCCAGCCTGGGCGACAGAGTAAGACTCCGTCTCAAAAAAAAAAAAAAAAATCTCTGGAGAAGAAAAGAAAAAGTCATTTTGAGGGCATATGGTGCTCAAAACGAGAGAATAAAAATGTTCATAACGTATTTAGTACCCGGACAGAAAAGATAAAGTAGAAGTCAGGATTGCTGAAAATGGCCCAGGGGTGCCTATAGATAGACGGGTATGAAGTTGGACCAGTAACACTATAACCACACTAAGATGCTTTTATCTTTCTTCTCTGTATGGTTTACAATTACCATTACAATTCCCGAAAGTAGTGCTAAGAGTTTAAAAGCGAGTGTCTTATGTAGGTATTTGGGTTTTCCATCTTCCATGGCTCAAGTTAATCACCCAGGGGCTGTGCTGCCCCCATTCAGAAAGGTTGTGACCAGGGTACCAGAGGAGGAGCAGGTCACTGGGATAAAATTAAAGAGCATCTCTGGATCTGGCTCTGAAACCTCAATCCTCTTTAAATGATGGAAAGTCGCTCTTTTTATGGAATCTCTTCCCTCATAAAAACAAGTGGACCCTGAAAAGCAGCTGTGCATGTGGCTTTCAACAATGATCTGTGGGCTGCGACGGAGGGTGTGGCCAAGTTTGCCAGTTTTCTGAAAGAACTCACCCCACTGGCCATTGTAGTGTTGGAAATTGTCTTGCTGCTCACGCTTTCCTTAAAAGGCTTCTGATTCCAGAACAGAGTTAGAGAAACTGGGGACGAATAACTCCCCTCTGTCATCCATCACGAAGAGCTGAGCACAGGCGGATTTCTCAGATCAGCTCCTCATTCATTAGTGCGACTCCTGAGGGCCGAGGCTGTGTGTGTGAAGGGACTCGAATGGGGCACCTCCCAGGGCCACAGGAAAAAACACCAGTCACAGACAGGAGAGGATAGCTCAGATGTTGCCATTCAAGAGAGAGCTCTGAAGGCTGAAAACATCAGCCAAACAGCACGGCGGTGAAACACACACAGCCTGTGAATAATAAACTGGACTGGGGCTCCCAGCACTTTCTCTCACTGTGCTGGATTTCAACCACAAGATGGCAGGCGACGGCCCTCAGATCCTCACAGCTTGTCAGATGGCACTCCCAAGAGGTGAGGAAAGCAAGCTCCCACTGTCCTCTCCAATGGCCATCGCCACACTCTTAGGAGGCAGCTATAAGCTACACTCTTGTTGAGATGGAAGGTTCTAGATGTAACTATCCATTTTCAGAACAGGTAAAAACATAGATTTTCTATGTTTTTATGTAAATAATAAACTGTTAAAAAACCATCCTAATTTCATTAGTTATTTTTATTATTTTTTTTTTTTTGAGATGGAGTCTTGCTCTGTTGCCCAGGCTGGAGTGCAGTGGTGTGATCTCGGCTCACTGCAACCTCCGCCTCCCAGTTCAAGCGATTCTCCTGCCTCAGCCTCCTGAGTAGCAGGAACTACAGGTGTGTGTGCCACCATGCCCAGCTAATTTTTTGTATTTCTAGTAGAGATGGGGTTTCACTATGTTGGCCAGGCTGGTCTCAAACTCCTGACCTCAAGTGATCCACCCGCCTCAGCCTCCCCAAGTGCTGGCATTACAGGCATGAGCCACTATGCCCAGCCTCATTAGTTGTTATTTATGATGTTAAAGAAAACATTCTAGAATTTGAGTCAGAGTGCATGAATTCTAGGCGTCACTCTTCTCTAAGATGATACTTGACCCCAGGAAACCACCTCCTGAAGCCTCAGTTTCCACCTTGGTAGAGTGAGAAAACAGGACTTGGATGAACCCTGGGATACCTTCCAGAAACCAAGTCCTGGAGTGAAACAGCACGTGGAGACAGCAGTCTGAAAGGAATGAAGCGGGTCACGAACAAACAGTCCGTAATGCTTCACTTACACTTCATCCTTGGGGAATGGGCTGTTCCACATGGCAGGTTTTCCACATAATTGAATTTTAAATGCTGAAACTTGTTTTCGTTTTAACCGGTAAGGGAAATCTTTCTAAAGTGTATTACATGCTTCTCTGGCTTTTTAAACAGCAAGCTGAGTATAATTTCACCTTTCCTTAATGTCTCTAAGTCATGGTGATGACGACCTCTTACTATATATCCAGTCCTGCACAGAGCGTCAGGCACCTTTGAGCATATTCAGGTAGGCAGGACCCTTATGCTAAATGGCCCCAGAGACTACAGTATCAAGCTACAATTGGCAATTCTTTCTCTCTACCATCTCCTACCTACATCACTACCTGCAGTCATTTTTCCAAGTAACACCTTCTAGCAGCCTCTTGACACTGTTTAAAATCTGCTATAATGCAGACAGAACTCAAGGTTGCCATGGGTAACCAGAGCCTAAGCTTGCAACAACCCTAAATTTAATTTTACATGCAAGTTCAAGGCAGCGGGTACTGTGCTGAAGGTGACTTCTGACCAGGGCTGACATTCCACTGGTCCTCACAGCATGTCATACTTCCGTACCAATTGGCCTGTCGCCCTGAGCCCCCCAGCCCCCTCCTGCCAGCCCAGCATCCTGGCCCCTCTTCTAGGACCACACAGACTTCTCACACTCCCGGAACTCAAAGGTGCTGTCAGGCCCTGCAGGCTCCGGGACCCGGTTCTTGCATCCGCCAGCATCCCTTCCAAATGGGGGTCCCCATGCCACGCCACTCGCTCAATATTGGAATGGACCCCAGTGTCTGGACCAAAGATTATTCTTTGTCTTCCCTGTGGAGTGAACAGGCAGAGTTTGAGGCTCTTCTCTCTCCCTCAAACTCAAAGGGCTTTTCTCAGATGCATGCTGTGCTCTGGGTCCACGTTGCCTGAGGCTGACTGGGTGGGGTGTTACAAGTTACCTCTGGCTGAACAGCTACCATGTGCCAGATGCTGTATTCAGTACATTAGGTAAATCATCTGTCATCCACTCAACAACCCCTTTAGGGAAGTAGCAGCAACAGCCTGTGGCTGAGGTCACCTGCCCCCATCACACACCCACTAAGTAGGTCCAAAAGCCTGACACACCTCTCTCCGAGGCCCGCATTCTTTGCACTGTGCTCTGCTCACGTTTATTACTGTACAAAGATGGCCGGGTGCAGTGGCTCATGCCTGTAATCCCAGCACTTTGGGAGGCTGAGATGGGTGGATCACCTGAGGTCAGAGGTTCAAGACCAGTCTGGCCAACATGGTGAAACCCCGTCTCTACTAAAAATACAAAAAATTAGCCAGGCATAATGGCAGGCACTTGTAATCCCAGCTACTCAAGAGGCTGAGGCAGCAGAATCACTTAAACCCGGGAGGTGGAGGTTGCAGTGAGTCGAGATCGCGCCGTTGCACTCCAGCCTGGGCAACAAGAGTGAAACTCCGTCTTAAAAAAAAAAAAAAAAAAAACAAAGACGCCCAAAGTTTACATTCTGCAAAAATGCGTTTTAAGCGAAAAGACTTTTACTTTTCAGAAAAGACATTTGTTTCTGTTTTGGTGTGTGGGTTTTGTTTTAATTAATTCCATATTTTGCGACCAATTTGGAACAATCTGTCCTTAGGGAACAGATCTGGTTTACTTATAGAAAGCTAGGAAGTGACTGGCGTTACAAAGTATTCCTTTGTAGGAATGAATCTAGAAAACCTTCCCAGTTCTCCCTGCACCAAACAAGTAAGTAGAACATTCCAGAAAGTCCCCAGAGTGGATGTGATGGAGCTCACAAACAAAAACTTTCCTCCATGAGTTATCAGCTGTGCCTTCAAGATGGGGCAGGTGACATCAAACACCATGAATACTCCCCTTCCCAGAAAGTTCTCTAGAAGTTCCCACCAGGACAAAGCTGCTAACACTCAAAAGAATGAAGGCTTCCTAGGATTACTAGGCATCAGGAGTGCCAGCCAGTGAAAAGGTAGGAATCAGGAACGGGGTCTGTAATTTGGAGGCAGTCACAGGTTTAGGCTCTAAAGCGGGTCTGGGGTACAGAAGTTCTGTCAAACCCATGGCCTTGAATTTTTTGTTCTTTCTCAAAGGATGGACATTCCAAATCGACCCTAAACTAATTTTTGAAGTAAGCAAATCATGACCTCATCTTCCACATACTGTAACTGCTCCTTTCACAGTTAACACACACATGGTTCTCAGAGTGTCCTCATCAAAAAACATCCACAGTGCTCTAAAGTGTCCAGTGTCGGGGAGGAAATCATCCGAAAAATGGACTCCTATAAGGTGACAGGGACAAAATGTCACCTGTACTAGTAGTTTTCTAGGGCGACCACAAACCAGGAGGCTTAAGCAACAGGGATTTACTGTGTCACGGTTTTAGAGGTGAGACGCTGGAGCTCAAGGTGTCAGCAGAGCCAAGCTCCCCTAGTTTGGAGAGGCTAGGAAAGGGTTTGTACCAAGCCTCTCTCCCAGCTTCTGGTCGTTCCTTGGCTTTCAGCAGCATAACTCCAATCACACATGGTGTTACTCCTGTGTTGAGTCTGTGACCGAATTTGCCCTTTTTATAAAGACAACAGTTATCCTGGAATAGGGGCCAACCTACTCCACTAGGACCTCATCTTAACTAATTATTCCTGCAATGATCCTATTTCTAAATAAGGTCATATTCTGGGGGCTAGGACTTCAACAGATGAATTTTGGGGGGACATAATTCAACCCATAACATCATCTAAGGTAGTTTTGAATTCAAAATCAAACTCCTGACAGGGAGCAGAAGAGATTGCAAGAGAGTCCTTCATACGACAGCTGTATATGCTAGTGTGGACCATTTATCACGCTGGCAGGTAAGTTGGTGTGTTGACCCCTGAAACCCACTGCTTACAATTAAGAGTGAACAGGCAACCATCAACCGAGGAACCATTTGCTGGGAGGCAGAGGGGTACACTGGGGTCTGTCCAGAACTCTAATTTCTACTTACCACTTTTTAAGACAAAACTCACATAGGTAGGTGGGAAAATTTAGCACTGAAGGAAACAGTCAGTCACAAAGACTGAAAAGGAACACTTGAGAACATTCAAAACACTTTCAACTCCCTACTACCTAAATTGCAAAGTGCTTCTAGTCCCAAAGCTCTGGCTAGAGCTAAGTTTGCCAAAAGGAGTCTATATTACAATTGGGCTTCCTTTTATTTTATTTATTTTGAGACAGAGTCTTGCTCTGTTGCCCAGGCTGGAGTGCAATGGCGGCACAATCTAGGCTCACTGCAACATCCACCTCCTGGGTTCAAGTGATTCTCCTGCCTAAGCCTCCCGAGTAGCTGGGATTACAGGCATGCATCACCACACCTGGCTAATTTTTTGTATTTGTAGTAGAGGCAGGGTTTCGCCATGTTGGCCAGGCTGGTCTCAAACTCCTGACTTCAGCTGACCAACCCGCCTCGGCCTCCCAAAGTGCTGGGATTATAGGCATGAGCCACCACGCCTGACCGGGCTTCCTTGTACAAGATGAGGCAGGGGGCTTGTTTTCCTTGTCAGTTTGGGCAGGTAGAAAAGAAACCTTATAGTTTGTTCTTCATAAGTCATTTTCTTCCCTGGTGTCTGTGATTATACTGAGGAGGTATTTTGTGAAGATGTAAACCATCCATGAAATTATGCATCAGATCGCACAAGGACCAAAGTACAGATCTGGTGCAGAAGTTGAGGTAGTATCGCACAAGGACCAAAGTACAGATCTGGTGCAGAAGTTGAGGTCGTACAATGCAGTGGTTAGGAATACAGACAATGGAGCCAGAAGGACTTGGGTTCAAATCTAATTTTGCCTCTTACTTAGGTGACCGTGGGGAAGTGATATTCAGCCAAGGTTTCTCATCAAAGGCTGTCCTTTATGGAATTGTGGTCGCTATTAAATGAGACAGTGGCTGGCAGACATCCTCTACGGTAGAAACTGCTCAATAAATGGTACTTCTTGTAATTATTCAAGAGAAGTAGGGAGTGAAAAATCAAGCTAGTCTGTCTTGTTAACTCCTTGATTGTTATAAGGCAATAGGAGCACAGGACTTGAGGATTCCTTGCCTCATTACTTGATTCAATTTCAAGCTCTCTTTCATGAAGACCAAGTAATAGGTGTTGGCCTTCCCTTTCTCCTACCACTACATCTCAGTGGCTTCAGGATACACCCTCTTTCACCTGGCTTTTCATCGTCTAGCACACACACGGCTGCTTCAACACAGAAAGGAACTTCAAAGTCATGACTGCTGACCACTAAACAAGATTTTACTTCCTCAGCTGTGAAAGGTTTCCAGAAGCCCAGCGTTTTCATTATATGTTCTTATTTTCTGTATCTTTTTTTTTTTTTTGGACGCAGGGTCTTGCTGTGTTGCCCAGGCTAGAGTACAGTGGTGCAAACATGGCTCACTGCAGCCTCGATCGACCTCCTGGGCTTAAGCAATCCTCCCACCTCAGCCTCTCGAGTAGCTGGGACTACAGGTGTGCACCACCATGCCCAGCTAATTAAAAAAAATTTTTTTATAGAGATGGGGACTTGCCATGTTGCCCAGGCTGGTCTTGAACCCCTGGGCTCAAGCAATCTTGCCATCTCGGCCTCCCAAAGTGCTGAAATTACAGGCGTCAGCTACCTTGCCCCTATTTTCTGTATTCTTGATGCTCTGAGATTTGGAGTCTTGAACATCGACAGGCTGCCCCTCCCAGGGGTGGCTGATTCCTAAAGATAGCAAAGGACTCCCTTGTGAGTAGAGCTTTAACATACAAACCAACCAACCCAGAGCCATACCCAATTATCTCCTTTATCAAACTCACACACCAAGCCAATATTCTCCCTGCCTCAAATCACTCCAGGGCCAGACACCGGGACAACTAAGGACCATATAGTCCGGAGCCTACTGAAATTATTCAAACTATCCAATCCTAAGCACACTCAGCCACCTACCCTGCCTCCTCTGTTCCTTCCCATGAAAACCTCAATAAAGCCTATGGAGCCCCATGGGTGCAGTGACTCACACCTGTAATCCTAACACTTTTGGAGGATGAGGTGGGAGGATCACTTGAGGCCAGGAGTTTGAGACCAGCCTGGGCAACATAGTAAGATACCATCTCTACAAAAAAAAAAAAAAAAAAAAAAGCCAGATGCAGTGGTGCACACCTGCAGACACAGTTACTAGAGAAGCTAAGGTGGGAGGATCCTTTGAGCCCAGGAGTTCAAGGCTGCAGTGAGCTATGACTGTGGCTCTGCACTCCAGCCTGGGTGATAAGAGTAAGACGCTGTCTGCAAAAAAAAAAAATAAAATAAAATAAAATAAAGGCTCTGGGCCATGCTCTCCTCTCTCTTCTCTGCCTCCTCACTGACCCCTGCACTTCCCTGTGTAGCCCTATGTGGTGTGGCGTGCCTCCTGTTTCTACAGATCTGAGACTTCGTGACAGCCATTTCCATGTGTGCGCGTCTTTTTTTTTTTTTTTTTTTTTTGAGACAGAGTCTTGCTCTGTCGCCCAGGCTGGAGTGCAGTGGCGCAATCTCGGCTCACTGCAAGCTCCGCCTCCTGGGTTCAGGCCATTCTCCTGCCTCAGCCTCCCAAGTAGCTGGGACTACAGGCACCCGCCACCACGCCCGGCTAATTTTTTGTGTTTTTAGTAGACACGGGGTTTCACCATGTTAGCCACGATGGTCCCGATCTCCTGACCTTGTGATCTGCCCGCCTCGGCCTCCCAAAGTGCTGGGATTACAGGCGTGAGCCACGGCGCACGGCTCATGTGTACATCTTTTACCATATCTGATTAAAACAAATCTCAGGTATGTTATAGAACAGCCAGTTGTAACAATTAACGAATCCCACTGGTCTATTCCCTGACATTTTCTCCTATTCCTATTTCCTAAGCTCCTCAGCTTCAGCTATTTGAGTCCAGATACCAAGAGGTCACACCCATCCAAGCATTTCTTTCGGAGTGCCCATAAGTGGAGTGTTGCACCGAATAGGACATTTGGCTGGGAGTCAGAGACGGAGCCTGAGCCTCGGCTCTGCCAGTTATCACTGCGGCATCCCAGGAACACCACTAAACCTCTATGGGCTTCTGGAACAATAACACTAGCTCAGATAGATAAAAAAGTGTCTCACAGATTCACCCCTAGTATTTTAGCATAGGCAGCTACAGTGAACCTCCCTCCCACCCCAATACCACCATCCCAACAAACTTACCTAGGGTCCCAAAGCTAGTTGCTAGAAGACCTTGGAGAGAACCTGGAATCCCAAACCCAGTCCACTGCTCCCTCCATCACACCACATGTGATCCTTCTTCAGAGCTTCAATAAAGATTCCAGTTCTATGTTCCACCTTCTGTCATGACCCTGGCCCATCACCTTCTATTCCTCTTAATCTTTCTTTGCAAAACTGGGCATCATCCTGTCACTCCCCCAACAAGTAAATGAAAATATCAAGGAATCCTCCATTGGTAGCTGGAAAGTCATCTCATCCCAGGGGTAGATAGGTTCTTAGAGGCTGGGAAAGAAAACTTTGCCTCCTAAAGACTCCAGCAACCTCCCAAACACTCTCCATTATGGTAGTAATGATGATATTAATACATATAGACTACTACTTACTAGACATAGTGCTGAGCCCTTTATATGTACTATTTAATCATTTAGTTATTGGCATCAACAGTCTTATGATTCCCATTTCACACATGGGGCATCTGAGGCTAAGAGGTACAATTTTCCCAAGATCAACCAGCTAGTAAAGGGAACCCAAGGAGGCAGCCCCAGTTATCTGTTCTGGAGCTGGAGCTCCTGACTACTTCGTCCTCCTGCTGGATGTCCCCTCCCTGATCTTCCTTCTACCTCTCTATCCAAATCAGCTTCTTTCCAACCAGATAGCTGCAAACGGTAGGGGCTCTTAGGGACCACTTTCAAAGAACTATCTCCAGCTCCATGGCAATCCCCACTTCTAACCCTGGACCCAGCCTCCAGGAAGCTGAGTCACTTTTTCAGCTCCCTGCAGCATCTTGAGCCTGGTGGTGGTCAGCGTTGCTCCTTTTCTGAGAACAATCTCTAATCCCAAATAAAATCATTTCATCCCTCCTTGAAAATGAGTGGCTTTTCCCAGTAACGGCCAGTCAGGCACCTAGCCATTGGCTAAAAGCATCTCTGCAGTTGAAGGGGCAAACCAAAGGAAATACTGGTGAGAGTGTCTACTGCATAAGTCCTCACACCTGTGAGCCAGCTCTGTGCTACTTCCTTTCCATGTACTGGATCATTTGAATTTGGACCATGTTGTATGTGCCCAATGACTGCTTGTTGACCCTCCACATCCAATCTCCATTCTTCTCCACCCTGCACTTTGCACCAGGGCACTGACACATATAGACAAATCAATGGACTCCCCTGCCCCTGGCTGGTTTCCACTGATGGGAGGCTCTGACACTGGAGGGAGGATGAAGATTAAGGTCAAGGTATTTCTGCTCTGGTTCTCTCCTTGCAGAGTCTCCTTGGGTGAGCTGTCTCCATCATCCAAAGGTCACTACGTTTCTCAAGGTGGCCTTCTCTCCATGATTCTCTCCTTCTAGGACATAGGAGCCTTACTCCCAGGAGCCCCTGAAAGCTTGACAAAATTCATGGATCTCACTCAGAATATCCTCAAATTCTCTTTCCCAGTCTCTTTCCTATATACCTATCATTAAAACCCTGATGTGTAGTGAAGGGTTAACTCACCAGGGGTGGGGTATTGAGACCATGTGCATTCCAAAGAAAGGACTGGCTCCTGGGAGATAAGATCTAACCCCTCAGAATATCCTGCTTGACAAGAGTGTCTTTGTATACCTGGGGGTGTTTGGCCTTGCCAGAGAGTTTATGCTAAGAATGTGACTTAATGGTAGAAGACTTGGGTCATGTGGCATTAGTTTGACCTCTGGAGGGACTGGAGAGGAGTAGCTAAGCTCAGCCACACAGGTACTCCATGTTTACATGACCCACCCCCAAGAAAAAACCTTGGACACCAAGATTTGAGTGAGTGTCCCTGGTTGGCGTCAAACATCATTGCTGGGAGAACTGAGCACCGTCTGCACAACTCCACTGGGAGAGACAACTGGAAGCTTGTGCCTGGTCTCCACGGACTCTACTCTCTGTGTCTTTTACATTTGCTGATGTTTATCTGTGTCCTTTCGGTGTAATGAACTGAAACTAGAAATATGACTGCTTTTCTGAGTTTGTGAGTCCTAGTTAATCACTGAACCTGAGAACGGTCTTGGGGCCCTTGGGGTCTTGTTCCCTGATTCACCTGGGAAACACCAAGACAGTCCAATAACTTAATATGGTGGTGGGTGGCCGTGTGGGTAGAAAACAGAAATATGCTCGAGAGTATTCAATGCATTCAGATAAGATCAAAGTGGATCTTCCAGGGTGGGGCTTCTGGACTGTGAGTCTGGGAGCCTCACGGTTGCTGGGACTAAGGTGATATGGGATAGGCAGATGAAAACACATCCAAGACCCAACCTTTGGTGCTCCAGTTGAAGATGTGATGCTGCGTTGAATGGATGAGGGGGTTTAAATGAGACATTTCTTATGCCATCAGCTTCTTATTGGCAGGATTCATAAACCTCTGCAGCTGCAGATCTGGGAACCACCAGGTTCCCGTGTCCAGCCCCTGTGCCAGCAGGCATTCCCCCTACTTACCTGGCCCCACTGACATCAACTCCAACCATCAGCTGCCCATTCAGTGAGAGGATCTCATCCCGCAGTCGGACCTTCCCACTCTTCCCTGCTGGGCTGTTCTTCCTCAGCTCTGTCACCCAGATGCAGCCCACATCCAGCACAGGACCCTGGTGGGTTTTCCTCTTCTTGCCCCCCCTGCGCTTTTCACCATAGTCCCCGAAAACAGGGATGTTCCCAAAACTCAGGCCCACAGTCTCTGTGTCCCCCAGCTCCTTGGTGAGGTACACAGTACAGATCTCCATTTCGGGGGGGCTGTGATCAGGTGGGACCGTACTCTCATCCACAGCAAAGTTCAGCTGGATGTACTCCTGCAGCTTCTGGATGGCCGCCTGGCAGAGCCGCTGCTCCGGCCCATCCCCACCTTCCTGCAGGCTGTTCTGCAGCCACTGGTAGAGGAGGGGCAGGTGCAGCACGGCATTGTCCTGGGTGATGGGCATGGTGCTCACTCCCAGACACCAGCATCATCAGAGGTCTTGCTCCTGGGGGCCAGACCCCACAGGGCCCCACGTCCCCTGGGGTCCCTGGCCATCATCAGCTTTGCCTGTGTTCATGTTCAGGCTGGCAGATGAGCCTAGGGACACCTACTCGAGACTATGCTGTTTGCCTTGGCAGGAGGAAGCTAGGACCCAATTAGAACAACTGTGGAACAATGGCACTGGAGTGCTCAATGAGGGAAGGAAGGAAGTGTCTAACAAGTCCCTGCCAGGTTCATTTCACAGCAGGACCCATGCAAATGACACAGGAATGGAGGATCCCTCCAGCAGTGGCCGTGTGTCCTTCCCTGGGCTCATTCACACCTGGGAGAGGAAGAGGAAAACACAAAAAGCTCCAGTTACAACAGTGAGCCTTCTCACCTAGAAAACATAGCCTCCTGTGTTACAGAAGGACCATGTGTACTTTCCAGGCACCAAGCACAAACCCAGAACCTAACGCTTCCCCATTCCCCCGTGTGGCTACCTCCATGCTGTATGGACACTCCCTTCTCTCAGACAGACGCCTCTGGAACACTGGCCTTCTCCAGGAAGTTTCCTGGATCAGCAGAGAAACCAGATGACTTGGCCAAGACAACCCTCACCAACATACTATCAAACTCACACCCAACCAGGAGGCTGTGTGACAAGACCCTGTGGAAGGCTGTGGAAGGATCTGCATATATTTAAAATCTTACACTCCTAAAAAAAGAAAATCTATGTTGATTTGCCTTGGTCAGCCCAGCTGTACACACAGGAAGGCTCTCCATTCCAGAAATCTGTTCTGACAACACTACCCAGAGAAGAAAGATCCGATCAACACCATGGAGAGATCCCGCCTCCGTCCCAGGGCAACACCATTCCTAAACTTCGCCATCCTGTAGATTCAGAGGGAAGTCTGGCTCTTTGCAGCCCAGGTTTTAGTATCATCTCTACATTTCCTTTGGTAAATGGTTAAAACTGACTTATTTTCAGGCCAACCTAAAAGCCATCCCCTCCAGAGGAATGTTTCTCCAAATGCCTGGGCGAGAAGACAGGTGCCTTCTTTGCCTTGCTTTTAAACACATTGAATACAGTGGTGACACCAGTCAGCAGACAGCAGGGCCAGCGGCTCCCACCAGAGCTAAAGCCTCACACTCCCTCTGAATTCTGCACGGTGCCTGGTACATATTAAGTCCCCAGTGAAAGGTTAATTCAATTCTACTGCCAACTCGCCTTCTCCACCAAAGAAAAATTTCACCTCCATTCTCCATAAACATAGAAAAGTGATCCCTTTCACGCTCTTCTCTGAACTTCACTTTCTCCCAGAGAAAATCAATATAAACCGTGCCATCCAACGTGGAAAACATTCTCCAGCCTTCTCAGGAAGTGATTTAACAAGGAACAATAATGCATGGGAGAGGTGTCAGAAGCCATGTCAATAATAAATGACCTTATTACTCAGTAACCAAAAAGAAATTTCCAATATAGCGTGCTTTGCGTTTCCAAAGAACTTGAGTGCCAGCTATTAATTGGTTCCAAATAAATCAAAAGCTTAGCAAATATCATCTATATAATCACATGGTTGTTAAAAAGAAATGCAAGGCTGGGCGCGGTGGCTCACACCTGTAATCCCAGCACTTTGGGAGGGTTAGGCGGGAGGATCGCAAGGTCAGGAGTTCGAGACCAGTCTGGCCAACATGGTGAAACCCCATCTCTACTAAAAATACAAAAATTAGCTCGGTGTGGTGGCAGGCGCCTGTAATCCCAGGCGTGTGTAATCCCAGACAGGGTTTCACTCTGTTGGCCAGGCTGATCACTGTCTTATTCATCAATATATTCACTACTCCAGCACAGCACCTACCACATCGTAGACTCCTAATAATTTATAAGACATTTTAAAAGATCCTTTACATTACAATTTTAACAGCCTGTGATTCAGGATGTTAGTCACAGTTGAGATGGCTCCATACATATAAAAACAGTAAATATCAGGCTGGGCACAGTGGCTCACGCCTGTAATCCCAGCACTTTGGGAGGCCGAGGCGGGCGGATCACAAGGTCAGGAGATCAAGACCATCCTGGCTAACACAGTGAAAGCCCGTCTCTACTAAAAAAAAAAAAAAAAAAAAAAAAAAAAAATTAGCTGGGTGTGGTGGCGGGCGCCTGTGGTGCCAGCTACTCGGGAGGCTGAGGCAGGAGAATGGCGTGAACCCGGGAAGCGGAGCTTGCAGTGAGCCGAGATCTCGCCACTGCACTCCAGCCTGGGCGACAGAGCCAGACTCCGTCTCAAAAAAAAAAACAAAAAAACAAAAAACAAACAAAAAAAACCCCGTAAATATCTTGGTCAAGATGCTCTTTAAATAAGTCTGATTGAGGAAAACCAAACTGAAGAGTAGTAGGAAATGTTTTCCTGGTGTCGATTTGCACTCATTTGATTCATTCAGCAAGTATTTATCGAACATTTATCAAGTCCTTGAACTTGGCACTGGTTGTATACCAGCAATAAGGCAAATTCCTTGCCCTGTAGGAATTCATAGTCTAGTGGGGAGATACATAAATAAACGGAAATTAGTGTGTAATAGGTCTGCGATAACACCTCTCCCGCTCCCCTTCCGTTTCGTGGGGATGGTCCAGAGCTTGACATCTCACCCACGCTGGGACAATCAGGGTTCTTCCCCGAGACCTCAGTACTGCGACTCTGAAAGAGTCCTAGTTTCTACCCTGTGGCAGGAGTCATAGCTTTTGAACTAACGAACTTTTGAACGATTCTATCTCCTGTGGGGATTGAGTAGCAAAGAAAGTCATCCTGCTAAGAAATAGAGAAGTTGATCGGTGGCGGGCAGAAGCGCAGGACCGGGAGAGAGCGCCCCTGGGTTCCCCACAGCTTTCCCGTCCTCACTTTCCGCCATCCTGGACGGGGCTGCATTGCTGCCCTCGCCCTAACCAGAAAGACAGCATCGATCCTTACAATAAATTACATTGTAAAATTTTGACGACTTTAAAATGAAAGAAAAAAGGTAAAGCAAAATGAACCTAAACAAAACTTTAAATGAAAATAAACTTTACCTTGAGTTGTTTTCCACTCTTTGCAACTCGAGTTGTTAATTACTACTTTGGAAGTTAGTGAAGCTGATTGGCTCAGCTCGGATCTGATGTCCAATCACTGTTGGCCAAGAGGGTGGGGCCACAGGATAGCAACAGGGCCACTGAGAGCCCACCCTCAGGCCCTAGAAGAGGGTGGGAGGGATGGACAGGGAAGCAGTTTTCAGAAGAGGAAAAATTGTTGGAAATACACGGACACCCTCAAAGACACTTAGTCTTATTCTTAGGTGTCCATGGGCTACACAGCCTTTCAATCCCATACCTATAATTGAGGGCTTTCCAGTAATCCTTCCAGTCCTTTATTCTATCAACCCATTTGCCTGGGATTTTTCTATAAACAAGGGAAGTAGAAGCATCAATATCCACTCGCGATGATTTGAGATGATTCAGGGCGTAAGAAAAGACAGAGATGTTGCAATGCTATGAAAAGTGTGGTTGTTCCACAAGATCCAATAAAACACTCCAGTGTGCAAAACATTGACTCAGGGAAGATACAGAACAGAAATCTGCAGTTAGAAATACTGACCTCCCTGGATGGCTAGTCTGTGCAAAGGCCTACAAGCTTCCCATCCTGAAGATCAATCCATCTCAACAGTGAGCACAATTTTTGGACATGGAGGTTCACTGCAACAGCCCAGTCCATTTTTGTGTATCATAAATAATTCTCCAATTAGATTGCCATCTCAAGCAAATAGCTGTGATAATTTAAATTAATTTTGAATCGCTTGAAGCTGCTAGCCTTAGCATTCAAAATAAATGCTTCTGTTACTGAGATAATTTACTGATATGGTGTTAAAATCTACCAACTTTCTTGGATCCTGTCTCAGCTAAGCCATGCATTCTCAGTAGGTGACTTTACTCACAAGGGGGTGAAAATTAGTTGAGGGAGGCAAAAAAAGTCTTAGATGCTCTAATGGTTAGCAGATCCTCCTCCTCCTACCAAAGCTCGATCCTACCCAACAAAATCTTATTCCTTAGTATTTATTTTCTCATGTTACAGAGAAGTTAAATTTAATCTTTCTCCAGGCAGGGATGTGAGGACAATAAAAGGGTTGAGAACCAATGAACTAACTGAAGCTAATCATCTTCTATAGGCCTAGGGTCACCCGAAATTCAGAGCCTAGATCCTTAACGTGGCTGGGGGTATAAAAGGATCCTCTGGTTTATCTAGACCTTGCCTTAAAATCAGATTCACACCGGGCTGTCATGTACTAGCTCTCCCTTCCAGATGTCCTGGATTCTAGACGTTCTCCTATTCTGACCTCTGCTAAATTCCAAGTTCTTCGACCTTCACCTAATCTTCCTATGCTCTTCTCACTTTTAGAAAATGCTATCATTTTAAAAGGAAACTAACTTTGTAAACACCTGCTATGTACCCACAAAAATTAAAAATAAAAAAAAATTTTTTAAAAGAAACCAACTATGGGCTGGGCGTAGTGGTTCATACCTGTAATCCCAGAACTTTGGGAGGCCCAGGCGGGCAGATCACCTGAGGTCAGGAGTTTGAGAGCAGCCTGTCCAACATGGTGAAACCCCTGATCTCTACTAAACAAAATACAAAAAATTAGCCGGGAGTGGTGGTGGGCGCCCGTAGTCCCAGCTACTCGGGAGGCTGAGGCAGGAGAATGGTGTGAACCCGGGAGGCGGAGCTTGCAGTGAGCCGAGATCGTGCCACTGCACTCCAGCCTGGGCGACAGAGCAAGACTCCTCCATCTCAAAAAAAAAAAAAAAAAAAAAAGAAAGAAAGAAACCAACTATGATTAAATATCTACTATTAATTCATTCAACAAATGTTGATTGAGTGTCTATCATGTGCTGGGTCCTGAACAAAACAATGTCCCAGAAAGCTTCTTGAAGCCTGTGTTCTGAAGATGGTGAATTATTAAACAAATGCAAAACACTATGACGTCAGATGGTGACAGTACTGTGATGGTAACTATGGTAATGTCAGAGGATAGCGAGAAGGTGACATTTGAGAGATTGAAATTGTGCCCCAAAGAATTAAAGAAACCAATAACAGAAATTTTTGTGTTGGTAGGATGACAGATTTTTTTTTTAAATTAGTAACTTGCTGAAAACTAAAACTCCCTGCACATGAGCTGTAAGAACTGGCTGAAATTGCTTCAAACTAATATGGCCACCTGGAGTTTGCACAGAATGAGCACGCTGAAATCACAGCCTGAATTTCCACATTTCATACTAACTCCGCCCAAATTTGCACACATGACCCATGAGTTAGCACGAAGAGACAACTGTGCGTGCCCAAGGGACTTTCCAGACCTCCCGTTTCCTTCAACTTTCAATATAAAGCTTTTTAAAAATTTTTTGAGACAGTTTCACTCTGTTGCCCATGCTGGAGTGCAATGGCGCGATCTGGGCTCACTGCAACCTCCGCCTCCCGGTTTCAAGCGATTCTCAGCCTCAGTCTCCCAAGTAGCTGCGCTTACAGGCGCAGGCCACCATGCCCAGCTAATTTTTTGTATTTTTAGTAGAGATGGGGTTTTGTCATGTTGGCCAGGCTGGTCTCGAACTCCTGATCTCAAGTGATTCGCCCGCCTCAGCCTCCCAAAGTGCTGGGATTACAGGTATGAGCCACTGCATCCAGCCATTATAAAGCTTTTCTAGTGCATGGGGCAGTCAGCCTCTCTTGCTCAATAACAAGTCCTGAATGAAGTGAGACACTGAGCCACAAGAATATCTGTGGGAAGGTTGTTCTGGGCAGAGGGAACTGCAGGTGCAAAGGCCCTGGGGTAAAGACTTGCCTGGCTGCCCGAGGATGAAAGAGGAAAGATGTAGCTACAGAAGAAATGAGGGGGAAGTGCCCCCACTCTGCTAGGAGCTTCCTTGTTTTCTTCTTCTGTTCCCCCACCCCCCACCCCACAATCCTCACAACCACCTTATAAAACAAGGATGTCTGGCCCTATTTTATCAACATTGGCTAATGTTTTCTGAGCATAACTGTGTGTGAGACACTGTTCTAAATAAGCACCTTTGGCCGGGCCCCAGTGGCTCACGCCTGTAATCCCAGCACTTTGGGAGGCCAAGGTGGGCGGATCACCTGAGGTCAGGAGTTCGAGAGCAGCCTGGCCAACATGGTGAAACCCCATCTCTACTAAAAATACAAAATTAGCTGGTTGTGGAGGCGCACACCTGTAATCCCAGCTACTAGGGAGGCTGAGGCAGGAGAATTGCTTGAACCGGGGAGGTGGAGGCTGCAGTGACCTGAGATCACACCACTGCACTCCAGCCTGGGCAAGACAGAATGAGAGTCTGTCTCAAATATAATAATAATAATAAAATTAAATTAAATAAGCACCTTCCATGGATTACCTTATTTAACTGCTACAGTGGTGCTGCAGGGAGACACTGTTAGTATTCCCCCTTTTATAGGCCCAGATAAATAATGGAATCAAAGGTTGGGTGCAGTGGCTCATGCCTGTAATCCCAGCACTTTGGGAAGCTGAGGTGGGCGGATCACCTGAGGTCAGAAACTCGAGATCAGCCTGGGCAACACGGTGAAACCCCGTCTCCACTAAAATACAAAATTAGCTGGGCATGGTGGCATGCACCTGTAATCCCAGCTTCTTCGGGAGGCTGGGGCATGAGAATTGCTTGAACTCCGGAGGCAGAGGTTGCAGTGAGCTGAGACTGTGCCACTGCACTCCAGCCTGGGCCACAGAGTGAGACTCTGTCTAAAAAAACAAAACAAAACAAACCATAATAATAGAATCAAAGTGGCGAACTAACATACCCAAGGTCTCACAGTTCATAAGTAACAGAGCCAGAACTAGAACCCAGACCCATTGGACTTGGCCTTGCTCCTTGTACATCAGCCTGCTGCCTGCCTGCTTCTGATGACCTTGCCCCCCTGAACTATACCTGACTTAACCAGGCCAGCACCCAGCCTGGTGGTCCCTGCTCCTCAGCCACGGATGGGCCTCATATGATAAACATGTAGTTTGTGTCAGAAGCGTGTGGCTCTCTACCTGATATTCATTCTCTCTTCCTTTATTTTGTTGGGAGTGGCAATGAATTAAACTAAAATGCAGTCTCTCTTGCAGGTATGGATAGCTATACAACATAGTTCTGGCCAATGGGATGAAAGTGGAAATTGTTGGGTAGGGTTACACCAACATTCCTTTAGGGAAGAGCAGAAATTAGAGGAAAAATAAACCCCTGTGTCGTTAAGTCGCTGTTATGTGGATTTTTACCAGTCCAACCAATTATCTGAATTACACCCCAAACACAGAATTCAGTGCCTGGAAGTTGGGGGAACTGAAAGTAACAGAACCTATAATGTGGAATTGGATGAGCAGGAGGGGTCAGGAAGCAGACGTTAAGGACTTGAAAGTTGCGGACTGGAAAGTGTTGACCCTAGCTGTTCAATGTGAAGTATCTGGTCAAATTGCCTACTGCTGAATGTTGCAAAGTCATTTACATGTTGACTGAGGTTGTGGAGCTAGGAAAAATGGTAAGAAAAATTTAGAATATTGGTAGGTGCTTTTTCTTTTTTAACCTTTTTTTTTTTTTTTTTTTTTTTTGAGACGGAGTTTCTCTCTTGTTGCCCAGGCTGGAGTGCAATGGCACGATCTCGGCTCACCATAGCCTCCACCTCTTGGGTTCAAGCAATTCTCCTGCCTTAGCCTCCCAAGTAGCTGGGATTACAGGCATGCGCCACCACACTTGGCTAATTTTGTATTTTTAGTAGAGGCGGGGTTTCTCCATGTTGGTCAGGCTGGTCTCGAACTCCTGACCTCAGGTGATCTGCCCGCGTCGGCCTCCCAAAGTGCTGGGATTACAGGCGTGAGCCACTGCGCCTGGCCAATAGGTGCTTTTTCACTCTCAGCAAAGTCTACAGCTCCCCAACTCAGTAAGCAATCAGAGATAAAGAGAACTATCACTTTGCTTAGAAAGGCCCTCTTGACATTGAGTCTGCAATCTAAATTGCCTGGGAAGCCCACATTATGGACCCTTGCAGGGTTACAAAAATCAGCTTTATCAGAAGCAGATAAGTGGTGTCCTACTAGCCGGAGTTTGTAAGTCTGCTGGCAAAAATGTGATTACCCAGCAGAAACCACGGTTTCAACTGTTCTCAGCAGCATACATTAAGTAGCATACATTAAGTTAAAATTCAGGCTGGGCGCGGTGGCTCATGCCTGTAATCCCAGCACTTTGGGAGGCCGACGCGGGCGGATCACGAGGTCAGGAGATCAAGACCATCTTGGCTAACACGGTGAAATCCCGTCTCTACTAAAAATACAAAAAATTAGCTGGGTGCGGTGGTGGGTGCCTGTAATCCCAGCTATTCAGGAGGCTGAGGCAGGAGAATGGCATGAACCCAGGAGGCGGAGCTTGCAGTGAGCCGAGATCGTGCCACTGCAGTCCGGCCTGAGCGAAAGAGCGAGACTCTGTCTCAAAAAAAAAAAAAAAAAAAAAAAAATTAGAGAGATAGGTGCGGATTCTAAGTTAAAAAGTAAAGGATTCAAATCATAAGGAATTGACCAGAAACACACAGACTAGATACCTTAAAAAAAACTCCAGCCCTGGTCCACAACAGCCTGGGATGCTTAAATCTCTACAGCAACCTTGCAACTCTTCCTCTCCCTCTTTCTCACCTGCAACTGACACCAACAAGTAAGGCTTCAAAAAATGTTCAGCCCCCAGAAAAGGTGTCCTTCCTGTGCCCATCACAAAAGTGGCCATGGTGGACAGTGAATGAAGAATGACCTCCCGGGGCCAGGAGCGGTGGCTCACGCCTGTAATCCCAGCACTTTGGGAGGCCGAGGTGGGAGGATCACCTGAGGTCAAGAGACTGAGACAATCCTGGCCAACGTGGTGAAACCCTGTCTCTACTAAAAATACAAAAATTAGCTGGGCATGGTGGCGGGTGCCTGTAGTCCTAGCTACTCGGGAGGCTGAGGCAGGAGACTCAGGAGGTGGAGGTTGCAGTGAGCCGAGATTGCACCACTGCACTCCAGCCTGGTGACAGAGCGAGACTCCATCTCAAACAAACAAACAAACAAAAAAGACCTCCCAGTAAGAGGCAAGGGCCATGGAAGGCCATAAACAAGGAGTTCCTTCCACCAGAGCAAGGGGTGGCCAGAGTGAGGACCCTTGCTATTCTTGGCCAGAAGGATTTGGTCATAGCTATGGACAGTGACCACGATATTTTCCATCTCTTCTTTTATAAATGGAATTTTTTTTTGTTGTTTGGAGAAGGAGTTTCGCTCTTGTTGCCCACACTGGAATGCAGTGGTGCAATCTCAGCTCACTGCAACCTCCACCTTCCAGGTTCAAGTGATTTTCTTGCCTCAGCCTCCCAAGCAGCTGGGATTACAGGCGCCCGCCACCACACCCGGCTAGTTTTGTATTTTTAGTAGAGATGGGGTTTCACCACGTTGGCCAGGCTGGTCTCAAACTCCTGACTCGGATGCCTCGGCCTCCCAAAGTGCTGGCGTTATAGGCATGAGCCACCACGCCCAGCCCGGAAGTTTTTATTGTACTTATTTTATACCTTTTCCAGTATTGTATTTTGGGGGTACCAAAGATTGCTCACAAGGAGCCCTATCTAGCACTGATGGAGAAGACCACATAACACCCAGAAGTCTGGGGCTCTAGTCTGGAAATGCTACCTGGATGAGGCTTGGGTGCCACCTCCCTTGGCCTATGCCTTGAATGGAAAGAAGGGTATGTCTCAGTAACCAAAGAAGGGGACTGTGGCAGAGAATTCTAGTTCCCTACAGAGTATCCTGCTCGCTTTTTCCTTACTAACAGAAACCCACCTATGTTCGAGGAGCAAGTGCCCAGCCAAAAAGCCATTTCTTAATGCACCTTCAGAGAGGAGTGGACATAAGATACAGTCCTGGCTCATGAAGTTTTTGGGAGAGGCATCCAGGGAGGCTCCTTTCATATAGGGTCTCTTTTTCCTTTTTCTTGCTTAGAATGCATATGTGATGGCTGGAGCTTTAGCAACCATCTTGTGACCTTGAGCAGCTATACCAGCCCCAGACATCCTACCTCCAGACTTCTTATTACATGAGAGAAAAACAGGCACCTATCTTGTCTAAGCCCTGTTAATTAGATATTCTGTTATAGCTGAATAAAATCCTTAGTGAATATATTGCTTTCATTCACTTTTCACCCTCAGATTCAAGGCCCTGAACATAATCCTGAGTCCTTCAACTTCAGTCCTGCTACTTTTCCAGTTAGCAGTTATTACTGAGTTCCTGCCTCGATTTGAGGGTTGCCAAAAAATACAGAGCATGTGTCTGCCCCTTAAAAAGGTGAAAGCACACATAAACTTAACCAGTGATACATTAGCATAGTTGTGCAGTCCCAGGTGTCTCACACAAACATACAACTGATTGAGAAACAGTGCAAATACAAACTACTGAGACTCCCTTAAGTCAGCTTAGGTTTTGGGAGAGCTAATTTTATTTTATTTATTTAATTTATTTATTTATTTTGAGACAGAGTCTCACTTTGTCACCCAGGCTGGAGTGCAGTGGCACGATCTCGGCTCACTGCACTCTCCGCCTCCCAGGTTCACGCCATTCTCCTGCCTCAGCTTCCCCGAGCAGCTGGGACTACAGGCGCCCGCCACCACACCCGGCTAATTTTTTGTATTTTTAGTAGAGACGGGGTTTCACCATGTTAGCCAGGATGGTCTCGATCTCCTGAACTCGTGATCCGCCCGCCTTGGCCTCCCAAAGTGCTGGGATTACAGGCGTGAGCCACTGTGCCCGGCCTTTTTTATTTTTGAGACGAAGTTTTACTCTTGTTGCCCAGGCTGGAGTACAATGGCACGATATCAGCTCACTGCAACCTCCACCTCCTGGGTTCAATCAATTCTCCTGCCTCAGCCTCCTGAGTAGCTGGGATTACAGGCACCCACTATCATGCCCAGCTAATTTTTGTATTTTTAGTAGAGAGAGGGTTTCACCATATTGGCCGGGCTGGTCTGGAACTCCTGACCTCAGGTGATCCACCCGCCTTGGCCTCCCAAAGTGCTGGGATTATAGGCATGAACCACGGCGCCCGGCCTGGGAGAGCTAATTTGTATCTGCCTACATGGCTGACTCTACACTAGATGAAGGGCTGTGCGTATGAGGCAGAGAATTTGATCTATCCTTTTATGCAACAAGGGTTGATTCTGCCAGGCACTGCGCTAGGCTAGAAAAGAAAAGATGAACAGCCTGTGGAGGCTGCGGTCCACTGGAGAAAGAGACCATAAAATAAACAGCAACAATAAAATGCGTAAAGACCCATGGAAGGTGCACTTGGGAGCATAGGATGGATTCTGAGAAGTGAGGCTTTCCAAGGTCAATGCTGAGGTTTTAGGGGATGAGAGAGGTGTTTCCATATATTAATAAATTATAGAAGGTAAGAACCTAGAAGGAACCTCAGGGATTACCTCCTCCAGCCTTCAATTTTATAGATGAGAGAAATGAACATCAAGGCAGGCCCAAGATCCTTCAATTTCTGGGTTTGATGACCTTTGAAGAATAGGAAAAAGAAAAAAAAAATGAATGAAATGGAAAAGGATAACCTGGCAGCTATTTTGAGACTCTATTACCTGAAGATATTATATGTCCTATGGACTATCTGTCCATATAAAAATGGGAATGAGTAGAAATTGCAGGTAGACTCATGAATATTGAAGGCCAAAAAACCCTAATGAATATTAGAAGTTATTTCTGTTCCCTACCTACTTCTAAAATATATTTGCTGTGGCTTCAACTGTGAGCTCTGCGGTTTAAGACTGTTTACTCAGGATGTCAGGATTTGGCCAGTTCTGGGTTAATAATATTTCTAGAGTTTAGATATCTCAATTCTAAAAGAGCATACTAATTGAGGAAAGAGGGCATTTACGAGGCAATGTGCATATTTGTACAATGGCAGTTCAATGCTTTGAAACAGTTGCTATCTACTGAATAGGTAATTGACTGAGAACAGTCAGGGCTTCTGTGTTAGCAGCAAGAGAGCCATGAGGTCACTGTGACTGCCCATTACCTTCTGATCATCCTGTCCATGTGGTATGGATCGGGCAGCCATGATACTACCAACCCACTCATTCACAACCCAGTAGATCACATCATCCACATATAGCATTATCACATATTCTTTAATTACACCAGAGTGATTTTTTTTAAAAACAGGATAGATATTTTACAAATCCTTTCATACCAAGTGTGCTGTTAGATGCTTCTGGTGTTTAGACTTTTGAGTACATAATCTATTTACTGTATTTAAATTCTTAGCATGTAACTACTCAGGATCTGACCTCATCATTAATTAACAATGATTCAAATATTTATAAGAGCCAGTAATACACTCTGCCACTAGCTAGCTGTACGGCCCCAGGCAAGTCATGTAAAATCTCTGAGCCTCAGTTTCCTTACCTGCCAAATGAGGTGGTTTTACTAAGTTTCTTTCCAGCTCTGGCATTCCCCCTACACCCCCCCAAATCTTGGAGCTAAGTTAGCGAGGCAGGGATGAAGTAGCTGGCCTCATTAGGAAGCATATACACAACCATGGAAGTTTTGAACTGCAGAGGAGATAGGCTAAATTGCTTTATCAGACTTTGAGTATCTGCCAAGACAAAGGAGGAGAGGAGCCCCAGGGGTGGTTTTATATTTATGTGCTTATAACCTTATCCCAGCTTTTCCAGAATACAAGAAGAAATATATCCTACTGAATAAAAGCTCTTTGGAACAGCAATAGAACCAAGGTTTCAAGAAGTGGGGAAGAACTTGCCTGGGGGGTGGGGTACAATAGGAAATCTGGGGTTTCCACTGAGGCCCCACAGCCTCTTGAATTTGGCAAGAGCCTAAACTGTGCGGAGACTGAGCTCCACCCTCTCCCTTCCCTGGACTGCTCGCCTGCTTGCTTGCAGGAGCTAGGGCTGGAGTGCCTGATGCAGAGAATGAATTCTCAGAGGAAACCAAAAGATCACGGAGCACAAAGGTTCAACCTTATGTCAACTGAGAAGCTCCCCCATTTCCCAGGCCTTGCTGTGGGAAAGGCCTCAGACAATGAGAAGGAAAGTCAAAGTCCATGGGAGTGAGAGGAACAAGAATCCTCAGCTGACCTCTTTCAGTCAGGAACTCAGAATTCAGAAGGAAAGATTTCGGAGGAGGTAGGCGAATATACTAACCCCGAGTCCCTCCATGACCCCTTTGCTACTCATGTGCCATCATGGCCCTTAATAGGGTGGGAGAGAAGTGATGTGGAGCGACTGTAAGAAGACGTGAGATAGCATAAATGGAGAGGAACTAGGACGAAAACCACCGAACCTTGGGGCGAGGTCTGGGGAAATGATGAGGTTGGATCCACCGTCACTCTAGATCCTGCTGTGGTAGGGGCATGTGCACAGTTAAAAGACAGGGCTGGGCAGGGTGCAGTAGCTCATGCCTGTAATCCTAGCACTTTGGGAGGCTGAGGCAGGAGGATCACTTGAGCCCAGGAATTCAAGAGCAGCCGGGGCAACATGGCGAGACCCTGTGTCTAGAAAAGATTGAAAAATTAGCTGGGTCTGGTGCTGCACACCTGTGGTTCCAGCTACCCGGGAGGCTGACATGGCAGGATCTCTTGAGCCCAGTAGTTTAAGGCTGCAGTGAGAGATATGCTCATACCACCGCACTCCAGCCTGGGTGACAGAGTGAGACCCTGTCTCAATATATTTATATATGTATGTATATATATATAATATATATGACATATATATGGGAAATATATATTTATATATATAAATATATAATATATATGACATATATATATGGGCTGGGAAAGGTCACTGCCAGGGAGGTGCCACAAGGTGACCCTGACCTTGGTGAACTTCCTACCATCCATGTCTTCAGGTTCTAAGGCTCGGAAACATGAATTCTGTCAGCACATTGCAAGGGCATCTATTTCTCATGTGTAAACATACAGTTACCAGCAAGAAAGCTCATTCATTCATTTTCAATTGGAAAGACAATTACTAAGTGGGCAGGATGTTTGCATCCACGTAATCAATGCATGCTTACCCTGAAGGCAGGATGCTGCAAAGGCAAACTTGGACTAAGGAGACCCAGGTGAGTACAGGAAGGGCTCTAGCTCAGGTAGCTTCAGGCACTCCCTCTCCCACACTGTAGTTGAGGCTTTGCAAAGGAAATTGTCTACTTAGCCAAGACTCCCCACTACTAGAAAACATTAGAAAAGTCATGACTACCTTTTTTTTTTTTGAGACGGCATCTCGCTGTGTCGCCCAAGCTGGAGTGCAGTGGTGCAATCTCGGCTCACTGCAACCTCCACCTCCCGGGTTCAAGCGATTCTTCTGCCTCAGCCTCCCGAGTAGCTGGGATTACAGGCATGTGCCACCACGCCTGGCTAATTTTTGTATTTTTAGTAGAGACAGGGTTTCACCATATTGGCCAGGCTGGTCTTGAACTCCTGACCTCGTGATCCACCTGCCTTGGTCTCCCAAAGTGCTGGGATTACAGGCGTGAGCCACCACGCCTAGCCTCAGGCATCACTAACTTCTTACTCTTAGAGTTTTTGTCCCTGTTTTGCACTGACCACCCCCCTTCTATTCATACCCACTTTCTCCAAAGTGCACATTATGACATCAATAAGTAATGATTTCTGATCTCTGAATTACAAGCACAATCCGATTTCAGTCCATCCTCCACAAGATCACTGTGATTTGATGTTTGTTTTCTACGTGCATTCAAGGACAATGTCTTACCTTGGAAACTTGGAGACTGGCTATCCAACCCTGTATGTTGTATTTACTAGTTTAATTCTCAAAATAAAAACTTGACTTCCTTATGTCTAAGTTCGGGGCTGCGAAGAAGGGACCTCACTATTGCCCCAGGTCCCGAGGACACCTCTGGATTTAGTGTAACTACAGGAGCTAGCAAAGTGGCCATGTGGGGCACTCACAGGCAGTTTTGATGCGCTCAGAATGGTGTCTGTGAATGCCTGCAGGAGGTGAGGACGGGAGGGACAGAACTAAAGTCACAAGCAAAGCCGGGATTTCATGTTCTTTTTTCCACTCTTGACCTGGAGCCCTACCGAGGAGCCTTATGCTCTGAATTTCCAGACAGCTCCTGCATTTCCCAGAGCCCTGAGGCCCTGTGGCAGCGTCCCAGTGCCACAGATGAGGGAACAGATTGAGAGGGGACCGGAGACTCAGTGACAGTCAGAGCACTATGTGTCCATGACGTCACTCGGCAAAAACTCCCTGCAGATTGGAAGGCAGGTTCTCATCCATTAAGCAAAGCCTTTCTCCAGGAAATTGGAAGCGGGAAAAAAATAAAACTTCTTTGTATTAGAGACAACATAGGCACAAGGGCACATCTCCACAGGGGAAATGTAGACGGTTGGGTACATTTAGGACAGGAGTCTAATGTTTCCATTGCTGAGGCCTCAGAGGGAGGTGCTATAGGAAATAGACACTCTCAGGCACGCTGCCGATCTGGGGAATTACCAAGATTAGCAAAATGGCCATTACCTGCCACCCACCAGGTTCCACTGAAGCATTTCCAACATACTTTAAGCACCCTGGTTGGACGACTCCAAGTTCAGTATCAATCTCTTTGTGATGCTGAGCACGCAGACTGTGCCAAGTGAGACACTAAAGAAACTATGTGAAAATAACCGAAGACTTGTTCTCAACTTGAAATCTCAAGTCTTCTCGCCTGAGGAGGTGATTAAAAACTTGGCCTCCTTCCCCGATGCGGATGCTCTAGCCCCCTGCCTGGCAAGCTCAGGTGCTCTCCTGCCCAGTCCTGTCCTCATCCTTCCCTCCCGTGTTCTCCAAGGCTCTCTCCATGACACCTTCCACCCAAGTCCTTTCCCACGAGTCTTAAGACCAGAAAAAAAAATGGAAAGAAAGACGCGTGCATGCTTCTGGTGTTCCCAAGTTCCACAAGATAAACACTGGTTAAGCCAGTGAGGAATGACTCCTCAGGCAGAAATCATTCATTCATCCAGCAAATATTTATTGAGTGCAATAAATCAAGTTTAAACCAACTTTATCTAAAATAAAGTTTAAACCAACTTCATCTAAAATAAAGTTTAAACCAACTTTAAATAAAAGTCCTCACCTTTGGGAACTTAAAATTTAAAGTGGTGGCCAGGCACGGTGGCTCACGCCTGTAATCCCAGCACTTTGTGGGGCTGAGGCAGGCTGATCACTTGAGATCAGGAGTTCAAAAGCAGCCTGGCCAACATGGTGAAACCCCGTCTCTACTAAAAATACAAAAATTACCCGGGTGTGGTGGCGGGCACCTGTAATCACAGCTACTCGGGAGGCTGAGGCAGGAGAGTTGCTTGAACCTGGGAGGCAGAGATTGTGGTAAGCCGAGATCGTGCCACTTCACTCCAGCCTGGGTGATAGCGCAACACTCTTTCTCAAAAAAAAAAAAAAAAAAAAAAAATCTAAAGTGGTCTTTCCAAGCCAGCCTGAACCCCAGAATCATCTGGGCTTCTTAAAGATACGCTAGATCCAGATCCAATCCTTAGAGATTCTGATTCCCAAGACCTGGGGGTGGTGGTAGCGAGCAGATACCTGTACTTGTAATGAGTGTTTTGGGTAACTGGTATAACATGGTCCTGGAAACTATTGATCAATTAGAACAAGAGGTGCCAACTCCTGCATGACTGAGACTGGGACCACAGGAAGAAGGTTAATTTTAACATCCTAATGTCTCCGGAGACTCCTCATTTCCCACCCATGTAGGGTTGTAAGATTCAGCAAATAAGAATGTATAGCTCCCAGTTAAAAATGAATTTCTGAAAACAAGAAATAATGTTTTAATATAAGTATGCTCCAAATATTGTAGTATATCTTAATGTAGGTATGTCCCATGTAATAGTTGGGACATATTTATACTAAAATATTATTCATTGTTTATCTGAAATTCAAATTAAACTGTCTGGTATTTTATATGGCAACCCTACTCTACCCCACCCCAAAATGAAGCTCTCAGAGTCTGTGACCTGCATGTCTGTCTGCCTTTGTGACATATGGAATCCCAGCCGGCACCCCTACCCTGCCTCAACAGGCCTTTCACTTCTTCCTGAATGCAGATAGCACCCATGGGCCACGGCCACCCACACTGTGCCGGCATAGAGTGAATGAGTCAGACCTGGGATCACAGCTCATCACCTGACTTGGAGGAACTTCTCTTCCTGGCCCCCCTGTTATCTCAGGCTCTGGTCTCATATGCCCAAATCTGCTCCTCACAGCCCAGCTGCCTTCCCTAAATGCCTCTATTCGCCCAAACCCTGTAAATAGTAGTCCCCTCTGGCCAACTGACCTCCTGAAATAGGCACTGACAAAATGAGACGTCTGTCTCACATTATACAACTGTGTTATAAGGATGAAAGAAGATCAGGAACAGAAAGAAAAGGTCAGAAATAGAAAAATGTTTGAAGTAATTACAAGAAGTAATCCACCAGTGATTTTCAAATCATGATCCTAGGACTACGTACAGCATTTAAACACAGCTGCTCTGATTCTATTAGTTTCATTTGCTTATGCTTCTGGGTAAGACTTTATTTGAATGAATTTAAGCAGCTAACACATTGAAGTATAGAGTTGGCGACCACTTCTAAGAGATGCTCACAATGGCCTATGGAGAACACTGTGCACTGTATACCCACCACTTCCTCCCTTTTTACCCCCTAACAGAAGCCTGGGTTTTTGTTTGTTGTTGTTGTTGCTTTTTTGAGATGGAGTCTGGCTCTGTCGCCCAGGCTGGAGTGCAGTGGCACAATCTCAGCTCACTGCAACCTCCAACTCCTGGGTTCAAGCGATTCTCCTGCCTCAGCCTCATGAGTAGCTGGGATTACAGACGTGCACCACCACACCCAGCTAATTTTTGTATTTTTAGTAGAGACAGGGTTTTACCACGTTGGCCAGGCTGGCCTTGAACTCCTGACCTCAAGTGATCTGCCCACTTCAGTCTCCCAAAGTGCTGGGATTACAGGTGTGAGCCACTGGGCTCAGCCTGAATCCCAGTTTTTGTGTAAGGATTCAACCATCCTCCTCCACCCATCAGGGGCCTCAGCTTTAAAGAAGGGCCTAACTGATCGGTGGTGTAAGTGACATCCTCCCCTTGCAGCAGGGTTTCAGGAATGAGCAGGTGACCCAACACTGGGAAATGAGACATGAGGTGACGCCTTCTAGAATCTTCTGGAGAATGTTGCCTTGCTCCTAAGACAAAGTGCTGAGATGTGATAGTCTCTCTTCTTCCTCTGGATGTTATCAGCTCTCAGTGACACGCCTGGAACTGCTGCTGCTACCCTGCTCCAGCCTAAATGAAGCTTAATCCTGGGGATCACAGAGTGAGAGGGAAAATGAGATTGGGACCCTGAGGACACCGCGGAACCACTGAATATCCTTCCTGCTGAAGCCGGTTTGGGGTGGGTTTTTGTAACCAGCCTCTTGAAAACATCCTGTTATATGTGTGCTTCTGTGCTTGGAGCTGTATATTAAAAGGAAATGTCTAAGACAGACATGCAAATTTAAACTTCTGAGATTCGCAGCAATAAAAGTGGATCTACCTGTCTTTATTTCTATCCCAGAGGGCAGAAATGTGCTCATCATTATTTCTCTATAGACACTGGCTTTCGCTTTTCTTTGACTTCGAATAAAAATGCTCTACTTTAATGTTCGTTGATGAAATATCAAAAATAAACTTACTCCTCCTTCTGGCAAAACCTCCATATTTAAACATTCTCAGAACCACAAGAAAAAGCACAAGGTGTTTGAACTGCCTTGTGAACTTAACTTTGGAACACAAGCAAAGGCAGAGGCTGAAGCCCCCCCGGCATCCTTAAGGCGCAGAATCCCACAGCCCATGGATAGATTCCTGTGCCGACTCCACCCCCCACCCCACTCTCACGTGCTTGACTTTTCCTGCCGCCTTCCCCTCCAGTGACTATTGAGCTCGTCCCCAGGCTCCAAGGGTAGAACTCCCACTCTGCAAACTTTCTACCAATGCTGCTTCTCCCATTTCATGCAGTTCCATAAACCCATTAAGTCAACTCTTCAGAAGAGGGCTGGAGGCTTGACTCTGGACTATTGACTCTGGAAAAGTGAGCTTGCTTCTCAGGGCTTCTAAGGGGTACAGTAAAGCCACCAGAAACTGGCGACGTCTTCAATCCTCTAGCGAAGACACAACTAAAGCAGTGAATGGCTCCAGTTCAGGAGTGCTTATTCCAGCACAGCAAGACAGAAACACAGCCAAAGTGGGCAAGAAAATACAATACAGATTAATCATGGACACTAATAAAAACGAACACGTGAAGCTGCCAAGGAGATGAGAACAGGCATACCAAACTGAGGCCAATTCATTCCCTAAATATTTACTGAGTGCCCACTACCCCGTGCCAGGCATTACCACAAATTGCTAAAAATACAAACTGAACAGGTTCTGTTTTTGGCTTCAAGAGATTCCCAATTTTTGGCCGGGCGCGGTGGCTCACACCTGCAATCCCAGCACTTTGGGAGGCCGAGGCAGGCGGATCACGAGGTCAGGAGATCGAGACCATCCTGGCTAACATGGTGAAACCCCGTCTCTACTAAAAATACAAAAAGTTAGCCGGGCGTGGTGGCGGGCGCCTGTAGTCCCAGCTACTCGGGAGGCTGAGGCAGGAGAATGGCGTGATCCGGGAGGTGGAGCTTGCAGGGAGCCGAGATTGCGCCACTGCACTCCAGCCTGGGCGACCAGCAAGACTCCATCTCAAAAAAAAAAAAAAAAAAAAGAGATTCACAATTTTCCTAGGGACAGCTACATAAATAACGTTAAAGGATGGCAGAATTCACTAGGTGGAATTGGGGGTGATAGAAGTCATTTACACAAGCCCAGTCCTGTGGAATCCTGAAGGTAAACATGCAGGTGGTATGTTGATGCAACAGGCAAGGAGGGCTGGTGTGGAGGGTGTGCGCAGTGCAGGGTGTGTGCAGTGGTGGGGCTGGGAGTTAGTGTACAGGTGTAGTTTGGGGCAGAGTGCACATGGAGTTTGACTTCTGTCACATAGGTAATGGGTTTTGGTTATTGGTGGTTTAATTTTTTTTAAGCAAGAGAGAGATATAACCAGATTTGTGGTTTCATTTTAGAAAAGTATATGAGAAAATGTTTGCCATAATATGTGAGGAGAAAGTAGGTTACAAAGTAGTTTTGTTTTCATTTTTAAAAATGAAATTGATATGCAAAGTCTTTGAAGGATATTCACTAAAATGACGGTTTTCATCTCAGGAAAGGAGATCTATGAGTGGTTTTTCACCTTTAAATATCTAGATCTTCTAAATGCTTGTGAACATTTATTACTTTACTGATTTAAAAACACCATGTGGCTGGGTGCGGTGGCTCACACCTGTAATCCCAGTGTGTCCGGAATTGGTGGGTTCTTGGTCTCACTGACTTCAACAATGAAGCCGCGGACCCTCCCGGTGAGTGTTAAAGTTCCTAAAGACGGTATGTCCGGAATTTGTTCCTTCTGACGTTCGGACGTGTTCGGAGTTTCTTCCTGCTGGTGGGTTCATGGTCTCGCTGGCTTCAGGAGTGAAGCTGCAGACCTTCATGGTGAGTGTTACAGCTCTTAAGGCGGCACATCTGGAGTTGTTCGTTCCTCCCGTCCAGAGTTGTTCATTCCTCCCAGTGGGTTCCTGGTCTCGCTGGCCTCAGGAGTGAAGCTGCAGACCTTCGCGGTGAGTGTTACAGCTCATAAAGGCAGTGCAGACCCAAAGAGTGAGCAGCAGCAAGATTTATTACAAAGAGCGAAAGAACAAAGCTTCCACAGTGTGGAAGGGGACCCGAGCCTCTTGCCACTGCTGGCTGGGACAACCTGCTTTTATTCCCTTACCTGGCCCCACCCACATCCTGCTGAATGGTCCATTTTACAGAGAGCTGATTGGTCCGTTTTGACAGGGTGCTCACTGGTGTGTTTACAATCCCTGAGCTAGACACAGAGTGCTGATTGGTGTATTTACAATCCTCCAGCTAGACGTAAAAGTTCCCCAAGTCCCCACTAGATTAGCTAGACACAGAGCACTGATTGGTGCATTTACAAACCTTTAGCTAGACACAGAATGCTGATTGGTGCGTTTACAATCCCCGAGCTAGACACAGAGTGCTCACTGGTACATTTATAATCCTACAGCTAGACATAAAAGTTCTCCAAGTCCCCACCAGATTAGCTAGACACAGAGCACTGATTGGTGTGTTTATAAACCTTTAGCTAGACACAGAGTGTTGATTGGTGAATTTACAATCCTTTAGCTAGACATAAAAGTTCTCCAAGTCCCCACCAGATTAGCTAGATACAGAGTGCTGATTGGTGCATCCACCAACCCCAAGCTAGACACAGAGTGTTGATTGGTGCATTTACAATCCTTTAGCTAGACATAAAAGTTCTCCAAGTCCCCACCAGATTAGCTAGATACAGAGTGCCGATTGGTGCATCCACAAACCCTGAGCTAGACACAGAGTGCTGATTGGTGCATATACAATCCTCTGGCTAGGCATAAAAGTTCTCCAAGTCCCCACCTGACTCAGGAGCCCAGCTGGCTTCATCTAGTGGATCCCGCGTGGGGGCCATAAGGGCAGAGCTGCCCGCCAGTCCCATGCCACGCACCTGCACCCCTCAGCCCTTGGATGGTCGATGGGCCCAGGCGCCACGGAGCAGGGGGCGGCGCCCGTCGGGGAGGCTCCGGACACGTGGGAGCCCACGGGGTGGGGTGGGGCGAGGGGAGGGGGGCTCAGGCATGGCGGGCTGCAGGTTCGGAGCCCTGCACCGCAGGGAGGCGGCTGAGGCCTGGCGAGAATTCAAGCACAGTGCGGGCGGGCCAGCAGTGCTGGGGGACCTGGCGCCCCCTCTGCAGCTGCTGGCCTGGGTGCTAAGCCCCTCACTGCCCGGGGCCAGTGGCACCTGCCAGCCACTCCGAGTGCGGGCCTGCCGAGCCCGTGCCCACCCGGAACTCACGCTGCCCCGCGAGCGCCAGTGCACAGCCCCGGTTCCTGGCCGCACCTCTCCCTCCACACCTCCCAGCAAGCAGAGGGAGCCGGCTCCAGGCTCGGCCAGCCCAGAGAGGGGCTCCCACAGTGCAGCGGTGGGCTGAAGGGCTCCTCAAGTGTGGCCAGAGCGAACGCCTGAGGCCGAGGAGGTGCTGAGAGTGAGTGAGGGCCGCCAGCACGTTGTCACCCCTCACTAGCATTTTGGGAGGCCAAGGCAGGCAGATCACCTGAGACCAGGGATTCAAGACCAGCCTGGCCAACATGGTGAAACCCTGTCTCTACCAAGAATACAAAAAAAAAATTAACCAAGCAGGGTAGGGTGGCGTGCATCTGCAGTCCCAGCTACTCGGGAAGCTGAGGCAGGAGAATAGCTTGAACCTAGGAGGTGGAGGTTACAGTGAGCCAAGACTGCACTACTGCACTCCAGCCTGGGCGACAGAGCAAGACTCCGTCTCAAAATAAATAAATAAATAAATAAATAAATAAATAAATAAAATAAAAAATAAGGCCAGGCGTGGTGGTTCATGCCTGTAATCTCAGCACTTTGGGAGGATGAAGCAGGCAGATCACGAGGTCAGGAGTTCGAGACCAGCCTGGCCAACATAAGTAACCTGTCTCTACTAAAAATGAATAAATAAATAAATAAATAAATAAATAAATAAATAAATAAAATAAAAACACAATGTATGGGGAGTAGGGTAGGGACCCGAAAGGATGTCTGTGCACTGAGTGAGACCACAGGGCAGGGAGGCAGTTGGAGGACTGTTCCTCATAGCTCAGATGGGATCCAGTGACTGCCTGGATAGGGGAGTGGCAATGGGATGGTGGGGGAAGGGGCTGGCATCTTGGACAATTTCAGAGGCACAGTTAACTGGTCTTGGTGACCACTTGGAATGAGGTTAGTGGGGAAGGGGATAGAGAAGAGGAGGAGTCCAAGATGACCTAGGGAACGGCAGAGACCTAGGGGCTCCGCCAGTGAAGGCCCCTTATTCACACAGGCCTTGTCCTTTGCCTCTTACACTCCAGGAATCTGAGCTTGGCACTCTTGTCAGGACTCCAAACCAGACTTCTTGCCTTTCTGTTCCATTGGCTAGCTTCAGACCTAGTGGGAATGGCCAAGGCTTTCCTTCTTACTGTGACAGTGGACTGCCCCTCCCCCATGTCCACCTAACGCATGCTGGCCACACTCATGAAGCCTTAGTCAAAAACTCCCCATCTAAATCCACAGGGCCCGGGAGAGCCAGGTTTGTTACCGGAAGCTCACAAAGCTCAGCCTCTTTTAAAGCAATTAAAAGCCCAGTGTGGGAGACCTTTGGCACCAAGTTTTTCCACCTACTAGGCTCTCAGCACAGATCTAACAGTCCACCAGCGTTGGAAGGCCAACACGTTACCCTGGAGCCAAGTGGGAGATGACTACACACACACACACACACACACACACACACACACACACACACGCTCTGTGAGTGCAGCTCTCCACTCCCTCTTCCCCTTCCAATTTCCCAAAGCTCCCATTCAACAAGGAAAACATGGATCTGATTATGAGGTTTGACTTGGGCCAAACAGTTGCAGCCCTACTCTCATCAGGCAGACTGGAGTAGGGACAAATTTCCATCAGAAAGGCCAAGGGAAATGAGTGACAAGTATAGAACTGAGCTGGCTGGGCCAAGGAGAAGGAGCTGCAAAGGAGAAAATTGTCTCTATTACGTCAAATCCGTCCTCAGATAATGAACTGCCAAGCCGCCACATGCTTCTGCAGCATCACATTAATCTTTTTTTTTTTTTCAATTACATCTCTATTCCAGCCACCTAATAAAAAAGTGTGGATCCACTCCCCACTCAGACAAGGATCTATGGAACATGAGAAACAGGCAAATTCTAACTAGAGGACAGTATTTACAATCGGTTCCAGATTCCCAAAGGAAAACAATTTTGACTCAAATAAGTAATTTGAGAAAGACAACTTTTGAAAAGTTTAGGCATGAAGACGTTTGTACTATAGCGTGAGGAAGAAAGGCTAATTAGAAAACAAAATGTAGTTGGCAGCCTGCTGGAGTTGGCTCTCGATGTTTCCCAAGAGCTGATTGTTAAAATTTCAGGAAGTTTGCAAGCTGGTTGACATCATGTTGATACTTTGAAACCAGCCATGGTGGGAGTGTTTACACCACAGAAATTGGCAAATGCTACAAATCAGGATGGCCCCTCCCTGCCAGCCATTTGTTAAACATTTAACAGCACACTAAGGAGTATGATCCCTTTCCATTTTTAAAGTTCTATTTATATACACATTGGTGTATGTGTAAAAAGTCAGGAAGTAAAATAGCTAAAACATTAAAACACTAACTGTTTTCATTCTGGGTGGTAAGACTAACAAGCAGTTTTTTGGTTTTTGTTTTTTTTTTGAGAGGGAGTTTTGCTCTTGTTTCACAGGCTGGAGTGCAAAGGTGGTGTGATCTTGGCTCACTGCAACCTCTGCCTCCCAGGTTCAAGCGATTCTCCTACCTCAGCCTCCCAAATAGCTGGGATTACAGGCGTGCACCACCACACCCGGCTACTTTTTTTGTATTTTTAGTCGAGATAGGGTTTCACCATGTTGGTCAGGCTGGTCTCGAACTCCTGACCTCACGTGATCTGCCTGCCTCAGTCTCCCAAAGTGCTGTGATTACAGGTATGAGCCACCACACCTAGCCACTAACAAGTAGTTTTTATCTTCTTTGTTTTCTTTTTTCTACAGTGAACCTGTATTCTCTGCACAATGATCAACTTTTTGGCAAAGGGGGTGGTTTCTTTCCCTTCTGAGCTCTGATTCACACCTTTCCTCATCTTTCTTTTATCTACTCCTGCCCTGGCCTCCCAGGTTTTTACCCTCTGTGTAGGGTGGTGCTCAAATCTGAACTACCCACCTACCCACAGGTCAAGTAGAACTCTGGGAAATAAGAACGGGTGAGCAGATGCCAGGCTCCAGGAAGACACAGCCCCAGCTCAGCCCACACCAGGCTTAGGGCTGGGGTGAGCTGGCTTCTGGACCTCTGCTCTGGGCATAAAGCTGTTATTGGTGATTTAACAAAGGAGGGATGAACAGCTGGGGAGAATAGGAGTCACTGCCCAGGTCACCCTGGGACTCTGTGGCTGGAACACCATTCCTCTAGGTGTCGACATCGGTTTTCACCAGCTGCATGCTAGCTATTCCTGATGTCTGTAAAGCGGGTAGATCACTCTCAACACTCTTCCATCTATGATCTCACTGTATCCTTGCCATGATTGGGTGCTCTCCCAATTTAACAAATATGTAAACACGGTCCCAGAGAGCCCAAGTGACTTGTCTAAAGTCACACAGCCAGGAGCTGAGCTGGGACAATAATCCAGGTATTAATACTGAATTTCAGGCTTTTTTTCCACTAGACTGTCTCCCTCTCTCTGTCTCTCTCTCTTTCTAGGTAGATAAATCAATATATCTAAATAAATATTTTTTGAGACAGAGTCTTGCTCTGTCACCTAAGCTGCAGCGCTGTGGCATGGCCTTGGTTCACTGTAACCTCTGCCTCTTGGATTCAAGCGATTCTCCTGCCTCAGCCTCCAAGTAGCTGGGACTATAGACATGCGCCACCATGCTTCACTAATTTTTTTTTTTTTTTTTGTATTTTTAGTAGAGACAGGGTTTTGCCATGTTGGCCAGGCTGGTCTCGGGCTCCTGACCTCAAGTGTTCCACCAGCCTTGGCCTCCCAAAGGGCTGGGATTACAGGCATGAGCCACCGCGTCTGCCTTTCACTAGACTATATTGAATACATCATAAGACCCCAAATTTCTTGCTGAATAGTTAGAATGAAACTTGAGCTCCCATTGTCTCATGATTAAATAAGTCTAGGAGCTTTTTTGAGTAAAGGAAAGGGGCTACTAGCCCCAAGTTGACTTGGTTTTGGAACCAGTTTATGGTCTCTGCAGGAAAGTAAATAAAATTCTATCTTGTTTTTTCCTACTTCCTACATGCTCCCTGTACCAACGACTTTTGACTGTCGGGTGAATGTTGGTGTTACAGACATGTTGCTTCTCAATGGCTTTCACTTCCTAATCCCATAGACTGTGACTCTCAAGAACTACATGTTGCCTCCAAAGTCCTCTGTCTCACATGAACATGAGAAAGCCGGGACAGGAGGGGCTTTCTGACACTCCATGGAACCTTCTCAAGCAGACAGTGAGCAACACGTGTGTCTATACCATATAGTCCAGCTTCAATCAATGGTCTCCTTGCTCCAGTTACTCAGTTGAGCTGCAGAAACTTCTGGTTGGTCTGTGATTGATGGAAAGGCCTGATTCTGTGCAGATGTAATTCTTCTAAAAACAGGAGGTGCCCTCCAGGCACAAATGTCTAGGAAACCATGAAAATAAAAAGGCAGCACTGATTCCAAAGTCTTGTTGACCAAACTTTTAAGATAGAAATTTAAAATTTATCCATTCTAGTATATTCTAATGTTGCGTCTGGAAGGTCAAGGAACCACCTAGATCCGTAAGACAGGGGCCAAGTGGTTGGAGTTGAGGTGCCAGTTAGAAACAAATGCTTGTTCCTTGGTGCCAAAAAGGAGAACTAGCACTCAAAGAATTTTCTCAGGAAGGCAATTTTACTTCCACAGAAGGGTGCAACTCGCGGATGGGGCAATGGCGAGAGCACACCTGAACAACAGAGGGGAAGGGGTTCTTATTCCTGATGCAGGTAGCCCCTACTGCTGTGTTGTTCTCCTGTTGGCTAGGGTTGGACCACACAGTCTAAGCTAATTCCTATTGGCTATTTTAAAGAGAGCAAGGGTATGACCCAGAGTGGCGGGGTGAGCAGTTTGGCAGGAAAGACGGTTATAGAACAGGTAACTGAAGGTGACTTAGGTCAGAGCAGGTGACCAGGATGAGTTAGGATGGAGCTGGTGACCCGGGAAACAGATGTGAACTACTGATTAAAACTGGTGGAAAAGGTTGTTTACTCAAACTACGAGGAAGTTAAACTTCAAAATGGAGGACAAAGAACTGAACATTCTGACATACTGATTGTTTGAAGAGAAATTTAGAACTCACTATATCCATCATGCCCAATCCTGCTCCTCTCCCCACCCCCACACCAACCAGATGGGGCTTCTCCACCTTCATTGATTTACACATTGTGATTCCATATCAAAAATCTTAGTTTAAGAAAGGGTTCCAGTGCCTAAAAAGTAGTATATTTGAAAATCTCTCATCTAATCTAATTATCTCATTTAATAGGTTAAAAAAATTGAGGCCTAAGAAGGGAAAAGTCACCCAGGCAGTGAGTGAAGGAGCCAGGCCTGCCCACTAACTACATCCAATCACTCTTGCGTCAACTGTCCTTTACTAACCACACCCAATCACTCTTGCATCAACCGTCCTTTAACTTGCCAGGCAGTTAACCTTGGCCTCATGCAATCTTCCTGTCCTTCTGGTCTATCACACTGTTCTTGTTCTTGCTGATGAGTAAGTGATTGTTTTCAATTTGGGTCTGGGCTTCAGTACCTACACTGGCCTCCTTTTTGAGTTAGACCTCCTGTTCCTGGACCCTGGCCAATCCAACAGCAGACCTGCCAGACCTCATCTTAACTCCATACCCTCTGTCTCCCCCAACCACACAAATCTACACAGTGCACACACAATGCAAATCTACATAGATCTTGGTGGCCCTGAAAACTTCGAAAACACTCCCATCAGCCCAGGATGTAATAGACTTTAATAAACCCAGTGCCCCATGCATAGTAGGCACTGACTCAGTGTTACTAATGGTGCTGATGATAAGCTTAGGGATGACAGGTAGCATGCACAAGATAAATACCAAAGTATACTGCAACATCCACACAGACTGAGATCTCCCCTAGCTCTGAATAGTTACATGAATATTAAAATAGTCACAGACAGTCCCTGTATCACTCTTGATTTCCTGTTTTGTCAAATAGAAAGTAGCAGAACTATATCTGTTGTCACAGAGGTTCCCAATTTATAAACAGCAAATACATTAGACTCAAAGCTCATCCTGGGGCAGTTTCATTAAATCATGCTTATTTGCACATCCAAAGGATTTTCCCTTCATAAATTGCATCACGGTAGTCTTTCCATAAATAGCAAGCTTCCCTAATGATTCAACCATACATGCTTCTTTAGCAAAAAAAGCACACACATTTTCAAGACTACAACTCCTGCAAAACCTGAGGGGCACTTAAATGAAAAATAGAAGGGAAAAAAAAAGTAAAAAGACAGAAGATAAGACCTAGAGCTGAGGCCATTCATGGCATCTTGATTTTTTTTTTTCTAAATTTGAGGCTCTAAGAGAGCTGGAGCCACAGCAGAGAAACTGCCCTGGTTTGGTGCTTTGCACATAAAGCATCCCTCTGAACCCCAGTGTGTAGAGCTCTCCCAGCCGCTGGTTTCCATTTACATCAGGCTATTCTGGGGTGGCCATAGCTTGCTAGTAGCATCTCCTTCCAGGAATCTGGCCTGGACCAGGAAATCTCACAACCCTAAAGACCAACGGAATTAGAACATACTCTGGGTCCCCGGAGTATTGTAGTCCTGTTAATAATTCCTGACCCCACTGACAGCCAATGGCAGCCAATGAACTGGAAACTGGGGGTGACTCAGGGGTGACCTGGGATGGCAGCTACTCAGGATGAATTCTGCAACCTCAGACAAGCCCTCCAAATACTCTCTTCCAATCCAAAAGCCTGCCATTCAGCTGCAAATGAATTCTCTCTGAAGCACATATGGGGAATCCTATTCAATTGGTTCCGTCAGTTCCCGTTGTCTGGCAGTATCTCTGAGCCCAGCCCTGGGAGATTTTCTTTAAACCTGTGGGAGACCCGAGTGTGTGAGGATGGTGTCAGATCTCAAAACTCTGACACCATCGGTTTGGCTTAAGAAGCTGTGGTAGAACTAAATTATCTGACATTTTCTTCTTCATCCTCTTTTATTTTTCCTCCACAAACAGAACAAGCTCCAAATGTGACCTACTTTCCCTTTCTTTGTGATTATGCAGAACTCACAAAGCTTTTTCTTCAGCCTGACTAATATTTCCAGTGACATGCTTTTCATCTTTCGGAAAAGAAGAGTCTGCCTCAGGCTGCCAGAGAATCTAAGTGTTGGTGAGATGACCGAAGAGGACAGATGAGTTACAAAGACTTCACTTGGGGACTCATAAGACACTTTGACCTAGCACAAGAAAAAAACAAAACAAAACAATAACAAAATCCAGATTCCACCTCTTGAAAGTAATTAGCATTTAGTCTGAAAGTTTTCATCAACAAGAATACCATCAAGATGGTGTTGATGAGCTAAGTGACTCTGAAGTTCCTCACCACAACCCAAGTCCTGTAACTCTAGACTCTGTGGCCTCGGCCTGGAACCCTGCCACCCTCCAAAACCCACTCAGGCACTTCCAAATTCTGCATTTTGCATTAAAAATTAATTGACTTCTTCCAACTCTTCAGTGACTCAGAACACAACAGCGTTTCAAAGTATCAGGAGAAACAATTTAAAAATAAAAGCCAAGCACCTAGCTTAGGAGGAAACCGGGCTCTTTTAGGCAAAATTCAGCTGGTCTTGACTTTCCTCCACTATTTTTACCTTGGAGGCTGTGCATTTTTAAAACGTCTGATCTGCTGTCCTTTTCCCGACATTGAAATCCCAAATTACAATTCGTAATCGGGAAACATTTGCTTGGTGACTTTAGAAATGTCCCTGCTGGCCAGAAATTCTGGCACTAGGATTTTGAGCCAAAGCTTCTCTTTTATCCTCAGTGAGGTGAAACAGGTCCTGCTAAATGTTTACCAGACAAATTGCTCAAAACAGAAACAGACTTGCAACCTTGGGATCCAACTGCATTTGCTTCGATCCAGGTTTGTTCAGCTTCATGCCACCTTCGGGCTATCTGGTCAGTACGGACCTACACACAAGCCACATGGCTTGAAGGGTCTGGAAAAATCACTGTGTCCCAGTGGGGCTCTCCGGCTGCATCTGCCCTCGGCAATGCAGGGATGTGGATCTCCAGCGTCCTGAGCATCGTCTCCCCTGCAAACCGAATTCCATCCCCACTGCTGTTAAGTAGTTCAGTTCATTCACTCATTCATTCTGGACGAATTTACTGACACCTGGGGGCAGCATGGGCAACATGCAGGTGATGGAAACAGACATTGTCCCCACCTTTAGGAAATTTGTGAGGGTGATGAGAAAGACAAGGATTCCCAGTATTACCACAGCGAAGTTGGAGCGCTATTGGTTCTCAGCCTCTGCCTGTCCCTATTCCTACATGTGATCCCCTTACCCCTCCACCGCTGTCCCTGCTCCAGTGCCGCTAGAAATCTCTGGTGCAATCATGACATGAGGCAGGGATCACTGAAGAGCTGCTCAATGTCATACCCTTCGACCAGGCATCAGTTCAGCCTCATCACTGCTGAAGTCCTGATCTTGTGTCTCAGTTTTTTTTTTTTTTTTTTGAGACAGAGTCTCGCTCTGTTGCCCAGCTGGAGTGCAGTGGCACAATATTGGCTCACTGCAACCTCCGCCTCCTGGGTTCAAGCAATTCTCTTGCTTCAGCCTCCCAAGTAGCTGGGACTACAGGTACGTGCCACCATGCCCAGCTAATTTTTTGTATTTTTAGTAGAGACGGGGTTTCACTATGTTGGCCAGGCTAGTCTCAAACTCCTGACCTTGTGATCCACCCACCTCAGGCTCCCAAAGTGCTGGGATTACAGACATGAGCCACTGAGCCTGGCCTTTTGTCTCGGTTCTAATCCCTGAAGCCTCATCTATCTCTAGTTCCCACTGCAGCATCCAGAATATCGCCCTGTCCCTTGGGCTGATGGCTGGAGTGTGTTGCAAGCTGCCTGCTCGCCTGCCTTTCACGGAGTTCCCAGCCTTTGGAGACTCTGGTGCCAACTGTTTGCCTGAACCACAGCGTGCTGTTGCTAAACCTCTTTGACGTGAGACTTTGCCTACCCCACCTCACTGGAGAGACCTAACTCCAGGTCCCAGTTCTGTGTAGTTGGTGCCTCTCATCCTCTTGCCATTGGCTGGGCCAAGCCTCTAGATGTGGTGACAATCCTGGAAGGAAGAGCTGACCTCACAGGTGGAAAGCCTGGCTGGTAAAAAAGACACTGTTCCAAAGGAATGATCTGGTTGTTCCCAATTTATCACTTTGCTTTCAAGTATGTTACCAAAAAATATTTGGCAAGGAATAGGCCAATTCAAAATTGGACAAAGTGAAAATGACTAAATAGCAGTTGGCAGAAGAGGCCTGAATAAATCCTTTTAAGGAGTATGGATCAAGGAGAGACTAGGGACAGGCCAGGAACCTTGTTCTCAGGCTCAAAGGAGGCCATGCATGGAAACTGAGGGGCCTGGGCAATTGCTTCAAGTCTGCAGGCCCCATCAATATTGCAGAGGAGATGGCCATCTGAAAACTTTACATAGTCTCCATCTTACGTTGACGGACTGATCTTTTATAAAATGTGGTCAGAAATGGGTCAATTACCTCAAAAATCATCCTGTAAAGGAGAAATGACTACAAGATATGAGTCATCTGGTTTGAAACATCAACAGAAAAATGAAGGTCTTGGAAATGAGGAACAGGTATACAGCAGCAAAACATGTGATACTGAAAAACAGTTCCAAGAGCTGCCTTCCTGAAACGGGTGACCATTGGCAGACACATCTGAGAACTGCCGTCTACCACATGGTCTTCTTCAAGGCATCATTCCTGTTGAAGTCTCTGAGAAGTCCTGTATGGTTAAAAGCTGTTTAAGGGGTTGGGCGTGGTGGCTCACGCCTGTAATCCCAGCACTTTGGGAGGCCGAGGTGGGTGGATCACTTGAGTTCAGGAGTTGGAGCCCAGCCTGGCCAACAGGGTGAAACCCCGTCTCTACGAAAAATACAAAAATTAGCTGGGCATGGTGGCGGGCACCTGTAATCCCAGCTACTCGGGAGGCTACGGCAGGAGAATCGCTTGAACCCAGAGGGCAGAGGTTGCAGTGAGCCAAGATCTCGCCACTGCACTCCAGTCTCCACTGAGACACAGTGAGACTCTGTCTCAAAAAAAAAAAAAAAAAAAGGCTGGGTGCAGTTGCTCACACCTGTAATCCCCCAGCACTTTGGGAGGCAGGTGGGTGGATCACCTGAGGTCAGGAGTTGGAGAACAGCCTGCCCAACATGATGAAACCCAGTCTCTACTAAAAATATAAAAATTAGCTGGGTGTGTGGTGGGCACTTTAATTGCAGCTACTCAGGAGGCTGAGGCAGGAGAATCACTTGAACCCAGGAGGCAGAGGTTGCAGTGAGCTGAGATGCGCCATTGCACTCCAGCCTGGGAGACAAGAGCGAAACTCTGTCTCAAAAAAAAAAAAAAATTCTGCTTAAGGTTTAAAAAAGAACTTATGAATCTTATGTAGGTTGGGTGCTGTGGCTCACACCTGTAATCCCAGCACTTTGGGAGGCTGAGGCGGGCAGATGTCTTAAGCCCAAGAGTTAGAGGCCAGCCTAGGCAACATGGTGAAACCCCATCTCTACTAAAAATTCAAAAAAATTATGCAGGGATGGTGGCATACACTTGTAGTCCCACCTACTCGGGGATGATGGGGCTGAGGTGGGAGGATCATCTGAGGCTATAGAGGTCAAGGTTGTAGTGAGCCATGATCCCGCACCACTGCACTCCAGCCTAGGCGGCAGAGTGAGACACCATCTCAAAAAATAAAATAAGATAAAATGAATACAATAATAAAAAAGAAACTTATTTGACCATGGACTTCTTTTTTTATATTAGCATCTTCAAATATGGACATCTGAGTTTCACACTGTAGAAAACAATACTATAAAGGGAATACTTTTGTTTGTTTTTTCCTGACATAAAGCAGTGTCCAGCAAAAACCAATCAGGCAGAATTTTTGTTTGTTTGTTTGTTTTGAGACAGGGTCTCACTCTGTTGCCTAGGCTGGAGTGCAATACCCTGATCACTGCTCACTGCAGCCTCAGCCTCCTGGGCTCAGGTAATTCTTCCACCCCAGCCCCCTGAGTAGCTGGGACTACAGGTGTGCACCACCATGCCCAGCTAATTTTTGTAATTTTTTGTAGAGATAGGGTTTTGCCATGTTGCCCAGGCTGGTCTTGAACCCTTGAACCCTTGGTTCAAGTGATCCACCTGCCTCAGTCTCCCAAAGTGCTAGGATTACAAGCATGAGCCACCACGCCTGGTCTCAGAATCTTAATTTACCATTTTAAAATCTAAGCAGCAGCTCACGACTAGCCACATATTCAAAGATTCGTCTACCTTGGTCTTCTTTCTTACCCATTGACTCTTGAGGCCCTGCAAAGGTCCCATCCAGCTAGGGAAGTGGTGACCACTTTTCATGGGGCCCCAGGACACACAGCATGCTGTCAGCAAACTGACCAACACAGAACTAAATCACAGTGATGTCTTCCGGCCTCAGGGATGCGCCTCTGCTAGTTTGGAGATGGTTTGGGGACAACTAATTGCTTTTCAGCTCAGGCTACACAGCTTTCTCACTTCCATTATTCCCCAGAGCCATATTTTCCCGAGCTACATTTTTCAGATAATAGAGCCAGAGGAAGACAGAAAGAGAGAGAGAACAGGGGCGGGCAGGAAATTGATTTTTATCTTCATTAGAAGTTTTAGAAGTTAAGTTACCATCTTCAAAATCCTTCACTTAAAACAATAAGCAGTCCTTTCCCAATGGTAGCTTTTGGGCTTCAAGTTGAAGGTTGAGGCTGCAAACTAGAGGGAAGTGTGGTCACCGATGTTCTGGGAGGGAGGAAGAGCATCCTCCAGCGAGGAGTACATGTAGTTTCCTCTCCAGAGCTCTGACAATCTGGTTACCATTAGCAGTGGTGTTGAAGGAATGCCAGTGGTCCTCTGATGTGGCAGTGGATGAGGTCTGGGTTATAACTAGAGAGGGGGCTCCAGGAGAGAGTGCCATCAGCAATGGGCCTGAGAACCCCAATTTAGTCTCTGTCCTCTTCCTTTGGGTAATTCTTTTTTTTTTTTTCTTGAGACGCAGTCTTGCTCTGTGGCCCAGGCTGGAGTGCAGTAGCGTGATCTCGGCTCACTGCAAACTCCACCTCCCGGGTTCAAGCAATTCTCGTGCCTTAGCCTCCCGAGTAGCTGGGATTACAAGCATGTACCACCACGCCCAGAGAGTTTTTGTATTTTTAGTAGATACAGGGTTTTTCCGTGTTGGCCAGGCCGGTCTCGAACTCCTGACCTCAAATGATCCGCCTATCTTGGCCTCCCAAAGTGCTGGGATAACAGGTGTGAGCCACTGTGCCCGGCCCCTTTGGGCAATTCTGAAGCAATGGTAACAACCTTGCCAAGGCGATTCAGGAAAACTGGGCATCAGGGCATTTGCCAAAGGAACACATGATGAAAAACGGGAAGAGGAGGAAGACCCAGAACATGAGTCTGAGACAGCATGAAGTGGACATTGGAAAATACTGACATGGGAAAACTTTTTTTCAGGGAGGAGAGAATTCCTAGAAGAGGAAACAAAAGTCCTTTCTGCCATCAGATTTCCCGAACACTCCTAAAGAAGATGAAGAAAGTTTTGTTTGTTGTTCAAATCTTTAATGTGTACAGGAGGGCAGGAGGGGCTTTGACTCGAGGTTGCCCTACTTCTTAGAGGCAAATATTCCAGAAGTTCCAGGAGAGTTTTTGGACATCTGATCTAGAGGCAAATCCTCTAAGGGTTTATTTTCTATCCCTGATTCCTGAAGGTTTGAGAGGAAAAGTAAAGATGAAGGGGCGTGAAGGACGAAAACAGGAAATTAGCACTCTGAATCCCTCTAGAAAGACTATCATCTGGAGCTTCCAAATTGTTTTCACATCTGAAGGAAGGAAAATTCCATCTCTTTTACTTTGAGGGGTCAGAATCATGCTTTACTTTATCATGAGAAATGATGGGCTGATGCCGTGAAGGGAATGAGTGTGGATGGAAGCGTGTAAAAAGTTTCAGGTTCCCTGAGTCCCCGAGTTCCTCCTGAGCAGGATTGGGTGGACATCCGTGACGGGCAGCAGGTGCCCTCTCCTGCAGTTCTGCAGCTTGTCTTCCAGAGGAATTCCACGGCCAGACCATCCCATTCGTATATAATAAATAACCTTCTGGGCTTAGCTATTTTGGTGCCTTCAGTCAAGTCAGAGCCCGAGCTCACTACTCTCAGAGATTAAAGGTCTACACTATGACTTTTTTTTTTTTTTTTTTAATCAGAGGGCTCCCTCCTCTCCTTTACTTTCAAATTCTTTGTATTTTCAGATCCTTTGAAGACTGCTTGCAGTTGGCCATTTCCAGCTTGATGTCAGATGACCAGCTTTGATGAGGCTGGTGAAGCGCTCACCTGAGGTATAGGAGCCTCTGGTTTCTGGATTTTTCACAAAGAGAACTGGTCTGCATGGTGCTGAGTCACTGTCTCCATGCCAGGAAAGAGGGTCTGGGGCTACCTCTTCTGCTTTCTTGATGACGTCACAACCTCTCAGTCTCTTCTTCTCAATGTTCCACGTTCTCAACTTCAAATTATATGTAAGAACACATACGCATCATTCAAATTCCAGTGATGAATTTGCCAAAGTGGTTCCTTCCTTCCATTGTGGCTCGTAAACATCATTCTGTCCTTGCGGTAGGTGGTTATTTTGTTGAGGTTCATGAGTTTCTTTATTTCTTGTGGGTCTGTTCTAAACAAGAAACTGCACACACGCAAGGACAGAGGCTCATGGCTGAGGTAGACAGTGTGCCGCATGCTGGGGACTGGCTAGGGGAAAGGGTTTTCTTAGGATACTGTCATCCTGACCGCCTGATACCGGAGGCCCTAGGGACTGTGGCCCCTGGCAGGGAGGTGCTCTGTGGGCAGGAGCTGGGGGCCTGCTGATGCTGGCAAGGTTCACTGATGCTAAGAGCTCCTGAGGGCTAGACTCAGAGCCCTGCAGCTTCCAAAAACACAGATAATGACATCTCAGTCACTGCCCTCACAAACCAGTAACTCTTAATCAAACGAAAAAGGCATTTCCGATTTCTAGTAACTCCCTAAAGTGCTTTAAAAAATCACATTCTTAATTAACCACTCTACTGAGCTCCACCTTGATTTCAAGTCCAGTGATTCCCAGTTTGCTCATTGCTGAGGGGAAGTGTGTGGTGGAGGGGTCGGGGGCAGAAGAAGGGGCCAAAAATGCCTATAAATGTCAGGCCAAGTTGAAACAGCGGAAGGCAGCACTCCACAGGGGAAGGACACTAGAGACAGCAGACTGGATTACCTCTCAAATCCAACTCCCAATTTACAATATCCTCCCTCCCCAATCCTCAGATTACTTAATGGTTCCATCTAATGAGCTTTGATTTATGGCCAATTATTGCACTCAGCCCACTGTACTCAACAGCCGCCATGACACATGGCTTCCATGGAAGTTGATGCACAGCTGTGAACTGCTTCAAGTGTCAAACAGTCACACTGAAGGGAAGGCAAGGCCTGTGCTAGCATAAGAAGTGCCCATAGGAGCCAGGAGTGGTGACTCATGCCTGTAATCCCAGCACTTTGGGAGGCTGAGGCAGGCGGATCACCTGAGGTTAGGAGTTTGAGACTAGCCTGACCAACATGGTGAAACCCCATCTCTACCAAAAATACAAAAAGTAGGCGAGCGTGGTGGCTCATGCCTGTAATCCCAGCTACTTGGGAGGCTGAGGAAGGAGAATCGCTTGAACCCAGGAGGTGGAGGTTGTAGTGAGCTGAAATCGTGCCATTGCACTCACTCCAGCCTGGGCTACAAGAGTGAAACTTGGTCTCAAAACAACAACAACAACAACAACAACAAACAAAACCAAGTGCCCGTATCTCAGCTGTGGTTTCTGACCTTTTGGAAGGTAAACTGATGATATGGTTTGGATCTGTGTCCCAGCCCAAATCTCATGTTGAATTATAATCCCCAGTGTTGGAGGTGGAGCCTGGTAGGAGGGGATTAGACCAAGAGGGTGGAGTTCGCATGAATGGTTTAGCACCATTTCCTCCTTGGTACTGCAGAGTGAGTTCTCACCAGATCTGGTTGTTTAAAAGTGTGTGGCACCTTCCCCACCCTTCCTCCTGCATTAGCCATGTGAGGTGCTGGCTTCTCCTTCACCCTCCGCCATAATTGTAAGTTTTCTGTGGTCCCTCCCAGACGCCAGCATTATGCTTCCTGTACAGCCTACGGAACTGTGAGCCAATTAACCCTCTTTTTTTTTTTTTTTGAGATGTAGTTTTGCTCTGTCACCCAGGCTGGAGTGCAGCGGTGTGATCTTGGCTCACTGCAACCTCCACCTTCTGGGTTCAAGCGATTCTCCTGTCTCAGCCTCTCAAGTAGCTGGGATTACAGGCACCCACTACCATGCCCAGCTACTTTTTGTATTTTTAGTAGACATGGGCTTTCACCATGTTGGCCAGGCTGGTCTTGAACTCCCAATCTCAGGTGATCCGCCCACCTTGGCCTCCCAAAGTGCTGGGGTTATAGGCATGAGCCACTGTGCCTGGCCTAACCTTCTTTTCTTTATAAATTACCCAGTCTCAGGTATTTCCTCATAGCAATGTGAGACTGGACTATAATACAGTCTCATTTTTTTTCCCCCGAGAATACCAACATTCTCCTAATTATTCAAATTTCTTAGTGTCGTCTTTACTTTTAACTTTCTCCTTTTCCTTTATCCCCCAAGCCCTATGTCTTTGCTTTGGAACATTTCTCACGTTATCTTTTTATTTCTCTACTCCCGCTGCTACCATCCCATTTGGAAGAATCTGGATCCTCCCTTTCTCTCATCCTGCAGTCAGTCACCAAACTAATATTCCAGACTAAAACGCTGCTGCCCTTGTTATTTTTCCGTTTGGGTGACTTTTCACTGTGGTTGCTTTCCCATGTTATCTCCCTAAATGAAGAACCTACAACATCGCATTTGAATTTTCCATCCTGATATTCAAGACTCTTTACAGTTCAACCCCCACCTTTCCAACCTACAGCTCTTACACAGCACCACTCCCGTCACCACCACCCCTACTATGTGCCCCTCCCCACACGGAGTGAACACATTCCCACCTAGAGCTTCCGCCTGACTGTTGACTTCTAGAATGCTCTTCCTCCCTCCTCTACTCTTCCACTCAACAAATGTTTGCTTATTTATTTATTTATTATTTTTTTGAGACAGGGTCTCGCTCTCATCGCCCAGGCTGGAGTGCAGTGGCGTGATCTCGGGTCACTGCAACCTCTGCCTCGTGGGCTCAAGCAATTCTCCCACCTCAGCCTCCCAAGTAGCTGGGATTACAGGCATACACCACCGCATCTGGCTAATTTTGTATTTGTCATAGAGATGGGGGTTTCACCATGTTGGCTAGACTGGTCTTGAACTCCTGGTTTCAAGCGATCCGCCCGACTTGGCCTCTCAAAGTGCTGGGATTACAGGCATAAGCCACCACGCCTGGCCTCTCACTTAACAAATATTTATTGCAGTGACTCTGTGCTGGGGACTAAGTGCTTAGGATACATGAGTGGACAACATAAAGATCTCTCCCTGAGGATGCTGCCTTTCTATTGCTCTACAATCCACACCCATACCATTCTTTGAAATCTACCTCGAATCCCACTTTCTCCCAAAGATCTCCATGATAACCTAGGCATGTCTAATTTCTTCCTTATTTTTATAGTTCATGGTGCTTACTGTTGGCACTGTACACCTATGCTCACAATTTTATACTGCCTTGAATTGTTTTCTGATTATTCCTCTAGGCTTAGTTTCATGCAACTCCTGAAATTATTTCATGCCAGAAACTATGTTTGGTTCATTGTTGTTCAAGCACCTAGCATGCTGTCAGCACATTTCCTGAGAATCATGCTGAGTGCCCTGTAGATGCTCAGTAAATATGTGTTTTAATGCAATTGTGCCTGAGTTCAACATAAGAGCCATCAACGCAATGGCCACTTTATTAATTAAGGACAACTCTCCTCCCACTCTGGGTCTGCTTCCTTAAAGAGGTGCCAGCAAACACTCCCCACTCCTCCTCCCATCTGCTTTACCGGGAGCAGAACCTGAAGCTGCACCCCTGAGCTGCTCTGCAAATGCAGAGTCCTGAGGTTGGAAGATGCTGTGTAAACCATATCTCCTTTTGGAAATTCATAATACATGTATTCATTTTTGATGATCTTTTATCTGAAGGCATCAGAATGAATGACAAAGACACAGTCTTTGCTCTTACCAAACACACCCTATTAAGAGTTCTGAGGCCAGGCGCAGTGGCTCATGCCTGTAATCCCAACGCTTTGGGAGGCCGAGGTGAGAGGATCGCCTGAGGTCAGGAGTTTGAGACCAGCCTGGCCAACATGGTGAAACCCGTCTCTACTAAAAATACAAAAATTGACCAGGAGTGGTGGCATGCATCTGTAATCCCAGCTACTCAGGAGGCTGATGCAGGAGAATCGCTTGAACCTGGGAGGCAGAGGTTGCAGTGAGCTGATCTCAGCTGAGATCACACCACTGCACTCCAGCCTGGGCAACGGAGTGAGTCTCAAAAAAAAAAAAAAAAAAATAGTTCTGAGAAGTCCCTTGGCAAGGAGGTTTTGGGTATGTGTATCTGTGTTTTCCCAAACCATTCCCACCTCCCACTTTTGGAGAATCACCTAACAATGTTCCATGGGCCACATGTTGGCCTCTGACTACAGCGCCAGCAAATCAGGCTAAAGCAAAATTTAGGATGAAAGAGTAAAGAACTTATCTTTTAATTTCATACTAGGAAACTGCACTCCCCCCGAAGCCTCGAAGAGCCGGGTGTGTGTGCACTACCAGCTGTTCAAATGCATCCTTTTACAAACACTCTGTGGTTCTGAGCAGGGTGGTCACAATACACTTCAATCCTGCAGTAGCTAGTTCACGCTGTTCCTCCCCAGCTCCCAGAAATAACAACAATGGGAGGAGGTGGAGGAGGGGGTGGGCACGGCAAGGGGAGGTGGGGGCCGATGATGAGAAGTGCTGGCGTGGGGGAGCTCACCACTCCTGGGTTCTAAGAGTCTTGCTTATGGGGTTAAAATTGGGGCAGAGCTAATGGCTCATCCAGTGTGAGGACCTGTTGGAAATGGAGGTGGAAGAGGAGGAGGGAGTGGGAAACACAGCCAAGCAGGACCAGGAACACAGTGTAGCCAGGGAACGCATGTGGAGGCGGGTGCGGAACAGCAGGATGCTTTCTCTAACACTTTTTTTGCTCTACCATTTTGCTTTCAAAGCAGAGGCCATACACTTTCCATACTTTGGGAGGAAATGGGTAGATTCTGAAATGGACACATCTACCCACCTGGGGTGCTTTCTCCACCCTTCAAACTCTGGAGAATGAAGATGGAAGGGGCCAGGTTAAGATGAGGATGGAGGAAAGGGAGGGAGGAGGACTCTTCCAAGGAACACATCTTGGGAAACTCAAAATCAGAGGCATTTCTAAGTCCCTTCCTGCTTGAAGGTAATGCATGATTAAGGGTTTGTACCAGGCAGGCATGTGTAGGGCCCGAGCGTGAGAGTAGAATCTTCCGGGGCCCATCGGCCCAGTCATGTCCCTCCTCCCCTCTTAGTGCTTTCAGCCTAGAACCTGCGCCCACACCACATGTGCTGTCTGTCCCCCAGGGTAGGGCCTGGACGTGCTCCTTTGTGGTCCATTTCCAGGCCCCACATGCATCTGCTGAGCTCTGGGGCGCCCTTCATGGAGGCACCTCCCTGGCCTGTAAGGCTGCCCAACCCTCATTCCATCTCCAGTGCCATCGGCACTCTTTCCAGCAGTCACTGGGCACGACTTCCAAGGTGCTTTGAAGCATTCATGGACTGAACAAGATTTGTTGAGCCCCTGCTAAGTATCAGGCTCAGAGAAGACACAAAATACAAATGAGTTAAGGTCCAGGCTCTTGAAAAGTTTAGAATCCAGTGCGGTCCAGGGCAGGAGGAGGCATGCCCTGAGAGAGGCACCTGAAAAACCCTGGGAGCTCTTGGACGGAGCTGCCAGCGCCTGTCAGGCGAGACGTACAAAACAGATGAGCCCCGGCCTGGGCAGGGACTGCTGTGGGCAGAAGGGACCAGACATGTGGAATGAATTAGGGAGACAGACAAGAGCTGGAATTAACAGTGCAATAAAAACAAGAGTTAATTCACCCTCAGAAGCCAGAGCACTTTATAGGGCATGAAGCTGGGCTGGGCCCACAGAAAAACAATAGCCCAGCACAGCTGGTGCGGGTGGCTTTGCGGGGAGGGAAGGGGATAGAGTTGGTGTTGACCTCACAGGTGGCAAATGACAGCCTGGACAGGGAAGGTGTCTCCAGTGTTTTGACTTGTCCTGAGCCCATAACAAAACCACCTGTGACCATTCTCTTTCACTTAAGACTCTTTAAGAATGTGCTGAGCTATTCAGGAGCGTCACCTCAGCCAATTAGCCAGCGTCACCTCAGCCAATTAGCCACACTAGCCACTGAGCACTTCCATTCACATATTCTTTTTTTTTTTTTTGAGGCAGAGTCTCGCTCTGTCTCCCAGGCTGGAGTGCACTGGCGCAATCTCGGCTCACTGCAAGCTCCGCCTCTCAGGTTTATGCCATTCTCCTGCCTCAGCCTCTTGAGTAGCTGGGACTACAGGTGTCCGCCACCACGCCCGGCTAATTTTTTTGTATTTTTCTTAGAGATGGGGTTTCACCGTGTTAGCCAGGATGGTCTTGATCTCCTGACCTCATGATCTGCTCGCCTCGGCCTCCCAAAGTGCTGGGATTACCGGCGTGAGCCACCGTGCCTGGCCTTTTATTTGTTTGTTTGTTTTAAATGAGAAGAGGACTCATCTGTCATCCAGTTTGGAGTGCAGTAGTGCGGTCATAGCTCACTGCAGCCTGGAGCTCCTGGGCTCAAGCAATCCTCCTGTCTCGGCCTCCTGAGTAGCTGGGATTATAGGCATGCACCACCATGCCCAGCTAATTTTTAAAAATGTTTTGTAGAGACAGGGTCTTGCTATGTTGCTTAGACTGGTCTCAAACTCCTGGCCTCACGTGATCCTCCCACTGCATCCTCCCAAAGTGCTGGGATTACAGGCATGAACCGCCCGACCCAGCCACATATTCTTAATATGCTGTAACTACAGGCCCTGGCCAACTGTGGACACAAAATTAAATTCCAAAATGTATATAGTGGTGTTTTTGCTTTGTTTCTTTATTCATATTTGCTTAATTAACTGGATTCCTCATAGCACTGTCTCTTCCAATGCCTGCCCTAGGGCTTGTGTGTCTTTTGCATGGCGCCCAGCAGGGCCAACTTAGAAGAAATTGGGCCTTCCCCACATGTAAGGCAGTGCAGGTGTCCAGTGGTGCCTGGCAGGGCTGTGGATACTGAGCCAGCACAGTGTCGCCCAGACCATCTCTGCCAGGGTCCCAGCTGTCACACTGCCACCACCTTTACCCAGCTCCTATGTTCATCCCCCTGTTCACTCTGTGGGGTGCCCAGGATCCTATAATCCATTCTCTTTCTGCTCTGAGTATCCAGAGGAGGTCTGGTATCCACCAAGCACTAGAGTGTCCCCATAGCTCCCCCAGCCACAGGCCCACAGTGGCCACAGGACTTCTTGTGGGCCCAAGGACATGGCTGATGAGTGCTGCTAGGAGGTCTTGCCAAGCTCCTCTATCCCTTCCTTTTATTTAATTACTCACAAATATGAATGAATAAGAATACGCATTGGTAGTGCTGGGAATGTGGTGCTGAACAAACTAGAAATGGTCCTTATCCTCAGAGAGAAGACAGCTTCTGGATCTTTCTCTGAGTGCACACTGGCCTTTAGGAAAAGTCTGACGTTTTCTAAGCCACCTTCACTCCAGGCCGCATCTCAAGCATCTCTTATGTTAGAGGTGAGTGCATGACCTGGAGCCAGGCACAGGCACCCCCGGGTCCTGGAGGGGCCGGGGCTTCTGCGTTTCCCCGTTCCATCCTTTCTGAGTGCTGTCCTTGCCTTCCTCATCATGACTGACCTTTCGGGTGTCCCATTCCTCTACAGGCCAGGCATTTCTGGAGGTCTAAATTGCAGCCCTTCACACATCAGTGGTCAGCACATTTTCAAGCCTTTTAAAGACATCTGAAGGCAGTTTTCTGTAGCAAATACCGAGACCCAATAACACTAGGAGTTGGAGTCAATGAGGGCTGTTGTCTATTGCCAAGGCCACGTCTAACTCTTAAGAGCAGTAAATACATAGCCTTTTACTCCGCTGCTTGGCCCCGCTCCTCCTCTCTCCTGCCCACTCATGACATAGCCCAGCCAGGCCACGTTCATCAGCTGTTAATAGCTGCCATTTAGAAGCTTTTATTCCATTTCACAGAGAGATGAGCAAATTTTGTTTCAGGAAAAGAGGGGCATGTTTTCCCTTATCAATGAATCTATTACTTATGTTAGATTCAGTCCTTTTTAAAGATGTTTACTTTGAGGAAACAAAAGCTGCAAAAAAAAAAAAAAAGACACACCACCTAAAGATTAAAAAAAAATTAAGTGATCTAGATAGCTAACGTTTACTGATGCGTGGAGTTGGAGCCTCCAGGAACAAAGCGTACTCATTCGAGGAGAGAGAGAAGCAGAATACAGCCATCTGATTAGCTTTGTTGTAGGTGACATTTGTACAAAATGGGATATCCTACGCCAACTACCTTCAAACTGTGCAAGCGCCACCGCCCCCCACCCCGAAATGCCGGTTAAAATGGCCATTGCCGACTTCCAAGCCCAAAGAAACCTCTTCAGGCTTAATGTTTCTGTTTTTACCCCTACCCATTCTTCCCATGTTATAATTTGCTCCCATCCATAACAGAAACAAAAAAACATCCAGAAACAGGGGTCGAAGCAAAGGCAGCTCAGAAACCAGCAAAATTAGGAGCTGTTTGTCATCGGTGGGGAACCAGACCACGAGTTCTGAGCATCTGCGGTTTGTCCAGAGGGTGGACCCTGGGAAACCTACACAAGGCGGCCATCAGTCGGCCACGGGTTGCTGCTGCCCTGTCATTGCCTGTGCTGCCTGTAATTTTCAAGCAGGATGCCCCACATCACACAACATCAACATCCTTCTCTGCGCTTTTTATAACATCAATGTTGAGTTTTTGCTGAACAAGCCCTCACTTGTCCAAGCCTCAGTTAGTCTGTTGTATAACATATGTAGATTGGTATTTTTATTGACTTTTGAAACACACCAAATGTTGTTCTAGGAGGAGTTTCATGTCATTTCACAGAAACACTTAGGTTATGCATTGCAAGCACCGGAAGGGACTTTCGTGGTCCTGTAATTTAACCTACTTATCTAGCCAGTGTGGAAATGAGGCCAGGAGAAGTGAGTGAGTATCTGATCTAAGTATACACAGATCTTTCCAGAAAGAGTCACAATCAAAATTCAGGCTCTCTGACTTCTGAACCAGAGCTTTTTTTACTCAAGGAGACCAAAGAAAAGACTTAATCTTTTAAAGGCATGCTCTACTGGCTGTAAGAAAAAAGGAGAGAAAATTACTTAAAATACACAAAGAAGCTGGAAGCCTGATGATAGCCAATTAAGTTAATACACCCTCCTAATTAAACCTTCTCCACAGAAACCAAATTGTGGAATTTGAGTTCCTTGCGTCTCTTCCAATAGAATCCCTAATGAGCCGTGGGGAGACCCAAAGGTGAAGGAGAGGAAAAAGACAACCGAGAGCCTCGAAAATTCAGCCTCAGACCCTTCATGCCTGGGGCACAAAGGGATGCCCATCATCCGCCCTCTCCTCCGACGGCCCATGGCTACAGGGGGGCATCTGATCTCTCATCCCTGTGGTTCCATATCAGGATGGGGTGGGGGTGCACAGGTCCCTCAGCTGTCCCCTCCTGAAGAGGGCGCGAGGATCAATGAGTGACTGGTTGCCAAGGGCTGCAGGCAGAGGCTGCAAGGCACCACGTTGAGCCCAACATCATTATTATTAAACCTACAATTTAAACTCAATTATACTTTACAGAAGGCTGCAGCCTCCATTTAAACCACTCCTGGAGGAAAAGAAAAAGCCTGTGATACAGAGTTCAAGGCAAACTAGAGAAGCATTTATGCCACATGAAGCTGGGATTCGGGCTTACAATAATGATAGTAACCCTGGGGTTCTTACTCAGAGGGAAGCAGAACAATGGGATGCTAATGCTGGAGAATAAAAACAAGATGCAGACATCCTCCTTGTAGGAGAAGCATCTAGATGTCCTGGAGATTTTGAAATAAGTTTATTTATCTTCCTCAGCGGGAGAAGGCCTAACACCTCTGTGAGGTCTCAAACTGGTAACAGGGCTTTCCCAGTGATGCTGCCTGAAAAGAAAAGAATGGAATCACTTGCTAACATCTAGAAATCAGGATGTCCACGCAAAAAGACTTAATTTGCAGCCTCTCTCGAAAAATCTATTATCCAGCAATACTGTGGGTTATCTGGAGCCAAACTTCGCTGTTTGTTTGTTTGTTTGTTTATTTATTTATTTATTTGAGACAGAGTCTCACTCTGTTGCCCAGGCTGGAATGCAGTAGTGCAACCTCAGCCCACTGCAACCTCCACCTCCCTGGATTCAAGCAATTCTTGTGCCTCAGCCTCCTGAGTAGCTGAGACTACAGGTGCGTGCCACTATGCCCAGCTAATTTTTGTATTTGTAGAGATAGGGTTTTGCCATGTTGGCTAGGCTGGTCTTGAACTCGTGACCTAAAGTGATCCGCCCTGCTGGCAACTTTAGATGAATGAATGGGGCACAGGCTCTCTTATTTACCCCAGTCTCCACCACTCCCTATTGCCTCCTGGCATAGAAAACCTGCATCCGTGCCCCTCATCATGCACGTATGCTTTTGTCTTGTGCTTTTGCTTAAAGAGCGTTATGAAGAAAGTGAAATCTGTCTTACAATGGTACCTCTATAAAAATTTTTCTTATATTTATCTCACTTCATTTATTTATGTTATCCACCTGATACCTCATAGACATTTAATTATTTGATTTCTAATCAAAATTTCCTTCAGGAGACAAGTGTCCTACAGCAGCTGCTGAAAATACCAATCATAAGGAAAGTCCATTTTAATTCAAATAATAATCATCAAGTGCCTACTAGGGTCAAGAGGCTGTGCTGGCCTTGGAGGAGGGGTTCAAGGATAACTAAGGCCCATGGCTTTCACTGTGAGCATTTCAGCTCAGAAGACTGGGTATGATCGTTGAGAAGATGTTGGCATAAGAAAGGCACCAACCACTATGGGGTTCAGAGGAGGAAGCAACCACATCTGGCTGAGACATCAGGAAAACCATATCTAAGAAATAGTATTTGAAACAGGCTTCAAAGAAGGGGTGATATCTTGACAAGTAAATAAGAAAATCAAGAGAAACCTGCTCAAGGACAAGCATGGTGGCTCATGCCTATAATCCCAGCACTTTGGAAGGCTGAGGTATCAGCATCAGTTGAGCTCAGGAGTTCGAGACCAGCCTGAGCAACATAAGGAGACTCCATCTCTGGGGGGGAAAAAAAAACGCCTATTTTATTTTATTTATTTATTTATTTTTGAGACAGAGTGACCCTGTGTTGCCCAGGCTGGAGTGCAGTGGCACGATCTCAGCTCACTGAAACCTCTGCCTCCCAGGTTCAAGAGATTCTCCTGCCTCAGCCTCCCGAGTAGCTGCGACTACAGGTGTCCACCACCACGTCTGGCTAATTTTTGTATTTTTAGTAGAGATGGGATTTCACCATGTTGGCCAGCCTGGTCTTGAACTCTTGACCTCAGGTGATTCGCCTGCCCTGGCCTCCCAAAGCGCTGGGATTACAGGCATGAGCCACCGTGCCCAGCCTCAACAAAAAAATTTTAAAAACTAGCCGGGCATGGTGGCACATACCTGTACTCCTGGCTACTTGGGAGGTTGAGGTAGGAGGATCACTTGAGTCCAGGAGGTCGAGGTTGAAGTGAGCTATGACTACACCACTGCACTCCAGCCTAAGTGATTGATAAAGCAAGACCTTGTCTCAGAAAAAAAAAAAAAAAAACAAACCCAAAACAATAAAACAAACAAACAAAAAATACAAAGAGAGAGAGAGAAATCTGCTCGAGAGAAAATGAGGAGAGTATGTACAAAGGCAGAGAAGCATTGGGGTGCAGGGAACAGTGAGAAATCCTCCCTCAAAGATGGTTAAACTTGGAAAGGGAGGAGTTAGGCAGTTGAACTTCTGGATTCTGTTCCCACCTCCTCCCCCAGCCCAGCTTCAAAGAGGCAGAGGCGGCATCTTAACTACCTGATGACAGCTGAGTGATGCAGAAAGGCCACCCTCACAAAAATCTCATGCCTCAAGAGCACCCAAACCACCTCTCCCAGGATGCTGATGCCAAGGAACTGGGGGGCAGGCTCAGTGTTACCGATCCACAGTCCTGGCTGCTCATGTCCCCGGTATTTAATGCAGCACCAGCTGGGACCCAGGTCCCTGCTAGGGGTATACCTCATTATGAGGCATGGATCCTGCTTTCATCCAAAGGAAACTTACAAGCAGGAAATTAGCAAACACATGGGCTTACCATCATCTTTCCACGCAATTCCTGATATAAAAGCCTTAGAGTTCAGACTTGGCTCCCCACCTTATCCATCCTCAAAACCCAGTCTCTCACCTTCAAAATGCATCGTGGGTCCAAAGTCTTTTCATTGGCTTCATTGCTGTCATCATAGCACAAGCCCCCATCATTTCCCACCTAGACCTCTTAATTGCAAGGTCCCCTGCAAGGGCCTCTTAACTGATCTCCTTGCTCCTGCTCTAACCCCCATCGCCTATTCTCCACACTGGAGAAACGGTCAATTTAATCATGCCACTCTCTTTTTTTTTTTTTTTGGAGATGTACTTTCGCTCTTGTCACCCAGGCCGGAGTGCAATGGTGTGATCTTGGCTCACTGCAATCTCCGCCTCCCGGGTTCAAACGATTCTCCTGCTTCGGCCTCCGAGTAGCTGAGACTACAGGCGCGTGCCACCACGCCCAGGTACTTTTGTATTTTTAGTAGAGACAGGGTTTCACCACATTGGCCAGGCTGGTCTCAAACTCCTGACCTCAGGTGATCCACCTGCCTTGGCCTCCCAAAGTGCTAGGATTACAGGTATGAGCCACCGTGCCTGGCCCATGCTTCTCTTACTCAAAACCACCAAATGGCATCCCTTCATACCTAGCATGAAATCTGAAGTCTTCACCGTGGCTTTCAAAGTGCTGCGTAACATTACCCCTGACTACTTCTTCCCCACAACCCACCCTACTCACTCCACTCCAGCCACAGTCAATCAGGTATTTACTGAGCGCCTGCCAAGTGCCCGGCAGCCCCTCTCACTGGTGGGAATGCACCAGGAACAGTGGCCCCTTGCTCTGTCTTGAATACAGGAAAAGTGCCCCTGCCTCAGGCCCTTTGCAGTTGCTGTTCCCTCTGCCTGAAACTATCCGTGGATCTGCCCGTCACAGCACCCACTCGGACCTTCCCAAATATCCTCCCTGGAGCGGCGCCCCTCAGGACCACACTCCTCACCCTCGCGGCACCCATCCTTGGCGGACCCTCGTGTTACACATGCACTTGCACATTGTGTTCATGCTTTGTCTCCTCTCCTCTACCTCCACGGGGACAGGGTTCCTGTTTGTTTTGTTCGCTGTAGCGTTCCTGCATCTGGTGAGCGTTCGGTACATGACAACTGCTTGCTATTTACTGCATGACTGAAATAAGAGCTAATCTGTAGGGCCCTGCCCAAAGGAGCTAACAGAACTCAGAAAGGAGGATGTACAGGGGAGCTGAAGCAGGCAAGAGGGAGCTGGGGGACACAATGGGCTCCAAAGGCCACTGGTGGTGGAGATCAAGTCGGACAAGAGTGAGGACTTTCTCAAGTGGAGAAAAGCCATGACTGGAAGCGTAGGATTTGGCATGGCAGGCGCTAGAGATGGCAAACTGGCCCATGTGACCCTAAAGTCAGTTCCTGGGGATTCCTGGCAGATGATGATGAAGTTGGACAAGAAGGGCAGGATAAGCTGCTGTGGGCTTCAAAGGGCTGATTGTTTAAAAAATCATTTGCATCTCCAGAAATCCTGATTCCGCAGTCCTGGATGGCCCCAGGTTTCGGAGCCACTGTACAGAGGACCCTGCAAGCCCAAAGATAAACAACATCATGGCGGGATGCCAGTTTTCTAAGGAACACTGTCTTTCTCCTTATCCCCACTGAGAGCCTCACCGGGAAGGGGAAGCCACGCGCGGCTCACCTGGGGGAAGGAGTGGTCCTGTGGGATGGGAAAAGCCTGTGGAGCAACCCAGGAACACTTGGGGAGAGCATAATGGAGTGCAGCTGAGCACCAGGAAGGTGAAGACAGTACAATCACACCGTCACAGCCGGGTGCGGAGGCTCATGCCTGTAATCCCAGCACTTTGGGAGGCCAAGGCAGGCAGATCACAAGGTCAGGAGTTCGAGACCAGCCTGGCCAACATGGTGAAACGCTGTCTCTACTGAAAATACAAAAATTAGCCAGGCATGGTGGCGGGCGCCCGTAATCCCAGCTACTCGGGAAGCTGAGGCAGGAGAATCACTTGAACCTGGAAGGCTGAGGTTGCAGTGAGCTGAGATCATGCCACTGCACTCCAGCCTGGGTGAAAGAGCAAAACTCCATCTCAAAAAAAAAAAAAAAAAATCACACAGTGACCTTCTGCACTCTTGAATCAGCTAGGCACAATGGAGACAGACGTCTACCCCAGATTTACTGCCATGCTAATCACTTAACCCCTCTGAGCTTCATTTTCTTATTTACTCACCAATACAAGGCATGGAAAACAAACAAGTATCTGTGGGCCTATGCTGTGTCACTGATCTAGGGCAAAAGATGCACAGGTGAAATATCCTTCCTGCCTCTCAAGGCATGTTCAATGCTACCAGGAGACAGATAAGCAGGGAAACAACTTTAAAACAATAAGCCCTACCTCACAGTATTGCAAAATGTAAGAAGTGAATACAAATTAAGGCCCCCCCCCATGAAATAGAGAGTTAATGAAGTTCTTTGATCTTGCTAGCTTAGGGCTGCTCCTAATTTTAGTGAGTGCTGACAAGGGACTGGAGAACTCCAAGGTCAGGGTTATTCCAGTGCTACTCCAGGCCTGAGAACCAGTGCTCTGGAGGACCAGTGCTAGGCAGAGACACAGAACAGGGCAATCCACCCACATCACACACTCCCAGGTGCAACAAGCCCAGCCCCACTGGAATTGCAATGCCCAGGTAACCTAAAATCTGTCATTGCAATGTGAAGATAACCTCACACCTGGAACTGCAAATGCACAGATAACCTAAAACCTTTTCCGAGTCTTTGGTTTCAAACTCCACCCCAACCAAGCGTGTGATCAGAGCTGCTGACAAGCAGCAAACTGGAGAGATTTAAATTTCATCTCCTTTTAATTTTCCCACCCACCCCTTGCCAGGAATGCCTACATGCAGGGAACAGCCTTTCCCAGAAGGATGGCCAGAAGGCAGGCAGCAGGAGAGAAACCCCACAGCTTCTGCTGCTGGGGGCGTCAGAAAGACCCATCCTGCCTTCTCTGAAGAGGAGCCTGAAGGTTCAATGAGAGCAGCTTGGGTTTGGGCTGTTGGAATTATGTGCTATGTTTTGAAAGGGGGATATTGTCTCTGAAACAGCTTGATGACCACTGATTTGGTTCCCCCAGCCACTTTACAGATGAAGAATGGGGAGTGGCTGGGGAAATGACATGTCCATAGTCATACAAATAATTTGTGAGCAAGTCGGGTCTAGAATCCAAGGCTTCTGACTCCAACGCTCTCATCTCCTGTTGGCAAATAGATGTGACAACAACAGCAAAACAAAAAAATGAATATGTCGTGGTAGGTCAAGGATATTATTTGTCTGATCAAATATCTTGTTGCTCAGTCTGGGAAATGGAGCTAGCACTCTCGAGTGGCTTGTCTGAGCAAGGCCAACACATGAACCAGGAAGACAGCCAACTAGACATTTCCAGAATGTACCTTTGCTGGCAAGGGCCAGCCACCCATGGTATCATTTTAAATTTGTGACTTCAGTTCCACATAGCCTGAACTTTTTCATGGTAATCTAAGGAATGAGGACCTTCTTGGGAACACAAGTAGATCCAGAGTTTTAACAGAGAAAAAACAATCACATACCTTGGGAATCCCAACTCTCATGCTCCGTCAACAGGTCTATGGGCCATGCTTGAGCACTCTGCCATGTGGTACAGAATGCTGGCTGGCAGGTTCCTGGGGCAGGATTATGGGGCTGGAGTATTGGGGAGCTAGCTCTCTGAGGTCCAGTGGCACAGCAATTCACACCACAGGGAGTGGGAAGGCGACCTGGGCATTTGGAAAACAACTCCTTGAGCACGGTACAAGGATTGGATGGTTCTGCCACCAGGCGGAGCAGAAGTCAGTGTTGGACATGCCCGGGAAGCTGGCCAGAGCCCCCAAGCCATGGAACTCTTACTGTGAACTCCTTCACACAAACATGGAGGACAAAAGGAGGTGGATGCTTGGGTCACTCACTGTCAGATTGGCGAGTTGAGACTGATGGTATTCAGGACACACTACCCCAAAACACAGCACCTTGTCACCTGAAAAAACAGCAGAAGCAGGGAGGCCACTCTTAACTTCTCCTTGCTGTCCCTACATTCAGAGGAAAGGAGCATCCTATCACTGAAGACACAGGGACACAGAGAAGAATCTGAACAAATAGGCCTTGCTAGGTTCCCTCCGCTCCATTTCCTACCATTAGATCATACCCCCTTTGTCCAATTCTATTTCTCCATGACTATCCATGCTTCACGAAAGCCAAGCACAAAAAACTTACACGTTTACTATTTCTTTGGGTCTTCATTTCCAAAGGCTCTCATGACCTGTAAAACTTTTAAAAAAATTATTTATTTTGAGATGGAGTCTTGCTCTGTCACCCAGGCTGGAGTGCAATGGTGCCATCTTGGCTCACTGCAACCTCTGCCTCCCAGGTTCAAACGATTCTCCTGCCTCAGCCTCCCGAGTAGCTGGGATTACAGGCATCCGCCACCACACCCAGCTAATTTTTGTATTTTCAGTAGAGACGGGGTTTTACTATGTTGGTCAGGCTGGTCTCGAACTCCTGACCTCATGCTCCCCAACGCCTCAGCCTCCCAAAGTGCTGAGATTACAGGCGTGAGCCACCACGCCCAGCGCATGACCTACAAAACTTATATGAAATAAAACTGTATGCTTTTCTCTTGTTAACCTGTCTTTCGTTACAGGGACTCCTGCCACGAACCTAGTGATGGGTAAGGAAATAAATCTTTCCTCCTCTTTGGGAAGAAATCAAAGGGTTCCCTGGAAAGAGTGCAGAGCACAGTGGAAAAGCCTTGCCCAAGTGGCCTCTGAAACTCGGGGTGAGGACACACAGAACACCTTTCCATTTGAGGATTATTTGCAATGAACCAAGTGTCATAGGTACTTGTTTGCTCCTGTTGTCCTTGGATAATAGCACCCCTTTTACTCTCAAGTATCCTAATTTTATGAAAAATCACTGGTCACCGTGCCCTTTGTAACATATTTTTGCCAGGGCGATGATTTAAAATTCTATTTTTGAGCACAATCCCTTGTGTATACCAAGAATGACAAACAGTTGGCACACCAATCCACTCCCACTTCTGCACCCACGATGGACATTGTTAATGGATCACAGCTCTGTTTCCTGCTGATCCTAGACAAAGCCATAGAATCTTCTCAAAATAATTCAGACAGCCAAGAAAAGGAGTCAATGCAAAAATTGACATTGATTTGCCCTCGCTGGTCTATACCTCATCTGTTCAGGAAGCTACTCAAAAGGACTTCAACTTCCTGAGGCCATGAAGGCAGAGCCATAAAAATGCTGCCCTGGTTGAACCTGGGCATTTGTCTTGGCCAAAGCCAAGATTATTCTCTCATTTCTTTAGGGATTGGCAGTGACTTCTGCCCAGGATGCCCAGAATCCAACCAACAGTCTCTGACTTCCAATCAGACCAAACCAGCTAGAGCTCCACAGTTCTATTTAGAGCCCTATACTTGGTTGCTTCTGCTGCTCTCAGAAACAATCTATGCAGTGGCTTGCTATAATGCTAGGCCCTCCACTTGGCTCTATGGATCAAGTTTCGCTAGGTTATTTTGTGTCCCTCTCAGATTCTGGCTATAGTAGAAGGCACAATTCAGACCAATTCTGCTGAAATTTAACATTCTGCTTCCTAGAACAGACCCATTATTTCTTAATATTAGCAAAAAAAAAAAAAAAAATCATTTACATGAGTTAGGAAACACCTTACCACAAAATGACAAGATGATCACTGAACATTCACTAAGATAGGACGCAGTGACCTAATACAACTAGAAATAGAAGAAATTTGACCTTACAAAGAAGTCTTCACCTCCAAAGAGGGGAAGATGCTAAAACAGGAAGGCTAAAAGGCTAATGGAATGCTTTTTGCAAAAATGGACGACTCTAATGAGCATGTTGGTATTGAAAGGTGAGAGGGAGCGTGAAAGCATGAGCGAAGGTGATTTGGGCTTCACAGTTAGTGAGACCTGGGCAAGGATGTCTCTCCAGGGCGTGTGTGAGAGCTTCTTGGAGGACAAAGACTTCCCACATCCACTTGAATCCATTTATTTTTATCAAAAAATACTTATTGAGCACCTACTGTGTATCAGACACTATTCTAGATGCTGGGGATAAAACAATGTACAAAATAAACGGAACTAAAACTCTCTACACACACGTACCCACACATACGAAGAGGTGTGACCAGTGTTTTTATCTGGATGGTGGTGTTATTGGTCTTTATACCCCTTTGGGTCCATCCACATAGTCTATTTTTTCTACAATAAACACAAATTTCTTTATTAATATGAAAAATATTGCTTAAAAACTAAACATTAAAAAGAAGGCACTGAGACACAAGAGAGAAGGCAGTGGGTATCTCAGGGACACTTGGTGTTTATTTTTTATTTTATTTATTTATTTATTTATTTTTTTTGAGACGGAGTCTCCCTCTGTCGCCCAGGCTGGAGTGCAATGGCGCGATCTCGGCTCACTGCAAGCTCCGCCTCCCAGGTTCATGCCATTCTCCTGCCTCAGCCTCCTGAGTAGCTGGGATTACAGGTGCCCACCACCACGCCCGGCTAATTTTTTTTTGTATTTTTAGTAGAGGCGGGGTTTCACCATGTTAGCCAGGATGGTCTCAATCTCCTGACCTCAAGATCCGCCCGCCTCAGCTTCCCAAAGTGCTAGGATTACAGGCGTCAGCCACTGCACCTGGCCACACAGAGCTTCTTATCCTAGCAGAGGGAAAATTCTTTTTAGCATGATTAAGCTATTCAGTTGTTCACTAAAACCTTCTGAAATAATTTGACTATATCCTTGGACTCAATAATTATGCATGCAAAAAAGGAGAAAGAGAATACAGTGTTTTTACAGTGAGATTCTTTCCTGTTCAACCATGAAGGGGAAAAATCTTTCTTCTTTTTTTTTTCAGAATTCAAATCGAGCTAATATTGGAGAATACATGTCAAAAAAGATTATATAATTCTTTCAAATGATATCAATATCAAAAGGCACTTTAAACAACTCGTTTTCTTTTTTCTTTTCCTTCTTTTTTTTGGAAGTGAATTAAGACCCTCTCTTGGATACCAGCTGTGAAAGAACGGACTTTTTTTACCTAGTAAGGATGTGACAGACCTGCTCCTGACCCTTCTTTGTTAGTGGCCAGTAAATATACGCAAGGCAAAGTCCCACCCTAGTTTTGAAAAAAGCCAAACTAACAACTCTGCCCAATTTCAAGGAACCGATATAATTTTCAGTACATGAGTGTGATTTAGAAATGGAAACAACATCAGAGCAGGGTTAAATCAACAACCAAGCCATAGACCTTAAAAGGACCAGACTTCATGGTTCAATGATGCCAAGAAAAAGATTCCACCTATAAACTCTTTAGAAAGTAACCACCTCAGAAAGTTCCAGACAAACCAGTTCTGCTTTGCAGATCAGCCCTGTATAAAGCTCTTACCACATTAGTAAGAAGTTACTTGTGCTTTGGTTACAAACAGGCACAATTAAAGGGAAGAAAAGGAAAGACTAGGACAGAAAACTCTATATTTGATGCCGCCTGAGCCAATTAGCTGAGTCTAGAATTCTTTATTTCATTTTCTCACCTACTAGCCTCTCAAAATGCACAGTCATTGTCTGGATTAGCAAACTACACATCATGCATACCTGGTCTTTCAGTTTCTTCCGTGGGGCATGTTTCTTCCATTTCTTTCATATCTGAGGCACCAATATCCTAGCTGAGAATCTGACAGAGAGTGGGCACCCTCTCAGTGGTTGCTGGGGATAGATGGACGAATGAATGGATGAACTGAAGGATGAAGGAACAGGTGAAAGATTTGTCCTAAAAGAACCTGGATGCCATAGGCCTGCCTTCAAAAGAGCCATTCCCCTATTTCTAGCGATGATTTAAACTATTCATTCCATGAGCAATTTATTTATTATTTTCAATATGCTAGGCATCATGCAAGATACAATAGCATAAAAATATGACAGACTTCCACTGTACCAGAAAAGAAAATACAAGCAACGACAAGCAGTAGAATATAGGCCAGGCACAGTGGCTCACGTCTGTAGTCCCAGCACTTTGGGAGGCCGAGATGGGTGGATCGCTTGAGCCCTGGGCAACATGGCGAATACCTATCTCTACAAAAAAATACAAAGATTGGCCGGGCATGGTGGCGCATGCCTGTAATCCCAGCCATTGGGGATGCTGAGGCTGGAGGATCACCTGAGCCCGGGAAGGTTGAGGCTTCAGTGAGCCATGATTGTGCCACTGCACTCCAGCCTGGGCAGCAGAGTAAGACCCTGTATCAAAAAAAAAAAAAAGAAAAAAGAATATAACCTAATATGAAAATACATGACATACTCAACACTAAAGAGATTCAGAGTAGGTCAAAATCAATGTATGTATGGCAGAATTCAGCAGGGGAAAAGAGTACTAATGCTATTCATATAACATCCTCCAAAGGTGAAGATGGACTGGCTAATCAGAAAGAATATTTGGAAAAGTTTCTGAATTCACTTAGAAGCTCAATTTTCTATCTAGCACTACCAAATAACACATAGCAGAAAAAGTACTAGGTTGACAAACAGAAGAAACAATAATCTTCATTTAATTCACATCTTCCAGCAGTAGTTGGTAAGCCAAATGCTTTTAGAGACCAAGCAGGTAACTGATCAAAGCCCTTTGTGTACCAGGGCTTGTTCTAAGTGTATCACAAGCATTTTTCCTAGTCCTTGCTACAGTCCTCTGGGAAGACACGAATATTATTCCACTTTACAGATGAAGAAACAGAGGCCCTAGCAAGTTATGGCTCTGCAAGTTTACTAGGTTGGCCAAAGTCAAACAACCAGCAAATGCTAGAGCAGAGACTCAGGGCAGGAAGCTCTGAATCCACAGCCTCAGCTGTTCAAGACCACCATCCCCTGGGGTAGAAACAGTGGTGGGGGAATGGGGTGGGGAGGGGGGGAGTTGGGGGAGGGGGTTGCTGAGGGTTGGGTTCCCCTAATAGTGATGGGCTCCAACTGGGCTCCAACAGATTAGAGCCATGCCAGAATGTCAGGGCCCGGGGAAATGAAAAAAAAAAAAAAAAGTCACACTTTCAAACATAATATCTCTTAATTTTCAAATATTTACAACCATTTCAGTCTTTAATAAAAAATAAAAAGTAACCACTGTGCAAACTCAACAAAACCATCCACATCAAGCTCAGCCCACGTGCTTCCAAGAGGCAACCTTTACCTTACACTTTGCCAAGAATTATTTCACCTGTGTTGTTTCACTTTTCGCAATAACCCCGTGAAGAAAGTAGGATGACTTCTTATGTGTGGCTACAGAATCCATGAAGGATTAGAAGACTAATGTAATAGAAGACTGCAATGACAGGGTTAAGTCCCATTTAGAAAAGATAATTGACTTTCCTGTACCTATTCATAAGAAGAGGGCCTCAATTCAAAGTCCCCAAAGTGGGGAAGCAATCAAGGCTGGACTTTAGTTCCACCACATTGGTCAGAGACCTCCACTATGCAGTTTTCTGGAGGAAAGGCTGCCCTTTGATTTACAGGTTGTTTCCTTTTCCCTAGAAAATGAAGCCATCTCTAGGCAGGGTCCTGGGTTAAGATTTCACTAGTCAATGCACCTTGTACTTATGAATATGTGTTTGAAGGAATGAACCAGATTCTTTCCAAAGAGCAGTTTTCAGTAGGAGAGAGTTGCAGGCAGCATGAGAGTATGCACGGGGGGGTTGGGGAGCCCTGTGCAGGGAGAACAAACACCAAGACAGAAGCAAAGGCACAAGTGTTTGGCTGCTTCACAGTTTTGCCTAGAACTGGCAGTGGTGGGTCCATTCCTCTTCCAAGAGACTTGGCAATGAGAGGAACTCAGAGTACATAATGGTTTCCCCAAGGCTCTCAGCTAGTAAGAGAGGGAAGTTTGGATGAGAACTCTGGTATTCTGACTCCAAGTTCAGCTTTTACTTGTATTTTACTAGAGTCCAGTCCCTTGTTTATTGCACAGACTAGAACTCAGACCTGCTGTGATCTTGCAGGCTTCAGGTTCTAATTCACCATGGAGCTATGGATGCACAAGTAACAAACGTCTAAAAAAAAATTCTGGGAGGAGCCTTTTTAAAAAAAAAAAAAAATCTTGGCTTTAAACTGAATCAATTTTCATTGCCAAAAATTGGGGGAAATAGAGAAATGCATAAAGAAAATAAAGTCACCCACAATCTCACCAACCAGAAACCACCACAATTTTGAGTTATTTCTTCAATCTTTTTCTGAAGTGTGTGTGTGTGTGTGTGTGTGTGTGTACACACTATTGTACAAGATCTGACTATAAGTGCAATTTTAAAGCTTGTACAAGGGGTCTTCAAAAAGTACATGGGAGATGTATATTATTAAAAATTATGCATGGATTTCAAACAATTTTTTGCCCCCAAATAGACTTCTACTAGCATGTTAAAACATGTCTGAACAGGATGTAGTTTGAGGCACTAAGAAGGATAAGACATCAGTTTGAAAAACCCTGTTAGAAACATGAGTTCTGCTAAAGTTGAAATAAGAACAAACATCTAATTCATGGTAAAGCTTGAGTGGAAGAATGGTGAAATCATTGATGCTTTACAAAAGTTTACGAGGACAATGCCCCAAAGAAATGAGCAGTTTACAAATAGATAACTCATTTTTAAGAAGGGATGAAACAATGCTGAAGATGAAGCCTGCAGTGGTGAACCATGCACACCAATTTGCAAGGGAAAAAATTCATCTTGTTCTTGCCCTAATTGAAGAGGACCAAGAGTTAACACCACAAACAATAGCCAAGATCATAGACTTCTCAATTGGTTCAGCTTATACAGCTCTGACTGAAAAATTAAAGTTGAGCAAACTCTCCAGTCAGTGGGTACCAAAACCCTTAAGCCCAGGTCAGCTGCAGACAACAGCAGATTTTTTTTTTTTTTTTTTTTTTTTTTTTTTTTTTGAGACGGAGTCTTGCTCTGTCACCCAGGCTGGAGTGCAGTGGCAAGATCTCGGCTCACTGCAAGCTCCGCCTCCCGGGTTCACGCCATTCTCATGCCTCAGCCTCCTGAGTAGCTGGGACTACAGGCGCCTGCCACCATGCCCAGCTAATTTTTTTTTTTTGATTTTTAGTAGAGATGGGGTTTCACCATGTTAGCCAGGATGGTCTCGATCTCCTAACCTTGTGATCTGCCCGCCTCGGCCTCCCAAAGTGCTGGGATTACAGGCTTGAGCCACCGCACCCAGCCAACAGCAGAATTTTCAATGGAAATTTTACACATGTAGGATCAAGATCCTGAAGCATTTCTTTGAAGAATCGCAACAGGAGAAGAAACATGGCTTTACCAGTACAATCCTGAAGACAAAGCACAATCAAAGCAATGGCTACCGAGAGGTGGAAGTGGTCCAGCCAAAGCAAAAGCAGATGGGTCAAGAGAAAAGATGGGAACAGATTTTTGGGATGTTCCAGGCATTTGTTTGTTAACTTTCTGAAAGGCCAAAGAACAATAACATCTGCTTACTATGAGAGTATTTTGAGAAAGTTGGCCAAAGCTTTAGCACAAAACCACCCAGGAAAGCTTCACCAGAGTCCTTCATCACCACAATAATGCTCCTCTTCTTTCCTCTCATCAAAGAAGGGCAATTTTGTGAGAGTTTCAATGGAAAATCATTAGGCATCCACCCTACAGTTCTGATTTGGCTCCTTCTGACTTCTTGTTTCCTAATCTTAAAAATACCTTTAGAGGGCATCCATGTTTCTTCATTTGATAATACACTGAAAAGCTGTGACATGGTTAAATATCCAAGACCTTCAGCTCTTTAGGGAGGAATTAAATGGCTGGTATCATGGCTTACAATAGTGTCTTGAATTTGATGGAGTTCCTGTTGGGAAATAAAGTTTATCTTTTTTTTATTTTTATCTTTTAATCCCATTTTCTGCTAACTTTTTGAAGTCTCCTCATATCTTCCCTTCTTTTATCTTAAACATTTTATCATATAATTATCATTCTTCAAAGACTGACATTTTAATAACTATATAATACTACAACAAATGGATCAACATAATTTATTCTGCTAATTCTATTGTTGAGAATTTAGGTTATGGCCCATTTTTTTTTGCTACCATAAATGATGCTCTGATGAATAAAAAATTGTCTTTATTTCCTATTAGTTCTGCAGGATGTATTTAAAGACAACGAATCATGTGTTGACAGGGCATGCATTTTGAGACTCTTTGCACATATTGCACACATGCCTTCCAAAAAAGGCAGTAGCCACTTACATTAAAATTGTGCATATTTGGCCCGGTGTGGTGGCTCACGCCTGTAATCCCAGCACATTGGGAGGCCAAGGTGGGTGGATCACTTGAGGTCAGGAGTTCAAGACCAGCCTGGCCAACATGGTGAAACCCCATCACTACTAAAAATACAAAAATTAGTCAGGTATGGTGGCACACACCTGTAGTCCCAGCTACTCAGGAGGCTGAGGCAGGAGAATTGCTTCAACCCAGGAAGCGGAGGTTGCAGTGAGCGGAGATGGTGCCACTGCACTCCAGCCTGAGCGACAGAGCAAGACTGTGTCTGAAAAAAAAAAAAATCTATATATATTTAAAAATCCTGTATTTGCCCCTTAGTCTTCCTTAACTTCAGAAACAACCACTTTTCTAAAGAGATGGGGCTCCCTCTCCTTGTGTATCGCTAAACGATACTTAGGCAATAACTGCAGCTGTGTTCTTCCCAATGAAGCTTTTATTTCATTTCATTTCATTTCATTTATTTTTGACTAGAAATAAACATGCAACATTTTCTAAAAGAGGCAAAAATGCACTTGATTGTTTTCAAAGAGCCTCTGGTGAGTGGGCTGTTGTGAAGTCCCATGAAACGGATGAATCTATCCCCATCATATAAGTCAAGATGAACAGGCTTGAAGGAGAAGCATTCCATTTGAAATGGCAGCAATAGTTTGGCAATAGAATGGCCAAAATGCCCATTAGCTGTTTGTCAGGAATATTTTTAGAAAGTGCAGAACAAGGCTGTAAGAAGAACTGGCGCTATAGTGTCACCCTCTCCCCAGGAATCTGCCTGCAGCCTTCTGAAGCCAGCCTGGAACCAGCTGTGCTCTCTGCACCGACAAACCCAGCACCCACACAAGCCAGACAACCCTAAAAGCACAACCAAGCAACAATACACGGCTGGCCACCCAGAAGCCCCTCCAAGGATCATCAAGATTTCCACTCACTGCAGGTGAAGAATTTCCGTTATCAGACTGGGCAGTTGTGAGAAAGTCTGAGGTTAAAGCTGAGGACTCCATGTGTGGTGAGGTGCGCTATCATTTTCTCAGCTCTCTGGAACGAAACGATTCTGGGAAAAATTCCCATGATCTGAATACATTGTAGATTTCATATCTTGTGATCTCTCGAACATTCCAAAAATGTAATTTTCACTGCTACCCTTCAGGTCTGTTGTCTTCCATGGTGATTGAAGCTTGCACTTAGGCAGACCTGGGTGGCCCTGAGCAGGTTACTTCACATCTCTGAGCCTCAGTTTCCTCATCAGAAAAGTAGGGCTAGTAGCAATGTCTGTTTCATACGGTTCTTATGAGAATTAATGAAATAATCCACATAAGCACTGTGCAGGACACCTGCTCTATAAAGAGCCCGGAACAAGTGCTTATTTCATTCTAAGTAGTCATGATACAGTTTTAAAGCAGATTTATCCAGCTAGAAATTATTGGCACATTTTCCTTCTGGATACTACTGCTCTCCAGCCTCCCCACCAGAGGAAGGAGAAGAAAGGAGATGAAACCTCAAGAGGACATCTGCATTATTTTAGCCACTCCGATAAGCCACATACAGGAGGAGGAATTTGTAACAACAGCTAAAAGTGAAGTTATTGAATGACCTATGGCCATTCTGGTCCCCATTTAGCATCTCTTGAGGATATGTACATTAGTGTGAACGCTGTACAGTAGCAGGACTGGCCTCAGATCCTTTCCCTATAAGAAGTAGACTGCTCTGGCCGGGCGCGGTAGCTCACGCCTGTAATCCCAGCACTTTGGGAGGCCAAGGCGGGCGGATCACGAGGTCAGGAGATCAAGACCATCCTGGCTAACACGGTGAAACCCCATCTCTACTAAAAATACAACAAATTAGCTGGGCGTGGTGGTGGGCGCCTGTAGTCCCAGCTACTCAGGAGGCTGAGGCAGGAGAATGGCGTGAACCTGAGAGGCGGAGCTTGCAGTGAGCCGAGATGGCGCCACTGCACTCCAGCCTGGGAGACAGCGAGACTCCATCTCAAAAAAAAAAAAAAAAAAAAAAAAAGAAGTAGACTGCTCTGACATTCCATAAAATGGCTGCATCCACCCCAGTGCTAAGGTGTAAGTGGGCATATTAGGTCATTCTTGCATTGCTATAAAGAAATACTTGAGTCTGGGTAACTTATAAAGAAAAGAGGTTTAATTGGCTCATGATTCTGCAGGCTGTATAGGAAGCATAGTGCTGGCATCTGCTTCTGGGGAGGCCTCATGGTGGAAGGCGAAGTGGGAGCAAGCACGTCCCATGGTGAAAATGGGAGTAAGGGAAAGAGAATTGGGGGGAGGTGCCACACACATTTAAACCACCAGATCTCAGATCCTGTGTGAACTCCGAGTGAGAGCTCACTTATCACCAAGGAGATGGCCCAAGTCATTCATGATAGATCTGCCCCCATGATCCAAACACCTCCCAGCAGGCCCCACCTCCAACATTGGGGATTTGGGCTGGGACAAATATCCACACTATCAGTGGCCATACCTTCAGGTTAGGCAGCACCATAGATCTGAGGTCTAACCTTATTCTGCCACTGATTTGGCAAGCCACTTCCCCTCGCCAATAAAATAAGGCAATTAACCAGTGCTCATCTCTAAACTTTTCAGTATTATAAGAATATGTAGTTCCATCTGCATAAACAGTTTTAAGATCTAAAATATTTATTCCTGTAGATTTAGTGAAATGTTTTCTTTGTTCACATTAGCGTGGGCAAATGGGTCAAGAAGGTAGAATGATAAATTGAAACAAGATTATGGGCTGTTGGTAGACTTGTGGATTCAGTGCAGAAAACCTGCATCAAACTAGGTCAAGCCAACAGGTCCTTATTGAGTGGCTTTCACAGCCGAGCCTGTAACAGATCCTCATACACTGCCGTAGCACCCACGAGCCCTGTGCAGACTTCCAGGCAGAACGCGAGCAGTGACAGGAAGATAAGCCAAAAATAAGGAAGCCTATTGATTATTTTAATGATATTCTTTTTTATGTTTACTGACAAAGTTGCCTCAAGTCATCAAATATTTTATTGAAGAATATTTTCCACCCAGTGAATAGCTGAAAACTGCATAGCAAAACACAAGATACTGTTAGCATTACCTCCGTTTTAGATGATTTTTATTTACTGCATCCCTCTGCCCCCAGATAGGACCACCTTAACAGCTGTATTCTGAAAACTGTCACCTTAGAATTCCTTTGTGCTCTATATAATTTGGAGTTTTTTTTGTTTTGTTTTGTTTTTTAAGACAGATTCTCACTCTATCCCGCAGGCTGGAGTGCAGTGGTGCGATATTGGCTCACTGCAACCTCTGCCTTCCGGGTTCAAGCAATTCTCTTGCCTCAGCCTCCCGAGTAGCTGGGACTACAGGCGCATGCTACCGTGCCCAGCTAATTTTTGTATTTTTAGTAGAGACGGGGTTTCACCATGTTGGCCAGGATGATCTCGATCTCTTGACCTCGTGATCTGCCCGCCTTGGCCTCCCAATGTGCTGGGATTACAGGGGTGAGCCACTGAGCCCGGGTGCATATCAGGCTAATTTTTGTATTTTTAGTAGAGATGGGGTTTCGCCATGTTTGCCAAGCTGGTCTCGAACTCCTGACCTCAGGTGATCCACCCCACCTTGGCCTCCCAAAGTGCTGGGATTACAGGCATGAGCCACTGCACCCAGCCTGGAATATTTTAAAATACAGAGTTTACAAATGGGTCATGGAAGGTCATTATTGGGCTCTTCTTGGTTAGCTTTACCAGATGGTAAGCTCCCATCAAGCTACATACTCTCATCTCTTACACTTTTATCTTACAGATTTTAAAAAAGCATCGAGATCCAACTACCAGGAGAATAGGAGGCAGCAGTGACCCAGTGACAGCACGAAGTGCCCCCACCACACCATCCCAAATAAACACACTAGGCAAAAATAGTGCGTGAGCTGTGCGAACACAATTTCAGAACCAGCCCCTTCAGCTCATCCCTCCAACCCACCAGCTACTTCTGAAGCCCTCCCCTTCTCCTGCACTCTCCCACCAATCTTGAGCTGCCATCATATCCACGCTCCACGGCTCATGAAGAGGCTGAGAGATGCAGTGGAGGGTTCAACGCTGGGCAAGTATATTAGCAGTTCCAACTGACCTGACCGAGAAATGAATCTCTTTATGTAGTCAGAACCTTGAAGCCAAGGGATAGCAACCATTCTGAAGGGCAGAGACAGACAAAGGAATTTACTGATGCATGTAAACAAAAAATCCTCGAGGAATTGTGATATTGTCATTTACAATGAGAAATACATATTTGCTCTTCGTTGCTGGCATAGCTCCTAAAACGCTTGAAGTCTCTGAAATGATAAATGTTTTTTCTTATGCTAATGAGATGACTGGTGGCTGAGGGCTCCTGGATAGCTGTAGGATGGGGGCTGGTTTTCAGGGAAACCAATCTCGTGATTGGGTACTTTCAGCCCCATTTCCCAAACTCTGGGGAGGGGAGAGGGGCTGAAGCTGGAGTTGGTCACCAATGGTCAATGAAGCCAAAGGTCAATCAAGCCTCATAATGAGGCCTCTATAAAAACCCAAAATGGGCTAGGCATGGTGGTTCATGCCTGTAATCCCAGCACTTTGGGAGGCTGAGGTGGGTGGATCACCTGAGGTCACGAGTTCGAGACCAGCCTGGCCAACATGGTGAAACCCTGTCCCTACTAAAAATACAAAATTAGCTGGGTGTGGTGGCGGGTGCCCGTAATCCCAGCTACTCAAGGGGCTGAGGCAGGAGAATCGCTTGAACCCGGGAGGCAGAGGCTGCAGTAAGCTGAGATCACATCACTGCACTCCAGCCTGGGAGACAGAGCGAGACTCCATCTCAAAAAACAAAACAAAACAACAACAACAACAAAATGACAGGGTCTGGAGTACTTCCAGATTGCTGAACATTCAGAGGTTTTTTTAGGAGAGTGGAACACCCCGAGAGGGTATGGAAGTCCTGCACCCTTTCCCCCATACCTCGCCCTATGCATCTCTTCATCTGGCTGTTCATCTGTATCCTTTATCCTATCTTTCACTGGACAATAAACTGTAAACATAAGTATTTCCCTGAGTTCTGTGAGCCATTGCAGCAAATTATGGAACCCAAGAAGGGGGTTTTGGAAATTCTGATTTTACAGCTGGTCAGTCAGAAGTACTGGCGAAAACCTGGGACTTCATATTGGTATCTGAAATGGGAAAAGTCTTTGGGAGACTGTGCGCTTAACCTGTGAGGTCTGATGGTAACTCCAGGTAGACAGTGTCAGAATTGAATTAAATTGCAAGACACCTAGTTGGTGCCCACTGGAGAATTCATGTGTATGAAGAAATCCCCATATCTGGTTACAGAAGTGTTCTGTGTTGTGTTGAGTGAGAGGATAGTAGGAGAAAACAGTTTGGATCTTCCTGCATTACAGGAACGGCGATAGCTCTCAACACAGCTGGATCTGCATATACTGTCACCAGGAATCGCGACTTTTCTGAATGTACTGGCTTCGTTCCCAGTTGGCACTCTGCACATGGGAGTAAAGACGGCCACCAGAAGGCAAAGCTTCTATCGTACCAGCTTGGAAACCCCAGCTGAGAGCATGTGCCTCTTTCACACTGGTTCCAGAAAAAGTCCCAGAATAGACTCATTGTCTGACTTGGATCATGTGCCTATCACTTAGCCAGTCCCTGAGTTTTCTGCCTGCTCCTGGGACCAGAGTGTGGGTCAGACCACACGCAGCACGTGGATTGAGAGTGAGAAAGAATGAGCTCCAAAGCAAGAGAACGGGGGAAAGATGCCAGAAAGACAGAAACGAAAGATATCCCCAAAGCACAAGCCTTAGCTGTCAACCATTTGAACCCCCAGGATTTTTTCATCCTCAGTTTGATGCATGCTAAATACGGTTTGAAATTCTGTTAAATCACAAAGCGTTGTTCCCATCAAGAATTGGAACATCACCAGCACCCCAGGGCAGCCCCTGTACTCCCTTCCAGGCACTATCCACTGGAAGGTAACCCACCCCGAATTCTAACAGCACAGGTAAGTTTGGCCTGTTCTGATACTTCACATAAATGGAATCACGGCTTGTACTATATTGTGATTGTGCCCTTTTCTGTGTGCATATTATAATTCAATAAAAAGTTTATTTAAAAAGCTGCTCCCGGCCGGGCGCGGTGGCTCACGCCTATAATCCTAGCACTTTGGGAGGCCGAGGCAGGCGCATCACCTGAGGTCAGAAGTTCAAGATCAGTCTGGCCAACATGGCGAAACCCTGTCTCTACTAAAAATACAAAAATTAGCGGAGCGTGGTGGCTCCTGCCTGTAATCCCAGCTCCTCAGGAGGCTAAGGCAGGAGAATTGCTTGAACCTAGGAGGCAGAGATTGCAGTGAGCTGAGATCATACCACTCCACTCCAGTCTGGGTGACAGAGTGAGGCTCTGTCTCAAAAAGTAAAATAAAAATAAAAAGCTGCTCCTGATATTTTCCCTACTCTATGAACATCATAAATTATGGAACTTTCAAGGACCTTCTCAGCTCTCTTAGAAATGGCCTTCTCCAAGGAAACAATCTCTTAGATAGCAAATTCTTTCAAGCATCTGCAGTAAACCACAGGTGGCCAAGTTCACAGGCAGTGGGGCCCATGTGAGGGACCTGCCATGTTTTTTGGCCTCCCACCTCCTTCTGCTCAGCCTTCTGGCCTGGGCTCCATCCTCTTAGAGGTGGGCATTTGAGAAAACATCTCCCTGTGCCGGTCTTTGCATCTGAGGTCAAAGGTGAGCAGAGAACAACCATCAATCAGGCAACAGTTTGCTAGCAAACCTGCAAAAAGCTCATGGATAGGACAAAGAGATGACATCATTGAGTCACCTCAAAATGTGGTCAGGGACCCCTCAGTAATGAAAGTTACAAACTCTTACCCCACCTCTCCACACTGAAGCTCATCTGTGGATAAGCCCTAAGAGTCCATGGATTCCAGGTTTAAAAAAGCTTCTCTGTAGGGCAGAACTAGGGCAAGCCATCAGGTCAGGCTAGCTATAGACAGGATAGCCAGGCTTGGGAGGTAAGGCGCCCCTCCTCTGCTCCAGAATTACGCATGTAGAGGATGAGGGGCCTCTACAAGGTTTGTTCCAGACAGACTTCCTGTGATGGGTGAGAAGACAGATTACATGATTTTTAAGGTTCTTTCTAATGCTCAGATTTCATGATCCTAGCAAAGCTCCTCTAATGGCCCTAATGGCAGCCCAGGAGCTAAACCACTGAAACCAACGCTGAGCCCTCAAAAAGGTAAACACAGAATAACCATATGACTGAGCAATTCCACTCTTAAGTATATGCCCCAATGAACTGATAAGTTATTCAAACAAATACTCAGCATGGATGTTCATAGTAACAAAACAGTGTTGACAGTAGTCAAAAGGTAGAAACAGCCCAAATGTTCATCAACAGATGAATGGATACACAAAATGTGGTGCATCCACATGATAGAATACTATTTGGCCATATAAAGAAATGAAGGTTGGGATACGTGCTACAACACAGACGACAACATTATGCTAAGCGTAAGAAGCCAGACACAGAAGGTCACAGAATACATATAAGTGGAATAATACACAGAAGGTTGTATTATTTCACTTATATAAACCATCCCGAAGAGTTATATCCATAGACACAGGGTTCAGCTTAGTGGTTGCCAAGAGCTGCAGAGGGGCCAATAGCGAGTGACCGCTTAATGGATACAGGGTCTCTTTTGAGGGATGATGAAAATGTTTTGGAATTACACAGACAGTTGCACAACATTGCGGACATACTAAATGCCACTGAATTGTACACTTTAAAATGGTTAATTTTACCTCAATTTAAAAAAATATAAATAAAACCAATCCTGAGTAAGCAGGCTCTGTGCTGCGCTGGGTACCATGGTTGCCTGGTAAATATGGGAGCCCTATCATTCTGGGCCTCTTAACCTCTTAACCACAGCCGTTTCCTGGATTTGGAAATGTAAAACAAAGCAAAACAACATCAACAAAAATACCAGACACCCTGAAAAGGCTCTTTAGCCTCTGAATACCCAAACTGCAGGCTGGAAACAGGAGAGGTAGAAATAAATTAACCACTTGCAAGTCAAAAGGCCAAGCAATTTAGGCTTGCAAATACCTTGGGAGCTCAAACAGAGGCATGAGAAGTATTTTCGCTTTAACTAGAAATTAAGCAAAGAAATTCATTTTGGACCAATTATGACACATACAACCTTGAGAAGACACAATAATATTTAAAGGCCTCAAAATCAATTATTTCATTTAGGCAGATTCAGCAACTGGCTTGGCCAAGAGAACTATCACCCAAATATCCACCCTTTGATTCCTTGAATCAAAGCTTCTTTTTCCTCTTAAACCAATAATGTATCAAATGTTTTAAAATGTAAATAATTTCACCATCCATCTCATGATAAAGCTGGTGACTTTCTCATTTTGAGACTCATTCCAAGACCGTCCTGAAAATACTGATCCCCTAGGTCTGTTGTGTGGGAGGACTCTGTAGCTATTCACCTAGTAGAGATTTCTCCTCCACCCCAACTCCCTTACACACACACACACACACCACACACACACACACACACACACACACACACACACACAAACTCCTGGTGGCTTGGTTTCCTGGAGTATTTATTTATTCCTTGGCTGACTTGTCCTTATGGCGGAGTGGAGGCTGGAGGGCCGACCCTCTCCTGTGGCCCATCTTAACAGAGATACAATTCCTTGCAAAATCACATGTACTCTGCCTCTCATAGACAATACAGTTAGGTCCTGTGGAAATAGTAATTGATGTGTGCATGATGTGGCAATACTGACTCAAGTACTGTTTTAACAGCTGCTCCTCATGGGCTCTAAAATTAGAGGGCAACAAGAAATCATTCACTCCTGGAGCTAACCTACCTACAAGACAGAATTTCCACCCCTTAAGAAGCACGAAGAGTTTTTACTCCTCAAACACTAAATCTTGCTAGAAGTACATAGGAGTCAGGAAAATTAAACAGCAAATAGTTATTAATAACTAACTCTGGGCTGGGCGCAGTGGCTCACACCTGTAATCCCAGCACTTTGGGAGGCTGAGTCAGGCAGATCACCTGAGGTCAGGAGTTCAAGACCAGCCTGGCCAACATGGCGAAACCCTGTCTCTACTAAAAATACAAAAATTAGCTGGGCGTGGTGGCATGTGCCTGTAATCCCAGCTACTCAGAAGGCCGAGACAGGAGAATTGCTTGAACCCAGGAGACAGAGGTTGCAGTTAGCCGAGATCGCACCACTGCCCTCCAGCCTGGGTGACAGAGCAAGATTCAGTCTCAAAACAAAACAAAACAAAACAAAACAAAACAACAGAAGTAACTCTAGGTATGACTCTTGAGATACAAAGAATCACAAGATACACTCTCTGTCCTCTTGGAGTCTGTCAGTTCTTTGGGTAGAAAAGTCATGTATATCATAAACAGATACACTCATTTTGTAAAAACAACCCTCAGGTAAAAAGATTGTTCTGAAGTTGGTGGATGGACAAAAAAAGCTAAGGACAGTCCTCTAACTCCTAACCTCACATTCCTTCCAGGGTAGTAGAAAAAAGGCAGGTCTAGAAAGTAGAACACTCTGAGTTCAAACACCATTCCCACCCTATACAGGCAGTGTGATCTGAGCAACATACTAAGTCTTTCCAAATCTCACTTTTCCATCTGTAAAGTGGGCATGGTGCCACCTATTTTGCAGGGTGATTGTGAGGATCATGTAAGATTTCTATCTCTCGGCCGGGCACGGTGGCTCATGCCTGTAATCCCAGCACTTTGGGAGGCCGAGGCGGGTGGATCACCTGAGGTCAGGAGTTTGAGACCAGCCTAACCAACATGGTGAAACCCCGTCGCTACTAAAAATACAAAAATTAGCCGGGTGTAGTGGCGGGCACCTGTAATCCCAGCTACTCGGGAGGCTAAGAACTGCCTGAATCCAGGAGGCGGAGGTTGCAGTTAGCCGAGATCGCACCATTGCACTCCAGCCTGGGCAACAAGACTGAAACTCTGTCTCAAAAAAAAAAAAAAAAAAAAAGATTTCGATCACTTTCATGTAAGGCTATGTATCTCATTTGATTAATACATATACTAATAGACCATAGAAGATGCACATTGCGGCCGGGCGCGGTGGCTCAGCCTGTAATCCCAGCTACTCTGGTGGCTGAGGCACAAGAATCGCCTGAACCCAGGAGGCACAGGTTGCAGTGAGTTGTGATTGTGCCACTGCACTCCGGCCTAGGTGACAGAGAGAGAGAGAGACTCTGTCTCAAATAAAATAAAATAAAATAAACAAGATGCACATTGCATAATAGGTATAATAAAAATACCACATGGAATAGAAATTAATCAATAATGATGCATAAAATAGCTATGAATAGGACGCCAACTTTGTTGCATACATCATTTCAATCCTCCCAACAACTCTCTTAGTCATTTTATAAATGAAATATCATTTCATGGCCATTGCAACAAATGTCCGTGGGTAAACAAATCTGTGCAACCAAGAAGCATGTAACTCTCTGAATTTTCCTAGGCTAGATCAAAGCTATAACGAAGCATCAGATCGAATGTGGTCACTATCATCTTTGCCCCACCACCATTAGCACTCGCAAGGAGCATCCAAAATCAAGTGCCCTTCAACATCTAGACAGCCAGATGACTTGCATAAGAGCATTTGGGTTTTACATTCAGCTTAAAATACGCCACTCCTTCTCCTTTTCTCCTCTTCCAAATTCTTTTTTTTAATGTAACAAGGATTTATTCACAGGAATACATGTAAGTAGAGAAAAATACTCTCCTTAGGGCAGCATTTCTCAAGGGGTGTGTGTGTGATTTTGCTCCCAGGGGGACATTTGGCAATATCTGGAGACATACTCAGTGGTCATGTGTGTCTGTGTAATGGGGACATGGGGGAGTGCTGTGCTATTGGCATCTAGTGCATAGAGGCCAGAAGATGCTGCCAAGTCCCTCACCCCAGCCAAACAAAGAATCACCCCACCCAAAATGTCAATAATGCTGAGAAATCATGCTTTAGAATCAGAGAAGAAATTTTCGACTTCTTTGCAACTATAGCACATGCCCATAGGTGGTCAGCGACGGTCTTCTGCCTGATCTTTTTTTTTTTTTTTTTTTGAGACAGAGTCTGGCTCTGTGGCCCAGGCTGGAGTGCAGTGGTGCGATCTTGGCTCACTGCAAGCTCTGCCTCCTGGATTCACACCATTCTCCTGCCTCAGCCTCCTGAGTAGCTGGGACTACAGGGGCCCACACCACACCCGGCAAAATTTTTTGTATTTTTAGTAGAGACGGGGTTTCACCGTGTTAGCCAAGACGGTCTCGCATCTCCTGACCTCGTGATCCGCCCGCCTCGGCCTCCGGAAGTGTTGGGTTTACAGGTGAAGCCACCGCGCCCGGCCTTTCTTTTTTTTTTTTTTTTGAGATTGAGCTTTGCTACTTGTTGCCCAGGTTGGAGTGCAATGGCACGATCTCGGCTCACTGCAACCTCTGCCTCCCGGGCTCAAACGATTCTCCTGCCTCAGCCTCCTGAGGAGCTGGGATTACAGGTGCCCACCACCATGTCCGGCTAATTGTTTGTATTTTTAGTAGAGACATGGTTTCACCATGTTGACCATGGCTGGTCTCAACTCAGGTGATGCGCCCGCCTCGGCCTCCCAAAGTGCTGGGATTACAGGCGTGAGCCACCGCGCCCGGCCATGTGACCTTATAGCAAGAGCCCAGCTTCATTATATGCAGGCTGGTATATTTGCAGTGGGAGGTAGTATTGGAGGAAAGAAGAATTTCAACCAACCCCACTCTCACAGTGGCCCAAAAGGCATCTCACCAAGATGAAGAAATACAGTCCAAGTCAAGCAGCCATCAAGCTCATGCCTATTCTTGGCAAGGAATTTCTCACTTGGCTCTTCAGATAGCTTGGATATTTGTTCCTGCTGAAATCTCATATTAAAATGTAATCCCCAGCGCTGGAGGTGGGGCCTGGTGGGAGGTGTTTGGACGGTGGGGGTGGATCGCTCATGGCTTGGTGCTGTCTTCGTGATAGTGAGTGAGCTCTTCTTGCAAGATCTGGTCGTTTAAAATTGTGTGGCACCCCCACCCTTTCTCTCTCTCGCATGCTCCTGCCATGTGAAGTGCCTGCTTCCGCTTCACCTTCTGCCATGAGTAAAGGCCTCCCTGAGGCCCCCCAGAAGCTGAGCAGATGTTGGCACCATGCTTCCTGTAAAGCCTGCAGAACTACAAGGCAATTAAACCTCTTTTCTTTATAATTTACCCGGTCTTAGGTATTTCTTTATAGCAATGGGACAACGGCCTATTACAGCTCCTTACTATCTGAATGGTAGATAGCTTTCTGGGCCAAACTTGTGCTCTAGAACACAGTGGAGTGTACAGGTCAAAGCCTCAAATAGGATGGTCTTCCCCAGGTCTAAGCCCAGGCCGGCCCTGCCCACCCTCTGTCCTCCTGCAATCCTCCCAGATCTGCTGAGGGGTACAAAAACTTTGTCCAGGCAACTTTGATCTGGGTTTCTCATCTTCAAGTTGATCCTCCTCTTCCCAAATGAAACCTACGCGTGCTGGGTAATATACTTTTTTTTGGAGATGGAGTTTCGCTCTTGTCTCCCAGGCTGAAGTGCAATGGCACAATCTTGGCTTACTGCAACGTCCACCTCTTGGGTTCAAGTGATTCTCCTGCCTCAGCCTCCTGAGTAGCTGGGATTACAAGCATGCATCACCACACCCAGCTAATTTTTGTATTTTTAGGAGAGACAGGGTTTCACCATGATGGCCAGGCTGGTCTTGAACTCCTGACCTCAGGTGATCTGCCTGCCTTGGCCTCCCAAAGCGGTGGGATTATAGGCGTGAGCCACCGCGCCCGGCCCATGCTGGGTAATATACTACTACTGTACGCATAAAAAGGTGGCAACGGCATGTGCAAGCATCACTCCCTGGCCCTGGAAGTTAACTCAGAGCAGGCACTTCTCCTCACAATCTACAGATAAGGAAAGGCAGGCTCAGGACGGAGTGAGTTTCCCCAAGTTACACAGCCAAGGGGAGGCAGTAGGGCTCCAGAGCTGTGCTCCTGCCTTCTCGGTTCAGCACGCTTTCTACTCCATTATGCATCTGCAGGGAAGACCCAGGAGTATCCAAGACTGCCTATTTCATCATCTGTTACGCATGCGGCAGAGAGTGGAGACCCAGGCAGCTGGAGGAACGGCCCTGTGAGAAGAGATTGTATAGTCCTAGAAAAAGACCAACTGGAAGACCACGGCGTAGCAGAAGCCATTCCGGCAATGAGAGATTCAAACACCAAAGTGGATCTTTTTCAAGATCTAAATCCAAATCAAGATCACGGTCCAAGTCCCAGCCCAAGAAAGAAATGAAGGCTAAATCACGTTGCAGGCCTGCATCTCATACCAAAACTAGAGGCATCTCTAAAAACAGATTCCAAAGCACATTACAAGTCTGGCTCAAGATATGAAAAGGAATCAAGGAAAAAAGGACCACCTAGATCCAAATCTCAGTCAAGATCATAGTCTAGGTCTAGGTCAAAATCTAGATCAAGGTCTTGGACTAGTCCTAAGTCCAGTGGCCCCTGGTAGTATAAACCATGATCATTTTTAGACATGGATCATTCATTTACTCATAGTTTTATTTACTTAAATTATCAGGAATACAATGTTGCAATGATGCTTAAAAAACACTTGTTAGTTTTCCCTGTATCAGGCAATGGTTATAATTAAAACAATATGCTGTTGAGAAGCCACTCTTTTTTTTTTTTTTTTTTTTGAGATGGAGTTTTGCTCTCGTCCCCCAGGCTGGAGTGCAATGGCATGATCTTGGCTCACCACAACCTCCGCCTCTCGGGTTCAAGTGATTCTCCTGCCTCAGCCTCCCAAGTAGCTGGGATTACAGGCGTGTGCCACCACGCCTGGCTAATTTTTTTTTGTTGTATTTTTAGTAGAGATGGGGTTTCTCCATGTTGGTCAGGCTGGTCTCGAACTCTTGACCACAGGTGATCCATCCGCCTTAGCCCCCCAGAATGCTGGGATTACAGATGTGAGCCACCGTGCCTGGCTGAGAAGCCACTCTTAGGAGTCCAGTTTGTTTAATGTCATGGACAGCTACCAATTTGTGGTGTCTCTGTATATTTCTATAAAAATTCTCATGTTTTATGCTTGAAGTATTTGGTGAAAAGATGTTAGTTGACCATAATTTGCAACACTGTCTTATTAAAAATAAACTTTCATATTCATATTTGGTAGAACCGCTAACCTAGAAATGTAGCTTGCTAATAAGACAGAATGATACAAAAGTGAGGTGGTAGCCACAGTACAACACTGACTGGCCAGATGCATTTAGGTTCAGGGTGGACCTTTATGTCTTGTCAAGATGTCTAGGCCCATGATCATTATTTATGATGCAGCGTGGATTTGTTTTTTTGTTAACCCCACTGTCTTGGGGAATGATGCCAACTGGGTTACACAGTATTTTCAGGGAGTTTTTTTTTTTTTTTTTTTTTTTTGAGACGGAATTTCACTCTTGTTGCCCAGGCTGGAGTGCAATGGCACGATCTCGGCTCACTGCAAACTCCACCTCCCGGGTTCAAGCGATTCTCCTGCCTCAGTCTTCAGAGTAGCTGGGATTACAGGTATGCGCCACCATGGCCAGCCAATTTTTGTATTTTTAGTAGAGACGGGGTTTCTCCATGTTGGTCAGCTGGTCTCGAATTCCCAACCTCAGGTGATCCGCCCATCTCGGCCTCCCAAAGTGCTGGGATTACAGGCGTGAGCCACTGCGCCCGGCCTTTTAGGGAGATGGAGTCTTTGACTGAAACATGGAGACTTCATGACTTTTTTCTGGTTCCCATGAAGATTTGGAACATAGAAAACATCACAAAAGCTCACCTTAAAATTTGAGCAGGTTGATGATGGCCAAAAGGATTGTAAGGGGAAAATAATGTTCCTATGAAGTTACGCTAAAGTTTAAGGAGTATTGTTGACCATAATATTGCTTAGTTTTTTTACAGCTGTTAGAAGCAAGTAAATTGTTTCAAAGTAGGTTCTGTGTGTGTGTGTGCACTGTGTAAAAGAATTGAAATTTTGATGTTTACAGCACTTGGCCTGTGCATTTATATCAAAATTTCCTGCCTCTTCATGAGAGAGGCTTGCCTTTCACACCTCAGTTTATTCAAAAAGAGGCAAGTTGAGGGCTGGGCACGGTGGCTAACACCTGTAATCCCAGCACTTTGGGAGGTCGAGGTGGGCGGATCGCCTGAGATCAGGAGTTCGAGACCAGCCTGGCCAACATGGTGAAACCCCGTCTCTACTAAAAATACAAAAATTAGCCAGGCGTGGTGGTGGGCGCCTGTAATCCCAGCTGCTCGGGAGGCTGAGGCAGGAGAATCACTTGAACTGGGGAGGCGGAGGTTGCACTGAGCCAAGATCGCGCCATTGCACTCCAGCCTGGGTGACAAGAGCGAGACTTCGTCTCAAAAAATAATAAAAATAATAATAATAATAAAATAAGAGGCAAGTTGAAAGACAACACTCTCACTCTAGGTGATTCTGTGGTGCTATGAAATTTAAAATAATTTTGGAAAAAGGATCAGTCAGTTTTAAGCAAGAGTCACATCTTTTGAGTTTTTGGTTATCAGTGTAATACCTGACTAAAAATAAACAAGTAATACCTTTAACCATTGATAATTTCTAGTATTTCTCTGAAAGATTGTTTTGGGGACAAAAGTGACTTGACATGTCCAATCTCATTCCAGAAAAAAAAAACAAAACAAAAAACTAGCATCTTAAAAAATCTCAGATTGCTTGCTTACAGAAATAAGTAAGAATTATCATGGAGAAATGATTCTTTTTAAAGGATTATTTTTTTCAGTTTTGGTGTTAGTAATCTAGGCTTCGCCTGTAAAGAACAAAACAATGGTTTTTAAATACTGTTTGCGGAATGTGTTTAAAGGATTGACTCTAGAATCTTTGTATATTTGAGAGTATTTCTAACTTTCATTTCTTTACTGTTTTCAGTTAATGTTCATGTTCTGCTATGCAATCATTTATATGCACGTTTCTTTAGATTTTCCTGGATGTATAGTTTAAACAACAAAAAGTCTATTTAAAACTGTGGCAGTGGGCCAGGCACGGTGTCTCACGCCTGTAATCCCAGCACTTTGGGAGGTTGAGGAGGGTGGATCACCTGAGGTCAGGAGTTCACGACCAGCCTGGACAACATGGTGAAACCCATCCCTACTAAAAATACAAGAATTAGCCAGGTGTGGTGGTGGGCACCTGTAATCCCAGCTACTTGGGCAGCTGAGCAGGAGAATCGCTTGAGCCCGGGAGGCAGAGGTTGCAGTGAGCTGAGATTGCGCCACAGCATTCCAGCCTGGGCAACAGAATGAGATTCTGTCTCAAAAAAAAAACAACAAAAAAACAACCCACAAAAAACTGTAGCAGTAGTTTGCAGTTCTAGCAAAGAGGAAAGTTGTGGGGTTAAACTTTGTATTTTCTTTCTTGCAGAAGCTTCTAAAAAGGCATTTTTATATGTTCTTTTTAACAAATCTTGTGTACAACTTTTAAAACATCAATGTTTGGATCAAAACAAGACCCAGCTTATTTTCTGCTTGCTGTAAATTAAGAAAACATGCTGTAATAAAAACAAAATGAAGGGGAAAAACATAAAAGATAAGAAGAAATCAGCTGTACAGAGTGGAGAGGGTGGGAGGGTTCCAGGGGAGGGGGCAGGCTGTCCGTCCAGGCAGTGGGAGAGCTCCTGAGCCAGGAACCCAAGGGCGTGCTTGAGGAATGGCTTGAAGGTTAGTGTGGCCAGCCAGCCAAGGTGAGAGGGAGGAGCAGAGTGTGCGGTGTGGTGAGGGGCTGCCTCATGCAAGGCCTTGAATTTTGTCTAAGAGCAATGGGAAACCAGCACTGGAAAGTTTTATGCAAAAGAGACATTTTTGTTGTGAAATATTTGGCTACAGTGAGAACGGTCTAGAGAAAAGCAATGTGAGGTTGTCTAGGCTGGAGGGAGCAGCCTTGCTTGGGGATGGAAGCAGTGCACCTGGGGAGAAGAAGACATTCAAGATGATGTTGAGCTCGAGCAGACAGGGCTTGCTGATGGATAGCTTGTGGGGTGAGAGAGGGAGGAACGAAGGCTGGGCTATGTGTCTGAGTTAAGCCAATTACTAAGGGATGCAATTTATGGAGATGAGGAAATCCAGAGGAGAAACAGATTTAGGGGGAAGTAGAGTCCCATATACCAGCTCTGTAAACCGATCTCCGCCATTAAAATATCCTCATTCTCAGCCTCCTCATTATTAATAAATATTTATTGACCAAACACAACTGCAAGGCACTGCTAAGACTCATTTTTTTTTTTGAGACAGCTAAGCCTCATTTTTTTTAAGAATCTAAGATAGGGAAGGCAGAAAAAAATTGCAAAGCATTAGGCATAATTTAATTGCATTTGAGGTTGGTTACTTTTTTAAAGATAGCCCATAAATATATACATGCTAGTTATGGAGCGACTTGTACGTTTCACTTTATCCTTTCCTTTCCTTATTAGTTTCCTAATACTTTTTCTAAAAAAAAAAAAAAAAAAAAAGAGGCAGTTATTTGGTGTCAGGCTTTGCATTTCTAAAAAGCCCCTCTGAAAAGGCACTGTATATTTCCTACTGGAAGCCCTAACCTGTTAGGACATCTGAAGAAAACAGAGTTGGGAGTGAGAAGGACACAAGCAAAGCCAACTATGTGGACAGCCCTATGAGGGGAGGGCCTGAGCACTTTCCAGGCAGTTCTCACACGGGTTCTCTCCAATCTATCTTTTCTTCTGGCTTCATCTGTTTCCATTTTCCTAATCTGGCATACTCACTGTGGAGGCACCTTAAAGTCAGACAGTGAGGGTCCTTGTTCTTATTTAACTCTAAGCTGCTCCTCTCTTGCTTCATCCATCAGGATGTGCTCAGTCATCCATCACCTCCTCCAGGAAGCCTTCCCTGACCACGCCAGTCTGTTAACAACTCCCTTACTGGTCTTCACTGTTGGGGCTCAGAAAATAACCCAAAATGAAAGCATAGGAAGCAGCGCACTCCAACCTCCTCCTGCCTTGTTGTCTCTGCCTCTCTCGTTTTCCCCCACCAGCCCAAGGCTACCCACAGAAACTAGAATGACTTTTCCCCAAGGTGGTTCATAGAAACCAGAACCCCTATTCTTCAAAGCCAGCCATAAAACCTAAAAATATTACCCTAACTCCCACCTTCTCCCCAACCTTTGTGTAAAAACTGTCCATAAAGAAACTATCTGACCTATCTTGTTTGATTGTAGGTCATAAGACTCCCCTTCCAGAGAGGGTCCTGCCCCATCCCCAGGAGGAAAGAACACTGCACAGAGAGGCCAAGTAGAAGTTACACAGATAGGACTTGCTAGGTTTCCCCACTCAGTCAATTCATGCTAGATCATATGCTTTTTGTCCAATCATATTTCTTCATGGCGGTCCAAACTTTGTTAAACCTAAGCATGAAAATGGACACTTTCCCCTGTATCTTTGGGTCTTCATTCTGAAGGCTCCCGTGTCACATAAAACTATGGTGAAATAAATTTGTATTCTTTTCCTCCTATTAATCTGCCCTTTGTCAGCTGATTTGCAGTGAATCTTCAGAGGCAAAGGGGAAGTTTCCCTATATCATCATGACATAAGCATACCTCGAGTATAGCATTTTTTTCACTATGTTGTGATGTTTCTGAATGTATGTCTGTTTATTCCATTAGACTGGGAGCTTAGAATGGATACCTGCTATGCTTTTTGGTTACTCATTGCCTTTCCACATTCTATTTGCAGAAGTTCCCTTCTTCTGATTCTGCACATCTTTAAGGCAGATGCCAGAAACTTGCTTTCCCAGCTGCCCTTGCAGCTAAGATGTAGACACGTGATCTGGGCTCTGCCAATTAGAAGAGAGAGAGGTGGAGAAGCAATTGTCTTCTGGAAGCCATTTTGTCAAAGGCAGTTACAGACACCCAACTTCAGGAGACAACAGCTGAGCAGGTTAAAGTAGTGTCTTGTACTCAGCATCCAGCATTGGTGCCAGGGCACTGATATGAGTGAAAGATCTCCACTGGGGCAGCGCATTGCCTGGACTGGCTGCTTTGCTTCCAGGCCAATTCTGCCTCTGCTGGAGCTGCTTTAATAAATAACCTCTTTGCTTAAACCAACTAGAGTTGATTCTGTGTTTTGCAACTAAAATTCTTAACTGGTAACTGAGGTCCTCAAGGCAGAGATCGAGTTTCATTTACTTCTCTATCACTAGTCTCTAGCAAAATGTTATGCATATTCAAGGGCCTCAATCAATTATTGCTGATTAAATGACTAAATGAAAAAAAAATGGATGGAGAAGCTAGACTGTAAATGATTAGCTTCTCAAGTCCTCTTTCTTTCAGTAATCATTGAAAAGTACTATTTGTTCCCTAAATCTTCTAATTAGAGAAGACACAGGGATTTTGCTTCCCTTAATGATTCTCCAACTATGTTCCTTTGGAATACTAGTGATGTTTCTATTGCTAAAACTGAATAATAGTGAGTTTTTCCAAATATATAGAAATAATTTATTTAGTACAAGGAGTTTTGTCAGTTTCAAGCTGTCACTCAGAAACTTTAAAACTCTGGCACCTGCTACTGTTTTGTCGGCAAGTTCAGTGGATGAAAAAATAATTGTGCAAGTAAGCAAGTATTATAGCAAAAACTCAAAACCTCTAGTCTGCTTAGTTCCACAGTTTTCCCCTTTTCTGTGCCCATTCTGTTTGCTGGAATTTTACCTAATAGATTGCACACTTCACACAGCATCCTATTTTCCGCTAGTAAAGTTGCTCCTAGATCATATAGTGGAATCCAATGACTCAACATTTTATTGAATAGACACCATTGACTCACAAATTATTGGCCACCTGAATATTTGTGAGAACACCAATTCAAAGGCCTTCCTAACACCGTGCTACCCTTTTGTTACAAGCTGAATTGTGACCCCTGCCACAAATTCATATGTTGAAACTAACTTCTAGTACCTCAGAATGTGACTGTATTTAGAGATAGTGTCTTTAAAGAGGTCACTGAGTTAACATGAGGCGGTTAGGCAGGGTGCTGTGGCTCACACCTGTAATCCCAGTACTTTGGGAGGCCAAGGCAGACGGATCACAAGGTCAGGAGATGGAGACCATCCTGGCTAACGTGGTGAAACCCTGTCTCTAACTAAAATACAAAAAATTACCTGGGTGTGGTGGCATGCGCCTGTAATTCCAGCTACTCGGGAGGCTGAGACAGGAGAATGACTTGAACCCAAGAGGTGGAGGTTGCAGTGAGCCGAGATCGTGCTACTGCACTCCAGCCTGGAGACAGAGCAAGACTCCATCTCAAAAAAAAAAAAAAAAAAAAAAAAATGAGGCTGTTACAGTGGGCCCTAATCCAACCTAACTAGTGGCTTTATAAGAAGAGGAGATTAGGACACAGAGAGAGATACCAGGGATGCGTAAGCACAGAAGCAGACACAGCAAGAAGGTGGCCATCTGCAAGACAAGGAAACAGGCCTCAGAAGAAACCAAACCTGCCAACACCTTGATCTTGGACTTCCAACCTCCAGAACTGTGGGATAATAAATGTCTGTTGTTCAGCCACACGGCCTGTGGTACTTTGTTATGGCAGCCCAGGCAGACTAAGATGCCTTTCTTTCAGGCCTCCCAGCCTCAAATTGGAGCCTGCAGACTCAGACCATGCAACCTGGACTGGAGCTTCTGGCTACCAAACCTTCTTCCCCCAGGCCCATCTGCCTCTTGCCTCAGTTTATTCTCCACACCCTGGGCTGGGAAGATGGAAGATCAAATTACAGCCCTGCACTGGGAAACACACAGGGTTGTCCTCCATAAATCAGCAGATTCCCAACTCACCAACCCCACTGGGAAGTCACTCCTTGACACACGCATCCTGCCCTCCTTAGCGTCTTACCTTCCTTCCTCTGCTCTTTTACAGCACCAAAACCAGCGAAAAGAGTGACCTTTAAATTCCATTAATGCAAGAATGAGTTATAGGGAGGAGCTGACAGGACTGTCAAACCAGACCCCTTCAGAAGGCCCCAAGGGAAATTAGGAGAAGGAGAGGCGAGGAAAAGAGGCAAAGAGGAGCTGGGAGGGGCCGAGCCAAACTGTCTACCACAAATTTGTCCCTGGGACTTGTGCTGGCTCCAGGCTCCTTCCAGAGACAGTGGTTTCCAGGGACGACAGAGCATCTGAAGCAAGACTCCCTGGGTGGCAAAGCCCCCGGAAGGGCTCCCGCCTTCCCTCCTGCACTGTCCCCTCCCAGATGCCCACCAGCAGCTGGTGACAGCTGCTCTGAGTTAGTGCTCAGGCTCTGCGTGGCACAGAGGACAACGGAATGGGGACGTCCCACTCTAACCAGGCCTCTAGGAGGGGCTGGTGGAGGACAGCCACATGGCATCTCTCATTACTGTCAGTGGAGATGGAGAAGAGACAAATTCAGGGACAGCTTCACAAGGTAGAATGCACCAAACTTGAAGGCTGGGGAGGTTAAGGGGGAGGGAGGCAGGGACAAGCGAGGTGCTAAGGTCACTCAAGTTCTGGCTTAAGTGGCCAGGTAAGCTACTGGCACCTTTCTCTGGTAGCAAAGACCCTAGGACAAGTAGGTTTGGACATGACTGTGGCTTTTAATAGGGCAATGATTGTGTTATAATAAATATATGTATGCATCTCTTTCCCAGGCTAGACTGCATTCTCCTTGAGGGCAGAGACAGCGATTTAGGCACATCTATGTATTCCAGTCACAAGTTTGAAGCATTCATTCAGCACTTATGGAACAAACATTAACTGAGGGCCTCCACACACCCAGGACTAGCTCCAATACCACACTGGGTCTAGACTCGCAAAGGCCAGACACAACGGGCACTCAATACACGCTGTCTCTTGGATAAATATTTTAAAGGATGATCTATTGACTCTTTTTTTTAATTTTCTTTATTCTTAATGTTTTGGCATCTGGGGCCTTGTTGACTGGGGAGAGACTTCCTCTTCTAGAGCTAGCCAATTCTTAGAGATAAAAAACCACTTACCTTTGTACACCTTTCATATGTTAACCGATCAATCAAGAGGCCTTCCTATCCCCTCTCACCGCCACCCCACCCCAACAACCTCTTTGAACTCTCACACAGGGCCCCCTGCCCTAATCATCCAGGGCCAGGTATTAAACCACTAGGGACAGCCCCTGCACCCCAAAGGCCACTAAAATTATTCAAACTTGCCAATTCTATTTTTTATATTTTTCCGAGACTGAGTCACCCTCTGTCACCCAGCCTGGAGTGCAGTGGCACAATCTCAGCTCACTGCAACCTCTACCTCCTGGATTCAAGCAACTGTCCTGCCTCAGGCTCCCGAGTAGCTGGGACTACAGGTGCCCACCACCACACCCGGCTAATTTTTGTATTTTTAGTAGAGACAGGGTTTCACCATGTTGGCCAGGCTAGTCTCGAACTCCTGACCTCAAGTGATCAGCCCGCCTTGGCCTCCCAAAGTGCTGGCATTACAGGTGTGAACCACCGCGCCTGGCCTACAACAAACTGCCAATTCTAAACCTGCTTACCCTGCCTTGCCCATTCCTTGCCTCAAAAACCACAATAAAGACATTTCCCCACACTTTCCCCTCAATTTCCTTCTGCCTCCTGACCCAGTGTGTCCAGGTGTGGCCCCGTGTGGCATTCTGGGCCTCTGTTTCTAAGGATCTGTGAGTATAAGCTTCTTTCTTCATGATAGCCATTTCCATGTCTGTGTCTCTTACCATACCTGATTAAAACAGATCCCGGGTACATTTTAAAACAGATGGCTGAATGTGAATAAGCATTCAGTAACTGTAAATTAACAACTCATTCCTTCCAAGCAGTGCAAAGTACATCCTCTTCAAAAGAGAGAAAAGAGGCGTTGGTTCTATCTGTCATTATGTTGAAATTGAATGGAAGTGAGAGAGAAAGCTAGTTTTGGGAGAAGATGGGCCAAATTCACATATAGGCAGTCCCTAATCTACTGTGAGATCATGGATTTGGGGCAAGAATGAAGAGCAAAGAAATAGCAGAAGAGGGGCCTTCTCCATATACCCTGTAGAGCTTTGCACGGGCTGAGAGAATGCAGGAAGATTCAGTCAACATTTGCTACATCAACGTCAAGAATCAACCTTTTCAGGAATGACTTCACAAAAGCCATGTAAACAAACAAAGAGATGAAGGAATCAGCTCTTTTATGGTATTTATTTCTTAATGGTGGCATCAGAAACTCCCGTTAGTCCAGAATGATGAAATGAGATCGTGGGTACACAAAGCATGTGGCACAGTGGCTGGTATCAACAAATTATACTTGAATGCTCAACAAATTATACTTGTTACTGCTGTTGTTCTTAGCAATTGGTAAAATGGAGTCTGTGACTAAGTGGCTTTTCTAGTGAACAACTTTTAGGGGACCAGCTACCAAAAAGTCAATAAAATTAATTCATCTGACATTGTGGCTGAGCCACATACAATTTTATCTTCCTTTGATGATTCTGAATTTACTTTAAGATGTCATCCAGCTTCTAGTATGTCATAAATAACATTAATTGCCTCTGTATCTTAATGATCACAAAATAGATCCTGATTTATTTGGTTCCGGGATGTGCACAAGGAAACTCAGTGGGGATGCTGGATGACCCATAGAATCACTGGACCAGAAAGAAGCATGACTTTCCCATGGGGCATCCAAAAACCTATGAACCTTCCCAGGTATGTCAGCCATGTGTGTTTGTCTCCAGGGAAGAACCAATCTAATCTTGAAGAATTAGTTTCTTCAAGAAACTTCTTGTATAAAGCCCTCTCTACTACAAAGCCCTCTCTACCAGAGACCGGAGAGGAACAGACAGAAATCAGATATCTAAGAGTCCTGCCCAAAATGAAGATGTTGACTTTTCCCACCTTGCCCTATCAACCCATGGACCAACCCAGGTTCCACAGAACCAGGCATTTTCTTTCTTTCTTTTTTTTTTTTTTTTAGACAGAGTGTCGCTCTGTTGCCTAGGCTGGAGTGCAGTGGCGAGATCTCGGCTCACTGTAAGCTCCGCCTCCAGGGTTCACTCCATTCTCCTGCCTCAGCCTCCCGAGTAGCTGAGACTACAGGCGCCCACCACCACTCCTGGCTAATTTTTTTGTACTTTTAGTAGAGACGGGGTTTCACCGTGTTAACCAGGATGGTCTCAATCTCCTGACCTCGTAATCTGCCCGTCTCAGCCTCCCAAAGTACTAGGATTACAGGCGTGAGCAACTGCGCCTGGCCCCAGGCATTTTATTTCTTAGAAATAAAGTAACATAAATTATGTGTCTGTTTCTTCACATTTGTCTCTAGGGACTTTATATGCCCAAACAGATGAACTCAAATAGAGCAGTACATGACTCAAAGGAATTCTGCCAAATCCACTTTCTCAGTTTTGAGTTGCAGATATGGGATTATAAGCACCGGATAAACATTAGCTCTCCAGCAACACAAAGAAACAAAACCTTTCCTTGGACGGTATGAGGTTGCATAACAGGGATGCTTGATCACCTGTTCCCATTCCCATAACACCTCCAAAAGTTTCTCCTACCTCCTCAATGACACTATTTCCCTTTCTGGAGTCTTTAAACATCCCCCATCCATCTACCAGAATATTGATAGAAGCATCTACATGATCATTCAAACAACAAGGACTGTGGAAGCCGAGACACAAGCGGAACCCACAGATACAGCATTAGGAATCACTCATGCATCAGCCCTGGTTGCCTGACAACCTCAATCAGAACCAGCCTCTGGGGGTACCTGACCCACAGTTCTGCTTCAGCCCTAGCTGGCCACCCTTATGTCCAATCCAGGCAAACTTTCCTGGAAAAACTTACTGAGCCAACCTAGTGGCTACAAACCTATTTCCATCACTGATGCCTGTTTGCAGGGAAAGACAAATTCAATAGGTTCAAATCTTCTCCTGATGCTTGTCTTTAGTCACTGTGATTAAAGAGAAATGCCAGTGTACTTACTGAGTATCAGAAGGATGGATACCATCTTAGTCCATTTGTGATGCTATAAAGGAATACCTGAGGCTGGGTGATTTATAAAGAAAAGATGTTTATTTGGCCCATGGTTCTGCAGGCTGTACAAGAAGCATGGTGCTGGCATCTGCATCTGGTGAGCATCTCAAGATGCTTCTGCTCATGGTAAAATGGAAAGTGGAGTGGCCATGCGTGGTGGCTCACACCTGTAATCCCAGCGCTTTGGGAGGCCAAGGCAGGTGGATCACCTGAGGTCAGGTGTTTGAGACCAGCCTAGCCAACATGGTGAAACCCTGTCTCTATTAAAAATACAAAATTAGCTGTGTGTGGTGGCACACGCCTGTAGTCCCAGCTACTTAGGAGGGGAGGGAGGTGCCAGGCTCTTTTTAACAATCAGCTCCCACAGGAACTAATAGAGGAAGAACTCACTCATTACCACAAGGACAGCACCAAGCCATTCATGACGGATGTACCTGCATGACCCCAACACCTCCAGTTAGGCCCAACGTTAGGGATCAGATTTCAACATGAGATTTGCAGGGCTCAAATATCCAAACCATAGCAGATACCAAGATGTATTCTTGATTTCAATGATCAAGCAGCCTAACTGGGAATAATTAGTATGCAGATGAAAAGATAATTAACAATGCACAGTAGTATCTCATGGTGGAAAATCACTTAGCCCAAGGTTATAGAAATCCAGAAGCTAGGGTCGTCCAGCAGAGCGTAGAGAAGGAGGCAGACCTCTAAGGCCAGGCAGGCTGCAGGCAGTCGCTGAGAAGGAAGCCAGCCCTGCAAACAGGGCATTTGGGAAAACACATGGCAAATGTTGAGACCAATGAATATACCTGTCTCCCTTCTGGTGAGACCAGAGCATGGTCAGACCCAGGTATGGAATAAATCTAAATGACACAAGGCCACTCTTCAATTCCATACCCAAGAGAAACATGACCAATACATTATGGCACTGAAGCTTGACAAAGTCTCAGAATCCTTCTCAACACTGTGGTCCAGGCAGCCATAGTCAGAGTTAGCAGATCACCGGGTCAGAATTATTTACTACAGAATGCAAGGAACAAAGAAGGCTCATGTTGGGTACATCTCACTCCTGCAGTCAGGAGTTTTGATCTTCTGGCACAGTTAGGCTGACACCCTTGCACACGCAAAGACCCTCTGGCATCATTACCCTCCATTGCCCTTAACGCGACCCCAGGCTCCAAATCCTTTTCCAGCTTTACCCCTGAAGACAGCTGCCTTCAATTCCTGCGCTTTTCTGTGCACACGTCACTTCCCTGTTGAGAGGTAAAGTGTATTCCTCCACTCCTTTCAATCCGAGCTGCTCTGTGACTGCTCGGCCAATGGAATATGGCAAAAATGCACCGTGCCATGTGGGTCCTAACCTTTAGAAGAATTAGCAGCTTTGCTTACTCTCTCTGGGGAGCCATGAGCTGCCATGTAAGAAATCTAGTGACCCCACTCAAGAGACCACCTGGAGAGACTGGATGGAAAAGGAGAGGCCCTGTGACTATAGGGAGAGGGAGAGAGGGGGAGAGAGAGAGAGAGAGAGAGAGAGAGAGAGGCAGGCCCAGCCATCCCAGTGCCCCAGCTGAACCCAGTCGTCCAGCTCTTCATTGCCAAGGTCTCTGACCCAAGAGCAAAACATTCCTAGGGCTTCTCGACCAGCCCAGACATGAGCTGAATCCGAGTCAACGCCGTGTGAGGCAGGGAACTGCCCCACCAAATTCTCCCCAAATTCCTGGCCCAAATAATCATAAGCAATAAAATAACTGTTCTCTTCAGCCGCTGAGTTTGGCATGGGTTCTACTGCAGCAACAGATAACCAGGATGATCTGTTCACGGGACCCACTCCAAGGCAACTACAAGTGCTCCTCAGGGCTCTGGGTTCTTACCCTGATCCCTATAAGTACCCTGGCCTTACCACGTCCAACCCGAATCAGGGACCTGCATCCTGGACCAAGACGCCACACTTCTGATCACCCACAGCCTGGGCCTCAGCTCACCACCAATTTCCCTCCTTTAAGCTGACATGTACAATTTCTCAAGAACTCAAGTTAATTACTGACTTCCAGACTCAAAGATTCCAAGTGTTGTCTATTTGTTATTCTATTTTTAAGGAATACAAAGGGCAAACTCCCCCTCCTTCTGAGGCTGGTGACTTCGAGAGCTGCAGCCAGTGACTGGTTCAGATTTACAAAGACAAGCCTGCAGGCCTGCTGCAGATAACCCTCGCCCTGCTCCAGCCACGGGCAATCGTGGATCGGGGAGGGGCTTGTCCTGCTGAAGTTTGCCATGGCCCTACACTTCACAGGTTCCATCTGGCTCATTTTATAGATGAGGAAACTGAGGCTTGTCGATGAAGCGTGGCTAGTTCAGGGTCACAGAGGAAGTGGGTGGAGACTGCAGCAAACACCCACCCTGAGTCACAGTTCAGGAGTGACTGCTACCTCCCTCCACCTCTCTGCACTGACAGCTCCAGGGAAATGCTTCTTTTGCACACGCTCCAGCTTGTGCGTGTCCTTTAAAGTCCCCTTGGCTTAAGCCACATGTGCAGTCAAGCATAGACTTGCTTATGCTTTGGGGTCTTTATGCAGGAGTTCACTGAAAAGCTCACCCTAGGCAAGAGCAAAGAGACCCTTTCCTCTGTTTTTAACTTTCCTTCCCATCCCCTGTCACACATACACACAGTAGCTCGGGGCACAGTACATGTTCTGGTTTAGTAGTGTGCACATGGACCCTCTGCCCTTTAATTAGGTTGGACTGCAAATTCTGGTGCAAAGCCATTAGGAATGAGCCTTGCTGGTTTTGTCTTAGGAAAAAGGGCAGTCCAGATCCCTTGACCAATATCCATCCATGATGAACATCTGGCGTGGACCCTGGTGTCTAGAAATGCCTTTAGCTGTCTGACCCCAGCTTGAATGCTAAGGCTTGGAGGCATCCCAGAGAGACTCGGCAGCTGGGAAGAGGTCCTCAAACAACAGTTACTGTCACAAGGCGTGAATGGAAATTGTTGCAACATATACTTTTTTGTGTGTGTCTTTTTTCTTTTTACAACATGTACGTTTTATTTTAAATGAAGCCTTCCTCCCTGCCAGACACTGTACTAGGTGCTTTGCAAATAGGTTATCACCTTTAATTCCCATAACAACCTAATGAGGTAGCCTCTCATATCTCTACTCTTTTTTTTTTTTTTTTCAAGACGGAGTTTTGCTCTTGTCGCCCAGGCTGGAGTGCAATGGCGCGATCCCGGCTCACTGCAACCTCCACCTCCCAGGTTCAAGCGATTCTCCTGCCTCAGCCTCTGAGTAGCTAGGATTACAGGCATGTGCCACCACATCCAGCTAATTTTGTATTTTTAGTAGAGACAGGGTTTCACCATGTTGGCCAGGCTGGTCTCAAACTCCTAACCTGAGGTGATCCACCCGCCTCGGCCTCCCGAAGTGCTGAGATTACAGGCATGAGCCACCACGCCTGGCCATATCTCTATTCCTTATAGATGAGGAAACTAGGGGTCAAAGAAGCCAGAAACAAGCTCAAGGTGACCAGTAAGCTGCAGAGCCGGAATTTGGATAGAAGTTCAGCCAACTCCAAAATCCATGTTCCGCATGGATTTTGCACTAATAATGACGCTGATTTATTGAAACTTTATTTAATACCACAAACCTGCACTAATTTACTTAAACTTACCTCCACATCATTCACTAGTGTAATTCATGTCAAATACGCAAAACTGTCACCCATGTGACAGTCTCAGAGTGCTACTGGGATCACAGAAATACAGTCCAGCAACCAAAAAGGGAGTTCGAGTAGTTCATGCTCTTTACATGCATTTTTCAAACCAAATTTCGTGGACCAGTTATTTTTCTTTGAATTCCCTTTTACCTCTAAGCCACTTCCTTCACAGGTTCTTCACTTTTCAACATTTAGCCCCAAATCTCCTCCCCAACATAGGAACAGAGTCAGGGGCGAGCAGCCGCTCCCCTGTGCACACTCTCCAAAAGTGGCTCCTTTTCAACCAGTTTTTAGAGAAATGTGTTGATGTGACTTTCTTTTTTTTGAGATGGAGTCTCACTCTGTTGCCCAGGCTGAAGTGCAGTGGCGTGATCTTGGCTCACTGCAATCTCTGCCTCCCAGGTTCAAGCGATTTTCCTGCCTCAGCCTCCCGAGTAGCTGGGATTACAGGCGTGTGCCACCATGCCAGGTTAATGTGTGTATTTTTAGTAGAGACAGGGTTTCACCATGTTGGCCAGGTTGGTCTTGAACTCCTGGCCTCAGATGACACACCTGCCTTGGCCTCCCAAAGTGTTGGGATTACAGGCGTGGGCCATCGCACCCAGCCGACATGACTTAATGGCCTTGGAAAAGATACTGAAGGAAGCTTGGTAAAGGCAAAGCCCTAGAGTTGTCGGGGGAGGTGCTTCTTTTGAACCCACATTTCCCTATCATTTAAGTTGTGCTGAAGAGAAAATTGGCCCAGGACAAACCCTAGCTCTCACCTTTTCTCTCACCTTTTATTTTATTTTTTTTCCTGAGACAGGGTCTTAGTCTGTCACCCAGGCTGCAGTGCAGTGCCATAAGGCTCACTGTAGCCTTGACCTCCTGGGCTCAAACTATCCTCCTGCCTCAGCCTCCATGTAGCTGGGATCACAGGCATGCACCACCATGCCCAGCTGATTTTTTGCTTTTCTGTAGAGATGGGGGTCTCATTTCGTTGCCCAAGCTGGTCTTGAACTCCTGAGCTCAAGCAATCCTCCTGCCTCAGCCTCCCAAAGTGCTAAGCCACAGCAACTGGCCTTATTATTATAATCTTTAAAAATAACTGCTGAAGGCCAGGTGTGGTGGCTTATGCCTGTAATCCCAGCACTTTGGAAGGCTGAGGTGGGCGGATCATGAGGACAGCAGTTCGAAACCAGCCTGGCCAACATGGTGAAACCCCGTCTCTACTAAAAATACAAAAATTAGCCAGGCGTGGTGGTGCGTGCCTGTAATCCCAGCTACTCGGGAGGCTGAGGCAGGAGAATCGCTTGAACCCGGGAGGCGGAGGTTGCAGTGAGCCAAGACTACACCACTCCTCTCCAGCCTGGGCGACAGAGTGAGACTCCATCTAAAAAAATTAAAAAAAAAAAAAAAACAAAACACATTTGCTGAGGACTACCCAGGCCATCAAGATCCAAGTTGCAAAGAAAAGACAACATACTGGGCTTCCCTTAATGGGTTATCAGAAAAGCACACAGTTAGTTCTGAGCTGAAGGTGACCCCAAATTGACTTTGGCCCAATACCATGTGAAAGTCTAGTCTCAGACCATCGTGTTGCACAATTCTAGAGGGCTCCATTCATGATGTAGACTGGGTGAATTTTACTTCCCTGAATTGGTCAGTGCATAATGTACATGGTGGCCCAACTTTACAAATAAATCATGATTTTCAGAAATAGCATTTCCTCTTAGGACAAAACAGAAGCATCAATTTCTCCTTGAAATAACTCTGAGACCTTTGGAGGATCTTCAGTGGATGCAAAGTGAAAAAAGAAAGAAAGAGCTTTGGGGGCTACAGAAGTCAGTTGAAAAAGAATAAGCATAATTTAAGCCCAGAAGACAGCTAAAGAAAAACAAACGGCCAGGCTCCTGCCACGTGGCCCCTCTTCTAGGACACTGGTTTCCCATGGGCCATTTATGGTTGGGACCAGATGCTGTAAATGAGGGGTATGCAGTGACCACTGCTGTCCCCCCACCATCTATTCCCGTGATGTCCAATTTTAATTTATAATTGTGGGTGAGTCATATATGTGCTCAGAGGCGGGCAGGGAAGGGCCAGAAAGGGCCAGGGACTTAGATAAATAGGCTGCAAAAGATACAGTGAAAACGCCAGACCAAAATTGAAGAGACTGGACTTGATTGGTTCAACTACATGGGTATGCCCTTCCTGCCTCCCCCAACCTAGTATTATTACGTATCTCTTGAGAATGAGGGCCCGGGAGCTGCTGTTACTATCAAGGTGGGAGTAAGACAGCTCTCATATATTTTGGGACGGAAAAGGAGCATCTCAGAATTGGTTGTTTCAAGTCTCTTCTAAAACTGAACATCCTGGCTGGGCATGGTGGCTCATGCCTGTAATCCCAGCATTTTGGGAGGCTGAGGCGGAAGGATCACTTGAGGCCAGGAGTTCGAGACCAGCCTGGGCAACATAGGGAAACTCTTGTCTCTAAAAATAATACAAAAATTACCTGGTCATGGTGGTGGGTGCCTGTAGTCTCAGCTACTCAGGAGGCTGAGACAGGAGGATCACTTGAACACAGGAGTTGATGCTACAGTGAAGTATGACTGCATCACTGCACTGCAGCCTGGGCAACAGAGTGAGGCCCCGATAAAAAAAGCAAGTTCACTTTTGCAGTAGCTCCACGTGGGTGTGGCTCTATCTTTCTATACAGACTGTATTACTCATATTAGCCATAATGAAATACTGCAGACTGGGTGACTTGTTGCAGAAATTTACTTCCTCCATAGTCCTGAAGGCTTAAAGTCCAAGATAAAGGTGCTGCCAGGGCTAGCTTCTGGTGAGGCGGCTCCTCCTGGCTTGTCACTTCCTGCTGTGCCTTTCTTCTGTGCGTGAGCAGAAAGAGAGCAAGCACTGGTTTCTCTACCTCTTCTTCTAAGGACACCAGTCCTTTTTTATTTTTTATTTAATTAATTAATTAATTAATTAATTTATTTATTAAACTTTAAGTTCTAGGGTACACGTGCACAACATGCAGGTTTGTTACATATGTATACATGTGCCATGTTGGTGTGCTGCACCCATTAACTCGTCATTTACATTAGGTATATCTCCTAATGCTATCCCTCCCCCCTCCCCCCACCCCATGACAGGCCCCGGTGAGTGATGTCCCCCTTCCTGTGTCCAAGTGTTCTCATTGTTCAATTCCCACCTATGAGTGAGAACATGTGGTGTTTGCTTTCTTGAAGGACACCAGTCTTACTGGATGAGGGCCCCACCCTTAAGATCTCATTTAACTTTAATTACCTCCTTAAAAGCCCTACCTCCAAACATGGTCATGCTGGGGGTTAAGGCTTCAACACATGAATTTGTAGAGGGGCAGGTATAATTGAGTTCAAAACAGAGGTTATAGGTCTAGGAAGGAAATGACAGGATTGCTTTTTTTTTTTTTTTTTTGAGATGGAATCTCGCTCTGTTGCCAGGCTGGAGTGCAGTGGCACGATCTCAGCTCACTGCAACCTCCACCTCCCAGGTTCAAGCGATTCTCCTGCCTCAGCCTCCCAAGTAGCTGGGATTACAGGCGCCCGCCATCACACCCAGCTAATTTTTGTATTTGTAATAGAGACGGGGTTTCACCATGTTGGCTAGGATGGTCTCGATCTCCTGACCTCATGATCCACCTGCCTCAGCCTCCCAAAGTGCTGGGATAACAGGTGTGAGCCACTGCATCCGGCCTGCTTTTGCTTTTAAATAACTCTGCCCAGGCTCTCTCTGGTAGCTGCTCACCGTGCTCCTGGCCCCAGTCAAGAGGCTCCTCCCCACTCACCACATGCCTACCTGCTGAACTGTGCTTCTCCGCCTCCCCTGCACACCAGCCCCTACTGCCCATACCAGTCCTGCCCCCTTCAATAGATCCCCATCTCTCCCAGATGTAACCTGGCCAAAACCTGTCCCCACTGCCTGCTAAACCTGTTCCTTATTCGTAAACTGAGGTCTTTGCTGAACCTATTACTCCATGTGCTTTGTCTACAAGGAAGCTCAGAGTCAAAACTACATCTGGCCACTAGCAATGTACACAGGACCATACAGCCAACATCTTGGCCACCTCATTCATTCATTCAACAAATATTTATTGAATACCTACTACATTCAGCCGTTAATCCAGTTGTGTGGGATCCATCAGTGAATAAAACCAGCAAATAATCCTTCCCCTTATAGAGGATTTTTGGTGGTGGTGTTGTTATTTTGAGATGGAGTCTCGCTCTGTGGCCCAGGCTGAAGTACAGTGGTATAATCTTGGCTCACTGCAACCTCCGCCTCCCAGGTTCAAGCAGTTCTCCCTGCCTCAGCCTCCTGAGTACCTGGGATTACAGGCACCCACCACCACGCCCAGGTAAATTTTGTATTTTTCAGTAGAGATAGGGTTTCGCCATGTTGGCCAGGCTGGTCTTGAACTCCTCACCTCAGGTGATCCACCCAACTCAGCCTCCCAAAGTGCTGGGATTATAGGCGTAAGCCACCATGCCCGGCCCCTCTCATAGAGTTTACATTCTTCCTATCCTATTCTTCTTGTTCATACTTTCTCTTTGCCCTGATTTCTTCCATTTCTAAAATATTTATTGTCCTGTGTCTATTTCAGTCATATTGTATTTGACAGTATTTCCAATCTTATTTTATTATACAAATCTATAACTTATGGTACTGTATATTTTTCGTAAGGGTCTAATTGCCTTTAACAATAATTAGATGGAGTTACTGTAAGAAATAAATTAGATGATATGTATAAAATACCAAGCACATTGTAGGAGCTCAATACAAGGTAGTTTTCTGTCTTTTTAAATCCTAGATATTTAAGACCAACCTCAAATTCTATCTCTTTCTAGGAGTCTTTAATGGCACCAGAAAATGCAAGGATTTTCTCTTCGTTTTCTATCTTCTTAGTACAAATTCATCCAGCATGTTGACACCCTGTTATCGTCTTTCATAAATTATTCTCTAATTCTGTCCCGTGTGTGTATCAGGCTTCCTTGGGAGTAGACGGTAAACTTCTGGAGGGAACAGAGCCAGTAGAGTGAGTGTGAGTGTGTATGTGTGTGTGTGTGTGTGTGTGTGTGTGTGTGTGTATACATGTATTTTTTGAGATGGAGTCTCACTCTGTCGCCCAGGCTGGATTGCAGTGGCACAGTCTCGGCTCACTGCAACCTTCGCCTCCTGAGTTCCACTGATTCTCCTGCCTCAGCCTCCCAAGTAGCTGGGACTACAGGCATATGCCACCACACCTGGCTAATTTTTGTATTTTTAGTAGAGACGGGGTTTTACCACGTTGGCCAGGTTGGTCTCGAACTTCCAGCCTCAAATGACCCGCCCACCTCGGCCTTCCAAAGTGTTGGGATTATAAGCGTGAGCCACCGCACCCAGCCAATATTCGTAATTTGCACAATATAATCCAGGTTTCTGTAAGAGCCGAAGTAATGTGCATTCTTTGATTCTTACTCTCTATTTTATTTTTAAGATCTGGCCCTCTTTGCCAAACAATACCAGTTTTCTTAATTTAGGTGAGGGGAGTTCTGCATGTAAAAGGGAATTTGATTTCCATTGCTAGAACACATTCATCATTTAGCATGGGGAAAAAGGCAATGATAGTTCCAACAAAAGAAACATTTCATGTAATTCAGAGCAAAGGGCAAGAATATTACAGTATTTTCTATAATAGGAAAAATCTGCAGTCAAAATATTTGATGAAAAGAGCACTAGTTAAGTCAACTGTGGCGTGTCCACTGGATGGATGCACTTATTATTTTAAAGAAACACATTTTGAAGGGTCCTTACTGAAATGAGAAGGTACACACAGTGTGCTGTTTGTTGTGGGAAAGGCAGTATATGAAATGTAGACTATGATTCCAGTGTTATAGACATTCTATTTACATATATACATACACACAGGAGAAAAAGATTTAGAAGAAATGTCTTAGAAATGAACAGTATTGGCCCGATGCAGTGGCTCATGCCTGTAATCTTGGCACTTTGGGAGGCTGAGGTTGGCAGATCGCTTGAGCCCAAGAGTTTGAAACCAGCCTAGGCAACATGGTGAAACCCTGTCTCTACCAAAAATACAAAAATTAGCTGGACATGACAGTGCATTCCTGTAGTCTCAGCTACCAAGGAGGCTAAGGAGGGAGGACTGCTTGAGCCTGGAAGGTTGAGGTTGCAATGATCTATGATCGTGCCACTGCACTCCAGCCTGGGTGATACAGCAAGATCAAGAAAGAAAGGAAGGAAAGAAGGAAGGGAAGGAAGGGAAGGAAGGAAAGAAAGGAAAGAAAGAGAGAGAGAGAGAGAGAAAGAGAGAGAAAGAGAGAGAGAGAGGAGAGAGAGAGAGAAAAAGGAAAGAAATTGAGCAGTATCTATGGGGGTAAAATTATTTATGAAAATTTACTTTATGTTTATACAGTGATTTCTTTTACAATCAGGAAAAAAGAACACATACTGTGTTGAAAGCTGAAGTCAAATAAGGACCTCTAGGCATCACTTTGGGGACAGGCGCTGCATTGGGCAATGTGAGAATGACCAGTTATCCTGCTTGGGGTCTGGCTTTTACCCCAGGTCCTAGCATGCAGAAAGTATTCCCTTAAGTCAGAGGGACACATTTCTTTTTCTTTTTTTAATTAAAGTTCTGGGATACATGTGCAGAACGTGCAGGTTTATTACATCGGCATGCATGTGCCATGGGTTTGCTGCACCCATCAACCCGTCATCTAGGTTTAAGCCCCGCATGCGTTAGGTATTTGTCCTAATGCTCTCCCTCCCCTTCCCCCCGACCCCCCGACAGGTCCCGGTGTGTGATGTTCCCCTCCCTGTGTCCATGTGTTCTCATTGTTTAACTCCCACTTATTAGTGAGAACATGCGGTGTTTGGTTTTCTGTTCCTGTGTTAGCTTGCTGAGAATGATGGTTTCCAGCTTCATCCATGTCCCTGCCAAGGGCATGAACTCATTCTTTTTTATGGCTGCATAGTATTCTATGGTGTATATGTGCCACATTTTCTTTATCCAGTCTACCATCAATGGGCATTTGGGTTGGTTTCCCTAAAGCACTCTGTAATTCAGGCTTTCCACAAAATCTAATGGCCGCTCTTTACAATTAAGGCAAAAGCTTCTCTGAAAATAAAAACAAGTGCTTTGTTCTTCCCATTCAGAGAGCATGAAGCCCAGTGCTCTTCTATGTATGAGTGGAGCTGAGAAGACCAGCTGGTGACCAGTGGTCATTCCCAAGAACAAACAGGGAGGGCCACAGGAAGGAAAGCAAATGTGAGGGCAGAGGCCATCCTCAGTCAGGCCCTCTCCCCTGCCCCGGCAGACTGAAGATGGAATTCATAGCTCCCTGATTCCCCCAGCCAGCAGCCATGGCAGTATTTTTAACAAGGCATAAAACTTGCAATTCTATTAAAAACACATGTCTCTTGTTTCAAAGGACTGTTAGCAACAGCCACTGGTAGTCAGTAAACACACTATCAACCAGGGAACACACTCATTCGACTCTGAGTCTCAAATGCTGAGTATTATATGTTTTACAAAGAAACACTGGGTCTTCTGGCTGGAAGAAATTTCGAGATAATCTTGGCCTATCTCTCCGACTTCTAGAGACTGTTTAACCTGCTTGAAAACACTAACCTTTCCTATTCTTAACCATTTTGCAAAGAAAAGAGAGAAGATCAGTAGGGCAGACTTTTTAAAGGCAGGGTAGGGGGAAGGAACCGCAGAGTGGGCAAAGTGGAACCTGAGGTCTGGAAGGCCGACTTCTGCCCTTAGATCCATCATCGTCAATGCATGTCCTTGGGAACTGTATGGGCACCTTTAAAATAAAGGGAGAATCGGACTGGTTGAACTCTCAGGTCCAAGGCCGAAGGTAGGGAACTTGAGCCCTGCTATGTCAAACCCAGCTTTAAATCTCTTTCACCGCTTAACAGCTATAGTAGTTTAACTTGTCTAAGACTTAGTTTTGCCATCTGCACAGCAAAGGAAAACAATGATGCCTCCCTCATGGGATGGCTTAAAGATTATATGAGACAAAGAAAAAAAATGCCACTAACAAAGGGCTTGGCACATAAAACTCCATAACTCTCACCCCCTCTCTACTCCCAAGAGTGCTGCCATGAGCCCATGAGAAAGTAAATATGAAGAACAAATGAGCCAGGGTTGGGGATGTTGGGGATAGAGAGACAGCCAGCAAATCACTGAGAACTGACTGTGTATCTATAAGCGGCAGTTTCTTCAGGAACACAGGCCATGTGGCTGCTTAGAAGCCAGTTCCATGCACACAGATTATCAGGCATTTAATTGTTTCCCCTCAAATCCTGATGTCTGAGGTGGAGGGGAAAGCAGGGAGGGAACCTCCAGATCAGATATTTTAGACTCCAGGAAAGGAAACAGAAAGCTCTATTTATCTGGGCTCCCCAGCTTGCTAATTAACTTACGGACTGGAAACTATTCTCGTGTGTCGGCGCCTGCACATCTTCTCGTTATTAGGGAAACATCTGCTCATTATCCCCATGGTTTCCGAATGTGAGAGAAAACCAGAGTTGCGTTCCCAGATGCAAATGTGTGGCATCAAAGCTGCCTCGGGGACTGGTCGCCCCATGCACAGTGTGGGGCTTCGGGAGATTAGAGGTAGTGGATTAGAACAGGCAGTGGGTTTTCTAAATAAGACAGGAAGAAGGCTTTAGGATGTGGAAGGGATAGTGAGCAAAAAGACACCTGTGTGTATAGCTAGACGTCTCCCATTGAATAGGTCAGGAAAAAGGACTTCTCAGCCAGGCGCAGTGGCTCACACCTGTAATCCGAGCACTTTGGGAGGCTGAGGTGGGTAGATCAATTGAGTTCAGGAGTTCAAGACCAGCGCGGGCAACATGGCATGTCTTTACAAAAAATACAAAAAAATTAGCTGGGCATGGTGGCACACGCATGGAAGCCCGGCTATTTAGGGGGCTGAGGTGGGAGGACAACTTGAACCCAGGAGGTGGAGGTTGCAGTGGGCTGAGACTGCGCTACTGCACCCCAGCCTGGGTAATAGAGCGAGACTCTGCCTCAAAAAAAAATATATATATATTTTCCAGGCCTGCCCCCTTTCCATATAAAATTCAGATTTTAGCCATGGAACAAATATTCATGGAGGATCCGCTGTGTGCTCAGCACTGGGTCTGTACAACAGCTCAACCCTGGAGAATGGAGACTCAGGTGTCAGACGGCAAGTGGCTCCAGCACTGGAAGCACACCTGTCCCCCCTTGGGCACAGCCAGAGGCAGCCTGTCCTTCAGCTGATGACTGTGTCCTACGGACAGAGGGACTGGGAAGAAGACAGCCCCCCAGGAGATGGGAGCCCACTTTCAGAGACGTCTAGCTCCTGACATTCGGAAGAACTCCCTTCTTTTTCCCCTCCCAAGCTAAGGTCACCAAGTCTCCTGGTCTACCCAGGTCTGAAAGGTTTCCTGGGATGTGGGACCCTCCTATGCTAATGCCATGGCAGTCCTGACAAACTAGGATGAGCTGGTCACCTTAAAATGTCCTATCCTTCTTCCCTTTTCCTCCTCAGCCATGTAATGGCTTCACCCTTCCCTCACTGGGAAACTATTATCAAACAGCTTAACATTTTTCCATGCCTCAGTTTCTGTATCTGCAAAAGGGAAAGGCTATAAGACTTTCTTTCACAGGGATGTTGGGGATCTTAGCAGGCAGGGCCTTGCAGGGAATGCGGCAACCCTGGCCTGAACAAACTGCACACAAGGATGAGACAGGGGCCACCTAAGCAGGACATGGGTGGAGGAGAAAGGAAGCAGGGATATAGGAAGGGAACAAAGGGAGAGGGGATGAAAGCAAAGACCTCCAACTCCTCATCAACCACTGGAAATCATCTCTTTAACACACGCATCCCAAGCTCATCCTCCACCAACTGCTGGCCAGCCCTTTCCTCACCCCACCTCCTCCTCAGCCTCCACCTCTGTCTCTCCTCCCTCCTGCCTCCTGAAAGGCCCCACCATACACTCCTGGCCCCGAAATCAGGCATTATCATCTTGGCTTTCTTCCTCTTCTACTCCCTCTAGGCCTAACTTGCCTTCTCATCATATGGTGTCCTCCTCCCAATCTCTCTCACATCTCGTGTCCCCCAATCCATTCCCACGGCCTCTGCCTGGCTCTCATTCGAGCCAAATCACCTGTGCACTGCAACAGACTCCTGTCTCCATCTGTCCCACTCCAGGCTGGCTTCCACTCTTGAAGCCAAAGTGTGGTCCTTCTAACTCACAGAGCTGATCCTTAAGATTCTTCAAGGGTTCCCCAAGCTTTCAGGATGGCATTCAGACTCTTTAGTTAAATCTCCCAACCTCCTTTCTTCTTTTCTTTTTAAATAAAATAGAGGGCCAAGTGCGGTGGCTCATGCCTGTAATACCAGGAGTTTGAGACCAGCCTGGCCAACATGGTGAAACCCTATCTCTACTAAAATACCAAAAAAAAAACAAAAAAAAAACAAACAAAAAAAAACAGCCAGGCATGGTAGTATGCCTGGAATCCCAGCTACTCAGGAGGCTGAGGCATGAGAACTGCTTGAACCCGGGAGGTGGAGATTGCAGTGAGCCAAGATCACACCACTACACTCCAGTCTGGGTGACAGAATGAGACTCTGTCTCAAAAAATAATAATAATAAAACAAATAAATAAACAAGTTAGAGATGGGGTTTTGCCATGTTGCCCAGGCTGATCTCGAACTCCTGGGCTCAAGTGATCCACCTGCTTCAGCCTCCCAAAGCGCTGGGATTACAGGCATGAGCCACCATGCCTGGCCTCAACCTCCTTTCTAATCTGGCACTTCTGAGCTCCCCAGACCATGTCTTTGCCTCTCACTCCTAGCCTCAATTTTAGCCATAATGAACCACAGGTACTTTCCTGAACAGTCTGTGCTGCTTCGTGCCTCTGCCTTCAACATTCAGCTCAAAAATTCCTTCCTCTGGGAAGCCATTCCTTAGCCCACCCCTCGCCCACCACCTTCTTGAGATTTTTCTGATTTAGATGCTCCTCTTTTTCCCTGCCCCAGTACCCTGCACCACTGCACTTACCACAATGAACGGGACGGGTTGGGTACGTGTCTTTCTTCCCTACCAGAATATAAAATCAGTGAAGACAGGGTCTTCACAAATACTAGACTCCCTATCCCTAATGGCAGCTCAGGGCTTGCAGCGTATTACAAATATCTGTTTAACAAATGGAGGAAAACTAGCAGCCTTGTCCACGCACAACAATACCAAACCCCAAAGCAGGTTCATGGCCAGGGTCAGATCTTCTCCACTGCTGACGGAATAGAAAATACTCTAGGCAAAGACACATCCTCTGCCTGCCATTCCAGCCCTGCCACAAACCACAGCAGGGAAGACGGATGGGGTCACAAACCAGGTGGCTCTGAAGGCAGATGACCTCAGGCTGCCGCCCGAATCTGCAGGTACTTCCTTGTGCAGGTACTTCCTCGTGTAACCTTGGGGCCACCTACTTAATTCCTGGGCCTTGGCGTCCTCATTTATAATATAAGGAAAATAATAACACACATCATGATATTGTGATGAGGAGTAAATGGAATGATGTATGTAAAACATTTAGCACTTTGCGGACATTCAGCGCTGGTTCCACCCAGCCTTCTCTTTTTCTTTTTTTTTTTTTTTGAGACAGAGTCTCGCTCTGTCGCCCAGGCTGGAGTGCAGTGGCACAATCTCGGCTCACTGCAAGCTCCACCTCCTGGGTTCCCGCCATTCTCCTGCCTCAGCCTCCCGAGTAGCTGGGACTACAGGCGCCCGCTACCACGCCTGGCTAATTTTTTTTTGTATTTTTTAGTAGAGATGGGGTTTCACCGTGTTAACCAGGATGGTCTTGATCTCTTGACCTCGTGATCCGCCCACCTCGGCCTCCCAAAGTGCTGGGATTACAGGCGTGAGCCACCGCACCCGGCCTTCTCTTTTTCAATATTGCCAGAACAGAGGCAGAACCTAGTAAAATTCGTATTCACAATGCACTCAGGCAGCTCCTGCTGGGTGAGATTCAATCTAAGAAATAAGGAAGGGGCCGGGTGCGGTGGCTCACGCCTGTAATCTCAGCACTTTGGGAGGCTGAGGCAGGATCATGAGGTCAAGAGATCGAGACCGTCCTGGCCAACATGGTGAAACCCCGTCTCTACTAAAAAATACAAAAAAAAAATTAGCTGGGTGCGGTGGCACGCAACTGTAGTCCCAGCTACTTGGGAGGCTGAGGCAGAAGAATCACTTGAACCTGGGAGATGAAGGTTGCAGCGAGCCAAGATCGCGCCACTGCACTCCAGCCTGGTGACAGAGAGAGACTCTGTCTAAAAAAAAATGATAAAAAATGATAATAATAATAATAATAAAGAAATAAGGAAGGAGGTAGAGACTTGCTTTCTGGACTGCAGCCCAGAGGCGCTCAGCCACTGCCAGGGCATCCCAACCAGACCCAAAGGTCTCGTGGCTTCTTGGCTTGAAGGGAGGTTGTATTACTGAGCACAGTAATCTCAGAGGTCTCCTGGTACCATGGAGCAGCTGGAGGGGCTTCGTGCCAATGTCCTCTGCCCCTGCCCTGCTGGTTCAGGGCCAGAGGAACAGATTGGGCAGTGGGCTCCTCCTCACTTTGGAAATCACTATTTTCTGCAAAGAGACACAGAAGAAAGTCTAAAAGAGAACATGAGGACATGTCAACAGTAAGTGGTTATCTCCAGGGGCAAGATTCCAGGTGATTTTTAAATCTTCTTTATGTTCTTTCCGATTTTCTTTTTCTTTCTCTTTTTTATTTGGAGATGGAGTCTCACTCTGTTACCCAGGCTGGAGTGCAGTGGCACGATCTCAGCTGACTGCAACCTCTGCTTCCAGGGTTCAAGTGATTCTCATGCCTAAGCCTTCTGAGTAGCTGGAATTACAGGTGCCCGCCACCACGCCTGGCTAATTTTTGTATTTTTAGTAGAGACGGGGTTTCACCATGTTGGCCAGGCTGGTCTCAAACTCCTGACCTCTGGTGATCCACCCACCTTGGCCTCCCAAAGTCCTGGGATTACAGGTGTGAGCCGCCACGCTCAGCTGTGTTCTTTCCTATTTTCTAAACTTTCTACAGTGAATGCTTCTATGGTCTGAAAACAGGCATAAGGCCCATATTATACTTAATAAAGGACCAGTTTCTCTGGCCTTTCTCAGGCTGAGAGCAGGCTGGCCCCCAGGCGAGTTATGCCCCTATGAGCACAATTAAATTGTAACATCCCGTCCTGTTCTGAAGTCTCTGGCAGTGGAAACTCAGAACTCTGTGGCCTGGGATTCAAGGAGGCTGCAATGACCCTGGAACCTTCAGATGAACAAGCAGAACCACTAAAGCCTTTGAGAGGTGAACTGAACGATGACTGTCTCTCCAACATAGGATGGAGGCTCATTCAGCGTACCTAAAGCTGTCCCTATTGGTCAGTGCTTGTAGGGGAGAAGGGCCTAGAGTTGGAAATTGTAAAGAGGAGAAAGGGGTTGAGGTTAAGAGACTTCACTGTGTGGCCAAAGGACAGGTTTCTAGGGAAATGTATCCTTTTTGAAAGACAGCAAGGGAGAGAACCATTGCAACTTGCCGAAGCCCCTCAAGTCTCTTGTGAAGCGTATTTTCAGCTCAATTAAGGAGAGGTGGCCAGGCACAGTGGCTCACACCGTAATCCCAACACTTTGGGAGGCCAAGACTTGTAGATCACTTGAGGCCAGGAGTTTGAGATCAGCCTGGCAATAGCGTGAGACCTCTACCCCCATCTCTACAAAAAAAACAAACCATTAGCTGAGTGTGGTGGTGTGTGCCTGTAGTCCCAGCTGAAGAGGCTGAAGCAGGAGAATTGCTTGAGCCAGGAGTCTGAGGCTGCAGTAAGCTATGATTGTGCCACTGCACTACAACCTGGGGGACAGAGTGAGACCCTATCTCTCAAAACAAAAAAAGGTGTGGAAGAACTCCTCCCATAGTAAAACCCCCTTTCCTGCACCCAGACTTTGTTGTTTCATTCATTCGCTCACTCATTCATTCATTCATCAGTCACTGATTGAACCCCTCTAGGTGCAGATGTTACATCCCATCCACATGCTGTATGATTAACTGGGACCTTTCTCTCACTATTCCCATCACCACCAATGCTCGAGGAAATCTTAAGGAGTAATAGTGGTGGGGCATTTGTTTTGCTCAGTGGGTGTACAAGCTGAGGGGGGCACTGGAATGCTGGAAGTCTTAAAGAGGCTATGGAAATAGAGAAGGGTGAAAAAAAGATAAGACAGCTGGCAAAAGAGGAGAACTTTGGGGAAGAGAATCAAAAGATGCCTAAGGTAGAATTTTGAAGACGTTATGCACCTCTGTCTCCCTCGCCATGTCTTCAGAAAAACAGACACCCTTCCCCAAAGGCTTCTGAAGTTGAACTGGGTAGGAACCATGGAAGTGCTACATTCTGCTCTCAAGATAGAAGGCAGGTGAGAACAAAGGCTGACCAAGGAGACCCAATCAGATCTTTATTACACCCAAATAAAAAGAGGCTGCCCCTGCCTGGGGGTTCATGGTGCAGCGGAAGGACGCCCTGTAAATAAGCCAGCCCCTAAGGTGGTGTGCACCAAGAAGGGAGCTGAGAGGGCCTTGGGCACAAAATTTCAGGAGCATCAGAAAACTCAGTCTTCAGGACGACTCATATTTCAATGCAGCTTTTGACAAAATCCAAGTTAGTACAAAAATGCATGATGAACAAACTGTCAATATTTTCAATAAAAACTGGATTTGAGAACAGGACTGGGATTACACTGAAGTAAGTGAAACTGAGCTGTACAAGTGTGAGGTCAGATTCTGTCTTGATTTCAAACATAAATATTCAGTTCAACCTAGATTTTCTGGCATTAATTTTTATTTTTTGAAATGTGGCATCAAAATATCATTGACTTTGATGACTGAGGTTTTGGCAGCCCCCAAAATCTAGATCTCCTCAGCAGCCCTGAGCCGGGGGCACCCAGGAACGGGCAGACCAAAATGTTTCTCTGAAGACACAGTATTCAAGGTGGACTTGGAAGAATCAGCAGGATGGGCTGCTCTGCCTATGGAGTAGCCGTTCTTTATTCCTTTACTTTCTTTTTTTTTTTTAATTTGGAGACGGAGTCTCGCTCTGTCACCCAGGCTGGAGTGCAGTGGTGCGATCTCGGCTCACTGCAACCTCCGCCTCCTGGGTTCAAGCAATTCTCCTGCCGCAGCCTCCTGAGTAGCTGAGATTATAGGCACACGCCACCACGCCTGGCTAATTTTTGTATTTTCAGTAGAGACGAGGTGTCACCATATTGGTCAGGCTGGTCTCGAAGTCCTAATCTCAGTTGATCCGCCCACCTTGGCCTCACAAAGTGCTGGGATTACAGGCGTGAGCCACTGCACCCAGCCTATTCCTTTACTTTCTTAATAAACTTGCTTTCACAAAAAAAAAATAAATAAATAAAATAAAATAAAATCCAGGATGTAACATATGAAAAAAAAAAAAGGCATTTATTGTAAAGGCAATCTAGGCCAAGGCCCAGCCTGTATAGGGACTGGAAGGACAGAGTGTGTTTGGGGAAAGACGCAGCCACAGTGCATACCTGGAGTGCCCAGTCCCATTTCCTCTCCAAGGCCTCCTTCCTCACAGGTGCTGAGGCTTCAGCATCTCGTGAAGCATCTCCTACACACCAGGTAGTGTGGATTCAAAAACACGAGAAAATGTAGAGATACAATCACTACCCACAAAGAGCTCATGTAAAGCCAAGACACCCTATGGCTGAAGACAGCCAAACCTGTGGTTGTTTCCAGCTTTTAACATTCTGCAAGCATTGTTTTTTGTTTTTTTGTTTGTTTTTTGAGATGGAGTCTCACTCTGTTGCCCAGGCTACAGTACAGTGACGCAATCTTGGCTCACTGCAACCTCCGCCTCTTGGGTTCAAATGATTCTCCCACCTCAGCCTCCCAAGTAGCTGGGATTACAGGCACTGGCCACCACGCCCGGCTAATTTTTGTATTTTTAGTAGAGATGGGGTTTCACCATGTTGGCCAGGCTGGTCTTGGAACTCCTGGCCTCAAGTGATCTGCCCACCATGGCCTCCCAAAGTGCTGGGATTGCCACCGCACCCGGCCTACAAGCACTGTTTTGTTCCTGACATTCTAAATGCTAACATGATTACGAAGCATTTTATTTAGGAGTGGCGTACATTCTACCATTGTCTTTAAAAACAATATTCAATCCTGGGCAGTTATGACGCAGTTAATGATGATCCATTTCAAAAAGGGCTTTGACATATGAAATCCCTTTTGCTCCTCCTCAGCCTGGGAAGCAGGAAGGAGTTAGTTCTCTCATGTCTCATTTTCCAGGTGAGAAATCTGAAATTCAGCATTTAAGCAACTTCCTCAAAGTTTTCTGACCATAAGGGCAGAGCTGGCACTAGAATCCAAGTCTCCCAGCTCCTGAATAGAGACTGACGGTCCCTTCATTAACTACATATGGGGAATATGCCAGCGAACTGGAGAGCAATTTCCTCCCAGTTACATCTAAACTTTGCTAACAAAGTAACTCCTGGCTTCAAGCTGATCTCTGGAAGCCACGAGTGCACACAGACACTTTGGGCTTGACTCTGAGCTCCCTGCTGGGGATGACAGGAGACTGTACAGCCCCAAAGCTTCATCACTGAAGGAGACAGAAAAAAAAAAGTGCTTTTCGGCCAGGCGCGGTAGCTCACGCCTATAATCCCAGCACTTTGGAAGGCCGAGGTGGGCAGATCACGAGGTCAGGAGTTCCGGACCAGCCTGGCCAATATGATGACACCCCGTCTTTACTAAAAATACAGAAATTAGCCTGGTGTGGTGGTGCACACCTGTAGTCCCAGCTACTCAGGAGGCTGAGACCGAAGAATCGCTTAAATCCGGGAGGCGGAGGTTGCAGTGAGCCGAGATCGTACCACTGCACTTCAGCCTGGGCAACAGAGTGAGACTCCGTCTCAAAAAAAAAAAAAAAAAAAGTGCTTTCCCACTATCCTCCTGCCCCCACCCCCAGACTGTCCTCTTTTCCCTGTCCTCCCACCCCCACACCCAGACTCTTCACCACTCTTAGCTCCGAGCTTGCAGAGGCCCCAGAAACCTCACATCCAATCATGAGCAGCGCAGCAGGCCCCTGCCAGGCTGCGTCCTTCCAATCAGGGACTTCACTTTGCACACCAAGGTCCTTGCCAGATCCAAACGCTCCCTCTTCCCAGCCTGAAGTTAGAAAACAAACAAGCCGCTTAACCTAAGCCAAGCAGCAGCCATAACAACAGCAGCATTCACAGCTGAGCAGGAACGCCGGCCCTCATGGTGGTCTGGGAAAGACGCCGATTCCCCTGACCCGGACAGAGGCTGCGGGTCCTCCCGGAGGCCTGGACAGCAGCCGGCAGCCAGTTGGATGCGATCACTGGATCATGAGCTGCATCACAGCTCCTCTCAGGTGCTGGCAACGGGCCCTGGCCTGCCCTGCATGTACAAGAAGGCCTGTTGGAAATATCATCATGCTTGAGCCCTCACACTGTCCACGTCCCTCAGCTGGCCTAGGAATGGCACAATGCCTCTGTGTCCTGGCTGCCGTGAGCTGGTCCAAGGGCCTGACAATGCTGGAGACAGAAGGTCATGAGGATGTCAGAGCTAGGGAAGCAGGGGACTGTCCAGAAGGCAAGGGAAGGGTTGGAAAATGAGTCAGGCTGAGAGGTGACAGCCTGCTGGCAGCCCTCACAGCCCTCGCTCGCTCTCGGCACCTCCTCTGCCTGGGCTCCCACTTTGGCGGCACTTGAGGAGCCCTTCAGCCCGCCGCTACACTGTGGGAGCCCCTTTCTGGGCTGGCCAAGGCCGGAGCTAGCTCCCTCAGCTTTCAGGGAGGTTTGGAGGGAGAGGCGCGGGCGGGAACCGGGGCCGCGCCCGGTGCTTGCGGGCCAGCGCAAGTTCCGAGTGGGCGTAGGCTCCGCGGACCCCGCACTCGCCCGGCCGGCCCCACCGGCCCCGGGCAGTGAGAAGCTTAGCACCTGGGCCAGCAGCTGCTGTGCTCAATTTCTCGCCGGGCCTTAGCTGCCTTCCCGCGAGCAGGGCTCGGGACCTGCAGCCCGCCATGCCTGAGCCTCCCCTCCACTCCGTGGGCTCCTGTGCCACCCGAGCCTCCCCAATGAGCGCCACCCCGTGCTCCACTGCGCCCAGTCCCATCGACCACCCAAGGGCTGAGGAATGCGGGTGCAGGGCACAGGACTGGCAGGCAGCTCCACCTGCAGCCCTGGTGTGGGATCCACTGGGTGAAGCCAGCTGGGCTCCTGAGTCTGGTGGGGACGTGGAGAACCTTTATGTCTAGCTAAGGGATTCTAAATACACCAATCAGCACTCTGTATCTAGCTCAAGGTTTGTAAACACACCAATCAGCACCCTGTGTCTAGCTCAGGGTTTGTGAATGCACCAATCCACATTCCCTATCTAGTACTCTGGTGGGGCCTTGGAGAACCTTTGTGTCAACACTCTGTATCTAGCTAATCTGATGGGGACATGGAGAACCTTTGTGTCTAGCTCAGGGATTGTAAATGCTCCAATCAGTGCCCTGTCAAAACAGACCACTGGGCTCTACCAATCAGCAGGGGCCAGATAAGAGAATAAAAGCAGGTGGCGCCAGATAAGAGAATAAAAGCAGGTGGCGCCAGATAAGAGAATAAAAGCAGGTGGCGCCAGATAAGAGAATAAAAGCAGGTGGCGCCAGATAAGAGAATAAAAGCAGGTGGCGCCAGGTAAGAGAATAAAAGCAGGCTGCCCCAGCCAGCAGTGGCAACCTGTTCGGGCCCCCTTCCACTCTACGGGAGCTTTGTTCTTTCGCTCTGTGCAATAAATCTTGCTACTGCTCACTCTTTGGGTCCACACTGCCTTTATGAGCTGTAACACTCACCGCGAAGGTCTGCAGCTTCACTCCTGAAGCCAGCGAGACCACGAGCCCACCGGGAGGAACGAACAACTCCAGACGCGCCGCCTTAAGAGCTGTAACACTCACCGCGAAGGTCTGCAGCTTCACTCCTGAGCCAGCGACACCACGAACCCACCAGAAGGAAGAAACTCCGAATGCATCCGAACGTCAGAAGGAACAAACTCAGGACATGCCAACTTTAAGAACTGTAACACTCACCATGAGGGTCCGCGGCTTCATTCTTGAAGTCAGTGAGACCAAGAACCCACCAATTCTGGACACAAGGCCAGAGCCTAGGCTCCTCTGTGGTGCCACTGCTGTCCATGCCCTACACTCCTGCTAGACTCGCCCGTACTTTTTACTGCTTTGTGTTGGTATTGGCAGTGGCATCATGGTCATCATCATCATCATCATGGGTAGCATTCACTGAGTGTAGTGGGCTGGACAGTGGCCCCCCAAAAAAATATGTTTGCATCCTAATTCCCAGAACCTGTGAATGTTACATTATTTGGAAAAAGTTTTTGCAAATGTGCTTCAGAATCTTGAAAGGAGGTGCTTGTCCTGGATTATCCAGGCGGGCCCTAAATGCAATGAATGACACGGATTCTTAGGAGACAGGCAGAGGGAGGATACATGGAGATACAAAGAGGAGAAGATACAGAGAAGAGGAGGGGCAACATGGCCGCAGAGGCAGACACTAGAGTGATCTGGCCACAGCTAAGGAACAGGGATGGCCACCAGAGCTGGAAGATGCAAAGACAGTCTCAAAAGCAGCGTGTCTCTGCTAAAGCTTTTATTTTAGACTTTGGGCCTCCAGAACTGGGAAACAGATGTCTGTTGGTTGAAGTCGCCCAGTTTATGGAAATTTGTCATTGCAGCTCCAGGACACAAATGCCCAGGACACCATCCTGACCATCATCCTCGTCATCTGCCATGGCCCTTCCTAAGCACATCCTGAGCATGCACAGCACATTCCAGGCACCAGACACTTGGCAAGGCTGTCCAACAACTCCACAAGTTGTTTTCACTTAACAGAGGAGCAAACCGAAGTTTAGTGAGGAATTGGCCAGGGTGGTTTGGACCCAGAAGAAATGCAACCCTCTAAGGGTGCTATCTCCAAGTAGAAGACCAAAAAGCACTTTGACAGTGTCTCCCTTATTTGCAACCACCTTAGGGATTTGCACATAGGAGTTGATCTTGCTTTTGATCCCAAATGATCTTTTTACCAGACTTGTCTCTGAGACTTGGCTCTTTGTAAAAGTCAGGGAATGAGTAACTGTGGGGACAGGACACGCCGTTTCAAATGACCCAAGTAGCGGTTTTGATGAGTTTGCCAGCGCCAGATAGCTCACATGGGCCTATGGGAATTTCTCTTTCTCCTTCCTAAGGAAGGACTTTGAAGCCAAGACCCCACCCAGAGACCCTTCAGCATTGACTATCAGAGCAGAAAAATATCAGAGTACTTTTGCCTTCTTTTTGAACAGAAATTATGGGAAACTGGATTCACAAGGAGAACATCATAACCTTCCAGAAGTTTCCCTGGCCCAGAGGGCAGTGCACCAGAGAAGAGTCTTGAACCCTCTTTGGGAACAGAGAAGAGAATCTTAAAGGTCAGGGTTAGCTCCACCCAGGACTCTAAGGATACAATCAGCCATGACAAGCCTCAGTAGAATCCAGACCAAATGGCTGGAACTTTAGGGACTAAATCTAACACCAATATTCTTAACTTATTAGACATATCACATACATATGAAGGGCTAGTTGACTTAACACATAGTTTTGCTCGTACAGCAATACCTTGTGGGCAGGCTGGGCGTGGTGGCTCACACCTGTAATCTCAGCACTTTGGAGGCCAAGGCGGGCAGATCTCCTGAGGTCAGGAGTTTGAGACCAGCCTGGCCAATGTGGTGAAACCCCGTCTCGACTTAAAAAAAAAAAAAAAAAAAATATATATATATATATATGTATATGTATATATATGTGTATATGTATGTATGTGTATATGTATATGTATGTATATATATGTATATATGTATACACACACACACACACACACACACAAACATTAGCCAGGCATGCTGGCAAGTGCCTGTAATCCCAGCTACTCAGGAGGCTGAGGCAGGAGAACTGCCTGAACCCAGGAGGTGGAGGTTGTAGCGAGTCAAGATCACTCCACTGCCCTCCAGCCTGAGTGACAAGAGCGAAACTCTATCTAAATAAAAACCCCCCAAAAAACAAGAAAACAAAAAACCTTGTGGATACATGTGGCTTCATCTGGAAATAGGGTCTGGACAAGTCCATCCTGAATCCCACAGATGCTAGGCCATTGAGCTCCCAGCTCTTGGCCAGCCTCCATATACAGGGCAACATCCTTGATGCTGCTGCTTGGGAAATGCTAATTACCCCCAGGGGAGCCTGGAAAGGAAACAAAAACCAAAAGAGTCGTTTTGGCCTGTTGTGACCTGGCTGACCACCCCCTGCTTGGGGAAACCCAATGCTCTCAAGCAGAGCAAATATTAAGTCAACTCTGCAGTATATTCATTCACTCTTCATTGAGGAGAAAAGGAAGGGAGGGGACGCAGGAGGTAATCAGCACCTCCAAGGTGGTTCTCCTCAGCTTTCTGGAGTGAGAAGACAGCCTGGTGAGCAATCCCCTCAGCACCCCAGGACCCAGATATGTGTGTGTGCACATGTGCTCACGTGTGTGTGCAGCCTGCACCATATCCGTCACCTACCCTGAGTCACCTCGTAGGACAATGGGTTGGAAGCTCAGCACCTGACCCCGTGGGTTTTGCCACAGAGGGGGAAAGAATGATAAGGAGCAATAAGAAGCCAAGGTGCTGGTTTGCTCTTCGTGCTTACAGCTGGAGACTGTAAAGCCTGGGTCAACTAATTCAGTGGAAGCCAATCTGAAAAGAAGTGGACCAGCCCTATTTATCTCTTTAAGAACTCCTCAGAGGACTTGGTTAGTCTCACCAGGGCCTTTACTTTCATAGGTCCACAGTTTCTATCTGCAACTCCAGATCCAAAAAGCTTTGACAACTGAGTTTTTTTTTTCTTTTGTAAGACATCTGACAGCAAAACTTTGCCTGATCTCAACCACCCTGAGGCCATTTATCATCTTTATTTATCCTACTCTTGTAATAGTTCCACTTTTGGCTGCTGAGATATTAATTTATTTGCGAGGTGCTACACTAGACCCCACTGGATATGTTACGTAACACAGTATATATACTGCTTGACCTTTCTAAAGATTCAAAAAAAGCTGAGTTCTAAAACAGCTCAGGCCCTGAGGATTTCCAATAGGAAATTGTGTTCCAAGGTTAAATATTGCTATGGCCTGAACTGTGTCCCCTGGAATTCATATGCTTAAGCCCTAACCCACCATGTGACTGCACTGGAGGCAGGGACAAGAAGAAGGTGATTAAGGTTAAATGAGGTCATGAGAGTGGGACCCTGATCCAATAGAACTAGTGCCCTCATAGGAAGAGGAAGAGACATCAGCGCGCTCTCTCTGCCACGTGAGGACACAGTGAGAAGAGAAGGTGGCAAACCGAGAAGGCCCTCGCTAGAACCCGGCCGTGTTGGCACACTGATCTCAGATGTCCAGCCTCCAGAACTATGACAAAATACTTTTCTGTTATTTAAGACACTCAGTCTATGGTATTTTGTTATGGCATAACAAATCAATATAGATTTTGGTACCAAGAAGTGGGGTGCTGCTGTAACAGATACCAAAATATATGGAAGCAGTTTTGGAACTGGGTAGTAATGGGCAGAGGCTAGAAGAGTTTGGAGGTGCATGCTAGAAAAAGCCTAGATCGACGTAAACTGAATAACATCAATATGGATGTTAAAGATCATTCTGGTGAGGTCTCAGACAGAAATCAGAACTATGTTACTGGAAACTGGAGGAAAGGCCATGTTTGTCATAACATGGCAAAGTGCATCTGTAATTTTTTAGGTACTATGGGTTTATTTTTTAAAAATAGATAATAAAGTGGCAGAGAACTTGGCAGAAATGTGTTTTGTTATGGAAGCCTGAGTGGACTCATATACACTCTTGCATTTCTCTGCCAGACTTGGTCCATCAGCTCCTGGGAGCCTTTACTGATTAACCTGACTTTGGTATGAACACTCCCATACTCTGAAATTCTTTCTGGAAACTTGTTTATGTAGCTTGGATTTACTGATGAACTTTTTTTATATCTATGAGTGTATCATTTTGCCTCTTTTTATGTCCCACCCCAGATGAATAAAATTCCCTCTGGTGTCTATAACAGCCTCGTTGGGGTCCTCTTTAGGCTCACAGCACCAACTCCACAGCCCTGCACGCATGGCAGGTGAGCAGAGATTCCGAGTGGTTAGGCACTTGCCAACCTTGTTCCAGAACCCTCCAAAGAGGTATGAAAAGCCTAGGAAAGTCTAGAAACAAAGACAATTCAATAAGGTAGCAGATTATGAAATTAACATATGAAAACAGTTAATTGTAATATATGCAAAAATAAGTTTGAAAAATATAATGGAAAACCATATCCCTATTTTCAATAGAAACTAAAAATATTGTAAAAGATTTGATACATAGATACATCAAAACTTTGATATATGGATATTCGGTAAGAAATATATATATTGGCCAGGCACGGTGGCTCACGCCTGTAATCCCAGCACTTTGGGAGGCCGAGGCAGGCGGATGACTAGAGGTCAGGAGTTCGAGACTAGCCTGGCCAACATGGCGAAACCCTGTCTCTACTAAAAATACAAAAAAATTCAGCCAGGTGTGGTGGTGGGTGCCTGTAATCCCAGCTACCTGGAAGGCTGTGGCAGGAGAATCGCTTGAACCTGGAGGTGGAGGTTGCAGTGAGCCAAGATCACGCCATTGCCCTCCAGCCTGGGCAACAGAGTGAGACTCCGTCTCAGAAAGAAAAAAAAAAGAAAACTTTTTTTATATATTAAAATATGTATATAGATATTCAATAAGAAACATGCCTAACCTATTAGAAAATAACTTAAAAACTATCAATGAAGAAATATGAAATTTTTGTATTATAATGGTATTATGGCTATTTTTTTTTTTGAGACGGAGACTCGCTCTGTCGCCCAGGCTAGAGTACAGTGGCACAATCTCGGCTCACTGCAACCTCTGCCTCCCAGGTTCAAGTGATTCTCCTGCCTCAGCCTCCCGAGTAGCTGGGACTACTACCTGGGTAGTAGGGTAGGGTAGTAGGGTAGCTGGGACCATACCTGGCTGATTTTTGTATTTTTATTAGAGACAGGGTTTCACCATGTTGGCCAGGCTGATCTCGAACTCCTGACCTGTGATCCGCCCACCTTGGCCTCCCAAAGTGCTGGGATTACAGGTGTGAGCCACTGCACCTGACCTTATGGCTATTTTTTAAAAGTCTTCATCTTTCATAAATACATAGTAAAAACACTGACAGATAAATGACGATGTCTGGGATTTGTTTGAAAATAATATGGGCTGGGTGCGGTGACTCACACCTGTAATCCCACTGTGGGAAGCCAAGGCAGGTGGATTGCTTGATCCCAGGAGTTTGAGACCAGCCTTGGCAACATGGTGAAACCTCGTTTTTACAAAAAATACAAAAATTAGCCAGGCATGGTGGTGCACATCTGAAGTCCCAGCTACTCGGAAGGCTAAGGTGGGAGGAATGCTTCAGCCCAGGAGGCAGAGGTTGCAGTGAGCTGAGAAAACACCATTGCACTCCAGCCTGGGCGACAGAGTAAGACCCTGTCTCAAAAAATAATAATAATAAAATAAATGCGAAGGGTAGTGGGTATGCATGCGGACGAGGCAGCATGGGCTGATGGTGTAGAAGCTGTGTGATAGATACAAGAAGGTTCATTTTACTCTTTTCACAACTTTTGTGTATGTTCTCAGTTTTCCATATTACAAAGTTCTTTTAAAAAACCTGTTGAGGAACTGGAAGAAAATGTTAAGAGAAAAGTCTAGCTTGCTTTTAAATAAAAAGGTTCAATGATTTTTTTTTTACTTCAAATTAATCTATAAACTCAATGTAAACCCAATTAAAATACCAACAAGGAGTATTTTTAGAAAGCTCCTCTGGAAAAATAACCATAATAGCCAGCAAAATTAGGAAAGAGAAGGGGGTCAAGCGGGTAGGGCAGAGAACGCCTGCTCTTACAAGCATTGAAACTTATAAAGCTACAATAATGAAAGGAATTTAGTAATGGAGAACAAACAGAGAGGGCAATGGTGCAACATGAAATTCCAGAAATAGGCTCCAGTGCCTGCTAGGTGCCAGGCACTATTCAACATGTTGAATAATTGGCACCAAGCAAAACAGATAAAGATTCTACCCTTAAATAAGTAAATAAATAAGAACATCTACATAGTGCCAAGTGTTTTAGAGAAAATAAAGCAAGACAATGAGATAAAGGGCAACGGGGGTGACATGAGTTGAGACCTAAAAACTAGCATAACACAGATGATCTAGGACAAGGGAAAAGCATTCTAGGCAAAGGAAGAGGCAAGAGCAAGACCCTAAGGTTGAAATGAGTTCACACATCACGAAACAAAAAGCAGGTTGTGGGTAACAGAGAAGAGGCAAGGAAGATAGGCAGGGGCTAGATTATATAAACCTTGCAGTGGCTGGTGAGGACTATGAATTCTATTCTAATTGAGATGGAAAACACTTTAAAGGGTTTTAGTTTGCAGAGCGATGTATCTGTTTAACATCTAAAAAAAAAAAAAACTGCTCTAGCTACTATGTAGACAGAGGGTTCTATACCAACAAGAATATTCTGGAAATGCACTTCCAGTTTGCAATGGTCTACCCAAGAGGTGATGTTGGGATAAAAGAGGTAGAAGTGACAGGAATGGTGACAAGTGGTCTGGTTTGAAATATGGCTTTAACACAGTGCCAGTATACTGATGGCTTAGAAGTGGAGAAAAAGAAAGGAATCCAGGATGACTCCCATTGCTTTGGTCAAAGTAACTGGGTAGATGATGGCACCATCAATCAAGAAAGAGAAGATGAGCAGGGGCCATGGGACAGTAAATCAAGGACTCTACTGTCATATCCATCCATCACTTGAGACACCTATCAGACACCCAAGTAGGACTGTCAGTAGGCAGGTGGCTGCTACAGGAGGATGGAGCTCACCTGTAAATTTGTACGGGGGCATCAGCAAAAGATACAATGAAGACAGCATTTCAGATCTACAGGGAAAATAGATCTGTAGGGATCCTTTGATAACTGGTGTTGAGGCAATTGCCTTTGCTTTTGGGGAAAAACACTCAAGTTCCCAAATAACTTCCAAATGGATCAAAAATTAAAAAAAAAATACTGGTGAGTCTATGTGGCAAATGGCTCTCCCACACTCTTGGTGGGAGTGTAAATTTGTGCAACCTTTCTTAGGGACAATATGGCACTGGGTATCAAATTTAAAATACATATTGACTTTGTTCCAGTAATCCTACTACTTGGATTAATTTATTCAACAGATATACATACGAGAATTTCCTGGGATGTAGGTACAAGGATGTCCGCTGCAGACTCTTTGCAGTAAAAAATTAGAAACAAGCAAAGCCTGCCTCAACAGCAGACTGGTTAAATAAATTATCAAACGTCCATAAGACAGACTACTTTGCAGAGGATACAAAAAATGCAGGAAACCTTTATGAGCTGATATCAAACTATCTCCCAGGCACGTTATGTGAAAAATTAGCAAACAGAACTTCTTGTGCTTTATTATCCTTCTATGTAAATGTATGAGTGTCCATGTACAAAGTCTTTTGATTTTCATCTTTTATCATTCCCAAAGTAGTTTGAATTTTGTAACCATGTACATATTTTCCATTTAAAAAAACCAGTAGGGACTATTTGAACGGTGAAATTATGGGTCACCTTTTTGTTTTCTTTATACTTCTTGGAATGTATTTTTTTAAAGCACCCTTACAAATATTACTAGAAAATAAAACTTCAAAGAATATGATCCCACATCCCCACTAAGACTGTGGACAAATCACTTTAAATCTACAGGACAATCTTATGACCTTCTTTTCTAATTCGTTTTCTTTTCTTTCTTTCTTTTTTTTTTTTTTTTTTAACATTCTGATCTCACTGAGATTTTGTACCTTCAGGCTCTGTTGGAAGCAGCCTGTACCCAAAGCCAAGCTGTAAAAGTTGCAGGGGAGCCACAGAGCTGCCAAGGAGGGTGTTTAATGAGCAAAACTTAAGGGCCGAATGCAAATTACTAGCAAACACCAGATGGCAGGGGTCAGGGGGAGATGGCCTCAAAGAGATAAAGTCAGAGTACTGGTCAGGTCCAGAGAAAAATGACTCCCATCTGACTTGGGGGCGGTGAGAGTGTCACGGGGTTCACACAGCTGGTGTGCACACTCCCCATGATCGGGAGAAGGGGTCTTTCTGCGTAAGCTTATGGCTGGAAAGTCAGGGGAAAGGGAGGGGTGGAGGATACAAAAGGTACAAGGTAGCTTGTGGTGGAAATGGAGCGTCTTGGTCTACGTAAAAATTCACCTGCAGGGCTTTTGAGGGTTAGCTGTCCTGAAATCCCAAAATGTGTAAACCATGTACACACACACACACACACACACACACACACACACACACACACACACACAGCCGAAAGACTGAGAATGCGCTAGTTCTATTTAATCTTGGAGGAGAAAATTAACAGAGTTCAATTAAACCATTATTAAGAACTTTAAATGGGGATTAGTGCTTATTTTCACATTTCTTTAACCTTTAAAATTACACTCTTATTTAAATACAAAGTTAATAGTATTGGATTGTGCTGGCCTTATTTGTTGTAATGAAGCCTTGTTCTTAATTGGAAAGCAAGAATGTACCATTCCACTTCTCCCAATTAACCACCTTTATTGGAAGCCAGGCTTCCGGAAACACAAAGCTATCAACTAAGGCACCGACATTCTCCCGGGGGACAGTTTGCCCTAACCACGGACTTGAAAGAAAGAAAACTGTTCATATTGGCCTTGCACACCCAAACTTAAAACAGACCACAGACACGAGAGTGTCCAATTCAAACACTGACCCCTGCCTAAGCCCCTCTGCGAAGCTTGTGTAGTAGCTCTCCCCCTCCCCGTGGGTCCTCCAGGAAACACACAGCAGCTGCTTCAGACCATCATTGCTACCCTCGCTCTCGCCTCTAGTTTAACCAGCCCCAGTTCCTTTAAACTCGCCACTTGGGTCTAATTTTCCAATCATATAATTATATCTATCTATGCGTCTTAGGGAGAAGAAAGAATGCGATGTTCCAAAAAAAATTACAGCCCTCTTTTGGTCCTATACTATGCATTTTCCGCTTCTGGTAAGGAATCTAAGCTATGCCACTACAATATATTTAGTTGGAGTAAACTCCTCTCCAGCATTCCTTCTTTTAAACGTATTATTCCTTTCTTAGGAGAAACTAGCTCAAGGGAGCTGGGGGTATTTAAATGGAGTCTCTATGGTCACCAAAAGCATCACATGCCCTGAGAGCAAACACAGTTGCTAAAATCAGCTTGTCAGTATCTTCAAACTCTCATTTAACTTGTCTTAAGGTAAACTTTTTATTATAAGAACTAACTTTTGAGAAGTTTTATAGTTTCGAAAACTCTTCCACATAGCATTTTGTGATCCAATATGGTAGGAGAGGTGTTGACAGGAAGATAGACATAGACACATACGCACATATTATATATATTATATTATACATATATAATGTGTATATGTATATGAGGAACCTATACATATGTATAGGCTCACGCCTGTAATCCTAGCACTTTGAGAGGCCGAGGTTGGTGGATTACTTGAGGTCAGGAGTTCAAGACCAGCCAGACCAACATGGCGAAACCTCGTCTCTACTAAAAATACAAAGAATTAGCTGGGTATGGTGACACATGCCTGTAATCCCAGCTGCTCGGGAAGCTGAGGCATGAGAATTGCTTGAACCTGGGAGGCGGGGGTTGCAGTGAGCCGAGATTGTGCCACTGGACTCCAGCCAGGACAACAAGGTGAGACTCTGTCTCAACAAAACAAAGTAAAAACAAAAACAAATAAAACATGTTATAAGTATTGATGAATCAACAGTCATAAGCCTTTAATGTTCATTACATGTTGAAAGAAAAAAACAGTAATTTTCCATCCAAGTTGCAGCCCCATATTCAGAAGCATTTAGTGATATCTGGCAATGGTCTCCATTCATGGAAAAAGCAAAATTATTTGCATATATGGTGGGAATTATTTTACAGGTGTTGACTTGAGGACAAGAAAGTTGGGTGGGGGTAGGTGGGGGGATCTTGGGAAGGAATTCAGATCTGGCCAGTCCCCAGAATGGGTGTCCACAGTCAGCAATTGTCCGAGGGGCAAGGCCGTATAGGGAAGCACAAGCTAGATCTGCGGCCGTTGCTGTGGGGCAGGCATCTCTCAGAGCTGCAGGGAAAAAGCTGCTGGGCTGGGCAGAGGTTCCGTGCACCCACAACAGGAAGCATCTACAAATCCAGCAGGGCCTGGCGCCCGGTCAGGGATTTCAAGGACAAGCCGGCATCATTTCCAGAGGGCAGTGGAATAATTAAGCTCGCACGTCCTGACGAGAAGGCTGGCAGGTCTGGCTGCAGAGCCACAACAAGCCTGTTTCTGGCTGCCTGAAATGTGTTCACCACCAGGGTCTGGCCACAGAAACGGGAGCCACATGCAGGTCGATTCCAGCCCCTCAAGGCAGCAGAGGAAGACTTAGCTTCCTGAGGCTGGCATAAATGAGGAGTATTTTTTTTTTAAATTGGCTTCCCAAGTGCGAAGTTCCTCCTCAAATCTTAGGAGGCTGAATCCCACAGCCAGCCATCCTCACCTCTCATTAGCAGTTGGTCTCGGAAATTTTATTTGAGCCCAGAACCCTTCTAATTTCCTCTCTGATCAGATAGATGGATGGAAGTCTTTCTTTTGCAATGTCTACCAAGCAAAAGTTTGCCATTTCCCCACCGGCTCCATCCTTCCATCTGACAAGAGCCTTTCTGTGAAGGGAAGCTTAGAGTCACCATCAGACTTGTCCCCTAGGACCCAGGCAGATCCTTGTGACAATCAGCCGAGGGCCTTGTCCTCCCCGAGCCCACCGTCCATTCAGTTTTCTGGTGACACCTACTCCATCCATGAATGAATTAAAGAGCAAATGAATGAGTGAGGACTTGACAAGACTTCTCAATCATTTCATGAATGCGAGGCATTATAAATATAAAATAATTCCATATCAGATATCCAAGAAAAATGCTCTAGAAGATGCATTTAAACCTTTTGGAGCTAAACATTTTGAGGACTGTGGTGTTCGAAGATTTGACAAAATTCTACAAACTGTGTGCTTTTATGTAAGTTTAGGCATTCCACAGACACTTGGAAGGTGAGTTTAATAACCCTAGGTTTACATAGTCTCAATACTACAGGATCTAAGAAACTTAACCTCCAGGGGGAACCTTCAAAAATCTGATATTCAGGCCAGGCATGGTGGCTCATGCCTGTAATCCCAGCACTTTTGGGAGGCTGAGGCTGGAAGATCACTTGAGGTCAGGAGTTTGGGACCAGCCTGGCCAGCATGGCAAAACCCTGTCTCTACTAAAAAAAGACAAAACTTAGCCGGGCGTGGTGGTGCACATCTGTAATCCCAGCTACTAGGGAGGCTGAGGCAGGAGAATCACTTGAACTTGGGAGGTTGAGGTTGCAGTAAGCCAAGATGGCACCACTGCACTCCAGCCTGGGCAACAGCAAGACCCTGTCTCGAAAATAAATAAAAATAAAACAAAAATAAAAAATGCAACTCAACACAACACACCACAACACAGTACAACAAGAAGCATCTTTTCAGATCACAATGCCCCACAAGATACCTGCAGGGAAACTCAGTGTCCTCCTCAGAGACCACGCCTTTCAACCCACTTTTTAAAATCCTCAGCTTTGGAGAGGGAACCTTTTGAAAACATAAGCTACTGGAAATATTTTTATGCAGAAGCTGCTTCGCAAAAGCGAAAGAATATTTTGCTTTCCATAAGGAAGCCTGGAATCTGTGCCAATCCAGCATGGATCTTTCAGTCAAGGGCAGGGAAAAGAACAGGCACCTGTCAATTCATCTTACTATGAAGATAACACCCTGAGAAGTGTCTCCCACAAAACAGAGAGCCTTTCTCCTTGGTCAGTTCAGTGGAGGGGGGCTCTGTAGTCAGAGGCCACTATCCTGCCCATACCGCCCTTCCCCAAATAGTCCGGCAGGGAAAATTTTTTTGACATCACGAAGTGTCTAAAAGAAAAAAAGTAGTTGAGTGGGGAGAATTACCTAATGAGGTGGGACCCTAGCTATTTTTCCCTTTGACATAATTAAAAAGGGGGGAAAAAAAAGAAATATAGGCTGGGCATGGTGGCTGTTGTCTGTAATCCCAGCACTTCGGGAGGCCAAGGTGGGCAGATTGCTTGAGGCTAGGAGTTCAAGACCAGCCTGGCCAACATAGTGAAATCCTGTCTCTACAAAAAATACAAAAATTAGCCAGGTGTGGTGGCGAGCACCTATAGTCCCAGACACTCGAGAGGCTGAGGTGGGAAGATGGCTTGGGCCCAGGAGGCAGTGAGCCGAGATTGTGCCACTGTACTCCAACCTGGGCGACAGAGAGAAACCCTGTCTCATAAATAAATAAATTAATTAAGAAATTCCACTGAAAACACCCAGGCTGTAGGGGGTGCTGTGATGAATCACCCTAGAGACTGACGTCCCCAGGCTCCAGACGTCCCCCACCAGAACTGACTGTCCCCAGGCTCCAGCTGTCCCTGAGAACTGACTGTCCCCAGGCTCCAGACGTCCCCCACCAGAACTGACTGTCCCCAGGCTCCAGAAGTAGCACCACAAGGCTCTCAGGTGCCAGCTCTCTCAGGGAATTCCCCTCAGCGGCTGCTGCTTCCAACGTAGGGACATAGAGCCTTGGATCTCAGATCACAACTCTCAAGGGCTGTGCTAGCCCAGAGCTCTGGGGTGAGTGGGAGTAGGCTGAGTCCTTGGCGGATGCACTGCAGCTGGTCTCATCACATGGGTACTGGCCAGGAGCTTCCTCCAGGGTATTCTCACTAGAAGCTGGCTTCCCCAGGAATCCAACCTGCAACACACAAGGCCTGCCCTAGGGAAATGCTCGCTGACCATCTGTCCCCCATGTCTGGAGTCCTTATAAAGACCTTTACTGATGTATAATTGACATGTAATAAACCACACATATTTAAAGCATACAGGTTTGCTAACTTTTAACCTATGAAACCATCTTTACATATGGTTATATATAAAACCATCATTATCCATGAAACCATCTTTACAACTAAGATAACGGACATACTCATTAGCCCCCAAAGTCCCTCCCTTCCCTTGGTCCTCCCCCCTTCCTCCTCTGCTGCTGTCCTACCATCCCCATTCGACCCCCTAAACGTTGGTCTGCTTTCTACCCCTAAAGATCAGCGTGCCTTTTCTAGAATTTTATTATATATAAGTGCATTTATGCCGTATGTACTCTTTTTTGTCTTGCTTCTTTCACTCAGCATAATGATCCTGAGATTCATCCACATTGTTGCATGTGTCAATAGCTCATTTCTTTTTATCACTAAATAGTACTCCATCACATGGATATACCTCCTTTTTTTTTTTTTTTTTTTTTTTTTTTTAAGACGGAGTCTCGCTCTGTCGCCCAGGCTGGAGTGCAGTGGCGCAATCTCGGCTCACTGCAAGCTCCGCCTCCGGGGTTCACGCCATTCTCCTGCCTCAGCCTCCCAAGCAGCTGGGACCACAGGCGCCCGCCACCACGCCCGGCTAATTTTTTGTATTTTTAGTAGAGACGGGGTTTCACCGTGCTAGCCAGGATGGTCTCGATCTCCTGACCTCGTGATCCGCCCGCCTCGGCCTCCCAAAGTGCCGGGATTACAGGCGTGAGCCACTGCGCCCGGCCGGATATACCTCCTTTTTAAACAAATAAAAATTTTTTTTAGAGACAGGGTCTCACTCTCGAATGGTTTTGTCCCAGAAGCTCCCCTGAAACCCAGTGCAAGGCTAGGGAGGGCAGGACACAATAATCCGCTGTCATTCCCCACCGCCTCGGCTTGACAGTAATGCAACCCTTCCTGGCAACTGAAGCTTTCAAAGCTTTCAGCTCTTATCAGCCATGAACCACTTTTCATTTTGGTTGTTTTTCCCCAAGCAGGGCCTTGCTCCTAGGTAGATTCATCCTTTTTTCATAGGGCTGACCCTATCGAGGGGACACAAAGGCCTACAACAAGGGAGTGAGTTAAGTCACCTGGCAGGGGAAGGAATAGGATCCGCCATGTCTCTGGCCTTGGGGAAAGCAGTCCTCAAAGCCAAACCCCCCTTTTTAAAAATCTCCTCTGGGGAAGCCGTATGCCTTAGACGAGTCACTTGAAATTGTTCTACAGGGCCGGCCGTGGTAGCTCACACCTGTAATCCCAGCACTTTGGGAGGCCGAGGCGGGCAGATCACCTGACATCAGGAGCTGGAGACCAGCCTGGCCAACATGGTGAACCCTGTCTCTACTAAAAATACAAAAATTAGCAGGGCGTGGTGGTGGATGCCTGTAATCCCAGCTACTCGGGAGGCTGAGGGAGGGAGAATCGCTTGGACCCAGGAGGCGGAGGTTACAGTGAACCAAGATCATGCCATGGGTGACAGAGCGAGACTCTGTCTCAAAAAAAAAAAAAAAAGAGAAAGCAAAGAAATTGTTCTACAAGTCCCTTTCTTTTGCTGTTATATTTCTGCTCATCTTCCTACAATGTCTCTTCCTGCCCTCCCCACAATCTCCATCATACCCCAATCTCTCTGGCCTTCAAGTCTATTTCAAGTGCATGCTGCCTCTCTCAGTCCCTCTCGTCCACTTGTCACTCCTTCTGACCTCTGAGGCCTTCGGTGTATGTGTCAGAACAAGAGTGCTGTCCATTGAATCCTGTGCATTCTGTCTTTTCAAGTAGGTTAAGACCTATGAGTGCTTGAAATACAGGGATCATACTGGACACTTTTGTTTATTTCACCCTCTGCGCTGTGGATTTACACTGAGTGATTAATGAGCTCTTGTTAAATGAATAAATAAATACATGAATAAATGAATGAATGAATGAAAAAAGCTTAAGGCTAACTCATGGCCAGTCCAATGTTTGTTCAAAGGATAAACTTAAGAGTATAAAATAGGCATTTTCCTTTCCTGTGATGAATTGGGAACACATAGAGCGCTCAACTAAGTTTTTATGGGTAAGGAATTCAAAGTTCTTCAAGGAGGCTGGGCACGGTGGCTCACGCCTGTAATCCCAACACTTTGGGAGGCCTAAGAGGGCAGATTGCTTGAGCCCAGGAGTTTGAGGCTAGCCGGGGCCACATGGTAGAACAGTGTCTCTACCAAAAATAGAAAAATTAGCTGGGCATGGTGGTGCGTGCCCATAGTCCCATCCCAGCTACTTGCAAGGCCGAGGTTGGAGGATCACTTGAGCCCAGGAGGTGGACGTTGCTGTGAGCCAAGATCACTCCATTGCACTCCAGTCTGGGTGACAGAGTGGGAGCCCGTCTAAAAATAAAAAAATAAAAAAGTCCTTCAAGGGATAAGAATGCTGATAAGGACTGATAGAATGTAAGACATCGATTGGGCCACGTGATTCTGGAGTGCAAGGCCTTAGTGGAAAGGGCACCTATTCTGGAACAACTGCTTTTCTGGCTTGTTTCTTTCTTGGAGCATTTTTTCTATTCCATGCAAAGTGCTTAGTACAATGCCTAGATCAAAATCATTGCTACTATTATTATTATTATCCCTTTGATAGGATTGGCAGCCAACGCAGACAGGGCCTGAGCAGCCCTGAGCTGGGCAGCTGAGGCCATCTTACCAAAGGCCTTTCCACAAGCTTTGCTTCCTGCTGGTGGGCATGGCCAGCACAGCCTTTCCTTCCTACTGTAAGATCCAGAACTCAGGGCAGACTTGGAAAATGGGTGGGAGCGGGGAGAAGGAGCCCACGAGCCTACCAGCTTTGGGGCTTCAGCCTACCTCCAACACTGACGCAAAGAGCTGCACAATGAGAGCAAAAGTGCCCAGAAATAAATGGTCCCACTTGCCAGCCAATGCCCTCTGTGGACCCTGTTATCTATCATCTTTTAGAGGATTGGCTGATAGGAGACAGGATCTGAGGGTTTCTGGGTCCCCCAGCCAAATATTTTCTTACTCTAAGCTCTGTTCTCATCCTTTCCATCCTCTCTCCTCAGATCCCATCCACTCCACAGCACCCGGTTCCCACATACAGGGTGGTTAGCACAGAACAGGGATCTGGTGCCTTCTGGGGCTTCGTGATCCCACAGTCCCACACTTGAGTCCTCCACCCCCCTGGGTCAGAGGACAATGTGCCTCTCCTTCTCTCTGCCCTCATTTGTAACACCGAGGCAACAACAGCCCCCACCTGGAAGGGCGGTCACATTGATTACATGAAATAATGGAAAATAGAGCTCACAGTACCATACCCGCCACAAAGAGCAGCCATTCATGTTTTATGACTCCCAAGTGTTTCATTTGTCCCCAGACTTGTTCCCTCTCCAACTTACACATTTCCATAAAAGGTCCCATCATCACTCTCAGTCGCCCAGATTCAGAGGCATCCAGTCAGCCACAAAATTCTATCTTGTCCTCCCTCCCCTCCTACAGCCACCACCCAAGACCAGACTGCTCTCATCTTGCGCCTTCACTGTTCTAATTGCCCAATTCAGCGGTTTCTAGACATCTGGCTTTCACAGGCCAATAAACATTTTACAAATTATTTTTGGAACCAAACTATTTCTAAGTGTTTTTGGTTTTGGCTAATAAAGATACTAAATAAATATCATTGAGAAACACCATACTCTCATTAATGACAAGACAGTTCAAGTTCCTCCAAAGGAGAAAGGCCATAAGTGTAGCATAAAGCTCTGTTCTTTAAAGTGAGTAATTAGCTTACTCATTAGTCACTCTCTTGACTCGATTTTTCTCATTTCTCACTAGACTGAAACTTCACTGCTGACCGGTACCTGTCTTTTCACAGACTGTATTTGAAGCCTGTTGGTCTAAGCCATCTTCCTGACTGGCTTAGTCCACTTGGGCTGCTATCACAAAGTACTGTAGACTGGGTGGCTTATCAACAACCGAAATGTATTTCTCATGGTTCTGGAGGCTGGGAAGTCCAATATCAAGGCTCAGGCAGATTCAGTTCTTGTTGAGGGCTCTCCTCCTGGTTATGACCTCAATGGTGAAGAGAGAGAGGAACCAAGCTCTCTGGTAACTCTTTTCTCTTTTTTTTGATACGGAGTCTTGCTCTGTTGCCCAGGCTGGAGTACAGTGGCGTGATCTCAGCTCACTGCAAACTCTGCCTCCCGGGTTCAAGTGATTCTCCTGCCTCAGCCTCCCGAGTAGCTGGGATTACAGGTGTGCACCACCACACCCAGCTAATTTTTGTATTTTTAGTAGAGACAAGGTTTCACCATGTTGGCCAGGCTGGTCTTGAACTCCTGACCTCAGATGATCCACCTGCCTCTGCCTCCCAGAGTGCTGGGATTACAGGTGTGAGCCACTGCACCCTGCCTAGTATCTCTTCTTATAAGGGGAGTAATCCCATTGTGAGGGCTCTATCTTCGAGACCTAATTACCTCCCAGAGTCCCCAGCTCGTAATACCATCCCATTGATGACTGAGGTTCCAACATATAAAGTTGGGGGACAAAATCATTCAGTTTGTAGCACTAACTAATCCCCATCTGCTCTATCCCACACCAATCTTTCCCCAACTCACCTCATGCACACACACCCTTCCTATGGGAAAACCAAGGAGCCATAACCTCTTGTTCTAGGTAGGACTTATCAAACATGGCATCCCAGGTCCAGGCAGGTGACTTGTCCCAAAGTAACAGCTGGCATTTTGGAGCTCGCAGTGCATTCCCCCATACAAACATGAAATGGGGAAGACTCCCTCACATCAACACATACATACTCACTCTGTATTGTGCAGAGTACAGAACTGTCCTGTGCAGGGCGGGCCTGTCCTCACAGCCCCACAGAACCAGTGGTCAGAGGGAAGCGTGTCGCTCTGGAAAAGAGCCCACGTTCCCACCTGAGATGTCCCAGGGGAGCCCTGCCACTGACTTTTAGAGGTCAGCTGCCCCTTCCCCTTTCCTCACACCTGAGTACCTTCCGTACAGGAGCTCTACAGGGCAGTAGCCACTTTTCTTTCCCCGTAGTATCTCAAACCTTCTCACTAAACCATGGAAAAAAGGTCTCCTAAGAATGTTTCCTATTCCCAATAAGGAAACAATGGCTAAAAATAACAATGGGCAAAGTGACAGCATTTCTAGAAGTCTACAAAGTGTTTCGTTATCAGAATAATTCCTGGGGTTCAGTGTTATGTAAAGGGAGCCCCCGCTCTGTCCAACCCCATATGCCTTAGGCCCTTCATGTTCCATAATTGCTTCTTCTTTGTCTCTGAGAACCACCTGCTCACCCTACTGCACAGAGACAATTTCCTCTAAACCTCCTAGAATTTCAGGTTGGCAGACCTGTGCCTGTCACTGTCCATAAGGAAGGTGCCCTTCCTCCTATTTTCCTCTTTAGAAATTCTGAGTAAAGAAAAAATACTAGACTCCAAAGTGGGTTATTTGGGTACTGAGAGGGCCCGAGAGATCCTTATGCACCCTGAAGGAACACTGACTTCCTGTCGCTTTTGAAAGGAAGGCTAGCTTCTCCCTGGACAAGTGGGGCAGGAGGCCCTGGGCTGGAGGTGGGGTTGGCAGGGGAAGAGAAGCAGCAGCCATGGATTCCATTAGCCTGGGGGAATCAGAGGGAACTAGAGGGACTGGCCAAATCCCACACTGGCAGGTACACCTTTGAGCCTTTGGGTCCAGCCAAAGCATACCACCCACTGGAGTGTAGATTGCTGCTCCTCAGAGGGTGACCCACCAATTGGCTGTAGCAGCTTTGGCGAGGAGGGCAACAGAAATGCAGACTCTCAGGCCCCTCCCCAGACTTACCGATTGGAATCTGCATTTTAACAAGACCCCCAGGTGATTCCTACATACATTCAAGTCTGAGAAGCAGTATTCCAGAACATCTAGGACAGTCGTTCTCGAGGTGGAGTGATTTTGCCTCCTAGGGTATGCCTGGCAATGTCTGGAGACATTTTTGGTCATCACTATTGGGAGGTGCTAATGGCACCTAGTGGGTAGAGGTCAAGGATGCTGCTAAACCTCCTACTGTCCATGGGCAGCTCCCACAACAATTATCCATCCTCAGGCATCAGAATTGCTAATGCTGAGAATCCCCTGATCTAGGTGAAAACATCCAGGAGAGAACTGAGGAGAGGTCCTAGAGCTCCACCCCTCCAGGTGAGGACTGCAGACCAGCAGCTTCAGCAGAGAGGCAAGCCCTTTAAATGCAAAGCTTCAGACCTGACCGCATAACTACAGACTCAGAGCCTTTGCAGGGGTGGGCCCCAGGAATCGGTGTTGAACGAGCTCTCCATGTGATCTGCATGCAGGCTTTCTGGTTTCTCGAATTTTGCATTGAGAAGCATTAGTGGAGGCCGCGGGTGCCTGGCCTTGGATAGTCATCAGGAAACTCAGGCTCAGCCAGGCTGGCCACTTGCCCAAGATTTCACAGCAGGAGCAACCATGATCTGAATGTGAAGGAGGGCCGCACTAGTGCATGTGGGGGGCCGTGGGACTGGCACCAGGCTCTTCGAGACACAACTTCAAGGACAATGGCTTAGAGGTTGTGCCGCTGCTATGAGCACAGCACGCCAGCTCCCAGTCCTGATGCTGACCACAGGAGTGTCCTGACATGACATTGCACAGGAAAAGAAGCCTTCAAAGCTCTCAGACAACAAATGCCAGCAACCATGGACACAGCGTTACACACACTATGCCCTAGCAGTGAGAATAAGGAAGACGTTGATAACAGGGAACTATTTTCAATCTGCTCTTACCCTTTCTATGTCACCTCCTCTGGAAAGCCCTCCTTAATGCCCCTGATGAAATCATCATCTCTTTTTGGTTGTACTCCATTCCTTGCACTTATCTTCCCATTGTCTGACTGTACTGTGACTGACTTCTGTGAATCCTCCTGGCCCACAGGACTGAGAGTTCCTCGAGAGTAGGAATGGATTGTAGCAGACATCGTGGTCCTAGCTCCCAAGCCACCCTGCCTGGATCACCTAAGGACAGTTCTGCCTCTCTCCCTGGGGGTGCTCTCAGGCCTGGGAGGTACCAAGGAATCGTGCCCCCAAAAGCAACCTGCACCCAATGAAGGAATAAGGGTGGGAGTTGATAGGTAACCCTGAGTCCAGGGGTCTTGGTGGGGCAATTCTGAGATGTGTTCCACATAGACTCTTAGCGATCCACAGAGGGCTTGAGCCCTGGCTGTCACCGCAGTTGCCTCATGAGCACACCCTTTGTCAGCTCTCTCCCTTTTCTGTTACCTCCCTCTTCCTCCTCATTTCTGTACCCAAGCAAACTTCCTACCCCAAATCCTCATCTCAAGGTCTGCTTTAAAAGAAACGCAAACTGGCCGGGCGCGGTGGCTCACGTCTGTAATCCCAGCACTTTGGGAGGCTGAGGCGGGCGGATCACGAGGTCAGGAATTCGACACCAGCATGACCAACATGGTGAAACCCCGTCTCTACTAAAAAATACATTTAAAAAATTAGCCGGGCGTGGTGGCGGGTGCCTGTAATCCCAGCTACTCGGGAGGCTGAGGCAGGAGCATCGTTTGAACCCGGGAGGCGGAGGTTGCAGTGAGCTGAGATCGCGCCACTGCACTCCAGCCTGGGCGACAGGGCGAGACTCCATCTCATAAAATAAAATAAAATAAAATAAACGCAAACTAAGACAAGTATTTTGCTCAGTGCTGAACCCCCAATGTTTAGCTACCTCCTGGGCACAGTAAATCTTCACCAAAAGTATTTGTGGAAGTCAAACTAAAGTCCTGATATGACTGAAAAATCCAAAACCAGCAGCAACCAAAACACTGGCAAAAACCCCACTGATGGCCTGAGCAGTGTGAGCCAGAAGGATGTATGTACATTTCTTCTCCTTGAGTTTAGGTTCAAACACCCTGAAAACAATGCCTCCTAACTACAGGAACAACTGAATTGCTAAGCATCAGGGAGGAAAAGGGGTGAGCTTAGCAGTTAGGAGTGCCCGCTCTGCAATCCAGAAGAGCAAGGCTCAGATTCCTCACCCGCTGCTTCCTAAGCTCCTTGCGTTTCAGTTTTATCACCTGTAAAATGGGAACATTAATAGTGCCTGCTTGCAGGGTCGTGGAGAGGATTTAATGAGATCCAGGATTTATTAAAAGGTTTAGTATAGTCCTGGCTCAGAGTAAACACTCAGCAAATGTTCTCAACATTATTATTACTATTATTATTATTTTACGGCCCATTTAAGACAGCCTTCATGTTTCTTCGGGTGATAGATGGTAGCAGAGCAGATAGATGGTAACAGACACTCAACAAACAGTTCTTGTAAGCATCAGCAAAGTAAGCATCCAAGAGTAGAATGTAAAAAGCCTGTAAAGCCTCTTCTTTTACAAATGCTCCTAATAATTTTTCCTGTTGATTGATCCCACCTCTGTTACTGTGAACTTTGGAAAGCCATTCAATCTATGTGAAGTCCTGCAAGTCCTATCAGTAAAACTTAGTATTAGATAATGTTAAGGCCCCTTGCAGGCTTCACTTTGAGATGAAATAACTCCCAGGAAAGTGTGGCAAGAGCCAATCCACACGGGAGATGAGGCCAGGACAGGGGGCAGCCAGGAAGCAGAGTTTCTCCCTACCATTGACATTAGGGGCTGGATAGATCTTATTTTTTTTTTTTTTTTTTTTTTGAGACAGGGTCTCACTCTGTCACCCAGGCTGGAGCGTAGAGGCACAATCATAGCTCACTGCAGCCTCAAACTCCTGGGCTCCAGTGATCCTCCTGCCTCAGCCTCCCAAGTGGCTGGGACTACAGATGCATGCAACTACCCCTGCCTAATTTTTAAAATTTTTTTGTAGAGGTGGTCTTGCTATGCTGCCCAGGCTGGTCCTGGCCTCAAGTGTTCCTCCCTCCTGGGTCTCCCAGACAGGTGGGATTACAGGCATAAAGCAACACGCATGGCCTGGATAATTATTTGTTAAGAGAGGACGTCCTGTGCACTGTTAGATGTTTAGCACCCCCAGGGACACCAAAAATGTCTCCAGACATTGCCAGTGTCCCCTGGGGCAAAGTCACCCATCGCAGAGAACCCCAGTAATGGAGGTTTGCTTTTACCAGTGACCCACAGATAGGATCCAGCCCTGAGGTCCAGCCCCAGCCCCACTTGGGAGTGGAGGTCAATGCTACTCCCTTGCCTTGGTTTGTCTATTTTAATTTTTATTAAAACAACAAAAACAACACCACCAAGAAACTCCTGGGATGCTGTTTCTACATTTTTTCCCCTCTTATTCTTCATTATTTACTGCACTTCATTAAAAAGCAGGCCCTTTGGAAATAACCAAGCATTCATTGCAGATTTTGAATTATTTTGTTTTCCCTAGTCTATCATTAGCCATATTTGCCCACAAATAAGATTAATGTTTTTAAAGCTCATCTACTTGCAACCCCAAAACATAATCCCCTCCTGGGTTATTACTATCCGTTTATGACGTTAGGAACAGCAGGAGACCGCAACTCCAAAACCCAAATGATCCTGACATGCAAATATGTCATGAAAAACACAAGGCAAAAGATTTCAAAGGATTTATTAGCAACAGAGCTGCTGTTAACCAGCCAGATCCAAGGATTTATTTGGGCAATGGTCAAAGTTGCTCTATGGGACAATGAGACCTGAAGTTCTCTGCAGAAAAGTCAGAACACTCTCACAAGCCAGACACTTGCCCGGTGGTGGGCAGCCCCGTGGTTCTAAGGAACAGAAAGGAGTGGTTTGGTCTTCCACCAACTTCCATTGGCTTTCTCTGAACAGGGGCCACAAGGCTGTTTGTGTTCATCAATTCCTTCCTTTTCACCGAAAAGCAAATTCCTGTAAGATTGGAAAGCAGACCTCCATCTCTGCACGCATTCACCAACACAATGAAAAAAGGCAGTTTGGGCCAAGTGCAGCGGCCCACGCCTGTAATCCCAGTACTTTGGAAGGCAGAGGTGGGCAGATCACAAAGTCAGGAGTTCAAGACCAGCCTGGCCAATATGGTGAAACCCCCGTCTTTACTAAAAATACAAAAAGTAGCCGGGCGTAGTGGTGGGCGCCTGTAGTCCCAGCTACTTGGGAGGCTGAGGCAGGAGAATCGCTTGAACTCAGGAGATGGAGGTTGCAGTGAGCCGAAATCACGCCACTGCACTCCAGCCTGGGCGAGAGATCGAGATTCCATCTCAAAAAAAAAAAAAAAAAAAAAAAAGGAAAAAAAAAAGGCAGTTTGTTCTCTGCAGACTTCCCCTCTACCTTCCTGAGCAGGGCCCAGCAACATTGCCCCACTGCCTCCTGCCTTCTGGTGAGCAGGGGTCAGGGAGCCCATGACTACGCCTTCAGGAGTGAGCTGTTGAGGGGCAGGATCGCTGCAATGAAGGGGAGTCCAGGTAAAGGCACGTCCCATTCCATCACCGTGGGCACTGCTGCTTTCCCTGCTCAGGGCCCTTGCACTGGCTGTTCCTTCTTGGTGGCCCTCCTGCCCTGGAATCTGTGCCTGCCTGATTCATTCTTATAGCTCAGGCCTCTCCTCATTGTCACTTTCTCAGAGCAGCCTTCCCAGCCCCCACTATCCAGCAAGGTCCCCTCCATCCCTCCGTAGTCCCTTAACCTGCCTCATTTTTCTTCCGGAAGCACCTAGTTCCACCTGAAGTTTTATTGCACATTCTCTGGTTTCTGTTTCGTGTCTGTCCTCCCACCTCCTAGAATGTGGGTGCTGAGTAGGCTAGGCGTTTTGAGTGTCTCACTCACCCCTGTATCCCTAGTGTCTAGAAGAAGGGGACCAGGCACACAGCAGGCAGCAGGTACTCTTTTTTTTTTTTTTTTTTTTTTGAGACGGAGTCTTGCTCTGTCACTCAGGTTAGAGTGCAGTGGCGCGATCTCAGCTCACTGCAAGCTCCGTCTCCTGGGTTCAAGCCATTCTCCTGCCTCAGCCTCCTGAGTAGCTGGGACTACAGGCGCCCACCACCACGCCCAGCTAGTTTTTTGTATTTTTAGTAGAGACGGGGTTTCACCGTGTTAGCCAGGATGGTCTCGATCTCCTGACCTCGTGATCCGCCCACCTCGGCCTCCCAAAGTGCTGGGATTACAGGCGTGAGCCACCGCGCCTGGCTGGCACACAGCAGGTACTCTATCAATATTTGGTGAATGAGTGAATGTTTGGGCTTGGGCTAAGAAGTCACAAGAAACACTGAGGACCACCCACAGGCTGAGAGTCTGAGGGTTCCTGAATGGCTGCTAATCAAGAACTGGTCTATCTGATCTTAAAGACGGACCCCATATCTTGGATATTTTGCCTTCAGTTTCTGCATTTATCATTACGCTCACAGTGAAATTACTCTCTTATGGTATACAGGCCCAGCGCGTGGCCTCAGAAAACCATGCTTTCAGACTGGAGCGTAGAATAAGAGAAACCGACTGTATTCTGTCCCAATGGGGTTAGCTCAGTCCCCTTCCTAAACCATTCTGCCAAGTTTGTTTCTGAGCACCCAGCTCATGGTTCTATTTTTAGGGAACTCTAATGGTAACCTAAACAGTAGAAGCAACCATCGCCTTGTAAATGCAGGATCAGCAAGCCCCTTGCATGTATGAACTTGTCAAAATAATCGCAAAAGGCGCTTTCCCTTGAGATCATCAGAAATAATTAGTAAGAAAATATTTTTTTAATAAGGAGATAAGCTCGGCTGCAGGAGAAATATGCTCATTTCTCGTATTTAAAAATTAAAACCCCATGCTCCTTTACAAGATCCTGGGGCTGTTGGAACTGGAAGATGCATTCCATGATTGTTCTGACCCTAGAGGAGTCTACTTTCCCTCCACCTTCTGCTCCAAGACTGAGGCTGGCTGGATAACCATGTCCTTCTCCTCCCTGGTCAAAGAGGATGTTTCCCTAGGAAGGGCCCTGCCTCGATCTCGATGTCCCACTCCTCAACTGGCATTTGAAAATTTGTACCATTTATTCCCTAGAAATAAACCCTCAGAAACAACTCATAAAACCCACTTGTAGAAATGTAGGTTCCTGAACTGATGTGATCTGGGAGCCCACGCTGCCTCTCCACCTCCAAAGGGCTGGAGTTCTCCCCTCTAAGCTATTGGAAAATTGAACGTGTGAATGAATGAGGTCCCGTCCTCACTTCCCTATCACCTTATGGCTCCCCTGCCTCTCTTTTCTCTAGAGGCTGAAGTTTATGTGTGTAAAACTTCCATCTGATTAGCAGACATGCCTTTTCATGGGCTCTTGGATTAGTCTTTTTTCACACTGATACAAAGAACTACCTGAGACTGGGCAATTTATAAAGAGAACAGCTTTAATTAGTTCACAGTTCCGCGTGGCTGGGAAGGCCTCAGGAAACTTACAATCATGGCAGAAGGTGAAGAGCAAGCAGGAACCTTTTCACAAGGCAGCAGGAAAGGGAGGGGGGGGAGGGGGAACTTCCAAACACTTTTAAACCATCGGATCTCATGAGAACTCCCTCACTATCACAAGAACAGCATGGGGGAAACCGCCCCCATGATCCAATCACCTGCCCCCAGGTACCTCCCTGGACACATAGGGATTACGATTTGAGATGAGATTTGGGTGGGGACACAGAGCCAAACCGTATCAGCTTTCAAACCCCAATAAATAAAAATCGCCTTTCTTTGCCTCCATAAAAGACCAGAACACAAGCTGAATTTGTGGGTCCAGGAAAGGCTTCTTGGGGGAATGCTTTCCACGCTTGTCCCTGATGGAATACTGCACTAGCCACAGGAAGGGCAAGGTGAAGTGGGAGAAAAATTCCAGGGACAGGAAAGAGCAGGTGCAATGGTGTGAGAGATACACACGGGGAAGAGGCAGGCTGGAGAGGTGAAATCAAGCTCAGGAGGAGAAGAGGGGAAATAAGGAACAATGTGTGATGACTCCCCGCACCAAATCCAGGTTAGGTGCCTCTCTTACCCGCCTGGGTGGTATCCCAAGTGCACCCCCTGCAGTAAAGTACTTATCAGACAGTAGCAGAAATAGCAGGCAAACACCACAATTCCATATATTCCCCCTTCATAGTGTAGACTCCTTGCGGGCTACCTTTTCCAGCTCCCTTTGCATCTGAGCAGGGCTATTTGGTTAGTTCTTGCTAATGAGATGTGAGAGGACGTGAGGTGTTTCACTCCAACCCAAGGCACTTCAGAAGTAGATGCACCTTCTCGCCACCATCTCCTCCCTTCCACCAGTTGGGGGCAGAGTACTCGCAGCCCTAGGACATTGGTGGGGACACAAGATGGAGAGAATCTGAGTCCCTGAATCACCATGTGGAGGAGAGCCACCTGCTGACCAAGGATGAGTGAGATCATGAGAAATCTGGGCTATTTTTCTTGAGGACTTTTTCTTTCCTCTTCCAATTTTCTTTTGTGGTTTTCGGCTCTGTATGACACCCATGCTGGGGAACAGAACCTTGAAACGGTTGTTCCTAGGATGGTCTCTGCCGTCGTATGAATCACAAGACAGCCGGGGCAGGTTTGGCTGTGAACCATTTGTGGCTTTGGTGTAGAAATTTAGTGTGTGTGTGCATGTATTTCTGTGTGTGTGTATGTGTGTGTACGCATGCATGCGCCTGTGTGTGTGTGTGTGTGTGTGTGTGTATGCATGCATGCGCATGTGTCTGTGTATGAGTGTGATGGCCCTGGCCTGTATAAGATTTCTGCTTCCTGGGATTTGAGCCCTGCACTAGGCTGTTTGTGAGAGAGAAATGATTTTTTGTTATGTTAAGCCGTTAAAACTTGGAGGTTTCAGCTGGGTGCGGTGGTGCGTGTCGGTAATCCTGACTACTCAGGAGGCTGAGGTGGGAGGACTGCTTGAGACCAGGAGTTCAAGACCAGCCTAGGCAACACAGCAAGACCCCCATCTCAAAAAAACAAAACAAAACAAAACTTGGAGGTTTAATTGTCACAGCAATAGCAACTATCATTACCCTAATACACAGGCTAGGTAATATTTACTTATTCAATTGTAGATAATGTTCTCTAGACAGTAAGAGACCCCTCTATATCATCACCGCCTAGTAAAAGCTGGATATTAAGTGAACATTTGTTGAATAAAAATAGTCCATTGGTTAGAAAAAGGGCTCAAATCCTAGTAAGCAGTAATCTTCTTACTTTGCCATACGCCATCACACTCACACACAGATACATGTGCAAGCACACACTTGTGCCCGCATACACACACACACACACACACACCCTAAACTTCCACACCAAAGCCACAAACGGTTCAGGGCCAAGCCTGCCCCAGCTGTCTTGTGATTCATACGACAGCAGTGACCATCCTAGGAACAACCCTTTCAAGGTTCTGTTCCCCAGCATGGGTATCACACGGAGCCAAATACCGCAAAAGAAAATTGGAAGAGGAAAGAAAAAGTCATCAAGAAAAATAGCCCAGATTTCTCATGATCTCACCCGTGAGTCAGATTTGCATTTGGGATAACAACTAACCAAGTAGACCAGAACAGTCTGTCTGCAAGATGTGGGCCTGCCAATTTCAACAGCACAGAGAAGGCACGCTTCTTAAACTGGCTTAAAAGGACAAATCTAGTACACTTGTTTATTTTTTTTTCTTAAAAAAATGCCAAGGTAAAACAACCTCCTGTTTAAAAGTAGTTCTATAATTACCTTTTAAACACTGAATGCCAAGTACCTGTATCTTGCCATTTGGGGCAGTGGGGAAAAGTCCTACCAAACGGTCTTCACTGTGTGACCCTTAGAAAGCCACCTCAGCTCTCTGGGTTGAGATTTGTTCATTTATAACATACAAGATTAGAATAGACAATCTCTAAAGTTGGAGGAAGAAATCATCATCAGTGGAAGGGAAACTGAATTTTTCATGCCTTGCAAGTCTTTTACTATTAATGGAACTTATTCCTAACAGAAACAGGATATTTTTTATGGGTAGCTTAATTTAGATCAATTTGTTCATCTAAGACAGAAAGTGAGGTCCAAGGCATTGTGGACGTGAATGGATCTTTAGTAGTGAGGGGCAGGAAAGGGATGATTGTTTTCATGTGAGAGGTGGTGCCGTGGCCTGAATGTCCGTGTCCCACCCTGCAACCCCAAATTCATATGCTGAAATCCTAACCTCCATAGTGATAGCATTAGAAGGTGGGGCCTTGGCCAGGTGAGGTGGCTCACACCTGTAATCCCAGCACTTTGGGAGGCCACAGCGGGTGGATCACAAGGTCAGGAGATCAAGACCATCCTGGCTAACACGGTGAAACCCCGTCTCTACTAAAAATGCAAAAAAATTAGCTGGGCGTGGTGGTGGGCGCCTGTAGTCCCAGCTACCCGGGAGGCTGAGGCAGGAGAATGGCGTGAACCTGGGAGGCGGAGCATGCAGTGAGCTGAGATTGCGCCACTGCACTCCATCCTGGGCTACAGAGCCAGACTCCGTCTCAAAAAAAGAAAGGGGATCCAAGAGAGCTGCCTTGCCTCTTGCCCCATGTGAGGATGCAGCTAGAAGGCACCATCCCTGCCTGGGAGCAAACCCATCCCAGACTCCAAATCTGCTGGTGCCTTGATCTCAGACTTTCCAGCCTCTGGAGCTGCAAGAAATAAATTTTATTTTGTATTTTATTTATAAGCCACTGAGTTTATGGAATTTTTGTTATAGTGGCCCAAAAGGACTAAGACAGGCAGCATGTGGATTCTGGAGCTCCAACTGTGTGTCAGGACGTTTTCTTCTTTTACAGATAAAAGAGGCTTTAGGAATTATTTATTTATTTATTTATTTGAGATGGAGTTTCATCCTTGTCGCCCAGGCTAGAGTGCAATGGCGTGATGTCAGCCCACTGCAACCTCTGCCTCCCGGGTTCAAGTGATTCTCCTTCCTCAGACTCCCAAATAGCTGGGATTATAGGCATGCACCACCACGCCCAGCTAATTTTTGTATTTTTAGTAGAGACGGGGTTTCACCATGTTGGCCAGGCTGGTCACGAACTCCTAACCTCAGGTGATCTGCCCACCTCAGACTCCTAAAGTGCTAGGATTATAGAGGTGAGCCACCACGCCCAGCCGACTTTAGGAATTATTAACTGCAACTGCTTCCTTCTAAGGGTGAGGAAACTAGGACCTCAAGAGGCCAGCTACCTCACCCAGGATGACGTGTCTGGACTACAGCTGAGAGTGTTGGTGTCTGGGCCACCCAGGAGTCTTTTCACTCTCCCATCATCTTCCCCTGCCTGCACCTTGTACAGTTACGACATTTACCTTTTTGCCCCTGAATATCTCTGATGAAAAAAAAAGAAAAAAAAAAAAAACCAAGGGAGGAACTACTTATTTCTATCTATCTTTAGCCTTGGGGATTATTGCTGGATTTCATTTACTCAAACTGTCCCTAATCCTCAAGCCCAAAGGCTAAGAAACTCTCTGAATAGTCACGTAACAAAGTTAGGATCAGGTGCAAGATGGAAAAGTGATCACATACTTTAGAGCGTGTAAGAGGAGAAGAGAGGATAAGTTCTCCTTAGTGTTTCAAGAGTGTCAGCTAATGGGTGCTATAAAAATAACCACTCACAGGTTATCTGCAAGTTGAGTCTCTACAGCTTGGGTTTCAGATTCTTGGCTCGGCTGTCCCCTTGGACTCCTTTCCTCCCACCTGGTGACTGTCCCAAGCTGATTCCTCCCTGTTTTGATGCGTATCTGCTGTTTTAATCAGTCCTCTGCTTCCTACCGGGACAATGTGTCAGAGGCAAAAGTTAAAATAAGGTAAATATTTGCTTACATATTCTTCCTATACCTCAAGCCAATTCCCCTGTAATGTATGACATCTTTTCTGTTGAGTTTGTAAAATAAAACCCAGGACTGACCTCCTCAGCATGAGCCACACAACAGGCTGCTATTTTAGCAGCAGCTCAGAACCTCCGAAGCCAGGACCTGCATTTAATTAAAAGCCATACTAAGCAAATGGAAGAGCTAACCCTTTCTCATTTGTTTCTTTCCAAGCCTCTGCAAACTGGAGGTGGTGGCTTATGAAGAAAATTGCACTTGGATACAAGAATTACTTCTTATAGGCCCGTCACAGTGGCTCATGCCTGTTATCCCAGCACTTTGGGAGGTCAAGGTGGGATGATCATTTGAGGCCAGGAGTTCAAGACCAGGCTGGACAATATAGCAAGACCCCATCTCCACAAAACAAAACAAAACAAAAAATTCACTGGGCATAGTGACACATGCCTGTAGTTAGTCTAAGCTACTCAGGAGGCTGAGGGGGGAGGACTGCTTGAGCTCAAGAGTTTAAAGCTGTAGTGAGCTATAATCACACCATTGCACTCCAGCCTGGGCAGCAGAGACTCTGATATGGTTTAGCTTTGTCCCCACCCAAATCTCATCTTGAATTGTAGTTCCCATAATCCCCATGTGTCATGGGAGGGACTCAGTGGGAGGTAATTTAATCATGGCAGCAGTTACCCCCATGCTGCTGTTCTCATGATAGTGAGTGAGTTCTCTCAAGAGCTGTTAGTTTTATAAGGGGCTTTCCCCTCTTTGCTCGGCACTTCTCTCTCCTGCCACCTTGTGAAGAAGGACATGTTTGCTTCCCCTTCTGCCTTGATTGTAAATTTCCTGAGGCCTTCCCAGCCATGCGGAACTGAGAGTCAATTAAACCTCTTTCCTTTATAAATTACCCAATCTCAGGTATTTCTTCATAGCAGTGTGAGAATGGACTAACACAGACCCCATCTCTAAAAAATTTTTTTATAAAAAAATTTTTAAAAGAATTACTTGTTATAACAATAAAGTATCCATAGAAATGGAGAGGAAGAATAACATGCCAATAGATATGGGGACATATTTAAGGAGAACTTGGGCTCCAAATTTATTTAATCTATGAATCAAAGAATTGCTCCTTTCTATTATCCCTAAAGGTTGAATTGTGCCAATGAGGATATGCAGATGATTCCAATCTATTGAATTGAAATTTGTCTGTAACACCAAGTGGAAAGCAGTGGCTTACCAAAAACAGTGGACTGTGGGGACACCAGGTCTCCTTTAAAAGTCTGACTACCCAGCTGGGTCACCTTAGGAAAATTACCTGATCCTCTGAGCTTTTGGTTCTTCTCAATTCGATAGGGCTAATAATCTATTAGGGAGCTTAAATGAAATGATGTCGACAAAGTATGCAGGATGGGCTTATTAGCTGCTGAATTAAACCTCAAAGTTGGTATCAGCATTTGAAGCCACCCAGCTCAATCTTGTAACATCGGTCCTCCAACCTCTGCCGCAGGAAAAGGAAACTTACAACCTCCCAAGGCACTCCACACCAGTTGGAGACAGGTACAACAGATAGAAAAATTTGCCCAGCATAGGGCTGTATGTCTTTCCCTTAACTTCAATGCTTTGGCCCTTATTCTGGCTTCCAGACCAGAAATGAGAATAAGTCTTAGCAGTCCTATACAAGAAAAGCCACTGAAATAGTTTATCCAATGGATAGTGGTTGCAAACTCCCCATGTACAAGTATACAGAGCCATAGAGAGGTGAGGGATGAGTCTGAGTGTCTTGTCTCGGGGGCTAGTTGAGTGGGGGTGACACTGACCAAGCTGGGGAGCAGAGGAAGAGGTTTATATGGGGAAAATGGTGAGCTTGGCTTGGGACATTGTTACTCTGGAGTAGCTGAGGGTCAACCAGATGGAGATGGCGGGTAGACACTTGGATGTGTGAGTCAGTGCTCAGGAGGAGGGTTGGGTCTAAAGGTACAGATCTGGAAGTGATCAGTACATAGGTGGTGACTGAAGTTGAAGATGTGGCTCAAATTGCCAGAGGGTGAGATGAGAACCTTTGTTTAAGAGGCAAAGTATGAAACCAATCAAAAAAGTAGAGGGAGAATAAAGGTTTTGCAAAAGTAAATTAAAGGGCTCCATGGAGAGGAGCTCAGAGAGACTGAGATTAAGTATTATTTAAAGAGGTAGGAGAAAAGCAGTGTCTGAGAAGTGGTGTCAGAGAAGCCAGGAGAATAGAGTTTCATAAAAGAGCAGTGCCAACCAAAGTCAGTATGGAAAAGATTCACTGGGAGGCAGGGGAAGAGGACCACGGGTGAACACGGCGAGGGCATTTCAAGGAAGAACTGGGAGCAAAATCAAACTACACCATCCATTGTGGAATTAATGAGAGATTTAAGAAGTGAAAACAGGCCAGGCGTGGTGGCTCACGCCTGTAATCCCAGCACTTTGGGATGATGAGGCGGGCGGATCACGAGGTCAGGAATTCAAGACCAGCCTGGCCAACATGGTGAAACCCCGTCTCTACTAAAGATACAAAAACTTAGCTGGGCGTGGTGGCGTGTGCCTGTAATCCCAGCTACTCAGGAGGCTGGGACAGGAGAATCGCTTGAACCCAGGAGGCAGAGGTTGCAGTGAGACGAGACTGCGCCACTGCACTCCAGCCTGGGCGACAGAGTGAGACTCCGTCTCAAAAAAAAAAAAAAGTGAAAACAGCCCACATAGACCAAATTTTCAAATCATGGGGTTGTTAAGGATATAAAGACAAAGAGGTATTAGTTAAAGAAGGGGGAGGTTTAAACATGGTGGAGAGGAAACACAGACACAGAGAGGTTAACGGCAGAAAAGAAAGTATACTGATCAAATATGATCGTTACAGGCAAGAGAGGAGACACGCTCCTGAGCTCCTGGGGAAATCTTTGATAAAAGGAGGGAAATTTTCTCAGAAGCAGGAAGGAAAGAGCGCAGGCTGGAGGTGGAAATAGATCCTTTGTAAGTGAGGGAACAGGATGAACGGAGTTTCCGCTGATCATCCTCTGTGAAGAAAATATGAAGATTCCTTGCTGAGAGGGAGGGAGGAGACAGGGAGGTCAAAGTTTGAAGGGGAGGGGAAGAGTTAGAATAGACCCTGGGGTGACTGGGGCCCTGAAGACTGTCCGTCCACCTGTCTGCCAGCCTGTGGATCTGATGAGCTTAGAGACCATTATTCTGCGATTGCACCAATCCAAACAGCTGGGTGATTATTTTTTCTTTCATAGAAATGCTTAGCAGCTAGCACATAGGGGCAGAAAATGCCAGTGGTTGAACTTATTTTGTGTAGAGAATTTGTTGGGTGGGGGCAACTAAAGGAAAAAAGATAGGACGGTTAGAGTATTGGCAAAGAAGCAGATAAAGCGATGGTTCCTAGGGGTATGGGCTGGAAAGAGTAGGACTTGGAAGGCAGCTATTATCTTTCCTGTACATCTCTTCTACTAATGCCTCCTTTGCGGGTGTTGCCGGGAGCAGCACACAATAGTCAAGATGTGCAGGACTAGCGCCGAGGTCAACACTCTGTCCCTGGCCTCCTCAAACCTGGAATTTGCTCTTATTTCAGAGTCACATCCCAGTGCTGATGCACATGGATCACACGGTCTCATGACCTGCCTCCATGTTTTACACAAAGGCTGCTGTTAAAACAGGCTCCTGACCATCCCATAAAAAATGCAGGTGGTTTTTTTCAGATTCAAGTGCAGGACCTTCACTTGAGCCCCTTGGCTGACTTTTGCAAGGCTTGGCCTTTCCTGTAAGCCTATTTAGATTCTGATTCTGGTGTGAAATGAGGTCACTGTGTTTCCCAGATCTGGGTCATAAGCAAATGGGATAAATATGTCATCCACGTCTGTATTCAAATCGTTGATAAAAATGTTGAACAGGAGCAGGATAAAGCCAACGGTAGAGCTGTGCAGGACTCACTCTGGAACTTTCTCTCTGGATGAACACCTGTCCGCCATCCACTGTCCAGGCATTCAAGGGTCAGCTGCAAATCACCACATGCTGCTACTGTCCAGTCCACATAGCACCATCTTGCCCTCAAAGACATTGCACAGGACCATCCAAACACCTTGCTGAAAAGGCCAGATAGGCTACATCAACAGCTTTCCCATGATGTACAGGTCTAGTAACCTTATCCCCTTTGGATAAAAACACAATGTGCTTTTCTTTGCTGTTTCTTGTACATCTACGACCAGATGGAGATCGGTTTATGACATTTTCCAGCTTTATGACATTTCCTGTCTCAGTATGACATCACTCCCTCCACCCCCGAGCTGAGGGCTACAAAGAGCCACAAAGATGTTAAGAACTTCATTTCTAAACCCTCCTCCTTCTCCAGTGTATCGGGTTACCTGATCTCCCAGGCTGTTGAGGTGAAGAATGTCAACTTGATAATAAGACTACAATAGAAAAGCCACTACTTCTAATGGAGAGAGAGGGGCCCTATAAAGCAGCCCCTTTGCTCTGTCTTGGAGCTTCCTCTTAGAGCCCCTAAAAGGCAGTTAAAATTTTATTACTTTGAATCTGATTTAGAAAACAAAGCCAAAAGAGATTGTATCTGAGCTTTCTTGAATACATCATTTTCAAACATGGTACTGAAACCTTGGGATTTTAAATCTTAAAAGCTAAGTATTCAGTTGCTTTAAAAAATCATAAAATGAGAATGCTACAGATCAGCGATAAACCAGAGGGGACGATGCCAAGGTGTTTACGCTGAGTGACATCCCTTCCCCTCGGCAATGGTGCTTAGACGCTGTCAATACATTAAACAAGAATAGTCGAACCAATCCATCAACATCCCTTTACTGACTGCTGCTGGGGACACAGAGAGGTGAAAGAGATGGCTGAGTGCCCTTGGAGAGGTTCCAGCTGAGTCTGGGAGGGAAGGGAAAAAAGAAGACACCTCCATCAAAAGGTTCACCAACAAAGCAACATGTGCTAGGTAGCAAGTAAAAATGCCAGGTGTTCCGGGGGAGGCTGCCAGCCAGGGAAGGCGGGGAAGGCTTTTCAAAGGGAATGAGACTTTCCCTGGGCATTCAGAGATGGACAGAATTTAAGTAGTGGGCAGGTGGGCAGGTGAACATTCTGGGTGGGAGTATGGAATACATGCGCATAGCCCATTTGAGCAAATGAAGTTTATAATTAGCCAGATTCAAACCCCCTCTCTCTCTTTGAACGTAGAGACAAAAGTCGGATGCTCAACTGGGAAATTAACAAAGAACACACTCGACTCTGCAGCATGGGGTCTATGCCTGTGCATCGAAGTTCAGCCTAGGTTTCATAAATGGAAGAATGTCCACTCCAACCACTCTAATGAGATGATCCAATTTAAACCCTAATATGCTATCACACACAACACAAACTTCCTTTCTACCATCCACTGCAATTTAAGTTTTGAGACTAATGGATTTTCTAAGAATGCAACAACATATGCCACAGAGGCAAAGTCCTTAAAAGGAGAAAAACAACAGAGTTCAGATCTGGAAGGCAGTGGTTTGCAATGCTGGCTTCACTTTAGAATCACCTGGGGAGTCTTCAAAAAATACCAGTGCTTGGGCTATACCTCATACCAATTAAATCACCCTCCCTGGGGCATCAGTGTTTAAATGAAAAATACCAATGATTCTGATTCACTTTCTCGACAAGTATTTTCTGAGTGCCTGCTATAAGCCAAGTATTGTTCTAAGTGTTGATGATACATCAATGAACCAAATAGACACCACCTTCTAAAAAAAAAAAAATACCCTCATAGATTTTACATGGTAATGGCGAGAAGCAGGCAGAGAAGCAAATTACGTCAGTAAAATATATGATATATTAAAAAACTAGGCCGGGCGCAGTGGCTCGTGCCTGTAATCCCCGCGCTTTGGGAGGCCAGGAGGGCAGATCATGAGGTCAGGAGTTCAAGACCAGCCTGACCAACATGGTGAAACCCCGTCTCTACTAAAAATACAGAAAATTAGCTGGGCGTGGTGGTGTGCATCTGTAATCTCAGCTACTCAGGAGGCTGAGGCAGGAGAATCGCTTGAACCCGGGAGGCAGAGGTTGCAGTGAGCTGAGATTGCGCCACTGCACTCCAGCCTGGGTGACAGAGTGAGACTCTGTCTCAAAACAAAAACAAAAACAAAACAAAAATCTGATAATGTGCAATGGAGAAAATAAAGCTGAGAAGAGGGATATGAAGCCATGGGCTAGTGTAGGGTAGCACGGAAGACTCCACTGATGGTGACATTTGAATCAGACCTGAAGGAAGTGAGGGAGAGTCTGCTACATGAAGGAAGAGCATTCCAGGCAGAGGGAATAGCAGGTGCAATGGCCCTGGGACAGATGCAAGAGATGAAATCAGAACAGGAAGGGCAAGGGGAGGGGAGAACCCACCAAGGGTCTGGTGGGCTATGTAATGAGTTTTACTTTTCCTCTGAGTGAGATGGGAAGCTCCTGGGAAGGTTTGGGCAGAGAACTGACAGGATATGATTTCCATGTTACTAGAATCTTTCTGCCTGCTCTGTTGAGAATAGACTATGAGGAGGAAAGGGAACAACAGCAACTGGGAGATTCCTAAAATAGCCCAATTGAGAGATGAGTGTAGCTTCCATGAGGGGAGAAGTGAGGAGCAATGCCTGTATTCTAAAGAATGATTTTTAAAGAGCGAACAAGAGATGAAGCATCTGGAAGGGGCAGGGTGGGAATCAGAATTCAGTTTCAGATGTTAAAGTTTGAGATGACCCTTCAGCAGGAGGGTCAAGTAGATAATTATACATGCAAGGAGTACAGGATGGAGATAAGATCGGTGGGAGTTCTCGGCTTACGGATAACATTTAAAGCCATCAGGATGACAGACATCGCAGACAGGAATCACAGAGAGAAAAGACAGGAAGTGCAACCATTGAGTCCTGGGCCCTCCAGCATTATTAAGAGGTCAGGAGGAAGAGGAGGCAGCCTAGAAACCTAGGAAGGAATGCTCCTGCGGCACCAGGAGGAACACCTGAAGAGTGTGGTATCCAGAGAGCCAAGGTAAGGAGTGTTTCAATGATAAGGGAGGGATGACCTGTGTGTGTGTCAAATGCTTTGAGGGATCAAGTAAAAGGCTCAGAATTGATCCTTGGCATGGATGTCATTCACAACAACGATAGGAGCAGTTTCTAATGTGCATTGGCGTGGAGAACCACTTCTCTATGGGGTCATGTTCTGGACTCAGCTTAAAACATATATTGGGGCCAGGCGCGGTGGCCCACGCCTGTAATCCCAGCACTTTGGGAGGCCAACGTGGGCGTATCACAAGGTCAGGAGATCGAGACCATACTGGCTAACACGGTGAAACCCCGTCTCTACTAAAAATATAAAAAATTAGCTGAGTGTGGTGGCGGGCGCCTGTAATCCCAGCTACTCGGGAGGCTGAGGCAGGAGAATCGCTTGAACCTGGGAGGTGGAGGTTGCAGTGAGCTGAGATCGCGCCACTGCACTCCAGCCTGAGTGACAGAGTGAGACTCTGTCTCAAACAAACAAACAAAAAACATATACTGAATGTCTGTCTTCCCTACTAGAATCTAAGGGGGTACCACATAGTAGGTGTCAAATAAAGATCTGATTTACTGAATGAATGAATTGGGCTGCACGTGTGACAGTTTATGAAATCATCTAAAATGATCAGTGTGTAAAGTGAAATCTTTCCATTTGAAAAGAAAACTGGTGATGTTAGGATAATTCTTAAGATGCTTTCATCAGAAGATTCATCTTCCCATACATCCTAAGTCATAACTAGCGCTGCCTCAGAGGTCCTCCCTCTCACATTAGATTATATGTTTTTGAAGGACAGGACTATTTCAGACTATGGGGATCTTCATGGATTCCTTATAAGTAGGACCTGACGTATAACCCAGGTTCTTCTCTCCCACCCAGACGTGCCAATCTGATGCTAATCTCACTCATTAAAAAACCTTCATGAAGGGCCTATTATAGTACACGCACTGCACTAGGTACTTGAGTCACAGCATCAAACAGGATATAGTCTGTGCCTGGAAGAACCTTCCAGTCTAGTGTTTCTGCCCCACAGCTGATATCAACTGATAAAAGAACTGCAGCTTCACTTTGGACTAGTTTGCATCCTCAACCAAACTCACAGGTGATGGAGTACAGTGTTACATGGCTCCAGATTCACTCGGTCCTAGATATACATATCTATCAGCAAATATGCCACGGGAGATCCCAGCCAGTTCCAAGTCACCAGCAAAAGTGAGGTTCAGGAGGCTCACCGTGTTTTTTTGTTTGTTTTTTGGTCTTTTTTTTTGAGATGAAGTCTCACTCTGTCACCCAGGGTGGCATTCAATGGCACGATCTCGGCTCACTGAAACCTCCGCCTCCCAGGTTCAAGCGATTCTCCCACCTCAGCCTCCCAAGCAGCTGAGACTACAGGCGTGTACCACCATGCCCAGCTACTTTTCTGTATTTTTAGCAGAAGTGGGGTTTCACCATGTTGGCCAGGCTGGTCTCGAACTCCTGACCTCAAGTGATCCGCCTGCCTTGGCCTCCCAAAGTGCTGGGATTACAGGCGTGAGCCACTGCGCCTGGCCACTATGTTCTTGAAGCAATGTTTTCACCATTTTTCCTCCCTCTGGTCCGGAAGACAGCCAAACAATTTGATGCAATTGATAATTCAAGGCAAACTGAATTTTATTTTTATTCCCTGTACTGAGAATATGAAGTATATATATCTTTTCTCTATGTGGCATGTGCTAAATAAACATTAGTTGGATGAAAAAAGGAAAAAAGTTGATTTGGGGGCAGTGAGGACAAAGTATAAGCACTCGGAAAGAAATGAGTGTCATGTTGAGAAGATAATACTACCTCCTTCAAATGTTTGCTGAGCTTTCATAGTTTCCAGTGGCTTTATGGAAAGCACCCATCTCCTATCTGCAGGACCGCCATTGTTGGCAAACCTTACATGCTATGCTAAGATGAAGATGGGGAGGAGCAGTTGAGAAAGAGTTATTTAAAATATCAAGTCCAGACCCAGGGCGGTGGCTCACACCTGTAATCCTGTCACTTTGGGAAGCCAAGGCGGAAGGATCACTTGAGCTCAGGAGTTCAAGACCAGCCTGGGTAACATGGCAAGACACTGTCTCTAAAACAAACAAACAAACAAACAAACAAAAAACAAAAAAAAACCCAGGCCAGACGCAGTGGCTCATGCCTATTATCCTAACATCTTGGGAGGCCAAGGCGAGCGGATCACAAGGTCGGGAGTTCGAGACCAGCCTGGCCAACATGGTGAAACCCTGTCTCTACTAAAAAAAAAAAAAAAAAATACAAAAATTAGCCGGGCATGGTGGTGCGCACCTATAATCCCAGCTATTCAGGAGGCTGAGACAGGAAAATTGCTTGAACCCAGAGAGGGTGGAAGTTCCAGTGAGCCAAGATTGCATCACTACACTCCAGCCTGGGTGACAGAGCAAGACACCATCTCAAAACAAACAAACAAACAAAAACAAACAAACAAAAAAATTAGCCAGGCATGGTGGTGCATACTATAGTCCCAGCTACTCAGGAGGCTGAGGTGGGAGAATCACTTGAGCCTGGGAGGTTGAGGCTGCAGTGAGCCGAGATCATGCCACTGCACTCCAGCCTGGGCAACAGAGGGAGATCTTATCTCAAAAAAATAAATAAATAAATAAATAAAGCAAGTCCAACTATCCTAGCGCACAACTTTCAGCACAGATTTTAACCAACGGAAATCCAGAAGCACATCTTGCTCCAACAAATGAGAACTGTGGTGGGTGGTGACATTCCCCATGAGAACAGCACATACAATTCTTCCCAGGCTCCACTGTGACTACCCACCTGCATGTTAGCAGGAACAATGAGCAGCTCCTCTTTGGTTTATGCTAAAAATAAAGAGTACTACCAATGAGTGACACCTTACATGCACAATCCTCGGGCAAAGTTCTGGTTACCATAGCAAATCCCACTCATGACAGCAGAGGTGAAGTGCATGATACATCAAATGGCCAGAGTTCTACCTTTCTGCAGGAGAGCAGCTATATTTGCCAGATACACTAAAAATTAGCCACTATAGACCTTTCTATGAATAAAAGCCCAACCTACAGTTACGGGTCTTGGACATCCTCACAATTACTGTTTGCCCGAAATAGTAGTATTTTGTCCAAGTTTACTTACGGGATGCTGATGTAATTCTCAAGATAGAAGTTATTTTTAAAAGGAGGTCCAACAACAGGGAAAGAGATGAATAGGTGATTTCTCATTCTCCCTAGTCTGCAAACTTTGAGCCCTACACCTGGCAAGAACCTGTCCTTTGTCTTCTTTCATGACTGGCTCAAAGCTAGTGACCAAGAAATGGACCAGTCTTTTAGCAAGACTCAATGGAGAGGTTCTCGCTAATAGCCAATCTGAAAATGGAGTCCATGCTCTCACCCTAGGGCTCTTATCAGCTAGGAAGAAACGCGGAGGCCGAAAAGACCAAACTACATAAAAGTCTTCATGTGTAAGGAACATCAGGAGGAGGAAGACCTCAGAGCTTTTTCTGATTACAGAAAAATTCTACCTTTGCATATAAGGACTCAACCTGGTCATCTCTGCCTTCCCTTTAAGGGTTCAAAGAAGAGGGTTTAAACCATCAAGTTGCAAGAAAGATCAGAAAAAGTCTTGAGCCTGAAACTCCTAAAGTGGAGAAGAAGAGAAATGAACTTCTTAGCTTCTCAAGATTAAGTCCCAGGCCAACTTTTCAGAGAAGTAGTACACTGGGAATCTGGGTGAGTATATTTCTTCCCTGTGTGTTAACAATCTGTGTCCTGGGTTTATGAGCGGGAAAATGAATTAGTAAACTCAGGGCTCTGTAGAGACTTTAGGGATCCCAGGCAGTTCCTGCTTCTCAGAGATTCTGTATGGAATCGTGGTTGGGAATAGGGGCTTAGTAGACAGAGAGATCTGGATTCAAATTCTTGCTCCAACTCTTAATAGATATGCAACCTCAGTCAAGTCACTTAGCCTTTCCAAGCCTCTGTTTCCTCATCTGAAAAATAAGGATAACTGGGAACAGTGCCTGAAATGCTTTAAGTGCTTGACTTGTTCAACAGACATTTATTGAGTGTCTATTGGATAATTCATTTTCCTGCTCATAAACCCAGGACACAGATTGTTAACACAGGGAAGAAATATACTCACTCAGATTATTAACAGAGGGAAGAAATATACTCACTCAGATTCCCAATGTACTATTTCTCTAGTTGGCCTGGGACTTAATCTTGAGACACTAAGAATATCATTTCTTTTTCTCTACTTTGAGGCTCAAGATTTTTTCCGATTTGCCCTGAGACTTAATTTTTTTTTTTTTTTTTTTTTTTTTTTGAGACGGAGTCTCACTCTGTCGCCCAGGCTGGAGTGCAGTGGTGTGATCTCGGCTTACTGCAACCTCCGCCTCCCGGGTTCAAGCGGTTCTCCTGCCTCAGCCTCCTGAGTAGCTGGGACTATAGGCGCGCGCCACCATGCCTGGCTAATTTTTATATTTTTAGTAGAGACGCGGTTTCACCATATTGACCAGGCTGGTCTGGTCTTGGACTCCTGACCTCGTGATCTGCCTGCCTTGGCCTCCCAGAGTGCTGGGATTACAGGCATGCGCTGCCGCGCCCAGCCGAGACTTGATATTTTAAACCCTCTTCCTTGAAACCTTAAAGGAAAGGCAGAAATAGGAACTATTTTCAGCATGTGAGATACACAAACTAGTTCTTTGCTTTAATGGAGCGTATGATCCAACAGCTAAGACAGATAATAAATGAATAAATCAAATATTTTATTTCAAACAGGAGTCATGTGATAGAGTACCTGGGGGTGGTCCTGTTTCCTGTTAGATCATATGTTCTTGTGAAGATCTGGGGGAAGATGTTTCCAAGCAGAAAAAGAGCTCTGATATGGGACGGAACTTGGTGTGTTCCAAAACTGAAAGAAGTACAGCATGTCAGGCATGGAGTGAGGGCAATGAGTGCTAAGAGAAGGAGTCATAGGAGAGGTGGACTGGGGCAAGGAGCCTGAATCACACTGAAATGGCAACGAGAAATGTCCAGTTTTAAGCCAGGGAGTGATACGACTTGTGTTTTTAAACGACCCCTCTGGCCGGGCACAGTGGCTCATGTCTGTAATCCCAGAACTCTGGGAGGCCAAAGCGGGTGGACCGCTTGGGCCCAGGAGTTTGAGACCAGCCTGCACGACACAGTGAGACCCCATCTCTTAAAAAAACAAACAAAAAAACCCCTCTGGGTTGGGGGGCAGGAGGGATGAATAGGAGTCAGAGCACAGAAGATTTTTAGGCCAGTGAAACTACTCATATAATATAATGGTGGATACATGACATTACACATTATCCAAACCCATGACATTATACATTTATCCAAACCCATAGAATGTAAGAGTGAACCCCTAAGGTAAACTATGGACTCGAGGGATAACGATGTTCCAACACAGGTTCATCGACTGTAACAAATGAACTATGTGGTGAAGGATGTTGATGAGAGTGGAGGCTCTGCATGTGTAGGGGCAAGAGGTATACAGGAAATCTCTGTAATTTCTTCTCAATTTGGCTGTGAACCTAAAATTGCTATATTAAAAAAAAAAAAGTCTTAAAAAAATAAAAGACCCCTCTGGCTGCTCGGAGGAAAAGGACTGGGGTCAAGGGTGTCCTCAGGTGGCCCGGTTAGAAGATGACTGCAGCATGGGTCCAGGGGTGAGATGGCAGTGATTTTAACAAGGGCGGCTGCTGTGGAGGCGGGAGAACAAGGTGGAGGCTGGAGGTGGGGCCAACAGGACTTATTCCTGGATTTGGATACAGAGTGTCGGGAAAAGAGAATGAAGAGTGGTTTCTAGTTTTGGGAATGAGCCTTTGGGTGGATGGTGGTGCCATTTACTGAGACGGGAGGAGGAGAAGGAAAGAACTAGCTTGAAAGAGACATATCAAGGATTGCATTTTGTTGTGTTAGGTTAGAGATCCCTATAACGCCCCCACTGGAATGGTAAGGGGGCAGTGGGGCACATGAGTCTGGAACACAGCAGAGAAATCAAGGCTATGGACATAAATTTGGAAGGCAGAAGTGCATAAATGGTAGGCAATGCCTCGAGATAGTTGAGCTCTCCCTAGAATAGCCAAAAAAGAGGATCCAAGGACGAGTCCCAGGTCAAGAGCATAAAACAATGAATATCAGTTGTTGTTACTATTTTCAGTACATTGAGAAGGAGAATGTTGGCCAACTACTGTTACCAGCATCTTTTCATCCATCTATTTCCCCAGCCATGCTGCCCTCCATTCATACCGTGAACAATCACGGAGCACATTTACTAAAAGGCAAAAGAGAGTAGTGGTCCATATGCAAGCTCTAGAGCCAGGCTGCTGTGTGTAAATTCCAATTCTACCAACTCCTGGCTGTGCAACCTCAGAGAATTCCGTAACCACAATGTATCACCATTTTTCCATCACAAAAGGGGTTGTACTGTGTTGAATAGTAGCTCCCCAAAAGATATACCCACATCCCAAAACCTGCAAATGTGTCCTCATTTGGCAAAAGTGTCTCTGCAGATGTAATTAAATTAAAAATCTCAAGTTGGAATCATCCTGAATTATTTGGGTAGCCCTAACTCCAATGACAAATGTCCTTATAAATGAGACACACAAAGTAGAGACATGCAGACAAGAGAGAAGACACAGACACACAGACAAAGCAACGTGAAGACAAAGGCATAGACTGGGCTGAAGCAGTGCAAGGAATGTCCACAGCTCCCAGAAGCTGCAAGAGGCAGGGAAGGATTCTCCCCTAGAGCTTCCAGAAGGAGCACGGCCCTGTCAACACCTTGATTTCAGACTTCGGACCTGTGAAGAGGATACTGTGAGAGGATAAATTTCAGTTGTTTTAAGACAACAAGTTTGTGCTAATTTCTGACGGCAGCCCCAGGAAATGAATATGGGGTAATAACAGTATGTACCTCATCAGATTATGAGAACTGAATGAGCTGTATGTGGCAAGTGTCTAGAACAGTGCCTGCCAAATAGTGAACATTCAAATAATTTTAATTTTTACCCATGTACTAGGCATTGTACTGGATCCTGAAGAGTACAGGGGAAGAGGCAGTCTTCAGAGATCCTCAAGATAAAGACGGAGCCTGGGAAGCTGAGCAGGTGAGGGATCAGAAGGCGGGAAGTGTGCTCAGGGGCCGTGTGCATCTCCCAGGTGCCAAAAATAGTGGACTGCAGCTCCACAGCTGCCACCAATAAAGAAATCAATAAGCCTGACATCTGCTTAGGTTTTTAAAGATGAGCAGTAAGTCCAGAGAGGAGTTAATGCAATTCTTTCCAGTACCTTCCTCTCCTTGTGCCATCTCACTGCCTGCTCTCTCTTGGGAATCCACGCTGATGGGGACACTCGGAGCACATTTTCTGGAGACAGCTGTCCCTTCTTTCGGCCTAATGATACTGGGAATTAAGGTGGCCAGGGCGGGGTAGGAGTGGAGAGTGGGCAGTGGCAAACTGTGGAGGAAAGCTATGCCAATTTTGTATGCTGAGTGGTTTTGTAATAATATTTGCATGGCTGCTTTAGCCTTGGAAGTGAATTCTCTTCATCAGGAGACCCATATAGCACAATCTAGTTTTACCCAAATCTCCATAAAACACACTGTGCCAGAAAGAGGGTGTTGGGCGGGTGGTGGGGGGTGTTCAACTGAAAACACAGCTGAAATCAGACATTTTATAAGTGTCCATTGGCCAACACACAAAAATGTAGAGTTTATTGACATCTTGCTTTATTAAACAGAAAAAGAAAAAGAAACCTTCGTGCTCTTGGAGAGAGTGTATGATTCCATTTGATCACCTGCAAGCAAACATAAGCAGTGTCAGGAGCTACTTAGTGTTCATGACGTGGAGGGGTCAGGTTCCTGAAGACATTTGTGGTGGCTCAGTCCCTGGAATTCCTCAGGGGTAAGGGGCATTACTAGGTGTTCAAACTTGTACCCACCAACCCAAGATATTATGGCTACCCCAAAATACACTTGCCTCTCCAGTCTCCAGAAACAGAGTCTTCTGGAATACTGGAATTACAGTAACATCCCAGGACGTGTAAACAGGACAAGCCAGGTTCACCTTAGACAGGCATCGGAAACATGCTGGCCTTTGGTGAAAGGGACAAAAGAGTTGGTGTTTATTTTCTTCCGCCTAGGTATCCTGAGATCTCCCTAGGAGTGACAGTAGTGAGAAGGCCCCCCCGCAGTGCAAAGCTCCCTGACACCCTCTCTCCTCCCACCAGCTGCCTGGGGATGCCCGGAGGCCTCCCATGTAAGGCAGCCCAGTTCCCCACCCCCTTCCCCCTACTGAGTACACTGAGATCCAAACTTACCATCTCTCCCACCCTCCTCCCAGTACAACTCCCACTGCCTGAGCTGGCAGGTCCCAGCCAGGGAATTGACTTTGGGGTAGCCACAGCACAAAGCGTGCCCCTGCTCACGGTAGGAATACTAATTCTACACTATATGAGTGCTGCCTTTATTTTTAGCCAAGCAGGATGATGGCTGTCCTGAGGCCAGGACAACAGGGTCTGTTGTGTTAACTTGGATGATAAAGTCTAGGGCTTGTAAAGCCAAGTACTAGAGGTGTCCAAGTGTTGGTAAAAATGAGACCAGCCGGGCACAGCGGCTCACGCCTGTAATCTCAGCACCTCGGGAGGCCAAGGCAGGCGGATCACAAGATCAAGAGATCAAGACCATCCTGGCCAACATGGTGAAACCACGTCTCTACTAAAAATACAAAAATTAGCTGGGTGTGGTGGCACGCACCTGTAGTCCCAGCTACTCAGGAGGCTGAGGGAGGAGAATCACTTGAACCTGGGAGGCAGAGGTTGCAGTGAGCCAAGATCGCGCCACTGCACTCCAGGCAGGGCGACAGAGCAAGACTCCGTCTCAAAAAAAAAAAAAAAAAAAAAGAGACCAAGAGTAACCCCTCTGAAATCCATTTCGACTCCTGCTAAAACACCTCAAAGAACCAGTCTGGGGCATCACTGTGTTAAGGGCCAAATATGCCATGGACGCCCCTTCCTCAGGAAGCTGTTAAAACCATAGATCCTTAACTGGAATGAGCTAAGTTTATTCCTCCCTGAAGGCAAGAGATTGGATAATGCCCTTTCAAGGACTTGCAGATCCTTAAGAATTTGTGATTTTTTAAATCCTCCTGTGGATATCTAGGCATTTCAGGCTGCTTCTTAGACTTAAAAGACAACAAAACTTCCCCCATCTCCTTGCTATTATTTCATTCAGAGCTCGCAACAATTGTGTGTGCAAAATTAATCCTCTGTGCTGTGAAGTCGGTTCCCCCAATGCTGCTTCTCCAAAACCTCTTCAGGCCTCCTACCTAGAGGGCTTGATGAGCCCCAGAAACACTGTATATAAAAACATATAATCCAAGAATAACTTTGTCAACCAGGTGTTCAATGCTATCTGGTTTCATTCAATGGCTTCATAAAGAGAGTTGAGAATCTTAAGTTTCTGATTTTCTGGAAGTTCATAGACCACTCATTATTCACTCAGAACGCATTCTGGTAGGGAATGCATGCATGGAGCAGCCAGAACTTTCAGAATGGAGACTGTTTGCTGGCCCCATCAAGAGTGTGGGGTGAACACACTACTGGCATTGGAGAGAAGCCACGGCCGGGGGTAGGCCTCTTCCTGGAGCTGGAGAGGCTTAAAAGACAAATGTGTCTTCTCCGCATGCTTAGTGTCTTAACAAACCATCTCTCGGCTCAGCCGCCTTATCAGACCACAAAAGGCCTCTTCAACTATTAAGTTTTCAAATTGTAAATGCTCCCAGTGTCTTCTTGAACACATTTGTAAATAGAAGGCAGAACTCTTTAGCTCTCAGACAATCAGACTGAATCAGATGACCTACCTGGCTTCAAACACTCCCCGCTAGAACCCATGGGAAATGTATTCTTTTCCAATTCCATCTTTTCTCTATTTCTAAAGTATGGATAATAGGAGATCAAGATTGTCAAATTTCTAGATACCATAAAAAGATCTATCCTTTTATATGCAACCGATGCATAGGTCCAAATCTAGACATAGACCATCCGGTTGGAAAATAAGGAATAATTTCAGAAAATTTTCCAGATAATTCTATACTTTAATTTCCTTAAAAAACATTCTTCAATGCCTATAATCCCAGCACTTTGGGAGGCTGAGGTGGGTGGATCGCTTGAGCCCAGGAGTTTGATACCAGCCTGGGCAACATGGTAAAACCCCATCTCTACAAAAAATTTTTAAAAAATAATAAATTAGCCAGGTGCGGTGGTGTCTGTAGTCCCAGCTTCCCAGCTACTTGGGAGGCTGAGGTGGAAGGATCACTGGAGCCGGGGAGGTCAAGGCTGCTGTGAGCCGTGGTCATGCCACTGCAGCCTGGGTGACAGAGTGAGACCCTGTCTCAAAAAAAAAAAAAATTATTCACATTTTCCCCAATTTCATTTAATTTGGCACATATCTACTTAGTGTTTAGTAAGTCAAATGCTCCTTTTCTTTCCCGCTTCACTAATAAGTGAGACTGTTTTTTCATCTTTTCAACTATAATCAAAGACCCATTAATAAAACCAAGGGGGATTGCAGATTTTTAATTCTTCCTCAGCCACCTGCATCTTGGCCAACACCACTGCTATTGAAAGACAAGAGTTCCCCAGATCAAGCAACTGTGTTTTGTGACTCTAGTTCTGGTTGTCTAATGGGGCAAGTTCTCTGTTTTTCTGGGCCTTAGCTTCCTCAAATGCAGGTGTTACCGAGTGTGAGTGCATGATGCCCTTCCAAACCATGGAGGACAGAGGAGACTGTCCAGCCTCTTCCTGCCTTGCACCTGGTAACTGGATCTTTGCAAAAGAGAGGGACATTAAATTTAGACGCAGCACTGCAACAAGCCAATGGATTAAAAGGCAGAAATCTTGAAGGATTTGTCAAGGTGCAAACAGGGAGACCCAACTGCTCAGAGTAGTCCAAAACTTTTCATCCACAGCTGAAAGAAAGCTTCAGGCAAGTCTGCTAAAAACTCCTGCCTTCTCCATTCCACTGGGCTCTCACTGACTTTGGTGAGAGGTTTATGCATTTCTGGACACACTGTTCGAAAGGACCCCCTATACAGCAGATGCGGTCATGGAGGGCCTTCCAAACACACCTTAGTACCTCTTTCGATTCCTCCTAAGAACAACCCTGTGAAGTAGCGACTGCATCAATTTTATACATGAGCAAATGGAGGCTTCAACATTTCTAATCATCTGGCCCAGCAGGAAGTTCTCTGCACTGCTAGGATTCCAGCCAAAGCCTCTGACCCCAACTCAGGAGTCCTTCCTTTCCCTCCTGGCTGCCTCCACTGGTGCCAGGTGCCGGGTTTGCTTCCCCTGGCAGGCAGCAGTACCGCAGCCCTTTCCTCCAGGCCCCAGCTTCACGAAGTGACCCCAGGTCTCAGCAAATGCCTCCCCTGTTTTCCTCATTCTCTCCAGGGCCTCACCAACCTCTGCTTCCCTCTGGCCTTCCAGAGAAGGCAGATGCCAGGATTGTTCTTTCCCTGCACTTGCTCACCTCTTCCAGCCCAAACACCCCTGATCTAGCTTCTCTACTCTCTCCCACATCTCTTTTGTTTACCAAACATGCCTGGGAGGGAGAATGGAGGGACTCTCATGAATAAACCCTCCTTCAATGCTACAACCTCCTCAAAATACTGTGGATTATTTTCAAACAGCACACTTCTGGATCCAGTGTCTATACCTGCAGTTTCACTGTCTTGGCAATCATTGTCTCCTTCTTCCCTTGCAGCCTGGCTTCATGAACACCCCTTGCAGACACTGTTCTATCAGTGGCCTTTTCCTATCATCCTTCTGGGGATGGGCGTCTCTGAGACATCCCTGCCTCTCCACTTGTCTGCTAACCTCTCTCATGGGCTTGTCTGCATAGCTCTTCCTGTCCTTGAAACTCAACTCTGACCTCAGCATCCTCCCTGGTGCTGCGGGGATGTGTCTGAGGGCAGAAGAAAGAAGCTGAAAACTTGAGTCTCTAAGTCTGTCTTCTTAAAGAGATTCAGCCTCTCTTTGGATTTGCTCCTGACCTTTTGTGGGTTCATCTTTGGAATTTGTCCCCTTGTGGATGGTGCAGTAGGAGAGACCTTCCAACAGAGATGCCCCCACCACCATGGTCCGAGTCACTTAGGCCCACATGATCAAAGGCAAGGGGGTATCCACAGCTCTGTGTTATCTTGTTCAGCTCACCAGGCCTGGAGCCTCTGGGAGAGGGTTTCCACAACACCCTACAGTATGATCAGCCGGGGGTAGTGGGGTCTGGGGTGTTCCCTCTGCCTCTTTTCCTGTCTAACCTGAGGAAGTTGATTAGCAACTGTTCCAGGCCTTATCTGGGTATGAAAAAAATAAGGCCCTAAAGAAACACACCCAGGGCAGCATGGTGAGTGTGCTAAAGGGTTGTGTAGGAGCAGAACGAGGGGCCAGGTTGGGCGCAGTGACTCATGCCTCTAATTCCAGCACGTTGGGAGACCAAGACACCAGGATCACTTGAGCCCAGGAGTTCGAGACCAGCATAAGCAACATGGTGAAACCCATCTCCACAAAAAACACAAAAATTATCTGGTTGTGGTAACACACACCTGTGATCCCAGTTACTCAGGAGGCTGAGGTGGGAGGATTGCTTGAGTCTGGGCAACAATGAGACCCAGTCTCAAAAAAAAAAAATATCTCACACATCTCCCTACTATCTGGAGAACTAAGTTCCTCTGAGTCCTTAGTTCCTCTGAGTCCTTAGTTCCTCTGAGTCCTTAGCACTGAGTCCTAACTCAGGATCAACCTCTCGACTTCTACCTAAGAGCTCCTCCACAAAGCCTTTCAGATCCTCTCTGGCAAAAGTGACTTCTTTTTCCTCCATACTCCCAAAATGTTTTATTTGGACCACTCTTCAGGTACTTTACTCACTTAATTATCTCTTCACTCCTTCATCCAATAAACACATGGCGTCTACTACATGCAGCATGTGCACTGGTCTGCACCATAGTGCTTAGCAGGCTTCTCTCCCTTCTCCTGCTGGACAGAAACTGACAAACTGACAGCAGCGAGGGAGCATCTTTCATCTAAGCATATCCTGGAACCTCGAAGCCTCCTCAGCCTCCAGCACAGCAAACCACAGGTATTCCAAAAATAAAATGATTGAAATGAACAGAGAAATTATCATAAGTTTCCTTAAATAGTAAACTGCCATAAAGTACATGCAAAATCAATTTCAGCGATAGATTTAAAGTATAATTCAATATTTTTCCAGGAGCATATTAACTATGTCAAGGTAGGTACATTTATATACTTTACATGGTTCTGATTTTTCCTCTCCTAGCACCTGCCACCCCCCTACTCCTACACCTAACCCCCGCAACACACACACTCACTCACACAACTAGGTGGTTATTATAGGAGCAGAAGCTCTGGGCCCATCCTAATGGAAGAAGGAATTCATGAAGCCAGAACCACCACCTACAGCCAGGGGTGTGTTCTGAGACATTCTCTTCTGCCCCCACAAGCAGCACTCCCACTTCACACCTGCCAACCTGTACCTATCTGGCCACCACCCAGAAGTCACAACCCACAAAAGCTGGCCCAGTAGAGATGCCAGGCCCCTAAAGCCCTCCAGTGTTCAGAGACCCCACTGGAGAACAGGCCCTGAAGGTCCAGGGGGTCTCTCTGCAAGGACAGATCAGGGCATCACTTACTGCAGCCACTCAGCAACCACTTCCAGTAGTTTCATTGCGATTTGTCAAGGCAAACATATCCACCTACCCTACCTTTGGTGGAGGCAAGAGGTTAGGCCAGCTGCAGGGGACAGACTCAGACTCAGCTCCATCCCCCAACACTGCCCAACGGCCAGTCCCAGGGCAGGTCTGGAGCTCTGGAATGCCCTCGTGCCTGCCATTCCAGTCTCTGCGACCAGCCCATGCCAGACCTTGTCCTCTTCCCACTCCAGTGTCCCTTATCAAGGTCTCTGCATAGATTTGGGCTGCCGAGGACAGCTTCTGGCAAACTCCTGCCAGGGGTCCTGGACCCTCCTGCTGCTGAATTCAGCCTTGCGCTTTAATGGATTTTCCAAATAGCGGGGACCACAGGCAGCTCAAAGACTTAAAACACAAACGCAAACCCGAGGGAGGGAGAGAGGAACAGAGGGAGGGAGAAACCAGATTTTAGGAGAAACTCGACTTCAGAGAGAGAGCAGGATTTCCCTATCACTATGTTCCCCATCTCCCCGGCAGACGCCAATAACCGGCCCTAAGATGCCCTTGATCTTTGCGCGCCCCCTGCATTCCCTCGCCCCGCGTCTAACGTCTCATCTGGGCAAAGAGGCGGGGGTTGAGAGATGAAACAAGCCCGAGGGAGGATGGTCCCCAAGACATTACCTGAGGCCGGAGTACCTGAGTACCTCCACTCCTGTCGGAGGAAGGGACCAGAAGACGGCCCAGGGATGGGGACCCGGGATGCGCGCCCGAGCAGGAGGTCCCGGCCCTGTCTTGAGTACCCCCGGCAGTGCGTCTCCGGTTGTCCCGCTGTCTCGGTCCCGCTCTGTCTAGCCCCCTCCCCTGGGCTGCGCCCTCCCCGTCCCCGGCCGGATGCTAGAGGAGTTTGCGCCGCCCAACGTGGGACCCCGGTTCGGCGTCCTCACTCCCCGCCCTGCCAGGGCTGGGATTCCCGCACCCGGATTTGTAGCTAAACTTTCCTGGGCACACACGGTCTCGGGGGTGCCGGGCCTCCCCCATCCCCTGCCCACCCGGAGCCGCGCGTCCCGGCTGCAGCGGGACGGTCGCTTCACCTGCTCGCGGCTTGGCCGAGGCTCCCGCGGCTTCCTCGCGCGTCCAGACCCAGGCGCCGCCCGGCGGGTCCCCGCGCAGCTGCCGCCACCGCGGCCACCACCGGTGCCGCCGCCGCGCCTGCCCCGAGCTGCAGAGCCGCGGTTCGCCGGCAGCCGCGGGAGGCGCAATCCCGGTGCCTTGGGTTCGGCCTGCGGCTCCTCGGCTGCCTGCAGCCGCCGCCCCGCCGCGTCCCGCTGCCCGGGGCCGGCACGCACCGGCGCTGGGGTCCGCTCCTCGCCTCGCTGCGCAGGGGATCCGCCGAGCCTCCAGGATGGGCGGGGATTCCCTCCCCCTGGTTGATTCGAGGGGCGGGAACTCCCTTCCCCGAGTGACAGGGACGGGGGGCGGGGATTCCCCTGCAGGAATAACAAGGTGGGCGGGGATTTCCCCGAGCGAGCCCCGCCGCGGGCAAGGCGTCTCTCTGGGTGAGCCAGGAGTCCTGGTGCGCCCGCTTCAGAAACCTGGGGATCGTGGGAGGAAGGCATCCAGGGAGATGGCTGCTCCGAATCTCCATACAGGCGGGGCTTAGGGCGCCATCTAGGTGGAACAGAGCGAGCTAGGGGACGTGAAGTTGCCTCTGCATAGCACTTTACACAGCAAAGAGAAAAATGTCAGTTACCTTATCAAAGAATGGGGCGGAGGGGCCACAGGAGATGGGGGAAGAGCTAACCACTCACCCCAAGCTACCCTTAGCCTCTGGTCCTTGGGATACCAAAGGTAATTTAGCACTGGTACGAGGATTTCGGGGAGAGGGGACCTCTTGGCACCTCAGAGCTGCTTAATCCCCCAGTTAAGCCCCTGGGGGGGAATCCCATGGCCCTGGGGTGGTGGTTTTGGTCCCATGAGCACTAGCCACGAGCTCCTGCCGAGTGGACTGTGAGAGCTAATGCCAGCCGCCCTTGGCTCCCGTCCAGGTCACTCGAGGAACCGAGCCTCAGGCTTTTGGGATCCTTCATTCCGGTGGATTTTCAGGAAGGCCTTCAAATATTTTTGGTTCTTTTTTTGTCATCCTTGTCATTCTGCCTACCAAAGGGAGAGGATGATAAGAACATAATAGGAAGACTGCACAGCTCTGCAAATTAAGCTCTCTTAAGAGGAAAAAGCTGGTCTTTTTCAAGTGCTGGCAGATAAGAGTAAAAACATATGAAAAATTGCAAAACCTGGGATAATGAATAGTTGAATAATGCTTTTGACATTTTCTACAGAACAGTAATTGGAAATCTTTGCTTTCGGGGGGATGGGGATGGGACAGGGCAGGCCCCAGCTGCAGTTCTGCCCAGCAAGGCAATAAACTCTGGCCTCTCCGAAAAGCAGGCAGACATAAATCACCTGCGCAGACCGGACAGCGCTGTCCCACCACACCAGAGACCAGAGTGGGCCCAAGGCATTTGGAGGTGGTATTGTCCTCAGGGGCTGGGGTGGAGAAGTTCTTGATTTCAGCTGTTCTTCAGCTTTTATAATTACCAGGCCATTGAGATCAATGCTTGCACAAATCCAAGCATCGTATATGACAAGCTGGGCACTCAGGCACTCAGAGCTTCTCTTCCTATGTGTAAATAGAGAAAACACCTACCATGCAGGATTGCTGGAACTAGCAGTAACACAGCTATTCAGCACAGCACTTAGGAGGTGCTCAATGAAATGGTAACCATTATCAATGAAAGGTATCATTGGGACACTACAAAAAAATCCTTCTAGAAGGATCAAACAGGGCTGGTGCTTTCTGTTTTTTCCACAATCCCAGGCCCATCTTCCACCACTCTGTCCCGTGTTTTCTCAGCCTCTGTACCCAGCACATACCTTGGGCCTACCTCCCTCAGCACCAATGAAAAGTTTGCTGAATCAATGAATATGCAAATAAATGTATCACTCAAACTGTAGTCACTGCTATTTCTTATCCACTCCATCCCCAACTCTTTCATTCCAGCCATGTACTCCTAATCTGTAAATTCTGTTTCCTCTGCCAGAGTGACATTCTCACTCTCCTGTGTCTGCTGAAATCCCAAGGAGGTAAATGTCATCTCTACTGGAAAGGCTTCTCTGATCATCAGAACAAACATCACGTTTCCTCTGCCTTGTTAATTGCTGCAATGGTAGCACTTTATGCAAATTGCTCATCTAACCCTTGTCAGGTGTATTATGTTGTAGGAATTATGGCGTTTTGTCTCACATATTTCTAGCTTGTGAGTTCTTGGAGGTAAGAGAACTTAAAGCTTATTGTTTGTGTTCCCAAAGCCTAGGGTGGCATGGTGTCCGACCCAATAGCCACTCAATAAATATTTGCTGAATTAAAATGAATTGTTAGGTATATACATGTATGTTATATGTGGCATATATTATGTATAAATACAATATATACAGATGTATTTTATAATCTGTCTCCTTCAGACATGGCCCTGCTGACCTGCTTTAAATACTTCGTTTCAATCACTTTTCAGCTGATATTTTCCAGATATTTTTGGCAAGTTCTTATCTGCTAATAATAGCTCAATTCACAGAGGTCAATCAAATGCATGGAAATTTTGTTTTGCCCTTGCAGTCTTGTCAATTTGGAAAGCTGACAACTGAGGGCATTTATTTTCCAATGTTTGAAGATCAAAATGTAAATCCTTTTTGCCCCCTTGTTAAACATTTAGTCACAGATTAGTATTTCTATCAAAGTTGCCATTTTAATTTAGTGCTCATAATATATGTGATGTGGAGGAGGAGGAGGCTGTATATAGAATATCTAAGACTTCAGAGCAAAGGAAGATTAAAATGATAAACAAAGAAAAAATGTGTGATCCCAAGCTATATCAGTGACAGAATGTAGCGTGGTTTAGGTGAGTCCAAGTAGATTCTCATGGATTGCAGTGCCATGTGGTTTACTTCTGAGCTTTCTCCCTCTATGAAGAAAAATCTACAGACCAGGCAGCTGAAACTAAAACTGGAGGTTTGCTTACCAACTCTTGAAAAGACTGCTTTCCATCTTTCCGCCTCAGCTGCTCTTCCAAGTAAATTTCAAGGGAGGAGAAGTAGCCTTAGTCAACAACTGGCTCAATTCCCTTTCTCCTCCCAGCCTCTGTGGGTTCATTTTATCTCCAAAACAGATTCTAGCTTCCTGTTTACCTAGCGAATTACCCTTTTTTCTTTCTTCCACAAATTCCTGGCCACTAACTCTTCCATTCATGACCTCACGCTAGAACGAGCCATCTCCTGGCCAAGAAAGGGGCTTAAAAAGAACAAATGAGGCCAAGTGCCCTGGCTCATGCCTGTAATCCCAGCACTTTGGAAGGCCGAGAGGGGCGGATCACTTGAGGTCAGGAGTTCGAGACCAGCCTGGCCAACAGGGTGAAACCCAGCTTCTGCTAAAAATGCAAAAGTTAGCTGGGCATGATAGCGGGCGCCTGTAATCCCAGCTACTGGGGAGGCTGAGGCAGGAGAATTGCTTGAGCCTGGGAGGTGAAGTTTGCAGTAAGCCAAGATCACGCCACTGTACTCCTCTCTGGGAGTCAGAGCAAGACTCCGTCTCAAAGAAAAAGAACAAATGAGTGACGATGGTAGTAAAACATTAAGTCAGTGGATCTCAGTCTGGACTACACTTAAGGATTCCCAGAAGTTTGAAAATTTAAAAAACTCCAGACTCACCCCCTGAGATCACTATATACTTGGTCTTTGGGGAGCCCCTGGATGCCCCTTAACCAGAACCCCAGTGATTGTAATTTGGGTGGCCCACACAGGATAACTTGGAGAAACACTGAAGTAGAGTGACATGACAGCTGAGAGGGTGCCCAAGGTCACATTCCAGTACTTGGTCATAGTACTGTAGAGATAAGACTTTATTTTAAACATTGATAAAAATGTTGTAATATTTATCCCGTCTCAGATGAAATATTTTATTTAGCCAAAACACAAAAAAGGACCTGCATTTGATGCATACTGGTTTTTTTCTTTTTCTTTCTTTCTTTCTTTTTTTTTTTTTTTGAGATGAAGTGTCGCTCTTTTTGCCCAGGCTGGAGTGCAATGGCGCGATCTTGGCTCCCTGCAACCTCTGCCTCCTGGGTTCAAGTGATTCTCCTGCCTCAGCCTCCTGAGTACTTGGGATTACAGGTGCCCACCACCACCCCCAGCTAATTTTTGTATTTTTAGTAGAGACAGGGTTCCACCATGTTGGCCAGGCTGGTCTCAAACTCCTGACCTCAGGTGATCCGCCTGCCTCGGCCTCCCAAAGTGCTGGGATTACAGGCGTGAGCCACTGCACCCAGCCCATACTGTCTTAAAATATATATTTAGGGGAAAGGTTTAAGTAAGCACTTTTCATCCACGTACATTGAAAATGAGTTTCACTGTATCCATGAGCGTGACGTTGGATTTTATGCAAATGTGTTTTATTGTTTCCAGTGTGGTCTAATAATACTGCACGTGAAGAATTTGTAATTTTCTCCTGGGCTTCCCCTTACAAGCCAACCCATTATTTTATATCTTTGTCTCTCAGCCTTCCATTTGTACTATTGAAGCATTGGTTGCCACGGTAATTTTTTTATACAATTTTTGGCAGAAAAAACTGAATTACAAACTAGTAACTACAGACCACGTATGACTTTCACAATTTATATAGATGATTCAATCATTTTGCAATAGGGTAGAGTGTAGTGTTTATCCAAGTAGATTCTTTTGGACTGTGGTGGGATTTGATTTACCTTTGAGTTTACTTGCTTAACACACATTAAGACACCAGCAAGACAGGCCTGGCGTGGTGGCTCACGCCTGTAATCCCAGCACTTTGAGAGGCCGAGCTGAGTGGATCACCTGAGGTCAGGAGTTCAAGACCAGCCTGGCCAACATGGCGAAACCTCATCTCTACTAAAAATATAAAAATTAGCTGGGTGTGGTGGCAGGTGCCTGTAATCCCAGCTACTCAGGAGACTGAGATAGGAGAATCGCTTGAACCTGAGAGGCAGAGGTTGCAGTGAGCCAAGATCGCACCACTGCCCTCCAGCCTGGGAGACACAGCAAGACTCCATCTCAAAAAAAAAAAGACACTAGCAAAACAAACCTACTAAAAAAAAAGATAGAAAGACAGAGGTTCAGTTTTGATTAGCATAACCAGTACTCTGCTATCAGTATATCTAAAGAGAGCTGTTTTAGTTATACACACACATAGGTTTTGTTTTATACTTGGCCTTTGTCTTTATTTTGGTTTACACAAGAGACAGGACATGGCACTGAGTCTTCTTGGGGCTTGCAGCTTCTGTCACCCAGGCACAGTAGTGCCCCCCGCAAAGTTGGGAAGCTTGGGTTCTCCCCCATTCCCTGTTCCCTGGATGTTAGAATTCAGTCAAATCACCGTGTATCCAAATTTGTAGACCACAGGATTTAGGTAAGCTATTTGCACAACACATTCTCATCCCTAATTCCTATCTCCCCTGCTGATCATTCTTGTTCTGTTCTGCATTACTTACTTATGGAAAGGGATTATTTTAAGTCAATCACATGCTATTTTTACTCCTTCATCAGATACTTCTACTTCCAGATATTTTCCACTGAATAATCTCAAAAAAAGTAATTATAAAAATAAATTATATTTCTTATGTATCTATTCCATTTTCTTTGGGTTTTTTTTTGTTGTTGTTGGTTTGTTTGTTTTTTGAGACAGGTTCTTACTCTGTCACCCAGGCTGGAGTGCAGTGGCATGATCATGGCTCACTGCAGCCTCAACCTCCCAGGCTCAAGCGATCCTCCCACCTCAGCCGCCCAAGTAGTTGGGACTGCAGGTGCATCCCACCACTCTTAGCTAATTTTTTATTATTTGTAGAGAAGGGATCTCACTATGTTGCCAAGGCTGGTCTTGAACTCTTGGACTCAAGCAATCCTCCTGCCTTGGCTTTCCAAAGTGCTGGGACTACAGACGTGAGCCACCACACCCTGCCATTTTTAAAATTTTTTTAAAATTGTACTTCTTCACTCCTCTTTGTATCTTTTTACCTCTCTTAGCACCTGCCTTTATTGGTAGAGCTAACATGAACATGGAACTAAAAGTCAGCTTAATGATACCCAGCCCAAAAAGCAACAGAGACCCAGTGCTGTGTTCTGTGACCAATCACAATAACACAGTAAAATTTGAGTAACATTGGGCACCTTTCTGTAATAATACCTATCTCTAAAAGTCTATTACGATCTTGGGTCCACAGCAAGATCATAAATGGGAAAGTACTTTGGAAAAATTTAAAGGTCTCTTCAAATGAGAGAATGTGAGAGCAACAGCTCTTGGAATGACAATTTGTCCTAAAATGTACATGAATAAGATGGTTTACATTTCATCTCAATGTACAGCAAGAATTACCAAGTGTGGTTGATGAGGCCATTGATAAATCATCATTCACAAGTTATTTGCATGAAGTATGAATTAGTGAGCCAAACAAGAAATGCATTTTACATCTCTGCTGTACTCAAGAGCACCGGTCAATGAAATCCACAGAAAGTGCAACCTTGGGGAAAATGCTAGAGGAGACTTGAAAAAGCCAGATTTGGTAAAAGCAAAGTCTTTGTCCATTTGAAGATATATAGGAATGTTTATTATTATTTTGGTTTTAGTAAATGCTGACAACCACCTCCTCTCTAATTGCCCATTGGAATGGTCTCCCAATTGAGCTATTTCTTGAAAAAAACCTAGCCAATAGTGCTCTTGGTTGGCCTTTATTTAAGTCACAGGGTCACTCTCATTTCTAGTTAACAGAATGCCACAAAAAATGTTGCAATGCCCATTTTCTCTATTTGTTGATTTTTTGTGTGAATCATCTTTTCTGCTTTCCTGTGTGCTTATCAACCAGGCAAATAGCCCAAACTGCTTTTAAATAATTTGCTATTGTAATTTACCTAATCAGACCACCTGGAAATAAAGAAAGGAGAAACCAGAGAATGAAGGCCACTCCGAAGATGACAAGATCCCAGAATTCTAGAGCCCAAAGGAGACATCGTAGGAATCACGTTGCCCAGGTTGGTTCTGTGGCTTGCCTAGGAAGCACTCTTCATGGGGACACAGCATGTATTTTAGAAAGGTGGCGAAGAAAGACCCTGTGGGATCAGGTGACCTTTCTTTCTGCCCATCATTTTGGCCATGCTAATTCTATCTCTTGCATAATATCCAATGCCTGGTTTTCACAGTCAAGATGCCACGTCTCAGGACAGTGGGCTCTGAAGATGGAGACTGACTTCAAGGACTAATGTCATTCCTGTTCCCTGTCATTGAAGGGTGCACATGTATCTCTGCTTTATGCCCTGGTAGAGGAAATATTCTCCAATAAAGGTAGCAGACTTATAAATTAATTCCTTATGATAAATTCCAAATGCTCCTCAAAGAATGATGTTTTTCTTATTAAAGTCTTATGTGATGTGTACTATCAGTCAGGATGTCATGGGGCTTATCAATATTGTATCTCTGCATGAATCTGAAAGATAGTGCTTTTAGAGATCAAGAGAGTCCACAGAAAATGCAGTAATGTGGAATGGCATATAGCAAAGTTTGAGAATTATTCTAGACACATAATTTTTTTTTTCTAACAAGGGCTCACAATCTACTAAAAAAAAAGGTACTTTTTTTCCTGGAATTGTTAATTGACAAACCTTTATGTAAAATCAAAGTGAATAGTCCCATAGACACCACTTCATATTACAGTTCTTTGCTGGGTCAGAACCAGGGCAAGGCAAGAGAGGTGCTAGGGCACAAAATTTAAGGAGGCACCCACTTTCAGAGTCAGCCCTGAGAGTGGGTGCACAACACTGAGAATGAATGCCTTCTTAACATTTTTTAAAATTGATATATCATAGTTGTATATACTTGGGGGGTACACGTCATATTTTCATACCTGTGTGCAATGTGTAATGATCAAATCAGGGTAAATGGGATATCGATCACTGCAAACATTTCTCTTTTCTTTATGTTGAGAACAACATAATTATTGTAGCTATTTTGAAATACACAATAAATTATTGTTAACTATAATTTCTCTACCCTGCTGTCAAATACTGGAACTTATTCCTTCCATCTCACTGTCCTTCAAATTTTCCCTAGCTTCCTCTCTTGCATAACCCTATCCCTGGTCCTGGTTCTCTGACAGAGCACTTAGAATGCAGAAGACATCCTGAAAGGTCTGGGCGCTGATCAGCAGAGGGGAGCATAGCAATAGTGATTGACAGCACAGAGATCAGCCTGGGCTTTGCCAGTGACTGTGGGCTTGACCTTGGGCAGGCTGGATCCAGACACAGAACCCCATGATGCCATGCTGCGGCTGCCTGCCCTGCCCACCTCCCTCCTTCCCTCGTGAATGACCACATACAGGCCACCGAGCAACACGCAGCTGTCAACACTGCACAGATGATTCGCAGAGGCAGGTCTGGCAGCACTGTACACATGCTTTCTAATTTCTACACCTCAATGGAGTGCTGGTAGGCGGAGTGCTCAGCAGCCTCCAAGAGACATTGAAAATGTTTTCATTGGTCCATGCCTGCTGTACGCCTTGCTTCTGCACCGTCTGCCTTGTTCTCATCCCCATAATGCTCTGTCTCGACCTTGATGCAGTTTCCTCTCCCTCACTGCCTCCCAAACCCCTGCACCAACTAGCACTCCCTCGCTGTAATTAACACGTACCCATTTCCTCTTCCTTCCCATCTCTAGATCTTCATCCTTCAATGAAGACATGGCCTCCCCTGCAGCTCTCTCTAGTTAGTCTGTTTATTTGATCACAATACACATTACCTTATAACTCAAGGTCAGGAGTGGTGTGAGGGACTCCCATGCCCATATATTCCATGGCCTCTCATTTCCATCACTTTCTTATCTAAATTCTCTTGTGCTTTGGTTGCATCTACTTGGAGAACTGCAATCCAGGATGAAACCTGCCCTCCCTGGGCTTGTACCTTGAAGTTAAAGCACTGATGGAAAAAAAATATGTACCTGGGTAAATGGTGAATTCCTGGTTGCCTATCTCAACTGGCTCTCAACAATGTCCAGGAACCATTTCTCTAATCAACCCATTCCCCCATGTATGCAATAAGTATATCAAACCTTCTGCATAGTGTAAAATTTCTGACTCCTCTTGTATTACCTTTTTACTACCCTCTTCTTAACTGAAGATGACCTTATTTTAAAATGCCCAGATAAAAGTTATCAGATAGGAACCCCTTAACTTTCTACCTCCAGGTTAGTAGGTATTCCCTGAATAAGCACCCACCTCCCTTGTTTTTTTGTTTGTTTGTTTTTGAGATGGAGTCTCACTCTGTCACCTAGGCTGGCGTGCAACAACGTGATCTTGGCTTACTGCAACCTCTGCCTCCCGGGCTCAAGCGACCACCTCCCTATTCCTTCCTGGAGATGGCATCTCTCCACTTAGATATTCCACAGATGCTTCAAACTACTGAAGTACAAACTGAATTCATGAACTTTCCCCCCCAAAATCTATCCCTTATTGTTAGCCATTCCAGTAAAGAGGGTCCTAATACTCCGAGCTGTCCAAACCAAAAGTCTCAGTGTCCCTCACGTCTCATATCCAAAAAGTGCATCCTATCAGTTCTTTCTCAAGTACTTGCTGGTTAAACCTCTCTGGTCCAAGCTACCTTCATCTTTTATTTACAGCAGAGGTTGGTGAACTTCTGCTATAAATGAAAGTTTTTTCTTTAATTTTTGTTTCAAAACAAAGCTTTTTTTTTCCAGCAAACAAGTTTTTTTTTGTTTGTTTGTTTGTTTGTTTTTGAGATGGGGTCTCGTTTTGTCACCCAGGCTGGAGTACAGTGGCGCTATCTCGGCTCACTGCAGCCTCCGCCTCCCAGGTTCCAGTGATTCTCCTCCCTCAGCCTCCCAGGTAGCTGGGATTACAGGCCTGCATCACCATGCCCAGCTAATTTTTGTATTTTTAGTAGAGACGGGGTTTCACCATATTGGCCAGGCTGGTCTCAGACCCCTGACCTCAGGTGATCTGCCTGCCTCGGCCTCCCAAAGTGCTATGATAACAGGAGTGAGCCACCGCACTGGGCCAGCAAACAAGTTTTATTGGAATGTAGCTGTGCTCATTCATTTATGGACTGTCTATGGCTGCATGCACTCTAAGAGCAGAGTTGAGTAGTTGCAACAGAGTCCATGAGGCCCATAAAGCTGAAAATATTTACTAGCTTTTCCTTTACAGGAGAAGTTGCAAGAACGTCCTGAATGCATCGTGCACCAAACCTTGTACTCTGTTCTCACACATCTTTTTAAAACGTCTTATCACCATCCTCGGAAACTCATCAGAGCACAAACATCACGCTCGGGATAAAATGCAGTGTCCCTAGTCCAGCCTGCAAGGCTCCACATGAGTAGCCCTGTGTCTACCTCTCCACCCTCAGCTTGTATGTATACTCCTTGCTCGCCTAGTCCAACAGTGCTAGAGTGCTGTCTGCCTTTCCATCCCTCCAGTGCACTGTGCTCTTCCACACCACAGAACTGGGAATACTTTGTTTCTTTTGCCTTGGAGGCTCTTTTTTCTTTCTCACTTGTCCCTCATCCAATTCCTACTTAGTCTTTAGGACCCTGGTTAAACCTCACTTCCTCCAGGAAGCCTTCTATTTCTCTCAGATTAGGTTAGGTGCCCTGTTTCAGAGCACTACGTACTTCTATTTCATTTTTATTTATTTATCTATTTTGAGACGGAGTTTCACTCTTGTTGCCCAGGCTGGAGTGCAATGACACGATCTCGGCTCACCGCAACCTCTGCCTCCCAGGTTTAAGCAATTCTCCTGCCTCAGCCTCCCGAGTAGCTGGGATTACAGGTGTGCGCCACCACGCCTGGCTAATTTTGTATTTTTAGTAGAGATGGGGTTTCTCCATGTTGGTCAGGCTGGTCTCGAACTCCCGACCTCAGGTGATCCTACTGCCTTGGCCTCCCAAAGTGCTGGGATTACAGGTGTGAGCTACCGTGCCCGGCCTATTTGTTTATTTATTTTACAGGCAGGGTCTTAGGCTGGAGTGCAGTGGCACAGTCATAGCTCACTGCAGCCTTGAACTCCTAGGCTCAAGGGATTCCCCTGACTCATTATCCCAAGTAGCTAGAACTACAGGCACACATCACCACACCCAGTTAATTTCTTTTAAAATTTTTTTTATAGAGACTGGGTCTCACTATGTCATCCAGGCTGGTCTTGAGCTCTTGGGCTCAAGCAATCCTCATATTGGCCTCCCAAAGTACTGGGATTACAGGTGTGAGCCACTGCCTTGGGCATGAACTTTTATTATTTATTTATTTAGAGACAGGGGTCTTACTCTGTTGTCTAGGCTGGAGTGCAGTGGCATGATCATGGCTCACTGCAATCTTGACTGGCTGGGCTCAAGTGATCCTCCCACCTCAGCCTCCCAAGTTGCTGGGACTACAGGCACACACCACCACGCCCGGCTAATTTTTGTGTTTTTTGTAGAGACAGGGTTTTCACCATGTTGCCCAGGCTGGTCACGAACTCCTGGGCTCAAGTGATCCACCACCTTGGCCACCGAAAGTGCTGGGATTATAGATGAGAGTCACCATTCCTGGCTTGCACTTTTATTTTAAAGCTCTTATCTCAAATGCTCTTAATTTTTTGAAATGATTTGTTTAATACTTGCTTGTGTGGTTAGACTGAAGACTTCATGATAGAAAAATCTTTGTTTATCTGATTCAGAAAAGTAATCTTCAGTACCTGACACACAGCCTGGCACAAGACAGATACTCAGAAAATATTTATTGAATAAATGGATGATTGGCAATAACATTATAGGGTTGTGGTGAGGATAATGGGAGGAAATATACACATTCAATTTAGTTAATTGCTTAGTCCTGGCAAAAGTAGAGAACATTTATATTTTTAATGACAATGATGATGATGATGCCCTGACTTCGAATTACTTCTGGATTTCTTGATTTGGCAAAAAACTGAGGACCAATAATGCATTTTATTCTTGTAACACAGAGTGTGAGTTGTTCTTCAATTGATTTCTTCTCTTTGGCCATCTATAACAGGCATAATTGGCTTTTCATAGTGTGAGACCTTAAAAAAAAGTATCCAAGCCCAGGAGCCTAAAATCATAATAACGCGTGGCTCTTCTGTGGAGTGGTTTCTGCTAGCCCTCTATTCTCTACCCTGCTGTATGTCCTAGGAGGCTGACATCCTGTTATGTTCCTTTGACATCTGCCTTCTGGTTGGGTTTGACCAATGGGTACCACCGGCGAGAGATTGGAGGAAGGAGAGCAAGGAGAAAATATTAATCTTCTCCCACCTCTCCCCCACTCTGGGCTGCAGGTTGACAGTGACTGCCCCACTACCTAAGGTCATAGCTCCTACCGGGAGGCTCCTTAACCTGCCACTCTCCCGGGCCCTCCCTCTGCAGGTACTCCTTCCTCTTGCTTGTGCTAGCCTGTGGGAGTTACAGCTCCCTGCCCTCGCTAGATGTGGCAGGCTCCATTATCGCTTTGATTTCTCCTAATTTGTCCACACCTTTGCCAATTAAACTCTTCAATTATCCCGGCTTAAGTGTGCACACTGTTCTCAGATAGAACCCTGACTCATACAATTCCATCACCTAAATAAATATAATGAAAATATTTCAAGAGGCGCTTGCTGCTTCTGTAGATCTCTCTGGTAGTCTGAGTACGTCTGCAAGCTTAGTTAATGTCACATGAGGTTAGGTGCCATTATTCCCATTTCTCAGTAGGCCAAAGGAGTCTGGAAGCAATCTGAGGCATGAACCCATGCTTCCAGAGGCTGGCAGTGGCAAAGTCGGAGCTGCTCCTCCTCTCCGAACCCTACCCACTGAGCTCAGAGCTACATCATGGCTACTTCCCTCTAAAAGGACCACCCACCAAAAGCTGGAGAGCTGGGACCCCAGATAAATCATCCTTGATGATAAAGCCCTCTGCAGTGAGTCTAATCCAGGTGAACTCCAAAGCTCAGAGCTCAGGAGTGTGCAGCTGGCTCTGTGCCCCAATTTAGAGCAGGTCTGGGAAGCATTCCCAGATGGCTCCTGGATGTCATTGCTTTTTCTGGCTGCGTTCCTGGGGGAAGTGGGAAAACACACCTAGGTCTCCTAGCTGCAAACCCAAGCAAAGAGCACATTGTCATATCTTTAGCAAATGATAACACACAAAACACAGACAGCCAAAGAACTAGAGAGAGACATATCCACCCAGCTGAACCGATTCACTCTTTAGAGCCAAGAGACAGCCAGTGTGGAAGGTCCTCTATCCTCCCAACGAATCAATTCTCTGTCTTAAAAGCAACTGTCCAAGGCTTCAGGCAAATCACAGACAACCCATCACTCTATTGTGTATCTCAATTTCCCTCTCTGAAAAAATGGAGTTCTACCCATTGGCAGAAAGGTGAGCAATCACCCATTAAGGTGAGCAAAAATCTCCACAAGCCTCAATTTAAGAACCTCAAATGCAAAACTAATGTTGTTATATCTCCTTTATTAGGCAGGGGGTAGGTCCCACACAGAGGCAGTATGAGTTGTAATTAAGGGCATGGACTCTAAAGCCAGACTGCCTGTATTTGAATTCTAAGTCGGCTAGCAACTAGCTGTGTGATCTTGGAAAAGTAATGTAACCTCTCTGTGCCTCTGTTTTCTTATCTGTAAAATAGGAATGATGATCATGTCTACCTCATAGGGTTGACATGAAGATTAAATGATTTATTATAAGGAAAGCACTTTGAACATGCCTAGTATGTGGTAAAGACTGTGTAAGTCATTCAGTAACATAGTGATTTTAGTAATTATTCATGTATCTTTAGATAGACTTATCTGGAATGTTGATCAGTTTTTTTTTTAACATTTTTTGGCTGTAGCCCAAATAACTTCTGGGATGAAATAACAGATCCTCTGTGCTAGCACTGCCAATTATTAGATCAAGGGAATTTGGCTTGTGTCTTCGCTGTCATCAGGAAAAGAATATAACTGGATGCTGATAATTGGAAAAGCACATTCTGGTCCATGGCCTCAGCCTGGCAGCTAATCAGTTATGCCCAAAGAATAAGGTGAAGCACCAGGTGGCCTTACCTACAGGCCTGATGCAGTGAAGAGAGGCCTTTTAAGCAGACATCCCTCACTGCTGACTGAAGGCCTAGTGTGATTCCCCATCCATCATACACAAAGGTCTTTTCACTTAGGCATCCGTCCCACGAGCAAATGCATCTTTGCACTCCTAACAGGCTGAATTACTGTGTGCTCTTCCCTCTGTCCTCTTCTTCAATTTCCCATTTCAAATCAATGACCCACCCAGCTTTCTATAAGCAAGTTTTGGTTTTTCTCTACTGGCTTTCTTTCTCTCTTTCTTTTCTTTTTCTTTTTCCTTTTTTTTTTTTTTTTTGAGATGGAGTCTCACTCTGTTGCCCAGGCTGGAGTGCAGTGGTGCCATCTTGGCTCACTGCAACCTCTGCCTCCTGGGTTCAAGTGATTCTCCTGCCTCAGCCTCAGCTGGGATTACAGGTGTGGGCCACCACACCCAGCTAATTTTTGTGTTTTCAGTAGAGACGGGGTTTCGCCATGATGGCCAGACTGGTCTCGAACTCCTGGCCTCAAGTGATCCGCAAACCTCGGCCTCGCAAAGTGCTGGGATTACAGGTGTGAGCCACAGTGCCCAGCCACTCACTGGCTTTCAACTACAACACAAGGCCTCCAGGTCTGAGGAGGAGCTCAGTGTCTTCAGCAATCCTCCTCTTAGGGTAGTCCTGATCATCTGATATTCTTAATGAAAACACTTTGGTTCCCCAGAGAACAGTCAAGAGTCCTTAAGAGTGGCTGTCCTTTCATATCTTAGTACTAATTGCTAATTTTTATTGAGCATTTATTATGTTCTAGGCACTATGCCAAATACTTTATATAAAATTCACATTTAATTCTCACAATAGTCCTATGAAATAGGCACAAGAGTTCACTATCCAAGTCCTTAGAACAGTGCTGTCCTATAGAAATATAATGCGAGCCACAAATTTGGGCTACAGATGTAATTCTGAGTTTTCTAGTAGCCACATTATAAACAGTAAAAAGAAACAAGGAAACCTAATTTAATTTTTTTAGAGACAGGGTCTGGCTCCATTGCCCAGGCTGGAGTGCAGTGGCATGATCATTAATTTTAGTAATATATTTTGCTTAACCAAACACACCTTAAAAACTGGCATTTAAATATGCAATCAATATAAAATTATTAATAAGCTATTTTACATTCATTTTTTGTACTAAGTCTTCAAAATCCAAATTTCAATGAACATAATGTAGAAGGCTGGGCAGAGTGGCTCAATCCTATAATCCCAGCAGGCCTCTTGCCTTGGGAGGCCAAGGCAGGAGGATTGTTTGAGCCCAGTTCAGTACTAGCCTGAACAACATAGCCTGTCTCTACAAAAAAATGAAAAATTAGCCAGGGTGGTGACACACACCTGTAGTCTTAGCTACTTGGGAGGCTAAGGTGGGAGGATCACTTAAGCCCAGGAGTTTGAGACTGCAGTAAGCTATGATTATGCCACTGCACTCCAGCCTGAGTGACAGAGTGACACCCTGTCTCTAAACAAAAGAAAACAAAACAAACACCAACAACAAAACAATGTAGAAGGAATGAGGGAAATGGATAGAAAACCACCATTTGTCAAACACCATGGTAATAACTGTTGCATCCAAGGTCCACCCATGCATTACAAGCAACAATTATTACTGTGGTGTCTGGCATGTTCTATTTCCCTCATTACCTTTACATTTATTAATTAGAGAATGAAAATTTAAGGAAAAATAGGATACGTACCTACTTTATACTCTCAAAGTATCTTTCTCAAGATATTCATTAATTACAAAGAGAAAAACAGTAACTTTACAGTGGAGAAACCCAGCAGACAGTTAACCTCATCAATGGTAAAACATAGCAACACCACGTGCCTCCAGACAGGATGCACAGAGAAGGACACATCACTTCTGTGGTCTTACAAAAAATCTGTCACCTCAGTCTAGTCATGGGAACATTTCAGAAATACCCACATGGAGAGACAGTGTACAAAACAACTGGCCCGTAGTCTTCCAAAATGCCAAAGTCAGGAAGGATAAGGAAGGCCTGGGGAGCTGTCACAGATTGAGAGAGACAAGGAGACAAAACTCAACACAACGTGGGATCCTGGATTGGATCTTGAAACAGAAAAAGCATGTTAGTGTCACAATGGATGTGATTCAAATAAGGCCTGTAGTTCAGATAAAAATTATGTACCAGTGGCCAGGCGCAATGGCTCATGCTTACATCCTAGCAGGTTGGGAGGCTAAGGTGGGAGGATTGCTTGAGTCCAGGAGTTCGAGACCAGCCTGTGCAATATAGTGAGAATTCATCTCTACAAAAAATTAGCCAGGCATGGTAACATGCGGCTGGCATGGGGGGATTGTTTGCGCCTGGGAGGTGGTGAGCCGAGATTGTGCCACTGCACTTCAGCCTGGGCAATGGAGTGAGACTCTGTTTCAAAAAAAAAAAAAAAATTATGTGCCAGTGTTAATGTCCTGGGCTTGATCATTGTTCTCTGGTTATGAAAATTGTTACCATTTAGGGCATCTGGGAAAAGAGTATACAGGAACTGTACTGTTTTTGCGGGTTTCTGTAAGTCTAAAACTACTTCAAAATAAAAAGTAGAAAAACAATGCAATGCAAATAAAATGCAAATTGATTACAAAGTATCTTTGCAATTACTTCCAAAGATGTGGAAGTCTAGGAAGTTGATAAAAGCATTGAAGTATTGCTAGAAATGCATGAAAAAAAACATTAACAAACTAGGTAAAACAGTTCACTTTTAGAGAAGAGAAATCAACAAGGATGGTAACAGGCTGTGGGTTTCCAAAAAAACAATGATTTAAATGTCGAAAAATTATGAGAGATCCTTGGAAAAATGAATGATGCTCTCTAATGTTTGCCAAGAACTTTCTGCTAGAAAATCATAGACAAAGTGAAGGCTGTTGTATCATGCTATCGTATAATTTTAGTTTAAAAATTATGCCAAAAAATCCACATGAGATTTATTTTTATTCATTCTAAGAATGAGCACATAGTTGCAATTATAATCTGTGTTCTACTGGATGAGATGAAATGTTATTTTTATAATTTATAGCTTCATTTTTCATTAAAAGAAAAAAGCCTCACTTGAAATTTTAATCCATCTTAAATGGCTTGACTTTAATTGCTCTATTCCAGCCTCAGAAACCAGACCCTCAAGTCCATGCTCTTAACCACTGCACTATTTCTGTCCCAAAGAAGGACTTCCCTTTGTTTCCATTACCTCTAAGTCACCCAAAACAAGTTACATGCCCTTTGTGAGGCCAAGGCACCCTGGAATGTCTTTTGTTGTTGTTGTTGTTGTTGAGGAGACAGAGTTTCACTCTTGTTGCCCAGGTTGGAGTGCAGTGGCGCAATCTCGGCTCACTGCAAACTCCGCCTCCCGGGTTCAAGCGCTTCTCCTGCCTCAGTCTCCCAAGTAGCTGGGATTACAGGCACGCGCCACCACACGCAGCTAATTTTTGTATTTTTAGTAGAGACGGGGTTTCACCATCTTAGCCAGGCTGGTCTTGAACTCCTGACCTCCTGATCCACCCACCTCAGCCTCCCATAGTGCTAGGATTACAGGCATGAGCCACCACGCCCGGCCCTGTGATATCAATTATTAAAGTGCACTATGAAAAGTTACCAGTCCAGCCCTGATCCTGATCACAGGTGATGTTGGGAGGTTACTTTGGAGACAGACAGAGAGATAAAACAGGGCATTTTCTTCACATGCACATCCTGGCACATGGAAGCTGGGTGGTAAAAGAATTCATTCAGACTCATCTTTATCCCAAAATGGCCCTCTAAACAATAGAAAACTGGCAATCTTCTAGTAACCTGTGGTATTGACAGTTTGAGAGATGTCATACAAAGATGTCATACAAGAAAACCCAATGTCAGGAACCTGGACAGCAGGGAGTGACTCCCTGCGTATTATGAAGTCAAAAACTGTCTGTTGATCCCAGGCAAGCTAAAATCCTGGCAGGCCACTCTCCTTCTAACCATATTGCCATTGCTTCCATTACCAAGGAAAACAAGACACAGAGAGACAGGGTGGGGAAGACCTTTCTGGCCCCCACGGTTCTCTAAACTCTCTTATTTGTTTGTTTTTGAGACGGAATCTTGCTCTGTTGCCCAGGTCACAGTGCAGTGGCATGATCTCAGCTCACTCTCACTGCAGCTGCTGCCTCTTGGGTTCAAGCAATTCTCGTGCCTCAGCCTCCTGAGTAGCTGGGATTACAGGTGCGTGCACCACCACGCCCAGCTAATTTTTGTTTTTATTTTTATTTGTTTGAGATGGAGTTTCACTCTTGTTGCCTAGGCTGGAGTGCAATGGCACGATCTTGGCTCACTGCAACCTCTGCCTCCCTGGTTCAAGTCTTCTGAGTAGCTGGGATTACAGGTGCCCACCATCACGCCTGGCTAATTTTTGTATTTTTAGTAGAGACGGGGTTTCGCCATGTTGGCCAGGCTGGTCTCGAACTCCTGACCTCAGGTGATCCACCCGCCTCGGCCTCCCAAAGTGCTGGGATTACAAGTGTGAGCCACCGCACCCGGGCTAATTTTTGTATTTTTAGTGGAGCCAGGGTTTCACCACATTGGCCAGGCTGGTCTCAAACTCCTGACCTTAAGTGATCTGCCTGCCTCAGCCTCCCAAAGTGCTGGGATTACAGGCGTGAGACACCGTGCCTGGCCTCTTTGTTAATTCTTTACAGTGCTTCTAGAGAGTTCCTTTTTCTGAGTGTCCTGGCCGCTAGTCCTCAGGTTCCACAGTGCAGTGAATACTGCCATGCACTGCTTTCTGTGATCTCGCTTTTCAGGGATAACGCTCAGGTGTCAGCCCTCTGTGGGAATTACCTTAGCTAAAAAGAGCTGCCTTGCCCAAGGACACACCCCGCTTCCTAAGGCACAATAGAGATCCAGGCCCCTGCCTGCCCTAGCTCAGGAAGAGTTGTCCCAGAGTTATCCCAGCTTCTGAGTTCCCCGGAAGGTTAGCTGAGACCTCTGCTGAGACCGCATCACAGACCAACTCCTCCCTCTGCCCAGTTCTGCTTCCTTCCCCACCTTCCACGGATGTTGATCCCAGCAGCACTCCCTGATCAACTTACCACATGCAAATCTCCATCTCAGAGTCCACTTCTTAGAGGGCTCAGCTCAGGACACACTCCCTTCTCCATTTACCATCTCTACCACCTGCCATGAAGGCCCACTTTTTCCCAGCCGCTCTTGGTGTTTTCTCTCTACATGGACTTCCTGGCCTCACTGACACTGGGTCCTTGGTCATTTTGATCTTCAGTTCCCAATTAAAAGTTCCCCTCCCTCTATGTGTGTGATTAGCCACTTCATTCTGCCAAAGGAAGAAAGATCCAGCCTGGCATCACTATGTCCCACCTCCACCTGAAGCTTCCCAGCGGCCTGGCAGAGTTGGGCTGTGGGCTGGGAAGGAATAACGCCAAGGTGAACGTCTATCTCTCTAGTAGCTGAATCCATCCCAGAACTCCCAGCTTACTAGGAGGGGATTTCCCATCTTTAATCATTCCTGAGCCAAAGGTTATACACAGGCCAGGTGCGGTGGCTCACACCTATAATCCCAGCACTTTGGGAAGCCGAGGCAGGTGGATCATTTGAGGTCAGGAGTTCGAGACCAGCCTGGCCAACATGGTAAAACCCCGTCTCTACTAAAAATACAAAAATCAGCCAGGCATGGTGGTGCACGCCTGTAATCCCAGCTACTCGGGAGGCTGAGGCAGGAGTATCGCATGAACCCGGGAGGCAGAGGTTGCAGTGAGCCAAGATGGCACCACTGCGCTCCAGCCTGGGCAACAGAACAAGACTCTGTCTCAAAACAAAGCAAAACAAAACAAAACAAAAAAACAAAGGTTATGCACAGCCTTAGGCAGCTTCCATTGTATATCTTTGGCCAAGACCTGTTGCTACCTACCTGGGCAGCCATGTTAGGTTGGCACAGGAAGCCAAGTGGCACAAATCCTCTGTACTTGCCCACATGTGAAAAAAGCAGTTTCTAGCACCTAGAGAGGCATCCGAGTAGAATCAAGTGACAACTGTGCTGACTTTGTAAGAATCAACTTTTTATTTATTATTTTGAGATGGATCTCGGCTCGCTGCAACCTCCGCCTCCCGGGTTCAAGCGATTCTCCTGCCTCAGCCTCCTGAGTAGCTGGGACTACAGGCACCCACCACCATGCCTGGCTAATTTTTTGCATTTTTAGTAGAGACAGGGTTTCACTATGTTGGCCAGGCTGGTCTCAAACTCCTGATCTCAAGTGATTCGCCTGCCTTGGCCTCCCAAAGTGCTGGGATTACAGGCATGAGCCACCGTGCCCCGCAGAGAATCAACTTTTAATAAGAATAGAAGAGCGCAAACAGGGGCCAGAGAGAGGCAGGACCCAGAGGCTCTTCACAGGGTGTGAAAACTCTGAGAAAAGAAATGACTGCATGAAAGCGGGGCGGGGGCGGGGTGGTGCTGAGGTCAAACAACAGGAGGAGATAGGCTGCCATGAGCAGAGAAGGGAGGGGAGGGCAGCCTCTGAGCAAGGAGGTGGGGAAGCAAATGCTGTAGCTGGATCGCCCAGGGGAACAGGGGATTGAAGTTGGGAGGAAGATCAAGTGTGAGCTAGGTCAGGTGGTTCAGTAAACCAAAGCCACAGACCCTGGGCACAGAACAGAGTTCCTTTTTCTCTCCCGAGCCTCTGAGGAATTCTGCTAGGTGTGGGCAACTCCTCAGAGGCACCCAAAAAACAAAGAGCTCCACAGCTCTTCCGAACTCAGAACAAGGTGCTGCTGTGAACAGCCTAAGCCCTGCGCCAGCTCCCTGTGGCTCCCGACTGGAGGAGGCATCAGGAGTTGACAACACAAGGTGCCCTGCCTGTCACTCTGGTTTCCCATGGCTGGAAACGAGGGCATCTCACACTCCTTGCTGGGATGAGAGGACCCCTGTGTATTTTCCCTGTGAGATATTCAAAGATGAGTCCAGCCTCTTTGCCAGCCCCATGCCTGGGAACAGCTTGTTATCCTATGAGTATCTTCCCCACAACTACCGACCCAGACCAATAGGTAAAGCCCAGCCTGTCACAATAATCCCAGTTTTTCATTGTTTTGTTTTGTTTTCAAGAAATAACCTTGAGTTTTCCTTGCTCCTACTCTCTGGTATAGCTGCCTAGAGAGAGGAATACTGGAAGCAGCCTAGGCTAATGGCCTTTTAGTGCAATTACAGATGTAGACAGCCAGCCAGTTTCACTAATGTTGTAGGGGCTGCGCGACCCAGGGGCACACGCTAACGCCACATCTCACTCTGCCCACATCACAAGGCAGGGCTTCCTGGCTTTCACAACGCACTGGGGTTTGTTGTTGTGTTTTTGTGGCTAGGTGCCTTACAATGTTCAAATGACAGTGATTTTCACAGGATCTTCCCACAGTGGTTTATATGTGCACCTGGGGTCTTGACCAAGGCTCATGCTTTTGCTATTAATTAAAAATCAAAGCTCCCTGAAGGAAATCTACTGATCCAGAAATTAAGATAAGCACAGTGAGATTTTTTTTTTTTTTTTTTTTTGAGACAGAGTCTCGCTCTGTTGCCCAGGCTGGAGTGCAGTGGCACCATCTCCACTCACTGCAAGCTCCGCCTCCCGGGTTCACGCCATTCTCCTGCCTCAGCCTCCTGAGTAGCTGGGACTACAGGCACCCGCCACCACGCTCGGCTAATTTTTTGTATTTTTAGTAGAGACGGGGTTTCACCATGTTCGCCAGGATGGTCTCAAACTCCTGACCTCAGGTGATCTGCCCGCCTCGGCCTCCCAAAGTGCTGGGATTACAGGCGTGAGCCACCACGCCCAGCCTGAGATTTTTTTTAAGCATAATTTCTCCTTCCACTTATCTATTTTCTAGCAGTCCTTCAAAAGGCTTTCCATGCCCATAGAATCCACTGAAGAGTTCCAGTGGGGATTTGAGAGGAAAAGAAGAGGAAAAACAATGACTCGTGCTAGAATGCTCAAGCCAATCATTGTGAGCTGCTAGTAGTTGCTAAGAACTGTTGTAGTTTGAAGATACAAATGGTAATGCTGCAACAACAAAAATAATTTTTTATTATTAAAAAATTAGGAAGTCAAATTGTCTCTATTTGCAGATGACATGATTGTACATTTAGAAAACCCCATCGTCTCAGTCCAAAATCTCCTTAAGCTGATAGGCAACTTCAGCAAAGTCTCAGGATACAAAATCTATGTGCAAAAATCACAAGCATTCCTATACACCATTAACAGACAAACAGAGAGCCAAATCATGAGTGAACTCCCATTCACAACTGCTACAAGGAGAATAAAATACCTAGGAATCCAACTTACAAGGGATGTGAAGGACCTCTTCAAGGAGAACTACAAACCACTGCTTGAGGAAATAAAAGAGGACACAAACAAATGGAAGAACATTCCATGCTCATGGATAGGAGGAATCAATATTGTGAAAATGACCATACTATAAAATACCAAAGTAATTTATAGATTCAATGCTAACCCCATCAAGCTACCACTGAATTTCTTCACAGAATTGGAAAAAACTACTTTAAACTTCATATGGAACCAAAAAAGAACCTGCATAGCCAAGATAATCCTAAGCAAAAAGAACAAAGCTGGAGGCATCACGCTACCTTACTTCAAACTATACTACAAGGCTACAGTAACCAAAACAGCATGGTACTGGTACCAAAACAGATATATAGACCAATGGAACAGAACAGAGGCCTCAGAAATAACACTACACATCTACAACCATCTGATCTTTCAACAAACCTGACAAAAACGAGCAATGGGGAAAGGATCCCCTATTTAATAAATGGTGTTGGGAAAACTGACTAGCCATATGCAGAAAGCTGAAACTGGATCCCTTCCTTACACCTTATACAAAAATTAACTCAAGATGGATTAAAGACTTATATGTTAGACCTAAAACTATAAAAACCTTAGAAGAAAACCTAGGCAATACCATTCAGGACATAGGGATGGGCAAAGACTTCATGACTAAAACACCAAAAGCAATGGCAACAAAAGCCAAAATAGACAAATGGGATCTAATTAAACTAAAGAGCTTCTGCACAGTGAAAGAAACCATCATTAGAGTTAACAGGCAACCTACAGAATGGGAGAAAATTTTTGCAATCTATCCATCTGACAAAGGGCTAATATCCAGAATCTACAAAGAACTTAAACAAATTTACAAGAAAAAACAAAACAAACAACCCCAACAAAAAATGGGTGAAGGATATGAACAGATACTTCTCAAAAGAAGACATTTATGCAGCCAACAGACACATGAAAAAATGCTCATCATCACTGGCCATCAGAGAAATGCAAATCAAAACCACAATGAGATACCATCTCACACCAGTTAGAATGGTGATCATTAAAAAGTCAGGAAACAACAGATGCTGGAGAGGATGTGGAGAAATAGGAACACTTTTACACTGTTGGGAGTGTAAACTAGTTCAACCATTGTGGAAGACAGTGATTCTTCAAGGATCTAGAACTAGAAGTAAGATTTGACCCAGCAATCCCATTACTGGGTATATACCCAAAGGATTAGAAATCATTCTACTATAAAGACACATGCATACACACATATGTTTACTGCAGCACTGTTCAAAATAGCAAAGTCTTGGAACCAACCCAAATGCCCATCAATGATAGACTGGATAAAGAAAATGTGGCACATATACACCGTGGAATACTATGCAGCCATAAAAAGGATGAGTTCCTGTCCTTTGCAGGGACATGGATGAAACTGGAAACCATCATTCTCAGCAAAGTAACACAAGAAGAAAAAGCCTAACACCACATGTTCTCACTCATAAGTGGGAGTTGAACAATGAGAACACATGGACGCAGGGCCAGGAACATCACACACCGAGGCCTGTTGGGGGGTGGGGGGCTAGCAGAGGAATGGAATTAGGAGAAATACCTAATGTAAATGATGAGTTGATGGGTATAGCATACCAACATGGCACATGTATACCTATGTAACAAACCTGCACGTTGTGCACATGTACCCCAGAACTTAAAGTATAATAAAAAAAAATAAAAAAAAAAAAATAAAATAAACATTTAGCCCTTAAAAAAAAAAACTGTGTGGTTGCAATGGCTCACGCCTATAATCCCAGCACTTTGGGAGACCACTTTGGAAAGGATTGCTTGAGGCCAGGAGTTTGAGACCAGCCTGAGCAACATGGAGAGACCCTGTCTCAAAAAAAAAAAAAAAAAAAAAAATGCTGGGTGTGGTGGTGCACACCTAGTCCCAGCTACTTGGGAGGCTGAGGCAGGAGCGCTTGAGCCCAAAAGTTCGAGGGTGCAGTGAGCTTTGATTGCCTACAGGCACACACTACCACAGCAGACTTAAAACAGTTTTTAAAAAGAATTATTGATGTCACGTAAGAGGTGTGTGTGTCAGAGATACCATCTTGAAGCTAGAGACTGCCTAAGCACTCTTAGCAACTTGGAATTTGGCCCATGTTTCAACTTTTCTCCCAGAGTAACTTCCGGCTTATACAGGGCAAAACTGGGTTAATGGTACAGGCATATTTTATTGCGACAGCTTGGCAGTTAGTGGTCTAGGACTAGGTAGCAATGTAGAGCAGCAAATTAAAAAGTGAAGTTTGATGTGACATAGAATGGGGAATTCTCCCTGCTTCTGCGAGCTCTTTCCGTAAATGCGGTATCCCTCGCTGAATTCATTTGGCAGAGCTGGTGTTGCAGACACTCCCACAGCCTCCAGGGTGGGCTCTCCCAAAAGACAGAGGGGGATGTCTGACTCCCAGGCCCATCCATAAACGCACACACAAGCAGCCCACTGTAAATGGAGGAACTTCTGGAGACCTTGCTCTCTCATCTTACATTTACAGTAAGGCCCTTGGGACTGAGTAAACAAAGCCAAATTTCCAAATGAATGGAAACTTACTCAGTGGACTTCCTTCATTTCCTGCGTGGCTGCCAGTACTTGGGCAGTGATGAGACCAGTCACAATTACTCTCCTCTGGTTAAAAAGGAAAGCAACTCTGCCTCCTGCCCCAATGTCCAAGGAAGGAGACGTCTTGAGCTGGCAAAATGTGGGTCAACCCATAGAGTGCCAACAGCTGAGGCCTGGATTGTGTGAGCTCAGTAGCAAGGCCAGCTCTCTCTTTTATGCCCTGGCAACATTTCAAGGTCTTTACTCAAACACCTGTCAGGTGCCTTGTATGTGCCAGGCACTGTGCTAGAAACTAGGGGGCATATACTAAGACAGTGTAAGTCCTGACTCTGCAAGAGGGCAGAGAATAGCCTGAGATGCAAGCATGAAACTCTTCCATACCAAAGGGTAGCTCAGTTGGCTGCCATGGCAGTAGCCACAGATCCAGTACAGAACCAGCCATGTTACCTAATGGACCTTGGGGTTGGACTTCCTTATTGCTCACTTCCATGGAACATTGTAGAACTATGGAGAGCTGGGGTCCTGGATCTGTCCTCAGCTGCACATTGAATGTGTGGCCATGAGTAAAATCCCTCAGCCTCCATGAGTCATAGGTTCCTTATCTATAAAAAGAGGGTAAAGGGCCAGGCACGGTGGCTCACACCTGTAATCCCAGCACTTTGGGGGGCCACCACACTCAGCTAATTTTTTAATTTCTTGTAGAGATGAAGTCTCACTATATTGCCCAGGGTGGTCCCAAATGCCTAAGCTTAAGTATTCCTCCCACTTCAGCCTCAAAAATTGCTGGGAATTTGGAGCCACCACACCCGTGCCAAATTATCTCTCTTCTTGCCCCTCTCGTAATGGGAATTCATGCTTACTTCCTCAGATAGCAAGCATGAGGAGTACAGATCCTCATGGTAGATTTTCACCTGAGTTAGCAGAGAGCTGAACTTACAGACTGAATAAGGGTATCTTCTTACATTTTCTCTCAGCCACAAATATGTCTGCCTCAGCACAAAGATGAAAAATTACACATTTTTAGCTCTTTCAGTGTTGTTTTGTTTTAGTGCTTATATTTAGGGGTGACTTAACACTGTCACAGTGTGTGATCTATTTTCCATCTCTGGGGCATAGGGTGCAGCTCAAAAGAAAGGTGTTTGCAGTTCCTAACAACATGATCCGACCATGATCTAACAACATGAGATTTAAAACAAGTACAACTTTATTTCTTTTTTTTTTTGAGACAGAGTTTCACTCTTGTCGTCCAGACTGGAGTGCGATGGCGCAATCTCGGCTCACCGCAACTTCCACCCGCTGGGTTCAAGCGATTCTCCTGTCTCAGCCTCCTGAGTAGCTGGGATTACAGGTGTGCACCACCATGCCCGGCTAATTTTGTATTTTTTAGTAGAGACGGGGTTTCTCCATGTTGGTCAGCCTGGTCTCAAACTCCCAACCTCAGGTGATCCACCCGCCTCGGCCTCCCAAAGTGCTGGGATTATAGGCATGAGCCACAGTGCCCGGCCTTACAACTTTAAATACTATAAATCATTTCTTCTTAACCATCAGGCCACAACTTATCCAAATGAATCTTTTCCTTCCAGAAATATCTGAAGGAAAAAAATTTAAAGTTGTTTTTAAAATATTCTGAAAAGGACTCATCCAAGAAAATTATTTTAAAGTTTGTCAAGTTGAAAGTACAAATTTAAGTGTATCTGTTAAAAGCAGTTGCTGGCCGGGCATGGTGGCTCACGCCTGTAATCCCAGCACTTTGGGAGGCCAAGACAGGCAGATCATTTGGGGTAAGGAGTTTGAGACCAGTCTGGCCAACACGGTGAAACCCCATCTGTACAAAAAATACAAAAAATTACCCAGGAATGGTAGTGCACGGCTATAATTCCAGCTACTTGGGAGGCTGAGGCAGGAGAATTGCATGAATCCAGGAAGCAGAGGTTGCAGAGAGCTGAGATCGTGCTACTGCACTCCAGCCTGGGTGACACAGTGAGACTCTGTCTCAAAAAAAAAAAAAAAAAAAAACGCAAAACAAAACAGTAGTTGCCTTATTTTATTCTTCCATATCATATACATCCCTACCTATTCTTAATACAGTGAGGTGAATACAGCAGGTCTTCAAATAATGTTATTTCATTCAACGTTGTTTCATTATAATGTCCATAAGAAGAAAAATGGATTCCTGGTTGAGGCCACTGTCTGTCTGGAGTTTGCACGTTCTCCCCATGTCTGTGTGACTTTTCTCCGGGTACTCCGGTTTCCCCCACATCTGACAGTTGTGAAAGTGAGTGAACTGGCATGTCTAGATGGTCCCAGTCAGGATGTAGGTGTGAGTGAGCCCTGTGATGGGATGGCGTCCTATCCAGGCTGGTGCTCCTCTTGGACCCTGAGCTGCCGGGAGATGCTCTAGCCACCTGTGACCCCAAACTGGAATAAGCGATGATCTTACTTGTTTTTATCATCTTTCTTAAATGTTTGTATAGCTCACATTTATTTCAGTATTTAAAATTAGAAGTGTTTTGGTCTTTTTTTAGACGTTTGGGCCTGGTGCAGTGGCTTACTCTTGTAATCCCAATACTTTGGGAGGCAGAGGAGAGAGGATCGCTTGAGGGCAGGAGTTTGAGACCAACCTGGGCAGTGGCTTACTCTTGTAATCCCAATACTTTGGGAGGCAGAGGAGAGAGGATCGCTTGAGGGCAGGAGTTTGAGACCAACCTGGGCAGCACAGTGAGACCTTATCTCTACAAAAAACTAAAAAATTAGCCAGATGTGGCTGTGTGAGCCTGTAGTCCTATCTACTCTGGAGGCTGAAATGGGAGAATCACCTGAGCCCAGAAGGTTGAGGCTGCAGTGAGCCGTGATCATGCCACTGCACTCCAGCCTGGGCAACAGAATGAGACGCCGTCTTAAAAAAAGAAATTTGGTAATGTTTTTGTTACCAGAAATATGTCGTAGCAACTTAATTCTTGTTTATATCAATTAGCCTAGGGTAAAATTAGTTTCATTATTCATCATTTCACTTAAAGTTGCAGTTTCTAAGAACCTAGCAACTACATTATATGAGGACTTACTATATTCAAAATATTCAACAATTGGTACAGCGAGTACACCCAGCCATCAAAACACACCTAGCCTAAATGTGGTACCAGGGCATGCTGGTTGAATACTGGGCAGAAAAACAGATAACAGGATTCACATGCCTTGTCTGGGGATATTTAAAGCTTAGTGCTACATGTGAAAGACAAGTTCTACCTTTGAGAACTCTCAATCCTAGACAACGTGATAACACTAGATGAACTGTGGCAGGGACAAGACCACTCAGGGAACAAACAGTTCCTAGCAAGAGTTCTTGCTGTCCAGCTGAGAAAAAGTAAAGGACTTAGGATATTCTCAGTTAGTAAAGATTTGTTTAAGGCCGGGTGCAGTGGCTCACACCTGTAATCCCAGCTCTTTGGGAGTCTAAGGTAGGCGGATCACCTGAGGTCAGGAATTGGAGACCAGCCTCGCTAACATGGCAAAACCCTGTCTCTATTAAAAATTAAAAAATTAGCCAGGGGTGGTGGTGGGTGCCTGTAATCCCAGCTCCTCGGGAGTCCGAGGCAGAAGAATTGCTTGAACCCTGGAAGCAGAGGTTACAGTGAGCCGAGGTCGCACTACTTCACTCCAGCCTGGGCGAAAGGGAAAGATTCCATCTCAAAAAAAAAAAAAAAAAAATTATTTAAGCTTCTTACCTCACCCATATTTTATAATTACAGCTGATAGCACTGGTTTTATGTTTGGCTTATTGTTTATTTGTTTGTTTCTGAGAGGGAGTCTCGACTTGTCACCCAGGCTGGAGTGCAGTGGTGTGATCTCAGCTCACTGCAACCTCCGCCTCCCGGGTTCAAGCAATTCTCTGCCTCAGCCCCCCGAGTAGCTGGGATTACAGGCGCCGGCCACCACGCCCTGCTAATTTTTTTGTATTTTTAGTAGAGATGGGGTTTCACCATCTTGGCCAGCCTGGTCATGAACTCCTGACCTTGTGATCCACCCACCTTGGCCTCCCAAAGTGTTGGGATTACAGGCGTGAGCTACCGTGCCCAGCCAATAGCACTGGTTTTCATACTATGGATACAAACATGACTATTCACCCATGGCCAAGTTTACCTAACATGAATAATGTCACTTAGCAATTTAGCCAAAACCCAGGGTTTTGCTTCTGTTTCTTGAATTATATTTGTGTAAACTTGCTCAATGGATCTAGCTGCATTTTGTGCCATTCCATGTCACTGCTCCTCACAATAAACCAGTCAGCTCCCCACTTGCTATTTCAAAAGACAAGTCCACGGAACTGCTCCTGACAGTCCTCCTTTGCCATGTGCCACTCCACATTGCCAGTATCACCCTCTCTTGTCTAGCCAAAATGATAGGCTCACCTATTTGGTGTTTTATATCTCTGACATTTCTGGGTTTTAAGACTTTAGTTCCCATTCACTACTTAGTTCTCTCCTGGCCTTATTTCAGGTTCTTCCTTCAGCTGGTTTCAGTCTATGTGCAGGAGGTTTAAGGGCCATTTCAATCCAGGATGATGACCAAGATTTAAACCAGGATTGTGCAGCCTTAGACTGAACATACACCAAAATACCCCCTATTCTTGTTGCTCTTTATCTCTGTTGCAAACTCAACATCAAGTCAAAGAGGACTTATTTTCCACAATCTCCACCTATGTGTATTTATGTCATCCCCTCAATGTTGTACCTCCTCATATTGTAATTATCTGTTCACACATAGGATTCCCCTTTAAGAATATGAAATCCTCAAGAGAGGGTCTGTACTTTGTGGATATTTTCCCCCATCACCTAACACCGAACCTGGTGTGTCATATAAATTATAAATGCAGATAGATGTAAGCACATGTGTTTATGAGAGAGATGCAAGTGACGATGGTACTTATTTTGTGCAAGTCATTCATTGATGATGGTGAACCCATAGATCTGGCTGACATTACCAAAAAAAAAAAAAAAAAAAAAAAAGCCAGGCACAGTGGCTCACGCCTATAATCCTAGCACTTTGGGAGACCAAGGCGGGTGGATTGCCTGAGGTCAGGAGTTTGAGACCAGTCTGGGCAACACGGTGAAACCCTGTCTCTACTAAAGTACAAAAACTTAGCGGGGCGTGGTGGCACACGCCTGTAATTCCAGCTACTCGGGAGGCTGAGACAGGAGAATCACTTGAACCTGAGAGGCGGAAGTTGCAGTGAGCTGAAATCGCGCCACTGCACTCTAGCCTGGGCAATAGAGCAAGACTCTGTCGCAAAAAAAAAAAAAAAAGTAGCTCATACTTCAAATAAGATTAGAGAACCAAAGTTTCTAATATAAAAGGAGACTAGCAGCAAAACTCCAGAATTAAGTTCCTTAGTAATGACACCTTGACACTATCAGAGACACATAACCATGTCAGACATAAGGACTCCAGTATTAACTGCATCCCAGAAGCAGCCTCAGCCTTTATCATGATCCTAAGAGCCACATAGAGACTATAAAATATTCAATGAAATTTATACCACCGACAAAAAATACATTAACTTGTTAGGCCATTTTAAAATTTAGTCCATATGTCCCTGAGGAATTTATTAACAGTTCATGACTAGAGAAGACTCCCAGGCACCAAGCCATTCCATTTTCTTTTTTTTTTTTCTTTGAGACAGAGTCTCTCTCTGTCCCCCAGGCTGGAGTACAGTGGTGCGATCTCAGCTCACTGCAATCTCCACCTCCCAGGTTCAAGCGATTCTCCTGCCTCAGCCTCCTGAGTAGCTGGGATTACAGGCGCCCACCACCACGCCTGGCTAATTTTTGTATTTTTAGTAGAGACGAGGTTTTGCCATGTTGCCTAGGCTGCTCTCGAACTCCTGGCCTCATGTGATCCGCCTGCCTTGGCCTCCCAAAGTGCTGCGATTACAGGTGTGAGCCACCGTGCAGCATCACCCTTACTCCTATCCTGTGCCCTGCAGCTATTTCTCACTCATCTTGGTCTTACCTTAATCAGGATCTCCATAAAGATGTATTATATTAAGCGGTTCTTATTATCCAATGGTGTTTTCTCCTATATCATTTTATGATTTCTTTTTGTACTTTAAAGTCTTCTTTTAAATTTAAGATGCTCTGCTTCCCAAGAATCCAGATTTTTGTACAAATTTAAAAGTGTACACTTAACCCCAAGGCCTGAAGCCCTTAACTTTAGGGCTCTACCTGTCTTGTCTATCTTTATAGATTGTTATCCTCCAGAATATAGTTTGAATAGGAGTCAGATATATGCATTGGCTGTGACTAATGGCTGTGTGGAATGCTACTCTAGTTAGATGGTGTTAGAAGGTCACTGCTGGGTAGAGGAGAGTCACATCTACATCTAGCCATGGTCAGATCAAAACTCATCACTAGGAAAGGTGCACTTTTTGACGAAGAGAACACTTCTTTGCTGTTAGCCATTGCTGCTTTTCTCACCTTCCTTTTAACCATTAGGTTACTTTACATACACCAAACAACATGTTTTAACCTAATTATAGCTATTGTATTAAGGGAAATTCCATGTAATTAAAGGGGAAATGTAGACCAAAAACTAGGGTAATATGCATACCTGGGAATATCCCTTGGAAGCTGCCCAAGCCAATTTTTAACCTTGATTCCATGAATCAAAATACAAAAAGCAGAGTGATTGGCATTTAGAAAGCACTGGGTAAATATTTATCCAGTGATTGCACAAATCCTTTTTTTACTTTAAAAATATCTCCACGTTTACTAATTAATTTGCATTAAATGAGGCATTCTTCTTCTTTTTTTTTTTTTTTAAACACAGGGTCTCCCTGTGTTGCTGACGCTGGAGTGCAGTGGCGCAATCATAGCTCACCGCAGCCCAGAACTCCTGGGCCCAAGCAATCCTCCTGCCTCAGCCTCCGGAAGTTCTGGGATTATAGATGTGAGCCACTGTGCCTGCCCAGCCAGCATTACTGCTTCTAAGGGGAAAAATCCTTGTGAACTTTAGAAATGTTGTATTCTGTATTAATAATTACCAGTTCTTGGCCAAGTGCAGTTGTTCACGCCTGTAATCCCAGCACTTTTGGAGGCTGAGACAGGTAGATTGCTTGAGGCCAGAAGTTTGAGACCAACCTGGCCAACACAGTGAAACCCTATCTCTACTGAAAAAAAATACAAAAATTAGCCAGGTGTAGTGGTGCACACCTGTAATCCCAGCTACCAGACACTAGAGTGGCTGAGGCACAATAATCGCTTGAACCCAGAAGGCAGAGGTTGCAGTGAGCTGAGATGGCACCACTGCACTGCGGCTTGGACAACAGAACAAGACCCTGTCTCAGACAAAAAAAAAAAAAACCACAAAAAACAAAAGCAAAAAAACAAAAAAAAAATTAGCAGACCTTGAAATATCAGAGTCCCACAAGAATGGCTTAAAAGGTCTATAAAGTTCTCTTGATATTCATATATAATCTCTATACCTGTGTCCAGTACAGGAGCCACGAGCCACATGTGGCTACTTAGCACTTGAAATGTGGCTAGTGCAACTAAGGACTGAACTTTAAATTGTATTTAAATTTAAGTAGCCAAATGTGGCTAGTGCCTTCCAATATTGGAAAGCATAGCTCTATAAAAATAGGATGAGAAAAACAAAATTTGAAACAGGAAAATGTTTAAAGGCATTCCTATAGTCCTTCACCATTTTTTCTCTTCCATGGGACAGTTTGTTCACTTGTCTTCCGACTTCCCTTACTGAGATCTTTTTTTTTTTTTTTGAGACAGAGTTTCGCTCTTGTTGCCCAGGCTAGAGTGCAATGGCATGATCTTGGCTCACCACAACCTCTGCCTCCTGGGTTCAAGCAATTCTCCTGCCTCACCCTCCCAAGTAGCTGGGATTACAGGCATGCACCACCATGCCCGGTTAATTTTGTATTTTTAGTAGAGACGGGGTTTCTCCATGTTGGTCAGGCTGGTCTCAAACTCCCGACCTCAGGTGATCCGCCTGCCTCAGCCTCCCAAAGTGCTGGGATTACAGGCGTGAGCCACCGTGCCTGGCCTTACTGAGATCATTTTTAAGTTTTATAGTTTTAATGATGGTAAATGCTGTTTCATCCACCGGTTCTTTGCTTTTGTGAGTCTTAATCTTGGCTGTGCCTCAGCCTCACCCCCAGAGATTCTATTCAGCAAGTCTGGGGAGGGGACTGGGCATCTGTGTTTTTTAAGCTCCACAGATGATTCTGATCTGCAGCCAGGCTTGGGAACAACTACTTTACACCAGAGACCCAAACCAGCAGCCCTTGGGCCAAACACACCCTCAAAACATATGTTCATCCCACACAGTGTTGTAAAATGTTTTGAATTAGATGCCAACTTCTGCACATTGTAATTTTTTATCCCAAAAAAAAAATGGTGTTGAGTAAAGGCTGCCCCCTTCAGATGCAGCATAAATTCTTTAATTCAATACTACTTGCCTACCTCATAAGGGCCCCGCTTCCCAATAGGCATTTGAGTTTGAGATCCCTTTCTTATTCCATGTCTATATAATACCTGCCAAAGCAGAAAGCAATTGCTTTATATCAATGCACTATTCCTAGGTATACGAACTGTTTCATCAATGGGACTGCCTAGAGTTATCTCGTCAGGGTGAGGAATATCACCCAACCATCATGTAAAACCCCTGAATAAATATGATGGAAGTCTCAAAAGGAGAATGGGTTATAATCCAGAATCATGAGACTACTCCTGTTCAGGGACAAATCATTATTTTCAGCAAAAATGTTGTCTCACTTTTTATTTTATTTATTTAGAGATGGAATTTTGCTCTTGCTGCCAAGGAGTGCAGTGGCATGATTTCTGCTCACTGCAACCTCCACCTCCCAGGTTCAAGTGATTCTCCTGCCTCGCCCTCCCAAGTAGCTGGGATTACAGGCATGCACCACCACGCCCGGTTAATTTTGTATTTTTAGTAGAGACGGAGTTTCTCCATGTTGGCCAGACTGGTCTTGAACTCTTGACCTCAAGTGATCTGCCCACCTCAGCCTCCCAAAGTCCTGGGATTACAGGCGTGAGCCACCACACCTGGCTATTTTCTTATACTCCAAACTCTCTTACATAAAGTACTGTAAGGCCAGCCAATAAGACTGTCAGGAAGGGTATCTTTGTTACATATTTTATTCCCATTTTGCGGAAAAAAAAAAAAAAGCTTTTTCTAGTTTCTCATCCTTCACCCATGTTTTCCTTCAATATATTTATATTCAGCCATGGTTCTTAACATTAAAAAGAGCTGATCACATTTGTGTATCTTTCCTCTCTCTTGAGATTCCTCTGTAATGACAGCTAATGAATGAAAAGTATATAAGCCAAAATAATGAAATAAAAGGTACACAGGTCATCGGCTGAGGAAAACTTGATAGAGGAGTGCTCATTGATTTAGAAGCAGAGGAAGGCATAGTGTTTGAGTATTTATGGGAACAATAGCTTTTTTCCCAGAAAAACTGCATGCATGCCAAACATTTTGCAATCAATTTTTGGAGTTTCCCAGCCTCTGTGTCCCATCTATTGATTCCTGGTTAAAAAACAAAAACAAAACACCACTAGCTTGAAAGAGGACACACTGTTTGACAGATAGTTTTACTGGATACAGTGCACCAAAATGTTAGCCACAGCTTTTTAAAGCGGGGCATACTTTTTAGATAAAATATTATAATAGATCTTTTGTGTCAATAAAGGGGAAAGCAGCCTGGCATACCATTAGGCTTTAAGTAAAATACAAGGAATAAATTGTCTCACTTCCAGGAGCAAGTTAAACTAAGCATCATCTAGAATTTGTGACTGAAGGCACAGTGGATTTCTCAGCATACAATAGATAAATCAATGGCATTTGAATTTTTAAACAAACCCTTAGAGACATCCACGACAGGGCTGAGACATTTCCTGAAATTGCGCTCATAGAAACAGTTGCTTGACACCTTAACCTGGTCTGTTCCACTAAGGCAGAGCTGACTCCTTTGCTCTTGAGTTTTTTTCCCTGAGTGGCAGTTGGTTCCCTCACTGAGGTGATAAATTAGGAGTCACCTTAAGGCATGAAACATGCAATATGAAACAATATTATTTGCTAAATGGAAATTCCTGCATTTCTGTTCTAATCTATTTCTACATATGACAGGCATCAAAGGTAAAGTGAATAATTTTTTTCTTCATAAGATGGCTTAACGTTTTCTATTTCAACCACTTTATATTACTGAGAATGTTTAGGCTTTTCACACTTCTTGATTCCCCCCCAAGTAATGCAACAGATATTTTTAGAATCTTCATATACCGATATTCTCCTTTTGTCCCCTGCAGAGGCTCTCTCAGCTCTGCTCAGGGCCCTGAGAGGATATCTCCCAGGCTTTCTTTTCTTTCTTTCTTTCTTTTTTTTTTTTTTTGAGACAGAGTCTCGCTCCTGTCACCCTGGCTGGAGTGCAGTGGTATGATCTCAGCTCACTGCAACCTCCGCCTGCCAGATTCAAGTGATTCTCTTGCCTCAGCCTCCCGAGTAGCTGGGATTACAGGTGCCCACCACCACGCCTGGCTAATTTTTGTATTTTTAATAGAGACAGGGTTTCACCATGTTGTCCAGGCTAGTCTTAACTCCTGACCTCAGGTGATCCGCCCACCTCAGCCTCCCAAAGTACTGGGATTACAGGCGTGAGCCACTGTGCCCAGCATCCCAGGCTTTCTTGACAACTGGCTTCCAGTAGCCAATGGGATACCCTAGCAGGAGATCAGAAGGTGGGAGAAGAGAAACATATGGGTTATTTGTTCCCCTCTTCCTCTCTGTTTTGGTGTTAGGCCTCTGATAGTAGTGACACCTCTCCACAACTATCGATTCTGCTGGATGGCACCTTCCCATCTCCAGCTCTCACCAGACTCCAGGAATTCTATTTCCTCCCCGCTGTCTCCTTTGCCCTTCATGTGGTCATGGCTACCCTTGCTTGCTAGCCTCTGGGTGTCTCCATAACCTTTGTTGGTTCCTTTATCCATATCTCTGAAAAAAATTCCCTTACTAAAGTCCTGTCTTTGGAACTAGTTGAAGTGAAGCCTGCTTTCTGCTGGGATCATGGCTGACACACTTCATCTCTCTTTATTTCAAACAAGTAAGACTAGTGAAGCAGAAAAAAGAGGGGAGAAAATGGCTTGAGGAAGAGAAAGGAACAGTGTGGTTTTAAAAGGCAACACTTAACAAGAAAACAATTGAGTAAAACCCATCAAAAAGAAAATGCTCTTTTCTTTGCAATGGACCCCCTAGTAAGATGTCACTCAGTAAAGTGGTCATCAACCTACTCTTTTGAGCTTTGCTTTTACCAAAGAAGTCCAGTCTTGATGAGCTTTATCACTCCTTGTCATCTTTTACTTGTTCATTTCAAAGCAAAAAGGGAACTTATATTGACTGAACATATTATATGTGCTCATAACTCTTGACAATACTTGAGGTGTTATGAATTGCGTTTTAAAGTGGAGGAAACTGAGGCTCTTGAGAGATCCAATAATTTGCTCCAAATCATATAACTAGCAGGTAGTAAAGCCAGAATGAATAACTTAGCATATATGCTTTCATACAGAATATTGCTTTCGTTAAAGTATTTCTCTTTGACTGCAATCTTAAGACACTATGGGCTTAAGACACTTAAGACACTATGGGCGCGGTGGCTCATGCTTATAATCCCAGCACTTTGGGAGGCCAAGGCGGGCAGATCATTTGAGGTCAGGAGTCTGAGATGAGCCTGACCAACATGGTGAAACCATGTCTCTACTAAAAATACAAAAAAAATTAGCCGGGTTTGATGGCACATGACTGTAGTCCCAGCTACTCGGGAGGATGAGGCAGGAGAATTGCTTGAACCCAGGAGACAAAGGTGGCAGTGAGCCAAGATTGTGCCACTGCACTCCAGCCTGGGAGACAGAGTGAGACTCTGTCTCAAAAAACAAAAACAAAAAACACGCTATGACCCTCTACAAAAAGATCTTATTGTTTCTAAATATTTTTGATGAAAAATAGTTGATCCACTTGTTTATTTTTTGTCTCTTTTGAGACTCCTCTGTAATGACAGCTAATGAAAGGAAAATATGTAAGCCCAAATGATGATATAAAGGGTAGAAGGGCTATCAGTTGATGAACACCAAAGGAGTGGTTGTTGATGTAGAGTGAGAGGTAGGCATATCTTAAAGGGTTTCCAGAGGAAATTATGGGCAAAAAGGAAGATTATTTGAGTGATAGAACCCTGAAGAACTTTGGGAGCAAAGAGTGGACATGCATTGGTGGACAAGAGTAAGAAGTGGGGCTGAAAACAGAACTGATGTAAAAACAGATATCTAGTGTCCCTGATTATCTGTACAAATGTACATATTTTTTAAAGCGAGGTATTGAACAGATAATTGGGAAGTCTAGGTTTGTTATTGTGGCTTGTCACTTTTTCTTCTTTGCTGTAGGATGATCAAGAAGAAACAAGACTATTATTCTTCCCATCTCTACCCCAACTCTCTCTTCCTCTCTCAGAAGGACAGCAGCAAGGTTATCTACCAGGTAGGCAAGAAATTACAGGTTCCTCCTCTAGAGAAATTAAATAGTCATAGAGAAAAGACCTCCACATTTTGGCCTTTGGGAGTTCCCTGAGATAATGGTCATTGCCCACACCTGATCACTCTCGACACACTTGTTCACAAACACAGCTCTCAGCTTTTTTTTTTTTTTTTTTTTTTTTTTTTTTTTGAGACAGAGTCTTGCTCTGTCGCCCAGGCTGGAGTGCAGTGGCACGATCTCGGCTCCACTTCCCGGGTTCATGCCACTCTCCCGCCTCAGCCTCCCGAGTAGCCGGGACCACAGGCGCCCGCCACCAAGCCCAGCCAATTCTTCTGTATTTTTAGCAGAGACAGGGCTTCACCATGTTAGCCAGGATGGTCTTGATCTCCTAACCTCGTGATCCGCCCGCCTCGGCCTCCCAAAGTGCTGGGATTACAGGCGTGAGCCACCGCGCCCGGCCAGCTCTCAGCTTTTCTGTGTCCCATTCTCAAATATAAATGAACTTAAGAGTATTCAAATAACAACAACAAAAACATCAGGAAAATAAAAATTAGACGGCAGAAATGAAAATCTCAATAGTAAAGTAGAGGGTATAGTTAGGGAATCCAAAACCAGAGCAAAGTGGCAAATAATTGGACAATAAGAGAGAAAACATAAGAAATTAGATGCTCAATCCAGGAAGCCTGACAACTAATTAATAGGAGTGCCAGAAAGAGAACAGAAAAGACTGGTGGAGAAAAGTATTAATAAAATAACGTAAGAGAATTTTTCAGAGCTGAAGAACATGAGCCTTTTCTCAAAAAGAACTTTTTGGTATCTAGCCCAATGAGTAAAAGACAAATGAACAAACAAACAAATATCCCACAAGGCCAGGCACGATGGCTCACGCCTGTAATCCCAGCACTTTGGGAAGCCAAGGCAGGAGGATTGCTTGAGCACAGGAGTTCGAGACCAGCCTGGGCAACATAGTGAAACCCTGTCTCTACAAAAAATACAAAAACTTAGCTAGGCGTGGTGGCACATTCCTGTAGTCCCAGCTACCCGGGAGGCTGAGGTAGACGAATCACCTGAGCCCAAGAGATCGAAGCTGCCATGGGCCATCCTCATGCCACTGCACTCCAGCCTTGGTGACAGAGTGAGACGCCGTCTCAAAAAAAAAAAAAAAAAAAAAATTCCCATCAAATAACATAAACCAGTGACAACAAAGGACTTATTATTACAAAATTTCAAACCCTAGGGATAAACAGAAGTCTCTAAAAGCTCTGGTAGGAGTGGAGAAATAGAGTGGAGACAGAAAACTAATGAATAGAAGATTGTGAATAAGAATGGCATCAAACTTCTCATGGAAATAGAAGGTAGAAGATAATGGAGATATACCTTCAAATTTCCAAGGGAAAGTTATTTTTTGTTTAACCAAGAATTACATATTTAGCCAAATTTGCTATCAAGTAAAAGGGTAGAAAAGAGACATTTTTACACATACAAGTCTTCAAAAAATGTACCTCCTGTGAAATTAAATAATTCAAACTTAAAGCTGTTGGACATTTGAATTATTCTGAGCTTCAAGTGGAGGGTGGCTATGTAGTCTGAGTCACGCAGCATGCAGCTGCAACTTCTGCCTTGTTTTCTTGTAAATGATTAAGAAGACCAAATGGCCTCAGACATGAGACCCCCTCAGATCACTACCTCCCTCATGGAGCAATAGAGTAATCTTCCTTGGGATGTAGCAATCTGTAACCAATCAAATTGCTCTCATATACGGAACGGTCTTGTAAGGAAAATGCTGTAATCTGCTAAAATTTCTCTGTTTCTGCCTATATAAGTGAAACCTTAACTTTTTTTTTTTTTTTTTTTTTGAGACAGAGTCTTGCTCTGTCGCCAGGCTGGATGGAGTTCAGTGGCGCGATCTTAGCTCACTGCAACCTCCACCTCCCAGGTTCAAGTGATTCTCCTGCCTCAGCCTCCCAAGTAGCTGGGACTACTAGTGCATGCCACCACACTAGGCTAATTTTTGTATTTTTAGTAGAGATGGGCTTTCACCATGTTGGACAGGATGGTCTCGATCTCTTGACCTCATGATCCACCCGCCTCGGCGTCCCAAAGTGCTGGGATTACAGGCTTGAGCCACCGCGCCTGGCCTGAAACCTTAACTTCTCCACTTTGGAATTCTGACCTTGTTTGTTTGTAGTCACTGGTTCCCGTGCGGCCATCCTCAAGGCTTGTGTTTGAATAGACTATGTACAAATTTATATTTTCTGTATCTCATTACTTAAGGTTGACATTTTGGCGACCATGATGGGACTTGAAGCAGAACTTCAGCAATCCTCATCGCTTTGTCAACAACTTGAGCCTTGGTACCAGCACAAATGATTTTCATTTTCCTGACTTCACAGGCTATGCAAATCTCTGGTAAGGCCCCTTTCAAGTTTGAGTTCTCCTGGATTGGTTGAGGATGCAGACTTTATTTGCATTACACACATTCCTAACTCAATGGGGTTGGAACTGAAGTTCTACAACAAGGTAGGAGTTTGGTTTGTTATTCTCTAGAGATTCTGATAATTGCAGATTTGTGATTTTCACTTTTCTCTGAGCTTAAGGTTTTATTTGGAACTACTGCTTGGAGTTTTCCAACCTTTTCTCTTGTACCAAATTTTGGTTAGGGAGAAAACAGTTTCTCTCTGAAAAGAGGAAGTGAATCTCTGTGGCTTAAGCGAAAATTTTATAAACTTTAGAGCTGGTCAGATTCTGAAGCTTGGTTCAATTGACAAATCTAAGCTTTTTTTTTTTTTTTTGAGTGACAATATTACAAAAGGCTCTCTATGAGGACAAGATAAGTCCTGAGGATAAGAGACATTGTCTTTCCCAGCCAAAAGGCACCTTTAGTGAGTAAGGTCTTGAGGGAGTGTTGGAGCTTATCGCTCATGACATAAACTGTTCTAAAGGGAATCCCTTCAGAAGAATATATGGGGAACTTTGCTTAATCCTGTGAGCACACATACAAGTTGATCACCTAGTGCCTTAAGCACTCAAGTCTCTTGGGACCACCAAGACACATAAACGAGAAGAACTGACTCCAGGGTGATACTTTGAAGAGCTATTCCCACAATCAGCACACTCAATCCAAAACACCTCCCACTAGGTCTTTTTGGTCATTCAAAAGTAAAGTCTAAATTCTGAGCAATCATACTTCTAAAACTGAGTCTTCTTCCTTATGGAGAGATCCACCCTTAGAAACATCAGCTAGATTCATTTTTAATATTTATGGCACTTTTATATGCAAATATTTAGAAAAATGGTCTCACATAACTCACAATGACCAAATGAGCCAAATTATAATGGCCAAATGGGGGTAACTTTTAAGTACCTAACCTAGTTTGCACACTCAATTAGAAAAAGCTGGCACTAAAATAAAATAAAGCAACTGGCAGATTGATTTTCAGTGGTACTTGGAAGCTTCAAAAGAGGTTCTGATAAAATCATTTCTTTGCAAGAAGAAAACAAAAGTGCCTAAAACAATTTTTTTTTTTTGAGACGGAGTCTCGCTCTGTTGCCCAGACTGGAGTGCAGTGGCGTGATCTCTGCTCACTGCAAACAAACTCTGCCTCCCGGGTTCCCGCCATTCTCCTGCCTCAGCCTCCCAAGTAGCTGGGACTACAGGTGCCCGCCACCGCGCCCGGCTAAATTTTTTGTATTTTTTAGTAGAGATGGGGTTTCACCGTGTTAGCCAGGATAGTCTCGATCTCCTGACCTTGTGATCAGCCCGCCTCGGCCTCCCAAAGTGCTGGGATTATAGGCGTGAGCCACCGCACCCGGCCCTAAAACAATTTTTAAATTGAAAAAGACTGCTGAAATTTCTCCTTCTTCAGCTCTTCTTTCTCTTTTGTCAAAACTTCTTTGTTTGGACTTACCTTCCCTCTCTCCTCACCCCTCCCTCCCTCCTTCCCTCTTCCTTTCCTCCTTTCCTCCTTTCCTCCCTTCCTCCCTTCCTTCCTTCCTTCACCTCTGCCTCCTCCTTCTGCTGTTCTGACTCCATTTTGGGAATACCCTATGTCTAGTAGAGGAGAATCTGCCTTGGTTTAAAGAATTCCTGGATCCTCTTCAGGACCGCTACTGGATTTGCTAGAGAATTTGTTTTGTTTTTGAGACAGGGTCTTGCTGTGTCACTCAGGCTGGAGTGCAGTGGTGTAATCTCGCTTCACTGCAACCTCCACCTCCTGGGCTCAAATGATCCTCCCACCTCAACCTACCAAGTAGCTGGGATTACAGGCATGCACCACGATGCCTGGTTAATTTGCTAGAGAATTTGTATATGTGCTGCCGAAGTGAGCACAATTTGCTAGAGAATTTGAATTAAACATTCACACTTATAATCCTAGATTTTCTGATTTATTTCAGTTGGTTCACATTTAGTGTTACAAAGTAAAGCCAGGCTGGGCATGTGGCTCACGCCTGTAATCCCAGCACTTTGGGAGGCTGAGGCAGGTGGTTCACGAGGTCAGGAGATCGAGACCATCCTGGCTAACATGATGAAACCCTGTCTCTACTAAAAATACAAAAAATTAGCCGGGCGTGGTCGTGGACGCCTGTAGTCTCAGCTACTCAGGAGGCTGAGGCAGGAGAATGGTGTGAACCTGGGAGGCAGAGCTTCCAGTGAGCAGAGATCGCTCCACTGCACTCCAGCCTGGGTGACAAAGCAAGACTCCGTCTCAAAAAAAAAAAAAAAAAAAAGAAATTAAAGCCGAAGATTAGATAGCAAAGGCAAGTTGGAGAAATCCTTTAGAGGATCATGAATGGGTCTGCAATACCGCCAAAGTTTTACTAGCCACTATTCCCTTTGGTTTCTAAAGATTGGAACAAAATACAACAATGCAAATAAAATATTGATAAGGCCGTAATGTCATACTATGAAAAATTTGAAAAACATTTAAATAATATTCAGGCTTATCAGAAGAAAGTTATACTAATCACCAAAATGATATTCTCCTTAACTCAAGCTTTGTAAGTGGATTAGGTGAAGAATTGGCAGTTATAACAAAAAGACAATGCCCTATTTGGGGTACCTCTCAAACTCATGATCTAGTTAATTTTGCTGATCAAATGTCCTGTACCCTAACCCAGAAATAAAAGGAAAGGGAAGTTAAGCAGGGAGGAAAAGCAAATAAGATCACGAGTTTACAATTAAAACAATTGTCCAACCAATTTGTAACCCCTAAACAGCCTAAAAAGTTCCCAAACTGACCCAATCCCCTGCTTTGCAATTACTGCAAAAAGCCTGAATATTTCAAAATGGATTGTAGAAAACTAAAATGGAAATGACAGCAACAGGTCAAAGAAAAAGAATAAGGATGCTCTGAGGAAACCAAATGGACCTTTTCTTACCTCCTTATAAATACCTTAGGGAAGGTTAGAATTAATTTAAATGGAGACCAAACACAAACTCTTAATGACACTGTGGCTACATTATCAGTGATATATCTCACCTTATTACGAGGTTACATTCCTCAGAGTAAAAAACCAATACAAATCATGGGTGAAACAAATACTCCTGTATCACTATATCAATTTCAACCTATAGTTTTTCAGTTAGCTCCCCTAGAGGGAACCTAACATGTCTTCCTCTCTGCCCCCTCAGCCTCCAACCGTCTGATAGGGAGAGATTTCCTAGAGTTATATAATACTCACATATCTTTCTTTCAAAAGGGGGGAGGCCGGGTCCGGTGACTCATGCCTGTACTCCCAGCACTTTGGGAGGCTGAGGCTGGCAAATCATGAGGTCAGGAGATTGAGACAGTCCTGGACAACGTGGTGAAACCCTGTCTCTACTAAAAATACAAAAATTAGCCAGACGTGGTGGCATGCGCCTGTAATCCCAGCTACTCAGGAGGCTGAGGCAGAAAAATCGCTTGAACCTGGGAAGGGGAGGTTGCAGTGAGCTGAGATCGTGCCACTGCACTCCAGCCTGGTGACAGAGCAAGATTCCATCTCAAACGAAAAGGAGGTGGGGATGTATTTAGAATTAGAAGATAAAATAGAATTATTAGGTCCAAAATTTTCTCAAATTCTGATGCTTTTAAATCACAACTAGCAATTAATATTGTCATGAAGGAAAGTAGATTGTTAAATAATGAAGAATTATGTAACAAGAGCTGTTAAAAATAGTACTTGAGTGCTTCCTTCAGCAGCTCATATAATAAAATTGGGATGACAGCGAAGATTAGCATGGCCCCTGCATGAAGATGATATGCAAATTCATGAAATGTTCCATATTTTATATTAATAAAAGTTTTTTTTAAAGATTAAAACTAGTACTTGATCAATTGTGGTCAAAATTCTCCACCAATATTGGAAAAATTATCTTAGCTGCCCCAATTAAAATTCAAATAAATCCATCAAAACCTTTTCCAAACCTTAAACAATATTCTCCAAGATCAGAGGCATAGGAAGGGATAAGACCTATTGGATTATATGAAAAGAGGGTTGATTATTTTTTATAGAAGCTCATACTCCAAACAGTAGAGGGTGGAGATTTGCACAGAATCTGAGGGCAATTAATAACATAGTAATTCCTCACATCCAATGGTTACCAAACCTGCATACGTGTTGACTGCCATCTCAACTGAAGGTGTGTTCTTTACTGTAAGAGACCTATGTAGCTCATTCTTCAGCATTCCTGTGGATAAAGATAATCAATTTCTCTTTACCTTCACTTGGGAAGATAGACAATACACATGAACAGTTATGCCTCAGGGATATACTGAGAGTACAACTTATTTTTCATAAATATTAATAGCAGACCTTTCAGATGTTGACTTCCTTAAGAAATGCACCTTGATACAGTATGGAGACAATTTACTTCTCTGCTCAGGAGATAAACAAACCTCCATAGAGGATGGAATTTATTTATTACAATGATTAGTTTCAAAGGAACACAAAGCCTCAAAGAAAAAACTTCAATTCTGTCAAAAACAAGTAAGATATTTAAGTTACCTAATATCAAAGGAAAGCCTCTTTATCAATTCAGCTAGAATAAAAGGAATATTGGGCTGGGTGCGTTGGCTCACACCTGTAATTCCAGCACTTTGGGAGGCCGAGGCAGGTGGATCACGAGGTCAGGAGTTCAAGACTCAGCCTGGCCAAGATGGTGAAACCCTGTCTCTACTAAAAATACAAAAATTAGCTGAGCGTGGTGGCAGGCACCTGTAATCCCAACTACTCGGGAGGCTGAGGCTTGCACCCAGGGGGCGGAGGTTGCAGTGAGCTGAGATTGCGCCACTGCACTCCAGCCTGGGTGACAGAGTGAGACTCCTTCTCAAAAAAAAAAAAAAAAAAAAAAGAATAAAAGGAATATTGGCCTTCCCTACCCCCAAAACTAAGAAACAACTGAGAGAATTTTGGGAGTTAACAGGATACTGAGGAAACTGAATTCCAAACTTCTCCTTAAAAACTCAACCTTTATATACTCTTTTTAAATAAGGTAAACTAGATCCCCTGGAATGAACAGAGGAAAATCAGTTCACATTGGAAATTTTTGTTTTTTTTTGAGACAGAGTCTTGCTGTTGCCCAGGCTGGAGGGCAGTGATGTGATCTCAGCTCACTGCAGCCTCCACCTCCTGGATTCAAGTGATTCTCCTGCTTCAGCCTCCCAGGTAGTTGGGATTACAAGTGCATGCCACCACACCTGGCTAATTTTTGTATTTTTAGTACAGATGGGGTTTCACCATGTTGGCCAGGCTGGTCTCAAACTCCTGACCTCGGGTGCTGGGATTACAGGGGTGAGCCACCACCCCTGGCTAACACTGGAAGAAATTTAAGAGTCTTATAGATGCCCCAGTGTTAGGTTATCTGAATTGTAACATTTCATTTTCATTGTTTGTTCATGAACTGCCTTAGGCATTCTGACTCAAAAACATGGAGATCAAAATAGACTTGTAGGATACTATAGTCAACAACTGGACCCCGCAGCTAAAGAACTGCAACCTTGCATGACAGCAATAACCGCTACTGTCCCTACAGCGACCAAACAAACAGTGATAGGATCTCCCCTCAGTCTTCATTCCACATTCTGTGGAAGCACTTCTCAACTTGCACCACATTTAACACTATTCAGTTAGTAGACTGGCTTCTCATAAAAAGTTCTTCTTTCTGCTCCCCAATCAATCTCCAGATGTAAAAGTCTAAATTTTTCTAAATTCAACTGCCCCTGCCTTCAGATGAAACACCATGATTGCATAATCTTAACCAACCAGCTCCTCTCCTAGGATGGACCTGCAAGAAACCCTCCTTACTAATGCTGATGTTATTTGGTTTGCGGATGGATCTTACTTAAAGGGTAGATCTGAAATTTACCATGCAGGTGATGCTATAGTATCCTTGACTGAGGAAATAGAAAATGCTTATCTTCCAGGAGAGACCTCAGCTCAAAAAGCAAAGTTAATAGCATTAATTAAAACCTGTCAATTGGCAAAAGGAACAACTGCTAATATATATATATACAAATAGCTGATAGGCTTTTAGAGTAGCTCATTACTTTGGAATGCTATGGAAATAAAGATGATTTTTAACCTCTTCTGGTCAGTCCACAAAAAATAGACACCTTATTTCAGAATTATTGGAAGCTATATTATTGCCCAAATTATTACCCTTTGTCAAGTTTCCATGCCATTCAAAGTCAAATATTTCATAAAGCAAAGGAAATCAATTAGCAGATAGTACAGCAAAAAGGGCTGTACTAAGCGCATCTGAACAAGAAAACCCATTTTAGCTTTTAAGAAAGCACTTGATTTTGATATAAAATTAGCTCAATCCAAAGCTCCAAAAACAGAACAAGAAAATTGGGTAAGTAAAGGGGGAATGTACTTCTCTGAGACTGGGCTATGATATGGACCAAATGGTCTACTTATGCTTCCAACCAAATTACAGTTATCTTTCTTAACTCATGTGCATGATTTAACTCATTGGAGCCCTGATAAGATGATTGCTTGAGAGAAACAAGATTATTAGAAATCTCCAACTGTTGCTCATAAGATATATAATTGCTGCCACATCTGTCCAAAACATAATCCAGGGAAACCTTTACATAGTTCTCCGGGTCATTTTCCTTTACCAGAAAGCCTAATTGAGGTATGGCAACTAGATTTTATTCAGCTACCACCATTACAAGAATATAAGTAGGTTCTAGTAACGGTTTGTATGTTTTGTCGTAGGGTGGAAGTATTTCTATGCAGAAGAGCAACAGCCTTTGTGATAAGTAAAATTCTTTTAGAAAAAAATTATCGCAACATGGGTAGTCCCTTTACAACTTCACAGTGACAGTGGACAGATGTGCTCATTTTACTGGACAAATAATCCAGTCAGCATGTAAAATCTTGCTCATTCTCCAATGTTTCCATTGTGCCTATCACCCCCAGTCACCTGGGACAGGGAAATGCACACACAGAATCACCAAAACTCAACTGGCAAAAATTAACCGAGGTTTTAAAAATTCCTTTGGCCAAGGCCGGGTGCAGTGGTTCATGCCTGTAATCCCAGCACTTTGGGAGGCCGAGGCGAGCGGATCACCTGAGGTCGGGAGTTCGAGACCAGCCTGATCAACATGGAGAAACCCCATCTCTACTAAAAATACAAAATTAGCTGGGCGTGGGAGCGCATGCCTGTAATCCCAGCTACTTGGCAGGCTGAGGCAGGAGAATTGCTTGAACTTTGGAGGCAGAGGTTGCGGTGAGCCGAGTTCATGCCATTGCACTCCAGCCTGGGCAACGAGAGCAAAACTCCATCTAAAAAAAAAAAAAAAACAGAGAAATTCCTTTGGCCAAAAGCTCTTCCATTGGCTTTGCTTAACCTAAGATTGACCCTTTTTGGTAAATGTCAGTTGTCTCCATTTGAAATTATTACAGTCACACCTATTAAATTGTCTCTAGGAAACCGTGAATCTATGATATTAAAAGGGGATATGTTCTATTATTGCAGTAGCCTTATAAGGCAGCTAACTAAAAACTGTAAGTTAGTAAAAGACTCTTTCCACACTGAGCTCCCAGGAGACAAAAAAACGCAAGGACCATGGACTTCAACCAGGAGATTTTGTTGATTGGAAACGCTACTTTTAAAGGACTCTTACCAATCGAGGTGGAAGGAATCTTATCAGGTGCCCCAAAAATTCTTGTGCCAACCAATGATTCCTGGATATACATCACCATGTAAAGAAAGCCATTTTGCCAATTTGGACTTCATCTCAAACCAGTGAGCTAAAATGGAAATTCTCCAGAACCAACAAGAACAAGAAAAAGATGACATCTGAGGTAGTCAGCTTTCCCAAGACACTGGACAAGGCCCGTATCTCTAAATGAATATTTAATTTTATTAAACTCATTTACTGCCGGAAAATGTTTAATGTTAATGATGACTAATAGATGGAGAAGGTGTTCACTTGCAAGTTCTCACCAAATTTCTTTCTTTCTTTTTTTTCTTTCTTTTTTTTTTTTTTTTTCGAGATGGAGTCTCACTCTGTCACCCAGGCTGGAGTTTGGTGGCACGATCTCGGCTCGCTGCAACCTCTGCCTCCCAGGTTCAAGCAATTCTTCTGCCTCAGTCTCCTGAGTACCTGGGACTACAGGCACCCACCACCATGCCCAGCTAATTTTTGTATTATTATTAGAGACAGGGTTTCGCCATGTTGGCCAGGCTGGTCTCGAACTCCTGACCTCGTAATCTGCCTGTCTTGGCCTCCCAAAGTGCTAGGATTACAGGTGTGAGCCACTGTGCCCCACCTATCAAATTTCTTTCTTTTCATTCCTAGTTCTTATGTTTTGCTGCTACTGTCACAAGCTATTGTCCATGAAGCAAACCTCTTCTTGGAGTAGGCTCAGGACAACGCAAATGGATTACAGAAAACACTTGTTGGGTGTGTGGTCTTATGCCCTTTTCTGGTGGTTTTGGCTTAACATGGTGGATATCTCCTTTCCAAGAACAAAATTGGATAGAATGTCAGAAATATATCCACAAAAATTAGCTGGGCATGGTGGCAGGTGCCTATAATCCCCACTACACAGGTGGCTGAGGCAGGAGAATTTCTTGAATCTGGGAACCAGAGGCTGCAGTCAGCCAAGATCATGCCACTGCACTCCAGCCTGGGCAACAGAGCAAGAAAAAGAAAGAAAGAAATATATCTGTATTTCTCAAGAATACTCATTGGTGCTTAACACTAGCATGACTAGAAATGATAAGTATCACTGGCCTTTTAATAAATTTTTTTTTTTGAGACAGAGTTTTGTTCTTGTCTCCCAGGCTGGAGTGCAATGGCGCGATCTTGTCTCACTGCAACTTCTGCCTCCCATGCTCAAGCGATTCTTGTGCCTCAGCCTCCTGAGTAGCTGGGATTACAGGCACGTTCCACCACACCTGGATAATTTTTGTATTTTTAGTAGAGACAGGGTTTCACCAGGTTGGCCAGGCTGGTCTCAAACTCCTGACCTCAGGTGATCTGCCTGCCTCGGCCTCCCAAAGTGCTGGGATTACAGGTGTGAGCCACCGTGCCCGGCCAATAATTTTTTTTTTTTTTTTTTTGAGAAGTAGTCTCACTCTGTCGCCCAGGCTGGAGTGCAGTGGCATGATCTTGGCTCACTGAAACCTCCATCTCCTGGGCTCAGTCTACAGGCGGCCACCAGCACACTCGGCTAATTTTTGTATTTTTAGTAGAGACAGGGTTTCACCATGTTGGCCAGGCTGGTCTCAAACTCCTGACCTCAAGTGATCCGCCCACCTTGGCCTCCCAAAGTGCTGGGATTACAGGCATGAGCCACTATGTCCGGGCCTTTTTAATAATATTTTATAGGAGGCTGAGGCAGGCACATCACTTGAAGTCAGGAGTTCGGGACTAGCCTGGCCAACATGGTGAAACCCCATCTCCACTGAAAATATAGAAAGAAAAAAAAATTAGCCAGGTGTGGTCGTGCATGCCTGTAATCCTAGCTACTCCAGAGGCTGAGGTAGGATAATTGCTTGAACCCAGGAGGTGGAGGTTGCAGTGAGAGGAGATTACACCACTGCACTCCAGCCTGGGTGACAGAGCCAGACTCTGTCTTAAAACAAAACAAAACAAAACAAAACAAAACAAAACACTAAAAGCAAAGGAGCAAAGGACATAGGGACATAGGAAGGCTTTTCAGAAAAAGAGGCCAGTTCATTAGCTTTATTGCTGGTACTGCTCAAAATGAGAGGTAAGACAACTCAATTTCAAGAAAGTATAACGCAAATTTGGGATGGTTTTATCTGGCTTACTCCCTATTCAGTCAGCTCAGTCAGCTTGCCCCTAAATGTTGAGAATGAAAGAATTACACCAAGGATACACAGCCCAGTAGTACAAGAGATATGGGATGGATACTCAAGGAACAGTGCATCCACACCATTATATTACACAGTATTGATTGACACGCCACTGAAGGGGCACAGGTATTTACTGGTGTTATATACAGTAAGTTCCTCTTCAAAGAGTCAGCTTGTTCAGCTTCCTTGCTCCTTGTTCTCTATTTTCAAGCCTAATTTCCTCATTCTTTGTACCTCTCCTTGCCCCTAGTTATGGTAAATAACCTTCCCGCCAGCCCTAATCTGTAATTCACATCTATCCCCTCAACTACCCATTCTGCAATTGTCCTTCCCACCAAAACATCCTTCCACCTTTACTGTGCCCTAACATGACCAAACATGCCTTGTACTGTAACAAACAGCCTCTCCCTTCCCACCTAATTAGCCCTGTTCAATTTTAAACAGTAGCCAACCGGGTCAGCTTAGATAGTGTGGTCTGACTCCAGTCAGTGGGGAAAGGACACAGCTACAGGAGCTGCTGCGTTAGAGATAAAAACCCCTGCCCTATCCCACTCAGTGTGCTCTTGTGACCATGCCAGGCGCAAGTGACACCTTTCTGCAGAGGTAAATTCACTTGCTGAGAAAGCTTTTTGCCGGAGGGCTGATTCTTTGCAGCACTGAGCATTTATTTCCAACACTGGCTAGCTCCAAACTGGACATCTTGACTATGTGGCATCAAACTATGGCCATGGTTACTCCCAGGATGATTAGAGCAGTGTTCTTTGCATTATGCCTGGGCACAAGATTGCATAATTTACAGTCTTGTAAATTACAAAGCCTGCAAATCTTCTTCATTTATAATCTTATTGGGTTTGTTCTGTATTTCATTGGTATGATCAATTAGCTTCCATCTTTCTGCCACAATGGGGTATTGAAGAGGTCCTTTGGCATGTAAAGGCCTTAACCAATTACACAAAAAAGACATTAAATGATAGTTTCATGATTATCTTGTTATTAAACAATAAAGTTTCTCTTATGAGAAAGGCTGCATTGTTCAGGTGCAGTGGCTCATGCCTGTAACCCTGAAACAGGAGGTAGAAAGAAATTATTTAGATAGTAAGGGCAACAGAGTTCTTGGTGGAATTTCCCTTTTAACAAAAAGCAGCCACAAAATTATTTCTTTTCTAACAAAGAGCAGCCTGAAAAAATCAAGCTGCAGACACAGATAAGCAAGCTGGAAGCTTGCACAGGAGAATGCCGGCCAGCTGTGCCAATAGAAAAGGGCTACCTGGCAGCCAGGTATGTTCAACATGGAGGCCCCATCTTTCCTTTTCTTTGTCACCACGTGTATAGTAAAAAGGTAGGCAACAAAGCGTGGCGCGGTGGCTCATGCCTGTAATCCCAGCACTTTGGAAGGCCGAGGTGGGTGGATCACAAGGTCAGGAGATCAAGACCATTCTGGCTAACATGGTGAAACCCGGTCTCTATTAAAAATGCAAAAAATTAGCCAGGCGTGGTGGCAGGCGCCTGTAGTCCCAGCTACTCGGGAGGCTGAGGCAGGAGAATGGCATGAACCCGGGAGGTGGAGCTTGCAGTGAGCCGAGATCATGCCACTGCTCTCCAGCCTGGGTGACAGAGCCAGACTCTGTCTCAAAAAAAAAAAAAAAGGAAAAAAAAAAAAGGTAGGCAACATGGCAATGGCTGGGTAGAGAACCCATCTGCATCATAAAAGATTAGGGTGGGGCAGCCAGCTTCATCAGGGTGTTATGCAAACATCACACCTAGTCCTAACCAGTTCTTTGTGTGCCATGCAAATGGCGCAATGGCCTGGCCTATCTTTCGTGCCCTATGTAAATCAGACACCGCCTCCTCAAACCCATCTATAAATCCTTCTGCATTTTCATGGTGGTAGCAGAAACCCATTCAGGATCCCTCTGTCTGCAGAAGAGAGAGCTATTCTCTCTTTCGCCTATTGAACCTCCACTCTTAACTTCACTCTTTGTGTGTGTGCGTCCTAGTTTTCCATGGTTATCGGACAACAAACCTCCCGTATTATCCCAGGAAAACAACACCACTTCAAATCCCAGCACTTTGGTAGACTGAGGTGGGCGAGTCACTTGAGGCCAGGAATTCCAGACCAGCCTGGCCAACATGGTGAAACCCTGTCTCTACTAAAAATACAAAAATTAGCTGGGTGTGGTGGCGTGCGCCTGTAGTCCCAGCTACTCAGGAGGCTGAGGCAGGAGAATTGTTTGAGCCTGGGAGGTGGAGGTTGCAGTGAGCTGAAATTGCACCACTGTACTCCAGCCTGGGCAAGAGAATGAGACTGTTTCAAAAAAAAAAAAGAAAGGCTGCATTACAGAACCATATGGCTTTAAAGATACTCACTGTATCCCCTGTGATAATACACGGGGAACCCATGTTATCATAAAGACGAAGTGTTGTGTTTCTGTTCTGGAAGAATCAGATAACATCATTAAATTAATGGCTGACATGAAAACCTAAATAACTAAACTTTAAGATCCTACACCCACTCTAAATGATTGGCCAAGAAGCAGGTTTAGATCTTGGGGAACTTTGCCACAGAAGCTCTTATGCGTTCTTGGAATTATAAGCATTTGTTGTGTTTTGTTCTGTTTTTGTCTGTATTACTTCTGTGGCATTTGTTTGCAATGGAGTCAACATACAACTGAAAAAACTAAAATAATGGTTGCTCAAAGAATTGCATTAATTGAATATGCAACTATGTAGCCTGACTCAGGTCACAAAATCACTTCCTTCATGTTGCTTTAAATTCAGCCTACACCCCAACAGTTTTGTTGTTGTTGTTGTTTTTGAGATGGAGTCTCACTCTGTCTCCTGGGCTGGACTGCAGTGGCGCAATCTCGACTCACTGCAATCTCTGCCTCCCCAGTTCAAGTGATTCTCCTGCTTCAGACTCCTGAGTACCTGAGATTACAGGCGCACGCCACCACACCTGGCTAATTTTTATATTTTTAGTAGAGACGAGGTTTTGCCATGTTGGCCAGGCCAGTCTCGAACTCCTGACCTCAGGTGATCTACCCACCTCAGCCTCCCACAGTGCTGGGATTACAGGCATGAGCCACTGCCCCGCCACCCCAACAGTTTTATTGCCTGACAAATTCCTCCTGCCATGGGATATGACACTCTAGGAATGAGCCCACCCAGCAACACAGGACTAAGCTCCTGAACTTAAAAGGAACCAAAACCATCATCTATGATGGTTTCTTCAAAAGATCGATGAAAAGAGGGAAATGTGAAATTAAACAATTCAAACTTAAAGCTGTTGGAACTTTAAATTATTCTGAGCCTTGAGAGGAATGTGGCTATGTGGCCTGAGTCATGCCGCATGCAGCTGCAACTTCTGCCTTTTTTCTTCTGTAAATAATTAGGAAGATTAAATATCACCAGAGAAAAGACCCTCTCACTACTCCTTCTCACAGAGTATAAAGTAATCTGCCTTGGAATGTAACAATCCATAACCAATCAAATCACTGTAATGCATGCACTGGTCTTTTAAGGAAAATGTAATCTGCTAAAATTTCTCTGTCTCTGCATGTATTAGTGAAACCTTAACTTCTCCACTCCGGAATGCTGATCCTGTTAGTTTGGAGTCAGTGTTCCCGGGTGGTCATCCTTAAGCCTTGCATTCAAACAAACTCTGCTCTTCATCATATTTTCTGAATCTCATTATTTAAGGTTGACACTCCCAATCGCCTTTCTTAGAAAGCTGTTTAAGGATGTGTCCAAGCATTCACATATATGCACATACACTCACACACACACACACACACACACACTGTCACACATAAAAAAAACTAAATTAAGAGGAAGATACTGGGATTTTGGAATACATGGGATTGAAGAAACAGAGGATCCAAGAGAGGCAAAAAGAATTTCCCAGGTGATGGGAAATGGAAGTTCCAATACAACAATTAAGCAACAAACCCACAGTGGAACCATCCAGATTGGAATAGGAACATGGGGGCACTAGGAAGAGTCTGGAACTGAAGCAGGGCAGACAGTGATGTAATTCTTTAATTATCTGACATGTTTTGTATAAAGTTTAATTGAAAATCATTTTACAGAGCTGTTGAGGGTGTGGAAATAGTCAGCTGTCCAAAGAAAATTAAGAAACTGTCTTTAAATTAGGCAATCATTAACCCCAGAAAAAACCAAGTTGCATAAGGAAGGATATATAATCATGCTACTAGGCTCAGAAGTAAACTGCATACTACATATACATAGAAAAAATTATAAAAACACTGAATATAAATTTTACAGATATTTGAGATTTTGGCCAGGCGCAATGGCTTATGCTTGTAATCCCAGCACTTTGGGAGGCTGAGGCAGGTGCATCACTTGAGGTCATGAGTTCGAGACCAACCTGACCATTATGGCAAAACCCTGCCTTTACTAAAAATACAAAAATTAGCTGGGCATGGTGGCACATGTCTGTAATCCCAGCTACTGAGGAGGCTGAAGCATAAGAATCACTTGAACCTGGGAGGCAGAGGTTGCAGTGAGCCGAGATTGTGCCACTGCACTCCAGCCTGGGTGACAGAGCAAGACTCTGTCTCAAAAAATAAGTAAATAAAATACAAATAAATAAATAATAGATATTTGAGATTTTATTTTTTGGGGAAGGTGGTGAAAGGAAAAGAAAAGATATAAGTAAGCTAAAATCCTCATTACTCCTAACTGGAAATCAATGGATATGTCTACTGAGATGAACCAAGAGACAACAACAGTATGTACACATTACTTAGAAATAAAAAAGTAAAATCAGTGAAAACAACTTACAAAAATTGAAATTAGTTACTGGTGAATGGTGGCAGTAGGATAGTGAAGAGAAGGGGCTATTTTGTAAAAATCAGTTTTCGTAATCTTTGATTTTTTTTGAGACAGAGTCTCACTCTATCACCCAGGCTGGAGTGCAGTGGCACGATCTCGGCTCACTGCAACCTCCACCTCCTGGGTTCAAGTGATTCTTCTGCCTCAGCCTCCAGAGTAGCTGGGATTACAGGTGCACACCACCACGCCCGGCTAATTTTTGTATTTTTAGTAGAGATGGGGTTTCGCCATATTGGCCAGGCTGGTCTCGAACTCCTGACTTCAGGTGATCTGCCCACCTTGGCCTCCCAAAGTGCTGGGATTACAGGCGTGAGCCACCGCATTGATCAATCTTTGATTTTTCATACTATTCAAGTATAGCACTTTGATAAAAAATAAAAGTTGATTAAAAATAATAATTACAGTTATTTTATATGATGCAAAACTTTATAGTTGAAATTATACAATATCACAAAATCAGAATTTTGAATTATAGCATTAATGTTCAGTTTAACACATGTAAAATTTTATTTAATCATATGAGTTATTACCACAAAGAAGACATGATTTGGCAAAGCCATTTTGCACTTTGTGATATGCTTTGTAAAACTGGAGTTTTTAAATTGTGGTAATTAATTCATGAAGGGTTAAGGATTTTATTTCTGCTTTCTGAGGTTTATTAATATTTAAAGCCTGGATATGTATTTGAAGCATAAAGAACTTTATCAAATTAAAGAGTGGCAAATCATTCCCCTTTGAAGAAAAATATTACAATTTGCATTCAAATTCCTTCCTTATCTTTTTTAAAGAGGAAAGGCAGCATTAATTTTAGGTCTCATTATATTTACCATCCAAGAGTTTGCAAATGGAAATTATATCGAAATGATAAATGTAATTCTGTTTATGCTTTTCCTGGATTAAACATATATGCACATACACATATATATATTTTTTATTTCTTTGAGATGGAGTCTCGCTCTGGTGCCCAGGCTGGAGTGCAGTGGCGCGATCTTGGCTCACTGCAACCTCCACCTCCTGGGTTCAAGCAATTCTTGTGCCTCAGCCTCCTGAGAAGCTGGGATTACAGGCACCGTGCCTGGCTAATTTTTGTATTTTTAGTAGAGACGGGGCTTCTCCACATTGGCCAGGCTGGCCTTGAACTCCTGACTTCAGGTGGTCTGCCTGCCTCAGCCTCCCAAAGTGCTGGGATTTCAGGTGTGAGCCATCACACCTGGCCACACACCCATATTTAAATGTTAAGAAATCAGCAGCAGTTATTTTACCCATCTGCAGTCTGAGTCTGATGATACGACAGCCTTCTCTCCCTCCCCTTTCCCTTTCCCTTCCTTTCCTTTCCTTTCCTTTCCTTCCTCCTTTCCTTTTTCCTTTTTCCTTTCTCCTCTCCTCTCTTTTCCTCCTATTTATTCCCAATATTGGCTTGGTACTGGGAATATAAAAAAGGATAAAGTATTACCCTTTATCTACAGAAATTATAATCTGGTGCCACTGTACACACTGTACACAACTAAATATAAAACAATTTGAACACAGCGAGAACTGATTCCTATGAAGGAATCAGAATTTACAAGATATCTGGAGACAGAGTACATTGCGTTGGGGCTCAGAACGTACCACACCAAATATGACTGTAAGAGACCAGAATATGCCACCCCAAAATATGCCTCCTTGGCATGTTGCTTATTTTGAGCTGGTTATTTTGAGAAAGTGCAGACACAGGAGTATTTCTGAAAAGTTACCCTTTAAAAAAAAAATTTACATCTTTAAAGGCAGTCTCCATTTGTAACAGTGTCTCTCTCTGCACCAGGGAAAAAGGAAGAGTAAATCAGTAGAGACTCATAACCAATGGAGAAGGCTTACATTTAAATCTGCACAAAAAACCTTACCTTCGTTTTATGGTGTTTTCCAGACCTTTCCCCAAACCCTTCTTTCTTTTTTTCCCGGAATGATGATATTTAAGCTTGAAGTTTAAATGCTTCTTTTGAGATCCACTCTAAATATTGACACATTTCTCAGAGTTTCCTCCCAAATATACATGAGGCATATACGGTAATAAACTGTTTGTTTTTCTCATGTTAATCTCTCTTTTGTTAGAGGTAGTCCCAATTAAGACCTATTAAGGGTAGAGAGAAAATTATTTTTCCATCCCTGCAACTGGGAAGAAGTCTCTGAAGCGGACACTTTTTCACTTTGGCTTGGAGGGCGTGACAGGCAACAGGAGAGGGCTTAATGCAGAGGGGCACAAAGTACCCCAGGGCACAGGTAGGTACTGTGCAAGCCCCTGCATCCAGGGAGGTGGGTGACTTCTGGTCCACTGTGGACCTGACCACACTCTCCCCCAAGATCACTCACAGACACTGGGAGGAGAGTAGGAAGCCTAGGGGTGTTGGGTTAGAACTGGAAACACCTGGGTCGGGGGCAGGGCGGACTGCACGTAATCATGTAATGAGGAATGGCTGTTCATTTCTAGCATAAAAGAGAATGCATTGCAAGCACATTTAAAGAAATGAGTGCTCTATGAATAGTGCTAAATTAAAAATTCTTGGACAAAAGGATGTTCTTCAAGTTCCAGATTATTCAGAAACAAATTTATATGTGCAAACTGGACATGAGCTATTCTTTCATTCAACTGTTATTTATCGGGTGCAGGCTATGGGATGCTGTCAGCATTCAAGGCACTGGGAACCAAAAAAGTTCTTACCCTTGTGTCATATTCTAGTGACACCTATTCAGTTTTAGTTCATCTTTCTAGATTAAAAACACACACACACACACACAACAATTGTCAGAAACCAACTTAAAGATTTGTCAAGACTAATTTAAGTGACTGACCAACAATAGTCAAAAAACTTAGATGCATATGTAATGGGATGTTTTTTAACATTCTTCTTATTAAAAGAAAATTGCATCATTGCCTTTATAGTAATATGTTAAGATCATAAAACTGAAAAGCGCTCCTTTGATAAATCTGGTAGTCTAGGGCCACCTGGTGTCCAAACTATTTAATTACGTTATTTAGCAAAGAAAAAAGAATACTTTTTTTTTTTCTGGTATGATTCCACTTATGGGATGTCCAGACAGGCAAATCCATAGAAACAGAAAGCAGGACAGTGCTTTACTCTTTTAAACTTGAAATTCCCTAATTAAAAGAAGATATTCCCACAATTAAAGATTAGAACTTAAAATATATTAGCCAGGTGTGGTGGCATGCACCTGTTAAGGAACAAAGATTCTGTATTAGTTTCCTATTGCTGCTGTAAAAAATTATCACTAACTTGGTGGTTTAATGCAATACAAGTTTATTACTTTACAATTCTAGGGTCATATGTTCATAATGGGTCTCTAAAATCAAGGTGTCAGCAGGGCTCTGTTCCTTCTAAAGGCCGTAGAGGAGGATCCATGTCTTTCCCCTTTCTACCATCTAGAGGCTGCCTGAATTCTTTGGCGGGCAGTCCCCTACTGTCTTCAGAGCCAGTGATGACTGCTGAGTCTTTTCCATGATGCACCCCCTCTGACGCTACCTCTGGGCCCACCTGGATGATCCAGGCTACTCTCCCCATCTCAAAGTCAGTGGATTTTTTTTCTTTTAACAGAGATGGGGGTCTTGCTGTGTTGCCAGGTTGGTCTCAAACTCCTGAGCTCAAGCAATCCTCCCTCCTTGGCCTCCCAGAGTGCTGGGATTATAGGCATAAGCCACTGCACCTGGTCGTCAGTGGATTTCTTAGTTGCATCTGCAAACTTAATTCTCCCTTGCCCTATAACATAACCTATTCACAGGTTTTGGAGATTTGGATGAGGCCCTCTTTGGGGAAAAGACATTTTTTGCCTATCATAGAGTCCATTAGTTTTTTCTGGAGGCAAATATGCTACTTTTTAAGTTTCAGTTAAATGGGAAAGACATTAAACTGTTTCTCTGTCCCTATTTGTAACTTGGAATCGATGAACAGGAAGAGAAACATTGCTTCTGCCAATGCCTGTAAAATTAACCAAGGGTTTAAAAATCCCCACAGTGAATTTTTATTTATGCTTTCTTTACTAATCTTAGCTAGAAAAACCCAAACTAAATATTAAAAAATGTTGATCTTAAATTAATTCAAGTTGACAAAGACAGGTGTAAGCCCAAATACTGCTTGATAGTACACGAAACATACAAGTAGAAGGTTTTGTTTGTTTGTTTGTTTGTTTACTGGGCAAAATGGTTTTATCTGCAAACTAGTTAGAATGAAGCTCACAAAAATGGAAAAATAGGGACCTCTGAAGGGGATAAAGAAGGAGAAAAGAGGAAGATAACGGGGGTCTGTTTTTTACCTGTACCTCTTCATCACAGTAGCAGGTGAACACCCTGCATATATTGGTCATTGGCCAGCAAGAGCAAGAGTGACCCTCCATACCCAGGAGATTTGAATGGGTTGCTCCTGAAGTGGCCTTCAGAGTGAGGATGATAAACACTGTCCTTCTCTTTTCTGTGAATGTAGGCAGTGTATGCCCATCTAACTTCAATGGAAAATCAGCCAGAAAAAGCGCTTGGATTTTCAATAGTGCTGCCCTGCCTTTTCTGGAATGTCATATATAAGGGGCTATGGTAAGGGGACATCAGTATTATCTAGGTAGAATGAGAAAAAAGAGAATTGAATTATTCAAAGTAATTGAATCATTTTAGAATATTCAACTATTAATAATAATTGAGTATTCAATTATTTCTGTTATAAAAATGCTTTAGCAACTGTTAATAGTGCTGATAGTAGTAAAGAGAGTCTTTCCAGGACCTATGTAAGGCTTTTCTCCAGTTTGAGGAAGCCTTCATGAAAACATTACCTCCAAGAACCTCCTTAAAGTTATGTATTAATTAAAATTTAATAATTTTAATTAATAAATTTAGTAATTAACAATAAGTATAACAATAATTATTTAAAATAATTTAATTAAATATTTAATAATTAAAATTATTAAAGTATTTTAATAAATAGCAGTCATTAAATTGCTAGCTTAAGTCTTGGCAGTATGTGTTATATAGTTTTCATTGTAGAGGTTTTACATGTCTTTTGTTAAAGTTTTTCCTAAGTATTTCGTAAATTTTAATGCTTTTAAAAATGGTAATGCCGGCTGGGCGTGGTGGCTTACACCTGTAATCCCAGCACTTTTGGGAGGCTGAAGCGGGTGGATCACAAGCTCAGGAGATCGAGACCATCCTGGCTAACACGGTGAAACCCCATCTCTACTAAAAAATACAAAAAAATTAGCCAGGCGTGGTGGTGGGCGCCTGTAGTCCCAGCTACTCCGGAGGTTGAGGCAGGAGAATGGCGTGAACCCGGGAGGCGGAGCTTGCAGTGAGCCGAGATCGAGCCATTGCACTCCAGCCTGGGCGACATAACGAAACTCCGTCTCAAAAAAAAAAAAAAAAAAAAAAAAAAAAAAAGGTAATGCCTACCTGGCCCTTTGGAAAATTAAAAAAAGAAAAGAAAAAAATGGTAATGGTTTTATTTATTCCTTTCCAATATGTATGACTTTATTTTTCTTACCTTTTTACACTGGTAAGACCTCCAGTATAATATTGAATAACGGTGGGGAAAGTGAACATTCTTGCTTTGTTCACAGCCATAAGGGAAAGGTAGTCAATATTTCACCATTAAGTATGCTATTATCTTTAGGTTTTTTCCTAGATGACTTTTATCAAGAAGTTCCCTTCTGGTCTTAGTTTACTAAGAGATTTTCATTTTTAAATCATGATGGCTATTATTGAATTTTGTCACAGGCATTTTGTTGCATTTATTGAGATGATCATATGATTTTTCTCCTTTATTCTGTTAGTGTGACAAATAGCAACAATTGATTTTCAAGTGTTAAAGCAACTTTGCATCCCTAAAGTAAACCCCACTTAGTCACAATGTATTATCCTTCCTTTTCATGTATTGCTCCTTTCAACACTCTATTTTCCCTTCCCTTCCCCTCCCTCCCTCCCTCCCTCCCTGCCTCCCTCCCACCTTTCTTTCTTTCTTTCTTTCTTTCTTTCTTTCTTTCTTTCTTTCTTTCTTTCTTTCTTTCTTCCTTCCTTCCTCCCTTCCTTTTCTTTCTTTCTTTTCTTTCTTTCCTTCTTTCTCTCTTTCTCTCTCTCTCTTCCTTTCTCCTTCCTTCCTTTCTTCCTTTCTTTCTCTCTCCTTCTTCTCTTTCTCCTCCTCCTTCTCCTTCTCCTCCTTCTCCTTCTCCTTCTCCTTCTCCTTCTCCTTCTCCTTCTTCTTCTTCTTCTTCCTCTCTCTCTCTCTGTTTTCAGACAGGGTCTCACTCTGTTGCCCAGGCTGGAGTGCAGTAGCGTGATCATGGCTCACTGCAGCCTTGACCTCCTGGGCTCAAGCAATCCTCCCACTTCAGCTTCCCAAACTGCTGGGATTACAGGTGTGAGCCACTGGGCCTGGCCCAGAAACTATTTTCTAAAGGAGTCTGTGGCCGGGAGCGTGGCTTACGCCTGTAAGGAGACTGAGGCAGGAGAATTGCTTGAACCTGGGAAGCGGAGGTTGCAGTGAGCCAAGATTGCGCCACTGCATTCCAGCCTGGGTGACAGAAGGAGACTCTGTCTCAAAAAAAAAAAAAAAAAAAAAAAAAAGGAGTTTGTGTAAGATTAGTATTATTTCTTCCTTAAATGTTTGGGAGAATTCCCAAGGGAAACCATCTGGGTCTTCAGTTTTCTTTGAGGGATGGCTTTCAATTCTCAATTCAACTTTTAAAATTAATATATTCAGATTTTCAATTTTTTTTTTTGCATCAGTTTGGTAAATTGTGTTTTTCAAGAAACTCCTTTCGTCTGATTTGTCACGTTTATCAGCATAAAGTTACTGCCGCAGGCTTTGTGGTGATCTCCCCTCCTTCTGTTTGAGCTTGGGAATGTATGCTTTCCCTCTTTTCTGGAGCATTCTCAAAGTCTCCCATGGCAGTGTCCTTTTTCCTAGGCAGGGCAAAAAGGATGATCTTCTTTCAGTTATGGAGAGGCCAGCACCCTCTTCCCCTTTCTTCTATTTGTCATCATCCACAAACCCCTGCACGCTCATAGATAAGACAGACACTATCTGGGAGATCCCTCATTTTCCCCATAATAGGTTCCCTAAAATGTTTTTTGGACACGAGAATGTATAGACTTTGGGGGATGTGGACAAAACAGACAAATACCAACTTATAATTACTATTACTATGATTATACATATGTGCTTTAAATCAAATTATAGTGTTACTATATAAAAACACACACATATTTATACTCTATATAAACACAGCATGTACCATTTTAGCCATTTTTAAGTGTACAATTCAGTGGCATTAAGTACATTCACAATGCCATGCAACCATCGCCACTCCCCATTTCTGGAACTTGTTTTTTTTTCTTTGAGACAGAGTCTTGCTTTGTCACCCAGGCTGGAGTGCAGTGGTGTGATCTCTGCTCACTGCAGCCTCTGCCTCCCGGGTTCAAGTGATTCTCCTGTCTCAGCCTCCGGAATAGCTGTGATTACAGTCGTGTGCCACCACACCTGGCTAATTTTTGTGTTTTCAGTAGAGACGGGGTTATACCATGTTGGCCAGGCTGATCTCGAACTCCTGACCTCAGGTGATCCACCCATCTCTGCCTTCCAAAGTGCCAGGATTACAGGCATGGGCCACTGTGCCTGGCAGATTTCTGGAATTTTTAAATCATTCCAAACAGAAATTCTATACTCATTAAACAATAACTTCCCATTGCTCACTCCCCACAGCCCCCCGCTAGGCTTTATCTACTTTCTGACTCTATCAATTTGCCTACTATAGGTACCTCATTAGTGTTTTCATGCTGCTAATAAAGACATACCCGAGACTGGGTAATTTATAAAGGAAAGAGGTTTAATCGGCTTGCAGTTCCACATGGCTGGGGAGGCCTCACAATCATGCGGAAGGCAAAGGAGGAGCAAAGATATGTCTGCAAAGACACGGCAGCAGGTGAGAGAGAGTGTGCTTGGGAACTCCCATTTATAAAACCATCAGATTTCATAAGACTTACTCATTATCATGAGAACAGCAGTAAAAACCCACCCCCATGATTCCATTACGTCCCATTGGGTCCCTCCCATGATACGTGGGAATTATGGGAGCTACAATTCAAGATCAGATTTGGGTGGGGACACAGCCAAACCATATCATATACCTATTATAGGTACCTCATATTATAGGTACTTCATACAATATTTGTCCTTTTGTGTTTGGCTTATTTCACTTAGCATATGCTTTTACAGTTCATCCATGTTGTAGCCTATCAGAATTTAATTCCTTCTTGTGGCTGAATAATATCCCATCATATATATATATATATATATATATATATACACACACACACACACCACATTTTATTCATTCATTCATCTGTGATGGACACTTGGTTTGTTTCCACATTCTGAATATTGTGAATAATGCTTCAATTCTTTCGGGTATATATGTAAGAGTAGAATTGCTGGACCATATGGTAATTCCATGTTTAACTTTTTGAGAAGCTGCCAGACTTTTTTGCACAGAAGCTGTACCATTTTACATTCCCATCAGTAATTCATGAAAGTTCCAGTTTCTTCATATTCTTGCCAACACTCCTCATTTTCTGCTTTTTTGATAATAGCCATCCTAATGTGTTTGAAGTTATATCTCATTGTAGTTTTGACTTGCATTTCCCTAATGATTTATGAGGCTGAGCATATTTTCATGTATTTATTGGCCAGTTATATAGAGACGTCTATTCAAGACATTTGCCCATTTTTGAATTGTTTCTTTTTTGTTGTTGAGTTGTAGGAGCTATTTATATATTCTTTTATTTATTTATTTATTTATTTTTGAGACGGAGTCTTGCTCTGTCGCCCAGCCTGGAGTGCAGTGGTGCGATCTCGGCTCACTGCAACCTCTGCCTCCCGGGTTCATGCCATTCTCCTGCCTCAGCCTCCTGAGTACCTGGGACTACAGGCACCCGCCACCACGCCCAGCTAACTTTTTTGTATTTTTAGTAGAGACGGGGTTTCACCATGTTAGCCAGGATGGTCTCGATCTCCTGACCTTGTGATCTACAGTTATTTAAGGTGGATTAGCTCCTATGAGATTGAAAGTAGAGAAATTAGGTCAGTATGCTGTGGAAACTATATTGGTTCATCTGCAAAATTGCCCAGCATGTAATATTTTGTGCTGTCAAGAAAGAGCAGCAGGATGCAAGCACATGAGCACAGCTGAATACCCCAAATACAAAGGAGTACAGTATTGAAACCAGTGCACTTTCTCTCCATGCCCTCCTTTTTCCTTTTGAAATAATTTTCCGAATTATTGCAAAAATAGCACAAAGAGTTCACATATGCCTTTCTCCCAGCTTCTTCCAATTTTAACTTACACAATTATCAAAACCAGAAAATAACATTGGTACCATACTATTAACCAGACTTTACATATCACCAGTTTCCTCCCTTAAAGCCCCTTGTCTGTTTCAGGATCCAATCCAGGATCCCATGTTGCTAAATCATGCATCTCCTTAGTCTCCTCCAATCGGTGAGAGTTCCTCAGTCTTTCCTTGTCTTTCATGACCTAATGATTACTTTGCAGAATGTCTCAATTTGGATTCCTCTGATGATTTCTCATGATTAGATTGAGATTATGCATTTTTGGTAAGATTACCCCAGAAGTGATGTTGTGTCATGTCAGCACACAATGACATCAATGAGACTCATTACTGGTGATGTTAACCTTGATAATTTGGTTACTGTGGTTTCTCAATAACGTTCTGCACGAAATGTCTTCTGTAAATGATAAATATCTCAGAGAGATACTTTGATACTGTGAAATATCCTGTTTCTCCTCCAATATTCATGACCGATTTTAGCATCCATCAGATGAATCATGCCTGCAACAATTATGGTGGTGTCTGCCTAGTAATTTTGTATTTCTATTATTCCTTCTATGTTTTAAAATTAGAATTATTTGTAAGGAATAAATACCCTGTTTCTCCCATTTATTTATTTATTCAATCACTTATTTGTATCAGTGTGGACTCATGGAAATTTATTTTATTCTGAGCTAAAATCCAATACTATTTTAATTTGGTTGCGCCAGTTGTTCCAGCTTTGTCCATTGAGAGCTCTCCTTCACATTAGTTCCTGTGTCTTCTCAACATGCTTCCATCCTTTCAAGCACCTCCTTATTTTCTAGTGCAATAACCTATTCCAGGCTCATTTTGCATTTTGCAAAGGAGACTTGGTTCCTTTCACAGGAGAATGGTGTTTGGAGCTCATGACCTAGGATCTAGGTATGCTTATAGCCATTGGAGTACCATTGCCTTTAGGCACTCTTAGCAGACAGAGCTAGGACATTTATGTATGTATACTAACTCATACATATACACACATCTAAATGTAAAGGTGTGTGTATGTGTATATTTGATATATTAAAAACAATTATTTTGGACTGGGCACAATGATTCATGCCTATAATCCCAGCACTTTAGGAGGCCGAAGTGGTGTTGATAGCTGATGTGATAACTTGGTTCTTGTCTTCTTCGTTTAAAAGAATTTAAGCAAGAGACACACAGCAAAAGAAGTGCAGCATAGAGTCATTTATTGCAAAAGAAAAAGAATATTTTGAAAGTTAGGTACAGAATAGGCAGTACACCGAGAGAGAGGATTCAGGGCGGGCTGCTCATAAGGATGAGACAGCAGGCACTGGCGCTAGGGAGACTACTTTATGGGAGTCTCCCATGATTATTCATAAGGAGTTGGAAAGAGGTGTTGCTAGTAAGCATGTACTAGGGGGTCCTCTGGGTGCATGTGCGCAGTAACTGTACATGCTTGTTCATATGTTGCATGTCTCATTAGCATCTTAAATCTCCACCCGGGGTGTGTTTTTTTACTGTTATAATGAGCAAAGGGTCAGTTTGAGGATGGGTAAAATCCAAATATGCATGCGCTCTAGAAGGGAAAGTCCCTGCTGAAGACAGCTTTGCTTGAGTGAGCCCAGTGCAAATGCTGAGGCTTACTGTGTTGACTGTATGCTCACCATGGTTGTTTGTCCCGAGAACGTGGTCAATTCCTTGACTACCAGTCCTGCCTCAGTGGGAGGATTGCTTGAGGCCAGGAGTTCGAGACCAGCTTGGGCACATAGCAAGACCCCATCTTTATAAAAATAATAAATACAAAATGTAAAAAAAAATGATCGTAATACTGATATATCTGATTCCAGTTTAACACAAGGCTCTTTCTAGCCATCTCCCTTTCCCTCCTTGTAACTTATTTGTTTGAGAGACACATGGCTCTTATATATAATGTTCATTTATTTATTCAATGCTAGTATATACACAGAGTATTTATTGAATTGCTAATCCATAGCCCTATGATAAATTAATTTACTAACTAGTGTACAATTTTTGTGGTTTTTTTTTTTTTTTTTGATACGGAGTCTTGCTCTGTCGCCCAGGTTGGAGTGCAGTGGCGCAATCTCGGCTCACTGCAACCTTCACCTCCCGGATTCAAGCAATTCTCCTGCCTCAGCCTCCCAAATAACTGGGACTATAGCCGTGTGCCACCACACCTGGCTAATTTTTGTGTTTTTAGTAGAGACAGGGTTTCACTATGTTGGCCAGGCTGGTCTCGAACTCCTGACCTCAGGTGATCCACCCACTTCGGCCTCCCAAAGTGCTGGGATTACAGGTGTAAGCCACCACGGCCAGCCAAGTACAGTATTTGTAAATAGTTCATTTTGCCATTAGCTTTTCAGTATCCAGGCAAAATACTGTTTTTCAAAGTTACTTAATTATTTTCTTCCCCATCCCCTTCTGTATGGTCATGAGTCACTTGTAGTATATTTAATTTGTTCAGTCATTACTACTTCCTTCCCTTCTCTGTAACTCCTTTCGAATTTCTCCATTTTTCACCCCTTTGCTACCCATACCCTGTAGGTAAACAATCTCTTTAGTTTATGTTTCTGTATATTTTTTGCACAAATAAGAAATCTGTTCTCTTATACTCCCTTCTTCATTTTTGTTTTCCTTTTTTTTTTTAGAGAGATTGGGTCTTACTACATTGCCCAGGTTGGCGTTGAACTCCCGGGCTCAAGAAATCCTCCTGCCTGGGCTCCCAAATCTCTAGGATTACAGGCCTGAGCCACCGTGCCTGGCTCCTCCCACCCCCACCCCCACCCCCACTTCTTTTTTACATGAAGGGTAGCATGCTATAGTGACTCTTTTTTTCTTTTTTTCTTTTTTCTTTTTGAGACTGAGTTCACTTTTGTTGCCCAGGCTGTAGTGCAATGGAACGATCTTTGTTCACCACAGCCTCCGCCTCCCGGGTTCAAGCGATTCTCCTGCATCAGCCTCCCGAGTAGCTGGGATTACAGGCACCCGCTACCACGCCCAGCTAATTATTTGTATTTTAGTAGAGACGAGGGTTTCACCATGTTGCCCAGGCTAGTCGCGAACTCCTGAGCTCAGGCAATCCGCCCGCCTCAGCCTCCCAAAGTGCCTGGGATTACAGGCGTGAGCCACCGCGCCCGGCATAGTTAACTCTTTCATACTTTGCATTTTTTCACACCCTCTTCTTCCTGTTTGCTCATTTCGGTCACATGCTCTGTGTCGGCTGTGCAAAATACTGTTTCCACCATCTTTGTGCATTTTGTTTTTGTTGTACATCCCAGAAGCCCCAATTCCTTACTACACATTCTTCCATCAAGCTACTTTCAGCTCTTTTTTTTTAAAGGTAAGATTCTATACTTACTGTAGTATTTTTCTATTAAGAGTTTACTGTGTTGCTTATTATTATGCTAGTATTTCTTACAGGGTTCTGCTTTTAAAGAATTCTCATTATAAAACTGTATAGGCTTTGAGTGGCCTGCTTCAACACTTTTCCCCCATAAGCCCTGTTATTTTTAGTGTGCAAGTTTGCAGAAGATAAGTCTTTTATAGAAAGCTGTTTAGTAGCAGAAATGCCTGTTATCAGTAGTTTCATCATCACTTTTTGAGTCTTTTAACACATTTCAAGAGGCCATCATCTTCAAGTCCATCTAAATTTTCAAGAGAGTACAAATTTGTATGTGATGATATTGCTGGAAATTTTGTTCTGAGCCAAGTACTCATATATCGCTCATTATCTACAAAACAACCACTTACTGTTTCTCCTTTCAGCGATCTCTGTGAATGGCTTATTTATAATATCTTGCAATTGTGAAGCCATCTTCTAGGAATAATTAGTAAATCTGTGTGAATTTCTTTACCTCCTTTTTATCAATTCCATCCTACAAAGCATGCAAAGTTGTTCAAACTCATATAATTGAGCAAATTCAAACCAGGATGCTACTGCTTGATAAGCAGTGGGTGATGGCCAGATTCTTTGTCTCTGGAAAGTCTTCGCCAGGTGCAAAAGAGGATCGACTGCTAAAGGAGCTTCTCAAAGCTCATGAGGATGATGCTAGTGCAGTGCTTTTAAACCTTAATGTGCATACAGATTACCCAAGGATCTTGTTGAAATGTAGACTTTGGTTTTAGTAAGTTTGGGAGGGGCTTGCAATTCTGTCTTTCTAACCAGTGCTCAGGTGATGCTGATGCTCCAGGTTTATGGAGCCCTCTTTGATAAGGAAGATTATAGATTTTTACTAAGAGTTGAGATCAGCATTCAATAGAATATTCTGAAATACTGGAAGGGCTTTATGTCTGTACTGCCCAATACAGTGGCCACAGGCCATGTGTGGATACTGAGCACTTGAATTATGGCTAGTGAGACCAGGAGCTGAATTTTAAATTAAATTTAAATTAATTTGAGTGTAAATGAAAATAGCTACATACAGTTAGTGGCTATCACCCTGAACAGTGAATATCCTTTAAAATAAAAAATATATATATACATGTATATAAGATGGGTGCCGTGGCTCATGCCTGTAACCCCAGCACTTTCAGAGACTGAGGTGGGCAGATGCTTGAACCCGAGATTTCAAGACCAGCCTGGCAACATGGTGAAACCCCATCTCTACAAAATACAGAAATAAAAAAGTAGCCAGGGATGGGGGCCTGCCCCTGCAGTCCCAGCAATCTGGGAGGCTGAGGTGGGAGGATCACCTGAGCCCAGAGAGGTTGAGGCTGTAGGTCGTGCCACTGCTCTCCAGCCTGGGTGACAGAGTAAGACCCTATCTCAAAAAATAAAATAAAGTTAAATAAAATAAAATAATATGTGTGTGTGTCTGTGTGTGTGTGTGTATGTATGTGTGTGTGTGTGTGTGTATATATATATGTGTGTGTATATATATATATATATATATATATATATATATATATATATATAAAATTATGTTCAGGGGCAAAGGGAACTTTATTTCCACCCTCTGAAGGTTTGATAATTTTAGTCTCTGGAATAAATTGGACAGTAGACAGATCAACAGGAGAAAAGGCGTACAGATTGATTATGTGCATATGCATGGGAGTCCCACAAACTATGAGACTCAAAGAAGGACCAGATGGCTGAAGCTTAAATAGCATTTTGGGCTACAGAAAGAAATAGTAGTTTGGGGTTTCCAGGGGCGGGGAGGTGGCATCAAATTATGGAAGGTTAAGGTTGAAAATGTCTGGCAGAGGTTTTCTTGTAATGCAGATAGTCTTCCAGGTAGCAGTCTTCGAAAGAATACTTTAGGCCTGTGTTTAGGCTCCTTTCCTGTGAGTTAATCTTCCCTGTTCAATGAGATTATAGGGAGGGACTCACAATTGTATTCCTTCTAGAGCAACTTCAGAGAAAGCCATACTCTGGCGCTTCGGGAGGGAAGGAGGGGAGACAGACCTTGATTTTCCTTTAGTGAAAAGCACTCAGCATGCCGAAGCACCATACTTTGGGGCATCAGTTTCTGAGCCCCAACACTTGTGTATGTAAGTACCTGTACAAACATATAATATAGTTTTTGAGGTCTTTATATTTTCATAAATGCAATGCTATTGAACACATTCTAAACTTTGCTATATTATGTATTGGTAAATGTTCAGGTTATTGTCCACTTTTTTTCAACTACAAACTATACAGAAAAAAATCTTTGTGCATGCCACCTCAAATACATATTTGTGTATTTCCATAGGATAGATACTGAGAAATGGAATCACTGGGTCACTGAGAATAGTTACTATTTTGAGTTACTGCCAAGTTGCTTTTCAGAGAAGCTGAAGTAATTTATTCCAGTTTTAGTAGGAAAGTACCATTTCTCCACATTCTTGATTAGTATTACCAACATTTTTTAATGCTTTGCCAGTTATATGGTGAGAAGTTACATCTTACTTTAATTTACATGTCTGTACATGACTAGGGAGAATAAAATTTATTTCTTTGTTTACTGATCATTTATATTTTCTCTTCTGTGACTTGACAGTTCACCTTGTCTGTTCATTTTTCTGCTGAGTTGTCTTATTCTTATATATATCCAAATTAAAATTTTTTGTTATATGTTATATTTATTTCTAGTTTGCACTTTTTTTAATACTTATATTTTAAGTTTGCTTATGCCTTTAGGTTTTTACAGAAGGTTTAAATTTAGACATGGTTATGCAAATCTCTTCCCTTGCAACTTTCCTTAATTCAGGCTTTTCTGCCCCAGAGTCATAAACACAGTCTCCTATGTTTTTATATAATACTTTTATAATCTTACTGAGATATATAATCCATATGCAATTGATTTTTATTAAGTGTGAGTTAGAGACCAACCTTTTTTTCTCTAAATGCATGGCCAATTCTCCCAATACTATTTCTTGAGTAGTCCAGCCTTTCACCACTGATAAATTTCAACCTTTATTAGATATTAAATTCCTATGTATGTGGAAACCTTTTTCTGAAGTCTTCATTGTGTTTCATTAATTTTGTCTGTTTATTCATGCATCAATATGACATTTTAAACAATATTAAACACATGCTTTGATATCTGCCAGGGCAAGTTTCTCCCATTTTTTCCTCCTAAAATTGTCTAAGCTATGCATACACGCATACACTTCTAGCCTTACTTATGAATTCTTGAATTAGCTAGCCAAATTGTATGCTAAAGACTGTTGGGTTATTTTGGGGATTACATTTTACATATCAACTTGCAGAGAGCTGGCTTTTTTTTTTTTTTTTTTTGGACAGTCTCTCTCTTTTGCTTAGGCTGGAGTACAGTGGCATGATCTCTGCTCACTGCAACTTCCACCACCCAGGTTCAAGTGATCCTCCCACCTCAAGCTCTCCAGTAGCTGGGACTACAAGCATGCACCACCACACCCAGCTAATTTTTTTTTTTTTTTTGAGATGGAGTTTCACTCTTGTTGCCCAGGCTGGAGTGCAATGGCATGATCTTGGCTCACTGCAACCTCTGCCACCCAGTTTCAAATGATTCTCTTGCCTCAGCCTCCTGAGTAGCTGGGATTACAGGTGTGTGCCACCATGCCGAGCTAATTTTGTATTTTTATTAGAGATGGGGTTTCACCATGTTGGCCAGGCTGGTCTTGAATTCCTGACCTCAAAGTGATCCACCTGCCTCGGCCTCCCAAAATGCTGGGATCACAGGCGTGAGCCACCACACCCGGCCTAATTTTTGTATTTTTTGTAGAGAAAGGGTCTCACCATGTTACCCAAGCTGGTCTCAAACTCCTGGGCGCAAGTGATCCTTCTGCCTTGGCCTCCCAAAGTGCTGGGATTATAGGCATGAGCCCCTGCACCCAGCTTGGCATGTTAAAATACTGAAATTTATCGTCTATAACCAATAATGTTCTTAATTTTGGATTTCTTCTACATCTCATAAAGTTTACATTTTTCCTTGTAAAGATCTTCTATATTTATTATTTAGGTTCTGTTGTGAATTCTTTTCCATTACATTTTCCATCTATTGCTATTTGTATTAGTCTGTTTTCACACTGCCATGGAGAAATACCTGAGACTGGGTATTTTATAAAAGAAAGAGGTTTAATTGACTCACGGTCTCACATTGTTGGGGAGGCCTTGGGAAACTTACAATCATGGCAGAAAGCAAAGGAGAAGCAGGCACCTTCTTTACAGGATGACAGGACAGAGTGAGTGCTGAGCAAAGGGCACTCTTAAGCCCCTTACCATCAGATCTCATGAGAACTCACTATCATAAGAACAGCATGAGGATAACCACCCCCATGATTCAATTACCTCCTATGACAACTACCTGGGTCCCTCCTATGACACACGGGGATTATGGGAACTACAATTCGAGATGCGATTTGGGTGGGGACACAGCCAAACCATATCACTGGTGTATCACAAAACTACTAATTTATGAATGTCCATCTGCTATCTAAGCCACCTTGTTGAACTTTGTTGTTATTTGTAAGTTTTCATCATATTAGTTTCATAATCTATCATGTGGTAGATTAATCATACCCTGGAGCCTCCCCCTCTTATCTCAAATCCCTAGGAATGACAGAAAAGTTATAAGAAAAATAAAATACATCCTTGCCTCCTAGAACACACAAAAAAGAAAAAAAAAGAAAAAGAAAATACATAGTGGCATCCTGTATATACTATTAATCATTTTATATTTTCTCTTCCTCCTGGTGGAATTTTCAATATCAGTACACAGAGAGGAGCCCCCTTCTGTGGTGGTAAGGGTACCACCATATGGATGTCTGATAACTTAACCAGTCCCTGTTGAAAGACCTTCCTCCCCAGTCTTTTACTGTCACAATGAAAATCCTTGTATAAAAGTCTTGCAATTGCCTGATGGGTTCTTCCTGCCTGCTGCACAGACAAATGCAATTCACTGAGACTGTGGTACTGCAGTAAAGAAAGTTTAATGCAAGGCCAATGATATGGTTTGCCTGTGTCTCCACCCAAATCTCATCTTGAATTGTAGTTCCCATAATCCCCACATATCATGGGAGGGACCCAGTGGGAGGTATTGAAACATGGAGGTGATTACCCTCATGCTGTTCTCATGATAGTGAGTGAGTTCTCATGAAATCTGATGGTTTTATAAGGGGCTTTTCCCCTTTTGCTCAGCACTTCTCCATCCTGCTGCCCTGTGAAGAAGGTGCCTTCTCCTCTATCGCCTTCCACCATGGTTGTAAGTTTCCTGAGGCCTTCCCAGCCATGCGGAACTGTGAGCCAATTAAACTTCTTTTCTTTATAAATTACGCAGTCTCAAGTATTTCTTCATAGCAGTGTGAGAATGGACTAATACAGAAGAGAGTAGGGTGCTGCTATAAAGATACTCAAAAATGGGGAAGTGAATTTGGAACTGGGTAACAGGCAGAGGTTGGAACAGTTTGGAGGGCTCAGAAGACAGGAAAATGTGGGTAAGTTTGGAACTTCCTAGACTTGTTGAATGGTTTTGACCAAAATGTTGATAGTGATGTGGACAATGAAGTCCAGGCTGAGGTGGTCTCAGATAGAGATGATGAACTTATTGGGAACTGCAGCAAAGGTGACTCTTGCTATGCTTTGGCAAAGAGACTGGTGGCATTTTGCCCCTACCCTAGAGATCTGTGGAACTTTGAACTTGAGAGAGATAATTTAGGGTATCTGATAGAAGAAATTTCTAAGCAGCAAAACATTCAAGAGGAAACAGAGCATAAAAGTTTGGAAAGTTTGCAGCCTGAAGATGCGATAGAGAAGAAAAACACATTTTCTGGGGAGAAATTCAAGCAGGCTGCAGAAATTTGCATAAGTAATGAGGAGCTGAATGTTAATAGCAAAGACAATGCAGGAAATGTCTCCAGGGCAGGTCAGAGATCTTTGTGGCAGCCCTCTCATCACAGGCCCAGCGGCCTAGGAGGGAAAAATTGTGTTGTAGGCCTGGGCCAGGGCCCCCCTGCTCTGTGTAGCCTCAGGACATGGTGCCCTGCATCCCAGCTGCTTTAGCTCCAGCTGTGGCTAAAAGGGGCCAATGTACAGCTCATGCCATTGCTTTGGAGGGTGCAAGCCCCAAGCCTTGGTGGCTTACATGTGGTGTTGGGCCTGCGGGTGCACAGAAGTCAAAAATTGAGGTTTAGGAACCTCTGCCTAGATTTCAGAGGATGTATGGAAATGCCTGGATATCCAGGCAGAAGTTTGCTGCAGGGATGGAGCCTCCATGGAGAACCTCTGCTAGGGCAGTGCAGAAAGGAAATGTGGGGTTGGCTCCCCAACACAGAGTCCCCACTGGAGCACTGCCTACTGGAGCTGAGAGAAGAGGGCCACTGTCTTCCAGACCCCAGAGTGGTAGATCCACCAACAGCTTGTACTGAGCACCTGGAAAAGCCACAGATAATCAATGCCAGCCGATGAAAGCAGCCAGGAGGGGAGCTGTACTCTGCAAAGCCACAGGGACAGAGCTGCCCAAGGCCATGGGAGCCCACCTCTTGCATCAGCATGACCTGGATAGGAGACATGGAGTCAAAGGAGATTTTTTCAGAGCTTTAATTACTGCCTCGTTGGATTTCAGACTTGCATGGGGCCTGTAGCCCCTTTGTTTTGGACAATTTATCCCATTTGGAATGGGTATATTTACCCAATGCCTGTACCCCCATTTTATCTAGGAAGTAATTAACTTGTTTTCAATTTTACAGGCTCAAAGGTGGAAGGGACTTGCCTTGTCTTGGGTGAGACTTTGAACTTGGATTTTTGGGTTAATGCTGGAATGAGCTAAGACTTTGGGGGACTGTTGGAAAGGCATAATTGTGTGTGTGTGTGTGTGTGTGTGTATGTGTGTGTGTGTGTGTTTGAGACAGAGTTTCCCTCTGTCACCCGGGCTGGAGTGCAGTGGTGCAGTCTTGGCTCACTGCAAACTCCACCTCTTGGGTTCAAGCAATTCTCCTGCCTCAGCCTCCTGAGTAGCTGGGATTACAGGCATGTGCCACCACACCCAGCTGATTTTTGTATTTTTAGTAGAAATGGGGTTTCACCATTTAGCCAGGCTGGTCTTGAACTCCTGACCTCAGGTGATCCACCTGCCTTGGCCTCCCAAAATGCTGGGATTACAGATATGAGCCACCGTGCCCGGCTGCATAATTGTGTTTTGAAATGTGAGGAGATGAGATTTAGGAGGGGCCAGGGGCAGAATGACATAGCTTGGCTGTGTCCCCACCCAAATCTCATCTTGAATTGTAGTTCCCATCATCCCCACGTGTTGTGGGAGGGACCCAGTGGGAGGTAATTGAATCATGGGGGCTGTTACCCCCATGCTGTTCTTGTGATAGTGAGTGAGTTCTCACAAGACCTGATGGTTTTATAAGGGGCTTCCGCCCCTTTTCTTGGTACTTCTTCCTGCCGCCCTTTGAAAAAGGTGCCTTTCTTCCCCTTTGTCTTCCACTATGATTGTAAGTTTACTGAGGCCTTCCCAGTCATGCAGAACTGTGAGTCAATTAAACCTCTTTTCTTTATAAACTACCCAGTCTTGGGTATTTCTTCATAGCAATGTGAGACCAGACTAATGCAGCTAAGCAGAAGAACTGGAGTTATCACTCAAATCGGTGTCCTCAAAGGCTTGAAGATTAGGGTTTTTGAGAGATACTTTGATGGGCAGGGAACTAGGGAATGGATGCTACTGATTGGTTGGGGATGCAATCATAGGGGTGTGGAAAATGGTCCTTTTGCACTGAGCCTTCTTCTGGGTGTGGGGCCACAGGACTGGTTGAGTCATAGGTCACGAGTCTGGATGGGGTCAGTTGCCAGAATGCAAAAGTCTGAAAAGCATCTCAAAAGACCAGTCTTGGGGCCGGGTGCAGTGGCTCATGCCTGTAATCTTAGCACTTTGGGAGGCTGAGGCAGGTGGATCACCTGAGGTCAGGAGTTCGAGACCAGCCTGGCCAATATGATGAAACTCCATTTCTACTAAAAATATAAAAATTAGTTGGGTGTGGTAGCAGGTACCTGTAATCCCAGCTACTTGGGAGGCTAAGGCAGGAGAATTGCTTGAACCTAGGAGGTGGAGGTTGCAGTGAGCTGAGATTGTGCTACTGTACTTCAGCCTAGGCGACAGAGCTCGCTCCATCTCAAAAAAAAAAAAAAAAAAAAGCCAGTCTTGGGTTCTACAATAGTGTTGTTATCTATAGGAGCAATTGAGGAAGTCACAAACCTTGTGACCTCTGGCCACACGACTCCTGAGCAGTAGGGGATTATAAAAACTATGCCCACATTTTAGCAGAATTCTGTCCCCTCCCATAATGCTAATTTCGTGGCCTTTCATTAGTTTTTGGTCCCTGAGCAAGGAGGAGGTTAGTTGTAGGGAGGGACTATTATCATCCTTGCTTCCAAGTTAAGCTGTAAACTAAATTCCTCTCATGGTTAGCTTGGCCTACACTCAGGAATGAGCAAAAACAGCCTGTGAGGCTAGAAGCAAGACGGAGCCAGGCATGTCACGTTTCTCTCATTGTCAGAATCTTTGCAAAGGTGGTGTCAGTCTTTGCACAAGTATCTGCAGGATAAATTCCTAGAAGTGAAATTCCTAAAATCTGAATTTAAAAGTGTATGCAGTATACTTCAATGTTAATAGCTACCACCAAAGTGCCCTCTGGAGGCTGTACCAATATGTATTTTTAACAATAATATATCAGCATGCTTGTTTTCCCACACCTTCAGGAACACACTCGGTTTAAAACTGCCAGAAAGGAATACAGAAATGGCCTCTCAATTCTTGCTATAGCAGATGCTGCAGATGTCCCATCCAGTATTTCCATCTCCCTTCCAAGTTTACCTGCAGAGGATGGTTACTGCCCATCCTGACAGCATCCAATATGTGTCTGTATCTTTCTGCTTCTTTTCCTGAGTCATTTTGAGGTGTCACAGGAACTTGCTTAGCCCATCCAAGGGTGGGCTTCCCAGGGTGGCTGGGAATTAACAGCCTATCAGCTTCTCAGAGACAACCCTCAACCAAAGAGGAAAGAGAACCAACGGATAAATGTGCAAAATTCCCATGTCTCAGCAGGCAATTCTGAAGCATGTTCCTGCCAATTCTTCTGGGGATCCTAGTGAAATTGAGCTCTTGTTGGCTAAAGCAGTAATCTTGTTAGTACATCCTTTAATCACTTTGCTACCTTCCTTATCTCATTTCCCCACTCCTTCACTTCTTGCTATCACCTCTCAAATAAACTACATTCACCCAGATCCTTGCCTTAATGTCTGCTTTTGGGGAAACCTAAACTAAGACGGATGGTACTAGAGCTGGTCCTATAAAGGAGACCCTCAGAATGGGATATGAGAATTTGCTCATGCCCCGGTCAGGAGCAACAAGAACCTCACTGCTGGTCTAAGTGGGGGAAGTGATAGCCCATGGCTTAGCATGTTTACTAAGAATTTCACCAATGATTGTTTAGGATGAGGTACAGGCAGAAGGGGAAGCACTCGGCTAGGGAAGGATTGTGGAGGTGGCTGACTTTTGTAAACTTTTCTGGAGTCCTTGAAGAGAATAGCACAGAGAACAGCAGGTAAGCCAATTATCAACTCAGGGCATGCTATGAAAGCCAAAGGCTTTCATGGCCAACTTTAATTAGATCCTCATCTCTTGTTGCAGGAGTGCAGAGTATGATGCATATTAGACTCAGAATATAATCATAAAAATGTCAGCACTGCAACGGATGCCAAATTCACAGCCAGGGCAGATGTCCTATGTTAACTTCAGGGCCCAGAAAGGGAAGCAGTAGGACTGTGAAACCTGGAATGGTCATGCTACACAATCTTGAATCCCATATTCATTTGAATCTTCAAAAAACAAAAGAAAAAAAAAGAAAAGAAAAAAACATGCTGGCTCTGGTGGTTAATGCCTGTAATCCCAGCATTTTAGGAGGCTAAGGTGGGAGGTTCAGTTGAGCCCAGGAGTTAGAGACCAGCTTGGGGAACACAGTGAGACCCCATCTCTACAAAAAAAAAAAAAAAAAAAAAAAATTAGCTGGGTGTGGTGGCACGCACCTGCGATCCCAGCTACTTGGGAGGCCGAGATGCAAGGATTGCTTGAGCCTGGGAGGTGGAGGCTGCAGTGAGCTGTGATGATGACACCACTCCAGCCTGGGTGACAGAGTGAAATCTTGTCTCAAACAAACAAAAAACCAAGCATGCTTATTTATTAAGAATCTTTCCTTTTCTCCTGTGATCTAGAAAGTTTCCTTCCTTCTTTTCTTTTTCACTTTATTAAAATTTGATTCAATTGTAATTAATTTGTTGTAAGGAGTAAATTGGGAATGCAACTTCCTAACTCATCTTTCCCCACTGATATAAAATGCCACCTGGATTGTATACCAAATTCCGTATGTACTTGGGTCTTGTGGGAGAGAAAGCTAGGTGTTCTCCAAACCTGCTCTTTCTTCCATCTGGGCATACAACCGGTTACGTTTCCCAGGTTTCCTGCAGTTAGGAACTGATAGGCCTGGCAGATAAAAGCCTCCCAAAAGATGCCCCATCCTCTTTGCCTTCTTGCTAGGTGGATTAGAGATATTCTCTAAGAAAACCTTGAAAACCACATGTTAAGGATGGGAAAGCCAAAGATGCAAAGAGCCTGAGTCCAGAATCCTTGTGAAGAGGAAAGTCTGCTGAGCAGAAACACATTCTGGACTTCATGAAAATGAGAAATAAACTTGCACTTTGTATGAGACATTAGTTACTTTTTATTAAATCAGATGTCCTTACTCTAATATAGGTCTATTTCTGGACCTTATTCTGTTTCATTCGTCAGTTTCTCTGCTCATATGCCCATACTATGCTGTTTTAATTTACATAGTTTCATAATGTATTTTAGTACTTAGTAGGAGTTAATAACTTCATTCGTTTTTCACAATTTTTTTGGGTTCTCCTTGCATGATCATTTTTCCGTATGAATGTTAGAATCAGCTTCACTGGTTAAAATAAAACCTCCTTTGGTATGTTTATGGAAATTATAAACATTAGAATTTGATATAAGAAGCAGTGACACCTTTATAATATTGAATCGTCTTATATAAGCACTATTATTCTCTTCATAGATGGTCATGTCTTCATTTTTATTCTTTAGTAATATTATAAAGTTTTATTTGTATAGGTGGTAATAATTTTTTATTTTGTTTACTAATAGTTTTTTTTGAAGTTATGGTATTATAAATAGGATCTTTTTTCTATAATATTTTATAACTGGCTGTTGCTTATACAGGAAGCCTACAAGGATGCTGTGTTACCTGTTTTAGCATGATGTCAAATAAAAATGAAATGACCAGTCGGACATCCAAGAAAAACGTCTAAAAGCAAAACAAATCTTAAGTTTAAAAATGTTTACACTGTATAGCAGAAAAACAGACTGCATTCAGAGAAGGCATGTTGTTCTAGGTTAATTCACAATGGTCAGAGTTGCCCTCCTTTTTGATTAGAATTCCAAAGAGCTGCTATTTTATAAACTGTCCATACTATTTAACGAGCAAGCACTGTTGAGCTGGGGTTTGAGGAAGCACAAGAAACATCACCATTCTCTCCTGTTTCTACTAACTCAGAAATAGGCGCAGGCCTTCAGGCAGATGGATATATCACTATTACTGATGAAACTGATATTAGAGAACATGGCTTATGTCTGTGGCAACAGCTAGCTTCTTAACACTGCATTGAGACAGACTTTGTCATCCACTGGCAGCATGGGACAACTGTAAGCCTCTCCCATGGAGCCCGTCCTTACAAACCAAAGGCATGGAAAGGCAAAACAGAACATATATTTCTATAAGAAGGCATCTTGTAATTCTCTTCTTTCATTTTTCCTCACTCAGGAAGGAGTAAAAGGGCAGAGCAAGGCAGGACTGTAACAGAAGTTACCTCGAAATGGAAGTAAGTATCAGAAGTGAGAATAACTGTCACTCCTTTAATGGCAAAACAATATATATTTAGGGATCAAAAGTTCATACAGTTTTTGGATATATCAAATGTTAGATTTTGAATGTTAGGCAGGAATTTAAACTATATGTATTTTTAGGTCATGCTTACACATGCATTGTGGAACATGGTTCTTATCAGGCCTTACCGTAAGAACACAAAACAGATCACAAAACTACTGGGAAAATAACACAATTTGCCTTGGACTTCTTTTGTTTATAACACAGTTGTTCTATGGACACAATCATTATATTACAAGTATTTTTCTTTTAGCTGTTCTGGATTCTTGTATTCAGTACACTTAATCCTTGGTAAGTGTTCATCCTTGCATTAATGCATTTGTTTAATGTGCTCTCAAAGACGGCATGTTCATAATAGGATGTATAATATAGAGCAGATAATAAGGCTTATCACCACCGAGCCTCCAGTGACCATCACAATTTTTCAGTATTTATTAATTCATTATACATGTTTAGAGGCCTTATGGTGTGACAGGGACCATGCCAGAGACTGGAGCAACAAAAATGTATAAGGATGCACTCAAGGAGCTCATGGACAGATGGGGAGGGCAGAAATAGCTCACTGAAGTGCATTGACAGAGCATAGTTGTCCTGTAGGAACGCAAGCTGGGCCTTGAATCGTGCCTAAATCAAGGGACTCTGACACTTTAAGTTGTCCAACTTTATACAACTTGTAACGGGCAGAGGAAATACTTGGACTTAGACTGATTCCAAAGCCACCAATACTTCAGGTGCCACTTTGTGATGATGCTGCCCCTCATTATACCTGCTCCAGATGGGGCAATGCTGCAGAGGGCAGATGGTGTGGCTGTGCAGTTCTCAGAGTAATTTGCCCAAAAAGCTGGCCTTTGGGCCTAGCGCTAACCCTGACTTCAGCCTCCCTCCTTGAGTCATCAGCGTCAGCTGATGGGTTGTGATCTTATTAAGCCAAGCTGACAAAGGCATTCCCCCTTTCTCTAATGATCCCATTTTCCTTACCACTCAATAAGCTGAGGTTCATCTTTGGTCAGGCTGAGGCCCAGGTGAAGGAAATGCTTGGGAGTGGTTTGGGAAATACTGGTGAACTGGGTGGAGGTACCCACTTTACCCCACCTCCCTGTCACGCTTCGGCTGATTCATGAGGGATTTGTTGTTGTTATTTCAAGTTGCCTGTAAATCAGCTGTACCAAAAATGGTGAGGATAACCCTAGATTCTATGAAGGCAATTCGTAAGTCCAGGGGTAGCAACTTCCAAACACTGTCTACATCAAAAATTTGGCATCACAAATCTGAGTTTTATCTGCAAGCATGCAGAAGGGAAAGTATAAAGAAGCTGGAGCAAGCTTTGACTTCTTTGACCCTTGTAATTGCACGAGAGTATAAGATTTAAAATTGTGAATAAATGAATGCTTGCACCAACTGAAAGACAAAAGTTTTAAATTATCAGTAACTGCCTAAAGTGATCTCTTCCTTCCTTATGGGCAAGAACCCACCTTTTTTGAATAGACCTCTAACCTTGAAATTCTGTTATTCACAGATATATGATGGGGGCTGATAGGCGGTTGAAAATAATCAGTATTTGGAGAATTATGAGAAGAGCAGCCGAGACTGGAGCAGCCACCACAGGATATTCTCATTTGGGCTGAGTTTGGAAACAACAGCCAATGTTTACTAAATGATTCCAGTGCTGAGGGCTTTATATGTATTTTTCTTCATAATGTCCTGAGGAGTTAAGTTCTTTTTTTTTTTTTTTTTTGAGACGGAGTCTCGCTCTGTCACCCAGGCCAGAGTGCAATGGCGCGATCTCGGCTCGCTGCAACCTCTGCCTCCTGGGTTCAAGCGATTCTCCTGCCTCAGCCTCCTGAGTAGCTAGGATTACAGGTGCCCGCTACCATGCCCGGCCAATTTTTTTGTATTTTTAGTAGAGATGGGGTTTCACTATGTTGGCCAGGCTGTTCTCGAACTCCTGACCTCGTGATCTGCCTGCCTCAGCCTCCCAAAGTGCTGGGATTACAGGCGTGAGACACCGCGCCTGGCTGAGTTAAGTTCTCTTCTTGTAAAAGGGGAGCTGAGGCTTAAGAGAGGTCACAGAGCTCACACATGGGGAAGGGAACACTGGAGTCAGGTGGTTGGCCCCTGGAACCCACATTCTTACCACGTTCTCCTGCATTCAGTCATGGAACTTCTCACTCAGCTCAATTTTGGCATGAGTCACCTCAAATGGGGTGCAGGGGCTTTTTTTTTTTTTGAGATGGAGTCTCGCTGTCGCCCAGGCTGGAGGGCAGTGGCGCGATCTCGACTCACTGCAAGCTCCGCCTCCCGGGTTCGCGCCATTCTCCTGCCTCAGCCTCCTGAGTAGCTGGGACTACAGGCACCCGCCACCACGCCCGGCTAATTTTTTTGTATTTTTAGTAGAGACGGGGTTTCACCATGTTAGCCTGGATGGTCTGGATCTCCTGACCTCGTGATCCGCCCGCCTCGGTCTGCCAAAGTGCTGGGATTACAGGCGTGAGCCACCGCGCCCGGCCACAGGGGCTTCTAAATAGTGCTAATAGCTGACAGGCTTCAGAGCTCTGCTTGCTGTCAAGGAACGTTTGAAGTTAGCAAAATGGTAGAGATGCTGTAGTTGGAGGCTGGCTGACTATTCAATGAAGGCCCTCCAAGAAAGTAAAAATGTGCCATCTCAGCCTTGTTTTAGCCTCCATCACAGAACTCCTGTTTCTGAATTACAGGAATCAAACTGACAAGATATTAATGTATAGAATGCCAATTTACTAATTTGCAATGTTAAGATAGACCCTCCTAGTGAGTGACCAGAATGTTCACTGTTCAGAGAACTGTATTCTAAGAACCAAGGTTTGTGGGAATCTCCTTAGTTATTATAACTTCATTTGTGAATGCAAATGAGAATAAAGGGAAAGGATGGTGCTGATGTCTGGAATCCCAGGGTGCAGCTAGAACTGCAAAAGCAAGAGGCAGCCTAAGACCAATTAGTGCAGAAACAAGCACTGCAACTGCAACAAAAGTGCTACCACTGAAGTCGACACAGCAGAGCAGGACAATGAGTGTTTATAAAACTGACCCTCACTTTCATGTGAAGCCTAAAAAAAGAGTCAAACGTACAGAGCTACAGAATAAAACACTGGTTCCAACAGGCAGTGGAGAGGAGAAAATGGGTAATGTAGGTCAAAGAATGCAAAGTGGCTGACAGCCAAGATGAGCAAGCCTAGAGGACTACAGTTAATAATGCTGCAGTTCACTCAGGATTTTACTAAGAGATTTTAGGTGCTCTTATCACACATAAACATATACACACACACACACAAAGGGCAACTATGTGAGAAGTGGATATGTTGATTTACTATAGTAACCTTTTTACTATGTATATCAAAACATCATGTCGTACATCTTAAATGTTTACAATAGGCCGGGCACAGTGGCTGACGCCTGTAATCCTAGCACTTTGGGAGGCTGAGGCGGGTGGATCACGAAGTCAAGAGATCGAGACCATCCTGGCCAACATGGTGAAACCCTGTCTCTACTAAAAATCCAAAAATTAGCCGGGCGTGGTGGCATGCACCTGTAGTCCCAGCTACTTGGGAGGCTGAGGCAGAATTGCATGAACCCGGGAGGCGGAGCTTGCACTGAGCCGAGATTGCACCACTTCACTCCAACCTGGCGACAGAGTGAGACTCCGTCTCAAAAAAAAAAAAAAAAAATTACAATAAAAAATGCTGATTCTCAGCAAAGTATCACTATACTTTGAGAAGGCAAGACTGTATGTCAAGCATTTCTGAAAGATGTCAAACAAAAACTCCTGAAGTTTCACTGAAGTGCTCTCTCTTGAGATGTATGGTGAATGAGAGAATCTTGTACTGAGAAACACACCACTGACTATAAACTACTGGCAGTATGATGAATTTACTACCAGCAAGCCAGGGCCACTGCTGCGAAAACAAAGTCAAGACTAGGAGAGATTATCATAAAAAGAGTGAAGGAGGCCAGGCATGGTGGCTCACGCCTGTTATCCCAGCACTTCGGGAGGCTGAGGCAGGAGGATTGCTTGAGCCCAGGAGTTTGGGACCAGCCTGAGCAACATAGTGAGACTTCATGTCTACAAAATAATAATAATAAAAAGCCTAGCATGGTGGCACACACCTGTAGTCCCAGCTACTTGGGAGGCTGAGGTAGGAGGATCGCTTGAGCCCAGGAGGTTGAAGCTGCACTGAGCCAAGATCACACTACCGCATTCCAGCCTGGGCAACACAGCGAGACCCTACCTCAAAAAAAAAAAAAAAAAAAAAAAGTGTGAAGGACATTGACTAAGAGCTCCTTGAGAAGCTAGAACACATAAAGACCCGTGCCTATAGGAAATATTTCTTTCTTTTTTTTTTTTGGAGACAGAGTCTGTCTCCGTCGCCCAGGCTGGAGTGCAGTGGTGCGATCTTGGCTCACTGCAAGCTCCGCCTCCTGGGCTTCCGCCATTCTCCTGCCTCAGCCTCCGGAGTAGCTGGGACTACGGGTGCTTGCCTACACGCCTGGAGAATTTTTTTTTTTTTTGTATTTTTGGTGGAGACGGGGTTTCACCGTGTTAACCAGTATGGTCTCGATCTCCTAACCTCGTGATCCGCCCACCTCGGTCTCCCAAAGTGCTGGGATTACAGGCGTGAGCCACCGCGCATGGCCAACTATAGGAAATGTTTCTAAAGAGATCTAAAATTGACAGTCAAAAGGTTATTATGAAAGGCTGGACTTAAATTTTTTCCCCGTAGATACTAGGAAATACACAACTTATTAAGTTAAAGTCTACGCTTACACTTAAGTCACATTTTTTAAAAAGCCACTAAAATCCCATGCTTTAATGATATTAGTACACAATTCAAAACACTGTACCACGGTATCCCCTCACTGGTACTCAGAACACAAATGAAACACATCTTGATAAAGTAAATACCTTCCTATTTGGAATGTGCAAGACATAATTTACTAAGTTGATTCTTTTCAACTATTAGGGACTGAATTTTATTCTCAAAGAGATGATCACAGAACATGAGAATTAAACAAACCTTCCTATAAAAGAAATGGATGCTTTTATTCAACCTGAGTTAAAACCACAATGAATCATATCAGAGTTCATGGGAATCATAATAAATGACTAGTAAACCACTCACAAAATCAAAGCTATCAACATACTAGGATCACACACATTAATTAGTGCTATAGTTCAAAACATACCCTTTAACTTATTTAGCACGCAAAATAATCATAAAAGTAATGTCTATAAGCTCTAACCAAAAATTTTAAAAATTAAAAATAGCACAATTCTACAATTCTGATTTTACCAAGAAAATAAACCTTTTTTGGCACATATTATCCTATGAAAATGGAAAGCTGAGTCAGGCTGCTCTGCTTTTCACAGCACAAATAAGCATTCATGCTATCAGACTTGGGAAATTAACTCGGTGACAAAAATTCACTGGAAAATAGAATCCTTGGAAAAATGGGGTCAGGTGCCATCCACTGTGAGGCAATGATAATGTGTGTCCTTCGTTATTAGCACAAAGTTAGGCAGCACACTATAATTTTAGCTACATGCAACTCTATAGGAACACATGTGGGTAAGGCCTGAAAGTTACAAGCAAGAGTGAAAAGAACTGCTGTGTTGGGACTGAGGAATGATGGGTGTTTGTTTTTCTTTAAATGTCATTTCACCTTTTAAAGGAAAATAAATCAAGTAGGTAGGTAAAAATTACTGAACTAAAGAGATACTAAAGATCAGAAGACTGGCCAATTGAGAAAATCAAGTTTCATGATTAAGAGTGACTCAGGAAGGATGTCTTAGTTATGAGGGGGGTGGTGGAAGACAGTTTATATCTTTGGGTATTTATGGCAGGTCAGAATTAAAGATTTAACTTTTTCCCTTACTCTTTACATAAAAAGCTGGTTTATCTGAAAAAAGTATCAATCTAGACTTGGCAATAAAGTGGCACTTAGGCACTATATTATTGATATCTACAATGACCTCCTGGATGCACAAGAGACCCTGAAGGGCTTTTTTGATCAGCAAAACAAAAACAGAAAAGCAAAAAACAGTTAATTTTTGTTTGGTCAAGTTTACTCAACCAGACCACCTTGATACCAACAATGCTGGAGAGCATTTGGCAAGAGCAGGGCCACAATGCCAAATTCCTTGGAAAGGTAGACTTCCTATGATACTTTCATGGATTGGCAAATTTGTGGGGTTTTTTTGGTAGTAGCTTTTGAGAATGTTAGTTTCTGGCTGGGGTAGTGACTTACATCTGTAATCCCAGCACTTCGGGAGGCGAAGGCAGGTGGATTGCTTGTGCCCAGGAGTTTGAGACCAGCCTGGGTAACATGGTGAGACCCCATCTCTATTTTTATAAAATTAAAAAAAAAAAAAAAGATAGAGAATGTTACTTTCCTATAAAGCCATGATACCCTAAGTACTAAGACATGTCTGTTGTTGTCCTTTCCTTCATAACATTTCTCATAACCCGTAATTTACTTCTCATCTGTCTCCCCTAAAAGGGCAGGGGCCTTGTCTATTCTGTTCATTACCATATACCCAGCACTTAATAATGTCTGGTACATGTAAGTGTTCAACAAATATTAGTTGAATGAATAAATGAAGTATGAATGAATCTCATACAGCTCAACAGACCTGGGGGAAAAGTGAAGACAAACAAACAAACAAACAAAAAAAAAAACAAAACCCTAAAAAATACTTAAGGAAGACAGATAAGCAACAGTTCTATCAGTTGGGGTTATGAGACTTGATGCCAAAAAATTTACCATCATTCACAACTGACAATGGTTGTTCAGAGATTCAAAATATCTGAAAGATTTCAACTGAAAGTTAATATAAAACAGTGTTCTCTGGAAGACTCATGTACAAATAAGTTAATTAAGGGCCTGTTACTAAACCAAGATACAACAGGAGCCTAATGTTTTGTTTGTTTCAAGATGGAGGAGACTCTGCTGCATACACTTGGAGGTCTAGATTTCCATAGAGGGCACGTAGCATATTGAGGACCTTTTCTTGAATAGTGTCAACTTGGTCAGAAGGACAGTAATCATCCAGACTTGACCTAGAACCAACAGAAAGAGAAAGAAGAAAAATACACATAGGATAAAATCATACTGTGAGGAAAAGCTGCATGTGTTCATTTCAATGTAAAACAGAAATTAAGGTGTGCTGAACTTTGGATTAATATCAATTGAAAGCTAGTGAAGGTTTACCCCATGTTAGTCACCTTACATAAATTATGTTCTTTAATTTTCACAGCAACTCTATGAAATAGGCACAATTACTATCCCTTTAAAGAAATCTGAAAGAGATTAACCTGTGCAAGGTGACATGCGGTGTGTGCCTTAATGCTTGATTGCTAGACCATTGTTTGCCTGAAAGTGAGATGTTGCTTGGGAATACAGGGGCTTATTATCTTAGCGATGGAACATCTTTTATTATGTGTGTGCTAGGGCTAGAAATGATGAGGGTCGAGGTTTTCCAACTGATAAAAGGATCCTATTTCTAAAAATGATTTGTTAACTACAAAATTATAAAGGATCCATGGCTTGGTCCAAAATGAAATGTGGCGATGTGCTGGTGTTGGATTTACTTTCCTAGGCAGTAGGAAGCAGAAAAGAGCAAAGTAGGTTGGGGCAGATATCTGTATTTTGGGAGTCTTTCCAGAACTTACCAACTGCAACCTGAGTTGCACTGGGCAGTTACAATGCTGCTGCCAGTTACAACTGGATTAACCAGTGTCTCCTGGTTCCGGATAAGGGTGAATAAAGCCTTCTAGAGGACAGAGTGAGAAGAGCAGCACAGAAATCTTTATAGAAGAACTGGAATTAGTTATCTGGCCTACTCCTTAGTACAAGTATTTCAAACCTAAAGAGATAATCTGTAAGACCACTGATAAACTCATTTTACGCTCTAGTGACCAGGTTATTTACCTACAGAGATTGTATTAGTTTCCTACTGCTGCTATAAAAAATCACCACAAACTTAGTAGCTTAAAGCAACACTAATTTATTATATAGTTTTGGAGGTCAGAAGTCCTAAAATAAAGGTGCTGACAGGGCTGCATTCTTTTTGTAAGATCCCAGGGATAATCTGTCCCCTGGCCTTTTCTAGCTTCTAAAGGCTGCCTGTGTTCCTTAGCTTGTGGCCTCCACCTTCAAAGCCCGAAGTGTAGAATTTTCGAATCACTCTCTCTGATTCTGACCCTCCTGCCTTTCTCTTCTAATGACCCTTGTGATTACACTGGGCCCACCTGATAAATCCAGGATAATCTCATCTCAAAATCCTTGAGTTAATCACACTGCGAATTTCCTTTTGCCATATAATGTAACATATTCACAGGTTCCAGAGATTAGGATGTGCACATCTCTGATTTGCCATTATTCTGCTGAACACACTTACCTTGCAATTGTCACAAGAGTAGGATTTGGTAAATTTTTCAGCAAATAATGCACAGATTGAATAAGACACTCTATTTCTTGTTCTGTGCTGATATGGTGAGGAAGTTCTGAATAATCGCAGGTTAAACCAGCCTGGTGAACCTGAAAATAAGACAATTAAAAATTACACTGTATGACAGTTGTTTTTATAAGCTTCTTTAATCATTAATGGCCTTATTGACAAATCTTTACTTTTATTGATACATAAAAGATGTGCATATTTTCAGGGTACATGTGATTCATAATAGCATATAAAGATCAAATCAGGGTAACTGGGATATCCAACACCTTAAATATGAAAAACTTTTAATTTTTAATATTTTTATGCATTGGGATTATTTTTTCCTTAACAGTTTCTATGTCATAAAAGTTATCTGCTCTCTGAAGTGTTGGTAGAACTCGCCTATATGCCTGTCTGGGCCAGATGCCTCTTTTTAGAATAATTCTTTAACTACTTCATTGGGCTTGGGTCAATTTTGGTAATTCACATTTTCTATCAAATTATCCATTTCATCTAGATTCTAAAAAGTTGAGGCCAGGCGTGGTAGCTCATGCCTGTAATCCCAGCACTTTGGGAGGCTGAGACAGGCGGATCACCTGAGGTCGGGAGTTGGAGACCAGCCTGACCAACATGGAGAAACCCCGTCTCTACTAAAAATACAAAATTAGCCGGGCGTGGTGGCACATGCCTATAATCCCAGCTTCTCCTGCTAAGGCAGGAGAATCACTTGAACACGGGAGGCAGAGGTTACAGTGAGCCAAGATCGTGCCATTGCACTCCAGCCTGGGCAACAAGAGCGAAACTCCGTCTCAAAAAGAAAAAAAAAAATTGTACATATTCTTATCTCATTTTTAACACATTATTTTACTTACTTTTTAAATATTAATATGTGCACCTAGTACTACATTCAAAGCTTTGAGAGGATACAAGAGAAAATATTTATCCTACCTTATTTAACCAAACTGTTTTCTTGTGTATCCTTTATGTATAACCATAAGCTACTGCTATCTACCTATGTGTTTTAAATTTGAATGGAATATGTTCTAGTCTTAGCACTACACTAAACTTGCCTGAAAGTTAGAAGTGGCTCACATGCTACCATTCTGCAACCTTAACTTTAATGTTTTGAAAACTGGAACTTAACTATGTCATAGTTTTGCCTAGAGTACGCAAGTGCAAAGTATGAAAAAACACACTAATCAAATATTTTATTGGAGGCTTTGGATACACATCAACAATTTAACTGGCAATGATCAGTCAGTGTGATAAAAGGATGAATTCTGGATGTTCATTTTGCCAAAATGATAAAACTATTTAGCGTTCTATCTCTGCAGCTGTAGGGCATATCATAATGGATTACATAATCTGTGACTGAGCCCTAGCCATTCCCTGCCCCCCAAAAAACATCAAACCCACCCAACGAAAAAAACCCAGATGCAATGTAATGATTAAAGCAGACCTGCCTGCAGACATATTTGATAATATTGTATGAATTCAAAGCATTTTCTTTCTCTTTTTAAATTTGACACAAAGTCTCACTCTGTTGCCCAGGCTGGAGTCCAATGGCAGGATCTCAACTCATTGTAACCACCCAGGCTCAAGCAATCCTCCTGCCTCAGCCTCTCAAGTAGCTGGGACTACAGGTGTGCACCACCACACCTGGCTAATTTTTGTATTTTTTGTAGAGATGGGGTTTTGCCATGTTGCCCAGGCTGGTCTCAAATTCCTGGGCTCAAGCGATTTACCTGCCTTGGCCTCCCAAAGTGCTGGGATTACAGGTATGAGCCACTGCTCCTGGCCTCAAAACATTTTCAAACCTTAAGTATCTTATAACGATCTTCTTAATTACCATTTTTAAAAAGTGTAAGTCTTGGAAGTGTTTATTCAGGGCAATTTGAATATATGCTCCCAGGGGAAAAAAAAAAAAGTTAAACAAAAAAGTTTAAGTCTTGGATTTGCTTAGGTTTCACCAAAATATTCTTTTGCTTTGCTCATTATATGGTTTGGCTGTATCTCCACCCAAATCTCACCTTGAATTGTAACTCCCACAATTTCCATGTGTCATGGGAGAAACCTGGTGGGAGGTGACTGTGGGGGTGGGTCTTTCCTGCACTGTTCTCATGATAGCGAATGAGTATCAGGAGATCTGACAGTTTTATTTATTTACTTTTTTTGAGACAGAGTTTCACTCTTTTTGCCCAGGCTGGAGTACAATGGCATGATCTTGGCTCACTGCAAACTCCACCTCCTGGGTTCAAGCGATTCTCTTGCCTCAGCCTCCCGAGTAGCTGGGATTACAGGGATGCGCCACCACGCCCGGCTAATTTTGTGTTTTTCATAGAGATGGGGTTTCTCCATGCTGGTCAGGCTGGTCTCGAACTCCCGATCTCAGGTGATCTGCTCGCTTCGGCCTCCCAAAATGCTGGGATTACAGATGTGAGCCACTATGCCCGGCTGGAGATCTGATGGTTTTAAAAACACAAGTCTCGCTGCACAAGCTCTCTCTTCTTGTCTGCTGCCATGTGAGATGTGCCTTTCACCTTCTGCCATGATTGTGAGGCCTCTCCAATCATGTGGAACACTAAGTCCATTAAATCTCTTTCTTTTGTAAATTGCCCAGTCTTGGGTATGTCTTTATCAGCAGCGTGAAAACAGACTAATACAGTAAATTGGTACCAGTAGAGTGGAGCACTGTTGAAAAGATACCTGAAAATGTGGAAGCAACTTTGGAACTGGCAGAGGTTGGAACAGTTTGGAGGGCTCAGAAGAAGGCAGGGAAATGTTGGACAGTTTGGAACTTCCTAGAGACTTGTTGAATGGCTTGGACCAAAATGCTGATAATGACATGGACAATGAAATCCAGGCTGAGGTGGTCTCAGATGGAGATGAAGAACTTGCTGGGAACTGGAACAAAGGTGACTCTTGTTATATTTTAGCAAAGAGACTGGTGGCATTTTGCCCCTGCCCTAGAGATGTGTGGAACTTTGAAGTTGAGAGATGATTTAGCATATCTGGTGGAAGAAACTGCCAAGCAGCAAAGCATTCAAGAGGTGACATGGGTGCTGTTAAAGGCATCCAGTTTTTTTTTTTTTTGAAATGGAGTCTCGCTCTGTCACCCAAGCTGGAGTGCAGTGGTACCATCTCGGCTCACTGCAGCCTTTGCCTCTCAGGTTCAAGCGATTCTCTGCCTTAACCTCCTGAGTAGCTAGGATTACAGGTGTGCACTGCCACACCCAGCTAAGTTTTGTATTTTTAGTAGAGACGGGGTTTCAACATGTTGGCCAGGTTGGTCTTGAACTCCTGGCCTCAAATGATCCGCCAGCCTTGGCCTCCCAAAGTGCTGGGATTATAGGCGTGAACCACTGTGCCTGGCCAAGGCATTCAGTTTTAAGAGAGAAACAGGGCATAAAAGTTTGGAAAATTTGCAGCCTGACAATGTTAAAGAAAAGAAAATTCCATTTTTTGAGGAGAAATTCAAGCTGGCTGCAGAAATTTGCATAAGTAACGAGGAGCCAAATGTTAATCCCCAAGACAATAGGGAAAATGTATCTGGGGCATGTCAGAGACCTTTGCGGTAGCCCCTCCCATCACAGGCCTGAAGATTTAGGAGGAAAAAATTGTTCCATGGGCAGGGCCCAGGGTCCCAGTGCTGTGTACAGCCTAGGGACTTGGTGTCCTGTGTCTCAGCCATTCCAGCCATGGCTAAAAGGGGCCAACATAGAGCTCGGGCTGTGGTTTCAGAGGATGGCCTTGGCAGCTTCCTTGTGGTGTTGATCAAGCCTGTGAGTGCACAGAAGTCAAGAATTGAGGTTTGGGAACCTCTGCCCAGATTTCAGAAGATGTATGGAAACACCTGGATGCCCAGGCAGAAGTTTGCTGCAGGGGCAGGCCCCTCATGGAGAACCCCTGCTAGGGCAGTGTGGAAGGGAAATGTGGGGTCGGATCCCCACTGAGAGTCCCTAGGGGCACTGCCTAGTGGAGCTGTGAGAAGAGGGCCACTGTCCGTCCTCCAGATCCCAGAATGGTAGATCCACTGACAGCTTGTACTGTGTGCCTGGAAAAGCTGCAGACACTCAACACCAGCTCATGAAAACAGCCAGGAGGGAGGTTGTATCCCGCAAAGCCACAGGGGCAGAACTGCCCAAGACAATGCGAACCCACCTCTTGCATCAGCGTGACCTGGATGTGAGACATGGAGTCAAAGACGATCGTTTTGGAGCTTTAAGATTTGACTGCCCTGATGGACTTCAGACTTGCACTGCCCCTTTGGGCCAATTCCTCCCATTTAGAACGGTTGTATTTACCCAATTCTTGTACATCCATTGTATCTAGGAAGTAACTAACTTGCTTTTGATTTTACAGGCTCATAGGTGGAAGGGACTTGCCTTGTCTCAGATGAGATGTTGGACTGTGGACTTTTGAGTTAATGCTGAAATAAGTTAAGACTTTGAGGGACTGTTGGGAAGGCAGGATTGGTTTTGAAATTCGAGAACAGGAGATTTGGGAGGGGCTAAGGATGGAATGATATGGTGTGGCTGTGTCCCCATCCAAATCTCATCTTGAATTGTAACCCCCACAATTCCCACATGTAGTGGGAGGAAGCCGATGGGAGGTGATTGAATTGTAGGGGTGGGTCTTTCCTGTGCTGTTCTCATGATAGTGAATGAGTCTCACGAGATCTCACAGTTTTAAAAACAAAAGTCTCCCTGCACAAGCTCTCTCTCTTGTCTGCCACCATGTGAGACCTGCCTTTCACCTTCCGCCATGACTATGAGGTCTCCCCAATCATATGGAACTGTAAGTCCATTAAATCTCTTTTGTAAATTGCCCAGTCTCAGGTATGTCTTTATCAGCAGTGTGAAAATAGACATCTCTTATTTTAAAGAGTACCAGCAAATTCTTATAAATTCAATCAATACTTAAATCAATACTTCAACTTTAGTCAAACACAGTGGTCTGACTGTATTCCATAAGTAAATAAAATATGCAAACCCAGCTTACTGAAGTAAGAGAAAGACCACACTAAGAGGAAGGAGACTTGGAAGTCTTAGCCCTGGCATCAAATCTGAGAAAAGTCACTTGAACATTTTAAGCTATAGCTTTCTCATCTCAAGTACCAGGTCAAATGGGAAAATATATGCTTCAAAGACTGCAAAATGATATACAAATAAATTATGACTAAAAGTATCTTTGGCCATAGCATTCAGATACCTGTTGACAAACAGCTAACACATTTAAAATGTGCTAGTCACAGCTCTCTCTTTTTTCTTTGTCTTGTGGTTTTTACAAACGGAAAAGTTTTTAAATAGGGAGGAAAAGAAGGAAGGCAGAAGGCAGTATAAATACTCATCAATAAAAAATGGACCATTTTAGAAATTGTGTACTTTTCTTTTGTCTGGTGAAGAGAGATCCGACCACAGACAAAATTACAAAAAACACACAGGACTTTTGCTTCATACATAAAATTGAGAAAAAAAAGTTTTTCCTGGAAGACTTTTCCAGGAAAACAGTATTCTGTTTCAACGTATGTATTTTTTTCACTCATTTCTTTTCTTAATAATTGTTTCAGACTTCACAGGAACACAAACAAAAACGAACCACTTTAACAAAAAGGAAATTCTTCTACCCAGAAAATTGTCTTTACAAAGGGTCAATTTTACACATTAATATAAAATATTTACCATTTCATAGTCTGGTACTTCCATCCGTTTTTTCAAACTCTGTACAAGGGGAACTAGTGATTCCATTCTGGAAAAAAGCCATCCCACTCAATTAAACATCACAACCACCACAACTAAAATGATAATAGCAAATTATACATTATACTAACATTTACCATAATAACATGCTTCATATGGCACTTGGGAAATAAAAGATAAAGCTGTTCAAATATCTTAAAATATTAAGAAATAAATGTTTCCTGTTTTCTTACCCAAAAGATTACACATTGTGTTAAAGACTAAAAGTGAGCATTCAAGAAAATGAGATTTCTTCTTCAAAAATGGGAAGTTCTACTGACTTTAAAAATTATTTTGAGGCCAGGTGCGGTGGCTCATGCCTATAATCCCAGCACTTTGGGAGGCCGAGGCGGGCGGATCACTTGAAGTCAGGAGTTCGAGACCAGCCTGGCCAATGTGGTGAAACCCTGTCTCGACTAAAAATACAAAATTAGCCAGGTGTGGTGGTGCATGCCTGTAATCCCAGCTATTCGGGAGGCTGAGGCAGGAGAATTGCTTGAACCCAGGAGGCGGAGTTTGCAGTGAGCTGAGGCCGCACCATTGCACTCCAGCCAGGGTGACAAGAGTGAAACTGTCTCAAAAAAAAAAAAAATTATTTTGATTAGCAAGAAAACTAAGTGTTTTTAGCACACTGTGATGAAAAAAGGCTGTTTCCTGAAAGCTAAAAAAAAAAAAAAAAAATTAAGGACACGTTTATTTGTATATACAATTATTATTACTATTGAGACAGGATCTCACTACCACCCAGGCTACAGGGCAGTGGTGTGATCATGGCTCACTGCAGCCTCGAACTCCTGGGCTTAAGGAATCTCCCACTTCAGCCTCCCGAGTAGCTGGGACTATAAGTGAACACCACCACACCCAACTAATTTTAAAATCTTTTTGTAGAGATAGGGTCTTGCTATGTTGCCCAGACTGGTCTTAACTCTTGGCCTCAAGTAAGCCTTCCACCTTAGCCTCCCAAGTGTTGGGATTTTACAGGTGTGAACCCAGGCCTAGCCAGTAAATACAATTATAATCGGAAAAATCCTACATCATCTGATATAACATTGATGCATTTTTTTTTTTTTTGAGACAAGAGTCTCACTCTGTTGCCCAGGCTGGAGTGCAGTGGCACGATCTCGGCTCACTGCAAGCTCCGCCTTCCAGGTTCACGCCATTCTCCTGCCTCAGCCTCCCAAGTAGCTGGGACTACAGGTGCCCGCCACCACGCCCGGCTAATTTTTTTTATTTTTTAGTAGAGACGGGGTTTCACCGTGTTAGCCAGGATGGTTTCGATCTCCTGACCTCATGATCCGCCCGCCTTGGCCTCCCAAAGTGCTGGGATTACAGGCGTGAGCCATCGCGCCCGGCCACATTGATGCTTTTAAGGTATTAAGTTTAGGTGGACCTTTTGGAAGCTCTGATTGGCTAATGCTTCTAGTGTTTTAATTCCTCCTCCACAAATATTCACGAATTTGCTGGGAGTAAAAAAAGAAAGAAAAAAGGAGGCATGGAGGCCTGCCTGCTTGCCCACTTGTCCTGTTACTTTTTCCTTTTAATTAATGACATTTTCTAGGCTTCTGGACCCTAAACACCCACCTCACTTCCCTAGACATAGCGAAGCCTCCATGCCGAGGGTCTGGCTCTTTAGGGTCATGGTTGGTTTGGGGAGACTTTTCTTTCAGTGTCATCTACTTTTCCTTTATGCTATTTTTTTTCTCCCTTCAATACCAAGCACAGTCTAAACTCACTACTGTTGCAGTCTCATCATATTTTCAAGTCTGTGATAGAACTCTCTGCTGGTGATGAGGAGCTAACTGGGCATGCTCAGTAGGCAGAGTGGGTTTCAGTGGAAGTCTGTGGGCTGGACTTAGGATTCCAAGGTTTCCAGGCCTATTTTGTTGTTGTTGAAGTTTTAAACTTAGCTTGAGACTTCATGAAATAACAAAATAATAGGTATTTTTCAGTATTTCTAGGAAGACTCCTGTCCTGTGACTTATTTTTCTATCTCCCTCTTCTATCATTTCAAAAAACAGGGAATCATTTTAGAACCCTATACTGAAGAGGAAAAAGCATTAACTGATTTTTTTTTCTTTCTTTTTTTGAGACAGGGTCTCCCTCTGTCACCCAGGCTGGAGAGCAGTGGTGCGATCTCAGCTCACTGCAGCCTTGACCTCCCAGGCTCAAGTGATCCTCCCACCTCAGCCTCCCAAGTAGCTGGGGCCGCAGGTGCATGCCACCATGCCTGGCTAATTTTTTGTATTTTTTTGTAGAGACAGGATTTCACCATGTCACCCAGGCTGGTCTCGAACTCCTGAGCTCAGGCGATCTGCCCACCTTGGCCTCCCAAAGTGCTCAGATTACAGAGGTGAGCCACCACGCCCGGCCATTAACTGATGTTAAAGTGCCTAATCAATACTTACTGATGTGATTAATATTACTGTGAATTATTCTTCCACATCACTGCTTTGTTAGTGTCAATAATTAAAGCTTTATGATGTTTACATTTTAGGGATGTTTCTGAATATTTTAAGTAAAAATTACAATGAGTATTTTGAATAGATAATACGTGCACATAGCAAAAGAAGTAATTTCTCACTCATATACTTCATCATTTAGCCATAGAATTCCTCTCCCCAGAGGCAACCACTGTTTCAGCTTTTTCCATATTCTTCTAGAGATCTGCTGAATTATTTTTAATAACCAAAACATGACAAATCTTAGTGGCTGTTCATGTTCTGGCCTAAAGTACTATTGATTCTAATTTCCCGTTTTATCTTGCTACCTTACAACTGATTTTCTTTTGTTTACACCAGAGAGAATAATATGACAGTTCGTGGGAGATTAGTTTTAAAATAAGCTAGTTCTGGTTTTCCTATGCTCATGGGGACAAAAAGTTTGTCTGATGGTTTTATTTTAGTTTTCTGGCTGTTTGAGATTACATGATTTAAGAATTATTTTAGAGAAAAATCACTGTAATATTTATGTCAATATTCTTTCACTCCAGCTTCAATACCAAAGGCTTTCACTCAAAAAGAACTTCTCTCTCCATTCTTTCAAGGTGATATGAACAGCCAGTCAAATAAATTACCTGATGGAGAATCTAGCCTTCAAATACTGCTCCTTCACGTCAAGAGATTGAAAATACCCTTCCACTTGTGTTTGGGTTTTCCTTAAAAGAAGCTAAGTTTTCGCTTTTTTTTTTTGAGACGGAGTCTCAGAAAAAGTCCAGTCTCCACAGGCTGGAGTGCAGTGATGCAATCTCGGCTCACTGCAAGCTCCGCCTCCCGGATTCACGCCATTTTCCTGCCTCAGTCTCCCGAGTAGCTGGGACTACAGGCGCCCACCACTATGCCCGGCTAATTTTTTTTTTTTTTTGGTATTTTTAGTAGAGACTGGGTTTCTCCGTGTTGGCCAGGATGGTCTCGATCTCCTAACCTCATGATCCGCCCGCCTCAGCCTCCCAAAGTGCTGGGATTACAGGCGTGAGCCACCACGCCCAGCCAAATTTTTGCATTGTAATTTACTTGTCAAGTAATTTACTTTTCTGTTGTTAGGTTAGTATTTCTTTCTTACTCTACTTAGAACAGGGAATGCCTATGTACTACTCATCTTTAATTCTCTTTAAGACCTTGTATAGTATCTCATATTTAGGGGCAGCTACCATACAAAGACTAAAAACATGCCCACTTACTATGTGACTTGGGGCAATTTACTTAACCTTGGTTTCCTCATCTATAAAATTGACATAATAATAATAAAACCATAAGACTGTTGTAAGGAGTACATGAGATAAGGCAAGGAAAAATCTTAGATAAAGGGTACACAGAAAACACTCAATAATGTCTACTATTGTTAGTAAATGTGTTGAAATTTAATACTAATTCTTTTTTTTCTCTCTTTTTTGAGACAAGTCTCTGTCACCCAGGGTAGAGTGCAGTGGCATGATCACAGCCCACTACAGCCTCAAACTCCTTGGCCCAAGCAATCCTCCCACTTCAGCCTCCCAAGTAGCTGGGAGCAGTGGCTGTAGTGGCTACAGGTAGGTGCCACCATATCTGGCTAATTAAAAAACCTTTTTTTAGAGACAGGGTCTTGTTACATTACCCAGGCTGGTCTGGAACTCCTGGCCTCAAGTGGTCCTCTCCTGCCTCAGTGTCCCAAGTAGCTGAATACTACTTTTTTAAAAGCAATGTATCTTGCAAATTTAGGAACATATCTAGGACTGAAAGTTAGTAGAGTTGGGGGAAAAAAATGTTTGAGAGTCTTACCCAGGGTTTGAAGCCCATCTCTGTACCGTTTCTTCATCATCACCATCACACAAATCAGCGAAAGTGGCTTCTAAATCCTCTAATTGATGAATTCGAGTATCAACAATATCTACCAAATCTTCCTTTAAATACATTGAAAAGCTGAGATTATATAGTTATTCTTTCAAAAAACAAGCAACATCCCATTACAAAAAAAACTTGGCTCTATTAGTTAAAACATAATTTTCAAGTACTAACCATGGGCTTCGCCAATACACACACACACACACACACACACACACACACACACACACACACTTTGAGCAGTCTTTGAGATCACTGTGGTAATTTGCAAGATATTATTAGTTATATGATAAATGAATAAAACCCCAAAGAAACAAATGGAGGATACCTCTGTTAGGTTGGTGCCAGGTTTCTTAAATTGGTACAGCTCTTGTAAGATTTTGTACTCTTCCTGGAAAACAAAACAAAAAATCCACATACCAGAAAAAAAAAAGTTAAAATTTTTTAATGATATGCTTTAAGGAAGAGACAACCTTCCTTGTGATACAAGAACATCTTAGATAATTATTTAAAGGTATGTATGGGAGAATCAGGCAAAATGTATACTTTAGATTTTTATTGTAATAATTTTATTGTAAATATTGTAAAATTTTGTTTTATTGTAAATATCACTTCTTCAAGGCAACTCTATCCAGCTGGGCATGGTACTACTATGTAAAAATTACCTAAGGAAGCATACTTGGTGGCTAATGGGTCACGAGATGAAAATATTTTAAATAATATTCTGCTATATAAATGCCATGTCCTAGGATCTAAACAGACTTAGCTGTTTACAGGAAATATACATATCTTTAATAACAACAACAAAGAACTCCCTATGTTCACTTTGCAGCCATTTCTCTAACAACAGAAGAGATCTCTGAAGTACAAAGGCAATACTGGAGGTAGAATGTCAAAGACATAGAACCTCGGTCAGGAGGCACCACACAAGGGGAGAAAGAGGCTTGCTATACAAACTTTGTAGGATAATGTTTCCCCTTGTTTAGCACAGCTACATGGATCCATTATATAGGTGGGTACACCTGGCCCCAGTAATCCTATTTAGGAGTATTCTCAGGAAAAGGTTATACCCAAGGGCTAAAATTCATTAAGCACAATGTTGTGGCATATCTTCAGTGCTTTATTCATTATAACAATCCTGAGTTGGGTATGATTATTATTCTGATTTGATACTTGAAGAAACTATGGGTCGGAAAGGTTAAGTAATTTTCCTAAGATCATATAGCTAATAAGCAGTAGAGTTAACAACAGAACTTAACTCCCCTAACTTTTGAACATGCTTCTTTTTTATGAGATGGGGTCTCGCTGTCACCCAGGCTGGAGTGCAGGGGTGCGATCACGACTCACTGCAGCCTTGACCTCCCAGGCTCAAGTGATCCTCCCATCTCAGCCTCCTGAGTAGCTGGACCACAGGCACGTGCCACTATGCCTGGCTAAATTAAAAAAAAAATTTTTTTTTAATAGAGATGGGGTCTTGCTACGTTGCCTACGCTGTTCTCAAACTCCTTGGCTCAAGTGGTCCTCCTGCTTTGGCCTCCCAAAGTGCTGGGATTATACGCATGAGCCACCATGCCCAGCCTGAACATGCTCTTAAGAAAAAAAAAAAGATGAACATCTGTCTTTCCTAATGATATTTAAAAAATTGCTACTAAATAATAAAGTTTAATATATGCTTTTTAAAAAGTCCATTGTACCAAAGGGTATTTAGGCTATACAAATCCTTGTGTTCCCAGGTTTCCTAATAGCACTCTAAAAGGAATAACTGCCACTGAATTCCTTATGTAACCTTCTAGAAACTTTCATTACAAATATTTATTACAAATATTTAGGTGAGTAATCAGGCACATCACTGTTTAAGGAATAATCTGTTACACAGGATTTATATATAGAATATCGCTGGAAAGATACACAAGAAACTGATCACAGTATTTGTTTCTGAAGCAAAGAACTGAGGGAATGGGGATAAGAGAGTGCTGTTTTTCAATGTACACTTGTCCCTTGGTATCCGTGGGGGATTGGTTCTGGGACCTCCTGTGGATACCAAAATCTGTGGATGCTCAAGTCCCTGACATAAAATAGTGTAGTATTTGCATATAACATATGCATACCCTCTCATATACTTTAAGTCATCTCTAAATTACTTGTGGTATCTAATACAGTGTAAATCCTATGTAAATAGTTGTTATACTGTATTGTTTTTTATTTGTATTATTTTTTACTCTTGTATTGTTATTTCTAGTTGTTTTTTATTTTTTCTGAATATTTCCTATCTGTGGCTGGTTAAATCCAGGAATACAGAACCCACGGATACAGAGGGCTGACTGTATATACCTGTACTGTATGACTTAATTTTTATCCATCACCCATGTATACATTACCCCAATTAATAAATGCAAAATAATGAATACTATCTAGAGCAGGAGTTGGCAATCCACAGCCTATAGCCTGTTTGTGTATGGCCCTCAAGTTAAGAATGGTATATACAACTTTAAAAGGTTTAGAAAACAACAGAAAAGGGTATTAGTAGAGAATGTGAACCCCAAAGCCTAAAATAATTGCTAGCTGGCTGTTTAAAGAGTTTGCTGGTTCCTCATCTAGAGAAAAGCCATACAATTCTCAAGATCTATGTGTTAAAAACACAATTATTTACCTGAGTGAACATTTCTTTGAAGGGATTCTTGACTGAAAAAAAATCCAAGTCAATATCTAAAACAAATGCCTTCCCTTTCTTCAAAATTTCCAGAATTTCCCCAGTGCTGGCAGCAGTCTGGCATTCCTGATTTTCAGAAGAACATGAACATGATGGTTCTAGGCAAGTCTGGTCACTTCTCTGTGTTGCTGTGTCCTTTTCCAGTCCTTCTGAAGAAGAGTCACAGTTAGTAGAGGCAGTGTTTTCCGAATCTTCCAGGGCTAGCTTTGGTTTCTTAGCAGAAGACACTGCATCGTTTTCTTCTTGATTGTTACAGAGTTTATAAGGTTTTACCATAATTACATCCAATTGTAAAGGTTTTTGGTTCTCTAGCTGGTCTTCAGGTACATACAGACCATCACTTAGGAAATAATGATCTGTACTTGTAACCCTGAATCAGAGGAAAAAACGATTTTTAAGAAGAATGGGCAAATCAGTTGACATTTCACTATGGTATGGCAGAAATATAAGAACGGACCTATTTGACAAAAACTGAGAGCAGTCTCTAGTATTTATACTTCCTGTTCTTCTGTAGAAATAGCATTCCTCAAATTCTTAGCTGGACACACAGCTGCCCCATATAAAGACTACATTTCAGTCTGCCTTGCAGCCTGGTGTGGCCATGTGATTAAATTAAGGCCGGTGGTTGTGAATGGAAGAAAAGCATGCAGAGCTTTGTTCTCCTGTTCCCTGCTGACTGGCATATGAACACAGAGGTGGCAAGCCACCCTGGACTATAAGGACAGGGGCAATATTCTAGAGACGGTGGTGCAAAAAGGTAGAAGGAACTAGGGTTCCCCAAACTCTAGAGCTGCCACATAGGCCTGGACTGTGTACAGTGAATTCTAATATAAGAATAAACTCTCTTGTTTAAGCCAGTGTTCCTTTGTTCTCTCTCATACCAGCTGAATCTTTATCCAAAAAATCATTGAAGAGAAAAATTTCATCTGGAAATAATTTCTCTTAATAGAAACTCCCCCTGACATATTTTAGAGCTTTGTTAATTTCTATATAACCATAATATTCTCAGTATGAAAGGTGACTTGGTAAATACTTCAAACAGTGAAGCCAAATACTTCTTCTAGAGGCATGCCTTACCCACCTAAAATCATGGTTAATATTTATTTCCCACTTGACCTCTCCCAGCATACACAGCTATAAACTGTAAAAGCTATTTTCCAAAAATAGATTAATGACATAGTAAAACTAATGTCCAAGCTTATTAAAACTGTACAACCCTAAGATGAAGCTGTATCCCCCAACCTAAATTAATATTCTTTTTAATAACAGCAGTTCTCCCATGTTCCTATCATACAAACATGCAAGTATTTGTCAAACTGCACACCAACATGTATATGTGTCTCTTCCATACATTTTTACTTGCAGGATTAACCAAAGTCATGAATCAAAATCTTCCAAAATTGTTAATCACACGTGGAGTTTCAAATGTCTGTGTCAGATTGCTGAAAATTATTTGATTTTGTAGGTTAAATCAGGCCTACTCACTGAAGTACTCAATAAAAACCCTACTACTATTTCACATATACCAGTAGTATGTACAATATTTATATGCTGAGTCTTAATTATTTCTTTTGAATTATATCTGAAATAAATACAATTTTCATATATCACAACAAAGCTATTTGTGCAAACGACAAGATTATATACTACAAAAGTTAATTGTATCATTAAGAATAAATTAGAAATAAAGTATCATTTTCAATGAGGAAGACTATCTGATTTTCAACGTATTACCATTTCACTCCATTATCCTTAAGGTTCTAGAAAGTTATGGCTATACTGTTTAAAATATTTATCCCATCACAAGAGAATTTTAAAGTCAAGAACATATTGATATTTCTGAAAGTATTATAGTATCACAAGATACACAAAACATTGTTAAATAGCTTATACAATAAAAACAGTTGCATATTTATCTCAAGTCAGAGGATACTGTAATTTACTTTAGATTAAGTACTTATCTGAAACTAATTATATTATAAAGAAAATTAAAGCCCCAAATCTACTTATTCAGCAGTTGGATTTATAAAAAAATCAAAGTGAGATAATTTTGCCCTTTCACTGCTAATTACTGTTTTTTTGTTTGTTTGTTTTTTGTTTTGTTTTTGAGACAGAGTCTCACTCTGTTGCCCAGGCTGGAGTACAGTGGCACGATCTCAGCTCACTGCAAGCTCTGTCTCCTGGGTTCACGCCATTCTCCTGCCTCAGCCTCCTGAGTAGCTGGGACTACAGGCGCCTGCCACCACGCCCGGCTAATTTGTTTTTGTATTTTTAGTAGAGACGGTGTTTCACCATGTTAGCCAGGATGATCTCGATCTCTTGACCTCGTCTTCTGCCCACCTCGGCCTCCCAAAGTGCTGGGATTACAGGCGTGAGCCACTGCGGCAAATTCAGCAGACAACAGTTATACTGACAGGAAACAGTAAAATGTACTACTGAATGTATAAATCTATAAGATACTTCAATGGCTTAAGGAGTTAATCACCAATGAAGCCCAAATTCCGGAGGATAATGATCACATTCAAAATCTAATTTGACCAGCAACTAAATATAAATGGTACATGAAGAATATCAAGAGACTTAAAAGTTTGTTCTTCGTGTTTTGAGAACTCTTTGGAGAAGTCGAGGCTTAATCTGACCCTATTTGTGTGCAGAGACTTATGAAGTTATTATAGGAATCCAAAATAAGATAGAAACATTCAATCACTTCCATATTCACAAATATGAGGAAATTACCTGATTGTTGTGGTAGAAGTGTCTTTGCCTACTAAAAAGTGGTGTCTGCCCTCTCTGATCTGCTGAGCCCATGTGGGATGAAACCATATTACATGTGAAAAATGGCCAGCATAAACTGCAGGCATAATCCAATTTTCAATACTTAATTCTCTGGAAAAGAAACATAGAGACAACATTAAAACTTTTATTTTTATTTTTTCCCAAGTGTAATTTTATCCACAACATTTTAAGACCACAGGTCTCAAAGTGTGGTCCCTAGAGTGGTTCCTGAGACTTTTTCAGGGACATCACTATTACAAAACTATTTTCATGAAAATACTAAGGCATTATTTCCTGTTTTCATTTACTGACATTTGCAAAGATGGTGCAAAGGCACTGGTGGGTTGATGTTCCAACATTAATTAAGGCAGCAGCACCAAACTGTTAGTAGTTACTATATTCTTCATTACCAACCACTGCCAAAATAAATAAATAAATAAATATAAAAGTGTCATTCGAGAACATCTTGATTTTATTAAATTTCCATCCTGAGTATACATTTTTAAATATTATGTGTGGCAAAATGAGAAATGCACAGAAAGCTCTCCTGCTACATAGTTTGAAGCATAACAGTTGTCTCAAGGAAAAGCACTTGTGATTGAACTTTGAGGTGAACACCATTTATCTTGAAAGGAGTGGTCAAGAAACTATGGTTATTCACACTTGATACTGAATTGCTGAATTCTACATTTCAAATAAGCTTTAATAAACTACTACTTTTCAAGTTTTGGCGCACTATCAAAGAATATTCACAATTATCTAAAAAGGCTATCAAAATATTCTTTCCTTTTCCAATTACATGCCTGTGAAAGCCTGAATCTTCATCATATATTTCAACCAAAACAGCATATGGCAATGGACTAAATGCAGAAATAGACGTGAGAATCCAATGGTCTCTATAAAGGCAAATATTAAAAGGATTAAACATTGGCTAGGCTGTTTTTGTAAACAAAGTTTTTTTGGTTTGTTTCTTTTAAGAGATGGGGTCTGGTTATGTTGCCCAGTCTGGAGTGCAGCAGCTATCCACAGGCTTTGATCACAGCCTGGAACTGCTGGCCTCAAGTGATCTTCCCACCTTAGCTTCCTGAGTAGCTGGGACTACAGGCTCATCCACCATGCCCAGCTTGTAAATAAAGCTTTATTGGAACACAGCTACTGTCATTTGTTTACACAGTGCTTGTGATTGCTTTCACACTACAAAGGCAAAGATTAATAGTTGCAACAGAGACCATATAGCCAGCAAACCTAAAATATTTGCTAATCTGGCTCTTTAAGAAAGTTGTCAACACTTGTTCTAAATAAAATGAAAAAGACAAAAAGACAAACAAAAAACCCCCAAACCCATGAGTTTAGCAAAGTCTATTTCCTATAATTGCTTATTATCTACTGCAAATTGTACTTCAAACACAAAAGACCATAAATAAAATCACATATTACCCAAAGAGTGTTTCCTTATCAAACACGGTGTCTGCTGGCATATTCACAGGAATAAGGAGGTCTGGATGTGAGTCGAAATGTAAAAAACTTACATTACTGGCAGGAAGATGCTTTGAGCCTATGGCCCGGTATATAAAGGGTAGAACCTGTAAAAGACACAGGCACACAATAAGAATTAACACTGAAACCATGAGCACACACTCAACTGCAGACTGAAAAACAATGCTAAATAATGCACATAATTGAAAGCATACTATGTTGCTGTAAAGTGGAAAAACATAAAATTTGTTTACTGTAGATGGTGCAGATGATAATCTCAAGCATTACTTTGTCCTCAGAACTTCCAACCTGCATCTCCAGCGGCCTTCCTGCTGCCCCCTTGAACTCAACAGGTCATGTGGGGAAACAGACCAGGACTGGGGCTCAGGAACAAACTACCGCTTAATGCCTGTTCTAACATTAACTAGGTGTTCAAGGTACCCTAGGTCTCAAAGTATTCTTTTTTTTCCTTTAAAAAGGGATAGGGGCTTGTCAGTTGCCCAGCCTGGAAAGCAGTGGTGTGATCATGGCTCACTGCAGCCTTGGACTCCTGGGTTCACACGATCCTCCCACCTCAGTCTCCTGAGTAGCTGGGATTACAGGCACGCACCACTACGCCCAGCTAATTTTTTCACTTCTATTTTTGTAGAGATGGGATTTCGCTCTGCTGTCCAGGCTGGTTAGGGTCTTTTTGGTACACTTAGAATGGTGGGGTTGGGCTAGGTGGTCTATAAAGGCCATTTCTCCTCTTACATCTTCTCTAATTCTAGGTTTAATACCTAATTTGAAAGCACCGTCTAACCTAGGCTTTCTCATTCTCTCAAGGTCATAGACACTATATCCAGGTCCTGAGAAACCTATCTTCCTCTCCTATTAGCTGTCACCAACAGTAAATCCCTCTTCTTTTTTAACGTCCAGAGAACTGCCTCCCATCCCAAGCCTACTGATGCTACTTTAAAACATATTTATTAGATCCATGGGCCTCCTTTGTTGACTTGGAAAAGTCTAGATTAAGACACCAATTTGGCTACTGTAAATCAGCACGGCCATAAACATGGAAACCCCTTTTAGTGTTTATCTATGCAGGGCACCGTGTTAAATTTTTTTTTTTTTTTACGCAATATGGGCCGTGCGCAGTAGCTCACGCCTGCAATCCCAGCACTTTGGGAGGCCGGCGGGGGCCGATCACGTGAGGTCAGACTTTCAGACCATCCTGGCTAACGTGGCGAAGCCCCGTCTCTACTAAAAATACAAAAATTAGCTGGGTACGGTGATGCGTGCCTGTGATCCCAGCTACTCAGGAGGCTGAGACAGAAGAATCGCTCGAACCCAGGAGGCGGAGGTTGCAGTGAGCCGAGATCGCGCCACTGCACTCCAGTCTGGGTAACAGAGAGAGACTCCGTCTCAAAAAAGAAAAAAAAAAGATTTTTAAACACAGTATGCACACAATAATACTCCTAAGAGCCCTGTGAGTCCTACGATTACTGTCCCCATTTCAGATCAGAGCCCACGTTCCAAGCATAAAGCCTCCCATCTAAACAGCAGGGCTGTGGTGGCGATTCCAGGAGATACTTGGAAGCCAGAGTTAACTGCAGGTTAAGAACACAGGGCTCTGCAGCCAGACTGTCCGGTTTCGAATCCCGATGCCACCTTTTGTTTGGTTCTGGGATTTGGGGGCAAACCGAGGTAAATAAGTTGCCCCGACTCGTAGGAAGCGCCCATAAATGTCAGTTCTCATTCTTCCTAGTTAGCTGTTTTGGGGTCCTCTCCACAGCAACGGAATAGGGCAGTTTAACTCTGGTTAACTCTCTGGCCTCCGATGCTAAGGTTGCGCCCTCTGCTTGGCCCTCTGAGCGTCAGGGCTTCCGCTGATTCTGCCCCAGAGCCCTGTTGCCGTCCGCTCACCTCCTGATGATCCTCCACCACCCACACTGGGAGCTTGGGGTAACGCCGGAGACCAGCGCGCCCTCCCGCGGAGTCACTCATGTTTTTGCGCCCGTCAGTTTTGCAGTAAAGCGGTGGCAGCTGGAGAAGACCCGGGAAAGCCGGCGCCTCATCCCGGCCAGCTCTCTCCGGGCGGAAGCGCTCCCTCACCCGGTTGCGTTTTCGGATTGGAGGACGTAGGGGGAGGGGGCGCGGGCTCCAAAGGGTCTTTTGCTGACGATTGGTCTAGACGTCCATCGCTTTCGTTGACGCGCCAATCACCGCGCACAAGGCCCTGCGGTGGGCTGAAGAGTTTTCCCTCCCTTGGCCCAGCTTTCTCAGGTTTGCTTTTTAATTCCCTCGGTTTCCTGTTCCGGAGGCGCGGGCGGTGCCACTGTCTTGGTACCTGCGGTAGTAGCCTGGCTTTGCTCTGACGGCGATCTCGCGGCCCGAGAGCCTTTTATAGGTAAAAGGGGTACCTTGCAAGTGTTAGAAGAGAGTTTCCGAGTGTCAGGATTTAAACGGGGCTGGAGTCTCCGGGGCTGGGGTGAAAAGCGTCCGGGAATTGGGGTCGGGCAGCCCCACTTCAGATCTGCAGCTAAGGGCAAAAGAGCGACGCTAGGCCTGGATCCCGCAAATAAGTGGAAGTGAAAAAGGAGACCTTTCATTCATTTGTGGAGCACACACTATGGTCCAGGCCTGGGGCCGCCCGGCTCTCGGAGGGGAGTGAGATCCTGAGCTCAGCGCCTGCCTCGTGGGGCGTACCGTCTGGCGGGAGATGCAAACAGTAAATGTGCAGTTATGGATCAGGATGAAGGTGACTGCCCTGCAGATCCACCTGGGGAAAGAGGGAGTTCTCAATAAAAATGTAGTCACACTTTAAAATTCTTTTTACATGCACTGACGTTCTGGCCGTGTTAACTATTCAAGACAGCTCCTTCAGTGTCTCTGTTTCCAAACCGCAACCGAGAAGAGACAGACGGAGAAAAGAGAGTTACTTTTCCAGGTGCAGTGAATTCCTTGACTTTTGAATTAAAGTCTGCATCCACAACACAGCCGGACTATGCCTTCAATAGGTCAATTTCATGATTAGTATTTTTAGATTTTCTAACTACTGAAACATCCATGAGGATCTGGCAGTGAATGTTCAGCTCTTGTTACACACTGTACAAGAGTGTTCGTGACCCTGACTTTTGCCCACCTCTAGGTGCGGCACACACCTTTGTGTTCCCCTAAGCCCTGCACATACCTCTTTTTTGTGTGTTTATTGCATTATTTTGTATTTTTAAAACACTTACTTGTACGTGGGTTCTGAGTTCCTTGAATCCTACAGGCTGTGTGTCTTATTATCTCTGAGTCTACAGGGCCTGGGACAGTGCTTCCCATTTATGGGCTCATTAAATATTGCATGACTCAGTGAAAAGGCCTGCTTTCTGTTGCGGAGGTACATGGAAGGGAAATGTACAGTAGCAACATGGAAACATACTATTGGTGAGAGAGTAAACATTTATTGACCACCTACTGTGTGTAGGTTGCTTTTCCCGGGGATGTGAAGGATACAGAAATGACTGTGAATCAACCCATATCATCAAGGAGCTGATAATCTAGTGGAAGAGTTAGACGTGTGCATACTTCACTATGATATGAGGCAGTCTCTGGTAAGTGCTGTAAAAGGATTAAGTATAGACTAAGTCTAGAGGGAATGGGATTACCTAAGGGAATCAGGAAGGGCTTCATAGAGGAGGTGGCATTTAAGATTGATAGATGGATAGAAAATCACTGGGCAGATTCATACGTTGGGAGATTTTTTTTTTTTTTTTTTTTTGAGCTAGAGTTTCGCTCTTGTTGCCCAGGCTGGAGTGCAATGGCGCGATCTGAACTCACTGCAACCTCTGCCTAGGGTGGGAGATTTTAGAGAGGAGAACGGGAGCAAAGAACTAGCTGGTTCTTTGTACTCGAATGGTAATCTGTTGGGAAAACATGGGGTAGTAGGGTCTTTCTGGGGAAGGTACTGGAGAACAAGCCTGGGTCCAGAGTCAATAGAGCCTTAAATGCCAAGCACAGAGGTTGAACTTGATTCTGTTGGCAGTGAGTAGCCTATGGTGGCAGGAGCACCTGTCCGGGCCCCAGGTTTATCATGAGGGTACTGGACTGGATAATAGTAATAAGGAGTCAGGCGCAGTGACTCACGCCTGTAGTTCCAGCTATTTTGGAGGCTGAGGTGAGAGGATTGCTTGAGCCCAGGAGTAAGAGACAGCAGTGAGCTATGATTGCACCACTGCACTCCAGCTTAGGGACAGAGTAGACTTTGTGTCTTAAAAAAAAAATCAGATATTATTTGGTGCCTATTATTTATTAAGCACACTGACTGCTAGCATAATCTGAAATTATTTTCATGAGCCATTTGAAAGTCTACATAGTAAAGTTCTATTGATGAGACTTTTAGAAAGACTTTCAGAAAATGTTTCTATGTTACAGCTTTTTGTACTCAATATTTATGTGAGTTTTTAAAAAATGTTTTGCTGAAGTTCAAGTATTTGGAAAATCATTCATGTTTACAGTGTTTTTATGTGGGAGGAACTGAGAATGAAAATTAAGAATCATTAACTGGTGTGTTAACAAGATTCTGGTTATGTTTGAATTTGAATGCTGGTCTCACTGTGATTTTTGTGTTTGGTCTATGCCTACATGGTTTGTTTTTTTTTTTGTTTTTTTTTTTTTGTTTGTTTTTTTGAGACTGTCGCCCAGGCTGGAATGCAGTGGCGCCATCTCGGCTCACTGCAAGCTCTGCCTCCCAGGTTCATGTCATTCTCCTGCCTCAGCCTCCCGAGTAGCTGGGACTACAGGCGCCCACCACCACGCCCGGCTAAGTTTTTGTATTTTTAGTAGAGACAGGATTTCACTGTGTTAGCCAGGATGGTCTCCACCTCCTGCCCTCGTGATCCACCTGCCTCGACCTCCCAAAGTGCTGGGATTACAGGCGTGAACTACCATGCCCGGCCTATGCCTACCTGTTTTTACCATGAAGGAAACGAGAGTATGAAGGGGGAGAGGGGAAATGATATTTTTCCCAAGTCTTTTAACAAATTAGAGATGATCTATGCCTATAAGTCTTTTTAGCTGCTGATAGTTTTGAGTTGGCAAAACTAGTAATAATGACATTTTAAAATTTAAGGACATTAAAAATTTAGTTGGAAACTTTAACACAGTTCAACATGCTTTTAATTTTGTTTGTAGGCTAAGTGTATTGGAAACTACAAAATTAGTGTTATGGTAATTGCAGAAATATTTTGTAGCATTGGCAGTTTGGGAAACATGTTTATGTCTGTTTTATTCTTTCTGTTTTTTAGAGCTTATATTCTCTGTGGAAGATGTGACATATCCAGGCGGAACATCATGATGCAGGGAAACACATGGTGAGTGCCGTGATGGGAATGGCAATAGTTTGGGAGAACCGAGAGAGGAGCAGACATTGGTGCTGGGCTATAGAGGGTGGAAAGGATTTAGATACATGGGGAGAGGGGATAATGTGCTCATTCTTTCAACAGTGGGCACAATACAATAGAGGGCCATGCCCAGGGCTGGGAAGCCAGACCAGAACAGTTAATAGAAATCCCAGAGCGCTGCCCTGACAGCGCTTGCAGTTCCGAGGTGCAGGCAGACATTAAAGGTGGAATTAGGTCCTTAGAAGGTGGATTGTAATTATTGTAGGACCTGCTAAGAAGCAGCACAGAGTGTTGTGAGAGCAAGGAACCTAACAAAGCCCTAGGGTCAGTGACAGTGGTTGTAGAAAGGCCAGCAAGGATATTATTATAATAGCCATGTAAGAGGTGATGATGTGAAGTAGATGAATTCAGGAAATATTTATGAAGCAGAAACAATTGGATTTTTTGTTTATTTTTTATTAAGGGATAGTTGCCATATAAGTGACAGCAATTTTAAAGTAAATTTTTAGCTAAGGATGGGGGGTGAGGGAGGACAAGTCAGATGATTCCCTGTTACATGTCTTAAGGACTATTAATGGTGTCATTTATTGAGATAGGAAATACTAGGAAAAGAGCAAATGTTTGTCTTGGAGGGCAAGGTCATTAATTCCTTTTAGCATATGTTATGTTGAATTTGTTGGTCCAGGTCAGTGAGACACTCAAGGAGAGAGATGGGGTTGGTAATTGGCAGTGTGGGTCTGGAGCTCAGAAGTTGTGGGCTAAAGGTGTAACTTGGGAGTTTCTGACAGATTGATGTCAATTGAAGCAGTGCAGGTGAGTAGCATCACTTTGGAAGAGAGAGTGAGCAGAGTGCCTGGGCTAGACCCCTGAGGAATACCAGACGGTTAAAGGCCCCCTAGCAGAGAAGAAGCTGGTATGGGAGACTGCCAGGAGGAACAGCCAGAGAAGTAGGAAGGCCACAGTGAAGGCATCATGTCAGGAAGCCAAGAAACGCATCCATGGGGGTGGGGGCTGGGGAGGCAACTGGACTGATTGCTGCACAGAGATCAAGCAAGGTGATTGAAAATGACCTTTGGTTTTCAAGACAAGGTGGGCACTGATCATGTCACTTATTGGAGAGGTGGTGGAAGCTGAAGTCGGATTAGAGTGAGTTAGAAGTATATACACTTTTGTCTTAGCTTGGGCTGCCATGACTAAATGCTATAGACTGGGTAACTTAAACAGTAAACATTTATTTCTCACAGTTCTGGAGGCTGGCAGTCTGAGATCAGGGTACCAGCACAGCCAGGTTTCTGATGCATGCCCTCCTCCTGCCTTGCAGGTGGCTGCCTTCTTGTTGTAGTCTCACCTGGTAAGGGGTGGGTGGCAGGGATTTCTTTTCTCTTTCTCTCTTCATAAGGGTACTAATCCCATCATAATTACCTCTCAGAGTCCCCACTTCCATATAGCATCACATCAGCGTTATGATTTCATCAGCAGGAATTTTGGGATGGACACAAACATTCGGTCTGTAGCAACGTTTTCAGGTCATTTGACTGTAAAGGGGAGGACAAAGAAGGGGCAAAGTCAAGGGAGACCTGGAGGCCAAGGAAAGTACTTTATGTTGGAATAGACCTGAGCACTTTCAAATGCTGATGTGAAGGGTCTGGTATCAGGGAGAGGTGGAGGATTGCAGAGGGGGGGTGGTAATCCCAAATCTGCATTTGGAGATGGGAGTGGGGGCTGGGGAGGCAAGCCCCCTTGATCTTGTGAGGTCAAGATCAGAGGGGAACTTGAGCAAAGGCATGACAGCAAATGGTGAACAATGGGATGTTGAATTGGTCATTTTGGAAGTGGAGCAGCTTTAAGGAATGGTCGGTCCAGGGACTAAACATGGCAGTGGGCTGGGTGGCCAAGAAAGGGGAAGAGGAGTTTATTGAGCATGAGGGTTTCAGATGTTAGCAGGAACCCAGTATTAAATGGGTGGCCTATTCCAGTGGCTTGACTAGGGGGTCTTTGAGTTGCTCATCAAGATGGTCAGGCATTTATGAAACCCTGTTTACATAGTAAGAATTATTTTTTAAAAAAACTTTTCCCTTTTTCTTTTCTGCCATGAAGTCACAGAATGTCGTTCCACCCGGGACGAGGGTGTCCCCGAGGACGAGGAGGACATGGAGCCAGACCCTCAGCACCATCCTTTAGGCCCCAAAATCTGAGGCTGCTTCACCCTCAGCAGCCTCCTGTGCAATATCAATATGAACCTCCAAGTGCCCCTTCCACCACTTTCTCAAACTCTCCAGCCCCCAATTTTCTCCCTCCACGACCAGACTTTGTACCCTTCCCCCCACCCATGCCTCCGTCAGCGCAAGGCCCTCTTCCCCCCTGCCCAATCAGGCCGCCTTTCCCCAACCACCAGATGAGGCACCCCTTCCCAGTTCCTCCTTGTTTTCCTCCCATGCCACCACCAATGCCTTGTCCTAATAACCCCCCAGTCCCTGGGGCACCTCCTGGACAAGGCACTTTCCCCTTCATGATGCCCCCTCCCTCCATGCCTCATCCCCCGCCCCCTCCAGTCATGCCGCAGCAGGTTAATTATCAGTACCCTCCGGGCTATTCTCACCACAACTTCCCACCTCCCAGTTTTAATAGTTTCCAGAACAACCCTAGTTCTTTCCTGCCCAGTGCTAATAACAGCAGTAGTCCTCATTTCAGACATCTCCCTCCATACCCACTCCCAAAGGCTCCCAGTGAGAGAAGGTCCCCAGAAAGGCTGAAACACTATGATGACCACAGGCACCGAGATCACAGTCATGGGCGAGGTGAGAGGCATCGGTCCCTGGATCGGCGGGAGCGAGGCCGCAGTCCCGACAGGAGAAGACAAGACAGCCGGTACAGATCTGATTATGACCGAGGGAGAACACCATCTCGCCACCGCAGCTACGAACGGAGCAGGTAAACCGCTTGTGTGTAGTTCTTTAATGAACTGCAGAGGCCCAGGCACGGTCATTCTCCATTTATGACAACCAAACCAAAAGGATCCAGTAGGGCATCTTGATTTATGTAAGGAAAGGAAGCACATTTTGGACTCTGTTTTCAAGAGGAAGAAACAACTGACAAATAAGTTGATGTCAGAAAAAAATTGCTTTTAAAAAGCATTCCAAATATATCAGTGTAGATTCATTTCAGTGAATATAAGACTTTTACTCTGCATAATACAGTTGACATTTTAATGATGATCCCATGAGATGAAAGATCTTGTATTTTTTGTGTTATCATAGATTAAATTATGTTCAATGTGATCATCATATCAGGTTATAGCATTTGAGTTTTTTTGGAACTGGCGATCTGCGTGTTAATAAAGAATCAAATTAGTTAACAGGAAGGACTTTCTGAGTTTTAGGATAAGTAGAAATTTATTGTACATTGTTGCCTTCTTGGTTGGTTTCTTTGTAAAACGAAGTAAGATTATTTACACATTATGAAAGTTAGTTTTCAAAATATCTTTTTTTTTTTTTTTTTTTTTTTTTGTGACAGAATCTCGCTATGTTGCCCAGGCAGGAGTGCAATGGCGAGATCTCAGCTCACTGCAACCTCCACCTCCTGGGTTCAAGCAATTCTCTCACCTCAGCCTCCCAAGTAGCTGGGATTACAGGTGCACGTGACCACACTCGGCTAATTTTTTTTTTTTTTTTTTTTTTTTTGAGATGAAGTCTTGCTTTGTTGCCTAGGCTGGAGTGCAGTGGCGCAGTCTCGGCTCACTACAACCTCTGCCTCTGGGTTCAAGTGATTCTCCTGCCTCAGCCTCCTGAGTAGCTGGGATTACAGGCGTGCACCACCACGCCCAGCTACTTTTTGTATTTTTAGTAGAGACGGGGTTTTGCCATGTTAGGCAGGCTAGTCTCGAACTCCTGACCTCAGGTGATCAGCCCCCCTCGGCCTCCCAAAGTGCTGGGATTACAGGTGTGAGCCACTGCGCCTGGCCTAATTTTTGTATTTTTAGTAGAGACGGGGTTTTACCATGTTGGCCAGGCTGGTCTTGACCTCCTGAACTCAAGTGATCCACTCACCTCGGCCTCCTTAAGTGTTGGGATTACAGATGTGAGCCACCATGCCTGGCCTAAAATTGCTTTTAATCTGATTTTGTTGCATTGAAATGGATTCTTACTGAAGAAAGTTGTATTTTAAAAATACTGTTTCATTCTATATTACATTTCTTTTTTCAAAAGATCAAATAGGTATAAATATGAGAGAAATAATGTTTCAAGGAGGCATTTCTAAAACTGGGATTCTAGCTGGGCTTACAGAAATACTCTGAAGTTATATGCAACTTTTTTGTGTGTGTGTTTTTCTAGAAGGAAACTTACATCAGGTTCTCAAAGAAGGAGGGTGTGAGTCTGTTATCCCAAAAGCCTGAGAACCATTGGTTTATATGGAAAAATAAAAGACACATATCAATTGTGCTAATGTTTATTTATGCCTCAGTGAACCCTTACACTGATGAAGATTTGAGATCTTCTGTTGTCAAGCTAATTACGGTGCTTCTCTTTCTTTCCCCAGTAGTGTACTTACCTTCGTTGTCTTGTGGAACTTTTGTGCTAAAAGTGTTTGAGCTCCCCAGACCAAGTCACTTCACTCTGGGTTTGCAGAGAGCTGGTCTTGGTTCTTGTTGCTCTGCAGCTGATTTAGGAACCAGTTCACATCTGTTTCCACATTTTTCTCATGGCTCTATCAATTTGGTTCTGACTGAACATTTTGCCAGTAAATTAAATGATAGTGGTCATTCTCTGCACTGAAGAGAGGGATTAGTGCTCAGAAGGTTCAGAAGGAAAATGCTTTGTTGCCTCTCCCTGGTGGCCTGGTAGAAGATAGAAGGGAATGTGTTACTTGTAGGGATGACTCATTTCTGGTGGGCCAAAGCTGAGTGAGAGTTGGTAGACTTTAAAAATCTTTTCAGCATGAACTACTGTTTCTGGTCAATATTCTGTGATGGACTAGTTGGCAAAGGCATAGGCATGTGATAGTTTTTTTTTTGTTGTTTTTTTTTTTTTTTTTTTGGAGACAAAGTTTTGCTTTTGTTCCCCAGGCTGGAGTGTGATGGCGCGATCTCGGCTCACTGCAACCTCTGCCTCCCGGGTTCAAGCGATTCTCCTGTCTCAGCCTCCTGAGTAGCTGGGATTACAGGCACCTGCCACCAAGCCCGGCTAATTTTTGTATTTTTAGTAGAGATGGGGTTTCACCATGTTGGTCAGGCTGGTCTCGAACTCCTGACCTCAGGTGATCTGCCTGCCTCAGCCTCCTAAAGTGCTGGGATTACATGTGTGAGCCACCGCTCCTGGCTGGCATGTGATAGTTAATGTTACAGTTTTATAGTGCAAATGTTAACTGGAAAGAGTAAATAGTTTGTAAATAGTTTTCTTCAGACTCTAAAGTAATTGTTAATAATTTTGCTTCTGGGAAAACATTTTGCAGCAAACATTCTAGATAGTGTTGTATTTCCGCCTCTGTTTTGATATGCTATAATTAGAGGAGTTGTCAGGGCTCTGCTGTAAATCCTAAATTTTTCCATCAAGGCTTCAACTTGGAGTTATGTATTTGTTTGAAGAAACTCAGATGTCCTGTGAATTGCGGATCTCAGTAAAATCAAGTGTCGTAAGAATTACTTCTAACCTGATTTATCCTAAACCACACTCCTTTACTATGAGGATCTATATCTTTCTAAAACGGGCTTTATTTATATTCGAGTTGTTTTATAATGTGCTTGGGGCATTTGCTCTGGAGCTGCCTAGTGGCATAGCTACATTATAATTGGCTCCCTTTGGGATATTAATTAGGTGGAATGTCAGTCATCTGTCTTATATGGCATGCTTCTGTGAAACAAACATGGAGCACATGAAGTCCTAATATAACTTCTAGAAGTATATTTGGAAAACTGAAACTTCATAAATTTGCATTGTGTTAAGTTTATGCAAATTCTATAGTCTGTTTTCTTGTTGCCCCTCCCCTGCTTCTTGGGGTAAGTGAATCTATCCTTTTACAAATTCTGTGTTCCCTATTTTTCTCTGCCTCCAAAATGTGGTTGAATAACAATTGCAAGATTGTCTTAGGGTGGACTGTTTTTAGAAAAGGTCTGTGAAAAAGTGGATATATGTATTTGTTGTCATGAAAAATGAAAGTTACTCCAGGGATAAGGAAAGAAATTGCTACAGGCAGATGTAGTGCACCAAGCACACTGTTGAGCAGAGTGGTAAGGATGTGTGCCCTGGGCTTCACCTAGCTAGGGAGTGCTACCACGCAAGAATTCTCATGGCTGACCTTGTGACAGTAAATGTGTAGCTACTGGAGAACTACCCTAATGTACCTAAGGAATATCTTAATGTTTGCAAACAAGGAAGAATCTTGGGAAAAGTAACACAAACATAGCTTTTCTTGCTTTAAAAGAATTTGTCTTAATAGTGTTACTAATGTGATTTATATCCAAATTGGTCTTTTCAAGTCCTACCCACTCAGAGGTACCAGTCATCATTAGAAGTGTTATTCTTAAATGCAAAATTCTATTGGCTATATGGTAAAAAAAAATATATTAGAAATATCCTCTAATTAGAGTTTTTATTTGGAAATGTACGCAATTATTTTTTTCAACAGCCGTGCCATTACAAATTACATATATCTTTGACATGTGGCATGGTTCACTAATTTCTATACAATAACTAAGATTTACTGCCCAAATGTAAACTCTGATTTTAGAAGTGTATGAGATGAAGAATGTAGAATCCAAATCTCTGGCTGCTTTATTTGGGATAGCTGGTATATATCTGAGGATTGTATATATATCAGAAACATTATTCAAAGGAGTCTTCCTTTAGAACAGGGGAATCTTTAAGTGGAAAGCAATTTCTATTTTAATACCTAAGCACTCACCGATCTCTGTCAGTTTTGTAAGTTCTATTTTCAATGTATTGACATTTCTGTTTGGTGATAGGTTGGGGGATATTTTTGAGTTCAAACATTTTAATGGTCTTCTTTCTGGACTCAGGTTAATATAGCATTTTATTTTTCCTGTTCTAAGATTGGAAGGTTACTTCCTTTAGACTTGTAGTTCTGATTCAGACACACTAGAGTTCAGATTTCTCTTCTAGGTCCTCATTGTTAAATAGGCTCAAAAGCTATTAATATTATTAAACCCCAGTTTTACATTGGAAGGTTTTAAAAATTCCTCATCTATTTTTTTTTACATTAAGTAAGCCCAACATCTCTATTTAGTTTTTTTTCCAGATGAAAAATAGCATTCAAGTGACTTAGTCATGGCCTCATGGCAGGTTAGTGATAGCTAGATCTACAACTCAAGCCTATAAGCCATAAGCATTAAGAGCTCTTTCATTATAGAACCTTGTCCTAATTTTCACTATAAAAGCTTTATAATTTACATTTATTTGATAGGTAAAATAGAGCATTTTTTAGAAATCAATAGGATGTGGAGTTCTTTAGAGTTTTCCCTCTAGGTTAAATAACCAAGGATTGGCTGATTGCAAGGTTTTAAGGGAAGATTAGGATAAAATTCCCATTATTGCGTAGCATCATGTATGACTTCTTTCTTTAAAGAAAACTGCAAAAATTCTCCAAGTTAGTTAACTTCTGTAAAGTGAAAAGCTCCTTTATCCTCTAATAAATTAAGAAGGCATAAAAATGTCCCCCAGTGAACAGTGCCTGAAAAATTCCTAGATGTGGTCCATTTATTTACAAGATGAATTCAGTGAAAAGAGATGGTGTTTTTGAGTCTTTCTGTTGAAAACAGCTCTGTGTATTAATTCCTTTAAGAGAGCGAGAACGGGAGAGACACAGGCATCGAGACAACCGAAGATCACCATCTCTGGAAAGGTCCTACAAAAAAGAGTATAAGAGATCTGGAAGGTAAGCAAGGAGTTGACACTGAAAGAAGTCATAGGATTATCTCCTTGAATTCAGATTTTGTGCTTGTATGGAGCAACAGCCAAGTCTTCATAATGGCCTCAGAGTCTGTCCAAGATGACCTGTGAAAAGCTAAAGCAGACTGTAATTTAAAAGACTTTACTTTCAAGATGCATTGATTATGCACAAGGAAAATCTTGATAAATTTCCAAAAATTAGAAATTATACAGACCACTTTTTCTGACCACAGTGCTATAAAACTATACATTAATCATTTTAAAAAACCTTGGAAATTCATAATTATGCTCTTAAATTTACATGTTTCAGAAAAAAAGAGCAAAACTGCAGTCATATTTTCATTAGAAAATGACATTGAGATTGCTATCACCCAAAACTTAAAGGGTGTAATCAATTCTATATCCCGAAGTAAAATTTTGTGGTCTTACATTAATATGATGGTAATGAAGAACAGCACTCTAGAATCTGACAGATTCGGGGTCAGTTATTAGCTCTCCCAATTTTATTACTGGGCAAAGTTATCAGTGTCTTCGTTTGTAAAATAAGGACAGTTATATGTACCTTCTTGAGTGATAAGGGGTCATTGAGATAATGCATGTCAAACACTTAGAACTGGGCCTGAAGTAAGTGCCAAATAAATGGTAACTATGTATATAATTATTATCTGAGCACTTGGCTATAGAAATTGGTGGAGCTTAAGAAAAGCAGAAAAAGGGATTTAAAGATAAATTAATGAAATGGAAATAGAACTACAGTGATATAACTATATTGTAAGTAAATGCAAATACAATTTTTAAAGTGGGAAATAAAAGAAAAATCTACATAACATTAGGTTTGAGAAAGTGTATTGTTACAGGAATGAAAAGAAATTAAAAAATTTAAAACCGTTTAAAAAATTAACTTGAATGTGATGGGTTGATTTCTAAGAAAACAAAAATAATTTCACACAAGAAGCAGAAAACTTTAATAGGTCAATAACTCGAAAAATGGAAAAAGCTTACTTTGCACCACCTCTAAAAAAAGCTTTAAAGTGGTCTTGAACACTAAAAAAAGATGGAAGGAAAGCTCAGCTCATTCTGTAGTAGCAGGAAAAACCAGATGGCAAAACCTAACCAAGGGAAAAAAAATGACACAAAAACGACACAGCAATCTCTCTTACAAATATGGATATAAAAACACGAATTAGGATATTAGCAAATGTTTTCAGTAGTTTGTTAAAATAACAGATAGAGTTTATTCCAAGACTGCATGGATAGAAAAGTTAATATTAGAAAATCTGTATTGTATGTGTCAAAATCTGTAGGGTTATCTCAGTACTTACCTTTTAGGTATTTAAACTAAAATCAGCATCCATATGTGAGTAAAAACTAGTAAACTAGAAATATTAACAGTTGTCTTTAACATGATGAAGAATGGTAGCTCACGATGAACCTGATGGATACCATCCCCAAAGAGTCAAATGTGGTGTTGAAACCTGCAGGCCTTTCCCATACAAATTTGAAAAAAGGCAAGGAGGCCCCATTGCTTATCGTTGTTACTGAATATCCTTGTGATACAATCAACATGGTAATTAAAAACATGGTGTTTTTGTGTGTCCCGGGTATTGTACTGGTATGGGTGATATAGGCATTAACAAAGGCCCCCACTTAATAGGAAAAGGAAAGTTAAGTGCTGTAAGTGCGTTTGATAGGACACTTACATGTTGCTCTGGATTAGATGAGATTAATTAGGAAGGATGAAATGCCATGGGTTAGATGGGATTAATTAGGAAAGATGACAAGAGGGCCTGAGGAGGAGGAGAGGAGACAGGAGAAAAGCCAGAGTATTGTGTCAGTGGACATCATTGAGGACCTATTTGAGGTGGATGATTTTTAATGTATAAGTGCTGGAAATAGCCTCGGTTTAATGGTTTCTTCTCTAATGCCTGGTAGCTTGCAGAGAAGGTAGACTTGAATTCTGTAAGTTCTGACTAACGCAGCAGAAAATAAAAATTAGAAATGGAAATACTGTGAGGGGGAAAATTTACCAGTTTGCACTGTGGCATATTGGTAAGAAGAAACATTGGGAGTTTGGATTTTGAATTTTGGAGTGCCTGAGACACTTACCTAAAAAAGATCTTTTGTTTCTGTGTTGAAATGCCCTTCTCAAAGTGTTAAAAAAAATATTAACTGATGTTCACAACAACTGACCCTGACCATTCATTACATCATTCACAACGCCTGCTTAAAAGGATGGGTGAGGATGTCTTTTGCCTGTGTTTCTTGGCAATAAAACATTTGGTGGAATTTCTTTTTAGAACATGATGAAATGTCTGTATCAACCATATTAGCATTTAACTACCACTTTTAGCTTTATCGTATTAGGCAAGTGACTGATTTTCAAAGCTGTTGCCTCCTTTGTAGGGGATGTTAATATCTGCCTCCTAGGCTTGCTGTCAGGATTAAATGTGAAATGTCAGTAAAGTGCTTAGCAGGGTGCCAGCCTCAGAGTAAGCACCAAAACAAACCAAAAAGAGTCCCTAGGAGCTAAGAGTTGCCGTTATTACCTGACAGTATTTTAACAGCCTTTTAAGTAAAAAGGACTACCTGGTTAGAAAATGTAATGCAAAGACAAATTAAAATTCACTATGGAAAGTTATTAACAAATAATTTAAGCATCTTGTAATGCATAGGACCAATGGGAAGAAAACTATAAAATGTAGCTGATGACAAAGAAGGTGATGTAATAAAAGGAAGGTATGTCCTTTTCCCGTAGTGGATGACCATGTCGTAAAAATACCAGTTTTCTTCACAATATAGTCACGTACCACATGGCATTTCAGTGACAGACTGTATACAATGTTGGTCCCAAAGATTATAATACCTTATTTTTTTACTGGACCTTTTCTATGTTCAAATATGTCTAGTTACATAAATATTTACCACTGTGTTACAGTTGCCCACAGCATTCAGTGCAGTCACATGTTGTACAGGTTTGTAGCCTAGTAGCAACAGGCTATACCGCCTGTCCGAGGTGTGTAGTAGGCTATACCATCTAAGTTTGTGTAGGCACACTGTGATGTTTGTACAGTGATGAAATCACCTAAGGACTCATTTCTTAGACTATATCTCTGTTGTTGTTAGTGACATATGACTGTAATCTATAATTTTAACGTAACTTCAGTTAAAGTACTTTTTCTTTTTTTTTTAGTTATTAAAAATGTAAAAAGAGATGGGGATCTCGCTATGTTGCCCAGGTTCGTCTTTGAACGACTGGCCTCAAGTGATCCTCCTACCCCGGCCTCCCAAAGTGCTAGGATTACAGGCATGAGCCACCATACCTGACCCTAAGTACTGGCTTTAGGACTTCATAATGACTCTTTAATTTTTCCTTGGGATAGAAGTTAGGATAATGAAGAAAAATAGTAATGCAAGGATACTTACTCTGGAAGTATTAAAGGTTCTGGAAATATATAATAATTTTAAAAATTTGATATAGGTTAAATAGATCATTGAAACAACTACAGAGCAACATTCAAGAATATGTATTACGTACATCTAATAAATATGTAAAGTTACATGTGATAAAGAATATGTTTTTTTCAAATCAGAGGAGAAACTGGCAATTGGTGAGCCATTTGGAGGAAAAATTGAGATTAGATTTCTGCCTTACACCTTGGAGAGAGAGAATTAAAAATTGTGTTAAAAGTAACTGATGAAAATATAAAATCTTTTTTTAACCTTGGGATAGGAAATGGCTTCCAAGCATACTAAGGCAGGAAGCATAAAAAGATCTCTAGATTTGACTTTATAAAAGTTGTATGTAGCAGCAAACAGATTTCAAAGCAAGAAACTGGAAACGGTTACAATGCATATGACAGAGGGAGGACAGTTATCTTAATGAAAACTGTTTCAACCAATTAAAGACTCTAATCATAATTTTAAAAAATTTGCATAGCCTGTGACCAGAATGTTCACAAAAGACTTAAGCATGAAACATATTCATTTCAATATTGATAAAATACTTCAAATTAAATTATATGAAAATACTGTTTCATCAGAATGGCAAAGATTAAAAATAACCATAGTGACAGGATGTGTGGAAATGGGAACTCTTATGTGGTTTTGATGGTAGTCTAAACGAGTACTGCCTAACTAGAGAGAAGCCTTAAAAAGTATGCATTTGGGAAAGAATCTGACAAGTGTGCAAAGAACACAAATGTGTTCATGATAGCATTGTTTATGGTGGAAGAGAAGTAAATGTTAACCTAAATGACTATTATTAGTTTTGTTAAATTATGGTATATACATATAAAAGAATAATAATGTACCTATTAAAAATGCTCCAAATATATAATTATTGAAATAGGTGTTCCTGATTTACTACTGAATGAGAAGGTCAGGCTATAACATTAAAACATTTATGAAATATAGTGATTTTCTCTGAGTGGTGTTATGTGTGGTTTTTATGTTTGTGCTTTATTTTTTCTACAGCGAACATACATTGACAGTAATTTTTCTGGTAACAAAACTAATGATGCGTATTGTAATGTCTGGAAGTTATATAAATAATATGTATAATCTTTCTAATCCTCCCAAAGTATACATACCTACACACATATATATACATACAGACTTTCCCTGTTAGAAAATTACAAGTTAGTGGTAGAGTTAATGAGAATACTTATTACTTTGATCTGGATGTAAACTTACATGGATAGTAGTAACTTTGTTAGTGGAGCTGTGAAGGCTACCAGGTGATCTTACAAAGCAGTTTTTCTACTTAGCTGGATTCTCAAGGTCTCTGTGTTCTACCTAAATTTCTTGGGCTTAAATTAAAATCTACCCTGTAGGTTTTGTTGTTATTGTTGTTTTGAGACAGCATTTTGCTCTGTTGCCCAGGCTGGAGTGCGTGGTGCAATCATAGCTCACTGCAGCCTCAGCCTTCCAGGCTCACGTGATCCTCCCACCTCAGCCTCCTGAGTAGCTGGGACTACAGGTGTGCACCAACATGCCTGGCTAATTTTTGTATTTCTTGTAGAGACAGGGTTTCACCATGTTACCCAGGCTGGTCTGGAACCCCTGGGCTTAAGTGATCCTCCCGCCTCGGCCTTCCAAAGTGCTGGGATTACAGATGTGAGCCACCACGCCCAGCTGACCCTATAGGTTTTTCCCTCCAAGTACATCCATAGGATGGGTCTTTGCAGATTTCAAGCCCCAGGAAGTCAGGGAGATGGAGTTGTTTTTTCATCTTTCTTTATTGACTGAGTTAATATTAATATCTGTGAGGACCAACATTAGGCAAAGTGTTGGTTCACCAAGTAGTAATGCCCAAGACTGGGGTTCCAGAGACAGTTAGGGATGACATAAGTGGTTCACTCTCGGATTATAATTATAGTCCTCAGGCCAAATTTATGGCCATATTGAGACCCTGTTTTGTGAAGTCTTAAAATCTTTTTTTCCTGGCAAAGACAGATGTGGAGGATTCAAAACTGGTATTCTCATTGCTGAAATTGTCCATATGTGGACATTTCCAAACATTTTGCAAATATCTTTTTCTTTTAGGAGTTACGGTTTATCGGTTGTTCCTGAACCTGCTGGATGCACACCAGAATTACCTGGGGAGATTATTAAAAATACAGATTCTTGGGCCCCACCCCTGGAGATTGTGAATCAGTAAGTAGATCTGGGGTGGGGCCTGGGAATTTGTATTTTTAAACAAGTAAACTTCAGGTGATTCTGATGCCACCAGACTGGTATTTGGGAGTCACTGGTTTAACAAAAGTACACACGGTGATTTGGCATGGTATTCATATTTTAGGTGAAAAATGCACCAAATAGGTGAAATAGAATAGTTTTTACAGTGGAAGAGTATTTTTAATAATTAACCTCCTTTGCCCTCTTTTGAAGTCGCTCCCCAAGTAGGGAGAAGAAGAGAGCTCGTTGGGAGGAAGAAAAAGACCGTTGGAGTGACAACCAGAGTTCTGGCAAAGACAAGAACTATACCTCAATCAAGGAAAAAGAGCCCGAGGAGACCATGCCTGACAAGAATGAGGAGGAAGAAGAAGAACTTCTTAAGCCTGTGTGGATTCGATGCACTCATTCAGAAAACTACTACTCCAGTGACCCCATGGATCAGGTGGTAGGTCTGAAGTAGCAGACAAGCTGTAGACTAGGGCTTCTCGGCGTTGTCACTATTGGCCTTTGGGGCTGGATAAATTCTTGATTGTGGGGACTGCCCTATGCATTGTAGGATGTTTAGCGGCATCTCTGGGCTCTACCTGTTAGATGCCAGTAGTACCCCTCCCCAGTTGTGGTTACCGAAAATGTCTTCAAATATTGCCAAATGTCCCCTGGGGGGAAAAGATCACCCCCAGTTGAGAATCACTGTTACAGACAAAAGCCGTTTTAAAAAGCTAAAAGCCAAGAGTGCAGTAGGTTAATTAAAATATCTTTTTATAATGCATTTTTATTTATTTATTTTTGAGACAGGGTCTCGCTCTGTCACCCAGGCTGGAGTGCAGTGGCACCATCGTGGCTCACTGCAGCCTTGATCTTCCAGGCTCAAGTGATTCTCCCACTTCAGCCTCCTGAGTAGCTGGAACTACGGGGCACGTGCCACCATGACTGGCTAATTTTTTTTTATTTTTTAGTAGAGATGAGGTCATACTATGTTGCCCACTCTGGTCTCGAACTCCTGAGCTCAAGCAATCCTCCTGCCTTGGCCTCCCAAAGTGCTGGGATTACAGGTGTGAGCCACTGTGCCCAGCCTATTCTACATTTTTAATGATACTGGTAGTCTCAGTACTGGTGGTTTCATAAGCTTTCACATGTAACTAGTTTATGCAGTTTGTAGTGTGTATGTGTATGTGTGTGTGTGTGTGTGTGTGTGTGTGTGTGTTTTCTCCAAAATGAAAAATAAGGAAGAATTTGAGTTTGTCTCTTCGAAGTGTATCCTTGACCAAAAGAGCACCAACCCTACGAAGTTGCCCATGCATATTGGCTAGTTTTGCAGAAAGGGAGAGCCATTGTCACCCTTAATGGGCTGGAGGGAGGACTCCTAGAGCACATGCTGCCAGGGCCGGGGCGCCTGTGGTGCTACAGCCGGCGTGCTCATTGCCATGACAGACTCCACCACTATTTCTACATGCTCACTTCTCTTTTCTTTCTTCCATCTCCATTTTATTTTCTGTCACTGTCACCTTTTTGCTCTCTCTTCCCCTCTTCCCCCTAGGCGTTATGCCTCCATCCTGTTAGGCATATTTGCCACAGAGTAGGCATGTTGTAATGTTCATTGATTAAATGAATGAGTGGACATCTCATTCATTTAATTAATGAACTCGTGCAGATTTCGGGCATGAAAAGTTGCAGATGTTAGATTTAGTGTATGGGATTAGATAAGAGATAAGAGAGAGTTGTGTTATTTGGAATTTTGTGAAAATAGCTTCTATTTGGACTCGTATCTGTGGGGAGCTTGAAAGGAGATTTCTGTGTTTTTGGAAACAAAGGATTTGAGAAGTCTCTCATAGTGGTGTGATATTTTATTTGATAAATTAGAGCAGGCTTTTAAGTCATAGTTGATGTGGTACAGGGAAGGGAAAGCTCACATACTGTGCACTTTACGGTGCCTGAATGTTATTCCATGCTTCTCATGTTGTCTTAGTTGACCCTGAAAACACCCCTGGCAAGAAGGTGGTTCTGTCCGTTAGAAATGCTGCTAGGAGTAATAACACCTGACTAAGTGGGACTTAAACAAGCTGGGTTTGTTCTTCTCATAATAAGGTACCTGGAGGGAGGCCATGGCTGGTGTTCACTGAGTGGCTCAGTGATGGCAGGCCCTGCTGTCTTCCTGAGCATCTTCCACAGTTGCAGGATGATGCAGGACTAGCAGGCCTCAGGTCCTTACACACCCGCATCCTCACACGCAGGATGCAGAGGGCATGTTGGGTGAGCATTCTTCTAGTGTCTTGCCCGAGCTCTCCTTTCATCCCTTGACTCCCCTTCCATCCCTTTACCAGAGCCATGTGACATGCCTACCCCAGGGATTCATTTTTCCTTACTGCCATGACAGAGTTCCACAAATGGCATGGCTTGAAACCGCACACATTTGTCATCTCACAGCTTGGGAGGTCAGAAGTCCAGCATGGGCCTCACTGGCTCCATCAGGATGTCAGCAGGTCTGTGCTCCTTTATGGAGGCTCTGGAGAAAATCTGTTTTCTTGCTCATTCAGGTTGCTGGCAGAGTTCAGTTGCTTGTGTCTGGAGGACAGAGGACCTTGTGTCCTTGTTGGCTGTCAGGTGTGGGCACTTCTTGGTTCCTCCAGGCCATGTGCATTCCTTGACTTGTGGATCCCTTCCTCTGTCTTCGAAGCCAGCAATGGTGGTCGAGTCCTTCTCGTGTTTTGAATATCTCTTGCCTCTTTTTCTGTTGTATCTCTGACCCCTGTTGGCAAAGGTTCCCTGATTTTAAGGATTCCTGTTCTAAGATTGGGTCCACCCAGCTGCAAATCCTTTTTGCCATGTAAGTTAACATATATATTTAATTTCTGGGGATTAGGACATGGACATCTTTGGGAGGGGCTGGTGGCTCAGCCTACCTTCCCAGAGATCAGGAGTTCTCTTCTCCAAATCTTACAGAATCCTGCTTCTATTAGGAAGAAGGGAAGAATGGCTGCCATAGGTGTTATTATTCTTAAAACAATAAAGATGAAGACACTGAAGTTCAGGGAGTTTAAACAGGCAGGGCTGGTTGTTTTTTATTACATCGTTATGAGTATATTAAAACTCCAGTGTAGGAGGAAGACTGATAAACTCAAAAGGCTGACATTTGCCTTTGAGTTTTGTCGTCTGTGTGGTGCAGAGAAGGTGGTGAGAATGTCAAAGCTATACCGGCATCGCCACTCCCAACAATGAGATGGGGCCTGAATTATCCCCTCTTCTGGGTACCAGATTTTATGATTTGCCTTAATTTTACATTTGACAGGTCTGGTTTTTACATTTTAAGGCTACTAAGTCAGAGTGTGGAGATGTAAAGTGATTTTCAACCTGGAAATTGAGTGAGGAAAAGTGGAAAATTTTCTCTAGGAATCTGTTGCAGAGTCCCGTGTTTGTGGTATGTGTTTGTGTGTGTGTGAGAGAGAGTGTGTGCATGTTTATGTCCTCGTGTTTAAGGCATGAGAGTGTGTGTGTGTGTGTGTGCGTGTGTGTGAGAGAGAGAGAGAGGGGATATATAGGATATTTCTTATTGCTCGATGGATTGATATAGGAGAAGATAGGTTATCAGTGATTTTCAGTAGGAAGTGTACATTCCCTATGAGGGTATTTGATGTCAGTTGTCATGATTCTCTGAGGGTCATGATTTTTTAAAAAATGTCATATTAATAGGGCATAGATGAACTGTTCTAATGTTTCTTTTCTGTTTTTTTTTTTTTAGATGAGGTCTCTCTATGTCACCCAGGCTAGAGTATAGTGGCACAGTCATAGTCATAGCTCACTGCATCCTCCAACTCTTGGGCTCAAACAGTTCTCCTGCCTTAGCCTCCCAGGTAGCACAGGCACACACCACCTGGCTAATTTTTTTCTTTTTCATAGAGGTGGGGTCTTGCTATGTTGCCCAGGCTGGTCTTGAACTCCTGGCCTCGAGCAATCCTCCTGCCTCTGCCTCCCAAAGTTGCTAGGATTACAGGCGTGAGCCAGCACGCCTGGCCTGTTCTAATGTTTCTGAATGTTGGCAAGGCACATTTACCTGAAGACTGTGTCAGCGATAAGTGTGTGTTTGATTCAGAGTATGATTGCCAGTACTTGAGCATTTTGTTTTTAAATGTTTGTTAAATTTAGGGTTGAAAAATAGCATCTTGCTGTTAAAAATGCTTTGATTACCTGTGAGATCTTACATATCTTTGATATGATCGTTATTGATATAGTTCCTAATATTGATCCTTTATTTTTAAAAGGGAGATTCTACAGTGGTTGGAACGAGTAGGCTTCGTGACTTATATGACAAATTTGAGGAGGAGTTGGGGAGCAGGCAAGAAAAGGCCAAAGCTGCTCGGCCTCCGTGGGAACCTCCAAAGACGAAGCTCGATGAAGATTTAGGTGAGTCAGAGTCACTAACTAGCCTGAGACCCTTGCGATTATAGCTTCATTCCTAAATTTTGGGGAAATACCCTTGAGAGTCCCACATTGAGATTTCTTCTTTTTCATTTTATTTTTCTTAATTACAGTCAGTAAGATACATAGCAGTAGAACTTCCTTCTTTTTGATCGTATTTTTCCTTAGTTCATTTGGCAGAATACAGCAGCGATCTCATTTGCAAGGCATGCTAACAAGGGTGCCCCTTGGAGAGTTGTCCAGTCAGAAGAGTTCAGCATCTTTCCGAGAGCAGGAGCCCATGCCCCCTGCCTCTCATGAGGACAGGTGTCCTTCCTTGGCCCTCTCCTTTGCCAGGTGCGCCTGGTTTGATGAGGGAAACAGCGACTGTACCCCAGCTCTGTTTGAAGGTTTCTCTCCACTTGTGTAGACAGTTTGCATAGCTTTTTCATAAGGTGGTCTATTTTTTCATGTGTATGTTCTGAGGTTCCAAGTAGGTTGTGAGATCTTTGAGAATGGAAATTGCTTTTTATCACTTTGTATCCTTAGCCCCTAACAGAATGCCATGCACAGATGAGACATTCAGTGTGCATTTAGCTACATGTTCTCTCTAGCTCTTATCTGCCCACCTCCATTACATCCCACACGCTGAGAGGCAGTTATCCATACTGGGCAAAGACACCTGAGTTGGGAGTTGGATGGCTTGGGTTTGAATCCCTGCTCTACCACCTACTTGATATGTGACCTTGGGCCACAGGTTAATCTCCTTAGATTTTTCCCATTTGTAAAATAGGGATGACAGTAGACAGTAGCATCTATCTCATGCAGTACATGTAAATACAACTCCATGTTGGATTTCATTATGCTACTACTATGTTAATCTCTTATAGGATTAATTTATTTTAAAAATTAATTATTTTTCTTTTTGTGGAGATGGAATCTCACTATGTAGGATTAATCTAACTTCTAGGTCTGTTTTTTTTTTTTTTCAAATTGTGGTAAAATATAAGTAATACAAAATTTACCATCTTAACTATTTTTAAGCGTACAGTTCAATAGGGTTCAACATGACCTTGTTTGCAACCAGTCTCCAGAACTGTTTTCCTTTTATAAAACTGAAACTCTGGACCTGTTAAGGAATAACTCCCCAGACCCCAGTTCCCCCGTTCCCTTATTACTACTATGCTACTTTCTTCCTCTATGAATTTGACTCTCAGGCATCTCATATATGTGGAATCATGTAGTATTTGTCTTTTTGTGACTGGCATATTTCAGTTAGCATAAGTCTGTGTCTGTTTTTATTCAGTCACTTTAAGGACTAACACCTTCTCTTGCTGTTATTGAGGGAAAAGAAATGTCAAGTCTTTGGTCTTGCATTCCCAGCCTTCGCTGTGGCATTCCCAGCACTCCCAGCCCCTAACCTCCCAGTGTTTTTCCGTGTGGCCCGCGCTCTAGCTAGTCCACTGTGTTCTTAGCTCCACGCTTTTGCCTACGATGCTCCCTCTTCATTCCTTTCTTCTTTTCTCCTCCTTATCATGCTTCTCCCATCCTGTTGCAGTGCCTGGGTCACATGTGCTCCTTCTTTGAAATTATCACCAGCCTTTCTGGATCCCAGTGAAACTGCCCTTTTATGGATCATTACATAGCTTAAGTGTTAAACTACGTACTACTACTATGGTTTTTCATTTTATCTGACATTGCTCATCAAGTCTTACTTTCTCTCTAAAGATCTTTATTTTCTTTGCTTCCCCAACTAGATTGTGACTTAGCATTATGGGCTATATTTTTTTTTTATGGTGTTGCTTAGTAGAGTATTTGGTGTAGAGTAGGCCTTTAAGTATTTTCTAGAAGAATAAAGAACTCTTCTTACCTTTAGAGGTTTAGGTCATTTGGAAGCCTCCACAAAAACCAGTTTGTCAGCCGGGTGCGGTGGCTCATGCCTATAATCCCAGCACTTTAGGAGGCCGAGACGGGTGTTTCACCTGAGGTCAGGAGTTCGAGACCAGCCTGGTCAACATGGCAAAATCCTGTCTCTACTAAAAACACAAAAAATAGCTGGGTGTGGTGGCAGGCGCCTGTAATCCCAGCTACTCGGGAGGCTAAGGCAGGAGAATCACTTGAACTCGGGAGGTGGAGTTTGCAGTGAGCTGAGATCGCGCACTGCACTCCAGCCTGGGTGACAGAGCGAGACTCCAACTCAGGGAAAAAAAAAAACCAGTTTGTTAATTCCATCAATTTCTGTATTTTTCTCCCAACCCCTGTTAGAGAGTTCCAGTGAATCCGAGTGTGAGTCTGATGAGGACAGCACCTGTTCTAGCAGCTCAGACTCTGAAGTTTTTGACGTTATTGCAGAAATCAAACGCAAAAAGGCCCACCCTGACCGACTTCATGATGAACTTTGGTACAACGATCCAGGCCAGGTGCGTGTTTTTATGCCCTTGCTGTGAAGGTTGCAAACCCAGACATAACGGTTATTGCTCTGGGCTCAGAAGATACATGTTGCCTAGTATTGAAACTGAATTTTACTGTCAGGGTTTTGTCCTTCAGAGCTATTTCTTTTCAGCTTCAGGTTAGTTCCAAAGCATAAGCACCAGAGCAGCTGTCCCTTGAATCATTTTTGATGATGTTTGTAAATTCCATGTTGGGGAGAGGAGTAATGGCCCTGCCTCATTAAATTGCAGTAGATGGAAGGAGACACATGGTAGGATGAGGAGAGAGAACTTGGAGGTCTTTTTAGAAGTAGTTCACCTGGAAGGTATCTTGCTGCAAAATAGTAAATAAGTCCTATAAGATTTCTTTTTTTTAGTTGGTAACAGTCACAAGTTCTCTTCCTTGTTAAGCATGTTTGAGCTAAAAACATAATAGGTGGACATAATTATTTTTATTTTTAATTACTGTCTTAATATGAAGTAATACATAATAAAATTAGCATTGTTAAAAAAGATTTGTGTCACACAGATATATAATACATACAAAAATTATATCTTTAATGCATGTAAAGTTAGGAAGCTAAGGCATATCTGTAAAAAGATAATTTAAAATTTATATTTTGTGAGTAAATTTATAACATTCTATATTAATTAAAATGCTTTTCTCCTGGTTCTTGTTAGATGACAGCTATCCATCTTTTTTTTATAGAACGTCTGGCAGAAATGTATTTTGTGTGTTCCTTTTACTCTTTGGAATTGAGCAGAAATGTTTGCAGAACTGCCAATGCATTTTAAAACTTGGTTTTCTTTTTAAACAGCTTTGTTGAGTTATAATTTACATATGATACAATTGTACTTCAAATTTATAATCCAGCATTTTTTAGTATATTCATGGGGTTGCACAACTATCCCTACAATTGAATTTTAGAACATTTTTTGTCCCCCGTAAAATAAACTTCCTCCATATATGGGTTTTTTTGTTTTTTTGTTTTTTTTGAGACCTGGTCTCACACTGTTGCCCCGGCTGGAGTGCACTGGCGCAATAACGGCTCACTGGAACCTTGACTTCCCAGGCCAAACCTGCTTCAGCCTCCCAAGTATCTAGGACTATAGGGGCGTCCCACTATGCCTGGCTAGTTTTTTTTTTTTTTTTGAGACAGAGTTTCGCTCTTATTGCCTAGGCTTGAGTGCAATGGCGATCTTGGCTCACTGCAACCTCTGCCTCCTGGGTTCAAGTGATTCTCCTGCCTCAGCCTCCTGAGTAGCTGGGAGTATAGGCATGCGCCTCCACGCCTGGCCAATTTTGTATTTTTAGTAGAGATAGGGTTTCTCCATGTTGATCAGGCTGGTCTCGAACTCCCGACCTCAGGTGATCCACCTGGCTCAGCCTTCCAAAGTGCTGGGATTACAGGTGTGAGCCACTGCGCCTGGCCTGCCTAGGTAGTTTTAAAAAATTATTTGTAGAGATGAGGTCTCGCTATGTTGCCCAGGCTGGTCTCAAACTCCTAGGCTCAAGCAGTCCTCCTGCCTCAGCCTCCCAAAGTGTTGGGATTACGGGCATGAGCCACTGCGCCTGGCCCTCTAGTCTTTTTACTTGACTGTTGTTTCCTGTTTCGCAAGAAGCCTCTACACTGATTTCCGTGGATACCTGTTTCTATCAGAAATTCAACAGTGCTTTGTAAACAGTCTTTCTAATGCTGTTTAGTGTTATTGGTTTTGTGTCCTCTGTATAGTTGAGCCTTGTGAAGGGCTGAATATGTAGGATCCCAGACCTTGGTAAAAGGCAAGCATGTAGGATGTCTCTGCTTCCCTGGAGATCCGTGAACACTAAGTTAATTTTTTATATTTTTCATCACAACAAGTCATGACTGGCATTAAGAGTGTGTTATAACTTTTTTTTTGTCTTTTTTTTTTTTGAGACGGAGTCTCAAAAAAACTCCTGCTCTGTTGCCCAGGCTGGAGTTGGAGTGCAGTGGTGTAATCTCAGCTCACTGCAACTTCCACCTCCCAGGTTCAAGCGATTCTCCTGCCTTAGCCTCCCCAGTGGCTGTGACTACAGGCTTGCACCACCACGCCCAGCTAATTTTTGTATTTTTAGTAGAGATGAGGTTTCACCCTGTTGGCTAGGCTGTTCTCGAACTCCTGACCTCAAGTGATCTGCCTGCCTCGGCCTCCCAAAGTGCTGGGATTACAGGCATGAGCTATTGCACCTGGCCTTAGGAGTGTGTTATAAGTTTTTTTTTTTTTTTGAGACGGGGTCTCACTCTGTCGCCCAGGCTGGAGTGCCGTGGTACAATCTCAGCTCGCTGCAAGCTCTGCATATCTGGTTCAAGCAATTCTCCCTGCCTCAGCCTCATGAGTAGCTGGGATTACAGGCGCCCACCACCATGCCCAGTTAATTTTTGTATTTTTTAGTAGAGATGGGGTTTTGCCATGTTGGCCAGGCTGGTCTTGAACTCTTGACCTCAGGTGATCCGTCCGCCTCAGCATCCCAAAGTGCTGGGATTACAGGCGTGTGCCACTGCGCACAGCTGTGTTACAACTTTTGATGAAATCCTGTTACGTCTCTTATTTGCCAGCTGTTACTTTAGATAATATCTTAACATAATATTTCTTTTTGGTAGCGATATTATTCCTCTGCTGTACCACCTGGATCTTTAGATTTCCCAAGAGGCTAAAGAAAGGTATAGCTTTTTACTTTAATACTTTTTTTTTCAAAAAGTCTTATTGACTTTTATATTTTAATTGGACATAATGAGTTATAAATCTCCATAACTTTAAAGAAATATGTGTGTGTATATATGTATACGTATATTTTTTCTTTTAAGGCTAGTCAAGTGAAGAAGCAGTGGGAGTGGAGAAGAAACGAAGAAATCTGTAACTGGCTGTGATCAATTACTTGTAAAATCCATTACACTCTGACCAGCCTATATTTTTAAATTATTACAAAAAAAGGGAAATGGAAATTCATTTTCCCTATCTGAGCTCTGGTCTTGTTTTTGATTCAGTATTACCATCTATACCAGAGGAACTCATGAACCTGGCTTGTGAGGCCCTTCAGATTTTGATCTTAGTTCTGCTTCTTTTGGTCTTTTCCCCCACATAAATGGTCCATTTTATTTAGACGGGTCTTGTGGCCCAGAGCATGATGTGGACCTTCTGCCTTCTCTCCTTTTCTCATGCATGCTGGTGCCTCTTGTGGAGCAGCCATTTTGTTTTCTTGTCCATCTCATCTGTTTGACGCCCCAGCATTACCTACTTTTAAGTGATTTTTTTTTCTTTTAAATTATGAAGCACATCATATATATGTTGTTCTCCTGTCTAGAACAGATATTCATTGAGCACACGGACCCGGTGCTCTTTATCATCCCCGTGCTTAGCACTCATCCGTTCCAGAGGTTTTGAAGAATTGCTTGCCTATGGAGCCTTGTGGGCGGAGTTCGTGGCACTAAAACAAATTCAGAGAAAGAGATGTAATCTAACCTGAGCAGTGTGGGAAGTTCTTCTGGCTTTAGTAGCATTTTCTTCTCTCTGCTAGTGAGGTACCTTACAGTTTCTCTTTTTGAAACATTGAATCCGCAGGTCACCTTCAAAACACTCTATGTGTTCCTCCAGGATATAAAATTTGCTTTTGTGAAAGAGTCATTTTTCTTGAGATAAGAAATAGGGAAACAAAAGTGTCCTGGGAATTGGTAGAAGAAGATGGGGGCAAACAGTGTGCTGACATTGATATTTTCTGCTTGGCTGCACAAATAACTCAGGAATGTGGTGTTGTCACACGGTTTCCCTTTATCAGACAATATAGACAGTTTGCAGCTTTATTGGTTTTGGAACATCCGTTTAATCTTCTAACCGTGACAGCCTCTCAGAGCTTCAGCGCTCATGACATTAAAACCCACGCATTTTCGGAGGCATCACCGTGCATGGTGTGGATTTTTCCCTCCAATAAAAACGAATTACATTGTGTTTCTGACAGATGAATGATGGACCACTCTGCAAATGCAGCGCAAAGGCAAGACGCACAGGAATTAGGCACAGCATTTATCCTGGAGAAGAGGTAACTGGTTTGGGTTATTATGTTTGTAAATGCTGAGAAGCCAGAAGTAGACAGATGTTGTTGCTGTTCTTTCCCCCATAAATGAAATAATACCATCAAAATTCTCTTCATATTCCCTAATAGTCTCTTACTGATAATTGCAGAGGAAAGCACTTGGGTTTTGGGAGCGCAGTGGGGAATGTTCTCAAGGAAACTTTAACAAAAGTTTTAGTCGTTTTATTATTTAAAATAGGCATGGTGTGTTTGATATGGTTTCCCATTTCAAGTATTCTTCAGCTGCACATATTATAGTTTTATGTTTCATCATAAGTGGCTATGAATGGCCCTGGAGCGACGCTCTTAGTAAAGTGCTTTGAAGTGCATGTCTTCTCTCTCTGTTAGTCTGTCCTTTCCACCAAACTGAATATATATTGACTATTTTACCTGCGTCTCTGCCCTTGGTTTATCAGGGACCCTCTAATAAGTTTAACTGAATAGGTAGAACACTTTTACATTGCAGAGTCATATATAACTATCCCTTTCAATTATTGTCCCTCATTTGTTCCCTTTATCTTTTATTTTTATAAGCTATTTTTATTAATCCCAAGCTCCTCACTTTATAATTCAGTGCATTGTATTTAAACATAGTATATGTAAAACCTTAATTTCTATTTAAAACTTGTTTGAGGGCTCAACAATAATGGGAATAAAGACTATGAGATGGTGCCTGATAATTTGAAATACTTGCATCACTTCTGCTCATTTGTCTTTGAAAGTTGGCAAGTGTAGCGAGGAATTGTGGGACAAGGTGGCATCTTGTGAGCGTTTGTGCACATGCCTCAGGTTGGGAGCTCTGAGATGTTGACGAGGGATCAACACCTGTGACAGGAAAAGAGCAGAGGTGGGAACTATTCACCTGTGATGTGGGTCTGATCAGGCCTGGCTTGTCAGAATTTTTGTGTGTTGTGCTGGAATGGCTGTCATAACCCCATCTCTCTCAGTCCCCAGAGCAAAGTACCCCAGGAAGGGCACAACCTTGGGAGAGGGGGCTCTGCAGCTGAGGTTGACCCTGAAGGAGCCAATAGCTACAGGCTGTGTGCTGACTACACAGTGCACATTTGGACAGCAGGCCCTTCCTTGAAGGGAGACTAGATGGGCAGTGGTGCCAGCTAGGGACCTGTAGGCAGGAAAGGCAGGTGACAGTTTGGTCTCCTGGAGGAATGGTCCCATTTTGGGGGCTCAGCATGAGTCATTGTATCTGGCTAGTTGGATGTTTGGCAGTGGAAGTTAGCTTAATTATATAGCTTAGCCTTGATAAGCGGGATCCATGCTGTTGGGCTCATGTGAAGCCTCCTCTCTGCTACTGTGGTCACTTCATTCATGTGCCCCTCCTGTTGCTCTGGGGTGGCTAAGGACAGAGGGTGGCTGACACCAACTGCCCCAGTCATTTTGTCTGCTTGGTACCCTGGTACCTCTTCCATGGTGGCTGCTGTCTGATGGACCTCCATGTGTGAGATAGAGCTCGTCATGCTCCCTTCCATTTGTGCACCTTCAAGTCTCTACCCCAAGACCTTCTCATCCATCATCTTCCAATCTTTTTTCTTCTAGGCCCCTGACCAGCAAGCATGGTCACTTGCTTCTGACCAGGAGTCCATCTATATTCTAACTTCAGGCCACTTCTCTTTCCACACAAAGTGGATGACCAGGTACACTGCCTGAAACTCCACCCGCTGGGAGAGATTTCCCCACAGCGCTATCTCTCAGAGCCATCCCAGAGTGAGGCTGTAGTGCCATCTGTTTTCGGTTCAGCCACTCTTGCCAACTGACCCATTTGTAAACCAAGCTTGGGCTTTTTCCTCTGCTTTCATCCATACATCCTTAGTCATCAGCTGAGGGAGGGGAGCTGGTGCAACAGTGGTGGAGCTGTGGGGATCCGGGCCATCTGCCCAGGCAGCTTGTTTGTGCTCTTGGCTCCTGGGTATGCTTGACTCTGGCAGTACCACTCCTGCCTTATGATGGATTGTTGCTGATGCTGTATTGCCTGGTGGGATTGACAGAATTTAGCCTATGATGGGTGGTTCTGGCCACATGTGTATCTGGTATCTCTTGGCCAGGCCTTACATATCTATCAGGGCCCAGTAGCACATCTGGAGTATTTTTTCAAAGGCACATAATTCTTCACTATAGATGGCAGGTCTTGCTTCAGAACGTCAGGGACCAGCATTGTGATTCTCCCAATGTGGCCTGCAACAGATTCCTTTTGGCAACTTTTCCCACCAACATTATAGGATCTGCCGAAACATATGGCCCCAGCAGCAGGGCTGCTTGTACTCTAGCCTGGAACAGCTGAGGCCATTTCTCACATGGGCTGTCCTCAGTGCGGGCAGCTGTTGATGCTGTTTGTGCCACTGTGTAAGCAGGTTGGAACAATGTTTCTAAATGTGCATTCTTTTGCCTCCTGAGCCTGAAAAGGCCCACTTAGGTGTTGTGCTTTCTTCATTGTAGGAGGTGGAAGATGCAATAATTGTCTTTTACTTTGGAGGGGATGTCTTGGCATTCCCCAGACCACTGGACTCCTAAAAATTGTGTGGCTGCGGCAGGCCCCTGAATCTTTGTAGGGTTTATCTCACATCCACTGCGGTGCATGCATTTTACCAAGGTCTCTAGCCTGATCATCGTAATGTCAGAGGTGTAATGGAGCAGTGTGAGGTTCTACAGCATGCCCCGACCGTCGGGAGCTCTTTGGTATTATGAGTGGGTGGGAGCACTGGGGCAAAACTATAACTATAAATGTCTGTGAACCATTCTGATCCTCATTTCTGATTGGGATAGAAAATAACCCATTCACCAAATCAGTTGCCATGTACTTTATATCTGCTCTAGCTAAACTACAACACCTGGCCCGGCAGCTACAATCAGAGTTCCTGCTTGGTTAAGTTTGTGGTAGTTTGCAGTCATCCTTCAGGTCTTCAGGGGCCAGACAGGTGAATTAATTGGAGATAGGACCGGTACCATCTCCCCTATATCCTTCAGATCCTTAAGGGTGGCACTTACCTCTTCCATCCCCACAGTGCAATATTGGTTTTGATGCCTGGGTTGACGGGGGTGGTGGTAATTTCGTTTCTGCTTGGCTTTCCCATTAGGATAGCTCTTATTCCACATGTCAAGGACCCAGTGTTGAGTAGCACGTTGGGTCTGCCAAGAATGTCAATTCTAGTGTACATTCAAGGACCAGGGGAAGGACCACTGGGTAGATCTGTGATTCAGTAGACCCACTGTAAGTCAGACCTTGACCAAGATCCATTTATTACCTTGGCCTCATATTCTCTACTCTAACTGGGGCACCACAGTGATGTATCCAGTCTCCAAGTATCAATGATGATTCAGATACTGCATCTAACATGGCTTGAACTGTCTGCTATTCCTCTTTTCCCAGTGTACAGCTCCCCAGGTAAATGGCCATAAGCCCCTTTGGGGAATGACAGGGCTGTTATTTTGTTACAGGATCCTTCCTCCTGGGATCTGGCCACCTCTTCAGTCGGTGGATTTCAGTCCAAAAAACATGATCACGTCTGGAACTGGGCAAGGAATAGTGTGACTATTTATTGGAATCACCTGCCTTCAGTGTCTTGGTTATCCATTCTTGGTTTCTTATGTTCGTACAAACTAAGTAGTACTCTTACTGGTTACCCACTTATTTTGTACCGAAGGACACCATGTTCTATTAACTATTTCCATGACTCTTTGTGGGTCAGACCCCTTTGGCTGCTACTTTGGCCTGGCTTCCAGCACTTAGTCCTATCACCTGGCATCTCTTGTTTCAGGATTCTGTCATCCCTATTACTGCTGGTGAGCTCTGCTCTCTGACCACTTTTGTAGTCAGCCCTGGCCTGCAGAGGAGGCTACCACTGATCTTCCTGATGATGTTTGTGCTCCTGTCACCTGCACATTTGTTTTGGTGTGTCCTCTGGGGCTTCCCATGCAACATGATTATTTGGCATATTTTCCAGCTGTAGATACTTTATCCATTCTAACTTCCTTGAGTCCTTGAATTCCTTCCTCCACTGTCTACCACGGCAATTCCGGTATTTCAGCTTTGCTCAGCGTGGGCCGTTGCTTCTTCATGCTTTTAGGAGCCATGCTGGTAGGGAGTTCTCAACATACCCTGGTGGTGTTGTATCCTGAGTGCCCCAGGTCAATCTACTCTTCCCTAAACAATTTTATGTTCTGGCCCTGTTGATCAAAGCTCTCATCATCAGGTCCTCTGCAGACTTCTCTGGCTGTTGCCACATGCTAGTTAGTTCCTGCAATTCTTTTGAAATATAATCTGTTTCCTTCCAGCACCTCCCCAGTTGGGGCCCTGAAATGACCCCAATTATAGGTATTGGCCAGGAGGGGAGACTGGTTGAGGGGTGTGTGAAGGGGGATAGTGTTGCCTTGCAGGTTCTTCCATTGTCTTCTGGTACAAGTGAGTGGTTGCTCTTAATTGGGAGGGATGTGCCATCTCTGCAGTCAGATGATTTAGAGGAATCTGGGGAGTCAAAACATAAATGTCCCCATTTCAGGTTTCCTGGGCCCTGACTGTGGCTAATTTTCTTTGAGGCTTGGCCCCTCTCACAGGTAAGCCTTAGGCTTGGTCCTGCCTTGCTGTGACCTCCCACTGTAGGTAGTGAGAGTTTCTTCTGGCTTTCACATCTGGTTTCTAATAGTCTTTTCTCCTCCTCTGCTGTTATACTTCTGTAGTGTAGTGGTTCTCTAAGTGAAGGCTCCCAACTGAGACTCATAAAGCTTCACCTGGGAACTTGTTAGAAAGGCAGATTCTTACCCCATCCCAGCCACTGAATCAGAAACTGGGAGTGGGGAACAAGCAGTCTGAGATTTAACCAGCCCTCCAGGTGATTTCTGGGCAGACTAAGGTTTGGGGACTATGGTAGAGCATCACTGGTGCTTAGCGACAGCCATCCATCCCTGAAGGATCATAGCCATTGTTCTTATAGCTATCATTTTCTCCACAGTCTTAAACACCTGGGTGTTTGGCTTGCTTCCGGTGTACAGCTTCTAATTCACCATCTTTAAAGTTTAGTTGCCCTGCCATCTGGTGCCAGGGGCTGTCTGTGTTCCACTTACCACCAGTGATGGCATCTTCATTGCTTGTTGAGAGGCGATTGAGCTCCAAAACACCATCTTATTTGCTGTTTTATTGGGTCACTCCTAGTACCAACAGCCTCATCTTGGGTTCTCTAGAAGCAGATGCTAAGATGGAGTTTTGGGTGCATGATGTTTATTAGGAATCAACACCTGTGAAAGGAAGAGGGTGGAAGCAGGATTGGACAGAAGGATTGGCTGAACTGTGAGTGAGGCCCACCAAAGCTGCATTCAGCCTGGGGGTGATCTGTGGAATGCATATTGCCCGTTTGAGTTGGGCTGAAATGGCTGGGCCTTTATACCTCTGCCTTGCTCAGTACCTGATGTGGACCGTGCCTGAGGTCAGAGGATGGAGATCTGCAGTGGAGAGAGATCCTGAAGGAGCTTATAGCTGGAAGCTCCTTGCTGTCTGTGCCCTCCACAGCCAGGCAGCAAGTCCCTCCTTGAACGTGGGTCTGCGTGGCACAGCCCCATGTCTATCACAGGTGCACCCAATGATGCCATCACAACTGATGCTGTCACAGCACACTTCTTGTGCTGGCTTTGTTTGCCTTTTCTCGTCTTTTTTTTTTTTGATACAGAGTTTTGTCTTGTTGCCCGGGCTGGAGTGAAATGGTGTGATTTCGGCTCACCGCAATCTCCACCTCCCGGGTTCAAGTGATTCTCCTGCCTCAGCCTCCCAAGTAGCTGGGATTGCAGGCGTGCATCACCACGCCTGGCTAATTTTGTATTTTTAGTAGAGATGGGGTTTCTCCATGTTGGTCAGGCTGGTCTTGAACTCCCGACCTCAGGCGATCTGCCCACCTTGGCCTCCCAAAGTGCTGGGATTACAGGCATGAGCCACCGTGCCTGGCCAGCCTTTTCCCGTCTTAAGATCCATGCATATACTGTTCCACCACCTCTCATGCTTTCTTCATTTCTGACCTTTTCGATTTTTACTCAGCATATTTATTCCTTCTAGCTTTTTAAATTTCCTATTAACACTCACTGCTGTTAGTTCTCAGATTAATTTCCCCACTTTTTTTTTCAGTTTATTCATAAGTATAACCAAAGGTCAGTTATTGTGTTATTTTACAAGTAAAAGGAAGATGGTCATAGGATTCTAGATCTAGAAAGATCCTTAAATCTTGTAGTCTGAACCCCCTCTGGAGTATACTGTAAGTGGCATATTGTGGCTGTAAGATTAAGGGTAGCCATAACTTCATTCAGGTGTCTCACAGGGCTGATACTCCATGTCAGCAGTGTTGTCCGTGTCAGCCTGTGTCAGCAGTCTACAACCTAGCCTGGAGATTTCCAGGAGACAAGGCCACCTAGGCACAGATGCAGCTTTCATAAGTCTTAAAACAAAGTTTCCCCTTACAAGAATAGTTTAAACTCCTTTTAGAAAAGAGACACCTGGTAACTGACCTGGACTGAATACAGGTATAAGCAAAGGAGAAGGATCCTCCAAACTTGAGAATGGTCTCTGGATGAAGACCCTCCTGGTGACTTGGTCATCTAAGTCCCTGGCTATATCTGGCCTGCGTCTGCTGTTCGTCTTGTAAGAGAATAAGCAGAATAAACTGCTTGAGCATCAGTTGGTGACTAAGACTTATCTTTGAGGAGAATCAGATGGAAAGGGAGAAGTCCCTCCTGAAAGAGCTGGTTAATTAGGTCCACTCAAAACACCCCAGCCACCAACACGACAGCTGGGGATGGTGATGGGATTTGCATAAGCAGGTGAGTAATGGCACTCATTTCTATGAGAGAATCATGAGAGAGTGAATGGGAGCTATCTCTGATCCAGCTACTGGGTGAGCCCTATGGACTGTTCCACAGTGGGACTGGCAGTTTTTATTCTGCTTTCTGGCCAATTGCTACCTTCTGTGTGCACTTTGTACCTCTGTTATGGAAATTGCCACCAGGCACATGCCAAAATTATTCTTAAGATCCTTCCAGGCCCATAGTAAGGGGGGACAGGCTCCCAAGTGGAGGAGGACTGTCTGGATGTCAGGGATGCCCTTGGCTTCAAGAGTTGACTGCCGGCTGGCGTGTCTCCAGCCCTTGCTGTGCCAGAGGAGCATCTTGGCCTGAAGGATCCTGGGATTGTGACACCATAGGCCAGGAAGTCTTAGGTCAGGTTTATCTGCAGAAAGCCTCTCTGTTGTTGTCTGCCAGTGGGGGAATTAGAAGATGATCCCCTGCAAGTCTGTACAATCACTGAAGGGCACATTATCCTCTCTGCACTCCTGATGGGACTGCGCAGCTTCTCCAGGGATGTGCTCTACCCTCAGATGCCTGCTGGGTGCCACGTACCCCAGTCACATGGGCTCAGCTCAGAGTCGCATCACTTGGCCTGGCTGATCCGTAGGCCTTCAAGCTGTGGAATGATGATCCCGAGTGCACGGGGTTACCATTGGTTGCACTACAGGCATTACCAGTCACCACCTGGGTCATGGTTAGGACAGTGGCTGTCACCTCCACAACCTGCTCAGATGAGGAGGCATGCCCCAGACACCATGGAAGTCTGCAAATAGGTTTACCCTTTGTCAAGGCCAGAAATTTAGAGCTTCCTCAAAGACCTGATGCAGGGACTCAGTGAGAAAGTTGTCACTGGCTGTACTGTGTGTATCACACAGGAACTGGACTGTAACTCACAGACTGAAAAATGTAACAGTCGGTAGCTATCTCCAAAGATGGTAAGATCTCTCATGACTTCAACACCCAGTCAAGGTTATCCAGGGAGCACAACTTGATGGGGCTGTGGGCATAGAGCAGGCAGCCATAAGCTGTCCCTGTCCTCTGCTGCAGTGGCTGTTTATGGCTTGGAGAATAGCACACCTCAGCATGAACGTCCCCATCAAGGGCTGAAAGTAGCTGGTGTAAAGTTCAGGAAGGAACATTTAAGCATGTTTCAGTGGGTTTATGCAGCTGCCACCTCCATGGGACTGGGGCACCGCTGGGAGAGCCCTGTATAGGCCACCTTGCAGCCAGATGTTTATGGTTTTCTTTTTGTTTTTGTTTTGAGACAAGGTCTCCCTCTGTCACCCAGGCTGGAGTGCAGTTGTGCAATCTTGGCTCACTGGAACTTCTGCCTCCTGGGCTCAAGTGATCTCCTGCCTCAACCTCCTGAGTAGCTGGGACCACAGGCATGCACCACCACACCAGGCTAATTTTTGTAAAGACAGGGTTTTGCCTTGTTGCCCAGGCTGGTCTTGAACTCCTGGGCTTAAGCAATCCTCCCACCTTGGCCTCCTAAAGTGCTATGATTACAGGCATGAACCACTGTGCCTGGCCCTACTTTACAGTTGTTTTTAAGGTGAGTCCCATCACAGGCCAAACAAGCTCTCTTGGTCTCCGAAGTTAATCAGGCTCTGTGGGCCCTTGCCATGCTGGAAAATGCCAAGACACAACCACCACCCAACCAAGTGTTTCCAGCTGCAGCTCACACCTCTCCCAGCCCCAACTTGGCACCTTGTAGCCAGAGGTTCAGACACCTGGCATCGCTCTCCTTGGCCTCCCCAGGCCCATCACCCACAGGACAAGACCCTGTCCAGCTGTCTGCAACAAGGGCAGAGCTACTTCTACTGGCAGCTGCAATAAAGGGGACTCCCAAATGGGCCCATCTCCGGCAAGCCTCATGAGTTCCTTCAGACCCTCCTTACAACTGACGTGGCCTGCTCACCCACCGACCCAGATGGAAGAACACCAAGTCTTCATCAAGGCCACCTATGTGTACTAGCAGTCCAGTGGGTGTCCCTCTGGTACCCTCATGGATGATAATTGCTCATTTACCAAGTTCATGGTATTTTGGAGGCCCCAAAACCTCAGACATTTGCGGCCTTATTGGTCATCCTTGCTTCACCAGCACCTGAGGAAGCGGCTGAGAGCTGGAGACTGGCCAGCCCTTTTTTATTGGTCTAGGTATGGCAAAGCCAATACTGTTCTTTCCTACCAGTCTGTGAAGGAACAGACATAAAACCTGTTTTGTTAGATGTGAATCTAGGAAATACAATATATTTTTAAGTAAAAGTACTCTTGCTTTACTTGTAAACTGATTTTCGTTTTTTTCCCCTCAGGCCATCAAGCCCTGTCGTCCTATGACCAACAATGCTGGCAGACTTTTCCACTACCGGATCACAGTCTCCCCGCCTACGAACTTTTTAGTAAGTTTCTAAAGAATCACATGCATATCATTTAAAATGTAAATAGAGTAAAATGTGAATAGGCTAAAGTTATTGATTCTGTTCTCAAATGTTCTTACTTTGAAAAATATTTTATTTTTATGTTGACAAATTGGCCTTTCTCACGATGACGTTTCTTTCAGCTTCCTCTTCACTATACTGCTATATCTTTTTTTCATTAAATATTGTTGGCATCACTTAATAGCCAAATTCATAATAGCCAACAATGTTGGAGCTATGGAGTGGGAAGAAAATATAGAACACTTCCACATTTCTTGAAAATTAGTGAATGGTGGCCGGGCGCGGTGGCTCACGCCTGTAATACCAGCACTTTGGGAGGCCGAGGTGGGCAGATCACAAGGTCAGGAGATCGAGACCGTCCTGGCTAACACGGTGAAACCCCATCTCTACTAAAAATACAAAAAATTAGCCGGGCATGGTGGCGGGCACCTGTAGTCCCAGCTACTCGGGAGGCTGAGGCAGGAGAATGGCGTGAACCCAGGAGGCAGAGCCGAGATCGCACCACTTTACTCCAGCCTGGGCGACAGTGTGAGACTGTCTCAAAAAAAAAAATTTTTTTTTGAAGAAATGCCAAACTGTTTCCAAAGTGGCTGTACCATTTTTGCTCATTATTTTTTTCTTTTTTCAGAGGTGAGATCTCACTTTGTTGCCCAGGCTGAATTTGAACTCCGGTCTCAAGTGATCCTCTTGCCTCACCCTCCCAAGTAGCTGGGATTACAGGCATGTGCCACTATGCCTGGCTTTCTTTTCCTTTTATTTAATTTAGACCATCTTTGTGAAGTTTTTCAAATATAAATTAACAATAATATTGGCAAAACAAATAATAGATATTTCGATATTCTTTTGCTCCCCCTCTTTCCAAGTTGTTCTTAATAGATAATGTTTAAACGAATGAAATCTAATATCTGTGTTAGAAATATGTCTTATAGGTCATCAGTCTTAATAATTACTGCCATATTTAGCATTTAAGGTTAAAAATGGCTGGGCCTGGTGGCTCATGCCTGTAATCCCAGCACTTTGGGAGGCCGAGGCGAGTGGATCACCTGAAGTCAGGAGTTTGAGACCAGCCTAGTAGGGATGGTGGAACCCCATCTCTACTAAAATACAAAAATTAGCCTGGCATAGTGGTGCACGCCTGTAATCCCAGCTACTTAGGAGGCTGAGGCACGATAATTGTTGGAAGCTGGGAGGCAGAGTCTGTAGTGAGCCAAGATCATGCCACTGCACTCCAGCCTGGGGAAGAGAGTGAGACTTCATCTCAAACACACACACACACACACACACACACACACACACACACACACACACAATGGTGGGTTATAAGAATGGCATAAGGAATAGAGGGCTTCATGCTTAGATTGATATATGTATTATTTAGTTACAAATCCAATTTTCAGGGAATTAAGGCCTTTGAACTTGTGTGGGAATTGATTTGTTGCAGTGTTTGGTTGGTTGACTTCTTGGAGAGGCTGGGAATAGAGCTATGAGGGGTTGACCTTCTGGCACCAAGAGGCCTTTGAGAGACTTCTAGGCTGTTGCTAGTCTCCACTTTATGATGCTGAGTCTTTTTCCACTTTGCATTTGAGTCAGCTGTGTTATTACCTTGCTCCTGTTAGGACTTCTGTTAGTTCAGAAACATAGTTCATTAAGAACAGAACTGGTAGTATTGTGAGATTAAATAAACAAGTTCCCAGAAAATGAAGCTTAATATAGCCTTTTATTTATTTATGGCACCCATAATATTACATCATTCATTGTCTAAGTACGTAAATATTATACTTACTATCTGAAGCCGGATAATTTCATGTAAAATTAAACTTTGTATAAAGTTCTCCCTGGTGTCTGAAAGGAAGTCCTTATGTTCTATTGGTTACTTTCTGTCCTGATGGATTTCTGCATATGCAACTCATGTCATTTATTTAATTTGGGGTTCGTGTTTCTGTTTGCTTTTAGACTGACAGGCCAACTGTTATAGAATACGATGATCACGAGTATATCTTTGAAGGATTTTCTATGTTTGCACATGCCCCCCTGACCAATGTAAGTATGTGCCAGTTGGCTGCTTTTCTCTTTCCTTGTACCTCCTTCATCCCTTCTTTCCAAAAGTCAAAACATTTCCTGTCATCTGCCTCCTAAGAAACATTTCCTCTGCATCCCTCTGTATTGTAAATGAGCTGCAGGAAGTCTGCAGCAGTGCATCAGGTGGCATTGTGACATCTGTGCTAATGAGTCACGGGTTCGGTCTGCATTAAATGGTGTAAGTAAACAAGTGTCAGAGTAACATTTTGAGAGTGTGAAAGATTGGAAAAGGAGGATAAACTGTGGAGTAATGTGTTAAAGCTATTTTGGGTTGGTTGTCCTTCAAAAGAAAGTTTTAAGGAGAAGCCATTGTTTAGTCTCTGAGCAAAAGAAACAGAGCTTATTCAGAACGTTTGGAGCCTGAATTCATGAAATAGATTTTCTGCTTTTGAATCCCAGGAATATGTCTTCAAGACACTTTGACATATGGATTCATGATATTTTTATACAGGTATTAAGTCTGCTTTGTTGGTAATTGGTTCAAATGGAAGTTCCTGATCCATGAGTCAAAATCTTTCCATCTCCATGCTCACAGTCCCAGGAATTGTCTTTCTTACTTCATATTGCAGTTGGATGTAGAGTGAATTGGCTGGCAGTGGCACAGGAACAGATGTGTGGCAGTGTACTTGACCCAGTACAGATGCTGTTGTAGAACTTACTGAATTGTAGCTATTGTATATCCACATCAAATAGAATGTTCTTTAACCTCTTCTGGTTTGGTTACGTGAAATTACATCTGCAATTTGAAAAATTATTTTAGTACTGTTTACTTCACAGATGAAATTCTGTTCCATTGGAGAGTACAGTTAAGACTCAAATCTTTGCCTTAGCTTAGCCCTTTTTGTCATTCTTTTTTTCTATGTAAGTAGATATGATTCCATAGCAGTGATGCTAATTTAGGACAAATTGTTTTCCTAATGAGATTTTCTTTATTTCACAGTATTTTTTATCCTAGAGAATTTTCTTTGAGAAGATGATTACATTGTAATGTAAAAATAAAATCATTTCATAATATATATTACATTTTTCTTCGGGGGGACCATCTGTTCACTAATGTAGAAAAGCAATAATATGGGCTGGGTGCGGTGGCTCACGCCTGTAATCCCAGCACTTTGGGAGGTCGAGGTAGGCAGATCACTTGAGGTCAGGAGTTCAAGACCAGCTTGGCCAACATGGCGAAACCCCGTCTCTACTAAAAATACAAAATTAGCTGGGCATGGTGGTGTGCGTCTGTAAACCCAGCTACTTGAGAGGTTGAGGCACAAGAATCATTTGAACCTGGGAGGCAGAAGTTTCAGTGAGCCGAGATCATGCTGCTGCACTCCAGCCTGGGCAGAAGAGTGAAACTATGTCTCAAATAAATAAATAAATATAGAAAAGCAATAGTATTAGGCCATTCTTAAATAATCTTTATGGAAAGGTACTAAGAGGTTTCTGAATTTTCATGATTTCTTTGCATTTTTTTTTTTCAAGTGTCACAAACTTTGAAACCCTTTGTTACACCGAATCTCATAGCCTTAGAGTTGATTACTCTCCACCCCCCACCATCTACTGCCTGTCTCTTTTTTCCCCACAGAGGGCTTATAAATACACAGAATTTAGTTAGCGTGAAAATACTTAAAACTATTCTTCCTCTTATTTCTTGATTCCCTAGAAGTAATATACATCTTATTTTGACTTTTAGGATCACCTTAAACAAAGAAGGATAGCAGTGTGGCTTTAGAGAGACCAGGGTTTAAAATTAGTGATAGCTCTGTGATTTGACATTTCAATCTTTATAAGCTTTGGCTTTCTCATCTGTAAGATTAGGGTATTAGTGGGAACAATCTCATTGGCTTTTGTGAAAAATAAATAAGATGGCACATGAAAAGTGTTTACCATGGTGTTTGGCACATAATAAATACTGGCACCTCTCTCTTTGGAAAGGATTTCAGACAGAGCTGGGTTTGAATCTTTCTTTGAATCCTTTTTTTTTTTTTTTTAACCTTGGACAAGTGAATTCTTTGAACTTCATTAATGATAGCAATGCTTGGGGTTTTAGTGAGAATCAGACATAATTTTTTTAAAATGTGGACTTTTTTAAAAAAAATAGTAGTTTTAGGTTTACAGCAAAAGTGAGTAGAAAACATCATTTTTAAAAACATCCCCCAGCACAAGGTTTGGCCTGAGAGGCCACTGTTGCTAAATTAGTCACAGTCGTTACTGTCATTATAAAACAAAAGGACAGAAAAAATTCCTGGCTTCAGCATATATTTTATGTAAATGTTCAAGTTCTCGGTGAGAACTTTATTCTATGACAAACCCTATCATTTGTATTAGAGATGTTGATAAAAATAGAGTTTTAAGCTGACTGTTGTGCAGTTCATAGGAATTAGATCCATCAAAGGCCTCTTGAATTTGAAATAGCCTCCTAAGGAAAAGAATTGTTAAATTGCTTTACCAATCTGATTCCTTTTCTTGCTAGAGAGAGAATGTCAGTAAGCATGTCATGCAAATGATGGTAATGACAGAATCTCCACCAAATCTAGTTCTATAAGTTCTCTTAAGGTCTTGAATTGAAGTGGATTGAAAGCCTTGTTGGCTGAGTATAGAGCATTCTGGGAGAATTTTACCTTTTTATGTAGTACATTTGTTATTGTAATACCTGATGTTAAGAGCTCTGACAACTTATCTGAAGTTTTAAAGATATGTGTATTTGCCAGGTGCAGTGGCTCACACCTGTAATCCTGGCACTAAGGCAAGGGAATTGCTTGAGGCCAGGAGTTCAAGACGGCCTGGGCAACTTAGGGGGACCTCATCTCTACAAAAAAATAAAAATATTAGCTGGGTGTGGTAATGCCTGTCTGTAGTCCCAGCTACTCTGGAAGCTAATGCGGGAGGATCACTTCAGCCCAGGAATTTGAAGCTGCAGTGAGCTGATTGCCCCACTGAACTCCAGCTTGGTTGACAGAGCTAGACCCTGTCTCTTAAAAAAAAAAAAAAAAAGGAAAAGGGCCAGGTGCAGTGACTTACACCTGTAATCCCAGCACTTTGGGAGGCTGAGGCGGGCAGATCACCTGAGGTCAGGAGTTTGAGACCAGCCTGGCCAATATAGTGAAACCCTGTCTCTACCAAAAATACACAAATTAGCTGGGTGTGGTGGCGGGCACCTGTAATCCCAGCTACTCGGGAGGCTGAGGCAGAATTGCTTGAACCCAAGAGGCGGAGTTTGCAGTGAGTCAAGATCGCGTCACCGCACTCCAGCCTGGGCGACAAGAGCGAAACTCCGCGTCAAAAAAAGAAAAAGAAAAAAAATGTAAGGTATATGTATGAGTTACACCGTATTTTGTCGTATTCTCAAAAGCACAGGAGAACCCCTGGATCATTTCCCTCCCACTTTAGTTGGCTTCCCATTTGCAGTGGACTCGCTGACTCCTGGATTTGGTCAATCAGTGTGTGGAAGTAGTAGAGTTAGAAGATGGAGGTTTGGAGAGTTTTTTAGTTTTTTGAGTTTTTTTGCTAGGGTGAGATAGGAGTATAAGTCAGTATAGGATGTTCTTTTAAGTATTCAAACATGATGGTAGTCATTTATATTATTTGATGGCATTTGTTGGGAGGTATTTTGGTGATCTTTGAAGTTACACAGTTTCTTGGTTGACCATTGTGTAGCAAAATAACAAGCTCTTCTTGACACTTAGAGAGAGATTACAGTTTGAATAGATGAGGAGATCCTGCCTTTCCAAATTTGTGTGTCTGAGAAGGGCTCTGGTGGTATGGATGGAAGCCCAAAAGAAAATAAAGTATATACAAAGAGAAGAGGTCAGAGAAGGAATTCCAAGAAGTGATTTTACTTAAAATGAAATGGAGAAAGGACTGTACGTGCATAAATCATCTAGCAGAGTGCTTTTTCCTATGATAGCAAGGAAGAAAGTTTGCACATTTGCTTTCTGCCTATCTCTTGAGAATTCCCAACAGCTCTGGTTGTTTTCTCTCCTGTTTACTCTCTGAGTAGTTCATTTCCACCCATGCATATTCTGATCCCCACCAGATCAATATTAATAGCTGTGACATGTACCTCTGTATTAATACTCCACTCTCACATTTTAGATTGCCTTTTGAAATGAACCTCCTCGATGTTTCCTCAGATACTTTACCCTCAACCTGTGTGAAACTAGACTCGTCATCTTCCCTGCATATTGAATTTGAGGTACTAAGGGGACACCCTCCTGAATTAAGTGACCTAGTTGGTCACTTACGCCAGAAACCCAGAAATGATCCTCAATTCTTTCTTCACTCTTCCTCCCACATCAGAATGGTCACTGTATATTTCAGTAATATCTCCTGTGTTTAAAATTTTTCTCTTCCTTTCCAGTCTTCCCTTCATTTGGCTCCTGGACTATTGCATTAGACTTCAGTCTGGTCTTCTTTGTTCCCTTACAAGCCATTCCCACACTGTTTCCACAGTGTCTCATCTGAAATGTAAATGATGATAATCTGTAACTTAAAGTACTTGAATGATTTCTCGTTGCCATATATCCATAAGCCCTGACCTTAACATGGTTTGTAAGGGCTACATAATAGAGTTCATATTTTCCTCTCTAGATCATCTGGCATCTCTCTCTCTCCACGCACTTCTATCTGAACTGTGAAATTACTACTTCTTTCCTCAGCTCCCTTTCCTCCATTTTTCTAGAAGCTAAACACCTGCTCTGCCTCAACTTTTTCTAGATGACCTGGAAAATTCCTCCCCATCTTTTTTTTTTTTTTTTTTTTTTGGTGATAGAGTTTTGCTCTTTTGCCCAGGCTGGAGTGAAGTGGCATGATCTTGGTTCACTGCAACCTCCAACTCCCGGGTTCAAGTGATTCTTCTGCCTCAGCCTCCCAAGTAGCTGGGATTATAGACGCCACCACGCCCAGCTAATTTTTGTATTTTTAGTAGAGACGGGGTTTCACCATGTTGGCCAGGCTGTTCTTGAACTCCTGAACTCAGTTGATCCACGCTGCTCAGCCTCCCAAAGTGCTAGGATTACAGGCATAAGCCACCGTGCCCGGCCCCTCCTCATCTTTGAAGACAACTCATATGTTACCTCCTCTTTGGTTCTTTTATACTTTATACTTTTTTTGTTGCTTGTTTGTTTTTTAATTGAACTTAGAAGTTACATTGCATTGTATTCTTTTTGTATTTACTTACATGCCTTTCTTCTTACACATCTTTACCTCTTAAGATAGGACCCGTAGCTTATTTTAGAGTACCTATGAACCTAATATAGTTGTTAGCAAAGAATAGGTATTTTAAAAATACATTGAATCATGCAAAATTTTGTAACTCTTAAATATTTTTAAATGATTATAAGAACAAAGTAGAACTTAAAAATGATAATGGCTATTATGAATTTCACTCAAATTAACCACTATTCTTTAGAATAAAAAGGAAAAGCCCCCAAGAACTAAACTTTGTATCTGAGAAAAGGATTTCCAGTAGATGGCATTATAAGACTATTTTTCTGTTTTTCTTACCATCCCTTTCACTGATAGAATTAAAATTTGTTTCTTTCTGATTGCTGTGGTTTATGAAAATGATTACATCTGTATAAAATCATCTTATGGACAGATTAAGCAGCCAGAAAAACTCAGTTAACGCGTCTCTGGGACTTCTGGGTCTGTTATTTTCCCCAGCTAGCCAGCCAATTCTCTGCAGTAATCTCCCTCCCTTTTTCATTCTTTAATTCATTCAAAAATATATTTACGGAAAACCTGTTATGTGTAGGCAGTAGGCAATTGTCTGATGATACATTGGTAAAGTAAGATAGATGTGGATTTATTTTATGCTGAGCCTTCCTTCATTTTCACATGTATCTTGAGTATTAGAACAGGTAATGAGAGGGGTATACTCTAGTGGCTAAGAGCTGGAGTCTAGAGAAAGACTTCGCAGTTCACCAAGCTACCTGTTATCTTAGGCATGGTACCTGATGACTCTTCTGCCTTAGCTTCCTGCACTGTTCAGTGGACATGGTAGCCAAACCCATGTTATAGGGATGTTGTGATGGTTACATGAATGAATATTGTGAAGCATTTGGGACACTGCCTGGCTCAAAAAATGTTAGCTATTATTATTTTTATTATCATTTGTTATTATTATATTTATTACCACAATTGCCTTTGCTTAAGAGCCAGATGGGCAGCATGAATTGGGTGTTTTCAGTGACCTATGAATCCATAATTGATGAGTTATCACCCTACTATCCCTGATCTGCCTAAGGAGCCAGAGATTCTAAAATATTTTAAAAACTTGAGAAACAGAAATGTTTATGGTTATGGTTTTATTAATTCTTTAGAGGTGATACTTGTGGTTTTAATGGGTTCTTGTCATGTTTGTGTTGCTGCTGCTAATACTGTTAATTAAGCACCACATTATGCAGGTTTCTTGGCGAGGCCAGGCCAGCTGGGTTCTTGTCATTAAAATCCAGCAGTTGTGGTCAAGCTTCATGTGCAGTGTTGTTAGCCGCTGAGATGAAGGTGAAGCCTTCTCATTTGGTTCATGGCCTTTTGGGTCAGGTAACAAACGTGTATAATATGAGCCTGCAGGGAGACGTTGGGGAACTGAACCTCACTTCTTTTTATTGCAGATTCCACTGTGTAAAGTAATTAGATTCAACATAGACTACACGATTCATTTCATTGAAGAGATGATGCCGGAGGTAAGGGAAAAGATTGTGTGTGGTTTGATGTAGTTTGCTCTTTTGCTTGTTCCATACTACTATTTTAAAGCATTGAACTTGGCCAGATCTGGCTTTTGCCAGGAATATCTCTAAAGTATCATATTCACTGTTGAAAGAGTCAGTGAAATGTAGCTCTAGTATCAAGGTTAAAATTCAGGCCAATTTTCAACTTGTTGACCTGTTTTTATACCCCTTTCTCCTTGTGTTACGTCTGCTGATATTAACTTTACATCTGTTTCTAGTTTCTTTTACGTAGGGGACAGATTTTGGTTACTGGCCATTATCAGAGGGGAAATTGGAATAGTGAAACAATCTGATAGCTGTTGTAATAATCTTATTCGTTATCTCCAATGACAAGATCAATGCTTGGTTCATTTTTCTTCCCATATATTTACATATTTTTCCTAATTGTTTTTCATTGCGAGTGCTCAACAGCAGATTTATCTCAATATATGCAAGAGATTTAAAATTCCAAAGGAAGATTAATGTGAATCTCAGAATGATTCATAGTCTGATCTTGAATTTAGTGGTGTCAACAAATCATACTAAGAAATAACAACTAGACAGCAAACAAGCTTGTGCACTTAACATTGTGTTGGAGTCAGGGTCAATTTCCGGAGCCCCTGGCTCTGCTTGCAAACCTTGTTTAATGGGACAGCTCTGTCATGGGCAGGGAGTGTGGAGGGGGAAATTGATCGGCATCACATGTGTGCCTAGTTGGCACCTGTTTCATTCTGAGCAAGTGTTGTTTATTGTACCTTCCTTTCAAAAAGAATTAAAGAAAAAGAACCACCCCTTCATTCTCCTGCTTTAGAAGGGTTTTTTTTTTTTTTTAACTTCCTTTTGGTTTTTAAGGTCATATGCCTTCATTTGCTATTGTAAAAGTTTATGACTTCTGGCGTGATCTCACGCAGGGTGATTTATGAACTCCGAGCAAAACAAGTAGGAGGAAGAATTATGAGATAAGTCTCACTTGCAAATATATCTGTTTAGCTTGTTTACAGGAGAAATTTTGGTGCAGAGTTGTATAATTTTCTTAGCCCTTTATTTGCATTCATTACTTTTTGAACTTTTTGGGTACACAGGACCTCTGTTTTTTGGTAACTCCATGACAATTATGCTGGATGTATGGGGCGGGGGTGGGGGACAAGCCTATCAGGTGCATATGTATAATCTGAATTAACAAAACATCCTCAGAAGATTCTGACACAGTTTATAATTGAATTAGAAAAATATATTAATATAAGTGAGACTTTACTTTTTGAATTTCTTATTTTATTTGTATACTGAGAAGGGCTAAGTTGACATTAAGGAATCCTAGTGGCATTATTGTCTATTTCATTTCCATCTGAAACTAGCGATCAGTGGCCAAACTCTTCAGGAAACTATATGGTCTTAGTATAGTTTTAACAGACACTTTTAAAGACACTTGACAAGAACAAGTTGAACCTTCAGTTAATGTATATTTTGCCAAACTACAGTAATTTAATTTTGGTTTATTTTTCAGAATTTTTGTGTGAAAGGGCTTGAACTCTTTTCACTGTTCCTATTCAGAGATATTTTGGAATTATATGACTGGAATCTTAAAGGTAAGTAATAGGATTTAAAGAAGAGAGTAGTGTTTATGGAAGAACATTATGGTATATGTGAAAACTCTTATAAAAGTTGTAGGGAGATAGTTGAAATTTCTCTTATTTTTTAAATACCCAGAGAAAAGTGTTATTCACAGGAATGCTTGTTATCATTTGACATGAATAAGTTTCTATGGATTTTACTTTATACAGTTTGACAGGGCTTATTATTAGCTGGTAGCGGCTTGAAGATGGTACCAGTTATTATGTGTAGCTACCTTGATATATGTGTACCTGGGAAATTACCATTAGTTAATATTTTAAATCTAGTAAACTTTGCTGTAATAAATCTTCTAAGATGCAAAACTTTGGTTAGTCATTAAAACACACACATGCACACACGCAGACACTTAGAGTGAACTAGATAGATTCAAAGACTTGATGCTTGGTTCTTGGATAGTAGCTTACTTTTTTGGAAGTATCCGTATTCTTTTTTTTTTTTTTTTTTTTTTTTTTTTGAGACGGAGTCTCGCTCTGTCGCCCAGGCCGGACTGCGGACTGCAGTGGCGCAATCTCGGCTCACTGCAAGCTCCGCTTCCCGGGTTCACGCCATTCTCCTGCCTCAGCCTCCCGAGTAGCTGGGACTACAGGCGCCCACCACTACGCCCGGCTAATTTTTTTTTGTATTTTTAGTAGAGACGGGATTTCTCTGTGTTAGCCAGGTTGGTCTCGATATCCTGACCTCGTGATCCGCCTGCCTCGGCCTCCCAAAGTGCTGGGATTACAGGCGTGAGCCACTGCGCCCAGCGGTTGGAAGTATCCGTATTCTAGCAAACAGTTACTTATTTATTGGTGAATGGCTTTTCAAACTGATAGCATTTCTCAACATTTTTTTTTTAGTGTAGTGATTAAAATGGGAAAGAATGAACACATAGTCACATTATATCATGCAGTAATTCAATTATAATAAGTCTTGATAGTTTTGAATTTTAAAAATAATTTTACTGTATGTATTTGCTACTTGGGGCTTTCATCCTCTTCTTGCCTTCCTGTAGTCTCCTCATTGCAGTCTTCCTTGGGTGCTTGTGGCAGTTACCAATGATTGATTTAGCCACTGAGGAGGAGTGGCAGGAGGTGGTGGTAATTTTTATGCCTCTACTTCTGGTGGTAGTTTTTGTGGTTATCATAAATCTTAGAAATTAAGTTGCAGTGCTTGTTTTTTAAGACTGAGTTTTCTTTTTTTTTTTTTTTTCTCATTTGTTTGCTTCAGGTCCTTTGTTTGAAGACAGCCCTCCCTGCTGCCCAAGATTTCATTTCATGCCACGTTTTGTAAGATTTCTTCCAGGTAAATCTTCTGGCTTGTCAGTGACCTGGTGAGATAGTGCATCTGAAAATAAGCTTGCCATTTTCCTTTCAGTCTTCAGGGACAACTTTCCCACCTTCGATACTGTTAATTATCTACTTCTCAGGTTAGGCACGGAAATGTAAAATTATACATGTGGATTTATATCCCTGCATAAATTATGGTAGTCCAAATTAGATGAACAATGGAAGAACAGATTTATAAATTTTAGAAATCTACTTGACAAAATATCATGCGGGTGTGTTAATGTGGAGAAATGATTGTGGCTTAAAAAATGCATATGGCTAATTGGAAAACAATAAAAAAATTTAAATGCAATATGATTATAACTGCTGAAAAAATTACTGTAATAATAGTTACATTAAGGTAGTAGGATTATAGTGATTTTTTCTTATCTTTTGACATGTGCTTGAATTCATTTTACAGTGAAAAAAAGGTATAAAATAATTTTTTCTCCCAATAAAATATAGGGAAATATATGACAGTTTTTTAAAGCAATATTTTAACTGTTTTCTAATTTTTTAAAAAGAATCCACCTGTAATATTTGGCATTATATTTAGTGTTTTTAAAAATGCTTGGAGTCAGTTTAGTGACATGTACCTATAGTCTCAGCTATTTGGGAGGCTGAGAAGGAAGGATCGCTTGAGCCCAGTGAGGGTTTGAGACCAGCTTGAGCAACATGGCAAGGCCCTATCTCTAAAAATTAAAAAAAAAAAAAAAGTATTTTTAATGAAATCTTTTGGTTGCCTTTTTGTTTGCAAATCTTTCTCCTTGAGGCTTCTGGCACCCTATTCCCACTCCTTCTTTATTTATTTCCTAGTCAATTACCTGCTTTATCAAATGCTGTGAAACCTGGCTTACAGTTTCCTCTCTCCACAAGGTTCTGTTACCAGCCTGGTGAACTTCACTTACCATTCTACCCTGAGCTATATAATTATTTGACTTTTTCTACTGTAAGGATTGTCACCACTCAGCCGCTTAATCTTAAGATAAAACCTTGGACCATGCCACCAACCTACATTAATTTCTCCCTAGAATTTGACTCCATTATCTCACTTTCTGGTGACATCCTTCAGTCTAGCCTCTCATGTCCCTATTGCCTTTGCATCTACTTGGATCTTCCCTCTTCTCCTTATGTATGGCTACTTTCCTTTGCCTTCCCCACCAGGTCCTGTGCTCTGATGTTTACCCTGTCAGTTCTAGCTGTCTTAGCTGCCTGTATGGCCATCATCTCCGAGTTAATGTCATCAATCCAACTGCTTGCCTTTTCTTCTATATATGGGCCACTCAGTAATACTGAAGAGTAAAACATAGCTGCTGCTATAAATCTGTGGTCTATAATCTTGGTTGGGGAGCTTTTCTTCGTGTAACCTTTCCACCCAATATCAGCAGTTAAAGAATTTCAGTGCTGTGTTTGTGCTGTCCTCCTTATGCCTCCTGTCTTCCCATGGGCAGAAGCCCCTGTCTCCCTTGGGCAGGAGCCCTTGTCTCCCTCATGCCTGAGAGCCCTGCAGTGAGCCTGTCGGAGTCTGGCTTCCTCCAGTGCCCTTGTCCATTCACAGCCAAGTTTTGCTTCAGTGCCAGACCCTCTCTAACTGTCCCTAGCCCACTGTAGCTGCCGATGCCAGAGGCAGCCTCCTACAGACCAAGTGCAGAGCATGTGCCTCAGTGTTAGTCTCTTCCCTGCTCTGGTGCCTGGGTGCTCCTTACTTTCCTCCTGTCTCTTTGACTCCTCTTGTGTGGCTTTAGTTTCTTGTCTACTCTGTCTGGTTTAGATTTTTCTCAAGATTTTTTCCTGATACTCTTTCCTCAGTCCAGGCAGTCAAAATGGCTTAGTTTATTTTAGGTTAGCATTACTCAGATTTTTAGTATTACTGTTCATGTTTATTTTGTTTAGAAATGCATTCAAAGGCTTTTCTCCTTTTTATATCTGGTTTTGTTTTATTGAGATGCCGTTTCTTCTCTTCTGGTGAATGAATCTTTTGATTTTAGAATGGAGCTTCAACAGTAAACTTATTAGAAAATGGTGTTAGAGTGAATTTGCTGAAAAGCCTTTTCCTTTCTATATCTACTTTCCTGTAGGCGTTTTATGACCAAACAGATGTCTGAGAGAAAGTGGGCAGTTTTAAAATCACCTTAAAGAAAAATCTGCTGTTGGATATTTACTTTGTGAGATTTCAACTCTCACGTAACTATGTGGGGATAACATTTAGGTTGTCATAAAGAAAAAGGTCTATTGATTTGTTTTTAAACAGGGTTTACCTTTTCATTAGACTCCCCTTTGAAAATATACATACTAAGAAGACCCCGAAGGATACAGAAAAATACCTGATGTATAAAATGCATTTTGGTATTAGATAGGAAATTACGGTTGATTTGTTATTCATAATGTGACTTTGTTAAAGATCTTTTAGAAAATGGTGAATTAAAAAAAAACATTTTGATATATATTTTCATTTTTTTCTGTGCAGAAGGGTTTTTTTTACGTAGTTGTCATCTACTAGTATATGATTTGCATCTATTTTTTAATAATTCATTGAGCAGATGGATATTTTTAAAGATTGTGATATATAGTGCCAAATTTCTTGTCAAAAGAATAACATCAGTTTGTGCTGCCATGAAAAATGCATTATTATTCATTTTTAGCATTTTGCCTTTCCCATCTTCCTTCTCTCCTTTCTTTCTTCCTTTTAAAAAATTTCAGTGGTGAGTTCCATGAGGCTGAAGAGTAAACATTTGTCTGTCTTGTTGTATCACTAGTGCTAACATACTTCATGGCACATAGCAGGGACGCAGTAAATGCTTGTTTACTGATTTTATTTAATTGGTCATAATAATGCCTTATCTAAGTATTCATGTTTTTGGTTACTAGTGAGTGTGCTTTTCAAATAGTCTTTGGTATTATCTCTCATTTTTATAAAGTAAACTTTTGGTTGAACTATAACATAAATACTGAAAAGTGCATGGATCATGAATATAGGACCTTAGTGAGTTTTTACAAAGTGAATATGACCATCCACCCAGCACCCAGATCAAGATTAGTAGCTTCCAAGAACCCCCTTCGGACCCCTTTCCAGTCGCTGCTGAGACCCTCAAGGGTAACCGCTATTCTGACTTGAAACACCATGTATTAGTTTTACCTGTTTTTGAACTATAAAAACTAGAATTTTATATTCTGTTTTGCTTCTGTCTTTTGTTTAATGTATTTCAGAATCATATCCTGTTGCACTTAACTGTAGTTGGCTCATTCTCACTACTATATAGTATTATATGGGATGACTAAATTAAAATAAACCTATCTATGATTAATGGACATTTGAGTATTTTCAGTATATATATATATATATATATATATACTGACATTGCCAATAGAAAAACGGGCAAAAGACTTGAATGAGCACTTTAAAAAAAACACTATCTAGGTACCTAATAAATATATGAAATAGTGCTCCATTTTATTAGTCATTAGGAGAATGCAAATTAAAATCACAATGTGATACTTCTGAACACACATCAGAATGGCTAAATTGACAAAGAAAAAATAAATGCCAAGTGGTGAGAATGTGAAATAACTTGAATTTTCATACACTGTTAATGAGAAGGTAAAACAGTACAGTCACTTTGGAGAACTGAAAGTGTCTACAAAGCTTAATATACACACAGCCAGAATTCCACCTGGTATGGTATATATGTAACAGAAAAATATGTATATATGCTCACTAAACAACACGTACATGTCTTTGGTGAACGTACATATGCTATTCAAATATACAGATACAGATATATAGTGAATATATGTTATATATAGTGAATATAGAACATGAATATAAATGTCATGAATATATATATATCTAATACCTTCTCTGTAGATTGCTTTTTGATCTTCTTGATGATTTTTGTTGAATAGAAATTCTTAATTTTTATGTAGTCCAATTTATAGATATATATTCCTTTATGATTAGAGCTTTTTGTATCATATTTATGAAATTTTCGCCTACCCTAAAGTCAAGATACTCACTTATATTTTCTTCACTTTCAGAGCTGTAATCAGTCTTGAATTTGTTTTCACAATTCGTATGAGATATGGGTCAAAACTCAGTATTTTCAACGTGGGTATCCAATTGACCCAGCACCATTTATTGAAAAGAACAATTTCTTTCTTTAGAAAATTGAAGTGTTGCTTTTGCTTTTGATTGAGTTGACTCTGTGTGTATGTGTGTGTATACAAACAATACAAAAGTATGTAAAGTAAAAACAGTGAACACTTCCTTCTGAACATGTGAAAATGGGTAAATGCTGTAAATGGCTTGATTTGTATTGTTTTAACTGCTTTAAGGAGAATTATGCTTTTTTTCTTCAAGTGGAATAACAATATGTTACACAACTTCCTTTTTTTTTTAAACTCAGATACTTCAGGCATTCTCTGTACTGTAAATGCTTTGCTTCATTCTTTGATGCATACTTAGCATTTTATAGTATGGATGGACATTAATTTGTTTATAATTCCTATGGTGACAAATATTCTGGAGTTCTCCATTGTTTCCCCATTTTGTATAAATGCTTCAGAAATAGTCTGTGTCTATCCTGTTGCATTTGTTTGTTTCTGTAAGGTAGAGTTCTAGTAGTGAAATTATGTGTTAAGATAGTATGTACATTTTAAATTCAGAATGATGTTGGCCAAGTTTTCTCTAGAAAGGACATACCAATTTGTAGTTCTGACCAACAGTACTCTTTCTGACCAACAGAAAGTACTCTTTTTCTATACACCTGCCAATACTGGATGTTACTAGTCTTTTTTTTGAGACAGAGTCTCACTCTTCTCACCCAGGGTGGAGTGCGGTGGTGCCATCTCGGCTCACTGCAACCTCTGCCTCCCGGGTTCAAGCGATTCTCTTGCCTCAGCCTCCCAAGTTGCTGAGATTACAGGGACCTGCCACCATGCCTGGCTAATTTTTGTATTTTTAGTAGAGACAGGGGTTTGCCATGTTGGTCAGGCTGGTCTCGAACTCCTGACCTCAGGTCTGCCCGCCTCAGCCTCCTAAAGTGCTAGGATTAAAGGCGTGAGCCATCACACCTGGCCAGGATGTTACTAGTCTTTTACAGTTTAGTCCAAGCTTGTCCAACCCACAGCCCATGGGCCACATATGGCCCAGGACGGCTTTGAATGTGGCCCATCACAAATTCGTAAACTTTCGTAAAACATTTTGAGTTTTTTTTGGATTTTTCTTTTTAATCTCATCAGCTGTCGTTAGTGTCAGTGTATTTTATGTGTGGCCCAAGACAATTCTTCCACTGTGGCCCAGGGAAGCTGAAAGATTGGACATTCCTGGTTTAGTCCATCTGATAAGCGAAAAGTCTGATGTTACTATTTGCATGTTTCTTGAACTTCTTTGAGAATGAGTAACTTTCCGCATTTTTCAGGTATTTTATGGTTTTCTCATTCTGACTTGCTTTTTGTTTATGTCAGTTTATTATAATATCTAACTGAAAATTCAAGTTTTATAAGTCATCATCATATTTCTCTAATTCTTCAGTTTATCCCTTTTGAAGATAGCTGTCCCAGTTGCTTTATACAACTTTACCCAAAAGTAAGCTTGATAGTTTAAACCAAGGATTATTCAATGTTGACCAGTTTACCAGAAACCAAATCATAGAGCAATCAGTTTATTGAGATTTAAAATTTTTTCTCAAATTTTTGTTTCTTTCCTATCCCACTCTCTACCTTTGGTCGCAAAATAGTTGATATGAACTAGACTGAGTATAAGGTTTTATTCTGAGTGTAACTGGGGCAAAGGTAGGTCGTGATTCAAGATAGTGAGATCACACTTAGGGGAAAGCCTACTCATTGCTTATATTACTGCCCTAGTAAAGCATTGCAAATCCTGAATCAGTTTTGCAAATTGACTGTCTAGAAAATTGATTCTTTGAAATTGCCCCATCTGGAGCAGTAGTTCTCAGGTGTGGCTGGCAGGGGGCCAGGAGGTGGGAGAGTATTGCAAAATTTCCAGGAGGCAAGTGTAGTTTGCAAAACCATCTATTAGTACCACAACTTAATATACATTTGGAAAATTTAGAAAAGACTTGTTAATACGTATTTTAGAAAATAAGATTATTAGGATGTCTCAGCAGGAATATCCAGAAGACACAGAAACGCAGTCATACAGTTACTGTCAGTGTAGAGAAAGGGGATAATATTTTTGTATTTCTTAAAGTTGAGTACTAACAGTTGAGAAATACTCTTATAAGCAGCCATATTCTTAATACAGATTCTCTAACAAATTACCCCCTCCCCAAATAACCATATAAATAATCAAGCAATATAAACTGAGAGAATTGGGTCTCTAAGAAACAGTTTATAAAGTCTGTCAGTTCATTAATGACTGTCCAGATTCATTCCCTGAAACACAAACTCCAGTTCTTCCCGAATAATGAGCTGTTGTCACAGTTCCAGTCCCAGAGTTGGCGGAATTCCTGCTAACCTTAGCTTACCCGCTCTCATTTCTCATTTATATCATGTCCTATTTATTTCAGCCAACAAGATAAAAATTACTTCCTAGCCCTCAGTGACATGGCTCCATAAATCCCCAACATAAACAAGTGGCAAGGCAGACAAACCAAAAGAGCCAATTCATTAACATTAGTGAATTCATGGCAGCCTGAGTGCGAGTGGCCAAGTTATTAGTCTGCTTTAGAAAGTCATTCCACAAATGTTTATGGAGTGTCTTTTTGCCAGGCTGGGTGTGAGAGATATAGCCCATGCCCTGTGGGCTCTGGCAGGAGTCTCTAATTTATGGATCTCCTCTTACCTTTCCATGGAAATCGAGCCCCAAAACCAGACAGGGAGCAGAGTCTCAATCCCCCTTCCTTGAGATACCTTTCACCTCAGGTTATCTGCCCTGAGTTTCTACTTTTTTACAGTGGTAAATAAAATCTCTTTAAGGTTTAGTTGCCATTTAAAATATTTAGCAGATTTCAACATGGATTTGTGGTTTCTCCTTCAGTGTTGTTAACTTTGCACCTGATGTGTGTATATGTATATTTTTAATTATGTCTTGTTTCTATGCTGCTATGTGACTCGCTTCTGCCTCATCATTAGCGTTGTACCTAAATAAGAAGGTGGATAACTGGCATTCTTATAAGCACCTTGTGATCTTCTTTCTTTCTTTCTTTGATAGAGAGTCTCACCCTGTCACTCAGGCTGGAGTGCAGTGGCACAGTCTCGGCTTACAGCAATCCCTGCCTCCCAGATTCAAGCGATTCTCCTGCCCCAGCCTCCTGAGTAGCTGGGATTACAGGAGTCTGCCACCATGACTGGCTGATTTTTGTATTTTTAATAGAGACAGGGTTTTGCCACGTTGGCCAGGGTGGTCTCGAACTCCTGACCTCAGGTGATCCACCCACCTTGGCCTCCCAAAGTGCTGGGATTACAGGCGTGAGCTACCCCACCCGGCCAATGGCCTTATTTCTTAATCTAGTTGTGCCTTTCCTAAATTGGACAGTATCTATACTAATCATTTTCTACAGAAATGAAGCCTTTAAGTGAGTCTTGGTTTGTAGTCTTAAGTATTCCTCTCTCCCACTAGCTCTTTTAAAAGTCTTTTCACATTAAATTTGCTCTCCCCAGTCCATTTCCCTTTTATCTGAAGTGCCATGGAGTCAGGCAGCTGTAAATGTATGTGTGGAGATTGTAGTGCTGTTTTATATACCTGGACCTGTGTATATTTACTCCCTCCGTCATCCTCCTCTCCCTCCATGAAAATATGAATCTTTTTTCTAATTCTTACACAAAGCAACATTCTGCTCCTTCTTACGGTATTTTAGACCCCTATTGTGTCCTTAAAGTCCCTGGTACTCTTAAGTAATCTCACCAAGTATAGGCATTATAAGCCAAAAACTATTTTCTTCTTTCCTTAGTTCCTAGTGAACCTAGTTAGTGTGGCAGTTCTTTCCAAGGTTCTCTAGGTTTCCTTTATTCCTGCTGTTCTGTGTGTATGCATGTGAAGTGTATAGACAACGTATTCTGGCATTAGAATTTTCTCATCCACCTGTTCACCTCAGTCCCCTTAGAAAATTGGTGATTATCATGGACTCAGACTGAGAGACAGGTATTGTGGGTTTGCTGGGCTCCTTAGCAAAGAGAGGAACATTACTGATTGAGGAACACATGTCACAAGCAGGTGGATTGGAATGTGTTTTTATTATTTTATTTTATTTTTTGAGACAGGGTCTTACTTTGTTCTCCAGGTTGGAGTGAAGTGGCACAGTTACGGCTCACTGCAGCCTCAACCTTCAGGGCTCAGGTGATCCTCCCACCTCAGCCTCCTGAGCAGCTGGGACCACCAGTGTGTACCACCATGCCTGGCTAATTTTTGTATTTTTTTGTAGAGAGGGGTTTTGCCATGCTGCCCAGGCTAGCCTTGAACTCCTGAGCTCAAGCAGTCTGCTCACCTTGGCCCCTCAAAGTGCTGGGATTACAGGCGTGAGCCACCATGCCCAGGTGGAAATGTGTTTTGAGACTGACTTGGAGAAATATGCCCCTAGCTATGTGTCTTCGATTGAACTGTACTAACAAAAACATTATAGATTGGTGGCTTAGACAACAAACACTTATTTCTCACAGTCCTGGAGGCTGGTAGTCTGAGATCAGGGCATCATCGTGGTTGGGTTGTTGATGAAGGTCCTCTTACTGTTTCACAGCCAGCCATCTTCTTATATCCTCACCTGGTGGATAAAAGAGAGAGGAAGCAAGCTCTTTCATGTTTCTTGTAAGGGCACTAATCCCATTTATGAGGGCTCTACCTTCATGACCTTATTACCTCTGAAGGCCCCACCTCCTAATATCATCATACTGGGGGTTAAGATTTTAATATATGGCTGGGTGCCGTGGCTCACACTGTAATCCCAGCACTTTGGGAGGCTAAGGTGGGAGGGCCATTTGATCCCAGGAATTGGAGAACAGCCTGGGCAACATAATTAGACCCTGTCTCTACAAAAAAATTAAAAAAGTAGCCAGGCCTGGTGGCACAAGCCTGTAGTCCCAGCTACTTGGGATGCTGAGATGGGAGGATTGCCTGAGCCCAGGAGGTTGAGGCTGCGATGAGCCGTGATGGCATCACTGCACTCCAGCCTGGATGACAGAGACCCTGAATCAAAAAGAAAAAAGAAAAAAAAAGGACTTTAATATATGAAATTTGGGGGAACACAAACATTGAGTCCATAACACTATGGAAGTTAGCTTATTACTGATGACTTTTGCATTTAAGGCAGTTGCTTTGTAATGAGGCATAAAAAAAAGTCACTGCTACGAATTAGTAGATATAACATATCTTAATGTGGGTTGATGTATTTTGTGACTTTGTCACTTCTTGGACAATCATTATTATTTTTTAGAAGCACAGTGTCTTTAGAACTTTGATTAAAAGAACTTTATTTTCTGAGTGTTATCTACAAAGATTCATTTAGGAACCATTGTGATCAATCATTATTAGCCTATGTGCTTCCTGAGCGCCTAGAGCTTGTGGCATTTTTTTCCCTAGTGATACTGACATGGGACCACTCACAGTGCATGGCACATATGGTGAAAAACATGCTCCCATCTCAGAGTCAACTCCAGAGCTCTTAATGAGCGGTAAAGCTTTGTAAGATCTGACTTCCCTGCTGCCTCTCTCACATTCTTCTGACTTCACACCATCCACAGTGGCCTCTTTGCAGTTCCTAGGCACAACAGTTCCACTCCACCTTAGGGCATTTGCTCTTTCTTCTCCTCTTCCAGACTGCTGCATGGTAGCCTCCCTTGCTCCTTTCAAGTTTTGCCTACGTGAAACCTCTTAGAAGATTCCTTTCTTATCCATCCTTTTAGATACAACTCTAGTTCCTTGTCCTGTTTGATTCTTCTTTGTAGCACTCACCTCAACCTGATCTTTTATGTAGCTCTTTTATATTGTCTCTTTCTACTGCAGTAGAAGCTTCAGGAAGGCAAGGCTTTGGCTGTTTCCATCATTGCTGTGTTCTCAGGGCCTAGAACGGTGGCTGTTACATAAAAGGCACTCAATAAATATTTGTTGAATGAATGAATATTTGGATGAATGAGTGAATGCATGCCTACATATATATTGGCTGTAGAACAGCAATGTGGTCTAGTTCCAGAGTAACATCTCAGATGGAGGAACACAGCTCACACAGAAATGTTGATATTTTCTCTCTTTTCTCTCAGACATGCAGTCTTGTTTAAGTTCTTAGCCCACAGCAATTCACATTAAACTTGTTTAGTGCACCAGACTCAAACTGGGTGCCACTAATTCCTCTGACCAAGGAGGACACTCTCTTTTGTGCCATCCCATTGCTGCCATCTTGTGCTCTTTGTCCCTTTCTTTCTCCCTGAAGTGTTTGGTCCTGTACTACTGTTCATAGCCTATCTCATAACCTGGGAGAGGGTAATGATTGTCCTCTTCAGGGCTCTTGTCCTTTGTTTGGTTGGGTGTAGGCAAAGAAAAGAGATATAAAATGGTTGCCCATGTTGGTCCAGAAGTTAAGTCCAAAGAGAAGGCAGAAGCCTGTGGACCCCACATTAATGCCCAAATGAAGTGGATGTCTTTAGTTCATCAAATACTAGATTAATTGGCTTTTTCCAAGGTACTTGAATGATGCCCTTTGTTATTTTTATCCCCTGTACTTGGTGCTATATGCTTCTGTAGGCCTCAGAGCACTTGGTTTTTTTTCCATGTACTAACTCCATAATGATCTTCCATGATATTAGCACAGGCTCTTTAGCTCTGTTCATCATGGCAGGTGCAGCACATTAGCACCAAAAAATTAGACCATAATGCAACAACAGCTTATTGAAGACATCCATAAATATCTCACAAAAGCTTAGAATTTCCTTAAGACAGTAACATCACTTCTAAAGAGCTTTCATCTGTTACCTCAGAAAGAATGATAAAATATTTAAGACCTAACATGGTTCTGTATATTATAAACTATGGTTATTTATGCTAGGTGGCTTTAAATTTATTTAGATAGGCACCTTTTTTATATTCATACCTCACAAATGGAGCCTTTTATCATTTATAATGTTGTTGTTGCCAATTTAGTAAATGAGATGGTTTATGAGCACTGTTCATCAATGAAACAAATGGCTTTCATATTATTTGGCACCTGGTTAAACAGTGTAAATTTTACATTACCTTTTTGTATGTGCTCTTTTTCCTCCATTGTCTTGTTTTTTTCCTTATTCAGTTGTTGATTTGCTGTAAGTTGAGTAGCCTTATTTTTCCCCTTCTCTCCACTCCCATTCCCACCCAAGATGGAGGAAAGGAAGTGCTGTCCATGCACCAGATTCTCCTGTACTTGTTAAGGTGCAGCAAAGCCCTGGTGCCTGAGGAGGAGATTGCCAATATGCTTCAGTGGGAGGAGCTGGAGTGGCAGAAATATGCAGAAGAATGCAAAGGCATGATTGTTACCAACCCTGGGACGGTATGTTCTGGTGTCTGTATATTCAGAGGCTGGAGGACCTTCTTTTCCAGATCTGAATGTTTCATGAAAACAGTAACAGCACATTTTAAAAGTTTTAGGTAGTCACTGCTCTTGTCCTTGGATAATTTTTCCTTTAAATATTTAGTAAATAAGAAAATATTACAATTTAGGCATATTTGGTCGTAAATTCACCTAATTTAGTAAATTTATTCTACCTGAAGATAGGTACATTTTTAAGGCTTTTGACGCATGTTGCAGATTGCTTTCCAGAAGGGCTGTAAAATTTGTACTCTGGGAGCATATGAGAGCAACCATATCTTCATGCTGGTTATACTAAGGGAATTTGATGAGAGTTGGGGGGCGGGAAATGTCTTAGTTCAGTTTTGTATTTATTTTGATTTCTAAATGTTTATTGCCCATTCATGTTTTCTTTTGTTAATTGCTTGTTAATATCCTTTGATCTTTTTTGTAGCCTTCTTTTTTATTGATCCTCCGCCATAATTATTATAAATATTTTACATTTCTTTGGGTGCTACTTAAGTTTTTTGTTTTAAAATTAGCTTTTAATATTCAATTTTAGAAGTAAAAAATGCAAACATTAAAAGGATATAATTAAAAGAAAACTAGTTCTTATATAAAGACATAACATTTTCTTTATATCAATTTTTTTCTTCTAAATTAGTGTTACTGTTTCATAAAATAGTTATATGTTGGCATCTTATAAGGATAAAATTTTATAGAAATGAAGAATTAAAATATTTCCGTGAAAATAAATGGAATAATCTACTTAACAAAGCTGTTGTTTTCCAAAAAGCTGCCAATTGCTTAATAGCTTTGATTCATAAACTAAAAACTCTGGATCTACTTTTTGTAGCATGACAGTAACATCTGCACAAACAAAATGTTGCTATTTGCAAATAAAACATTCTGGCTAGTATGGATTCTTTTAAACAAATCCAGAAAGTAAAATTGTTTAATAAAAATATGTTTAAACATAAAACATGTTTAAAACCAGAAAATCGTATAATTTTTACTGTTATACTGTTAAGCCACATAATTATTAAAGTAACTTTAAAAGAAATATGTAAGTAATAACACTCTCAGAGTAAGACTGTGAATTCTATTTTTATTCTTAAAACAGTTGCATATATTGATATTCCCTCTGTCACTTTTCATGCTGAGTCAGAGGATGGGGCGGTGGTGGTGGCAGATGTCCAGTTTCAGCTGGGTGGTTCCACTTGGAGAGTTCCATGTTCTGTGGTAGACACGGGGGGAGCACGTTCACCCTGGACTTCCTTCCATGGTATAGTTACGTTTTCCTGAAATCTAGAATCAGCTGGAGAGTTTAAAAAAAAACTTAAGGATACCCTGGCTTAAGGATATAGCTACCTTATATACTCCAGGCAGTGAGGCCCAGTTTTCTGTAGTTAAAAAAAAATCCTCAAACGTTTGATTTTCTCACTGCTTGTTTTTGAGCCAGTGGCATAGATGAAGTTTATGATCACCATGATCATCATTCAACTAATTTGTCAAGGGACTACTATATGAGCCAGGTGCTAGTGAAGTTATATGTTAGGCTGGCACAAAAGTAGTTGCGGGGGTCTGCCATACCGCAACTATTTTTGCACCAAACTAATGTATGATGCTTGCCCAGGTGAAAACCCAAAGACCACTAACATATGAAAGGAGTCTTTGATGAATGGTTGAGCCAATGGATGCATCAGGAAAGCCTCTCATTTTAGGAGCTATCACTGGGATAGGCTTGCCAGGGGTGCTTCCTAAACAGTAAGATCTCTGAGGAATTGAGAAATTGTAGAAATTATTGGCATGATTAACTGTGCATCCTTGAGATGCTGTAAAGCCAGTATTAACAACATGAAGTCAGACCTAGTCAGTATGAAAGATTTTTATTGGAAGTTTCAGTGTCAGGCTTAGGAATGTGTTGAAGTTAATTCTTTTATACTGTTTATCTGAAGATATGCTTAAAGGAGGAAAAAAATCTTGAGAATTCAGTATTATGAAAACATCCTACTGAGAAGTGTGCAAGTTACTCATACGACAAGGTAGACACCACACTACATTTCATCCTCTGTAGGACTTGCTTTGAAAGATTGCAAAATGGCAAGAATATTGGGAAATTTATTAAAAATTTCAAGCCATTATGGTCACTTTAAATACTATATTGCTGCAGAACTTAAAAGAATTAATCTTCCAAGGAATACTTTTGTCATTAGTGACTTTTGTCATTTTTTATTCTTAAACAAAGATGGCATAATAAATGTTATAGGGTGTAGCCAAAGTCTAGAATATATTTCATTTCCTGCTCCCTCAACCCCTGCCATAAATTTAGAGATACTATAGATATTTTAAATCACTGTTTCCTGTGTTGGTACCATGGCATGGTGTTTAAAATCACAGAAACATGAATAATTCAATAGCATTCTATTCCACAGTTCGCATTCTAAAAATGTATCCTGCTGTTTTGTTGTACAAAATAATGAAAGTAATTCTTTGACCTTAAATAGCACGTTGCTACTGTTGATGGGCATTTAAATAATTTTATAATGGATTACATGTGAACAAAATATTTTCCATTTTCAAATTTTGAGAGCAGAGACCAACTTTTCAAGAAGCTAGTGACATTTTGTTTGTTAAATGACACTTAAAAAGTTTGAGGGGTTTTTTTTTTGTTTTGTTTTGTTTTTTGAGACAGAGTCTCACTCTGTTGCCCAGGCTGGAGCACAGTGGTGCGATCTCAGCTCACTACAACCTCCGCCTCCCGGGTTCAAGTGATTCTCCTGCCTCAGCCCCCTGAGTAGCTGGGACTACAGGTGTGCGCCACCACGCCCGGCTAATTTTTGTATTTTTAGTAGAGATGGGGTTTCACTATGTTGGCCAGGCTGGTCTCGAACTCCTGACCTCGTGATCCACCCGCCTTGGCCTCCCAAAGGTTTGAGTGTTTTAAGTAATGTGGGTGAATTCACCCAAGTTTATCCCTTTTGTCACCTCATTGAATATTTGTCAGATGGCTGGCTGGTATCACAGTTGTAGGTAGAGTGACCAGTTTGTCCCAGTTGCTGAGAGATTTCCTGGTTTTAGCATTGAAATTCCTCTGTCCCAGGGAAACCAGGCAGCCAACCAGACTCTAATTGTTGGGCATTGTTGTGGGACAGAATGAAGATTATTGGCCTCTGTGTGAATCAGTTTTAACAGCCTTAGCCTCCAAAGCAACTGAGCCGCAGACTCTACAGTGTGCTAGTGAAAACTGAATCTCTAATTGAGACTGTCCTGAGAGGTGATTATAAGGAAGGAGGTTGCTGAAACCTGTTCTCTGTGATTTTACCATCTTTTCATAAATTTAAGCTTTCAAGATGAAAGCCATTTCACAAATGATCCAGAAGGAATGAGCCATTCACTTCTTCCTTTATTAGACATGAAGAAAAAAATATGAGGCTCTCTGTTAAAATACACAAATGTCCTACATGGACATAATAAAAGAAGCTTAACTATTTGGCCTTTGCACCACTATACTTTCTAACTTAAAGATGTAGAATTAAAGGAATACATAAGATCCACTGAGAACAAGTGAGGGAAAAAACTTAAATAGAGGCATCTGTGCATTCTGAAATGTGAAATTAAAGCAGAAGAGGCTCTGCCTGTGATGTGGAATCCTTCCCCTGTGCCTTCAGAGAGGTTAAGGAAAAGTTATATCTGACTAGGTGTCCTTTTAAAAGTTTAATTTTTAAAGGTTTCTATGTGGACTGCAAAAAAGGACAAAATCATTGTTCATTATGCCAAATGGCATAGGCTCATTTACAAGGATGACATTATAGTTTTTAGATAGTATAGCTGCTGTAATTAAAGGGTTTTAAATGACCTTTTCCCTTTGGGGACAAGGCTTTCCTGGAAAAAAGTCCGATTTATTCCTTCCCTACTTAGGTTAAAGTCAATACATAAAGACTTCTTATGGGAATAAATGGCTTTGATTTTTCTCTCTAGAAACCAAGCTCTGTCCGTATCGATCAACTGGATCGTGAACAGTTCAACCCCGATGTGATTACTTTTCCGATTATCGTCCACTTTGGGATACGCCCTGCACAGTTGAGTTATGCAGGAGACCCACAGTAAGATATTTCTCAGTGTTTGTCTTAGCCAATTTCACCTTCTACTAACAGCCAAATTAGCAGAGAAATACCCTTTAGTGGATGTTTCCTTTTTAAAAATTAAGACCTGAAATGAGCCATACTTCCAATTTAGATTACCCAAATGAAACAATTGTGGTAGCTCCTGAAGAATTATTTTCTGTACATATTTGAGTGCAAGAAACTATTATTCAATAGAATATTTTTGGCAAACTTGGTCAACATAAGTCCTTGTATGTTTTTAAACTTTAAGGAACTTTTTCTTTATTCATCCTTATAATAATAATTATTATTTTTTATTTTTTCAGTGCCCTCTAGAGGAAAGTAGCACATATTGGTTCCTAGCACTGCCGAATTTATGCAGAGTTCTCTTTTTGGGGGCATCTTAAGAGTTCAAGATCACATGCAAAGTCAAGGTTGTGTTGGAAGTAGGAGCCGTGACTTCTGACTCTTAGGATTGATGTAACTTTCCACGTTTTGATTTTTCCAACTGGCATGTTAGTGTTTTCTGGGAGAAGATTTAGGATGTGTGGGAATGGAGATAGTACCATTAGATTCTTCGGGACTGTTTGGATTTCCTACCTTGCTAAACACACAAACAGCTTCCTGACTTATTTTTTTTTTTTTTTTAAAAAGGATTCATAGTGGGAGAAAAGGGCATGGGAGATTTTCAATTCATAAATACAGTTCTGGCTGACATATATTAGAAGAGGCTAAAGGGTTTTGTTCTTTTTTTTCCCCCTTTGGATAAAAGTATGAAGCAGTGAACCAGGCACTGTGTAAGTACTTCTTTCTTTCCTCCATTCTCTTAAAAAAAAAAAAAAAAGTTTTCAAAAAAGGAGAGGCCCAGCTAAGGCCAAGAAAGGAACAGTTTTAATGTGACAGAAAATCTTTGGAAAATCCCTTCTTGTCAGAAAAATGTTAGTAGAATGTGATGAGGCTCTCGTGGACTCTCAGATGGCAGGACTGTGAATTGATAAAGGACTGCATATTCGCTTCATTTCCAGGACGCTTTGACAGTATCCTTTAGACTGGTCTAGGTTATCACTTATTTGGCTGCAACAAATATGCTTATATTGTCATGGTAAATACAAATTGGTATACACCATTAGTCTTTTATCCTCTCCAGTGGACAAATGGATACAGCTATGTAGCTTGGGTTTTGGCACAAATGGGGTTCTCTATTCTAATACTCTTCAACTTATATTTGGTATAAGTAGTTCAGCAACTGACAGTCTCCCTAAGGAAGGGGTCTTTCTTTCAACAAATATCAGAAAGTGTATATTTAAATAAAATCTGTTATTTTCAAGAGGTAACAGTGAGAAACAGGATGATTCCTTTGGTTGAGGTGTTTTTGTGTCTTTGGAATTCTTTCCAGAGATTCATTCATATAGTCACACCTCATTTCCAACTGAAATAAGCAATAATCAACTTAATCACCAGGTTCCAGTTGACTCTTGTCCATCCTGACTCTCAGCCTCAAAGTCATAGCCTTCCTTAGAATGATGGCTTTCTGCCATTAAGAATAATCAAAAGAATGTAATGTATGATTTGAAGAGGCCTCTTAAAATAACTGGTTTTGTTGCATTTTAGGTTTACCTCCTCTTTACCTGAGATGTTTGCCTGTCCTTTTCCTTAGGTACCAAAAACTGTGGAAGAGTTATGTGAAACTTCGCCACCTCCTAGCAAATAGTCCCAAAGTCAAACAAACTGACAAACAGAAGCTGGCACAGAGGGAGGTCTGTATCAAACTCCATTCCTTGGTGATTAACGATGATGTGCTTCAGGTTTATTTCGTGATTGTTGTATCACACTATACTTCTGGTACAAGATGGAAAAATATTTTTTTAAAAAAATCATACTTTACCCTCCTCCCCCCATTATTATACGAATTGATTTTAAAAAATCTTTTAATATTTAAGAGAGCCTTTTTATCCCTGTATTAGTCTGTTTTGCATTCCTCTAAAGGAATACCTGAGACTGGGTAATTTATAAAGAAAAGAGGTTTATTTGGTGCACGTTTCTGCAGGCTGTACAAGAAGCATGGCACCAGCATCTGCTTGGCTTTTGGGGAGGCCTCAGGATGCTTTTAATCATGGTAGAAGGTGGATGGGGAGCAGGCACGTCATATGACAGAAGAGGGAGGAAGAGAGGGAGGAGGGAGGTCCCAGACTCTCTTTAACAAGCAGATCTCACATGAACTCATTACTGTGGGGAAGGCACCAAGCTATTCTTGAGGGATCCACCCATGACGCAAAAACCTCCCACCAGGCCCCATCTCTCACATTGGGTATCATATTTCAATGTGAAATTTGGAGGGGCCAAAACATCCTAACTGTATCAATCCCTAAAATGCCAGTTTCTTAATGGATTATTACCACTGGGAATCAAACATATCTTTTATAGATATTAAAGCTTAAATTTGTTGAATCAGCCTTTTATCTTTAATTTGGTTGCACATTATACAACATTGGGCCTTACTCAGATTTCTTGGTCTTAAAGTTGGAAAAGATTGTCTTCCATTGGTCTGCCAGTTTAGTATGGTAAACTTATTTTGTAAGGTTTCATATCCCAAATTCCATATTTCCTTACTAATGGGTAGTATTATCCCTGTAATCCAGGATAACTTACGTTTTAGTTTTAATTATAAGAATAAACGGTTTCAGTATCAACATAGATTATTGTCTCAGGGAGGTTTTATTCTGCTGGGGTTGTGTAAGAGCAAGGCTTTGAAGCTGGAAAAAGTGTTTGAATTCTGGCTTTGTCACTTACTGTGATTTAGGCCAATCAGCCTGTTTATAAAGGAGGGAACTAAGGTTGAGAGGCTGACTGAAGTGTTCCTCCGTTGGTGCACTCAAGGAAAAAGGTAGTTCCATGAACTTCTGAAATACGCCATTTAATGGGCCTCTTGTGCTATTTGGCCTGTAAAAGGAACTTAATCAATAGTGGGGGTGGGGGTGGTTCCTGTTATTATGAATTCCTATGAGATTTTGATTCAGTTGCATGCATGCAAATATACAATTATTTTTACAATTATTTGAAGGGCCGTGAAAGGGAAGAGTTAGTTCCTAATCATGTCTCACAGGTGATATTTTGGATCATAGTCTTTTTTTATATAAAGTATGCCATTGTAGCAAGAGTTTTTATAAGGGTTTGCAAGTTAGAAGGCAACTATTAGAATTATGTGGGTCGCAGGTTAATTTGCTTTCTTTCTTAGAGGTAAATACTTAACATGAGGCTTGATAAAAATTTTACATGCTCATTTCAAATCCCAAACCACATTTTGCTTCCTTTATCAATGAAAGGGCATATTTTGTTCAAAAATACCAGAATGGTAGATTTGGTTTAGAGTTTTTCTTATCTAGTTGCCAAGAAAGGCTGGGCTGTGTTATACCCCAAGCTTTGAGCATTCCAGCCTCCATTTTAAAGAAAATATTGTAATTTTGTATGAAGAGGTTTGAGTATCTGAATGTAGGGGTAATATTAAATGAATCCAACTTATTTTCTAATGCTTGATGTTTGGCTTACTATTGCTTTATAGCAGTTGTGTTACTCATCATAATGAATTCTTTTCTAGGAAGCCCTCCAAAAAATACGGCAGAAGAATACAATGAGACGAGAAGTAACGGTGGAGCTAAGTAGCCAAGGATTCTGGAAAACTGGCATCCGTTCTGATGTCTGTCAGGTGGGGAGACTTCTGAGGACACAGTTATGCCCATACTTTTCTTCCTTTAAAACAAATCTGGTACTGAGGGTTTCTTAATTGAGAATGTTCTTTAGAAAATACTACCTTGAGACTAAATGGAATATCAACTATAAATTGTTTTCTATTATTTGGATTTTGTTTTTGTTGTCTGTTTTGATGCTGGTGTGTGTGTGTATGTTGTATTTGTGGGTGCTGGGGCAGGGAGAAGCTTACTTAGTAGTGTTCAGTTCAGTGTCTTCTCTTTGGATAAAGGTAAGTCTGTCCTCATGCATCTGCTCATGCATCTGCCTGTTTGCAGCACATGTATAGGTGCTTATACAAAAGAGATAATCCAGCAGCCATACAAGCAGACTCGTAAAGTGTATGTTTTCTAGACTGATGACTCAAATTTACATTGCAATTTATATTGCAGAGAACTGAAGGCATTAATGAACAGAATCAGTGTATACTTCATATTTGAACCAAATGATAATATATTTTCCCTGGGTGAACGCAATAGAGTAACATTTCTGCTATATGTAACTGACTGACTAATAAGCATTTTTGTTTTTCCTATGGGTGGAATTTATATGTGATTAAAGATCCCCTAAACCAACATATTCTGTTTTTTCACTTGATTCTTTTGTCACAATTGATATTGGATGAAGTCCATGAGAATTACAGTAAAGGAAATGAGTACTCAGGCTATGGTTAGGTAATGCAGTTTGCTGTGTTCAGCCTTTTGGAAGAATACTTCCAGGCTTCCATTTATCTGTTTCGATGGTAGCATGTGTTGCAGTAAGTTCAAGCAGCTTACTCTTAGCTCTTCTTAGTGTTCATTTCATCATAATGAATTTTTTAAAAAATCAGTGTTGGCTTTTAATTATTATATTGACTAGCAGGGTTTAAAAGTATTGCTACACAATTTATTTACTAAGTGACGTCCAAAGCTAACTATTTTTGCATTAAGATGAACTGCTATTGGTGTAATATTGCCCTATTTTCAGGGTAATCATCTACAGTGGTAGCCAGCTATTTTCACCAAGTCTACAATTATTTTACCGATTGACAAATATCTTATGACTGTCAGTACTTTCAGATGAATATTTTACTTCCATTGATTCTCTCTCAGGGCCATTTGAAGCCGTATCACCTGGTTTTTCTGTTTGTCAGTGTTTCCCCAAAACCAATGTAATGTCATCCAAAGGTGGACATCATCAGACCAGTGAGCAGAATCCTAGACAGTTTGCTCCAAATCTGATGATCTCAGTGATAAGTCAGAGTTGATTGTCTAAGAGATCATAAAACTGTTGAGCATTAAGAACTAGAAGGCGCCTTCCAGACCTTCTAGTTAGTAGTTTTGAACTTGTGTTTTTGGTTAACTTCAAAGTATTTTTTTTTCATACAAAACCCTTCTAGAGCCATTATTTGTAAAAAGATAAAGAATAACTGCCTGATTGACTAGTGGGAGATGGGAGTGGAGACAGTATCCTGTTTTACTTGATTTCTCCCCCACCTCCTGTAGCAGTCCCTAAGGCCACTGAATACAGTATCTTTTTTTTTTTTTTCTGAAGCATTGAGCCTTTTTTTTTCTTTTTGTGAAGCAAACAAGAGTGCTGAATTATCTGTTCCAGTACAGTTTTGTATTCTTCAGCTATATCACAAATGTCCTTCCTCTACCCTCAGCTAGTTGAGAAGCAGCTGGAGGAGTAAGTGATCTTGTCTCTTGCTGTGTGATATGCTATATTCTGTTTCGAGGTTGGTAGGCAAAAGGACTCACTCAGTTTCCTTGCCTAACTGGTGGAAGAAAAGGGATCCCGATTAAACTCCTGCAAAGGTGAATGCTTTATGATCTAATAACCGTTCCTCCCTCTGTAGAACTCTCACTCTTCCAGAGAGAACTGCCATCTGTTTAGAAGCCATGCTTCCATTCTCTGGTCCTCTGAATGGAAGTCTTTTTAAGATTTTGATAAAATTACTCATATGTAAATGACTTGATAAAGCATGTAAATTGTTGCCTATGAGTTCATATACTGAATACAGAAGGAATTGCTTTATGGTTTGTAAAGAAATGTCTGCATATAAATGAATGAAAATGAGCCAGCAAGCTACCTGAGAAGTCCATAGAAGCGGAAGAGAAGGAAATGCCACTTACACAGTGGCAACATGGGGGCTGAGAGTGAACTATTAAAACCAAAAAACCCTGTACTTTGGTGAAATAGTACCTTACACACCAAAATCAAATTATCCTGGATGCATTATTTAGCTGTCAAGGTTAGATGAACAGATGAAGTATCTGTTTATTTTGACATATTAAATATTATTTCACCATCAGTGAATATTCTTGGGGTTGTGAAAGTAAATTGTTAACCTTCATTGAACTTAAAACATCAACATATGGAAATTTGGAGGTGTTCATCAACTCATTCATGACACGGGAGCAACCTAGTTCAAACTTAAAAAAAAAAAAAACCTTACAGTAAGGTTTAGGGGAATATGATTTAGGGGAAAACGGCAAAAGTAAACTAGTGTAGTTGACTTTGGGCTCAAAATAAGTATTTTTGCAACAAATATTTTCATTATGTTTATGTATACCTTTCCTTGTTCCAGAATGAACTGGAACTGGTAACTGTTTGAAGTGGTAACTGTTTTTATGAATGTGGGAATAAATAAACCACTGACTATGCAAGCCATGGGCTAGTCATTTGAAACTCCCTTGACTCTTCTCACTGAGCTTTCTCTTAGTCTGTCCTATTGCATATTAATGGTCAGAAAGTCTTCCTTTCTACAGATACATCTTACAGAAAATCTTTGACAAGTAGAGAACTTCTGGGTACATTTTAACTAAGAGTTTTTGCCACAGTTGATACGTTAGCTCTTCCTGGAATTTTTATGTTTTAAAATTCTCAGGTATTTTACATGCATCACACAAAGGTTCTGAACAGTTGCCCTTAAATTATCGATGTTTGCCATATATTTTGTTTGAATTTTTTTAACCTTGAAATTCCTTCAGTGGCAGCAAAGCCATTCCCTCTAGTTTTGTTGTAAAGAAATCAGATAAAATGTTTTATCATGTAGCATTAATGACCAAACATCTATGAATATATTTTGGAAGCTGTTTTGGTCGTATTTTTAGGATAGGGTAGTCTTTTTACGTCCTTAATAAATGTTTAGTCCAGTGCAGGTTTGTCTAGTCACAAGTCGTATATGCTAACATTTTTTATTGTTTATTTGGCCTTTACTTTGTTCTTAACATAAAGATTTTAATGAATGTTTAATAAAACCTGTAATTTTTTGAGAAAGGGACCAACAGTGTTTTTGTTGTTGTTTTTTGCCAGTAGAATTGGCTGTGGCTTACAATGATATTTAATTTCTTATATTAGAATAAATGTTTTCTTTTGTGTTTTCCTCACATAAGCTGGTGGCATATCATAATGCAGTTTAAAACCTCCAAAATAAAAGCATTTAGTATTTTTGGTAATGAAGAATAAAAATCTAATTGACTGGGAAATAGCAGTTAAGTGAATTTATACACTGAATACTTTGAATAATTTTATGATTATTCAAAGTCTTTGAACAGATAGGCTCATAATTTTTACAAGAAAGGATTTATTTAAAATCCTTGGTAGTTTTTCCTCTGTGTTTGGTAGTTCATTGATATAGAACCTACTGTTTTTTAGTAATAATTGCTAGTAGGTTGCTAGTGAAAGCCTTGAGATGCTATCTGGTTTCTGCAGGAGACGAAACCATTGCGTTAAATCTGAGATGGAGTGACCTCAGTACCAGCATCTCCCTCTGGAAGTACATTTTCCCCAACCAGAGAAGCTACCAAGGATTGTTAGGAGATTAGAAAATTCTACCTGGTGCCCCAGCCAATGTTAAGAGGATTGAAAACCTAGGGGTGGGTGCTATAACTTGTAATTATATGTGAACCGAATGTGGACCTGTCACTATGTTTGTAGATAAATTGTTGAAGAATTTTTTCTGTGTTGCTGCTTGTTAGAGTGAATTCTGGGTAATATGGAAGAAAAAGGAATCAAAACCTGAATCTGAGTCTAAAAAATTCAGCATAATGACTCAGAAGAGGAAGAAAAGCAACATGCTGCAGTAAGACCTGTATTTTTTAAGAATAGGGTTTCACACACTGAGGTTAAATTGGTATCTTCTGTAGAGGGAGGCACCTGGACCCTATGCTATACTGAGAAGGTGGTCCATGGAAATCAATAAACTGACTCAGAAGACATGAAAAAAGGAGCAAAGAATTTGCACCATCACAGTCGCATCACCAGTAGGAGACTCATGCCAAATGCGGAGACATTGTAACTTCTTAAGGAAAAAAAAAGGAAGCACAGGTGCCTGGAGAACTGTTGGCCTTTGAGGAAAGCTGAGTTGTGGTGGTTGGTATTTGTATTGAGTGGACAGAGAGCTGTATTTGGACTAATTAATGAATATGCTGTCTTCCTAGAGTGGCCATCTGGAATGGGATGGAAGGCTGCCATGCATTATCAAACTATCTGATTCTCTTGCTCAATGATTTGTCAAGGAATGACTCAACAGTGAAAAGTAACATCTCTAGAGATTCAGAGACTTTGGACAGCAAGTTGAAGGATGTATTTTCTAAATTAGATCTTGTAGCGGGGGAAGGAGGAATGTCTGGGAGGGCAATGGCTTCATAGTTATTGTTAACAAAGGAATTTTGATTTTTAGTCTGTATGAGATACTTGATTTTTTAATTGGAGCGTAGTGCTGCTTGTGAAGAAAGGAAAGATTTGTTTAAAGGCTAACTGACCTGAGAGAGATTTTTTTTTTTTTTTTTTTTTTAAGACATGGGAGTCTTGCTGTGTTGCCCAGGCTGGAATCCAGTGGCTATTTGCAGGTGCAATAATAGTGCACTCTGGCCTTTTTGCATTGGACTCCTGGGCTTAAGCAACCCTCCTGCTTCAGCCTCCTATAGCTGGAACTACAGGTGCATGTCACCTCATCTGGCTAGTATTATATTTTATTAGGAATAATTTAAAACATACAAGATGCAAGAGAAAAGTATAATGAACTCTGAACTATCACTTAGCTTCAACTGTTTTCAGAAGCATTTCTGTAATATCATCAAATACCTAGTCAATGTTTACATTTTTCTCATTGTCTGTTAAATTTATTTTAGTCTGTTTGAATTTGGATCCATGTGAAATCTATACATTGTGATTAGTTGATGTTGTTTAAGTCTCTTTAATCTGTAGGTTCTCACTCCATTTCTCCTTTTTTTCCCTTGCAAACATTTGTTGTTGAAGAAATTGGATTATGTGTCCTGTAGAGTTCCTACAGTGTAGTCTGAGTTTTGCTGATTGCAACTTTCTGGTGTCATTTACCAGGTACTTCTGCCCCTTGTGTTTCCTATAAATTGGTAGTTAGATCTAAAACTGCACTGCCCAGTATCACTGGTTGCATGTGGCTATTTAAATTTAAATTAATTAAATGAAATTAAAAATTCTGCCTCTCAGTTGCCCTCACCACACTTTGAGTGCTCAGTAGACACATGTGGCTACTGCCCATTACAACAGCACAGATAATAGGATATTTCCATCATCATAGAGTGTTCTGTTGAATAGCACTGACCAGATTTAAGTTCAGTTTTTTTGCAAGATATTTTCATAGCTGGTGGTGAGGACTCTCTTTATTTGTACGTGACATTATTGGTCACTGATGGATCGTTATGTAGACCCAGGGTCTGCCAAAATGATATTCAAATTCTGTCTTTCTTCATTTATTACTTAAAATACTTTTGGAAAAGGATCTTTTCCTCATCAACTATTTGATTACCCTGAGATGAAGATCCTGTGGGACAGCACCAAAAATTACTCATTTGATTTATTCCATAACATACAACAAGTAGTCCCAGATTAGCAATTTAACAGCACCACCACCAATATGGTGATGGAAAATAGTTGCTTGTTTGTTTGGGAGTACAGATGGTCTTTGACTTACAATGGGGTTACATCCCAGTAAACCCGTAAACCCAGAGTAGGTTGAAAATATCATAAGATCATAAGTTGAATTTTCAGTTTATGATAGGTTTATTGGGACACAGCATATCATCAGTCAAGAAGCATACTGAATTAATATTGTTTACATGTCATTGTAAAGTCAAAAAATCGTAAGTCTTACCATTGTAAGTTGGGGACTGTCTGTGTTCATTTTTGTCTTTGATTATCTATAGCTGTATCTCACTGGGGATTTACACTCAATTTTCTGTATCCCGTGGTTATGCCACAAACTGGATACACAGAATTCATTTGTTTCATTTTACTTTTGATTTTAAGAGTTCCATTGACTGACTGACAGATTGATTGAGTCAGGGTCTTGCTGTGTCACCTAGGCTGGAGTACAGTGACACTGCGATCATGGCTCACTACAGCCTTGAACTTCTAGGCCCAACACATCCTCCCACCTCAGCCTCCCAAGTAGCTGGGACCACAGGCATGTGCCACCATGCCTGGCTAATTTTTCAATTTTTTGTAGAGATGGGGTCTAGTTTTGTTGCCCAGGCTCGTCTCAAACTCCTAGGTTCAAGTGATCCTCTTGCCTCGGCCACCCAGAGTGCTGGGATTACAGACATGAGCCACTGTGCCTGGCCTAGGTTCCTTTTAAAAATGAAAGATTGTTTTATAATTATGTAAAATGTTTACATGACTCTGCAATCAGATTTACAGGGTCAAGTGTACTTTTTTTAAGTCTAACTTCTATCTCTGTTGCTTGTATCCTTTTCTTGCCACCCACCCCGGACAGGTAACTATCTTTTAAAAATGGCTTGACCTGGCTACGCACGCAGTGGCTCACGCCTGTAATCCCAGCATTTTGGGAGGCCGAGGTGGGCAGATCACCTGAGGTCAGTAGTTCGAGACCAGCCTGGCCAACATGGTGAAACGCTGTCTCTACTAAAAATACAAAAAATTAGCCGGGAGTGGTGGTGTGTGCCTGTAGTCCCAGCTACCTGGGAGGCTGAGGCAGGAGAATAGCTTGAACCCAAGAGGCAGAGGTTGCAATGAGCCGAGATCACGCCACTGAACTCCAGCCTGGGAAACAGAGTAAGACTCCATAAAAAAAAAAAAAAAAAAAAAGGCTTAATTTCCTATTTTTATGAAAGCAAATATATATGTGTTTTTCTTTGTTTTCCTCTTTCTTGTATGAATGGTGGTATCTTACACTTTTCTCTACTGAGATTTTGTTCACTTAACAATGTGTCTGGACCAGGTGTGATGGCTCAGACCTTAAATTCCAGTGCTTTGGAAGGTCAAGGCAGGAGGATTGCAAACTTAGCCAGGTGTGGTGGTGCACACCTGTTGTCCTAGCCACTAAGGAGGCTGATGTGGAAGGATCACTTGAGCCCAGGAGTTTGGGGCTGCAGTGAGCTATGATTGTACTACTGTACTCCAGCATGGGCGACAGAGTGAAACCCTGTCTCTAAAAAACAAAACCAAACCACAACAACAACAAAACCATGTGTCTGGGAGATCACTCTGTAGTAATATATAGAGCTTATTGATATGTTTGGCTTTCTGTCTGTCAAACAGTTTTATGTTAGTGGTTACTATGAAATCCATTATATTGGCTTTGTTTTTTCCTCTTCATATCCTTTGTATTCGGGAAGGCTTGTATTTTTATTCTAATGATTACCTTTATACTGACAACTTTATAGTATAATTACATTTCTCCCTTACTTCTCTTCCTCTCTCTGTGTGTGTGTGTCTGTGTGTGTGTGTGTGTGTGTGTGTGTGTGTATCTTGTTGTCTTTTAGTAAAAATAGCTTCTCTCTGCTTCTTCCCATAATCCTCTCTCTCACCTGGCACCTAATTTGAAGTGATATCCTTTTGTTGCAAGTTAATAAGGCAGACAGCAACCTCATCCTACTCTTTATGTATTTCTTATTCTCCCCTTGTTTTCTGATGGTTGTACTAATCAATGTTAGAATGTTTAATTATTTCTTATATTGACTCACTTGTGATTATCTACCAATAAAAATATATTTGCAAGTAATCATCAGATCATGTCATTATCAATCTCCCACCTCCCCTTTTTTGTTTGTCTGAAGCTCATTTTCTAAAACATTCCTCAAGAAGGGCTTATAGAAACAGTGGTCCTTGAGTTTCTGCATGTTCCTCACAGTTTGCCTGTGGCCTTTGTTTTAACGGTCAGTTTGGCTGGATATAAAATCTGTGGATCCCATTTTCTTTCTTTAATATTTTAAATACATTCTCATTGTTTTCTGGCATAAAACATTGCTGTCAAAAGTATAACAATATGGTCAGGTACAGGTACTCACAACTGTAATCCCAGCACTTTGGGAGGCCAAGGCAAGTGCATCACCTGAGCTCAGGAGTTCGAGACCAGCCTGGGCAACATGGCGAAACCCTGTCTCTACAAAAAATACAAAAAATTAGCTGGGTGTGGTGGTGCACACCTGTGGTCCCAGCTACTTGGGAGGCTGAGGTGGGAGGATCACTTGAGCCTGGGAGATGGAGGTTGCAGTGAGCCGAGATAGTGCCACTGCACTCCAAACTGGGTAACAGAGTGAGACCCCGTCTCAAAAAAAAAAAAAAAAAGTGTGATAACAATATGAGTTTAAGTGACTTGGTCCTTTTATCTGAGTGCCCAAAGGATTTTTTCTTTTTCTTTAGAAACCAATAGTTTACTAGAATATGTCTCAGCTCTTGTCTCAGCTCTTTTCAGTTAATTTTTTCAGGTATGCTGTATATACTTTCAGTATATACTTTCAAGTTGTCTTTTATCTCAGGAAATTTTCTTTTTCTTGTATTACACGTTTCATTATTTTCTATTATTTTGATTTTTAAAGTACTCCACTTATATGCATCTTGTATTTTCTTTGCTTCTCTTCTGGATCTATCATGTTCTCTCGAATTCTTCATTCAAGAAGTAGTAATTACTTCTTGCATCTTATATCTTCTTATAAGATATATGCATCTTATATCTTTTTTGCTTCTCTTCTGGATCTGTCATTTTCTCTTGAAGTCTTCATTTCTATTTTTCAAAAGCACTATTCATTGGGCTGATATGATTTTGTGTTCCTTCTTGTTTAATCTTGAAATGCTTATCTCCTTTTATGTTTCTTTTTCCTGAGTTTTGTCACTTCTTTTCAAATCTTCCTTTCCTCTAATCTCATTTCTGAATTTATGTAATATTTATTTGTAATTTTTGTTAATCCTTCTATTGTTTTAGTAATTTCTTTTCTTATTTCGAAGGTTATTGGTATGTTTCTCTGGAATTTTTTTTTTTTTTTTTTTTTTGAGACAGAGTCTCTCTCTGTCGCCCAGGCTGGAGTGCAGTGGCACGATCTCGGCTCACTGCAAGCTCCGCCTCCTGGGTTCACGCCATTCTCCTGCCTCAGCCTCCCGAGTAGCAGGGACTACAGGCGCCCATCACCACACCCGGCTAATTTTTTGTGTTTTTAGTAGAGACGGGGTCTCACCATGTTAGCCAGGATGATCTCGATCTCCTGACCTCGTGATCCAACTGTCTCGGCCTCCCACAGTGCTGGGATTACAGGTGTGAACCACTGTGCCGGGCCTCTGGAATGTTTTTATTATCAGCAAGGATGTTATTCTACTCCTCTTCTTAGAAAAATCTTTGAATGGGATTTGATCGTGATTCTTTTCTGTTGCTGTTTAAGAAACTTAAAAATTAAATAAACCAAATGAAATAGTTTCCTGTACTTTTAGAAAGGAGGTATAAGCCAGGATAGTTTTTCATGGTTCTGGAGCTCCTCCTCCTGTTATTTTTGCAGTGATAAAAGAAATAATATGGCTTCACACTAAAATCTGCCCCCTCTGCTTTTGTCTGGGCCTCCTCTCTTTTGCCTTTCGTTTCCCTCTCTTGCGAAATGTGGCTTTCACTCCCAACACTTTCTCCTGGTTGTAGGGCTTCTACCTTGCAGGGAGCTTCAGTTTTTGTTTTTTTGTGTTTTCAGTGTTTGTAGGTCCCAGGTGTCTTAAGCATAGTTAAACTGTCCTCCCGTATTCACTCAGTGAATTAGATTCGGCAGAGCTCTCTCCAGTTTGGGTTATTTGCGGTGAACATGTGTTGTTAATTTTGAGTTTCTTCCATTATCAGGGCCTGTGCCTCTCTTCTCTCACACAGATGCTGAGACATAGCTCTTTCTCCTCATACACTCTTATTTAGGGACTCAAGAGGGTGCCTTGTCATTTAGTTTTTATGTAGATAATATTCATTGGTCTTTCATTTTGCTAGTCTAGTTGCTCTATTTTTATGGGAGAATTTGAGGGTTTTTTTTTTTTTTTAATTAAAGCAGTTGGCAGACATAAAGATGCCAGACATAAAGATGATTGTATTTTTATATTGCAAAGATTGATACTTTTAAAAACTGAGTTAGAAATTTAAAGTCTTGTAGGTAACATTGAGACTTGATGTCTGGGATTCAAGATGGACACGGGTCATCTATACCCTTCCAAGGTACTCACGAAAGGGTTATTTGGAAGGAGAAACAGGCTTTGTTTGGAGCAGGTTTAGAGGAAGTGGTTAAGGGATTCAAAGCTGTTTTACATGAGAAAAGGTTAAAGGAAGCAAGGAAGTAAAGTGTAGGTTAGCTAAAACAAGATGTGGAAAGCCTGCCATTAAATGCATTTTGTTTCTGAGTAGAACTAGGATTAAAGGGATAAAACTTCCAAAGATACAGATTTGGGCTTAAAGTTAATAGTAATTTTCGGGCCTGGCGCAGTGGCTCACACCTATGTAATCTTAGCACTTTGGGAGGCTGAGACAGGCTGATCCCTTGAGCCCAGGAGTTTAAGACCAACCTGGGCAACATGGCGAAACCTCATTTTTACAAAAAAACACAGATATTAGCAGAGTGTGGTGCTGCATGCCTGTAGTCCCAGCTACTGGGGTTTGGTGGCTGAGGTGGGAGGATCTCTTGAGCCTGGAAGGTCGAGGCTGCAGTGAGTTGTGATTGTGTCACTGCACTCTAGCCTGGGTGACAGAGTGAGACCCTGTCTCAAAAATAAAGGTAATTTTTTAATAATCAGCAAACTCTAAAGAGGGTTTTATTTTCCTGACAGGCAGCGATTCATCTCTCATAGGAAATATTAAAAAAGTAAACAATTCACCAGGTTGAGTTCATGCTTTAGAAAGGCAGTTGCACTGAATAGTCTTCATGTCCTAACCCATGTCCTATCCACCTTGAGTTTTTAGCATCAACTCTTGAGCTTCCTGCAGTTTAAATGTCTGGAAAACTATTAGACTTTGGTTGTGCATGTTGTTTCCATATTGTTGTGTTTATCAGCACAGCACTTATAAAAGCAAAGTGGATAAAGTGCCGATAATTCAAATCCTAATGGCATATTTCTAGCTTTAATGGCAAAAACAATGTCTTTACCTTTTCTGTCTTCCACACATATTGTAAGGCCTTACACGTGGAGGTGCTCAATTATATACTTACTGAATTGAACTGGCAAGAAAGATTTTTTTGTTGATTAGAGATCCTATTTGGTAGAATGAATCTTTCTTTATAAGTTAATAACATAACTAATTTCTATAGTTTCAAGCAAATCCATTTTCATGTATTTTTAAACAATACCAGCTTAAAACACTTCAAAGACTGAAATAATATAAAGCATATGTCAATCATTCTGTGGGCTGGGTCCATCCTCCAGGTTCTGATGAATAAGAATGACTCCTTACATTCTCTTGTGTTCTTGCGAAATAGTATTAAGGAAAAGAAAAAGATATGACTTCCATGAAATTATCTCCCAATAAGGAATTTATAGCCAAATGAAAAGGGATTGAAGGAAAAATTTAAATTCTGTGTCCTTGGGTACCTTAACTATACTGGTGGCTTTATAAAAATTGTCTTCAGAATGTTAGATCATTAAATGTCAAACTTAGGGTGGCATATCTGGTTGAGAAGCTCTTCAAGGATAGTCGTGGGCTTTAGGGGTTTGTGAACCCATTAAACTTGTGTACAACTTTTGCATGTTTGTGCACAGGGACATTTTTCTGGGGAAAGAGTCATTTTCCTTGGATTCCCAAAAATATCTTGACCCTAAAAAAGTTTCAGAATGAATGAATCCTAATCCATTCCCTTTTAATTAAAGATAGACAAGGAGGCACAGAAATGCATGTGACTTACTCGAAGCTACCCTGCTGAATACTGATAGAACCAGGGCTATTCCTAATGGAATGAGGGCTAACAGGCCTTGTTCTAAGAAGATTTTTGTATTTCCTCTTTTAATCCTTTTAGCTATCCTCGGAAGTAGGTATATTTATTATTCTCATTGTGCGGGTGAGGAAACTGAGGCAGAGAGGTAAGATAACTTGCCCCAGGTCACACAGTGAATGAGTGGCAGAGCAGGATTTAGACCCAGGCATTCTGATTCTAGAGACTATATACTCTTAACAGCTACAGTCTCTCACAGAGGATTCTCCAGAATGCCATGCAGCCAATAAGCTGTTTCAGGACTTAGTGAGATGGAATTTGGAATGTGAAAATGGTTCTGGCTTGTTGTAAAATAAATGAAGTGACTTTATAAGTTTTTATAAAGTTAAACATATTGAATTTTTTTTTTCCTAGCATGCAATGATGCTACCTGTTCTGACCCATCATATCCGCTACCACCAATGCCTAATGCATTTGGACAAGTTGATAGGATATACTTTCCAAGATCGTTGTCTGTTGCAGGTAAGAATTATTCTCCTGTAAACTCACATAATAACAAGATAGGAGTAATTCATCTTGCAGGTCACAAATGGTACATTGGGTTCTCTATCCTGGGATGTGACAAGGATTGTTAGAAACATAGTTCTCTCCATTGCTCTACCCTGGTTGCCTCTGCTGCTTTCCAGCCCATTCTCTTACATTTATGTGAGACCGTCCCTAAAGAAATTGACTAAAACTAAAATTTGTCAACTCTGAGTACCTTATTCCGACTTTTCCTCCTTTATGGCTCTCCTTTCCAGGTGCTGAGTATTCTAACTTCTCTGAAAGATGTAGATTTTTTTTTTCTTTTCTGGTACAGAGTTTCGCTCTTGTTTCCCAGGCTGGAGTGCAATGGCGTGATCTCGGCCCACTGCAACCTCCGCCTCCTGGGTTCAAGCGATTCTCCTGCCTCAGGCTCCTGAGTAGCTGGAATTACAGGCGCCCGCCACCATGCCTGGCTAATTTTGGTATTTTTAGTAGAGACGGGCTTTTGCCATGTTGGCCAGGCTGGTCTCGAACTTCTGACCTCAGGTGATGTGCCTGCCTTGGCCTCCCAAAATGCTGGGATTACAGGTGTGAGCCACCACGCCCAGCCTAAAGATGTGGATTTTTATGTTTGTTTGCAGAAGAGGGCTTGCGTCAGAGATCTGGAAATTCGTTTTTTGTTTGTTTTGGCCACTTTAAAATTTTTTTCAATAGATTTAGGGGTACAAGTGGTTTTTGACTACATGGATGAATTGTATAGTGGTGAAGTCTGGGCTTACCTGTCACCTGAGTAGTGTACATTACACCTAATAGGTAGTTTTTCATCCCTCACCCCCCTCCCAACACTCCCCATCTGAGTCTCCAGTGTCCGTTATACCACTCTGTATGCCCCTGGGTACCCATAGCTTAGCTTCCACTTGTGAGTGAGAATATGCGGTATTTGGTTTTCTGTTTCTGAGTTAATTAACTTAGGATAATGGCCTGTAGTTCCAACTGAGTTGCTGCAAAATACATTATTTCATTCTTTTTATTGCTGGGTAGTATTCCATGGTATATGTATACCACGTTTTCTTTATCCACTCATCCGTTGATAGGCACTTAGGTTGATTCCATATCTTTGCAATTGTGAATTGTGCTGCAATAAGCATAGAAGTGCAGGTGTCTTTTTGATATAATGACTTCTTTTTCTTTGGGTAGATACACAGTAGTGGGAGGACCGAATCAAGTGTTAGATCCACTTTTAGTTTCTTGAGAAATCTCCATACTGTTTTTCCTAGAGGTTATACTAATTTATGTAGTTTATATAAAGTTCAGTGTATTATAAGCCTTCCCTTTTCACTGCATCACACCAACACCTGCTGTTTTTTGATTTTTTAATAATGGCCATTCTCTCTGGGGTAAAGTGGTAAGTGGTATCTCCTTGTGGTTTTAATTTGCATTTCCCTAATGATTAGTGATGTTGAACATTCTTTCATGTTTGTTGGCCATTTGTATATCTTCTTTTGAAAAATGTTTGTTCATGTCATTTGCCCACTTTTTAATGGGATTATTATTGTTATTATTTTTTCTTGCTGATTTGTTTTAGTTCCTTGTAGATTCTGGATATTAGTCCTTTGTTGGATATATAGTATGCAAGTATTTTCTGCCATTCTGAAGGTTGTCTGTTTACAGATACTTGGGGAGATAAGATGGAAAGATCAGGGCTTAGAATTCAACTGGATAGACAGCTCCCTTTCCTGCTTAATTTGGGATGATACAAAGATGGTGCTCCCATGCTGAGTTTTTGTTTTGTTTTTGTTTTTTGAGACAGGGTCTCCCTCTGTCATCCAGGCTAGAGTGCAGTGGCATGATCATAGCTCACTGCAGCCTCGACCTCCTGGGCTCAAGTGATCCTCCCACCTCAGCCTCTTGAGTAGCTGGGACTCCAGTCAGGTGCCACCACACCAGCCTAATTTTTTATTTTTTGTAGAGATGGCGTCTCACTGTGTTGCCCAGGCTAGTCTTGATCTCCTGGGCTAAAGTGGTCCCTCCACCTTAGGATTACAGGCGTGAGCCACTGCACCCAGTTTATGCTGTTTTAAAGACTGAACTTATTTCATTGAAATTTTAGCTGGCCATGACTCATCCAAGTCATCATTTAAATTTTGGAATGAATCCTGATCATGCCAGGAATTCATTATCTAACTGTGGAATTCGGCAGCCCAAATACGGAGACAGAAAAGTTCATCACATGCACATGCGGAAGAAAGGTATGTCTGGATGATTTTAAGATGTGAATCTCCTATTTTGGCCTGTGTTTTCTGTTGTAAATTATTTCGCCTCTAGGAATGGTTCCCTGGGTGACTCTTTCACCGTCTCATATTCTAGTGCTTACTGACTCTTTTTTTTTTTTTTTGAGACAGGGTCTCACTCTGTCACCCAGGCTGGAGTGCAGTGGCACGATCTCAGCTCACTGCAAACTTTGCCTCCTGGGTTCAAGTGATTCTCCTGTGTTAGCCTCCCAAATAGCTGGGATTACAGGCATGTGCCACCATACTTGGCTAGTTTTTTTGTATTTTTATTAGAGACAGGGTTTTGCCATGTTGGCCAGGCTGGTCTTGAACTCCTGACCTCAAGTGATCTATCCGCCTCTGCCTCCCAAAGTGCTGAAGTTACAGACCTGAGCCACTGTGCCTGGCCCCACAGACTCTTTTATAATACTTACTTTGAGCAAGAACTATAATAAGGGTTGATGAGTTTTTTAGAGAAATTTCTTTTTCCTATCCAGTGTTTTAAATAATTGTTTATCACACTTTTAGACAGGTAGATTCCAAACCTTTTAAAATCACATTGAGATGAGATAATTTTTTTCTACTGTAATATGATGGTCCTATAATTCTTCTATCCGTATTTACTTGTGTATTTGTTTTTTATTTTAAATAGGGATTAACACCTTGATAAATATCATGTCACGCCTTGGCCAAGATGACCCAACTCCCTCGAGGTAAAGTTGATTTTTAATAAACAACCTGATTGATATATAATTCACGTACTATACAGTTTACTCATTTAAAGCATACAATTCAGTGGTTTTTAGTATGTTCACAAAATTGTGTATCCATGGCCATCATCTAATTTTGCAACATTGACATTACCCCAAAGAGAAACCCTGTACTCATTAGTAATCTCTTCCCATGTTCCTTAGCCTGCCCAATCCTAGGCAACCACCAATTTATTTTCAACCTCTATGGATTTGTCTCTTCTGAACATTTTATATGAAAGGCATCATATAAATCAGTTCTTTGTGATTGTCTTCTTTTACTTAGCATGTTTTCAGGATTTGTCCATAGTATAGTATGTGTCAATACTTCATTGTTTTTATTGCTAAATAATATTCCATGATATGGGCATATCATATTTTATGTATCTGTTCATCAGTTAATGGGCACATGGATTGTTTCCACTTTTTGGCTGGTGAATAATGCTGCTTTGAATATTTGTGTACAGATTTTGTTTGGACATATATTTTGATTTTGCTTGGGTATATACTTAGGAGTAGAATTGCTGGGTCATATGGTAACTCTGTTTAACCTTTTAAGGAACTGCCAGACTGTTTTCTGAAGTGGCTGTACCATTTTATATTCCCAGCAGCAATATAGCAGGGATCCAATGTCTTCACATTTTTGTCAACACTTGTTATTGTCTGTCTTTTTTATTCTAGCCCTTCTATTCTAGTGAATATGAAGTATTATCTCATTATGGTTTTGATTTGCCTTTCCCTCAGGGCTCATGAAATTGAGCATCTTTTCATGTGCTTATTGACTATTTGTTCATCTTCTTCAGAGAAATATCTATTCAGATCCTTTTCCCATTTTTAATTGGGTTATTCTAAATTATTGAGTTATAGTAGTTTTTAAATATATTCTCAGATACAAATTCCTTATCAGATTTGCAAAAATTTTTTTCATTCTGTGAATTGTCTTTTCTCTCTCTTGATGACGTCCTTTGCAGTACTAAACTTTTGATGAAGTTTTAGCTATTCTGAGTTTATTGCATTTCCACACGAATTTTTGGATTAGCTTGTCAATTTCTGCAAATAAGTCAGTGGGGATTTTGATAGGCATTATGTTGATTCTGTAGATCAATTTGGGAATCATTACCATCTTTTTAAAAAATGTTTATTTAAAGTGCAGTTTGTTACATAGGTAAACTTGTGTCATGGGGGTTTGTTGTACAGATTTTTTATCACCCAAGTATTAAGCCTAATAGCTATTAGTTATTATTCCTTATCCTCTCCCTCCTTTTGTTCTCCACCTTCCGAAAGGCCCTAGTGTGTGTTGTTCTCCTCTATGTGTCCATGTAACCTGTGGTATTTGGTTTTCTGTTCCTGTGTTAGTTTGCTAAGGATAATGGCCTCCAGCTCTATCCATGTCCCTGCAAAGGACATGATCTCATTCGCTTTTATGGCTGCATAGTATTCCATGGTGTGTAAGTACCACATTTTTTTTTTCGAGACAGTATCTCATTCTGCTGCCCAGGCTGCGGTGCAGTGGCATGATCTCAGCTCACTGCAACCTCCGCCTCCTGGGTTCAAGCGATTCTCACGCCTCAGACACCTGAGTAGCTGGGATTACAGGTGTGCGCCAGCATGCCTGGCTAATTTTTATATTTTTGGTAGAGACGAGGTTTCGCCATGTTGGCCAGGCTGGTCTCCAACTCCTGGCCTCAAGTTATCCATCTGCCTTGGGCTCCCAAAGTGCTGGGATTACAGGCCTGAGTCACCGTGCCTGGCCCCACATTTTCTTTATGTAGTCTATCACTGAAGGGCATTTAGGTTGATGATTACCATCTTAACCTTTTTTTTTTTTTTTTTTAAATAGAGACAGGGCTCTTGCTATGTTGCCCAGGCTTACCATCTTAATCTTAAGTTTTCTGATTCATAAACTTGGATGTCTTTCCATTTATCTGTCTTTTTAAATTTTTTCAATAATGTTTTATAGTTTTCAGAGTATACATTTTACACATCTTTTGCAAAATTTATTCTGAAGTATGTTATTCTTTTTTGTGCTGTTATAAATGGAATCTTTTTTTTTTTTTTTTTTTTGAGACAGAGTCTCGCTCTGTCGCCCAGGCTGGAGTGCAGTGGTACGATCTCGGCTCACTGCAAACTCTACCTCCCGGGTTCACGCCATTCTCCCGCCTCAGCCTACCGAGTAGCTGGGACTACAGGCGCCCGCCACCACACCCGGCTAATTTTTTTGTATTTTTAGTAGAGACAGGGTCTCACTGTGTTAACCAGGGTGGTCTTGATGTCCTGACCTTGTGATCCGCCCGCCTTGGCCTCCCAAAGTGCTGGGATTACAGGCGTGAGCCACCACGCCCGGCCTGGAATTATTTTCTGAATTTCATTTTCAGGTTGTTCATTGCAAGTGTTTGGAAATACAGTCAATTTTTGTGTATTGGTTTTATGACCTCCAACCTTGTTGCTCCTGTTCATTAGGTCTAATAGTCTTTTAGTGGATTCCTTAGGATTTTGTTATTTTTGAAATAATATCATCTACAAATAGCAGTAGTTTTACTTCTTCCCGTGTAATCCTTTTAATTTCATTTTCTTAACTTAGTTCCCCTAGCTAGAGCCTCCAGTACAATACTGAATAGAAGTATTGAGAGCAGATCTTTGTCTTCCTAATCTCAGTAGGAAGCATTCAGTCTTTCACTATTGAGGAAGATGTTAGCTGTTGGGTTTTTATAGATGCTTTTTATCAGAGTAAAGAAGGTCTCTTCTAATCTTAGTTTGCTGAGTGTTTTTATCATGAAATGGTGTTGAATTTTGTCACATGCTTTTTCTGTAGCTATTAACATAATCATGTCATTTTATTCTTTTATTCTAATTGATTTGGGGTGATAAGCCAACCTGGCTTTCCTGGGATGCCTCCCACTTGATTGTGGTGTCTCATTCTTCTCATGTGCTGCTGTATTCAGTTTGGTAGTATTTTGCTTAAGATTTGTGTGTCTGTATTCACAAGAGATACTTGTTTGTAGTTTTCTTTTCCCGTGATGTTTTGTCTAGTTTCATTATAATGGTAATACTGGCCTCATATAACGAGTTGGAAAGTTTTGTACGTTAGCTTTTCTTATTGAATTTCCTGGTTTTATGAGATACCTTCCCATATTGATATTCTCATTTATGTGTGGTCTTGAGGCCTTTGAAGAATCTGGGAATGGAATGGCCTAGGTCTGTATAAACTCATTAACACAGTTTGACAACTGAATGGAAGCAAATGCTTAATGGCTGATGAGGCTCTGGGGTTGCTTGCAAGGAGGATTATCTTTGTGTGTGAGGTACAGCAGGTTCTATTTGGAAAGCCAGTAGAGGAAACTGCTTGAGGGTGGCTTTGTTTTTAAGATGGGGAGTTGGAAAGTGGAATAGCTATGCTTATCATTCTGGGGATCCAGACTGAGATTGATTAAAGGTGGGCAGAGTTGGGCTGGAAGTGACAGAAAATCGAGGCAATTACTTCAGCTGCCCACTGGCCTCCACAAAAATTGCCAGCAATGGCTGACACGGCTTCCTTTTCCAATATCTCCTTCATATATCAGGTTTTTAAAAAATTGACTTGCCTTGAGTTGTTCTCTTTTGAGGTTATCAGAAACCAAACCTCTTCAATCAAGAGGTAAAAAGAAAAGCAGGACAGAGCTTTAAAATTCTTGTTTGAAAATGATCATATGCCCATATACCTCACTATGATGTTCTGTGAGAGTCTAAGATCAGAAAAGAATGAATTAAAACAGCCCTTAATCACACCCTCGGGGATGGTGTGACCATGGTTTTATTTTACCCTGCTACATTGTAAAGTCTGTATTTTAATAAGTAGAATTCTATATACCCATAGCCCTCTAACATGGCTGCATGAACACCATAGACATGTACTTTTCAATGATGAAAATCTGGGTTTAAATCATCTTTGTCTCATCTTCCCCTACCGCAGTTGTTGGTATGTAAATTGTCTTTTGATAATGTCATTTGAACCCCATGATTTATGTTTTCTTTTGCTCTGTTACAAAGTAGTGGCTTTCTTACCGTGGCAGAAGGGATGATACCTGAGAAACTGTGTGATGTTTGAATTTACCATTTTGAAAATGATATTATTGACAGAGAATAAACAAATAATCTCTCTTGTCCTTTGACATTTGGCCTTTGCTGCTTGTGTTGAGAGCCTCTTTCCTTGAATATGATCTTTTTGCTGATGCAGAGTTGACCCCAAGTGTCTGTTCAGAAAGAGCCTCTTGGCCTTGACTGCCAGGATCTGCTGCTAGTTGACTGCTATCAGCTATCAGTCCACAGCTGGGCACAGCTTCTCACAGGGACTGACCCAAGTAAGACAGAGCTACTTACCTGGGTTGTCAAACATACCCTGTCCCTTCCCCGTGTGCTGATCGTCATTGTAAAACTTCCTCTGTCGTGCCCATGTAACCTTGTAATATCCTGCTCAAATCCTGCTGGTATTTGTTTTATGGAACGTATTCTTGTTCTTATGTGCACCCATAATTGTGTTATGGGGCTATTTTTCTTTACTGGACTGTAAGATTTTGAAGGGCTATGGTCCTACCCATGTTTTTTCTCCCTGTTCTTTGTAACTAGTGCCTTTCACAGAACAGGTACTCAGTAAATAAGTATTAAAGGAAGGAATGCCATTCGTCACACTACTTTTATCCCAGGCTATTTACTTATTGACTAGAAATAGGGCAGCGGGGGGATCAAGAAGGGTTACGGTCAGCAGTTTAAATGGCTGGGTAGTATCTTTCTTAATCTCAGTTGGGATGGGCTAGGGTTTACAAAAAAGGCATGAAGCCTTAAAATTAATAAATAATTCTTGATAGCCTGGCTGCCCATGAAAACTACAAAATAATTAACTTTTATGATGCTGTTATCTCAAGCAAATATGCCACCCATAATTTTTAAAATGTCACTGTTTAACCACCTAAATCTGAGCTGAATAGTTATATTTAATTCATTCATGCAAATTGTGATGAACTGTTAGCACAAAAAGGGTGTCTGAAGGATTAGGCATTTGGTGGATTCAAGTAATCGACGTATTATCAGTAAGACCCTTGGGAAGGAGGGACCAGAAGAGTAGCAATGGAACAAAGGGGAAAACCAAGCTGCCTTGGTTTGATTTGATTTTTTTTTTCTTTTGGAGAGTCATTGCTACATATAATGCATAAAAATCTCAGCCAGGTGTGGTGGCTCACACCTGTAATCCCAGCACTTTGGGAGGCCGAGGTGGGTGGATCACCTGAGGTCAGGAGTTCAAGTCCAGCCTGGCCAACATGATGAAACCCTCTCTACTAAAAACACAAAAATCAGCGAGACATGGTGGTGGCCTCCTGTAATCCCAGCTACTCGGGTGGCTGAGGCAGGAGAATCACTTGAACCCAGGAGGTGGAGGTTGCAGTGAGCCAAGATCATGCGACAGAGTGAGACTCTGTCTCAAAAAAAAAAAAAAATCTATCGGACCAACAGAGACACATATGGACTATTTGTTAATGTCTCTATATTTAAGGAAATGGCAGTTGCAAGTATATTTTGCATTAAAAGCACAATAATATATATTAAATATATGTAAATTCCATCACCCTAAATGCTTCAAGTTAAATTCCCAAGTCCAGTAGATCTGAGATCTACTGGATCTCAGATCTCCTGGGTCTGTGGCCTGTCCTCCCTACAAGTGTCCAGGCAGATGCAGTGAGGTGAAGGAATCCTAAGTTGGGTAGAAGTTCCCACTGACCTCCAAGGCACCCTCTAGCCCTACTCTGTGAGTCACTGCTTGAGGCTTGGGATGCCAGAGTGCGAAAGATTCTGTGTACCCTCACTGGATTTGGCCTATCCCAAGATGGCTTTCCTTGGAGTGAATGGCACCTTACAGTACTTACTGTTACAGGGAGACGGTTGTGTTTTATAAAGTGCATTGAATTCCTCAGACAAAATGTGCTGTATAAATGTTACAGTTAATCTAGATTTCATAATGCCTCTGTTGATTCACTTCTTAAAAACAAATGGAGTGTTTACTGCTCAGTAAACATCTCATCTTGGATCCTGCTAGTATTTATAAAGAGGGTGATTAAAGAAAGTCTAAACAATGAAAGAAGGAACAAAAGATTTGCTACTGCTGTGAGGACTAGCAGCCCACTCTTCCCATTTTTCCAGATAAACCGTTGGCTTAGGAATTGTAGAGTATAATAATAAACTAAAGTGGTATTTAATCCCCATTCTTATTTATGGCTTATTGCCAGAGTTTAGTCATAATGTAGATACAGAAAAACATATGTTGGATTTGGGCAAATTATTTAATAAATGGCAGACTCTCTGTTGAATAAATCTGTTTAGAACCATGACCTTGTATTTCAACAAAATGAATAATAATCCAACTTTGTGGTTATTAAAACCTTAGATGTAGTTTTTGTCTCCATGAAAGTTTATAAAAGAAATTAAGGTAAAACTTATGCCAATATGACTTCAGTTAAAATAGTATATGACTTCAAGCATATACTAAATATGACTTATTGTCATGTTTGACTAAATGTCTTATTATTCTTTAAAAATGCATTAGACATCCAAATATGGTTTGTCCCCAGCTCCTTTGTCCCCAGTTTCTTGCTTTCCATGTGAAGATTTTTCTGTATAGTACTTTGCACTATTAGGAAGAAGATAAAGCCTGTGCCACAGAAAATGCATTTTTATTTTACTGGCTCATGAAAAAGAATTTATTTCTTAAAACTCACTATTTCTTTCTTATTTCTATCCTTACCAGGACAGCAGCTTAATAGGTTTCTTGAAATTGCAGGAGGACTTAGGAGTTAACATTGTCTTACCATTAAATCATGCCTCTATTCCTTGATGTTTTCTCCAAGAATGATGGCAGATGCTTTTGAAGTTCTGGTGTATTTGACAGAAAGCAAAATCTCAGTATTGAAAAGTTTTGAAAATTTTTTTTGTTAATATAATGTGTCATACTCCACTGTGGAACTTTTGAGTCACTCTTGGCTAGTGGAGTAGCGACAAAAAAAAGTCCTTTAAAGTCTAGCATATATTTGGTAAAAATAAGAAAAGTTTGTCTTAGGACCTACTACTTTTTTTTTGAGACATGGTCTCCCACTGTCATCCAGGCTGGAGTGCAATGGTACAATCATAACTCACCGCAGCTTTGACCTCCCAGGCTCAAGTGATCCTCCTACCTCAGCCTCCAGAGTAGCTGAGACTACAGGCACGTGCCACCACACCCAGCTCATTTTTAAAATTTTTTGTACAGACAAGGTCTTACTTTGTTGCCTAGGCTGGTCTTGAACGTCTGGCCTAAGCTGTCTCCCACCTCAGTCTCCCAAAGGATTACAGGCATGAGCCACACCTGGCCTGCCCTTTTTTTTTTTTTAAACTAAATTATGAGATTATGAATTTGTCAGCTAGACATGAATGTATTTTCTCTTTCTCTCTCTCTTTTTTTCATTTCCCATTATTGGCTATTACAGTTGAGTATCCTTTATCTGAAATGCTTGGGACCAGCAGTGTTTCAGATTATTTTTGGATTTTGGAATATTTGCATATAGTGAGATATCTTGGGGATAGGACCCAATTCTAACTGAAATTCATTTATATTTCATATATATCTCATACATAAGAAATATATATAAGATGGCCTTGAAATCGCCTTGAAAACCAGATGGGTTTAGACTCACATAGCCTGAAGGTAATTTTATACAATATTATTAATACTTTTGTATAGACAAAGTTATGATTGCAAGCTGTCACATAAGGTCAGGTGTGGAACTTTCCACTTGTGCCATCATATTGACACTGAAGAGTTTCAAATTTTGGAACACTTTGGATTTTGGGTTATGGTTGCTTAACCTGTAATTGCTTTCCAGAGTGATGTTTTCACATAAATTAAAGGCCATAAATTGAAAGGAGGGTTCAGAATCACTTATTCATTGTTCACAACCTAGCAGATTTTTCCTATTACCTTTTATTTCCTGTAAAATTCCAAAATGTGGAGGAATAGTAGGGTAGAAGAATAAACTTACTAATGCGATAAGTGAAATGATAGCAGTTGTGCTTAAATTTCTAAGTAGATGATTTTGTAGCTAAGAATAATTTACAAATATTTTAAATTTTCTACTATATATGGAAACTATAGGGATACTTTAAATATGGAAATTAAACTGGCACACATGAAACAGAATAATACAGATATGATCTAATTTTGTTGTAAACGAAGTGATAAGTGTTGAAGTTTTATGGAAATGAGGGTGGGATGGTGGGAGTTAGCCCGCACCCCTGGCAGCTCCAGTACTTAGGGTCGGCCTCCCAGTTGACTGTAGGAATGAGTGCAGTTTGGGAGAGGTAGCAGGGAAGGGAGAGGGGATGGTGTGTGCATGGTACAGTTGTGCAGGTTGATCAACATGGACTTGAAAGTTGCTAGTTGATAAAAGAGGGGTGGGTATGATGAAACTAGATAAAGAATGGCCTTGAAAGCCAGATGGGTTGAGACTCGACAGGCAGCTGTTGAATTATTTGGGGAGATGTGGGTTGGTGTCAGAGAGATTTAAGAAAGCCCCTGTAGTTAGTGAGGCCAGCTTCTGCTCATGCCCAAGCCTGTCCTTTGCTGTCTTTGCTCAGGCCCCATGGGCTCTGCGTGTCCTCCTTCCCTCCTCAGTGCATCCCTTTGGTTTTTCTCCCCTTGTACATCCCCAAACTCATATTTTCTCTTTCAGCAGCCAGCCTTGAAATAGACATTAAGGTTCTTTTCATATTTAGTCATCCCTCCCCATCCTTCCAACACCTCTAGTGAGTGCATAAAACCAAAGATAGTACATAACCCTTTATGTACTATGTTTTTTCCTACACATACGTACCTATTATGAAGTTTAAGTTATAAGTTACACACAGTAAGAGATTAACAGCAACAATAATAGAATAGTTATAACAACATGCTGTCTGTACACCAAACCCCATGATATGCAGCTTACCTATGTAACAAACCTGCACAGGTACCCCTGAACCTAAAATAAAAGTAAAAAGTAAATAAATAACAGTATGCCAGCATCATGACTCTTGTGCTTTGCGACCATTATTAAGTAAAATAAGGATGACTTGAACATAGGCACTGAGATACTATGACAATCGATCTGGTAGCCCACATGGCTACTAAGTGACAGCATAGAGATACTAGAAAAAGGGATTATCCCAGGTGGAATAGGGTGGGACAGCACAGGATTTTACCATATGTTGAAGAACAGCATGCAATTTAAAACTTATGACTTGTTTATTTCTGAAATTTTCCACTTAATATTTTTAGATTGTGGTTGGCCAGGGGTAACTGAAACAGTGGAAGGTGAAACCATGGGTATGGGAGGGCTGTTGTACAATTCCATACAACTTATCATTTCTCCAGCCTACTGTACTCCCATGCAGGTTTGTCTCCACCACTTCACAGATAGCCTATCAAGGGCCTCAGTGACTTCACAGGACTGAATTAGTGGTCTGTTCTCATCTGACTTGAATCTAAGCAACATTGGGCATGGCTTACCACTTCTCTCTTGAAACACATTCTTCCCTATGGCTGGAGGATACCATGCTGTCCTTGAGGACAGCATACTGGCTTCGTTTTCCTCCTACCTCCCTGGCCAGGTCTTCTTTTCTGGCTTCCCTCCTGCTTGACTTCTCAACTTCGGCACTCCCTGGGTTCGTTCCTGGGAACTTTTTTTCCCTCTGGCTGCATCCTCTCAAGTGGTGTCATATAATTCATCACCTGAAATTCTGTCTAACATTGACTAACCCTAAAGATTCATTAGCAACTGTGTCCTAGCCCATGAGCAGTAGGTTAATATGTAGCACTCTACTGGATCTCTCCATTTGGATATTTGATGGGCACTTTGAAGTTAACATGTCCAAAATGCACCTCTTGCTTTTCCCCAAAACCTGCTTTCCTTTTGGTCCTCCCCTCCACAGTAAACGGCACCACTCCTCACAAGCTACTTAAGCTAAAGCCTAGCCATTGACCTTCATTCTTTTCTTTCACTTAGCTTCCAAATCCCAGCGCCAGCTATCAATACTTATTTTCAGCTGTGTCTCCAAAATGCATCCCAAATGTGACTGTTTCCCTCCTCTCCACTGTGACCTCCCCAGCCTAAGCCTCCCATGCAGGAAAGTCTCCTTGCATCTGCTGCAGCCTCTCCACAGTGCTTCTCTGTCCTGCACTCAGTGTCTACACAGCAGCCAGTGTGGCCTGTTGAAAACCTAAATCACTTCATGTCATGTCTGTGCTCAACCAACGGGGCAGTGAGAGAAGCACATTAGTACTGAGAGAGGGTGCTCCATTGGCTTCACTGAGACACAGGAGGAGGTTTTCCGTGGGCCACCTTCTTGGTCATTTCAGCCTTGTATGTGAACATGAGAAAATAACAGCCTGTGGGATATGACTTCATCATATAATTAAAGTCTAAATAAAGTGTGATCTGTGCACTGAGGGAGAAGTATTAATTTTGATGAGGGGCATCGGGCAGGGCTTCATAAAGAAGATAACATTTTTGCTAGGCCTTGAGGGGTGAGTAGATTTTCAGTGTGGCTCATTGTATGCGAGAGAGTGGAAGGCTCTAGGGTGGCAGGGAGCTTGGCCTGAAGAGGCACACTGAGTGTCTTAAGTGATGCCTCTTTCAGAGAGTGCCAGGCAGTTTTGGAGCAGGGCCCAATGAGTAGATAGGATAGGGTAGGAGTGGGTAATGAGACTGAAAACGTAGATTACACTTATTTTGAAGGACTTCAGATGCTGGGTTGAGTTTAGAGTTGGAGTGATGGGGAACTGTCTTTAGGACATTGTATCAAAATAGATTTTTCAGTGGTCAGAAAATCCACTGAAGGCATTCTTCTTTATGTCTTCTACCTGATAGTAGTATGGAAATACTCACGATTGTTAGTGAGATATCACCTTGAAGGCTGTGGTTCCCAGGGGAAGGAAGCCCCCTGGTAGAAAGCCTGACCCCCGTGATATGAAGGAATGCACCCCTCCTTCCCATTAGGCAGGTGCCAGATGCCTCTAGGCTAAGATGGTGGTCTGTGCTCTTAATTATGAGGAATAGGGAAGGTGGTTTGATTACTAAAGGAGCTAACCCTCATGTGTTCTTTTCTTGCGGGGGTGGGTGGGTGGGGGGGAGTGTTAATATGCTGTATTAAGTAACCTTTTTAATTCCTATTGTAGGATTAACCACAATGAACGGTTGGAATTCCTGGGTGATGCTGTTGTTGAATTTCTGACCAGGTAATTAGGCTTTTTTGTTTTTTACAATTCCTCAATAATTACATTTTATAGGTAACATACTTATTACATTGCTTTCTTTGTAATTAGCCAAATAAGGCATTGATACACCGTGTATTTTATCTCTTTTGTAGAGCTTAGAAGCCACATGTCTGTGGCCCTTGCCCTGATAACTGGCACTCACTGATGCTGTAATGAGTGAGATTACAAGATGAAAGGCTGGTGTCTCTGTCCTGTCAAGTATATGTTAAAGTTGCTTACAGCCACAAGAGATCAGCTTGCCTTGGTCTAGATGCTTCAGAGCTTATGTTCAATTTGTAAAGAAAGGGATGATATTTTAAAATGTCATTTCATCTTCTAGGATTTGTCTTTGATCCCTTTCTTACTCTTTCTGATCTCAAGGGAAGTAAAGCTTACAAGTAATTTTAATGACCAGATTTTCTAGTGTGTGTGTGTGTGTGTGTGTGTGTGTGTGTGTGTGTGTGTGTGTGTGTGTGTGTTTCTCTCCAGAAGTGTTTTAGGATCCTTAATTTGAAAGTACGGGTAGGACGCTAGGCGCGGTGGCTCACGCCTGGAATCCCAGCACTTTGGGAGGCCAAGGCGGGTGGATCACCTGAGGTCAGGAGTTCAAGACCAGCCTGGCCAACATGGCGAAACCACATCTCTACTAAAAATTCAAAAATTAGCCAGGTGTGATGGTGCATGCCTGTAGTCCCAGCTACCTGGGAGTCTGAGGCAGGAGAATCACTTGAACCTGGGAGGTGGAGGTTGCATTGAGCTGAGATTATGCCACAACACTTTAGCCTGGGTGACAGAGTGAGACTCTGTCTCAAAAAAAAAAAAAAAAAGGAATAGGGGCAGGAAAGTGTTTTGCTTTTCTATACTGACACAATTTCTCTTTTAAAGGGAGACAATACATGCTTCTCTTGGAACTCTCTTGAGCTGTTTTTATTCTCTTTAGGTTATTTCTTTTCACAAGATGGACATAATCAGGAGAAGGGACTCCTCTCTCCAGGGGCCACACGTAACACAGCCCAAGGAAAAGCATTTGTTTCACTCCCAATTTTTAGTATTAATGTGTTTGCTCTTAGAGTGTGTAACTGATTATTCTGCTCTTTGTTGTCATCAGATTTCAGAGAAATCTTTTAACAGAAATAAATGTGAAAATACAAGTGAATGGTGCTGTCTGGGTTTTAGCACATTCAGATATACTGTTCTTACCATTTAACTTTCAAAGACTTTAATCAGATCCTTTAGTTTGATTCACCTGATATCCATTGCACAGCTACTGTGTGCCAGCCCTGTTTCTGTGACTCAGAGCCACAGACAGAATGTCGTGATGCATATTTATTCATGTACTTCTTTTTTTTTTTGTAGCGTCCATTTGTACTATTTGTTTCCTAGTCTGGAAGAAGGAGGATTAGCAACCTATCGGACTGCCATTGTTCAGAATCAGCACCTTGCCATGCTAGCAAAGGTATAGAAGACATCTGCAGCATTTGTAGTTACGTCTGACATGCTCTTCTGCGGTCCATGCATAATTTTGCATTTGAATAAGTAACTCGTTAGGATATATTAGGAGTGTTAATATTTTACAGACCAGGAAGTATTTTTTGTTGGGTTTTAAGGATCCAGTCTTATTAGTTCTGTTACCTTTGTGAGTTTCACCAGCAGCTAATGAACTCCACAGTGAGGTAACTTGAGAACAGATGAAGAAAAATTTGACAGATGTGCATGAACAGAGTTAAACATTTGGGGAAAAGGAACATGGGAACAAAGCAAAAGAAATGAAATATACTGTCTTTTCCCTTTGTGTAGTATTTCTGTAGTACATTTGTTTTTAATTTACATTAACAAGCCAAATGATAGCTTTGAACAGAATATTACAGACCATTTTTTATCCACTAGGGGTACTTTCTACACCTTTGAGAATCCCCCAAATCACAAATCCTATTAAGATTTAGGGTTTAGGCTGTTCCCCTAGCCTCATTGACTTAGCTCAGTGACTAACAGAACCTTTTCATAATTCAGATAAATGTGATCTGATTTGATGTTTCCATCTCCATATTATGTCTTATTATAATAAATCATGGCTGATAAGAACATTCCAGTCCACACTCCTCCTCTTACAAACAGGTGGCCATGGACAAATTGACAAATTGTTGTTCTCTTCTCCAAGCCTCTGCTTTCTCGTCTGTAAAATGGAAATGACATTAGCCCTTGGCACACAGCCTGGTTGTGAGAATTAAATGAGATTATGAGTTTTAATGATGTCATTTATAAAGTGCTACGCATAATACTTGTTTATAGTAATTACACAAAGATGTTAATAATTTTGTAGGGGCTGTTTTTATTGATGCTACCCATGTTCTTGTGATAAATCCTTACATTTTTATAGACTTCTGGGTTTATTTAATAGTAGGCAGAATGGTGGCTCTTAAATCCCCAAGCACTGAGGATCCACTGGCAAAACTTTTGTGGGTTTTGCCTAAAGTAATTTGTATCTTTTCTTCATTTTGATATGAAAGTTTGATTTTGATAGAAAGAGTAGATAAAGCCCATCCTAGCTTTATGACTGGTTTCTTAATTTGATCTTGCCAAGGCATTAATTATATTCAAAATGTGGTTAATTTTAGCTTATGTGTTAGCAATAACACATTGTTTTATTTTATGTGATAACATCATCATTGTAGCTACAGTGGTAGGCTTTGAACTGGTTTTAGTGGCATTTGAGAAAGTAAATATTGATGTCTTAATGAAAACCTGTAAGCAACCAGGTAAGCCAACTTGGTTTTAGCAGGCTCACAATGAATGAAATTTCACAACTCTATGTAAAACTGCTTAAGTGTTTGGTTGATTTAATTGTCACAATGCTTCCTGATCATTCACATAAATGCCACTGGAAATACATATTAATAAGTAGGTAGTCACTCCATTCCTTATTGTTTTTAGTTTTGGATGTAATGGAATGGCATAATTATTTTTCAAACACTTGTAGGGAGGATATTTACAAAGTGTGGGGAATTGCCGTAGCATGAAAACAGAAGCTATTATATAACCCATTGGGTGCTGTACAAAGCCATGACTAATGACAGAGGTGGCTAGTTTCTCCCTTCAGGGATTTCTATGTGGTCTTCTTCCACCAAGCCCAAGGCTTGCCATTCCCATAGTACTCAACACCCATTGGCTGCAGCAGAAGGCTGTGGCAGTCCCACCTTTCTTCTGTATAGACCAGTAGTCCTTAACCATTTGGAAGGGAAGGGAATTGATGGAGAATTGTTGACCCCTTTGAGAATCTAATGAAAGCTCTAGGTCACCTTCCAGACTAATGAACATTTTAAAACATAAACAGTAGCACACCACTCTATCCTTTTTAAAAGTTGTACTAATACCGGGCGTGGTGGCTTATGCCTGTAATCCCAGCATGATTACAGGAGGTAAGCCGAGGCAGGCAGATCACGAGGTCAGGAGATCAAGACCATCCTGGCTAACATGGTGAAACCCCATCTCTACTAAAAAATACAAAAAAATTAGCCAGGCGTGGTGGCAGGCGCCTGTAGTCCCGGCTACTCGGGAGGCTGAGGCAGGAGAATGGCGTGAACCCTGGAGGCAGAGCTTGCAGTGAGCCTAGATTGTGCCACTGCACTCCAGCCTGGGCAACAGAGCAAGACTCCTTCTCAAAGAAAAAAAAAAGAAGTTGTGCTAATGCGTGCATGGAAAAATAAGAATATAGAGTAGAGACTAGAAGAAGTCAGGAAATTCACATCACAGCACTCCAGAATACAGTAGATGTTTATAAGATAAAATATGGCTTGCGGTCTGCTTGCAAGCAGGGCTCCAGAGATAGCAAACAATTAAATTTTCCCAGTGAAGTTGTGAAACAGATGAAATTTACATATTCTAGTATAAACTCTTGCACTTTGGGATCAATTTTTAAAAAGAGATATTTTCTGCTATTGCATTTGCGGTAGTCAAAACTCATTTGAGTATATTTTATAATCACAAATTTCAAACAGTATAAAATACTACAGCATATATGTCTTATTTTTATTGTCTTTGTGTTTTTCCAATATGAATAAATATGGATATTTAAGATACATACTGAGACACACAGAATCTATGTCTTTTGTCTGAGGACTGGTGGAACTCATATTGTCCTAGGCTGTTCATTGACTTGTGATTTGTTCCATGTTATGTGGCATGTTATTGCTTAGTATTTATTGAATTGAATTACATGGTAATGGAAATGGATTTATTGCATATTTATGCAATGTTTGTAGCTTTCTTTTTTATGGAAAGAATTATGATTTCCATTTATTCAATCTCAGGAGTTGCATAAAAAATATTCTTTCACATTGTGTCTAGTTCTAAAAGGCTGGAATTGATTTGTATGTTGTAATGCCATGGGATAAGAAATAAGCAGCCACAGAGATCAAAGTAAAGGAAAACTATGAGTAAGATAGTGAAATGAATCCAGAGGTAAAGTTAGTATACACTGACGTATTCATCAGCCCTACACCTACAACTGGGCTACAAATTTGGCTCTAAACTCTTCTGAGGCCAAATCAGAAAAGGAAACACAATTCACTACAAATGCTATTTTCAGAGCCCTTAAGATCAATCCAATTCATTGCTTAGAAGGTCTCAGTGAACCCACAGAGAGATGAGTATGGAAACCTCATGAGGGGGACACAAGTGCAGAGGGGTCCCCAAATCGTCACAACAAATAAAAATAAAGATTTAGAAGTGTAAGGCATTTTGAAGTCTTCTGAGGGTCCTCACTTACTCTACCACATAAAAATCTATTTTGGGCCAGGCGTGGTGGCTCACACCTGTAATCCCAGCACTTTGGGAGGCTGAGGTGGCTGGATCACCTAAGGTCAGGAGTTTGAGACCAGCCTGGCCAACATGGTGAAACCCCATCTCTACTAAAAATACAGAAATTAGCTGGGTGTGGTGGCAGGTGCCTGTAGTCCCATCTACTCGGGTGGGTGAGGCAGGAGAATCGCTTGAACCCAAGAGTTGGAGGTTGCAGTAAGCCAAGATCATACCACTGCACTCCAGCCTGGGCGACAGAGCCAGATTCCGTCTCAAAAAAAAAAAAAAATCTGTTTTGTATGGTGCTGACATTGTCAGTACCACATGACTTGAGTCAAAGACGTAAAATTGACTTTCAGAAGTTTGTGTTAGGTTTGTAATTCTCTCCCTAGGCATATTGGATGAACCCAGGGGCTTGTAGCAGAGTCTTATTCCAGCCTGGGCTAGTGCTTGATCTGAACTTGGAATTGGAAAGTTCAGATCTGATCAATTCTGAACCCTACTTGAACTATTGGAGTTTGTAGAAGCCTGTTTGGGAAAGAATTGAGTTAGTGAAAACTGAGCTGTATGTATAGGACTTCTAATGAATGTTAAACTAAACTCTCTCTTAATATATTCATGGATTTGTAACCATTACGCTGCCCCCATCTCGTCTCCGCACCAACTCTCTGCAAGAGATGCTGAGTTACTATAGTTAAGATTTTGGCAAACTCTTTCTTACGTTTTGTCATTGTGAATTTTGTAGAAACTTGAACTGGATCGATTTATGCTGTATGCTCACGGGCCTGACCTTTGTAGAGAATCGGACCTTCGACATGCAATGGCCAATTGTTTTGAAGCGTTAATAGGTAATTTCTCTCTTCTTCAAGAAGTCTACTTTCTTGCATGTCTAAACAGTCTGGAGAGCACATAAAATTTAGTGTGGAAACTTGGGACAGAATTACTTGTTCCCAAAGCACATGAGGTTCCTAGGACGACACCTACCACCTTATATTATAGTTATTTCAGTTCCTTCAGAGCAGTGAACATGCCTCTTTTTTTTTTTTTTTTTTTTTTTGCATTCTACTGCCTGAATTGGTGTCTGGTGTCTGATGTCATGTAGATGGTTAGTATTTAATGAATTGAAATGAGGTGAGTTAATATGGAGATGGATTACTTTCCAGATTTGATTCAGGATCACATACATAAACAAACAGATTAGGTTGCTGAGAGACTCCAGTGTTGCTTTTGATTAAACTATTTGTAAGATTTCTGTTTTAAACATCTTGAGAACACCACATCTTTTAAGCCCCACCCAGGGTTTGAGTCTGTATAACTGTTATTGATTCACTTGAAGCAAGACTGATGTTGACATTTCACTCCTCACTCAGGCACTTTACTTCCTTGGCTTCTTTTTGACTGTAACCAGAATACAATTAGCCATTGGTACAGGAAAGTTATGAAGAGTTAATTAGCTGGCGACTGCAAGTTTGTATGCTTTACAATGAAATGTTACAGTAGATTGACAACTTGATTTTTTTTTAAAGTAAATGATCAAGTACATTTTAGCTTTCAAAGGGCTTTGTTCTTACCATTTTTGCCCTCTTCCTTTGAAAATGAATATAAAAGCTTCCCATTGTAGTTTCATGCTGATGATAGTGGGAAGAGAATGTTTAATAATTATCCACAGTCTTTTCACAGCTATGTCTGTTTTTCACAAATATGTCTATTTTCAAAGAATTTGTCACATGGAATTACTTTGCTCTGTACACATAATATTTTTGACAGTTGGTGTTACCATTGCCTCCAGAACCAGCCAGACATGATTCAATTTCCTGTTCCATCATTTATCAGATCTGTGTCTTTGGCAAGCTACCTAATCTCTTTGATCCTCAGTTTCCTCATCTGTGAGCCTGTGAGATGGAGATAGTATCACTTACCTTGCAGAGTTGTCATAATGATCTTAATATCTGATTCTGGCAGCATCCAATCCAGAGCAAAGCTCTACTTCCTTAAGCTGTCCCCCCAAATCAACTAATATGAGCCTAAATCCTGTAAGTCTTTTCTAACATCCTCCTACTGAGGTACCCCATGAAAGTGAAGATAAGAATGTGGAAATGCTTTGCATGGTACCCAGGACATAAGTGTTTCCCAAACCACAACAGCTGCTACCACTGTTACTCTGACTATCATTGTTACAATTATCAATAAATAATGAATGTCTTTAGTTGTCAAAAGCCCTGGTAACTAAGTGCCTTAACATTTTACATGGAAAAGTAGCCTTTCTGAAGACAAGTGTAAACATTTGATTTCAAGAAAATATGAGTACTCCATTGTAATTGATACCCAGTTAAAATGTTACCATAGTACTTCCTGGTTATGATTCATTAATGTGTTTGCCTAATGCTTAATTATTCCAAATTAAAGGTAAAGCTTCCCCTGATATTTTGTTTGCAGATGCCTTCATTGATCTAGACTCGGGTTTTGTCTATCAGGTTTTTTTTTCCTTAGGTATCTATATACATTTGATCTGAAACGTATACTATAAATGCATAAAATAAAACAGAACATTTGCTTTACTAAAGTCAAGTATTTGTGCATTGCTCCCTTAGTAAGGTTTATACCTTTACCCTTCATAATAGTTGATATTTGGCCTCTTTTACTTACAATATTAGATTTAGATGTTAGTAAATTGAATTTCATATTATTTCAGTCTAATTTGTAATGCAAAGGATAGCAAAAAGGGGAAATGTCACCTTTAAGACAATTGCTTCTGAACATGTTGATTTGTTTTCTGTGAGTAGTTTTTGGCTTGCGTTTTTGCTTTATTATAGAGATATGTCATTTTCTTTGACTGTTGATGGAGACTCTCTTTTGGCATTCTCTGTTTTTCATCTAGGAGCTGTTTACTTGGAGGGAAGCCTGGAGGAAGCCAAGCAGTTATTTGGACGCTTGCTCTTTAATGATCCGGTATTTCTATGGAATCATTTGATTTTTTTTGTTATATATTATTACAGAATATTTTATTTCAGCTGGTCTTTGTAATTTGAAGAGAATATAGGAGAAACAAAATAGTCAGATCTACCATAGATGGGACATTTCAATACACCAAAATGGCTTATTCAACTCTTGCAGATGGAAAGTTCCATGGACCTTTACACAAGGAGTTTTTCTTTGGCCTGAACCTGTCTTTCCTCATGGTCACTTATAAATTAAATATGAATACAAATATAATAGGACTTCGCTTCATTTTGAAGTGTCTTGAAGCTAATTATGATTTTATATTTTAGAATCATTGGGTATCTACCCCATGCAGGCTTAGTTGAAGTGATAGCCTTTTGGCTTTTCTGTGTATGATTTGTTTTTATGTAAATTATGTAGACTAGATAAATGTTTATTTATTTTTAAATGTCAGTTCATAGGGAGTTTCTGATAGGGCTATGGATAAAGAGTATGAAAGTACTTTTTTAAAAGCAAATTGTAGTTTAAGAAAAAATGATAGATTCTAAAATAGTTTCTGTTGTTACTTAAATATTAAGCTATTAATATTGCCAGAGACACCTTTTTAATCCTGCATGTAATAGAGTACACTGGATGCTTTCTGCACCAAAACAAGTCAATTTAACATTTAAAGGGGGAAGCAACTCTGTATTCCAAATTGAAATGTCATTATAATTGAATGAAATAGCCCTCATGGAGCAATAAAGAACACGGGAAGCCAGTTTTAAGCCTCTGTGAAACCTTCAGCTTAAATGGCTGTCAGACGTTATTACTGTATTACTTTGGGTAGTTTTTTTAAAAAAGGATCAATAGTTTTGGAAAATATGACCTGGACAATGTTCATATCTGAGAATTTGATTTTTGTATTTGTTTTTCTAGAGATATGTGATGATTTTTATGGATGAATTTCCTCCTTATGGGAAGATTATCTACAGATGCTCTGTGTCCCCCATTTTTGTCCTGCACATATAAACACATGTGCATCTTGATTTGCATCTGTATCAGATGGTGTGTGTTTTAAGACCTTTTCTCAAATCTTAAATTTTCTTTGTTCTGGCCTTCACCTTTTGTGGGTCATTTCAGCAACCTCTTTGCTCTCTTTCCTTCCTGCAGTCTTGTCTGTGTGTCCCCCAGCACCCTTTAGACTCCTTCCCCCACCCCCACCTCCTCCCTGTCCTCTTCTCCCATCTTACCTGCATCCCCCAATCCACTGTGTTCTGTTGTTCTGTTTTGCTGCAGTTTTCTACTTGTCTTCTTTAATTGCATCAGTCTGTGTTTAGATTCTTTTCTCTTTAAACTGCCTCTCTCCCAGTTGTCTACTTAGTGAGCTTATCTTGTGTTTCCAGTACCTAGTGCAATGCTGGCATGTGCAGCGTTTAATACAGATTTGTTAGAAGAGTGAAGTGAATAAATGACTGGATTAAAAGCAGAGTGTGAACATTATCTTACAAACAGGGTGGTTGAGATTCAGAATTTGTTTTAGTGTGTCTTTTGTGAAACTGCATAAGGCTCACAATGTATGGGTTTTCCTCTTTAGCATTTTGAAGTACACAAACTTGGACACTGACTCATTTGACATCTCCATATTGGTTTCCACCTATTAGTTGTAGCATGTGAGAGATGTTAGTGAACCAATGTACTTCTTTTTTGAATAAGGCATCATGAAAGCCTAATTAGCCAAAGACAGCCAGGGACAAACCTGTAGGCAACAAAGTCAGGTTGATTGGCTGTGTTGTGGGGGTGGAGAGAGACATCCTTTGTGAGGCCTGGGCTGGTGCTGAATAATTCTTAGGAGGTTCTTGGCTGTGGCCAGTTTAGGAGCAGCAAGAGATTACTTTGGGATTGGGTGCCGTCCCAAGGCAAGGGCAGCTTGGCGATTAAGTATCTGCGGTGATCCTTAGTCAGAGGGTCATAATGGCATTTTACAGCAGCTGCAAGACCTTGAGGAAAACATTGTTTCCTGTTCACTTTGCTGCTGGCTTTATCTGTGTCTGTCTTCTCAGCCCTGTAAACAGCAGGGCTGTTTTTTTCTTTTTCACCCTCAACTGAGTTTTACTCTTTCAGCCCCAGTTTTGCTGGTTTTGTATTTTGGTCTTTGTGTAACCCTTCAAGTTTGACCCAGTACATTCAGATCCATTGTTTCATTTTGATTATGTTAATGGCCCGCTTAGAAAGCTAGAGTGGTGTTAATGTGATTTTTCCTATGCCCCTGCTTTCCACACCTTTTCTCTTTACACAGCTGTCCCAGTACCTCTGACTCAGGCCTTTTCTCTGGAGCTGCAGAAACTGGAAAAAGTGTCTTTTCAAGTTGCCTCTGGGCACCTCACAGGTGTTTCACAGATACCTCATTTCAACATGTGTAACATTGAACCCATCACTTTTAACCCCCAAATGTGTTCCTCCTTCCTTATTTTTATCTTCTAAACCAGAAACCTTAGGATTTATTTTTGTCCCTAAGCTTTCTTCTCCTCTTATCTGATCGATTGCAAGAGTCTATCAATTCTGACCCTAATATTTCTTGAATTGCTACCCTACTGCTTTCATTTTTGTCCTCCTCATTTCTCACTTGAACTCTAACCGGCTGCCATCCCCCACCGCTCCAGTCCATCATTCATACCACATTTCTTCTTTTCAATATGCAGATTTGGTTAGGGCCTTTCTTGCTTAAAATCTTTGGTTACAGCCTCCCAAGCTCTATATACTACATAACGTAGCATTTAATAGTTTTCATAATCTGTCAGCCGTTTTTTTAATCCCTCTTTGTGCCATTCACTAGGAATCACCTTTTTGTGCCTATGTACTTTAAGACTTATTATTTGTATGTTTCTGGTGCCCCGTTTTTGATTCTCACTCTCTACTGATTTGCCAAAATCTTCATATTCTCAGGACACATCTGAAGAATCATCTCCTCTTTGAAGCTTTATCTGACACCTCCAGGCAGTTTTCCTAACACTTATATGTATATATCTCATTATTATGAGACTTACCACAATGTATTAAAGTGCACTTATTTACCTTCATTCTTTCTCACTAGGCCTCTTTAGGACAGAGTTAGGTATTCAGTAAAAACATGTTGCATGAACAAATGACCTGATCAGAATATTTTCCAGAAGAGCCAGCTAAAGGTAGAGACCTTGCCTAAGGTCCTTGAGCTAATAAATGGTAGCACTGGGGTTCCAGTCTAGATCTTTTCAGTATATTTCCCCTGACACCAAGGTGCAGCAGAACCCTATCTCGGTGTCTATGGGGTAGATGAAAGGAAATGGACAGGTGCATTAGTCTGGTCATGGGGTGTTATGCTATTACACCAAGATGGGTGGCAGCAGACATGAAAGGAGGAATCACAGTCTTGTTTCGGTATAAGACATGAAGGTGATAGAAGAAAGGTGAATCAAGATCCCTGGGAATTTTGAGCCTTGGAGACTGGGGTTGGTTGGAAGAAATAGCTCTTTATCATTGTTGTTGTTGTCATCATTATTAATAGTAGTACTTTCTATGGGCCAGCTCTGGGTTTAATACTTTGAGTGCATTGCTCAGGGTGTTTGTCAGAGAACAGCTTGAGTAGGTCCTACAATTATCTTTGTCTTAAGCTTGAGGACATGGAAGCTTAGGTTAAGTCACTTGCCAAGATGGAATCAGGATTGGACCCAGGCAGCCTGACTCCTAAGCCTGCCGTCTTCTGTAACAGATGCTCTAGTTTAAGGAGAAAGGTGAAAAGTTATCATTTGATCATGTTCCATATGGAGTAATAGGTGCCCATGTGCTATTTAGAGTTATGGACTGGGAGCTTAGGTAAGAGGTCAGTGCTGCAGCAGAAGTGAATGAGTAATCCAAACTGAAGTAGTAAAGCACTGGAAATAGTGGAATTCTCCAGTGGAAATGGTAATGAATAGGTCAGGCAAGGGCCCGAAGTTTGATAAATGTCCACTTAGGGTGAAAGGAGGAAGAAAAAAAGCATTGAGAGAAAGTTGTAAGAAGGTAAGAACAATCAATATAATTTGCACTACCGAGATTTCAAAGGAAAGATTTCTGAATTGGTTAAGAGAAGTCCTTTAAAGTGCCCCAAAGAAAGTTTGATGTTTAAATGCTTTTAAAAAATATTATTTAAAAAACCCTGAGTGTATTTTATTAAGATATCAGTTGTGCAAGAAATATTAGGTATTTTACTTTTATTACCCTGTGTGTTACAAGTGGTACTAAATTTTCCTATACTTCTTCCCCTCTAAAAAAAAACTTAAATATTTTTTCCTCTTAAGGAATTTTTTTTGTTATTTATTTCAGAAATCTAATATCAAGGTCGGGAAGTAAATTCAGTCAGAGGCTCCCTAGAGTCTGAAACTAAAGGAAAAACACTTTAGTCCTGAGGAAGTTCTCATTATAACCTCTAGATTTAAGTCAGTGGATAAAGTAATATACTAGGGGTTTCCATAAAATTCACTCATTCCAGTAGTTCAAGTGAACATTTGTAATGACCCACTGTAAAAGCATGATCTCATAAACATAAGATCTTATGAAGACGACATGGGGCGTTTTCCACTCCATCTTAAAATAGCTCATATGATAATGAATTAGTGCCTAAAATGAAGGACATTTGAAATGAGTTTTAATTACAAAAGGCACAGCTGATGCACATTTCTGGACAATGGTAAGAAAAAAATATGATTAAAAGAGCAGCTTAGTGCAGTGTATTAAGTTAACCAAATATGTAACTTAGTTTTAAAAGGTGTCTGACTTCTGGGACTAGAGGAGGCTCTTTTCCCCCGTAGCTTAATAGGCTAATTAGAGTCACTACAGGCGGTTTGAGTGGTGAATACACTTAAAAAAAAAATTAGTTTGCCAGCACTGTTGAATTTGCCATAAGTGGAGTCAGTGTCTGAAATAGTTCCGTATTTCAAATAATGACATTTTATTTAGTACTCTAGAGTGCGTTAAATGGCTCCCTTGAGCATTAAAGGCATCACTCCATTTTCCAGGACCTGCGCGAAGTCTGGCTCAATTATCCTCTCCACCCACTCCAAGTAAGTATGACCTCCCTGTCTGCAGTGAGCTTTATAACTCCAGCTATTCATGTTACTTTCCTTTGCCTTTTTTTCCTTCCCCACTTTTATCTTTTGATTCTCTTCGGTGGCATTGTGCCTTTAAGCTGAGGTGTCAGACCTGGAAAACTTTGGAACAATAGGAGAATGAACCCATGCATTGTGTTTATGTGGTCTGGAATAGGGTAGGGGGAGCATTGGGAGTCATCTTCCCTCAGTGAGGAAGGAAGAGCTACTGTGTAGTTATGGATGCCCCACCACCACCAAAAGGTGATATTGAAAGCATAAAATGTTGACTCCAGTATATCTACACACTTGCTTTTGCAGGGAAAGTGTTAATAGTATGGAAGCGAGTCTGAGCATACTAAAAAAGTAGAACAAATACTAAATTAACATTGTTAACGTATGATCTAATCTGGATCTTAGAAATTGAAAGCTTCAATTCAGAGTGTATAAAACCTGTAAATTAAAAAATTAGTATAGTGTGATAGCTTTTCACTCAAGATTTTGGAATTTAAAAGCTCTACATATGGTGGTGGCACCTATTTCCCCAGATGGTTTAAGAATTCTTACTATTCTTTGCCTTTATTTCTGTTTTACTTTGGGATATATGCATATATGTAAACATCATATGTATCCTCATATACTTATTTTTATATATGTATATAAAATAAATGTAAGAAGTGGTTGAACTCTCATAAGAGGCTTTACAGTAAGAAATGACATTAATTCAGAGTACTTTAAAAATATTTTATTAATACATGAGTGCCCAAAGTTGTTGCAAATGTTCATTTTAATCACACTTTTCATATTTGCTCTCTACCAGTTGTTAAAGGCTCATTGTTGGAGCACCACCTGTCTAGTGGTATAATAATCTCCAATGTACATTGAACTCTGTTTTAATGATGCTCATTGCCAAAATAAGTTGGTCCCTAGAAAACACAGTAGTAAATTACTTTAATGCAGTAGTTTTTAAAGGGCAGACCCAGACCAGCAGCATCTGCATCACCTGGGAACATGTCAGGAAGACGGATTCCCAGTCTTGATTCCAGACATAGGAAATCAGTAATCTTGGGGGCAGGACCCAGCTGACTGCTGCGTTTAACATGCATGCTGGAGTTTGAGAACCATTGTTTTACTAGATATATATATTTTCTACCAGCTGTTCTTCAGCTCGAATCTCCTTGGAGAGTTAGTATAATACTTGGGATTTTGAACTATCTGTGTACAGTACTTGGCCTTGAAATTTGATAGAAGATTGGAAAATATTATTTGAACCTTCTTTAAATATTAGATTTGTTTGCCATTCAAAGAAATGAGAAACGAGCTTCCATGCTTTATTGGCATTTCAGAAATTTCTGCTCATGGGAGAAGGAATTTTACAAAACACTGTCCTAGAATTGATCATTGCACTTACAACCAAAAATGAAAAAATGATTTTTATTTATTTCTATTTTCCTGTAGCTACAAGAGCCAAATACTGATCGACAACTTATTGAAACTTCTCCAGTTCTACAAAAACTTACTGAGTTTGAAGAAGCAATTGGAGTAATTTTTACTCATGTTCGACTTCTGGCAAGGGCATTCACATTGAGAACTGTGGGATTTAACCATCTGACCCTGTGAGTTAAAAGTTCTCATGTAGTCCCAATGTGACCATTTAGATGAGGCAGTCCCAGACCTTTGGAGCATGCCCTTCGAAGGAATTGGGATTTCAAATATATTTCCAGGAAAGTCACATTGTGAGATGGGTGAGCAGACAGACCTCAGTGTGGACCTGGGGTTATGCTCCAATCCAATGTTGTTGGTTCCATTGTCATGCATCTTGGTTTCTCTGTTAAGTTTTAGGAGAAGTGTGAAGGAAGTATAAACTTTTTCCCAGCAGGACAGATACTAAATATTTTAGGTTTTGTGGGCCATGTGGCCTGTGTGCAGTGATTCGACTCTGCCATAGTAGCATCAAAGCAGCCATCGATGAAATGCAAATGAGTGAACATGGCTGTGTTCCAGTAAAACTTTATTCTTAGAAACAGTCCGTGGGCTGGATTTGGCTCTCTGACCCCTGCTCTAGATGAATGATTTGAAGGTGAGCTAGTGAAACAATTAAGAAAATAAGCAAAATTTTACTTCTTTGGGGTTGTTTTTTGTTCATTTTTTTACTCCCCTCTTCCAAACCAAATATTTCCAACTCTCTTTAACCTGTAAAGATGAAAGATTCTTATCATAGATTTTTTTTTGTTTTAAAATTTGGATTCCAGCTTTGAATAATGGAGTATGTTATTTCTTTTTCTTTTTCTTTCTTTCTTTCTTTTTTTTTTCTGACAGATCTCACTCTGTTGCGAAGGCTGGAATGCAGTGGCATGATTACGGCTCACTGCAGCCCTTGACCTTCAGGGCTCAAGCACTCTTCCTGCCTCAGCCTCCTGAGTAGCTGGGGACTATAGGCGTGTGCTACCATGCCTGGCTAATTTATATACACACACACACACACGGCTAATTTTTATATATATATATTTTTTTTTTTTTTTTTTTTTTTTGTAGAGATGGGGTTTCTTCATGTTGCCAGGCTGGTCTCAAACTCCTGGGCTCAAGTGATCCACCTGCCTCAGCCTCACAAAGCACTGGGATTAGAGGCATGAGCCACTGCAGCCGGCCAGAGTATATATTTCAATAAATTTAGCAAAGAAAAGTCTTGGACCTGTTTGCTTTCTTTCAAGATTGTTGTTTGTATTATGCTTGATTTTTCAATTTATGCTCTTCAGCTTCTGACCAGGCAGTGTTTACCAGTCTTTATTTTGGCAATCGTTTAATCCTTAGATAATATTCACTTTATTCTTCTTTAAAACTCAGCCTATATTAACTCAGATCTCTTCTCAATCGAGGGGCCTTAGGGAATTGTATTTGGTTTTGTGCTTTAAAACAAAATGAACACATTGTCTTTTTAAGTCATTCCTTTTTTAAAATTCTGGGTGTTTTTTTGGAAATCCATAAATGGTTATTGATTTCTTTACTTTGATGTTTCTTTTTCCAGAGGCCACAATCAGAGAATGGAATTCCTAGGTGACTCCATAATGCAACTGGTAGCCACAGAGTACTTATTCATTCATTTCCCAGATCATCATGAAGGACACTTAACTGTGAGTTGGTTAAATCACTTCCTCCAATAAGATTGCTGTAAAGCAGAGTGAAGATTAGAGGGGTCAAATATATATCTATGTAATTAATTTCTTACTCTTAGTGACTTTAGCTTATCATTGGCTTTGTTCATTTCATTGTGCAAATTGTATACAAAGCACATATGCAATGAGAGCTCATTTTATACTCCTTTATTTACTGACTGCCTACTCTGTGCAAAATATTGAGCTAGGCCTCATGGAAGGAACAAAGATAAGTTGACACCAAGTCTGTTTACAAGGAGCTTAAAAATTATTAGAGGAGATTAAAGCTTAAATAAATAACCACAAAATAAACACTGTATATATATCATGAGTTTATACATGTAGATACACACTATAGAAAGCTTAAGTTACTATAACTAAATGCAAGGTAGAACATGTTAAATATTATAAAGAAGCCTAGGTAAATTGCTGTACTTGTGCAGTTTAGGAAAATACGAGGTTTCTTCTATCTGTGGAGTTCAAAGAAGGCTTCATGGGTATAATGATGTTTGAGCCTTTAAAGATAGTTAGGATTTAGCCATTGGGATTTGGTGGGAAGAAATGTCTATGCAAGGGCAGTACACACACTGGGACTGCAGAACGAAAAGGCATGGCATAAAAAAAATGAGAAGACTGAGAGGCAGTAGGGACTTAGTTTGGTTAGACCATGGCAGAGTTGAAAGGGAGTTACAGAGACAGGTTTGATTTATAAACAAAGTGAAATGGTCCCTATGCCTCTTATTTTGGTTTCATTTTATAAAACTTTTGTGAGCTTTTTTATTTGTTGCGTACTGTTTTTACTCTGTGAAACCAATCAATAATATCCTGAAATGGTGAACAAAACATCCAGAAGGAGGTCATGATGATCTCTTAAGGCACAATGAGTAACCTTTGAGAAGTCCCTTGAGGACTGGACATTGAGAAAGCAAATACTTTATTGGGCAAAGAAAAATACTGGTACACTGCAAGATACTTAGTGCAGTCTGTCTTTAGTATGTTGAAGCAAATAACAAGTCTTTCAAACTTTGCATCTCTACAGTTTTTATGTGTGTTCTGCTTTGAATAGAATTGGATTTTATCTTTGTAACCGTGAGTGAGCCCTGGAAATAGTTTATGTGAGACATAAATATTGGAACTAGAGAGAATATGGTGACTTGGCTGTTTAGATGTCATTTTTCAGTGGAATTTCTAAGCCTAGCATTCACTCACTCGATGAGTATCTCTTGAGTTCCATCATAAGTGCTGAGGAATCAGCAGTACTCTTTTTTTATATTAAGTTTGATTACCATTTAAAGTTAACAGTTTTTAGGTGGACAAGAAAGTGTCTTTTTCATGACTTAATATTAAATTCATAAACTATAAACATTTTTGAGAAATGAACTATAGTATCTTACTGTTCATTAGAAAAACAATAAATTGCATGTTCAATATCCTCTGACACTTCATACGTGTCAGAGTATCTGGTTGGCCCGAGAAATGGCCAAACCAACTAAATAGTTTGAAATAGTAATTCATCTTAGGGCCCTATAGAGGCCACTTTTGAAAATGTTTGCTTTAAATACACACATTTCCCCTGGTATTCCTACAAAATTAATTGTGAACGCTAGGATCTTATAGAGATGGGAAGTTTATTGTTTCCCACCTGCTCACCGTGTACATTTTCCCTCCCACCCCACTCCCCCACCCCCAGCATTGAACAGTACGGAAACCAAAACTCAGAAAGGCATGAGTCCTGTCCATGATCTAGAGAAAGGTAAAACTAGGACTAGATGAGAGACTCTAGTTCTGTGTTCTTTCCAAAGTCACTTCAATGCCAGAAGTGTAGTTTTATCCAAAATGTATTTAACAGCCCTGCTGTCTTAATATTAGAAAGTTTTTGACTAGCTTATTACAGTGATGTTGACAAATGATAAAATTATGTGAAGGCTTTTTGAATTATATTCACAGAACGCTTTGGTAGAAATTAGCAGGACCAGCAGATCTGCGGGCAAGACAAAGACAAAGAATAAGCTAAATGCAGATTCTAACAGATACCAACTCCCATTAGCATTAACATGGCTGCTCCCTCCTCCTTCTTGAAACACAAGCTTTGTTGGCTTCTGTCACGGTGCACTTTCCTGGGTTTCCTCTTACCTCTTTAGCTACTCTTTCTCAGCCTACTTTGCAGACACATCTTAGTCTCACAGCTAATAAACAGTCCATGTCTAAAATGCTCACTCTTAGGCCATGTTCTCTTTTTAATAGAGTCTCTCCTACCAGTCTTTTCAATGTGTGTCATCAGTTTCATCTTACCGGCAGATGACTTCTAAACTGATCTCTTCAGTCCTGTCTCCCTTCTGAGTTCCAGCCCTAGCTGCCTTCTCAACATCTCAACATGTGTAAGACTGAATTTGTAGTCTCCTGCCTGGGTCCTCGTCCAGTATTCCCTGAGTAATTGAATGGCAGCACCACCCATTCAGTGTTGCATGTCAGAAACCTAGGAGACATCTTGAATGCCTCTCTCTATCTCCCTTTTCTGTATCCCAGTCCATTCACAAGCCCTGACAGTGTTATTCCTCAAGTATTTCTTGAATTTATCCTCTTCCTTATGAGCTTTTTTCTGTCACCCACATCCTCCCTAGCTGCCTTACTCACCTGGACCACTGCAGTTTAATTTCTGCATAACTATTGATACGTTACAAGGGCCAGGTATGGTGGTTCATGCCTGTAATCCCAGCACTTTGGGAGGCCAACCTGGGAGGATTGCTTGAGCCCAGGAGTTTAAGACCAGCCTGTGCAACATAATGAGACTCCATCTCTACAATAAAATAAAAAACTAGCTTGGTAGAGTGGCATGCATTTGTAGCCCCAGTTACTTGGGAGGCTGAAGTGGGAGGATCGCTTGAGCCCAGGAGCTGTGGTTGCACCACTGCACTCCAGGCTGGGCAACAGAGCAAGACTCTCCTCTCTCTGTCTCTCTCTCTCTCTGTGTCTCTCTCTCTCTGTCTCCCTCTCTCTCTCTCTCTCTGTGACACACACACACACACACACACCACACACACATAGAGTTACAGTGTGATTGATAGAGACCCAGTTGAAAGAAGTGATGTTTATTAAATTGCAAAGGATAGGAATCTGAAGGTTGTGTTCATGCAAAACATAAGGCAATGCAGCATCTTCCCGTGAGAGGAGTGGGCTGCTGGAGTCCCCAGGTGTCTCCTGGATGTATCCTAATATTTGAAAAGCCTGCCTTTGCTGTTCTTACGGGCATTTTTGAACTCTGAGAGATGGACAGCCTCTCAGGCAGAAATCCTTCAAGAGGCCCAGATCTCAGGCCTTTGTGAAGTCATTTTTGCAGCTTCCTACCCTGGTCTTCCTATGTCAACTCATGCCCCTGCCCAATCCATTTTACATGCTGTAGTCAAAGGAGTCTCTTCACAACAAATCTACGCTGGCCTTTCATCTACAGTGACTACACTGTGACGACACCAGCCATTCATCTTCAGTCCCATTTGGTTGTTTCTCTTCCTCTCTCCACCTCTTAACATTGGAGTGGCCCAGTTCTCAGTCGTCAGACCTCCTCTCTGTCAACTTCTGCTCCGTAAGTGATCTCATTCTGTCTCATGGCTTTGAATACATCTTTACACTACTTCCTAATTTGTGTCTTTGGCCTTTTCCCTTTCCTTTTTCTTGTACATTTGTTTAAGTTCTGTGTAGATTCTGACCACTTTTATGGTTATCACCCGGTCTGAGCCACTGCAGTCCAGATTATTAGCTATAACCTCCCAAGTGATTCATACCCCGCGCCCCAGTCAATTTTCAGCACATCTAGAGGGATCATTTTTAAAGAGAAGCCGGATTACATTCCTCTTCTGCACAAAACCTCCCAAACCTTCCCATCTCAAGAGTAAAAGACAATGTTGTTACAGTCACCTTATATGAACTGGCTCCCTGTCTCTGTTTTTCATAAGACTCTTCACATTGGCCTGTATGCCAGTTCCTGCAGGACACTAAGCAAGCCCTTGCCTCAGGGCCTTTGCAGTGCATTTTATCTGGCTGCAGTATTGTTCTCCTGGTAATCTATACGGCCAAATCGCTCACCTCCTTCAGGTCTCTGTTCAGATGTCATCTTATCAATAAGGCCTTCCTTAACCTACCCTGAATAAATAGGCAACCACTTCCCCTTGTCCCTAGCACACCTCCTCAGCCTGGAACCTCTCATGCCTTTCTCCTCCTTAGCATATAGTATGTAATGTACTTGTTTACTATCTGTCTTCTCCAATCAGAGTGTAAACTCCATGAAGGCCAGGGTTTTTGTTTGTTTTCTCCATTCCTGATTCCTTGGTCCCTGGGAAGTACCTGGCATATCAGTGCTCAGCAAGTATGCTTTGACTGAATGATCATCCTATCCCAGCTTAACTCTCTACAGTTGCTCTTCAGATAGTTTCTAAAGAACAGGCAAAGCCCTGGGTGGTCTGGCCTTGCCCGCCTGCCCAGCCTCGTACCACAGGCTCTTGTTCTCACTCTGCACCTCTGCACTGAGCTGCTATTTGCATTTCTCCAGGCCTCCTCCTGCCAGCAGGCCTTTGTGTATGCTCTTCCTCTCCCTGGAAGCTGTTCTGTTCTAGCCCTTACTTTTATGTGCCTGGTATCTTCTACTCTTCCTTTAGATGTCCTTTCTGGTGTGACTTCTGGATGCGGGAAACTTTCCCTGACCACCCTTACCCATCCCGCCCCCGCATCAAAATTCTGTGTTGTTTTCCTTCCTGGCCTTTACCTCAGTTTGCCTACCCCAATGGACTAGAAGTTCTTTGAGAGCATGTTTTTGTTCATCACTGTATGCTCAGCAGTGCCTGGCATATGATAGGCCCTCAGTATATCTTTGCTAAATAAATAGAAGAGTGACAACTGTGCAGTCAGCTAAGTCAAGAGGGAAGAGGCAGTGGCACTGGAGGGAAGTGGACTGTTGCTTTATATATAAGGGAAGAAGCGGAAGGCTTACTTATGAGTGTCTAAGGATTAAAATTAATTTAAAATTTGGAGAGGATTACTTATTGCAGTTGCATTGGTTGGGGGATGGCAAATGATTCATTATTGTGATTAAAGAGCACACAGCTACAGTAATTCACATTGGGAGGCATTAATTAGCTTTGAGCCATTCCCTTGCACACTTAAAGGGAATAAGGACAATTGAGCAAATGTAATATGGCTTTCAAGTTTTGAATGCTGATGGGGAAAAACATTCTGTTCTGTAAGTTGGCTATTCAAAAGGCCTACTCGGGAAGGAGTGTTAGGCTTATCCAATTGTTCTAGGATAACCGAGTTTGCATTGGGCTATAGAGGGAAGTTCTGTTTCATATGCTGAAGTTTTTAGTTTTTAGGTTGGTGTATGCAGTAGGGTCAAGGTATAAATTGTGAGAACACCTCAAATTAAGTGTTTACACAGGCCAGGATGCCTGTAATGTAACCCTTGGAAATCTTAAGCCATAGGAGTTTTCTCCTCTGTATCATTCTTCTTTCTTAGCCTTTACTCTTTGCTAAAAATAGTTGCTAATCTCCGTGCCTGCTGTGTTCAAGGCACTGTACCCAATGGTGGCATGCACTATAGCGGTGATGAACCTACAGTTTTTGTTTGTTTTTAATGATTTGGGATAATGGGAAAGAGAGCAAGGATTACAGATAAAAAGCTCAAGAACCAGTGATCTAATCCTGCCCTGATGCTTCCACACAGCACTGAGCATAAATCATTCAGACAAACAGGTATTTTATCTAAAAGATCTCGTTGAGAAGATAGATTACACAGCCTCCTGTATGAGGATTTCTGTCACTGACATAATTTGGCTCTTTGTATCTGACCTGTATTTGCCTGCTAGCATTTATGTACCTTTTCTTTAGTTATCACAGGAAATGGAGACCATCTGGCGACCACTCTTGTTATAATAGAGCTGTGTGGCATATTATTGTCACTTTCAATAGTATATTCTGCTTTCACCCCGTGTTCTTATATTAAGCCCTCAAAATAATAAATCACAGTCTGCTTAATTTACACTAGGTGTCCCTCTTTGGTAGCTCATCCCCCAGCTGTGGTTTTTCCCTTCAGATTCAAGAGTGAAATTGGGAACTTGAAGGAAGATTGTCAATATGTATGTTTTATTTAAACGAATAAATCTTTTTCTTATGAAAGTTTAAAGTAATGATGAAAGACTGCTATGCTGGCATAATAGAAAACATCCTGGATTCTCAATACCAGAGTTTGAGATCTGGGATATTTACATTGGTCTCTGACATTGCACCAGGAATTCAGCAGTCCTTTCCTCAGGTTTACAGAGAGCTTTAATTATAGTCTTCTTAGTCATTTCTGGTGATTTCAAATTAAACTTTGTCTTTTTGGAAGTATTTTTTTTAAAGTTGTTGATGACAGGTTAGCACCTGGTAAAATGGGGAATTTTGAGGACAGTGAGTGGACAGGACGGGTATCCAAAACATTTTACATTGAAAACAAATTCAGAGGAATTCTTAGAATTTTCTAGAACCTTTTCCCATAACTGAAGAGCAAACATATTTTGTCGAATTATGATGATGCTGTTGTGAATAACACAGCAACAGCTAACATTTCTGTTGTGTTTATCATATGCCAGTCATTGTAGTTAGATTATATGTCATCCACTCTAATTCTCAAAACAATCGTGAGAGCTAGGTACTACATTCTCCATTTTATAGATGAGGAAACTGAGGCTCAGAGATATTTAATAACTTAGACAGGTTCACTTAACTAGGAAGTGCCAGAGCCACAATTTGAACCCAGGTAACTTGGTGCTAAATCTTTTGCTTTTTGCTATCTCTAACACGAGGCATTGTTTGCAAAATAGTCTGATAACTGTCTTCTGCTCAATTGGGTGCTTAATGTTTATTTTCTAGATTTCCACTAAAATATATAAATAGATATTTCCCCTTTGTAAAATAGTAATTTATAACATCACCATCTACAGGCTTTTCAACTTCATGTCTTGATGTCATTTAAATCCTTCCGCCAAAACAATCTTTCTAAAATAAAAAAAAAATTACCTCACAACTGCCCCCATTTGATATCTTTTGGGATTCCCCTTCCCCTACAGGAAAGTGCAGTCTTCTTCACATCACCTGCCAGCCTCACTGCATCAGCTCTCCTCCCTTGGCTCTGATTTCCCCTCCAGGTCCACCCAGTGGTCACCTTGCTGTGTAATGGCCCCTTGCATTTGCCATAGCTGCTCTCTCTTCCTTGGAAACCCTTTCCCACCCTTCTCTCACTGGCTGACTCAGTCTTTTTCACTTCTGATTCTGTGTTCATCAGAATCCACCTACATCAATCTTTTCAAAAGTTAGATCTCTAGAAATGTTGATTCGTTGGTTCTTGAAAGAAGCCTGGGCACCAGCTTTTCAGAAGCACCTTATGATTCTGGTGTTACAGCCAGGTAAATGAGGCCCTGAAATGCTTTTACTCAAATGTCAGCCCTCCTCCAGGAGGCCTCCCTGGAAAGCTGAGGTCTAGAGGAGCACCTGCATGTATCTGCAGTCTCTGTGCTGGCACTGCAGCCACCACAGTGCATTGCAACAGCCGGTCTGCACGTGGCTTCTGAGGAGGGTGTCAGTTCCTGAGGGCAGCAGCAGCACGTTGCTCCTCTCAGGATCTTCAGCTGTCAGCACGGGGCCTGGCATGTAATTGGTCTGCACCCACTGGTGCACTGAACTGCCATAACCTCAGGTTTTCTTTCTTGCTGATACCCCTGGGTCATGTTCTTTGGCAAATAACATGATTCATTATGAAGTAGAGTTCAGCAAAGGACAAGGATGAAAGTTGTCATTTAGAGAACTGCCATTCAGACTTTCTTGTCTAGGTAAAGAGCAAGGTCTTCTCTCTTTTCAACTCATTTTCTAAATTTAAACTGACGATGAGAATATGGATGATGTGTAGCTTCCTTCTCCCCCACTGATTTTTGGTTCAGGCTCTGGGTTTTTGGCAAGAACTTACAGATCTCACTTATTATTGGCCACCCTTCTGCTTTAAGACCTGTCAGGGCTTGTCTGAAATAAAACTGGAAGCACTTCTGATTCCATCCTCACTGCTTTCCTCCTTCACCGTCAGACAGCATTACTGTATAGCACTGAGTGAGGGGCCCTGACACTGGAAGGTGGCAGGTGGGGCCTGGCCGCCAGTGAGGTATCATCATTTGTGTGTGCTCATGTGTGCGTTGGGCTTGTTGTATCTGAGGCATGAACATTCCATATACACGGCTTAAAGAGTTTTCTTCCCATACCGAAAGCATATATTCGGAGAGGACCCAACTTATTCAGCATAGCCTTGTTCCCATAGTAGCCATCCTATTCCCCCACAGCCTCTACTTTAGGAAAGCTCCCCGTCCCCATATGAAATCCAAACCAAAAAAGATATATCACTTTCAGCTCAATTATTCCATAATTACAAGATATTAGGCTAGTGGGCTCTTTATTGGTTGGGTCTTATATTAATGTTATATGCTAGCCTTGTAATTTTGAGCTCCTCTATGGATGTTAATTTTAGTGAAACTCTATATTGAAGAAAAGATGGGACTAAGGGGGAGACAGGAGGAGGAAAGAAAGCAGAGACAGGCAAAGAATCATAGCCTGAAATTCAACAGCAAGCATGGCTTATGAAGATCAAGTTATATTTTTGCTTCATGAATCATTGTCAGACAAATTAAGAACATATTGTTTCTTATTTATCTATTGTCAAGGATTCACTATCAGACACTAAGAATAAATCTTGATTTTCATAAGCTCTGTTGACACCATGGAGCCACAGAGCATAAAACTTGCATCTAATAAAGAAAGTGCAACATGGAACAGCAGGGAGTGGAATACCAGCACAACTCACAGCTGCTTCCTGTTCCTCGTCCCTGTTTTCAGGAATGTTTCTTAGCAGGAAGTTTTTTAATAGACCGAGAATTTGTTATATGTATTCTAAGAAAAGTTGTAGTTGTAGATGCATTACTCTCCCAAATCTTAGAGATCAGGGATGATTATGTTCCATTTTTGTTTGGTGAGTTCCCATCTTTGTATGTACCTCCTTGCTCCCGGCTGTCCTCCTCTCCTCTTCCCTAGTGAGTGGTTAATGAGTGTTAATGCCTAAACCATACTTGTTTTATGGACACTTCTATAATGGATTCGTTGCATAATTTTCATGCAGTGTATAGTGTTACTAGTTGGAAATTCTTGGAGGACTCTTAGCTGTCTGATGAAATTCCTAGTAGAAATTTTTGTTTTGAATTCCTAAAGTTGAAATATGAAAATTATATTTTAATTTGATTAGAGACAAAGGATACCAGTATGGGCTGGGCGCAGTGGCTCACGCCTGTAATCCCAACACTTTGAAAGGTCAAGGTGGGTGGATCACTTGAGCTCTGGAGTTCGAGACCAGCCTAGGCAACATGGTGAAACCCTGTCTCTACAAAAAATACAAAAATTAGCTGGGCATGTTGGCAGGTGCCTATAGTCACAGCTACTCGGGAGGCTGAGGTGGGAGGATAGCTTGAGTCCAGAAGGTGGAGGTTGCAGTGAGCCAAGATGGTGCACCACTGCACTCCAGCCTAGGCAACAGAGCAAGAGCCTGTCTCAAAAAAAAGGATATCAGTATGAAAAACTGAGACTCAAGCTAGATACCATAAATCTTTAAAATAATAATAAAATAAAAATGTAAATAAATAATTTAAATCTTTTCATAGTATTTACTTAAACCTCACTTAAGTCCTATAATATCAAAATTAGCATCAGTGCCGTGAAACTTGAAGCTTATTTTAGACTTAAAAAAAAATCCTTTAAAATTAATGTACAGTGACAAAAAGCAGGCCGTTTGCCTGGTCAGGGGTTGGGAAGGATTCACTGCATGGAGATGCTGGGAATTTGTTTGGAGTGATAAAAATGTACATGTTTTTCAAAACTCATCTAACTGTGCACTGAAAATGGGTGCATTTTATTGAATGTAAGTTACACTTTAATAAAATTGATTTTAACACTCTTAATGCTTCCTTATTTTGTAGCATTAAACTTATTAGAAACTATGACCTTAAATCTTATTATACATCCCCCCTCCCCCACCACAGCCCTGCCCCAATGCTCCTAAAGAAGTAAATGAGCCATTTATGTCAGTAAGGTAAAAATCCAGGATAGTAGAGTGGAGTACGTTATTAAGGAGAAGGTAAATGGGCATGGAGCATATCACTGTCATCTGGGTGATGGTTGAGGCCATAGACCTCACTTATTTTGGTGTCCCTGTCAGTGACAGCCTCTCAGGCTAGTTGGGTCCAACCCAGGAATAAGAGAGGTCAAAAGTGAAATGTGTTCTCAATGTACCGCCATTCCTTTTGGGCAGTTGTTGCGAAGCTCTTTGGTGAATAATAGAACTCAGGCCAAGGTAGCGGAGGAGCTGGGCATGCAGGAGTACGCCATAACCAACGACAAGACCAAGAGGCCTGTGGCGCTTCGCACCAAGACCTTGGCGGACCTTTTGGAATGTGAGTGCCACACACTTTTCTCTCAACCTCCAGGTTCAGAGTTTAAGTCCAAGTAACCGTATTTGTCCTCCTCCTCATTATTATTATGTTCTGGCTAAAGAAACCTTGTTTGCTATTTTAATTTTTTATGCTTTTTACCAAAGCTTTTCTGAAGGAAAATAATTTGAAACTAAGACATGTGAATAATGAATTTTTATGTTCAATCTATGTTCAGTGGTACCCCCAACACATACCCCTCCATCCTAACACTCAGCTACCACATCCCTTTGTGTGAAACAGTAATAGAATATGAAGATCAGTTGTTGTAAATCAGAGCCTTTTTGCCACCCAGCAGCCTTCATATAGGGGCACAGAAGAAAGAAGGGTAATTTATTCACTAAATACTGAAACTATTATTCATTGTTTTGAATGAGTGCAAAGCTCTGCGGACAAATGTCGTCTTTTGCAGTTTCCGATATGGTCTGGCAGCATTGTAAATAATCCTATTATAGTTAACGAAAGGATTATACACATAGTTGTATTGTTTGTATTACTTCAAAATAAGTGGGCCATTCACTGAGCCTTAGAACTTTTTTTTTAATGTTACGGTATTTTTGACAATGGGAATTATATTCAAGTATCAAAGTCTACCATGCAAAACTAGCTTATTTACAAAGTGCAAAGGCATTCTGACTAAGGAACTTAAAAGAACTTCTTTTTCAATGAAAGAAAAGTAATTTAAAGATGAAAATCACATAAAAATTAAACAGAGAGATCATTCTTTTTTTTTTTTTTAGCTCAATGAAAGCTATTTTTATTCCTTCTTTTGAAAATGCACCATTTGTTTGCTTTGTCAAGGTACCTTTAAATGAAGTCATCCTAGGGGGTCACCATTTATTAATGCAAAATTTGACATATTGTTGTCATTAAGATCAGTATTAAGTTTTTCTCTTTTTGGGCAGATTGAATCTATAAATTACCCCATTTCTGTTCATTAAATTTAACATAGAATCCTTAAAAACAGGGGATCTCAGGATTGGTGTTGAAAATGGCAAGACCCAAGAATGTGCGTATTCTGGCATCATATCTAATCTTCAAGTAATATTTTGACTTATTTGATGTGAACAGGGTTGGGTGCTCAGCATTTTTTCCCTGATATACAGCGGCATTCTGTGTACCTTTTAAGCTATTCCTTTAGCCCTTAGCTAAATGCAGTTTGGTGTTTGTACTCTATGATTTGCATCTTACACATCTCTTGCTGCTTCTGATATTAATGATAAAAAGTGGGGGAAGATGAAATGGTAGCACTGAAAAATAAAGAGGGCCTGGAAGTTGAAACTATTACTAAAATTTTGCTTAAAGGTCTAGGTCTCTTACTCTTTCTGATAGATGGCAGTGATTGTGGTTTATTTTAAAGTATTCTTTTTTCCCCAGCATTTATTGCAGCGCTGTACATTGATAAGGATTTGGAATATGTTCATACTTTCATGAATGTCTGCTTCTTTCCACGATTGAAAGTAAGCTCATATAAAGTTTGAATTAGTGGTCTGCTTTATGTTTGGTGATTCCAGAACCCATTACTAAATAGTTTTGGGGGACTTCCACAGGAGTTCATTTTGAATCAGGATTGGAATGACCCCAAATCCCAGCTTCAGCAGTGTTGCTTGACACTTAGGACAGAAGGAAAAGAGCCAGACATTCCTCTGTACAAGTAAGTACTTGTTGCCTGCAGGCCATTGGTTGGATCCAGCATGCCTAAAATTGACTTTCCATGTGCCTTGAAGAATGAGTCATTGTGGGGTGATCATGACAGGAGCCCAGGATTGAGACTTCTTGGCTGTTAGTGTGACTTTGGGCCCCACAGGGAAACTCACTGGGGCTCTCACTCTTAGCTGTAATAAGTGGGTCCCACTCCATTATCTCAATGTTCTCTCCCATTTCTAAAAATCTCTGTGAACTACTGCCTGGGAGGGAGACCAACTAAGATTATGAGATTAAAAAGAAAATTTGGATTCAGTGGTTTTTATATACATTTTTATATTTGTCTTCTTGCTTGTAACTTCTGCTGGGCTGTGCATCCAGATGAGAAGATCATGTATGATTATTTGTAGCGATATTTGGGTACCTCTCTGCACTTTCCCTGAACCCCTATTGGCTTCAACTTGGAACTTTTCTTCTCAGAATGTGTGTCAAAAGCCATCATGTACTTTGAATATCTTTATCCTTTGAGTGGTAGCCAAAAGTCATTAAAAAGGAATGTAGGTGAGTAATGGGTCACTACACCACTTAATACCCGTTTTGATGAAAACAGGAGGTTCAGCTCTGAAGTAGAGTAATTATCTTGAGACACACATAGGTTGATTAAGAAGATGCTTTCAAAGTGGAATTACAAAATGAAAGGATTATTGAAATAGGTGGGTTGCATCTCAAGGTATTGTCTGGGTACATGATTTTAAGGATGTTTAAAGATTGTTTCAAAACTGTTTCACCCCATGTGGATGCATACACGGTTGCAAGCACACACATCTGTGTGTGTGTTCTGTATGGAGTAAAAGCTCCCCTTTGGACTTTCTCAAATTTCAAAATACACAAGGAAAAACATTAGACTGGCAGTTGGGAATTTTCAATCCTTTCGCATGTTTTTATTTAACAGTCACAACACTTTATAGGCCTTTTTGCTAAAGAGAAACTAAGGCCAGAAGAAGAGGTTGAGTCACCCCACAGCAAGCTACTATAAATTACACCAAGAAGTTGTCACTGCTAAACCATATTTCCTTTATTTATTGGGGGAAAAAAGCCCCAAATGTTTAGAAATAGCACTTTATTATGTGCCTAATAAGCATAATGAATATCCAAACTGTATTCTATGAAAGGCTCATAGCATTTCCTCATCAGAGTGATAATTAAGGTTCAATAAATAAAATGAGGATGCTAAACTTTCCATAGCAAAGGCATGATTACTGTAATAGTACTACCTTCAAGAAGCCACTCGTGCACATTCATCCCATGGAGCGTACGAACACAAAGGAAATTGCTATGCTCCCTTCTCATAAATCCCCCAAATGAAAGTACAAGATGAGTTTGCTCATTTTATCAAGATCATGGGGTTGTTTTACATGGTTTTTTTTAAGATTACTATGTTCATTCCATTATCTTTGTTGGCTACTTTTAATTTCCCTTTTCCATGAAGTTATTAGTTTTACTGCATTTGAAATCTGCACCATGTCATTAAAATCCCAAGTACCTGGAGCTTTGTTTTTTTGGCGATTGTGTTGTGTACTTGGCATTATAGCGTACCTTTCAAGTGATCTCAGATGTTTCAGAAATTAAATACATTTTCTGATCTTTTAGATAAGATACAGACATTAGAAAGAATCCATAAAGGATGTGAAAGCATTCAGATGTGGCTTGAAGTGTATTACCCCAATATTTATTGTTTTAGGCTGTGATTAGCACTGAAAACCAATAGACAGGAGCTCTTAACTTTTCATGATAAAAGTTTGTGAATATGCACACTTAGAAATTCTTTGAAAATATTTTACACTTCACTGTTAGCCTTTTGATGTTATTTATATTACTTTGGGAAGAAATATTAAAATACAATGCAGAATTTTTAAAAATTTCTATTTCAAATGCTCTCGATATTTGTCGGATTAGCAAATCAAAAACTTAACTCTTTTTACCTTTCTGCCATTTTCACATTTCCTGTTATTTTACTTAACTCTGTCTAGGCACTAAGTACATGGTTTTCCTCATAGTTACATAGTAACCATGACAAATAACACTTTACCATAATAAATGTTCTTTCCTTTCCCTTTCAGGACTCTGCAGACAGTGGGCCCATCCCATGCCCGAACCTACACTGTGGCTGTTTATTTCAAGGGAGAAAGAATAGGCTGTGGGAAAGGACCAAGGTATGAGAAGAGAATACCTGGAATTGCTTTGAATGAACATCCTGTGTGTCTAATTCCCTAGCTGCTATCTCCAAACTCAGTCATCTGTCTTTTTTAACTCAGAGAATAAAATGTTCAAGAGTAGTAGCAAAGTGAATTCCAGGAATTAATGTCCCCACATTAATTGTCTCAAAGCCGAGCCCTGGACCATGGGAATACCATTGTGTAAGGGGGCTTTAGCTATCTTGAGAAAACCATATTACCTGGCAAGAAGGTCTGCCTAGTTTTAGTTACCCAGAGCACACTTTGATGCAAGCTGTGTGTGTAAGATGTGTCATGTCGCACATGACACGACCATTAGACTTTTATTTATTTTTTTTTTTGGAGACAGAGTCTCACTTTGTCACCTAGTCTGGGGTACAGTGGCATGATCTCCATTCACTGCAACCTCTAATTGTGCCTTGGCTACTCGAGAAGCTAGTATTACAGGCATGTGCCACCATGCCTGCTAATTTTTGTGTTTTTAGTAGAGACAGGGTTTTACCATGTTGGCCAAGCTGGTCTCGAACTTCTGACCTCAAGTGGTCCCAACCCCCCCTCAGCCTCCCAAAGTGCTGGGATTTTAGGTATGAGTTCACTGTGTCCAGCTCTGTTAGACATTCGATTTACTACTACTCACCTGAGCTGTATGGAAACGCTAGCATCTTTAGGTGAAAAGAATTATGTATATTATCACCTTTCTTTGAACTCTCCAGTCTGTATCTTAAACTGAGAAATGATTTGAAACCTGTCTGTATTTTTTTTTATTCTTTTCCTCTTTAAACTTTACAGTGAGGGTATTCAAACTTAAGTATGAAATACTTCAGACCTAACATAAATGGAAGGCATTTTATTGCAGTATTAAAGTGTGGAGTGAATAACTTAAGTAGGCTTTGTGCAAATCAATGACATTTCTGCATGCTCTTGTGTATATTCCTATCTGTGCAATTCAGTGTGTGACACTGTAAGTAATCAGAGGAGATTTTATGCACTGAACGTGAAAATCAGCCTGAAAGATTTGTAGCCATACCTTGCATTTTTTGAAAAAAAAAAAAAAAAAAAAAAAAGAATCTTGAAATTAAAGTATGTCTTACTTTATTTTATTTAATAGTATTCAGCAAGCGGAAATGGGAGCAGCAATGGATGCGCTTGAAAAATGTAAGCCTGTTTTTTTTTCTATAATTATGTTCATAATGTAATGAGTGTTTTATGGAAAGGAAATGAGGAAGGAGAAAAATGGTAAGTATTGATAAAATGTGATCTTGTTTTCTTCAGAATTATTCTTTACACAGAGAATATAGTAGAATGTGAGACATTCTAAAATGGGCTTATATTTAAAAATAAAAGTATTCCTGAGTGCTTTTTGATTTGCAGTTTCCTTTTTTGCTTAGAGTCCTAATCTCAGCGCGGGTGACCTGTGTGAACTGCCTGCTGTGTTTTCTTTCTTTTTTTTTTTTTTGAGATGGAGTTTCGCTGTTGTTGCCCAGGCTGGAGTGCAGTGGCACAATCTTGGCTCACTGCAACCTCTGCCTCCCCGGTCCAGGTGTCAGGTGATTCTCCTGCCTCAGCCTCCCCAGTAGCTGGGATTACAGGTGCCTCCTACCACACCCAGCTAAATTTTTGTATTTTTAGTAGAGATGGGGTTTCACCATATTGGCCCGGCTGGTCTGGAACTCCTAACCTCAGATGATCCACCCACCTGGGCCTCCAAAAGTGCTGGGATTACAGGCATGAGCCACTGCACCCGGCCTGTGTTTTCTTTCATACATTTCTCTATTCTCTAAAATCTTGTAACAGAAAAGTATACGTGTGAAGGTTTTCTGTTTTTTGTTTTGGCCATTGTTTTATTAAATGGGCTGTTATTACATACTTCTCTGTACCTTTTTTTGCTCAATAATGTATCATGAGCAGCCCTGCAGATTATAGAAAACAGCTCCAATTCATTCTTAGTGGCTGCATAATATTTCCTGCTGTAGGTGTGCAATATTTTATTCAGCCTTTTTATTATTGGTGGACATTTTTTTTTAAATCATTATCACCAATAAATGTTATATATTGGTGCTTTTTAGTTCTGTGGAATAGGTTCCCAGGAGTGGGATGCGTGGGTTGAAGAAACTTCAATTACATGATTGACCTTGTAGGAAACTGCATAGTCTTTTGTAAACTGAAGGCTTAAGTGCAAGGGATTTTTCTTCTGAGGTCTGTTGTGCTGCACAGCAGAACCTGTGGGCGCAACATGACAGTGCAATTCTATTATGCTTCAAGTACCCTGCTAAATGAGGTAGGAGACAGCAAAATGCGGGAAGCTAAAAGTGAAGAGGCCCAGAATCCTCAGGCATGGGAGAGATTCCAGGAAAGGCAAGCAGGCCAACAGCCAAGTGGAAATCAGCAAAGTTTCCTGTTCAGGGGCAGGGAGTTTAGTGGGAGCAGACGCTGATGCTGCCAGGGTCCAGCATCCATGGATTCTTCACTGAGAGTTTTAAGCTGGCTATTAGGAACTTCATCCATTGTACATATAAATTTGCAATCAGAGTGAAATAAAAGTGAGATTCCATTTTTTGTTTGTTTTCAACTATAAAACAGTACTGGAGAGATCACCTATTCTGAGACAGGCCTGCATATCCATACTGGTAGGAGTGAGTTGTTTAAACTACTGGAAAGCAATTTGGCAGTATGTAGCAGTTCCTTAAAGAAGTTCATACCCTTGGTAGGCCAAGTTGGAAGACAAAAAATTAAAAAAAAAAAAAAAATTAGCCAGGCTTGGTGGCATGCACTTATAGTGCTAGCTACTTGGAAGGCTGAGGCCAGAGGATCACTTGAGCCCAGGGGTTCGAGGCTGCAGTGAGCTATGGTCATGCCACTGCACTCCAGCCTGTCTCTTCCCCTCCCCGCCAAAAAAAGTTTATACCATGAGAATCATGACAACTTGATTTATAGTAGCAGATAAAAAAAACCTATGTGTTTTAGAGTAGGAAAATGTTTAATAAATTGTGGTATATCCCAGGGGTTAGGAAACATTTGCTGTAAAGGGCCGGATAGTAGGCATTTTAGACTTCCCAGACCATATAATCTCTGTCGCAATTCTCCAACTCTGCCATTGCAGCCCACTGGCCTGGATAGTGTGCAAACTAATGGATGTGTCTATTTAATGGGTGTGTCTGTCTGCCAATAAAAATTTATAAAAACAGATAGATAGCTGTATTTGGCCTGTGGATAGTAGTTTACCAACCCTTGCTATACCCAAATGTTGTATGCATTACAGTAATGGTTTTAAAAACTAATGATATGGGAAAATGCTTATACTAGAATAAGTGAAAAAAAGTATACCCATGAATACATACCTATATTGTACTTTCCCAATGAGTAATGATTTTAAATGTTCAAGTGTCTAGGTGTATGTGTGTGTGTGTATATATATGTATATATGTATGTATATACACATTTACATTGCATATATATGTAGTACAACTTCATAGGAAAAGGGCTATAAGGATATATTTTTAAAGTTTTATCAATAGTTAAATGTGAATTTTGTTTTTCAAATGCAAATTTGATTTTACAGTAGAGTTTATTCCGGAAATAGAGTTCATTTTGTAGAAACTTGCTTTACAGCTTAGTGGGGTTTGTTTATTTTTGAAAAAAGTAGTTATATTTGAAACCTACATAAGGAATCAATTTGATCAGTTCAGGAATAGGATTTTATTACTGTTTTATTTCCAAAATACAGATGTCATGTTCTTTTTTTGTTTAAAATCAATCTCTGGGCCGGGCATGGTGGCTCATGCCTTTAATCCCAGCACTTTGGGAGGCCGAGGCAGGAGGCCAGGAGTTTGAGACCAGCCTGGCCAGCATGGCGAAACCCCATCTCGACTAAAAATACAAAAATTAGCCGGTTGTGGTGGCACACGCCTGTAATCCCAGCTACTTGGGAGGCAGAGGCAGAGAATTGCTTGAACCTGGGAGGTGGAGGCTGCAGTGAGCTGAGGGACTGCGCTCCAGCGAGATTCCATCTCTAAATAAATAAATAAATAATAAATAAATAAAATCAATCTCTGACCCCCAGACATACCAGGTCTTTGCTGATTCCCCACCTGTCTTTCAGATGCTTTTCCTACCACCCTGTCCCTTCTTCAACCTGGTGTAAGGATGGTATACTATATAATTAAGAGGGAAAAAAGAATTTAGGATCTATTATATGGTCATCTCCCCTTATCCATGGGGGTACCTGACCCCAGTGGATGCCTAAAGCTGCAGATAAAACTGAACATTATATAGACTATATTTTTTCCTACACATGCAAAATTTAATTGAAAGAGGAAATTTAATTTACAAATCAGGCACAGAAAAAGATTAACAATAATTAAATAAAATTGAACAATAATATACTATAATGAAAGTTGTGTGAATGTACTCTTGATTGTATGCTGTGCCTTCTCTGTCTTTCAGAATGTTATTGTACATTACTCGCCTATTTTTGGCCCATGGTTGATCATGTGTAAATGAAACCATGGAGAGCGAGATCACTGATGAGGGGCCTGCTGTATATGTAGATCCACTTCACTACGCATTGTCCTTAAAGCAAACAAATGAACTTGCCCCCAAGCATGCCATGCTCGCCCACATCTTGGATTCTTCATGTGTTTGAAACATGAGGTTATGTGTCCGCTTTAACCCAATAAGTTTTCTACTTGAGTTACTTTTGCAAATACAGCTTTGGGCCTGTCATCATAAACCTAAAAATTAATTATCAGACATAATGACTTGGAACGTGGCCCCTTTTTGTCCACCTGATCTTTCTTTGCTCTTTTCTGAATCTTTAATTCTTGGTAAATAATGGTGTGATAATATCATTTGTTTGAAGTTTTTAGTTTGAGCTTTTCAAAAACTGTGACTCCATTTTACTGTATCCTTTCATCTCTCCCAGAAAGTCACCTGTTGCTAGGAGAGTGATGCTAAAGCACCTGCTTGGTAACATTCCCAAGCCACACGTCTGTGTTTTGGCATTTCTGTATGTTCGGTGCCTGCTATACCCAAGTTCACATCAGATACTGAAATTTACAATCAGGGGCACTCATCCAGACTTCCATTATGTTTTTGAGTGATGAAAGAATAAGGGAAGAAAACAGTTTTCTATCTTGTGCCTTATAAAATACAATTATACACATTTCATATGCACGTATATTTGTATGTGTATATGTTTAGTTGCATTATTCTTTGCACTAGATTATTAAATATAATTTTATTAAATATAAAATATATTTCCTTGTGTCAGATAATTTTCCCCAGATGGCCCATCAGAAGCGGTTCATCGAACGGAAGTACAGACAAGAGTTAAAAGAAATGAGGTGGGAAAGAGAGCATCAAGAGAGAGAGCCAGATGAGACTGAAGACATCAAGAAATAAAGGAGGGCATGCAAGTGTGGAGTATTTACTTGCTCAGTAACTGTGACTGTTGTCTATTGAGACCTAGCCTAGTTTTCCTGCAGACAATGAATGAAGTGTGCTCATTGAAATAAAATACAGAGTCAAATCGCTATTGTTGTTTTAATGATCTGTTTTTAGCTGGATGGTCTTTATTACAAAGTATTAGATTTTTCTTCTATTTAACGGAAAACTTGACTTTGGTGAATGTGCATTACTTCCTTTTATTTTGCTCTTTAAATAATAAAATTCAAGAAGCATATTCTATGTGGAATAGATCCTGTTTTTCCATCTGTGTCCCAGATTGTGACCCTAGACTTTCAATTGACAAGTAAAAAATTGACTTTACTAGACATTTTGACTGTGCTCTAGTAACATCTATCCTTTTTCAAATCTCTGGATTTTTAAGTAGATTGTTCAGCTTTCATCCGGTGGCTGTTCATCAAGTTATCAGCTGCAAATATTGAACTTACCTCTCTCTAAGCAGTGAGTGTTTTGTAGAAGGAATCCGTTTAACAATTAATTGGCTAATGGGAGAAGGGGAAAGACTGATATTCAAGTCATACAGATTCTTTGAATCATTAGAATAGGAGAGAAATCATGATTCTAAGCCAGGCCACACTTTAAACCAAGTGCTCTCACCCTGGGGTTAGTGGAACCTTTAAGAAGTTAATGAACAGACTTCAAGGAAGTCAAAAACCTCCCAATACTATATTCAATTTTCTGTGTGTGTTTGAGATTTGAGAGGGCATGGGGAGCAGGAAGGAGGAGGGTTTATAGCTTTTATCAGCCTCTCTAAGTGGGCCCTGCAGTAAAAGGCTAACATGACATTCAAAGACATAACATTTTAAAAAAAGTTATTCCAAACTAAACATCACTGGTTTCTTATTAATAAAGGCAAAACTTCTTTGTAAAACAAATCTGTTTCATTCATCATTTCAGCAAATATATAGTGAGTGCTTCCTATGTATCAGACACTGTTCTAGCCTTTGGGGCTATAGCAGTGAACAGAACAAACAAAACCCCTGGTCCTTGAGGAGCTTGGGTGCTAGTGCAGGTATACCCACAACAGACCAAGAGCCCAATGGCAAGAAATAAAGCAGGAACTTGTGGGTGCAGTTTTCAATGAGGTGTTTGAGGAGTTCTCCCTAAAAGGGTATTATTTAAGATGGGAAAGAGGAGAGGAAGTGAACGCTTCAGGTATCTGGGAGTGTTTCTTATATAAATATTAAATATTACATATGTATTATCAAACATTTGAAAAATGGGCCAGGCACGGTGGCTTATGCCTGTAATCCCAGCCCTTTGGGAGGCTGAGGCAGGCAGATCACTTTAGGTCAGGAGTTCGAGACCAGCCTGGCCAGCATGGTGGAACCCCATCTCTACTAAAAGTACAAAAATTACCCAGGCATGGTGGCGGGCGCCTGTAATCCCAGCTACTCTGGGGGCTGAGGCATGAGAATCGCTTGAACCTGGGAGGCAGAGGTTGCAGTGAGCCAAGATCGCGCCACTGCACTCCAGCCTGGGTGATAGAGCAAGACTCAGTCTCAAAAACATAAAAATTAAAATAAAAATTGAAAAACACATTACTTTTATTAGCAGGAGAAAGAAACAAATGTTGCTTAGAAACTATTATGGAAAAAGTAGAAAGCATAAGCAGAAAGATAAATAAATCACTCATGATTCCATCACCCAGATAATTTTTATGTCCTGTTGGACTGTCTTTGTACTTAAATACACACATGCATTCATGTGTTTTAACAACAGGATACCATACATATGGTTTCCATAGCCTTTCTAACTTTTTAAAATATGAATATCTTTGAGCGACAAATTCACATTTACATAATATAGTTGTTGATGGCTACATAGTAATGCACATCTTATATACCAATGGTAGATATATATATTAACCAATCTCATCAAAGATGTGTAGGTTGTAAGCAATTTATTGTCATAGTGCTGCCACATACCTTTTTGAGGGTGTGTATACACACACAAACACACACACACACACACACACACACACACATGCACATTGGAGAGAGATACTTCTCCAGGATGTCTTCATTTGCTAATCATAAAAATGTAAGGTGGTGCCTTTAAAAAAAAAACTTGTCCTGATGCCCTTCCTCCCCACCAGTGATGCCAGGAGACAAGTGAGGAGGGAGAAGAGAGCTTATTTCTTTTTGTTTTTTTTTTTTTTTGAGACAGAGTCTTGGTTTGTCACCCAGTCTGGAGTGCAGTGGCGTGATCTCAGCTCACTGCAATGTTCACCTCCTGGGTTCAAGCGATTCTTCTGCCTCAGCCTCCCAAGTAGCTGGGATTATAGGTGTGCACCACCACGCCTGGCTAATTTTTGTATTTTTAGTGGAGATGGGGTTTCACCATGTTGGCCAGGCTGGTCTCAAACTGTTGGAAAAAAGCTGATTGTTGGGAGGGAAACTGAGGCAGGGCTTGCATAATGTCCTCTGGAATGTGTCTAGACTTGCTGGCTCCTTGCTTCTAGCCCTCCTAGGCTCCTATTCCCATTATTTCAAGTAGCAGAACATATTCTATATAAATGCTAAACCATCACAGCTGTAAATCATATGCTTAATGCAACGTGTCCTTTTGACCGCCACATTCTCACCACCTGTTTCTTTGTTTGATTACCAATAAATACCGTGGGCTCCCAAAGCTCAGGGCCTTCGCAGCCTCCACAATAGCGATGGCCTCTCTGCTATCCCACCTTTCTCTCTTAAACTTTTTCTCAATCCTTTGACTCCGCTGAACTTCATCGCCCCCACAACCTGGTGTTGGGTCTGATCACCCCAATATTCCTGGCTGCTCAACGTGGGGCGACAAAGACCGCGGGTGAAGGAACGAATGCCAGAATGTGTGAAAGTAGAGAACGTCTAAAAGAAGCTCGGCAGGAAAGCTGAGAACTCAGAAGAACCAGGGTAACAATGGGACAAAGTGAAAGCAGACATTCTGCTTATTTAAATTTCTTAAGGCATTTATTACGAAGAGGGGGAGTGAAAGATAGTACTCAGAATTTATCACTCACTCCTTAGTGCAGTAAAGCGGTTTTGCCTGTGGTTCCCGGAACAAGGGACTATGCAGTTGGAGGAATGGAAGAGAATTGGCAGAGATTTAAAAAAACGTATAAAGATGGAGCAAAAATTCCAGTCTCGGTTTGGTCAATGTGGGCGCCAATAAAAGCAGCTCTTGAGCCATTTCAAACAGATGAGGCAGATTCAGATAAGGAAGAGGACGAGTGTAAAAAACTACAGATTCTGAATGTGAGGAACAGGAAACAGGAAATTAAAGGGAAACTGGAAAAAGTATGTTTTACTAGCCCTTCGGCTCCACCTGCTGAATTAAGTGAAGGCCACCTCCTCTCTCTCCCCTTAATGGGCAAGAAGATGACTTAGCTACAAAACTTACTGCTCCTGTAGTTGCAGCACTAAAACCTGGAGCAATTGGTGGTGCTATACAAAATTCTATTCAAAAGGCTAGAGCCAAGGGAGACCCTGAAGCATGGCAATTTCCCATAACTATAATCCAGCAAGGGAGGACAGCAAACGTCCCTCCGCTGTGTTTCTAAAATCCATCTACAAAGGAGAAAGACAGACATATACAAGTAGTTAAAGAAAAAAGTGTACCCTATTCCTTTAAAAGCCAGGGTAAATTTAAAACGTATAATTGAAGGTCTTCTCCGTGACCCTATAACACTCCAATACTACCTTGTTGTCAGTGTAAACAAGAGCATAGCCTAAAAGCACTGAAACCACTGACAACCCGTAGCCTTCCTATCAAAAATCCTTAACTCAGTAACCTGCGGATGGCCCAAATGCATTCCATTGGTAGCGGCAACTGCTTGGCTAGCAGAAGATAGAAAAATAACCTTTAGAGGAAACCTCATTGTGAGCACACCTCACCAGTTCAGAGCTATACTATATATATATATATATATATAAGCAAAAAGGTAGCTTACTCAAAAATCTTAAATTTTTGAGTAATTTGGGGCTATTCTGTTAGAAAAAGGTGATTTAACATTAACCACTGAAAATTCCCTTAACCCAGCAGGTTTCCTACCGAGGGATTTAAATCTTAATTACCATACAAAGGTCCGACCAGACCTAGGAGGAACTCCCTTCAGGACAGGACGATAGATGGTTCCTCCTGGGTGACTGAAAAAACAAAAAACCCACAATGGGTATTCAGTAATTGATAGGGAAGCTCTTGTAGAAGCAGAGTTAGGAAAATTGCCTAATAATTGGTCCGCTCAAACATGCGAGCTGTTTGCACTCAGCCAAGACTTAAAATACTTACAGAATCAAAAAACTATCTCAATCCTGACTCAAAAGGTTACTTACACCCTCTGAAACGAATTTGCGTAAGAACTGTTGTTTATGGGAATGCATCTTGATGGGGCAGCCGGGTTGTTATGAAATACTCAGGAACCCAGCCCAGCTGTAGAACTCACCTCTGAGCGCAAAGGCAATGTTGGGCACGCTGGTAAAGGACCACTAGAATCCAGCAGCCTGGACCCCTTTCTTTGTGGTCAAGAAAGGTGGGAAAACAGGTGCAGGACTGCTACAGTGGTGAGCGTAACTAATCCAATAAGCAGAGGCCCATGGGTGGTTATACACCCTGGCAAGGAAAAAGCATTAGGACCATAGAGGATGCATTAGGACTAATGCTCATCGGAAAATGACTAGGGGTGCTGGCGTCCCTGTGTTCTTTTTTTCAGATGGGAAACATCCCCCCCAAGGCAAAAATGCCCCTAAGATGTATTCTGGAGAATTCGGCCCAGTCAGAGTGCATGTACCTTTTTCCCTCTCAGACCTGAAGCAAATTAAAATAGACCTAGGTAAATTCTCAGATAACCCTGATGGTTATATTGATGTTTTACAAGGGTTAGGACAATCCTTTGATCTGACATGGAGATATAATGTTACTGCTAAATTAGACACTAACCCCAAATGAGAGAAGTGCTACCATAACTGCAGCCCGAGAGTTTGGCGATCTCTGGTATCTCAGTCAGGTCAATGATAGGATGACAACAGAAGAAAGAGAACAATTCCCCACAGGCCAGCAGGCAGTTCCCAGTGTAGACCCTCATTGAGACGTAGAATCAGAACATGGAGATTGGTGCCACAGACATTTGCTAACTTGCATGCTAGAAGGACTAAGGAAAACTAGGAAGACTATAAATTATTCAATGATGTCCGCTATAACACAGGGAAAGGAAGAAAATCCTACTGCCTTTCTGGAGAGACTAAGGGAGGCATTGAGGAAGCATACCTTTCTGTCACCTGAATCTATTTGAAGGCCAACTAATCTTAAAGGATAAGTTTATCACTCAGTCAGCTGCAGACATTAGAAAAAACTTCAAAAGTCCGCCTTAGGCCCAGAGTAAAACTTAGAAACCCTACTGAACTTGGCAACCTAGGTTTTTTATAATAGAGATCAGGAGGAGCAGGTGGAACGGGACAAACGGGATTAAAAAAAAAAAGCCACCTCTTTAGTCATGGCCCTCAGGCAAGCAGACTTTGGAGGCTCTGGAAAAGGGAAAGGCTGGGCAAACTGAATACCTAATAGGGCTTGCTTCCAGTGCGGTCTACAACGACACTTTAAAAAAAGATTGTCCGAATAGAAACAAGCCACCCCCTCCTCCATGCCCCTTATGTCAAGGGAATCACTGAAAGGCCCACTGCCCCAGGGGACGAAGGTCCTCTGAGTCAGAAGCCACTAACCAGATGATACAGCAGCAGGACTGAGGGTGCCGGGGGCAAGCGCCAGCCCATGCCATCACCCTCACAGAGCCCCGGGTATGCTTGACCATTGAGGGCCAGGAGGTTAACCATCTGCTGGACACTGGCGCAGCCTTCTCAGTCTTACTCTTCTGTCCCGGAAAACTGTCCTCCAGATCTGTCACTATCCGACGGGTCCTAGGACAGCCAGTCACTGGATACTTCTCCCAGCCACTAAGTTGTGACTGGGGAAGTTTACTCTTTTCACATGCCTTTCTAACTATGCCTGAAAGCCCCACTCCTTTGTTAGGGAGAGACATCCTAACAAAAGCAGGGGCCATTATACACTAGAATTGGGAGAAGGAAAAAGGGTAAATATATATACAGACCTAAGTATGCTTACCTAGTCCTCCATGCCCACGCAGCAATATGGAGAGAAAAGGAATTCCTAACTTCCGAGGGAACACCTATCAAACATCAGGAAGCCGTTAGGCCCCAAAATTCTCCTTACCTCTGAGTCTACTTCCTCCGATCCCTGCCTAAAGATAATTTTACGGGGAAGATTTGCTTGTGTCTCTCCAGGTGATGATCAGGTGCCTACGTGCGTGCCCACCAAATATCTGAAGATCTATTGTGAGCCACCGCATCTAGTGGACCCACCTGTACGGTGCAAATTGAAGGTTTAAGGATTGCTTTTAAGCCTCAATTTACTTTCCCTGTGACTTCTGTTAGAAGGGGCCTGTTTCTCATTATCAGTGACCTCCCGGCTATAGCCACAAAAGTTTTTGCTTCTGTTTCAGTAGATTTACTAATGGGGGTGGGGGTGTGTGTGAGGGTATACTTGTGTTTTTGCAGGAGATGAATGAACCTTGTGGATGCCCTCAAGATGTGTACGACCATGGAACAGGAGACTGGAGGGACCCATGAATCCCAACCATGGACCGGGTTCCCCAGTACGAGCCATGAGCCAGTTGAATCTGAATGCGAAGATGGAGTGAAGACCGACCAGAGTCACGATGCTTAACGGACCAATGCTTTCTGACTCAGCTCCTCTCTACCCCGAATATAAGAGACCCTAATAGTTAGGCAGGAATATCATCACCCCTATTCAGCATGAAGAAGTTACAGAAGATGGACCTTCATCCTTCTGCAACCCCTAGGATTAAGGGTCCTCTTGTAAAAGGGAAAGGGGAGATATGTGGAAAGCACTCAAACCAGAGCAAGTCCAGTTTGAATAAAGGCTAAGAAAAATGAAGCTGGATCACCAACCGGCAATTAAGGGCTGCACAGCTTGCAATTGCCTTGCTCAATTAAGAGGCCACCTCTTATGCTAGTAATAATGATACCTTCTCTTTTACAAAAAAGAGAAGGGGGGCATGTTGGGAAAAAGCCAAGTGTTGGGAGCGAAACTGAGGCAGGGCTTGCATAATGTCCTCTGGAATGTGTCTAAACTTGCTGGCTCCTTGCTTCTAGCCCTCCTAGGCTCCTAGGCTCCTATTCCCATTATCTCAAGTAGCAGAACATGTTCCATATAAATGCTAAACCATCACAGCTGTAAATCATATGCTTAATGCAATGTGTCCTTTTGACCGCCACATTCTCACCACCTGTTTGTTGGATTGCCAATAAATACCGTGGGCTCCCAGAGCTCGGGGCCTTCCCAGCCTCCACAATAGTGATGGCCCCCTGGTGTCCCACCTTTCTCTTTTAAACTCTCTTTTTCTCAATCCTTTGACTCTGCTGGACTTCGTCGCCCCCACGACCTGGTGTTGGGTCTGATCACCCCAACATCGAACTCCTGGCCTCAAGCGATCCACCCTCCTCAGCCTCCCACGGTGCTGGGATTACAGGCATGAGCCACCGCGCATGGCCAAGAGAGCTCATTTCTGAGCTACACTGGTTTCCGTACATCTACCACCCTATTTGGTGCGCTCTTTCTGAGCATTTTATTTAAGTTATATGAGCAGCAGACAGCAGGACTGGAAGGAAAAGAATGCTGATGGCCTTGAAAATGTTATGAGCAAAAGCAAAAAAGCAGGGGAAATAGTTGAATTTTTTAAAAAATAAGCACTTTTACTACTCTTGAATTGCATGAAAATAATGTCAAAGCCAACATGCTTTTCAGGAATTTGTTGGACCTTGACTTTTACTCTCTGTAGCACTTTGGCCCTTTTCAAGTTCTCTGTCCATATTAATGGCTCTTGAAACCTGGAGAAGTCAAGTCCATAAAACACTAGAGCACCTCTTGTAGTGGAACCTGCCACGCACATCAGCGCAGCTTAGCTCCCAGGGTTCTATAGAGCAACGGTGAGGCCGACACTAAATTCTGTAACTAGCTAGCCACATAGGCCGACTCAGGAGGGCCCTATGACCACAGATTCCAGCCCCGCCTCCTACCCAACCCAATGTTCTCACATGTTCCAGTTTGATTAGAAGAGTCAGCAAGAGGATGTTCAAATATTCACTCAGCTGAGTGTTAAGTGCTATTGGTCACAGAGGCTGAATATGTAGGTTTCTTCTCACAAGTCACTTAGGGTCTGGCTGGGGAGACAAATGATGGTGTGTGTGCAGACAAAGGGCTTCTAAATGGGGAAGGAAAGAAGGGAAAGTAGCCCAGGCAGGGAAGGCTTCACAGAGGAGTTAATACTTGAGGAATTCACTGAAGCTTGATGAGAGGGAGTTTGCAAGGTGGGGGAAGATATGCCTTTCCAGGGAAGCAACAGGATTGAGAGGCAAGAAAATGGGTTAGGAGCCTTAGTCCATTCGTGCTGCTGTAACTAAATACTAGCACCATAAACTCGGTGACTTATAAACGGGAAATGTATTTCTCACAGTTCTGGAGGCTGAGAAGTCCAAGATCAAAGTCCCTGCAGATGTGTTGTCTGGTGAAGCCTCACTTTTTGCGGTGTCCTCACCTGGTGGAAGAGGCAAGGTCGCCCTCGGGGCCTTTTATAAGGGCATTACTCTCTGTAAGGGCTCTGTCCTCTTGACCTAATCACATACCAAAAGGCCTTACCTAATGCCACATTGGTGATTAGGTTTCTGACATGAATTTGAAGTGTGGAGGGATACCAACATTCAGATTGTAGCAAACCTATTATTATGTTTCATGAAAGATGTGATGAAGGTCTGAAACAAGGCATTGGGAATATGGATGCTGGAATGGAACAGATTTGAGACATGTAAGAGAGAAAAATCTACCGGTCATGGGGTATGGCAAGGTATCTCAATTTTAATACTGTTGATATTTGGGGCCCAATAATTCTTTGTTGGGGCAGGGGACTCTCTTGTGCATTGTAAGGAGTTTAGCTGAATCCCTGGTGTCTGCCCACAAGGTGCTAGTAACACCCCTTCCCCTAGTTGTGACAACTGAAAATGTCTTTCTATATTGCCAAATATCCCCTGGGGGCAAAATCACCCCTGGTCAAGAACCACTAGGGTAGGAGAAAGGAAGCGAGAGAGCACCAGGCCAGTTTTTGTGCAATCAAGATGCAAACTATTTTTAGAAAAGCAGGATTAGGCCTGGCGCTGCGATTACATGCCTGTAATCCCAGCACTTTGGGAGGCCAAGGCAGGTGGATTACCAGAGGTCACAAGTTTGAGACCAGCCTGGCTAACATGGTGAAACTCCATCTCTACTAAAAATATAAAATTAGCCAGGTATGGTGGGGCATGCCTGTAATCCAGCTACTCGGGAGGCTGAGGCAGGAGAATTGCTTGAACACGGGAGGCGGAAGTTGCAGTGAGCTGAGATTGCGCCATTGCACTCCAGCCTGGGCAACAAGAGCGAAACTCCGTCTCAAAGAAGCAGGATTAGAAAGTAGGTGTTTAGTTGTCTCTGTTGAACTTGAGGGGACTGTAGAATGCCTCTGTGGAGATGTTTAATAAGCAGTTACATATATGATTTTGTAGCCCAACAAAGATGCTTGGGCTGAAGTACAGATTAGAAACAGACACAGAAAAATCAGTGGCATATGTACTTCTACAAGGGAGGGCATTGTTTTTCCAGGCTGAAGACAGAAAACCATTTCAATGATGTATTGCTTTGAAACTAGTTTTAATACATTCGATAAATTTATAATGGCAAAGGAACTCAACTCTCCTTTGAATTATTTCATCACTAGATGAGATTTTCTTAAACCAGCAGGCTTTTAAAGAATTATTTCCATCTTCTTTCATAAGTTTGTGAAGTTTTTGTGAAATTTCTCTACAACTACCTTGTACAAAATGAAGACCCCTTGTGAATTCCCCAGGTAATTGTTCTGAACTGGGAGTAAAGACATATTTACAGAAGCCTTGCAGAAATATTCCTTATAGGTACCAGCCCAAAAATTTTTCACCAGACTTATTACTTGTTTATTATCTCATGAAAGATGAAATAAAGATAAGCATATTAGGGATTATCATATTACTTATAAATATCAGAACATTTAAGAGAACAACCTAGGCTGAGTGCAGTGGCTCATGCCTGTAATGCCAGCACTTTGGGAGGCCGAGGTGGGCGGATCACCTGAGGTTGGGAGTTCAAGACCAGCCTGACCAACATGGAGAAACCCCATCTCTACTAAAAATACAAAATTAGGCATGGTGGCGCATCCCTGTAATCCCAGCTACTTGGGAGGCTGAGGCAGGAGATCGCTTGAACTGGGGAGGCGAAGGTTGCAGTGAGCCAAGATAGCGCCATTGCACTCCAGCCTGAGCAACAAGAGCGAAACTCTGTCTCAAAAAAAACAAAAACCAAAAAAAAAAACATACACGGGATGGTTACTTGATCCCCAAAGATTTCTCTTCCTCTTGTAGAATTATTGTCAGAACATGACTGCCCAACTGGAGGCCACATTTCAGTATCTTTGCATTTCATTGAGGCTGCATGGCTAGCTCTCACCTAAGGAATGTAAAGAACTAAGGCTGCAGTGTTAGGAAGCAGGTTTTCTATTTCTTCCTCCTCTTGTCCTGATTTGCTGGCTAGATCTCGATACCCAGGGAGGGTGACCTTTACAGCCACCATCAGCGAGCACACGAATGGCTGCATGGAGCAGTCTCTCACTCATACCCCACCCCACCCCTTCCCCTCTGTTGATAGGGGGATCCTGCTTAGACTATGTAAGTGAGAAACAAGTACCTATATGTTAAGCCACTTCAGTCTGGGGATTTCTCTGTTCTAGCAGCTAGTGTTACCTCAACTGCTACCACCATTTGAGGCAGGTACTTAACAACACTATTTAAATATTCTTTCAGTTCTGTGCTGAACTGTGTTGATGTCAAGTTGGACATCACCATGCGAGACGCCTCACTTCCCCTTTGCCTTCCACCGTGATTGTAAGTTTTCCTGAGGCCTTCCCGGAAGCCAAGCAGATGCCAGCATCATGCTTCCTGTACAGCCCATGGAACTGTGAGTCAATTAAACCTCTTTTTTTTAAAAATAAATTACTCAGTCTCAGGTATTTCTTTATAGTAGTGCAAGAACACCCTAATAAAATTGGTACCAGATGTGGGGTATTGCTGTAAAAACACCTGAAAATGTGGAAGCGACTATGGAACTAGGTAACAGGCAGAGATTGGAAGAGTTTGGAGAGTTCAGAAAAAGATAGGAAGATGAGGGAAAGTTTGGAACTTCCTAGAGACTGGTTGAATGGTTGTGACCAAAATGCTAATAGTGATATGGGACAGTGAAGGCCAGGCTGAGGAGGTCTCAGATGAAAATCAGGAACTTATCGGGAACCAAGCAAAGGTCACTTTTGTTATGCCCTAGGAAAGAATTTTGCTGCATTGTGCCCCTACCCTAGGGACCTGTGGAACTTTGAACTTGAGAGTAATGATTTAGGGTATCTAGTGGAAGAAATTTCTTTCTTTCTTTCTTTCTTTCTTTCTTTCTTTCTTTCTTTCTTTCTTTCTTTCTTTCTTTCTTTCCCTCCCTCCCTTCCTCTTTCTTTCTCTTTCTTTCCTCCTTCTTTCCCTCTTTCTTTCCTCCTTCTTTCTTTTCTTTCTTTCTTTCTTTCTTTCTTTCTTTCTTTCTTTCTTTCTTTCTTTCTTTCTTTCTTTCCTTCTTTCCTTCTTTCCTTCTTTCCCTCCCTCCCTCCCTCCCTCTCTCTCTCTCTCTTTCTTTCTTTCTTTTTTAGATGGAGTCTCGCTCTTGTCACCCAGGCTGGAGTGCAGTGGTGTGATCTCAGCTCACTGCAACCTCCGCCTCCTGGGTTCAAGCTTCTCCTGCCTCAGCCTCATGAGTAGCTGGGATTATAGGTGCCCACCACCATGCCCAGGTAATTTTTGTACTTTTAGCAGAGATGGGGTTTCACCATGTTGGCCAGGCTGGTCTCGAACTCCTGACCTCAGGTGATCTGCCTATGTTGGTCTCCCAAAGTGCTGGGATTACAGGCGTGAGCCACCACACCCAGCCAGGAAGAAATTTCTAAGCAGCAAAGCATTCAAAATGTGGCCTGGCTACTTCTGATGGCTTATGCTTATATACATGAGTAAAGAAATGACCTGAAGTTGGAACTTACACTTAAAAGGGAAGCAGAGTGTAAAAGTTTGGAAAATGTGACAGCCTGACTATGTGGTAGAAAAGAAAAGCCCATTATCAGGGGAGTGATTCAGGCAGGCTGCAGAAATTTGCATAAGTAAAAAAGAGCCAAGTGCTAATAGGCAAGACAATGGGGAAAAGGCCTCAAAGGCATTTCAGAGAACTTCCTGGCAGCCTCTCCCATCACAGCCCAGAAGTCTAGGAGGGAAAAATGGTTTCATGTGCCAGGCCCAGGGCCCTACTGCCCTGCACAGCTTTGGGACACTGCTTTCCCCAGCCCATTTGCTCCAGCTCCACTGGTGGCTAAAAGGGGCCCAGGTATGCCTTGGGCTGCTGCTTCAGAGGATGCAAGCTGTAAGCCTTGGCAGTTTCCATGTGGTGTTAAGCCTGCAGATGCACAGAGTGCAAGAGTTGAGTGTTGAGAACTTCCACCCAGATTTTAGAGGATGGATAGAAAAGGCTGGATGTCTAGGCAGAAGCCTGTTCCAAGGGCAGAGCCATGATGGAGAACCTCTACTAGGGCAGTGTGGAGGGGAAATGTAGGGTTGGAGCCCCCACACACAGTCCTCGCTGGAGAACTGCCTAGTGGGGCCATGAGAAGAGGGCCACCATCCTCCAGACCCCAGTATGGTAGAGCCACCATCAGCTTGCATCCTGCACATAGAAAAGCTAAAGGCACTCAACTACAATCTGTGAGAGCAGCTGCAGGGGCTGAACACTGAGAAGCCACAGGGAAGGAGCTGCCTAAGGCCTTGGGACCCCATCCCTTGCCCTTGCATCAGTGCACCCTGGATGTGAGACATAGAATCAAAGGAGATTATTTTGGAGCTTTAAGATTTAATGACTGCCCTGCTGCCTTGCATGGGGCCTTAGACCCTTCTTTTGGCCAACTTCTGCCTTTTGGAATGGGAGTATTTACCCAATGCCTATACCCCCATTGTATCATGGAGTAACTAACTTGTTTTTTATTTTACAGGGTCATAGGTGGAAAAGACTAGCTTTGTCTCAGATGAGACTTTGGACTTTGGACTTTTTAGTTAATGCTGAAATGATTTAAGACTTTGGGGGACTGTTGAGAAGCGATGATTGTATTTTGCAGTTTGAGAAGGACATGGGATTTGAAGGTCCAGGGTGGAATTATATGGTTGGATCTGTGTCCCCAGTGTTGGAGATGGGGCCTATTGGGAAGTGGTTGCATCATGGGGTTGTGATATGGTTTGGATCTGTGTCTCCCATCAAATCTCATGTTGAGTTGTAATCCTCAGTGTTAGAGGTGGGGCCTGATGGGAGGTGATTGAATCATGACGGTGGAGTTCTCACGAATGGTTTAGCACCATGCTCTTGGTACTGTTCTCGTGATAGTGAGTTCTTTCTACATTTGGTTGAAAGTGTGCAGCACCTCCCCGCCCTCTCTTCCTCCTGCTCCCACCATGTGAAGCTCTGGCTTCTGCTTTGCCTTCTACCATGAGTAAAAGCTCCCTGAGGCCTTTCTGGAAGTGGATGCTGCCATGCTTCCTGTACAGCCTGCAGACTGTGAGCTGATTGAAACTCTTTTCTTGATAAATTACCCAGTCTCTGGTATTTGTTTATAGCAGTGCAAGAATGGACTAATACAGGGTGGATTTCTCATGAATGCTGTAACACCATCCTCTTGGTGCTATTCTCATGATAGTGAGTTCTCATGAGATATCATTTATGCAGCACCTCCTCCATCCTCCTGTTTTCTCCGTATGAGAAACCTCGCTCCCCGTTTGCCTTCTACCATGATTGTAAGTTTTCCTGAGGCCTCCCCAGAAGCTGAGCAGATGCCAGCATCATGCTTCCTGTACAGCCTGAGGAACTATGAGCCAATTAAACCTCTTTTTGTTATAAATTACCCAGTTTCAGGTATTTCTCTATAGCAGTGTAAGAATGGGCTAATATAGTTCCTTAATGTTGACTTGTTCACCTGTGGTTCAGGAATGCCCCTACTCTTAGATTAAAAAGAAAATTTAAAATATAACAACTGTGATATAAAATAAATTCTTATGAATTAGGGGTTTTGAGGATGTGTTGCATTCTGAGATTTATTTTATCAGTATTTGTAACATCGAATATATCCTGGGTGTGGAAGGTTAAAAGCAGAGTCCTTGTCCTCAAGGAGCTCTCTAGTTAGAAAAGGAAACACATACATCCATGAATATAAGGTGCCATACAGAGGATCAGAGAAGAGACAGTGACTCATTCCTTCTGGAAGGGTAGAGATCAGTTTAATCTTCAGGGGTGACTTTAGTCTGCCATGCTGCTGACTTTACCTTACCATACTCCCCAGGACAAAAAGCTTGTTTTCAGGCCAAACATTTTATATATTTATTTTTAATTACATTCCCATTATGACACCTAACAAAATTATCAAAGACTCCTTAATAACTTAAAATGACCAGTCCAGGCTGGGTGCAGTGGCTCATGCCCATAATCCTAGCACTTTGGGAGGCCAAGGCGGGTGGATCACCTGAGGTTGAGAGTTCCAGACCAGCCTGACCAACATGGAGACACCCCCTCTCTATTAAAAATACAAAAAATTAGCCAGGCGTGGTGGTGCATGCCTGTAATCCCAGCTACTCGGGAGGCTGAGACAGAAGAATCACTTGAACCCAGGAGGCGGATATTGCGGTGAGCCGAGATTGCCATTGCACTTCAGCCTGGGCAACAAGAGCGAAACTCTGTCTCAAAAAAACCAAACCAAAACAAACAAACCAAAAAAACCACCACCAACAAAAAAACAGTCCATATTCACATGTCCAGCTAGTTTGTTCCAGTAATGACTCACCGACTCCCGTGATCTACAGGAGCGACTTCCTCTCCGGTGTTCTTTGCTATGGACAAATGATCTTTATTCACTCTTACATAGTTGAGCCGTGTAAACACATCTCCAGGTTGATTTCCCAGTAGATTGTTGTTGCTGTGCTGTTCTCATGTAGATATTTGGGAACTGCCCTGAGGAGGTAAATAAGGGCAGAAATTCCAGTTTTTCTTTGAGACCACCCTAACTAGATTCTTGATCTCTGTCTTGCACTTTGCAAAACAGAGAAATCCACACATTGCATTTGGTTTTTGTCTCTTAGGTCATTTAAATCTAGAACAGTTCTCCACTCCCTTTTTTTTTCATGACTAGTTGAAGAAACTGGGTCAGTTGTCCCACAGTCTTTCCCACACTCTGCATTTGATGCATTGCTTTCTTGTGGTGTCATTTACTTTTTCTTCCCTTTATCATCTGTATTCGATAGAAAGGCTTGATTTTAAGGCTTAGGTTCAAAATTTGTGGCAAATGTGTATTTCATTATTCTTTCCCCCTCCATGCCCCCCAAAATAATTATTTCAATAGTCCCAGCTCTCAAATTCTTTGGGGTAATAGATGTTTGTGATGGTTAATTTTATATGTCAGCTTGGCTAGAGATGTTGCTTTAAGCACCTAAGTTTGAGGAAATTTGTTACGCAGTAATAGAAAACTAATGCATTCTAGCCAGGCATGGTGGCTTACGCTTAGCAGGTAGATTGCTTGAGCCCAGGAGTTCGAGACCAGCCTGGGCAACATGGTGAAACCCTTTCTCTACAAAAAAATACAAAAGTTAGCGGGGTGTGGTGGCATGCGCCTGTAGTCCCCGCTACTGGGGAAATTGAGATGGGAGGATTGCTTGAGGCTGGGAGGTCGAGGCTGCAGTGAGCCATGATAGCACCACTGCCCTCCAGCCTGGGCAACAGAGCAAGACCTTGTCTCAAAACTCCCCCCAAAACACCTAATGCACTCCAGTTCTCTTTTTAAACAGCTAATCTCTTCATGTTACTATTGTGTTTAAAATATTTTATCAGCTGGGCATGGTGGCTCACGCCTGTTATCCCAGCACTTTGGGAGGCTGAGGCTGGTGGATCGCTTGAGCTCAGGAGTTTGAGACTAGCCTGGGCAACAAAGTGAGACCCCTTCTCTATTAAATTTTTTTTTTAAAAATTAGCCGTGTTTGGTGGCACATAATTGTAGTCCCAGCTACTTGGGAGGCTGAAGCAAGAGGATTACTTGAGCTCTGGAGGTTGAGGCTGCAGTGAGCCATAATCTTACCACCGCACTCCAGCCTGTGCAACAGGGCAAGACCCTGTCTCCAAAAAAACAAAAACAAACAAACAAGCAAAAAACAAAACAACCACCACCCAGAGTTTCCCATAGCCTGTAGAATAAAGCCCAAATTCCTTGTGACGGCATTAGTTGCCTCAAGAGCAGGTATTCAACCCAGCCTTACAGAACTAGTTGCAGATTTTTTGTTTTTGTTTTTGAGACAGGGTCTTACTCTGTCGCCCAGGCTGGAGTGCATTGGCGTGATCATGGCTCACTGCAGCCTTGACCTCTTGGGCTCAGGTGATCCTCCCATGTCAGCCTCCCGAGTAGCTGAAACCACTGGTGTGTGTTACCACACCCAGCTAATTATTCTATTTCTTGTACAGACAGGATCTTATCATGTTGTCCAGGGTGGTCTCAAACTCCTGGGCTCAAGTGATCCTCCCACCTCGGCCTCCCGAAGTGCTGGGATTACAGACATGAGCCACCGCACCTGGCCAGTTGCAGACATTTAAATACATTCTGCATCTCTCCCCTACAGGACTTTGCCATGCCTGAAATAGGCGACCTCCTTGCTGATTAGTTTTTACTTGTCTTTTGGGCCTCAGCTCAGGCACTGTCTCCTGCAAACCTTCCCCTGGACCTTAAAGCCAGGTTCAGGGTACATTCACGGGCTCTTTCCTGAATCACGTTTTTCACACTGAGTTGTCGCCGTCTCTTGACTTACCCATCTTCCCCAACTATGCCACAAGCTACTGGCAGACAAGATCATCACTGACCCACCTTGGAACCATGGGCTCCTAGCACAGTGCCTGGCTCTTCATGAGCCCTGCATTACTGTTTGCTGAGTAAAAATAGCCAGGCATTCCTTGCCATTCTTCCTCAAGCCTCAATTGACCTACAGTAGAACTCCCGCTACCTGGATGCAACCCTCCTGCAGGGACTTGGGCTAAGGCAGAGAATGACTCCCTGGAGACAGGAGCAGGTTCACCCTCTCTGGATTTCTGCAGTTGGATTTGGCTGTGAGCTAAACAGACCCCACCAGCCCAGTGGAATCTGGCAGGAAGCAGGGGAGCTTATCTTCTCTTGTCTTCTGGCTTTTCCCTGACTTCTCCGAGTCAGGGAGCTCATATAAAATGGACAAAGCAGCTGAATAACAGCTCCCATAGCATTATTTTAGATGATAAGATAGAACTCCAGAAACCTGAGGAAAGGCTTAGTCATCAGCGACAGCACTATCGGGTGGCTTGGGATAGGCTTCAGTCACTGACTCCCATAATCTCCAGGAACAACTCCCTCTCTAATATTCTTTGCTATGGATAAATGATCTCTATTCAATCTTATATAATGGAACTATATAAACACATCTCCAGTTTTCATTTCCAGCTAGATTGTTGTCACTGTGCTGTTCCTAGGTGGATATTTGGGAGCTGCTCTGAGTAAGCAAATGAGGGCAGAACTCCCAGTTTTTCCTCAAGACTGCCCCAGCTAGATTCTTAGTCCCTCTCTTGCACCGTCAGTGGCCCCAGAGACATCCCTTTGAAGAGGCCCCTGCCTCATCTCTGCCAGGAACTCAGCAGTGAATGGGCACTGCTGTCCCATCACCCAGTAGCTGCTTCTGCAAGTTTTCTTTCACTTCAGCTGAAATATTTGTCAGGTAAAAGAAGAAATTTTAAATGAAGTTATAAAAAAAAAAAAAGAAAACCAGACCTGCGCTAGCTAATCATTTGTATGCTGAATATTAGCCCATCATGATTTGAAACTCCCGGATAAAACAACTTATAATGAAAATGCAGGGAGACTCTCAACTGTAGCGATTTTAATGCTCACCTCTATTATTATAATAATAGGGGTCTCAAATGGGGCTGTGGAGAACAGTGGCTGCCCCTGACTAGAATTCAACCAGAAAGATCAAGAGAGAGCCCTAATTGCCTTTCTTCTCAGATCAAACAATTGACTTAATTCTCCGGGCCTACACACGGAAATGTGTTTGAGGAGATTCAAATAGGTTACTATAGAGGATTAAGGTTTTCTCTGCAGATTATACTTTTATGCCCTGTAGTTCATTGCTTGAAGTGTTAAGTAGTTTTGTCAAAATAAGCAAGGCTGGAAGGATTTTTAGAAACTTACAAATCACATACTCTTGCTGAGTAACACAAGGGACCTCTGTTTTTTTTTTTCCTCTCCCTTTAAAAAAAAAATTAATGGTTGAGGCGTGAAGGTGGGGAGAAATTAACCATGTTCAAGATTAGTTGGAAATTTCAAGAGGCATCTCAGATAAGAGAAATGCAAGTGTGGTGGTTTATTGTGTTTCCTCTCTTGAAAATTGTTTCATGAATGATGCGGCTGAAGAAGCCACATAAAGAGAAGGGATTTTCTTGTGAATGCTTAACTGCCTGAAGAGAAAGTCCGAAGGGGATGTGAAATCCGACCCTTGAGGCTTCTCTGCAGTGCCGTGCTCATCAGTGTTATTTTACTCACTAAGACTTCATTTCTGCTTAAAGGAGTTGGTGGCAGAATAAGCTTTCATTCTCTCACAATAGATTATTCCCAGGAAAGGGCACTTGTCGGGAAGTCATCAGTGACATTCTGTCCTTGGTGCCACAGGTGGCCGTTGCTCAGCCAACTTGCTCTGTTGTTCTCCCCGTTCCCTTGGGAATGCGTCCTTCCTCATCAAAAAGTTGCCCGGTGAATTTACCTACTGCAGGGAACAGTGGCGATCTGTACACCTCCCTCCACTTTTTCAGCCCTCCTGGGTCCATCGCTCTTAGTAAAGCTACATGAAGAAGCTTAATTGATGTTGCAGCATTGCACAACACACAGAGCACATGTAGACTGCAGACTCCATAAAGGCCTGAGAGTGACAGGACAGCCTCGGTGTGCACGCACCCCCTGGAGCCATGGCACTTTTGTTTTTGTCCTGGCCTGGCACAATCACAGTTGCATCTAGGGTCACCTTTCTAGTTTTTTCAGAATTCAACCCTGTGCCCTGGGTCTTGGCGGGTGCCAGGGAAATTATTCTGTTTGCTTTGGTCTCTCCTCTCCTCCAGCATGGGGCCGTCTCCATTTCTCTCAGCCACACTCTTTGTCTTCAGCAGCCCTTGCCAATGCTGCCCAACTGCCACCAGAGGTGCCCACAAACACCACCTCACCCCTCAGTGTCCGCTGGGGCTGGGAAACCTCATGCGTCATTTATAGCCCACTCCCCAGGGAGACAAATTGCTGGTAAACCTCAAGGCAGAGTTAAGCAATGAAGGTAGGGAACATAGGATTGCTTTTGGGAGGACAACGCTAAATGGCACAGGAGGGAAAAGAGAAACCAAAAGCCTGGGGGGAGGGCGTGAGAACAAGAGAGTGAGAATGTGCCCGCTAGTTCTCAGAGGCTGGGAGCCAGATAATGAGAGTGCCATCCAGGCAGAGGAGGGATGGGGTAGGGGCAGGGCAGAGAAAAGTCTAGGCAGCGATGGCAGGGGCACGAAATGCTACATGTTTACATGGCAGACCCCCCTCTGTCTCCTCAGAGAGAGCATCAGTAAAACACCTATTGCTCAATCATGGAAGTGAGCAATAGAATAAAGAGGCATTGAGTCCAACATCCAGACTGACCAAGTGACCTGAGAGCACACACATGGTCTAGCCATATCTCAGTCACATCGCCAAGGGGGCTGGGGACCTGGTTTCTTCCCCTGCTAGCTTTTTCCATCTCTCTTCTCCTCTCTGTCCCATTTCCCTTTTTTGTCATTTCCATCCTGATTGGGTCCCAAATGGACCGCTCTGCTCTTTCAGTCCCCAAGTCGCAGCCTTCTCTGAATAGATCTCATCTCTCTGTTAGAGTCTCAACACATTAAGTACCTCAAGAGGCACGGCGACGCTCAAATAGATGAGGATTTTGAATGCCTTGGATTCAGAGTACTGAATGAATGCTTTAAGACAGTGGCCACAAATGGTTTGTATAAAGGACTGAATAGTATTATTTATTTATTTATTTTTTTGAGGTAGAGTCTTGCTCTGTCACCCAGGCTGGAGTGCAGTGGCGAGATCTCGGCTCACTGCAAGCTCCACCTCCCGAGTTCACTCCATTCTTCTGCCTCAGCCTCCCCAGTAGGTGGGACTACAGGCGCCCACCACCACACCTAGCTAATGTTTTTGTATTTTTAGTAGAGACGGGGTTTCACCGTGTTAGCCAGGATGGTCTCGATCTCCTGACCTTGTGATCTGCCCATCTCGGCCTCCCAAAGTGTGGGGATTACAGGCGTGAGCCACTGCACCCGGCCTGAATAGTACTTATTTTAGCCTTTGTGGGCCAACAGGCAAAATCGAGACTATTATGTAGGCACTTATAAGAAGACAACAAATCTTCACCAATTTTTATTGATAACATTCAGAATTTTATACACACTGGCATTTGAATTCCATTTCATTTTTACATGCCATAAAATATCCTTCTGATTTTTTTTCAACTATTTAAAAATGTAAAAGCAATTCTTAGCTTGCAAAATATATAAAAACAGATGGCGGGCTGGCTTTGGCCCAGGGGCTATAGTTGCTGACACCTGCTCTGAGAAGATTGAAAACTGCCACCATAAAGGAAACTGCACTAAAACACTGTGTTCTGCCCATTGTCTCTGCAGACTTGATCATGATGATCTGGATTAAAATGCTGGTCATCAAAACCTCGGTTCCACAATCAATGCCTGTGATTCATGATGGGTAGTCAACATGATAGAGTTATAGAATTTTCTGCTTTTCTTCCAGGTAATTAGGCTGCAGGCCCAGGTGCCTTCGTAACGTTGGCATGTTCCTTAAGCACATGCTCTTTATCAGAAGTTTGCACCAGGGACCATGTGGCGATCTTACCTTTTTATGGCAATGTGTGGTTCCAAAGCACTTTAACATACAATATCTCACTTTAGCCTCATAACAACCTGAGAGGTAGAAAGAGTCATTGTTATCCTCATTTCATGATTGAAAAAACAAACAAACAAACAAACAAAAAGAACTAAACAAAACCAAGACTTCAAAAACTTGTGGAGCAACCTAAGATGAGACATCTGGGAATGGGTAGAGACGGGACCACGCATGCTGCTAGGAACTGTGGATACAGCCAGAAAGAAGGCAGATCCAGAGCTTCGGTTGAGAGGGTAGACAGCCAACGAAGAAAACAAAATAATCCTATTAACATTAAAAGAAGTGGCACACATATCAAGATGAAAAAGAAACGCGTCCTTCTTTGAATATTTCCAGAAATATTTAGCCTTGTTTATCGTAACCTAAAAGCATATCTTAAGGTAGAAGACTCTAAAAGCTGAATAAATCCAAAAGATAAAAAGAATAGACTTCAAGGTAACAATTAGACTTCCAAAACCAGTCCCAGGATGCTTCTAAGGGCCAGTACCTCATATGAGTGTTTTATTATTATCATATATGTCAAGGTCTTAAAACAGGCGGCAAAGGAAAACTTCAACAAAGCTTGAGATTGTGACCCTTTTGCACAGATCCAAAGGAGATCACGGAGGCCTAAGGCTTTAATGAGCCGCGGCAGGTTAGTGGCAAAGGTGATCCCGCTGCCCACTGGGTAGAGGTCAGGGAAGCGGGGACAGCCTGCTGCTGCTGTCTGCTTCTATCACAGCCACGCAGTGACATCACACAGGCCCAGCGTTCTTTGAACACTACCCCCAGGAAGTGTCATTCAGTGACAGAACTGATGCCCTTGGAGGGTAGTGGGTAACAGCAAGGCCTCTGGAATTGAGCTAACCTGGGTTCAAGTCCCCCGTCCTCCCCTTCTGGGTGTGTGACCTTGGGGAGCCTCCTTTTGGATGGCCCATGGTTTATAAAGGAGGATAATACAGTAGCTATGCCACTGGCTTGTGGGGAGCACTAAATACAATAATGCATGTAAAATGTCCACCGCATAGCAGGTGCATGATACATGTGTGCTATTGTTATCAGGGTTATTTATGAGGCCCAGTAGCAAACGTGAGTGGGTTATGACCGCAGAGAGTCAGTTCGGTAGCAGAAGAAAAGACCTGGGTTGCACGTCAAATTCTGACCCTTGGGAGAGTTTGGTGATCTGAGGAAAGTGACTCACAGAGGCTGAGTTGCCTCATCTCAGCCCTGGAGTTCATTGGGGGGATTAAGAAAGACCGGGTGTGAGCTTGCTTTACAGATTAGATTATCATATAGTGCCACAAAAATGTTCACAGCAACACCTCTAAATGTACGTATTTATATATACTACATCTCATCCTGGAAAAGATTCCAGACATTTGTCAAGCCTCAGGCAAAGCTCAAAACTCACATAAAAAAGCCACACAAAATAATGAACCATAAAAAAATGATTTAAAAATGAGCATCCAGGAATAGGTGAAAGTAGGAACAAAAGATCCAGGAGAAATAAACATTTAAAATTACAGGTCAGAAGACTTTGGCTACTTTACTGTTCAAATTGGATATCAGATTTATCTGTAAGTTTCCTGAGAGTCAAAAGAATAACGGGGAGATGTGGTTTTTCATTCTTATTGAAAATAAATGCATACATATCTATCTTCCCCACCTCACCTCCCTTTCTCCCCTCCCTTTCTCCCCTCCACCCCTATCTTTATCTTCTCCCCTTTCCTTTGTTCCAGAGAAGCAGTAATTTGTAATCAATTACTAAAACTTTGCCAAGGTAAGTACTATTTGTAGATGAGGAAACCAAGGCTCAGAGAGGTTACTTAGCCTGCTTGAGATCACACAGCAGTAGGAGGCAAGTCCAGGATTCAGAGCCAAGTCTGAAGGCACCAAAGCCCTCACTTCTCTCCCACCACACTGAGTAAAATTGCTCAGCCAGGGCCTTCCTGAACTGTGCCAGCCAGGGAGGCTGTTCACCAGAGAGTTAGCCAGGGACTGTCTTAGTGCCCCCAAATTCTGCCCAGAGTGTGAATCAGCAGAACATCACTTTTCAAGGCAAAAGAAGCAGAATAAAACCTTCCCATTATCTCAGTGTTGCCCAAGCAGAACAATCCTTAATGGAGGGCACGGACTGGGGACACCGAGGGAAGAAAGGGATGGTTCGCCGTTCCTGGGCTTGTAAAGGAACTTAGCAGAAGGCACGTGCAGAGGTGCCTCCTGGCCAACAATTGCCAAAGGCTGCAGGTGAAGTAATCTGGACCAAAAGCAAACAGAATATCAGGGAAAGGTGCTCTGAAACCAGAAAGAAAATTCCAACTCAGACATGGTGGAGCCGGAATGGTGTGGAAAGAACACACACTTCAGCGAGAGTGAAACAAAGCAAGAGGAAGAAGAAAATACAGCCCCAACCAGCCTTTCATTCAGGTCTGGTAACTGATACCACAACTCTGTTGTGCAGAATTACAAGTCATCATAACTGAGGTTCCAGTTTACTATATCGTATAAAGTATACAGTCCCCACTGGTCTTTTTAATAGATCCATAAAGTCCTGAGTTAAGGAGCTCCTCCAGGCACCATCGTATTGATATCTAGACTGGAAGAATCTACCCATTATTGCAAACCGGAGTAAGTGACACCTATGATTTTAACAAGGCTTATATCTCTCTGGGTGGCTATAGATTATGTTAACATGGATTCCAAAGTTCATTTCACAGTAGGGTCATAAAGGAGGCACTGAATGACCGAGAAGGCAATGTCTTCAAGCAATATTCCTATAATAAACATAGCATTTAGTATCATAAGGCTTTTCTTCCAGTGTCTCTTGATTAATGCCAGGGCCTTAGCACCTACAATACAGCTCAGAGAAGGGAATTCTGCAGAGGGCTTGGTTCAGTTCTGTGCTGAACTGTGTTGATGTCAAATTGGATCAAGGGATAGACTATATGGCATTGGCATCGGGTCATTTTTTTTTTTTAAATAGAGGCAGGATTTCACTATGTTTCCTAGGCTGGTCTTAAACTCCTAGGCCCCCAAAGTGCTGGGATTACAGGCATAAGCCACCACACTCAACCTATCTTATGTATTTTAAATAATTGTTCATTGACATCATTTTTCCTAACCTGTGGTTTTGATAAGAATTGGCCAGTTGATAGTTTGGCTCTATTTTCAGACACTGTTTTATATTTTAGAGAGACAGTGTGTCCGTTGAGGATGGAACTATATCCTTTGGAAATAAAAAGAAAACATGGAAATTTGATACTTTTTAATGAAATGTGAGTAGGCAAAGTATGGCATCTACTTGGATTGATAGCTGGTTGACCACTTCATGGAGACAAGATGCAGAAAGCTAGAATTGTTGTTGGGAAATAGTTCTGGGGGCTTTTCTGGTGATTGAAAAAATGATTAATGAAGCCCTGAAAATTTTACTCTATAGAGCATGAGAAGAAGCTTTGGGCCCGTAAACTGTTAGAGCAGTTGGTACTAGTTCTCCTCAATGACCATATAAAACCTGGATAATGTTCCCAAAGATAACATAGTTTTGATCAAAGCAGTTTGATACTGTCAGGATGCATTAATTGAACGATGTCCTTATTTTAGTTTCTAAATAAATGTACCTGTTTTATGTAATTGGATATGTACCAGTTACGTTTTGTACAACATCTGCCAAAAATGATTTTAGCTGGGTCCTATAGTTAATTAACTGGAGGGCCTCTGAATCAGAAGGGTTTACTTGTTATCGAATGTAATTTGGAGGGATTTGGGCCATAAATCGCTGGCTGTGAGGATTATTCACCTCTAGTCATGGTATTTTAGAATGGAAGCCACAGTGTTTGGAAGAGGACTCTGAATGGAATCTTCGCCTTTAGTTTGAATACAAGGCATCTGTGGACAGGACTAGCAAAAGAAAGTCAAGATACGAGAGATGATTGACACAAAAGAAATATGAAGGAACATCTCCTAGGTCCAACGTTACCCAAATGAATTGGAATGCTACATTAGCAGATGTGTCTGGGTTGCACAGATAAGTCATTTACACTCTGCTGACTGAAATGTAGTTTCAGGAATAAAGTTGTAACGGCTGTATACTATATCTCTGTCCTTTTTGTTCACATATTTTTTGCTCAGCTAAAATACCACTAGCGTAACTAGAAAGGTGAGGTCTTTTCAAGGAAAGGCCTCAAGTAGATGGTGGCTTTTAGGAGTCCAAGTTGGTTGTCAATAAACAAGAGATCACCTCTGTTCCTTTGGGATGCTGTGGGATTACCTAAAGAGGGGAGACTCTCACTTACCAGCTTTACATCTTCAACTCTCCAAAATACAGCCCTGCCAAAGAAGTGAGTTTTAAAGCGCCTCACTTAAGAAACCCTGCCTCAGGCCAGGCGTGGTGGCTCACGCCTGTATTCCCAGCACTTTGGGAGGCCGAGGCGGGCAGATCACGAGGTCAGAAGATCGAAGCCATCCCGGCTAACACAGTGAAACCCCATCTCTGCTAAAAATACAAAAAATTAGCCAGGCATGGTGGCGGGCACCTATAGTCCCAGCTACTCCGGAGGCTGAGGCAGGAGAATGGCATGAACCCGGGAGGCGGAGTTTGCAGTGAGCCGAGATCACACCACTGCACTCCAGCCTGCCTGGGTGACAGAGCGAGACTCCATCTCAAAAAAACAAAAACAAAAACAAAAACAAAAAAAACCCAAAAAAACTCCTGCCTCAAATAAAGCCAGGTATGTAATTCCTTAGTTTCTCTCTCAGACTTACTAACTCTTCTTGTCCAGGCTTTTCAACAAGTGTGCGAGTCTCAGTTCTCCTGCTCTTCAGATGGGAAGCAGTGTATGTACTAAGACAGAAAAAGAAAAGGAATGTCTCAGAATAGTTAGAGACATAGCTGGAACCAGTGACATGTTAGGTCCAGAGTTATAACAATAAAAAAAATTCTAGACCTAGAACCATAATTTTATTAAAAAACCTAATACTGTGTATTCACGATAAGAACTCTGAATCAAGGCCTGGCTAAATGCTGTTTTCTAGGGCATGCATGATACGCATTAAAATTGATCATAAATTTATTTGTAAGCTCAAGATTAAATAATGTTTTAAGCTGGGTGCGGTGGCTCCCGCCTGTAATCCCAGCACTTTGGGAGGCCGAGGCAGGTGGATCACCTGAGGTCAGGAGTTCAAGACCAGCCTGGCCAACATGGCAAAACCCCGTCTCTACTAAAAATACAAAAATTAGCCAGGCGTGGCGGCACACACCTATAGTTCCAGCTACTCAGGAGGCTGAAGCATGAGAATCACTTAAACTGGGGTGATGGAGGTGGCAGTGAGCCGAGATTGTGCTACTGCACTCCAGTCTGGGTGACAGAGTGAGACTCTGTCTCCAAAAAAAAAAAAAAAAAGAAAAAAAGAAAAAAAGAAAGCAGTGCAGGCCGACTGAGTCCTCCATCTCCTCATCTTCACCTGTCATCAAGGCCTGCAGGACAGAAGGGTGCATTTTTGAAGCTTAGTGACTTAAATTGGGATTACACCAAAACAGCGGCTGCTGGAAGGAAACTGCTGTTTTTGTTCAGTGGCTAGGGAATAGGAACGAGGGGGTGTCAATATCTTCAGTGTTTTCTATTTTCAGATCAATGGAAATAAGGCTCCATTTCTGAAAGATTCCCATTAAAATAGATTTAAGGCAATAAAAAGAAAAAAATTTCTTTGACCTTTACAAGATAATGTAGAGTGGTTATGTGCCTGACAAACCAAGCTCAAGATCTGGCTTTGCCTCTTACTAGCTGTTTGACTCCAGGCAAGTTTTTAATACTGTGTCTTTTTTAATGAAAAAATGGACAGACCATTTAAAAACCATTAATACCATTGACAGAGGTGTAGTTGAGAATATCTTTGCCCCATCTGAGGGGCATCACTGGGGACCCCATTGTCTGCCAGCTTCTCCAGTCCTAAAGCCTCATGTTTGGTGGCAGTCAAGTTCCCCTCAAAGCTCACTGATTTGTGGAGAGAAGAGGGTAGAGGATCAGTCCCCAAATAAGATCTCAGCCAGGGCCCTGCCTGGTCAGCTAGAACTTGTAGAAGTGACCAGAGCAGCTCTTCTCCCATGGGAGGAGAATCCCTTCAAAAGGCAGTGAGCTTCTTTGCTGGCTGTTGTCTCAGAAGTCTCTTTCGGTCTCTGTTTCTTTGCCTAAGCAAAAGGCCTGGAAGTGCAATAATGACATCTGGGGAATTGGCCTACGGCTGCATAATAAATAAGTGCCATTTCCCTTGATTTCCTGTTGGTTCAGCCACGACTGAACCAAAAGTTTCAGAGCTGTTCAGAGAGTAAACTTGGTTGAGAGTGCGTCCTGGGGTAAGGCTGAAGTCGATAAGCTCCCACTCGGTTTCTTGTTCTCCATGATGGGGTCTGCAGAGCCTCTACTTTCCCCTCTGCCTCCGTCTTCCATGAGTTCACCTGTCTTCCTGTCTTCTGCTTTCCCATACTCTTGCTTGTAGCTGCCAGACTCAACAGAAGCAGGAGGAGGCAGGATGCAGCTGGGCCTTTGAGAGCTAGTCATGCACAGCTGTCAGCTCCTGCCAGTGGGTGGACATGTGAGAATCAGGGCTGCCCTGGGCCTCTCCTAGTCCTGCATGGCTGGGTACCTGTTCCTGGAGAGCACCTGTGATGCACTTCATGTCCTGGAACCTTCGCCTGATGATTGATCATCCCTGGCCTGAACCCCATGGGCTTGGCCTTGGAGAATCCCTGCTGTCATAGCACTTAGCCAATGACCTCTGGTGCTAGCCAAGGTGTGGATCACACAGCTGCCAGAATTCAGGATCCACAAATCCACCCCTGCAGAGGCAACAGAGTTGGAAACCTTGTCCTGATGAGAAGATGAAGTAACTTCTTGCTACTTGGAAGGGACAATTGTTATGCTTCTGGGATCTCCAGTGGTGATTTCCTCTCAGCTAGGGTTGGGGAGGGAGGGTGGGGAATAGTTACTTCACGGGCAACACATTCAGCAAGAACACAGATTTTTAGGGGGTAGAGGCACAGGTGGGGTGGAAGATGGGGAGCCTGGGGTTACAGTTCCCAGGCTGGGGGCCAGAGTGCTCGACGGAGCTGGTTGGGGGCAGGAAATAGATTGCTTCCAAGGTAATAAGAAAGAGTAAAGGGTGGGGGCAAGACAGAAGCTGGGGGACAGGAGGCAGGGGGTGGGGCCAGTAAGGTTTAAGCCTAGACTTTGGCAGAAGGGCACATAGTGAGTGGGAAGAATGACAAGGTTGGAGTGGGGCTTAGCCATGAGGAATCTTCTAGGAGGAACAACATCATGATGGCAGAGGGCTCCAGGAAGGGGATACTGGGAAAGGCATTCTCTGTCTCTGCAAGTGCATGATGGCTCTCTGAATGGTGACTTTATAAGGCAATATCCATGTTTTTAAACAGTTTATGATTTAGCTGATGGTGCATTGTATTCACTCAGTAGAGGGTTAAATAAAAGCTCTGGCAGCACAGGGTAAAATGACCAATACATGGCATTCAGTACGTATGGACCTTCTACGAAGGGAGGATTTGCAAATGGGATGGAATAATTGGAGGGAGCAGATGAAGGAACTGCAGTCTGACCTGATTCTTGAAGTACGGGGCAGGCTTTGGAGAGCTAGAGGGGGAGGGAAGTGGGGTCCAGGTAAGAAGAATGTACTACAGCAGAGTAGAGTGAGGTGTGTTTTCAGAACAAACCTAGCAGGCTGGCTGGGATGAAAACTCCATGAAGCAGACAAGTGGAGGATAGCAAGGAGGCCACAGTGATGCACTCCCCCAAGAACTGGAGGTAAGAAGCCTGCCAGTGCATAATCTGTCAGAGCATAGATGCACAAGCCCACCCTAAAATAAACGCCATTCCCTGGCCCAGGGGATTGCAGTGTAACAAGATACAATCTATAAAATTAACACATGGCAAAAAAACAATCAGAAGAAGAAGGGTTAGTCAGTCTAAGGAGCCTAGCAAATGAAATTTAGCTGTCCCCATCCAACTCTGTCAGGGAAGAGGGGGTTTTTAAACATTTTATTTATTTTTTATTTTACTTTAATTTCTGGGATACATGTGCTGAATGCAGGTTTGTTACATAGGTATGCATGTGCTACGGTGGTTTGCTGCACCTATAAACCTGTCATCTGGGTTTTAAGTCTCACATGCATTAGGTATTTGTCCTAATGCCCTCCAAGAGGGAGTTTTAACCAAATGATTTCTAATTTTTTGGTTTCATTGGCAAGAAGAGCATGGCATCAGGAGAGGCAGCATCAGAGAGCCTGAGTAGATGCTCAATTAGATGAACAAAGGAGCGAATAAATGATGTTATTAAATACTCCGTTAATCCAATTCTTCTTCTCTTTTTATACTCATCATGCATTCTTTTGATTGTAACTTAGCCTTCCTTCTAGATTTGCTTATGGAGAGAGAAGTGCTGATCAGAGACAGTTCAAGTATTCTAGTCTCCTCAACAGGAATTGCTTAGTATGACATGGTAAACTGTCTTTCTGGTTTTCTACATCATACCAATGAGTTTGGCTAATGGGAAAGATCCATTTTTGGTTTCTGAGATTGAGTATCAGACACTGGATGGTGGTCAATTTGCCAGCACAAAAATCATCGTGTGAGGCTTCTTGAGGACAGCCTTGCCATGGGTTGGGAGGGTGCTATGTGGAACAGGATTGTGGAAAGTCTTATACATCCGTGTGATGGGCCTTGAGTTTATTCTCCATGCATTTGGGTGGAGGTCAGGTCAATGAATACTTACTGAGCACTTGCTCTGGGAAAGGCACTGCTCTGTGTGGGAGGAAATGGTGACTAAATCGTCTGTGGAATCTACAGCGTACTGGGGAAGGCAGCTTCTCATGGAACCATTTGTGATGAGCGTTGAGAGAAAGGTAGAAAATAGACTTCAGGGAAGAGGTAGCAGTCAAATTGGGTCTAAAAGAAAGAGAAGAATTTTTAATTGGTAAAACCGTGGGAAAGTCCATTTTAGGGCGTGGGAGCAACTTAATGGATGAGAAGAATCTCCTTGTGGCTGTAAAGGGGTATTGGTAGGGAAAGGAGAAGGTTGGGTGAAGCAGAGACAACCTTGTTTGAGGGCCATCTTGTAAGTAATGACAAGCAGTTGGTGGTTGGTGAACATGAGTGTAATGAAAATGATTTTGTTTCTCTTTAGAAAAAAAGTTCTGGAAGGATCATGATGAATGGATTGGAAAGGAGACATGTTGGAGGTGAAAGATAAATCTAAGACTGTGCTAAGTACCAAGTGAAAGCCTGAACTAGAAGTGTAGGGGAGAGGTGGTGCAGGTGGAAAGAAAAGGGCAGATTCCAGCACAAGGTTCTCTCTCTCTCTCTCTTTTTTTTTCTTGAAACAGAGTTTCACTCTTTTTGCCCAGGCTGGAGTGCAATGGCACGATCTCGGCTCACTGCAACCGCCACCTCCCAGGTTCAAGTGATTCTCGTGCCTCAGCCTCCCGAGTAGCTGGGATTACAGGCACGCACCAACATGGCTGGATAATTTTGTATTTAGTGGAGATGGGATTTTACCTTGTTGGCCAGGCTGGTGTCGAACTCCTGTCCTCAGGTGATCTGCCCACCTCGGCCTCCCAAAGTGCTGAGATTACAGGTGGGAGCCACCATGCTCAGTCCCAGCACAAGGCTCTTAACACGTTGGCTCAGTGATCCCAACAAGGCCCATGGGTGGACTGAGGGGCTGCACAGATCTCAAAGGTTATGTGTCAGATTTTGTGGGAGTCACATATGAATGTAACTGGGGAGAGGATTCTGTTAGCTAGCATCCCCCAGCGAAGATGCCAAGATGGGATTAAACATTCAAGACATTTCACAGGAGAAATGCCTGTGGGAGAAAACAGAGGGGATGCTGGGAGGGGCTGAGCGAGCTCTCAGAGAGAGAAGGAAGGAAGGAGGGTTAAGGGGGAATCCTCCAGCCAAATTACCCATCGGAGGAGCCTCTACTCTTCCAGGAATGGCTGTGCTTAGTATTCCTGCCGTGTTTAGTAATTGGGAACGGGCTGTCAGAAGCAGAGGCTAGGTGCCAATGCAGCCGCTCTGTGTTTCAGCACAGCAGCCAGGAGAGCAGAGAGGCTCCTGTTCATGATCACCACAAGGACACATGGCTTTTATTGGATTCTCAAAGAGGTCCATGGCCAAAAGGGGTTAAAACCTTTCTAGAAACTGTTGAGGCAAAACTAACAACATGTAAATAACTTATCTGCATATCTAGGAGAATGGTGATGATGCTACCTGTTCTATGACATGTAGCATGAGGCACTGTGCCAGGGAGTGTGTTTTGTTTCTGCCATGTTGTGTTTGAGATGCCAGAAGCTCAGAGGACACAGTTCGAGTTGCAGCTCTGTGAAAGAGTGTTTTCATAGAGAAATTGAGGTGACAATGGAAACAATAGGAATGAATAAGTTTTCCTCAAAAGAGTTTAGATTGAGCAGAGCAGAGGGTCAGATGACATTGTTTTAGATGGGGGCACTGGGGCATAACAGTCCAGGTATATTGTTGAGAGAAACCAGGATAAGAGTGAGAGGCATGGTCCAAAAGAGCAGCAGATAATCACTAGAGCACTTGCATCTTAAAAGCAATGAGGACAGACGCTAAAAAAGAGTGGGGTTGTCAAAAAGGCCAAATGCTTGCAGAATGTCAAGTAGGGAGAGGTCTGAGAAAAGTAGTCATGTTTTAAGAAGAAAAGAACCAGGAAACAGACTTTTCCAGGTATGCCCACAGCCCTCATCTTATCGTGTTATTACATTTGTATTATAGTATTTTCTTGCATTTTTGGAAGAATTGTTCACTACATTCTATCCCTTCTCAATTCCAAATTAGGAAAAAGTAGGTAGGGTCTTGTTGGAGGTTGGAAGAATCATTTCTATTGCAAAGAAATGAATGGTGCTCTTTATAAATGTCTGAGGCATTTTTTCCCCTTTTTCTGTATCTTGGATTGTCGCTCAAACCCCACGAAGCAAAATCTAAACAATCCCTACTGCTTGTGCTTTATGTCGAATATTTTAGAAGTAACGCATATCTGGCTTTTGATAGCATACCATAGCATTTAAAAAATAGATGATTGGTATCATCATTTACTGAATTCACTTTTGAAAAAACAAATTTGTGGGGGAAAGATCCTTTTCCCTTGTAATGTGGGGATTGAAAGCTTGTACTGTTGTCTGATGGTTCAGAAATGCTTCTCTGTGCCAGTTATTGATCCATGTTGTTTGATGACCAAGAGTTTAATTCTTATAAACCGTAAGTGTATGGAGGATCGATTTAAGAACTATCTATTTGGACAGCATGCCTTGTCCTTTTCAAAATGGCACTTTTGGTTTTATCCACTGGGTTACTCAATGTCCCTTCTATGAAAATCCATATGACTAATTTACTTGATTTTTATTCTGGGAATCATTTATTTCTTATGTGAAATTTATTGATTTTTTTTTTTTTGAGACAGTGTGTCATGCAGGCTGGAGTGCAGTGGCATGATCACAGTTCACTGCAACCTTGACTTCCCGGGCTCAAGTGATCCTCCCACCTCAGCCCCCTGAGTAGCTGGAACTATAGGTGCATGCGACCATGCCCGGCTATTTTTTTTTTTTTTTTTTTTGGTAGAGTCTGGGTTTTGCCATGTTGCCCAGGCTGGTCTTGAACTCTTGAGCTCAAGCAATCTGTCTGCCTCGGTCTACCAAAGTTCTGGGATTACAGATGTGAGCCACCACACCAGACCTCCATACTAATATTCATTTTAATAAGTTTTAACTTATTAGAATATGCAAATTTTGTAATATATCATATTTCCCTCTCCCCTTTGTTACCAGGATATTACTGCATACTTAGGTATACTAATAGGTTAATCTTGGTCCTGGTAAGATGACTCCCAGAGAAGTGCTTAGTTAATATATATTTGTTGAATGACTGACTGACTGAATGAATTAGTTCCTTTTGACCAGCTAAGTTCTATTCATGATGTAAATGTAATATGGTGCGTTAGTTTGTCAATTATTTTGGGTTACCTTGGAAGTAGACTGAGCATTAATCCTGAATTCAATCTATAAAACAAAGAAGCAAGCTGCAACCACAAAAAATAAAACAAAGAATACGACAATGAGTTTCTCTGATCTTTCATGGCTTAATGTAATATAATGTAATCTACAAGAGTAAAACGAATGGTGTTTTCATGTTTAAGGTGGTTCAAGAAGAAAAATTACCACTTTATTTTTAGATAATAGTTTTGAGTTGGTTGAAGGAAAAAGATCATGGGAGAAGTATGGTCTTCTCAGAAAGTTTAGACAAAACTTACTAATGTTGTGACTTTAGAGAGCTAAATTTGTAAATAAAATTGAAGTAATAATGTCAAATATCTCCTAGAGCGGTGTATGAATTAAATGTGATAAAGTGTGTGAAGCCCAGGACACATGATCAGATCTTGCTAATTGTTCAGAAAACTTCCATTCCCTTCCTTCCTTCCTTTCCTGTGAGCATCAGCACACTCAGAAATTTAATTATGGGAGATGAAAGGCATTCAAAAAACACTCAATTTTTCTCACTCTTATAAATCAATAACACATTTATGAGTTATATTTTAGTGTCCTTACCAGAGAAAACAAGATCAACAAACTCAAAAACTAGGTACCAAGTCTCACTGTTCTCTTGTATTAGAATGACTGTAAAAGGTCTGTGGGCATTCTTAGTTAGCACTTTAAAATCAGGCTTTCCTGAGTCCTATGAGGAAGCCCGCAAACCACTCACTCTGCTTCAGGGTATGAATATCCTAGTGAAGAACTGATATTTTCTATAAGATTATTACTTATCATGACTGAAGCTCAATAGATAAATTAAAAGCACAGCTACTCCTCAGCCCTGAAAATGACTCACTTCTCAAGTAATGCTCTCACTTCACTTGAAGATGGGCTTCAAGATGCCCTGAATCAGAAATGCTCATTGTCAAACGGGTCTCTGGCCCGTTCCCAGAAGAATTTGTGGGTTGTCTAATAGAACTGCGAAGTCATTTGGCTGAGTGCTTTCTGGAGCTTGTCCTGCCAATTCCTGGAATTTGCACCAGGTCACTTGTTATCCATTTTAGCTGACTGAACAGTTTAAATCACGGGTGTGAAAAGGCAACCAAAGCAATAGTTGGCAAAGCCCTTCCAGGAATATGCTATTGCCATCTTGACCATGTGTAAGCGGGGTCATGAACTACAACTGGCTCTTTCTTCCCTTTGCAGAAAACACACACACACACACTCACTATTTGTTTAAGAATAAGTATTAGTCTCTGCGAAAATGGACTTACAATGAACATCTGCAAAAAGACAAGAAATCTAAGCCTGAGCAGAAAATACTCCAACTCACTGAAAGCAAACCCTCTGCCAACTCAAACGGGTCTCCAGCCTTGCTTTGAATAGTTTGGGTGTTCTTTTTTAGATTGATTAGAGCTTAAATGTTCAGTGCCACTCTCTATCTCTGTTACAGTGCAAATGTGGTGTTCAGGTATTTATTTTCCAGTTTAGCATTTCATAATAGTCTGTTATTTTCTGCCTAGGTTGCTTTGTGACAGTCTCATGCAGAATTTCCTCCCGTGTGGTCTTTTCTCTTTTGGATACATCTCATTATCCATTTAAGTGTAATGAGATAAATATGGGCCATCAAGTGACTGTAGGGGAATAAGTGCCCAGAACCACCTTGCAAATAAGTAGTTGCTCTCTCACCTGGAGAGCTTTAAAATATGTCCACACTGGAAACATTTTAAGGGATAGGTTAAAAATTTTTTTTACCTAGTATTGCATCTATGCAGTTCTTACAGGAGTTTTGTTAAAACTCTACTTATCATGAGTACATGTGGGTGTTTATGGAATCAAGAAAGTGGACATGAACTGGTTTTCCCATTGGGCATGTTTCATGCAGGGTACAAAGTATAGCAGTGATCAGAAATGCTTGATTTCTGTGGAAAAGGCAGCCACTAAGGTCAGAGCCTTGGGGAAAGGCGGTAGATGGTGGAGGTAGTATGACCAGAATAGCTGGCGGCTGCTGCCAGAAAGGGCAACAGTTAATTCTGGACTTTCATTGCAAGCAAAGAGGGATGTAAGTCTGCACCTGAGGGCCTGGCTCCCCAGGGCAAGAGGAATGACTCTGAGGCTCACCGTGCAGTGTTTAGTATGAGGAAGGAGGCTACTTGCCCTCTGGGCCTTCACTATCCTCTCCTGTTGCTAGGTACTTCATTAGAGCAGGAGGTTAAACAATTCACCTACAAAACAAGACCCCACCCTTTGTTTCTCTGCTCAAGTGTCCTATGGAGTTTTGCCACATAGTTTGTGGCATTCTCTGATGCACCAGGATTTGTGTCAAACCCTTAGACTCTGTCCTACTTTAATTTGTGAAATGGAGGTTGGAAGCTGGGACAATACACAGATGATAGTTCTGTAATCTTAAAAATAATTATTCAGAAAATCTCTTCTATCTCCTCTCTCCATCTGAGTATCATGGGAATTCAAATTTAGAGATTAGTTTCTCCTAAAATCAGGACTGCTGTTCATGTTGCTGTAGTAACATTGGTAATGAAAGAAAGAGTTTCCAGGAGACCCATTTGTCAAACTCTATTCCAATCACAAGGGCTGGATTTATAAATTCCATAGACTACTTCAACTTCATTTTTTCTCTACAGAGTCATGTATTATTTTACAGTTAGGCATTAAAACTATGTAACTGGATTAAAAAGTAATGAAATACTTACTATGACTGGTAGGTTCGCTATTTGAGATAAATTTAAAAGATCACAGTCATCATTGTACATAGCCAGTGTTTTCTTTCTTGAGTTCATAGATGCTTTAGTGGTAAAACTTTTTCCAAGTCCTGCCCATGGCCATGATATAAAGACATGCCATCAAACTTCCTGCAAACCAGAAAAAAATGATACACTCAAACTTTTGGAGCTGTGGAAAACTGGATTCCAATCTCAGATATTGACTTTGACTCCACAGATAATTGACTTTGATATTGATATCATTATTAGTGTGTGATGCATTCTTTCAGAAAGGTTCTGCAGGAGTGTAACATGATATACTCTAAAATATGTGCTTTGGTTAGAAGATGGCAGGTTGAGCACATGTTTGCCTTTTGAGTCACCAAAGCTCACTGGGGACAAAAAAGGATAGAAGTTGCTAACCCATAGTGAGAAGGCCAGGATAAGGACAAGGAGAGTTGGGCAGCCAATAGATAAGAAAGTTTAATCAGTTTAATAAATTTCCGGGAGATAGAGAACAGAAATGTGTTGAATGACAGAAGCCCAGAACATGCTATGGGAGGTAGTAGAGCAAGTAAGAGCCAAGAAACTTGAAGAGACTTTAGGTTCTACATCAAACCATAGGATAGGACAGGAGTAAGGGGTACTAATTAAAGAACAACTTATGGAACAACTACATAGGTGGGTGCAATTCTCATAGGAATTATGTTAAAACTCTACTTACTATGAATACATGTGGGTGTTTATGGAATCAAGAAAGTGAACATGAACTGGTTTTCCCATTGGGCATATTTCATGCAGGGTACAAAGTACAGCTGTCTCTCACAGCTCTGTATGCAGAATGGCAAAATGCCTGAGACTTATCTGTAAACCAACCAACCAGGCAACCAACCAACCCACCAACCAACCAAGCAACCAACCAACTCACCAAGCAACCAACCAACCAACAAACCAACCAACCCACCAACCAACCCACCAACCAACCCACCAACCAACCAAGCAACCAACCAACTTACCAAACAACCAATCAACCCACCAACCAACCAATCCATCAACCAACCCACCAAGCAACCCACCAACCAGCCAAGCCACCAACCCACCAACCAACCCACCAACCAACCAACCAACTCACCAACCAACAAACCCACCAACCCACCAACCAACCAACCAACCAACCAACCAACCAACTCACCAACCAACCAACCAACCAACCAACCAACCCACCAACCAACCAACCAACCCACCAACCAACCCACCAACCAACCAACCAACCAACCAACCAACCAATCCACCAACCTACCATCCAAACAATCAGCAAAAACAGAGGGGGTATTTTGTAAAACAAAAATGAACTCAAAGGAAAATTTAAGGTTCTAGCTGTGTGCTATTGCCTGTGGTAGACCTACTACCTAACAGAGGCTGGCCCTTCATTTATTCTAAAGCAGGCTAAAGCAAAACTGTCACTGATATGCTTCAGTCATTTGAATAGACTTCCCAGTCAGAATTCCCTCAAAGAGAGAGCCTTTTGGAATATAGATCTACTTACACAATGGCAGAAGAAAGCTACACCAGTCACCCAGGTTTTTGTTGTTAAATATGAATGAACATCATCAGTCATGGGAAAAAATAGGAAGAACCTTCAGTCGTAGGCAAAAACCAGCCACATGGAAAAGAAAGTCCAAGGTAATCTGTATCAGCCAAGATGCCTTGGGGCTGCTCTGTCTATGGAGTAGACATTCTTTTATTCCTTTACTTTTCTAATAAACTTGCTTTCACTTTATGGACTCACCCTGAATTCTTTCTTGCGTGAGATCCAAGAGCCCTCTCTTGGGGTCTGGATTGGGACCCCTTTTCTGTAATTTGTGGACTTCAAGCTTGATGCAGCAACTGAATGAGACTGTGATTGTCTCCCTTGGTGATGGGGTAAGGAATGTTCTATGAGTATACATGAATATTGAGGAGCCAAAGGGAGGACTTTGGCAGACACTATAAATTGGATTACTCAACACCTGCTTGCAACCTCCTTTGCTGTTATTTGCTTTTATAGTAGAGGGAGTAACTATAAATACTCACCCAGCTAGTGAGTGGGTGAGTATTTATACTATAATACCACCTACACAGCTAGTGGTAGCAATACAACACAATTCTGGCCAGTAAGACACAAATTTATGGAGGAAACTGCTCTAGGAAAAATATTTGCTTGGTTGATAAAGGTAAATGATGCAGCTGCCCCTGGCCCTCTCTTCCCTTTTCCACTTCCTGCTGCCCGGATTACAGATGTAATTCCTAGAACTGCAGTCATCTTGCAACCATGGGACAGCAAGCCAATGTGCGAAGAGGGTATAGTGAGAAAGAGAGTCTAGGTTTCTCATGACATCATTAGCCACTGTATCAGTTCTGGATTGCCTGAACTCATTGATATTTGAGTAAATTAAACCATATCTATTTAGGACATTATAAATTAAATATTCCGTTACTTGAGACTGAACAGCAACTGGCTAATAACATAAAAGAAGGAAGTGGAGTGAGGAGGAAGGAAGGAATGAAGGACAGTGATGCTAATAGCCTTGTCTTACATAGGGTAGGATTGAGAAACTGACTTCTGTCATTGGAATCTTGCCTGTTTTGATATTTAATCATTGCTCATCTACCTCCACATTTTTTTTTGTTTTTTAATCCTGAGATCTTCTCCCTATTTAATAAAATATTTTAGGCTGAGGCATTCTAGGCATTCCAGAGGAGGGCCGATGAGGCTACATGCATTGATCAAATTCTTGGCTTTTGAAATTCTAAGTGTGCTTTTGAAATTTATTTTCTTGAAATCCAAAGGCTTTTGCTTTGCAAGAGAAAGAAATATGTCATTGAATTCCAAAAGCTTGGTTTTAAGTAGCCAAGGAAAAATCTCTGAAGGAATTAGGGCATAAAGGTTAGTTTGCCTGAAGTGAGGAAGGAGGATAGAGGTTTAGAGAGTCAGGGGGAAAGCAAGTGCTTGGGGCTTGCTTGTGTCCTGGCCACCCTCGGCCCCCAACCCCAATCCTGGAGTGGAAGTGTCAGAGGTGTTTGAACCAGAGTGACTCCATCTTGAATAGTCCCTAAGTAACATAAGGCTGAGACCTTCTGGGCTGCATTCCCAGGAGGTTAGGCATTCTTAGTCACAGGATGAGATTGGAGGTCAGCACAAGATACAGGTCACAAAGACCCTGCTGATAAAACAGGATGTGGTAAAGAAGCCGGCCAAAACCCACCACAACCAAGATGGGGATGAAAGTGACCTCTGGTTGTCCTCACTGCTCATTATATGCTAATTATAATGTGTTAGCTTGCTAAAAGACTCCCACCAGTGCCATGACGGTTTACAAATGCCATGGCGATGTCAGGAAGTTACCCTATATGGTCTAAAAAGGGGAGGAATCCTCAGTTCTGGTAATTGCTTGCCCCTTTCCCAGAAAACTCATGAATAATCTACCCCTTGTTTTGCATATAATCAAGAAATAACTCTAAGTATACTCAGCTGAGCAGCTGTATATACCACTGCTCTGCCTATGGAGTAGCCATTATTTATTCCTTTACTTTCTTAATAAACTTGCTTTTGCTTTACTCTCCGGACTTGCCCTGAATTCTTTCTTGTGAGAGGTCCAAGAACCCTCTCTTGGTGTCTGAATAGGGACCGCTTTCCAGTAATGGGAGGGGGTAGTTTGGAAAAGAGTAAGAGAAGAAAGGAGCAGTACACCCCTTTCTGAGAGTCAGCAAGCTAAACACAAGACTCACAGAAGTGCCTCTACCTCCTAACAGAGTGTGCCATAGCTGTACAATGGGAATTGTAGTGGGGAGGGCCAAGGCTCAGGGGAGGGCCTGAGACAGCCCTGCTGAGATTCCTGTGTCCCCATAGTCACAGAAGACAGTTGGAGAACTGTTCACTTCCCTTAAAGGGTCACAGAAGGGTTAAGATGGTGAGTGGATCTGAAGGAAATCTTTTATGAGAACATGGATGATTCAAACCATGTGAACTAATAACCAGAGTTCATGGCGGTGCCTGGAACAGCTCAGCAGATGTCAAGAGATGTTAATGACCAAACATCAGGAGATGCCAAGTAGGACAGAGGTCAACCATATCTATTTAGGGCATACCTACCTAGGATACCTCCCCAAAGTGCTTTGGCACCACATAAATCCCCAAGAAAAGACCTGCCCTCCCAGGAAAGTGGGAGGTAATGGAGGAATTCAGTTGGACTGTATAGAGTTTAAATGTAAAATGACTGTGCTTGCTTGGAATCGACAATGATTAAGGTTTATGTCAGCTGGTAAAATGTGGTCTTTTAGTTACAGAAAATAAAGTTAATCTTTTTTTTTTTTTTAAGTGCCCAAGAACATGGCCGGAGAAAATTGAACCTTGCTACAAAAGAAATTGAGGCATAAGTATATTATTTAAAGTAATTAAAGATAAACAAGCAAAGAAGTAAAAATGATAATACATCAAATATTAGAAGGAGGAAAAGGTGGGAGAAGAGAGGATGGTTGTATAAGTTAATTAAATCCTCATCTTTCATTTCTGGGAGACAATAGGCTAAATATAAATTTGATACATTCAGAAATCTCATATGCACGTTATTTAGTATTTTGAAAGTAGCAAGTATAAGAATTAAAGAACTGAAACAGTTAAGATGTTGTTTCTTGGGAGAGGAACTGGGGGGAAGGTAGGAGACTATTTCTTTCCATCAAAAATTGTTTTTTCCTATTTGATTTTTTTCTTACAATATATCCATGTTACCTTTATATTAATTAAACTAGAAAAAAATAATCATGAGCCTGTGTGTGATTTGTTTGTGCTATATGCTGCAGTGGTCTATGCTAATAGAATATGCATACTAAAGATAAAAATACCTCTGATAATTGTTCTAAGAATATGAAATACTGTGCATCACAAAGAGGCTTTGCAGAGCTCTGCGAGAATTCCCAGACTCTATGGGCAAAGACGGCAACCACCAGAACAATAGGAAATAGACATGATGGACAAGAGATAGGAGAAGGACAAACAACATGCAAAGCTTAGATAGGCAGGGCTTTTCAAAAATAGTTATTGGGATTGTATCAAAAGTTGTGCCATGGCAATTGGAGCCTTGGGATGATACATTTGGAATTTGGATTGTCTTCTGTGAAATGTAGTGGGAGTAGTTCTCAAGGCTTACACACACACACACACACACACACACACGCACACACACACACACCACCCTAGGTTTAGCTTGAGCTGTAGCCCATCAATCACTATCTTTTTCTCACTCAACCCTAGGCTTTTGGAAGCACAGTTAGAGGACCCGAAAGTCATGGTCTGTGACAAACCCATGTCCTCTCAGAGGCAGGAGACTGACAGAGTATAGGAAGTTATGAGTGAAACCTGAAGTCATGTGACCCATGCTTAAACAAGTGATGGCCCTGGAATGAAGAACTGTGAATTATGCAGGTCAAGGAGACGGCTCAGCAAACCCTTGTAGTGTTGTCAAGCAAAAGCCCCTTTGTGCACTGAGATCACTTCTTTGTCTGGGTGTTCTTTATACCTACAACTCTGGCCAATATCCTTCATTATTTTCTTGGGCGAATGGAACCAAACAGTAGAGACACATTCTGGTACAGGTGAATGAGTGATATGCATGACATCCCCCAATCAGTGCTTCAGGCAGTACATGCAGTACCACTTTCAACATGCTGCTGAGCTCATTCTTAGAGGCTAGAGAGGTGAGTAAGGTCTATATATATATCCCACATTGGTTTAGGACTGGTAGGAACAATTAGTATGATTAAACATTTCAGCCTGACATCCCTTGAAAGTATTTACGGAACTCAAAAAAGTCACAGAATGAGCTGAGATTTAATTTCTAAAAATGTCTTCAACCCATGGCACTACAGTTATATTCATGCTGTTCCACAATGATATCATGGTTCTACCAAAGAAAAATTCTCATCATGTGGCTAGGAAGAGGAAGAGGTGAATAGGAGCTTCTGACCTCTACAGTGCAATTTTGCTTTCCCAATGACAGCACCCTGGAAGCATTGGGGGTAGATTGCTTTGCTAGAATGTAATATGTGAAAACCACCTTTGCTTTCTGGCCATTCATCTGGCCACCCAGGAGCAAGCTTCTTCAGAGCCAACATTATGGAACGAGGATTAATCAAAATCAAATTCCATACACATATTTATACCTCTAACAGGTGCTGTGGTTGAAATTCAGCCCTAGGGTTTTTGAAGTCTGGGAAGAAGTTGGAAAACCTGCCATTTAAAAACTGCCAGCAGTTGTCTACTTCAGTGGAGGCCTCAGAGTTCCTTTCTAAAGAAGATAGTTCAACTGGGTGGGGTGGCTCACGCCTGTAATCCCAACACTTTGGAAGGTCGAGGTGGGTGGATCGCCTGAGGTCAGGAGTTCGAGACCAGCCTGGCCAACATGGTGAAACCCCCTCTCTACTAAAAATATAAAAATTAGCCGCGTGGTGGCGCACGCCTGTAATTCCAGCTACTTGGGCGGCTGAGGCAGGAGAATTGCTTGAAACCAGGAGGCAGAGGTTGCAGTGCACCAAGATCGTGCTATTACCCTCCAGCCTGGGTGACAGAGCAAGACTCTGTCAAGAAAGGAAGGAGGGAAGAAAGGAAAGAAGGGAGGGAGGGAGGGAGGTAGGAAGGAAGGAAAGAAAGGAAGGAGAAAAGAAAGAAAAGAAGGAAGGAAGAAAGAGAAAGAAGATGGTTCTTTTGTTCTGGGTGAACTGCTTCAAAGCAAATACCCTTAACACCCTCCTGTCGCTTAAATTCTTTCCAGGCATTAAGTGAAAAGCTATTACATGAAAAATATTTCCATTAATTGTAATTAATTCTGTCCTCACCTGAAATTCTCACAACCAATTTTCTCAGAGAGATAAATACATCATTTGGATAATGAAAACAAGATTAAATAGTTAATAAACAACAATTGTAAAGCACATAGAATTTGCACATAAAATGTAATGTAATGGAGGTTTAGTATACATATTTTTTCCCTGCGCCACTTTCTTCACCAGTTTTTCAACCACTTTGGGACTTGTGTTTATGTTGTATTCAAACTGCATTTGAAATTAAGTTTAAGCACAAATTTCTTCAGGGCAAAATAGAGCTAAACATGACAGCACTTTGGAAGATGTGGAAATAGTGCAAGAGTGCAATAGACTGAAGATAGTGGAAGAGGCCACTTTTTCATTTCTTTTTCTCTGTGTATATATACAGAAAGCTAAACATTTAAATGTGCGCAATTCAGATTTTTTCCAGTTGATATTCTCTAACTAGAAACCATTGGACTGAGTAAATTGGTGAATGTGGCTTTGCCTGAACATATAGTTTCAGAATATGATTTCGTATATCTCATTTATTTAGTATGTCTTGGGATACAAAAGTCATTATACTGAAACAAGGCACGTGATAGGCAGAATAATGGCCTCCGCCCAACGATGTCCATGTCAAAATTCTCGTAACTCATGAATATGTTACCTTATGTGGCAAAAGAGACTTTGCAGATGTGGTTATGTTAAAGATCTTGGGGTGGAGGGATTATTGTGGATCATCCAGGTGGGCCATTGTCATTGCTAGTGTCCTTATGAGTAGGGGAAGGGCAGGGGATCAGAGAAAGCAAAGTGACGACGGAAGCAGTTGCAAGCAAGGAACCGCTAGATGAGGATACAGACGGGGGGTCTCTAGAAGCTGGAAGAGGCAAGGAAATGGATTCCCCCTGGAGATTCCAGAAGGAATGTAGTCTTTGCCTTTCTATTTTAGACTTTTCATCCTGGAAATTGGAAGATAATATGTTGTTTTTAAGGCACTAAATTTGTGGATATGTGTGACAGCAGAAATAGGAAACTAATGCAAAGAATCATTGTTTGCAAAGTAGTGTAATTTTCAAGAGCCATTATGGTAAACTTATTACTTTGACAGTCTGTATGAGATGTAAATCTGTGCCCACCCTTCATTCTATAGCAGGGGTCCCCAGCTCTCCACCTGCAGAGTGGTACTGGTCCATGGCCTGTTAGGAACTGGGCCGCACAGCAGGAGGTGAACAGCAGGTGAGTGACCATTACCGCCTGAGCTTTGCCTCCTGTTGGATCAGCCGGGGGAGTTAGATTCTCATAGGAGCGTGAAACCTAGTGCGAATTGCGCATGCGAGGGATCTAGGTTGTGCACTCCTTATGAGAAGCTAACTAATGCCTGATGATCGGAGGTGGAACAGTTTCATCTGGAAACCATCCTCCACCTTCAGTCCACGGCAAAATTGTCTTCCATGAAACTGGTTCCTGGTGCCAAAACGTTTGGGGACCACTGTTCTCGAGGACTAGGCTGAAGTCAACTCTAACCTGGATGTAGATGTTTGAGACTGAAGTGTTAAAAGCCTATTTTAGGAGCATAGATTTCTGAATCCAGCTTAGATAGAAATGTGTCTCCAGACACATTTTGCTGTTGCTGTTTGTGGGGAATAGCATAGACTGTGACAACAGGCTGGAAGAAGTGGTAGGAAAAAAATATTTTTTTTGTTCTGTATGGTTTGGGATATCCTTGTACTCAAAGTGTTCATTATCTCTGGTGCGATGAGTGAAATTTTTATTTTGGTACTGCTATGTATTGAATTGTGTCCCCCCAAAATTCATATGTTGCAGCTCTAACCTCCAATGTGATGGTGTTTGGAGATGGGACCTTTGAAAGGTAATCAGGTTAAAATGAGGTCATGAGGGTGGGGCTTTCATGATACAATTAGTGTCCTTATAAGAAGAGATGGCAGAGAACTTGCTCAGTCTCTCTGCCACATGAGGAACCTAGCAAGAAGATGGGCCATCTGCAAACTAGGAAGAGGGCACTTTCCTGAACTCAGCCATGCTGGCCCCTCATCACAGACTTCCAGCCTCCAAAACTGTAAGAAAATAAATTTATTCGTGGCATTTTCTTATGGCAGCCTGAGCTAACAAAGACAGATCTGAGAGGAAATGAAGAGAAGGGTGTAAGGCTTGATTTCCGTATCACTCGGATGGGAGGGGAAATAGAAAGGCCCAGGCTAGTCCAGATTGAGAAGAAAACCCAAGGTACAGGAGAATTGTTATTTCCTGAAGAGATCTGGTGGCCCATTGTGGAGGGGGCTGATGTTTGATTACTGCAGGTATAATAGGCAGTTTTAAGATGCCCCTCAAGACTCCTGGTCCTGATATACACATACTTTCTTCCAATTATTTAATCAAACACTAATCTAGGTGCTGCTGTGGAAGTTTTGCAGATCTAGGAAGTTTTGCAGATGTGATTGAGCTCCCAAATCAGTTGACATTAGATAGGGCGTGCATGTGGGTGGGCCTGACCTAATCACATGAGCCCTTCAAATTTGGATCTAGAGGTCAGAGACAGGAAGTCAGTAATTCAAAGCACAAGAAGGACTTGAGGCCAGGAGCACTGGCTCACACCGGTAATCCTAGCTCTTTGGGAGGCTGAGGGGGGAGAATGGCTTGAGTCAGGAGTTCACGACCAGCCCCAGCAACATAGCAAGACCTGTATAAAAAAAACTAAAAAAAATTAGCTAGGTGTGGTGGCTCATACCTGTGGTCTCAGCTACTCAGGGGGCTGAGGTGGGGAGGACTGCTTGAATCTGGGAGGGTGAAGCTACAGTGAGCTGTGGTCCTGTCACTGCAGTCCAGCTTGTACAACAGAGTGAGATCCTGTCTTTAAAAAGAAAGAAAGAAAGAAAGAAAAAAACCCAACTTGACACACCATTGCTGGCTTAAAGATGGAGGAGGCCACATACTAAGGAATGTGGGTGGCCTTGAGCTGCTGAAAGCAGTCCTGGCTGACAGCCAGCAAGGAAACAGGAACCTTAATTCTACAACTTCAAGGAACTGAATTCTGTGAACAGTGCGAATAGTTTGGAGGCAGAATGAATGGCTTAGAGCCTCCGGAGAAGGACTCAGCCCAGTCAGCACTTTGATGTCAGCCTTGTGAGACCCTACGCAGAGAACACAGCCATGCTGTGCCAAACTCCAAACCTACAGAACTGTGAGCTAATAAACAGGCATTGTTTTTTAAGCTGCTAAATGTATAGTAATTTGCTACTCAGCAATAGAAAACCCATATAGCAGTCTGCACTTTTCTGGTTTCTCCACCTCTGTGCATGGACTCCAGCTTTCTAGGAATGAGACTCAGTTAAGCAGTGAGACTTTTACCTGGAGCCACACATTTATCAGAGAGTCCATCTCTGTCCAGCCTCTAAGGTAAAATATACCTAGAATAAATTTTGGAAGCCTTGGAAATGGCCCTTGGGGCCTTTAAAATTTATAATATATTGTTTTCTATGCAGTTAAGCATATAAACTCAGAACCCTTATTTTTGTTATTAAAAATATACGTGGCTCCATGTCTATTCATGGGCTAGACCATTTTAAATATAGAAATGGCCTAGATAATCAAATTTCAGGAGTTGTTTATTATTGTAGATGATGTATGAGAATTACCTTTTATTTTACAAAATCTCTACTATAAGGAAAAGAACCTGCTGACTACTTTCCTAAACAACCAGAAATTTTAAAGATGGGGTTTGCAAGCTATTTTCCACAATCCATCTGTTTGATAAAATGTGTTTTTAGTAAGTATCAGTGTATCCAATTCAATTCAGCAAACAGTGAATATTCTATTTTCTTTTCAAAAATGTTGCCTGAGTAAGTTCATGGAAACATTTTTTTTCCCACTGCACAAATCAATCCCATTAAAAGAGGTCCATTAAAAAGCTGCTACGTAAGGCACTGTGAGATCCATTACAGTAGATTTAAACTATCCCCACAAAAAGATACCATATGTCTAGTATGAAGACAGAAGATTTGTTGCTGGAGTCAGAACACCAAACTCAGATGGGCTTACACAAAATTAGAAATTTATTAACTTAACTGACAAGTACAAAATTAGGCCTGGCTGCAAGTGCTGTTTTATCCAGAGGTTCAAAATATCACAATTTCTCTATGACTGTTTTAGCTCATGTCCCCTCCTTTATGTGCCCGATTTATCTCTGGGCTGGCCCCCCTCATGCTACCAACATGACTTGTGCAATTCTAGACCTTACACCCTCACTACAACATCTGAGAAAGTGAGGATGTGTCTTCTTGGAGTTCTTTCGGAAGATAATGGAGGCTCTTATTCTCAAAGTCCCAGCCGATATCTCTTAGGTCTCCTGGTTCTTAATCAAGTCTTATCTTCTTCCCTAAACAAATTCTCAAGACTCTGAAACAGAAGAGAGGAGGAGGAGATAGGAAGCAGTATGTTTTGCTTGAAAACAATGGGAAAGCAAATTCCACCCAAACCACGTGCCTGAGAATAGGAAAGGGACAATTATCCAAAGAAAATTTTGGAGCTGCTGGACAGAAGAGGCGAATCAATATATGTCTATGGTAGTAGAATAAAATAAATGGGGTAAGAAAAGCACAAAGTACTCTGATGCTATGGTGTCAAAAGGGAGAAAAGCTCAACCTTTTGTCAGGATTGGGAGGATAAGAGATTTCACAAAATAGTTGTGGTTTGCCTATTATTGTTACTTATTTTTGAAGCTCCATCACAGGGGGAAAGAAAGATACCCTCAGACATAGGAACATACCAGCAAAAGCAAAAGGGCAGACAAGTGTAGAGCTGTGTGATGGTAATGCCAGTCTATGATACAAAAATGTTGAGAAACAGAGCTGAAAGGGGAAGTTGGAACCTTACTGTGAAGGGCTTTCCTTGAATTCCAGCAGAAGAAATCAGATTTAACGTAGAAGCCAGTGGGGACTCCCTGACTGTTTTTGAATAGGAGAAAGACATAATCAAATATGCCCTTCAGAAATATTAATCTGCTAGCAAAGAATTGGCTGAATTGCAGAAGAGGGAGACAAAATTCAGAGAGACGGGTTAGGAAGCTATTGTAATATTCCAATGAGAAGCAATAATGACAGATGATGGTTAAGTGGAAGGAGATGATGCAGTGATGTAGAATCTTCATAGCTTGCTAATAAATTTGTTGGAAAGAATTAAAGGAGGAAGATAGTGACAGAGCTTTGATGTCAGATGATTATCAAGAAAGTGGTATTATTGATGAAAATGGAGAACTCAAAAGGAAGAGGTTTTTGAGAGCAACAGGCTCCACAAACAGCGAGTGATAAAGACTGAAAGCCTCTGTCATAGATGATCCTTAATTGCATGACAATCCAAGGGGCCTCTCTGCTATAATTCACCCCTTTTATAAGCAAACGTCATTAACTGTGACATTTCCTACCATGTCCATTTATAATCTCTTAACATCACAGACCCATAACCCAGGGGCAGAATCACAAGCCTTCAAAACTGTTGGGGTTGAGTGAGTTTGAAAGACATCATTTTTCCTTAAGCAGGTTCAGAATGGAAACTCCAGAGTCAGGTAGATGGAGATCAACAAATTATCTTTAGTGCTGACAAAACTTTAAAGAGGCCGAGGCTTAGTCTTAGAGTCAAATGGACTTCCTTAGTTTGCCCCCGAGAATTAAAACAACTCACTTCTTTAAGCTGGTGTTTGGGATGTACACTTTCTCCTGCAGGGACAAAGCCTCTACATGAAAATTTACCCTTAGTCCTAAGAGTATGACACCTTCTCTATGGGCAGGCAGATGCCAGAAAAGAGAGGGATATATTGGTTCAATTCTTTAATTTCTTGCTCTGGTGGGGAGGAAGGAGTAGAGGGAAGGAAGGAGGCTGAGGTTTCGCCTCCAGGATGTCCCTCCACGTGGTGTGAGAGATAAATCTTCCTCACTGCCAGTGGAGATTCGCCCAAGACCTTGTGCAGAACATGTCTTCCCGTTGTTCATCATCAAAGCCTGGTATCTCCGATGTCTGAGGACCCTTGGACTCTGGTTCCCCCTGGCTCTGGCTAGACCCAGTGGGAGAGGAAGCCAGGACATGCAGACTTCTCAGGAACCAGAAGGATTTTAATTTATGGGAAGTTGTGGTCCAACTGGGCTTTTAGGCGTTTCACTTTGGTGCCAATGTGAAGAACACACATGGCAGAGAAGCCAGTAGGGAAGATGGGGCTGGAATCCAGCAGGGTGGGTAATGAGGGGATTGACTGAAGCATTGGCCATGGGCTGAAGTGGGGCAGACAGGTTTGTAAGCTATTTAAGAGGAAGAATCCATAGAACAGGAAGAAAGAGAAAACTAGCCCAGGGTTGGAAGATGATGTCGTTCCTCCTGGGAAAGAATTATAGAAAGATCAGCACATTGAAGGGGGAAGGTGAGATTTCCTTTTGTGACATTTTAGCTGAATATGGCCTTTCCAAGTGAAGATGACCAGAGTTGACCTCACCTCTCTAGGAAGCACATGGCAGAATGAAGCTTGAGATCCGTTGGGGGTGGGAGCATGGAGACACTCCTTTCCTATTTCTCATACTTCCAGAGAAGAGAGGGATTTCTGCTGCCCCACCCAGAGGAAAAAGGACAGGAGGAACACTCCCAGCTCCTCCCCATCCCCTTACTCCCCCCAGAGAGTCCTCTTTCTTTCATATCTGTCTGCTCATCCATGGAGCACTTCCTCAGCTCCTCCATATGACATGTTTCCAGGGCAGACTGCCTGTTTGGAGGTGATACATTCCATGCAAATCCTATGACTGCTGATTTAAAGCCATGTTCTCAAATGGATTTTATCAATAATATGGCTAACTCTTTGGCGCCATTGCTCTGTGTCCAGCCTTATTTACCAGTGGTCCTGAACTCTGGAGTAGAGCGTATTTGTTTACTGGGGCTGTCATAACAAAGTATGACACAGACTGGGTGGCTTAAATAACAGAAATTTATTTTCTTGCAGTTCTGGAGGCCAGAAATCTGAGATCAAAGTGTTGGTAGAGTTGGTTTCTACTGAGACTTTTCCCCTTTGTAGAGGGCCACCTTCTCCTTGTGTCTTCATGGAGTCTTCCTGCTGTGTGATTCTTTGTCTTAATTTCTTTTTCTTTTCTTTCTTTCTTTTTTTTTTTGAGATGGAGTTTCGCTCTTTTTGCCCAGGCCGGAGTGCAATGGCGCGATCTTGGCTCACCGCAACCTCCGCCTCCTGGGTTCAAGCGATTCTCTTGCCTCAGCCTCCCGAGTAGCTGGGACTACAGGCATGCACCACCAGGCCCGGCTAATTGTATTTTTAGTAGAGACAGGTTTTCTCCATGCTGGTCAGGCTGGTCTCGAACTCCCAACCTCAGGTGATCCACTCGCCTTGGCCTCCCAGAGTGTTGGGATTACAGGTGTGAGCCACTGCGCCTGGCCTCTTTCTTAACTTTTTCTTATGGGGTCCACCTGACTGACCTCATTTTAACTTAGTTACCTCTTTAAAGACCCCTGTCTCCAAATACAGTCACATGCTGAGGCACTGGGGTTTACAACATCAACATATAAATTTTGGGTGGAGGTGGGGTTCACAGTTCAGTTCACAACAGGGAGAAGGATATTTACTGACCCTCTAAAATTCCATCAACAACCTGTTTTCCTTCTTAAATACATTCTCATACACAATTTTGAGGCAGTTTTTTTTTTCTCCCTCACTCCATTTATTTCAATGTCAAGAGCTTGGAAAATTTTAATCAGGGCACTGTTTAGCTTCATTAAAGAAAAACCAGGGCAGTGATGCTCAAAGGCTTGATCTCAGCAGGGGGAGGGTTGCTAGGCTGTGCATCACCTGGAACTGGAGAGTGCTGAAGATGAGGCCTGGTGAGAATCCCACCATAATCAAGATACCCGTAAATCTTCTCTCAGAAGTGGTGTGGATCAATGAATGACATCATCATTCCTGCACCCCTACAGACTTTATGATTTGCCAAAGTATTTGAGGTCAACATTGTGTGTAAATATGGGTTCACAACAAATTCTGAGGCCATAATCCAGGCCCATGTTTTTTTCTTTCCTTTTTTTTTTTTTTTCCAGAGATGGTCTTGCTCTGTCCCTCAGGCTGAAGTGCAGTGGTGAGACCTTGGCTCACTACAGCCTGAACCTCCTGTGCTCAAGCAATCCTCCCACCTCAGCCACTTCAGCAGCTGGGACCATGGTTACATGCCACCATGCCCAGCTAATTTTCATTTTTTTTGTAGATGAGGTCTCACTATGTTGCCCCGGCTGGTCTCAAACTCCTGAGCTCAAAGGATCCTCCCACCTTGGCCTCCCAAAATGCTGGGATTACAGATGTGAGCCACCATGGCCAGTCCCCATGTTTTTTTCTTTTCCTTCTTTTTGAGACAGAGTCTTGCTCTGTGGCCCAGGCTGGAGTGCAGTGGCACAATCTGGGCTCACCACAACCTCTGCCTCCCAGGTTCAAGTGATTCTCTTGCCTCAGCCTCCTGAGTAGCTGGGACTACAGGTGTGTGTCACCACACCTGGCCAATTTTTGTATTTTTAGTAGAGATGGGATTTCAGTATGTTGGTCAGGCTGGTCTCAAACTCCTGACCTCAAATAGTCTGCCTGTCTCAGCCTCCCAAAGTGCTGGGATTACAGGCGTGAGCCACTGTGCCCAGCCCCAAGGTTTCTTTAGTAGTTTTGTTCTGATACTTCTCCCACCAAGTTTGAACTTAAATGGTTTTCCTAAGGGAAAGTATGCATCCAGAGTGATGACTGATTTTATGGAATTCTGTTAATATCAAATGTGACTGAAGACTGCCATTCAGAGCCTTGTTTCAGGGACATAAAACCTTTAGGCAGCTCCACACAATGAGAGGAAGAAATGACAGATCTGTGTTGATGAAACACTTTTCTTGATCAGCGTGATTACATTAGAATGCTCTACTTGGATACACTGATTTGTCTTTGAGAGTGCTTTGTGCCACATAAATCTCATAGAAATATCTTTAACTTGCTGCCCCAGAAGGCCACTGCTTCCCTCCTCAGCAAACAGAAGCAACATCAGGGAGTCATTTGTCAAAGTTTCAAAGGGAATGGTTCATTTATGAACTGACATTGGATGGTCTTCTGTTCCAACATTCATGGGATTTTAAAACAAAGATGCATTTTATGATTAACCTCCACAAGCAAAGAGTTATATTTGTCTCTTTTGACTTACTTCAGCAACCTGATTTAAAAAAATCTCCTTCAAGGAGAATCATATTTATTATACCTCAAAAATTCAGTTTATATGCATCATTGTTCAGAGCAATTTCTTTCTCCCTACATTGAATGGCCAAGTGATCATTTGTTTTGGAGATTCATTCATGCTTTAGAAGACCTGGCCACCCATGGAAAAGAACATTTTTGAGAGCATTTCCCCCCTGCTTCTTTCTTAGGACAGGGAAAATAGGTCTTAAAAGAATTATAAGTGAATTTAGAAAATATTGCTTAAAAGTTTCTCACTTATTCTGGGACATATACCTTCAGTTTTCTAATATTCAAGAGCTGTAGTGAAAAGAGCATTAGTGTATGTTAAGATTCTCTCTTTTGAGTTACGTGAACTTGAGCCAATTTTTGAGTTGAAAATTTACTTTCTTTCCTCCTATAAAATGAGTATTGTGGTGCCCATATTACTGGAGAGGTAGTATTAGAGGATGGGGGAATGGCTTCACTCATTGTTAAAGAGCGTGGATTTTGAGCCAGTCTGGCTTGGCAAATCTGCTGCTTGCTGGTTGCACAATGCTGGGAACATGACTTAACTCCCTAGGTCTTGGTTTTCTTATCTGTGAAGTAGGCATAATAATTGATCTTACCTCATGTGGTTGTTTTGACAAGAGAATGAAATAATTTATAAACATAGTACCCATCCACTATAAATGTGAGATCATTATCCTCATGATTGTCACCACCACCATCACCATGAAAATCACAAATAACCCTTAACTGGCTTAATTATTCTGCTTTTCTTAATCGACTAAGACAGACATGGACTCAAAAAAAGTGAAATCCATAAAATTCAAACTGATCCGTGCAAAACAGGTTGAAACCAGGTTTATATTATTTGAAGAATAATGTATCTTTTATATAGATAGATTTCTTTTGAATATCTATATTTACATATATACACACTATATATAATATAAAATATATACTTATATATAAAAAGGTAATAAGGTATATCTATACTCAGTTAAAATTTCATGAAAATTTTAAATAATTTGAAATTTACCAAGATTTTATATTAAAACTATACTTCCATTTCTCATGCAAAACAATTTTCTAAATAAAGAAATATTTAGTCACAAGTGCAAAATTGGAATAAGATTTAATAATCTCCTGTAGGAACTGATTTTGGGGTTTAAACTGTGCTTTTATGAACACCGCATTAAGAACTCTTAAATCCTTCTTATAATGTCTTCATATTTAAGCTTCAGTGGAGAAAAAGGAGTTTGCCATTCTCTCGCTTATTTAAAAATATTTCTGGATTTAAGAATATTAAGAGCTTCTGCTTGAAGATGACAGCATAAAGATAATTGCACTAAGCTCTACTCTTTAATATCAACTGAAAGCAACACAAATTCTAACCAAAGAGTCCATCTTTAACAAAACTAGTAGACACAACCCCAAGCTATGAAGAATTGCTTCTAAATATAGGGGCATTTGGCCCCAATTCCAGAAGATGCCAAATGTAGATTCACATTGGATAGTCCATTCACATTGCAGAGTTCTCCAACAGTAGGTGGCACAGCTCCAAAGGGCTTTTCCAGTTGTCCCTTACTGGGAATCACTAATTCTACATCCTGCCCTGAGGAACTGCAGACCAGATGGGACTGGAAGGAAAAAAATCCATGAACTTTGCAGAAAATGTGCTGGTGGCACATGATGTAATAATAATACCACTGTTAGCAGTAACACATAACAATTGCTGGTATTTAGTGAGTGCTTACTGTGTGCTAGGCACTAATTTAAGTAGTTTACATGTATCAACTTAGTTAATCTTCAAAGATAATTTCTATGAGGATGGTACTATTATTATCCCAATTTTACAAGTCAGTTACAGAGCCTGGATTCAAATGCCAAGCCTGTCCTCTTAACCTCCATGCCCTGGGGCATTTCTGCTCTGGATATGGAGTCATCTTTGATCAGTAAATCCATGTCAGCTGAGGAGAATGAAAATAAATGCCAAATCACTGTACAGAGAACTAGAACCTTATGGGGCTTCACTGTGAGCCACAGAAACCTTCTGCTCATTCTTAGAAGGAATGTGGGTCACTGGGAGAAGAAATGTCCTTGCAGCAAAGGCACAGCAGAGTAGATGAGAAAGTCATCCAGGACAATATTACTCCTGTAGACCTGGCTCTCTCTTCCCTTTTCCTTCCTCATACAACTCTTGAGCAAAAAACTGAACAAGATGGAGCTTCCCTTGTTTAAAAATGAGTCATAATGTGACTGGGCATGGTGGCTTATGCCTGTAATCCCGTGGTGGATCACTTGAGGTCGGGAGTTTGAGACCAAAATAAAAAAATTAGCTGGGGGTGGTGGCATGCACCTGTAGTACCAGCTACTTGGGAGGCTTGAGGAACAAGAATCGTTTGAACCTAGGAGGTGGAGGTTGCAGTGAATCGAGACTGTGCCACTACACTCCAGCCTGGGCAACAGAGTGAGACCCTGTCTCAAAAACAAAAAAAAAAGTCATAATGAGAAAGAATCTAGCATAGACTCATGTACAGGTATTTGACAGCTAGAAGGCAAAAAAGAAAGACCACAAAAGCAAGTAGGGTGAGTGGAGTAAAAAACAAAATAAAGGCAAATAGACAATACACATCCAAAGGTGAATTTAATCATGAAGTGAATACAATTTTAAATACTTTTGCATGAGGAAGGGAACAGAATTAATAGACCCCCTTGAAAAGATTTTAATGCTATAAAAATTGCTGCTATAAACAATTGCTGCTATAGAAGAAGACTTGATTCTGTGGATTGAAGGTGCATACCATGGCCTCCTGTCTTGGGACAATTGATAATGGTAAAGTTGTGGGGGGTCAAGAATACAGAATCTGATATAAACCTAGCAGTTGGGATAGTACCTATTACATAATAGACACTCAACTAATATTTGTTGAATAAATGAATACAACCAAACCAGACAATAAGGTAATTCACCTATATTGAGGGAAAACCAAGTTGGTATTAAATTTCATAGCAACAATACTAGAAAATGGTGAAGCAATCATTACAAAGTCTTTGGGGGAAAGAAAATGTGTTCTGAGACTTCTATACTCGGTTAAATGTCATTCAAGTATATAGAAAACAGATTAATTTGACACACAAAAGCACTCAGGAAATATGGTACACATTAGCTTTCTTTTTTGGCAAAAAAAAAATCTACTTAACTCTGAAATCCAGCTAACCAAGAGATAAGAGATTAATGAAAATGATGAGCTCAGGAATAGGAAATGAGAATACTGATGTGAGTACTGAAATTATTTAGATGTGGTACCAAGTCTAAACAACTGGGAATTAGGGCATTAGAAAAGAATGAATGTTAAAAATCGTAACCGAATAGAAATAATAATCTTAGTTTAGTAGTCAAGAGGTTAGAAATAATGATGTTAGTACAATAGTCAAGAGGTCAGAAGGAAGTAGAGATGGGAGGAAGGGTCCATTTCTTCATTTCCTCTTATTCAATATTTCATTATGGAGCTTGAGAAATTCTAATACTGATAATTCAAATGACGAAGGTTTAAGTGCATTATTTTAATGCATAAAGATAACACCAGAATAATTGAAAACAACAATATAACTGGCCAAATCAGTATACGGAGGGGTGTATAAATTTGAGAGGAGAGGTGTGCATGAGAATTTCCTCATCTCCTTTTGAGGAATTTTGTATGGATACTGTTTCAGGTTGTTTAAATGTATTATTCAAACATATAACATTTAAAAACTAAAAATTGATTATAAACAGAAAGCCACACAAAAATAAAATAGAGAAATCAGATCACATAGGAAAATATAAGACAATGTAGGTATTAAAAACATAAAACAACAGTGAAGTTTAGCACTAAGACCAAAGATATGATCAGATTAATAAATGCAAGTGGAGGAAACAATCTGTTGAGATTTTGAGAGAAAGAAAAAAAGAAAAAACGACTCAGCAAGGTTGAAAATCAAAGGTAGGTGAACTCTTGTACCCCTGCAAAAAAAGTCCCACAACAAACCAAGGCAAATGGAGACAAAAAGGAATCAGGGGTTGTAATGTTAATATTATCCAAGATCCAAGACTGAAATGAGGGCAGAAACTAATGAATGAGAAAAAGGCACTTGTAATGAAAAAGCTTACAAAGTTTACAATCCATAATGGTCTGTCATTGTCAGTTAAATGCTAAAAACAATTAGATAAAAATCCTAACATAAAGCTGTATGAAATGGAAGACAAATACACAAAAACCCAAGTATGGTAGAGCCTGTCTGGCCCTCTTCTAGAATTAGATGAAACACATTCATTCAGTAAATCGTTCATTCATTGGACCAACACATATTTACTGAGCATCTATTCCCTGCCAGGTGCTGTGTTAGGTGATGGCAATAAAAGGGGAACACAACGGGAAAAACTTCCAGCCCCTATGGAACTTCCAGTTTACTGTGGTCAGATGTTAAATCAGCACAGAGGAAATGTGTAATTGCAATGTGGTAAATGATAGATGAAGGAAAGTTATGTGGTATAGTGTGTGAATAAAATGAAGGGAACTGGGTGAACACAGCTGAGATCTGAAGGATGAGTAAGAAGTAAATTAAGTTGGGATGGAAAACAGCATCCCAAGAATGGGAATAGCATGTACAGAGAACTTTCAGGGCAAAGTGTGTTGGAGGAAAAGAGAGGCCAGTGCAGTGAGAGAGGGCAGAGTGCACGGCACATGCCTCACCAGGCAGAGTTTTGTAGCCTATGTTGGGGAACTGCTACTCCATCCTAAGGGCAATGGGAAAACGCCAAATAGTTTTAGGCAGGAGTGAAGCACTCAGATTGACGATTTGAAAAGATCTCCTTGGCTGCAGTATAGAGAATGGACTGGCGGGATGAAAGCAGATATAAGAAGACCAGTTGGGAAGTTACTCCAAGCTAGAAACGGTGTTATCTGGATCAGGGTGTCGTGGAGAGCATGAATTAGGAAGATATTTAAGAGATCAATATATCTGGACTTTGGTGACACCTTGGCTATGAAAATGAGAGCAAAGGATATACTACAGATGACACCTAGGTTTTGAGTGTTCACAAACAGAAAGGCTGGAGGATGATTTTCCTGTTATATAAAACCCTGAAGGAGACCAGGAGTGTTCTGAGGGAGATGGCAAGTTTGGACATGCTGTGTTTGAGAGGGTTAGGTGCAGCAAAAGTACAGATGCTGAGGAAACAGTCGGAATATGGCCTGGAGCTCTGAGAAGTTAACTGGCTATGAGCTGAGGAGACAGAGTGTTGGATGAGTCCCCATCAAGGTTGTGATTGTCCCCGGGACTAATGAAAGGAGTACAGGTAACAATGATATGAGTTCAGTTCTAAGCATTTATCTACGTGTTGAATCTCTGCTGACTGTTTTCCAGGGGCCAAATATCTATGTCCAAGATTTTGATGTGGCTCAACCTTCTACTCTGGGCACAAGTGGTGGCCGTTCTTTCCAGTTTCTTCCGCCCGTCACATCATCCAGCCCAGCCGCCACCAACTCTCCATTAGGAAGGTCAGCCTGCACTCTTGGGGTCATGGCATAGTTGCTTCCAAGTAATTGTGCTTCCCTGGGACATGCTTCCTGCTTGCTCCACCATCCGTCCTTTTCTTTGATATGTGGCCTTCCAACTTGGAGGATGTTGCTGGGGTTTCCCCAAGACCTCCTGTACTTATTATCATCTTGTTCCACCTCAGCTGTAACTCTTTGAAGTTATGACATGTGGGGGAATTTTCTGTTGTTCAAGTGTTGACAGAACTTTTTCACCATTTTCAAAATCATTGTGTCACTATCACAAGGGGCCGGGCAGGAGGTGATATACTTTGTTCAAGTTGCCATCTTACCTCAAGCTTACCTCTTTCCCTTTTATCCTGACTTATTGGACTCCGATTCCTGGCTCTTGTTCATCGTTCTTGCAGCCTCTGCTTTTGGATCTTCTCTTCGGAGACACATTGACTTCTCCATCTGGCTCTCTGATTCTATGTTTTAATTGAACTCTCTACTCTGATCTTAATATACCTCTTCATACCACCAGGCCTTGGAGGAGAATCACTTCTTTTAGCTTTGTGTTTAGAAGGTGTGATAGGCTGAGTTTTAAGATGGCCCCTGTGGCCTTTGTTTCATTGTGTTACGCCTGTGATGTCACGGTACATACCAAAAGAGAGACAACCTGGGTGCGCCTCATCTTATCACGCAAGCCCTTTAAAAGCAGAGTTTTCTCTGATTGGTGGGAGAATAGAAAGTTAGAGAGATTTGCATCATGAGGATTCAGCACACCACTCCTAGCTTTGAAGATGGAGGGGGCCACATGCCCAGGAATGCAGGTAGCCTCTGAAAGCTGACACTCCTCCTCGGCTGACAGCCAGCATGTAAATGGGAACTTCAGTCCCACAGCGCAAGATTTTGACAAAGATCTGAATGAACTTTGAAGCAGATTCTTTCCCCAAACCTCCAGAGAAGAGCCCTGCCCAGCTGATCCCATGAGTGTGGGACCCTGAGCAAGGAACCTAGGCATGATGTGCCAGACTTCTGACCTACAGAAATGTGAGCTAATAAGCAGGTATTGTTTTAAGTCACTAAGTCCATGGCAGTTTTTACACAGCAATGGAAAACTAATGCATAAACATCACTCACTAGCTTAATATACTCCACAGAGAAAGCTGATGATGAATTTTGGATGGAAAGAAATCAGGGAACATTACAACACCTTGGCAAACCGATATAGGACATATTTTTTCTTCACACCTGCTCATTGTTCTCACAGTCACTAGAGCCAGTGGTCATCCTAGCCTTCTCTTCTCCCTCTTCCTCACCCTCAGTTAGTCAATGAGTTCTGGCATATATCCTTCCAAAATGCCTTCCCTATTTTTTATTCTCACTGAATGGTCTTATTTAGAAACCCTCATTACATTTTGATTAAATTACTATAACAGCCTTCTAACTCAGAGCTTTACTTTAATTCTCTAAATTGCTCTTGTTTTAAACTTTGTAGATCCCTAATTTGATTATGTCACTTTTCTGCTCTACCTCCTTCAAGGACGTCCTACAGCCTGCGGAAGAAAATTCAAACACCCTGGCATTGTGCTTCCAGCTCAACGTTTCCACACTAATCATTGGCTCTAGTCACACTAATCATTGGCTCTAGTCACACTAAATGACTTGCCTTTACTACAATGAAACTTTTTTTTCACTACTCTGTGCTTGGAAGGCTACTCTGCCAACTCCATCTGAAATGTTGCTATTCAAACTGAAGACTCAATTTGAATGTCATCTCTTCTCAAAAGGGTTTTATGGGTGAGACACTGACACTTCTCCCTCACAATCCCCTTCATTTTTAGAAAGTTGAGTACCCTAGGGCTTCTTTCCCCTTCATTACTCAGAGACCCTGGCAACCACTTTCCCAACAGACAGAGAGACCCTTGATTTAGACCAGGGTCGTGCAGATTTGTATCAGACAGGGTCCAGCCCAGGACCCAAAGTATAACTCAGTCTTTGTCGTTGTCTTAGGGGATAACCAGCTTTGAAGCAGATAGGGCAATTTGCATAGGAAACACAGAGTTGTCTGGGAAAGGTGGTCCAATTACCCCTCTATCTCCTTTCTTTGAAATTTGAGTTTGTGGAGATGCTGAGGTTTATAGGTTTGACCCAACAGGAGTCTAATGGCAGGAAAGGCAGCAATGCAGTTCACATAATGCTAGTTTGAGTCCAGACAGAGGGAACACTGGGGAGTGGGTGGCCTCCTTGAGGAGCCTTCACTTCTTTGGTAGCTAGTGAGGCAGGGACTTTGTCCCACCTGTGGTGCTTTGGACTTGATCTGCTGTCACCAACTTCTACTCAGCTAGAGCAGCTTTTGCATGTTGGAGATGGAGGACAGGACGCACTTCCCTCTGCTACCAGCATATTGGTGTTGGAGCATGGTGCTCTGGGATCTGCCTGTTGCCTGTTGTTTGCACCCCAAACCACTACTCATCATCGTTTTCTTAGTCAACTTTTGTTTGGGTGTAATTAAGGGAAACAAACTTGACCTACCTAACGCATTTGTCTAACGAGGTATGGGTAAAAGAACCGAATCATGCTGGGGTGGGATTGTCATTTATTGGGGAACCATGACTTGACAGATACCTCACCAGGTGACTACAATAACACTGAATTGTATTCACTGGTTTACCTGTTTGGTTCTCCAACCAGCTTATAAACATTTTTAAGTCTTATTAATTTTTTTCTATTTCTAGTGAGTACTTTGCTTGTAATAAGCAATCAAACAAACATTAAACAAAATTAAAAAATGTAGGGTTTATGTCCTTTTAATTGTGTATTTAATTATATTTGGTTTTACATTTTCAAAGGATGATGAACTCTGTTCGTTAAGTATGCTGCTTAATTACCAGTTATTTTGATACTTGAGAAAAATATTTGATGCAGATTTGTTAGTAATATCATTTAGTGTTCTAATCAAATGAACACTATGAAAGTTATAATAAAAACCCTGCTCTAAGGCTGGACATGGTGGCTCATGCCTGTAATCCCAGCACTTTGGGAGGCCACGGTGGGAGGATCGCTTGAGTTCAGTAGTTTGAGATCAGCCTGGGCAACATAGTGAGACCCTGTCTCTACAAAAAAAATAAAAGATTAGCCATGTGTGGTGGCGTGCGCCTCTAGTCCCAGCTACTTGGGAGGCTAGAGCCGGAGAATCACCTGAGCCTGGGAAGTCGAGACTGCAGTGAGCTGTGATCATGCCACTGCACTCTTGCCTGGGTGGCAGAGCGAGACCCTGTCTCAGAAACAAACAAAACCCACTGCTCTAGCAATACACTTAGGGTATATTGTTTTCCTCTGAATTGGAAAATTATCTAAAAATACAAAGGTTTCTCCTATAGAAAATATAGAAACAAGAAGTTAATAATCAAAAGATATGTCAAAAGATTATACTTTTAGCTTCATCAAGTACTATTTTTGTATCAATAGAATACTTAAAAATTTAATTTTTAAGTAATTTTCCTCTAATAATATGAAAGAATTGGTAATTCATATGATAAAGGAAGAACACTAGCAATTTGGACTATTCTAATTTTTAAAATTTTACTACAAATGGGAAGCAATACTTTTTGTTTAGCTGTTTTTCTTTCCTCACTCCATGCAAAATTATGCAAAGTTAAATACCTTGAAATACTTAGAAGCATCATTCAATGTATCCAATTCCATAAATGGAAAGGTAGCCTACTAATTTCTCCTTGGGGGTTTATTAACTCAAGCCACCTAACAGGCTAGTTAGCAAAGCATTCATTATGGGTAAAATAGGTAGGGGAATCAAGTAATTTCTTCTTCTCACTGGTGAGGGTATATACAGCCATTTTTAATGAGCAATGCTGAGCCATTCCCAGCATGAAAATATTTAACAACTCTTCTAGGATAAGCAAGAACGCTGCTTTCTTTTTATCTCTGACAGAGCTTTGCAAAGAAGGATACATGGAGCAGGTGCACAACAAATGCTTTCAGAAACAATTGAATAAATGGATCCAGAAACAAAGAGAAGTTAGTGCCAAAATGCACTGAAAGCAAACCCTACATTAAATGTCTGGGGTGTTTGGGAGGTTGAGAGTAAGTTGAAAACAAAATAGTTTGTATGTGTAAAAAGTGTTACATTCCATTAGCTGTCATTTGGAAAATCATTATTTTCACCTAAACCAGTGATTAAAGAATTTTTTTTCTGGGTGGGAACTTTTAGCTGCTGATTCTCGACTGTCACTCTTTGTCACACCCTCACCCCAACAATAGATCATCCTGAGGTCTAGCTGTGTTGCCTGGGCTGGTCTCAGACTCCTGGCCTCAAGTGATCCTCCCTCCTCTGCCTCCCAAAGTGCTGCGATTACAGGCATGAGCCACTGCCGTGCTTGGAACAATGTTTTCTTTTTTTCTTTCTTTTTTTTTTTTTGAGACAGTCTTGCTCTGTTACCCAGGCTGGAGTGCAGTGGCACAATCTCGGTTCACTTCAACCTCCACCTCCCAGGTTCAAGTGATTCTTGTACCTCAGCCTCCCGAGTAGCTAGGATTACAGGCACCTGCCACCACACCTGGCTAATTTTTGTATTTTAGTAGAGATGGGGTATCACCATGTTGGCTAGACTGGTCTCAAATTCCTGACCTCAGGTAACCCGGCCATCTCCACCTCCCAAAGTGCTGGGATTACAAGTGTGAGCCACCGTGCCCGGCCCACAATGTTTTCTTTCTGCAAAGAGATACAAATTCAGAAAGCAATTAATTCCAAATCCTTTAAAAAATTAACCTAACTTTTGACAAATTTAAACAATATTTCCAAAGCTTCTGGATGAGACTTTCCCCCTCAGCACTGATTGTGCAGTGTCTTTTCATGGCCCACACTAATCCCTTGACGTTATGTTTGCTCAGCACCACTGTCCTCTCCATTGTCATGTATTCAAAAGAGATGAACACTGTCTTTCAGTGTGTATATAACATTTGTCCCCCAGGTACTCAACCTTTTTTCTCCCGATTAAGAAGCCCAGCTGCAATATTCAACACACAGAAAAATTTAATGTCTTTTCCTGAGTCACTATCCAATAATGTATCTGGGGATTTCAAGGTCAATGCATGCGATCGCTCGACACTGAGAATCTGTAATATGTGGAATCATTGCAAACATGAAAAAGATGCTCAATGCACTTGCTACCTGAAAGTGAATGTGAAAGCATGCAAAATTTAAGGTATAAAAGCTTAGGGAAATATTACAATTGTCACACTTGATTACTTTTAGACACAGCTTGACATTCTTGAAGAATAGTTATTAAAGAGTATTCTTCAAATAGAAAAATTCGCTTATTCAGGTATTCAATAAATATTCATTGGAAGCCTACTGTGCATGTAACATAGCAGATACATTGATGGATAACAAAGATGTATGCGGTATCATATTGACCATATATGTATCATTTCTTAGAAGGCTTTACCAACAAAGAAGAAATAAAGGAGCCTGATTATTGTAAATGGTGATGAAAGCTGTTCCTTATATACAGTAATAACATGACACTAGGCATCCCTTTAACAACTTAGTTCCCCAAAAGACATATATATTACTCACTGATAACCAGGGATAATTTTTTTAATTTTTTTTTTTTTTTTTTTTTTTTTTAAGTAGAGACGGGGTTTCACCATGTTAGCCAGGATGGTCTCGATCTCCTGACCTTGTGATCCGCCCGCCTCAGCCTCCCAAAGTGCTGGGATTACAGTCGTGAGCCACCACGCCCGGCCCGACCAAGGACAATTTTAAGGACACTCTTGTATGGAGAATGTAGACCTAGGCAAATTTGACTGTGAAGAGAGGATCCCAAGAACTGATGCTTAAAAAAATTTCCAAGTGAAAGAAGATAAGTCTGACTTGCTTAAAGAGGTCCTCTGTTTCCTAAGACAATAATATAGATTCAAATCAAAAGGTCGATGCAGAGCAACATTGGGATCTCATGATTAGAAGAGTGGATTTTGTACATATTGCAACCTACTTATTCTCTAAGAACACTTGAAACTAAGGAAGCAGGAATAATCAGATAAGTTGTCTAAGAGAAGCATTTATAGGCTTTTTCTGAGAAGAAACATGATCTTCCAAACTGTGAACTAGATTGTCAAGAGACTGAATTTTTAACATTGTCGAATATGTCACTGAATTGTTCTATAAAAATATGTTATTACTATTTCCCTACATTTTTTATGTAGCTTACAAGTTTAATGGAAAGGTGAATGGTTTTATATCACATTACATCTTTCACATTTTTGGAGAAAAGGAGATGATTCAAGTCTTAATCACATTAGGATAGAGGTAAGGGTTACTGCAAATTCATGGTCTTGAACACCAACTTGGTCCTTAATACTATCTGGAAAGCCCTCTCTTTCTCAGTCATCTCTTTTCTTCTCCATAGGGGTAACTATGCCTGCTTCTCCACAGAACACCAAAACTTCCTGACTCCAAATCTATCATCTTAGAGGATGTGTAGCTTACAACTTCTCCAGCACCCTTCCTTTCACCGCTTCTTAACTGCCAGAGAGAGTTGGAAAAGCTCACCGACTTCTCACCCTTACCCATAGCAACTTGGCTGAGGTCCTGTCATCTCCCACTGCAATTGCTGTAGCCAAGGTCTTCAGTTACCTCCTTTCTTTACGTCCACTGGAAACTTTTCAGTCCTTAGCTTAGTTGACCTCTGGGCTAACTCTCCATCTTTATTATAACTCTTTCTAAAGTTGGAAATACCAAGTCTCCCTGCATTTCTTCTAATTCTTGAGTAAATATTTCTCAGTCTACATAGCAAGTTCTTTTGGTTTTGTCTATTCCTTAAATATGGGTGTTCTGGTAGGTTTTGTCTTGTCCCTCTTCCCTTCTTGCCCTAAGGACTCTCCCTGCACAATCTCATCCACTCCTCTGCCTGAAATTATCATCCCTATGTTGCTGATTCTCAAAGCTATATCTACATTCCAAATTGGTTACCATAAACTTCAAATCTATGTATTCAGCTGCTGCTTGACTTCTCTTGAATGTCGCATAAATATCTCAAACTTAGCATGCTCAAATTGAACACATTATCTTTCCCTCAAATATTTTCTTTTTCCTAGACCCTCTGTATAATAGCATCACAAGCTACATAAATGCTCACTTCAGAAACATGCAGGGATGGTCCACAATGTAGTCAAACCACAAACTCATTTAAAATCTCTTGTGAATCCATGAATGTAAAACTCAAATTGCTGTTACCACTGTGCTAGTGCTGGCCATTCTCACCTCTTGTTTCAATTACTGCACTCGCCTCTTCTTATGTCTCTAAAAGTTTAAACGATGAAAGAAGGATAAATGAATAGCAACTTACCTAGCAGAATGGAGAAACTGAGGCCTAATTGCTAGCACAGGAATGGGAATCCAATAAGAAGCAAGTCGATTCATAATGCAAAACTCAGACAAGGTCAGGAGTCAGAGATGCCAAGTGCCTCTGATTGCCAGGATGTGGAGTGCGGCTTAAACAGATTGACTACAAATCTGTATAAGGAGCAGTTAGATCTCAGATCCTCTTCCCTACCCTGCACAGCTGGATGACTTTATTGACGACTCTTTCCCCATCCCAGCAGAAGGTAGGAGATTTACTCTCCAGAAAAGCAGAATCAAAAGAGGACCCACATGCAGGAACATCAGGCATTTGTGAATAGGGGAAAGAGCTGCACTCCAAAGGTAGATTAAGTGAAAATCTATGTTTTGAACATTGGGATCCCCTGCAAAGCTCTCTGAGTTCTGGTAGCCAGAATTACACTCTTAGAAAGGAGATTGAAGGAATCTTCTCAGGGGAAACCAATGGATCCAAAACGAAAGATTTACAAATGCTGGCAATTGGGTGTCCCAATGAAACCATCGGTTTCCTTTGATCACTCTATTGTGAGGCCTGCCAGCTGACATATAGAGCTTTTAATTAGCTTTTTGGTACCTCACTATTAACTATGAAAAGACAGCTAAAGATCACCAGACAGTTGAGGAAGACTTCTTATCTAGAATACAAAGACCAAAGCAAACAGAAAAGAAACTCAGGAAACAACCACAACAAAAAACCAACCCAATAAAACAAAACAGATAAGCAGCAGGGGGCAGACAAAAACATTAAAACATTTTTATGACTTCAAAGAGATGGAGAGTGTTATTGCAAACAAAAACAATTATAAAAACCAAGCTGAGATTCCCTTACATGGTTGAGAGGGATTTAAGGATCATGTCAGGAGGTTTATGTCTGAATTATGACAGGTTTATAGAAAAGTAAGCAATTAAAAAAAGAGGCAGTTAATTTCAGGAAAAAATTAAGTGGAACAAGGAAGAAAGTGAAATTATAGTGCAGTATAAGGCTCAACTGTGAACAATATTTACATAGGAGTCATAATAGAAACTTTCAATGTTGAACTACCAATTGTGCTATAACTATATTGGAATGATGAGGGAAGAGTGAGTGAGTGTGTGTGTGTGTGTGTTTGTGTGTGTGTATTTTAGAGAGAGAGAGGTGGGCAGTGGTGGGGAGGGGTGTTGGGAATATTGTAGGTAGTCTAAATCCTTACTCTCCATAGTGAGAAGTCAGTAGACAATAGTCAAAACTATAAACCCCAGAACTAGTAGTGTTAAGTTGAACCATCTAAAATTGTTGATATTAACCCCCTTTCGCCTACGAAAATGGTAGCTTCTGATGATTCCTGTTATTTAGAAACACGGATGTCAATAATAGAAGCGCTATCTTGAAGAGTCAAACTGGGTATCTGTGGGTAACAAGTTGGAAGTGGAGTGGAAAGTTTTTGCCATAAGCTTTGAAGAACTATTTGGCATTTTAAACAATATATTAATTTAATAAAATTAAAGTTAATAAAAAATGAGTAAGTGTCTTACTTCCAAATTACCTAAGTGAAAAGACCCAATGTTACTAGGAGAAATGATTACTAGCAGTAATTGATCTAATTGTGACCACTTTTTCTCCTTTAAGATTTGTACCTTTTAAAAAATGACTATTAGGAGAGCTTAATCTGGAAGACAAAAATAGTCTGTTCTAATAGCCTGTTTAGAACTTTAATTGAAAATGTGGTTGCGTCTTCCTCCAATTAAGCTAATTGAAGTGGAATTCTGATTGGGCCCTGTGAGAGAGGAGTTCCCCAGCCGAGGCTCATAGAATAACAGCTGACTCTAAAAAGAGAAAAATAGAAGCAAATGCTTAGGAAGACTGGTGAATCAATTCTAGAGGGATTTCAATCTACTTATTGACTGATATATGCAGGGAAAGTAGCCAGAAAAGTTCTGAAAAAACATGTGGGGTTGTGGGAAGCTTCATCTGAGGTTTTAAATAAATGTGTGTGAACTACTCCTGGTATTTTAATTAGAAACTTGCAACCTTTTCCAGAAAGGGCACCTGTTTTAATCCCTTTATTATTTACAAGACAAGCCCATGCTTTGCATCCAACAGGTACGGGTAAGTTGTAAAGTATATGCAGATATTAAAATATTAAATATTTAAATGAATAAATAAATACAATTTAAAAACAGTATAAAATATTAACATATTAAAAATATTAGAACTTCCCTCCTCATCCCTTAGGAATGCCTAAGGCCTGTGGAGTGCATAAAACAGCCCTGATTATTTCTGGAGTTGGACTGGGGAATTTGCACTTTAGAGAGCATTCTGGTGATTTTGCTATAGGTTCTCGTGCTCTTTGGAGGCCCAGCTCAGGTCTAATGCCCAAACCAATCTGTCCCTCAACCTTTTCTCACTTGATAGCTATCATTTGTATAATTTTATTTTGCCGAACTCTTTTAAGGTAAATGCTTTGGACCCTGTTCTCATGCTGCCAATAAAGACATATCAGAGCTGGGTAATTTATAAAGGAAAGAGGTTTAAATGATTCACAGTTCACCATGGCTGGGGAGGCCTCAGGAAACTTATAATTATGGTGGAAGGGGAAGCAAACATATCCTTCCTTACATGGTGGCAGCAAGGAGAAGTGCAGAGTGAAGGTGGGGGGAAAACCTCCTTATAAAACCATCAGATCTTGTGAGAACTCACTATCATGAGAACAGCATGGAGGTAACTGCCCACATGATTCAATTACCTCCCACCAGGTCCCTCCCACCACATGTGGGGAATATGGAAACTACAATTCAAGATGAGATTGGGGCGTAGACACAGTCAAACCATATCAGACCAAAAGGGAGCTGAACAATCTGGATTTAACACATTTATTGTTTTCAGTATAAATTACTTACTAAATACATATTTAATTGCGATTTAACTTTTGCAACTTTGCAGGATTTTTACATAAATGTATTCATAAATAAAAAATAGTTTGTCATTTTCTTCTTGATTTATGATAAAGACAGAATATATTTTTCACTTAAAGTAGATGGTAAAGTACTTATCGCATAAGAGATGTTCAAAAATTGGTGAAAATGGGCTCAATCCTTAATATACTACTTAATATATTTTAATACTATAACTGAATACATTTAATAATGCTTGAGATAGTAAAACATAAGAAAACATTGTCATAAATTAGCATTAAATTGGAAATAGTGGCATTCTGAGATAACTGTCAGCTCTTTCTGAATCTCTGCCAAAACCATAAGTCAGGAAAGAATCAGGTATCTTTCTTAAGCTTTTGATCCTGACCTTCTGAGAATAAGAAAAAAATGGCAATAACATAAACAAATTTCTGATCAATAAACTTGTCTTCTCATTTTGTGACGGGTGAGAGGACAGACAGGGAGGGTTAAGATAGAGAATTACCATGTTTTTTCTGGAATCCATCTCCTCCTTCTAGCTCTCTTAGCAGATTAGCTCTAAGCTTTGACTATGTCTCTTCTTCCTCCAAGTTTCAACCCCTGACATCACCTTAGTCCCTTAGAACTTACCTGTAATATCAGTGATGACTGTGGAAAGAAACCCTGTATGACTCAAGTTGAGTTTCTGCTCCTCAGAGGAACCAGGGTTTAACACAGAAATTAAGTTCAGTTCCAGAAAAATTAGGCAAGTATGTGTCTTCTAGTTTGGGAACAAAGATTTGTGGCTGCTTTTCTGCCACGCGGACACCCACCTAACTGAGCAGTTGGGTTTTCTGGGGATTTCTGGGGGGGCAGAAGTGGATTCCATAGCTGCTCAGGGACACAGCAAGACTCCCTTCCTCCCCTACAACTACTCCTTCAGTCAGAGTCTAAATCACCTAAGAAGATACAGCGAGTCCTAATTCCTCTCCTTTTACCTCACCTTTCAAAGAGCACTCCCACCCTTCAGAGGGCTCATTACAATCTGATATTTGCAGTTCAACAGTGTCAAGCTTATTCTTATAAAAGCAATTAGAGCTTTTGTAGTCTTAGGTGGAATTTTATGTGTCTTGGGGATATTTTTCCTTAGGAATACTGCTCTGTTTTTATAATAGGAATCAGCTAGGTAATTGGGGTTAATAGCAGAATTTTGCTCTTCGGGTTCTTTTTTTTTCTTCAGAGAGGCTTTGGACTGATCTTACGGAGAGGAATATCTTTGAGGCTGCAGCCATCAGCAGTGTCTGACATCATCTGAATCTGTATAAAGGAAAAAAAGTATCCTTTTTTCTCCCAATAAATATTCTCATAAATGGGTAGGATTGGACTATGCATTCAAAGGGAAAAATGTGGGGCTCGATGGCAGATCGCAGAGTCTGAGTTAAAAGAAGTGAGTTTAATTCGAATTCCTGTGATGGGGACTTAAAGGCAAATGACCCCACTTTCTTTGTGAATGTTAGAACCTATTGTACAGAGCTTTCGTGAGAGTTATATTAAGTAATATAGATATAGTTATTCTAAAGTGCTGTATAAAAGTAAGGCATTATTATCAGGCAGCTAAGCAAAGTGAAAAGCTTTAATAAAACCTATCCTTTACTGACTCTAAGGAGGCTTTTTAAAAAACCAACGTGCAAACATGACATTATTCGCCGTTAAAAAGTTAAGGTTTGCGGACCAAATGGCTCAGGAAGCAATAAGATGATCTAATATGTCAAGGAAGACATTTTAAAAAAGGAATAAGTATATTGTAGAGAGAGGTAGGAGACAATCTACTTCTTTTAAAGAGCTGTATCTATTCATAACATATTTGGAAAAGTATTGAATTCAGGAAAATGAAACCTAGAAAGGTGCTCTAAAAAATCAGGATGTAATTCAGTAAAAAATGTTTAGTCAGGCGAATTAAGATTAATGACAGGATATTAAACCATGGCAGTCTTTGATGGAAGAGTGTGCACAAAACAGGGTGTGTGTCCTGTTTAACCCTGAATCCCTATCACCTTGATCTGTGCCTGGCTCAGAATAGGTTCTCAAATGATTTTTGGTAGAATGAATGTAAAAGTTCAGGAGTATCGCTAATGGGAGATGTCTCAACCAAGCTGAAATTAATGTCTGAATTATGCAAAGAGATACTTACTTCATGGTTCAGATTTATTATCAAGATATATGCCAAGGCTTTTCAGCTTCTTCATTATTCCAAACTTTTGGCAATCACAAGACCAGAACGGTCTTTGCAAATGTTGGTGGTGAGTGGTCAACAAAACTTAGAATGAAAGAAAACAAGTTTTTTTACTGGAAAACTTCATCTCTTAGGGTTGGGATGGCACATAGGTCACATTACGCTGCCACTGGTGGCTGCTTGGGGCCTTCCCTTTAGGGATTCTAGGGTTATATCTAGGTGATCCATGAAAAAATGTCAATTGATTGGCAATGTCTGCCATGGGCATCGGAGTCAGGCATGGTGGACAAACACCTCTTAAAATGGTTTTTAACTTGAAGGTTGAATTTGTGAACAACTTCCTACCTTCTCCATTAATAACACCTTCATGATTATTACGGAATGTAGTTTATTATGGTGACTGAAACGGGGGAATTTGGGAAAGATATTGCAAGATTGACAGGGACTGAGGCTGTATGTGGCAGAAGCTCTTAGCGCTCAGTGGATACACATGTGCTTGTTTACATTTCCCTGCCTCTTCCTAGTTAGTTTGGGGCCATGTGACTGAATTCTCCTTGTCAGGGTCACCTTGCAGGCAGTGTGTTCCAGATGGCATTGCTACCGGGGAAGAAAGATCTACAAACACCCTGAACTTTGCAATAGTGAGGAACACACTTTATGGAGATGTTGGATTTTGTCTGCTGCCGCCGCCAGGTTAATTACCCTAATATATAATTATTATGGGAAGTGGTTTGTTCAGGTGATGGGAAAAAGCTTACTCTATCTAAATGTTTGCAGGTCTGAGACCTCACATTGCACTCCCTGCCTACCTTACCATTAGGTAAGGGAAGTTTTCTAGAATCCTACAGACTTTATTTGTTCTGTCATTGCCTCAGGGGTACCATAACCCTGGTGGTGTTGCAGAGTTGGGGCCAGGGTGGGGTGGTGTGGGGAGGGACTTGGCTGTAGAGCACTGTGCATACTACTGGACAATGTACATGTTCTTCAAAAAGTATATTTCTAATTGCATCATTCCCTTCTGTGGGTTTCTGTTTCTGACCAAGTTAACTTTAAATGGCAAAACAAAAACAAAAACAAAAACAAAAGCAAAACAACAAATGTCATCTTCTTTGGCATTCGTGATCCTTGTGTTCTGATGTCATGTGATTTTTCCAAGACTAGTCTCTTTCAAGGACCTCAGCGGAGACCAGTGACATAGCTTGAAATCTCTTTTCTCTTTCCCCTGCTATTCTTTTTGATTTCTAATCTCACTTTATCTCAATCCTACTGATTCCTAAGCCTGCCCCACACTCCTCTACCTGGGCAGAAACAGTTTCTCCCTGCTAAGGACACTTTCATCAGTATCTCTCATGAGATGTCTCCACAGCACCTTCTAGTGTGTACTGTGGTGATGAGCTTATCTCATTTCTTCCCCCCATACCATGAGCTTCTGGAGAGGAAGCAAAGTACACCAATTTGACTTACTGTCAAATATTTGGCGGCACACAGTGGAGCGCCTAATACATATGGAACAAATGAATAAATGAAAATCTTCTTTGCAAAGCTATGAATTCTCACAGTTAAAAAAAATTATGAAATGGCCCCTGTAGAAATAGAAGGCAGCTTAAAAAAGAACATGCATGTAAAATATTACAGCTCTAAATATGCTAAAAACATTTTATTTACTCATAGTATCAGAATGCTGGAAGGGTTTTATTTTTATGTTCCTCAGATCTGACTGCTGTTTTATCTTTTTTTTTTTTTTTTTTTTTAATTCAGAGACCCATGGACAATTGTTTTTATGGGAGTGAAATAATGGATGGAGATTTGGGAGGGGCAAAAATATAGAACTGTCCTTTTTTTTTTTTTTTTTTTAAAATCTAAAGCAATTCCCATGAAAATAAACAGCTTTCTTCTCAATAAAGCAATTCCATAAATAATAGTAGAATTATTGATGTCCCAGCAGTAAGAAATCTGCAGGGCAGTGCCAATGATATATATTGCTGGCTGGGAAAAACTATTGTTTACAAGCTAATTATTGTACAACAAGTCAGCTTTTGTTAGCTCTCTGAGAGGTTAAAACAGCAGGTTCAGAAAGATAAAGTATGTCAGCATGTATATTTAAAAAATCTGTGATTACAAACAATAGTTTGAGAGAATTGAAAAAAAAGCAAGTTAGAAAAAAACCAGTTTATTAAGTAATATCATATAAATAACTTGTTACAAAAATTGATTTGCAAAAGGCATATTTACTCTTTGTGAGAAATCACTTTTTAAATTGCATTCTTTTCAAATTTATAAGTCTAAGAAAACAAAACCAAATAAAAGAAGCCATTTCAAGGAGTGCGTATTTGCCATTTGACTGCAACAAAAGGCCCGGCCACACTGAGCTAAAAGGTAATACTCTCGACCCCATTCTTCTAACACAGAAAACTTTCTCAGGTAAACTGTGGGGTTATGAGAATCCCCCTAACTAGAAATGTTGATGGGAACTGAGCATTGCTTGCTTTCATCAGGTGTTCTTGTTGCCAAAGACATGAACGATACTGAGGAAAACGACAAGAGTGAGCATTCCCGCCAGTAAATCTTCAAGGGTGGCATCCGTTTCAATTTATACTTGGAAGTATTTTTAATTAAAAACAATCAATACCAAAAAGCTTTTATTTTGTGGGTTTAAAAGTCACAAATCACAGTGGGAGAATGCCAAATTGCTTTAGCTTGGAACTACTGAAGACGCACATAGCATTTATTATAAGGCCTACTCTTAGGCAGTTCACTCTCAAAGCAATGAAAATAATCTCAAACCAAACATTACAGTGGGTTTGAAGCGTTCCTACGTTTCTTCCGAGCAGGTCAGTTTTACATTTGCTACACAGCATTCCCCACGAATGCCTGGTAATTCTATACATTTGATTCTTTAATAAACACTAAACTAATAGATCATAGAAAACTAAAAGCTTAGAGAAGGTGCCTCCAGACATATTTACATAAATAACGTAGCCTCACAAGAAAGACCAAGATCTCATTAGCGTGGAATGCTTTTTCCACAAGGCTGGGTCCATGCCTCGTTTGTCAGATTAACCCCATTTGAGGAGAAATTTGAGTTTGTGGTTCATGGGTTTTTGAAAAAAAAAAAAAAAAAAAAAGGAATTAAGCAACTTGTAAAAGCTCTTTTGAAATTAATCTAATAACCCAGTGGCTCCTCGGCTAAGTGCCTCAGTCCTGTCTGAAATACAGCGGGTAAGAGCCTTTGTTTCCATTTGACCTCTTTTCAACACTTTCATCTGCCGGCTCTGTTGGGCTAACGTTTCCCCCAAATAAAAATGAAAATGCACCATAAATAAGGTATTACAAAAAGGGGAGTAGATTAAAGATTGTCTCAGCAATGCTTAAATTAAATTGACGATGCAGAGACCATAAACTTCCGGCTTTAAAAATGAGCTATTTCTTTATTAACTTTTAACAAGTGTATGAGTCAATGTATTTTCTTTCTAAGAGGGTATTGCTCTCCACATTAAATATGGTCGGGGTCTGATATTTTTAGTAGAGAATTACCCTTTAGAAAATTATTCCATAAAGATGCCATAGGGAGATTAAAAATGCTGTGACCATAAGAGCTACTAAACATTTAAGGAGACCATAATATAATTCTATATTCTCTGGAAAAGGAAGCTGCTTGTTTGAGCTTATGAAATAGCTCATTTTCCTGAAGATTCACACACCAAGTGTTAATTTTTCTACTCTTATAATCTGATAAGGAAGGTTGTGGTGTTAATTTAAACACAGTAGACTGCTTGGATTTTTGAGTCCCCTTTTATAATATCACAATTCAAACAAGATTTCATCTTGATAAAACATAAAAATTAAGATTACACTATAATGATCCTTGTTAGAGGATACATTTCAAAATAGTGGGGGAATCATGACTTTTTAGAGCCTTCTTCCAGAGTAATTACACTGCTTCAAAACTAGTTATTAGGATAAAATAATTTATTTGGTGGTCTGTTCCTGGTGAAAATGAATTTAGCTGATAAGGATGAGTACCTGATTTGAATATTTAGTTGGCACCCAGGAATCAACTTTGATTTTCTTTTCAACTGCATACTTTTTATGGTGCTTGAGTATATAGAATTGTCCAAGTCATAGTTTACACACCACTATCCCCAGTGGGATATCTATTTCCAGGCAAAGCATTTGATGTGAGATATTGTTCAGCCAATCAGGACACTTAAAATTTATATATGTAAAAGTGAAAGTAATAGAAACATTCTAAAGTTAATTTGGATTTATAAAATTTGGATGGCCTAAGCTACAGATTCAATTTTTAAGGCCGGGCGCGGTGGCTCACGCCTGTAATCCCAGCACTTTGGGAGGCCGAGGCGGGCGGACCACGAGGTCAGGAGATGGAGATCATCCTGGCTAACATGGTGAAACCCTGTCTCCACTAAAAAATACAACAAAAATTAGCCGGGCGTGGTGGTGTGTGCCTGTAGTCCCAGCTACTGGGGGCGCTGAGGCAGGAGAATGGCGTGAACCCGGGAGGCGGAGCTTGTAGTGAGCAGAGATCGCGCCACTGCATTCCAGCCTGGGCGACAGAGCGAGATTCTGTCTCAAAAAAAAAAAAAAAAAAAAAAAAAAAATTTTAAGATTTTCTGCACAACTCTTTGGGAGCTGAAAATAAAAACTAAACCACACGTTTTTTATACTGCGTTAAAATTAAATGGGCAGGTTTTGTTCCATCTGAAAAGGGAGTAATTTCATTGCTGAACATCCCTTTATGGACACAAACTGTAAAGGCAGGAAAGTTCTGAAAGAAACATCTATTTACTGTGCCCACATTCCCTCTCTTGTGGTTCTATGGAATAATCTTTGCTTCTTTCCCATTTGGTTTATTTACTTATTTGGGCACAAATGTTTTTTAGGCCTTTCAGAAGTAAGTGGCCAGGAAGTGAAGGGGCTTTAAACAATGGCTTAATGTTTTTTTAAATTCAGCTTATTCTAGGGAATATCTTAGTAGTTTAAAGGAACTCTTGCTTTTGAATAGAGGGCAAAAACATATCATCAGAAAGCTCTCAATGTCCTTGAAACAACCCACAAAAGCAATCTGGTTATGCTTAATGAATTTTAGTTTCAAAGTGATTGAAACAAATATTAAAATTTTACTTCTTCCCACTCTCCTTCCATCTTTCCCATCACCAACATCTAAAATTAGGAAACAGACAATGAAAAAACTGGGCTGAAAATTATTTTTTTCTCCAATAATCTTTCATGTTGCCTGGGACCTAGCAATTAAAAAAAAAACCTGCGCATGCAATGATGTTTGACCTGATACTCAGGTGGGGTGGGAAGGAAGTGAGACGAAGCTGGAGAATGATGGAACTATGACTCTTATTGGTTCCACGATGTCAAAGAGTCTGAATTATAGGAAAACGTCACTCCAACTTGATACTTACAGTACCCTGGTACTAAATATTTAGCCCCAGTCTCAAATTATCCAATTTCCTATAAATTTACTTCATCATCAGCTTTTATGATAAGAGATTAAAGTTATTTCCATAAGTAATCATATTAACCTGTTCTTGGTATGCTGTGTCATCTGCAGGGAGGGATAAAATACCTTGCCAATTACATCTCAGATATTCTGCTATAGAACTACTTACTTTTACTTATTAGGAGAACTCAGATCTTACCTTTAAACATTGGAAACTGCTAGTGTCAATCCTCAACTTCAGATGATACCTTTCTTTTTACAGGACTATCTTCCTTGATTCAATTTGTTACGTGACATGAAACATACAGATAGAGACCTCTTTAATTTTACAGTAAATCGTGTGATTAAGGTGCTGTTCTATTGCTATGAGTAAGTAGCTTCTAACTTTACTAAGCTTTTTTCAACACTTACCTGTGACTATGATACATATCAATTCATTAGAGTGAAGACCTCATATAGCCTTTTGTTTGCATTCGTGTGTGTGTGTGTGTGTGTGTGTGTGTGTGTGTATGTGTGTGTATGAAGAACTAGAAAAAAGAAACCCTGAAAGCAGGAAATAGCTCAAGCATGAAATACTTGTTACTATATAGGGCAGTCCATTATAAAATCGGAAACCATTCAGAAGACACAAGGAATAATATGATTGTAAAAAATTTTCACTCTAATCAGGTAACCCAAAATACTACATTTCTCTTCTTTTAACGTTTCCATCTTTACTTCTTGGGTAATACACCTATTTAAAACTTAACTAAACAACAGTGTGTTTCCAAACAGAAAATATGTGCTGATATGACAATATCCCCAAATGGAAATGACACTAAAATTATTTGTAGAAAATTAATATTAATTGAAAATAAATCCCTAAGACTAATAAGTGAAGTCAGCATATTCTTAAGTATATATATATACAGAGCCTGTCTTTTAGGTTTTCAAAACAAGGATGTTTTCATTATAGTACGCTGGAATTTCTGATGACTGCACAAGGTAAGATTCTAATGATAAGTGCCATTAGAACAGCGTGTGAAATAAACGATTTGAATCTGCCAGAAGGATTAGTTCAGTTCAGTTGGGTCCTCTGGATAATAACTATGAGGCTAATTGCATAATTAGAGAAATAATAGATTGGATGGATTTTACATTACTTTTCTGTCATAGTTTGAGATCATTACTTTATCATTAGTTCAAAGTCAAGGATGGCAGGATGGTCATGAAAGCAAAGTTAAAAACAATGAAAAAAAATTAATGCTTTTGAAAATCAACTATCATTTTAATTACAATCTTAAACACTTTTGTTTAAGGGAATCCAATTTTCCTCTTCCAAGGGTCTTCCAAACATGGAATATGTAGGTTTTCATCATAATCTCAATGTTGTTTATCCAAATGTATCACGTTATATAAATATGTAGAGGTTTCCAGATGTCAAGGGCAGGGTATTAGGTTCAAGTGTGGCTGGCTCTAACCTCTCCACTGAACTCCTAGAGTGAGATTTAAGTTTTATTTAATCTAACTTTACTAATTCAACTTAGTCGTGTAAGAAGGATATGAAGAATATGAATTATTGTACTTCACACTGCTACTTTCATGTACAGTATAGTAGAATAATACTGACAACTATAGACAAGAAGTTAAAATTTGTCTCAGGAAAATTCTTTCAAGAATTTTTAAACAATTTTGACATTAGCCTACTGATAGCTGAAAGAATTTCAAGTGACCCGTGATACATGTGGTGGCCAAAACTTTAAATGTATGGTAAAATATATTTCCTTGGTTAACATTATTAGCTATTTCCCTCCCCCTTTATATGGTACAAAGGCAAACTTTCGCATGTCTAGTCTAGGATATAACAAACTATGAGTTAGTGGAAGGAATGAAGTCGTACTAGGTTTGTGGTTGCTTTTGGATGTTACCGTTTAATTTGCTTCTATTCCTTAAGAGTAATGAGAATTTTAACATATGGGTGGATTTGAGGTTTTGAATAGTAGTTGATGGCAGAGAAAGTTCTTGAAGAACAAATAGCATGGGCAAGTGTTATTTTAAATTCTTTGTGACACAAATAAACACCCCTATGTAGTTTATCTCTTTGTGAGCCGATATGCCCTCATTTCTTTTACTATGATGATATTTTTATCTTTAAAGCACAGTCCTTTATCCCATTAGCCTGTGAAATGTACAGTTAGGGCAGTTGGCTGACCTGACATGGAGTGTAGTAAAACACCAGGACAGCGGAAGCGGGCACGCTGCCCTGAGAACAAGTGGAAATACTGTTCCCTGTCCTCCCCTCCGGCACCTGCCTGTTGGGCTGACTTGGTTAACTGGATGCACTAAAAAATAAAAATTTGCCCCTTGGAAGCTCATAAAAGTGTACTAGAAAAAAGTCTCTAACATTGGATCCACACGGACTGCAGCCATTGGCTTTTGGAACGGGTAGAACAGAGAAGCCTTCACGGAGTAGTGGATAAATATAAAGAAATAGCCACTTCACATATTTCAGTGTCGTATTGGAAAATGAAAAAGGCAACAGATTAGGAGTCTTTGTCACTGTCCACTCCTCCATACATATCTGCAAGCTTTTTGAATCGAGGTCCCCAGTCACTAAGGTAATCATAGTCTTGATCTGCATCCGTGGTCACTGACTCCAGCGAGCTCAGGGAATCCGCCACGGAGCCAGTGCCTTCATAGGCGTAAGTGGCCAAGGAGTCGTATGGCGGGGCAGTGGGGTCCGTGTCATTTTCCTTTAACCTTTGGTTAATGAAATCTCTGACATCGGTGTTGTCGCGAGCTGTTGGAGTCCGTCGGGGTAGGAAAAGGGCTTCGGGCACAATGTCCCTTCGTAATTTGTTGTCCTCTATGGCTTCAGGATTCCTCAGGGTGCCGATATCAAAAGCCTGGGTGTCCTCCTCTCCACCACCTTCGTCGTTGTAACTGACAATGTTATCTCTGATGTCCTCTTTGGAAATGATCAAAGGCTCTTTTTTTCGCTGCCGCCTCAGAGCTGCAAACAGCACCACTGTCACTGGAAGCAGAAAACAAAACAGAAAGGGAAGGAAAAGTTAATTTGCTGCCCAATTAATGTCAGGAAGAAACACTGTGCTCAAATGTGAAGTTTTAAAAGTTCTCTAGAAAATGCAGACTCAACTTTTATTTCTTTAAGGATGCACTTGCCTCCATCCATGATCAAACCGGGACCCATAAAATGGAGTAAATATTTGAAAGAAGGTTATAATTTAAGTAGAGGATAAAACACCATCATATTTTGGCAGTAGTTCCTTTTTACTTTGAAATGGCAAACTAGTTTCAAGGTAAGGAAAAAAATAATAAAGAAAAGAAGCTCGGCCTCAGTGAAAGTACTGCAATCAGGGTGCAAATTATGCTGAACACCTAAAATGCTCTGAAACTGGTTACAAGGACAAGACTGGCACCTTTGGGAATGTGTTGAAGGGTTTGCACAACTCCACATCTAAAATAACTTTTGCGCTATGCCTTTTTTTTTTTTACCTGAGAAAAGTGTAAAATTAGTTTAAAATCCAAAGTAGACACTGAATATTTGCATACCTTTCCTACATATAAAGCAATATTATTCCAGAAAATACCTGGAGAGACCCAGATATAATTCAGAAAGCCATTTTGGATTTTGAGATTGGCTAATTTGAAGGGGGCAGGTAAGAATCCACATGCCATATTATTTCTGTTTGAGCTAAATGAAATAAATACATGTAAGTGAGATTTTTTATTTTTTATTTTTCAAAGGTTCATGTTCTATAAGTTTGTTACTGAGAATGTTCATTCTTTTGATTTTTTCCCTCCTAACTCAAATTAGAGGTAAAACAAGAATTGCGTTTAAATAGCTCCTGATCTTTCTTCACAGCTGGCTGGGTGGAACACAGCTGGCTACTTGTAGAGAGACACATCTATCTATGAATGGACATATGGGTGAAAAAATAAAAACACAGTAAAAGCTTAGAGAGAAAACAGCCATCTAGGCCAAAAAGTGAATTGTTAAACTGGGTTTGTGCAGAGGAGTGTATTACAGGAAGTCACAGTAATGTCTCTTTACTATTTTATCCATAACAAGGCCCAATTTTTATGAGACATGAAAACTGAATTACTGCAATAAGAATTACAGAATAATGCCTTTTTAGTGAGTACACAAAACTACCTATATAATAATAGATGTAGGCACACCCATGTATCTATATATTAAAATTTCATTAGTATTAATAATAATAATTGGTTACCCGTTGAGAGCTTTCCATGTGTTAAGCCCTGTACTAAGTGCTTAACATACTGAATCTCATTTAATTATCATAATAGCCCTACAAGTAGATACCATCATTAAAACCCCATTTTACATAAGAGGAAGTTGAAGTTTAAAGATGTTACAGGTACATGCAATTCAAATTCAGGTTGGTCAGACTAAAAAGCCTGCATTCATAATTGCCATGTTTTGAAGCAGATTTGGAGTATAGACTATTTCCAAAGGAAATGTAACTTTGCCACTTTCAAGTGTGTGGTTTTGTAGTTGTATGCACCCTCTTTTGCTGCCAGAAAGTATCCTGATGCCTTGTTTGATGCAACCATTCAGGGTATTTATTCATTCACGCATTTGATAATATTTATGTAGTGCCTACCCTGTACCAGGTACAGTTCTAGGCACTGAGTGGGTGGGTGGGGTGGGGGACAGTTGGATGGAGACAAAATAAACAATGTGTGTAGTAAATAAGGAAATTGTTAGAAGGTGATAAGTGCAATATGAACATGAAAGAGCAGAGCAGAACAAGGTGGAGAAAAATACTTCTGTATATGTTTGAGGAGCCCATATGAACATACAGCACAGTTTTTTTTTTTTTTTTTTAAGACAGAATCTCACTCTGTCACCCAGGCTGGAGTGCAGTGGCACGATCTCAGATCACTACAACCTCTGCTTCCCAGGTTCAAGCAATTCTCCTGCCTCAGCCTCCTGAGTAGCTGGGAGTACAGGCACCCACCACCATGCACAGTTAATTTTTGTATTTTTAGTAGAGACGAGGTTTCACCATGTTGGATTAGGCTCGTCTCGAACTCCTGACCTCAAGTGATCCACCTGCCTCGGCCTCGCAAAGTGTTGGGATTACAGGCGTGAACCACCATGCCCAGCCAGCACAGTTTTGTATATGTTATCGGAGGGAGGTTGCATAATTTGAGCAAAGACATGAAGAGCACTGCAGGGCTTTGGGCAGAGGGATGCTCATGATCTACCTTTCATACTGGTTGCCAGTGTGAACAATGACACGGATTTGCAAAACAGAGGGTTGGAAGTAAGGACATCCATTGGGATTAGAGAACAGAATCAAGCCAACTGTCTCTCCAAGAATTAAGCTCTTATGTACATGGGCTCATTCAGTCACGTAAGGCAAGGGGCAGGCATTTATCACCTCCTAATTCTTCCCTGGCTTAAGGTATCTATAGCTTTTATTTTAGTCTTATGCACGTCTGAAAGCGCAACTGTCTAGAAGGGAGAGGGCACTTTCAAAAAATCAAAGGCATTTATTCAAGGTCTAATTCTTCTACAGCTAAAACTGCTTATATCTTTTCTCATTAGCCCAATGCACATCTGAACAGGATTTCTTGAGAGTGTCGCTGTCTAGAAGGAGAGCTCTCAGAGCTAACTTTTATAAAGTGAAAATGTGATTGCTAAGCACATGGGGCAAACACATTCTTAGAAAGTGATGCCCTATGAGGTGCCCTCAGCAGGAACTGAGTCTCCCCCTTTCCCTTACCCTTTTGAAGCCAGAGGACAGCAGTAAGATTTTTGGCGGAATAGAGGGACAATTGGGCAAATTTGTGTTCAAATTTCATCGTAAAACTAGAGGGTAAAGAGATCTGGGTTAAATTAAATGATTTGACCGTTCTAAGCCTATTTTCTTATTTGTAAAAGAAAATTAATAGCACAGTGCCCAGTCTTATTGTCATGAATGAGTTAATAAATGTGAAAGTTTTGCAAGTTCTAAGGCACCATAAGACATGAGATGTAGTAGTTGTCTAGTTGTTTTTACTGTTGTTTTATTTTTGTAAAATATCCATTACCATATGATCCACTTTCTGGACTCCAGATTTCTTCCTATATCAATGTGGCTTTGCTTCATTTTCCTCCACTTTCTTCAATCGTCACATTTTAAGTTTGGGCTGTCTTTTGGCCTGGAAATCGCCCTGCATTTCATAAGTTTGAAAAGAAAGTAGAGTGCAGTCTTCAGGCACCAAGCCTGGGGAAGAAAATTTAGGTTGGGAACTTTAGTTTTACCACGTGTTAGACACGTGACTTGGCTACATTACTTCACATCTTGGAGCTGCAGTTTTCATATTTAAGGTACAGATAATTATACACCAAATGGTGCTGAGGATTAGGTGAGAAAAACCTTTGTAAAGCATCTTGCACAGCATCTGACCTATGGTGTATACCTAACAAAGGCTAAATCCCATTTTTCTCCTTTTTTATTAGGTACAGAATTCCAAAGAGATTAAACAAGATGTGGGAGGCACTGAGGCCAATTACAAGTCATGAGGAGACAGTGAATTCATGGGAGGAAGGAAATGAAAGGCGGAGGTAGATGATGACAGAAAGGAAGAATCACCACTGTCAGATGAGAGTTATCTCTCCTTCCACAGATGACAAAAAGAGTCCATGGAATACTCCTTGGGTACAGCCCTACCAATCCAAGGCTTCTAAAAAATCACCCTTTTGATCAAAAAGAACATTCATATCTTTCTCTTCCAAAACAATGCTTACAGACTCACACCATTAGAAACACTGATTTGTCTTTGCACACTGTCAGTTTTTATTTATGTGCATATCTTAAAATACTTTCCCCAAGTCTTAGTTGACAAAGAGAATCGCAGTTCTGTAGTTGAGTTTCAAGGCTTCTGTTATAGTTAGCAGGGTTGATGTGGAGCGTGAAGGAGCGCTAGAGCAGGGATCCCTGGGCATTCTGTTCTTGGTGAAATGCGGGTTCTCTTTCACTCTTCTCAAAGTCACTCTGTCTTCATTTTTTAAAAAAGAGTATTTCCCCCTGTATAATTCAGGTTGACTCTTAACTTCTTACCTTTTCTTTTCACTATATAGGCAAGCTTTACAAATCTTGCTTTCATTTTTGGAAGGGCTGCATTAACAAATATTTGATTTCTTAGTTCACAGTCAAGGACCTGTTGAGAAATCTGAGCTCGACTTGTAGGCTTAATTAGTTGGTTAGGGGTAAAAATTTCATTTGAATCATTGTTAGACCCTGATTTCCATTTTTATTACATTCATTTCTTTTGGGCCCCCATACTGATTTCCTCAATCACAGAAGTTATTTATTGTTGAGTGTGAGGAATAGACCTTATGCATGTGGCAATCAGAGAGTAATGCTAAGAAGGTAATCATTTAAATGGTAAATCAACATTAGTTTGCTGGGTTAAAAAAATTTCATAGTTTTTATTTTTCTAGGATGAGAGAAAAGTCATCATACTCCTCTTCCCACTTTCCCATAGATCTTTAAACTTTACCTTTATAGAAAGGGCCCTCATCATACACTCCATGCCAGACACTTAACAACGTTTTCCAAGTAAAAAAATTACACAACGAATGAAATGAAAAGGGCACATTTATGTTGCCCTGAAATCCCCCGAGATTCATTCCCAGTCTGATAGACAAGAGATTCTTTGCTTCCTGGGCAAGCAAAGACACGAGCAAGTTTCACATCTGTTCATTTTCCAAAGCCATTTGCAAGCAAAAATGAGTTCACATCGTACAGCACAGATTCTCAGTATGTAACTCGACTCACCTAGATCAGGCTGTATGCCTTAATGGGGGAGGCAGATAAATCTAGAGTGTCACAGTAACAGTGTGAGCCCCTCACCATGGGGAGATAGGAGGCAGGGAGAACCAGTTTACCTAGTAGGATCACGATGCACAGAAGGATGGCAACCAGAGCCCCCGTGCTCAGTCCCGTGGGGTGGATGAGCGCCTCCGCATGGCAGGATTGCATGTTCCCGTGGTGGTCACATGCACAGACCCGGACAGTCACTGTCCCAGTGCTGCTTTGAACTGGGTAGTCGTTGTCTGAAATGACCACAGGCAAGAGATAGGTGCTCATCTCGTGTCTATTATAGCCATTTTTCCGAGTTAAGATTCCCGCCGTGTTGTCTGGAACCGGAAAGCAAAGTGGTGAATGTATGTGGATACTGCGTCATGTATTAAATCAACTGTGATAAGAAAAGATAGATATAGATACAGATATGTACATATACATATACACATATACATACAGAAACAGTTACGGATATAGATGGAGATAGATAGAGAAGGTAACTTGAACTCATTTACCTTTGTTGTCTTGAATGGTAAAGTTTGAGCCACTGGCTGCTTCAGGGGCCAAGGAAAACGAAAATTGGTGTCCACTATAAGGGTCATCCTTGTCAACAGCATGCAGGGTCTGAATCAACTAAGAGAAAAACCAAAACGCTGCCATAAAATTTTGATAACTCAAAAGTGTTTCTTACCGTTTTGCAATAAATTGCTTGACAAAATGATTTAAAAATTTAATTATAAAAATGATAGCCTTTAAGTAATATACAGTGAATCTGCTCTATTATGGGTTAGAAAGCCAAAGGGCAGGGAATGATTCTTTGTTGTGGGGACACTGTAGGATGTCCTGTGCATTGTAGGATGTTTAGCAGCCACCCTGGCCTCTACCCACGAGATATCAGTAGCACCTTCTAGTGTGACAATCAAACTCTCTCAAGATACTGTAAATATCCCCAGGGAGGAAATCACCCTGATTGAGAAACATTTAGCCTTGAGTGATGCAAAGCTATAAAATATCCCAATAGTCGGTGACAACATTGCAACTTCACAAAGTAGAAGTGCTCTTTGGACAGTCTGTCTAGAAATGCACTCTTAGCATTACATAACCTATCAACTTGCAAAAAATGAAAAAGAAGTATATAGAACACAGTAACTTCAGCTTTCTACTTGCACATGTACTTTAACAGTGTACTTCTATTTTCACAAACTGAAACATAATTTTTATATCACTGGCAGCAAAGAACTATTTCATGTGGGGACAAATGTGTAAAACAATAAAACATTCATGAATTTGTATTACTTACACAGATGGTCAATGTAAATAAGTGAAATCATGAATTATAGGCAATTATAAAGTATGTTGTAGTTATTACTTCAAGTACATATGGTAATTAAACTATCTGTTCACCAATAAAGATTTTTCCAATAAAGGTGAGACTAATCTATTTAATAAAAACTTAAGATCGATTTGGAATCAGCCTCAGTCTTTGATGAACTTCCAGTTCTTCGAAACTGTTAGTTCTCATATGTAAGTCCTGGTTCTTATTTATAGTATTAATTTCCGTAGCATTCACTTCATAGATAATTCACAACTCTCCTTCAGCTCTGTGAATCATCTGAATGATAAGAAGATCTAAATTAATCTGATGTTCAACTTGAATATACTTTTTAATGAAACTCACCTGATCTGCCTTTGCTTTTTCACAGACAAAAGTTTCATAGAACTCAGCAAATTCTGGGGCGTTGTCATTGACATCTAGAACTTTAATATATAGAGGTACTCGACTACTTTGCTTTGGATTATCTGTCACAAACCAAAAAGAAAGAAAAAGGCATTTACATGTTGATTGCCGATTCCCTTTAGACAACATCCGCTCAACTCCTTCATTCTCATTCATGCACAGATTCCCCAAGCTGCTGTACTACTGGGCATTAAGTACCAGTGTGGTCACAAAAAGTACAATTAGATTGTTTGGTACATCTGGAGTTGGATGCACCTGTTAGAGATACATGGGTGACAAAGCCACTTGTGTTGATATAGTTCAACTGTATAATAAACCTTAAGATAACACAAAACCAAGAAAGGCATTTTAGAGGTAGATTTTCAAGGAAGCAGGCAGATGGGGAGCATATGGACAAAAGGAAGGAGAGGGAAAATGAATGAACCACCAGAAGACCAAAGGATAGTTATTAGTCTTAGTGGTTTAGTTTGAATGCTGAACGAGAGCAAGATGTCATGCTAAACACTTTGCTGTATTACGTTATTTAATTTTCACAAACTTCTGAGGTAGACAGAGGTACTGCCCCCATTTTATAGATGAGGAAACTGAGACATGGAGAAGTTAAGTAATTTATCTGTGTTTACAGAGACGGTAAAGAGTGAAGTCCAGGTTCAAACTTGGATCTGTCTGACTCCAAGCCCAGGCTGAAAGCCCAGGCTGTTCATTTGGAATTAATGATAAAGCGGAATCAATGTTTGCAGACCTGAGATAAATGAAGTATTTTGGTTGCCTTCTGTGATAATCTTCTAGCACAGTATGGAAGACAGATTTCTAGTGTAAGGATCAGGAGTTAGAATCTATCACCTCACCTCTCTTCATTTACTTCACTTGTATGTCTATTTGTTTTTTCACTTTGTAATTATTTAGTGAGCATCTAATACCTAATATATAGCAGCCTCTATTTGCGATGTTGGGGCACGTAGGAAACATAACAAAGATCCTGTTTCCTGGAGCTTTATTGTAATGGGGATGGACAAACCATAAACTCATAAATATATAATGTGTCAGATGGTAAGTGCTATAGAGAAATTAAGTAGGGAAAAAGGATTGAGAGAAATAGAGGTGTTACTTAGAATGATGACCAAGGACTGCTTCTCTGATGAGATATCATTTGCCCAGAGACATGAATGAAGAGAAGGTTTAAGCCATGTGAATATTTCTGGCTCTTCAGGTCGAGGAATCAGTATATGCAAAGGCCCCGAGGTGAGTGGGAGCTGGTTTTACACAAGCTTTTGGTTTCTGTTATATCAAAGGTTGTTAAGAAGATTAGACAGTAAGATTCTTTAAAATGTCTAAAATTTTACTCATATTATTCTTTGAAAGTTAGAGCAGCTGAATATTAACTTTCAAGAGATAGTCACCAATACTTTCAAATGTGTCATAGAAACATTAAATCTTAAAAACTTTTTTTAAGGCACAAAGATTAAAATACTTATGAAATGACTGCTTTGGTAAAAAATAAAATTTCATTGTCTTAGGAAAAATGGTCATTTTCAGTGGGAAATAAATTTATAATTTTAAAACTTTAAAGATGCTCTGTCTTTGGTATCTACATCAGTCCCATAACATAAATTAACATGAACTTCAAGATAAATCTTGAAAAATTCTGAAGAGCAAATTCCTACCTAACTAATTTCTAATGTGCTGTCCTTATCACTATCTAAAAGCAATGCTTCATTTTGCCCATATTGGTTACTATTCTACCAAATATCCTTTAGTCACTTCAAATCTCATGAGTTATATTGACAGAGAATACAAATGTAATAAACTATTCGATATGGACTATTTCACACTAGATACCCAAAGTGAGCTAAAAATGTTTAGAACTTTTAAAATTAAACACAAACACTAAAAAGTGAGCTGTAATTTAGAAGCCTAGTTTTAAACATTGAAATTCTATTTTAACCGGGGCCTGTTGTGGGGTGGGGGGAGGGGGGAGGGATAGCATTAGGAGATATACCTAATGTAAATGACGAGTTAATGGGTGCAGCACACCAACATGGCACAGGTATACATATGTAACAAACCTGCACATTGTGCACATGTACCCTAGAACTTAAGTATAATAAAAAAATTAAAAAAAGATCATTTTTCACTTATGTTCTTCAGCCTGCACATTGTATTGACCATCTACATTAGTTTTCATTGTGTGTAATCATTTTATTTGAAGCATTCTTTTGGCACTATTGTTCTTTGCCTTCAATTTCATGGGGGCTACCATAAAATTCATTCTAATCATTTTACTGATTACTTGATGGCTTGTATTACTCACTTTGGTATACCATAGAAAAGTGATAATTTATCTCTCTTAATTCTGTAAAGACTTTGAAATAAAAATTCTATAGTAAGCTAGAGAATTGATATCTAAAATTTTCTAAACAATGCCCACATTTTACAATATACTTGACCCCTCTCATCTTTTGCCCCCACACACAGTGTCTGACTGAGAGTCTGTTTTTTTCAGCTGTTTATGTAATGTTCTAATTTATAAGCTTTTTTGGAATTAAATCCACCGAGTACCAATTCAATCTCATTTGTGAGATACATTCCCATTTTATTGTTTCCAAACCACAGAACTTCCATGGTTGCCTCTCCATTTATGTGTGAGCCAATGTATATCTAGAAGAAACATTACTGCAAACCACTCCAGGGCTTTTTCCCTCAATATATATCAAGTGGGATTGTCAATACATGGTGACAAGCTACGCTCCACCAGCCCTTGCTGGGACACTCAGTCTATTAATAGGGGACAGCAGCGGTATTAGGTAGGACTTACTGATCTCTGTTGCTATCACTGTAATGTTGTGCCATAGCAGTGTTTCTCGGTCAAGAAGTTTCGATGTAAAAATCGAACCATTTCCAGAATCAATGTTGAATATTCTGTCCATATCTGTGTGTCGATCTACAGAGTACCTGAAAATGCAGAGTGGAATTAAGAAAGGCTTTTCTTTCTATTTCCTATTCTCACATCATAGAACATCATAAAACATCTGGTACACATCATATCCCAGAGTATCTGTGGCATAAATTTTTTTCCATCTCTAGTGCATATTTGAATATCTACAACCTGACATTAAGTAAAATATTTTGAGAAATTAGTTCTTCACAATGGAGGTCTTAATAGTAAACTCACTAGACAAGTTGCATGACTTTGAAGATCACCATTAAATTTTCTTTTCTAATATGTATAAATTTGGATCAAGTTTATATAGTAATTGTTTCATTTTTAACTCAAGTTTTTACAACCTGAGAACTTTAATGTGTGTGTGTGTGTGTGTGTGTGTGCTTGTATGCATATGTAGGGTTTTGGTTATTTTTCTACTTTCCATTTAATTTTAAAAATCATCTGTTGAAATAAGCAAAAGATGGCTAGTGTGGCCAAGGTTAGTGAGGCAGAAGAAGGAGATAGGAGATGACATTGGTGAGAGAGCCAGAGTCTAGACTGCAGAAGAAGGCTGTGATAAGGAGTTGGAATTTATTCTAGATGCAATGCGAATCTACCCAAGGGTTTTTTTGTTTGTTTGTTTGTTTTGAGATGGGGTCTCACTCTCTCACTCTGTCACCCAGGCTGGAGTGCAGTGGCATGATCTTGGTTTACTGCAACTTCGACCTCCCAGGCTTGAGCGATCCTCCCACCTTAGCCTCCAGAGTAGCTGGGACCACAGGTGCGTGTCACCATGCCCTGCTAATTTTTTGTAGAGACAGGATTTGGCCATTTTGCCCGGGCTGGTCTTGAACTCCTGAGCTCAAGTGATCCACCTACCTCGGCCTCCCGAAGTGCTGGGATAACAGTCATGAACCACCACGACTGGCTACAAAAGGTTTTAAGCAGGGGAATGCCACAATCTAAATCATTGTTAATAAAGATCACTGGTTGAATTGAGGAGAATGGTTGAACGGTGCTGCCACAAACAGAGAAAAAAGGAGTGAAAAACAGGATTCGGGGAAGATGGGTAAGTTCCATTTTTGCTATGCTGAAGCTGAGGTGCCTGAGAAAAGTTCAGGAAGAGATATCTAGTCTGAAGCTCTAGATTAAGATCTGGACTGATCCCAGATTTCCTATTCAGCTGTCTAAGAAAACAATGTCCAGTGGAGGAAGAAAAACACTAAAGACAGAATCACTTACATCACTTAAATCAGTGGGAGACCACAGTGGTGCCTGGAACAGACTAGGAACTTGATAAATATTTAAGAAGGAGAGTTTGAATAAATTTGAGGGAAACCAAGAGAAGCATTTGGAAACCAAACATTCCAACCCTAATACTGATGGAAGACTAGTGGATTTTGAGAAATGTTGTCTTATTTGTAAATGTATTACTAGTTTTTAGAATAGCTATGTGATATGGTTTGGCTCTGTGTCCCCACCCAAATCTAATCTCGAATTGTAATCCCCATGTGTCAAAGGAGGGGCGTGATGGGAGGTGATTGTATCATGGGGGCAGACTTCTCCCTTGCTGATCTTGTGATAGTGAGTGAATTCTCATGAGATCTGATGGTTTAAAAGTGTAGTGCTTCCCCTTTACATTTCGCCATGATTACAAGTTTTCTGCAGCCTCCTAGCCACGCTTCCTGTACAGCCTGTAGAACTGTGAGTCAATTAAGCCTCTTTTCTTCACAAATTACGCAGTCTCAGGTAGTTCTTTATAGCAGTGTGAGAATGAACTAATACAGAAAATTGGTACCAGGAAAGTGGGGGACTGCTATAAAGATAGCTGAAAATGTGGAAGCAACTTTGGAACTGGGTAACAGGCAGAGGTTGGAACAGATTGGAGGGTTCAGAAGAAGAAAGAAAGATGTGGGAAAGTCTGGAACTTCCTAGAGACTTGTTGAAAGGTTTTGACCAAAATGCTGACAATGATATGGACAGTGAAGTCCAGGCTGAGGAGGTCTCAGAGGGACATGAGGAACTTATTGGGAACTGGATTAAAGGTCACTCTTGCTTTGCTCTAGCAAAGAGACTGGTGGTGTTTTGCCTCTACGCTAGAATCTGTGGAACTTTGAACTCGAGAGAGATGATTTAGGATATTTGGCAGAAGAAGTTTCTAAGCAGCAAAGCATTCAAGAAGTGATCTGGCTGTTTCTTAAAGTGTATGCTCATATGTGTGAACAAAGAGATGATGTGAAACTGGAACTTATATTTAAAATGGTGACCATGTGGTAGAAAAGAAAGATCCATTTTCTGGGGAGGAATTCAAGCCTGCTGCAGAAATTTCCCTAACTAAAGAGGAGCCGAATGTTAATAGCCAGGACAAGGGGGAAAATGTCTCCAGGGCATTTCGGGGACCTTGATGGCAGCCCCTTCCCTCACAGGCCCAGAGGCATAGGAGGAAAAAAAATGGTTTTATGGGCAAGGCCTAGGGCCTAGCTGCTCTGTGCAGCCTTGGGACATGGCATCCTGTGTTCCAGCCACTCCAGCCCGAGCTGTGGCTATTGGTGGATCCACCATTCTGGGGTACAGCTCAGGCTGTGGCTTCAGAGGGTGCAAGACCCAAGGCTTGGTGGCATCTACATGGTGTTGGGCCTGAAGCTGTGCAGAAGGCAAGAAGTTGAGGTTTGGGAACCCCCACCTAGATTTCAGAGGATTTATGGAAATGCCTGAATGTTTAGGCAGAAATCTGCTGCAGTGGTGGAGACATCATGGAGTACCTCTACTGGAGCAGTGTGGAGGGAAAATGAGGGGTTGGAGCCCCCACACAGAGTCCACACTGGGGCACTGCTTAGTGGAGCTGTGAGAAGGGGGCCACTCTCTTCCAGACCCCAGAATGGTGGATCCACCAATAGCTTGCACCATGAGCCTGGGAAAGCTGCAGGCACTTAATGCCAGCCCATGAAAGCAGCCTCGGGGGCTGTATCTTTCAGAGCCACAGGAATGGAGCTGCCCAAGGCCATGGGAGCCCACTCCTTTATCAGTGTGCCCTAGGGGTGAGACATGGAGTCAAAGGAGATTATTTTGGAACCTTAGGATTTAACGACTGCGCTGCTGGATTTCAGTCTTGCATGGGGCCTGTGGCCAATATCTCCCTTTTTGAGTGGAAACATTTACCCAATACCTGTAACCCCATTGTATGGAAGTAACTAACTTGTTTTTTATTTTACAGGCTCATAGACTGAAAGGATCTGTCTTGTCTTGGATGAAACTTTGGACTTGGACTTTTGAGTTAATGCTGGGATGAGTTAAGACTTTGGGGGACTGTTGGGAATGCATGATTGGTTTTGAAATGTGAAAAGGACATGAGATTTGGGAGGGGCCAAGGGAAGAATGATATGGTTTGGCTCTGTGTCCCCACCCAAATCTGATCTCAAATTGTAATCCCCATGTGTCAGAGGAGGCACCTGGTGGGAGGTGACTGAATCATGGGGCAGACTTCCCCCTTGCTGTTATTGTGATAGTGAGTGAGTTCTCATGAGATCTGATGGTTCAAAAGTGTGTGGCACTTTCCCCTTCCTTTCCCTCTTCTCCTTCTGCTATGATTGTAAGTTTCCTGAGGCCTCTCGGCCATGCTTCCTGTACAGCCTGTGGAAATGGGAGTCAATTAAACCTTTTCATGAATGACTAAGTCTCAGGTAGTTCTTTATAGCAGTTTAAAAATGGACTAATACACTATGTTTATGAGCAGGGTGGGGGTGGGGTATTACAGAGAAAACTGAAGAAAGTTGATATGTTAAGGCCATTAGAAAAAAAAACTGCCCATTTCAGCTGGATTTTTAAAACTTTATGAGGTTAAAAACATTGCCTCAGTAGAAATTCAATATAAGTAAATGACCTGACTAGGCAGATATACGTGGAATTATTATGGGTGCTCTAAGAAAAATAAACCCTTGTAACTAACTTGCCATAGTTTACTGCACCCAAGATTCTACTTGAATGTATTATTTTGGTTTAAAACACAAGTAGTGAATTATAATGAACAATATATTTTATCTTCATAAAATTTATTTTTGTTATCTAGTGAGTGTCTAAATGAAATAGATATTCAATTATCACAGGCCATTTAAACCTGATTTTAAAGAGAATTAATGAAGTTCACAATGGGTATAATATCAAGTTGAATTGGAGTTTCAGTTTCAATGTACATAAACTTATGTTTTTATTATCAAAAGGGTTGAAACAAATGAAACAGCTATTGTTTTGCCATTTATGTCATGAATCAATATTTATTAAGAATTCAGGCAACAGCATTGTACTTACTTGATCATTTCTTATTTTAAATTTGAGAATGATAAATATTTATAGCACATCGTTAATTACAAAAAGGAAATCTCAATATTCATAGACTTCATAAGAAATTTAATAATTATCTAGATATATATTTTTTCTCATGGAAAATGCTAAGCTTAAGATGTGCTGCTTCTGTAAGCTGTTACAATAATATACAGCAATAATCTTGTTTTATTCTTTGTGTCTTTTCCCCCATTGTAGTTTTAAATTTTACAAGTAATTATATTTTCCTATCAAACCTTGACATAAAGGGTAAGAGGTGAGAATTTTTAGTTGAAGGCAGCTTTCAATTTGAAAGAGATAGTAACTATTTAGGAAATAGGAAAATTGTATTTTTTCCTTTTATTGGGACATTTAAAAATTAATAGAAAATCTAAAATGCCCACATCATTCAGGAAAGTTGCTTGTACACAAGCCTTGCTTGTTTGTTGTTTTTTCCTTCCAAGGTAATTTAAATTTATATCAAGGATATTTATTGTCCAGTCACATTAATTGTAATTATCACTGATAAGAAACAAGATAAAATCCCATCATGATCATAGCAGATCCTTCTGCTAGGTAGCTCTTTTTTTTTTTTTTCAGGACTTCATTGTATTCTGTGATTAAATAATTTGCCTTCTAATGTATCCTCAAGTCAGGAAGATTTGTGGTTCTTCCTGAAAAGGATGTATGTTTGCATAAATTTTTCATAATTTGTATGTATAGTGACATATTATAAGATTCTTTCACAGAAACCAAAGGGAATTTGAGATGAAGTTATTAGAAGAAAATAATTTTATGTGATTAAAGAATTAAAGATTTGTGCTTGTGTAATGATAAATCAGTGCTCTGGGGAAGAATTTTCTAGTGTTAATTTTTCACCTACCATATTGTCTAGCACTTAGTTGTTCAACATTTATGTCTTGAATAATCAAAAATTATGTATGAATGGATTTTTCTAATATAAGAATGAATTTTATCCTATAAAAGGGCACTGGAATACCATTTATATACCAATATATCTATAAGTATTTCTAGTCTTAAATCTATATCTACGTATCAAATCCATATGTACCAAGGAAAGGCTGGCAGCAAAAAACTTAAAAATTAGCTGACAGCCAACATAATCTGACAAGCTAACTACTTTCTTTCATAAAACAGAAAATAATGCAGTGGGTAAAAATGGTATTTGGTATGAAAAGTAATATAGATATGGAAATATATTGCCTGAATTCGCAAAACATTCTCTCTTTTAATTAAAAAAAAGTTGATCTATCAAGGAGATAACCAAAGCTCATATTTGTAAACTTCTAGCATTAACACTTTCAAATTGAATTTGATACTTACTTGCTAAGATTTTTTTCCTTATGCAGTTACAACAAACTCCAAGAGAGAGTAGTTGTGAAAATACTTACACATATATTAGTGAAAACTATACTAGTGAAAGCTATATTAGTGAAAACCACATTCATTTCCTTATTAACAATATTAAATGTATGTGGAGAAACACTTGGTCCATGGAGCTCACATGGCTGACCACAGCCCAATTCAAAGTGTCTTGTAGATATTCCAGTAGGATGCTAAAACAAGAGTTTATTTGCCCAGTGATTTAAAATTGTTCCCTGAAAGTAAGCCAGGAATTTTTGTGTTTGAGATGTGGGGCTTGTCATAAGGTTTCATTTGAACAAAGGCTCAACTGGGAAAAAGTAAGAAAATGACTGCTGCCTTAGAGCCCCACATTCTTTTATCTGCAATAATATTCTTCACGTAGCAGCTAGTGTTATCCTTTTAAAACGGAGTTTTAGATTAGTTAACTCTTATACTCAAAGGTTTCCAGTGGCTTCTCATCTCAATCAGAATAAAATCCAGTCTTTACCATCAACTACAAAGCCCTACAGGACCTGCTACACTCCTCATCAGCTATCAAACCTCTCTGGGGCCTCATATCTGACCTCGCCTCCCTCTCTCACTCTCTTCCAGCTGCGGAGGCCTCCTCGCTGTTCTTTCAACTGTCAAGCAAGCTCTGGTATCAGACTTACCCTTGCTTTTCTCTCTTCTTGGAATGTTCTTCCCCCAGCATCAACATGGTTCGCCCTTTAATTTCATTCAAATCTTTACTAAATGGTCCCCTACCAAGAATGTCAAATCTGACCCCATTATCTAAAATAGTACTCCAGGTGCTCTTTATTTCCTTATTCTGCCTTATTTTCCACTTAAAATTTACTTTTGCCTGACGTATTACATATTTACTGTTTGTCTATTTCTGCTTGCCCCAATTAGAATGTAAGCTTCATGGGATGAGGGCTGTATTCCCTAGTGCCTAGAATGTACCTGGCACTTGGCTGGCACCTTGACCAGAATCTATTTGTGAACTCATTGGCAAGAGTTTCTCTAGTTTTTCAGTCTGCTTACTTTGTTTATGGGGAGTAATTGACACAATGCTATTCTGGTCTAGCACTTTTCTTGAACTCCTGACCTCAAGTGATCTGCCCACCTTGGCCTCCCAAAGTGCTGGGATTACAGGCGTGAGCCACCGTGCCCAGCTAGCACTTTTCTCATTTAGTCAACTAAGCTACTGGCTGAAGGCTGGAGGTTGGTTGACTCCAGCATTTTCCTGTTAAGATCCGAGAATACTGAAGCATCAGTGGTCCCAAAGAGCAATAAGGCCTTACTGCAACATGATTTACAACTAAGGTGTAAGGAAAGCACAGGGAAAACAGAATTAGTTTACGTAGCATACATTTGGACTCTGTTGTATTAATTTCCCTAGGATTTCACAGACGTATATCATGAAATGATTCTTGTTTTTATCTACATCTACAAAAGGAAAAACCATCCGAATGGAGGATAATTCTGTCTTTTAAGTGTTACATGATAGGTTTTTCTACACTTGAAAAACAGGCTGTCAAGCTCAGTGCTTGATTTGTTAAAAATCATACTTTTTCTATGCCACTCTTTGACAAATCTTACACTTAAAAAAATCTCAAATCTTGAAAAATAATCCCAGGTTATTCAGCTGCATCACCTTATACTACTTCTACTTAAGCAGTAAACTCCTTATAGCTTGTTTTCCTTCCCAAATTTGTGTTTTTTTAAGGTTTATTCAGTCAGCCCTGTGTATCCACAGGTTCTGCAAATGTGGATTCAACCAACTGGAAATAAAAAATGTTTGGAAAAAACAAAAAGCAAACAATAAAAAAACTACAAATAAAAACATCAAGATAATAACTATTTACATAGAATTTACATTGAATTGGTACTATAAGTAATCTAGAAATGACTTAAAGTATGGGGGAGGATGAGCTTTGGTTATTTGCAAATCTGTGTCATTTCCTATAAGGAACTTCCGGATTTGTGAATTTTAATATGGGGGTGGGCCTGGAACCAATCCCCCAGGGATAAAAAGGGACTACTGTACTTCTGCCAAAATAATATTTATGCAGTGAGCAAAGAGAGTTAAAGGTGCTGTTTAGAATAGTTTTTTCAGGAAAACACAGTTGTCTAATTGGAACAAAAGGGATTCATCTTTTCTCAAGTGCAGGCAGATATTTGAATATAAATTGACTGAAGCTTATGAAAGAGACATGTCGCAGAAGTGTGCTTACTTGACAGGATTCCTGGCAGCATCTGGATCTTGGGCTGTGACGGAGCCTATTGTGGTGTTTATCTGAGCATCTTCTCTTATTTGTAAGATGTAGGCCAGTTTGCTGAAGACAGGTGGCTCATCTACATCCTCCACCACAATTCTAACCGTGGCTGAATCTTTGAAAGGCCCCAAGTAGAGAAATCGTGGCTCAACATAAGGATTGGAGGCTTCCACTTTAAGGGTATACACTTTCTTCTTTTCAAAGTCCAAGAGCTTGAGGTTGGGGGTGGGGGAAGAAGTGACATATTTAAAGCAGCCAAGACACAGAAAGCCAAGACACGAAACATTTTTGGTGTAAACCACTGATAAATGAATGCGATCATATTGCTTAGAGAAACACATTTGTGTGATATTGGGCAAAGGGAGAAAAGATAAGATGTAATTTTTTTTCTTATATCTAGGCTGTTAGGCAGGAAACGATTATAAAGTTTGTGAAGGAGTTCAGAAGCCACACAGCCCTGAAAAATGTATGGGCTGAGACCATGCCTGCTGTTGACTTAAAAGTGGGTAGTGAGGTACAAGGCATCATACCAGGCAGGAAGGGCACTTGGAAGCAGGAGTCTGGTAGAGCCCACACTGTCCCCACTTAAAAAATACTCATGTTTCACTAGAGGGGGCCATCAGGGGCAAGTTGGCAAATACACAGTGGGTTATTCCATGTCAGATGTTCTCACATCTGGCTTTTTTTTTTTTTTTTTTTTTTGAGACGGAGTCTCGCTCTGTCGCCAGGCTGGAGTGCATTGGCATGATCTCGGCTCACTGCAACCACTGCCTCCCGGATTCAAGTGATTCTCCTGCCTCAGCCTCCCGAGTAGCTGGGACTACAGGCACTCACCACCAGGCCCAGCTAATTTTTGTATTTTTAGTAGAAACAGGGCTTCATCATGTTGGCCAGGATGGTCTCGATCTCTTGAACTCGTGATCCACCTGCCTCGGCCTCCCAAAGTGCTGGGATTACAAGCGTGAGCCACGGTGCCTGGCCATATCTGGCTTTAATTGCACTGATGAGTGTTTAAAACTGGCCAATGTCTTGGCCCCAGCGTGGACCATTAAACCAACATATCTGGGCGTGCAGATTAATATCTACATTATTAAACACTTCCCCCGGTGATTCTGTGGTGCAGCCAGAATTGAGAGCCACAGGTTTGCATTGTGAATCCCTCATCATCATTCAGACAACACAGATTAAAGTTTTTTTTTTTTGTTGTTGTTGTTTTTTGCATGAGGTAATGAAATATTCCAAATGGTATCCTGAAAAGGGCATTGGGCTAATTATTTGTCAAAGAAAGTAGTGATCATTGTTGTCAAGGGTCTTTAGGAAAAGTAGGTCTGCTTTTGGAGACATGGTGAACCCAAATGCTTATTGCTGACTTTTAGTTTTAGATGATAATATGACAAGGCTCACTAGAAACACAATTAATCTAGACGTTGGTGAATGTGATTTAGTCGTCTAGGCAAAATTTCAGTTCGAATCTGATAAGGCACCAAGAAAATTAAAAAGGTTAATGCACACTAATGGGCTTCCTAATTATATTATAGTTTAAAACATTAGTCTGAGTGTCACTTAAACATGTTTTATTGTGTTTCCAGATATTAAGACACGTAATCCAAAGCTTGGGAGGAAAAAAAAATCTCTTGTTATTTACATCCACCGATGCTTTTATTTACCAGAAAAGATTATAGTATGCTAAAGGAGAGAGAAAATATTACACCATACATGATAAAAGTGAAATCATAAGAAGTTAGCCAAAATTAATATTTTTAGTCTTGAAGCATACAATTCATTGGTTTTTAATTTTTGCCGTATTTTTGTATGCTGCTCTGTGGTGCTACACAATTTGGGGGATAAAATAATGAACCAGTACTTTGGAAAAAAATAGAAATCAGAACACAAAAGATTTATTGTTGTGTTCCAAAAAGTAGCTAAAGAGGTACCAGGAAATTTATGGTATTTAATTTAAATTTGTTATGGTATTTAATTTAAACTTGTGGTCTTTATACATCCTCTTTTTGTGATGCAAGTCATCTTGATCACTGCTTGCTGTACTCTCTTCCTTCACAGTATGCATCACAATTTGTAGTTGTATATTTGTTTGTTTGTTTGTTTACTTGGCTCCTTGTCTCTTTCCCCCTAGACTGGAAGTATCATGAGGGCAGAGAACATCTGTTGTATGTACCAGTGCACCTCCAGCACCTAGAGCAATGTCTGGCACTGTTTATTTACTGTTCATTTAAAGTATTTACTTTATATATTTTTACGAATATCATTTGTTTATATTACTTATTTACTTAGGAGGTTCTTAATAAAAATTCATTGGATGTATAGAATTAACATGAATGCATATCATTTTAGGTTCCTGAAAGCCAACCCAAGAGATCTCAGTGTCATTAGAATTGGTTTTCTTTCTTTCTTTCTTTCTTTTCTTTCCTTCTTTCTTTCTTTCTTTCTTTCTTTCTTTCTTTCTTTCTTTCTTTCTTTCTTTTTTTCTTTCTTTCTTTCCTTCCTTCCTTCCCTCCTTTCTTCCTTTCTTTCTCTTTCTTTCTTTCTTTCTTTCTTTCTTTCTTTCTTTCTTTCTTTCTTTCTTTCTCTCTCTCTCTCTCTCTCTCTTTCTTCTTTCTTTCTTTCTTTCTTTCTCCTTCCTTCCTTCCTTCCTTCTTTCTTCTTTTTTTTTTTTTTTCAGAGTCTCACTCTGTCACCTAGGCTGGAGTGCAGTGGTGTGATCTTGGCTCACTGCAACCTCTGCTGCCCAGGCTCAAGCGATCCTCTTGCCTCAGTCTCCAGAGTAGCTGGGATTACAGGCACCCACCACCACGCCTGGCTAATTTTTGTATTTTTAACAGAGATAGGTTTTGCCATGTTGGTCTCAAACTCCAGGACTCAAGAGATCCTCCTGCCTTGGCCCCCAAAAGTGCTGGGATTACAGGCGGGAGCCACCATGCCCGGCCAGAACTGGCATTTTTCTGAAAATAATAAGTAAAATAAAAATCTAAAGGAATGTTTATGTGAGATATAATTGCCCCTGGTAACTTAGGAACTGGAGAAAAGTAAATGGGTTCACTCTGTATGGTGTTTAAGAAGCGGCATTACCTTTTTGACAGTTATAATCCCTTCCTGGGTTTCCTGGTCGGTGATGACATCAAACATATCCAGCCCCTCACCGTCTGTGATGCTGTACTCAATTTCAGCATTTTCTCCCACATCAGCGTCGCTGGCTTTGATTCTGCCAATTGGTGTCCCCGGTGGAGAAGATTCAGGAGTTTTAAACTGGTATGTACCTATTAATCACCAGACAGATATAAGTCAAACATAGACTAACCACACTCTTATCATCATAAAAACAAAACCTATTCTCTAACAGTTCTTTAAGACATTACCATCAGGTAGATGTGTGCTTTCCTCAAAATAACTAATGGTGGCCTGTTCTTCTTATGTCTACTTTCGTGGTTGTTAAGAATGTTTCTTCTATTTCATGACCTGTTTCCTTGCAAATGGAGAACACTTTTCTTGTCTGTAAACAGGCTCCAAAGTTTATGGTGTGATTGTGAGAACAACTGAATGGCTACAGGAGGCATAGAAGGTTTCAAAGCCCTTTGTTAACTTCATCTAACAGAAAGAGTAGAGAAGAATTTAATCTGAACTGCGACTTTTAGTTAATTACTAGGTATTCTTTAAAAGAGTTCTTTCTACCGTTGCTAATAATAGCTGGAGGTGGAAAGAAATTATAGCAACTTGGAGGCTGTATCCAGGTAGATATTCTTTTATTCATACATGGAGCTGGACCTAGTTGTAGAGTTAGAGATATAGGTAAATACATTAAGTGATAAAACTCCTAATTTTTTTCTTTTGACTCTTAAATTTTATTATTTTATGCATAGATTTCTCCCATACTTATATTTGTAATTCTAATTTGAAACCTATGTTTCCTATATAGACACTTTTTAAAAAAAATATGCTCCTGTTGCAAACTTAGTTTAGAGAGACTACATATGAGTTTCAGTTTAGATTGGCCAGGCCATGATATACTTAGCACCAAAAATATAAAATAGTAAAACCAAGGCTTATTCTACCCTTTTCAATTACATTTTGTTAACCATTCATACAAATGATTTGAAAAGAATTTAAACAGTCTATGGCACTACTAAAATGTAGGCGTTCAGTAATAGTAATCCCTTGAGTTCATACTTGGTAAAATGATAAAGCAGGTTAAAAAAATTTTTAAACTTTTTTTGACTCAAGTACGTAACTCAAAAAGAGCATTTTTTTTGGACAGGATTTCCTCCTGTTGCTCAGGCTGGAGTGCAGTGGCGTGATCATGGCTCACTGCAGCCTCAAACTTCTGGGCTCAAGCAATCCTCCCACCTCAGCCTTCTGAGTAGCTGGGACTACAGGTGCACACCATCGTGCCTGACTAATTTCTTTTTACTTGTTGTAGACACAGGGTCTCACTATGTTGCCTCGGCTGCTCTTGAACTCTTGGCCTCACACAGTCTTCCTCCCTCAGCCTCCCAAAGCTCTGGGATTACAGGCATGAGTTGGTGTGCCCCAGGTTAAGTATTCTCTAGTGTTTTCAACTTCCATTTTTAGGGCCTCCTGCCCCTTTCTAACTTCTCCCTCCCTTGCCTTGGCATATTGCTCATTAACAAGTCACAGGCTATCTAAGCAGAGCAGAGTGAGTTACAAATTCCTGTGGTACCAGGGTGCGGGGGAATCCTTATGTTATTCTTCCCCAGGGAATCTCCATATTAAAAAGTAGGTTTTGGGCAAACTGTTGGTGATCCTAATAGTTTTCATTTCAGGCCTCTGTAAGGGAAATGGTAGGCCTCATAGAACCTTTCTTCTACTTGTTATATGAGATATTCTTTAATTAGCTCTGATCTTTTTGCATTTAGCTAACTCTGATTAAAAACTTGAAAAAATAAAGAAAATAAAACTACTTCCTATTGATCCATGTATAGCTCTACCCTAAAGGAAGCCCGTATCAGCTGATTAGTTTTTTTAAAATGTCATGATAGAATGAGTGGGTTTTCTATTGAATAATTGAGATAGCTTTCGTAGGAGATCATGGTCCCAAAGGGATTTTGTTCCTGGATGAAAAGTTACGTTAAAACTAGTTCCCTCTTGGGTAGCTCTATGTGAGAATTTTTAGCATACTCCTGATACCAAGTTGGTATTCATGGAGGTTGTTTTTCCTTCTTCTTCCTTTTATCTAATCACTAGAGTTAATGATTTTGGAGACAACTTTCGGTATCTCAACTAACCATAATGTAGAAAACGACTTATGATTACAAATGGATTAAGTACCTAGTTACTTCCACAGTTGTATTTTTAGAAACAGTAAAATAATAAATCCTCCCCTTATAAAGCTTTGTGAGGATTTAAAAGAGATTACATGCCTGATTAAATTCACAAAACATAAAGTCAAATTTTTTCCAACAAATTGCAGCATGCTTGTATACATATGTTCTGCATGAGCAGATTTATGTCTGTGGTAGTTTTCTTAATAAGGAGAAATGAAACAATGATGTTGCCTTTACAACAACAGCAGAAATCACTCAGGTAATTACCAATAGAGGAACATAAATGTTCACATTTCCTGAGTGTATGCCATGTTGTCAACTCATTTTTAATAAAAGTACCAGTTCTTCTTAAGTCCACTAACTTTGACAATAATGATGACAATGGAAAATAAAAATTCTTAAAGTTCGAGTTTTATAAAAGCACATTGAAGAAATTCATTCAATCAAATGTTCCTACTCTGGGGGAATCGGGGAGGGTTGTCGTTGACATCAGTCAGTGTGATGTTCACGGTGGTGGTCCCAGATAATCCTCCCATCTGGCCGCCCATATCCTTGGCTTGAATCACCACTTGGTACTGCTCCCTGTTTTCTCGATCCATGTTGAGCAAAGCTGTCTTGATAATACCTGTGGATGTGAAATTTAAGAGTGCAAAGGGATGCATTAAGAATACTTTATGGAATCATTGATTTATGCAAACAACATAAACTGTCACCCACAATATGCAAAATGCTATGCAGATGTCATGGTGACATAAAAATAATTATATGCAGCCTTTATACTGAAGGATATTACAACCACACAGGGGAGATAGATACATTAAAAAAAGCCTGTAATACAAGGAGAATAAAAATAAGTACAAGTCAGATTCTGCAATAGTATAGACTATTAAGGGTTATAAGACACTCAATATTATAATTACATTATGGATGTATAAACATTAAGTGTTATAAGATGACACAGCAGAATCTAAAATGGCTTGTGGTATAAAGGTATACTATAATATGCTTGATAAAAGACATTTAGGTGAATTATGAGGAAATTGTTAGGAAAGCCACATACTTGAACTGACTGTTGAGTTTCCCATTATGGATTAGCTAATTATCCCTCAGATACACCTACCATAACGAATGCTCTGAGGATTTTCTAAATTGTAAAACTATGGTCTTTAGAAAATAGAACATCAATTCTCTCATAATGATCATCTTGTATGATTCTAGAGAATTTTGGAATTAAGGTTCAAGGTCTTTCAGCCTTTTAGAATTCCTAAAGCTGACCGTGAACTTTAGTTCAACTGGCCCCAATGACAACCAAAATTTTTAAGTTAGGTTAAATTTATCTCTGTTGTTAGGTTGTTATAAAATAGTTAAAGAACTTCTAAAAGTTTGCCCAATTTCTATGTAAGGTTTATGCTTAAATTAACTTTCTTTCAAATTTCACTGGAGAAGCCTTTATAACCTTCTGCAGAAACACATTCTAGTGCTTAACAACTAATGAAGCGAAAATATCTTTTTTAAAATTTTTAACAAGAATACTTCAGACAACAGGTCAATTTTATTCCTATAGTCCTGCCTTCAGTGAAAGTGCGGCTGCTTTCTGTTCTCCAAATAATAGTACTTCTCTATTTAAATACAGGAGATCACCTCAGCCTTTTGTCCTTTAAGTTGAATAATTCTAATTTTTCATCCTCATTGTTTTTCAACTCAACATTTTCTTTCTCCTTGGGATTCTTTCCAAGTTCATTGCAGCACTTAACACAGAGATTTCCAACTGGATGTGGGAACCTAGGGAAGTTTTGATTTCTACTAAGAATAATGGATGTTTAAAAAATGTATAAAAGGAAATTGACTCATTATGATAAAAATATGTGTGCAATTTACTGTACAATACAAATGATATTTGCTAAAAACAAATCATTATAAGATAGGTTGCTACTTTGTGGAGAAAATACAGAAAACAGAAAAATGAGATGTTGAAAAGAGGATTCCAGATGGCATTTCACTTTGATTAGGACTCCATCAGTTAGGATGGGCTAGACAATGATTTGATAACAAACAATGCAAAATCTTAGTGGCTTCACACAACTAAAGTTTATTTTTCACTCATGCTCTGAGCAGGTAAGCAGGTAGCTTTGTTCACCATACCACTCAGACATTCAGGCTACAGACTACATCTCAACATTGGTTTCCATGATCACTGTGGCAAGGGACAGCAATGTGGCAGATTGTGTACCAGCTTTGAAAATTTTAATTAGAAGCGACTTGTATCATTATCACATTTTATTCACCCAAATAAATCACATGGCTACATCTAATTTCAGAGCAGAATAGAGAGACACAATCCTACTAAATAATTAGAAAAAGAAGATTCTGAATATCTGTAAACAGGCCAATACTATCAAAAAGGGGTTTACCTTTTAGCTTCACCCCAAACTGGAAGAAAACTAAGGCAATACATAATTTTTCTCAATCTACTCCATAGAAAGGGTGGGTGAAAGATTCATTGCCAGATTTTTTGATTAAAATTATTCAGATGTCATGTTTACAAATATATCATTAGTGTTTGGTGGATGTATGCAAGAAAATCCAATCACATTGATTATTTTTATTAAAAATATGCTAGCTCAGCTGAGCATGTCAATTAAAATTATAGATTATAAAAAGGAAGATCAAAAAGTCTAACCTGTTTCTGATTCAACTGAAAAATAGGGCTGTCCCTGTAGAATACTGTAGACAACTTTAGCACTGTTCCCATATGTTGGATCATCTGCATCCGTCGCAGTGACTTGGACAACAAATGTACCTGTAATGACAGAAATATAAACTGAAAACACATCAAGAGTTCATATCAATCTTTGACACACACCAAAACCAGCACGATCTTAATTTTGTATGGAAATATCATGCTGAGGAAGTCGAGAACTTTGGTAGGATGCTGGGTGAAAAAGGATTGGATTCTTTAAAGAAATACAATCAACATTTAGAAATATTTTAAGGATTAGGTTACAGAAAAGCATGGGAATGATCATGACTTGGGGTGGAACTGATTCCAACCCATCTCCAATGGCGGGATTTGACTGGACTCTTGCTTTAGTGATTCTTTCGAGTTATCCAGGACAAAGTCAATCAGCATCTTGCTTCCTTTGTCCACAGGAATTAGTTTAGGAATTGTCCAATCAGGGGCCACTCATGATTTTGCTGGAAATTCTGTCATAGATACTCTTTTTCTTGGACCGTAATGTGCTGATATACATTTGCAGCAGCTATTTTGTGATCTTAGAAATGCCAGCCTGAGGACAAAGCTGGATAGAATAGAAAATCACAGAAAAACAGCTAGAACTCAGATCAAATCCTGTCCAAAGCCCGCTTTACTTTTGGACTTAAGTAATGTGACAAATAAATACTTATTTGTTGTTGTTTAAACTAGTTCGAGTTGGATTTCTTGTTACTTACCAATAAAAGCATCCTAAATGATAAATCTATCTGATAGTTCTAAACGGTTGAAAGACCTTGAAACTTAAAGAATGTAGTTATGGATTACATAAAGAATCAATGAATTGGAACAGCAAAGCACAAACATCTGGAATCTGCAATTCCAAAAGGTCATTATACTTAAATATACAAAGAAGGCTATTACATTTCAGATCAGCATTCTTATTTTAGACCCCACAGTTGCCTAATAATCTTCAAAGTATTCCTAACCCCCTGAAATTCCACATAAATTTTCATGTGTATGCCTACATGTCTATTTCACTGAGGAGAAATTCTGTAGATTTTATATGATCCTCAAAGGGCTCTGTGACTTCCCGAAAGGATAAGAGTCTCGGATTAAGATCACTTAATGGCTGTTTTTTGTTATTTGTATCAGATAACCAGTAAGCATACTGCTGGAGTTCCCCTTTCCATGAAAGGGGTAGGTAAGTTACATCCAGGGAATATTAGGAATTCTACATTGCTTTTGTATTATATAGCCAATTTCACTTATTGAAGAAATAGATTGTAGTATGTTAGGGTTGGATGCCCTGAATGTATAGTGCTGATGCACAAAACAGACCACCCACCGTTGTAATTTGGCAAGGGAGGTGGGGAGACTGAGAACATCTTATGATTTTAGGGTGAGTCAAGTCAACAAACACTCAAGTTCTTATTTAACATTAACACAAAATTTGATTGCTTTAGAATATGATATCTGGACATTTTAAATGTCTATTCGTTGCCAGATATTGTACTAGGGACTCTGTACCTGTTTTATCATCTAATCCTCATGATAGCCCTTTGGAGTTGACATTTATTATTTATTTTTTCAAGATACAAAACTAGAGGATCAGAGAAATCAAATAATTTGCCCAGGGCTACACTGCTGGTTCTTAGTGGAGATAGTTTCAAATTCAGTTCTGTTTGATACCAAAGTCCATTTTTGCTCCCATGCTGTTGTCCCACTGCCTTTATGTAATTTCTCGAAGATGCCTTTCTATAATCACAATAATGAGATATCAATTAAGGATGATCAATGTCACCATAACTGTGTCTGTGTGCAAACTGAAAAAAGCCTTTTTATTTTTCTCAAGACATGTTACTGTCAACTACCCCTAAATGTTTGTAATACAAATTTAATTCTATAATGGCTTCAAAAGTGAATGGCACTCCCTAGAGTTGTGCAGTGCAATACCTGCATAGCTGGTTACAGTTGCCCTGAGTGGTGCTGATGAAGAGACTATTCTTCATGAATTCTTCTGCCTTTTACCACGTAGAGGAGAAATTTTTTTCCTAACAAATTTAAAGAATGCCATTCTATTGCTGCTATAAGCAGTGAAGAAGAAGAAGAAGAAAAAACAAAATTCCAGTCATCTCCCTCTTTGCTTTGTGAGGCTTGCAATTTTTGTAACAAAACAAAGTGGCTTTAAATAATGAGAAAAGCAATTTCTTCATAAGAAAAATGTAGATGTTTTACAACGATTTCCATGGATTTGTTATTTTCTATGTCTTGGATCTGTGAACTACAATGTCTCTGATATCTAACTGACAGAATCATAATAAAGTTAATATGTAATTTCAGCCCTTTTGAATCTGACAGAGTGAAAATAAAAATAATCCTTTATATAAGTAGTTTAAAATTTGTCAGTGTCTCCCATGAAGTATTTCAATGTGGCTAAGAGTGATGTCAGTAGAATTCTTTTTCTTAATTTAAATCCTGTTTACTTCTCTCAATTTAAACAAATTAAATCCACTAGTTATTTAAAAAAGTAGAGGTATTGTGTAAAAAATATTAATTCACTCTATGTATGTTATGAAAGTCTTTTCATTTCCACCATGTAGTAAAGGATCCACTCCCTAGACATAACGTGCCTATTGTTTATGGATTAAAAAAAGTTCTTTGATCTCCTTCCCAAATATACAGTTACTAGTTACTTAAAGCAACTATCACTACTTTTTAGACTGGATTGTAAATGTAAGCTTTTATTTTCTATTTGGGAGATTGTTACTTGGACCCTAACACCCACATAGGCTAAGAGAAGTGGAGAAGGTTGCTTTCAGCCCAAGAAAGAGAATGGGCATTTAGGGTGGGAGAGAAAGGAGATGGTCTCTCTTTCAACCTCCCACTCCCACCCTGCCACTTTTCAGACCCTCTTTAGAGGAAATGTGGTTTTTAAAATAATCACAAAATGAGACTAGAGTAATATTAGGAAACATATGCACTTACAGAAAGGACATACATGGATTGAAGAAGTTAGCATCTAAATTCATGCAGTTCAGTACTTTGAGCTCGTGGGATTCCTTACTCAGTGGATGCACTAGGGGAAAGCCAGCTTTTGGCTGAAGTCACGTCTCACTCACCGACATCAGACATTTCAGGGACAGTGGCTGTGTAAACCTCCTTGGTGAATATTGGTTCATTGTCATTGATGTCATGGATCTTGATGATGAATTCAGACTCGGGCTCCACGGGTCTCCCTGTCCTTCTGTTTATAGCTTGAGCTCGAAGGATGTAAACGGGTTTTTCTTCCCTGTCCAGCCTCTTGGTGGCCTGTATGTCGCCTGTGTTTTCATTAATAATGAAGAGATCTCCTGCTCCATCTCCTGAAAGGATATATTTAAGTGATCCATCTCCTCTATCCTGGTCTGAATGTAACTAGTGTAGAAAAAAAAAATTAAAGAAAGTAAAAGTCAAGCATGTGGTTCTAAACTGTTTTTGTCTTTTTGGTGCATGCTACATTAACTTTTATTAAATTCTTTCTAAGGAATACAAGTTTTTTTTTTTTTACTATTTACGTAACCTCTTAATGGTAAATACCATTCATTAATGAACATGTTTCCTTATAATCATGGAATTTTTCAGAACTGGAACAGAGTTTGGGAGAAAATTTAGTAATCTTTATTTTGAAGAAGGGAAAACAAAAGGCAAGAGCAATAGCAAGGTGGCCAAGGACGTATTAGGGTGGCTGGAATGAGACTCTTTTCACGATTTTCCTATTTTTCACTACAGCTTTCACATTCCACTAATACACTCTCGCCCTCACTTGCATGTACACAAACATATTAGGGAAGCAATATCCTATTTAGAAAAGGACTTTGATTTTTGAATCAGAGAGACTTGGGTATATTCTATTTCTACCTTACATTTATTATCTTGGTGAATTTAGGGAAGCTTGGCAACCTCCTTGAGTCTTTAGTGATAGAGATTATAATCATTTTTTTCTGGGAAGATGTGATATTTATTTATTTATGAAATTCAACTCAAAGCATTTGAGAAATATCCTAAGTGCTGCCAAGGGCAATACCTTGAAAATCACCTGACTAGATAATTTACAGGTCACTTGGAACAATAGCATTTCATATTTATACTTAAGTATAAGATAGGAAAGGACCTTCTAATAATTAGAGCCAACCTAAAATTGAAATAGTCTGTCTTATGAGTGGTGAGTTCCCTGCTCCTAAAGGTAATCAAGCAGAGACTCTGATGACTAACTGTCAGTGAAATGGGTTTGGGTAAAAGTTGGAATTAAATGAATACTAAGGATACCGTGGAAATAGAAGATGAGAATCCTAACTTGGATAAGTAGTCCATGTTTCCTTTCCCAGAGATTATATCCACAGTGTTGATTTCCTATTGTTTCCTAAATTCCCTTTTTCCCACCCAGCAAAAGGTTAGATGATACCTTTAGATGGTACCTAGACCTAACTATAGGTCTATAGGACATATATACACAAACACATACATATATATATATATATATATATGCACACATATATATATATATATATATATATGCACACATATATATATATGCACACACATATATATACATATACACACATACACACACGCACATATATATATATATATTCAGTCTGCAGGTTTTCAGATAATTTAACCCTATTTGCAAATTTTCGAAAAGTGCTTTTTATTGAGGAGGACTATTTATAAACCCCCAGAGTTTTAAGCATCCATGGTATATAGAGAAGTTAGTGTTAGTGGGAAGGCTGCTACTCTCTACCTTGTTTCAATTCTGTCTAAACAGAATATGGGCTATGCTACAACAACAGCAACAACAGTTATGCCAAGTCTTTCTCTTGTTGGTTAATACTGCACAAAATGCTCGGAGAAGCATTACACATTTGAAAATAGACTCTTAGGGCAAAAAGAGACTTTAAAAATAATCCAACCTAGTCTAAAAGTGTATTCCATGTAATATCATTTACAGGAAGTGCTGAGGGAAAGAAATACTTTATATACGGCCTCTTTCTTAGAGTCACTGTTGACATGTCAAAGGCTCTGAGTGTCTGCAGTTTGAAACTACATTTGATTCTGTGTAATTTAGTTTTCCCTGTCTTGTTTAAAGAATCCTTTTTGGGTGTAACTTATATCGATATCCCCCATACCAGTTTTCCAAAAAAGATACTTTGGGAAACATGAACTAATTTAAAATCCATCATTGTAGAGTCAAGAAAACTGAGAATCCGGTGCGTGCTATGTTTCCAAAATCACACAGCTCATGGGAAAAGAGTCTGAAGATTAACTCTTGAGCGCAGGAAGAGGCTTTATAGATTATTTGGTGCAACTTCCTCATATTTAGAGGTAGAGAAACCGTGTTTAATGTAACACAGCAAAAGCTAGTTAATCGTGGTGTTTGGGGAAGAGAATATTATTCATATAATTAGTAGTCTTGAAAGCAATTTGGCAGAAATAATGGAAGATAAATTCGAATGGGGAGGAAATTGCTTAGAAGTGAGATAAATGCAATCAGAAATGTAAAACAAGAGCATCCCATGATTTGAGTGATGGGATATGCTAAGGAAACGCTGAAACCATCATGACACACAAAGAGCCACTGGGGAAAGTTTAACTCTCCATCGTCAAATTCGAATGACTGAAGAGGCTCTTAAAAAGCTATTTCATTAACCCATGAGTAAGGAAAGCAATGTCACCACCTGGCGGATCCTTGCTCTAGGGCAGCTGTGGTCAGCAGCCTGGCACAGTGCGGGGGGCACGTTCCTAGGCATGAGCCATGTTCATTCTTTTTCACTCAGCAAGTGTAAGAACACAGCAGAGTCAATTAACCTCCCTCAGCCAGGATTCTTATCTGCAAAATGAGGATAATAAGAGCTACATGGCCAGGCTGTTGTGAAGATCTAATTGAAGACCACATGCAAATAGTACATTAACCACCATGTAAACATGCAACAAAAGCATAATATGGGTCTTATAGATTACAAAGTGCCTCCCAAATTTAAGAGAGTGCTACCGTTATTAACTCTTAGTTTATAATCAGCATGCTTTTTCTCCTATTTTGACTTTTGAGAACTTTGTTTTGAAGACTTTGAAAACCCAATTTTACAGACACATGGTATCTCTAAGGTAAAATCTGTGATCAAAAGCCAGTATTCTTTAACTGGGCGGCGGGGGGCAATTGCTATCTTTACATATGATTTATTATACTCTGCATTCCACTGGATTATACACTCTCCTCCACTAGTTCTTTCATCGGTTTCAGTATGTAATTGTTGCACACTTAATAGGTGAATTCCACATCTGGTCACAAGATTTATTCAGGTAAAAGTAATCAGAAATGTATTTTTAGCTGTCAGGTGAGACCATTTCGATGACTTATAGAACAAACACCCGAAACAATGTTAAAGGGCAGAGGAGACGTTAAAGAAGAGTGAGAAGAGTGTGAGCAAGGGTTGCTTTGCAGATCACAATTCTGATTTATCAATATTTGAAAACTAGTGGGAAAATGTATCTCTTCTCTTTGCATCGTCTGATAGTAAAGCAATTTCACTTCCTCCCCCTTCCTCCCTCCAAAGTGCATTTTCTGGGTCTGACCGAGTACACGGAGCAGAAACCTCCCAAAGCCTCTGCTTTTTCTCCCCACTCTCCTCCTCTGCCATCAAACTCCCCTGGGGCCAGTTCTTTTCTTGGGAAAAAAAGGAAACATAAGACATCAGTGCCTGTGAAAGTGGTGGTGAAAATCAGACATTAGGGGTTTATTGAGCACTTAGATTTTAATTGGATTTTTTCTTTTGTGATGTCATCCATCATGGCCACTGTAAAAGACAGAAGTTAAACAACAACAAATAAAAGGCTGTAGGCTGCCCAAGGCATGTTTTTACTAATTTCAGTTTAATGTGGCTGTTCCATTAAGTTTAATCATCTGGTTCACTTTTAACGATTCACCATCAAGTAAAAACTATCCACTTGCCACAGAAAGTCACATCTCACCTGTCGCTGGTAAGACTTTTTACTACTGTACCTGTAGCATTTCGTGCCAGAGGGAGCTCTTGGTCTTTGTCTGTTTCCTCTGTTGATTTTTAAAATGTGTTTACTTATTAAGAGATGGAGTCTCACTCTGTTGCCCAGGCTGGAGTGCAGTGGTGCGATCTCGGCTCACTGCAACCACTGCCTTCCAGGTTCAAGCAATTCTCTTGGCTCAGCCTGCCGTGTAGCTGGGATTACAGGCATCCACCACCACACCTGGCTAATTTTTTGTGTATTTTTAGTAGAGACAGAGTTTTACCATGTTGGCCAGGCTGGTCTCAAACTCCTGACCTCAAGTGATCTGTCCGCCTTGGGCCTCCCAAAGTGCCGGGATTACAGGTGTGAGCCACTGTGCCCATTTTTTTTTTTAATACAGCATCTTGGCAAATAAACACAGGGATTTTGGTTGTAGATGTAGCTCCATGGTGGGTGGGACCAAAACCATGGCAGCATCTTTGCCTGCTGGGTGTTGTGGTTTCCTGGGGACACAGCATGTTTTTACATGCTAAATGTGCTGAATTCCAACTTGACTTTAAATCAAATTCAAAGGCATAACAAAGATTTTTAGTCGTCTATGAAGCCAGCTAATGCTGCCTTATTGCTCCCATTTCCTGTGTGTCCCCAAGTCACCATCTGAGTCAGTGACCAAATGCAATCTCCGCAGCATATGCATTGTTAAGACAGAAAACAGTCCAAACAATGTTGGTGAGGGTGTGGAGAAACGGGAACTCTCATACACTGTTGGTGGGAAGGTAAATTAATTCAATCTCTATGGAAAACAGTATGGAGATTTCTCAGAGAACTAAAAGTAGAATTACCATTTGACCCAGCAATTCAGTAGATCATTCTGTAATCTATCCAAAGGAAAAGAAATCATTCTATCAGAATGACACCTGCATTCATATGTTTATCATAACACCATTCACAACAGCAAAGGCATGGAACCAACCTATGTGTTCACCAACAGTTGACTGGATAAAGAAAATGTGGTACATATACACCCCAGAATACTACAAAGCTGTAAAAAAGAATGAAATCATGTCCTTTGCAGTAACATGGATGGAGCTGGAGGCCATTATCCTAAATGAACTAACACAGACACAGAAAATCAAATACCACATGTTCTTACTTATAAGTGGGAGCTAAACAAAAAGTACACATGGACATAACATGGGGAAAATAGACTCTGGGACTCCAAAGTGGGGAAGAAGGGGAGTGATGGCTGAAAAATCACCTACTGGGTACAATGTCCAATACTGGGGTGATAGGTACACTAGAGGCCCAACCCCCACCATTACACGTGTAATACTCACGTAACAAGTGCATGTACCCTCTGAATCTAAAATAAAAATTAAATAAAAGAACCCCCTCTCCCCCCAACAAAAACAATCCAAACAAAAGCTTACCTAGATGACACACATAGAAAAGTACCTACAGCAGCCTTACGTGGGCTTAGAAAAGGTATGAAGTGATGTTTGGCTAAAATGAAATATTGAATTATGGCTAAGGACTTGTACGGTGTAGTGCAAATGTAATGTTGCTCTTTAAGAAATGTTATGGTTGCTAATCTGAGCTATTATAAGACAATTAGAGAACAGTGGTGTTGAAAAGATGCTGTCTGGGATTGAGGAAAGAAACAGGAATTACAGCAGAGAGAGAGAACATCTTTGTGTTAAATAGGTGGAATGTTACTTTAAATTAGCACAATCAATCAAATTATGACAAATTGAGGCTTAACTGCATCAATATCTATGTATACGTATAGATGTCTACATGTATACATACATCTTTATATATAATGCATGTATACGTAATGCTAATAAATAGACAGTGTTGTGAAGGCTGGGAAAAGCTTGTTGGGTAGAGTTTATATCAGGAAGAAATTGAACTTGCTTGAAGTACATGGCAGGGATTAGAGTTGCTTCTGTTTTAGAGATTATAGGATTAGGTAAATCAAAAGTGCATTTTAATAAAATTCCATATGACACATTTTATTCTGCTGTATTTGAATGTTAATAATTTGGCATGAGTTAACTAATTTATATGTGATGATTATTTTACCAATTAGAAAGCTGATGGCAGCATATGATTGTGGCAGGTTCCCAGCTGTGGGTCAGCTGGGTGTGTGGCTGTTCAGCCCTGTGATTCAGTTTTCACATTGTAATATGTGTGAATGTAAAGGGTGCAACTTCAGTGTCCCTGGTTTAGCAGGAATTGGCTTGCTCTAGTCCTATTTTTTCTTTTTTCCACAGGTTGCAATGTAAATGAGGCAGTGACCTGGTTTCCACCAGGCTGATGAGAACAGTGCCCAAGGGGATGGCAAGCCACAAAGTGGAAGGAACCCAGGTTCTAGAATAACCTCATATCCGACCAGCCTGTAATGTGAAAGAGGAAAAAAAGACATTGCACTACAACCATTATGTTTTTGAAGTTTTGTTGTTGTTATTGTAGTTCTGCGTTGACCCTAAGTCGGTGGTTCTCAAAGTGCGGTCCCTGGACCAGCCACATTGGCATTACCTGGGAACTAGTTAGAAATGCAAATTTCTGGCCCCACCTACCTCCAGAATCAGAAACTCAGGGGATGCCCACCAGTGCTGTGTTTTAAGAAACTCCTTAGGTAGTTCTGATGAGTGCTCAAGTTTGAGAGCCACTGCCTTAACTAGTACAATCATAGTACTTACTAGCATGGACACAGGCAAGGGAAAGAGGTGAGTGTAAATTTATGCTCTGTACTTGTCACATAACCTTGGGGAACTTAGTTAACCTCTCCAGGCCTTTATTTCCTCATCCATGTGATGGGAATAATAATAATACTTAATTTACAAGTAGGTTTCTCAGACAATAAATAAAATAATGTATGTAAGATGCTTAGTAGAGGGCCTACCTCAGAGAAAACCTTCAATAAATTACTCTTGAATTCATAAACACCAAATATCCAAAGGTGGATTTTGGGAAAGTGGTGGGATTTGGATCTGAATTCTGACTTTCCTATCAATCAGTGAAATAAATTAACTGATCTTAGTCTCCATTCAGTCCTAATATAGAACTGGAAATGATTAACTTTGCCTCCTCTATCTGCCCCTTATATGCTGGTATCCTGTAGGCCTGTGTCTTTGGTCCTTGTCTCCCTCCTTTCACATGCTCTCCCCACATGAGATCCTCTATCTCTTTTCATGGATTCAATTGCTATCTCTGTACCATCAGTGCCTAAATCTATCTGTTACCCCAGGGAAGAACATTTTCTTGAGATCTGGAGTCAAGAATATAGTCACCTCTTTCTCTTAGACAACTTACACTCAGCACATCCAATATTGACCTCATCACCTTCTCTCCAAATCATTTTCCTCCTCTCATCTCTGTAAAAGCCACCAGGGAGTCATCCTAGGCCATACCCTCTGCCACTATCCCCACATTCATTAAGCCACCAACTCTAGTCAATTCTACCTCTTATGTATATCTTGATTCACCTACTTTTTTCCTTTTCCCATTTTCACTGCTGTCACCCTGGTCCATGCTACTGCCTTTTCTCATTGGTCTATTGCAAGGAGGCCCTCCAAACACACACCCAGGCTTGCTTTCTTTAGATTTTCCTTTCTGTAACTAGATCAACTTAAGAACAACACCAACTCTGAAGATGCCAGTCTCCTCTAATTAAATCCTGCAGTGTCCTCTTTACTCTTGGGATAAAGCCCTCATCCCCACCCCTTCGCATGGCCTCCAAAGCCCGGCACGGCCTCTGCTCCTCCTCTCTTTGGCTTCATCAGCCATCGTTCTCCCCTTAACTCTCCTGGTTCCAGCCATACCCTACTTCTTGCAGTTTCTTGAAGATAACATCACTAACTAGCTCTTTCGTAGCTACGCCTTCCTGCATGTGGTTCCCTTGACATCAATCCCTTTTAATATCCTCACCTAGTTAAGCCAACTCTTGTGCCAGGTCTGCTTAATCTTTATCACCTCAGAGAAGCCTTCCTTAAGCTGCTGGTCTAAGTTACAGTCTCCTCCTATATGCAATCAATTCATTCCCCACTTAGCCATCAGCACATTCTATTGTTGCTGATGATGTGTTTCACAGCTGTTTTCCAAGCTAGATTGCAGGTTCATAAAGGAAGGCACCAAACCTGTCTAGGTCACTTCTGTATCCTCAGAGCCTGATATACAGGCACTTTATAGACACTAATAGTCAATGATAGCAAGGAATGAATGAAAGAATAAATAAATGAATCTTGTAAAAATTAAATTGGATAAGATATCAATGATCAGTGAAGGTTTCTGGCACATAGCAGACACTCAATAAATCTTAGTGTCCTCTATACTCTTTCTTGACTTTAGGATAATTCTGTAGATCAAAAATATACGTTCCTGAAATTGCCAGATAATTTATCAATTACTACTAAACATTAGACACATGGTCTAATCTGAACAATCTGAGGAGGTAATTCAAGTTATTGCCTCAGACCTGAAAGCATTTCTTTAATAACAAATTCAACTTCAACACAATAGTAAAGCCAACTTGTATTGGATTTGTTGACAAAAATGGACCAATTGTAAGTACATTGAATTCATTGACCATCATAAATACATTGGATGCTGGGTCAGAAGTCATCTGTTAATGGTGAAAAAGCTGCAAGATTTTACCGAACTATATTTCAAGTATCCTCCTGTTGCAGCAACTAAAGAGAAATGCTCTATTTCATGGAAACATTATTTCATAATAAAATAATTTAATTCTGTCAACCACAACCATTTAAAAACACTAATTGGTCTGACCAGTTGCATAAAGCAATGAATAAAAGCATCTAAACTCTGCCTTCTATAAACTTGCCATTTACGTTGGAATAAAATATACAGAAAAAAGCAGAAATTAGACACTTTACTGTTATTAGGTATTAGGATTCACAAGGTAAGTAAAAAGCTGGAGAATAGCATAGAAGGAACTTGTAAGTTGGAGAAGACTGAATCAGGGAATGTGAAAGCTCTTTGATGGTTTAGGAAGACTTCTTGGAGAAGCTTAGACTACTGATGGGAGAAAAATGATTTAGCAACCGATATGAGCACATGGCATGGTTTCAAGGCTCAGTGTGGGAGAAAATCAGAAGAGGTCTTGAGTATGTGCCTGGGGTAAGAAAAGCCATAAAGTCAGCAAAAATAGAAACACTCCTTCCCGTAAGTTGCAGGGTCACATATTTTCTCACACTGCACTCAAATGTGCAAGGAAAGATGCAGCTTCCTTATAATTATTTTTGTTTATAGCTTTTCCCTCAAGCTCTAGTGCCATTGAGGATTAGAAGCTCAATACAGGTTGAATATCAACTCAGTAATTTAGTGCAATCCCAATAAAATCTTCCTGATTCAGTAATACGGTCTCTTTAGGATAAATCCCAGTCTTTCTGGTTTCTTTCTCCTCCTGCTTTGCTCCTGATCCAGTCCGAGATGACATCTGCATGTATGAAGGAGAGGAAGCCACATGGCCTTTGCCAGTGAGGAATTTGGGGGCTTTTGGAGCCAAGGATAGTCCTCATGCTGCCCTCTGATCCTCTGGTCTCTAGAGAATATCTCTTATGTATTACTTTCCTCAGTGGCATCTGTGGTTCTGGCAGATCATGACCTTTGCTCTCCAGTGATCAAGGTGAATAGCTACATCTCACGTCCCTCACTGGCATCACATACTGCCCTCGAGGTCTGGCTATGTCTTCTTTGTCACCCTTAGCACATGTAGTCCTAGCTACAGGATTTCTTTGTCCTTCTACTGGACCATCTATTGGATCAATCCACCCCCTTCTTGTTCTGGAGAAGCCCAGGAAGGCTCATGGGAATGAAACAGGGCTTCTCCCTCACCACGTGATCGCCCCAGGGCAAGTGGGAAAAACCCACTCTGCTTTCACCTTTACCCAAACCTTGCCACTGTTCCACCCTGTGGATTCAGATTCATGTGTCTCAGGGCAGTAGAAATAAGTCTTTGTATGTGTTATTTGACATCCAGGAATGTGAAGTTCCTTGGTTTTGGGAATGTCCTACCATACAAACTTCAGTAGATGGAAGGGCCAATTCCTAGTACAAACCCCATTGAGATAGCTGGGGTGGAAAAATGACCTACATGCCAGAGCATGCTGCAAGTAATGCTTGGTGACTACATTTATACATGGAATTAGTGAGTTTTATTTTGGTTGGCCAGCTTATTTCTTGATCTACAAAATGGGCTTGAAAAGGATCTAGAAAATAGGGCTGGGCACGGTGGCTCATTCCTGTAATCTCAGCACTTTGGGAGGACAACGTGGGTGAACTGCTTGAGCTCAGGAGTTTGAGACCAGCCTGGGCAACATGGCAAAACCCTGTCTCTACCCAAAACACAAAAATTAGCTGGGCGTGGTGGTGCCTGCCTGTAGGCCCAGCTACTAAGGAGGCTGAGGCAGGAGAATCGCTTGAACCCAGGAGGCGGAGGTTGCAGTGAACTGAGATCGTGCCACTGTACTCAAGCCTGGGAGACAGAGTGAGACTCCATCTTAAAAAAAATAAAAAAAAGAGAGAATCTAGAAAATCTATTTTTCTGACAAAACCTGGGATCAGGCTGCCTTCATATCTCCTGTTCTTTTTCTATTACACCATGTTGGCTCTTATGACCCCCCATATTTGTATTTTCCTATATAGTAGAAATGATTTAATTGATTTTTATAATGGTGTAAATATTTTATCTTCAAAGTCTTCTCTTTTGTGATTCATCATCTGGCAATTGGTCTGGCTGGGATTTGGAAAAATGATAATAGCAGACATTTGTTAAGCCCATATCATGGGCCGGGACATGACCTGAACTGGTCACAAAGATTACATAATTTGTTACTCATTATGATTCTATTCTTATCCCCGCTTAAGTGATGAGGCAACTGAGGCAATATAGGAGGTAAATCACTTCTCAGCATGGCACGATGAATAAGAGCAAGATTTGAGTCCAGGTGGCCTACTCTATTAACCACAACACATTTTTTTCCCTGTGTTTTTACATTTAGTTCTGTAAACATTCATTAAAAGCTTACTCTGTACCAAACAATATTTTGAGTTACAACGAATTATCTAATTCAGTGTTTTTCAGTCTCTGCTCTATTGGCATTTTGGGCTAGGTAACTGTTTGGGGAGCTGTCCCATACATTATAGGATGTTCAGCAGAGTCCTTTGTCCCTACCTACTAGGTGCCAGTAGCGTCTTCCCAAGATGTGACAGCCAAAAATGTCTCCAGATATTTCCAAATGTCCCCTGGGGTCAGAAAATTGAGAACATTGATCAAACTTAAATCTGTCTGTCTGTCTCTCTCTCTTTTTCCTTCCATCCATCCATCCATCCATCCATCCTTCCATCTTTCTTATCAATGTGTACTTTGTGACTTTTAAAATACACTTAAATAATACCATAAGGGATCTGTATTTGCAGAGATTCAGTATAACCCTACTCAATTCAATTTTTTGTTTTTTGTTACATTTAATAACCCCTGAAATAGACCTTGTGTCATGTGGAGGAGAATGTTTGACAAAGTGCTAAAAGCAAAAGAAGTTTAAGCCTAAACACAGCAGAAATTTACTAATTCCCTTGACAATTATTTTTTACACTCAATACCTTGAATTTCATGTCAAAAGTACCAGAGTAACTTAAATGAACAAAACTTTAGAGTGATAATAGTGGTAGTAGGCAGACTAATGCACCTGCTCCCCCAAAGATGTCCATGTCCTAATTCCCGGGACCTGTGACTGTGTTTCCTCACATGGCAAAAAGAACTTTACACATGTGATCAAGATAAGGATTTTGAGATGGGGAGATTATCTTGGATTACCCAGGTGAGCCCAAGGTAATTGCAAGGGTCCTTACAAGGGAAAGAGGGGAGAGTTGGAGTGAGAGATGGAAATGTGATGATAGGAGCCAAGGACAGAGAGAGAGAGAGAGGAAGAGAGAAAGAGAGAGAGAGAATTTGAAGTCTCTATGCTTCTGGGCTTGAAGACGGAGGAAGGCGCCATGAGCTGAGAAGCCAAAGAATGCAGGTGGTATCTAGAAGCTGGAAAAGACGGGAAATGGATCCTTCCCTGAAGCCTCCATAAAGACATCTTGCAGACACCTTGATTTTAGCCCAGTGAAACCCATTTCTGACCTCCAGAATTATGAGATGATAAATTTATATTGTGTTAAGCCACAAATCTGTGGTGACTTGTTACAGCAGCAACAAGAAACTAAGACAGTAGCTCCATATTTCTGAAATTCAACGTGAACTGAAACTGCGTGTGGTCCTTCAAGAATCCCAGTGGAGGAGGGAGGAAAACTAACCCTTCCTGAACACTTTACTGTGTATCAGGTACTGCAAAAATGGTTGGTGTGTTGCATGCATTAATTCTCACAATGACTCCAGGGGGTAACTTTTATTTTCTCCATTTTTTTCAGATTAGGAAACTGAGGCCAGAGAGATTAAGTAATTTACCCAAAGTTAAGCGCAGAGCCAGAAAGGATACCAAGGCCTGCCTGACTCCAAAGTCTATTCTCATTCACATCAAAGCAACCCTCCCCACACTGATTATAAACATTTCTGTATTCGTTGTATTTATTATCAGACCCCAGGCTAAGTTATTTGTAAATTCTACTGCCACAAATGATACAAACTATAATAAATGTTATTGTTCATTCAGGATTTGTCAATTAAACAAATGCCTTTTAGTTTATTAACTGCATAAAGTTATTTCCCCAAAAAGGCATTGTTTACTGCTTTATGCTTGGCTTTTGAAGTCCAAGGTCCCTCTTGCCTTGGCAGACTGTGACATTAGTCTCAGCTCCTGCTTAGTCTAACATTTTCATTTTCAGAAAGCCAGTGGTAAATCAAGCTGAGAGCCAGATCCCAGTCAAAAATTGATTGAGTAAGGCGTTGTAACTCACCAGTTAGAATGCTACCTTTTTTGCTTTATAGTGTAACCTCTTCAGCAATCACCAAAAAAGGACACACACACACAAACACACCCCCCACACACACTCCCCCAGCCCCCTTTCTCTTTCTCCCTCTCTCTCTCTTTCTCTTTGACACATATGTCTTGGAGGAGAGTATCAATAGATAAAATGCAGGCATTTGAGATATGATAATTCAAAGGGCAGAAATTTAAAAAAATGTGTTCCTTAATAGCAAATGGACTTTTTCTAAAACATGTTCTTCCTGAAAGGTAAAAAATATGTTGGATATTATATTCTTTTATGTTGACTTTTACTTAGGATCTAAAAAGTTAAAGCTATGTATCTCTATAAGACAAATGACTATTTTTTTACTTGAATTCATAACTCTCAAGCATCCTGTATGTGCACAATAAATGATGAGTAAATTGAATTCTATAACCTCTCATACCATCAGGGAATTAATAGCAAATGATTCTAGGAAAGAAGATAATGAGCTCATTTATTAGTTTTTTTTTTTTTTGCTTGGGAGCCAGCTTAGATTTCAAAAGCTCTCCTCATCCTCCTCATTTTGAAAGCTCCCTTTCTCCTTTCTCCTTTCTCTGTTGTCCTTTTTCTTCTCCTCCTCTCCTCTTCCTCCTCCATTTCAAAAGCTCTCCTTCTCCCCCTCCTCCTCTTTCAGTTAAAGAAACCAACTGAAACATTAGCAAAGAGAAATTCATACTATCTGACGACCCCGCTGGGGAAAGTTTCCTCACTGCAATGTCAGTGGCATGAAATTTGTGCTCCTCTCCCTCCCACGTATGTCATTGTTTCATTTGCCCACCGTATCTGAAATACTCTCTGCTACTTTAATAACTTAATAATGTGATATAGGGAAAGAGTATCAGACTTAAACCCCTCAAGAAAGCTGAACTCTAGCCTCAGCTTTGGTACTGTGCTGGCAATGGCCCTGGGGTCCCTGAACTCCTCTGAGCTTGTGTTTGCTTACACGCAAAAGGAATGAATCATGTTCAACTAGAGAGTGGTTATGTGGATCCCCTGAGAAAGTTCAACTAGAGAGTGGTTATGTGGATCACCTGAGGAATGCTTGTACATGTGACAGCATTTTATAAGCTGTAAAGCTCGACACAATGCGAGACAATATTATCATTGCTCCCTATCTTCACTACAAGTTTTCTGCCATGAAACTCTGCTAAAAGATAATCTGTGATGACTCGTAGCCTGCCAGGGAATACTTTCTCTTGTGTTGAATTCTCTTTTCTCTCTCTCCCACCCTACACCTTCCCCTTCTTCAGGTGTTAATTGCTGGTTTGCGTGGCAGTCAAGATTTCAATGGCCACGTTATCATTTTAAAACTCAGGGAAGCGATGTCTACTGTTGAAAAGGAGATAAAATGAAATGAAGTACCACCACTCAACTTTGCCCAAGTCACTGAATTTTCTCGATTTGACTTGAAGACTCTATTTTCCTTTAAGAGGCAAGTGGATTGGTAATCAGCAAGATCATAGCTTTAATACAAGCTAAATAGCTGCCCTTTGTTTTTTCTTTTAACATGATATATGTGGTTGGGAGGATAGACAGAACAGTCAAGGCACAAACAGCATAAGAAAGTACAGTTGACCTTTGAACAACATGAATTTGAACTGTATGCGTCCACTTATACTTAGATTTTCTTCTGCCTCTGCCACCCCCGAGGCAGTAAGACCAACCCCTCCTTCTTCCTCAGCCTCCCCAACATGAAGGCTATGAGGATGAAGACCTTTATGATGATCCACCTCCACTTAATCAATAGTAAACATATTTTCCCTTTCTTATGATTTTCTTATTAGTTTTTATTATTATATATATATTTTTTGAGGCAGGGTCTCACTTTGTCACCCAGGCTAGAGTGCAGTGGCATGATCTTGCTCACTGCAGTCTTGACCTCCTGGTCTCAAGAGATCCTCCGACCTCAGGTAGCTGAGACTACAGGTGCATGCCACCACGCCTGGCTAATTTTTTGTAATTTTTTTCTTTTTTGGTAGAGATGGAGTTTTCCCATGTTGCCCAGGCTGGTCTGGCACTTCTGGGCTCAGGTGATCCACCCACCTCGGCCTCCCAAAGTGCTTGGATTACAAACATGAGCCATTGTGCCCAGCCATGATTTTCTTAAAAATATATTCTTTTCTCTAGCTTACTTTAAGAGTACAGTATATAAAAATATAACATACACAATATGTGTTAAGGCGGCCAGTCAATGGTAGGCCATTTGTAGCTAAGTTTTTGGGGAGTTGAAAGTTATACAAGAATTTTCAACTATGCAGGTTGGTGCCCTGAACCCTTGGGTTGTTCAATGTTCAAGTATAATGCTTTTCTTATTTCTTAAAGGGGAACTTTGCTGCCTGGGGGATGTTGATCCTCATTGACCCCTAATACCTCTGACCCCTCAAAAAGCCTCATGCTCTAGAATAATAAGGAAATGAGCCAGATTTTTATGTTTCACAATTTATGAAAACAAAACAATCCAGCATGCTAAAGCTTTGTGTAACTGTATTTTAAAGCAGGATTTTCTCTACATTTCCTCTTTTGTGCTTCTTTTCTGATTTGTACTCATAAGTAGTAGAAAGCATTAAGATGAGATTATTTTCCAGAAATGATTGTTTTCTGTGAGAACTCAAAATATGTTGATTAAAAGATATATAGTTGGTTAAAAAAAGAATGTCATTACATATAATTTTTCTGTCCCTATATTATCACATTTCTCTCTATAGCTGATATTTTTGTGAATGGTTGCAATCAACAATCTCAGGTTTTAAATGATTTCTCTTTTGCTGAACACTTGAATTGTCTGTACAATGTAGCTTCTTAGCAATTTTAAGAAAAATAAATTTGTTTTCCATTGGCCAAATCTGTTTGCCTTTTTCTCATTTTGTTTCAAACTTTCTTCTACTGAGACCCTAAATAATGTCTGATTTTAATTTGTAAAAGTCTCAAAGGAACCAGCTTTCATGATACAATATTATTTGTTATATCTTTTCTTATTTTTCTTGTTAGTTTGTGCACGGACCACCATGTTGTCTTTAGTTCCCTTGTTTTGCACTAAGGAAGCTTGAGTTTTCTTCTTTTGTATCATAAAATATTTGTGCCATTTTGATATGAAATTTCCAGAGGTAGTTTTCATAGAAAGACTTTCATAACACACTTGGTTTATATGTTTACTATCTAAAACATCCTTGAACTTTAAAGACATTAGATTTTCCATTGTTAAGCTAATGCTGCAAAACACTATCAAAGATATTCATATCAAACCATTGCATCAATCAATTGGGAGGCATAGAAATCAAATGTCAACATGGAGACTATAGTTAATATAATACTGTATACTTAAAATTGGCTAAGGGAATAGATCTTAAATGTTCTCATCACACACACACAAATACACATACACACAAATGGTAACTATGTGAGGTAATGGATATGCTAATTAACATGATAGTAATCATTTCACAACGTATATCAAAATATCATATTGTACTCCCTAAGTATATATAATTTTTGTCAATTATACCTCAATAAAGCTGGAAAAATTGGAAGGTAGTTTTTAGATAACAAGGTGGTTTTTTAATATTCTGTGCTCACTGTAGCTTAATTCAAGTAGTATTTGGCTGTTTTTATGTGCAAAAATATGTGCTAGGCACTACTGGGTATATAAGGATGAGTAAGACATGTAGGCTAGGGTCTTGCAGAGTTTGCAAAGATGTAAGTATTCCAGAGTTTGCATTCGATATCTGAAGTGCTAATTGAAAGAGTAGGCCTGGGATCCAATTTGAAACACTGCTCAATATATTTAAGGTCAAAGTTCAACCTTAAACAAAGAATTAATTATTCTGCTCTTAAAAAGGTGAAACATTCAGGGTAATTAAATAATTAAATCAACAGTAATTTTCTCAAAATAAAACTTTGGTTCAATTATATAAGGAGATTACGATATTAATCCTAACTTAACTGTGATAACGATTCCTATTTAAAACCTTATTATAACCCAAGTGAAAAGATCATTTAAAAAATTGTTGGGTGCCTTAAACTTTCTTATTACAAACAAACAAGAGTTAACCGGATTCTATAATAACATTCATGGCAATTGAAATAATATAAACCCCAAATTGTACCATAAAGTGATGATGTTTTCAAATGAAAGGATAAATATCCTTAAATAGAGGGGAATCTACCAGTTGCCAGGGATCATCAAACAATGTGAGGTGTCGTGTGCATATTATTTTTCTTATAGTTAGAATAATAAAGGCAACTTCATATTTTTATATAAACTCATGCCCCGAATTGCTGTTAATGCATCAGACTCAGCTGCCTTCACTGCTTTGGCAGCATCTTCTGACCCATAATACTTGGCTTCACAACATTGGCCATCAGTGGGATCACCTGTTCACCTTTGGCTCTTCTTTCTCTCCATTTCACCTGTTCTTTGAAGGCACACTTCACAGCAGGGCACCTTCCCTCCTTACGTGGATCTTGCTTTAGTTCCTTACTGGTAAGTGTGATATCTTGGGCCCCGTTCTAAGCCTTTTCTGTGTATTAAGTTATTTAATTCTCACCTCAATAATTTTATGACTCCTTTCATTTAACAGTTGAGGAATCGAGGGGGCACAGGGAGATTAAATTACTTGCCTAATATTACACACGTAGTCAGAAGTGCAGCTGAGGCTGAAACATAGACAGTCTGCTCATGCTATGGACTTACACTCTCTAGCAAGTAATTGTTGAATGAATGAAAAGCATTTTCTCTCCAAATCTATTCCAAAAAGGCCATAACTGAGATAACTTCTTCAACTACCTTCTTAACTCCAATCTCCATTCCCTCTAGTGGGCATTAAATCCCATATTCAGAGTGATATTTCAAGCTTTTTATTATGCCCTTATCACTGCCCTCAAGTCCTTTGAAACACACCAACTCACCTAAAATATTTATTCATATTTTTATATGTATATATTTTAATCTTTTAAAATGCCTCTCTTTTTTGAGCATATATATTCTCTGTGAATAAAAAACTGGAAGAAATTATAAATGCTTTCCCTGGGAAATATTTTGGCATGCTTCTTTGCTTCTTATTCCAGGTCACATAATTTCAAATTTGACTCCTTACATGGGCCTTTGAGAATACCCATTACTTTTACTTATGTATTGATAATTGTGATAAAAAAGCTCTAATTTTCTTATGGGGAATTCTGTACTTCTTTTTGATCTTCAATTCTAGATGGAAAGAAAGGTTTGCAAAGAACGCTGATGTATTTAGCATGTTCATGACGGTTACATTTTATTGTCATCTTGGTAACTGGCAAAATAAAAGCTTGTAGGAAGATGGGAGTTTGCGCCCAGCAGCCTACACCAACACACACAGAGTTGCCCCCTCGAGGTTGCAATGGCACATTGACATCTAAACATAATCTCCTAATTTGATGAAGGCTGTCAAAGGGAGGACCCCTCCCGTATGTCTGTTTATTTTTGGTAAATGTGGGTGGAACATAAGGAAGACATTTTAAAATTTGGCTAGAGAGGTTGAGGCCTCTAAAAGTTAAATGTATAATTCTGGTTACAATGTATTCTTGGCTTTTCATATCAATGGAAATGAAAAACACCCATGGTTTAGGAATCTACTGATGCTTGATTACAGTATGTCAGGAATTTATTATCTGATTTTTGAAATAAAATTTAGTCAAAATTAAAATTAGGGATTTTTGTTCTACCAAAAAGAGACATGGACTCACATGTTCAATGCAGCATTATTCACAATAGCAAAGACATGGAATCAACCTAGGTGCCCATCAGTGGTAGACTGGATAAAGAAAATGTGGTCTGTATACACCATGGAATACTATGCAGCCATAAAAAAGAATGAAATCATGTCCTTTGTAACAACATGGATGCAGCTGGAGGCCATTATCCTAAGTGAATTAACACAAGAACAGAAAACCAAATATGGCATGTTCTCACTTATAAGCGGGAGCTAAACATCGGGTACTCATGGACGTAAGGATGGCAACAATAGGCACTGGGGACTACTAGAGTGGGGAGGGAGGTGGGAGGGAGAGGGGCAGGAGTTGAAAAACTAACTGTAGAGTACTATGCTCAGTACCTGGGTGATGGGATCAGCCATACCCCAAACCTCAGCTTCACGGAATATAATCAGCTAACAAACCTGTACATGTACTCTCTGAATCTAAAATGAAGTTGAAAACAATTAGAGATCTTGATTTTGAAAGAAATGTAAACTAGGATGTTGGCATTCAGCTTATTTATATTCTTATCTGCTACTACAGACCATATTATGACAAAAAAATGAAGAACTCTGGTGCAATCAGTATCTACGTGGTTTACTAATACTACGAACAAGTTATGCTGATCAATAAAGAAATACTTAACAATGCCTATAGAATAGACTCAAAGGGCTGTGCCCAAAATGAGCACGGGAGCCTCTCTAACCTTGCAACAACTTCTACCTCTGTTTAACTTGTTGGAGTGTGGAAGTAACAGCTACAGTGGGAACAAAAAGGATCCAAACTCTTCACTCTTTTCTTTACTTTGACTCCTTGTTTATTTATTTATTTATTTGAGACAGAGTCTCATTCTCTTGCCCAGGCTGGGAGTGCAGTAGCGAGATCTCGGCTCACTGCAACCTTTGCCTCCCAGGTTCAAGTGATTCTCACGCCTCAGTCTCCTGAGTAGCTGGGATTCCAGGCATGCGCTACCACGCCCGTCTAATTTTTGTATTTTTAGTAGAGATGGGGTTTTGCCATGTTGGCCAGGCTGGTCTCGAATTCCTGACCTCAAGTGATATGCCTGCCTCGGCCTCCCAAAGTGCTGGGATTACAGGCGTAAGCCACATGCCCAGCTCGATCCCTCCCTTTTGTTCAACAAACTAAATTCGAGCAGGAGGCTCTAGGATTCCACAGGCATGATGAAATGGAAGCCGGAGGATCTGGGATCGGTTCCTTGTGAGGCTTTCTCTGTTACTCTGCTGTGCGGCTGGCCAGGGTAAGAGTTACCTTGGCTTTATGATCAAGGCCAGACATTCTAACTTTTCTGCTTTCCACATGAGCTACTGTGCACAGAGGGAAGTTTAAGAGCCAGAAAATTGCTGCTATAGAAGACGTTTTCTTAGTATTAAATAGCAGATTGAAACTTTTGTCATTAAGAAAGTGAAATCAGTTGGTTTCACTTTCAGTGGAAACAAATGAGGATTATTGCCAATAATGGCTGTTGAGAAGTTACTTCTAGAAATATTTTCTAAGAAGTATATCCAATGAGCAAGTGTATGCATGCACTTTTTCTTAAATGTGCTAACTCATAGAAACATAAAAATGTTAGTTAAATGGCTGAGCATTAAATTTAAATGATGAAGACGAGAGATGTGCCCAAGGCACTTGCCCTGATTCAGGGAGAAAAGATTATTGCAGGTCATTGAACCAGAACGGAAGTTTAGAGAGGGTTATCAAGGGAAAGAAAAAGACGCTTAAAAAAAAATCACAATGACCAGAAAGATCACTAATTGCATATCTACTTTTAAAATGCTCACATGTAACTATTTTGAATACCACTAATGTGTTCTGGAAATTAAAAAGTGAAAGGAATGTGCATAACAATAAGGCAGACATTCGTGCAGCTCTTTAAAAGTAGCCTTTAAAAAAATTTTTTTTTCTCTACCTTTGGGTTTCACACAATAGATTCTCAATAAGTATTTGTGGTATTGCGTAGAATGCAATCATTGAACACCAACGCATGTTCCGGGTTTTTTTCACTTGTGCTTCAAAATGGCTTTGCAAAGTGGACATACAGGCGAGGGTGTATAACTGAGTAGCTAGGTGGTCAGACAGTATCGTCTGTCGGGGTCTTAGCAGTGTGAGACAATGGCCTGAAATACTTGACTGCTCTGAGCCTTAGTTTACTCATCTGTATGGAAACAATACCCATGCATTAGGGTTGCTGCGAGGATCCAACGAGATAACCCACTTGAAGCACTTAGGACAGGGTTTAGAACAAAGTAATGCTCGGAAAATATCAGCTATGACGATGCTTTCATCTGACATTGCTATTTGAAGCAACAAGTGGTTCAGAGACTCGCTGAATCACGCATGGAATTAGTGCCAGGAGGTTTCTATTCTTCAGCTTATGCTCTTTTTAGGAAAAAAAAATTAGTGTAAGAATTTAAAAAAGCAACATTTCAACGATGGCATCTTTTAAGTAACCTTTCAGAACGGATAAAATATTGCTTCATGTTTACTAATTTGGATCATGTAATTATAGTAACAAATAATTGCTCATTTCTAATTTTAAAGGTGTGTATGGCTGACAACTTTTATTTTTATGGTCCGTTAAAACGTTACTGTTTAATTATCTTGAGAAGAGTGGCTTCATTGAATTGGGTAGGCATTAATTTTAAAGACTGAGGATAAAGGCATATTGGGAAAGCCTGTACATTAAGGCCTCAAATAGAACCCACATTTTCATAATGTTTTTAAAAAAATACAGCCTATCAATTTTTTTGAAAACTATCCCCCCAAAACCAACACCAACTTCCATCAGAAAATACCTTTGAAAATATACAGTTTATTAAATTCCATAAAAACAGATTTCCTGGCATGTTACTAAAAATAGAAGCACCTCGAATGCGTTAGTGGAGGCTGGTCTTATGTATACATTGTGTGGAAGGAGGGGTTAAAGAACATTGTGGAAGATAAAATGGAGCAGATGGGAATTAAGTGTTGCTGTAGCTGTTGAATGGTACTGTGCAAATCTTCTGCCTAAAGTTAGGCATAATTCTGGTATTTTAAGTAAATTCATCTTTGTATTAATGAATGCCTATGTCTTCAAAATCTAATCTGTATCTACGTCTACCTGTGCTCTTTTTTTCTTATGGAATGTAATCTTAGACTATATACCAATCATCATCAAGAAATTGCTATGTTACATAAAACAGGCTAGAGAGTTACAGGGATCTCTGAAAATGTGGAATTATAAGGCTTCCCTCTATTTTTCTATTATATTAAGTTTACATAAGCCAAAGATAACCCAAGTGGATTTTGTACAAAAATAAAATACTCTTTTCTTTAGCCCCTGACAAGAAAATATGTACCTCTTTGTTTTCTGTGTCAGTGTTAGGACTCATTCACTCTGCTGGTTGTTCAATCTCTAAATCTCTCACTCTTTGAACTCCAGCTTTCGGACCTTTGGCTTCTTCATCCGATTAATTGGGAGGTCCTGGCAATTCTCCCTCTGCAGTATAAGCTAACACCGGCTCTGTCTTTAGATGGGGTTCAAACACCTAGGAAGCTCTGCTGAGCCCCCAGAGCCTGGTTGGCTCTTCTCCTTTTTATTTTGATAACACTTTGTGGATGCCCAATTTATCACTGAACTTGCCACATTCTGTTATCACGATTGGCAGTAACATCCTCCTAGGACAGTGGTTCCCAAATTTGGCAACATGTTAGAATCATAAATAATTAAAAACCAACTAAATCAGAATTTCTGGGGAGGTGAGACCCAGGGAAGGTATTTTTAAAAGCAGCACTTCTCAAATTTTAACATGCGTACGATTCACCTGGGGATCTTGTTAAAATGCAGATTTCTGATTCATTCAGATTGGAGGTGGGGCCCGAGACTCTGCCTTCCTAACAAGTTCCCAGGTGCCACAGATGCCACTCAAGCTAAAGCAGCTCCAAGCAGCCCCCAAATGGAGATGTGGTTTAGAAAACAATCACATCCCGTTTTTATATCTTAAACTCACGAACTCAGAAACTTACCCGACACAGGACCACTTATTTCTTCCTATCCTGTTACTTGTCCCTGCCACTACCATTTTAAGTGAGTGGTTGTTGACATTTTCTTATAAATCAGAATTTGGTTTGTCAATATTTCAGCTATAATGGGCTTTCTCCACTATTCCTCCCCACCTTGTCTTGTCCGTGTCTCTGCATTCATCTCACTGGCAACAGAACGCAGTGGAAGGCTGAGGAAGGTTAAGACAGAGGAGGAAGGTCTCGCTGCAGTTGCTTGTGCTTCAGTTGTAAAGCACCATCTTGTCTATTCTTGTCATTGGCTGTTGTGAACCCCACCGCCACCCACGACCCTCTCTTTTTTCCTCCCTTCTACACCTGAAAGCCTTTTGTTTCCCTCACTTACTCTCATTTTCCTCACTCCACCATCCTACGATGACTTATCACAAATTAATTTGTGTCATCATAATTTCAAATCAACACAAACAGATGTTTATAAGGTAAATATTTCTTTCTTCTATTTTAAGTGTTATTTTCTCAACAGCATTACTTTTCCTCAGTTAATGCTTCTATCCTTCCACATACAGATAGATCTTTTGAGTGTTAGGCACCCATGTTAAGCTCTGAGTGATTTTTATTTAGTAGTAATCTGCTTGAATGGCATGATTAAAGGTTCTATTAGCCTTGGTACACCTTTATATGTCAAGCGAACTATTCTAGTGGTTCCCAGAGTATGCACTGAGGCAACCTGGATTGCAGGGGGGAGCTGACCAGGAAATATTTAACAATTTTCAGGGATAGCCTGGTGTGGTGGTTCATGTCTGTAGTCTCAGCTAGTTGGGAGTTGGGGCAGGAGGACATCTTGAGCCCAGGAAGTCGAGGCTGCAGTAAGCGGAGACTGCGCTGCTGAACTTAAACCTGGGTGACAGAGCAAGACCCCAGCTCAAAAAAGAAGAAAAAATAAATAAAATAAAAAAAAGGAAGGAAAAGGAGGGAAATAAGCAGCACGTGACCTCTGCAGACCCCTTGCGAATTACTAGCTCAAGGTAATTCACAGTTTCAACAGTAGGTGGTGCTGCATTCCTTTCAATGATTTATATTTATAAAGCTGGGTTTTCCATAGTGGCTGTGATAAAAAGCAATTACAGTGGAAAAATCAAAGTGGAAAAGGAAATGAGAGGGCTGTGTTTGATCTGATTGAGAAATTGTGCTGTGCTCAAGAGATGCACACATACCATTTGTAAGTGTGGTTAAGAGTGAAATAATTTTTTTTGTCAATTTACGTGTATTATTTTTTCAAATAATTATTAAGTTGTTAGAACAAAAATTCTTATTAAGTTGTTTGAGTCTAACTATTTAATACATGGCACTATAAGGTATTTCTTTGAGCCTAAGGGCTCTGTGAACCAAGAAAGTTTTGGAACCTCTGCTCTGGTCTAATCGTTTTTTCCTGCCAAAAGTTTCCTGACCTAGTGGAGCTGGATAATCGCATCAGGTGTCTCTTTTATCCCAGATAAATTAAAGGTGGACCAACTTGTGGCCACAAATGAGGGGCAACTCTCTCCTTTATCTTTTTTAAAAATGTATTTTTTTCTATTATTTTTAATTGTGGTAAAAAATACTAGTCTAATTGTTTCATCTGTTTATATCATATAACTTCAAAGAGGAATTTGAGGAAATGCCATATCAACAGCTCAAAACCACCTCTAACGCGTGTCTGATACAGCCATGAGGCAACTTTGACAAATTCAGTTGTTGCCCTTGATTTTTTTTTCCAGCAAATATCTCATGTGTTATAACTACAAGGAGGAGAAGGAGGGGCAGCAGGGAAGGACAGGTGATGAAGAGGGAGGGAAATTTATCTAGCTGCCCATAAAATATCCAAATCCAACGAATCCAGTCAAAGCTGTGGTTGTAAAGAGATTTTGCCATGATTCTGTGTATTTTCCACTGAGCTTTGTTAATTACCTCAGTTTACTTCTGCAGTGATATGAAAGTCAATATGCCACTTCAATGTGTTGCACATGGATTTAGTAGAACATATACAACGGATTTTTTACCAATAATAGTAACTTCTTTATGCACCTACTTTGTCCCTGTCACTAGTGCCTTTATCACTTTACTGCAACTCCACCAGGTAGGCATTGCTGCATGCACTTTCTAGATGAAGAAATGAAAGCCCAGAAAGGTTAACAACCTGTCCTAGGTCACATAATTGGCAACTGGCAGCACTGTGACACATTCTCGGATCTGTTTGAGTCCACAGCTTGTAACTTTTCCCCATGGCAATATTCTCACAATTATAATTGTAAAACTGATTCTTACGAGGTTTTAGCCACTGCTGTTTCTAGTATCCTGAAATAACCTGCCCCCCCCGCTTTTTTTTTTTTTTTTAAGAATATGTGGCATTATAGATGTAAAATGGCATCACAATTGGAGAGGAAAACTGGAAAGGAAAAAGGGGAAACATCATTTAGATAAAGCACTTTTTAAAACTTAATCTTCTATGGCAACAATGCTATTTGTGTTGTAAAAAGTGCTTTAAAGATTTTAAGATGATGATTATTTTTTACAACCATCACCTGATTCACCTAGAGTTCTTCAGATTTCACAAAGGAAATGGAGTGAAGTACGAGTAGCTGAACTGTCTTTAGTAGTCACACAGAGTGTGAATTTCACAGCAAATACATGGCTAGATCCTTGGGGATCTGTGTTGACGTTCACCCCTTCACTGAATACTTCCTCTCTTACTTTATTCTACATTAATAATTCACATCATTGGAATACTTCCTGGTTACATCAGCCCAAGCCGTGGATGGCTTTCCTTCATTTACGGTGGTAAATACTTAAAGAGAATATTTACATATGGTTATTCAGGGATATTTGATCACAGATTGAAGTGTGAACATGCAGCCTTTGGAATCTGCAAAGTGTATGTTTTTTGCATGATATCCTAATATAGATGTCTTAAAATCATAGCTGTAATCACAAATGAATGCATTTTCTCATGTATCTTTTTATGTTCATTATCAGTTTGTTTATGAAGGGATGTGTGACAATGATTTTTAAAAAATCAACATTACCTTATGAGGCACAGAACCTGTAACCCTGGTTTTTTCTTTGACATCTTTTCAGTATGCAGATATTCTGCAACAAGGATGGAGCTGATGATAAAATTCCAACGAAACTCACGATGACAGGCTAACCAAGCTGTTTCCCTGACTCAGCTCCAGAATCTGTGAGGGCTATAATAAGTGATGCCTCCTCACTTTACTTTCTGGAGTCAATAAAATGGTCAGATGATATTTGGAAAGAGTACCTTTACATAAGCATTTTTCTCTTTTACAAATTTTGCCACAGTTAAATCAAAAGATTTTGAAATACCTGTTTTTTGCCAACTATTTGAGATAAGACTAAACAGTAGCAGCAGCAGCAGCTGCCAAATCTAAGGCAGTGGTGGGTTTTGACAGCAAAGGGCTCCATTTGGCCAGAGAATGGATGGTTCTATAGGTAGCAGAGTTAAGAAGTAGTTAATTTGAACTTGGCCAAAGGACTATAGCTCAGAACATTTGCTTTTAGAATGAGAGAAAAAGGAGACTTCCTTTCCTTACAGCTTAATCTCTCCATTCCGATTTTTAATACACCCTACTTTATAGAATAGCCAGACCACATTTTTTAAGCTACAGTAAAAATTAAAGGATTTATGATAATCCTATGCGGATGGTTGTGGGTGTTTCAACTGGAGCATTTTCTCTCTCTTTGTTGCAGGGCTAACATTTCTCAGCTTTTTGCTAGTCTTCTTCCCGAAACTACTCAAGTGGAAAAAAAAAAAGTCTTACCAGTTAAGCAACAATTCTTACTATATTGGGGAATAGTACACATCCTCCCCATCTATTTATTAGAAGTAACTTCTTCAGGCTTTAAACCCAGAATGTCAAAGCACTCAAAGGAATCCTACCTTGCCCACATACTGATAATCGGATCCTGTGTATTCCTCCAGGAGAAAGAACTGATTCCACATCCAGCTCCTTTTTGAACGGTTCAGCTCATTTTTGCTGTTTCCAGAGAGCTCCAGGGCCCTTTTCTTTGCTGGGAAACCACTAGTCCTCTTTGATAGTGGAGTTGAGAGAGTTGGGTAGGGCTGGCCCACCCAAAAGAGCAGCAAGAAGTAGCGGTAAGTTCTCATGCTGATGGCACCGTCGAGTCTGTGCGTAGTGAGTGCCCCACTCTTGGAAGTGCCTTTTTCACTGCACCGTATCCAGCCTCATTCCTCCTTCCTTCCTTAATGTTCTTTGCTTGGCTCTCAGAGGATATCTGGAAAGAATAATAACATAACAAGCATTTTTAGAGATGCTTAAAATTCAGTGTTAGAGCAAATAGGCTGGGAAAAAAGAGGACAGAAATTTGAATAGCAAAACAACAAAAAAAGTTGGCTATCAATTTTGAAACGAAGGAGACGGTCTTCCAGACATGCTAAATGGAAGGCATGTGCTGGGTAGGAAGCTGTTGTTTTCTTTCTCCTTTTCTACCGCTTAAAAATCCTATTTTAAGGAATAGTGTTGCCATAGGTCAATGTGCCAGAATGGATTATTGCGCTACTCTTTTACCTTGGAATATGTGGGCTGAGATCTGGTAGAAAAAATGAGTTTGTGTTTCTGATTCTATTTGCATATTTATCCTCATGAACAAGTTTAAGGCAAAGTATATCACAGACCATTTGAATTCAATTGAAAGTGGATAATGTTGAAATTTTGCTAAAATGTATTGAATCCCTGAGATGTGCCAGGCGTGAGTCAGGCAGAGCCAGCTCTGCAGACTCTTGGCTTCAGAGATGAGCTGTGATAGGACCTTTGGGTCAAATAAGGTTGGAAAAGACCATACACCTTCTTTTCGGAGTGCAGATTAGCATATCAAAGTGCCTGAAATAAAGTTTTTAAAGTGATATTTTGCAACAATAAAGATAAGCCTATACATATTTAATCCAGCATTTCCCAAACTTGACCAGAAAACTTTTTTTTTTTTCCTTAGAGGACCTAATAATACTATAGGATGGGTGATTCAGCAACCTATAGAATTTGTATTTAATAGACTGTAAGAATTAAATGAGCGATTCTATTCAAATTTCCTTAGGAAATCCTAAACTTTATCTATAAATTTTTGCCTGTATCATAAACAATCAAGCATATTTGTTAAAACTGGTAAAACTACAATGACATTTGTTATAACAAAAATTACAGTTGCACAGTTGCTAGGTCATTTTCACAGATGTGTCAAACATATCTAAGTACCAGTGAGGGCCATCAACTGTAAGAACTGTAACAAACTGTAACAAAAAAGTCAGCTATTATACTTTTGAGTGATACTTTTCCATGGGAAATATTAATTTTCAAAAACACAATCTACCATTAAAAAAATCCTGGTGGCCAGATTGCTTGGTACAGATGTCCCAAATTGGTTTACTAGTTTATGCAATTAAAGCCATATATGCCTATATCTCCTTTAGAAACTTTGCCACATTTTTGGGCGAAAAAAACAGTAAATTACTCCTTTGTCTTACTATTTGATATAGAAAAAACATTGTCTTGCCAGGCACAGTGGCTCATGCCTGTAATCCCAGCAAATTTGGGAGGCCGAGGTGGGCAGATCATGAGGTCAGGAGATCGAGACCATCCTGGCTAACATAATGAAACCCCGTCTCTACTAAAAAAATACAAAAAATTAGCCGGGCGTGGTGGCGGGCACCTGTAGTCCCAGCTACTTGGGAGGCTGAGGCAGGAGAATGGCGTGAACCCAGGAGACGGAGCTTGCAGTGAGCCAAGATTGCACCACTGCACTCCAGCCTGGGCGACAGAGTGAGACTCCATCTCAAAAAAAAAAAAAAAAAAAAAAACATTGTCTTAAATAATACTAACAACAACAACAACAAAAAGGAAGTGTTTTGTAATTCGGAATATAATAGTAATTGAACTGGTACATTTACTCTAAACCATGCAGATCAAGAACATGTTTTAGGTAATCTGATTAGTATTTTTTTCTCTACATCAGAAAAGATTGGTTCACTTGATTCTTGTCATTCTACCAGGTAAATGTATATGTGACAAGGTTTTTGTTTGTTTTACACTCCAGCAATGAGTAATTATAGCCACCTAATACATGGCTTAGTCAAAGCCTTCTATTGAAAGATAAGTGAAATATTTTATAGTATTCGGCATTTTAAATCCTTTATTCCATTATTATGCATCTTCTTGACAGCAGGCTGGGGAAGTTGTATATTCCACAGGTAAGTAAATTAGTACTGCGACAATTAGCCATACTGGAAAAATGCCAGGCAACAGTATACTTGTCATAATGCAGCCTTGGTACAGGGGTGGAATGACTGACGATCAATTAGGTACGAATGATTCTTCTCTCTCCTCATAGATGGTATATAAAAGGGACTGAGAGTGCATATGGAGAAAAGCCCTCTAAAGACATCTATTCATTTTTAGTAGCAGAGATTACACTGAGGTCGATTCTGTGGAAATTACATTTTTCTTAATTTCCCTCATTCTCCATTATTTGCAAAGACAAATCCTGCAGTGAAGAATTACACGTCTGCTGCTGCACTCTGTGAGCACCCCATGGTGCTGGCAGGAAAGAGGGATGCAGAGAATGGAGGTGTCAGCTGTTTAAAAGGCAGACTCCTGAAGGCCGTTTTAGAGAAAAATCGATCCCTGTGGGTGTTGTGTGCAAACTCTACAAGCTGTTGCCACTTGAATATTAAATATTAGTTCTTTTTAATATCACAGATACCAAAATGTCAAGTATTTCATTCTTTTTCTTAGTTGGTAATGAGATTTTAAGTGATAAAAATTTAAGTAGTATTTCCAAGTAGGCTACAACATCTAATTTTGCTACAACCCAGTTCTTTTTGTATCAACTTGACAGGGTGCATCCTTGCTAAAAACTTAATATATGTAATTGAATTACTATGATCAATATGCTCAAACTCATATTTGATGTTAGTTTTTTAGAGGGATAGATTTCTCTGTGAAATTCTATAGTTTTTTTAAAAAACCCCTTTAAACTGTTGAATATATAACTTAGCAATTCTCATTTACTATTTCTTAATAGGCAGGATTGCATAGTGGTTATGATCAACAGTGCTGGGGTCTGCAACATTAGTCTCTGTGAACCTGGGAAAATGGTTTCATTTCAATGTACCTCAGTTTCTTTATTCTGTAAATGGGATAATGATACTATCCACCTCATAGGGTGTTATAAGGATTAAATGAGGCATTACATGCAAACCATTTAGAACAGTGCCTGGCATTTGGTAAGGTATTAATAAGTATTAGGTATTCTAATCACTAATTATTGTTGTTATTCTCATTTGTATTGCATGTATAGAATCCATCTACAATACATTGCAAACATCTGCAGAAGATAGTTTATTGATCAGAAAACATCTCTAAGCAAGTCAAAATTTTCTTAAAATTAAAGAATAGAAACACTTGAAAAATCTAAAGTAATTTATATACTAATTGTTTTCTTTTGTGTGGACTTCAATTCAGCATTTAACAGTAGTGGTATAGAAACAGGGAAGGCAGAGATACTGTGTGACTTGTCACCACTGTTTGCATGAAGAAGAAGAATATGGGCCAAAAGAAAGTTCACTGGAGGATGGACTCATTCATAGAATCTATATTTTCTTCTTTCCATTTTATTACGTTAAGATTTTAAAAGTCATCTTTATTCAGGTGAAAGAAAATCAGAACTAGCTTTAACTTAGTAATTTTGCCCCTGTAAAAATGGTACAGGTAATTAACATACTGATATTATTCTAATGTTATATCAGAAAAGAATTTGATAAGTTAAAATGAATGATATCTGCTATGGTTTGAATATCTGCCCCCTCCAAAACTCATGTTGAAATTTAATCCCCCATGTGGCAGTATTAAGAGGTGGGGATTTTAAAACATGATTGGATTGTGAGGGTTCTTTCTGCCCTCATGAATGGATTAACTTGTTCATGGATTAATGGATTAATGGGTTATCATGAGAGTGGGAGTGGTGGCTTTATAAGAAGAGGAAGAGAGGCCAAGTGCAGTGGCTCATGCCTGTAATTCCAGCACTTTGGAAGGCCGAGGTGGGTGGATCGCCTGAGGTCAGGAGTTGGAGACCAGCCTGGCTAACATGGTGAAACCCCATCTCTACCAAAAAAAAAAAAAAAAAAAAAGACCCCAAAAAACAAAAATTAGCTGGGCATGGTGGCAGGTGCCTGTAATCCCAGCTACTCAGGAGGCTGAGGCAGGAGGCGCTTGAACCCAGGATGCGGAGGTTGCAGTGAGCAGAGATCATGCTATTGCACTCCAGCCTGGGCGACAAGAGCAAAACTGTCTGGAAAAAAAAAAAAAAAAAGAAGAGAGACCTGAATCACATGTTAGCATGCTGAGCCCCCTCACCATGTGATACTATGCAGAGAGTCCCCACCAGTAAGAAGGTCCTCACCAGATGTGGCACCTCGACCTTGCACTTAGTTTCTATAACTTTAAGAAATAAAATCCTTTTCTTTATAAATTATCCAGTTTCAGGTATTCTGTTATAAGCAATAGAAAATGAACTAAAACAATTTCCAAATTTTAGATTTTACTTAACCTGAAAAACCGTAAATGGGAAAAAAATTAGTATGCTGCAAGCATGCCCCTAAATGCAAAAAACAGGATTCTTACGGTGCAGAACGGTCATACGTTCAAGCAAAGGAAGACAATGGCCCGGAAGCAGCGCAACTTTGAGAACTGTGGGAAACGGTTGATTTCTGAGCAGGCAAAGTAGAGGGGAACCATGTGGTAAGTGGCAATCAGATGTGGTGGCTCATTTTGTAGATGTCAGGAAGTAAATGGAAAGGGGAAAGAAGTAAGGGCATGCTCAGATACTGAACTTAAAATAGCAGGCAGGGTTATTCAATCACAAAATACCTGAAGACTAGATGGTGGGAGGGAGGAAAAGCAAAACGAAGTAGATGTTGAACCTTTTTTCTGCCCTCACCCTACCCTGCATTCCCTCTTAGCATTAGGAGCCAACCAATTAGAAACATGAACAACTCGATAAAAATAAAACGTGAACTACCTAATTATAGTCTAATGACAGTTTAGCAGTGGACGTAAAAGGCTGCTTAATAGACTATGTCTCTTCTTTTCTTTTTGTTGGGATCTTAGTTTTTTGTGAGGAACTTTCTATTTTCTACAGGGAATCGTTTGTATGCTCGGAAATTTGATATGCAAAAGTGGTTGGTGGTCAAGAAAACTAGTTTGAATCTTTGCAGAACCCTGTTTTATTGATGACTAGAAGGTAATTGAGATGTTTATGGATAGTGGGGCAAGGCCCACATAGCTTTGGTAATTGCATACTTTGAACATTTATTTGCCTGGCAGCCAATATGCATATGTACTTCAATATCCACAAGAGTGCATGGTCAAGTCCAGATTTTATTTAATACGTGCCATTTTGGAGGAGCCTGGGCCTTATTAATTCAAGTCCTATCAAGATAGAATATGTGATAATTAATGCAAAGGCTGGGCTGACGTTTTCTTTTGATTAGCAAAATCTTTTTCCCTAGGTTATTGGAAATTAATAGTGCAAAAATATTTCATAGGGATATATAGAATGAGAAGACAAACTAGCATGTCCTCAAGTTCCCTAGTGTACTTTGGAATCAACTTTTATTCGCAAATAATTAATATGCTAATTAGAATTTTTTTTATTGATTGAATTGCTTCTCTGGTGACATGTTTGATAGCAGTTTGAATGACTCAAATGTATTATCTGGTTTTGAGATACTGATTTTATTACACTATTTGCAGACTAAGTAAATATAAGACAGATTTGAAAGCAATATAATTACGTTCAAGTTTTAAAATTTAGACTTGACATAGACTTGTTCTGGTGTTGTTGATTAATTCTAATCAGTGCAATATTACTATAATGCTATCTAGACTTACAAATTAAACCAAGCACATTTGTTCTTTAGTATGCGGAGCCTTAACTTTGGCATTGAAAGCACAATAAGCATTCAGTAAAGCAACGTTATTAATATACTTTAACCAGTTACCATAGTAAGAGAATGTTTTACAACCTATTATGAATTGTTTCTTCAGATAAATGGTGTTGCATACACATACTGTGGCATAGTACTTTACATTTCTGTAAATGTGGTCTATACTTAGATCATCCTACCCCATTGGATGATCTACACTTAACTCTTCCTAACCCATAAATATAGAACTCTTTTTAGCATAAGTATCATAAATACCTTATTACTTTTTGGTACATTTTCTTGCATTATATCATTAAGGAAGTAGAAAACAGCTGGTTATTTATGACTTTTTAACATCTCTCTTACTGCATTACAACTCTGAGCCTGAAATCTCAAGAGTCCTGCCCTGTCTTTGTGGGCAATGAGGATGAAGATGGTACTTAATCCATGAAAGCTCAGAAAATTAAGGAAACAGAATGAAAAAATAAGGAAGATGAATTAAACAGAGTGAAGCCAAAGGGAAACATGCCTTCCTACAAGTACATCTTAAAAAAAAATATGGTATTTATTCTGAGAGAAGAGTTTTACAGCCAATTAAGCTTGCTCAAGATCAATTTCCCGATAACCCAAGAAACTTTGTTTTGAATAGGTGGCCACCTGCTGTGAATAAAAATGTGTCTATAGAGCATGGCTGATCTTCTAGAAGTGGTATCATAAGGATAGAACCAATTTAAAAGTTTTGGTAGGGATTTCACATGAAGTCTTCATTTCTAAACCTCCATTTCATCTTTCTGTAAATGTCAAAGTCACTGTTGAGTAAAATTGGTTCCGTTTCGTGTGTGTAATGAACTCCACTGAAATGTGTCAAACAGCTTTGGCACCTCTCACCATGAAGCACTTCTCTTGTGCCAATGAATCATTATGGCAAGAGCCACCAAATGATGCCTGATATATATTTTTGTAAATGTTTATATTTGTGGATAATAGGCCAATCTGTTTGCAAACTGATGTATTTCCAGATGAAGCGATTTTAACAGGATTGCCCTTGTTCTGAAATCATATTCCACACATTGCATTAATAAAGATAAAATCCAATGTGTTACAGCACATAAAATGGCATTTTATATGTAGTTGGGGGCTGAAGTGAAATACTTGGAACAGAAAACAAAATGGATCAAAACTTAAATCAGAGCATAAAGACAAAGTTTTTCTACCACATGTGGGGGCAAAGTCCAAACTATTTAATTGTGAGAACTACTAAACTATTTAAATATGAGAATATGATGAAGAGCAGACTCCGGCATGCCACATGTCAAGGTGAGAATCTCAGCCCCGCACAACGCTGGCTGGACAAAGAGGGGACCAATTTGTGTCTCAGTTTCTTTACCTGTAAAATGGGATGACATTAATAGTACCTACCTCATAGGATAGCTGTGAGCATAAAAATGAATGAATTCATGTGAGGTCTTACTTATGAACATGAAGATGGCTACAGCTACTTAAACTGCCAAAGATCTTAGCAGACGACACATATAGGCCATCCTAGGGCCACACTTTGCCTCTTGTGCATTTTTTGTTATGCCTTTTATTCTACAATTAAGAAACTTAAGTCAGTTGCTACTCTTCAAGGAATCAATACATCCTCATTTGTGGATTAACTTGAAACCTCAAAAGTTCTGGTGGCCTTTATTTCTGGAGTGGAGGGAGCTGCTCCCACAGCAGTGCAAGGGCTTCCCGGGCTGCCACGGTCCCCACTGTCCTTCCTGTGCTCCCCTGCTGGGGCCTTATGTTCAAATGCCATTTGCCATCTCCCTTCCACTGGGGTTTTCCTAGACCTGCTTGCTTCATTCCTTTAAGCACCTTGCCTGGCTCTTGATGGCCCTTTGGGCACGTGGACCCTGTCTTTTCCCAAAAGATTTACTCATGCGAACAAAGAAGAAGAGAAAGCATTTTTATACTTTTAATTAGCTCTTCATGGTATGAATTTAAACATTTCTGTAGCAAACTATAGGTTTAGGTTGCAGAATTGTAGGAAAGACTGGGTTTCATATTATTCTCTGCTTAAATGTTAGGTTCTCTGGCAGCTACATTAATTCTTTTAGACACATGGCCATGGAAGACAATGAAGCTTAAACAAGACCGGGAGATGTTAAAACCCTCTTACAAATTAGCATGGATGATTTCTATGAGCTAGCTCTTCTTTTAACAGCTCAGTGAAAGGGCAGCCAGAGAGTATTGGCTGGCAGCTCTGGGCCTGCAGGAGATGAAGGTATCTTAGTGAGGATGGCAAGTCCAAAACAGAATTAACTTGATTAAATTGCAAAAGCAATCACATGGTTCAGTTTACCATTAAGTAATTGTGAACTTGGCATATCATAGATGATTTTTAGAGGCTAATACTTGCATAAAGTGTTACAAAGAGTAGAGATATTTAATTAATTTTGGATGATATATGTACGTCTTTTATCAATTACATGATGTCTAATTCATAAATAATAATACTGGTTAACATTGCTATATTCTACCCCTGAACTTGTTATGTGCTAGGCACCTTGCTAAGCCCATCACAAAGGTGCTTTCGTGAATTCTCGTGACAATCCTGAGAGGTGGATAACATTCTTCTGATTTCTGCAGATAAGAAACTGAAACTTAGGTCAAATAGCTTGTCCACGGTCATGCAGTGAGTATGTAATAAAGCCAGATCCCAATTCATGCATCAGACTAGGGTGCCCTCACTCTGAATGCACTCTAAGGGGGTGTGTGCCAGGCTGCTGCCCACATGACAAGTGCTCAATCTAGTTGTGGCCTTAGAATTGAGTCTTCATGAATTCCCTAAAAAATAACACCAACGGAGGTCTCCAAGAGGTAAAAAGAGTTGTTACAAAACTTACAAGCTAACTAAGAGCAGCAAACAAATGTGCCAGGTAATGGGATAAATGCTCTACACACATGGAAGTCTTGCAACAATCCTTTGTAATGGGGACCATTTTCTTTTCTTTTTTTTTTAAATTATACTTTAAGTTCTGGGGTACACGTGCAGAACATGCAGGTTTGTTTCATAGATATACACATGCCATGGTGGTTTGTTGCACCCATCAATCTGTCATCTACATTAGGTATTTCTCCTAATGCTATCCCTCCCCTAGCCCCTCACCCACAAACAGGCCCCGGTGTGTGATGTTCCCTTCCCTGTGTCCATGTGTTCCCATTGTTCAACTCCCACTTATGGGTGAGAACATGCGGTGTTTGGTTTTCTGTTCTTGTGTTAGTTTGCTGAGAATAATGATTTCCAGCGTCATCCATGTCCCTGCAAAGGACATGAACTCATCCTTTTTTATGGCTGCATAGCATTCTATGGTGTATATGTGCCACATTTTCTTTATCCAGTCTATCACTGATGGGCATTTGGGTTGGTTTCAAGTTTTTGCTATTGTGAACAGTGCCGCAGTAAACATATGTGTGCATGTGTCTTTATAGTAGAATAATTTATAATCATTTGGGTATATACCTATAAATGAGATTGCTGGGTCAAATGGTATTTCTAGTTCTAGATCCTTGAGGAATTGCCACATTGTCTTCCACAATGGTTGAACTAATTTACACTCCATGATGGGGACCATTTTCTTATCCTCTCTTTCAGAGAGATAAGAAACACAGACTTAGAGGGACTGAATACTTTGCCCAGAGTACATAGCTAGTGAGTGGCAGAACTTCGATAAAACCCAACTAACCTAGAGGCTCCTTCTTAGCTGTAATATCCACAATGTCATTTGTATTTTGCTCATGGAAACAGCATCTAGGTTGTATTTACTCTCATTTCAGACAAAATTTGAAAAAATTTATCATCAGGTTTTTAAATCCCCCACAAATTGAAGGGATGAGTGAGTGCTGGAGGCTGGATTATCAACATTAGTGGGAGGGGGTAGCTGAAAGGCACAGACAGAGTAGCTACAAAAGGCAGGCAGAAGAACTGAGCACAGAACAAAACAAGTCAGGGGCTGGTCTTGGGAGACTGATGAAGTCCTACATCCCAGTGCCAAGAACAGTGCCTGGCACATAGTAACACCAGATAAACATTTGTAAAATAAGCAAATGTATAGATGAATGCGTGCATGGCTGAATGTAAGAATGACTAAATGCGTGAATTGAAGATATGACTAATGACTATAAAAACGAACATGTGGCCAGGCGCGGTGGCTCACGCCTGTAATCCTAGCACTTTGGGAGGCTGAGACGGGTGGATCACGAGGTCAGGAGATCGGGACCATCCCGGCTAACACGGTGAAACCCCATCTCTACTAAAAATACAAAAAAATTAGCCGAGCGTGGTGGCGGGCACCTGTAGTCCCAGCTACTCTGGAGGCTGAGGCAGGAGAATGGCGTGAACCCGGGAGGCGGAGCTTGCAGTGAGCCGAGATCGCGCCACTGCACTCCACCTGGGCGACAGAGCAAGACTCCGTCTCAAAACAAACAAACAAACAAACATGCGAATACTTCACAGCACTTGGAGGTATCACCATGTTACAAATACAGCACACTGATATTCATAAAAATGACCTTGAACCATTAAGCAAAGGTCCAAGTTCTTTTGAATGTTTGGTTTGAAAAGGCATGGATGTGCAGAATAAATAAAAGGAAAATTACTGTCGAAAGTCGTGATAGTGGTATTTAGAAGAGCTGGGGTTTAGATCTTACTCTCTTTCTTCTCTTGTGATCTCAGACAAGCTATTCCACCTCTCTCGGCTCTTGTTTCTCATGTATACAATTAGGGCCGATGTGCTCATACCCAGGGATAGAATAGCAGTGTGTTTAGAAACACAGAGGCGGCCAGTTTACCAATTTTTATCCCAGTATCAATACTTATTAGCTATGAGACATTGGCAAGTAACTTGATACAATGTGTTCCAATTTCCTCTTCTTTAAATCAAGAATAGTAAAGTTTTGGGGTCTCAGGGGAGGCACCTGATAAATAGCATCTTCCTTTTTCTTCCAAACTCCAAAGATTAAGAAATACAGGAGTGTTGGATGAAGACCAATATATCACCTTTATTACTGAAAAACAAAAACAAAAGACAGCCAGGTTGGAAAGATGGCTTAGTGTAAGGGCCACGAAGGCTTGCTAAGAAAATCCCAGAATTAGGCAAGCTCTCCATGGAGTCGGAGTTACACTTTATTTTGCTCTTTCTTTTACAAAAGCACAAGTGGTTCTTATCTCTGGGTGGCAAGCTCCAATTCTAAGTTCCGAGCCAGAGGGAATGCCTTTCTGTTCCCACCCTTGGCCAGCTCAGTTACAGACCCCAAGGTCTGAAGAAAGTGATGGGGAGGAATCTGTTTTAATCCCCACTAATTAAAAAAGATCATTTGAGACATCAGTAATCCTGACAGCCAGTAAATCACTCATTACTTACCGACCGTTCCTGTATTTAAAGCTTTGCTTTTTGGAGTTGTTTACAACATCACTAAAATGAAAAAAAATGTATGAATAATTTAAAGATGGGGAATTTAAAGTTTCCCTGAAAATATCTTTCACTTCAGGTCAATCAATGCATTACAGGCCAAATGAATTCTTTTCTGTCTCTCTTCACCTTTCCCACTAAACACACACATACACACAGCAAAAAGGGATAGTGATTCTTCAGATACTTGCCTGTTAGCGTTGAAACACTACCATGACACTTCTCCCCCAAAAGGATAGCAGTATTTACAGAGGTGTAACCCTTTATGCCAAGTTATAATGGAAAGAAATAATCAAAGCTCCACTTGCTGTTTGGATAGCTTTGTTCATTCAATATGTTTTATGTAAGTTTATTTGCAGAGAATTCATAATGCAAATCAGATGCTTCTCATAATATCTTGGTATAATAACTTAGAATAATTAATGTAATAAATTTTGTATAATAACTTAAAGGGATACTGCAACACCAAAAGGTTTCTTCCCTGAGACTAACTATTAATAAGACAGAAGGGGGCTTGTGAAGGTGTGGACATCTTCACTAATTCAGGTTTGTGTTAACTGACCGTCAAATTAAACTTGCTCTAGACAGGAAGAGAATGTGTTTGAATGGGATGCTGGATGTTTTATCAATTTTGATTGCCTTAATTTAAAAACTTTAATTAGAACCTCTGTTTACTAGAGTCAAACTGCACATAAAATATCACGCAAAACATTTAAAAGAGAATTTTAATTATACCACCAAAGAAATGCCCTTGTTCGATGTTTACTAAACACTTGCCAGAACAAGTTAATTAATACATGTTTAAATATGTGAAAGAAGAAGGGAAGCAGAAAAAAATCACATTCGTCTTTTGTTGAGTTTTACTGCAGTTGTCAAAGACGCCCCATTTCTAATTTAACGACGGCACCGTCACAGTGCGCTTGTGTAATTATAAACAATGGGCACAAGAACGCAATGAGGGCCAAGGAAAAGCCAATTCCCACTGGGAGCTGTTGTTCAAAATAATTGCTCATTGTTGCTTGATGTTTCGAAGTAATCAAATCAAGCACTTTTCAATTTCCTTCATCTATTCAGTTATTCCATGGTAGAATATCAGAATATTTGGATGTTGCATTTTTAATAGGTCGGTAATGTGGCCCTTTAATTATTTAAAACTACAGAAAAATATTTTTTAATAGAAAGAGCATTTGTGTAGAAAGAGAAATATTTTGATGATATTGAGTTTTTAGTTCTAATTTTAATAGGTTACCAACTTTTACACTTTCTTTATTCTTTTAGTTTCTCCACTTTCTCCATTTGTTAATGATGATTACTTGTGTTAGTAAAGACTGATATTGGAAAGCAGTGAATGATCTAAAAAACAAAATGAAATCAGTCTTTCTAAGATACATCCGGTTATCTCTGTAGCTTTATGAAAAAATCCGAAGAAAAAATATCAAAAATAAGTTTGTAATCTTTTGGAGAAATAAAATGCGCACATCGCACTAATTATCAATATCATTATTAAGAAAATTATTTTCCTAAACAGCATAACTGGTACAGTTGTCCTCTTTATCCTCAGGGAACACGTTCTAAGACCCCCAATAGGTGCCTGAAATCAAGGATAGTATCGAACCCAATTGCTGTCAGTTGGAAGACATTTCTGTTCATGTCTTCCACCCACAATGTAATGCCTTTTCCATCTTAACTAAGCACTTATCATGTACTATGGCCATAACTTTTGCAGTTTGACATGAGACAGCAAAACTAGCACAAATTTCTTTTTCCTTCTCCATGATTTCACAAATGAATAGAAGATTCGTTCTTACTGAAGATCTTAGCAACCTCGGCATACAATTTTTTTTCTTTCCTTATTAAGTGGAGAACATTCACCTTTTCACTTAAAGGAAGCACTTTACAACTTATCTTTGGCATTTCCAAATGGCTGGTATCACTACTTTTGCACTTTAGGGCATTAAAATATAAAATTAGGGTGACCTGAACACAAGCACTGTGATACTTGGACAGTCTATTTGATAACCACGAGGGCTAAGTGACTAACAGGTGGGTCGTGTAGACAGCGTGGATAAGCTGGTAAAAAGGAAAATTCACAATCCAGGCAGGATGTTGTGGGAGGGGGCAAGATTTCACCACGCTGTCCAGAACAGTGTGCAGCTTAAAATTTATGAATTATTTATTTCTGGAATTTTCCATGTAATATTTTTGGACTGTGGTCGACTGTGGGTAACTGAAGCCATGGAAAGAGAAACCTCAGATCAGGAGGGATTACTGTATTTACCTTTTCTTTTTTTAAAAAGCAGATTTTTCTGAAAAGTTAGTCAATATTAACAATTTCATTCAGATTCGCTTCTAAAAAAAAAAAACCCTGTATCAGTCCTGTTATAGTTTGGCTGTCCTATTTAAAATTTCACTCCAGGTGAGATAGTTGAGTTAGGTTTCTTCTAAGGCTCCACAGGTTTATTATAAAAATTAAATATGATACAGTGCTATTGATTGAATATATATATGCTTGCAAAAATTATATGTTGAAACCTAATCCCCAATGTGATGGTATTTGGAGGTGAGTTATTTGGAAGGTGATTAGATCATGAGGGCATTGCCTTCATGAATGAGATTAGTGCCCTTAGAAAGGAGATCCCAGAGAGGTCCTGTATTACTCTGTTCTCACTCTGCTAATAAAGACATACCCAAGACTGGGTAATTTATAAAGGAAAGAGGCTTAATTGGCTCACAATTCAGCAGGGCTGGGGAGGCCTCAGGAAACTTACAATCATGGAGGAAGGGGAAAGCAAACATGTCCTTCTTCACATGATGGCAGGAAGGAGAAGTGCTGAGCAAAGAGAGAAAAGCCCCTTGTAAAACCATCAGATCTTGTGAGAACTCACTCATTATCATGAGAACAGCATGAGGGTAACTGCCCCCATGATAAATTACCTCCCACTGGGTCCCTCCGACGGCATGTGGGGATTATGGGAACTACAATTCAAGATGAGATTTGGGTGGGGACACAGAACCAAACCATATGAGATCCCTGACCCCTTCTGGCATGTGAGGACAAAGCAGGAAGATAGTCCATGAATCAGGAAGCCAGGCCTCCCTGGGCACTGAATTTGCTGGTGCCTTGATCTTGGACTTCCTAGTTTCCAAAACATTGAGATATAAATTTCTGTTGTTTATAAGCCACTTAGTCCATGGTATTTTTGTTATAACAGCTTGAGCAGACTAACATATAAAGTACATAAAACACTTAGCACATTGCTACATTATCAGGAAATAAATATTAGCCAGTACTGATTTTAATATTATTGCCTGCAAAGAGCCATATGAGACTAGCACATGTAACAATTTACTGTATTTGAGTCAGTTAATATCAGTAAAGAACATTGTCAGAGTATCATAAAAGGCAGCCTTCTTAAAAAAAAAACAAAAAGCTCTTTTTTCTATGTATTATTTTTCTTCAGAAAAGAAAACTTTATACCTAAGAACAGGCATCGTTTGGTACTTAAGCATGCCATTGACTTGCTCTTATTTATTTCATTTGACAGGACAAATAGAATTTCCTAATGTATTTTTCCTTATAAGAATCTAAAGTGCCAGTATATTTGCACACCTACCAATTATCACACGAGTTTCCCTGAACATGAAAACTAAGCCAAAATATAATTTAGCTCTATAAACTACTGTCAAACTCAGGTATCATTCCATTTGGAGCATCCAAATTATTGACTGGATTATTTGATTAGCAATTGTTTAATGGACTTCATGAAGCTGTTTATTTTTTCCACAACTCAGTAAAAAGTTTTTGTAAAATGAGCATTTTTATGATTAATAAAAATACACACACACACACACACACACACCACACACACATAATACACCTTAAAAGTATTCTGTCAAGTATTTCTGACATCCTGTCTTTAGAAGATGTTGTGGTTCCCGTACTAATGTAGAATTTCTTTCTTATGACTGTAAATAAAAACCAGGTATCCATGGTTATAAATATCTCATTTCACATTTTCTTTAGCCACAGCAAAAAATTTCAATTAATTGAATCACAGCCACCCTCAGATAATGCCAGAAGTGCAATAGTTGGTGTTCCAGGTCATGGGCAACCATTAATTAAGATGCAAAGAATCAGCATTAAAGGCTCCAATTTTTGTCCCAGAATTTTTTTCTTGATGGATATGGACTAAAATGTCTAGAAAATACAGCTTCAGCTATATGGGAAAGAGGAAATTAGGCGCAGTCTTTATTTTGCTTGGCCTGGAATTTTTTATAAACTTCTGAAGTGTCATTTTGGAATATGAACATAAAAATAATCTTACTTCAGATTTATTTAAACTTGACATTTATTTATAATAAAAAGGGCAGCTTGATGGGTAGAAGTACAGGTTAACATACAGAAATGCTAACAATGTGAGAAGAGTAACATTCATATGCTTTGTTCAATGATCTAAGGGAGTTGCTATTCTAACTTCTGTCATTTTCTCTACATTTCAATGTTCAGAGGGAAAACTGGTCATGAAGCCTACTCGGGATTATGGATATAAACTTGTGGAATCAGTTCCCAAGAGGTGGGTAGTGAAGTGACTTCCAATTCCCATTTGCAACTCTCAGAGCTGAGATTAAAAACTCCTTGTTATCAACTCACAGAACAAGAAAATACAGCATCCCTCTATATTCTAGACATCTACCTGCTTTCAGGTGTGACTTCTGAACTTGCCAGAAGGAAAGAAGTGTGGAGCTGTCCCCCTTAGACCTAGTGTCCTCGCCCTGGTTTGGTTTGGTTCCAGTTCCTGTATAGTCCAGACTGCCCAAGCGGTGAGGATTGCAGGGAGTAGGTGATGTTTGCTATAAAAATGCTTTGGTTCTTCAGGATGCAGTGAAGGCATTCATGGCTTGGTGCCCATGATGCCTTACAGGGGCAGTAGAGAGCTTTGCAACAATCATATAGGCCATTAAGTGAGAGGAGAAGTCAAGCGCCTCCCACAAGACTGAGTCAAAATGCTCCCTTTGGGTTTCTAAGTGTTTGGTGCTTTTTCTCGCATTGGTCTTGCTGCCAAACACAGTGTGTGCATTGTTTGTCCTTCTTGGTATCACATTGATTCTGTGTCCAGGAAAGTGGCCTAGATGGTGGAGGTGAGAAGGAGGCCTTGCTCCTCCCAAAGCTGACACCCTGGTGAGGTCTGCATCACATCAGGCAGAGCATCAAATTCTTCCTCACTGAGAGGTGGTTCAAGTGGTGGAGGGACCTTTTCCTGTGGACTTGGATTCAGGCAGGCTTGTGTCTTTTTCTGAAACTATACAATTGACAGGCATTGACCTAAAAGGGTGGGTTTTGCAGAGAGCTGTGCGGTTGCTCGAGTGGCTGAGATGGCTCTGCAGCTGGTGGTGCCCGCTACTGCCACAGGGATGTCCAGGTGTGTGCAGGCTCTGTGGGCTGCTGAAGTGCCCCTGCTCCAGCTGGCCATTTGACATCACTCCTTGGGGCCCCTTGTGCCACCACTGCATAAGGTGAGATGTGTCTTGCTGACCAGTTCCCTGCAACTGGTGCTTAGGATTGCCAGGTTGGGGCTGTGTAGAGTCCTTACAGGGCAGTACTGCCAGGCCATGTGTCTCTGTCCTTGTCATCCTGGCATCTTCCTTGGTGTGGGGGCTGGAAAGGAGCCAGAGGATGTAAGAGCGCCCCTCCTAGAGCTGGGCCTGTTGACATGTGACTCCTAAGTGTCAGAAGAGGTGGAGAGATCTCTCCTCCCAGCACAGCCTGGTGGGTGGAGCATCATGACCCTTGGTGCCTGGCTCACTCCGAGCCCAGGGGGAACCCAAGAACCAAAGCATGTGTGAGGTGGAAGAAGAGCTGGTTGTTGCTGAAAGAACTGGAGGGAGGGAAGTGACCCCACTGCTAGGGGCCATGCACAAGTTGCCTTGCCTTGTCACACAGTCATGTGAGGTCTCCGACTTGGGGCCTTCTGCCAGGGAATTCACAAGTCTACAACTCTGGCCACAGTGCCGAGCTCTTTGGTTATGAAACCATATCTGAGTTCTGGACTCTGAGAGGCCTGTTTGTGCAGCCAGTTCTTCCCTGATAGCAATTCCAGGAAATCGACCCCAATCCAGACCCCAGTAGACTCTGTCTGAGGTGTTGTGTTCTCTGGTTTCGAAACCACATCTGTATTCTAAATTCTGGAGTGCCAATTTCTCTGGTCAGTTGTTCTCTGGGAGTCACATCAGGGTAGGGGTTCTGTTCAAACTAGCCTTGTAGGGCACCCTTTTGACTTGGGTTCAAATCACTCCTTCGTTGGGGTCCTCGGAAGAAAGCTGCGTGAAGTGTTGGTCCAATCCCTAGTGGGAAGGGTCACCTGGATTCCACAGAGACTGCTGGCCCATTGGGCAGCTCCCGGAGGCACTGGACTCATCAGGACCCAGCAGGGCCTGCCCATTTCTTAAATACCTTCTGAATTTAGCCTTTCTTTAAATATTTAAGACCCTGATGGATTCAGAGGAAGCCAGTGGAGGTTGGATTTTAAGGGAAGTACAGATGCTGCTAGGTGGTTTTTCATTTCTTACAGCCCTTTTCCAAGTATAACTTTGATCCCAGGCTCTCTGGTTTTGACATATGGAAATGGTTTGGTCTCTGTGATGTTCAAGTATTCTTGTTCCTTCCTCATTCTGGATGGCCACATTATGGAAAACATGGGGAAACTCTCCTTGTAGGTGTACTTTGCACACTTTTCTCAGCTTCTCCATGAACGTGTTTCATTTCATCACCACATCAGTTGATTGAGGTCAGTGGAATGACATGTGAGGGGAAAATTATATAATAGGTGGATTGTTCTCGGGATCAAACCATGAATGATACCAAGTGGCATTGCATGTTGGACAGAGGGCAGCCAGTCTACTGCAACTACTCAGTGTGGAAAACCTACAGCAGCTGGTAAAACCCAAAAGGCAGAAAATGGGACATCCTCATTTGTGCTGTGAAGGAAAGGAACACAGACTATCAGTGGTTAGGCTCACCTTTTTTTCCCCAAATTTATTTAAAAAATATATAAAATTGCATGTATTTGTTGGGTACTACATGATGTTTTGAAGTATATATACATTGTGGAATGATTAGATCTAGCTAATTAACATATGCATAACCTCACATCATTATTATTTTCGTGGTGAGAACTTTTTAGGGAAAAAAAACCCTCTGCATTCCATCTTATCTTTATTTTAAGGGAACACTAATTTAATGAATTCTTATTGAGGGGATGAAGGGGGAGACTAAGATCCTTTTGAAATGGTTAAAGGCATGAAGCATGAAATTTGCAAACTATGACATAACTTATTTAGAATTTTTCCTCAAATTGCCTGCCAAAGGGCCAACATAAATCCTTTTCTAGAGACAATGCATGATCTCTCATAATACTACCTAGGTTTTTTGGGGTGGTATAATTGTGTGTGTGTGTGTGTGTGCATGTTTTGCTTGTGAGAGGATTCAGGAATGTGGATATTTCTTAATATTGCTTTATGATGGTTGAGTTCAAACAAGAAGAATTCTGAGAAAAAGATCAGTACAACTTGTTAGCCACCAATTTATCATCTACCTATACAAGATTTAATGGTAGTGTTAACCCGAAGTCTCAAGAATAATTAGAGTCTAAAACAAGTCCTTAAAGTAAAGAGATGAAAAGAACTATATAAAGAGAAGGCTGTCATGAAATAGAAATTGCAAAAGGCAAGGGAACTTTCATCGTGTTGAGTAAGTACTTTACTATGGGATTCTTTTTTAAATTAAGACGCCTGATAAGTTGGATGAAAATAAAATATGTATGATTATCAGGGACTACCTTAGCACAGAGTAGTTGGAAATGAGTGGAAAAAGGACAGAGAGGTGGTTTTGCTTCCCCCAAGTCATTACCAGCTTTAGTTCACAGAAAAGTTATTTCCAATACTTACTTTGAAAGATTGCTTTGAGGTCTGCTTTTAATTTGAACAGTTAAACATCGTACTCATGCCAATGAGTCCTTTTTCTTGTTTTAATATCATTAGGAAGAAAGCTTTCCTGGCCAGAGTGGATAGTGTAATTGCTTAAAAGAAGAATCATATAACACACATACTTAATAAAAACCTTTAAAACAATTTCCTTATGTTGGCTAGGCACCTTCATTTACATAAGACAGGTTTTTAGTTTTTAAAACTAAATTACGTTGAACTATATGGAAAAAAGTCTCCAGAATAAGATTTTAGCAAATAAATAACCTCTCACAGCTCTTGGTTGTTGAGCCTTCTCTGGTTGTTTCTATTTGGGCTGCAGGGTAATTTTACAGGAATCCTTTATTTTGCTAATGCAATTAGAGTCAGCCACACTTTATATAAACCTGGAAAACTGCTAAGAACAAGGCAGCGTTCATCCTAAAACTTTGGTCACAGGTGCTTTGAAATTTACTATGTGTTCTGATGCTACCACTAATGGGAAAATATTTGTTTTCATTTAAAGTCATTTAGAAATATTTTTTAAAAACAGAATGAATCATCACTTTTCATAGCTCAACAGATTGCTGTCTGCATGCACAACACTTCCTGCTGCTTACAACTAAAGAAAAATGACTTTGGCACTTTATCTTTGATGAGTGATTGTAGTGGCAATTGCCTGTGAGACACCAAGACACCTGCCACAGCATCCTTGGATGTTTTCTTGTCTAAGGCAATCCTCTCCAGTCAATGTGGGGGCAGCAAACCAATATGCCACCAGATAGAAGCAGGTGGAATGTTCTGATTAAGAGAATGAGCTTTGCAATCAGCTGGATATGGGTTGAAATTTTTACTTTACTTATGAGTCTTTGGACATGTTACTTAACCTTTTAAAGTTTTAGCTTCTTCTCCTCTAAACTGAGGAGTGACCATATTCATGTCCTAAGGTATTAATGTGGAGAACAAATGACTCAGGTGTGCAGAGGAGCAGATACCTACTAGCTATTTTTAAGTCATTTTTTGGTAAAGATTTGGTGAATTGATAACTCTTGATCATCGATAACTTTTGATTTTATGATAGCCAGCCCATTCTCAAACTCTTCTGCAGAGATGTCCTGAGTTAAGATCCCTGAAAGGTATGAGGGCAGAACCCAAAATGCGGAATTAAAAAAGTCTTTAGGCCGGGTGCGGTAGCTCATGCCTGTAATCCCAACACTTTGGGAGGCTAAGGCAGGCAGATCACCTGAGGTCAGGAGTTCAAGACCAGCCTGGCTAACATGGTGAAACCCCGTCTCTACTAAAAATACAAAATATTAGCCAAGCATAGTGGCACCTGCCAGTAAGCTACCTGGTAGGCTGAGGCAGGAGAATTGCTTGAACTGGGAGGCAGAGGTTGCAGTGAGCCGAGATTATGCCATTGCACTCCAGCCTGGGTGGCAGAGCAAGACTCTGTCTCAGAAACAAAACAAAACAAAACAACAGAACAAAAAACAAAACACAAAAAACTCTTCAATGTTATCTTAAACACCTATGCACATTTTGCGGTCTACTCAATAAGAATTCTAAATTGTTTTATTGCCAAAATCATGTTTGCCCCTCAAAGTTTGTAAATCTGATGCTCTAGGGTCACCTTCACACTGTGGCTTTGCCTGGCCTCTTGCACAATCCTGGGCTTGAGTGTGGCCCACCTGGGCTGCGCTGGAGAAACACCAGATAACATAGACGTCTGTAAACCCTGCTTTCTACTGTATAGATGATAGGTGGAGCTTCCTCCCCCTGACCATCCCACTTCATCCCCAATTGAAACATAGTCAGGGTAGGTTCTCACCTATAAATTATCCTTGACATTTTAATTTAAAATTTTAACTCATTTGGCTGAGCAATAGGGTGCAATGGAGTGGGGGATGCAGAAAACAAATTTCTATTCCTTAGTGAGAAAAATTAAGCAACAGTAAAGCATGTGCCACTCTATGTTGCTCTTGTCACATCGCTATGTTGGAGTCCATTAAGAAAATGTTAAGGCTGGGTGCGGTGGCTCATGGCTATAATCCCAGCACTTTGGGAGGCCAAAGTGGGTGGATCATGAGGTCAGGAGATGGAGACAATCCTGGCCAACATAGTGAAACCCTGTCTCTACTAAAAATACAAAAAAAATTTAGCTGGGTGTGGTGGTGTGTGCCTGTAATCCCAGCTACTTGGGAGGCTGAGGCAAGAGAATTGCTTGAACCCAGGAGGTGGAGGTTGCAGTGAGCAGAGATTGTGCCATTGCACTCCAGCCTGGGTGACGAGCAAAACTCTGTCTCACAAAAAAAAAAAAAAAAAAAAAAAAAGAGAGAGAGAGAGAAAAGAAAATGTTAAGATGGCTTTAGTCAGGAGACTTGCTCTAGAAATTATGGCGTATTAGAAGTAGAGGTTGAATCTTATCCTAGGTGTCTTAAGAAATTTGTGGATAACTTTTAGATTAAGTGAGAAGAAAGTTAAAAACATGCTTTGAGGAGCTGGCTACGTAGATAACTGGGTTCATGGCTTAGGTTAAATATTTCTTGTAGATAAAAATCCATGATGAGGAATAATCATGGTTTATATTAGTTTTCAACTTTCTGCCATTCCGATGAGTTAAACAACTATTCAACTTAAAAGTAAAAACCCTGTAATGTCCCCTGTTAGCCAGCAAGCCTCTTAACCCCCGTGAGCTGGGACACACAAGTTGTGGAAATTGCAGAGGTAGGAAAGGGCTTTTAACATTTCATCCTGGACAAAGGCCTGTAAGCTGACGGGAAAGACAGAGGAAAAGAGAGAGAAAGGGAAAGACAGAGGAAAAGAGAGAGAAAGGGAAAGAGAGAGAAAGAAAGAGAAGAAGAATAAGGACAAACTCAGTGATGGTCTATTTATAACAGGGAAAAGAATTGAAATCACCATGCAAGTGATCTCCCGCTGCCTGTTGAAATTTCCTTTGATGGAAGTAATCTCTCCTTGTTCCAGGGTCCATGACTATTTTAGGCCTTCCTTAGTTGGTAGATAGCCTCAATTCAGTAATCAGACTGTGTCATATACATGCAGTGGTCAAACCTCCAAACTCAGCTTGGTGTGAATCTTCCCTCCTCCACTGGGACTTGCTTCCTGCTAGAAGTCTGCACTGGGGCAAGAGATGTGGTTCTTCTGTTTCCTCTCTCCTAGCCACAGATCCCCATTTATGACTTTGTTTCCTGCTCCATGTCAGTGTCAAAGTTGCTAGTAAGGATAAATAGCAAGGTCATGGGACTCTTCTTTATATTTTCTGGGCCTGGCTGTTCAAGCTGCTGTTTGTGGGGGGCTCAGTATATGATTAGAGTGGACATTTCCTCTCTTGGAGAACTTTGATGGAGTCCTCAGAGGTCGTCTAACTCTGGACCCTCTTCTCCTATAGTAAGTACCTTGCCCCAGGCATAGATGGTTCTATTCAGGTTGGGGCTGCTTTCCTAGGTCCCAGGCATTTCAAGACTCTTTCTATTCAGGCCACCTTGTTCCTCGAGGCAGCCCTATTGTTTACAGCCCAAGGCAACCCCATGACAGTTCTTTCCCAAGTGGCCCACATCTGGTCCATGGGAAATACACATCTATATACTGATAAACTCTTGCTGATCCCAGTGAAGCAGAATGCTCCTGGCTCGGTCACCTGAATAGTGAGCCAGCCCCTCTCAGTCCCCAGTTCTTGTCTGCTTTCCCTCTCTCCAGCATGAGCCTCCCAACTGCAGGGAACACATTTCATAGCTCTCTGTGTCATACAATTGAGTCCCCCTTAATGAAGTATTCCCTTAATTAGGCTTAAGATGGGAAGGTAGCAGCTCCTCTTAACAAAGGTGGGTGGGGAGTCTGCAATAACAGAGCCTTCCAAAGGAATTTCTTCAGTAATCTCATCTCAGAATCCTCTCTATGACCACCTTTTATGTTCTTGATTTGATGAAGTTGTCCTTCATTCCAGCTGTAAGTTCTGCACAGGATGGGAGTTGCATCTCTATCCTTGTCTACATTGTCTTGATAATAAGTTTCAACTGAGTTGGGAAGAGACTTCATCCTTATCATACACACATCTGGCTTAATTCAGTTAGAAAAATAGGCAAATACTTCCTAATAAATACAATTAAAAATATATAAACATGACACCAAAATTAAGTCACTGCAGCACATTTAACATCTTTGGGCAGGTAATCCAGCGCTTTTGGAGTTTGATTTGGCCATAAAAACAAGACTGTACAAAATTGGCCTGAAATTGTCATAAAAACAAATGAACTTTAAAACTGTCTCAAATTCACATCATGAACTTTTCCTTTAAAAATAGTATTTATAGGCTTGGTGCCCAACCTATACGTGAGATTGGAAGCAAACATTTTATTTGCACATTTTCATGAGATGTCTTTGATGATGTTGAGCAGAGAGTAGATAGAATCGAGGTTTGCTTTAAAGAAAGTAGCAGGGACTCCTGTTTTAGCATGAGCTGTGTTTACCTCTGGGATCTAACAGGTCCAGATGTGTCTGACATACTTAGGGTCAGCCTGCCTGGAGTCTGAGCTGGAGATGCTATGATGCCTCCCAGGAGAGAAGTTGTTCTCAGGGAGGGAAGTGTCAAGCAGGCAAGCTTGGGCCAGTAAAGAAGCCTCAGCCATCACATTGGAAGGACAATTCCAAGCATGGCATGATGCTGTCACTTGGATTTGTCCCCCAGGGACTCAGACGTGAGTCTTAGGGAGAGAGGGGGCTGCAAGTAGAAATTGAAAGAACTATTTTCACTAAAATCTTCAGAAACACTGAAGATTCCGATGAGCTGAATATTCTGAAACCCCAACCACCCCCTGTGCTTCCTTGCTGGCCATAGCAGGCCATCTTCCTCTGTCTGCTGAGACTGATGTGGTCTGGCTTAAAGATGGCTTAGTAACCTAATTGGGATGGTTACCTTGCAAGACATGCCCCTTCTCCTCATGTCCCCACCTTACCAGCCCGCACTGCCTCCAGACCTGTATCTAGCGGCCGACCTCAGCAGGCTCCATTGGCTAATTACAAAATCAGACCCAGGAGTGGAGGGTTCTCACACCAGAAGAACTGCAAGATTTTGAGAAGAAGGAGAGTCTAAGGGTATTATACTAGGTAGAGAGAAACACAATTTTTGATTGTGCATGTATGCACTTAGCAGATATTCTGGGTTCTATTGGCTTGGTTGGTTGATTCAAAACAGGTCTTATCAGTGCCAGGGATTCATCAGTACAACATAGTAGCAGGAATCCAAAGACTTAGAGTGATAGAAACTTGAAGTGCACTTATTTTTTTGTGACTGCTCATCTACCTTAACAGGTGCATGCCACCATGCCTGGCTCATTTTACCTTTTTTTTTTTTTTAGTAGAGGCGAGGTCTCATTATGTTGCCCAGGCTGGTGGCAAGCTCCTGAGCTCAAGTGATCCTCCCACCTCAGCCTCTCAAAGTGCTGAGATTACAGGTGTGAGCCACTGCACATGACCAAAATGTGGTATATATTTTCTTCTAACCGCCCCCCCCCATTCTTATTCTGTAGAGAAGACCAGGCAGCAGCTTGACTGCAGTTTAGTTCTATCAGATCTCCTCCCTCTTGTAAAAGACACAATTCTGGATATAGATTTGCTTTCCCTGCATGCTACGATCCTGCCACTGCTACTATCAACGGACTTACATTGCAACATTCACTGTTATGGTGAGCCACCCAACACTGCTTCTGAACAACAACAACAAAAAAAGCAAAGCAGTGGGTTCATGCCCATGGGATTCTCTGATTTTTACCATGTTCCTCATTACCCAAAAGAGTGGATTGGCCTGTTGAGAACTCAGTTCCAGCAAGAGTTGAGAGACAACATTGTGAGGTTGGGCTACTATCCCATGGGATGCTCTGATCTAGTGATTAACATTTAGCTGATCTAGAGCTCAATCTAGAGCTCAATGTCTCCATAAACTGAATTTATAGTTAGAATGGTAGTTCTCATTATTACATGTAAATCTCACTTGTAAATATTTTATTTTCCAATTCCACAGATTTGGGCTCTGCTAGCTCAAAGATTTCGTGATGCAAAAGAAAATTACTTTCACTAGGGGACATAACAATGGGTCCATTTAATTGAATGTTGAGACTGCCATTTGATTATTGGGCTCTGCAGGCTACTGGGCCAAAAGGGAAAAACTATGCCACTGTGTTGTGGGATGATTCACCCTGATTATCAAGGGGAAATAAGGTTGGTGCTTTGCAATAGGGGCCAAGAGTAGCTCAGGGATGCTGTTGAATGACACTTATTACTGCCATGGAGAGTGGAAAAAGGTAATGGAAGAGTGGAACAACTCTATGGCATAGACTGCAATATAGGCACGAAAACACATTTCCTTTTTCCTTCTAGGCACATGGTGAGACTATAATTTCCAACCTGCTTTGCAGCTAGTTTTGACCTCCAAAGGTCTATTAGTGGACTGTGAAGAAAGCAGCGTTTGCTATTTCCAGGCCTATCCTATAAAAACTTCCCATGCAATCTTCTGCACTCCATTTGTTCAGAGGCTTAATGCTGATGATGCCAGGGCTCTAGAGAAGGACAGAGCTGTAAGACAGATGGAGCAGGGGTATCTGAAAGTCATCATCATCTGACCAAGGACACCCACTTCAGGCTTTACTCAGAAGAGAAATAAACTTCTGCCAGTTAAAGCACTTTCATTTTCAGGTTTATGTGTTATAGCAGCTGGCATTACCCCAACTAATAGAAAGCCCCTTAAAAGCTAACCCCTTGGGTCAATGGCACACTTCAGACGAGAGCCTGGCCACAGGCCTTGATTCCTATATTCCATCCATGAGGAATACTTTCTGGATGAGGGGATCCAAACAGCAAGAGACTACAAGGAGATGCAAACACAAGAGTTGGAGGAGGTTGAGCTGGAGTGGGTCTATCATCTTAGGAAACTGTACAGTCAGGCAGCTCTGTTGGATGCCTGAAAACTCAGCCTTGGTTCACATGGGAGAGCTTTATTTGAATGCCAGCCACACAGAGAGTATTGATGGCCAGCAAAGATGGGCTGAGAGACGCCATGACCAGTAAGATAAGAGACACTTGCTTTGTCCATTTTCTCCTCTCTGTACCTGATGATGAGGGGTTAGAACTAGAAGATTCATGGAAATGAGGAAAAGGGAAACAATCTCTCCCCAATCCAGTTTCCTTGGGGCTGCAGCCTGGCTGAGGCCAAGGAACTGAAAAAGCTTTAGATTACATATGACACTGGAACTTCCAATTGGACAGGACTAGCCTGGACTATAAAAATGACAAGGCAATCAGAAAGTTAAGGAATTTGTCCAAGTTGTTATGGATAGGGTAGGAAAGAGAGATTCAGAAAGCATGAAACAATGTAGCAATGGAAGAGAGATAAAGTCATTTCGTAATGTTCAACTGTGCCACACACAACTCAGAGCGACACTATCATGACACGCCCATTTTCTCTAGTTTTCACTCTGCGCTGCCAGATGAGCATGGAGGATAATCGGAATGAATCCTAGCACTCTGTCTTCTAATTGTGGAAAAAATGAATTCATAAATGAATAAATAAAAATTGCTGTGTTTCTTCTTGGTAGTTGGTGAGCTGTCTGAGTAGAGCGAAGTTTTCCTAGCAGAGGGAGGTATTCTTAGTGGAGCTGCTGCCTGTGAGGTGCAGGATGATGGTGTCACTGGTTTGGCCTCATATTTTCTGCTTCAAGAGTGGCCTAAATGATCTGATTGTGGCCTGCAACACTTGGTCTCTAAGTAAAGGCCAGGGAGCTTCAGAGTACTAATGTTGGTGGAAACTTTTCCTCATGTCCTACACCAATCAGCACCTCTGGTCTTGGGAGGTCCTCTTAATCCCGCAAATTGAAGAAAGAAATACCTAAAGTTAGCATTTCCCAAAGTGTGTTTCATAGGACTGTAATTGTATTGGATATATATAAATGCTATAGAAGGAAAAAAATCACTATGGTCAAATAACTTGGGTAAATCTGGACTAAACAAAGGCAATAGTTTTTTCTTTACCTCAGGTCTTTTCACAGCCTTTAATATGCTCAAGTGTGGAATGGATCTCATGACAGTCATATACAAAGCAGAATTCCACAGGCTTTTAAGGCCTGGGACTCTCTTTTTACCCTAGATTTCTTGGAGGAGTGAATGTTCATCAGCTCATACTTTGAGACCTGCTGGTCCAATTCATTTCCCCTTTTGCAGAAAAATTCACAGGTAATAAATTGATATGAATAAAAAGAGAAAGTAAAATCCTATTCATTTATCTGAAAGATTATTTGAAGAATTGTCTCTGTTCAAATTATGTGCTTTTTTCCTAGACTAGAGAGAGGGGTAGACCATCCCCTGATAAAGTGAAGGCCGGTGAAACTGGCAAGCATGTTTCATCCCTGTACTAAAGAGCTATGGATTCCTCTGTGACTCTTCTAATAGACAGCCTTTGTGCAAGTGAGTTTTAAAATGAATGCTATGCCTTTGCCTTGTCAGATTCTTCACTTTTCATCACATGCGCCCCCTTTAAACTGCCTATGAGGATAAGAGAAGCACTGCTGGCAGGTCACACATTTTGTTATAATTGGGGTAAACCCTAAATTCACCTTGCTTTTACAGTTGCTTTTATTAGCCACTCATTTGTAAATAGGTACTTCCATATGCTTCTAGGGATGCTTCTTTATATCATTTCACATTTCATATCAGTGTTTTCTAATAAGATAAATTCTATTTTTAAAAACCTTTAAACATAAGCGGAGAAGTAAACTTCCACTATAACAGTGTGGATAAGAAATACGGATTTGGTAAGCATCAGAAGTATCCCAGCAATAACTAAACCACTTTTCATTATGTGTACAATAAAATAAGTCTGAACTTGAAGCCAAGAAATCCAGTTTCTATTTCTTCTGTGTTCCTAATTTGTTCTGTGGCCCTTGGCAAGTTTCTTAACTTCTCTAGGCCTCAGTTTCTTTAACTGTAAAATAAGAAGGCTGGACACAATATCCTCTAGGGACTTTTAGAGCTATGAAATTCTATGATTCTCCTACTATTTTTCCAAATTTTCACATTTAGCAGATTTCAATATGTATCTACCATATGATGCCCTGCGGAGGAACAGTTATGATTTCCGGAACCACACAGCCACGATACATTGAAATAGATGCCCTAACCAGCAATATCATTCCCCATTATTTTATGAAGGATGAACTGGCATGGTTGTTCTAGCCATTGGTCAAAATTGTATTTGGGCATTTGACTACTTAAGTGTGTTACTTTTTCCTAAACATATATAGAGAAGTAAATGTATGATCAAAAACTCAGACTAGCTTTTAACTTCTGAATATCCTACATTGCCAGTAAGAACAAAGTTAGGAAAAAGCTGACATACACACAGTATAGAGAAGAGGCAAAACTTTCCAGAGCTATGTTGTCCAGTTCAGTAGCTATTAGCTACACGTGTCTATTGGCACTTGAGATATTGCTAGTCTGAACTGAGATGTGCAAAACATACACACCAGATTTTGAAGACTCAGCACAAAACAAAGTAAAATATCTCACTATTTTAAAAAAACTTTTACATCTATTTTTACTTTAAAACTTATGGTTTCCATTCTCTTTAAAACACATATGATTCTTTCACTACTTTCTTACTGCCATAATTGCAGTAATTGTTAGGATTACGATAGTGAAAACAAAAGAAGAAGAAAAAAACAATTTAGAAAGACAGTTCTTTCTGTCTCCTTTCAAGGGAACAGCTGAACCAAGATAGCTCCATGGAAAGTAGAGCAGTTTGGAGTGAGAGGGTCTGGGGAGACAGTGACAGGGAAGGCCACTCCTATGCATGGACTATCTTTCCTTGAAATAGTAAAATATACTTTGTAATGGGTACATTTCAGTTCTCACCAGAGAGCACAGGGCATTATTCTGGCTCTCCCATTGGATTGTTTTAAAGAACACTTAAAATGCACAATAGAATTTGATTAAATTATCATCAGCTGCCACCCTCTGACAATTACATACCAGACTAAAAAATCCCTAGATGTACCCCTTAAGATAATTTAAAAAATCAATTTGTTACTTGTGTAAAAAGCAAAAATTGCAAGAATATCTGAACAAAGATTTAGATGGTCCTAATTTCAGAGAATGTCTTTTCTTCTTCCTTCAAGTTTTCATTAAAGAGAAGAGCCAAAGGAAGAGAAAGGAATTAACATCCATTGGCCATCTTTTAGGTACTAGGCATTAGGGAAGGGGATTAAAAAATCTTTGGAATACTTAACTATTGCAACAATCCTGCAGGGTAGACCTCATGATCTCCATTGACAGAGGAGGAAACTGACTCCAGAGTTTGCAAGAAGTTGAATAGGCTGCCCGCATTTGCACAATGCATAATACAGGGTCAGCAATGCATTCTGTTCGCTGCTACTTCCACTGCTACTTCACTGCTTCTCCTTTGTCTCCCGGAAAAAAAATGTGAAAGGAATAACAAGGTGTGAAAAGAATTGAGGATGTGACATGTGTATCACACACAAAGAAATAATGGGGGGAAAATGGTCATATCCATTCTCTTACCTCTGTCTCAGGGATGAAAAGTCAATTTTTAATTATATGGTTTAAGGTTGTCTGGGGGTCAACCTATCAAAAATGCTGAGTTCAGGGTTGGAGATTCTATATGGAGAGAGGCTCAGATTTATTACTGTTGGTGAGGAATAAACCTCCTTACATAAGATAGAGACTGGACTCTGCCTTCAGCCTGCCCTTGACCCTGATGTGAGCAACATGAAGTATGATCTCTCTGAACAATAAATAAATAGCTTGTGGATAGCGTGGTTCAAAGTGTTCGCCATATGATCTAGGGTGCTGATAGCATGTGGGAAACCATGTGGCTATCGCCATCTGCTGACACCTCCATCCTTTTAAGGACACAGATTTGCTTACCTCGTGCAATGCCCTTGAGAGTCTACTGAGAGCTCCTTTTAGCCTTGGGATAACGTGGACCCTAAACCTGGTGGCTGATTCATTCTTTTCCAAATGACATGTCTTTGATTGCTAACTATTTACTAAATATTATTCCTTACATTAACCTGCCTCGTTCAGCTGTCCTCTCTGAAACACGGTGAGGTTTAGATAAACAAAATGGATTCATTCATTCTTAAAAACATACTATCTTGCCAAAAAGTTATTTTTCTGCATGTTCAAAAATATGGCTAAGTGGCAATGTATTCTTAAACGTACAAATCTATGTGAATTTTCTTCCAAAATGAGACAAATTTTGCTCCTTACCATCCTATTAGCATGATTCCACAGCACTCCCCAAGCATCTGAAATCACATCGAATAAGGCAGTAATTGTGATGAAAGACAGTTAGAGGAGAGAACAGTGCTTGGGGACCCCCTTCTCCGTTCAGATGTTGGGCACAAATATTGACATTAAATCCCAGCATGAGGGACCAGATTTTCAAATTCTGCTGATCAAAACAGGTTCACAGCCAGCACACTCAAGTTCAGAGAGAGGACAAAATGACACTGGGAGATGGGGGGCGGGGAATCCCTCCCAAGCAGAGCCCTCCTTTTTTTTAAATCCCCAGTAATGTTCCAGTAGATTAATAGCAGAGAGGCCAGCCAAAGTTGGAGAGGATTTAATGGTGTTTGTGGTAGGATGCAGCACGTGGCAACAAAGGTGTGCCAGAGCTCACCACGAGGCAGGGCCTGGGAAGGACACCTTGGGGAACTAAGACGATCGGAGAGAAATGTGCCTCCTTTTCTCTGCTTCCCATCACCTTCATTCATATTGTGTGCCCACCCCTTCTCAATTAGAGGACTATATTATGATCCTTCAATGAGTCATATAACTGTAACTGAAATAAACTCGAGTGATTTGTTTCAGTGAAAGACACCTTGATTGAGGTGGTTATTAGTAAACTATAGAGTACAATGAGGATAATTGATGTGAATATTGTCATTATTTAGGAATGTCTTCAAATTTTCCCATTAATTTTCCTGTGATTAACAAAACTACTTAAATTTAGCCAACTGAATATAGAAAATGTAAATCATTTGCCACAGTGTAGAACTGCTATTTGTATATACACCATTAATAAAAATTTATACCGCATAATAAATTGTTATATATTTTTAGGCATCTGGTTCTCATTAAAAAATCTGACAAATGTTTTCTATAGTTCAAAAACTGAATGGAAAAAAGAATAAATTATTGGCAATTAAAAGCAAATAGAAATGCAAATATCAATCGTATGAGTACAAACAATGGGCATAAATTAATACAAATATGGTTAATGAATGTCTCAAAATGTCCACAATTCCTTTCTGATCAAAGGAAAAGAAAAATTGTAAAAATTGTAAAACAATTATTTTATAATAAATTTAAATTCCATAATTAAAACAATATTCTAGAATGTGGCTAAAGTATTGCTTCTTGCCTGTGTTTCAGTATATTCAGTTTTTGGCCTTTCATTTGGGGTTAAAAAACCAGAACATATGTTTGGAAATGAGATTGTCTTTCATTTGTTCTCTGAAAACAAGATTTATTCATTTGGGTTTTATTGCTACAAATAAATTACTTATTTGGGGCTTGTTTCTCTAAAGTAAAGGGTTTGTGTAGTAAGTCATGCATAACATTCGCTGTTTCCTGCCACGTGGTCAGTAGCTGCTTGCAGAGAAATTGTATGAGTACTTAGTTTTCACTGTCATTAGAGCAAACTGGAGACAAAAGAATAAAGGAGAACAGTAAAAATCAAATAGAAGAAGACTCTAAATGTATTAGAATGGAGGATAGCTATATAACTGTCGAGTTTGAAATGAAATCACAAAACAACATTTTCTTATGGACACACAAAAGCCACTCAAATCACAAAATTACTCTTGTTGGTGTTGCCTCTGATGTAATGGATTGACTGAAAAAAATGGAATTTTTCTAACTTTGGGCTTGAAAGAATGGCATACAAGGCAAAAAAAAAAAAAAAAAGAAAAAGGAATAGAAAAGATGAAATTATATGGTATCATAAAAATATATTTAAACCCTAAAGAAATTGATTATATGGTAGTAGGATCTAGGATTGAATGGGTGATTCAAAAATTTTCTTCTACCCCATGGTCTTCTCAGCTGGATATTTGGCAACTCGCTCAGTATCTCAAAATCTAAAATAGGTTGAACCATCTATTAATTGATGATATTGAGTACAGTATGGCAAACTCCCTCACCCCCACAGGGAGGCCTTCATATTACACACTTGTGGATAATGGAGTGCTTGGGGACAGGATGCTTTGAGTTACTTAGGCTAATAGAGCAAGAAATTAATTTTAAAGTAGCTTCAATATCATAAAGAGTATATATGTATGTATGTATATGTGCAAACCTATATACACATGCATATGTGCATGCATGTATATATGTATGCATATGTGTCATGCATATGTATGTATATGTTTATGTATATAATTTGAGCTAATCAATATAATAATAGAGGCCTAAGAAAGAAGGTCTGGAGCCTAGAAAAGAAGAAAGGTCTATTTTTATAAAAACTGATGAAATACTTGTGGTAGGGAGTGAGAAGAGTCACAGAAGAGAAGCAAAGAAGTGGAAAGGAAGGAATGTGGACATTCTATGATTTACAGTGAGAACCTGGTGGTGGAGTGGAGGTGGAGATGGGATTCCCCACCTATCAGCTGTATAGGATGCTGAATGGCAAGTATGAGGAAAATGGCATCTAGTTATTAGTAACACTCTTTTAGGGTAGTTACTCTGTGGATACCTTCCCATTATCAATCTCTGATGGTTTTGCTAAATATGACTTAATTAGCAGACATACACTCCATATATGTGATAAGATTCTAAAATGGTGACACAGTCCATGAATAAAACCAGAAAAAGTCTTTTAAGATTTTATCCCAGTTTATAGAAATTTACAGATTTACAAATTTTCTTTTCTGGTACTATTTTAGCACAATTTTTGCATGTACTTAAACATCTAGTTTATCATCAGTTCTTGTTACAACATCAGGCAAGAGTAACATGTTAATAAAGAATAAAAAAAACCTTTAAATACAATTGTTATGAGGCTACACATTTAAATATTTTCAGACTTTAAAATTTGATACTTAGTCAAAGTATTAAGAACACACTTTAAACAGAAAAACATTATGAAAAAAATGTATTTGAGATATAGACTATTATCACAATTTTTCATTTGTTCAAAAGCCATCAGAATGGAACATGTAATAATTCAATCATTCACTGAGAATTATCTTTTGAGTTCCTAACATGTCCTGCCTCATGGAATTTACGTTCTAGTAGAGGAGACACACTCGAAGCAAGTGAATGATAGTCAGGTAATATATTTTTGAATCATTGGTGAGGCCTATGGAGGTAAAGTGGAATGGGTAAAGGGATGCTGAGTAGTAGAGAGTGAGGCGGTGGGTGTTTTATAAAGTCAAGGAGGACCTCTCCGTGAAGAAACTGGAATCATGACAATGAGCCAGTCATGGGAAGAACTGGCGGAAGTTTCCAGTAGAAAAAACAGCAAATGTCGTAGCCACACAGGAAAGAAACTTTCAATGGTCTTAATGAAGCAAGGTCAGAGTAAGTGAATTAGAGTAAGAGATGAGATGACCAGAAATTTTAATGAGTAATGATAAGCAATAACAAGGAAATATGATAAGCAAAGTTTTTGTTTTGTTTTTTTTTTTTGAGACAGAGTCCCACTCTGTCATGCCAGCTGGAGTGCAGTGGCATGATCTTGGCTCATGGCAACCTCCACCTCCCAGGCTCAAGCGATCCTCCCACCTCGGCCTCCTGAGTAGCTGGGACTACAGGTGTGCACAACTATGCCCGGTTAATTTTTGTATTTTTTTTTTTTTTGTAGAGACGGGGCATTGCCATGTTGCCCAGGTTGGATAAGTAAAGTTTTTAAAGCTTTGATTAAAATGTTTGTAATTTATCTCTCTTCTCTTTTAGCTTTTATACTTTATTTTTTTGTGTAAAATATGCTCCTTATAATATATACTCTCTGTATGTGTATATGTGTGCATTTGTGTGTATATGTGTGTGGATGTGTAACATGTGAAGGCGTATGTGCATATATAAGTGTGTTTATAGAGATATGTCTATGTACGCGTGTGTGTGTATTTGTATATTCAGTTGTTCATTGCATGGTAAGAAACAGCATGATATAGTGAACTTTGGGCTGCCTGGGTTTGCACACTGGCTCTTCCATATTCTAGCTCTGCAACCTTTGAAAGGTTATTTAACTTCTCTGTGACTCAGTTTCTTCATCTGTACAACGGGGAGTATTAAAGGACCTATTTTGGAGGAATGTTGTGAGGATGAAATGAATTAATATATGGAAAACTCTTAGAACAATGCCTGGTGTATGGTACATGTGGCAATAGCATAAGTGCCATATAAGTGTTGCATTTATAATTTCCTCAACAGATAACATTTTATCCAAATGAATAGATGATATTGTAATTAATAATTCCAAGTTACATTCTCACAAGCAAAACCAATAACTAAAAAGCCTGACTTGATATGTTTTCATTGGCCACTCAAATCCATTTGCTTTGCAAACTTGTTTGAACTTTTCTTTCTTTTCAGAATATTTTTAGCTTAAAGAGGAAACTACTTATGTTTCTAAATTGGGACAGTTAAATACTCCTGTCCTGGACCGAGGGTGCAGCCAAAAACGTTTTGTAGAGATTAAGGGTGCATTAAACGTATGTCCACTTGAGGGAGCTCTAAGATTCCTCCAAAGCCTGGGTCTTAGAGTCTAACCAGGCTGGAGGCAGCACCTATGACACTGGGTTGGGTTAGTGGAAGAAAAATGTGGAAGAAAAATTTAAAACGTCCAGAATGAAAGCTTGGAAAATAAAGTGCAGGGTAGTAAAACTGATAATTATTTTACTGTTTTCCAGTTATGTATTTAATTGAGGGGAACAGAAACACTTTTTTGAGAACTTCAAACGGCTCAGCTGGAAGCACAGGAATTAGCATAAAGTGAAATATTTATGGGAGCTTAATACTGTTTAAGACTCATTTTCTCCTTGCCTTAAGACATGAAGTCAAATTAACCATTTCTAATTAAAGAGTGAGAAACAAAGTAGTGTAAGACCAGAAGTAGAAGCTAAATGGTGATGCCTAAGTTGTGAAGTCTGAAACAGTCACTTGACATAGAGGTCAAGAATGGGAAGATACAAAATAATTCCTGCAGAACAAGAGAAACAAATCAGGGTGATTTGAAAAGAAACATAATTATAGTAGGCTTACTCTACTCCTTAAGTGAATATTTTTCTTCTAAGAGCAAAGGTCTAAAACTGGACATGGTAATGCCCTTTTATCTCTTTATGTTAGAGGCTGAGCTACAGAGGAAGTGCTATGGTTTGAATATTTATCCCCTCCAAAACTTATGTTGAAATTTAATCCCCAGTGTGGCATTATTGAGACGTGGGACCTTTAAGAGGTTCATGCATGGATTAATGGATTAATGAAATAGTGGGTTAATGAATTAGTGAGTTATCATGGGGAGTAAAGCTGGAGGCTTTATAAGAAGAGGAAGAAAGATCTGAGCTAGCACACTCAGCCTCCTTGCCATGTGGTGGCCTGTGCCACCTTGGGACTCTGCATAGAGTCTCTACCAGCAAGAAAGCCCTCACCAGATATGTCCCCTTGACCTTGGACTTCTCAGCTCTCCAAATTGTAGAAATAAATTCCTTTTCTTTATAAATTACCCAGTTTCAGGCATTCTGTTACGAGCAACAGAAAATGGACTGAGACAGGAAGCGTCCATGAAATATTCAAAATAAGCTGGAACTGCTTTAAATATGATTCATGGGAATTCTGACCCCGCCAAACAGTAATCTGTTAAGGATACTAAAAAGGAAAGAAATTCCCAAAGGGCAAGGAAGACAAAATCCTGGGAATTTCAGGCCAGTCTTTTTCTCCTTATTGCTAAACCACTATGGAGATACGCAATGATTTGATTAAAATATCAATTTTATGCACATAATTTAATTTTAATTGCATCGTGAGTAATCTGTTAAAAAGAGTTTGAACATTTGGCCTCTAAATCATTATAGGCTGAATCACCCTAAGATGAAAATAAGGCAGTGAAGACTGTTATCCAGAAGAAAAGAAAAATATTGCATTTGAATATACTTTCAACAAATGAAAACTATAATTAAAATATAATCATGTGATTAGAAGAATATTTAAAAGAGCATATTGTGTTTCCTGCATATTTTTATATGTGTAGGTTTTACATTTTAAAGAGTTTGTTCGTCTTAACATGGATTTAAGCATTTTGCATAAAGATTCACACTAATCTTTTCATTCACAGTTCATGAAGTCCCCTACAATTGTTTATTAATTAGCATATAATATTTTTACCTGGATGCTATACTGTATTGTTTAGCTTCTTTTGTATACATCTCTAATTTCTCTTTAGAATTATTTTGAGTTTGATTAAACTCAATGGATTTGTTGTTCTACTTGAGGACACAATCAAGATTATTCTGCAGATGGTTTCTAAATCATAGGTTAGTTTTTAAAAAAATAGCATTTTCATTTTTGCACGGAGGATTTGTTTCTCTTTGCTTTGCCTATAAGTTTCTTTTCTCATTTTTCACTGAGTACATTACTCATGGTCTTAAACATCTTCCGCTGCTTTCTTAAAGATGCAACAGGAAGATACATCTGTAGAGGAGGCCTAATGCTTCTGAATTCTCTGTTAATAAATACACTGGAAGTGTATTTTAACGGTGTTTAACATAAATACTTTAATACATACTCTCAGAGACTCTTTTTCTAGTAAGTGAAGGAAAATGAGCCAGACTTTTAAAAAAAGATATTCTCTGCCTGTGATGGTTATACAGACAAACCTGTGTATGATCCCCTAGTGAGTTCTCTATGTCTTTGGAGAAGTCATCTACAGGACAGAGATGACTTTTCTCCCATGCAAGTTAAGTTGATCTTTTAATTTGCAATGGTAGACCCTAAATATCACCTTGAGTGAGAACCTGCAGGAATTCAGAGGCCCTCAACTTCTTAACTGCTGTGTCTAAATTGGGACTTCAGGGCTCTTTCTGTGCCAAAGAGAAAGCAAATTCTCTTCAACTGGGATATTCTGCAAGGAGCGGAATCACTGTTATTTTGACTTTGTTGTTCAGACACGCCACAGTGGCAGCAGAAATAGCATCCGCCAATTAAACGCCCATACAGCATTCAAAGGATATGGAAGATAGAATTTAATTATGAAACAGATGACACTACTCAATCTTAATTGTCATACCAGGATCCAAGTCACTGGCCTGATAATCACCAGCCAGGAGAATGGAGAGCAAAGTCCCTTACGTCACCAAGGGCAAAAAGCCTCAGCCCGTAATTATGCTGCTCCTTAATAATCCCAATTAAGAGCAACAACAACAAAAACACAAAACTTCTTCCTATGTTCTGTGACATTAAGTACTGAGAAATGTTTATTCAGCTACTATGATGGTCCACAATTGCATTTCTCTTTGTCATAATTCATTCTTTCACTAAAAAATCCTTAGGTGGGACTCCGGAGTTTCTTGAATTCTCACAAGTGTTTTCAGAGTTAGAATTCTTTTTACATAAAAAAATTAACCACTTATTGGTTTAGCCAATAATATCAGGGGAACTAGAGACCTATAAAAGCTTCCAAATTGGCACCAGCCATACAGTCGTAAGAGCCAAGCTGCCTTAACAACTTGTTACAAATGCCTAACAGCTCCAGAGAGAAAATATTTTCCTGAGCCTCCAGTTCCTCATTCTGTTTTGCTTTTCTGCAAACTTCACAAAGATAACAGGCAATATGCTTCATTTCCTACCCTCCAATCTATTTTGGCCAAACATTTAATTTCTAACCAGTATGGTGACCAGAACTGGATAACAAGAGGTCTGTTAGCCAGGGTAGTAAAGCACCAGATTTGGAGTCAAACCAGTAGGCTTGCAGTCTTTGTTTTGCCCTTTCTTCCTTTATCACTGACTGAGTCTCTTCACCTTGATCGGACTCAGGTTTTGGAGAATCGGGTAGAGCTTGAGGGCTGTGTTGTAGATTAAATAAAATGATATAGTTTGGGCAGTTGGTACCCTTGGAAATGGCACGCAAGTGCTAGTTAGTATGACGGGTAATTAGACCTGTCAGTGTCAGAATGGAGAAAGAACTAACCTGTATTGAACATCTACTAAGAGTCTATCATTATATAAGGTACTTTTGTACTTTTTATGCCCTATGAGAGATGCATTATTTTCCCCACATTACAGGAAAGGAAATAAATCTTGGAGAGATCAAATAACATGCCTAAGATCAGGGGTTCCCCAACCTCTGGGGCCATGGACCAGTACCAGTCTGCAGCCTGTTAGGAACCCGGCCACACAGCAGGAGGTGAGTGGCAGGTGAACCAGCATTGTAGCCTGAGCTCCGCCTCCTGTATTAGAGGCATTAGATTCTCATAGGAGGGCGAACCCTATTGTGAACTGCGCATGTGAGGGATGCAGGTTGCGTGCTCCTTATGAGTATGTAGCTAACGCATGATGATCTGAGGTGGGACAGTTTCATCCTGAAACCATATCCTCTGCTCACCCCACCACATCTGTGGAAAAATTTTCTTCCACAAAACCAGTTCCTAGTGCCAAAAAGGTTGGGGACCACTGCCTAGGATTGTACAACTGGGTTATTGGCAAAGCTGGGGTGGGAGTCCATGGGTGTCTGACCCTGGGACATACTTTTCTCCATTCCACAAAGTTTGGAATCAAGGTGAATGCAGCTTCCTTCTCCAGCTGATTCACTTCCTGAACCTTGGCACTGGGGATCTGCAGCAGGCAGAACAAAGGCCTTCCAAATATGCCCACGTCCCAATCCACAGAACTATGTTATTAATACCTCACATGGCAAAAGAGACCGCAGATATGGTTAAGGATCTTGAGCTGTGGAGATTATCCTGGATCATCTGGGTGGGTCCAATATAACCACAAAGGTCCTTAGACCTTAAAAGAGGGAGGCAGGTGGGTCAGAGAAGATGGGACAGTGAGGCATGAGTCCGAGACAAAGAGAGAGAGATTTAAACATGCTACACTGTTGGCTTTGAAAATGGCGGAAGGGGCCAAGAAAACAGGTGACCTCTGGAAGCTGGGGATGGTAAGGAAGTGGCTTCTCCTCTAGAGCCTGTAGAAAGAACACAAGCACACCGACAGGCTGATTTTTAGCCCACTGTAATCACCTCTGACCTCTGACCTATAAATCTGTACGAGAATAAGTTTGTATTGTTTTGTGGTAATGTGTTTTGTGGTGTGCGTTGCAGCAGCAAGAAGCAACTAATACTGGTTCCTTGTCTTTTCTGGGTTTCTTAAGCTTCGTTTGTTTAGATGTAGGATGGTTAAGGTAGGGGTCCGTTCCCTCAGGAGGTGGGATGGAGCATGGAGACTGGGCATGTTGATGAGCAGGGAATATCTGAGAAGCACGGCCACAGCTTGTGGCTGACAGGGAAGCTATATTTGATTCTTTACAGAATAAAATTGGAGTTGGAGGCCAAAAGGATGTAAATTCTGGAGGAACCTTGGCAGAAGCCTTGATCTGTGAGGTTTTAGGAAGAGGTTGAAGAACTAGGGTGTTTGCCTCTGATGCACTGCTAGGGAGGGGGAGGTGTACATTCTATTCTAGAACGCTGGGAAAAAGCCAGGAAATATTTCTCTTCTGAACTCCCAAAAACTATAAAGCAAATAACTTCAAAATGTATATGCTTGTTTATTTATTATATTATGCTTATTATATTAATGTACTTCTATACTTGTATACAGTATATGGGACTGGGCAAATAAAAAATATCAGTTGAAAGGGTACATAATGAAAATATGTAAAGTATCCCAAAGCCCAAGTAGATTGTCTTCCACGTCCACCGTGGAGTGGAGGAGAGGGTGAGGAGGGTTTGGGAGAATGTGGTTTGACGGGCGGAGGTGCTTTCCCGCCGTACGTTCCTTTCCTTGTCTCTCGCCCAACTTAGTTTCAGAAAGGGGGTGAAGTGGGATAGGGTGAGGAGATACCTCCACTCTTCTTTCCGAGCATCAGCTAGGCAGGGAGATTTGTGTGCTTTGGAGTTTGAGGAGCCCTGTTTTAAGAGGAGTGTGTCTGCTGTAACCCGATGTGTGGTGCTAGGAGAAGCTGAGCAGCTTCCAGGGATGGGTCATTTTCAGGCTTTGCCCTTATATGGTTGGAACAGGCTCAGCCCTTTCTTATGAAAGCCATGAGACCACCTTTCTTCACATTTGATTCTGAGAAACACAACATACTTCAAAATCCTTAATTAGTCTCACAGAGTGATTTGATTGCATAATAATGAGGATAGTGGGATTTCACTGTCTCATCTTCAAAAGCCTAGTTTTTCACAACGTATTTGCAGTCCCAAACAGTTTCTGAAAATAGCAAAAACGACGAATTTGTGTTCCTAGTTTGTAAAAGCATTTCATGTTCAAGAGGAGTTTGAACTGACCGTTTTCTTCTCGTGTTGGTAGGAAGGAGGTGGGGACCCTGGGAGAGGAGGCAAAAAGGGACAAGAAGTAGGAGAACTGCACTCTGGTTGTGAACTTCCCTAATATGCTGTGTGAACATGGCCAAGTCGCACAACCTCTCTGTGCCCTGGGTTCCTCTTCCAAGAAAAGAAAGCGGCTGATTACTTGAAGAGATGATCACTTGTATGCCATCAGAAATAAGTACTCTGGGCCGGGCGCAGTGGCTCATGCCTGTGATCCCAGCACTTTGGGAGGCCAAGGTGGGCGGATCACCTGAGGTTAGGAGTTTGAGACCACCCTGGCCAACATGGTGAAACCTCGTCTCTATTAAAAATACAAAAATTAGCTGGGCGTGGTGGTGGGCGCCTGTAATCCCAGCTACTTGGGAGGCTGAGACAGGAGAATCACTTGAACCTGGGAAGGGGAGGTTGCAGTGAGCCGAGATTTTGCCACTACAATCCAGCCTGGGTGACTGAGTGAGATGCTATCTCAAAAATACATACATACATACGTACTCTGTGTATACTGTTCAAAGTATATTTTTCTGTGTAATGAGAACATGTCTTCTCAAACCTCCTACCCAATGGGCTACTTAGTTATATCTAACCTGAGAAGTGCATTACTTTATTTCAGGAAAAACCCTATTCTTAGGGCAGCAAAGGACCAGGGCAGGATGTAGGACTCTATGTTTCTCCTGCTAATTATACCTGGGGTATGTTGAATGGAGTATGTACTTGGAATGTGCATTCTGGTTCATTTACTTACCAGCTACGCAATTTTAGGAGAGTTATTTAACCTCTGTGCTATTCAGATTCCTTATCCACAATACTCTGTGGGGAAAACCGCACCCACCATGCAGTACCATTATGCACATTTGAATATGTAACACAGTTGGACAGTGATATGGTTTGGCTCTGTGTCCCCACCCAAATCTCATGTCGAATTGTAATCCCCACTGTTGGAGGATAGGCCTGATGGGAGGTGACTGGATCATGGGGGTGAACTTCCCTCTTGCTGTTCTCATGACAGTTAGTGAGTTCTCACACAATCTGGCTGTTTAAAAGTGTGTAGCACCTCCCCCTTCTCTCTCTTCCTCCTGCTCCGGCCACGTAAGGTATATCTGCTTCCCCTTCGCCAACCACCAAGATTGTAAGTTTCCTGAGGCTTCCTCTGCCATGCTTCCTGTACAGCCTGTGGAACTGTGAGCCAATTAAACCTCTTTTCTTTATAAATTACCCAGTCTCAGTAGTTCTTTATCGCAATGCGGGAATGACTAATACAGACAGTGTATGTCTAGAATGAGCTCTCATGTTGTGTCTATAGTAAGAGTAATAATATCAACAAGCCCAAAGAATACATGGCTCACATCCTCTGAGACTCTGAGGGATGATGTCAGCCCTCTGCGTTGATGCAGTGTCTTCTATAAACACAAAGCCCAGAGTCATTTATGCATCAAATAGAACAGTTAGAACAGAAATCGAGCCATAAAAAGGCATGATTACCAGAAAATCATTCATTGGACAACTCCGTAAAACAGGGTTTCAAAACCTCAGCACTATTTGCATTTGGGCCAGACCATTCTTTGTTGTGGGACTGTCCTGTGCATTGCAGGATGTTAGTGGCATCCCTGGCTTCTACCTGTTAGACACCAGTAGCACCTCCCAGTTGTAACAGTCAGAGATGCCTCCAGGTATTGCCAAATGTTCCCTGGGGAGCAAAATCACCTGTAGTTGACAACCATTGCTTTAAAATTATGAGTTAAGCAATACAGAAAACTTGGCTGAAATATAAATATTGTGAGATTACATGTTAATTTATAAAGGCTAAAAAGAGTATTGAGAGCTGGGTGCAGTGACTTATGTGTGTACTCCCAGCACTTTGGGACGCTGAGGAAGGTGGATCACTTGAGCCCAAGAGTTTGAGACAAGCCTGGGCAACAAGGCAAAATCCTGTTCTACAAAATTTAGAGGGGTGTGGTGGCACGTGCCTGTAGTCCCAGCTACTTGGGAGGCTGAGGTGGGAGGATCACTTGAGCTTAGGGAGGTCACGGCTGCAGTGAGCCATAATTGGGCCACTGTGCTCCAGCCTGGATGACAGAGTGAGACCCTGTCTCAGACAAACAAAAACCCACTAATGAGAGTGATTCAAATTTTGTCTCTGGAAACTTGGAGATTAACTGTGTCTTCTAGCTGTCCATATTACTTTAGATAATTTACTTAAACTCTCAAAGTTTAAGTTCTGTCATTTGTGAAATGGGGATAAAAATCATCCATGTCTTACAGGGTGATATGGTTTAGCTGTGTCCCCACCCAGATCTCATCTTGAATTCCCACATGTTGTGGGGAGGACCCAGTGGGAGGTAACTGAATCATGGGGGCAGGTATTTCTTGTGCTCTTCTCACGATAGTGAATAAGTCTCATGAGATCTGATGGTTTTATAAAGAGGAGTTCCCCCGCACAAACTCTCTCTCTTTGCCTACTGCCATCCATGTGAGATGTGACTTGTTCTTCCTTGCTTCAGCCATGATTGTGAGGCTTCTCCAGCCATATGGAGCTGTAAGTCTATTAAACCTCTTTCTTTTGTAAATTTCCCAGTTTCAGGTATGTCTTTATTAGCAGTCTGAAGACAGACTAGTACGCAGGGTTACCATGAGGATTAAATGAGATAGTGTCATAATGTTGGGCCCACAGAAGCACTTAGTACATGTTGACAATTATTTTTTTCATTGTTGTTTATCGCCACTGCCACCACCATTGTCATTATCACCATCATTGATAAATCTTTCTCTATGCAGCAGGGCAGTATTCTTCAATCATAAAATATAGCTTTAAAAAATAATTATTTTGGCAAATACATTTTAAATTCTTTTATAGAATTTCAAACTTTAGCCTTCCAAATGAAGGGTGCATCAAAATATCCATTCTTCTTTCTTTTCACTTGTCCATTAATTAGTAATGATTATATTGGACACAGTTAAACATGCCTTTCATCCACTGATGCCCACAAGGAATCCAGTGCAACATACACCACCGGAACCAAAATGTAATGTTAATAGAAATTAACAAAAGACAAATCATTCCATAGCATACTAATTAGTTTTTTAAGAATGAAATCACTGAGAGCTGCACATTCTACAAATAATTACAAACAAGAATAAAATAAGAATCTCATTAAACTATTTAAACAAAGTACTGGATTTACAAAACTCCTAAGTTCCACATTAGAGAGCACAAGTATGTTTCCCAGAAGGAGGGATAATGTTACAAAGCTTCCATTTTTTTGAAATCCTAATTTTATTAGCAGCAAAGTAATTAATTTTTTTGACAACAAATTCTTCAAGGAGAAATAAATACAAAGTCAGAATATTGTGAGCAAAGCAGTTAAAGAAAGAGATGAAAATGCATCAAACAAGTTCTAAGAGCAATTTTTATCCGCCACTGTGAAACTGTGTCCTTAAAATGCGGTTCACTTTTAAAAGGGCTTCTAAATAAATCTCTACTACTCTAAAGATAAAGATGGCATCAATGAACTTGTACATAAGTCAACAGGGAAAGAAAATGAGATGTATTTTTTTCAGGTACTGAAAGACACTGTGTAGCTTGAGAGAGTGAAGAGGTGGCTGAAAAGAATGTGTGTGTGAGAGAGAGAGAGAAAGAGTAAGAGAGAGGAAAAGTGAGAGAGAAAGAGGAAAAGTGCGGGAGAGAGAGAGAGTTGGTATTGCAAAAGAACAAATGAGTTCACCGTCTCAAAAAAGTGAGAACTTTGCAAGAAAATATAGTCCCTCAAATATCTAAGGATCATGGTATTGATTAGGATAATGCACAAAATAATGAAAACAGCAGATGACCTATAATTTATAGTAGATTGGCTTAGTTTTATTTTTGCCAAGTGTAATAGAGGCTCTGTGGAATTAGACAGACTTTGATTTAGGTTATAAAATCACCATTAGTGAATTATTCTACTTTAAGGAAGTTCTTAATTTCTCTGGATCTCAATTTCTCATCTGTGTAATGAATTTATCTCTATATGTGTAAATATATACTTATGTTTTATAGATATTAAGAGGATTAAGTGAGATAAAATGTACTAAAGTCTTAGCACTGAACTTGGCACCCAGGAGATGATTCTAATTGCACTGATATCTGAATCATCAGCAGAAAACACTTTCATATTAAGCTCGATTTAATATATTCCTTTGGAAAGTTTTAATTAAAAAAACTTTCTGTAGCATTGTTCCAGACAAAATGTAAAATGCATAAAATTTGATTCATATGACAAATAGAGAAATAAGGAACTTAACATACTTATATCTAATTCACTTTCTCTGATTTATATGCAGGGCAAACTTTATACCTGTATCAATCACTTTTACAAGGTGGCAGGATTACATTCTTAGAATAAGGAAAAATTGGCATTAAGGAATGTTCATTTGATTGTCAGAGTTTTGTCATTATGTATCAGGTATTAACAGTTACATATTTCCAATATTAAAACATTCCTAGAAGTAGTGAATATCCCTATTGAAAAAAAGTCACTTGGCCATTTTAAGATTTATTTCTCTTGTAAGAAGTTTTATAGAAGGGAAGTCTTTCCTATTTTTAAAACTACAATAGAAAAAGGTATTTTATAGTTGCATTGAAAATGTTAGTGGGTAGAGAAAGGCAAGCTAACACATTCTAAAGCTGACTAGCTGGGAGAAAGCCTCCCGGATGGTTTTACATATGGTTTCTCATATAATCCACACAACAAGTCTAGCAGATTTGATCCCCACTTTTGCAAGTGAAAAAAAAAATTAAATAACTTGAGGAACTACCTGTCTCAAAAACTCCTAACTCGTAATGGCCAAATTGGAATTTTAAGTTTCATGTGTAATATTCTACAACCCAAGCTTGTCTACCACATCACATCATCTTTCTTAAACAACTCTCTCCCCAGTACCTTACATGACATTTGCATTGATTAACTGACGAATGTGCCTAAGCTTGTTAGCTTGTGCAAATTGTGAATAAAAGATCAAGTGCAAGATGGCACCGTCATCAAGTTTCATCATAACTCTAAGCCAGGCTTTCTGATTCCTTCCAATTTCTTCCACGAGTCATCAATCTTTGAAGACAGTCTTTTCTCAGGTGTATTTAATAAAATGTTTAATAAAGGTCAGTGAAAAAATATTGAAAAAAAGATAAAATCTTCATCAATGAAATAAGTTTTTTGAAAATTCTAGAGAATGATTTCTCTCTTAATTCCAAGATTCCATTACTTGGAGCTGTTGCGTGTTAATTCTTTCTGAATAGAATTAAAGTTGACTGCAGATGACTGAAATGTATGTGAGTTGAGCACAAGACCAATAAAGGGTTTCTGGTTCTGGCCTATGAAATCAACACTACTGGTATGTAAGGAAAAGAAGTATTGATTCAACCTATCTAATCAGTAGTGTTTACTTTCTAAAGGGTTCTGGCAGTCAGCTGGAGTGCTTGACTGGTGAGTGAGTGACTGGGGACAGACTGAGTCGCTGCTGTTGACAAAGGACTTCGTCAATGTGCAGCCAGGCTGTGCTTGCATAATGAACATTTGGGACATTTATTAAATCGAATTCTGCTCAAGAGATTCAATTTGCATGACAAACTACATGGTTTCTATTTAAATGTCTCCCCCCTGAACAGCCTGTATCCAGGATAGGGTGAGAATTCAGGCAAGACAGCTTAAGATCTTAGTCAAAGGCTAAGGGAAAGAATAAATCCAGATGTTCAGGATGATGCCCCATGGAAAAAAATCCCTTTAGTTCTTAAACTGGATCAGTCACTTGCTTCCCTACACTCCTTACCCATGCTGACCCCTCTTCCTGGGACTCTTGGCCAGTTTTCATCTTCCCACCCCCAGTTTTTCTCTTGGCTTCCTCCTTTTCATCCTTCAGGTTGGGGGATAAAATATCACTGTTACGAAGAGGCTTTTTATAACTTCTGTATCAGAGAATATGCCCCCTCAGTGATTTGCTACCATTATTTCCAGGTCCACCTTCTTCATAGCACGCATTATAGTTTTTATGTACATATGTATTGACTTATTTGTTTACCTTTTTTTTCCTTCCTCCATGAGACTGTAAGCTTCTCAAGGGCAGGGACTGTGTCTATTTTATTCACCTATGTATACTTAGCACCTAGTTCAGTACTTGGTCCTTAGCAATGCCTCATAATGAAATGAATGAACAGATGAGAGAAGAAATAAATAGAGAATTTGGCATCCCTCACTTTAATAACTCACACTAACTCTAAGAGTATCAGATACTATGAGATATAAGGAGTGCAGTATAATGTGCTTATGAAGTTAAAATATTCCAAACACTTTTAAGTGGATTTAGCATATCTGTTGGAGTTGGTCCTGCTTCCTGAGTTCTCACATTTAAAAAAATCAGTATTTTGCTTTGATTTTGGCAACATGAACAACATTGTCTCATTAATTCAAAAAAGGAACTGGTTAGCAGGTAGAACCTTTGAAACTAGGTCCACACACTGACAAGATGCTTTGATGCTCTCCAACATGGAAGATGTGTCACAGAAAAATATAAAGAACTGTTTTTAATTGTGGAAGTGTACAAAGGAAGAATAAGGTTCTAGCTCTAATTTAATAACAAATGTATTACACTAAACTATGCAAAATAAAAGAGAGGTTTAAGACAATTTTAGTAAGTATCTGAGTTTCCCCATTTAAGACTTAAACGATACAATATGTGTGGAAATTAAGAGGGGAACAACTTTTTCATGTGATATACAACTGTCTTCTTCATTGTATGAACTGTGAATGGAGATTGACCTCCTGGACAAAACAAATTCTGATGGTTGATTGATAGTGCATAGAAGTCACTTGAATTTTTAACATTTTAACTAATTCATTTATTCAATAAATACTTACTGAATACTTGTCCCATGCATTGTTCTAGGTGCTGGGAACCCAACAAAGAACAATATATAACAGGTCTTTTCCCTCCTGGAACTTGGAATCCATCAGGGGAAATTGGACAATATACAAATAAACAAATGAATAGAAGTCATTTCAGGATGAGAAACTCCATGCAGGAAATGAAACTGGGTAATGTGATGGTGTATCTGGGGTGAGCTCAACATATAACTGCCTCATTTACATCATTCATGCCTCAGCTCAAAGAGGGCATGAATGATGTGAAGAAGGCAGTCATATGTTGAGCCTGGAAAGGGAGTTTCAGAGAGTAGGAATGGCAAGAGCAAAAGTGTTACAGGGAAAATTGGATATGTTTGATGTATTATAGCCAGGGTGCTCCAGAAAAACAGAACCTACAGGATGTGATGTGTGTGGCTGTGTGTATGTGTATCTCTCTGTCTCTCTCTACCTACCTACCTATCTAGAGAGAGAGACTTTAAGGAACTAGCTTGCACAATTGTGGATGGAGGCTTGGTGAGTCAAAAAAATCTGATGGCTTATCTTGTAGGACTTTAAAACACAGGTAACCTGGAGACACAGAAGAGAATTGCAGTTTGAGTCCAAAGGCCATCTGCTGGCAGAATTCCTTCTTGCTGTGTTTGTGTGTTTGAGTCTTTGTTCTATTCGGCCTTCAATTGCTTGGATGAGGCCCTCCTACATTATGGAAGCTAATCCGCTCAAAATCCACCAATTTAAAAATGCGTTGATCTCATCCAAAAATCACCTTAATAGAAACATTTGGCATAATGATCTGGGCACCTTGGTTCAGCCAAGGTGACCCATAAAATTAACCATCCCATCTAGGAAAGAAGTTAAATGTGACTGAAGCAGAGTGTGCTAGGAAAGAGCGAAGTGGTAGGGGATGAGAGTGGGTTAGTGCTGTGGGAACCACGGGAGCTTTTGAAGCAGCAGGAGTAACATGCTCTGACTTAAATTTTATAGATGACCCTGTGTTAGACCCTGGATTTCACAGAAGCAAGAGACAGAAAGCAGGGATACAAGCTGGAGGTCTGTGCTGGAGTTTGGGCAGGGGGAAATAAATTGTGGTTTGGACTTAGGTTCTGCAAGTGGAGAGAGGAAAGGAAATGGATTCTGGACATATTTGGGCAGAAGAGATGACTGTGCTCTGATGGGCTGAATGTGGGGCTCACAGAAAAGGAACCCAGAGCTTACCCTGGGCTTGGGTAGAATGGGGGAAGATAGCAAGAACACACTTAGGAACTTTCTGTCGAAATAAACGAGAGTGGGTCCAATTTCTTTAAAAACAAAAACCCCTGTGCTTTCTCATATCTACAATTTCTACCAGTAAAATGAGCTCTTTGTTAAATGGATGAAATTGCTGTGCCTTTGGAATTACCTACCCATGTTTTACTTTAATTAACTATAAATCTTTGAGACATGTGAGATAAACCTCTTTCAGGTATAGTTTTCTTTTGGCTATAATTTTAAATACAATGATTGAGCATTGTGTCCTTTTTTTCTGTTTTTGTGAATTTATCTGCTTATAAAATGCCTAATTGCTTCATTGGATAATATATTATAATTAAGCTTAAAATAGTAATGGTTGCAAGAACATATTGCAAGTATATTTCAACTTGGTATTTCCATGATTTTAACTGTTCTGGAATTTCAAATGTATTATAATAATAATGCCATTTTTAGTAATTGGTTGTAAAAACAAATTAAAATTAACTTAATAGACTTTAATGACAATAAAAAAACAAATGCCATCTCTATTTCAGCAAGAAAACTACTAAATATCGAATTTTAGCTTCATCTGTACTTACATTCAATTTTTAACTGTATCTTTTACAGTTTTTAACTGTATTTAACAATTTAACAATGTTTTAACTGTATTTAAGCTAAATATAGCTTAAACGAAACAGGAAGCCATGCCTTAAATCCAAGGTTAATGAAAACATTAGTTAAATAGAGGCAGAGCTGGGCCTGGGACTTGGATTTATTCTCTTACTCCTAGAGGCTTTATATTGTAACTTGTGTGTACCTGTGGCTGAGCTGAAAAATGTTCACCCCCTCAACATCAGTTACTGTGTTTTACCTCGCCACCTAACCATTCAGTTCTTTGAGGTTAGGGAGGATGTCTTGTTGATTACAGCATCCCAGTGTCTGGCATGGTGTCTGGCCCAGGTACTTATTAAAGTGCTCAATTAATAGTCCTGAAATAACTGATTGATTGAATCAGTTCACTTGTGAGTATCCAGCTATTTATTTTGAAATAATATAGGTCCAGGTTTTCACACTGTTGGTTATGACGCATTAGTAGGCCACTAAACCCATCTGGTAAGACTGATGAGAATTTAAAAACAGTTAAACGGAATAGAATATGAAAGAACAGATACTTTTTGATGTAGAAAATTTCTTTTTTTGAATAACCTTTGTTTTAATTATGAGTATATATGGATGTGTGCATTAGGCTGTGATGTGAAATGTATTTCTTATTGTGGTTTACAATTTAAAAAGTTGAAAACCACTATATTTGAAAGTTAAAAATGTTTTTCTTAAAACGGATCTAAATTTATGAAAAATTTTGCCTACTAACAAAAGAGAGACAAAGATTATGTGGAAAATTGACTATTCAACACACAGAACATAGAAATGTACGAACCCCACTTCATTTAACAGGTCTATATTGTTGCACCTATACACGCCCTGGGCTGAATTACTGTGAGGAATATCAACATGCATAATAAAAGGTCCCTCTGCTCAGAGAGCACAACAGCACCCAGGGAGAAGGACCCTAAAACCACACATGAGCCTCTCTACCGTCTCTCAACCAGAAAAAGTTTATGGAAATCTTTTCCTCATCTCTTATGCAACTTAACAGTCACATATTTCTAAACTTCATAACTCAGGCTTTTAGTACTACAGTTAAAATCAATTATAAGTTAATTGGCATTTGCGGGCTAGTCAGGAGTCAAACTGCCATTTATTATTTGGTTTTCATGGATAACTGACTTCCCAATGAATTTTTTGTATAAAACCTATCTCTAAGTTGAATACTCCTTGTTGCATTTTTTTTTTTTTTTTGGTGGCAGGGCTTGCTATATTACAGCAGGAGTCAGTGGACTGTTTTTCTAAAGGGCCAGATAGTAAAGATTTTTACTATCTTTACTACCACATACACTAGATGTGTATGTGGGCCATACACATCTCTGTTGCAACTATTTGACTATGCTATGGTAGAGTGAAAACAGCTATAGGCAATACATACACAATTTGTTCCAAAAATTTTATTTATGGACACTGAAATTTGAATTTTATATAAAATAATATGTAATACAGTATATATCATAAAATACTGTTTTTCTGTTGATTCTTTTTAACTATTTAAAAATGGACAAACCATTTTCAGCCTGCAGGCCACACAAAAGCAGGCAGTGGCTGGATTTGGCCTGAGAGCCATAGATTGCTGTCCCCTGTATTGGAGCAACAACATTTTTTCCCTCAAGGCATGTACAGTAATGTTTACGTGCAACTGAATTGACAAAATAAGCATTAGATTGCAAGCAAACTTCTTAAACTCTGAAATTATTTCATTTTTTAGAACAGACCCTAAGTTTTCAAAAAAAAAAAGTCAGATGTATTTTAAGTTCCAAAACTTCATTGAATGTGTACATAAATGCATGATCTAAATAATATAATAGACTATGTTGTAGAACTTTAAAACACCTTAAGACCCCTTTATACTTTTGCTGTAGGAGGGCATAGATTTTGAAAAAAAACCAAAGGGCCTTCTTCCTACTTTATGATGGTGAGTGTAAACACACAGTCATTATCAGGAAACACAGGTTTTAGGTCATCTGTCTCTTGGTTGCTATGTGGAAATTTGCTGTCCATCGTCAAATTGGATAATCCAGGTTTGATTCTGTGAAGGGAGCTGCCTGGTTTCCTTACATGTGAGTCAAGAACTGTGCAAAGCCTTTACCATCCATCTCATTCAATCTTCCTAATAATGTTAGGAGTTAGGACATGGAGAGAAAAAGAGATTTCTCAGGCTCACTCTGCTGGTGAGTACCAGGTGAAGGCTTTGGCTCTTAGACTTGATTCCGTCCTGCATCTGGATACCTGTGGCAAAGCTCTTTACTTTAGACATGGAGACTTTGAATACCCACAATGAGAAAAAAAAAGAGAAATAGACATGGAGACATTAAAATCATCATTTTGGAATAAATAATGAGTCTGCTGCACACCAGACCTAGAATTTTCAATTTACCTAACTTTATCAGAGTTATATTTTTTATTAGGTTACATCTTCAAAGCATTGATTTGCTCCAGTCAGCAATTATTTTACATGGTAGAACTGAATTGGCTTCCAGCTATTTGGTTTTACATTTTTTATTACCTAAATATTGATGGTACCCCTAAACCTATTACCTTCACAGCATTCTTAAAGGTGTGGATAGTAAAACTAGAAAATTAAATGTCTTAAACTATTTCAGGGACCAGTGTAGAAACTATATTGAAACCTAGGTTGAATAGTATTCATACCTACAGCGGTTTATTATGGTCCAATAAATGTAGTATCTATGTGATATTGTACTTAAAGGATTAAAAAGTAATTAAGTGTTTTCAATAAACAAAGTGTCAGAAAGCATCACTAACTAGTTGATTGTGCTTACTAAAGGACTTTTCTTCTAATTATAGTTGAAAATATACTAATGTTAATTATACACATCATTCAAAAGAATATTCAGTGAGAATTATAGCAGAAAAAAGTTGCCAATTTATCCCAAAGTGGGTAAGATACCTCCTCAGCAGCAGGACTATAATTTCAATCATAGAAACTAGATAAAAAAACAGTAAAATCGAATCACTCATATATGCAACTTAATCCATTTCCATTGGATCTCAGGAATGAACTGATATGAATTGTGAAGCTTTTTACATCGAAGGTTCAAACATTTTGAAGCTAGACATTTTGAAAGTAGCGAGATGAATGTTATAGTATGAAATCATTCAAAATTGGCAGTTTCTATGAGGTTCCAAAACTTTATCAGGACATGCTCACATTTTTTCATTAATTTCAGGTCAAAATTTATCTGCAATCAGTAAATAAAGGCTTACAGAAATGTAGTTCCATTGCCAAATGCCTTAGCTTCGAATGTGATTTTCTTCCAATGTGATTTCTTTTAGATACAACATAATTTCTTTCTGATCCTGAGCATATGGGCCTATGCTAATATGAAATGGTGTCTTAGAAAGATTATTTTTGTTTTCTGCAGAGAGCAGTCATCCTTTGACCTATATTCAATATGCGACACAGATCTGATTGTGCAACCACCATTAGCCTCATCCAAATCCCCTAGTTGGAGGTTGGGGCTTAGGTCAGGGACCATTACTCTTGGGTGTCAGAGCTAAACTTAATTAATGCCTTTTAAAAATATATGGATGATATTTTATTCCCCTTAGGATGTAGAAAAATGGCCTGCAGAATTTAATTCTGAAAAACGTTAAAAACAAGAGTGATTGAGTTGTTTGACATGCCTTGTGACCTCTTTCTGAAGTCAGAAGCTTTGCCCAGTGTGTCTGGTTTTTTCCCAGACTGCTGCCTGTTTTTTTTTTTTTTTTTTAAGGCACAGATTCCTTTCCGTGCACCTTTCTGGTCATCAAGGCCCCCTCTGGTAAATCATTGCCGTTTCAACACAGGCCCTCCCCAGTTGTGACGTTCCAGAGCTCATGAATGCCACAGGGGTAGGGAGTTACAAAGTAGAAGCCTCGGACTCACAATTATGAGGAACAATGGCTGTTTCTATGGTGCCAATGGGCAGAGGAGGGAATTCTTCTTGGGAGCTGGTGCTGAAATGTTTAGCAATCATTTTTCAGTGAGAATTGGCAGGTGCCTGCCAGGAGGGGGGATGTTATGTCAGCACAGGTGTCAGAGAACGCGAGAGGTTTCTGAAGGAGGTAATTGACAAATCAGATAGGGCTGGGGAGGGTGAGGGGAAGAGGGCAATGTGCTATTCGGCTGATAGCTTTAAAAGCAATTTTTAACCAACATTATTTAAGAGCCTTTTAGAAAGCAGAACCCCGTTTCCCAGAGGCATCTGCCAACTGACAGTCCAACAGGAAAAGAGGAAACTACTTCCGAAAAGGCTTTAAAAAAAGGACTTTTAGAGGCTGTTAAAAAGACATACAGTCACATTCTGCATAAACCTGTTTAAGCAGCAGTTTATCGCACAGATTGGTCTGTTTCTTTCACTTAACAGTCTGCTGTTTTCCTTTACCCACCACCCTAACCAACCCCTCACCCACGCTCTAGAGCCTTTCACCCAACAGCTAAGGAGCACCCCTGTTTTCTTGCTGAGCTCCACACAGGACAGAGACACCAACAGCCAATTCCTGTGAGTGTGATTTGGAGATACAATTTTGATTTTAAGCATTTCATCCTTGCAGTAAAATGCATCCGTTCTGCATTTGAATATCTGCAACTTGTGCTGCTTGGGAGATTTTCTGATGGGTGGATTGCAGCCTTAATTCTGCGCTTTCATTGTTTGAGTTCTAACATTCTTTCCCATCCTATTATCTACAGATAACATCCCTATTATCTAGCCAGCGGTGTAGCTTGCATCTATGTTTTCAGATTTGAAGAGTACGCATTCAAAATAACTTCTACCACATATTTTTTGAGAATTTTTCTAGAGACATAAAGCTCTCAGTGAAGGAAAAGTAATTATGCTTATCATCTTATCTTCTGTAATTAGTGCATAGTAGGCAAACAATCAGTACTTGTTGAAGATAGAAATGAGTAAATGAATGAGTATGAATAAATGACTACGGGAAAAATAGGAGTGGGGAATAGCAAAGGAAGGTGTCCAGGGGCACCTACGTGGGCTAGAAAAGCAGCTTCAACTAGCTGGTAGCCTTGATTTCTAGAATTATAAGTCAATTCTCCTATTTTATTTGGGGCATTTTTGGTGGTGGAGCTGTGTGTGTGTGTGTGTGTGTGTGCACGTTCATGTGAACACCATGAGTTTTTGATGCCACAGTTGTGATCTATCACTTTTCTCCAGTCGTTACCCCGTGGACAAGGGCAGGCCGGCAAACAGGTTAGAGTAATACCCTCAGGCCAAGATGACAAACTTCTTCACAGATTTTACATCTCCCATTCTTACTTAATTTTGGCTGCAGTTGGTTCACACCTTCCTAAGCCCAAATGAGAATGAAATCGGGTTGCAGATTTTCTAGGGAATGGTGCTGAAGAGGCTCTGAGGAATTCTGAATTTCAGCCGCATTTGGCACATTACGGTTTCAGCCAAATCACGTTTCAGTGAGTAGAATTATGGGAATATTAGCCCCGGTGGCACATTATATTTGTACACAAAAAAATGTCATGGCTCATTCCAATTAATGAAAAATTTTTTAAAAAGCTTGCAGGTTGCTTAAAAATACCCAGGACCTCCAAGTTGATTGAAAATTTGGAAGAAATAATAGTAACAACAGCAATAGCAGCAGCAGAAACATCTGACATTTTGGGGGTATTTTCACATGCTAGGCCCCTTGTGGAAGTTCTATTAGCAATTAACTGAGTTATTCCTCACAACACCTTGATTAAGTCAAAACTATCATTATTCTCATTTTATTGGTGGAAACTGCACGAGAGAAATGTCCAACAGGGCATCTTTTGGACAAGGTAGTTCTTATACTTAGACAGTCAACTTGGGATTCATTCGTCATACAAAAGTAGGACAGATGAAGAGCTCAGTGATGAGATACCCCCTTTTCTCCAAATTTCACACACATACAGCTAGTCTCCTAATTAAATATGGAGCTTTTATGGTTATGGTTCCTTAATTCTGTCCCCAGATTGCTAGGCCAAACAAACAAACAACAGCAAAACCCCACAAAGCACAAAACCCAACCACAAACAAAACATATTTGTCCTAGTTACATTTGCAGAGAGGTGAACTCACACCGTGGCAAGGTCAGTTCTCAGGGAATACAAACAAGATCAAGAACAAAATTTAAGATTCTAGATTTTATTCCACTTTGGGAACATCCTGTTGTGTGGCATACATCACAACCACCTAAATGCATTTGTGAAAAAAAACAACCCCAGAACCTCATTTTTTTGCCTAAAATTACCCAGATAATAGATGTAGAACTCTGTTGGCTTTTCATTTTATATTTTATAATTATTTCTCACACTGTTTTGACTTGGATTTAGATAAACATCTGCATTTCAGCTTATTCGCCTTTCCAATAAAACCTAAAAGAAAAATAAAGTCCCTAAAGAAGGATTTGGGATATTTATAGTAAGAAAGAAAAAAGAAAACTGTTTTGTGATTCTATTTTTGAAGAACATTTTTTTTTTTCAAGTTTCTTAAAGCTCTAGTGGTTAGGAAAGAGCTAAAGGCAAAAACTTTCTTAAGAAGCACTTCAGAACATACTCATAAAGTTGAAGCCCAAGCCAAATCCCCCCACCCCACAGAGCATGGAAAGTGCTCACATAGCCTGATGTCCTTTGAATCTCTTAAGGTTATTTTCTAAATGAGACTATGAGAACAAAATGAAATTATATTTTCCTTTCAGCTAGTTAAGCCTCAAATCCCTAGATGAAAAAAATGTTTTCCTTTTGGACAGTGATGTATTTCTAGTCAGTCTATTCCCAAAACAAACACACCAAAAACCCACTTCACACACAGGCTAAAATAAAAGATAGGAACAGAGGTCCTTCAAATAATTAGTATTGCTCTAAATTGTCATTTTGCAGGTAACCCTCATTGAACAGAATTCGTGGATTTGGGTCTTGTTATCTATTACCTCTAAAGCTATAGTTTATTAAATAGAATTCCATTGAATCCTTTGCTTATACAATACAGTTGGCCCTCTGTATCTGTGCGTTCAGCTTCCACAGATTCCACCAATCATGGATCAAAAATATTCAGGAAAAAAAACCCAAAAAATAACAATACAAAATAATACAAGTACAAAAATACAGTAAAACAACTATTTACATTGCATTGATAGTGTATTAGGTATTATAAGTAATTTAGAGTTGATTTAAAGTATATGGGAGGATGTAGGTAGGTTATGTGCAAATACTTCACCATTTATATAAGGGACTTGAGCATCCTTGGATTTTGGTATCTGCTGGGGGAAGGAGGGGTGTCCTGAAACCAATTCTCTACAGATACTGATGACTGTACTTATATTTTCACTTAGTATCAGAATCACAAAGTATCAGCAATACTTATTTATTTATTTATTGAGATGAAGTCTCGTTCTGTTAACCAGTCTGGAGTGCAGTGGCGTGATCTCGGCTCACTGCAACCTCCGCCTTCCAGGTTCAAGGGATTCTCCTGCCTCAGCCTCCTGAGTAGCTGGGATTACAGGCACGCACGACCATGCCCGGCAAATTTTTGTATTTTTAGTAGAGATGGGTTTCACCATGTTAACTCGAACTCCTGGCCTCAAGCAATCCACCCACCTCGGCCTCCCAAAGTGCTGGGATTATAGGCGTGAGTCGCCGCACCCCCAGCGATACTGACTTTAAGTGACTAAATCATAGTTTATGGTGTTTGTTGACTACCCAGCATCTTTCTCACCCTTTTCTTTCTTCCAAACAGAATCTCAGTTTTGTTCAAGTATTTGCCTTCTGCAAACACACACACACACACACACACACACACACACAATTTAAGAAAAGCTGGTCCCAAGAATGGGTCTTTATTCTAAAAAGCTAAATAGCACCTAGAATTTCCAGCACTTAATATTGTATTGAGTGGTCATATGACCTAAGTTGGCACAATGAGCTGAAGGACATTACCCTTAATCCTTAATTGTGAGAAAGATTTTTTTTTCTCTTTTCTACTAGACAAAAATATGGAAGGGTGTAGCTCCAATTGCCACCAGCAACCATCTTCGACTCTGAGGCAAATCACCAGGTGAATGACTTTGATGCTGAGGATAGCAGGAGGGAGATAGAAAGATCCTGAAATTTTGGTTATATCACTGATCTAACAGATCGATTGCAGCCTGCTTTCCTGTAGACTGTCTCTTATGTAAAATAATAATTTTACTTCTGTTTAATCCAGTTCGAGATGGGATTTTCTCTTACTCATAGTCCAAAGTGTCCCAATATACCAGCTGAAAACACTTAGAGAATCAGAGTGAGAAGCAATCAGATCTTTAGGATGCTGAGCATGAATGACTGTAGCTTGCTTTTCTGACCGCCTTTCCCGTTAATAGGGTTACTTATTGCCTTCCCCTTTACTCCCACTAGCTTAATCACTCCTGAAAATTTTTTAACTCTCTACTTCTCATTCTAAAGCTGGGGATGTGCAGTGTGGGAGAGGATGCCCTAAACCAGTTTAGATCACTTGTATTAATAAGAGAGGTTACTGATTGGAAGGCTTTAAGCAAGAGAATTGTGCAGAGGCTCAAACACAATGCTGGGAATCACTGATCTCATTTTTTTGAGCCTGTAGTTTCTACTCCTTTTCCTTGGAAGTTGCAATTTCCCACAGTGGTGAGATGCAGTAGAAGATTTGCCAAAAGCTACCATGGTACCTACTCTAGTCTAGGAAATTCACTTATGTTAAAAAAACAAACAAACATAAAAACCTAATTTCTATTCTATTGATTAGTAAGTTTAAAATTCTCCATATACCTTTGGCTTCAGAATGATGGATATCACATTAAATAGGGAATTATAAGGGAAATCATCCAGACCTCTCCCACTTCATCTCACAACCTTACAAAACAGTTGGCATGCTCAGATAGAGCTGGGTTGAACTGCATGTTTCACTGCCAAGCAATATTCATGAAGATCCTATTCCATGCATTGACGGCCACTTGAGGAATGAAATTGGACTACATAATCAGTTGAATTTAATTCAGTCTTTTTGGTACAGCCATGTTCAAGGTTACAACAAGGTACATAGAATCTGGTATTAGACTACCTGTAGAAACTCAAGAAACATTTCCAAGGTTGGAATTTGAAGCAAAGGTAATTTTGCTCATGAAACACATACATAAGGGTTTTCCATAGTTTTTTTTGTAGATTCAGTTTGATGTGCTACTATGGGTTGATAACAAACTAAAAGATAAGCAAAGTTTATCATACTAGCCTACACCAATAAGAAATAATATACAGCCACAGTTTCCACCATGAACAAATAAAAACTGTAAACAATTCAATGCCTTGGAGTAGAGTAACCAAAAAAATGTCAACTTCCCTATAAGACACTCAATTATCCTGTTAGGAGATCCATCAGTTATAGAATCTGTAACCCTATTTCAGACATTTGGCCAAAGGTACCTGTTGGTAGAAGAGCTGAGGCAGGACTGGCTTGTTTGTCGTAATATAAAAGATCCTTGGAGGATGTCCGGGGTCCAGGGTCTAAAACCCCTCGTGGCCTTTGGAACACCAAGCTCTGTGCCAAAGGGTGGAAGGCTGCACTGCCACGCCACAAATCTAAGCCCAGGGCATAAAACCCCTTGCGGCTTGGATGGAATCCAGGGCTCAGGGCATAAAGCCCCTCGTAGCCTCTGGAATGTGCACAGACTTGTTGGTTGCTCTCCCAGGCTCATAAACATGCTCTCCATTATATCAAGCAGCAGAGCATATTCTATATGTGTCAAAGAAAATGCTAAACTGTCACAGCTACACTTGATGCACTGCTACCTTTCTACTCCAGCAATAAATAGTGTGGGCTCCCAGAGCTCCGGGCCTTCACAGCCTCCAATCTAGCGTTAGCCCCCTGGATACACTTTATGCACTCTTAACTTGTCTTTTCTCATTCCTTTGACCCCACTGGACTTTGTAGCCCCGACGGCCTGGTGTTGGGCTTGATCACCCCAACAGGCACCAAGGTCATCTCGGGAATATTTCCCTTCTGTTGGGTGTAACCCTTTGAACAGTCTAGAAGGCTGGCCCCAATCTTCTTGCTTCTTAAGTGTATTGCCTCGATGTATCCAAAGAAATCAAATTATTAGAAAAGAAAACTAACCTCCAACACAAAAAATGTAGAGAGGTATATAAATGTTGTCCAGAGTTTCATAATGAGTTCTCTCCTTTTGTTCTCTCAACAAACATCTAATGTGTTCTTGCCATTTGTCAAAAACAAGGCTAGGCCTTTTTGGTAAAAGGAAGACTCAGTGGCTTTGTTTTCCAGATGTTTACAGTGTGATAGGTGAGACCTAGACAGTCATGCAGAGACTTTTGAAAAGATGTTTTTACAGTTACGCTTAGACTAAGTAAAGGCTCTGACACACTCACACCATTAGGAATCTAAGCTAAGAGTCAGATAGGTAGGTGGGGGTCAGAGAATGCTTCTTGGAGAAGCAGATTCTTGGTCTTTGTCCTGAAGATCCAATAAGATTTGGCCAGGTGAAGATGAGTGGGAGCACTGGTCAGCTGGATATTAGCAAGGAGTGTGAGTGTCAACACATTCAACTCCAGAGTTAGTAATGGAAGATCCCAATAGATTTCATGACTAAAAGACCTGAATTCTGAAAGAATAACTTTCTAAAATAGCAGCTTTTAATGGTCATGTTTAATTTTGACCACATACTGCACCTCATCTGACATCAAGGCATGGCATTATCTGTGGCACTTGACACAATGCCTTGCCCAAAAGTGTTCATTAAATGGCTGAGTCGAATTGAAATCCTATCACCTCAATCCTAAATTTTAACTAGTCTTCTTGTGTAGAGTGATTTCTTGCTGAACTGTATTTTGACTGACCAGTATATGTATGGCTTTGTGCTTTGTGGCAAAATCACTGGGGAAATTGTAGGGATTAGTGAAGGGACCACCAAGAAAATATTCTGAGGCATATCGTCAAAAATATAAAACCATGTTAAGCTTTTGGTAGTGAAGGGAGGTATGGTGCTTCTTTCTAAGCTGAGTAGGAGGTTCAAAGCCAAACCTGAAAATGAATAGAAACCTTACAAATCATGAAACTCAAAGCTAATTTCTGTATTAATGTAAGATGTAAGTATGGGCGAATAGAAAACATAATCAATTCTGAATATCCTATTCATTATATACAAAGCTAGTATTATTGGTCTTGGATAGAGTATGAGGAAATAATCTATTTTCCGTAAATTGCTAGTCGATGTATGTTTGTCTTGTTACCTGCTTTCTCTGCAGAACTGAGCACAGGGGCCCTCGGTAAACATTACAGAATGAATAAAGTAATTAATGATGAATCTGAACCTTTCAAACACCCTTGCGAGGTTTCCCTTGGGACCAACAGTAAGTGATTATAAGACTGACTCAAATTAAAGCGAACAGATAGGCCTAAAGCTAAAAGGCCTCTATGAGGCTGAAACCTGTTGCTTTGGGCTATAATTAATTGATCTCACTTGTTATAGAATATACTGGTACACTCACTGAAGGATGAAAAAGAAAATGGATTTCCTTTCTAACTGTATTTTTAAGCCTTGAGAAATGTGTACATGTTACATATAAGATATATGTATATATAAAATACCCATACCTTTGACTTTTTTTGTATTTGAGATTCATACATTTGAATCTATCTATCCTGTCTATTTTCTATGTATCCATCTATCTACCTATCTATCTGTCTATTTTCCATCTATTCTATCATCTATCTATCTATCTGTCATCTATCTATTCTATGATCTCAGTACATGTATATAGAGCACAAAAGGCACAAGAATGCAACAGTTCAAACAATGTGGGTTCTCAAGGGTGCCACGATTGAATTTTAGCTCCAAAAAGAACCAACTATGTGACCTTGGGCAAATTGCTTAATTGTTCTGTTCCCTAGTTTTATCTTTAAAACTGAGAAGATTGACAGTATTTACTTGAAAGTCTTGTTGTGAACATTAAACTCATGTAAGATATTTAGAATGATGCCTGAAATATTGTAAGTGCTAAGCGTTAGGTTTTATTATTCTACTTCATTTTCCCAGTCATCTTTCTTATTTTTAATCCTTAAGTAACAAAATTCAAAATACTTTAAAAAGAACATATAGGATTATTTGGATGAGAGGCAAAAAAAAGTCATTCACTTAGCAAATAAGCAATTGTTTTATTTATGATAGAAAATACATGGTCACACATATGGCTACTAAAACTGTAAGAGAAAAAAAATCTTGGCAAGGACATTGTTTAGTTTAGGTATGAATTCTAAAAAATAAAATATGTTAAAAGTGTAAACTCAGGGGTACATTCTGTTTCCAAACACAAACTAAGAATTAAAATATCAAAATGACAGACTTCTGCTAATCTGCTTAGGAAGGCATAAATTATTAATCAGGCTTCAGGCAACAATGTTGAATACCAACCTTAATAAAACGCCTGCCTGGAGGAAGGTGAGGGCTGGTGGCTCCGTTATTGAAAGCTGGGCTGCCCTATCAAGTTGCTTAGTCTTCCTGGCTCTCAGGACACCACTGATAGGGCTTCCTTCAAAATAGGCTCATTTGAAAGTGGTCAGAATTATAAAAAATTAAGTTGTTAGCATGAGATAGAAAAGTGTATTTTCACTGGCAAGCATGAGCTTGAACAGGAAATCAGTTGTAAAAATATTTAAGAGATGCTTTCGTAGCTTACATGAGAAGAATTTCACCTAGTAAGCATTTATTGAGCCTTCCCTATGTGCTTACAGTTACAAGGGATGCCCTCATCTTAAAACTCTCATCTTGAGTTGGCAAAGTGATATTTTAAAGCCATTTTCTCCTTTCTCCCCCAACCTGGATTTATCTATTCCATAAAGCATCTTATGTTTGTATCAGGTGGGCTTTTGCTGTGCAGGGAATCAAATAATGGATTTTCCCAAAAGTCTTGGCTGAATATCATTCTTAGGAACACTTGTCAATCAGGTAAAACCTAAATTGGAAAGTACTTGACAAACTCAGCATCTCCTTGGTAGTCAGAATCTTGTAGCTGCTTTTTTTTGATTGTGGAGTTTAACATGCAGTCCAAATTTCACTTCTCGCTTTAAAGTCTTTTACAAGATTATAGACATTAGTGCATATTTTAAAATCCAAAACGGGACAGGTTTGGCTCTCATCTTCTGTGATTGGTTTCTCTAACCAGCCGTGATAAAAAGATTATCATACAAAGAAAAAAGAGAAAAAAGCCATTTAAAAATCCATTTTGGTTTAGTGAGAAATTGGGAAGCAAACATATGCTCAATTAATGTTCAGAACCTCAAAGGTGCAAAGCCAACTTTTTATTCTATAGTGCCCAATTAATCCAGCCTACGGTTTCAATAATTTCTCCTTTCTCTGCCCACCACATAGAAATCTTTTATTATATCAAATTAAACTCAGTTGCTTGAGAGCACTTTACTCTTATGTTGCTTCCAACTTCATATTTTAAATAAAGTACCCGTCCTCCCTAGCGTTACGTTTGGGGAGAAAGTGGTTATTCAGATAACCACTAAGCACCTTGCTCTGTCCACTCATGTACTGAGGTCATCTCTTCAATTTAATTTCATTGCTTTTTGGAACACAAAGTACATGCCCATTTAAACTCAAGAAGAAAAAGTTTTCTAAGAAAAACAAACCACAGTGCTCTTTGGAAAGATATTTTGGAGTGTGGTAACAGAATCAAAAGTGAACTTGAGGAAGAAAAAAAGTATCAGACAAAATATCTAAATACAGCACTTGCATTTGACATTCCTGCATTCTTATCTTAAATGCAATTTTCTTCCAGGTAATAGCATTTGCTATGAATGCAAAAGTTATGGCTGAGCAGGCACTTTTTGTATCTGGAGGTTTGGGACCACCTCCTCTTGGGTACATTAACTCGTAAGTGACTCCACTTCATTCTGTTGTCTTAATTAGGACCTGCCTGACAATCATTAAAAAATCAGGAAACAACAGGTGCTGGAGAGGATGTGGAGAAATAGGAACACTTTTACACTGTTGGTGGGACTGTAAACTAGTTCAACCATTGTGGAAGTCAGTGTGGCGATTCCTCAGGGATCTAGAACTGGAAATACCATTTGACCCAGCCATCCCATTACTGGGTATATACCCAAAGGACTATAAATCATGCTGCTATAAAGACACATGCACACGTATGTTTATTGTGGCATTATTCACGATAGCAAAGACTTGGAACCAACCCAAATGTCCATCAATGATAGACTGGATTAAGAAAATGTGGCACATATACACCATGGAATACTATGCAGCCATAAAAAATGATGAGTTCATGTCCTTTGTAGGGACATGGATGAAATTGGAAATCATCATTCTCAGTAAACTGTCGCAAGAACAAAAAACCAAACACCGCATATTCTCACTCATAGGTGGGAATTGAACAATGAGATCACATGGACACAGGAAGGGGAATATCACACTCTGGGGACTGTTGTGGGGTGGGGGGAGGGGGGAGGGATAGCATTGGGAGATATACCTAATGCTAGATGACGAGTTAGTGGGTGCAGCGCACCAGCATGGCACATGTATACATATGTAACTAACCTGCACAATGTGCACATGTACCCTAAAACTTAAAGTATAATAATAAAAAATAAATAAAAAAAAAAAAGGACCTGCCTGAAACATCTCTCTCTCTCTCTCGCTTTATAAAAAAGCAGGTAAATCAGAGAGGGAAAATGTGGAACTGATATTTATCACAAGGCCACACTAATAGAATTAATCTTTTATGAAACACTGACAATATCTCTACTAGATACTTTTAAACAAGTAGCTTAATACAAGAATAATTGTTGGGAGAAAAGTCGCTGAACTTGGTTCAAATGAGGAGTCAGCAGTAATGTAACAGTCAAGGTAGATTTTATCATTTTGCATTGGTAATTAGACTGACCACAAGCCATTTTGATTGGTATTAAATTAGAAACTGTTGCTAAGGGGAGCTTAGAATATTTTGTTGAGTACAAAACTGAGCAGTTGCAAATATATATATATTTTGCATATATATATGTGTGTGTATATATACATATAGTTTTATATATGTCACATATATACACATATATATGTGACATATACATATATGCGTGTATATGTTACATATATACACGCATATATGTATATATGTAACATATATACGCATGTATGTATATATGTGTATATATACATACAGTTGCATATATATATATGTGTGTGTATATATATATATTTTTTTGAGGTGAAGTTTTGCTCTTATCACCCAGGCTGGAGTAGAATGGCGTGATCTGGGCTCACTGCAACCTCCGCCTCCTGGGTTCCAGCGATTCTCCCTCTCAGCCTCCTGAGTAGCTGGGATTATAGGTGCCTGCCACCATATCTGGCTAAGTTTTTTGTATTTTTAGTAGAGATGGGGTTTCACTATGTTGGTCAGGCTGGTCTCAAACTCCTAACCTCAGTTGATCCGCCTGCCTTGGCCTCCCAAAGTGCTGGGATTAGAGGCATGAGCCACCATGCCCGGCCTGCAAATATTTTAAAGTGGATGCTAGTAGATTAATGAGACTCTCTTTCTTTTTTAATTCTGCAAAAGGAGATTTAAGCTTTGCAGTTAAAAATACGATAAGCTCATTTTAATGACTGAAATCTATACTATACACTAGAAGGCAATTGCTTTTTGAAGTAAAAATGTATATCTCAAAACACAGACCAACATGTTAGTAAATTTTTGTCTACAATTATACAAAGTTCACTTTTAGAAAAAAAAAGACACTGATTTTATAATTTATATGGTTAAGGTGGGCTGTGTTTGTTCCGGCTTATAGAGTTAGATATAAATTTAAAACTTTTCATTTCCCACTGAATTATCCGCTTTGTAATCAAGTGGGCAAATTCACTATTAATGACACATTCTGGCCATGAGCTTGGCAAAGCATATTTTTTTTGAGGATATGTTAATATGGTCAAAGATCATATTAGTATTCCAAATGTTAGTATTAATCTCTGTAAGTTTTAATTAAGAGACCCAAGGATACCTTTTCATTAAATGGCTTTTGTTTAGTTTGTCTTTTTGGTGTTTTAAATATAATTATAATTCCCCTTTACTTTTTGTTCATCCAGATAAGAAGGAAGAGAACCAGGTCAATCATTTCTCAACATGATGTCAGTCATTGTATTAAACCAGTGGTCCCCAGACTTTTGGATTTCATGGAACATTAACAGTTTTATTTTTTAAAGGGGAGAGGATTGACATTGAGTTACTTGCCAAATTTAAATTTTGCCAAGGAAAGAGCCATCATAATCTTTCCCCATATTTCCATGAAAGAATTGACATTTTAACTTCAAAGCAGTGGGAAGGTTACTGTCTGATTTCTTTAAATCAAATAAATTGAGATTTATGAGACACACAATAGGTTGTCATCATTTCTCATATCTAACCACTGACCAATGATTTTTTTTATTTCAAAGATGGATACAACTTTGGGTCTCCTGGGGAATCACTGATTTAGATAAGGTTTACTCAAAACTGCCATCAATCCATTACAAATAAAACAAAACCCCAAACCTTATCATATGTCTCCCTAGCAATGGTCAATATTTTGAGGGAAAATATTAATTCTTCTTTGCAATAGGAAATTTGCAAAATGTAGGAACACACAAAATTCTTAAAGAAGCCTACATCCTTATCTTCACCGCAAGTATCCACATTTGTCCCTTCACAGAATAATTATAAATAATAATATTCTTTATTTAAATTTCCTCTTTAATTTTTAATGCCAGAATTAAATGGTGATGATAAAAAGCAATAACATTCAACAACTAGAAATCAAGCCACAGCAGAGAAAGATAGAGATAAGAGAACAAAATAAATCAAATATATCCATGGATAAGTTATTCATCTCTCTGGTCATCAGTTATCTCACAGTTAAATGAAGAGTATTAGATAAAGTCATCTTTAAGCTCCTTCCTGTGTCTCACATTCTCTGATTATATTTCTAATGATCAAACTTTCCTTGAAGGCTAGATTAACTACATGACTTTTTGAATGGCGGCAATAGAAAGAAGAGAATATAATGAAAATGGCTCATCAATGTCAACCATATAAAACGTGACTGTATTAAGAGGGTTTCTTCCTCCCTCCCTTCCTCCCTCTCTCCCTCACTCCTCTCTCTCCCTCCTTCCTTCTCCCAACTTCCCTCCCTTTCTCCTTTCCTCCCTCCCTCTTTCTTTCCTTGCTTTTGTGGCGATTGTTTTCTGGTGGCATGGTAGTGGTGTGTATATGTGTGTGTGTGTGTGTGTGTGTGTGTGTGTATGTATGTGTGAAATTTTACTTGGTAAATCATTCAGAACAAATACCAAATTGTGATAGTAATGAAGTAACAAAATAAATGTGGTCATAAAAAATTATTTTTACTTACTAGATGAAGAAGGACACAAACACTATCTTACTTAGCTCTACCCAGAGTCCCAAATGCTACATCCATGGTAATGTCAACGAGCTGAGAATGGACTGATGCCCTTAGTGGGTGCTGTGAGGTTGAGGTGTCCCTCCCCTCTCAATGCAATGAACAGGTGTCATTTTAGCTACCTTCCTGAAATACCCCTTTCCTCATAAAGATCCCTCTGAAGGCAGGATAAGATAATTTATTCTCATATAAAAAGTACCATCATTATGTTCATAAAAATGGCCCACACAATGCTTTCTACTACAATTATAAATTCTGACACATGCTTGCAGATGATTTTTCAAAAATGAATAACTTAAAAACATCTTCCTGAGCCTTCACATCTGCCAAGCTCTGGTCAAAATAATCAAATCATTCCCATGCCCTCTGCTGCTCTGTAGTTCTCAGAGAGAGTCACACTTTTACTTCTAAGACATCACAACTGTTTGTTAACAGCACCTTCATTAAGTGCTTGGCTCAAACAGAGATTCCCTGGAAATTCAAACCAAAAAAGGGCTAAGTAAAGAGGATACAAGTATAGTAGGGTCATTTTGATTTACTGTGTAATTATTGCTATGCGAAATGCATGTAAAATACTTAGAAGAGGGTGTGACATAGAAAAGCTCAGTAAAGGTTAGTTTATTATTTATTATCATTATTATTTGGATGTATAAAAGTTCTGAGCCAAGATACTGGTGAGTGCTTTTTATCTTTGAGATATATATATATATATATATATATATATATACACACACACACACACATACACACACACACATACACACACACACAAACGTATATATTATCAACTCTTTTCCTTCTATCCATGATATATATATGTGTGTGTATAGATATATATGCTCTGAGCATATATATACACATATGTGTGTATACATATATATACACATATGTGTGTGTACATATATATACACATATGTGTGTGTACATATATACACATATGTGTGTGTATATATACACATATGTGTGTGTATATATACACATATGTGTGTACATATATACACCATGTAAAGTACATATATACATATATACACCATATATATCATATATATACATCATATATATACACCATATGTATATACACACACATATATTATCAACTCTTTTCCTTCTGTCCACTATATATATGTGTGTGTATAGATATATATGCTCTGAGCATATATATATACACATATGTGTGTGTGTGTATGTGTGTGTATATATATATATTTACCATGTAAAGAGGTGAGGGGTTGCTGTCTTGTAGCTCTGCCTTTCATCATGCTATATCACACACAGGATCCAAATGGGTGACAAGTAGAATACTTGGTCTATATTATTACTGTATACTTTGGATTGCAGGCATCAGAGGAATACATGGTTTTTCTATTTAGCATGCAGGACAATAAAGATAATAGAAGGAAAAGAGTTGATATTCTTCAATGCACTAAGGAAATCTTTTCGTTGATTCTGATGCAATTTCAGACCACTTTGAAAAAGATATTCCTCCAGTTAATTTACCATCCACCCAGGGTTACCTCCCTTAGATGGTGATTTTTTAAAGGTAATTTTCAAGTTTGCATTTTATGGTAGAGATGAGTAGTGTGTATAAATATGTTAATGATGTAATTATGTTTATAAGGTGGCATTTAACAGTAGCACTATTTATAAAGAGGAAAATGCACCCTATGTAAAAATGGCAATTTTGATTCTATTTCTATTCTTATGTTTCCCTCTGCTGTAAAAATTTACGTCCTCATCTCTTTCCATTTCACTCACTTGGACACTTCCCCAAGTTAATTTTTTCTTGCTGTTTTCTCTTCCTATAACTTATTAGGTCTCTTGGATATCTTTTGGCCAGACCTACCAATTTAGGAAATTAGAGAAAGAGAAAACACAGTGTTCTTTCAAGTGCTGAAATATGAAGATAAATCATACCCTGTGGTATGCTAGCTTTATGTGCCTCATCTTCTTCATAAGTCGTTTCTCCCACAAGATAGTACCACATACACTAAGAAAAGCTTGCAAACCATGCTGCCCATTTACATGACAAATCAAATTTAATATTAACACTCTGGCATTAATGAAATTCTACCTCTTATAAATCATAACAAGGTGATCTGATTCCTGGAAGAAACCAGCACCCAATGGTGTTAGTGTAAAGATATTAAACAGATGAAATAATCTTTAATAGTCTCTGCATATGAGTCTACTCCACATTTATGAATGTGTGCTCAGAGCATTCAGCCTTCAATAACTTTTCTTTGTTGGAAGAGTTGAAAGTTTCTTGGAGAGTTCAATTTTGAACAACTAGACTGTTGGCTGCAGATGGCTCCCTCTGACCCAACTATTTAGTAGTAATTTTGAATGCACCACTTCTTTGAAGGGTTGTTTATACTCTCCCCTCTTCCCTTATCTTCCTACTTTGTGGGTGATAGCATCACAAACACTATACACATTTGGTTCAATAGCTAATTAGAGAGAACCTGAAGTTCCTCATAAGATTGTTTTGAAAAAGAGAGGCTTCTGTACGAATAGAAACTTAAAAAAGTAGACCAGTTAATCTTTGGAAAAGGCAAGCTGGAACAAAAATATTACTATTTAGTTTCAGTAAAGTGCTTCAAGCACTCATCTGTCTTCAAAATAAAATAAAAATCCCAAGGGAGAAAACAACATGAAAAAAACGAAGAAGAAAAGAAAATCAGCCCATATGCTGCATTTCTGTATTTCTTCTCTAATATTCTTGGAACATTGTCACAACTGGGTGCTGTGTTTGCGTGTGTGTGTATGCCTTCTTCTTTCTGCAGTTCTCCTATTACCATAATGTTCTTGAGTCTTTGAATTTAGAATCATTATTCAGAAAAATATTTAAACCAGAGAAAGTTTGATTGTCTACATTTTCACTTTTTTTGTGAAGTAAATAAAGTGTGCTCAGTAGACACTGACTAGGTTGAAACACTGTTAAGAATGCAATTCAGACTGAGTCACTGCTTGTTATTTTTATAAGTGAGACCCTAATTCTGACGGACACCAAAGAATAAGCAGCCATGACTAAGCAAGAAGCACAAGGCAACTGGATTCTGCTGGATGTTATCTTATTTGGAACACATTTCAAACTTTAGAACAGATTTTTAAATTGGAAGTTGAAACCTGCAGGCTGTCAGCAGAAGAGGCTGATTCACCCTACAGAAATTATGCTGCTCCAAGTTCCAGGCAGAGTATTTTAAGGAGTAGGTTACCTAAAATGTGTTGTGATACATCAAGGAAAGAAATGAAACAGAAAAAACCTGGAGTAAGGATGACACAGGTATCTAAACAGCTTTTGGATGTTCAACATATATTTATTTGAACGGGGAATTCTTTGAATTAGATGGCCTTAGTTCAGCATAACTTGTGAATGTTCACAGATTTCTGAAACAGTCATTGCACTTTTTTTTCCTGCAAATATTTCTTTTCTTGTTGTTGGTTGGGGGGCGGGGGGCGGCGGCGCTCTTCATGTAGAACTTTTGGAGTTCTAAATATAATGTTATTATTGTTATTGAGTAAATTAGAAGTAAGGAAGTAGAGTCTTGGAAAAGATCAGAAATAAGAAAATCTTATATTGATGATGGTAAATTCTTTATTAATTGGCCATTGCTTTCATTTGGAATCATCCAGCAGTTACCAAAAGTCTAGATATTCAGAAAACCATAAAAATATTTGTAAGTCCCCTAAATTAGAGGAAGTACAGAAATAATAGCAATAATGATTTGACCTGTCACAAATATTAAGATAGTGCTTAGAGAATACTAACTTGTCTACAGAGAAAAAGTTGTTATACTCTTATCTTAGGTAACAAAATCCATTCTGCAGCTGAACTCCAGGGAGAAATGCATGGAGTGACCCACTAGAGGTCCCTTCCAACTAAAAAAAGTTTGAATAGTTCAAAGGATTCAGCCTTAGTGTGTTGGCATTCGTGACTGCAAAGCAACTACCGGGCCAGAAGGGGGGACCACACATTTCAATTCCTTAGGAAGATTGTAGTTTCACTCAGAATATTGGTCACATTTCATTCCTTTTAAAGAAATCTCTGTGGGACATTCACTCAATTAGTCCTAATTTTCAGATTTGGTGCTATAATAATACAGTATCATATAATACCCTGTGACTGTAGCTGTGCTTTCTAGAAAATTTTTAGCTGTTTTCAAGTGTCTCGAGCAGTATTTTGCAAGGTACATTTTTTCTTAAAAAGGAAGAGTGCCTCACTAAGTTTTTCCTTGCAAAGCTGATGGAAGTGGTGGGTGGAAGAGGTAGGGTACACGTTTTTTGATAGTAGGCAACTTGGTAGAAAATGATTATGTTTCCATATATTATCTTTGCAGAGTTAGCAGTACAAAATGTAAGTGCAATAAATTGGTGTAAAAGCCAGATAGTAAAGGGACTAAAAGTCCCTATGGAGATACCAAACTGTCACTTTCTTGTAATGGTAGCAAAAGATAATTGTAGACACAAATACAGTAGAACTGAATTGGCACCATTTTCCTTCAAAATTGGGCTGCTGCCTCTTAGTTTTTCTGAAGAAATTGGTTACTTCCTCTGCTTCAAAAGTATGGCATGAACCATTACATTAGGTGGGAAAAGATCTGTCTTTTATTTTCCTTCAGTACCTTTTTAATTAGAACACATCAAAGAGCAAAAGGGGATGAGATACAACCCTATGTGATTGCATTTTCCAGTCAATTGTTGGGTTTCTTTTAAGTTTCTGAGCTCTGCATTGACAATCTGGCCTCTGGCATAAACTTTACCCTCCTGGTTATGACATAATGAAGACATCTGCTCAAGCATACCCCTTTCTTCACACAACTGGTTTTACGGTTCTCTAAAATGCAAGCATAGAGCCGTGCAAGTACTATTACACACGGGATGATGCTCAAGTCTCAGGTGAAACTGGAAGAGATTTTTTTTCTCTCTCTCAAAGTAAAATCCTAAGGGTTTTCCTTTTCAGGTAAAGCTTTCAGCAAGAAAAGAAAGGAAATAAGCAACCCTTGGCACTATTCATATAAGCATATTTGTTAGTCCTTCTTGGAAGAGTTGTACATTAACTAGGCATATCCCTGGGTTCCTTTTTCCAACACAGGGAGGAGTTTGCAACCCCCTGGATAATTAACCACTCAGAAAGCCCACATTTTGATCTGCACCCCTCCAGAGCAGCCATATATGTACACAACAGCCACTCCTGCAACATTCTTGCAGGGAAAACCTCTTCCTTCTTTCCCACTGTGTGCTTTACGAAGTGAAAGTGAAGATTCGCAGAGACACGGTCTGATACACCTCTATAGTATGACTATCATCATTTAAATTTTTTTTTTTTTTAATGGGAGTAGGAGACAGAAATGTGTGGCTATTCCAGATGATTAAACTTCTTGGTTCTTGAATGTTCTGAGTCATAGTTAACTCAGGTGGCCAGCCCTTTGCACTGACAGAGACCTGCATTTAACTCCCCATAAAATATGGATTTTATTGCAGCAGTGACACTTCTTAGCACCACGCTGACCTCTCCAGCATCTCCCATCTCGAGATCTACGGTAACTCATGACAGAATATCTAACTACGGAAGAAGTAATCTCAGCTCTGCAACTGCTGCAGTCCACAACATTGCAGCGTCCCTTTTTATTAAATTCTGGGATTAACGCATTGGGGGCTCCAATTTTCCAGCATCTGGCACCGAAAACCAAGCGCACTCCAACCACTCTCCAATCAGTCCGGGGAAGGCTTTATCCCCCAGATTTGAGCCTGGCCAGCCGTGGAGGAGCACGAGCGAACTGCGCCTTCCATATGACTTTTCCCTGGACAGTGTGCTCCATTTTCGGAGTCCAGTGTTGGACTTTCCTTGCAACCTAAGCATTTCTGTCCTAGATGAGCCGGCAGGCGTTGCCCGGAACGTGCAAGCTAACAGTTTTCTTTAGCTCCTTCTACCAGCCAAATCGTCTCTTTAGTTTAAGTTTTCCTTACTGGGAGCATTCCAGAGTTTTCAGACTACCTGATTTTCTGCTTTACCCCAAAAGCTAAGAAATGTAACTCAGCCCAAGCAGTCACCACGCAGACCCTTATGATGCGGGCAGGTGGAGATAAATCAAGCCCCAAACGGCTCGGCGGGACCTGCACGCACCAGCGCCCTTTGGTAATTGACCAGCCAACTTTGCAAATGCCAGAGCTCCCCTGGCAGCCTCTGCCGGCGTAGAGAAAGGCAGCGGGTTCTTCTGCGGCGGCCCGCTTCCCGGTGCCCCCACCCAGCCCCACGGCGGATCGGTCTTACCAGGAGGCGGAGGAGCGGTGCCCAGGCTCCCCGGGAAGCGGCGTCGGTCCTGAGCAGCGGCAGCAGCGCCGCCCGCGCAGCCGGACCCGCGCGCCCGCCCCGACCCGGGCTCGCAGGCTGAGAGCATCCCTCCCAACTCCGGCGCGGCACCCACCGGGCGGAGAGGGCTCTCTCTCTGATTGGCTTCTATCAACGCTACAGAATTAAAAAAAAAAAAAGGGAGATGTATGCATAGCCAACGGAGCCCGAACCCACCTCTGCTCGCCTTCCTGCGCCCGCGGAGACCCTGCGACCCGCCCAGGCTGCTCCTGCCTCCGCCGCCGCCGCCGCCGCGGTCGCCGGCTCTGCCGTTCTTGCTGTCGCGGCTGAAACTGCAGCTCTTGGGATGCGAAGGTTACGGGCTCGGGAGAGCTGGCTCTTGTGGGCACACACTGATTTGCAAGTGAATGAAGTGGGAGGGAGCAAAGAGAGGAGGACTTTGTTAAAGAGGCCCAGTGCCTGCCCCCGCCCGCCCCCTCCCCTTGACAGAATGACTCCCAGTGTTTGAAGTCCTGAGCAATTCGCTCCCTGGAACACTCCTTCAGCCCCAGGCTTTCCCTTGCTTTCTTTCTTTCTTTCTTTCTTTCTTTTTTTTGTTGGAGGGGGTTTAAGATATACTCAGAACTTGTATGACTCCGTCTGTTTCCTCTTTTGTACTATCAAAATGCACCTTGTGCTATTATCAGCAATGGTCTGATGTTCTTTTTTTTTCACCGACCAAGCAATTACAATTCCCAGGGACACAGTACCTCGTCACTCTATCAGTTGGCCAGCTTCGTGTGATAGCACGTATAACATGCACACACATAAAACAAGCCGGTCTCCTGAGATGACAATACCGATGGCTTTTCTTTACAACATAAACAGGCGTTCTCCAGATGCAAGCAGACATGGATAGATTCATACATGTCTTTCCTTCTCTCCTCCCAGGAAGACACGCTTTCACGTAGCCCCATGATCTCTGTTACTCTTTTGGAGTGACCCCAGGATGTCGTAGCATGAAGCCATGCTTCCCTGGGCTTGCAGAAACACTGAAAACCCAAACCCTTCAGGCTTGCCAATGACTTATGACTGATGCCATCGTTCTAAATGAATTGATACAAGCATACAAAAGACTTGCAGAAGAGGGGTGTACAATGATATTCAAGGTCTGCTTAACGTTCGAAGATCCTTCTGGAAAGTTGCCGAAGTTGGATAACCTTCAAATTAAACTCTTTAGTACACATAGCTGTTTGAATGGCTAGATTGATAGTTACAAAGAGGTAATATCTAATGTTAAGGTACTAAGCCACAAAAATGTGAAACATGTCAAAGTACCATTAAATGAGAGTAATGATTTTCTACATAGGAGACATAGGCATGATGGAGTCAGCCACTGTTGGATTAGGAAAATTAAATCTAATTACCACAGTGATTGCACCCAGGGTCACTAGCCTCCCAAACCAGCTGTTCGCCTGTGCTGCAAGTTCTCAGGGAGATTTCCATTGCACAGAGCTCTAAGAAATGCCAGGCTGCTTGGCCTCTGAGTAGTTAAACTGGCTGGAGGTTGGTCCTGTTCCCAACTGAGCTCTTACTAGAAAACCTTTTGTTTCTCCAATAGAAGTTCAGGCATTTAAATAAAGCCCAAATCAAAAGTATTCCTTTAGGCAGCCAGTGCTTCAAAGAAGTGTGCATGGAATGGTTTTAGCACAGATGTTCTGCACATGGAAGATGGAAAGATTTGAGTTTCTTTCTGGAAAAGACCTTCCCCAAATGAAGAATTGCTACCAATTTGTGAGAAGAGGCTGAACATTTTCTTTTTATAGAGCTCTTTAAACACGTATGAAGTAAGAATGGGGGAGAAGAAAGCTGCTTTAGATTCATAGTCCATTCGTCAGATTATGAATTTCTTATACATTTAATTGGAAATATTAGCTCTGTGTGTCTGTGTAGTCCTTTACTGTTTACAAAGTACTTTTGTAGACTATTTTATTTAATTCATCCTTCAATAAGTGGTGTCATATTTTCCCAATTAAGACAGAGAAAACAGACTGATGAAGAGACAACAGAAGTTACATAACATGTCCAAGGCAGTGAAACTGGAACACACAAGAAGCAGAAATATTATTGGTAAAAGGGTGTGCAGGTGTGTATGCAGACATAGAGACCCACAGATTATATGTACAGGTATAATTTATTAGCATATGTGGTAGTAGGATAATACATGAATACATAATACGTAAATATGTCAATAAAATAAGTCATATTTTAAGACCACCTTTAGCAGAAAAAATGTGCAAATTGGCTGATTTTTATGGTAGAAGAGGGTTGATAGTGAAGTTGATTTTCTGTCTGTTGAACCAGTTAATATCTCACAAAGGAAACCTCTAATTGTTTGCAATATACTATTCTTCAAACCCCATTAAGCTACATGTCAAAGGTGTTTAGAACAACAACTGTATGAGTGGACAATCCGTTTGCTTCTGAACAGTTCAGGTGGCAGCATGAAATTATATAAAAGACAGCTCTTGTACTAAAGGATTTTATGTGATTTTTGAGGCTTTCTAGTAATATTTGTCACAATAATTATTCATCTTCAAATACAGGATTGATGTAAATATCTAGAATTATTTTACCCTCATTTCAGAGACTAGGAACTGAGAGTTACTGAGGCTAAATGATTACTTGGAGTTGTGTAAGTTCTGTTTCTGGTTTGTTCTCTATCATCACACCAAAACATGTTGGCAAGTAACAGTAGCCCATCAGAGATAGTTAAGCAAATGAAGAGGTATGTGTCATTATTGTATAGGGTTTCTCCTGAAAGTTAAGGGTGGAAATTCTGCAGAGTCTCTGGAAAGGCCCAGGGGCAGGCCCGGAGAAGCCGCCAGCATTCTTCCCCTAGCTCTATCTCCTCCTCAGGACACTTCTGCTTTCCTTTTGTCTCCATTCACACCTGCCTCCTTCATCCTCCAGTCCACAGGGCAGAACAGCACCCCAACAGTTCCAGAGCTTACCTGTCGAAAAGAGGGCTTCTCTTTCAGCCCCCTTTCTAATTTCTTAGAAAATGGCCCTGACGCCCGGCACGGTGGCTCAAGCCTGTAATCTCAGCCCTTTGGGAGGCCAAGGCAGGAGGATCATTTGAGGTCAGGAGTTTGAGACCAGCCTGGCCAACATGGTGAAACCCTGTCTCTACTAAAAATACAAAAAAATGTAGCCGGGTGTGGTGGTGCGCCCCTGTAATCCCAGCTACTTGGGAGGCTGAGGTGGGAGAATTGCTTGAACCCAGGAGGCAGAGGTTGCAGTGGGCCAAGATTGCACCACTGCACTCCAGCCTGGGCCACAGAGTGAGACGCTGTCTCAAAAAAAAAAAAAAAAAAAAAAAAAAAAGAGAGAGAGAAAAGAAAATGACCCTGATTGGTCCGGTACTGTCTTGGACCCATCAGCTGGGGCTAGCACCCCCAGGACCAAATAGAGGGGGGAGCATTTAAGGAGTGTCCTTATATCCTGGGAAGACAATCCAGAAAGTGTCCTGTTCCCCAATTCTCTTGTTTTGTTCAGTAGTTTGGTACAGCTGAAACATCTCATCAGTTTTTAGGCTACTTCATTACTTTAGATGCCTCAGTCAAAATTACTGGTGCTTCTCTCCTTTTACAGCTTGCAAAGTTTCAATTTCTTTTTTTTAAAAAAATCTCCTTTATAAACCATTATTAGGGATATTAATTTTGATGAAGGATTTTCCAACTTCCACTAAATCTCTCTTCAGATGATTAAGAGGCTATCTTATCTTTATAATGGGGATGCATATAAATAAATAATTATGTTTTCTGACTTTCTTTTAGATAATACAAATCTGTATGCAATGATTACCTGATAAAAAATGTTTTCATGATCATTAACAATTATTCTTGATTAGGAGAAAAAATTCACTTTTTAAAACATGAACTTAATTAAGAATATTGGCATCGGCAGCTCTGATCAACCAATCCAAATCATTGATCTAAAACTTAGCCCTACATGTGTTGCTGCTAGGAAAAGCACACATAGTACAATGCTTATGGCTTAATCATCATGGTGTGCACGAGCACAGATTTCAGTGAGGAATGAATGACCATCCCCTACCTCTGCTGCACGCACGCACACACACACACACACACACGCCATACACATACTGTGTTTAAGGGGGAAAAAAGCTTTAACCACTCTGGATATTATTGAATTGAAACAAAGGAGACAAGAAACCTCGATGGAATTCCCTTTTTGTAAGAGCCATAGACATCTCAATACAAAGTAAAATAAATTCACACAAAATTCATGTGATTATCCAGGTTTTCTAATCCTGGGACAGCTTCCAATACTGTATTTAAAGTGGGTTGGATCCCAGGATGCATTAAGACATCTTCATCATTATAGTTGACTCATCACTATAGGTAGATTGCAATATGCCAGAAGATTTCCAAATGTGATAAATGCACAGCAGCAAAATGTTATTGACCTACACAGGGTATTTTAGTACTCTGGGTATTTCATAGTAAGTAGTGTGGACTTCAATTTTGCTGAATTATTTTTACATTTTATTCACTGGTTTGTAGTAAAATATAAATTTGCCTGATCAGATATGTACAACTCAAGCTTGGTAGACTGAGAATCAAGATTGTATTATGGGAATGAAGGGGCATGTCCTTGTTTAGAAGAAACAGTTCCTTAAGAGGAAATGTGTTGCCTCAGTACATTCTTCTAAATAAGTGTATAGACCAGAATAAACAGAACATCTTCTACTTTCCTCCAGAGGGAAAAATAATTCTCTCCCACCAACCCCCTTCCAATTATAGAAGCACTTGATGGGAAGAGTGACAGGTTGGAGTGGGAAAGACAATATAATAGCATGTGCTAAAAAATATTTTGGGATTTTATAGATTGTGAGAACATCAGAATTTTACAGTATATCATGGCTGTCAAAAAGAAGACAAAGATTAAGATGAGAAGATAGAAAGACAACCCTCTGTCTAGGCTTTAGTAGTCTCTTCAGAATAGACAGACCTCACCTACAGCCTTCTGTTCCTCTTTGAGTACCACACTTAAATATACTTTTTTTTTCTTTCTTTTTTTTTTTTTGCTATGTCTCTACTGCATTTCATAGAATACCTATAGTACTTTGGCTTGATGTCATTGTTTACATGTTCTAGAGTGCATATCCATTGAATTATTGATGGCAGAGTCATTGTCTGTTTTGGTCATCATTTTATCTGGGGTGGTAGAAAAAGTGCTTAGTGCTCGCATGTATGAATGAGAAGAGATTCAGATAAACTAGAATGGGTTCTGTAGACAGAAGCTGGAGATGGTTATAGTCTTAAGATTTGCATATGAGCTAAAGGTAGTAAGACTGGAAAAGGAAAGGTTTAAGTTGGTCAAGGATACTTTGCAAATACTTTAGGAACTGTCCTATGGAAGAAAATTAGACTGGGTTTTAATGTGCCATACACTTCGATTAGGATCAGCTAGTGAAGCCGCTGGACGATAATTGCATTTAGTTGATTCTAAGACACCCATATTTTCATATTTTAACAACTCTGAAATTTAGATGTCTCTTACGATTGACATAATAAGAAAACATCATGTCATGGTATACTTGTCAGTGTCTCTTCTTTCTCAGCAACACATTAAGGAATGGTGCTACTTCTTGCCATTGGTATTGTAGCCCTGATGACATGCAGATGGTTGATTTCAGCTCAACATACGAAAGGATTTTCAGGCCATTTGTGTTCAAGATAAAAGGGCCTGACAGCTTTAGGATAGACATGAGCCCCATCCCTGAAGACATTTAATCACAATCTAGACAAGCTCTTGTTGTAAATGAGCTCAAGTATCAGATTTGGAAGTGAATGATCTTTTACATTTTTGTCAAGCTTGAGGTTCGTGAACTTGGATCCAACCTCTTATTTTTTGCAGATAAGAAAACAAGGATCACACCAGTTGAGAGATTTCTCCGAAGTCAGACATCTCATTAGAGCTAGAGAGGCCAGACTAGCATGTCTCCCATGATCCAGTCTGAAGCTACTTTTATTCACTGCTTATCTTTGCTTTCTCTTCAGGCTTAAAGTATAGAAAATGGGTTCCTTAATATTTTGATAAGAACAGTAACTAATATTTACTGCATACATACAATGTGCCAAGTACTTGTTCGCCATGTATATTTTTCACATTTAATCCTCTGACAGCCTATGCGCTAGATACTGTTATCATTCTTGTGCGTAGATAAGGAAACTGAGGAATGGGAGGTAAAGTAATTTGCTTAAGATCACGCAGTTAGTATGCGTCTGAGCTGAGGTTTGAACATACACTTTGAGGTGAATTCCTGTGGTCATAATCATCACGTAGGTGCCTCCAGATTGACAGAACTTTCTGTGGAATCTATGTGAAGTGATGTAAAAATTGAAACCTGCTCTAGTCTGAAATTTCTAATTTTAAGATAAACATATTTTGGGTGTTACGTGACTGTCTTCTTTATTATTTGCCTCAAAATATCTGGATAATGGCTTCAGTTCCTTAATTTATGTTCAAACAAAAGCTGTACTTTTGTTAAATTTTTGGGCTAACACAGGCTTACTAATAATGCAAATAAGTTTTCTTTTTCTCAAATTAAGAAAATTCAGTTTTATCTTCTGCCATGTGTGTACCCTGCCTGCTTCCAATTTTTCCCTATTTGGGGGTACCTTAAAGTTGAGAAAAACTGAATTTAACTTATTTATTGACCTTTATGTCTTACTCATTGTGGGCCCTTGACCATCTGAAAAGATGCATTGACTCTTGCTGGTCTTTTCTGTGGAGAGCTATCTTTGTACACTTCTCAACCCTCAGGGGTAGTCTTTATTCCTCAAAAAGGAATCCTTCACCAAGGATTCAGGCAGAATTCTTGGTCACAGCTGAGGTCTTATCTTTGCCCCTGGGAAACTGTACTTATTATCTCTCTGAGAAGGCAAAAGAAAACTGGAAATAAAGCTTCTTAGTGTCAATTGACAAGAAAATTGTAAAATCTTAGGTAAGTCTATTTTGGGGTATCTTTCCAGACGTCATAATATTCATAATATCCAAAAGCCTTTTTCATATGCTGATGGCTTGCTGAAAAATTGTGTAGTTTTGGCCAAGTCCTCATCTCTTGGCCTTAGTTTCTTCTTCTGTAGAATGAAGGCGTTGAATGGCTTTTTACTCCAGCAGTTCTGAAAGCCTTTTCTTTACCTATTGTTATTTTGCATGTGACCACTAGGGGGACAAAGGAAAGCTCTTTCTGTTGAAACTGTCGCTGCCCATTATGGATTTGGAATAATAGTCTTGAAGAACAACCACAGGGAAAGCTGATTTTTCTTAATGAGGCATCGAATACGTTAAAATGCCTTTTTATTAATTGGTATTACAGTGTGATATGAACTGGTACTTCTTTGTAAGATTTAAGAATTTGAGGAAAGCGATTATTACTGTTTCTATGACTAGTAAAGTCTTTATAAGCGTAATCACATATCTCCATGAATATTACCATGTATGAGATTTCACTGAGCCCATTAAAAATCAGGGATATAAGTCTTTGAAAAATATCACAAACCATGATGTCTTAAGAATGCAGATAAAGACATTTAAAGGATGTTTTGACATTTTTTAGTGGTTATCAAAATTGCTAATAATCAGTTAACCTTTAAAAAAACGAAAGCAATACAAATGAAACATTTCTAATTGCAAAGTGGAGAAGGAACTCAATATTTTGTAAACCAAAAAGGTCCATAATACGTTTTAGTAGCTAATCTTTATTGAACACTTACAGTGTGCCAGGCGATGTATTAAAAGTTTTTGTTCATATTCTTTTGTTTCTTTGGACAGCTCTGTGAAGTAATCATTCTTATCATGCCCGTGAGTAAATGGAGAGTTACAGAGTTTAATGTCCATGGCTTCTCACACTGCTACTGCCAGCGGGTAGCAGAGTGGAGCTTTGAACTCTGGCACCCCACATCAGCGCGGCACATCGCTGCCCAATGTAATAGCCTGTGTTATACAGCACTATCCAGATTATAAAATGCTTCATGTCCATTACTCCTCTGCATGTTCACTCCAGTTCTCTTCAGTAGAGGGTGCATTTACATTGGCCATCATTTTTTCAGGTAGGGCAAGCAAACTCAAGACAGGTTAAGAGTCCTGAACAAGAATCTACTGTTTGAAGTTAGAATTGATTTAGAAACAAGGGTTTTTTTAAATGGATATATAATATTTGTACATATTTATGGGGAACATATGATATTTTGTTACATGCAAAATGTGTAATGAGCAAGTCATATTTGGGGTATCCATCACCTCCAGTATTTGTCATTTCCACGTGTTGGGGGCATTTCAAGTCCTCTCTTCTAGCTGTGTTGAAATATATAACATGTGTGGTTAACCATAGTCATGCTTCTGTGCTATTGAATGTTATTAACTCATTCTTTCTATCTAACTGTATGTTTGTAACCAGTAACTAACCTCTCAACCTTCTTTTCGTCTCCCCTCTTGTCCACACTCTTTGCATCCTCTGGTAACTATCATTCTACTTTTGCCTCTATGAGATCAACTTTTTTAGCTCCCACATATGAGTGAGAACATGTGATATTTGTCTTTCTGTGCATGGCTTATTTCACTTAACATAATGACCTCCAGTTCCATCCATGTTGCCGCAAATGACTTGATTTCATTTTTTATGGTCAAATAGTATTCCATAGTGTGTATATACCACATTTTCTTGATCCAGTCATCCATTGATGGACACTTAAATTGATTCCACATCTTTGCTATTGTGAGTAGTGCTTCAATAAACATGCCAGTGCAGGTATCCCCTTGACATATTGGTTTCTTTTCCTTTGGATAAATACCCAGTAGTGGAATTGTTGGATCATATGGTAGTTCTATTTTTAGTTTTTTGAGAAATCTCCATACTGTTTTCCATAGCAGCTGTACTAATTTACATTCCGACCAGCTGTGTATAGGAGTTCCCTTTTCTCTATATTCTTACTGTCTGTTATTTTTTATCTTTTAAATAATAGCTATTTCAACTGGGCTAAGATGAGATCTCACTGTGGTTTTAATTTGCATTTCCCTGATGATTAGTGATGTTGAGCATATTTTTTCGTATACCTATTGGCCATTTGTATGTCTTCTTTAGAGAAATGTCTGTTTGCATCCTTTGCCCATTTTTAATTATTATAATTTTTTACTGTTGAGTTATTTTTATTCCTTGTGTATTCTAGATATTAGTCCCTTGCTGGATGACTAGTTTGCAAATATTTTCTCCCATTCAACAGGTTGTCTCTTTACTCTATTGATTGTTTACTTTGCTGTGTAGGAGCATTTTAGTTAAATACAGTCCCATTTGTCTATTTTTGTTTTTGTTGCCTGTGCTGCTGAGGTCTGAGCCATAAATTCTTTGCCTTGATCAGTGTTCCAAAGTGTTTTCTCTGTTTTCTTCTAGTCGTTTTATAGTAGACACAAGAGTACTTTATCTTCAACTATTAGAAACAGAATCTGGGGATGAGATGAAAACTTCTAAATCCTGAGCTCTTTGTTTTGAAAAGCTTATTCTTATAGTTTACTTGTCTCTAACTTAAAAACAAGACCCTAAAATTCTCAGAAAACTTAGAACTTTGTGTTTTTGAACAACAATAATCACTCCATTTATTGAGTGCCTATTATGGGCCAGGAACACAAGCAGTGCTTTATAAGTTGCCTTTTTGATTCCCATGAAAACTTTCTAAAGTCATTCATCTCACTTTATTTATAATCTCACTTTATTGATAAGTAACATGTATCTCAGAGAGATTAAATAACGTGTCTAAGTCACTGAGCCAGCCAGTGGTCACAGCTGAACCCAAATCTTGCATGTGATTTTAACTCAATATATTTAATGAGGTTCAGGTATCATATTTGTTTCAAATGGTTGTGTTGACACTTTCTGTTCTTTGATATGAATATGACCCAAGTTGCAGCTGATAAGGCAGGAAAGAATCCCATGGCTTTATGTGGAGGTGAGAGATTATATGCAATAGAAGAGGAGGGTAAGGTTTCTGCTAGTTTGCTGTTTATTTTGCAAAATACGATTTTTTTGGTGAAAAATAAGTGCAGAGCTACCCTATTGTATAGCAAATTGGGGCTGTTGCCTTGGAGAGATTGGCTCTGAGCAGTGAATTGTAGTGCTTGGAGCCTAAACCCTGTCTACTGATATGATGACATCCAACTAGTTAATTAGTATTTCTACCACCTCTAGCAATGGGTGGTAGACTCTTCCTGTCTCTACCTGATCCTCACAGCTCAGCCTTTCATCTCTTAAGATTCATTTTGCTTTTTGTTCATTTTAATATGATATTTACTTAAAGTGGAAGAAGAAGGAAGCACGAAGCTTGCCTCTCCTCAGTTTCCTTCAGAACTTCAAGATGCCACGAGACAAGGGGGAAGACCTGATAATTTTATATGACAGTTCAAAATTAAATGGATGATTCTTCTAAGAGTTTTATTTTAAATAACTGATGGTACATGTAAGATTAGTCTAATACATTGTGCAATGTTACATGCCTCTGCATTGTCTTTTTTTTTTCTTTTTAAAACATCTCTGACAGTTTGTCAATGAGGGTTTTGGATAAGTGCATGCAAGTTATATGGTGTGCTTAAAGATGGTGGTTTCATTTATTACTTTTTTTGTGCGTTTATCTACAAATGCATTTAGGCCCCACATAAGTTTTATCAAAAAACATCATTTTTATACTGAAAACAAGTAGATTCTCACAGCGTGACTTGTTCTGTGTATACGTGAGTTTATGCTCCAACTCTATCACATGCATCCCCCTGTTCCTACACTCAAGTTTTTCCATAAACTTCTATATGAGACAAAATGTTTGGTGGAACTTGAATTATCTGCATAAGTATTGCAAGATTACATTTAACTGTGACATCCTAGTTTGATTTCTTCATTCCTTATTACCTCTTCTTCCCCCTTTCCACCCACTGCTTGGAGCATCTAGGCTACCCAAAAAGAAAATGATTATGTGATTATGATACCAGAGAAAAGCAGTTACAGTGCATCTTGCTAAATCATTTTTGGGCACGTGTCTTACTCTGCAAGCATTCATATGGCCCATGATTACAAACATACAGAGTTCTTGAAGATTGATTAAACATTAAAAATACAGCATCCTTTTGCATTTCTAAATGAAAATCATTAGAACAGGCTAGTAAAAATGGCAAGAGAGTACAGAGCCTACTGGATGAAACATTTAAATTTAGATATTTCTGGTGCAAGTTTTTATGGTGGAGACCGTGTGAGAAATATTACTTAGTTCACACCTCCTTTGAATTCCTCTGCATGTTGCTGCCTCTGTGGCTTTTTTTTTTTTAAACCTAAAAGTTACAGTGACTTCAGTGAGATTTTGTGATAAGCTGAACTCCTCACAGCTTGATCCTCTTCTGACTTTGTAGTGAAAACCACTGTTGTTGAGTGGAATACAGGTCGCTAGTTTCTCTGCTGGACCTGGCATTGGACCCAAATGCCTCATGTTTATTTGTTGCCGCCCGGTGACTCCATTTGACTGGCCTGGCTGATGCATGGCTCTGAATATAGACTGGGGTATGACAATATTTTGGGGTTCAATATCTAAGAACAGAGTTTAATGACATGGATCTTCCCGTAGAGCCGATTTCCGGGTTTGCGGTTTGCCCTCTCGGATTTGAGACTAATTGCAAGATGCTGATGGGTTTTAGAGGCTAGCCTCTTGGGAGGTGGCAGCTTGCCACAATGCCATCAGTTTAGACTAATGATTGCACAGGACTCTCATGCAGCAGATGGCTACTAACCACAATATTAATATTATTTTGCTTTGTAAATTTAAGGAAAAAATAATTTCCATGGTTGCAAGGGAAAACCTTGTTTGGATTTTATAAAGAATGATCTGCAACAGAAATAACGTGCTGTCAGGACCTGTTTTATATGCTTTCATTATCAGTGACAAATTGTGATATTAATTCTATAGCAAATTTGTGCTTGGGATTTTAGCATTTCTTTCAGCCATTTCCCTCCTCTGCATAGCTAGCTGCAGAATAAAATGCTATGAATTTTACCTTGGAGGGATCGACAGCTAGATTTAAATGTTACTTCAGTAATTTGCTTAGAGATACTATTGTTTATAAATTTGAGGACTGGATATTCTTTGACAGGCTTCGTAATGAAGTGGATGTTTGAGGTAATTGCTTAGAGAATCCAGGTAGGAGAGACACTTCTGCCTGGATTCCCTTAGTAATGTAGCCAAAACAAGAGACATTTATTTCTGTTTGAATTAGCCAGGTAATTACTTCTGTTCTCTGCCTTGTTTTGCTGATGACATTCTGGTTTATGCATGTTGGGAGAGATGACAGTGACAGTCAAGTTCACATTGATGGAATCCCGTGATCTGTGTAATTCAGCCTGGGGTGCCAGTCATTATTTTGTTTTTATCAGCGTTCTGGACCTTCTATGATGCTATTTTCAGGAGAACGCAAGACAAAGGTAATTCAGGAATGCCTAATGTTAGGACATGAGGGAATTTGGCATGACTTTGCCTCAAGCACAGGAATTTTGAAATTTGGAAGATGAGGTTGAAATGGAACGCTTGGCAGCTGTGTGCATTCGTTTTCTGTTCCCTCTCAGATCGTCTTGAAGCCCAGCTCAGGCAATCGTGATTCTTTTTCTGTAGTTCTTTTGAATAGACCAGATGTTTGGAAATTGTTTTTCACCTGTTTCGTCTTTTGACTTTCTTATTCTTGTGAAGCTCTTAAAATATAGTGTAAAAAATGGAGAAAAAACCCCCTGTATTTTGGATTTATTCAACTAACAAGAGAGATGTAAAAATCACAAAATGCTAGGAAATGGCTAACAAGTAAGAAAAGAAAATCACATGTTTTTCACAGAAAGGGCTAGAAGGAAGACTCAGTAAGGGACGATAGTCCCAGTCTACTTAGAAGGTTCGTTTTGAATTTTTGACAACTTAGTTCCAAATCCAAAATGAGAAAAACAAAGATGGTATCCAAGTGACTGTTTCTTAACAATCCATCCTTAATTATATTCAACATCTAGTTTTTTTTTTTTTTTTTTTTTTTTTGAGACAGAGTCTCACTAGGTTGCCCAGGCTGGAGTGCAGTGGCGCGATCTCAGCTCACTTCAAGCTCTGCCTCTCGGGTTCATGCCACCCTCCTGCCTCAGCCTCCTGAGTAGCTGGGACTGCAGGCACCCGCCACCACACCCGGCTAATTTTTTTGTATTTTTTTTAGTAGAGACAGCGTTTCACCGTGTTAGCCAGGATGGTCTCGATCTCCTGACCTCGTGATCGGCCATCCTCGGCCTCCCAAAGTGCTGGGATTACAGGCATGAGCCACCACGCCCAGCCTCAACATTTAGTTTTTGACCATTTGGCAGTTTTGCAGCAATAAATGAGAAGGACAGGAGTTGACATAGTGTTAGAAGGAAGCTTAATAACAGTAGAAGTGACAGCTGACCTTGAGTGGAAAGAGAACAACCACCACCACAAAAAAAGCAGGCACTGAGGGTATTGCTGCAGCAATACTATGATGAAGGCTCACAAAGATGACTCTGAAACTCAAGAAAAGTTAATTTATAGTCACTTTCCCTTAGAAAGCTACTAATAATTTTTTAAGAAGTTGGAGAATGAGTTGATGATGTTTAGCATCTGAATAGGTGTGTTTCAAAAATTTGGTAATTCATTTATGTGGAATAGTTGGTTCCCAGAGATGCAGATGGTCAGGTGTCTTTACAGGCAAGTTGGGTCACATCAAATCAAACACTGTGTTCTTCCCTGGGTAATAATGATTCAAGGAATACTGGTGTGGGTCAAATATCTGAAGTCATTCATATGGAGATTTATTTCTGTGGGCCTTGAAGACATTTTCGTTTTACAAACCGGTTAAAATTAAAATGTCAATAGGTCAAATAACTGTACATTGGTAATCTATTGGTATTAAATTATTAGATTATGATGGCAGCGAGATACTGTGAGAATTTGATGCAGAATGAACACTCATTCATTTCTTGAGCTGTAATGATCTCCATGCTTTGGATAGTGAGGATGATTTAAAAGACAAATTCATCCAGCTTGTTTCAATTCTATAAGTAGTTGCCCAACTTTCATTTTCACCTTCCCAGGGAATAGAAATCAAAGCTTGATGTACTGGGCACTCCCATCCATGGTGTTAGCTGTAGTGAATGTATTGGTTGATCACTCTTTTTGACTCTGTGACGAGCTTGCTGAGTTAATGATACTAAAATTGCAAAATAAACCATGCAATTAAACTGCATTTAGTTTTCTGCAAAGAGAACTCAGGGATGATTGGCCATATTATGTAAGTCAGCCAGGGAAATAATAAATATTTTCAATTCAAGCTAATACATACTTACATGGACAGCCATATTTTTGAATGTTAATAACAAGAGAGAATAAATGATGGAGACTGTATCAGTGGTGAAGGAGATGCTGTGGTTGTAGCCAGTGTGGACATCACATGAAATATTGGTCAGGTGGCCCAGCTCCTGTGGAGAGAGCACCAATGATAAACTCTACCAGGCTCAGTTCTGAGTAGAAAAGCATTTTGCCTAGCTTTAGGGTAATCATCCAGCCTAGTTTGTCTGAGATAGTTCTGGTATACTGGTTATACTGACTTAATTATTAATCATGCCTTATTTTACTGTCAAAAGTGTTTTGGCTTGGACGATAAGTAATTATATGGTCACTCTACTTAATTTTGAATGAAACAGAAGAGAATATATAAGCCCATTTGGAGATGATCATTCACAGATAACCTCTCTCAGAGCCTCCTATTTCCTTACAAGTGAAATAATAAAAACACACCTGACAGTCATAAGTCTAGTTTCCTACCTAGTAAAGAAATGACATCAAACCCTGCAGTAACTTCAACCTTCTCTCTCTACTCCCTTTATAGTTTATGGAGCCACCTATGCTAGTGGTGGAATTGATAATAACAAGGCAAAGACTAACATTTCAGGTGAGAAATGCGGAGATAAATAATGCTACACTTCTGAGTTTATGTGTAATAGCATATCATCCAGGAACAGGAAGGGAAAAGGTGAAGTCCAGAGATTCTGTCCAGAGAAATGTTAATGTGCCCACACTCTCAGCCTGCTGTGTCTGGCCTGAGTGCAGCACTTCCCCCAGCAGCCCAGCCCACCCCACATCACCAGCTGGGGAGGCTATGGGAATGGATTGATCATCCTTCCGTGGTCATTGATGCTGACTGTGGTGCACGGTAAATTTTTTACACTCTTTATGAATGAGTCTGGAAAGCAGTTTCAGAATTTTTCAAAGTGACTTTTGGGAGTGATATTTATCATACCAGGGACATATTTTTACAAACATGAAGAACATGAAGGCCTGTCTCAACAGTTACACAGAGTGTCTTTTATGGTGTTTCTGGTGTTGAAGATCCCTAGTTACTAACTTTTATTTTCACTCCCTTATGTAACATAGGTATTGTCTCACCAGTAGGCTTTGGAATATATTCATGTATCATCAATATATCTTATCACTGGCAAAGAAAATTAAGGAATTGTGCTTATCTAATTGCACCAAACCTTCTTTTATTTTTGCATCTGTCTGATATGTTTCTGTATCTATACCCTCTTTTTTTGTCCCTACTTTGAAAATGCTCCTGAGAAAGGGTTTGAAGATTAAACAGGGTATTCCACAGGATGTAGTATGAAGCTGCTGGTAGAAGTATGGCAGGTATGCAGTGGGCACATGACACATGGGGTGATGTGGAAAGAAAGGATTAAGGATATGTATTAGTCTGTTCAACAGTTATAAAGAAATATCTGAGACTGGGTAATTTATCAAGAAAAGAGGTTTAATTGGCTCAGAGGTCCACAGGCTGTACAGGAAGCATGATGCTGGCATCTGCTCAGCTTCTGGAGAGGCCTCAGGAAACTTTCCATCATGGTGGAAGGCAAAGGGGGAGCAGGCACGTCTTATGTGGCTGGAGCAGGGGCAAGACAGAGAAGGGGGAGATGCTACCCACTTTTTTTTGAGGTGGAGTTTTTCTCTTGTTGCCTAGGCTGTAGTACAGTGGCACGATCTCAGCTCACTGCAACCTCCGCCTCCTGGGTTCAAGTGATTCTCCTGCCTCAGCCTCCCGAGTAGCTGGGATTGCAGGTACCCACCACTACGCCTGGCTAATTTTTGTATTTTTAGTAGAGATGGGGTTTCACCATGTTGACCAGGCTGGTCTCAAACTCCTGACCTGAGGTGATCTACCCGCCTCAGCCTCCCAAAGTGCTGGGATTATAGGTATGAGCCACTGCGCCCAACAAGTGTTACACACTTTTAAATGACCAGGTATCATGAGAACTCACTCACTATCAGGACAGTACCAAGAAGGGTGGTGCTAAAGCATTCATGAGAAATCCAACCCCACGATTCAGTCACCTCCTGCCAGGTCCCACCTCCAACACTGAGGATTACAACTGGACGTGAGGTTTGGTGGGGACACAGATCCAGACCATATCAGGATAAGAAAGTGGAATGAAGGGATGTAAGTGCTTAGGTCCCACAGTGCTGTGTAGCAGGCATGTAGAGAACAGTGGGGTGGCTGTTAGACCAGGGATTCCAGTAAGCAGGAGCGGAGGCCCTCAGCAAAAGTGATGTGGTGGCAGGGACCTCTGAAGTCTGATAAAGTGTAGGACAGTTGAGACTCTGGACTTAGTCACCTCAGAGACTGGATCTATATCCCAGTGTCTCCCTTTAATAGCTGTGTGGGTTTCAGAAAGTTTCCTAATGTCTCTCTGCCTCAGTTTCTTCATCTTAAACTGGAGATAATTTCAGTACCCATCCAATAGGGTTGGTGTGAGGCTTGTATGAATCAATCTATGTAAAGAGCTTAGAATATTTGCAGGCATATTATGAACACTGAGTAAATGTTAGGTCTATAAAAACACCCTGACTGTTGGTTTTTGGCATGATCCTCTACCTACAGCTGTGTGTAGTGTAACACAACATTGCTGAGCCAGGAAGGACTTAGCTAACAGGACCAGCAGCAACACAGCCATGGGATACCAGCAGGATTTCTCTGTAGCACAGCATGGATTCTCAAATGACTGGCTTGAATTCCCAATTCCCCTCTGGGCCAAAGAAGCCAAAAAATGCTGAATGGATACCATATAAAATGGAGCAACTATGACCATTGGGGAATATGTATTGGCCTTAAAGCAATATTCTCCCCTTGATGATAACTGCTGGAAAAACTGAAAGCACTTCATCTCTTTTTGCCCATTTCCACACTGTAACTGGGTCCTTAGTGATGGTGTTTGTCAATGTATTACTTCCTTCATAGTTGAAGATAAATCGTGCCCTGTAACTGGGGTGACCAAAAACCCCATTTGGTTATCTTGGATTTAAAACATCTTGAACATTGATTATTAAGTATACCAGGATCTCCTAGTTTCTAATATCAATACTCAATAAACTAGCTTGTATATCTAGGACTGTGCTGGGGATAATGGGCCTACAAGACATGGTTGCAGCCTCCTGGGAACTTATGATCTAATTGAGAAGTAAATACTAGTCTGTTTTTGAGTACTGAACTGCTGGACGCTATTACCATTACAGTCTATGGAAACAAAACCAAAAACAGTGTCTCCCAATTCACTCTTCGTATGTATTCTGATGGTGCAGCTTTCCTTTCTTACTTGTCTTGATTTCCCGTCTTAGTAACCCAACAGCTAATGCAGTGCTTCGGCTTGCCTGTGGCAGGTTACTAATAAACATTTGTTAAATTAATTCCTGCCCAGCTGATTATTGACTGAACATAGAAAAGCTCTTGTTTTCTATGTGGTTTTGTGACATATCCTGCTCTTGCATATCATTTTTGTACTGAAATTTTTACTTAAACTCTATTGTTGTCATTTTGATTTCATTGTAATTTTTAAAAGCCTCTTTGTTTAAAAAAACCTGAGATCATCTATGTAAGGTGCCTAATACAGGGTCTAGGGCATACGAAGTGATCAATGAAAGTAAATTCAACCATTTAATACATTTTTGCTTTTCTGCCAGGCACTTCCACATCATTCTTTTCAATCATGTGTCATATTCAAGTCCATTTCCATTTTATGCATTTATTCGTAAATTATGGAAGATGAAAACTAAAGTGGGAAAGCACCAAGAAGAGGGTCATCTCTCTCTCCTGGGACAGGAACACGAGCTCGAGTTATATATTCTGTGGAGAGAAAGCAAGAGTAAAAACAATAAACGTCCTGAATATACTTTCCATTAAGCAAGTAAAATTATTCTCTTCTTCTCACAGCTTTGTATTTGAGGCTCTGTATTTTATTTATAGCATAAATTCTTTGCTCTTTTCTGTAGGTGCTGCTTCTTGTACTGAGCAATGGTTACTAGAGTCTATTTTTCACGCCCCATGTAATGTGCTCCCGATATGCAACTGAAGCTTTCTTTCAGTTCACTTGCTCATGTTTTCATAGCTGCAACATGGAGCAGTATTTTAAAACCTTGCAAACCTCAGGTTTATACCTGGTGTTGTTTATTCGTACAGTCCTTACAAAATATTCCTCCTGCAAAAAGTAACTTTCAGTTCTTTCTTTGAGTTTAATTTTATAAAAAGACAGCATGGCTAAGTTGGATTTTGTGTTTCTAATTTCAAATTTGGGTTTTCTTGTCACTGACAGGTTTTTCTTCCCCCCTTGGAAGATGAATTGCATTTTATCAGTTATCTCAGAGAAGCACTTTGAAATGAAGTAAGGAAATAAACATGGCTCTACATTTTTAAACAGATGATTTGTTACCAGACTATGACCATAATGGAAAAAAAGCCAACTCCCTTGAGGTTTCTGATGCCAAGGCATGACTGCACATTGAATGTCATCAGAGTTCTCCTGGCTGGTAAGGGCTGGGGACCCTCTTCCTTCTCCATCATGGATGTTGCCATTTTGATTCTGTGTGTTAAAGAGGAGACTTCAAAAACAGGATCTCTTGGTGCATTTACATGGCTTCTTGGCATGGTATGTTGACATCCGATACACAGACCCTTTGTCCATTTCCATTATAGCATCCACTAGGGAGACAAGAAAACTACTGGTTGTGATTTCATTTAGTACTTGTTCCAAGTTAAGCAATCTCTTTTGATTTGCCCATAACATTAATTCAGCTTAAAAATATATAATTAATCTGAGAAAGTGATGAAGATATATAATCCATACTTACTCTCAACTTGAGAATTTGCTGTTCATTCAAGATTTAACTCTGGCTGCAAAAAACAAAAACAAAAACAAACAACAACAACAAAAAAAAACAACTTGTTCTTTTCTTTAACCTAGAAGATTGGTTTATCTTCATTTGTGTTGGTTGGCAAAACAAAACAAAACAAAACAAAAAAAACAATGTTAAAGGTGATGAAACACTGGTTATTTCTCAAGAATGGCTCAGAAAATTTATCCCATTCAGACCTCATATTTTATTTATAAGGCATAGCCAGTATCCAGACTAAGCACTCTGCCAGCCCCACACAGCATCTGAAACTCTTCAGGCTTCTATTATTTTATACAACCACCATCTTTTATTGTCCACTCTAGGTGGACAATTAACCAATTCACTAAACTTTTATCTAGGTCTGAAGAGGAGAAAAACGGCCAGTTATAAAAGGTTTTGTAACTTAGACCTTTGGATATTACAAACCTCTGTCTTTTGTAAGACAGTCATGGTACGCTTTTAAACCTTGGATCCTTTTTTCCCTATGTTCTATAGTATTTATGTGAAGTAAGCAGTGTATGAGCCAAGAGAAACTGAGATAGAAGAGAAATAAGGACTACCTGTGACTTAAGCTTTATAACTGCATGCAGTAAATAATGATGCATTCAATAAGACATATTAGAATGAAGAGGTAGGAGACATAAAAATATCTATACATCCCTTCTGTATAATTTTTTCCCCATATCTAAGACATATACTTGTATTTAGAAGACAACTTATAAATCATCTTGGGGGCTATTGTATTTAATGCAATGTCTTTATGGGTGACCAGTTGGAATGGCAGTGATCGATGGAGTCACACAACTAGGTCCGGTGGTTCAAATGTAGTTCAGTTTGGCAGTGACTAAAAGTCTTTATGATCCAGCGATTCTTCAGCGACCTGGATGAAATGAATTGGTCTCTTTCCTGGTGAATAGCTGTCCATGTCACAAGACTAGAATGTAACTGTTACTAATTGTCTCCCTGGTTGATAGTCTCAGCAACAGGGTTAAGGGGGTCATAAGGAAAGGTGACAAAGTGCTCTGTCTTTTCACACCATTGCTCATGTATTGAGCTCATTGCACCAGGTCATCCCATTCACTGGGCAGAGAGGAGGAAACCATTCATTGTTGCAACCTGAGTTAAACTGAGCCTGTCTCTAATGACACATCCTCAATTCTTTTGATGATCTCTGTGACCAAATCTTTATTCATGCTGAATTTAGTCCAGCATTTTCACCCCCAGGGGGACAAAAGCAAAAGCAGTGTTAGAAAAGAAAAAAACATAGTCCCGAAAATGACAGACGTTTCTCCTCATTTAGAGCAAAGTCTAGATTTAACAGATTCATAAAGTTAGCTTCATAGTTTCTTTATAATTATATCCTGCTGTGTTAGAGAGTTGACTTAAAATTTACTCTCATCAATGCTTGTCCTTCAGGACCCATAAAAATATGTTTAAAAACATTTTTGTCTTACATAAAATGAAGTTTGAAGAATCTTCCCTGGGTAGGAATAATTAATAATAAGAAGATGTTAATTTTTAGTAAATGAATATAAAATAAAATTCAATATTGGCTGGGTGTGGTGGCTCAAACCTGTAATCCTAGCACTTTGAGGGGCCAAGGTAGGAGGATCACTTGAGCCCAGGAGTTCAAGTCTAGCCTGGGAAACACAGCAAGACTTCATCTCTACTGAAAAAAAAAAATTAGCTGAGTGTGGTGGTGCATGCCTGTGGTCCTAGCTATTTAGGTGGCTGAGTCAGGAGGGTAGCTGGAACCCAGGAAGTTGAGGCTGCAGTGAGTTATGATTGTGCCATTGCACTCTAGCCTGGGTGCCAAAGCAAGACCCTGTATCAAAATAAATAAATACATAAAAACAAAGATATATATATATATATTTTATATATATATATATTTCAATCCTAATCAGTATCTAAAGAGTTGATATTAAATTTCATATGAAAAAATCCAACAGAATTAATAATGATGAGGTATGTACAGTGATATTGAAAGATAAAAATTGCTTCAATGAAACAAGATGATATCAAAAGATAGACAGGCAGATCAATGGAACCCAAGTAGACAATGGCCAAAACCAAATCCCTACATAAGGGAGTGTAGTATTTGTTAAGCAGAGTATTTCAAATCCATGAGAGGTTTGGACAATTGGGTATTCAAAAGCAGAACACAAAATTAGATTCCTCCCTCACACCATATGAAAAGGACAAGCTACAGATAGATAAAAGTCTAAATGTAAAATCTACAAAGTATTTTGTAGATGTTTATAAGCTTGTAGAAAATGTTTATAAGCTTGGAGTAGCATTCTTAAGTAAGACATGGAAATCAGACCCCATAAAGAAAACATCATGGGCAGATTTGAGTTTGTTAAAATTCTAAATTCTCTAAAGGACAGCAAATGAAAAGTTAAAACACAAACAGCTAATGTGAAAATATTTGTCCCATATATAATAAGTATGTATAGCAAATATTCCTAATATTTAAAGAGTTCCTTCACTACGTTAAGAAAAAACAATAACCATGTAACATAAAAATGGACAAAGAATATGAATAGGCAATTCGGAGATGAAGAACTAGACATGACCTATAAACAGATAGGAAGTTCTCAATCTCAGTATTAATAAAAACAATGAAAATAAAAACATGACATCCCTTTTTGGCTTTTAGACTGGGATAATATGAAGAAAATGAAAAACTTTGTGTGCTGTGCTATACTGGGCTGATCTGTGGCATGAATGTGACCTTCTCATTCCCTACAGTATTAAAGTAAATTTGCAAGACCTTTGGAGATTAGTTTGGTAATAGCTATTAACATTTTAAGTGCTCATTTCTTATAACCTAGAAATATCATTTTGAGGAATCCTTCTTATAGCAATGGTTCAAAAGCATATGTGTGTGCTTATTGCAAACACGAATGTCTGTTAATAAGAAAATGGTGGAATAAATCTTTACAAAGGGCTTTATGTAGCCATCAAAAAGAATAAGGTAGAGTTATATGTAATAACATGAAAAAAATTTGTGCTATATTGATGAGTGAAAAAATGTGCAGTATGATGACAGTTCTTTCATATTTGTGTGTGTGTTCGTGTGTAGTTCTATATAACCTCAAGAAAATATTAAGAAGTATATGACCCTAATTGGTAAAAGGAGCTAAACATGAAAAGTAGTTGAAAGGGTGAATAGACTGGAGAAGCCAAGAAAGGCCTTTTACTTCTTTGAATAACTTTGTTAAAAAGGATGGGAATAAGGATAATTGTCCAGAGTTGAGGTTTGGGGCTTTTTAGTGAGATAGGTTTGGGCCTACACAGCCATGTAACTTTGTACTCCTGCAAACTTTCATTTTTCCAATAAGGGCAAAGCAGCAACCATCATTAGGGCTTAGCCTGATCACTAAAGGTGCTCTTCAGACATGGTCATTGTGAGTGTTCAAAGCACCAACCTGGTTTTAAGGGATGCTCCAAACTGGGATATAGGGAGGAGGAAAGTGTGTCCCTTCAATGTCTGTTGGGAAAATGTTTGCCTTCCTGTTGCTGATAATTAATTTCAGAGCCATTTGCCTTTGCTTCCTTTTCTTGTTAACATGCAGTATCGACCACAAAATGATTCAATACATATCAACGTTGCAAAGTAATTGTCAATGGAAAATATACTTTTATAAACATTAGATCTTTAAATGCTATGTTTTCATAATCTGTGAAGGATTACAATATGAGATCATCATTTCTTTTTTCTTGCACTTCTATAGGTTCAAACTTCTTCTGTAAATAGTTTTAATAGTTTCTTTTGTCAAGCTGCCATTTGAATCAAGGAGAGAATTCATCATCCCCTCAAATAAAGAAGTGGACCACAATTTCCAATTACTAAAATGCAAAACTTGTCCTCTCTACTTATGTTTTTATAACACAGCATGGAAATCTGTCTTCTGATTTCTCAGAGTAAGAAATTAGTTTCTAAAGTACAAAATTGCATTTAAAATCACTTTCCTTTTCCCATTCTTATTCCTTCTTCTTTCTCTCATATAACATTTTCTGTGATGGGCTTTTGGAATGGGTTTGTTCTATGTTTTTATGCAGCATACATCAAGATAGACATTTATACTTTCATATTTAAATATTTTTTTTTTTTTACCATGATCAGTATTCCAACTTGTGGTTATGATATCTCCCACATGGGAGATATTTCATTGCCAGGTTGTGTATAAACTTCTGTTTATCAACAGCAGCTTACTGTTGTCATTTCTCTTGAGAAAACACTTTTGTTCTTATATAGAAAAATCATAAGAAAAATCTTAATTTAAGGGATTAGTGATGAGAAAAGATTATGGCCTTTGACCCGTACTAAGCTAATAATAAAACCTAGAGAGAAGGAATTATGGAGATCAATTTCCCCAAAATGCTGCTTTTGAGTTACCAATTTGTTATTCAAAATCTGTTAACGTTTGAATTCTTTAGCACCCTTTAGCCTTCATAAAATGAAATAAAACATTTAACTTTGGCCTTCTCTACTATCTGGTACTACCCCATTATACCTGGATAAGGTGAAGAATGCTGAAGAACAGTACCCACCTGCTGGCAGGACAGGCCTTGAAAGAGCTCACCTGTTGTTTAAGGAGAAGTTAAAAGGAAAAGCAACTCTCGCATAAGTGATAATTTTTTATCTTGCCTCTATTAAAAAAAAGAGAGGCACACAAAGAGAAGACAAAAGCAGAAATAAAAACGTAACAAAAGTGAAGTCAAAACCAAGGCATATTTCAAAAAACACAGACACATAAGTGGATATTTGTGTAAGGATTTTATATATGGGAGTAAAAAGTTAGCCATTTTAGAATGGACACTTTGGGGATAAGTTCAGGAGATTTAGTAGTGGTAATTCAGATTCTAGGCAGGAAGGTCCTTGATGTCAGCTTTGGAAGTAGAGCAGTTTTTTTGGCTAGAAATCAGAAGGGGGAAAAAGGCACAAAATTGTTGGAATAATATTAAGTGATACCATGGAGTAGACTTGGGATAAAAATGATTTATATGTGGTTTAGTAATGAAATGATGCAGACATTATTTTAAGTGAAAAGCAATGTGATATGATAAAGCTTGTGGCAGCATTTAGATCCAGGCTAAGGGGACCTACGTGAAGAGCAGCTTGGTGACAAATGGAGGCTGAGCTAAATCATTCATTATGGAGGGACTAAGGATGACCCACACCAGTGCAAAAGGGCAGCCTTGTGCCTGCCTCCTGGGTTTTGCACAGCACTAAATGAGGTCAGCCTCAGGTGCTCGGAGGAGGCACATGGCCAGGAGCAAAGATGCTGCTCTGTGTCTGGTGTGGTTAGACAATCAGTAAAGGCACGCATCGTCCGCCTCCCTACGCTTGCTCAATAATTGGGCTTCCCTTGTCTTGTTTCCACGTTTATTGGGCAGGAAGGGATCTGTCCATTTAATATAGAACTTATATTTTCAGTGTAGCTGACATTGGGTTAAAAATCAATATAAGACTTACATGATACAATAATGTTATTTTATTGATAGCTATCAATAATAGATAATGAGGCCTTAGTTTGAACTTCCTTGAACAAGATAAGGAATCGAGGCTGTCAATACGTTATAAATGAAATTCTAATGATGTAGAATTATTAGCTTGAATTCCAGTCCTAGACATTGATATAATTAATTTGTGGAAACTAGTAAGTTGGATGTAATAAATCAAATATGTTTTATTACATTTTTTCACAAATAGATAGATTTTTAGAGAAAAGTACCTTTCCTCTCTGCAAACAGAACCATTGCACATGCATTTATGACAAATGAGCACATGTGTATATGATATTCATAGTATTTTTTTCAGGTTATGGAACGTCTTTATACATTTCCTGAGAAGAAAGAAAATATAAGTTGCTTAGGTAATCTAATAACATTTAGATAGAAATATTTGTGTGTATACTCAAGTTCCTCAGTATCAGCTGAACATTAAAAAAATTTTGTGTGTGTGTTCTGTGAAGGTTACGGCCACTGTTAAAATTCCATGCTTTTTCCTTGCCATGGTTTAAAATACATGAGCAACAGCACAACTCTAGAGGGATTTCCAGTAGGTTGACTTTTCTAGAAATTAGGATCCTTAGGAAAGAAGAGGTAGAGATAGATTTTTAAAAATTCTCTCTTCTGCAGCTTTATTGATAATGTCCAAAGCTTGTAAGGAGATAAGATGTTCTTCCATAGGTGAATAGGGTCGTCAACTTGTTATGTCCATACAATGAAATACTATTCAGTGATAAAAAGAAATGAGCTATGAAGCTATGAAAAGGCAAAGAGGAAACTTAAATGAATGTCGCTAAGTGAAAGAAGTCAGCCTGAAAAGACTATATACTGTATGATTTCTCCTATTTGATATCCCGAGAAAGGCATAGCTACAGAGACAGAGTAAGACCAGTAGTTTGCAGGGACAGGGGTGGGAGGGCTGAGGAGGAGAGACGAATAGGATGAAGCACAGATGAATTCGAGGACAGTGTAACTACCCTGTATGATACTGGAATGGTGGACTATTGCATTATACATACAACCTGAATCCTATGGACTTTAGTTAATAATAATGTATCAATATTGGCTTATAAATTATAACAAATGTATTACGCTAATGCAATATGTTAATAGTGGGGCAACTGTGTGTGTGAAGGGGTGGGGGAGATATATGAGAACTCTGTTTTTTCTGTTCAGTTTTTCTGTCAACTTAAAACTGTGTAGGGGAGAAAAGACTTTTCTTACCCATTACTGGGTTCATGGCTGAGATCCCTATAACAACTGGCAGATTTACAAGAAAAAGGCATACAAATGTATTTAATATAAGTTCTGTGTGACATAGAAGCCTTCAGAATTGAAAACCCCACGAAACAACAGGGGAAACTGTATTTTTATGGACAGCCATGCAGAAGTATGATTAGAGGACGAGTGAGTGTGTTCGAATGGTAATAACTAGGCTGAATTTAGCAAGGCCTGTTTATTCAGATTTTTCCCTGTGTCCTTGTGTGACATTCCCTTCCTCTAGTATACAGTGGGCACCTCTTGAATGAGGGTCTATCACCTACTTAGAGGAAGGTCAGATATTTCCTTTATGGCCTGCTTCAGGGAAGAAGGGAAGGAAAAGGTCAGAGAGACCTTCCTGCTTCTGCTGTTTTCTCAAATGCCAAGGCGCCAGTTTTGGGATAGCATGTCCTGAATCCATCAACTGCTCTAAAAAAATGAAGTCAATTAATTCAAAAATTCTCTCTTCAAAATTAGCATTCAAAATAGAAACTTTCAATTCATAAGATTAAGGCTAGTCTGGGTGATAATTGGATGACATCCCATTGGAAAAGGGACATAGCACTGCTTCTTCTTTAAATTTCATATGTAAAGGGGAGGGAGAGAGGGTATGGGCTGAAAAACCACCTATTGGGTACTATGCACAAGATCATTTGTACCCAAAACCTCAGCATCATGCAATATACCCATGTCACAAACCTGCATGTGTACCCCTTAATCTAAAATAAAACTTGAAATTATATAAAACATCTCATATATTCATACATGTACATGCATATGTATGTATATACACAATACATAGATATGAACATATAAGTATATGTTTGTATAATTCTATATTTTATGTACATGCATTTTATATTTGATGTATAAACATGATTGTTGTTTCAAACCAGTTTTGCAAGTGAACCACTTTGCCCCAATATGCTCTCACCTTGAACCTCCCCATGAGAACAATATTACCACCTTTAAAGGCAACAATATTCTCTCAAGTCCACTTATGCAGTGGGAAACTTGTTTTTTTACAAAGGTGAATAAAAGAATAAATAAGCCAAACTTCTCCATATCACCATCTTTTCCATAGTTTCACTTCAGGATTTATAGAATTATAGAAAGAAGAGTAAGATAAAGCAATATATACACACATAATATATATATGTGTAATACATACACACTTGTAGGTTTAAGTGTGCACACGTGCATGTGTATCTGTGTCTGTGTGTATTTGTCTCTTCTGTGTGTGCGTTGGTGTGTATTCTTTTCTTAAAGAGCTCTAAGCTAAACTAAGAGTCATCAAACAATTTACCTTCTCTTCTATGGACAAAAGTCATCAACCATGTTTAATTTTTTCCTTTTTCAATTTCATAGTAAATGAATACCATAAATTGCTCACATCAAAGAATATAGACAGCTCTCTTTTGCATGTGTACAAATCAAAGTCTTTGTGAGGGAGACAAATATTCTTTGGTTGGAAGTGGCTTCATATTGTTTCCTTTCTCTTCTTGCAGGACAATAGTACACATGTATTTCTATAACAAGGTATATTCCACAGGGGAGGGCAGGAGAGTCAAGAGGCTTGTGCCTTCCCTGGGAGATTAGAAAGATAATGTAGATAAATCAATCCTTTTTTCCTATTTGGTTTTTACAGCAAAGGATGAAGAGAAAGTTGGGGAAAAAAGTTAGGGTGTGATTTCTGACGTGGATTCCTTACATGTAATGGGTCAATAATAGTTTTTGACATAATTTTGCATCCTCCAGATTTTCAAATACCATCCATTATAAGTAGGCTATTATGTTTACTGTGGCAATGCTTATGTATGCATTTATGGTTTTGCTTTTTTTAATCATTAGAAAGCATTTTTGAATCTCAATTTAAACGTTACCTCATTAGAGAGTCCTTCCAAATCTAATCTAAGCTCTACCCTATTCTAGTTTTCTTTCTTACTGCATTCCATTCCTTGACTTCATAGAATTTTACATGATTTGTAATTATACATTATTTGGTCACTTTTTCATTGTTTTCTGCCACCGGAATGTAAGTTCCACAAGGACATGAATGTGTATTTTGTTTCTCTCTGTATTTTCAGCACCTTGAACAGGGCCCGACAGATGGTAGGTGCTTAATAAAGATTTGTAGAATGCAGGAATGAATGAATGGTTGGCTTGTATAGCACTGTAGGTAGGAGCATGGGCTGTGGGACCAGAATGCTTAACCACAACTTGGCTATGCCACTTAATAATTAGGTGATTTTGGACAAGTTATTAAAACTTTTTGCCCCTCAGTCTCCTTGTCTGTTAAATGGGCCTGATAACAATAGTTTTTGCCTCATGGGTTTGCTTTAGGAAACTAAATAAATTCGTGTATGTAAAGAATTTAGGTCAAGGCATTTTCTTAGTGAGCAGTCAGTAAGTGTTTTTAATCCTTATATTTTCCTTTTATCTGAAATGAATTTGTAATACATGAAGCCTCTATAATGGATATCATTAGATACAGAAATACAGAATTTAAAAATAGGCATGACTTACTTATTTTAGGCGTTCTGGTGGATGAATATACAACAGTACATGTCTCTGTATAATTACATATGTAGAAGCTAGCCTAAAACAATACCACTACACTTTTGCTTTATAATTCACAACTACTATGCTATGTAATATTGTATTTGATTCTGACACCAACACTGCGGAGTAAGGAGAGAAGGCTTGGCATTGTACTGAGGAGGAAAGTGGTTCAGAAATGTTAACTGCAAGTCCCCAGATCCCATAGCGGGCTAAACTAAGGCCTGACTTTAATCCACATCTCCTGACTTTCAGTCCAACTCTCTTTATTATATTATCATTTACAGAATTATTGAGTTGGAACTTCACAAGTCATCTGTTTAACCAGTGTTTACTAAATACATGTCCAGGATTAACCATGTGCACAGCAATCTTTCCAACTCAGCCTTATCATATACCTCTCCTTTTATTTGAGTTAGATCATTATATTTTAGAAAGTTATTAGAAAAAACCTATTATATGCATATAAGTTAGATATATTTATTTTGATATGTATTTTCCCCCTCTGTGTGCCCATATTTGATTAAGAATAATAATCTAGAACAATGCTTCTCAAATATCATTGTGCATACAAATCTTTGGGGGATTTCATTAAGGCCCAGATTCTTACTTAGAAGGCCTGGTGTGGGGCCTGAGATTCTGCAATTGTACCCAAGCCCCAAGTGACATGAACGCTGCAGTCCATGGACTACACCTTGAGCAGCAAGGATATAAATCACTCTGTCAAATACATTTATGATTTTGTACATACGTGTGAGTGAGTGTGCATACATACGTGGGTAATCATCTAATGGATATTTTACAAGTAATGGAGAAATGAAAAACGAGTTATAAAAGGAGCTAATTATGGAAATTCAATGAAGAAAATGCTTTTTCAGAGAGGATGAGAACAGTAGGTAGAAGGGAGAGAGGTAGGAAAAAGTGTGACATGCGCTTCATTCTTTTTGCTGAGTGTCAAGAAGCTTTTGGATCTCTCCAGTCTGTTTCACAGACTCCCAAACCTTAACAAGTTCAAACTGAGCTAATTATCTTCCACCAAGGGTCAGTTACAAGAAGTATGATTCTGGGGGCACACACAGAGCCTTTGGAAAGGAAGCACTGTTTCTATTGGTTGAAGCCCTCCCAAGTGGGACCTATGTGAGACGTAGGACGTAGGTTGACAGTGCTTCCAGCGTGGCTTTCTGGCTCACTGATAAGCCTTTGGGTTCCCAGTTCAGTCTGAATAATTGAGCCTTTGGAAGGAATGACCAAGAACCATCAGTTCAATCTTTTCTGTTTTTTTTTTTTTTTTACACCTTGCCAGGTCGCATTGGTGTGCCCCATGGAATGATTGAGACTGGCCGGGAGACATCAAGAGGTATTAATGTGTATTTTGCAAGGAAGGTGCAGGAGCTGGGGCCTTACCTGCAGTTGCTGATGGATTTCTTAGTGAGAAAAATGGTGAGCAAATTGTAGTCAGAGCTATCTAGTGGGGCATGGTAAACCCTGTCAGCCAGTTAAATTTAACATACTGTCAACAGTTTGGGAGACCTTCACTGGGGCTTTTATTCTTTCCCTGGGGAAGGCTCCAAGTGGGAAGCTTCTCTTTCCTCTGAACATTCCAGGATATAAGATGTTCCCTTTCTCATTTCCTGGATTGTTGCTGTTCCTCCAGTGTCACAAATTGTCCTGTCTTCTTCAAGTAGTAATAACGTTACCACTTTCCAAACCTCGCCTCCTTATGCTCAGACATTTGATCCAGAAATGTGAGATATTAGAAGGAGAGAACATTGTTATAAAACTTACAGAGATCCAAAGAATCCCAACTTTGACCTGCTGAGACATTTTAGGGGTAGTGTCCTCCTGGTCTAAAATCATTAGACCAGAGTGTTCATTGTCCTTATGGTCTAAGGCCATGCCAGTCTAAAAGGAGAATCCAGGCAGCTGATTATCCTCAGCATCCAGAATCCAGAATCAAATTAGAATCCCCTACTATTTTTTTTGATTGGCCTGTCATCCAGGGAGTGTATGAACCAGATTGAGCTGGAGTTCAAAGAAAGGATAGTGCATCATGCCAGGAATAGTCAGGCTGGAGTTCAGAATTTTCATAATAGGTCTATATAAATTCTATGATTCTTTTGCCTTGATCACCATACATAGGTAATTATTCTTTGCTTTGTATTATTCCAATATTACTTTTATTTTTTTATGAGTCATACTGAACAGTTACTATCTCTCTGCATGTTTATTTTTCTGACAAAAACATAAGTTCTTTAACGAAAGGAATTTTGACTTTTGCCTTGGTATTCTTTTATTTTTATTTTTAGTTCTTGGGGTACATGTGCAGGATGTGCGGGTTTGTTACATGGGTAAACGTATGTCATGGTGGTTTGCCGCACAGATCAACCCATTACCTAGGTATTAAGCCCAGCATCCATTAACTATTTATCCTGATGTTCTCCCTGCCCCAACTCGATCCCCCAACAGGCCCCAGTGTGTGTTGTTCCCCTCCCTGTGTCCATGTATTCTCATCGTTCAGCTCCCACTTATAAGTGAGAGCACGTGGTGTTTGGTTTTCTGCTCCTGCATTAGTTTGCTGAGGATAATTTTTCTTGGTATTCTTAAGACATAAGAGAATATCTGGCACTGTAGAAGGTTCTCAAAAAATGTTTCTTGACTAGAGCTCAATGGGGAAAGATGGACTAGGAAAACACTATTCAAATTAACTGTGAGTTGTGTAAAAGACAGAATCCGGTTAAAAGGAAATTATTATTGATTAGTTATGTGTAGAGGAAACAATAGAATTGGGGATAGATATTACACATTTCTTCGAAGATTCTATAATTGTGTATTACTTCAGAAAAAATCCAATAGGAGTCTAGGAGATTAATGTATGTTTCTTGTGTTTTTTTCCTGCATTGCATTAAACTATTTAGTAATGTTTTGACATTTAATAGCTATCTATAGAATTATTTGATTGGGTGGTATTAATTTTTTTTTTGGTCTTAATGATGCTTATCAAATTAGTTCATTAAAATTAGAAACATCAGACTGAATTTCTAAGTGCCTGCCTGGGATGAATGACAACTTTGCAAAACTAAAGAAAAAGAGCCAAATGCTTAAAAAAAGTTAGGACAGGTTTCCTCAAGCTTTGTTCAAATATCCTGGGCTAGTTCGGGTAACAGTGGGAAAAGCGCTCTGGTACTCTGACTTAAGGACTGATGATGTGCTTATATTTGGAGAAGCTCTGCTAAGCACTTTTATAAAGGCAACATGAGAAGAGAGGAGTCGCGGATAAGCAGTGAACGGTCTATGAATGGTGAGGGCAATAACGAGCTTGTCTCTGAATCCTTGGTGATTCAGTGGCATGCATTATTTGCTAGCTTGCAATTCTGAGTTACTAGTTTACTGCTGGGCTGTAAGGTTCACCTTCTCTTGTTTTTCTTCTTATTTCTTCTGAACGCACACCCCAGGAAGTGAAAGTTACAACTTGCTTTGACAGACATACCAGAGCCTTTGGACTCTATAGACAGAGGGAATGTATTCAGAAGCTTCCTGCTTGGTGATCACATCCTTTGTTCTTTTGTGCATACCCTAAGTGAACTTTGCTCCAGACAAATTAGCCTAGGGCAAGGCATTGAAAAGACAAGATTCCAAGAAGGACACATAACACAGAAAAAGGGAGTGCTCCTTCATTTCCATGTAGGTTCCTATTTTTAGCCAAACATTTATCATTCTCATGTTTAATTCCTCCTAAGAATGCTAGTAATTCATGGTTTTATTTTTTTGTGAGTGAAATTGTTTCTGTCTAAAAGACCTTGAAGTTTTTAAGCATTGGTTAACTTTAAGGACAAGAAATCCTTATACTTAATGGGGAAACAACTTGATCAGCATGTCTGCTTGAGTTTTTTACTCTCTGGAATTTGAGGCAGCGTACAGATGTCATAGATCTATTGAATCATGCTTGATTGCAATATCCCACCTCATGAAAGATCTGAATTTCATTAAGCAACATCTTACTCTCCTGGTTTCTGATTCAATGGTCATTTTTTGGGGGAAGTATTCCTTGACTGCTGGTACATTATTATCATATAATAATATAGCACATATATTATGGTTGATTGTATATATATACTGTGTATGCATCTGGCTCTTGAGTGAGTTGAGAAGGTAAGAAGAAAGTTATATTTGTATCTTGGTTTACCCATCATTTAGCCCAGTACTTGGCACAGAGGGTGCACACATTATCCGTTGCTTTCTGACATGAATAAAAGTAAATCCTACTCTCATCTGAAAATTTAGTGGGGTTGCTTCATTTTTATAGAAAGGTGGTCGACAAATTGCTTTGAGCTCATGAGTGAACAATAACTTGTCTTCTCGAATAAAGATTGTCATCCAGACTTTTCTTTCTCCCATTTGTAATATTGTAAGAGTGTATGAAGTTCCTATTTCTAGTACTTCAATTCCTAGTGGACAACCACTCAGGCTTATCTTCCAGAAACACTTCTTTCATCATGTCTTCTCTTTGCTAAGAATCCTTTAAAACATCCCTATTAGGAAGGAGTAAACTGGGCCACTTTACATCCCTTGCAGTGCCTAGCGTGGCGTCTTGTACAGAGTTGCTCAATGGATGCTGATTAACAGGGAGATGCCAGCCTGAAGGTGATTCTAATAGTGGACTGCTGAGCTCTGCTTTTAGCCACATCTTGTTACACTCATGTATCAATGATGTGTTTGAATACATAGAATGTATGCTTATCAGATTTGCAAATGACCTGAGGCTGGAATGGATAGCAAATATATTAGATGACAGAATCAGAATCTGAAAACATTTTGACAAGCTTCCTCTAACAAGATGAAATTTAATAGGGATACAGGTAAAGTCCTACCTTAAAAGCAAAAAACCTTCCTGCTTAGCAACTGAATGTAGCAGATTCTCAGAAAAGGTCATCTGTAATAGGGTAGCCATATGTCAATGAAATCTTAGACTTATTTGGAGAACAGAAGGAGGAAGTTGAAGATCTCCCCTCTGGTATTGGTCAGACTCCATCTATTTATGTACAATTTATGTATGGTTTGTGGACAATTATGGGTTCCACATTTTCAGGATATATAGACAAATTGGAATGTAGTTAGATAATGTCAAAAGTTATTAAATCTATGCTGTTAAATGAGTACTTTTCTATGATAAGAGAAAACTCAGAGAATATAGAGTTTAAAAAAATAGTGGAAGTAGCATCATGAGGAAAAGATATTTGTCTGGAGCTTCATGGTCTCAAAGGTTTGACTAGCATTAGTATCTAGAAGTTATAGGGAAAAAAACTTTGGCTAACTCTAAGGGAAAAACTTTTAATAGTCAGCTCCCGATTAGGCCATAGCTTGCCCATGAAAACACTGAGTTGTCCAGTTTCTTTTTAAAAGAGGAAAACTCCATTAAGAAAAAGCCCACATGAAACTGACAATGAGATGCCACTATCCACCTATTAGAATGGCTACAATCCAAAACACTGACAACACCACATGTTGGCAAGGATGTGGAGAAACAGGAACACTCATTGCTGCTGGGAATGCAAAATGGTACAGCCACTTTGGAAGACAGTTTGGTGGTTTCTTACAAAACTAAAGATGTTTTTACTCTATGATCCAGCAACCGTGCTCTTTGATATTTACCCAAAGGAGTTGAAAATTTAGGTCCACCTGAACTAGATACCTGCACTAGAATGTTTACAGTTGTCCTTCAATAGGTGACTGGATGAACAAACTGTGGTACATCCAAACTATGGCATATTATTCAGTGATAAATAGAAATCAGTTATCAAGCTATAAAAAGACATGGAGGAAACTTAAATGCATATTGCTCAATGAAAGAAATAAATTTGAAAAAGGCTACCTACTGTGTAATTCCAACCATTGGACATTTTGGGAAGGCAAAACTATAGTGACAGTAAAAAGATCTGTGGTTGGCGGAGATTCAGGGGGAGGGAGGAAAGGATGAACAGGTGAAGCAGAAGGGATTTTTAGGGCAGTGAAACGAATGTGCATTATACTCTAATGGTGGATGCATGTCATTATGCATTTACACACAACCATAGAATGTACAACATCAAAAGTGAACCCTAATTTAAACTGTGGACTTGGCAGATAATGAGGTGTCAATGCTGGTTCACTGACAGTAAAAAATATGCCGTACTAATGCAAGATGTTAATAAGAGGGGAAACTGTGTGGGAACTGGGGGTGAGGGAGGGATATGGGAACTCCCTGTACTTGCTACTCAATTTTTCTCTAAACTTAAAACTTTTCTTTAAAAAAGGCTGCATAAGACAGTGATGGGGTAGGAGAGAAGGCCTGATATCCACTGGGCGGAGGTTTCTCCTGTAGTATCTAGTAAGAGTTACCAGAGATTGCAGTGGAGGAAGAGGGCTGATTTCAGCATCACAGAAGCAGTACTGAGTATCAGGTCCAAACGACATTTGTGAGATCAAAGACAGGCTCTGCAAGAGTCTAGAGGAGTGTAGGAGTGTATGAGTGTTAAGTAGAATGATTATTAAGACAATATGAGACTAAAGCCTTCAAGATGGAAATGGAAAGTGCAACAGGTTGTCATGGCTGCAGGACTCTGGTGTGGGCTAGCTGGTTCAAAGGCATAGTGTCTGGCTGCTTTTAAGTTTCCTGTCTCTGAAGGGATTCACAATAAACTTGGGGACTAGTTTCTAGGAATGCCACACACATATATATGTGTATATGCACCCACATATATACACATAAGCAAATGTGTATATGCACACATATATGCACATATACAGATGTTTATATATAAATACAGATGCACACAAATAGATAAGCGGGATAATTTTGTATACTGATAAGAGCCACTAAAAATATATGATGGAAAGTGACAGTGGCAGGATGGAAGCAGGAGGTTAACCCCACTCAGTGTGCTCAGGCAAGGTTCTGTGGAAGAGACAATTGAGCTGATACTTGAAAGATGCAAATAAAGCAGCACTGAGCACAGCTGAAGAAAAAACGTGGCAAGCAATGGTACATATTTTTATATTTACTTGTTAATATCCTGTTGGTTCCCCTTGCTTGTGAGTGTGTGAGAGGGCAGGTGTGTATTAGCAGGGTAGTAAGGATGAAAGAAAGAAATCTTGAGGACGCAAAGGAAGAAAGGTAAGTACAGAAACCAAAACTATTTCAAGGATTGGACCCAAGAATTTTGCAGAACGTTTTTAGAAAGACATAGGACTCTTGTATTTGCCAAGAATGAAATTAGATCATTTTTTCTTGTACTGGGTCGGATAAATAGTTTCCTAACTAACTTGAAAAGTGTGATTACTTTGTCAACTTTAAAAAGATAAGCAAGAGTTGTGAGAATAATTCAGAATAAAAATGTCTTCTATTTAAAAATTTTTAAAAACGTGAAGGATTAAATTAGCTAGCACAAACTGGGCACCTCTCTGAGTGGAACATTAAGTTGTGGGCGTGATGATTTTCTGTTAACAGAGGCGACAGGAAGAGGGCATGGCTAGGATCACTGTGAATATGGCCGAGCTATGCACACTTCAGAGGTCATGCTGTCTAAGTCCTGAGGAAGACAGGAAGTGATAACACACTTTCAGTCATGCAGGCTTTGCAAATATACATAGAGAGCTAGAACAGCTAAGAGAAGAGAAAAGTGAGGGAACAGGGAATAGGGGGAGAGAAGACAGGGATCATAGGGTGTACAGTAGTGGAATAGGATAGGATGGACGAGAAAGATGAGAGACAGAAGAGACACAGATTCCCCTAAAATATGATTTTGGGAGGAATATTTAAAAAAAGAACTTGAGAGAGATTTTTGAATAAATTATGGCTTTATTAAGAGACTGATAGATGAAATTTACTAAGAGACTCACCCAATCTAGCGTTGACCAGCACAGCGCTGCAGATGTCTTATGTAATGTTGCCTTTAAGAAAGTGGAAGTATCGCATGTCATGTTCTCTCCTCTTCCAACTCCCTGACCCTTCTTTCCATGTTTCTTTTCTGTGGAAATGGCAGAAATGTATCAGGCTTGTGATGCACCATCACAGATTTTGAATGGTCTATCCTTTTTTTTTTTTTGATTTGGAAGCCCTCAAAATGCTTGCCCATGATAGTTCAAATATCTGAGGAGAGGGTTGCTGGGGCTTTGCAGTGAAGAAATATTTGAATGGTATTGTCCATGATACACTATGTGGCTTTCACCATGCCTTCAGACTTCTACAACTGCAACTTCTGTCCAACAACCTCTCACAATGTCATAAATCTGCTAATTTAAATTCCAGGAAACCCATTCAATGCAGTGAAATTAAGTAATAATTGAAGTGGATACTAGCTACTTCAGCACAAAAGGTTTTATTTTGGTGTATTTTTAGGGCTTGGTACAACACACTGATACAAAAATACTAAATCACCAGAAGAAAAAAATCAGTAGTGTTGTAAAGGATATGAGAAGAGAGAAAAGAACAAAGGACTTTTCTCCAATCAAATGCAAATGCAAATGACCTGCAAGATTGTGAAAACAGTCTTTCTCCTGACAATGAACATTTTCATGCAGTGAAATCCGTTTTTGAGACTCATTTGCAAACGCTGTGATCTTGCTTATTTTCTATAGTGTTTGGTTATTTCAAATTGATTAGGAGACCTCTGATGTGGGAGAGAGAATCACTGAACTACCCCAGGTATTTCCGTAATTGGTTATCATGCTTAATTACAAATGTTTCAGCACAACCAATTTATTCTGGGCCAGATTTCCCTTGTCTTTCTACTGCTGCTCTTGCTGGTGCTGTTTTCTGTTTTCAGGGAGAGAAAGGAGAGAGAGAGAAGACAGATTAACCTTCTCCTATGCATGTTTTGGTTCTAAAAAAAGCAGATTAATGGATTGAGGGATTCATGCAAAGTATCCTATTAATAGTAGTAGTTAAAATGAAAGAAATGGAAACATGTATATATTAGTTTGTAGAGGGAGGTCATTCATTGCAAACTGTTACCAATCCCTTCTGGTTCTATTATTTCCATTAACTAGTGCTGGGAGCTGGAAGTTCAGCTCTCTCATCTCTCTCACCCTGCCATGATGCTGGCTGACCTTCATGTATTCAATCCACTTGCTCCTGAGCTCATCTGAAATAATGGACTAGAATGAAACAGAATATGACTCCACATAGTGCTATTCATCGTCCAGCAATCCTGAAGACCAGAGCAAGTGGCTAGTTGTGCCAGTGTCCCAGGCTGCAGATGGGGCACACATTGCAATCTCCATACTCTCATCTACAGCCTGGGGCAATTCAGAGCCAAATAATGAGAGGTGAGACCCTGGTGAGGGCAACAGCGTCATGCCTCCTGTCTCAGGAGGACCAGTGAAGATCCACACAAAGTTTGCAGCCCCAAAGGAAGATGGCAAGAATCTGTCTTTAATATTTTGTGACCAGAATAGGATTTAAGGAAAAGTGGGCATTTTTTTCAGACCATTCCTGCTGGACACTGCACATCACTAGGGGAGGTGCTACCTATTAAGAAGTGTCTCCTTACCAGTGCTATGACAGATATCTTGGCACGAAAGCAAAACATGCATTATGTGATGGAAACTTTGATTTCTGATTACTACTTTCAAATGTAATCGTTATTGTTGAAGCAAACCTTCAAATAAAGTGAGTTTTTAAAATCCTGACTGCTAAAGAATAGGAGAGGTTAAATTTGATCTAGTTTGATTCCCCATTGACAAAATTTACTGGATATTTAGGAAATTATAAAACAAACAACGATTGGTACTGGGAGGGCTCTTTGAAATAATTTAGGCTAACTCAGTCATTATTCAGATAAGAGCGATTAAGGGAAGTCAGGTGACTTTTCCAGAGGTCTATTAGTGGCAGAGCGGGGGGACCAGAATCTAGCTTTACTTCAGGTGTAGAACATGCCTGATAGAAAAAGCTTTTCTGTTTTCTGTGTATTTCCCACAACCAGCATCCTCCTTATGTCAGGAATTTTCTGTCCCTATAGAGTGATTTCATTTTACTTTTGTTGTGACAGGAATTACTGATAATAACGCAGAGTATAATAAATTATAAGAAGTGATGTTTTTTGTTTCTCAAAATTTATTTCAACATCTACTGAAACTGTGTTTGATTCCTGAACATTTGTGTACATAGAGAAAGCACTTTTCTTCGGTGGCAAAGATATCTGTTTTACAGTTCCTAATATTTACTATCAGTACTTCAGTAAACTTTTGTAAATCATTATTGAGGGTGAGAATTAATTTTGTGAAAAGTAGCCATTGGCAACGTTCACATAAGTCTGTGAGAAAAACATTCCAAATTGGGATTTTATAGTCACCGAAGGAAAAGCTCTTCTGTTATATTAGAGCTGCCAAAAGAATTCAGAACTCAAAAGATCCAAATGACAGCAAAGCAGATTGAAGCTGCTCTTCTTTCCACGTTCTCTTTTCTTTATGCACTCAGGGCTCTGCATCAAGAAAACTTATATGCAAGGGGTGCAGAACAGATCCAATTATACGGAGCTTCAGCTAATGTCTGATGCTTTAAGTACATTTCAGAATTTCTGTAGATCACTATAGAGCCGCCTCTCAATTTCTCAAAGTAATGAGAAAAGCCTTGGAATACATTACCCCAAAACCCATAGAATGAAGTAATTAGCATTCGTTACCAATTTTATTTCAGTGGCTAATTGCACTTCACACTCATATATTGATACAAAAAACTGGACAGTCAAGGAGCATCTATGATCATTTATTATATAAATACAGAAAGAGCGTTTGAAGGGAAGTTTTACTGCTCCACAGAGTCGGTTTGATAGATTGCTGTAATCCATCCAAAGCTACACTTGAGTACTGGTGAGTGGAATGGGAATGGGGGCAGGAAGGGGGGGGGGTTTGATGGTTATGATAGATGCCCATTAGATTTGAGAGGTGAGTAGAGCAGGGAACAGGTGGTTGTGGTGAAGGTGGTGCTGGTGACATTCCTATGCACATGTGTGCACTCTGACATTTAGGAATGCCTAAATGCATACCCTAGCAAAGATTCCAGAAACTTTGGCATGAGGGTCTACTGGGAATGCTAAACTGGGAAAATTTCTATTTGAGGGACCTGCTTTTGATTTTCTAGTCTGAGACTCAGGAGGTAGAAAATTCCAGTAACCTTTGTTTGAAAGTACCAGAGGGCTGCAGATACAAATACAATTAATTCTTATCTAATTCTTGGCTCTCTTGCATTACCACATCCACGGAATAGGAGAAAAGAAATACATTTTGTATCTTTATTCATGGAAATTTTCTGGAGTTCTCTTGTAAGCCAGGTACTGTACTAGGAGCTTTTGCTTGCATATTGGGGCCCCAGATTGAAACAGAAAGCAGAGGAAAAATAGCAAATTTGGGAAGGATATAAAAATAGAACAATTTAAAATGTGTGAGTATCACATAGAAGAAAAACCAGAAGAGGCTAGGCATGGTATTCATGACACCTAAGCCGGAAGGGCAAATGGAACTCAGAGAGACACAGCTGACTCAGGAATTCTAACTCTATGGAACCATGCAGTCAGTGAACAGCAACCCTTGAGAGAGAGAGAGAGAGCTGAAGGAATAAGAAGAAACACATTTCCCCAGCTCTCCTTCCTCTATCACATCTCATGCTGAGGCGCTCTATTGGCTGAAGTCAACTGGAAACCAGAACAGAAGGGAGCTCCTTAGTGCAGTCCATTAACATATGAGTGGACAGATCAGGGTGAGAAGGAAGAAGTGTACTGAGAACGCATGCTTTTCCTCATTTCATTGTGCAATCTCATTCTCCACTATCTCAGGGTGGATTGCATCAGGCAGGGTTTATAGCTGGAAACAACAGAACCCACTGGCTGGCTTAAGCAGGAGAAGATATTGACATCCTTCTGGGATCTCCAGTAGAGCTGGAGAGCCAGGTTCAGGGAGGACACCACAGCTGCTTACTGTGTGCCTATGTCACAGATGCCACTGCTCTGAGACTCCAGCCATGGTGGAAGCTGCCTTTATGGCTAGAGATTCTTCCTCATGGACCTTTTTCCTTGTCTTATCAGCTACTAATTCCAACCAGGGCATGTGCCTATGATTGCCAGAACCTAGATCTCTTGACTGAGCATCAGTACAAAAGAGGGTGGAAGAGTGAGTTCCCGGCATTATTCGCTTTCTATAGAATTATCGGTGCCTCTTGCAAGAGTTTTAGGTGAAGAATTCTCCAAATTTAGGAATGGGGTTCCAATGGTGGGTGGCCAAGGAGCATGTGAGATGCCTGCTACCCGCAGGTTTTATTAATTCCATCTTTAGATGAGGATCTGAGGTTCAGACGAGCTGAAAAGCTTGCCAAATTTATAGCTTTAGTTGGGAGTCAAACCTCAAGTGCAGGTTTTGGCTCTTTCTACTCTGTCAAAATTTCTCTCTACTTTCAGACAGCTCAATCTGATTTTCACTTTAGTGACTTTTTTTCTTTTTAAGACAGCACTGGATATTTTTTTGAAAGTGCAAATGATTCTAAAATTGACTTGGATGAAGAAATGTATGAGAAAAACATTAAAAAAGAAAGAAAAAAAAGAATAGTGAGAGGAATGCTTTCCTGGTATTAAAACATAATGGAATGCTATTGTAATTGAAATAGTGTGGGCATAGCAGGGCCTCAGCAAGAAGCAGAAAGCACACAAAAATAGAAAATTTGGAAGGATATAAAAATAGAACAGTTAAAAAATGTGTGGGTATTGTATAGAAAAACCAGAAGGGATTGTGCATAAGAGAAGCAGAGAGTCTTCATGACCCCTCTACAGATTACATGGATATATAGATTAACACAACAGAGTAGAAGTGCTAGAAAAAGATCCACATAAGTATAGTACTTCAATATGTGATACAAATGGCATTTTAATAGTGAATAGATGAGAAATTTGTTGGGCAACCTGCTGACGATTTGGCTTTTAAAAATTACATCTACAGGAATCCAATTTGAAAAGTGTTAAATGTTTTCATATGAAAAAGAAAAAGAACAAAAAGAAAATATAGATGAATATTTTTACAATCTTGATCTGTGCAGAGCATTTCTGAGTATGGCATCAAAGAGGCAGGAAGATAGAGAAAACCATTGTTTGATTGGTGTGCATAAAAATTAAAAATTTCTCCAGGCCTTAACAACATAGACCTTTGCCACCTGGAAAAATGCTTGCAAAATATATAAAATAAAGGACCTAATATTTCTAGTATGTGAAAAAAATAGTTCACATAAGAAGACGTGAAGATGGCTGATTAACATATGAAAGGCTCTTTAATCTCATTTGCAGTAGTAATCAAATGAATTCACATTACAACAAAATTAGCAGAAATTGAAATAATTGACAATGTCCAAGGTAGGCAAGAAGAGTGGGGAGGAGGATTTTTATTTTATACTATTCTGGTCAGGGTCAAAAATCGGATTACTTTTTCTAGAGAGTTATTTGACATTATGTACCAAAATTTCACTTCTAGGAATTTTATATCAGAAAATTGTTCAACAAACACAATAATCACACAGGGCTAAACGTTGTAGTGTTATTTTTAATAGGAAAAATTAGTAAAAGAACAAGTATTCATAAATGGGACAGCTAAATGACTCATGTACACTTATAAAGTGGGATATTACTTAGCTATGAGAAGGCAGATATCTATTGATAGCAAAAGAGATCCATGATATATATTTAGTTGAAAAAAGCAGGGTATAAAATTCTATGAGTAATTGATGAGAAGAATAAACAACATATTTAGAAAAAGCAGGGAAGATTATATCCTAAAATGTAAACTGTGTCATCTGGCTAGTACCATCTCGAATGACCTTTATTTTTTTCTTTCTTTATTTCTACAATTTCTAATTATTTTATGATAAGCACTGATAAGCATAAAAAACAAAAAGCTGTGTCTATTTTGAAAAAATGAAGTAAAATACATATTTCATCCTTAAGTAACATATAAAGACTAGATGTATTAGTCCATTTTCATGCTGCTGATAAAGACATACCCGAGACTGGGTAATTTATAAAGAAAAAGAGGTTTAATGGACTCACAGTTTGGGAGGCCTGGGGAGGCCTCACAATCATGGCGGAAGGCAAAAGCATGTCTTACATGGCAGCAGGCAAGAAAGAATGAGAAGCAAGTAAAAGGGGTTTACCTTATAAAACCATCAGATCTCGTGAGACTTATTCACTACCATGAGAACACATGTGGGAAACTGCCCCTATTATTCAATTATCTCCCACCAAGTCCCTCCTACAATATATGGGAATTATTGGAGCTACAATTCAAGATGAGATTTGGGTGGGGATATAGCCAAACCATATCTCTAGATGTTCATGTTCTCATGTTAAATGACTCTTCTAGTCTAAGTGTGTGTGTTTGTGTGTGTGTGTGTGTGTGTGTGTGTAAAAGGGTAGTAAAGATTGAGAAAGAGCTGAGGAAGAGAGAAAGAGGGAGAAGATAATGATTTGTCCTAATTTGCAATCCTCAGTAGATGCTACAACCCACTGTTTAGCTGGAGCTGGTCCCAATTCTGTGTGCAGCTTTACAGGCATCTGATCTAGAAGATAATGACACTCCCACACCTCTCTCCTGCAGCAGTGCTGATATACAATGGAGATGACCAGATATCCACAAAACAAGCAGAGGGCACAAGCCAGCCCAAGGCTGCATATCCTTCTCCTTGATTACTGGATGTTGAATGGCTGTATTCTGGAGACATGTTTGGCTATACTCTGGAGACATGTTCATTTCTGAGTTGATAAGAATGGTTTTTGCTACAAGTAGAAGAAAATGAGGCATTGGGGAAGGACTGTTGGGAGGATGAGGGAAAGGGTTCAGGGATGGGCCAAGGCCTGTCACCTTGAAGGATTCTCGTCTTCAGACTTCAGAGGTTGTTGTAGACTTCACTATTCAAATAAAGTGATTCCAGCTTCCATGCCATGCACTGATAGGGCCCTGGGAGCTTCCCAGAATGCTCAGCAGTGGTCTGGGTGGCTCTGCCCATGGCAATGAGAGTTCATACCTCTCTTCCATGTGTACGTGCTGGAGCCTGCCTCCCACTCCTGTCTCTCTTGGTTCTGGAGGCTCCACTTTCCTACTATTTCACCCCATACTGGACATCACCTCTTTTATTTTTATTTTTTTGGATAAAGTATCAGCAACACAAGCCTATTATGGGCGGCAGATTTTCACTGTAGCTTTAGAATGCAGCAGTGGAAAATGCGGGTGGTGAAGGGAGTAAATTGTTAGAATACATTCAACATTAGGTCTAAATGTTTCCTAAAGTTTATTTATATTTATATTTATTTTTTGTTTTCTTAGAGACAGGATCTCACTCTGCCATCCAAGCTGGAGTGCAGTGGTATGATCACAGCTCACTGCAGCCTTAACCTCCTGGGCTCAAGCAATCTTCCCTCCTTAGTCTCCTGAGTAGCTGGGGCCACAGGCATGTGCCACCATGCCTGGCTACTTTATTACTTTTTGTAGAGACGAGGTCTTGCTTTATTGCCCAGGCTGGTCTTGAACTCCTGGCTTCAAGCAATCCTTCTGCCTCAGCCTCCCAAAATGTTGAGATTATAGGCATGAGCCACAGTGGCTGGCCCCTAAAATTAAGTGGTGTTTAGAAATCCCTCTTTTCCTTAAGCTGCCTTACATATGCCCTCTTCCTCAATTTTTGGGGCACTCACCCTTTCTATTTCAGGGGAAGGAACTTAAAATATCTTTCCAAAGGCAATTTAGTTCTCTATTTTTCAGTGCAGGGAGTAGAGGGAACCCACCTTTCATATCAAGAAAGACCCTCAATATGTTTTCCTAAGTAAAAGTAATCTGTCCTGGTGATTAATTACATTGCTCCCATGTTTGCAATAGGAATTGGTTAACTTTTAAATTTTCTCCATTATGTAATACTGGATTGGCACAAGACTGGAGGAGGGCCAAGGTATTCTTGAGACCTTTATTCTATTAAAAGATCTTTCTTAATTCTCAGGGGCCACTCTGCTGGCTGGGTTAATCCTGGTACCAAATGTACCTTCATTTTGGGTCATAGTGGGGAACCAACAGGACTTTAAAGCTAAAAACTGAGAAAATTCTATACTGAAGGCTGTCCTGAAACCGAACTGATAAAGAGAGATGCTTTATAGTGAAAGGGCTGTGACTAGAGAAAAGGAAGACAATGACTCAGCAAAAAAGAAAAACAATGAGCAAAGGGGAAAGGGAAGAATATATACAGAGAGACCAGAAAACAGAGTATATAAGGCAAATAAAGGACACAGTCAGGCAACAACAGGAGGAGGAGCTAGTTGAAAATTTCTCCCAGAGTACTAGACTTAGAATGGACATAGTGATCTACTCCACCCTGCTCTTAATATAGACAAGGAAATTGAGGCCCCACGAATTTAGGTGACTTTCCCAAAGCCATCTGATTAATCAACATAGATCTAAACCTAGAATCTGGGTCTTCTAGCCACTAACCCAGTGTTTCTACTAGTACATATTTTAGTTATTCCTGGAGGTATTAGACCAGCCAGATCATCATTAATTAATGAAAATAGTGTGGAACATATGGACATCAGTACATCAAGGTGACTAACAATCTCAAGGGTTCAGGATTGTCTCTTTTGGGGAATTTTGATACCTCCTATTTTCCCTGGTTACTCACAAAATTTAGTAGCTTTCTTTTTGCCTAAAACTGAATGTTATGTTTAGGAAAGTGACTTTCATTCCATTTTTTTTCTTTGAGACAGAGTCTTGCTCTGTCACCTGGGCTGGAGTGCAGTGGTGTGGTTTCTGCTCACTGCAACCTCCACTTCCTGGGTTAAAGCGATTCTCATTCCTCAGCCTCCAGAGTAACTGGGACTATGGGTGTGTGCCACTGCACCTGGCTAATTTCTGTATTTTAGTAGAGAAAGGGTTTCGCCATGTTGACCAGGCTGGTCTCAAACTCCTGGCCTCAAGTGATCCTCTCGCTTCAGCCTCCCAAAGTGCTGGGATTACAGGCGTGAGCCAGGAAAGTGACTTTCAACATGAAAGGATTGTAATACTAATAATCGGGCTCATTTTCCAAATAGTTAAATAATAATCTATGAAAGTAATAGACATGCAATAATAATAACACATTATTCTTGAGCAAATATTTGCACATTGGAGATGTACATATCTATATACAGACATATATCTTTATATATACATATATCTTTATACACATATATCTGTATCTACACACATATCTATATATAGATATATGTCTGTATATAGATATATCTTTCTCTATATATCTACTGTCAGTTGGAAAAGATCAAAAGACCAATATTCAAGAGACCACTTCAAAAGGCAAACCAGTATTTTGGACTAAGTTTTATCTCTTTGCATATAGGTGACTACACAGCAAGAACAGCAGCAAAAGGAAAGGCACCAAGTGTAAAGGAAGAATATTTGAAGCAGAACAGAAATAATTTCTGAGCAAGAAGGGCTATGTGATGATGCTTCATTCAGCTGGTGATCCATTACACCTGTTAAGAGGCCAAAGAGAACTGTAGATCTCTGAGGTCCATGGGGGCAGGGGCAAGGGAATAAGATGAAGGGAACACTAGAATAAATGAAGTGCCTTAACAGCTGAAAAGGCTGATGGATGTGCTTTGCACCTCAGAAGACGGAACTCCCAGCAGGAGAATAAAGAGTGCAACAGAGCAGAGCCTGCTAGAACCACACAGTTAGGGAACTGATCCTCTAATAACCTCTCCTTTCAGAACTTTATAATGTGCTATAAAAACCCCTTGTCTGTGGACTAAAACCTGGCACTACCACACTTAACTGCGTTTTATTGCCATTGCACAAATCTCCGATTTGCTGTTACTTTCTCTTAAATAGAATTGGTTCTATTTTCAGCAATGCAGGTGCCAAGATGTTTTGTAAAAATTTTCCGTAGAGAATGGATTTGATTTTTAAAATGCAGAGACTGGATTTGAATTCTTAAGTTGAAATGCTGGACTAGGCACCAAGGACTTTTGATTAAATCATGCCTATGTCCATGCTCCGCATCCCACCTTGGATGGTATCTTTTGATACAGAAAACTGTATGAAAAGCAGAGATATTCAGCTTCATGATTTCCAATGGTGAAGGTCATCCTATAGCTAACTTTCTTCAATGGCCTTCATAACAAAATTTTGGAAAGCATCTACTTCTCATGTGTATATTGGCAGTTTCATTTGCTATCAGTCAAGAGGAAATAAAATACTTTATTTCATGATCTAATGATACTTAAAAAGTTGAACCAATGATAGACATGGTGATTACAGATATATTTCAAATGTTGCAACCATTAGTAATGAGACTTCATACATCTTTACCTGACACAATGTTATTTCAATGGTTGGCTATAGTTCACGATCTATCCATTCTTTTGTTTCTTTGTTTGTTTTTTGAGACAGAGTTTTGCTCTTGTTGTCCAGGCTGGAGTGCAATGGCACGATCTCAGCTCACTGCAACCTCCGCCTCCCAGGTTTAAGCGATTCTTCTGCTTCCGCCTCCCGAGTAGCTGGGATTACAGGCATGCACCACCATGCCTGGCTAATTTTGTATTTTTAGTAGAGATGGGGTTTCTCCATGTTGGTCAGGTTGGTCTCGGACTCCCAACCTCAGGTGATCCACCTGCCTCGGCCTCCCAAAGTGCTGGGATTACAGGTATGAGCCACTGTGCCTGGCCTCATGATCTATCCATTCTATATCTCAAAAACAGGCTGACTAGAATTCCAGTCAAATTCAATGACTATGTATAATCAAATTCAGAGTCAGAAATAAAACTTGGGTCATTATATCTCTACTTTCCTTCTCTACATCACTCTCTATAATCAGAATCAATAATAATGAATGAGTTATCATTATCTATTCACTAATTTTCAAGTAATTACCTTTTCCTAAGTACATAGGGTACTATATACAGTGTTGAAAAATAGGCTACCATCATGGAAGCATAATAAATTGAAGTAAAAAACACACTTACCTAGACAGCCAAAAATCTAATTAAGCAATTTATACTATTTTATATTTTCTAGGATTTGTTCCTGAAGAAAGGGTCACTTTGATAGTACAGATGTTCCAGTTAATTATTTTCAAAGTTAATTGCTATTTGTTTTTGACTCTGTTGGTTTATTTATTTTCAGGTTAGAGGCCCAGCTTCAAGCTAATATGTTTAATTCACAGGTCTAAATACTCCCCTCTCCCTTCTAGTTCTAGTTTTAAAGAAAGTAGTGGGTTGAGTATGCTCTCCTAGGAAAGAAATATTTACACAATGGATGGGGAAATCACATGGTTTTTTTTTTTCCAATTTTGCGTATATGTTTGCATTTTTCTTCCTCTCATCATTAGAACTGGTATGTGAAGGGCGAAAAGACCCCTCACCTTGAACCATACTTTGTTTATTTATTTAATTTTTTTGAGACAGAGTTTTGCTCTTTTTGCCCATGCTGGAGTGCAATGGCGTGATCTTGGCTCACTGCAACCTCTGCCTCCTGGATTCAAGTGATTTGTCTGCCCTGCCTCAGCCTTCCGAGTAGCTGGGATTACAGGTGCGCACCACCACGCCTGGCTAATTTTTTTTTTTAAGTAGAAATGGGGTTTCACCATGTTGGCCAGGCTGGTCTCAAACTCCTGACCTCAGGTGATCTGCCTGCCTTGGCCTCCCAAAGTGCTGGGATTACAGGCATGAGCCACCGTGCCCAGCCACTTGATTGTTTTAACAACTCAAGGTTGAGGGTTCTGGAAATAGACTAAGAACCAAAGAAGAGTCTCACTTGTACATGGGTCCTTTGCAAGCACTTTGGTTCTGTTTTTAAGGCTAACTCTTCTATTTTGATTATCTGAGCTACAGGATCCTGCTTTGATTTTTTTTTTTTTTTTTTGACTACCTCTGGTTCTTTTTATAGATGTTGAGCTGTGGTAGTCAATGGGCACACTGATTTGTACAATAATTGTCCTGCAGTTGTTTTTGTCCAACTTTCTGAAGTACTCTATATAACAAGATTCTAAGTGGGATTTGTTTCTATATGGGCACTTGGAACATAAAACGGGACCCATTATCTCACCTAGGCTATGGCTTCCTGGAAGAATGACTCAAGTCGTTCACTTGGGGGTAGGAATGGAGGGGTTGAGGGGTAAGGGGCACTCTGAAATATTTCAAACAAGTCATCAATTGCATATGGTTAGACCAACTTACTTGACATGCTGCTTTGGAGCCAAACGAATTCATTATTATACCACCTAGCAGGCTGCTCTCCAGCATCCATATACACTGACAGTCTTTCAACCAAATAGAGCAATTGCCTGGGTTTCCTAATGGTGGGACGTACACTCTGTAGGTGCCGTAAAGGCCTCTGGACCTTTCCTTACTGTTTTCCCTTCTCTGCTTTTTAAAATGCCTGATTCTTTCACAGATATCCTGACAAACTATTGTAATAATGGGTAAATCTAGATTAATATTATCCCTCCCTTGTCATATACCTGCATTTGAGCTAGAATCCTCAGAAATGGCTTTACTGGAGGAGATTTCAGGCCCCATACCAGGCATGAAGAGACGTGAGCCTTCAGCTCATCTCAAACTAGGCCATGTAAGTGACTGTCTAGGCTGACTTCAAAGGCATTTAGTTTTGGTGCTTAATCTGGTCTGCCATTGAGAAGCTCACCATTATACCTTCTAAAACTAAACTGTGTGTGTGGATGTGTATTTAGATTCAGCATAACAGTGTGTATGATTTTTTTTTTTTTTTTTAGTTTGTGCTTTCAAGAATCAACTAAGAAAGTTCTGTTATTTGATCCTGCTGATGTTCCCTTTCAGACAGCTGCCACCAGCACCGCTTGGCCACTTCCTTTTTATTTCCTATTCCCTTTCAACTGTCTGGCTTACTTTGATATGATTTCGTCTCTCTCTGTAACGGCAATGAGAGAGGATGTTTTTTCCCAAGGCCATGGCATGATATGCCTTTTAATTCGTTTTAGGCTTATTACCTTACAAATTTAAGAATGAATCAGGGCTCTATTTGCTTGGGCCAAGCATGCTTTAGAGAAGTGGGAAGGTAAGAGGACAACGTTAGATCACGTGTTCGCTTGGTGGCCCCTTTCTAGGACAGAATTGGTCGTTAGAGGTTTGATACCTGGGTCTGCCCCTTTTCTGCCTTGTGACTTTGGATAACCCACGTAATCTATCTGCTCACTGCCTCCTTCTTTATAAAATAGTAAAGAGAATATAATTTTACCTTCCTGGACTCCTAGGGATGCCAGGAGCTTTCAGATCATGTGTGAAAGTTGCTTTAAATTCTCTGAATTCCATGCAAGAATGCTTTTAAAAAGGCTTAATACAAAAATGTTACACAGAGAGCAGATTTTGTTTTGGAAAACAATGTGTGTTTTCTAGGAATAATATTTCCATTGCACAATTACAGTTTTTGAATTTTTTTTTTACTGTGACTTCTGGAACTTATTTTTAACACATGATTTAACAATATGCTGTGTTTTTGACAGCCTTATATATCTTTCTCGAGAAATCTGCAACACTGTGCTGTTAATTTGAACCTAGGGAGTGAATCTGGTCCCCAGTGAATATTGCCATCACTGGAACCCGAGGTCCTATTAACAATCCACAAAATAGAAATCACAGGTAAGGCTGCTACATAGTAGAGTGACTCTTTCCTGTACATTATAGTGCCATTTTGCAATGCATTTTTCTTTCTCAGTCATTCTCTCTTGAATTGCATTTGGCTTCTGCCTGACCTATTAGTAACTCCAAGATAGGATACATTACTCGCTAACTTTTGGGAAAGAAAAAACTTTGCGATTAACACAGAGACCATCCATTTATATTAAATAATATGCATAATGAAGTAGGCTTGTATTTATAATTCCTTGTTTCTAGATATCTTCCATTCTTTCTGGGTTGGATGGTGGCAATTTGCCACTATTTTCTTCAGAGGAGAGGGAGCATATGGTTAGTTCCCTAGATTTGAAAATCCAGACCATCTATATTCACTAATGAAATGATTTTGAAATATGGAAATTATTTCTTTCTCTCTAGAGACCAAAACTGTGATCCCCATCTCCAGTTTCATCACCCTCCAGGGTAGCTCCAATCATCCCAGAAAGTGGCATGAAAATTTGAAGACAAAATTAATTTTCATTCAGTTTAAATTAAAAACAAAGGCATGCCAAATTGAGCTGTTAAAGAAAGGGTTATCTTGATAACCAATAAATGCCATTTTCAATCTGAAAGTGTTCTTTCTATTCAATCCATGTTGTAAACTAGCTAGGAGCAATGTGAGACATACTCAGGGTGGTGCCTCCAAAAACAGCAGACTAGGGAGAATCTCATTATTCTCCAGAAAGTTCCTTTTTTCAGATTTTCTAATTAAGGCTTGAAATAATTTCAGGACAATGTGAAGGAGGCAAAATTATTGTTTAAGGTTGATCCCTGCTTTTTGTTAGATCTGAATTCCATTTGAACCATAGAGTTTCTCCATGCTGGGATAAAAAACATCTTGTTTCATTTCTTTCCATGTTATGTTTTCTGTCCATCAGCCCTAGAATCCTTACCCAGTATCATCTGCCGGGTGCCTATTAGAAAGTACTCATAAGAAACATCCCTTACCTCATTGCATCACCACCCATCATTACCATGCTTTTAAAGGAGTATCATTACGTCAGTTAAATGGTCTTTCAAGAAAAAGAATGTTTTTTATTAATCATGGCAGCGTGGTCCTCAACATTTTTGCATTATTTCTTCTCTTCTGATCCTATTGCTGAAGTTCAGCATAATTTCTTTTGAGCCCAAAGACATCTTATTTCTTTCTTGCTGTCTATGAGATGTCTGCCTCATCTTAAATGAGATCCCTTCTTTTTCTTCTTTACTTAAAATATCTTTAGGATCATTTCCAGGTAATTTTTACATTTATAGTTCACACAAATCTTATATTTACAGCCCCATTGATATGAAATGAAATTATAAGCACTTACTTTCCTTGGCACATGATTTATTCTCTAGCACTGAGGAAAAAAGACAAGTCTCAGATTTCACAACAGCTGAAAGTTATAGTAATAGCAAACTGTGTTCTGATCAGTGGGGTCTGGATGTTGGTGTGAATCTTGGTTTGCAATTTGGTAAGATCTGAAAAAGTGTAAATAAACAAGGTCACTATCCTGTTGGGCCTCAGCCTACAAGATGCTAATGGAGGCCCTGATGGATAAAGGACTTTTCATTCGTGTAGTACCTAATATTCCTATGATTTTCTGTTTAGAAAATGGGAAAATACATTTCATTATAAATTTGAAACTTTCGAGAGGAGTGAAGAGTGGGATGGGAAAGGAAGAATATTCTTTTTATATTCTGATATTTTTTCTTTTTTTTACCCCAATTTTCAATGATAATAATAATTATTAGTAGTAGCAGCACTATTTTATATAAAGATCCAGATGCAATTGAAGTCTAATTTAGTATGAAAGAGGCATCACAGATATTTCTGTCCCATAACAAGAAAGTTTCATTGCATATGGAATATGTATGGTGATTTGACTCCCTCCATAACCAATTTTGGATCTTTAAAGGCAAAGAATATTGGCAAGAAATGCAAATGTCACATGTGGCCGAGACACATAGCTGAGCAGTCTATGGGGCCTGTCCAGTGAGGAGATGCTACTGGGCAGTGACAGCTCAGCTCCTGGCTGCATGTCCCAGTCTCAGTCCTAGGTCAGGCTATGTGACTAGTTCTCACCAATGGAATATGAAGAGGAGTGACAGCCAAACCAGTGTGATTAAGAAACAGGTGAGCCTTGGCACCCCACAGTGTCTTCCACCACCTACCGGCTGAGTGAAGAGCACTCCCATGGCCTAAGATGGAAGAAGTGACCATGTGGAAGGCTACCCAACCAAGAAGACTCTTACTGATTCTGATGTGAGAAATATGTTTACAGGCCAAGCACAGTGGCTCTCGTCTGTAATCTCAGCACTTTGGGAGGCCAAGGCAGGCGGATCACCTGAGGTCAGGAGTTCAAGACCAGCCTGGCCAACATGGTGAAACCCTGTCTTTTCTAAAAAAAATACAAAAATTAGCCAGGCGTGGTGGCACACGCCTGTAATCCCAGCTACTCGGGAGGCTGAGGCACGAGAATCGCTTGAACCTGGGAGGTGGAGGTTGCAGTGAGCTGAGACTGTGCCACTGCACTCCAGCCTGGGCAACAGAGCGAGACTCTGTCAAAAAAAAAAAAAAAAAAAAAAAAAAAAAAAAAAGAAAGTCTGGTGTAGCAGCTAGCATTTATTAACACTTTCATAAATATAATATGAAAAATATCCTATTTTAGTTTTGGGATACTCAGCACAAACCATGTGCAGCATAGTCAACAGTAGGAAGAATCAAACTGAATACATCCTTACTATGTGCCTCTTTCTAATTTCAACACTTGAAAAATACTCTAAAATGATTCACTTATTTCTAGTTTTTTTGATTATCTTTCTAACTGACAGTATTGCCTGAAAGGCTTTTATGAGCCCTTTGAAAGGCTGAGTTTCAAAGGACAGTTTATTTTAAAAGTTTATTGTATAGTGGGTCATCCAAGTGTGTGCCTATCACTTATGTATAATAATATACAGCACGTGATTCAAATGTATGACATGTAAGGCTTTGCATGTGGCCATATATTAGCATTAATGTTTTGAATATTGTACAGCAAAATGTATTATGAAATTCTTATCATGAGATAATTAAAATCGTTCACATGTCATAAGAACTAGAAATGACAATGCACTGGATATCAACACTTGATAAGGAACAGATTGTACACGCCCCAACATTCTAGCCTTTACCATCCTTTGGCATTGATATTTTTCTTTCTCTTATTACTCTTTCCTTCTTTCATACAATTCCATGCAGACTTGACAATACTTCAAATTCTACAGTGTCTCAATGAAAATGTGACATGATAGTATAAATGAAGATCGTAATTCTCGTTTTACTTACCTTCATTCTAATGTACAATGGTTCTGAAGGCTTTTACTTTAAATACTACATAAGGAAAATTTTACTGTTGATCACAGGTGGAAATATATTTATAACTCAATTGCAATTCACTCATTTCTTTGGGGACACAAAGTCCTCCAGGGAGAGTCAAACATTTGCATAATGCATCCCAATACTCAGTTATGTATTTGTAACTTTGCTTTAACCAAGAGATATGTAAAATCACAAATGACTGGTCAGCTCCCTATAGGATGCAACTGAGAAACCTTAAGAATCCCATTTTCCACTTATTAAAATTTAATGTCTTAATATTAATAGAGGCTATGAGCTAGGTTCTTGTTAAGATTTTCAGATGAGAATCTGAAAATGGGCCAGACTTAGCCAGTACCTAGCCATATTTTGAAATGGGACAATTCTTTCCTTTTTAAAAATCTGTACTCTGCACCCCTTTCTCTCTCAAACTTGACTCTTCCTTCGTAAAAATTATGTTCCTTTTACATCCTTTCTTGGTGGCTAGTGTTTACATTTTGGCCAAGGTCTATTTTCTGTTGTCTCAGAGGAAAACAATTTGATACTTAAGTTCCTGGCTTCCTATTCTACTGTCACTCTCTATTGTCACTTCTTGTCTGAATTAGTGCAATAACCCTCTTACCTGGTCTCCCTAAATCCAACCTCCCTACTTCTTCGTTTGTTCTCCAGACTGTATCCATAACAATGTTCCAGAAATGCAGATCTGTTCATGTTTCTCCCCAGTTAGAACCTTTTAATGTCTTCCCACTGCTTTCAGAATAAAATTTAAAGTCCTTAACAAGGTGGATAGGATTTGGATTTGAGGTCTGGCTTGTTATTTATGGCCATGTGACTTGACCTAGTTAAATCACAGTTTCTCTTCACCATTGATTCTCATTATTTGTGGTAGTTATGCTCTGTACATTTTCCATAAACACTGAATTAGCAAATATCGAATCATTGCTCCTTGGGAAAATACAGGATTAGGTTCCTGTGAGCCTCTGGTTACAACACTTTTGTCAACAGATCAATATATAACCTTGTTTTACAGGTGTTTCTGTTTAAAAACACCTTATTAAGTATATATTGTCGATTCATTAACATTGAACTCGTGGGTAACAGCATTATAACGCATACTTAAATGAAGCTTCTCTAACACACATATTTTCTCCATAAAGTACTTTACAGTTTTCTTACACTCAGAAACACTAGACAGCATTTCAGTACCATGCTTGGTGAAATGGTGAAATCACCAACAAAGCTCAAAACTCCAAAAAGCGTGCCACTTTTAAGTAGACTGTGAAAAGGACACTTGTTTATAGTTTGGGAGCTGAAACAAGAAGGCACAGAATCACCTTGTTCGGCCTCAGTCTGGAATGGAAATGCCCGTTGGGTGACTCAAAATTTTCATTTCTACCAACCCCCATTCCCTGCTGCGTAAGTCTGTGAATGACTGAAAGGATGCAGTAAGTACTGATTTGGGGGTTAAAGTAAATTTTATCCAGTAGACGAATTTTCAAATCTTGATCTGTGGATAGAAGATTAACTGTACATGAAAAGGGATATGTTGCTAGCAGACACTCTTGGTTTCCTACCCTTCATGTCCAGCTTGTGCCTTGTTGGCCAGCTGTTTTCTGTGTAGCTGTATGCTCAGAGAGCCCCAGACCTCTGCTAAACCATAATCAACTACAACATTCATGAGGGCCCCCGTTCCCTTCTCCAGTGAAAAGTTTAGGGAAGGGCGTGTGACCCAGTCTAGCTAATGAGGGGTGGGGTGGAGGGGAGATTATTTCTTGCTGGTTAAAAGATACAGCAGAAGAGATACCCTTCTTCTTTTTTTGTTGTTGAAAGATTTTGTGCCTGTCTAGAACAGCAGACAGCAGGGATGGCCTCTTAAACCACGGTGATAGGCTGAGTAGGACTCAAAAAACATTTGAACAGGACTGAGGTTTTTCAGGACATTGACGAGCAACTGAATTAACCAACCAGGACTTCTTGATATATGCCAGTGTGAGTAGGTTTTCTTGTTAGTTAATTATTTGCATCCTGAAACATCTAGATAGTAGGCTTTATTTTCCATAAGGCCAGTATTAGGAAGAGATGAGAGAAAAAAATAAAAATATACATGTGTATATACACATATATGCCATCTGTTATATGGTTGAAACTTTATAAATGTTACTTTTCCCTATTTTTTTTTTTTTTTGAGACAGAGTCTCGCTCTGTCTCCAGGCTGGAGTGCAATGGCAAAATCTTGGCTCACTGTAACTTCTGCCTCCTGAGTTCAAGCAATTCTCCTGCCTCAGCCTCCTGAGTAGCTGGGATTACAGGTGTGCACCACCACGGCCAGCTAATTCTTGTATTTTTGGTAGAGATGGGGTTTCACCATGTTGGCCAGGCTGGTCTTGAACTTCTGACCTCAAGTGATCCACCTGCCTCGGCCTCCCAAAGTTCTGGGATTGTAGGCATGAGTTACTGTGCCTGGACTGTATTTTTAAATATAGAAAGACTATGCAAGTTAAAGACTAAACTACCAAATATTTGTCCTCACTGTTTCTAATTAACAAGAAAATGAACATGAGCTGACTCAGAACCTTATGGGATATTTTATTTCAATGTTCTTGCTTAAAATCATTATCTCCTTAACTCGTTTTTCCCTCTTGGCTATCTGTAGGTCAACTATTCACTTTTTTCATATATAAAGCTCTGGCTATATGCTTTTAAATTGGAATATCATGATTATTATAAAGTTGTCACAATATTTCATCATGCTGTAGAGTAGAGAAAAACTATATTGCAGGGGCTTTGTGAATATCCTAAATGAAGAACAGCAAATGTTTAGAAATTGAGGTTTTATATATAAGAAATAAATGGAGGAGGTTAATTCTAAATGATTGTTTATTCATTCAAGTAAGTATCTATGAAATCTTTACTATAATGAAAGCATGGGCTGGGTTCCAAAGTGCTCTCCAGGGCCTATATCTGTCTCCAGGGCTTAGAGTGCTTGGCATGGAATAGGTTGTAACTTTTGGGAGACCACAGGATGTTTTTCAAACATCTTTGTACCGTCCATGCTGCCAAGTGGAGAAAATTTTACACAATAAGTCCTCAATAGACTGGGTGTGGTGGCTCACGCCTGTCATCCTAGCACTCTGGGAGGCTGGGGTGGGACGATTGCCTGAGCTCTGGAGTTTGACACCAGCTTGGGTAACATAGTAAAACCCCATCTCTATTAAAATTAAAAGAAAAAAATTAGCTTGGTGTGGTGGCGCGTGCTTGGAGTCCCAGCTACTCTGGAGGCTGAGGCATGAGAATTGCTTGAACCTGAGAGGCAGAAGTTGCAGTGAGCTGAGATCACGCCACTGCACTCCAGCCTGGGTGATGGAGCGAGACTCTGTCTCTTAAAAAAAAAAAAAAAAAGTCCTCAAAAAATACTTGTCAAATAATGGTCAGTTGTGTAGAACACACACACACACACACGCACACGACTAATATTTGCCAAAAGAATATATAATTGTCTCCTTTATTGAGTTTTTAAATGCTATTGGATGGCTTTGGGTCCTAGTATTTCCTCAAGTTCACACATTTTTCTGTTAATTACATTGCCTGAAACCATCAGAGAAGTGTCGTTTATCCAGCTTTGTAGAATGACCAGTCACTTTTTGACACTGCCATATCTCGTGGTTCGTAGGTGATAGCTCTTGGTGGCTTTCTTTCTGATTTTTCTTTCCTGAGAAGCATGATGAAGCCCCACTATTCAGCAGGGATTTGCAACCCTGCCATCTCATGTGAGTGCACACTGAGACCTTGAGCTACTGCTCTTTAACTTCCTAATAATTTCTTTGAGACATTTCTAGGATTCTGGCAAGTAGTCTAACCTAGAGCTATTGTTTTTTTTTTTTTTCTTACAGATATTGCATTAGAACATCTAGAATAAGACCATATTCTCTCTTTGATAGAAATAGTATTTAATTTCCTTCTACTAAGTCTAATATTTTTACTTACTCTCCTATTGTTTTTCAAAATGTGTTTCAATTAGTGTGACATTGGAATTGTCATATTTTCTGTACAACACACATGATAAAACTGAGAACCTTCTGATGAGACATCCCTCAATTCTAATCAAATTAACATAAAACGCAGATTTAAACTGTTTTGGGGTGCTATGCAAATGTAAATTTTATCGTTATTACTGTTAAGTACTATTTTAACACTACTGCTGAAAACATCACTATAATTTAAAAACTTACTTTTTAAGGAAAAGCAATGGATTTTTAGATTTTAAAATCTTTAGATTTTAATAAGAACAACTTACTTTTTATAGATTTTTAGTAATATTTTATTCATGCTATTTTGAATAAACCTGTTATGATGTTTGCTAACTTTTGCTGCCTCCTGTGGGATCGCTTATGTTTCTAAATGAGATGATGTGTTAGGGGAGGTTAAGTTGCAGTAAGACAAACAAATCTCAAAATTTTGGTGAATTAGCACAAAAGTTTATTTTTTTCCTCAGGTTACATGTTCATTGTGAATCTGCAAAGCGGGGGCACTACTCATTGTTGTCACTCACGGGTAGAAGAAGCCAATGGAGGCTCGATTTGGACATGAACTTCCCAGGGACTAGAGAATGCGGCGCTTAAAACTTCTGCTAAATTATGTGTTTCCTTTGTGCTTCCATTTCTTTGGCCACAGCAAGTCACATGACATGATAGGAAACACAACCCTCCCACAAAGCCAGTGGAGAACTGGAATCTTTGCAAATGGCCCTCAAGCCTGTCATCTATGTGCATGGTAACAGGAGAGGGAATTGGAAAGGTGAGTTAGGGGCTGCTTTCTGAAGTTGTGTTTGCAAAACACACAAACCAGTTTAATATGGTCAGGCTTTGTGTCCCTGCCCAAATCTCATCTTGAATTGTAATCCCCAGATGTTGAGGGAGAGACCTGGTGGGAAGTGACTGAATCATGGGGGCAGTTGCCCCCCTGCTGTTCTCATGATAGTGATGAGTTCTCATGAGATCTGATGGTTTTATAAGGCAGTTTTCCCTGCTCTTGCTAGCTCTTCTCTCTCCTGCTGCCATGTGAAGAAGATCCTTGCCTCCCCTTTGTCCTCCATGATTGTAAGTTTCCTGAGGTCTCCCCATCCATGTGGAACTGTGAGTCAATAAAACCTCTTTCCTTTATAAATTTCCAGTCTTGGGTAGTTCTTTACAGCAGTGTGAAAATGGACTAATACATAGTTTTACCTTTATTTTGTTTCTGTGAGGTGTTTTTCAGTTGAAGGTATTCATGGTAGATAGTAATAGAGAAGCTGTAGCTGTTACAAGCTACCTTTTTTTTTTCCTCCTGCCTGTACTCATCTTTAGGAAGTATATATAATTTTAAACTCTGTGGGCTGAACAATAAGTGAATTATTGCACGAAGGACAATCAATTTAAAAGTTTACTTATATGTGTGAAGTTTAAGACGATTAAATGGTGATTTTTTTAGATATCAATATCTACTGCTTTTATTGTCTGCTATATAGTAATAGAGTAAAATCCTTAACCCGGTTATAACAAGTGAGACACAGCTTCCTCCCACACATGTGCAGTGTTCTCTTGACTACTTTAAAAAACGTGAGTACTTTTTCCCCTTTGAACTGCGTGCACGTTAAAAAAAAAAAAACACAAAAATCATGTCCTTTTAAGTGTATTTAATATCACATGATATATTCATATTTTTCTGTTGCCAATCTACTGACAGATTATAAGAAAAGAAAAGCAAGAGAGAGAAGAAAAGAAAAATGGAAACCATGACACTGTCATGGTGGCAGGTAAAAGTGTGATTTTTTTTTTTTTTGAGACGTAGTCTTGCTGTACCAGGCTGGAGTGCAGTGGCCCCATCTCAGCTCACTGCAACCTCTGCCTCCCGGGTTCAAGCGATTCTCCTCCCTTAGCCTCCCGAGTAACTGCGACTACAGGCGCGTGCCACCATGCCCAGCTAATTTTTGTATTTTTAGTAGAGATGGGGTTTCACCATGTTGGCCAGGCTGGTCTCGATCTCTTGACCTCATGATCCGCACACCTCCACCTCCCAAAGTGCTGGGATTACAAGCGTGAGCCACCGCACCTGCCTGGCCAAGAGCATGATTTTTGAGAAGGGATTGGAATGGCCCTGGGTAGTAGGGAGGTTTTATTGGCCTGAGTACACATCAAAAAGGCTATTTTCAAAATCAGCTTAAAGAAATGTAAGCCAAAATGAACTAATTTTCATTTAGTAGGAATTAAAAAATAAAAGGTGGGTGTATTCTTTTTTGAGCACAAGTTTAGTATTCAAGTGACTGCTATGCCAAGTGGAAAGTAATGCCCTTAATGGAAATATAATGAGTAGTGAGGTCAAGAAATGGATGTACTCTAAATTATTTTCTTAATAAAGAACAGACCTTTATTCTCTAATTTCTTTTAATTTCAACAATAAAGATTTTTAAACAATAGAAAAAGGGTGAGAACCTAGGTTTCTATTTTATGAAATGTTATCAAAAATTCTTAAAAAAGTGTCAAATAGGACTGTCTCATAAATGTGTTTATTTTTCAGGGACTTTGAAGCTAGGTTTCCTTAGCTTTTGAGTTGCTTTCTTTTGTTATTGAATTGCCTTCCCTTGTTTGTTTATTTCCACACTATGAGGTGGGTTCTTAAGGGAGCAGACACCCTCCTGGCTGCATAGCGCTGGACTTGAATATGCTCGGTCCAAGGAAGCTATCATGGGATGGAAAGGCTTTCTGCAGAGATGTCTCTGTTCGCAGCAAAAGAGGAAACAGGAAATGACTCAGGGCAAGTCTTGCTAAACTGGAAAAATCAATTAGACACACTCCTAAATAGAATCAGAAAACATTATAGTCAGAGAAAAAGGAGAAAGTGTATGAGAAAGGTTGCTTTCCATTCCCACCTGGGAACTGAAAGACGTTTAGGGAGGTGCAATACCTCTCCACTGCTACAGGTTTCTTTCCAGTCATGTTAACCTGTATGGGGAATCACGACTGAATAGATATTTTCATTATTTCCATTGATTCTGCTTTTAACATTTTTATTTTAAAAATGTTTTCTAGTTACAAAAGCAGCACAGTAGACTGGAAACAAAAATGAGTGAACTTGACTGAAATATGCACTTCCCACTTAAACATATGGCAAATAAAGCCGTAATAATAGCTCTGACCTCAGAAGACTGTCCTTTACATTACACAGTGCAGATTTGGGCAGTGGTCTAACATCAGGTCTGCAACCAATTGCTACAATTGAGTTGCAAGCTTTACATTTTTTTTTTTTTTTGAGACGGAGTCTCACTCTGTCGCCCAGGCTGGAGTGCAGTGGCGAGATCTTGGCTCATTGCAACCTCCGCCTCCCAGGTTCAAGCAATTCTTCTGCCTCAGCCTCCCAAGTAGCTGGAACTATAGGCGCGTGCCACCATGCCTGGCTAAGTTTTGTATTTTTAGTAGAGACGGGGTTTCACTATGTTGGCCAGGCTGGTCTTGAACTCCTGACCTTGTGATCCTCTCGCCTTGGCCTCCCAAAGTGTTGGAATTACCACATGAGCCACCGCACCTGGCCCTACATTCTTAAGTCATATTATTTAGGCAGGACATTGAAAGCTAAGAAAGCAAATTTATTTCTCAGAAGAAAACTCCCAACAATAACTTCTGTTGGTCTTCATGTTGCTCTAGTACAATTGGTCATCCTATATCTTAAAAAACAAAACAAAACAAATGGAGTTTGAGAGTCTAAAACTCAACATCAACTACACAGCCTCTCATTTGATGAACTCTTAGTTTTTGCTTATTTTTAAGCCTATCTGATAAGGATGTTTAGTACGTTATTGCTAAGCCTCTTTGGACATTTACTTTCATTTATTCTGAGTACCAGAAATTCAAAAGACAGGATGAAATGGCTACTCTCAGGAATGTGTAGAGTCTATAATAAAATCAAAATATAGACTAAATAACAACACAACCAAGAAAAACAGAATGTGAGCTGAAGAGAAAGAAAAAAGAAAACCCCAGCATCTCAAAATTAAGCAGTCATTAGTGTTTATATCAGTTGACTGATGTATATAAGTGAGAGTTTCTTGCCTCATCTACTTTCATCTTGTTCTCGTCTTCTCTTCCCTTTTCCCTTCTTCTCTATCATGATACTTGCTAGAAATTTATGCAGAAAAGAAAATTGATAGACAAAACCTAAACAAATATTAATAATCCTTGCACACTTACTAAGAACCAGGAGACAACCAAACCCCCCCAAAAATATTAATCCTAACAGAAAATAGTATTTTTGGGTACTCTGAGATACAGACATCAAAGGAATGTCCTCATGCAGAACTCTCTCTATGACATTGTTTTTGGGGGAATGTAATTAGCACCTATGTTATAGCTTTCTATTAAGCTCATAGTTTATTTACTGAACTGATATTTTGGAAGTCAGGCCAGCCACTGTACACTTGATGCTTATCCATAAGTTCTAATAACATTTAGACATTTTATCGATTTCTAAGCAAAATTACATTTTTGTTATTCAACATTGTCTTTTTAGAGTATCCTATTTCCACCACAGTCGAGTGTCCAGAGGCATCAACAGAGCAGCGTTGCGTTGCAACATATACATTTCGCATTTCCTTAGTGGCTTATTTGTCATTAAAAGGTTTGAAAAGGTTTCTGTTCCCCAAACTCAGGTTGAGAAATATTATCTGGTATTTACACATGTCTATGTTTACTGTCTAATTTAATTGTGAGTCAGATTGAACACAGAAGAAATGAGACATTTGCATGGTCATGATTATCAAGAGGTCGAAAGTACTATTTTCCTTGGGTGATAACCCAGTGAGTGATGCGGGACTCAACACCGTGGTCGACTGCACACATTTCAGCACCATCGCACTTGGAAACCTTTTTGGTTCAGTGCAGAACTTCTTAAAGATTAAAACAGATTTATGGTATCAAAAGGTATTTTGATGGTCAGCCAAAATTCCACACGGATGGGATTATGCCCCATAAACTTTATCCTCCTTTCCAATGATTTTTAAATATGATTTTTAGAGATGGATTAAATGTAGATTCCTTTGTATTTGTAATACATATTTCAAATTACTACAATAGATTTACTGTGCAGGTCTGCGTGAACTCCAGGGACCTGAAGGCCGGCTTGGTCAAACGACTTGCAGGAGTGTTCTGGTTATTAACATGCTTAATGTTGTAGGCCAGATGAAATAAGGAAGCCAGCAGAAAAGCCCAGCTTTCTTTGGAGACAGTACACTCTATCTTGCTTTAATTTGCTCCTTGGAGTCTGTACACGCTACTGGTGATATAGGTAAGGCAAGGTTACAAAAAGGTCTTTCTACTATTACTCTAAGGCAGAGTTTCTGCATTATAATTAAATTCTGTAAATTTGGGCTTCCTTAAATGCATAAAATCACAAAATACTACATTTTAGTTTATAAAAAAGGTTTACAATCTCTCATTCAAAACTCTTGGGATCTGAAATACTCTTAAAAGCTCAAATTCTCCCTCCCCCAAACTTTAGAAAGATAATATTATGCACATATTGCATATGACGCAATCAATGCTATCAACAAAGTCTAGGTAAAACCCCACTATCAAACACATTAATATTTTTCCAGAAAATGTGAACGTTTGCAGTAAGCAGGATAAATAGAAAACATGCTCTCCTCAGTTCAGATCAGATTTTGTCATCAAGCTTATGAAAAATCTTGAAGTTTTTCAGAGCTTTTTAGATTTTGGAATTTCAAAAAAAGAATTATGGGTCTGTACCAATTTTGCTTTTCTGCTACAACCTGGTAGACTTTGTGAAGCTTTGAAATATTTATCAATAAAAGGATGCATAGTGAGATTATTTTAAAACATTAAATGTTTATAATATCTTTAAAATATATGGAAATATTCTGTTATAATGTGTTGACATAAAGATAGTATAAGTAAGTATTACTGGTAACTAGTTTATACAGATGCAAGCATTTTTGTTTGCTTCACAAGAGAATGAGATGAAATTGCATATTTATTTATTAATTTTGAGATGGAGTTTTGCTCTTGTTGCCCAGGCTGGAGTGCAATGGTGCGATCTCAGCTCACTGCAACCTCTGCCTCCCAGGTTCAAGTGATTCTCCTGCCTCAGCCTTCCAAGTAGCTGGGATTACAGGCATGCACCACCACGCCCAGCTAATTTTGAATTTTTAGTAGAGACGGGGTTTCACCATGTTAGTCAGGCTGGTCTCGAACTCCTGACCTCAGGTGATCCACCTGCCTCGGCCTCCCAAAGTGCTGGGATTACAGGCATGAGCCACCACGCCGGGCCTGAAATTACATATTTAAATTAAAAAAATTTTTCAGGCCAGGCCAGGCTTGGTGGCTCATGCCTGTAATCCCAGCACTTTGGGAGACCCAGGCGGGCAGATCACTTGAGGTCAGGAGTTCGAGACAAGCCTGGCCAACATGGTGAAACCCCATCTCCACTAAAAATACAGAAATTAGCCAGGTATGGTGGCACGTGCCTGTAAACCCAGCTACTCAGGAGGCTGAGGCAGGAGAATCGCTTGAACCTGGGAGGCGGAGCTTGCAGTGAGCCGAGATCGCGCCATTGCACTCTGCACTCCAGCCTGGGTGACAGAGTGAGACTATGTCTCAAAAAAAAAAAAAGTTTCATTAGAATCTTTGAATACTGGTATACTTGAGATACACATAATCATATCTGTCCTCCAGCTCCCTTGAATCTGTTGCCTCTTTCTTACTCCTGGCACTTTCCTTCTGTAGTTACTACTTTTCTTTCTTGGATCATCAAATTTTCCCTCTTGATCATTCAAGTCAACCTATGATCTTTCTCTGGATTATTCTGTATTTAAAAATATCCACAACAGGATTTAAATGTGCAATTTCAGCCGAGTATCTAAATAAGATAGATGCTGCATTCCAGAGTAGGAATATGCAGAATTTCCAAAGGAGCTTTAGAAAAGTTGTTACATGACCCTGGAATTCTACATGCACTTCGAGAAGAAAAGGCTCAGATTAAAAGCAATATTTGGAGAGGATTTCTTTGAACACAAGCAGCCCCCGTGAGATGAGTCTTCTTCCCTTCTCTGCTGTCTCTCATCTCGGGTGTGTGACAAGACCTTCAAGACACGACTTGAGAGCGTGATGATGCCTTAATTCAGGTGTGCGACCCCATATTGAAATACTTAAAAGGCAGAGATGGGATAGTCGAGAAAACCAAAGTGAAGACATATTGAGGCTGCCTAAGGTCTAACTCTATTCCCAGGATCTGTTTGGGCAAAAAAAACTTATGAGTGTTTCTTGGGGATTTGTTGAGCACTGTAAGTGAGAAAAAGCTGTTCTGGAGGTCCTTGTTGATTTGACCTAATAGGATCATCTTTAGAAGATTGAAAAGGCTTCAGCAGAGAAGAAGCTGGAGATGACCTGAGGAGAGATTAGGGACCTGCAAGAATAGAGGACATTCATCTGGCTGGGGAAAGGCAAGCGAGAGGCCACAAGTGGTCAAAGATTGTAGGAAACCTGTGCAGAAAGCTTCACAAGTGACAACTTTAAACATCCACCAAACCAAGAGCAGAAAGCCGGCTTACAAAGTGCCAGTCCTGTAAGCATTTACCCATACTCTTCATTTCTCTTGGTCTCTGCTTCCTCCTTCTTCCTCCTTCCCACCCCAGACTGCATGCAGACTTATCTCACCCAGGGAATTTATATGTTGTTACTTCTATGGGAATTATTGGATTTAAAGTTGGAACTCCATATAGAAATTTTTTATGAAACTATAATTTATATATAAGACTTTCCTTTGAATGAAATTGGAAGCTCTGACTCAAAATGGCCCTGGAGATTGTAATTATAATTATCAAACTGAGATCATGTTTTGTGACTTAAGGTGACTGTAGGAGTTTGCAATTACTAAGAGTAGTTAGAAAAGTCATGGGATTGCCCAAGTTTTCATTCAGGACAAAAAGAAGAAAGTAATCGTTGAGTTGAGTTTAAAAGAAGAGTTGGAGGTAAAAATAAATTTGGTCATGATTACACACCCTGAATCTTTTTTGGCCAACATAATGCTTTCAAATTTTATCTTTTTCTTCTATATTGTAAGCATACCTTGGAGATATTGTGGGTTTGGTTCCAGACCACCACAATAAGGCAAATATTTCAATGAAGCAAGTCACATAAATTTTGTGGTTTCCCACAAAAATATAAAAGTTATGTTTACGCTATGCTGTAGTCTATATTAAGTGCATGATATTATGTCTAAAAGTATACATACCTTAATTAAAAAATATGTTATTGCTAAAAAAATGCTAACAATCATCTGAACTTTCAGTAAGTCATAATCTTCTTGCTGGTGCAGGGTTTGCCTCATTGTTGGTGGTTGCTGAATGGTAAGGTTGGTGATTGCCGAAGACTGAAGTGGCTGTGGAAATTTCTTAAAATAAGACAATAATGAAGTTTGCTACATTGATAGACTTAAAAAATTAAAAAAAATTTTTTTTGAGACGGAATCTAACTCTGTTGCCCAGGCTGGAGTGCAGTGGCGCGATCTTGGCTCACTGCAACCTCTGCCTCCCAGATTCAAGCGATTCTCCTGTCTCAGCCTTCCGAGTAGCTGGGAATACAGGCATGCACCACCACGCCTAGGTAATTTTTGTACTTTTAGTAGAGATGAGGTTTCACCATGTTGTCCAGGCTGGTCTCAAATTCCCGACCTCAGGTGATCTGCCTGCCTTGGCCTCCCAAAGAGCTGGAATTACAGGCATGAGCCGCTGTGCCTGACCTTAATTTTCATATTGTTAGTAGAGATGGAGTTTTACCATGTTGTCCAGGCTGGTCTTGAACTCCTAACCTCAAGTGATCCGCCCACCTCGGTCTCCTGATTGACTCTTTCACAAAAGATTTCTCTCTGTAGCATGTGATGCTGTTTGACAGTATCTTACCCACAGTAGAGCTTATTTCAAACTTGGAGTCAATCCTCTCTAACTCTGCCACTGTTTTAGCAACTAAATTTATGTAATATTCTAAATCTTTGTTATCATTTCAACAATGTTCACAGTATCTTTAACCGGAAGTAGTTTCCATCTCAAGAACTTACTTTCTTAGCTCGTCCATAAGAAGCAACTCCTTATTTGCTCAAGATTTATCATGAGATTGCAGCAATTCAGTCACATCTTTGGGCTCCACTTCAAATTCCAATTATCTTGCTATCTCCACCCCATCTGCAGTTACTTCCTCCATTGGAGTGTTGAACTCCTAAAAGTCATCCATGAGGGCTGAAATAAACTTCTTCCAAACTCCGGCTAATGTTGATATTTTGACTTCCTTTCATGTATCACAAATTTTCTTAATGACATTTAGAATGGTGAATCCTTTTCAGTGGATTTTCAATTTCCTTCGCCCTGGTCCATCAAAGGAATCACTGTCTATGGCAGCTACAGCCTTATGAAATGCATTTCTTAAATAACAAGACTTGGACGTCAAAAGTACTCCTTGATCCATGGCCTGCAGAATGGATGTTGTGTTCGCAGGTATGAAACATCATTAACCTCCTTGTACATCTCCATCAGAGCTCTTGGGTGATCAGGTGCATTGAAAATGAGCAGTAATGTTTTAAAAGAATCTTTTTTCTGAGCAGTAGATCTCAACAGTGAACTTAAAATATTCAGTAAACCATGCTGTAAACTGATGTGCTGTCATCCAGGCTTTGTTGTTCCTCTGATAGAGCTCAGGCAGAGTAGATTTAGCATAATTCTTAGGAGCTCTAGGATTTTTGAAATGGTCTGTGAGCATTGGCTTCCAGTTAAAGTCACCAGCCGCATTAGCCTCTAATAAGAGAGTTAGCTTATCCTTTGAAGCATTGAAGCCATGAATTGACTTCTCCTCTCTAGCCATGAAAGTCCTAGGCAGCATCTTCTTCCAATAGCAGGCTGTTTTATCTCCATTGAACATCTGTTGTTTAGTGTAGCCACCTTCATCAGTTATCTTAGCTAGCTCTTCTGGATAACTTGCTGCAGGTTTTATATTAGCACCTGTGGCTTCACCTTGCACTTTTATGTTATGTAAATGGCTTCTTTCCTTAAGCCTCATGGTTAATCTCATAGCTTCTAACTTTTCTTCTGCAGCTTCCTTACCTATCTCAGCCTTCATAGAATTAAAGAGAGTTAGGGCTTTGCTCTGGATTAGTCTTTGGCTTAAGGGAATGTTGTGGCTGGTTTCGTCTTCTCTCCATACCCCTCATACTTTCTCCATATCAGCAATAAGTCTGTTTTACTTTCTTATCATTCAAGTGTTCACTGGAGTAGCACTTTCAATTTCCCTTAAGAACTTTTCCTTTGCATTCACAACTTGGCTGCTTGATGCAAAAGGCCCAACTTTGGGCCTGTCTCATCTTTTGGCATACCTTCCTCACTAAGCTTAATTATTTTTAGTTTTTGATTTAAAGTGGGAGGCCAGGCACAGTGGCTCATGCCCGTAATCCCAGCACTTTGGGAGGCTGAGGCAGGCAGATCACTTGAGGTCAAGAGTTCAAGACCAGCGTGACCAACATGGTGAAATGCCATCTCTACTAAAAAAAAAAAAAAAAAAAAAAAAAATTAGCTGAGCATGGTGGCAGGCATTTGTAATCCCAGCTACTCAGGGAGGCTGAGGCACAAGAATTGCTTGAACCTGGGAGGCGGAGGCTGCAGGGAGCCAAGATTGTGACACTGCACTCCAGCCTGGGCAACATAGTGAGACTCTGTCTCAAAAACAACAACAACAACAAAAAAAAGTGAGAGATGTAACTTTTTCTTTCACTTGAACACTTAGAGACCATTGGGATAATTAATTGATCTAATTTCATTATTATTGTGTCTCAGAGAATAGTAGGGGCCTGAGAAGAGGGAGAGAGATAGGGGAATGGTCAGTTGGTAGAGTAGTCAAAACATACACATTTAAAAATTAAGTTCACCATCTTATACGGGCATGGTTCGTGGCTCCCCGGAACAATTACAATAGTAACATAAAAGATCACTGATTACAGATTGCCATAACATATAATAATAACATTTATTTTAAAAGTTTGAAATATTATGAAAATTAATATTGTGACAGAGATATGAAGTGAACACGTGGTACGGGAAAAATGGCACCAATAGACTTGCTCAATGCGAGGTTGCCACAAACCTTCAATTTGTAAAAAATGCATTATCTACAAAGCACAATAAAGTCAAGAACAATAAAACTAAGTATGCCTTTACTTGAGTGGGTGTTCAGTTTTTTTTCTATTTCCTTGTTGAACAGATGTTTACCTACACTCAACAGCTTTTCCTTTCACATTTCTCATTCATGATTCAATTCCCTCAAAACTGTAGTCATCCCTGTCACTGCAGGAAAACTAGTCTTAGATATCACCAATGACCTTCTAATTGTCCAACATACACTTCTCTGTTTCCTTGTTATTGAGTCCCTCAGCAGTATCTGACCTAGCCGATTATCTTTTTGGAAATGGTTTTCTCTCATGGTTTCTTTGATATATACTAACCTCATTCTTATTATCTTTTTGTGACATCTTCTCAGGCTTCTTGTTGATTCCTCCACTCCCTGTTCTCTTCTATATCAAAGGTGCCCAGCGCTAGGCTATGGATCTTATCTCTTCTCTGCACATTAAGTGATTTCATTTGGGCCCATTACTTTGTGTTAACTCTAGGCTGATGACATGCAAATTTATAGCTCCATCTTTGGTCTTTCTCCCGAGCTGTGGACTATGTATGTAACTGTCCACTTGACCGCATTGTTTGGAGGCCTAATGGACACTCCAAAGTTAATATGTCCATCAGGCAGTTTCCCCTTGTATTTGTTCTCCCTGGCTTGCCCATGCCAGTAAATGGCACCATCCACTCACTGCCTCGGGCTAAAAACATTGGAGTTGTTATTGCTTCCTTTCCTTAATATTCCCACATCCACACTATCCTCAAGTCTTATCAGTTTTAGATTCAACATTCCTTGTGAATAAAGAATCTACGTTTACTGCAACAATCCAGATGAGAGATTAGTTATGTTTTTAGATAATTCTAATAGATGTCTCAAAAACATCTGGTTGGGGATGAATGCTAATTTTCCACTGCACACCTCCAATGGTCTGATCCCTACTTACGTCTCAAACCTCATCACACACCACACTTTCTTTGGCTGACTGCACTCTGGGTAGACTTGCCTCCTCTTGTCCTTGACACATGTCATACTCATTACTGACTCAAGGCCTTTGCATTTGTTGGTCCTCTTGTCTAGAAATTTTCTTGTTTATATATTGGTTCACTTGTTTATTGTGTCTTTTCTTCCTCCCCTCACACAGAGGTAATGTTGCTCTCTTTCCTGTTTGGCACTGTATTCCCAACAGCTATGGAAGACCAGCACACAGTAATTTCCTATACATATTTCTTGATCCAATGAAAGAATGTAAATATTTAAGGCTTACAAGTTAAATGGAAAAAAAAATCATGCTGTGATCAAAAGAGCACTGGGAGGCCCGGTGTCTACTCTTGAGTCCTGAGTCAGCCACTTTGGAGAACTCAACTAAAAAAACTTCTCTACATATTTTTATCCTCACTCTCAAACATGCAGCTTCTTGTGTGCATGAAACAAAAACAAATGACAGCCCACAGAAATGAATGTGTCGGACATCTATTTCTACACTGAGTTCACTACAACAAAAACCACTTATAATTTCAAACAAATGGTCTCTCCCCAGTAACAGTGCCCTTTTGATAAAATTTCACACCACAGGAAATCCATTACAATAAATATCTGTTCCAGTATCTGTCCACTTAGCAATAATTCTCTTTATGCTTGATGCCTCTTTCCTGATAAACTATCCTAAGGACCCTCCTTTCCTTCCCTCTGAGAGTTCCAGAGTTTTAGCTCTGCCTCTGCGTACTTGCTGTTGTCATGGTAGCCTTGCTAATTTTGCTTATATATTTTTCCCCATATTTTCCCACAACCTTTGAAAAGACCAAGCGAAATATGTGCCAAAGGCTATTTCTGACTTAATGTTGTAGGCATGAAAATATTTCTTTTCTTAGCCTCTTGAAAAATATTAAATGGTTGTCTCAGCATCATTGATTGAGACTATTTGTTTATTCCCAGGGCTGAAAGTTAAGGCCATTCTATTTTGATAGAACTATTTATTTAAAACAAGCTCAAGATCAAAGACATCTCATCTAGTATGCAGGGAATGCTGTTTAACCCAAGTAATCCAAAAGTAAATAATTTATTGGATTACTCAATAGATTGAGAAATGAAGGTAGGATTTGGGTGTATTTGTTTTGCCTTTTTCTTTTTAATTACTCACTAAATAACTGCATGTGATGTGTGAGTTTAGAAGAAAAGAAAGTCTTATTGCAAGAAGACATCCTGTTAGTAATCTTAAGTGGTCTCAGGAAAGAACAGATCCCATCTATATGCATGGAATCAGGGCAGCCCTGCTGTCCATGCCTGCTTGGTGGCCGACATACTTGCATCTAAGACCTATCTTTGCCCAAGACAAAAACCAGCTGTGTGGCTGCAAGAAAGCCATTTAAACTCTCTGGAGTCCAGTTTCTTAACCTATAATACAAGAAAAAAATCTCTCACATCCCTTCTGGTTCTAAGATTGAGCCATCCTATTCTTAACCAACCAAAAATTATGATAGCAGTGGGGCAAGATAGGAGGCAGTTCAGCAGGGGCGGAGAGGCCCTCATTTGAACTTCTGCAACTCCAGGCATGGATTCCTCTTCTCTCATTTTTAAAAATTAAATGCTCACTTCCTTTCAATCTGATAAAATGTCATTTTGTTTCATTTGGGTTTTCATTTATTCTGCAACATGCCAGACAGATCTTGTACCAAAGTCATTTTATTGTTGTGGATAAAAGAACACAATACCCATTTTTGTTCCTTATTCTTGCCTTTTCAATGGGTTTTTGAATTGCTATTTTTTTTTTGTTGTCAATTAAAAATACATCTCCACAGCCCAGCTGCTCATGGACCCATGTCGGGTGCACATCATACATCCTTGATAGTCCAGCTTCTGTTGTGAAGTCCTGAGAAACACTGTTTATTTATTTATTTAGTGAGAAGAATCCCGATTAGTTCTTTCTCGTAAAAAGAGGAAATTGGCTAACTGTTATGGACTGAATGTTTGTGTCTTTCTCAAATTCATCTGTCGAGGCTCTAACCCCTAATGTGATGGTATGTAGAGATGGGGCCTTAGAGAGGTAATTAGATTTAGATGAGGTCATGAGAATGGGGCCCACATCATGGGATTAGTACTTTTATAGCAAGAGGAAGAAAAACCAGAGCACACTTTGTCTCTCTCTCTGCCATGTGGGGGCACAGTGAGAAGGCAGACAAGGAAAAGGGCCTTCACCAGGAACCAAATGGGCTGGCACCTTGCTCTCAGTCTTCCCAGCTTCCAGAACTGTGAGAATGAAATAAATATCTGTTGTTTAAGACACCCAGCCTATGGCATTTTCTTATAGCAGCCCAAGCCAACCAAAAAACTAACTAATGGAAATATTTGAGTATACGATAGAACGTATTGACCCTGGAGCAATAAAAGAAAAGCTGGCCGAAAGTGCTAGGAGTTGCAGGTGGACAGTTTACCACCACCTGTTTGAAAGGCTTTACCATTTAGTCAACTCAGTACAGACACCTCAATCAAATGAAATGCATACAACCACAGTCACTGGTCTATCAGCTCCAATCGGGAAACCCTTGAAAATGTGACACAAGCAGTTTAGGCAAAATTAGAGAAAACATTTATAAAGCTCATGATACAAAAAGCAGTGCATGATTTAAAACATCATCAGATGGGTTTAAGTGAATTTATGGATAAAGATGTATTACACATTAATAAAGGAAGTCACGGACATTTGAAATAGATGCTTGATCTGAGAAACACTCCTGCTTATAGCCTCAAATATTTGGAAGCTGACAACATGCACAAAATGTACCTTGTTGCCACTCTCAGAGACAGCGTATCACACTAACTGGCTCATTAATTTGACCTATTATGGCATTTCTTATGATCTTACATTCCTATGACCTCCTTGAAGGCTCATTTAGCCTTGAAGCAGCACAAGGTGAAAAAAAAAAATCTCAAAATTAATCAAGAAGTTGCCAGAGTGCTTTTACACAGGCTTACCAAATTGTCAGCTTATCCTTGAAAGAATAACCTTCACCAGAACCTTTTTTCCTATGACAATGGGGAGGAGAAGGGGATAGTGAAGTTGCTGTCAGACACTGGGTTTCCTCTCTAATTCTCATTCACCTTTCAGCCAGACACAGAAAAATCTTGAGTTCAAATATTTAGACAATCTCAGATGAAGGAATACAGAGCTATTCATTCCTGAGACTTTCATGGGAAGGCCTGGTTAACCAGACACAACGGACAAGCAAAGTGTCTTGTCATTGCTAGTAAGAAATCAAAATGGATTCAGCCTAAGGTAAACAAAGCCACACGGAGCAATGAGGATAGTGCAACATGCATTTCTATTTCAAAATACCATAATCTTAAAAGTGTGCTCTCTTGAATCCATATGATCGAATGAGAAAATAATTAGGTACCTAGGTATGATTACTTTGACTTATGTCTAAGATGCACAAAATTTTTCAGCCAACAGCAATAGAATGGGGCAGCAGTCACGTGTGAATAGATCTGTTTCGATGAAAAACACCAGTATGCAAACTGTTTTTCCAGAAGATGGACACTTGCTCCTGAGGTGGTTGAATCTTTCACCTATTTGTTATGTCTGAAAAATTAATGCTTGTTCTGCAACTATAAACCAGCCATAAGTGAAAGCAGCTTTGCCAGCATTGTCTGAGTCATTAGAAGAGTCAACCAGTTGTTCTCCTGTCCTTTCTGCGTGGCTGAATTTCCTTAATGACCAATTCATTGTGTGTCATCAAGCATGACACCCAAAACGCTGTGATGTCTTTAATGAAGGATCCATTATTCTTTCAAGAATGTGAACATGTGAAGTTGAAAAACCTATTCAATAAGGTATCTCCTTGAAAGAACGCTAATCACACTGGGAAGTACATTTACACAAAATATAACTTCTTCATGCATGTTTAACGGAGCAGAATGTTTTTTGGAGTCACATTAGCTGACCCTGAGAAGAACACAGGCTTAGTTTACTGGATAACTTCCATTTTCATAAAATTGCTAAAATGCCACTTTTCTCTTCAATCCACATTTATATATGTGGCAGAACATTCTTTCTCAGAACAGAAGCCATTGTATGGTCCTCTTTCTGTGTTCTTTGACCTTGGCAGCACACCATCTCCAAGATTCCGCAATCATAGACAGTCACCCTGCTGTTGTGGGCAGACGATTGCCTTGCACAAACCTTTCTGGTGCCATTGGAAGTGACTCTCTGGAGACAAAGCCCAAGAATGACCCTGAGTATTACGTCTTTGTACATTCACTTCTGCATTTCATCTTTGCAGTTCTAAACCTATTCAAAGGTCTTTCTGTTTGAGCTTCTAAAATCTAGTATATCCTCTGCTGGATCGAGAGAAAAAAAGATGTAATTATAATACATGAACTGCCGTTGTTCTGCACATTAACACAGTAAGAGAAAATAGGAGTTTTTAATAGAAAAAATAGGTGTTTTGCTCTTCTTTCATATTTTTGTAAATAATGCAATATATCGGGAGTTAATTTTAAGGTAGTCAAGTGTGATGCATCACCATTAAGTCACTTTTACCAAGGAAAATAACCCAATATACTTCTATATAATAGAAGGAGAAATAAAGTATATTTCATTTTAACACAGAAATACAATTTTGTCCCAGAGTATAATTGGATTAATGGTATAGGAAGGCAGTTCATAATAGGGTTTTATTGTATTTTCCCTAAAGTTGCATAATAAAGGCACTTACCTGAGGAATCATCCGAATGCCTCTTTCTCGGTATATTCCATGGTGTCCATTGAACATGTTCACTTGGCAGACTTCTATGATGGTATTAATTTTTTATCAAATATTTGGATAATGATTATTTGATAAAAATCAGAGTTAGTAAAGAGTTCAGCAAGCAAAATATTGGTCTACTAAGCAATTTTGGGGGTCAGGGAGGGTTGAAGCTTATGGCTTTGATTATGTGAGAGGTCAGAATATGATAAATACCATGAGCTAGGGTCTTGCCTGAGCCAGACCCTTTGGATACAGACATGTCTGGTCATCTCTGAAACCCTACAGGGCACTGCCTCCTCATTGCATGAAGGACAAAGGATGGAGGAAATTTCCTGGGAGAGGATGCCTTCTGAGAAAGGCAGAGGAGGAGTCAAGCTTGACCCAATAACAAAGACTTCATCTTCAGAAGGAAGCAGAGATTTTGAGTTCGGCATGGAGTCTCGTTTGTAGCTGAGTTGTCTTCCAGGCCAGTCCCGTGGCCTCCTTCCTGTGGATTCTGAGTTCTGTGAAGTGTGTGTAAGAAATCTTGCTGGGAAGGATGGCTTTAAGTGAAAACTGAAAGCACTGATTGACTAGGGAATCTATCAGGCACTGCCTTGGTACCAACACTGATAAGACGCAACACAACAAGTGGGAAGAGTGCCTGTCCACTTTGTAAACAAACAAACAAAAAACTAAACAACACCCAAAACAACATCCCCACCCCATAAAACCAAAACCAAATGAACAAAAATACTCTGCTTCTTTGACTGATTGCTGAAAGACTCCATACATGTGTAGCGTGTGAAATTGCGGGGCAAAGTGGAAAGTGATGTAGCTCAGCAGAAATGCATTGCTGTGTTGTAGGATTTAGAGGAAGAGGCCATAGAATGGGAGAGAAGATGGGGAAGAAGAGAAAATGAATAACTGAGGCCACTTGTATTATGATTAAATTTTGTGATGATGAACAAAGTGCATAATTGCTTTCTTCCATTTTAAAATTATTAAAATGGATGTTAATACCACTGGCTCACTTTCATGTTTAATGAGCAGTGGAAATTTTATTGCTTTAAAAGTTTTTTAAACAGTTTTTTAAGGGATTTGCCTATTTATGACTAATATTTCCTGTTAGCATTGAAATATTAGAAAAACTTTATTCTCAACTCCATACTTATCATGGAGAGCTATTGCAAATTGGAAAGTGTATGGAATATGAAGTTGACTGGATTCCTCACTCTTCTGGGCTCCCCAAAAAGTTGGCTTAAAATTATCCCACTAATTTAGGGTTTCTCATGATTTTGGACTAGCAAATTTTTTGTTTTGAGAGACCATCCTCTGCATTGCTTGATGTTTAGTTGCATCCCTGACTTCTCCCCTCTAGATGCTTGCAGCATATCCTCACACCATTATTACAATATAACGTGTCTCCAGACATTGCCAATGTCCCCTGGGTGGGAGAAGGGGAGGGAATTGTTGCATATTGAGAATCACTGCTTTAATGTAGTCATTTGAAGCAAAATACTTGAAGAAAAAATGTTAGAATTGACTATAAAGTTATTAAGATAATATTAACCTCCTGATGCATTCTTTACTTAATTCTTGAAATTTTTTTTCTTAATGTGGGAATGTCATAGATGTTTAAACTGAAAAACAGTAGTAGTTGCCATTTATGCTATTTATTGAGAATTTCCTGAGTGTCCCACATTGTATTAAGCACTTTATCAACATACCACTCAATTCTTGCAACTATTCCTTGCAGTTGGTATTATTATCTGTCTCTTTCAGAGAAGGCTAGGGAAGTAAAAGAACTTTCTCAAAGTTACACAGCTAGTCACTGAAATACATAGTATTTAAGTCCACATCTACATGGGTACAGGCATTGGAAGTTTACTTTGTGCCTCAGTCAAGGTCCCTGAAGAAAAATGCCCACTCCAGTGGGGTAACCCAGGAGACCTTACCAAACAACATCTTTGCATATGAGAGCAGGAAAACTGACAAAGAATCGTGAAGCCCCCTACCAAGATCTGCCAGACTTTATGCTAGGTCTGAGGGGCTCAGGAAAAGGAGTAGTGACCATAACCCATAACAAGTGGCTGGAACTTCAAAGGGGACTGACAGACAGGAGCATGGAGGGATACAACCAACTCAACAGCTGCTAGGCTGGAAGGCACCTGTGGGTGGGAGCACCTTAAACCTTCCACCCTTTGAATTCCCCTTGATGAGCACCCACATCCAACAGGAAATTATGGGAAAAGGACCCTGTTGCTGTTGCATCCATACAGGGTGAGCTTCCAGGGCTCAGAGCTAGCTAAGAGTAAAGAATGGATCTGAAGGGCAGAGGGAAAAATTCCAGGCTGTTTTAACCTTAATAAACCTTTATATAATTCAGATTTTCATTAAATATTTTTGAGCACCTACACAGACCATGGTAATAACTATTGGTGATAATGTGCTGTGGCAGTTGTCTGCTAACTTTTTCTGTGAAGGGCCAGTTAGCAAAAATTTTAGCCTCTTTGGGCCATATAGTGGTATCTGTTGCAACTACATCTGCTGTTGTAGAGCAAATGAATGAATAAGTCCAGTAAAGGTTTTTTTTTTTTTTTTCGGTCCAAATGTTGGAATTTGCCAACTTTTCTGCTATAGAAAAACACAAAGCTACATACCATGCGTACTAAATTTTGTCAAGTCATTGTTTCTCCAACTCCAAAAGTTATGAAAAAATATGGTTCACGTCATATATATGTGTATATATATACGTGTATGTGTATATATATACACATACATACACACACACACACACACACAAACACAGACACAGACAGATCACCCTATCTAGGCTTACAAAATTCAAGTCATTTTGCAATAGGATTTATGAGTTTCACTTTTTGTTATTTCAACTCCATTATTGCAAAATTAGGTTGAACGAAGAGATAGACTTTGTATTTAACATACTTTTAGTTTTTTTGAGACTGGGTCTCTCCCCCAGGCGGGAGTGCAATGGTGTGAGTGATCATGGCTCACTGCAGCCACAACCTCCCTGGCTTAGGTGATCCTCCTGTTTCAGCCTTCTGAGTAGCTGAGACCACAGATATGTGCCACCACACCCGGAAATCTTTGAAAATTACTTGTAAATATGAGGTCTCCCTATTTTGCCCAGGGTGGTCTTGAACTGCTGGACTCAAGTGATCCTCCCACCTCAGCCTCCCAAAGTATTGGGATTACAGGTGTGAGCCACCATGCCTGCCATTTTAACACATCTTTAAAGCACAATATGGTTCTTATTGGAAAGTGGGGAAAACCAAATAGAAGAAACAGAACTATTGTTTATGAAACCAGCAAACCTGTGGAAAAAATGATATTGATTAACGGTGTATGGAAAACAATTTAAATGTAATTATAGTATCTGCCTAAATAACCCTTATTAAAGCGGGACCAATTTTATAAGGCCAGGCCATTCAGCCTCTGGGCTGATGCTATACAATTGTTCCCCATTATATACAGTTTTTCTTTCTGCAGTTTCAGTTACTTTCTGTCAGTCATGGTCAGAAAATAAATGAGCACAGTATAAGAAGATATTTTTAGACAGAGGGAGTGAAAGAGAGAGAGACACCATATTCATGTAGCTTTTATTATAGTATATGGTTGTAATTATTCTATTTTATTATTAGTTATTGCTGTTAATCTCTTACTGTGCCTAATTTATAAATTAAACTTTATCATAAGCATGTTCATATAGGAAAAAACATAGTATGCATAGCGTTTGGTGCTTTCCACAGATTTAGGCATCCACCAACAGTCTTGAAATGTATTTTGATGGCTTGTGGATAAGCAGGTATATTAGTCCGTTCTTGCATTGCTAAGAGGAACTACCCGAGATAGGTAATTCATGGAGAACAGAGTTTTTTTAAAATTAATTCTTATTTTATTTTAAATTCCAGGATACATGTGCAGGACGTGCAGGTTTGCTACATAGGTAAGTGTGTGGCATGGTGGTTTGCTGCACCTAGCAACCCATCACCTAGGTATTAGCCCAGCATGCATTAGCTATTAATATTTATCCTGATGCTCTCCCTCTTCCTGCTCCCCTGACAGGCCCCAGTGTGTATCGTTCCCCTCCCTGTGTCCATGTGTTCTCATTGTTAGAAGCTCCCGCTTGTAAATGAGAACATGCGGTGTTTGGTTTTCTGTTCCTGTGTTAAACTGCTGACGATGATGGCTCCCAGGTCCACCATGTCCCTGTAAAGGACAGGATCTTGTTCCTTTTTATGGCTGCCTAGCATTCCATGGTGTACATGTACCACATAGAAACGAGGTTTAATTGAATCACAGTTCCACAGGCTATACAGGAAGCATGGCTGGGGAAACCTCAGGGAACTTACAATCATGGCAGAAGGTGAAGCAGAAGCAGGCATGACTTACATGGCTGGAGAAGGAGGAAGAGATAAAGGGGGAGGTGCTACACACTTTTAAACAACCAGGTCTCATGAGAACTCACTCATTGTCATGAAAACGGCAAGGGGAAATCTGACCCCATGATCCAGTCACCTCCCACCAGGCCCCTTCTCCAATAATGAGGATTACAATTTGACATGGGATTTGGGTGGGGGCACAGAGACAAACTGCATCAGGGGGTGTACTGTATTAGTCAGATGGTGGTGCCAGAAAGTTATGATTTATAGACAGTATTAATTTCATCTCAAGATCCTAGGGACAAATATTGAAATTTCAGTGAGGTAACTTTATCTCTTTCTTCCTTCCTCCCTTGCTTTCTTCCTTTTCTCCTTCCTTCCTCACTTCTTCTCCAGCTCCCTGTCTTTTCCTGTCTTTTCTTCTTTCTTCTTTATATTTAAATGCAAGTGACATTGTCTTGATGAAGCCAAACCCATTTGTCATTGAACTCTAGCATCCTTCTCTGGTTTCTTGAGGCATCTCTGGCTTCAACTGCAGCTGCCAATTTTATGAGTTACTTTGCTATTCCAAGTGTGCCACCCTATTGTATGCCTTGGTTTTCCAAATGTGACAATGTTCCTCTTCCTTGATCCCCAGCCCCCGTGCCCATTAAAAAGTCCACATGTATAGTGAACTTTATTAATGCATCTGTAAGATGTAGGAGCCATTGTAATACAAACAACTTATAATTGATTATTTGGCAAATTCATAGATTGTCTAAAATCCTTGAGTAACTCTCTTTGACAGTCTCTAGCCTCCAATGCATTTGGCTCTCATTCAATCTCTCTCCTTTCTCCTGGCTCCTGGAAACACCATGTTTTCCAACAAATCTCTTCTACCTTATCAAGGGCAGCATTTGGGGTCTCTCCGAGCCTAAATCTGCATATTATAATACTCCCTGATACCCTGTGCTTGCCAATGGACAGACTGCTCTGGCTTGTCCCAATCTCCCCTCCTCCACCATCTGTAAGGGGAAGGAAGGTGCCAGAGGAATTATTTCTCCCCTGACATGAATTAATTAACCTTCCCTAGAGGGCAGACACAAAGAGTCTTGTTTAATTTAGAAAAAAATAGACTGTTATGCATTATAATTTTGGCATCTGCAGCATACAAGAAGTGCAGATTTTATTCATTAGTTTTGTTTGTTTTATATTGTTCAATTTTAGGGTGGTTTTTTTTTCTCTTTCTTTTTTTTGCCTGCCACTGTCAGCTATGCAAATGTAATAAGATCCTACTGACCATGTTATGGGAGAGAATGGCCCCCAGAATAGCTAAGAGTCTCTTTTTCACAATTTTTGTTTGGGGTTTTACTCCTGTCAAAATGTAGAGACAATTGAACAATTTGGGTTTATTTTTAAAACTCCTCTGTCAGGCTCTCAAAAAAATTGTATTTTATTTATAGAAGCCTTCTCTTTTCTTCTGCCTCTTCTTTAATCACTCTCTCACTTGAAAGTGAACAATTAAGCAATTAATTGAATAATTTAGGTCTCAAATCCCATTTATTTTAAATTATACATATAAGATCCTCTTTGTCCTACTTAATCTTACGTTTTGAAGAGCCAATCATAAAGAACAGATGGGATGGGAAAAGTTTTTTTTCTAAGAACGGTTAGATGAATAGAGAGCTGAAACTTGTATGTTTAACTTGTGAGATACTGATTGGGATAATCACAGCATAGCTGAGAAGAACCAGAGATTGGCTCTTGGTGTAACAAGAATCCCTTCTCTAGCAGCTTCCTACTTCCCGTGGTTTTAGCCTTTTTGGATATTAGTCCTAGGAATGAGCCAAGTGCAATGAGTCAGGTTTAAGTGGACAAGAAATACGTGGTGTTATAAATGGCATAGACCTGAAAGTATTTATAAAATGTGATCAAGTGAGCACTGAAAAAAAAGACACAGAATATCTTGGCTTTTATAAAAGCTTATTTTATGGAAATTATGTACATCATAGCCCAAGGAATCATAACTACATTTCTTTTTTGAAATAAAAAGCTACATTACTATAATGTTGATGTTAAGGAAACCTGTAGAGGAGAAATTCTGATTAAAATTAATTCTGGTTACTATGAAGGGAAAAGGCAACCAGCCAAAGTAGGGACAAAATGAAGTATATGCCTCAAGGAAGAGCGGTTTCAATTATAAAAATGTGAGTCTAGAAGAGGAGGAAATAGGGATAATTTGTTTAACTAAGTAACGAAACTTAAAGGTAATCTGAGTAATGGTTTCTAAAGTAACCTAAGGTGCAAAAACCCTCCAACTGTGAAAAGTTAACTCTCAATGAATGTCAATTTATAACAAGAAGGTATATCCTCACATATTGAATAACAAAAGGAGTTTACAAAGAAATTTCCAGAACATAAACTCATAGAGAGAAATGGATGGCAGAGACTTATTCTTGGGCACTTTTGAAATTAGATTATTATTTTAATGCATCAAACTTTGTGGTTAGCATGGAGTTGAAATCACCAACGAAGCTCTCTTAGGGAGGATAAAGGCACAAATTCCTTCTCTGTAAAATTCAGTTGAATTCAATCTGATTCTACAAATGTTTTTGTAGGCTCGATGATTTCTGGGGGCCTTTTGAAATACCATCCTGACTTGCAGAAGTCATAGTTTGATATTGCTGCTTGCTGGCTTAAGAAGAGTTTTGATCAGAGCATTTGGGTACGTTTTAAAGTTTCTTTCTGTTTCCTCTTTCTTTCTTGACTTTCTAGAAACTTCTGTTCATAATTTGTTTCTTAATTACTGTTTTTCTCTCTCAGTTCTCCCAGTTTCTTTTCAGCATTTTAATCCCTTACTCTCTTGTGGTGAGTTCTTTATGGAACCAAGCCTCTTTGATGAACGATTCTCAAGCTCATTTTATCCTGAGCCCTATCATGTATGATACCCTAGTTTAACAAGGATTGAGAACAATGGTGGTTTCTGAGACTTTCAGTGCAAAGAAAATGCCAGAATGACAATTGTTCGCATCTTGAAAATGTACACAGGAATGAGAGGTGAAATCTCTATCCCTGCGTTTGTTTTCTGCTTTATTCTTGAGGCATTCACAGAATGACATGCCACGCAGATCGCTTTTTATGTGCATCATTTTACCTTCACCCTCAGATCAGCTACATCACCTATTATCATCAAGTAATAAAGCTCCTGCCATTGCCACCCTAGTCTAAGGTAATGGCATCTCTCTCCTGGCTACCACAGCGGCTTTCTAATTGGCCTCCTGGCTTCCACTCTGATTTCCCTGCAATCCACTCTCCACATGACAATCAGGGTGGTCTTTTAAAAGTAGGGTCAGATTAGCCTGAAACACTGTAAAGGCTTTTAATACTACTTAAGATACAATCCAAACATGATGTGATCCCCACCTTCTCCCATACATCATCTTGCACTGCTCCCCCTCTTGCCTACTACACCCTGGTACCACTCACCCCGCAGGCCTGTTCCTCGGTGGGCACTGCTCATTCCTCCATTCACTCCGTGCCCACCCTCCACTGTCACATACCTGTTGATTACATCGTCACATTTGCAGAGAGGCTCTCCCTAACCAATCTGTCGGTAGTAGCGCATATGACATCATATCACCTCTTTCAATTAACTCCATACCCTTACCATTAAGAGTGCTCGCCTCCCTTATTTATTATTCTTGTGCTTAGGCTGCCTTCACCCAGTGAAATACAGACCTTATTTATTTACTTATTTATTTAGTGAGACAGAGTCTCCCTGTTTTCACCCAGGCTGGAGTGCAGTGGTGTGATCTCGGCTAGCTACAACCTCCGCCTCCTGGGTTCAAACGATTCTTCTGCCTCAGTCTTTTCAGTAGCTGGGATTACAGGCGCCTGCCACCATGCCCAGCTATTTTTTGTATTTTTAGTAGAGATGAGGTTTTGCCATGTTAGCCAGGCTGGTCTCGAATTTCTGACCTCAAGTGATCCGCCCACCTTGGCCTCCCAGATTTCTAGGATTACAGGTGTGAGAGCCACCATGCCAGGCAAATACAGATTTTTTTTTTTTTTAAAGTTGTACTTTACATTCTGGGATACACGTGCAGAACATGCAGGTTTATTACGTAGGTATATGTGTGCCGTGGTGGTTTGCTCACACATCAACCCGTCATCTAGATTTTAAGCCCCACATGGATTAGATATTTGTCCTAATGTTTTCCCTAATGCTTGCCCCCCACCCCCTAACAGGCCCCAGTGTGTGATGTTCCCCTCCCTGTGTCCATGTGTTCTCATTGGTCAACTCCCACTTATGAGTGAGAATATGTGGTGTTTGGTTTTCTGTTCTTGTGATAGTTTGCTGAGAATGATGGTTTCCAGCTTCATCCATGTCCCTGCAAAGGACATGAAGTCATCCTTTTTTATGGCTACATAGTATTCCATGGTGTATATGTGTCACATTTTCTTTATCCAGTCTATCATTGATGGACATTTGGGTTGGTTCCAAGTCTTTGCTATTGTAAATAGTGCTGCAATAAACATATGTGTGCATGTGTCTTTATAGTAGAATGATTCATAATCCTTTGGGTATATACCCAGTAATGGGATTGCTGGGTCAAATGGTATTTCTGGCTCTAGATCCTTGAAGAATCGCCACACTGTCTTCTACAATGGTTGAGCTAATTTACACTCCCACCAACAGTGTAAGAGCATTCCTATTTCTCCACATCCTCTCCAGCATCTATTGTTTCCTGACTTTTTAATGATCGCCATTCTAACTGGTGTGAGATGGTATCTCATTGTGGTCTTGATTTGCATTTCTTTAATGATGAGGAGCTTTTTTGCGTATGTTTGTTGGCCACATAAATGTCTTCTTTCGAGAAGTGTCTGTTTATATCCTTTGCCCAATTTTTGATGGGGTTGTTTGTTTTTTTCTTATAAATTTGTTTAAGTTCCTTGTAGATTCTGGATATTGGCCCTTTGTCAGATGAATAGATTGCAAACATTTTCTCCTATTCTGTAGGTTGCCTGTTTACTCTGATGGTAGTTTCTTTTGCTGTGCAGAAGCTCTTTAGTTTAATTAGATCCCATTTGTCAATTCTGGCTTTTGTTGCAATTGCTTTTGGTGTTGTAGTCATGAAGTCTTTGCCCATGCCTATGTCCTGAATGATATTGCCTAGGTTTTCTTCTAGGGTTTTTATGGTTTAAGGTCTTAGAGATCTTTATGACAGTGCCTGGCTTGCTCATCTGCTTCCTCAGAGCGTAGGATAGTGTTTGGTATGCAGGAAATGCTCAATAGGTGTTTACTAAATGAATGATAATCTTTACATTTTCCACCTGTCAAGTCAGACTGCAAACAAATGATAAAAATCTAGGTCCATTACCGGCCTGCCAGCCCATGCTCTGATGTTAATGACATCGAAGGCACCCCTCCCGAGGAAATCTCAACTGCACAACCCCTACTACACCCCAATTCAACAGGAAGCAGTTAGAGCGTTCATTGGCCAACCTCCCCAACAGCACTTGGGTTTTCCTGTTGAGAGGGGGTACTGAGAGACAGGACTACCTGGATTTCCTAGGCCGACTAAGAATCCCTAAGCCTAGCTGGGAAGGTGACCGCATCCACCTTTAAACACGGGGCTTGAAACTTAGTTCACACCCAACCAATCAGAGAGCTCACTAAAATGCTAATTAGGCAAAAGCAGGAGATAAATAAATAGCCAATCATCTATTGCCTGAGAGCACAGTGGGAGGGACAAGGATCGGGATATAAACCCAGGCATTTGAGCCAGCAACGGCAACCCCCTTTGGGTCCCCTCCCGTTGTATGGGAGCTCTGTTTTCACTCTATTTCACTCTATTAAATCTTGCAACTGCCAAAAAAAAAAAACAAAAAAAAAAAAAACAAAAAACAAACTAGGTCCATTACTAATCCAATTGGTTAATTGTGTCCCCTGTGTAAATAATGAGATAAAATGTATCTTTCCTGTAATAACACAGACTATCTCTAATGTGCTTCTTTTGTTAACAAGGAATTTCTGCTGCCCTTGGACTGAAAGTAATTTGATGTTTTTTTCATTAGAAATTTTATGCATTTGAATATTGGATTCAGTCTTCAGCATTAAGACAGATTATTTTATCTTCCCCTTCTATCTCTTTAATTTTAATTTCAGTTCAAGATATCCACAATTTTAGGATCCTAAGGCCAAATGTTTTAAAGATCTTCATATTTCCGAGAAGTGTATTGGAGAGGTCTCCCCTTGAGTTTGTGGTGCCTGATGAGAAAACCAGTGGATTGTTCATGCCCAGGGGCACTTTATTTCTTTAAATTGACCCTAAGTAGCAACACTAGGACTGTGGTGGAAGCCAGATATCAAAACGAGTTTTGTCTAATGAAGCTTCAGTTTTAATATTAGAAGCTGGAGGTAGTGCCCAAAGGTTGCAAAGTTGGAAAAACAAATCTCTGACTCGCTCAAGCTGAAAGTATGAAGTGCATAAGGACTTAAGGCTGATTCAAGCGTGTATCTATGACCCATGCTTACAGGTGCTTATGAAGTGAACTCATATTTTTAAAGCCCCTGTTTGAAAACTAGTTGTAATTTATTTAAGGGGTGTCTGATCCTTAAGTCCATGACCCATTTCACTAGGCCCATTCCACATAAAGATCTAGACTCTGAAATAACGTTTTTTAAACTGTAGCAGGATGACCCCATTCATGAGTTGTAAAATCAATTCAGTGGGTCATGATCAGTAGGGTTTTTTTTTAAAGGAAGTCTAATAAAGTTAAATCAAATAGAAAGTGTCAGAGGGGATCATGCATTGTAAAGCTTACAACAGTTTCATCAAAATTTTCTATCAGTTATATGACTATAGTGTGTGTGATACCATGATGTAAAATACTTTTCTCACAATGGGGTCAAAAATCTGTGAAAGCCACCAGAGAATATTGGATTGGGTTGGATTGGGTTCATCTGACATAAAATGAAGAATAATTTACAGAGAGAATTTTCCCAAGGATATAAGGACCAGTCCCCAAATAGGCACAAGTCAAATTGTCCCTTAACTTTGTGAAGTAGGAAACCGCTGAAACACAGAAGAGAAGGCAGTGGACTCTATAATTCACAATTCCCTTAAACATAGCCCGACAGTCTTTGCCACTGCTAAAACATAACTTGTTTAAAGGTGTTTTGATCTCTCCAGCAGAAGTTAAGCTGCTTGAGGTAGAAGTGGCCGTATAACTTTTCTGTATGTCTTGTAATATGAAGAACTTAGTACTCATATGAAACATTTTTGCTAATTGACCAATTGAAAAAATACAGAGGTGGGTAACTAAAGAAGATGAGATCTAGCCTGTATTATTTTAACTAGCTCAGCATTATAACCCTGTAGCTTTGCCCATCATCCCTGCCCGTCAGTAGCATACCCATCAACTTTCTATCGTGTGTGTTTTTAAGCCAAATCTGTTTGGAATTTATTAAAAAAATAGGCCATGAGATAGTTATCAGTTATGAAAAGCACCTTTCAAAAATTACAAATAGCTTATCACAATCAATTCCAGTTTTTTAACCCTCAAATCTCTGATTCCATCAGGGAAAGAGATCCCTTTCTTCTAGCTTGATTTGTTTTTCTTCATTATGGCAAAGTTGGAATGCAGAGGAGGTAGAAATGGTTTTAAGTTTCTGTTTGGATTCTTTTCATCTAACTCAGGTTTAGGATCAGTTCCTCCTTTACAATCCAAAGTCATCGAGTTAAATTAAACAAGAGATTCCTGAGAAGGGGAAGCCAAGCATGACTAAAACTTTGTCTCAGACACATGTCAAGCTCGGTTAGAAATTAGACCTCCCTTAGTTACTGCCAGGAAAGAAGGAAGTCTCTTTTAGTATGACCCAGCAGGAGTGAGCAGGTCTCATGTTAGTTTTAAGTGATTTACTTTTGTATTTCTCTTTTGTAGTTCACAGCAGGTCCTTTTAGGAGGAATAAAAGGGCTCACTCTGCAATCTGCCTTTATTGTTTCACAGAAGAGTGGAAGCAAAACATATTTCAATCAGAAGAATTATACCTGAGTGCTATAAATGTTTCCATAGACAACAGGGAAAGCCCTGATACATTTAAGGTCGGGGCTGATATTTTCCGAGAAAAAGTGATGATCAACCCAGTGGGGAAATAAAATCATCTACTGTTCCAAGTGAATTATCTCATTGGGTGGTAATGACGAGAAAAGGCCAGAAATTCCAGAGATTAGCTACCACAGATAAGATTCCCAGACTTCTAAAGAAAAAAAAAAGACATTGCTAGGATACACAGGGACTCCTATGGAACTTGAGTGCCACTGTTTTATAGTGCAGCCACCTTTCTATTGATTAGTATTAATGAAATGAGAGGGCCCCACGTTGATGGATTATCAAAGACTACCTAATCCTGCTTTTTACTATTTAATCTTTCTTGTTGCTATGGTTAGAAATATGTGCAAACTAAATCCTTGTTTCTTCTTTCACTTGACCTTATTCTGATTCATCAAATTGATTCTCTTACACTCTGAACTATGCCAATTATTGTGTCTGTCAAGCCATACATTCATTAGAGTACTGGGGCTAATGGACATGCTGTTTAAGAGCACATTCATCTTTAGAAATACGGTAAAAGCTAATTCTTTTGGCTCAGCAAATCTCAGGTTGACATCTTGCCACTCTTCTGCTGCCAGGAATATCTGATGACTTAATGAAGCAAAGATCTTAAGCACACAACTCAGTGGCTTATTCAATATCAAGGTTTGCACTAGAGTCCGTGAAAAGGGATTAACACTTTCAGTTCTACAAAAGCCCAGGCAATGAGTTAAAACACCAGAGGACTCCCAGAATGGACAGTTCATCAGAAGGATTACAGAGTAACTTGTACTTCATGAGTCCATTGATCTTCCTTTTCATATGGTATTTAAAAAATAATCTTTTGTATGCCGGTGGTAATGCAACTGGATTAGTGGAGCTAACGGGCTGTGACTATTTAAATATTAATTGGGACAGCAATGTCTAAATCAGTGGTTCTCAACCCTGACTGCATATTAGAAATCACCTAGGGAGTTTTTAAAATTTGCCAATGCCTAGTGCCTACGTCCAGAGAGATCACTTTAATTGGTCAGGGATGGTGCCCTGGCATCAGGATATTTTCAAAGCTCTCCAGGTGATCTGCCTGTGTAGTCAGCATTGAGCATCACTAATAAATAAATGCTAAAACAGAATAGCTTTTTGTTACCAGAGCACCGAACTCAAACATTCTATTCTTTTAAAGATTCTCCATGTGTGTATGTTTCCTTAAAAAAAAAATACAGCAAGCATCCTGTTTCATTCAGCCTCAATTACTTTGGCCTTTGCCATGTGATAACATAGTATGGGCTGTTTGAATGCAATTAAAACATTTTGACCAAGTTTAGGAAGGCTTTTTAAATCTCAAAATATACTCAAGAAGAAATCTGGAATTTGGTTATTGGAGCAAAAATTGAGGAATATACCCAAAGACTCTTGCCGGTCCAATCAGCAAAAAACAAAAAACCCTCCTTAAATCTGTTCTGTTTAGTTAGTTAAACTAATTAGAAAGAAGGAGACAATCATTTATTTGTCAATTTTTGCCAGGAAAAAATGTCATTTTTCAAATAAGGTAGTGGTATATAAAGAGGAGCGATAATGGAGACGTGCCAGTAACTGCCTGTGGGGTTTCGATCAAGGCCCTCAGCCTTGCTGGGCCTCAAAGTCACATAGTTGGTGAAGGAGCTGGGGTGAGTGTCTGCCACTCTTGTCTCATACTCTGTGCTGGGCTATTTTGGAAAAAATTGATGAGGACCGAGCCTGTAGAGAAAGAGGCGGAGAGGACTTGCATTGGCCCCTTCTGTAGAAGATGAGTATGGTTTCCAGATTTCTCTGCAGGCTGCCCCTCCTAACTCTGTGTGCACACTTGCTTGAGCTGTTGTGGAAGTGGGGGCATTAATTCACTGTTCTGCTCTGGATTCCAACTTCTAGTTGCTTGCTGGCTTACACAGGACACTCACTAAACTAACTAAACGAAGCAGGCTTAAGGGTTTTTGTTTGTTTGCCTGCTTGCTTATTGGATTGGTAAAGAGTCTTTCGGTGTATTTTGCATTTTATGTTCTGATGAACAAATACCATGACACTGCAAAAAATCCAAGAGACTTTTCTAGAGCATATATTTCCTCTGAAGAAGAATGACCAGGCCGAGGGTGTTCCCAGCAGCAATACCAAGGGCACAACTGGTGATCTGGATCCAGAGCCAGGACCTTGCTTTTCTCTCCGCCTCCTCACTCTGACATTTTGTTTCATCCACACATCCCTGTTCATGGTTTCTCCAACTTTCCTCTGAGGTGGAACCACCTTCATAAAGTGCTTCTGTACCTTGAAGAACAAGTTATTGTTTTTCAGGTGGTTTCTTAGTAAAATGCTATCAAAAAGGAAAGAAGCCCAGTGAAGGCAAAGACAGATGTAGTTTCTTTTAGAGAAAACTGGAACCTAATTGGCCTAAATTCCTACAGTCCTTTTGTGCCTCTTCTCTCTCTCTCTCTTTTCTTTTGTTGCAAAAATGCAAAACTTCTACACTTCTTGTTGTTTTCTCTCCTTGTATTTGTTTCCCTAAAATATTTTGGTAACATATACACTTTTCTCTAAATTCACTAACTTTACAAATTATTTTTCTAATAATTGTAATACATTTCCTTCCTCTAATCCAAATTTCCTCTCTCATCAATCTACCCATGCAACATCTTCTAACTTTTATGTGTCTTTCTAATTTGATTGCTGTATAAAAAGACCCCATTTATGACACATTTTTTGGTTTTTCCTTTATTTCTTTTCTTATTTAATGATGAATTTTACAATGCAACACTGAAAGAATGGTATAACCTTTCACTGTGATAATGCAATTCTTCCACTCTATTCTTCTAAAAGTGACTACCTCTTTATCAAACCTAAGAGCTAAACCCAGAAACAGTGACTCTTATCCATCATAAATAACTTTGTTCTGTTTCTTGCCCATTTTTTTTTTTGCATATTGCTATCTTCCACTGTAATCTGCCCGCCCCATAACACACACTGTTTTCTGGTATTTTTTTAAATATTTTCTGGTATATTTCAAACATGCAGAGCAGTATAGAAAATAACACTGAATACCTGCTCACCAATGAGTTCAATGAAATCTTGACATTTTCTAAACCTGTTTTAGTTATTTCAAAGAAATAAAACCTGCAGAAACAATTACAGTCACCTGGGTATCCCTTTCTCCCCTTCCCATTCACCTTGGAGGAGGCCAGAGGTCTCCTTCAAGGTAAGTGCTACCTTAAATGTGTTGTTTATCACTTCTATGCATGCATTTTATCGTTATTAAACACATACATCCATAAATAAAATATAGATTTTTAGCAAGTAACATTTTATGAAGTACCATTCTGTAAACTGCTTTTATTGGCCCAATATTATGATTTTGAAACACATGGCTTAAATTTACTTATTTTGCCTTCCCTATCATGTTCTATGGAGCATTCATGCGATTCATTTAGCTAGATGATGGACATTTTAGTATGTTTCTAATTTTGAGTTGTTATAGACAATGTTTCAATGAACATTTTTGTTTTTGTTTCCTTGACCAGATGGGTCTGATTTCTTCTGTGTCCCCAGTGCTATGTTAGTTGTTGTAACAGTACCTCCAAAATTAAACTTTCTTGGCACTTAATGCCACGGGGCCAAAAAGCAAATTTCCTTGTTTCTATTTCATTTTAGTACACTCTAGAAATGTCAATAGTAAGGTTCTGACCGGAACAATTAAAAGGGATTGAGCTACCTGGTTAGAATAAAAACAGCCTGTGCTGTGAACTCTTTGTGATTCATTGGCTCCCTTACTTGCAAATGTGCACTGCTCTTGCAATAGATAATTGCTGATATGCCACATCTCCAGTGTTCCTTCTATTTTACCTTCCACTTGGAGCTCAGAGGAAATTATTCCATATATCCCTCTAGGATGAGAGTCATTTTCATGGCCTCTTTCAGATACATACTTTGCGATCCTCCTAGAGCAATCAGAGATTTGATGTTTCAGATCACCTTTCTGTCAGGAAGTTGGAGTGGTGATCTTAAACATTAAATGACAATGCAACTCTATTGTGCTGCACCTTATCCTATCTTCGCCCTGGGCTCATTTCTTTACATAATAACAGGGGAATATTTTCTGCCAAACAGCATCAAATAATTACAACAATTGAGTAAGCATAAAATTCTAGGTCATGTAATACTGCCTTTTTCTTTTATTTTTTGAGACAGTGTTTCTCTCTGTTGCCCAGGCTGGAGTGCAGTAGTGCAGTAGTGCTGTAGTGCAAACATGGCTCACCGCACCCTCCAACTCCTGGGCTCAAGCAATCGTCTTGCCTCAGCCTCCAGAGTTGCTAAGCCTACAGGTGTATGCCACCATGCCCAGCTAATGAAAAAAAACTTGTAGAGATGGAGATCTCACAATGTTGCCCAGGCCGGTCTTGAACTCCTGGCCTCAAGTAATGCTCCCGACTTGGTCTCCCAAAGTGCTGAGATTACAGGCATGTGCCACCACACCCAGCCTTGTATTACATTTTTTAAGTGAGATTGGAGAAACTTTGGGTCAATCATGGCAGCTCTTGCTTTGTGGGATTGCTCCCATCTTCCCAAGTTGTCTCTTATGCCTAGACAGATACAGTTCCAATTTTGCTTTTTTCTGTAGCCTGATCCTCTTCAGGTTGGGAAGGATGCTTGGTTTACTTTACACAGCTCTCCTTGAATTCTGATGAACTTAAGGGGAGTAGACTAAGCCAGGGGGTACCTGTACCACAATTCACCTCATCTAATTTTTTGTTTGGTTTGAGACAGCCTTGTATTTGACCCCTGTGATATCCTACAGAGCAGTCAACCTCTGTGTCACATGGAGTCCCATATTTTTGCAGTGAAGTAAGCAAAGTTTTTCTACTTTTATCATATAATCCACCAATAATTTCAACCTGAGCCACGTTTGTTCTGTTAGGGAAAACAGGGCAAAGGCCAACATTAACAAACAGAGGGGATCAATTCCTTGGATCAATATTCTGACTGAATAAGACTCATGGTCCCTCAACTTTCAGTAAATGATATAACATTTGAAACTAGGAAAAGGAAAGGTAATGTGTACTCCAAGTAAGCCACATTTTTTATTTGAGCTTTCATCAGCTAATCCCAGCTGATTATTATCCCTCTGATAATTCTACTACTTAGGATGGCATGCATGGATAATGCTATCTCCTGGACACAAAAGTCTGAATTTTTTTGCCTTTTTTTTTTTTTTTAGAGAGATAGGATCTTGCAATATTGCCCAGGCTGGAGTTAAGTGGCTATTCACAGCTGCAATAATAGTGAACTACAGTCTGAAACTCCTGGGCTCATATAATCCTCCTGCCTCAGCCTCCTGAGTAGCTGAAACTAGAGCATGCACCATTATGCCTCAAAACCTGAATTTAACACAGAAGGAAAGACTGACATGCTTCCCATTGTCAAATTTTCCTTGCAGGAAGTGTTATTCTATGCATTCCCAATCTTTTGTTTTTTGCTTGTAGCTATAGGCAGGTGCCATCAATATTTTTTAAAAGGCATCATAATAGAAACTCTTGTGTACTCTAATTCTCACAGGTGAAAATGTGGCTCAGACCAAACAACAACAACAATAGAACAAAAGCAAAGCAAAGAAAATTTAAAAAGCACAAGATAGAGTCATGACAGCCTTAGTCTCAAATGGTTTGGAGGCAGCTTACCCAGTGGGCTTGTGTTATTATCATCTAAACCATACACAAAGACCCAACATGGTATATAAAGACCTAACATGGTATCCAAAGGACCTACATAAAAAGAAGGCAGCTCCCCTATCTTGGCCAAGGAAAAGGGCCATGACATGGTCTGTGCACAATTGCTACCGTATTTCCTGCCTTAAGCTCTGCAGCTTGTTGTGCTGGCATGCTCATGTGTGAGCATGTGCTGTACCCACTCCCCATGAAGCCAATTTATTTAAATCCAGGACAATCTGCTGCTGATTCTTCCTAAACAGCACTGTCTGTTTAGCCTCCTACGGGGTGACACGGTGGCATCTGAGTGCTCGGTGTTGGGCTTTCCACTCCTCCATCCCAGTTCTGATCTGAGTGCGGAGGAATGATTGAGTATTACCTGCCTACCCAAGTAAGACAGCAACTTTTAAAATTAATCATTTCTTGTCAGTGAGGTTGCAGCCTTTTCCCTGTTCTTCAAATTTTACTACTTGATGAGTTTGATTATGGGCTTTTACTGATGATGGCTGCTGATCAGGATGAGTAGATTTGAACTAGTCAGTTAATATTATGGAAAGTGTCCTGTGGGTCTATGTTTAGGCTACCTAATAGGAGGAACACATAGTTCCCATATTCCTACATGGTTCTAGCCTTCTGAGTGCACATATGTTTTCTAGCAAGTCCATGGACAATTTGAAAATTGTGTGTGTGCAGTGGGTAATCTCCAAATGAAACATACTGGGAGGGCCATGCCTACCATGTACTGGGCTGGACAGTGGTTCAGCACTTGAGATGTCATTAGTCATCTCCGACCAGTCTGTGGAAGCTCCTCTGATTATTACTATAGATCACAGCAACCAAATCTTTTTCCCACAAATAAACAGGAATGCCACACATGGCTTATGGGTGTAGAGCTTCATTGGCTAAATGGCTGAGTGAGATCTGGTCAAGCAGAACTTCTCACTGCTTGCTGTCCCCACAAACCATCACACCATCCCCAACCCCCAGCAGCCTTCCCAGTTCACCGCAGTGTGCCTCCCCAGTATGATTATAATGTGGGAAGTCACGTGGAAAGGTTTGGTAATCTCTCCGTAGACATGTGTTCTTAGGCTTAGCTGCACTTCAGGATCATCTGGGGAACTTCAGGCTTTAAAACGCACTTCTAGCCCCCACAAAACAATCAAATAATAATTTCTGGGTAAGGTCTGGGCGTTGAAATTTAAAATATGCTCCCTGGATGACTTGAATGTGCAGCTGTGCCTGGGTACTGCTGCTTTGGACTGAAATTCAGACTAGAGGAAAGGGATTCCAGAGGGACAGGGTGAGCAGGAGAAACACCTGGAAGGAGATGAGGTAGGTTTCTGTGGCTTGATTGAGGCTAGAAGGTGAGGGGCCAGGTTGGGACTGAGTGAGGCCCAGAGAATTCTCCCTCTAAAGGGCTTAACTTTGTCATTTACCCCCGGAATCTAGGAATAACCACTAGTGTTGCTCAGCTGTACATTTCTATGTCCTACACTGCAATTCCTGTTAACTGCTGGAGGTCACAGCTTGCAGGAAGAAGTGTTGTCTGTTCCACACATCTCTGTTGCTCTCAGAGAAGAAAAAGCCTCATACTGGAACTCCTAGGTCTAAGACTTTCCACTTTGATTGACACTGAGGTGAACCATGATCTGGCGTGAAGCTGGAAATACTTGTTTGCGGGAGACACTTCCAAGTGGACAACTAGGGGAAATGAGGCAGAAATGTTGCTTTCCCAGCATAATACTTGAAACTTGGAGTTTCAATTCAATGTTTGAATTGCAGGCAGAAAAATACAGTAACTCATAATGTAAAATACAGTAACTCATAATGTGTATATGTGTGAATAGAACATGCACATCTTCCACCTTCCTCATTACCAGATATTCGTGATCTAGGGAAGCAGACCAATTTACCCAAAACCAGTCCAATAAATGATCAAGTAAGTGAATAGCCAATTCTTCAAATAGCCAGCATGCCAATTTATCCAATTGTATCCATTCGCCAAAAACTTTGGATATTCAAAAGCAGATGAAAAAAATCACATCACATTGAAATGTAAACCTTTGTTGCTAGAAACACAAATTAAGGCTTATGTACTAATTGAAGGTATTGGTGTGGAATAGTAAACATACCTACACTTTATTTTAAAAATAAAAAGTAAATAACTTTTAGACATGCGTAACAGAAATCAGAAGAGGCCAAAATAATCATGTCACGCAAAAAAATATGGGTTCTAATAAGGGTGATGTGTTGACGTGGCAGTTGTTAGTAAAGAGATTCAAGACAGAACTTGCATACCTTTCAAAGTCATGGTCAGGAAGTGAGAATGCATGGGAGGGATCACTACCACTTATGATAACAATGGAAAGACAGTAAGCACGAGTGAAAAGAGCAATACATGGCTAAAAAAACCCCACATGAATTTGGTTAAATCTTAAAAATAGTAAAACCTTAAATATGCTAAATAGACAGGAAATTTGAATTAGGGAAAGACAAGAACAATCATGTTCTACGTTAAATGTTGGCTATTAATTGCTAGAAATCACATACTAATGTTGGTATACTACATGAAAGTTAGTAAATGAATCTCAACATTTTCTAAAAGCAGAAATGACATAAAAGAACTGGAGAAACATCAGCATAAACTGGAAATTTCCATATAAAATTCTGAAATAAAAATCAGTCAACTAAAACCTTGCAGGAATCCTCACTATATCAGAAACCATCCCATCATATATATTGCTAGAAGCTTTATCAGTAGTTGCTTTTTAAAAACAAATATTTTGATCAATAGATTAGTTAATAAATATGGCAGTTGGCCATTCAGCATGTGGATTTTTTTTGTGTGTGTGAATTGACTAGAACAATAAGGTACATAGAGACAGTAGAATTAGCCTCCTTTTCTAGAGAAACTAGGTTAATTTCATAGATAAAGGAACAAAGTTTATATCTGTTTTGTTTGTCTAAGGGTATGGTTCCATTTTCCTTAGAAATCTGAAGATTATAGAGTACATTATTTAAGTTCATGTCTGACCTTTGAGAGGCACAACAAAAATAGTTCACAAAGCATATTAATTAAAGGATATTAGATAAGAAATATAAAATGTAGTACAGCTAATTGCCAGAAAATCTCCTACCAAGCTTTTCAGAAACACACATTTGAGCTCTTATGGAGCAATGAATCCATAGCTACAGAGCTTGAAGTGCCAGTATATATGAGAAAATTGTCACTTCCAGATCTAGGATGGTATTTGGCACATGGTATGACATATGTCATGTTCACTGCAAGCAGTTTCTTGTGCATATGGTCCTTCTAGCTAGAGGAGCCCATCCACAGCCTATTTTATCAATAGTGAAGACACTCAGACTGAAAATAATCTTGTTTTCTGCATTAAATAGAATCAACTTATATTTGACCAAGAAAGCAATATATATTTTATTGATACATTGTTTTCCTTAAGCCATTATTGTAAAAAAAAAACTCCTATACTGATGGTATAGAATAGTTCCATGCCTACATACTAAATATTAATTGTATTGTAACAAGAGTTTAAGAGTGTTCACTAAATATAGCGATTTACTATGGAGTCTCTGAGTCCCATATCTGACTAACCTTAAACAAAAAATTTCCTTTTAGTTTTTGCAATTTGAAAATGATTTATAGTTTTGATATCCTTTTTTCTGATGTGTAGCATTGGAAGTTGTATTGGTCAATAGCATTTAAAGATGTAACTTTCAAAAAGGAGTCTTGGCACAAATTCTTTGCTTATGTCTGACCACTCTGATATGCTAAGTAACTAACAGGTAAATGCAACATGTTAAGTAAAACCAAATTCATTCCCTTTTAATAGGTATTTAAATGAAAATAACTTGGCACATCATTTGTGAATTCTAATTTGGTTGTTTTCTTTCAAAAACCCAGGAAAGTAATTTTAGAAACTAAAATAGACCATGATTTAAATGCTCTTTTTTGTTGTTGTTGTTTTTGAGATGGGGTCTCACTATGTTGCCCAGGCTGGTCTCAAACTTCTGGGCTCAAGTGATCCTCCTGCCTGGGCCTCCTAGAGTGCTGGGATTGCAGGTGTAAGCCACTATGCCTGGCCTAAATATACTTTCTAATAGTGGAAAAATGATTTAAAAAATATGTTTTACTTGTGTGTCATATAAATTTTTATAAACATTAAGAACATTCAGAGGTAAACTTCAGTGGCTATTTTTAAGTGTTGGAAAGTACCAAGGAATTATTATTAATATCAAATAAATGGAATCCAGAAATGCCCAAGAATTCAGAAAAAAAAACCAAAACCTAACATTTCAGTCAAAAGAATAATTCTTCACACTGCTAAAGAAATCTTTATCACAGGATTTGTAAGAATGGTTTAGCACTTTTACCAATATTCTATGACCTCAGAGCCACAGAATCTAGACATTGGTAAATTACAATGAGATGACAGTGTCATGCTTTCTATGGTAGTACCATCTTTGGTGCAGTCTCCACAAGCAAGAGCCCTTTAACTGTATCTCTCTTTCAGATTGTTTTTGGCTGGGTTACAGTGACTGTCCTAAGAGTTTGTTTCAGATAATCTGGCTTTCTTCCTTCTGGGCGTATGGTAGAACTGGACTGACTCATTCTCTTTAGATTCAACATGACCATGTGACTTGATTTGAACAATGAAATATGATTGGAGTCGATGTTTCACTCTGGGTGGAAGCTTTAAAAGACTTTGTGCCATTTTGCTGTGCTCGGTTTCCCTCTGCCACAGTGATGGGTACTTCTCCACGGAAGAGTTCTGTCAGCTTGGTTCCTGGAGACAGAGAGGACACATGGAACCCCCAGCTGGCCCGGTGGACATGAGAAATGAGCCTTTGTGGTTACAAGTCATTAAGATTTGGGAGACTGTTTATTCCTGCTGCATGTTTTCCATCCTTACTTCCTTAACAGTAATAAAAGTAATAGATTAGCTCCTCTCCCAGAAAAGAAAACCAACTAAAAGAATGTATCACAAAGTATTTACTAAAGAGATAGCACATTTTCTATAACATGTGAAAAAATATAAAATGAGAAATCAATTACTTTAACTGTGCTTTACAAAATTGTATTTGATTTTAATGTGAGATAAAGAATTTATCACTGTCCCTGCATCATTTTATTTTATTAGATAGGGGTCAGGAAACTTTTTTTTTGTACATGAACAGATGGTAAATATTTTAGGGTTTGTAGGCCATACTTTCTCTATCACAGTGACTCAACTCTGTCACTGTAGCCTGAAATTAGCCATAGACAATATGTGAATGAATGGGCATGTTTGCAATGTTCTAATAAAACTTACAAAAACAGATGGCTGGCCTGATTTGGCCTGGTGACTAGAGTTTGCCAACCTCTGCTATTATTAATAGATAACATACTTATAAGATCCAATATTATTAGTCCTAATAATACTGACATCTCTTATATTTTCCTATGTGACCCGAGCAAACATATTTTTAAAAAGTGAGTTGCATTTTGTTTTTTACCAAGTTCCAACTAGTTTTGTGGTATAGGTGGCATAATTATCATCAATGGAGAAATTATATTTACTATACAGTATCTAGGATGCATTACAAGTTCTGATTTACTAAATTATATGATTTTTAACTAATTTAAACATTTTATTTTATCTTAACAGGTAAAGCCATTGAAGCACATTGAGACAAGAGGTTTGTCTGAAGTCATGGAGGGGGGTTGCAGAAGAGTGAGATCTAAAACCTTGGTTTTTGGGCATCCCCCTATTTCTATTTTATTTCCATTATTACACACTGGCTTCCAAATGAATAGAATAAGTTTAGAAGGATTAGGCCAAGAATTTTAAACAGGTTTAAAATTTAAAGACTTTATTTGGACTTTATCCTGGACGTTATTTAAAGATTGTGGGAACTGATTTTAGTTAATATTGAATAGAGCATGTGTTAAATGAATGTATGTGAATATGCACGAAATGCATTAAGCTTCAGTTTCAGGTTTTTTTCAAGGTAGGAGGGAAAGAAAGATGTAGAGTCCTGCTATTACCCTAATTTATGATGTTTACTTATTCCTACCTATCTGACTAATGCTCCTTTTGTTCTCTTTATAATTCTCAGTTTGTATCTACTACCTCTGTCCCCCCAAGAGCTGCAAACATTAGCTGATTAATACTCAGTCTTCTTAGCTGCTGTGATCAGTAGAAGTAATCTCTCATAGCATGTTGATATCTAAATCAACATAATATATCTAAATCACCTTTGCTAATCTGTTGGAATTTGCTTAGTGTTTCCTGAGCTTATATCTCCACTACCACAATATGTTTGGAAAAAGAAGTACCCAGGACATAAAGATATGAGAATTCAATTCTGTAAAAGAGAATAGATTTCACTTTTGCAGTTTGAAACGTTTCATCAAAGTCTTTTTTAAAAAAGTTTTGTTTTCTTTTTTTTCCAGTTCAAGTTATTCTGAAGAGAGTTTTTCCACATACAAACTGCCAACTTGGCCATTTTCCTATCTATCTATCTATCTATCTATCTATCTATCTATCCACCCATGCATATATTTTTGTTCTTTTTTTTTTTTTTTTTTTTTTTTTGAGACAGAGTCTTGCTCTGTTGCCCAGGCTGGAGTGCAGTGACATGATCTTGGCTCACTGCAACCTCCGCCTCCCAGGTTCAAACAATTTTACTGCCTCAGCTTCATGAGTAGCTGGGATTAGCAGTGCCTGCCATCACACCCGGCTAATTTTTGTATTTTTAGCAGAGAAGGGGTTTCGCCATGTTGCTCAGGCTGGTCTGGAACTCCTGACCTCAAGTGATCCACTTGCTTTGGCCTCCCAAAGTGGTGGGATTACAGGCATGAGCCACCACACCAGGCCCATTTTCCATTATATTTAATACTCTCTTTTTTCTCCTCACCCAAATAACATAGGAGAAGGGAAAAAACCCTTGAGGCTAGAAAGAGAAGTAATATTTTGGAAATCTCTGTGGTTCAGCGGTATGTTATCTTGCAATTTAAAGTGTCATTTGATTTATTTTTTGAAGACTATGTTATGGACTGAATGTTTGTGTTTCTCCCACTAAATTCATATGTTGAAATCCTAACCCCCAATGTGATGGTATTAGAGAATGGGGTTTTGGAAGGTAATTAGATTATGGAGGTGTAGGTCTCATGAAAGGATTAATGCTCTTATAAAAGGGACCCCAGAGAGAACTCATTCACCTTCTTTCCAACGGGTGCGGGTACAGAAGTCTGCAGCCTGCACACGGAAGAGGACCCTCACCAGAGCCTGACCTTGCTGGCACCCTGATCTTGGACTTCTGGCCTCCAGAACATTGAGTAATACATTTTTGTTGTGTATAAACCACCCAGTCTATGGTACTTTTGTAAAGCAGCCTGAACTGAGTAACATATTGAGATTATTAATTATAGCCAAATCTTGATTATTTGTACACTATATGAATTCTCTGTCCATGCACTTGATCAGAGATTGAATTTGGCTACTGTGGTGGCCTAAATAATTACCTACCAAAGAGGTCTATGTCTTAATACCTGGATCCTGTTAACATGTTACTTAAGACGGCAAAAGGGACTGCAGATGTGGTTAAGTTAAGGATCTTGAGATGGGGCGATTACCTTGGGCTATTCAGGTGGATCTAATGTGATCCCAAGGGTCCTTATAAGAGGAAAGCAGTGGAGTTGGAGTCAGAGAGGAAAAGATATGCTTATGCAACCAGAGGTTGGAGTGATGGGCTTTGAAGTTGGAGGAAGAGACCATGAGCCAAGGAATGTAGGCAGCCACTAGATGCTGGAAAAAATAAGGAAGCCCATTCTCTCCTAAACCCTCCAGAAGAAAGAGGCTTGGTGCAGCTGTGCCAAGTGCCTTGATTTTAGACTTCTGACCAAAACTGTAAGAGAATAAACTACCACTAAGCTTGTGGTAATTTGTTACTGGTGCAGTAGGAAACAATTACACTTACCTCTCTGGGTTATCAAGGAATGGAAGCAAATTTGAATTTCCCAGTGAAAATCTACAAGAGAAAGAACCAGCTTTTGGATCTCAAACACCAGAACACATATATTGGTAAAACATAAATTTGCTTTGGAATATTTGTCATTTTATCTTCTTTTTTTCCTATTGGGATAATTGTGAGTTCTTAGAAATGCTACTGATCTTAGGCCAGTCTTCCATTTGGTGCCATTGCTCTGTGGTTTGCTCTGCTAATCTTGTATTTTCTTCTTGCTTTCTATAAATTTAAGGAACGCTGTGGGGAAGTGAGAAGCTGGCCTACCTTGGAGAAGGAGTGGGTGTGTGAACTTGCTTCCAATTAGGCACAGAGAATGTCCCCATTTTGTTCCAGGGTCATCACCTGCATGGCCTGCGGTGGAGCCAGGGGCCAAAACACAACAAGGGAAACTAAAGTCTCCTGTGACAAATTAATTGGAGGAGAGGATAGGAGAAAAACAAGCATCCCACTCCTTCTCTTTACTCAAGTGGTCTGCGAAGTCGAGTCGTGGAAGGGAGAATAAAACTCCATTTTGTAATGCTTTTTAAAGACGTGGCCATAGCCAAGATGCAGGACTTTTAAAGATACAATAATCCTAGAATTTTCTAGAACTTTTAATCATAAGCCTCAAAAAGTATTCAATCACTTGATGGTGGCACCCACAAACCCCACATGCTGTTGTCTGGCATAGTCAGTGCTCTTTGAAGAATACACTCACAATTCTCATTGTTTTATTGTACCCGTTATTCCTGGCTGGTCTCAGTTTTTATGAAGCCCAGAAGGAAAACCTGTCCTAAACCATCAACAGTTGCAAAGTTTAAAATGTAGATTCTGATAAATGCTGTTTTTATATGCGGTCTTCTCTCCTGCTGCCCATCGGGGATTGATTTGTCCCCCTTTCCCCCCTGATTTTAGAAAGTATTTGCTTTGGAAAGTGGTTATATGACTTATTGTCCAAGTAAAAAATAATTTATCTTTACATGGGTGCTGAATTTAAAAACTTAACATATGATTATGTATAACTTGATCTATTCTCAGGAAAGAGATGAACAGGTTAAGCAGTTTGTACTCACTGGGCTGTTGGTATTATACAAAGTAAGATGGGATGCTATTTATTTGCCTTCAATCCTTACTGGGGAAGCAAAACATCAATGCCTTGAAAAGGCTAGTTCACGAAGCACAAATACCAGGTGGTCTTACATCCCAGGGAAGGATGTAAAGCTAAAGGAGTGAGAGAAGAAAGTGGGCTGGATGGAGATGGTGAAAGAAATCTCCCCAGATGGGATGGGGCCCAGTTCGATTTGGAAGCCTAGGGAAGAATTTAGAAATGTGATAAGAAAGGAGGAAGGGGCGAGTTTAAGATGCCAGGGGACAGCACCAGCAATTCTGAGCTCATCAAGTTTGAAAGATGGAGAGGAGCCCTGCTTTGTGCATTTATAATCTAATTTGAGGACAGGCCACTGCGGTATTTTTCTTTTCCCTGGGATGCTTAAGAGAAATACGCTCCTCATTCCCAGGTGGGGCACAGCTTTTCCTCTGTTTTGCCAGCCTTAGCTGGTGAAGTGCTGTTGCAGTCGTAATGGCAGACTCTTCTCCAACAGGCACAGACCTATCTTGAAGGCGTAGCATCCTGTCACTTTTCACTTAGCATTTGCTTCAAATAGATGAAAAAAAAAAAGTTCTAGCAATTGGAAGTTTTGCAGTATCAACAAAACCTGTGTGAGAACTAGTCCTTACATGTAAAGTCTGCCCGTTAAAATCTGGTATCTCAGGTTCCCCCACTCCTCATCATAACCTGCTAATAAGGTATAATTTTGACATTATCAAGATTTGCACTTGTCTTTATTTATTTATTTGTGAACAGTTTCGAGCTAGGTGCCATGAGAAATAAAATGTTCTACCAGTCATGGTCCCTACCCTGAAATTTTGAAAAAAAAATTTTTTTTGGCCTGTCTCAGAGCTTGAAAGTCTGACAAACTCTGAAAAACCATCCTTTGAAAGTGAAAACAAAGCGGGTTACGTCAGATTCTGTTTTGAGGCATGGTTTCCTAATTATCTCGTAGGACTCAAAAACCTTTTAGAAGAAAAACCTAATTTTGGAAATAAACTTCTTTCCAAGAGTGAAAACGTGCCACACGGCTGAGTGCTGTTATTATAACTGAGAAGGAGAATTTGCAGGCTGCGCATGAGGCCAGCAGCCACAGCACCTTCTGTACTTGTTTTTCACTTGTGTGCTCACAGAACACTCCCAAACTCACCTTCTTCCAGCTCTTGGTATTAATGGCATGGTCTCCAACCTTCACAACCAAATATGACACACAATGGCTTGCTATAATAAAACTCCAAGCCCTTTAAGCCAACAAAGCTCTTCACATTCACATCAAGTCTTCAACAAGATTTTTCAAAACTTCCTCTTTGGGTACCATTTTCAGGGCCAAATACACTATTTGTTGTTGTCTGTGCATAGCACCTATTAAGTAGTGACTCCAGCATTTATCTATTTGTCTACTCTCATTTGACACTGTGTGCTGTACTTCCATATTTCCAACAGACTGGTGGGATGAAGGCACCTAAATTCAGTAAGTTCAAAGCCAAGCTAATTAATTTTCTCCCTAAATTACTTAAATCACCGACGTCAGCTAATTACCTCACGAGTCATCCTGATGCTCAAACCAGGCACCTCAAACTCTTCCACAAGCTCTTCTCTTTTGCTCCTGTCCTCCATCCTCCTCAGGGCCTCCATTCCCACAGAGCCTCTGCTTCATTTCAGACTCACTTAATTTCTCACTGGATTAGCACCAGACACCTTGTTTTTTCCCCCTGCTATTTCTAACCTAGTGTTTGCATGGCTTCAAGTAAAATATCTTCCCAAAACATAAAATTGTTCATTATAGTATCTTTTCAAAAACCGTTTACCCAAAGAAAAATATTCTTGAGATGAATTATGTCCTCCTTTGTAATCTGGCACTAACCTACTTTATTTTTGCTCTAGATACATAGAACTTATTAGTCCCTTCCCAGATCTATTATTCTTTGTTAAGTCTTTTTGTTTATCCTCATTTTTACTTGAAATTCCTCTCCACCTATATCTACATGTTAAAACACTCTTTTTAAAGACAGTTCAAATGCCACCACATCAATAACTCATTCCTGATTTGGCCCTTTCAACTCTCATTACTCTTTATCTCTGTCTCTCTTCTGGTGAATATCAAACTTACCTAATAGCATAATTTAATAGAAGAAAGTTTGAAATGGTCATCACAAGTTTAGGTTCAAGTCTTGAGCTTTTCCTTATCTGTGATCTTGGGCAGGATATTTAATTCTTTCTCAGTCATTAAGAAGTGGATACGATTCCTTACTTTTGAGGGATAATTTACTTTTATTAAATTATGAAGTGCTACAAATGTGATTTGTTAGTATTCGAGGGACCAGAAAATGGTTATAAGACTAAGGCCATGCTTGAAGGTTCTATGGGGCAGATCCCTTGAAATCAAAACTTATGGTTGAAGAGGCCAGGAGTGGATTTATGTACAATGAACACAATTAGCAGAGAGCAGTCCAAAGTGTCTTTGAATTGACAGTGTCTATCTCTAAGTTCATAGAAGTCTACTTGCTACCATTGTGTAAATAAAAATGCATGTTTTTTGCTTTTGTTTTTTTTTTTTGGAAATGGGCAAATTTGGGTTTAAATGCTGAGCAAACCCTCACTAGCCATGTAGCATGGAGTGAGTTATCTAACCCCTGGGAACCTCAGCTCCTCACCTGTAAAAACAATTTACTGGTAAAAATTTGCAAAAGCCCACTATGAAAGGCACCAATGCTGTGAAGCATCATTCCTTTTAGATGGCAAAGTTACAGAAAATTCCAAAGTAAAGGATGTTGATTTTTTGTAAGAAATGGAAAAGGACCTCAGTCTCCATGGTGTCCTGAGGAAGTGTTTTCAGCTGTTAGTCCAATCATAGAACTGGGGTTTCTACTACTGGAGGAATTTCAGGCAGCACTCTTCTCATCTCTGAAGCTGAACACGGGAAGAGTAGAGTGTTGATAAAGAGTGGATGCTTTCAGAAAATCTGCAGTCTGTGAGGAGAGTCCAAGAGTTTTCAGGAAGGGTTGGAAGACTCATGAGATGGACATGTAGATGGAGTAGTTTTCTTTCTTTTTTTGAGACAGGGTCTGGCCCTGCCACCCAGGCTGAAGTGCAGTGGTGCAGTCTCAGCTCACTGCAGCCTCAACCTCTTGGGCTCAAGCTATCCTCCTGCCTAAGCCTCCCAAAGATGTGAGCCACTGTACCCAACTTGATTTTCTTCTTCCTTCTTATTTTTAACTGCACTCTTGGTACTTGGACTTAGGATAATCATAGCCTCATGGGCACTCCAAGTGGTGTTGTTTGTTCCATTTTCGTTGAATAAAAGCTACACACACATTTTCTTTAATGCCTTCTCTTCTCTTCTCTCCTCTCCTCTCCTCTCCTCTCCTTTCTTCTCTTCTCTTCTCTTCTCTTTTCTTCTCTTCTCTTCTCTCTTCTCTTCTCTTGCCAGGTTTTTGATACCTGATATAATTGCTAGAGGACATGGTATACTTTAAATTTTTTTTTTCCAAATCATCTCCTCTACTTTTTATGGAATAGTAAAACTAATTTATATTATAATCACATGAAGGAGGGTGGGAGGACTTTAAGTTGCTTTTGGTTCTCGGCCTTTGACTTGTTGGTAAATCAAATACATAAGTGTTGTTGTGAGAGCTAAATACATAAGGTACATAAAGTAAACATTTTATATATAACAAGCACTAAATAATTCATTTTTTCCTTCTTTTCTTCCTATATTTTTCCCATCCGAAATATTTTCCCTGGAACTTATAGTATGTCTGATATAAATAAAAATAGATTCAGCTTGCCTCCTGAGACAAGGATTGCAACTGGATGTGTTAAGAAGGATTGTGAAGCTCTCTTTGAGTGCACTGGGAAACAGGGTTATGGACAATTAAGAAAGTTTGCCATGGGAAATGCCATGGGGACAGTGGTAGCAGGCAAACAAGGTGTTTTCCATCCTTGATGTATGTAGATGACATGTGGCTGTTCGGCTTGTGCAAATGTTCCTGGAAAGTTTCCTGTTAAATGCATAGATAAATGCTTAAGACCTAATCGCAAACTCAATAATACTTATTTCATTTTGAAATGAGGAAGTTCTGACTGTGTATATAAAGTTGCATTTTTCTTGTTATTGTTTAAACTCATGGTTCTGATAACTAAAATCTTGAAGAAAAAAAGCAAACAAAACCACCAAAATGTTGTGAAATGTTTTCTCTACTTCTTTAGTTCCTGAAAAACAAAATGGATAATGCTTTTGAAACTCAATTTCAGCATAATGAATAAAATGACCTATCATTAAAACCATTGTAGCATTAATTTTTGAAAACATTAAATGTACTTTTTTAGGAATGGGTTTTTATGATTGGGGCCACTTCCCCTTGACCTTTAGGACTATTTCCAATGAATCTCAATCTTTCGCCTTTGTCCGGATAAAAGCTTCTCTCCTTCCTGCACTCTTCTTCCTAGAGCTCATCCAAAGGCTAAAGCTAATAAATAAATAGGGGTTCTTTTTACCAGCCTACATCATGAGCCCCAGCAAGAATTAATTGATTCTCTATGGTCAACAGCAGATTTCAGGTGTCTGAGTAATGCTGGCAAAAGCTCTCTCTTTTTTGGGTGGGTGGGGAGGGGAGGAGGGCAGGGAAAAAGAGGAATATTTAAATTTCCAAAGCAGTTAACCTTAATCCTCTTCGCTTTTGCCCTAAACTGGGCTGTGTCTGTTGTTTGAGAGTGACAATGTGTGGATATTTTAGTTACTGCCAGGTGAGACTCAATCTTTTTTCATTCTTTCAGGACCTTGGGGGATCTTTTGCTGTATTGCTCAAATTCCCTCTCAGTTCCCCTACATTTGTTAAACTGAGGCCCAGAGATTATAGCTAAGCCTAGCAATGCATGCTGCTGTAATGCTGATCATTAACTGCCTTGTCCAGATGGTCCCTGCTCTCACTGACAGATATTAAGGCTAAATTGTTCATCTCCAGCGTTTCTTGTAGACTGCCCAATATGTTTACTGTGGTCCATTTACAGGAGAGTGACATTAAGCAGATCTGATGCTAACATTGTGGCAGTAGCCCTGATGAGGAAAGTGGCAGATCTAGGGAGCAATGCGGAGGATGCAGCAAATGAGTAAGTTACACCCAAAAGCACCAGCCTTCCGAGGGCAGCTATTTTAGTAATCTGTCAAAGACAGGCAGGAATTCCAGCTTAGTGCTCAGCTCACGCTGGCCTAGAGAAGATTAGCAGTACAGCAACTGACACCTCGAACTACTTTCCTTTAAGTCATGAAAACAACAAGCAAGCAACAAAAAAACACTAGTCTCACACCTACCTCAAGGTCATTCTCATATATCAATCATACTGAGATCAGTTGGGTTTCTGGAGACACACATCATGAGAGACTTACAACTCACTTGCGTGCTGCTTAGAAGTTGCATTTTCCTTTTAAAGTTTTGTGCTAGTGTCCACTAGATCTCCCAGCTCTTAGCTTTACATTTCTCCCAGTCCAGCTATCAACTCGGTTAACATCAGTCTTTATTTTCTGGTTCTGGGAGCCATAAATGCTAAAGCCAGAAGTAGCTTTTTCATTTTCCTTTTTTTTCTTTGAAATAATAGGCAGACACCATGTGAAGGTGTAGAATGGCTAAATAAGACGGCATATCCATGTTTTAAGTGGAGACAGAAAATCTCTTTAAGAGAAAAAATGTCAATTTTGTGCAAGGCACTTGGCTTCATGATCTCATGGATCCAAGAATCCACAATCAAATTCCTCCCATCAAATAACTTACATTAAAACCATTAGGTCTATTCATCAATTAAATTGTATTCTTTGGAAACTCTACCATGGTTGCACAGTTTCGAGAAAGCCATTAACTACTTGAGAGTCCATTTATAACCATTAATTATAAAGATGTGCAATTTAAATAATTCTGGCTGCCTTTAAAAAGCTAGGCTGGAGAGTGCAGGAGGAGAAACTGGAAGATTTGTTAATGACCTCGTGCGATATAGCGGATGAGAAGTGTACAACCCAATGCATTATATGTTGGGGAAAAGGAAAACCACATTGTGAAAATATTATTATGGGCTTTTATAACATTATCTATAACTTGTAACTTTTTAGATGTCTTGAACTTAAAATATACAAATTTATTTTTCCTTTGGAAACAAAACCACTGCAAAATATTTCAGCCATGCCAGATATACGAAATAATTGTGTTTTGCATGTACTAATTTTTAAGACTTACATATGTTTTTTGGGCAATGAAAATGGGCTTTCCATGTTGAGAAAGAATTATAATTTGAGAGGAAGCAAATCTAGATTTGAAAGCAGGAAGATAATTTTCCTCTAAGGTTTTTAAATTTCTATTCAACCTCGCCCTTTGATTGCAGTGGTGTTGAGAAAGAAAGAGAGTTTGGTGTGTGTGCTTTAGGCCCCTGAAATGATCCTCCTTTCTCTGGACTTCAAAGTATAGAAATTATTCCATCCTACTTTTCTACTTCAAACCACTCTGTCTGGTGGTCAGACTTTGAACTCTGGGTGAGAATAGAATTAGCCTTCAGGAACTTTGGAGAGATTTATAAAATCAGCAATGAACGTTTCTCTCCTCTCTAAAGACTTTTTGCTGCCATTCCAGATAACATCCTCGGTGGGCTATAATAAGCATACTTAAAAAAAAAAAACCCGCTTGGATCTCTACTGTCCCACTTTCTGGTTTTGAACAGCAACCCAGAAAACTATTATCTCAAAACTGGTTCTGGTCTTATGTGAAGAAGACAAATATGGGCAGGTTCCCGTAGTCTTCTCCAAAGGTAGGATTAGAAAAGAAGACTACGAGGATGAAGAGACATTTGAGAACTTTTCACCCAATTTCATCTTTGTAACTTTACCTGACAATTTAGATAACATTATTTTCTCCAGTGGTAGGAGATATACACTTATTTCCGGTGTTTTCTCCTTCTTTTGCATCTTAGGGTGACTGAGGTGCATATATGTTTTCCAGCATACCTTCATCATCAATTTACAGATTTTTTAAAAAGTTGCAAAAAGCTCACCAAAATAGGAGTGTTTGAGGAGATACTTGTTATTAAAAGGAACGTGATAAGCCCTTCTTGGAATTCTAGGCTTCCTAGAGTTGCCACCCAAGCTTCTACGAGAACATTGAGTCCAACGAGTTTAAAGATAAACTTATGGACATCCTTATCAAACCTTCTCTTCTTACTTTACCACTGTTCTTGTTGGGTGGTGTCCACATTCAGTACTTGCTCTCACCATCCATATCGAATGGTCACCAAGTCCCATTTAGTCTACTTTCTGTGTATTTTTAGTCTGTCTCCTTTTCACAAAACCCTCTACAAATTCCTTTAACTTTGTATACCTTGAATGGGCTACTGCAAATAGGTTTCTAATTTGAACAGGCCTCCATTACTACATCACATCCTGTACGGTACCCAGAATGATCCAAATATGTACATTTAATTGTTACTCTGCACTTTGATATTTATTAAGGATCCTCTATTACTTATTGTCTGGAGTCTATAAATGCCAGTATGGTGCATAAAAATCCCTCTAAATGAGGTTGACTTTTATTCAACCTCATCTTTCCCCAGTCATTCTTCCGACCTGATACTCCAACTAAGAAACTATACATGGTTACTGCAAAATGTTAAGTTATTTTATTTATCCTATTCTTTGCACATACTCTTTCCTATATGTGGGCAAGTATTTCAAGCACTATGCTGAAGAAAATGTTATTATGCCCATTTTAGAAATGAGGATACTGAGGCTGAAAGGCAGTTAAGTATCTGTCCCATTATTATTATCCTAGTAGTCATTTTAAAAAATCTCTGGTCACCATATGCTTTTGATTTTACTTATAAATATTTCTGTAATCTGCCTTCTTCCTTCTGTTTGTATGCCCATAATCATTCATTTATTCGATAACTGTCTATTAATTATGCACTTAACGTGTCAGTAACTTGCAGGTGATGCAACGGTGCTATCTCAATGTCAGTTTTGTGCCAGAGCTGGCTTGTACAACTGTGAACTTCTCTTCCCTACTTCATGTCCAATGGCATCATTTTGGAGCTTAAAAAATGGCCACAAATCAGGATTTTTTTTTCCTCTGGAGAGCTGGCTGTTGAATATTTACTAGCACATTACTACATCTCATAATCTCTCACCTCTTCTCTCAGAATAGACTCTTAGTTAGGACTCCATTTCATGATCACCTCCTAAACAAAAATGACAAGGCCGTGATCTTTCCAAGAGATAGATTTGATACGTCTCCTACTTTCTTTCCATTGTTGACAGTTTAAAATCAAAATTCCTTATAGTGGTATATAAGACCCTTCTAGAAATGGTCACCTCTCCATATTCATTTCCTATCATCATTATATTTTATACCTGTCAATGTAAATAGTGTAAACATTCTGAAGAAACTCACTTGTTTCTGATCTCCTTTTTGTGCCTACTGCTTCCTGTGCTAAGAACACCTGTCTGCCTTCCTTTCTTCTCCTCCTCCTCCTTCTTCTTCCTCTCTCTCTTTCTTTCTTTCTCTCCCTTCTCTTTCTTTCTCTCTCTTTCTCTCCTTCCTTCCTTCCTCCTTTCCTTTCCTTTGCTTTCCTTTCCTTTCCTTTCTGTTCCTTTCCTTTCTTTCTCTTTCTTCCTTTCCTTTTTTTCCCCTTCTAATAAATGCTAGTCCTCAAAATTTAACCAATGCAGTGCTTGGCACAAGGAAGCGTGCACTATATTTTGTCAAGGGAACAAATACGTCTTTAGTATTACTTCTTGTAGTAAGCTTTTCTGGAATCTCTCCCTTTCCCCATTACAGGGAGAGTTAAATGTCTTTTTATTGCATGTCTTTCTTTATCATATGTATGTATTCACAGGCACATATAAAACTACATTCATCAATCCATGTATTTATAATTCTGTTTCCTTTGTTGTGCTATAGATCCTTGAGGACCAACATTGAGCTACCTATTTCTGTTAAATTTTAAAAATTGAATACACTTTAGAATGATATATAATTAACTGTGAATCTGTGCAGTGCCTACTATGTACTTCTATTAGTGAGGATAGGCCAGGTTATGCTGTGATAATAAATATAGCCTTAAATTTAGTGGCTTTACATGATTAAAGTATATTTCCCACTTGGACATAAGTCAGTGCATGTTGGGGCAATTTTCAGGATATCTCTCCTCCATGCAGATTTCCAGGATCTAGTGTAGTTCTACATTTGGAGGAAATCTCTTCTGTGGCTTCCAAGGTAGCTCAACAAGGGAGTAGAGAAGTGGAAGAAGTACAAGAGCTCTTGACTTACATATCACTTCCTCTCCAGTTCATTGGGCAGAACTAGCTCACTGACTCAAATCTAACTCTGAGGAAGGTTTGGAATTATGACTGTATGTTGCCAGTATTTGGTGAGCATTAATAATCTCCACCACAAACATTAAAGAATATAACGGGAGGAAAAGTTGTTATGGGGTGCCAGAGTTGGGGGCAGCTTTATGGCAGAAATAAGGCTTATACTGAACTTGACATAATGATAGAATTTAGATCATGAAAGAGAGAAGAGAATCCAGTCATTTATTGACCTAAAATGTGATTAAACTCTAGTTTGGTTGCAGATTATTTCCTTGTTTCTATATAACTTTTAGATTCATAATTTTACTTATGATATTTGGTTTTTCAAAAAAACATTGGAGTATAATGAAAACTCATTTATTTTGTTAGGTTTAGAATTCTCATTAAGAACTCAGCAGGGGTTTATGGTTACTGATCAAAGACTGTTAGAACAGTTTAGGTGACATTAATGTCTAAAAGTTTAGAAAAAATGTCATTTTGTGGAAGACCAGTTAGAATAGTCAGGGAAGGTACTGGATCCTCTATACAAATAGGCCAAATGTACATTTTACTAGATGTGATCTTGCACCACAGAGAAAATGTATCTGTCTCCTTGTAGAGTCTTGACTCTTCACCTCCACTGATTAAGTTAATTAAGCTCCAGTTAACCCAACAAGACCATTTAAAAAATGGTAACAAATAATGATTTCTTATTCTTGTATTGTACTATGAAATTTGCAAAGTAATTTCATATTCACTATTTTCTTTCTTTCTTTCTTTCTTTCTTTCTTTCTTTCTTTCTTTCTTTCTTTCTTTCTTTCTTTCTTTCTTTCCTTCTTTCTTTCCTTCTCTTTCTCTTTCTCTTTCTTCTTTTTTTTTTGAGATGGAGTCTCACTCTGTCGCCAGGCTGGAGTGCAGTGGCACGATCTTGGCTCACTGCAACCTCTGCCTCCCAGGTTCAAGCGATTCTCCTGCCTCAGCTTCCTGAGTAGCTGGGACTGCAGGCATGTGCCACCATGCCCAGCTAAGTTTTGAATTTTTGGTAGAGAGGGGGTTTCACCATGTTGGCCAGGATGGTCTCGATCTCTTGACCTCATGGTCTGCCACTAATCTCTTGTTGTGGATTGGGCAGATATTCTTAAATCTCATCTTGCAGATGAAATATTGAGGTGACTTGACTTTCTAGAGGTAACAAGATGGATTATTTGTATCAGAAATAGGATTGCAATCTATATTTTGGGATCCAAGTCCAGTGTTTTTTTCTTTTTACTTTTCTTTCTTTCTTTCTTTCTTTTTTTTTAGACAGGGTCTTGCTCTGTCACCCAGGCCGCAGTACAGCAGCACAATCTCAGCTCACTGCATCCTCCACCACCTGGCTTCAAGTGATTCTCGTGCCTCAGCCTCTCAAGTAGCTGGGATTACAGGTGTGTGCCACCTTTTTTGTTTTTGTATTTTTAGTAGAGATGGGGTTTCGCCATGTTGGCCACGCTGGTCTCAAACTCCTGGTCTCAAGTGATCTGCCTGCCTCGGCCTCCCAAAGTGCTGGGATTACAGGCATGAGCCACTGGGCCTGGCCCAGTGTTTTTTCTGTGTCATTTATCTGCCTCTCTTATTGCCTTTTTGATATTGATAAAAATCAAACTGTGTTCTGGTTTAAATTATCAATGAAGAATCACAAGAAAAACTGACTTCTTCAGCATCAAATATTACACTAAAATAAATATGTCTTTGAGTGCTGATCACATCAAAAACTTGCAACAAAATAGCTAATTGATAGAGGAAAAAAGACTGAAAATTTTCCTCAAATTAAGTCTTTTCTCCTTTTATCTTAGAGTTTCTGAAAACAATTTATATAATTGATAACGTATCATAATTGTAAATCTCATAACTAAATCTGCCTGCTTATATATGACATCACTTATTCATTTACTCATTAAATATATATTGATCACATAATATGCTAAGCACTGCAGTAAGCACTGAAGAGTCAATGGAGAACAATATATCATTTGCACCCTCATAGAAAAGTTACCAGAAAGTGCAGTAGTTGTCAAGATGGGGGAAATGCAGGTGATATGGTTTGGCTGTGTCCCCATTCAAATCTCAGCTTGAATTGTATCACCCGGAATTCCCACGTGTTGTGGGAGGGACCCGGGGGAGGTAATTGAATCATGGGGCCTGGTCTTTCCCTTGCTACTCTTGTGATCCTGAATAAGTCTCACGAGATCTGATAGGTTTATCAGGGGTTTCTGCTTTTGCTTCTTCCTCATTATCTCTTGCTGCCACCATGTAAGAAGTGCCTTTTGCTCTCCGCCATGATTGTGAGACCTCCCCGGCCATGTGGAACTGTAAGTCAAATTCAACCTCCTTTTCTTCCCAGTCTTGGGTATGTCTTTATTAGCAGCATAAAAAGAGACTAATACAGCAGGTGTGGTGAGAGAAAGCAGAAGGGCATACTACAGAGTCCACGAGGGTTAAGGAAGCCTGCCTGGAGGAGGAGCTCTGAGAGGTGGGCAGGAGCTAACGGTGTGATGGGGCTTCATGAGGAAGGTATTATGTCCGTTCTACCTAGAGGCTAGTGATACCTTTGAATTGTTATGTAGTTCAATTCTAATAAATGTGCAGTGTATTTATCATCTAGATATGAGGTTATTTGTTTGTCTGTTTGTTTTGAATTGGGGTCTTGCTCTGTCGCACAGGCTGCCGTGGTGCAATCATGGCTCACTGCAGCCTTGAACTCCTGGCCTCAGGTGATCCTCCCTCCTCAGTTTCCCAAGGTGCTGGGATTATAGGCGTGAGCCGCCATGCCCAGCCCTAAATATGAGGTTATTAAGAAAAATGAGTAATATACTTTAAGATGAATCTTAGAGAGCAGTGTTTTGCAAATGTTAGTGTGTATCAGGATCACCTGGAAGCCTGTTAAAATAGATTGCTGGGCCTCACCCCTAGAGTTTTTCTGATTCTGTATGTAGATATGGGCTGGGTCCTGAGAATTTCCATATTTAACAAGTTCCCAGATGATACTAATGCTGCAGTTCTGGGAGTGCATTCTGAGACGAACAGTCTTAGAGCAAAGGATTAGGACTTATGTGTTAGTGACTTTTACCTATGCCTTTGCCATATGCCCTTAGCATGCATTCCAGAGGCAATGAGTATTTATTACAAAGGTGCTTCATATGGTACTGAATGAACAAGTAAATGAATCTAATTATCCTCCATTGGTTATAGTAATTGCATGGATTTACTGGTATTTCAGATTCACAATGATACATAAGCGATAGAGAGATGACTTATCTGAAAAGCTGCAACTGGAAGAATTTACTAGGTTTGCTGGCTTTGTATCCTGGCTATATTTTTAGGGCAACTGATTGAAAAAAAAAATCACTTAAAAATAGAGAAGAGCTCACTTGGATATTTATAACCTGACAGGTTAAAACTAGCACAACATCTGAATGGGAAAATTGTGACTCTTAAAATCTACACAAGCATTTTCTAAGGACTCAATGAACTAATTCATAGGAAATTACACTAAGAAATCTGTAGTTCTGGATAAGAACTCTTACAGCAGAGACATCTTCCTAAACGGCTTAGGATGCTAAATTATCTACCCCTCTGAAAACCACGTAAACTTGATTAGAGGGAAACTGCGTTTTCTTGATTAAAACCTGCAGAATCTGCCCCTAGCTATCTCCTGGCAACAACCAGAAGCAGATGGAGGGAGGGAAAATAAAAAGTCTTGGCCTTTGCCCAGACCCTGCTGACTTTAGTGGCTTCTCCCCAGATTCTCTTGTTTTAAAGGGCCTAATTGGGCTGGGAGGAGTCAAAGGGAAGGAGCCACCCCCTACTTCATAGAAAGCTGGAATTTTAGTTCCCAGAGTTTTGCTAGTTGTGCAGGGGAGGGAATGTTTGTAGTCCTAGGTTCTAATCTACTTAACTGAGCAAAGCCTTATGGAATGGAATGAGTGCAATTTGGGGGATTATTTTAAAGATAGGAGGGTAAGTTTTTGAAGGACATTCAGATGGTAGAAAATTCTGATTCAGAGTAAGATTGGGGGCACCAAAGAGGTAAACTAGATAAGGGAGGAAGGAAAAAGTTTCTAGATCCTTTGGTATCAACCAGAGAATTGAAAAGCATCATCTCATTTAATCGCACCTACAATCCTGTGAGATAGATATTAGTCTCCCTATTTTATACAGGACAGTCCTGAAGCCCTGAGACTCAGCAGAGCAGGTAAGTAGTGAAGCTGGGATGGGACTGTAGGTCATTTGACTCCAATACCGAGTCTCATTTCAGCATAAACCCATCTTTTCAGGAAAAGGCAGGCATGACAATTGTATAACTCAAGGGGCATTATTATGGGAGAGAGAATACAGATAGATAAAATATTGTAAGAAAGTAGAGCAATTTTCATGATAGCCAGGCCCTATTAAACCAGAAAAAAAGAAAAACTAAACTATTTCTACACAAGACCTTTCTTGTGTGGGTCTCTAGGAAACTTCTCTTCAGTTATTTCCTCTGCTTCAGCTGCACATTTTGTATTAACATGCTGAACCTATTAATTATTCCAGAGGCCCAAACATAAGAGATCATTTCCCCATCTGTTACTGATTTTCTGACACTCATAACTGAGCCCCACTGGAAGCCACCAATGAGCTGCCACATTCAAGTGTGGCACGTCTTGTCTTCCAACTTTACCTTTTAGTATTGCTCTTTTGGGATGGCCTTTTGGGATTTTCCCCGACCTTCCAACAAAATCTTATTCTTAGCTCATGTCTGGTGCAGAGTGACAAGACCACTTAGGATGGCCAGTTTTTAGGGCAAAATTATGAACAATGTAATAAAACTGTGAGATGACCCTTCCTAATTAACTGCTTCTTCTCTTACCCTTTCTGCCTTTGAGCCTGTTTGAAAACAAATATTTTTCCTTTGCTCTGTCTTCCTTATTACCTTGCATCCTACATGCAATTATGCCTTAAAGAATAAAAATCTATGACATGTTTCTGAGGGAGCATCTCCCTTCAACAATTAACCTTCTAACTCAGGAGGGCTCTTATTACTGAGACCAGCTTCCATATCACTAGTTTTAAAAACCATTTTTAAAAGGGTGTCACCATAATAAACAGCATGGAGCCATGTGCATAAGCAGGTAAATCATTTTTGTAAATAGCTATTTACTGAGGATGAGCAGCAATTTGTGCTGGGTGGGAGGTAAAGAATGAGATCTCATCATTTAACGGTGAGGTACACATACTTCTCAATTATCTGTGCTAATGGGGACAGTGATAACAAGGGTAATGGAGACCATGAGAAATCCATAGTGGAATGTAAATCAGTCTTTTTGCTTCTTATTAGTAAGTAGTAAAGGGAAACATTTTGCTAGATTGAAATGCTAGATTATTTGTAGATTTCAATTACGAAGCTATTCCAGTGCCCATTTTTTTCCTCAATGACTAAAAGTTGGATACTTAAAAATATACAGATAAGGACCTTGTTGCACGTTGAAAATAAGGGCACTTTAATCAAACTGTCTATGAATATGTAATATCCAAACACTGGCCCGATTTTTCCCTCCATTGAATTGAATAAATGTTGGCATTTTGTGAACAAAGTAAATCACTTACTAAAATTACCAGGTCATTCACTAGAGAAAATTCTGTGATGTCATCCACAAGTGAAATGAATTGTTTAAGACTTCTCTCAAACTCTTGTGAGGAACCAGAGCCAAGTCGGTAGCTGCCGGTGGTAGGATATTCACCTGGAGATGGTGCTTTTCCTATGCTTGTCAAGAATTTCCAATAAAGGACTCAAAATCTTCCAGATAAAACCACTCCATGCTGCTAATTTTTGCTTTCTATGTACAAAACTAGGACTTCATTGGTTAGCACAGGTATTTTTCCGTATTACCCAGGAAAATGTTATAAAATCAACAATTTAAAATCAGAACAATAAAATCAAAACAAAGAGCAAGTGAGTCCCCCTCCCCCAGTAACACTTCTGCCTTGCGCTCCAGTCATACTTATTTAACTAAATGCAACTATTTCAGAGTCCGAATCCCTTTTACTTCTGAGTCTGGAGGTTTAAAGTTCACTCATGCAACTTGCCAGAAGGTAGCTTCCAACAACTTTATATTTTAGAAGCCTTGATGCGTCTCTTGAAAAATCCCATGTGTTTCAAGGCTCTTGTGTTAACTCCAGCCTCTTCCCTCCAGCAGCAGCGGATCTGTAATTAGGAGCTTACCCCACACCGAAGCTAACACCTTTTTGGAGCACTGTCTTTTGCTAGTTCCAGCAAGATGTCTCATTTGCTATGTCTTTTCTGCCAGTCACATCACTAAATTTTTCTCTCTTCCGAGCCAGAACAGAAAGATGGTGGGGGTGGGGTGGGGAGGGGAGGGGATAAAGAAAGGTAGCTGCCTCTCCCTCTGAGCAGACCGGCACTCTCAGGTGTTTTGAATGTTTTTCAGTAACATTTCTGGAGTGGCAGAGATGCCATATTAGCTTCATCTTCTTTGCTATTTTTCTTTTGGGTTTTTCTCACTTTTGTTTTCCCATGAATGACTTAATTAACACAACCAGTTTTCTCTCCTGAAACTAGAATTCCCAGAAGTGTTTAATATTCACCCAGAATTGTAACTCTTTGGTTAATAAGAGCTTTTCTTCACAGTTCATTCTACAAACGTTTCCTGAGTACCTAACAGTGCTAGGCATGCTTACACAGACTCAACCACACGTAGATTCATGGTGCAATAAACACGTGAGCCACTAACCACATGTGGCTACTGAGCCCCTGAAACACGTCTAGTCTGAATTGAGATGCGTTGTAAATGTAAATACACGGTGAATTTCAAAGAATTTAGAACAAAAAACACCTAATAATTTTTCAATATTGATTACATGGTGAAATATTTTTGATATGTTGGGTTACATAAAATATATTAAGATTAATTTCACCTATTTTAAATTTTTTAAAATGTGGCTAGTAGAAAATGTGAAATTACATATGCAACTTGGATTTGTGGCTTGCATTATATTTCTACTGCTTAGCATGGATATAGACAGCAGCCATGGCACAGTGAGAGCAACAGGTAGGACACTTTGAAAGGAGCCGCTGAGTAACTTATTCTGGTCTGGACAAAGCAGGAAAGATTATCCGGGGAAGATTCACTTTGCAGGCCTCTCAGAGGACAAGGAAAAGCTACTCAGGTGGAGGAATAGAGCTTGTATGTTCCACGTGGCAGAAACAATCAGCAGAAAGACAAGGTTTAAGGTGGCTAGAGCTCAGGGCATGGGCTGGGGATTGGAAGATGGTAATTTTACGTTATTGAAACATGGATACTGCTACGATTTGGCTCTGTGTCCCCACCTAAATATCATCTTGAATTGTACTCCTATAATTCCCATATGTTTTGGGAGGGACTCTGTGGAAGATAATTTGAATCATGGGGATGGCTTCCCCCATACTGTTCTCGTGGTAGTGAATAAGTCTCATGAGATCTGATGGTTTTACCAGGGGTTTCCTCTTTTGCAGCCTCATTTTCTCCCGCCGCCACCATGTAAGAAGTGCCTTTCTTCCTCTGCCATGATTCTGAGGCCTCTCCAGCCATGTGGAACTTTAAGTCCAGTTAAACTTCTTTTTTCTTCCCAGTCTCGGGTATGTCTCTATTAGCGGTGTGAAAACAGATGAATACAGTAGATTGGTAGCAGTAGAGTGGGGTGTTGCTGAAAAGACACCCAAAAATGTGGAAGCGACTTTGGAACTGGGTAACAGGCAGGGATTGGAACAGTTTGAAGGTCTCATAAGAAGACAGGAAAATGTTGGAGAGTTTAGAACTTCCTAGATACTTGTTGAATGGCTTTGCCCAAAATGCTGGTAGTGATATGGACAATAAAATCCAGGCTGAGGTGGTCTCAGATAGAGATGAGGAACTTGTTGGGAACTGGAGTAAAGGTGACTCTTATGTTTTAGCAAAGAGACTGGCAGCATTTTGCCCCTTCCCTAGAGATTTGTGGAACTTTGAACTTAAGATGATTTAGGGTATCTGGTGGATGAAATTTCTAAGCAGCAAAGCATTCAAGAGGTGACTTGGGTACTGTTAAAGGCATTCAGTTTTAAAAGGGAAGCAGAAGATAAAAGTTTGGAAAATTTGCAGCCTGACTATGCAATAGAAGAGAAAAACTCATTTTCTGGGAAGAAATTCAAGCTGGCTGCAGAAATTTGCTTAAGTAGCAAGGAGCCTAATGTTAATCTCAAAGACCATGGGGGAAATGTCTCCAGGCCATGTCAGAGACCTTCACAGAAGCCCCTCCCATTACAAGCCCAAGGTCCTGGAGGAAAAAATGGTTTCATGGGCCTGGCCCAGGGTCCCTGTGCTGTGTGCAGCCAAGGGACTTGGTGCTGTGTGTCCCAGCTGCTCCAGCTGTGGCCGAAAGGGGCCAAAGTACAGCTTGGGCTGTGGCTTTAGAGGGTGGAAACCCCAAGCCTTGGCAGTTTTCATGTGGCATTCAGCCTGCGGGTGCATAGAAGTCAAGAATTGAGGTTTGGGAACCTGTGTCTAGATTTCAGAAGATGTATGGAAACACCTGGATGCCCAGGCAAAAGTTTGCTGCAGGGGTGGGGCCCTCATGGAGAACTTCTTCTAGGGCAGTATAGAAGGGAAATGTGGGGTTGGAGCCCCCACACAGTTTCCCTACTAGAGCACTGCCTAGTGGAGCTGTGAGAAGAGGGCCACCGTTCTCCAGACCCCTGAATGGTAGATCCACCAACAGCTTGCACCACGTATTTGGAAAAGCTGTAGACACTCAACGCCAGCTGTGAAAGAAGCCAGGAGGGAGGCTGTACCCTGCAAAGCCACAGGGGCAGAGCTGCCCAAGACCATGGGAACCCATCTCTTGCATCAGCCTGACCTGGACCTGAGACCTGGAGTCAAAGGAGATCATTCTGGAGCTTTAAAATTTGACTGCCCTGCTGGATTTTGGACTTGCATGGGCTCTATAAACCCTTTGTTTTGGCCAATTTCTTCCATTTGGAACAGCTGTATTTACCCGATACATGTACCCCCATTGTATCTAGTATGTAACCAGCTTGCTTTTGATTTTAAAGGCTCATAGGCCGAAGGCACTTGCCTTCTCTCTCTGAGACTTTGGACTGTGGACTTTTGAGGTAATGGTGAAATGAGTTAAGACTTTGGGGGATTGTTGGTAAGGCATGATTGGTTTTGAAATGTGAGGACGTGAGATTTGGAGGGGCTGGGGTGGAATGCTATGGTTTGGCTCTGTGTTCCCATCCAAATCTCATCTTGAATTGTACTCCCATAATTCCCTTGTGTTGTGGGAGGTAACTGGTGGGAGATAATTTGAATCATGGGGTGGTTTCCCCCATACTGTTCTCATGGTATGAGCAAGTCTCATGTGATCTGATGGTTTTATCAGGGGTTTCAACTTTTGCATCCTTATTTTCTCTTGCTGCTGCCATGTAAGAAATACCTTTCACCCTCTGCCATGATTCTGAGGTCTCCCCAGCCATGTGGAACTGTAAGTCCGATTAAACCTCTTTTTCTTCCCAGTCTTGGTATGTCTTTATCAGCAGCATGAAAACAGACTAATACAGATACTTTTAGAAGAATTTATTAATCCAAAATATATTTCCCTTATGTTCAGATTGGAATTTCCTCTGTAGTATAGAAAGAACTAATGATACTGAGGAAGAAGCAGAAGCTTACTCTATTCAATCTTGAGAATTTCCAAAAGTATGAGAGAAGCTGAGACTTTAAGGGGTTTGAAGAAGACGATAGCATTCTTCTTCCAAGAGCAGCTGCCCACAGTGGTCCAGCATCTCAGGAAGGCAATGGGATGGAGTTCTGGAAGAGGACAGTGAGATAGATGGATAGGATGGTAAAGGGATAAGGGCTTAATAAGGCCTGGAGTAGGGCTTAGGATTCCATAGAACATGGGCAACTTTCACAGGGGCAATGACCAGGATCATGCACTAGTAATGGCTGTGGGTACAAATGTGATGCTCTAAGTCCATGTGGGACTCAGTACCTTGCTGGCCACCAGCTTTGTAAACAGACCTGACTAGTCAGGCTCCAGCAAGGACCAGTGAAGGTCTAGTTACCACTCTCCCTATCTCCTCATATGCTTTGGTGCCATCTTGAACAGAAATAGGAGAAGAAGAAGGGAAGGGGTGGAAAACTAAAAGCCTAAGATTTATCCTAAGGGGATTCCTTTGTGGTACCATAAGCTGGGACATTGAAAGTTTATTCTCAGGCCCTGCTATCCAGCAACTCGTAAGGATACTCAAATGTATTATGAGAAAGAAAGAAGCTACAGTTTCTTTGGATATGAAGATGGTTAAAGGCTTCTCCCAAGGAAATAAAGCTGCTTCTTTCTAAGCAGAAGTTAGGGAGAATAGCTTCTCCAAAATTATTTTACTTTTATTAGAGAATAATGAAAATATGTCATATAAATGTATATATGTATATTGTTATATACTTAAAAGTACATATTCTGTTTGAAGAGAGAAGTTAACTAAAACACATAGAAGAGAAAATATTAATGGGACTGAAATTATGAAGGGAACAGTAAATTTATGCAGCACAAATAGCATATCCAATTGTGTTATTAAATTGCTGTTCACTTCCTTAAAGTTTATGTTACTTTGGACAAAATTTCTTCTAAAATGTAACATTACCCAGTGTGGGGTGGGGTGTGGCGAGAGAGGGGGACAGAAAGGAGAAAAGGTTATTTTTCTGTCTCTTAGACTTACATATTTTTTTTGTTTCTGATGCTCCAAAATTTGAGGTAACAAAGAAAAGTGCTGCCAGTAAACAGTGGTATCAGGATGTCAAGGGGAGGAGAGTGGGCACAGTATGGACACCTTTCCATGTCACAGGGGTTTTAATGGTTCCTCCTGGGTTTTAGGGAACCGGCACGTGGTGGTGAATGTGCTGTTGTTGTCTGGAGTTCCTCCAGATGAGGGGTGCCCTCCCATTGGCCAGTTTCTCCTTTGATTCAGAAGTCAATTTTAGTACTCTCCCATTCATTCCTTTTTTTTTTTTTTTTTTTTTAAGAAGGAGTCTCATTCTGTCACCTGGGCTGCAGTGAAATGGTTCGATATGGGCTCACTGCAACCTCTGCCTCCTGGGTTCAAGTGATTCTCTTGCCTCAGCCTCCTGAGTAGCTGCCACTACAGACATGCACCACCACACTGGGCTAATTTTTGTATTTTTAGTAGAGATGGGATTTTACCATGTTGGCCAGGTTAGTCTTGAACTCCTGACCTCAGGTGATCCACCCACCTCGGCCTCCCTAAGTGCTGGGATTACTGGCGTGAGTCACCGTGCCTGGCCCCATTTATTCCTTTTTACTTCACTTAATCCAACCTGGCATTTGGTTAGTTGCAACCAAAAAAGTCCTGACTAATGCCTGGGATACTTAATAACCAAAACAAATATACTTTCAAGTATTTTGGAAGCATAGGTTTACATATATGCAATGCAACTGACACATACGTGGTGGTCAATAATGCTTAGAATAGTGGTATTATAAAGACAGTGCTATCATGAATTATTCCCAAACTTCAAGTTACTAAATAAATGTGAGCACAATGAAAACATTTTAGTTTTATTATTCAGACTTTACATTCCAAGATTGCCAATGAACTTGGATGATAAGAATCTGAGATTTTATTTAGCTTTGTCCTCTCTGCTAATATCTTCATTCTGAACAGTAGCATCTTAATCTCAGTGATTTCAGCTGCTGCTTTGTTCCTTCTTTTGTGTTTCTATATGTGAAAGGCAGGGATGGAGATTGCAGGATCATGTATGAATGTCTTTGATTAAATAAGGTTTTGAAGGGAAATCTCAGATGTGGTTCAATTTAGATAAGTACCTAACACATCTCCTTAGGAAACATGTCACTAACTTGAAATATAAGAATTCTAAGCTAGGGCAGTGTGAAGACTGTAAATATTTTAAAGCAATTTTTAAAAATATGCCAATATTGTTTCCTTCTCAAGGATCTACAGCCACTTTCTCTCTTATTTGTACTATCCTTCATTTAGTCATTAAAAAAATTGTACTACAGATATTTGCATGTCTACCAAGGGACAGGTTGGGATAGGTGTTGGATGCAGCTAACCAGGGAGTCTGTTGTGGGGACCATCAACTTCTCTCCATCCTTCCTTCATGTGTATAGTCTCTTCTATGCTCCTCCAATGTGTGTTGCTCATTGTTCTGGAGCAATCCATGCCTTCCAATTAGGACTATTAACTTCCAATTAGTACTGTTAACACATTGGTTCTCAATTTTCAACGAGCATAATTTTATACATTTTAATTTCTAGATAACTGGACAGTTCATACCCACATAAAATTAGTGGCATGTAATACTTCTTTTTAGAAAGATCACGTTGTCCTCTGCTACCAAATAGCTATTATGATACACTATTTGTACTCCCAAATTACTTATATTGCTCCCCCAAAAATCTTCGATTTTATCATCCTGCTTTTGAAAGTGTCCATGTGACACTGATTCAAATGTTTGAAATTAGTAGTGGAAAATTTATAGCAATAACAGCCTCTAATGATCAAAAGGTCCAAATATCTTCAGGGATTTCAGTAAGTAAACCAAACACATAGCAAATTATTTCAGCAGTGCATTCTGAAGAATTGCACATTTTGATCAGAGTTAGTCTTGGTAACCGTATGTTTCCAAGTGAATAAAACATCTTAATGTCCACAACTAGTGTTTCACTGAAGTTTTCTGCCAAAATATCCAGAAATAGCAGAAAATTCATTTTTATAATGGATTAATTTAGGAATATTGGCTCTTTCCCCTTCTCATCTTTACTTTTTTGCAAGATAAAGGATTGTCTTAAAACTTCTGGTTACACTTATGGCAAGGTATTAATACATACAATTAAATTAACAGCTATCATTAGAGGTTTGCCAGATAATCAAAGGTAGATAAGATTTTCAAGAAATTGAATGAACAGAAAGTTATGATCCTCAATTATCTTTAAAAGCTTTGATGTAAACCTCAATTGACTAAAAGGGAAAATGTTCTAACTGCATGTCAATTACACTATCACTATAGTACATATTGTAAAGGTGGTACATGATGTGTAAGCAGTAAAGAAATTAGGTGTGTTGCTGAGTTGAAATTAATATGAAAAGTTTTACGTTTCTATTAAGATATGGAACTAATAATCTACCTTCTATCCCAATTAGAATAGATGATTTCAAAGCATAAATATGATTCTAAAACTACTGCCTAAACAAGAAATAGCCAGTTCATTGAAAATCTACGTCAATCTGATTATTTACTATATGTATATGATACCAAATGGTGGATTGATTTCTATAATTTCCGCACTTCCACACGTCATGGGAATAGCATGCAGACATATTTATCCATTTGGATTTTTAAACTAATGAGGGCATATTTAATTCAATAAGCACAGAGAAATGTTTTTGCAATCAAAAGCTCAAAGGGCCACAAGGCTATTCACTTCAGAATACCGCCCCCATGTATTTCCTAAAATCCTGCAGACAGTTCATGGGAAACATTTTAATAAAAACCAAAAACTGTGTTATCATTATATTTAATGCTACTAATGTGCAGTCACTCATTCAATAAACATAAGTACAGTGCCTGGTATGGGTGCCTTGCATTAAATAGTTGTGACTGATATAAAAATGAGTAAGATATGCTTCCTGCTGTCCCAGGGTTTAAAACATAACAGATACAATAAATCAATAAACAAAAATAATAGTACACTACAGTGTTTTTGTTTACCTCTATATCCCTAGAACCCAACCCAATGTTTGAGATTCAGTAAATACTTGTGCAGTAGAATTCGTGCTATGAAAGAAAGCTGCCTAAAATTTTGTGGCCAAACTCTGCATGGAAGATTTGAGTAAGAGTGTAAAGAGTTGGTCTTGGAAGATTTGGGTAAGAGTGTAAAGAGTCGGTCTTGAAGGATGCATGGAAGTTTGCCAAAAATTTAAGGAAAAGGGGTTCCAAAACACAGAACAGAATTGCAATGATACAAAATGATTTTAAAAAGTTTTTATTCTTGCAGAAAAATGGGGATGGATTTATGAAGCTGCAATTAGACCACATGGGTGGAAACAATCATAAATGTTGCTGGTAAAATATGGTAAATCCATATCCCATTCGGAGAAGCTTATCCACTATTCTCTGAATGTGGAAAGCCATAGTAGGCTCTAAAAATGAGAGTCATAACAGATTTGTGAACTTTGGAAGCTCTATGGGTGTGGGCTGGAGGTAGAAGATTGGGGTCAGGAAGAGGATAGGGAATTTTTGGGGAGATTAGGATTGTACTAAAGCAGTGACATGGAAAATTGTGGTGGGAGGAGGCAGGGACATAAATTAGTGGGGAGGATGGACAGTTTTGAGTGGCGTGATTTGGTGACTGATTAAATACAGGGTGCAGGAGAGGAGAGTGGAATATACCCCTGTGGTTTTTCTTGGGTAAATTTTCATCTCTCATACTCTTTGAAAGAATTTCTTATGTAGCAGAGGCCCCTCCATGCATCCTTGAGCACAGCCACATAAAATAAATTGGATTAAATGGAACCTATTTTACAATTCAACCTCATATTTGTTGGTGTTAAAAAATGAATTTGACAGGGCACTTTCAACTAAGGACTGATGAGTCATAAATCATCAAGCAATAACCTTAGGACCTCAGTGAATTTCTCACCATTCTTCAGCACCTGCCAGAATCCAGGCTAACATCAAAAGCTTTTTAGTGTTAAAACAGATAGCAACCCCTTGTATGCTATAAACACATAAATGCAATGGTATCTTTCAAAGTAATTGTATTGGAATCTTCAAGGGCAACAATCATTTTTTTTCCTCTGAGGAATAGCAGACACTTATTCCCATGATTTAGCACATAGTAGAAGTTCAACAAATATTTAATGTGTGCATGTTGATTGCATCTTTGAAGAGCAGAAGCTCTTTTAAATGACTTTCCCTTGACCGATCTACTGGATTAAATGACACTCTTCATTCCTTCTTGGAGCATGCTATTGCCCAAAGCACTCGAGCGCTATGCCTAGTAGACTGCTCTGTTTAAGGGTAAGACCATTACCAAAAGTTGGCTGGGATTGGTGCTAAACCTGTTAATGTTATTTGAACTGGTTATGGTGGTTTTGCAAGTCAATTGCATTTTACTCATAAAATATAAGTATAGAATGGAAGGGAGTTGATCACTTTGAAAAATGCGTTTGAAAGATTCGGTAGATATGAGTTGCTAACAATTGCTGTTCAAATAGATGTATAAATATTTAAATCTGGAAAGTTTACTTTAAAAACCTGTACTTTGTTAGTGTGTTCTTTCTCCACTTTAAAGAAAACAAAACCAGACGTCATAGATGGTATGTTATGAAAGACAACAGGGAAATCCCATCAGTAGTAATAAATACATTCAGTATTTTTTTGGGCTGACGTCAAAATAATAGCAAAAATATACCTTTATTTGCTTTTAAGTTAAATAAATGCTTATGGAAAATATGCATCTAAAAATTCCCTGCGTTAACCAATTTCATTTTTGCATAATAGTTTCAGTGAGTTGGATAAGATGTCAACACTTTTTTTCTTGAAAGCAGCATATATTAGAGGAGTCTGTGTCAGCATTTAAACAGGCGTGGACATTCCTGTCTCCTTAACGACCTGTTCAAACACACCATTGGGTTCTAGCCTTTACCATCCTGGTGCTGGATAGAGACATTAACTTTCTCATAAGGCCATTTCATTGCGTGTTTACAGTTGTCTTCACATGATAAGCCATTCCTATCAGAGAAATAAAACATTAGGGAGGCATTTTGAAGACATTTAGAATATCAACCAAGCCATAATTTGAAACATAGTCATCAACTAGGTTCACACCATTGTTTCATAATGTTACACACTGATGAACAACTACATTCCATTGAACACTAGGATATTTCTCATTTTGTTTTTGAGCAATGATCAGAACCAGAAATAAATATTTTTGCAGGACTGATTTGGCATTTAAATAGGAGGTTGCATGCCAAGAAAAGGCTTCTTGGATATGTAAGGAATGCTCTCTGTATTATGAGCTGCGGGGAATTCTTTTCATAGCTGTGTCAGATAGCTTTTAGGATAACTCCATGGACATAGCCTGTATTATTCCCTCCTCTTGAATGTGGGTGGGACCTATGACTTGGTTTTAACCAATAGAATATGGCAAAGATGATGGGATGTTACTCCCATAATTAGGTCAGTTTGTCTGTCTGTCTACCTACCCACATGCATATACGGCTCTGTCTTGTTAGCATGCACTAGAGAGACTCTTCCGATAACCTCAAAGAAACAAGCTGCTATGATATAAATTGCCCATGCAGAGCATCACATAGCAGGAAAACATGGGTGGTCTCTAAAAGCTGAGGACCTCAGTCCTATAGCTGCAAGGAGCTGAATTCTGAATTCTGCCAACAATCATAGGCAGTTAGAAGAGGAACCTGAGTTCAAGATGAGAATGCGGGTGGCTGACACCTTGATTGCAGCCTTGAGCAGAGGAACTAGTGAGTTGTGCCCAGATTTCTGAACCACAGAGACTATGAGATGATAAATCTGTGTTGTTTTAAATTGCAGAGTTTATAGTACTTTGTTACACAACAGTAGAAAACAAATACAGCAGGATCAGTGGGCTTTTTCTTTTGGTTTTATTTCTGTCTTCCTCTTTCCTAATCCTACTTTTCCTACTAGCACTTACATTAATTCTGTTTTCACCGGACCTGTTGGGAGATCCAGATAACTATACCCCAGCAAGTCCCCTCAACACACCACCCCATACGAAACCAGAGTGATACTTTTTATTTGCCTATGGAATCTTACACTTTATTCCCCAAAATGTAGGAAGCATAACTGCAAATTTTGTGAATGCGTTGAATGTAAAAGTTTCTTCCAATAGGTATTTCTAAAATACCTGTTAATATATTGTCCCCATTTTCTCTATGTTTATCTATGAAAGATGCTTCTGAGTGTCTTCTGTTTCTGGTAGGTCTTCCTCCCTAATTTACTACAATTGATTTAGACATACATATTTTATTTATTTTTGAAGAATAAAGGAAATCAAATTTGTAGGAAAATAAAAATATGTGTTCTCACTGGGTTTATTAGATCAAGAGAAGAAGCTTTGTACATGTTTTAGAAAAACAGAATCATGAGTGATCACATTCTGTTGATTCCTTTGGAAATATATCCAGTACACACCTGCTGATTTTACTTTCTCCCGCTTATCTTTTTCTCCTTCCACTTTTTTCCCTCTCCCCAGTCCACCATAGTTCATTCCGTCTGCCAGAGTTAGTTGGCAGATCCATCCTGTGCATAGTGACATAGAGTGTATTTTCTTATGGAAATACAATCCACAAAGTGCAAGTTTTCTTTGATTGTTCATACCTGCATATGTGTTTTCTACCTCCTCAGGAAGTTTTGGAAATTTCAGAGGCAGAGGAGGGAAAAAGACCAATTTTACCTAAAAGTTCTGTTGACCACAGTACAGTCACTCTTGAGTCTGTCTGTAGGGTTACCACTGATCTTGTGGAAGGTCTTCAGATGGAGTAAATAGACAATATTCTTGTCCTTAATGCCACAGTTCTTTCCAAACATATAAGCTGAGTTTCTGACATTATTTTATGTTTTTATAGTTGCTCTGGAAAAGCAACACAATGCTGATTGCTAATTGGATTCTGAATAAACCATATTTGTATGTATATGAATTTGCCCACATGGTCACCTTTAACATTAATGGGAGTGTAAAAGATTGACTTTGTGTCTTGTGCTGAAAGGTTTTCACTTTCCAGATGCCTCAGAAAGTGAAGGAGAGCACTTATGTCATTTTCATGCCAACCAAAAGTAAAATGTTTTTTACTTAATGATGAGAAATAATTCCCAGCTCTACCCACGTGGAGGGGAGTGAAAAATGGCTCATCCACTTTCAATCAAGTTACCTGCATGTCAATAATGAAAGCAGATCTTTTAAACAACAACAGTAACAACAAAAAAGTAGAATAATGTTTTGATTTATGTGTTGAAGACCCATCAGAAATTATCTCTTTGGACAAACAGAGAAAGTAAAGTAAAGGAAGATATTTAAAATAAGATATAGAGGGAGATTCTTCAGCCTGTCTAAATGAAGAGCAAGTGTTGCAGGAAAATACACATTAATCAAGTAATTAACCTTTCAATAGTGTTATTTATTTTGGAGAGCAATTTTGCCACCCCAAGAATTATGGCCAGACATTTATTTTACCAGATTAAAAAAAGTAATGTATGTTAACTCTTTAATGGTTTAAAGAATGCATGTCATCTAAGTGGCTGACAGATTGCTGTGTAACTAGAGCTGAGGAACCAGCGTGCGGGAATAGGCTGTCACTCAAGCAGATGTCATCTTTGCAAAAGCTCAGAACACGTCTTTTTATTATTGAAGAGCATTGTCATGTTGGCAGATTCAGGGACAGAATCTGAAATAAAAAATCTTCATGCAAGGAGAAGTATGTCATTCCCCAGATCTGCTTAATGCTTTTTCTCCCAAGGCTGAAGGCCTTCTAGGTCATTGCTGGTCATTAGACTCAATTAAAAATTAGGAACAGAAAATTGATCTTCGCCTACCTCCAAATGCATCTGCATTAGGTGGCACATGGATGTTAAGCTTGCTAATAATTCAAAACTTGGCGTAGGCATATTTTCTTGAAACTTAACAGTTTGGAGAAAAAGAACATATCTAGGTTACCCCAGAGGAGAAAACAAATTATCTTTTGCCTTTCTGACATCTTATTCTCCTTCAGTGCACCTGGCCAATCTCCATCTGGCAGTGCTCTCAATCACCCAGATGGAAGGGGAGTTGAGGTGGCCCCTCCAAAAACTGATGAAGTTCAGCCTTACCACTGGTCTAATAGAATGTGCTCTATAGTGGAACGGGCTACATTATATGCATCTGTCTTTCAGGGACCAATAGGCTGAATATATTGTTTTTTTGCACCATAAAGCAAAGAAATATTTTTCTGACTGTTTCCACATTTACTTACCCATGATATTATCAGTAGATTGCTTTTATCATTATGCTTAGTTCCATGAATAATACTTTAGTGCTGTAGTTTGCTTAATACAGCATTTATCTAGGATTTTCTATCTTCTAGTATATGTAGACCAGAAATAACACTTCTTGTAATAATATGAGTATTTATTTTACTTTCAAGATGTTCAGATAACATGGGAGAGCAATATGATGGATGGTGTCATGTATATGTACAAAACGATAAAGTAAAGCAGTTAGCTTTTCTGCATACAAATCTTGCCAATTGATTATTAAAACTTGTTTAGAACTGTTGATTCAAATTCATCAAGGAAATGAATAGAATATTTGAAGCCCTGAAAATATCTCTATTTCTATTCCCGCCCACTGACCAGAGAGAGCTGTATAATGCAAAATTCAAAGAGATTCAGTTACTAAACAGAAGTCTCTAAAGAATAACCATAAGAGTTCTCATTTACATCACAGTCCTTGTGCAAGTTAAGAAGGAAGGATCACAAAGTTAAGAGTCTATTTCTATTTGAATAATTTCAATACATTACCAGAGCTAATTTTCTGTAATGTCCCTAAGACTGTAAGCAGAGACTTTATACTCCCTAGTCTCTTGTGATCAAAAAAACTTCCAAATCAGACTTGCAAATCGCCTTCTCATCACATCACTGGAGCTGCCAGATAAGAAAGTCTTGTAAGAAAGGGAACAACCAGAGTGCATTCATTAGTGTCATTGTACTCTAATTGAAGAAGTGACTTCTTTTGTATCCTAAGATGGAAAATCAGTTAGCTTGTGACTGGACTCCTTACATGTAGCTCCTGGCTGAATGGTAGAACAGTACTTACACATTCAAGAATGCCTATGATGATGGAAAATACTATAAAATATAGAATCTACTCTTTCAAGTTTACTTTAAGATGATGTTTGCACTTGAGTTACCATTTATTGCCTGTTGCTTTATAAATTATTGAAAAAAATCCTCTCAAAAGGGCATTTTCCATTACTTGGCTTACTGTTTTACATGTAGTATCTTTAGTTGTGAAGACATGATATGTCATTAATATGTTCTTTATGGATCTTTAATATGTCAAACCATCTTGGTTTCTGTGGGAACAGCTGTTCTAGCACCAGCTTATTCCAGTGGTAACAATTATACCCCCGATCTCTCTAAGCAGAAGAAGGTGCTACTTCTATAGCCTTATCAAGATCTAAATAAGCACTATTTGCCTCAAGCCAGGGATGCATTTTGGAGCAAATGAAGACAGATCCCAAGGGCATATATTTATCAGATCTATACTTGGTTTTCTTACATAGGTTGAAATGTGAAAAGACCATTTTATTAGAATTTTGTATTTATATATTTTTGAGCTTCAATTTTCTTACCTGGAAATTAGAATTAATGATTCCTACTTGACCATAGTGTCATGGGGCTAGAATGGGATGATGTTTGTGAAAATGCAGTGCAAACTGCATGGAGTGATGCAGAAGTGGAAGTTATTTTAATGGGAAATAATCGTTTCATATCTACTGCTGCTTATGTAATGAAGTGTATCTTGCTAGCTACTGAGTTCCCCATATGTGGAGAAACTAAAGCAGAATTTGTCAGGGTTACTATATAATGACACATCCAGTGGAAGGGACGATTAGCAAGATGATTACATGGTATCTACCAACCATAGACTTCTATGACCCTTTGATTTCATTTACAATTACATTTAATTGTAAAGCGTTTTTGGAGGGAGTGCTGAAGGGCTTGCAAATATGCATGTCAAGGGATATATATCAAAACAATGTTTAAAAAATTGTACAGGTGTAAAGATATTTGATTTGTGTATTATTAAGAGATGAACTGTGACAGGAGCTTATTCAAGGTCACATTTGGCTCATGCACTCAAGTCTTTTAAAAATTGTTACCTATTCGGGGAGATCTGAGGACCTTAAAAAATAACTCTGCCAATCTCAAAGGCAAAATGAAAAGTCTAGTAGCTCATTTACCATGTTATTTTCTTCATAAAGCATAGATTCATTAAATGTCCCAAAAAAGGCACAAATGAATATTCAGTGGTTAGGCTGGAATGAATGCTGAAGACACTAACTCTAGTTTTTACTGTTAGTTTAATAAAATATTTCCATGGCTTGGATGTGTTTCAGTTTATTTAATGTTAAGGCCCCCTTGCCCTGTTTTTTTTTCCTATCGTTGGCAATATCCATCAGATAATGACCTGACAAACCTAACCTGTCTTACTGTGCAGAATAATCAAAGTAGGTGAATACCAGCCTCTAGGAGAATTGTATCTCCTGCTTCTCAGTTTAATGTATGCGTGTCATAGGAATTCCCTGCAAAATTGTGCCTAGGGGCTTTAGGATCGAAGTCAAAGGGATTCATAGAATGAATGTGTTATAAATCTAGCTGTGGAAGATTGACGTTAAGGCCCCTTAAATGCTTGCTAAGTCTATTCACAAAAAGAGTTGGTACAGTTATCTCCTTTTTAGTAGCTGGTCGTTTTATTGCTCTTTAAAGAAATCATTAAAGATATTTGAAGTTGTCAGAATCAGAGGGTTCATGTTTTGGAGGAATTCCAGAAAAGAAACTCCTTACATAGAGACACTCTCAAGACAATTTAGGTATAGCAAAATCTATCTGGCAAAATAGACTAATAGAAGGCTTTTAAAATAACAAATACAATAGAATTGGTATTACTCTTTCATTCATTTATGTATATATTTATAGAGTCTTTTGTATGTCAGATACAATTCTAGGTGCTTCCTTCTCAAGAAGGAAGAAAACATATAGTGCCTGCTTTCATGAAGCTTACAGTATGATCAACTTTTCACCTGTGGAAAAATATAATTATGCTGTAAGTTGTTTGATGTCATTGGCAGCATTGGCATGTTGCCCTTTGATACATACTTTTAAATGCAGTGCCTAAAATAAAGTGCAGAGTGGTAGATCTTTGAAAAAAAGTCACCAAAGTGGAGAGCAAATACAGATACTGAGAGAACTGCAAAACAAGTCACGTAGCTTTATCCTGAGACAATACAAGAAGTTCATAGGTACTCTGACAATATGGTAGTTCAGCTTATTGCAGAGTCATACCTTAAGATTAGTGTTACACTGATTTTCTGATAACACACACATACACACACACACATTTCATTGCAACTCAGTAGAGTGGAACGGTATATTGTCAGAATCCAGACCTCTTGGAAACTATGGGGTATTGATGTTGGTGTCCCTTCACGTTCACTTCCAGAGGTCACCTGTTGTTGTCTGTCTCTTTAGGCTCCAAAATTGTGCTTGGGCAAACTAAATGGATAAGTGATGGCTTTTAGGCTTTTAAGAGAAAGGCATATCTTCACCTTTAAATTCCCATGCTTAAAAGCTTGAATTCCACCATTAGGCTACTATCTAAACTCTCAAACGTCATTAGCAAATCACATGAACATTTACTAGTTGAAATTGTCCTAATGAAAAGACGGAGCTAAGCCTTGCAGAGAAAGAAAACAAAGATGCATTAGACAGTTCCGTACTCATAAGATTCTTATACTCCAGCTTGAGAAAAGAGTGACTATCAGGTTAAATGCTGATAAAAGATTGCAATAGCATTTTATGATTATAGATGCTTTTACATGGGATAGTGCTGATGAATTGCCAAATGAATTGCACAACCAGGCCTTTGGCCTATTTTATTGGGCACAGGAGGCTGAATTCTATTATTCTTGTTGCTCAAGAGGGCTCCTCTTCATGAGTTAAAATAGCTGAGCTTCCTCTATACCCATTAAGAATTTGGTTTCCAGCTAACAGAGCTTAGAGAAGGAAGAGCATTTTAATTATTTTCTCCATTTCTTCTTTACTCCCCGCCCTGTACAAAGCAAACATGCTTCTTTGGTGAAAGCTCTTTTCCACAGTTTGACAATTCATCACCCATCTCTGAGTGTCTCTCTCCCTTTTTGCTTTTAAGCTCAATGTTCAGACATTTATCTTCACAGAGGTGAACAGAGGGAACATCTTTAAATATGGCATCGATACGATGTGTCCTGGCCCAGATGCAAGCCTCTTAAGTCAGTTTCCCTCAATCCTGTTACTACACATTAGCTCTGAACAGGATTATCTACCAGCCTGCCAGTCAAGATGTTCGGGGTGGCGGGGAGGGGGAAAAGGGAGAGCAAAGAGCTTTTCTGCTCATCAGTCTGCCTTGGGACTGGTGGGATGAAAATTTGTTCTGACCTTGCTTTATTCATGTGGCTATGGATTGCAGTTACTGCTGTATATGCTGCAGGAAAAAAAAAAAAGAAAAAAAGAAAAGAAAACTGATCGGAAACATACACACTCCTTCGTTATATACATGGATTTCCAGAAAATTACACAGAAATGTTATCTGCATATGTAATTTATAGCACATTTTAATCAATATTTAAAGAAATTTAGCAGTTGAGTCCTAATAAGTGATTATTTAGATTGGATTGGTTGGGAGCTAATGAAATAATTAGCACCATTTCAATGTGATTAATTTATAGCTGTATATTAAGTGCTCAATTAGTTTAAGAAATCTGAGTTCCACAAGTGCTGGCTGAAGAAGGCAAATGTCTCAGCAGTGGTAAAGCTGATTGAATTGAAGTTTTGCAAGTCTTTGAAATCAGCTGTTGCCATATCAGCACCTCAACATATTGAGCCCAGGGCATGGCTTCAGGAGGGAGCGATAAAAATAGACGCTGGTAGACCCAGGGGATTCAGCAGGTGAGGAAAACCTTTTTATGATAGGACTCATCAATACCCCATAGATGAACATAAAAGGCAAACTGTTTAGGAGCTGTATTAGGCCATTCTTGCATGGCTACTAAGAAATGCCTGAAACTGGGTAATTTAAAACGAAAGGAGATTTATTTGGCTCGTGGTTCTGCAGGCTTTATACGAAGCATGGTGATGGCATTTGCTTGGCTTCCTGTGGGGGGTGGGGCTCAGGAAGTTTACAATCATGGTGGAAGATGAAAGGGAGCAGGTGTCTCACATGGCAGGAGTAGGAGAAAGTGGGGAAGGAGGTGCCACATGCATTTAAATCACCAGATCTCATGAGAACTCACTATCATGGAGACAGTACTAAGCCATGAGGGATCCACCCCCATGATCCAAACACCTCTGACCAGGCCCCACCTCTAGAATTGGGGATTATAATTCAACATGAGATTTGGGTAGGGACAAATATCCAAACTATATCGGGAACTTTTGAGTTACAGGTTATGGGGGTAAAATGTCACTGCCATCCCTAAAACCCTTCAAGTTTGTTTATACAACTGAAAGAAAAACACCTTTCATGATCATAGGACGTTCCCTTATCCTTAGTGTATCTGATGACTTTGTTTTACTCTTTGTTGAGTAGACTTTATGACCATTATAACTCTGCTTCTTCTTTATATTTTATTTTTGAAAGTATTCAAATACACTTTTAAGCTTATCCAATTATATGTATTTCAAAAATTTACAAGTTTGACATTTTTAGATTATAATCTCCTCAAGAACAAGAACATATTTTCAACTCAACTCTCTAAAGTATGTGTAAAAACCTGTGAAAGGTCTTGCGGTTTTAATTAGTTAGACTGATGCAGTTTCATAGATGTTGGAAGAATGCAGGAAACTCTTGGGTCAGAGGCAAAAGACCTTATTATTCATAGTAATAGTAGTGCCCAGAATTACAGACCTTCTGGCATCTGTCCCCCAAGCCTCAATACCTATAGGGCAATACAAAGAGGGCCAGATGACATCTGCACATACAGTAGGTTGCTTTGCTGGAGGGGAACCCTAAGCTTAGGAAAACCAAATCTATTATAACGGGTAATAAGGATGTCTGCCTCTTTTGTTCTAGAGGGAGACATTATTTCTGTCTTCTAAGACTCTTCATTACACAAACATTGTTGAAAAAATTTGTCAGGAAGAAAGGCAGTTGGTGTCTCTGCTTGCAAGGTGTGCACAAATGTGGGAGATCCATCAAGAATTTTCTCCCAACAGTACCCAGCAAAATGTCTTGTGGAGGAACTGAGACTGTTTGTTATAAAGAAACAAAGACGGAGGGTATCCTGATCTCTGTCTTCAAGCAATGAAGTGGAAAGAGTTTCGTCTGTGCCCCTTGGGCCCCTTATTAGGTAAAACAAGGAAAGTAAATGAAATCAGATTTCAAATCACTTGTTATGTACTTATTTGAGTTATAAACTAAAATACTGTTATTAAGTGATATGGTTTGGCTCTGTGTCCCCATCCAAATGTCATCTCCAATAGTAATCTCCACGTGTTGAGGGAGGGACATGGTGGGAGGTGATGGATCATGGGGGCAGTTTCTACCATGCTTTTTTTGTGATAGTGAGTGAGTTCTCACAAGATCTGGTGGTTTAAAAGTATTTGGCAGTTCCTCCCTGGCTCTCTCTTCTGCCATCTTGTAAAGAAGGTGCCTGCATCCCCTTTGCATTCCACCATGATTGCAAGTTTCCAGAGGCCTGCCCAGCCATGTGGAACTATGAGTCAATTAAACCTCTTTTGTGTATAAATTACCCAGTCCCAGGCAATTCTTTATAGCAGTGTGAAAACAGACTAATACATTATGGAAAATCCAATTAATGTAAAAGTGAAAGCCCTACTTCCCTTACCTCATCCCACTTCCATGGGGGTAACTACCATTAACATTTTGGTAAGAGAAAAGTACTTCTAGTGATTAAGGCTGTACCGTGGTATCATTGACTTCTGGGAAGTATTTTCCTACCATAGACAGGATGAACCACTACTCCTCAGGCATATTATAGTAGACAAGATGCTCTTTAGACAAATGCTCTTCCATTTAAATTCCATAACTCTGGAAATAACATGTTGTGCCTTTACTGAGTATATAATTTACTTCCATTTTTTATTGTAAGAATTACTCTTATTTATTACTCTTATTTATTTTTCCTTACGATAAACAATGGAAGTACATATCTATCTATCAGCTTGGCTTTTAGCAAGAAATCATTATTTCTAGTGGTGGTGAAACATCTGGCCAACAGGTGTCCAAGATTTCAATATCCCCTACTCATTATCATTTGCAGGGGATAAGGTTAGAGTCTACTTCTCTAATGGTAAAGAGAAATTAGGAGTCTTTCTCAGGTTGTGCTAGCCAATATTCCACATTTCTACTTTTGTTAATGTTCCATGCTTGACAAAGATTGGTGGCTTGTGTTCTGAAACAGAGGGCATTATCATATTCTTTTCTCTGAAAGCAGACTGTATATTGATTATTTTTATATGGCAATTTTCTCAGGGAAGAGAATATGAGATTTTGAATATAAATTGTAGTTGCTCATCAGGGTAAGGAATGCCAGATAAGCAAAATAGGAATGAATTTGTTAAATATCAGTTTTCCAAAATTATGTTAAAAGTTAAAACTATGGAAATTAGTTAAAACTATGCAATTTTATGGCAAAATCAACATGATCGTTAACTGAAAATTACCATAAGTAAGAGGAAGGCCCATTTTATTTTGAAGAATGGTACATTTACCCAACACTTGGAATCATTGTGGAGAGGTAGGACTGTGAGGGATGGGTTTGGTGGCTAAGATTTGCAGGGAGTGGAGGGAGAGGCACTAACAGAGCTGGGGACTGATTCTGATGCATGGATCATATATTTGCTGAATGGTTTGGGGAAACGAGTGCGAATGGTGGAGTTATTCTACTGTCTGTGGGTTTCACCTTTTTCCCACTGAATAATGAAAAAGTAAAAGAGTTTGATAGGCCCTGCTATTGGTTTAGTAAAGCTTTGGTTTCTAGCAGTGATATGATTTGGATCTGTGTCCTCACCCAAATCTCATGTTGAAATGTAATCCTCAGGATTACTGCAGGAGGTGGGGTCTGGTGGGAGGTGGTTTGATCATGGGGCAGTTTCTCATGGTTCAATACCATCCCTCTTAGTGCTATTGTTGCAACAGTGAGTTCTGGTGTGATCTGGTTGTTTTAGAGTGTGTAGTGCCTTCTCCCTCTCTTTCTTCCTCCTATTCTGGCCATGTAAGATGTTCCTGCTCCGCCTTCACCTTTTGCCATTATTGTAAGTTTTCTGAGGCCTCCTCAGAAGTTGAGCAGATGCCAGCATCATGCTTCCTGTACAGCCTGCAGAACTGCAAGCCAATACACCTCTTTTTTTTAATAAATTACCCAGTCTCAGCTATTTCTTTATAGCACTGTGAGAACAGACTAATACAACAGTATCCCAGTCTGCAAAACAGAATATACTTGATACTAAAACAGTACCAAATCTTAAGTGAATGTGACAATTCAGGAGGCATGGCTCTAGGGTCCTTCTTATGAGACTATTTCAAATTTTATCCTGAAAATTCTGTTTTGGTGCTTTGGCTATTTTGATTAGATTCGGAAAGAAGGCTATACTTATAATGGAGTCTGAATATGAACTTAGTGGCTGCAACTCCAGGACTTTCTGTGAAGTAAGATGGATGGAACTATCTTTTTTTTTTTAAAATAGGTTCTCACTCTGTCACCCAGGCTGGAGTGCAATGGCATGATCATGGCCCACTGTAGCCTTGACCTCTCAGGCTCAGGTGATCTTCGCACCTCACCCTCCCAAGTAGCTGACAGGTGTGTGCCACCATGTCTGGCGAATTTTTTGTAGAGACAGCATTTAGCCATGTTGCCCAGGCTAGTCTTGAACTCCTGGCTCAAGTGATCTGCCTGCCTCAACCTCCCAAAGTGCTGGGATTACAGTTGTGAGCCACCATGCCTGACCTAGAGCTATTTTAGATACACTGTCCTGTATGTTGTAGAGTGAGCCACTTGAACCTTCCAATTTATTTAATCACTAAATCTGAGATGTTTATGTTCTCTCTCTGCATAATATGAATATATACATAATATATGCATATATGTGTGTGTACATATATATAATTATTTCTTTTCTTTCCACGATTTTTTCCCATACTCTGAGATAAAAAACACATCTCCAACAAATACATTCAGGATTTACCCACTGAACTTATATTAACACGTAAGTCAGAAAAGCAGATGCAGACAATGTGAATCCCCTTTAAGTCCACTCCTTGCTTTGCTTAAGCTCCCCTTATCCTGTGTTGTGAACTCTGCACATGAATCAGTGTTTGTTTTCTTGGCTGCTTTACTAGTGGAATTAGACTTTCAGTGTGTTTACGTCGGTGCCCAGTATCCTGGTGAGCTCTATTTTCCTCAACTCTTCCCTATAATATAACCAAGGAAACAAACAAAACCTGTCTAAGGCCTGATAACTTAAACAATTAATTCAAAGAGGGAAGCGGTTTTGACAACACAAAAGTTAAACAAGATATAAGAAAATCACATTTATCTTCAAAGTTCAATACCTGTCCAGATCTTTTAAGTTCTGATTAATATCCTAAAATCTGTAGGAAGTCTTGTTCAAGTTTAATTTGGAGCAGAATTGTGCTAAGTTCAGGTTTTTAACAGGCATTATGGGTGATTTAACTTTTATTCATGTGATAAAATTACATACATATTCCTTTTCAGAATATGCATGCATGACTTTTTTTTTTTTTGCAGATAAAGGCTTGTTTTATTTTAATGGCTGATCTATGTAATCATGGAGGCCAGCATTACAGACAAATGGGGAGCTTTTATTTCTTGGTGTCTTCCTCCTTGGACAAAGTCTTCATCATCTCCCACTTCTTGGCCTGGAGGCGCTCTTCACTGTGCTTGCGTGCGTCCTTGGTCTTGGACCTGCGGGCCTCAGCCTGGTCAGCCAGGAGCTTCTTGCAGGCCTTGCCTGCCTTCAGCTTGCGGATGTATTCCATGAGAATCTGCTTGTTTTTGAACACATTCCCCTTCATCTGCAGGTACAGGCTGTGATACATGTGGCAATCAATTTTCTTAGATTCATGGTATCTTCTGAGCAGCCGACACAGAATCCTCGTTCTCCTTATCCAAGTGACCTGCCCTGGCATTTGGGCATTTGGCTGTATGCTTTTTCTTACCTATGCACATGTGCTTGCCCTTCTGGTGGGCCAAGGTGTTTTTCCAGAATTGAGCCTGGGAATGGACAGTCACAGGCTTCCAGATGATCAGCCCATCTTTGATCAGCTTCCGGATCTACTGACGAGAGTTGGCATTGGCGATTTCATTGATCTCATCGGGGTCCAACCAGACCTTCTTCTTGCCCCAGTGGAGGACACTAGAGGCGAGCCTCTTCTGAAGCCGAAGCATACTCATGGCTGTGGCCGCAGCAGTGAAAGGAATGAGGAAAGGGCTCCGCATGCATGACTTTCTGTAGCCCCCATTAACTGGAAAATAGTTATCATTCTGGAATGTTTACCTCTCAGTACCTTGTCACAAAGGTGCAGTGAGTCAAACATGACTGGCATAAAATTACACTCTGGTTTTCTTAGTTGATTTCAGTCACAAAAGGCTGAGGAATTGATCTGTCCACACAAACAGAACTAAGTGCAGTGGTCACTATTGTTTCTGGGTGGTTCTATCTCTCACCATTCTCACAGAGGCTTGGCCAGTCTCCTTTCTATCTCCTGGGCTGACATTTGCTTTCATCCAGCCTGCTGTGCTTCACATTCATATAGACATGTCCCATTATGTTAGAGATTTAGAGCCTGTGGTGCCTTGCACTGGTTAATATCATTCTGTGATATTTACTGAGCACTCATAATGTGCTAGGTGCCGTAAGACTGCCCATATGATGGAGTCCAGCTGTGAGCACAGTACAACATGGCAGGTTGACACACTGGGTATTTTTCCTAGCTTTAATTTCTTAAGCCGAGATGGGATTATTGTCCCATTTTTCTTCTCCATGAGGAGCATTTAACTTCATTCTATATTGTGTTCCCTGCATGCCTACTGACAATCCGAAGATAATATCACTTGGTGCTTGAAGCTAGAAATCCTTATTTGTTCTGATATCGTATAATTTATGTTTGCAATTTCAGGCAGGTACAAATTTCTCAGAGTGTATGGTGTTTCTTGTAAGAACATTCAAGAAATTTATCTCAGCTTCTTTAAAACTAGAATTTAAAAGCTCAAATATCTACATTCGGCTCAATAACCACAGACAGTAATGACACTTCTAAGTAGCTAATGCAGGCGTGTAATTTGCTCATAGCCCTGATTTAACTTTATTTACAGATTAAAATTGAATTGCAGTTGATTTATTGATATAATAGGCAGAAAGTGATTATCAAGCATCATCCATCACTGATAGAGGAAAAACCAATCAAATTATGTTCCAAGGTTTGCTTTAACCTAAACTAACTCATTACCTTATAAAACTCAGAGGATTTGAGTCATATTCTCCCGCTAAAGTCAATGAGCCACAACTCCCACTAAACTCATATCTGCTCCTTTAAAGGCATTCAAGAGTTATACTAATTTGCACGACCACCAAGTTGTTATAAAAGGAAATGGCAATCGGCTGGAGATTTAGTGTCTGTACTTTCTCCCCATGTATGTAGCCATGGTAATATTCTTTAATGTTTATTGTAAATCCATAAATGGGCTTGGTCTCATGCTATCCATGAAATGGTATCGACCTGTGCATACAACTCAGCTGGAAAGATGTGTGGAGTAAAGGATGCTGGTGCTTTCAATAGTGACAAGCTGATTAGAAAATGTGTCCCTTTGGAGGGAGAACTGGGATCTATCTGTGTTCCAGAAAACAATGAAATTTCTTGATTAGAAGCAGGCGATGATGGTGACTTTGATCTTAGACATTCATAACTCTACTCTTCGGAAGGAGAAAAAGTGTGAGGTGGGGGAGAATTTGGCAGAGCAACATCAGACATGTCACCCTGTGCCAGGGGTTGAGCATGGTGCCCTGGGGGCTGTGTTGTAAGAGTGGCCCGGTATGGATTTCCCTCCATTCTTATCACTGAACCCTGGCAAGATAAAGTTAAGAAATCCAGTGCTACACTATTTCAGAGGCTTGCCAATGTCATATGACAGCAGCACTCATTCTCATTACCTGGGGGCATTCTTAAATTGGAAGTTCTGTGTTTATGCACTTGCAAATTATATACCCAGAGATATACTTTTTTAAAAAAGCTATCATTCTATGAAGTATGATGTGAAACTTTTAAATATAATCTTTACATTCATCCTCATTTATGTTGCTGCTAGTTATTTCATATATCTATGATAGAAAATCTTGCTGTTGTCAGTAATTGCTATTTTAATTATGCCTGAGCCCTAAGGAGATTCAGAGAAAGAGCATAATTACTAGAAATCCAAGGCCATTGAGCAGCATGTTCAAGTTTGTTTTTATCACATTGTTCATTTTTACCTATCGTGTTCTACACTGTTAATTCTTAAGACATTCATCTGTACTTTAGAAAATGAAACTCCGTTTAAATTGTTCCCAACATCATGTCCTCCAAATCCAGTAGACGGTGCTCATTGACTTCAAAGAATATTTCTTGTGCACTTAAGTGCCACAGGGAACGGAGAAAGATGAAAGAAATACTTTCTCTAATTATATATAGGTACATATTCATTTTACTGTCCCATCCAATATTGCTGATCCTCCATGATAAACTTTTTTCTTTAATGAGTATATTTTATACTCATGTAACCTTGTTCATCCTCTGCCATGTTATGCACATTTACTTTGCCCATTATCCAAATATGCATTATTCAAAGAAAAGACAAGTAATGATGTGATTCAGATATCATTTTCAAGAATCTCTGAGTTGGAAGTGGGGTGATTACAGAGAAACTCATTTGGCTGCTTTCATTTATAGCTGCAAAGTATTCATACGGGATACATAAGATTCATTAGAGAGGAAGCTGCTAATCTCAAAATAAATATTTTCATTTTAAAAATAGAGACTAAATGAGTATTAGATCAGCTTTCTTCTAATGTCCAGTGTCAAACGGTGTGCAGCACCCAGCCCATGCCTAGCACATGGTTGAAGCTCATTTGTTCTTGGTTCCTAACCTATCCATTCTTTTTCGCTTAAATGTGTTTCCCATTAGTGCGTGATACTTCCCAGGAAGTATATATTCTCTCATGATATTCTATGGGTTGCCTTTGTTTTTGTGCTCTTCATCTCATTACAAATGTTTCTATTCATTCTTTTTCACACACACAAAAAATGCTCCATTGATCATTTCAGCATCCACCTTTAAATCTTGTCCCTGCACCTGCTAACACTCATCTCTCTGTGGCTCCTTCAGATCCCGGAGTTCTCTGTAAAAAAATCATGGTTCTCACTGTAACACTGTGACTAACATCAAGACCATTCTAAACAAACACTTGGAACATTTAATCATGGGAATTTAGAAGACACAGGAAGTACTGTGGGACATGAGATTCTCTATGTTAATTTGCATTGAAAAGATACTGATTTTCAGTTTTACTTTGGGATGCTATGCTGTGCATTACTATGTTTATTTAGAGGTGGCTACATTTCATAGCTTGCAGAATATTTCACTGAGAAATCATATGAACTTTGACAAATATTTTGTTTTATTGTGAGAATGTGCTAGTTGGGTTATTCTAACAGGAAGGGGAAGTTCTAGCTTTAAATGCCATTATCTGTGCATGCTTGCTAGGCTTTTAACTTTGGTGCAGTGCTTTCAAAGATTACCAAGCCCCAGGGTACCTAGGGAGCATTAAGCACAGGCCATTGAGAGGATAAACCATGCATGCTTTGTAAGCATGCACACCAAATACCCATCTGAAAAAGCACTTGCTTTTTATGTATTCAGTGATTGAGTTGCAAGCACCGGCACCTCAATGCTTCTGCTTAGTGAGAAACTCATTTCATATTCTATTTCATTCAACTGATATTTCATTTAGCCCCTAGAATAATTCATGCATTAGTCTAAGTCCTAGAAATATAAAGGTGGATATACTGCAGTTCTTGTCCTCAAGGAGCTTATGGCTTAGGGATAAGCCATATGCATCCATATAGCAGGTATCGTGCAGTGAGATAAGTATTAGCCAATTAAAAATGTGAATGGACATTTATGTTGCATTGCACTATGGAGAGGGAGTTAAATTATGCTAGTAGGAAAGGTGGGAGGAAGGGACCTTTCATAAAGAAGGTAGCATGATCCAAAGGCAGGGATGACAGAGTATGGGGTTTTCCTCATGAGTGGGCTCCCGGAAGCTGTCAGGGCTGGAAATACAGGTTTGGGAAGTTATTGACTTTTTGGCAGTTGCTAAAGTCATGGGAAGATATTATTGAAGGAAATAATGTAGAGAAAATAAGGAAAACACCAACAATAACAGACGAGTGTAGGAAGAGAATATAGTAAAAGGGACTAACAAAGGAAAGTCAGAGAAGTTTAGGGAAAAGCAAGCATGGAGATACTGAAGCCAAAGGAGGAGCTTGAAGAAAAAACAGAGGTTGACATGCATATTCCATGGAAATAGATCTAAAAAACACCATCTTAAAACATTGGTCCTCCTGCACACCAAAGGATTTTTGTTGTTGTTGTTATTTTAAGATGTTGTAAGATATCACTAAAAATGTAAATGTTCTCAGAAGAGATTTTGTCCCATGTGGACACACTGAGTGTCAAATCAGTGTTTTTCTCTCAAATGCTGGAACCGTGGCATAATTATAGTTTTATAAGGATGCTGAGATGTAATTTTTTTTTTTTGTAGGCCTAGGGTTAGCTGTGGACTACATTGAGAAGTATATGAAATCAGTTTTGGCACCCTGCCTTTATCCCCAGCCAAATTCTAGAAAAGATTGTCTGCTGGTACTTAAAAGAGAAGTGCTAATAACTCACAGCCAAAGTGAAATCACTCAGAAGGGTCTTGCCAAATCCCTCTTTTGAGTTTGATAGGTTGTAAAATCCCTCTTCTGCATTTGATAGGCAGCACACAGATACTATCCTTAGGTTCAGGGAGGTGCTTTCCCACAAAGAACTGAACAATTAGGGGAACCTTAGGAGATTAAGCAAGGAGTGTTCACCAGGTGATCCTTGCATATCTGCGGGGAGGACTCTGACCCTGTGTTGTTCAATATTTTCATAGCAATTTGGATGAAAGCCTAGGGAATAAACCATTGGAGAGAAGCCACAGGGAGGCAGATATCGATTGTGTAAAACGTAGCCCTGTCTCATAGTCACAGCTGCCCAAAAATGATTTGGGCTTGTCAAAGGCGGAATAGCTCTTCATCACTGGAGGGATTGAGTGCTGTAAAACCCTTGATGTTTCAGGGTCATTTTCTGCTTATGGGGAGGGATTGGATTTGGTCACCACTGTTTTCTTTCCAATTCCAGGATTTTCTATTCTAAGGACATTCTATATATCTGTGTCGTCTGGGTGAGCTTATGCAATAATCGTGAAATGAGACGCCCCAAGAATGGCATTCCCTTTGACCACTTCTCCCTAGCTATACACCACCCCCACCCTTGAGCCTGACTCTTTAAAGCAATTATAAATCACAGGGTACATTCATAAAGAATTGTGGGAGAGTGTCTATGGCATATTTAGCCCTTTTCACTTATTATCTGTAGCAGATTACATCTCAATGGTTCAACCTTTCTTTATCATTGTAGAAAAATAATCCTGTTTTTTAAGTTCTGAAAAGTAGGCAAATGTTAAGTGAATCATATATGCAGAAGGCTGAAACAGTGTCCTAGAAATGATTCTCCTTAAGGTCAGGGACACATGCTTATTTTATCTTCTTTCCAGAATCTGCATTTAGGGCATAGTCACTATTACGTAGGATAAGATCATAACCTACATGCTCCCATATTGTCAGACTCTGAACTGTCTGCATTAGGGCCGCTAATTTACTTCACTCCACACCAATTAGTTAAACCAACTAGGGATTTAAATATATGCTTGCTCCTTTTGAAAAAAAAAAAAAGAAAATCTCTACTTCCTGACAACCTCCCTGCTTCTCACTTGATTCATTTAGGGAAATAGACTCATGCCAAGCTTTTGCACAACAACTTCGTTTTAGAATTTCATACATTCTTGGATTCAGTGGATCAGAATCCATTTTTTTCTTTTCAGTTATATATTCAGGAAACCACACTAAGCTAAATAATCGCATGATTATTGTGAAAATTCAGGATTACTAAATACAGAACTTCACACTTGGCTAAAAGCCAATGTTGTTTTCTGTCTCTTTTTTGACATCATTTTCCTGCAGAAGAGACTCAATGAGATGTTAAAGACATTTTACAGGAATTCCATGGCTGCATTCTATTTCCCTATCATGTATTTTACTTTTGGGTGCCCTCTTGGGTGTATATAAAATGATCTAGTTATTCTGTTATCCCCTTAATCCACATGTTTCTGGAAACCAGTTGGCATTAATATTTGTGACAGGTATTTGAAAAATTGGTGGCAAATAACTTTCTTGAAAGACAGAACAAAAGAATTAGGAGACATAGGCATCTTCTAATATCCTATACGATTGGCAATGATTTGTCCCTATTGTGGCTCTTCTCTGACCTATTAGTGAAAGGCAAAATTCTAAAGAAATGTTGAATTCACATGTACACGTTAACGTGCAGGCTGCATGGAGAGGCAGTCTGTGAATAATAAAAAAAGTATTTACCTCTCCCTATAATTACTGTGGCTTTTTGTACTGGTACCCTTCATCTTATTAACATCACAGTAGGGAGGTGTCTCTGACTGGTACAGCAGGCGCCTATCTGTCCTGCTCCTGGGGAGACTTTTCAAAGAGGTCTTCAAATACTGTTTGCTCCTTCTCGTGAACTTTGCCATGTTCCATCCTTTAAAAAAAAATTAAAGATCAAACTTATAAAACAGAAATATCTAATTGATCAAGAGTCCTGAATTCACTCTTTTGAAAATCACTTGGGTTTTGCCTTAATAAATATAGGGCCCATGTAGAAGTTTTGGCATCTATTGGAGCTCTATAAAAAACTCCCCCAAGTGAAGTTTTATGTAAACTTGGACACTGGAGCTTAGACTCTGTCTATAATCCCCAAGTGCTTTCATAAAATAAATTTTTAAAATATGCAAATGATTCATTTTTATCTTGTTTGTTTTAACCAAGACTGAGAATCTCTTTATGTTGGTATATCATTAATGTGTCTATAAATTAAATGATTCTTTTACTATTTGAATGGTGTAAAATTTTTTTTTTTTAAAGTTGTTATTCTCAAAGAGGACTGACTTTCTTTGGCTCTGAAAATGTTTAATGGAGTTTAGGAATTTTCTCATTATGAAAACTGACTTTCTAAGTTCAACTCTATGGCAGTATTTTCAAATGAGGAGCTGAGACAGTTATAGGGTAATTTAGATAAAAAGTACACTGTTGAATGAAATGAGGGAGCTTGGGCCTAAGTTATGTTTGATTATTTCCATTAACTAAACAACTAGAGCATTTTAAAATCCTTCAGTTTTATAGCGAAGTTTTATTGTCTTAAATTTTATTTTCCCTAGATTATTATACCTAAAAGATGCATGCATTCCTACGCTGATTGCCATGCTATTCACAAATTGCAAGGATGTAGAATCAACCTATGTGCCCGTCAATGATGAATTAAAGAAAATATGGTACATATACATTAGGGAATACTATGCAGCTATAAAAAAGAATGGAATCATGCTCTTTGCAGCAAAATGGATGGAGCTGGAGATGATAATTCTAATCAAATTAACACAGGAACAGAAAACAAAATACTGCATGCTGTCACTATAAGTGGGTGGTAACCATGGAGCACATACGGATATAAACATAAGAACAATAAACACTGCTACATGGGGTAGGGAAGGATGAGGCTGTGGGTTGAAAAACAACCTATTGGGTATTGTGTTCACTATGCGGGTGCAATATACTCATGTGACAAACATGTATCTAAAATAAAAGTTGAAATTAAATTATATTCTCCTGCTTAACACTAAGGTTTAGTCTGAGATTTTCCCACAGTTTAATTGATTTGGAATATTAACCAAGACAGGTGGATTTCTGGCTATAAATATTTGTACAATGACAAACCAATGATACAAGCACAGTGAGGTAGTACACTAAAAGTAGCATATTAAAAAACTTTTTATTTTTGGCATTTGAAACCTATTTTTGAAGGTCATAAACAAATACGCCTCAGCACACCATCAATCATGACATGCATATTTCCATTTGTGCTTAAAATTAAAAGCTTTCTAGAAATCAAAGCATTACTTAGTTCACAGTAACTCTTTCTCTAGAAGGCTTTTCAATTTAAAACTTTTCCGTGGGTGTCTGAGTGGATAGTAGGAGTCGAAGACAATATGATAGAAACAAAAGAAAAATCCAATTTAAAGGAAGACTCCAAGCAGCTTCTTAGGCAATGCTGGAGGTCCTTGTGGATGCAGGGAGGGCATGTGAGCTGCAGAAAAGGTTAAGGGAGTTCTAATGAGGGATTATTGCATTTTCTGATTGCTTATGCTTTTCTTATTCTGTTTGATAGTAGATTATTCCTTAATTTATCCTCCGCTCAAATAGCATCTTTAGTCTTTATTTTCTGTTTATGTGTATTTGTTCCATTTGGCAGTCACTAAGGAGATGGAGAAATAAGTAGGTTATGAGATCTGATATTATTATCAGCAGTAATTAATTGAACCTGACAGAACCAAATTGCAAATGTAGGCATTTGAAGACAAACTCATCGGTTGTAAAAAGGTGAGAGATGTTGTGAAAAATGACACATACAGATACCGCAGCTATGGAACAAACTCTATTGTAATTATGGCCTGAGCAAACCTGGTTATGCAAGAGGGGTGAGAGGGAAAGCTTATGCCAGATTAAGAAGAGCTCATGTCAGAAAGCATGGCAGACTGCAACTGCATTGCTGAATTAGTAATTCCATCCTTAATTAATTTTTATCATATAACACCTTTTCTTTTAAGCACGTGTGTAGGAGACGTTAAGAGCTTGAGTTAGTTGAAAAATTTAGAAAATGTTGCACCGTCATTGAAGATATTTTACAATTTGACATTTTATGCATATAATAATACATTCCTCTCTTGATAATTAGATTGTAATTCAAAGAAAGATTGTATTGCAGTGCCATGTATTTGATATCTCCAAAGACTGCAGCATAGTCTTATGCAAAAACATGGTGATCAGTATATACTGAGTGAATTAAGGTTCAAAAGGCGCATCAACATTTAGAGGGGTTTTAGATCATCATTATCTAATTATTAGCAGTGTACAATATTATAGAAAGCATTTGATTTTCTTGAGTTTTTTGAATCTTGTTAAATTATAGTTATAAATTTAAAAAGCTGTAAGTTATAATTTTAATGCAATCTTGGAACAAAATATACAAGTAACAAGTAATAGAGCTTTATTTGTTCTATCGTATAATAAACTGTCAATGCTAAAGCTAATTTTATATTAATTAAATAATATTCCTGGAATTTAATTTGGTTTACTTTCTTAGTGTAATGCACACTTCTAACTGTCATTATGGTTGATGCTGTTTTTCTATGACAGGAATTATAGTGAACTTCACAGCAATGGTCGGTTGGGGTTCTTATTTATTTGTTTCTATAGCATGGCTTTGGTCCACACAGGGAGAAAATGTGTTGCAGTGCATGCTGAGAACAAAAAGAGTGCAAGTGTAGGGAGAGGGAACTATTGGGAAACAGAGAAAGATGCCAGAAACTTGAGGCTTTTGGGGATGAGGTTTAGAGTGATAAGTTTTATTCAGGAGATGCAGACACAGTTCAATTGCAAGCTAGGCATGAAGATTGCAGGAATGTTTGATTTGAGGAGAAGAGAATATGGGCTCTACTTTGGGACTCTAAAATAAAAGTGATTTCTGTGCTAAATAAAGACATAGATTTTTTTTCAGGAATTTTGTCTGAAATGGAATAATGAGATAGCCTGAGAGTCCCCCAGGCAGTAAAACAAATTACAAACATGGTTCCAAATAGCTGACTATGACATGGAGTAAGGCTTTCCCATGTTTTAATCAGATGCTAGATGTGTTGGAAAAGCCCTAAGTCCTTAGGAGTTCCTGCAGAATAGAACCATAGCGGTGATGTAGATGTCTTAGAGTTACTGGGTGGGGGCGGTGTCACCACTTGATACCACTATGGCAGCCTACATGGTAGTTGGTAGCCTAAATTCATAGCTATTTAAAAAGTCCTTCTGTATAGCCAATTTGGTTCTTCTTTCCTCAACCCAATTCACTTATGCATAAGGTTGCCAGATTAAGTACTGGGTACCCAGTCAAATTTGAATTTCAGGTAAACAATGAATTTTATTTTAGTATAACTATGTCCCAAATATTGCATGGTATATTCTTGTATACTCAAAATAATTATCACTTCTGTAGGAAAAATAATAAGATGATAAATACTCCGAATCTTTCAGATTTTAGATATCTTCCAATTTTTTTGATATAAAAGGTGTTTAGCTAGCATAGAATTAATTAAGGAAATACTTTTTTGAAATGGAAGGTTTTGTATATATAATTAATTTCTTTTTTAATTTTTATTTAAATTTTTTAAAATGATGATAATTTCAATAGTTTTGGGGGAACGGGTGGTGTTTGGTTACATGGATACGTTCTTTAGGTGTGATTTCTGAGATTCTGGCGCACCCATCACATGAGAAGTGTACACTGCACCCAATGTGCACTCTTTTGTCCCTCACTCCCCTCCCACTCTTCCCCCCAAGTTTCCAGAGTCCATTGTGTCATTCTTTTGCCTTTGCGTCTTCATAGCTTAGCTCCCACTTATAAGTGAGAACATATGACGTTTGGTATACCATTCCTAAGTTACTTCACTTAGAATAATGGTCTCCAACTCCATCCGGGTTGCTGCAAATGACATTATTTTGTTCCTTTTTATGGCTGAGTAGTATTCCATGTTGTGTGTGTGTATACACACACATATGTGTATGTGTGTATACATAAATGTGTATGCGTGTACATATATATACATATGTGTGTATGTATATGTGTGTGTGTGTGTGTGTGTATATATATATATATATCACATTTTCTATGAGTAGTAGTCCAGGGTGCGTATGTATGTGTGTGTGTAGGTATATATATATATCACATTTTCTTTATTCACTTGTTGGTTGATGGGCATTTAGGCTGGTTCCGTATCTTTGCAGTTGTGAATTTTGCTGCTATAAACATGCATGTGCAAGTATATTTTTCATATAATAACTTCTTTTCCTCTGGGTAGATACCTAGTAGTGGGATTGCTGAATCAAATGGTAGTTTCTCTTTTATTTCTTTAAGGAATGTCCGTACTGTTTTCCATAGTGGTTGTACTAGTTTACCTTCCCACCAGCAGTATAAAAGTGTTCCCTTTTCACCACATTCACACCAACACCTATATTTTTTTAAATTTTTAAATTATGACCATTCTTGGAGGAGTAAGGTGGTATCGCATCGTGGCTTTTATTTGCATATCCCTGATAATTAGTGATGTTGAGCATTTTTCCATATGCTTGTTGGCCATTTGTATATCTTCCTTTGAGAATTGTCTATTCATGTCCTTAGCCCACTTTTTGATGGGATTGTTTGTTTTTTTTCTTGCTGATTTGTTTGAATTTTTGTAGATTCTCTATATTAGTCCTTTGTCGGATACATGGATTGTGAAGATTTTCTCCCACTCTGTGGGTTGTCTGTTTACTCTGCTGATTATTTCTTTCGCTGTGCAGAGCCTTTTAATTTAAATTCCATCTGTTTATCATTGTTTTTATCACATTTGCTTTTGGGTTCTTGGTCACGAAGTCTTTGCATAAGCCAATGTCTAGAAGGGTTTTTCTGATGTTATCTTTTAGAATTTTTATGGTTTCAGGTCTTAGATTTAAGTCTTTTATCCATCTTGAGTTGATTTTTGTATAAGGTGAGAGATGAGGATCCAGGTTCATTCTCCTACATGTGGCTTGCCAATTATCCCAGCATCATTTGTTGAACAGGGTGGCCTTTCCCCACTTCATGTTTTTGTTTGCTTTGTCAAAGATCAGTTGGCTGTAAGTATTTGGCTTCATTTCTGGGTTCTCTATTCTGTTCCATTGGTCTATGTGCCTATTTTTATACTAGTACCATGCTGATTTGGTGACTATGGCCTTATAGTGTAGTTTGAAGTCAGGTTATGTGATGTCTTCAGATTTGTTCTTTTTGCTTAGTCTTGCTTTGGCTATGCGAGCTCCTTTTTTGGTTCCATATGAATTTTACGATTTTTTTTTCTAGTTCTGTGAAGAATGGTATTGATATTTTGATGAGAATTGCTTTGAATTTGTAGATTGCTTTTGGCAGTGTGGTCATTTTCACAATATTGATTCTACCCATCCATGAACATGGGATGTGTTTCCATTTGTTTGTGTTGTCTATGATTTACTTAAGCAGTGTTTTGTAGGTTTCCTTGTAGAGATCTTTCACTTATTTGGTTAGGTATATTCGTAAGTATTTCATTTAATTTTTTGCAGCTGTTGTAAAAGAGTTTGATTTCTTGATTTGATCCTCAGCTTGGTTGCTGTTGGTATATAGCAGTGTTACTGATTTGTGTACATTGATTTTGTATCCTGAAACTTTACTGAGTTTAATTATCAAATCTAGGAGCAATTTGGATGAGTTTTTAGGGTTTTCTAGGCATATGATCATATCATCAGCAAACAGTGACAGTTTGATTTCCTTTTTACCGATTTGGATGATTTTTATTTTTTCTCTTGTCTGATTGCTCTGGCTAGGACTTCCAGGATTAGGTTGAATAGAAGTGATGAAACTGGGCATTCTTGTCTTGTTACAGTTCTCAGGGGAAATGCTTTCAATTTTGCCCTGTTCAGCATAATGTTGGTGGTAGGTTTGTTGTAGATGGCTTTTATTACCTTCAGGTATGTCCTTTCTATGCCAATTTTGCTGAGGGTTTTAATCACAAAAGGATGTTAGATTTTTGTCAAATGCTTTTTCTGCATCTATTGGGAGGAACATATGATTTTGTTTTTACTTCTGTTTATGTGGTATATCAAATTTATCAACTTGTGTATGTTAAACCAACCTGCCTCCCTGGTATGAAACCCACTTGATCATGGTGTATTATCTTTTTGATATGCTGTTGGATTTGGTTAGCTAGTTTTTTGTTGAAGATTTTTGCATCTATATTCCTCAAGGATATTGATCCGTAGTTTTCTTTCTTTGTTATGTCGTTTCCTGGTTTTGGTATTAGGGTAATACTGGCTTCATAGAATGATTTAGGGAGGATTCCCTCTTTATCTTTTGTAATACTTTCAGTAGGATTGGTACCAATTCTTTGAATGTCTGATGGAATTCAGCTGTGAATCCACCTGGCCTTAGACTTTTTTTTTTGTTGGCAATTAAATTTTTTTTTTTTAATTATACCATAAGTTCTGGGATACATGTGCAGAAATGTAGGTTTGTTACATAGGTGTACAGGTGCCATGGTGATTTGCTGCATCCATCAACCTGTCATCTACATTAGGTATTTCTCCTAATGCTTGCCCTCCCCTTGCTGCCCACCCTCCAACAGGCCCCGGTGTGTGATGTTCCCCTCTCTGTGTCCGTGTGTTCTCATTGTTCAACTCCTACTTACGGGTGACAACATGTGGGATTTGGTTTTCTGTTCCTGTGTAAGTTTGCTGAGAATGATGGTTTCCAGTTTCATCCATGTCCCTGCAAAGGACATGAACTCATTCTTTTTTATGGCTGCATAGTATTCCATGGTGTATATGTGCCATATTTTCTTTATCCAGTCTATCATTGATGGGCATTTGGATTGGTTCCAAGTCTTTGCTATTGTAAATAGTGCTGCAATAAACATATGTGTGCATGTGCCTTTATAGTAGAATGATTTATAATCCTTTGGGTATATACCCAGTAATGGGATTGCTGGGTCAAATGTTATTTCTGGTTCTAGATCCTTGAGGAATCGCCACATTGTCTTCCACAATGGTTGAACTAATTTACACTACCACCAACAGTCTAAGAGCATTCCTATTTCTCCACATCCTCTCCAGCATCTGTTGTTTCCTGACTTTTTAATGATTGCCATCCTGGCATGAGATGGTATCTCATCATGGTTTTGATTTGCATTTCTCTAATGACCCGTGATGGTGAGCTTTTTTTCATATGTTTGTTGGCCACATAAATGTCTTCATTTGAGAAGCATCTGTTCATATCCTTCACCCACTTTTTGATGGTTTTTTTTTCTTGTAAATTTGTTTAAGTTCCTTGTAGATTCTGGATATTGGTCCTTTGACAGGTGGATAGATTGCAAAAATTTTCTCCCATTCTATAGGTTGCTTTTTCACTCTGATGATGGTTTCTTTTGGTGTGCAGAAGCTCTTTAGTTTAATTAGATCCCATTTGTCAATTTTGGCTTTTGTTGCAATCGCTTTTGGTGTTCTAGTCATGAAGTCTTTGCCCATGCCTATGTCCTGAATGGTATTGCGTATGTATTCTTCTAGGGTTTTTGTGGTTTTAGGTCTTACATTTAAGTCTTTAATCCATCATTAGTTAACTTTTGTATAAGGTGTAAGGAAGGGGTCCCATTTCAGTTTTCTGCATATGGCTAGCCAGTTTTCCCAACATCATTTATTAAATAGGGAATACTTTCCCCATTGCTTGTTTTTGTCAGCTTTGTCAAAGATCAGATGGTTGTAGATGTGTGGTATTATTTCTGAGGCCGCTGTTCTGTTCCATGGATCTATATGTCTGTTTTGGTATCAGTACCATGCTGTTTTGGTTACTGTAGTCTTGTAGTATAGTTTGAAGTTAGGTAGCAAGATGCCTCCAGCTTTGTTCTTTTTGCTTAGGATTGTCTTGGCTATAAGGGCTTGTTTTTGTTTCCATATGAAATTTAAAGTAGTTTTTTCTAATTTTGTGAAGAAAGTCAATGGTAGCTTGATGGGAATAGCATTGAATCTGTATATTACTTTGGGCAGTATGGCCATTTTCACAATACTGATTCTTCCTATCCATGAGCATTTAATGTTTTTCCATTTGCTTGTGTCCTCTCTTATTTCCTTGAGCAGTGCTTTGTAGTTCTCCTTGAAGAGGTCCTTGGCATCCCTTGTAAGTTGGATTCCTAGGTATTTTATTCTCTTTGTAGCAATTGTGAATGGGAGTTCACTCATGATTTGACTCTCTGTTTGTCTATTATTGGTGTATAGGAATGCTTGTGATTTTTGCACATTGATTTTTTATCCTGAGCCTCTGCTGAAGTTGCTTATCAGCTTAAGGAGATTTTGGGCTGAGATGATGGAGTTTTCTAAATATACAATCATGTCATCTGCAAACAGAGACAATTTGACTTCCTCTCTTCCTGTTTGAATACCTTTATTTCTTTCTCTTGCCTGATTGCCCTGGCCAGAACTTCCAATACTATGTTGAATAGGAGTGGTGAGAACGGGCATACTTGTCTTGTGGGCAAATTTTTTTTTTTTTTTATTACTGCTTCAATCTCATTAGTTGTTATTGGTCTGTTCAGAGTTTCTGTTTCTTCCTGGTTTAATGTAGGAGGGTTGTTTATTTCCAGGAGTCTACCATCTCCTCTAGGTTTTCTAGTTTGTGCACATATAGGTGTTCATATTAGTGTGGAATGGTTTTTTTGTATTTTTGTGGTATTGGTTGTAATATCTCCCATTTCGTTTCTAATTGAGTTTATTTGGACCTTCTCTCTTCTTGTCTTGGTTAATCTCACTAATGGTCTATCAATTTTATTCATCCTTTCAAAGAACCAGCTTTTTGTTTCATTTATCCTTTTTTTTTGTTTTGTTTTTGCTCGTTGTTACTGTTTCAACTTCGATTAGTTCTACTCTAATCTTTATTTCTTTTCTTCTGTTGGGTTTGGGTTTGGATTGTTCTTGTTTCTATAGTTCGGTGAGGTATGACCTAGATTGTCTGTTTGTGCTGTTTCAGATTTTTTGATGCAGGCATTTAATGTTATGACCTTCCTCTTAGCACCACTTTTGTTGTGTCCCAGAGGTTTTGATGGGTTGTGTCATTATTTTTGTTCAGTTCAAAGCATTTTTAAATTTCCATCTTGATTTCATTGTTGACTCAATCATTCAGGAGCAGATTATTTAATTTCCATGTATTTGTACTGTTTTGAGGTTTCCTTTTGGAGTTAATTTCCAATTTTATTCCACTGTTGTCTGAGAGAGTACTTGATATAATTTCAATTTTCTTAAATTTATTGAGACTTGTTTTGTGGCCTGTCATGGTCTATCCTGGAGAATGTTCCATGTGCAGTGCTGAGATCTTATCCCAAGTTACAAGCCTCCCCACTGAAAAAGCAAGCAGGGCTATTAGGCCTTGCCCTCCCAACATGCCTGCATCCTTGGCTGTGGCTTCTGAGCTTGTATCTGAACTTCTTATTTGCACTGCCACCCTGTCACCCCACTGCCTCTTCCTCCTCCCCCCTCTTCCCCACACTCCCCTTCTGGATTCTGTTCAGGAAAATTCGTGCTCAGTCGAAATTATTACAAAATTCAGCTAGGAGCTTCCTTAACCCTGTAGCCCCTCCCCAATTTCACTGGCTGCCTTCATATAATTACTTTCTGACATTTATTTTTGCAGAGAAGGCGGCTGAGGCTAATATTATTTTAATTATTGTCCTCCTAGAGTGCTTCTTGGGTTACCTATTTATCTTTGAAATTTAAGTTTTTATTGAGATATTTCTAGTTGTTCAGTTCTGATTAAATTTGCCTAGGCAAAACTTCAGGTTTTTCTTTTTCTTTTTTTCTGATTAAAATGTTTCTTTCTATATATATATAACTACCAGTTCTGAACTATTTACTCATTTAACTTCTCCCAAGAAGTTTATTATTTTCAGTTTGCATCCCTGTTTTCTCTCTTTGTGCCTGGTATCTTTCCTTCTATTCTTTACTCCATTTAGTTTTCTCTCAACTCTTTGTTTTTGTCATAGTGTTGATTTAACCTTTTTTGCAGTTTTATATCTGCTTTATTGTTTCTACAAGTGATTTCTTGTGTTTGCTTTATTTTTAAATTATTGAACACTATTTAATGTATATTCTTATTAAAAGTAAGTTTGTGAGTATGTAAGAAACTGCTACCTTCTTTTTTTTAATATTGTAAAATAAATTTATTTCAAGGAAAAATAATATTCCTATAAATTCCTTTATTTTCTTGGGTATTTCAAAAACTTGATTGTGAATGCTTTTCTATCTAGTTACTATGACTCATAAAGAAAATATTTCCAACAATGGTCATATTAAATTGACTGAATTTACATTTTGGTTAAATGCTTTCCGTGTGACTACAGCTGCAGACAGTTCAGACAGTTATTTAAAGCAATTTTGATTTTAGTTCTATTGACGTACGTATTAAAGACATACAGGGCGATTAAAGTTACAGTTCTCTGCTCAAATGAAACCTAAAGAACAAAGATATAGTTTAAGGTTCCTTCTCAATGCTTATTTCTATCATAAATCAATGGCTAAAAATAAAACAAAAAACTGGGTGGATGGTTAAAAATTAAACTTCCTTCATCAGGTCATACATACCTGATAAGAGAAAATTCTTATCTCAAGACTGAATCCTGTATGATATTATTTCATTATTTGCCATATTCTTTTTAACGCAGCCCTACTGAATTAAATCTATCATTACATTTTTATTGTGTCTTTACTTCTGGATTTTTCAATAAGGGCAAACTAGATAAAATACCTTTATTGCCATTATTCTTCTTTTTCCATAGTTTAAATTCTGCTGCCTTTTATAAAATCTCCCGTTGGCTTTAAAGGTTGAACTAATAGACTTTCTGAGCTGGAAAGGGTCTCTGACCCTCTTAGACTTTCCTCCAATGAATCTGTGGCTTCCCAGTCTCCACACTGATCTTTGTCTCTATACTCAAGTCACTGCATTATTTATTCACCTATCAAAATCCTATCTTCCAAAACCTTATGGCAGAGAGTAAATAACTGAAACAAGAATGCTTGAATGTGAAATTTAAAACAGGTTCTAGAGAGGTGAGCAGATATACCAGATGTATATGCCATATTCTAACCTCATCCCTTTTCATTGTGCGCTTTCTGTGAACAGCCTTTCAGGACCCATTGTTTATCCACAGACTTTCCCTTGCCCAGATTCCTAGTAAGCTCTTCTTTCTGACTGTTACTGAATGACTTATTTGAACACTGGCAATATCTTATGTTTCCCTCAGAATCTTTTTTTTTTTTTTTTTAGACGGAGTCTCGCACTGTCGCCCAGTGGTGCAATCTCGGCTCACTGCAAGCTCCGCCTCCCGGGTTCACACCATTCTCCTGCCTCAGCCTCCCGAGTAGCTGGGACTACAGGCGCCCGCCACCACGCCCGGCTAATTTTTTTTGTATTTTTAGTAGAGACGAGGTTTCACCGTGTTAGCCAGGATTGTCTCGATCTTCTGACCTTGTGATCCGCCCGCCATGGCCTCCCAAAGTGCTGGGATTACAGGCGTGAGCCACCGCGCCCGGCCTAGAATCTTTATCTTAAAGATGTGTTGTCACCTACCAACTGATAGTTCTGCCAATGGTAATGCCATGTTAATGTTCCAAAAGAAGGGCTTGCCTTTTATTGGTCTTATGTCCAGTTGTTTAAAAACTACATTCTAGCTATGTAGTTATCATAGCCTTTTTATATTTATTTTTTGAAAACCTAGTAATGATTCATTACAATGGGTTCATTGATCTATTTATGGCAGTAACATCGGTTTGGAAAGTGGGTTACACTGCAAAAAATAGAATGTGAACAACCATTTGAGAGGAAAACAAAGGAATTTGATCTTCGGGACTTAAATTATTCTATGTGTAACACACCTAGCAATCTACTTATGATCCTTTATAGGCAGACACATAATTATTCAACCTAAAATCTAAAACATGACTTTATAAGAAATGTAGAAGAAAGAACTCTCCCTTTTCAAGGCTAATCTACAACTACTGCTTTCTTAGAAGCTCTTAGTTACTTTGAATTTCTTTTCCCATCTCGCTTAATATATTTTTAAAATCTTTTTATGTTAAGGAGATGCAGTATGATATTGTGGAAAGGCTAACCAACTAAATATCAGAGGTCTGAGTTTTAATCTTAGCTTGATAACTAAATATAATAGCTGGCTGCTGACATTAAGCTGCATTTTCTAGTCTGTCTCATCCTGGGTTTTCCTAATGTGTAAAATAAAGAGATGGAAGTCTGAGAAATTATCCAAATTCATTCATAATGGCAGATAAATGTAGATTACCTAGAATGTGTACTGTCCCTGATTTTTTTCTTCTTCCTTAGCAAATGAGAGTTCATCTAAAATTATAATAGTTGCTAAAACAAAGAAATTAATCCTGATTACTGAAAGAAAACCCTTTAATTTGCCCTGCATCTTTAAAACCATAATTTCTATTTTGCCATATTAAAGGAAGTAACTACCCAGAAAGCAAGTATAACCATTTTAACCATCCATATACATGGTATAGAACAAGCTGACAGACTACAATAAGAATTTAAATTATACTATCTTGATGAAATTTAGACGAGTGGAAGTTTTTGTTTGTTTTGTTTTTTGAGACAAGTCTCACTGTCTCACCCAGGATGGAGTGCAGTGGTGCAATCTCGGCTCACTGCAACCTCTGCCTCCTGGGTTCAAGTGATTCCCCTGCCTCAGCCTCCCAAGTAGCTGGGACTACAGGTGTGTGCCACCACGCCCAGCTAATTTTTTGTATTTTTAGTAGAGATGAGGTTTCACCATGTTAGCCAGGATGGTCTTGATCTCCTGACCTCGTGATTCACCTGCCTCAGCCTCCCAAAGTGCTGGGATTATAGGTGTGAGCCACCACACCCAACCCCAGTTTTAACTTATTCTATAGTGATCTCCCCAAAATGGCAAATTTTACCTAGTCTTCCTGAGATGTCAACACAATTAAAAGTTATAATTATGATTGATGCAAGAAATATTTCAATACTAGATTAGAATGGGTTTTCTGAAAGTCTTGCATTTCAAAACTTCCATGTTTCAAGTGTGAGAAGAATCATAATTTTCATCATTGGATACTTCATTTCTTTCTCATAAAACATGATACTGATGAAAAAGGGTGAGTTCCTTTTTAGTTTTTTTTTTTTCTTTAATGAGTGCTCTAATACATCAAAGATCAGACTTCTGTATTTTTCCACTGGCCAGGCTCCAATTTTGTTCAGGCTATCTACTATGTATCCCATTTTCACAGAGCACATGTTGACCCAGAGAAAATACTAATTTGGTCATTTCCTCACTCATCTGAAACAACAGCTACAAATTATTTATTTGTTTTAAATACATCAGATGTTTCTGGGAACATGACCAAAGAAAGATGAAAGTATGGGTTTAGAAATTCAAACAAAATAATGAGATCAAACTCTCTTGGGTAGAAGGTAATTGGAAGTACTATTTGATTCAGTCTCCACTAGTCATAGTATCTCTTATTGTAAACCACAAGCTGACCCGACTGCATACTTCTTATTAAAGAATGATCCCTATTTAAAAAACTCCTTTAGAGCTAGAATGCTATGCTTCTTGACTTAGAGAAAATAAACTCTGAAGGGTTGTAAATTTAAAAACAAAACAAATTCAAGCAAATCTGAATCCACAGACACTTGACTGATCCAATTTCCATGATGGTGTAATAGAAAATATTAACTTAACAGCTTGCTATTAATATTTGTCATTTCATTGATTTATAATACTTCAGTGAATGGTACAACGTTTGATAGATAGGCTTCTGTTATAGTCCATTTGTGTTGCTATAGAGGAATACCTGAGGCTGGGTAATTGCTAAAGAAAAGATTATTTGGCTCATGGTTCTGCAGGCTGTATGAGAAGCATGGGACCAGCATCTGCTTCTGGTGAGGGCCTCTGGCTGCTTCCACTCATGATGGGAAGGTAAAGAGAAGACAGCATTTGCAGAGGTTACATGGCGAGAGAGGAAGCAAGAGAGAGAGAGACGGAGGTGCCGTTTTTAACAACAAGCTCTCACAAGAACTAATAGAATGAGAACTTACTTCCTCCTACCCCCAGAAAGGGCATTAATCTATTCATAAGGGATCTGCCCTTGTGACCCAAAAAACCTCCTACTAAGTCCCAACTACAACATTGGAAATCAAATTTCAAGATGAGATTTGAAAGGGTAAGACAAACCACACTATAGCAGCTTCTTAAGAATTTTGCTGATTTTAACCTATTAGCTTTAATGTATGTATTTCTCATGTATTGAGTTAGTCTATTCACTAGAAAGTATAATGTTAAATTTAATTATATGGCCCATATGTTCAAAATCAATAAAACCTGGCACCTAAAGTAGAAATACGTTGGTTCTTTCTTTTTGTGAAATGTGCTCAAGTAATATGAGATCAAAATAGTAAAAGGTACTAAATACAGAATTGAGGATTCAAATCTCTGTTACTAATGCTGATTCACAGAAAGGTGAGAAAATTTTTCCCCTGATCTGTTGTGAGTAATTATAGTAATGAGGCACCTTGAAAATGTAAGCTGTTAATTAATAAGGCTACGTCTAATTGTATCTTCTTTATACCAGTGTCTGGCATTTTGAACAGTAATCAGATATTAATATCCTTCACATATGCAGAGTTTTAACCACCGTCTCTTCATAACTTACTCTTAATCCACTCTGTCTAGCTTTCTCTGTATTTAGTCAATCAAGTATCTTCTATCTCTTGGAATAATTACTTTATTCTAATGTTTTTCCCCTTAGGGAAGTTGTAGTTTATTTTCTTCTCCAAGTCAGTTTAATTTACATCACTGTCTTTTATTTACCACATGTAGTCTTAGTCTGTTTCCAAAAATGAGACATCGTAATTATTCTTTGAATCTGTCTACGCTTGTTTTCAAACTTTTTTCAACATAGTAACTTTAATATTTCAGTCACAGACGTAACTGGGTCCCATTCTCTGCATAAAATGAAGAAAGTTTTGATAGTGACTTTGGAGCGATTACCATACTCAAATGTTAAATGGGTACTAATTTAAGGCCAGATGATATGCCAATTAATGCTAAAATTAATCAAGCAGTTGGGACAAATGAATAATGGAATGAGCATGGCTGGAAACAAAATCTGTAGAAGATAAAGTTAACAAAATCTCCTGGAATTCAGAATAAAATTTAGAGATGCAAAATATAAAAGTAAGTATAACAAATCTTCAAATAATCTCTGTAGAAGACAAAATAATTAAAAAAGTTAATAGGAGACATTCTCTTCCAAAAGTAGAAAGTTCAGGTTTTGGGAGACCTTGAGGGCAAACTGAATCCTAAGAGAAATTCATGAAAAAGACTAGTAGAAATGATTCTATTTTAATTTCAAAATTCCAAAGGAACAGAATAATTCTTAAAAGCTCCTGGAGACATGGAGATCATTTGTTTACAACAGGAAGAGAATAATTATCTTAGCAACTCTGAATACTAGAAGGCAATGCAACTAGGACTTAAAAGTTATAGCAAAAATAATTGTCAACTTGTAAAATTCTCCAATATACTTCAAAATGTCTATTACATATCGTATCCAAATTTACATTTTGAACACGTATAAACCCTGACCATTACACATAATATACTATATGAAAAATTATCCAGCAGGTACTTAGGATAAAAAAGGAGAGAGTATGAGTTGATACACTGCCAGGGCAACAGCTAAATATGGCCAGGAGAATGTTTAAAAAAATTAGCTGGGCATGGTGACAGGCTCCTGTAATCCCAGCTACTTCAGAAACTGAGGCAGGATAATCTCTTGAACCTGGGAGGCAGAGGTTGCAGTGAGCCGAGATCGCACCATTGCACTCCAGCCTAGGTTACAAGTGTGAAACTCCGTCTCAAGAAAAAAAAAAAAAAAAAAAGAGTTGGGAACGGTATAGAAGATTTTGAAAGCTATAGTTTTCATTTTTATTGTTGACAAAGGAAGAATTAAAGGTGTATTTTATTTAACTCTACATCAGTAGCCACTAGTATAACTGAGAAATCTACTAAGGTTAACCCTTGGTTTCTGGGAACAGGAGGCGTTGAGATATTTTTACTTTTCCATCCTTCTGTATTACTTGAGATTTATTTTACTGTGTTGAGTAATGTTTTATAATGATAATGATGATAAAAATAACTAGTTTTAGAAAGAAAAAGTCCCATGTCTTTGACATAGGGTCAAAGAAAACAGCAAACAGCAAACAATTTTAACAGTGCCCTCTTTTTCAAATCTTGTGGATGTTTTAAATTTTGGAGTTTAATGCTCTGTGGTTACAGTCTTTTTGTTTTTTGTTTTTCTTTTTGAGGCGGAGTCTCACTCTGTCACCCAGGCTGGAGTGCAATGGCGCAATCTTGGCTCACTGCAAGTGATTCTCTGCCTCAGCCTTGCACGTAGTTAGGATTACAGGGGCCCGCCACCACGCCCAGCTAATTTTTGTATTTTTTTTTTGTATTTTTTTTTTTTTTTTAAGCAGAGACAGGATTTCACCATTTTGGCCAGGCTGGTGTCGAACTCTTGACCTCAGGTGATCCACCCGCCTTGGCCTCCCAAAGTGCTGGGATTACAGGCATGAGCCACCGCCACCTGGCCGTGTAGTTACAGTCTTGAAGTTCTTAATAATTGTATCTTTGACTCTGTGTTTTAAAAGTGAAGTTCAACGAAACAATAGAATGTGACCTGGGAGTTTGGAGTCTTGGAGCCTCAAAATGGCTGTTGCACTTTGGGTCGTGCGGGCGGCAATGTGTCTGCATCTGCCCGTGCCTTCTGCCTCTAGGGGGCACTTGGGTGTTAGCCCAGGGAAAGCTGGAGTTAGGCAAGTGCCTGGTGGTGTTTCAGAGGGGAATAAGGCTGTGGCTATCTTCTCCAAGGCTGTACTCATTCAAGTACTAAGGGCATCCCGCAGGGAAGTTGCAATCTGTTGAACTACACCAGTTTGACATGGGATGGAGTCACAGGCCCGTGGGAAGAAATGATTGACCTCTCTGTTCCCAGTCAGGACCACAAATTTTCATTTTGCACTAGGCCCTGCAAATTATGTAGCCAACCCCAAGAGGCAACTTCATGGAAAACAATGGGAAGATGTCATTGGGCATTAGCCTGCCGTTTCTATTGGGGTCATGATTTTGATTCCTATTGCCAGGAGATGATGGAGTGTCAGGAATTCTTGTCCATGTTCATGTTAGTACTTCTGACACAACCATAGCCACTTCCTAAGTTTCTTGCCTCTTTCTCATTCCCAGCAGTATTTCCTCTCAGAATAGAGACCATACAGCTGGAAGCTTCATAAAGCATCTCGCTTACCTTCGTTGCCAGTCCCAATTCCAAATCATGCAGTGGATTCTTTCCTCCCTAACTCATCTCTTTTGAGAATTTTACTTCCATGTATTTGACTTCTGCTGTAGGCGGCCCTCATTCACACTCTTTCTCTCAGTTCCATTACTTTATTCTTCACACTTGCAAAGTCTTTTTTCTTCATCCTAATGCAGTGGTATGATTTAATCTTATCTCCTACAGGATCCAAAACTAGGTGGAATTTTACATTTTTACTAGTATTTTTTTATTTCCTAAGCCATTTTCCATTTTGGAAATGGCATTTTTCAATATATCCTTATTTGTTTTTTGAGCTTATGTTGAATGCTTTGTCTAGAGAAATATAGATCTTTTAAAATTTGGTAGTTCTTTTGTGCTTTAATAAAGCTTATTCCTGAAGGTCTTTGTTTAGGTTTCATTTGAAATAATTTCTGAGTACCTACCTTCTGTAAGGTACTGGGGGCTGACAACGTACTCATGAAACTTCTTAGAGTTTTTCAACAGGGATGCTTACATTTGTTTGAAATGTAAAGAAAAAACGTATTTGTTTATAAACTATGCTGTGGACTGAATTGTGCCCCTCTCATTCACATGTTTAAAACCTGACAACCAATGTGATAGTATTTGGAAATGAGGCTTTTAGGAAGTAATTAAAGTTGGATTAGGTCAAAAGGATGGTGGGGACCTCCATGATGGAATTAGTGTACTTTTAAGTCACCCAGTCTGTGGCATTCTGTTATAGCAGCCCAAGCTCACTAAGACAAACTAAAAATAATTTCAATCTAGTTTGTTTTTGATTTTGTTATTTAGTTGACTATTAAGCATATTTCTCATATTTCTTATAAAATTCATACTAATGATTCAAGTATTACCATTAGTGTTTCTTTTTTTTCTTTCATCCTTTCTCACATAGTCACTAGAATGACACAGATCTTCTACTCTAGACAACTACTGTAGCAAATAAGAGAAGAAAGAACGAAGGTAAAGTGGGAAGAACAAAGTATGTTAGAAATATTTGCCAGATCACTTTGGTCTTTTAAGTTTGGAAAACATATCAAAAAACTTAAAAGAGTGTCTTGCCTTCACATTCCTTGATAAAAATTAGTTGAGGGTTCAGGCAATGCTGTAAATATATTCATGGGAAAGGCAGAAAGGAAGACATAAAAATGTAATAGTTACTGTGTCTTCCAAGTACCAGGCATTGTACTAAATGCTTTACATATGCTATGTTGTTTTGTCTTCACAATCTCTCTGGGAGGTAAATATTATTATCCCATTTATATGAATGGAATTGGGGCTTAAAATGTTAATTTTCTATAGCCTGACAATTTAAGGGTGTTAGAATTTAGCTAATATATAAGTCTGTCTGATTTTGTGACACTCTACTACACCACTCTGAAAATTCTATTCTTTCTTATTTATATTTGCTTTGTTTTCCTTATAAACTCAGTGGACTAATACTCAACTTTAATTTTAGCAAGAAAGCCTGCTGCCTGACCTGTAAGAACCTTACCTTTTCTCTTAGGACTCATCTTAATTGAAAGAGCTGCCAGTCTATGAAGGGTCAGTAATCTCTTTCCTGTTGAATTATCATGCCTCATCCAGTTTGTTTTATGGCTTCAGATTAGAGTCAAAGTCCTCTTTTGTTATTCATTGTCTTGATTCAATAAGGACAGAGTTGGTTAATGTTTTACTGGGAAGATTCCCAGTGGTCACATTCTGGCATGTGAAAAAAATTGGATTTATTTATCAATATATAACCAGCTGTGTGGGAGATGTCTTCTTTTAAACCCCCTTTTTTTTCTTGTTAGGTAGTTTATTTGGGAACAAGGCAAATAATGGGAAAGGAGACACATTTTGGGTTTTTGGTCTTTTGAAGAGAAGAGTCATTCTGGGAACCCTTTCCTAATCCTGCCTCTCATAACCCCAATTTTTAAACTCCTAATTTAGAAGATGATGGATAAAAGCTAAGCCAAAATCAACGTGAGGGAAAGAAAATTGTGATTCATATCAACTTCTAGGACAGTTATTCTTTGTAGCAGTCCACTGACCTCTTAAATTAATAAACAACATGGCCCTAGATGTTAGGTAGACTCGGAAGTATCAAGATGAGACTAATGATAACCTAACATCACCAGCTACAACTGTACAGACAGTGCTTGGGCATGCTACTTGAAAGGCCTATTCAGAAATTATGTTTCCAGACTTTTTTTTGATACTCCTCGCAGCTCTCTGTCCTAGGACTCTTTGTTTCCATTCATTTTCCTCTCTTAGTTTTAAAATTTTATTTAAAATTTTTGCATCATATTATGTAGAAAACATTAATCTTATACATGAACTATATCAAAAGCAAGAAAATAGTAATCATCAGGTCCCTGGCTATTCTTTTGTATTTAGACAACATGCTGCATCAGAAAGAGAGCCATTTTCTGAATTCAACCGTACTGTTTTAATTTTAGAATAATTTTGATGATACCTGGACAGTTTCAGCTTCATTGGATTGCTTCCATATTAGTTTATTGGGGCTGTCTTTACAATGTAGCATTGACTGGGTGGCTTACTATTCTCACAATTCTGGAGGCATAAAGTCCCAGACCATATTTCATGTGTCAGCAGGGTTGGTTTTTTTCTGTGGGCCTCTCTTCAGCTTGTAGATGACCATCTTCTCCCTGTGTCTTCATATGGTCTTCCTTCTGTGTGCCAATTTCCTCTTCTTGTAGGACACCATCATATTATATTAAGGGTAGTTGTATTAGTCTGTTCTCACACTGCTAATAAAGACATACCCAAGATTGGGTAATTTATAAAAGAAAGAGGTTTAATTAACTCATGGTTCCACAGGGCTGGGGAGGCCTCACAATGATGGTGAAAGGCAAATGAGGAGCAAAGTCGCGTCTTACATAGTGGCAGGCAAGAGAATGTGTGCAGGAGAACTCCCCTTCATAAAACCATCAGATCTCCTGAGACTTACTCACTATCACTATTCACTATCACGAGAATAGCACAGGAAAGACGCACCCCCATTCAACTACCTGATTCAATTACCTCCCACTGGGTGCCTCCCACAACACATGGAAATTATGGAAGCTACAATTCAAGATGAGATTTGGGTGGGGACACAGCCAAACTATATCAGTAGTCTATCCTTAATATAATAAGATAATATAATATATAATAATATATTATAATATAATATAATATAAGATAATAATAAGATAATATAATAATATAATAAGAGTAGTGACCTCATTTTACCTTAACAACCTCTTTAAAGACTCTGTCTCCAAATACAGCCACATTCTGAGTTACTGGGGGTTAGGATTTCAACATATGAATTCTGGGGGGAGCACTTGTGAATTCATCCCATAACACCTCCTAAAGTCTATTCAGAAGCCAGCAATCTAAATACAAGTCAGATTGGGCCCCCTTCTCAGCTTACACTGTCTTCTTGCACATTCCTATCCAGTGTCTTCCGCAGTGCCTGGAATAGACGAAACAATTCCTATTTCTTGAAATGAAGGTACATTTGTTAGTGTGCTTTTAAAATTTCAAGTTGGTGCAAAACATATTTCATAACATGTAACTGTTCACTTTTTCTATATCGTGCATATAATAACAAAGTTTGGTTTTCCAAACTCTTGGTTTACATTGATGCAGAGCTATTTTGTATCTTTAGTGCATCTTGAAGAGAATTCAAAAGGCACAGAAAGGTCAAAGAATTCACAACTGTGTCCATGTGTCCTGTACAAGTGAGTTATCCTACATATTGTGGGCAGCATACTTCTCAAAACCACATGTAATTGATGCGGCATTCAATTTGAAATACCCATAAAAAGTGGAGCAGGCTTTCTATTTGATGTAATTCTCTTGATATCAGAGGAAATATGCATCAAACTTTATATTCAAAAAATATAACTTAGTGCTTTTAACAGCAGGCTTGGTAATTAGTTGGGCAATTAAGGGACTGTAAATTATAATTTTAACTCCAATAGACATCCTCTCTAACACCTTGGGAAGTCCATTTACCATTACTTCCTCTATTTTCCCATCTATAAAATCAGCCTAAAAATAGATTCTCTATAAACTTGCTGATGAACTAAAGAAAGATAGGTTTAGAAATGGAAGAGACTTTGCAAGGTTATCTGGTTAAGTCTACTTTCAGGCACATTTATTTCATAAGGATAGAAAGTTGCCGTCTCATTTTATTTATGAACATTTTTAAATGCTTAATGTATTTTAATGTTATTTTTGTAGAATTTTACATGAAAAAGATTACAAGGTGATTTACATGTATTATAAGTATGCATTGTATGGCAAGACAAAAGAGTAGCTGTTGTCTGTTGCAGAGGTGAATGTATTTATTAGCCACAGCCTAGTTGGGTCTTAATTTCCAAGGTTAATCATTAACATATTTAAAGTAAGGTAATCCACTTTCATTAAAGCCATTAGGACCTATAGGTCCTGACTCAGGAATCTGTCACCTGGCCTACATTCCACAGATCTCATTCTAGGTTTGGCACTGAATTTTAACATTCTTTTTTCTTTCTTAAATCATATTCTCTTAAAAGTGCTGGCTTGTATTTCTTTCTCCTATTTTGTTGCCTCTTTCTCTGTCTCTCTCTCTCTTTAATACATACCATGTTACTAACAAACAATCAATCAAACCCTTTATACATTTTTACAGTTCTGCATTTCTGTTATCCCAAAGGGATTTTATTCCTTCAATATTTACTGCTAGGCCACATTTATCTTTTCTGTTGGGGGAAAAATCATATATCCTTTTTTTTTGTATATACTGTTTTCTACTGCAGTCTTCCTTAGGGACACTGATAGTGCTGAAGTTCATAGCACTTGAGTGGTAGCACATTTTAGAGTGGTGTCACCTGGGTGGCATAAAGGAGTGGTTCCCCATGTGGGCAGGAGGTAGGAGGAGGGTAGGAGGAGGAAGGCTGCCAACATCACTGCCCCAGAATCTTATTTGCTAAAGAAAGAATTATTCTGACACTTGTGAAAATGGTAAGGAAGACTTTATTCAGGACTACTGTGATGAGTGTCAAGACGATTGCAATAGAGTAGAGAGAGTACAGGCTTAACTCTGAAGACAACAAGATCAAATAGGAATTTATAGCCAAGGAGCAGGTTGTCAGGGTGTGGAGGGTGAGTGGTGGGGGAAATAATCAGTGGATGGAAAATGAACAAGAGGAGACATCAAAGGTAGCGAGAACTGGGGGAATTCTCGCTGAACTGACCTAATAGAATTCTTTCTGAAGGCAGGCCAGGGTGACCGAATATGAGGGATGGGTGGGAGTTGGGGGATGTAGAATTTGAATGAAGGGGATTGGATATGAAGTGTGGGGGGATTCTCTCTAGCAGGCTGAACAGGTTTCTTGTTAAAAGTTTGCTGCTGTGTTATGTAGGCCCAGCAAGGATGAGGGGATGGGCTGCAGGGGTTGGGGTGGGGCAGGGATCAAAGCTGAGACCTACTTGAGAAGAGCGCTCAGAGACCTGACTGAAGTTTGGTCAAGGAAATAGTCATTGTCAAATTGTCATGGGGAGCTTTGGTTTGGATGAGAGGTGTGGAAAGTGGGCCTGTCCTGGGTAGTTACCACTGCAATCCAGGTGATTTTGATGTTGATCAATGCCCTGGTTTGTAAAAAAAACAAACAAAATAAAATAACCTAAAATGTCTTCTTTAATTCCCTGATAATCTCAGCTGTTTTCAACTATGTAAATAGTCTTTAATTCACTGGTTTCCAACCCTGGCTACATATTGAAAACATCTGGAGAGCTTTTACAAACTACACATACCTGGGTACCCCTCATTACCCTAGAATTATTGTGAATGCACTTTAGGGATCAGTGTTTTTTTAAAGCTCCCCAGGTATTGTGATGAGCAACCAGGGTTGAGAACCATGCCTCTAACTGAATGCTCCAAAGTTAAATTAATTACAAATGTTCCTTCCCTCTCCCAGAAAATAAAGTAATTTCTATACTTACATTTGGCAAATTCTTAAAGTTTTTTACTCTTGGCTAAGCCAACAAACTTCTCTTAAATTTTTGTCACTGGAAATATTTTCCACATTTTTGCTATTTATGTAGGGAACAATGCAAGCTGCCTCACATCCTTTTTAATCTGGATACCCTATATCAACAAAGGTCTGACTTATTTCTGATACAGGAAGAATAAATATTTCCTGGTCTTTGCATGACTTATTCAAATAAACGAGTTGCTCGAGTTCAAATGACTATTTCTAAATCATCCTTGTATCAGATTTCCTTTTTTCTAAAGAAGTTGTATGAGTAAGGGGAAAGTGAGGCATTTAGCCGATAAGGGCTTGGGTAATCTGCCATTGTTTGTTGGGTGAGACAGAAATTGGTCTAGTGAATTTGTACCACAGAAAATTACTTAGTCTGCTCCAAAGAAGCTGTCAAGCCTGGCTAGGAGCTACCAATGCAGTTCTTTGCTCATAAAAACAGTTGTGAGAGCTATCCTTTTATTCTGGTTGTAAATACTTAACACTGCTAGTAAGCCACCTTCTCAAGGAATTTTGTGGGTTTTCACAGATCCTTTCCTCTTCCCTTTTCATTGTAAACCGTCCTGAAACAAATTATTATTAATAAATTATATTTCTATAACACCTTTCTTCTGCCAGGGCTCCCGGGTGGCAATACATACAGAAATAAAAACGTAAATAAAAGTATTTCTTATACCTCTTAACTCTGCCTGTTGTCCAAAGCAGCCACTATTAATCCCAAGAATTTCAGAAGTATTTTGAAGTAAGTTCCATAAAATCCTCCAATCTTGGAGGATGGCAGTCTGTTAGGATGATGTATTTGTAAGCTAAAGAGCTTTACACTTTAAAAACAACCAAGATACACATAAAATCTGACTATTTTGATAGAGCTTTAGAAGAAAGTTAAAATTATGTCTTATGTATTTTTGGGGAAAAATTTATAAATATATACATATGTTAACTAAGAAAATTACGGACTTGGTTTAAGTAACTAGTCATTATAAAATTCAGAGTGCTAAGACTAGATTATAATTTTAGTCAAAGAGTATTATTACCATAAGTTTTTGATAAAGATTGAATAACTGTGATGAAAATGGTAGGGGTCAATCCCATTACTGGGTATATACCTAAAGGATTATAAATCATTCTCTAAAGACACAGGCACATATGTGTTTATTGCAGCACTATTTACAATAGCAAAGATTTGGAGCCAACCCAAATGCCCATCACTGATAAATTGGATAAAGAAAATGTGTCACATATATACCATGGAATACTATGCAGCCATAAAAAAGAATGAGTTCATGTCCTTTGCAGGAACATGGATGAAGCTGGAAACCATAATTCTCAGCAAACTAACACAGGAATGGAAAACCAAACACCGCATGTTCTCACTCATAAGTGGGAGTTGAACAGTGAGAACACATGGACACAGGGAGGGGAACATGACACACTGGGGCCTGTCGAGGGGTGGGGGAAGCAAGGGGAGGGATAGCATTAGGAGAAATACCTAACACATGTGGGGTTTAAAACACAGATGATGGGTGCAGCGAGCCACCATGGCACATGTATACCTATGTAACCTGCATGTTCTGCACATGTATCCCAGAACTTAAAGTATAATAAAAAAAGAAAATGGCTAGGGTTAGTGCCTCTAGCAATTTTTAAATACTTATCTTAATCCTCAATGCAAAAAGCTAAGAACTTGGAAATGACATAAAAACAAAATACACAAGATATAGCACAAAGTGTAGTGTGGGTGAAGGTAGTTAGAATATATGGAATTATGTCAAAGACATGAATATTTGATATACAGATATAAGCTTTCCATAGAGTACAATTAAACTATTAGGACTCCATAAACATAAAAATGTGCTGTTTCTTTTTCCTTAGACCACTTAGTACGTTTTAAATAAACTCGCTTTTCTTTTTAACCTTGCACATTAGACATAAGAAACTGTCATGTCTGCATTACTTGGATTATAAACATGAACCAAAGTCTGAGGCAGGCACTTTGCACAGATTCTTTAGAAGTGATTGTTCTCGCTGGAGATTACCCAGAGTTTAGACGTTTCCCTGATTTGAGTCACTCTGGGATTTAGGCTGTAGCTCACAGTAACTGAGTCCTCTGAGGTCACTTGTTATACCTGATACCTTTTAAAAAGTCAATATTTAGGACCACAGGTTTAGAAGAACCACAGTTTGCCTGAAACCAGTTGATGATAATGTTTGTTTGTTTTCAGAGAATCCTTCACACTGACATCATTCTCAAAATCAGCAGGGCAATGATGAAGTGGTTAATCATTTGTTCTTTAACCTTACAATATCTGGACCTATCATTAATCATCAGTGTCTGTGGGTGTGCTTGCATTTTTTTGGATTTGTGAGTTATCAAAAAAAGAAAATGTAACTAGTGAATAATGATTAACAGAAAGTATATGGAGAAATATTGGTGCTGTCAGTTCATTGCTTTGTGCTTAATTTTTGCTAGTATTCATTACTACAGAGGAAACTTTGAATGATTTCATGTCAACACTGTGACAAACAGTTCAATCCTTCAGAAATATTCATAAAATACTTGCAGCTATTAAAGTCTCACTGTGGCATACAATGGTAAATGGTCTTTCTCTATTGGTCTGTGTGTGTGCCTATGTTTAAACTTGTGAATATATCCCATCGACTGAAGAATATTTTATGTGCAAGTATTTCAAGGTCCTGGGTGAATTTCTTTCTAACTGTATATTTCCACACAGTTTAAAAATTATGTAGATTACATCTCTAAGCCTGACTCTTTTAAGCTTCTTTCAAGTTTGGATTTGTCTCAGTTAAAATTTCAGGGAAAATTTCCAACCTGAAAGGGGTGAATTTCTCCTTATACTTTCCAGCATCAGAGATGAAACCACCTAAGGTTTTCTCTGGTCTTGAGGCCAAATGCCACCCACATAGTGGTCACAGTGAGCAGAATTGCTCTACCACCTTTTTCTCTGCTAAATCTGCAGTTTATCCTCTTCTACAAATTTATATCATGACTTGACTGGTCTTCTCTTTTTTTATTTGCATAAATTTAGAGGGTACAAGTACAGTTTTGTTATGTGGATATATTGTGCAGTGGTGAAGTTTGAGATTTGAGAATAGCCATCATGTGAATAATGTGCAGTGTAACCACTAAGTCATTTCTCATCCCTTATCCCCATTCCACCCTGTACCCTTCTGAGTCTTCAATGTCTATTATTTCACCATGTCCATGTGTACACATCTTTTAGCTCCCACTTATAAGTGAAAATACGTGGTATTTGACTTTCTGTTTCTGAGTTATTTCACTTATGGTATTGGCGTCCAGTTCCATGTTGCTGCAAAAGACATGAATGATTTCATTCTTTTGTTTGCCTGAGTTTCCATGTCTCATATATATGTGATGTGTGTGTGTATATATACATGCATGTAGCATATGTATATTTGTATGGTGTATATATATATATAGTATATAGGTATATATGTTATGTATGTATGTAGATATGTATATATGTATAGCATATAGTATGCATATGTATACTACATATATATGTATGTATGTATACTACATCCATGTGCCATGGAATACTGAGGCAAACCATGGTTTGCCTGAGTAGTGTGTGTGTGTGTGTGTGTGTGTATGTTATGTGTATATGTTATTATATATGTGTATATATGCTACATATACATATATGTAGTGTATACACACATATATGTATATGGTTTGCCTTAGTATTCCATGGCACATAATATATGTATATGGTTTATATATGTATATACACATATATATGTATATGGTTTTCCTGAGTAGTATTCTATGGCACATAAATGTATATATACACACACACATCTGGTGTGTGTTTATACATATATATAAAATATATATGCATGTGTATATAAAATATATATGTGTATATATACTGCATTTTCTTTTATTTATATGTGTGTATGTATATATATGTACACCACATTTATCCAGTCATCTGTTGATGGACACTTAAGTTGATTTCATATCTTTGCTATTATGAATAGTGCTGCTATAAAAGTACGAGTATGGCTGGGCGCAGTGGCTCATGCCCATAATCCCAGCACTTTGGAGGGCCAAGGCGGGCGGGTCACTTGAGATCAGGAGTTCAAGACCAGCCTGGCCAACATGGTGAAACCCCATCCCTACTAAAAAAAAAAAAAAAATACAAAAATTAGCCAGGCGTGGTGGCATGCACCTGTAATCCCAGCTACTTGGGTGGCTGAGGTGGGAGAATCGCTTAGACCTGCAAGGCAGAGATTGCAGTGAGCCCAGATTGCACCACTGTATTGCAGCCTGGGTGACAGATCGAGACTCCGCCTAAAAAAAAAGGACAATTATGGGTATCTGTGATTGCTGGGTAAATCATAGTTCTATTTTTAGTTCTTTGAGAAATTTCCATACTGTTTTCCATAGTGGTTGCACTAAGTTACATTCCCACCAGTAGTGTATAAGTTTTCCTTTTCCTCCTGATCCTTGTCAATATCTGTTTTTTTTTGTTTGTTTGTTTTTTGACCGGAGTCTTGCTCTGTCTCCCAGGCTGGAGTGCAGTGGCGCGATCTCGGCTCACTGCAAGCTCCGCCTCCCGGGTTCACGCTGTTCTCCTGCCTCAGCCTCCTGAGTAGCTGGGACTACAGGTGCCCGCCCCCACGCCCGGCTAATTTTTTTTTTGTATTTTTAGTAGAGATGGGGTTTCACCATGTGTTAGCTAGGATGGTCTCGATTTCCTGACCTCGTGATCCGCCCGCCTCGGCCTCCCAAAGTGCTGAGATTACAGGCATGAGCCACCACGCCCGGCCGGCCATGACTTTTTAATAGTAACTATTCTGACTGGCATAAGATGATATATCATTGTGGTTTCATTTGCATTTATCTGATGATTAGTGATGCTGAGCATTTTTTCATGCACTTGCTGGCCATTTGTAGGTCTTCCTTTGAAAAATGTCTGTTTATGTCCTTTGCCCACTTTTTACTGGGATTATTTGATTGGTCTTTTCAATGACAGTTCTTTACCTGTGAACTGCTAGAATTTGAGCCACACAAGTCCTCGCTCCTGGTAACCGCTATTGTGTCTCTGGTGGACTACCTGATTATACCTCTAGCACGTGGCATTGGCCAATCATTGGGAAAAATACCTGAAATAAAATTCTGCATTAGTCAGATCTGACAATCATAGGAAAGCAATAGCTGTGTTTGTGTGTGTGGATGCGTGTAATCATTGAGTATCTCCTGCAAGTTTCCTTAACAAACATATTCTTTATTATCCTTGAGTGATGTATTTGCTTCTTGAATCTCCAATGCTTTCCTAATTCCTTTATTTTTGAGTATACCATATTTACTACCTGTTTGTTCTACCTAGAGTCTTACAGAATGCTCTCAAGAAATACCTACAACATTCTTTTTTGGATAGAGGAATCAGTATGCAGAGGAGTGACTTAAATTTCATGATTTGAAATAGGGAGGTTTCAGGCTTTTGGCCTATGGTTCACCTTTTAAAACGTTGTTTGATATGTAGGAGACACTCAAATATTTCTTGAATGATTGAACATTGAATTAATCTTTAAGGGTCCAACCAACCTCACACCTTATCATGTACTTTCTGTTTGCTGAACAAACATTTCAGAGGATTTTCACTGTGATATAGTATGGAATTCAAACTTTATCTTCTCAGGCAAGGCTCAAAATAATTTGCATCATATATATTTTCAATGTTATCTTATATCTTTGCAAGAGAGAAAACAATAATACTAATTGTAAATTGTATACTGATTTTGTAGGAATAATATACATACGGTACATTGTTTTTTTAAATTGATGATTTCGGTATTTGAATATCTTATATTAGATATTTGAACACTATCTCTTTTCAGACTACAACATTTAATGTCGAGAGTCAACTGAATGAAATTTCTAATTTTCCTATTCATTCATTTTTAGTCATACAAACCATAATACCATTATGAAGATGTAGTGACTATGTCTGTGAATTACTTTTTTCAAATTAAATTTCTTTGGTAAAAACAGCTAACTGAAATACATTTAGAGTGTTTTTTTCCTGTATTTTTAATTGCTGAAAAGAAAATGTCAAAATGAATGAAACTTTTAATAAAAGATCCCTGTTTAAAATGAATGCATGGTGTCGAATGTCATGATAAAATAGTGAATAAAGGTCAAATCTATAATCACATATATATACATATATGTATGTATGTATATATATACACACTAAATATTGAATGTGTAAACTTCCCACTTAATTTTGTTAGAATGTTCTAACAATATGAAGAAAATAAAATTATTATAATAATGAAAATAGGAATTTGTATATACAAAACACTGTTTTGCCTAGAATTTGTATATGCTCACAATAAGTAATTGTTAAAATTTTCAATTAATAACAAGACTGAGAAAATGTCTCCTTCTATATGAGTAGGACCTTTGCTTTAATTTCTCTGACTGTATATTCTGATGTTTCTTCTCAGCATCCAAATATACTTAAATTTCCTCCTTTTCAAAAATAAAAAACCAAGGAAAACACCTAAGAATATTTTTTTTCTTCTAACTTCTACCTTTGAAAACTTTATCCTCACATCCAAAATTCTCAGAAAACTTGTCTACCCAAGTGGCAACACTTTATCACTTTCCATTCCCTCCTCACTCCTCAGTCCACTTTAATCTGGCTTTTTCTCTTTACTTCAGCAAAAGATTCTTTAAAACCACCAGTGAAATCCTTATCACGAAATCCATCTCTATGAGTTTTGCTTCACAGTAGCAACTGACGCTCTTGGCCACTCTCCTTGAACTATTCCCATCCTTGGGCTTCGGGGCAGCTATGTGGGGTTCCCTTTCAAGCTACATCTTTCCTCTGCAGGCTCATTTCCCTCTGCCTGGCTGTTGAGTGTTAAAATTCCTCAAGACTCCAAGATTCTTTGCTCCCTTCTGTTTTCTGTGTATTCTCCCTAGTGTATCTTATTCACATCCGTAGTTTAAACTACCATCTGTATGATAAGAACCCTGAAATGGATATTTTTATCTCTTAGCTCCAATTTTGCAAATCCACATTGTGCTTATTGAAAAGTTTCTCTTTAGATGTTTCAAAGGTGCCTCAAACTCAACATGTCTAAAACGGCACCAATGACCTCCCATCCCAAACTCAGTCTTCTGTGTTTCCTGTTGCTGTGAACACTACGTCTCTGACCACATCTCCTTCAACGTCCTCCTGTGCTTTGTACCACCTATACTGGCCTGCTTGCCATTCTTTGAATAAAACAAGAGAACTTCTATCACAAGATCTCTGCACTTGCTCTTACTTCTGCCTGGAATATCTTGTCTCTAATTCTTTCCATAGAAATATTCTATTCTTCATTCATTTCTCATCTCAAACACTTCCCCCTTAAAGAAACTTTCCGTGAACACCTTATCTAAAGGCTCACCCATTCCTATTGTCATTTATCATATTGGTATTTTTAATTTCTTATGCTTATAAATGTCTCTTAAGGTGCTATTGTTGATACATGTATTTTTTTTCCTTAAACTAGAATCTTAGCTCTTCAAAGGAAGTTACTTTGTTTGTAACTGTCAAAACATAATGTCCACTACACACTAGCAATTAGATTTTACTTATTAGTTCCCAAATCTATTCATTTCTCTTTATCCCCATTGCCACCACTCTAGCCTGAGCTACCATCACGGCTTGGCTGCAACAGCTTCCTTACTACATCTCTTTAGTTACCTTCCAATCTACCTATTCTGCCCTGTAACTAAAGTCGTGTTTTTACAGAAGCAAATCCGATAATGCTGCTTTACTCCTTAAAAACATTGAAGCATTTCCTGCTGTTCTCAAGATAATGATCAAAATCTTTGAGGTGAGCTGTAAAGCCAGGCATGATCTCCTTCATGTCTTATTGCTTTTCTCTTTGCTTCCCCTCCATGCCTCGCCCCCGCCCCCCCACCCCCCACTACTTTGGTGTTTCTGTAAGTTCCTCAAATGCCTGATTTTCCTACTCATCTTGTAATGTTTCACAAGTTGCCTTGACCTGGATGGTTCTTTCAGTGTACTGGTGCCTAGCCCTAGACTTTACCTGGTTAATTCTTACTTAGTCTTCTAATTTCTGTCCAAATTCCAATGTTCTGTGTGCCTGGCATTGTACTACGTGCTGAGACATGACAACGTTGTGAAAAGTCTTTGCTCTCATATCTTTTCAGTATAGAATAGAAACCTGCTATGCATTCACCTGGCTTCCAACTGAGGAGCCACGCTGGATTTTCTACTAACACATTCACAATTTGTAAATATACACATTTGTGTATGTATAGAATTGTTTTTTAATTTCCCTCACTAAACAGTAAGCTTCATGATTTGCAATATGTATTCACGGAATAGATGAATGCATGACGTCCATTTAATAAACACTTCTTGAACACTGACTATAGTACATATGAGAACTCAAACTTGGCTTAAATAAATAATGTAATAATATTTTGTATATCAGCCAAACATTTACAATGAAGACAGTTCCATGGTTGAAATTTGAAGTCATCTCTTATTACATACACAGCTCAAGCCTTATGTTCTGTAATATTTTACTCTCTCTCTCCTAAGATTTAAGTTTCATATCTAAGCATACTTCTAATTATGTCAAATGGGAATCTTGCTTCTGCTCTTGTTTACAATGTCCTTTGATGAAATTACAACTTTGGTCAAATATAATCCTGATTGAATGGGCTCAGTGGTCTTTGCCACAGGCATTTAAGTTAATCTGTTGGCAACATGGAGAGAACACATTTCTTTCTATTTGGCAGGATATTAACTCATTTTAGCCATGGAAGCTGTAATTTTCTGAGTGGTATTCTAGTGGCTGGCAGAAGTTAATGCAGGTTTCCAGTGCCTTGTTCATGCCAATAATACAATTTTCACACCAAGAGTCTGGCGAGATGTATGTTGAGAGAAACCAATACATGATGTAAAACATGATTAGTTCAATTCAGTAAGTGTGTTTTAAGTTCTACTTTGTGAAAACTCTTCAGCACGAGTTGCGTGTAGAATAAAAGGCATGAGAGAGTCAGGACTTTCAATAAGGTTTCAGTCTTAGTGGACTGACGAAACGTGTACACAATTTCCATTAGGCTTCCAATGTGGAGACTTCATGTCATCATCCAGTAGCATTATTTATTCTTGCCTTCTTCCAAAATGGAGTCCTTGTTCTAAATCCCCTCTCTGTAAAAGCTGCATCATTCATGTGGTCACACAATTTTGAAATCTTGAAATTCTAACCAATTTCTTTTGTTTTATACCCTGGGTCTGATGAGTAGCCAAGTGGTATCCCTCCCTCCTTAAAATTGGCTCTCTTGGCCGGGCGCGGTGGCTCACGCCTGTAATCCCAGCACTTTGGGAGGCCGAGGCGGGCAGATCACGAGGTCAGGAGACCGAGACCATCCTGGCTAACAAGGTGAAACCCCATCTCTACTAAAAATACAAAAAATTAGCCGGGCGTGGTGGTGGGCCCCTGTAGTCCCAGGTACTCGGAAGGTTGAGGCAGGAGAATGGCGTGAACCCGGGAGGCAGAGCTTGCAGTGAGCCAAGATCGTGCCACTGAACTCCAGCCTGGGCAACAGAGCGAGACTCTGTCTCAAAAAAAAAAAAAAAAAAAAATTGGCTTTCTTTTTTTGCCCATCATTTGTGTCCCTGTGACTTGCATTACCTTCATCTTCTTATCCAGTGAAGGCAGACCTTTCTAAACTATTTTACAGAGCCGGGCTGGTGGAATGTCATTCATGCAGACAAAAATGTGAATGATGTCTCCTGGGATGACAAAGAGGTGGCTTTCTTATTATCAGTTGGTTGATTGATGGATCATTGAAACATTGTTGGGTTTCAAGTGTTTAAACCCTTTAAGTGAAAAGGAATTCAGTGTTTAATTAAAGTTAAACTCACCACCATTCCTAATAGTAGGAAGTCCTTCACAATATGCTGAAATCCATCCTTTCTTTTTCTTTCTTACGACTTCTTCCGCTTAATAATCAGTATTTGGAGAACCCCTAGTGTCCTCCAAGATCTGAACATTATCACATATATTCATCATTTCTATAATTATTTCTCACCTAATAGGATGTCCAGACCCCCTCAAAGGAACATGTGTACTTGAGCAGGGACAGCACTAGAATGTGGCATTCATTTTATAGATTTTAATCTAACAGGTTTTTAGATAGAACTTTTGTTTATCAAAACTGGATTTAGTTTTACCAAAGGGATTCAGTTGAATATGATAAATTCAGTTAAATGTGAGACCATACAGATATTAGATTTCAAGGTATTTGTCTTTAAACATGATAAAGAGAAAAAATACGTTCTGAGTAGAAAGGTACTTTACCTAAGAGCTCAAATCCATGACACTATCCATATTGTAGGCATCTCTGAGAACAGTTAATTGACAAAGTTTCCATTTAGTTACTATGTCAGGCTAAAGAAATCAATGATCCACATTTGACAAATTTTAACAGACTCAAAATCTGGGAGGTAGTTGACTTGTATTGAGATAAAACAAAAAAAGTAAGTTTACTTTTATCTGTAGCATAACACTTTATTAAGATTTCCAGGTTCAAAATATGCTTCGGGTGACAAATTGGACTTTGAATAATTGGTTAATATTCTGAGTCATGGAAGTTAGGATACTTTATGCAGGATAACTTCAAGAAAATCAATATAATATTTCTGCAAATTTCTTCTTTGTTAAAAGATTGCTCATCTTATACCAAAAAAGACATTAGAATACTCGAAAGCAATTTTTTGGTTCCCACTGTGCTCTCAGGAATTAAGGGTGATGTTGTCTCAAAGCCTAGTTCCTTTTAGAATATGACAAAAATATGCAAAAAAAATTATTTAGGGTACAAATGAAGAGAACTAGGTAAAATAGAGTGTGCACTTTGTAAAAGCAGCCTATCTGATCTGTTGACCACCTGCCTTGCAATTATAGCTGTTAATATGATTTCTTTAATCCAGAGGCAAAAGGAAGGAAATATGTTGACAGGATGTGTAATTGAAGGAGGGAGGCTCTCTTCTCATTCTCTGCCATTGCGGTGGATGGTAACACTACTTAAGAGGTAGGGAACTTTAAAAGAAAGAGAGTTCCCTTTATTTTCTCAGATCAGACTCTTAATGCAGGAACAATTTTTGTAAACTTAGGTAGCATAACGCAGACAGCAACACAGGCTCTCTCTGGCTAGACCATCTCTGGTTATTTTTGCCAGTCCCTGTAGGACAAGTTATCTCCTTAACTTCTATGCACATCTTTCTACCAGGTACATTAATGCTGCTTATTCTAATGTCTACACTCTTGGATACACTGAATTGTTTTAATTCTTCCTTCATGAAAGAGTCCCCTTTGTATTCAAACATCACCAGTCGTGTCCTAATTGTGAGATGCAGCTGGCGTGTTTCTGTCAACCTCTTATTGGAAACTGAGGCTGAATTTGATGCTTCTGTGATTCCTCTCAGGCTTGTCCATGTGCTTCTCATAATGCACCTCTCTACTCCCTTCCTGTGCTCCTATCATCCCATCCATCCTGCAAATACCAGTGTTTCTCAGGGTGTCAGACTGCCAATTTATGTACTCAGTATCCATTCTTCTTTTCCAATAGAATCCTGATTTTATTGGAGTTGAAAGGTATTGCAGATACATGTAGTCATTTTTCCAGATTCTTTTGAACTAATTTTGAGCAATGAGATGGAATAAAATGTTTAGAGAATGGGCTTAACTGGGAAACATTGTTTTCTAGCTAAAAACGGACATGTGCTTTCTTCCTTCTCCCTTGGTTTTGCTGAGAAAGCCAAGCATGCACACAGATGACTGAAGATACACAAGCCGGACTATGACCATGAGGGTAAGAGCCTCATGCTTAAGAGGACAAAGCAGGGTGCTGGACAGAGCCTGGTCTTTCTTTCTTGATCTGCCTCCCTCTGCATTTCCTGTTAAGTCATAAAAAAAATCCCTTTTTGGTTAAACCACTGTGATTTTTGTTTACTTGCAGCCCAAATCTAGTCATGCCAGTCTTGACTATTACATTATGTTTTTGAAAATGGTGTAATGTTTTAGTATTTTTGTATTTATTTTTCATTGTTTACTTTGTTTTTGTATTGTGTTTTAAGTATTAGTTAACATAATGTCCCTCACTAGGGACATAATGTATTGTGTTTTAACTATTAGTTATGTTAACATTAGTTGACATAATAAAGGAGCTAATGAAAATGCCTTAAAGTGGAGTTGTACCCAAACTGCCTAGCACAGTCTAGATAAAGAGAGAACTCATCTGTACTTACTTACACACCAAAAGAAACAGAATTGGGATAACTGAACCATAGGAAGTTTAGTCTTTTTCATGTTGTTTGGACTTTTGGTCATGTTGTACTTTTTTGGTAAAAAGTATATAATAATTTTCAGTGAGAACACTGAGAGTAATTAAGTGCAAGGTTTTTGAGAGCCACTAGTTGAAGAGGATACAGTAAAGATAAGAGTGATTAGCTATAAATATATTGACTTCTCTAATGTTACAGAAAAAAAAGGGGAGACTGGCTATGGATGGGTGGTTGTGTGAATAATCCAATAACCATTCAGAAAGAGAAGAGATTGTGGTGTGAATGGAGCAACTTGCTGGTTTTACATCCCTTCTAGTTTTTCACTCTACCACCACTGTCCTACTTTAGAAGTGAGCCTCCTGGACAAGTTCAAGGGTCTCCATCTTTCCCCTTTCAAATTGATTCACAATCATTAGTGTCCTATCTAAAATTAAAACCTGGCCATGTCAGTCCCTGCCTAAAAGTCCTTCAAAGGCCCCTGTTTTCTAGAGGTAAAATCAAACTGTGCATACTGGTCCCTCCATCATCTGCTTTGCCTAATTCTTCTCACTCTGAGCTGTGCTTTGGCCGTTCATGTGCTGGAGACGTGTGCAGGTCTCTGTGGCCCAGGTACCTCTTTTTCTCCACATGTGTCCCTGAACAGAGTGTCCTCTTTACCCATACTTCTGGTCTCTGACTTGGTGGCTTGGCTAACTGCATATATGTATTTAAGATCAAATTCTACTCTGCCTGCTATAGAAACTTCTTCCACTTACTAGCTGCGTAACCTTTGTGTATTAGTCTGTTCTCATGCTGCTACGAAGAAATACTCGAGACTGGGTAATTTATAAAGAATAGAGGTTTAATTGACTCACAGTTCTGCATGGCTGGGGAGGCCTCAGGAAACTTACAATCATGGCAGAAGGCACCTCTTTACAGGGTGGCAGGAGAGACAATGAGTGCAAGCAGGGGAAATGACAGAAGATTATAAAACCATCAGATCTGGTGAGACTCACTCATCATCATAAGAACAGCATGGGGGAAACCACATCCATAATTCAATTACCTCCACCTGGTCCCTCTCATGACATGTGGGGATTATAGGAACTACAATTCAAGATGAGATTTGGGTGGGGACACAGCCAAACCATATCACTCCAAACCCCTCATTTTCCTTATTTGAAAAATGGGGATAATAATGAAACCAATCTCATGAGATTGTTGTGAGGTTGAAAGGAGTCAACACATAAAAGTATATAGAACATAATAAATGAGCACAATATGCATTAGCTTTTGATTAGTGTATAATACATAATATTGATTATTAGTATTAAAATAACTTCTCTAAACCTTGTCTAATAAATCTGAACCTGTTCCTATAATATCATGAGCATATTTCTATTTCTTAACTTATCATTTACAGGCAATGCAGTGTTGTGAGGCCAGAGTGTATGGGTCTGAGTTTGGGTTCTGATGCATACTAGTTGTGTGGCGCTGAGCAAGTTGCTAACCTCTCTGTGCCTCATTTTCTTCAATGGTAAAACAGGGATAATACGATCTACTTCATAGGATTGTTGTGAAGAATAAATGAGTAAATATATGTAAAGCTCTTAGGACAGTGTCTGGCACATAGTAATTGCTATAGAAGTATTTGCTATGCTAATTACATTTTTACATATTTTCACCACTGCAATGTGTGTTTCTTAAAGGCAGAGATTGTGACATTAATTTTTTAAATTTCCAGTACTTAATGCTATGCCAAGTACATAGCTGATGTTCAAAAAATCCTTCTTGAGTGAATAGATGCTTTTTCCTTCTTGTTCTACAAAGGAACAAAATTTAAAGTAAAGCTGATGAAATTGTTATTTAAACATTCCTACATTTACTGTTCAGAAAGAGTAAGAGCATTGATATTCAATGGGTTTTACCTTTCCTCTCCTAGTATTTCTTTATTCCTCTCAGATTTGATAAGAACCATAATAAAACTTAGAGAAAACATTAAACAGCTGACACTTGAAATATCCAGTTAGAAATTCCTAAGTTCCTGCTATTTTAATTCCTGTCATTCATGACCATAGTAAGAAGGTCTATTTAAAGGCAACTCAGGTGATGGGAGGACTTATTCTGGATGACAGATTATAGTGAGCCTGTGCTCTGTACATTTCCATTACACTTCACGATAATGGATGACACATTTGCTTTTTCTTCTATTTTATTTTTGGGTTACTAGATAACTTGGGCCAGGTGGGTTCCTCTTAGAGTCACACACCTGCTGCTGGAGTTTGGTCTTTCAGAAACAACCTCAATTATTTGGAGAATTTTACCCAGGAATATAACATGATCGATTTTGTGGTTTGGAAAGAACCATCTGGAGTCCATGGAAAGAACTGAGGGAGGGGTGAGAGCCAGGGTAGGACATTAGTTAGAAGACTAAGGTAATAGCCCAGGTCAGCAACCAAGACAGAAACAATCACAGGGATGGAGAGAAAGGGAGGGGTGTGGAAAATGCTAGAGTTTTAATGGGCACTCCTCGTTAGTTACTGGAGGTGATGGAGGCTGTTAGAATAGTGTCTATGTGTTAAGATTAGATTATGGGAGATTAAGACGGTGGGTGGAAGGCAGGACTAACTTGCAGCTCCTGCTCAGTGGACAGAACAGCATGTGGGGACTCACATCATGAACTTTTGCTCCAAGAACTACTGCAGGAACATACCAGAGAAGCCGAGAGAATCCACAGATCCTTTGAAGGAACTGGATCACTGCTGCAGGCTCCCTGAGACACTGAAACACTGTGAGTCTGCTTGCTTTCTCAATGGGGAGGCTCGTGGTCTGGGGTGAGTTCTCAGCCGTGGTCACCAGCTGCCTGGAAATAGACTTGGTGCTGTTGGTGGGGCACTGTGGGAGTGAGACCAGCCTTTAGGACTGTGGGCTATGTGGGAGCGGGGTGAGGCCTGTGACTGCCAACTTTCCTCTACTTCCCTGGCTATCTGTACGAGTCAGCAGAGGCAGACATAATCCCCTTGGGAATGTAAGTCCATTGGACTTATATTCCCCACAGCAGCTGTAACACACCCCTATTCCCCACAGCAGCTGTAACAAGCCCTGCCCAAGGAGAGGCTGAGCTCAGACATGCCCATACCTTCCTCTATCTGATGATCTTTCTCTACCTGCCCTGGTAGTCCAAGACAAAGGTCATAATCTCTTGGGAGCTCTATAGCTCTGACCACCACCTGACAAACCTGAATGCCTAACCAGGTGTCCCCAGGGCAAGTTGGCATCCTCCATGCAGGACTGCAGCTGTGCTCTTGAAAGCGCCACCTCCTGGCTGGAGGCCAACCAACACAAAACCAGGGCATGAAACAAAAACACTACCAAGGACCCTCACATAATCCACTTTACTCCCCCGCTAACTCCGCTGAAGCATGTGCTAGTATCCATGGCTGCAAGACCCGAAGACAAATCACATCACAAGACTCTGCAGATGCTCCTCAGTACCAGATCAGAGCTCAGTAGCTCCACTGGGTAGCTAGACCCAGAAGAGCAAAAACAATCACTACAGTTCAGCTCTCAGGAATCCCCATTTTTAGGGGAAAGGGGAGAGCACTACATCAAGGGAGAATTCTGTGGAACAAAAAAATCTGAACAATAGCCCTTGAGCCCTAGCTCTTCCCTCTGACATAGTCTACCCAAATGACAAGGAACCAGAAAAATAATTCTGGTAACATGGTAAAACAAGGGTTTTTTTACACCCCCAAAAGATCATTCTAACTCACCAACAATGGATCTAAACCAAGAAGAAATCTCTGTATTGCCAGCAAAAGAATTCAGATGGTCGATTATTAAGCTAATCAAGGAGGTATCAAGAAAGGTGAAGTTCAACATAAAGAAATCAAAAGCATTATACAGGATATGAAAGGAAAATTATTCAGTGAAATAGCATAAAAAAATCACAACTTCTGGAAATCAAGGACACACTTAGAGAAATGCAAAATGCACTGGAAAGTATCAGCCATAGAATTAAGCAGAAGAAAGAACCTCAGAGCTTGAAGACAAGGCTTTTGAATTAACCCAATCCATCAAAGACAAAAAAGAATAAAAAAGAAATGAACAAAGTCTCCAAGAAGTTTGGGATTATGTTAAACATCCAAACCTAAGAATAATTGGTGTTCTTGAGGAAGAAGAGAAATCTAAAAGTTTGGAAACCGTATTTAAAGGAATAATCAAGGAAAACTTCCCCAGCCTTGCTAGAGATCTAGATACCCAAATACAAGAAGCTCAAAGAACACCTGGGAAATTAATCACAAAAGATCATCACCTAAGCACATGATCATTAGATTATCTAAAGACAAGATGAGGGAAAGAATCTTAAGAGCTGTGAGGCTAAAGCATCAGGTAACCTATAAAGGAAAACCTATCAGATTAATAGCAAATTTCTCAGCAGAAACTCTACAAGCTAGAAGGGATTGGGGCCCTATTTTTAGCCTCCTTTAACAAAAACAATTATCAGTCAAGAATTTTGTATACAGCAAAACTATGCTTCATAAATGAAGGAAAGATGTAGTCTTTTCCAGACTACCAAATGCTGAGAGAATTTGCCATTGACAAGCCAGCACTACAAGAACTGCTAAAAGGATCTCTAAATCTTGAAACAAATCCTTAAAATACACAAAAATAGAACCTCCTTAAAGCATAAATCTTACAGGACCTATATAACAATAACACAATGAAAAATAATATAAGGTATTCAGGCATGAGGAGTAGAATAGTACCCCACATCTCAATACTCACGTTGAATGCAAATGGCCTAAATGCTTCACTTAAAAGATACAGATGGGAAGAATGGATAAGAATTCACTAACTAAGTGTCTATTGTCTTCAGGACACTCACCTAACACATAAGGACTCACATAAACTTAAGGTAAAGGGGTGGAAAAAGATATTCCATGCAAATGGACACCCAAAGTGAGCAGAGTAGCTATTCTTATATCAGACAAAATAAACTTCAAAGCAACAGCGGTTAAAATAGACAAAGAGGCACATTATATAATGATAAAAAGACTAGTCCAACAGGAAAATATAGTTGTAAATATATATGCACCTTACATTGGAGCTCTCAAATTTATAAAACAATTACTACTAGACCTAAGAAATAAGCAGCCAACAAACATATGAAAAAAGCTCATCATCAGTGGTCATTAGAGAAATGCAAATCAAAACCACAATGAGATACCATCTCATGCCAGTTAGAATGGCGATCATTAAAAAGTCAGGAAAAAACATGCCGGAGAGGATGTGGAGAAAAAGGAATGCTTTTACACTGTTGGTGGGAGTGTAAATTAGTTCAACCATTGTGGAAGATTGTGTGGTGATTCCACAAGGATCTAGAATCAGAAATACCATTTGACCCAGCAATCCCATTACTGGGTACAGACCCAAAGGATTATAAATCATTCCACTATAAAGACACATGCACACGTATGTTTATTGCAGCACTATTCCCAATAGCAAAGACTTGGAACCAACCCAAATGCCCATCACTGATAACTGGATAAAGAAAATGTGGCACATATATACCATGGAATACTATGCAGCCATAAAAAAGAATGAGTTTATGTCCCTTGCAGGGACATAGATGAAGCTGGAAACCATCATTCTCACCAAACTAACACAGGAACAGAAAGCCACACACCACATGTTCTCACTCATAAGGGGTAGTTGAACAATGAGAACACATGGGCACAGGGAGGGGAACATCACACACCGGGCCCTGTTGGCATCTGGGGGGCTAGGGGAGGGATAGCAATAGGAGAAATACCTAATGTAGATGATGGGTTGATGAGTGCAGCAAACCACCATGGCGCGTGTATACCTATGTAACAAACCTGAACGTTCTGCCCATGTATCCCAGAACTTGAAGTATAATTAAAAAAAAAGGAATAAGATAGATGGCAACACAATGATAGTGTGGGACTTTAATGCTCTGCTGAAAGCACTAGATAGGTTATCAAGACAAAGTAAACAAAGAAACAATGGACTTAAACTATTCCCTACAACAAATGGACTTTGGACTTAACAGATACTTACAGAACATTCTACCCAACAACTGCAGAATATACATTCTATTCATTAGCACATGGAACATTCTTCAAGATAGACCATATGATAGGCCACAAAACAAGTGTCAGTAAATTGAAGATAAATGAAATTATATAAATTACTCGCTCAGATCACAGTGGAATAAAATTGGAAATCAACCCCAAAAGAACCCTCAAAACCATGCAAATGCATGGAAATTAAATAATCTGCTCCTGAAAGACTGTTGGGTTAATAATGAAATCAAGATGGAAATTAACAAATTCTTTGAACTGAATGATAATAGTGACACAACCTATCAAAACCTCTGTGATACAGCAAAATGGTGCTAAGAGGAAAGTTCATAGCATTAAATGCCTACATTGAAAAGTCTAAAAGAGCACAAACAGACAATCTAAGGTCATACCTCATGAAACTATAGAAACAAGAACAATCCAAACCCAGCAGAAGAAAAGAAATAACAAATATTAGAGCAGAACTAAATGAAATTGAAACAACAACAACAAAATAGAAAAGATAAATGAAACAAAAAGCTGCTTATTTGAAAAGAGAAATAAAATTGATAGACCATTAGTGAGATTAACCAAGAAAAGAAGAGAGAAGATCCAAATAAGCTCAATTAGAAACAAAATGGGAAGCAGTACAACTGATACTACAGAAACACAAATATTATTCAAGGCTACTATGAACACCTTTATGTGCATAAACGAGAAAACCCAGAGGAGATGGTAAATCCCTGGAAATATACCACCCTCCTAGATTAAACCAGGAAGATACAGAATCTGAACAGGTAAATAACTAGCAGCGAGATAATAAAAAAATTGCCAACAAAAAAGTCCAGGACCAGTTGGATTCAAGGGTGAATTCTATCAGACATTCAAAGAATAATTGGTACCAATCCTATTGACACTATTCCAAAAGATATCCTCCTTAAATCATTCTATGAAGTCATTATCACCCTAATACAAAAACCAGGGAAAGACATAACAACAACAACAAAACTACAGACCAATATCCCTGATGAACATACATGCAAAAATCCTTAACAAAATATTAGTGAACCAAATCCAACAGCATTTTAAAAATATAATACTCCATGATCAAGTGGGTTTCATACCAGAAATGCAGGGTTGGTTTAACATATGTAGGTCAATAAATGTGATACACCACATGCAGAGAATTAAAAACAAAAATCACATGATTAGCTCAACAGATGCAGAAAAAGCATTTGACAAAATCCAGCATCCCTTTATGATTAAAACCCTCAACAAGATCAGCATAAACATACCTTAAGGTAATAAAAGCCATCCACGATGAACCTACAGCCATCATTATACTGAATGGGGAAAAGTCGAAAGCATTTCCCCTGAGATCTGGAGTAAGACAAGAATGCCCACTTTCACCACTTCTATTCAACCTAGTACTGAAAGTCCTAGCCAGAGCAATCAGACAAGAGAAAGAAATAAAATACATCAAAATCAGTAAAGAGGATATCAAACTGTCACTGTTTGCTGATGATATGATCATATACCTAGAAACCGTAAAGAGTCATCCAAAAAGCTCCTAGAACTGGTAAGTAAAGTCAGCAAAGTTTCAGGATACAAAATTAATGTACACGAATCAGTAGCTCTGCTATACACCGACAGTGACCAAGCTGAGAATCAAGTCAAGAACTCCTTTCACAATAGCTGAAAAAAATTAAAATACTTAGGAATATACCTAACCAAGGACGTGAAAGACCTCTACAAGGAAAACTACAAAACACTGCTGAAAGAAATCATAGACAACACAAACAAATGGAAACACATCCCATGCTTATGGATGGGTAGAATCAATATTGTGAAAATGACCATACTGCCAAAAGCAATCTACAAATTCAATGCAATTCTCATCAAAATTCCACCATCATACTTCACAGAACTAGAAAAAACAATTATAAAATTCATATGGAACCAAAAAAGAGCCCACGTAGCCAATGCAAGACTAATCAAAAACATTTGAATGCACAAATCTAGTGGCATCACATTACTCAACTTCAAATTATAGTATAAGGCTGTAGTCACCAAATCAGCAGGGTACTAGTATAAAAATAGGCACATAGACCAATGGAACAGAATAGAGAACCCAGAAAAAAAGCCAAATAACTTATAGCCAACTGATCTTTGACAAAGCAAAATAATATGATAATAGTAATAAAGTGAGGAAATGATACCCTATTCAACAAATGGTGCTGGGATAATTGGCAAGCCACATGTAGAAGAATGAAACTGGATCCTCATCACTCACCTTATACAAAAATCAACTCAAGATGGATCAAAGATTTAAATCTAAGATCTGTCCTAATGATTGTAGAAGATAACATCAGAAAAACCCTTCTAGACATTGGCTTAGGCAAAGACTTCATGACCAAGAACCCAAAAGCAAATGCAACAAAAACAAAGATAAATAGATGGGACTTAATGAAACTGAAACCTTCTGCACAGCAAAAGAAATAATTAGCAGAGTTAACAACCCAGAGAGTGGAAGAAAATCTTCATAATCTATACATCTGAGAAAATACTAATATCTAGAATCTACAAAGAAGCATTACCATCTCACTCCTCCAAGAATGGCCATAATCAAAAAATCAAAAAAATTATAGATGTTGGAGAGGATGTGTTTAAAAGGGAACCCTTTTACACTGTTGGTGGGAATGTAAACTAGTACAACCACTATGGAAAACAGTGTGGAGATTCCTTAAAAAACTAAAAGTAGATTTACCACTTGATACAGAAATCCCACTATTAGGTAGCTACCCAGAGGAAAAGAAGTCATTATATGAAAAAGATACTTGCACATGCATGTTTATAGCAACATAATTTCTACTGCAAATATATGAAACCAGCACAAATGTCCATCAATCAATGAGTAGATAAGGAAATTGTGATATATATATATATTGAAATACTACTCAGCCTTAAAAAGGACTGAAATAATGGCATTTATGGCAACCTGGATGGAATTGTAGACCATTATTATAGGTGAAGTAACTCGGGAATGGAAAACCAAATATTGTATGTTCTCTTATATGTGGGAGCTAAGCTATGAGGATACCAAGGCAAAAGAATGATACACTGGACTTTGATGACTCAGGGGAAATGGTGGGGGTGGCGAGATATAAAAGATTACACATTGGGTACAGTGTACACTGCTCTGGTAATGGGTGCACCAAAGTCTCAGAAATCACCACTACAGAGCTTATTCATGTAACAAAAAAAAAATTGGGTGCATAGTGGAACTGTTAATCTCAGTATAGCGAGAAGATAAGTAGGTTTTATTTGGAAATGTAATCGCTGTCGTTTCTGGAGGTTCCAGTTGCTCGATAGATGTGCCTGGCAGGCAGTTATTACAAGGGCCTGGAACTCAAGAGCGACCACAGCTGGAGACATAGGTTCAAAAGTCATTCTGTGGCTATTCATGAGGACGATTGTTGTGGAAGATATCACAGGCAAAGTAAATGCAGTGAGAGAACAAACAGAAAGTGAACTCTAACATGCCACAAGGGCAAACCTCTTTATTTTTTAGGAGCTGAGGATATGGGTACAAGAGATTCTTGAAAATGTCAAGAAACATTTTAAAGCCCATGCTTAAGGTCATAGAATAAGCCTATGTTCTTTCTCAAGGATCGTGAAAACCAGAGTTTCTGATTTATCTTTATAGGGATGATTCAAAAAAGGAGTATATGTGTAAAATATAAAACACAAAACAAAGCAAGCAAACCATCCAAAAACATCTCTCAGGTATATTCTTAGTTCTAAGTGACTTCTATGCGTCTTTTTAATCAGAGAAGGATATAAGGAAGTCCTGTACCCCAAATTTATGTTTTTTAAAAAATGTAAAAAACACATTTTACATAGATATCTAGTGCACACATACATGTACAAACACAATTGACACAAAGATTTTATGAACTAACACCTTTACTTCTTGTGATGCACTATGTGTACTTTTCATTGTATTCCTTCCATTCCATTGTAAAAAGAAAATCCAAAACATTCTGATTCCGTCACCAACTAAGTTGATTTTTACAAACCACTAAGTGGTAACCATCTACAGTTTTAAAAATCCTCCTGAATTCTGTGTAGAGTAAATGTTAATTCAGTCATCTCCCCTTTCTGTGGTTTCAGTTACCTGTGGTCCATTACAATATATTTAATATATATTAATATTTAGAGAGAGAGACCACAATCACGTAGCTTTTATTACAGTATATAGTTATAATTGTTCTATTTTACTGTTATTGTTAATCTCTTACTGTATCTAATTTATAAATTTATCATAGGTATGTATGTATAGGACAAAACATAGTATATGTAGGGTTCAGTAGTGTCTTAGTCTCTTTGGTGTTGCTGTAAGGAAATACACGAGACTGGGTAATTTATAAAGAAAAGAAGCTTATTTGGCTCTTGGTTCTGCAGGTTTTATAAGAACCCTGGCACCAGCATCTGCTTCTGGTCAGGACCTAAGGCTGCTCCCATTCATGGTGGAAGGTGAAGCAGAGCCACACCTATAGAGATCACACGGCAAGAGAGGAAGAAAGAGAGAGAGAGAGGAGGGAAATGCCAGGCTCCTTTTAACAACCAGCTCTTGTGGGAACTAGTAAAGTGAGAACTCACTCTTTATAGCCAGATGGCAGTAGGCCATTCGTAAGAGAACTGCCCCCATGACCCAAACACCTCCTTAATGAGGCCCTACCTCCAATACTGGAGATCAAATTTAAACGTTGGGTTTAGGGGGACAAACATCTAAACCATAGCAGGTACCACCCATGATTCCATGCATGTACTGGGGTTCTTGGATTGCATCCCTTGTGGATAAGGTGGGCCTACTGTACCTTTATTGAAAGTAGGCTAGTGTAAAGGGTTTCTAGGAGATGAGTGAAGGACTCTTATGGTACCTTCTCACAGGAATCATGAGGAGTTTTAAACCAGTTAGCTGATAATTTGATCATTTCTCATTCAGAGGATAGTCACAGACTGATAACTCCAGGCAACGCACTGTGTTATTTATTAGAGATACAATGTTTGACAAAGGTCCAGAGTTTGCAGGGCTTAAAACTTACATAAATTGGGATTCACTTTCGAAAAATGTAAAATTTCAAATATAAAATTAGGTGCCGAAGTAATTATTTATAATATAAAAGATACCACATCATATTCTTCAAACCTTGGGTCTCTTTCTTCTTAGATCCCTTTAAGGGATTTGCCAAAAATATTTCTACAGCTATGCTTTCTGATTGTAACCTGTCCCCCTTCTCACCTAGAACACTCTGTAACTCTCTGCAACTTTCACGAAGAGGTGGAAGGTGCCTCTGCCAGCAAATGAGACCTGAACTTGATCTTTCATTAGCTTCAAAGTAAACCCGTGTCTGTTTACTCCTTCATAAAAAACATCCAGCTTGTGTCCTCTGGGCAAGGCAGACACAAATTAGAGGACCGGTTATACATTCATTATTCAATTATTTGATGGTATGGAGAAATGCAGAGGACTAGGAGAGCATATAATAGGGAAGTCAGACCTAGTCTGCAGGAGAGGGAGACTTTCTGGAGGAAAGGCCAGCTGGAGAGAAAGAGGCAAGCTGACATGCTATAATCACAGACCGAATCACGGACTGGTGCTGGTTGCAAACTGTCGACACCAGACCGTGACAAGAGATGTATAGAATGAGAGTTAATATCCAGAAAGTTTTAAAACAATCTGAAGGAGTAATATATCATGTTGACTGTAACAATAGTGTTTAGGCTTTTATTTTGCATGCCTTGTTTTCATTTTATTTTCCAGAAATTTATTTTTCTCGTGTTGTACGAAAGTATGGATCTGCCCAAATTGAGGGAAAAACCTGGTCCTCCAATGTATTAGTCTGTTCTTATGCTTCTAATAAAGATATACTCAAGACTGGGTAATTTAAGCAGAGGTTTAAGGGACTCACAGTTCTACATGGCCAGGGAGGCCTCACAATCATGGTGGAAGGCAAAGGAGAAGCAAAGTCATGTCTTACATGGTGGCAGGCAAGAGAGCTTGTGCAGGGGAGCTCCCATTTATAAACCATCAGATCTTGTGTGACTTATTCACTACCACAAGAACAGTATGGGGGAAACTGCCTCATGATTCAATTACCTTCCACTGAGTCCCTCCCACAACTCATGGGAATTATGGGAGCTACAATTTAAGATGAGATTTGGTTGAGGACATAGCCAAACCATATCATCCACCATTGATAGATTAAGAAATGCTGTCAAAGACTCCCTTCCCAGCTGAATCCCATGTTCTTCTGTTTTCTGCTTGCTATTCTTAGAGTAAATAAGATAAAAATAAATTTAAGAAAAAAATTAAATATTTGGAATAAGGACTAGATATCATGAGATACCATCTTTACCATAAAATAGAAAACTTAAGTTTATAAAAAACAGTAATGAGATTAAAATATAAAAGTTAAAAATATTCAAAGCAGGTTGTAAAAATTAGGATATAGTAACTTTTTAAAAATGTAGAAGCAAAATTTTACCTCTACCCTCTTAGGGTTTTTTGACTGAGCCTGAGAATTAAACTGACATAAGACAGATTAATAGGAGAAGAGCATTCAAATTTATTTCATGTAATTTTTATATGACATGGAAGCCCCCATAGGGAAATGAAGCTCCAAAGAAGTGGCAAAATCTAAATGCTTTTAGACCGGGTTGAATAAAGAGAGGCAATGTGGAAAAGCAAACTACGTGGGGAGACTAAAGGAATATTAGAATAATTTTAACAAGGTCTGTTTGAATAGAGTTCTCTGGGTCTCAATTTCTCATCCTTAATGATAAGAATGTTACTTTCCTCCTGGTAGAGGGAAGACATCTTCCATAGGAAGGTTATATCTCCTGCTTTCAGGAAATAAAGGGGATGGTCAAAATGCCCTTCTTGCACCTGCTTTTTTTTTTTTTTTTTTTTTTTTTAAGTGCCTTTAGCTCAATCTAATCCTTATGTCAAAGTAGCATATTTTGAGGTGAAATATTCTGCCATCCTTCAGTATTGAACCAATAAAAGGATAAATCCTAAAGTAACATGAACTAATATAAAAGAAGCACAAATGACAATGAAACTTTTTATTTAGGAGCTAAAAACCCAATGGATTCATCTACACTCCCAAGACCAGGCTGTTCTCTGGCTGACAGCCAATGGGTAGAGATGGGTCCCTTGGGCACTTGCCAGTCCCAGCATACATATTAAGTTAAAATCCTGTGCAGGGAAGAGACACTGCATTCTTCTCAGTGCCTAGTGGGTTCATCTCCATGTCTCCAGCAGAAGCACCATTGGATTAACAAATGTCCCCATGAAAAGTTGACCAATGGCAGTGTAGTGACTACATTTCCGTGTGAGTCAACAGAACATCTGTTAGAAATAAAAGGGCAAGATGTTTTAATTTTTGAAATCCAGAGAAAATTTTAACTTTTTTAATATTAATGAACTAAGAAGGGGTTTTCTTCTAAACATTTAATTTCATTTCACAGCAGTTAGTAAAGGGATGTTTAAGCATCAAAGGGAGAGATACGCATTTTACCTATATACCAGCCTTTAACTCATTTAAAAAATTCTAAATGTTCAGGAGAATTTAACCTTTTCATATCATTTTTTATTAGATTCATGAACAGAATAGGTAAGAAACTGGTATCACATTTATATATTGAGAATTTCTCCCCCTTTCCTCATTATTCTGTTTTAAACTCATCATGTTTTTTAGTTTAAAGTAATATTGTTTTTAACATGAGCACTCTTTCTCAAGTAAAGTTTATGTAATTCCTCTTACCAATAAATAGTGGAAAATTTGGTCATTTAAGGAGGCTTTATTAATGCGGTAATAATACACTAACCTGTTATAAGTTACTTACCAGAAAAAAATACTCACGGTATGATTTTTTTCAATTGAGATAAACTAGCAAACTATCCACTCATGCATCCACCTCTGTTACTCCTAATTGTTGTAGCATATATAACATTCTTTTAAAATTAATTCATAATTGTTTCAATTATTTTTCTTGACAGATTTAAAACATTGTATATTGGTTGCATTTAAAAGTGTTCCTATATTTACAAAATAGCAGGAATGGATGACTTTTTCATTGTAGTATTCTTCAGCCATTGTGTCATAGCTGCTTAATTTAGACAAAGTAATGCCACGTCACACTGGTAATTTAGCAAAGATAAATCACATTTTTGTTAGGTTGTTTTGCCTCCATGTAGTTAAAATTATACACTCTTACGGAGTTGGTGAAATATACTAATGAAATCTTCTTTGAACTGAATTTGAAGGAAAGAAAAAACTTAACTGAGATTAATACAGAAAAGATTGGTGTTTACCTGTATTTTCTGTTTTTGTTCTTATTGCTTGTATAAGCTATTTAACTTTCAGAAAGTTGGAAAAATTTTAGAGAAGTGTTCTGTCCTCAAACTGGGGCCTACAGACTGCAAATAACCTACTAAATTATTGAAAATATACCTGTGAAAACTTAAAGTATAATTTAAAAAAAAAGAAAATATACCTGTGAATAGGAAAGGAAACCTATGTTTTCCAGAAAGGGGGCTTGGTCTCTGTTGGATGGATTTTTTATGAATTTTCTCTGTGTTATGCTGTAACACAGACACACAACTTGTCTTGGGTAAACTGATGGTGAGAGCATTTTCATAAATAGTGCTTTTGTAAGTACTCTCTGATCACAGTATTTAGATAGTGTAATAACTCTAGACAGTTTTATATTGGTTTGAACACTGTGTAACCATTTCACTTAGGAATGAATGAATGAATAACACTGGAGAATGCTTGGATCATTGATTAGAAATCATTAACCCTCTTGAAATGTTTAAAGATTTGTTAGAAATTCAGCCTTTTCCTGGACTTATTTGAGTAGTGTAGTGAATTGGTCAAACCCATTTCCCAGACTCCTGAAGGAATTTTTATCAAAGCAATGACAACACATGCTTGTGTACTTTCTTTAATTTTCAATGTATTGTTTTTTCTTTTGAACGCACATTTCAAAGGGGAAAGTACCTATTGCAGATGCTATGGATCTCATTACAGAAACACACAGATGCCATCAAAAATTTACCTGCAGGGCCCAGGATATAAATTTAGGATTTGGAGCCCAGGAGTCTGTTGAGGTAAAACCCACTGTTCTGCAGCAAACACATGTTCTGAAAATAAGAGACACAACGGCAACCAAGGGTGCATCCTTCCCATTTTTCCGGTGTAGGCCCAACTATGGAAAGTAGTTAAATTAATTCAGTCTTAGGTATTTTAGTTAGCTTTGTTAGTGCTAGTTTTGACATACAATCATCAAACTAGATATGTATGAAAGGAATACAGTTACTTAAAAAAATGCAATTGGAATTCAATTGCTCATAAGCAAGAAATTATGAGAAGGTGAGTACTTTGGTGGAGTGAAAAAAGGTACATTGTGGATAATATATGTCAATATTAAAATGTCATTACTAGATCATACTTATATCTGTTGTAAAATCTAGATGATGAAGTTATTCATTTATTCCCTTAAAAGTAAGCTTTTGCTCCTTAGAGATGGGTGTGAGAATTTAGCTTTCTCTTAGCCCAAACGTGTTATTACGTAACAAAGAAGAAAAGAAGAAAGAGATTAGGGGGAAAAGCTACTCAGTGGAGGCCAGAAGACTCTCCAAACTGAATTTTAAGTGCTGCTTCTGATGTAGGTTTCTTCTTTTTCATCAAAAAGGGTATTAAGGAAGTAACACAAGCATAATAACTGTTCACACAGCCCCTTTCACAAGATATTCTTAGTGGCTGGCATTTTTCAAGGCCTCGTGTCCAATAGTGTAATAGAACTGGTGCAGATGGTGAAGAAACAAATTCTGTGGAAGTTGCTGCAACGAGCAATATGGTATAATCTCGGACACAATGTTTTCATTGTGTTTGATGCATTCATTCATTTGCAGATGCATTCATTTGCAAATTACCCACAGCTCATATCCCTTTTCAAACTAAGAATATGTCATTCCAGGAAGGTCAGCACATCCATGACCCACTCAATTCTTTAAAAGCTTGCCCTCACTCTGGTTTTCCCCACCCCCATTTCATTTCCTTTGAGAGGCTGGAAGAGCCTCAGTGAAGAGAGGCATGGGCTCATGTGGAATATGAAGGTAATTCCCCAACTAAGCATGCCTGCATATTTTCATTACAAATATTTCATTGCAAACCACTTGAAGACAAATTGAAATTAGTGAAATTAACCATAAATTAATGGAGTAATCTTGGGAGATGGAAAGACTTACTTTGGCTACATTTACTTTGCCATAATGATGTATAAGAAGCACAGATAAAAACATACTTAAGTGGATAACTTTTATTTAGTAGGGGGATATATGTATTCTTGTAATGGGGCAAGATTATCAATGATGCTTGGGAGAAAAAAAGGAATAGAGAGCAAAGAGATTACACTAGAGGAAAAATAAACCACAAAAGGAAATATTGGTAGAATAGAATACAGTTCTCCAATAATCCGGAATCAGTGTTTCGCGTTTTTTCAAAGCCTCACAAAGTTTCAGTTTAGATTGGCCAAGATGAATATGTTGCCTGCTATATGTGCCAAAGCTAGGCCCTGAGATTCAGGGATGAATAAAACCTGCAGGGAGTTGTCAGTTGACAAAGGCATCTGGGCAGAGTGATGGCTGGCTGTGCAGGAAATTCCTCCTTGATAATGAAATCCCTGAGCTGAAACCTGAAGAACTGGCTATCTGCTCTCCATTCTAGCATTCTAGCCTATCACAAGCTTATCACTGAAGGCTCTTCTCTACATTAATTTAAGTGTATAATTGACTTGGTTTTCACTTTCTCATGTTTCGAATGCTATTCAAGACCTGAGCTTTGCCATCATTGACACTAGCTGTGCAATGCTTCCTTTGCATATATATGTCATCAGTAACATTTGCACATTTAGACTTGTTGTCTCAAGCTTGCTGCCCTTATAGAAGGGAACATTTGGAATCCAGCTAACCCTGAACACTGGAAACTACTCTTGTTTGCAACATAAAAAAATCTGTTTTCCCCTTATTTTTGACAATAGAGAGTATACGTATACTTCAAAATGTAATGTATAATTCTTGTATTCTTGTATGGACAGAAAGGGAAATATTATCAGGGAGGATGTTAGATAAGTAATTGTTTGCAAAGGTCAATAATGGCTCAATTATTGTGACTTTCTGTAGGGAAGTGTCTAGTTACTTGCTTCTTGACTCTGTCATCACTCCTGCACCATCAATGTTGAATTGAAAGGTTAAAAGTATTGTTGCCAATGTTACAGTCTCACAATACATTTTTTTCTTCCTTTTTCTCATTGTAAATAATGACCCCAAATAGTTACCATCTACCATTTAGTTAGCATTAATATATATTTTCATTCTGTCCCTGTCTTATAGGCCTATCATATTCCAGTCTTATAGATGAAAGAATCGAACCAAGTAAAAAACTCTTGAAAAAGTCATGTAGCCTATATCGTGGAGTGAGGATACTAGAGATTAGTTTTGTGGTTCCAATACCTGAGCTTGGCCCACTGTTTACACTACCTGTGCAATACTACCTTTAAATGAATATACATGTTATCAATAACATTTGCGCATTATAGACTCACTGCTATCTCAAGCTTGCCTCCTTATGAATGGGAAGATCTCTGTTGAATAAAGAGAGGAGGTAAATACTCCCCATCTCTCTAATTAGAGCAGATCATCTTTATAAGTTGTTAATGTGATAGCTTTTCCTATAATGAAAAAATAAATATAATTTCCTTATTTTTTTAAATAAACTTAAAATTTTGGAATAATTTTAGATTTATATCAAAGCTACAGATAGTATAGATAGTTCTTATACCTTTCACCTATAATGTTAATATCTTAGTACGTTTGTCAAAACTAAGAAGGTAACGTTAATAGTATTGCTGTTAATTAAACTACAGGCTTTATTTGGATTTCACTAGTTTTTCTAATGTCGTTTTTCTGTTTCAGGATCCATTCCAAGAAACTGTATTGCATTTAGTCTTCATGTCTCCTTAGCCTCCTAAGGAGACTGTGCCAGGTGTTTTGTAGACTGTTCCTCAGTTTAATTTGTAAGAGATGTTTCTCATGATTAGCCTGAAATTATGGGTTTTGGGGAGGGAGTCCACAGATATGAAATATGTTCTCATCACATATTACAGGGAGTGCAAGACAGCAACATGACCTACCGGTAGTGATATTAACATTGACCACTTGGTTAAAGTTGTGTTTGCCAGATTTCTTTATTCTACATAACCGCCTTTTATGTGTCCAATTGTGTCTTCTAAAAAAATATGCTGAAGTCCTAGCACCCAGTACCTGTAAATGTAACCTTTTTGGAAGTAGAGTGGTTGCAAATTTAATCAAGTTAAGATGAAGTCACTAGGGTGGGCCCTAATCCAGTATGACTGGTGTCCTTAGAAGCAGGGAAATCACCATGTGAAGTGTCTGTGAAGACACAGCGACACACAGGGAGAATGCCATGTGATGACAGAGGAAGGATTTGGAGCAATGCAGCTGCAGACCAGGGATTCACAGCTACCCCAGAAGCAGGGCAGAGGCAGGAAGGATTCTCTCCTACATGCTTCAGAGGAAGCATGGCCTTGCTAACACTTTGATTTTGAACTTCTAGATTCCAGAACTGGGAGGTGACAAATTGTAACCGCTCAATGGGTTCACCTTGCCCGCTGGCTAGACAGAGCCAATTTATCAAGACAGGAGAATTGTGACAGAGAAAGAGTAATTCACACAGAGCTGGCTGTGTGGGAGACTGGAGTTTTATTATTACTCAAATCAGTCCCCTCGAGAATTTGGGGATTGAAGTTTTTAAGGATAATTTGGTAGGCAGGGGGGCCAGTGAATCAGGAGTTCTGATTGGCATGGTCAGAGATGAAAATCAGGGAGTTGGAGCTGTCCTCTTGTGCTGAGTCAGTTCCTGGGTTGGGGCCACAAGACCAGATGAACCAGTTTATCAATCTGGGTGATACCAGTTGATCCATCTAGTGCAGGGTCTGCAAAATATCTCAAACACTGATCTTAGGTTTTACAATAGTGATGTTGTCCCCAGGAGCAATTTGAGGAGGTTTAGAATCTTGCAGTCTCCAGCTGCATGGCTCCCAAACCATAATTTCTAATCTCAGGGCTAATTTGTTAGTCCTGCAAAGGCGGTCTAGCCCCATGCAGGAAGGGGGTTTGTTTTGGGAAAGGGCTGTTATCGTCTTTGTTTCAAACTATATAAACTAAGTTCCTCCCAAAGTTAGTTCAGTGTATGCCCAGGAATGAACAAGGACAGCTTGGAGGTTAGAAGCAAGATGGAGTGGTTTAGGTCAGATCTCTTACACTGTCTCAGTCATAATTTTGCAATCGTGGTTTCAAATTTTCTGTTGTTTTAAGCCAGGCAATTTGTGATACTTTGTTATGACAGCCCTAGGAAGCAAATACACTGTTCTTCACTTTTCCGTTGTTTATAATTTGTAAGTAAGTTACTAAATCCAGATCACTCTTAAAAATATTTAGTTTGCTCCTATGAATATATTTTGAAAACTTTGGACAGAGCTTGCTACCGTCTCTTTGTTTCAGCTCATTGTTGGCCAGTGCCACCTGGCCGTGACATATGCAGTACCACCACTGACAATGGGCTGCACTGCAGCTTGTCAAGGGCTTCTCTTCAAAGGCAGCAATAAAAAAATCTACTCACTCATAGTTCGTCAAATAACAATCTTCTATTTTAGTGCACATAATCATAATTGTTTTTTTATAACCTTTTGCTTAGCACAGAGTCGAATTAGCGGATGAGACAAAAATACAGTTCTTAACTCAGGTCTTTTATACAAAATTTCCCCAAAACATTTCATTTAATGTTAATTTGATTTGGCATTGCAGTTTGGTTAAACCACTTGAATTTCTAGCTGTTTATAATGGTTTAAACTATAGTTCCAATCCTTTTCTAGAAAAAAAGAAGAATACATACCAGATTAAATCCATTTATGTATTAAAAAAACCACAAAGTAAGCTATGGTTTCAACCATGTTTCTCCAAAGTAAGCTGTGTTTTCCACTATGTTTGAAGAAGCTTATATATTTTATTTTTCATTGAAATTTCTTTCTTGCTTGCTTTTTTCTTATTTAAAAGAGAGGTTATTTTCTGTGGAACTAATTATATATAACATATATATATTTAGTGTATATATTTATATGTATACACACACACATACTTAAGTACATATTAAATCTGGCTATAAGAAAAAGATAGAAGGAATATGTGAGCATTCTTGTTTTGCTAGCCTGTTTGCAGTAATAATACTTATTTTCTAAAATTCTTGAGCATTTCATTAAATTTACTTTAAAATTTAATTATGTAAAATCATTGCATTAGAGCTTGTGTAATCATTATGGTTTAGAAGATGATTCCTTAAGAGTTGCATACCCAGGGGAGTTGGGGGTTTGCATGGCCAATTACCAAAACATATTGAATGCAAGCCCATTCTTCTTTTTACATGTTGCAGCATTTATTGGAACAGTTCCAAAGCCTTATGAATATGTATAACCTCAATTGTCCATTTAGCTTAGCAACAAACTAGTGTTTCCTGCTACATTATACAATATTGGCCATCAATTACTTTTAAAAAGTATGCTGCTGCTGGGCATGGTGGCTCACGCCTGTAATCCCAGCACTTTGGGAGGCCGAGGTGGGTGGATCACGAGGTCAGGAGATCGAGACCATCCTGGCTAACATGGTGAAACCCCGTCTCTACTAAAAATACAAAAAAATTGGCCGGGTGTGGTGGCGGGCACCTGTAGTCCCAGCTACTTGGGAGGCTGAGGCAGGAGAATGGTGTGAACCTGGGAGGTGGAGCTTGCAGTGAGCTGAGATCGTGCCACTGCACTCCAGCCTGGGCAACAGAGCAAGACTCTGTCTCAAAAAAAAAAAAATAAAAAAAATAAAAAGTATGCCATTGAAGGTTTTGCAGAAGCACGCAAATCGAAACTAAAATCCCATACTTTTATCATATATTAAAAATATTAGCTTCTGAAACACCAGAGATAGACACAAACATACAGAGTATGTATATATTGAGCTTCTGACATAAAAATGTGTGTGATTAAAACAGTTTTTATTTATACATGGTGTTCCATGACCTTACATGGGTCTACAAACTTAATATTTTCATGAGTACATCTCTTTGACCATGACTCATCGACTTAATTCCAAAATCACATTAGTGAATTTGTTTAGAGACAGTTTTAGAGAAAAGGGAAGTCTGGGATAGTGAGACAGACTATGATGATGATGCTAACGTGAGCGAGTTTCATATTCTCTGTGTTTGCCAAGAGATGGGATTCAGGACACACTATGTAAAATATGGCTCCTTGCCATGTGAGAAGATAGTAGATATAGGAAGGTCACTCTCTGACCTTTTCCCACCCTACTCCTCTGAAGCAGGCCATAAGACTCTCACTCAAGAGGTATTCTTCTTACAACCAGAGGAGAGGAATGTCCTTATCTCTGAAAATACAGGGACATAGAGAAAAATGAGAACAAACAGACCTTGCTAAGCTCCCTCCAATTGATTACCATTAGATTACACCCCCTTTGCTCAATCATACTTTTGCACAACTCTCCATTCTTCCTCAAACTAAGCATAAAAATACACAGGTTTTCCTTTTTCTTTGGGTCTTTATTTCTGAAGCCTCCCATGTCACATACAATTTATTAAATAAATTTGTATGCTATTCTCTTTTCCATCTGTCTTTTATTAGAGGTGCCTTAGCCTGAACCTGGTGATGGGTGAAAAAAAAATTTCCTCCCCTATATACCATTTTGTTATGCAATAATTACTGGCAATGACTGATTACTAAGTACAACTTTGATGATCAACTACATTGGCCATACTTGGGGACTAAAAGGAATCAGAGGAGAAGACTGGTAAGAATCAAACAGAGTCTAATGCAAATGATGCAGCACAGAGATGTAGAATAAGCTGTCCTCCATGTTTCTTTTTCTATTTGGCATTAATTAGTTTAGTTGTACAGGGAAAATTCTGAGTGCTTGCTCAGTAAGATGCTTGTCCTGTGTTCTCTAGCATATGGAGGTAATTTAGTACTAAGGAAAATATATTCCTTCAATTTGCTTCTTTGCTTTTTTTAAATTTTGAAATGGAGTCTCGCATTGTTGCCTAGGCTGGAGTGCAGTGGCGCGATGTCGGCTCACTGCAACCTCCACCTCCCGGGTTCAAGCAATTCTCCTGCCTCAGTCTCCCAAGTAGCTGGGACTACAGGCGCCTGCCACCATGCTCGGCTAAATTTTTTTTATTTTTAGTAGAGACAGGATTTCACCCTGTTGGCCAGGCTGGTCTCGAACTTCTGACCTTGTGATCCGCCCACCTTGGGCTCTCAAAGTGCTGGGATTCCTAAGGAAAAACAATTAGATGTTACTTTTTGATGCAAGAAGAGAAGTCATCTAGTAGAATGAAACCACCCTCTGACCATTGCTCCCCAAAACCACAAACATATTGAGAGTAAATCATGATTTATAAAATCACTTCTTACAAAAAAAAAAAAGTGTTTCTTTCTATAGTAGTTTTATCCTGGCTTGGCTCATTTGTTTAAGCATTCCATCCTAAGGAATATGTTTTTAAAAACTACCAGGTATCCACCATATTGCTACTGAGTCATATATCATAAAAGTCTGGCTACAGTAATCTTGGGCAGATTATTTGGAAACATGACATATTTCTACATAATAAATAGGAATCATGAAAAATGAAGAAAACAAAGCAAGAGATAATCTTCCTTCAAACTACCCCATATTAAATTCCAAGTATTTTCAAGTATTTGTAGTTTTCTAGGGACAAAATTGTGTTAACTGCCTGAAATGATAATTTCGAGAATATTGCTTTTGAACATGCAAGTTACTTGCTTACAGTAGAATGTATATTTATTAGTAAATATATGAATATTTTTGAATATGATTTTTTTTTATTTTAAAGGGATATCGAGTTACTCGAGTTTTCCTTCAGGCCATTATATTAAGAATTTGTCTTAGAGTCTGCTACCAACCATCAGAGCTCTAAGTCAGTGGAGCTATCATTGTTAGAAACCATCAAATCCTTTTGATTCTCTCTTCTGAAATTTATCAATTCCCTCCTGTTCCAGTAATAAACTATTTCAGACTCAGTGGCTTAAAGCAACAACAGCAGAGGTAGCTAATCTCTCCTTCAGGGTATCCTGGTCTCAGCTGGGAAGACTTGAAGGCTCGGGGTTGGACTCATCAGCAGGCACCTTAATTCACACGTCTGGCAGTTAATGGTGTGTACCGCCTGGGATCACAGCTGGGCTGATGGCTGATGTTTACATGTGGCCTTTCTGTGTGTTTCTCCACATAAAGATAGTTGGGGCCCCCTTATAATATGGCAGCTGGGCTCCAAGAGCTAGTATCCAGCCAGGCGGCTGGGTGTTGTGGCTCAGGCCTATAATCCCAGCACTATGGGAGGGCAAGGTGGGAGAATCAGTGAGGCCAGGCATTTGAGGCCAGCCTGGGCAATGTAGTGAGACCCCCATATCTACAAAAAAATAAAAAATTAGCTGCGGACGTTGGTGCACGCCTGTAGTCTCAGCTATTTAGGAGGCTGAGATGGGAGGATAACTTGAGCCCAGGAGGTTGAGGCTGCGGTGAGCCGTGATCATGCTACTGCACCCCAGCCTGGGTGACAGAGAGAGACCCTGTTTCAAAACAACCCCCAACAATCCCTTCCCCTCAAACCCCCAAACATCATAGAAATACAAGTCAGATAGTGTTACTTCTGCTGTAATTATAGGGGAGGAAACATTGACCCCGCCTCTTGATCAGAGAAGTCTTCAAGTTACATTGGGAATTGGAATTGTGGGATGGGAATTATGGCACCCACTTTTGGATAATATAATGTGCCACATTTTCCATCCCTTTTTCTACATACCTTTTGCTGGAATATTAAGGCCAATGGCTTCTTATTTGGTCTCCCTGCTGACACTTTAATTCTCTTCAAATTTATTCCCCACATAGGTGGAAGGGTGACCTATATAAAATGCATGATCAGCATGGGGTGCATGATCTTCATGCTGTTTACCAAACTTTCCAGCCTATTTATATGGCACTCTCCAACAAAAACTAGCTTCTCACAGTCCTCTTTTGCCCCTGCCCTTGGCATGTGCACACATGCTGTGCTGCTTCTGACCTCCATGCCTTTTCCAGCTGGTGTCTCCTCTCTTTTCCACCATCTTCATCTTCCAGAAAACCAGAATGCATTCATTAGAGGAAGATGAAGGGTCAAACATTACCTCCTCCATCCAGTTTACATCATGATTTCAACTAATCTTCAAAGCTGTCATTCTCTTTCCACCCACTGTACTTCATTTTCCTCAACTATTTAATGGAAATATAGTTCTCAAGTCACATACTGTTGCAAAAATTAAATGAAGAATTTAAGACATGTAAAGTGTTTATGACAATGCCAGTACGTGGGAACCACTTAAAAGATGTTAGGTGTTACTATAATTAATATTAGCCACCTGCAGTTGGTATTTCTGGCAAACTGGAATAATTCTGAAAAATGTCTTTCCTCAATATCTTTGCTTATGCTCTTTTCTCTGCATGGAATTCTTTACCCATTTTCTATCTATAGCCATTCTGCTCTTTCTCAAAGTCTATTTTAAATTCCACAAATTCATTAAAGAAAGCACTTTTTTCCTCCAAATATTAAATTCTTATAACTTTGTTTGTACACCCTCTTGGCATGTGCATATTCTATTTCCTACATAAGTTTGTTTGATTGTGTCTTGCTTGTGGAATCCTTGAGGATAAGGATATATTACATAATTTTATCACTTGAATTCCTAACATTCTGCCTTTCTTGGAGTGAACCAATATTCACTGCCTTAAATTAGACTTAAGACGACAATTACTTTTTCAGAGATTTTGATAATATTGAATCAAGACACATGTACATTAATTCTGAAATACTCAGTTTTATTATATTACATCTTATGTATTTCTATAAGATATACTAAGGGCTTTATATTATAAGATAAAAAGATGTAAATTGTCTTTATTTTCTACTCAAAATTTTTTAATGTTCTAGTTACTCTTATTTTTAAATCTTTTTCTCTTCATTTATCCATATTTAATCTTTTTCTTAATAAATGCAGAGGAGTATACAGCATTCCGTAGTATTCCAAATAAAGATTTTAAAATACGTATTTGAACTTGCTAATATATAAATCTAGTTTTGAATCCAAAATTTATTTTATGAATACTTAATAGTTGCCTAACAGAGGATAAGTATAGGGGATATAGCAGGGTGATATGGTTTGGATCTGTGTCCCTAACCAAATCACATGTCGAATTGTAATCCCCAGTATTGGGGGTGGGGCCTGCTGGAAGGTGATTGGATCGTGGAGGCAGAATTCTCATGAATGGTTTAGCCGCATTCCCTCGATACTGTTCTTGTGATAATGAGTGAGTGAGTTCTCATGAGATCTGGTTGTTTTAAGTGTGTAGCACCTCTGCCCTCTCTTGCTCCTGCTCTACCATGTAAGATGCTTGGCTTCCCATTCACCTTCTGCCACAACTACAAGTTTCCAGAGGCCTCCTCAGAAGCCCAACACATGCCTTCATGCTTCCTGTACAGCCTGCAAAACCATGAGCCAATGAAACCTCTTTTCTTTATAGAGTACCCAGTCTCAGGTATTTCTTTATAGCAAAGCAAGAACAAACTGATACACAGGACTACAAAGACTAACAAGACATGGTTTTTATCTTGAAGGTGTTTAGCACCTACTAGGTAGAGAGGGAGAAACTCAGTGGGAGATCCAGATAAACAGGTATGGGAGTTCAAACAAGATGATGTTATTTTTAGCCAAGAGGAACAATTAAAAATGTATTGGAAAAGGTGTTATTTGGGCTGAGTATTGCATGATATGATTGGTTGGATTTGTTAAGCCTCTGTTATTCCAGAGAAGAGGAGAATGCATAAGAGTTGTCCAGTGAGTGTAACAATGTGAATATATTATTACCTATTTGGTGGGAAGCCCAGGGCACGCAGGTATGGGGAGTAAACTGTGGTTGGAATGTACAGTGGGTGGAAGGAGAGGAGTAAGAGAAATGAGTGGACAGGTAGTTTGTGACCAGATGCTGAAGAGTCCTGAGATATACCCTGCTTTGTTCTGTAGGCTATGTGAAGTCATTGAAAGGTCTAGATGTGACCAAAGTTGACAAAAGGGAAATGCATGGGGGAAGAACCACTGAGGCCGACTGATTAGAAAAATGGTCTGACTTCAAATACTTTCTCTGCAAATGTTTAAAGAAAATCTAATTTGGACATGGATGTATTTGCTTATGCACTGGAAGTCCTATTTCATAGTTGGAGCTTTCTTTTTAGGTGAAGATTTTCAGTCAATCCCAGTCCAGGCAGGAATCATTCCAGTGAGTGACCCTGGGGCTACAGCTCCACAAACCAATTACAATGCCAGGGAGATTGTTGCACAGGGTCCTATGTCAATCTGATTTCAATTAACATCTTTCTTAATTAGAAATACAGAGGTACAGAGGTGATGCTTTTAATTCGTTGCCCCTTATCTTTATTTAGCTTTCTATTCATTCGTTACATAAGATAGCATATATGAAAATTTGGTAAGCCAAATTCATGGACAATTAGACTATAATAATAAAATAAGTAAGATAAATTATTCCCGCTAATTTGGGGTACTTCAAAGTTTATTCCAGCTTTCATATTTGGCTTGAAGAAATTGCCTTGTCGTTGGGCTTTGGAGGCTATTTCTGTGGATGCTATATGCCAGACCATTATGGATGGTGCTCTGATTAAGCCAATATTAGACATAAAAATTTGGTCTGTAATTTAATTTCCAAGACAAAAGTCTACTGTATAGCTACTGAACTCAAAAACAGAGTGAAACAACAAAACAAGGGCTGCTTCATTGTGCCAACTGCACTTTAAGACACTATGTCATTGGATATATGTGTTAATCTACCTTTGGGGGCACTTTCAATATGTAAGCTGAGAATATTATTTCAGTCAAAGGGAAGAGTCAGATTCACATTTACCATCCCACCTTTCTGACATTTTCAGAAATTTGGATCACCTGACTTTAGGCAGCTCACGTGATAAAAGGTTAAAGGCAAATCATTGCTTCCTGAACTTAAAGCTAACTGTTCTCAAATAAGAAGGAAGATATCTTGTATAAAAATGATAAGAGAAAAGCATCTCAAAAGGGCTTTTAAACCACAATGAAATCATTGCTGTGTAATAACATATTCAGTAGGAAACAGAGAAAATTCCTATCAGAAGTATTCACCGGTATTAAGCACAGATATGTGGAGGTAGGAGTCCCTAATCTTTATATCATCTCCCTTTAATTAAAGAGGAGAAACACTTTAATTTCAACAGAATCTGTGAAATGCTTTCATCATTTCACACACAGTGTGATAAGAGAATAATATGGCTAATGGAAAGTGGATTTTCCCTTTTTTTGGTCAATAATAATAGCTTCCATTTGTTGAATATTTACCTTATAATTGCACCACATAAATTATCTACTTTATTCCCCAGTAAGTTATGTTGTTGATGCTACTATATGCATTTTATAGGTGAGGAATCTGTGGCTAAATATGTTCAAAGAAGTTCTCAAAGTGGTAAGCAATTATATGAGAGTCAGTGCTTGAATCCAAATTAGTGTGAACTCAAAAACACACTGTATTTTCCACAACATTTTAATGACTATCCAACATTTTAGTATATTCTGTAGGGAGAGTATTTTAAACTGTCCCTTAAATCCATATTGGCAGTGAGTTTCAGCTGCATCTTCAGGGGTATCTTATTAATTGGGACCTCTGAATACGAAAGCTGTGAAGTTCACAGTCATAACATCACCTCGATGCAAACTGGTTTAGGAAAGGTTCAATTTGTTCAATTTGTAACTTTCAAATTGCTTTTTCAGATCCTTAACTTGATGAATGTAACTGGGTTAGAAATGAAACAAAACTATAAATGGAAATGATTCTAAGTGCTTTTTAGTCTGGGTAACTTTGCTGTTATGGTCCTTTCCTTATACTACTCTTTATTCCGTTCACAAAGTAGTGTAATTGTGAGTGTAACAGCCCTTCATATTTAGAACAATCTTTATGTAGCATAGTTCAGCCATTAGACACTCAAATGAAGCTTAGTATCGTGGTTTAAATAAATATTTTACTTTGGACTGAGGTCTCAAAGTTTCCAAGTAGAAAGACCTGCTTTTTACTCTTATTCCTTTATCTGAATACATTCAACAGGTCTAGTAAATTTTTAGCTTTGGGTCATGCCTCCTTAGCTCACCACACACCTAGAATATCAGCTAGTGCCAAGGGCTACTTCTTGGGTTTGTCCTGTCAATTTCTAAGTTAGGAAAATAGGATACAGCAACCTCCTTGTACTATTTATACACATTCAATACTTCTCCACCTTTAAACCCTCAGGGACATTCAAGAAAACTTCTTAGTTTTGTGTCCCTTTCTGCTCAAATTCAAGGTCATCAGAATCATAATGAATTTGCATTTTAGTTCCTTGTGTAAGATGATGCCACTTCATGGAAATGTTACTAGATGATAAAGTAAAGCAAGAAACATCCACTGCTCTGTATGTATTTAATTAGGAATTCCAGTTAATTACTCATTACACCCCTTTGCATTTCTGGAAATTTATAGAGAAAATGGTTTCTTTCTCCCTTGTGTTAAAAAAAAATCCTTTCAGAGCAAGAAAGCTTTTTTTTTTTTTTTTTCTTTTTTTTTTTTTTTTACTTCATTTGATCGGATCCTTAAGTGACCTTTGTAAACAGTACTTTTCTATTTCAATATTTTCCTTTACCTTTCTGTCTTTAAACAGTAGCTCAAGTCCGAAAACATTTTGTAGTTAGATACACTGACAGTCCAGCATGGAAGAATGAACTATATGTTTTCTTTTTGTAACAAATACTTTTATCTTAAATACTTAAAAATATTAACTTATTTACTCATTTAATCCTCCTAACAAACATATGAGGCAGAATACTATTATTATCCCACTTTACAGCTGTGACTAGGTAATGTCATTAGATGGGCAATGGCAAAATATTCTCTATAAGATTTAGAAAAAGAGCAGAAGAAATAAAATGGTAATTGTCAGTTACTTCAAAGAGCTGCTGTTTCTCTCTGTGGCAGTTTTCCCAGGCTTAATCTCAATGGTGAGTCAAATTCATATTATGAACAGATTCTTTAAGAATTTTGGTAGATAAGTTCCTGAAGTTAATTCTAAGGATGCATTTACTATATTAAATTCTGCACCACAGTGAGTCACATTATAGTGAAGCTCCAAAGTGGCTCCTTTTTTATAGAAAGACTAGCAAATTAAAGGAGATTTCATTTGCTTTTGAGCCACTTTCCAATTTAATTGTTCACATGTCTGTAATAGGTGGTGGCATAACCTATTGGAAAGGATAGCTAAAAGCAATTGAATTCTATTTGTTCTTTAATGGACTATCTGTGTGATTTTAGGTAAATCCCCTATTGTTGTCTAATTTTTGTTTTGATTTTGGTAAAACAAGACTAATGCCACTTTTATTTTCCTACCTATCTCCTAGGAGTAGTCTGGGATAGAAACTCAAACTGGCTACTGCCCACGAGGATGAGAGGTACAGCTTTGCCCTCCCTATCTTTTCTTCTCTTTTAAGCTTATGTTAGACTACTTGTAATTTTATCCACTGTTCTTGCCAAAATGGCATTTTGTGAGTTTGATGGACAAGGGACTCTTGTGCAGTTTGTCAAACATTCTATTACAAAGCTTTTGATAAAAGCAATATTTTAATACTTTTCTGACAATAGAAAGCTGTCCCTTGAGATTGTATCTGCTTTGAAGTAATGGGCAGGGAGGTTAATTTCTTCATTTTTTACACAAATGTTTATTAAGTGTCTACCCAAAATGAATGGATAGGAGATAATATGGATGAATTTTAAAACCCTAAGTTTTAGTTCCTCCTTTACCAGTTACAGGAGCCTGTTCTCAGATACGTCATATAAATTAGCTGAGATTTGGTTTCCATATCAACTAAATGAAGCTACTAATATCTCTTCTGCCTTTGAAGACCATAAATGCCATTTGTCTTATTGATTTTTATAGATAAATGACAGTGATATTTAGAAATGAAAATAGTTAAAAGGGTGATGGCAACCTCTTCTAGTTTTACATGAATAATAATGCCTTCAGTCCTTTCAACTGAAATGATGTTGTAGCAAGGAAACTAAGTACCTTCTTGTAGGAAATTCAGACTGTTAATGGAAACTTATTTGTACGATAACAGAGCTAACCATATATTTTCTCTGGGCTTCCAAAAATTTTAGTTAAGCTGGAAATTCCTTTGCAGATTTTCTTCAAATTCTCCTCCAATCATCGCATAGAGAATGCTCTTATTCTTTACTGTGATCCAAGGTCCAGATAGCACCAGGCTTCTTCTCAACTCCTCTTTTCCATCTATACACGTTTAAATTGGACTTAATCATCTTTCCTCTAACAATAGTTCCTTCTTTTGAATTTTCTGTTTCATGCACACTATAGGATGGAAACCTAGTCATCATAAAATTCTTCCCATTACCTCATTCTCTCACCCTCTATTCTTCCCATCGTAATCTATAAATCATTAAAACTTATTGATCTCTTCCCTCTCATGTTATTTATATATCCACTTTTGATTATATATATATTTTTTAAAGAAAAACTGATTAAATATGAAGAACAATGTGTCAGTGGGTGCAATGCTATGGAGCAAGAGAACTAAGACCACTGAAATCACCATTGATGTTATAGGCTACAGTTAATGCTAATTGTAACCAAAAATGCCTAAATATTTTCTCCTCCCAGAACAGTATGCCACTTAAGCATCTGCTGATTAAGATGGAAATAAAAGCAAATCAAGAATGCTAGTGTTGTAAGATAAGATCAAGCAATATGTAACATGGCATTCTATTTAATTACAAACTTAATGACTACAATAAAACATGCTTTTGGTTGTTTTGTGTGCATATGTTGTATTATATGTGTATTTGTGTGCAGGATACTCTTGTAAGATATGCTATTATTTTAGATAGAAAAAATAGCTTATTATTAAACATTCTTCTAAGTAGTTTCCCAGGTAGTATCTTATTTAAACTTCATAACTGTTTCATGAGAAAAGTACTATTATTATGCCCGTTTTATTGATGATCATAACTGAGGCAGAGAATAGTCATTTGCCCAAAGTTACAGACATCTGGAAAATTGTGGAGCTAGGATTTAAACCCAGAGTGTCCAAATTCAGAACGTAAATTCTTAACTGAAACACATGTGCTATTCTGCCTCATGAGAATTTCATCATCCTTTATAAGCCAGTCATACTATGAACCCAGTCAGATAGAATCATCAACAACAGGGCCTAGACTATAACTCTGTTATCAAAGAAGTAATATATACCTGACTAACGTATTTAGCTTGTTTATTGATACTTTGAAAATTAAATTCAAACTATGCGTGAATGGGTTGGTTAGAGGCCACTGGGTGGGAGACGGATGGCTGGAAGAAGAAATGGCAACTCAGGGCCAAAGGATCTGGGGGGTGAGGAGGGGTAGAAGTGGCTACATTGCAGAGTGTGCTGAGGTTGATCCCTCAGCAAGCCCAAAGAGATCTGTGTTTGACTCTTGCAGAGAAATTTAGAGTGATCTCCCTGGCTCTAAAAAAATCTGTGAGGTATTATGGCTGTTGTACTGAGACAAGTGTTTATATAGGGCAGTGGTTTTCAACTGGACGCAATTCTTTCCCACCCTTCAGATGACGTTTGGCAATATCTGGGGACACTTTTGACTGTCAAGACTGGGTGAAGGGGTTCTCTAGCATCTAACGTGTAAAGGCCAGGCATGCTGCTAAATATCTGAAAAGGCAAAAGACAGTCATCCCTCTTCATTCCTAACAAAAATTACCTGTGCCCATATGTCATTAGTGCCACTGTTGAGAAATCTTGATATAGGGGAATAGGGCCCTGCCTTTTATCATGCAGACTTCAGCAAGCATTGTTGGACACAGTGTAAATTCTTAACTATTAATTGGAAGCACCATGAGCCACACGGTCCTAGCAACAATGGTTATGCTAAAGCTTACTGATGCATCTCCATCTTCATATGGGAGTCAGGGAGAAATCTGGGGAATTATTTATTCAGAGACATCTGTGGGGCATTTTCTGGTGACTTTCAGAAACAGTAAGAAAATAAGTTAGAAAGAAAGACAGAGATTCTTCCTTCTTCCCTCCCTTCACCTTATTTGAGTTCTTTCTTCCCATCCTCCTTCGTCATATGGATACAAACATGAAAAAAATAAAATATCAAAATGGATCAAAAATGTTTATTTTTAATGAAGGTCCTGATACTATATAGTATCTATTAATCTGTTTAGAACATTACAATAATAAAACCAAGGGCATGAATGTTATATATATATATATATACATACATATATCATTATATACATATACATACATATATATATATATATATATACACACACACACACACACACACATATATATATGGGCTGAACAAATTTGCTCAAGCAAAGACAGCCACATTTTTGCTCTGCATTCCCAAAACCAATATACATGAGCTTTTAGAAGTGTGTGCAATTTAGTCACAAGGGGAACCAAATGAAAGAGGGTGGGTATTTTTGTGAAAACCTATCATCTTTAACAGCAAAATAAAAAAATGCCTAAAGCTGATGTCCTGACTAATCACTCAGATTATAGTTAGGCCCAGGAAGAGAAGACTTTTCATTAGGAAACAAATAATTCACAACAGGAAATGCAGGTATTGACAACTGTTCCTCCACTTTTGAAATGAGACTGGGAGATTGGGTGGGGGGAGGCACTATATTCAATAGATATATCTTTCAGAAAATTGTTCCTATCACTATAAAGTGACCTCATATATGTATTTCTTTTTAGAAAAAAATCTATAAATTGTGTTTATAAATAAGTTTCTAGTAATTGTCTTCCTAGAAGATTCTGCTAAAACCAAAAAGAACCGTCAAAGTTCAGAAGAAGCGGTAAGAAAAAGAATAAAGGCAAATATTTCAGTGAGGCAAATCCAAAGCAAACACTGAAACAAATGAGGTTACAGACAATGGTATGAATGTTAATGAACATAAAGCCTGATGGTGGAAATCTGCTAAATGCATAGTTGAGGGAATTGAGAGGACATTTCCCTAACAGTTTGTTCCTGTTGCTTAAAATTTTTTAAAAAAGTTACCGCAGGATGGCCCAATTCAGTCCCAACATCATATTATGCAGATGAGTTACAATTCCCTGCTGAAGTTCTGCAGAAGAGTTGAGTCTAATTTAGCACAGTTGTTTCACACAATATCATCAAGATCAGTGAATGAATACCCAAAGCATGTGTGAAAGGCTGAGAAGTGATTGCAGTTTTGCAACCAGAAACTATTCTTTGGAGGTTCACAAATGTGTGAGAAAGGGAAAAGAAACCACATACAACAACAACAAGAAAAACTCACACAAGAGTTAGTTAACTTTGGACATTTTACCTTCAACTTGAACCTGTATTTTATTATTTTTATTCATAATGATGAAAACAGCATTTTCATCATTGATATCATTTATGATATCAGTGTTGATATCGTAAACCCTGGAGGAAGGCTTTTGTCAGACATTTGGGCTCATGCTATGCACGCACTTATATCTTAATTCTTCCAACTGCGGATGTTCATGGGAAAAGACCTGTCTCAGCAATCTGCTCACTATTAACCTTTTCACAGGGAGGAAGAATAGATGGCATTTGTTTATTTACCTATTCTCTTATTCCTTCAACAAAGATTTGTGAAATGCCTATATGAGCAAAATGAGTTTTCTGTTATTTGAGATTTACAGTCAAATTGAGAAGACAAACATGAAACTAATGAACAGTCATAAGTTTGATAAGAACTAAAAGATCTTATGAGTCTAAAGAGAATGAAGTGTTTCTCTGCCTAGGAGAAGGAGAATTTAGGGAAGCTTTTACACACAAAAAATATCAGACTGTACGAAGATGTACAAAAGATTAGCAATATTTCCCAAGACAGAAGTTAAGTGAGCTGGGCATGGTGGCTCATGTCCGTAATCCCAGCACTTTGGGATGCTGAGGCGGGCAGATCACAAGGTCAGGAGTTCAAGACCAGCCTGGCCAAGATGGTGAAACCCCGTCTCTACTAAAAATACAAAAAAAAAAAAAAATTAGCCAGGTGTCTTGGTGGGTGCCTGTAATCCCAGCTACTCAGGAGGCTGAGGCAGAGAATTGCTTGAACCCGGGAGGCAGAGGTTGCAGTAAGCCGAGATGGCGTCACTGCACTCCAGCTTGGGTGACAGAGTAAGACTCCATCTCAAAAAAAAAAAAAAAAAAAAAAAAAAGAAGTTAAGTGCATATCACTGAATTCTTTGCTACTATTTTTATAAGACCACTGGATCCATCCACAAGCCAGATAACTTGCTAACTTAAAAAAGGCTTTGAGCAACCATGTGTGTTCTTGCCAGTTACTCCTCTCCCATCTCCACCACTTAACCTTATTATTTCCAGGATACGACATCCTCATCACTTTGATCCTGACTTTGGTTTTGCACTTGATGTTGCCTCTGTGGACTTTGTCATGGCTTGCTATTCTCAGTTTTCCTGTGATCCTCTAAACACGTAATGCCTCTCCATAATTATTTGGCTGGCATTAGGGCCAGACCACCTTGAGAGGAGAGAAATTCAGCAGGCAGGAGAAAAAGCATATGCAAAGGCACTGAGAAAAGATCCATTGTTGGTGTTTCCAGGTAGGCAATTCCTTTTGTCTAGAGTATAGAACATGTGTGGGTCAGATGAAACTGGAAACACAAAAGTCATCCTTCTCTGCCTTCTGCAGATTTAAATTTTTTTTTTCTGTAGATGGTAGGAATCCACTGATAGTCTTCAAGTAAGGGACAAAATGGATTAGGTTTGTATGTTAGGAAGATGACAAAAAGGGCAAATTGTACAGAAGAGCGGTTACTGATAGAAAGCAGTGAAAGTGGCAATAGAGAGAAGTGGATGGATTTCAGGAATTATTTAAAAAGCAGTATCTCAGCCGGGCGCAGTGGCTCATTCCTGTAATCCCCACACTTTGGGAGGCCGAGGTGGGTGGATCTTGAGGTCAGGAGATTGAGACCATCCTGGCAAACATGGTGAAACTCTGTCTCTACTAAAAATACAAAAATTAACTGGGCATGGTGGCATGTGCCTGTAATCCCAGCTACTCCAGAGGGTGAGGCAGGAGAATTGCTTGAACCCGGGAGTCAGAGGTTTCAGTGAGCGGAGATTGCGCCAATGCACTCTGGGCTGGCAACAGAGTGAGAGCAAGACTCTGTCTCGAAAAAAAAAAAAAAAAAAAAAAGGCAGTATCTCAGGACTTGACTTCTTTTCTGTCCCATTCACTGACCCTATTTTTATATCCAGATAGGGAACAGTAGAAGGTTGATTTCCAGGTTTTTTGCTTAGATAAAAAATGCTATGCCTTGATTTTGCACCAACATCCTCTCAGATTTACTACATTATTTAATAAGTTTGTTTACTTGTCCAGATTCCCCAATAGACTTTGAGCAACTTGATTTCAAAAACTTTTTTCTTCTTTTTAAAAGTCTTGTCCAATTTTTTAGTCTATTCTTAAAAGAGTGCTTCACATGCAGAATATTTTAAATAAGTGTTTGCTGAATAGATGAAGAGAGCACAGCTTCGAGCTCTGCAGTGAACAGAGGGGCTGCAGAATCTTACTTGAGAGATTTGGGAGTTCCTGGAATATTGGTTCATTGTAGACGGGCTTACCTAGAGGGAAGTATATATAAAGGAACTAGAAAAACAGTCACCAATAATTACTGATGCTGTGCTGTGCACCATGCCAAATACTTTACATGGACCATCTCATTAATCATCTAACAGCGTATGGTTAGATTGTAATTGCTAGTACTAATGACATTTTATAGATACAGAAACAAAGAGTTCCATGGGAGGAGTCTTGAGAAGCAACAGATTTTCTGAGTTGGGTAGAGGAAGGATCAGAGAATGTGACAGAAATGGAATGAGCAGAGTTAGGAAGAGAATCTCTGGAAATAAAAAGAGGACCAAGGACAGATCCCCAACAGCCTTTGTGGAGGTGGGCATGGAGGGGGTCTGGCAGGAGACTTACAAAAAGGAGTCAGAAATATAGGAGAACTTAGAGGAAATGGAAAAGAGAGTTTTGAAAAGAAAGGGATAACTTGGTAGGCAATGCCTCGGGCTGTGAGAGGTCAAGTTATTTAAGGATGAAAGGAGCCTTGAATTTGGCTTTTAGAAGCTTGTTCTGTGCACTGTGAGCTGGGTGGTATTGGTGGAAGACTGAGAGCAGAGGATGAGGAGTGAGGACAATGGACGGGGAGGGAGTGGAGGGAGTGAGTGGCCGCCTTAAGGGAGGAGACACTCGAATGAAGTCAGTTGAGGAGGGAAGGAGTTGCAGAGGTCAGTAACCTGAGGAGAAATAAATTAAAGAAGTTTCATTTTTTATTTTCTTAAAATAGAAAAGCTATTTATCATTTTGTTTATAGATAAAGGCTGAGGGGAAAGAGCCATTGAAGATGGTGCAGATATAGAAGAAAGGGCATAATTGTGAGAATAATATCTTAGAGGATGTTGGAGGAGATGGGTCAATAGTACCAGGAGGGGCGAAAGAATAGACACTGCATCCCCGACCTTTGTCTGTAGGGTTGGTTCAGGGACAGGTTTGAAACACTGCGTGGTATAAGTCAGAGAAAATGTCAAAGAGAGATCTAGAGAGGATTGAGGAAGTTAGGCATAGGAAAGCTTTTTGTGCTATTCCTAATACAAAACTGGGGCAGGCTACAAAGTTTTATATATTTTTTTCATAAAGAAAAATAAATAAATGTAGTACATCTGCATGATATGACTTTGTACTGAAATAAGCCTCACTATGGTGCCTTCTTGAAAATTAACAGATAGAGGCATAAAGTGTTACAGAAAGTAGTTTCATTTAATTTACTGTATTTCATTTGTTTAACATGGCATTTGCAATTGATGTTCCTCTTTGTGTGATAACCGTCTACACGTTACCGTGCATTCTTCCTCAGAAATTCACCCCCTTGAAAAGGATTTGCAGACAATATTAGACTTTTCTTTATTTTTAAAAAATGTATGTTTCCGAACATAAGAAATACAAAGCTATACATTTCTTAGCTACATTTACCCAATCGTATATTAATGATCATGTCAAATTAAACGGTTTCAAACAACAACAAAATAAAGCAATGGAGACAAAAGGAATGAAGTCAAAATAACTACTGGGTAAAATTCAATAGAAAGTGAAAGATTTTAGATTCTCGTATGGTATAATGGGTTCATTTCAGATTTTTTTTTTTCCCTAGGAGAGGAGGCTTTTCTTACAATAAGACCTCTTAATAGAATGTTTCAATGACATTTGGGAAGAAATTCAATTCCCAAACAAATAATTGTAATACAGAGTATGAAAAAAAATCAACAGTTTTTTACCTAAAATATGTCAATTTTTCTAGTATCCCATTCAATGCTTAAAGTAATGTATTTTTACATATGGCTTTCAGGTAGGGATTGCCTACAAATACACCAATTAAAATTTAGTTATGCGTTACTACTCAATCTTTTCTGGTTGCAATATGAAACCGAGCTATCTTTAAATAAAAGAAAAAAGTAGCTTCTCTATTATCTGGAGCCACAAATGTGTATTTTGATAAAGAACTGAAAATTTCCCTCTGGCAATCATTTATTTTGGGAAAAGAAGCGCTATTTAAATACAACTCTGATTTTGCCTGCTTTTGAGCTAACCATGTTGCTAGGGACTTTAATTTGGTAAAAAGAACAGTGTCGTGTGCTCTGTTTTCTACCTGGATGTTTCTAGAACACCATGTACATTGGGATTAGGTTCTCCTCAAAAGGATCTCAAGATCTGAAAACCAGATCAGGTCTTAAGGAGGGCAACTACATGTGTGTTTGGTCGATATTATCTTGCAGACACCAATGTTTCTCTGACCAAAGTATCTTATTTTGGGAGATGCAATGTTTGCATTATTTACCTAAGGAAGGTAACATATTAAGTCATGAGAAGGTAACATATTGAGTCACTATTTCCTTTTAGAAATCGATTTATCAGAAATAAATTCTCACTGGCTAGGTGGGAAACAAGATGGCTAAGAGTACTCTTGCTCGTCAGGGGTGAGAAAAGCTTTCCTATAAAGCACACAGAATCCCCGGGAAGTGGAGCTAGGGAATTATCAGAAAGAACTTTGCTTGTTTCTTCATTTTGCATGTGCCCCTTGTCTTGAGAAACACTTTTGACACTGAGCTTTTTCATGTGGAAGTGCTACGAGTGAACTTTTTTCAAGAGGCACATCAAAGGATTTTCATGCTGTAGGAGTCTGTTTTCAGCTAAGTTCATTCGAACAGACTTTCTTGACCTGCTCACATGAGTAACATGTCTAAATTGCTTAAAGATCTGATAATTTCTCTTCCCTCAGATTTATGGAAAGTTAATAAAAGCTAAATTCTTGTCTTGCATTGTGGAAGAGCACAAGTTGGTCTTATGAATGTGATTCCAAATAGACCAAACACAGTATGGATTTTCAGAAAGTATTTAGTTGCTCCCTTAAATCTCTTAGCTAAAGAAATTGGGTTGGTAATTATGACATTTCTACTACAAGATTTGTTGGATACAAGAGTCTCAAAATAATGTTAGAAAAGCCTTTTTAAAATAGCATTCTAGGAACCAGTCATCTAAATCTTTTGGAATATCCAAAGGTCTTTGTTTAAATTTCTTTAAAGAAAAAATAACTGGTTATATATAATAAATATAGAGCTTATTTGTAAATAAATCATTATTGCTTCCTATGTTCAGCAATTAGGTACTAAATTTCAGATACTTACAATTTTTGGCTATTCGTCACTTTTCTTCTAGTTACTACCAAAACTAATATTAGATTCCAACAATTAGCTTTAAATTACCCTGTCCCATGCAAAATTTATTTAGCTAGCCAACAGTCCTGTGAGGAACGTACTAATATCATGTTCTTCTTGTAGATGAGGATTCTGCAGGTCGGAGATGGTGAGTGATTGGCTCAAGACCTCATAGCCAGAATGTGGCAAAATTAAGGTTCAGTTCCATAATCTCTGACTCCAAATACTGTGCTCTTTCCACTGAAAGCAAAAGAGCTGCCTCTCCATGATCTGTGGTTTACTGCAGCTAATATGTGTCATGGAGAACAGAAAAACACAAGAAGATTATTTCTCATAGCAGAAACAGGAAATATTTTTAGCCTCCCCAAGAATAGAAAATTTCCAGGCACGGTGGCTCACTCCTGTAATCCCAGCATTTTGGGAGGCTGAGGCGGGCAGGTCATGAGGTCAGGAGTTCGAGTCCAGCCTGACCAACATGGAGAAACCCGGTCTCCACTAAAAATACAAAAATTAGCCGGGTGTGGTGGCATGCACCTGTAATCCCAGCTACTCTGGAGGCTGAGGCAGGAGAATTGCTTGAACCTGGGAGGCGGAGGTTGCAGTGAGCCAAGATCGTGCCACTGCACCTTAGCCTGGGTGACAGAGCAAGACTCCATCTCAAAAAAAAAAAAAAAAAAGAAAATTTCCAGTCCCGTTACTACATAGAGAGTTCCAGGACTTTCCAAATTACAGTTCTTTCCATGCATATTGCTGTCAATAAAGTAAGTCAGTGTCAGTGTGATTAATGTAAGCCACACTCAGACTGAAGCACACCCTAAGCTCTTCTAAATCTTTGTATCAAATGCATTCTGCTATGCAATATACAAAATCTCATCTCGAGATACTTCACTCTGAGGCACATGTCGGAAATGTATGCCTCAGAGTGAAGTATATGTATCATGTAATCAGACATGATTACAGAGTTGTTGTCTAGCGAGAAAAATATTTTCTTGTGGGTATTGGAGTGTCATATTAAGGGTCAAGGATGTAGCAGTTTTGGGGTAGAAATTCATCTTCCTCTACTCTTTTTTTTTTGGCAGTCAATAAAGTTGCAGAACAAAAGATTGCATGATAAAAGGTAACATAAGAAAAAAAAATATTTATTACTCTTTTTCACTAATTTGTTTAGCTAACTGCGACCCTTAGTAAAATTCTGGTGAAAACCATGAAGGTAGGTTGAAGAGTGTAGGATTTGAGTGAATGTGGGCTACTCTGTCACAATGGAGGCATCCACATTTCCATGATGAAATGGTAAAGTGTTTAGGGACACAGAATCTGGATTCAGACTGCCAAGGTATGAACACTGGGTATGCCACTTATTACCTGTTTGTCCTAGGGCAAGACCCTTAGCACTCTGTGTCTCAGTTTACTCACCTTTTAAATGGCATATTTCTAGTACCTATCACATTGTGTTACTATGAGGTTTAAAGAAATTCATATCTATAGAGTATTTCAAATATTCCCTGGTATATAGCCATGTTTTCAAATAAAAATAAATTAATTACATTGTCCTCAAATAGTAACTGTTTGTACTTAGTGAAAACTACAGTCACAGAAATTTTGAGTAAGGAGGAACAATGTTTGGAATTTGAAGTGGGGCATTATGTAGTAAAGGAAATCAAAATATTTTACCCCAGGATATCTTTTCTTTGACCTATATATTTATATTTATTTACATTTTTATTTATTTATTTATTTTTTATTTAGAGACAGAGTCTCATTCTGTTGCCCAGGCTGAAGTGCAGTGGTGTGATCATGACTCACTGCAGCCTTGACCTCCTGGGCTCAAGCAATCCTCCCACCTCAGCCTCCTGAGTAGCTGGGACTACAAGTGTGTGTCACTATGCCCGGACTTCATTGTCATATTTTTGAAATGGCTACCACAGGGCCAGGCAGACTGAGGTGGGAGAAATTTCCCTCTGTAGAAAATCCTCATTAATGTAGCCAGGCCTTTTCTTTCTAGGCATTTCCTGGACCTGGGAGAGATGAACTGAATCTGATACCTTTAAAAGTCTGCAAAAACATCATTTACCATCTATTCTCTCTGAGGAGTGCTTAATTAAAAGCTAATACCCAAGCTATATATATATATATGTATATATTTAAAAGGCCCTTTTGCTTTTTCTCTTTCAATGCTGGTTTTGGAAAAATATTTCAGTGGATTAAAATCTTTTTTCCCCCCCCAAAACCTTTGTGCTTGGTACTGCCATTTGCTTCCTTTCTTAAAAATCATTCTCCTATTTACTTTTACTCCATCTACTTTTTCTTTCTCCTTGTCCCATTAGAGGACTTTTGACGACTCAGGCCCCTTAAGGAACTCAGAAAAAAGGTGTCATTCACCCCTTAAGGAATGCAGAAAAAAGGTGCCACTCATGCCTTTTGGGGGATCTTCTGTCTTCCTTGTGGAGGTTCAAGATTTGTAGGCAGACTCTTCTCAGGTCTAAAGCTCTGCTTTCTATTTTATTACCTGATTTCTTTGGCTTTTGGGGGTACGAGAAATTACTTTGCTTTGTGAGAAAACTTGGTTTCTCTGTGTAATGGCTAAGTAAGAGATACAGTTTTAGAGGTCTCTGATGGCATTGCTTATAATCAATAGTTATTACTATAGGAGGCCACTGTTTCTTTGCATATTTTGGATAAGCATGGTACTAGGCACCTAAAGGGTATGGAAACACTCCCTACTGAGAGATAAGACTCCCTTGGGGGATGAGCTTATCACAGAGTGGGCTGATTGACATTGGGCTGCCCACCAGCCCTGGAGGAATGTCCTTGCAGTGAGGTGCACTGTGAAAGTGTTTCGTGACTCAGTCCTCATGGCATTCCTCTCTGGTGTCATGGGATTCAGTATGGTTCTGCCCTGAGGTCAGTGGTCCAGTTAAAAAATAAAAACTAAATTAAAAACAACCTATCTAAATAAAATTGATCTCCTCATAAAATCCCATGGTAGAGTCCTATGATTTTGTGTTACCGTGACATCCATTTTTAATCTTCCTTTAACACAGTCAACCTTCTTGGAAAATCTTAAATTCTATGTCTTCTTTGTGCTTTGAGATGCAAATTTGCTACCCACTTTCTCTAAAATTCAGTCAAATTTTCTTCCAGATAAACTTTAAACTTTTCTATTTACAAAGGCATAGTTTAAATCCAACTGTCCTTTTAAATTGGTGAGTTTTCCTTGTCATATGGCTAAAATTCTAAAATCAAAACTGTAAAGTCTTTGTGCATACATGTGTATGTTGTATGTTGTGTCTACATGTAAGTATATGCCTATACATATGTTTATGTATTATCTATACGTGGTACCAAATTAACTTAAAAATAAATGAGTACTCATATATTAAATAAGTGCAAATATGTTTCAAGGTCACATGACTTTAATATCTTTATTGGTAGATAAAGATAATTTTAAAATTATTGGTTAGATAAAACAGAAATGTCTTCAGAATTTAATGTAGACATTTTTGTTTGGGTCTATTGATCAGATACTACCTGCTAGATGTTACAAAGCTTTTAACATGTGGGAAAAGTATACTCTTGTGAGCAAAATTTGAAGCATATTTCTTTCTGTCTACTTGATTTCTCCAGAATTTGGAAACTACTTGTGGGTATTCATGATTTATGGCAATATAGTTATTTACATCAGTTCAGTAAGAATCTGCTTTGTTTTATAATAGGACACAATTGGAGACACTGGTTATTTTACCAAGGCTTTGATTGAAATGGCATATTTTGAAATATAACCAGATTGCTTTGAGGAATTGAGGTTGGCTTTATAGAGCTGTTAAAAGCCCCTTGGAAAGACTGGCCTGGTCCTTTTTCTTTGCAGTTCCTTTACAAAGTTCCTGACCTGTGGTGAGTAAAGATTGCTACTTTCGGACAGGGCCAGGAACCTCAAGTTATTTTGGGACCCCGAGAAAAGAGGAATTGCAGGTATTTACAGACAGTTTGACGGCAAAAACTTGGCTTGAATAGGCTGGAGAAGGTTTTAAAAAGTCTATCCTGAGATTCCTTATGAAAAAGTCCTAACAAAGCGAATTTAAAAGAGCCTATTTCGCCAATAATTACTCTTGGGGCACTTAATGCAAATAATCAGGCCAAGTATAATAAGACTAAAATTTATTTTGCAAAAATTTGGTTCTACTATGATTTGCCTTTGGTAAAAATGGAGGACTGGGGAGAGAAAAATTATGTTTCATAAGAAACTGCAGTACACCTGTTATTGGATTCTAGCCTTGCCCATTATTTTTGAGTTTTGAAATTATTAGTCTACAATTTAGATGAGATCCTGGATTCTTTCCTGCCTATGAGTCTTCAAACCAACATTTCCAAAATTTTTCTTCCAATTTTCTTACTTGGAATCAGTAGAAATTAAAATTGTGCTTTTCTTAAAGTCCTGAAAGCTGAAGCTAGACAACTTAAACTTTGCGAGAAATAACATCAACTTTTATATAAACAATCTTCATGCCTGCCTCCTGATGTATGGACTTCTCAGAAAGTTCACTTGAATACCTGATACAAACTACACTCCAGAAAAATTTGTCAGGTTGTCACTGCAGTCTGAAGATGCTTCAGAGACTCTAGAAAAACTATTGTGTAGACTCACTGCTCCAGACATTAACTTTTCTTTTTCGTTTGTTTCTACAGAAATGGCTCTTATTAAGGATCTGTTTTTCTGTATCATAGATAGATGTCGCACCCATCTGCAGTGCTACATCCTGCAGTGGGACACAGCTGTTTAATTGAATTGATCTATTCTCAGGACTGAAAGAGTGACTAGAGAAGATATGGGACAATATGTTTAAATATTCTCTTTTCTGTTTATCCCAATTCATCATTCTAGTTTTTGTTTATCTCTGTCTAACAAGCTCCAACCCAAATTTCTCCAAAGCTATCGTTTTGGAGAAATTTGGTTTCGAGCTTGTAAGATATAGACAAAAAGCCCATTTGGCTTTTAATATATGAAATTGTTTTAAGTTTCAAAATGAGGACTGAAGGAAATAAAAATATTTTAACCCAAAATATATTTTCTTTGACATATTTTGAAATGGCTGCCCCAGGGTCAGCTGACTGAGGGGGTGGAAATCTGCCTCTGTAGAGAATCCTCTTTAATGTAGCCAGGCATTTCCTGGATTTAAAAGAGGTTAACTGAGTCTGACACCTTTAAGGATCTGAAAATAGACATTTTCCATCTATTCTTTCTGACGACTATTATTTATGTGGCTTCATCTACATAATAAGGCCACCTTTGCTAGCCAGGACTCTTCTTTCTCCATGTCTTAACTGTCTTGCCACTAACCCTGACTTACCAGAATCACCTGTTTTTGGCCATGCTCCAAGCCTGCATTCTTTCTATAACCTCAGGTGGTATATAAGTTTCTGTGCCTTATTGTTGGATTGCGTCTTCTTTCTGAGGGCTCCTGTGTATACACATTAAATAAATATGTATGCCTTTTATCCTATTAATCTGCCTTTTGCAAGTTGAGTTTTCAGCAAACCTTCAAGGGGTCAACAGCCATGGCCCGCACAGTAGCCTACTCTGCTTTTTTATGACACAATTTTTTCTTCAACTACCTGTTGCCGAAAAGCTTCTAGTGCCTTCATTTCGTTGTTGGGAAGTTTCAGTTTTATTTTTCTTTATACTTTTTAAATTTTTTTGAGACAGTCTTGCTCTGTCGCCCAGGTTGGAGTGCAGTGGTGCAATCTTGGCTCACTGCAACCTCTGCCTACCTTGTGCCTCAGCCTCCTGAGTAGCTGGGATTATAGGCATGCACCACCACGTCCAGGTAATTTTCAGTTTTAAAGAGAAATAAAGTAATATATTGAACTATTTATATGGAACTTCTTGCAAAATTCCATTTAGAGTCTGGTTCTATTAGCAAGTAATAGAAAAAATCCCAATCCCATTCTAAGAAAGCATTATGGTGTGTTCTGAAATAGCTATATATCTGGTTATCCATTGATGATGGGCTGTTTCTCTGGAACACTTTTTATCACTAGACAGAAGAACAAAGCCATAGGGATGTTTTCATTCCTGTTTTGGGCCACTTCTTTGTGAATCTACCATTAGGTGATAATTAATGAAGAACATTATAGTCCTTCATTAACATATATGATATTATAGGATATACTGTAACATTTAATATATTTCATACATAAGAAGGATTTCAATCTGTAATATTTTAGGACTCTAGCACTTTTCTTTCCTGATATCTTGCTTTATTTTCTTGTTGATGGTATGTGGCAGCTTCAACATAGAAAAAGATATAAACTGCAGATATGGTACCATTGAAACAAACAGGTATGTTCTTTTTCTGCCTTTTAAAAAAATGTCCTGAACTTCTGCTGTACTAATCACTGTTTAAAGAAAGCAAGCTCTCAAATAACTTTTACTTTACTTATGTGATACAGGTTTTTGTTTTAGTATTTATTGTAATAACTCACATGATAAATATAACTAGTGTATAGGGTAATTGTTTTGCAATTTATCATAATGTGTCTACTTGTATTTCAAATTACAGTGGAATCAAGATCATGTAGGTCTTATAAAATTAGTAAGATATGTTTCTTTGACATTCTATTTGACATATTCTTTTAATTTTTAAAACAATTGAGAGTTGGTTTGTTTAATTGTATTATTGCCTTTTTACTTTTGTTTGTCTTCTATTGGTGTGTATTGGTTAATAGCTGTGTTTGCATAAATCATATACAGAAAAGTGCAATATGTCCAATTCTATAAGAATAAAATGTCACTAGTATATAATGAGTGTGTAAATGCAGTGCATCATTTTATTACTAATAACCAGTCAGTAGATGGACATATGAAATCTGTATCAACTGTGAATTTGGTTTCATTGTACAGAAAGCAGGATATTGTCTACACATCATCATAAGATTTACACACTCATTGCCAGTTGCTGTCTGAGGGAGCTCCTTCAAGAGTGGTGGCAGGCACAGGGAGGAGATTATGAAACAACTAATGGGGGCAGTCAAAAAATCAGGCAGAAATAAGTAAAATATATGTAAAATAGTAAAGAGAATATCGATTGAAGAGTTGTTTATATGGTACCCAAACTAGCAAATGCAATGAGAAATTCAGTCAGACCAAAGACCTAGTGTCAACAGCTTGCCAAAATACTTTTCTTCTTTCATTTGATTGTTACTGTGCCATACATTGCACGGTTATGTATTCATTACTGCATTATCTCAGTAACATGGTGAATCCCTGCCTTGTTCAGGGGAAGTAAGGGAGATTATTGAGCTCATTATCACATAAATTTTAAAAAATTCCACAGATGAGCAATGCTCAGCTTAAGAAAGAGACAATGTAATTCATTTAAATATTTTCATAATTAAAATTATATTAATTTAGCACTCTAAATCAAATACTCCACATTTGATTTTATGTACGCATATAAATGCATGTACAGGCATATAAAATGAGTGCATATATAAAAATACATTACATATTCATAATGGTTATTTTACGCAGTCACAATCCAGGTTGTTCAAAAACATAATGTGATTATTTCTTTAAAATCCTATTGAACTCATAAGCTTTCATTTTTGCTTGGCTGTAGGTGCCTTGTTCTAGCTCTTGTAAGCCAACACAGTCACATCCAATTTTAAACTCAGTCACTTTGGGGTAATTACTCTCTCAGTTCAGAACTTACCCCCACTACCACCCTTTCATTCATTGCTTTTTCCCTGTTAGCAACTGCATTTGGGCGACTTCCCTAAATTTCATGGCATTGAGGGTGCGGTATGAGGTGCACCGCTGGTCTATGGTGGCCTTTGATCTTTATTGCCTTCTGCTGAAGTGTGATTCCTTCTTCTTGCTTTTGGGTATAACTTTTGTAATTCCAAATGCATCTGTGGTGAAGGTCAGTACTTCCACCTTGGCCTCCAGTTGTCAGCTGCATGACAGTTTCTCTCTTCTCTGAGACTGGGACATCCCTTGTAGTTTACTAGCCTATGCCATCTACCTCAAGAAATAGCTATTTCTCCATACCCAGGGGTAGAAAGAACTCTTTGTGGCTGCTGCCTTCGGAAGCATTTACCTGGACACAGGCATCAGCCACTGGGGATTCGTATTGGATCACCAGCCTCCCTAAAAAGTTTGCCGTCTCCTAGATCAAGCCTGGGAAAGCCATGTAACTGCCCCTTTGGCTTGGGGATTACTGCCTGTTTTCTATCACAATTTCAATTATTTTGTAGCATACACCCCTTCTAAGGACTCATCCAGGCTCAAGGATTTACTGGGAGCTTCTCAGCATCTAAGTGCTGGTGGAATTTCTCTGATACATCTCTTTTTATATTCACCTATAGTTGGTCTTTTTTTCTGTCAGAGAAAATAGTCATTATTCTTCCATACTTTGTTTTATGGCATTACCTTTTATGCTCTAATTCCTCTGGGATTTGACTGTTGATATTTAAATCTAAGCCATTGGAATTCATAAGAATATTTTTTAAAAATTCACTAATGTAGCTCTAGTAACCAAAAGTGAGAATGTTATTTCTGCTATTTGCCTTAATAGATCTAATCTACTTAGGATCAAAATTTAAAAATTTGTCTTTTTGTTCTTCCTATATTATTTCTATTCACATAATGATACAAAGCTTCTGCTGTTAAGTGGCAAAGAATCGTAAAGTTAAGTGAATGAAAAAAATCATACGGTTTAAATCACAAACTGTATTTCATTATATTTACTTATAGTTGTTTATTACACTCTAATGGATACTGATTATTTTGTTACCTTGAAGACTCTCCCTCCTCTGTAGAACTACTTCTTTCTCTACTCTAACAAAAAGGGCTTGCATTTGGAAGAAAGAGAGCATGCGTTTCTCACGAGACCTCACCCACAGGCCACATTTGATTGGTCCGGGGAGTGGTATCGTATTATTCAGGATGAATAAAAAATTCTGCTGGATTTTTTTTTAGGAGAGAAAATACACTAGATGTTTGGAGATGTGAAGTTTATATATAGGAAGCCAGTCTGTGATTAGAGAGAGTGAAGTAAGTAGAGATAAGTGAAAAAGTTGTGAAGTCATAATTGGACAATAAGATGAAAAGAATGTCTTTACTTTCTAAAGTACTGGGCTATCAATACAGAGTGGGCAGCTGATGATTTGCAAAATTTGGTGTCTGTGTGATCTTGAACAAGTTACTTAAACTTCATGAGCCACACTTACCTCTTCTATGAGGTGGGGCTAACTGCCAATTCTAATGGTTTAAACACACAAAACTGGCAGCTGTTATTTTATAACAGCACCAGGTGGATTTAATGATAAAGCTAGTCTTAACCTTAATTGGCATTTCATTTTTCTCAGAGATGACTTCAAATGACTATTTTCTATATTATGATCTTAGTGAACAACACTTCATAGTTGCAGGAACTAAAAAAAAACATGGATGAAATTGATGTATTATTTAATCAGAGAAGTGTAGGCTTAGCCAACTTCAGTCCCAATATTTAAATATATCTTATCCCTACAGAAGCATTCAGCATAGACAGTGCTTGCACAAAATCAATGACTAATAATTGCAAATTGCCAACCTAAATTTCTTCGCAGTATTAAATTTTTCTCTTTTTTAATACTATAGGAAGTGTTGCAAATGGCCCAATTCATTTCTGTATCATTGATTCAAAAGAAATATAATTCTGTTGGAGGTCCTATTGTCTCCCTTTTATCCTTCATGCATAACATTAATTTGGCGAAGACTACAAAAATATGTGAGTTACATCTTAAATATTTCTGCAACAATGCTAATGACTTTAACTTCATCAGTTTTTCATCACAAAATTGCCTCAACAAATTGAGTAGATGTTATCTTTATGTGATGGTAAATGAAGAAAAGCCAGTCAATAAGAAATGAAGGCTACCTCTCTGTGGTGTTTGCAGTTCCTGGGTGTTTTAGTGTCACTAGATGGGGACTTTAGAGATAGTGCTTTGTGTGTGACTGAAACAGAAAATCCAGAGAGAGACTTAAGGACTTTGTCTATTGTTACCCTGTAAGACTATACTTTTTCTTTTCACCTGTAGAAGGCAGAATTTCTTGGCAGGAAGAACGTCAGTCCATGTATTATCCATATCTTCAGGGCCAATAGGTCTATAAGAAGTTTGAATTTTGCGGTTCTATAAAAATCATTGCATGTGTACTGAGCAACATTTGAAATACACAGAAGGAAAAAATAAAATGGTGAAAACACACTTTTCACTTTACCACCTGGAAGTAATCACTGCTAATGTTTTTCCATATCCAGGTTGACATATGTGAGACCTTTCTGTGTAATCAGTTTTATCTTCTGTCCTTTTCACGTACTGTTGTAACATAGGTATTTCCTCTTCTCATTGCAAACCTTTGGAAAGTATTTAAAAGGCTGCATAATGTTAGCTGTATTATAATGTATTTCCATCCTTGCTTTATTGTTTATACATCATCTTTTCTAGGTTTTAAGAACTATAAGTAATGCTGGGATGAACACTTTTTTTTTTCTGTGGGAAGAGCATAATGAAACCAAGGAGGGCTTTGGGGGACAACTGTACCTTCCAATCTGCTGTAACATGTGTTGGGGACTTTATTTCTTGTAGAGACCATCATATGTTAAAATAGGGAGAGCAGTTTTGCTTGTCGGTGCTGTGATGCCCAGGATCAGAGAATGGGAGATGATGGTCATTCCTTGCAACCCTGTACCCTTTTCTAGAAGTAGATTTTAATTTCCTATAATCCATTGCTTGGTTGGGATTTCTCTAGTGAGTACTCCAATTTTCCACTTGTCTACACCATATCACACTGCCCTTCAGTGTTGACGGGATTGTTTTTACTCTTCTGTGCTGTCTTAGGCACTCAGCATAAAACTACATGACATGATAGCTGTTGTACTGATAATTATGCATGTCTTTGACATGTTCTCAGGAACTCTAAGTAAAGAAACCTTAGCAAACTTATTTACCATTGGACATGGCAGTGTTGACTAATAACACTAAGAATAAATTGGAGACATATTATAACGGAATTTATATTTTAGCTATTTGCTCCCTGCTGGTTCCTTTAACATTTTGTTGGGATATTCTGAACATAGTAAAAATGATACCTCCTCCCTTCTGTTATTGTTTTAAATATTTTTAGAGTTTTCCCCTGAGCACATTTGCCATATGATTGACTTAGGAAAAATAGTGGTTGAGAAAAGCAAGATGAATGAAGGGATTTTAAGACTACAATTCTTTTTCCCCAGTTATGACATAAAATCACAGAAACTCATATTTATTCTCTCTCTTTTTCTTTCATTACCGTGTGAATAAACCTAGAATTACATTCTACAGAAAACTTTGATTTTGCTTATGAGCTGATAACCCTTCGGTTTGCCTCTCGGCAACAAAATTTGGTTGGTTAGGCAACGCAAATTTCACAAAAGAATATGTAGAGAGGTTTATTTTTCTCACACCGGCTCTGCATTTACCTGGCTGCCCAACATAGCTGCATTGTAGGTACTCGTGGTACTTAACAGGGAATGTAGTTCCAAACTCTCACCCTTCCAATATTTTTCTAAAGCTTAGTAGAGAAAAACAAACTTTATGGAGGATTGCCTGAGAGAAAAGCAATAGATTCATCTCTGTGAATCAGTGATTCTCATTGAATGGAATTTGGGGATGTACAGGAAAAAGGGGGAAGGAGGAATGGGGGAACTCTTACATCCTCTCTGTAGGAGGGCCTTGTTCCCAAGGTGAGGGTGATTTTTTTGTGTGTGTGATTCATGCCTCTCTCAGATGTTGATGCCTCTCTCAGATGTTGATGTGGATACAATTTGAGAAACACTGCTCGAGCTACCCTAAAGTAGGAGTGATAACCTGGAGACTTCTTGATCAAATCCACCTTATGGACATGTTCTCTCTATCCAGCGCATGTGCGTGTGTACACAACGGCACACACACAGACACACACACACACACACACTTTAACAGGGAATGTACAATTTGCATAAAATATAAATGTCCCTGGAAAAAAAAAATATACCAAGACTAGGCACATATCCCTGCATGGCAACAAACACCCAGACTTGAGAAACAATTCCTTCTTTGGTTATTGTCCTTATTCCTTAAATCATTGATTTAGGTTGCCTGTCTGATTTAGATTATCTGTTTGTTCCCTACAAGTGCTGGTGTTTACAACACCTGGGTAACAGCCTAACTATGGATTAAGCTAAAAGAACAAAGAGCTGGGTACTTGAGTGTATTCGTCTATTTTGCATGGCTACAACAGAATATCTGAGGCTTGGTAATTTATAAAGAAAAGAGGATTAACTGGCTCACAGTTCTGCAAGCTGTACAGGAATTGTGGTGTCAGCATCTGCTTCTGCTGAGGGTCTTAGGAAACTTACAATCATAGCGGAAGGTGAGGGGGGAACAGGCACGTCACATGGTGAGAGTGGGAGCAAGAGAATGGGGAGAGGTGCCATGTGCTTTTACACAACCAGATCTTGTGTGGACTCAGAGCGAGAACTCACTCATCACCAAGGGTATGGTGCTTAGTCATTCATGAGGGATCTGTTCCCATGATCCAATCACCTCCCCCCAGGCCCCACCCCCAGTACTGGGAATGACATTTTAACATGAGATTGGGAAGGGACAAGCATCCAAACTGTATCACTGGGCCACATCATTTTACTTTCTAGTATTGATTTTCTAGATCTGTGCTTTGGTCTGATGCCAAAGGCCTTGTGACACAAGAAAGGGACCTTCTGGAATCCATCTCCAAGTTTACTATAGGGATATTTTGATCACTACTTGGACATTTTATAAATATAGTGGTTAAAAAGATAGACTGTGATGCCAGACTGTCTGGACTCCAATCCCAACTCCTGTATTTCCTAGCTGAACAGCTTAGGCCTGGCATTTGCTCTTACTTTGATTCAATTTCGTCATCTGTAAAATGGAGATTACAATAGTACTTCTTGTTTAACAGTTTTGTTTGTGATCAAACATATGGATTTATGTAAAGTGTTTAGGACAGTGTTTAGCAGAGACAAGTGTTCCATAAGTAATAATATTACTAATATTATTATTACCTGTCTCAGGAATAGGAATAGTTGCACCTGCTATTACATTTTTCTACTTTATGGGGAATCTAAAACTTGTAATGAATCACATCTGTGTCATCTTACTGGCTGCTAGAAAGTTTTATTACCATATGTATTTTGTCCTACATCCATCTTATTTTCCCAGTCTTTATTTATGCTATATGATTCTTACTCTTGATTGTTCTTATTTTGCTCTATTATATTCATCTTTGCAATTCACTTTAATTTTCTTTTGAAACAATATGGGTCCTAAAAATAAACCCAAAGCAAACAAACATATGTGAGCTGTGAGCTCTCCTAAGTGGACAAGTATGACCAGTAAAACTAATTATTTTCCACATGAATTTCTTGTGAAGTTTGCTTTTCTGCTGACATTCTGAGCTTCCATATATTTTCAGCTCTGTCTTTTAGCTTTAGGGATATACTGATTCAGTCATTTTTGATAGAAGCATTCCAGCAAGTTCCTGAGGTCACATTATTTCCCAGATGTCTTCAAATATATTGCATTGCTGCAAATTGATTTTTAGCTTGTCTTTAAGTTTAACATCTGAGTGTCCTATGACTATTTGGGTTTTTTTTAAGGTACCAAAGCCAATTGTTTGTGTATTTAAATTTGCAATGTGAGATGATACTAAAAGCAATCACATATATACATCTTGTGTAAAATAGGCTATTTCATATAAATAAACTATTTGTATATGGACAGTCCCCTAAAGTTTACTCTTCCAGACACTTGGGGAATTTTACTGTTATTTTTGATACAATAGATATGGCGATCATTTGCCCCAAGGCTAGTAGAATGACAGGTCTTTATTTCTCACCTTTGTAACTGAGTGGTAAACATGAATGAAACAATTTTTGGGATCTTTTAATCAGGGAAGCAGAAACTACTCTATTGGGGTTTAATATGAGGAATTGGTTATCAAAGTGAAGGATGGGCTGGAGAAGCAAAAGGGATAAAGTGGTTTTATCCAGAGCTTATGAATCTGCCCTCATTGCTAATGTTGTCAGAACCCTTGCTTTGAGCAGGATCTAAGGAGCCCACACTCTTACCAATGCTTCTGTTATCTTTCTTGTTCTCACCTTCTAATCTCATGCAAGTCCCTCCTGTTGGCAGAATTCAACTGGAATGCATGAAGCTCGAAAGAAATTCTCAGAAGAGCAGTTTTCAGACTGCTACACTGGCAGCCTGGGGGGGGGATTTAGAATCTACTTTATTGCCCGCACTTCTATCTTTAACCCTTTTAAAATTTTTATTCTGAGTTACTTTGTTCCTCCATGTCTTTCACATAACGTAAGCATTCTAATTTTAAAACATTTTAAATTCTATGAAAATAGTTCCAGCTCCAGGAATATGTCAGTTATATCAGAAACATTTACAGAAGTCACTTATTGATGTCTAAATAGAAATATTTTAGTTTGTCTTATTGCCACTTATCTGGCTTTTGCCAATCCTCAAGTTGTAAATTTTTTCAATGAAAATACTTAATGCACCTCTCTATTATTTTAGCTACCTACATTCCATGTTTCCTTGTCAGAATAGAAATCATTTCATTATTATGCCTGAACATTTTCCCAGCTTTATTTACTTGAATTTGGTTTTTGTTTTTGTTTCTGGATTTTCGCAATCATGCATTTTGTTTTAACTGTCCTTCGTCAAGATATGGGCTTGTGTTTGGATTCTACATCAAAAACTAGGGTTGATCAGCTTTCATTGTGACTGCCAAAGCATTCGGAAGAATTTGGGATTCTTAAAATACATCATAAAATGCATCCAGAAAGACTAAGGCATTCAAGTAGCAGAGACAGAATTGCTCTGAACTGCACAAGTATGACTGGGTTGGCGAGTCAACAGAACCTGAGTGGGAGGGCTCATATTTCTCTACAACCCTTTTTCCCCAGAAGGGTTTTTTTTGTCATTTTGGCAGTGGTTGACAGGACTCAGTTGAATCCTGACATGTACTGTCTCTCTTGTAAGTGTTTCTGACATAACTGACAAAGTCCTGGAGGCTTTTGACAAGTTTGTCAACCTAATGAATGGGCACCTAAGCCTTAAAACCACAGTAAAAGGTCGTGTCAGTTGTTCAAGGAGGGGCACAAAATTCAGGTAACCAACTAATGGTTTTAGGGCTGTTCTACTTGCCTGCTTGCTGATGTCACTTCAACAGACCAAAAAAAAAAAAAAAGTCGTCTTTGAAATAAATATTCATCTTTGGCAGCATAACATAGCATATGTCTTATGAATGGAATACATTTTTTAAAATGTTATTTGTAACATTTATCTTCTCATTTGTTTAACAGTTTCTTTTGTGTATGCTATAGCTGGAATGCTTAATACTTTAGGCCTCTGAGGCTTTCTGGCACTGTCTGAAAGGTTTAGGTTACTGTGGTAAATGTTTTCCAGTAAATGGAACAATGACTACTAAATAACTTTGCTGAAGTGAGGATTAACCAGAGTAATTACAATTGCTTGGGACTTTGTGTTTCAGGGACAATGTTCTATATGAAAATCACCAGGGCCTCTGACACTTAAGTGTCACTCAATTTGAGCAGAATAATTAACAGTAATATTGGGTCTGAAGTTTGAGAGTTAGAAACAAAAAAGATAATTGCATAGGTCTGAAAACTATTAAACAAAATAAAATTATATTCTACCTTTGCTATTCTATCTCAAAGGTATGATGTTTGCCTTTGCAGGCAATGTCTTTGCAGTATCTAAATTGGACTGGAATTTTAATGTTTCAATCTATTTCTCTTGGGCTTCAGAAAATCTGTTATTCTAACTTTTTACATGGATTAGAACATTTCCAAACTCGGATAGATCTGAGTTGCTTATCTTAAAGTCTATGAAGTGACTGATACTTTTTCTCACCTAGAATGTAAAGGCAGAAACCAATAGTAGTATAATAATCATATTGGTATAATAATCACAAAGTTTTCCATGTGCATAATGAAGTCGTTAATTTATCTTGCTTTTTGAAGGAACTTTAATCTTGCAATAAATTTAACAAAGTATTCACCCTCCTTGTTCCTATTTTTGTTCATTGTTAAAAGCTGGAAGGTACATTAAAGATGATCACATTCAGTAAATTTTATTTTTTCCCTAAGGACGAGGTAGGAATAAGGTTGGTAAATGGGGTGGAGGTAGTAGGAATGAAGTTGAAGTTAAACACATACAGCTCTGTGCTCCCCACTCCTTTCTGATGAGGAGATTTTTTTTTTTGAGATGGGTCTCACTCTGTTACCCAAATTAGGGTGCAGTGTGCAATCACAGCTCACAACAGCCTTGACCTCCCCAGTGCAAGTGATTCTCTCACTCCAGCCTCCAAAGTAGCTGGGACCACAAGCATGCACCACCATACCCAGCTAATTTTTGAATTTTGTACAGTTGGGGTCTCACTGTATTGCCCAGGCTGATCTTAAACACCTGGGCTCAAGCAATCCTCCCACCTTGGCCTCCCAAAGTGCTAGGATTACAGGCGTGAGCCACCATGCCCAGCCTGATGAGGGGAATTTTCTTTATTTTATATAGTAGGAGTTCTTGGGATGTGTAATTCTGCTGCTAATAAGACTTGTACTGACTGTTCTCATGCTGCTAATAAAGACATACCCGAGACTGGGTAAAAGCTTTAATTGACTCACAATTCTGCAGAGCTGGGGAGACCTTAGGAAACTTACAATCATGGTGGAAGGGGAAGCAAACACGTCCTTCTTCACATGGTGGCAAGAAGGAGAAATGCCGAGCAAAGGGGGAAAATCCCCTTACAAAACCATTAGATCTTGTGAGAACTCACTCACTATCACAAGCCCATCATGAGGGCAGCCACCCCCATGATTTAATTACCTCCCACTGGGTCCCTCCCAGGATACGTGGGGATTATGAGAACTACAATTCAAGATGAGATTTGGGTGGGGACATGGCCAAACCATATTAAGCTCCTTACATTTCAGATGAGGAAACTTGGCTCCAGAGAAACTAAATGGTTTGCCCAGTATCACAGATGTATTTCATGACCAAGAAAATTCAACCAAATCTGGATCCTAATGTGGTAATAATTTCTTTTTTTAAAAATTCAAGCAATAGTTTCAGATAGGATTTCTAATAACATTGAAGACAAAAGCAAAGAACAAAACAAAGCAAAACTCTCATCTTTTTAAAGAATTTATGGCTTGAGAGAATAGATGAACAATGGATGTACATACAAAGTAAGAGCCTTTTAACAAGAGAAGGCTGCTCATGTCCTCTTGAGTAAGGCAGGTTTCATAAAACTCATATTTCCTTAAGATTTTTTCCTTTAGAATATTAGCAAAAACATTCCAGGAAATTTCAAAACAGTTTTATATGGAATTCTTACTGCGTATTCATATTTTCCTAAAAATAGTCTAATCAAATAAGTTTTTTTTTTTTTTTTAAGACGGGGTCTCGCTCTGTGCCCAGGCTGGAGTGCAGTGGCGCGATCTCGGCTCACTGCAAGCTCTGCCTCCCAGGTTCATGTCATTCTCCTGCCTCAGCCTCTGGAGTAGCTGGGACTACGGGAGCCAGCCACCACGCCCGGCTAATTTTTTTAAAAATATTTTTAGTAGAGACGGGGTTTCACCATGTTAGCCAGGATGGTCTTGATCTCCTGACCTCGTGATCCGCCTCCCAAAGTGCTGGGATTACAGGCATGAGCCACTACGCCCGGTCCAAAATAAGATGTTTTAACTGGGCACATAGGACATTCTTTTTTTTTTTTTTTTTAATACTTTAAGTTCTAGGGTACATGTGCACAATGTGCAGGTTTGTTACGTATGTATACATGTGCCATGTTGGTGTGCTGCACCCATTAACTCATCATTTACATTAGGTGTATCTTCTAATGCTATCCCTCCCTGCTCCCCCGACCCCACGACAGGCCCTGGTGTGTGATGTTCCCCTTCCTGTGTCCAAGTCTTCTCATTGTTCAATTCCCACTTATGAGTGAGAACATGTGGTGTTTGGTTTTTTGTCCTTGTGATAGTTTGCTGAGAATGATGGTTTCCAGCTTCATCCATATCCTTACAAAGGACATGAACTCATCATTTTTTATGGCTGCATAGTAATCCATGGTATGTATGTGCCACATTTTCTTAATCTGGTCTATCATTGATGGGCATTTGGGTTGGTTCCAAGTCTTTGCTATTGTGAATAGTGCCACAATAAACATATGTGTGCATGTGTCTTTACAGCAGCATGATTTATAATCCTTTGGGTATATACCCAGTAATGGGATGGCTGGTCAAATGGTATTTCTAGTTCTAGATCCCTGAGGAATCACCATACTGTCTTCCACAATGGTTGAACTAGTTTACAGTCCCACCAACAGTTTAAAAGTGTTCCTATTTTTCCACATCCTCTCCAGCACCTGTTGTTTCCTGACTTTTTAATGATTGCCATTCTAACTAGTGTGAGATGGTATCTCATTGTGGTTTTGATTTGCATTTCTCTGATGGCCAGTGATGATGAGCATTTTTTTATGTGTCTTTTGGCTGCATAAATGTCTTCTTTTAAGAAGTGTCTGTTCATGTCCTTTGCCCACTTGTTGATGGGGTTGTTTTTTTCTTGTAAATTTGTTTGAGTTCTTTGTAGATTCTGGATATTAGCCCTTTGTCAGATGAGTAGATTGCAAAAATGTTCTCCCATTCTGTAGGTTGCCTGTTCACTCTGATGGTAGTTTCTTTTGCTGTGCAGAAGCTCTTTAGTTTAATTAGATCCCATTTGTCAATTTTGGCTTTTGTTGCCATTGCTTTTGGTGTTTTAGACATGAAGTCCTTGTCCATGCCTGTGTCTTGAATGGTATTGCCTAGATTTTCTTCTAGGGTTTTTATGGTTTTAGGTCTAACATTTAAGTCTTTGATCCATCTTGAATTAATTTTTGTATAAGGTGTAAGGAAGTGATCCAGTTTCAGCTTTCTACATATGGCTAGCCAGTTTTCCCAGCACCATTTATTAAATAGGGAATCCTTTCCCCATTTCTTGTTTTTGTCAGGTTTGTCAACGATCAGATGGTTGTAGATGTGTGGTATTACTTCTGAGGGCTCTGTTCTGTTCCATTGATCTATATCTCTGTTTTGGTACCAGTATCATGCTGTTTTGGTTACTGCAGCCTTGAAGTATAGTTTGACGTCAGGTAGCGTGATGCCTCCAGCTTTGTTCTTTTGGCTTAGGATTGACTTGGCGATGTGGGCTCTTTTTGGTTCCATAGGAACTTTAAAGTAGTTTTTTCCAATTCTGTGAAGTAAGTCATTGGTAGCTTGATGGAGATGGCATTGAATCTATAAATTACCTTGGGCAGTATGGCCATTTTGATGATATTGATTCCACCTATCCATGAGCATGGAATGTTCTTCCATTTGTTTGTGTCCTCTTTTATTTCGTTGAGCAGTAGTTTGTAGTTCTCCTTGAAGAGGTCCTTCACATCCCTTGTAAGATGGATTCCTAGGTATTTTATTGTCTTTGAAGCAATTGTGAATGGGAGTTCACTCATGATTTGGCTATTTGTCTGTTATTGGTGTATAGGAATGCTTGTGATTTTTGCACACTGATTTTGTATCCTGAGACTTTGCTGAAGTTGCTTATCAGCTTAAGGAGGTTTTGTGCTGAGATAATGGGGTTTTCTAAATATAGAATCATGTTACCTGCAAACAGGGACAATTTGACTTCTTCTTTTCCTAATTGAATACCCTTTATTTCTTTCTCCTGCCTGATTGCTGTGGCCAGAACTTCCAACACTATGTTGAATTGGAGTGGTGAGAGAGGGCATCCCTGTCTTGTGCCAGTTTTCAAAGGGAATGCTGCCAGTTTTTGCCCATTCAGTATGATATTGGCTGTGGGTTTGTCATAAATAGCTCTTATGATTTTGAGATATGTCCCATCAATACCTAATTTATTGCGAGTTTTTAGCATGAAGTGTTGTTGAATTTTGTCAAAGGCCTTTTCGGCATCTATTGAGATAATCATGTGGTTTTTGTTGTTGGTTCTGTTTATATGCTGGATTACGTTTATTGATTTGCATATGTTGAACCAGCCTTGCATCCCAGGGTTGAAGCCCACATGATCATGGTGGATAAGCTTTTTGATGTGCTGCTGGATTCAGTTTGCCAGTATTTTATTGAGGATTTTTGCATTGATGTTCTTTAGGGATATTGGTCTAAAATTCTCTTTTTTTGTTGTGTCTCTGCCAGGCTTTGGTATCAGGATGATACTGGCCTTGTAAAATGAGTTAGGGAGGATTCCCTCTTTTTCTATTGATTGGAATAGTTTCAGAAGGAGTGGTACCAGCTTCTCCTTGCACCTCTGTTAGAATTTGGCTGTGAATCCATCAGGTCCTGGACTTTTTTTGGTTGGTAGGCTATTAATTATTGCCTCAATTTCAGAGCCTGTTATTGGTCTATTCAGAGATTCAACTTCTTCCTGGTTTAGTCTTGGGAGGGTATATGTGTCCAGGAATTTATCCATTTCTTCTAGATTTTTTAGTTTATTTGCGTGGAGTTTCTTATAGTATTCTCTGATGGTAGTTTGTATTTCTGTGGGATCAGTGGTGATATCCCCTTTCTCATTTTTTGTTGCATCTATTTGATTCTTCTCTCTTTTCTTCTTTATTAGTCTTGCTAACAGTTTATCAATTTTGTTGATCTTTTCAAAAAACCAGCTCCTGGATTCATTGATTTTTTGAAGGGTTTTTTTTGTGTCTCTATCTCCTTCAGTTCTGCTCTGATCTTAGTTATTTCTTGCCTTCTGCTAGCTTTTGAATGTGTTTTCTCTTGCTTCTCTAGTTCTTTTAATTGTGATGTTAGGGTGTCAATTTTAGGTCTTTCCTGATTTCTTTTGTGGGCATTTAGTGCTGTAAATTTCCCTCTACACACTGCTTTAAATGTGTCCCAGAGATTCTGGTATGTTGTGTCTTTGTTCTCATTGGTTTCAAAGAACATCTTTATTTCTGCCTTCATTTCGTTATGTACCCAGTAGTCATTCAGGAGCAGGTTGTTCAGTTTCCACGTAGTTGAGTGGTTTTGAGTGAGTTTCTTAATCCTGAGTTCTAGTTTGATTGCAGTGTGGTCTGAGAGATAGTTTGTTATAATGTCTGTTCTTTTACATTTGCTGAGGAGAGCTTTACTTCCAACTATGTGGTCAATTTTGGAATAAGTGTGATGTGGTGCTGAGAAGAATGTATATTCTGTTGATTTGGGGTGGAGCGTTCTGTAGATGTCTATTAGGTCTGCTTCGTGCAGAGCTGAGTTCAATTCCTGGATATCCTTGTTAACTTTCTGTCTTGTGGATCTGTCTATTGTTGAGAATGGGGTGCTAAAGTCTCCCACTATTATTGTGTAGGAGTCTAAGTCTCTTGGTAGGTCTCTAAGGGCTTGCTTTATGAATCTGGGTGCTCCTGTATTGGGTTCATATATATTTAGGATAGTTAGCTCTTCTTGTTGAATTGATCCCTTTACCATTATGTAATGGCCTTCTTTGTCTCTTTTGATCTTTGTTGGTTTAAATTCTGTTTTATCAGAGACTAGGATTGCAACCCCTGCTTTTTTTTTTTTTTTTTGGTTTATTTTCCATTTGCTTGGTAGATCTTCCTCCATCCATTTATTTTGAGCCTATGTGTGTCTCTGCATGTGAGATGGGTCTCCTGAATACAGCACACTGATGGGTCTTGACTCTATCCAATTTGCCAGTCTGTGTCTTTTAATTGGAGCATTTAGTCCATTTACATTTAAGGTTAATATTGTTATGTGTGAATTTGATCCTGTCATTATGATGTTAGCTGGTTATTTTGCTCGTTAGTTGATGCAGTTTCTTCCTAGCATCGATGGTCTTTAAAATTTGGCATGTAGACTCCACTTCTTGGGGCAGGGCATAGCCGAACAAAAGGCAAAAGAAACCTCTGCAGACTTAAATGTCCCTGTCTGAAAGCTTTGAAGAGAGTAGTGGTTCTCCCAGCACGGAGTTTGAGATCTGAGACTGGACAGACTGCCTCCTCAAGTGGGTCCCTGACCCCCAAGTAGCCTAACTGGGAGGCACCCCCCAGTAGGGGCAGACTGACACCTCACACACTGAGGTACTGGTGTGTTGGTACCGGTGTTTCCTTTCCATGTTTGGTGCTTCCTTCAGGGCTCTTGTAGGGCAGGCATGGTGGTGACAAAATCTGTCAGCATTTGCTTGTCTGTAAAGGATTTTATTTCTCCTTCACTTTGAAGCTTAGTTTGGCTGGATATGAAATTCTGGGTTGAAAATTCTTTTCTTTAAGAATGTTGAATATTGGCCCGCACTCTCTTCTGGCTTGTAGAGTTTCTGCTGAGAGATCTGCTGTTAGTCTGTTGGGCTTCCCTTTGTGGGTAACCTGACCTTTCTCTCTGGCTGCCCTTAACATTTTTTCCTTCATTTCAACTTCGGTGAATCTGACAATTATGAGTCTTTGAGTTGCTCTTCTCGAGGAGTATCTTTGTGGCGTTCTCTGTATTTCCTGAATTTGAATGTTGGCCTGTCTTGCTAGGTTGGGGAAGTTCTCCTGGATAATATCCTGCAGAGTGTTTTCCAGTTTGGTTCCATTCTCCCCGTCACTTTGAGGAACACCAATCAGACATAGATTTGGTCTTTTCACATAGTCCCATATTTCTTGGAGTCTTCGTTAATTTCTTTTTACTCTTTTTTCTCTAAACTTCTCTTCTCGCTTCATTTCATTCATTTGATCTTCAATCACTGCTGCCCTTTCTTCCAGTTGATCAAATCGGCTACTGAAGCTTGTGCATTCGTCACGTAGTTCTTATGCCATGGTTTTCAGCTCCATCAGGTCATTTAAGGACTTCTGTACACTGGTTATTCTAGTTAGCCATTCGTCTAATCTTTTTTCAAGATTTTTAGCTTCTTTGCGATGGGTTCGAACTTCCTCCTTTAGCTTGGAGAAGTTTGATCATCTGAAGCCTTCTTCTCTCAACTTGTCAAAGTCATTCTCCGTCAAACTTTGTTCCATTGCTGGCAAGGAGCTGCGTTCCTTTGGAGGAGGAGAGGCGCTCTGATTTTTAGAATTTTCAGCTTTTCTGCTCTGTTTTTTCCACATCTTTGTGGTTTTATCTCCCTTTGGTCTTTGATGATGGTGACGTACAGATGGGGTTTTGGTGTGGATGTCCTTTCTGTTTGTTAGTTTTCCTTCTAACAGTCAGGACCCTCAGCTGCAGGTCTGTTGGAGTTTGCTGGAGGTCCACTCCAGACCCTGTTTGCCTGGGTATCAGCAGCAGAGGCTGCAGAACAGTGAATATTGGTGAACAGCAAATGTTGCTGCCTGATCGTTCCTCTGGAAGCTTTGTCTCAGAGGGGTACCCGGCCATGTGAGGTGTCAGTCTGCCCCTACTGGGAGGTGCCTCCCAGTTAGGCTACTCAGGGGTCAGGGACCCACTTGAGGAGGCAGTCTGTCTGTTCTCAGATCTCAAACTCCGTGCTGGGAGAACCACTGCTCTCTTCAAAGCTGTCAGAGAGGGACATTTAAGTCTGCAGAGGTTACTGCTGTCTTTTTGTTTGGCTATGCCCTGCCCCCAGAGGTGGAGTCTACAGAGGCAGGCAGGCCTCCTTGAGCTGTGGTGGGCTCCACCCAGTTCGAGCTTCCCTGCAGCTTTGTTTACCTACTCAAGCCTCAGCAATGGCAGGCGCCCCTTCCCCCAGCCTTGCTGCTGCCTTGCAGTTGGATCTCAGACTGCTGTGTTAGCAATGAGTGAGGCTCCATGGGCATGGGATCCTCCGAGCCAGGCACGGGATATAATCTCCTGGTGTGCCATTTGCTAAGGCCATTGGAAAAGTGCAGTATTAGGGTGGGAGTGACCCAATTTCCAGGTGCCATCTGTCACAGCTTCCCTTGGCTAGGAAAGGGAATTCCCTGACCACTTGTGCTTCCCGGGTGAGGCGGTGTCTTGCCCTGCTTCGGCTTATACTCGGTGAGTTGCACCCACTGTCCTGCACCCAGTGTCTGACAAGCCCCAGTGAGATGAACCTGGTACCTCAGTTGGAAATGCAGAAATCACCTGTCTTCTGTGTCACTCATGCTGGGAGCTATAGACTGGAGCTGTTCCTATTCGGCCATCTTGGACACCCTCAGAACATTCTTATGTAGAGTTTTGGATGTGTCATATATCATGAGCTGCTTCCAGTGTGGGTTTCTTTTTATCATTCAAAGGATTTGAATTTCGTATTTCTTGCACTTCAGCCTCAGAAGTATACCTTATCTGGTGGAAGTTAGCAATGGCTGTAAACAAACAAACAAGATAGTTAATTATTTCACATAACAAATGACCATCAGGTCTATGGCTTCCGGGATGGCTCAACAATGACATCCATGATCTATGATTTCTTTCCTGCCTTAGTAGTTGGCATTGTCTCCCCAAGCTCATGGTCGCATGGTTGAGAGATGCTATGGTTCAGGTCTCAGGCACTCGTGAAGCAGCATCTGCAGCAAGTAAGGAGGAAAAGAAAATCAACCAGTTTTTCTTTGTCAAATGGATCTAGTGTTCATCTGCCCAGAATCCTTCATTATTTGATATTATATTTTGATTAAACTAAATTCAATGTATTTTGGTCCATATTAAGCAGAGTTGATTAGATATGGGCTGTCCATCATGTGTCTGTGTGCACATGTGTATGACATAAACCTTCCTACTCCTTACCAGGTGTCCTGGGTGTGATGTGAGAGGAAGGGTTCATGCAGTCCATTTTGGGGATTGGGGGTTGAAAAACTAACAGGACTCTTTCATCTGGAAAAAAAAAAAAACCTCCATCTCTAAAGCACAAGGAATAAGATAAAGCTAGAACTTACTCATAAATCTTAGCTCTCACTCCCCGTAAGTGGATTCAATCCATCATTGAGTGCAATAGACATTTCCACCTACATGTCTTTCTCCTCTTTCCATGCCACAGACACTATTCTTCAAGCCAACACAGTGTCTTGCCGGACCACTCTAAATCCCTCCAAAAAGGGCTTTCCACAGTCACTCCACCCTCATGCAAATTTGTCCTCCATTCTGCAGTCACAGTGATTGGCTGAGAATGCAGATCTTGTCACTACTCTGCTTAGAAAAATTCCATGGCTTCCCACTGTTCTTGGAATAAATAGAAAAACCTTATATTGCCATCTGTAGAGGATTGGCTTAGGCTGGTTCACTGGGATCTCACTGCCTCCATCTGCAGGACACTGTTTTATGCACTCCCACTCCAATAGCCTTTTGAGTCCCTCGCATGGCTTCAGTTCTTTCTATCACAGGTCATTTGTATATATTGCCCCCCCTGCTTGGAAGCTTCTTTATACCCTTCCCTTTGCCCCAAGAGTCTACTTTTCTTCAGATTTAGGCTATGCTGTGAGTTTCTCAGAAACACCTTCTCTGGCCCTGAGAGACTCAGCTCTTTAGTACATCTTCTTTGTATCATTGGCACGATGCTACAGTTTTACAATCATGTTTGCGAATGTGTGGTTAGTATCCATTCCTTTCCACTGGCTAGATGGCGAGCTTGGCGGGGGCTAGGCCATATCTTTTTCTATTTTTTAATTGCCTTTGTGTTTGCAATGTTTAGCCCATGTCTGGGAACACAGGAAGTGCTCAAAATGCATGTGTTGATTGATTGTATGAATAAGTGAATGAATAACATTTATTGTATTTGATGTCTGCAGCATTTAAGCATTTCAATTGCTGAGCTTTAGTAGTTGATATAGGTCTAGGTAGCATTTCAAAATAGGTCATTTTGGGACCTCTGCATTAGAAAATAGATTAGAAATTATTGCCTTCATTAAAGATTTCTGAAAAAATAATTGTCATGTGTCTTTTATATGGTATACACATGACATTTTAAGTCACAGAACTCCTATATGCAATGATGAGCTTTCTGATCCTAAAGTTGGTATCTATAAATGTATGATTTTTGAATTGAGAAGTTAAATTACTATCTTTGGATTATTGAGGTGGTGAAAAATTTTATCCTTTCTGTCTATGAATTTGAGATTGGACAGATTGAAATATCATTGGAGTAAACTCTGTTGAATAGTATGGCATAGCTCATGCCTGTAATCCCAGCACTTTGGGAGGCTGAAGCGGGAGGATTGCTTGAGCATAGGGGATGGAGGCTGCAGTGAGTCATAATTGCACCTCTGCACATGAACCTGGGTGATGGAGTGAGACCTTGTCTCAAAATAAGAAATGAAAGTGATATGGCTAAAATTTAAAGTGATTAGTTCCCCACATTCCTTTGAAATTGTTCTATTTTTTGAAATTGAAATACTTCTCTGTGCACTTGGCAATTCAACAAAATTTAGAAATATTTATTAAGCAGATACTAGGTGTTATTGATTAATTAAATGAATATTTATTAGACATTTCCTACTTGTCAGACCTAAAGACGTAGCTTTCTCTTGTTAGAAATTTATCTACAAAAATGACATAACGCCTGATTTCAAAGAGTAAACAGTGTGAACAACAACAACAAAAAAACCCGGAGCATGATAAGTACAAATACTTTGTTATTAAATAGAATGGGTAATAAGAACATATATTAAAGGTCCCTGACTTAATTTCTGTTAAGTCAAGGAAGAGGAGTATTGAATAATGATTTCCTGGAAGAAATAACATTTGAGCTGAACTCTGAAGGAGAAGTAGGTGCTTTTAAGTGAATATTTATTAATCATGATGGCAATTTTCTTATTGTACTAAATTATTTAAGAAGCATTGTTTTTCTCCCTAATTCTTATCATTTTTCTCCTTGCTGATTACACTGGAGCCTTTTGAGAATGGGGAATATATTTTGTTTCTAGGTATCTAACAATTATTAAACATAGTGTTATGCATGATCAAGATACATATTATATGATTTCTCTCACTAATATTAAGTAAATTGAAGCTTTGCAGTGATGGTTCTAGGAGTCAGAAGAAGACACTTGGATGGTTACCACCATGAGCTGTGATTTATTTACTGTACTGAGCTCAAGTGATCTCCAATAACCATAATATTTGGAAAGGCTCTATGTGGCTTACCCCATGTGGGCTTTTACAGGTAACATGCCTTTTGGGAAATACTAAGATTGAATTATAATTTTTAAAATTCTTTTCTTTTTGAAGTCTTTACTGAACGCGTTGCAAATATTTCTTCTATTTTTCATATAACTTCGGTGTATAGATAACTGAACTTTCTGTGTTTCAAAAATGTTGGCCTTTATGTTGTTGTAGACTCATCAGGGCCAGAATTTTTAAAATAATTTTAATTAATTTTATCTTCAGGAAGGATGCGTGATGAGGATTTAGTAAATACACTCAGTTGGTAATTAGGCTGACAGGTCTACTTTTCATTTTTCTTTTCTTTATTCTGTTGCTTCTTTCATTCTAAAACAGTCAAAAATACATGTGGATTATTTTAATTTAGAAGAGGGAAAATTTCTAATGATTGTGTATTAAATACACACCAGATATCTGGGTTCCTAGGACCATCCTCTGAACCAGTGAGTGGGTATTTAATTGATCTTGATGGAGGACAAGATAAACTTTCTTTTAGATTATTGCTGGAGGGGGAAGAAAGAGTGATTTTATTATAGTAAGTATACGGTTACATTACTTTCTTGTATTTACTGCCTAAGAATATTGCTTTATCTGACACTTACTGTTAAAGTGGTGAAGTTTGGCCCGTGCAGTGGCACTTTGGGAGGCTGAGGCAGGTGGATTGCTTGAGACCAGGAGTTCGAGACCAGCTGGGCAACATGGCAAAACCCTGTCTCTACAAAAAATTTTAAAATTAGACAGGCGTGGTGGCACATGCCTGTAGACCCAGCCACCTGGGAGGCTGAGGTGGGAGGATTGCTCGAGCACTGGAGGTAGAGGTTGCAGAAGGTGTGATTCTGCCACTGCACTCCAGCCTGGGCAGCAGAGTGGACTCTGTCTCCAAAAAAAAAAAAAAAAAGATATTAAGCTTATTATTTTTGGCTGTCTTTCTGACTAGTAGCATCTCCAATTCTTTTCCCTTGTGCATTTCCCTTTCAGGTAGATTATTTATATTATACTAAATTGTTCTTCTCCACCTACGTAAGTGAATTTTGAGGAGCTAAACATTATCTATTCACTTAATCTCTCCTCAGAGTTCATATTGCCAAGAACCTATATTATTTTTAGAAATACTTCTCTGTACTTTTTCAACAGAATGATGTCCAGACTATTTTAATATCTTAAATTAAGTTTCTAATGCTTTGTAAAGTACTGATATAACCTCTCATTATGGAGTATTTCTTTTTAATCATGTTGGGTTAGCACTGACCTTTTTCTTTTTTCTTTAAGAATGCTGCTTAGCTTAAGAAGCGCTTATGCCAAGTGCCAATTTAAAATGAAGAAATATACCTGTTGAAAAAGAATACACATACCACTGTTTACTCATTGTGGCATCCCTTATCTGGCAATTTTAACCATTTGAAATTTCAGTGACAGCTTGAAATTAGAAGAGCTCTCTGAGTTGTAGTAGTTGCTTATGATGTATATCCCAGAAAAATCTGTGGGTTGGTATTTGGTGAACATTCTCCTAACTAGACCCTCAGGATTTTTTTTTTTTTTTCTTTTGAGAGGGAGGCGTTTCACTCTTGTTGCCCAGGCTGGAGTGCAATGGCGAGATCTCAGCTCACTGCAACCCCTGCCTCCTGGGTTCAATTAATTTGCCTGTCTCACCCTCCCAAATAGCTGAGATTACAGGCACAAGTCACCACACCCGGCTAATTTTGTATTTTTAGTAGAGACGGGTTTTACCATGTTGGAGGCTGGTCTCGAACTCCTGACCTCAGGTGATCTGCCTGTCTTTGGCCTCCCAAAGCGCTGGGATTACAGGCATGAGCCACCATGCCCAGCCAGTCCTCAAGATTTTAATTAGGGCTTTCTTATCCCTATTTATGAATTAAGCTAGTTTTTCTGATTTCTCAACCTTCAACAGAGTGAAAATAGCAAAGCGGAAGCCAGAGAAAAAATGAAGAGCATATGTGTTTTGAAATGGAGATGATATAAATAATGAACACATTGAAAAATTTATCCCATTTTATGGCTGTTCTGATTTAAAAGATAAAAGCATTTTATTGACCTTTTTGCATATATTTTGACAGTTGTCTGAATGGTTTTTGGCCAAGAAGAATGTTTTTGGTTTAGATTCTGGGGTTCCTTTTTGTAAAATGGGGATAATATAAGACAGAAATCTGAGCTATGTAATTTTTTTAAGTAGAATACTTTATAATCAGAAAATATGCTATATTACCATATCTCAAAGACTCTGCAGATTCAGTTATTATACATAAAGTGCACTATGTATCAGCTCATTATCTTTCTTAATTCAGTTCTAGAACTATATTACATAAGCATTCTTAACTAATCCTCCCACAGGGTACTTGGAAGAATGGTGGCAATTGAACTATTGACCTATGGGAATTATATCTATTTGTTTTAAAATAGATGTAAATAACAAAAACATTAAAAGAGTCCTTCATTTTTTGCCTGATATGATAATGAAAAATGAGAACGTTTTAGTTCAACTCTTTGAATAACTTTTGTCCACTTTTTAAGACGTTTGCACACAAAGGATAATATTGTATGGCTGGATTTCGAGTTATTATACTGACAGTTGAAAATCATGGAGGCTGGAAATGTTACGGTCAGAAGCACCACCCTCAAGTGCACTGGTGATGATGAATGTCATCTGAGGACCGCCAATCCGTTCTCTCTTCACTAGTTTCAGATGTTACAGACTCTGCCAATCAGCAATGAGCCAAGATTCTTCATGATGCCAAGCCCCTGCCATGTGAGATAGCAAATACACTTTCTCATACACAGATTTTCAAATGCTTTCATTAATACTAAATTGCAATAGTAAGTGATACCTGCTTGCACCTTTTGGATTTTGTCCTAGTGACAGCACATGGCAGTCTAGGGCTCTTCACACTAGATCTTCCAAAGGTACAGCATCCTTTGTACTGTCCCCATTCTTGCTTCTCCATGGCCCCAGGATGGCTTGTCAAGCATTGCACGGATGCTTTAACAGATGAATAAGCCACTGAGACTTTTGATGGTTTAGTGAGGGTGGTTTTCATAGGAGGAAGTGAAAAGAATCTTGGCTAACACAGATATGGAGCTTAAATGTAAATCTTCTAAAATATAAATATTCTTGTATTTGATTGCAGTTATTAGTTCTATTTTGAGGGTGTTGGTTGCTCACTTAGCAATTTAGCAAAAAGAAAACCAAATAGAATAAGATGTTGGTGCCTTTTTTTCCTTACTTTTTTTCTTTTTAAGTAAATATGAGAGTGAGGTGCTATTTTTATTTTGCATGGATGTTCCTCTCCTGACCTTCTGCCCCCTTCCCCACGAAAAAAAAAAAAAAACAGAAAAGCATTTAGGTCAGGTATTTCTTCAGTGTCATGGCCAAAGTCAAAATGGAAAAAGAATCCCCTCTCTACTAGTTTCTTTGAAAACTAGATTCCAAAAACAATGTAGTCGGTGAAACTGTTTTTGATCAGTAACAGCAGTGGATTAAAATGTGTGTAATCTGCAGTACAGGATGTTTTTTTTTTTTTTTTTTTTTTGATTTGCCAACTTTTGAAGCATCACAAATCGATAAACTAGCCAGTCATCCCATACACCTGGGCAGCATGCTGCTTTCCTGGATGAGGCCCTAGAGTCCATTTGGCAGAGGACAAGCGAAGTGTGAGATCGCCGTCAGCGATGGGTAATGTGTGAACGCTGCCAGTGTGTGTTGAGAAATCTGAGTGTATTTCCTGGAGACACCCCAAACTTAAAAGTTTTTATGTTCCCCCTTATACCATTGACTTGAGTTCAACGAAGTTGTCAATGTCTGTTTGATAACAGCAGTGTGGTCTTGCTGGGCATGGCTGCATTTTAATCACTTCATGGATATTAAGGGCTTTAGTTCCAGTTTATTCCTGCCTGTCTCTTTCTTCCAAAATTTCCCTTAATCTGGCTCTTGATAGGAGGGACTTGCCTCTAGGGGACAAGCAGAAGCAAAAGATAACAGGAAAGCCCGCACTATGCCAGGTTGTCTTGAAACATGAAAGGTCAGACCCTACATTTGTCTAAAAATAAATCTCTTTCCACAGGGTTAGTAAAACTGCTATCACAAAAAAAAAAAAAAAAAATCTTTGCTTTCATTTTCTTCCTTTCTTTCTCTCTAGAAAGATATGCCAATATATTCTAAACTGGCTGATTAACTGCTAACAGAGTTTGGTTCAAACCTCCCAAGCCCATTTTAAACACCTTTAGGGGAATAACTGATAAGGTGTCTAGTGCTGCAATAAACACAATACCACTGCAGGCCTTTTGAAGTATGAGTTTATATTAGTATCATTATCATTGTTATTTTTTCCTCCCTTTCTTCATTTTGCATAAATTGGAATTCCTTCAAAACTTCAGCAGCCTATTAAAGTATCCGTATACAAAGAAGAAAAATTGCAAATGATTTTCTTCTGGAGGAAAATGCTGCTGAGGAGTCTTTGAAGCCAAGGCTTTTGTTGTGAATCTGAGAGTCATTGTTACCTAACAGATTCATACGCTAGGCAGAATTGCTATGGAATGGTGTGCATAAAACACTGTGAGCATCAGCCTAGCATGCCTCGGGAAGAAGGAGGACCATCGATGTCCATCAAAAAGGAAAATATATGGGTCTCAGCATTCACTGCTTTCCTACAGAACTGGAGTGGTAAAGCAAATTGCATGCTCTTTAACCCTTCTGTCTGCCCACTGTCAGGAGAAGACTCGAACAAATCCCAAGCCTGTATTGTCCTCCTGCTGAAATGTCTATCTTTTCCAACTGACAAGACCATTTTCAAGTATTACTTGAAAATAATATCATGCGTTCTGCTCTTCTGCATAATATATACACATATGTTTCAATTTATATACGCATACGTATTTGTGTGCATATAATCTATTATCTATCTTTTAAAAAATATCTCTAGGGGGATACTGACTAAAAACAATTGGAGAAAGAACTCCCTTTCACTGTCAAAGACATCCTGTTGCTTTCATCTGGCAAGACTACCATATCCTTCTGTGACTGTGGGGTTTGGGGTATGTGGAGTGGGAAGGAGGCAGGGTGCTAGTGTGACATTCTTGTGTGTGTTTCTGCTTAAAGTAATATAGAAAGGAGGCTTGAAATATTTTTATGTCTACAGAGGGATTGTACATATTGACTTCAGATAACAGCAAGAATGAGGAAAGTTACAGTTACAATTGTCCAGGACTTCAGACTCCAATCTGGACATGTGCGTCCTGGGTTTTGCAGTTAGTTTTGACATACGTAGCAGCACTGTATTAAAGAAAAAAAAGCTATTGTGTAATGACAGGAGTCTTAAGTCAATGACAATATCTACTTTGGGGGAACTTTTTTTTAGGCTTAGATCTTTTCCTTGTCTGTAAATCAGGAATGAGAATAGGGATATGATACTTCTTGTTCAATTTTGAGGTGTTACAATGAAGAAAAATTTCTATTAAACATTGCATTCTTTTTCAATGTTTAATTTTTGTGGGTAGATAGGTGTATGTATTTATGGGGTACATGAGATGATTTGTTATAGGCATTCAATGCTTAATAATCACATCATGTGGAATGCCATATCCACCCTCTCAAGCATTTATCCTTTGTGTTACAAGCAATAAAAATTGCATTCTTTGGAAGGCAATAAATCCAAAGGAGTTAATTACTATTTTTTCATTTTCCTGAAATTGGTTCACTATAAATGCTATATATTAGGAAATTCAAATGCTAATAAAAAAGGATTCATTGTAGGAATTGTTTGGAAAAACACATAGATGTTATAGAATAGTCTACGTGTAGATGACGTAGGAGCTTTCCTGCTCATCAAGTTTATATCAGTCATTATGAGATAACATGAAATGAGAACATGGAGAATTAACTAGGGATAAGTGAGATTCTTTTACTTTGCATATGACCAACCAATAAAAGAATAAGTACATATATATGCAATTTGATATTAAATTAATGAATATTGATTTTCTTAATTTCTTTAGCATTAAAAAGGCATACTCAATGACTTGTGCTTTGTAACTGTTTTCATTATTTTTTATTCAAGGTGAATAAATATCCTTCATGAAAATTTAAATGTTTAACACTAAAGAAATCTCCCATCTATGTTCTTTTCCCATGAAGCATTTGATAATTCACTTGAAATGGAATTATTCAGCTGTATTTTTACTTTTGCTTCACGATAACGAAGTTGACTAATTTTAAGGGAAAACAACACTCAGAATATTACTCAGTGAATTACTCCAAAGATTTTGTTGTTGTTGTTGTTGGTTGTTTCTTGAGACAAGATCTTACTCTGTCACCCAGGCTAGAGTGTAGTGGCATGATATTGGCTCACTGCAGCCTTGACTACCTGGGCTCGAGTGATCCTCCCACCTCATCCTCCTGAATAGCTGGGACCACAGGTGTGTGCCACCACACTTGGCTATTTTTTTTTGTATTTTTGGTAGAGACATGGGTTTTACCATGTTGCCAAGGCTGGTCTGGAACTCCTGAGCTCAAGCTGCCTGCCAGCCTCAGCTTCCTGAAGTGCTGGGATTAGAGGCATAAGCCACCACACCTGGTCCCCCAATTTTAACATTCCTGTCACCCAAGCTCTGATCTCTTAGCAAGTAGGTTCCTTGGTTACCAAGAACTTTCAGAGTTGTTTTGATCTTGTATGTAAGTACCATATCTAGAAACCCCTCCTATTGAAACTGTCACTCCTACAGTCCCCACGTCTTCCCACTTGCTCTCTTCATATCTGAAGTGGTGTATTTGGGAGTCTGAGGCCAAATACATTTTGGCAATAGTGGGATTATCACTTTCCTTTCCATAAGAGAGATACACAAACATAGATGATAATATTGACTTATAAACAATAACGTTGAAATTGGTTCAGGGTTATTTCTAAAGAATGATGATATTTTAATTTGACTCCCAAGTTAATTTTAACCACACAGTGAACAAAATGATCAGCAAATCAGTTATTGAAAAGTAATTTTTTTCTTAAATACGAAAAAAATAGGTACTTTGGGATAATTAATTGATGTCAGTTTCGTCCCAGAGAGGTGAATTTTAATTCTATTTGATTCTATTAAATTATATTTTAATATTTTATTCATCAACCATCTATTGGACATTTGTTCTTTTTCAGAAATAGGCTAATCTGCTGATTTAACAATCAGAGAAAAATCAGTTTTAATCTCTGTTAGACTAGGTCCACAAAGGACTTGAAAAGCCTGTCAAGAACCATAAAGTTGTTTTTTTTCTTCCCACGTTCATCGGACTTCAAATCTGTTCCTAGCCAGCTGTGTAATAGAGAACTCTTATGGTTACTGCATTTTAGCCCTGCTATAAATTCTCCAGGTGCTATATATTTATTTTGATGATTTTAATGTGTTGCGTTAATCTGTATAATGATAAGAAATAATAACCCGAAAGAAAAATCATGGATTTTAAAAATGGGAAGAAAAACTTGGGAAGTCTTTCTTCCCTAGAGACTGAATACAACCAAGACTTGCTTCCTGTTATTTGCTTTTCAGGAATGTGTCTGACTCTGTTAACTGACAAAGACGGCATTGATGGAAAGCCTTTCCAAAGGTTAATTATTTTTCGAGGAAAGAAATCACAATGATGTTGTTACCCTTTATTTTCCTTGATTATCTGACTATGTAGTTTCAGGGATGTTTTTGAGTTCTGATTTACCTTATCAGTTAAAATATTTTTTAAATCTGCATCTTATCTGGTTAATCTTATTTATTCTGAAGAGAATAGATTAAATCCACTTAACTGTCCACTTTATTAAATTTTTGTTATAATTTATGTTACTCTAATAGAATCAGGACAGGAGGAAATTAAATTGCTAAAAAAAGAAAAAACAGAAGAGTCTATGTCTTCCATAGTCTCCTTTGTAAAGTTTGAAATCATTTTATATTCTAAGAAAAAAGAATAGCATTATAAAAATTTCTTTATAGAAACAAATACCGAAATAACATTTATTTCTATTCATTTTAATAGCAGCATATTGACAAATCACTGGATTCTCTGGCCAGGGATTTTGACTTCCCTCCAACTTTAAAGAATCGTTTCCATAATCATTTGAAAGTTTTAAGCAGAAGATTTATTCCGAAATTTTGATATCAATTGCAGTAAGGCAGGGAGTAGACTGCTTTATTATCCAGTATTTATTCCCTGGGCAGAATTAAAATAGAGTTTATATTGATGATCAATACAATAAATCAATGTGTGCAACTAATTTGGACCATTCAAGCATGAAAACAATATTCTATTTTATTCTATAATTATTTGAAAGATTTACCTCTTCTTTCCATTTCATTTTTTATAGCAATTCTACTTAGAAGGATATACATAGAAGGTGTATAGATTCAGGGAGATATGAAAAATTGTCATGAGGAAGGAATTACTGGAGAAATTGCATACTGTAATCTGTTATGTCTAGTTTGGAAAAGAGATCAATGGAAACCTGAACTAATTTGCACTCCTCAAGAGCTGTATGAATAGAAATATGTGGTGCCATTGTTTGGGAGTGGCACATTTGAACATTAAAAATAAGAGTTAGCTTGGTTTGTCAGCATCCACGTGTTTACTAAATAGTTTGCGCTATACATCATGTTGTTTAGTTGCTGTTAATTAATAAGCATTTATTAGATGCCTACTGTATATGAAGCAGCAATGTAGGTGCTATGTGTGATGGTGTGTGGGGGGAGAGTAGAGAACATGTAAAACACATTGGGAGGTACTGAAGAAAAACCACCATATTTAGAGCTGACCAAATGTTTCACAAAGACATGAGAACAATTATTTAGTAACAAAGCAACAGAGTCTAATGCACATATTAAAATGCAAATACAATGACATGAGATAGAAGAGACTGGATCCTGACTTTAAAAATACAGTTGTAAATTTTCAGATGCTTACATAGCCCAAGTGTGGAAGACTGAATTCTGTGTTCAACTATTTGGCTGTTGTTAGCAATGATGCATGAAGCAGAAAGAAAACAGCTTGATTTTCTTAAGTTAGGCAAACTCTGGAGAGCTGGGTATGGCAGGGAGGCAATTGGCTCGTGAAATAAACCGACCAATCTGGAAGCCAAAATTAAATAGAGTGTATAAGGACACCCCGGTGTTCATCTTAACAATGTACTAGTTATGAACTACCTATTGTCGTTATTACCACTGCTAATGAAGAAACCATAGGAGAAGGCGAGCAATGCCTCTTTCTGATTACTGTGGGCTTCCGGTTTAACTAGCTAAGGCACTCAATGATCCTTTAAAAAATGAATTTACTCAAATGTCTTTCTGCTATTAGTGAGGATATCATTAGACATGGTTTAGCTTCTGAAAGTATTGAAGACAGTTTGGCTAATGATGGCTGAAACTGCTGGATAAAATGACATTCTTAGACATTCATATTTTTTTTGCCATGTTTTTTGACTTGATAATGATTTTAGTTTCTAATATTTCTTTTTAAAATGACTCAGGGAAGTTATTAAATGTCAACTCCCATGTAGAAATATTTGTCCATTGACTTAGTAAATTCTTTCTAACTGTTTCTGGTGCTGGCTGTTTGGAAAAAAAAATTTTCCAGTGGTGGCTTACAGCTTGCAACAATGGAAGTTAATTAATATGCAAAATAGTGCTCCCATAAAAGAAAAATACACCATTATTAACTATATTAAAGATTTGACTTTTGGGGCAAATAAAAACTAATGGTTTGAATATTCGTAAAAATGATTCTTTATCCAGCCCTCCTCAGATTCAAAGAAGCTAAAGCTACTTTCTTATTTGATTCAATTCTTACATATTATCATTAATTCATTAATTTATTTATTCATCCAATTCTCAATAATTATTTACATCTCCACCACATACCAAACCAGTAGATTAAAATATACATGTCTAATAAATAACAACAGCAGCTAATATTTCTTAATCTGGGAAATGGGTTTCAAGATACTGATTAAGGGCATGACAGTGGGTACCAGATGTCCTGACCTGGTATCCCCACTTTGCCACTTAATGCTTCTCTGACTTTAGGCAAGTCCTTTTTTTTTTTTTTTTTTTTTTTTCCTGAGACAGAGTCTTGCTCTGTCACCCAGGCTAGAATAGAGTGGTGTGATCACAGCTCACTGCAGCGCCAGCCTCCTAGGCTCAAGTGATCCTCCCACCTCAGCCTCCTGAGTAGGTGGGACTATAGGTGCATATGACTGTGCCTGGCTAATTTTTTCTATTTTTTTGTAGAAATGGGGTCTCACTTTGTCGCCTAGGCTGGTCTTGAACTCCTGGGCTCAAGAGATTGTCCTGCCTTGGCCTCCCAAGGTGCTGGGATTACAGGTGTGAGCCAATGTGCCCATGCTTAGGCAAATTCTTTATGCCTCAGTTTTTTTATCTGTAAAATGGAAATATAATTAGAGCACCAACCCCATTGGTTTATTGTGGACATTATATAAGATAACATCTAAAAAAGCATTTTGAACCATGTCTCATGGTAAGTGATCAGTAAGTATTAACAATTACTTATTTTAATTATTTCATTCAGTTTTTATATACATGAATATACTTATTTAAAGGTTAGAATGAAGCAGATAAGCAATATGTAACACAGTGGATAATAACTGCTTTATGAATTACAATTTATGAAATGTATCTATAAGGCTTTATGCTGTCTTATAAATAATCATAGATACATGATAATCATAATAGCTATACAAGTAATAATAGGCCTGATTGAGTTATTTATTAATGTAATAAGGTTGCCAACGTTTTATAGATGACAAAATGGAGTCACAAAGAGGTTAAATCACTTCCCCGATATCAAACAGCTAATAAACAATGCAGCCAGAATGCAAACCCAGGTGGCGTGACTCTCATTCATGTTGCTGTGCTGCCTGACAGCAGGGCCACATAGCTTTTTTCCAGTTTAAAGATCACTCAAAAAATCACATATGAAGTCAGGTTTTGAGAGCAATTTACTCAAGGTAACGTCATCCTGAAAGTAGATAACAGCTCCAATCTTCTATGTAGAGCAGCTGTCTCTTTGTATCTGGAATAGTTAATTAAAATAGGTCATTCTGATCTATAAAGCTGTAGAAGATCTGAATTCTGATTGCTTTAGAGATTAATTCTCTAGACTTACTGTCACGATCATCAAAGTGCTTATGCTAATATTTCCCAGATTTGAACTTTGGGAAATCAAATGCATGTCCCCCTCACTCTTGTTTTCACATTGTAAACTTCAGGCAACCTTCTTGATAAAATGGAATTTAGGTCAAATCTCTCATATTTAAGCAGGTTCCTTGAACATAGAATAAGAAAGTAAATTAAGAAGGAAAGAGAAAGACCTCGATTTATCTTAATCTCATGTTGTATGAGCCTGTGTCACGTTAGATGAAAAATGCATACATATACATAACAAATGGAAATTGCCCCTTGACTAGAATCTCAATTCAGGATGTTACTGCAAGCTGTGAAGGTAGTTACCAGCTGTTTTTTTTTCCTCCCCCCCAGAATAATGAAATCAGTACGTATTTTCCCCTCTTTTTTCCTTTTCTTCTTTCTTTTGTTTCTTTCATCTTTTCTGTCAGTAAAAAATACTCAATGAGATTTCATACTTGGTTTAGATAAAATGAAAATTTTTACTTTTTTAGTAGTTGTCCCCATCAGAATCAAACATAGTGAGCAGGAAAAAAGCCCTGTTTTTTTCTACTTAGATACTGTGCCTAGTTTTAACATTTTGATTTGACTGAATGAGGAACAATGTTATCTGCTGAAGAATAATATTAACACAAAACACAATAGAACTTGTCACAAGACGCATGACAAACATAACATGTAGTCTAGAGCTTTAATTAACATATTTGTTAAACGCTAATTCTGTGAGTAGATTACCAACAAAGAAAAGACTTCTCCCAGCACAGATAGTGCAGCTAAGTTTGCCTTCCTTTAAGAGAGTCTGACAGTTATATGAGTAAGCTCTGTAATTCTGCTGGGAACCAACTCCCATTCTTCTGCCATCCAGGCTTTCAAAATCAGAATGGAGGAGAAAAGCAGTAGCTTTTATTGCTCTACAATTGATTCTAAGGCAGAAGCTGTACATGGATGTATATACAGACTTGGGAATTTGCATACTGAATGCCTCTTCTCAGTTTTCATATGCCTACCTCTGTCCCTGTCATTTAATTTGCGTTTGTTCACCAATCAAGTTTGTTTCCTGGATGCCTCACTTGCATGAATGGGTAGCAGAGTAATTAGAGCTAAGTTAAATGGTTTTATGAATGAAGGCACAATTTACAATGATGTGTGTGGGTATCATCTCCCCTTCACTTGTTTAATATTCAGACCTGTCACCTTGCATGCAATCTGTTGGAAAAGGCTCCAGAAGCCAGTTATACCTCTTACAAATCACACCGGATTGTACTGCTCTGGAGGGACTTTCTTGGAGTTGAGCTAAAAGGAGTCTTAATAAAAAGTCTAGGATACAAAAGCTTGATTCATTATTGCACATAAAGAACAAAGAGTTTGGGAACTGACAGGTAAAATGGAAGATGGTTAAACGGGGAAAATTGCATTCTATTTTTGGAGAACATTTAATTTTATTCTAAGTATTTGCTATAGGCTTCTCTCTTTAGAAAACCCATGGTTCAGCTCTTGAGCATAGAAGAGAAAATTTAGCAAGAACATCTTTGTTGACCATGGAAACCATACTAAAGCTGGAGATTTTTCAAGTGACATCAGGTATGCATTTTTGAAAATGTTGCAGAACATATTCTTAATCTATTTTTGAAAATGTTGCAGAATATATTCTTAATCTATTTTAAGTTGATCAATTAGGAAATGATTGTGACTCCCCAGACATTTGCAAGTTTTTCCTAGGTTATCTCACTCTCCCATTCCATGAAGCCAGTGGTTCTCAACTGGGGTTGCAGAGAGGTGTTTAATGAGTTAGGACAATTGCCAATGCCTGCAGATATATTTTGTTGTCACAACTGGGAAGGCTGCTACTGGCATGAAGTGTTTAGAGGCCGAGGATGCTGCTAAAGATTCTACAATGTTTAGTACACGCCCTCACAACAAAGAATTATCTGGTCCAAATGTCAGTAGTGCCAAAGTTGAGAAATGCAGTGGTAAGCCCTCCAGGCCATTACTGTACTTTCTTGCAGAAGGTGATCTTGCCTCTTAGCTCCTTTTCAACAGAGAAAATAAAGGCTATCCACTATGACCTCCCTCAGCTTTCCCCATGCATCCACAAACTTGTTTGCATGTAATGTCCTGCCACTTAAAGCCCTTATCCTCATTCCTCTATTGCTGCAAAAGGAGTCCCTTCTGCTTTCTACAGTTAATTGATTGACTTGTGTTCTAGATTTCATTCTTTCCATTTCCTCCCGGGCATTTTCTTCATCATCATCTCTCTAGCCTTCCCCTTTATGCAGAGCATTTTATTCTCCATCAGTTCCTTTCTCACAGCCTGTGAATAAACACTGATTAAGGCTCATAAATTAAATATGGATCCTTCCTTTGACTTTAGCTTTCTTTTTTCCTTCACACAGCTTTCTAAGAGTATTTTATTTTTGATTTAAAAAGTTTTTTTTTTTTTTTTTGAGACAGGGTCTCACTTTATCACCTTGGCTGGAATGCAGTGACATGATCATAGCTCACTGTAGCCTCAAACTCCTGGGCTTCAGGGATCCTGCTCCCTCAGCCTCCCACAGTGTTGGGAGTACAAGCATGAGCCACCGTGTCTGGCCACTAAGAGTATTTCATAGTTGCTATCTTTATTTCCTTAAACTGCATTCCATTAGCCCAGTGCATTTTTTTTTTTCAGTGACTAGCCCTATTTTAACTGTTTATATCAGTTATTGCTGTGTAATAAACCACCTCATAATTCAGTGACTTACTAAGCATTTATTATTATTCAGACATCTATGGAATATCTGCATGACTCTTCTAGTCTCAGCTATGCTTATTGATGTCTCAGCAGTCATTCGTGGGCCTGGTGGCAGGATTCCAAGAGAATGAGTGAAAGTGGAGGCTTTTGAGTTTTCACCCTGATGTCTACCATAACTCCACTGTCTTTCATTGTCCTTCTGCCTCTGAGCATTCTTGATAGTCCTTAATTATCTCCACCAGAAAGACTGTTGGCTCCAGAGTTTCTATCCTTAGCTTTCTTTTCATTCTACAAACACTCAATGGACAATCTTAGCTCATCTACATGTTTATCTGTCACCTATATTTAACACCCAAATGCAAATTTCCAGCATAGCACATTTTCATTCAAATGGAAAATGGAAGACTGCATCTTCAACTTACATCTCCATCTATATATGGGGCATCTTGACCCGAAGACTGGATTTATTATCATTCATTCAGTACCTCAGTCTCCTCAATATAACTAGTTATCTAGCCAGTTATTTTTGACTCTGCTTTTTCTCTTACCACCCCCACCCCTTTAACCACCATAACTACTATCCGCTGATTTAGTGGTTTAGGTTTATTGAATTCTATTGATCTAATTGATTAATTGATTTAATTGAACAAATATTTATCCAGTGCTTACTATATGCCATCCCTCATGGGGCTTAGATTTTATACCACACACTATGCTTGCTGCTGATCAGTGATATGGAAAGATTTAAATTTGAAAAAGGGAAAGATAGGAAGTACCAATGGGCATTGTAATTTTACTTAAAGTGGATAGAAAGACCACGAGAAGATGATCTATAATGAAAGTGCTGAAGGAGGTGAAAGAGTTCAGGTGTCTGGGGAGAGCATTCCAGGCCAATGGAAAGGAAAGTGCTACATATATCCTTTAGTAATTTTTTTGAGAATTTTTGTAGGGTTAACTTTTCTGAATAATCATTTGGCTGGACATACATCCTATATTTAGAAGACTGACAATATCAATTCAGTGTTATCTTGTGGATGAAGAATGTAATTAAGGTTGCCAGATTTAGCAAATATTTATACAGGACACCAAGTTAAATTTGAGTTTCAGAGATACAATGAATATAGTACTTTTAAAATTGTAAATATTTCCCATGCAGTATGCAATTTGGGAATACTTACACTACAACGTGATCTGGTGTTTATCTGGAACTTATATATTAACTGAACATCCTGTATTATATCTGGCATCCTTAAATCTAATGTAATGTGATTAGTCCTTTCTGTTTCTCTAAAAGATTTTAAGAAACATGTGTCTAGATGATTTTAAGAAATGTGTGTTTATTCTCGGAGTTCTGAAACGTCACCACAATGTGTCTGCACGTGAATCTGTTTATTTGCATTCTCTTCAGAACTCACAAGGCCCCTTTAAACTGAATTCTTCCATTTGTCTTCATTTCTGGGACTTAAAAAAAATTCTTGCTCTGGCAGTGTCCTTGCTATAATTTTTCTCTTTCTTTCTTTCTTTCTTTCTTGCTTGCTTGCTTGCTTGCTTTCTTGCTTTCCTTGCCTTGCCTTTCTTTTCTTTCTCTTTCTTCCTTTCTCTCTCTCTCTCTTTCTCTCTCTTTCTTTTCTTGATGGAGTTTTGCTCTGTCTTGCAGCCCAGTTCTAAAACTCCTATTAGATAGATGTTGAACTTTCTTGATATGCCTTCCATGACATGTAACCATCCAGTCATACATTCCATCCCTATGTCTGTTTGCAAAGACTTCTGAAAGAATTTATTGCCTTAATACTTTTGTGCATTAACACAGTCTTTTGCTATGTATATTCTGCTATTTGCCTGATTATCACAAGCTTGCCTTTTGAGACTGGGGCTTCCCTATTCCTCCTGGAGGTCATAGCCCTGTATTATCATGGCCTTAGCCATGATCTTAGCATATGTACTCCTTTGTTAGCTTATTTGCAGCTGCTTAATAGCTCATTGTACATACTGTATACACTGATTGCAGACAGGAAAGGAATGATATGCCTTCAGACAAACTTTAACCCTATAACTATACCCATTGATTCTGGCTGTAGAGGCCCTTGCTCTACCCTACTGTTAAGGACTAAATTGTGTTCTCTAAATTCATATATTAAAGTTCTATACCCGGTACCTAAGAATGTGGCTGTATTTAGAGATAGGACTGTAAAGAAATGATTAAGTTTAAATGAGGTCATAAGGGTGTGGCCCGAATCCAAAATGACTAGTGTCTTTATAAGGAGCGGAAGGCACACCAGGGGTGTGCACACAGAGAAAAAGCAGTGTTATAGACTGGATGTGTGTTTTCCCCCAAAATTGATATGTCGGGCCCCTACCTACATTGTGATAGTATTAGAAGGTAGACCTCTGGGATATAATTAGGATTAGGTAAGTTCATTTAAAAGGAGCCCTCATAAGTGGCGTTAGTGCCCTCATGAGTCACGAGAATGCTTGCTTTCCTTCTCCACTTTCTGCCATGTGGCAATTCAACAAGAAGCTGGCGTTCTGCAACCCAGAAGAGGGTCCTCATCAGAACCTGATCCTGCCGGCACCCTGATTTGGGGCTTCCAGTCAGCAGAACTGTAACAAAAATAAATATTTGTTGTTTTTAAGCCGCCCAGTTTATGATATTTTGGCATACTAGCCTGTATTGACTAAGACCATGGAGTCACGGCAAGAAAATAGCCATATATAAACCAGAGAGAGGCCTCAGGAGAAACCAAACCTGCTGACACCTTGATCTTAGACTCACAGCCTCTAGAACTGTGAGAAAATAAACTTCAGTTTTTTAAGCCACCCAGCCTGTGGCACGTTGCTTTTGTTATGTCAGCCCTAGCAAACTAATACACCTACCTTGGAATCATAGTCTCTTGATGTTTTCCCTTCTATCTTTGTTCTTACATTTCTAGTCCACCTTTGCCACTTATTTTGCCATTCTGCCATTCTTACTTAGTCTTAGGAATTTATTTTGTTAATGTAACTTTTTGTTTCTTTTTTTTTTTTTTTTTTGGTCATTTTTAGGCCAGAAGAAGACATGCAGAACTATCAGCCGACTAACTATAGCAACTTCCACAATTATCTTTTAATAATAAAAGGCACATTAGACAGACCTTGATAAAATCCCTTAATGGCATCCTATTGACAACAGAGAGGTCCACTCTCTTCTGCATTCATTCCTTCATGACTTCATCTCTTTCCTCTGACCCTTTTGGTCCCTCTTGCTAATCTTCCTTTCCCCAAGACACTACTCACAACCTATGCTTCAAGCATGTCAAGGTCTTGGGAGTTCCATTTCGTATGCCAAGATGTTGATGAAGCTTCCTTCCTTACTTTGCTCACTTGTTGAAGCTCTATTCATTGTTTAAGATGCCAACCAACTGTGTCCTGTTCTGTGAGTTTCTTCTCTTTCTCTCTTTTTATTGAGGTTCTGGGACCCACTCTTTGATACCATCAGGGCACATTTTCCAACCTTTACCAAAAATTACTCAGTTATTTCTCGATATTTGTTTGCGCTATTTAAACAGTGAATTATTTGAGGATGGAGGCTATCTTTGCATCCCTATTGAGTGAGATATGACTAATACTCCCAAGAGTAGTTGCTTGATAAATGGATTAAAAATAAGTAAATGAGAATATAGAAAATACCATGATCCCTTGAATCATTTTCAATTTTTAAATAATTTTAAGGACAATGAACCAATCTTTTATCATTTCTTTTAAATTTCCTAGCCATTTCATTTCAATGGGATTGATTGTATTTCATTGCCATTGATTACTTTAGTGTCTTTTAAGTAATATTTGGCAGGAAAAAACTTTAAATCACTTAACCCCTTTTGTATTTATTAAAAACATAAGTAAAAAATTACTTAAGACTTAATTAAAATGTAGGTCACTGTTTCTTGTATCCTAATTTATAACAGGGTGTAGGTAATTGCTTGGGGACAGCCAATAGAAAAGCAGAGAAAACCCATTTACCACTTGTTCAGCTCTGTATAGTCCAGAATACTTATCCTGAAAAGGGCACATATTCAAAGAGGAGAAACAATTATCTACCGCTGAAACAGGTAATGAAGTTTTCTATGTGCTATAATTTTAATTTAAAGAGCATGTTTGAAAGGCTAAGATACCCAGACAGGCAGATATTTCCTTCTTCACAGTTATAAAATCTGTCACATCTTAGAAATACTCCCTCATTGAGTGGCAATCACAATTTTTATTCTAAAGGTTCCACATGCGTGGCATATTATGTAATGGACAGCACTTCAGAATAATCTAATAAAAAGAGAACTCTTTTCCATGCTAATAAACTTCAGATTCTGCTTGTTTCAAGAAAATGAATTCAGGCTTTGAACTGCTGAGGTCCACATAAATTCAGGTTATCCATACAGCCGTGCGGAAAATCTCCAAGATGAGTTCTTTATTAATAGCAAGAATGAGTGAGTCAGTCAGCTCATTTAATGATCTGGCCCATAATTTGAATCCATTGAAAGTTGCCTGTTAGCACCTCTGGGAGCTGAGATCAAGCGTGACCTTGGCTTGTGATAGCTTGAATTAAAACCTTGTATGATAGCTCCCACACCAGCTTTGTTTTTATCATTTGGCATGCAAACAGACACCTTGAATATCCTTATAATTGTTACAAACATGAAAATTGTGAGGAAGTAGGGAAGAGGGTTATGCTAACCTGTAAAATTTATTTTGAAAGAAAAGAATGGATAATTCCCCTCCTCTGTGAAATTACTGGTAATGGTTTGTTAAATGTGATAAAGTTCATACAGGCAGTTTTGTTAGCCTCTGCAGGACATTTTGTATAAATGCCTCTTAATTAGACTTTCCTACATTAAAAAAAAATCTATCATATCTTTTAAAAAACACTTGTATTTTAAGTTTGGGGTACAAATTCAGGTTTGTTACATAGAGTAAACTTGTGTCATGGGGGTTTGTTGTACAGATTACTTCATCACTCAGGTATTAAGCCCAGTACCCATTAGTTATTTTTCCTGATCCTCTCCCTTCTCCCAACCTCCACCCTCTGATGTAATTCTATAAGAGGAAAAAAAATAGGCTCTCTTCTTATGGATCATCTAGGTTTTAATCTCCCTTGGTAATTTGAACTTGTGATACCTGTAGGGTTTAAAATATTTACCATATCTTGGCAATAATATTCTACAATTTGAATTTGCCTGAATTTTTATTTATGATAGCTTTGTTTCAAGACTAATGTATCTTAACTTTCCTATTATTATACTTGAATAAAAATTTATATTTTTCTAAGTGAATATTACATGATTTTCAGGTGATGTGACATTTCTGTTTCATTTTTTTTTCCCTGGCTCCACCTCACTATTTTGCTCTAGGAAAATGGTATGGTATAATATAAATCTCTGAAAAAATAAAACTGCTAAGAAATTAGTGACACTAAGGACACTAGCTTTATTTATTTATTGAACTTGCTCCTTTGATCTAAATAAAATTTTGTATACTTTAACCAACATCTCTTCTTCTACCCCTGCACACAGCCCCTGTTAACCACTATTCTACTCTCCACTTCTATAAATTAAACTTCTTTTAGATTCCACATATAAATGAGATCATGTGGTAGTTGTCTTTCTGAGCCTGGCTCATTTCATGTAACTTAATGTCATCCATGTTCAGCAAATGGTAGGATTTCCTTCTTTTTAAAGGCTAAATAATATTCCATATATATATGTATGTGTATATATATATATATATATATATATATATAAAATGGAAAAAATATATATCTCAAATATTCTTTATCCATTCATTCATTGATGGGCATTTAGGTTGATTCCACATCTTGGCTATTGTGAAAAAGTCAGTGACCATGGGACTGCAGACATCTTTTTGATATACTGACTTCCTTTCCTTTGAATATGTACTCAACAGTGGGATTGCTGTATCATATGGCAGTTCTATTTTTAATTTTTTGAGGACTCTTTATATTGTTTTCCATAATAGCTGTACTAATGTATATTCTCACCAACAGCAGGCAAGGGTTCTCTTTTCTCCACATGCCCATTAGCACTTGTTATTATTTGTCATTTTGATAATTGCCATTTTAACATATTGATGAGATATCGCTCATACCTGTTAATCAGGTTCTTTGCCCATTTTAAAATCAGGTTATTATTATTTTTTGCTATTGAGTTGTTTGAGTTCCTTACATATTTTGGATATTATTAACTTACTAAATTTATGGTGCTATGGTTTAAATGTGTTCTACAAAAGTTCATGTATTGGAAACTCAATTCCTGTGCCCTCATGAATGGGTTAATGCCCTCATGAATGGGTTAATGGATTAATGCTAATATCACAGGAGTGGGGTTGTTATTAAGGCAGTGGCTTTGTTGTAAAATCAAGCTCTCTGACTCTTTTGTTCTTGCCCACTTTCCATGTGGTGCCCTCTGTTCATGTTATGAGGCAATAAGAAGGTCCTCACCAGATGTCAGTGCCGTGCTCTTGAACTTCTCAGCCTTCAGAAGCATGAGCTAAAAACAAACTCCATTTCTCTATAAATTACCCAGTCTGTGGTATTCTGTTATAGCAACAGAAAATGGACTAAGACATATGGTTTGCAAATATTTTCTTCCAGTCTGTGGGTTGAAATCTCTTCACTCTGTTGATTGTTTCCAGTGCTGTGCAGAAACTTTTTCATTTGATGTAATCTTCTTTGTCTATTTTTGTTTTTACTGCATGTGCTTTTGGTGCCATATCCAAATAATCATTGCCCAGACCAATGCCATGGAGCTTTCTCCCTACATTTTCTTCTAGTAGTGTTTCTTCTAGTAGTAGTTTAGGTCTTACCTGTAAGTCTAATCCATTTTGAGTTGATTTTTTAAAAATGTAGCATGAGATAAGCATCCAATTCCAATCTTCTGCATGTGGATATCAAGTTTTCCCAGCACCATTTACGGAAAAGACTGTCCTTTCCCTATTGTGTGTTCTTTGTACTGTTGTCGAAAATCAGTTGATTGACCATAAATGCATGGATTTATTTTTGGGCTCTGACACTAGCTTTGTAATGGAAGCATATGAGCTTCCTAGGCCTGGTGTATGAAAGAACCATAAACTGGGTAGCTTAGAACAATAGAAATGTATTGTGTGGTAGAAGGCTAAAAGTCTAAAATCAAGATGTCAGCAGGGCATCTCTCTAAAACCTGTAGGGGAATCCTTCCTTGCTTCTTTCAAGTTTCCAGTGGTTTGCTGGCAATCTCTGGAATCACATGGTTTGTTGATGCATCACTCTAGTCCCCTGTCTTCACATGGTGTTCTCCTTGTGTCCCTTCATATCAGCTTTCCTTGCATGCCTGCCTCTGTATCCAAATTTCCCCTTCTTATAAGGCCACCCATCATGTTGGATTGTGGTCCACCCAATGACCTCATTTTAACTTGATTACCTTTGTAAAAATCCCACTTCAAAATAAGCTCATATTCTGAGGTACTGGGGATTAAGATTTCAGCATATCTTTTTTGAGAAACACAATTCAGCCTATAGCAAAGGTAATTAAAAATGTCACAGTGGCTTTTTTAACTTTTGGCTTTTGCATTTAACATTTATATTTGTTACTTGAAATATTTTAGATGATTTTTTTGAACCCAGGGATCTGAATTTCTTTTTTAATAATGGCTTGGAGACAATGATAGCAGATAGTTCAGTAGACGTGATGTGGTTTTACGTAAAAGCACTTGAAACAATGAATCTAACAAGTATATCAAAGAAAAAATATGTTAAGAATGACAGCTTTAGACAAACTTGAAAACTGGAAATGATTGATATTATAAAGATTGTCACAATTAGTTGTGGCATGTGTTAGTGCTTTTATTCTTTATGTTTCATTGTTATTTCCTCATTGCTTTATACAGAAGAACAGATTTGATTTTATTGACAAGTTTTCAGTTTTTTTTATTAGTAAGTATATCATATTAGAAATGACATAAATTTGGGGAACTTGCAGTGCTGATTAATTTATTGTTTTTGCACATGTCTTAATTTTAAGGATCTTCAGCTTTCTATCTTGAAATTGCCAACCTGTTGGGTTCTTTGAAGCACTTTCATACTTTTAGTACCCTCCATAGGTTGTGAGTTCAGGAGTTTAAATATACATATATATATATATATATATTTTTTTTTTTTTCTTTTTTTCCCCCCTGTTCTGAGTTAGTAAACAGCAAAGTTAATTACTTGGAAGTAACGTGAGTTGGCTGACAAATCGAGACACTGCATGACCTTCCCAATAATTCTTTCAGATGGAGTTCAATACTGCAATTATTTTAAGAGTTTGAAGGGAAAAATAAGTATTTGAAGTCAAATAAAAATTAGATAAGACTAATTATCTTAATTATGACTTCCTGCCAAGTGAAAATCACAGAGAGAATTCCCTTCTAGAACAGCACACAGAGATGGAAGAGTGTGGTAGGGGATGAGGCTCACTGTGATCAGATGAACAGAAATTTTAGATGAGTATGGGTTATTATTTTTTAATGCACTGTCATAAAAGGATTGAAACTAATCCATTTTACAAGTTAATATAAAACTCTATGACATTATTTTACTTGATTTTGGACTCCGACAAATCTATCAAAATATTTGGTCAATTTAAGTTACTGCATGCAGTTCATTAAGTCCATCTCTCTAAGACAATTGTTAGGTCTCATAAATATTGATTCTCGCAGATACAAGATCTTTCAATCATAGCTAGCATTCTGTGGTTGTATGGACAAGACAGTAGTAAACTGAATTTTATCTTCACTCTTTAATGTTCAGTGTTCTTTACAAAACAAATATCCAATGTACCTATTCATTGCATTTTCAAAGCGTAATAACTAAGAAGATTCTAGATATGGGTGTCTAGTCAATTCTACCTTGGAATCACCATAGGATTGCACTGCACATAAATCTTCTGCAAGATATGTATCCAGTTATTGCTGGCTCCCCCCTTTTTCTTCAATATACATGCAGCCTATTAAGTTTTTGATGTGGCTTTCAATAGATGGTGGAACGGAAGATAGGAATAGTTTCTCAGTTATTACATTGCCAGTAAAATAATTGGTTCATGACTCTGTGTGTGTGGTCAATTGCAGTGTTTCTAATCTCTCTCAGGACCAGTCAATTTTAAATAATATTTCCAAATTGAAATACATTAATCTCTTTGGCCCGACTTCGCTAAAAAGTATTTATGGAGCAGGTTAATTGGAGCCACCACATCCATGACTGTGAGCCAGTCATTTTGAATGATATAGGCAGTGTTAGCTCATGCTAGAGCATAGCAAACTTATTTTCCAGATCCGTTGCCATCTCTCATTCGGGACCTGTGCTGTGATTGAAGGAGTCCTTTAGGAATAGAATGAATCACACTTCATGACTATTTACAGAGGAGAAGGAAGAATAAGCTGTATATAGAAGATGAGCACTGTGCAAACCAGTGGAAAGTGCTCCACTCCAGTGTATGTTGAAAGAAGTCGATACATCTGGAGTGCTTTGAAATGAGGTAGTTCATATGTTTTTGGATCAGCGCGGCTTAAAGCAGCTCTCTTTATAGAGCCGGTGTGTCTGCATTTTTCAATAGTAGGCCTCAAGATTAGAAATTAATGTTGTACAGCCACATTGATTTTTACTGAAAACTGTGGTGTTTGAGAGTCTCCATGTTTGGGGTGTAACTACTGAACCTGACTCCAGGGTGAATCAAATGATTATGCAGCATTTATTCTTCTCTTTTGTTCTTTTATCAGGAGTCTTCATAATACTTCATGTTTCATGGTGTAATATTAGTGAAATTAACTTTAAATTGCTCAAAATTTTATAATTAATTTTTTCAGTTTCAATTATGATTCACAGTCTACTAGCCTGGCACCTCCTGGCAGGCAATTATACAAAGTCAGCAAAGCCTATGTGGTGAGCTTCTCCTTCATGTGCTTTTTCGAGTGAGATCCTTGAATGTACTTAGGTAGCACCAATAATGGCTGACACTTTTATTGCATTTGCTCGGTGCCAGGGAGTATTCCAACTGCTTTGTTTTAATCTTCATAACAACCCTATGAAAGAGTAACTATTATTACTATTGCTTTTAAGATGGGTGGGAGAAAAAGAAGCAGCACAGAAAGTTTAAGAAACTTTCTAATCTTATCCAGCAGGTGGTGAAGCTGCAATTTAAACCCAACCAATCTGGTTCTAGGCATGTTTCTGCAAACACTAAACTTTACTTCTTTCCATGTGAGGCTGAGGGAAGGCCTTTTCAGTTTCTATGCCAAAAAGGCTTTTCTGCACATTTTGAGTTTGAGGACACACTTAACAGGATTACATCTTGTTCAGTGTTCTGTGTCTACATCTAACACATAGAAATGGATTAATAAACTTGGATGAATGAATGAGCAATTAAAGCTGTAGTTATTGCATATTAAAATGTAATTTTGAATAATTGAATAATATAAAGCTCAGATCGTATTTGAGGAATTCTGCTCTACATTCTCTTTCTACTCTAAAACTCTGACTGGGAGATTTCTTTTCTTCCAATTTGTGCACTATTGAGCTCAAGATTCATGTTTTCTAGAGACCATGTCCGTATAATGTCACATACGTGCCTCAAAACCCAGCATGGTCCAGATTGAAATCCTAATCTTCCCTTGCCCCCTGCCCTCCTACAAAGCTTCACTTCTGGCCTATATCTCAGAAAATGGCACCATTATTATTTATCTTGTTGCTTAGAGCTGAAACTCAAGCTTTTCCTCTCATTTTCCCTTCTTGCTTCCCAACACCAGATTAAATAATTCCTCATAATATATCTTTTCTACATCTAACATTTCTCAAATCCTTGCACTTCTCCTCATTCCGATAAAATTCTTGTTTAGTTCATTTTTTTCCCCTTGGCTCTTTGCAAGAGACTATTCCCTGTGTTTTCTGGCCCTCCTGTCTGCTGCCTGGGTCTGTTCTCTTTGGCATGGAGTGCAGCATGCTTCATCATCTGGCCCTGCCCTCCCTTGAAGACTCAATTCTTACTGCTCTGCTCCCTGGAGTGAGGTATAGTTTTTTAGTGTCAATGTACTGTATCTTACTGCTGGGGGAGGGGTGTGAGGGGATGGTTCTGTATTTGCTTTTCATTCTGAATCGCAACCCCATCTCATGCTAACCTCTTTCTTTTAGTAACTCCTGCTCACCCTTTCATTCTCAATGCTTTCTCACACAGAATCTGTCACATCATCAGTGCTCCAGAAATATATAATAAATGAATCATAAAATGAATGTACCTGGTTTACTTAGAGAAGTTCCAGGAAAGGAGTTTAAAGCTGCAGGTGCATCTGTGTTAGGGAAAATAGGTGATGTTCCCGAATAGTCTAAAGCTAGATTTTTTAAAAATTAAATATTTACTTATTTATGTTTCCTTCTTCCTCTGTGATGACTAAAGCTAGATTTTAAAGAAACTTAATGCCAGGTTCAAGAGTAGAGTTTCAATAAATGAAAGCATTTACTTGTCATGCAATTACCACTCACATGAACTTGTTTATGTATAAGTACTGGGTAATGACTATTGATTTCATTTTTATTTTTCCCAATTAAAAATAATCTCTATCCATATTTATCAGAAGATACTGTGCTAAGTTTCTAAAGGTGCTTGCATGACATTTTTCTCTGAACTGGATAGATAAGGTTATGCATTTTTTTCCCCACTAGACTATGAGCTTCTTGAAAGTGTAGAACATTAATATTTATTTTTCAAGAATATAAGCATATATGTGACACATCATTGGTGCTTTATATAGTTTTGCTCAATGTGTGATTCAGAGAAGAAAAGAATGGAAAATAAATAGTATAGTAAAAACATGAGTCTTCTTATTTTAATTGACAGTGCAGGTGGTGGTCAGGACATTACCAGCTTACAGAAGTCTAATACATCACACAGGTAAATGGCAGTTGGTAAATGTGATGGTTAATATTGAGTGTCAACTTGATTGGATTGAAAGATGCAAAGTATTGTTCCTGGGTGTGTCTGTGAAGGTGTTGCCAAAGGAGATTAACATTTGAGTCAGTGGACTGGGAGAGGCAGACTCACCCTTAATCTCGGTAGGCACCATCTAGTCAGCTGCCAAAGTGGCTAGAATAAAGCAGCAAGAGAAGATGGAAGAGCAGATTTGCCGAGTCTTCCAGCCTTCATCTTTGTCTCATGCTGGATGCCTCCTGCCCTCAAACATCAGACTCCAAGTTCTTCAGCTTTTGGACTCTTGGATTGACACCAGCGGTTTGACAGGGGCTCTCGGGCCCTTGGAAACAGACTGTAAGTGCACAGTTGGCTTCCCGACTTTTGAGGTTTTGGGACTCTGACTGATCCACCACCGGCTTCCTTGCTCCTCAACTTGCAGACGGCCTATCATGGGACTTAAACTTGTGAACATGTGAGTCAATTCTCCTTTAATAAACTCGCTTTCATATACACATCTATCCTGTTAGCTCTGTCCCTCTAGTGAACCCTGGCTAATACAGTAAGCAAAGCCTCATGGAGACTCTTCAGGGTGCTTCTAATGCCACTGTCATGAGTCAGCTTGATGCAACCTGGAGATGTGAGAAACCCCTTACTAGTCAAAGATTTGTATGGAAATTGAAACTATACCTGTTTTTGCATCTCGGCCTGCATGTTTACTAAGTACACGCTCCAAACTCTGGAAGCCTAGGGTACACAGTTTTCTCTATCTCAGTATTACAAAGACTACAGCACTCAACAGGATATCAACCAAAGAGAAGTATTTGTTTCTAAGATCAGGGCTTTAGAGACAAGAAGGATAAGTCAAGATGAGGACGAGGACAAATGACTCAAAAAGGGAATTTTGGTATATTCCAGTGATTATCTGTTGTTCACAGTCATTCTGGACCACAAAATATGCAGACAAGAAAATTCATTCTAAAGAAAGAAGAACAGAAAGGAGACAGGCTTGGACATAATCTCACAACCTGAAGTTATTTTTAAAAAGCAGTGGCTCTAATGATGATAATAATGTTGTCTGCTTTCAGGTTTTTAAATTATTCTTTAAAAAATCAGATGCAAAATAATAAGCGAGGCCAGGCTAAAGTTGAAATTGATTTTCCCAAAATAAGACACCTTGCTTTTCCAGCACTTCATGTAAATGCAAAAGTTATGGAAGTAGTGAAAAGTGTTGAACCTACAATTATGCCTTTTGCCTTAAAATTTTAGCTGTGATTTTGCTTTGAAAAAGCTTTTGTTCCATTTCTTCCCCATTCCTAACACTGCCATTTTGTTTGTGTGTGATCAGACAAAAATGTAGAACATGGAATGACTTTGGATAAAATTAAAATTTAAATGGCCAGCAAGAAGTCTTTAGAGAACATTTATTTCTGTCTGTATGTGGCACTTTCAGGTGGCTAGGCCTGTGGGTCAGAGTCATTCAGATTTATCTTTATTCTGTAGATGTAGGAGTGCTCCTTCTATTGGCTTTCTGTGTCTCACTCTGAGATCAAAAGGTTGTATCATAAATGAACAATCTCAGAGCTAGAGAGACTGGATGTACTGTGTGCTGATATGATAAAAGTAAAGATACTTTGCTAGAAATTCTCCCAAAGCATCATTTCCCTTTCTTTATGCACAATGTACAACAGAGAATAGTCAAGGGAAGAAAAGATCAGCCTGCAAGAAGGCAAGGAATATGTGAGAAAAAGCATGAGAAAGCAAGAGAAAAAGTCCTGGGCATTGCAAAGAAGAGGCTAGCCACACCTTATTAGTTTATACAGAGCTGCATTTTTTTTTTTTTGGCAGTACCCACTCTTGTCAGTACTTCAAGTTTATCTCATTTTTTTTTCTTTGCCCCTTTCACTCCACTGAGGCATCCAAAGATGATCACTGCCATAGTTTGCCTCATTGCAGTTTTTAATGACTTCATCTCCTCTTATACTTCCTTAATGTTTCTTATGGTGACAAGTTGCTTACCCGGGTAAATGGCTAACGCAGAAAGAGCAGGAACTCATCTATCTTCAAGCCAGTCTTTTCCTATCCTCTTCCTTCCTGCCACCCTCTAGGGATATATGTTCTCTCTGTTACCCCCTATGCAGCATAAACCTGAGCATTACATGACAGTAAAGATTTCCTTCTAGAAAAAGAAAAAAAAAAAAGAATGATTGGCCCCTGGCATACCGCTGGGGCAATGGATAGGGTTTTAGTTCAGCATTAGCCTCACAATAAGGAGCCAACCTTGTGTTATGGCTGCCAAAAAAATACAAATAAAAGCTAATGCAGTGCACGAAATTTCCTTCTGCATTCTCATTAAAGAGTTTGCCTACAAACAAAGCTAATGACATTATACAGATTAAATTCTGTTTATCAAATTATTCAAATAAATTAATAAAAATTACATCGTGGCAAAAATTTCTAAGCAGTCAAAGAGAGAAAACACAAGCTTTACTGATTGCCAGTCCTGCTGAGTTTCTGTGTGGCACTGCTAGCAATTTAGGAGTTTCTCACAGACTACAGCAGCCTCCAAATTAAAGAGGACCTTATATTAACCCCACTGTGTATAATGTTTTCCCATTTTCAGGGCCCTTTCAGCATGTTTCCTGAACAATAACCGTGATGGGGAAAGTAAGATCTCATTTTATAGATGCAGAATCTAGGACTCCATGTGGTTTAATATTAAGGGAAGAAGCTCAAGCCAGAGAACAAGCTTCAGACAATTGGTTTATTACCTTCTGTTATGGACTCAGTGTGTCTCCCTAAAATTCATATGTCGAAGTCCTCATCCCCAATGTGATCATATTTGGAGGGTCTTTGGGAGGTCATGAGGGTTAGATGAGGTGATAAGGCGGGGGCCTTCATGATTGGATTAGTGCTCTTATAAGAGGAGACATCGGGCTGGGCGTGGTGGCTCATGCCTGTTAATTCTAGCACTTTTGGAGGCTGAGGCGGGTGGATCACCTGAGGTTAGGAGTTTGAGACCAGCCTGGCCAAATGGCGAAACCATGTTGTACTAAAAATATAAAAATTATCTGGGCATGGTGGCACATGCTTGTAATCCCAGTTACTCAGCAGGCTGAGGCAGGAGAATTGCTTGATCTCAGGAGGCAGAGGTTGTGGTGAGCCGAGATGGTGCCATTGAACTCCAGCCTGGGTCACAAGAGCAAAACTTTTTCTCAAAATAATAATAATAATAAAATTAAAAAGAGAGAGACATCAGAGAGCTTGTTTTTTCTCTCTCTCCCCAAGATCACACAAAGAAGAAGTCATGTGAACACACAGCAAGAATGTGGCAGCCTACAAGTCAAGAGAAGAGGCCCCAGAGTCTACCTTGCAGGCACCATGATCTTGGATCTTCCAGTCTTCAGAACTGTGAGATGTACATTTCTGTTGTTTAAGCATTCAGTCTTTGGTATGTTTTTATGGCAGCCTCGGCAGAATAAGACACTCATTCATCTAGGTAAACCATATACAGTTGACCCTTAAACAGCATGAACTTGAGCTGTGTGGGTTCACTTACATGCAGATTCTTTTCAATAAAAGTGACTCCAGGTGTGTCTGCCTCTTCTGCCTCCTCTTCCATCTACTTTACTTCTTTTGCCTCTGCCACCACTGAGATAACAAGACCAACCCCTCCTCCTATTTAGCCTCCTTCTCAGCTTATTCAGTATGAAAAACAATGAGAATGAAGACATTGATGATGATCCATTTAATGAATAGGATCCATTTAATGAATAAATAGTAATTATACTTTCTCTTCCTCATGATTTTCTTAATACCCATTTTATTTTTTCTAGCTTACTTTCTTGTAAGAATACAGTATATAATACATATAACATGTAAAATAGGTGTTAATCAACTGTTTGCTGGCTTCCAGTCAATTAGCTATTAGCAGTTAAGTTTGGAGGAGTCAAAATTTATACATGGATGTTTGGCTGCACAGGGAGTTGGCACCTCTAACGCCTGCATTGCTCAGGGGTCAACAATTGTGATATGATGTACTACCAAGACCTGTCACACTTTAATATTCATTGTTCTTTTATATTTTCATTTTTCCCATTCAAAAAAAAAAAAGATTATTCAATGCCTGCTTTGTGCCAAGAAGTGTGCAGGATGCCAGAGGTGTGAAAATGAACCCGCCATATTTAAGTTGCCCATATTTTGATAGGGGAATGACTCACATAAGAAGATAATTATAATATAATTTGATAACTGCTATAATAAAAGTATTAAACAGAGCTTTGGAAGCACTAAGCAGCTCTTTTAGCTTAGGGGAACTCAGGAAACACTTCACAAGGGAGGTAACATGGATGACCGTTTTAAGTGATTCATGATGCTTGGAACCCATCAGCTCAGGGGAATGTGACTGGCAGAAGGAAGGAGGACATTCACCTAGACAGAGAGTGGCAGTGTTGGGCTGTGTGCCCCAAATTATGGTGGGCGTCAACCTTGAACTATTGTCTACATTGAAACCTGTTAAGCCCAGATTCTTGAATTCTGACCCAGACCTGACCTACCAGAATCTCTGGGCATAGCACAGTGGATTAAACATATTTGATAAGCACCTTCAGGTTATTCTGATACAAACTGAAGTTAGAATAGCAATGCACTCAGGATACATGAGGAAAAGGTGGGCTGTGTACTGTATTTCAGTGTGGATGAATCCTGTTCAGATTTCCTACACACTCTTTTACATGTTCCTTTATCCTCTGGTTTTCTCACTGCAACAACTAAATTTCTTCATAGCTCTACTTTCAAAGCATCCATGAAGTTAATAGTGCTCTGTCACTAAAATGATTTTTCCTCTTCCTATTGATTAATAAACAGAGCATCGTCTGCTTTGTAAAGCTGGTACAGTTTTCTTCTCCTTTTACCGACAAGATCTTACAGTGGTTAATAAGAAACAAGGCTGCTTATCAGAAAGCCTGGTGTACAGTTAGCACAAAATAAGATGTCTCCCCCTATAGCATCCTTCTAGTCTACTCTCTCTAAATCCCTCCCTGAATTTAAACCACTTCACAGGCATTAATTAATGATATTTAATTTCTGCTGAATATAATGAATATATAATTAAGATTAAGATACTCTGAGGGCTTCCCCTAGCTTTGAGGCCGATTCTTCTTTCTGCTTAGAAGTATGTCATTTAACCTCTTTACCTCTCTCCTTCTATAATTGGGGACCATGAAACTTACCTGCCCTGAAATTTCTGAAGATTCAGCGATAACGTTAGCCAAATGTTTAGCACATAAAAAGTGCCAAAGAACAGCTATGTGATGTGCTGGGCAAAAGATCTCTTTCGAACACCTGTGATACTTGACCCTTTCTGTGGTTCTTTTTTTCTTGAAAATTATGTCCTATTGCTTCAATGCACAGGAGGGAAGCAAGAAGATATAATGTAAATAATTAAAGCCATTTTTAAACCATCTATTTACATAAAATAAGAACAAGAAACAGCAATGATATGCCACCATAGTATCTGAAGCAATTTGAAGCCAAATATTTTAATGAAAGGTGTTGAGAAAGACCAAATAGCAATATAGGGTACTGCTGGGAACGTCACTTCTTCTTCTTCTTCTTTTTTTTTTTTAAAGAGTTCCATGTCCCTAGGTAACAAAGCAAAAGAACATGCTATATATGATTACAACTGCCTTCTGGATTATTTAGAATCTGGGAGTTATCTTTGATTCTTTTCTCTCCCTCACCAAACCTGTTGATTCTGCCAGTATCTTTGAACCTGTCGATCTTTTCCCTATTCCATTCCCACTCTCTTATCTGTTATACCAGCTTCTCTCTATTGTCTATTTTAGATATTCCTTAACTGGTCCACATGCTTTCTTTTTATATCCCTTCCAACCCATTTTTTTTTAATGCAGCAGCCATAGTGATTCTATAAAATGGTAAATCTTTAAATTAAAAATTATTTTTATTGAGGTAAAATATACATATATAATTTACCACCTTTGCCACTTTTAAGTGTACAGCTCAGTAGCAATAAATACATTTGTATTCCTTTTTTTTATTCACCATCTCCATCCTTGCAAAAAAGGTAAATCAAATCTTGTCTTTCTCTCACTTAAGCCCTTCAATGGCTTCCCATTGCATGTTGAATTACGTGCAACCTCCTGACCTTGAGTTACAGAATCCTAGCTGTGTTGACCTCTGCTTTCTTCTCCAGCTTCATTTTGAGCCAGTTTTTCTCACTATTGCTCCAGCCAATTATCCATGTGTTAGTTCTTAGAACACCCCACACTGTGTCCTCCCTCAAAGCCTTCATACACAGGCTTTCACCTGGAGATCCTCTATCCAAGGTGTCCTTCCCTCAATCCCCATTCTTCAAATCTCAAACTAAATATTATTTGAAAAGAAAGAGCTTTTCTGGGATTAATGAAAACAAATCTCAGCAGGTCTGTCTCCTTTATCTTCAGCACAGTCCATGTTTCTTATCTTCCAAGCACTTTCCTCATGTGTAATTATTCATTTATATATTCATTTGCCTGTTCAATGTTTGTCCTCACAAAGTTGACCATAAGCTAGGTAAGGACATGGACCAGGTCTTTTGAATTTACCACTGTTAACTTAGTGCTGAGAGTACTGCCTTGGATTTAATGGATCATTGCTGAAAAAAACAAATGAAAAATAAGGAAGGTGGATCCTATTTCTGCAATGCCCTGAATAACTTGTATATTGAAAAAAGATCCTGGGCTGGGCGGAGTGGCTTATGCCTGTAATCCCAGCACTTGGGGAGGCCATGGCTGGTGGATCATGAGGTCAGGAGTTCGAGACCAGCCTGGCCACCACGGTTAAACCCCATCCCTACTAAAAATACAAAAATTAGCCAGGTGTGGTGGCACAGACCTGTAATCCCAGCTACTCGGGAGGCTGAGGCAGGAGAATTGCTTGAACCCAGGAAGTGGAGGTTGCAGTGAGCCAAGATTGTGCCATTGCACTCTAGCCTGGGTGACAGAGCAAGACTCTGTCTCGGGTGGGTGGGGGGTGGGTGGAGAAAGATCCTGGAGATAAACTTGGAGTAGGAGTTGGAAAAACTGAAATGAAATCTGAGAGGGAAGAACTGAAGAAAAATACAGAGTGAGGGAATAGCTGTTGGTTAGTTGAATAAAAGCCAAAAAACAAAAAACAGAAAACAAAAAACCTTCCTCCAAAATAAACCCAAATCACATCAAAACAAAACCGCCATAGTAAGCTGTTGAAGGACTGAGTATAATTTCTAACATTCAATTTGCATTTTTTTTACATGTTTATGGTGTAAACTCCTATTTAACCTTTCCAAGTCTCCAGAAAAGTATGCCAAACATAAAGGGCATATGTGTATGCGTTTCCATTTATATATGTATTAGTTATCTATTGTTGCATAACAAGTCACCACTAAAATCAGCAGTTTAAAATAACATACACTGAATATTTCACTGTTTCGGTGGTTTGGAAATCTGAGTATGGCTTAACTGGGTTCCCCACTTTAGGGTCTGTCACACAGCTGCCATCAGGTATTGGCCAGGACCAGGGACTTTTCTGAAGACTTGACTGGGGAAGAATCTGCTTCCTAGCTGTTGGACTGAGGCCATCAGTTCCTTAATGGCTGCTAGATGAAGCCCACCCTCAGTTCTTTGCCACTTGGGTCTCTTCAGTATGGCAGCTGGCTTCATCAAAGTGTGTAGTCCAGAAAGCAGTAGAGACAGTCTGCCAAAGAGATGGAAGTTGCAATCTCTTCTTACCTAACCATGGAAGTGACATCCCATCACCTTTTCAGTATCCTATCAGTCAGAAGCCAGTAACTAGTTTCAGCTCATACTCAATGGGAGGGATTACACAGGGGATGAATACTGAGAGGTGGGGAACCTTGGGGGCTAACTTAGAAGTCACCTACTACAGTATGTTTGTTGGTGTTTTGATTGTATGTGTCCATATGTGTGTAAATCAAGGATGAGACTAAGCTCTACATTTAAGATAGCACAATTCAGCAGGAACAAGCTGTTGGAATCAGAGAAAGTCATGAGAAGATATATTTTCTGGAAATATGAAGATAATTTGGGAAAGCCTTTCACAGGGTGATAGAATCTATTTTATTCAGCTCTCTAGAGGCACTCAGACCTTAGGTATCCAATATACCCCAATAATTGGATTACCCCAGAACACTGCTATAACTCACCACTTTGCTTTTCCTGACAACTATTTTGGAAGTATAATGCACTCAGAAATGATAAATGTTTCCAAAGGTTTAGGGGGATTTGCATAGAAATGGTGGATAGATGGAGGTTTATCAGACTTTGCACAATAGATTCAATGCTGCTTCAGTGGCACAAAGATTATTTTATAGGTAATCTTGACATAAGGTCTAATTTATAAAGTCAGGGAAGGTTCTGCAGTAATCTGGCACTAGCTCTGTAACTTGTAAGCCTTCTAAATAATTGAATTATAAAAATGTTTTATTACAAATAATAGATTATTAATATACTTATCTGACAGCAAGCTATATCTCTTTGATCTAGAATCAACTGAAATGTATTATTTATCTATGTGCCAGACATTGTGTTAGGTCTTTCACCAGGTGCTTATAGGTTCCTCAAAGGACTCTGGTGACTAAATAATTATAAAGCTTAATGGTAGGTGAGAAGCCCGCTCAAAACTCTCTAGCTTGGGAAACAGGGTTATTTATAAAATAGTTATTTTTTTATTATACTTTAAGTTCTGGGATACATGTGCAGAATGTGCAGGTTTGTTACACAGGTATAAACGTGCCATGGTGGTTTGCTACACCCATCAACCCATCATCTACATTAGGTATTTCTCCTTAATGCTCTTCCTGCCCTGCCCCACCCACTGACAAGCCCCAGAGTGTGTTGTTCTCCTCACTGTGTCCATGTGTTCTCATTGTTCAGCTCCCACTTGTAAGTGAGAATATGCGGTGCTTGGTTTTCTGTTTCTGTGTTAGTTTGCTGAGAATGTTGGTTTCCAGCTTCATTCATGTCCCTGCAAAGGACATGAACTCATCCCTTTTTATGGCTGCATCGTATTCCATGGTGTATATGTGCCACATTTTCTTTATTCAGTCTATCATTGATGGACATTTGGGTTGGTTCCAAGTCTTTGCTATTGTGAACAGTGCTGCAATAAACATATGTATGTATGTGTCTTTATAGTAGAATGATTTTAATCCTTTGGGTATATACCCAGTAAGGATTGCTGGCTCAAATGGTATTTCTGGTTCTAGATCTTTGAGGAATTGCCATGATTGAAGTCATGTTTGAAGTAATTTACACTCCCACCAACAGGGTAAAAGTGTCCCTATTTCTCCACATGAACATGGGCTATCTTTTCATTTATTTGTGTCTTCTTCATTTTTTTTCAGTGATATCTTACAGATTTAAGTGTACAGCTCTTTCAGCTCTTTAAATTTATTCCTATGTATTTTATTCTTATACTACTGTAAATGGAATTGTTTTCCTAATTTTTTTGGGGGTAGTTTGTTTTTAGTGCATATAAATGCAACTGATTTTAGTATATTGATTTTTATTCTGCAACCTTACAGAAGTCATTTACTAATTCTAACAGTTTTATAATGTGGAGTCTTTAGGGCTTTCTATACATAAGATCCTGTAATCTGCAAACAGAGACAATGCATTACTTACTTTTTTATTTGGATGCCTTTTATTTCTTTTTCCTGCGTAATTGCTCTGGCTAGGACTTTCAGTACTGTGTTGAACAGGTGAGAGTGGGGACATCTCTTGGCACTGAGTTGTGCTGCCTTTCAGGAGGGGTGACGTGTATAATGTGGAACTGTTCTTTTTACCCCTATCAATGTATCTCTTTCACTTTTTTCATGCTAATAATGTAAGAATAGAATTGGTGACAATAAATGCCTTTGTTCTGCTTGATAAATGAGTGTATATGTGGTAGTTGAGATTCTGAAAGCAGTGACAATGTTCAATAAAAGCTAGTAGAATTTAGTAGTGATATCACCTGATTGCCTGACAGGGTGACTTGCTTTGCCTTTGAAAACATGGGAGAACTGGCTACAGTGTCTCTGTCAATAGATAGAATTACTGAAACCTCAAGAAAATACCAGCCCCTCATACCTTCCAAAAGTGTGGCCAGACATACTTTTCGAAGTAATAGATGCTTTTCTCCTCCCATAGTTTATTCTTATTAATCTCTAGCAAAGAATAGCCAATTCTTGTAACATTTTAGATGGCATGGAGGAGCACTGCTGAGAAGGGGCTGCTGTGGGGAGCATTGCTGACTGACAGCCTGGGAGCTGAGGCTATGCTTCCCCCAAGCTGCTACCAGCCGATGACTGAGCATAGCAGTGACTGGGCTGGTATGGGGCCATTTCTCTTGAATGCAACACTCTTCTAATAGGCAGGAACTGCCCTCCGGCCTGGCTGAGACTTTCTCAGTACTGTGCTGTGGTATGCAGCTATCCCTACTCAATTCTCTCTGCTGCCTCTCCTTTCACAGGTGTCAGATCTATATCGCTACCTGAAAGCTCTTCCCACCTATTTCTGCTCTTTGCTCCTCTGGACTTCATGGGTGATAGATTTACTGGTTCTCGTGAGCATGTCTAATGCCGTCTTTGTGTCAATGTCTCAGAGGACCTGAACTGGCCCATGTGGTATATACACCATCCCAAGTGAAAATTGTGCCATATAATATTATAATGAGCATGCTCAGTATCTGAAATCAGCCTGCAGAGGTTGAAAGGGTAAGAAGGATGGGAATGGCATTAGGAGACTTAGATTTCTCAATTTGATCTCAGTGGGGTTATATTTTGGGCACTGCATTTTATTTAAGAAATCAGAGCAGGAATCTTAGAATATTAGACTCTTAGGAGAATTCTTTCTTTTTAAAATAGGATTTCCAAGCTTGGGATGTATTTCAGTTTCTAGGACAATTAAATCACTCAGAGCACCAAGTTTGCATAACATGTCAGATGGATGAAGTGTTTCATGATAATATTTTAAAAAGTCAGTGGGTTGAGAAATGCATATTTGGATCATGCTCATTTGTTTTCTATGTTTTTAGATATATGTAGATGTGTGCAGTGGGAAAGTTGTCATGACTGGGAGCAAAACCTGGAATATGAAAAGTTAGTTTATCCAATAGTTAGTACAACAATCCAAAATTTATACTTCTCTGGTAAAATCATGAGAGCCTGGAGTCACAGTAGGATTTGTATATTTCTTGTGAAAAACCTAAGAGAAATTCAGGTCTTTAGGATGGGAGGGGTCATGTCCATCTTGTGCCTCACTCTATCCCCAGCCTTCTACACCATGCCTCATGCATGGTAGATGGTCAATAAATATTTGCTGAAAAAAAAATGACAAACAGCATGTTCGGGATAGTTTAAACTGTAAGTAAATGTGATTAAACAGCACTTTGACCATTTTGGCATGTGGAATAATAGAACTAATCACAACTAGTTACAGTCTTGTTTGTTCTTCTATGATTACTGTTTGTTTTTACACTGATTACTTCTTATGTGATTGATAAATGTGGGAATGCTATGGTTTTAATATATGTGTTCCTCCAAGATTCATATGTTGAAACTTAATCATCAAGGGAATGAAATCAGGAACTGAGGCCTTTGGGGAATGATTAAGTCTTGAAGGCTGTGCCTTTGTGAATGGGACCAATGCCCTTATAAAAGAGGTTTCAGAGACCTGCCTCAACCTTCCATCTCTTCTGCTATGTGAGGACACAGCATTTGTCCTGCCCCTTTTGCCCTTCTGCCATTTGAAGATATAGCAAGAAAGTACCATCTTGGAAGCAGAGAGAGGCCCTCACCAGACACTAAATGTGCTAGTCCCTTGATCTTGACAAATAATTTCTATCATTTATGAGTTATAAGTTACCCGGTGTCTGGTATTTTTTTTATAGCAGCAAGAATGGATGAAGACAGATAGTGAAGTTGGTATAATGTGAAAGAGGTATTGATTCATACGTGATTTTTCTGAGTGTGAATTTTTTTAAGTAATTGGAGCGAGCTCTCTCACAATTAAAGAAAAGCCTTAGCAATATATAAACTCCATATAAAACTCTACAAAAGTATCTCTTTTAGTGCAAGCTATGCCTGCACTTCCCCATATAAAGCTACAGTGAAACACAAGTGAACGTGAAGGTGATGTGCTGACATTTCTTTCCTTATTAAAACAATGGATTAACAAAACAGGCTACAGTCTGGATAAGATTTTTGATTCTGATGAACATGTCTCTATTAGAAGCAAATGCCCTCCAGGAATTACATTTCAGGAAACTGCATAAGCCCCAGGGTTTAAGATGAGAAGAACTAACTGTGATAGTAGACACCAATCCCAAGCATATTTTAAATGCATTTGTGAGGGTTTTTTAATGGATTGCTATTGTTTTTGTGTTCTCTGGGTATAATACATTTTGCGATTCCTTTTCCAACCCTATTTTTTCCCTGTAGCCTGTGTTTTATTTGCCATGCGATTTTACAGTAAAGCATGTGCTTTCTGCCCCCTAGAAACATATATAGTATATAGTATACAGTATGACAGCAGGAATGTGTGTATTTAAAAGAAAAACAATAGATTAACTTGGTTAAGAATTCAGCTCTAGAGTGAAATTGCTTAGATTTAAGTTTCAGCTTTGCCATTGTCAAGTGGCATATACTTGGACATGACACTGAACATTCTGTGCTTTTGTATCCACAATAGTAAAATGGGAATAGCAACAGTATCTATTTCATTGGGGTTATTGTATAACAAGAGCTTAGAAAAGTGTCAGGCACATAGTAGGTAGTCAATCCACTAATGCTGATCATTAGTATGGAATGAAGCAGCTTATTCCCTGACTAGGCCACATAAGGCATATTTCACCTTGATATGTGGAAACATAGCATGGTTTCATCACTGGGACCTTAATATAGGCATTTCCTTAAGGCTTGACATACAGTTCTTTGTAGAAGTTCCAGGAGCCAGTTCTCCTTTGAATTTGTATTCACTATTGCCACAACCTGTTTTTTTTAAATTTCCTGTCTACAGTCACTAGACTGTGACTTAAATTAAATTATAACTTTGAAACTGGATTTCCTCAAGTTACTTGTGCTCCATACAGTAGAGCCATAACATACTTACTCTTCTTATTTGACATTTTCTCTTACTCTTTTTTTTGATAAATGATGACCTGCTATGCCACCTACCTTATATATGAAATTGATACAGTATAATGGAAACAAGATGTAATATTAATAACATGATCTATCACAAACACAGCTAAAATTGCAAAGCACATGTCCAAAATTAAGTGATACAGAATTAAAGTATACTTTTTCTTTTTTTTTTTTTTTCCAGGGAAAGGCTGAAAAAAACCCAAAGATTAGCACAAAGACTAAAACCTCTTAGTCCCTTAAGCAATGTTTGTATTCTTGGGAACATGTGGGAAAACTGCGTAAGTGGTGTCCTTGGAGTTTGCTTTAAAAGTAAGATCTTTTGAAAAATGTTTATTCATGTTCTTTGCCCACTTTTTGATGGGATTTTTTTCTTACTGATTTGTTTGAGTTCCTTGTAGATTCTGGATATTAGTCCTTTGCCAGATGCATAGTTTGCAAACATACTTGGGTGACGGGTGCACTAAATCTCAGAATTCACCACTATAGAATTCATCCGTGTAACCAAAAACCACTTGTACCTCAAAAGCTACTGGAATAAAATAAAATAAATTAAGATGTCTGGGTTGACATGTCTTTTCCTAAATGCTTAGCTTTCCAAAGTAGCCATTCATCCTCAGGGTTAAACAGTGCTCTCTCCCAGCTGAATATTTTACAAAGACTTGCAAAATAGTGAGCCAATTATACTATCACTGGATTAAGCCTAATGATCAACCTAAGTGACAGATTGGACAAAAAGATTTCAAAGGTCCTTGGATTCTGTGAAATACTCATTAATAATAATAGGAGTTACCAACATCTGAGAACAAATTGTTGTATCCATCCTGCTTCCTTCCATTCATGGTAGAAGAGCAATGTCATAAGAGAAGCAGACCCTTTGGCAGAAAAGATACCATATGGAGACTAGAGATGCCTGTTTTCAAATTCTTTATTGGATTGGGCAGGGTCTTCTAGTATGAATACACATGAATAAAATTATGATAAGGAGAAAAATAAATTATGTATTAAGTACATATGTCAGGTTCTGTGATCAACATCTATTATTTCCTTTAATTCCCCCATAAAATAAACCCCACAAAAACCCTATGACTTTGGCATTCTTATTATTTAGCTAAACGATCAGGCTCAGAGAAATTGAGAACAAACAAGGTCACTCAAAATCCGCTGTCTTTCCATCATATCAAGCCTTGCCTTAGGCGCTTCCTACTCCCGTACCTCTCACTTGACTCCTAGTCATGTTGATATTTCTCCTAATATCAGACTACTTGGACTTTATTTTTTCTGCTGATCAATTGTCTCACTTTTATCCTGTTCATGTTGGAATTTTAAGAAGAGATCAGGATCAGAATGTAACCAGAACAGGTCAGCTAGTTGTCTAGAGTAGACCTCAGGGTGCTTCTGGCTTTGTGAATTCACTGTACTCCTTAATCTAACTCTCAGCCTGTGGGTTTGGAACCATGTTTTTTGGGAATGATGAGAGTGACTGTTTCTCATGCTGGACACATGTTAACTGCATTTGTAGACAGTGATATATAAAACCAGAAAATCAGTTGATTTCATTATAATAAGGAGTAAATTGGCCAGGATCTTGGACACACGTTCTGTGGCCAATACTTTCTTTCTTTGTAGACATGTGTCTTAAGAGACCACATTATAATCATAAAGTTCCTGGTGAATATTGAATTAGAACAGAAAGAAATTAATAATTCTATGGGTATTGAGGACATCTGTTAAATTAGCATGCAACATTCATCTCTAAAACATACACATGATACACCGATGAAGCAAGTCAAATCCTTGGGCATTTAAGAATTTTAGTGGGTACGGTCGATGCTGTTGGTTTTTAATATGTATTTTTTTTTACCTTGTCTCATATGTGCTTGGGTTCCTGACAATTTGCTTTCTGATTGTCTCATTACTGAAATCTTGTTCATTCAAGGGCAAACTTCTACAACTTAATGTGAGTTTATACATGTGTGTTTCAACCTGTTCTGTGTTGATTTTTTAGTTACAGTGTCAGGTGACAATCTTATTTCTTTTATTTGGAAATAAATTTTGGGTTGGATGGGGGACAAAAAATGCTTTTTTGAAATCCCTGTGTACATCCCAAAGCCATAGATGCCAGATTACTTTTCAAAAAATAATGGAAATTATGCCTTTGAACAGAGATGTGTGAAAGATTACATTCTTGTAAATTATATCCAATTACAGTTTAGTGAGGTATTAATAATAGGATATTATATCATATTTTGCTTCAGGAATTTTATCTATTATGATAAGAACTCTTACATACAGAGGTGCTTATTCTCCAAAAATATCTTAGGAGAAAACACAGCAAACGGCTGACTCCAGGATGGGATTTAGGGAGCCCTGGGAAAGCCTTTATAGGCCTCAAATATTTTCCTCACCATCTGTCTGTTATTCAACCTTTAAAACTAATTGCTTGGCATCTTAAAGTCTTTGTCATTTTAGAAAGTTTCTTTTTAGAATGCAGACGTACCTGGGTTATTTAATGTGTTAGCCAACTTTTAGCAAATTACATCATTAAACAAAATGCAGATATAATTTCAGTGTCTGAGAATTCTCTAGAAAAATTTAATTTTGAAAATGTAATATAATATATGCATATTCTGGATCATCGGAATGAATACCTTATAAATGAGTGCTCCCTTCTAGCTTAAAGCCTGAATTCATGTTTTTGTTCTTGTCAGTAACAACTACTATTACTTAATCGTCACTGGTTCATTAATAATGAGATTTTTTTTGAAATAGGACAAATAGTAGTAGATCACTCTACAAACAAGGTTACTTAACAATTTAAAGTCCAAAAAGAGATGGAAGAAATGAGTCCTAGCAAAGTGTGTTGGAAGCAGATTGCACCTGGTGAGTTATTATCTGGGTGACTACTGATTTGAGGCAAGTGAATATTTAAATCTTGCTCATGGAGTGCTCTGATTGAAATCAAGCTTTATCAATTATCCCCTGAATTTGAATTGAAGGACGTCATTTTTGCCCATTAACTTGACCCTTATAGGAAAATATCAAATGACAGATTCTCAGTTGTGAAAAATAGGATGCATTTCTCTATTGCAAAAGATTAAAATTATTTGGAGAGATTTTTCACCACAGAGCCACATAGTAGCTTACTTTTTCTTTTTAGGAATTTTTTGATTGATTGGTCATATACAGACTAGGTTTAGAAGATTCTTTGATGTTGATTTACCAGTTTCAAGCGTTATAGATCCAAAAATTGTTTTCCTTTCTCCTTTAAGTGGACATACACCATTGAGCTTAATTTATCCCCTGAGTTCAGGATATTATTTAAATTTCTGAAAAAAATGGCTAAAGGCTCTGAAGATTGCATTTGTTGTCATCTTCAATAAGGCCCATTAGTTAATATAATACTAAATCTCTGTTAACAGAAACTAGAAACGACAGGTTCTGTGATGAAGGCTCTATGCAAATGGAAACTCAGTTCTGATTGAAAAACTCTAGTCCTTGTCGTGTTTCGGGTACATCTATGTGTAACTACTCTCAATGTAACTGGGTTAGGAAATTCTTGGCACAGATTTTGGAGAAATTTTTAAAATGAAAATTGTGCTCAGATTCTACTGCTCACCACAACACACAATTCTTTTGCTTTTCCTCCCTTTTAAATCCCTACCTCATCTTTTGATTTTCTTTTCCTCCTTTCTGATTTGAAGACTACTTTATGTATTAGTACCTGTGTTTTATTACATTCACCATTTTTTATTCTTATTTCTTCATGCTCTGGGAAAGGAAGAAGATAAAGAATTTTCACTGATGCTAGCATTTATATGTATAACAGTTTGTCAGTCCACATACCCTATAAGGTAGGTAAACTGAGGTCGTGAATATGTAAATAACAACCTTAAGACAAATAACTGATAAATGATAGAAGCAGTGTTTAAATTAATGCATTAGAAAGAAGTATTTCATCTCTAGTACATTGCTTATCTTGCTATATAATCTCTCTTTATATATAATATAGACATTGTCTAACCACCTATCTGTATATGCTTATAGTGACCCTCAGATATTAATATATTAGTTTAATTTTTATTTATTTATTTCCAGGATCTTCCCCCTCCCCTCCCTGCACTGTCACAGGAAAGCAGAATGATTTTAGGCAAATATTTAGGCACCAAATATTTGTTGAATGGAAAACATATCTCAGAAGCTCACCCTTAGAATATTTCTATTCCAATTTGTTCTTAGAGTATATAGAGTGTGCAGTATTCATAGCCACGGATACAAGATACAATCAAAGCACCTAAATATAGTTTACTTTCCTTTTTCCATTAAAGGCACCAAATCCGAAGTTCAAAGACACGCATAGAGAATCGTCTACATTGTTTACCATCAGAATTTATATTCATCAAGAACAGAATTAACATTATCGTTTCAGAACTGAAAGGGTAAAGACATATAAAAATTAAGTTAACTTAGACATAAGGATTACAAACTAAGTGTATTTATCTTTAGAGGTATTTATCATTGCTTGTGCTAGAGATCTATAAAAGATTGGCCTCAGAACTTACTACAGGGACCTTATCCTTTCCTCTACAAATTGCTCAGTTCCACCAAAGCAAAGACACTATTCCCCACTGAGGGCTAAATAAATGACAAGCTTGAAGTGGTGAAAAATAAATTCCTTCTCCGAGTTACTTGAGTAAAAATCTGTGTGAACAAAAAATTCACACATTTCTCTTCATATAATGGAAACTTACCACTTTTTACAACACTGCTTATTTGAGAAGCTTGGGAAATTCATTATGAGGGGGAAGCATGTTTAGGATATTAGTTCCACCATGCCCACAAATAATGGAGAAAAACATTGGGAATTGAAATTGCCTGGTCTCTTCGACCCCTAAAACCCTTATCTATGTTATTATAGTCTAAATACTTTTCATACATGTAAACATTTTCAGGTAACCAGGGGACAACTTATTTATGCACTTTATTTTCACTGCATGTCTATAGGAATGCAAAAATGTAAACATTGATCTACATAATCATGTACATAGATTAAGGGAAACTTCTGGAAACAGTGTGAATTAGATCATTACAAAATAGTGAAATTGCAGTTAATGGCTTATTTGCTGAAAGTAGATATTTTAATTATTCTACATAGTTTGAATTCATGAATAACTTACTAGTCACTCATATCCTGTTTTTTTCTTTTCCTGTTTATAATCCTGGTGAGCCTCTGATGTTTGGATCATAGTCTTTAATGCTTTTTTATTTGAATTCTTATTCAGGAGGCCTGGGAAATGATATGGCCAGCCAGAGTAGATGAAATTGTTATAGATCACCATGAGATTGTATAATCCATTTTTAAAAATAGTACCAAAAAATGTAATCAATATACTAGAAGCAAGAAGACTTTTTTTTTCCCAATGTAGGTGACATGAGGAGATACTGAATTATAGGAAACTCCTATATGTCTATTTCACTTATTTTTTGTTTCTAGGCTCTAAAAGAAAGAGCACTGACTAGGAATTATGAGACGTGGGTTTGACTTTGAACTCATACACACAGATTTTTCTTGGCTACATTACTTCGCTTTGCTACAATTCCCTGATCGCTGCCACCAAAACCCCCTGTGTCTCCCTTGCCATCCCCTTCCTTATTTACTCATCCCCAAACTTGTCTGGCTTCTTTCATTTCTGGAATAAAAGAAGCTCTTCTCTGCCTCACTGCCTTAGCCCATTATTTCTCTTCTTCCCTTTTTATCTAATTGTCTCCTAATCATTCTTCAGGTCTTAATTAATAATCACTTTCTCAAATAGGCCTTTGCCATGTCTGCTCTCTAAATGAGGCTCCTGTAACATTCTCATAGAATCATATGTTGTATATTACTACTATGCATGTATCACTACTTATAAATGTAAGTTTAATTTCATAATTCTTCATTGTCTGGATGGAGTAGGCTGTATGTTTCATTGCAGCAGGGAGTATGTCTAGTACATTGTAGATGCTCAGTAAATATTTGAGAAACTAATGGATGAATAAATTTGTGATAAGAATGGGGGTAGAAAAAGTAATCTAAATAATTCCATCCATTTTGAGCAGACTATGATACTAGGGTAAATTAATGGTTTTATTTCCATCCAAACCAAGTCCTGAAGATTTTATCCTAAACCATGCCTTATGCACACAGTCAATAATTGCAAGAAAGTCTTTGATAATATACTCGGGGTTTTGTACCTTCATTCAGCCATTCATAATTTCATTCATACCAAGAGATTAATCTCCCAAACTCAAATCTGATCCCACCAATTTCTTACTAAAACCCTGACTTGGTTCCTTACTATATATAACACAGAGTCCAAACTCTTTGGGATAAAATGCAAAGGACTTACCTACCTATTCTTCCGGAGTCCTGCATTCTGCCATTTCAGACATTTGCATAGTTCCCCGAATTCATAGTGTTTTCATTTTTTTCTTTTTTCTCTTGATGTCATGCCTTTGCACTTGCTGTGTCCACTTTCTAGAAAGTCTGTTTCCTCCTCCCTCTTTTTAAGCTTTTGTTCACTAGGAAAATTCCAACTCAACCTTGAATCTTTGGCTGAAATTTTGAATGCCTTGCCATTTTTATCTCCCCAAAAAGACCAAATAACTTTATTCTGTGCATGCTTCTATTATGGCATTTGGATTTCTGTAATCATTTATCTACACCTGACCATTTCCTCTTAACATTGTCAGTCCTGAAAGATAAGGGTTGCATTCTTATCATATGTCTCGTTGATCCCTACCACAGTGCCTGGCACATGTTAGGTAGTTTATGAATGTGGAGTGAAGGTAGGTGAGAAATTAATTGCTGTGTTAAAGGCTTAGCCCATGTTTTCAGGTGCTTCAGATATGAGTCAGAGAAATTGGTCATTAGCCTTCTAATTATATTCTAATATTCCAAAGTTTATTAGTAAAAATCATTTTATGGATTTGTCTTTATAAAGTTAAAAGCTACAAATCAAATTTTTTGGATAATTTTACTTAGAAATTATTTTATTGGTTTTATCTGAAAACTTATCCTTTTATGTTTTGCATTTAAAAAATAGTTGATCAAAGCAGACTGAAGCATGTATGCAGAAATAGTGTTCCCTAGATTTTTGGGGTTATAATTCTGAATATATCTGCTTTTTTGTAAAGTTTTAAAATGGGAAGTTATTGTTTGACCATTTATTCAGCTTTGTGTTTAATTTCACTTTTGATCTTTACCTTCCGTATTTATTAATTAGTCTTCATTATCTGCTTTTTTTTTTGATAAAAATGCATTATCAAATCTGCACTTTTTTGAATGGAGCATTCATTTTTTCTTGGAGTAATCATAAATTATTTTCTGCTTTCCGAGATGTTGGAAATAAAATCAAACAGTTTTGTTTCTGATTTTAATGAAAAGAAATTCTGCATCACATCATGATACGGTACTCATTCATATATTTCTTCTTATTTTTCTGACCTATGATTAATCCTTAACTCAAATACCAAATCACTGATTCTTCCCTTTGAAGGTAAAGCTTTATTGAGTTACGAAGCTCAAACCGGTTTGCTTCATGTGTAGGTGCTCATGGTTGGGATTTTTTAGTCACGTGAACTTTTATTGTCATTTTATTCCATGTTCAACCTGACACTTACGGATGATGGACTGGGAAAATCCAATCAACATTTCCTTTTAAGTAAGGACAATGAAATATCAAAGACCTCAGATATACGATGCAAAGAACAAAACTCTCATCTTTCAGGTTTGTGCCTGTAAAAGAATTCAAACTCTAATACAAAGACAGGAAAAGGACAGTTTTATAGACACATGGTTTAGAGTTCATCCTACACTAATAAAACACAAGTTTTACAGGAAGAAAAAATCTTTCCCAATACTTTAATAGTCCTTTTAAAATTATTTCCATTTACTGAAGAGCTAAGTGCTATTGTGCACCAGTCTGGCCTCTAAATTATTTCAGAATGAGCAGGGAGTTGAGCCTCCCTGAGGCTGTGAGACAGCAGGTGGTCCTTCTGCTGCAGCCTGGGCAACTTATAAAGGGCTCAATTGCTCCCCATAGGCTGCCATTCCATCTTGCTGAGACTCAGACCACCTTGACTGAATGCTCCAGCAGCAGGACTTTTATTGACGAATACATTGCAAACTGACAAGAGAAGGTATTTGATAACCGGGAGGGCTTCTTCCCTAACGTCAGTTCTAAGCAACAAGGCAGGTGCTATGAGGTGCATAGGGTCTTTTATAGGTTGAGGGATTAGAGAAAAGATGTGAGAGGCTGTCTCCTTAGTGTGCCATTTTACCTCAGAGATAACTCATAACATTTTAAAACAAGGACCTAATAGCTCAGGAATATCTTTATCCCCTCCAAATAGAATCAAACATGTGACTGTCAACTGGAGATTACACACGTAAAGGAATATGTTTCTAGGAATATTTATGCTATTAATTATTCTGTTTATGGCAAAAGCATTTAGAGAGGGGAGGAGAAATTGAGAAGAGGTCTTAAAGAGAAATAAAAACGTATTTTTGCTTTATATATTTTATATTGTAAATGTTTTGTTACAATGAAAATACTATTTTTACAAAATATTTTCCTAAATATAAACGTCTTAAAATGTTTTGTGTATACTGACCTATGCAAGCTTCTCTAAACTTGGTAATAATTTACCTTTACCAGCTTTGCAATAACTAATATTTTGAGAAGGTATTACAATTTTTAGCATTCACTTTATAATTGCCCTTTACCATTAGTAGGGCAAGGAAAATAATTGACCAACTGGAGGAAATCATATTTAGGGGACAGCAGAAGGTCCCCAACTAACCTACTAGTGGTCATTGTCATCATCATCATCATCATCATCATCATCATCATCAACATCATCAAGCAGCAGTTTTTAAACTGTCCATCTGAGCATGGCATGGCATGGCACAGCACTCGACAAGGTTAATGAAACGGAGTGTCAAGGACTGTCATTTCAATGTTCTCATTCATACCACAGACTAAACATCAGCATGAACATATGCAAACAAACAGAGACAATTCCACCCCTGTAAAAACACTGCTTACAAAATGCTTTTAGAGATGGTACTAGCCATTTCTAATCGAGAAAATCAAAATGCCACATAGGACACTCTGTTACATTGTCCTTTTTTAAGCAGCAGAACTTTATCAGGTAGTTTGAGAAAATCTTTTGTAATACTATGGTTCTGACCTATACAGCCTTTAGTAAATGAATTTTTCTCTGAAATACTGGCATTACGATAGAAAAGTTAATTGCAAACAATAAAATTACAATAGTTCTTAGTCAATACATTTTTTGCTGCTACCAGGACAGGACATATTGTTCTAGTGATATTTACTAGAATTATTCTTTTTTTTAAGCTAAGGATGAGTACTCTTTTTCATCACTGAATTTTCTACTATTGACATAACATGAGCTTTAGGAGCAGTAAAGAATATAAATCTTTATACCTGTTGTTGATTCCAACAATCACCTTTATCTCTCCTGATTCATTTAGAAATTGATCTCGTCTTGTTTTTATACCTTAAAAGGAAAAACGAAAATGAATTTAAATTTGATATGGTAAAGCTCACCATATAAAAAGCATCTTTTTTGCTATTGGTGTTCATGAGCTCCAATAAAGCCTCCTTGTAAATGATATAAATTGGTCCTTCTGAAATTGCTGCTATTGATTCTTTTTATGAAGCTCCTTTACTTCTTTTGGAAGGGTTAAGGAAGAATAACATAAGAAGCGAAAGTAGAAGTTGATGTAATGTCCATGAGAGCTTGTCTTCAACACACACAACAAAGAGAATTATAACCAGTTTTGAAAAGGAAGGCAAGAACTCAAATTGTGGTGCTTTGTTTGAGCACCCATTTCTCTGTTATTCAAAGATTCTGGTAGATAATGCTATTAGTTGTACAGTTTCCACATTAAGCTTTCTCTAATTGAGAAGACAGTTTTCTTTAGCAGAATGACTAGTGAGAAATAGAGTATCAAGGAGTTTATTCTACAAGTAGGCTTTGGGAATTACTATGGGAACAAGGATTATTATTTCCAAGTTTTAAGTGTCACCTAATGTCATGGGTTCTCAATATATGTCCCTCAATAATGATGATGTAATATTAATTAACTTCCCAAAAACGCTTTACCTGGAAGTATTATTGAGAGGTAGAATTGGTTGTCATAAGAATATCACTGAGGCCGGGCGCGGTGGCTCACGCCTGTAATCCCAGCACTTTGGGAGGCCGAGGCGGGTGGATCATGAGGTCAGGAGATCGAGACCATCCTGGCTAACACAGTGAAACCCCATCTCTACTAAAAATACAAAAAATTAGCCGGGAGCGGTGGCGGGCTCCTGTAGTCCCAGCTACTTGAGAGGCTGAGGCAGGAGAATGGCGTGAACCCAGGATGCGGAGCTTGCAGTGAGCCGAGATCGCGCCACTGCACTCCAGCCTGGGCGACAGAGCCAGACGCTGTCTCAAAAAAAAAAAAAAAAAAGAATATCACTGAGTTTCTAAGGGGACTTTGTGAATGTGTGGCAGGCTGTGTTAGACTTGACTGTGCTCTGCTGATACATTTTTTATGAAAATCAAGTTAAATAAATTGTGCAGTGAGTGCAGATTTATTATATACATGCTCATTTGCTTAGATGAGGGTGCATCACGGAACAAGCACATCTCTTGTTCTGCTACACTTAATCCTTCAGCAAAGCTCTCATGACTCAATATGCTATTGGCATCTTTGAAAAGATCCTGAGTCAGTCATCTAGAAATGCTCCCACACAAAGACTCACAAGAGATTACAGATAATTTTTCAGAGTAGGGACAGTCAAATGGACTTAAGCCTGAAGAAAATGTAGTTATATAAGGAGTCTAAAAGCAGTAAAAATTTTCCATGAACTACACAAGAGAAAACCATTACCATTCTGCCGTTTCAGCAATATAATATAAAACAATGACCTGATAAAAGACAAAAACAAATCTGTATATCCAGTCTGTGCTTGAGGAGGATGTATTCACAGTGGCACTAAACGTGACTTTAAATTACATATAGACAACGTAAAGACCTTCTCAGTGGTGGTCAACCTCAATATGATTGTGAAACTCAGAAACGTGGCCCCATGACAAAGTTTGTTCTGATTTCCTTGAGAGGCTTTGTTAAATTAACTTATAAATCTCATTTAATGCAAATGCAGCAGCGATAGCATTTGGGATTTGGACCAGTTCACTAGCATTGTTGGAATATCACAAAGTCCAAATGGAATGTATCTATTTAGCATCGATTATGTGCTGCAGATGATGCTGGGAATTGTGGGAAAAACCAATAAGCTGTAACAAATAGGAAGACCAAATTAAAGTATTTTAGTGGTGATATTTACATGCATGGCAGAAAAAGTAATGAATCACTAAAGCAGTTTTTAGTTAAATTTAAACTTTTTTGTTTGTTTGTTTTTGAGACAGTCTCACTCACTCTGTCACCCAGGCTGGAGTGCAGTGGTGCGATCTTGGCTCACTGCAACCTCCACCTCCTGGGTTCAAGCGATTCTCCTGCCTCAGCCTCCCAAGTAGCTGGGATTACAGGTGCCTGCCACAACCCCCAGCTAATTTTTTTTTTTTTGTATTTTTAGTAGAGACGGGGTTTCACCATGTTGGCCAGGCTGTTCTCAAACTCCTGACCTCAAGTAATCCACCCTCCTCAGTCTCCCAAAATGCTGGGATTACAGGTATGAGCTACTACATTCGGCCCAAATCTAAAATTTTCTCAACAGAACATGAAGGGTTAAAGAAATTCACAAGAAGCGTTTCCATTGTGAGCTGTAGTACCTGGGCTGTGTGAGTAAAGTAGATCTTGGGCTATGCATTAAACAAGTGTTTTTGGGAATGGTATTGTGGGAAAAGGTTTAGATTTATCTTGGTTGGATTAGCAATTAGGTAGTATGACTGGAAATTGGCTATGTAAACATCAATAAAGAAAAAAATACTGCTACAAGGACACATTTAGAAAAGTATTTAGATAATCTTGATATGTGGAAATCAGAGAAATAGCAGCTCATGCAGATGATAGATGACCACAGGCAGAGCTAAAGTTTGTAAATAGCCGAAGCAACTGAGCAGAATACTTACTACATATAAATAATTAATGATTTTATCAACCTTTGCAAATGTGTTTGATGTGAAAGAATATCAAGAACTGTATATTCAAACTTTTGCATTAGAAGATATATCCATAGATATTCATAGATTCATATATGTGTGAATATCATGTATGAAGTAAGGAGATGATGTATTAACATAATTTGAAATCATATAAAGTAATTAACATAGGGGCTGGGTGCTGTGACTAATGCTTGTAATCCTAGCACTTTGGGAGGCCGAGGCAGGTGGATCACCTGAGGTCAGGAGTTCGAGATCAGCCTGGCGAACATGGTGAAACCCCGTCTATACTAAAAATACAAAAATTAGCTGGGCGTGGTCGTGGGCACCTGTAATCCCAGCTACTCAGGAGGCTGAGGCACGAGAATTGCTTGAACCCGGGAGGCAATGGTTGCAGTGAGCCGAGATCTTGCCATTGCACTCCAGCCTGGGCAACAGAGCGAGACTCTGTCTCAAAAAAAAAAACAAAAAACAAAAAAACAAAACAAAACAAAAAACAAAAACCATGGGTGGCAAGTTACCATAGTGAAGTTGAAATTTAAATTATTTGGCAGAAACTCTAAGAGGAGGCATCTCTTCTCTTATCTAAGGTCAGATAAGACCTTCCACTTCTCTCCTAACTTCACAGGGAATTTACACTATGCATGAATCCTCCACTTTGCTGTATCTTTAATCTCTTACTTTTTATTTGGTCCTTCCAAACAGATTTTAGATATACACAGGGCTCTCTGATGTTTAAAATAAAATGAAAGAATAGAATGATGTTAAATACACAATGCATCTTGTCATGTCAATTTTAATTATTTTTCAGGCCCCATCTTAAATATTATCTGTTGGGAAAATGTTTTCTGACCACTCAAATGTAATGTCTATGGTTATGCAAAATTTTTACTTATTTTTGAAGCACTTAGTGCAAATTTTATTAATTGGTAATTTGTGAATTGATTGGTTTATTGAGCTTCTTCTCTGCTGGGCTGTAACTTCTTCATCAGCCGTGTATCTCCACAGCACTGAATTCTCAGTGCCTACCACAGTGCCCAGCACATAGTGGTCCTCAATTAATATTTGCGATCTTTCTCACGTGTGAAATTCCTACATGTATCCTGGGCCCTTCAAAGATGTGCCAGATGGAAAGAAGACTTACACATCTCAGACATCTTATCAGGCTTTATCTTCCTCACCTATATATATATATTTTTTGTTTATTTGTCTGCACTCTGAGTTTTGTTTGCCCAAGTTGAAGGAAAGGAATGACTTAGCTTTATTCCAACACAAACTTTGAGGGGCATTTCCTACATACCTAACCCTGTAGCTTGCACATGTGTCTGATGGTTTACCAACTCATATTAGTCCCATCCCATGATAAAACATAAGCAATAGAAATGTAACCTGAATGATCATTATGCTAACAGAATTTTAAATTTTTATATGATTGCTTCTGAACTCTTGGTTTCTAATAACTCTAGAGCTACATGATAGGATAACATAATTGGGGCATAATTAGTGTAGCCCTTTCAGCTTTCCCATCATCATGTCATATCATACCATGGTTAGTTGTAGGCAAAACTATTTACAAAGACTCTCCAGAATGTATGACTTGATTCTCCCACAGACAGTCTACTCACATCAATTAGACACCAAAAGACACCAGGCAAATATTTAAGTGGACATGGGCTATGTCATGAATAAAGAAGAAAATCTGTTGGAATTTCCCAGCCTCCATTTCTAGGTAACAGTTGTGTAATCACTGGGGCAGCCAGAGTGAATACTGTTGACTCTCTTTTCAAGGGGTGCTGTGATGTACAGTCAAAATGGAGAGTAAACATTAGAGCAATTAAGTTACTTAGATTCAATGGTCTTATACAGAATTTTAAAATAATTTTAAATTACTGCTGATATTTCCAAAACTAAAATTTAGATCTTTATATCAGTGATGGAAAGAATGTTTGCATTACTGAGGATAGAAGCACAAAATTATAGTTCAAACAGTCATTCTTTTGTACTTTACATGCACACAAAGGATAAAGTGGAGCTTGGAATTCTACACAAAAGAGGATAGTAATTGGGCCATTTCATATGGTCACTGACACTTTTTTACAAAAGCAAATTTGATGTAGTCAGGTACCAGTGCATCTCTGAATATCTTATTTCTTATGTCTTCTGATGTATAAGAGTCTAATTACAGAGGTTGAGTGGCTAGTTCCATATGGTTGTGGTCTGTGGATTAGCAAGAAACATAAAATATTTTTTAACGAGCTTGTATTCATATTTTCTTGGCCTTAAAATCACATTTTTAAAAACCTACCTTAAATCTCTAGAAGTCTATTGCTTTCAGTGGGTTATGGTGCAGAGGCAATGAAATGAGCCCATTTGATTTCTAAGAATTAAAAAACTGCTATAAACTGCTGTACACTAACTTCTTAATCACAGACTATTTTTTTCCATTAAACTCGAATCACCCAGCTTACCAATGGACTTAAGATTTGTTGCCTACCGTGCTGAAGTTTTCAAAAGTGCTTTTGAAAATATATTTGTCCCCATGAATGGAAGGTAAATGATAAAAAGGTGTAAGAATCTTTTCCCTTTATAAAAAGAAGTTAATATCAAAGTTACGCTCATTCAAGGCCTCTGGGAGGTATCTTTCACTTGAAAGCTAAAAGTAATGTAAAACATGATGTTAATATCCTTTTTTACGGCACAGTAATGGGGAATATTCAATTGGATAGCTGTGTAGCAACACTCCCTCTGTACTTAACAGTGTGCAGGGTACCTAGGAGCACGCAAAGGATGACAATCTCACACCTAACGGATTTGACTCTCACAAACAGGAGGAAATGCAAATACATAAGAAGTGGTTAATAGGATATAATATATAACAAAATAGCAAAGAAAGTGATAGTGATCATAAAAACTATACTAGGTTTCAGGAGAAAAATCAGATTAGCTGAAGACATCAGAGAAGCTTATTGAGGCTGAAGGTCTTGAGCTGGACTCTAAAGTATGAGTAATATTTGGATAAACATAGCAGGGATTGGTTGAATATTCCAGGCCACAGCGCAGCATAAGAAAAGCTTAGAGGCTGGAAAATATGTGGGAAACAGTGAAGAGAATCACAAGGCGAGAAGAGGCTAGGAAACACTTGATTTCAAAACCTAGTTTTATCATTTATTATTTGTGTGACCTTAGGAAATTTAGTTAATTTTTCTAGTCTCAGATTTCTTATATGCAAAAGTTGGTAATAAACCTACAGTTTTACGTATAGTAAGAAAAAACATTTATTAACAGGTTTTTGAGAATGCCATCCACTCTATGTGTTAAATAAATTTGACTGCTCTATTTTATGTTTCTTAAAAGAAGGAGAGAGTTTATAATGGAAGATGAAGTACACTTGAGTTAGACTGAGGAAAACTTAAATGCACACAAGAGGCATATAAACTTTATCATATAGGCGATGGCTAGATTTTGAAAGTAATAAGGCAGGGTAGTGTACTGGTTAAAAATAATGTACTTTAAACAAATCCACCTGGTGGTAATAGGCAGGATTTATTGTAGTGAGTGAAAGTATTTCAGAAAGGCTAGATAAAGATGCATTTCATAAAATCCAAATTAGGATACTTATAATGGGCTGAGAGTTGCCTTTTTTATAATTAATGAAAGCAAGAAAAAAGAAGGTTGTTTTATGAAGTTAATATTAGTAATTGATAGATTCTGATTAATCTCTTTTGTAACAATACTTCAATAAGGATAAGGATTATGTAAATCACTTTAAAATTCAAGGTATCAATTGGGGTCCTTAGTTGCAAACAACAGAAACAGACCCTTAATTTAGGTCAAGATAAATTTAAGAAAGATGCAAAATAACTCATGGATTCTCTGAGAGGTTCAGAACACTAGTTGTGGAGACTTTCTCTCCAGAATAGTACACCAAACTCTACCACAGACCTTTTCCAGGAGAAATACCACTTATACCATAGTTGAGTACTAGATACAAAGCAAGAATCTTGGTACTGCTGCCTTTGGAAACTAGATGTACCTACCTTGTCTTCTCCAGATTGTATTGCTCAGAGTCCTGCCTTCTTTACATCACTAGGTTGCCAGTGAGCTCAAGTCACATGCAAAGGAGTCTGAAAATTTGACTTCAATGATGGTAGGAAAAGATTTATAATGTAGGAGGTTCCTAAATTGTATAAGAATGGTGTTATAGGCTGAAGTGTGCCCCCTTAAAATTCATATGTTGAAATCCTAACTCCTGGTACCTCAACATAAGGCTGTATTTGAAGATAGGGTCTTTAAAGAGGTAATTTGGGTTAAATAAAGTCATTGGGATTGGGCCCTACTCCAATACAACTGGTGTCCTTAGAAGAAGGGATTAGGGGACAGATGTGCCCAGAGGAAGATCATGTGAAGAGGAAGATCAAGAGAAGAGGGCCATCTATAAGCTAAGTAAGAAGCCTCAGATGAAACCAGTCTTGCTGACACCTTGATCCATTCTGTGGCCACCTAGTCTTTGGTAGTTGTTATGGCAGCCCTAGCAGACTAATACAAGTGTCCACAGATCTTGGATAGCCCAAAATAATGTCATGTGAAAAACACAAGCTGTTTTTATAAAAAGAAGAATTTCCCAGGTGAGAAAAGACAAAAAGTCAAACACATATCAAAGAAAGCTGAGAAAGAAAGTCTTGGCTTGTTGTATATAGAAGGCAGGGAGTTGGAAGAGCATGGTACAGAATGCTGGTTTGTTTAGAAAAATTTGAGTTTATTTGGAACATTTTGAATTTAAGATGGTGATGAAATCTGAGTGGACATATTTAATTGGCAGATGAAGATCCAGATCTAGAACTTAGAAAAGAGTTCAGAGTTGAGATACAGAACCCAGATAAAAGTTTAGTGTTGGGATCTTTCATGAAGATGTGGTAATTGAAGTCTTGAGAAAAATCTATTGTTAAGTACATGTGGACAAAATAGGAGGACTTTTCTTTTCTTTTTTTTTTTTTTGGAGGGTATTAAATTTATTTATTTGGGGTGGTGAAATATTTTAATTCAGCCTAAGGACTGAAGTAAAACACCTAAACTAGAGATAGAAAGAAAATAATTGGTAATTATCAAAAGAAAAGAACTTGTAGGGGAAAGTGAGTACCTGTATGCTTCTCTCACACCTCAGTTCTATATATTGTGTCTCAATATTTGTGTCCAAAACCATGAGTTCAAGCTGGGTGTGGTGGCTCATGCCTGTAATCCCAACTACTTGGGAAGCAGAGGTGGGAGAATCACTTGAGACCAGGAGCACAAGACCAGCCTGAACAACATGGTGAGACCCCATCTCTATTTAAAAACAACAACAACAACTCACAAATTATTAGAACCTAGTGACATGTGCCTGTAGTCCCAGGTACTATGAAGTCTGAGGTGGGAGGATAGCTTGAGCCCAGGACTTTAAGGCTACAGAGAGTTATAATTGTGCCACTGAACTCCAGCCTGGGTTGGAGAACAAGTCCCATCTCGAAAAGAAAAAAAGAAAAAAAGAAAAAAATCAAATGAGTTTAGATTAGCAAGGGGCCCCAGACGTGGAGAAGGTAGTACAGTGTTGGCAAGGCAAGCAGTGTGTCAGGGGAAAGTGTGGTTAAAGTGAAAAGCTTGGGCAGTTTCAACAAAGGAAAAGTTGATTCCTTGGGAGGAGGTGCAATATAGCAGACATTTTGGTGGAGAGAACTTCTGTGCTCGCTTCTGAGATGAATGCTGAAAATATGGCAAAAGCAAGATAGACCAGCTCCATCCTTCTGAATCTTGGTTTCTTAGGATTATAAGCAGGCAAACTGACAATTACAAGTGTCATTGCTATGTCACAGAAAAAATGTAGAAGCTAGGATGCTGTGGGTGCATATGAGAAAGAACCTGATCCAGACCTTAGTGACATCTAAACTAAAATCCAAAGAATGAAAATGAGATAGGCTGAGAAGGGATGGAGAGATGGACTTGAGCCTATGAGCATTGCTGATTTTAACTAGGGGAGCAATATAGTTGGATTTATGTTTTAGAAGGAATGAGACTAACGTCGAATTTCAGTTAAGAGACTGGTGAGTATGTCAAGGCAATAGATGGTAGTGCACTGAGCTAGAAGAATGTTAGTGGGGATAGAGATTAATAAGTGAATTAAAAATTCATGACAGAAATATAATCAACAGAATTTGATTAGTTGGACGTAGAAAGTGAAGAAAAATGGTAAAGAGTGACATTGAGTTTATGCTTTGTGCTAAGAAGTGGACTGTGACACTGTTCACTGAGCCAAGGAGTGTAAGAGGAGGAGAACATTCTGAGGAAGTGTTGAAGGAGAGGAGGTAAGTTCTGAACTGGATTAGTTTAGGGTGGATGTGAAAAGTAAGTTCCACACTCAGGTTCATTGGAAAGATTTGGGTTAGAAAGGGGGGTTCAGAAGTCATCATATGCTATTGCTATTACTACTAATACTATTAGAAATGACAGCAGCAACAATCATAGGTTATGATGACCTAAAAGTGATAGAAAAGAGAATATTTCAAAAACAGTAGAAGTAGCCATTAGTGAAAAAATCCTGCTGTGAGGTCACATAAAGAGTAAAAGCCTCTAATAGATTTATCGAAAGTGGACACAGGCAAATGCTTTAGAAAGTGGTAGGGGGAGAAGTAAGAGTGATGTGAATTGAAGAGTACATATGAAGTGGATAAAATAAAACAGAAAATATAAAAAGATATTTCAAGGTAGTTGGCTCTGAAGGAGAGGGTGGAGATAAGACAGTAGCTGGATAGGGGAACAGGGAAAGGTTTTCTAAGATGGGAGACATCTGTGTGTCTAGAGGCGAACAGAAAGGAGACAGTAAAGAGAAACACATTGATTATACTAAAGAGAGAAGCTATAAATGACCAAGCCAGGGACCTAAGTGAACAAAGGTGAAGACATGGAAATCATGGGTGGCAGGATTCATGTTATATCAGGATACAATATTGATTTCATGGTAAGAAGGAAAAGTGGGTTTAAGAATGTTTGTCGGTTTGGGAGTTGTGAGTTAGTGACATTCATTTTTAGTGGCTTCTGTGTTTATTTGTGGAATAGGACAGAGTTTTGGTACAGGGAATCTCCAGTAATAAATCCAAATCCATAAAAAAATCTCTTTTCATAAGGGTTAGCCTTGTAAAACATCTCTTAAGTTTACTGTATCCCACATATAGAGCGTTTGGCTCTATGCAAAGATAGTATGCTTGGTTAAGGTTTCTCGGAAATGTATTATAGAAATATGCCCTTTGAATAATAGAAATTATAGTATAAGTCATGAATGTGGACAAGTTCATAAAGGGGTTAGGTTAAAACATTTGACCCTTAGTAATGTCATTAAGCATTTGTAAAAAATTTTAAAGAAATGATAGTGCCAATGGATACTGAGTTGGTTAATTCGTTATTTGGTCCTATATGCCTTTGTTTCAAACTTCATGAAGAACACCAAACAGATGCAAGGAACATAAATGCAAGTATGTGAGGTAGGAATAGTAGTGGATAAAGTTTTGAATAAACTTATTATTTAGTACAAGGTTTAGATTAGTACCTTTAACACTCTTGGCTTTCTACAATGAGGAAAGGATCTTAATTTGAGAAGGAAAAGAAAGGAAAAAGCAGACTAGTAGGAAGGTAGAAAAACATTCTTTCTTTTTTTTTCTAGTAAGTTGACTCTAACACTAGCTGTGGAATCTTGGGAAAATGACTTAATCTCTTTGATTTGCAGTTTTCTAAGCAAAAGGCAGGTGGGAACCTCATCTGTGAATGCCTCTGAATGTCATTTTTTTATATACAATGTCTATTTAAATTTCAAATGGGTATTATTATTCCCATTTTCTAGATATTAAAATGGAGGCTAAGTTAAATTAAAACAGAATTTTAAGGTCATATAGCTTTGCCCCAAACCTAGGTCTATCTTAATTCAGTCTATGCATTTTCCATAACATATGAATCTTCCAAATACTCTTCAGCTCGGAAATCCTACATCCACAAAAACGATTAAAGAGGAATCTTTTAATGTTATTGACACTTCCTTTGGTTTCTAACTCTCTACCCATTCTCTGTACTCTTGCATTTCTGTGTTTATGTAATTCACTAGGTGGGCTCCTTGGCCTATCTCTGTTCTCATCACATCTCTGCTACTCTCTCCTAATTCTCTCTCTCTCTTTCCCTACCTTAAAAATAGCAGAGGATTCTAACCATTTGAGAATATAGTGCTGTAGTGGGCAATGGTCATCAAAATGCATGCCCAGTATCAAGGACAGAATTGTATTATAAAAGAAAATTGTGTCATAGAATGAGCTCCTTTTTTCACTGACCCCATTATCCTGCTAAACTACCCTACTTTGCCCATGTCCTTAGCTGTGAATGGACAGGCCATATTTCATAGGTTGCTTAACCTAAAAATCTTGCTGGGCCCATCTGTTATGTAGAACCAATTTCCATCAAGAAATTTAAAATTCCACAGCTGGAAGGGACTCAAAGATCACCTAATCATGCAAGGTCATTTTTGAATTGGGAAATTGGGTCTCTGAGAGAACAAGTGCTTTCCCCAAGGTTACAGTGACGAACAAAATTTATAACTACCCAATGGAGGGCTTTGAATGAGGATCTTTGGCTTAAAGGTTCAACATCTGATCAATTATTTAGCTAGAAAAGGACATGGACAGCTTTGTATGTCCCTTAGTGGGATATGTGGTTAAGGCCATGCATCTTAGTAGTTGAGAGGATGTAAAGTGTATTAGTTTGTTCTCAGGCTGCTAATAAAGACATACTCGAGACTGGGAAATTTATAAAGGGAAGAGGTTTAATTGACTCACAGTTCCAGAAGGCTAGGGAGGTCTCACAATAATGGCAGAAGGCCAATGAGGACCAAAGTCATGTCTTACATGGTGGCAGGCAAAAGGGCATGTGCAGGGAAACTCCCATTTATAAAACCATCAGATCTCATAAAACTTACTCACTTTCACGAGAAGAGTATGGGAAAGACCCGCCTCCATGATTCAATTACCTCCCACTGGGTCCCTCCCATGACATGTAGGAATCATGGGAGCTATAATTCAAGATGAGATTTGGGTGGGGACACATCCAAACCATATCATAAGTTTAAAATCACAATTCTGTTGCTTTATATGTGGAACTGTTTTTCTGTGAGTTCTGTAAAGGCACTGTAATGGATCTTTTGTTTATCATAGCATACCTTGCAGGTAGCATGATACTGGTAAGTCAGGAGTACTTGCCTTCATTCCTTTGAATGAATAAAGGGATGCATGAATAGTTTTTATCTCTTAAATTGTTTTGAGGTTTCAAAGAGAACCTTAGCTCACCAGGCCCATAAGAAATTCTAAGAGAATATTAGTTGTTATTGTTACTTGAGAAGGCTGAATGTCCTCTTATGTTACAGCCAACATTCTTGAGTATCAAGGATCCTTCTAATCATGTTCAATAAGTTCTCCCATCTTCAAGGTTATCCTAAGAGCCAAGGAGTGTCCAACAAGTCCTTAGAAACAGTTGGCAGGAAAGAAGGACAAAAGAGTAGAATATGCATTTGCTGTAGCATGAAAGTGTAAGAGCAATACAAAGAGTGGTGAGAATAAGGATCTGTAGATTGGATAACGATGGAGAAAAGATCAACAATACATTTTTGAATGTTATGGAGCACTGTGTTGGCCATGCCTTCTCCATCCCTCTTTCTTCACTTCATGCTGAGCAGGACCAACCATCGTGACAATACCACTTGGTTTCCTGCAGCCCATTGGACGTTTCCAAGGGCAATCACAAACCTTAACTGAAATCAGAAGGCTCCTTTACTTGGAAGAAGAATTTGAACCCCCTTGGCTTGGAAGAAAGTGAAATCTATGCCATTAATGCCAAAATGCTCTGTAAACGTGGGTTCACACATGAAGTGAAAGGATATGTACATATTTATGTCTCTTAGTTTCTATAATTTTTCAAGGAATATGTGTATATATACACATAAGTTATATTTATACACATATGTTATATATATACACACTTTTTTATATATATATATGTTATATATATATATATATTTAACAAATAATAGTAGCCTGGTATAAGGGTTGTGAAACTGTAGGCATAAATTATTAATATTATGTCTGTATTTGGTATTTATATTAACAGAGGGCTAAAATATGTTTGAATTGATTCTTAACAAATTAGTCATAATTTCCCAAACCTTGTTGATTCCAGCAGCACACAACTTTTTTTGGGGGTAGTAATTGAACAAATTTTTATTGGCTTTTATGAAGGTATAGGTCATATGTAATTTTACAAAAATGCTGAGATTATGTCAGTGGTTTGTGAAACGTTGTATTCCTTTTAAGCTAAAATGCTAATATGGACATTTACAAAGCTGTACACATATCTTTGAAATATTGCTCTTGGAAGAGAACTTCCTCTTGGGACAATGCACTTTCTTTCAAATCCATTGCCCATAAGTGTCTGTAGAGAAAATATTTGAGGTCAAGAAAAACCAAATCTTAGACAAACACAACACAACACAACATAACAAAACAAAACAAAACAAAAACAGTTTGTCAAGAACCAGGGCATCTGGAATCCTTATCTAAGTACCAGAATACCTGTTGCTACTTGACCCACTGTTTTTTCTCTCCTTGTAAAATAATTCACATTTGTTTCAGTGATATGAAAAGGAAGGAGGCTACAAAACTTTTAATTATTTTTGAATGTCTTAAAAACATCAAGACATTCATTTTTAAATGTCAATGTTTATTAAGAGTATGCAATCTTGTGCAGATAATTTAATGGTAACTATACATGTGGATGATGGCATTATTCAATTGGCATTTAAATGGATGAGGACACATGCTACGATTTGACAAACCAAATTTCTCAAACAGAATTCATAAAGTCTATGTCAGCCTATGTAAAACTCAAATGGGCTATTGAGCCTATCCAACTGGTAAATTTGCCATCCCACCAGTAAAATTATTTTTAAAAATACACATACTGTCAATGGAGACATTAGGATATGAAAATATTATCTTTATAACACAAACATTTTCTCAAGGGTTTACTTATCTATAACATACTTTATAATGTGTTCATTTATAATTCAGTGACATTGTTTTTGAAAGTGAATTATGGTAACTTATTTTAATAAGTTCTAATTTTTTAACTGCAAATTTATTGATGATCTTGATTTTTAAGTGTAAGAAATGTATAATTATGTTGGAGGTCTACTTCACTGGTGTGGGAGAGACATAACATTTGAGGCATAGCTATAGCACTGAGTGGACATATCTCTGATCAGCTAAGTTAAAGAGAAAAAAGTGCAGAGAGTCTAAACCATGAACAGGTTCATCCAGGCAGAGGAATTACATTAAGTCTGCCTTGTTTCTTCAACGTGACAGAAGGCAAAGAAGTTGAAAAAACTATTGCATTTATCTTCTGTGCATTCCCTTTCTCCTCTACTGATCGATTCATTTTGTGTCCAGCTGAATGAGATGTTCCCTTTCTCAGTACCACTTTCCTGGTCTTAGCCTTCTGTAGTAGCATTGATTACAGCAGAGATCTACCAAAAATTCTGGCCAGTAGTGGTATTGCTCAGTTTTAAATGGATACACACCATAAAGGCACTCAAGGACTGTGCCTGGTCAGCTTGATAAGACCAAAAAAGAAAGCCAAGCCCAAACTTCCAAGCAGCCGTGCCTTCAAGGGGCAAATGATGCTGTAAGTCACTAGATTGCCCTCTTGATTGGGTTATAGTGGTCCTATAATGACTCATCACTCCTCAGAGTCTGTCTGCATTATTGAGAAGTTCTTATCTTTATCATCCAATCACTAAAATCATTTAAAAATACTAATATGGTGAATGGGAAAATTTGGCCTCTTAGGGTATCATTACCTATGTGAAATGCTTGACATAGCAACATTGATAATTTTCACTGAAGTGCTTGTATAGAAGCAATGTTATAGGATTTACAAGTGTGATGGTAATGTTAGGTGTCACCCTAACTGGGGTAAGGGATGCCGAAATAGCTGGAAAACATTATTTCTGGGTGAGTCTGGGAGGGTGTTTATGAACGAGATTAGGATTTGAATCAGTGGACTAAGAAAAGAAGATTCATCCTCACCAGTGTAGGAAGGCACCATTTAATTTGTTGTGGGCCCAAAGTGAACACAAAGATGGAGGAAGACTGAATTCTCTCTTTCTGTGCTGGGACATCCATCTGTTCCTATCCTCAGGCATTGCAGCTCCTGGTTCTTGGGTCTTTGCACTTTAGGGCTTAGACCACTGGCTCCCCCGGTTCTCCAGCCTTTGGACACGAACTGATTTACACCACGAGCTTTCCTGGTTCTTCAGTGTGTAGACAGCAGCTGTTGGAAATTCTCAGCCTCTGTCATTGGATAGGCCAAGTGTCATAATAAATTGATTCTGTTTCCCTGGAAAACACTGACTAATATTATTTTCATAGAAGTAAACATTAAATATCATAGCATTCCCATTTTCAAGGGTTGATAAACAGAGGGAAAAGAGGAAAGATACAAGATGGCTGAACGGAATAAAAAAAATCTCTTTCAGAAACTTCATTCATATATTTAAGTTTCTTAGAGTAGAATATATTTTATTGTGTCATTATGTGTGATATCTTATCCTTAAAGATAAGCATCAGATTCATACTGATCAACATTCTTTCTTAAATGGGAAATTCCCTGGCCAATCTTCTCCGTTTTGAGCACGCTGAATCAAAGCCTTGATTAGAATAATTGGTTTAGAAGCATGACCACATTTCTCACCCACGGTTCATGGCAGGCATGGCTTGTCAGAGGGTTGGTGGTTAACATATGAGATTTGCTTTATTGCTCAGTTGAATCAGTAGCTACTGGCCTCCAGGACTGCTGTTTGCTGTGAAATACTGCAATGTGCATGCTATATAACATACCTAACATCCCTCATTTCTGCTACATAATCCAACCTAACCAATTGTTACCATGCATATCTTCACAAAGAATTACCCAATAGAGACCTATTAAAAAGAAAAACTAATATTAATACACACTTCTTCTTTGCTTCTAAGCCTCATATCCTTTGATATAGCATCTTTTAATCAACCTTGTCACCAATATATGTGAGGCAGGCATGAACAATATATAATGACCCAGGTTGCAGAGGAAATAGTAGCAATGATGCATTCAGTTTATTGATATTTTTTTCTCTACTCTGCTTTCTCTAAAAAGATTATATGTGGTATAATGAATGTAATACATAATTAAAATATTTATGTTTGTAAGTATAGTCAAAGCCAAAAAACAAAGCTTCGTTAATATGATAGCGCAACCTGCATATTTTCACACAAACAGAGCATTTCCATTCTGGGACTGATAGACTGTCTGGTGGTTTGATTGAGTCAGTCTACACACACACACATATTGAATTATACTGAACTGACAAAATATTAACCACATCTTCTGCAGGAGTCCTTCATTATTTCAAATATTTACTGAATGCCAGGCCCTCCTCTAGTGCTGGGTAGACAGCAGTGTGCAAAATAGACATCTCTACCTGCATGGTGCTTACACATGCCTAGCAGGGGGACATGGAATATGATAAATTAGTGCACACAAATAATATTGTAGAGAGTGAAGTGCTAAGATTGAATGAGTGGAGGCTGTGATAGAGAGTCACAAGGGAATTTTCTTTATATAGAAGGAACTGCAAGGTGTAAAGTGACAGCAAAGATGCAGTCTCTGGCACCAATTTGCTGATAGCCCAGGGGGTGGCTGAGATGTGGAGCACTGAGAACCATTACTCTCTTGTGTGTTATTTCTTTAACAGAGTTCTGCCAAATCCTCATTTTGCAAGAGATGTTAATACATATTTTATAAAAACAATAAAAGTTCTTTGGTCAAATATATTCGGAAGGCACTTCATAGCAGTGTAGCTCCTCTTGGAAATTAACAACGCACAGAAAGTAGTACAATGCGCTGTTGGCTCTGGGAAGCCCAATAATAAAAAAAATATATAAATGTTCTTCCTGTATTTCAAAAATATTTTTGACCTTGGATCCTGATTTCAGTTCAGTAAGTGCTTTACCATCCAATGAATTTGAATGATATCAAAGAGATAAAGGTGCACAAGTATCATAAGATTCGGCAGCATAAATGAACCAGTCTATTTTGTGAATGAAAAAAAATAGCTATGGAAAATTTAGAAATAATTATGTTTTGGTAATGGCTGTCATTGTTCAGTGATTTCCAGAAATGTCTTCTTAGTGGAAATCTGTTTTGGAATAGTGTGTGATTTTGGTTATTGGAGATAGTAACATGTATAATGCTAATGTTAAAAATGGAAACAATGGTCTCATTCCTGCTTTGGTTGCTCTAGGATTATAAGGGTGATGTATGTTAGTGAAAGGTTACAAATAAGTTCACTCTATGAAACTCTTTTTTTTTTATTCTTGGCATTAGTCAGTTGGTGCACGCATACACACTAGGTATTTTTAGATAATTTATAAAGGTGTCAGCAGAGTTTAAGGAAATATTGAAATACCCTGAGTAGAGTAAGAAGAGTTCTCACCATGCCTAGTGCCACTCTCAAAGGGGTGACTATATGGGGTGATCTGCCTTAGATAAATGGTGCCCTTCCCCTTAGGGAAGCCCCATGACTCATAGACACCTGGCAGACAGAGAACTGGAGAGATAAATGCCAACTTGCACTCCTTTTGCTCTCACATTGCCTATCTGTACCTCCAAATGGCTAAAATCAGCTATAAGCAAAAGGGCAGAGGGGCCTGCTGATGAATTTCATATAGGCCAGCTTTTGAGGCCAGAATAGGATGCAGAAGGTGATGAATTGACTTTGGAGGGGAAAATAAACTATATTCAGCACAGGGCCATTTTATGTTCTCCGTGATAGAACTAGAACTCCAGATGAAACTCATTCCATCTGTTTCCATCCCTTACTTAACATAAAGAGTGTCCTCAGCCTCTGATGAAACAGCCGCACTGCAATAAGAATTGACATGACTGAGCTTTGAAACTCTTGATATATATGTGAATGCCCATGCCATAAAGAGTCTGGTACTGGCCGAGCGCAGTGACTCACGCCTGTAATTCAACACTTTGGGAGGCCACGGTGGGTGGGTCACCCGAGGTCAGGAGTTTGAGACCAGCCTAGCCAACGTGGTGAAACTTCGTCTCTACTAAAAATACAAAAATTAGCTGGGTGTGGTGGCAGCCGCCTGTAATCCCAGCTATGGGAGAGGCTGAGGCAGGAAAATCACTGGAACCCAGGAGACAGAGGTTGCAGTGGGCCGAGATTGCACCATTGCAGTCCAGCCTGGGCAACAAGAGCGAAACTCTGTCTCCAAAAAAAAAAAAAAAAAAAAAAAAAAAAAGTCTAGTACTATTGCATGTTAACTACAAAACCCACAGGATTACATTTTAGACATCCATTACCACAGTAGCAGTGGGGCTCACACCCCGCTGGGTTTCTTTAAACTACAGATAGTAGCTTACTCTACCTCCTCCATCCTGCATTGAAGAGCAAACTGTGTTCTGGATAGTCAGAATCATTCGCTCCCTACTCAATTTGTCTTGCTTTTACTCTTTAACTCTTATGGAAAACTTCGTCAGTGTTCTGTCCAGATTCTTTGGGACCCCTTGTTAGCATTTCCTTCTGGGCATCCGTTGGCTTCTGTGTCCTTTTTTCTCATGGCTCACAGCTGCAACTCCATTTGGATGATGCCTTGGGTACTGGAACCACTGTGCCATGTGAAACACTGACTTAGTCAGCTTGGACTGCCATAACAAAACACCATAGGCTGGGTGGCTTAAACAACAGAAATTAAATTTTTCACAGTTTTGGAGGCTGAAAGTCCCAGCTCAAGGTGCTAGCATGATTAGTTTCCGAGGAAGAACCCTTCCTGGCTTGTAGATGGCCACCTTCTCTCTGTCCTGACATGGGTTGGGGGAGAGAGGGGAGAGAGAGAAGAAAACAGACAGAGAGAGACAGAGAGAGAGAGAGAAAGAAACACTGTCTTCCATCTCTCCTTATAAGGCCACTAATCCTCTCATCAGGGCTCTACTTTCAGGAACTCATTTCACCCTAATTACCTCCTAAATGCCCCAATCCAAGTATCATCACATTAGGGGTTAGGGCTGCAATATGTGAATTCTGGGAGGACACAATTCAATCCATAGCAAGCCCTGAGGTAGAAGCACCTGGGAGTTCATATCTCCCTGGGGAAGCCTTTAGCCCATGACTGAATTCTGTCAGAATTCCAAGTCTTAACTCCCTTGCCCAGGTCAGGAGGGAAAAATGAGGCATGATTTACGCTTCCTAGGAATAACAGGCGTTATGTGAATGAGGCTGAGGATAGGTATGTTTAGAATAGAGGATACCGACAGGATGGCATGCCTAGGTGTCTTGATGCAGTGTGTGATGGTGGGGTGGGAAGGACCTGTCTGTGAATATTGGTTACTGGGGTGGCAAGGGCATGATGAAGGAGATGGGTAAAAACAAAAGGAAGGAAGAAGTCAGCCTTCAAATCTCACCTTCCTCACAATAATTCCTATAGATGGGATATAGATAAAGATTCTTTCTGAGACAGACCAAGGTTTATATATCTTCTAATAATGATTATTAAATAAATCTTGGACAGACCATGGTGCTGTTGTTTGAATGTGTTCCCTCCAAGATTTATGTTGAAACTTAATTTCTATTTTGATAGTACAGTAGTCCCCCTTTATCCACAGAGGATGTGTTCCAAGACCCCCAGTGGATGCTGAAATTGTGGATAGTACCGAACCCTAAATATGCATACCTATAATAAAGTTTTTATTTATAAATTAAATTTTATAAATCATAAATTATGCAGAATAAGCCATTAACAGTAGTTATTAATACTAAAATAGAATAAGTGTAACAATATATTGTAATAAAAGAATAAAAGTTATGTGAATGTAATCTCTCTCTCTCAAAATGTCTTACTATACCATACATATTTTTGGACTATGGTTGACTGCAGGTAACTGAAACTGTGCAAAGCAAAGACACTGACCGATAAGGGGAAATTACTGTACTAGTTAATAGGTGGGACCTGTTGGGAACTAATTAAGTCTATAAAAAGGGCTGCATAATTAGCTTAGGCATTTTTTTTTTTTTTTTTTTTTTTTTTTTGCTTTTCTGCCTTCTGCCATGTGAGGATGCAATAAGAGGGTGCTCACCAGATACCAAACCTACTGGCACCTTCATCTTAGACATCCTAGCCTCCAGAACCATGAGAAATAAGTTTCTATTACTGATCAATTACCGAGTCTCAGGTATTTCGTTACAGCATTGCAAATGGACTAAGACACATGGTCTTAGTCCACTTAGACCACTATCCACCATCACCTCTGGATTCTCAGGCTTATAACTTTTTTTTTTTTTTTTGAGGTGAACACATGATTTATTTCAGCTTCACAATTGAGTGAGACAGTTTTTGGGAGGCATATCAACCCACAGGTATAGATGAGCCTGCAGATTCTTTTCCGGGGCTGCTAGAGTAGAGTCATCTGGGGACCAGTGAGATAAATGCATCACCCACTTCGTATTCTTTTTTTCTTTTAAAATTTAAGTTCTGGGATACATGTGCACATGTGCAGGTTTGTTACATAGGTATACACATGCTCAGGCTTATAACTTTTAAGAACTGCTATTTTGGCTGGGCGTGGTGGCTCACGATTGTAATCCCAGCACTTTGGGAAGCTGAGGTGGATGGATCACTTGAGGTCAGGAGTTTGAGACCAGCCTGGCCAACGTGGTGAAAACCCGCCTCTCCTAAAAATACAAAAATTAACTGGGTGTGGTGGCAGGCATCTGTAGTCCCAGCTACTCAGGAGGCTGAGGCAGGAAAATTGCTTGAACTTAGGAGGCGGAGGTTGCAGAGATCGTGCCACTGCACTCCAGTCTGGGTGACAGAGTGAGACTCCATCTCAAAACAAAACAAAACAAAACAAACACCACTATTCCCTCCCACTGGAGGATGCTCTGTACATCTGTCATGTATCTGGCCGACTTCTTCTGTAGTAAACCTTCACCACCTCTCCATCAGGTGCCTCACATTGCTATGACTGGGTGCCTAATTTAGCAGTGAATCCCTAGCATCTAACAGTGCTAGGTTCATTGCAGACATTTTGCAAATACTTGTTGGTTGAGTGGGGAATTGTTCTTTTAATTAAATAATTCCCCCAGAGATCAAAATTAACTTTTGACCAATCTATTCTTTATGGATTTTCCACTTCTAGCTCAGAAAAAAATTGCCCTATGGAATTTCTGAAGAGAAAACAATCTTTATTTTTCCTTGGCAAGTAGAACTCCCACCTGTCAAGTCTGATCTCTAGGCTAAAGATTTGGAATCTATACAGTAAGTATATTCTTTTTTTCTTTACTTCAGCTTTAAAATTAGCGGCTTTCAAACTATTGGCAAGGGAAGTCAATGGGAGGAAATTTCAGCTTAGCCAATGATTAATATAACAGCAGGTATATTACTTTAGTACTTTGCCAATCAGTTTCTATAGCATGGGAAAAACGATACTTGCTCTTTTGCTTTTCATAGTGATGATGTAGAGATTAAAGGGGAAGCATCGTTGGTGGATTTGATCTCTGTGAATCAAAGCTGCCATGACAGTGTAGCTCCCACGTGGAACTATTTTAAGCTTGAAATACTTCAGCCCAGTCCTTAGCTATCTAATGCCCTTTACACTTTAAAAAGCCACCGGCTTTTGCTGCCAGTATAAAGAGCTGGTCAAAGCTCTTACATTTAAATGGCCACTATCCAGGGACAGGGAATTTCTATATCCTTATATGAAGCACCTTTGGCTCTCTGCCTTCAGCGGAGGACCATAAATGTCATCCACAGGGCCAGAATTACCAGCCATTTCACTTTTATGCAGTAAAGGACAGTGCTAGGGTTTTTCTTACAGTTTCTGATGCAGAGTTACTGCCACAGGACATACCTGTGTTCAGTCAAAAGCTAGTTCGCTGGTAGAGTCATTTCATTTGAAGATTCTGCTCCCACATTATACAGAAACGTGCTGCTGAAGTGGAGGCAGAGTGAGAATTCTTGATTGGAAGCCAACAGCAGAAACCGGAAATGGCATGAGGGGCCTAGAGATCTGATCTTAGTTACAAAGCAGAACTTAGACATGCAACAATCTGTCTAGAACTGTGAAGGGTTGGAGATCTTACACAAATCGAGCCTGCCGCAGTTTCATGGGTGCAGTCAGAAGACACAGAGTCCTGGGTTGGAGACAAAGGACTTTGCCACTCACAGCCCAGCACACCAGGGAGAGGGAGCTTCATGTTTGCGTCAGTTCCTCTCGTCCAGCAATCCCATAGGGATCCAGGTGGATTCTCTGAATGCAGTGGGTGATGTGTCACGGCTGAGGCTTCCTGAGCTTAGGGAAACCCCAATCTTGTGAAGGGAGGCAAACAAAGCTACCCCTTTCCCTAGGGAAAGATACTATCTTTATTATTTTGATCAGGAGACAAATTGCCCTCTGTCCCAATGGAGGCCTTCTCTCTATCTTTCAAAGTTGTTTGCTATCCAAATATTCTTGAAAGGATAGTCTAGAACAAAAGCTAACAATGCCTCTGCTCAGAGGATGTACGTATAGAAATGTGAAAGACCCATGGAGAATTGTCACCCAAAAGTCATGAGGCATTGCACTGGTTCTTCAATACCCTCAGTTGCCAATATTTTACCCTTTCTTGGGAGTATCACCTCTCCACTGGTTGTGCTTATAGATAGATAAGTAGGTAGAATATATCTCTATGTATGTATGTATGTATGTATGTATGTATGTATGTATCTATGTATCTATCTATCTATCTATCTATCTATCTATCTATCTATAGATACAGATATATCTATATCTATCTTGTATAGCATGCGGGTACACTTTGCCTGAATATAGATATAGATATATTCTATCTATCTATAGATATATCTGTATCTATATCTATATTCAAGCAAAGTGCCCCTGCATGGTATACAAGTTTTTTACAAATGACTTTAAACAGTTAATCAAAGGTCTCATGTTCTGAAGCCTATGTAAGTCGCTATTTTCCCCTCAGGATTTCTGTTCTGCTCAACCATCAATCACTCAATGGGAAACTGTGCAAAGGTGGCATATCAGATAAATTCATTAACCAATTTAATCCACTTATGTGCACACTAAGAATTGCAGGAGGATATTTTATTTTATTTCCAACCAAGAGAAGCTATTTAATAAAAAATTGCATCTGTCATCTTATTCAGATTTTTGTATTTTCCTTTTTTGGATCACTGTTGTTAAACTATTGGTCTCAGGTTTTCTTGTACATCAGAATCCCTTGGTGATTTAAAACAATTATATTCAAGTTCTCTGGCCACTCTCTCAGAGATTCTTACTCAAGAGGGTTAGTATTTCTGGAGCACTTAATTTGAAAGTCTTCTAAATTAAATGATTGTAAGGGGTAGCTGGGAGTGGGCAACTTTCAGATTTTAACTATATTTTCACAGTTATTAACACTTTGTTATTTATGACTTAAGAAGAAAACATTTAACAACCAAAACGTAAGGAGCTGAGGAACATTCCAATCACAATCGTGTCATTTGAACTGGGAAGACAATACAGCTTCAGAAAAAGTAAGGGAATAAATTATTTCACACTTTAAGCATCTCTCATGCTTTGAGAAAAGCTTCTGGTCCAAGAATTGTTAGAATGTTGATTGGAAACTTGTGAGACACCTTTGAAGAGAGGGCAAAATAAGCTGTGCCTAGACTTTCCACCCACAGGAAAGGTAAAAACTAAAGAACTCTCTGGGAGAGAGAGGAGACATGATTTGGTACATGGGCCTCCTGACATTTATTTGAGCACCTAGGTGTCATTTTACTTTCTAGAGTTTTCTGTACATTTTTCTAGAAAAGAAATATCCAAGGAAGTCATTAATATGTGAGGTTTTTTTAAAATTTGAAGTGGAAGCAAGAGTGAGAAAAAGAGAACAAGAGTGCTAGAGAGAGAAACAGAGAAAGAGAGAGAGAGACCAAGAAAGAGAAAGAAAAAGTAGGTTTTCTGCATAAATGAGGAAATAGTGTGCAATTTTGGATTTTAAAACATTAACCCTGAAAGTAGTATGTTGAACGGCAAGAATTTGGGTACCTTCAAATCATTGTAGTATTTTTTTTTTTGTCTTCAGACTCAACATTTTACTTTCATAAATTTCTTCTTTGATGCCACATCTCCTAATATTTGAAGAACCAGTGATTCAAAATAAGGACAGAAATGTCAAATCATGCTTAGAGCAGAGTACAGGCAGCAAAAAGTCTTGGGATTTATTTCTGACTCCCCAAGTTACTTGCAATGCAGTGGCACTTGCTACTGTGAAATCTCTCTGAAGATTGCCAGTGCAAAACGTGGGTGGATTCACAGAGTGTTTTAGGGGTAATTCATGTTTGTAAATACTCCAAGACCCTTGACCTAAAGATGCTATTGAGGAACAAAGTACTGTTTTCAAGTGACTGCACATCTTGTACCCATGAACTCTGCAGACTAAAGTTGTTTGTGTAGTATACTTAACACTTCTTGTATTTGGTTTTACTGACTGCTAGACTTAAAGGAAATACAGAGGATACAAAGAAAAAAAAATTTTTTTTTGTATTAAGGACTTCCTGCCCCATAGCAAATTGCACACTGAATTTAAGGCATTCTTTTTGTTCTAGTTAGTGTTTCTTAATTTTCTACAAATCCAAACAGGTACGTGCAACTAAACAGTTTTATGGATCTTTAGATCTAGCTGCAAATTAAGAATAAAGGTTGATACCTTAGGAATATCCTCAGTGTAACTTTGGAGACATATAAGGCCACCCAGGAGGCTCCCACATCAATCATGCACAGGTAGTGTGTCTTTCTCTTGCACTGGAAACCTGCTGAAATGACAGGTGGGGCTGCCCTGCAGTAGCCCTGGAAGGGTGTTGCATGCTCCTGCATCCCAATCTCCCTTCAATATGACGGTTTCAAAGGTGTCCTCATCTGCACAATTTTGCAAATTGTGAGAAGTGTGGCTGAGTGGCTTTCATATGGCAGCTGAAGAGGAGGAGACAATGTTGAAACTGTCACCAATTTAAGCTTGCTTTTGCTTTAGGGTGTCTTACACAGTGCTGGAGAAGCGGGGGAGGGTTTTCAGCACGCCCACTTCAGTGGGTATTGAATTGCCTGCATAATTACCTTTCTCCAAATTTGTCTCAAATTTGCTGAGAGAAACCTTACTTGCCAGCTTTTCAGAATACACTGTGAGTGTGTTTTATGATTTTTTTTCAACCTCTTTCAGGTACTATGGTTAGTTATTTGCTCTACCTCACAAGCATTTGATTAGCCTGTATAAATGTCAGCCTGAGTGAATGGTTTCACTTTATGTAGTATCTGGAAGTCTAACTAATGATACCATTATAAAGTGAGGAAAGGAAACAACTATAAGAATCACAGTCCTTCCTGGAAATTGTCTTGTTCCTTCTGATTTGTGAAGTCTACCAACTGTTAAGAGTTCCTTGATTGAGCCTGATAGTCCTTGAACACAGGGATGGAGTTGAGTTTCAATGCGATTGAGTCACAAACTATTCAGTATTTTGTAGACTCACATCGATTGACAGGCCAGCAAATGAGGAGAAGCAAAAAAAAATCTCACATCCATAAGGTATCTCTTAGGCTCATCTACCTCAAGTGTTTTCGTCAGTGTTAGAACATTTGTCCCAGTTCCCTGGAGTAAGTCCTTGTGAGGAATTATAACTCAATTTTTTAGTACCATCTCTGAATCACATCAGTCTCTGTTTTCTGTCAATTATGTGCAGCACAGGCTTCTCTTTGCTAGTCTCCTACTTCTTCGGCTTTTATCTTTTCGATTGCTACCAGTTTTCTTCCTACAACTTTGCCAGTTTTTTCTCAGCCTCCTTCCTCACCTCCCTTTCTTCCTCTAATCCCTTAGCTGCTGTTATTCCCAGAAATTTACCTTCTGCCCACTGCCCTCCTCAGGCTACATTCTTTCCCTTAGAAATCTCATCTTACCTTCATTTTATAATTACCTAAATGCTAATGATTGCCAAATGTATACATTTTACCTGGACTGCCCCAAGGATGTTTGGATTTATGCAATCTGCTCCACCTACCCATTTGATTTTCACAGGCACCTCAGATTAACCATGTTCATAACTGAATCCATTGTCCTGCCCTCCTTTGAATCATCCTCTCCAATTCCAAATGACCATTACTGACACACCACCCATTGAGCTGGGTGACAGACAGAATGTCAGCAATCATCTGAGATGTTTTGTTTCTTACTTTTTCTATCCAATCAGCCCTACAACGCAATCAGTCTCTTCTATTTTCACTCTCAAATATTTCTAGAGTCTCTTCTTATTTTTCCATCACTTCCACTGCTGCACAGCTCTAATGCTCCTTTCTCATTGGAATTCTTCTAACACTATCCTAACTAGGTTCCTTTTTTCCAGTTTAATCTTGTCCTAATTTATGCCTGACTGATACTTCTAAAACACAAATCTGACAATACTGCTCTTATAATTAGAATGGTATTCTTTTTCTGAAAAATCAATATCAAGCCCTGTCTTATGACCCAGGAGACTGCCCTTGTCCTCTGTTTTGTATCACAAAGGCCTCCTGCTTCAGATTGACCCCTCTTTCCTGACATTAGTAATTTTTACTCAACCTTCAAGACTCAGTTCAAAGCATAACTGACTCAAGTGACCTTCCTTTTCCCACTTAAGCTTGGCTAAGTGTCTCTTCTCCTACCTCCAAAGCTGCTTATAGACAACATTGTCACTGCCAGCTTGCAGAAGAATGAGGTTCAACATTCTGCAAGATCCTAAGCAGCAGAGTCCTTGCATCCTTCTACCCCTAAAGCCCCGTGCAGTGCCTAGACCACACTTGGTGCTCAATAAATGTTAATCTGACCTAGAACATTCCAAATTCTTATGATTTCAAAGATTACCTCAATAGCTTCATAATTCATTTCCTTGTCTCCAAGGCATTCTTGCCGCAAGCCATCTTGCACACAGCTGATAGATGAATAAAGCACTGCTCTTACGGTTTTCCTTCCTAGTTAAAAATCTACAAAAGTTTCACAATGCTTTATGAAGATTTCGGATTGAATTTATCTGTCTTTCCTCACGTGAGTGGTTCTGCCTTACCTATTCAAATCCATCTGCTGCTGTTCAATTCAGATGCTCTTCTCAGCATCTCAGTTCTTCTCCTTTGTCACCATCCAGCATAGTTCAGTAATTATCAACCTTCACCTTTACATACGTTTTTAGGATTTACAAAGGACTTTCACAATCCATGCTCATTCCTTCCTCCAGTAATTTTTGCTCTTCTTCCTGTGGGAGTATTTCTTTTGGGTGTCCTAATTGAAATTCTATTTTCTTGAAGGTCCAAATCATAATGATGACTTCTGTGAAAACTTCAACAAGAAAATAAGTTCATAGCAGTCTTTTCCATAATTTATATGTTTCTAATAAAAAGATAATGTTTTGTTTTTTAACCATACTATTTCTCTTACTCTAGATATCTTCCCCCTTCCAAGCTTTTTATTTTTATTTTCAAAGCTGCACATTTTATCTTTCCAACTAGCATCAAAGTTTCCCAAAGGTAGTGGCTAAAAAGTCTTTCTGTATTTTCATACATCATGTTTGGAATAGAATAGATTCTCCTCGTGGGTGGCATGTACTAAGATTTTTCTTCCCCTTCTGTGAAGTAAATTTATTTTCTCGTCACACTTAAATTCATTCTTGAAAGATGTTTGATACGTCTGTAAGCTTATTTTTAGTTCTTGTAATATTTTTGGAGAGTCAAATTTTCAGAAAAATTATTTTTTGATGTCATGACATTGATCTTAATGCAATCCTTTAAAAAATGAGGCTTTGCTGTACAGTTTGTGAGACTACTCTTCCATGCACAAAAAAGTTCTCTGATATGATTGTATCAATGACAGCAATTATTTAAACTATGTCTGAAATAAAGGAGAGGTTGAGTTGTTCTTGCTTTTTAATGCAGTTGAAGTAAGGTAACAGAAACACATTATCTGGAAAAAAAGGATGTTAGTTTACAATTTTATTTTCCTTTGGTTGCCTACCATGAATTTCTTTTTATTTTTTACACGCATTAGCAATATTATGTATAAATAATGAATGCCTATACCATGGACACCAGGTTTTTGCCTAAAAAAAAAAAGTAAAGGATTTTTTTAAGTGAATAATGTTGGCAAAAACAATGATAGTAATACAAAGATAAAGTACCACGTTCTGTGTAATGAGAGCTATTGTTTAGCTAACAACCACTTTTTCACATGTTATAATTGGGTAGGATTTATGGTTCAGGTTAAAGCTTCACAAGGAAGCAAATTTTGGAGATTTTTAAAATGTAAATTCGGTGATAACAATAAATCCCCCAGGGGAGCCCAGCATTATTTACAAAGTCAATTGGGCTGTGAGAGTGATCTTTCTTTTTATCTTTTCTATAGCTCTAATTCTATTTTCCAGCTTTTTTCACAGCTCTAAAACCTATAACTTAAACAGCATATATCAGACACACTAAAGTCTGCTCTTCCCATCAGGGGACTTGTGCAATTGACTTGCTGTCCTGGTGAGAAGATGAGCAAATTGGTATGGGGCAAAAGGTCAATCTGCATTCATGGTGTGCTAATGTCTTTGTAGATGAAAAAATTATAATAACCCTTTTGGATATACCACACTGTATCTTTTTTTTAAATAAGGCATGTGCAAATTCTTTGAAGATATTTAAAATGAAATTGAGCTGATAATTTTATCATGGTACTACTTACTGATGGCCTTCTCCCTCTCTTGGTCTCTGCTATAGTGACCTGAATGACCAATTTGGGAGGCACTTTCATGGGAAACGACATTGTCCTGGAACTCTCAATTCAGACAAGACCATTGTCAGCCAGGCATCCAGTAACCTTTATCCTTTTCATTTATTAATCCCATATCCAATAGGTGGTAATTTAATAAGAGTTGCCCACTATTATTTAATTTTTAATGAGCCCAGCTTATCTGAGTTTCAAAACATTAAATCCCAGTATGTGTTTCAATGTTCTGTGTCTTATAGTATTGAGAAGATATTTCTGGTAAAATCAATTAATTAAAAGTCAGTCACGAAGGGTCTGTCATTCTGAGTCTTGAGCCAACATGTGCCATATAAACACGATTAATAAAAAAAAAAAATACCCTGGAGTAAAAGAGGTCAATTGCTGCATCATGACATTAAAAATTGGAATGTGACATGTCAACAACTTTAATTGAGTTAAGTGTTCCATGAAAAGAATACAATAAGTCAAAATGAGAAACAGGCTTCTTCATTATTTCCAAAATTGTTGATGCAGGAATTTTTTTTTTTAATGTGGGAGAATTTTGCATCTCTGAAATAACATCAAAGTGTCAGTTGATCTCTCTGAAAAAGAATATTAAACACCTCCATCAATAGAAAGGCTAAAACTTGATGAGATATTCATAGGATCTTCAGTAATTCTTGCTCTTTTTAATTTTAAAAAAGGATAATAATAAATTCAACAAGAGAATTTTAGAAAGTATGATTATTTATAAATCCTAAAGAGGATTTTTTTTTTAAAAAAAGTATGGATTACTTTGCCTTCTATCAATCTGTTTCCAAACCATCTTTCTTCGCTTATAAAAAAGTAACTTTTTATTTAAAAGAAATTACACATTTGCATAGCATAGGATGTGTAGAACTTAAACGTTCCAGTTTGATGGGTTTTGACAGTTGTGTACACTTCTAGAAAAGAGGATGCTTCACTATCCCAGAAAGTTTCCTCAGGATCCTAAGTAATCCCCTTTCTACCAGTAGGTACAACTACTTTCTTATTTCTACCACCAAAGATGAGTTTTACCTGATTAAGAATTTCAATCAAATGGGATTGTACAATATGTACTTAAAACACGTTCTTGAGATTCACCAGTGTGTCTGTAGAAATAGAGTCTGTATCAGTAGTTTGTTCATTTTTATCGCTGATTAGTATTCCAGCGTGTGGATCTCGCACAAATTGTTTTTCTGTTTTCATGTTGATAGACATTTGGATTGTTTCCAATTTTTGTCTCACACGTTCAGAAGCTGCGCTGTTAAATTTCACTTCATGGAGATGTACCACCTTTCACCCTGCTGCTCTCCCACATGAGCAGCCAAAGCTGTTTCTTGATTCGTCTGAAGAGGCTGGGTAATTTTAAATGAGTCATGGAAACAAAACATCTTTGGCATTGATGGAGAATTTAGCTATGGCTGCTAATGCTGTAGAACTGTTGTACTTTCCTTAAAAGAAACGTAATTTATTAGGGTTCCTGTTGAACGTACTTGACAAATTATAAAGATAGTGTATAAGCTGTTGTAGTTTATGTAAATGATAGATATTTGTATAATACTTAAAAAATACTTGTTCTATGCAATAAAATGTCTTTATTTTACTTAAAAGAATTAAAAATTTCCTAGCCAGTATTGTGCTTTAGTCTTTCTTTGTTTTAGAAGTTTAGGTAATCAAAGTGTGCAAAGATACAGATCTGTGTGCATATATTTTTAGCTATCAAGAAAATGCATGTTCTAAAATGCCATAGTTATGTATAGAGCAATACCTCTGTCCAAAAGACTATAATTATTTAGAATAAAGTGGGCATACTGTTAGCATAATTTACCTCATTGTTCAAAATAGCCATAGAAATGGTCCTACTTCAGGTGATTGACAAGTGTTAAGAGTCTCAAGGGATGGGCCCAAATAGCAAATTAAAGGCATGCCTTCACATGTTCTTTAGCCTGTCATTTTGCTGCATCTGGTTTTACATTATGATTTTGATATGAAATTAAGTTTTCCACAATGGATGATGTTTTTTATTTTCCTCTCTGAACTGTTAGCTCCTCGTGAACAGGGTTTGTATTTTGTTCACTTCTTTGCCTTTGAACCCCAACGTCCAGCCAATGCCAGAACTTAGGAAAAAAACATTGGTAGGATGATTTTTGTATGTATACCATGACCAGAAGTGATTAATATGTGTCTCGTTTAATACTGCATCAAATATCATACCAGTCAAAATGATCAAAGGAACAACAAATATTTTCTTGATTTTTGATAATTTATTTTATATAATTCTCCTTCTTCAATTCTTACTACTTAGAAAGCCAGATTGTTGCTATTTACTATTTGGCTAATGCTTTCCATTTTCCTAGTGTGAACCATATTTCTGGTTTTTTTTGTTTTTTTTTTTTTTCCCTAATAAAAGTAATTTCTGGAGCCTAGAGCCTGTGGAACAATCTATACCAGTGATGCCGACAGTGGTTTCCATCTGGAAGAGTTGTCCATACCTCTTGTCTCCACTTCATTGGCTCTCATTCATTCTCCAACCCTTTTTAATCTGCTTTGGACCATAACAATTCCACAAAATGTTGCCAAATCCAACAGATATTTCTCTCCATCTTACTCAAACTAGTAACGTTGACACAATTGGTCACTTCCTCCCTCCTTAAACATGCTTCTTTCCTGGCACTCTTCTGGTTAACCTCCTACCTGTGGTACATTTCTCGGTCTTCTTTTTGCTTCCTCCTACTCAATGCACATCAAAATCTTCCTATGACACACCTGGGCCTTTTCCTCTTTCTCTGCTCTTTCCTTAGATGACTGCGGCGATCTGCATGGGTTTCCATTCTTCATATAAACTCACTTCTCGTGTGGTGTCTCCAGCACAGACCTCTCCCCTGAGCTCTGCACTTGCCTATGCAATTGGCTACCTGACATGTCTTTTTAGATATCTCACAGACATCTCAAACTAAACAAGAATTGCAAAAGAGAAGTCTTGATTTGTCAGCCAATGTGTCTTTTACTAGTCTATGCAGTAAGTAGAAACTCCATCCACCTGCTTTTTCAAACCAGAATCTTAGGAGTCATTGTGGACTGTGCTTTCCTCCCACTCTTTTTTTTTTTTTTTTTTTTTTTTTTTTTTTTTTTTTTGAGACGGAGTCTCGCTCTTTCGCCCAGGCCGGACTATCTCGGCTCACTGCAAGCTCCGCCTCCCAGGTTCACGCCATTCTCCTGCCTCAGCCTCCCGAGTAGCTGGGACTACAGGCACCCGACACCGCGCCCGGCTAAGTTTTTGTATTTTTAGTAGAGACGGGGTTTCACCGTGTTAGCCAAGATGGTCTCGATCTCCTGACCTCGTGATCCGCCCGCCGCGGCCTGCCAAAGTGCTGGGATTACAGGCGTGAGCCACCGCGCCCGGCCTCCTCCCACTCTTTCAACTCATCAGCAAATAATGTTAGTTCTCTTTCAAAATATACCTTGCAATTGTCTGCTTCTTTCTACTTTTCCTCTGTTGCCTCCTTGTTGGGGCTACCCTCCTCTATCTTCTGGACTATGGCAGTTGCCCCAGACAGGTCCCCATTCCTTCTTTTTCTCCTTTAAATCCAGTCTCCACACAGCAGCATGAAGAGTGAAATTCATAAAGTACAAACCATAATACATTAACACATCATTTAAAGTCCTTTAATGATTTCGCAATGCACATATAAAAAGTCCAAACTTGTTACACAGGCTATAAAGCCAGGCAAAATCTGGTTTCAATTTGTTTCTCTAATTTAAGGTTTTGATGCTGTTCCATGTATACAGATCTTCAGAATTTTTGAAAACACACCAACTTCTTTCCTATATCGTGGTCTCCTTGCCATAGAAGGAGAATAGTGCAGTGCTCAAATGCCTGCATTCTGCAGACAGGCTTTGTATTCTGACCATATCACTTGCCAGCTGGGAGGCTTTGGGCAAATTACCTAAGCTCTCTGTGCCTAAATTCATTTTCTCATACACATGAAAAATAAGTTTCAACATTACAGCGTTGCTCTGAGAATGGAATGTAAAATGTTTAGAAGACTGACCAGCAGATCCTAAGTGTTCAGCAAGAATTAGCTATTGGTGTTAGTTACTGTAGTGTTGTCTAGCACTCACTGTCCTTCATATCCTCTCTTTGAATAGACATCTTCCTAACCTTCAGATCTCATCTTAAGCATCTCTTGCCTCAAAGAGGCCTTTCATGGGAACCTTGGCTGAAACTAGCCTGTGTTATAATTTTCTGTATTTCATTTCCCCCTCCTGTACATTATAGGATTTATCAAAATGTGTATTTGTTTTATTTACTTGGTTGTTTTCTTTCTCCGTTTTCCTTTCTTTTGGCTGCTAGAATCCAAGCTCCTTGATGGCAAGGATCATGCATGTAATTCAGTGCCTGACACATAGTAAGGGCTTAAGTATTTTATAAGAAAATCAGTAAATGAAATTCTAGCAGCTGAGAATATACAGCAATTTCCCAGCCATACTGGTAGTCAGTCATATATATTTGCCATCTTTTCTTGGTGACAAATGCAACACTGGAGTAGACATGAGAAAGAAGAGGAAAGTTCTTCATGCATCCTAAATTGAGAAAACCTATGATTTGAAAGCCCTCTTGATTTCTGTCTGGTTACAATAAATAGATACACCTCAGTGCCCGTATCAGTAGAAAGAGGAAGTTTGTCTATATACTTCTACATAAACTTATATAACTTTTATCTAGCTTTATAATTCTCATGTATATGAGTACATCTTTCCTTAGATAATTAGTTCTCAGCTACTACTAGAGACAATTGTTCTCTCTTAAACTGAAAAAATATAATTAAACAATATGTTTTTAATACTTCCTCAAGTATCCCATGAGGAGAGTTACACAAGGAACAACTGAAAGAAATCAAGTGAAGAAAATCCATTTCCTTAAGATTTCTGTTTTGTTGTTGTTGTTGTTTCTTTTTTATTTGTTTGTTTTCTATAGGTACTCTAGTTTTACATCTAAGTCCTTAGGAGAAGAAAAGGGATTTTCTAATTCAAGCCACTTTGTAGTGACTGGTAATTTGACTGTCATTTTGTATGACTCAAATAAAAAGGATAGCCAACTCCATATAAGACCATGCCATATATTTATTCTATTAATACAGACATTTTAAGTTGAGTTAAATATGTTCTATTTAAAAAAATAAATTTATTCATGTAAGTATAACATACATCGAGGAAAGTTTACAAATGTTAAATGTACATTTTGGTAAATTTTCACAACGTGAATATCATCCAGATTAATTAGTAGAGTATCACAGGCACTGAGATCTCACCTCTCTTACCCACCTCCAAGTCAGTTACTCCTCCTTCCCACAGAGAAGCATCATGCTGAATTCCCATATTGCAGACAAATTTTCTAGACTTTTGAATTTTATATAAATGGAATTATTCACTATGTACTTTTTGGATCTGGTTTCTTTTGCCCAACATTTTCTTCATGAGATTAACCTACATTGTTTTTAGCAATAGCTGTTCCTTTTAAATTATGTATATGTTTCCATTTTATATATTTTATAGATTTAGCTTATTTTAGAAATATTATAGCTATACCATGATGTGTTTATTTTACTATTGATGAAATATTTCTTTTAGTTTTTGGCCACTGTGAATAATGCTGTACAAATACCTACATTCATGTCTTTTAAGGAATATAGTTACTTATTTCTGGATATATACAAGGAATGGTAATGTCGAGTCATAGAATATTTATATATACAGCCTTAGAAAACATTAGTGAGAGATTTTTAATGTTGTTATATCAATTTGCACTTTTCTTAGAAATGTTAGAGTGTAAATTGATGTTTGAGAGTTCTTCACCAATACTCAGTATTGTCAGCATTTTTAATTTTACCTATTCAGGTGGGAGTGGATTGGAATCTGACAACTAATGAGGCTGGGTGTCTTTTCACATATTCATTGGCCATTTAAATGTCCACTTTTCTAAAGTGATTTCTTAAGTCTTCTGTTCATTTATCAAATGGAATTTCTGTTTTCTTTTTTTCTTGTTGATTTTTTAGAAGTTCTTTATATATGCTGTATACAAATGTTTTGGGTACAAAATATATTATAAACTTATTTCCTATGCTACAGTTTGTCTTCTGTCTCTTAATGCTTTGTTTGGATGAAAAGTTCTTACTTTCAATATATTCTGGTTTATCTATCTATTTTAATTAATACTTTCTATGTCCCATTTAAAATATTTTGGCTACTTCAGAGTTATAAAGATATTCTTTTATGTTATTACTTAAAATTTTCTTAAAGTGTATATATATACAATTTTTTTTTTTTTGAGAGGGAGTCTCCCTCTGTTGCCCAGGCTGGAGTGCAGTGGCACAATCTCGGCTCACTGCAACCTCCTTCTCCTGGGTTCCTGAGACTCTCCTGCTGCAGCCTCCCAAGTAGCTGGAATTACAGGCACCTGCTACCATGCCTGGCTAATTTTTTTTTGTATTTTTAGTAGAGACAAGGTTTCACTGTGTTGGCCAGGCTGGTCTCGAACTACTGACCTCAAGCGACCCGCCTTGGCCTCCCAAAGTTCTGGGACTACAGGCGTGAGCCACCATGCCTGGCCTAGATTTACATTTTTAACCCACCTGGAATTGATTTTTGAATATAGTGTGAGGTTTACTTTTTATGACTTATTATATCTATATCTATATTTAAATCTCTATCATGTATCTATCTATATCCAGTTTATTTGACACCATTTTTTTTTTGAAAAAAACATTCTTTTTTTATTATTATACTTTAAGTTTTAGGGTACATGTGCACATTGTGCAGGTTAGTTACATATGTATACATGTACCATGCTGGTGCGCTGCACCCACTAACTTGTCATCTAGCATTAGGTATATCTCCCGATGCTATCCCTCCCCCCTCCCCCCACCCCACAACAGTCCCCAGAGTGTGATATTCCCCTTCCCGTGTCCATGTGATCTCATTGTTCAATTCCCACCTATGAGTGAGAATATGCGGTGTTTGGTTTTTTGTTCTTGCGATAGTTTACTGAGAATGATGGTTTCCAATTTCATCCATGTCCCTACAAAGGACATGAACTCATCATTTTTTATGGCTGCATAGTATTCCATGGTGTATATGTGCCACATTTTCTTAATCCAGTCTATCATTGTTGGACATTCGGGTTGGTTCCAAGTCTTTGCTATTGTGAATAATGCCGCAATAAATATACATGTGCATGTGTCTTTATAGCAGCATGATTTATAGTCCTTTGGGTATATACCCAGTAATGGGATGGCTGGGTCAAATGGTATTTCCAGTTCTAGATCCCTGAGGAATCGCCACACTGACTTCCACAATGGTTGAACTAGTTTACAGTCCCACCAACAGTGTAAAAGTGTTCCTATTTCTCCACATCCTCTCCAGCACCTGTTGTTTCCTGACTTTTTAATGATTGCCATTCTAACTGGTGTGAGATGGTATCTCATTGTGGTTTTGATTTGCATTTCTCTGATGGCCAGTGATGATGAGCATTTTTTCATGTGTTTTTTGGCTGCATAAATGTCTTCTTTTGAGAAGTGTCTGTTTATGTCCTTCGCGCACTTTTTGATGGGGTTGTTTGTTTTTTTCTTGTAAATTTGTTTGAGTTCATTGTAGATTCTGGATATTAGCCCTTTGTCAGATGAGTAGGTTGCAAAAATTTTCTCCCATTTTGTAGGTTGCCTGTTCACTCTGATGGTAGTTTCTTTTGCTGTGCAGAAGCTCTTTAGTTTAATTAGATCCCATTTGTCAATTTTGTCTTGTTGCCATTGCTTTTGGTGTTTTAGACATGAAGTCCTTGCCTATGCCTATGTCCTGAAAAAAACATTCTTATTCCACTGATCTGTGGTGTCCCTTTTTCATTAACGAAGTGTTTATATAGTCCAAATAATGCTAGGAATAATAATGCTATTTTAAAGAGACAATATCAGTCATAGAATTTTCAGCCATATTTAGTAGTTCCAGTAATAGTGATATTTTAACAGTAAATGTTAAAATGTTAAACACTGATAGCATACTTTTAAATCTCTCTAGTATCGAAGTGACAATCTGATGAAAGATTTGAACTCTACTCACAGCAAAATGCATATTACACAAAAATTTTGAATATAATTTTAAAGTTGTTTGTGAACACCTTATAGTGTGTGCATTCTGATTTATGAATCCCTGAGTTATAATAGCTTATGAATAAATGATATCATTTTACTGTATAACGTGAAAATTATAATAACATCTTTCAGAAAGAATAATAAAGGAAGGAATAAATGATTTCTTGAGCTTAAATTTGCATTTGTTAAGAAAATACTTAACTTTGTGGTATAAGTATGTCATATCTGAATTACATGTGCTTTTTTAACATATAGATATTGACTGTGTTCTATGCAACTAAAACACAGGAAAGAATGCTTAGCTTGTTGTCTAGTGAGAGAAATCACACTTTAATCAAACAGTAATTTATCTTTTTAAATGAAATTATACTAAATAACAGAAGTCATTTTAACGACATGCATGAATAAACTAATCTAAAGAAATGTGTGGATATAAGGATGGATGGTGGACAAGAATCAAAGAAGGTTTGCTTAAGGAAAGGACAGTTTAGTTGAAGTCTGAATCATGAATATGAGTTATTAGTCAAAGGGACAGGTAGAGAACATTTCAAGTAGAGTCAGCATCAAGTACAATTTCACAAGGTAGGCAAGCACGTGGTTAGTTTGAGGAAAAAAGCTAGCCTGAGCTGGTGAAGCATAAAATGCAAAGGATAGATAGCATATGACAATGCTGGAGAAGGCAGGACTGTGCCTTTTCCTAAGAGCTCTGGGAGGCCAGAGAACTGGAGAGGCAGTACTTTCAAGAGATGATAGTGAATGGCTTTGGTGGTATCAGGAGAGAAAATAGAACGTGAAGGTTATTGACAAGGAGAAAATTTATAAGATTTGCTAATAGATTTGGTATATGGGAAGAAGAGAAGGGAGTTCTCAAGAATTATTTCTGAATTTTTAGTTTATATAACTGAATAAATGAATAAAATTTGTTGAGATAGAAAAAAGCTGTAACACAATTAAGTGGATAAGATCTTTTTCTTTCTTGTGGATGGACAGAAATAGAGTGAAGACAGAAATCATGGAATTATTATAGTTGGGGATTTATTGAGTTGGGACTGGTTTTAAAACATCTACATGATGAAGTTGAGTTGACAATATGTAGATTGCTCTAGAGATCAGGGACATGGTCTGGCTAGAAGGTATACATTTGGAAGTTAGTGAAATTTAGATGGCATTTGAGGCCATGTATGGGAGAGATTGCCAACGCAGGCCCTGCAGGACATGTATTAAAAGAGTGATCTTTATTTTTCCTAGTCTAAGCTGGCTCTGTTTGAAATCAGCTGATTAAATTTACTTTTGCTTGAGAGCAAATATATAATGACTCTCTTGGTCACTGATAATTTATCAAGATTGTTTAGTAGGCTAGGAGGCCTAAGTAGACTTCAGAAATGACGACTTTGGAAACATATTTTATCCAAATCATTATCAAACAGAAATGTCCTCTTCCTACCTGAAAACCAGAATTTTGTACTCTCAAGGGCATATGATAATTATGGATTTTTTTTGTGTAGGAAGATGTGTGTGTTTGTGTGTGTGTGCATGTAAGAGAGAGAGGGGGAAAGAGAGAGAATTAAGCTGGGTGTTAAACATGTGAATATTAGCTACGCCACTTTGTCTTTAGCTTTTCTCCATCAAAATCTCATGATTTTATAAATAAGATTTAATGTAATAATATAGGAGCATTCACAAGATTAGAATTTCAGAACTGGGAAAATAAGTCCTTAGAACATGGGCCATAGGATAAAATATGCTGTTCTTCGGGTTATTGTGGAGGAAGAGGTTCAGAACAAAGTCTGTTGGGTATCTGTGAGATGAGGTTACCACAATGATCTCGAAGCTGCTGAAAAACAAGCATGGGACTACCTCACAGTTTTACATGAGGTCAATTCTGAACCTTACAGTGCCTGGGACAAAGTATTTTATTCACTGGGTAAGCATTATTGCAGTTTCTAAACCTTGACACTATTGACTGTTTGGGATGGATAATTCTGTGTTTTGTGCTATCTTGTGCATGGTTGCATGTTTAATAGTATCATTAATATCTCACTAGATGCCAGTGGTACCACTACCCTAATATGACAACCAAAAGTGTCTCCAGATATTTACGGAGGAGGGTAGGGGCAAAATGCCACTGGCTGAGAACCACTGATACATTGAATTAACAAGCATTTCCTTTCTGACGGATATTGGCTATTCTGAGTCCTTTTTGTCCTTCCCAACTATATCCAGGAGGATGGAAGGGTCTTAACACTTGAACAGCAAGAGGGAGAAGGTCACTGTTGGTCACCCTGTGGTCAGAGGCAGAGGTCGCAGATCAAGTCAGGTGCTCATGGGCACATTCAGTGAGGAGCCGTGAGCCAGGATTTGAGGCTGTGGATTGCCTCTTAGTCAGCTAGGGTTCATCCAGGGCACACATGCGTGCCTATTTAATGCCTTCTAGGCTTTATGAAAGAAGGTTTTCACAAGACGACAGTGGAACCCTTGTGAGATATCTTACAGATAGGCCAGAGATCAACTCTAGAGGTTAAAAGTTACCATTTAATTGACTCCTTTCTCTTTAGGTCAAATTACTTACAAAGAACAGTCTGAAAAACAAGGGAGTGAATCTGCCGTCTCATGAGCATGACATTTCCTTTGAAAAGATAAAATTTAATGACCAAATAAGAAGTAGTTATGATCCTTCAGTTTGAATTTGCTTATGGATGTGACTGGTAATATGAACTGATGTATTTCTAGTCTGGCTGGTCCTTTATACCCAATATATCAGCAGGCATCTGCTGCACAACATTAAGGGTTATACAGTATTCGGTTGAAGCTGTAAGTCTTCATAGTACCTCTGCTTTATGCATGCATTCATGCTGTAAGGCTTATATTGAAGCAGATAATGTATACGCCTGCAGTTTAGGGGTGGTTTCTTATAATAGCTCTCTCTGGAGGAAGAAAACAATGTGTTCTGCACCAGTATTTCTTTAGGTGTCTTTAAGCATAGCTAATATCAAGCATCTTTGCATAGTCTTAGAAAACACAGCTAAACTGCCTCCTGGTATGACATGCCATAGGACAGCAGTCAAGTAGAAATGTGTATTGTTATGACAATACAGGGATATAAAATTATGCTGGCTGCCAGCAGGAGTAGAAACCTAGTGACCTAAATGAACTCAACCAGAAATCTGTTAAACGATTTAATTTTTGGTACATCCAGCTATTGATTATATGGTGTCGGAGCAAAAGCAGTAGCAATATCAAAGACAGCCATGAAAGCCAGAGAAGAATTAGTAAGAGGAGGTAACTACTGTGAGAAGTGAATATATGTCTGATATAAAGGGGCTAGCACAACTAGAACAATAATTTTGTGACAAGGCTGATTTATTCCCTGCACAATGAAGAAAAGGTTTTCCACAGATTGTTCATGTCAAAACGTCAGACTATAACTGGTGTCTCAACATCTGAGGGCACTGTGATGCTCAACATTTTTGGCTTTTTGAAAAAACTAAAAACAAGTGAACAATGTACAGGTTCACATACAGGAGATCATGAGATGTTTTGTGTTAGAGAGGCTGGGCAGGGTACAAATGCTGCATAAAATAGAAATGGTAATGTGTAGGTATTACAGGGCTCACATTCACAATAAGAATACTAAATGTAGTAGAACTTATTCCAGGTGAACTCAGCTGTGTCATATTATTTGTATAGTAACAGAGAAACGTATATTTTTTCAATACTGTAATACAAACAATCTATAATTCTAGTTTAAAAAAATCCATAAGTAAACAAAGACCAAGACCTTTGTATTAGTCCATTCTCATACTGCTATTAAGAAATACCCAAGATGAGGTAATTTATAAACACAAAGAAGTTTAATGGGTTCACAGTTCTCCATTGCTGGGGAGTCCTCAGGAAGCTTACAATGATGGTGGAAGTTGAAGGAGAAACAAAGGCATGTCTTACATGGTGGCAGGTGGGAGCGCATGTGAGTGAGGGCAGGGGAAATGCCCTTTATAAAACCATCAGATCTCTTGAGAGTCACTGACTCTCACAAGAGCAGCATGGGGAAAACCACCCCCATGATTCAGTCATCTCCATCTAGTCTCTCTGCTTGACATGTGGGGATTATTGGAATTACAATTCAAGGTGAGATTTGGATGGGGACACAGAGCCAAACCATATCACCCTTTATTTCAGAAAATAAAAAAATAGGCTTATGAAAGAGTCCCTCCACAATTCAAGGTATTGAGAGTAGAGGATTGTGGGATAAAATTCTATAAAAGTCCTTTAACAGATTCATGGAAGGAGCCTTAAATGATTCACAGGGCTTTTACTTTTTACTTTCTTTGATTTTCACTGAGAACATAACACAGGGAGAATCCAACTCTTTGAATGTTGGGGGGACCATACTTTTGTTAGGATTGCAGTGAAAGAAGGCTAGAAATAAAAGGCTCATGTGATTATTATGGTGTCTTATTTTCAATGACTCTGAGAGGGGAAGGTAGCTGTCTTTGACTTTCACTAGCTATAACTGTAGAGAAGGCAAAAACAAGCAACCTATAAGCCACTAAACTCTGAAAAAGGGTTCTTTTTTTTGCAAGCATAATTCTTATCAATTTTTGATCTAATTATGGAAGAGATTTTTATAACAACTCTTTCCTTCTTTTACCATAAAGTCACATAAACAGTTCTGAGGTTCACCTTAAACTTTTTTGCCCTCTCCAACACCTGCCTAGGTTCTGGAGGTGGAAGTGACCTTGGTCTCTGGTGATACATTCTAGTCAAAGCCTTTCTATTGGCCTTGGCTATATTCCAATGTATAAATGACAGTAACAGTAATAGTAATAGAAACAGTCTCAAGCGTAGTCACTGGGGGACTTTTTTCATTTATGAAGACTACACATTTTTCACTTCATTAATTATTTCTCCAAAGAAAGCCAGAACACTTATAGAAACAATAAAATAAAAGATGTTTAGTTTGGGAAGTAGGGAGCAAAACTGGCTATGCACAATGATTAAGGATTATAGTGGTTAAGGTTGAGGAGACAGACTTTCTGGATTCAAATCGTGGCTTTGCCACTTTTATGAGATTGGGAAATGGGCTCCCAGTGAGACCCACTCTGATCACTTGCTGTGCTATGTTGAAAAGGTTCTAAGGCTGCATTCAAACACAGAAGAGGATTGCTGTTGTCAATTAGCAATGTCTGGCATGGCCATGAAAAGGGGGATTGGCATCATTCAAGCCATGCATTTGTCATCCCTGGGCTGGAAGCAGTAACAGAATATTCAGTCAGTTTGAATGTGACATTTATCATCCATGAACTAATTTTACAAATCCTCCTGGCTGCTTAGGTGGATCTTCTTTCCTCACTAATCTTTAGGTACTCCCCCTGAAGACGCCTGTTCTCTTGAAATAATAACTATTCTATGGTCAAGTAGCTGCACTATTCTGTCAAAAGCAACAAAAACTGGTTTCTGAGAAGAAACGCCCCCGCAGCATTATATTTATTTTAATCTGTTAAGGAGAGAGTTGAAAATTTTTCTTAGAATCTTTACTATATTACTATCATAAATATCACATATTTAAGTAATGGCAGTAAATTATGAAGGAATAACAACAAGGAACATTTTAATAGTTTAGACCTTGGATTTGAATGAGCCAATATTTCCATATACTGCTAGGCAACATAATCCTTTGTATATAGAATGGTATAAAACTAAGTATTGTAAGTAGTTTCTCTCAAATTTGTTTTATTTTAGTGTTACTCTTTATGGATCATTTCCGAAGGAAAAAAATTAAATTAAGGAAAGATTAATGTTGTGAGGAGTTTTTAAATATTTTACTTCTGCATTGACTGATGTGCTGTTAACCTTGAATGGTATTGATCCATATTTAATAGACAAGTGGGTAGATTCTTTCTAAGAATATCTTGAGTTGAGGATTAGCAATTTTCAAAAGCAAATGTGTAGATAATCTCTTTCACATTGGCTGCAAATGTATTGTTCCAGGTGTTAACTGATGTATTAAAGAAAGAAATCAGTAAAAACAAATATGATCCTCTTTTTCCACAACCAAGATGACATTTCAATTTATAGGTCTATTGAGCATTTGAGAAAATACATGTGCTTCTTTTAAAAATACTTTTTAAAAGTGATACTTAGATTTGCTTACTTAAGCACTAATTCCAAGGAAAATAACTAACTATTCTTACTTCCAAATGTTGCATCAAGTTACACATGCCCATATCTCATAAAGTTGTCTTTTACCACATGAAGATTTAAGATTGTTGAGATATAAATTGCTGTTCTAAACTACATTTGTTATATTCAAGTGAATTCAGTTTACTTCTAAATCATAAAACTCTGCTTTCTTTTACATTTGGATCATAACATCTGTAGATGGAGAACTGCCCTGAAATAAATAAAGTTGACTTCCAGTGTGAACATGGCTGCAGAAGTCAGCAATTTCATCCTTCTCCTCCTGCAAATCATAACAAGACCAACAAAGAGCATGGAAAACCAAGAAACAAAAACCCTACAAATTTCCTTTTCAATTGAACCAGGAGACAGGTATAATGTACATCCTTTAAAATATATGTAAGAACTGCCAGGAGCATCTGAGATCTCGTGAAAGCCATGAAGAAGGAATTAAAGGGAAGAAGCACACAGAGGAGAAAGAGGAGCCGGGGAAAACAGATTTCAGAAAATAGAAGCAAATACACACTTCCTGAAATGGCAAAAGCTTTGTCCTTGCCTTTCACAGTGTTGATGAAACTAGGGGTCATCAGGCTAGAGACAGAAGCCTTGCCAGACTCAGTTTGTCTCTGAGAAGGAAAGGAGGTGGGCCTGCATAGAGGGATACAATGCTAGCAGGAAGCAGTTTGCCTCTGTGCAGGCAGAGGGAACAGCCACAGAGCTGTCTGGTAGGTCATGAATGTCAACTGGCGGAAACTTCAGCCAAGAGACAGAAGCGAGCACTGAATATATCTGCTTCTAGAGCAAAAATTAAAATAATTATGGGGATTAGAGTGATGGTATAGAATGTCAGTGTCAGTGGTTATAACAGAGGAGGAAAGATCTGCCACTCACCGAGTACAAACAACAACAACAACAACAACAACACACACACACACACACACAACACACACCTCCAATTCTAGTTGTAACATATCCTGGATTGTAAAACACATCTCAATTATAGAGATATTATTGGAAAAATGGGCTTTGTCCATTAATAATTGTGATAAGAGAAGAAAAAAGCATATGTTGTATTCAAAGGAAAATACAAAATAGCTATTATTGAAAAATATTATAGGAAGAAAAATACTACCTAAAAATTCAGCATCATGGGTGTGCATAAATTATAAATCAATTGTAATGGTAAGACATCCAGCAAAACTACTGTGCTTTCTAAATATCAGGAGAGCTAAACATACTGTCTATACTGACAGGTATACAAAATGTAAGTAGAATCAAATAACAAAGAAGTTTATGTCTTGCTTATGTAATAGATCCAGGTAGAGGTTACTGGTCAGTGGAGACTCTTCTAAGTGCAGCAGTTCAGGCGTCTAGACTTTTATATCCTAGGATTTAATCATCACCTGCTTGCAGCCAGCAAATAGGGAAGAACCACAGAGGAGATGCAAACTCTTTTTAAAAGCCTGCCCTGAGAAAGATCTCATCACTTTCCTTCATTTTCCATTGGTTTGATCGCTCATATGGGCATTCCTAACTGCTATGGAGACTGGGAAGTATAGAGTTGAATAAGGTAACTCAGGAAGAACAGGAGAGAGAATTTGGCGGCCAGTTTATAGTCTCTGTGACAACCTTCAACTCAAAAAGGAAAAACGGGGATAGCAAATTAATATGAGGAAAATTAGAAAGAATAGAAAAAGATACAAATCAGGGATTAATGAATATAAAAAGAGAAATTATAGAACTAATAAACCAACCCTTGAAGTGAGAAAAGTTGTATTTTCTGCTAATGTTTAAGTTAAAAATGAGTGAATAATTAAAAATATATGTTTGCATTGCTTGTATAAGCATATGACAAGGACATACACAACAAATAACAGTGGTAACCGTGTGTATTTAAAAGGATGGGAATTAGATGAGGGAACAAGGTGGAAGGCATCCTCTTATTATACATATTTCTATTTTCTTTCGGTTTTTCAACTATGTAAACAAATCACTTATTTTAAAAAAATAAGCACGATAAAATATAAGCTAAATGAAAACAATTATTTAAGCAAAATTGAATTTGTAAACTTCAGCTCTGAGATTACTTTTCCTAACAAATTTTTAGGAGGAGAAAATATTTTTTACCAGGGGGCTTCTAAACAATCAGTTAATGATACACTATCATTATAAATGAGTTAGAATACATAGCTGTGAGATGACTGCATAAAAACTTGAAAGCATAGATGATTTTCAGAGTGATATCATAGTAGTTAATGATATTTAGCACAGCAAATGGTGACTATGCTGCTGCAGTCTGGCCTTTGGTGGATTGTCTCCCTAGGGCAATGTTGAGAATTGCTAGACTTTCAATTTCATATCTAGTTGACACATTGTGTGATGGGATATTCCTGCTTTGTGGCAGGAAAGTCTAGGAAATAGGAACCCCTGATCATTTTATCCCCCGAAGTGATTACAAGAAACTCCGTTGATGGCATAAAACATGCCTAATTCATTCTTATTTCTCCAGTATGTGAAAAACCTGAGGTTCTGAATTAATGCCGAATAATTAAAGTGAAACATGGTGTTCAGGAGGCAATAATTCAACTGCAGGGTAAAGCCAACTCAGTGGGTCCTGTGGGAGATGGTAGAGAAATCCTAATTACTTATGATCACCTTTGGGTACACTATTTCCATGTTCCCCTTGAAATAAAGAGAGAAAATGTCTTGTAGTCAATATTAGAGCTTTCTATATCAGCTGGAGTTCCCTTGTTATCAAGAGGGAGTGGATGATCGAAGAACGAAGACTGATATCAAAGAGGCAGTCAATGGGTAAAAAAGGGAGGAGTAGCAAGAAGTTGGCTAAGAGTACTATCTAAATTGCTTCTTTACTTTGCACTCATCTTTGACCCTAGTTCTCCTTTTAAATATCTAAAGTTACTGAAGGAGAAGATTCTTCAAATAACCTGTTTTGAGTTTGGAGTTTATTTTCCCCCACCTTTGTTTTCTTTCTTATATAAGCAACAAGAGTTCCTTTTTAACTTTAACATCTTTAAAAAAAAATGACCCAGCTGAGATGGGTCAGAGTGACAAATGAAAGAAAAATTTTTGCTGAAGGAAGTGAGTAGCTCAAAGTCAATATTCTCCAACAGACTAAGTGAAAGCAGCCCTCCACAGCATGGTCTTCTGTGACCTATTCAGACATATCTGTTTGTGTGAGGTTAATTCCCCCGGACTACCCTTTGTTGATTCGCATGAGTGGTTGAGGAGGGACAGTCAAAACACATCCAAGTTTGTGGTCATGACTTCCGTGTCTGGGAAAGTAGTACACAGACAGACATCACCGAGAATCCATGCTGTTTGAGGTCAAGGTAAAAGAATGTCTCTGCTTGGTTCTAAGCTTCTGGTGTGGTGATGTTGAGGAGGAATTTTCCTTTGTTTTAAAAGCTGCTGCTGAGTTTTGCATAGTTCTTTAGTTGATGATAATAGTGGGAATAATTAGGGTAGCCATGCATCCTGGTTTGCCTGAAACAGTCGTGGTTTATGCCTATTGTTGCAGTAAAATGATAAATAGCACTTTCTTTTCATTCTCAAAAGTGTTCGGGGTTGGATGGTAAATTATACCATGTCCCAAGGAATTACCAATTTTAAGATTTTAGAAATTCTGTTTCTGAAAAATAGCAATAGCAAACAGTATGTGCATGTCCCTTTTCTTTTCTTTCTTTCTTTCTTTTTTTTTTTGAGTTGGAGTTTCGCTGTTGTTGCCCAGGTTGGAGTGCAGTGGCGTGATCTCGGCTCACTGCAACCTCCGCCTCCCCGGTTCAAGCAAGTCTCCTGCCCCAACCTCCTAAGAAGCTGGGATTACAGGTGCGTGCCACCACGCTGGGCTAATTTTTGTATTTTTAGTAGTGACGGGGTTTTGCCATCTTGGCCAAGCTGGTCTCCAACTCCTGAACTCAGGTGATCCGCCGGCCTTGGCCTCCCAAAGTGCTGGGATTACAGGCGTGAGCTACCACGCCCGCCGCATGTTCCTTTTCTCTGACAATCAGGTGAATGATTGGGTCCCTACTCTATATATTGGAATGAGAAGAGGGCCCCCCGCAGGTATATTTATTTAAGATCATGAATAGAGCAAGAAGAAATCTAGCACTGCAAGTCTATATTTTCCAGTGAGTTTAGCTACAATATAGCACATTAAACAATTCAAGTTATTTGAGAATGTATATTTAATAATTATTTTGAATAATATTTCTATGAAATCTATTTTAAACCAACGTGATGTAAAGTGTTTTCTTCTTTCTGAGCCTCCAAAGTAGGGTAGGTAAGAGAGGGGCACACAATTTGAGGGGCTGTTGCTCTCAGGTTCCTGCAAATGCCAGCCTTGTACTTCTGTTTGTTGGAGAATATTGATTTGCGCTTCAAGACAAGTCTCGTGCTTTATCTATTCTAAGGAGGCTTCCTGAGCTCCGTGATCTCTCACTATCCCCACCTCAACCTAGTATATTTCCCCTCATGTGTTCTTTGATGGTACCTTATGCAAACCATTGTTTCACTTTGTTGAAAAGTGTGTGTGTGTGTGCCTGTGTGTTTTGCTGTGTGTTTTGGTTTCTTGAGGTTAGAGATGAGATTGTATTCATTTTTACATCTCCAGCACATATTACTGCATCTAACACATGTCATGTGCTCAATATTTGTTGAACTATAAAAACAAAAATTAATTAAAAACAAGTCATTGATTCAAAAAGCTAACTAAAATTATTCTCAAAAAACATAATCACAGCCTCAGAGAATGTGTTCCAATAATAATAATAATGATAAGTAATCTTTTCTGACCTTCATAATTAAATGGTTTAAGTCCAAGTTTTGAGGTATTTAATACTTGTATATAGAAGAAAGCCTGCAGAAATAATAAAATTTTCAGTGTTGCCATGAAACCTACAGAGATGGATTCTCATTGGGATATCTTCTGAACACTTCTTTCCACTGAGAAATAGCATAAAGTCGTCTTTATTGTGGCGTGTTGACTTCTGACTCATCCCAAATGAACAGACTAGACTTTTATTCCTCCCTTGCTCTGCTTCTTTTTCTGAAGAAAAATGCTAAGCCATTTTGGGGAAAAATTTTAAGAACATGCCAAGTAAATGTGATAGAGTCCAGATATATACAAGGTCAGTAAATCATTTCTGAACTCAGTTTTGGAGGGATCTGTAATGTCTACTGCATGAAAATATCTTTTCATTTCTATATTTGAAATATGACTAATTAGATGCATCAAAGCAATGTAAAATCAATCTAGATATATTTGGTAGAGAGAAGACTGGCTTAATTCAATTCTCAGTCTTTTATTAACATTTGAGTTTTTCCCTTAATATAGAGACAGACAAGACAAGACACCATGTGAAACCAGAAGCTCAGAAATAACACAAAAGAAGTTAGCTTTGAGGAGGTCTATAATCACCCCATATTAATATACTCTCACAACCCTAATGCACATTTTTAGCAATGAATCCATGACTAGGAGCTGAAGAAGAGAGTTGCATAATTATATATTATATTGAATGTGTTCAGGATGATTCAAGTGGAAGTGAATCACAAGGCCTCAATTATCCAGATTGACTCTCTTGATCAAAACTAATTTACCGGATAATTGTGCACTTCTCTATCCCTTTGGCCTGATAAGCTCTCATCGAGTTAGGGGATGGGGAGCCAAATTGTACTTATTATTTTTTTGCGTGTGGCTCTTTCTTCCTTGGTCTCAGATTTGAATATGAACACTTGGCTTCAACTAAGACCTGTCTGGACTTACAAGATAACTGGAAACTATTGGGTTTTGTTTACCAGGTGGATTTTTCTGAGTTTTGTCCAACTCTGGTGGGGATGATCTTCTGGGTCTGTTGTTTGCTGATGCTCACTGCTGCATTATGTATGATTCCTGACTGTTCCTCATCTGAATAAGCCGTACGTTGCTTTGCTGGTGATTTCCCATTTGCACTCAGCCAGTGATTTTTGACAATATTTATACCTAAGTATAATTTTTTTCCATAATATTAACACTGAACTTTCATGGTAAGGTATAAAGGATGAGAATCATATGTCATATACTTGTGTATAATGTTAAAATATTTAAAGCATCAAAAACTGAAAAGCTACATGGAAATCTTCCTTCACCAAAATTACACACTGGATGTATTTTTTCAGTAGTATGAAGTTTTATAATGTTGATTTATTGTATCACAAGTAAATGCAAAACTGGAACTTGGAGAACAAGGCCTTATACTAAATATTTATAGTTTGAAAATAAATTTTCTCATTAGTTTTGCCATTTGAAACATTAATTATACTGGGGGAAGATGAATTGCTTTTCATTCTTTATATATCACCAACTTCAGAAGATATAAAATCTTTATTTACTAATTTATTTGAATAACACCACAGATCCTCATATCTCGGTACTAGAATGTATAAACATATCAAAGTAAGACATGACAGATATTTATGCAGTTCCCCATGTATAATAGGAGCTAAGTGTATTAGGGAAAAGTAGATGGGAGACAAAAATTTTAGAAGTGGCTTCTATTTTCAAATCTGCCATTGCATCACATCATGACTTTACTTGACACACATAAAACGGTGATTATATCTGCGCTACCCACTGCAGAGGATTTTGTGATGATCAAATAAAATAATATTTGTGAAGGTGCATTGTAAGCTATGAGATATTATATACATTTAGGCATTATTATTTATTAGATTTTGGCACTATGCAGTTGAGCCCAGATCAATTATGGGATCATAAATTTCCAAGTATCTGTTGAAAAAGCCTCCAGTGAAAAAAATCTCAACTCTTTTCTTTGATATGATAAGGCTAAGAATTGGGAGGAAGCTTAGAAAATTTCAAAAGTCATTGCCTGAAGAACATACATATTAAAAAGAAAAAGGAAAAGACTGGTATCTTGAAAGGTAGTTCAGCAGGCTGGGGGAAAGCTGTGTGAGTCACAACCAAATTATGTAGACTAGGTTGTAGTGATTTTGTGGATGCTCACAAAAATATGCATAGTGACTATTTAGCTGTAGGGATAAGGTAAATTCAATAAAGTACTATCAAAGCTGTGAATTTCTGCATACTTTGGAGGGAAAGTGAGAACAAAACTCAGATTGTCTTTTAGCCTATAGAGATTAAGTGAAAAAAATCAATATCAAAGAAGTGGTGATGTTGAGATGAAGGAAGAAGCACCTCTTCATATACATTCTCCTCTTTGTTGTGAAAAAGTTGTACTTTTATAGGAATATTCTCCATTATTTTTAATATATGGAAGGTTCTCATATTTTTCAATGTAGACTCTAGAAATTTTTTTTTGTATAATAGTGCCACTCACTGAATTGCTAAAAGGCTTCCTAACACAAATTATTAACACAAATGGATCAAGATTTTTCTATAATCATTATAATCTTTTTCTGTAAGTGCACTTTTAATAAATCTGATTTAATAACTGGATTTCCATAAAATTGCCATCTTATAACCCTGTTATATTTTCTACAGTTGCTCAGTGTGCCAGATTCCATTGCAAATACTTCCAAAGAGTGAATATAAATTCAGAGTGACAGTAAACATTTTGGGCATATGTTAAACCAGGAAAATTGATTCTTGACTGGTGCTACTTAACCCTGATTGGTATCTTGTAAACCTGTGCTACAACACTGGGGGAAGAGCACTCTTCAAACAAATTGTTTTCCTACAGACCAGCAGGGTGCCTAGGGTGCTAGGGTATATGTATCTTACTTCAACATAGGCAATATTTAGAAAAACTTTCTGGTTTAATGAGTCATCTTTTTAGGTACAATCCTAAGTTTATTAATGTGTAGGTAACAATTACTTTCTTCCCACTATCCTTTTACTGGTACTTTACAGTAACGCCCAGTGTTATGTTAATAGGAAACATCTAAAAGTGACTTAGAAATGGAAGAACCCCAGCATTCCCTATTGATGAGTGATATAAGGAAGCGAGCATTTCTAATTGGGTATCTACTGGGACTAAACCCTCCTATGGTAGACACTGAGAAGAGTACAAAGAAAGATGTGTCTCTCCTTTCTGAACTTTGAATTGTAATGGATAAAGAACTACTCCTGATAACTAGGATAATAATATTTTTAAAACTTTGCATGTGTGATTGTGGAGGGGGGGTGCCAATCTTTTAAATTTCACAACAGCTTATTAAAACAAGAATTAACCCAGCGCTTCTTTATTCTCAGTCAGTTCAAAACTCATTATTGGTTCTTCTCCCACCTTTTGCTTTGTGGTACCTTGACATGTTATTCCAGGAGAAGGTTAATTTCATGTAGATCACTCAGTCAATGTCCATGACATATTAGTCATCTTCATTCAGTGATTAAGGATTCAAAAGCCTGGAGACAAATGCCAAATGCCTTTTTTACTTAACAATATAGACTAAATACTTCAAACTCTTTAAACATTCTCATGAGTAATATCTGTCCGCCCTAAGTCAGGAATATGCAGCACAGTTGTTTCAATTATCTTGTTCTCTTCCATGTTTTCTTTGGTTTCTTGGTCTGCCTCCATCATTACCCCAATCCATTCAGTCTGCTAAAGGGTGTGTCCCATTGTTTAAAAAGGGCTTTTGTTTTTAGGCGCCATTGCTCTAGTAATGGATTAAAAGTATACTATATTTTTGGAGGTAATATGGATGGAGAATTTAGGTTTAAAGCCGCCTGTGATGTAAAGTTGTGACATGTGTTTACAGTGTGCTTAAAGCATCCTCAGTGGCAACTGAGTTTAGGAAATCAGATGTTGAAGCATGCATTGATTCTAGTTCAGAGAAAACTGATCACATAGCTTCATTCCCACAATTAGCCATGATTTTTTTCTTTAAAGTATATTTTGGCAGTGTAACAGAATTAAATGAACTCCTGTGGTCTCTCAACTATAAAGTATAATGGCTTTTTAGAAATAAATGCAGAGGGCACTAGTTTTGCAGCTCCAAACCAAAATATTTAACTGTATAGTCATATGGCTAGTTAATGTGCATATGGAGATTTTCAATCATTTTTGGATTTTTTAAATTAACCTGAAGTTTTACTTTAAAATAGAGCTGAAATATTATTGTAGGAAAATAGACCAGGCAGCCCCAAATAAATAATAATTTGGTAGTTATCTGTGTAAGTGCACATTGTTTAGATTTAGAGAGATACTTTTAGACAATTCAAGCCTCATTCTGCTCATACCCCTGACCATACTTTCATATATATTAGTGGTATGAATCTAGGCTAATGAAATTCAATTAATTTCCAGATCTTTACTCTGTGCTCCCCAAAACACACAAAACTCATTTTATTTTTTTAAAAAAATAACAAGTTCTAGTTTAGTTTGAAACATAGAATTCAATTGCATTTTTTTTTAACTATTTCAGTTTACTTTTTCCAGTACACTATATTTAGTTGAAGATTATTAATAGAAATGAATACTTTCAAGTCGACACTGCCAACTATAATGGTAAGAAAAGGAGGCAAATCAAACCTGAATTCATTGTAACTTGAATTCATTATAGAAGCAGGTTCTAACAGATACGTACGTGATCATCAGTGATGGCAGAGGGAAAGGCATAAGGGAGATAGAACAGCTTGGGATGTGGGAGAATTAATTTAGTTAGTCGGCATTTAATTATTTTCCCCCTGAGCGTCTCAGTATCTTTTTAACACAGCAATTTGTAATCTTAGTTTAAACACTTGCAGTTTTGAAGCTCTAATTATAGTTTATATAATTCATGTTTTCCAAAGAACAGTGTTTCTTTTTACATAGAAACATTTGCGTATTTCTTTCAGATGTTTAAATATTTCAGCATTCATAATAGGAAAAAAAATCCTTATGATAGCCTTATAATAGCTTTTTCTAAGGGATTGGAAACTACATATTAGAAGTTAAAAAACCCCTAATTTTGAAATTTGACTACATCATTTTTAGTGGGTTTTCATAACTATAAAATGTATGTTTAAGTGGAAATGTATAATATTTTCGGGCAGAAAAGCAACAATAATCATAACACATTGTATTAAGTTCAGAAATAATAATGATTATGGATATTTGACAACCTGAAAATTGCCTATTGCTTATAATTTCATTTTACAGTTTTCATGAAGGAAAACTCCAAATCTATTCTTTGGGACTTTGCTAGGAGACATTTGATCCTTCAGTGTCAAGCTATTTTACATTTTTGCTCCTTTTACTCTGCTGTAGAATTACTCTACTCAAGAGGAATAGACAAGCTTCTGGAAATCACAAGAGTGGCAACTGTCAGTGGTGGTAAAACAATATATATCCTGTAATTCGTGGGTTGGCCAAAGCTAGGCCTTTTCTCCTTTAGGGGGAATTACGGTTTATTTATAAGTTAGTTATCTGTCAAGCGGGAAAGATATCAAATTTCATTCTCTCTAGCACTTTTCATGGACATGTCATCCCAAGGTGTTAGTATACTGATTTATAAGAGGCCTGTAGAAATAGAAGGTGGCTTGTGCAAATCACTTGGATGTTTCAAAGAAAAATAAATAGGTTAGCTGAATTATTCAGGGACATCTTACTCTTGATTGCATGTGATTATAAGAGCTAATTAATCCATGGATATATCTGAGCTATCTTTAATTCCATCAACATTATTTTCAATATCACCATAACCAGTAAACATTTCTTGATGTCTTATATGCATAAAGTATGTATGAATGTATTTAAAGAGTATATGCCTGTGGATAGATACATGTGTAACATATATAAAGCCCTGACACTGAAGCGGTAAATACACAACCCCTACCTTCAAAAAGCCGCAGATCTAGTCTTTACTTTTTGTGTATTTACAGCTAGTACAGTCTGCAAATCAAGTTCAGCATAATCTGAGGAGCACCCTAGAATGGAAGGTAGTTCAGGGCATGAATTCTGAAGCCAAATTGTCTCAGTTCAAATTCCAGCTGGGTCTTACTAACTGGGGATCTCTGAGCAAGTTACTTAAGCTGTCTGTGACCCAGTTCTTTATCTGCAAAATTGGGATTGTAATAATACTTACCTCATAAGGCTACTAGAAAGATTAAATGAGTTGATATTTATAAAACACCTAGCAGCTGGCATATAGCAAGTGTTATATAAATGAAAGATGCTCAGTGGATATTGTAAAATGGGATTATACTATTCAGTAGATGGAAAGATCTCTTGGGGATGGTTCCAGTGACTTGGAGGAGACAAGATTTGAGTTAGATCTTGAAGACAGAAGAGAAGCAGAAAGATAGAGGAGGACTTTTCAGATGAATAGGGTGAAATATGCTGTCCTACTGGTGCAGGCTTGATCTCAAGGCAAATACATTTTTGGCAGCAAACATTCAAAGAACAGGAGAATGCTGGAGTTGAGGCTGCAGAAACTGGCCCTGCAACAGGATTTACCTCTGGGTGGAATGACTATCAGTCAAACTCTAAATCCAAGGGTGTGGCATGGATAACATGAACCTATTTAGAGGTGAGTCTGATGTCTAAGAAGAAAGTCAACTGAGTTTTCCAGGCAGTTGTGCTGTTCACTGATCACAGATGTCAGCTTTTTGTTTCAGGATGATCAATCCACTTTGGAACAAGACCAGCTGTTCACCTTGCGTCCTCTTCTAAATTACCAATGAGTTGTGAAGCTGGCACCCACCAACAGACAAACTGGGCACACCAGACCTCATCATGGCAAGGCGCTCACTCTGTCTCGCTCTGTTTCCCCACATGGCTTTACCTACCAGATCATTTCCTAGTACCTAATTAGCTTCTGAATGCCTCCATTTCTTTGGCAGTTTTTGGCTCCATTTACTGCCCCTTCTCTCTCCATGTTAGTGGTCTCTTTGGCACAGCTACATTCATTCATTCCAGGTGACATCTCTGCCCAGCTGAGCTCCCATCTGTAGATCCCCACCACACAGATTTATCTCAGCCCACCTTAGGTGGAGTCCAAGCCCAGCAGCTATGGATGAGGGAATTGGGACCCAGGAGCCCAGTCTGCCTTAGATGGATGCTGACAAGAATTGGGCCATGGATCAGAGCCCCAGCCAAGAAAGCCAGAGCTCAGAGCAGAACTCTAGTATTAATAAGGAAGTGGAACTCAAACAAAAGATTGAGGTGGAAGCTTTATCACATGATCATCACTGTAAAAGGCCCAAGAAGCCTGAACTTTAGGATCCCACAGTAGAGGCTCATTTTACATGAGGAGCTCTTTTATTCCCAACCCACTTGCAACATCTACATCATATAAGGGATTGTCCATATTTAGTTCTGGCACTAGGAAGGGCTGATACTCCCAGACGGAGGATTTTCTGAATAACTGTAAGGGCCTGGGAAAAGCAAAAGCTGAGGAAGGTTTATAAACAAAAGTGTAGAGGAATATGCCTTCCTATGTGCTTCTGAGTAATAAACAGAATTGCAGCACAGGGCAGAGTTGATGAGTACTGGGAAATGTTTAGGGCCAAGAATAGCAGGCTTTTAATGCCAGGTAAGGGGTTTGGATTGCTTTTTGGGCAGGGGAATTGCTGAATATTTTGAGCCTTGATGCGTCTGGAGATTAGCTGGCAGTTGTCTGTGAGCTGAAATATAGCAACAGAGGAAGAGATGAGTCCAGTTATGACATTCTTTATTCACAGAGACAACACTCTGAGTTTTAGCTTTTCAATGTCTGACATTTAGTAGGTACTTAATAAATATTTATGTAATGAAAGAATAAAGTAATTAATTATAGGCTCCTTGAGTTAGTAGATAAATTCAAGATCAACTAATCTAACCCTTTATTTATTGTATCAAGTGATCTGACAGCTTGTCTGAATATTTCTTGTTATATGGAAAATTCAGTATATATCTAGGCAGCACATTTCTTTTGGCGTGGTGGCATTTTTCTACTACTAAGAAAGTTTCTACTTATAATGAGCTGAAAGAGGACCTAATTTTTTCTTTCCCTTGAATGTAATAACCACACATAGGTCACAGGCCTCTGGAGTCATATAAAATACCCATCGCTGTCTCAGAGAGGTCTTTCATACTTCAGTAGGCTATGCCAATAGTCTTGGTATATACCCCATTAGCACCTGCAACTCTGTGTTTGAAGTACTCACTGCACCAGCCATTAATTATTAGCATCTATGATGAGAATACCACTGCTGAATCCCCAGTGCTTAGCACAGCCCTGACACAGAGTAAGTGTTCTATAAATACTTATCTACTGCACAATTTTCTATTTATATTCTCTAGTATACAAGTGACTATTCTAGACATTGGTGTTGCAGCAATAAAATAAAACAGATGAAGACTCTTCGTGCATGATATTTCCGTTGGCAGGAGGGATGTGGGGAGGAGGGAGATAGACAACACCCATATAAACAAATGATATGAAATATGTTAGTGGTCATAAATATAATGACAAAAATAACACCATGTAAGGAGACAGGGTTGAGGGATGCTACTTTAGATAAAGTGTTTAGGGAGGATTCTTCAGGGAAGGACATTTGAGCAGAAAGTGGCATAAAACCCTGGGGCAAAACAGAGAGCTACCTAGATGTCTTGGAGAGGACATTCTAGACTAACACTAAACAGAGATTGAACTGAATTGAATTCCTTGTTCTCACAGAGATCATGATATCTATTACTGAGCTCAATATTTTACAATTTTCCAAAAATGATTGATAAAGAAAGAATAAAGAGTAAGTTTGTTATTTGGCTGATAGAACCTTTTATTTTTTTGAAATTGGAATGAAATTGTCATGGGATTTGAACACACATGGAAGCAGATCTGGGTTTTGTAGAGGCCGAAGCATATAGAGTTTTGAAAGTTTTATATAAGAAGACATGCACAAACTTTTATTTTCATAAATTTTACAAAACATATGACTTAGCGTACACATTGCTAGGGCCTCAAAAGGTGAGAAACCTGAAAATTTCAGCTTCATTAGCTTTGTGGCACATCCACCTCTAGGCTCACTATGCATCTGAACGGAAAAGAAATCGTTACTCTTTCTATTGCCTCTTCTGTTTATGACCTAATAAGGAAATGGCAGTTTGAGGTTAACCCAGTGGTTTTTCTAGGCAAGCACCTAATTAATAATTGTACAATTCCATTCCAGCATGAGGAAACCAGGCCATTTTGGTGATGTGGATAAAGCACTTGGGTGAGATTCAAGGGTCCTAATTTTAGTCCTGTCATTTGTAAGCTATGGGAACAAAGTACAAGCCAACCAACCAATCTGCCACTCTCCCCCCTCTTCATTTGAAAGGGTTGAATTAGAGCAGTGCTTCACTGGCCAGCTTTAAGATATTTATTATATTTAAATATCACCTATACTATGCTTTACTTTGTATTTTCAGAGAATCATTCACATTTTTTTCTTAAATCTATTTAAAGATCTTTAATGTGATTAAAGATCACATTAATACATCACATCACTATTGACACTGGACATAATTAACTGATACTAGAAATTTGGCGAATACATTTGATAAAGGCTTAACAATATTATTAGACTCTGGCTACATTTCTAGCTTGAAGAAGTCTTTCAGACCAAAGACTTTCTCTATTTATATTGTAAAGAGAGATGATTAAGTATCAAGCTGCTGCTAAAGCCATATCTCTACCAAATGGAGCCTTTTTCATGATGTATTCAATAAATTAATAGAGAATTACAAATAAATAATATTGGTAAATAAGCATATTATTTTGCTTTTTAAGGTTACTTAATGCCAGTCTTTGTATCACCTAAAATAATTTTGTTGACTATGTACATCCACAGTTGGAGATAAACTAGATTATATAACCTTGTTTGGGGTTCAAAATTTTTCTCTTAAATTTCCATTAAGCAAGAGTCAGTAAACTATAGCCTGCACATCAAATCCAAGTCACTCTCTGTTTATAAATAAAGTTTTGTTGAAACACAGCAACACTCATTTGTTTGTGTATTCTCTAGGGTTGCTTTCGCACTATTATGGTAGAGTAGTTCTAAAGGAAATGGTAAAGGCTGTTCAAATATGTACTATTAGATCTTTATCAAAGAAGTGTGCTTACTTCTGCATTAAAAAAGAGTGTGACTTAGGTGGCTTCATGGTTTTAGTACCTCCTGTGCCAAATACTGCAGAGGCTCAATCAATAAAAAGAAATGTAAAAGTAAATTATCTACACTTGCATATCTAATGGACATCTCAGACTGAACAAGTGCAATAAGCGTGACTGATCTCCATGGCCAAACCTTGTCTATCTGCACTTGGTGGCATCTCCATTTCTTTTATTGTTAAGGTGGAAAGCCTTGGAGTCATCCTTTACCCTTTATTTTTCTTGAATCCACATTCAATCGATTGGGAGACTCTTGGCTGTACCTTCCAAACAGATCCAGAATCTGAGCACTTCTCACTCCATCCAATGCTACCATCCTTGTTAAAGCTACTGTCATGTCTGCGTTGGATGACTGCCATCGCCTCTTGGTCTCCCTGCTTCCACCCTTGAATCTACAATCTAAGTTTAACATAACACATAGCCAAATCATTAGACTTCTCTCCTCAAAAACCTTTCACTCTCTTAAGAGTAAAATCCAAAGTCCCAAAGAATTTACAGGACTCAAGGTGACATGGTCCCCTTTATCTCCCTTGTTGCATTGTGTAGTGATCTTTCCTCAGTCCCTCTGCCCCAGCGTATCAGTCACACTCCCTGCTGGCTCTTTCCTCCACCTGAACTGCTCTTCTCTTTATATACACTTGCCTCAGTTTGTCACTTCCTTCAGGTTTTTTTTTTTTGAGACAGGATCTCACTCTGTTGCCAAGGCTGTAGTGCAGTGGTGCAATCACGGCTCACTGCAGCCTTGACCTCCTGGGCTCAAGTGATCCTCCCACTTCAGCCACCAGACTAGCTGGGACTACAGGCATACACCATCACATCCGGTTAATTTTTATACTTTTTGTAGATATGGGGGTCTAACTATGTTTCCCAGGCTGGTCTTGAACTCCTGAGCTCAAGCAATCTGCCTGTCTTGGCCTCCAAAAGTGCTGGGATTATTGGTGTGAGCCATTGCATTTGGCCTTTCTGGCCTTTAGTAGATGTCACATCTTCATTAGTAGTGACTGCAAAACCATCACATTTGACTTGAAATTAATCATCCCAAACCTCAATAATCTCTGGAAATCTTTCTGAGATTTTCTGGTAAATTCTCTCGTCTCTCTCTCTCTCTTTCTTTCTTTCCCAGATGACTGTTTTATTGCTTCATTTTATTGCTAGTTGCTTATCAATATCCCTTCACTCCTTCCTCAGCACTAATGACTCCATGATTTTCTTTAAGGCAGCCAAATGTGTTGCCAAACTCTTGTATTTCCCAGCCTCTCTTCCCAGAATCAGTGGCCACGTGACTATTTGAGCTAATATTACACATATAGAAATCTAGACGTTTCTGGGCAAGTTATTTACATGCCCTCCTTCCTGATTCTGGAACAAAGACATAATGGTTGAGGTTGAAGCAACCATCCTGCAACTATAGAAAAAATCCAAAATCATGTTAGGATACCCATAACCAAACACATTTGTAACGGATACACTTTTCTTCTTTCCCTAAATTTCCTACCTCATTCACTCTCCCTTCTCTTCAAACTAATAATTTGCTGAAAACAATAGAAGCTGTCAGTAGATTTCCTCGTTTACTGTGATCTCATCAGCAGGCCTGACTCTTTATGCATCTGTCATCTCTTGCTTTCCTACGATGAGGCAGGCTCTGTCCTCCTCCAATCAAAGGCCAACCCCTTATGCATTTCACATCCTCTTCTCAAGGACTTTGGGCACTCCCATTATCCACTCTAGCTTTTTAAATTAGCCTTATTATCTCTGCCTAATAATTTCTACCAGAAAACAATCTCTAGAAACACTTATCTTAAAAGAAATAAATCCTATACAATACAGGCATCAACCCCAGTTTCCTGCTCCCTAAAGTAGATAAGCTTATAAAAACCCAAAGCTGTCTTCACATATTTCATCTATTTATTTATTTTCATTCACTAATCAATCCATTTAAATTTGGCTTCTAATTCCACAATTTCAGTGAAACTTAATGTCAAGATAATCATGAACCTCCAGGTTGCCAAATCCTGTCATCTGGTTCTTTATCCTCATCATATTTGACCTTTTGGCAACATTTAACTTGGTTTACCATTTCTTCACCTTGAAACACTTCTAATTTTTAGGTTTATGACACCGTATTCTCCTGGTTTTCACCTTATTTACCTGGTCACTTCATTTTAGTCAGGATTTTTGGCTACCTCTTTTTTATAACACATTTACAAATTAGCATTTTTTTTTAGCACTTTTCCAGGTCTTCTTTTTTTCTGTCTAAACCGTACACTTAGACGACGCCATCTAGTTTCCAAAATGTCAGTACTATCTTTATAGCCACAAAAAAAAAAAAAAAAAAAGCCAATTAAATGTTTCTGGTTCAAATTCTCTTCCAAGATTAGGACAAGTCTTAATGACATCTTCATATCTGTGTCTCTTGGGAATGTCAAAAATAACATGGCTGTCTTAGTCCATTTGGGCTTCTATAACAATACCTTAGACTGGGTAATTTATAAGTAACAGAAATTTATTGCACACATTTCTGGAAGCTAGGAAGTCCAAGATACAGGATGCCAGCAGATTTAGTGTTTGGTGAGGGCCAGTTTCTCATAGATGGTGACTTCTATGTATCCTTACTTGGTAGAAAGGCAAAAACAAGCTTAGAAGCTCTCTCAGGCCTTTTTCATAAGGAGGCTAAGGTCTAACCTTAATATCTCCCAAAGGTCCACATCCTAATAGCATCATCTTGGGGGTTAGGTTTTGACATCTGAATTTGAGCAGAAGGCACATATATTCAGACCATAGCAGTAGCCAAAAGTTAACTCTTGATTTATCTTTCAGAATCGAATCTTCCCTAAATATTTCTTATCTGAGCAAATGGCACCAGTATTCCCTCATTTGTTCAGTCCCTGGTTCCTCTCTCTTTTTTATCTCCCACATTCAATCCACCTGCCAGTCCTGTTGGTTTTACTTCTAATACATACCTTGAAATAATTTACTTTTGTACCTTAACTTTAGTCTCAGCCCTCTTCCTTCCTTGCTTAGATGACTGTGGTAGTCTCTGGTTTGAATTCTGCCTTTTATGGCTCCCTTCTCACAAAAGTCATCTTTTCATAGCATACATATGAGGTTACCACTTCCATTTATTGAATGCATCTCCAATTGCACTAAGCCTACAATTATTTTTGTAATGTAATTTAACTTTAAGTTCTGGGATACATGTAGAGGATGTGCAGGTTTGTTACATAGGTAAACATGTGCCATGGTGGTTTGCTGCACCTATCAACCCATTATCTAGATAGCCCTGCATGCTGTTTATCCTAATGCTCTCCCTCCCAACCTCCTGACAGACCCCAGTGTGTGTTGTTCCCCTCCTTGTGTCCATGTGTTCTCATAGTTCAGCTCCCACTTATAAGTGAGAATATATGGTATTTGGTTTTCTGTTCCTGTGTTAGTTTGCTGAAGATAATACCTTCCAGCTCCATCCATGTCCCTGCAAAGGACATGATCTCATTCCTTTTTATGGCTCATAGTATTCCATAGTGTATAGGTATCACTTTTCTTTAACCAGTCTATCATTGATGGACATTTGGGTTGATTCCATGCCTTTGCTATTGTGAATAGTGCTGCAGTGAACATATGCGTGCATGTATCGTTGTAATAGAATGATTTATATTCCTTTGGGAATATACTCAGTAATGGGATTGCTGGGTCAAATGGTATTTCTGATTCTAGGTCTTTGAGGAATTGCCACACCATCTTCCCCAATGGTTGAACTAATTTACGTTCCCATCAACCTTGTAAAAGCATTCCCATTTCTCCACAGCCTCACCAGTATCTGTTATTTCTTGACTTTTTAATAATCACTATTCTGACTGGCATGAGATGGTATCTCATTGTGGTTTTGATTTGCATTTCTCTAATGATCAGTGATGTTGAGCTTTTCTTCATATGTTCGTTGATGACATAAACGTCTTCTTTTGAGAAGTGTCTGTTCACGTCCTTTGCTCACTTTTTAATGGAGTTGTTTGTTTTTTTCTTGTAAATTTGCTTAAGTTCCTTGTAGATTCTGGATATTAGATTTTTGTTACATGGATATATTGCAAAATTTTCTCCCATTCTGCATGTTATCTGTTCACTTTGATGTTGGTTCTTTTGCTGTGCAGAAGCTCTTTAGTTTAATTAGATCTGATTTGGCAAATTTTGCTTTTGTTGCAATTGCTTTAGACGTTTTCTTCATGAAATCTTTGCCCATGCCTATGTCCTGAATGGTATTGCCTAGATTTTCGTCTAGGATTTTTATAGTTTTGGGTTTTACATTTAAGTCTTTAATCCATCTTGAGTCATTGTTTGTATAAGGTATAAAGAAGGGATCTGGTTTCAGTTTTCCACATATGCCTAGCTAGGTTTCCCAGCACCATTTATTAAATAGGGAATCCTTTCCCCATTGCTTGTTTTTGTCACATTTATCAAAGGTCAGATGGCTGTAGATGTGTGGTCTTATTTCTGAGGTCTCTATTCTGTTCCATTGGTCTATTTGTCTGTTTTTGTACCAGTACCATGCTGTTTTGGTTACTGTAGCCTTGTAGTGTAGTTTGAAATCAGGTAGCACGATGCCTGCAGCTTTGTTCTTTTTGCTTAGGATTGTCTTGGCTACACAGGCTCTTTTTTGGTTCCATTCGAATTTTAAAGTAGATTTTGTTTTTAATTCTGCAAATTAAAAAAAATGGTAATTGAATGGGAATAGCATTGAAACTATAAATTACTTAGGGCAGTATGGCCATTTTCGTGATATTGATTCTTCCTATCCATGAGCATGGAATGTTTTTCCACTTGTTTGTGTCCTCTCTGTTTTCCTTGAGCAGTGGTTTGTAGTTCTCATTGAAGAGGCCCTTCACTTCTCTTGTTAGCTGTATTCCTATGATAGCTATACTCATGTTATTTTATTCTCTTTGTAGCAACTGTGAATGGCAGTTCATTCATGATTTGGCTCTCTGCTTGTTTATTGTTGGTGTATAGGAATGCATGTAATTTTTGCACATTGATTTTATATCCTGAGACTTTGCTGAAGTTGCTTATCAGCTTAAAGAGCTTTTGGGCTGAGGTTTTCTAGATATAGGATCATGTCATCTGCAAACAGAGACAGTTTGACTTCCTCTCTTCCTATTTGAATACGCTTTATTTCTTTCTCTTGCCTGACTTCCCTGGCCAGAACTTCCAATACTATTTTGAATGGGGGTGGTGAGAGAAGGCTTCCTTTTCTTCTGCCGGTTTTCAGTGGGAATGCTTCAAGCTTTTGCACATTCAGTATGATATTGGCTGTGGGTTTGTCACAAATGGCTCTCATTATTTTGAGATATGTTCCATTAATACCTAGTTTATTGAGAGTTTTTAACATGAAGGGATGTTGAATTTTATGGAAGGACTTTTCTGCATCTATTGAGGAAGCTTACAATTGTTGAATCTAATAAGCCTCTGTTAGTCCCAACATCCTGACCTCCTGCTGTTTTTCTGCTTTATCTGCACTGGCTTCATGACTGTTCTGGAAATCCTCCAAGGTCTGTCTGACTTCAGGGCCTTTGCCAAAACAATCCCTCCTAGGGGACCTTCACAAGACCCAATTTAGGGCCTTTGCATGCATAATCTTCCCACCTCTTTTCAAAATTGTCTCCTCATCCATCAGGTTTAGGTAAATATTTTCCTTCTAAACATCTTCTTTTCCAATCTTTTAAAGTATTGCTTCCCCTCCCAATTCAGCATTTATTTCCATCATGGAAACTTACTCATTTATTTTCTGGCACTTAACACATTTTTAATATTATTATTTATTTGTTGATTATTTTTATTTTATACTTTTCCCATTGTACTGAGAAATATTCATGAAAGCAGAGATCATGTTTTACTTGTCAAAGTGTGCTGCGGTTTCAACCTAGTGCATGGCATTTGATTATATTTGTGAATTAATAAATATATTTGAATCATTCAATGAATGCATGTTTTCATAGAAAAGACATAACTGGTTAGTTGTATACTAAGTGATAAGACTCAGATGACTGTTACTGGGCTCTCTAGATTTAATACAGGGCATCCCATTTTAGTTAGTACAATTTAAATTCCGAGTATCCTGCCTAGAATTAATTAATCCTTCTAACATTGGCTTGGAATTTTTAAACAAAATAAACTGAAATCAAACATTATACATAAAAATTTCTTCCTCTATTTTAACTCTGCTCTTTAAAAAATCAAATGTGTTCCTTTTAGCCTCTGAAGACTTTTTGAACACATTTGTCTACATTCACCTCTCCTCCTCTCAACTCTCACAGCTTTCATTCTCTATAATGTTACTCAGGGCTTCTATTTTGTTTTGAATTGTTGCTAATATTTTGACATACTTGTGCCTTGATTCCAGAAGTAGAGTACACTTACTTCATATCCCACAATTACTTTAGCAATCAATAATTGCTGACTGTCTAATATTCAGAAAATTGCACCATCCATCACTTTATGCTATTTATAAATGGTATTTGGGATCACAATTCTCAGATTAAGTTTGTGATAAATAGTTTGTCACATATGTAAATGCCCATAATCAGGATAAAGATATGATTCAGGATAAGGAAATTACGGGGCAATATCTTTTATCAGCCTCTAGATATTACCTTACTTCACTACTCATCTATCTATAGCTGGGCTTTAGCAGTGCAATGAACTGTGGTTCTCACTCAATATCTGTAAATTAGTTATTGTGGCTTTGAGTGGTTGTGGTTTGGAGGGCCCAGTGGTAGTCCCTGTATTATTTTGCAGATTGTAATCTTAGCACAGATTCTGGTCCATAAAAGGTATTCAATTAATCTTTGTTGATAAATAAATTCCAGAGTTTTCCCTTTACTAGTATGTGACTTTGACTAAGATGCTAATGGTACCTCAGCTGTCACTGCTACTACCGCTAATAGCAGTAACAGCAGCAGCAAAAATCCAACATTAGAGATCGTTTGAAATCACTTGTACTGCTCCTGTCTTATCTAGCCTGTCAGAGAATAACATCAGAAAAAACAGTGTGCGTATTTCTTTATCTTTTGATCATAACCTCAATAATATTTGCCTGAGTCTCTCTGTTAATAGTGGCATGCCTACACTTTGCTTCACCTGTGAAGAACCTGTCTGAGAATTGATAGATCTGGACAAGAGGGTAGCCAATTAGGTAATGGCCTCCAGCAAGAGCGGACTCTATAGAAGACTCGCCTTTGAACTGTGTGGAGTTGAACTAAAAAGTGCAGCTGTTATATAAATCAGAGAGAAAAGAACAAGGTTACACCTGTGGGTTGACTCAACAGCTATATTTTCTCAGCTGAAATAGTAGAGTAGTATAATGATAGCTAATACAATATTCAGATTAATTAAGTAATCTTGACTTCAATTATTTAGATAACTCCAGAGAATAGGGAATTAGTTCCAAAATTAAAGTGTTAATTTCAGAAATGGAGACAAAAGGGTCCCTATCAGGAAATCACTCAGGAAAATATTTTCCTAAAAGATTTGAACATTTAATGGCAAGGAAAGTTATAAACAGGACCAGGTGTTATCAATTTAAGGCCAGGGATCTAATATCAACTTTATTATGTACGTACAGAGAACATGTCACAAACAAGTTTGTAGATATCTATTTGTTAGAAATTGTTTTCTAACTACCTGCATCAATCTAAATTTGTCTCTAACTTGATGTCTGGTAAAAAAGAACAGGTAAATGTGTGCCAAGCTGGTCATAATACATTACTGTTAACATTTCTGCCATAACAAGGATCATCTATGTGTTTCGATTTGTACAGAGGTAGTGTGCTGAAACTAGAAATGTACTATGGACAGAGCATTTTACCATTCCCAAGGATGTGTGTTTTTATCAACAGATGTCTCAGAGTCTATTTTTCTTTCTGTTGTCTTGAAAAATTCTAAAAATTAAAATAAATGCAATAGTGTTATAGTTATGAGAAATAATTAAATATAAAAAGTCACGCTTTTATCATTCAATTATACTCCTTTTTTAGCATTTCAATACAATGAAATTTACTTGCAGTTGATCCTCATAGTCTAGGGAAAATTTTGTAAAAGTAATGATACTTAGGAAGTTAGCTGCACCATGATTTTATCATTAAATATTTATATGACAATATAAACTGTGCCCTTAGAAACCTAATTTATTCATTCAAAATATGTAAACGTTGAAAGTTAAGAAATAAATTTTTTTTTGTTAGTCCTGTTACTTTCTGCATTTCAGATGCCCGTCTTCATTATGCTCATTTGTGCTTGAAAGTAAATGGTGACGTTTCTAAATTTTCACAGTAATGTGTTAAGTTTATATACTTGCTATGTAAACTCACATTCAGTAAGGACGATCCAATATTAAACATACTGAGTTTAAGGTATAAGATCATATTGAAGAAACTTAAGTAAAGTTACAAAAAGAGCCCTTGTCTGTGAGTAAATTAGTAGAGATTACTTTTTGTGGATATTGGGTACATTGTATCTTAGATAATGATAATTTACACATGTGTGTTTCTTTGTAGTTTGCCAAGTACTTTCATATGCGTTTTCTTATTTGATACCCAGAAAGCCCTGTGGGGATGGCTATGCAGGCATTTTTATTATCTAAAATGGAATTGAGGCTCCAAAAGTTATTTGATCACTTCACATAACTAATAGGTGACTAAACAAGAATTTGATAGAACACAGAATCATTGCATTCATTTTCCCCAAACATCCAAGAGTATTGTCTGTGAATACTTTTAATAGATTAACTGTTTCAGGAAAAAATACATTCTTTAAAATCTCATCAAATTTCACCAAATAACTTGATGGATAATTCATGTGACAATTTGTATAGCAACTTGTTTCTCTTTAAACCATACCCTCAAGATTCATCTCTCTATATTTAACTAGATATATTTTAAAAAAGATTGTCTTCTCTGGCATCCATCGGGGATAAGTGACAGCTGTCTGTGCATTGATGAAGCACGAAGACTTTTTCCATCCGAAGGAAGAAAGATCACTGCTTTTCATCCTTATTCTTTGAACTATTTAATTTTACAGCCATCTGAATCAACTTTTATTCTTCTCGCATATGTTCTAGAATCTTATAAATAGAGAAGGCAGAAAAGTGCAACACCTAGGTAGACAGCTTTTGTCAAATATTACTCCTACATTGTTTTACAAGGTTCCTTTTGTTCTGTGGTAAAAGGCAGTGTTTTTCAATGAAAAAGTAGCATATAAATATCTCCCTTTGGTTAAGAGGTCTATGTTCCTAATAGAATAACTAAGTTTGGTTCAGAGTATTATTTTTCCCTTATGGGAAATAGGAGTAGAACATTTTATTCTCTGATATTTCTCTATGTGTCACTATTAAGTAGTGGTAATGTGGTGGAAAACAGACATGCAGAAATGACTCTTCAAGTTTCTTTCTATTTTTATTATACAGCATAATTAGAAGAAACATGATTTTCTGAGTTCTGATTGGGAAAGAGAAAAAAGGAGCAGTATCTGACATTTGGAAGCTGACTTGGCTCTCACACGAGGTCTTATTATTGTCTGACTAGACATAAACAATCTCACAGAATACTAAACTCAGACAAGTTTACTAACCTCAGACAAGATCATGATGAAAGGAGACAAGTCAAGGACATTTCATAATTCTGTCTAAACACAGATAGAAACAAGGTCACTATGACACCCACAAAGTATCAAACATCCTTTTACCTCTTCAAAGTTTGTGACTGATATTTATCAATTACATCTCTTTCTTATCAGTAAAGTTTATCGAGATACGCTCTCATAGATGCTCCTCTGCTTCAGACAGCATACAACTTTGAGTGAACCCCCACTTTTGTAGGTTCTCCCCCAAATTACCCAGCCAAAGACAACTTACTGAGATACCCTACGATTTTCGATGCAACAAGTAATAAGCCAAATCTTCTTCAACTAGAGGGCATTCCCTGTGGGTTTTGGTTGTAAGACATTCACATACTTTTGATCCTTTTTTCAGCTTCTTATTAGTTATTTGAAAACATTATTTAGGTATTCTGGTGTTTGATTTTTATCTATAAAGTGGAGATAGAAATAGCAACCATAATACTGTTAAGAATATTAATTCAGATATGCAATATAAAATAACCTAATGGTGCTGTAATACAGAAAGTATTCAAAAATTATTATTCACATCATTATATATTATATTCATTATCTTTCTCCTTCTTTCCTGAGTTTCCCACAATTTAATTATAAAAAAACTTTTCTTTCATAAGCTTAGTTGGGAATCAGAATTTTGACAATGGATTGGGCAAATGAATAGCAACTGTTCTGATTTTACTTGACTGTCATACCCTGAGAGAAAAACAAAACAAAACAAAACAAAAAACTCTGATTGTGGCGAAGTGGGGTCCTCTCCGTTCATGCCCACGAAGATCTCTAGGCATTCAGGACATCTGCTCATCTGAACCAGCAGCCTAAGCCAGCCCACCCTTCCTGTGTAGAGACTGTGGTGAGATAGGACCCTATACACTTTATGCCCGGGCAGATCTTCAGGCATCTGGAGTACCCACTCTCCTGGATTAGGGGTTTAAACTTCCCATTCTGCCCATGTAGAGAACATGGACTGAAGAGGTTTCCCAGATCCACACTTAGGCACACTTCTGGGTTCTTGGTGGCCACCTACTGAATTCTCCCTTGTCACTGGTGCCTGTCATCAGGGGACCTGTAGGATCTGCACAGTCCTGCTCCACCCATCTTGCCTCCCACTCCTGTGGGGCTGACCAGGGAGCTCAGACCACTGTGAACTCCACAGATCAGCCCATTGTGAGAGGCAACAGAGAGCTTCTCCCGGTAAACAAGGATCAAGATATACCCAGCTGCTTTGGCCACAGCCAGCTCTATCCATAAGTGCTATCTATGGGCTTATAGGTCAAACCATATAGCCCAATATAAAACCTGCTGACAGAAGTGCATCGGGCTATAGAAGCAAAGCCAAAAGACCCTACCCAACATTCTTTATTGTCACACCCCCTAGGGAGTGGGTAAAGGGAAAGAGAAAAAAATATTATAGGGAAAGAAAGAAAAAGGAAGAAAGAAAGAAAGTAAATATCCTATCTGCATGAAAAAAGTTACAAAAATTAGAAGTGCTAGCATCTCCAGATGAGAAGGATCCAGTACAAGAATTCTGACACCATGAAAAATCTGAATGTCGTGATACCACCAAAGGATCACATGAGCTCTCCAGCATTGATTCTTATCCAAAATGGAAACTCAGAACTGACAGATAAAGAATTCAAAATATGAATTGCAAGGAAGCTTAATGAGATCCAAGACAAGGTGGAAAATCAAAGGAAATAAATTTCTAAAGCAGTCCAGGAAATGAAGGAAGAGATAAGTGTCTTAAAAAGAAATCAGTCAGAGCATCTGGAATTGGAAAACTCACTTGAGAAATTTTAAAATACAATTCAATTTATCAACAGACAAGATGAAGCAGAAGAAAGATTTCAGAGCTTGAGGACTAGTCTTTCACATTAGCCCAGTCAGATAAAAATAAAGAAAAAAGAATTTTACAAAATGAACAAAGTCTTCAAGAAATATTGTGTAAAGTGACCAAGCCTATGAATTATTGGCATTCCTGAGAGTGAAGGAGAAAAAGTAAATAATCTGGAAAACATATTTGAAGGAATAATAATTCAAGAAAATTTGTCCAATCTTGCTGGAGGTAGAAATCCTTGTTTCTGGATTTCTACCTCTAGCAAGAGTGAGACTCTGTTTCAAAAAAACAAAAATCCATATACAAGGAATCCAGAGAACACCTGTGAGATACTGTATAAAACAAACATCACTAAGACATACAGTTACTGGGCTATCCAAGGTCAATGCTAAAGAAAAAAATTTTAAAGGCAGCTAGGGAAAAACATCAGATCACATAAAAAGGAAGCCTCATCAGGCTAACAGTTGACTTTCAACAGAAATCTTACAAGCCAGGAAAGATTGGGGGCTTATTTTCAGCAGGCTTAAAGAAAATAAATGCCAAACTAGAATTTCATATTTTGCCCAGCTAAGCTTTATAAGCAAAGGAGAAATACAATCTTTTTCTGACAAATGAGCTCCAGGAAAATGTGTTACCACTAGACCAACCTCACAAGAGATCCTTAAGGGAGTTCTAAACATGAAAATGAAAGAACAATACCTGCTACCATAAAAACAAACAACAACAACAAATAACCACACTTAAGTACATGGACCACAGATGCTATAAAGAAACCACACAATGGAAACTACAAAGCAACCAGCTATCAACTTCATGATAGGATCAAAACCTCACATATCTATATTAACCTTGAATGTAAATGGTCTAAACACCCCACTTAAAAGGCACCGAATGGGAAATTAGATAAAAAAACAAAACTCACTTGTCTTCTGTCTTCAAGAGACCCATCTCACATGTAACAGCACCAGTAGGCTCAGAATAAAGGGTTGGAGAGAGATCTACCATGCAAACTGAAAACAAAAAAGAACAGAGATAATCATTCTTATATCAGATAAAACAGACTTTAAATTATAAAAAAGTAAAAAAGGACAAAGAAGGACATTACATAATGATAAAGGTTTCAATTCAACAGGAAGATTTAAGTATCCTAAATATATATGAACCCAATATTGGAGCGCCAGATTCATAAAACATACTTCTAGACTTCCCAAAAGACTTAGCCACATGGTAATAGAGGAGGCCTTCAACACCCCACTGACAGCATTAGACAGATCATCGAGCAATAAAACTAACAAATTCTGGACTTAAAATTGACATATGACCAATTGGACTTAATAGGCATCCACAGAATACCCCATCCATCAACCACAGAATATGCATTCTTCTTGTCTGCACGTGGAACGTACTCCAAGATCAACCATGTGCCCAGCCATAAAGCTAGTCTCAATAAATTCAAAAAAATGAAAATAATACCAAGCATACTCTTGGATCACTGTGGAACGAAAGTAAAAATTAATACTAGGAAGATGTCTCCAAAACTACACAATTATCTGGAAATTAAGTAACTTGCTCCTGAATAACTTTTGTGTAAACAATACTAAGGCAGAAATTAAAAAAATATTTGAAATAAATAAAAACAGAAGCAAAACATATCACAATCTCTGAAATGCATCAAAAGCAGTGTTAAGAAGAGAGTATATAGCACTAAATGCCTACCTCGAGAGGGTAGAAATATCTCAAATTAATGAACTAATGTGACACCTAGAAGGACTAGAAAATGAAGAGCAAACTAATTCCAAAGCTAGCGGGAGAAAATAAATACTAAAATTATAGCAGAACTGAATGAAGTTGGGACCCAATAATCCAAAGAACTGATGAAACTATAATTTGATTTTTTGAAAGGATAAACAGGATTGAGATTGCTAGCTAGATTAACAAAGAAAAAAGAGAAAAGATAGAAATAAGCATGATCAGAAATGACAAAGGTGATATTATAGCCAATCCCATGGAAATACAAAAGATCTTCAGAGACTCTTATGAACACCTCTATACACACAAACTAGAAAATGCAGAAGAAATGAATAAATTCCTGGAAACATACAACCTCTTAGGGTTGAATCAAGAAGAAGTTAAAACACTGAACAGACCAATATTGAGTGCTGAAACTTAATGGGTAATAAAAAACCTACCAACAAGAAAAAGCCCTGGACCAGATGGATTCACAGCCAAATTCTACCAGATGTCCAAAGAAGGGCTAGTGCCAATTCCAGTGAAATTATTCCAGAAAATGAACAAGGAAGGACTTCTCCACAGTTTATTTTATAAATCCAGCATCACCTTGATACCAAAACCTGGCAAAGACACAACAAAAAAGACAACTACAGGCCAGTATTCCTGATGTGTATAGATGCAAAAATCATCAACAAAATACTAGCAAACTGAATTCAGCAGCTCATCAAAAAGTTAGTTTGCCATAGTGAAGTAGGTTTCATTCTTGGGCTGTAAGTTTGGTTCAATGTATGCAAATCAATAAATGTAATTTACCACATAAACAGTATTAAAAGAAAAAAACCATGTAATCTTCTCAATAGATGCAGAAAAAGCTTTCTATTAAATCCAACATCCCTTCATGTTAAAGTCCTCAAGGAACCAGACATTGAAGGAGCATACCTCAAAATAATGAAAACCATTTATGACAAACCCACAGCCAACCTCATACTGAACAGGCAAAAGCTGGAAACATTTCCCTTAAGAGCAGGAACGAGGAGCCAAGATGGCCGAATAGGAACAGCTCCAGTCTACAGCTCCCAGCGTGAGCGGCGCAGAAGACGGGTGATTTCTGCATTTCCATCTGAGGTACCGGGTTCATCTCACTAGGGAGTGCCAGACAGTGGGCGCAGGTCAGTGGGTGCGCGCACCATGCGTGAGCCGAAGCAGGGCGAGGCATTGCCTCACCTGGGAAGCGCAAGGGGTCAGGGAGTTCCCTTTCCGAGTCAAAGAAAGGGGTGACGGACGCACCTGGAAAATCGGGTCACTCCCACCCGAATATTGAGCTTTTCAGACCGGCTTAAAAAACGGCGCACCACGAGATTATATCCCACACCTGGCTCGGAGGGTCCTACGCCCACAGAATCTCGCTGATTGCTAGCACAGCAGTCTGAGATCAAACTGCAAGGCGGCAGCGAGGCTGGGGGAGGGGCGCCCGCCATTGCCCAGGCTTGCTTAGGTAAACAAAGCAGCCAGGAAGCTAGAACTGGGTGGAGCCCACCACAGCTCAAGGAGGCCTGCCTGCCTCTGTAGGCTCCACCTCTGGGGGCAGGGCACAGACAAACAAAAAGACAGCAGTAACCTCTGCAGACTTAAATGTCCCTGTCTGACAGCTTTGAAGAGAGCAGTGGTTCTCCCAGCACGCAGCTGGAGATCTGAGAACCGGCAGACTGCCTCCTCAAGTGGGTCCCTGACCCCTGACCCCTGAGCAGCCTAACTGGGAGGCACCCCCCAGCAGGGGCACACTGACACCTCACACGGCAGGGTATTCCAACAGACCTGCAGCTGAGGGTCCTGTCTGTTAGAAGGAAAACTAACAAACAGAAAGGACATCCACACCAAAAACCCATCTGTACAACACCATCATCAAAGACCAAAAGTAGATAAAACCACAAAGATGGGGAAAAAACAGAACAGAAAAACTGGAAACTCTAAAACGCAGAGCGCCTCTCCTCCTCCAAAGGAACGCAGTTCCTCACCAGCAACGGAACAAAGCTGGATGGAGAATGACTTTGACGAGCTGAGAGAAGAAGGCTTCAGACGATCAAAATACTCTGAGCTATGGGAGGACATTGAAACCAAAGTCAAAGAAGTTGAAAACTTTGAAAAAAATTTAGAAGAATGTATAACTAGAATAACCAATACAGAGAAGTGCTTAAAGGAGCTGATGGAGCTGAAAACCAAGGCTCGAGAACTACGTGAAGAATGCAGAAGCCTCAGGAGCCGATGCGATCAACTGGAAGAAAGGGTATCAGCAATGGAAGATGAAATGAGTGAAATGAAGCGAGAAGGGAAGTTTAGAGAAAAAAGAATAAAAAGAAATGAGCAAAGCCTCGAAGAAATATGGGACTATGTGAAAAGACCAAATCTACGTCTGATTGGTGTACCTGAAAGTGATGGGGAGAATGGAACCAAGTTGGAAAACACTCTGCAGGATATTATCCAGGAGAACTTCCCCAGTCTAGCAAGGCAGGCCAATGTTCAGATTCAGGAAATACAGAGAACGCCACAAAGATACTCCTCGAGAAGAGCAACTCCAAGACACATAATTGTCAGATTCACCAAAGTAGAAATGAAGGAAAAAATGTTAAGGGCAGCCAGAGAGAAAGGTCGGGTTACCCTCAAAGGGAAGCCCATCAGACTAACAGGGGATCTCTCGGCAGAAACCCTACAAGCCAGAAGAGAGTGGGGGCCAATATTCAACATTCTTAAAGAAAAGAATTTTCAACCCAGAATTTCATATCCAGCCAAACTAAGCTTCATAAGTGAAGGAGAAATAAAATCCTTTACAGACAAGCAAATGCTGAGAGATTTTGTCACCACCAGGCCTGCCCTAAAAGAGCTCCTGAAGGAAGTGCTAAACATGGAAAGGAACAACCGGTACCAGCCGCTGCAAAATCATGCCAAAATGTAAAGACCATCGAGACTAGGAAGAAACTGCATCAACTAACGAGCAAAATCACCAGCTAACATCATAATGACAGGATCAAATTCACACATAACCATATTAACTTTAAATGTAAATGGACTAAATTCTCCAATTAAAAGACACAGACTGGCAAATTGGATAAAGAGTCCAGACCCATCAGTGTGCTGTATTCAGGAAACCCATCTCACGTGCAGAGACACACATAGGCTCAAAATAAAAGGATGGAGGAAGATCTACCAAGCAAATGGAAAACAAAAAAAGGCAGGGGTTGCAATCCTAGTCTCTGATAAAACAGACTTTAAACCAACAAAGATCAAAAGAGACAAAGAAGGCCATTACATAATGGTAAAGGGATCAATTCAACAAGAAGAGCTAACTATCCTAAATATATATGCACCCAATACAGGAGCACCCAGATTCATAATGCAAGTCCTGAGTGACCTACAAAGAGAATTAGACTCCCACACATTAATAACGGGAGACTTTAACACCCCACTGTCAACATTAGACAGATCAATGAGACAGAAAGTCAACAAGGATACCCAGGAATTGAACTCAGCTCTGCACCAAGCGGACCTAATAGACATCTACAGAACTCTCCACCCCAAATCAACAGAATATACATTTTTTTCAGCACCACACCACACCTATTCCAAAATTGACCACATAGTTGGAAGTAAAGCTCTCCTCAGCAAATGTAAAAGGACAGAAATTATAACAAACTATCTCTCAGACCACAGTGAAATCAAACTAGAACTTAGGATTAAGAATCTCACTCAAAGCCACTCAACTACATGGAAACTAAACAACCTGCTCCTGAATGACTACTGGGTACATAACGAAATGAAGGCAGAAATAAAGATGTTCTTTGAAACCAACGAGAACAAAGACACAACATACCAGAATCTCTGGGACGCATTCAAAGCAGTGTGTAGAGGGAAATTTATAGCACTAAATGCCCACAAGAGAAAGCAGGAAAGATCCAAAACTGACACCCTAACATCACAATTAAAAGAACTAGAAAAGCAAGAGCAAACACATTCAAAAGCTAGCAGAAGGCAAGAAATAACTAAAATCAGAGCAGGACTGAAGGAAATAGAGACACAAAAAATCCTTCAAAAAATCAATGAATCCAGGAGCTGGTTTTTTGAAAGGATCAACAAAATTGATAGACCGCTAGCAAGACTAATAAAGAAAAAAAGAGAGAAAAATCAAATAGACACAATAAAAAATGATAAAGGGGATATCATCACCGATCCCACAGAAATACAAACTACCATCAGAGAATACTACAAACACCTCTACACAAATAAACTAGAAAATCTAGAAGAAATGGATAAATTCCTTGACACATACACTCTCCCAAGACTAAACCAGGAAGAAGTTGAATCTCTGAATAGACCAATAACAGGAGCTGAAATTGTGGCAATAATCAATAGTTTACCAACCAAAAAGAGTCCAGGACCAGATGGATTCACAGCCGAATTCTACCAGAGGTACAAGGAGGAACTGGTACCATTCCTTCTGAAATTATTCCAATCAATAGAAAAAGAGGGAATCCTCCCTAACTCATTTTATGAGGCCAGCATCATTCTGATACCAAAGCCGGGCAGAGACACAACCAAAAAAGAGAATTTTAGACCAATATCCTTGATGAACATTGGTGCAAACATCCTCAATAAAATACTGGCAAAACGAATCCAGCAGCACATCAAAAAGCTTATCCACCATGATCAAGTGGGCTTCATCCCTGGGATGCAAGGCTGGTTCAATATACGCAAATCAATAAATGTAATCCAGCATATAAACAGAGCCAAAGACAAAAACCACATGATTATCTCAATAGATGCAGAAAAGGCCTTTGACAAAATTCAACAACCCTTCATGCTAAAAACTCTCAATAAATTAGGTATTGATGGGACGTATTTCAAAATAATAAGAGCTATCTATGACAAACCCACAACCAATATCATACTGAATGTGCAAAAACTGGCAGCATTCCCTTTGAAAACTGGCACAAGACAGGGATGCCCTCTCTCACCACTCCTTTTCAACATAGTGTTGGAAGTTCTGGCCAGGGCAATTCGGCAGGAGAAGGAAATAAAGGGTATTCAGTTAGGAAAAGAGGAACTCAAATTGTCCCTGTTTGCAGACGACATGATTGTATATCTAGAAAACCCCATTGTCTCAGCCCAAAATCTCCTTAAGCTGATAAGCAACTTCAGCAAAGTCTCAGGATACAAAATCAATGTACAAAAATCACAAGCATTCTTATACACCAACAACAGACAAACAGAGAGCCAAATCATGAGTGAACTCCCATTCACAATTGCTTCAAAGAGAATAAAATACCTAGGAATCCAACTTACAAGGGATGTGAAGGACCTCTTCAAGGAGAACTACAAACCACTGCTCAAGGAAATCAAAGAGGATACAAACAAATGGAAGAACATTCCATGCTCATGGGTAGGAAGAATCAATATCGTGAAAACGGCCATACTGCCCAAAGTAATTTACAGATTCAATGCCATCCCCATAAAGCTACCAATGACTTTCTTCACAGAATTGGAAAAAACTACTTTAAAGTTCATATGGAACCAAAAAAGAGCCCACAGCGCCAAGTCAATCCTAAGCCATAAGAACAAAGCTGGAGGCATCACACTACCTGACTTCAAACTATACTACAAGGCTACAGTAACCAAAACAGCATGGTACTGGTACCAAAACAGAGATATAGATCAATGGAACAGAACAGAGCCCTCAGAAATAACGCCACATATCTACAACTATCTGATCTTTGACAAACCTGAGAAAAACAAGCAATGGGGAAAGGATTCCCTATTTAATAAATGGTGCTGGGAAAGCTGGCTAGCCATATGTACAAAGCTGAAACTGGATCCCTTCCTTACACCTTATACAAAAATCAATTCAAGATGGATTAAAGATTTAAACGTTAGACCTAAAACCATAAAAACCCTAGAAGAAAACCTAGGCATTACTATTCAGGACATAGGCATGGGCAAGGACTTCATGTCTAAAACACCAAAAGCAATGGCAACAAAAGCCAAAATTGACAAATGAGATCTCATTAAACTAAAGAGCTTCTGCACAGCAAAAGAAACTACCATCAGAGTGAACAGGCAACCTACAAAATGGGAGAAAATTTTCGCAACCTACTCATCTGACAAAGGGCTAATATCCAGAATCTACAATGAACTCAAACAAATTTACAAGAAAAAAACAAACAACCCCACCAAAAAGTGGGCAAAGGACATGAACAGACACTTCTCAAAAGAAGACATTTATGCAGCCAAAAAACACATGAAAAAATGCTCACCATCACTGGCCATCAGAGAAATGCAAATCAAAACCACAATGAGATACCATCTCACACCAGTTAGAATGGCAATCATTAAAAAGTCAGGAAACAACAGGTGCTGGAGAGGATGTGGAGAAATAGGAACACTTTTACACTGTTGGTGGGACTGCAAACTAGTTCAACCATTGTGGAAGTCAGTGTGGCGATTCCTCAGGGATCTAGAACTAGAAATACCATTTGACCCAGCCATCCCATTACTGGGTATATACCCAAAGGACTATAAATCATGCTGCTATAAAGACACATGCACACGTATGTTTATTGCGGCATTATTCACAATAGCAAAGACTTGGAACCAACCCAAATGTCCAACAATGATAGACTGGGTTAAGAAAATGTGGCACATATACACCATGGAATACTATGCAGCCATAAAAAATGATGAGTTCATGTCCTTTGTAGGGACATGGATGAAATTGGAAATCATCATTCTCAGTAAACTATCGCAAGAACAAAGAACCAAACACCACATATTCTCACTCATAGATGGGAATTGAACAATGAGATCACATGGACACAGGAAGGGGAATATCACACTCTGGGGAATATGGTGGGGTTGGGGGAGGGGGGAGGGATAGCATCGAGAGATATACCTAAGGCTAGATGATGAGTTAGTGGGTGCAGCACACCAGCATGGCACATGTATACATATGTAACTAACCTGCACAATGTGCACATGTACCCTAAAACTTAAAGTATAATAAAAAAAAAAAAGAGGAGGAACAAGACAAGACACTCTCACCACTTCTATTCAACATAGTACTGAAGTTCTAGCTAGAGTAATCAAGCAAGAGAAAGAAATACCAGGTATCCAAATAGGAAAATAAGAAATCAAATTATCTCCCTTCACTGATGATATGATTTTGTTCCTAAGAAACACTAAAGACTTCACAAAAAGTCTTCTAGAACTGATAAATGACTTCAATAAAGTTTCAATATACAAAATCAATGTATAAAAATCAGTAGCATGTCTATAAACCAGAAACGTTCAAGCTAGGAGCAATAATGCAATCCCATTGACAATAGCCACAAAAATCCTGAAATACCTAGCAATACCTCTGACAAAGGAGATGAAAGATCTCGACAAAAAAGCTACAGAACACTGCCAAAAGAAATTAGAGGTGACCAATAACAAAGATGGAAAAACGTTTCATGCTTATGGATTGGAAGAATCAATATTGTTAAAATGACCTTACTGCCCAAAGCAATGTACAGATTCCACATTATGTCTATCAAACTACCAACATCGTTTTTCACAGAATTAGAAAAAACTATGCTAAAATTTATGTGGAACCAAAAAGAGCCTGAATAGCCAAAATAATCCTAAGCAAAAAGAACAAAGCCAGCGGCTTCACATTAGCAGACTTCAAGCTATACTGTAAGATTACAGTAACCAAAGCAGCATGGTTATAGAAACAGAACATAAAGACCAATAGAACAGAATAGAGAACCCAGAAATAAAGCCACACACCTACAGCCATCTGATCTTTGACAAAGTTAATAAAAATAAGCAATCAGGAAAGGACTCTCTATTCAATAAATAGTGCTTGGCCAGCTGGCTGGCTAGCCATATGCAGAAGAATGAAACTGGTCCTTTTACCATATGCAAATATTAACTCAAGATGGATTAACTATTTAAATGTAAGACCTCAAGCTATAAGAATTCTGGAAGAAAACCTAGGAAATACCATTCTGGACATTGGCCTTGAGAAATAATTTATAACTATGTCCTCAAAAGCAATTGCAACAAAAACAAAAGTTGACAAGCATGACCCAATTAGACTAAAGAGCTCCTGCACAGCAAAATAGACTATGAATAGAATAAACAACTTACAGAATGGGAAAAAATATTTTCAAACTCTGCATCCGACAAAGGTCTAATATACATAATCTATATGGAATATAAACAATTCACCAGACAAAAAAACACATAACCTCATCGATGAGTGGGCAAAATACATGAACAGACACTTCTCGAAAGAAGACATACAAATAGCCAGCAAACATATGTAAAAATTCTCACCATCCCTAATCATCAGAAAAATGCAAATCAAAACCACAGTGAGATAGCATCTCACACCAGTCAGAATGGCTACCATTAAAAAGTCAAAAAACACTAGATACTGGAGAGGCTGCAGAGCACTGGGAATGCTTCTATATTGTTGGGAGGAATGAAAATTAGTTCAGCCACAGAGATTTTTCAAAGAACTTAGAACAGAATTGCCATTTAATCCAGCAATCCCACTACTGAGTATGTGTGTTCATAGCAGCACTATTCCCAATAGCAAAGACATGGAATCATCCTCAGTGCCAATCAATGTGGACTGGATAAAGAAATGTGGTACAAATATACCATGAAATACTATGGATCCATGAAAAATAATGGAATTATGTCCTTTGTAGCAACCTGGATGAAGCTGGAGGCCATTAACCTATGCACACTAATGAAGAAACAAAAAAAACAAATACCACATGTTCTCACTTATATGTGGGAGCTAAACATTGGGTTCACGTGAACATAAAAATGGCAACAAGAAACACTGGGGACTACTAAAGGGGGAAGGGAGAAAGGGAGCAGTGGTTGAAAAGCTATTGGGTACTATGCTCACTACCTGGATGACGAGGTTATTCATACCCCTCACATCAGTATCATGCAATATATTCATGTAAATAACCTGTACGTGTACCCCCTGAATCTAAAATAAAAGTTGAAATGAAAAGAAAGCTTCTACAGTCCCCAGCAATCATTTATTGATAACTCAGTGTCCTAGAGAATAAGCTGAGCAATGCAGACATAGAAATGAATTAGATTTCATCCTTACCATCAAGCAGCACATGCTCATCTCTAATAATTTTCTGAGTATCAACCACACCATTTGTTCTCAAACATCTTCCTAATACAGTATATCTGGGGGTTTATGACACAGTCCTACCATAGAGCTACACCAAATTTCTCATTTGGCAAGATGAGATTCACGTTATTCACCCAAAGAATAATCCAGAATTAAACACAACCTTAAAATGCTTAAATAAAAATCTAGCAGATATAGAAGAAGCAATAGAGAAATCTGTATTCCTTGGATATTTTAATAAATTTTAATAGAAACTTATAGATCAAGGAGGCAAAAATATCAAGAAAATATGGGGGATGAGAACATAAGAAACTATTTTCATCACATTTATGTGTGCATGCATGCATGTGTGTATGTATGCATGTGTGTGTGTATGCACATGTGTGTGTGTGCATATGTTACTTTGCCCAATGTACAGAGCAAACTCATAGTTTTTCGATATACATGGAATATTTACAAAATTTGACTCCAACCCACCCTACAAAGGAAGTTTTAAGAAATAACAAAGAATAGTATGTGAACAATGTTCTCTGGCCAAAGTGTAATAAAGTTAAAAGTAAACAATAGATTTGGAGGTGTGATAGTTAATACTGAATGTCAATTTGATTGGATTGAAGGATGCAAAGTATTTATCCTGGGTGTGTCTGTGAGGGTGTTGCCAAAGGAGATTAACATTTGAGTCACTGGGCTGGGGAAGGCAGATCCACCCTTAATCCAGGTAGGCACCACCTAATCAGCTGCCAGTGTGGCTAGAATATAAAGCAGGCAGAAAAACGTGAAAAGACAAGAGTGGCTTAGCCTCCCAGCCTACATCTGTCTCCCTTGCCGGATGCTTCCTGCTTTCAAACATCCAACTCCAAGTTCTTCCGCTTTGGGACTCAGACGGGCTCTCCTTGCTCCTCAGTTTGCAGACAGCCTATTGTGGGACATCATGATTGTCTGAGTTAATACTTAATAAATTTCCTCTTACATATATATCTATCCTATTAGTTCTGTTCCTCTAGAGAACCCTGACTAATACAGGAGGCTTTGCAATTCTCTCTCCAAACTGAAGGGACCTCTGGCTTTGGGTGGCTTTTGCGGCTCTGTGCCCAGGCTGTTGAAGTCAAAAGCCAATGGCTTTAAGAACCCAGTGCATGATAACAAAATGTCCACTTGCTTTGTCTCGCTACCTCCTCGGTACTGACTGCATAAAAGATTCTTAAACAATAAAACCAACAAAGGGAAAACTGGAAACAAACAGAAAAGGCAGTAGACTGTATTCAACTAAGGATGAGTAGTTTTGATTGGGAGCAAGATGTGGGTAATGTCTTTGGATCTGTTATGACTAGAGCAGAGGCTTTTGCTAGGAAGTAGTAGGGCATTTGACTGAGCATGAAGAAAGCAACCAAACCCAGCAGCTTTAGGAAAGTTTACATGAAGAAGTTAAGACTGGAAGCAATATACAATGAAGAACCTCTTTGTTTTCTGAAATTATAAAATTGGACTCTTAGGAAACTCAGTTTGGCAATGTATATGAGACACTTCAAAAAGGAGAGGCAGAAGTTAGGAATAAGGTTCATGAGGTGATAAGTACACGGCACCAAAACACGTCAGTGAGTCAGGTGGTGGCAGTTTAGTGACAGCATGCACCAAGGTTTTGGTTATTGCTTCCAGAATGGTCCACTCAACTCACTTCTAATAGATATTTTAATCCATGCTAAGTGATTTAGTGACAGCAAGAATTTCACAGACCAGTATGTAAAGAAAAGTGGAAAAAGAGAGGAGCTCAGTAAGAAGAAATAAGTGGGGAGCCAGTTTATAATTAACAGATGAATATCCCTTGCATACCACCTCCACTTTCCATCCTGCCAAAACACATCACCAAGGAGGAAAGAAATGATAATGCAAGAGGAGAAATCTGTTCTTTCATTCACATTAAAAAAAAAAAAAAAACACTGAGATGCTGAAGGGCATTTTCAGCTTAATCTAATTTAGCTGTAATTCTATATTTTAGAAGCTGCCATTTGGCATCCAGAGTACTAATGTTGAAATCCAATAAGGAAAAAAGGAAAATAGTAGTTTGGAGGTTCTCTTGCTCTACTTTTTTTTTCCTACTTATACCCTTTTACCTTTAATCTATTCTTTATCTTTATATTTGATTGGGAAAATTCATATGAAGATGAATGGAAAAATGCTATGACTTCTTTTTCTGTTCTATTTTTTAAAATCTGAAGATCTTGGAAAAGATCTAAAATGACTATTTTTTCTAATATTGAATCAATATAGGTTTGAATTTAGTTTCTTCACATATAATGAAGATATGATATGTAAAATAAATTCCATTCAAATGAGTTACTTAAAAGAAAATTCAGGACACTAGATATTTAGAACATAATTTTATTCTTTTAATTTATTAAATAATATTTTATTATATTATAGATACTTAAAATATAAGCTCACATTGATTCAATCATGTGTAATATAATATAGTTCACAGTGATTGAAGAGACTTTTTTGCTTTAATTTCCTTATTTGTAGTATAGATGAATATTTAGTAAAATTTTGTTGTAAAATGATCTAAATAATTTTGCTTAACAACATATTTCATAGTTTCTTTTTCTTATTCTTCTTACTTTAATACAAATTTCACAGACGTATAATTTAATACATACTTTAAACAGAAATATATTTTTATAGCTATTGTAGCTACTAACTACAAACACTTCTGAGCACCTTCATCAGAACAAAGCTCCCACATCATAACTAGTTCAATAAAACTGGTTAAACATTTATTCAGGAAAGGAATGAAAACTGATTCTGCCTTCAATTAAAAAATAAGCCCGAGGTATTAGATAATCAACAGACCCAGATGTCATTTTAAAAAAAATGTTCAGAAGTTGAATTTTTCATTTAATTACTATTTGAACTTTGATAGCATTTTATAAATCATAAGGCTTCATTAGTCAGGGTTCCAGCAGGAGTGAGATAAAACAATCAATTGGGTAATTGAGGAAAGTGTAGAAAAGAGATGATTTCCAAAGTCATGGACAGGATATAGGGAAACCAGTAAGGTACACTGGAGTTTGCTGGGGTTAGCAACAGTTTGGGGCCATATCTCTGCCAAGACTTGAAAGGACACAGAGAGGTGGTTTCTGGTATACAGAGAAGATAGTTACACAGAGAAGATCACCTGACAGAAACTGTGGTCTTTGGGGTGACTTTCCAGGGAAGGAGCATGGAGGAGAAATATCTAGACTTCATCCACCCCATTCTCTGGTCTTCTGTGATGTCTCTCATTAGCCAAAGTCAAGAGTAAGCCAGAGGGCAAGGGATCCTGCCGATGCACTTCATGCTGGCCATCCTCACTCCCAAGACACAGTGCCCAGTGGAGAAGGATCAAAATGAATCTGGAAGAAAAACAGAACACAGGCAGCATATGGGCCTAGATATATAGTCTAGGCATTCACTCTAAAATTGTTTATTGAACATCTACTATATATGATATACTCTTCTAGGCACTGAGGTTACAAGTACAAACAACATAATTCTCAGAAGTGGAGAAACAACCCAGATGTTTTATTTCTGTCCTTTTTCTTATTTGAGATTTAAAGATTAAAAAGGAACTAAAGAAGACAACAACAAAAAAAGACAAAAATTTACCATAAAAGAAAAGACATCATGAAGTATAAAATATTCATCTATAGAAACAAACATAGGGCTGGGCATGTTGGCTCATGTTCGCACTTTGGGAAGCCGAGGCAGGAGGATTGCATATGGCCAGGAGTTCAAGACCAGCCTGGGCAACATAGTGAGACCCATGTCTCTACAAAAACAAAAAACAAAAACAAAAGCAAACAAAAAAGAACCCAACCAAACAAAAATCCCCAATTTTCCAGGTATGGTGGTTTGTGTCTGTAGTCCTAGCTACTCTGAAGGCTGAGGCAGGAGGATCTCTTGAGCCCAGGAGTTTGAGGTTATAATGAGCTATGATGGAGCCACTGCACTCCAGCCTGGGTAACAGAGTGAGAGCATGTCTCATATATATGCATATATATGTGTGTGTGTGTGCGTGTGTGTAGTAAAAACTACTCTTCATTGTAGCCTCCATCTGGCCTGAAAGATAAAATTATTCTGGACCAAGAAATTCCTATGAATGAGTAGTAAGCCTAAGTATATGAGGAAGCAAAGGAAATTGATTCATGCTTAATAAACTCTTCAATTAATAAAACCTTGTTCCTAGGCTACTCTTTCCTCTGGGGAGCTCTCAGTATTTTATAGCCCTCGTCTAAGAAGCATTATAACTCCTCTGTGTTACAAATAATGGAATAAGTGTGTCAGTGGGTTGGGTATTTTTTCTCCCTCTTCTTTACCTTGGATATATTAACAGTGAATCAATGCTTTGCAGCTCTATCTCTAGTGGAAAATACTCCTTTCTTTTTTATATGGTGGCTAACAGATAGATTTCCCTGCCTGCCCTGACTACGTCATGGTTACTGACATCGTAATTCTTCCAGTGGCTAATCTTTTAATTAATTCAAAGAATATTGATGAAACTCTTTGTATTTTTTACCAGAAAACCCCTGTAGTTTTTATTCATATTTAAGTTAAATGATAAATCATTTTATGATACATCTCTAGACTAAGTCTGACACAGATGATGGTGACAAAAATGACCCACTTAGTAATTGATTGCTTTTTATTTCACTCTCAATTGCCTAAAAATGTCCTGGTTGCTTATGCACATACTGTATCTGTTGGAATTGATTTTTACAGGTTCATAAAGCCATAGTGAGTTTCTTTCAGTCCATTGCTTATCTAGTCCCTGCTAAAATTGTCATTAAGGTTGGTAGTAGAAGCAAGAAGTTACAGAGCATGGCTTTCCCAGCCAATCTGGGAAAATACTCTCTCATAAGACACCTTAATGCTTTGTATTCCTGAAACTCTGACAGATGGATGCAAGTTCCTAGCTAGAAAATGAGATAACCAAGTGTAACCTAGATGTCAACTGGGATTTTCTGACCCCTTAAGACTTGCTTGGACATCTGTTAATACTGGATGGAAGCCAGATAAATCCTCAAGGCTTCTGTAAGTTGAAGAGAATGTGGTGCCCATTTCCAGACCCCCTCTTCTTCTCATTCCTTTCTTGTCTTACATGCAGGCACTTTAGTGGCACAGTGCAGACGTGAAATAGACTCTTGCTCAACTTACCCCAGATATGCCTCCATCCTTCAAGGTATCTGCAAGAGTAGTAGAATTGAGGAGTTGTGGGAACATATGAATGATATGAATGGTATTTATAATAGTTATAACCCCACATTGAACCCCAACACATGAAAATAGTCTTTGATCTCTCCATTTCCAGAAAATCCCCAGTAACCTTTCCTATCCATTCCAGCAAGCTTGTTTAAGCTCCACCTTAGTAGTAGCTTCTCCTACTGACACTTGTACTCTTGGATCCTATATTCCACACCTGTGCGTTATCAAGGCTCTTCACCAAATAAAGATGTAATCTTCTTTCTAAAGGGTAAATGAACTATTATTAAGATGATATCATGTTTCATTTTGCTATGATGGGGCATATACTTCCTAAGAAGATAATTTAGCATTTCCATTTTTTTTTGGCAACATTGAGAGACAGAAAACCATTTCAGGTTACATACTAAAGTAATTACAAATTTGGCAGCGTGCCTCTATGACAATAAAAGTGCATTGTTTCAGAGTGTGCTGATAATGTCATTTAAAACCCTGAGCATGTACTCTGTTCTTTGGCTGGTGAGTTTTACAAAGGTATGAGGAACAAGTAGGGAGACAGAAGTTGTGCTGGGCTAAAGTTGTGCATCTTCAGAATATTTTTCCTTCTGGTTTCTGAACCTTAGGGAATCTCAAACAACAGGAAAGATGATATAGTTTTTAAAGCCCTTAGGAGGTCTACCCTAATTTCCTACTTTATTTTCAAACCAGCTTTTTGATGGCTAAAATCTCTTTCAAGCAAAGCATTCTTTTCTGAGAACAAGTAAAACTGAGCCAGAGTCCACAGGAAAGACTCACTGAGCACCTGAAAGCGGGGAGGGGGTTAGAAAGGGAAGGACTGAAGTCACCTAAGCTAAATCTCCGCTCTTGATGTTCAGTAGAGCTGTGCTAAAAGAGCTGCAGGGGGAAGGCAGGCTTAATACTGTTAAAATGACTTTGTGTGTTCTATCTCCAGCTTTTGCTATTCAAAATATGCATCAAATTGAGAAACTCTGTGGTTGGCAGCAAAGTCGATGTCATATGATTTTAGTATGACCAAAGGGAAGCTAAGACAGATTCAAGATCAGAGCTATTTTTGTGTTATGAGTGAAAAATAACAATAAAGGATGATATCAGGAAATGTAAAGGACTAATTAGGGTCAAAGGGAAAATAAGTGGAAGCTGGAGAACACATTGTTGACACTTACACTTTGATTGCCTTTCAATTTGATTTAGAAATCAATATTTTATTGCATGGATGAGGTAGAGGAGGTATAAAATTTGCTGAAATCTGAAAAATGCTCTCATAGCCCAGATTTTGAGAGATGATGTATATTATCACCGTGAGCTTGGAGATGCTCAAATTTCACAGCTGCAACTAAAAAAATATCAAGGGAGTAATGCCAAATCAGGACAATGGACAGCAGCAGCAGCTCAGGAAGTCTTTGTTTGCCAAATCTGGAGAGCCATCTTAGAGGTGTTTTCAGAAAGTATCTTAAACATATTCGGCACTCAAGGCCTCTTGCAGTGTGATTACACTGTTAAGTCTTGCCACATGGCTTCCTAGAGGTAAGCATAACAAGCTCTGTGTGAAGAGATCCTTACAGACATTAGTGCATATAGTTTACATACAGATCAATAAAGATTGAGTTCCAATCGAATCTAAGTCCTTACTTCTAATTGTTTCCTCTAAATTATAAGTGGATCACTTTTGCATCTTCCTAACTGAATCAGGGATTTTAACTCATTTACTTTCAGAGACTATGACCTAGGAGTACAGATGCTCACCTAACTAAAAGCCTAGTGGACCACTTAATGCAAAACATTTTCCTTTCCTAGTGCTTACTTGTAGAAATCCAATAGGGCTTTGCTACCCCCACTATCATGGGCTGCTCTGAGCTTTAAAAGGTTGTCTTCATCTGTTTGAGAACATCTGCTCCACACTCTGGTCATATGCTAGCCCTTAGGAAATGGTTCTCTAAGGCAGAAGCATGTTTCATAAGATTCATATGATTTACAAATGAGAATTTTAAGTTCTAATTAGTACTTTCAGGGTGATTCATGCAAAAAAAAAAATACTTCAGTTTGCATGTCAATGAAAACGTGCTGCCTTAGAAAACCATGCTAAATTGTGTAATTAATCTTTGTATATAGGGAAGGATCTATTTTTCCTATTTCCAGTTCCCAGGAAATAGATTCAGACAACTTAGTGTCTTAGATATTTAAAACACATGACTATTGCAACATGAGGATTCAAGTTTTGGTATGTTGTATGAAGAGAAAAAAAATTATTCCTCGAAAAATTATATTTCCTTTACTTTTGCGGCCCTTTTTCTCTCTTCCTCCTTTCTTTCCTACTTCCTTCTCCTTTCTTTCCTACTTCCTTCTCTTCTCTTTTTTCCTTTTCCTGTTCCTCCTCCTCCTCCTCTACCCTCCATTCTTTTCTTCTGTTTATCTTTCCCCAACATTGTAGCTCTCTTTCAGAAATATTTATGGCTGATGTTTGCTGTGTATTCTAATTTTGTTGGCTTTCATGCTAAAATCACTCATTTTCACAATGTGCAATCGTTATGTATAAAAACGCTTTATTCTAAAGTTCTTTCAAATGTTAACTAACCATTACCATGATAATTGGATTTCTAATTTTTGTGTATTTAACTAGAATGTTGGCCTCTAATAAGCAATTTCAGTTGAATGCAAAAACAAAAAACAGAACAATAACAAAAAACAATAATAAAAAACTGTTACTGGTAAAAGCAAATAAAAGTAATTGAGATACTGGTAACAGTACTGTTAACAATAAATAAAAATACTTAATTCCTTGGGTTAGAAGCATGATGACACTTACAAAAGAAGAATTACATATATTATTTTACGTAATGTCAGTATACCTGCTTTTGGAGGACCAGAATCACACCATTTCTCTTTGCTATAGTAGTTTATAGATTTGAAGTGGTGTTATTGTCTTCTCTTCCATCAAAATGGATACGGGCATATAACTCAGACTGGCAAGAATGAAAGTTCTTCATTCCCATGGCCACAGACATTGGTTCTAGGCTGTGTACTGATCTAAGATGGGCCAATCAGAGTTTTCCCTGGGATTTTTTGCTGGAGCTCTCAGGGGAAGCACAGGAATACGGTATGTAAGACTGGGACTGACAGTGGTGGTCTTGCTGCCCCAAGAACAGAATGTGTTTGAGAGCAAAGCTAAATAGAGGCAGGTAGAATTGGATACGAGTAGGAAAACGGCTGACAGTTGATGCCATTGATTGCATTCCTGAAGGTTTACACAGGGATGGTATATTCTAGATAAATATGAGACAAGTGATAGAAAAAAAAAATGACTTTATAGGGGAGACAGCAGCCAAAACAAATTCAGGGAGGAAAAATGGAGCACGAGACTTCTGAGATTTCAAGGACTTTGGAATGGCTGGGGATCAGGATGTTGGCTGGTTAGTGGTAGAGATGAGTTCAAAGGTAAATAAGGGGATAATCAAGAAGATGACCTTGATTGCCAAGTTAAGGAGTTTAGATTCAATCATGAAGGCAGTGGAGAGCCATGGAAGGAATTTTAGCAGGCGTCTGACATGGTTAGATTTGCCTAGGGCTAGCCTGTGTTGAGGAAATAAGATGTAAAGTTTGAATACTTTTTAAACATCACGGTTGCTGTTTTCCACTCAGAAGCTTCAAACTAATAATAGAAAAATTTGAACAACTAAATTTAACTTAAAAATCATTTTTTTACATCTGTAAGTTTGTCATTTATATTATAAAACAGTGTGGAGACATTATTATGAATATATCGATTTTTGTCTTAGATATTCCTGTTATATTAAAAAAGTTAATAAATAAAAAGCACTACAGCTGCTGAAAATAGAATCAGTACAAATAAGTAAAGTCAGAAAAGAGAAGAGTTAACTTTGCAGTGAAGTTATACGATGGGAACCGAACTGGTTCTATTGCTCAGAAGAGACGTGTGTATTCAGAAGTGAAGTAAATCATAAAGTTTAAACATTCTGTGTGTCCATAGTCAATTTTTTCTGTTTCAAAATTCTCAAAAATAAGTATTTTATAGATATACTGTTTTTGCTATTCAAAGCAATGCAAACAGTAATAGTTGTATATCAAGTGTGCTCAGATTTAAATAAACCTTTTTCTCATATTAATTTGCAGTGCTTTTCAGCTTGCAAAATTATTTTCCATTTATGTTTCCTACTCATGACACATCCCTGTGATACAGACTGTACAGCTCTTTTTTTTTTTTTTTTTTTTTTTTTTGAGACAGAGTCTCACTCTATCGCCCAGGCTGGAGTTCAGTGGTGCGATCTCCGCTCACTGCAACCTCTGCCTCCCGGGTTCAAGTGATTCTCCTGCCTCAGCCTCCCAAGTAGCTAGGACTACAGGCACCTGCCACCATGCCTGGCTAATTTTTCGTATTTTTGGTAGAGATGAGGTTTCACGGTGTTAGCCAGGATGGCCTCGATCTCCTGACCTCGTGATCTGCCTGCCTTGGCCTCCCAAAGTGCTGGGATTACAGGCATGAGCCATCGTGCCCGGCCGCTACAGCTCATTTTTACAGATGAGAAAACTGAGGCTGGAAGAAGATAGTAGTAAATTAATCATGGGAACACAGAGAAGCTGGACAAATTGAGATTGGAATCTGAGCTTGAATCTAAAGCTCAAGACTCTCTGGTTTGTTTGATTTTGCTTTGACTATCGTACCTTTTGTTTTTCAAGACAGCATAACAGCCAACCTAGGGCAGCCAGTTCACACAGTCAGGAATTAGGTGTCCAGCTGTAGGCCTGTGCCGTGGATGCCCATGTGAGTCTGGCACAGTCTAGTGGACCCATTGCCTTGTGCTCCAGCCTGCATGACAGAATGAGACACCATCTCAAAAAAAATAAAATAAAATGGCTTATGCATATGTTACTGCATCTCATTTTTATAGCAATTGGGTAAACTGAAGGTATTTTATATTCATAGTAAGGATGAGTAAACCAGGCTTTTTAAAAATTGAGTTGTTTCAGAAAAATCTAACATTTAGTAAGTTGTACAAATAGAACTTCTGTAGATGAACCTTGTCATTAGGCTTTTAATTGCATTTCCTTTGATGTTTCAGCTCCTGGAGAGGAGGGTAATTTTGCCCTTGGTTCTTTGCCCTTGGATCTTTGATATCTTTTACCTTTCCTTGCTGGCCGAGGTGAAGATTGGAATTTCTCCCAGTATTCATGTGACTAAACACCTAGGTCACAGTGTTGAGTACATTTCTTCCAAGGAGTTGATTATCAGGTATCACTGCTTTCTACCCAATGGAGGCGTTTCTCACTGTCTAAACTTATGTAGACTTGGTGAGATAAGAATACCAGTTCCTCCGGACTTTTGAATGCTGTATTTTAAACTAATGCCTATTCTCTCAGAGGTCAGTACTGAGCTACACAGGAAGCTACATTACTTGGCTTCCTGGATTCAGCTGTGTCTTGCCCATCTGGTGGACAGCAGCACCTTCCCTCCTCCATTGCCTGGCTAACTCCTACTCATTCTACTCTTGGCCTGACATCTCCTTCTACCAAAGCCCTTTCCAGACACGGTTAATGTTGATTCAGATTTCTGTTCTGTAAGTTCTTGTTTCCATGACAGTGGTTTCCACATTGTGTTGTAAATGTCTATTTCTCAGGCTAAGACAGCACCGCCTTGGATGGAGAGCCTGTGTTTCCATCTTCCTAGCTCCAGTGCCACCTACAGGGCCTGGAACAGAGTTCTGTATGTAGCCAATGAATGCACGTCAAACTAAAAACTGCCTGAATGAATAAAAATAATGAACGTTGGAAATACTGAAAATACAAATCCATAAATACATGTCTTACATGCATATATAGACATTTTCTATGGGTAACTTAAATATTTGGTCACTTTAAAATGATTGGAAGAGCCTGTTTAGTGAGAGCATATCAGGAAACACTATATCCATTTGGGGAAACAAGATAAAGAGAAATGAACTAATGTTATTAAAGACCATATCCTAGGATGGATTAAAATTGCCTTATGCAGGCCGGGCGCTGTGGCTCGTGCCTGTAATCCCAGCACTTTGGGAGGCTGAGCCAGGTGGATCACCTGAGGTCGGGAGTTCGAGATCAGCTGGGCCACCATAGTGAAACCCCGTCTCTACTAAAAATAAAAAAAATTAGCCAGGTGTAGCAGCACACACCTGTAATCCAGGCTACTCGGGAGAGTGAGGCAGGAGAATTGCTTGAACCCAGGAGGTAGAGGTTGAGTGAGCTGAGATGGCGGCCATTGAGCTCCAGCCTGAGTGACAGAATGAGATACCATCTCAAAAAAAAAAAAAAAAAGGCGTATGCATATGTTACTGCATTTCATTTTTACAGCAATTGCGTAAACTGAAGGTATTTTATCTTCATAGTAAGGATGAATAAACCAGGTTTTTAAAAAATTGAGTTACCTTCAGAAAAATCTAGAATTTAGTAAGTTGTACAAATAGAACAGAATCCCAGGAAAGAAAAGACTTGAAAGTCCAGTAGACTCAAATCTCAATGCTCACACTACATTTAATATGTCTAATACTCGGATGAGTATGTACTCTCCCTAAGAAGCTTTTGTGTGTGTTTGCATCTGTGCAGATGGGCATGGCCATGTGTGAGAACCATGGAGCTGAGAATGCCTGAATCACAGGTTTGTTGCAAAGAAACATGAGCTTATATGCATAAAGTGTGTAGCCAAATTCCAGGTATTAATAGGCTGGGCAATGATTATTCTCTTGCATAGTCCAAGAATGAGAAGAGAGAAATCTTCTCTCTTCTCACTCTACTATGCTTCCATCAGAACAAGCAAATCACTTCCCCACTGTGGATACCAGTGGACCATTTGGGTCCTAGCTAGCTGCAAAGTAGCAAAGGATCACCCTCAAACTATTCTTGAGGGAGTTTACATCTAAAATGTTCCTTGAGGAATGACGGTAGTTCAAGGCAGGCCTAGAAATGAGGTTCTGTCTGTAATGTGCCTGGGGAGATCCAACCATGGGACAACACTCAGACCAACCAGAGTTGACTCTCACCCATTGTAGCCTGACATGTAGAACATCTGACTGCGCTGTATCAAGTTTGCGTCATCTTCATTGTGGTCTCTGCATGCTGAGAATCATTTTAGGCATTTGGAATTCTCCAGAGCCAGAGGACTAAGCAAGAAATTTTCTAAGCTTTCCCTGGCATAAATAGGTTCTGTATCATCCTGTTAGTTCAGAGCTGACATTGAGACAGAAATTGGGGATCTCTTTAAGCAATCACTGTCTTTATTATTGGGGAAAAACATCAGGCTCTCAGTTTGTATTTGCCCCTTTTATTTATTTAACTCCCCTAATTCACAAAGCGCTGGCTGACTAACTCACAGAGATAATCTATAAAAAAAAGGAAAAATTTGCTTACATAGTTCATATGGCATGGAAATACTGCCTACATGTGGAAAAAATTTTAAAATGTGACTAACTAATGAAGTATTTTTCTTTTTTGTAAATTGGAGGAGATTCATCAGACAAAGGGAAAAAATTAAGGCAGATAAAAAATATTTATCTATAGTGGCTGCCAGAGCATTGTACTTATGGATGCTACATTATCTGCCAAAAGCGTGCTCCTGTGCTTCTTAAGGCAGTAGGAGCTTTCAGGGGCAACTGGAGCTGCACTTTACAGGTCCTTTCAATGAAGTCAGTGTGAGCTCTCTGAATCAAAACACCTCAAAGGCTGTCGAAGTGAATGAGAATCAGATTCATCAAAAATGATAAAAAAAAAAACCCCATACAGATTAAGTAAAAGAAATCTTACCTCAGAGCGTTGTCAAGGATTGTCTCTGCTCCTTGGGGAGCTCAGCCCTGTGCAGGCAGCATTCATGGTAGAATTTCCCTTCTGCAGCCCGGCTTTTCCAAAGCCACCATAACTTGAATCAAAAGGCCTTGTGAAAATGGAAGTTGGCGTTGTTTAAACTTTCTGAGTTATTAGGGGATGCTCTTTCAAATAAAATTCACTTTAGATTATGAAAAACAATGATTTGCTTACAAAACAAAATTTAGGTGCCTCAGATAAGCTAAAATAGAATATTTTATTCATTGAGTGGGTGGGGAGGACTTCGGAGTTACTTTAAAAGGAACTGAAATAGTTTGAAGATTTTTTTACAAAGATATCTCATTTCATTGTGGAAAGATCTCTCACTGCTCTTATTGAAGATTTGCCTCTGTTAGTAATGATTTCTTACCTTTCCCTACAAATTCTATGATTCATTTCTGTTATAACATTCTCTGATTTATGAAAAGGTTCTTTTTTTTTAAAATCCAATCTTACCTGTGATTAGTCCTGCCCTACTTTCCTATGTCACCTTCAAAAAAGTGATAAAGCCCGAGTTTCCTCCAAAAATAGACATTATTTGAGCCTCCTTGTTCTATTGCTGTGGTGTCATTAGGGACTTATGTGGCAGTGCAGATAGTAAGAAGAAATATGTCATTTGGTTGTGAGGTCAGCCTAGTCTAGGGAGAAAAGAGCAATCTGGTGGTAAAACACCCTACAAAATAATATCTCTGATTCAGCTCACAGAAACCTCCCTGGAATTAAAAGACACCATCAACTTTTTTTTTTTTCCTGCTAACCAGGACTATATCTATCTGACCTAGATTATCAGACCATGAAAAGTAGATATGAGTTCCTTGCAAAGTAAAATCATAAAGTCTTGGGGCTAAAATGAAGCTTAACAGCTTTCTATTGCAATTCTTCTCCTTATTCTTGAATTTTGCCTTTAATGGCTTCTTCAGGTGGTTTTCTAGTCTTTTCAGGTACATTCCTTAACAAAAAACCCACTACTCATGAAAATTGAGCTCTTTGAGGGCATGGGCATTGCTTTTTAGTTTTTTCAATATTGTTATCACCTGAATCTAACCAATGCCTTGTACATATTAAAACTTCGCTCAAAATTTCTTGAATGAATTGATGAATAAATGTTCACTCTGAAGTACTCTTAATATATCTATATAGTAAGTGTAGCATTAAAAATACATAACCTGTCTTTTCAGCTCCTTCTCTCTTTATCCCTTCTTTTCTGTTTGCTCCCCCTGTCATCCAATGGTAGGCATAGAAATCACTCATGCTGGAAACAAGAATCTAATGGTTAGCTCTTTGTATACCAAAGGTAAATGCTTTGCCTATTTTTGCAACTAAAATGTTTAAAGGAGTCTTAATGGAATACCAGTTAAGAATTTACTAGCTAGGTGACCATTTTGTTTTTCTATATGCCTCAGTTTATTTATCTGTAAAACAAGGATAATAATTGTACTTATCTAAGATGATTAAGTGAAGAACCAAAACCATAATGTGTATAAAGTATTTCAGAACAGTATATAACATATAGTAAGCACTCAGTAAACATTAAAACATTGATGCCATATGAAACAGTGTTTTATTCATCTTTGAGTATTTTGGTTATCTCTTGTTGCATAATCAATCATTCCATGATTGTCTCTAATTTTCCTATACATTAACTGGGCTCAGTTGCATGGTTCTCACTTGAATCGCTTATATGTTTTTGCTGTCAGGTAGCTGAGAAGCAAGACATATCCAAATACTTGCCTAAGGAAAACGTCTAAGAATACACAGACCCATGACTGGTTGTTGACTGGGAGCTCAGCTGGGACTTTCAACTAGAATGTCTCCGTTTAGCTTCTCCATGGGATTTGAGTTTCTTGTAGTGTGGTGGCTGGGTCTTGAGGGGGAGATTCTCAAGAGCAAGCACTGCAGGAGATGCAACTGGAAGCTGCAAGGCTTGTTATGACCTCGTCTCAGAAATTACATGGCATATCTTCTGCCATATCCTGTTGGTCCAAATAATCACAGAGCCTGCACAGGTTCAATGGAGTAGATAAGAATATTTCATTTCCTGAGTGCAGGCAGGGCAAGTTTCCATTGCAGAATAGCATGTGGAATACAATAAATTATTGGTACCATTTTTGGAAAATTTCATCAGCTACATTGACAACTGTAATTTTTTCTTTTACATTTGAGATGAAATTTATTTCTCTATTACTTCTTTTTTTCACATATTTAGGGTCATATATAAAAGGTTAAACCTTCAATACAGTTTTTATTTGGTGGGCCTTTAAAAGTTTGAGGATGGTTAATATGCCTGTAGTGGGTATTTTTCTGGATAAATATTTACAGATGCTTAAAATTTTCTATAGAAAGACCTGTTTAAAAGATCTTTTGATTTTTATCTTCATCTTAAGGATAGAATGTGGTAGCTGAAGTAGGCCAAAGAAATTATTAAAAGAAATATACCATCTACAGTTGCTTTCCTTAGACTGGGTTGAATAGACTCACTGGTCATTCATTTTGCCTTTCGTTATTAATTTCAGATCATCCGACAGAAAGAAATTTGAAGTAAAATCATTTATACGATGCATTATTTAGTTATTCATATCCATATCTCTAGCCTATCACATTCCCAACGTAATAATAAATAATTTATAGGCCTCAGCTCACACAGCAGTTTCACATACAATGTCTCATTTGATCTTCACAATACAAGTTGTGTTATTCTAGTGCCTTTCTTCCCATAAAGGTATTGAAGCTCAAACAGGTAAAAAGATTATTCCAAAAAGAGAGTAATTATTTGAGTTACAAACATCTACTTGTTGTAAGGTCATAAATGTTCATTTGAGAGACATGATTTCCTGGACATAAAGTGTAGAATAATAGACACTGGAGACTAGGAAGAGTGAGAAGGTGGGAGTGGGGTAAGGGATGAGAAATTATTTAATAGGTACAATGTACGCTATCTGGGTGATGGCCACATTAAAAGCCCAGACTGCACTACTACATGATATATGCATGTAATAAAACTGCCCTTGTACCCACTAAATCTATACCAAAACAAACAAAAATCTGGCAAAAAAAGTTCATTCATTTATCAAATTTCTGATTCTTCCATTAGTGTATTAAAAATTAATAGTGGGTCCAACACTCATTCTGAATATCTATCCACTTGATTCACTTGGCTAACACCCAACATAGTATCCAGAAAAGCTATAATTACTTTCCCAGCTTCCCTTGAGTCTAAGCATTACCATGTGATACATTCCAGGTCAACGAAACATAAATGGAATTCCTCTTGGAGGATTCTGGAAAGATTTCTACTCTTTGCTGAAAAGGAAAGATGAAGGTGGTATTGTTCTTTCCACTGTCTTTCCTACCATGGCTGTAGTCAAAATGCTCAGAACTGCAGCCATTATCTAGTATTTTCCTATGAGGGAAAAGACATGGAAACTATAGTGATGGTGGTTTTTGTGTTGTTGAACCACTGATCCAGTAACAGTAAACAATTTCTTTTAGAAATTTTTTCAAACAAATGAACAAATACACATTTGTTAAGAGGTACAATCTTTGTGATTTAAGCTGCTAATGATTGGATTATTAGAATTTAATAATCTTCTTGATTTAAGCTGCTAATGATTGGATTAGAAGCAGAATGCATTTTTGGTCAAAATAACATTCCTCCTCTTTGCCTCCCTCCTTTCTTCTCTTTATTCTTCCTTCCTAATGATTCTTTTTCTTTCAGCATGTGATGGGTTTGGAAGGTATGAATAATACTAAAGAATAGATTTGCTATTTCGTAGGAGTTTGATGAATATTGTTAAGAGATTTTATAGATGATCTTTCATTTTTTGGAAAAGAAATACACATAAAGAAAACAATGAGAATGATAAAGCCCTGAACATGAAAATGCTGTAATTGGCTGATCAATTATGGAAGTACCAATTATCTTTTAATATTATTAACTCAATACACATATCTAGTACATTTATTGTTCAGAAATAAAAAATGGTCATATGTCAGTCATAACATTGGGAAAGATATTTGGAAACATTTTTGTTGTTGTTTCGACAAGGTGTACAATGAACCACTGATTCATTACAATGTATTAGATAAATTATGCTGTTGTACACAAAGTCTTAATGCCTGTAAAAATAAATTCTGATAAAGATTGATAATATATTCATATTGGTTAGTCATATCTTCTTCCCTTACCGTCTTCCTCTTCTGTACTTCAACTTGAAACCTGTAAAATTTCTTATTGGGCACCGGCACAGGCTATTCCCTCTGAATGAAGCATATTTCCTCTCTTTACTGATTAACTTGTATTCATCCTGAAATCTCCCTTAAGGCTTTCCTTCCTCTGGGAAGATTTCTCTGATGCATAAAGTTAACTCTTTTCCCATATACTTCCATAGGGCCTTGTTTTTCCTCAATTACGTGTTGCAAGCTGCTTGTTTACTTGTCAGTTCCAACCTAAACTCTAAGTTCTATTAGGTAGAACCTTTCATCTCTGTATCCTCAGAGCCTTCCCTATTACACAGTGGGTACTTAAAACTTGTTGAATAATTGAAAGAATCAATTTAATTGTCATAATTCTTATATTTGCTTTCAACAAAAATAAAGTTTTAAATTATTTGAAAGAAGCAAGTCTACATCACATGGTTTTTTTCTTAATCACAAAAAGAAATACTCCTTTCTTTTGAAGTTTTCCCCTTTTTTATATTCAAAACAGTCTCTTGTCTAATTTTGCAATTTCTTCTTTGACATTCTTGATATGCCAGAGAGCTATCAGTCTTCTCATTTGCCAATCTTTGTTTGCCAAGTGTGAATGTTCAAAGCCAGACTAATTTCCACATAACATATACTATGTTTTCCTACCTAAAAGATCAAAGAAAAGCACTATGCTTGACATGATTTATTTTTGACAAATATGTGTAGCCTGCTTTAATATGTGAAAACATTTTTCATTAGGTTCCTGAGGGGGAGAATTATGTCTCACTAGATACATATCCTCATTTTAACAAAGTTTTACTCTCTCCAATTTTTTTTTGTTCTGGTTGGTCACCTAGCATCTCAAAAGAATGCATACTCAGGTATAAATGTGTCTGAGATATATTTCACAGTGTATGATATAAGTGGTTTTAAAACCTCTAACATGTTGAGGCTGTTTAAACTTAATTTAAAATTCCCTCTTGAGTTTTTCTTTGCAGGATTTCTTAACTAGATTTGCATATCATTAACTAGTAGTCAAATAGACACTATAAACTTCAGCTCTCCTTTGCTCACCTTTCAAATTAGCTAATTTATCTATATTTTCTTTTCTTAACCTTCTGTTTTCCAATTCACGTATCTAATTATTTGCATTTTTATGTGTTTTATTTTGTGGTATGGCATCTCCAACATTATTCTCATTTATTTATATTATTTTGTATGACATCTCGAATAATTGTGACTTTTTTGAATTATTCAGCTCTCTTAGAATAATTCAAAATTGAAACCCATTAATCTGCTTGTTTTTTTCCCCTCCTCACATTTTTTTGGGATGATAATGATGCATAGCTCCTGCTCTCCTGGCACCCCTTTGCTATTGAAGAGTACGCAGCACTACTGCATTACTAATCAATGATTGGACATCATTTTTTTCTTTACTATTCAATTTCATTAATTATCTATATCAAAATAAGCCTCAAAATACTTCTAATATCTCTTGTATGAATCCATTTATCTCCTGGTCTTTTCTACTCTCCTGCTGGGCTTTCATCAGATCTCACCCACCATAGTGAGAAAACCTACTAACTATTCCATCCCATCCCATCATACTTCTAAGGAATTTTTTTTAAAGATTACTTTGGAAATCTAATCATAGTTGTTCTCTGCATGAAAACCTACAGTTATTTCCATCTCTCTTGGGAAACGTTACAGTTTCTAATGTCGGTAGGCTCCAGCCCTACTCATTTTTTTGTGTGTCTTCAAACAAATCTTATTTTCTTGCCTTCCTGATCTTCTGCCCTCTGCATACAATGGGCCCTTTGGCTGGAAAATCCTCCTCTCTAACCCTACTGCTCGTGCTCACTTTCTGCTTCTTCCCAAGGCTAACTCATCCTCCCGGTCTCAACTGCAAAATTCTTCTTTGCAGCCTAGACTCCACCCTCTCCTCCCAAGCAGGTTTAGTCCCCAGCCCACATTTTTCCATGGAGTCCTCTACTTTCCTTCTCCTAGGCCTTTATAAAAAAATTGCTTTTGCTTTTTAAAATTATTATTATTTTTAATTGGAAAATCAAAATTATGTACATTTGTTGGGGTACAAAGTGATGTTTTGATATTTGTATACAACGTAGTATGATTAAACCAAATTAATTAACAGATCCACCACCTCACCTTCTTATCATTTTTGTGATGAAACATTTGAAATTTACTCCCTTAGTTATTTTGAATTGTACAATACATCATAATTATTGGAGATAGTCACTCCACTACGCAATAGACTCCAAAGGTATTCCATCTGTTTACCTGAAACTCTTGGGCCATCATCTCCCCATTCCCTCCTTCCTTCCCACTCCCAGCCTCTAGTTACTGTCATTCTATTTTCTGCTTCTATGAGTTTGACATTCTTAGACTCCACATATAAGTGAAATCATGTGATATATGCCTTTCTTTCTGTCCCTGGCTTATTTTGCTTAGCATAATGTCTTCCAGGTTCTTCCATGTTACAAATGACAAGATTTCCTTCATTTTTAAGGCTGAATAGTATTCCACCGTGTACATATGCCACACTTTTAAAATCCATTTATCTGTTGATGGACACTTAGGTTGATTCCTTATCTTGGCTATTGTGAATAATGCTGTAATGAACATAGGAGTGCAAAAAATATCCCGTTGACAGATTGAATTCAATTCCTTTGGATATATGTACCCAGAAGAGAGACTGCTGGATCATATGGTAATTCTATTTTTAGTTTTGGAAGAATCTCCATACTGTTTTACATAATAACTGTACTAACTTACATTACTACCAACACTTTACAAGGTGTCCCTTTTATTTGCATCCTTGCCAATACCTTTTATCTTTCATCTTTTTGATACTAGCCATTCTAAAAGGTGTGACATGATATCTATGGAACCACAAAAGGTCTCAAGTAGCCAAAATAATCTTGGATACAAAGAACAAATCTGGGGTCATCACACATTCAGATTTCAAAAATATTATAAAGCAATTATAATCAAAACAGCATGACAGTAGAATAAAAACAGACACATCAACCAATGGAATGAATAGAAAGCTGAGAAATAGACTCATGCATTTATAGTGAATTGATTTTCAACTAAGGTGTCCAGGAACACATGATTGGCCAGCCTCTGCTGTAAATGGTATGGGGAAAACTGGATATCTACATGCAGAAGAAGGAAATTAATTCCTTATCTCACGCTATATATAAAAATAAAATGGATCAAATACTTAAATATGAGACCTGCAACTATAAAACTACTAGGAAAAAAAGAGAAAAGGCTCCATTTTTGTCAATGATTTTTTAAAAAATATAAATCCAAAAGCACAGAGAACAAAAGCAAAAATAGACAAATGGAATTGCAAATGGAATTAATTTGATTTGAAATCAAATTAAAGGTGTCTGCACAGCAAATAGAACAACTAACAAAGTGAAGAGACAATCCAGAGTGGGAGAAAATATTTGCAAACCATGTATCTGATAAGGGGTTAATATCCAAAATAAATAAAAAAACTCAAACAATTCAATAGCAATAAAGCAAATAACCCCATTTAAAAGTAAGCAAAAGACCTAAACAGACAATTCCTAAAAATACATACAATGTTTAACAGGTTTATGAAAAAATGCTCTGCATCACTAATCATTAGGGACATGCCAATTAAAACCATAGTGAGATATAACCTTCTTCTAGCTCTTACCCCGTTGAACTCTAGTGGCCTCTTGGCTGTGCTGCCCTTATTGTGAGGTTAGACTGCCCATATTTTTTCAACCCATCTGGAAGCATATAATCCTTATTTATAAAATAAATTAATTCATAGATTACTTTCTGTATAGTTTTTGATGATTTCCTATTTTCCACTTGGCAATATGTCTCTTTTGTCTTCCTTTAGGGAGGTAAAATGCTGCAATTTTTTTCTGTCAATGTTATCAGCTTTCTAAAATTATTAATTTGAATTGTATTTTTTTATTTTTCTCATACTCCTTTTAGTATTTCAGACTCCACACTCTTGTGATTACCATCTTTCAAATGTTCTTTCTGGAGAAAAAAATGAGTCACTGTTTGATTTTTATGTGCACTGATGGTGACCAAAAATGTTACTTTATTATGCATAGCGCATAGTGCCTTAGATTTATTGAATTGGAAAAGTCAAATTGTTTGATTTCTAATTCTGCTAATGTAATGCTGTTGGGCCAAAGGGAGGTAGAGAGAAGTCTTAAAATTGCATGCCATTTGTATTAATTAATAATTGGTTTAAGTCTCTAGTAAAGATGCAATATCCCATTAATTATATTGGGATCCCACTATTATGGAGTGAAAATAAGGTAAAAGTTATGTGGCAGGCTATTTTCCCAATAAAGCCTTGCACAACAGGTTTAAAAAATTAGTAAATTGGGTTTTATCAGTACATGTAATAATTCAAGTTTTCCTTGATTTGAAACTACCAATATGAGTGAACAGAGAAGTAAGTTTATATTACACAGTATTAAAGACAATTTATAGTTACTTTTTCAGAGGTATATTTTATTAGTGAAATTTCACAACAGACAAGAACATGAAATAGGATACTGACATTTTGTAAACTCATTGTACTAGGCTAAAAAAGGAAATTCTGTTATAGAGACATCTTTCTTTCCAACTTTAAATTGTTCAGGAAGATGTATTTGAATTCACTGACCTTGTATTTACTTACCAATAGCAAGTAACAGATGAATGAAAGAATATAAAGACATTGAGTTTAAATATCTAACCAGGAAGTGGTTTCTTAGGATAGTTATGCAGGCAATACATTCACTTGTCTTTTCAAATTATTTTCCTTTGTCCAGCGAACTAACCATAGCTAACTACCAGGTACAGTCTTTTAGTAAAGACTATTTGGTTATCAGCAGTGCCTCTTATTTCTGCTCTCCAATCAGCAGATCCTCTCTTTTCTGCTCCCCAAGTATAGGCTCTAGACAACCATGTTTCTGCTGTGCAGTTCTGCTTACCCACGTTCATAGTCATGACGTGTCTGCTGTGTTGAACCTCAGTATATCGAAAACTTAATCTGCAGGACAGATCTCTGGATGGCTTTGGACTGACCCAATTCGCTCCCACTTTCCTGCATGTAGTTCTTGGAAAAACTGTAGAATGTGCTGGGACTACATTCATCCTGAGATCTAGGCAAAAACTGCCTGAAACTGTCTGGGTCTTGTTCTTGTCCCAACCAGAAAATGTAACATCTTGAGCTAGGGAGGAACTGTCTGAGACAAATTGGGCTTTGTTCCTCCTTCTCCTGGAAGCAGGATGTCCTTCAAATCTTTGCCCAGTGAGCCATATTGCCCTGAGGTATATAACTTGGGTTGGAACAACTTTTGAGGTCCCTCAGCCACAATACAAGTGGAACACCCAAAGTTCAGCCTTCCTCCATCTGCCCCAGGCAGCTTTCTTGAGCCTTGAGGGACTGGATCACAATGGATCCTAGACTTCTTTTGCTGCTTGCTGCCTATCTGTAAGTAATAAATCTATTTTATGTAACTTGTTGTGTGTGAGTGTTCTGTCTCATCGGACTCAGGCAATTGATAAAACTATAGCCCAAGGTGCAGTGGGCAAAAGTGTTTGGAGTCCTATTTCTGGTGGTTGGTATAGTGATAATCTTTGCTATTCTCCATGCAGTGGGAATTCTCTCTTGGGGTTGGTAATTGGAGAACCTGGTCCACACTACATTGTGTATAGTAGAGGCTCAACAACTTTTGAATGAACGTGTACATGAAAATAGGCACCTGACTTAAGCTGAGCTATTCAAATCTTGTCACTTGAAAATTGCAACTGAGAAATATGGTTTTGGTGGTTACGTCACATCAATAGTAGAGTTCAACAGGAAAAAATCTACAAGTTGCAATGCCAACTTACCCATGCCTGGTCAGGTTCGTATTTCACTGAAGTGTGGTTGCCTAGCCTTACTTTAATTATAAGAGATACTCCAGTGTATGTATTAAACAAGTTACTCTTTCTTACAGCCGCGAACTCATGCACTGTGCAACTAAACCATCACTTTGATCTTCTGCAAGTGTTTATGCATGTGGGGGTAGAAATAGATGGCACATATGCACATAAATATGAGCACGTATTGTGTTTCTCTAATTATAACTGACACAAATGACAAACTAACTGTAATATGTATGTGTGAATGGGTGTTATTGATTAACCTAGAATTACACATATATTTGTCACTTTTTGTATGTGTGTCTCAGCATAGAATATATATGTATCTGGATATAAAAATTTGGGAGGGCATGTTTTAAAAATTAGCATGGGCTATGTGTATGCACATAGATGTATTTAAGAAAATGTATGATTATAATGTATGTTCTCATTTATTATGGGTTCTCATTATGGATTGAAGGCTATTGTGCCCCCTTTCATCATGTCAGTATTATAGAGGAAGCTTAGTTTTCTGTTTATGTGAATATGTGTGTTGTATTTGTTAATTTAAAAATCATTCTGAGTAAAGAACAACAAAAATAACATGAAAAAACCAAGGTATTTATCACTTGTTTATTCGTTACTTCTTCCTCTTTCTCCTCCTCCATTAGCCTCATCTGTTCTGATTCATTAAACTAAGCATCTTATGTGCAACATCTTTCCATTTACAATTTCTTCCACTTAAAAGAAAGAAATATTAATCTCTAATTTGGATGTTTTCATTTCCTTTCTATTATATTCTTTTATATGAAAACATTGTAGTTACTTTGACTAATGCCATTTTGATTAATCTTTTAAAAATATTATAGAACCTTTTAAGAACAGAATATTCCCAGTTTGCTGATTATTAGATCTCTAATTTCTGTTTAATTTTTATTAATTTCTGTTTAATTTTTATATATTGGGAATGATGAATAGATGATAGATTACTGTAAATCTGTTCTTCTAAAATGGAAACATCTTAAAACATTTCTAAATAATTATAAATATGTAACTCTGAATTATAATTGATACATTTTCCTGAAATTAAGGGGTGTTTTTAAGATGTGTAGATAAGAAACTCAAGATTTGCCAAATTTCTGTTTTGCAGAAGGTCTTATTCCAGGGTTGGTAATTATCATTTAATGTAGAGAAGCTTTAAGGTCTGGATCCCATATACCCTAGAATTCTAATTCCAATGTTGCAAATTTCTTTATATGAAAGTTGGAAGGACTACATGAGAGTATTTCAAGATTTGGCATCAGAATTTTTTTATCTCATTTTGGGAATAGTGCAGGATGTTTGTTTTTTCCCAAACCTCAGAATATTCTGGAAATGATTTTCAGTAGGGCGAAGGTAGGGTCAGTTATTCAGAGGGTATTGACTAATGCTTTATTGAGGTTTTGTGGAGGTAGTTTTAATGTTGGCAATTTTTCCATTTGCATCTTTCTCATCTCCCAACCTTATATTCATTAATTAATGAAGAGACTTTAGAATTTGAAAGGACAATGAGATAAAACAAAGGGTCACATTAGACTCAGGAGCAATCACAAGACACAGGAAAATGCTTCTTTCTTTGAAGAAGTCCAAAAGAAGTCCAACACCATTAACAGAGCTCCCAGAATGTCCTTTTTCTTCAACATTGCCAAAGCCTGTCATTCCCCGATAAACCCATAAATCCCAGGTTTTTAAAAATGAGTAATCTAAAAAAAAAAAAAATCAAGTGTATCCTGCTAAAAGTATTTTGTAGATAAGTGCTCTCCATCACATTTCTGCTAGTATCTTTACCAGGAAGTCTAGTTAAGAGCCAGGTTTACAATGGCATTGCCTATGGTCATTATGTATTGTTTTATCATTTTAGAAAAGTTTGTGTTTCTTGGTTTTAATCAGTTTGTCATAGTTGTCTACAGTATTTTTTTTTTTTTGTATTTTAGGGTAATCCAAGATGGACCAGAAATTCAGGATCTTCACGGTTAACGTGGTGGCAGTCAGAAAGAAATGCAATAGAACTAATTTAAGTTCTAGATCATGATAGCCTGTGATATGGTTATGATCTGCTATTGTTCGTGATTTCCTGTACCATCATATGGTAATGACAGTTTGTTATGTAATGGAGATGACTGCACCAGACCTATGTAAAAATTTAGTTTCTACTAAAAATATTCTTCTTGAAGCTTATGAGACTATTTTCAAGGAAATAACTTCCTAAAGAAATAGGCCCCTGGTGAAACACCAGGGAATAAAGGAAATAAATTGAGAAAAATACCACAAGCTTATTTTTATTGATCCCATTCCCGTGGGTTTAAATGTAATTTTTAATTAGAATGTATCACAGAAAATGCCCTTTTCAATTTATTTTAAAAGATTTGATCATATTTTTGCCCTTTTAACTTATAGCTAGAGCAACACATACTGTGAAAAGTTTAGAAAAGTTAAATCTAAAGTCTGCCCTTGACATGACTGGTCAATTATTTCTTAAATAAATGATAATAAAAACTTAAAAAACAGGTAAATAGAGCTGGCTTTCCTGTCTCCAATTGAGTACTTTGATATGTAATTCACAAAATTATTAAATTTTATAAAATACACTATTATTTTCCTAAATTTGATGATGTTGATTTTAGGAAAAGTTGATCATATAAATGCTAAGATAGATTGATGAGTATATATGAACTATTTAATTGTTATATTTGTTCAAACAATTCAGTGTAGTTATTATCTTTGCCTGATCAACTACAATAAAAATGGACTTTTTTGTTGGCATTGACATAAGAAGCATCTAAATTTTCAGAGGTGCAAACAATTTTTCTTTAACTTCAATTTTTTTGTTTCCATTTTTTAATAGTTTGACAATGAAATTCTACATGCAATTGGAATTTTGAGTTAATCTATTACATTTTAAATAATTTGAAGCTTGATAAGTTATAATATAAAAATGATAAATATCTGTGCTGTTACTGGGCTGGTTTACCCTCAGGAGATCAATTCCTCGTTTTTTCCCAGAAAGGAAAATCACAAGGGTATTGATCCAGCAGGAAGTGTTTCTTCCATGTTAGTTGGCTTCTAGATGGATTTAGCTAATGGGGGGGTACTGGTTGGCACTGGTGGAGAAGCCAGGTTGCTTTTCCTCTTCCTCTTTGCTTTAGGTAGCACTTCTAGCAATAGCTGTATCACCTCCATGGGTCCAAGCCCTGCTTGAAAGGTACACATTGGCCCCAGTATCTTGGAAATCCCTGGCTGGCTCCAGGCTCCATAATATTACCCACTCCCTGTTGTCTCTGTAGCCTGTGAGTAGTAGTGACCTTATGTCTTTTTAAAATCTCAGCATTGCTTCCTCCCCCTATTTGGCTATTCAGTTCTGTCATCAGATATATATAAAATTTGCTGCATTAAATTTTATATCAGTTCCAAATACGTTGTTTCTGTTTCCTGGTCGAGCCCTGGCTGATACATTCTTCATAATAATTTTAAAGAATGCTAATCTATAATTTAAAATCATTATAAATTGGAAAACTCATTGGAAAATGTGCATTTCTTATGTTTAGTTTAGATGATTGTTCTGGACTGAATGTGTATGTCCTCCCAACCCTACCCCCAAACTCATAAGTTGAAACCCTAACTTCTGATGTTATAGTATTAATAGGTGGGGCCTTTGGGAGGGGATTAGGTCATGAAGGTGGAGCCCTAATAAATGGGATTAGCGCCCTCATAAGAAGAGACACACTTATGCTTCTCTCTCTTTCCCTCTGTCTCTACTCTCTGCCATGTGAAGACACAATGAAGAGATGACCATGTGCAAACCACATAGAGTACCCTTACCAGACACTAGAGCTGGCAGAAATTTGATCTTGGACTTCCCAGTCTCCAGAACTGTGAGAAATAAATGTTTGTTGTTTATGAAACTTAGTCTATGGTATTCTGTTATATAGCAGCTTGAGCTGACTAATGTGATATTATTAAGTCAAGAAAAACAATTGGATAATTTATCAAGATTATTTTATGGCAGACAATTTATTTCAACATTACTTAAAAGCATTGAAACTTTTCTATGCTGAGAATTACAGTGCTGCTGGTGAAAGTGGTGCTAGAGCTTGTGTGTGTGTCTGTGTGTGTGTCTAATCGCATTCAGGGAGCATTTGTTTAGTCTGTTTTAATGCTATCAGAGCTAACATTTGTGTATGTTTGTTTTCTTTATCTCAGCTCTGGCAAATCCATGAAAAACAGATGAAAGCCAAATCTTTCATTATTTCTAAATCCCTGATTATGACATATTTCTCCTACAACGTGTCCCAAAAGAATGAGAAAAGCATCTGTAACTACGCACAGGTTATGTTGTAGTCCCCTCAGTAGCATTTTGTCCATATGGAGCTTAATTCTGTAAACTACCTATAACTAGGTATAAAATTCAGACAGAAAATAGCAATTTATCACAAGTGTCCAGCTGGCTTCTTCTTCTAAGTGGTTATTTCCTAATCTGCAATCCAGCCATTCACTGCCCACTCACATTTTTGAGCTATAAAATCAATAATAAATAGCAAGAACATTCCCTTGAGAGCTTAGCCATGCATTCCAACTGGGCAGAACAAATGAAGGGCAATGCCATAGAACTGTGTGCTTGGGTTTTAATAGAAGAAATAAAAAATGGAAAAATGGAAGTTGCTCCTTTCATCCAGTTGATCAATAATGCAATGTAAGATTAAGCTTAAAATTCTCCCTAAATCAAGAAACTTTCTTTAAAACAAAATCTTTAGAGAAATAATTTTTTCGATTAGTATAATCTTTAAAAGATTCTTGTATATTTTACTGATTTATTGGTCTTTCTTTAATGTAATTGAACCTGATCAGTTCAAAATATCCATTTTGAGCCCTCTTCAAGTTGAAGTCTGGAAATCTTTAAAATGTTGATATTTTAGCTCCTAACAAAGTGCACTATTACCTCCAGTTGCATTTCCAACAGAACTGTGCTCTCTAGAAATATTTGTAAATGCAGATATGTACATACACACATAGACACACTCAAATGTATATAGATATGTACATTAATATACATCTGAACAGTGTTCATATAAAATACCCATATGTACACATTTCTACACACACATACTCACATACAAACATAGTAAAATCAGATAAGAAACTATTTTGGCAATTCCGGATATCACTAATTTGTTCAAATAGTGTATATATATGGGTATTTTATATGAACACTGTTCATATGTATGTTTATGTACATATCTACAAATGTTTGAGTGAATTCTTATCATCTAGAAACTAGTTATTACTGATTTCACTTTAGAGGTAATAAACTAATTCAGAAATTAATTTAACCACAATCACATGACTAGTATTTATCTTACTGATAATTTGAACTCAAATACAACCAATTATAAAGCCCTCATTTTTAATTGTATAATTCTGTCTTCCATAGTAAAATCAATACAACAAAATTAAATCTATTGGAAGGCAGCTTACAATTAAAAGACAGTTGAGTACAATAGAAAACAAATTAGTCATAACAGGAATGGCCAAAATAGTTTCTTATCTGAATTATGTCTGTATGTGAGTAAATGTGTGTGTAGAAATGTGTATATATGGGTATTTTGTATGAACACACTTCATATGCGTATTTATATACATATCTACATACATTTGAGTGCGTCTATGTATGTATGCACGTATCTATATATACTAGTATACATGTACATTTATATACCTATAAACTTAAATATATATACAAAATAAACACACATACATAAACACATATAAAATTTGACATATTATTCACTGATCAGGTATTATCTTTCTGTCATATTGTTGTATCCATGGTTTATTGTTTTCCCAGAAGTATATTATAGAAAAACTAAATAATTAAATAATCCATTATGACAGAAATATTTTCCATGATTCTGCTTCTCATAATAGTATATATAATAAAATATGATATACCCGTTTGTTCTCAAGGCCTTGCAAACTAGTTGATAAACATAAATACAAAATTTGCAAAACTGTACAAAAGTTATCATCAATAAATACCAATGCTATCTCATTAAATTCTTACTGTCTAGAAACTAGTTATTACTAATTTCACTTTAGAAGTAGGAAACTAATTCAGACATTAATTTAACCAAAATCATATGACTAGCATTTATCTTACTGGTAATTTCAACTTAAATACAATCAATTCTAAAGCCCTCATTTTTAATTGTATATTCTGACTTCTATAATAAAATTAATACAGTAAAATTAAATCTATTAGAAGGCAGCTTACAATTAAAAGAGAGTTGAGTACAATAGAAAACAAATTATTCATATCTGAAATGGCTTGTAAAATTTTCATAAAAGGAGAAATTTAATTATGTCTTAAAAATTAGATTAGTCATTGAAGAAAAGAGCAGTCTTAATGTGCAGAATTTGGAAAGTGGGAAGGCACAGATATACGTAAAGGAGACAATAAAATAAAAATAGCTAGAGTGTCAGATCCAAGAAGGTCAAAGTTTGGAGATTTTGATGCAAATGTTGATTATAGCCAAATTCAGAGGGACTTGAATGTTTGAACAACATCTCGGCACATAGAAAACACTCTATAAATGTTTTCTCACTGAATAAATTAATGTATCCTGTAGGCAGTAGGTCGTGTGGATGGTTTTTAATGTAAAAGTGTGGCACGATGACAGCATTGCTTTATAATGATTATTCTGGTGGCATTATTCAGCACGAATAAAACTGTAGATTGAGAGACTTCTAAGCATGAGATTAACAGTGAATAATTTAAAAGAACGAATGGGTAAAAGAGACATTTGGAAGTCATATCATCAAGTCAAATGTCCAAGGTCTCTGGAAATAAAATAAATCATTAAATACTATTCAAAAGCATATATTGAACACCTACTAGGTGCCATATAAACAGGTGTGGAAACAAAAGGGGACATGAATTCACAGGCAGAATTACATAACAATGTGAAAAAAGCAGAGAAGCATAGAGGGGAGTGATTGCTATGAGATTAAGAGTAATAGGAAAGTCATCAGAAATAGCTGGTTAGACTTCACCTTGAATGAATGTTGATCTTGTCCAAAGGAGGCATATTGCATAATAAAAAATATCTGCTTTCTAAGAATACAGTTTGCTTGTAGTAAAATTATTGCAATAAGGTGAAAATACAGAAATGCAGTGTTATTTATATATTTACACATATATTTGCAATTATTTCCAGACATTACAAAAGGCAGTTTGGTAGCCAGTTCTAAAATTCTTGGAGATGGAGAATTTTGTTTTATTTTTAATCTTTTATCAAAAAATCTTAACCTATTTAGGAATACATTTCACATTTTTATATATACAGATGTATAATATTTATTTAAATCATATAGTATAGCTTAATTTCAATATTTGGCTAATGTTAGTATGTCTTAAATTTTATGAGTTCAGCATTTTGAGTTGCAATGCTTTGGAATGAGTACTTTATATTGATGCTGTTCTTATCCATAAAAATATTGAGCGTTATATTGTATATAGTATACAGTAGTGTCCTCTTATCCATGGGGTAGATTTTGTTGTTGTTGTTGTTGTTGTTGTTGTTTTGAGATGGAGTCTTGCTCTGTTGCCCAGGCTAGAGCGCAGCGGTGCGATCTCAGCTCACTGCAGCTTCTGCCTCACAGGTTCAAGTGATTCTCCTATCTCAGCCTCCTGAGTAGCTGGGACTACAGGCGCCCGCCACCACACCCGGCTAGTTTTGTACTTTTAGTAGAGACAGGGTTTCACCATGTTGACCAGGCTGATCTCGAACTCCTGATCTCAGAGGATCTACCTGCCTCGGCCTCCCAAAGTGCTGGGATTACAGGCATAAGCCACCATGCCTGGCCCACGGAGGATATGTTTCAAGACCTGCAGTGGGTGCCTGAAACTGTGGATAATATTGAACCCTTTATACACTCTGTTTTCTTTTTTAATAAAACATACCTATGATAAAGTTTAATTTATAAAATTGGGCACAGTAAGAGATGAGAATAATTATAGCAATCTACTTTTCATAATTTCACAGATATAAGATTCTTTATTACTGTAGATCTTAGTAACCTCAGTATATGGTTATTTTCCTTTCCTTATTAAGATAATTTTCAGCTTATCACTTAAAGGAAACACTTTTAGACATCTGTTTGGCGAATCCAAATTGCCAGCATCATTACTTTTGCACTTTGGGGCCACTATTAAGTAAAATAAAAGTTACTTGAACATAAACACTACAATACAATTCAACAGTCACCCACCAAGGAGACGGCTACTAATAAGCAGGTAGCATCTACAACATGGATACTCTGGACTTTCCATGGAATGTGAAACCACAGATAAGAGGAGGACCACTGTGTATGGTGAAATATCTTTTATATTGCATAAACAAAACATGCCTGCAATTCTTTCTTTTTTCTTTTTTGGAGACAGGGTCTCACTCTCTCTCCCAGGCTGGAGTGCAGTGGCATGGTCATAGCTCACTGCAGCCTCAAACTCCCGGGCTCAAGCAATCCTCCAGCCTCAGCCTCCGAAGTATCTGGGACTAAAGGCCTGAGCCACCAGGTTTGGCCAGTTGAAATTCTTTGAATTCATTCCTAATCTCTCTTTAGTTAGAAAGTCCATGATGTGTTATATTTGTTTCTAGATTGCTAGTGCTGTAGCGAAATAAACAAAGTTCAACACTAATGTCACCAACATAACACCAAAAAACTCTACAATTCAAATGTAACAATAGGGCACATTTCATTCAAGCATAGTTGTTAGATGTGATTAAGGACGTTTTATCCTTTCAAGATATGGTAGTAGCAAAATTTTATGTTTTATATACAAGTGTTCCCTTTGTTCTTGTGTACACATACAGTGAGCGTCTAATGAATTATTTTGTTTATATTCCCAGGTATAATGTTCCCCAGCTCTAGCTCTAAATTTCTAGACTAAACTATGAATGTGACATGGTGATTTTTAGACACTTCTGGTTAGCTAACAGGAAACTTTATTTATAAACTTTTCAGTGTGCAGTTGAACTTAGAATTCCCAGTAAGGTTCTCCATTCTCACTCTATAATCAAAGGCTATTAACCAAGTGGGTGAAGTTCCCTCCCTATTTCATTGTTTAAATGAATAATTAAAGGAAAGAAAAAGTGCTGAAATATTTGAAGGACTGACAAGGGAGCGATTGGAGCGTGGATATGACAGTGGTAATCCTGCTGTGTCAGACACTGTGGGAAGGCTCCACCACACCGCATCTTCTCTTTTAGGGGGATATTATATTCCTTTACATTTTGTTTAATCAAAGAGCTTGAACACTGGCCAATTCTGCTTTATACAATCTGAAGAAAGCAATTTGTGATCTATGAATACAACAAGAAGATGCATGGAGGGTGCCCATAATTATTCAATATTCAATAAATAAAATAAGGTCTTGAAACTAATTTATTTATTTATTTATTTGAGACAGGATCTCATCCCGTTCCGTTGTTCAGGCTGAGTGTCGTGGCATGATCACAGCTCACTGCAGCCTTGATTGGCTGGGCTCAAGTTATTCTCCTAGGTCAGCCTCTCAAATAGCTGGGACTATAGGCATGCACCACCAGATCTGTCTAATTTTTTATTTTTTTTTGTAGAGATGGGGGTCTCACTATGCTGCCCAGGCTGGTCTTGATCTCTTGGACACAAGCAGTCCTCCCTCCTTGGCCTCCCAAAGTTCTGATATTACAGGTATAAGCCATTGTGCCTGGCCCATAAAACTAATTTCTTTATTTTTATATATCAGGATATGTCTGAAAGTATGAGATAAATCTATTATAGGAAGTATTCATATAAAAAGGAACTTCATTTAATTCAACTTTTGGAAAAACTTTTTTTTTAAAGTGTCCCACGAGAGATTGCATGGAGAGAATGAGATAAGAAATGGAAAAGAAAATTTGAATGGAAAAACATAATCTCTTTCTAAAGAGAATATTTCTCTTTAAAAATATTTCTATTTTTTATTTTTGCATCTTAATGATGCTTTCTCTTGAGAACATATGAGAAAGTTTTACATTTATTACTAAAATAAAATAGTTGTTTCAAGCATGAACACCAAACTCCAAAAATACCCAAAAGGTAATAGTAACAAGTGAGAGGTAGGAGTAAAGATATGGACTCTTTTCATATAAGCTAATAAATTTGATTCATGGACTATTTTTTCATCAAGATTTTGAAAGATAAAAATTTTAAAGTTGAATGACTTCATTCTTTAATTAAACATTTATTTATCATAAATATTTACTATTAACTAATATAGTTAATAGTAATAATGTTATATTAATATAGTTAATATAAGAATATATTGACTACTGAATGGCAGGCACAGTACTACTTGCTTGGAATTCAGAAACTTAGGAGATGATTCCTAGAAACTGTTTGAGGAATATAATTAATGTTCAAAATCTTATTTGATTAAACATTTTTATAAATTAGATAAGATGGAATTATAAATTAGATAAGATGGAATTTTAATACTAACAGGCTTTAAAGAGAGAGTACACAGAAAAAACACTTTTTACTGCAAAGGGCTAAAGGAAACAATTTATCTGAGCTAGATCATATGAACTTATTACAGCAAACCTATCACAAATTTTACATTCTTGGTAAAAGTGAATTTCTAAGCCCAAGTTCTTTGGTTTTTCAAAGTTGTATTGTTTTGTGCTAAATTTGGTATCTTAGTAACAGCATTGAAGGAATGCGCATGTATTCTCCTACAATGGGCTGCAGCTGCTTCCCAAACTAACATCTTGGTTTAGTTTCCATTTTTCGATTTGAAAAGAGACATTATTGGAGTTCCAAATACTGTCTATTAATCCCTCACCTAAAATATGCAGCAACTCTAAAATTCTAAGTGGCTTGCTTGTAAATTCTTTCACTCACTTCATTTGGTTAGTGATTGCTCCTTTTATGTAACAACCAAAATTTTTTTTATCCAAATTCTTCTTAGAAAAGGCAAATCTGCTGCCACTTAGGTACTTCCACTTTGTATACAGCGTTTACACTTCCAAAAATTTTTTTTCCTTTACTTTTATTATACTTTAAGTTCTGGGATACATGTGCAGAACGTGCAGGTTTGTTACATAGGTATACATGTGCCATGGTGGTTTGCTGCACCCATCAACCCGTCATCTACATTACGTATTTCTCCTAATGCCATCCTGCCCCTGGTCCCCCACCCCTTGACAGGCCCTGGTGTGTGATGTTCCCCTCCCTGTGTCCATGTGTTCTCTTGTTCAACTCTGACTTATGAGTGAGAACATGCGGTGTATGGCTTTCTGTCCCTCTATTATTTTGCTGAGAATGATGGTTTCCAGCTTCATCCATGTCCCTGCAAAGGACACGAACTCATTCTTTTTCATGACTGCAGAGTATTCCATGGTGTATATGTGCCACATTTTCTTTATCCAGTCTAACATTGATGGGCATTTGGATTGGTTCCAAGTCTTTGCTATTGTGAACAGTGCTGTAATAAACATATGTGTGCCTGTGTCTTTATAGCAGAAAATGATTTATAATCCTCTGGGTATATAACCAGTAACGGGATTGTTAGGTCAAATGTATTTCTGGTTCTAGATTATTGAGGAATTGCCACACTGTCTTCCATAACGGTTGAACTAATTTACACACCCACCAACAGTGTAAAAGCGTTCATATTTCTCCAGTCCTCTCTAGTATCTGTTGTTTCCTGACTTTTTAATGATCACCATTCTAACTGGTGTTAATGGTATCTCATTGTGGTTTTGATTTGCATTTCTCTAATGACCAGTGATGATGAGCTTTTTTTTTCATATGTTTGTTGGCTGCATAAATGTCTTCTTTTGAAAAATATCTGTTCATATCCTTTGCCCACTTTTTGATTTTTTTTTCTTGTAAATTTGTTTAAGTTCCTTGTAGATTCTGGATATTAGCCTTTGTCAGATCGATAGACTGCAAAAATTTTCTCCCATTCTGTAGGTTGCCTTTTTACTCTGTTGATAGTTGCTTTTGGTGTGCAGGAGCTCTTTAATTTAATTAGATCCCATTTGTCAATTTTGGCTTTTGTTGCCATTGCTTTTGGTGTTTTAGTCATGAAATCTTTGCCCATGCCTATGTCCTGAATGATATTGCCTAGGTTTTCTTCTAGGGCTTTTATGGCTTTAGGTCTTATATTTAAGTCTTTAATCTATCTTGGGTTAATTTTTGCATAAGGTGTAAGGAAGGGGTCCAGTTTCAGTTTTCTGCATACGGCTAGCCAGTTTTCCCAACACCACTTATAAAATAGGGAATCCTTTCCCCATTTCTTGTTTTTGTCAGGTTTGTCAAAGATCAGATGGTTGTGGATGTGTGGCTTTATTTCTGAGGCCTCTGTTCTGTTCCATTGGTCTATATATCTGTTTTGGTACAAGTACCATGCTGTTTTGGTTACTGCAGACTTGTAGTATAGTTTGAAGTCAGGTAGCGTGATGCCTCCAGCTTTGTTCTTTTTGCTTAGGACTGTCTTGGGTATACAGGCGCTTTTTTGTTTCCATATGAAACTTAAAGTAGTTTTTTCCAATTCTGTGAAGAAATTCAATGGTATCTTGATGGGAATAGCATTGAATGCATAAATTACTTTGGGCAGTATGGGCCATTTTTATGATATTGATTCTTCCTATCCATGAGCATGGAATGTTTTTCCATTTATTTGTGTCCTTATTTCCTTGAGCAGTGGTTTATAGGTCCTTCACACCCCTTGTAAATTGTATTCCTAGGTATTTTATTCTCTTTGTAGTAATTGTGAATGGGAATTCACTCATGATTTGGCTATTATTGGTGTAAAAAAATACATGTGATTTTTGCACATTGATTTTATATCCTGAAACTTTGCTGAAGTTGCCTATCAGCTTAAGGAGTTTTGGGGCTGAGATGATGCGGTTTTCTAAATATACAATCATGTCATCTGCAAACAGATACAATTTGACTTCCTCTCTTCCTATTTGAATACTTTATTTTGTTCTTTTGCCCGATTGCCCTGGCCAGAACATCCAATACTATGTTGAATAGTAGTGGTGAGAGAGGGCATCTTTTTCTTGTGCTGGTTTTCAAAGGGAATGCTTCCAGTTTTTGCCAATTCAGTATGATATTGGCTGTGGGTTTGTCATAGATAGCTCTTATTATTTTGAGATACATTCCATCAACACCTAGTTTATTTAGTGTTTTTAACATGAAGGGGTGTTGTATTTTATCACAGACCTTTTCTGCAACTATTGAGATAATCATGTGGTTTTTGTCATTGGTTCTGTTTATGTGATGGATTACATTTATTGATTTGCATAGGTTGAACCAGCCTTGCCTCCCTGGGATGAAGCTGACGTGATCGTGGTGGATAAGCCTTTTGATGTGCTGCTGGATTAGGTTTGCCAGTATTTTATTGAAGATTTTTGCATTGATATTCATCAGGGATATTGACCTGAAATTTTCTTTTTTCATTGTGTCTCTGCCTGGTTTTGGTATCAGGATGATGGTGGCCTCATAAAATGAGTTAGGGAAAAGTCTCTTTTTTTCTATTGTTTGGAACAGTTTCAGAAGGAATGGTACCAGCTCCTGTTTGTACCTTTGGTAGAATTCAACTGTGAATCCGTCTGGTTCTGGGCTTTTTTTTGGTTGGTAGGCTATCAATCACTGCCTCAATTTCATAACTTGTTATTAGTCTATTCAGGGATTTGACTTATTCTTGGTTTAGTCTTGGCAGGGTGTATGTGTCTGGGAATTTTTCTCTTTCTCCTAGATTTTCTAGTTTATTTGCATAGAGGTATTTATATTATTCTCTGATGGTAGTTTGTATTTCTGTGGGATCAGTGGTGATCTCTCTTTTATCATGTTTTATTGTGTCTATTTTCTTCTTCTCTCTTTTCTTTTTTATTAGTCTGGCTAGTAGTATATCTATTTTGTTAATCTTTTCAAAAAACTAGCTCCTAGATGCATTGATTTTTTGAAGGGTTTTTTGTGTCTCTATCTCCTTCAGTTCTGCTCTGATCTTAGTTATTTCTTGCCCTCTCCTAGCTTTTGAATTTGTTTGCCCTTGCTTTTCTAGCTCTTTTAATTGTGATGTTAGGGTGCCGATTTTAGGTCTTTCCTGCTTTCTCCTGTGGGCATTTAGTGCTATAAATTTCCCTCTAAACACTGCTTCAGCTGTGTCCCCAAAATTCTGGTACATTGTGTATTTGTTCTCATTGGTTTCAAAGAACTTATTTATTTCTGCCTTCACTTCGTTATTTACCCAGTAGTCATTCAGGAGCAGGTTGTTCAGTTTCCGTGTAGTTGTACAGTTTTGAGTGAGTTTCTTAATTGTGAGTTCTAATTTGATTGCACTGTGGTCTGAGAAACTGTTTGTTATGATTTCCATTCTTTTGCATTTACTGAGGAGTGTTTTACTTCCAATTATGTGGTTGATTTTTAGAACAAGCACGACATGGTGCTGAGAAGAATGTATATTCTGTAGATTTGGGGTGGAGAGTTCTGTAGATGTCTATTAGGTTTGCTTGATCCAGAGCTGAGTTCAAGTCCTGAATATCCTTATTAATTTTCTGTCTTGTTGATCTGTCTAATATTGACAGTGGAGTGTTAAAGTCTCCTACTATTATTGTGTGTGAGTCTAAGTCTCTTTGTAGACCTCTAAGAACTTGCTTTATGAATCTGGGTGCTCCTATATTAGATGCATATATATTTAATATAGTTAGGTCTTGCTACATTGATCCCTTTACCATTATGTAATGTCCTTCTTTGTCTTTTTTTTTATCTTTGTTGGTTTAAAGTCTGTTTTATCAGAGACTAGGATTCAATCTTCTGCTTTTTTTGCTTTCCATTTGCTTGGTAAATCTTCCTCCGTCCCTTTATTTTGAGCCTATGTGTGTCTCTGCACGTGAGATGTGTCTCCTGAATACGGCACCTGATGGGTCTGCACTCTATCAGATTTGCCAGTCTGTGCCTTTTAATTGGGGGCATTTAGCACATTTACATTTAAGTTTAATATTGTTATGTGTGAATTTGATCTCATCATTATGATGCTAGCTGTTTTTTTTGCCCATAAGTTGATGTAGTTTTTCCATAGTGTCAATGATCTTTACATTTTGCTTTGTTTTTGCAGTGTCTGGTACTGGTTTTTCCTTTCCATATTTAGTGCTTCTTTCAGGAACTCTTGTAAAGCAGGCCTGGTGGTGTCAAAATCCCTCCGCATTTGCTTATCTGTAAAGGATTTTATTTCTCCTTCACTTATGAAGCTTAGTTTGGCTGGATATGAAATTCTGGGTTGAAAATTCTTTTCTTTAAGAATGTTGAATATTGGCTTGTAGGGTTTCTGCAGAGACATCTGCTTAGTTTGATGGGCTTCCCTTTGTGGGTAACTTGACCTTACTCTCTGGCTGCCCTTAACATTTTTTCCTTCATTTCAACCTTGGAGAATCTGACAATTATGTGTCTTGGGGTTGCTCTTCTCAAGGAGTATCTTAGTGGTGTTCTGTGTATTTCCTGAATTTGAATGTTGGCCTGTCTTGCTAGGTTGGGGAAATTCTCCTGGATAATATCCTGAAGTGTGTTTTCCAACTTGGTTCCATTCTCTCTGTCACTTTCAGGTACACCAATCAAACGTAGATTTTGTCTTTTCACATAGTCCCATATTTCTTAGAGTCTTTGCTCATTCTTTTTCATTCTTTTTTCTCTAATCTTATGCTTTATTTCATTAAGTGGATCTTCAATCTCTGGTATCCTTTCTTCCGCTTTATTGATTTGTCTATTGATATTTGTGTATGCTTCACGAAGTTCTCATGCTATGTTTCTCAGCTTCATCAGGTCATTTATGTTCTTCTCTAAACTTGTTATTCTAGTTAGCAATTCCTCTAACCTTTTTTCAAGGTTCTTGGCTTCCTTGCATTGGGTTAGAACATGGTCCTTTGGCTCAGAGGAATTTGTTATTACCCACCTCCTGAAACCTACTTTTGTCAATTTGTCAAACTCATTCTCCATCCAGTTTTGTTCCCTTGCTGGCATGAAGTTGTGATCCTTTGGAGGAGAAGTGGCATTCCGATTTTTGGAATTTTCAGCCTTTTTGCACTGGTTTTCCCTCATCTTCATGGATTTATCTACCTTTTGTCTTTGCTGTTGGTAGCCTTTGGATGAAGTTTTTCCATGATCATCCTTTTTGTTGATGTTGATGCCATTGCTTTCTGTTTGTTGGTTTTCCTTCTAACAGTCAGGTCCCTCTTCTGCAGGTTTGCTGGAGTTTGCTGGGGGTCCAATCCAGACCTTGTTTCCATGGATATCACCAGCTGAGGTTGCAGAACAGCAAAGATTGCTGGCTGTTCCCTTCTCTGGAAGCTTTGTCCCAGAGGGGCACTCGCCAGATACCAGCCAGAGCTCTCCTGTATGAGGTGTCTGTCGACCCCTGCTGGGAGGTGCCTCCCCATCAGGAGACAACGGGGGTGTCAGGGACCCACTTGAGGAGGCAGTCTGTCCCTTAGCAGAGCTTGAGCACTGTGCTGGGAGATCTGCTGCTCTCTTCAGACCTGGCAGGAAGGAATATTTAAGTCTGCTGAAGCTGCGCCAACAGCCACCCCTTCCCCCAGGTACTCTGTCCCGGGGAGATGGGAGTTTTATCTATATGCCCTTGACTGGGGCTGATGCATTTCTTGCAAAGATGCCCTGCCCAGAGAGGAGGAATCTAGAGAGGCAATCTGGCCACAAGGGCCTTGCTGAGCTGTGATGGGCTCCACCCAGTCCAAACTTCCTGGGGGCTTTGTTTGTATTGTGAGGGGAAAACTGCCTACTCAAGCCTCATTAATGGCAGACGCCCGTCCCCCCTCTTCAAGATCGAGCATCCCGGGTTGACTTCAGACTGCTATGCTGGCAGCAAGAATTTCAAGCCAGTGGATTTTACCTTGCTGGGCTCTTTGGGGTGGGATTCGCATAACTATATCACTTGGCTCCCTAGCTTTAGTCCCCTTTCCAGGGGAGTGAATGGTTCTGTCTTGCTGACACTCCAAGTGGCACTGGGGTATGAAAAAAAAACTCCTGCAGCTAGGTCAGTGTCTGCCCAAATGGTCATCCAGTTTTGTGCTTGAAACCCAGGGCCCTGGTGGTGTAGACACCTGAGCAAATCTCCTGGTTGTGGGTTGGGAAGGCTGTGATAAAAGCGTACCTGGGCCTGAATGCTCTGTCCCTCAAGGCACAGTCCCTCATGGCTATCCTTGGTTAGGGGAGGGAGTTCCCCAACCTCTTGAGTTTCCTGGGTGAGGCAATAGCCCACCCTGCTTCTGCTCGCCCTCCGTTGGCTGCACCCACTGTCTAACCAGTCCCAATGAGATGAACTGGATACCTCAGTTGGAAATGCAGAAATCAACTGCTTTCTGCATTGGTGTTGCTTGGAGCTGCAGACCAGAGCTGTTCCTGTTTGGCCATCTTGCCCAGGGATCCCCTCCACTTCCAAATTTTGTTGAAAGGTATAGACATCTGGGGGTAGAAGGCCACATCATGTTTTTAAAGTGACTGAGCTTATACATTTTTGTGTGGCATTTACATTTTTCATAAAATATATCTTTTATTTGTACTACATTTGCCATCTAGAATTATAAGATAGGTTGGAAGAGGTTCTGAAAAGTAAATTACTAATCAGATCTGAGGAAGCTCAGAAAAACTTTGTTTATAATACTAAAAGCCTTCATCAATATTTTAAAGTGGACACCAGAACTGATTATTACAAAAGCCCTGTATTGACAGTCTTTAGACAATAATAACTGTTATTAGACAATATTTTAAAAATTGCTTAAGGGTAAGCCATTTTCCTACAATGAAATAAATAACATTTTATATTTATTCCTATATTAAGATGCTCAGCTACCAGTTACTCAGTTATATAAGCTATAATGGACAAAGAGAGCATGAATTCCCCAGTTCATCACAAAAGCATACCTGAGGGTCAATTAAAACCAGTGAGGTGATCTGCAGCAGGTAGCTTTGCATGCCTTACAGAAAGGAGTCAGAAACTAGTAAAAATAAGATAATTTTTAAAGTCTTATTATTTTTATAATGAAACCTTTTTTCATACTTGACATATTCTAGAAAATGTAAGAAAATTATCCAGCATATTATTATGGGAATTGAACATTAGGTTAACATTCAAAAATCAATCAGTGTAATTTAATTATGCTAACAGAATAAAGAAGAAAAATACAATATGATCATCATAATAGATGTAGAAAAGGCATTTGATAAAATTCAACCCCTTTCCATAATAACAATTTTTAGCAAACAAGGAATGTTCTTAATCTGATAAAAGATATCAACAAAAACCTATAGCAAACATCCTATTTAATGGTTAAATATTGAAAACTTTCTCTTGAGAAAATTGAGATAACAATGCCACCATCACCAATTCTATTCAACATCATCCTGCAGTTCTTGGCCAGTACAATGAAGTAAATAAATAAATATATAGCAATGTGTTGGAGGAAAAAAAATATGTCATAATTTGTGTAAAATACAATTGAATAACTAGTAAAAATTAACTAGTAAATTCAGCAGTGTTACATGTAAGATTAACATAACCATCAAACATTTCTAAATATAAGCAAACTTTAGAAAATAAAAATTTTATAATGGTAACTTTTAGAATAGCTTTAAAATACATCAAATACCTAGGAATAAACCTAATACAGTATATTCAGGATCTCTACAAATAAAGCTAGGAGGCATAAAGGAATTAGAGAAGACTAAATGAGTGAATAATGATACCATGTTCATGGACTGGATAATCTAGTGTTGTATATCCAGTATGCCCTAATTGATTTATATAGTCAATGGAATTCCAATCAAAATTCCATCATTTTTTGTTGGAAATTGACAAGCTGAATATAAATATGTGTGGAAAAGCAAAAGACCAAGAATAGAAATGAAAATTTTGGAAAAGAACAAAGTGAGGAATCTCACATTGCTAAATATCTACACTTTAAATCACCAGTAATTAAGACAGTGGAGTGATAAAGTAAGGATAAACAAAGCCACACACAGCATCCAGATACACTCACTTGAATTATGACAAAGTTCCTGTCTAGTGCAATTGGGAAAAGGTGTTCTTTTTCAATAAGTGGTTCTAGGTCAATTGAATATTCATATGGAAAAAAAAAATGTTTCTCTTGATTGCTACCTCAGATGATTAAAAAGAAATAGCAATCTCCGTGGATTGTAGATCTAAATTTAAATGTAAAACAAACACCTTTTAAAAGATAACAGAGACTGTCCTTGTGATTTTGGGGTTTATAAATATTTCTCAAATAGGCTATCAAAAAATTTGCTAGAAAAGTAAAAGACTTCTAGAGTGGACTTTATGAAAATTTATTGCTTCTATTTATTAAAAATGGCCAGTAAGAAACAAAAAAGATAAACCTCCGAGTGGAAGACTATGTTGGCAATACATATTCATGAGAAAGGCAGTCCTCCTTTCCTAAACTCCTATGTTCAGGAGTATGAATGTAACTTCTTTAAATCAAGAAAAACAGACTTAATTTTTAGAATTTAGAAAAAGGGCAAAAGTATTGAAGAAAAGAAGATATTCAAATGTCCAATATGCATAGACAGCTGCTCAGCATCATTAGTCATCAGAGAAATTAAAATTAAAACCAAAATGAGATTATATTAAAAATGAAGCAGAATAAATTAACTTAAAAATGAAAGTTTAAAATTTAAAACGCTGAAAATGAAAATTCTTGATAAGGATGTTGAACAAATGGAAATCTTATATTCAGGTAGTCATTATGTAAAATGAGCTAGCCACTTTGAAAGATTGTTGGGCAGTATTTACTGAAGCTGAAGATCCACAAACTCTATGACATTCTGAACATTCAGAAACTCTGTGACATTCTATCATAGATGTATACTTAAATGAAAAGCTATGCACATCAAATGACATACACAAGAACGTTCATGACAGCAGCCTAAAACCTAATATAACCAAGTAGTCATGGTATGTTCACATAAAGTGATGCCATACGATAATGTAAATGAAGGCACTATTACTGCTCACAGCAACATGGGTGAATTTCACAAACATTATATTGAGCAAAAGAAGAAACATAAAACACTAAGTGCGGTATAAACCTATTTCCATGAAGCACAAAACCAGGTAGAGCAAAGAGATAGCCAAAGAAGGCAGCCCACTGGTTACCTTTTTGGGAATAGTGTAACAACTTGGAGCAGACAGAAAGGAGGTTACTGTGTTAGTGGATTGTCCAATTTATTCATCTGAGTGGTGAGTGCATGGGTATGCTTGATTTGTGAAAATTCCTCAAGCTATATCTATATTCTCGCCTTACCTTATGGTGTGTAGGATAGATTTCAATAAAAACTTTATTCAATTATAAAAGAAAAGAATATATATATTTGCCATTTCTATAATGAAGAAGTCACTGAATATCATTTACTTAAAATATCTACAAAGGAAATGTATATTTCAAACCAGAGAGTTGGTATCCCTGGCTATACAGTGGATTCGTGGGCAGTGTTATGTGAATTACTTGAGTAGCAGAATCTTTCGTTAGTACATCCTAAAGTAATTTCTCTGGTGCCAGAAACAATTTTGCTCCTTGTTCACAGACGCTGAAATGGAATTATAAAGGGCTTAAGCAACTTACTAATCGCCACAATCAGTGGAATATGGAAGAGGAGACAGAGGTACTAAAATCCTACAAGCATTTTCTATTCTGCCAGAATCTCTGTCAGTGGGTTCTTTCTTCATTTTAATTGGCATTCAATTTTTTTTAAAGTCATGATTTTAAAGAAAGCAGTGGATACTAGGTAATTCCCCCAAATATGAGGCCAATGTTCCATAGACCAATGTGGAGTTGTTTTGTAGTTTGTCGACAGATGATGCTTTTTGACTGCTTCCGGTCTTGAACTTCAGAATATAATTATGTAATGTCACATTACAGAAAACACTACAAAAAGGGCCCTTCTCATTGAACAGTGCCATTGTACTCGGTATTCTGTGGCTGTTTTGTGCTGTGCACTTTATGTGGTTTTAATTGTTATTGTTTATGATGATGATGTTTTAATTGTTGATGTAACACCCTGAGCATCTTCGTGAAAGCTTCATAATAATTAAAAATATTATAATAGTTCCTGGAAGGTAAAGAAATAGACAGGGTTCCTTAGAGCAGAGTTTTTGTGGCAACTAATCGCACCAAAAATCAACATATTTCCTCTGGGGCTGTAGGAGGTAAGACTAAAAAGCACATTTCTTTGCCACCCCCAGCCCTCCCTGCTGCTCCCGCTGCCTTTGTGACTAACAAGGTTTACTTTTTTATTTTTTAATTCAGTTTGATCACTCAGTGTCAGCTCTGATATCCCCACTGTCTCAATGGCATTATTGCAGCCTGAGAAATACACAAAACCTACAGTACACATGCATGTTGTCAGTGGTAATATTTCTTTTGATGGGTATGTTAGCTTTTTGCAATGTCTGTTGCTACTTATTATAAAAAATTAAAATTTATTTATTAACTACTAACTTATTTAGTGGAGGAAAGAAATTTTCAAAAAGTTGAATACTTCTGTGCATTGGAGTTTGTTTTTAATCTTTTATTTTAATGTTATAATAGTTTTAATAGCTGTAAGAGTGATTTTAATGGACATTTTCTATCTTTGAAAAGAAACAGTTCTTTAATGCTTTTGTTCATGCATCGTGTGTGTGTGTGTGTGTGTGTGTGTGTGTGTACTAGAAAATAGTGGTTGTCCTGTGGGAAGAGATGATAGGTGATTATATCCTTTCAAATGCCTTTCTTTGCTTTCTACAAAAGTACATGCATTATTTAATTTCTAAAACTTTATTAGACCATATGGGTCAAATAATTCTTATCTGCCTTCTATTGTTAAATTAATGGTTATGTGCTCAGAATCATCATATACAGATCAAAACTCTTATTTTTAAAATTGGATTTTATAATGTCCACAGTAAAGACAAGCTTTATCTACCTTTTTTTACTGACTTTATTTATTATAGGAAGTAGAATATGAACTATTCCAACTGATCGATTTTCATAGACTTCATGAAGGTGAGAGTATGAAAGAGAATTTCATGCTTTTTAGAGATTTAATGCTATAAATAATCACATCAATCTCAACTAGAAAATCCTATGAATCTGCCAACAAATGTTGTTCCTAGTCTTTATATACCTGATAACTAAAAATGAATTAATTCTATTAATGATTACTTTGAAACAAAAAAAGTATCACAGAATGGAATTTGCAGATCTGAAACATGAAAATTATCAAAAACCTTTTTATAGAAAGCAGTAGCAATTAATGCTATAGACCTACAATTTTATACTGAATTTGGGGGCTTAAAGATGAAAGGTGACAGCATAAAGTTGTGTTTCACTGAGAATATTTAATGTATAATTTTTATCTTATATTAAAATATTTTAAAGTATGCTTCTTTTAAAGATTAACTTAAGGAGAATGGAATACAAAAATCAATCTTTTCAACATAAGTCTAGCATTGTAAAAAATTATGAAATGTATAAGTTTAATTGATTCTCTTCGGAAGTGAGCACAGCCATTAACTTTTTGTTGGAAAGTTTGACTTTACTAAGTTCTGACAAGGAGGTGAAACACAAAGAGAAGAAAACTGGAAATTTCTAGAAAAGATGCTAGGAAACAAATGTTTTTCTTTATTTTCCCATTTGAGATCAACATTTACAAGCTATGAATTCATTTTTTGCTTCTGGAAGTGGAGGAGGGTAAAGTTTTGGAACGTTCACTGAATATCTTTGTTTGTCCATAATGTTATATATTCAAAGTTTTAATTTGATGACACATATTTCAGCTGCACACAATAGTCTTTTAATGGTACTTCAAGAATTCTTGGGCTGTAGAAAAGACTATTTTTTTTCTCCCCAGGTAGAGTTGACCATTGCCTTTTTCTTCTGCTGAATCTTTTTTACAGTGTATATCATATTTTGTACACATGCTGGTTTATATGTTATCTCTCTCTACCTGATTGTAATGTGAATAAGCCATGTCTTCATAGCCCTGGGTCATTCACATTGCTTCAACATAAATGTGTTTTCAATAAGTGATTTATGAATTATTAAATGAATGAATAAATGCTTTTGTAAACCACACCTCATTGACCCAGAGATGTGTACATAACACCTTAGCGTTAATTTAGGAAGCTATTTTAGAAGACTATCCAAGAATGAAGTATAACCAATTACTTCTGGGTAGTTGGAATGCAACTCAGAAGGCAATCCTATGGAAGCGATCAGAAGTTACTGAGAGCATTTGCACAACATCAGTTGCAAATTAATGAGCCACCATACCTTTTGGCTTTGAGAGTATCAAATTAGTAGTAGCCGTTCTTAGAGCCACAGAGGTTTAATAAAAGCAGAATCTACAAAACCGAACAATAGCTGTCAGAAACACTAAGGAAAATATTTATCAGCACAAATATAAGGAAATGCCCAGTATATTATGGGTTGTGATTAGTCATAGATCATGACTATATGGTGGATACAAAAGAACTGGGAAATTTACCTGAGAAGAGTATCTTGAGAGAACCAAGCATTTCTTACAGCTGAGAATTTTACCAATTCTGCTGGGCTAAGGTGCTGAAGTTAATATAAGAACTTCACTATACCCGTATTTTTCACTAGAGCCCCAACTAATTATACTTTTGTTTTGGAACTTTGATGTATGACACAGAGAAGTTTTTAAAACTTCACTATACCTATATTTTCCATTAGAGATCCAACTAATTATAGTTTTGTTTTGGAACTTTGATATATCACACGGAGAGGTTTTTAAAATGATATTGAAGACACAATTTTAATGTTTCTCTTTTCTATACTAAGCCAATTATTTCTTTCAAAACCTCACATGATCATTAAAGGAACAACTCATTAGTGTAGTGGTTAGTAGGAGAGGAGTCAGAAATAATCACTCTGCTCTCTGGAAGGAGAGTTGGAACCTATCACAGTGGGCACAGGATCAAGGCTGCTGTGCATCAACCCTTAATGGGTGTTTTGGGTACATGGTGGTAGGATTGGGACTGATGGTTCAGGCCATTTGGACGTCTGCCTCTGCCTTACAGTATTGCTTGTTTGGCAGAAGCTGCCAGAGCTGACAAATACTTTCCAAGTTTTTGCATCTGGGCACAGACAGGACTCTGCTCCTTATTCTTTTATGTTCTGTCTCTCTTTCTATGCTGCTTTGGATAAAGTCTCTCTTGAAGTTCTGCAACTTACTTCCTTCCTTTACTGCCTGATGTTGACATAAATGAATTTCAGGATTGAACCCAACTCCCAAGTCTCCACTTCATTCTTTAAATTCTCTCACAGTTTTCTCATAACAAATTATGCAACATGCACATACAGAATGATGAAAACAGTGGAAAAGAGGAGAAATTACATGGATCAGGGAGATGAAACCCAGTTTACTTCCAATTCCATAATATTGTGTATCTCTTTTCATTCTCACTTTGGAAACTTTCCCTATATTTCATTTCACTTGTGTACTTTGACAAGCAACAAATTCAGCTGCAGATACTTCTTCCTTTGACCTTAATAAGAATGAACCCCAAGTTTCTATTCAAGTGATAGCAGAATTTCCAAATATAGGAGTCGAAGTCAGTTATGAAGACACAAAGTTATATGAAATGAATGAAGAATAAAATCTAGCAAGGCAGGAAAAAAGGGTGGGAAGAAACCTCACAGAATTAATGAAATAAAAATTAAAAGTATATGATAAGGTGATAATAAGTGATGTTAGTATAGTTAGTATAAGTTAGGTGACGTTTCCTCTCATCTCTATTAAGACTTCACAGGTTCAGTTTACTCTAGTTATTGTGGTGAGCTGATTAAAAGTTCTGAAATGCTATTCATCATTAAACCATCTCAATATATTATTAAAACTGCAAAATGAGTTTTCCCTCAGGCAAACTGAATAAAACAAACTGCAACAACTTCATGCTGTGTCTATACCACACAGAGTAAAATGGAAATTTCTCATTGTTCACTTATTTTGATCAATGTGCATCACTAAAGGCGAGAGCTGGAACCACATTTTTACTTTGTGGCCTGCAGAAGCCTGCATGGTTGTCATTGATCTGATCAGAACGTAAACGTGTCATTTTGGGGGGTTGAATTTGGCCCAGTTGTATATTTCAAAGGGATTTCAGTCTTTTAAAAGTGGTTGTCTTTCGTTCAGTTATTTTAAAGCATATTGGCCCATGAAATAATTCAACAAAGAAAAATTATGTTTGGATTAAAGGAATATAAAGAAATCAATATGATTAAAAGATTCTTAGATTGATGGTCAAAAAGATGGGGTAGAATTAGAAAGAGCCTTTGGGGAATTTATTTTCTACACCTCCATTACTTGCTATTTTCATGAAACATGGATGGTATCAGGTACCTTTACAGACACATGGAGAGACAGAGAGAGAGAGATTGCTTACGTTATAATGGGAAGGAATGATGTATGGTTTATAGGGCATCATAGGATAAAATGGGAATGTATAGTAATACATTTACCTTAGACTTGGGATACAGAGGTTTCCCAATAAAGTTGATAACAATAGTAATTATTTCCTGAATACTCACCATGTACTAGGTACTAGATTAAGCTCTTCATGTGCATTAACTCGTTTATTCTCTAACAAAATTTTGAGAGGTAGTGTCAGTATTCTCACTGTACATATGAGCAAACAGGTTTCCAAAGACCTTTTCCCCAAAGCCCCTTACTAGAAAACATATTTGAATTTAGGTCTGAGTGATTCATAGCTGAAAGCTCTTAACTTCTAGGCTTTATGTTAAGGTAAGTGCTGAAGGACGACCTATGAGTAATCTTCCTCTAGGAACTGCACGTCTAAGTGTATAAGAGGGTTGCTCAAATGAGCACACAAAGAGGTTGAGACAGGGATGTTTACAGAAGCAATGTTTATTAAGCAAAACTTGTAATAAACTAATTGTCCACTAATGAGGGAATATTTTAAAAAGTAGGCATCTATAAAGGAGGCTGTAAATTATTATAGAGAAGAATCCAACCATCTGGATTCAAAATTCAGCTCTGCTGTTTCCTCACAGTGTGACCTTGAGAATGTAGCTATACTTCTCTGTGACTTTATTTTCTATTTGTAAATTAGAAATCCTAATGTATATCTAACTCATTTATGAGAATTGAATAAAACGGTCCAGGTAAAATACCAAAATGTCTTGTGCATAATAAGTGTTAAATAAATGTTAGCCATTATTATGTAATGGATCTTGGGCATAGTTAAAAGAAGTTATGTTTAGCAATGAAAAACACTCCAGGACATGTTTCTGAGTGTAGGCAAAGAAGTTGCAGATGACTGACATGACATAGTATTTATGAAGCTGTATGCTTTCAAACAGATATCTCACATATATAAACACATATGAAAAAGGACACCTGATGGTCTTTTTTTTTTTTCTTGGTCACACAAATAGCCCTTCAAAGCATCAACACAGCTATCATCATTATGTCGGTCTTTACTAATTGTGTTTATGCATGACTGTCAGGGAAAAAGTGACTTGGGTTAGAGGGGAGGGAGGAACATCTGTTAAAGTTATACTTTTCATTTGCTTTGACATAAACATGTACACATATGAATATGTGTATGCCTTTCTAAAGTTGGGGAAAGGCCAAGTTCTGTTGTCCCATTGAGAGCAAAAATACATTCTGGAAAGACTTCAAACATGCTCCTGCCAAATATGGCTTTCATCCTATTTTCAAACAAATATTGATATCTTTTGCTAGCAGGATTCTTTAAAAGGATAATGTAGTATAAACGTTTTTCTGTCACTAAAATGATGTACCTCTTTAGGGGATATTGAGATTTTCTTAATTCCACAGGAACTTTGTAGCATTATAATGGTTATTTTTGAGTAATCAGACTGTTTCTTTAAATCCTATCATCTCTGAGGGTATAATTGCTGCCATCATTTGCATTTTGTCCAAGTGCACTTTCTGTATTATTCTTCGTAGATATTAAAGCCTTGCCACATTCCTATTATTCCTGGAGGAGAGTGTGGCTGGCCTGGTACTTTCAATCTTCACATTCTTTCTCAGCCATGCCAATCATTTTGCTCATACAACTGAGGCAGTCTCAGCAAGGTTTGTGAAAAACACAAACTCTGCAGAAGTGTGGGAAATGACTAAGTTTCTGGAATTTCATGAGAAAGAAAGATTCTGGTGCGAGTGAGGGGAGGGTTGGGGAAGAAGTTCTGGCATCATCTAAATGTTTAGAGATTCAAGCAAATGAACATTTGTCTCTTGATGCTAAATCCATCACTTTTTGGGTAAGGAATAAAGCATTCTCCTTTCAATTATATTCAGGCTATTTTGAGATTTTAAATATTATTCATATTGGCAGAGAATGTACACATGTATGCATATACACATACATGCATAAATAGATGTGTGTTCTATCTATCTATCTGTCTGTCTGTCTGTCTGTCTATCTATCTATCCATCCATCCATCTCATCTATTTATCTACAAGAATGCCAAGCACAGCGTTTATTTTGAAGCCAAGAATACATTCTTTTAAATATTTTAATTTTCTTTTTTTCTGGAGGACAGTAACTCTTTTTTTCAAGTGTACTTTCCAACCACAAATTATGCAACCCTTCTACAGAGCAGAGTGTTTAGGACCTTGCATTACTCATTTGAGAAGTTCTTAACTATTTGAGATTCTAGGTAACAAAATAAAGAAATACTTCATTTTATGTATTTTTAATATAATTAGTAAAATATGCACAGATTTTGCAATTTATAAAGATCTTTCAAATTTATATTGTATTTTATCTTTATACAAAACTATAAAATAGGTCAGTTGCTTTTTATTTTATTAGAGACAACGGATTATCTTTTTTAAGATAAACTTTTAAAATTAGATGTCATTTTTTCTCAATATTCTATTTCTGATAAATCAAGAGAAGTTTTTAAATTACATAATTGCTTTCCATGTAGTGATAAGTTACTCTGAGTAGAGGCCTTTTAAGTTTACATAAACCTACAAAGAGCACTGGCTTTAGAACAAGAAGGTTTACCTTAGTATTTTTCTATCACTGACTGTGGACTTTTGCAGATTAATATGACAACATTATGTTCTATTTAAAAGTAATTTTTTCATTCATAAAAGTTTCAATCATCTGTTTGGAACCTGTTTTAAAATAACACCCATTTTTGTAATTTTATAAGTCTAACATGCAACTCTTTCTTTTTAGAAAACTTAGAAATTATAGAATAATATAATGCAAAAAAATGAGCAAGTCAGAATTCTACTACCCAGAATTTCTAAAAAACTAACATTTTGGTTTATATATTTCCAGACTTGAATATATAATTCAAACAGAACATATAGTTAAAAACACAGGGGCTACATTGTTTGAAATAATAGTATGTTATTACTACTTTAAAGGTAACCAGGTACATTTTAAAATATGATTTAAAAACTGCACAGCGTTTCTGGTATGCTGGTAACAAATTTATTTTATTAACCCTATTCTTCATCATTTAGCTGGCCTCCTGATTTAGCTTTTTAAACTAGTGCTGTAATAAACATCTTTACTTGGAGACGGTCCCTGGCCTACGACAGTTGGATTTATGATTTTTTTGACTTTACCTGGCTTATTGGGATATCATGCCATGGTAAGTTGAGGAGCATCTGTATTCATCTTTTCCCACTTGTTCAGTGTGTTTTTTTTCTGCAGGATAAATTTCTAAAAATGCTATTGCTGAAATAAAATCTTAGATCCTCAAAAGGCACTTTCAGCATATGGCCATGTTGTTTTTCCAGACAGACTCCACTAATTTACGCTGTCACCAGCAGGTTTTAAGTAACCATCTCTCCTCACTCACACCCACACTGGTATTATTATATTTTTAAAACCTTGAAAAATATTTAAGTGAATAATTAAATTATTATATATGTTATATATATATATATATATATGTATGTATGTATGAATAAGACAGGGTCTCACTCTGTTGCAGGCTGGAGTGCGGTGGTGCAATCACGGCTCACTGCAGCCTCATCCTCCTGGCCTCAAGTGATTCTCCCACTTTGGCCTCCGGAGTAGCTGGGACTACATGTGCACACCACCACGTCTAGCTAAGTTTCGTATCTTTTGTAGAGACAGGGTTTCATCATGTTGCCCAGGCTGGTCTCCATACAAGCAATCCTCCCACTTTGGCTTCCCAAAGTGCTGGAATTACAGGTGTGAGCCACCATGCCCGGCCCAAATAATTGAATTATATTGTTACTTTAATTATACTTTGATATAAGCTGAGGTTGATTATATTTATTGTTAACTTACTTCCAACTAACGTAGTTTTTTTCTTTACTTAAAAACAACTTTAGAAGACGTAGTGCCATACCATATGCACACACACACACACACACACATATATATACCTTCTTTATTTTTAGTCTATTCCTATTAGAACATAAGCTCTTTTCTCTTTTGTTATGGTTATTGTTCTCTCAATAACCCCTAAAACAGTACCTGATACAAGGTAGACTTTCAAACTATCTTTTTTGAATGCAAGAATAAATTTGTACTTTTTTGGTATGTAAATTAACTTCTCATCCTCTTTATGTATTTTATTTTGGAAAAATACTTTGGCATATCTTCATAAGATATTGATTTGTAAGAACTAATTATGTATTTAGGTTGTTATCTGCCCTATATATTTTTTTTTGTTTGTATTTCCTTCTTTTTCCCCCTTCTTTTTATTTATTTATTTTTTTTTGAGACAGTGTTTCACTCTTATTGCCCAGGCTGGAGTACAATGGCGCCATCTCAGCTCACCACAACTGCCGCCTCGCAGGTTCAAGCAATTCTCTTGCCTCAGCCTCCTGAGTAGCTGGGTTTATGGGCATGCACCACCATGCCCAACTAATGTTTTGTATTTCTAATAGACATGGGGTTTCTCCATGTCAGTCAGGCTGGTCTCAAACTCCCAACCTCAGGTGATCCACCTGCCTGGACCTCCCAAAGTGCTGGGATTACGTGCGTGAACCACCGCGCCTGGCCTTTTGTTTGTATTTCATCAGTAAATTCAATTTAACATTACATTTTTTTGTTTTTGTTTTTGGAGAGAAGATCTCACTCTGTTGCTGAGGCTGGAGTGCAACGGTGCAATTATGGCTCACTGCTGCCTCAAAGTCCTGACTTCCAGCCATCCTCACAACTCAGCCTCACAAGTAGTGGGGACTACAGGCCTACACCACCACACCTGGCTTACTTTAAAAGTCATAAGTTTTTTTTCTTTTAATTTGTATGTTGAAATATATTCTTATTCTTCTTTTTGACCTTTTCTTTCTTTAATGTTGAAAGGTACCTTTCTTCTACTAATGTGAGATTTAATTATGCTTTCTTCTAGTTATCTTAGAGTTAGACTCATTCTAATTGGCATTTTTGTTGGTATAAATTTTGAAGTATGTATTTGTAAGGGAGAAAGGTGAATTTCACAAGAAGGTGACAATTTACATTAAGGCATAGGTAAAATTGACAAGGCTTGAGGAAATGCATTAATTACGGTAGCTGGGATTCTCTGAAAATTGGAGAAATGTGCTTGATGCTCGGGGTGGATAAATAAATATTGGAGAATATGAGGGACCTGCTCTAACTTTTTAGAAAAAAAGTTACCCTGTTGAGAAAAAGCACTTTTTAAGTTGAAATGATAACATCATGTGACTTTTTTTCTATGTGAAGTGGAAGGTGAAAAAATCTTTGAAAGTAAAGATTTGGATCTGAGGAACAATGAAAATTGCGCTAGACTTATAGGTTGAGAAAGCCAGAAGCGAATACTTTCCCTGTGCCAAAGAAACTCCACAACAGTGAAAGAAATATGACAGACAACAGGAAAAAAAAAACACACAAAGAAGTACAACAGTCATCCTTAATATTGTCTGTGTTGTAGTTTTTTTAAAAATAGACCCAATGAGGATTTGATGAAAGCTAAGAATCCTCTGTTAAGATAAATGCATATTCATACTATTTTGCAAATAATTTTTAGCAAATGAGCTGATTCTCCTACGCTAAGTAAAGGACTACTGATCTATGGAATACATACAACTTTCTGTTTAAATTTATTTTCAACCTGCTGGAAACTTATATCTAAATAGAAAAATGGAATCTTCAGAAACACCATTGTGGCATGTAGGTTTTAACAATAAAGAATACAGTAAGTATAAATGGAAGGGAATGTTTACTTTCTCTGGTTGTTACTTTGTTATTTCTTCTTCCACTCCTCAGACTGCTCTTTGGGTAGGTGATGGTTAATTTTACATCTCAATTAATTGGGACATGGGGTGCCTGGATTAAACATTATTTCTCGGTGTGTGTGTGTGTAAGAGTGTTTCAATAAGAAATTAGCATTTGAATCAGTGGACTGAGTAGAGAAAATGACCTTTCCCAATGTGCATAGGCATCTTCCAAATCCAATAGAGCTGCCATAGGAAACAATGGCAGAGGAAGGAGGAATTCACTCTCTCTATCGGACTGTTTGAGCTGGAACCTCAATCTTCTGCCCTCAACTGGGGCTTGCTTAGCCCTTCACCTTTTAGTTCTCAGAACTCCACCATTGGCTATCTGGATCCTAGCTTGCAGAAAGCAGATTCTGGGACTTCCCAGCCTCCATAATCATGTAAGTCAATTTCTTATAATAAATCATATATTGGAAAAATCATTAATAGAATATACCCTTGAAAAACTTGGGGGTTAGGGGTGCCAAGCCTCCTGTCCAGTAAAATAGCCATGTATAATTTTTGACTCTCCAAAAACTTTACTAACAGCCTATTGTTGACTAAAAGCCTTACTGATAACATAAAGACAGTTGATAAGTATTTGGTATATGTATTACAAATTGTATTCTTGGAATAAAGTAAACTAGAGAAAAATGTTATTAAATTTATAGAAAAGAGAAAATCTATTATTCATTATGTGGAAGTGGATCATCATAAATGTCTTCATTCTCATTACCTTCATATTGAGTAGGCTGAGGAGGAGGAAGACGGAAGAGGAGGGGTTGGTCTTGCTGTCTTGGGGGTGGCGGAGGTGGCAGAGATGGCAGAGATGGAGGACGTGAAAGGGGAAGCAGGAGAGGGAGACATACTTGGTGTCACTTTACAGAAATGCATCATAAGTTCAGTCTGAATTAGTGCTTTTTTGTTTTTTAAAAAAGATTTCTATTCAATACCAATCCTTCTACCATTTGCTGTAGTTTCAGTGCTTGAATCATAGATGCATCCATGTCATAAAATAAGTCAAAAGCAGTCTTGAATAATCAGAACACTTCCGCGAGACTGAGAGACTGTCTAATGTCAATTTATTTTCTGGCACTGCTTCTTGTGTGTCTTTTTTCTTCTTCTGGACACTGATTCAGAAGCACTCATCCATATCAAGTCATCTTCTGTTAATTCCTCTGGTGTGATGTTTATTAGCTCTTGAGTTTCTCCAAGATTCGTATCTGGAAAGCTTCAGTCCCCACCTTTTTTTTTTTTTTTTTTTGTCATATCCACAGTCTCTTTCATGATTTCCTTGATTGTCTCTGTTGTAAATCCTGTGAAGTCACAAACAACATCTGGGCACAGTTTTCTCCAGCAGAATTTGTTATTTTTGGCTTGATGGCTTAATGGCTTTTGTGGCTTTTTCTATAACAATGATGGCATCTTCAATGTTGTAATTCTTCCAGATTTTCATGATATTCCCTCTATCGGGGTTTTCTTTCGTAGTGTTAATAATCCTTTCCATAGAGTACTGTGTGTAATGAGCCTTAAAAATCCATATGATCCCTTTATCTTGAAGCTGTATTAGAGATGTTGTGTTTGAGGGCAAGTAGCCCACTCTGATGCTTTTAGTGTTGAACTCATGAGGTCTGGGTGGCCAGGGCCATTGTCCAATATCAGAAGAACTTCAAAGGCAGTCCCTTATTGGCAAGGTATTTTCTGACTTCAGGGACAAAACATCAATGACACCAGTCCAGAAAAGGGATTCTCATTGTCCAGGCCTTCATGTATAACTAAGAGAATGGCAGCTAGTGTTTATCTTTTTCCTCCAAGGCTTGGTGTTTTGCAGCTTTATAGATAAGGACAGTCCTGATCATAAAGTCAACTGCACTGGCACAAAATAGTAGTCAGCCTGTTCCTTCCTGTCTAAAATCCTGGTGCTCATTTCTCTTTATTAACAAATGTTTTTTATGGTCTTTTTCCCCCCCAAATAGAGTACTTTCATCTGCATTGAAAACCTGTTCAGGAACATATTCTTTCTCCTCAATGATTTTCTTAATGGTATCTGGGAAATCATCTGCTGCCTCTTGGTTAGCAAAGAAGCTGCTTTTCCTGTTATCCTACATTTTTAAGCCAAATCATTTTCTAAAATTATCGAACCATCCTTTGCTGACATTGAATTCATCAGCTTTCAACCCTTCACCTTCCTTTAGGACTTCCCCTTTTCTTGACTTACATGAGAGTCTATAGGTATGCCTTCCTTATAGAAATTCTACACCCATATTAAAGCTGCATTTTCAATACACGATAAAAAGGTATTTTGCAGAAAGTGCAAGGCTTCTATGCCTGCTCACATAGCTGCAGTGATGGCTTCATGAACATCGTTTTCTTTTTAACATTTGTCTTTACACTGAATTCATTTATCTTCAAATGCAGGCAACCACAGCTACAGATCTCAATCTATAGTACGTACCAAGCAATTCAACTTTTTCTTATATTTTCATGACTTTTCTCTGCTTCTTGGGAGCACTACCAGCATGACTAGTGGTACTTCATATGGGCCCCATGGTGTTATTCCAGGTTTACAGTATTGCACTAAACATAATAAAAAATATATGAGAACTATGAGAGATAATTTTTTACCATAATATGCAATTTACTGGAGAAAGGAATTGCTCACACAGAAAGGTTTAGCATCACTCAGCATTTTAAGCTGGCACAACACTTGAATTAGCAAGAGGAGGTGGCATTAAAATTATTACAGTTGTGTAGTATGGACAGTTAATTTTATGCAGTTATGATTTAATACTGCATCTTTACATTTGTTTACATTTCTCTCAACTGTGAATGGTACCGTGTATGGTCTAAGTGTGTACATAAGTTTTGAAAAATTTTAATTTTTTATAAAAAATTGTACATATTTTATGGTAGTAAATGATAAAATAGTATCTACGTATATTTTATGCATTCATGACATATGTAACCTTTTAAACTTTTCTTTTGATATTTCTAAGCCACATGGTTTGTCTGGAAGGTTTTTTTTTAATTGTTGCAAATCTCCAAAATTTTTCAGTACCCCGATTGGAAAAAAAATCGATGGATTTGTGAACCTGCACAGCTCAAACCCACGTTATTTAATTGTATATGCATTCTATCGTTTCTGTTTCTCTGGAGAATTCTAAGACAGGGTGCACCTTTTCTCTACTATATATCTGTACTTCTAATGGACGTGGGTATGTTCTTTGATTGGCAATAGCTTTCATCCTCATAGGTTAAGCATCCTCACAGGTTTCTAGAGCAGGACTCCAGAAAGATGAATGATGGAGTAGTTGTCTCAGAGTGGCTTCTACTGAAGGCCTTAAGCTAAAAATCCAAAAATGGTTGTTCCATTTCCTACATGATCCCAACCCAGGTTCCCAGGAGAACAGTCCAAGCAGTCACATAGCAAGCCAAAAGGGAGTACTTGTGACCCACATACTCAGTTCAAATCTAGCAAAGATTGCTTTGAGAATTGGTAAAATAAAAATGTTAAAAAACCTAACTCGACAGGATTACAGTCATGATAAATCTTTCTCTTCACAAAGGATTCAAAGTAAATTAACTCATCATATTATTTACTGAAAATATTAGTCTCCTGTCTCAGGCTGTTGTCTATCCAGCTGGAAGAGAGCAGACTACCTTATTTTCTGTTATACTGATGCCAATATTAATGTCAGTGTGGATTTCTTCATGGTCAATTTGATAATTTCTTTGGAGATGGGCCATTCTTATAAAATAATAACAGGCAAATGGAATCAATTGTACTGTATTGACAAAGTTTATTATCTTCTCTGAAATCATTTGAAAAGGTAGATGTGAATTTCACTCAGGAAAAAATTGACTTTGCTTATAAAATTCTTTTTCTCTATGAGTTTCTCCCCAGATATATCATTAGGTACATATATCAGGTATAATATAAATAGGGTATTACATGTACTGGCAAAACACAGGTAAAAATGAAAAAGCTTGAAATGATAAGAGTAACAGGAAAATCCCAAATACATGAACTGATATTCTCAAATTAGTTATAACTGACATAATTTTGAGTATCTAGGTGCTGTTTTTTTAGACATTTAATGCTGAATTGTGTGAACATTCTGCTTCAAAAAATTAAAACATCCTGATGAAATTTTGTTAGAGGTGGAAATTCAGGTAAAATCACATATCTCAAGCCTCTATGCATGGAAGAATATGACAAAAGGAAAAAATGCTGGTAAAGTGAATCTGAAGGGAAGACTGGGCTGGGCACGGTGGCTCACACCTGTAATCCCAGCACTTTGGAAGGTCAAGGCAGGTGGATCACTTGAGGCCAGGAGTTCTAGACCAGTCTGGCCAACATGGCAAAACCCCGTCTCTACTAAAAATATAAAAATTAGCTGAGCATGGTGGGGCGTGCCTGCAGTCCCAAATACTCGGGAGGCTGAGGCACAAGAATCTCTTGAACCTGGGAGGTGGAGGTTGCAGTGAGCCAGGATCATACCACTACACTCCACCCTGGGCAACAGAGCAAGATTCTGTCTCAAACAAAACAAAACAGAAAAAGACTGAAGCTGTGCATCTCTAGAGATAATATCTATGTTGATATAATAGCATATGGAGAGTGATTAATTTTACCAAAATAATTACTATGATTATACTTAATTTATAACTGAAAACATACATTCTGAAAAAAAAAATAACTTGTAGCCACTCTTACCCCTAAACCAATTCATCTAGGATTCACAACAATTTAGAGATAATAATTTAATCATATAGCATTTTATGTATTTAACAATTTCTCTGAAATTCTTGTAGATTTTAAAGAGCTAGTAACAATAAAATTATAGAACAATGAAATATATGAATTTCAGCAATGACAAAAACATAGCAAAATAAAGAACAGAGCTATTAATTTTAAGAGATATAGACTATGAAGGTCACTAAATTCTCCTGTTCTTTAAGTTTTGGCGAAACTAAACACTTCTCTTTAGTAGCTTAATTCACAGTTGAAGAAGGTGTACTTTTTTCCCCATGTGTAAGGGCCAGAGAAACTTATCACTACAATGTGCCGTGGGGACTAAAGAATGCTAAGACAGCCCTGACATTGGCAGATGGGAACTCCTCTGACAGGCAGCTGTGACTTCAGACTCACAAATAACCTTGCCAAACTTTCTTAGACTGGCCAGGTTGTCTACAACTCTTGCACCCAACTTATCTTTCTTCCTTTTTCCCTCACTAGAGTCAGAACTGTATTAAGACTTGTCAACTTTCCTGGCCTCTTCCAGCTCCTTCTCCAGTTTCAATCATGAATGTTTCCCCTAATACATTTTTACACATCTAATTCTGTCTCAATATCACCTCCTTCTTGGAGTATCCAAATAACACAAGTGATATCAAGAGTTATATACATTAAAAAAAGAATAGAATTGGTATTTGGGACTGGCTTACTCACTGTTCAGTGAGTGAAAAGGACATCATCCTGTCTCGTAGATGGAGGCGACAATATCCTTTGCATAAGGTGATGCTAATTGCTAAGGATGTCACTGGTGGTGACTGGAAAATGTCCAGGTGCACAAAAATGTTATGGTAGCGTATAAAGAGTTAGGCATTTGGAAGGTTTGAGTTGACAGTGCATGTAAAGACAGCAAAGTTTGCCTGTTACTTCTAAGTTGTATTGATGGTCTGCAGAGAGATAATAAGAGACTGATGGCTGTTAACAAGCTTTGGCATCTTACAAAGAGGCCCTTATTGCATGTGGTGGAGCAGACACAGCTGTGTAACAGCCAAAGGTCTAAAATAGTGTTTTGAAGCTTCAGAGACATTTGAAAGATCTCTCAGTGCCCTCCTTGGCTATGCAAAGGCAAAGGTGCTGGTTAGGAAAACCTGAGGTTCTGAAACATGGGTTGGGTATCTTGATGGATGCTGTATTAGTCTCTTCTCACACTGCTAATAAAGACATACCTGAGACTGGGTAATTTATAAAGAAAAAGAGGTTTAATAGGCTCACAGTTTCCACATGGCTGGGGTGGCCTCACAGTCATGGCAGAAGGTGAAGGAGGAGCAAAGCCATGTCTTACATGGCTGAGACAAAAGAGCATGTGAAGGGGAACTGCCCTTTTATAAAACCATGAGATATCATGAGACTTATTCACTATCATGAGAACAGCATGGGAAAACCCCACCCCCTTGATTCAATTACCTCCCACTTGGACCCTCCTGCTACATGTGGGGATTATGGGAGCTACAATTCAAGATGAGATCTGGGTGGGGACACAGCCAAACCATATCATTCTACCCCTGCCCTCCCCAAATCTCATGTCCTCACGTTTCAAAACACAATCATGCCTTCCCAAGAATCCCACAAAGTCTTAAATCATTCCGGTATTAACTCAAAAGTCCAAGTCTAAAGTCTCATCTGAGACAAGGCAAATCCTTCTGCCTATGAGCCTGTAAAATCAAAAGCCAGCTGGTTATTTCCTGGATACAATAGAGGTCGAGGCATTGCATAAATGCACCCATTCAAAATGTGAGAAATTGGCCAAAACAAAGGAACTACAGACCCCATGGAAGTCTGAAATCCAACGAAGCAGTAATTCAATCTTAAAGCTCTGAAAATCTCATTTGACTTCATGTCTCACCTCCAGGTCACACTGATGCAAGAAGTAGGCTCCATGACCTTGGGCAGCTCCTGCCTGTGGCTTTGCAGGGTACAGCCCCACTCCTGGCTGCTTTCATGGGCTGGTGTTGAGTGTTTTAGGCTTTTCCAGGTACACAGTGCAAGCTGTCAGTGGCCCTTTTATAAAATCATCAGATCTTGTGAGACTTATTCACTATCACAAGAACAGCACAGGAAAAAGCTGCCCCCATGATTCAGTTACCTCCCACTGGGTCCTTCTTACGACACATGGGGACTATGGGGGCTACAGTTCAAGATGAGATTTGGGTGGGGACACAGCCAAACCATATCAGATGCCCTGAGGATATTGCCTCTGAAATTTCACATTAACCCTCTGGGCTCCAGAGGCGGATTACTGTCCCTTAGAGAGAGCTGTTACTTTCTCTGTACTGAAACACCCTGCAGAGGCCACTCCTCCCTAAGGAAACAGGTGGTACCCCCAAAAGCAGCACCCTTATCCACTTCTGTCTGCAGCACGAAAATTAGTGTTAACTACCAGAATAACCACATTGGACCCTCTAAAGAAGGAAGAAAACTACATACACTGAAAAAGTTGAAAGAATTAGCTATCATTAAGCCAGGAGTACATCCCTAGAAGGTGATTTTAAAGGCTTTTGATCAAAGAGGCCAGAATGTAAGACCATCTAAGTAAGTATTTTTTGATGTGGGGCCATTAATTTTCTCAGGATAAGGCACATCATAGTTGGATCTTAGGAGATGGGGCAAAGTTGCTGAGGGGGTGGCTCTTGGAGGCCTGAAAAAAAAAATGATATCCTCCAGCACTAAGTGAAGTAGGAAAGCCTGAGTTGCTTTGTGAAATGTTAAAGGCAGGAATAGAGGCTGGGAAGCAGGCATGCTGGAGTGGATACATCATGTGAGGCCAGAAGAGCCAGCAGACGATTATGCTCCATAGGAAGCCAAGAGGTCACATCATTCTCCACGCCAGCATTCCAGTGAGAGGGGCACCAGCATCATCAAAAAGTTCAGTAGAGGCCTCCTCTGCAGCCCAGTGCTAATGGTAGGAGAAACTGACACAGCCTTCAGAGGCCAGGTAGTAGAGCTTAAACACCAGATACTTGGAGGCCACAATTATTCTAGTCAAATGAACAGACAAAGGAGCTTGACCCACAGGGAATGGTGAAGATGGCTGGGATATTATGATTTTATATATATGGTTTTCATCCATGGTTCCTGGCTTATATCTCCCTTAGCCCTTGTCATAGTCTTTCGTTATAATGTTTGGGTGCCTCAGGCCTCAGAAGCAGGCTTCAGGAAACAGAATCTCCCTGTCTGATCTTCTGTCCTCCCTTTACCAGCCAAAGGCAGGGCCCTAACTTGATTGTGAGTCAAAAGGCCCTCATTCCAGAGAGGGTCCTTATCTATACTCTGGAAGGACAAATGCTGCACAGAGAGATGAAGAAGACTCTGAACAAGGAGGCCTTGCTGGTTTTGTCCAGCCTATGGGGATCATACCCGTTTTATCCAATCATGTTTCTACATGGTTGTCAATCATGCCTATGTTCTGAAGCCTCCATAAAAATCTAAAGGGAAAGAGTTCAGAGAGCTTCTGGATAGCTGAACACATGGAGGTTCCCAGAGGGTGGTGCACCCAGGGAGGGTATGGAAGCTTGTGCACCTTCTCCCATTCCTCACCTTACATGTGTCTTCATCTGCATCCTCTGTAATATCCTTTGTAGTAAACTGATAAATGTAAGTAAGTTTTCCCTGAGTTCTGTGAACTTCTCTAACAGATTATTCGAACCCGAATTGGGGATTGATCATGGGAACCCCAACTTGAAGCCAGTCAGTCAGAAGTTCTGGAGGCCCAGACTTGTGACTGGTATTGAGGGGGTGCCATCTTAGAGGCTGAACCCTTAACCTGTTCAGGGAGAGAGCATCAGAATTGAATTAAATTAGAGGACACCCAGTTGGTGTCCATTGCTCGGTGTATGGGAAAAACCTTCCACATTTGATCACAAAAATCTGAGGACAATAGGCTAAGGCACAGCTGAAACCATCCTATGAGCTAATCTTGATTAAAAAAACTCTTTGGGGAGGGGATGGCACCATGCTACCTACATGGAGGAAGTAATATAACTAATTGAATATGGAAATACTAAAATAAAAAGGCTTTTCCTGGGACAGAGATGGGTCAGCTTTCAATATCTCCTGGCAAACTCTAGCACTCATTTACTTTCCTTCAGTTTGGAATATCACTATTAGCAGTTGGTTGTTTTCATGATGTGATTGGAGCAGAATTAGGTACTCACATGGGGTGGACAATGATATTCCTCCACAATTCTGCCTCAGCTCTATGTGAACTCTGTGTTTACTCTCCTGTCTCCATCATGTGGCTGGGGCATTCCACAGAATCACACTGATCCATTACATGGATGACATCATGTTGATTGGACAGGAAATGCACAAGGTGGTTACTATGCTGGAAACTAGAAGACACATGCACTCCAAGGGGTGGGAGATGAATTGTATGAAAACTCGAAGACCTGTGCTTCAAAATCTCACGGACATTTTGGTGTTGAATGTATCAGTGGTGAAAAAGGTGCAGTATGGAACTTATGGCAAACTCTAGTGGGAGATTTGCTACTTGCTCCTGGGATTCAAGTCAATGTCACTTGAGTCAGGAAAATGTACCCCACTGAGAAACAGCTACTGCTGTGTTTTGGGGCCCTGGTGGAGACACAAAGCTTAGACATGCAACACCAAGCAGCAATGCATCCAGAACTGCCCATTATGAACTGAATTCTGTCAGATTCACCAAGTCACAAAGTTTCACATGCTGTTGGTATGGAGCAGTTCATACTAAGATAAAAATGTTATGTTTGTGATTAAACTGGTGGAGGGCCAGAGAGCATTAGCAAACCACTGACCAGGTAGCCCAGACCTCCATGTCACTCACCAGAGTTGTACAAATGCCCTTCCCTCTGGCTCACTCTTATTGTCCTATGGTGCATCCTGTATTACTAGATGAAACAGGGGATGGAGTGGGGGAAGGGCCAACTTGCTTGGTATTTGTATTTCCTGTCTCGGGATGCAATCCAAGAATGGATACTCCTTCATTTGAGCTATTGAAAAATTGTATAAAGAGGAAACCTCAATGGATAAAATCATAAGCAGTGTACCTGGTCATTGACTTTGTGTGGAATGTAGAATAACCTTGATATTCCTGGACATTGGTCAATGGCTTGGACATTTTGCCAGGGGTCTGGAAGGAAAAGGGCTGAATATCAGAGACTGGGAGGTTTAGAGTAGTATCATGGTGTTGAACATATGAAACTCAGCACACGTTGTAAACATTTTTTGTTTTACACATTAATGCACAATAGAAATGTCTACCATAGAAAGACTCTGAACAGCAAAGTAACAAATATAACTCAGCTGGTTGACACTAACCGGCCTTCATTATCAGCCACTCCAGATTTGGCATGTTGGGTACATGTAGAGTGGCCATGTTGGCAAAGGCAGAGTCTACATAGGGGTTCAACAGCAAACCACGCTTACCTACCTACCAAGGCTAATCAAGCTACTGTTGTCTCTGAATGCCTGGCCTGTCAATGAGACATGACTGACTACTGAGACTCCAGTGTGGCATTATTCCTTGAGGGGACCAAACCGCCACTTGCTGCCAAGCTGACTACATTGGGCCCCTTCTATCATGGAAAGCCCGGTAGTTTGTTCTCAAGGATAGATGCTTATTCTATACATAAGCTTGAGTTTTCTGTCTTCATAATCTCAGCTAACCCTGACATCTGGGGCTTCACAGAATGCCTGATCCATAGGCAAGGAATCTCACACAACATAACATCCAATGAGTGGGCATCCTTTACAATGAAAGAGGTGAGGTAAAGGTCAGACAACCATGGCATCCAATGGCTATGTCTCATCCTGCACCATCTAGAACTGTCCAGAACTCTGGAACAGCTTTTAAAACCCCAATTCAAATGTCAGCCTTAAAGCAACACTCTGAAATTATGGGGATCAATCCTTAGAATGTAGTGTACGCATTAAATCAGAGACCTTTATGTGGTGCTGTGTCCCCCATGGGAAGAATATATGGATCCAGGAGCCACAGAGTGGAAGCAGGCATGTACTTACTTACCATCACTAGCAATTACCTGCTCCGGGATTCTGTTCCACTGTACTCTGCCACTTTAGGTTTTGCGGAGTTGGAGGTCCCTGTAAGAAAAGTGGACATCCTCTTGCAATGGAACACAGAGAGGTCCCTTTGAAATACATGTTACAGTTACTGCCTAGGCACTATGGACCCCTTGGGCCCAGAAACCACCAAGGTAGAAGAGAAATCATCATACTGGGCAGAGGCAATTGACCTTTACCAGCATGGGGAAATGGGCTATTTCTGATACAATAGAAGTGGTGAGGACTATGTATGGAATCCTGGTGACTCATGTGAGCACCTCCTAGTTCCCACTTGCCCCATTCTAAATGCCAATGGTCATATGCAGCAACCCTGCCTGAGAAGAGTATGATTAGCAAGAATACAGACCTCCCAGAAACGAAGGTTTGGATCACACTACAGGGTATAGCACTAACAACCTGCACAGGCGATCACAGAGTGTGAAGGGAATTCTGAATGCATATAAGAGAAGAGAGCATTTGAATATCAACTGTGGTCCTGAGATCAATTGCATCAAAACTACGTCTTCCTTCTGAGCTTCTTGTCAAGGAGAGAGGCCCATGGGGGAGCCACTCCCACACCCTGTGTTGTGAAGTAAATTTACGTGTTGCAAGAGGTAGACTATGGCGACCATCAAATTGTGCCTTTCAGAGTTCCAGCTGACAGGAGTATAATTAAGCAAGGACTCTAGCTGCTGAGCTCTGAAATTCGTCACCACTATTGTGCCAAGGCTTCTCTCCTTATTGCTTTCCTCAGCATTTGCTTACTGAGTGCAGCAGCCGCTGGGTAGGTCATTCCTGGAAGATGGGGGAATCCTCTGATGGGTCACTTGGCTCAAGTCCTTCCCGTTGGCCATTGACCTTGACAAACTTTCTTAGAACTGCCTTCTTCCACTCAATCCTCTCTCCCTCTGTCCTCCACAAGGGTCAGATGAGCATCTTTGTTTGAGAGCTCTCCAAGGCTTTCCTGGTTCTCTCCCAATTTTCCTTCATAGACATTTTCCCTAATAAATCTATTGCCCATCTAATCCTGTCTTGGCATCTGCTTTTCTGAGAAACTGCAGTAGCACATGTGTGTTGGCACAAGTCAATTCATGGAGTTTAAGTAAACTATACACTGAGTTGTAATACTAATGAAGCCATAAGTATTTCTTGCTTCTTATATATACCAATTGGCTTTCCTTCATTCACTTATGATAACCTGTACTCCTAATCCACTCAGCAACCTTTCAATTATTTCTTACTTAAAACAAGACGGGAAAGATTAGTTAACAAGAAAGTGTGAAGATGTACAGAATTACTATTGAAAAGCCTCTCAAAACTATGCCCTTCTGACAAGAGAATATTTCTGAGGCACGATCTATATTGGAAAGTGATGTAGAGATATGCATAAGCAAAAAGTAGTGAAATCGCTTCAACATTCTGATATGTTCACTTTGTTTAGTGTTTTAGTTGGCTTTAAATTCTAACAATTAAGAAAGCTTACAAAATGGTTTGCAGAAGAATATTAGTGAAAGGATTATTGAGTACTTCATCCATAAGTCCTTTGAACAGGAAGCACACATCTTATAATGCAAACTAATTTTTTAAACAAATAGATGCCTGTGATTGGATGGATCTATAAATTCATGTTTACATTGCTAATGGCATTATTAGCATAAATCTTTTATAGCATATATTATAGCAGCTTTCAGGTAATTGATGCCTCCAAAAAATATTTATTGATCTGACGTAAAAATATCTTTGAGAAATGACTTTGATTAGATGCATGCCATAGAGGTAAAACTGACTCACCAGCTGGGTGTGATAAAGAAATAGACCAAGTGTCATCAAATGGATTTTTCTGGTGCCATTGGTGGGAGAAGCATATCACTGCATAAGTGACTTTGCCTGTGGTGATTATAACTGACAACCAAATGGCCTACATGAGTGCCATGTTATCACCACAGTGCAGCTGATAATTCAGGAAAACACAGACTCAGTGGGTATGTTTCCTGTGGCAACTGAGTCAGATGGCTATACTTACTAGAGCCTAGTAGAACATAGTAGCATCTACTACGTTCAATATGATCACAGTTTCCTGCTAGGTAGAAGGCAAATTTCTGTCTTTGCATGCTTTTCACACTCTGAGAAAGATAAAGTTCTCCAATTTGATCCCATTTTCCACTCATCACACGTGTAGCTTACAGTGAAGGTTAAAGGAAGTTAGTTACAGGGATTTTCTGTTAAATATGGGAATAGATAAAGAATAAAAGGAAAATGATGGCATATGCCAAAATTAAGGGAACGAGAATCCTTTTATGAATGTGTTCTAAAAATCCAAATAGTTTTGTGACATTTTAGACAGGAAAAGGCATTTTTATACTGAAGTAATGTAGGGTTGTGCAAAGCTTCACATCAGCTGATAAAGAAAAATATAGGTTCGTAGGTTCACATAAGAAGTTCAAGTATTTCATCTCAGCTTCGATTCTTAAGCCATTTTCCTGCAAACTAGCAAATTTCTGCCTACAGCAAACTGATGAAAATTCATGGATGTTTTCATTCCTTCAGTTTAGGGCAGAATAGTAAAACTTTTGCCTTAGATCAAACTTTTGAATATTTGAGGGAAGGAAAAAAAAACACATCATTTCTCAAATGTGAATACCCAAAGTGAAATGTGGCCGTTTCTTACATTTTTAGATGCCTGGAAGTTTTCCACAAACTTCTATAACAGTCACTCTGCAGCCTTCTGCTATAAATGTTTCAGGAACTATCTAGGGAAATATTCTATTGAGAGGGAAGGCAGGATTATCTAGCAGATAGAGCGTGGAATTTGGACTTAGACAACCATCTGAGACCTGCACCTGCCTCTTTCATTGCCTTATGGTGCGGTGCTGTATAAATGATTCAGACGCTCTTTGCTTGTATTTTTCCCTGTGGCAATAGAGGGAAATAGGCTGAGCATTAGCCCCTTCTCAACTGTCAGAGAATACCATAAAGGTAAATATGACATTGTCTGTAAAGTGCTCTGACCTGTAATCCAGAAAAACAGTGCAGATATGTGAGGCCAGAGAGACTGTATAGACATTACAGAGTCCTAGCTTGGAAACTGCCTGAACCCTTCATGTCTGTATTCATTCAGAGGTCCCTATGACACATGATCAATGATAGGTATTACCAATTGCTAATTCCTTCTATTCTAATCTTTCCTTCAGCACCTGGCACATATTAGCCTCACTCTCACAAACCCAATGAAGAGAGACAATCCTAATAGTCAATCAATGTGCATCTATTAATTGTTTAATAGGCACAATGTATTCTGCTGAGCATTAGACCTCTGATGAGAGTCTATTATAATAATTTATAAAACATAGTTACTGTACTCAAGACCCTTGCAATCATGACGTAGCTGTAAAGGAGAAGTGTCTGAATCATTTAAAATCACATTAGACAGCCCTACATGCCAAACCACTGATAGGATTATTCCAAAGGGTTCAAAGGAGGGAGGGTGTGGCTCGGGATAGAGGATTCTGGGATTGTCAGTTTTAATATGATTTAATTTGTAATTAGAACAAACATACTCACAAATACAGAAGAAAAAAAATGAATACGTACCCACAAGTGTAAAAAGATAAAATGATACTTCTGGCAGTTACCATGCTGAAAAGTGATTCATTAATATTTCTGGATGCCATCAGTTATTTCACTGTTCTTATTAATTTTAAGCAATTGTAGCCCACCCTACTGATTATTTTCCTTATATGCCAGATGTGAGGTATTTTGATAGTTCATTTGTAAACCCTGGTTCAGTCAGTCAGTATGGACATATCTTACAAAATAATTTCAGAATAAAGGGAGGATCACGTAAAATATTGGGAAGATAATTGGTTGATTTCACTCTGAGACCTTGAGCCCCTCACTTTACCTGTCAAAGTCATTCGGTTGGTTCATTTGTGATATAAGAGGGTTGGGCTAGATTTCATGGGCCAGTTACAGAATTCTCTGGGGGAAAAAAAAGTTCTATTTAAAACATACTTTCTTGTGCTGCTGAAAAACTCATCTTGTGTTTGTATTCTATCAGAATCCATGATCATTTCTTGTCATTAAGATCGATATCTCAATTTTATAGACCACGAATGCTTCAGGTAGAGGAGAGCCAAATGATGCTCTCAAAAATGCGCTTTAACTGTAACTCTTAATTTAATCATATTTAAACTGGATGTTCCCAAGCTCTATTAAATTTAATATTCAACTCAGTAGAGCTTTGGTCTTGCCCGTAAGTACTAACTTAGATAAATAGGCTGGTTCTTGAAAAGAACTTGTGCCGCAGTGAGCAAGCATCTGCAAAACAGAGAGGAGGCAGATGGCCTTTGCTGGGGGGTATATTAGCAGCATGCCTCTATTTCAAAGAATATTGGTAAAATATTTGTTTTAAATATCATGGTATGTATCATCAAAAGGTTTAACAATGTCAAAACATCCTGTCAATTCAGAGAAAATAGTAATTCAATTTAAAATAAAGTAGGAAAATGTCATTTGTTTTATGAGAAAAATTGCAAATCTTGATTTTCTTTTAAACAAGCATGTTTCACTGTGTCATATCCTATTAAGAAACTAAAATTTACCTGTACTGCATGGTATAAGTAATGTGAACAATAGTAATATATTGAAAAATAAAATCAGCTATATTGAACATAAAAGAGAAAAAATATTTCTCCAGAAAATTTCCTAGAATTTTAAAAGAATATGGTCTTAATTAGTGTTATAAACTGACAATAATTAGTTGTGGCATGAAACAGCTACTTTAACACATTATGAAATATGTTTATTCATTCTATTTTTGTTGTTGTTTTGACGGAGTCTCCCTCTGTTGCCCAGGCAGGAGTGCAGTGGTGTGATCTCAGCTCACTGCAACCTCTGCCTTCTGGGTTTAAGCAATCCTCCTGCCTCAGCCTCTCGAGTAGCTGGTACTACAGGTGCATGCCACCACGCCCAGCTAATTTTTGTATTTTTAGTAGAGATGAGGTTTTCCCATATTAAACAGGCTAGTCTCAAACTTCTGACCTCAGGTGATCTGCCCACCTCGTCCTCCCAAAATGCTGGGATTACAGACGTAAGCCACTGTGCCCGACCGAAATATGTTCATTTATTCTATGAGGGAGTTTGTGCAGAGTCGATAACATGTTATGCAATATTTAAATCAGTATTTTCCAATAGAAATATAATGCAAACCACATATATGCATTTTTAAATTTTATAGTTTCTTTACTAAGAATAGTAGAAAATATAGAGGTAAATTAGATTTTTATAAATTTTATTTAGCACAATATGTAAAATATGATCACTTTAAAAATAAACATTATTTAAATACTGCAATTTTTAAAATCAAGCCTTCAACATTTAGTGTGTATTTTATTTATAGTTCAGTTCAATTCAGATTAGACACGTTTCAAGCATACGATAGCCACATGTGGTGGGTGACTATTGGTAGTGTGGTTTAGATGGTGAGAATACACTAAGAAGCAACAAAGACATGACTACTTTCTTACCATTTATAGTCTAGTGCGGAAAACAGATTCTGAACAATAAATTACAAGTGCAATATTTAGCAATATGTCTCAAAAAGCATTGCAATCATGTGCGGCATAAAAATGTTTTGGTCAATGACAGACTTCATGTACAATGGTAGTCCTGTAAGATTATAATATAGTATTTTACCTTTTCTATGTGTAGATATGTTTAGATAAACAAATACTTATCCTTGTGTTCCAGTTGCCTACAGTATCCTGTACAGTAACATGCTGTACAGGTGTGTAGTCTAGAAGCAAAATGCTATACATGTAGCTTAGGTTTGCAGCCGGCTATACCATCTAGGTTGCTGTAAGTAAACTCTATGATGTTTGCGCAATGAGGAAACTGCCTAACGATGCATTTCACAGAATGTCTCCCTATCGTTAAGCATGGCATGACTGTACATAAAATAAATATTGCTGAGTACATGTAATGAATTTCCACTTCACATATGCTACAGATAATGTGTTTTTCTATGTGAGTGAGATCACTCTTGGCATTTTTTAGGGAACGTATTCTAAATTAACATACTTTTGTAGTCTACTGGCATTCTTTCATCTTTGTGCTTCCCACTTTTCCCATGTCAGGATTACGTTGTAAGTTTGAAGTTAGAGAGGTATAAGCCAGAGCATAATAATCCTTTAATACAATTATATATGATTTAAAAAATTAAAGTAGCTTGTTGTAAAATAAAGAAAAGTTTTCAAGGAAAACTTCATTTAGGATAAGAGAAAATTTAACATTTTTCCATGCATTTCCCATAGCTTTATAATTTCTAAGATTTCTGCTGGCATGTGTTTGCAAAGGCTTGTTACTAAGCACTATAGACCTTTTCTAGGTTATTACAAAAGTAGCTTATTTCTTATGAAATCTTACAATTATACCTAATTTATATATAAGGGCTGGTGTCAAGAGAGTACTTAGCTATTAAGATAATAGAAATATAAAACAATTAAAAACATAAAAAGAATAGTTTATATATAAGATAGACTCAGTCTTGCTGAAAGATATGTCTTTATTGATTTCATGTAACTCAGGCTTAATCGTAGATGGTACCGAAGATGGTTATATATTTATTGAGATTTGAAGAATGCCAAAAAGCACAGATGAACCAAAAGTTTAATGTTCACTCATCTGACTAAAAATATATCTTTTGTATGTTGCTTCTTAAACAAAAATTGCTGTAGAATTTCAGACAGAGAAGATTGCGTGGATTGCAAGAGTCATGTCCGTGAGAGAAAATTCCTAACCTGGAATTTAATGACTGGATAGAGCTGGATTTTACTGGAAGGAATAGGTAGGTCTTTCTTATTTGGAAAAGCAACATGAAGTGAGAGGTAGAAACCGGCAAGATTTGTTGGGAGAATAGAGCAAATGGCTTAATTCTGAGACACAGTGGAAATGTATAAAGGATGAACAATTTAAATCTAGTTAATGGAGAGTTAGAATCTTAAAGTTGATTCAATAGGTGATATGGTACCAAAGCAGTTTTAAATCAGGGAAGTGGCATAAGGAAAATGCCATTTTTGGAAGATTCATCTAGCAGAGGTGACAGGATTGATTTAAAGATGCTAAAGAAAAATATCAAGGAGGTTGAGTTGAGAGACCAGATCCAATAATAGATTTGGAAGATTTAAACAAGACTTCTTAAAATGAAAGACTCATGCTTTTTTGACAGCATAGGAAATGGAACTGGTAAAAAGGACGAGTAAGAGAAGGCTGGGAAAAAAATAGACTAAATGCAGGATTATGTTTGGATTCAGGGCTCTGGCGGTGGAGTTGGATAGATATAAAAAGAAGGAAAGACAACTCTTGCTGACAGCATAGACAGTGATATTTTGAACTGTAGAGATTAATTCTCCTGAATTTCTGTTGTCCAGCATAAAACATAGTGGGATTACATTTTATATTATTATTCTTAGATCTCTTTCCTCAGAGCTAAAGTAAATTGAATGCTGTTTGAAATATTACTAAGTGAACTATGGCAATATTTTCATCTCCTTTCTAAAAGCATACATATTTTGGTTTAAATTATTTAGGAAGTTATGAAACAAAACAGGATTTATGTCTGCCTTATTTTGACATATAGTTTACATTTGGAAAACTTTGCCCTAGGATGGCATTGGATAAAATTTTTATGATAAATTTGGGCACAGCCAAAGCAAAATCACAAAACTCAGAACAGTAATAGACTTTATAAATCATGTAATTATATTGGTAGAGAAATAACAAATATTTATTGTTTATCAGATGCCGAGTCTGTAGAGGGCATTGGCTATACATGTTTAAAAAAATAAAAGAAAAAGAAAAAAAACTGTCTTTGTGAATAAATTTAGAATCTGTTAGAGGAAATGGTCATTAAACACATATAGAATTATAAATTTGAATAAATCCTTGTTATTTGTTGAATTATGTCCCCTAAAAATTCATATGTTCAAGTCCTGACCCCCAATATCTCAAAATGTAACTTTATTTGAAAATAACATAACTAGAGGTATAATTATTTAAGATGAGGTCAAACTGGTGTAGGGTTGGCCCCTAATCTAATATGACCAGAGTTCTTGTAAGAAGGGGAAATTTTGACACTGACATAAACACACAGAGAGCTCCATGTGAAGATGGAGGCAGAGGTCAAAGTGCTGCTTCTGAAATCCAAGGAATGCCAAAGATTCCCAGCAAACCACCAGGAACTAAGGGAGAGGAATGGAACAGATTCTTCCTCACACCCCCTAGAAGGAACTGACCCTGCTAACATCTCCATCTAAGACTTCTAGTCCTTGAAACTGTGAGATAATAAATTCTGTTGTTTCAGCCACCCAGTTTGTGGTACTTTGTTATGGCATTCCTAGAAAACTAATACAGTGATAAATACAAAAAGAAAATTATTGGTAATACTAGGAGTGGATAAGGTGATAGGGCTTACTTTAGATCTGATGGGCAAAGGAGACCTCTTTGAGGAACTTATAATTGATCTGACACCTGAAGAATGAGCCAGCCATGTGAGGTATGAGGCAGAGTGATCTGGGCAGGAGAAAGAACATGTGCAAAGGCCCTGGTATAGGAAATAACTTGCCGCAAGTAAGGAGTTGAAAAAAGGCTAGTGTGGCTGTTGCACAGCTAATGAAGGTGAGAGTGGTACACGATGAGGCTGATAAATTCCTGGTAAGTAAATTGGACTTTGATTTTTATTCTAAGGGATTTGGCTGGTAAGGAATTTGACTTTTATTCTAAGAGCAATTCCTTTAGTTAGGAGACATGAATGGGTTTTAAGCAAGTGGTGACCTTATCCAATGTATCTTTTAAATAAATTCTAACTACTATGTAAGTCATGATATGGAGGGAAACAGTGACAGCAATGGAGCAGGAAATCAGGCTTGGATTAGGTGGGTTTTAGTAGATTATTGATAATGAGCAAATATTTAATATTGGGAGGCAGAGAGCATGTGTAGTAAAGAATTTCTCTCAGGTTTTTGTTTTGAGCTATTGGGGTTTTTAAAAAATTATTATTTATTGAGAAGCTAGAGGAGGAACAGAGTAGGGAAAGGATAGAATGGAGGAGGACTCATAGAGTGAGTTCGGCTCTGTATGTGTTAAAATTGAGATGCCCAGGACAGAGTCAAGCAGAAATACCAAGTGAGTGATTTCTTTCTTTGTAGCTCCAAAGAAAGGTCTAAGGGCCGAGGTTGAGACATAGAAGTTACATGTGTTCTACAGTGACCACAGGGAGTTAATAGCACAGTATAGAGTAAAGCTGAAGGCTTCCCGATTCCCAATCCAGTGTTCTTGCAACCTCATGTAAATGCCTAGTCAACAACTTTATAGGATGCTTTGATTAAGTAGTAAGGGAGCACTTTCTTGGGTTGTATTGGGAATAAATATACAAGCATCTGTATAGCAAAAAGCATAGGTGGATAGAGTATTGACACAAATGCACAGAAATAAGATTAAGAAGGCTTGGAGTCTACTTTTAGCTTTGCCACTGCTGTAATTGGTTTAACTGTGTCTCAATGAAATGAGTGTATAATATCATATGATCTCTAAGATATCTATTAGTTTTAAAACCTGATAACTCCCCAGGAGCAATTGAGCTCCTGGGTAAACAATCTAATATTATTATTGTACATGTGCATAAGAAAGTATGTATAAAGATCCTCAATAAAATGTTGTTTAAAGCAAAATTTAAATGAACTTCAGTGCCCATCAGTAGAAAGAAATAAAACATTCTATGTTTATGTGGCAAAATATTATTTAGCTGTTTAAAATAATAAACTAGGTCTAGGTGTGTATAGAAAGATCACAAATACAGAATGTTGAATGCCAAAAATGTTAGTCTCAGAATAATACTTGAAATAATTTACCTTCAACAGATGCACATGTATGTAAGAATGCTAAAAATAAGATGGATGAAATTCTAGTTAATTACTGGAATGGAGGAAATAAATAAGACTAGGGATGGGCTAGAAAGAAAGCTTCAAGCTCATAATATTTCATATAAAATTATATTTAAACTATATATAACAATAGCATTAAACAGGAGTTTATTGTATTATTCTTTCTATATTTTTAATTACACAAATCTTATGACTATAGGTCAGTTAAAACATTATTTTCACGCTGGTAATCCCAGCACTTTGGGAGGCCGAGGTGGATGGATCACTTGAGGTCAGGAGTTCAAGACCGGCCTGGCCAACATGGTGAAACCCCATCTCTACTAAAAGTACAAAAAATTAGCTGGATGTTGTGGCACGCACCTGTAATCCCAGCTACTTGGGAAGCTAAGGTAGGAGAATCACTTGAACCCGGGAGGTGGAGGTTACAGTGAACCGAGATCACACCACTGCACTCCAGCCTGAATGACAGAGTGAGACTCCATATAAAAACAAAACAAAACAAAAAACACACAATAAACCCATTATTTTCATTTTTTGTTATGGAGGATAAAAAGTTTTATTTCAATATATGGAATATTTGAATGCGCTATCATTGATTTCTTGAAACAGAAATATCATTTTATACTTCATAACATTATGTTTCCATTTTTAAATTTTACTTAACAAACTATGATGTGTGTTCTTCAGTTGTGCTGGGCGCTGTCACATCCATATTTATTTCAGGTTAACAACTTTCTAAAGGAGGTGCCTATTTCACGAACAGCAAGTCTGAGGTTCCTAGAAGTTAAAAGCTTGCCCGAGGGTACAGAACTGGTAAATAGAAGAGATAAAAGTTGAAACTCAGTTGTTTTACTCTAGGTTTTTTTCTTTCCATCACACATGACTGACATACACTTCTAAGCTAAACACACAGTATAAGCTCCACTTATTCCTAATATTCACACTTCCTTATAAAGTAGGGGTTTCATTCAGTCAATATGTAGTCTAATGTACTGAACCCAGCATACACATATTTTGCATATAAATGCAGTAAAAATTCCAGAAATACACATTAGGAAATGAAAGAAAATATGTACTGTTAGGAATTCCATCTTGTTTTAATCATAGAAAGCCTATTCTCTATATCGATGCTCTGGTTTTATTTTTTTAAATATCTTTATAGCTGTTATAATTTTGTTCCTCTTTTTGGAACCTTGATAATAAGTTGTTGCTTTAGATGTTAAAATGGATGAAGATTTTGCTATATTTAGGAACAAATTATTTTACTATCATGGAGTAAAATTTTATTGATTTTCTAAAAAAAAAATAAGACAACTTCAAGAAAAACACTACAAGAAACATTTGACAAGAACTTCACAAATGTAACTTTACTTTCATTAAACACTTGCTTCCTTCTTTCTCTTCTTTTCAGCCTATTGTTCCTGTTCCTCATCTCATGATTTTTTTTGGTTATATTTGAATGATGAGCCCAAAGCATGAAAAGCTGTTGTTTTCAACCTTTATTAATGTTTCCCAACTCATTTCCCTATTTGCCTGCTGACAACCTGCCAAAATCACCCTCTGGTGAATTGTAAAAAGATTGGGGTAGCATTTATGGGATCCAAAATGTGTTGCAGATAATTAGTAAATCAGAACTTTGTCACAGCAGATACTTTGCTACCCACACATCTCTATTTTTAAGCCTTGTGTGTCACACAATGTGTATTCATTGTCTGTTTCAGTGTGAGTAGCACGTCTTTGCATGGCATATAATACAGTTGAGTTGAATGAGAAATTCCATTATTCTTTTGTCATTTTGTATTGTCACTGGTTAATACATGAGATATACATATTTGGTGAATAATTGGAAACCACTATTGGCTTTTAAATAGCTTTAAAATGGGGAGGAGTTACTATTTTGCTACTGACTAAAGCAATCCATACATAACCTAAGTAGTTCATACCATAGTCTTTGTTTTCCAATAAAGGCAAGAGATAAAAATCTCCTTAGATGATCACATTTGTTTCCATACTAGTTAGTTTTAACTAATTTGATTGGCAAGAGTAGTGGGTCAGGAGATTGGTTCTTGAATCACACAAAATTGAAAAGGTTTTTTCAGTGTAATACACAGGTGATAAGTTGAGGCAAAAAGGAAAATTAGATTTAGGATGATGAAATGCTAGGATTATCAGCAGACTTTAATGGAAATCAACTGGAGAATCATAGGAGTAAATTATTTAGTGATCTGTTTCCTTTAAAATACTACCTAATGGCATAGCCTCTGTGCATATACATGCTCATATGTGTGTGTTATATTAACAAATGCACTCAACACTGATCCCACTTCATTCGTTCCTTAACTTTCAGCCCATAGAGAAGGTAGATCAACAGTTGGATATGAGAATACATACGTGCCAAGCTGTTTTAGTGTCAGAGGAAATTTATCAATTTGCATAGTTTCAGTGACTGTGGTCTCAATATATGTCAGGTATGCAGCCACGATAAAAGGGACTGGCTGCTGTGATATTATAATCAGACATCACTTATTCTTAAACACATAATAATAGCCTTGAAGTTCAAAAAAAGCAAGAAAGGTGATGGTTATTCTCATATCTAAGACGATTAACTTGGAGAAGACACATGACCTCCGAAAGTTGTAGATTCTTTATCTGTAAAAAGGGCACAAAAAAAGCTGCTTTTCCTACCTGATAAGATTCTTATTAGGGATAAACAAAGTGATATAAAGTCCCTTTGTAATTTTTGAGATGTTGTATATATTTAAGACATTACTTAGAATATCTAAATAAGCAAATAAGAATCTTTTCTAAATCAGAATGCATTCATTTATCAAATATGCATAGGTACCTACTATATTTCAGTTGTACTGTTCTAGGAATTGAGAAGACAGCAGTAAAAAAACAGAAAATAATTTCTGCCCTGATAGATCTTATACATTAGTGAATTGAAATAACAATAATAGATAAACTTTGTAGTATATCAATTGGTGATAAGTGCTATAAAATAAAATAAGACAAAAGACATAATTTAAATAGGAATCATTAGAAAAATAACTTGAAGAAGATGATAGCCTAAGCAAACAGGGAAGACCAAGTTGTATATTGAAATACTAGTTTAGAGAAAATGTTCATTCTTGACGAATGGTCTATTATTACTCAATCAGAGCCATGTGCACTGCTACCAATATTTTATAGTAAACTTAGCCAAGTGGTTTGGCAGATGAAAATTTGTTCTTACTCCATGCTTTTATATATTTAAAATAAACCATTTAAAGTCAATGCACCTTATGTCCCCATTTCCTTTGACAGGCACACAAAAAGTATTAATACAAGAAAAAGGAATGAAGTGTTTATTTTGTGTAGGTAATATGAGTGCAGTGTAATAAAAATCAACTTGACATTAACATATGCAAAATATTTTAGAAGGGTAAGTCTATCATCCAAAACAACATGATGTACTTAAAAAAGAAAATGTGGGATTAGTCTCACCCCCACACACAAAATAAATGCACCCTGTCTTAGCACATGTTCTCAAGAAAACAGATCTGGAGGCAGAAGCCTATGTGCTAACATTTATTTAGTGAGAGCAATCCCAGGAAAGCAGAAGAAAGGGAAAAAGGAGTATGAGTCAGAGAAGGAGGGAGTACATTACCAAACTGAATGCCTTCTTAGGCACAGCTGTCTAAGTGTGCTGTCTCAGTGTCCTCAGGACAGGCCTTTAGAGATTGTGTGTGTTTCTGAGCCTTCTCAGAACCCATTGAGGTGGTGGGTAAGGAGGAATGTATATGCTTAAACTGGGAGGTGAATGCAAGTTGAAATATAGGCCAAGGTGTTAACTAGCAACTGGACAGCAGGGAGCTTTGCAGAAGAAACTACCATGTGTTGCCTATGACAAAAGAAGGTCAAGAGCAGATGCATCAGGAACAGATATTCACATCCAAACACAATTGTCTGTGTGATCTCTCAGCTAACCAGCTGAGGTTGTGTGCAAGCTGAAGACCTTTCCACCATGCCATTACACCATGAAGAGAAAGAAAATGGAAAGAGGGAGGGGTTGAAACTTTGAAAAAATGAGTGAGCTAATGCAGAAATGATTCAGCTAATGAGAAGTATTTCAATCAGCTTAAAATGAAAAACTTAAATTTATTTTCCACTACAAATGCGAAAAGAAAGAGTGGTGAACAAACCCAGCTATAAAGAAATAAAATTAAATATCTGCACCTCTAAGGGATAACATTAAGTTTTAAACATCATATATTTTTACACATATATAAATCAACAAAAAGCAAGTATATTCAACCAAATGTTAAGAGTAGTGATGTTTAGCTAGTGAGCTTGTGGGTGACTTCTATTTTTTTCTTTAATTATTGTATATTCCCTAAACGTCCTCAAATGAAAGTGTATCACTTTTGCAATAAGAAAGAAAATTTGGTATTAGAACAGGTGCATTTGTGACTTCATCCATTCTGTGCTTGTGGAAGCTTGTTAATCTGAAAACGATTCCACTTTTAAGTGTTAATGGGCTAATAAGTCATTTTGGGGTGAGTTACTTTTCAAAGCTGTTGAAATCACATTTCTAACTGCGCTTTTGTTCTATTTACTGATAGGGAGGGCCTGCCTATAGCTGCTGTAACCTAATACAAAAAAAAAGAAAAAAGAAAAGAAAAAATATGCTTGTTGTCTGAACAAAATCTCATAACTATCTAACTAGCTGAAATAGTCATATTTTAATAAGTTGGTAAACTATCCTTTGAATCTAACCATTTCTGTATTTGAGGCCTTGATAGAACTTGGCTTAGTCTTTCATAAAGTAGAAATAGAGTTCAAGAGCTTCCATTTATTCTCAGGAATTTTGCCATATGTTAGTGCATAGTTTTAAATCTATTCAATTAATTGGAATTTGAAAAAGTGAAATATAAGCTAAGCTGTAAAGAATTATAGATGAAAAGCTTGCAATGGATTGTGATTATAATATCATATAGATAACCCCAATTCCTGTAATATAAAACTTACACCTAATCACAGTGTTGGAAAATGCATACAGAGTACTGGATATACAAAATACCAGCTGAGGTGATTCCTGGCCTTTGAAATTATTTAGCTTTTCAGCGTGATTGACTTATACACTGGTGTCTGCATGTGCATGCACAGAAACATACACACAAAGAAATGAAGAAAGAAAAAAAGCAATAACTTGATCTTGAGTTTTCCCATTGGGCCTGTATTCATGTGTTTTCCTAGGGTTGTCTGAAAAATTTGGCTCACTTTTCTTCCTGTTTCTTTCTTGATAGTCTTACAGAATTATTTTCATGCTTATTAAACTCTTCTAATAATTATTGGCTATAAAGTGTAGGAGGAAATTTTATGGTGATCACATATATAAGATGTAATTAATGATAAGTAATATAAATGGTGAAAAATGCTGGCTTTAAATCATCAAACAGTTAAGAAATGCTACATCCTTCAGAGATGAAAAAACTTGCATATTGGTTAAAATGTTTTATGCTGCAAGTAATGAAGATTCTGCTTAATGTGGCTGTGATGGTTAATTTTATGTTTCAATTTGACTGGGCCACAGGGTGCCCAGATATTTATTTAAACTTTATTCTCTGTGTGTCTAAAAGGGTGTTTCTGGAAGAGATTAATGTTTGAATAGGTAGATTGGGTACAGCAGATTGCCTGCCCAATGTTGGTGGGACTCATTCAATCCATTGAAGGCTTGAATAGAACTTAATGAATTCATTCTCACTTCCTGAGGGTTTCCTCTGCCTTGAATTCAGTCTCAGACTGGAACTAACACCCTCTGCTCTCCTCATTCTCAGGCCTTCGGATTCAGAATGGACCTATACCGTCAGCTCTCCTGGGACTCCAGCTTGCAAGTTTGGGGACTTCTTAGCCTCCATAACTGCATGAGCCAATTCATTGTAATCTCTCAATAGACAGATAAAGAGATAGATCTTTTATTGGTTCTGTCACTCTGGAAAACCTGGACTAATACACTGCCTTAACAATTAAAGGAAATTACTGGCTCAAGCACCAATTCAGTTAAAGTCGATTTAGTGTTATCTGATTCAATAGTTACAGAACGTAATGAAGGACCAGTTTTCGACCTTTTCAATGCTATCCTTTTCTGCAGGCAACTTCATGTTAAAGGGACTACCCTTGTGGTTAGAAAAGTTACCAGTAGCAATTCAACTTACGTGTTTTCTGTTTCATTACCAGCATATTAAAATAGAACCTTGCTATTAACTTGACACTAAAGCAATGACTACATCCAGGTGAATGGCAGGAGGCAATTGAATAAAGTCAATCAGATGCACAGCTGGAAATGAAGATAGTATCATCTTCCCTGAAGCTTATGAGTGGAGTTTGGAAGTTGTACAACCTGAATGATAATCTTGATAGTAGATATGGGAAGGAGAGTTCTAATTCTGGGTATGCAACCAACAATATCCGCTCTACTTGGGCTTACTTAACAGGGAGGAACCTGTTGACAGGAACATAGGCAGTAGACACTACCTCTTTAGAGAGCCTGGAACAAGAGATCTCAGAGTTCAAAAACACTGTACTTCAGGTTAGAAGGTCTTATACTGAGTTTACGATTATAGATAACATGCAATCAACAAAAGTGGTTTCTTCTATAAAATAAAAATAACATTATTGTCACAGTTTTGCAAAGAAGTTATTGGGATCTTACAATCAGATACATAGATTTCTTGATAAGAGACTAAGAAATCATGGTTTAATAATTACCATTCAAACTAAATATCTACAGTGAACATGCTTGTGAATAAGAAGAGGACAGACTCCTTCTTTTACCTACTCTTCCTAATCTATTTTACTTTTACTCATTTATCTTTTTCCTTTTCAAATGACAGAGCCCAGATAAATGGTAAATCTGAAAGAAATTGTTACACCTCTGGAAATAATCAAAGACTTAATGTGTTTTTATGTAACAGTTAAGTATATTAGAAATTGTGATTCTAAGATAACAAGGTAGACATCTTCTTTATAAGTTTTGCTGCTGAAAAAATAAATGAAAAAATGTTATTCATAGATACTGGGAGAGAATGAGCTCAATTTATCAATGAAGAAAAATTTATATTTACTTTTACCCCAGTATGCATTTTAGTACATCCTGTAAAACCTTTTGAAGCATATGTGGGTAGTATTTTTCTGAATATTTATTGTAGGTGAATATAAGACATACTAAGATACCACCAAAAATTAAATAACTAGCTTTTGTGTGTGTGTTTGTGTGGATATTTATTTATTTAAGTGCATTTTATTATTCACTTTTTACTTGGCTCAAAAGTCAAAAGTAAATGGGAAGCAGAGCATTCTAGTGAAAAGTACATGGGTGGCTTTGGATAGATCCAGTTCAAGACTATTTTCTCTACCAATTATTAACTATGTAAGCTTTTGGGCTATTGAAGAATGCCTTCGTGGCCAGCTTTGAACATTTATAGTCATTTCATTTTATTTCTCTTTAGTCCACATGCATAGATAAAGATAATTTAGTTATTTTAAGCTCTGGAGATCTATTTATTTAAAGCAGAAGCAAAATGGAAAATTATCATGGCACTTGTATTTATCAGGGTTCTCCTGAGTAATAAAACAAATTGTGTGTGTGTGTGTGTGTGTGTGTGTGTCTGTGTCTGTATGTGTGTGTGTGTAGAAAGATACTTATTATGAAGATTGGCTCACACAGTTATGGAAGCTCAGAAATCCTGTGATTAACTTTTTGCAAGCTGGAGGCCCAAGAAGGCTGGTGGTGTCGTTTCAGTCCAAGCCCCAAGGCCTGAGAACCAGGAACACAAATGTCCTAGGTCAGGAGCGGATAGATGGATGGCCCAGCTCAAGCAGAGTGAGTGAGTTTACTCTTCCTCCACCTTCTTGTTCTATTGAGGCCCCAAAGAAATTGGATGATGTTCACTTGCACTGGTGAGGATGATCTTTACTGTCTACCTATTCAAATGCTAAACTCTTCCAAAAACACCCTCACAGACACCCCTAGAAATAATGTTTTACCTGCTTTCTGGATATCCCCTAGCCTACTTAAGTTGACATATAAAATTAACCATCACCACATGAAATATTGAAAATATCTCTCTCTCAACCTAAATATATATAGGTCAAGCTCCCTTGCATTTTTGGTCCCATCCTTTAACAGCCCTTACACCACTTTGTGAAGACTTTTATTATCTAATTAGTTATTTATTAGAAATAGATGTTATTCAATATAGATCATGGCTTGACTTCAAATAATCAATTTTTTCCCCCTAAGAAATGGTTGGAACTCTCAGTAAGTTGGATCTAGTACTAATGAAAGTAGCCCCAGTGTGACTCAGGACTGAAAGCTTTAATAGACACCATTGTTTATTTGTTCTTTCAAGGAAAGGCAAGCATTTCACTTATTCCTTTTATTTGAGGTTCTTACTAGGGTAAAGGAGTTAAGTAGAGGGGCATAATGTCAACTCTAAGTGATATATTTCTTCCTAAGATCAAGTGAAGGGAATAGGGGCCAAATACTATTAGCTCACTGGCTCTATCTTACTAAGTGAAAACACTTAATGGTATTGACTAGGTTGGTGAATTCACATTTAATTTTTTTAAAAGTGAAATAAAAGCAAACTGAACCAAACCACAACAACAACAAAATTAAGCAACCAAACAAAAAAGTCACAAGTAAGCCAATTTCTGAAACTGAACTAAAAATCTATGAAGGAGCTTTTGGTTTTAGCTCTAACATGTACAGAGTTCAGAAGTCATAACTCCCATTGTTACAACAACAGTAAAGATGAGCAAATTAAAAAATCAATAACTTTTCTCAGACCCATAAGAGAACTAATGTCATAGAACAAACTTCCATCCAGAAGCATGGATAGACAGGCAGATCTAAAGAGTCATGCTGAGATGTTCTTACATGGAGCAGAAGGCACTGGAGCCATTAACTTGGACAAATTGCTGAAGCTGTGTGTGGACTAGCTTGAGAGTGAAAACTCATAGGTACTAGGGTCTTAAGGAGGCCCCCACACTTTTGTGTTTTACTCCCAGGAGACTCACCAGGTTCTCATGTTCAAGATCCAAGAAAAGTATGCTCTTGGCTCTAGCAGTGGGAAAAAAAGAGAATAACCATTGAGAAATACAGCCAGAGCTTGCTCCACTACAAATATCTACTCTCTAGGGGAAATTACTTTACCAAATCCTTATCCTACCTGTAAAGAAAAGAATTTCTCAGGCTTCTCACCTGTTAGCCCTTTCTAGTCCGCCTGTCTCACATAAGGGTGAGAACAAAGCTAAGAAACTCTTGTGAAATTCACAACCAGGGATACAAACCCACAAAAGATTGAGATGTAGTTATACAATTATAGAATGCTACCTCTTCCATATACCTTATCATCATACCAACAGGACTCCAGTATAATAACAGTAGATTACAGCTAAAAGAGCTGCAAGATGCGGACCCTATCTGAAAAAGAGCTCTTGGAAAAGCCCAAAATTAGGAGAGGTGAGAAAAAAAAAAAAAAGAATTCTAAAGAACTTTAAAGACTTTAGCATCTAGATATGTAATATACAAACACAGCCCTGCTCATAGTCAGATTAACATAAATCCTCACACTGAAGACCCATTTATTTCAGTTCCTAACATCCAAAACATTTTGCCCAGCTATTACCAAAAAATTACAAGGCATGCTGAAAGACAAAAAAAAGAATTCTGAAGAAATAAAAGAATAATTAAAACTAAAATATAACACCAAAGTGGAATTATTAGACAGATAATTTTAAATAGCCGTGATTCACATGTTAAGGGCTCCAGTGGAAAAGGTAGACCATGTGCAATGATAGATGGGTAATATAAGCAGAGGGATGGAAACTCTTAAGAAAAAATCAAAATGAAATGCTATCAATAAAACACCAAAATATTATTTTAAAAAGTTAAGAATGCCCTTGAAAGGCTTATTAGTAGACTGGACACAGCCAAGAAAAGACCCAGAAATTAAGTCAATAGCAACTTCCCAAACTGAATTGTAAACAGTAAAACAAACAAACAAAAAAAAGTGACAGATCATCCAATAACTGTAAGACATAAGACAATTTCAAAAACTGTAATACAGATAATTGGAATACCAGAAGCAGAAATAGAAATATACCATGAATATTTGAAGTAGTGATAGCTGACAATTTTCAAAAATTAATAACAGACACCAACCTAAAAATACAAGAAGACCAAAGAACATCAATCAAGAGGAATACAAAAAAAATGGTATTTAGATTTTTTAATATTTAAAGTATAGAAAACAATAACACATTACAAATCTTGAAATAAGACAAATGAAAATAAATCTACCTATAGAAAAACAAGAATAAGAATTACAGCAGACTTCTCACTAGAAACCATGCAAACAAGAAGAGAATGGAGTGGAATATTTAAAATGTTGGAAGAAAAATTTTATAAATCTATTATTCTATTCAGTATTCTATTCTATTCTATGAAATTATCCTTCAAAGTGAGGATAAAATAAAGATGATCTCAGACAAACAAAAACTTAAGGAATTCATTGCTAGTTGACCCATCCTGCAAAATTTTTAAAAGAAGTAACATTGGCCACAAATTGAAATCTATATAAAGAAAAGAAGAGCATTAGTGAAAAGATAAAGTGAAAGCTCTAATTTTTCTTTTATTAATTGATCTATTTTTTAAAAAGATACTCATTCTTTAATGTGGTAATAATACCAATGACAGAAAGATAGCTGAAAAGATTAAAAAATTTCCAAATATTTGGAAATTAAATAATATGCATAACATATGGGTCCAAGAATGAGTTTCAATAGAATATTTTAAAATATTTTTAATCAAATAAAAATACAATGTATCAAAATTTGTGGGATGCAGCCAAAGCAGTGCTTTGAGAAAAATTTATAGCATAAAATACTTATATTACAAAAGAGGAAATATTTAAAATCAATAATATAAGCTTAATTCTTAGGAAAGCAGAGAAGAGAAAGTTAATTCTAAAGTAAACAGAGAAGTTAATTCTAAAGTAAATAAGAATTACAACAGAAATTAATGAAACCGAATACAGGAATAAAGAAAAGAAAATCAAGAAAACTTGAAGCTGATCCTTTGGAAAAGTCAATAACAGTAATCAGCTTCCAGCCAAGCTAAATAGGAATAAAAGAGAAGTGACATAAATTACAAATACTGGAAGTGAAAGAGTAGTCAGCACTACTGGTCTCATGAACATTAAGAGGATAATAAAGGGTTACTATGAACAATCCTATTCCCACAAATTTAGGATCAAAAGAAAACATCCAAAAACAAGTGGATTTCCTAGATATCAGTGTTAAACAATTAAAACTGGAATTAAAACTCAATACTCTTCACAATTGTACCACCAAATAAAGCACTTAACTCTAAATCTAACAATGCATGTACAGGATTTATATGCAAAAAGTCCAAAACTCTGATAAGAGAAATAAAATGAAATCTAAATAATGGCGATATATTCATGGATTGGGAGGGTCAATATTGTTAAGATGTAAATTCTTCCAAATTTGGTCAATAGTGTAAATGTAATTCCAACCCAAATCCCAGGAAGCTATTTTGTACACATTGACAAACTAATTCTAATATTTAGATGGGAAGGCAAAGGACTAATAATAGACAAACTGAAGAAAAACAAAATGAAAAACTTATTCCTCTATTTCAAAACTTACTATAAAGCTACAGCAAGGAAGTGATTTTGTCAATAAGATGGTCATGTAGATCGATGGAACAGAATATACAGAAATAGTCACAAATATATATAATCAACAAATCTTTGAAAACTGGTAAAGGAAAGTTCAATGGAAAAGGATAATATTTTCAACAAACGATGATAGAAAAATTGACATCCTTATGTTAAAAACTTAATCTGCACACAGACATTATATCTTAAAAAATCTCAAAATGAATCATAGACCTAAATGTACAGCACAAAATGACAAAACATCCAGAAAAAATTATAGAAGACAACTACATGACTTTACTTTGGTAATTAGTTTTTAGATACAAGTTGTTTTTAGATATAAGTTGTTTTAGATACAAGACACAAGACACAAGTTATTTCGGACAAAAATTATTTTTAAATACATGTATCTAAAATGCATGAAACCAGAAGTGTTTCAGATTTCACATTTTTCAGACTTTGAAATATTTACATATTCATAATGAGATATCTTGGGAATGGGAGCCACGTCTAAACACACATTTATTTATGTTTCATATACACCATATACACATAGCCTGAAAGTAATTTTGTGCAATCTTTTAAATGATTTAATGTATAAAACTAAGTTTGTGTTAAGTACTTATGTGTGGAATTTTCCACTTGTCATGTCAGCATTCACAATTTCAGATTTTTGAGCATTTTGAATTTTGAGTTTTCTGATTAGGTATGCTCAACCTGTAGAGCACCAAAGAACAAAATAAAACAAAAAAAAATTTAAAAACTTTTGCTTTGCTTTGCAAATGACACTGTTAAGGGAATTATAAAAAACAAATTACAGACTGGGAGAAATATTTCTAAAACACATATATGATAAATGACTTGTATGTGAAATATAGAAAGAGTTCTTAAAAGTTCATACATAAAGAAACAATGGACCACTTGTATTTCTTTTGAGAAATGTATGTTCATATCTTTTGCCCAGCTTTTAATGGGGTTATTTTTTTCTTGTTGAATTATTTAAGTTCCTTGCAGATTCCAGATATTAATCCTTTGTCAGAGGTTTAATTTGCAAGTATATTGTCCCATTCTGTAGGTTGTCTGTTTATTCTGCTGGTTATTTCTGTTGCTGTGCAGAAGCTTTTTAGTTTAATTAAGTTCCATTTGTCTATTTTTGTTTTTATTGCATTTGCTTTTGGAGTTGGTATTAGGCCTTCTTGTGTTGCTATAAAGAAATATTCTGAGACTCGATAATTTATGAGAAAAGCAGTTTCATTAGCTAACAGTTCTCCAACCTGTATGGGAAGCAAAATATCAGCGTCAGCTTCTGGTGAGCCTCAGGAAGCCTATAATCATGGCAGAAGGCAAAGGGGGAGCAGGCATCTCACATGCCAAGAGTGGGAGCAAGAGAGTCTGGGGAGGTGCCACATACTTTTAAACAAGATCTGGTGAAAACTCACTATTGCAAGGACAGCAGCAAGCCATGAGGGATTTGCTCCCATTATCCAAACACCTCCCACCAGGCCCAACCTCCAATACTGGGGATTACATTTCAACATGAGATTTGGTGGGGACACAGATCCAAAGCATATCAGAGTCTTCATCATAAATTATTTGCCTAGGCCAATGTCCAGAAGAGTGTTTTCTAGATTTTCTTCTAAGATTCTTAGAACTTTGGGTCTTACATTTAAGTCTTTAATTCATCTTTACAAATAATGAGAGGAAGCTAGAATGATCCATGTGGTAATATACTAGAGTTGGAGATTATCGAGAGTTGGAGTTAATTTTTGTGTATGGTGAGAGATAGGGGTGCAGTTTTATTCTTCTATATATGGCTTGCCAATTTTCCCAGCACCATTTATTGAATAGAACATCCTCTCCTCATTGTTTATTTTTGTCAACTTTGTGGAAGATCAGTTGGTTATAAGTATGTAGCTTTATTTTTGCATTATCTATTCTCTTCCACTAATCTATCTCTCTTTTTGTACCAGTACCATGCAGATTTAGTTACTATAGCCTTATAGCATATTTGAAGTCAGGCAACGTGATGCCTGTAGATTTTTTCTTTTTACTTAGGACAAAATGCTCAACGTCACTGATTATCAGAGAAATACAAATTAAAACCACAATAAGATATCATCTTATACCGGTCAAAATGGCCACTGCTAAAAAGTCAAGATGTTGGTATGGATGTGGAGAAAGGGAACACTTACACATTATTGGTGGGAATGTTTATTAGTTCAACCTCGGTGGAAAACAATATGGAGATTTCTCAAATAACTAAAAATAGAACTATCATTTGGCCTAGCAGTCTCACTACTGGATATCTACCCAAAGGAAGATAAATCATTATTTAAAAGATACACCTGCACTTGTATGTTCACTGCTATGCTACTCACAATAGCAAGTCATCGACCCAACAAAAGTGTCCATTAATGGTTGACTGGATAAATAAAATGTGGTATATATACACCATGGAATACTGTGTGGCCCCAAAAAGAAGGAATTCATGTCTTTTGCAGCAACATGGATAAAGCTGAAGGTCATTATCCTAAGTGAACGAACTCAGAACCAGAAAACCAAATACCATATATTCTTACTTATGTGGGAACTAAACAATGGGTACACAGTGCCAAAAAGATAGAAATAATAGACAATGAGGACTCCAAAAGGGAGGAGATTAGGAGAGTGACAAGAGCTGAAAAATTACCTATTGGGTGCAATGTTAACTATTTGGATAATGAGTAAACTAGAAGTTGAATCCCCATCAGCATGCAATATACCTATGTAACAAACATGCACATGTACCCCCTGAATCTGAAAGAAAATGGACCAATTGTCTGAATAAACATCACATGAAAGGAGTTATACAAGTAGCAAATAAACATATAAAAAGATGCTCAACTTCACTTGTGATGAGGTAATGGCAAATTACAAACAATCATAAGATACCCCTATGTACTTATTAGAAGGGCTAAAGTCCAAAAAGTGACAATGTAAACTGCTAACAATGATGCAGAGCAACAGAAATTCTCATTCCTTAATGGTGGAATGCAAAATTGGACAGCCATTTAAAAAATAGTTTGGCAATTTCTTGTTGCCAGAACTAAATCATCTCATTAGAAGACAGTTTGGCAACTTACAAATCTAAAATATAGTCTTACCATACAATCCAGCAATCACATCACTAGATATTTACTCAACTGAAACTTATGTCCATGCAAAACTTACACATGAATGTTAATAGTGGCTTTATTCCTAATCATCAAAACCTGGAAGCAATCGAGTTGTCCTTCCATAGGTGAATGGATGAGCAAAGTATAGCACATCAATATAATGAACTATTATTCAGTGATAAACATAATGGAGCTATCAAGCCATAAAAAGGGATAGATCTTAAACACATATTTCAAAGTGAAAAAAACAACAATCTGAGAAAGCCACATACTATCTGATTCATATTATACATGACCTTTTGGAAAAAGCAAAACTACAGCAACTGTATAAAGATCAGTGGTTCCTCTTGGTTTAGGAGTAGGCTTGGATAGAGGAAGCACCAGGGTAATTTTAGGGAATTGAAACTATTATAAACGTGACACTGCAAAAGTGGATACTTGATACACTCTGCATTTGTCAAAATCTATAGAACTTTACAGCACTAAGGGTGAACTTAAATGCATGCAAATTTTAAAATGGAGGTTGGAGGATCCCAGCACAGAATGCAGAATGTAATAAAATAACTAAAATATAAATGTATGAAAACCTTGTTGAAGGCAATGGGAGAAAGTTGCTTATGTAATAAACCTTAAAAATGTGTGGAGTTTGTAAGGTTAAAATTTTAAAAAATGTATCTCAGCAATGTACTCTGGTAGACAAAATAAGTTCCCATCAGCATCAGGGGTAATCATTACGATATTGGTATATACATAGTTAGAATTAAACAATTAAGTAAATACATGATGAGAGCCAGGTTTCTTACTGTTAAAGAGTGAGTTTACACATAACTAGAGGAACCTAGAATAATCCATGTGGTCATATATTTGAGTTGGAGATATTGGCATGAACTCATGTTTAGCTTAATACAGATACAAATAATTACGTATAGAAATATGTATAGATATATGTATACACATGGGTTAGTCCACACACATATGTTTCCTTGCTCTGTCAGCTAAGAAGACCTAGAAGCAACCACATCCCAGGAATAACAAGCATATCTATCACACAGACCTTGGTTTCTAATACCAATTCCCAATAAAAAAGAACCAATTTTCCTTGAAGAAATAGTTCTGCAACTAAGGCAGGAAATATGGAAGATGAATCTGGAACATCCTGTAGCACCAGAAAGTAAGAAAGCACTCAAAAATAGAGACTATTTTTTTGGAATGCAAAAAAAAAGCAGTGGTGTGATTGCTGGATTGTATAGTAGGACTATGTTTTAGGTTTGTAAATTGCCAAACTGTCTTCTAATGAGGCGATTTAGTTTGTAAAAAATTTCCAAACTATTTTTTTAATGGCTGTCCAATTTTGCATTCCAAGATGTTCCAGTGTGCTATGTAGCTTCAAGAGAACACAGGTACTAGCTGAAAGCGCTCCCAATGGCCAATATTGGAGAAACTTGAGCAATAAAATGAGTAAATAAATTTTTGATTTTAATTCAAAGTATAAAATAAATATCCAGGAATACATACTTATATAAATAAATAATTGAATAAATAAACAAGCGAGAGTAAGGAGACAACTCTCCTACCCAGAAAAATTTTAAATAAGGAAATATAGATACTCTACCTATCTTCGAGAAGGTGGAGAAAAACTCTCTACTTCCTAACAGTGGGCTGCACATAATAGCTTTCTAAAGAGTACAGTAAAAATGGAGGAAATGTAATGGTAAATTTACAGTAGAGAAATCTGACAAACAGTAATTCAGTCAGTTGTTGAACGTCAACATCAACAATGGCAAATCATGTTGATAGTATATCTTTTTGCTATGATGTGATGAAAATGGCACTTTACTATTGAGGTCTTCCTCCTTAACCATGAAAAAAATATCAGAGAAATGTTAAAGGACATCCTAGAAAACACCTGACTACACCTCCTTGAAGCTGTCAAGCTCATCACAAACAAGGAAAATCTGGGAAATCATCACAGCCAAGGAGAACGTAGGGAGACATGACAACTAGTAGAATATATATGAGACCTTGGAATGCAATGAGAACATTAGGTAAAAATGGAAAAAAATCTGAATACAATATAGACGTTAGTTAAAAATAATGTATAAATATTAGGTCATTAATCATATTAGGGTAATGTGTTAATAATGGAGGAACTGGAGCTGTTTTGAACTCTGTATTATCTTTGCATTTTTTTATCTAAGACTGTTCTAGAATAGTCTATTTTAAAAATAGTTACCAAGAAGAAAATAAAAGTTGGCATTAGCAAACTAAATCTTCAACTGTCATAAAACAATTTTGAATTTAGAGTTTTTAAATTAGCATTCAAGAGTTGGAGAATAATGGACATATTTTGGAGAAAGAGAACCTCAGAAAGTTTAGCACTCATGAGCCCCTTTAACATGTTTTATTTAAGGATGTTTTTAGTAAAATCCTATGAAACTAATAAAATTATACAGGAGTTTGATATAAAGAAACAGTGGTGTGTAAATAAACGTAATTGAGACTAAATAAATTTTTATGATAATGTAAAAAAAATCAGACATATCAGATGTTCTACAGTGCTATGTAGCTTCTAAATGTAGTCTAGAGATTTACTTATATGTTTTAAATACCGAATTACTAGCAGCACAAAAGAAAAAGGCTATGTAACTTCCAAATAATAGGAAAAAATATAAAATCATAACAACAGATAACTACTATATAATCAGAAAAGAGTGAAAGAAAAAGAAAATAGTTTTTTTTAAAAAAAATCACAAAAAATAGAATGCATAAAGTAAAATGGTGGGTATACCTACAAGCATTGATTAATAAAAAATGAGTTAAATTCTACTGTGAAAATACAGATATTTTTTGAATGTCTTAAAAACTTCCAAAAACAATCCATTGCTATACGAGAGCCACACTTAAAATTAAAATACATAAAAAAGATTGAATGCAAAAGGATAGAATAATGTATCCCTAGCAGATATTAATCAAAAGAAAGAAGCTGAGGAAATGTTATCATGAGACAAAATACAATTCAATGCGAATGATTTGTATGAGGCAAAGGGAAATATTTCACAATGGTAAAAATAACAGTGATATGACAGTCATGAACTTCTGTACGTACCGAGTTACAAAATAAGTAGAACAAAAATTTATAGACAGCATGGATAAATATACCAATTCTGACATGGAAGGATTTTAAACCTTAGAAACTCAGCAGAGCAGACAAAAATAATGGGTATAACAACTGAATAAAACATTCTACAAGCGTGTGCATGAGTATGTGTGTATATACTGTTTGTTTTTATACATAGTTTTATATGTATTCTTAAAAGGGGAAATAAATATTTCTCTTCAAACATACATGGAATATTCAGAAACATTCCATATGCATTAGAGCATACAGAAGATAATTTTGGTTTCTTATCAAACAAATCTAAACTATTCCCACCACTTTCTTCCTATCTAAATAAAACAATAGGGGCTTTTCATTTCAAAGAAGAAAGTGAAAGACCGTGAGAAAGTGGACACCATTGCAGAAAACACTTTTGTGTCACTTTAATATGACTACGGGGAACAGAAACATAAGCTAGCAGGTAAAAGATAGTATGGGGTTCAGAAAAGTGTTTCTCTTAGTTGAAAGGTAGTGCAGACTTTTAAGCTAATACAATTAACAATTAGAGAAGAAATTCATGAGCCAAGCTGTAAGCGACAACTGCTCAAGTGAAGTCTTTCCTTGAATTAAGGAATTCTGGCAAGACTAATTTTCCCTTACAAATTTTGGTTTATTCATTTCACAAGCATTGCCAAATGATGTATTTTTATTATATGGCCATTGATAAGAGAACCTCTTCTAGGAAGGATTGTGAAACATTTTATTGGAGATTAATATAAGCTATCTGGTTGCGCATTAACTAAAAAATAGAGAAATGATAATGAGCTAACAATTTTCAAATGATGTTATGCTGAATATTTTTTTAAAAAAAATGTACAGCTAGATTATATGAGGCCGAGTAGGGAGAAGCATTGACTGCAGCAATTTAAACCTTGTAGATTATGAAAATATACTTCCAGTTATTTTTTCAAATAATATTTGTATTCACCTGGGCAATGACATTAAATAGGACTGCAATTACTTCATTTCCATGGCTGTTTTTTTTTTTTTGATTGTTTTCTGTTTTTTCTTTCAAGTAAATGTGGGGAGGGATGCTTTTGTGGAAATAAAAGAGAATGAACAAAAAGTCCAGGGAGGTGAATTTGATACTACATTCTTGGCAGTTTTCTAGGAAGATGTTACTCTTTTTGCTCTTTTTATGTGTCTTTTTTTTTTTTCTATTTTAGGGACTGCTTATAAAGCCTAGAAATATGTAAAATAATAGACCTTAATTTTCCCAGAAATGTGAGTGGCTCAGTTCAGCACATTGAGTCTTCACTGAATTACTTCTTTGGGGGAAGAAGAAAAAGGAAAAAGAAGGCCACAACAAAACTCCAGTTGATTGACAGACTGCCCAAGAATACAAATTTACCTTCTGAAGTCACCAGGAGAGAAACTAGTCATTCGTTGTAATTAAACCATAACTGAGTTGCCGCCAGCAGTTCTACATTACCAAGTTTTGATTTGTGGAAACTCACAAGGAGGTGGCAGGCTTTCCAGAATTAGCCTAAGAAAGCATGCATGGTTCAACAGAATGAAATATTACATCGCTGGTGGTTCCTTCTGTCAGGTTTTTCTACATTGTCTGTTTTTCTCTGATGTAGAAATTCTCATTTTTAACAAAATCTTTGAATCTTTCTACTTTGAAGTAGAATGCAGTTTAGGGAATTGACAAGACACACCCCTTACATTCAAGGAAGTGATTATAAGAACTATTTAAGATCTATAGTTGACTCTTCTCTTAAGTCTTTAAGGAATGGAATAAAGTTGAAAGTGCAGCAAAAAACAGGGGCAAAGTGATAATACTAGAAGCAAAATCTGAATTGAATGTAATTTTGTTATAGGCAAAATATCTGACCTTGGAAATGTTGAAAAATTTTTTTCCTTTCTGTATATATTTACAACTGACAATAAGAGCTTCTCAAATTTTGGAAAAAAAAATTCAAAGGTCGACAGAACAATTGTAGTTTTTTCTATTAAATTATTTAAGGTCATTTTGCATGGTTTCAGTTTGCACATTCATTTTTATGGTACCACACAGCTGTGCAAAGTGGAGACTGTCTATCTGATGAAAGCTCTTTGCAAAGTGAAGCCTGTTTATTCTAGTACTTGTGAAGTAGAAACGTGTCAGAAAATGCCAACTGGCCTTCCTTCACTTGAATGAGATCAGTTAGGACATGATGAGATGAGAATAATTCAAAAGCCCCACTCTTAAACTCCAGAGTAATGAAAGTATTATATACAGTAGCCAAACCATTCATATCAGTTTGTGGCCTAATAATCCTTCTCAGGACCTGACCACAAAAATCAGCTTCACTTTGTGGATTAAACCTAACTGGAATAAATAAGTAAAAGCTGAAGAATTTATTTTTGTCAACTGTAGTTAAGAGGACTATTTAATTCGTCATCTGAACCAGGACACTATTGAGAATAAAAGGGATGCTAAATTAATTAAAATTATATAATGCTTGAATTAGACTAGATTTCCAGATTAATAAATTGGTTTTATTATATATACAAAACAAAAAAAAACTATTCAAATACTGTATAATTTTTTTCTAAAATATTAAAAAATGCATTTTTGTACATTAAAGCAAAATTAAAATAAACTTCAGATTGAGTATCAAAACATTAAAAATTAACATAAGCAAAATATTCTACATGCTACGTATTCATATTATTTTTTCAGTTTTTAAATTATATGTCTCTGATAAGATGCCACCTTTTTTGATAACAAATAATCTGAAAATAAGTAAATATTTAAAAATAAAATCAATAATAGTTGAAGTTAAATTTTGGGGGCAATACATTTAAAATATTAACATTTTTAATTCACTCACTTATGTACATTATAATATTTTAATCTGAAAAAAATACACTAAAGTTGCTGAAGTCCCTAATACATTCAGAGGCTATGCTGTTAAATGGAGGTTACTATAAACATTACATTTTTTATTTAAATGTGTAAATATTTTATCTGAAGTAAGTTCATTTGTACTCTCCATTGTTCTTTATTCAGAGGAACTTTCTTTAAAAAATAAGACAAATAAGTTATCTTTTTTATGATTCTTTACTATTGTCAATAAAAAGCTGTAAAATCATAGGGCAAGCCTGGGCACCCTGGCACAGGCCTCTAATCCCAGCACTTTGGAAGGCAACACAGGAGGGATTATTAGCGGCCAGAAGTTTAGGACCCGCCTGGGCAACATCCTAAGACTCTGTTTCTCCAAACAAATGAACAAACAAAAACCCAAAAAATAAATAATAGGGCAGTCCCAATTTATTCTGTTCTTTTATAGATTATCAAATTAACCAGTTAAAAATAACCAGAGAGAGAGAGAGAGAGGTAATTTTGACAACTATAGGTTCCATGTGTATCGTATCTACCAATTATAAGAGCTAATTCCAATAGCATCCCAGCCATACAAATGTCTTAATTTAGAAAACAAACAGAACAACTCTTTATCTTGACAATGTGTTCCATTAAAGCTTGCATTCTTATTATTTCAGCAAAATATAATGATAGAAATAATTTTAACATTAATGTTGAACTTTTCAACTGAATTTACAATAGCATTCGCTATAATGTTAAATGTTTTACCTTCAACTTTAAATATATTTCTGAATCTTTACATTGTATAATTTAAATAAAAATATCAAAACTATTGAAATTAACTGGATTTCTATTTAAACCACCTGTGTTATTGATAAAAAATCTGGCATTCTTCAAATCTGTAGAATTCTTTTGCTAATGGATTATATCATTAGTAGTTGTAGCTTTATTTTTATTTTGAATAGAACATGAAATATTAGCTTGTAAGAATATTTAAATGATCATTTTTGATATAAATAAAAAACTACACAGGATAAAGTATCATTTACTTTAGTAAGTAAACACACTTTTTGAAACTACACATTAAATTGCCATTTTTCATCTCAACTTTTAAAATGAAAAGCGATTATCTTTTGAAGTAAAAACAAATGGTTCTTTAATATTTGTGCTTTCTGTTTTGTATCCCTGTATCACTATGGCCCTAAGAGGAGAGGGTCAAAAAACATTTTGTAAATGTTACATGTTAATAATGATATCTCATGAGAAATGGAATTTTGGTGCTGAATTTTTAAACTTGTACTTTCATTTTTTAGAGCTCATTGCTGCCAAAGCTCAGTAGAGCTCATTGCATCTTACAGCAAAAGAACATGTGGGAATAAAAAGTAACAAGTATAGTTTTAGACTACGCTATCTAATAAGTGAAAAATTACAACAAGCGGGTTCAAAATACTCTCTATGAACTGTACAATATGACTAACAAGTATAGTTTTAGACTATGCTATCTAATAAATGAAAAATTACAACAAGCAGGTTCAAAATACTCTCTATGAACTGTACAACATGACTATTTGACTCTTATTTGCTGCATATATTTCATGGTCTACTTGTGCATAATTTACCACCTTTCACTTTGCCCAGTGGTAGACCCAGTAGCTTCAGACAATACAGATTTCTGTTCACCTCCCACTATCACCTGGGACTGAAAGTTCTCTAGCCACTCAGTTCCTAGCTCATTGTATTTATCAGTACCGTGTATTCTGTCCTAAAGAGAGATATTGATTACCTTGTGTCTAGAAAGAGTCAGAGAAAGAGAGTTGGCTTTTCATTAGTTTGTTTTAGTATTTACACAAAATATTAAAGTGAAATAGTTTACCAAGAAAAATTTGTAGTTAAAATTGTGATTGGTTTATAAAGAAAAATAACTGGGCATTAGAAAAGAGATTAAAAGGGGAGACAATTTAGAATGATGATCAGAGAATGCTGTGATGAAGCACGCTTTTAAAAATGTAAAATATTCTCAATATCAGAAAAGGTTGAATAAAAATTTTTAAAATTGATAATGATAGAGTTGTATTTTTTAATGAAAAGCGTTATATTACATGAGAAGATCTGCCATGTATCCCTATATATCAAAGAGTAAAATTCAAATAAATTTTAAAGATTGTAGGAATAACAATAAAATAATCTGAAACATTGAAAGACTTGAAATTATCTCTCAGGCCGTAAAAATCAACTTGACAAAACTTGTAGACATACAATATTAGAAAAATGGTAATGAAGTTTTAAATATACATAAGCTATTAATAAGCCATTGGATGTTTTAATCATATTTTTAAATGATGGTTGAGTGTTCATGATGTTAAGTGAAAAAAGCAGAATGCATTAACTATACATATCAACTAAGTTTGCAAACATATATGGATCTATATCAAATGAATATAGAACATTTTAAAGAAAACAGCATCAAATTATAGCAATTTTCTTCAGTTAAAGTGGGTAGATTTTTATTTTCTTCTCTTTTTTATATTTACTCTTATATGTATAGTAAATGACACTCATGATCAGATTAAACACAAGGTTGGTTATCTTTCTTTAATAGGAAGAATCATGATACTTAGCTGTTCTGATAAAGCATGAACATCAGAAAAGAGATACCAAAGCTCTGTTCACCTGTGTGGTAGACTGATTGTAAAAATTGACTTAATTTTCCACAGCCTTCTTTATCAACAGCCTTTACCATCTGTCTTTGAAGCTCTTCCCATTTGTCGTCTGTCAAATCTGAGCTGGTCTTGTGACTAAGTTTAGCAAACAGAGGTGACTGGTGACTGTACTATTTCCAAACTTGGGACTCAAAATCTTTGAATCCTTTTTTTTTTTTCTTGTACTATGGCTTTGCCATGAGAACGTGCCTAGATTAGAACTTCGGAAGATGTGAAAAGCACATGGACAAGTGTAGCCAACAGTCAGCCACACCCACATGTTTGAGAGAGCCCATCAAGATCAGCCCAGCCTCTTCCAATCTGACCCACAGTGCACTGCAGACTTAGCACAATCAAAACCAAAGAGCCATCTATCCTATGCAAAACTTTGTGAGCAATAATATATCAGTATGGTTTTAAGCCATTGAGTGTAGGGGTGGTTTATTAAGATTTTTATTTGTGGTAATAAAAAGTAATAGAGATTGATAATATAAGGTGCTAACACATAACTTGTCTTTTTAGTTCAAGAGAAACTTGAAATATGTGGCACTGGTTTTGCAACTGGTTACAAGTGGGGATTGGAAAAAGTTGCAAACTGTTAACAAAGACTTGAAACATGATAAAGAAAGTGTAATCAGAGCCTGGAAAAATGATTATGCATGTAATGCCATCACAAAATAATTGACAAAACTCTTGCCTGCAGTAACTTGGAAGATGGAAAATGTACCTAATGACTTTTGGATTTGCCTAAGGAGATCTCTAGGCAAGTGTTCAAAATGTCAGTTGGATTTTCTTAATTGCAAGTAGGACAGCAAGAAAGTGATGAACTAAAGAAAAAGTTGGCCACTTTCCAAGCAGGACTTTATGGGTAGATGAGAGGGCCAGACCTGTGGGCTACAAAATAAAGCAGTTTCTTATCTCTAGTCTCTCTAGTCAGGAGAAGCTTATTAAAGTGCTAGATGCTCCTCAACGTATGATAGAGTTGCACCCCCTTAAACTCATTCCAAGTTGAAAATACCGTAAGTTAAAAATGCGTTGAATACACCTACTATTGAACATAATAGCTTAGTCTTGCCTACCTCAAATGTGTTCAAAGCACTTTCATTAACCTACAGTTGAGCAAAATCATCTAACACAAAGTCTATTTTATAATAAAGTGTTGTACTATCTCATGTAATGTATTGTATACTGTACTGAAAGTAAACAGAATGGTTATAAGGATACTTGAAGTATGGTTTCTACTTAATGAAATCATTGTAAGTTGAACCATCCTAAGTCAGGACTGTCTGTATAACCTGGGGGCATAGATTAAATCATCAACATTGCTTACGATCCCTTGGTAAACCCTATGGAAAAATTGAAAGTGCTTAGCAGGCCCTCACAGGCAGACAAAAGGACTGCTAGGAACAGAGTGTCTCCCATAGATATTTAATATGCTTCAAATGAATGTGATTAAAAATAATTTATTGAGTGGAGTGGATAAATTAATTCAAATTACCTGAAAGCCTACAACAGTTTTAAGGGGCCGTGTAGGCAAAAGTGCCATCATTCTGGCCTCACAGGTATTGAGATTGTTCAAAATGCAAAAGGCTTCTGAGTCCCCATCGTTCTATGACCAGAAAGTTGGCTAAAAAAAAAAAAAAATTTATAGGACATAACTTTCCCTAGCCTTTTAAAATGGGGGAGGAGAAAGTTGGAAAAGGAAGTTCTCAGATGGTGAAATTATGGAAAATAATGGACTGCGGCGCCTGTCCAAGGGAGCAGAATGGAGGCCAAATCTGTGACTGGTCTGTTCTCCCAAGTGTCAGGACACCTAGAAACATTTGCCCAGTTGGTTTTCAGAACTGTTAACATCCAGAGTTCTATGTATTTCCCATCTTTGGCTTTTTAAATGGAGGTACTGTTTAATACAACTTTCCTGTCTTTGTCTCATCATTGTATGCTTGGCAGTGATTGTGGGGCACAAATAACTATTTTTATTTTTAACCTTATCAATCTCTGAATCAAAATGAGCCACATCTGAATAGTCTTATGTGGACCTGATATAGACCAAAAGATGCTGAATTTTGAGAACATTATAACTGAAAGGGAATTTTGGGTTCCTTGGGAGAAGGTGAGTATGATTTCTATATGGGAATGGTATAAAATTGGAGCCAGACAGAAAACGAGATGATAGTAGATTGATGGCAAATGTGGCCCTCAATTCTTTATCCGTCACTGAATCCATATTCTTTGCAATATGACTTTGAGCTCCACTTATGAAGAGAAAGAGTGAATTTCACTATTGTTTGAATCTTGATAGACCTTGTGACTTTGTTTTGAAACAAAATATAGCATAAATGACTGCGAGCCAGTTCTTAGCCTAGCTGTAAAGATGCTTTGCACACTTTTACCTTTTTCCTCTCTCTCAGACCTCTGTTCCACTATGAGACCATTCTGGGCTATTGCAGGAAGGATATGACATACATAAAGAAGGGCTAGACCAGGCAATACCCAGCATCCAGCAAACATTTCATCAACCAAAATTAGAAGAATGATTTACCTAATTTATAGCTGATAGTAGGTCTGTGAGTGAGCCTATAAGAGGTCAAAACTGCTGCTGTCTTGGCATGATTGGGCTGCTATAACAAAATACTCTAGACTGGGTGGCTTACAAACAATGGAAGTTAATTCCTCACAGTTCCAGAACCTGGGGAATCCAAGGTCAAGGCAGCAGCAGAGTTTGTGTTTGGTGACAGCCTGCTTCCTGGTTCACAGACAGCCTGCTCCTCTGCATCCTCACATGGTGGAAAGGGCAAAGGAGCTCTCTGGGGCTACTTTCATAAGGGTCCTAATCCCATTGATGAGGGCTCCACTTTTATGACCTAATTACCTGTCAAAGTTTCCATCTTCTAATACCATCACATTTGGAGTTAGGATTTCAACATATGAATTTTGGGGAAACATAAACATTTAGTCTATAGCACCAGCTCATTCAAAAATCTGGGATCGGTTGTACATACTTAAGTGTTTTTAGGCTCTAAGCTCTTGGGTGGTTTGATACATAGCATTTACATGACAAAAAATAACTGATATAACTACTATAGTAATTTTCAGTAATGCACTTAAACTGGGTTTTGCAAATTTCAAGTTATTGTTCATTAAAGAAGTAGAAATTTAGATAAATTAGTTTAAAAAGGAGAGAATAATTCTCTCCTGATTAGAACATATAAATTAATTCAATTCTTATTGTTTTTGTGCAGATACGGGTGATACTAGATTCTTCTTTCTATTGTGATTCCTGTCCAGTTGCTTAGAACTGAGAAGAATGAGAGAGATAGACACCTCTGGGGAATTATGTTGGTAGCCAAGCAAGGAAGACACTGAGATAGCTGACAGCTGCCAGTGGGATGGAAGCTATAAGGACTTTACTATCAAACCCTGACAATCTGTTTACAAGACCAGGGACTATTGGCAGGTGAAAGTAGGATTTTCACTCATTATGTCTCTTAACAGAAAAGAAGAATTAAGAAATAAGAGTCAAGGAAACTCTTCCCAAAGAGGAATATACATTGATGTTATATGAAAAAGGAGTTCTTTATTCAGGTAAGTTTGAAAAACATAAGGTCAAATAAAGTGAAACACTTTTTTTGTTGTTGTTTTTAACTGCAAGACTTCTAAGACTCTTTACGATACTATTTGTTTTGTGAATCCCCCAAAGAAACATACAGTGTGCAATATTCTCCATGTTTATTTGACCACAGGACTAGTTTTTTTCAAAGGGCATTTTGCAGGATTATATTTTCACCAAGTACACTTTGGGGAATGCTGAGTTGACGGTATGTATACTGTGTAATCTTTACTTCCAATTTTGAAGTTTAAAACTTTGTTCTATAAATATAACATTTTCATCAGTGTATATTTTAATGTGCAAGCTTATTTGATTAGGAAATCCTAAGGGGGAAAAAAAAACAAGAAGTGTAAGCTACCGAGATTGTGGCATGATTTTAGATATTCAAAATTTTTTTTTGGTTGTAAGATTGTATATCATGCCATGTCTTCTAACATCTGACTTCAATTATAGGTCAAACATAAGGATAATAACTTTTATAAACATTCACTTTTTGAAAATTTACCATGTCTCAGGCACTGTGTGAAATTGCTTTCCATATGTCACCACAATCAAAACTCTATAAATTCAGTTCAGTTATACTATGTTAAAAAAGATGGGAGCCAGGCACGGTGGCTTCTACTTGTAATCCCAGCTACTTGGGAGGCTGAAGCAGGTGGATCTCTTGAGGTTAGGAGTTTGAAACAAGCCTGGACAACAGAGCAAGATCTCATCTCTAAGAAAATAAAAAATAAAATGATGAAACTGAAATTTAAAGACGTTAGTTTAAGGCCACAAATAAACTTTTTAAGAAGAGACAAAACTGAGATTCACTTACAATTCTGTATGATGCTAACACCTTCATCACTTAATGACTGCATATCACTAACCAGGAGGCATACTGTTCAGTATTTAGAGGAATGCAGTTCTGACTACATAAGCAAACATGCTGTTAGAGAATAATCAAGGAACAAATACATTTTAGAGTGAGTAGGTGAGAGCATTAGTGACACTGACGGAGAAACATGTATCTAAAGACATTTTGAAACTCAGCAGTTTATACAGTCTAGATTGACCATGGACATTGAGATTAAGGAGCAGATATTAACAAATGTGAAAAATTATCAAATCCTTTTGACCACACTGTAATGAGTTACTTTGCTCAAACTCAAAGTTTATCATCTCTTTCTTTGTGATTTTTGGATTATAATAAGAAATTGTAGTTTTGATATGAATTCAAAAAAACACAGGCTAACTATGTTGTGATCAATAAATTATCAGTAAATTATTACTGTAAATAAACTTTGAGCACAGAAACAAAGAATCATTCGTTAAAAAAATACTTTGGCAGATGTGAGAACTAGTTGAAGTTTCCCGTAATACATGACTAATTAGCAACATTTTTAACAGTTTTATAGATATAATTAATGACATATAAAAACTAAACATACTTGTAGTGTATAATTTGTAGTCTTGACATGTGTAAACACCCATAAAATCATCATTGTAATAAAGATAATGAATGTATCTATCACCCCCTGTATTAGGCCGTTCTTGCATTGCTATAAAGGAATACACGAGACTGAGTAATTTATAAGAAAAGATGTTTAATTGGCTCATGGTTCTGCAGGCTGTACCAGAAGCATAGTGCCAGCATCTACTTCAGGGGAGGTTTCAGAGAGATTTACTTATGGCAAAATGTGAAGTGGGAGAGTAGGTGTTTCACATAGCAAGAACGGGAGCAAGAGAGACACAGAGTGTGTGTGTGTCGGGGGGAGGTGCCACAAACTTTTAAAAAACCAGGAGCTTAGAAGGAGAGCTTACCTATCACCAAGGGGATGGCCCAAGCCATTCTTGAGGGATCTTCCCCCCATGATTCAAACACCTCCCACTAGGCCCCACCTCCAACACTGGAGATGGCATTTCAACATGAGATTTGGGCAGGGAGAAATATCCAAACTATATCATTCTGCCTCTGCCCACCCACTGAATCTCCTGTTCTTCTCACATTGCAAAATATAATCATGCGTTCCTAATAGTCCCCCAAAGTCTTAACTCATTCCAGGATTAACTCAGAAGTCCAACGCCCAAAGGCTCATCTGAGAGAAGGCAAGTCTCTTCCATCTATTAGCCTGTAAAATAAAAAATAAGTTATTTACTTCCAAGATACAATGGGGGTATAGGCATTGGGTAAACCTTGCCATTTCAAAAGGGAGAAATCAGCCAAAAGAAAGGGGTTACAGGTCTCACATAAGTTCAAAACACAGCAGGACAATTATTAAATCTTTTTTTATTTTTTATTTATTTATTTTTATTATACTTTAAGTTTTAGGGTACATGTGCACAACGTGCAGGTTTGCTACATATATATACATGTGCCACGTTGGTTTGCTGCACCCATTAACTCATCATTTAACATTAGGTATATCTCTAAGGCTATCCCTCCCCCCTCCCCGTACCCCACAACAGGCCCCGGTGTGTGATGTTCCCCTTCCTGTGTCCATGTGTTCTCATTGTTCAATTCCCACCTATGAGTGAGAACATGCGGTGTTTGGTTTTTTGTCCTTGCGATAGTTTGCTGAGAATGATGGTTTCCAGCTTCATCCATGTCCCTACAAAGGACATGAACTCATCGTTTTTTATGGCTGCATGGTATTCCATGGTTTATATGTGCCACATTTTCTTTACCAAGTCTATCATTGATGGGCATTTGGGTTGGTTCCAAATCTTTGCTATTGTGAACAGTGCTGCAATAAACATATGTGTGCATGTGTCTTTATAGCAGCATGATTTATAAACCTTTGGGTGTATACCCAGCAATGGGATGGCTGGGTCAAATGGTATTTCTAGTTCTAGATCCCTGAGGAATTGCCACACTGACTTCCACAATGGTTGAACTAGTTTACAGTCCCACCAACAGTGTAAAAGTGTTCCTATTTCTCCACATCCTCTCCAGCACCTGTTGTTTCCTGACTTTTTAATGATCACCATTCTAACTGGTGTGAGATGGTATCTCATTGTGGTTTTGATTTGCATTTCTCTGATAGCCAGTGATGATGAGCATTTTTTCATGTGTCTTTTGGCTGCATAAATGTCTTCTTTTGAGAAGTGTCTGTTCATATCCTTTGCCCACTTGTTGATGGGGTTGTTTGTTTTTTCTTGTAAATTTGTTTGAGTTCATTGTAGATTCTGGATATTAGCCCTTTGTCAGATGGGTAGATTGCAAAAATGTTCTCCCATTCTGTAGGTTGCCTGTTCACTCTGATGGTAGTTTCTTTTGCTGTGCAGAAGCTCTCTAGTTTAATGAGATCTCATTTGTCAATTTTGGCTTTTGTTGCCATTGCTTTTGGTGTTTTAGACATGAAGTCCTTGCTCATGCCTGTGTCCTGAATGGTATTGCCCAGGTTTTCTTCTAGGGTTTTTATGGTTTTAGGTCTAACATTTAAGTCTTTAATCCATCTCGAATTAATTTTTGTATAAGGTGTAAGGAAGGGATCCAGTTTCAGCTTTCTACATATGGCTAGCCAGTTTTCCCAGCACCATTTATTAAATAGGGAATCCTTTCCCCATTTCTTGTTTTTGTCAGGTTTGTCAAAGATCAAATAGTTGTACATATGTGGCATTATTTCTGAGGGCTCTGTTCCATTCCATTGGTCTATATCTCCGTTTTGGTACCAGTATCATGCTGTTTTGGTTGCTGTAGCCTTGAAGTATAGCTTGAAGTCAGGTAGTGTGATGCCTCCAGCTTTGTTCTTTTGGCTTAGGATTGACTTGGCGATGCGGGCTCTTTTTTGGTTCCATAGGAACTTTAAAGTAGTTTTTTTCCAATTCTTTGAAGAAAGTCATTGGTAGCTTGATGGGGATGGCACTGAGTCTATAAATTACCTTGGACAGTATGGCCATTTTCATGATATTGATTCTTCCTACCCATGAGCTTGGAATGTTCTTCCATTTGCTTGTATCCTCTTTTATTTCATTGAGCAGTGGTTTGTAATTCTCCTTGAAGAGGTCCTTCATGTCCCTTGTAAGCTGGATTCCTAGGTATTTTATTCTCTTTGAAGCAATTGTGAAAGGGAGTTCACTCATGATTTGGCTCTCTGTTTGTCTGTTGTTGGTGTATAAGAATGCTTGTGATTTTTGCACATTGATTTTGTATCCTGAGACTTTGCTGAAGTTGCTTATCAGCTTAAGGAGATTTTAGGCTGAGTAAATTGGGTTTTCTAGATATACAATCATGTCATCTGCAAACAGGGACAATTTGACTTCCTCTTTTCCTAATTGAATACCCTTTATTTCCTTCTCCTGCCTGATTGCCTTGGCCAGAACTTCCAACACTATGTTGACAGTCGTTAAATCTTAATGCTCCAAAATAATCTTTGACTCTGTATGCTGCATCCAGGGAACACTGCTGCAAGATTTGAGCCCTCAAAACCTTGGACAGATCAGCCTCTGTGGCTTTTCCACGTTGAGGTTGCAAGCTGCTGGTGGCTCTACCACTCCAGTGTCTGGAGGGCAGTGGTTCCCACCTCAACAGTTCCAAGGCAGTGCCACAGTGGCGACTCTCTATGGGGTCTCCAACCCTACATTCTTTCTTGGGATTGCCCTAGTAGAGGTTCTCTATGAGGGCTCCATTCTGCAGCAGGTCTCTGCCTGGACACCCAGGTTTTTCCATGCATCCTCTGAAATCTAGGGGGAGGCTGCCAAGCATTCTTTGCTCTTGCATTCTGTCCACTAACAGGTTTAACACCATGTGGAAGCCACCAAGGCTTATGGCTTGCAGTTTCCAATGTGGTAGACTGAGCTGTACCTTGGCCACTTTGAGCTACAGCTGGAGCTGAAGCAGCCAGGATGTGGGAAGCAGTGTCCTGAGGCTGTTCACGGCAGTGGGGTCCTGTGCCTGACCTGTAAAACCATTCTGTTTTTCCAGGTATCTGGTTCTGTGATAGAAGTGGCTGCCTTAAAGGTCTCTGAAATGTCTTTAAGGTCTTTTCCACATTGTCTGGGATATTAGCAATTGGATTCCTTTTATTTATGCAAATATCTCTAGCAAGTGATTGCTCTGCACCCTGCTTGAATCTTCTTCCCCCAAAAGCTTTTTCTTTCTCTTCCATACGGCCAGCCTGAAAATTTTCCAAACTTTTATGTTCTGCTTACCTTTTAAATATATACTTCAAGTCATTTATTTACTTCTACATTAAGATAGGCTGTTAGAAGCAGCCAGACCACATCTTGAACACTTTGCTGCTTAGACATTTCTTCTGCCAGATACCCTAAATCATTGCTTTTTTAGTTCAAACTTCCACTAGAAGCTTCCCTAGATTTCTAGGGCATGAACAGAACGTAGCCAAGCTCTTGGCTAAGGCATAACATGCATAACCTTTGTTCCAGTTCCCAGTAAGTCCTCATTTCCATCTAAGAGCTTGTCGGCCTGGACTTCACTGTCCATATCACTGTGTTCACATTAGTCACAACCATTTAACCAGCCTCTTAGACTTTCCAGACTTTTCCTTATCTTCCTGTCTTCTTTTGAGCCCTCCAAACTCTTCCAATTCCTGCCTCTTACCCAGTTCCAAAGTCCCTTCCACATTTTCAAGTGTCTTTATGGCAATATCCAAATCCCTGGTACCAGTTATCTATATTTAGGCTGTTCTTTTTTTTTTTTTTTTTTTTTTTTGAGATGGAGTCTTGCTCTGTCACCTAGGCTGGAGTGCAGTGGTGCAATGTTGGCTCACTGCAAGCTCCGCCTCCTGGGTTCACACCATTCTCCTGCCTCAGCCTCCTGAGTAGCTGGGACTACAGGCATCTGCTACCATGCCTGGATAATTTTTTGTATTTTTAGTAGAGACAGGGTTTCACCATGTTGGTCAGGATGGTCTTGATCTCTTGACCTCATGATTCACCCATAGGCTGTTCTTGAATTGCAACAAAGAAATACCTGAGACTGGGTAATTAATAAAGAAAAGATTTCTGATTGGCTAATGGTTCTGCAGGCTTTACAGGAAGCATGTGTGCCAACATCTGCCCAGCTTTTGGGGAGGCCTTGAGAAGCTTACAATCATTGCAGAAGATAAAGCAGGAGCAGTCACTTCACACTGTGAAAGCAGGAGCAAGAAAGAAAGAGTGGGTGGAAGGTGCCACATGCTTTTAAACCATCAGATCTCATGTGAACTCAAAGAAAAAGCTCACTTATCACAAAGGGGATAGCAGAAGCCATTCATGAGGGACTTGCCCTCATGATCCAAACACATTTCACCAGGCCCCACTTTCAACATTGGGGATTACATTTCCACATGAGATTTTGGTGGGGACAAATATCCAAACTATATCACCTCAAAGTTTCTTTTTGCTTTTTTCTAATTCCTTCCTGCCATTTCTCCCCATCCCCCAAGTACCAGGAAAACACTATCTACTGTCAGTATAAATAGAAACACATAGTGTATACCCTTTCTGTGTCTGGCTACTTTCACTTAGTATAGTGAGTTTGAAATTTATTCATACTGTTATACATGTGAATAGTCCATTACCATTTATTGCTGAGCAGTATACCATTGTGTGGATATACCAGGTTTTCTATTCACTTGTTTGTTTTTAATTTTTTTATTTTGAATTTTTGTAGTTAATAGTAGGTGTATATATTTATGGGGTACAGAAAATGTTTTGATATAGTCACACAATGCATAATGTGGTAATGGGGTATTCTTCACCTCAAGCATTTATCCTTTCTTTGTATTACAAACAGTCCAATTATACTCTTTAAGTTAATGTAAAATGTACATTAAATGATTGTTGACTCTAGTCACCCCTGTTGTGATATCAAATACTAGATCTCTCTAATTCTAATCATATTTCTGTAACCATTAAGTAATCCCACTACACTTCTCAGCCTCTGGTAACTATCATTCTATTCTCTATTTCCATGAGTTCAATATTTTTTTAATCTCCCACCAGTAAGTGAGAACATGTGAAGTTTTTCTTTCTGTGCTTAGGAGTGCAGATATCTCTTTAATATACTGATATCCTTTCTTTTGTGCATATAGCTAACAGTGAAATTTCTGGACCATATTTTAGCTCTATTTTTACTTTTTTGGAGGAAGCTCCAAATTGTTCTTCACAGTTGTGGTACTAATTTACATTCCCACCAACAGTGTATAAGGGCTCCCTTTTCTCCACATCCTCATCAGGATTTATTATTGCCTGTCCTTTGGATAAAAGCAATTTTAACTGGGGCGAAATGATATATCATTGTAGTTTTGATTGGCATTTCTCTATCACTGATGTTGAACATATTTTTAAATAGCTGTTTGCCATTTCATGTCTCCCTTTTAGAAATGTCTTTTGAGATTTTTTCTCATTTTTTAATTAAATTATTGACTTTTTATTGATTATTTGCACTCATGTATTCTGATTACTAGGCCCTTGTCAGATGAATAGTTGGCAAATATTTTGTTCAATTCTGTGGGTTGCCTCATCACTTTGTTGGTATTTCCTTTGCCATGCAGAAGTTTTTTAACTTAGTGTGATCCCATTTGTCCATTTTTGCTTTGGTTGCCTGTGTTTGTGGGGCATTACTCAAGAAATCTTTGCCTGGTCCAATTTCCTGGAGATGTTCCCCAATGTTTTCTTGTAGTAGTTTTATAGTTTAAAGTCTTTGCCATTAAAGACAATTAGATTTGTCTTTAATTCATTTTGATATGGTGAACAATAAGGATCTAGTTTCATTCTTCTGGATGCAGATATCCAGCTTTCCCAGCAGGTTTTATTGAAGAAATTGTTGTTTCCCCAATGTATGCTCTTGGCATCTTTGTCAAAAATGAGTTCACTGTAGATTTATGGATTTATATCTAGGTTCTCTATTCTGTTCCATTGGTATATGTGTCTGTTTTTATGCCAGTACCGTGCTGTTATGGTTACTATGGCTGTGTACAATAATTTGAAGGCAGGTAATATGATTCCTCCAGTTTTGTTCCTTTTGCTCAGGATAGGTTTGGTATTCTTTTGTGGTTCCATATAAATTTTAGTACTATTTTTTATATTTCTTTGAAAAATGTCTTTGGTATTTTGATAGGAATTACAATCAATAGATTGTTCGTATTGCTTTGGGTAGTGATATGGTTGACTGTGTGCCCACATAAAATCTCATCTTGAATTATAATCCCCATTGTTGCGGGAAGTCAGGGACCATGAATGGAGGGACCGGCTGGAGCCGTAGCAGAGGAAACATAAATTGTGAAGATTTCATGGACATTTATCCCTTCCCTAATAATACTCTTACACTTTCTTATGCCTGTCTTACTTTAATCTCTTAATCCTGTTATCTTTGTAAGCTGAGGATGTACATCACCTCAGGACCCTGTGATGACTGTAACTGTACAAAATGATTGTAAAACATGTGTGTTTGAACAATATGAAATCAGTGCACCTTGAAAATGGACAGAATAACAGCAATTTTAGGGAACAAGAGAAGACAACCATTAAGGTCTGATTGCCTGCGGGGTCGGGCAAAAAGAGCCATATGTTTCTTCTTGCAGAGAGCCTATAAACAGACGTGCAAGTAGGAGAGATATCGCTAAATTCTTTTCCTAGCAAGAAATATAATATTAAGACCCTAGGAAAAGAATTGCATTGCTGGGGGGATGTCTATAAACAGTTGCTCTGGGAGTGTCTGTCCTATGTGGTTGAGATGAGGACTGAGATATGCCCTGGTTTCCTGCAGTACCCTCAGGCTTACTAGGATTGGGAAACCACAGCCCTGGTAAATTTGAGGTCAGACTGGTTCTCTGCTCTCGAACCCTGTTTTCTGTTAAGATGTTTATCAAGACAATACGTGCACCGCTGAACATAGACCCTTATCAGGAGTTTCTGATTTTGCCCTGGTCCTGTTTCCTAAGAAGCATGTGATCTTTGTTTTCCTTTTTGCCCCTTAAAGCATGTGATCTTTGTGACCCACTCCCTGTTCATACACCTACTCCCCTTTTGAAATCCCTAATAAAAACTTGCTGGTTTTGTGGTTCAGCTGGGCATCACGGACCTACCGATATATGATGTCACCCCTGGCAGCCCAGCTGTAAAATTCCTCTCTTTGTACTCTTTTTCTTTATTTCTCATACCAGCTGACACTTAGGGAAAATGGAAAGAACCTACATTGAAATATTGGGGGTGGGATCCCCCTATGCCCATAATCCGCATGTGCCAAGGATGGGACCAGGTGGAGGCAATGAGATCATGGGGTGGTTCCCCCCATGCTGTTCTCGTGATGGTGAGTGACTCTCATGAGATCTGATGATTCCATAAGTGTCTGACATTTCCCGTACTTGCACTCACTCTGTCCTGCTGCCCTGTGAATGAAAGTGCTTGTTTCTCCTTTGCCTTTGACCATGATTTTAAGTTTCCTGAAGCACCTCAAGCGATGCAGAGGTGTGAGTCAATTAAACCTCTTTGCTTTATAAATTACCCAGTCTTGGGTATTTCTTCATAGCAGTGTGAGAATGGACTAATATAGGTAGTATGGACATTTAAAAAATATTAATTCCTTCAGTCCATGCGTATGGAACATCTTCCTATTTTTTGTCATCATCTTCAATTTCTTTCATCAATGTTTTATAGTTTTCATTGCAGAGGTATTTCATTTCTCTGATTAAGTTTATTTCTAGGTATTTCATTTTATTTTATTTGTAGCTATTGGAAATGGTGTTACTTTCTTGATTTTTTTTTCAGATTGTTCACTGTTGGCATACAGAAATGCTACTGAGTTTTGTAAGATTATTTTGTATCCTGAAACTTTACTGTATTTATTTATGAGGTCTAGTTTTTTTTTGATGGAGTCTTTAGGGTTTTCCAATTGTAAGAACATATTATCTGCAAACACAAAAAATTTGATTTTTTTTCCCTTTATTTCTTTCTTTTGTCTGATTGCTCTAGCTAGGACTGTCAGTACTATTTTGAGTACCAGTCATGAAAGAGGGCATCTTTGACTTGTTCCAGATCTTAGAGAAAAGGCTTTCAGTTTTTCTCCATTCAGTATACTACCTGTGGATTTGTCATATATGGCTTTTCTTGAGTTGAGGTATCTTTCTTCTATATACAAATTAGTGTGTTTTTATCATAAAGGGATGTTGAATTTTATCAAATTCTTCTTCAACATCAATTAAAATGTTCATACATTTTTTGTCCTTCATTCTGTTGATATCATGTATTATACTGATTTGCATAGGTTGAGCCATCCTTGTATCCCTGGAATAAATCTCACTTGGTCATGAGAAATGATGTTTTTAACATTTTATTCAGTTCAGTTTGCTAGTATTTTGCTGAGAAATTTTGCATCAATTTTCATAAAGAATATTGGCCTGTAGTTTTTTTCTATGTGTTGTCTGCTTTTGGTATCAAGGTAATAGTGGCCTTGTAGAATGAATTGAGAGATATTCCCTAGTATTAGTCCATTCTCATGCTGGTATGAAGAAATTCTGTTTTTTTTTTTTTTTTACATTTTCATATCTAAAAACTCATTTTATTAATTTTTTTTATGTTAATAGTCTTGGAGAACATTTTTAATCACTACATCATATACCATCATATGGATGTACCACAATTTGTTTTGTCATTACATTAGTGACTTATAGCTTTTCATGATTATGGTACAAAAGTACATTTATAAGAATATCTTGTTTATTATTAAAGTGGTAAAAATGTTAACATGGATGAAAAATAACTCCCATGATTGTAGTATAATGATCTCACCAAACTTCATCACCTCCTTCAAGTTTTTGCTTAAATGTCTTCTTTTTTTATTATTATTATTATACTTTAAGTTTTAGGGTACATGTGCACAACGTGCAGGTTTATTACATATGCATACATGTGCCGTGTTGGTGTGCTGCACCCATTAACTCGTCATTTAGCATTAAGTATATCTCCTAATGCTATCCCTCCCCTTCCCCCCACCCCACAACAGTCCCCGGTGTGTGATGTTCCCCTTCCTGTGTCCATGTGTTCTCATTGTTCAATTCCCACCTATGAGTGAGAACATGCGGTGTTTGGTTTTCTGTCCTTGCGATAGTTTGCTGAGAATGATGGTTTCCAGCTTCATCCATGTCCCTATAAATGACATGAACTCACCATTTTTTATGGCTGCATATTATTCCATGGTGTATATGTGCCACATTTGGTATGAAGAAATTCTCGAGACTGGGTAATTTATAAAGAAAAGAGGTTTAATTGACTCATAGTTCTCTAGGGCTAGGTGGCCTCAGAAAATACAATTATAGCAGAAGCTGGAGCAAACAGTCCTTCTTCGTATGGTGGCAGAAAGGAGAAGTACTGAGCAAACAGTAAAAGCTCCTTTCAAAACCATCAGATCTCATGAGAACTCACTATCACAAGAACAGCATGAGAGTAACTACCCCCATGATTCAATTACTTCCCATGAGGTCCCTTCCCCAACACATGGGGATTAAAATCTGTATTACAATATTACAATTCGGAGTACAATTCAAGATGAGACTTGGGTGGGTACATAGAGCCAGATCATATCATTCTGCCCCTGGCCCCTCCAAAATCTCTTTCTCACATTTCAAAACACAATTATGCCTTCCCAACAGTTCCCCAAAGTCTTAACTAATTTCAGCATTAACCCAAAAGTCCAAGACCATAGTTTCATCTGAGACAAGGCAAGTCCCTTCCACCTATGAGCCTGTAAAATTGAAAGCAAGTTAGTCACTTTCTGAATTCAGTGGGGGTACAGGAACTGGGTAAATACACCCATTCCAAATGGGAGAAATTATCCACAACAAAGGGGCTACAGGCCCCATGCATACCCAAAATCCAACAGGGAAGTCATTAAACCTTAAAGTTCTGAAATGACCTCTTTTGACACCATGTCTCACATTGAAGTCACACTGATACAAGAGGTGGGATTCAATGGGCTTGGGCAGCTCTGCCTCTGTGGCTTTTCTGGATACAGCTCTCCTCCAAACTACTTTCATGGACTAGCATTGAGTGTCTGTGGCATTCATAGGTGCCTGATGCAAGCTGTCCATGAATCTACCATTCTGTGTTCTGGAGGAGGGTGGCCCTCTCTTCACAGTTCCACTAGGCAATGCCCCAGTGGGGACACTGTGTGAGGACTGCAACCCCACACTTCCCTTCTGCAATGCCCTAAAAAAGGTTCTTCATGAGGGCTCCGCCCCTGCAGCAGACTACTGCCTTGACATCCAGGCACTTGCATACATCCTCTGAAATCTAGGAGGAGGTACCCAAACCTCAATTCTTGTCTTATGTGCACCCACAGACCCAACAGCACATGTAACTTCCAAGGCTTGGGGGTTGCACTCTCTGAAGCAATGGCCTGAGCTATATGTTGTCCCCATTTAGACATGGCTAGAGCTGGAGCATCTGAGACACAGGATGCCATGTCCTAAGGCTGCACACAACAGGGAGGCCCTAGAACCCATCCATAAAACCACTTTTCCTTCCTAGGCCTCTGGACCTGTGATGGGAGGGTCTGTGGAGAAGGTCTCTGACATGCCCTGGAGACATTTTTCCCATTGTCTTGGTGATTAACTTTGGGCTCTTCATTACTTATGCAAATTTCTATCACTGGCTTCAGTTTCTCCCCAGAAAATGGGTTTTTCTTTTCTATTGCAAAATCAGCTTGCAAAGTTTTCAAAGTTTTATGTACTGCTTCCTTTTGAATGCTTTGCCACTTAGAAATTTCTTCCACCAGATACCCTAAATCACCTCTCAAGTTCAAAGTTCCACAGATCTCTAGATCAGGAGCCAAATGTCACCAGTATTTCTGTATAACAAGAGTGGCCTTTATTCAAGTTCCCAAGAAGTGCCTCATCTCTATCTGAGACCACCTCAGCCTGGATTTCATTGTCCCTATCACTATCATCATTTTAGTCAAAACCATTCAACAAGTCTCTAGGAAGTTCCAAACCTTCCCACATCTTTCCGTCTTCTGAGTCCTCCAAGTCTCTAGGAAGTTCCAAACTTGCCCACATTTTCCTGTCTTCTTCTGAGCCCTCCAAACCATTCCAACCTCTGCCTGTTACCCAGTTTCAAAGTTGCTTCCACATTTTCAGGTATCTTTACAGGAAAGCCTCACTACTCTTGGTACCAAATTACTGTATGAGTCTATTATCACACTGCTATGAAGAGATATTTCAATTAGGTAATTTATGAAGGAAAGATATTTAATTAACTCACAGTTCCACAGGAGGGGAGGCCTCAGGAAACTTACAATCACGCTGGAAGGGGAAGCAAACATGTTCTTCTTCACATGATGGTAGGAAGGAGAAATGCCAAGCAAACAGGGAAAAGCCTTTTATAAAACCATCAGATCTCATGAGAACTCACTCAGTATCACAAGAACAGCATAAAGGTTACCACCTCCATGATTCAATTACCTCCCTTGAGGTCCCTCCCCTGACACATGGGGATTACAATTTGCATTATGATATTAAAATTCAGGTTATAATTCAAGATGAGATTTGGGTGTGGACACAGGACCAGACCATATCATCCCTCATCATCTGTTTTTTGGAATAGTTTCAGCAGGATTTGTAGTAGTTATTCTTTAAATGTTTGGTAACATTCAACAGTTAGGCCATTGGAGTCTGGGCTTTCTTTTGCTTGGTGTATTAGTCTGTTCTCATGCTGCTATAAGGACATATACAAGACTGGGAAATTTATAAAGAAAAGAGGTTTAATTGACTCACAGTTTTGCATAGTTGGGAGGCCTCATGAAACTTAATCACGGGAAAAGGAGAAGCAAACATGTCCTTCTTTACATGGCAGCAGGGGAGGGAAGAATGAACAAAAGGGGGAAAGGCACCTTATAAAACCATTAGATCTCATGGGAACTCCTTCACTACCATGAGAACAGTCTGAGGGTAACTGCTCCCAAGATTAAATTACCTCCCACCTGGTCCCTCCCATGACTCGTGGGGAACTACAGTTCAAGATGACATTTGGGACATATAGCCAAAATATATCATTCTGTCCCTCATCCCTCTCATATCTCATGTCCTCACACTTCAAATACAATCATGCCTTCCCAGCAGTTCCCCAAAGTCTTAACTCATTTCAACCTTAACTCAAAAGTCCAAGTTCAAAGTCTCATCTGAGACAAGGCAAGTCTCTTCTGCTTATGAGCCTTCAAAATTAAAAGCAAGTTAGTTATTTCCTAGATACAATGGGGCTATAGACATTGGGCAAATACACCTGTTGCAAATGGGAGAATTTGGCCAAAACAAAGGGGCTACAGGCTCCATGCAAGTCTGAAATCCAATAGGGCAGTCATTAAAACTTAAAGTTCCAAAATGATCTCCTTTGACTCCAGGTGTCACATCCAGGGCATGCTGATGCAAGAGGTGGGCTCCCACAGCCTTGGGCAGCTCCGTACCTGTGGCTTTGCATGGTACAACACCCCCCTCTGTCTGCTTTCATGAGCTGGCATTGAGCGTCTGTGGCTTTTCCAGGTACACAGTATAAGCTGTTGGTGAATCTACCATTCTGGGGTTTGAAAGATCATGGCCCTCTTCTCACAACTCCACGAGGCTGTGCCCCACTGGAGACTCTCTGTGGGGGCTCCCACACCATATTTCCCTTCTGCACTGCTCTAGCAAAGTTCTCCATGAGGGTTCTGCTCCTGCAGCTGATTTCTTCCTGGACATCCGGATATTTCCATACATTTTCTGAAATCTAGGCGGAGCTTCCCAAACCTCAATTCTTGTCTTCTGCGCACCCATAGGCTCAACACCATATGGAAGCTACCAAGGTTTGGGGCATGCACTCTCTGAAGCGATGGCCTGATCTGTACCTTTGCCCCTTTTAGCCACCACTAGAGCAGCTGGGACACAGGGTGCCAAGTTTCTAGGCTGCACACAACAGACGGCGCGTGGGCCTGCCCCAGGAAACAATTTCTTTCTCCTAAGCCTTCAGACCTGTGATATAAGGGGCTGCTGCAAAGGTCTCTGACATGCCCTGGAGGTATTTTCCTCATTGTCTTGGTGATTAACATAGGGCTTCTCATTACTTATGCAAATTTCTGCAGCAGACTTGAATTTCTTCCCAGAAAATTGGTTTTCCTTTTCTATTGCATCACCAGGCTTCAAACTTTCCAAATCTTTATGCTCTGCTTTCTTTGAATGCCTTGCCACTTAGAAATTTCTTCCACCAGATACCCTAAATTATCTCTCTCAAGTTCAACATTCCACAGATCACTAGGGCAGGAGCAAAATGCCACCAATCTCTTTGCTAGCAAGAGTGACCTTTACTCCAATTTCCAGCAAGTTCCTCACCTCCATCTGAGACCACCTCAGCCTGGATTTCATTGTCCATATCACTATCAGCATTTTGGTCAAAACTATTCAACAAGTCTCTAGGAAGTTCCAAACTTTCTCATATCTTCCTGTCTTCTGAGCCCTCCAAGTCTCTAGGAAGTTCCAAACTTTCCCACATTTTCCTGTCTTCTTCTGAGTCCTCCAAACCATTCCAACTTCGGCCTGGTACCTAGTTTCAATGTCACTTTTACATTTTCAGGTATCTTTACAGCAGCACCCCACTCTTGTGGTACCAATTTACTATATTAGTCTGTTCTCACACTGTTATAAGGACATACCCAAGACTGGGCGGTTTTTAAAGGAAAGAGGTTCAATTGACCCACAGTTTTGCATGGCTGGGAGGCCTCAGTAAACTTACAGTCATGGCAGAAGGGGAAGCAAACACATTCTGTTTTACATGGTGGCAGGAGAGAGAAGAATGAGCAAAATGAGGAAAGGCTCCTTACAAAACAATCAGGTTTAGTGAGAACTCACTCACTGTCATGAGAACAGCATGAAAGCAACTGCCACCATGATTAAATTATCTCCCACTGGGTCCCTCCCATGACATGTGGGGATTATGGGAACTACAATTCTAGAGGAGATTTGGATGGGCCAAACCGTATCACTGGGAGACTTTTTATTATAGCTTTGACCTCATTATTAGTTATTGGTCTATTGAGGTTTTGGATTTCTTCCTGGTTCAATCAATGTGTCAAGGTTTTTATCAAATTATTCCAGGTTTTCCAATTCATTGGCACACAGTTGTTCATAGTAGCCGCTAATGATCCTTTGAATTCTGTGGTATTGTTTGTAATGTCTCCTTTTCATCTCTGATTTTATTTATTTGGGTCTTCTCTTTTTCATTCTTCGTAAAGTTGGGTTGAAGTTTGTTCATATTATTTTTCAAAACAAATTTTCATTTTATTGATCATTTTTATTTTTGTATTTTAGTTTTATTTCTTTTTTTATATAGCATTTTTAAAATTATACTTTAAGTTTTAAGGTACATGTGCACAACGTGCAGGTTTGTTACATATGTATACATGTGCCATGTTGGTGTGCTGCACCCATTAACTCGTCATTTAGCATTAGGTATATCTCCTAATGCTATCCCTCCCCCATCCCCCCACCCCAAAACAGGCCCTGGTGTGTGATGTTCCCCTTCCTGTGTCCATGTGTTCTCATTGTTCAATTCCCACCTATGAGTGAGAACATGCGGTGTTTGGTTTTTTATCCTTGTGATAGTTTGCTGAGAGTGATGGTTTCCAGCTTTATCCATGTCCCTACAAAGGACATGGCATCAACCCCATCAACAAGTGGGCGAAGGATATGAACAGACACTTCTCAAAAGAAGACATTTATGCAGCCAAAAGACACATGAGAAAATGCTCATCATCACTGGCCATCAGAGAAATGCAAATCAAAACCACAGTGAGATACCATCTCACACCAGTTAGAATGGCTCCATCTTTTTAACTTAGGAAGTCCGCCAGGCTCAACCTGAGTTCCTCTTTCTGTGATATGACCTAGAAACTCAATTACGGCAGAAAGCTGAGGCAAATGTAGGGTCACCTCATTTGTGTTCCATCAACCAGAGATCACTGTTCTTTATCATGTGCTGTTTAGTGTCCTGAAAATTGCTTTATATATTTTGTAATTTTTGTTTTTGTTTGGTGGAAGTGTAAATCTTGTTCTTAGTACTCCACTTTGTCTGGAAGCAGATGGCTCATTAATAGTTTTAATTTTATTTATGACAATGCTATTATTAATAACAATTTCACATATTCTTTTCCTTTCACTAGGCTATGTTTTGTATATTTCTTTTGTTTTCTTTTAGATGTTTTTCATTAATTTGTTTTCTTAGCTATTAATTCAAAATATATTTCCATATCTACCATGTAACTGATGTTGTACTAAGTTCTGGAGTTACAAATATAAATAAGTTTTCTCTGCTTTCTTTTATGGTTTAGATTAGAAAGAACAGCAAACAAATAGTTAAAAATTACAGAGTGATAGATCTTGTTTGATTGATTCAAGATTCTTAACAGTTGGTATTTGTGTTTCAGGCAGAGCCTGTATTGTTCAGTTTTGAAATTCTAGTGCCATGCACAGTGTCTGGAACCCAGTAGTTGTCAAGATAAATAAACAATTACCATGTAAGGGGATAAGTGCTTTCTTTAATTCCTTCTTTATTCTTACAATTAGTGTTTATGCGTTTGAGTGCAGAAATTGTCTTATTCAGTGTTCAGTGAAAGAATGTTCTTTAGATATCTAGTGGGAAGAGGAATGATTTTAGGCTGGGAAGCTAGAAAACAGCATTAAAGAAGCATTTTTGGGTTGGTAACTTGAGGGATGAGTAGAAGTTCTCTAGAAGGAGAAGGGTAGAAATGGTATTTCTTTTTTGTAATATTAACTTTTATTCCCTATTAGACATACTTTTTTTATTATTGTACTTTAAGTTCTGGGGTACTTGTGTGGAACGTGCAGTTTTGTTACATAGGTATACACGTGCTGTGGTGGTTCACACACCAGGGCCTGTTGGGGGGTGGGGGGCTAGGAGAGAGATAGCATTAGGAGAAATACCTAATGTAGGTGATGGGTTGATGGGTGTAGAAAGGGTATTTCCACAAGCCTTAGAGGAGGGCAAGAAGGTGATGCACTGAGGTAACACTGGGTAGTTCCAAGTGAAAAGAACACAGATTATATAGTGTCTGTATATGATTGTGATAGTGTGTGCGTGTGTGTGTGTGTGTGTGTGGTGTGTGACAAGGTTTTTCAGTGGAGGGAATAAGTTAAAAAAAAAATAGGTGCTGCAATGTAAAGGGCCTTGATGCCATAATAAGGAGTTTGGCCTTTATTACATAAGCAAGAATGAATCTACCTGAGTACTAAATTATGCTCTCCTGTTTGTATACAGCAGGTGGTAGAACAGTGGGTATGCGGATTAGTAGGAGAACTGAGGCAAAAGTTCAAGTGGGAGGCTGTTGCTACAAAATGTACATATCAATAGAGTCATAACCAAAATCTACCTAGGATAGCACACTGAAGAATAGCCCAGCATAACATTAAGCAGAGCATTAATTAATTATATGATAGGAAGAAATTTTAGTAGGCCATGCAATAGAAACTCATGTAGAAAGGATATAATTTTTATGATTTGAGAAGCAGAATGTCTTGATCTAATAAATACTTTTTTTCACTTAATATCCTTTAATGTGTGCATTTCAAAACTGTGTTAGGCATTGATATTACAGAAATATTAGAGATTATATGACAGAACTCTTTCATTTTACATCTTTCCCATACTGATAAACAACAAACCTCAATAGTACCATCTTACTCATTCATTTAGTGGTATATGTATATATGAACATTAATATGTACAGATATATTTCTATGTGTGTGTGTATATATATGTGGATATATATGTGCATACACACACATGAAACTGATTTACTTTTTCCTCTTTATCTCCTACAACATCTTTGACTTCTATTTTTATATCGTAAATTATTAGAGAACAACATCTGCTTTAAACCTATGGAATTATAGGATGGATAATAGCATATTTCTGAAGATAATGTTTACTTCTTCACTCTAATATTTTGATTTATCCAAAGATTCTTATAAATGTTTTCAATTCATGGTTACTTAGAATTTTCTTATTGAGGTACATATATCATAAATATATATTAAATGTTACTAGCTATTCAAGCATGCGATTGGTCACGTGCAATTGCAGTATATTTTAAAATCACTCAAATAATACATTTCTGATAATTATAAATTAGAGGGCAACGTTATAAAAATTATACATTTGAACAGTCATGGTAAGAATGTTAATGTAGGCTACATTTAAAAGTTATGGTTGCCTTCTTTTTTTTTTTTTTTGTGTCGGAGTCTCGCTCTGCCGCCCCCGCAAGGCTGGAGTGCAGTGGTGCGATCTCAGCTCACTGCAAGCTCCGCCTCCCGGGTTCACGCCTCAGCCTCCAGAGCAGCTGGGACTACAGGCGCCCGCCGCCTCGCCCCGGCTAATTTTTTTGTTTTTTGTTTGGTATTTTTAGTAGAGGCGGGGTTTCACTGTGTTAGCCAGGCTGGTCTCAATCTCCTGACCTCGTGATCTGCCCGCCTCGGCCTCCCAAAGTGCTGGGATTACAGGCGTGAGCCACCGAGCCCGGCTGGTTGCCTTCTTAAGACTGGTAAGATTTTTGGTAATTTAGCAATAAGTTCTCAATATTGTGATGAAGAGAAAAATTGTAAGACCCTTCAAAACCTAATGTTATTTATACATATTCAGAAACTGTTTTATACAATTTCCTTCCTGAATTGATCCTGAACATTTTTAGCTCGTTTACTTGATGATTTTACTATAATGAAAAGAGTCTGTTGTTTCTGATTAATTCACATGGTCTTTCTACACAGAGAGATAAGGCAAGGTCTAGAGATATGTCTTGCTTCATTTGTCCTTTCTATTTACAAAAGTGTTCCTCAGGTCCCCACCATCTGGGTTTGTGGTTATATTGAGAATCTTGAGGCAGTTGCCTCAGAGACTTGAGATTACAGTGTGAATGCCTAAGAGGGTTTAGCTTCCGACCTAGCCCTTAACTTTTGTCTTAAAATGGCCAAGCCAAACAATATTACTGAGAATTAAAACTTTGTTTAAACTACCAAATAAAAACCTAAAGGTTGTGCTATTTTGTATGAGGTAATCATCTTTAGATCTGAAGATTTATTTTAGGCTCATTTGTTAAATGAAAATATATTTATCTTTTCCACATATCAGATAGTTTGATAGCTACTAGGAATTAAAAAATAAAAACATATTATTGCTGGGAATTAAATAGTAAAAACACTAGATATTTGACTCTAAAAACAGAAGTATTTTATTGTAGAGTACTGTAAATATAAAGAACATCCATTCTATATATAAATAAATAAAAATGGACAATTCCAATTTAAAAAAGAAATATTAAGTACCAGATTTTTAACATGACATAATTGGTTTCTACTATTTTTAAATCCATATAATATTTTTTGCTGTTCATATATCTTATGTTTCTTTTTTTTTCGGTAGAAAAAGTAGAAGAATAGCTTACCATGGCCACCTTCCCTGCCTCTGTTAAGCTATTGCCTCTGTGCTCGCTGGTTTTATTCTGATGTTTTCCTTAGCTGCTACAGTTGGCTTCTTTCTTCTCTCCAGTGTATGGTTGTAGTAGTGGTGGTGGTAGTGGTGTGGTGTGTGTGTGTGTGTCTGTCTGTCTGTCTATAGGATAGTGGGGGTTATGAATAAAAATTCTGAAGATATTTTCACTTCCTACTTAATCCTCAGTAACACTTCTTTGGTATGGGCCTGGAGTTAGCATCCAAACTGCACTGTCAACATTTTCTGTTTCTTTTCTTGGCTATCATTTTCTGAGGTTTATGGCATGAGATTGTACGGTTGTTAATATTGAATTATGGGTTTTTTGCCCCCTACTGTTTCTGTCGTTCTTATTCATTCTATAACAACCAGAAAAGGGAAATTATTTGTTTCAGCTTTACTTTTCCATCATTGCCCAAAAACCTGGACTTGCTTCTGAAATAGCCATTTGATTTCTGAACAGTTTAATACCTTACTTGAATGTAATGAAACATAGGTTTTAAAAAACAGACATATTCTTTTTATTTTTCTACATAAGGGGTCCTATAAAGGAGAGAGTGTTCCAGGGGAGGGCAAAAGAAAAAAAGAACTAAATTTCTTTTCACCATATTGTGACACACAAGTGCAAACACCATATATTTAGTCAATCAATCAAACAAGCAAGCACACAGAATCAGGCTGCCAACATTGAATTCCATTATATAGTAACCTATATATAAGATATGCTCATTGTTCAAACAAATTTTCCTTTTCTTGAATTTTTATAGAAGAAATGTATAATCCAATTAAAAAGTAATCAGAGAGGAGAATCTTTACCCAAGTCAATGAAATAGAAAAGAATACATTCCAGGGACTGTTCCTTTGTGTTCTATCTCTTCAGGGAGCTGTATCAATCAAGGGTTATCTTTGCTTTTGAAAGTTGCTCTCCTTTGGCTTAGAATTCTCTGTTGTTTTGGGTGCCAATTTATTCAATGCCACCATCAAGAATAAATGAACTCAGCCAGAGACCTTCTAAGAAAGAAATGATAATTATGGGAAAGAGAACCGCAAATAAATGTTTGCAGGATTTAGATTTTAAATACCTATGAAATCCTCATATTTTTAAGTGTTTTGAAAATGCATTTTTCCATTGGCCTGTTCATTAATGAGTTTCTGGATATTTTATATTTAAAATTATTTCTAGATATAATGACATTTCATTTTAAAGTTTCTGTAGTTTGAATAAGTGGTATTTCAGTTAAGCTTCATGCTTGTAAAGGTGCTTTTTGCTTGGTTTTTTTTTTAACCCTGTTTTTATAAGTGAGTCTCTAGAGTTCATTGCTCTGAAAAGGAAATAATTTCTTTGTTTCCATTAGTTGGTTCCATAATTAGATATACACTTACTTTGTTTTTTTCTTGGAAAACATCTCATCTTCCTGGATATAGTTTTGGATTTGTCCTTTAAATCAACTACATAATTGTTGAACAGATATTTATTGAATATAATTTGCACAGAATTTTGTGGGGCATTTTCAAAGGAATGTATAATATAGTTGAGCAAACAAGATTATATTTATAAAGAGATTTTGCTACATTATGTGTGTAAAGAGATTTTGCTACATTATGTGTGTAATAAAGGGAAAAGGAAGACACCTGTGTAGTATGGAGCAGTCTGGGAAGTTCTTGTGAATGAGGTGAAACTTGAGTACAGCAACATAAGGAGTGAAAAGTATTTGGATTGGCTAAATGGAAATGACAACTCTAGTTGGTAGAAGGGAAATGATGTGGGCGGGAAAGGAGTCAGAGATACTGGCTTCGAAAAAAGGCAAAACAGGTTGGGAGCAGTGACTCACGCCTGTAATCCCAGCACTTTAGGAGGCCTAGAGGCGGGCAGATCACAAGGTCAGGAAATCGAGACCATCCTGGTCAACATGGTGAAACCCTGTCTCTACTAAAAATGCAAAAATTAGCTGGGCGTCGTGGTGCGTGCCTATAATCTCAGCTACTTGGGAGGCTGAGGCAGGAGAATCGCGTGAACCGCGAGGCAGCCGTTGCAGTGGGCCGAGATCGCGTTATTGCACTCCAGCCTGGCAACAGAGTAAGACTCCGTCTCAAAAAAAAAAAAAAAAAAGCAAAACATGGAGGAGTTGGAGGAGGAGATTTGTGTTGACTCGAAAAAATTTATATTGACTTTTAACACAATGTGGTTGGAGTTTAAGTAGAGAATAGATTAAAGAAGACCGGGATCATGGCTTATATAGCTCATCCTGACAGAAGGAAGGCTTTCACTGGGGCTGGTGGAGGGGATAACTGAGGTGTTTAGAATCCGAGGGACCTCAGATAAATCACGTTCTGATTGGGGTAATTTTGATAATGGAGATATAAACAATAGTGTAAAACAGGAAATGAGAGCTGACTTTTCTCAGCATTTGGAAAACAAGTCTCTCTTACAGTGAAGGGAGTCTTTGGAATTGAATAGGGGTTGCCTAAATAGCAATTATTATTGGCTAAATACTCTGTTAAATCCTTTATATTCATTATCTAAATTTAATACTGAAATATTGCTTTTATAGTATTTTTATTCAGACATGGATATTTTCTCTCAATTTAAAAAAGATACTACTGTTCATTTTTAAGTGGTTAGTAGATTGTCTCTCTACCATTTAGTACATCATCCACCCATTTTCGATTTAAAATATTATTCTTAAGATATACTAAATTATGTTCTACTTCTAGGATGTTTTCTGGACTTTTCACCTCATGCTTATGATTTATCTTTTTGTTCTGTTTATACATTCATTTACTATTTAAAGTTTATTATTGTGACTTCTAAGTCATAAATGAGAAATCTATTGAGTAGTTGTAGTATTATACTAAATCTAGTAAGCTTACAAGACTCTCCTATTAATGGTAATAACTTTTAGTTTATTTTCAGCAAATAACATTTTATTTTCAGCAGCAAATCATATTCTCTACAAATGATGATAATTTAATCTCCTCCCTTCTAAATGTAAAATTTATTCATTTTTATCTCATTGACTTGGCTACAACTTCTAAAATTATATTGAGTGGTGAAAGTATTAGTGGGCATTCTCTTTTATGGGAATATTTGTATTAAAATTAAGTATGTTGTTGGTTATTAATTAGAGAATGATATAAACTCTGAGATGTTACAATTTTAAGAAATTAAAGATGTTATTTTCATCATATGACTTTTCGATGATTAACAAGTTAAGTATCTTTTTCTTTCTTACCTGCTGAGATGATCAATAACAGTATTACCTTTCAAACAATCTTGAAAGAAAGCCGACTTTGTCTTCATGCAGTATACCATGACCTCACAATTATTTTCATATATTAGTTGGATGAATTAGCTAAGACTGAAGTTTCCTCTCATAGAGTTTTCTTTTTAAGTGATGGTGTTAACAAGTCAAACTAGTAAAATAAATTGCAAAGCTTACTATCTTACTCTGTGTTCTGGAACACTTGAAATACTATTTCTTGAAAATCTGAAAGAAGTCATTGATAAAAGTTTCTGGATCTAGGAACAGTTTTGGAGTAAATTCATTGACAAAACTTCAATGGCTTTCAGATTTTTATCTTTTTATTTGAGTTACCTTTTGGTTGTTTATATTTCCTCATAAAATTTCTACTTAATGTTAATTTTTAAATGTATTAGTGCAGTATTCTTTCCATTGCAGTTTTAGTGTCTTTGTGTATTTATATTATCTTTTTTATTAACTTTTCCAAAGGATACTATGTCTGTTTGGACTCCTCTGTAATTGTATTTTTAATTGTTTTCTAATTCATTAATTCTACTTTTAAGCCATGCTCTTCTCAGAATTATTTTGTTGTTCTTATTCTAACTTCTTGAGTGAAATGTATTAGTTCATGTATTATTTTCTTTCCTGTCTAATAACTAAAACATTGAGATACATAACTCTTAATTTAAATATGGTTTTGCCTGCATTCCACATTTTAACATATAATTCCTAATTTTTAAAGAGTCTATAATTTTAAGTTGGATTTTCCCTTTAAAATTTAGACTCTATGTCTCAATTGTCAAGTGATTTGATTTTTAAATTGTGTAATACGTTATTCAATTCTGGTACTATTTGATTTTGAAAAGAGGGTGCAGCTTATCTAATTAAAAGTTCCATTTTTGAAAACTTCATGTGGATATTCATTCGCAAGCAAGTAAATGGGAAAAGGGGCCAATTGCTCTCATTCTTAATTTAACATCAGACTCACATGGAAGTCTTATTAAAACACAACTTGCTCACTCCATCTGTAGGATTTAGTAAGTTTGGAGTGAGTCTCAAGAATTTTCACTTCCAACAAGTCCCCAGGTGTTACTGATGCCACCTGTGTGAAGACCACATTCTGAGAACCCAAATTATAAAGGTCTTTAGTTTCAATCAGAGGATATTGTACTTAATAGAACTGGAAATTATAATTATTGGAAGATTCTTAGGTAAAAGAAAAGTTGATAAAAGCAACTTTTAGTAAAATTCATTTGAAAAAAAGGAGAAAGAACAGTTTGGATGAGGTTAACAGACTCTAAAGCTAAGATAACCAGCTGGAGAAACTTCCTACAGATATGAGCTTTCCAAGGTATAAGGAGAGTAGAAATGTGAAAGGCATTGAAATAAAAAATTAGAGTGTTGTATTGTTGGAATATAATGAGAGAATTGAACGTAATTGGTAAAGGGAATCTTGGACTGGGACTAGGGTAAGGAGAGGGAGGCTCTAGGGTGCAACATTTAAGGACATAGTCTCTCATCTCATTCACCTCTTTCTTCCTCATTCACCTCTTCCTCCAGAACAGAACTTCTGGTTCTGTGTTTTATCATAGTGAAGGCAGTAACTACTTTCGAGGTTACAGTAAGGTATCCCAGAATGGAATTTCTGTTGCTGTTGAAACTGTAAAAATATTTTGGAAATGTCAATTCTGGTAACATTGAAATCAAAAGGCTAACTTTTCAGAATTTTATCTCTGAACTCAAGTCATGACTGGATTGCTTTAATCAAATAGAAGAGATTGGAAGCATGCAGAATTTGTGATTTTATCCACCCATCTAATGAGGAACTTACAGAACTGACCTGAATGCAGATGGTGAATGGCTTATTAGGGTGATCGGAGCCTGTAAATCCAAGGGTCTGGCTCTAGATGATCGCAGTGGAAGCAAACATTGGGCAACAGGGGCAGGTGGGCATGCAGAGTGGCAGCCAGGAGGAAGTTAGCATCAAGAAAATCAGACAGCTGGTGGGAACGCAACCAATAACCGTGTCTCAGAGACAAAACACTGGGCAATGGGACAGGGTCTGGCAGGATAGATCAGTGCCTGCTGTTCTAAAAGAGGGTGAAAATACTGGTCCTGTTAACTAGAACTAAGCAGAAAGCCTAAATGTCCAAATGTACCATAAGGTTTGTTTTAAGATTTTGGAAGAAACAACGCATTATAAGATAACTTACACTTATATACCACTTTCCACAAAAGACGAGGAGCAGTTGCTAAGGTAGAAAAGCTATTTTCTAAATCCTGCTTATGAAATCATTCCCCCAAATGTAATAATAAAGGAAAGCTATGCCACTGAAAAGCAAGTAAAAGTTGCTACCAGAGAACATGCCTGCCATGTGTTTTGTGTATGTGGATTACATTTTTTCCAGGATACTACCATATGTGTTGACATTATCTCTTAGAAATCTTTGATTTCTGAGGGTATACATCTGGTAAAAAAATGTAATAACTGAGCCAATGACTTGTGCATATATAAATTGTTCCATTCTTTCTTTTGGAGGTGATTTGTCCGAAAGCCCCTGTTGGAAAAAAAATAAAGGAAATTAAAATGAAAAGGGAAAGTAGAAAAGTTGGAAAACATAGTCCAAATGACAGTAAAAGTTAATGGTCTGATCTCACACACAAAAATTGTCCTTCAAACTGAAGTGTGTATTAAATAGTAATGGATAGATATACTTCTCTGTGAGATCTGATTTGTCTAGCAAATCCTTGCTGACATATACTCTCATTTACTACTATATAGCCTTTTGAAAATGCCATTCCAGCAGAGCATAAAAAAGGTTATTTAGATTAAGTATAGTTACAAGATAAGCAGTATACTGAGTTCATTGGACTTCATGCACACTCATTTAATTTCCACCGCTCCATTACTCTGAATCAAACTGTCCCTGAAAGAACAAGAGGAAGAAAAAGGGCATTAAAAAACACAAATCACAAAGTAGAGAACATTCTTCTTGAAAACGAAATGGTCTCCATGTGTTACCATTTAATACCATGGAAATACTTTCTTGACTTTTATAGCATGCAAAGAAATTGCACCAATCTATTAAAGAATGCAGTAAAAAAAGACTTTGAGGTGGGTTAACATTTTCCAGGTCTTTATCATTCTAGATGGGCTTGGAACTTCAAAACACTGTAAAATATTATAAATGGTATCCATTTGCATCTGTATGCAGCTTATGGCATAATGAATGCATGACCACTTAACCATTTATCGAATACAGGAAGAAATATGATGAGGCCTTTGGTGATATGTTTTAAAATAAGGCCCAAAGCCAGGTTTTAAAGACAGTGCCAAAACAGTTTATCTTCTTTTTTTTCTTTTAACTTTAGTGCCATTAAGTGCCAATATGGGGCTTTTTGGACTTCATTTGAAATTCAAGTAATTAATATAATTGGGGAAAATAACTTTTAGAGGGATAAGGTATTGCAATAAGGTATAAACAAGAAAGATCTGAAGTTTAGAGGACAAAAAATGACAATGCTAATACAGAAGTTATACTGGATGATTCAAGTAATTGTTGAGACCTTTCACAGGTTCAGCTTGCATTCGACAGTGGCTGAACTTTATTAGCCTTTAATAGCCTTCATTAAATTATATTTGGTATAGAAGAGGCTATGCATTGAATAAGTATCATGAGGACATTCTTTTTTACTTATGTATGTAGCTCAACCAAAGAGATATGAACTTCAGTATCTTGTTCTAGGGAATAGTGTGCTTTCTATTTTGTTTCAGACAGTGAGATAAGATGATTTTTATAGTTTTTTTCTCTATGTGCTTCTTCTCAGTATTTATACAGACTCTATCTTACAAAACAAACAGCCCTCCCTTTCCTCTTCATCTACATGTAGGTACTGCCCTAGTTGCTATTGTTCTGTATATCTTCCTCATACATTGAGAAACATTATCTGAACCTTCTCAACTCCAACCTTCTCCCCAATCCACTATAATCTGACTTTTCATGACATTCCTCTAAGCAGCTCAAATGAAGGTCACCTGTGTCTTGCATGTAGTTAAGTCAAATACAAATTTTCTGTCACTATTTAATGCATCTTCCTTTTATCACAAAATAGATAACTCTATTTTGTAAAGAAAAATAAAAGCTTTCTTTTTTATGACTTCTACACTTTTCTAGTTCTCCCACTTCTTTCAAATTGAGTGTTCTCTGTTACTTGAAACTCAGGAATTCTTAAAATGAATTTATCATCTCCACAAACGAATCCCAATCCCTACCTCCATCTTCCTCTCTCAGAGGTAGGGGAGCAAAACCTACTTCTTTGGTAACACTTGCTAATTTAGAGCATGGTATCATGAGCCACCTAGTTGGACAAATTAGAAACCTGGGAGTCTTTCTTAGCTGCTTTTTCTCCCTAATTTCCTGATGAGCCACAAGACTTTGTCTTTCGAATGCTTCCGTTCTCACCATCCTCACCATCACCATCACATATCAAGGTATGACTTGTTTTAGACTCCACTTCATCAACACCTCACTGAATGCTTTCCCAATCTCCAGTTCTAATCCAGGCTTTTCTCCTATGGGTAAATTTCTTTTCTGAAATATAAAGCTGATTCTATCACTCTGCTGCTGAAATCCCTTCAATTTCTTCTTATTGCCCTTTGAGGGGCAGGGAAAGCGTAGTCTGCTAGCATGAGGTGAAAAGTCCCAATTTGTGCTTCTCTCACCTTACATCGTACTAAACCCCATTCAAATAATAAACCCCAGTCATACTAAATTTAATTCCTCAAAAGTTATATCTATTTGGAATACATAAGTACTATTTCCATCTGTTGCCTAACATTTTTTAGCTTTATTGAGGTATAATTGAAAAATAGGATTGTACATTTTTAAAGTGTACAGTCTGAAGATTTGATCTACATATACATTGTGAAATAATTACCACAATCAAGCTAATTAACACATCCATCATCTCACATAGTTGCCTTCTTTTTTTTCATGAGAATGCTTAATATCTATTCTCTTAGCAAATTTCAAGAATGCAACATATACAATCATCATGCTATCCATTAGATCCTAAGAAGTTATTTTTCTTGTAACTGGAAGTTTGTACTCTTTAATTGACATCTCTTCACTTCCCTAACCCCACAGTCCCTGGCAACCAACATTCTACTTTCTTTCTGTGAATTTCACTTTTTTCAAAAAAGATTTCACACACAAATGATACCATACAGTGTGTATCTTTCTCTCTCTGGCTTATTCCACTTACCATAATGCCCTTCAGTTTCATCCATATTGTCAAAAATGTCAGTATTGTCTTCTGTTTTTGGCTGAATAATATTCGATGGTATACATATATTGCTTTTCTTCACTCATTCATCCATTGACTGACACTTAGGTTGTTTCCATATCTTGGCTATTATGAATAATTCTGCAATGAACATGGGAGTGAAGATATTTCTTCTGGAAACTTATTTTGTTTCCTTTGGATATATATCTAGAAAGGGAATTGGCAAATCACATGGTATTTCTATTTTAATTTTTTAAGGAATTTCTATATTTTTTCCATAATGGCTGTACCAATTTATTCTCTGACCAATGATGTACAAGGATTCCCTTTTCTCCACATCTTTGCCAAACTTTGTTATCTCTTGTTTATTTTGTATTTTATAATAGCCATTCAAACAGATGCGAAGTGATTGTGGTTTTGACTTGCATTTCCCTGATAATTAGTGAGGTGATGGTGAACACTTTTTCATGTACCTGCAGGCTGCCATTTGTGTATCTTCTTTGGAGAAATGTGTATTCAGATCCTTTGGCCATTTTTAAAATTTATTTATTTATTTATTTGACTTGTATGGATTTCTTACATATTTTAGATACGAATCCCTTATCAAATACATGATTTGTAAATATTTTCTCCTATTCCATTGACCACCTGTTTATATTGTTAATTGTTTCCTTTACTGTGTAGAAGCTTTTTCTATTCTTTTCTTTTTTTATTATTATTATTTTTTTGAGACAAAGTCTTACTCTGTTTCCCAGGCTGGAATGCAGTGGCATGATACTGGCTCACTGCACCCTCGACCTCCTTGGCTCAAGCAATACTGCCAATTCAGCCTTCCGGATAGCTGGAATTACAGGCTTGTACCACCAAGCCTGGCAATTTTTGTATTTTTTGTAGGGACAGGGTTTCACCATGTTGCCCAGGCTAGTCTCGAACTCTTGAGCTCAAGTGATCTGCCCACCTTGGCCTCCCAAAGTGCTGGGACTACAGGTGTGAGCCACCGCACCTGGCCTGTGGAAGCTTTTAATGTGAGGCAGTCCTACTCATTAATTTTTGTTTATGTTTCCATATTCAAAAAATCATTGCCAAAACCAGTGTCAAGGAGTTCTCTGCCTTACTGTTTATATGGATTAGCTTTCAGCTGAATTTTTTAAGACCAGGAAACCTATTCTGATTCACACCCTTGATTACCCCTTATCATATGCTCTATATTCCTGCTCTTTAGTTCTACAGCATAGCATGCCTTTCTTTTAAGACAGTATTGTTATAACAGCAATGTAATAAATATAATTTTTTAAAAATATAATTTTTAAATGCTGTTATAATGTTATAACAGCAATATAATAAATATAATTTCTTGTAGATCATCTACCTTATACATTGTAGCTCAGTGAGGACAGAACCCATGTGTGTCTTATTTACTGTGTCTGGTACAGAATATATTGTATATGCTCAGTAAAGATTTCAGGCATTGGAAAACACTGAATGCCTTAGCAATGCTGAGAATCCCTGAGGGCACAATGTTGTACCTTAGAGTGAGTTTCAGCAGAATTTTTATTCCTTTTTTTAAAGCTGAATTTTTAATTAAAAGTGGAATCCCAGTGTTTTGACTATTTATTGAGACATGGAAATTTCTATATGTGTTATACATCAACTCTGTCCATAGTTTTATTGTCAATAATGATTCTAAACTACCCCCTGCTTCTCTGCCAAGAGGAGGCTGACAGCTGTCTCCAGTGTTATATTTCTATATCCTAGGTGTTCTAATGGTGATTTATCATAGAAACACTTATCAATTTGCCCCCATTCTTTGGTTTTCATCTGTGCTTCTGACTACAATACTTTTCTTTTATGATAATGGATCCTTTTGTTTATCTTAATTCTGCCTTGCTGTAATTTTAAGGAGCTCTGTCTTCTACTTCTATTTTGTTGTATGATGAGAGAAAAAAATGGTTCCCTTACAATAATATACAAATGTATACAGTGTTTAATATGGTCTCTCTTCACTTTGCAGAACTGAATAATCTAGGCTTGTCTTCATATCAAAGTCCATGGTCAACCTATTCTTGCAATTACTTTAGTTGCCTTCATCCCTGTATTTGGGTGTAACTATCAGTTACTTCTGAAATGATTTTTCATTTCTCTGCTTCCAATTGTCAATAGGGCAGGAAGACACCATTAGAACACATCATCCATATCTGGATTTTGTCATCATGTTAAATGCTTAATGTAGCCAATGTAGTCTTCTCTGATTGTCTAGTTGTTTACTGTGTAGGGCTGTGGCTACCTGTTTCATTATTGTGTTCTACTTTTTTCCTTCCTAGAGTATTTGTAGTTTAATAGTGGTTCTCCACTGAGGACTAGGATGGACCCAACTAAATAACTATTTATTCTTAAGCATTTGGCATTTAGTTGGAGAAAATACTATTTTCCCAGTGGGACTTTCCTTGGAACATTCTAATCAACACAACTGGCAAATCTCCTCTTGTCTACATATGAACTTGTCTTTCCTGAGAGTTCATGTTAGTAAAAGACAATGTGGCAGCATAGGTAGAAAACATCTGTTCTTTTAAACTGGTTTTGTTCCTCTAAAGTGTTGCTAGTTCATTGTAAAATAGTGAGGCTCAAGGCAAATATGTATATTTTGTGTGTATATGAAATATTTTATGTGTATAGCATATATAAATACTTATAACTTTAAGACCAAGACATTTTCAATGTAAGAAAGATTATAACTAAGATATGAGCCACCTGGACATCCCCTAAGTCCTTAGCTTGCTTGAGTAGATGTAACCTTTAAGCTATGCATAAAATTGTCTTGAAAGCCTATCTCTCCTAAGGCAGAAGTGTAGCTTATGTCCCAGTATCTCCAGGGATTTAAAAAAATTATTTAGTTAAAAATTGTTAAAAATCATATATATTTATGGTGTACAACATGATGTTTTAAAAAATGAATACATTGTGAAATGGCTAAATCAAGCTAATCACCATATAATAACCTCACATACTTATCACCATGTTTATTGTGGTGAAAACAAAACATCTCCTCCCTTAGCAATTTGCAAGTATACAATACACTGTTATTAACTATAGTGACTATATGGACAACAGTTTTCATTAAACTTTTAGAACATGGAGAAATGTTACGGTTTAACAAAGAATCTAAAGCATTTTTTTGAGCGAACTTGGAAGTCATATATTACTGCCTAATCAGGCAGTAATATATCTCCAATACAGTTTGACATGTCTATTTGTATAACCATGAAAATTTTCAGTTTATAATTTTATAATCTGTTGCTTTTTCTTCACTCAGAGTATGAAATCTAGAATTTCCTATATCTTCAATATTGGGATAAAATTACTTATCAATCTAGTAGAGGTGAAGAGTCAAAAATACATTAGGTGAAAACAGTCTAAATAGTATTTATCAATGTGTGAAATATTTTGGAAATATTATTGAATATAGAAATTATTTGGAGATTGTGTTAGTCTGTTTTTTTGCCACTAATAAAGACATACGCAAGACTGGGCAATTTACAAAAGAAAGAGGTTTAATGGACTTACAGTTGCACATGGCTGGGGAGACCTCACCATCATGGTGAAAGGCAAGGAGGAGCAAGTCACATCTTACATGGATGGCAGCATGCAAAAAGAGGGCTTGTACAGGGAAACTCTCATTTTTAAACCCATCAGATCTCATGAGACTTATTCACTGTCACAAGAACTGCATGGGAAAGGCCTATCCCCATGATTCAGTTACCTCCCATGGGGTACCTCCCACCACACATGGGAACTATGGGAGCTACAAGATAAGATTTGAGTGGGGAAACAGAGCCAAACCATATCATTCTGTCCCAGTCCCTCACAAATCGCATGTCTTCACATTTCAAAACCAATCATGCCTTCCCAACAGTCCCCCAAAATCTTATTTCAGCATCAACTCAAAAGTCCATAGTCTGAAGTCTCATGTGAGACAAGGCAAGTCCCTTCTGCCTATGAGCTTGTATAATCAAAAACAAGTTAGTTGCTTCCTAGATACAATGGGGATACAGGCATTGGGTAAATACAGCCATTCCAAATGGGAGAAATTGCCAAAACAAAGGGGCTACAGGCCCCATGCAAGTCCAAAATCCAGTGGGGAAGTCAGATCTTAAAGCTAAAAAATGATCTCGTTTGACTCCATGTCTCACATTCAGGTTATATTGCTGCAAGAGGTGGGCTCCCATGGTCTTGGGCAGCTCTGCACTTGTGGCTTTTCAGGATACTGCCTCCCTCCTGGCTGCTTTCATGGGCTGGTGTTGAATGTCTGTGGGTTTTCCAGGTGCACGGTGCAAGCTGTCAATGGATCTACCATTCTGGGGTCTGGAGGATGGCTGTCCTCTTCTCACAGCTCCACTAGGCAGTGCCCCAGTAGGGACTCCATATGGGGGCTCTGACCCCACATTTCCCTTCAGCACTGTCCTAGCAGAGGTTGTCCATGAGGGCCCCATCCCTGCACCAAACTTCTGCCTGGGCATCCAGGTATTTCCATACATCCTCTGAAATCTAGGTGGAGGTTCCCAAACCCTGAGTCTTGACTTCTGTGCACTTGCAAGCTCAACACCATGTGGAAGCTGCCAAATCTTGAGGCTTGCAATGCAGGGGTCCATTCCACAGACCCCGACCCAACGACAGATCAATAATGTACACTGACAAAGATATGCTACCTGTCAGTCCTGCTAAGGGTCTTGGCCCACTCACAGTCACCAAAGAAGGTGCTGTAAAGAGTAGCACCTGTGGCTTCATTCAGCCAGCGAAGCTCACATTTATTCAATATAGATTAAATGACAAAGGTCTTGAGTAAACACCACTAGAGTATAATTGACTTGGTTGCCGACTCCCTGAGTAGAGAGCAGTTATGCACACCGGGGTTGATCAAAGGTTGTCTTAGGACCACATGAGTAAACAAGCTATTTAGATAAATTACTCTACATTCTTATGTATCTACCCCCTAAGCTTTTAAGAGATTTCAGCTGCCTTCAGCCAAACCCTTTATGCAAACCCCCAGGCCTTCCAAAAGGGTTTGTGTTCAATTCCTATAATTTCATCTTAAAATTTTTCCCACCTGCCTGACTGAACTCCCACATTGCACCCTCTGAAACCACAGCCCAAGCTGTACCTTGACCCCTTTTAGTCATGGATGGAGTGGCTGGGATGCAGGGAACCAAGTTACTAGGCTGCACACAGCAGAGGCACCCTAGGATTGGCCCATGAAATCATTTTTTTCCTCCTAAACCTCCAGGCCTGTGATGGGAGGGGCTGCCACAAAGGTCTCTGACATGCCCTGGAGATATTTTCCCCAGTGTCTTGGTGATTAACATTCAGCTCCTCATTACTTATGCAAATTTCTGCAGCCAGCTTGAATTTCTCCTCAGAAAATGGGATTTTCTTTTCTACTGCATTGTCAGGCTACAAATTTTCCAAACTTTTATGCCCTGTTTCCCTTTTAAAACTGAATGCCTTTAACAGCACCCAAGTCACCTCTTGAATGATTTTCTGCTTAGAAATTTCTTCTGCAAGATATGCTAAATCATCTCTCTCAAGTTAAAAGTTCCTCTACTCTCTAGGGCAGAGACAAAATGCTGCCAGTCTCTTCGCTAAAACATAGCAAGAGTCACCTTTGCTCCAGTTTCCAACAAGTCCCTCATCTCCATCTGAGACCACCTCAGTTTGGATTTCATTGTCCATATCATTATCAGCATTTTGGTCAAAGCCATTCAACAAGTCTCTAGGGAGATATTTTCCTGTCTTCTTCTGAGCCCTCCAAACTCTTCCAGCCTCTGCCTGTTACCCAGTTCCAAAGTCACATCCACATTTTCAGGTATCTTTTCAGCAGTGCTCCATTCTACTGGTACCAATTTACTGTATTAGGCCATTTTCATGCTGCTGATAAAGACATACCCAAGACTAGGCAATTTACAAAAGAAAGAGGTTTAATGGACTTACAGTTGCACGTGGCTGGGGAGACATCACCATCATGATGGAAGGCAAGGAGGAGCAAGTCATGTCTTATGTGGATGGCAGTGAGCAAAGAGAGCTTGTGCAGGGAAACTCTCATTTGTAAAACCATCAGATCTCATGAGACTTATTCACTATCAGGAGAACAGCATGGGAAAGACCCACCCCCATGATTCAGTTATCTCCCACAGGGTCACTCCCACATCCCACAACATGTGGGAATTCTGAGAGCTACAAGATGAGATTTGGGTGGGAACATAGAGCCAAACCATATCAGGAATATAAAGAACTACTATTAATAAGGATAGCTAAATTTATGTGGAATATATTTGTTTATTCAATATTTGATAGAAAACAATATTCAAGATTACATTTTATAATTTCTGGATATTTTCAAATTAGTGACAGAACGTGAAAAATTTTGTAACATAACACACTTAAGAAAAAAATTAAGAACTTGTGAAGCTTTAGGTTTTCTTTTGAATTATACATAAAATATAAAAAACAACATTCTTTACAGGAATATGTAGGAATCCCAAGCTACTCTGGCCCTTATATTTATCCAACTTGCTAGCTATGTAATGCATAGAGCTGGAGAGTTATCACATCAAATGTGCATAGCTTAATGACAAAGATAAATCTCAACATGTGAAATGAAATGTTTATGAAGCACCTCAACATCAGTAAGTTAGTATAATTAAGAAAATTGTTGCCTAGGTGTGGTGGCTCACACCTGTAATCCCAGTTACTGAGGAGGCTGAAGGGGGGAGGTCAGCACTGCAATGAGCTGTGATTGTGCCAGTGCACGTCAGCCTGGGTGAGCGAGTGAGACCTTGTCTCAAAAAAAAAAAAAAAAAAAAAAAAAAAGGAAATAAAACTTTAAACAACTTTCAATAGGCTCAGTGTTCTTTTGAAAAATACAAAAAAGGTGCAATGCAGTCTTTGTTATCTAAAAGTGTTTTAATATTTAAAGATCAGTGGTTTCAGTAATCAAAAGATTTAAAGTCACTTCACTCACTTGCAGCTTCTACATCTTCAATTCCTATTTTTCCCTTAATCACACATACACAGACACAGACTTGGGCTCAATTTAGTCTTATAAATCACAAGAAGGGTAGCTTTATTTTTAAATTTACATTTTTTCTTAACCTTGATAGAAAGAAACAACAGCATCCTTTGTTTTATCATTGCTATTTATCTTTCTTCATTTAACTTGAAGACTCCAAAATATGCCAATAGTAGAAGTAGTGATTATTAGAGAATCATTTATATTCACATTAATTTTGTAATAGAACACTAGAGAGGTAAATTTAGTAAATGTTCCTTGAATTTAATTTAAAGGTTTAAAACATACAGAAAATAAGCAGGATAATATAGCCTTCACATGTTTACCCACTACGGTGTCATTACTCTATTTCAAAATTTTTTGTAATGATTATTTAAAATGTTGAATTCTCAATTCTCTCCTCAGTGTCATTATTAGTCTCTTTCCACTCTGGAGGCAACTATTTTTTTTTTTAATTTTTAACTACATATCTATGTCTTTCATAAAATACATGTAAATATGATCATGTAATTTTTATCTGCTTTTTTTACTTAATTAAATATTTCTGAGGTTTACCAATGTGTTTAAGAGCTGAAAATCCATTTATCTTATAGATATTTATGGCTTGCTTTTTCTGGTTGTTTGCTGCAAACATTGCTGTGGTGAGCATACTTACACACACTATCTATGCACAAACCCAGGTATTCCTCAGAGTTCATGTGGAGACATGGAATTATGGGCTCAGGGGACATTCACTGGATATTACCCATCATCCAAAGTGTTGATAATAAGTTACACTGTCACAAATATAAAATAAGTTTTCCTATTTTCCTGTGCATAGTCACTATATGTTTAGGCCTTTTGAATTGGCTACAGTTCCTTGTTTTCATTACTTTCATTTTAGATGGACTCTTACATCACAGAGTTCATTCAGTTTGTTCTGTACATAGAGATATTTGGCTTCAGTCTTTGTTTTGGATCAATCTTAATTTCAACATAATTTCGAAGTAGCCATTAGGTATTCAGTCAAAATATGTATATGGTGTATCTGTAAATGTATATGTGTATTGACTTAATATATTTACAGATAAATATGTATATTAAAAATAAAAAGAAAGTGAGGCTTCGATGGGAGCTATCAATCCTACCCACTAATAACTGAAAAAATAGGCAATGTGTCTGGCATCCATTCATTCTTTCACTTTTTTTCCTGCTGCTTCTTTGAATTCGATGCTATTCATCTCATGCTGGTCCCTCATAAAATAGTCAAAACTTTACATTAGAAGATATAATACAAATCACAGAAGATTCTCCATCCCTCTTTCTGCAATTACATAAAGGTCATTTTGAATTTATAGTGTTCAACAAGTGCTTTTAAAAAAGAAATGTACTTTCCTTTCATTAGCTCTTGAAAATGCTGGTGATGGCCACTTAACGTAAAACAGTATTTAACTTTTCATGTCAGTTAAGTGTCATTTTCTGATGAGAATTTTTTTAATGACATCATTCTATGGAGAGATGTCCATAATGACTGCTCCACTTTCCCTCCCTTCCCATTTACTGGGGCAAGAGAAAGAAGAGAAGTAAGTGGTAGCATTCTTGCTTTCTGTGACCCCATAATTAGTCTGAACAGAAAACATGTTATTCCAAATACTCTAGAAGGAATTGAACTTGAGCTTTTTATAACTTCCTGATGTTGTTGCAGGTTATTTTAAAAAACACTTCACTTTTGATTTATCACCAACTGAATTCATAAATTGGTTGAAGAATAATTTTTAAAATATTTTTATATTCAAAAAATGTTGAGTATTTAGACATGTAGTGAATGAGGAATATGTAAAATCTTTTCTGAAAGGCATAGAAACAACAAATAATAGCAGTAATTACAAAAAAAATCTGACATTTATTAAATGGTGTTTACATGACAGACACTGTGATTATCTCAAGTATTCATCACAACCACCTTTATGATGTAGGTGATATAGCTATCTCTCTACCGCCATTATATAAAAGAAGAAACTGCTTCTTTGTACAAGTTTAAACATCTAGTAAATGACAGATCTAAGGCATAGATACATGTGACCCGAAAGCCTATTATATACCCACCTCTACCACTTCCCTTTAAATTGAGAATATCCAGGAAACATACCTTTGGACTTACCTAAAAGCTATAATGTTTTGAATCTAGTGAAGGTAAGTTGAAAGTTGAGCTTCCTAGTTTTATAATTGAAGACACTAAATTACAGAGAGTGTCAGTGATTTGAAAAAAGTCCTATACAAAGCTAACACAGGGTCTTCATCACAGTGCATAACATATTGTGCAAAATGTATTTATTTTTGTGTAATGTTTTCTGTAATTCCACTTTGTCTTTATTAATTTAATGGAAACCTATCACAAAATTAATGTAGCTGCCAATTTTATCTACATAATATTCTTCCTTCCATTCTTCTGACAACATGATTCCATTTGCTTTAGGGACAATCTCTTCTCTGTTCAATAGGTTTCTGGTTTATATGGTTACGAATCATACGTAGTTTTCCAGTTCCTGCCAACGTATAGCTGGGCATTTGACCCATACCTGTGCAATCAAAGCTCCATTATCCTGGTCATAGTGATTAGTTCACAAATGGACACAAAGCCCAAGGCAAATAGATGTCCAGGATTTTATGTAAAGGCACTGGGAAAAGCACTTTCTCTCTTTATTCAGTAGTTCTTAAGCTGACTTGATGAAAGTCTGAAACTATGTTCAGCCATTTTCTTCAACAAGTGGGAAAGATATCAACACAGAGATAAACTGCACTGAAAATAAAGAGTGCTAAGCATGTGTATGAAAGAGAGAGATTTAATAATCTTTAAGATAATAGCTCCATGCCCCAGAATTCCTATTTACTGAGGCTAATCAAATGCATTTTTGCTTAAGCTAGTTTGAATAAAAGGGTTGTGATTAAAATATTTGGATATGAACTGTAGCTTGATAAAGACATATATTATGTTCTTTTTTTCTCCTCCCTCCCTCCCTCCATTCCTCCCTCCCTCCAATCTCCCTCCTTCCCCCTTCCCTCCTTCCTTCCTTCCTTGCTTGCTTTCAAGACAGGATCTCTCTCTGTCTTCCAGGCTGTAGTGCAATGGTAGGAACATACCTCACTGCAGCCTCAAACTCCTGGGCTCAAGGGATCCTCCCACCTCAGCCTCTAGAGTAGCTGGTACTACAAGGGCACACCACCATGCCCAGCTAATTTTTTTTTTTTATAGAGAGACCAGATCTTGCTATGGATGATTTCAAACTTCTAGGCTCAAGTGATCCTCCCACCTAGGCCTCCCAAAGTACTGGAATTACAGAAATGAGCCACTGTGCCCTGCCTTGTTAATTTCTTTCTTTTTTTTTTTTTTGGTATACTTTAAGTTGTAGGGTACATGTGCACAACGTGCAGGTTTGTTACATAGGTATACATGTGCCATATTGGTTTGCTGCACCCATCAACTCATCATTTATATTAGGTATTTATTCTAACACTATCCCTCCCCTGGCCCCCCACCCCCAACAGGCCCTGGTGTGTGATGTTCCCCTCCCTGTGTCCACATTGTTCATTTCTTAAACAGTTCCTCTCACTCTTCTTTTAAAGGCATTTTAAGAGGAAAGGGTAATGGCAACACTAAGTTGTTTGTATAATATTGTTTATAGCTATGTCATCCAGTATATTTTCTTAAACAATGCTGGAAAGTTAGTTTTCTTTAATATTGAAACTAGTTGTCACATATGATTAAAGAATAAAATAATTTATTATTATAATAAATGATAGCTAATGATAATAACTATACTAGTAAAATTAATCATGACATTTATTCAAGTACTTTTACAATGTGGATTGCATGAAGAGTATTGAGTTTATCATTTTATTGCCTTTTCCTAGTCAAATCAATGTTCCTCAATGTATAAAAAAGTGAGTTTTGCTTTTGTTCCTTAATGCCAGTAACATGCTCTCTCTCTCTATATATATTTTTTTGTTTTTCTCCTGATTTCAGAAATTTGATTTTGTTTAGTTATTTAAAGCTTTCTCATATTTTTAGGAATATGGAATTTGCCAAACACAAATATGCTTTACTCAAGAGAGAAGATAATTTCTGAAGAGATATTGAAGAATCACTGTACTATTTATGTAGTTTTAATGCTTAATACCACTTCAACATTGTCTTCAAAATTAAACAAATGGTAGGATCCTTTAATAAAATGGATCATTATTATACAAATGCAAATAGGTCAACATTTATACCAAGAAAGATACATGTATACCAGAAGAGTTTAGCATAATAAATATATAAGGTAGCTGGTTGTTCCATATTCTGACATTACCAAAGAGTGATGACATTTTCTGAACTTTACTTTCTATAATTACTGGTTCATATATCAATACTTGAGATCAAAGAAGCACCAACTAAATATTATTAATAGGTTATATAATTAATATTTATTGATAATATATTTATGTTAAACATTCTATATGCTTTACCTTTCCTTCAAAGTTTCTATGATATAATATAGTTTATTTCTTTATTGTAAAGAAGTAAGATGAATTTAAAGAGGATATGTAACTGGTCTATGTCAGTCTGGCTTGAACTGAAGTCTCTCTGATGACCAGACTCTTAACCTCTAAATAATGTTGTGGCCTAAACATTAATCTCCACTTTTAACTGTCATAAAAGCGTTTAGTTTTACTCAAAACTCCTCAACAGATTTGCAATGGAAAAAGCCAACTATTTTCCATCTAAGCATTTTACTTAGTTAAAAAAATTCATTTTCTAATATTTATATATGTGCAAATGTATGTGCATGTGTAATGGGGAATACATATCCGTACATACATGCTTAACATTTAAAAATGCATATTGAAGAGTTCATCTCTTGTATAAGGAATAAAAATTGTGACACTGGCCATTATAAGGTATTAAAAAGTTCATGGCAACTTTTGAAAAACGAAGAATGTTATTAACCTTGGTGTCTTGACCAAATTACAAGTCGGGTAATTACATTTGTCTTCCCTAATCTCCTTTTCAACTTTCAACTGGGTAGTGTATTCTTAATGGATTTCATTACCTGGCTTCCCTTAGGATTTAAAATAGGAGTTATCTTCCAAGGCTAGGTCTACTTCAAATTTATGTTCTCTAACTTCAATTGAGCTGTCACCAAAACTGTTCAATTGTGTGTGTGTTAATTCTTTCTTTTTTCTTTTTGCTTTCTTATGTTGGCTCTTCCAAACCATTTCCATTCTCCTCAAGATTGAAGTGTGCGTTTCAACTCAGCAGTGATTTTTAAGCACTAAATATGCACCACTATCCCAAGTTCTGAAAATTCAGGAACAGTTACATATTGTTTGGTACTTTTCCGTGAGCTTCCACAGCAGAAAACAGTGTTCTTTGACTCTCCTGGAGAGAAACTCACCTCCTATTCATTGAGAAAAAACAGTCATCCAGGGTCCACTTTCATAGTCTATCTCTTCCTTGTCAAAATATCTTCCTATGCAACACCCTTAACCCTTTAAAACTCTACCATCTCATTCTGTCAGTTCTTCCTCCTTCATTTCTGCCTGTTCAGAAGGAAGGAATGTGCTTTCTTTGCTAAATGACTGTCTTCACCTACGCCTTTGACCCCTCCCTTCCTGTCTTACTTTTCTCACTCTTAAATTAACCATTTTCCCTAACTACATTTCATAAATACGTAAAATATTTTTTCTTAAGGGGAGGAAAATAACCCATTTGGTCTTGGTTTCCTGCAGACAATCACACTCTCTCTTCATTCTTTTATCACCATAACACACTTCCCACATTTTCAACCATTCCACACAATGTGATTTCCTCTCCTCCTATTCTGTTAAAACTGTTCTTCAAAGAAACCAGCAAGTTTCAAATTGCAAAATCAATATCCTTTTCTTAGCACTCTAAAATTCTTATTCCTCTTTTGACTTTAATATTGTTGTCTGATTCTTATTTATAATGTCTGTGTACCTTCAACATCCTGAACATTCTGCCCAACTGATTTTCTCCTCCTGCGTTTGTGACTACTTTAAATATTTTGCTGGTTTCTCTCAGGTTTTTCAAATTTTAGTGTAAGATTTTCCCAGTGTTTTGTCTTTGGCCCTCTTTTCTTTCTGTCATATTTTTATTGATGATTAATTTCAATTAACTAGCATAAATGAGAAAAAATAAGAAAGAGAAAAGAAAGAAAAAATATAACTCTTGTGTATTTACTTTGTGCCAGCCATTGAACTAAATACCTTATATAAATAATTTTATTTATTCAGGAAAACAAACCAGGGAGATTATCACATTTTATAGATAAGAAAACTAAAACTGAATAAAACCTATATATATATAATATATTATTATATATAATTATTATATATAATTATATATTTAATATATATAATATCACATTTTATAGATAAGAAAACTAAAACTGAATAAAACCTATATATAATATATTATTATAAATAATTATTATATATATTATATATTTTATATATATAATATATATATTTTATATTATATATAATATATTATATATATTTTATATTATATATAATATATTATATATATTTTATATTATATATAATATATTATATATATTTTATATTATATATAATATATTATATATATTTTATATTATATATAATATATTATATATATATTATATTATATATAATATATATATATGAAAGCACCAGTTATATACATGCTTCTGTTTTTTCTTACTTAATTTTATTCATTCAGCAAGTCGACTTAGATATTAGTATTTCCAGGGGTTGCAGTGTTTTAGACAAAAGATGATGAGTAGGATAGCCAATATTCGACCGTTAAATTTTATGTCAGGTCCAAGGTACAAACTCATGTATATCCAAGTCCAAAGGTTACATAGAGTCTATTAGAACAGCCTGCCTCAAAATGAATTATGCTATCATATACACCTTCAGTTATAAAATATCTCTGGAATAGCTGTCTCATTTTTCTGATAATGCATTAGTCACATTTTTATGAGTTTCTGCTATTATATATTCCACAAATTAAATAGCTTAATTTTAAATCTTCTTAAAAACTCATTTTTCTATATGGTGTATTGACTTTCTGTTTCTCTCAAGGATGGCTTTCTTTTTCTATCAGTATTTACATTTCCATTTTTTTAGTTCTTTTCTCTGTATCTTCACCCAAGAACTGTATTAGCCAGAGTTCTGTAGAGGGACAGGGATAATAGGAGAGAGAGAGATGTATATATGAAAAGCAGTTTATTAAGGAGAATTGACTCAAATGATCACAAGGTGAAGTCCAACTTCAGTCCTTACCATCTGCAAGCTGAGGAACAAGGAAGCTAGTTCCAGTTCCAAAACCTCAAAAGTAGGGAAGTTGACAGTGGGCCCTTCAGTCTGTGGCTGTAGGCCTGAGAGCCCCTGGCAAACCTCTGGTGTAAGTCCAGGAGTCCTAAAGCTGAAGAACTTGGAGTCCAATGTTCAAGGGCAGGAAGCATCCAGCACTGGAGAAAGATGAGGGCTGGAAGACTTAGCCCGTCTAGTCCTTCCAACTTCCTCTTCCTGCTTTTATCCTTGCCATGCTGGCAGCTGATTAGATGGTGCCCAGAAAGATTGCGGGTTGGTCTGCCTCTCCTAGCCCACTGATTCAAATGTTAATCTCTTTTGGCAACACCCACACAAAAACACCCAGGAACAGTACTTTGCATCCTTCAGTCCAATCAAGTTGACATTCAATATTAACCATGACAGGAACTCATGACCAGATATCACTGACACAATGACCCAAAAAAGGAGTTCTTGAATAGTGAGCTAAGATATATGGAATATATAATTTAGTGATTTAAAGATAAACATCTGCAATAGTTAGTGTGTTAAACTGGTAAAATTCAATGATACTCTATTAGTCTGTTCTCATGCTGCTATAAAGAACTGCCTGAGACAGGGTAATTTATAAAGGCAGGAGGTTTAATTGATTCACAATTCCAGATGGCTGAGGAGGCCACAGGAAACTTATGGTGGAAAAGGATGCATACACGTCCTTCTTCACATGGTGGTGTCAGTAGGAGAGAGAAGTGCTGAGCAAAGTGGGGAAAGCCCCTTGAAAAACCATCAGATCTCATGAGAACTCACTCACTATCATGAGAACAGCATGGGGGTAACTACCTCCATAATTTAACTACTTCCCACTGGGTCCTTCCCACAACATGTAGGGATTATGGGAACTACAATTCAAGATGAGATTTGGGTGGGGACACAGCCAAACCATATCAGATACTTACTATCTTACAGATTAATAGATTGTGAATGAATATATTACAGTGTGAGTGACCTAAATTTACATTTCTAGGAGTCTTCATACTTTGCACAAAAAAGCAGGGTGTTCTGGACTGAATTGTTTCCCCTCAAAATTTATGTGTAGGAACCGTATCCCCCAGTGTGACTGTATCAGGAGATGGGATCCCTAAGAGGTAATTATTCAAATGTGGTCTTAAGTGTGGGGCCCTAATCTAATAAAGCTGTGGCTTTAAGTGAAGGGGAAGACCGCTTTCTCCCTCACTCTCTGCCATGTGAAGACATAGTGAGAAGGTCGCCAAATGCAAGCCAGGAGGAGAATGCTCATCAGGAAACAAATTAGCTGACACTTTGATCTAGGACTTCCCAGTCTCCAGAACTGTGAGAAAATACATTTCTTTCATTTAAAGAAATTTATGGTATTTTGTTATGGCAGCCTGAGTTGACTACTACACAGAGCAAATGTGTACATTTTCAGGGCATTTTACAAAGGAAGAAAGAAAAGGACTGTAGTTGAAGACCTACAATATGAATAATTAGAGAAATGCATCAATGGCCTGTAATATTTTGCATTGGTGTGTTTTTGCCCTAAGTCATGTCATTTGTTGTAACTCTTAGAAAAGGATAAATAACCCAGTGCATTCTGTAACTATTTTTCAAAACAGAGGTTGATAATTGCTACATTAAAGATTTAAGGAAAGTTCTAATGCTCTAACCCGTATTCAACTTAAAATAATTGTTATAAATTTTGAATAGTAAAAACTGTTTACATGTACCACATGCTTATTCTGTGCCAAACTGTGAGTTTTCATACATAGCCTTACTTAATCCTCATAACAATTCTGAGCTTGGAGTATTACCTCCATTTTCATGTTGGTTTAATGACATGGTGGGCTAGATACTTGAATAGCCTTGCCTGTTGAAAATAGTAAAATATGTAATATACATTTCAAAAACCTTCAGACTTTAAAATGACTATTATGTTTAATGATATAAAATGAAATCTTGAAATTTGTGCAGCAAATAAGAAATAATAATAATAAAGAATTGTTGAAAAATAACACAATAAACATCTAGAAATGAAAACCTAAATAATTGAAATTAGAACTCAGTGGACAATTTTAACAGAAATTAGGTAAGAAATTAATAAAATAGAAGTTAGATCTAAAGAAAGACAAGAAAGAGATACAAAATATAAAATAGAAAAGGTGTTGTTATGTAAAGAACAAAGTTAGAAGGTTTAATATACATCTAATTTTACTTCTAAAAGTAGAAGAGAAAGAGAGTACGACAATGAAACTATTTGAAGGTATAGTATTCAAAAATTTATGGAACTGATGGAATCACAAAACCAATGTGGAAAGCCCCAAAAACCTCAAGCAAGATAATCAAAGAAAAAATACCCACCTTATACATTGTGAAAGTATGGAACACCCAAAAACAGAAATCTTAGAAGCAGTCAGAATGAACAGATTCATTTTAATTGTGAAATGGTTAGATTGACAGCTGTCTTTGCATATGCAATAGTGGAAACCAGAAGACAGTGACGTCATACTGAAGATAATGTGCTAAAAGATAATGTTTATCTAACCAATATTTTATGAGCAGTGAAAATTTCTTTCAATAGCAAGAGCAGACAAACACAAACTGAGTTTGTACTCAGCACATTCATAGTAAAATAAATTCTAAAGTATATGCTTCAGACATAAGAAAAGGGATCTCAGAATGAATATGTGACATTCAGGAAATAATAAAGAGCACAGAAAATTGTAAATATGAGAGTAAATTTAAAACAATAATAATGGGAAATAATAATAATGTATGACAATCTATTGTTCATATTCTGCAGACATGTAAAAGGAGTGTCAGAGATCTTGAGTAATTTTCTCAAAATCATATAATGATTAGGTGGCAGACATAAATTTTAACCTGCGAGTACTGATTTCAAATTCTGATCTGAAATTCTTTACTTGTTTAAATAAAAAAAATATATGGATAAATGAAAGGATAGAATCTATTTCACAGAATTAGTGAGCTAGAAAACAGATGTGAAAAAGAGATTACTAGAGAGACAAAGAACTGAAAAGTCAGTATCAAAAATTCGTAAACCCTTTGCCAAATTACCTAGACATGTAAACTTGTGTAAGTCCTTCAATAGTTCTAACCTCAGCTTCATTAGCTGTGACATAGGAATAATATCTGTTTCCTCTGCTAAAGTTATTGTAAAGACAAAACAAATGTGTCTTTAGAAATGCAATGAGAAAAATAACACCACCTCAATCCTCCTACTATGGTCTGAGTGTTTATGATTCCCCCAAAATTTATATGTTGAAATTCTACCCTTCAAGGTGGTAATATTAGGAGGGCAGGCATTGGGAGGTGATTGAGTTGTGAGGGTGTAGCCCTCATGAGTGGCATTAGTGTCCTTACAAAAGAGGCCCCAGAGAGCTGCCTTCCCCTTTCCACTATGTGAGGTCATAGCAAGAAGGTGCCATCTATGAAACAGAAAGCCCTCACCAGGCACCAAATCTGCTGTTACCTTGATATTGGATGTCTCAGCCTCTATATGTAAGAAATACATATATTTTTTAATGAGCCACCCAGTTTATGGTATTTTGTTACAGCAGCCAGAACAAACTAAGACACCGTCTTATATCTCACTCATCACTCAACACAAATGAGCACTTCAAAAAAAGGGAAGAACCCAATGAGGGGAAAAGGTAGAACTGTGAACAACAACAATCTGCAAAGAAACAATTGACCATTTCCTTTCCTGCTCTTGGCTTTCTAATAATCTTAAGGATGGATGTGGATGATTTTGAATACAGGGTTACTAGTCCTTTTTTGGTTATACTTTACTTCACCCCTCAATATTTTAATATTTAACTCATTTTTAGGAGAGAACTATAATAACAGAATCATTGTAACAACAATGGGCCTCACAACAGTCACAGCCATCTCAAATTTTAATTTCCCCTCCTATGCCCTCTCCCATGTTCTTGATCTTCAGAAGCAGTTGTTCTATTCATTTTTCCTTCCCTTCGAGCACATTAGTTTGATCTCATTTCCCCATAGACCTTGGCAGAGGAGAGCAACCGGGGTTCTAATTGTTCATTTATTGAGTACATTCATTTATTGAGTACATATTGAGCATGGACCATGTGTTGTTCCAGGTGCTTAGGATACATAAGGGAACAGAGCATACCAAGATTCCTAACCACGTGGAGGCTGTGTTCAAGCTGGGTTATCAGACAATTAGCAACAACAACAACAAAATCATCAATATTATTAAACACATACTACAAATAATAGATGATAAATGGAAAAAGAAAGAAATATAGAGTAGGAAGAAAGATCAAGAATGTTGAGGTCAGGCAGGCTGCATTAAGAAATACTTGGGTTGGGTTAGACCTCAAAGGACAAAGTTGAAATGCTTTGTTTTACTTATTGGATCAATGTTTTAAACATAATCAGTGATTAAGAATTATATACTGTATTATATATCACAACCAACATACTAATCTCTTTCTAACTCATCTACGTACTTGTAAACAGAAGTAAACCCAAAATGAATGCAAATATCCTCAATAGGATTTTATTTCTAATTTCTGAGGAGAGATTAGAACAACATCTTCTGTTGGAAATTTGCCGCTCACACAGAGACCTGATTCTCCATTTTGCTCGCTGCCACAAGGCAAGATAATCGCAAATAGAACTTGAAGAAAATTTATATATGGCATCAAAGGAAATGATGTGGTTGCAAATGTGCTTTGAGAAAAAGCTTATAAATAACTATAAAATGGAATGCTTATTTCAGTCTATAAAAGGTCTCCATATATATATATATATATATATATATATATATACACACACACACACATATATATACACATACATATATATATGTATCTCTTAACAATTCATACAGAGGATTTTGAGGGAGAGAGATGTATATATATATATGTTGGAAAATGCATTAGTGTCCTACAATTGCTGTAATAAATTTCTATAAACTGGATGGCTAAAAACAACAAAAATTGTTCTCTCACAGTTTTGAAGATCATACGTCCAAAATCAAGGTGTCAGCCGGGGCTTGCTATCTGGAGATTCTCGGGAAGAACTTTTGCTTGCCTCCTCCGGCATTTGGTGGCTGTTGATGTCCCCTGGCTTCCTTGGCTTATGGCCATGTCATTCCAATCTCTGCCTCTGTCTTCACACCGCCTCTGTGCGTATGTTTTCTCCTCTTCTGTGTGTTTCCTATAAAGACACTTGTCATCACATTTCAGGTCTACCTGCATAATCCAAGATGATCTCCTTTTCATCTCAAGATCCTTAATTTAATTGTTCCTGGAAATACCCCTTTTTTCCAAATAGGAAAACATTCGTCAATTTGGGGATTAGCATATGAACATATAGTTTGATGAACTTCCATTCTACTCCACTACAGGGAGTTTGGTTTTTATTGTGGTAATCATATTCTTATTTCAATGGCTCTATACTTTAAAATTTTACCATGATTTCTATTTATTGCCCATCAATAAATGCAGTGAAAATATTTTAGAAAGTAAAACACAGAATAACAACGTTATTTTGTAAACCACAACAAGGACCTTCTGAAAATATTAACAGCCTTAATCATGACATATTTCTTTGGGAAAAATTGATACATGTTGATGAAAATGGAAACATATCTTTTAAAATCAATTTGATTGTTTTCACTCTTGTTATAAATCCCATAATTACTTAGACAACCCTAGGTTTCTGTATAAAGTTAAAGGTTACAAACAGCAGTAGGAAACAAAAAGAATGATGCCCTTTTTCCTTTTTATCACAAAGGACAAAAAAAGGAAAAAGACTAGAGAAAATTGAAGCATCAATATAAGAAAACAGGAATGAAAATAGAAATAATTTTATTAAAATAAAAAAGAGATATGCAAAACAGCAGAAATGAAATAGAAAAGTGTCATTGAAAAAGGACAAAGAACAAGTGAAATAGGCATTTGAAAACCTGATGAATACATAGGCTGTATCTCAGATTTCCTAGTACATTCTGTTTTTCTCCTGACACTCATATATCTGGTCTAGCTGCCTTAGAGAATGCTGGGTGCTGGAAGTCTTTTTACCACTCTGAACATTACAGGCCTCTTCACACCTCAAGGACAATCATCTATTATGTACCAATGGCAAATCAAAATGGCCATTAGTAAGAACACGGAACACCCTCTGACAACATTTTCTTACAGCCTGCTACACTACTCTGAGCCAATAATTTTCTTCACTGTTAAAACTTGCCTTTCAGTGCTGCACTGAGGCCTATTTTCCTCTCTAAGGAAGCTGTGATGTATGTGATTGAGTCTCCCTTTCCTTGAGAGTGACCAGTGTAGATTTATCTGTTCCCTCGCCTCTTTCCCCTGTGTGAGGTTGCAGAACTTTTCTGCTTCAACTACAAAACTGGACTGGAGTTTCTTTTGTTCTCTCTGTTTTTGAACAATAAAGGAATATACAGCCTCAATTTGATAGCAAATTAAAAACAGAAAAGTGAAAGCAAATTTGCTGATTTAAAAGTTATCATTTATCCATGCTCTGTTTTTATGTCTTTGAAATAGATGGAAAGTTCTCTGGCAGACAATACACCATCCCAAGGGGATGCTGGGCATGTTTAATGAAACCAGCACTGTTTGATCAATTGGCTTCTGCATAATTGAGAGGAAAAGCTTTGCTGTCAGTATCATCCAACTTTTATCATGGCTCAAAAATACCATCATAAAAATCAACCCTTTAAAATTATATAGCCAAAGCCATAGCATTCTACTTCATTGTCTGAATTCAATAAAGGTTGGAAAGACAAATGAAAAGATCATTATTCAGTTTTCATTCTCATCTGAAATCATTTACTAGTGCTGAAATCGGTCAATGTGGCAGGGAGGAGTTCTAATAGAGATTGACATTAGCTCACTGAGAGGACACTAAATTGGAAGTAAACAATCAACGACATTCTACTAACGCTTCTGCATCTTGAGTTTGATTTTTTTCCCATTTGTATGTTATGTAAGATTGGCAATGTTGCATTTGTCAGTGAGTACTGGATGGGAATTTGGTAATAGGGGAATGTAAGATATATACTAGTCTCTTAGTGGCCAGAGAAAGCCAGTGTAACTTACATTTCTAAGAGAAATGTTCCTTCTTGGGGTTTGGGACAAAGCATGTAAGAAGATGCTACGACCTTTGGAAGAAAAGCCCAATCCAAATTCAAGGGGCTGTTATCTTGGTCTTGAAGCTCTTTGCAGATCTACTTTAAATGTTTAGCTATTTTGTTAGGTAATAAGAGTATTACAGCTTTAATCTCTGCTGTGATTTAGAAAGGAATATAGAAGAAGTGATCTGTTTACAGTACATATTAACTAAATTCATTCATTTGCATAATACCTCTTTAGGGATGGACTGCATTATTCAGAGATTTCTGTATGTGGAAATGCAGGGATATTTCAGGCTTCAGTGACACTGAGGTCTTAAAGTCTTTTAGATTAGCATGACAATATTTCTTGATTAAAAATTCCCATTAGTGGTGAGACAACTACTGAGAAGCACTTTTCACCTTATGGTCCTGGCAACAGGGGAGAATAAATATTCTTGTTTGAAAGTGAATTCCATATAGAAAAGCATGAAGTTGCTTTTAAAGGTATGGAAATAACACTCTTTGATGCTGGAGGAATTTAAATGTTCTGGAGAAGACAATCACCAAATGGCTCCATGCTTTTTAAATATTAAAGTTCTAAATTTCGAATGGAATATCTAAGGGCAGTGACTTTTAAAATGCTGATTTAGTGGCAAATTTCAATTTTGACATATTCATTTAAAAAGGAAACCTCTAATTCTTGTTCTTGATTGCAAACTACTAGTCCTAATTCTAATTGCTTAGGTATTTGTGGTTGATTACATTACAGGCAGTTCCTAACTTACTGTGGTTTGACTTATAATTTCTTGACTTTAGGACGTGCAAAAGCAATCTGCACTCAGTAGAAAACAAGACAATCCTCTCCAGCAATGCTGGGCAGAGGCTGTGAGCTATAGCTCATAGTCAACAACGGGATCACCAGGATGAACAATGCTCTACAGTATACTGAGTTGCCAGGTGCTTTTGCCCAGTTGTAGGAGAATGTAAGTGTTCTGCACACATTTAAGGTAGGCTAGCCTAATCTATGATGTTCAGTAAATTAGGTGTATTCTGTGCTCTTTTGACTTACGATATTTTCAACTTAAGGTGGGTTAGCCTAATCTAAGATGTTCAGTAAATTAGGTGTATTCCGTGCACTTTTGACTTATATTTTCAACTTACAATGGGTTTATCAGGATGTATACCCCATCGTAAGTTGAAGAGCATCTCTGTACAACTTCCAAATGTTTCTTGCCTATGAAAGATTCTCCACCTCCTCCATAATCAGGCACGATCATGTGATTTTCATTTTTCTTCCTTTAATGAGAGGATTTTACTTTCCCAGAGATTGCAACCTTGCCATGTGTCTTGGTTAGCCAGTGAATTGTGATTAGTAGTGATGTATACCCCTTTCAACAAAAAAGTTCAAAAGCCACGAGTGGTACTGCCATCTCTTCTCTATCATGGAGATGACAGTGTCCCAGCCCATTTGCTCCTTCAGCCTGGATGTGGGACAGGTCTCCACTTGACTCTTCCCGCCAAAGACAATAACATTTGTTTATTTATATGAGCGAGAATTAAACTTTGGTTACTGAAACCATCGTCAATTTGTGGGGTTATGTGTGTGGTGGTGGTGGTGGTGTTGCTATTGATGTTACTGTAACAATAGCCTCAGGGAAGTTAAATGATATAGCATTTTTAGGAATTCAAAATCATTACACCAAATATCTTAAACCAGAAAGATAAAGTTTTACCATTAAAAAGGAAGGATGAAACCATCAATGCATACTTCTTTTTCTTTTTCAAGGTTACAGAGTATCCTTTAACTTTGGGGAAGATTATACTAATCTTTTACCTGTTGTGTAGTTATAAACCAAATATTTGCACAGTTTAAACTTTCAATTACATCACATGAAGAGGATGAATGCCCTAAATAATTATTTACTACTCTCCTATTCCTCCTCCTCCACCTCTTCTCCTTCTTCTTTTCTCGTTATTTTCCTTTTTTCTTCTTTTTAAAGTAACATCTTTCAAAAATATTTATCACAATCAAACTTTTAAATGACTCCATTCTATGAAATAATAGAATTGAATTATTTTCTCTATTGTGGAAGTTCTGCTCTGCTTCCTCTTTTTTTTAATTATTATTATCCTTTAAGTTTTAGGGTACATGTGCACAACGTGCAGGTTTGTTACATATGTATACATGTGCCATGTTGGTGTGCTGCACCCATTAACTCGTCATTTAGCATTAGGTGTATCTCCTAATGCTATCCCTCCCTCCTCCCCCCACCCCACAACAGTCCCCGGTGTGTGATGTTCCCCTTCCTGTGTCCATGTGTTCTCATTGTTCAATTCCCACCTATGAGTGAGAACATGCGGTGTTTGGTTTTTTGTCCTTGCAATAGTTTGCTGAGAATGATGGTTTCCAGCTTCATCCATGTCCCTACAAAGGACATGAACTCATCATTTTTTATGGCTGCATAGTATTCCATGGTGTATATATGCTCTTTTCCTCAACTTATCCAAGCCAAAAACTTTAAGACAAGGAAAATGTCTGGCAGGTGAATGGTCATACCAGAGAGTCATTCTTTGGATTCAAGAATTCTAGTTTGAAAATGCTCCTTGAAAGTTACAGATTTTTTTTTTTTACATTTTGGCTACATGTAGACATGTGTAAATAGGTAACTTCATTAGTTTGGAGGGTATACGAATAGAAATATTTACCTTTGCATTTTTTATACTGTGTAGTAAATTATTATTTAGTTGCAGGTCTTCTTTAGGTGTGTAGTCTATGAAATAGTCAAAAGGTTTAATAAAACATAACTAAAATACATTATAAAAATAACATAACTATTTGAGGCAATCAGATATAGTTTTCAGCATCTGATATAAAAATGAAAACCTTATTATAAGGAGAAAATTAAAACAGTGGTAATGAGAATAACAATAAAACATAAGCCATAATCAGGCATAACGCATATGTTGGTATTACATTGCTAATACATAATTGAGAGTGCCTTGGTACATATCAGTGGCCTCCAAAAAGTTAGCTATATGGTTAACATGAAGTTCTCTATTTTGTATAATCATATAGATATATGTCTTTCTTTTTTGCTGTTTTTGAAATTGTGTTTTGTTTTTAAAACAGAAACTGAAATTTGAGTTCTAGCAACTTTCTATCTAAAATTTAGAGGAAACAAAACTTAAATTTCACCATATAAAGGGTAGTGCTGTCCAGGTCTGTTACCTTCGATGTAACCACTGCAGGGCTAGTGCTAACCACTTGTTCCAGGTCATTCCTGTCTTTTAGCCAAAGAACAGCATAATACTGCCTTAAAACAGGTATTGAAAATAGAAGCACAGATGGCGACATTAGAGGTAAGGAGAAAAATTACTTTCTATTAAAGGATGAAGCTGCCTCCCATGTCTTACTGACTGCTTAAAATTTTCAGTTATTTACAATATATGTATATTTATTTGATGTTAATGCTCTAATTTGGTCTTATTTATAGGACACTCTGTATTGAAGTAAAGACAAGTTCATAGCATCTAAATTACATTGCTCCAAAGTGAAATGAAAATGAAGAAAATCTGCTGTGAAGAATTAGAATCAGTTATATAGACAGAATGAGTAACAAGAATTGAAACAGAATGTAAAATCAAAGGAAACAAGAAAGAAATGAGAAAACCATGCAAAAAGAAAGATAAGGAGATTATTTTAGCCAGGGGTCTCTAACCCGTGGACCCCGGACCAGTACCAGTCTATGGCCTGTTAGGAAAGTGGGCTCCACAGCAGGAGGTGAGTGGCAGTTGAGCGAGCATTACCGCCTCCTGTCAGATCATCAGCAGCATTAGATTCTCATGGGAGCATGAACCCTATTGTGAACTGTGCATGTGAGGGATCTAGGTTTTGCACTCCTTATGAGAATCTAATACCTGATGATCTGTGGTGGGACAGTTTCATCCTGAAACCATCCCCCTTCCACCATCCATGGAAAAATTGTCTTCCGTGAAACTGGTCCCTCATGCCAAAAAGGTTGGGGATGGCTGATTTAAGCCATAAATGCCTTGGTCAGGAATTTAGAGTTTTCCAGTGATAGGAGTTGAAAACAATGGCCAAATGGCCAGATGCAAAAATTCTAAGGACATAAAGAAGCTCAGAGAAATTTCAAATGAAAGATACCTGGGTTGGTGTGAATGTAGAGACACTAGAGAAAATGAGAGAAAACCATGCCTTTCTTTGCCCCACTGTAGGGCTATTCTTTTAAGGCATAATCTTTGAAAGAGTTGAGGACAGTGTGAAATCTTGGAATGATTTCTCTATACCCTGAAATTTTCAAAATATGCTCTCCAATACTATGAAACTCAAGGTGAGGTCCTAGAGAGGAGTTTGTAGTCATTCTATATTTTGGGAAAGATACAATTTTGGAAGACATCAGTTCAGAGAAGTTCCTGAACAAGTTAAATTGAGCACACATATTGTGCCTTCATCATCTGTATTTTGGTTTCTGCACTGGAAACAAAGTCCATTTGGCCTTGTTCATTTTGAGGAATCAAACGCATCTAGCAACTCTCTCACTTTTACTTCTGGCTATAATCTGCCGCCCCATCTACAGGTGTGGGTGTGGAAAGGGAGGAGTGAAGAGTGTGTTGGAAAACACTAGTGATGTGATGAAGGGGTCAAAGTTTTAAGTGGTATATAGGCACTGACCAGTCAAAATCGGATGGTGCCCAAATTAACTGGAAGAACTCTACTAGTACTTATCAGCAGAAAATCACCTCTGAACTTGTCAGCAAGACCACCGAATTGGAAGCTGGCTTACTGAGAAGCTATCAGGGATTCATCAACATGGCCACAACATTCTCATATAATTTACTGTAACTTTTTCTTATTAAAATTCCAGAGTAAAAATGTCTAGGTGTGCTTTGTCATCAACCTGCTTTCCCTGTTGAATTAATGAATTAAAATAGTAGTTGGTACAAAGCGGTATAATATCAATCATGTATATGTTTGTGTGATTACACACCTGAACCAGATCCAGTTCTTGTAGTGGCTCATTCTCAGGTATTTCAGAGGCCAGAAGAACATCAATAAGAGGAGGAGTCAGTAACTCCCCTGAGTCACAGCCAACTCCTGAAACTATCCTGTGGAGGCCAAAATATTTCCCATCTCCTGGGAGATAATACATTGTCATGGTTAGGAGGGTGATCTCTAGAATTAGAATGCCTAGGTATGAGTTGGCCAATCTGTGTGACCTTGGCAAGCTACTTACATTGTCTGTGCCATGGTTTTCTCATCTGTAAAGTGGGAAATATTTTACTTCCTACTCCACAGGGTTTGGGGAGGATTCACTCAATATATACACATTAACAATTTAGAAAAGTTCCTAGTACATTCGAAACACATAAACATATGAATTACTCTTAGATTTATGGTAGGGGTCTAGAGTCTATTTCTCCTGTGTTTTCCACGTTGTTGCTCTGTTCCTACTTTATTATCCACTTTCAATTGTGATGAAAATATTTACTCCTATGGACCGGCCATCCCCACTGCTTCTCATCAAGTAGCTCTAGCCTCAGATCTTGCAGCAGTGAGGTGAAGGACAAAAAGTCAATCTATGTTCTACTCTCAAGAGGACTTGAGAGAGATCTCAGTCCTAGAACATTCTGGGGACAAGAAATTCTAGATAGATGAGTCTGGGTATTGTTGGAGTGTGTACGTGTGAATGAGGTTATTTATTTAAAATGGAGATTACATTGCACAAGAATGAGGGAAATTATGAAGAGAGGTGTTTCTTTCAGAAGCTCCTAAGCTGAAATAGCAAAAGAAAACTGTAGAAACTTACCTAATTTTTTAAAAAAGTAATTTTTGTAAACTTCTTATATCTATGTTGATATTGTGGTTCAAAGGAGGTGTCATGTCATCTTTAATATAAATTCTTCAATAAAACACAGGTCTTCATAGATATTCAATTTTCTATTCATAGCACCTTTCATGAAATAAGACCGTTTGCTACCTTGGTCTTTATTTTGCCGGGGTGTCGCAGATTTCCATCTAAATGCACATAACACTCAGGGTGACTTGCTGCTCTGTTACTTCTTTTAGAGACCAGTTTCCCACTTTGGCAGGAAATATAGTCAAATCCATATGACTCTGAAATGTATTTCAAGAAAGTTATTTTTAAAAAGGGGAGGCATATGACTTAGTAAAATTTTTCTCTCTTTCTAAGATGCACTTCTTGTTCTTCTTACAAGTCTACATTGCTAGTTATTTTTATTCTCCTTCCTTGGTTTCTTTTTTTCTGCTTCCCCCTTAATATGGGTGTTAATTTTAGATGCCTTATTTCTCTCTTCTTCTCTTAAACACTTCCTGTGTGTTACCTCAGCCAACAATGCTCCCACTCTTATTTTGTTAATAAAATAGACAGATGCTTTCTGAAGAACCATTTCAAGAGTTTTTAAATGTATCAAAATCATTTTGAGATATTTCTGTAAGAAACAGAGGTGGTCCCTCAAAATCTGTACAATAGAGACCCCAATATTTGAATAAAATCATGACCCCAGAAGTAATATGAGGAAACTCAATTGAGTCTTCTTATAGAAAATCTGGAAAATATTTTTTCCTATTATTGGTAAAAATATGTTTTTAATAAATTGACTTACATTTTTGATGAGTTCTCTAATTAGGAAAGTTTGTTTTGAAAAGTTTAATCTGTGATTAATAGAAGTGTTAGTGTTTTGAAATTTCAAAGACCACCTAATCTGCATCAATGGCTAGAGATATTTCAAGCAGAAAAGAAAATAAAATTTTTTCTTACAAAGAAATAGAAAAATGCAAAAGCCAGGAGGCAGTATGGGAAAACTTTGTGGAGCCCCAAAGACAAAAGTTGTTCTCAGAAGTTTCAGGTTGTAAGCAAACTGTTTCTTTTGCTTCAGCTAAATGGGAGAGATTATGAAGAGTAATTTGGAAGAGGGGATGACACATGGCTTCTTATTGGTTCAAAATCTGGAAAAAACATATATATGATGTGCCTTAATTACCTCTTAACAAATAAGCAGGTTGAAGAGATAGAATCATTTATCAGAAATACTGCTAGAAGGCCGGGCAGCGGTGGCTCACGCCTGTAATCCCAGCACTTTGGGAGGCCGAGGTGGGCAGATCACGAGGTAAGGAGATCGAGACCATCCGGACTAACACGGTGAAACCCCATCTCTACTAAAAATACAAAAAATTAGCCGGGCGTGGTGGCGGGCGCCTGTAGTCCCAGCTACTCGGGAGGCTGAGGCAGGAGAATGGTGCGAACCCGGGAGGCAGAGCTTGCAGTGAGCCGAGATCGTGCCACTGGCCACTGCACTCCAGCCTGGGTGACAGAGCGAGACTCCCGTTTCAAAAAAAAAAAAAGAAAAGAAAAAAAGAAATAGTGCTAGAAGACACACAAAAAAAGTCCAGAGGACAAGCTCTCCATGCCAATAGTTCTGAAGTCAGCCCACGGAAGTGTGTTACTACAAAATAGAATTCAATGTGATTTAGAAAAACAAAAACAAAAACAAAACCATCATGCTTAAAGTTTGGGGATGCACCAAGCTTAGCAGCAGTTAATATTTCTAAATGTATCCAATTACATCTAGTTATATGTTTCTCATCTATCTGTGGTAGAAGCGTATAAATGTTTATATCACTACTGAACATCTTTCCACTTGAATAGGTTGTTTTGTTTTTGAGCAATCAACCCAACACTCTAAATAGCTTCCCCAAACAAGGTTAACTCTACACAGGCAAGCTTGTTTACAAAAGAGCCTGATTTTACATGTGTGCTCCAGTCAATAAATACACATTAACAATGGCAATGGAATGGAATGGTAAGTAGAAATGGTATCCATGAAGACAAACAAAAAAAACTTTTTTTGGTCTTATTTTAACAGTTCTTCTCCACCTAAGTCCTCATATTTTTTCCCTTTCTTGCAACCAGTAGAATATGTACAATCAGAGGCATGTGGACAAGAAACTCTCAATGTCAAATATATTTTTGAGAATCACTGAAGAGAAGGGTCCAATCCCCCATCATTAATCATCTAAGAAACTGTAGAAACAACTGTATTCTTTATAAAAATGAGTAAGGCAGAGATTGGACGTATATTTATTTTAGCGTGTTTATAGTCTACATACACATATATGCAAATTCAATCACCTCACATATATTAAAATGTTCTAGGTGTAAGTATTACATGTATATTTTTATATTATCTAAAGATAAAATATTTTATTTATTTCATCTGTTACTTCAAATTCCATATAATTTTTCACTTTATATCTTGTGTTTTACTTTTGTATTTTCTTTTTTCCTTACTGAAAATTCTGGTGTCCAATTACACACAAATGTTAGAATATGACATAATTACTCATATACATTATCCCACATTTTACACACAACAGTCTTAGAGTGCAATACCAATATAATTGAAACAACAATAATAAAAATTGGGGGATTATGCTCTTTCTATTATTTTTCCTTTCATTATCATTGTATCTATATCGTGATGGATTGTATGTAGATATTATACATACACTCTTTCATCCATATTTTTAAGGATAATAAGAACACAGTTTCAATAAGATCTAACATCTTATTAAAACAGATTTGACAAAATTGCAAAAACTTAAGATGCAATGTAAAGCATAGATAACATAAAAAACTTCGTAATTATTATAGAGAGATATAGATTTGGGAACCATCTCCACATTAGTAATATTGGAAGTGGTAGGAGTTAATCACATCATTTTTCATAACATTTTAATATCAGTGATCAAACCTCTACTATGTTCCAATGGCTTAGTGCTTTATATGTTGATTTACTATTTCTTACAACTCTTTGCAGCAGGTATTATCACCCACTTCCCTCCTCCATTTATAGAGGTGGAAGTGGTGCCCAGAAAGCACAGATAACTTGCTAAAATTCACACAGATTGTAGGTGGCAGACAGAGATTTGGATACATGTCTGTCTGGCCCCAAATTTGAATTCTTTCACTACTTTTGTTTGAGTCTCACTCAAGACAAATAGTTTAGCAAGAAAAGGCAACACAGTTAAAAAATGGGGACCACTCATATTTATGTGGGATGCAGGGATTTAGGTGGGATGGGGAGAGGGCAGCACAAAAGCCAAGATCTAATAGGAGAAATGAGAAAAGAATCATACATTTTGTGCATCATTTAATGGGAGGAGACACAGAAACAACTTGAGGGTAAAGTGAATACTCATAGGAGAGTCAAGAGATGTAGATGACATGAGAGAAATGGCCGTAGATGTGGTCGAATACAGGATTATTTTTGAGGGGGAGTGCCTGATTTTAAGATACATAAACATAATTACTGTCAAAGCAGTCACTTCCAGGTGACCTTACGTGTCATCATTGGGCCTTTGGAAACCTGTTGGTACCATCACTTTCAAAGATGTTTCTTAGCAATACAGATGCTGATTTTAACCTTTCTAATAGAATAAACTAGAAAAAGACAGACTACAACGAAATATGGGCAATATGATGTTGAAATTTTGAGTGTGACGACATTTAAAAGCAGACAAACAATGATAAACATTTTTCATCTTGAATAGGTTGTTTTGTTACTCTCAACCAAAAATCCTAAGACCATAAATAACTTTCCCAAACATGGATAGCTCTACATAAGCAAGCATATTTATAAAATGGTCTGTTTTGAAATGTGTACTCTGGTAATAACAGATACAGACACACACAGACAGACACACACACACACTCACACACTTTTAAAACTATATGAATTTTGGTGACATTCCAAATATTTGTGGTATTAACAAATCTGAGGCTGTTCTGGAACTATGCCTGCTTTATACAATTAGTTGCCACTCATCTCATTTTTTCAAACAGATCACGGAGAGTTTGGATGCAAACAACCGGTAGATTACAATTACAGCAACAATTCAGTTTTGGAGATAGAAGACCTGGGCTTGACTCTTTGCTCTGTTATTTATTGACTGGTGAGAGTAGGAACCAACTTACATTTACCATTGCTCAGTTGTTTCATCTATAGAACGGGATGATAGTGCCTGTATTTGAGTGAACTGCATGGTAATATCTGGGAAAATGTTATCTAAATTGGGAAGTATCTTAAAATACAAGCATTTGTTACTGTTTTTTCAGTTTCTGCATACATGTTTCTTTCTTCCTTTTTCTTTTTTGGTCACTGTTTACATAATCAAACCATGATCTTTGAGTGAATATTTGAAAAGCAAGTCCAGCTACAAGAAAGCCTTTTTCCATGCTTTAAGTTTTACTTATATAGTAGCTAAAATCTCCACCAAAGAAAATATAGGCCAGTTGAAGAGCATAGATTTTTATGAAAGCAATAATATATTATAGCTAAAAAAACCCTTAGGATTATGAGATAATTTTTTTATTCTTACTTGAGTTTTAATTTAAGGATTTGTGTGTTAGTTTTTGATTATTTTCCAAATCAACTACTCAAACAATAAGACTAACACTGACACATTACCCAAAGTTATAAATAAAGAATATAATTTAGTGTGATTTTTCTTCTAAATTATGCATGAATTTTATAAAATATTATTAAAAATCACTCCAATAAACTATTTTCTAATGTAAGACAAGCCCTTGTAAAGGGCATTTTACAATTTCCTCCTACCTCCCTGACACTTGTAGTGTTGCTAAATGTTGCTGTTGAATATTTCTCCCCTGCATAATTCAGAATCGTGATGGGAAATTTCATCGTTTGACTTTCTATACTACCTTACTGAAGACAGTACACTTAATCATTGTATTTTACAGATTAGATAAGGTTTCATTCTTGCTTTCTCTTTTCCTCCAGCAATTTAATATTGCTGTTAGCTTGCACACTTGTAATTAAAAAATGACTTATGAAAGTGTACGGCAAACAAGACACCCCTTAGCAACTGGTGCTGGTGACTAGATACAATACTAACACAATGTCAAAGCAGTAGGATAATTTCAATAATTACTTCTGTTTTTCTTTCAAAAGATAGTTAAACAGGCAGTTATGTTTGATATTCCTCAAAAAGTGGTACACAGAGCAAGAGAAGAGTGAAACAATGTTAATGTACTCTGCAACTTTATGATAATAGATCAAAAACTATATCCTTTTTGGATAGTAAAAGTAAACACATTTGTGTTTTGACATCTCTGTGGGTTGCCATTTTGTTTTCATGGCTTTTTAAGGTAAAGTATTCCTGTCAATAAATTTGATTTTCCATATGCGTTAGAACTGCACTGAACTACAATAGTAATTCCTCCTAAACAGGGTATAGCAAATACTAATGCTATCCTGTGTCTATATTATTGATTATTGATTTGTCTTCAGCATGCTCAATAAACCATATGAGATTCCTAGCTTTGTGCACTTCCCAAACAGGCAGTACAACTTCTTGCAATCTCTCTCTTTTCCTCTTTTTCTGTCTCTTTGTTTCACTCTTATTTTATGCAGTCAGATCACAAATACAATTTATTTTAACTTGCAAACCGTTATTGTACACCTATACCTCTCTGAGCATAGAATGAGGTACTTGAGGATAATTGACACAGTCTAAACTCATAAGAATTTAACAGCAATTAGGTCACAAGCATTTGAACACTCAGGAGGAAACTGTAAAATGCACGTTACAAGGGCTTCTTTCTCATCTAAAAAACAAAACAAAACAAAAAAAGAAAAGCATTCATTCATGTGATTTTATAAGATTTTATATAATTCATGTATAGTTTAGAAAATCACGAAAAGAATGTCCAGATAGTTGGGGAATATACAGTTCTATTATTACCCAGAATGAATGAGATCAACTCAACTTTGAAGTAAATTCATATATTTTAGGAAGCATTTTCAAATTAAACTCTGATAATATAATTAAACTTTTTAAACAACAAAATTAATAAAATTGTTTAAAATATATTAGATAGCATGAAGAATGAGGTTTACACTCTGCTATGAAATAAGGTGGCCAATCAGAGAAGATAGAAAGAAAGTGTGATATGAGGTGTGAGTCCCAAGCACTAGGTCAGGAGGAAGGACTTGCTTTCAGCATGTGGTTCTGGGGTTTAAACCTAACAGGTGGGAACATGGTCCAAAGATACAAACAGCTAGAAAAATTCTAAAAATGATCTATAGAAATGTTCCCAGTTTTGAATAAGGGATATATCACAGGAGTTAAAAAACCTAAGAAATAGTCAAAACTTGTTAAGAAACAGTAAGCTGATCTCCCATATCAGCTGTGATTCTAATCATTAGTATTGAATATATGGCAAGATTGGTGACTGTAATATTAAGATTCTACCTGCAATATCCTTCCAGAGTACAAGGGGGCACTATTAGTAACTACATTAGGACAGTAGTAATAAACAGGAAATGATCCCTGGAAACCCAAGATATGTAATCACTCTAAAAAAAAACTTCCAATTCTAAGACCAGGTCTGTGACTTTTTTCTTTTTCTTTTCTTTTCTTTTTTTTTTGACCCTGGTTTTTTTCTTTACCTTTCTCACTTTCCTTTCTGCCTGGCTTCAGTGATGACAGAGGCTATTCCTGTGTCAAACACACCTCTATCCCCTGGGGAGGTACAGAACAATGACCTAGAACTGCTGGTCTCCTTCACACTTGAGGAGACACCATCCTGTAATTTACCACCTTGTTCCCAAGCATGGAACGCTCTACATTTTTCACAGCAGAGCTCATCACAGCAATTCATGTTTTCATATTTAATTGACTATATTGAGTTTAAAGTACTTACAATTAAACACTCTCATTTTAAGATCACAGTTCTGTAAGTTTTGACAAATGTACACACCCATGTGTACATACACCACAATGGAGAAGATTTGAGATATTTCCAACAACCTCAAAACTTCACTCATCTTTGCTGTCAATTGTTCTACCTCCAGTGTTTTCTGAAACTAACATTAGTTTGCTATTCTACACTTTCATATAAATGTACTCTTTTAATTTTGGTATCTTTTGTTTAGCATGATGGTTTTGGACTCACCCATGATATTGCACCTATCAGGAATCCAATCTTTTTTATTACTCGGTAGTATTCAATTGGATGGATATACCACTATATGTCCATTCACTGGTTGTTAGACATTTGATTTGTTTCTAGTTTTTGGCTATTATAGATAAAGCTACTTTGAAGATTCATTGACATAGGTCTTTGTATGGATATGTGCTTTAATTTATCTTGGCTGAATACTTTGGAATGGAATTATTGGGTTATATAGTATAAGAAACTGCCAAATTGTTATTCAAAGTGGTTGTACAATTTTACATTCCTGTCATCAAGGTATGAAAGGTCCTGTTTACTCCACAATCTCATCAACACTTACAATTGTTTGCCTTTTAAATTTTAGCCATTCTTATAGCTGTCTAGTAGTATCTCAATGTGTTTTAATTAATGTTTTTCTGATGATTAGTGGTGAATATTTTTACGTATGCTTATTCCATATATCTTCTTTTTGCAACATCTTTTCAAAACCTTACTTTTCTCCAAACTTCTAAATAATTTAAAAAATATATACAGTAAATTTAAGAGAGAGTTTATACTTAATGTGTATGTATCCACCACCTATATTCCAATCATTACATTTTGCTACAAGATTTAAAAAAAACATATTTCTGTTCACTAGTCTATTCTTAATTCAACAAAGAAACTTATGTTTTGCTTCAGAGTACATTGCAGATGATAGTGCATTTTATCCCAAATATCTGAACATGCAATTCGATAAATGAATTTTAATATGTCCAGAGTTTTGATGCAACTTTTTTCATGAAAAATACATACACCTGTGAAACAAACTCATATCAATATATGGAATATTGCCTTTACTCCAGAATATTTTCTCATGCCTCTTCACAATCAAATTTGGCTCCAATTCTCCCAGACACAATCAACTTTATTTTTCATCATAGATTGTTTTTTTCTTTTCTGGAATTTTATTTTGCCATTATAGATTTTATATTTAGCCTTTTTTTCCTGTGTATAGTTTTTTGAGATTTATTCATGTTGTTGTATGAATTCGTTTTTATTACTGAGTAATATTCCATTGAATATTTATTTCTATTTTCCTATTGAGGGAGTTTTTCTTCCAATTTAAATCTATTAGGAATAAAATTGCTGTAAACACCCTTGTAAAATGCTTTTTTTGTGAACATATGTTTTCATTTCTCTTGAGTAAAGTCCTGGAGTAGAATTGCTGGATTATTGGGTAAATTTGCATTGAGTTTTAGAAGAAACTGTCGTAAATTGTTTCAATAGGGTTGTACCATTTTACACTTCCACTGACAATGTGTGAGCTCTCTGGTTGCTCTAACGTCCTTGCTAACATTTTGTATTTTCAGTCTTTTTATTTTTAGTTATTCTGAGGTATGTGAAGTGGTATCTCACTATAATTTTAATTTGCTTTTGCCTGACAACCAATGACACAGAGCACATTTTATGTGGTTATTGGACATTTGTATATCATTTAAAATAAAATGTTAGTTCAAATCTTCTTGCCATTAAAAATGTGGTTGTTTGCCTTTATTATTAATTTATAAGAATTCTTTATCTAGTCTGGCTAACAGTCCTTATCAAATGTTTTCTCCCAATATGTGGCTTGTCTTTCTTTTCCTTGTGGTGTCTCTTGCAGTCTTTTATGGCTTATGCTGTTTGTGTGCAGTATTAGAAATGTTTGGCTGGGTGCGGTGGCTCACGCCTGTAATCCCAGCACTTTGGGAGGCCGAGGCGGGCGGATCACGAGGTCAGGAGATGCGAGACCATCCAGGCCAACATGGTGAAACCCTGTCTGTACTAAAAATACAAAAAATTAGCCGGGAGTGGTGGTGGGCGCCTGTAGTCCCAGCTACTCGGGAGGCTGAGGCAGGAGAATGGCGTGAACCCTGGAGGCGGAGCTTGCAGTGAGCCGAGATCGCACCACTGCACTCCAGCCTGCGTGACAGAGTGAGACTCCGTCTTTAAAAAAAAAAAAAAAAAAAAAAAAAAAAGAAAAGAAAAAGAAATGTTTGAGGGCTTCAAAGTCAAAAGATTTTCTCTCCAATGTTTAATTCTTAAATTTTTGTAGTTTTAGTTTCTACATTTTGGTCTACAGTCTAGTTCAAGTTAATTTTTTGTATAGTGCGAAGTAAGGTTCTTTCACCCTCCCCTTTTTACATATGATTATCCTGTGGTCTGGCGAAGAATTTATGATATATAACACTACTAACACGTGGGAGATTAAATAAGGGAATGATACCTAGAGAGCAATTTATGTCTCCAGTGGAAGCTGAGTTAATGCCTCATATTAAAGAAATTGGAAGAGTATAAAAAAGTCTATATAACCATACTTACTAATGGAGTATGAGGAAATGCTGGATATTGACTTCTTTGAAAGTTCAGGTATTGAGCAGCTCATCTTCATGGTACCCACTATACGATGCCTACCACTCCATCAACATGGCTTCAATCTACCAGGTTTGCGACTCATTTTTATCTAGCTCTAAACCTGGTTTAAAATGCCAGAGGCTGCTTTTTCTCAACCTGCAGACAGCACTCCTAATAATAACTGGTGTCCTTAGAATCAAAGCCAATGAAAGCAAGATTCAGAGAAAGAAAACATGTCTCTTCATGGTTTCGGTCTGCTTTCCAATGACTCATTTTTGTTTTGTTTCTTTCTGTGTCTCATACTATTCCACATAATTGGCAGTGGAAATGCATATATCCTTGAACAGATTCCCCCATATCCTTCCCATAAGGATGTAATTCCACCTATCGTCTCCAAAGACAATCATTTCACATTATAATAGTTCAGCTTTCATAGAGGAGGTACATGTATGTAGATGAGGGTTGTTTTCTCACATTTTATTCTCTGTAAATTATGTAATAAAAGAAGAGCACTTTCATTGCTTAGCGTTTCTTACACTGTGGGTTAATTTGTCACATGTGGTGATATTAGTGTTAAAGGTCAAACTACACCATGCCTAGCCAGAATAGTTTCTTTTTTAATGATGCTGCAATGTGAGGAAGAGACCAATCGTTGTCCATTACTTTGATAACCTTCTGGAGCTCAACTCCTTATTTCCTTTGTACAATAGCTTAAATAAGAATAAATGCACATATTTCTCCAAGAATACACAGTACGTTGAAAACAAAGAGCAATGTAAATCCATGTGTAGAAAGTAACTTAATTTAACAAAATAAAAATAATGTGCTATTTTCCATCAATGTTTTAAAGATCTCATGACCAATTTCATGCCAAAGTGTAAGCACTCAGGCTATTATTGCTTTGTGATAGTTTCTGCAATATGTCTCCAAGAAGCAAGCGTTCCCCAAACAAGTGTCTTGGAAATAGGAACTCAGTCCTAAGTTGATCCCTACAAAATGTCTATTTTCCCCTTCTTCCTATGACTTGAGGAATCATTGCTGTTTCCCTGTGCAGTCCAAAACTTGAAGTTTCAGCCAAGTCAATATACATTTGAAAAGTCTGTTTACGTAAGCTTATTTATACTATCTCCCTATCTTTAAAATGATAATAAAGAAATTATAGTTAGTATAATCTTTATTTCTCATCACTAATTATTAAAAAAAGGACAAATACTAGGAGACAAAAAATTTGATTTATTTTGTCATTCAATGTTACATCATTCAGACTGATTCACTGTAACTCAATAAATAAAGAATGTTAATGATTCCTGAGCTTGAGCAGCATAATCCAGTTAAATGATATTGGGTTGATACCCCAGAAAATCTCTTAGAGCCATTTAAGGAAACTTATTCTTTTTCTTTCAAGAAGTAAAAATAAACATACATAGGCTTATTTTTTCTTATGATGTCTTTTTATATTACTCATATGTGAGTTGATTCCATCTGAATCCCAATTTTAGCAGATAAGTAGATTATATATACATATATACACCTTGCATGGCCGTACTCTGAAAATCATGTTTGGTTTCTTACATCAAAAGGTCATCAGCAACTCAAGGTTCTAGTCCCGAAAAAGTAGAATCACGAAGAAGTTCTTTAGAAATGTGTTAATTACAAAGTTTTTAGACCAACAGCTTTTCAGGAGAAAGACTATCTCAAGGACACTGACCCACTGGCATTGAATAAGAAGGCCAGCTATTTGAACCCAAATATCCACGTGTTTCTGGTTATTTTCCCTGGTGCAGCGTATCTCAGCATGGTCCATGGACAATCTTCATCAGAATATTCTTGGGATATTCCACTAAAATAGGTTTCTTAGACACACTCAGACCCCCCGAGTCAGAATTTCTGGGCAAAATGTTAATGTCTGTATTTCTAGAAGAAGTCTTGAATATATATCTTGAATATATTTTACATAGCCTGGTTTATATATTTTGTTAAACTCTTACATCTAGCCACCAGTGCCATCAAGAGGTCAGAGACTGACAAATTATTCTTAGGATCACGGTTACTTGGCAGAAAGTATCTTGGCTAAAATTAAGGCTTCCTAGTTACTAGAAAAGAATAGTACTTGATGAGATGAGGGAAGCTCATTTAGAAGCAGTACAAATCTTTAGCTTAATGATTGGTCAATAGGCTTAATCATGTTTGTCTCTAAAGAAATCAAGGAGGTTGGGCAAGTATGACCTTTATCTTTCCTAGGACGGTGGTGGATCAGATGTTGTTCTTGAAGGAAAGAAATGTCTCTGAAGAGCAGAGGTATTCAGACAGAAATGATGGCCTATGGTCAGGAATGGATTATCTCACTTCTCTGATAAATCTTTCCTCCAGGTAGCTGTACTTCTGATTACAGAGCCTTTATGTCTTTTTTAATGTCTGGAATCCTGACAGTAATATTTCTTCTTTCTTTACATTTTAGTATTATCCACAACATTTCAAAAATTGATGTTTCTAATGTGTCTGGAATCCAGTTTCCTGTAATGTCTATGTAGCCACTAAAGCTCAGGACCATTTTACATGTGTGCATTTTAATAAATTCTAACTGTTCTCATGGCTTCCACTTTTATTCTCTATCCCAATAGATAACTTTGGTTAAATTAACTCTTTGATATGAAAATCTTCAGGGTAACATGTCAATTTTTTTCTCACATTCCTGCATACTCCTCAGGTCAGACCAGTAATCAGTATAAATATTAGAACTGAAAACTGAGGCTAACAACTGAGTTGTGCTGGGATGAACCACTTTAAGAATATAGAGAAAATAACAGTTCCTCTGTGTTAAAGAAAAAAAGCAACTATCTTATTTCTCACAGGAGATTTTAAAACATTGTATTGATATGAAACAGATTTTACTTAAGGAAAGTATAGTTTGATTTTTCTGCCCCTACTTTCATATCATTTTTCTCTATGCCTTTTAGCCTACTCCTAGTTTAGCCATCTACAACTAGAATCCCCAAAACCCCCCTGTTGTTTCACAGTGCCATGTCTCTTCTTGGAATGATCATTCCCCTGTAACAGAAATCCTGGAGTAAAGGAAAGCTTGTCAGAGAGGTCTTACATTTTACCTTTAGCTTGTTTTTCTTTTTATTTAGCAAAGGGAATTTGCCAGCTCTGTAGGACAGAAAATAGCCTGCAAATCAATGGAAGAAACCTCTCCTCATAGTCAGATACTTTGGAATCGTCGGCCAGTCCTCCGAAGGCACTGAAAAGCATCCCTCCTCAGGAAGATGTGTGAGTAGAACGATTCTCCAGGGGGAGGAAGTTGTATAGTTCACTTTATGTTTCCAGGTCTAATTGGTAAAGGGCTTCAACTTTTTGTGGACTCAGACAAAGTAAGGGAGGAAGTTTTGCATGTTGTGGAGCTTCATCCCAGATACTCCTTTGCTGGCTGTCATGTGGCTAACAGACCCTTGACACGTAGCATAGTCCAATGACCTGAACATTAGAAAAGGGAACAACAGACCCCAAGAACGGGGCATCTTGGCTAAGGCAGCTTTGAAGGAATGGGATGATTCTTCTTCAGGGGCATGTGGTGGTGGTTTATGCTAGGATGTAGATCAGCAAGATGCCATTATAGTAATGGCTCACCATGTTCTGTTATATAATATAAGTCTACCTATAGGACAGCTGTTCAACAATGAGAATTTGATCTGCTCCCTTTCAAGGTCAACACATATCTGGATTACATTATTCCTCAAGGTTAGTGAAGAAAACAGAGTGAGGAGGAAAGTCTTGAATTTCCTGCCAACCAGGCAGATGCAGACTTAAGCAATTAATTGAGAAAATGAAAGAGATGTGAGCACATTGGCTCCTTATTTTGTATCAGTCAAAGTTTACCATTAAGACAAAATATTACACATATGTAAATCTGAGATAATTTAAAGCAGGTAATTTTAAAAACCTGAAAAGCTAGGCAGGGCAATGGGACAACTGGGGATTCATAATAGCAGAAGGACATTGCAAATCCTCAACTAGAGGGACAAAGGAAGGAGATAATATTACCAGCACCTAAGGGTTTTTGGTCATGTAGAAAAACCAGAAATAATGGTGAGTTTGCCCAGTAGAAGTTTTAGCCACTGAGAAGACATACACACACTGACAAAGACACCTCAAGAGATATAGAAGTGCTATCTTCCAAGCCCCTGATAATGCCTCAATTGGCCAAACCGCAGCTTAAATGCGTCTTTCCTTTGTGACAAAGAAAAGAGGAAGAATGAAATAGATCTAAAGACAAACAAGTCTAAGACAGACACAATTTGTATTTCACCTGGTCTAGAGAATGTGGATTCGTTATTCAAGAGTTGTTTTATTTCTAATCATCATTCTTCTTCCTTTAGAGTTGTTTATTCCTTTCTGTAAGTAGAGCCACATCAAGTTTTTGATATTCGACCACTCTTGACTTACAAAATCACATTTTCATATGGCTCAGTTTAATATATTTTCTAATTGTATAAGATACCACACTAGTGAAATGAGGTTGTCTTCTCTTACGTAAACTTGTGTCTCCTTCCTCTAAGCTGTAAGCTGTTTCCCACACCAGTGAAATGGGATTGTCTTCTCTTATGTAAACTTGTGTCTCCTTCCTCTAAGCTGTAAGCCCTTTGTTGGCTGAAGCGTGCTTTACTTAATTTTACATCTCCAGTGACAAGGATAGAATCTGGTACAAAATTGGAACTTAATAAGTGTTTTCTTGGATTAAAGAAGAAAGAAAAAAAACTTGCATATAGGCTACATTACTAAGTTAGGTAATTTTATATAAGGCAAAAGTCAGCATTTAATTAAAAATATTTATGTTATTTTTTTTCACAAGAATGCATTTTAAAACTATGGATATGCTAAATAGTTAAACAAAATTTAGATATTTAAGGGAGATGTTTCGTTGTAGACTTGTACCATGTAGTCGTAGAAGTTTTGAAATACCTATAATGTAGGTATTAAGATGGAAACAAGTCTAAGCTTAAACTCATATATGTTAAGTCATATTGCACAACCACGTTGCATTAGTTGTGGTTTTCCAGGGAAGTAGAACCAATAGAACATATATAATTACAGGTATATAAAAGGAGATTTATTATGAGAATTCACTCACACGATTAAGGAGAAAAAGAACTCCCAAGATCTTCCATCTGCAGGTTAGAGAACAGGAAAGCTAGTGGTGTGGTTCCAGTCTGAGTCTGAAGTCCTGAGAATCAAGGGATTCAAGGGAACTGTGTGAACTCTCAGTCCAGACAGAGGCCAATGGCCTAAAAACAGGGAGAGGAGTGTGCAGGTATGGGATGGGGGTGCCCAAGAACCAGGAGCTCTGATGTCTGAGGACAGGAGAAGATAGATCAACTGAAGAAGATTTCTTCCTTGCCCTTCCTCTTCCTTTGTTGTTCCATTTGGGCACTCTGTGCTTTGGATGCATTGGATGATGGCTACATTGGTGAGGGTGGATCTTCTGTGCTCAGTCTACTGAGTCAAATGCTAATCTCTTTCAGCTACAACCTCTCAGACTCCTCCAGAAATAATGTTTTCTCAGCCATCTGGGCATCCCTTAGCCCAGCCAAATGGACACATAAAATTAACCATCATCCATGTTTACTGCAGACTCTCCAGATGTGTTAATTTTCATTCTTAAACTCTTTAACATGCTTTTCCATTCCTTGTGGCAGAAAAAAGATGGAGTAAGATTATCTTGATCATATGAACCTGGAAAGTGAAACTTAGTCTTGTGGGTAAATGTTTACATCGTATTGTAGCTAAGGGTGAAAAGGAAATATGACATTTTAGTACAAATTGGATTGTTCTTACCTTAAGTTAAAACTAAACTAAGAAGTTAACATATAAAATTTAGAATGACTTATAAAACTATATACTCTTTCATAAATTAATTCATGAATAAGTAAAGTAGTAAATAACATGCTTTTTTTCTTTATAATATGAAAACTGAGGACACTAACATCATGATAAAAATCAGTTAGAGAGATTTTTTCTCCTAGAAGTTCATTATTTTTATGCCAAGGAGAAAAACATGTGAGATGGGATTTTTATATAAAAAAGATAAGAAGATTAAAAAGCAAAGCAGCATATCATCACTTTTTTGTTTGTTTTTGAGTGTGTATTTTGTAAAGATGCTTTTATCACTACTGAAATGGCAATCATCTTATTATTCACTATAGGAAGTCACTGAACCTATGATTTTATCATTTGCAGGTACAGAACTGCCATTCAGAGAGGGAAAATAATATTGCTAGAACTGCACAAAACAGTACAGAGCAAATAAAATAAAGATCTCTGGAACATGGTCATTAAAACATAGAGACCCATGAAAAATATCAGTGTACATATTATATATAGATAGATATGTTATATATATAATATATATATTATATATATATATTATATATGTATTTTTTTTTCTTGAGGCTGGGAAAGTTACGAGCTCAGTGCCTGTATTCTGAAAGATTCCAAAAGGATAATTGGAAGGCCAATAAAAAGCTATCTTTTGATTTAATTCACTCACTCATCAAAGATTTATTCAAAACTCCTATATGTAAAGCTCAATTGGAAGTGCTCGATAGAAGAAAAAGATGTGAGCCTAATATAGATAGTCTAATGTTTCAAGAAGATTACTATCTTGATAGGAAAGAAAGACAAAGTGGTATTTATTCTAGTATGGTACACAAGATGGTGATGAGCCATGCTGTATGTACATAGCAATAGCTATGTACATACATATGTATAACTCAAAGATTGAAGTTATCTTTAGCTAGAGTAACATTAGATAAATATGGACTGGTATGAATCAAATATTGATAGATGGGGGTTGGAAAAGAAAAATATATTAGTACATGACTAGAAAGGGGTAAGATGGGCAAGCTGGAGTGTACAAATCCTAGTCAGGAGTGGAAAGCAACAAAGACAGAGAGACGAATTGGCTGCAGATGGTTCCAAGTTTAAATGACAAGCTGAAGTGTTTGAACTTAATTTCAGTTAGAGGAAGCCATGGTGAATTTTGAGCCAGATGTCAAGGAAGACACAAACCGAGCTCTCTTTCAGGAAAACACAGACAAAGAGTTAGATTAGATCTCTTAGACTGCTTTAACACCATGTTTTCTATGATTCTGTGGGTATTTTGGCAGAGAACAAAAAAGAGTTCAACTTTAGGAGATCTAAGAAACATTTTCTGGATTTAATGGGCCTTGAAGCAGTCAGGAGTGTGTGAGCTTCTTATAGAGAGAATGGGTGAAAAGAGGTATCAGAGCAAAATAGAGAGAAATTGGACACTGCTAGCCAGTAGGGAATGAAGGAGAGGGAGAAGTTAAGGGGGTTTTGAGTTCTGCTGACTGGGTTGTGTCATTATAGAATATTAAAATTTTGAAAGAGATAGGTTAAAGGAAGCCACATTTTGAAATTTTAAACTTATTATGTTAATATTTAGGTGATGAAAATACATGTGCTTTAGTAATCTTACAAAATGCACTTGATTTTAATTCTAAGATATGCACAGAAGCCAACATGAGATCATTAAGTATAAAGTGAAATTTGCAGAACACGGTTCGGGGGTTGGGGCATCATCTTAGAGGATAATAAAGATAAGCAATAAACCTTGTAGTGAATCAAATGCCAAGAACTGAGTTGTGAAATCTGAGTGAGAACCAGAATCCCAAACTCAATCTGCCTTTATCATTGTCAAGGCATAGTATAAAATGCAAAGGAAGTACCTTTTAATACATTGGTGTGCAAAGAATTTTGAAGGCATTATTCCCATGAGGTTCTTCTGGAAGCTATATGCTCTATCCCAGCATGCCTCATTTGTTATTAAGAAATCAATGTCAGAATTCCGGAAGTTGAAAATAAAAGTCCAAAAATTGGACCTACTACAGAAAAGATTGCTGAGTAAGGTGCACTTTTAAACTACATTACTAATAAAGGACCACAAGAAGGTGTTAGGGTTTTAGAAATTTTTAGTAATGTGATGAATCAGATTTAAACTATTTTGATAAAAATGAATTTCTACAGAAAGGAAAATAATTGTCCAGTTCAGCAAACTGCATAGATTGATTGTTTATAGAGAAATGTTAATTTTAAGTTTTTGATTATCAAATAAAAATACATAAGAACACCTTTATATATTACATGGAAATATACAGTTTAAAATAAATGAAAATTAGCAATTACAATATGATTATTATTAGCTGTATAATCTATGTTCCTCCAAAGTAAAGGTACAAATGTCCAGGTACTATTTACGAGTTTCATATTACACAACTAGCAAAATTCATTTTATGAACAACACTGTGTTCTTTTTACTCTGGTTGGTCACCATTATTTAATAGTTATAACACTGGTAAATGTAGAAAAATGTCAACAAATATATATTGAGGAGGAGGTACTTGCTAAACTGGTATTACTGCCTAATGTCTAGACTAGCATAGTTGCTAATTCTAATGTCCCATCCAAAGGTAAAAAGTTTGGATATCAATGGAGAGAGAAATAATAGCTGAGATAAAGACATAAATAACTGGGTTATGAATTGAGGGAAATCCAATATTACATTAACATCTCAGAAGAGGCTCAGAGCAAAAGATGATATTGTCTTTAGCTCAATTATATCACATGCCTAAAGGGTGAAGCTGTATCTTTTCCAAGACTACTCCTGTGTTTGGAACCTGACAAGACTAAATGAGAGGCTGCAAACCTGAGTGTCCTCTGCGTGAGACACATTTCCATATGATATGATGATAGGCTGCACTAATTACTCATGACTGAATGGAATTCTAGTAATGTATCAGTACCTTTTGACTTAGATGATCATTTTGATGAAAGGGATCATGGAGAGGTGGGATAACTGATGCTGTGAAATATATATATATGTGTGTGTGTGTGTGTGTATATATATATCACATATTAATCTATTTTAATATATATACACACACATAAAGCCATTAGGTGATTTCCAGTGCCAATGATTTAATCAATCAGGATAATGTAATGAAGTTTCCAAAACCAAAAATGATTTGTTTGAGAGAGTTTCCAGTTACCTGAACTTCATATTTAAGGGCTCACATAGGATTAAAGTGAAGGGCTGAAAAAGGTAGCCCATTCAAGTGGTAAATGAAAGAGTTCAGGATTGGCTATAGTGAGACCAGACAAAATAGACTTTAAGTCAAAATCTCTCATGAGAGACAAATGAGGACATTTTATAATGATAAAAGGGTCAATCCACTAGGAAAATGTAATAATCATAAATATATATGCCCCAACATCAGAATATCTAAATATATAAAGCAAACATTAACAGACCAAAGGGTAAAATAGACAGCCATAAAATAATAATAGGAGACTTTAATGCCTACCTTCAATAACAGATAGAACGTCAGACAGAAGATCAATAAGAAAACAGAGGACTCAAACAACTCTGTAGTGCAAGTGCACCTAACAAAAATATGTAGAACATTTTACCTAACATGGGAGGAATACACACTCTTCTCAAGTGTATATGAAACTTTCTCCAGGATAGATCACATGTTAGGTCACAAAACAAGTCTTAACAAATATATGAGGATTGAAATCATACCAATTACCTTTTTCTGACTGCAGTGCAATAACACTAGAAATCAATAGCAGAAAAAAAACAGAAAAATTTACAACTATGTGTAAATTAAAAAACACTCTTGAACAATCATTGATTAAAAAATGATTTAAAAAGGTGAACTGGAAAATGCCTCGAGACAAATAAAAACAAAACCAAAAATAAAAGCACAACATAGCGACATATGGAATGCAGAAAAAGAAGTACTAAGAGAAAGGTTATTTTGATAAATTCCTACATTAAATAAGTAAGATCTCAAGTAAATAAGAAAACTTTACCCCATCAAAGACTTAGAAAAAGAACAAACTAAACCCAAATCAAGCAAAAGAAGAGAAATAACAAAGATTAGAATCAAAGTACATGAATTAGAAGATAGAAAAGCAATAGAAGAAAATCAATGTAACTGAGTTAAGTTTTTGAAGAGGTAAACAAAATTGACAAACCCTTAGCTACACTAAGGATAAAAAAAGGGAGACCAGACTCAAATCAGAAATAAAAAAGACTTTAAAATTTATGCCAAAGAAATAAAAAGAATTATAAAGACTGCTATGAACAGTTATATGCCAACAAACTGGATAACCCAGAAGAAATGGATAAAGTCTTACACACATACCACCTAGCAAGATTTAGTCAAGAAAAAATAGACAGCCTGAAGAGACCCATAACTAGTATGAAGATGGAATCCATAACAAAAATCCTCTCAATAAACAGCCCAGGATCAATTATACCAACACTTAAAAAATTAATAATGATTCTCAAAATCTTCAAAAAATATTTAATAGAAGGAAACACTTCCAAATTAATTTTTTAAAAGCAGCATTACCAAAGACACACGAAGACATTACAAGAAAACACAACTGTAAGTCAATATCCCTGGTGAATATAAGGTAAAACTCCTCAAAAAAAAAATACTAAGTAGCTGTTCCAAACAGCACATTTAAATGATCATACAGCATGATCAAGTGGGATTTATTCCTGGAATGCAAGGTTGGTTCAACCTATGGAAATCAACTAATGTGATGTATGACATTAACAGAACAAACGATAAAAAATCATGATATTATCTTAGTTGATATAGAAAAAGAATTGGACAAAATTCAACATCATTTCATGATAAAAATTCTTGACATACTGGGAAAGGAAGCTAAGTGCCTCAACATAATAAACACCATGTATGAAAAGCCCAATGCTACCGTAATACCCAATGGTGAAGAATTGACAGCTTTTCCTCTAAGATCAGGAGTAAGACAAGGAGGCTTACCCTTGCCACATCTATTTAACATAATACTGAAATTCCTAGCCATAAAAATTATTCAAGAAAAAGAAATAAAAGACACCCAAAGTAGAAGGAAGTAAAATTGTTACTATTAGCAGATGACATCTTATATATAGAAAACACTAACAACTCCACCAAAAAAAGTTAGAACTGCTAATGAATTCAGTAAAATTGCAGTATACAAAATCAACATACAAACTCAGTTGCCCTAGTATACATTAACAATGACCTCTCTGAAAAGGATATCAGAAAAGCAACTGTCGTTTATAATACCACCAGAAAAGTACTTAGGAAGAAACATAACTAAGGAGGTTAAAGACTTGTATATTGAAAACAGCAAAACATTAATGAAACAAATTAATGAAGACACAAAAATGGAATAATAACTTATGTTCTTTAATTGAAACACTTAATATTGGTAAAATGTCCGTACCACTCAAAGCACTCTACAGATTCAATGAAACTCCCATCTAAATCCAATAGCATTTTTTAATAGGAATAGAAAATACAGTGCTATAATTTATATGGCACCACAAAAGTTCATAAATAACCAAATGAATTTTGGGAAAACAAAAGAATGCTGGAGGAATCACATTTCCTAATTCAAAATATATTACAAAGCTGTAGTAATCAAAGCAGTTTGATTCCAGTATGAATTTTGTCAAATGATTTTTCTGCATCCTTTGAGATGATCATGTGAGTTTTATTCTTTCTGTATTCATGGTACTGGAATAAAGACAGACATATAGGCCAGTAGAATAGAATAAAGACCCTGGAAATAAATCCATGTAATATCATCAACTAAACTTTGACAATAGTGCCAATAATACAGACTAGGAAAAGGATAGCCTTTTCAATAAATGATGTTGCAAAAACTGGATAGCCATGTACAAAAGAGTAAAATTAAACACTTATGCTATACTACACACAAATATCAACTCCAAGTAGATAAAAGACTTAAACGTAAGTAACCAAAATTTTAAAACTACTAGAAGAAAACAAATAAAAAAGCTTCACAACACTGGTCGTAGACATGATTTCTTAGCTATGATTCCAAAAACACAGGCAACAAAAGCAAAAATGAACAAATGCAATTACATCAAACTGAAAAAGCTTTTGCACAGCAAAGGAAACAGTCAAAAAGTAAATTCAATCTATGGAATGGAGAGAATATTTGCAAACCATATATTTTAAAATAGGTTATTCTCCAAAATATTTAAGAAACTCCTGCAACTAAATAGCAAAAAAACCCTAATAACCCAATTAAACAATGGACTAAGGACTTTGACAGACATTTCTTTAAAGAAGGAATACAAATGGCCAATAGGTGTTTGAAAAGATGCCCAACATCACTAATTATCAGGGAAATGCAAAGCAAAACCACAATGAGATATTATCTCACACCTCTCAGCATGGTTTTTATGAAAAAAATCAAAACACCACAGGTGTTGGTGAGGACGTGGAGAAATTACAACCCTTGTTACACTATTGATAGGAATCCAAAATGATACAGTTGCTATGGAAAGCAATATGGAGGTTATTCAGAAAATTAAAAATACAAATACCAAATGATCCAACAATTCAATAAAGAAGTGTATGTAATAAACACACTTCTGTTTACTTATCAAAAAAATGAAATTAGGATCTCCCAAGAGATATTAGCATTTCTATGTTCACTGCAGCACTTATTCACAAGAGACAAAATGTGGAAACAACCTAAATATTCATCAACGAGGAATAATAGATAAAGAAAATGTGGTGTACATATATTTGTCTACATATATACAATGGAATACTATTCAGTCTTACAAAGGAAGAAAATTCTCCAATATGCAACAACATAGGTGAATGTTGAAGGCATTGTGCTAGTCACAGAAAGATAAATAGTATATAATTCCACTTATATGAAGTATCTAAAATAGTGAAATTCATAGAATCAAAAAGTGAAAGGGTGGTTTTTTAGGGGCTTGAGGAAGGGTGAAATGGGGAGTTACTAAAACAATGGGCATAAAGTTTCAGTTAAACAAGATGAATAAATTCCAGAGATATGCTGCACAACATCGTGCTTATAGTCAACAATACTGCATTGTACACTAAAAATGTGTTAAGATAATTGATCTCATGTTAAGTTCCTACCACAATAAAATATTTTTAAATAGAAGAACTTAAATAGGTAATGGCACACATGTAACCTATTTAATAGGGTGGTATAAAAGAATATCTTATGATTAAAAAACGTTCAAAATATTTTGGCAAATGTAAAGAAGTAGAAAAAATGAATATATTTTTTGTAAAATCATTTGATTTTACAAATGATTTAATTGCATTTGATTTAATTGCATTAGAATAGAAAAAGATATTTTGAAAAATCATCTCAGGTGTTCAAGGTAATCACTGAGTGGTCTGGTTAGAAGTAATTTTTTTTCTTTTTTTTTACATTTTAATGTTTTCCAAATGAACTGTTTGAACAAGGTTACTTTATAATAAAAAGGGCACCCCAAATGTTGTTAAAATAACACAACACATCAAGTCCATGCAAAAAAACAGTTTTGTTTTGCATTCATATGTGGCTATGGTTTCAAAATTATAATTTTATAGATATATGTGTGCATTGATATAATTTGAACATAACACACTGCCCTCACAGTATTTTCTTATTTCATCATTGATATGATTTGCTCAAGATTGTGGAGATTAGCAGTTTTGTAACTACGTATATTTATGATATAAATTGAAATCTATTTAAATAATCCCTGGTACAATGTGATCATTGGGTTAAGTATCAAACGTACAATTATTTTGAGTTCTGGTCTTGACACATAGAGGAAGTTTCTCATTTTTCAAAAAAATTGGTACATAAAAAAACTCACTTGATATGTATCTAATTAAAATTGGGTCCAAATTTTTATATAAATAGCAATCAGTACTCTATCACGAAAAGTAAAGATATAAAAATAATTTTGTACATTTAATAAAATTTAGTTTACAATAGTAATTATAAATAAATAGAATGAATAAATAATAAATCTTATGTAAAAGGAGAAATTTTCGTTTTTAAGCCCCTAGATTTTTTTCTGGTAGTGAAAAAAATTATCTTTAATTTTACATTTTACTTTTGCACAATCAGATCATGTCATCATGCTGACAGAATTTTGCCACCAAAATAAAATTTGGTGGAGAGAAATCTCTAGTGCACCAATGAGATTTCTTATAAAATTGATTGGGTGGCATCTTATAAAATTGACTGGGTGGCATCTTATAAAATTGACTGGGTGGTGATTTAAAATTCATTGGTATATTGAGAACTACTATTCCTCATTCTATCTGCCTACCCAGTTTTATGACTGACTCAGCTTAAGGCACTCCGTTTGCATTCTGAAAGCTCTTGTGGTGTGAGAGTTATACTTTCTATTACTTCTGAGTTACTGCTTGATCATCAATGCAGAGATGGAAAGCTGCCCAAGGAAGATTTCAGCATGATCGTTCAAATTGGCATTGATTTTGTCATTTTAGGATAATAACGTTTAGGTTTGTTTCTGCTTTCCTATACTAGTTCTAAAAACATCCAATACCTTACACTAATGACAAACCAAATACTACCCAGGACCATTATCCAAAGTACCCTGTTATTATAGGGCAGAAGTTTGTCAAAGATAAATAAATCTCAGTCATTTACCACCTCCAACACTCTGACAGGCATTAGTACGTGGTGGGACAGTAGCTTAATGATAAAACATAACTTCAGATGAATATATAGCAGTTGACACTATAGGAGGACTTTGAATGCAACATGTCATAACAGTCTTATATTAATTAAGTCATAAATTTTCTTTACATGGCAGACATTTATTATAATTGATGAATTTTAGGCACATTAATTAAATTTCTGGCCAAATGGCAAACAGCCAGTTAGGGATAGAGCCATGATTTCTGATTTTCTTTTCTCCTTAGTCTCCCATAAAAGTGGCTTTTCAACTGTTTTTCAGTCTCTTAATTTCATTTTTATTAGCCTTATATGTGGAAAAAAAATAAAATTAGAGGGGTTATAAATTCCAGTTTTGTCTGTATTTTAAACCCATTTATTTAATAAATTTTTAAAATAATATTTACATGTTAAAATCTTATGTTTAAAATACATTGTTATAGTAAAAATCAAAATATTTTCAGTATGTCAATTGTGTAAAGGTAAGATTTTAAAAGTTCTACAGTTTCCATGACACAAAAAACATTTATCTTGTCATATCATCCAGCAAATGTTCACGATCTACATAATCCCTGTATTTACATGTTTCTCACTTACTTGCACTAATCTTTAGTTTACTTAATTTATTTTTTGTTGCAGAGATTCTCAAATCCAAAGCATCAAATACTAACATATTCAGATGTCACTGACAATCTAAAGAAAAATAAAGACATCCTAATCTCATTACCATTACTCACTTTTATCACACTTGGAAATATGGGGAGGGGGGAAGCCTTAAGCAAATCAGGAACATTTCAAATCTACAGATGAAACTAGTTTTTAATATACAAAGCTCTGCTTGTGGATTCAGAGTTAATTTCATAAGATAATTCTGATAACACGAATCATAAATTTATATACTGTTTCCCAAGGAACATTAATTTGGACATACAATGCATCATGATGCTGATTCCAAAATGTATAGTAATGCTTTTATGATGATATTAAATATATGCTTATCTACTTTCTAACTTCCCATTAGAGAATTAAAAATACTTAAAAATAATTTAAATAAATGTCTAACTGTGGAGTGGACCTAAAAGGGCAAACTGTTGAAAAGGTCTTAGATTTTTGAGATCTAACTAGTAAGGCTTTATATAAACCTAATGAAATGCCCAAGCATGACATTACATGGCAAGCCAACTGCTCTTTCTTTAGTGCATGTTACAAAGGACATTCATTATCTACTAATTGTATCAGATTCATGGGAAAGACTGTAGGTGTTCCTCTGAAACAAGGAAACTACTTCAAAATTACATAATTTGGGTTTATGATAAAATGTCCTATTCTGTTCTTTGAGCATCTATTTTAAATATTTATTTCCAAAACAAAAATATTTAAAAATAAAACTGAACAGAATTTTAAATTAGATGTCATTGCACGTCAAAACACTTCAGTAACTTTATTTATACAGTTTTCTCCCTTATTTCTAAACAGTAGCAATAAGTTTTAATTGCACATTTACTGCTACCAAAATATTGTAAGGATGAGTCCAGGTGTTTCTCAAGTTGTGTTCTTGGGAACATTCGTTCTGGTGAATGCTAATAGATGTTTGTTTTAAAGTGCCCTATAATAAGTTTTAAGAATGTCAAATTGAAAAGGATTTCTGATTCGGAATTTTTAGAATAGCCTGTATGATTAGGTTTCCTCTTGGGAAACTCCATAAGGTATTTCTTGTGTGTGTGTGTGTGTGTGTGTGTGTGTGTGAACTGGATGGAAGAGAGAAGTATCATAGGGGAAATAAAAAGCTGATAAATTAAAGCACAGGGAGCCTGTGTCCTGGCTCCATGAAAGTGCAGCAGAAGAATGTTTCTTATGTGAATGAGACCAGTGTGGACCTAGCACAGAGAGCCAGCAGCCCTGAACAGCATGCAGTGATGGTTTAGGGGTGGCCTGCATGGCCTAGTCACCAAGCATGAGAAAGGGAAAAGGGCATCTCAGAAGACATTATCTGTGGTAAACAACAACAAATCCTACCAAGAGTTCCTTATCCTTCTATGGTCCTTGAGTGATTAAAACTGTATTTCTATAATCAGTTGGAATACAGTCTCAAAATAGAATTGTGTTTAATGAAAAAAAGTATAGAATATTATATTCCTTGAACATCTGAGTCTGTGGCTTGAAATTTATTTTGACTATAGAAACATTTCTTTGGGCTAGGATTCCTAGAAAAATACTTAAGAAAACAGTAATCAAGTGAATTAATTCGTGACAGTATATATCTCACACTCACTTAGCTAAGCAAATTTTTCTCCAAAAAGCAAATTACTTAAAAAGTTTGGTCTACTTAAGTCTTACACTAAATGTATGAGCTATGGAATATTAATAATTATCTTAATCAGCAAGGAAGAAGAAACAAGTCATGTCTAAATGATCTGCAACATTATAAATCTTGTCCTTGTTTTATCTTAGATCTTAGTTAATGCTGTTTTAAGCCTGTGGATCTTTGGTGTGGCTATACCTTATAAAAATAATTATCTTTAATCTAACAATTTTCCAGTACAAGTTGTCCTTTAAAATAATCCTCTTTTTTTCTAAAAATTGTTGCAATCAATCAAAACAATGTTGTGACACTTTTAAAATATGTCCTTGAATGTATTTTACAAGCCATAATCAAAACTCTACTTTACTGCTTTAAATTCACATGTACTTTTAGATCAAACATAGTATTACCTAAATTCATCACCATGTAGGATCTGGTGACTTTAGAAAGTTTAATGAACCATATCTAGTCTTAAAAATTGAAGATTTTCTACCATCATAAATATCTTTGGTTCATAGTAGGCATTCATTATGTACTTATTGAATAAAAGAAAAAAAAGTCTTAAGGAAACTTCAGGTCCTTCAAGTATTAACAGAGGCTAGTATATCCAGCTTAATTGTTACCTTCTTATAAAGCTATTCCTCATAACCTTCTTGTTTTTCTTCTATTGTTTATGTTATAGGTAACTTATTAATAAATTAAAATGAATACATTTATTTATACTTTCTTATTTTATTTTAGTTATATTTGAAGGCAATAATAATATATAATTAAATTTTAATTATACAAAGTATCCAGTTCATTATCTATCCTTCAATAATTGTTTATATTTTTGGTAAAACTTTGAAGCATTGTTATTATATTTGAATAGCCTTTATTAGTTCTGTTACTCAATCAAGAGAGATATTTTAAGTTACATACACAATTATGGACGAAATATTAAAATATACTACATAGAATAACGTCAACTATATGTGCCAATAGGCTGAAAAAAACAATCTGAGGTTGCATGATGCTTGACAATTACATAATGAAAGCAAATTCCCAAAACATGTACATGTATTATATTTGTATAAATGTTTGTGTGTGTGTGTATATGTATATGTGTGTGTGTATGTAAGGTATCTAATACACACACACACACACATATATACACAGACATGTATCTATATACATCTATAGATATCTCTTTTAGGCGGTTACTGGTTTTATTTAATGTACAAAAGATTGTAGCGAATGTATCTTCTTGTTTGTTTTTATTCATTAGAGTAGTTGTGGGTCTTAAAGTGGAGACTCCATAGTTATGTTTCAAGATTCTGTGAATACTGCGAAAATATACATTCAATTAGGATGTAAATGTGTTTGTGCAGTTCATTGGGTCAAAATGTATGGGCATTTATCATATGTTTATTTATTAATAAAAACAGTTCAAAATTATTGATGAATTTCCATATTCTCTCAAATTCTGTAATGTGTACTTGAAGTTTCATTTCACATGATTCATATTTTGGCTTAAAAAGAACTATCTTGATTCTCCTTTTTGCATTCCAATCAATCAACAAGCATCTTAATAATTATGATGGGTTCACTAATAGGTAGGTGTTGAATAAAATTAATATGCTTTCAAGAAATCACAGTTTAGATAGGGAGACTAAGGGATATAGAGCCAACAAATAATAAATAATAAAATAATATAAAACACCTGAGGCAGGAGAATTGCTTGAACCTGGGAGGCAGAGGTTGCAATGGACATCGCACCACTGCAGTCCAGTCTGAGCAACAAAGCAAGGCTCTGTCTCTCTCTCTCTCTCTCTCTATATATATATATGAGACAAGATGGACCTTGATTGGAAGTCAGGATCTGTGTAGAGACCATATGAAATAAGGAGAAAAACTTAGAGTTAACTTTAGCTGTGTTTCCCAACTACAAAAAGTTACCCTTCATTCAAGGAATTTTGATATTTAGATAAGGTTTTATATAGCCTTGTTTTAAACTTCAATGCTGAATATAAAACTGGCCCTACTATCCCATAGAAATGAGCTTTATGGTTTCTCTTGGATAAACCTAGAAATTGACCTTCCCAGTCTTAAAACTAGAGAAAGTTACATTTGTCTTATCTCAATTCCTTTCTCAGGAAACCAAACATCATGTCTCCTAGATGGTATTAAGGAACTGAAACGTACCAGATCTCCATATCTGGACAATGAAATGCCAGACCCCTCACCTGTCCTGATTGCCTAACTGATCACCTGCTGTCAGTTGACCAAGTTCTCTTCCTCATCCTTCCCTAATTCCTGTATACCCACACATAATTACACCTCTTCCCTGCTATATAAACCCTTAATTTTAGTCCATTAAGGAGATGAATTTGAGACTGATCTGCAGCACCCAAATAAAGCCTTCTTCCCCAGCAATCATTGTCTCATTGATTGATTTTCTGAGAGGAGAGCAACAGGACTTAGATCAAACCCCCAGTGTTTTGATAACAAATATACAATACTGTTAGTTGGCAGTAATAATAAACTGTAAGTTGAAAACACCAAGAAAATCAGCATGCATGATAATCAGCATTATTATTTAACCATTCATAAATTTTTTTTTGCAGAGTTTTGATTTTCTTAGATTCCTATAAGCATTAGAGCAATTAGGTCATCTCTTTTAAACTATTTTCTTCTCGTAAGTACAGATTTACACAATGACCAAGAATGTTTGGCAGGGTCTACACTTTTGACTATATTAATAAGTAGGTATCTTAATGTGTCACAAATGTCAGTTAAGAGTAGACTATTCATGAGGTCTTTCCTCTTTAGTACTTCCATTGATTGCTTCTTTTTGCAGTGTTTTTACAATAATTTCTAAACAAACAATCGAATGTGCTGTGAAAATTTCCCATTTTCAATTGTAGGACATTTGTGACATAGACTTTTCCCTAACTTCACAGAGTCATTATATATAAAATTTTTACAAATCTGCTAGTTCTTTGAGATAGTATAGGTTCTTCATTAATTATAGATTTTCACAGTGAGTAATGTCGATTTACAAAATGTTAAAGAAGTTTCTTTGCTGGATTTTCAGAGATGTTCATATAGTGAAGTGTATGTAAGTCTCTAGCAGTGGATAGATTATGCAGCATCTATTATTTAATCATAAAATATCTATTAATACTTCATGGAACAAGTATTCTGAGGTACATAGTGAAGGGAATGCTAATTTAAGCCAAATATCTGAACCCCTTTCATTTCATAGATGGAAAATTAGGAGCTAGATCACTTGTTCATAGGCAGAACAAGCGTTTATAGTTTCTCCTTCCTGAGCATACATTATAATGAGAATAAAGGAGTTTTTAAAGTGAAACAGCAGAACAAAAGAAGTGTTTAAAGTAGAACAGTAGAATGAGGGAAATCATGTGTAAGAGGAGTGTTGGGGGAAATGGAATAGAAGAAGAACAGCTGGAATATAGAACATGCACATAGCAAAACAACAGGGCTCCTGATTCAGCTGGATGGTGGAAGCTGAGAAAGAAGTTAGGTAGGAAACAAAGCACTGATGGAGGAAACCTCCACGACGTAGTAGACTCTCCAAACAATTACATGAAGAGAACAGAGAAAGATGTTTACGTTTTTGCCAGAAGAATGCAAACACACACATATTTATGAATGATTTCTTACAGAAATGAAAGTGATTATGAGATGATGCTTCAGCTAATGTATTTGTGCTGCAAAATAAAGCCAATTTTTGTTTTACTTGTGATACCTTCACGTAATAGCTGCCCAACAATGAATTCCTATGCAAATCCTGCCAGTCAGCAATATCCAGTAAGACACTGAGAAATGCCAAAAACCTTTCCATTGCTTCATTCTTAAATTAACAGGATAAGAAAGAACACTCCTAAGAAAAATTAGAAGAAAAAACAAAGAAGAAAAGACCAAAATAAGCAGAAAACAGACCCTGTGCAAAGAGAGACAATTAAGAGAACAGAAATAAACTTTTTAAAAATCTTGTGATCTCAGCAAAATTTGAGATGTTATATTTGGGAAAAAGCAAAAATTAAAAATAATTAATAAAAATGTAGTATAAATTAGTTTTTTAACTCCCTAAGTCTATGATGGAGTAAAAATACAAAATACCAAAAAACTTGTTCAAGAAAGAACATATCATCATAACATACTACTTGACGGTACATTAAATAATATTTATACATTCATAATAATGTATATTTTAGTGTATTAACTTTTCAACATTTAAAAGTAATTAATGGGCAAAGGTCACATCAAATTATGATTGTGGAGAATGTAAATTCTATCCTTCATGTTGTAAACTGGTGACAGAACAATATATTTGCTAATATTTTTATTTTATAAAATGTCAAAGACAATGGAGCATCAAGACAGGGCCACATGAGCATATTATTTAGAGATTTGAAAATAACCATAGAAAAATGGAAATACATACTTTATAGGAGTTCTTCAAGTGGGGTTAACAAAGTGAACAATGGAGAAAGAAACCATTGTCCTTTATTTTAAGCCAATGCAATTTTAAACTATGTGCATGTATTACTTTAATAAAAATAATCTATGAAATTTACAATAACATTTAGCAAATAGATTAGAATATGGAATATTTCTCAAAACACTTCAGAAAGATATAAGAAGTCTTGAGGTCTTTTTCTTTTAGAGATTGCAATTGTTTTGTGCTGTCTTTTTAGTATTTCAAATTTAGTAAAGCTTATTATACTATGAATTTTGAAAGTAGACATATTCCCTAGTTATTTTTGCGTGCTCAGACTTTTGCAAGAACTTTCCATAGAGCAGATGCTCAAATGTAGGTGTCTCAGTGATTGGCTTTCTGTGAGGAGAGCAGCAGGACCTAGACCAAACCCCCGGCATTTTTGTAACAAATAAACTACAATACTGTTAGTTGGCAGTAGTAATATACTATAAGTTGAAAATACCAAAAAAATCAGACACTCAAGTGTAGACACTTTCCAAAGAACAGGCCCTCAAATGTTGCTAATACATCAAGAAAACATGATCCATTGAGATCATATTAATATTCTTTAAAAAATCTATTTACCTAAATTAATAATAAAATAATAGGGACTATCTTTCTAAAGTGTGCACAAGATTTTCCTTTTGAAGTTCTTTCTTTAAACCATACACACTAAACACATATATGAACACCCAAATATATATTATGTATGAATATGGATATCAATCATGTGCTATTTTTCTGTGTATTAATGTCAGCCGTAGATCAATTTTGAAAAAAATTTCAGAAGAAAGGTAACTGAGCTTCCTACAAAAACATATTTGAAATTTTGTAGACTCTCATTCATGCACAGGAAATATATTGTCTGACGTTTACTTAAATTAATTATTAACATTGATCTCTCATTCAAGATAGAGACAGATGAATGGATCAATAGTGATTCCAATCAAGAATTCTTAAATGCAGCCTGGATTCTCCCAAAAAACTGGTTCTTATCATTATTTTTTGCATGCTTACTTACACATATCAATGAGCATAAGTGTATCCTTATTTCTTTTAGTTTGTTCTTTTTTGGGAATGCTTGTATTATTCACTATTAATGATGATCGCTTATCTTCTTTTGAACCCTGAAGAGTAATAATCATGGGTTTCATGTACTTTTGTCTCTATATCGTCTAATATTAGAGGTCGGAGTTTTGCCAAATTCTAAGCCATCCTTTATTAAGATGTTAAGCAGACTTGCCTAAGTGAGATGAATCATAGATAGTTTTGTCTTTTAAAATACATACTTCATTTGCTCAGCATCTCATGACAGGATATTTTTTAACCATGGTGAGATAGTGAAGATAGTAGCAAGAACATACTGTCAGGATTTAAAGGAAAAATCATTTTCTCACTAAGCCATCCAATCTAGAACAGTCTTGTTCGATGGGACGTGCATGCAAATCAGGTCACTTACTATTAACTTTTATATTTCCTGAGGACTGCTTGTTTGACTCCTAATTTGTATTCCTGCAAGGCTATGACTTTCTGAAGGAAATTCTGCCTCTTGTTAGATGAGAAGATTGACGTAGCGAAATAGTTTGCAATAAGAAAGAAGTCACCCTTTGCTCTGAACACAAATTAACCTTCAGCATAATTTCTAAGCTCAGCAAAACTTGTATACATTGTTAAAAAGTATGTGTACAGGTGAAATGCCATAATTTTTAATTCTGTCTGGTCCTGGAGACAATCACCGTGAAAAATGAGTAAAAAGCCTGTTCTGGAAGAAATTTTTAGTTTCTCTAGATGCAGGAATGAATATGTGAAGTGTCTGAACACATGTTTAGATTAAGATTATTCTCATTTCTTCAGAACTTAATAAGAGAACTAAATAATCCAGAACATAATATCAACTTTTGCTTTCAACTCCTAGACCTGTTGAAGAAGTGTGAAAACTAGTTAAACAATTCTCAATTTCTATTCAATAAACAAACTTAAATAGAATTCAAATATCCACACATGTACTCTTACTTAGAAAAAATATTCACATTTACTCTTACATAGACTAAATTGGCTCTTAGAAGAAAAAATGTCCAATAGAAACTTTTATTATAATATAGAAAGCACATGCAATTTTCTCAAATGTGGGTGTCACGTAAGCAAACATAAAATATGAGAGTAATTGCAAATGGGAAGAAAAATAATACGTATCAAGAAACCTATACTTTAATCTTTAAGAAAAAAGCTACTGCATTTCCATCATAAATAAATAAATATATATACACAGTATATATATATGTAGAATTTAAAAATCTGAGTTAATGCTTAATTAAGCTAACTAATCAGTTTGTTTCTTAAAACATTCTTATCAGTTGATATGTTTTTATCCATGGATGTGTCAATGATTTGGCTTATTAAAAATGGTCAGTTTTTGTAGTTAGGATTTTCTTTCTTTTTTTTAATTATTATTATACTTTAAGTTCTGGGATACATATGCAGAACGTGCAGGATTGTTACATAGGAATACACATGCCATGGTGGTTTGCTGCACCTATCAACCCGTCATCTACATTAGGTATTTCTCCTAATGCTATCCCTCCCCTGGCACCACAACCCCTGACAGGCCACAGAGTGTGATGTTCCTCTCCCTGTGTCCATGTGTTCTCATTGTTCAACTCCCACATATGAGTGAGAACATGCAGTGTTTGATTTTCTATTCCTGTGTCAGTTTGCTGAAAATGATGGTTTCCAGCTTAATCCATGTCCCTGCAAAGGACATGAACTCATCGTTTTTTATGGCTGCATGGTATTCCATGGTGTATATGTGCCACATTTTCTTTACCCAGTCTATCATTGATGGGCCTTTGGGTTGGTTCCAAGTCTTTGCTATTGTGAACAGTGCAGCAATAAACATACATGTGCATGTGTCTTTATAGTAGAATAATTTATAATTTATAATTGCTGGATCAAAAGATATTTCTGGTTCTAGATCCTTGAGGAATCGCCACCCCATCTTCCACAATGGTTGAACTAATTTGCACTCCCACCAATAGTGTAAAAGCATTCCTATTTCTCCACATCCTCTCCAGCATCTATTGTTTCCTGACTTTTTAATGATAGCCATTCTAACTGGTGTGAGATGGTATCTCACTGTTGTTTTGATTTGCATTTCTCTAATGACCAGTGAGGCTAAGCTTTTTTTCATATGTTTCTTGGCCACATAAATGTCTTTTTTTGAGAAGTGTCTGTTCATACCCTTTGCCTAGTTTTTGATGGGTTTTTTTTCTTGTAAATTTGTTTAAGTTCCTTACAGATTCTGGATATTAGCTCTTTGTCAGATGGATAGATTGCAAAAATTTTCTCCCATTCTACAGGTTGCCTGTTTACTCTGATGATAGTTTCTTTTGCTGTGTAGAAGCTCTTTAGTTTGATTAGAACCCATTTGTCAATTTTGGCTTTTATTGTCTTTGCTTTTGGTGTTTTAGTCATGAACATTCTATGCTCATGGACAGGAAGAATCAATATTGTGAAAATGGCCATACTGTCCAAAGTAGTTTATAGTGATATCCCTATCAAGCTACCATTGACTTTCTTCACAGAATTAGAAAAAAAACTACTTTAAATTTCATATGGAACCAAAAAAGCACCCACATAGCCAAGATAATCCTAAGCAAAAAGAACAAAGCTGGAGGCATCATGCTACGTGACTTCAAACTATACTACAAGGCCGCGGTAACCGAAACAGCATGATACTGGTACCAAAACAGATATATAGACCAATGGAACAGAACAGAGGCCTCAGAAATAATGCCATGTATCTACAACCATCTGATCTTTTACAAACCTGACAAAAACAAGCAAAGGGGAAAGGATTCCCTATTTAATAAATGGTGTTGCAAAAACTGGCTAGCCACATGCAGAAAACTGAAGCTGGACCCCTTCCTTATAGCTTATACAAAAATTAACTCAAGATGGATTAAAGACTTAAATGTAAGACCTAAAACCATAAAAATCCTAGAAGAAAACCTAAGCAACACCATTCAGGACATAGGCATGGGCAAAAACTTGTAGTTAGGATTTTCTATATATAGAGAAAAAATACAGTAGTTGGTAGAATAGTCAGAGTCTTTTAATGTAAAAGCACGGAACCTAGCCATTTCTAAAATATGAATAGATGAAATATTCAAAAAAAGTGAATAGATGGAAAATTAATAGAACCTCAATTCAAGGAATTTTAAAATTTAAGGTAAATTGCCAATTATCTAGTTCTATTTCCTTTTACTATCTATTTTCTATAATTTCATATATAAAATCATAGTATATTCTCTTTGAATCTGGTTTTTTTCACTCAGCATAATATTTTTAGATGCATTCATTATTTTGCATGCATTAGTCATGTTCATTTTTATTGTTGAGTAGTATTTTATATCATGGTTAGACTGTGTTATATTTGTCCATTTAATCATTTATGAACATTTTAATTGTTTCAAATGTTTGAGAACTATGACTATAACTGTCTTGAACATTAGGGTACACATGTGTCTGTGTGTATATGTTTTCCTTTATCTTGTGTAAATATATAAAGGTGGAATAACTGGGTTGTATGGTAAGTATACATTTAACTGTTTAAAAAATTGCTTAACTGTTATCTAAGGTGATTTTGCCATTTTACATTTTAACCAGAAATGTACAAGAGGTATTGTTGCTTCACATCCTTGGAAAAAGTTGAAGTTGCTACTAAAATTTTACAAATTTTAGCCATTAAAGCATGTGTGTAATGATGCATAATTTTACATTTAGTTTGCATTTATTTGATGAGGAGTGATACAATTTTTTATTGGTCATCTGTATATTTTACCCTGAAAAGTATCCATTTAAATATTTTGAGCCAGGGTTTTCATCTTGTAACTGTTAGTAGATGATCCTTTAGTGTCCAATTTAAGAAATCTCTTTCTGGATATAAGCAACATGGTAGACTAAGAAGCTATAAGCCCTCCTTTCCTCACAGAGACACTGAGTAAAAGAACATGTGGACCAGAGCACCTCTATGAAAACTCAAGAGACCAGCTGAGAATCAATAACATCCAAGCTATTATAAAACCAAGACAGGATTTCAGCAAAAAGAATAGAAAACACATAGCATTTGGTGAGCTCATTTGAGCCCCTCTCCCTATTCAGCATAGCATGATGCAATTGATAGGAAGCCTTTCATACTGGGAATCCTCTCTTGGGATGAAAACAGAGGAATGGACACACAGTCAACATTCTGGGCTGGTCTGAGGGCTGCTGAAGGGATTAGTTGCTGCCTGTCTGATTCAGAGCGTTAATTGAACCTGCACCAGAGTTTAGAAGCTCCTGAAAACAGACAAGCAATACACTACAGGTATAATTCCACAGGCAGTCATGAGAGGGAGCAACAGATCAGAAAAGGTATGAAATGTCCTAGAATCTTCAGCAAGGGTGATTGGTGAAGCTCTTCCCTTGCATGAAACCAGAAAGCAAAGCCTAGGAGCGATGGTTGTTTTTACACATGCCCAATCCCAGTAAAATATAAAAACATGGCATACAAAGGGGCAAAGTAATAAGTCTCAATAAAAGAAATAAAAAAAAACTTCAGAGACTTACTCTAAAGAAATTCAGACCTATGAGCTGTCTGACAAAGAATTTAAAACAACTGTTATAAAGATGCCAAATGAGCTAAAAGAGAACCCAAATAGACAACTAAACAAAACCAGAAAAATTATCCATAAACAAAATGAGAATATAAGAAAGAGACAAAAACTATAAAAAAGTAACAAATAGAAATTCTGAAGCTGAATAATGCAACAACTAAACTGAAAAATTTCTTAGAGAGGTTCAACAGCAGACTTCATTAGGCAGATAAAAGAATCAGTGAGCTTGAAGACAGTTAAAGTCAGAGGAGCAAGAAAAATGAAGGAAATCAGAGCTTAATGGACTAATGGGGCACTGTCAAGGAGAACAATGTAAGCATATAAATCACATAAAGAGAAGAGAAACAGAAAGGAACAGAGAAGTTATTTGAAGAAATCATGGCTGAAAATTATAAAATCTGAGGAAAAAAATAGACATGCAGATTCAAGAAGCTCACATAATTTAAATTATAATAAATCAAAAGAGAAACATGCCAAGACAGGTAATCAAACTGTTTAAAGTCAGAGACAAAGACAGAATCTTGAATGTTGCAAAAAGAAAACAATTCACATTCAAGGGAGCTCCAAAAAATTATCAGCAGATTTCTTAGCAGAAATTTGCAGGATGGTAGAGGGATGATATATTCAAAGTACGGAAGAAAAAATGTAAATCAAAAATATTGCATGTAGCAAAACTGTGTTTCAAAAATGAAGGAGAAAGTGGCTAGGTGAAGTGGCTCACACCTGTAATCCCAGCACTTTAGGAGGCTGAGGCAGGCAGATCCCCTGAGGTCAAGAGTTCAAGACCAGCCTGGCCAACATGGTGAAACCCAGTCTCTACTAAAACTACAAATATTAGCTGAACATGGTGGCACATGCCTGTAAGCCCAGCTACTCAGGAGGCTGAGGCAGGAGAATCACTTGAAGCTGGGAGGTGGAGATTGCAGTGAGCCAAAATCGTGCTGCTGTACTTCAGCCTGGCAACAGAGCAAGACTCTCTCCTCCATGCCCTCCCCCACAAAAAAAGGAGGAATGAATGGCTTCCCAGATAAATAATAGCTGAGGTTGCCACTAGGCCTGCTGTACAAGAAATGCTAGAGTCCTTCAAATTTAGACAAAAAGATGATAGACAGCAATAGGAACCTGTATGAATATATAAGTTTCTCCAGTGAAGGTAAATGTATGGTCAAATATAGTAACCTGTACTATTGTAATTTAGTGAATAGAATTTAAATGATAAAAAAAATTTTAAATTTACATCTATGTTCATGGATATATAATATATAAAGATGTAATTTTGACATTGATAACATAAAGTGTTTGTGTGTGGAGTAGCTGGAGCTGTGAAGGTGTAGGTTTATTCCTAGAATTCAAAGATGGCTCAACAATTGGGGTAATACAGCACATTAGCAGAATGGAGAAAAAATTCACATGATCATCTCAACTGATGCAGAAAAAACATTTGACAAGATTTAACAACATTTTATAAAATCTTTCAACCTAATTAAGAATACAAGGAAAGTACCTCAACATAATAAATGCCATTTCTGAAAAGCTCACAGCTAACATCACAGTGAACGAAGAAAGTCTGAAAGCTTTTTCCTATGTTCCGGAACAAGTCAAGGATCCTGGCTCTTACCATTTCTTTTCAACATAATGCTAGAGACTCTGGCCAGAAATATTAAGCAATAAAAAGAAATACAAGATATTCAAATTGGAAAAAAGAAGTTAAATTATCTGTTTTCATAGATGATATAGACTTATATGTAGAAAGTTCTAAAGACTGAAAAAAAAACCTGTTAGGACTAATAAATTAACTCAGTAAAGTTTCAGGATGCAAAATCAACATGGAAATCGTTTTCTTTTTATACACTAAAATGAACTTTCCAAAAATGTAATTAAGAAAGCAATTTAATGTGCAATAGGATCATAAATCATAAAATACTTAGGAATAAAAATCTAACCAAGGAGGTATAAGTCATGTATGTTAAAATTATAAAATATTTTTGAAATAAATTAAAGAAAACAAATAAATGAAAAGCATTTTATGTTTATGGATTAAAAAAACTTAATATTCTTTAGTTGTCCATACTACAAAAAGAGATGTACAGATTCACTACAATCCTTTTCAAAATCACAATGTCATATTTGCCACATAAAGAAAACATACTGAAAATTTAAAAGGAGTCTCTAGGAACCCCAAAATACCAAAACATTTGAAAAAGAACAAAACTGAAAAGTTCACATTTCCTAATTTCAAAACATATTACAGAGCTGCAGTAATAAAACAGTGTAACACAAGCATAAAGACAGATAAATAGAACAATGAAATATAATGGAGAGTTCAGGAATAAATCCTCAAATATATGGTCAAATAACCTTCAACAAAAAAATCTTAAGACCACTCCTAAAAGAAAGGGCAGGCTCCTTAACAAATGGTGTGAGGAAAACTGAATATTAACTATAAAACAATAAAGCTGGACTCTTATTTAACAACATATAAAACCTAACTAAAAATGGATTAAAGACTGCAACGTGAAACCTAAAACTACAAAACTCCTAGAAGGAAACAGAAAATCTTTATGACATTGAATTGGCAATGTTTTCTGGATGTGACACCAAAAGCACAGGCAATAAAACCAGCAATAGACAAAGTGAGACTACAACAAGCTTTAAAAAATGTGTACATCAAAGGACACAGTCAACAGAGTGAAAAGGCAAAATATGGAATAAACTAAGGCATTTTAGAAGTTACATATCTGATAAAGGGTTAATTTCTATAACGTATAAATAACTCTTACAACTCAACAAAAAATTGAATAACCTGGGAGTGTAAATTAGTTCAATCATTGTGGAAAACAGTGTGGAGATTCCTCAAGGATCTAGAACCAGAAATATCACTTGACCCAGCAATCCCATTACTGGATATATAACCAAAAGATTATAAATCATTCTACTATAAAGATACATGCACATATGTTTATTGCAGCACTTTTTACTACAGCAAAGGCTTGGAACCAACCCAAATGCCCATCAATGATAAACTGGATAAAGAAAATGTGCCACATATACACCATGGAATACCATGCAACCATAAAAAAGAATGAGTTCATGTCCTTTGCAAGAACATGGATGAAGCTGGAAACCATCATTCTCAGCAAACTAACAGGAATAGAAAACCAAACGCTCCATGTTCTCACACATAAGTGGGAGTTGAACAATGAGAACACATGGACACAGGGAGGGGAACAACACATACTGGGGACTGTGAGGGGTGGGGGGAAGGGGAGGGAGAGCATTAGGACAAATACCTAGTGCATTTGGGGCTTGAAACCTAGATGACAGGTTGATAGGTGCAGCAAACCACCATGGCACATGTATATCTATGTAACAAACCTGTACATTCTGCACATGTATCTCAGAACATAAAGTAAAATAAAATTTTTTTTAAATGGGTAAAGTGCTTGAATAGGCATTTCTACAAAGATGATGTACAAATGGCCAACAAGCATAAGAAAAGATGCACAACATCACTAATCATCAAGGAAATGCAAATGAAAAGTACAAAGGGATATCACCTCACATCCTTTAAGAATGGCCATTATCAGAAAATTCTTGAACAAAGTGTTCATAAGAATGTGGAGGAAATTGGGGCCTTTGTGCATTGCTGGTGGGATTCTAAATAATGCAAATACTATGAAACACAGTCTACCACTTCCTAAAATTAAAAAAAAATAGACCTACCATATGATCTGGTTTGGATCTGTGTCCCCACCCAAATCTCATGTTGAATTGTAATCACCAATGTTGGAAGTGGGGCCTGATAGAAGGTGATTGGATCATAGGGGCAGTTTCTCATGGTTTAACACCATCCCCCTTGGTTTTGTCATGGCAAGAGTGAGTTATTGCACGATCTGTTTGTTTAAAAGTGTGTAGCACCTCCCCACTCTCTCTCTTCCTTCTGCTCTGGCCACGTGAAGATGTGCCATCTTTCCCATCCCATTCATCTTCTGCCATGATTGTTAGTTGCCTGAGGCCTCCCTAGCCATGCTTCCTGTACAGCCTTCAGAACAGTGAGCCAATTAAACCTCTTTTCTTTATAAATTACTCAGTCTCAGATATTACTTTATAGCAGTGTGAGAAGGAACGAATACACCATATGATTCAGCAGTCACACTTCTGAGTGTATATACGCTAAAGCAGCAGTCCCCAACCTTTGTGGAACCAGGGACCAGTTTCATGGAAGACAATTTTTCCACGGATGGAGGGGGGATGGTTGAGGGAAACTATTCCACCTCAGATCATCAGGCATTAGTTAGACTCTCATAAAGAGGGTGCAACCTAGATCCTTTGCATGCACAATTCACAATGGGATTCATGCTCCTAGTAGAATCTAATGCTGCCATTGCTCTGACAGGAGGAGGAGCTCAGATAGTCATGCTCATTCACCCACCACTCACTTCCTGTTGTGTGGCCCAGTTCCTAATCGGCCACACACTGGTACCAGTCCATTGCCCCAAGGTTGGAGACCCCTGTGGGAACCCCTGCCCTAAAGAATTTAAGGCAAGATCCCAAAGACATATTTGCATACCCAGGGTCATAGAAGCACTATTCACAATAGACAAGAAATGGAAGTATTCTAAATATCCATCAGTTAATCAATAAAGAAAATGTGATATATGCATACAGTGGACTATTATTCAGCCTTAAAAAGGAAGAAAATTCTATCACATGCCACAATGTGGATGAACCTTGAGGACATTATGCTAAATGAAATAAATCATTCACAAGGAAACAAATATGCATAATTCCACTTATATAAAGTATCTAATGTAGTCAAATTCATAGAAATAGAAAGAACAATGGTGGGTGGCCATGGTGGCTCAAGGTCTATAATCCCAGCACTTTGGGAGGCCAAGGCGGGCAGATCACCTGAGGTCAGGAGTTCAAGACCAGCCTGGTCCAACATGGTGAAACCCCCATCTACTAAAAATACAAAAATTAGCTGGATGTGGTGGTGGGAGCCTGCAATCCCAGCTACTCAGGAGGCTGAGGCAGGAGAATCACTTGAACCCATGAGGCGGAGTTTGCAGTGAGCCAAGATCATTCCACTGCACTCCAGCCTGAGTGACAGAGCAAGACTCCATTTGAAACAACAACAACAAAACATACAAAAGAAACAAAACAATGGTGGATACCAGGGGCTGGGAGGATGAGGAAAAAGGGGAATTGTTTAATGGATATAGAATTTCAGATTTGCAAGATAAAAATGTTCTGGAAATCTGTGTCAATACAATGTGAATATAATTAATGCCACTGAACTGTATGATTAAAAATGATTAACATGGTACATTTTATGTTATGTATTTTTTACCACATAGAGAAAAACATATCAAGAAAAATATTTTTCTAACCCAAAGTTGCAAAACTTTTCTTGATATTTTTCTTTTAAAAGGAATGTTTAGCTTTTATGGCATGATAAATTCTAGGTTATTCTTTGTGTATAATATGAACAATTGGCTAAGGTCATTTTTATAAATGGAAATCCATCTTTTCCTGCATCATTTGTTGAAAAATGATCCTTCTTCAATTTTGTAAACTTTACACCTTTGGTGAAAATTGACTGACCACATACGTGAATCTATTTCAAAACTCCCTATCCTGTTTCATTCATCTATGTGTCTTTCTATTCATGAATACCACATTATTTTTTTACTGTGGCTTTACTGTAAGTCCTGTATCCCAACGATTTTATTTTTAGCCACTATTTTGGCTATTCTATTATATTTGAATTTCCATATAAATTTTAGAATCAGCTCGTCAATTTTTAGAAAAATTTACCATGAAATTTGCTATTGGGACTCAATGGCTTGATAACTTGATTTGACAAGAAGCGACTGTTTCGAATCATCATGTTACATTTCACTGTTTATTTGGATCTTGATCAGTTTCTCTTAATGTTTAACAGCTTCAAGTGTATACAGTTATAGCTCTTATTTTTTGTTTCCATTTTCAAAGTTTTATTGCTAGTACGTAAAACTAAAAGTGTTTTTAATATATTAACTTTTTATTATGAGAACTTACTACACTCACTTATTTGTATAAACACATTTTTAGATTTTCAAGTTTGGGTATCAGTATAATTAATAATTTAGACACTTCGTATGAATTGGTATATTCTCTTCGATTTTCTAAATGTGAGATTTGTTATTACTAACAATGTTTTACAGATTTTATACAGGCCTGAGGTTTTCTTTGCATTCCATTTTTCATTATAAAGTCAATTTTGTTCATAGATATGCAGCCATTTTTATTTCATTTTGAGTCCGTTTTGGTAATTTGTGGCTTGCAAATAGTTTGATAATTTCATGTAGATTATTAAGTTTATTTTCATTATTTGCTTGTAATTTTCCTTCATTGTTCTGGTAATGTCTGTAAGATATGTACTTCTCTCTCTTATTTTATTCCTGATATTAGTTATTTGTGTTTTTTTAAATGATTATTATAATAGAGGAATATAATTTTTTTAAGAGATTGGGTCTTGCTCTGTCACCTAGGCTGGAGTGCAATAGCAGGACTGACCATCGTGTAGAACTTCTGGGCTCAAGTGATCCTCCCAATTGAGCCTTCAGAGACCTCTGGGATTATCGGTCTGAGTGACCAAACATTTGCCCGCCAAATGTTTTTGATCTTTTTAGAGAACTACCTTTTGGTGTTATTGGGTTTTTTTCCCTTATGATTTTCTCTCTGTGATTTCTGTATCTATTTCATTGACTTTGTTTTTCTTCTATTTATTTGTATTTAATTTGCTAATATTCTTTTAGCTTCTTATTATGGATTTTTAGATTATTAATTTTTGACTTGTTTTTTAATAAAAGCATTTAAAGCAAAACATACAACTGTAACTTTAATCACTATCATAATTGCCTCCCATAGATTTTGTGTTTTTATTTTCCATCAGTTCAAAGTATTCTCTAGTTTGTCTTGTGATTTCTTCCTTGACCTATGATTTATTTAGGAGTTTTTTGTTTAGTTTCAAAATACTGGTAAGTTCAAAACATTTTTCAGTAGCTGATTTCTAATTTAATATTGTCACCTGGGAAGATTCTCTACAAGATCTCAATGTGTTTAGAATGATCAACTTGTCAATCTTAGTGAAAGTTACATGTGCATTTGTAAAGAATTGGTATTACAACTTCAAACTATATTACAAGGCTACAGTAACCAAAAAGTATGATACTGGTACAAAAACAGACACATAGACAAATGGAACAGAATCGAGAACTCAGAAATAAGACCGCACACCTACAACCATCTGATCTTCGACAAACCTGACAAAAACACGCAATGGGGAAACGAGTCCCTATTTAATAAATGGTGCTGGGAGAACTAGCTAGCCATATGTAGAAATTTGAAACTGGACCCCTTCCTTATGCCTTATACAAAAATTAACTCAAGATGGATTAGAAACTTAAAGGTAAAACCCAAAGCTATAAAAACCCTAGAATAAAATCTAGGCAATAACATTCAGGACATAGGTATGGGCGAAGATTTCATGAGGGAGAGCATCAGGAAGAATAGCTGTTTACCTATGCGACAAACCTGCACATCCTGCATATATACCCCAGACCTTAAAATAAAAGTTGAAGAACAGAAAAAGAATGGGTATTACACTGTCATTGGGTGGGTGTATTAGTTTCTTAGGACTGTTGTAATAAATTACAACAAATTAAGCTACTTAAAGCAACAGAAATTTATCCTCTCAGAGTTCTGGAGGCCAGAAGTCTGAAATCAAGTTTTGACAAGGTTTGTTCCTTTTCTAGGCTCTGTGGGAGAATCCATTCCAATTCCTCTTCCTTAGCTTCAGTGGCCGTCAATGATTCTTGGTGTGCCTTGATTTTTAGAAGCTTAAGGAGTAAAGAATGTGCCATCCTAAAATATGCCAGATTGGTGTACTTATTATTTTGAGTTAAAACATTGGAGAAATTGTAGTTTCAGAAACATGCAGCAAACCATACAGATTCCTGTAGGAGGCATACCCTTGCCATACCAGGGTGAGAAAATAGCCCTTCTCACCAGAGACTGGGAATTGGGGGTTGCAATGGACCTGAATAAATATACTTAATAAAATAACTCTTATCTTCCACCTGTTTTACACTCCCCCTGTATATCTCCTGGTGACTTCCCTAGAAATTGACTCCCTTAGCCAGGTATTATTTGTCCTGCCATTTCTTCTCAACTTTATAGTTCTTTTTTTCTGAAAAGCATAAAAGCATCATGCTTTGACCAGTTCTTCCATCTTCACTCTCTTGCAAAAATCCCCTGTAGATGTAAAACTAATAAAATCTGTATACTTTTCTCTTGTTGATCTTCCTGAAGTCAATTTGGTTTTTAGATCCAGCTGAAGAGCCCACTAAGAACTAAAAGGAGGAGTTAGAGATGATCTCTGGCTTCCCTACAAAGCATAAACATACTCCAAGCTATGCCTTGATATTTTTGTCACTTTCTTTATATCTTCCCTCTTTCAGTCTTTATAAGGATGATATCATTGGATTTGAGCCCACCTTCAATCCAGGATGATCACATCTTGAGATCTTCATCTTAACTATATTTGCAAAGATCCTTATTCCAAATAAATACATATCCTGAGGTTTCAGGTGGACATTAATTTGGGTGGGGACACTATTCAACCCAATAGAATGGATGTGGTATTTTATAAAGGTCAATTAGGACCAGTTGGTCGATAATGTAGTTCATGTATTCTCTATCGTTATTCATTTTAATCTTTTTGTTCTGTCAGTATTAGTTGCTGAGAGGAGCATTAACATCTCCAACTACAATTGTAAATTTGTCTATTTCTCCTTTTGGTTCTGTCAGTTTTTGTTTCATGCATTTTGAACATTTAAGATTGCAATGTCTTCTACATGAATTGACCCTTATCATTACAGAATGACCCACTTTTATCTCTGGTATAATTCTTTGTCCTGAAGACTACTTTTCTGATAGTTATCTCACAACTCGTATTTCCTTTGATTAGCGAATGGCATAATATATATTTTTATCATTTTGTTTTTAACTTCCCTTTTTATTTAAAATGTATCCTTTAGACAGCAAATAATTCTACCTTGCCTTGTTTAATCTGATAAGAGGTACCTTTTAATTGATGTATTTAGATCATTTACATTTAATATAAGTATTTATATTTGGGATTTTAAATCTACCATGTTGACATTTTCTGTTTGTTTCATCTGTTACTTTTTGTCTTTGCTTTGCCATCATTCTTCACAATTTATGAACTTTAAAAATTTTTGTCTACTCACCACTGTTTTTTAAGGGCTACTCTGTGTCCTACAATATCTAAAATTAACTGATTACAGTCAATATTCACTAACATTGTACTATTTCAAATATAATAAAGGAGCTTATGGAAATTTAATTGGATTTCCTTTTCCTCTTCTCCCCTCTGTGTTTAGCTCTCATACCCTTTACTTATGCATACATTAAAAACACCAAAATGTATTATTCTAGTTTTACTTTAAACACTCAGTTGTATTTAAAAAAATTAATTGTAATAAAAATGTGTTTTATATTTACCCACACATTTACCATGTCCAGTACTCTGCATTCCTCCCCCATATTCAAGTCTTCACCTGGTATTGTTTTTCTTCTGCCTGAAGAGCTTTATTTAATATTTCTGAAAGTCCAGTCCTGCTGAAGGTAAGTTCTCTCGTCTTTTACCCACCTGAAACATTCTTTATATCGCCTTTGTTTTTGAGGAATATTTTCACTGAATATAGAATTCTAGGTTTATAAGGTTTTTTAATTGAGATTTTTAAAATATTATATAAAATTCTTTTTTTTAATTTTATTGTTATTATCCTTTAAGTTTTAGGGTACATGTGCACACCGTGCAGGTTTGTTACATATGTATACATGTGCCATGTTGGTGTGCTGCACCCATTAACTCGTCATTTAGCATTAGGTATATCTCCTAATGCTATCCCTCCCCCCTCCCACCACCCCACAACAGTGCCCGCTGTGTGATATTCCCCTTCCTGTGCCCATGTGTTCTCATTGTTCAATTCCCACCTATGAGTGAGAACATGAGGTGTTTTGTTTTTTGTCCTTGTGATAGTTTGCTGAGAATGATGGTTTCCAGCTTCATCCATGTTCCTACAAAGGACATGAACTCATCATTTTTTATGGCTGCATAGTATTCCATGGTGTATATGTGCCACATTTTCTTAATGCGGTCTATCACTGATGGACATTTGGGTTGGTTCCAAGTCTTTGCTATTGTGAATAGTGCCACAATAAACATAACGTGTGCACGTGTCTTTATAGCAGCATGATTTATAATCCTTTGGGTATATACCCAGTAACAGGTTGGCTGGGTCACATGGTATTTCCAGTTCTAGATCCCTGAGGAATCACCACACTGACTTCCACAATGGTTGAACTAGTTTACAGTCCCACCAACAGTGTAAAAGTGTTCCTATTTCTCCACATCCTCTCCAGCACCTGTTGTTTCCTGACTTTTTAATGATTGCCATTCTAACTGATGTGAGATGGTAATTGAGATTTTTTTAAAAGGTCATTCCTCCATCTTTTTGCTTGCATGATTTCTGAGAAGTTATTCTTTATTTTCTATGTAATGCGTTTGTATTGCTGGCAGCTTTAAAGGTTTTTATTTTTATTGGTGGTTTTCAGAAAGTTGATTGTATCATGCATTTGCATGGTTTGCTTTGTTTATTGAACTTGGGAATCATTAAGATTATATCTGTGGGTTTATAGTTTTTACCAAAATTGGAAAAATTTTGGTCATTATTTCTTCAAACATTTTTTTTCTGATCCCTACTAATATGATGTGACTCTGTGTCTGCACCCAAATTTCATCTCAAATTGTAATCCCCAGTGTTGTGGAGGAACCTGGTGGGAGGTGATTGGATCATGGGGGCGGTTTCCCCTATGCTGTTCTCCTGATAGTGAGTGAGTTCTCATGAGATCTGATGGTTTAAAAGCACAGCACTTTCTCCCTCTCTTTCTCTCTCCTGCTGCCATACAAGATGTGCTTTGATTCCCCTTTGCCTTCCTCCATGATTGTAAGTTTCCTGAGGCCTCCCCAGCCATGCAGAACTGTGAATCAATTAAACCTCTTTTCTTTATAAATAACCCAGTCTCAGGTCATTCTTTATAGCAGTGTGAAAATGGACTATACACCTATGGTCACAATCTGGGATTCAAGTTACAACTATGTATGTCACATAACATTGTCCTGCAATCATTGAATCATTAAACCTCTGTTCTTTTTTTTTTTTTTCATTCTTTCTTCTCTGTACTCCATTCAGGATATGTTCTATTGCTATGACTTTAGATTGTTCTGTTTTCTTCCGTAGTGTATAATCAATACTTAAAAACATATCATCGATTATCATTTTTTCTTTCATAATTCTCTTTGGTTTCTTATTATATCTTCTACTTCTTTCCTCATTTTGTTAATTTAAATAAATCCTTGAGCATACATACTTATAATTGCTATTTTAATGCCCTTGTCACTTAACTGTTATCTCTGTCATTTTTTTTGTCTTTCCCTTTTTGTCCTCTGATGAATATTGGTCACAGTTTTCTGTTTATGTATATGTAGTATTTTCTATTGGTTTATGGTCATTGTGTACTTTACGTTGTTAAATGCTGACTTTTGTTGTTTTTAAGAGTCTTGGACTTTGCTGTTGCACTCAATTAAGTTTTTGGCAGATGAGTTTGAGCTTTCAACATTTTAAAGAAGCGATTAAAAGGCGATCTATCATAATCTATACAGTTGAGCTAATTTAGCCCCACAACAAAGGCATGGCATTCCTGCATTTTCAGCTGCAGTTCTCTTATATTCAACAAGGTTTCTTCACTCTGGCTAGTGAGACTTTGAATATTTATTGGCCTTTAGTGTGTTCTGTTGATTATTTAGCTTACAGTCCCCTATAATTGTTCTTTCCCTGAAAGTTGTTCTTTACTCAGTATCATGGAATTTCACTTTACATATGCACAGGTTAATAACTAGTGAATCCTTCAAGATGCTCTCTATGTATATATGTAAAGGTTTTTCCCTGAGTAGCTCTACCTTTCTAGAATCTGGCACCACAAATTCTGTACCTCAAGTATTAATGTTTTAGGTGAACATTTTATATTTTTTATTTCTCTACATATCTCATCTCAATTATGTTCTCTTCATTACTAGCTGATTGGCTTTGTTTTCTAGATATTTGAGAAAACTTGAAACAAGAAGAAGAGAACAATCAGGAGCTTTTATCACACATATCTACCTACAGGCATCTGAGCACATACACTCTGCCTTTCCTACTATCACCTTGCATGAATGGTTTACGCTATTTACAGTGACCTGTGCCAACATTTGTGCACTAACACTCATCTACTCCTCCTACTCAAGGACTTTGCTCCAATAATTCTTCTATATTTCTCTTTATTCAATAGTTTTAACACTATACCATCCCCCTTTTCCCCAATCATACAATATCCTGAATCCTTAAAAAACAAACAAACAAACAAAAAACTAGCCCATTCATGTTTTCATCTGCCCACAATTCCTCCATCCATGTGTTGATCCCATTTCCCTTCTCTTCTATGCAGATAAACTCCTGTGAAAAGAAAATAAATCTTGCAAACCCAACGTCGCTAAGTCAAAGGGAAAAGTCAAGCTGGGAACTTCATCAGGAAAACCTGGCTCCCATTTTATTGCTAAATAAAATAGCTACAAATATATATTTTTAGAAGCTACGTACCTCCCTCACAATTTGTCTACAAGGAAATTCCCTGTGGGCCTCAAGACATTTACCCTGAAATCATTCTGTTGAATTTCACCCTGGAAATGTAAATTGATAGCTTATCTACACAGCTGCAGGACACAGGATACAACTCTTAGTCATCCCTCTGCTCACCTCAGGCAAATACATATCTGATTGCTTTTTTCTGTCCTATTGTTATGTAAAGATGCAGATTCACTGAGCCAGTCTAAGGCATTAAGTGACTATTTGTCTATCCCTCTCTAACATGAAAATTGTGTATTCAGTGGAAGGCTGATCAAAGACACAAAAGAATGCAAACTGTTGTATCTTATTTACCTATAATAACTATTTACCTTCTGTAGTGTATAATCTGTACTTAAAAACATCATCAATTATCATTTTTTCTTTCATAATTCTCTGGTTTCTTATTATCTCTTCTACTTCTTTCCTCATTATGTTAATTTAAATAAATCCCATATTTACCTATAATTTACCCTGCTTTGAGTTGTCCTGTCTTTATGGACCAATGTACATCTTACACATATTGACTGATGTCTTAGGTTTCCCTATAATGTACAAAGCCAAGCTGTGCCTTGACTCCCTTGGGCACATGTTGTCAGAACCTCCTGAGGCTATGTCATGGGCACATCCTTAACCTTGGCAAAGTGAACTTTCTAAATACTTTTGGGTTCACACTCCTCAAAGGGTGATTTATGCTTTTCTTATTTGCATCCTCTCCTTTCATTTTCATTTGGATTTAGTCCAACCCAACTTTTATCTCCACCATTCAACGAAACGGCTTTCTCCAAATCACCAGTAACCTCCAAATTGTCTACTGTAATCTGATCCAGTCTAGTTCAATCTAACCCTCACCCCTGTAGTACTCAACCGTTGTCAAACTTTGGAGTCATTTACTGGTTTCTTTTTCTTGAAACACTTCCTTCACTTGGTCTCAAATAATTATTCTATAGGCTCTTCCCTACCTCACCATCTGTTTCACCTGGTTCCCCTTTGTTGAACTTCACTTTTCTCCTCAATCTTTCACCCTTGAAATGCTCTATGGCTTACTTCATGAACTTCTCTCAAATCTATACTCATTTTGTAAATTGTATCATTTCATTTCATATCTGTGAATTTTATCTCCATGCTGATAACTCCCAAATTTATATCTCAAAGATAGATTGCTCTCTAAAGTCTACTCTTACATGAAGCTGACTATCTGAAAGATTCATTTGACTCCATAATGAACATCTTATAATCAACGTGGTTGAAAACAAAGTCCTTGTTTTGCTCCTAAACCTCCTTTTCTTGTCTTCATCATCTTGAAAATGGTAATTCAACATTTATAGTTCCTGAGACCAAAAGCCTGGGAAGTATCCTTGACTACTCTCTTTTCCTCACAATCCAATCCATCAGCAAATTCTGATAGCCCTGCCTTCAAAGTATACCCTAAATCTGTCTCCTTTCCACTGCTCCTGTTGGTATTACTCTGGACCACACCACCATTATTTCTCTTGTTCAATTAAAGCCAAACTTGCTTCCACATTTCTTTTTTTTCTTCATCCCTCCTTTGTCACTATTTTCCACATTGCAGCCAGAGATACACCTGAAACATGAATTTTTCCTTCTGTTATATTAGCCCAATAGCTTCTCTCCTTATTTAGAGTCAAAGTCCAATTTTGTTTCCCTGATATCTCTTATTCTTATCTCCTATTTGCTTCCCTTTGCTAGCTTCTCTGTCCACACATATCCTCGATGTTTGTGTAATGTACTTTCCCTTCAAAGCACCTGCTATTCTCTCTGCTGGACTTACCAGGCACAGAGTAAATATTGACTAACTGATGGAATAAATCAACATAGATGGTGTGTGTAAATTGACTAGTAAAATAAACCAAATTTGGGGCAGAAAAAGAATTAAAACGTAATCTATTTTTCCACAGTGATATTTCTCTGGATATCTAGAATGTAAAATCCAAACAATGAATGTATCTTTACAGTAGAAATATGTTATATCTTCAAGCAGATAATGGGGTTTGTTATTTGACTTTCTGAACTAATTCTTCCTTGTAACCTGTTATTTCCAAACACCATCTGTATTATTTTAGTATTTAAATTTTTTATTTTTATTTTTTAATAGAGACAGTGTCTCCCTATGTTTCCCAAGCTGGTCTCAAACTCCCGGGCTTAAGGAATCCTCCTGCCTCAGCCTCCAAAAGAGCTAGAATTACAGGCATAAGCCACCATGCCTGGCCTTAGTATTTAAAAAATATTATCTTATATATATTCATAAATATTGTTGAAGATCCTTCAATAGATTTCTCTTGATTGTAAGAAAAATTTTTAATTGTGGAGATTTCTTATTAAAACAATCAGTAACAACAAAGCAATCTAGTTGCCTAAAGATTTACTCAGAAACATTTTCAAAAAAATAATATTTTCAAAACTTGTAGATTATTTACAATTTGGGATTAAAATATAAAGAAACACATTGAAAATGACTATTATAATGCTGGCACATGAGCTATGAGATGTTTTCTTCTTCAACTTCTATAAAAAGTCAACAGTCCATTTGGATGGGTACCACAATTGTTTCATTGCACAATTCTTAATTCCATATCACCAGCTGAAAAGAACAAATTGTATTTCAGTAAGAAAGAAATAGCTACATTCTTCCTCAATTCTGCCATAATTCAATTTCCTCTGCTGGCTGCTCCAGTCCACTTGTGACTGATGGTAGGCGGCAACATATGGCAGCATTGAGAGGATTTATAAAGAAGTCTGCTAATGGTAGCAAACAAATAAACAATCGGGAAAACCCAACAGTCAGGAAGAATTAATAAAGCTGGCAAATGCTTGGTTAGTAGAGCTTCTCAAAGTGAACAATGCCAAGTGTCTGTAAATATCTTGGTTGAGCTTTCTCTCAGCAGGCAGAACATATTAATTTTCAGGGATTTACTAAATTTAACATAGCTGCAAATGTACATACTTACTACTAAAGCCTCTGTCTCTCTTGTGGTGTGGTGATTTGCCAAAATTAAGCCTTCAATAACCAAATGGGAAAACTGATAATCTTAGTAGAAGGCTGAATCTAATTATTTCTGCCTTGCATTGCAAAATGTTTTTAAAAAACATCCAAATTTTGCAACACGTTTAGAGGTAGAATGGCTAGAATGTGCTTTCTATATCTTATTAAGAACAAGGGATTTTAGTCCCTAAAATGGTTTGCTGTACAGTAAAAATAAATGTATGTTTTGAAAATTAATTGTCTTTTACCAAACCAGCTGTTAAGTTCTTTTCTCTGTCTGTAACTTACAAGCAGTCCCTTAACCACTTTTTTTCATTTCTGTTATCACAATACTCAATAGAAAGATTAAAAGTTTTCTAATCAAATAACACAAGAAGACAAAGGAAAATATCAATATTTCCAAAGAATAGGGTTTCCTCCTTTGGTTATGTACCTTTGATGTTACCTTTTTCTAACTTTCTAAACTTTACATGCAGGTTAATAAAACTGCTTATCTCTTTGACCCAAATCAGAATGTTCTTCTCAAAAGTGACATTTAGATTGATTTCTTCTTTAAAATTGTAATGCTTTTTCTTATGTGGTTCTTTGCAATGTAGAATTGTCTGTTCTAGTGTTTGGGGTTTTTAATATAGTTTCGAGCTATTTAAAATTATCTACTTCAATGATTGTGTTCATACTTTTCTTGGGGTTCTGAAATAGCTCATAAACTTACCTTCCCATTCACAATGAGGGAAATAATTATGAATTGTTCTCCAACTTAGCTTTCAAAGCTAATTACTAAGGGGGGAGAAACACAACAACAAAAACCAAAAATCTGAGCTTTTCCTTCACTATAGACAAATTAAAATCAGAATCTTTGAGACTGAAACACCAAAACAATATTTATTCTCTCCAGCTAATTCAAGGGTTAAAACACAGCCAGGGTTAAAATCTACTGAATTTGAGGTTGTAGCCAGAGCTCTTCTTTCCTTTCTCTGTAATTGATGAGGAAACTTCAGAGTTTTGGTCTTTTCAAACTTCTCACAGTACATGTAGGACCCAAAGCTTCCTCATGCCCACTACCCAGATTGGACTTTCTCAAGTTAGTTGTTCCCCATTTCCATCCAGCTAGGGAGGGGTATATGGAAGAAAACCTAAACAACTCACCAGTATTCACAGGACTCTCTAGAGGACCATTTCAGAGTTTTGGCCTTTGCTGATAGGCAGCCTTGGGCTGAGCCATTTGAACCTTGAGAGGTATTTAACCCTGCTGGATTTCCATCTCAATCTTCTTCCCTTAAAAATTGCACTTCAGCTCTTAAATTCACAACATACCCCTATATACTTTTAGAAAATCACTTTATTAAATATAACTGACATACATTTTTATGAACTTATCTGAATATTGTCTTGTGTTTCATTATTGGCAGGATAAACTGTAAGATTAAGAGTTTTAATGTAAGAAAGACTTGTTTGTGAATTCTAGGTGGGGTTTTTTTTTTGCAATTTTTTAATTTTTTTTAATTTGAGATGGAATCTCACTTTGTCACCCAGGTTGGGGTACAATGGTGCGATCTCGGCTCACAGCAACCTCCTCCTCCCAGGTCCAAGCAATTCTCCTGCCTTGGCCTCCTGAGTAGCTGAGACTACAGGCACATGCCACCGTGCCTAGCTAATTTTCGTATTTTCAGTAGAGATGGGGTTTCACCATGTTGGCCAGGCTGGTCTTGAACTCCTGACCTCAAGTGATCCACCTGCCTCAGCCTCCTAAAGTGCTAGGATTACAGGCCACTGCACCCAGCTTGCAATGTATTTTCTAGCTTTATAGGATAGAAATCAGTACTTACTTCATGAGCTTGCTTCAATGACCACAGAAGGTACTGCATGTGGGGTGTATGATATATGGTCTGATATGTAAAATCTACTTCCGTTTTTAATCCTTATATATCTTCAGGAATATAGGCTCTTGGTAAACAAAATTATCCCATCCTGATCTTTTTTCCCCAATGGGCTCTATGTGTTCCCAGCCATCACTAAAACTCAATTATTCTCCAAAATTGCAGCATCTCTGTAGTACTCCTAAGTGGAAACTACTCATCCCACATCCTCCCTCTAATGTTTCTGTATTATATTTCCTTGAATGAGTATATAAGCGTATTAGAAATGTTATGATTCCAGAGAGCAATGCAATCAAAATCAGTGAGCATGTATTGATTACATACTCTTTGCCAGGCTTTGTTCTACACAAAGATGAAATGTTGCTTCTTGCTACATTTTAATTGCCCCAAGGACTAATGTGCTGCAAATACCCAACACTGAGATGCAGCTGGTGATTGCAGTGTTACTGATTAGATTCTGCCTAAAAGTGAATAAGCTTTTGTTCTATGTCTACATTGGAGTGGATTTCCTAGCCAGTCAGAAAAGCCCCTAGTGATGCTATGTACCAATAAGATTTATCTCTAATGTCCATCCCCTCTATCAAAAGGTTCATTCTCCAATCAGTAAAGCTGTTTGGAGTTGAAATAGCATGCTCTACCTCATGAAATATTCTATCCCGAAAGGTGAGCCAGAAAGCAGCTGAGAATGCTTAAGGACAAACTCCCTCTCTCAGGAGGAATTCTGCAATGGAGTTGGAAGCGTACTGTATACTGAATCAGAAAACTTACAATTTGATTTGGTATTTCCATTACTGGCTGTGATTACTCAAATCAGTTAACTCCAATGGCCAGATATTTTTTTCGTCTGTATGTACCCATGTTACATGTACCTCATGCCCTAAATTCCACTAGAAGCTAAAAAAATATAGAAATATAGCCTAAGGGCCTTATACTTTAACTGCAAGGAGAAGATCTTCAGACATGGCAAAAAGAATCAAATAAAATAGTATGTTTGCATTCAACTTGTTTGATTACAGACTAAGAATTATTTAAACACCACAAAGAGCATAAAAATCATTGTTACCTGTTGTAGTTGGTGCCTTACCCACATGTCATCACTAAAGGTCCTTGGGACAATTGAGCTGAACGAAGTGTTTCTAGACAGTTTAAAGTGTAGATATTTGAAATGAAGTGTAAGATAGCTTTATAAATGTGGTCTATGATTAAATGTTGTTAGTCTATGAGACCAGAAATCCTCGCTAAGATTTTTGTGTTAGAGCCACAGTTATTTCTTTTGAGTTGAAAGTATACAGGGGTAAACTCATCAATGAGCTAGTCTGTCTTTCATTCGGTATAATTACCTAGAAAGCAGTGACATTTATGGGGTTTTATGGCCTCTTCCATTATTACGTGATGTGCTTTCATCATTTACTTCCTGTAACCAACAATCTATCTAGATTCGATTCCCTGGGTATAAAATTTTTTATTTTTTCCATTAAACAGGAAAGGTCACTTGACATCAAAATTTGGGACAATGCTCAAATATGATTCCAGGCAAACTACTGATGTTCTGAAAGAAGCTTGGAAGGCCTGTAACTCCCTCATAAATGGTCAAAGTTAGATCTGGGATGAAATTGATTTGTTCATATTTACATAGTGTCATTTAAGGTTGTAAATTTACAGACTTTGTAAACATTACCTGTCATGAGGTGAAGAACAAATTAGAACATAACAACTGTTCACTGGCACATAGGGATTTGATAAAATGAAGTGCCATATTTAATTGGAAATATGAGGAAATGTTAGGTAGTAAGAGTGCAATTATATGAACTGGAATAATGCCAGGCCTCTTACTCTGTCCTGGGGGCATTATGGACTCCCAAGAAGTGACCAGATTGTCTGTGCTAAGGCTTGAATGTGAAGGGCATCACAGGAGCAAATGATCACTGGGGACAGTCACACAGCCAGAGTGGGGATTTTATTTCTTACAGTGAAATAGCGCTTGTCTAGATGACAGTACATGTGTAGGGTGAAGTGACCTAGAGAAAAGTTTCTTACATAGCACATTTTCTATCTCTTTCATTCTTTGTTAAAGATCTCAGAACGGAATATGAAATTTGGCTTAAATTTTACAAAGTGAATTATTGTTCAATAAAGGTAATATTATGTAGAATAGAATTCTGAAGAACTAACTATTTCGAGTGAACCACACATTTTTCGAACTAGCTCTGTATACTTTAAAGGCTAATTTCCAGGTGAGAGGATTGATACGTTCATTTTGTACTTTTTACCTGAAGAAAATACACATGAAAAAGTCAAGGAAAGGGGTAAGGCCACAAAGACATACCTTCATATAGACCATGATCCCAAGCCAGTTTTATTGCTGTTCATATTTTCATAGCACATTTCTATCTTACAATTTGTTTTTACTTGTTAATATTTTCTTTTTCAGTACTTTAATGTAGCAACTTAACAAGGATTCATATACACTGCATAAAAAATAATTGTTCTGATGCAGTTATATATTTTATTTCAATTTTCTTGTATACAGATGGAACAGAAGAAAGTGGTTAGCTGATTGGTAAGTGGCACTAGTATGTTAAGAATGCTATGGGTGGGAGTGGTGACTCATGCCTGTATCCCCAGCCCTTTGGGAGACCAAGGCAGGAAGATCCCTTGAGGTTAGTAGTTTGAGGCCAGGAGTTTGAGACCAGCCTGGCCTTTAGTAGAGTCTCGTCTCTGCTAAAAATAATATATATATACCATTCAGGACATAGACATGGGCAAGGACTTCATTACTAAAACACCAAAAGCAATGCCAACAAAAGCCAAAATAGACAAATGGGATCTAATTAATCTAAAGAGCTTCTGCACAACGAAAGAAACTACCATCAGAGTGAACAAGCAATCTATAGAACGGGAGAAAATTTTTTCAATCTACCCATCTGACAAAGGGCTAATATCCACAATCTACAAAGAACTTAAACAAATTTACAAGAAAAAATCAAACAACCTCATCAAAAAGTGGGCAAAGGATATGAACAGACACTTCTCAAGACATTTATGCAGCCAACAGACACATGAAAAAATGCTCATCATCACTGGTCATCAGAGAAATGCAAGTCAAAACCACAATGAGATACTATCTCACACTGGTTAGAATGGTGATCATTAAAAAGTCAGGAAACAACAGGTGCTGGAGAGGATGTGGAGAAATAGGAGTGCTTTTACACTGTTGGTGGGAGTGTAAACTAGTTCAACCGTTGTGGAAGATAGTGTGGCGATTTCTCAAGGATCTAGAACTAGAAATACCATTTGACCCAGCCGTCCCATTACTGGGTATATACCCAAAGGATTATAAATCATGCTCCTATGAAGACACATGCACATATATGTTTATTGTGGCACTGTTCACAATAGCAAAGACTTGGAACCAACCCAAATGTCCATCAATGATAGACTGGATTAAGAAAATGTGGCACATATACACCATGGAATACTATGCAGCCATAAAAAGGATGAGTTCATGTCCTTTGTAGGGACATGGATGAAGCTGGAAACCATCATTCTGAGCAAACTATTGCAAGGACAGAAAACGAAACACCTCATGTTCTCACTCATAGGTGGGAATTGAACAATGAGGACACTTGGACACAGGGCAGGGAACATCACACACTGGAACCTGTCGTGGGGTGGGGGGAGGGAGGAGGGATGGCATTAAGAGAAATACCTAATGTAAATGACCAGTTAATGGGTGCAGCACACCAACATGGCACATGTATACATATGTAACAAACCCGCACGTTGTGCACATGTACCCTAGAACTTCAATAATAATAATAATAATAATAATAATAACTTGGTGTGGTGGTACACACCTATAGTTCCAGCTGGATTGAGCCTATATTCAAGTATTAGAGTGGGACCAGCACAGCCCATCTCCTTTGACTTTAAGGACAAATGCTGAGGCATAATTAACACTCCAAACTTGTGCTCTACTATTGCATTGAAGTTAGGTCTCTTTCTGCAGTCTTGCTTCTGCTTTTCTTTTTCCTCTTCACTGTCCTTACTTCACCCATTTCTTTCCTCAGTTTTTCCTGGCTTCCTGATATGGTTTTGCTCTGTCCCTACCCAAATCTCATCTTGAATTTCTACATGTTGTGGGAGGAACCTGGTGGGAGGTAATTGAATCATGGGGGCAGGTCTTTCCTTTGCCATTCTTGTGATAGTGAATAAGTCTCACCAGATCTGATGGTTTTATAAGGGGGAATTTCCCTGCCACAAACACTCTCTTTGCCTGCTGCCATCCATGTAAAAAGTGACTTGCTCCTCCTTGCCTTCCACCATGATTGTGAGGCTTCCCCAGCCATGTGGAACTGTAAGTCCATTAAACCTCTTTCTTTTATAAATAGCCCTGTCTCTGGTATGTCTTTATCAACAGTGTGAAAACAAACTAATACACCTCACATCCTTAATAAATCAATTGCAAGCACATCCAGTCCTCAAGGTTGACTTCCTGGGAACCACACCCAAGCTATGGGTAGAGTCAAATGTGTTATCCTCCAAGAAACTGAGTAGTGTTTTGATCCCTGAGGTATGTTAAGAACCTTATCCTAAAGAAGGATAAGAGCCTAAGAAGTGTCATTTGGGAAGACCAAAGGAAAACTGCCTTTTAAATTAAAAACATTTCAGACCCCTTACACTTTTCTTTCTGACATTAGCTTTTTATGTAAATTTTTATATACTACCATTCCATGACCACCAGTTGTTTCCTGGAAGGGGGTCCCCATCCAGACCCCAAGAGAGGGTTTTTGAATATCATGCAAGAAATAATTAAGGGCAAGTCCACAAAGTAAAAACAAGTTTATTAAGAAAGTAAGAAAATAATGGCTACTCCATAGGCAGAGTAGTGGTATGGGATGCTTGACTGAGTATACTTACAGTTATTTCATGATGATATGCTGAACAAGGGGTGGATTATTCATGAGCTTTCCAGGGGGAAAGGGGCAGAGATTTCCCAGAACTGCAGATCCTCCCCTTTTTAGACTATATAGGGTAGCTTCTGAACATTGCCATGGCACTTGTAAACTGTCATGGCATTGGTGGGAGTGCCTTTTAGCATGCTGATGCATTATAATTAGTGTATAGTGAGCAGTGAGGACGACCAGAGGTTACTTTCAGCACCGTCTTGGTTTTGGTGGGTTTGGGCCGGCTTCTTTACTGCATCCTGTTTTATTAGCAGGGCCTTTGTGACCTGTATCTTATGCAGACATCCTATCTCATCCTGTCACTAAGAATGCCTAACCTCCTGGGAAAGCAGTCCAGTAGGTCTCAGTCTTATTTTACCCAGCCCCTATTCAAGATGGAGTTGCTCTGGTTTGAAGGCCTCTGAGAGTTGGAGACCCATTACCTTTTGTTTTTGTCTCAAGTTCTGAATAGCCATTGAATTTCAATGAGCTATTGTTAATAAGGTAAATATATTGCAAAGTCGAATCAAGTTACTTTATGTCTTACTTTTTATTTATCAAAACATCACAAGCTTCAGATACAAAAAAATTATTAAAATTTTTCATATGCTCTTAAACACCTACTACTTCATTTTCCTGAAGACATTAATCTTTCTATTTATCATATTAGCTTTTTCATATGTTCAGACCTTGGCATCTTATCACAAATTCATAAGAACACAATAAAAACAATGCTTGCTGGTTTGTGTGCTGTAACAAATTGTTGCCGCCTCCCCAAAGTGGAACACATTTCAACAGTTCCACTTAAAATCATGTTTTCAATAATATCATTCGTTTGCTATTATCTTCCTTTTATTCTCAGTCTTCACAGTCACATATGGAGATATTATTCCCACTGTTCATTAAGGTTCCTGCTGTGCTTGAAAGCTACTTCCTGACAGCTCACAGTCACTCCTGTGAGAAGAATCTAGGGCTCCCAAACTCTACAATATGCTCACTTAAGAAGAAAAATGCTATGTGTTTCATTTCTACCATGTTCCAACATTCCTAACGCTGATTAAATATAGAAAGAAGACAAATGAACAAGTTTCATGATAACTTTTGATGCTAGTGCAGACCTCCCACTGGGTCACATTTTCTGCCTGACAGGTGGTCCATTCTGCTGAAATACCACTGAGCTGGTAAACTTAAGCAAGAGCATATGACCCACCTCTCAAACCTGGGGCTGAAAGCAGCAGGGGTTGGATACATACCTAATAATCTCACATTGAAAAATCTCCACTGCAATGTATTTATTAACCTGTGTGTCTGACCCTAGAAATTTCTATGGATGGTGAAGGCGGAGATAACAGATGAGTCTTCTGTTCCCCACATTTTGTAGGAACATTTCTCACCTGTGTCTGAAATACTTCCAATGGGTTCTGATTATAAATTTAAGAAAACCACATTCACATCAAGAAATGCTATTTGTAATCTTTCCCTGGATTGGAACCATTTTTAGTTTTCATTTCCTTTGAGATTGGATAGCACATACATGCTAAGGCTTCTCATTAGAGGAGAAACATACAATTACTGGCAAATTTTCAAAGTATTAGGACAAGTGATAATCTCTTCTTTGTAATAATTATATATAACAGTAATTATTGGTCTGGGACTTGTGTGATTAAGTAGATTTCATACCTAGATTCTTCTCTAAGTCAATACACCTGCGTGTTTTCAGTTACTAAATATTTCTACCTCCTTAATTCTTATCGACCCCATTTCTTTTAAATTGTACCTCCAAGTGTTTGAAGTTCTCCAGAGCTTATCTATTTTATCCTCTTTAAAATTCACAATACGAGTCACGTCAAGGTAATTAACAGTGATAACCTATTTTGCATAAAGTTATTATAAGTGAACAAGAGCACAAAACGTTTCCAGAAATTCCCCCAAAATGTGGAGTTTCTAAATTAGAGCACATATGGCCCTCTTGAAGCTTTGAGTAATATCTGTTGTGAGTAAACCATCAGGGTTTAGATAAGTTCTTGAAAAAGATGCAATTTAAATATTTTTGAATGAAAAAATATTTTGAATACATTATAACAAAGAGACTTTAGAGATAGACTTAATTATCAAGTTTTAATTTCATAGATTATAATTCAGTACATTTCATCCAAGGATCATCTATAATTTCAATTGTGCTAACACTTTCTAAAGTTGTGAAGGATTTGATGATGCTGAGTCTAAAAGATATCCCCCAATTTTCCAAAAAGCCCTCAGCTTTTGGTTACATGACAATTGCTTTAGGTTTCTGCTTCGTAAGTTTGTTTCTTAATGTTTTTATTTCTTATTGGTGAGGACCTCCAGGGATATATTAATTTGGTTTGTAAATCCTAGTTGACTGACTTCACAAGTATTAGAAAGGAAAAAGTGTTTTCTCTTTAAGCACATTTTAAGCATAAAGCCAATATTTAGAAATGCTCACAAAAGAATGTTAAACAGGGTAACTGGAGGGACTACCAGACAATGACCAGCCATATGTTTATACTGTAATGTAAGTTTTCTGCATGGGGAGCCATAATAGCTTTGAATAGCAGCACATTCTTCTTAGATTGGGAAGCTAAACTTTCCCTGTAATAACTAGAATACTAATTAATTCTTGTTGACAATATAAGCCAAACTAAAGGAAAACTTGTTTTTACTTTAGTTATAGACAAATACAAACAGACAAAGGTTTTTTTGGTCCTCTGTGTTTAGAACATTGCTAGGAATTTTTCAGGCAACAGCAGGGGATATTTCCAAGTGCAATCAGAAGAGAATGATTAGAAAATCAAACCTGAAATTCTCTTATCTCAGTGCTTAATGAGGCGAGGGAAGTTGGTATTTTGTAATGAAACCCTCTAGGTTTTTTTTTTCTCTTCTCTCTATAGGGGCAGAGGAAAAGCTTCCCCTTTGCTTCAGAAGGTCCAATGAAAAATCAACTCACAAAAGCAGATTAATAGGAAAAAAAGCATACACATGTATTTGATGATAGTTTTTCATGACACAGGAGCCTTCAGAATGAAGAACCCAATACCCCAATAAGGTGCAGAAACTTACATGCTATCTTCAATTTAGAGAAAGACTGGGAACTTGGAACATGACCTAAAACCGGTTAGGGTGATAAATCACATGGCAAGACAGGTTATGGGAGAGAGAGAAGAGGAGACTTGACTAGTAAAAGTAATCTTGTTATGTAGATAAAACCTCATAGGTCACAGCCCTCAGAAATAATATATGGTAAGTGTTTTTGTCTGTTTTTTTTCCCAAATCTTTAAATCTGTAAGATTCTCAGTTCATCTTTCCTAGATCCAGACAAGGGAAGGCCTTGCTGTATGATAGGAGATTCTCTACAGATGCAAAAGACAGTTTTACAGGGCCCCTTCTATTTGCTGGCCCTCTGGCAGCCATCACAAAATATGTCAAAGAAATACATTTCGGGGTAAAATATTTTGATTTCCTTCAGTCCGCTCTTTGAAACTTAAAAAAGTTTTACATACTAAAAGCCACACTGATAGATTTGAAGAGCTATAGGTTAGAGGTTGTCTGATACAAATAGACAAAGGAGTTGAAAGACAAATTGGGATAAGCAGAAAAGAGCAAATTTAAATATATCATGCCATATCTTCTAGTCAGTCTCTTGGTCCTGAGAATAGATCAGTTCAGTTAAACGACAGTGTCCCATTCCAGGAGGTGGCACTGCAAATAAATGGCCTAAGTCTCTATATATGGTACAGGCAAACAGATCTTTCATAAAAGACATTTCTATGGAAACAAAAGAAAACCAAAGGTTAATGTCTGCAGTAGTTGATAGACTAGCTCTTCCAGAATCTTCTAAGCATCTTCAGATTGCAATGGCAATCTGACAGATTTTTCTTTTTATTTGTGAAAAGAAAATAAATCTCATGACCCTCAAATCACTAACCCAAAGGGACAAGTCAAGCTGGACACTGCATGAGGCAAACCTGGCTCACATTTTATTCCTAAATAAGATATCTACAAAGATAAAAGAGCTACATATTTCCCCCTAGAAGATTCCTTGTGGGTCCCAAGATCTTTACCCTGAAAGAGTTCTGTTGAATTTTACCCTGACAATGTAAACTGATAGCTTATCTTCACAGGTGTGGGACAAAGAAGAGAACTCTAAGTCATCCCTCTGCTCACCTGAGACAAATACATAACTGATTGCTTCCTCTGATGTAAAAATGCAGATTCACTAAGGTAGAAGTCATAAGTGAAGATTCCTCTACTCCTCTCTGACATGTAAATTGTATATTCTTTGAAAGGCTGATCGAAGACTCAGAAGAAGGCAACTGTTTATCTCTTATCTATCCACACATTTTAAACATTTCTTCCTCTTTCCTAAATATCTGCTCTTTCCTGGTTAAATATTGAAGTCCTCAAAATCATCTTGGGAGAAAGGCATAGACCTGTCTCCTGGGCTTGCATCCTTAACCTTGGCAAAATAAACTTCCTAAATTGTTTGAGGCCTGATATTATTTGGCCGTGTCCCCACCCAAATCTCACCTTGAATTGTAATAATCCCTACGTGTCAAGGGCAGGACCAGGTGGAGGTAACTGAGTCATGGGGCAGTTTCCCCTATACTGTTCTCATGGTAGTGAATAAGCCTCATGAGATCTGATGGTTTTATAAACGGGAGTTCCCCTACACAAGCTTTCTTGACTGCCACCATGTAAGATGTGTCTTTCTTCCTCTTGGCCTTCTGCCATGATTGTGAGGCCTCCCCAGCCATGTGGAACTGTGAATCCATTAAACCTCCTCCCATTATAAATCACCCTGTCTCGGGTATGTATTTATTACTGGCAGAGAACAGACTAATGTAGTAAATTGGTACTGGCTAATGGGGCATTGCTGTAAAGATACTAAAAAATGTGGAGGAGACTTTGCAACTGGGTAACAGGCAGAAACTGGAACAGTTTGGAGGGCTCAGAAAACAGGAAAATGTGGAAAAGTTTGAAAATTCCTAGAGACTTGTTGAATGGCTCTGACCAAAATGCGGATAGTGATATGGACAATAAAGTCCAGGCTGAGGTGGTCTCAGATGGAGATGAGGAACTTGGTGGGAACTGGAGTAAAGGTCACTCTTGCTATGCAAAGAGAAGGGTGACATTGTGCCCTTCCCTTTGACATACTTAAAACTTAATGTAATAGTAGAAAATGTCCTTCTAAAAAATGTTTTAATTTTCAAAAAGAAAGTTTTAATAATCCATATTTAAGGTATTTGAGTCACCCAGGTAAAATTAAAATGATAAATTAAAATTACTAAATGTCTGCTTTAAAATTTAAGGATGCATCCTTACCCACGTGTAACTGATCCTGCCAATTTGAATATATTTGACATTACAGCAAGTCAGTTGTTGGTGATACGGTGTAATGAAAAATTTGTTGTCTTTTTTTAAAAAAGCTATTTTAGCTTGAAATGTTGCCATTTGAGGGAGGGAAGAAGAAGGTACACAGGATTTGTTGCTAGCATGTACCGCTATTTGGACCTGAATCCGGCGCATTTTTGTTTAATGCTGTTCCAGTTGGAGGCATGAATGAGCTGGATGCATCATCTGAGGATGGCAGCTCCACAGGCATCCACCAGTTTGCTAAAAGGCTTTGTATGTGTTTGTTTTTGCAATTGTATTTCTCAGTTTACAAATGCTTATCCAGCACCAGCATTCTACAACTGGCAAGTAAAACTGAATGCACATAGATAATATGTGAGTGTTCTAGTCATACTGATATACTTTATTGGGAAATTAAAAACTGTTTGTGGATGAAAGTAGAATGGGGGAATCTGGTGATTTTTAAAGATTAATCAAATATGCTTGAATAAAAACCAGCTGCTGCCTAATAGAGAATCACATGAAACAACTTTGAGAGATGGAGACTTACTATGTTATGTGCATGCATTTGTTATGGGAAAAGATGATGTCCACGTGTTAACAATGTCAACATGCAAATGAGTGAAAACATAGCTTTTCTCTCTTGATCTTTATCAGGGTTACACAGTCATGTTGAATTTTATTACTTGATCTACTTTTGGCTCATATGTACTATGGTTTAGACATGGCCATAAGTCTAGGCAAATATTAAACATTGATGCCGACAGGCATCAGCAGTAATTCTATGCATAGAAAAGTTAAGAAGCTTGTTGTCCATGGCGGAGATTTCCACAGGTTGGAAGAAAATTTCAGTGACAGAGCAAACTGATGCACCAGTTATGTAAGCAGAAATATCTTCATGAAAATGTTGGTAGTATTGTCTTTTCTAGACACATACTCATAGGTCTCCTATTTCTTGTGTGTGCTGTATATTGTGACATGATATTTTTTCTAAAATATATTAGCTGGCTCTTGTTATAGCCCTCCACATTCTGTCTAATTTTTTCCCTCCCAACTTTATCCTTCAACATCAGTTCTATCATCTTTTTCTCCAAGAAATAACAAAAACAAACAAACAAAAATCCCTGATCGGATTCATAGTCTCTTGAATTACCTGTATCTTACTCAGGCCATTTTCCTCACTGATAAATATTTCTTTCTTCTCTACCTCTCTACACTTATTTAAGCCTTATGTAGACCATATCGCATTGCCTATAAGGAATTTTCTTTGAAAATTCTGGGCAAGATTGACTACTCTGTTCTTTGAATCCTCTCCTCCCCCCACCCTTTATTGTAGTGTGTGTGTGTGTGTGTGTGTGTGTGTGTGTGTGTCTGTGTGTAGTGTGTTAATGGCATCTCAGCATATTAAAGTTCTATTACTCAGAATAAATCACATATATTTAGTGGCTTAAAACAACACAAATGTATTGGTTTACAATGTTCTGAGTTAGAAGTTTAGGTGCAGAGTGGCTCAGCTGGTTCTCTGCTTAGAGTCTCTCAAGGCCAATATCAAGGTGTCACCAGGGCTGGATTCCTTTGCTGGAGGTTCTGGAAATGAATTTGCTCCCAAATTCATGCAAGTTGTTCACAGAATTCAGATCCACGTGGTGGTCTTAAGGGTGAGGTCCTTGTTTTCTTGTTGATTGTCAGCTGACATCCTGTTCAGCTTTCTAGAGGCTCCTTGTACCTTGGCGAGTGGCCTTGTTCCACCATCTTCAAAGCCATACAGCAGGTAGTGTCTTTTTTATGCTTTGAATCTCTCTGACTTCCCCTTCTACAGAATCTCTTCTGCCTCCAGCTGTAGAATTTTCTCTGCTTTAAAAAAAGGTTCATGGAATTAGATTGGATTTACCTGGATAATCCAGGATAATCTCTCCATTTTAAGAACCACAACCTTAACTACATCTACAAAATCCTCTATAATTGGCACCCAGAGTAGCATTTGATTGAATAACAAGGGGGTAAAACTCTTGGAGGACATATTTAGGATGCAGCCCACAGCAGTCATCCTACAGGGAACCTCGTCTTTATTCCTTGGCTTTTGCCAGCGTGGTATCTTTTTGAGTTGGCTTTCTTTATTTCTTGGATTTAGTGTTCTCGGTAAAAATGAAATTGTACAAAGAAACTCCTTAATGTGAATTTGAATGACACATGTTAGCATGTTAGAGAAAGGCGATTCCCTCTGAAACCCCATGCACATCAGCTAGTAAGGTAGTAATTTTCCAGAAGCAGGTTCCAGCATGTATTTATAGCTTCCCGAGTGTTAAGAAACAGTGAGGGTTGCATTGGTTTCTTGCTCTGACACGGTAATTCTTTGGATTATGGCTTCAACTGCCTAACCTTTAGTTTCTTGTGGTCCAAGATACTAGGGTAGTGGTAGTGGCTGTAGACCTCGATGAAATTGCTCCAGCAATGGTCTCAGAGGAAGTAGCTCCATCATGAGCCATTTCTTTACTGTTTTGGTTTTCTAAGAGACTTGGGCCAGAACATGCTTCTTTATCCTTTACAGGATTTTGTAAGAGCCTATTCCACTATATTCCTCTTTATGTTTAAAATACCTAGAATAACAAGTTTGTTTCCTCCACTGAACTCTGCGTGCCACATTATTTGAAACCAGAAGTGAGTGCAACAGAGCAGACTTAAAAATATGTGGTTTTGGCCTAGTGGTCACGTAACAACTATAGAGAATCTGATGCTACAGGTTGAGACCTTGTGAGACCTTAGCCAAACATTTGTTAAAATTGTCATCTACAGCTACATGGAAGGAAAATGCTCTAAAGTGCCTTCGAGGGAAATGGCTACAGTGCTTGTAGCTTTGAGATGAGAGCAATAATGTTGATGTATCTTACCTGTTCCTGGTTGTTTTTAACAAAGAACAGATGAATCTTGGTAAGAATTTTCCCGTGTGTAAACAGAAAAAGACATAGAAAGATCCAGAAATTTGAGGCTCCACAAGACTAAAAAGTCTGGCTGCTTCTGTATCCCAAGAATCAAGATTTAAGGAAAAGGAACGAAGACAGTAAATACGATGGTGTTTCCATAATTGTTAAGTCCAGAAAAGAAGTTTATGCATGGTTATCGAACCAACTGCAAGCAAATAGACCAAATGCCTACTACATTTTGAGATCATTATGTTATCAAAGAAACCACATTTCTGAGCTGAAAAATCTGTTTTTCCAGTCCCAAAAGCAATCTTTAAGTTTCTAGTCATGAGCAAGCAGAAATTGTATAGCAAAATTGAAGTCCCCAGGGAGAATCTACTTTCAAACATGTAATTCATACGCATCCCCAAGGGATTTAGGAGAAGAAATAGGCTCCAAGATATGAAAGTAAGGAGAGTCATGTACTGCATAACAATATTCTGGCCAATGACAGGCCTCCATATATAATAGTGGTTCCATAAGATTATAATGGATTTGCTCTATTATAACGGAGCTACCTATATATGTATATCATTTTGTATTTTTTATATTGTAATTTTACTGTACCTTTTCTATGGTTATCTATGTTTAGATAGATAGTTACCATTGTGTTACAGTTGCCTACAGTATTCACTACAGTAACATGTTGTTCAGTTTTGTAGCCTAGGAGCAGTACGCTATGCCAAATAGCTTAGGTGTATATCAGGCTATATCCTAAGGTTTGTGTGAATATATTCTATGATGTTTACACAACAAGGAAATCACCTAACTATGCATTTCTCAGAATGTATTCTCTTTGCTAAGCAACACATGATTGTAATGGAAAAGAAATTTTCCCAATGCTGAAGCAAGGTCTATATGAGGAACCCATTTCACTTTCAGGAAAGTTGTGCAATTCTAGTTCACCAGAATCTTCTTTCACTAGATACCAATTATCTTGAGGGTTTTTAACCCCCTCTTTTTTGAATGTTTCATTAGTTTTATCTATTTCCTGTTTTTCTACATCTCTTTCATGTAAAGAATTTATTCTGAAAATACACAGATAAACTGAAATATTTTAAAACTATCTTAGCATAAGAAAATTCCATGTTTTGTAAAGAACAATGAACATGATCAGCATTATGCCTGCTATGTCTTTACTTCAGAAATATTGTGATTTCATACTCAGTTGAATAATTTATGTAGGAGTTAAATTATCTATTTTCTAATGTAATCAATTTAGTGTTGTGAATACATTTTAAAAACTGCTGTGAATTATTCTATAATTTTCATATTTTCAAATTTCTGTGGTTTGTGAAAGTCATGCAAAATGTTACCTCTTTATCCCCTAAATAATTGAGAAATCATGATAAAGAGATCTTGCCTTTAGGTGAATCTAACATCATGTGAATGACACAGAATTTGTATACATTTGCATATTAAGGAATACTATCATGATTACTTGATGGTTTTCAAAGTTAATTTTTGTTACAAGCTAAGATAATCAGAATGCAGTCTTTGATGCATTAAGAGTAAATTAATACCATGACACACACTACTTTTAGAAACATGATGAATAAATAAATTTTTATTATGGTGATGTCATACTCTCATGTCTTCTCTAAGAAATCCTTTAAAACCATTTTTGGAGTTAATAATTATATATATAATTATATATTATTGTATCATCATATTATCTATCATACTCATCTGTATGATATATAATTATTACAAATTCTTAAAAACTATTATTAATAATAAAAATAAAACTAATAAAAACAAAAAAGTAATAATTCATAATTATAAGTAATTCTTTAAAAACCTATAATTTATTTAAAACCTACAAAGTTCTAGACATTGTTAGGCATATTTAATGCTTATTATTAAGCATCTAGAATTAAATGCTAATAACTAAGTATTACTCTAATATTATTTCAAATAACATAATTGCACTTAATTTAATTTCTACTGATACAACATATCTTTAAAATGAAACCAACATAAAGAAGGAGAGTAAATAGGAATGAGAAATTATTAGGGAACATAAGGATCTTTAACCATAGACAAAGGATAATCTGAGTTTATGTTTCTCTGTAAGATTTCCATAGATAGATAGACAGACAGATAGATAGATCTGGATCTTGATCACTTTGTTTTCAATTTGCAATTATGGAAATTTTTGAACTATACAAAAGCCAAGAGAATTTTACTATAGACCCTTGAGAGTTACAAAAATTATCAACATTTCATGAATTGTGATTCATCTATCTCCTCCAACTTTCCCCATAGGTGGAAAAAAAATCCTGGCCATCTTGACCAGATCACTAAGCCAAATTTAGTGAAGTAATATTTTATAGATGGAATTATTTATGTTTTAACATATGCATCTCACCAACAGTTTGAGAAGAATTTTCTTAAAAGGTTCTTTCCCATTTGTCATTTTATAATTAAATAAAGCCAGTATCCTCCCTTCTTCAATGTTTACCTTTGAATATTTACTTCTTATTTCTGTGAAATGTATTTGTATCAGGAAGAGAACTCACATTTTATCACCAATTCTTTGCCTGTAGAACCCTAAGAGGGACATTCCATTTAAATTAAAGGCATCCTACTCACTTCTTAGGACTTAGAGAAGTTTTCCCACTTAGGTGGGGTCAATAGATCCTAAGGAAAAGGACTGATTATAAACCTAAAATACAACTTTACTTTTGGTTTACATCTTAAGTACAGCATAAAGATGTTACTTGGACTCATAAAGTTAGTAGAATCATTCGTTCATTCACTCCAAAATATTTAATGAATTCCTGCTATGTTTCATATATTATGTAATGGACATACATCTATAAACAGCATATTTACTAATTGATTCCTTCAACAAACACTGAGACACAGTGGTGAACAAGGCTCTGATACTGTCCTAGAACAAATGGAACCACAGCTAGGAGAATAAATTAGGTAGTGCATTAAAGTTAGGAACACAGTGCTATGGGAACACAAAAAGGGCTAAGAGTGTCATTCATTTTAAAAGGCAGAGGGAGTGGAGGAGGCGGTAATGTGTAAGAAGAGTTTTAAAGAAGAAATAATAAAGGGTCTATGTGGTTTGAGAGGCAGAGAAGATTGTGTGGGAGACGGACATTCAATATAGAGAAATTAAAAAAAAGTAAAACATTAGTGTGAATAAACTATTTGGAGTAATGAAGAAACTAGAATTAAATGCTGAGGAAGTTAGAGAAACTAGAAAAAAATAAGGCATTATTGTGAATAAACTATTTGGAGTAATGAAGAATCTGAGATTAAATGCTAAGGAAATTAGACTTCAATGTATAGGAAAACATTTTAAGAAAAGAAATTACGTGATCAACTATAATTAATTTAGCCAGAGTTCCTGTACCATGCATGGAGTTGAAACTAAGATAGCTACATTAAAAGGTTTGTATCATTTACTGAGCCATCTGACTAAATTAAACACAGGGTGAAAAGCCACATAGATTCTACTATAATTCAGCTTGATTTTCCCATGTTGTTACTTTTGATGTCTGTGACCACAGCTAAAATCCCCAAAGGGAGGGCAGTCATTTTTCTTTTTTCTTCCTTGAATTTCTGCTCAATTCAGGTTTATTCTTCAGTGAGAGTAAAGAATTGCTGGTCGGCATCCTGCAGCCTTGGGCACAGCTGGCACCTGCAATACTTTGGTGCGTGCCCAAGAGCCATGCAGAGAATGACATACAGGGGCCTTAGACGTGATTTCTCCACTCCCTAGAGAAGTCTCTACTCAGTAGAGCGGCAGGGGGCTCAAAAAGAAGCTGAAGGACAGTCATTTCCATGCACACATAAACCTCTAGCAAGGGTTCCATCCCAATGTTTAGGCTAGTCTAATGTCTGATTTCTTGGGTGAAATTATCAGGTCGATTTTTTTTTCTATAATTACTATCTTGACTATAGTATTGGCTGCAAGGATTGCATTTGTATTACTCCCCTTAGGAAAGTCTGTGGATTTATTTACTGATGGTTCTTTAGAGAGGGGGAAAAATCACTATGCACTCAGGAGTGTGGTTTATAAATGCACCAGAGCAACTCATTGCTCTAGAGATTCCCCTGTGAGGAAGAAATTTCATTTGGGTGTAATTTTGTCAAAGCTCTAGGAACTGCTTACAACTTTTGACATGTGAGACATCACAGCTTTGGGAAAAAGCTGATTACCAAGTCATATTTGTTATGGTTTTCCAGGTGGCTGGGTATTTCTAAAGCACCCTGCCTCAAATACAGCTGTGCTCACACTATTTCTTAAGAAGATTGAGTCTATGCAGCAGCAAGCAAAGTATTGTTGCCAGTTATGCAGATACTTTACAAGCCACCATAAGGAGAATCAGAGAGGCAGCGTAGTACAGAGATTCCATGCAGAGTAGATATGATCTGACCCTCCTTGGACCAGTCATTTTTAAGCATTTTTATCATTTTACTAAATTTTTAGAATTCAATTTCCATAACCTGTAAAGTGGGGTCCTCCCTCGTAGGTGCCGTTCGAAACTGCTTGCAGCTTTTTAGTGTATGTAAAGCATTTAGCCTAGGATAGGCCACATAATTATCTCTAAATAATTGAAAGCTCTTATTGATATATTTCATAAACCTAAATAGGTTTTAGATCTGGCATGAAATCTGCTTATACATGTTGAAGAAATAATAAGTTTATGAGATATTAAAAGACCTAATCACTTCCTTTTTTCTCCACTTTTCAGAAAAGAGGTATAGCGTATCTGTGGTCTATATGGAGAATCAGTGCATTCCACTCACTGGTCTTTTCAAATACAAACCTTTCAAGGGTAGAAAATTTTTGTTTACGTCTTTTGCTCAAAATGCAGTTGACAAATTAGTTTTAAATTCTTTCCTTTAATAAAGGGAGGAGCAGATTACTAAAATTTTAGCAAAGAAATGTACTGATTTTAATTCATTAAAAGAAGTAAGGGATTCATTGGAACAATCTCTTAAATACCATTGCAAAACATTCATTAAATTGCTATCATTACTATTAATTTTGAAAACATTTTGACATATACCACAGGTTGTCTGGAACTTGACTTTATCAACAAGACCAGTATGATTTACATATAGCAGTGCCTTCCTTAATCAATGAATTTATAACTGGAGAGTTTAGATTTGCTCATGTAAACCTGTAAATGTGTATGAGTGTTTAAGTGTTGAGCATAAAATACAATTAAGTAGTTGGCAAGAATTTAGCTGGTTTCGATTTCAACACTTATTTGTTTGTTTCCACTTGGAATTGTATTGTATCATACTGAATGCTATTGATCAAGCTAGTTGGGTGATGGGCATAAGCATCTGTATATAACTCATCTCATACCTAGCACTGCTTGATGCTAGATCATTTATCACTGTGCACAGAGCATGACTATCTGGGATTATTGCTGCTTTTTTGAGTGACAGACAATACTGTACTTAAATGAATAGAAGCATCAGAGGGAAATTATCAGAATTTCTTCTCAGAAAATCTGAGGAGTCACTACCAAAATTACTGATCAGTTTGAAGAAGAAATAAGTAAATGATTATGGAAATCATGATTAATATAATATAAATGCTATTTCAGAATTGGAATGTAATGCAAATCTTTATATATGTGTATATATATATATATGTATAAGTGTATATGTGCATATATGTGTGTGTGTATATATATATATACACACACACATAGATATATAAAGGGCAAAATGAAGGATCTAAAGGATATGTCTCCAAATAAATAATAACCTTATTTACATCAAGTATTTAATATCCAAATATTATGTTTTCACCAAACCATTATATGTAGTCTAAACCATTATATGTAGTCTAAATTTTAAAAATTTAGAGAATATAATCATCAATCTGTTTTATTTTTTTAAGAAAATCTCTCTGAGCATAAATCCTCATCTACAACATGGAAATGATAATACCCACCTCATAGGATTCTCCCAAGTGTTAAAGGGTAAAACACATATCAGGTGCATGAGAGATGCGTGTAGAGAATACTTTTCCTTTTTCCATTACTACTGCCACATTCTTTCACTGAAAAACTAGGATTTATAATTTTTCATTCTTTCCTTGCCACCCCAAACACTGTGTCAAGAAACAAAAATGAAAACACAAAAGTGATGCAGTGGGTGATTAAAATTTAATAGGCAGGTAAAGAAATGCAAATAAGATATAATTGGACTTCCTCCTGAGTCTATGGCCTTCCCAGCTGGAAACATTTCCATGAACGTACTTCAGTTTTATATATATATATATATAAAGGTAGGAAAAATAATTAAAAGAATTACTAGAAAAGCATCAATCAGACTGAACCTGATTCAATGCTAGACTCTTTCTGACCTCCTAATGAGTTTTCACATTAAGCTTTACTTTTAAGAATGTGTCTTCCCTCATGTGGTGATTATTTGAAGTAAAATGTAGGAATATTTTAAGACTGCCCTGCTACTTTTTCAGCAGAGGAAGATTGAGGAAGAAATAGACCAAGGTAGTCATTTGAAAGGCTGGAGGGCATCAATGGTAATTTGTTCTGGTAATCAAATGATTTTAATATTTCTTTGAAGAGAGCACCATAGAGGCTAGAATCATAGACAATGGGGGTCTATGGTAAAGTCTTGGATACACCTTGGCAACCCTCAGTCATCTATGATGTTCAACACAGATTGTGCCAGAATGCAGTTTAGAGTACAGGGATCACCTACAGTAAGGGAGGTGGGAGGGAGAGCCCAGGACAAAGTCAGATGAACTAAAGAAACTGACAGGTAATTTTGATAGTTGGTTTATTTCACTTTGGAACTTCTCAGAGCTTTAAAATACAGAGGAGTATTGTGAATCTTCAAGAAGGGAATCTAGGATGCTTAAGTACCTAAATTTCACCACAGAATGATTTTATTTTTTTAATCTAGTAATGTCTTATGGAATTAGTTATTTAGCGGGACATAATTTTAAAAACATGGACCTAGAAAGTCCATAGCCTCTTGAGAGAAATCCTTTCTATATGCCCTCTGTCTCCTGATACTCCCCAAACCAGGAAAGACTGTGCATTTTTTGGAGGGTGTGGTTGAGTCATGGAGCCATAATTTAGATAATAACAAAATAAAAATCAATATCAATTAATAAAATTCCTAGCATGAATATCAAAGTAATTTCATATTTATCTTTCACCATTCTTATGGAATAATTCAAACAGAATTACAGTATGAATTAACGAAAGCAACTTTACAAAGTTGATTAGGTAATAAGAATAGATTTGATGGCTGCTTGAATTATGTTCTAAAGACAATAAGAACTATGTTGAAATATGCCTTAATTGTTCAAATGCATCTTTTTAAAATTATATGTTCTTCATGAATATATAAAAATAAGGCTAACAAAAATATTTTGAAACAAGAATAAATTTGCCCTAATAAAACTTTGTATTTATTAATATCTATATCTTTAGCTGTTTTTCTTGCTATAAAATTTTCAGGAGAAATTAAGGACATGACATGAGTTTTATTAAAAAGTACTTAGAATAGATAGAACTGTTTGAAAGATTGGAACAGAAAATGATTCAGAATTTCACTTCAAAACGTGGGTAAATGGGTTGTAAAAGGATGTTCTGGAAGGCTGAGTGGCCCTGCCAGAACCAAACACATTGGAGAAATCTCAGGGGCAGCTTCGGCCTCCAGAGATTTGCTGTTTGCTTTTTACTTCAAAGCAGTCAGGCTTAGCTTCTTGGTAATAAGCCAACGTGAACATCCAAACATCTGTAGTTTCTGCCTTCACACTCTTGGTCTTTTTGTTGGTGTGTCAGAACGTGGCAATGTGAATCATAAAGAAAATATTGCTCTTTTAAATACGTCTTAACTTCACTATATCATTCACTGAGTCAAATAATTATATTCATGTCACCTGTTCGTGAAAATAAAGAAATAACTATCCAAAGCTGGATGGAATAATAGGTTTTGATTTTGTTTGCAGAGAATAAGTTGGGGCTCAGAAATGCTAAGTGACTTGCCTAATGGCACACAGTGGGAAAGCAGATTAGCTTCTCCTCTATCACGTGTGTCCTGCTTGTGAACTCCTCACCTCCTTTAGCTAAAGACTTGCTTGCTGTCCACCCACTGCTACAACAACCCATTGCCAGGCTCTGTGGGAATGCTAAATCCAAATACGTGACCTTGCTTTGTAACTAGAGAAGCTAGCAGCATACTTTTTTTTTTTTTAAGAACCACTGATTTTGAAGAACATTGTAAAATTTTTTATTTTTCAAAGACATTCAGATATATGTTTGCTTATGACAGAGAACAAACGACACAGAACTCAATTTTGGCAGTGTAACAAGTAAAGGGACTTAACAATGATTTTTTAAAAACTTATTTTCATTGAGGTATAATTTATATACAGTAAAATGTATTAGATGGATTTATATCTATATCTATAGCTGTACCAATATCCATTATCATCAGTCTCTTTCTCAACCATTTGAGCAAGCTATAAACATAATATGTCTTTACCCCTAAATACTCCAGTATAAATTTTCCTTAAATAAGTATACTTTATTCATTACCTCCATACAACCTTCTGAATAGGGTAACCAACTTTTTAGAAGGCCAACTCAGGCAACAGCCATAACAGACCAATAAAATATATATCATATATAATTGATGAGTGTACACATGTGGTTATTTTAACATAAATATAAGAAAAGATGGTGTTTATTTGAAATTATATATGATTCTGTATTTGCTTTTCTGTAGCCTTTCTACATAAATGCTATTATTTTAACAGTGGCATTTTAAATTAATATGGTTAATTAAATAATATGTCAATTAATACAACAATATTTTGTAAGGTTTCTGTGTTCTGATAGAATCGTTTATTTGAACAATTTAAACAAATCTTTATTGAATGTTTATATTGGCCAGGCGTGGTGGCTCACACATGTAATCCCAGCACTTTGGGAGGCCGAGGCGGGCTGATCACGAGGTCAGGAGATCGAGACCATCCTAGCTAATAAGGTGAAACTGTAGCTATATTACGTATTAAGATACATAAGTTTAAGTTTTTTAAAATGGATAATGTAAACACAGTAAGACCAATTAAATAGATATTAGTTTTACTTATCAAGAGGTAACAGTGACACGTTTCTTTCCTTCATATGGTACAGTAAGATATTTTTACTTTCTGTTTTCTTTTCTAACATTAGACCTCTAAACCATCTTCAGCCTTTAGGACATGTTTTGCTTCTTTTACGTAGTGGTAAAACTGAATAGTCATAAACATAACCTTCACTTTGACTTGCAGGTCTGCTTTTGTCAAGTACACACTCCATTGATTCCTGGTGTCAGTCCAATGTGATGACATTACACTAAATATCCTCTCCACAAAAGCACTGGAGCTTGGGATACTTATGATTTTTTAAAGAATATTAATTTAAAAAATTTTATTGAGGTAAAATTCACATAATATAAAATTAACTATTTTATAAATGTGCACAATTCAGTAGCATTTAGTCCATTTACAATGTTGCACAATCATAATCTCTATCTAGTTCCAAAATATTTTCAACAGCCCAAACAGAAAACACTGTACCTACTAATCAGTCAATCACTGTCTCAGGTTGTCAGGACTCCAATGACAAAAATACTATTAATAGGGTGGCTTATAAACAACAGACTTTTTTTTTTGTCACAATTCTGGAAGCAGGGAAGTACAATATCAAGACACTGGCAGATTCAATATCTGGTAAGGGCCTGTTCCTCATGGATGGTAGCTTCCAACTGTGTCCTTACATGGTGGGAGGGCTAGATAGCTCTCTGCAGTCTCTTTTATAGGGGTACTAATCTCATTCATGAGGGCTCTGCCTTCATGATCTAATCAACCTCCCAAAGAGCTCACTACTTAACCTAATATTATCACTCTAGGGGTTAAGAATTCAACATATGAATTTGCGGGGGACACAAATTTTCAGACCATAGCACTCACCATTCTCCCTTCCCCAGGGCCCTGGCCAGTATTAATCTGCTTTCTGTCTCTGTGGATTTACCTATGCTGGATATATCATATAAATGGAATCATACAACACATGACATTTTATCTTCTTAGATTCCTTTCACTAAAGAAACATCAGCATAATGTTTTTGAGGTTCATCTATGTTGTAGCAGATATCAAAACTTTATTCTTTTTATGGCTGAATAATATTCCATTGAATAATATTCCATGTGAATACCACATATTTTGTTTATCTATTCACTTATTGTTGGGCATGTGAGTTGTTTCCACTTTTTGGTTCATGAATAAAACTGCCATATAGATGTATATATGTTTTTCTGAATACATATTTTCAGTTCTTTTGGATATATACCCAGGAGTGGAAATGCTGGAATATATGATAATTGTAGGTTTACCTTTTTGAGCAGTGACCAGACTTTTTCCCATAGTGACTAAGCCACGTTACATTTTCACCAACAATATGCAAGAGTTCCAATATCTCCACATCTTTGCAACTACTTGTTTTTTTTTTTTGTTAAAAAATTTTTTTTTTATTATAGCCATTCTAGTGGATGTAAAGTGGTATCTCATTTTTGTGTGGATTTGCATTTTCCTAATGACTAATGATGTTGAACAGCTTTTCATGTGCTTTTTGGCCACTTGTGTTATCTTGTTCTGAAAAATATCAATTTAAATCTTTTGCCCATTTTAATTAGATTGCTTGCTCTTTTGTGTTTGAGTTATAAGTGTTCTTTATATATTTTGGATACTAGACCCTAATCAGGTATATGATTTGCAAATATATCCCATTCTGTGTGATGTCTTTTCACTCTTGATAATGTGCTTTGGTGTAATTTATGAAGTCAAACTTACCTATTTTTTCAATGTGCTTTGATTGATGTCACAGTTGTTTTATTGTGCTTTTCATTAATGTCATATCTAATATTCCATTGCCAAATCCAAGATTATAAATAGATGTCACTGTTTTCTTCTAAGAATTCTGTAGCTTAAGCTTTCAATTAGGTCTTTGATATGTTTCATATTAATTTTCCTATACAGTGTGAAGTAGAGACAATATTTAGGATTTTACTTACAATTATTACAGATGGTAGACTTGTAGGAATTATTGGTTTTCACCTCTTCAAACATGTTCAACCTCTGTATCTACAAGCTTGTTCTGGTAGACCAGCTATTTTTCAATCATTTGTTTCCCATCTACATATTCATCATAATCATATAAGCTTTCCTTGTCTACACTATGAACTACATAGGATAAACCTCTCTTTTTTAGGGAAACTGATTTTAAAGCACAGTGGAAATTGTAACCCATGACACATAAGGTGGATTCCAAATACATTTTATTTTTGTAAAGAAATGGAGAACTTTTTTTTTTAATTGACTACACTTTTCTGTTTTTTTTTTAATTGTCTGCAATATTCTGGTGGCTTTTTTGAATACTGAACCAATCTTAACTTCCAAAAAATGATTTCTTTCTACACAGGTTTTGTTATAACCTGCATATACTACTGAAAAAGGGAGATACAGTCAGTTCTGCCTTTTCTAGGTTCCTTATGGCCTCTTCAAAAATCACCAAACAGGCCAAGCGCGGTGGCTCACGCCTGTAATCCCAGCACTTTCGGAGGCCGAGGCGGGTGGATCACAAGGTCAGGAGATCAAGACCATCCTGGCTAACACGGTGAAACCCCGTCTCCACTAAAAATACAAAAAATTCTCCGGGCGTGGTGGCGGGCGCCTGTAGTCCCAGCTACTCCGGAGGCTGAGGCAGGAGAATGGTGTGAACCCGGGAGGCGGAGCTTGCAGCAAGCCAAGATCGCACCACTGCACTCCAGCCTGGGCGACAGAGTGAGACTGTCTCAAAACAAACAAACAAACAAACAAAAAAGAAAAAATCACCAAACAATCTTGAAGAAACAAAACATAAATTTTTGTTTTTCTACCATCTTCTTAATGATTCTTATTTTCAATGCATTTTCAGATTGGAAGACGTTGCTCTTGTCCCACATTTTGAAAAATATGGTGCTATAACAGAACAATAAATTACTTATTTTTTGTTATTGATGGCAATGATGATAGTCATCTTGTTGGGACATGCCTAAGGAGGCTATCACCTTCAATTTCTATAAAGTCAAATATCTCGGCCGGGCACGGTGGTGGCACACGCCTGTAATCCCAGCGCTTTGGGAAGCCGAGGCAGGCGGATCACGAGGTCAGGAGATCGAGAGCATCCTGGCTAACACGGTGAAACCCCGTCTCTACTAAAAATACAAAAAAAAAATATTAGCCGGGCCTATTGGCAGGCGCCTGTAGTCCCAGCTACTCGGGAGGCTGAGGCAGGAGAATGGCGTGAACCTGGGAGGCGGAGCTTGCAGTGAGCCGAGATCACGCCACCGCACTCCAGCCTGGGCCACAGAGCGAGACTCCGTCTCAAAAAAATAAAAATAAAAAAAAAAAAGTCAAATATCTCATTAAGTGCTTCCACACATACTGAGAAAACTAAAAATTATCAAAAGGATGATGAAAGCCTCAACATCACAGGTAGACAAACCAAATCCTGTTTTAGCAGTGCTGTGTGCAAGGTATGTAAGACATTTAGAAGAAAATATAATTTCATTTGGTAAGAAGGTTATGCATTGAATAGAAATTGCAAACATTTACATTTGCACCATCTACAGAATATGCAATAGGTGCAGAAAATCTAATTTTTATTTGGGCTAGGTATTAGCAATTTTTTATGTTATGTTTTCTGAAGTTGTATTACAATTTTCATATAATTCAAGAATATAATTTGAAATCCATTTTTCAAATCAGAGTATCTAAAAGCTAAGGGAAACATTTTTGTTATTGCTGTGATCTGATGTATCACTTGGTATACTATAGAAAGCATGATACTTGGTAAGATCTGACACAATCAATTCTTCACTGTAAAGGGCTAATTCATGCGTTATCAAAATCTTTCCTTTTGTTTACCCTCAGATAATTTAGCTGCAACCTCTGATTCCCTTTCATAGATCAATAAGGGAATGATACAATGATGCCCAATGTGGTATGCCCGAGTTAATTCAGTGCTGCTATTTCTGACTGAGAATTTGTGTCCTTTTGCCAGATGAAACGTTTTTATTGATTTAAAAGAACTTGGTCTCTTCCCAGTATTGTTACATTCAGTCACCATATGTGCTTCCACCACCCTTTTCTAGTGTTCCCAGTCCCAATTTTTTTCTACATATTATACAGTATGCTCTTTTGTGTACTACCTGCCTGATCCATTTGTATGTGTTCCTCTGTCTTAAAAAAAAGTAGGGTTAAATCTTCGTATCCTGTGGTATGTTTCATGATGGCGTTGCTATTGTGTTTATTTCCATTTTTCTTATATAAACACTTACAAAATATGCTTCTAATATTTGAGAAGTTAAACATTGAACCAGTACTAGTTGGATACAACGCACAACAGTTAATCCACAAGTGGCATCAAAGAATGAGTTGTTAACCTCATGATTATAACCCACATAAGTTGCACATTTAGGTCACATTGTTGAGCGCGATGCAACCATGAGTGGTCCATAATTGAGATTCATAAATCCCGTTATCAATATTAGTGGCCTGGGGTAAAGCAGCAGCAGTGACTATGAAAGACAAATAATCAGTGCTATATTCATTTGACACCAAAAACAGTGTTACTTTTGTTTTCCATGTTGGGGGACTCATGATAGGGGTTTTGTAGTCTTCCCGTAATCTTTTTTATTTATTTGTTTGTTTTTATTTTTTATTTTTGTCACCCAGGCTGGAGTTCAGTGGCGTGATCTCCATCTCAGCACACTGCAACCTCTGCCTCCTGGGTTCAAACAATTCCCCTGCCTCATCCTCCCAAGTAGCTGGGATTACAGGTGCATGCCACCATGCCCAGCTAATTATTTGTATTTTTAGTAGAAATGGGGTTTCACCATATTGGCCAGGCTGGTCTCAAACTCCTGACCTCCAGTGATCCGCCCACCTCGGCCTCCCAAAGTGCTGGGATTATAGGCATGAGCCACTGTGCCCAGCCTTCCCCTGAGCTTCTGTACCTATAATCAAAACAAGAATATTTTGGGTCTGAAAAGAGGTTTCTCAGGACACTGGATCTTCATTAATAAAATCTGGATAGTCCTGGGCATACCAGGACAGGGGGTCACCCTACTTCTAAATTAGGAGAACAACATTGATACACCCCACCATTCAATTCCCAGACCTCATTCACATTTCTCCACTTATTTTCATTTATATTCTAATGGACAATGTTTCTTTTGCCTTTTTGATCCTGGATCTAATCCAGGATCATGTGTGATATATATTTGCCATGTCATTTCAGTCTTTTTTCATGTGGAACAGTTTCTCAGTTGCCCCATTCTTTCAAAATGTTGACAGGTTTTTTTTTAAGTATAAGCTGTGCTTATGTGATTTTTTCCTCATAATCAAACTGGAGCCTTACATTGTGTGTAGGAATTCCATGGAAGTGATGCAATGCTGGTCTCAGGGAATTACGTCAGGAGAAAACATTCTGCCAATGGTGCTGGCAACCTCAATTATGTGGTAAATTTGGTGTTGATCAGATTTCTCCATCAGAAAGACAGCATTTTCTGATTTATAATTGATGGAAAGGGTATTAGACCATTTTCACACTGCTGTAAAGGACTACCTGAGACTGAGTAATTTATATACAAAGGAGGTTTAATTGACTCACAGTTCCGCAAGTCTTGGGAGGCCTCAGAAAACTTACAGTGATGGTGGAAGGGGAAACAAGATATGTCTTACATGGTGGCAAGAGGGAGGGGAGAACTGCCACACACCTCGTGAGAACTCATTCACTATCATGAGAACAGCATGGGGGAAACTGCTATCGTGATCCAATCACCTCCCACCAGGTCCCTCCCTTGGCACATGAGGAATAAAATTCGAGAGGAGATTTGAGTAAGGACACAGAGCCAAACCATATTATTTCACCCCTGGTTCCTCACAAATCTCATGTCCAGCTCACATTTCAAAACACAATCATGCATTCCTAATAGTCCTCCAAAGTCTTAACTCACTCCAGCATTTAACTGAGAAGTCCAAGTCTAAAGTATCAGCTGGCACAAGGCAAGTCTCTTCCACCTACGAGCCTGTAAAATCAAAAGCAAGTTCATTACTTCCTAGATACCAAGGGGGTACAGGCATTCCAAATGGGAGAAATTGGCCAAAACAAAGGGGCTACAGGCCCCATACGAGTCTGAAACCCAGCAAGGTAGCCATTATATTTTAAAGTTCCAAAATAATCTTCTTTGACTCTTATGTCTCACATGCAGGGCACCCTGATGATAAAGGTGGGTTCCTAAGGCCTTGGGCAGCTCCACTCCTATAAGTCTGCAGGATACAGCCCCTGCAGCTGCTTTCATGGGCTGGTGTTGAGTGCCTGTGGCTTTTCCAGGTGGACTGTGCAAGCTCATTGGTGGATCTACCATTCTGGGGTCTGGAGGATTGTGGCTCTCTTCTCACAACTGCACTAGGCAGTGCCCCAGTGGGGACTCTGTGTGGGGGCTCCAACCCCACATTTCTCCATTTCTCCTCTGCAGTGCCCTAGTAAAAGTGCTCCATGAGGGCTCCGTGTCTGCAGCAAACCACTGCCTGGACATCCAGGCATTTCCACACATCCTCTGAAATCTAGATGGAGGTTCTCAAACCTCAGTTCTTGCCTTCTGGGCACCCACAGGCTCAATATCATGTGTAAGCTTCCAAGGCTTGGGACTTGCACCCTCTGATGCCATGGCCTGAGATGAGATTTGGGTGGGGACACAGAGCCAAACTATATCAGGAGGATACTCCAAATCTAGGCCAATATTCTGCTATTCCTCAAACCTTTACTCACCGCCTAAGCATCCATAGATTTATATGTGAATCAAGCACCATTATACTTGTCATATGGTGTATTATTATTTTCATTATTTTCCCTGTAGCTTTTAGTTGTCTTTTTACTATAAGGATATACTTTTTCGTCTCTTGCAGATGTATGCTTTTTATTTATATCAGTATGGACTTATGGATTCTTTTTTGTTGTTGTTTTGTCTTTGGGTTTTTTTTTCTTTCTTTTTTTGAGATGGAATCTCATTCTGTCACCTAGGCTGGAGTGCAGTGGCATGATTTTGACTCACTGTAACCTCTGCCTCCCAGGCTCAAGCAATTCTCCTGTCTCAGCCTCCAGAGTAGCTCAGATTACAGGCACATGCCACTACACCCGGCTAATTTTTTTGTATTTTTAGTAGAGACAGGGTTTTGCCATGTTGGCCATGCTGGTCTTGAACTCCTGGCCTTAAGTGATCCACCCACCTTGGCCTTCCAAAGTACTGGGCAAGATACGAAGACCGCATCTCTACAAAAATAAAAATAAAATAATAACCAGGTGTGATAGCACATGCCTGTAGTCCTAGCTACTCAGGAAGCTGAGGTGGGAAGATTGCTTGAACCCAGGAGTTTGAGTTTGTGGTGAGATAGGACTACACTATTGCACTTTAGCTAAGGGGATACAGTTAGATCAGGGCTGTTAAAAAATAAAAATTAAAAATACTTGTGCTCATTGTTAGTGAGTTATCATTGCTTCTAGATCCTCTCAGCAGAGAGAGCTATGAAATATATTTATACACATAGGCATACACATACATCTATATCTATTTCTTTATATTTAAAATAAAAACTCTTTTACAATAATACCTCCAATTTTAATGCAACATCTCAGTTATTTTCCAGTTTGCCTACATGCCGTATTTGTAGATTCTTCTCTAACATTGACAAACCTGGTCATAACCCTTGATGTATTTCTGTATTTGCTCAGTCCCTCTCCCACAACTTTGGCTATTGGGTACTCCATCACCCCTGCTCAGATACCCCCTCACTGCTGCCTACTTAGACGTGAGGTATAAGTAGGCTCCTCTGCTGGGCACTCACATCATCACACTTTCCTTGGCTACCAGGAATGTGGCTATATCCACACAGCTTCCTCAACACCACAAACTTCTTGGCATTTGGCCAGCTCATGCTTCAGCTTGTTGCCCACCTGACTGTCTCCACTTTTTCACCCTCAGGGGTCATAGGAGGCTGCCACATCTGCAAAGCCCCCAACAGGCCCTGAAGATACTTTAAAAAGTTACACTACATAGTTTGCATGTCATCATTTATTCAACTTATCTATAACTGTTTCCTTTGTTTTGGAGAGTGAGATAAAGCCCTGCAAACTGACAGGCAGCATTTATTCAGAATTGTTCAAATAGTGTCTGACATTTAGAGAATAATCAATGGAAGGCTTTTAGCAATACATTTTACTACCTATGATGCATTGAATATTTAATTAATTTTTCTTTGAAGATGTTCTTTTCTTTCAGATTGGGACATGAAAAGAAAGTGATAGTAATCTTTTCAAGAGTGTTATTTTACTTTCCTGATATTTCTTCTATCAAAAGAAAAATGTTTTTTCTGTTACACATGGACCATATAAAGTCAACACTAATTAAACTATTTTCTGAAAGTGTCTTCTAACCTTCTCAATACTTGGCCCACTCATGAAAAATAAAACCCGACTTGTAAAGAATACTAACCTTACCGTATGCAGTAAATAAGTGTCTACTTTATGAGTTCAAAACTACAAAAGAAAAGACTGAAAGTTTGAAAATACAGAATTTCGATTGCTTCCTATGACAATTGTGGTAAGTTATTTTAATAGCAATTTTTCAAAATTGTTGGCTTTAATTCATATTACTCATTTTGTTTTCAATTTGTGAAAGGAATGTTTTTCTTACAAGGCTTGCTAAATATTTATCAATTTTATTTATTTTGTCAAATAAAATAGTTTTGTTCTTTTTTATTTTTTCCTGTGTACTTTGTAATACCTCTGAATCACTGTAACATGGACTGGGTTTAAAAAATATAGTTTGATTATTGCTCTACATTATTTGTAATATGTTTATCACTCAGCCTAAATTTAATTCTATGCCAGGCATTCTGAAATTGTATATGAATGTATAATATAAATTCTTATATATACAAATGTAACTGTCATGTTTGAAGTAAGCTTTGTGAACTTAAAAATATTGTAAAGGTCATTATGATGATGACAATGCAGTCTTTTAAAAAAAGAGAAAGAAAAGGGAGGATGTTCAATCTCCTAAAAATTGTAATACCTACTTTAAAAAAATCAATGAAAATAAGTGTATCTTGTTACATTTTATATCTAACAAAGAGTGTGAACTGATCTTCATAACTTAATCCCTAATAACTTAATATCTTAAAAAAGTCTAAAAAAAGTCGAGTGAGAACATATTGTTTGTGAATTCTATATATTATTGTGTTTGTAATTGATTTGTAAACTTATCAGTAATGGTAAATGTAATGCCTAACTTAGAAAATATTTGTATAAAAATCCAGGTTAATAAAATTAGATACAGCGCCACAAGAAAATTGACATCCTGCATTGTTGCTGCTATAAAAACACCCAAGAATAAGTTATTACATTAAATGTCGATGTGAAAACTTAAGCAGTTTTGAGTGCAACTCAAGTAAGTTTAAAAAGATTATTTTGTTGGCTTTCTAGAAAATACTTTCAAAGTACTTAGATGTAATTCATTTTCCAAATTCAGTAAATATATTTCTAGTATTCATTATTGATTTAATAATGGTTTACTCAATATACTTTTTAAATGGTTAAGAATTACTATTACTGAATTCCTTAATTACATTATAATGTGTTAGGGCTTAAAGAAAATTTAAATGTTATAAACTTATTTTATGAAGTCTATTCATCAATTTTGTCTCCATCCAAAGTAAATATTAATTAAATAACATCACATGCAATTGTGTGTTCAGTCATATTAAGACGTTTAGAAGCCCTGTTTCCTGTCTTCATTACAGCAGTTACCTGTTTTGCCTCATTAACTTCTTCCCACAATTTCTGTAGAAATTGTCTTCTTGGCCTGGAGCTTTTGAGGCAGTTCATGAAGTGAGAGCTCATTAAAGCATCTGGCCTAAACTCTACCAGTAGTGAGAATATTTGCATAACCTAAGTTTCTTTAGCATCTTCTGGGTCAGATTAGTAATTCTAATTAACTTAAGATACCTATTTTTGTGTTATTAGAGCTAAATATGGGATAGGACCAAATAGAACATGCATAGAAAATTCATTAAAGCAAATAGGTTGGGCGAAATTCTGAATTCATTGTTATTTTATCTTTTATCTATAGAGTAAATCTGTTTCATTTTCTTTGTAAAGACATGGGAAGCTTTGATGTATACACTATGCTGTATATACTATAGTATATACTATGCACATATATAGACAACCCAATATTCATTATATATCATATATCATAAGACTTCTTTATAATTCTGTAGCAGATGCTGATGGCACCTTGCCCATACCCTGCAGCTTTTACTTTCTCAATGCATTAACTTAATTTCTACCTGCATTTTTTTTCCTAAGGATTTTCTTTAGTAGCCAAAACCTTCTTTCCTTCCATGAGGTAAATTGGAAATACAGGAAAAATCATGCCCTCTAGGAGTAGCCACCAACCAATGACCACCAACCAAAGACTGAGTGGGCCTATGAACACCTCAGTTCTCTCAACCATTAAGTGGCATAATGCTGAAGCACATGTTCTATACTTTTTCTCAAGATGAACCTGACGTTACCCATGGTGGCAACTTGCTGGATTACTTAACAGATGAACCTGACGTTACCCACAGTGGCAACGTGCTGGATTACTTGCCTTTTGATTACCGTTGTCTTTTGTCTTTTTCTACTTTCCTTACTCACCCCACTACCTGTGTTTCCTGGAATGATTTCTCAGATAAACTACTTGTGTTTAATCTGTGTTTCTAGTTATGTGTTGGGGGTAAACAAAATTAAGATAAATTTTATTCAATAAATATTTGTGGATAGCTTAGTATATGAAAAAAACAGAAAAAATTATCTTCCATATGGGACTTATATTCTAGCAGACAGAGGGCAACACAAATAAATATACACACATAAACACAATACACACACACACACACACACACACACGATTATATTATATCATTGGGAAGCACCGAAGATAATATTAAGATGGGAAAAGACCAGCCCAGGCAACATAGTGAGACCTCATCTCTACAAAAAATTTAGAAAATTAGCCAGCCATGGGGGTGCGCACCTGCAGTCCCAGCTACTCTGGAGGCTGAGGTGGGAGGATTGAGCCAGGGAGGTCAAGGCTTCAGTGAACCATGATTTCCTGACTGCACTCCATCCAGCCTGTGTGAAAGAGCAAGACTCTGTTTCAAAACAAACAAAAACGAACAAACAAACAAAACTTAAAATAAAGGAAGATGGAGAAAGAGGATAGAGAGAACCTTTGTGGTTGTTATCAAAATGTATAACAGGGTTGGCAGAGAATCCCTCACAGAGATGGTGTTATTTGAACAAAGTCCACCGTGGGAAGTAAGTAGTATGTGAGGGGAGGAACAGTTTCCAATTCTAAGAGACTTAAAGTGATATCTTTATACATTTATTGCTGTACAGGTATTATTTTCTTTATAAAATATGAGAAAGTAATATTTTATTAAATGGAAATTTAAATCCCATATAACAAGGGGGACGAGATCCTTAGTAATGAAAGTCAAGTTGCACTTTGACAGAGATATTTCAATTCATGACTGCTCCAAATGGCTCCATCAACATTATGTCCACATTAAATATGACTGTATCAGAATGTTCTGCTCTGAGTAAGATAATGCTCTTTCCCTCAAAAAGATATTAGGTTTTAGACATGTAAACAAAGTAATACAAAAATGTAATGATGGTTAAAGAAATAACTCCAAGTAATAAAGGATTAATTTATGAGATTGTGATCAAAGAAATTTTTTGAGAGATACTTGTACACAAATAGCATACTGAAGATCAATCAGAGAAACAATCTAGGACATTCTGGATTCAGAACAATAGGTGTAGTGCTGTGAAATCATGTGGTGAATGCCTTATCTTTGTGACGACTTGTGAGCGCATACATTTTAAACATCATGTGATGAAAGGTGAGGCTGAAGAGGGAGGCAGAGTTCGGATCATGTAAGTACTTATGTTCCTGGCTGAGGGGCTCATGAATATCTTTGAACGGGACATGATTAAGCTGGCATGATGAACTCTGGCTCCAGTGGGAATGTGAAGAGGACGAAGTCAAGAAGAGACTGAAGACAAGTTCAAGAGTTTGGACATTCAGTCATGGTAGATGTTATAGAGAACAGAAAACAGATTCAAGATATGTGAGAGAAAAACAACAGGATTTGATCTGGGACTGGAGTAGAAGAGTTGAGGGAAAGGGAGTTATATATTCTGAATCAAAAGAAAATTAGAAATGTTTTTTCAAAAGGACTATGTAATGTATAACTGAGACGCTTTAGTGAAGTTACTCAAGTAGAAATATAATATAGAAATATATTTTTCACATGATGCATGTGAAATTTACTACATGTATATACACATGAACATATATGTATATATGTATGTGTGTATATGTTTATTATATATGTACAAAAGGTTGCTATTTAATTAAATTCATAGTAGCAGACAGAAAAATCCCAGGGGCAATTACTAATGTGAGTGTTTATTCATTTGCTCTCAAATGTACATTGGCAAAAGCATAATCAGCCACCAATCATGTACAAATAAATTTTCATAGATTCAAAACCAAAATCCATTTTGATGTGTGCATAAGAATTATTTAAGAAAGAGAAATTTGGCTGGGTGCGGTGGCTCACACCTGTAATCCCAGCACTTTGGGAGGCTGAGGTGGGCGGATCACGAGGTCAGGAGTTCGAGACCAGCTTGACCAACATGGTGAAAACCCGTCTCTACTAAAAATACAAAAAAATTAGCCAGGCATGGTGGTGCGCACCTGTAATCCCAGCTACTCAGGAGGCTGAGGCAGGAGAATAGCTTGAAATAGCTTGAACCCGGGAGGCGGAGGTTGTGGTGAGCCGAGATCGCACCACTGCACTCCAGCCTTGGCGACAGAGCAAGACTCCATCTAAAAAAAAAAAAAAAAAAAAGACATTTACAATAAATGTCATCAGATGTCCTCTTTGTACTGAATAAAAAATTCCAACACTATGAATAGAGGTCAATGCTGACATCACTTCTTACAAGGTTATGCATTATTATACAGAAAAACAAGGACTGAGGATTTTAGAAATCAGAACAAATTTCATTGATAAAGAAACAATGACTTCTTAAAACAAACTATTTTCAAAACAACTTACTTAACCAGTGAATGATGCATATGACAGTTTTGGCTCTAGTATATTGATCACGTCAATCAATACAGAGTTACAGCAGAAATGGGATTTAGAAGACAACTGGGAATTGGTTCCCTTGCATTTTCCACCCGTAGAGCCTTCCCTTTACAGAATGTGGCTGTCAGGGCCATTATTTGTATATGAATACATTATGTCTCTTCCCTCCTTAAAACCATTTAATGACTCCTGTTTTATAATCTGAAATCCCAACATACTTTCAAAATTTCCAACATAATCTTGAGCTGTCTTGCCACACTCGTCACTTCCATCACTTTATTTAAACCACTTGGGTTTTTCTGAGGTCCTCAAGGCTCTCATACTCTCATCCCTTTGGGACTGTCATATATGTTATTTCATGTTTCTAGAATACTCCTGTCTGTATTCCACATCTAGTTAAACTAAACTCTTTTTTCAAGCCTCAACTTGAACACAGTTTTCTCCAAAAACATTCTCCTAATTCCACAGTTTGGGCTAAAGCCTCCCATGCCAATTGATGAAGTATTATGAATGTTATTAGGGCCTATTTTAATTTGAAGATTACATAGCAACTTAGAAACACCTTCTTGATACAGTTCTAAGAAAGAAAGACAGATGCAAAGTAAACTGACTGTCAGTTTATCAAAATATTCCTGCCTATGAGAAAATTTAGAAAAGAATATTTAAGAAGCAAAAATAGGTCTGTAATATAGCAATGGTGTGATTAAATGGATGGAAACAGAACTAATATAGTAAATATGTGCTATTCATGTCCATGAGTACTGTAGGGAAGGTGATATGGTTTGGCTGTGTCCTCACCTGAAACTCACTTTGATTTGTAATAATCCCCATGTGTCAAGGGCAGGGCCTGATGGAGATAATTGGATCATGGGGGCAGTTTCCCCCATACTGTTCTTGTGGTAGTGAATAAGTCTCACGAGATCTAATGGTTTTATAAGTGAGAGTTCTGCTGTGCAAGCTCTCTTGCCTGCTGCCATGTAAGACATCCCTTTGTTCTTCCTTTGTCTTCTGCCATGACTGTGAGGGCCTCCCCAGCCACGTGGAACTGTGAGTCAATTAAACTTCTTTCCTTTATAAATTACCCAGTCCTGGGTATGTCTTTATTAGTAGTGTGAGAACAGACTAATACAGAAGGAAACATATTTTTTTCCTTTTTAGGTTCTTAGCTGAGATACTCTTCTGAAAACGAAAGAGTAACAAAAGAAAAATAAATAGAAGTTTATTAACATGTGCTGTACCCATCAAATGGAAAAGACCTTAGTTCAAAAGCATCTCTCTCAAGGTAGTGGCTTAGGAGACTTGCTTAGATAGTATTTTATGAAACAGTCATAAATCCTGTATGGTGACAAGACAAATGAGACAGTATCTTCTGGCTTCCAAAAGGTGGAAATATGTGGGAAGGTAAATTTATGGGAAGAGTAGAGCCTGTTTCTAGACCTTCTGGCATCACTGTCTCTGAGTTCTGTTTCCGAGATTATAAGTAAGTGCTGCAAATGGGCCCATCTTTATGTGGGAAAGGCAGAGGGGAGGGCAGAGTTTGCCTCTGCCTTTTATCCTTCCTCTTAGCCCGACAATTCCTGGTATTTTAGAGGGAAATATTTTCATTTCCTTCTGTACCACAAAATAAGTTAAATTAATGAGTTTCTAGGCTGTATTCTAGAATTCATCATCTATCTGGAACAGAATAATGTATAATCCTGCCCCTTCTATCAGGGTTTCTCAATTTCTGTACTATTGATATTTTCAGCCAGATAATTTTTGTGTGGGAGACCTTCCTGTGCATTGCAGAATATTTAGCAGCATTCCCACTTCTATCCACTAGATCTCATTAAGTAACCCGCATCCCCTATTGTGACAACCGAAAGAATATGAACTATATTCCTGTAGAAGATGACTTGGAAAACTGGCCACAGACATTCCTCTGCCTATACCAATGTGTTTAGAATGTGACTTTAAAGCTTTTCTCAAGTGGGCTTTAAAGGTTTTCTCAAGGTTCTCCTACCTTTTTAACGTAGACTAGCTTTGTGACTTTTTTTGGCCAATACAATGAGCTGGTGGTTATGGGTCCCAGTTCTAAGCCTAGGTCTCATGAAGCTGTGTGCACTTCCACTTGCTTTTTTGCATCTTTGTCCCTCTTATCGCAATAAGCATAAGCTAGGGGACTGGAGGACTAAAGACAACATGGATCAGAGTTGAATCAGTGAGATGTCCTGGCTAAGACTCCATACATGTGAGACACCTGAGCCATGATTAACAAAAGATAACTCACAGGAAACCCACAGCTAACCACAATTGCATGAGGAATTCTACTCATGAGCAGAAAAGCATCCCTGTTGAGTCTAGCCTAAGTTCCTAAACCACAGAATAGCAAGCCAAATCAATAGTTACTTGAAGCTACTAAATATTGGGATGCTTTGTTACATAGCAATAGGTAACGGATATATTTCGTGACAATGCTTAACTTGATTGCTTCTTGAAAGTGTGTGCTAATGTCAAATCTCTGCAAAATGAAGTTTTGTGTCTTACAGCTTACTCTTCTCTCCAGATTTGCTCACAGGCATTTCCAGTTGGAATACACCTGCGTTTTCCACTAGATGTTGAATTTTCAATCTATAGTAGAGACCATCACGTCTTCCAGATTTTTGACTTATAACTAGCTAGATTTATTCTCTAAGATATAATGTGTTTTACTTGATTACAGATAATTCAGCTTTATTTAATTTATTTCACAAATTTTTAAATGAATGTATGTTTTATGAAAGTCATGAAGTTGCAAGAAAAAACAGCCTATTACTGTAAGATGTTTGTAAGAAGTAAGTTGAAACTGTTGGAATATTTTATGAAAGTAATTGGGTTTGCAGATTAATGAAGTAAAAATTATTATAATTGTATTCTAACAGTAGGACACTTTAGATGCTGGGATTGTTTGTGCTGAAATATTTGTGTTGTATAAACTTTCCACTCTATCCTAGCAACCTGAATGGTAAGTGTTCTAATGGAGACTTTTGTTTTTATATCTCATCTCACATTGCAGTGCTAAGAATAATTTTATGTATGATTTTATTTTACTCTAGTTTGGCTATTGCTACTGAGTATTGTTTAAAGCTTTTTCAAGGACGTATTTGGCAACTTTACAGATATGGAGACAGAAATATTTCTAGATTTTAAATTATAACATTTACATTATTTCAATATATTTTCAAATGGCATTTTTCAAATGTCTAAATTTCTCTCTATTTTCTTATTTGAAATTTAGACACTGTGATCAATTAATTGTAAAAGTGGCCCCAATTCTTCCCCTTCGCCTATATGTAGCCTTGCAGTGTGACTTTATAGCTTCTTCCATCAAGAAGCAGAGTTTATTTTCCTACTCTGAATTTGAACTAGCCTGTGATTTATTTTGGCCAACAGAATGTGGGCGAAATGATGGGGTGCCAGGTCTGAGATTAGGCCTAGAGGCATATGCTTTGCTCATTCTCTTGGACTCCTGCCTTTATGTGAGAACTAATCTGGCCAAGCCCACTGGAGGAGAGACCACGGGACCAGAGCCATTGAATCACCATTATGAGGCCAAGCTCTACCATCCAGCCTCCATCTGACTTGCCAGCTAATTGCAGATGGGTGAGCAAACCTAGGTGAGATCTGCCTTGCCCCACACAGGTAAGCAGAACCACCCAACACACCTGGAGTCTCGTGGGCAATAATAAATATTTTTGTTCAAGCCACTATTTTGGAGTGTTTTTTTAAGGCAGCAAAGACGAACTGTGTTATATGAAATAATTATAATAGCACAAATTTTATACCTCATATACTGTTGTGAGGATTAAATGGCTCTGTATGTGTATAAAATGTATATATAATATGTATTAAAAAGTACATGCTTGATCAATATTATTTTACGTAATATAGTGTATTGTCACAAACGACTTTATAATTTACGTTGTATTACTTTTTCTAAGTAAACAAATTGTATACATTATTTCACACATATGGTAAATTTTCAGCTTATCTGAATCTCAATTTTTACTAATTTTTAAAAAATTAACCGTACTAAATGGGAACACTTATTCAAATGTATTCTTACTTCATGTCCTTCAAAGCATTGATCTGTTACCTAAATTGTGCTTGAAAAAATATTACTGTTACAAAACTATTTTAAAGTAGAAAATCCATTGGAATGTTGTCTTTGAAAAGTTTTAGAAAACCAAATTTGGTGTGTTGGGAGTATACAGACATTTCTCTTTGAAATATGAAGTGAACACAAGTTAAGGAAACCAAACTAATTGTCCAAATTTCAGTGTGTTTCAGAATTTCTTTATTTTTTAAAATTAGGTTTTCAAAGATTTAGTTATTTATACCATTTATTGAAAATAAAAGTAGGTAAAAATAATGGGTCCTCAAAAATGAATTAGAAAATTATACTTGTTACTTGAGTAAAAGGGGAACATTTTAAGCCCCTGCTAAATGATAGCATATTCTCTGTAATACAACGTGTTCACCCTACTCTGATAAGGATGGCTATTACTGTAATTTTCCACCCAGATAAAGGACATATGGGAAAATAACATTTACTTGATTTTATTGACTTAGCTCAAGAATTGTATTATTAGTACTGACTTCTGCTAGGAAAAGCAGGCAATAATTGTTTCAAAATTCGGCTGGAATCCTGTGTTGGGCTGGTGTTTGTGTGCTAACTTTTGCAAGTGCTGTGCTTTTCAGGGGCTTCTGTGAGCTCCTGGCTTTCATTCATTTGCTCTTGTTTCAGTTGACTTTGTCATTCACGATTACATGGGGCTGTACATGATGGTCCAATGTCACTTCTCTAATTACTTGGCATTCTGCACTAAAATTTAATCCTCCTGGGTCAATAACTATTTTCTGTTTGGCATTCAACAAATAAGCATATGTGTATGGATCTATCTCCAGGGGACAGGTGTGTGGCTGATGTTTTAGGGCCTCACTAAGCACACATCTTTGATAAATCCATCCTGAATGAACGAAAGTGTTGATTTATCAAGGGCAAGCTTTAAACAATTTATTTAAATACAACTGTATCTGAACCAGAATGTGCCACATGAACGTGATTTATGGAAATGTGTTTTTCTAATGCTTTAACACATTTGATCAGTTGAACCACACCCACTTTCTTCAAGAGAAGTGTTTTTATTGTTTCCTTTTAGTAGATGAGAAAAGGAAATGTTCCTGAGATGTTAGGCAATTTGCCCAGTTTCACACCACAAATCACCAGTGGGGCTGGGATTAGAATTCACTGAACTTAGACTCTATTCATAAATCCACATCCCCTGAATCTAGAGGTCTGATGAAGAGCTTTTAGAAGTTGAATTATGATTACATTGGGAAAGATTGCATATCTCTTAAAATACATTGCCTTTTAGAAGTCTAGGAAAATAAAAAAAAAAAACCAACTAACGAACTAATAAAGAAACACAAACAAATTTTAAGCCCATCTCTTACTGTATTGGGAGAACTTTGTTTATACTCTACTCATTCAGTGCATTAAGGATTGTGTGTGTGTGTATATATATGTGTGTGTGTGTGTAAATATATATATAATGTAATATATATATATCTATACAATCCTTACATATATCTCATAAATATATCTCATATATATATGAGAGAGAGACAGAAAGAGAGGGAGAGATGAAATGAGAGAGGCTCGGGTCAACAAGATTCAAAATATTAGAATGTCTTTATGTTAAATGTTATATTAGTGTTCGCTATATTTTAGCAAATTTTCAAAAGCAGCTTTATGATTCAGAAAAATGACTAGATGTCATTTTTTTTGATATCATTGAAGCAATTCAAAGGGAGTAATTTTTCCTTTTATACCTCTGCACCCAATGTGTAGTCTTTTATCCCTTGCCACTCCTCACCCTTTCCCCTGAGTTCACAAGGTCCAATGTGTCCATTCTTACTCCTTTGCTTCCTCCTAGCTTAGCTCCCATATATCAGTGAGAACATGCAATGTTTGGTTTTCTATTTCTGAGATACTTCACTTAGAAGAATAGTCTCCAATTCCATCCAGGTTGCTGCAAATGCTATTATTTTGTTCCTTTTAATGGCTGAATAGTATTCCATTGTATAAATAATTTTCTTTATCCACTTATTGACTGATGAGCATTTGAGCTGGTTCCATATTTTTGTAATTGCAAATTGTGCTGATATAAGCATGTGTGTGCAAGTATTTTTTCATATAATGACTTCTTTTCTTCTGGGTAGATACCTAGTAGTGGGATTGCTGGATCAAACGGCCAACAGTGACCAAGCTGAGGATCAAATCAAGAACTCAAACCCTTTCACAATAACTGCAAAAAATAAAAAAAAAATCAAATACTTAGGAACATACCTAACCAAGGAGGTGAAAGACCTCTGCAAGGAAAACTACAAAACACTGCTGAAAGAAATCATAGACAACATAAACAAATGAAAACATATCCCATGGTTATTGATGGGTAAAATAATTTTATGAAAAAATCCATACTGCCAAAAGCAATCTACAAATTCAATGCAATTCCCATCAAAATACCACCAACCTTCTTCACAGAACTAGAAAAAGCAATCCTAAAATTCATATGGAACCAAAAAACAGCCTGCATAACCAAAGAAAAACTAAACAAAAAGAAGAAATCTAGAGGCATCACATTACCTGACTTCAAACTACACTGTAAGGCCATAGTCACCAAAACAGTATGATATTGGTATAAAATAGGCACATAGACCAATGGAGCAGAATATAGAACCCAGAAATAAGGTCAAATATTTACAACCAACTCATCTTTGACAAAGCAAACAAAAACATTAAGTGGGGGAAGGATACTCTATTCAACAATTGGTGCTGGGATATTTGGCAAGCCCCATGTAGAAGAATAAAACTGGATCCCCATCTCTGATTTTATACAAAAATCAACTCAAGATAGATTAAAGCCTTAAATCTAAGACCTGAAACCATAAAGATTATAGAAGATAACATTGGAAAAACCCTTCTAGACATTGACTTAGGCCGACTTCATGACCAAGAACCCAAAAGCAAATGCAACGAAAACAAAGATAAACAGATAGGACTTAAAAAGCTTCTGCACAGCAAACGAAATATTCAGCAGAGTTAGCAGACAACCCTCAGAATGGGAGAAAATCTACAATCTGTTCATCCGACAAAGGACTAATATTCAGAATCTACAAAGAACTCAAACAGATCAGCAAGAAAGAAAACCAAACAATCCTGTCAAAAAGTGGGCTAAAGACAGGACTAGACAATTCTCAAAAGAAGATATACAAATGGCCAAGAAGCATATGGAAAAATGCTCAACATCACTAATTATCAGGAAAATGCAAATTAAAACCACAATGTGATACCACCTCATACCTGCAAGAGTGGCCATAACCAAAAACCTAAAAATAATAAATGTTGGTGTGAATGTGGTGAAAAGAGAACACTTTGACACTGTTGGTGGGAATGTAAATTACTGCAACCACGATGGAGAATAGTGTGGAGATTTCTTGATTGAAATTTTTTAGGTGAGGAAGAAATCTTCCAAATTCTACTCCAAAATACATTTCCTTATTTTCATTTTTTACAAATTTAATGTTCATTTTGAAATCCATCCTTCCTAGACATGTTTTATACTTTACCTTGCAAAACTCAAAAGAAAACAAAGATTTTTGGAAAAAACACTTCTACTACATACTTGACATCTTCAGAGCACCTGCTTGCTTCCAGAGTCATGTTTCTCTTCAAAACTCAAGACAACTGAGAGTTCAAGCTTTTGAGAAATTTTTTGTTAATATCATTTATGTTCTGCTTTGAGCTAGATGGTGGAAAGTAGATAGATAGAGAGAGTTACCAAAAGTATTTCTCTGTAAATTCAGGAAAATGTATTCTCCCTGCACTGGGGGTGGGTGGGGTGGGGAGTGGAATAAGCACAGTGTTGCTCAATGTTCGCAAATGTTTCTGTGGAATGACTGGGCATCAGAATTTTGATGTATATCATGGTTCTTACATGATACCAAAAATTCTTTTACAGATTATGGCTTCCATCAGAATGGCTTGCATCAAATTTCACTTCGTTCACAATGTAGTCAAAGCCTGGCAGCAAGGTTAAAGAAACTAAGGATGCCTCTACTTTTATTCTCCAGTAACATAACAATATGGCAAATTTAACATATTGAAATGCTGAAGCAGTCACCCTTGTCCCTTACCTTAGGCTCATTCAGGTATCAGATATTGTGTAAAGTCTGAAGAACCAATGCAAAAAAAGTAAAATTAAAGTCAATTGTAGCACATTGCTTTTCTGTTTCGGGTAGTAGAAAAGTAATAGGGTCCTAAGAAACAACATACAATTTCTTTCCAAGTTGCTGAGTTGCCCTGATTGGCTCTTGTTCTCATTGGCAAATAGGTGCTGGAATCCCAAAAGGGGAAAAATAATGATGCTTTACTGTTCCATCCCTGTTGGTCAGAATCATGTCTCAATACCTCTGCACAAATTAGAATTTTTTTTTTTTTTTTTTTTGGCGGGGGTGGCAGGGAGAGTTAGCTACACTTACTACTTTCACATCTGTATAACCAAGAGAGTAAGTAGAAAGGAGATCTTCCGCATCTGTATTTCTCTGAGAGAATGGATAATAAAATCAAGATAACACACTGGGAAGTACTGTATTACAGATTGGTTGAATTAGCGAAGGATAGAGAGACCAAGACGGCCTTATCTCAACGTAAATGACTTGGAACACAACAGCAGGTCAGACCTGAAAAAGTTAATGTGAACGTGGGTCACTGTCTTCTGTGCACATGTGTGTGCATGCTTGTGTGTGAAATATATATATGTCAAATACTATTATCTACTTTATAGCAAGTTGTAGTCTTATGTACTGGAATATAACTGTAGAAGGGTTGTATCATCTGAGTTATTGATGAATAGAATCGAGCTCAGAGTGAGAACAGAAGCCATTTGTAGACATCAAATCTCAATAAAAAATGAATATTTCATTAGAGATAGAGGTTTGAATTAATTTTTGGAAGTTTCCTTTGTTTCAGAAAAATTATTTTGATAATGTGATAGTAAAGAAGTGATATGATTATAAAATAGGAAAAGGCTATGCGTGAGGAAATAAAATCTGCTTCATACTAGATTTTTTAAAATTTAAATTTATTTATTTATTTTTGAGACAGGGTCTCACTCTGTCATCCAGGCTGGAGTGCAGTGGTGCAATCACTGCTCACTGAAACCTCCAACTTTCTGGCTCAAGGGATCCTTCCAGCTTAGCCTTTGGGACCACAGACATTTGCCACAATGCCTGGCTAATCTTTGTATTTTTTTGTAGAGATGAGGTTTCATTATGTTGCCCAAGTTGGTCTTGAAATCCTGGGCTCAAGCCATCCTCCCACCTTGGCCTCCCAAAGTGGTGGGATCACAGGTGTGAGCCACCATGACTCACCATTTATACTAATTTATAAAAATTTTCTTCAATGAGGTAAGAGCTATATCCTGCAAATTTAAGTAATACTACTAGCTAGTGGAAGTGATTTACGGGACAAGCTGGAGTCTGTCAGGAGTGAGGAGAAAGCAACTTTACTCATTTATTCTCTTCTATAGTTCCTTCAAATTTGCCTTACTGGGTTACTCTTTCCTTCCTACCCGCAGGTGAGATAAAAGTGTGCACAGATGGCAAAAATTAACGAATAGTCATGGTTTAGTAGTGATAAAAATTCTAGTTTCACCAAATTAAAGTTTTTTTTCTCTCATCTGTCCTCGCTACTTCTTTTCTACACCCAGCTTTAGCTGGATTCATGTTTGAAATACCACATAGTGAGATTAATAATGAGAGTGTTTTAGATAAAAAAAAGCAAGCTATTAGTGTTCAAATCTTAATTATAATATAATTTTATTTTAGACACAGTGAATAATGTTTGATGTGTATAGAAATTCTAAATAGTTGCCTTCCAAAATTGAATCCATAATAATATAAGAAGGAAGGAAGTCATAGATTTGTGTCTAAACTGGACACCAGACCCAGATGATCCGACAAGTGCTTAGTTTCTAAACACTGACAGCAGATCATTTCAATTGCACAAAGTATTCCAGATCACAGAACAGGACAAAAAGATATTCAATTTACTTTAATAGACTAATATTTCTAATATAAAAAGAGATAAGATCGGGGTAGAAAATACAAAAAAATGGTGGGGGGAAGAAAGCTAACCTTAAATCATGCAAAAAAACAAGCAATAAAGTAAATCCAGCACTCAAAAATTAATCTTATATATCCATTGGGATGTGCAAATTTTAAATAAAACATTATTAAAATAAGTTTATTGGTTATTAAAATAATGATATAGTTAAGTGAGTTCCATTTGTTATTTGCCTTGCAATAACAAAATGATTAAATATTACAAATAATATTGAAGTGAAAATACTTATCAATATATTAAAGAGAAAATTTATTCATCTCAATCAATGCTCTGAATGTATTTGTGACAATTTTATTTCCAAATATATCCAAATATATTTGGGAAGTAATATTAAAAGCAGTTCAAATTAAGTAAAAATAAAGCAAGATAGTTGTTCTCACTAATACTATTGAATAATAAAAGGCCACTTGTTTTTATTAAAAATTATGGAAAAAATAAAAGATTTATGCTTTTATTACTTACTAGAAAACTCTTTTGCATTTTGTAGGAAATATGATAATCAACCTAAGAATGTGATAATCTCAGAATTAACTGAGAAACACTAAACTAAAATAGTTTAACAATATGACCAGTTATGTTATTGACATAAAATTGTTGTTTATTATGCTTCAGAAATAAGCAATTTAAAATGAAATATGTTTTCATCTAACATAGCAGTAAAATTATAAAATAAATTGGAATAGAACTGATCATAATGTATAAGACCAATATAAACAGAAATATAAAACTGCACTAATGAGCAGAATTTCTGTATGAATAGAGAAACATACCATGTTTCCGTGTAGAAATTCCTGATATTGTATTTTGTCATTTCTTCCTTAATTTATACATAAATGCAGTACAATGTTATTAAGAAATTAGTACAGTGTTTTCATGCAAACTGATGAACTGATTCTAAAACTCATATAACAAATAGCAAATTGCAAAAATAACTTTTAAAAATTATGGAACAAGACAGTGGGCTTAGGAAAAGTCAAATCTGAGAATTTACTATAATAGTGGCTTTTTGAGATGTTAGAGAAAGAATAAGCAAATCAATGAATCGATCTGGGATTCTTGGCTATTTATAAAATAACAAATGTAAACCTGTAATGTACTATTTGCCAAAATAAATTAAATTCCTGACATATTCAAGAAAAAACTGAAAAAAAATTTAAATATTAGCAGAAAATATAGAAAAAGAAGTTTATGGCATATCAATAGCAAATGTCATCTTAAATACAATATGAAATGCAAAGCAAAAGAAAAAGCTAGATCACGTTGATAAATTATAAATTTCTGATCCCAAAAGGAACAGCATCTAAAAAGTTAAAAAGAAACACAGCACTGACAGTAAAATATTTCAAATATTTAGAAGATGTCAAAAATATATGTGAATAAAAATGAAGTAAAAAAACCAGACAATTTACTGAAAGGACATTCTAATTGTCAGTAATATCTGAAAACATGTTTAATTTTGTTGACAAGAAAATAGCAATACAAAATGCCATTGTTTACCAATAAATCTAACAATAAAAAAGGAAGCTTAGATATATCAAAAGTAGGTCTCATTTGATGTAAATGTTGGAGCATAAATAGTTATAGGCATGCCAGAGGGCTATTTAACGAGGCTTATTAAGGTTTCACATATTTACATGTCTTCTGTTACATATATATTCAAGGCAACTGTCACAAAAATGACAGTGACAGCAAAGTTTGAAATAATTAAAAATATTGAAACAAATATAAAAGCTCATTGATAAACAATTATTTCAATAAACTACATAGACACACATTCTATGGAAGAAATACAATGAAATGGTTAAAAATATTAGAATTCATGCATGTATATTTATAAAACTATTCTCAGTATATTCCAGAAATGAAAACAATAGATGATACTCACAGAGAGCTTCTATATACCAGATATTGATCTAAGCTCCAGTCATATTAACAAAATCCTCCCAAAAACTTGAGGCAAAACTATTGTTATACCCATTTCACAGAGAAGTTATTTAAAATGAAAAATATATACATATTATCTTTTTTCTTAGATTCTTAGAAAAGTATGTAATTTTAGTGAACAACCTGTAAAAAGGACATCAAATTTATCCTGATGATTATCTTTCCAAGAGTGGGTCTGGATTTGGGCATGGTATTCAAGGGAAATTACATATGCTGATTAACTTTTTGTTTAACCAAATTCATCTATTCAATTAATCAAATATTTAATGGACATAATGTAATGGATTTAGATCTATGAAATGCAGTTTACTAAATTTTATCTTGAAAATATAAACTTTATTTACCTGGAAAATACTCCTAATTAGTTATCATATATATCTTATTGTTGGACCATGGATTTCAAAAAATTTATTATTACTTAACATTGAAAAAAACACATAGTAAATATCATAAATGTGCATAATATACATTTACAAATCAACTAAAATGCATGGTTGGTGTGAATAAAACTAAATTATTTTTGAAATTATGTAAATGCCAAAAGGCAGAGTAAACATAGCTCAACACAAATGTCTTGGTACATTCAGATATCAAAATCTGCATGTATATTTTACACAAAGAGATATGAAGCATAAATTTAAGTTTAGTGTATTGCCTAGAGAATTGCATTTTCTTCCTAATTAAGGTTTTCTGGTGTCATTATTTATGTTGACTAGTCCATTTTTCCCTACATTATGAGATTATTGAATATTTTTAAATAGCTGAGAAAGTACTCAGAAGTACAAAGTAACAAAGGTATGTCAAAGGGATACAAGATCCAACCTGAAAGGGCTCCCAATAGCTAGGGCTGCAACATATTATATAATATGCTATTGGATTATGAGCCAAAATATCAAATAAATATCCACGAGTGTCTATTGGTATAAATAATGACTGAATAATTAAATACATGGGGGAGATGAAATAATCTCAATTACAGAATATCAAATAACTTATATACATACCCATTCCTCAAGGAGGTTGTCTTAGTCCACTCTCACACTGCTATAAAGACAGACCCAAGACTGGGTAATCTATAAAGGAAAGAGGTTATTTGACTCACAATTCTGCATGTTTAGGGAAGCCTTAGGAAACAGAATCATGGCAAAAGGTGAGAGAGAAGCAAAGGCATGTCTTACCTAGCGGCAGGCAAGAGAGAGTGAACCAGTGAAGACGGAAGAGCCTCTTATAAAACTATCAGATCTCCTGAAAGAACTCACTATCATGAGAACAGCATGAAGGAAACTGCCCCCATGATCCAATCACCTCCCACCAGGTCCTGCCCTCCACATGTGGGGATTGTGAGGATTACAATTCTAGCTGAGATTGGTTGGGGACATAGAGCCAAATCATATTAGAGGTGGAACTTTAAAAGTGAGCTGAGCTTAGTGCTTTGTTTCAGAAGAATAGAGCATTGAAAACAAAAATAAAAACAAACACTTTACAGTGAAGAAAACTGCAAACATTATTTTAGCAAGGTGACCTGGTTAACATCATTGGTGTTAAATCAAACTGAAGTGTGTACCCTTGATCTGGTATCATGAGAATGGCACTTCACCTCTGTAACCTTTTCCCCCAAAATCATACTATTTTTTTTCCAACCATGAGACAAACAAACATTGAAAGCATTCTATAAATTAGCTGATCAGCACTCCTTAAAACTCATTGGAAGTCATTGAAAGCAAGGTAAGTCTAAGCAACTCCCTCATCCAGAGGAGGCTAAGGACACATGAAGACTGAATGCAGTGTAGTAACCTGAATTGAATCATGGAACAGAAAAGGGACATTCCAGAAAAACAAATGGACTGCAAATAAACATGGTGTTCAGTTAATAAGAATGTATCAATGTTGGTTCATTATTTGTGACAAAGATACAATAATAATATAAGAAGTTAATAGTAGGGCAAGCTGGGTTTGGGGTAAACGGGAACTCATCATGCCTTTGCAACTTTTCTGTAAATCCCAAACTATTCTATAATCAAAAGTTTATTTATAAAATGAAGGTACAGTTCTGCTTGGGGATCATCACCATCTAAACATCAGTGAACAGGGTAATCCACTTCATGGTAGATATGGGTATCAGGAAATAAATGACTAGAAATGGAAATACTTATGAACAGCATAAAGTGATGAGGTCATTTCTTTAAAAAATATAACATTAGGGTTTATATTGAAACTTGCTTGTGTATTTCTAATTAAATATAAGTATAGAAAATAGTTGTTTAATTTTAGGTTGATCATCTGAAATCTGCCTTCTTTCCCCAATATCATAACACATTTTGGAATCTACACATACTTTTATGTTAGCCATAGTTTATAATCTCTTAGCAAATTTGATGAATCTAAGAATTAAGTTGCTCATGCCTGTAATCCCAACACTTTGGGAGGCAGAGGCAGGCGGATCACCTGAGGTCAGGAATTCAAGACCAGCCTGGCCAGTATAGGGAAACCCTGTCTCTACTAAAACTACAAAAATTAGCTGGGCATGTTGGTGGGTGCCTGTAATCCCAGCTACTTGGGAGGCTGAGGCAGGAGAATCACTTGAACCCGGGAGGTGGAGGTCGCAGTGAGCCGAGATCATGCAACTGCACTCCAGTCTGGGTGACAGAGTGAGACTTTGTTTCAAAAAAAAAAAAATTAATTGTTCGGTGTCAAATGCCACACATCAGACATTCATGAACTTGGATACCTCATTAACTTGTCATTGTTATGGCTCCTGAGATTGTTGGAGACTTTAGACACATTTGTCCTTGTATTTGCTTTCTAATTTTGTGGGTCATAAAACAGATGTACTTATTACAGATTCCAAGGAGACAAAGAATAGAAAGACATAAAATCATTTTTAGAAATAATCTGCTATCATTAAGTATCATGTGACTATATAAACAGAAAACAAAATAGTTTCGTGGGGTGTATTATCAATGTTTTCACAGAGAGAAATGCCAGCCTTTCTCTGCAACTATGATGTTATAGAGAAATAAAATTCGTCCTGTTTAAATTGCTTATTTATGAAAATTTTCTCACTTTTGCCTACTTTCAATGAAAACAAGACAACTGTGTTGAAATCACTTTGAAATGAGCAAGAATCCCACTTTCCTTCTCTGTAAACCAGCCGTCATTTTTTTTAAACAATTTTGCTGAGCTCTGCAATATGAGAGTATCTGCTTGTATATCCACTTATAAGGAATGAGAAAATGGAAATATACTAATTTCTTTAAATTGTATTTTGTCATCCTTATAAAATGGCAAGATGACATTTAGCAGAGAAAAAAAGGCAACCGAATAATTTATCTCCTCTCTCCTCCGTCTCTCTCTCCCCATTCCTTTTTCTCTCTCTGGCTGGCTGTTTCTATTTCTCTCTGCCTCTTATAGCCACTCATGTAATAGTTGCAGAGTTAGTGTAAAGCAGCCTGTGGTAGACTTCCAATTGCAAAGCTGTGCATGTTGGGGTCTGAGGACTTTGTTTGAAACCCTCTTTCCCTCTAAGGTCACACCGAATGCTAAGGAATTAGACTCCTGAAGCACAATCTTAATCCCATGAAGAACAGGAGTTGGTATACAAATGCTCCAGTATCTTCTCCCCTTGCCTAGGAATTTTCCTAAGATGGAAAAATCCTAAGATATGTGTTTACCTAGTTCTCACAATTCTCCACGTGGTTAAATTACGGATGATCACTGTGGTTTTTAGCTTCCTGCCCCTTTTTCATCTCACTTCTTCATTCCCCTGTGATTATGGTCTCTGTCTTCCAAATAAAGCCATTGCACTGGAATCATTATCTTGGGATTTAGTTTCAGGGGAACAGGCACTACTGAAGATGGTCAGAGTCATTGTGGAGAAGAATATAGAAAAGTATAAGAAAATGGATTGCAAGATCCAGTAATTTATACGGAGTTTTAACACTGAGCAAATGATTCTGTGTCTTAATCTTGTGTTTAGAATAATACTTTTCTGACATGAGCACCTTTGTGTTTTAATACAATCAAAAGTAATGCATGTTTTGATGAACGAACATATAGTATAATAATCTCATTAATTGTTTGTGTCACCAAAGGTGCAGAATCTCTTTAAGAAAAAAGGAAAACGGAAAATATCAAGTAGGCATAAAGTAGATCCTCTTAGAACTTCCAAGGGAAGAATTCTGTAAGAATAACTAGTATATTAGTTATATTAGTCCCAAACTCACCACTAAAATGTGGAAGACTTTATGGTCCAGTGCAACATGAAGGAAGGCATGTTGAAGAAGTATGTCTCAGGTTTTTCACTTCATTGACTCATTCATTTATCAAATATTTGCTAAATATACCATTTGCACTTTGCTGTATTATCACTGTGATATATAATTTGAAGATTTTAAAATTCAGGGTTTATTTCCTTCTACCAAGTAAACTTTGAAATCAGTACCAATTTCAGAAACTTCAAAGATCACATATTTTACCACTGCAGAGAAGAAGGTAAGTGTATCCTTTCTATGTGTGAAGTGGAAGCTGTATCTCTTTTAGATTATTGTTGTTTGAGGTTATAACCTCAGCACACTGGGGTTTACAGAAGTTTAGAGAGAACTATAGGGTATAATGAAAGACAATTTCAGAAAGGACTAAAGAGGATATTGGGACAGATGCAATATTTCATAATAATGATAGTGTTAATGATATTTATGTTAACAATAACCATTTCTGTTTATTTTACAGTTATATGAACCAGACAATCTGCAAGGCCCTTTATATGTGTTATCTTATTTAATTTTCAGAATAACACTGTGAGACAACTGTTATTTTGACCATTTTGTATATTAGAAAACTGAAGCTCAAAGCAGTGAACTAAATTTTCCAGGATTACACAGCAGGTTAGAAAAGTAATTAAAACACAGGTGCGTCTAACCATAAAGCCTATACTCTGTAGTAGTATGAGACACTGGTTCTCACTATGAGGTTAAAATAAAAGGATTTATTAAATGTATAAGCAACACATTAGCATATTTTTTAGTAAGTGGTTAAAAAAAAACCCTGTAGCTGACATTTGAATAACACAGGATTTTATGAAGGAGATATTTTTTATTCATACTGGTAATAGATAAGACAAAGGTAGTCTCTAAAATTATTTTCTCTAACTTAATGACCTTAACATCATATTTTTCTCCAACTGACATTTTTCTTACCTGAAAATTTTGCCTCTCATGAATATTTTGCCTCTCATGTATTTTAGCAGTGGGAGCACAAAGAGGGGATGTGTGAATTTTTAAAGAAGAAAGCACAGTAATATAATGCTCTCATCTGGCTGTGGGAAGGACCTAACTATCCAAACTAGTATCTCAATATGAATTTGTTCCTTATAAATGTCTAACTTGTGAATCATGTGACTAATTTGCATGAAATAAACCCAGTTTCCTTCATTGTATAAATGCCTTCTTATACTTGGCAACATACAAAAATTATACTTTTTTTTCTGCCTTCTTCTAAACTTAGAGTCTAAACCGCATATTCAAACTGCACCTTCACTAAGGACACATTTATATATAACTAATATATCTCCATAAGTCTTTTGTCATAGGAGGTGTTTATTAATCTCATTGTTTCTATGTTCTTTTGCTATCTAAGCTTATTTTACATAATAAATGAGTTTGTAAAAGTCTTTAGGATTGTATCATTTAATGGAAAATTGTGTATATTCATTTATATTATTTTATCTTGGTTGATTCAATAATTCATTAGGAAGGGCTGTTTTTGGAGTTGCTAACACAGAGAGAGGAAATGAGAGAGAAGAATTACTCCTGAGTAAAAACCTTATTAACAACTATTCAATGAATTTAATCCTTTCTGGAATGCTGCCACCATTTATGTTTGGCATGCTGACTTATATTAAATGTTATGCCTGTAGTTTTCAAGTACACACCGGAAACATTCTTCTAATTATTAAGGCACTGGGGAAAATTTAACCTGATCTGTCCTGAGATTCTACTGTTAAAAAAAAATCAATATAACATTAAAAGTCATCAGTCTATCATTAAACACAGAAGAAGCAAGAGAGAAACTCATAAGTGAACTAAAATATGCTCGTCAAAAATTAAGCAGTCTTAATCGCTACCAGTGATTACTGTTCATATAGAGACACTGAGAAAAAGATATGTCAGTTATTTCCGTCCAAAATATTAAGCATTTCCAAAATGACTAATTAAGAATTGCTGATTCAGAAATAAAATTTTCACTTGGTTTAAAATGTATATAGTTGTGTGCCATTGAATTCTTGGGTTTACAGAGTTTTGTGTAAAATATAAATGACAAAATCATAATTATAATTTTTTTATTAATTTTTTTAAGAAACATACCTGATGAAGAAAATGAGGAATAAAATGCACAATGACCATTTAGACAGTTTTTATTTAGTTAGAAATATTTATTATTTACCATCTATTAGCAATGCACTTTACTGAGTGTACACTGTGTAAAGACACACAAACTTTGGCCTAGCTTCTGTTTTAAATTAGAGATTAAGAAAAGTTGACAAATAATAGCAAAGCATAATAGGAAATAAAAGTATCAATAAAGATGTACAAAGACATCCTGTTGTCTACTCACATCTCTGAATCAAACAGAATTTAAATCAACTTATTTATATCTTCTATGAATATTAAACAAGGCAAGCTTATATTTGGTTTTGGAGAAAATGAAGAGGTGTTCAATGATGGATCCGAAAAAAGGGTGAGATTGAAATAGAAAAAATAATATTCTAGGAAAAAATATTGACAAGCCTTAATTTATCAAGTTCCCTTGAACCATGCTGTGTGTATAAGGGAGGTGGAAACATTTTACCTGCATTTTATAGCCCATAATTTTGATAAATTTTATTTTCACTTTATTTTCCAGAAATTCATGAAATTTGCTTTGTACTTCTTCTTTGATTTAAAATGTAATTTTTATTCACCAGTGGAAGGACCTTTTTTATTTTTGATATGTTTTCAATGTAAGTTTTATTTCATTGTAGTTAGAAAATGCTGTTTTTGTTATTTGAATCTTTGGAAACTATGGGTGGGAGGGTTGTTTTTGTTGCTTGTCTTTTGTGGTCTAATATATGAGAAGTTCTTGATGAATGTTCCATGAGTATTTTAAAAAGTGTATTTATTTTTACCATGGCTCGTGTATATAAGTATATGTGATAAACACACACACTTTTGATTATGTTTTTTAGATTTTCTATATTTATTTACATTTTGTCTACTTAATTGTAAGAGATGTCTTAAAATTTCCTGTGACCAGTGAGATTCTTTCTACCTTCCTTGTATATGTTTTATTTCTGCTCTAGGAGAGTTGTTGGCCGTTTTAAGGAGCATAACTATCAACCACTTTTCATTTGCCTTCTTCTAGCATATAACATGTCTAAGGAAATGTGAACATAAAAGTAGTGTTGAATTAATTTTAACAAAGCGAGCACACCCATGTGTGATGCAGTTAGCCAATAAATAGAACATTGCCATCACCCAAGAAGCCCCTGGCGTCCTCCCAGTCACTGACCCCTCTCCCTAAGTAAAAATATACTGGTTTTGAACATCAGGTTCAACTTTGCCTGTTTTTGAACTTTATATAAATGAAATTATGCCATCTATTTGTTTACCTAAAATGATATTTGTAAGATTTATTCCTATTTCATTCAACAATAATTTATCCATTGTCATTGAATATATGATATTCCATAATAGTAGTTGCTGACCTGGCGATGGGTGCTCAGAGCTGTCCAGCTGAAGAGACCAATGTCAGCAAACATCCTCCATCTGTCATCTCCTTCATGTTCTGTTTTAGCTGCAGAGAACTCCCTCACTTACGTTATGTACTTCCTGGGACACTCCACATCTGGTTACTGAGTATGATGAGTGTTACAAAATCCCCACGAATTTAACCCAATCTAGACAACTCTGATGGGCAGTTCGCATGCCTGAGATCCTGGCCTGTTTCAGACTAAGGCTTTGATGTTCCTGCATCAGTTCGACTTGCCTCTCTGTTCAATGAGTACTTCTTTTTCCTTCTTTTCACAGGTATTGGTCCCTAATGATCATCTTGCACTCCAGACTCCATCTCAGAATCTTCCTCCAGAGAACTCAACCTGTGAAACCATTATAGAAGATGTTTATCCACTCGACTGTAGAAGGGCATCTGGGCTGCCCTCAATTATTGGCTTTTTTCAGTAGAGCTACTGCAAACATTCTAGTAAATTTCTTTGGGATATATATTTAGGAGTAGGATTGTTGGATAACAGCATTTGTTTGCTTAAGTTTAGTAAACACATTTTTATAAAAGGCTATACCAATTTACTACCAATGTACAAAAAATTTAGTTACACAACTCTTCATTCAATCTTTGTTGGTTGAGACAGAGAGAGCATAGGGAAAAAAGACAAAAACCTTTGTATTTTAGTGTGCTATATTTTAGCTTTGTTGGTGAGTGTGTAGTGGTATCTTGCTGTGGTTTTAATTAACATTTCTCTGATGACTAATGTAATTCAGCAAAATTCAAATGTTTGTTGGATATTTGGACACTCGTATATCTTTTTTTTGCATGAAGTGGCTGCTTGAAGTCTTTTGCTAGTTTTAATTGAGCTGTCTTTTTCTTTTTGATTTTGTAGTCTTTCATTTTTCTGAATGTATTTCTCTTTTCAAATATGCATATTGTAAATGCCTTCTTTTAATATGTGATTTACTTTGACATTCACATAATGGTAATTTTGATTAACAGAAGTTCTTAATTTTAATGTCATCCAATTATCATTTTGCTCTTTAAGCTAATGGTTTCTGTGTTTGATTTAACAAATGTTTCTTACCCAAGGCAGTGATAATATTGTTCTGTTTTCTACTAAAAGTGTTATTGTTTAGCCTTCTACATACTGTGAGGCACTTTTCAAATACTATTATTTTCCTGCATAGAAGTCCATTTGATCCAGCATCTCTTGGTGAAAATTCCATTTGTTACCCACTGTTCAAATGGGGGTAACAAATTTGTCATGGAGAAATTCATCATGAAGAAATTCCTCATGTCTGTGTCTCTTTGTAACATGCCTGACTGGCTTATTGTCTAATACTTCTGCTGTAGTTTTATATGTTAATATCCAATTATGCTAGTGCTCCAGCTTTTAAAATTTTTATTTTTAACATTTGTGGGTACATAGTAGGTGTATATATTTATAGGGTACATGAGATATTTGATACTGGCATGCAATGCCTAATAATCACAGCAGAGTGAATGGGGTTTCCATCACATCATGCATTTATATTTCCTTGTGTTAAAAAAATCCAATTACACTCTTTTTGTTATTATAAAATGTGTGATAAACTATTGTTGACTGTAGTCACCAGGTTATGCTATTAAATACTAGAATTTATTCATTCTATCTAACTATATTTTTGTATCCATTAACCATTTCCACTTACCTCTACCCACTACACTTCCTAGCCTCTGGTAATCAACATTCTACTCTCCATCTCCATTAGTCCAAGTGTTTTAATGTTTTTCAGCTACTACAAATTAGTGAGAACATGCAAAGATTGTCTTTCTGTGCCTGGCTTATTTCACTTAACCTCCAGTTTCATCCATATTACTGCAAATGACAGAATCTCAAAACACCTCCAGTTTCACACGTTATTGCAAATGACAGAATTGTATTCTTTTTTTATGTCTAAATAGTGCTCCATAAGGTATACCTACCATATTTTCTTTATCCGTTTGTCTGTTATTGGACACTTAGGTTGCTTCCAAATCTTGGCTATTGTGGATAATGTTGCAATAAATATGTGAGTGCAGACAACTCTTCAATATACTGATTTCCTTTCTTTTGGTTATATACCCAGCATTGGGATTGCTGGTTCATCTGGTAGTCTTATTTTTAGTTTTTTGAGAAATTTTCAAACTGTTTTTCATAATGATTATACTAACTTACATTCCTGCCAAGAGTTTATGAAGGGTTACCTTTTCTCCACATCCTGGCCAGCATTTGTTATTGCACATCTTTTGGATAAAAGCCATTTTAACCAGAATAAGATGATATCTCATTGGAGCTTTGATTTGCATTTCTCGGATGATCAGTAACATTGATCACCTTTTTATATACTCCTTGCCATTTGAATGTCTTCTTTTGAGAAATAGCTGTTAACATTTTATGACAATTTTCTAGTTGGATTATTAGATTTCTTTTCCTATCAACTTGTTTGAACTGCTTATATATTTTAGTTATTAATTCTTTGTCAATTAGATAGTTGCAAATGTTTTCTCCCATAATGTGGGTTATCTCTTTGTTGAATGTTTCTTTTGCTGAGCAAAAGCTTTTTAACTTGATGTGATCCCATTTGTCTATTTTTGCTTTGGTTTCCTGTGCTTGTATGATATTACTCATGAAATCTTTGCACAGTTCAATGTGCTGCAGAGGTTCCCCAATGTTTTCTTTTAGTAGGTTCATGGTTTGAGATCTTATGTTTAACTTTTTAATTCATTTTAATTTGATTTTTGTAAATGGTGAAATATGAGGGTCTAGTTTCATTCTCTGTATATGGATGTCCAGTTTTTCCAGCACCATTTATTGAAGAGACTGTCTTTCCCCAGTGCATGTTCTTGGCACCTTTGTTGAAAGTGAATTCGCTATAGATGTATGGATTTATTTCTGGGTTCTCTATTATGGTCCATTGGTCTATGTGTCTGTTTTCATGCCAGTAACATTCTGTTTTTGTTCCTATTGCTGTGTGCAGTAATTCGAAGTCAGGTCATGTGATTCCTCCAGTTTTGTTCTTTCTACTTAGCTTTAGCTATTCCAGGTATTTTGTGGTTTCATATACATTTTTAGAATTTTTTTTAAATTTCTGGGATGAATACCATTGGTATTTTTATAGGGATTGCATTGAATCTGTAGACTGCTTTAAATAGTATTGACATTTAAACAATATTGATACTCCCAATACACAAACATGGAATATCTTTTCATTTTTTGTATCCTCTTCAATTTCTTGCATCAGTGTTTTATGGTTTTCACTGTGGAGCTCTTTCACTTCTTTGGTTAAGTTTATTCCTAAGTCTTTTATTTTATTTAATTTATAGCTGTTGTAAATGGGATAACTTTCTTGATTCAAATTATTCACCGTTGACATATTAAAATGCTACCTATGTTTGTATGTTGATTTTGTTTCCTGTAACTTATCAATTCTATTTTTTTTTGGTGGAATCTTTAGGTTTTTCCAAATTTAAGATTATGTCATCTGCAAACAAGGATAATTTGATTTTTTTTTTACTTTCCAATTTGAATGCCCTTTCTTTCTTACTCTTGTCTTATGACTGTAGCTAGGACTTCCAGTACTACGTTGAATAACAGTGCTGAAAGCAGGCATTCTTGTTTTCTTTCAGTTCTTAGATGAAAGGCTTTCAGTTTTTCCCCCTTCAGTATGATACTAGTTGTGGGTCTGCCGTATGTGGCTTTTATGTGTTGATGTATGTTCCTTCTGTACCCAGTTTTTAAAATATTTTTATCATGAAGGAATATTGAATTATAGCAAATGCTGTTTCAACATAAATTGTAATGATTATATGTTTTTTGTCCTTCATTTGGTTGATATGATGTATCACATTGAATGATTTGCCTATGTTGAAACATCCTTGCATTGTTGGGATAAATCACATTTGGATGTAATGAATGGACTTCTTAATGTGTTGTTGAATTCAGTTTGCTAGTATTTTGTTCAAAAATTTTGCATCAATGTTCATCAGGGATATTGGCCTGTAGTTTTCTTTTTTTGTGTGTCTTTGTCTGGTTTCAGTATCATGGTAATTCTGGCCTCATAGAATGAGTTTGGAAGTATTCCTTTGCCCTCTATTTTCCGGAATAGTTTGAGTAGGATTGGTACTATTTGTTCTTTAAATGTTTGGTAAAATTAACCAGTGAAACCATTGGGTCCTGGGCATTTCCTTGCTTGGAGGCTTTTTATTATGGCTTTGATCTAAAGACTTCTTATTTGGTGGCTGAGGTTTTGGACTTCTTCATGGTCCATGGTCCACTTCTTCATGGTCCACTTATTAGTAAGTTTTATGTGTTTAGGTTTCTCCATTTATTCTAGGTTTTCCTATTTATTGGCATATAGTTTGTCAGAGTAGCCTCTATTGATCATTTGCTTTTCTGCATTATCAGCTGTAATGTCTTCTTTTTCATCTCTGATTCTGTTTATTTTGGACTTCCGTCTTTTTTTCTTGTTTAGTCTGGCTAAATATTTGTCAATTTTGTTTATCTTTAAAGAAACACATAACTCATAACTTTTTGTTTCATTGGTTTTTGTATGGTTTTCTTGTCAAATTCATTCATTTCTGCTCTGATATTTTTAATTTCTTTTTTTTTAGTAACTTGGGGTTTGGTTGGCTCTTGCTTTTCTAGTTCTTTAAGATGCATCATTATTAGGTTGTTTATTTGAAGTTTTTCTCCTTTTTTGATGTAGGTGCTTATTGCTATAAACTTTGTTCTTGTTGCTTCTTTCACTGTATCCCATACGTTTTGGTATGTTCCATTTCATTTTTATTTATTTCAAGAAATTTTAAAATTTCCTTCTTAATTTCTCCATTAACTTGCTGCTAATTCAGGAGCATATTGTTCAATTTCCATGTATTTGTGTAGTTTCCAAAGCTCCTCTTGTTATTGATTTCTAGTTTTATTCCATTGTGGTCAGAGAAGAAACTTGATACAATTTCATTTTTTTTTTTTTTACTTTTCAATGGTTTATTTTGTGACATAGCATATGGTCTATCCTTGAGAATGATTTATGTGCTGAGAAGAATGTATGTTCTTCAGCTGTTGGATGAAATGTTCTGTAAATATTTGTTAGGGTTATTGAGTCTATAGAACAGATTATGTCCTTTTTTTTTTTTGGTTGTTGTTGTTGTTTTTGATTTTCTGTGTGAAAGATATAGCCAATGGTAAAAGTGGGGGTGTGGAAGTCGCTTGCTATTAGTGTATTGTGCTCTTTCTCTCTCTTTAGCTCTAACAATATTTGCTTTATGTATCTGTGGTTTTCAGTGTTGTGTGCATATATATTTACAATTGTTATATCCTCTTGCTGAATTGACCCCTTTATCATTATAAAATAATCATTTTTTTCTGTGTTTTATGGTTGTCCTGAAACCTATTTTGTCTCATATAAGTATAGCTACTCCTGCTATTTTTGGTTTCCATTGCATAAAATATCCTTTTCCACCCCTTTATTTTCACTCTATTTGTGTCTTTATAGGTGAAGTGTGTTTCTCATGGGCAACTGATAGTTCGGTCTTGTATTTAATTTATTCAGCCACTCTATGTCTTTGATTAGTTCAATTACATTCATTATTATTATTAATGAGTTAGGACCTACTCCTGCTATTTTATTATTTGATTTTTTGTTTTGTTTTGTGGTCTTCTTTTCCTCCCTTCTTTTATTTCTGTCTTCCTTTTAATTAAGGTAATTTTTTTCTGGTGGTGTGTTTTAATTTCTTGCTTTTTATTTTTTGTATATCTGTTATACCCCTTTTTTATTTGAAGTTACCATGAGGCTTGCAAATAACATCATTATTTTAAACTGATGACAATTTAACACTGATTGCAAAACAAATAAACTAGCAAGCAAGCATAGAGAAAACTAATAAAAACTCTACACTTTAACTTCATTCTCCACTTTTTAACCTTTTGTAGTTTCTGTTAATAAGTATTTTATTTCTTGAAAATTTGTTGAAGGTTTTATTTGTTATGGGTGCATGTTTCTGTCTTTCTACTCAAACACTCTGATGCATTTTTCAGTATGTCAATTGCATTTTTGAACTCCAGAATGTCTACATAGTTCTTTTTAATTATTTCAATCACTTTGTTAAATGTATCTGATAGAATTCCTAATTTCTTCTCTGTGTTAGATTTCATCAAGATTCCTCAAAATTACTATTTTGAATTCTTTGTCTGAAATGTCACATAACTCTATTTCTGTCTTTCTTGGGTTGATCAGTGACTTATTTAGTTTGTTTGGTGAGTTCGTTTTTCGGAATGGTCTTGGTGCTCGTGAATGTTTGTCAGTGTCTGGGCTCTGGGCATTAAAGAATTAGGTATTTATTGTGGTCTTCACAGCCTGCGCTTGTTTGTACCCATTCATGTTGGGAAGGCCTTCCAGGTATTTGAAGGGACTTGCGTGTTGTGACCTATGTCTTTGGTCACCGCAGCTGTATCTGCTTCAGGGGGCACCCCGAGTGCAGTAATGCTGTGGCTCTTGCAGACATGTAGAAGTACTGCCTTGGTGGTCTTGGATAAGATTCAGAAGAATTTTCTGGATTAGAAGGCAGAGACTATTGTCTTCTCTTACTTTTCTCCAAACAAATGATATCTCTTTCTCTTGATGCTGAGCTGCCTGGAGCTCTGGGAAAGATGACACAGGCACCCTGTGGCCACCACCAATGGGACTGTGCTATGCCAGATTTGAAGCTAGTATAGCACTGGGTTTTGTAGATGGGCTTCCGTGACAATTCCCTGGCTACTACTTACGTTCACTCAGGCCCAAGGGCTCTACAGTCAGCAGGTGGCAAATCCAGTCAGGCTTGTGTCCCTCCCTTTAGGATGGTGAGCTCCCCACCCTGCCGGCCGGCCCCAGGCAGGTCCAGGAACTCCATCTCAGATCCAGGTCCTGGAGTCAGGAATGCTAGGAACCTACCTGGTGCTCTGTTCTACTGCAACTGAGCTGGCACTTATGTCACAAGACAAAGTTGTTCCCACTCTTTCCTCCCCTTTCCTCAAGTGAAAGGGGCTACCTGTGCTCCAGGCCCATGGCAAGTAATGCCTGGCTACCCCAATGTTTACTCCAGGCTGAAGGGCTCTTTGGTCAGCTTGTGGTGAATGCTGCCAGTCCTGAATCTCTCTGTCAGGGCAGAAAGCTGCCCTCTGGCCAAGGGCAGGTCTAGAAATGCTGTCCAAGAGGCAAAGCCTTAAATCCATAATGCCAGGAACTTGTTGGTGCTCTACCCCACTGTGTCCTGGCTGGTAACCAAGGTGTAAGACAAAGTTCCCCTTACTACTTTCTTTTACTCAAGCAGAGGAGACTTTTCCCTCTAGCCACCATGGCTGGGAATGTTTTGGGTCACACCTGAAGTCAGCACAATTCTGAACCTCCCCTAAGTCTCATGGTGAGTATTACCTGGCTACCATTGCTGTTTATTCATGGCCCTAGTCAACAGATCATAAATTCTTCCAGGACTGGGTCCTTCTTTTCAGGGCAATGGCTTCTCTCCTGCTCCAGGGTGTATCTGGAAATGTCACCTGGGAGCTGGGGCCTCGAATGGTGGTCTTAGCAGTCTGCCTGATGCCCTATTCTACTGTGGCTGAGCTGGTATCCAAGTTTCAAAGCAAAATCTTCTGTACTCTTCCCTCTCTTCTCCTCGTGCAGATTGAAGGAGTGTCTCTCAGAGCTGCGAGCTGGCTGCCTTGGGTTGGGGGAGGGGTGGTGGGGTGATGCAAGCACTCCCTCAGCTGTCCCAGCCAGTATCTCAGTAGTTCATGCGCAGCCCAATTCCTCTGGCTCTGGGCCCAGCACAACTCTAGGGCTTGCCCAGGAATTCCAGTCCTTGTGGCCTAGGCTGCCTTTCAAGTTTACTTAGAACCCTAGAGAGCTTTAGCCTGTGGTGGCAGGGCTTGCTGGAGCCCAGGTTTCTACTGTTGGGATGGACAATTTGCCTCTTCCTGGAGCTGGTCTAGATGCTCCCTCCATGAGTGCTGGCTGAGTTCTGCCCCATGTGCCAGGCAGTATTGAGTTCCAGTGCAAAGTCCTGCAATCACTGTACTCTTCTCCCAAGTGCAGAGAATCTTTGTGCCATACAGCTGCTGCTGGGGGATGGGGAAAAGGTGGTGTAGGTGATTCAGAACAGTCTTTCCTACCTCGTTCAGTGTATTTTTTCCTTAATATGATTTTAAAACTAGGTACTGTGATCAACTGATTTTTGATTCTTATGAAGGTGCCATTTTGTTTGAATAGTTGTTTAGTTTGGTGTTCCTGCAGTGGGGATGATTGTTGGAGGCTTCTATTCAGCTATCTTGCTCCCCTCCTTCTTATCCAGCTTTTTTAAGAAAGATCCTCTTGGCAATTTATGTATATTTTTATTTATGTATGAATTGCAATCAACTTTTCAATTTCAGAAGAGCACTGGTGATACTTTGATAATAGATTTAACCTATACATACGTTTGAAGGGAATTTATATAGTATAATTATTAATTCTTTAAATACTGGAAACTATATTCCTTTAAGTTTTAAAAATATTCTCTTAATAATATTTCAAATTTTTCATTGAGAAATTAGGAATTAGATGTATTTGCTATGTATTTGGTTAGTTTTGTTGCTTTTACAAATGTGATGTTTTAAAATGAAATATACCCTATTTTCAAACATTGATTTTGTGTCTAAATAGCATTGCTAATATCAAGTATTATTTCCAATAATTATCTTTAGAGTTTTTAATTTTTCTCATATGCAATAATTTTATCTCAGTATAAGAACAGTTTTATTTTTTCCCAATGAGTTAATATTTTAGTCCTCTTTCTTTATCATTATTGCTTTGATTGAGACCTTAGGTACAATGCTGCATAGAAATAGTGACAGTAGGTATCCTTGTGTATTTCCCAATCTCAGAATAGAAGACTTCAATCATTCACAATTAAATGTAATGCTGCTGTACACTTGCTTATTTGTACACACTCTTAAGCAGATTAGGAAAGTTGCCTTCCGTTACTTTTTCGTTATGTGTGATTATGAATGGGTCTTGAATTTAAACACGTGTTTTTACTGCATCTATTGAGATGGTTGTATGTTTTTTCTCCTTATAATCTGTTAATGTGATAAGCTGTGATTTATTAATGTGATTTAGTAGCCATTTTGTTGTGTCCTTCTTATACTGTTAGATTAATTCAATTTTTGCCTATTACATTGTGACTGTCTTAACAATAAGACGAATATGAATGAACTACCAAATACCAATTTTTTGAGCCCAACAGATAGCTAAGGGGAGTTGATAGACAGCTTGAACCCGGCATAGGGACACTCCAGTGAGAGACAATGAGGATTGGCTTACTTGCTACAGCACTCAGGAGGAAGAGTCAGTGATTACCACACATGTGGGGAAAAACAAGTTAGATACAATTGTAACAAATTGCTTACAGTTTAGCTTAACTTATATAACCCCTGGTAGCTTTAAACACAAAAGCAGTTTGCACTCGCTCAGTCTTTTTTCCAGAAACCTCCACCAGATATTCACAAAAAAGATTGAGAGAGAAGTGGAGACCAGAGAAAGCTGCCTTTAGGGGGATGGGTGTGGAAGTGCTGCCTGAGAGCCATGAAACTATGCATCTTTTTCTGGAAACTTCTCTCATTTGAGGCAGAAACCTTAAGCCACTGGGATAGTCGTCGTAATTCCACCCAAACATAGGACACAAACTCTGCCCAATTACTGCTGGAAGAAAATATGCTTATAATTCTGTAGGAGAGGACAAAAGTTGTCTTAGGCCTATTACCTTATGCCACTGCCAGTAAAAGTCTCCTTTTTCTGGTAAAGGAAACTCTACCACACAAGACCTGACATAGATACAAGTTTGGATGCCACAAGCAGGAGGAAGAGGAATGCTGTGAAGGTACTATTTCTGACACTCAAGTTCGCAGGTTCTTCCTGAGACTGAGGTTGGACAAAGAATATAAGGGACAAGGCACTTCTCACCACAAACCTGGCAGGCATTATGTAACAAGAAACAGAAGCCTAGCACTAGCAGAGAGAAAATAATCCAGAGGTAGTCTCCATGTGTGGTACAGGTAAGCAGGGATAGCTGAAATCTGAATGTGGGATAGGAATAATGAGAGAAGACTTCCATCAATATAGTGCCTGCTGTGGGTGTGAAGAGGGAATTTAAAATAATATAAATCATAGGTTAAAGAATATAGTGAAATAGGTGGACAACATCATTAAGTAGACAGAATTATTAACAGAAAGAGGGAATATATAATAATGAGTCAATTGGAATGGCTAAGAATAAAACAAACAAATAAACATGCATCAGAGGTGAAAAATTCCTTTGATGGGCTCCTTAATAGATTTAACATCGTGGAGGCAAGGTTCACCGAACATAAAGACAGATCACTAGACATTACCCAAAGCAAAACTTGAAAAAGGAAAAAAAAATAAGTTTTAAAAATAAAACTGCTGGGCACCATGGCTCAAGCCTGTAATCCCAGCAATTTGGGGGGTGAGGCAGGCGGATCACCTGAGGTCAGGTGTTCGAGACCAGCCTGGCTAACATAGTGAAACCCTGTCTCTACTAAAAATACAAAAATTAGCTGGGCATGGTGGCATGCACCTGTAATCCCAGCTACCCAGGAGGTTGAGGCAGGAGAATCGCTGGAACCCGGGAGGCAGAGGCTACATTAAGCTGAGATTGCACCACTGCATTCCAGCCTGGGTGACAGAGCAAGACTCCATCTCAAAAAAATAAAAACATAAAAATATAAAAATAAAACGAGAAAACATCCATTTATGTGTGACCGGATTCCCAAAACGAATACAGAGAAAGCACCAGGAAGAATAAATATATGAAGATATAATGGTTGAGAATTACCTACAAATATAAACACCACAAAAGCACAGATAGATAAACTTCAGATAATCTCAATCAGAATAAAAACAAAACAGCAATAAAACACACCTAAACACATAAGATTTAAACTTCTGATGATTAAAGATAAGGAAAAAATCTTGAAGATAGAAGTAAAACAAAAAAAAAGATGCATTACATACAAAAGAAGAAACATATGAATTATGCAGACTTCTCAACAAAAACTATGCAAGCCAGAAAACAATTAAGTGACCTCTTCAAAGAAGTCCACTGTTGTTCTCTTCCTCCTGGACTCAAATGCCACACATATTAAATAGTTTGATACTATCTCACAGACTCTGAGGCTCTGTTTATTTTGTTGCCATTTTTTTTCTCTTTCTGCTTCCTCACATTGGAGATAAATTTTCTGTTTCAAGCTCACCAGATCTGACCTCTATCATTTCATTCTGCTCTTCCTTCCATCTAGTAACTTTTTGTTTATTTTAATTTTAGGTAGTCTTTATTTGAAATTTTTCTTTGGTTTTTGTGTATTTCAATTTTTCTGCTTGAATTGTCTCCTACTTTTCTCTATCATTTTATTCATTGTCAGACTAATTTGCTTCACTTAATTTAGAATAGTTAGGGTAGACGTTACATGAAACATAACAAAACAAAGGAATATTTCTGGTCCATCTCAATGCCAGATTTGGTGGATTTATTTTTCTCTAGAGTATGCATTCAATTGTTGCTCTTGTTCTTTTGGGGCTTTGTGAATTATATACTGCTCATTATTCACGTTAATATGTGAGATTGTGGATTCTGGTGTTTTTTTAATTATTATTTTTCTTCTCTTGACTTCCAAACTCTGGATCTTGGGTGGCATTTCTGGCTTCTGTTGAGATCTTCTTAACATTTTTCTTTTTTTTAGTGGGCATATTGCATGAATGATTTGGGGGTCAGTCAGACTTATAGGTAGACAGGATTTAGATACCCCTTTTTTGACTCTTTTCTTATAGCATTCTTTAGTCATTTATGGTAGCCATGATTTCTCCGGCTTTGTTATACTAACAATCTCATTAAGAAAAATATATTTTTTCCCCTCACACCCCTGCTAACTGTGTATGCCACATTGGGACTGCATGTCCTAAAAAAGGAAACTTCTTTAATGCAGGTCCTTCTAACTGCCCTTCAAGAATATACATTTTACAAGAGTTTGTCTGCTTCTGTCCACTACCCAGCACTTTTAGGTAGTTGCTTTTTCATTTTAGCCATGTGTGATAGATGTTTTATTCTGGTGAGCTATCCAAAAGACAGTCCATCACTCTCATAAAAGAATTTATCTTTTTAATGACTAAAAGATCTGTAGTGCAGTTTTCTTTTAATTTCTGATATTTCTAAACTATTATTTCTCTCCTTTTTATGACCTGACATCTATATGACTGTATTTTTTGTTTTTTTAATTTATAATTTTAAATGTATTATTCATTTTTTATAAGGTTGTCTTTTTTCTAATGACTAAATTTAAATACAAAACTTTATAAAATGCTCTTTGTCTTATCTTATTCTTATTATTTGCTATTTCCTCACTCTCATTAATGTTGAAATTATCTAGTAATCTTTCTTTCCTTCAACAAATCTTTCATTTTCTCCACAATTTAATTTGAAGTGTTATTTTCCTTCCAAGTAACCTCTATTAGAAGTGAACAATTATATATCAATATCACTTTCGTTTGAGGCTCAAAAATATCTGTCATATTTCAACTGGTGAAGGAAAAATAAAAAAAAAAAGAACTGAGGCATACTATTATAGTATAATTTGGGGTATTGGAAGAATGATGCTTACAATGGTTTAAATATAAATTATGCTCAGAATTTTTGCAATGGATAAGAAATGAAAGGCAGTTTAAGACCATACTCTGAAGGGCTTCGAGTTCCATGTTTCTAGAATATTAACCTGTTTTTAGATCTTGGGTAGCTTTAATAAAGATAAAACTGAAAAATCCAGATGGTTTTCTAAAAAAAATAATTAGATAGTACTTAAGTGGCTGTTTTCACTCAAAATTTTCTATGTCTCATTTCTCTACTTTCAAAAGGTATCTATCTTAGATTTGGTTTTCTGACAGCACAGTTTTAGGTGAGAATTCACTTGTCAGTAATTAATTTAGGGACCATTTTCAGACAAAATCAGTGAATAAATAGAGGAAGGAGAAGATAGAAGGCGAATAAGCCAAAGATGTCCCAGACTCAGCCATAAATTACAACAGAATTTTTTTTTTTTTTTTTTTTTGCTCTGGCTATGGCGGCTGAGCTTACACCTGCATTCATCATTTATTGAGTAAAGATTTCTTCTGCTTTCGCTGCTTACTTAAGCAAATCTGCTCTAGTACCTGGAGTGCAATATCGCAAAGACAGTCTGAGATGAGGGCTTGCTTATGCAATCAGACACATGATAAAGCTAGACATCACAGAAAAAGTCTCAGGGATATGAGGGGACCCACACCTGGAACTGATAGTTTCTGCTATATTAATCTTTTAAAATTATTATTTTTTTATTGGCCAATAACAATTGTACATATTTATGCTGTATAATGTAATATTTCACTTCATATATACACCCTGTAATAATCAAATCAGGATAATTAATGTAACTATAACAAAAATTTATCGTTTATTTGTGGTAGGAATATTCAGAATCCTCTCTTGCTATTTTGGGGTATACAATATCTTTTTGTTGACTGCAGTCACTCTATTATGAAAAAGGATACTAGAACTTTTTCTTCCTTACTCATTGTAACTTTGTACCCGTTGACCAATCTTTCCCCACTCCTTCCACCCCCTCATTCTCTGATGACCACAGTTCTATCCACTACTTCTATGATGTCAACTCTTTTGGTTTCCATATATGAGTGAGAGCATGCTTTTTGTATTTCTGTGTCTGGTGTATTTCACTTACCATATGTCTTCCAGTTTCATCCATATTGTTGCAAATGACAGGAATTGCCTCTACATCCACACCTAATGTTAGATATCATAGAGTTTGCTATTTATGGATAGTTTGAAATGCAAATATTTAAGTCTATTTTATTAGTATTTTTATCTCTCTCATCAAATGTGTGGAGAATACTGGTTCCGAAGAGATTTAGAATGCTTAATTATATCATTATAATAGATGCAAGCAACCGATAATTTAATGGTAATATTTTAACATTGTTAAACAGGCTTTACTATATAATAATGTACCTAGACTACCCTGATGTTTCCATTTTAAGAAAATCAATTTTATTATGAATAAAATGAAATGGAGAGGTCTTAAGGATTTTATAAAATTCTGTTTCTAAAGTCAATCAACTAGCTAGTATCAGGACCAACTAGTTAGTGACAGGCTTATATAAATTCATTTAACAATTCTTTCTACAGCTCTGTGCTGTGATCGTTCCTAATTCCAAATATGTATTGTTCAAATCATCACCAACTGAAATCCAGCCATTGAATGCTTTTGCGTGGTAGTGGTGGTGGGGAGGAACATAAGGGAGGGAAAAGAATACTGTTTTCTAAGATAGGAATAGGTTCATTAATGCTGAGTGTATTTTGATGAGAATGGATTCTTTTGTTAGTGTATCTGTAAGTTACTTTATATTATCTATGCTGCTCTAGTCCACTTTCATTTTCTTGAAATAAAAGCAGCAGGATTTAATAGTTGTATTATTAAAATTCTTTAACATACATGAACTGGATATAATGGCTCAATAGTAAATAAGGGAAGATTCCTGTAAAGACAGCAATCTTTGAAAATTTAGCTGAATTTCACTAAACTATGAAAACTTTTAATTTTAAAAGTAGGCCAAGACTGTCTCAAGATTAGATTTTAATAAAGGATTGAAAATACCATATTCCTCTAAGTTTTGATGCAGTTAGCAAACCTGTAGGAATCTGAAAATGAAGAATGCTTCCAAATAAAGTTATCTGATTATTTTTGAAATATGTAAGTAAAAGAGGTATTTCCCAAATTCATTTAAACATTTGGAAGACATTTTATTTTACCTGCATCTCTTCACATATTTTCTGGTCATCACTGCATATTTATTCTCATGGTTCAAAGGAAGAAATATACTCAACACTTTTTCAAATATGTTTGAAAAAGAATTTTGAGCAATGTTTGTTGACTTGATTTTAACCAGGGCTAGGGAGAACAAGAAGCTCCCAAGCTCTCCAAATGGTGACAGCAGCCCAAGACAGTTCAATCAAATTATTAAGCAAAATATACTTGTCCACTATTACTGGAGCTTTCAATTCTGCAGCTATGACCTCTGGGTAGGAGCGATAAGGCTATTTGAATGCATGAACACCTCAGTTATTTACATTGACTATGACCTAGTCAGTAGAAAATGTTAATAATTGTACCATACCCCCTTAAATATTGAACTTACTATCTCAGTATGATGTCTTATTGATAAATCCAGACTACTCCCTTGAGTACTCCAACATCTCTACCTTGAATAATTAGTCACAAATCCTTGCCCTGTCCTTTCAAGAAGTTTGTCTAAATAGATCATCCATTTTTCCATATCCCATTACTATTTATTTCATGAGAATGTGAACTTTGATCAATAAAGGTAAAGAGAATCCAAGAATGTGAGAGTGAGAAAGTGATGGCAGATATGACAAATTCTTAGGTGAGCGATCCACTTTAAAATGTCAAATCCATGTGCTTAATTTTTAACAAAGGTTGTAGGAAATGAAGAAAATAAGGTGGTGTGAAAAGCAGTAAAGAACAGATTTTACAGTGATTCACACAAATGAGCCATACTGGAAAGATGCTGCCTGTCTCTGAATTAGCAGAGAAGGAGGAAAGCTTTGGTTATGCATCATTTCACTATTTCATTTCCACAGAAACTTTCTGCAAATATATGGTCTAAGATAATCCAACTCATTTACTAATTCATGTTTTAAAATAGGAAAAAATAAAGAACTGGTACCATAAGGGAAAATGTAGAAGACATTTCACAACATTTATGAAAATCAATTTATACTGACCAGAAAAATATTTTATAAAAAATGAAAATTGGGGACAAATGTTCTTCTGTAAATAATAGTAAGAGAGAGAAGGAGGAGGAATAGGAAGAGAAATTATATCTTTGAAAAAGATCTTTGAAAGAAAATTTCAGTAATAGGTAGGAGATCATGAAACAAAAGCAAGAGATGAAATGTAAGCTAGGGCAACTAAGGAAGAAAGTAAAATAAAATCTGCCCTATCCCACCAAAAATAAAAGCATAAGAAGGAATGTATACACATGGAAAAGATAGTAAGGTAATGAAAAGTGGAAATAAGGAGATCCACTAACATAAAAGACACAATTGAAAGAATAAAGACAAACTATCTCTCTTTAGAGACAGAGCTAAAGCTAGACATAGAAGTTGATAAGAGATGGCCAATATACGGAGTCCCCCAAATAAAATTAAAATGATAAAAAAAGAATCATTTGAAGATAATTTTAAGGCCTTTTGGAAGTTTTCTAAAGAAAGTACTCCATGTGGTTGAAGTTTCAGACTCCTATTTTGTTCTTATAAAGTCTTTGACGTGGTATTTTCATGATCAAGGATAACTGATTCTCTTCCAACAGTGTATCTGAATGCAGGGCAGTGGGATTAGGTAAAGGTGTGTAAGCAAGAGAACACTCTCCTTTTTAATTGTTCATATCTCTTCCATTCACATCAGTTACTTTAACTTAGACATAATGCAGCTGTGAATGTAGCTTTTAGATTTTAGCATGGTAGTTCTAGGTCTAACTAAAACATATTTTACTGAGAAAGAAATACAGAGTAGCTACTGAGGGCACACTCATTATCTCCATCACAATGCATTAAACATGCACATGGAGGGATGTATAGGAAAGTAATAACACTGGGGGGATGAATAGATGAGGGGAAAACTAGGGAAATGAGAGACAAGTATGCGGAGGAATTTAAGTGGATAATTTTACTGATTTTTGAACCGTATAAATGCATTGCTTACTCCAAAATAAAATTTAGTAAAGTATGGTGATTAAACATACAGTAAAATAACAAACACATAGTGTCATTAAAGGCATATGAAAGAAGAGGAGCTATGCATATGTGTGTTGAGAAAAAAGACCTTTATGTCTGTACTTGATGCCTGTATTAAAGATGGTTAGTAAAACTGAATACGTCTTATATTTGTTTTCAGATTTCTTGTCAGAGCAATTTCTTTTCTATTTATTCCAATTTTTCTTTGAAACATAACTACTGTCTCAGGAGTATGTTTGATTATTAAAACATTACAACTAAATACAAAATAAAAATATATGTTTTTTTGAATTTGCCATGATCTTTGACATTCAAGTACAATAGTTATTATACAAAACTGCGAGGTGTTAAATTAACAAATGATTTTGTTTTTAATTCTATGCTTATAGCCCATCAATTTGAAGGTGCTGAGCTGGAAAAGCTACTGCTCTCAATACTCATGGTCCTTAGTGCTGTGGGAAAAGATTGCTAAATCATTCGAATTCCAGAATGATCCAACCAATTCTTTTATCAATATAACCAAATTTCCCGTATTGTTTTAAGATCTGTGTATTCTATTCATTATAGCAATGGGAAGAGATTAACAGCGTGTACATTTCTACATATACACACAAAATGAATTGGATAATGATTGTATTAATCCATTTGCATTGCTATAAAGAAATACATGAAATTGTAAAATTTATAAAGAAAATAGGTTTATTTGGCTCACAGTTCTGCTGGCTATACAAGCAACATGGTGCCAGCATCTGCTTCACATCAGGCCTTAGAAAGCTTACAATCATGGCGGAAGATGAAGGGGAGCCAATGTGTCATATAGCAAGACAGGGAGCAAGAGAGAGGGAAGACATGTGAGTCTCTTTTTAACACCAGATCTTGCATGAATTCAGAGTGAGAACTCACTCATTACTGTGAGGACAGCACTAAGCCATTCATGAGGAATTCTTCCCCATGGTCCAAACATCTCCCACTAGGCCCACCTCCAACATTGGAGGTCACTTTCAACATGAGATTTGAAGGGGACAAAACATCCAAAACATATCAATAATCTTGTACCAGCAACTGGATCTATTTAATGTCTGTGATGGTTAATTTTATGTGTCAGTTTGACTAGGACAAAATGTCTCAGGATTTGGTCAAAAAACACTCTGGATGTTGCTGTGAAGTATTTTTAAGATAAGATTAACAATCAAATCAGTAGACTTTGAATAAAGAAAATCACCCTCCATAATGCAGGTGGGTCTCATCTAGTCAGTCGAAGACTTTGAGATAAAATAAACAGAGGTGTCAGGGAAAAGAAATAGCTTTTCAAAACTGTCATCAGACTCAAGCTACAACATCAATTCTTTTTGGGCCTCCAGCCTGACAGCCTACCCTGCAGATGTTGAATTTGACGGCCTCCACAACCATTTGAGCTAATTCCTTAAAATAAGACTCTCTCTCATTCTCTCTCCCTCTCTCTCTCTCGTGCATGTGTTTGTTTTGTATGATATGCTTTCTTTAAAAAGATTATGTTCTGTATTTGAGTTTGGCTTTTATTTTTGTCTAAAATTTCAATGAATTGAAAAGTGCTCCATGAACACAAACAAAATAGTTTGAATAAGGCAAATTTAATTTAGTGTAACAATTATTGACAACAGAATATTTCACTTCTAAGAATCGTGTCATGTAAATAGGATTGACTTACACTTTAGGTGATTATAAGATGACTGGATGATATGACATTTCAACTTTGTCTAATTTCTAGTGTGATTAAAAAACTATAACTGAAAACATGGGAGTTAGTTATTCCAACAGCACAGGGCTTTCTCAGAGTAGATATTAACATTGTGAAAGGATACTGAAAAATTAGATAATACCTCAGGCCTCTTGTCTGAAAACACTTTTTTAAAATGAAATGTACACATTTTGGTTAGCATAATTTTCATCCTCAGATAGAAAAACCTTGACTTCATGGCAGTGATTTTTTAATAAAAAATAAATGACTTCTAACTCCATTTAAGGAAGGGTAGGATATTTACGGGGAAAAGAGCTTTAGGAGAGCTCAAGGGGAAATGTCACTACCTGCTCAAGAAGAATGGAAATGTCATTTTGCATTAAAAAACACATGATTGTGGCTTTTCTGTAAAATTCACAAAGCCTTTTATTGCAAGGGAAAACTTTACTTGATTAAGTGGCACCAGACATAGATGTATATCAAATCATAACTACGGTGCCAACCAGAGAAATGTCCTTTGACATCCAAGACAGACAAGTCCTTTAATATTGCAGTGCAATTTGCACTTGTATTTGCGTGGAAATGCACCACAAGGACCACAACATTAAACTCTGTCAATTCTTGAATTGCGATTGTCTGCGTGAGTAAAAATCATTTTCTAATCACAGTCAGAAAACCTGTTTTTATTTGCAAACACTTTTCCTTTTGAGGGAAAAAATACTATTTGTGTCCTTAAGAAGTGTGAACACCCCTTGTCAAATCCACTCTCCCCCGTTTTTAGTTATCTCAACACTGTATTTACGGTCAAGAAGTTGAGCAGTTTAATGAAACATAGGCTACCCAAATGAGTGCCTTTCACATCATACACACTGAAGACCTATCTGTTGAGTAAATTAATGAATATATGGACGATTTTCAAAAGTAAAGCTTTTGATTTTTATTCATTTATGTATATTTGCCTTAATTCATTGGCATCATTCAAATGAATGCAACATATATCTTCTAATTGTTATGTTCTTTGACAATAAATTTTCTTTAGTGAGTACTGTTGTAGGGTGTCCTGTGGCAAATTGCACTTATTGTAATATTTGTGTTCAGAATGTTACTGAAGAAGAGGTAGTTTGAGGCAAGTATGGGAGTGTTACTATTCTAGTTGACTAGAGTAGCAAACTGTATAATTTTGTGGTACCTTGTTCAGTATAGACAGATCCTATAATGTGACTAGATATATGGATGTTACATTAAGTATAACTCTGAAATAAAGTGAAATGGGCCTTTTTTTAACTAAGTTAAAAAAAAGAATTAAATGTACTTTCTCATATTTGAGACAATTTTTATGTGCTTGTGAAGAAAATACTTTATACTTAAGAATGTGTTGTGTTCCTTTTCTTTTGTGTCTGTTTGAACTCAGTTCACTCATTAAAAACTGCAGTGAGTTCAGGGCTAGTTTGATGCTTCATTGGTGATGGAGATCTTAAAATAGTTATTTTAAATATTATTTGCTTCCCAGTTTCTCTTTTGCAATTATGAGTTTCTCCAGGGTTAAAACTTTTTTATTTTATTTTTACTTTTATTTTTTGAGATGGAGTCTCACTCTATCACCCGGGCTGGAGTGCAGTGGCACGATCATGGCTCACTGCAACCTCCGCCTCCCAGGTTCAAGTGATTCTCCTGCCTTAGCCTCCTGAGTAGCTGGGATTACAGGCCTGCACCACCACTCCCAGATAATTTTTGTATTTTTAGTAGAGACAGGGTTTCACCATGTCGGCCAGGCAGGTCTTGAACTCCTGACTTCAGGTGATCTGGTGGCCTCAGCCTCCCAAAGTGCTGCTATTACAGGTGTGAGCCACCCCACGCCTGGCCAAGACTTTCTTAAACATAATTTTCTTTCCTCAGTATATGGCAATATGCATTAATTTTAACAAATGATCAAAAATACATTGAATTTAATTGACTTCTGTTAATTTTTAAATAAAAATTTTATATGCACATAATGAAAGATATTCCAAGAAGTTCTAAGGTAATACATGGGAAGTGAAACATTACTTTTTTCATCCCAAAAAGCTTTTAAGTCTTTTGATTTTTGTGGTCCAAACTTTACCAAACTTAAAATAACATGCACATATATGAGATGAGGAATTTATTTATTTAACACTAAGGCTGATCTCACCATCCCAAGCAAGTTCTTTAAATTAAATGTTAATGTTTAATCCTTCTATGAATACCATTGCAGATTGGTTTTCCCAGAAGCAGCCTCTGAGATGGAGATTAGTGTGTGGGAAGTTTATTAGGAAGTGCTCTGACAATCAAAGGGAAAGAAGAAGGAAAAAGCAGAGGCAAAGTTAGGGTGCCATGAAAACTTGACTAACACCTCCACAGGCTCCATGTAGACTTCTGAAGCTGGAATGGCCTTTCAGAGTTGTCCCTAAATGGTGTATCAGGGCCTGGGATTTATACGCTCACATGAACAAATCATTGGATGGTGGTTGCTCCCAGAAAAGGAGTGCAATTTTGCATAGAGTGATTCTTTCAGTCAAGGGCAACTGTTGGAGTTGGCAGGAGCCAAAGGCTACCAGCTGCTTACAGTCCCAGCAGTGAAAGGTTTACATTCTTCAGTGCTGAGGCAGAAGCAGAGCAGTGGCCCACAGTGTCCACTACACATGACTCTATCATTTTAACTAAGGAATAAAATTCCATTTTCGTTCCTCCATCTTTGATTGCATCTCTTGGCTCTTAACAAATGGCTTCTGCATACAATGATTTTATTTTTTTTCACATAAACAAAGAGAGTATTAATAGGTCCTGGATACGATATAGTGACTCTACAGTAATCAGGAACACAGGGACCTTCTGTCTTCCAGCTATTTCTTCCCTAGCACCGGTTTCTGAGTTCCAGGTTACTTCATGCCTAAGACAAATGTTGAAACTTCATTTCATTCCATTCCAGGAAGCAGAAAGAAAGGGCCAAATGGTATCTTCCAGCTGGCTCTTTACATAACCACATAGCTCATCCAGCATCAAGGAAGACCAAAAATGTCATCTTTAAGTTGAATATGTCGCAACATTAAAATAACATTGGATTTTGTTACTGAAGAAGAAAGGGACATTGAAAACAGGGAACCAACATTCTCTGAAATATGTTCATCTAATATACTATTTTATATATATTTATAATGTATATTTGTTATGTTTACATAATGTTTTCTAGTTTTAGCAAACAATTAGATAAATATCTGAATTGATTTAAGATATTGCTTCAAATTACATGATAATTGAATAACTTAAATGTTATATTCATTATAATTTTATGACACTGATGAGAAATAGTGGAAACTATGATATTCTATTTCATTTATTTAAATACAAATATTTGAAACCTTTATATTTAGGGAGAAAGTTTTTCTTTTTAAGCCCCACCATATAGGCAATTCTAATTGCAGAAGACTTATCCAAAAAAGAATGACAATGGCCACATGTGTGATAAGTTTTTAAATTGAATGTACAAAATGCTGAAAATAATTAAGTATTAAGAATGATTCTGGCTATGGTGAGCTAAGGAGCTAAGCATCTGTGTTTAAAAATTACTTGATGATAAAATATAAATGTGACATAGATAAAATCAGAAAACAAAAAGGTATTACTAAAGAAAAGACAGAAAAAAGAATCAAAAATAGTTTTGATAACATATATTCATTTATTTAACAATACTTCAGGCCAGGTGCAGTGGCTCATACCTTTAATCCCAGCATTTTGGGAGGCCGAGGTGGGTGGATCACCTGAGGTCAGGAGTTCAAGACCAGACTGGCCAACATGGTGAAACCCCATTTCGACTAAAAATACAAAACATTAGCTGGGCGTGGTGGTGGGTTCCTGTAATCCCAGCTACTCTGAAGGCTGAGGCAGGAGACTCGCGTGAACCCGAGAGGCAGAGATTGTAGTGAACCAAGATTGCGACATTGCACTCCAGCCTGGGCAACAAGAGCAAATCTCCATCTCAAAACAACAACAACAACAACAACAACAACAACAAAAAACAGTACTTCATTGCTGTTTAGTATGTGTAAGGTTACCCACTTTTAAGGAGGAGTATACTATAACAGTTGTGAATTTAAATTGTAATTAGAAAATATGGCAAGGTAGAAAAAGAAACAGCTGCCAAAAAAAAAAGGGGGGCTTAAGGAGGTGTTATCTTCTTAATTAAAATAAAATCAAATATATTTTATACAGTCTTTGCTAATTACTAGAATAGTTAATATTAGCTAAACCAAAAATCTTCTCGTTGTCATAGTGCTTTGAATTTTTATCAGTTAAGAGTGATATTCCAAAGTAAGAAATGTAAAGTAGGAAAGCATTTAAAGGAAAGGGATGAGTTGAATAAAATTAGAAAAATAAAGAACTAGGAATCTAACTATTGAAGACAGAATTCGAAGATTTAATAAATCCTCACATATGTGAAGGGCTTTGCACAACTATAGTAATAAATAACTTTCTTATATTAAAGACAGGACATAGGAAACTAGGCTTAATATTAAGCATGACAAATTTGAATCAGCAAGTAGTAAAGTCTTTTTTGACAGTGAGAAAGTTACGGTGAGTCTCTTTCCAAGGTCCTTTTAACAAGAATGGATTCTTACTTTTCTGTGATTCTTTATGCATCGCCTGAGTAATGAATGAAAAACAGGTTATATTATCCATCTTCACACATAAAATCTCATTATAAAAACGTGGATTTTGTGTGAAATATCATTATCAAAACCCCTCCTCTAATGTAAAAATCATATTTTTATAGAAGAAAATTGACAGTAAAACGACCTGGAATTATGCTATGATTCTATTTGGTGTAGTATGATCCTAAGTACATCATTTAAAATTTAGAACATTAACAGAGCTATGAAGAGACGAAAACAAACATAAAAACTAAAAGACAATGTTATTTAATATGTTTTACGGTAATTAAGTATATTAACAACCCTTTGAGAATCAATATTATATACTTATACCGGTGAGTTTCTGGTTTTTCCAAAAATAGTCAATATTCTTCTACCAATTGACTTTTTAAAAAATTCATTCTTTTACAAAGGTGAATTTTTTTTTTTTTACTTATAAATAGATTACAGATGGTAAAAGCATTTGTGACCTAAAAGAATAACCCATATCTGTTCCACTTTTGTACAAAATTCATGGTTTCTTCTAAGAAACTCAGAGACATTCTCATGTGCTATTCTCACTTAGGAAGAAAACAAAACTTACTTTCCCAAAGATCTTTCATGTGCAACCACCCATCAGGAAGAAAATTCTTTACACTATTCTATGATGTCTACCCCCGCATAGGCTGCCAACTTTGATTAAACTTTCTAAAAACAGGATATCCCTGAGCAGTCTTCTGTAGCCATAACTTTCAATAGTGAAAATGACAGGATGAAGTTTGCCATTATTCATTGTTATAAAATGGCTCCTTTTTATTAAATTTCATTCAATAGAAAGAGACTGTATCTTTTGGTCTGAGGTCATTGAGGGCAGAATGGGCTGGATGTGTGTAAAGGACAAGAAAATAATTCTTTCTAAGGCTGGTAGTTTAAATTAATTTAGTTTAAATTGATAATGAATTACGAGAACTTATTAAAGTTAAGTTAGAAGTCTGTAAATTGATTTTTTGTTATATCTTTACATATCATAATTGCATAAAGCATATTTTTCAGACTGTCTGCAAAAAATCATTTTGTTTATCATCCCCAGGCTAAGACATTTTTTTTCTTTTGATTGGGAAAATTCTCATAAGCTTCCCATTCTAACTTAAAGAGCTTTCATGAGATTTAGGCTTTGGGCATGATCGAAGATGCTTCCAGAGACTGGATTTTAACTGTCCTTGATAATTACTTCTGAAAAGCAATGACTAATTCTGTCAGCTTCCAGAAAAGGGTATATAAATCTTGGTGCTATCAGATATTTTGTCTGCTGAAACAACTAGAGAAAGAAAAGCAAAGAATCTGCTTTCATTCTGTTTAGAGTACTGTGTTGCATTCAGGCATTTTCTTTGCTTCATATCTGTAAAGGTAAGGATGTGTAACAATTTTGAACCCTCACACAAATGCTTTAGTCTAGAGGATTCAAGTAACTCTCGACCCGAAAGTGCCTATGAAAGGAAGTGTTAAAAACCACTTAAAAGGAATCAAGTACAAAATAATAATGTCAATGTCTAAAGCATAAGAGAGAAAGCAAGGGAATAAAATACAAAAGAGGTTCATGGAAACCTGTTAATGCCCTCCTAGATGTACTTAGGAAGAAGAAAGTGCCTTCATTTAACTAGCAGCAGGATTGGCTGCAAATCAGAAGAGCCAACATGAAACTTAATGTTAAAAGTCAGGGTGATTGTTCCCTTTGTATTGAAGAGTTGGGTAGTGATTGAGCAGAGCATAAAGGGAATGTCTGGAGTGCTTTACCTTGTTTGTGGTAGGTGACAATTTCTTAGATGGGTTTAGTTTGTGATAATTCTTCAAGTTGTAGACTCTTAATTTGTTTATGAGAAGATGTTTTTCAATAAATGCCATTTTACTTTGCTAGAAAGTTTATTAAGTACTCATTCATTAATAAAATTTAGACAATTTTCTGATTCATATGCTAGTGAATAATTGAGCAACATCTGTGTATATTTGAGAGAAATCGTTATCATCACTTAAAATAATTTGGCATGCAAAATAGAATTGGATTCAAGCTTAATTCACATGATCAGTGAATTTCTACTAAGAGCGTTCAATAAGACATTTGTGTAATAAAATTAGAAGGTATTAAAATAATGGTAACAATCTCAATGTGTATCTATTGTTTGTGTGAGTTTTTAACATTTCTTTCACCCAATAAGACATTTGGAAAATGCACCTATGTTGTTTTATGTGTCAGTACTTTTATCATTTTTATTACCGAGTATTCCATTATATGAATATATTGATTTATCCATTTTGTTGTTAGCACATATTTGGGGTATTTCTATTTTTGCCACTTATTAATAATGCTTTTATAAACATGTTGGTACCTGTCTTTTGATTCACATACATATGAATTTCTGCATTCCTATGTGAAATTCTTGGTCTTAGGGTATGTATATTTTTAGCATTAGAAAATACTGACAGTTTTCCAAAGGTTATACAAATTTTCACTCCTTCTAGCCCCGTTTTTGAATTCCTGTTGCTCTACATCTTTGCTGGCACTGGTATTGTCAGAATTTAAGCAGACTGCACTGCAGTGTATGCATAGTGTTATTTTCATATTGCTTAATAAAATTAAAGTTGTGGTCAAATTTTACACATAGATAGCATTTCAGTGAACAAAACAAGTTATTAATTGAATATCAAATTGTTGTTCTTGGACTACTCTAAGGTAGTGTTAGTGTCTGTAATATCTTATGTGCTTCATAATATCCATTTATCATGCTGAATATTTTAGGATTTTATTTTCAATTGCTTTATTTTTATATATCTTTGTGCAAGAAATAATCTTTTTCTATCATTTTTCTTCAAGGATTTTAACTAGTGCTATCAGCTATGTACTAACCTCAGTAGATTAATATAGTACAATAAAAATGTCCATAGCAAATACAGAATTTTACTCATGATAAATACCTTATTACTTAAGTATTAATCTCACTAACTGAAATGAACCAATGGTAAGGTCAGAGAAATGTGCAACATGGCATAGCGGCCACAGAGCTGTTTATGTTGGTGGGTGTTATCTAAAAAGTCTTACAAGCATAATAAAAATGTAAAAAATAAGAGTACATGAAATCAAAAGCAAAGCTAAATATTTTAAATGTTCACATAGAAAGAACTTCACTGATGATTACAGATGCAAATTGAAGTAATAAGACTACCTGGGATATTAAATGTGTTACTCAGGGGAGATGTTCGTTTTAAATGCTGTAGAGATTTCTTTGTTGGTGGATGCTAAAAATAAAGTCTTAAAGAGCAAGATAATAATTTTTAAATACAGGAGTTTGCAGAGAATGCGATACTTACAGTATTCAAATATAATTCTAAATGTAAATTTTTCAATGGATGTAAAAAACTATCTAAATCTCCCAACAAATTTGTAATGCACTGTGGAATACCATGGCACACTGGTTGGGAAGCTCTGCATTTTTTTATTCAGTTCTAAAAAAAAGAAAAAAAGAAACAAAGAAGGAAAGAGAAGAATAACAGGTCTATTAATATGTTTTAATGTTATAGCCAAATGGTGGTATGTGCCTGTAGCCCTAGATGAGGCCGAGGCAGGAGGATCACGTTAGTCCAGGGGTTCCAGGCTTCGGTGAGCTATGATTGCACCACTATACTCCAGCCTTGGCCAACAGAGTGAGACCCCATCTCCAAAAAGAAATATATATGAATATATGTTTTAATGTTATAAAAACTTAATGCTAGCAAAATGAAGTAAATTTAATGCACTTGAAAGAAAATTTTAGACCTCCTCTCTGTATCTTTTAATCCTTAGAGTACCACAGTTACCAGGAGCCAAAATGTCTTCAATATCCGAGCATATACATGTAGACTTCTGATTTATTTAAATTCTGTGGTTCACAAACTACAGTGCATGTGAAAATTAACATATCAAGTTGTTACGCCAATAACTATACTGTAATTTATGGTTAGTTTGTGGCTATTTTTTCAAGGGTAATTTCACAATATGCAAATTTTATAATTGTTTTTTCATTTAGAAATGCCATTTGAGAAACTGACATGTACCTAAGCTATGACTTCACTAAGCTAGCTCTAAGTAGGAAGTAGTGGTATTAGTTAGCAATATTGCTCTATGGATTATACTATAAAGCCATCACTAGAACCAGTAAATTTTAAAATTCAGAGAGCTTTAACACTCCACTTTGATCATAAACTTGTAATTCTTCTAGTTAATAAACAATGAATACATTTCTCTACAGCAGCAGAAATATTTAACCCAGAAAGTATATTTTTTGAAATAAATTTACCACATTCTTGTAGAAATTAAATTTTATTTATAAAGTGTAAACATTGTGAACCACTTCATGTTAAATGATGAATTTTTTAATTAGTGGCCTTTGTTGCTCTTTTTTTCTGAGATAGTATATACAGCTTCTCATTCTACCCGTAATTCTGACTTTTATGTACTGTTTACACATTACTACAGAGTCTTAGGGGTTATCAAACAAAATTTGAGATGTAGGTTAGTGCAAAGGCTAAAACAGATGAGACAATGACAGAAATCCCTGCAGTTCTCAATCTGCATAAATAAATTAATCAGAAATATTTACCCACTTATCCTAATGTTTGAGTTCCTTCATAATCTGATTCTCTTACATTTCAAGCATACTTCTTTACTAATCCAGCATTTTCAAATTTTAAGCCTAGCAGGCCAACTCCTTTTTTTTGATAACTTGTTTTATGCATGCTGGCCTTTAAGCCTTGAACATTACTTCCCTCCCTCTTCTCTCTTTAATTTTCCATTTAACCCAACCTGTTTAAGAAGTTTACATCAATAACATTTAACAGTCACAGTGCCTTGTTCATTCTGCCCCCTTAGACAGCCACACTATTTACTGTCTGTGCTATATCATTGACCTATAACATCTGAATTGAATACTTGGATACATTGAATACTAAGCTTAATCCGACCAACTTGATTGTACCTCCCTGGGGGTATAGCTTGGGTAACATTTTTTCTTCTTACCTTACAGGGGCTAGCAATAAAATACGATGTTTTAAGTGAGTTTAAGGCCAGAAATACTGTGAATATCAGTTTTCACTGTTTCACTGAACTGAATTCCTTGCAATTATTACCATTAACTGGTAAGGTGTCTCTTTTTAAACAGTGAACGCTTAAACCATTCCAGTTTCATCAACGTTTGTACCCAATTTTTCTTGGTTTCTCATCTTGCCACTTTAAAACAATGTTAATTAAGATGGATGACACCAATATCACCCTCTGGGATGTTCAAAGAATGTTAATAGCTTAGAGTGTGGGAGAAAATCTACGGTTTGTGCTGTATTGTGGGGCAATTTGGCCAACTTCCCACAGAAAATGTGACATTAGAAAAACACTGTAATTAGACAGCTGTTTTGTATTGCCCATATGCATTCAAAATGTATTTGCCAAAATGTGTTGAGTGCTTGATAGGTACTAGGTGCTATTCTAGGTAGTTAGGATTTACTTGCAAAAAGTCTGCACTTTCATGATCGCCAGAGTGGATGATCCAGGAAGTGAGTGGAAAGTGGCAAGAAATGAGATCAAAAAGTCTGGTCAAATCATGAGGGCTTTGTTGGAGATGGTAAACCAGTTTCTATTCTATGTCTGATGGAAAGCCATGGGGAGATTTTGTGAAGAGATTTAAATGGCCTGGTGTCATTCTGAAATGTTTGCCTTGGCTGCTGTTTGATTTTCAGGGTTGAGTTCTATTACTGATTAATTTTCCAAAAGTTTTATACCCATATATATATATATATATATATATGCTGTTTGATTTTCAAGGTTGAGTTCTATTACTGATTAATTTTCCAAAAGTTTTATACCCATATATAAATATATTTATATATATATATTCAAATTACATATTTTAAAATTTCTACATTTAAATAATGCACTGAATTATGTAAAGTTATACTCTATCCTGTATCAGAATTTTCACATGGTTGCCTCTAGTGATGGGACCAATGTAGCCAATCTCTGTGGCTACAACATTTGGATGCTGGGGAGGCGACCACATGCTTAATACCAACAGTGTTTAATTTGTCACTATACTTTTGGTGTAATTCAAATCCACCAAGTTGATCTTTATAAAGGAAGATTTTAATATCCTTTAATGGTGCTCTAATGCAATCATGTGAAAACTCACGAATTTTAGTGAAACATAAAAGCCATCAGTCTCATCTTCCTATTGTCTTTTTGATACCATATTTAAATCAACACACTCTCCTTGCTGTCTCCTATGTCTGAGATCTTTCTAGCCTAGGCGTTCATCATTTTGCTAGGATATTTTTTTCTACACCCTTTCCTCTGTCCTCTTGTTAATATTTATGTTTCCTCCATTAATTATTTGATGTCAACTCCTCTGAGAAAATCTCCCTATTTTTTCTAGGATGCTTTTTCAGCCTAGGCATCCACTGCCAACCTCTAATAAAGTATCTACTATATTGTGTCACAATTGTCTATCCTCCTGTCTTTGCTCTTTCTAGGTTGTAACCTTCAAGGGGTCAGAGATTATATCTTTCTATCTTCAAATTTCTTCATTCAATTTGATTTTGTGGGGTTCTGTTTATATAGCACTTATTAATAGGGGCACAGAAGGCTACAACTAGAACAAAGGCCAACTTGAGTAACAAGATATTTGTGGGGACATAATCTAAACACCCTGTTAAAGCTATATTTGATGTTGCATAGCATTATGAACAAATCTTCCTTTCTGAATGGGTCCAGCTTTCACCCCTCCTATTATAATTCAGCCTGCATACAAGATCAGCCTCGTGTGCCTTCTAAAGAAGAAAGATCTTCCAATTTACGAAAATCTTCAAAGACTCCATATAACCTACTTCTTAGTGTGCAAATATGTTATGATTGCATTCAGTCTTCCACACTCAGGTCTTTGCCTGTGACAGTGGTGAAAAAGAGATTACTCTGTAAAACTTACCATCTGAATTTCTGTTTCCTATGGGAAGAAACAAAATTATTCACTTGGGCATATGCTCTTAGTTAAGAAAAATACCAAGGTGGGCTTTATTTGCTAGAAGATAGTAAATCATCAAGGCATTGTCTAGAAGGCAAAAGTGAGATAAAATTGAGTAAATTTCTTTGTACAACATAGTAAGAAGATATTTTAGCTTATTAAGGCAAGTAGGAACAATAAGATCTTGGAGATATATATATATATATATCTGTGTGTGTATATACACATACCAGGATATAGAAGAGACCAATGCATTCTTCCTATCGCATCTGGTTGTCAGAGTCATAACTCTAATTCCCAGCCTCTCTTGCAGCTAGATCTTTCCAGGACACTAAATGGGGCCCAGTGGGTTTTGCCCAGAAGAGATACTTATAGCTGTGAGTCATATGTATAAAGAAGACCCCAGTTTCCCTGGGCTTCCTCCTTCACCATTTCCATGGGTTTGGAAATGGTGGGCACAAGAAGCCACCCTTTGGGCATAAAAACTATCATACTACCCTGATTCTCCTCAACTCTGTACTTTTACACGAAATTGAAATAAAGTTCTATTTTGCTTGAGCCACTGAATTCTGGATTCATTTTGTTTCTGCAACTTAATCTATAATTAGCAAGGATTACTAATTCTAATTGTAAGTCCTTTCTTAATGCCTTACTGCAGTTTATTCTTCCCGTTACTTCAACACTTCAATAAAAACCTCCCACATTTCCATTCTTATTTAAGTGATTGGCATGTTTCCCAAAAAAGGGCTATTTGGAAAAGAATAAAACTTGCAGAAATTAAGAAGTAAGTAGAAGCAGAAAATTAGAGTCAGAAGTAAGGATGAAAAACTTCAGTTCTCTTAGAATCCCTGGAGAAAAGCATACGAAAATAACGAGTTTTTTTTTTTTGACATTCACATGAGTGATTTATTTAAAGCCTAAAGATGAGCTATCCTTGCAGACTAGAGGACTTAAGCTTCTCACCTAAGTAATTCTTCAGTTGCATTACTTTTCCTACCTCATCTCATTAATTAACCCTTTGCTTTACTGAAAACAAGTACTGTCCTCTGGCTTCAGAACATATCACACTCTTTTTTTTTTTTCTTTTTTTTTTTTTCTTTTATTATTATACTTTAAGTTTTAGGGTACATGTGCACATTGTGCAGGTTAGTTACGTATGTATACATGTGCCACGCTGGTGTGCTGCACCCACTAACTCATCATCTAGCATTAGGTATATCTCCCAATGCTATCCGCCCCCCTCCCCCCACCCCACAACAGTCCCCAGAGTGTGATGTTCCCCTTCCTGTGTCCATGTGATCTCATTGTTCAATTCCCACCTATGAGTGAGAATATGCGGTGTTTGGTTTTTTGTTCTTGCGATAGTTTACTGAGAATGATGATTTCCAATTTCATCCATGTCCCTACAAAGGACATGAACTCATCATTTTTTATCTTAAGTAGACTATTTTCTTCAAGCTTCCCTCTTCATCAGCACATGTCCACTTCTGTCTTCCTGGTTTTTATTACAATTTCTCTATTTGCAATTTGTTCTCTGGAAAATGTGCAGAAAAGCCTTGCCTATAGATACCAATAACATCAAGGATAGTTTAAAGGAACTTCTTAATATCCTTTGTCTCCTTTTATAACATCTGTTATTTATTTTAAAAGTGTGTCTTTTACTTTAGCCATGTAAAACTGAGGTGATATTGCAAATCCGTAAATATGTACAGGTCACAATAAGCTTATAACATTTCTCACACATAAATTTAATAATTTTATCTTTCAATGGTATTAGAAAATGAATGACTCAGATAATGGGGCATGTACCTTGACTCCATAGCTCAGAGAATGTAATTATCTGTTATCAACTACTTATCTGTATAGTATGGATAAAAGTAGCTAAAACTATAGATTTCTGCTTTTGATTATATAATCCACTCCCTAACATTAATATTCTTCACTAAACCTACTTGGAAGATATTATAGACTTTGATCAGATAAATGTTATATTTTGATTTTTTTCTTTTTTGCCAATGTATGGAAAGATGATTTTAGTGTCATTTTCCTCCTTGAATTTGCCTTTATTTAAAACAAGTGAGATTAGTAAAATGATTTGTTTATATATTAATGACTTTTTATAATGAAATCTCACTGATTATTTAATAGATTCCAAAAACTGTGGACGACACTTGAGACACTAAGTAAATAAAATCTATTTCCTATCCTCCAAAAAATTAGAGTAGAGGAGGGGTAAACATGTAAACAGTGAATTATAATTAATTAATATTTAAGTAGGATAAAGTAATATAAATCTTGACGGTATAAACTTTAGTATAAAAACTATGAACAAGCTGGGCACAGTGGCAAGCACCTGTAATCCCAACACTTTAGGAGGCTGAGATGGAAAGATCACTTGAGGCCAGGAGTTAGAGACTAGTCTGGGCAACATAGTCAGACCTCATATCTCCCCCCAAAATTAAAAAAGTAGCCAGTTGTGGTGGTGCAAGCCTGTAGTCCCAGCTACTTGGGAGGCTGAGATGAGAGGGTCACTTGAGCCCAGGAGACCAAGGATGCATGCAGTGAGCCATGACTGTGCCATTGCACTCCAGCCTGGGTGACAGAGCAAGACCCTGAGCATATGTATTTAATTTTCCATTTACTTGCTCAAACCCATAATGGCCTGATACTTTATCTTGGTAGCCCCACTTGCATTTACTCTAATTCCTCTTGAAATTGGCTTACAGAGTCTAAGCAGGGAAGCAGTCAGCCACTATAACCAAGAAGATCAATTGCCCACTTCTGCCATTGACTCCCACAGCCACGGCTGTTGAAGTCCTCTACACAGAGGCCAAAGATACTGTGTCAGTGTCATGGTGACTTCTGGTCATCATTCTAGCCAATGCTGCAGTGCTTCTTTAGTGAAATTGTTGTTCATTCATTGTAACCTTCTGTCATAACCATGGTTAGTCTTCTAAGACTGTAGTCCAGATCTATGAACTTCCATTCAAAGGTATCAGTTAGAATGCTTCCTTTTCCCAAAAATGCTGCTTTCAAATTTAGTAATGTTCCAACATATCTCAGCAGCCATGTCTTTATTTTCTTCCTGACATTTTTCTTTCCTTCGAATCTAAATGACTCCTCCGTCTTCCAAGGACAATTATCCTTAAGTCTACTGTTCTACATTATTTTTTTGATGAAAACTACTTCTAGAAACTCTAAGGTGATTTTGGCAGTCTTCTAGAGCAGTTCCCTTTAAAGATTATTTAGCATCCATCTTTCTATATTAGGGAAAATTAAAAATCTAATTTTAATCTCTGGTGGGGCAGCCTACTAGTATTGTAATTGCTATTGCAGATATACAGGAATGAGCAGTAGAACAGAAGAGTGTAATCAATTTTACTTAGCAAGATGGTTTTAGAAAAGATTTCATAGAGAAGCTGATACATAAAAGAAATATGGAAGTATTATTATGGGTTAGGTAGGGTTGGACATGGAAGTCAAGGATATTTCAAAGTGGGTCCTATGGGAATAGGCTTAGAGGTTGACAAATACAGCAGTACTTTCTGAAAACTGTAAATAGTATGTGTGGCTGGCACTTTAAATGTGAGTGGAGATCAGTGTAAGACAGGGCATAGTGGCAGGCAAGGCTTAGATTTTAGATACTTTGGAATGCTTTGAAAGTACTTTGGTCATAATCCTGTTGACAACATAATGACCAGTAAATTTAAAGCTTTTAATTAGATATTTGGCATGATTTATCTTTAAATTTTCACATAAGGGTAGTATGAGTGATGTATTGGAAGGATTTTAGGTTATTAAACATTTCCAGTTAGGAGACAATTGCCTGAATTAAGAAGAAGAGTTCAACTTACATGTAAAAGTTGTATTGACAGGTCTCGGTCAGGTTCGAAGCCCTTCATCTACATAAATAAGACAGGTTAGTATAATTTCACTGATTTTTATGCTTTTGTTTCTTAACTAGATTAGATGGTAATTTTTGTTTTCATTCAAGTCATTTATTTTATCTTATTTTCTTTCTATGCTGATAATTTGCCCTCAGATCCACTCTTCACCCTTCTCTGTTTGCTATTTTGTAGTGATCTAATCCCTGCAGTCTCCTTTTCCAAGTTTTTCTTGTCAACAAGGTTCTATCTAATCTCCCCCAATAGGAAGGCACTGGTAGAAAGAATTAAAAAGTCAGAGTTTTTCTTTCCAACTTCTCTGCTTCGGGCACATCCCCAGCAGTGGCTACATCTTCTCAGGCGTTCCAACTGCCAGTCAAAACTCTTTTTCCCCTTAGTTCGTCCTTTTTTTTTTTTTTTTTTTGGCAAAGCAGCCACCTTGTCATCGCAGGTCTTAGGCTTTAACACCAACTCCTGTCCATGAATTTTGATTCCTGTAGAGTTGGATATATCATGGGGACTGCCTGGTAAACTTTGGTTTGCCCCACAGTCTCCATTTTGGCCTTTCAGATCATCCAAGACTTCAGCAACTAGTTCCGCATAATAAGTGATCTCTTCTGAACTATTAAGCCTGAGCTCTGTTTTCCTGAAGCACTCACTGAATTTTATTAAAAGTATTATCAGTATTCAGTGACTGGAAGGGGTATCAATATTCTCTGTGTTGAGAGATCATGAATGTATAGAATCTTACATTCTTCAAAGCAGTTCACATGCCTTCATACTTTCTCCCTATTTTATCCTTAAAAACAATCTGAGAGGAGAGGTAGGAATACAGAGATATGTGATGCCTTTCAAAAGTTTATAACAAAAAATATTAACACCATAAGAACAACTATAAGACAAAAAAGTTTCTGATTCAGCATCTGAAACTACACTCTAGTGCCTTTTCTTTGTGGATTAATGTCCTTGACTCCTTCTCACTATGCTGTATATATTGCCTTGCAATTTCTAAGAGACACTTTTCCTCTGAAGTCAGAGAGAAAAGTGAAATTTAATATATTTTATCTTTTGTGGTTCACATAATTGATGCCAATGTCGAAAGATTTTTAATAGACTATTTGGCTACAAATCAGCTTAGTGCGATCAAAATATTTCTTACCAGAATTTAGAAGTTTGAAAAACTTTCTGGTAAAATATAAAGGGAACATTTGAATCTTCAACTCAGATTTAGATTATAAGTTCCTGGGAACAAGGAGTGATGGCCATCTTCCGCTATTACTCACACCACTCTCATCACCACCATTTCTATTCTGCCTCACAGAACCCTAGGAATCACAAGACACTCAACATATTTATAATAGCATATAAACTTAAACATGACTATAAGTAACACTTTCATAATCTGGGGGTAAAACGTCTTCAAGATTGCCCTAAAGCATTTGGTTGGAACTATGAAATCTAGAAAGCATAAAATTTCTTGATTCTTACATTTAAGTCTTTAATCCATTTTATTTGATTCTTATAGAGAGGGTGAGATAAGGATCTATTTTCATTCTCTGTATATAGATGTCCCGTATTCCCAATACCATTTATTAGAGAGACCGTTTTTCCCCATTGAGTGAGTGTTCTTGGCACCATTGTCAAAAATCAACTGATCCTAGATGTGTAGGTTTATTTCTGTGTTCCCTGTCCTATTCCATTAGTCGATGTTGCTATCTTTATGCCAGTATGTTGCTGTTTAGATTACTATAGCTTTGTAATATATTTTAAAGTTCAGTACTGTGATGCCTCCATCTTTGTTCTTTTTGGTCAAGATTTCCTTGGCTATTTGGGGTCTTTCATGGTTCCATAGAGATTTTTGAATTTTCAATTTCTGTGAAGAATGACATTAAAATTTTGATAAGAATTTTATTAAATCTGCAGATTGCTTTGAGTGCTATCGACATTTTAACATTATTAATTCTTCTAATATATTAATATGGGATATCTTTCTATTTATGTCATCTTTCCTCAGTGTTTTATAGTTTTCTATATACAGAAAATTCTGTCATTTGCAACATCATACATGAAGCTAGAGGACATATGTTAAGTGGAATAAGTCAGGCACAGAGAGACAAATACCATGTAATCTGACTAATATGTGAAATCTCCAAAACTTCAACTTACGGAAGTAGAGCGTAGAATGATTGGTACCAGAGGATGTAAAAGGGATGTGGTGGATGAGAAGAGAGAGACAGGTACAAATATTCAGTTAGATAAAAGAAATAAGCTCTGGTGTTCTATTTCACAGCATGGTGACTATAGTTCATAATAATGTATTGATATTACAAAGTAGCTGAGGAGATTTTAAATGTTCTCATCATAAAGTAATGACAAATATTGTATTTGAAGTGATGGATATTCTAATTAGCCAAATTGGATCATTCCACAATGTATACATGTACTGAAACATCACGTTCTGCCCTATAAATATATTCAATTATTATTTGTCAATTAGGAATAAAATAAAACCTAAAAATAAAAATAAATACAATTTAAAAGACCAACAGTAACAAAATTTCCTGGGGGTTATCACACAGTCTGAGGACTTTTGAGTACAGGCACTGAAGTTTTCTCTCCAAAGCTGGTCTGAGAACTGCCCTCTGAGGCTGCTTTATGCCAGAGGGCCTGAGCTCTCTCTCTACGGCCAGCTGTCTACCGTGGTTTCCAGTGCTGGCATTGTTCTGATCACCATGACTGAGATCTTGGAGTCATCTTTAACTCATCATTAACTCTCTAGTCTCCACAGGTGTCCTGTTCTAAACAAAAAGCAAGTTTACCTTATTTATTCCCTAAATATTTCTGATATCTTTCCCTCCCCACACACATACTTTTAAAAAATCTTTATCAGGCAGGGCACTGTGGCTCATGCCTGTAATCCCAGCACTTTGGGAGGCCGAGGTGGGTGGATTACCTGAGATCAGGAGTTCGAGACCAGTCTGGCCAACATGGTGAAACCCCATCTCTACTAAAAATACAAAAAATTAGCCAGGCTTGGTGGCACATACCTGTAATCCCAGCTACTTGGGAGACTGAGGCAGGAGAATTGATTGAACCTGGGAGGTGGAGGCTGCAGTGAGCCGAGATCCTGCCATTGCACTCCAGCCGGGGCAACAAGAGTGAAACTCTGTCTCAAAAAAAAGAAAAATCTTTACCACTTATTCTTACAATTTCAGTCTCATATCCCTCTGTAAATATCTTATTTCTTCTTCTTTTCTCTAACTGTTGCAGTTCATTCTAAATCTCTTTTATCAGACCATTCCTCATCAGAAATAGCTTTGGTGGTTTCCTATTGTCTATGGGATGAACGTCAGATTATGCCTTTGGGATAATCTCCATCATAAGGTCACTCATAATTAGATTTTGCCTGCTTTTGCAAAGTTATCTATACATACTGCAAAGTATTCCCTCAAGAATTCCATTTAGATAATGCCGTTTAAATGGTGTGTATGTGTATGTGTATATATCGTTTTCTCAACTAATTTTATTTCTGCCCCATTTTCCATTCTTTGAGTGTCCTTCTCTTCCGAGCTCATTATTACACATCTGTCAAGTTCAATCCAAATGCCACTTTCTTTTTAATTATTTCCTATTTATGTATCACTTGATGTAAGTATTTTATCAAACTCTTCTATAGTACTATTGTGTGTGTGTGTGTGTGTGTAAACAGAATATTGATGTGTCGAAGTCTCACCTCTTCATTTCAATTGTAAACATTAGAAATGGGAAGCAATATTGTAGACTTCCTTGTGTTACCAGCATCACTTAGTCTGATATTTTGAATTTCTTAATATAATATGAGTCAAGGGAATATTTGTTTATTCTTTAGCCCTGATTCTAACCTCCCATAACATTCTACTCTGTTAGAACCCAGAAGATAAGTGTACACATAGCATTCGTTGTTTGGGTTGCAAATGAAAGCAGATATTTTATTCAGCATTAGTATTTTTAAATTCATTTACTGATTTTGATGCCTATGTCATCTTTGAACATTTTGAGAGCTTGTCAGCTCTCCCAATTTCTTCCATTAAAATGCCACCAAACCTTTAATGCATATATCCTTCAATTTGAATGCACAAATGCTTATTTTAACCTTCTCTTTGCCATTTCAAATCCAAGATTTTTATATACAATTTAAATGGGGTATTTTGATAAATGACTTATTATAACTTGTTTATTGGTTAAACTACATAGAAAGTCCATATATTTCCACTATATCTCTATAACAGATTGGTGCTTTAAAGAACCAAAATCCCAGTAAAAGCAAACAAAAACAACACCAACGATTTGTTTTGTATCATTTATTTTCAATGTGCTTTAATTGCACTGGAACTTTAATCGAGCTGTAATTGCACTTTATTGCACGTATTTGTATGAATTAAAAAATACTTGAAGCTGAAATGTGGTGGATGAAACAATTTCGTGCATATCGTGAAACAGTTACCATAAAGAAAAGTTTTATCATTGCTTTTTATAGTATCACTATCATGCACTTTAAAAGTTAAGTTTGCAATCCAATCACATTTTATTCATCTGTGCTTTTCATTTTGTTTATCCTCTCTCTCACCCCAGAACTCCTTATTCAATCCCAGCTCTTCTCTATGCTATTCTGTTCTGGGAGTTTGAACCTTAGAGATTCTGTCAGCTCCTTGTCCTCTGATTTTCCGTCGTGTTCAGCCAATGGGAGGTATGTGATGGAGATGACAGCTAGGAGGAAAGACTGGTCTGGGTGTTAATACTTACTGCTCTCTTATTCTGTGAGTGGTTCTCTTCCTCCGTGCCTTCAGCTCCTATTGGCTGTTCGCTTCCATAGATCTCTCTCTGGCTGGGCAATCATAAACACTGCACTCTCTTTTAGCCCTTTCAGCTCAGGGAGCTATTGGCTTTCTGCTGTTGCTATTTCCTTGCTGTTTCTCTAGCTTTTCTTGGTGTCCTTAACTTCATCCTCACCTCCATGTATAGACACCCCCTATGAAATTTGTTTCAGTTAAACACTTTGAAGACCATTTGTTTCATGCTGGGCCTTTAACTCGTATATCATCCATGTGAATTTATAAATCAGTTTCTTTTATGTATCTTTAATATACAATATGTGATATGAATGATGATCAACTGGGAAACAAATGAACTGTTTACTAAATACAGTATGTGAGATTAGTTCCCAGACTCAACCCTCACATCTTGACTCTACAAATGCCAAGAAAATGTAATGTTTGCAAAAATGTTGAGTTCAAATTCTTAGGTAAGATGAAAATCTCTCCTATTATTAATTTATATCAATATATATGACTTTGTTGACGTGGGCTGGCATTCAACTTTATTTTTAACACTGAGACAGTCTACCAGTAAAGTTAGTTACTGCCATATACTTAGGTGAGAAAAGGTGCTACTACTGAGATAAGGTTAACTGAATATGGGCTTTCAGTTTAAATATTCTCATTTTCATAGCTCTCTATCTATTACATTTTGTTATGATCAATCTAAAATTTATCTAAGAATATTATTTATTTATTTATTTTTCTTTTTCAAAATGTTACCTCTTTCTAAGCTTGGTATGAGCATGCATAATGACCAGATTTCTTAAGGTCCTACAATTCTTGTTTGTTTCTTCCACATTTATGTAATTAATGGGCCATCAGGTACTCCCTGTAAGGTTTTAGTAGATGTAGCATTATTTTCCCAGGTCCAATATTTGCAAAGCAATAAGCAGTTTATTGGCAATTTCTAACAAGAAACAATTCCTAAAATGTTTATATATTTGGTTCATGGCGATAGTTGAGATCTGTTTGGTATGCACAGCCATTAATATTTTCATAGCCAGGCACGAATAACAACTGTTGAAAAGAGTCTGCCAAAACAGGTTATGTTTTAGCTTAAGAAATGAGACTTATAACTGAGACAGCAAATGGCCTTCAATTAATGTTGAAGTATTTAATTTACATTTTTGTCGTATTTATTATAACCTGTGAACTATAATAATGATGACTGATGCTTTATTGAAGTCTACCCTGTGTCAGATGTTTATTAAGTGTTGTTTACATCACCCTGTTTAAATCTACTATTTTAGCATATATACTAATGAAATCCCCAATTTTAGGAAAAGAAATCAAAAGATTAGAGTAGTTCAGTAGTTCAGTAACATGCCCAAAATCATACAGCTGGTAAATGGTGGAGAAATATTTCAAATTAAGCCTGTGATAACCCAGAATGTCATAGGTTCTCATAAGCACTTACTTAGACCTTTCCATATGCTGGTAAGTTAAGTTGTGGCATAATCATAAAAATATTAACATAATAATTTGGAGCGCATTTGACCAGAATCAAGGTAGTTAGGTAAGTATTAAATATATTAGACACATAATTTATTTTTATTCCATGTCAGACAAATAGAAATAAAAGAATAAGAGAACATCCTAATTGAAAAATAATCAGTATTCTTTCTAGCTGTGTCAATTTTTCATTACTATTCAAATATTCTTTTTCAAATTGTAATATATAGGTCATAGATAGCATTTGCTATTTCTATAGAACTGCAAGTTGCTGCCTCACTTTTTTCTCCTCTAGCTGTTTCATTTCTGGAATAAAGGTCTTTTGCAATATCAAGATCATCTCATATTCATTAGAAAAAACATGTGATATTGTAAATGTCATTTATGTCAGCAGCAAGTTATTTTTTTTTCTATTTGCGCTTATGTAGGGCTTTAATTTATCATGTCATCTACCATCTGGTTCTCAGGATAGATTTTTATTACATTTTAATAAAGAGCATATTGAAGAAAGTAATTTTTGTTGCTTAGTAAAGTATGCAAGCATTTACTTTTTTTTTCCTGGTAACCTTTCATTGATAATTATTTGTCATTTAAACTTTTGGTTAGCCTATTTTATGTTACATAGAAAACCCATGTGAAGGTCTTTGAAGTATGTTTAGAGTCATATAAGAGACCATATCAGATACAAAACATCTACTAGATAAAAGTTATTTATTTAATATTTCAAATTTATTTTATTTTTATCTTTATGAATCTTGGAATAATTAAATATGTTTGGAGGGAGAAAGATGTAGTGAGTACATCCTAGCACATTTTCCTTAGATATTTAAGAATTTTTTTCAAAGTTTTTTTCAGCCAAAGCATAATAGTCCTAAAAGAGAAGGCCTTTTCCAAATCCATTACTTATTGTTCCCCTAATGAGAATAATCAATATTGACTCACCCCAAAGGAATCAGGATTAGATCATCTCTTTGACATTGGAATTTCCTGTAAACAGTAACTCCATTGTGAACAATCTATGGATGGATTCACAATTCTAAAGTAGGAGTTTAGTCACTGAAGACCAGCCATATTTTATTTTAATGCATCTTCTTCTATTATATATTATTGGCTTATGAAAAAGCGTGTGTCAGGGTCTTTTTTGTACCTAGAAAATATTCATTATAGCATTTCTGGACCCTAATGCAATGTCATCTTTTCTACACAGATGAAATGTCTGGTATCTCTATATTCTGAACTTCAGTCTTCCCCAACTGTGAGGACAAAACAATTATCTAGTTAAGGAAAAACACCAACAAAAGAAATATGAGCAACATTCAGAGGCTGCCTTGGCTTTATTTTTATTTTTCTAAAGGTAAAGAAACCAAAAAGAGAGCTCAATCTCTGGAACTTCTGATACATTTTTCATACACTTCTTATTTGCTTTCAGTTCTGGAATACCGTGAGACAGTCAGATAGACATTGGTGAACCTTTGATCTCACTCTATTTAATTAGGGAAACCAACAGGATCTTTTATGTTTAGAGGCCAGCGATGTGTAAAAAGCCATGTATAATGTGAAGCCTGACAAATTGTGGTGAGTATTTTTGGACAGCAGACTTAGCAGTCCCTTTGTTGTCTGTGCACTGTCAGCTTTTGACTCAAAGAGAATGGATTAACATAAAAAGAGAATCCTCCATCATTCCCCGGGCATGCCTGGAAAGCATGAATCTGCCTCTTTTGATTTTTTTTTTTTCAGAGCTAGGTCAGGTACAATATAAAATCATCTACAATTTATAGCTTTCAACTTCTTTTTTAAATGGCTTTAGATAGGCAGCTACTCAATGCCTCAGTTTTTCCTGAGATAAAACAATATCTATCCCCTCTGTATCTTATAGTAGTCTTCCAAGGATTAATTCATTAGTGAATTTCAATTACTTTCTGTTCCTCAATTACATTATCACATATTACAATATATTAGATTTAACTTATACATAACCTCCAGGGGAGACATGAAAACCACTCTTTTTAGGAAATTTCAATACAAGGTATAACTTTAAAGTAATGAGTTTGACTTTTTTCAGGTAAAGAGAAGTGTACGTGATATTTACTTTTATGGTACCTGAAAACTGCAGGCAGTACAGCTGTTTCAGCCCCTCGTAATCACTGTTGAAAGATTCAGGATCTGAGCTCATATGGTCCTTGAAGTCAGGCAGCTTTATGGCTTGGTCAAGCTGAGATTTTATAATCTTTGTCCTTGCAAGCTACCCTGTTCTCTGGTCTGCTCTCCCGGGGACACTTCCCATAACACCCCAGGATGTTCTGCTCAATCCCTCCGTTATTGCCAAGGAGTAAATGCTGTCTCCAAAACACTGACAGGACCTAGCGGCCTCATTCCCTGGAATGGCCTGGAGACTCCCTTTAATCTTTCAATGGACACAATGCTTAAAGTTCAGATTTTTTAATAATACTTTCAAAAACTCCACTTGCAATAGAGTCAAAAATCCCACCTCTGTCTTCAATCTAGGTAACTTCACTATCATGCAGATGACTCTTCCCCAACCATAGTTTTTATCTGTGATTTATTTCAGCACCCTGTGCTGTGAATGCATATGATCCTTGCAGAAGTAAGGGAAAAAAAGCTTGATATTGATCTTGACTACATGTCACTTCTTTTGTACTCTTCTCTCCCTCGGTTTCCAAACCTAATCGAAGAGAAGCAAAATAGGTGAAGACTCCTTTTGTTACAACGCATTAGAATTTCATGTTATCCAACCTTGGCTCAGCTTTCCATGATGTGTGCAAACTGCCAGCACTTTCTCAGGAATTTCTACACATTTGCTTTCTTGACAAACCCTATCCTCCAGCCACACCATCCTTGCATAGCTAGAATTTCTTACTACATTTACATTGTTTCTCCTTTTTCACTATTATTATATCCCCAATTTATTTTCTGTAATATTATTTGTGATACCCTCTTCATCCCCAACTTCTGTTGCCTTTCTCCATTAAGTATTCTTGGCTTCTTTTATACTTTTACATTTTTAAAAATAATTGTCTCTGCTTACATTTTGCCCAAATTGATGTTATTTAGTTCAAGTCAATGTGTATTTTTCAACACTCAGTGCAAGAAAATAAATTTCTTATGTATCATAGGATATACAAGTAACTCAGAGTATTAAAAAGTCTTTTGTGGATCTGGCTTACACATTAAACAGGACTTACTTCCTTTCTACATCTCTGAATATCTTGAAATACTAACGGTATATTTTGTATTTCTCCTAAAACACTTATTATTCTTTGGCTTTAGGCCCTATCACAAAGTGGAACTATACTGAAGGTCAATAATGACCTTCCTTGTACAATACTTTAAGCTCTCTCTTTGAATAATATTGTTTTAAATTATCTCTCTACTGCATGTGACACTATAGGAGAAAGGTTATATTTAGCACGACAGTTGACCCTTGAACAACCTGGGTTTGAACTGTGTGGATTCACTTATACACAGATTTTCTTCTGCCACTGCCACCCTTGAGACAACAAGACAATTCCTCCTCTTCCTCCTCCTGAGCCTATTCAACAGGAAGATGATGAGGCTGAAAACTTTTATGATGATCCATTTCCACTTAATTCACGGTAAATATATTTTTCTTTCCTTATGATTTTTGTAAAAACATTTTCTCTCTCTAGTTTGCTCTATTGCAAGAATGCAGTATATAATACACATAGCATAGAAAATCTGTGTTAATCAACTATTTATGTTATTTGTAAGGCTTCTGGTGAACAGTGAAATATTACTAGATAAGTTTTTAGGGAGTCAACTGTTACACGTGGATTTTTTTACTGTGTAGGGAGTGGTACTCATAACCACCTAACCCTCTATCCCCCACGTTGTTCAAGGGTCAATTGTTCTTTTTTTTTTCTGAAAGGGTACACATTCTTACCTTTTTTTTTTTTTTTTTTTTTTGACACAGGGTCTCACTCTGTGCCCAGGTTGGAGTGCAGTGGCATGATCATAGTTCACTGCAACCTAGACTTACTGGGCTCAAGTGATCCTCCCATCTCAGCTTCTCCTTTATCTGGGGCTACAGGTGCACATCACTTTACCTAGCTAATTTTTTCATTTATTGCAGAGATGGGGTCTTGCTTATTGTGTTGGCTGATCTTGAACTCCTAGACTCAAACAATCCTCCCACCTCAGCCTCCCAAACTGCTAGGATTACAGGCTTGAGTCACAGATGCCTGGCCAGGTGCACATTCTTGAATCTGCTATTATTGCACTGACCATTCCCTCTCAGCTTTTCTGTGGTTTTCTTATTGCACAATCTCTTCCACTGGCATATTTTTTTCTAGGACACTTGTCTGTGTTACTGATTCCTTCCTCTCATTCTAAGTGTTTTCTCCAGATTTTATCAATGTCCTCATGAGGCTTTGTTTAGAGGCTTTATATATGTTTCCTTGGACTATCTTCCCAATTTGGATTATATCCCAGTGTTTGTGATTTGCAGTGTGGCTTTTCATAGGGCATTTCCAAAGAGTCTGCCTTAATCTACCAGTCACTGAGCTCCTGCTCCAACTTGAGCTCATTATTTTCACAGAAATATCCTTCACCCATATTCAGTGCTGCATTAGTGGTATTATTCCAACCTATCTAGTAGAAATCATTTGCCCCTTGCAGCAAACACGATTCATCTACTACAAAGATCTGGTATGCTCACACTCAAAATTGTTTCATTAAAAAAAATAAAATAATCGATTAGATCAAAGTCACATAATTTTTAAGCTAAGAGATTTGATCATTAATGTCCCCATTGTTTAGTTGAGAACACTGTTGCTTCTGGAGGGGGGAAAGCATGTCTCTGTGTTAGTGACTAAATAAGGTTTAAACCAAGTTTCGCTTTCTCCCAATCTGATAAATCTATTGTTTTTTCTACTGTCATAGTTTATTACTTCATTCTTATCTTCCTAGAGATCATCTAATAGATCCTTTCGTCCACCCTCTTTGTTTGGTTTATCAAACATTTATTTGATACCTCTTAAATGTCCTAATTAATATATTCTTACTACACTGCTTATCTCATAATATTTCTACTTGTTAAACAAAAATAATGACTCCACAGCTTTTTAAATACAGCCTGAATTCCTTAGAGAGATGATCTATGACCTGGTCCCAAGTCTTCTTTTCAGTTTAATTTGCTGCTACTGTTCTCAGGAGCTCTACACAACAACCTCATAAAAATATGCTCTTTAATGAGATCATATGCTCCTCAGGGTCTAATGTGCATCTTCCAATTCGGCAAAACAGTTTACATTCTTTCATTAAAGTGAAGTGTGGACACAATTATAGCAACGTGGATAAAATATCATGCTTTTTCCAGTTTATCTAGAAACTGTTTTCAGAACACAGTTCTGGGTTTGAATTCTGACCCTGACACCAATATTGTGACCTTAAACAAGTACTGTAACAATGCTGACTGAGCTTTTAACCAGTGGTAAATGACATTACTGCTATTTACTTTTCCAGACCAGTGCGAAGATTAACCAAGATGAAGCATGTAAAAACCTAGCTTTGCTATTGTTACTAGGAAAAGAATTGGTACTATGAGGGAAAAAAGAAGAGGAGTAGAGGACAAGGAGGATATTGTATATTATACTGTTATCAAGAGGTCCTGTATATTAGTATACAGTATATTAGTATACAGGACCTCTTGCCCTATTTTGAATTCGTTTTCTTACTCCTAGTATATTGTTTCTAACCTACTAACATACTTTTGTAGATTTTGTTTGGCAGAGTATATGTCTCACACCTGTTTTATTATCAGTGACTTAAATCCAGGGAGAAAATTTCATTTAAATTTGAATCTTCTTCAACACCTAATACCTCATCCTGTACCCAGTAGGCTGTCAATAAATACTGAAATAATTAATGCTGGGTGGCTCAGAGGCCTGCAGCTGTTTTAAGAGAAGGGCCATGACACAGGATAAGGCTCTCAGCCTATGCAGTCAGAACGCTTTCTCTTCTACCTCACAGCCTCTGGTGCTAGATATTAGAGGAAGCAAAATCAAGCTGACCATAGAACAAGGGGCGGTTGGCACAGTCTCTTGATTTGTGGTTGTTAGGCAACACTTTTCTTAGATTTGTTAACTGAATGAAGATAAAAATATTGAATTCTGCTAGTTAAATCCAAATAGACTAATGCTTTAAGCACAAATATAAAAAATTAAAGACTCTAAATGTATTAATTTGAGTACATAAGATTGTTTTTGCAAGAATTAACAATTATTGACAGTTCAGGAAGTGGATTGTGTTTATTCATGTATATATACCTGACTTTGATGCATATATAATATGCATTTAAATATATGAAAGTAGCATTTTGTCTTGGAATTCATATCCTTATGCTTTTATTTAATGAAATTGGGTTTTTAGAAAATATCTCTGAGATTTAGACACAAATCCCACTTTTTATATCTTCAACATTGATTATGCCTAAAATGTGACTCATAATTTTCAAAAATTATATTGTGTAGGTTTTGTCACATATAGTCTCTTCAACTTGAGTATATGTATTGCAAGTTTTCAAATATAAAAGGTCATAGTTTCAAGAAAAATTGTTCCTCAGTAAAAATGCTTTGAGTGGCAAATAAGAGATGCATGGGAAAGCAACATATTTGCTGAGTGAATTATTAGAGATCTGTATAGATTAACTTCATATTTAGTAAGATGGATTTACTCAACATCTTGCTTTTACAGAACGGAAAAAAAAATGGAATTCCTTTCCAAGATGAACGAATAGGAACAGCTCTGGTCTGAAGCTCCCAGCGTGATCAACACAGCAGAAGGGTGATTTCTGCATTTCCAACTGAGATACCTGGTTCATCTCATTGGGACTGGTTGGACAGTGGGTGCAGCCCACAGAGGGTGAACCAAAACAGAGTGGGGTGTTGCCACACCCAGGAAGTGCAAGGGGTTGGGGGATTTCCCTTTCCCAGCTAAGGAAAGCTGTGACAGACTGTACCTGGAAAATCAGTACACTTCTGCCCAAATACTGCACTTTTCCCATCGTCTTAGCAACTGGCAGACTAGGAGTTTCTCTCCCATGCCTGGCTCGGCGGGTCTGATGCTCACAGAGCCTTGCCCAGTGCTAGCACAGAAGTCTGAGATTGACCTGCAAGGCTGCAGTCTAGCTGGGGGAGGGGCATCTGCCATTGCTGAGGCTTGGGTAGGTAAACAAAGTAGCCAGGAAGCTCGAACTGGGCAGAGCCCACCACACCTCAGCAAGGACTACTGCCTCTATAGACTCCACCTCTGTGGACAGGGCATAGCTTAAAAGACAGCAGACAACTTCTACAGACTTAAATGTCCCTGTCTGACAGCTCAGATGAGCAGTGGTTTTTCCAGCATAGCATTTGAGCTCTGAGAACAGACAGACTGCTTCCTCAAGTGGATCCCTGACCCCTGTGTAGCCTAACTGGGAGATGCCTCCCAGTAGGAGCCGACAGACACCTCATACAGGTGGGTACTCCTCTGGGATGAACCTTCCAGAGGAAAGATCAGGCAGAAATATTTGCTGTTCTGCAGTATTTGCTGTTCTGTAGCCTCTGCTGGTGATAGCCAGGCAAACAGGTTCTGGAGTGTACCTCCAGCAAACTCCAACAGACCTGCAGCTGAGGGACCTGTTAGAAGGAAAACTAACAAACAGAAAGGAATAGCACCAACATCAACACAAAAGACATCCACATCAAAACCTCATCTGTAGGTCATCAACATCAAAGACCAAAGGTAGATAAAACCACAAAGATGGGGAGAAACCAGAGCAAAAAATCTGAAAATTCTAAAAACCAGAGCACCTCTTCTCCTCCAAAGGATCATAGCTCCTTGCCAACAACAGAACAAAGCTGGATGGAGAATGACTTTCACGAGTTGACAGAAGTAGGCTTCAGAAGGTCAGTAATAACAAACTTCTCCGAGCTAAAGGAGCATGTTCTAACCCATCACAAGGAAGCTAAAAACCTTGAAAAAAGGTTAGATGAATGGTTAACTAGAATAAACAGTGCAGAGAAGACCTTAAGTGACCTGATGGAGCTGAAAACCATGGCACGAGAACTTCATGACACATGCAAAAGCTTCAATAGCTGATTCAATCAAATAGAAGAAAGGATATCAGTGATTGAAGATTAAATTAATGAAATAAAGTGAGAAGACAAGATTAGAGAAAAAAGAGAAAAAGTAATGAACAAAGCCTCCAAGAAATATGGGACTATGTGAAAAGACCAAATATATGTTTGACTGGTGTACCTGAAAGTGATGGGGAGAATGGAACCAAGTTGGAAAACACTCTTCAGGGTATTATCCAGAAAAACTTCCCCAACCTAGCAAGGCAGGCCAACATTCAAATTCAGGAAATACAGAGAACACCATAAAGACACTCCTCGAGAACAGCAACTCCAAGACACATAATTGTCAGATTCACCAAGGTTGAAAAGAAGGAAAAAATGTTAAGGGCAGCCAGAGAGAAAGGTTGGGTTACCCACAAAGGGAAGTCCATCAGACTAACAGCAGATCTCTTGGCAGAAAGAGAAGTGGCAGAAGAGAGTGGGAACCAATATTCAACATTCTTAAAGAAAAGAATTTTCAGCCCAGAATTTTATATCCAGCCAAATTAAGCTTTATAAGTGCAGGAGAAATAAAACCCTTTACAAACAAGCAATTGCAGAGAGATTTTGTCACCACCAGGCCTGCCTTACAAGACCTCCTGAAGGAAGCACTAAACACGGAAAGGAACAACCAGTACCAGCCACTGCAAAAACATCCCAAATTGTAAAGACCATCAAGGCTAGGAAGAAACTGCATCAACTAATGAGCAAAATAACCAGCTAACATCATAATGACAGGATCAAATTCACACATAACAATATTAACCTTAAATGTAAATGGGCTAAATGCCCCAATTAAAAGACACAGACTGGCCATTTGGCTAAAGAGTCAAGACCTATCAGTGTACTGTATTCAGGAGACCCATCTCACGTGCACAGACACATATAGGCTTAAAATAAAGGGATGGAGGAAGATCTACCAAGCAAATGGAAAGCAGAAAAAAAAAGCAGGGGTTGCAATCGTAGTCTCTGATAAAACAGACTTTAAACCAACAAGATCAAAAGAGACAAAGAAGGCCATTACATAATGGTAAAGGGATCAATTCAACAAGAAGAGCTAACTATCCTAAATATATATGCACCTAATACAGGGGCACCCTGATTCATAAAGCAAGTCCTTAGAGACCTACAAAGAGACTTAGATTCCCACATAATAATAATGGGAGACTTTAACAACCCACTCTTTATATAAGACAGATCAATGAAACAGAAGGTTAATAAGGATATCCAGGACTGGAAGTCAGCACTGCACCAAGCAGACCTAATAGACATCTGCGGAACTCTCTATCCCAAATCAACAGAGTATACATTCTTCTCAGCACCACATCGGACTTATTCCAAAATTGACCACATAATTGGAAGTAAAGCACTCCTCAGCAAATGTAATAGAACAGAAGTCACAACAAACTGTCTCTCAGACCACAGTGCAATCAAATTAGGACTCAGGATTAAGAAATTCACTCAAAACCGCTCAACTACATAGAAACTGAGCAACCTGATCCTGAATGACTACAGGGTAAATAACAAAATGAAGGCAGAAATAAAGATTTTCTTTGAAACCAATGAGAACAAAGACACAATGTACCAGAATCTCTGGAACACATTTAAAGCAGTGTGTAGAGAAAAATTTATAGCAATAAATGGCCACAAGAGAAACCAGGAAAGATCTAAAATTGGCACCCTAACAGCACAATTAAAAGAACTAGAGAAGCAAAAGCAAACAAATTCAAAAGCTAGCAGAAGGCAAGAAATAACTAAGATCAGAGCACAACTTACAGAGATAGAGACACAATAAAACCCTTCAAAAAAATCAATGAATCCAGAAGCTGGTTTTTTGAAAAGATGAACGAAATTGATAGATTTCTAGTAAGACTAATAAAGAAGAAAAGAGAGAAGAATCAAACAGATGCAATAAAAAATGATAAAGGGGTATCACCACTGATCTCACAGAAATACAAATGACCATCAGAGAATACTATAAACACCTCTACACAAATAAACTAGAAAATCTAGAAGAAATGGATAAATTCCTGGACACATACACCCTCCCAAGACTAAACCAGGAAGAAGTCGAATCTCTGAATAGACCAAAAACAGGCTCTGAAATTGAGGCAATAATTAATAGCCTACCAACTAACCAAAGTCCAGGACTAGATGGATTCACAGCCAAATTCTACCAGAGGTACAAAGAGGAGCTGGTACCATTCCTTCTGAAACTATTCCAATCAATAGAAAAAGAGGGAATCCTCCCTAACTCATTTAGTGAAGCCAGCATCATCCGGACACCAAAGCCCGGCAGAGACACAACAAAAAAAAGAGAATTTTAGACAAATATCCCTGATGAACATCAATGTGAAAATCCTCAATAAAATACTGGCAAACAGAATCCAGCAGCATATCAGAAAGGTTATCCACCACGATCAAGTCAGCTTCATCCCTGGGATGCAAGTCTTGTTTAACATACACAAATCAATAAACATAATCCATCATATAAACAGAACTGTGGGGAAAAGCAAGAGAGATCAGATTGTTACTGTGTCTGTGTAGAAAGAAGTAGACATAGGAGACTCCATTTTGTTATGTACTAAGAAAAATTCTTCTGCCTTGAGATTCTGTGACCTTACCCCCAACCCCGTGCTCTCTGAAACATGTGCTGTGTCAACTCAGAGTTGAATGGATTAAGGGCAGTGCAAGATGTGCTTTGTTAAACAGATGCTTGAAGGCAGCATGCTCCTTAAGAGTCATCACCACTCCCTCATCTCAAGTACCCAGGGACACAAAAACTGCGGAAGGCCGCAGGGACCTCTGCCTAGGAAAGCCAGGTATTGTCCAAGGTTTCATAGTCTGAAATATGGCCTCGTGGGAAGGGAAAGACCTGACTGTCCCCCAGCCCGACACCCATAAAGGGTCTGTGCTGAGGAGGATTAGTATAAGAGGAAGGCATGCCTCTTGCAGTTGAGACAAGAGGAAGGCATCTGTCTCCTGCCTGTCCCTGGGCAATGGAATGTCTCAGTATAAAACCCGATTGTATGCTCCATCTACTGAGATAGGGAAAAACTGCCTTAGGGCTGGAGGTGGGACCTGCAGGCAGCAATACTGCTTTGTAAAGCATTGAGATGTTTATGTGTATGCATATCTAAAAGCACAGCACTTAATCCTTTACATTGTCTATGATGCAAAGACCTTTGTTCACGTGTTTGTCTGCTGACCCTCTCCCCACAATTGTCTTGTGACCCTGACACATCCCCCTCTTTGAGAAACACCCACGAATGATCAATAAATACTAAGGGAACTCAGAGGCTGGCGGGATCCTCCATATGCTGAACGCTGGTTCCCTAGGTCCCCTTATTTCTTTCTCTATACTTTGCCTCTGTGTCTTTTTCTTTCCTAAGTCTCTCATTCCACCTTTACGAGAAACACCCACAGGTGTGGAGGGGCAACCCACCCCTACATCTGGTGCCCAACGTGGAGGCTTTTCTCTAGGGTGAAGGTACGCTCGAGCATGGTCATTGAGGACAAGTCGACGAGAGATCCCGAGTACGTCTACAGTCAGCCTTTCGGTAAGCTTGTGCGCTTGGAAGAAGCTAGGGTGATAATGGGGCAAACTAAAAGTAAAATTAAGAGTAAATATGCCTCTTATCTCAGCTTTATTAAAATTCTTTTAAAAAGAGGGGGAGTTAAAGTATCTACAAAAAATCTAATCAAGCTATTTCAAATAATAGAACAATTTTGCCCATGGTTTCCAGAACAAGGAACTTTAGATCTAAAAGATTGGAAAAGAATTGGTAAGGAACTAAAACAAGCAGGTAGGAAGGGTAATATCATTCCACTTACAGTATGGAATGATTGGGCCATTATTAAAGCAGCTTTAGAACCATTTCAAACAGAAGAAGATAGTGTTTCAGTTTCTGATGCCCCTGGAAGCTGTTTAATAGATTGTAATGAAAAGACAAGGAAAAAATCCCAGAAAGAAATGGAAGGTTTACATTGCGAATATGTAGCAGAGCCGGTGATGGCTCAGTCAACACAAAATGTTGACTATAATCAATTACAGGAGGTGATATATCCTGAAACGTTAAAATTAGAAGGAAAAGGTCCCGAATTAGTGGGGCCATTAGAGTCTAAACCATGAGGCACAAGTCCTCTTCCAGCAGGTCAGGTGCCTGTAACATTACAACCTCAAACGCAGGTTAAAGAAAATAAGACCCAACCGCCAGTAGCCTATCAATACTGGCTGCCGGCTGAACTTCAGTATCGGCCACCCCCAGAAAGTCAGTATGGATATCCAGGAATACCCCCAGCACCACAGGGCAGGGTGCCATACCCTCAGCCACCCACTAGGAGACTTAATCCTATGGCACCACCTAGTAGACAGGGTAGTGAATTACATGAAATTATTGATAAATCAAGAAAGGAAGGAGATACTGAGGCATGGCAATTCCCAGTAACGTTAGAACCGATGCCACCTGGAGAAGGAGCCCAAGAGGGAGAGCCTCTCACAGTTGAGGCCAGATACAAGTCTTTTTCGATAAAAATGCTAAAAGATATGAAAGAGGGAGTAAAACAGTATGGACCCAACTCCCCTTATATGAGGACATTATTAGATTCCATTGCTCATGGACATAGACTCATTCCTTATGATTGGGAGATTCTGGCAAAATCGTCTCTCTCACCCTCTCTATTTTTACAATTTAAGACTTGGTGGATTGATGGGGTACAAGAACAGGTCCGAAGAAATAGGGCTGCCAATCCTCCAGTTAACATAGATGCAGATCAACTATTAGGAACAGGTCAAAATTGGAGTACTATTAGTCAACAAGCGTTAATGCAAAATGAGGCCATTGAGCAAGTTAGAGCTATCTGCCTTAGAGCCTGGGAAAAAATCCAAGACCCAGGAAGCGCCTGCCCCTCATTTAATACAGTAAGACAAGGTTCGAAAGAGCCCTACCTTGATTTTGTGGCAAGGCTCCAAGATGTTGCTCAAAAGTCAATTGCCAATGAAAAAGCCCATAAGGTCATAGTGGAGTTGATGGCATATGAAAACGCCAATCTTGAGTGTCAATCAGCCATTAAGCCATTAAAAGCAAAGGTTCCTGCAGGATCAGATGTAATCTCAGAATATGTAAAAGCCTGTGATGGAATCGGAGGAGCTATGCATAAAGCTATGCTTATGGCTCAAGCAATAACAGGAGTTGTTTTAGGAGGACAAGTTAGAACATTTGGAGGAAAATGATATAATTGTGGTCAAATTGGTCACTTAAAAAAGAACTGCCCAGTCTTAAATAAACAGAATATAACTATTCAAGCTACTACCACAACAGGTAGAGAGCCAGCTGACTTATGTCCAAGATGTAAAAAAGGAAAACATTGGGCTAGTCAATGTTGTTCTAAATTTGATAAAAATGGGCAACCATTGTCGGGAAATGAGCAAAGGGGCCAGCCTCAGGCCCCACAACAAACTGGGGCATTCCCAATTCAGCCATTTGTTCCTCAGGGTTTTCAGGGACAACAACCCCCACTGTCCCAAGTGTTTCAGGGAATAAGCCAGTTACCACAATACAACAATTGTCCCCCGCCACAAGCGGCAGTGCAGCAGTAGATTTATGTACTATACAAGCAGTCTCTCTGCTTCCAGGGGAGCCCCCACAAAAAATCCCCACAGGGGTATATGGCCCACTGCCTGAGGGGACTGTAGGACTAATCTTGGGAAGATCAAGTCTAAATCTAAAAGGAGTTCAAATTCATACTAGTGTGGTAGATACAGACTATAAAGGTGAAATTCAATTGGTTATTAGCTCTTCAGTTCCTTGGAGTGCCAGTCCAGGAGACAGGATTGCTCAATTATTACTCCTGCCATACATTAAGGGTGGAAATAGTGAAATAAAAAGAATAGGAGAGTTTGGAAGCACTGATCCGACAGGAAAGGCTGCATATTGGGCAAGTCAGGTCTCAGAGAACAGACCTGTGTGTAAGGCCATTATTCAAGGAAAACAGTTTGAAGGGTTGGTAGACACTGAAGCAGATGTCTCTATCATTGCTTTAAATCAGTGGCCAAAAAATTGGCCTAAACAAAAGGCTGTTACAGGACTTGTCGGCATAGGCACAGCCTCAGAAGTGTATCAAAGTACTGAGATTTTACATTGCTTAGGGCCAGATAATCAAGAAAGTACTGTTCAGCCAATGATTACTTCAATTCCTCTTAATCTGTGGGGTCAAGATTTATTACAACAATGGGGTGTGGAAATCACCATGCCCGCTCCATTATATAGCCCCACGAGTCAAAAAATCATGACCAAGATGGGATATATACCAGGAAAGGGACTAGGGAAAAATGAAGATGGCATTAAAGTTCCAGTTGAGGCTAAAATAAATCAAAAAAGAGAAGGAATAGGGTATCCTTTTTAGGGGCGGCCACTGTAGAGCCTCCTAAACCCATACCATTAACTTGGAAAACAGAAAAACCGGTGTGGGTAAATCAGTGGCCGCTACCAAAACAAAAACTGGAGGCTTTACATTTATTAGCAAATGAACAGTTAGAAAAGGGTCATATTGAGCCTTCATTCTCGCCTTGGAATTCTCCTGTGTTTGTGATTCAGAAGAAATCAGGCAAATGGCGTATGTTAACTGACTTAAGGGCCGTAAACGCCATAATTCAACCCATGGGGCCTCTCCAATCTGGGTTGCCCTCTCCGGCCATGATCCCAAAAGATTGGCCTTTAATTATAATTGATCTAAAGGATTGCTTTTTTACCATCCCTCTGGCGGAGCAGGATTGCGAAAAATTTGCCTTTACTATACTAGCCATAAATAATAAAGAACCAGCCACCAGGTTTCAGTGGAAAGTGTTACCTCAGGGAATGCTTAATAGTCCAACTATTTGTCAGACTTTTGTAGGTCGAGCTCTTCAACCAGTTAGAGACAAGTTTTCAGACTGTTATATTATTCATTATATTGATGATATTTTATGTGCTGCAGAAACGAAAGATAAATTAATTGACTGTTATACATTTCTGCAAGCAGAGGTTGCCAACGCAGGACTGGCAATAGCATCTGATAAGATCCAAACCTCTACTCCTTTTCATTATTTAGGGATGCAGATAGAAAATAGAAAAATTAAGCCACAAAAAATAGAAATAAGAAAATACACATTAAAAACACTAAATGATTTTCAAAAATTGCTGGGAGATATTAATTGGATTCGGCCAACTCTAGGCATTCCTACTTATGCCATGTCAAATTTGTTCTCTATCTTAAGAGGAGACTCAGACTTAAATAGTAAAAGAATGTTAACCCCAGAGGCAACAAAAGAAATTAAATTAGTGGAAGAAAAAATTCAGTCAGTGCAAATAAATAGAATAGATCCCTTAGCCCCACTCCAACTTTTGATTTTTGCCACTGCACATTCTCCAACAGGCATCATTATTCAAAATACTGATCTTGTGGAGTGGTCATTCCTTCCTCACAGTACAGTTAAGACTTTTACATTGTACTTGGATCAAATAGCTACATTAATTGGTCAGACAAGATTACGAATAATAAAATTATGTGGAAATGACCCAGACAAAATAGTTGTCCCTTTAACCAAGGAACAAGTTAGACAAGCCTTTATCAATTCTGGTGCATGGCAGATTGGTCTTGCTAATTTTGTGGGAATTATTGATAATCATTACCCAAAAACAAAGATCTTCCAGTTCTTAAAATTGACTACTTGGATTCTACCTAAAATTACCAGACATGAACCTTTAGAAAATGCTCTAACAATATTTACTGATGGTTCCAGCAATGGAAAAGCAGCTTACACAGGGCCGAAAGAATGAGTAATCAAAACTCCATATCAATCAGCTCAAAGAGCAGAGTTGGTTGCAGTCATTAAAGTGTTACAAGATTTTGACCAACCTATCAATATTATATCAGATTCTGCATATGTAGTACAGGCTACAAGGGATGTTGAGACAGCTCTAATTAAATATAGCATGGATGATCAGTTAAACCAGCTATTCAATTTATTACAACAAACTGTAAGAAAAAGAAATTTCCCATTTTATATTACTCATATTCGAGCACACACTAATTTACCAGGGCCTTTGACTAAAGCAAATGAACAAGCTGACTTACTGGTATCATCTGCATTCATAAAAGCACAAGAACTTCATGCTTTGACTCATGTAAATGCAGCAGGATTAAAAAACAAATTTGATGTCACATGGAAACAGGCAAAAGATATTGTACAACATTGCACCCAGTGTCAAGTCTTACACCTGCCCACTCAAGAGGCAGGAGTTAATCCCAGAGGTCTGTGTCCTAATGCATTATGGCAAGTGGATGTCACGCATGTACCTTCATTTGGAAGATTATCATATGTTCATGTAACAGTTGATACTTATTCACATTTCATATGGGCAACTTGCCAAACAGGAGAAAGTACTTCCCATGTTAAAAAACATTTATTGTCTTGTTTTGCTGTAATGGGAGTTCCAGAAAAAATCAAAACTGACAATGGACCAGGATATTGTAGTAAAGCTTTCCAAAAATTCTTAAGTCAGTGGAAAATTTCACATACAACAGGAATTCCTTATAATTCCCAAGGACAGGCCATAGTTGAAAGAACTAATAGAACACTCAACACTCAGTTAAACAAAAAGAAGGGGGAGACAGTAAGGAGTGTACCACTCCTCAGATGCAACTTAATCTAGCACTCTATACTTTAAATTTTTTAAACATTTATAGAAATCAGACTACTACTTCTGCAGAACAACATCTTACTGGTTAAAAGAACAGCCCACATGAAGGAAAACTAATTTGGTGGAAAGATAATAAAAATAAGACATGGGAAATAGGGAAGGTGATAACGTGGGGGAGAGGTTTTGCTTGTGTTTCACCAGGAGAAAATCAGCTTCCTGTTTGGATACCCACTAGACATTTGAAGTTCTACAATGAACCCATCGGAGATGCAAAGAAAAGCACCTCCGCGGAGACGGAGACACTGCAATCGAGCACCGTTGACTCACAAGATGAACAAAATGGTGACGTCAGAAGAAGAGATGAAGTTGCCATCCACCAAGAAGGCAGAGCCGCTGACTTGGGCACAACTAAAGAAGCTGACGCAGTTAGCTACAAAATGTCTAGAGAACACAAAGGTGACACAAACCCCAGAGAGTATGCTGCTTGCAGCCTTGATGATTGTATCAATGGTGGTAAGTCTCCCTATGCCTGCAGGAGCAGCTGCAGCTAACTATACCTACTGGGCCTATGTGCCTTTCCCGCCCTTAATTTGGGCAGTCACATGGATGGATAATCCTATAGAAGTATATGTTAATGATAGTGTATGGGTTCCTGGCCCCACAGATGATCGCTGCCCTGCCAAACCTGAGGAAGAAGGGATGATGATAAATATTTCCACTGGGTATCGTTATCCTCCTATTTGCCTAGGGAGAGCACCAGGATGTTTAATGCCTGCAGTCCAAAATTGGTTGGTAGAAGTACCTACTGTCAGTCCCATCAGTAGATTCACTTATCACATGGTAAGCGGGATGTCACTCAGGCCACGGGTAAATTATTTACAAGACTTTTCTTATCAAAGATCATTAAAATTTAGACCTAAAGGGAAACCTTGCCCCAAGGAAATTCCCAAAGAATCAAAAAATACAGAAGTTTTAGTTTGGGAAGAATGTGTGGCCAATAGTGCAGTGATATTACAAAACAATGAATTTGGAACTATTATAGATTGGGCACCTCGAGGTCAATTCTACCACAATTGCTCAGGATGAACTCAGTCGTGTCCAAGTGCACAAGTGAGTCCAGCTGTTGATAGCGACTTAACAGAAAGTTTAGACAAACATAAGCATAAAAAATTGCAGTCTTTCTACCCTTGGGAATGGGGAGAAAAAGGAATCTCTACCCCAAGACCAAAAATAATAAGTCCTGTTTCTGGTCCTGAACATCCAGAATTATGGAGGCTTACTGTGGCCTCACACCACATTAGAATTTGGTCTGGAAATCAGACTTTAGAAACAAGAGATCATAAGCCATTTTATACTATCGACCTAAATTCCAGTCTAACGGTTCCTTTACAAAGTTGCGTAAAGCCCCCTTATATGCTAGTTGTAGGAAATATAGCTATTAAACCAGACTCCCAGACTATAACCTGTGAAAATTGTAGATTGCTTACTTGCATTGATTCAACTTTTAATTGGCAACACCGTATTCTGCTGGTGAGAGCAAGAGAGGGCGTGTGGATCCCTGTGTCCATGGACCGACCGTGGGAGGCCTCGCCATCCATCCATATTTTGACTGAAGTATTAAAAGGTGTTTTAAATAGATCCAAAAGATTCATTTTTACTTTAATTGCAGTGATTATGGGATTAATTGCAGTCACAGCTATGGCTGCTGTAGCAGGAGTTGCATTGCACTCTTCTGTTCAGTCGGTAAACTTTGTTAATGATTGGCAAAAAAATTCTACAAGATTGTGGAATTCACAATCTAGTATTGATCAAAAATTGGCAAATCAAATTAATGATCTTAGACAAACTGTCATTTGGATGGGAGACAGACTCATGAGCTTAGAACATCGTTTCCAGTTACAGTGTGACTGGAATATGTCAGACTTTTGTATTACACCCCAAATTTATAATGAGTCTGAGCATCACTGGGACATGGTTAGACGGCATCTACAGGGAAGAGAAGATAATCTCACTTTAGACATTTCCAAGTTAAAAGAACAAATTTTCGAAGCATCAAAAACCCATTTAAATTTGGTGCCAGGAACTGAGGCAATTGCAGGAGTTGCTGATGGCCTCGCAAATCTTAACCCTGTCACTTGGGTTAAGACCATCGGAAGTACTACAATTATAAATCTCATATTAATCCTTGTGTGCCTGTTTTGTCTGTTGTTAGTCTGCAGGTGTAACCAACAGCTCCAAAGAGACAGCGACCATCGAGAACGGGCCATGATTACGATGGTGGTTTTGTCGAAAAGAAAAGGGGGAAATGTGGGGAAAAGCAAGAGCGATCAGATTGTTGCTGTGTCTGTGTAGAAAGAAGTAGACATAGGAGACTCCATTTTGTTATGTACTAAGAAAAATTCTTCTGCCTTGAGATTCTGTGACCTTACCCCCAACCCCATGCTCTCTGAAACATGTGCTGTGTCAACTCAGAGATGAATGGATTAAGGGCGGTGCAAGATGTGCTTTGTTAAACAGATGCTTGAAGGCAGCATGCTCCTTAAGAGTCATCACCACTCCCTCATCTCAAGTACCCAGGGACACAAAAACTGCGGAAGGCTGCAGGGACCTCTGCCTAGGAAAGCCAGGTATTGTCCAAGGTTTCTCCCCATGTGATAGTCTGAAATATGGCCTCGTGGGAAGGGAAAGACCTGACCGTCCCCCAGCCCGACACCCGTAAAGGGTCTGTGCTGAGGAGGATTAGTATAAGAGGAAGGCATGCCTCTTGCAGTTGAGACAAGAGGAAGGCATCTGTCTCCTGCCTGTCCCTGGGCAATGGAATGTCTCGTTATAAAACCCGATTGTATGCTCCATCTACTGAGATAGGGAAAAACCGCCTTAGGGCTGGAGGTGGGACCTGCGGGCAGCAATACTGCTTTGTAAAGCATTGAGATGTTTATGTGTATGCATATCTAAAAGCACAGCACTTAATCCTTTACATTGTCTATGATGCAAAGACCTTTGTTCACGTGTTTGTCTGCTGACCCTCTCCCCACAATTGTCTTGTGACCCTGACACATCCCCCTCTTTGAGAAACACCCACGAATGATCAATAAATACTAAGGGAACTCAGAGGCTGGCGGGATCCTCCATATGCTGAACGCTGGTTCCCCGGATCCCCTTATTTCTTTCTCTATACTTTGTCTCTGTGTCTTTTTCTTTCCTAAGTCTCTCATTCCACCTTACGAGAAACACCCACAGGTGTGGAGGGGCAACCCACCCCTACACAGAACCAATGACAAAAACCACATGATTATCTCAATAGATGCAGAAAAGGCCTTCGACAAAATTCAATAGCCATTAATGCTAAAAACTCTCAATAAACTAGGTATCGATGGAACATATCTCAAAATAATAAGCGTTATTTATGACAAACCCACAGCTAATATCATACTGAATGTGCAAAAACTGGAAGCATTCCCTTTGAAAACTGGCAAAAGACAAGTATGCCCTCTCTACCACTATTCAACATAATGTTGTTAGTTCTGGCAAGGGCAATGAGGCCAGAGAAAGAAATAAAGGGTATTTAATTAGGAAAAGAGGAAGTCAAATTGTCCCTGTTTGCAGATGACATGATTGTATATTTAGAAAACCCCATTGTCTCAGCCCAAAATCTCCTTAAGCTGATAAGCAACTTCAGCAAAATCTCAGGATACAAAATCAATGTGCAAAAATCACAACCATTCCTATACATCAATAACAGACAAACAGAGAGCCAAATCATGAGTGAACTCCCATTCACAATTGCTACAAAGTGAATAAAGTACCTAGGAATCCAACTTCCAAGGGATGTGAAGGACCTCTTCAAGGAGAACTACAAACCACTGCTCAACAAAATAAAAGAGGACACAAACAAATGGAAGAATATTCCATGCTCATGGATAGGAAGAATCAATATTGTGAAAATGGCTATACAGGTCAAGGTAATTTATAGATTCAATGCCATCCCCATCAAGCTACCAATGACTTTCTTCACAGAATTGGGAAAACTACTTTAAAGTTCATATGGAACCAAAAAAGACCCTGCATAGCCAAGACAATCCTAAGCAAAAAGATCAAAGCTGGAGGCATCACACTATCTGACTTTAAACTATACTACAAGGCTACAGTAACCAAAACAGCATGGTACTGGTACTAAAACAGAGATATAGATCAATGGAACAGAACAGAGGCCTCAGAAATAATGCCACACATCTACAACCATCTGATCTTTAACATACCTGGCAAAAACAGGAAATGGGGAAAGGATTCCCTATTTAATAAATGGTGCTGGGAAAACTGGCTAGCCATAAGTAGAAAGCTGAAACTGGATCCCTTCCTTACACCTTATACAAAAATTAATTCAAGATGTATTGAAGACTTAAATATTATACCTAAAACCATAAAAACCCTAGAAGAAATCCTAGGCAATACCATTCAGGACATAGACATGGGCAAAGACTTCATGACTAAAACACCAAAAGCAATGGCAACAAAAGCCAAAATAGACCAATGGTATCTAATTACACTAAAGAGCTTCTGCACAGCAAAAGAAACTACCATCAGAGTGAACAGGCAACCTACAGAATGGGAGAAAATTTTTGCAATCTACCCCTCTGACAAAGGCTAATATCCAGAATCTACAAAAAACTTAAACAAATTTATAAGAGAAAAACAACTCCATCAAAAAATGGGCAAAGGATATGAACAGACACTTCTCAAAAGGAGACATGCATGCAGCCAACAGACACATGAAAAAATGCTCATCATCACTCTTCATCAGAGAAATGCAAATCAAAACCACAATGAGATACCATGTCATACCAGTTAGGATGACGATCATTAAAAAGTCAAGAAACAACAGATGTTGGAGAGGAATTGGAGAAATAGGAACACTTTTAGACTGTTGGTGGGAGTGTAAATTATTTCAACCATTGTGGAAGACAGTGTGGTGATTCTTTAAGGATCTAGAACCAGAAATACCCTTTTACCCAGCAATACCATTACTGGGTATATACCCAAAGGATTGTAAATCATGCTACTATAAAGACACATGCACACTTAGGTTTATTGCGGCAGTATACACAATAGCAAAGACTTGGAACCAAGCCAAATGTCCATCAATGATAGACTGGATTAAGAAAATGTGGCACATATACACCATGGATTACTATGCAGCCATAAAAAACGATGAATTAATGTCATTTGCAGGGACATGGATAAAACTGGAAACCATCATTCTCAGCAAACTATCACAAGGACAGAAAACCAAACACTGCATGTTCTCACTCATAGGTGGGAGTTGAGCAATGAGAACACTTGGAAACAGGGCGGGGAACATCACACACTGGAGCCTGTTGCGGGGTGGGGGACTGGGAGAGGGATAGCATTAGGAGAAATACCTATGTAAATGGTGGGTTGATGGGTGCAGCAAACCAACATGGCACATGTATACCCATGTAACAAAACTGCACATTGTGCACATGTACCCTAGAACTTAAAGTATAATTTAAAAAATAATAATAATTAAATAAAGAATGGAAAAATGACATATATCAATGATATCATTGTCCCCAGGTGCCAATTTCAATTTTAGGCTTGAATATCCTAGTTTATGTTTATTTTGTCAGTGGAGATGCTCAGCCCCATTGTGAAACAGTGAAATGTGAATGGCAGAATACATTTGAATTAATTTTTCTATACACTTTGTTTATGTGTGATTTGAATAATTATTTACTTAATTTGTTTCAAATTATTTCAGAAATTTTCTTAATAGTAAATGATTTTTCTTCAGTAAGATATCAGTCATGATTTCTTAAATTTTATTTGTTACTGTTTGACATGTATTTTTATATGTATTATTTTATTTTAGCACTAAAACAATACTGTGAAGGAATTTTGCTTTAAGTTAAGTGGGAATCCCCAGGCCTAGGGTGGTTAAGTGGTTTGATCAAAGCCTTATAACTAATAAGTGGCAAAAGTAAGATTTGAAATGAGATTTTATAACTTAACATAACTGTTGATTTGGTCTTTCATTTGTTCACCAATATATTCTTGTGAATCAGGAAGAACAACTTTAAGTATTAGGATTATATAATGGAAACAACAGATGAAGTCAATGCTCTCATTGAATTTACATGCTACAAGGGGAGAAAGATAAACAAATATCTTGAAGTAGAAAATAGTTTCATAAACATAATAAAAATGAATAATATGATAGAGGGTGACCTATGGAGAGTAGGATCATTCTTGGATGAGAGTGCCAAAGACTTCTGAGATGAGAAGCCGTTGGTGATACACACACAAAAGCCATCCACACCAAGATCTAGAAGAGGAAAGAGTTCAGTTCATTATTTAAGTAAAATCTTCTGCATACTTTTGCATATTTTATTGCTTTTCTTTGTATACAATCTAATATGCAATAGACATACTAAATTTTATACGTGATATATTTTTACACACATGTTCTAAAAAATGGGCAAAAATATATGGTACACTTCCCTATCACATGGTGCAATATGTTTCATGGATTAGAATTTCAAATGAGTCTGTCAAAGTCTTTGTGAGAAACTTGCTGTATTTTAGACATGCTAATACAAGTTTTAAAAACATGACACAGTTTCAAAGACCCCATTTGGGACTTATGCTATTTGCCTGCAAACAGAGTATTCTATCAGAAAACAGAAACACAATCATTGTTGTTAATTTCCCCAAGTTGAATATTAAAATAATATTAACTGAACATTTAAAAGTTAAAGTCACATAATCATGGACCATAGTTTTGGCTAAATCTCAGAGGTCATCTAGTCCAATGTCCCACAAGATAAAAGTATATTTTCATTTGAGCATATCCAATCACATTGTTTTCCAACAAAACAACTGGGTGACTTGTCATCCTTAGTGTGAAGCTTGAAGTCATCAATGTAACTTATAAGACCATATATGAGAAGAGATTCTAACTTACTATATCTGAATACAATTGACAGGGCCCTTATGTGATATCTAGATTTAAAAAAATTTGCCTTCTGAAGCTATGGGGAACATATACTTTCTTTGCAATAATAACAGACATGTTTAAAACACACATATATATTAAGTTAATGAGAAAACAATGGCTTAACATTACGAAGACAAAATTTTAATTCTCTAGGCTTCAATTTCTTCATTTGAAAAATTTAGATTCACTCATTTTTTTCTCCTTCTTTAGGCAAATACTCATTTACTTATCATCTACTTTATGACAGGCACTATGATAAGATTACAATACCATAGTGAACAACATAGTTTGAATTTCTACCCTCAAAGATCATACAATCTACTTACAGTCTTATGAGGAAGATAAATAGTACACACATAAAAGAAAGAGTAAATGAATCAAGTTTTTATTAAGGAAATTAAAGGGCTTATGTAATAGAGAAAAGCTGGCAGGTCTTACAGGTTAAGCTGAAAAGGAGAAGTTTAGATTGTGAGAAGCTGGAGAAGAATATTAACAGGAAAAGGAATAACTAAAGAGGAGTCTTAATGTGACAAAGAGACTAGTGTTTTCTGGGAAGTAACAGAAGTAAGCCAGTGATATGTTCTGGCTCTGGGCCCCTATCCAGATCTCATGTTGAATTGTAATCTAAATTGTAACTCCAGGTGTTGAGGGAGGGACCTCGTGGGAGGTGATTAGGTCATGGGGGCAGTTCCCCCATGATGTTCTCAAAATTGTGAGTTCTCAAGAGATCTGATGGTTTTATAAGGGGCTTTCCCCCACTTTGCTATGCACTTCTTTCTCCTACCACACTGTGAAGAGGTGCCTTCTGCCATGATTGTACGTTTCCTGAGGGCTCCTAAGCCATGCAGAACTGTGATTCAATTAAACTTATTTTATTTATAAATTACCCAGTGTCAGGCATTTCTTCATAGCAGTCTGATAATGGACTAATACAGCAAATTGGTACTGAGAGAGTGGGACACTGCTATAAGGATACCCAAAAATGTAGAAGCAAGTTTGGAACTGGGTCACAGGCAGAGATTGGAACAGTTTGGAGGACTAAGAAGAAGACAGGAAAATGTGGGAAAGTTAGGAACTTCCTAGAGACTTGAAGGGCTCAGAAGAGAAGAAGATACGGGAATGTTTGGAACTTCCTAGAGGCTTGTTGAATAACTTTACCAAAGTACTGATAGTGATGTAGACAATGAAGTCCAGGCTGAGATGGTCTCGCATGGAGATGAGGAAATTGTTGGGAACTGGAACAAAGGTGACTCTTGCTATGCTTTAGCGAAGGGACGGGCAGTATTTTGCCCCTGCTCTAGAGATCTGTGGAAACTTGAACTTGAGAGAGGTGATTTAGGGTATCTTGCAGAATAAATTTATAAACAGCAAAGCATTCAAGAGGAAGTAGAGTATAAAAGGTTGGAAAATATGCAGCCTGATGATGTAATAGAAAAGAAAAACACATTTTCTGGGGAGATATTCAAGCCTTCTGCAGAAATTTGCATAAATAACAAGGGAGCTGAATGTTAATCTCCAAGACAATGGGGAAAATGTCCCCAAGGCACATCAAAGACCTTTGCAGCAGCCCCTCCCATCAAAGGCCCGGAGGCCTAGAAGAAATAATGGTTTCCTGGGCTGGTCCAGGTCCCCTCTGCTGTGTCCAGCCTTGGGACTTGGTGCCCTGCATCCCAGCCACTCCAGCCATGGCTAAAAGGGTCCAAGATATAGTTCAGGCCATTGCTTCAGAGTGTGCAAGCCTCAGGCCATGGTGGCTTCCATCTGGTTTTGAGCCTGTGGGTGCACAGAAGTCAAGAATTGAGGTTTGGGAACCTCCATCTAGATTTCAGAGGATCTAGAAAAATGCCTGGATGTCCATGCAGATGTCGGCTACAGGAGCAGAGCCCTCATGGAGAACTTTGCTAAGGCAGTACAGAAGAGGAAATGGGGGGTCTGAGCCCCCACACAGAGTCCCCACTGGGGCACTGCCTAGTGGAGATGTAAGAATAGGTCCACTATCCTCCAGACAGACCCCACAATGGTAGATCCACAGACAACTTGCAACATGTGTCTGGAAAAGTCACAGACACTCAGCACCAGCCATGGAAGCACCTGGGAGGGGGACTGTACCCTGCCTAGCCATAGGGACAGAGCTACCCAAGGCCATCGGAGTCCACCTCTTACATCAGCATGACCTGGAGTGAGACATGGAGTCAAAGGAGATCGTTTTGTGACTTTAAAGTTTAATAAATGCCCTATTGGATTTTGGACTTGCATGGGGCTTTTAGCCCCTTTGTTTTGGCCAAGTTCTCCCATTTAGAATGGATGTATAACCAATGCCTGTATTCCCATTATATCTAAGAAGGAACTAACTTGTTTTTGATCTTACAGGCTCATAGGCAGAAGGGACTTGCCGTGTGTCAAATGAAACTTTGAACTTGGACTTTTGGGTTAATCCTGGAATGAGATAAGACTTTGGGGGACTGTTGGAAGGACATGATTGTGTTTTGAAATGTGAGGACATATGTGAGGGGCAGATCCCCCATGCTGTTCTCATGATAGTGAGTGAGTTCTCACGACATCTGATGGTTTTATAAGAGGCTTTTCCCTGCTTCACTCTGCACTTCTTTCCTGCCACCCTGTGAAGAGGTGCCTTCCCCTATGATTATAGGTTTTCCGAGGCATCCCCAGTCATGTGGAATTGTGAGTCGATTGAATCTCTTTTCTTTATAAATTACTCAGTCTCAGGTATTTCTTCATAGTAGCATGAGACCAAACTAATACAGCCATTGTGATATGAAGTTAATGACTGATGCCTGTGTTATCCAATGAGCTTGGAGATGTTGGAAGCCCAGGCCAAACATAGGAAGGGTTTAGGTTTAATTCTAAGAAAAGGTGAACACTTACAGGGTTTCAGGCAGGAGACATTAATTCCATTTATATTTGTAAAATAATTACTCAGAATGTGGATAATGGATTTTGAAAGTAAGAGTGAAACTGGAAAGACCAGCTTGAAGGCAATTGCATAATTTCTAGGGCTAGAATATAGTGTGGAGGAGGGTGATGGCCATTGACTTGTTATACAAGTGGGTTTGGGAAACATTTTGGAAGTAGAATCAACACAACTTGATATATAAGGAGAGGGAATTTTTCAAACATGAACTCATTACTTCTGACTTTAGTAGAACAGATTAACGGTGGTATTAATGAGAATAAAATATATTTGTAGGTCTCTGCAGATGTGTATTAGAAAAGGTCTTTTGAGTCTGATAAGAAGAGGCAAAATCATTATAAAAAGAAAGGTGAATGTAAATACATAATAGTTTAAAATTTATACCTAAAATAACTCTTGTAATGTGCACTAGCCTTATTTAGAGATAAATTTAAAAGTTTAAATAAGAAAAATAAATATTCTAGTAAAATAGTGAGCAATAATCATCCTAGGCAATTAAAAAAAAAGAAATATAAATGATGGATATAGTCTGCCTCATTGGAGATCAAAACAATAAAATTTTTACCAATACAACTCTCAGAATACAATATAAAAAATATTTGAGACCAGAGTTTGAGAGAAACAGTCACTGTAATTTACTACAGGGAGAAGTGTAACTATGATGTAATCCTTTGTAGAAAAATATGTCAATGTTGACACAATAATTTCTGCTCTAGGATATTAGCAATAAATAACTATGTGTGCAAAAATTACCTATACAACTGTGATATTATCTATAATAAGAGAAACCTTGGAAACAGCTAAAAGATTGGTCAAATAAATTACTTAAAATGCATATCATAAATGTATTTTATAGAGGTTGACATGTAAAGATATCCACAATATGTTGTCATATGAACATAAACATTTATAAAACATTGTACACACCATATTTATGTATTTCTATGATGCATGAGATAATATACAGATAAAAGGAAGACAGATGTGATGGACTAAGTGATGATAAAGAGGTGAATAGATGGATAGAGGGATGAATAAATAGATAGATAGACAGAAGGATAGACACAGATAGACAAATAGGCAACATGAGTGAAACAGAAACAAGTCTAGACATTTCAAAGAAAACCAGTTTATTACAGGTAACTGTTTACAAAGTGGTATAAGGATAGAAAAGATGAAGGGAGAGGGATGGGGTAGACCAGGTGGGGGGCCTGGAATATCAGACAGGAGAAAATGGTGAGGCCAGTGGTGAGAAACTGCAGATGCTCCTGTGATGAGGGCTACAAAGCTACATCTATGGCTGTAATGTTGGAGATGTTATTGTGATTGGTTTTGGATCCCCTGAAGTGGTGCAACTTCAGCCAAAACTTGAACCACCCAAAGGCCAGATGTCTCCTCTCTTCTCTCCCCACCCCATCCCCAGCCCCTCAAGTTATAATGTTAGCAGATTCCTGGTATTGGTGGCAAAGGTCACATATCAGAACCAGAAGATTGTATCTCCTCTCTTCCTTTTGCCATTTGATCTTTTGCCAGTGCTTCTTGTTGTCAGGAGTTAGTAGGAAGCTACTATGGTTTGGCTGTGTTCCATGCAAAATTTCATCTTGAATTGTTGATATGGTTTGGCTGTGTCCCTACCCAAATCTCAGCTTGAATTTTATCTCCCAGAATCCTGGCATGTTGTGGGAGGGACCCAGGAGGAGATAATTGAATCATCGGGGCCGGTCTTCCCATGCTAATTTTGTGATAGTGAATAAGTCTCACAAAATCTGATAGGCTTATCAGAGGTTTATGCTTTTGCTTCTTCCTCATTTTCTCTTGCAATTGCCATGTAAGGAGTGCCTTTCGCCTCCTGCCATGATTCTGAGGACTTCCCAGCCATGTGTAAGTGTAAGTCTAATTAAACCTCTTTGTCTTTCCAGTCTCAGGCATGTCTTTATTGGCAGCATAAAAATGAACTAACACAGTAAATTGTTACCAGTAGAGTTGGGTACTGCTGAAAACATACCCGAAAATGTGGAAGTGATATTGGAACTGGGTAACAGGTAGAGGCTGGAACAGTTTGAGGGGCTTAGAAGAAGACAGGAAAATGTGGGAATGTTTGGAACTTCCTAGAGACTTGTAGAATGGCTTTGAACAAAATTCTGTGATATGGACAATGAAATCCAGGTTGAAATTCAGGTGGTTTCAGATGGAGATGAGAAACTTGTTGGGAACTGGAGCAAAGGTGACTCTTGTTATGTTTTAGCAAACAGACTGGTGGCATTTTGTCCCTGCCCCAGAGATTTGTGGAACTTTGAACTTGAGAGAGATGATTTAGGTACTGGCAGAAGAAATTTCTAAGCAGCAAAGTGTTCAAGAGGTGACTTGGGTGCTATTAAAGGCATTCAGTTTTATAAGGGAAACAGAGGACAACGTTTGGAAAATTTGCATCCTGACTATGCAATAGAAAAAAAAAAAAAAACATTTTCCGGGGAGAAATTCAAGCCAGCTGCAGAAATTTGCACAAGTAGCAAGGAGCCTAATGTTAATCTCCAGGACCATGGACAAAATGTCTCCCGGCCATTTCAGAGACCTTCACAGCAGCTGCTGTCATCACATGCCCAGAGGCCCAGGAGGAAAAAGTGGTTTCATGGGCTGGACTGAGGATCCCCATGCTGTTTGCAGCCTAGGAACTTGGTGCCTTGTGTCTCAGCTGCTCCAGCCTTGGCTGACAGAGGCCAAAGTACAGCTCAAGCTGTGACTTCAGAGGGTAGAAGTCTCAAGCCCTGGCAGCTTCCACGTGATGTTAAGCCTGGGGGTACACAGAAGTCAAGAATGGAGGTTTAGGAGTCTCCACCTAGATGTCAGAAGATGTATGGAAATGCTTGGATGTCCAGGCAAAAGTTTGCTGCAGGGATGGGGCCCTCATGGAGAACTGTGAGGGCAGTGTGGAAGGGAAATGTGGGGTCAGAGCCCCCACACAGAGTCCCTACTTGGGCACTGCCTAGTGGAGCTATGAGAAGACAGCCACCATCCTCCAGACCCCAGAATGGTAGATCCACCAACAGCTTGCACCATCACCTGGAAAAACCACAGGCACTAAATGCCAGCCCATGAAGGCAGCTGGGATGGAGGCTGTACCCTGCAAAACCACAGGGGTGGAGCTGCCCAAGACCATAGGAACCCATCTCTTGCATAGCGTGACATGGATGTGAGACCTGGAGTCAAGGCAGATCATTTTGGAGCTTTAAAATTTGACTGCCCTGCTGGATTTCACACTTTCATGGGCCCTATAACCCCTTTGTTTTGATCAGTTTCTCCGATTTGGAATGGCTGTATATACCCAATACCTGTACTCCCATTGTATCTAGGAAGTAACTCACTTGCTTTTGATTTTACCAGCTCATAGGCAGAAGGGACTTTCCTTGTCTTGGATGAGACTTTGGACTGTGAACTTCTGGGTTAATGCTGAAATGAGTGAAGAGTTTTGGGGACTGTTGGGAAGGGATGATTGATTTTGAAATGTGAGGACAGGAGATTTGGAGGGGCCAGGGGTGGAATGATATGGTTTGCTGTGTCCCCACCCAAAACTCCACTTGAATTGTATCTTCCAGAATTCCCATATATTGTGGGAGAGACTTAGGGGTAGGTAATTAAATCATAGGGGCCGGTCTTTCCCATGCTATTCTCATGATAGTGAATAAGTCTTATGAGATCTTATAGGTTTATCGGGGTTTCTGCTTTTGCTTCTTCCTCATTTTCTCTTGCTGCTGCCATGAAAGAAGTGCCTTTCACCTCCCACCATGTTTCTGAAGCCTTCCCAGCCATGTGGAACTGTAAGTCCAATTAAACCTCTTTTTCTTCCCAGTCTTGGGTATGTCTTTACAGTATGAAAATAGACTAATACAATTGTTATTCCCATAATCCTCATAATCCCCATATGTCAAGGGGAAGACCAGGTGGATGTAACTGAATCATTGAGGCAGTTTCCCCCCATGCTGTTCTTGTGATAGTGAATGAGTTCTCATGAGATCTAATTTTTTTTGTGTTTGACAGTTCCTCCTGCTTTCATTCTCCTTCCTGTCGCATTGTGAAGAAGGTGTTTTGCTTCCCCTTCACTTTCCACTATGATTGTAAGTTTCCTGAGGCCTCCCCAGCCATGCTGAACTATGTGAATCAATCGAACCTCTTTCCTTCAAAAATTAACCAGTCTTGGGCAGTTCTTTATATCAGTGTGAAAATGCAGTAATACATACGCCATCAATCATCTGGCAATGAAATACACCGTGCAGTTTCCCAATTCTAGAAATAGAGGGAATAGACAGGCAAGTGTGAAATACAGGACAAGTAAATAACCAGGAGAGACAGGCAGACAGACAGCAGGAGACTATAAGGTGGGAGGACAGATGGAAGGAGAGAAAAAGAAAGCCAGAGAAAAGTCAGGCAGGAAGAAAGGTAGAAAAGAAGAAGGAAGAAAGGGAAGGAAGAAAAGCTAAACTCTAGGATCAGTATCACCATATGTAGGACAAGATCACGTCAAGATTCATTGTGATTATCTTTGAATCCTCCTAAAAGAATTTTTTTCAATGACAATATATTTTTGTTTTATTAACCAGAAAAAATGTTGAATTTTCAATAGATTACCAAATATTTTTGTGAAATGACATAGTGTTCAATTCTGGCTTTGCCCTAAAGTCTATAATCCTAAGTAATACTTTCATACTATTAGCCAGTTAATTTTTTTGCTATAGCCTGTGTTGATATAAAAGTATATAATTTTTAGTGCAATTATAATGCCATTTATTCACAATCTGTTTCTTTAAAGAGACTCTATTTTGTCAAAATTCATAGACAGAATGAAGTATGTTTTCTACAAAGGATGTTTCTTGGTAGAAGAAGTTTGTAGCACAGCACTAACACTATATTTCTATTATAGTAAAAACAATAGAATCAAGTCTATAAACACATAATTCTTATATTCATGTTCATTATTGGCTTTGGATAAGACAGTGACTTTGAATAGGCATATGTATATATTCCCATAATAGCTATCTTAATTGTTTACCTAGTAATTACTTATTTTAAGCCAAATTAAATATATACATTAGATTCAAATTTATTATTTGATTGTTAAGACAGTGTTCCTTTCTGTAAGAGAGCTTTTGAAGATTATACTCTTGCTTACAGCTTAAAAGTCTGTAGGCATATAAAATGTTTGAATCATTCTTTATTCTATTACTTAAGATCATGTTATTTATATTTATGTAGACTGCTCCAAAGAAGCAAGAAAATTGAAAAACAATGTGTTCTGCTACTTGATATTAACATTCCACCATTTCTCCTTAATGCTGCCAAATAAAATAAATAAAATTGATATTGTAACAAATGGGGTAAAATGTATCATTAACTGTTATAGTGTATGCTTGTCCTCCACATGCTTTTTCATTTTTGTTTGCATAAAATAAAATAGAATTCTTGGACTTGAAAGTCACAAATAGAGCATTTAAAAGTTTAAAAATTTAAATGCTCTATTTGTGATTAATGTATAGAGTTCTTTGGAAAGATTTTATTTAGTGAAATAATGTAGAAGTCATAACAAGTCCCCCAGATAGTATTGCAATAAATTCACGAGATGAACTTAAAAACAGAAAAAGAGGTTTCCAAAGGATTTTAATTTTTCAAATTTTGTTCAATATAAATGAGGTATGTCCTACTTTTGTCTTAAATCTAATATTTATAGACATTATTTGTTTTGATGTATTTACTTATTATATATTCAACAATATTTCGTTTTATATTACACTTTCCGATAGCACTCTGAATTGCAGTTTGCAATTACAGGTAAGGCCTAGAAAATTCTCTCTCTTTTTTTTTTTTTTTTTGAGACCGATTCTCGCTCTGTTGCCCAGGCTGGATTGCAATGGCACGATCTCGGCTCACTGCAACCTCCACCTCCTAGGTTTAAGCAAATCTCCTCCCTCAGCCTCCCAAGTAGCTGGGATTACAGGCGTCTGCCAATACGCCCGGCTAGTTTTTTGTATTTTTAGTAGAGATGTCATTTTGCCATGTCGACCAGGCTGTTCTCAAACTCCTGACCTTAGATGATCACCCGCCTTGGCCTCCAAAAGTGCTGGGATTACAGGCATGAACCACCCTGCCCAGCCAAAGTTTATGAAATTCTAAGTGTCGTGAAGGGTGATGCCAAGAACTCATCTTTTGGCAGCTCAAACAATTCAGGAGTAAGAGAGAAAGAGAGAAGGTGCTATCGAGGAGAAGCACATTATGTTAGCAAACAGTCAAATCAATGGATATATTTATTTGACATAGTAATTGGAAAGAAGTCTATAGGGAGAAATGTAGAAAAATTGTAATTAATTGAAGAGGCATATTTTTCTTTCACATTTAATTATTTTCAAAATAAGTGAATTATTCTGAAGTTGCTTATTCAAAAAACTGAAAACACATTCTTATAGAGTTATGCTTTAAAATAGTGCACATTAATGAAAGTAATTTTACAGAGCTAAGCCTACCTCTGTTAGTCCTTATAAATTTCAATAGTGCTATATTCACGAAAAAGAAACAGCTTATTTTCCCACAGCATCCCATAAGAGCACAATTTTGTAGTGGAAATAGCACATCAGCTCTTTTAAATTGTATTTATTTCTTAAGTACTGTACAGATAATATTTCCTCAGCATTTTCCATGAAGTAAATATTAATTATGGAGTAAATAAATAATGCTGTAAATAAAACCAATTTTATCCCCATTTTGAAAGTAAAGAAATTGAGGCTTTGAGATGCTACATCACTTTCCCAGTTGAATTCCTTTGGAGAGTATTTGGGCCGGCCTTTAAATCCAATTACTTCCTCTTCAGGGTTAAAACTTGTGTATTTTCATGGAGGTCATAATGCGACATATATTCATATTAGACATTAAAGATACATTTATGCTTTGGAATTCCTAACAGTTATAAAAATTAGCAGACTAATAGTTTGAAATTATATTGGCAATATATAAAGCCTGGAGCATACACAGATACTTATTGTTCATGTTGCCTGACATAAAAGCAACTATTGGCTTTTTCTTTTAGTTGTTATTATTACAGCTACGTAAAAATTTATTTGTTTATATATGGAGGTCAATATACGATGAAATTTGAGTTGGGGGAAGGGATAAGGATGATATTATCATTGATGTTAACTTTTTTGAGTTATAAATAAAATTAAAATATCAATAAAAGTAACAAGTAGCTACAGTTATTGTCTAATTGGATTTTTTTTTAATCAAGCTACATTGCAAGAGAGAACACGTGCTCATCCTACTTCTGTTCTAGTTGAAAAGGAGCATTGTCAGTGTTGCTGGAAGAGAATCTATGCTGTTTTCGCATTGTCTGGTCATATTCTACCCCTCTCAAGGCAAATCTCCTTTGAGCTGTTTTGTTGCTTTGTTACTGTTGTATGCTTGAAGTTGCTACAGCCCACTGCCTGATGGTCGCGGACAATAACCCTGAACCCTGAGCTGGAGCCAGAAGACTTTCTTATTGCTCACATGGACCTCTGAACAGGAAGCTTCATTTTTCTCTATGTGAGTTCTTAGAACCCCACTCCCAACAATTGCAACCCGCTGACTACTGAGTGAATTTACACCGAATGCCGTCATTCTGGGAAATATAACTGGATCTCAGAGGCAATATCCACAGACCTATAAAGAAAACACATGAGGTTGAAATTCAAAGTGCTTGCACTTACCCACAGTGCTGGGCATTTACAAGACCCATAGATCATAATGCTTAACGATGCAATCTTGAGAGCTTAGTGTCAGTGTGGACAGACAAAAGAGTCCATGTCAATACCTGCAGTGTGGAAATAAAGATTAAAATATCCCGTTTATTCCCATGCCTCTTTTGAATCATTACAATAGTTCTTTGGAGGTAGATAATATCATATTTACTTATTCCCCAATGATATTTAAACCAAAGCTTTCCTTTTCTCTCTATTTAAATGGCACATAGAAGAAAAATGGAAAATGTTGGTCTTTTTTTCATAGAAGAGGGATATACAGAAATATTGATTTTCCCATGAATGTGAAAATGTCTAATAAGCTAAAGATATACACGGCAAACATGATATGTACATGGCATGGTACACACCTTGTGTTCGTGTATAAGTTATTCTTTCTCTCAAGGAAAAATATGATTGGATCATTTTAATTTTTTATTGACTGACTCTAGTACTAATAAGGTGGAGACACCTTACCTACTAAGAACTGTTATAATGCTTTATAAGCACGGGAATGTCTCTTTAAGGAATCTGCAGCTCAGCACAGACATCTTTAGAAGCTACATATTATTAAGAATCTGATAGAATTAGAATTTATACCTTTTGGTAGACTACCACTCATTTTTATGGCTAACAATTAAGGGAAAACTTTCAGAACATTTATAATCTGTCTAGAGACTACTCTAGGATTATTTGATAATATTTATATATTAACCACATTGTTTTATTTGTCTGCTTGTGATGTTTTGTCTCGAGGTTTTATATGGGTAAGCATATCTCAACCCTGCTTTTTTTCACAATATAGGTAGAGGATATTTACCACAAGGTGGTATTCATTCTGACTCCTTTTATTTCTCTTAGGGCAGATATTACAGGCCATGGTGAGGTACACTCAGAGCTCCAAGACTGCATTTGGGGCTCTTAAAGTGGACAGGTCCTGCTGTGTGTTTTAATAGCAACTTTCACAGCAAGTCAACACATTTTTGGACAATTTGTCACAGGGAAATTTTGTAAATATTACTAATTCTGGAATTTGCTTATATATCTTGATGTCTCTTAAGATAGAAAACTGCCACAAATTGCTTTTATATCGCCACTATTTTTTTCATTTAAAAAGGGAAATAAAGAAACATATTAAATACAGGATGAGGAATAAGGGGTTTACAGTACTGTAAAAAAAGGAAGTAATACAGTTCACTGTTACACTGCATAGCATGAACTAAAGGAGCATGTCAATTTGGTCAACTTCACTTAGTATTTTTTGATAGATTCAATATATTGGACCATGAGATCTAAGTATTCCTCTAAAAGATGTAAGGCACCCAAAAATCATACCAACTTTGGTGGTGATATTTCATTCTTATTGGAGCAAACCATTATGGGGAAACAAAGATAAATTACTAGGAATTTTTATATTAAATTCTTCTCTATTAGGCCATGTGGCACAGACTTTTGATTTGTAGTGTGATATGATTTCTTTCCTCAGTAATTACAAATGGGTGCCAATTAGCTTGATGGGAGGTAAAGGTAATCTAATCCAACACATTTTATCTAGCAGTGACTGGGATGGTTTAGGGCCCTTTGAGCTTAAAGTGTTGAAGTGGACACCAATACAAGTGCATAAATACAACACTTTTGTCATATTTCCAATAAGATGGAGTACAATGGAGACTGGCATTTATCATGTACTTTTTAAAATCAGTATTCTAAGAACTGCCCATACATTTTGTTACTTCATTTAGTTAATATTATGTTTAATTTAAATTAATTGAGACAGTATTTCTCAAGTGCTGAACATAATATCTGATGCAAGAAAACAGCAAATACTTACCTATTACCTTCTTTTGGTCTTAGGAAGTGTCATTAGTATATTCTGTAAAAGAACATATCGAAACTCAGAGAGTTTAAGTAGTTGCCCCTAGGTTGTATTGCTAATGCAGCTGTTTATGTGAACACATATTCCTGCAAATATTTGTAATTTTAAGTAGTCATACTGTACAAATCTCTAATTAGATAGGCACTTTATGTAATGTTTATGTAAAATAATGGCAAGAAATATTATTATCTGTGTTATAGAATCTGAAAATTTTTGCTTTGTAGTTTATTTTCCTTTTGTGGATAATGTAATGTTAGAATTATTTTTTCAGCAATCCCATGGCCCATAGATTTAAAACGAAGATATATTTACATTAATGTGGTCATATATCAAGTAGTAGTTCATGCTAACGCTTATCAGGATGTGTGTAAGCATAGCTAACATATGGCTTGTTTTCTGTCATCCAACATTGTGACAGGATCATCTGGAAAAAATCAATTTAGGGTCTAAAAATTTGGTTAGAGGAGAGACGGTACCTTACAGTGCATGAGAGATTGGCACTGTGCTTCAAGCAGGAGATTTATCGACCTATAGATTTTACTCAAAACGTTAATGTGCAATGCTGCAGGCATAGAGAAGCATTAAGTTATCAAGATGGATAGGCGCGGAGTACTATTTTCCTTGGTTCTACTTTCTTCAAGATAAATGTAGTAGAGAGGCAAAGAACAATGGGCATTGAGCAGTTGAAGGAAGTTGAATTTGACAGATCTTAGCCAATAGAACACAAGGGCAAACTTCTGAAACTCCTTTTTTTCTACATCTGACAATGCAGTCGATGCTAACTATATTGTTGTTTTTTTCTTGTAAACATTTTATCTATTTTTTGAACATCATAATTTCTCTACTATTATTTACTTTACTATTTGGTTGAGTATCTCTTCTGCCATAACCAGTTAATAAAAATTATTGGTGGACTTTATTGGAAATAGTCAGTTGTTACTTGGGCACAAATTCAGTAGTCAGTAACTTCTATCCAAATTTAAGATAAGTTTGAGAACGTATCAGTAAATATTAATACATTTATAACTATATTAGCTAAGCTGTTGAATTAGACATGCACCTGTAAATTACTTACAGGTATGTAATGTAATTGATGAATATAAGTCACTACCTGCTAGTAAATAGATATGTGTCATATTTTCTCTATAATACTTAATCCTATTAGTTACCCAGTATGACAATAAAGTTGAATATCAAAGTGCTTCAAATGAAGTGGCTAAAAACAACTTATTAAAATGGTTGCTCACGAGATGATGGATAACTAGGACTTTTGTTCTGGTCTCATTTGAGCTCACTCATATTTTGGCAGTCAGCTGGGAGTCAGATAAGGGGCTATGCTAACCTGGGTATGGCTCTCTCACTGGCTTGGGGTGGATGTCAGTTGGCCATGTGTTTCCTCAGCTTTGTTAGTCACAGCCTCTATTATCTAGGAAACTAGTTCAGGCTTTTTGACATGGTGAAAGCAAGGATCTAAAAGAGACAGCGGGTAGAAGACTTTTCGAGGTCAAACTGTCACTTCCACCGCATTCTATTGGCCAAAACAATTCACAAAACCTACCCAGATTCAAGGGAGCAGTATAAGGTAAACTCTACCTCTTGCAAAAACATAGATTTAATGAGAAATAAAGAATTGGGGTAAATTTTGCAATCAATCTATCATGTTGACTCCCTTTTTTCTTATTTTTCCAAAGTTATTTTTATTCAAAAGTGGTAATAGTGGGCATCCTGGCCTTATTTTAATTCTCTGAGAAAAAGATTTTAACATAACACTGTACTGGAAAATTTCTGATGTAGCTTATGTGAAACAATCTTTATCATATTTAGCAGGTTTCTATATTATTTCTCATTTGCTAAGGGTTTTTTCATGAACAATTATTGAATTTTATCAAATAAATGATTTTTTCTACATCAAAGTTATGGATCATATGTTTTATTCTTTTTTTGTTAAAAATCACACTTAAAATTTTTGAAGGCTAAATCACTTTCATCTTTTGCATTAGTTTTCTATTGCTGCTACAAATTTAGCAGCTTAAAAAACACAAACTTATTATCTTAGAAACTCTGACCTATAGGTCAGAAGTTTAGTATACAGGTCTCAGGGGTTAAAATTAAGGTGCTGGCAGGGTTGCATTTCATTCTGACATCTCTAAAGACCCTCTAAAGGAGGGTCTGTTTCCTTCTCATTCAGGTTTTTGGCAAAACTCAATTATTTGCTGTAATAGGACTGAGATTCCTCTTTTTTTGGAGGCTATAAGTTGATGCCTGTTTCCAGCTTCTAAAGGCCACAGACATTCCTTGGATCCTGGCCCTTTCCTCCATTTGCAAAACCACTGATGATAAGTCATGTCCCGCTCAAATCACATGTCTCTGACCCATCCAGGGAAGCTTCTCTGTTTTTAAAGATCCATGTGATTAGACTAGGAAGCACACAGGTAATCCAGGATAATCTCCTCATCTCAAAAACCCCTACCATAATCATATCTGCAAAGTCCCTTTTGTCATGGAACGTAACATATGCACAGGTTCTGGAGCAGTAGGGTGTGAGCATCATACCAAATCTCTCTATAAAAGACATTTGTTCCTAATATATTAATTTCTTTGCTAACATATTTTGTTTCAGATTTTTGTCTTTTACGAGAATGACTAGTTTAAATTTTCTTTCTTTTACGTCTTTTTTGAGGTATAATGGAGATACCAAAAACTGCACATATTTCCTGTATACAATATGATGAATTTGGACATACGCATACACCTGTGAAACCAACACCATAATCAACGTAATAAACATATTCATCACCTCCAACAGCTTCCTCCTGCTCCTTCGTGGTGCTTGTTGTTTTGTTTTTCTGTGGTAAGAACACAACATAAAATCTACCCTCTTAACAAATTTTTAAGTGTACAACACATAATTTTTAACTATAGGCACTATGCTGTGTAGCAGATCTTTAAAACTCATTCATCTTGCATAACTGAAATCTTATGTCTCTTGAACCACAATGTCTCATTTGTTCTTCTCTCCAGGCCCTGATAACCACCATTCTACTCTCCGCTTCTGTGACTTTAACTATTTGAGATAATTCATATGCGCAAAATCATGCAATATTTGTCCATTGCAGTATTACTCATAATAAACAAGAGAAGGGAACAACCTAAATGTCTATCAATGTGTAAATAGATTTAAAAAATTGGCATATATGTACAATGAAATATTATTCCACCTTAAAAAAGATGGGAATCCTGTCATTTGTGACAACTTAGTAAAATAAGCCAGTCACAGAAGGGCAAATACTGCATGATATTTTGTCTTCTTAAATGAAGACATTTGTGAGTAAAAACTTCCTTTTTATGCATGCCGTATATTTTGGTGTATTTTATTTTCATCTTCATTTGATTAAATATTTTTATTATTCTCTTTTGAACTCTCATTTAATCCATTGGTTATTTAGGAGTATGTTGTTTAATTTCCATGTATTTCTAAATTTTCCAATTTTTCTTCTGCTGTTGACTTCTAGTTTCATACCATTGTGGTCAAAAAAGATACTCAGCGTAATTTCAGTCTTCTTAAATGTGTTCCAACTTATCCTGTGATCTAAGACATAATCTATTTTGGAGGATGTTCCATGTGCATTTGGGAACAGTTGTATACTCCATTGTTATTGATTGGAATGCTCTGTATATATCTGTTAGTTTGACTTTTTCTAAAGTTTTGTTTACATTTACCATTTACTTATTTTCTGTCTGCATGTTCCATCCATTATTGAAAATGAGATGTCGAAATCTCCTACTATTGTTGCTGTCTACACCTCCCTTCAGAGATGTCAGTATTTGCTTTGTAGATTTAAATGCACTTATGTTGGGTGCATACATATTTATAAGTGTCATATCTTCCTGATTAATTGGACGTTTATTAATATAAAATGTTCTTCTTTGTCTTTTGCTACAGTTTTCAACTCAAAGTCTATTTGTCTAATACAATTATAGCCACCCCTTCTTTCTTTTGCTCCCCATTTGCACAAACTATCTTTTCCATGCCTTCACCTTACAGCTGAAGTGTATACCTAAATATAAAGTGAGTGTCTTGCAAAAAGCATACAGTTGGGTTTTGTTTTATTTTTAAGAATAATTAAATCACTATATATATCTTGACTGGAGAGTTTAATCCACTTAAAATAATTTGTGGTAGAGAAGAATTACTATTGCTATTTTGTTAATTGCATTCTGTCTTATAGTTGTTTTTCTTTTTCTCTCTTGCTGTTTTCCTTTGTGTTTCATTGATATTTTTTGTAGTGATGTTTTGATTTCTTCTGTTTTTCTTTGGACATCTTCTATAGGTGTTATCTTTGTGATTACCATGAAGCTTACCTAAAATATGGTTATTACAGTCTATTTTAAGATGATAACAATCAAATTTTGATCACATATAAATACCCAACACTTTTACTTCCCCACCCTCTCATACTTTGTTATTGATGCCACCATTTACATTTGAATATTGTATATCTATTAAAATTTTTAGTAGCTTTAATATTCTTAATATTATTGTCTTTTAACTTCTGTAATAAATTAATAGTAAATATACTATTACCATATTCTGTGTTTTTCTACATATTTGCATATTTACCAGTGAGTTTGTGCTTTCATATGATTTTGTGTTGCTGTTTATCATCTTTTTTATTTCAGTGTGAAAAACACCCTATAGCATCTCTTATAAATCAGGTCCTCAGCTTTTTTGGTCTGGCAAAATATTTCTTCTTCATTTTTGAAGGATAATATTTTTGGTTATAGTATTCTTCCTTGGAAGACTTTTTATTTCAGCCCTTTCCATATATTGTCCCGCTTTCTCCTGGCCACAAAGTTTCTGCTGATAAATTAACTGATAGTCTTATGAAACCCTCCCATGTGACAAGTTGCTCTTCTCTTGTACTTTCAAAATTCTCCTTTTGTCTTTTACTTTTGACAATCTTATTTTAATGTGTCTTGCTGTTAATTTCTGTGGTTTCATTCTGTTTGATATTTTGGCCTCAAAAATATGGATCTACATATCCTTTCTCAGCTTGGCGAGCATTAAGCCATATTTTCCCCCTTTAAATAAGGTTTCTACTTCTCTCTCGCTCTTCTTCTTGAAACCTTACTGTGTATGTGGGTCCTATAAGTCCTTTAGGTATTCTTCATTCTTTTTCATTCCTTTTTCTTTTTGTTTCTCTGGCTGACCTATCTTTAAATTTACTGATTTCTTTCTTCTGCTTGATCAAGTATACTATTGAAGCTCTCTATTAAATTTTTCATTTCAGTTATTGTATTATTCAGCTTCATAGATTTTTTCATTCTTTGTTATGGTTTATCTTTGTTGAAATACCAATTTTCTTCATGTATTGTTTTCCTGATTTTGTATAGTTGCCTATCTATATTCTCTTGCAACTCATTAAACTTCCTTAAGACAAATATTTTGAATACGTTGTCACAAAAATTTATAAAACTCCATTTCTTTAGGGTCAATTACTGGAGATTTATTTGTTCCTTTGGCCATGTTCCCTTATTCTTCATGTTCCTTGTAGCTTTGCAGTGGTATGTACACATTTGAAGAAACAGCCACCTCTTCCAGTTTTTACATATTGTCTGTAACAGGGAAAGACCTTCACCAGACAGCCCAGCGAGAGGTTCTGGGAGCCTCTCAAAATTTTCCTATGAATATTCATGCTCTACTTCTCTCCCTCTCGTTTAAAGGAGAAGTCTTAAGTCATGTAACTTCTCCCCATATTGCAGAGCTGTACCAGCTGTAGCGAGCCACTCACTTTTCTTCTTTTTTCTTAGCTGTCTCCAAGGATTTAAATCATGCCAGTTTCCTCAGTGCTGCAGATGAAATAGAATAAATAAAGATCTCCTCAGGTTGTGGCGCAAAATGCCAGGGATGTTGGAAGTACACTCCAATCTCTCTTTCTCCCTAATGAGGGGCTGAGGTGATTTCCCTCAGCTTTGAGCCCTTCCTCCTTGGGGTAGGAGCTGATGTGGACAAAATGAAATTGCTTTTTTAACTCTTTTCAATGTGGCTGTTTTTGGCTTTGTGTTTCTCTGGTGTACAGCAACTTTTTAATTGGATTCTGGACTTCTTATAAATATATTTTGCTCTGTATATCTTTGTTAAATTGATCATTGTTACTGTGTGGGGATGAGGATTGGGACTTCCGTTCCATCATCTTGATAACATAATTCTCTAACTTTTCTTTCTTGTAGTGTCTTATCAGGTTAGTTATCACGGTTAAGCTGATCTCATAAAAACTTTTTCATGTAAGTGTTTCTATTTTTTTGTGCTCTGATTAATTGTTTGTAAGATGGATGTATTTTCTTCTGTAAGAGTTTCATAGAATTTACAAGCAAAACCCATTGGGTTGGTGTTATTTTGATAGTCTTTAAATGAAAATATAACTGAAAATTATTATTTTTCAAAATTTTGATTTAGATTTCTGCCAGTTTTAATAATGTGCCCTTTTCTGGGAACTTAATCTAAATATTGAAGTTAATTGATATATAATTTTTCAAATAATCTTATTTTTACAGGAGTTTTGCTAATATTTCCTTTATCATTCTTGATATTAGTTATTTATGCCTATCTTTTGTCTTTTTAATTTTGTCAAATAATTTTTACCATTTAACTCATTTATAAAATAATAATTTTTCATTTGTTGATCTTCTTCATAGTATATTTATTTTATATTTTATTATTTTTACACCTATATTGATTATTTTTTCAATTGCTTGGTTCAATTTAATGTTGTTCCTTCATAACATACATGTACAGAAGACTAATTTTTTGTCATTTTGGAAATCATATTTTATTATTTAAATCCTTTGTAACTCCTAAGACTTGTCTTCTGACCCAACATATGATTAATTTTGCTAATTTTTCCATTCTGACTTAAAAATCAAAGTATTCTATGTCGGAATGTGCTATTATACATAGACTAATTAGTTCAAGCTTGCTATTGATGCTGTTAAATTTTTATAACTATTTACTGAGTGTTGGTATTCTTATTCTATAATGTGAAAAATACGTTTTAAAGGCTTTTTGTTCTGTTTGTGAATTTGTCCAGTTCCACTTTTATTTCTGTCAAATTTTCTTTGATTAGTATTACCTAAATTAGAATTTAACCCCTTTGGGCATTGTCACTTTTATTATTAGACATATTCCTCTTATACTCTAATAGTGCTTCTTGCCTTAAAGTCTAACAATTTGTATAATATTACTGTAGCTTTCTTTGAGTTAAAATGTATACAGTATACTGCATCTGTCCTTTTATATTTAACATTTTTATATTCTTTTTAAAAAGTTGTGTCTCTTTTAAGTGGCAAATGGCACTTATTTATATTTCAGTTAGAATATTTTAACCATTAGCATTTAGTGTAATGAAGATATTTTTATTTATGTATACAATCACATTCTTATGTATTCATCAGAGGTATTTAATGTCCCTTTTTTCTGTCCTTTCTTCACATTTATAAATTATAGTTTTAGAATTTATTTATTTGCTCTTAGTTTTTTGTTTCTGTATTCTTTTAGAACAATCATCCCTCAGTATCTGTAAGGGATTTGTTCCAGGATCCCCCTTGGATACCAAAATTTGGGATATAGTATTTGCATGTAACTTACACACATCCTCCCATGTACTTTAAATCATTTCTAGATTACTTGCAATACTTACTTTAATGTAAATGTTATGTAAATTGTTGTTATACTGCATTGTTAGGGAATAATTACAAGAACAAGTCTGTAAATGGTCAGTATAGTTGTACTTATATTTTTGTTTCTTTGTGGAAATACATTTGATCTCCATCGGTTGACTCCATAGATGTAAAAAGCATGAATATGACTGGACAATTATATATTAGTATTATTTTCTTTGAGGTTACAAGATCCATCCCTGACTATGAAAGAATATTATAAATTAGTATTTTATTGTGTATTTTGCTCCATTTAACCTCTTCTGCCTTGAGTTCTCTTGTTCAGTTAAAACTTTATTGAATTTGTAACCTCACAATATATTGTTATTAATGGTACTGGCTTGTTATGTTTGGTCAAATATTTGAATTTTTATTTCTTTCATTTCTTTCTTTTTTTAAACTCCTTTTTTATTTTATATTTCCACATAATTAAATTGTATTAATTTCTTTCTATTGGTGGTAACATGCTGTCACTTTCTTTGGTTGCTTGAAATATTTTTTTTCTTTATTGTCCAAAGGTGTTCACAATGGACATAGCATTTAACATTTTTCATTACTATTTTGAATCACTTAAAAGTTGTCTTGTACTCTAGATTGGCCATTATTTTTCAAAAATTGTTGTGACGATGTCATTCCTTTGTCTTTCATATTTTGTTTTCTTTTGTTTGTTTCTTTTTTTGTGAAGTTAGTTCTCAGTAAAATCATTTACTTTGGAAGGTTATAATCCCACCCCGCACCATTTGGGTTCTTTTAGTTTTCTTTTTGTGTTTGGTTTTCAGCAATCTTTAATGATGTGCCAACGTGAAAGTTTTATTTATTTAAAAAAAGCTTGAAGAAATTTACCCTTCCTGAAGTTTATAACTGTTCTTGAATTTGTATCTTGATGCATTTTAAAATATTACTTCTGTATCTTTGTTTATATTTCATATAACTAAGAATAACATTATTATTATTGTTATTATTGAGGCAGAGTCTCACTCTGTTGCTCAGGCTTGAGTGAAGTGGCTCGATTATGGCTCACTGTAGCCTCAACCTTCTAGGCTCAAGCAATCCTCCCACCTCAGCCTCCCTAGCTGGCACTACAGGCATGTGCCACCATGCCTGGCTTATTTTTGTATTTTTTGTATAGATGAGGTTTCACCATATTGCCCAGGCTGGTCTCAAACTCCTGAGCTCAAGCAATCTGCCTGCCTTGGTCTCCCAAAGTGCTAGAAATACAGGTGTGAGCCACTGCATCCAGCCCACAATAACATTATTTATGTACTTGTTTTACTGACCTCTGCCAACTTTTCTCATCTTTTCTCTTGATTTTGTGACTATAAATCATTTTTTTAAAAGTCTTTGGCTGATAACTCCAATAACTGCTTCTTACCCTAGGTCAAATTTTACTGTTTGTTTTGACTGAATGTTAAAACTTAAGTCTAATCTTTCTGTACTCTGAGTGGTTTTGATTAAAAGCTGGACATTATTTAAGAAAACTAGAAAACAAATGTAATGTTCTGGATGGTGCGATAGATTGGATATTCTCTCAAGAAAGAAGCTAAAGTGAAATCAATATGTATTAAGATTCTAAAGTTGTCTTAAATTACTTAACTAGGATTTGCTTGGGCTTGATTAATTTGAATCTATGGATGGGTCCATAAGTTCTATTAACCTACTGGAATTATGAGCAAATTATTTTATCTGTGTTTGCTTTTAAGTACATGGGCCCTTGGAGAAAAGTTTAACTTTCACTGGTTGCACTAAAGGTTCATTAATGAAAAAGCTTTAAGAACAATCTTTAGGTAGGTTGATTACCTAGTTTTAGAATGAAATTTTCCAACCAGACTTGAATATGTAATGAAGATAATAAAAATTGGTTCTTTTCTGCAGATATCTCTAAAAAAATGCAATTTACTTGCTATTATGTATAACTAGCGTATATGCTGATTCTTAGAGCCTTTTCCATAGGAAAGAAAAAAAAGAGAATGAGTTAATGCTCAAGTTAGAATAAATTACATGACATGAGAAAATAATCAAGTAAAGAGAAGGAAAACTGAGGAAAGTATTAATAATATTACTTGGTTTTGTCTAAGAAATCTTCTCAAGTCAGCATAATATTATCTGACTACATGTTTTCACCCTTTATTATTTTCTCCTTCAAGCACTAGAAAATATTCTGATTTATTTTAAAAAGTTTTTTGATTAATATTCTATCACCTTACTAAAGAAAACACTCACATTATTAAAGTTACTAGAATCTAGCTTGATGATAACACATCAAAATCACTTTTAGTCTCCATTTTCTTTGCCTGATGCCAATGGCAAAACTGTAAAATAAAAACACCGACATAGAGCCAGTAAAAAATAGGATTTCTTCTTTTTTCTCTTTTTCTTTTCTTTTCTTTTTTTTTTTTTTTTTCGAGATGGAGTCTGGCTCTGTCGCCCAGGCTGGAGCGCAGTGGCACAATCTTGGCTCACTGCAAGCTCCACCTCCTGGGTTCACGCCATTCTCCTGCCTCAGCCTCCCGAGTAGCTGGGACTACAGGCGCCCACCACCACACCCAGCTAATTTTTTGTATTTTTTAGTAGAGATGGGGTTTCACCATGTTAGCCAGGATGGTCTCGATCTCTTGACCTCGTAATCCGCCCGCCTCGGCCTCCCAAAGTGCTGGGATTACAGGCGTGAGCCACTGTGCCCGGCCAAAAATAGGATTTCTTATCTAGTTATGTATATTTTTTAGATAATGATAGAACAGAAGTATAAAAGGGAATGATGAAAAATACTAAAGTAAAACTTTCATTATACAATATTTATTTTTATAAATTATGTAATTTAAAGTTGCTGCAATATTCAAATGCTCATTTAATGGAAATAGATATAGTATTTACTTAAAATTGTTATATAACAGGTAATATATCATCATGTTGATTGCTGGCATAAGATAGACACTTACATAACCCTAAAAAGAAAAATATTGCCTGGCTATTTAAAAAATATTCTGCCTCTTTTATACTTATCTATATTCTAAACTGAACTGCTTTAGTTTAGAATATTCTAAACTGTTTGAACATTCGCATTTACATCTACCTGATCAGAAGGATAAATGTATTCTCGGCTTACCTGCTTTATTGACCTGTAGAAGTAGCAGATAATGATCCTAAAACTGGCAAAATGAAGCAGGCTAATTTGCCATCAAAACTTTTGTTTTACTCTGTTGCTATCCTAGTTCTCCTGTAATTCTTAATTTGAATATCAAGAGCCCATAATTGAAAAATAATATACATATATTTAATTTTAAGTCCTATTTAAAAGAAATTCTAGCAGTATAATGTTTTGTTTAGCATGTAGACATAAAGATTCTTTTCTCTCAAGTAGAAGTAGCAAGCACAAATCAAAATATATAATCATTCTGAAATTATGAACTAAACATGGAATCTTTTACTTTTAATATTCAAGCCCAAATAATTTTTTCTTTCTCCTTCAAAACAATAGTTAACAGGGTAGAGATATTTACAGACAAAACAGTAATTTCATACCTGTTTTTTCTCTCTGCAATGGGGAAGTGGAACTTAAATGGAAGAAATAATGTCTTTAACCAAGACATAAGCCCCTACTAGCTTTGTTCTGTCTTTTCTGGAAGTCTACTTAGAAAGATACTTTACTAAGCTGTTAAATTCCATGTGGCTGACTAGGTAACAAATAGCAAAGACAGAAGCTAAGGGCCACAGGGGTTTGCAGTTGTCAGCATGGTGATAAGCTAGAGCTTTATCATCAGAAACTAAAGAGTACTTAAATGATACTGGCTGCAGTTGTGGTCATAATTTATCAGCCTCAAGTGACTCTGTGTATATGTGTGCCTACCTTTCCTAATTTCAGTTTCTGTTCTGCTGGAGTCTGCATTATAAAACTTCAGTGATCCTCCTGCACAGTATTTATTTTTTCTAACATCAAAAGAATCAGAAAGGACACATGGAATGAAACATAAGAAAAACATTGCTGGAAAAACATAAAGTTAGAAAGTTAGTACAAATAAAATGCTACTAAAAAGGCTGAGACAGATGACCATCCAAATAGAAAAGTGGAGTGTAGTCGGACTCAAGCAGAACTACAGAAATGATGTTTTAAGCGGCTGGGCGTGGTGGCTCACGCCTGTAATCCCAGCACTTTGTGAGGCCGAGGCGGGCGGATCACGAGGTCAGGAGATTGAGACCATCCTGGCTAACACGGCGAAACCCTGTCTCTACTAAAAATACAAAAAAAAAAAAAAAAAAAAAAAAAAAAAAATTAGCCTGGCGTGGTGGCAGGCACCTGTAGTCCCAGCTACTTGGGAGGCTGAGGCAGGAGAATGGTGTGAACCCGGGAGGCAGAGCTTGCAGTGAGCAGAGATATCGCGCCACTGCACTCCAGCTTGGGCGACAGAGCGAGACTCAGTCTCAAAAAAAAAAAAAAAAAAAAGAAAAAAAAAAAGAAAAAGAAATGATGTTTTAAAACAATAACTCACTCTTAGGTTGCAACATGAGTTAAAAGAGGTCAAATAATGTTTTGTTCCTCTGTGAAGTGCATTCTCCAAAGGGAATTAATTTTGAAATCTTTATGTAGTAGGTCAGGAAAAGTTTTAAATAATTAAATTATAAACAAGTGTTTAAAAAGTCTTTTTTAATCTTCTGATACAATGAGTTGATTTTTGTTTAAACTGTGAGCCAAACCTTTTTGTCCATCCTTTTGCCCTCTTGAAGTTGCCATTAATGGAGAAATTTTTGAAAACAAAAATATAGAAGAAAACACAAGTAAAATATTTTTTCTATGAATAATCATTCGATAATTTCTTTGTTCCATGGTTTTATTCTTATTCAAAACTCAATGAGGAAACCTGAATTAATTTTTTGCCTCTTCCTTTTAAATTTATGTCACACAACATATTAATTAAACAAGAAGATAGATAGAATCAGGGTAGCTGATCTCAGTCAGAACGTGCTTAAAATGTGAAGTTAATTGTAGGGTATATGTGCATATGTTGTGTAAGAAGTTGAACAGTCACGACCATTCCAAGCATAACCCATTCCCTGACAATTTCTTATCCCAAGACACAGATGAAAAGTCAGAAGTCATAGGTCAGTCTTCTTAAGATAGATGCCGAGATGGAGACTTACAAGCAGGTAGTTATTAGGGAAGCACTGTCAAAAAACACCGCCTGTAAGAGTATATATCATCCATGCAAAACCCTGGCCAGCAAAGAAAAGCCACCACTGAGCTTCTCAACAGTGCTTCTGTCCCCCTTATCAGCTCATTCTTTATCACATTGGAAACAAAGGATTCCTCTGACTCCCCTCAACGAACATAGCTAGTGATTGTTTTGGCCACATATAGTCACTGGCTATAGACTGCACTCAAGGAGGGTGACAACCTGGGGAAATAGCAATAGCCAGGGAGGGACACAGGTGTGAGGTGTCAACAAACAACATTTCTAGCCTGCAGCGGGGGTAATGAGTGCTTAGTACCCAGAAGTGGGCTTTGGGTGAAAGACCATAGTGTGAGCAACACGAATCCTGAACTCACTTCTTCAGGTACATTTACTATTACCACATCATCCATCATATGTGAATATGTGCACTGTGTATATGATGCAACATCTGTGTGTATTTGTGTTTGTGTACACTGGAGAGGGAAAAAGTGAGGGTCATTTCTGCTGTTGACCAATTTCCAGGATGGTTTTGAAGGCATTCACAGATAATTTCTCATGATATAAGTTTCTTGAGGAGACATAATTTACCATATAATATTTGTGTTTTTTTTTAACTACCTAGAGATTTGTTAAAGAATAGGCAATAACTCTATATGCAGAAGACAGAAACTGGACCCCTTCCTTACGCCTTATACAAAAATTAACTAAAGATGGATTAAAGACTTAAATGTTAGACCTAAAACCATAGAAACCCTAGAAGAAAACCTAGGCAATACCATTCAGGACATAGGCATGGGCAAGGACTTCATGACTAAAACACCGAAAGCAATTGCAACAAAAGCCAAAATTGACAAATGGGATCCAATTAAACTAAAGAGCTTCTGCACAGCAAAGAAACTATCATTAGAGTGACCAAGCAACCTACAGAATGGGAGAAAGTTTTTGTAATCCATCCATCTGACAAAGGTATATCCAGAAGCTACAAGGAGCTTAAACAAATTTACAAGAAAAAAAACAAACAAACCACCCCATCAAAAAACATGCAAAGGACATGAAGAGATACTTCTCAAAAGAAGGCATTTATGCGGCCAAGAAACATGAAAAAAAGCTCATCATCACTGGTCATTAGAAAAATGCAAATCAAAACCACAATGAGATACCATCTCATGATCATTAAAAAGTCAGGAAACAATAGATGCTGGAGTGAATGTCGAGAAATAGGAATGCTTTTACACTGTTGCTGGGAGTGTAAATTAGTTCAACCATTGTGGAAGACAGTGTGGTGATTCCTCAAGGATCTAAAACCAGAAATACCATTTTACCCGGCAATCCCATTACTGGATAAATCATTCTACACATGCACACGTATGTTTATTGCAGCACTATTTATGATAGCAAAGACTTGGAATCAACCCAAACGCCCATCAATGATAGACTGGATAAACAAATTGTGACACATATACACCATGGAATACTATGCAGCCATAAAAGCAATGAGTTCATGAACCTTGCAGGAACAGGGATGAAGCTGGAAACCAACATTCTCAGCAAACTAACACAGGAACAGAAAACCAAACACCACATGTTCTCACTCATAAGTGGGAGTTGAACAATGAGAACACATGGACACAGGGAGAGGAACATCACAACCTTGGCCTGTCAGGGCGTTGGGGGCAAGGGGAGGGAAAGCATTAGGACAAATACCTAATGCATGTGGGGCTTAAAACCCAGATGATGGGTTGATAGGTGCAGCAAATCACATGGCACATTATACCTATGTAACAAATCTGCACGTTTAGCACATGTATCCCGGAACTTAAAGTCAAATTATATGTATATATGCAAAACATTTTCTGATATTCTGAATAAATAGCAATGCACATTTTTCATTGGGCACATTATTGTAAATTGCTGTGGGCCTTTTTTCTTATTTTTTTTCCTTCTTTTCTTTTTTCCTTCCTTTTTTTCATTCAATCTTTCTTTCCTTTCCATTTTTTTCTCTTCCTTGTTCTTTCCCTCTACACACCTTTGTTTCCTTTCTCACTCTCTCATTTAATAAGCCAGACATAAGGTTGTATTATGGAAATTTTTTATGTTCAGATTTTTAGTTTAATTTATTTTAACTTACATTTTTGATATTTTATTGCAGGATTGCATCTAATTTTGAAAAACTTACAAAACATGTAACTGTTCAATCATGATGGAAAAAATAAAGATCTTAAATTTTAAAAGCAACTTTTTAAAGAATAGAGTGGAGAAAAAAACTAGTAGCTTTCAGGTGAAGACCTCTGGCAGATAATTCCTTTACCCCATGGTGAGTGATGTTGATAGTATGTTAATATCATGTGCCCTGATAGAGTACAATGATGAGGGCTTTCATGTTTGTATTCTTCTTCCTGAAAACACATACTCCCATTCTAATCACACACACACACAAAATCAATGGAACCCAAATTGAGAATTGCACTGAAGAAATATGTGATGAGGACTCTTTAATATTGTCCTCTTGACCACCCCACTCGATGACCCTTAATGTCATGGGGAAAAAAAGAAAACAAAAAGTACAAATACAAAGAAATGGTTGCGGATTGGAGGAGACTAAAAAAACTGTAATGATTAAATTTAATATGGTTTCCTGGATTGGCCTCTGGAACACAACAAGGACATTATTGTAAAAACTGAAAACTGGTAATATCCAAATAAAGTCTGCGATTTAGTTACTGCTAATATAGTGTTAATTTCTTACTGTTAACAATGGTATCATGGCTCCATAAGATGGTAATACTAGGAAACTGCTAACATTAGGGAACTTTTATATTTGATGACTTTGATGGGGTATCAGCTAAAGTGGTAAATAATTAGATATTCATAGAACTTTTTTTTTCTAGACTTACTAGACATACTAGGCTTTCTAGACTTACTAGACTTACTTGTGCCAGTCAGGGTTCAACCAGAGAAGCAGCAATAATAGTAGACTGATAGATGCTAGATGACAGACTTATTACAGGAAGTCGGATAAAGCAATTGGTGGGGCTAGTGAAGCAATCTCTGCAGGGCTGTCTCCACATGTAAGGCTGGAGCACAAAGCCCTCAGTCCATTAGCCAGGAAGGGAATGCCATGAGCCAGCTAGAACCCAGTGAACACAAGCTGGGAACCCCACCATCACTAGCATCAATGCAAACAGCATGAGGTAGAAGCCTGGGAGGGTAAGTTTTCATCTATGTCAGTCTTGTTGCCTCTTCCTTGTAGAGCTGGACATATGTGCTTCTAGTCGAGGTGTCAGAGAAAATGAAGAAAGAGTGAGTGGGAAGGGAGAGAGAATTGCCGGCTCCACTGATGCTTTATGCCAATGAGGTGAAACCAGCAACAAGGTGTTTGTGCCAGAAAATGGCTGACACCTTCCTTCTAGTAGTTTCCTTGACAAGATTATTATGCTTTAGCCAATAGACTATTTTTAAAAATTCTATGCTATCTCTCTGGAACCTTGTTTCATATAGCAAATGTTCAGCTTTCTTAATATGCTGCATTTGTATCTAAATATATGCCTCATTTTCTAGTTTTAGTCTAAAAAATAGGATAATGTAAGTCACCTAATTACTCTAGCACATTTGTATTTTGCTTTTCATTAGATGGAATGAAGATGTTAATAGAGCCCTTGATATTTCTACTCATTTTATTAGGTTTTAAAAGTATATTTATAAACATAAATATCTAACAGAATGTGTTGAATATTTATACATTGCTTTGCTGCCAAAGTCCATATACATATACCCATGGATTTTGAGATAATTTTCTGAATTGATGGATTTATCCTTACAACACAAGGACTCTTTCTGCATTACTAGCCTTTTAGTTACTAATAGCTGTAAGCTATTAAGCATGAGGAATTAACTCTCGGATGAATTTTGAACACAAAGAAATGCTGGTAGTGCTTAAGATGTATTGTGAAATGTTTTGATGATATACCATTAAATTTATTCCAAAGTATATTCCTAAAGTTGCCAGTGGAAATCTAAGACTGCTTTTTTTCCCTTTTAATCATGAAAGTTGCCCAAATGGTTGCCAAAATCATGGTTGCCAAAAATGCAGCCATCAGCATTCCTTGGTGAAGGCAGCTTAGTGCTGTCAACCATCTTATCTCCCCTGTTGTATGGTTGATTTTCTTCTTGTATCAGTGAATACAAACATTAGAACATAGAAGTTCTCCAGCTGCTTCTGTGATATTTGGAAAGTATCTGCTAAAGAAATTAGGCCCATATGCATAAGAGAACATACAAATTATACATATTGCAAAGTAATATAATTATAATAGATGAAAATAAAATGATGAAGGAATAAAGTCCAATTAAAGGAAAAATAATTTAAAAAGACTAATATTTTAGTAACTTTAGAAACAGCAGATTAGATCTTGGGAGCCGAACCAAAAATATAATACCTACCTTAGTTCTTAAATCAGGTTATTTTCCACAAGTATATCATTAGCTCATGTTACAGTGTGATCATGTGCATACATTGACTTCTTAAACCATACATAAAAACCTCAGGTTATTTTATTGTGATCTTTATACAAAGAACCAGAAGACATTATTTTAGGCATAAAATGACAAAGAGAGGAATAGCAGCTATAATAGTTATGAAATCCTAAAACTTAACAGTATATAAATAGGTTTTAACTTTGCTTCTAAAGCAAAGGGAACTTCATAAAAATTTCACAAATACTGTATCGCTGTATTGAAGCAGAAAGTTATTTTTACATAGACAGTTGAACAAAAGAGAATAGATGAGGATAAAAACCTGAAATTTTATAACAATATCTTATATACAGCTATATGAATGTGCACCTTATAGTCTCGCCTTCTTTAAAAGCCAGGATCATAATGATGAACAATGAACTTTCTCTGCCTTTTATGAGCTCACAGACTAGTGGGGTAGCATACATACATAGATAATTATAAACTTGGTTTTACTGTCTTTTTTTTTTTTTTTTTTTTTTTTGAGACAGGGTCTCACTCTCTTGCCCATGCTGGAGGGCAGTCACACAATCTTGGCTCACTGCAGCCTTGACCTCATGGGCTCAAGCAATCCTCCTGCCTTGTCAGCCTTCCAAGTAGCTGGGACTACAGGTGTGAGCCACCATACCTGGCTAACTTGTGTATTTTTTGGAGAGACAGGGTTTCACCCTGTTGCCCAGACTGGTCTTGAACTCCTGAGCCTTGGCCTCCCAAAGCGCTAGGATTATAGGCATGAGCCACCACGCCCTACCTGTCCTCTCCTGTCCTCTCTTAAACTCAGCAGTGAGTGCATGGGTGATTCTACAAGTATTTGTTAAACCACCCATACACACACACACACACACACACACACACACACACACACTGTTTAATATATATGATATATTTCATAGTACAAACTAATATTGAAAATGCAGATTCTTCCAGAACAGAGCCATGATAGCTAAGATCTCCATCTTTTAATTTGGGAAGAACTACAAATTAGAAAAAAACAACAAACAACAAACAAACTCCTACAGCATACTGTGTTCACAGTTATTTACCTATGTCTGCTTAACCTCACTGTATGCTAAATTACACATAACTAAATGTCACCCTTATTTTCCATGCACTTATTAATATAATTTGTAATTGTCAAAATAACTAGGTTTGGACTTAGCAAAATGTACTTGCGTGTGAAGTCAGACAGTTATTTGAATTGACTGTGTTTTTTTATCCTTAAAATATCTAGGTGATAGCAACTATTACACTGCTCCCTCCTCCCTTGCCCTTCCATCCCTCACTAAAACTACACAGCTTTTTGTCCTCAAATACTTTTCTCAAAGATTCCTACCACACCCTCTTCCCCTAGTGTCTAACTCAAAGTTCCAGGGAGACTCTTCTAGCCCTTAAACATTGAGTCCAAACTCCAACTTACCATCACCCTATCACATTACCATTTTAATTTCTTATCAGAGAAGTTAGCACAATCTGAAATTATTTTGCGGTTTATGTATTAATCCTTTATTTCTCCATGGGGCCCCTAAACTCTGCAAGAGTGAATAACTTGCCTGTGTTGCTTTTTACTACATTACCAGCTCCTAGTCTAGTGCCTGGTACAAAATGGGGCCATGAATACTCAATGAATGGAAGAGTAAAGATACGCAACACATACTCAACATTTAACTTGACACAACAAAATTAAATACATGTCATTGTCCTTCCTGGCAAATCCATTCTCTCCGATTCCAGGTTAATCTTCTTAAAATATGATTTTTTTTACATTACTTTATTCCAAACAAATGTTTTGATAGGAAAAACTTAAAACTTTTTATTATGAAAGGTTTTCCAACATGTAAATCTGAATTTCCATCCTCACTTTATCTTTGGTCATGTTCCCTAAGGCTGTGCTCTCCAGCAAATTAATCTCTACCTTTCTGCTTCCCACAGTCCCTCTACCTGAAATGCTACTTTCTTATCTCTACTACCTTATAACTCGTTTAATTCCAGCCTTAATCTGAGCATGGGAAAATTTTCCTTAGGGGAAGGACCGCTAGAAGATAAGTGGTGTATAGAAGTTTCTCTCCTCTCAAGATGAAGCCTAGAATTTGTCCTGAAATAAACAAATGAAGAGTAAAATTAATGTCATCAATTTGAAGCTTAAAAATGTCTAAAGATATTATCATAATGCACAATTAAAATTTTATAATTTCCTCTAAAAGCGTGCCCTAATTATCTGGTACCCTTGGTTGTATTCTCATTCTAAATGCCTTCCACTGTCCTCTGAACTTTTCCCAACCCTTACTCCACAGCAATTTCTATCCACTCTGCAATCTTAAAGCATTATTGCTTACAACAATTGTTTTGACAATTTATTTCTCTATAACTGCTTTCGAGGAATATCCTCTTCTTTTGTATATTCTAAATTAGGCCTTGTACATAATAAATGCTTAATGATTTGGGGTTAATTAGATGAATTCTATGCCACACCATGGAATGCCAATTCAATTTTGTAACGTGTCTTTACAAGATAGATACTGATCCCATTAACAGAATTGCTTATCTGGCAATTAGCATCATTAAGATAAATTAATGAATCAGATGTCCATTTCTTTAGTCTGTAAAACTGGCTTTAGTGATTAGACACATTTTTACCAAATTAACAACACTCATCAAATTATTATTCCTGTGTTTTTATTCATCCAAAACATATTTATGTAAAAAAAAAAGATTAGATCAGTCTAGGTGATATTGAACTTGTTTCCACTATTAAATTCACTTAAATAAAACCTTCTGTAAATTAATTCCAAAGAAAATATTTCCTAGAGATAAAGTAAACTCCTGCTTATATTAGTATGCTATGACTTTTTATTAATTTCTTTGCTAATTTAATTTGATCAGTAACCACTGGGATTAAACCAATATAAAAATACAGATATATCAACTTGAATATTAATGTTATGTTTTGATTAAAAAACCGAAAATATTTACAAGGAATTTTTTGGCATGAATAATGGACAAAGCTTATCCTGAATTATTGATGGAGATTCATAGCTTCTCTCTACCATAGAAAGTCATAACTAACTGAAGAAAATTTTTCTCCCATTACTGTTTTCAAATGTGCCATGTTGGAGTTTCTTTCCCTTGCCACTAAACATTTTAAGCAGTTTCCATGATATTTTGGTTAATTTTATCATTAAGAGGAAACCTAATTTTGCCTAACAATTGTTAACAATCTAATTATATTCATTGAAAACGCATGTTGTATCTGATTCTACATAGATTTTTCTCCTAATTTCAGTACTGACGGGCTCACAAATTCCTCTTGAGAAGATGAATAAACTTGTGTTTTGTGACCTTTTGGCTTTTTCCTTTGTGTCTGCCCATAATCTTTTAGGCCTTCTGATGGGGAAGGTTTGGACCAGAGAAAAAGAGGCAAATATCAATTTGCATGCTATTTCTATTAATATTTCTTTCTTAGCTAGTGTGGATGGGAGGGTATGCTCCATTTTGTGCCAAGCCTACAATCAGCTCTATTACAGATCGCCTTTGTTCATAGTTACACGGCCACTCAGGAGCACAGCAATGCCCGATTCTCAGCCTTCTGTCATTGGTGATACAGATTTCAATTAATTTCCTGACATTTCCCTTCATGCTATGGCCGTTCTTAGTGGTCCATTTCATAATAGGCAACCTCTCCTCTCTGGCAGATGTAACATGTGATTGTGGTGTTGTTAGCAGTATTATTATTGTTAGGCTGGTTTTATATAATGAATTGAGGCATATTTTATCTTTTTCTGTTTTCTGGAATACTTTCTAAAAAATCAAGATGATGTCTTGAAAGTTTGGTGGAATGTACTTGGAAAAAACAACCTGAATCTTGTGTGTCCTTGTTGAGAAGATACAAATATAAATGTAAAGTATCGCTTTTATTTTGTTAAAAGTCAGAGCTGTGCTTGAGCTTTATGTTTTCCTTGACACCATTTTGGTGTCTAACTCTGTTATGTGAGAAATATTTTATTTCTACTTTAATTCTGTGATGTTGTCTTATCTTTCATTACTATTATTTTAAAGCCAAAGCTGGGCTCCTAAAGCAATCATCTTTAAGGGTATTTTTCCTGAATAAGTTTTAAATAAGTTTGAAATTCTTTTGTATGTATGCACAACTTCTGAGGCTTGTATTTCTCTATTCCTGAGAACATTTTCATCATGATTTCGTATTTGAATAACAGTTTGGCTGGCTATAAAATTCTAGTTTCAAAGATATTTTCCTCCCATACTTTGAAAATACTGTCTTCTTGTACCAAATGTTGCTGTGTAAACATACATTATCGGCTGGGTGCAGTGGCTCACGCCTGTAATCCCAGCACTTTGGGAGCCTGAGACGGGCAGATCACCTGAGGTCGGGAGTTCGAGACCAGGCTGACCAACATGTGGAAATCCCGTCTCTAGTAAAAATACAAAATTAGCCGGGCGTGGCACATGCCTGTAATCCCAGCTACACGGAAGGCTGAGGCAAGAAAATCTCTTGAACCCAGGAGACGGAGGTTGCAGTTAGCTGGGATCGCACCGTTGCACTCCAGCCTGGGCAACAAGAGCAAAATTCCATCTCAAAAATATATATATATATATATATATATATTTATATATACATTATCATTCTATGTACAATCTTTTTTTCTCTCTGAGAGCTTCTAGAATTTTCTTTCTCTTTTATATTCTCAACTTTAAATAAAATTGCAAGTGAGGTTTTTTCATTGCTCCCCTTTATTATTTATGGGTGCTCTTAGTTTTATTTGGTACATCTGAAAAATTTACCTCTATTATTATTTTTCAAATATTTATCATTTTCATTTGTATTTTTACTGTTTCTGGGACTTATATTACCTGACGTTTAGTATTTCAACTCTCTTCTCTTTTTTATTATACTCACTATATGTTTATTCTTCTCTTCTTTTGGGAGTGATTTTCTCAATCTTGTTTCATAATGAACTAATTTATTCCTCAGATGTATTCATGCTATTATCTACTTCAGCTGTTAACCCCTAAGCACTACAACTTACATAAGGTGCACAAGTAAAACTAGTTTATTTGAGGAGTTTGGAGGAAAATGGTCAACAGAATGCATATAGTTCTCTAAACTCCTGCCATCACACTGAAAGGACTCCTTGGACCTGCTTTTTGTTTGTTTGTTTTCTATGAACTGTTATACTCCAGAAAGACATATTAGTAGAAAGAGTAGAGAGAGATCATGCAGGATATTTGGAAATGTCTAAAATTTACAATCTGTGTTACCATCTTGCCGTTCTGCAAAACATTCTTTTCTTGGTTTCAGCTGACTGCTGAGTCAACATCTTCCAAGAACGGTTGCGACTGAGTTACAAACATCACTCAGAGATAGAGTGGCTTGTCTTTCCACACTATCTGTTATGTTCTTTGTTTCAACTATTATATTCCTTTCAGCTAAATCTTTTTTAAATTTCTCTTTTTGTTTCATTTTGTTAAAATCATCTCAGTTTTTAGTACATTAGATAAATTATACTGAATCCTTGATCCATCTGTTCTAATATGTCTGTGTCAGATGACATGCATCATTTATTCTTTTTCATTTGATAGAGTGAGCTCCTCAAATTCAGATTATTTAGGCCTGTGTGTTTACATTTCCACTGAGGATATTGAGACCCATGCTCAGTATTCAATAATGCGTATAAGAAAAGGTCCCAAGGTCAGACCTCTATCTGAATCAGCTTCAATAAACTAAAGGTAAGTAGCAATGAGTCCTACAATAGAAATCTACAGATGATAGCAGTACAATTAATCTATTCTCAAACCAAGGAGACAACTCATTCCTTCAAGGCTTTCCCCTTCACTTGCAGTGAGAAGCAGACCCAAGGGAAGGACTCCACTCCTTTGATTGTTCTTCCCCAGCCCAGGATATTACTACGACTAGTGTTTGTAAAGCAAATTCGAGAAGCCGGTCAGTTCCCACACATCTTTTTCTTCCAGCAACTAACCCACAAAATTTTAAATATTATTTCTGTGTACACCCACCACAGAGGTCTGATTTGCCATAGGTGTACAATTAGACAGTGACAATTTGAAGGTAAGGTAGGCTTAGATATAAAAAAGAATATCACAAAATCTATATTATCTTACTAGAATGATACCTGTCTGCCTCTTGCCACAAGCTAAAGCAACTACCACTAAGACATACCTGTTCAAAAGACAAACATTTTCCCCAAGAGTTTTTCCTCCCTTGATGTTTTAGTCTAATTTCTCTAGGGTTGGTTTGGGGAAGATGCCAACAGGTTTTGCTAGATCAGCATAATGATAGAAACTGGTTGTTCTATAATTTCTACGTAAAGAGATTCATTGAGGTTTACTTTCAGTCAATTTTTATGAATATTTTATGTCATCTAAAACTATTTACTTGGTGTCATCAGGGTTTAAAGAGTGATCTATATGTTTACTAGAACAATGCATTATATTATTCAAAAACTTTATCTCTGTTATTATCTAAACTCAAAGTAGTCAGTTAAGTTTCCCTACTGTAGACTTTACTGAGTATCCCTTGAACTTCCTTGATTTTTGCTTTATATTTTCATATTTTGTTTTAATTTGGTAAAAAAATTTATAGTGCTTGTATCTTTTGTGGTTTGATCTGTTTTGTTATCATTTTAAATGTTAATTTCTGAATTCATATTTATCTAATATATTGTGATTCAAACTACGTTATAAACTTAGTCAATAACTGTCTTGGTTTTTAAATTATTTCTGATACCTATATTTTTGTGTGGTTAATTGTTTACTTGCTTTTATCTGTGTTTAATTTCTTCCCTTTGTGGTCATTTGAATAAATTATACTATGATTTTAGTAGAGTGGGTTATACTTATATTTTTCATTTACTTAAAATTTATTGTTTATCAAGTTTAAAAGTTAAACAAGTGTTCTAGATTTTCTAGTACAATAGCATCAAACTAAATTATCATATATCAATACATCTTCCTAAAACTCAAAAATGAAATCAAGAGAAAATAAAATCACCTGTAGACCATGATTTCATGTTAGTAGGAGACAGGGACTTTCATTTTATTTATGTAACTTTTATTTACATATAAATGGGAAAACCATATCTGAGACTTACAAAAATGCGTACAGAGCCCACGTTATACTCCCATGCATGCTAAAGACAACAGGGAAGAGAGCATAGTATATTAAGAAGATCCTAGAGGTGAAAATGAGTATCTCACCAATGCCGTTTTATTCCCAGAAGAAGAAGACTTTTCCATGAATGGAAATACTGCAAGCAGGTCTGAATTCTAATGAATCAAAGTGTTAAGTACTGGTAATTAGAAATTTGGAGAGTCTGCAAGACCACAGGTGGTAGTCTTAGAAAGATGCCATTTCATGATGACAAACACATTTTGGAGAGGAGAAATGTTTTCTTGTAGGCTTAGTGCTAAAATAGAGAAAGCAATGTTGAATGACCATAATAAAACAAGATAGAATAAAAGAAGCAGAAGGTGAGATGCAAAAAAGAAAAGCACTATACATTGAAGAAATAGTGCTTTGTTGTAGCAACAGAAGTGTCTGCTCTTAAACTACAAAAGCTTTCATAAGCTCCCCTGCTACTGCTAGTTTAAAAATCTTAAAAATGAATATAAATACCACCAGAAAATTCATTAACAGCACAGTTGTTATAAGAAAAATGAAAATAAGAATAAAAAATCATTAGCAGAAAATACACAAACATGCACATATGCACGTACATACAATATAAAACCATGAAGCAAATTATAATAACAAAACAAGAAAATTTACATACGAAAGCAAATGCAGATACAGGGTAATTTAAACCAAGCCAAGTAAATTTTAGGAAAGATACTTAAGAATAAGAAAAAGATTATTTCAGAAAATAAGAACAAATTGCAAAGTATGAATGCATATGATGAGAATTCAATAAGAAAAACAAAGAATTGCATAAAAAGATTCAAGAAAATGACACAGGAAAAGAAGTATTTAAAAAATAGAAATAAAGTGATAGATGTTGAAGGCAGAAATGATTCAACATAAATATGATTGGACATTCTGAAAAATAGAAATAATCATAATGTAAAAAGAACTAATTTTCATCTTTTTATTTTTATGAATACACAGTAGGTGTATATATTTATGGGGCACATGAAATATTTTGATACAGACATACAATGTGCAATGTTTGCAACAGGGTAAATGCAGTGTCCATCATCCCAAGAATTTATAATTCCTTTGTGTTACAAGCATTCCAATTATATTCTTTTAGTTATTTTTAAATGTACAATAAATTATTTTTGGCTATAGTCACCCTGTTGTGCTATGAAATAGTAGATCTTACTCATTCTATCGAAATATATTTTTGTACCCATTAACCCCCTCCACCCACTATCCTTCCCAGCCTCTGGTACCCATCATTCTACTCTTTATTTCCATGACTTCAATTATTTTAATTTTTAGCTCCCACAAATGAATGACAACATGCAAATTTGTCTTTCAGTGCCTGGCTTATTTCCCTTAACATAATGATCTCTAGTTCCATCCTGGATACTGAAAATGACAGGATCTCCTTTTTATGGCTTTATATACTCCATTGTGTATATGCACCATATTTTCCTTATTCATTCATCTGTTGATGGGCACTTAGGTTGCTTCCACATATTGGCTACTGTGAATAGTGCTGCAATAAACGTGGGAATGCAGAAATTTCTTCGATATACTGAGTTACCTTCTTTGGGGTAGATACCTAGCAGTGGGATTGCTGGATCATATGGCAGCTCTAGTTTCAGATTTTGAGGGACCTGTCTACTGTTCTTGATAGTAGCATTATTAATTTACACTCCCACCAACAGGGTAAAAGCATTCCCTTTTCTCCACATTTTTGTCAGAATTCATTATTGCCTGCTTTTTGGATAAAAGCCATTTTTACTGGGGTAAGATGATATTTCATTTTAGTTTTGATTTGCGTTTCTCTGATGATCAATGATGTTGAACATCTTTTTTATATACCTGTTTTCCATTAGTATGTTTTCATCTAAGATATGTCTGTTCAGATCTTTTGCCCATTTTTAAATCAGACTATTAATTTTTTCCTATTGAGTTGTTTGAGCTGTTTACATGTTCTGGTTATTAATACATTGCTAGATTAATAGTTTGCAAATATTTTCTTCCATTCTGTAGTTGTTTCTTCACTTTGTTATATTCTTCGTTATGCAGAAGCTTCTTAACTTGATGTGTTCCCATTTGTTCATGTTTACTTTGGTTGCCCATGCTTGTGGGGTATTATCCAATAAATTTTTGCCCAAACCAATGTCCTGGAGAGTTTCCTCAATGTTGTCTTTCAGTGGTCATAGGTTGAGATCTTAGATTTAAGCCTTTAATTCATTTTGATTTGATTTTTCTATATGGTGAGAGATAAGGGTCTAGTTTTATTCTTCTGCATATGGATATCCAGTTTTCCAGAACCGTTTCCTGGAAAAATTGTCCTTTTTCCAATGTATGTTCTTGGCACCTTTGCCAATTTATTTTTGGGTTCTCTACTCTGTTCCATTGGTCTATGTGTCTGTTTTTATGCTGTGCTGTTTGTTTTCCTATAACTATATAGTATAATTAGAAGTCAGGTAATGTGATTCCTCCAGTTTTGTTCTTTTTTTCTCAGGATGACTTTGGCTATTCTGAATCTTTTGTAGTTCCATATAAATATTTGATTTTTTTTTTTTTTGGCCAGACGTGGTGGCTCACACCTGTAATCCCAGCACTTTGAGAATTCGAGGTGGGAGGATCACCTGAGGCTGGAAGTTCGAGACCAGCCTGGCCAACATGGAGAAATCCCATTTCTCCAAAAAATACAAAAAAATTAGCCGGGAGTAGTGGTGCATGCCTGTAATCCCAGTTACTCAGGAGGCTGAGGCACGAGAATCACTTGAACCCGGGAGGCGGAGGTTGCAGTGAGCCGAGATTGTGCTGTTGCACTCTAGCCTGGGCAACAAGAGCAAAACTCCATGTCAAAAAAAAGAAAGTAATAGAATTTTTTTTCTATTTCCATAAGAATGTCATTTCCATTTTTTTTGTTGTCCTCTTCAATTTCTTTCATTTGTATTTTATAGTTGTCAGTATAGAGATCTTTCACTTCTTTGGTTATGTTAATTCCCATGTATTTTATTTTATTTGTGGCCATTATAAATTTGATTACTTTTTAAGTTTTTTTTTCAGATTGCTCATTGTTGGCATATAGAAATGCTACACACTTTTGTACGTTGATTTTATATTCTACAAATTTACTGAATTTGTTTATCAGTGCTAATAGTGTTTTTGGTGGAGTCTTTAGGGTTTTCTAAATATAAGATCATGTCATCTGAAAATAAGGATAATTTAACTTTATCATTTCCAATGTGGTTCTTCATTTTTTTCTCTTGTTAAATTGTTCTAGTTAAGACTTCCAGTACTATGTTGAGCAATGAAAGTGGGCATCCTTGTATTGTTTCAGTGCTTAGAGGAAAGGCTTTCTTTTTACCCCATTCAGTATGATACTAGGTGTGCATATGTTGTATCTGGCTTTTATTGTGTTGAGGTATGTTCCTTCTGTACCCAGTTTTGTGAAGTTTTTTAATCATAAAGGGATACTTAATTTTTATCAAATACTTCTTTAGCATCAGTTGAAATGATCACATGATTTTTGTCCTTCATTCCATTGATACGATATACCATGTTGATGGATTTGTGTAAAACCATACTTTCATTCCTGAGATAAATCCCACTTGGTCATGAGAAATGATCTTTTTAATGTGTTGTTGAATTCAGTTTGCTAGTATTTTCCTGAAGATTTTTGCATCAGTTACATCAGGTATATTGGCCTGTAGTTTTCTTTTTTTAATTATGTCTTTGTCTGATTTTGGTATCAGGATAATACTGGACTTGTAGAATGAATCTGGAAGTATTCCCTCCTCCTCTGTTTTTTGGAGTAGTTTTAGTAGAGTTGGTATCTTCTCTAAATGTTTGGTGGAATTCAGCACTGAAGCCATCAAGTTTCTTTGTTGATTTTCTCTTTGGATGATATGTCCAGTGCTGAAAGTGTGGTGTAGAAGTCTCCAGCTAATAGTGTAGCTCTAAAACTGTTTGCTTATATGTCTGTGTGTTTCTATGTTGTATGTGTATATATTTACAATTATTATATATTATATATAATTATTATATATTATATAACAAATATTATATTCTTTTGCTGAATTGACTCCTTTATCATTATATAATGACCTATTTTTCTCTGTTTATAGTTTTTGTCTCGAAATATATTTTGTCTGATATAAGTATAGCTACTCCTGCTGTTTTTTGGTTTCCATTTGCATGGAATACCTTTTTCCATCCCTTTATTTTCAGTGTATGTATGTCTTTATAGTTGAAGTGTGTTTCTTGTAGGCAACAGACTGTTGGGTCTTGTGTTTAATTCATTGAGTCACTCTATGTCTTTTGACTGGAGAATTTAGCCCATTTACATTCAATATTATTATTAATAAGTGAGGACTTACTCTTGCCATTTTGTTATTTTGTTGTTGTTGTTTTGTGTTTTTCTCTTCCTCCATTCTTTCCTTCCTGTCTTCCTTTTTTTTTTTTTTTTTTTTTTTTTTTTTTTTAATATGTAGTCTTGCTCTGTTGCCCAAGCTGGAGTGCAGTTGTGTGATCTTGGCTCACTGCAACCTCTGCCTCCCAGGTTCAAGCAATTCTACTGCCTCAGCTTCCCAAGTAGCTGGGATTACTGGCGCATGTCACCATGAATGGCTAATTTTTGCATTTTTAGTGGAGATGGAGTTTCACTGTGTTGGCCAGGCTGGTCTTGAACTCCTGACCTCAAGTGATCCACCCACTCTTCCCCACCAAGTGCTTGGATTACAGGCATGAACCACCACACCTGGCCCTGTCTTCCTTTAAATGAAAGTAATTTTCTCTGGTGCTATGTTTAATTTTAGTTAAATCTGCTTAGTGTCTTATAACCTTCTTATAGTTGAGTATTGATATCTTTTTCTAGGTTTGGTACATTCTATTCTCTATTATCATCCCTTTGAATAAACTTTCTACCCCAATATCCCTTTTCCTTCTCTTTAAGGCCAATAACTCTTACATTTACCCTTTTAAGTTTATTTTCTATATTTTGCAGGCATTCTTTATTCTTTTTCATTCTTCTTTCTTTTGTCTCCTATAACTGTGTATTTTCAAATAGCCTGTTTTCAAGTTTACTAATTCTTTCTTCTGCTTGACCAATTCTGCTATAGAGACTCTGATGTATTCTTTAGTGTCAAATGAATTTTTCAGCTCCAGAATTTCTGCTTAATTTTTAAAAATTACTTCGATCTCTTTGTTAAGCTTATCTGATACGATTCTAAATTCCTTCTCTGTGTTATCTTGAATTTTGTTGAGCGCCCTCAAAACAGCTATTTTGAATTATCAGTCTAAAAGATCAGACATCTCTGTCACTCTGGGATTGGTCAGTGGTTTCTTATTTAGTTTGTTTGGTGAGGTCATGTTTTCATGGATGCTTTTGATGCTTGTGGATATTTGTAGATGTCTGGGCATTGAAGAGTTGGTATTTACTGCAGTGTTTGCAGTCTGGGCTTGTTTGTGCCTATCCTTCTTGGAAAGACTTTCCAAGTATTTAAGGGTATTATGTATTGTGATCTAAATCTTTGATTACTGGAGCCATATCTGCATCAAGGAGCACCCCAAGCCCAGTAATGATGTGGCTCTTGAAGCCTCATGGGGGTACCAACTTGGTTGTCTTGGGTAAGATCCAGAAGAATTACCTGAATTACCAGGCAGAGACTCTTGTTTTCTTCCCTTCCCTTAAACAGATTACTCTTTCCATGCTGAGATACCTGGAGGTGGGTTAGGGACAACACAGGCACCCCTGTGGTCACCATCACTGGGACTGCAGTGGGTCAGACTCAAAGACAGCATAGCACTGAGTCTCACCCAAGGAACACGGTGCCCACTGCCTGGCTACTGTCAGTGTTCATTCAAGGCCCAAGGACTATGCAGTCAGCAGATGGTAAAGCCAGCCAGACTTATGTCTTTCCCTTGGGGATGGTGAGCTCCCCCTGGTCCAGGCAGGTCCAGAAATGCTGTCCAGGAGCCAAGACCCACAGTTGGGGACCTTAGGAATCTACCTGGTGCTCTATTCTATTGTGGCTGAGCTGGCAACCAAGTGACTTTGTCACTCTTCCCTCTTCCTTCTTCACGCAGACAGAATCTCTCCCTGTGGCCACCACTGCCCCAGACCTGTTGTGAGCACTGCCTGGCTACCACCAGTGTTCTTCAATGTCCAAGGGCTTCTCAGTCAGCTTTTGGTGAATGCTCTTAGGCATTGGTTATCCCTTCAGGGAAGTGGGCTCCCTTCTGGCACAGGGCAGATCTAGAAATGCCTCCCAGGAGCCAAGCCCTGGAATTAGGGACTCCAGGAGACAAGCCCTGCAATTAGGGACCCCAGGAGCCTGCTTCATGTTCTACCCTACTGTGGGCAAGCTGATGCCCAAGCTGGAAGACAAAGTTCTCTTTACTCTTCCTTCTTCTTTCTTCAACAAGGAGTCTTTCCCTGTATGCACACATGGCTGGGAGTATGCTCTGTCACACCTAAAGCCAGCACAGCCTTGTGTCTCACCCAAGGCCTGCACTGAGTGCTGCCTGGCTACCATTGCAGATTATTCACAGTCCTAGGGCTCTTTAGTCAGCAGGTGATGAATTCTGCCAGGACTGGATCCTTCCATTCAAGGCAGTGGGTTTCCTTCTGGCCCATGGTGTGTCTAGAAATGTCATCAAGAAGCTAGAGGCTGGAATGCTGGCCTCAACACACTGCCTGGTGCCCTAAGTTTCAGTCACCTCTGTCTAGGTCTGGTCTAAAGACTTTCTCTGTGGGCACAAGCTGAGTTCTTCTCTGTATTGCTTTCTGCTGTGAGAGGGCAGTATTGAGTTCCAATGCAGTCTCACAAGCTCTCTCTCCCAAAACACACAGATTATCTCCCTGCACTATACAGCTGCTGTGGGGGGATGGTGAAGGATGGCACTGGGAATTCAAGACAGTCTTTTCCTTCCGTCTTCAGTTTCTCTTTCCCTGTAATGATGTTAAAACCAGGCACTGTGATTACTCACTTGATTTTTGGTTCTTATCAAGGTGCTTTCTTGTGTGGATAGTTGTTCAATTTTGTGTTCCTACGGTGGGGAGAGGAGATGTTTGGAGGGTTCTGTTCTTCCATCTTGCTCCACCTATCAATAGTACTAACGTTTAACATTAAATGAATTTCTAACTATGTTTCAGAAATAAAAAAAAAATAAGAAACTTCATTTTGAATGGAGCTAGTTCTTTTTTATTTTTTATTTTTATTTTTATTTTTATTTTTTTTACAGTCTCACTGTGATGTCCCAGCTAGATACAGTGGCATGGCCTTTTGCTTACTACAACCTCTGCCTCCTGGGTTCAAGTGATTCTCCTGCCTCAGCCACTTGAGCAGCTGGGATTACACGTGTGCATCACCTGTCTGGCTAATTTTTGTATTTTCGGTAGAGACATGGTTTCATCATGTTGTCCAGGCTGGAATTAATGGAGGTAGTACTTAACTAGAAAATTTAGCTAGAAAGATCAATTCTGAAAAATAATTTTTCTATCGTTTAACTTTGACATGAGGAAAAAAGTCCTTTTGGGTGTTCACGAAAAACATCAAAGAAAAGAAAAAGTCAAAAGAAACAAAAAATTAAAAAGCCAAACAAGTTTAGTATAAAATGTCTTAATGATATCCTTTATAATTTATAAGTTTAGAGTAACAATTTTTTAAAAATTCAAGACAAACATTTTAAGAATCAAGAATATGGAAAACTATTTTCAACATGCAATAATTTGGTGGATATTATACTCATGAGCTGTTCAGGTAAAATTTATTATAGATGATTTATTATAGAAGAGACTTTATTTTAACCAAAGGAAAATTGGGAAAATAATTTTAAAGGATTGGTGGTGAGAAATTCTTTTCACAGGCATACACATGTTAATTCTATGATTATAACAAAGATTGAAATGAAGATGAAAGAGTAATCTGTGAAAATTCTATAATTTGAAAAAGTAAACATTACGATATATTTTTAACTAGGGAAAGATGCTATTAAAAAGAGAAATTTAATTGTAATTTCACTAGAACAATCTGTCTCAACTTTTATGTAATAAACTTGTGAGTTATTTTTTAGTTGCTATGAACCCCCAGGTTGAAGGTCACATGAACTGAGCATGTCCAGATGAGCCAAGTACATAACCACTTAGGTGAAACTCAAGTGCTCAAACCAAGGAGTGGGGACTGAATGAAGAGGTGGATACTGCATGGCAGGATCTAATAGTCAATCAGATCAAGTCCTTTCTTGTGTTGCTCTAGGGACTGATCCTGTTAGATTATGTATCCTGGCATCACCTCATTGCAAGATCCAATCAGCTCACACCCCATAACCTTGCTTATAAATCCCAATTCATTCTTCAGCTTGGGGAGACAGATTTGAGAGTTTCCTCTTGTCTATGTGCCAGTCAACTTGCAATAAATCTTCTCTATTCTCAAAATCTAGTGCCATGGTATTTGCTTCTATGCGCAAATATTGCTTGGTAACAATATTGCTTGGTAACAATATTAGCCTATTGATACTATTTAGATGCTATCAATACAATATCAGCATATTGATAATATTTGGATACTAAGTAGGAATAAAATAGGAATAAATAGGAATATTAATTAATATATCAAACCAAATATTATAAGTCTAAAAAATGAAAACAAAGGGATGAAAGACATAAAAGATCATATATAAACTAGTTATAAAAAGTGTGTATAGATTGAACTCAACTAAAGCTGAGACTCAGTAATTTATAAAGAAAAGAAGTTTAATTGGCTCACAGTTCCACAAGCTGTACAGGAGGCGTGACTGGGGAGGCCTCAGGGAAATCACAGTTACGGCAGACGGAAAGGGGAAGCTGCCACATGTTCAAATGGCAGAGCAGGAAAGAGAGAGAGCAAAAGGGGAAGTGCTACACAGTTTCAAACAACCAGATCTCATGAGAACTCCATCATGAGACAGCACTAGGAGGATGTGCTAAACCATTAGAAACCATCTCATGATCCAGTCACTTCCTACCAGGCTGCACCTCCAACACTCAGGATCAGGATCCCAATTCAACATGAGATTTGGGTGGCAACACAAACCAAACCATATCATTCTGCTCCTGGCCCCTCTCAAATCTCATATCCCTCTGACATTTCAAAACACGATCATGCCTTCCCAACAGTCCCCCAGAGTATTAACTCATTCTAGAATTAACTCAGAAGTCCAAGTCCAAAGCCTCATCGGAGGCAAAGCAAGACCCTTTCACCTATGTGCCTATAAAATTAAAAAAAAAAAAAAAAACAAGTTAGGTACCTCCAAGATACAATGGGAGTACAGGCATTGGGTAAATTCTTCCATTCCAAGAGGGAGAAATTGGCCACTCCCCTGAGCCAATCACCTCCCACCAGGCTCTACCTCCAACACTCAGGATCACAATTCAACGTGAGATTTGGGTCAGGACACAGAGCCAAACCATATCAATGACCTTAGGGGAATATTTATATGTCATCAGAGAATTGTCAGCAAATAGGAGAAAGATGCACACAGGATTGTATTTCCGGATTTTAGAAAGGAAGAGCAATTGCTGCTAAGTCTCTAAATGGGAAGGTGTTAGAGCAGTACTGGCAGGTTTTGAAAAAAAATAATTCTGAATGCATAATTATGAATGACTCAGTGAGGAAGAATTTTGGAATGTACTGAAATATAATCACCTTAAATGTTTGGTGGGGAAAAGCAAGGCATAAATCATAACTATGTAAAGAGACTGATCTGATTTTACAAACAACAACAACAACAACACCTCTGGGTTAAGCTCAGACTGAATTTTTTTGTATAAAACCTGAAAAAGATATAATCAAGAATCAGTCACATCCCAAATGATAAACTGGCATTTATAGGAAAAGATGAAAACTAATCAAGAATTTAAAAAGGTGATTTTAGCAATGCTAAGAGAAAGAGGAGCCAAAAAGCTGTCAGCCCCCTCCTTGAGAAAATATTAATAATGACACTGAGGAAAGAAATATTATTTCACTCATGTTGTGCCCTCTTTTTCTGTTGTTAAAGAAAATATTTTACACTAGAATGGAATTTGTAGCAGTGGCTATAAGTAAGAGGAATCTGAGTCAAAAATAAAGAAATTGTGAGAATGACAAAACTGTTTTTCATATTCTGCACTGGACGAATTAAATTTTAAGGCACTAAAAGATATGGCAATTAAAATGTGGAATTTTTACTACTAACAATTAGTTGAGTAGCATAGGAGAAATTAGACTGTCAAAGGCATTTGCAACCTTTGAGACCAAAAAGAAGGCATATTCTGCAAACCAGAGATCTTGATGCCAGTTTGAATAATTTCCCAGAGTCTATTAATAAAAGAACAGTGTTAGAACACCTATAAAGGAGAGTGGTGATGATGAGGAACTAATATAAGCCATTAAACAAGTCACACTAAGCTAGTTCAATTGTCTTTTTTGATATGGTTATGAGACTATAAGCTCAGGGATGTGCTGCAGAGAAAATGAAAATGGTTTTCAGAAAGCTGCTTGACAAACCCTCACATGATATACTGTTGTGTAAAATGGAGAAATGTACACAGTATGGCAAATTGGGCAAATGAATATAACCAAAGACCCATCAACAGGGCTCAAGTTCAACTCATTTTGACATGTTCTGTGATTTTTCCCTGACTCTCTTCTTTGCCATATATCTATGAATTGGCTGCAAACTTTGATAAGATCCTTACTAAACTTGTGCAGACATGGAGTTGGAAATAATAATAAATATTATAGATAACAAATTAAGCATTCAGAAGGCTCTTAGCAAGCTAGAAAGACAGGTTAAATGTAAAAGTTTGAAATAAAAAAATGGATAGCGATGGGCAGACAAAAGCAGCAGAGATAAAAGTAGAAGGAGGAGGAAAGAAATGAGAATATTAAAGGCCAAGAGAAAAACAAATTTTAATAACATAATGTTGGAAAAATAAAAGTTTTAGTTAAGGGAAAGATTAGCATAAACTAAAACTATATTCTAGACATGCCAACTAAAGCAAAACTATTTTAAAAATAAATTTAACCAAAGATGGATACCCAATGAACTGTAACTCCCAGTTCTCTTCCACATGAATTTGGGCTGGCTGTATGACTCATTTGCAACTGATAAAATGTAGTCAATGTAACATTGAGATGACAACTGGGGCTAGTCAGAAAAAGTCTTGCAGGTTCTCACTGGTCTCTTGGAATGCTCACTCTGGAAGAAGCAAGCTGCCATACAAGTCAGCCTGCCCTGGGACCACCATGCAATGAGGGGTGTACACTAGTCGTATTGAGAGAGAGATGAGTAGACAGGCCTGCCATGAGGCATGTAAATGGAGAAGCCTCCACTTGACTCCAGCCTCAGCTGCTGCCTGGTTACAACATATGTGATACCCCAAGCAATAACTGTTCAGTTGAGTCTGTCAATCTCTAGAACCAGGACACATCATAATACATTGTTGTAAATCGTTATATTTAGGCACTCAACATTGGAGTAGTTTCTACACAGAAAAAGATAATTGGAATGATCCAAAACTTGATTTGGACTTAGGCCACATTGATATAATTATGTTCTCATTTAGAGCAAAGATGGCAGGGAGGGGAGCTGTTTCCCATTCTTCTTACTTCAGGTGACACAACACTCAGAGTGTGGTGTTTCATTTTGATGACTCTCCTTTAACAAACTTACTCACAAACTGGATTTCACCAGAAGAAAAGAAAATAATGGTGAAATGAGCTATTTTGTATAAGAATTGCCAAGCCACCAAGGGTGTTTAGCTTGGAGAAAGAACAAAAACAGATAAGGTAAAAACGAATCCCCCACTTTATCCAGGTCTATTGCCTCAATACTTCTCTTATTTATCATTGAATCAATTCTTCATTGCATTAAAATAAATCCAGATGAACTTATTTTTCTCACTTTGTACTTCTGGTTTCTATCATGGCCTCTTTTGGTAGTGTATGAGACCTCTGCATTAAACAGAATCCCCACTGTGGTTTAATTTGAACAGTAATCAGAAATCCCTTGGATATTTTCTCAATCTTTTCTATATAGAACATAACCAACACCTTCCTTCCAAAAACATAGCATATTGCACTAACAAAATTAAATGCTTGCAGACACAGGTACCTAAGAAAAGCTAAGTCATTTGGACTCAGACTGTGATCAGAGAAATAACTCAATGTGCACTGATCCTGCCAGCAGTGAAGTTGAGGTCTGAGAGATCGGTTATTAGGTTGCAGTCAGCAGTATCAATTGAAAACAAAATAAATTGCAGGTTACAGTTACCCAAGATGTGTACGAGAAATAGAAGATGAGCCACCCTATTGAGGAATGAATATAGGGAGAGAAGTTTGAATGTCTTTGATGTGTTTTTTCATAGATTGTATTGAACATTATGGTTTGATATGTGCAACAGCAAATGTTGTCATTACATATCACACTGTAAAGCATGACTTTCCATTTAGATCAAGTGCCTGGTTTTCCAAATTACTCTTGCTCCATTTTTATTCAAATTGTCTTGCACTTGTAAAAAAGAAATGAAAACAAAATTAATATGTTGACTCTGTTAGAAGAAGTTCACGAATTCTTCGTTGACACCAGTGACATCAGATTCTTCAAAACTAATTCCAGTAATGGTTTGATTTTTTAGCATCCAATTCATTGAATAGAGATTTTATAAGTTAATTCTGTCAATGATAATATATCCAGTATTATTGTGAATGCTATTGTAAATTTATTTAAAATATTAAGTATTGAAGCTAAATTTTTTTCCTGGCAATAATAAAAATAGAAAATTTGTAGTACTATTATGATTACAACTATGATCTTAGAAGAAACAAAGAAAACCAAGAAGACTAAAACCCCAAAACTTTGAGACAGACATGTATTTGAAATTGGCTGAATGCTCACATATTTCCTAATTGTATCCAGAAATTTCAATATTCTGGAAATAGAAACTCTGATTTCAGCTCTAACATATAAAGAGCTTAGCAATTTTTATCTCCATCCTTACAACAAGAAGATAGTTAAGCAAAGTGATAATCAGCTTCCTTTAAACTCATCAGATAACTGAGGTGACAGGACAAATTATTCCACTGAACGCTGGAGAAACTGGTGTTTTGGTCTATTTGAGCTAATGTAACAAAATACTGTAAGTAGGTGGCTTGTAAGAAACAAAAATTATTTCTCACAGTTCTGGAGACTGGAAAGTCTAAGATCCAGGCAAAGGAAGATTTGGTGTCCAGTGAGGGCCCACTTCCTGGTTCATAGAAAGCTGTCTTCTCTCTGTGTCCTTACACAGTATAAGGGAGAAAGGAGATCTCTTTCATTAGGACACGAATATCATTCATGAGAATTACACTCTCATGACCTAATCACCCCCCTAACACACCACCATCAAATAACATCACACTGGGAATTTAGTTTTAACATATGAATTTTGGATGAATACATTCAGTCTGTATAATCTGGCTAATAAAGTCAGAGTCAGAATCTACTTACCTGGAGTAGAAGATGCTGGAGCCATAAACTGGTAAGAACATCTAAATAATAATTTTGAACAATTTTCTTGAGGGTAATTATGGACTAGCATGAGAGTGAGAAACCCCTGAAGAATGTATTCTTAGATGGTCTCCACACTTTTGTGAGTTTTAAGTTCAATAACCTAACCACGTCCTTATGCTGTGGAGTCGAGAAAAATCCTTCATGACTCTACCAGAGGGATGGGAGAGTAACAATTTTAACATAAGGTCAGAATATTCCAGACAAAACAAGGCTACTCTAAAGGGGAAATATTTTGCCAGAATCTTATTCCACCTTCAGGAACGGTAGATACAACACTCCTCCTACACCCCTCTAGAATTCTTGTCTCACCTAAGGGAATGAGAATAAGAAACTCTTGTGAAGATCACAGCCCAGGGACACAGACTAAAAGACTGAGACTAAATCAAACGACTATGGGGCACATTTTCTTCCAAACGTCTTACAACCATATCAAAAGAACTACAGTATAACAACACTGAATAATAGTAAAAACAGCTACAAGGTATAGTATCTATATAAGAGGAATGCTTAGTGAAGCCAAAAGTCAAGAGGAGAGATACAAATATATTGGAGGTAGCTGAAGCCTTAGGCATTTATACCTAGAGCAAACCTCAACAAAGTCCAACTCCTACTCATGTTAACATAAAATTTTAACTAAAGGCCTATTTACTCCAGTTTCTACTACTTGATAAAACATCCCTGGATATCAATAACAATTTATAAGGCAAGCTAAAAGACAAGACAAAACAGCCTGAAAAAAACAAAGCTAAGATCCTAACCAGATTCAGGTATGAGTTACATTTTGGAATCATCAGGCAGGAATTTAATATAGCTATAATTGATAAGTTAAGAAGCCTAATGAAAAAAGTAAACAACATAAAAAAGAGATTGGTAATATAAGCAAAAAGATGGAAACCATAAGAAAACCAAAAAGAAATGCTAGACATAAAAATGACAACAGAAATGAAGAATACTTTTCATCAGCTCACAATTAGATAGGATATGGCTGAGGAAAGAGTCAGTAAGCTTAAAGATATGTCCATGAAAACTTCCAAAACCCAAATAGAAAAGGAAAAAGAAAAGAATTAAAGAGATAAACAGGAGAAAACATTCAAGAACCATGGGACAATCTCAAAAGGTGTAGCCTAGGCACAAACGCATAATTGAGATCCAAGAAAAAAAAAGTAGAAATGAACACAGCCAAAAATATATGTATATATTTGTAGCGATAATGGCAGAGTAATTTTAAAAATTAAGGACACACAACAGCATCAAGCAAGATAAATACCAAAAAATCTACACCAAGAATATTGTTTACACTACAGAAAACCAAAGACAAAGAAAACATGTTGAAAGGAACCAGGGTGAAGGAAAGACACCTTATAGAGGGACAAGATAATAATTTTTGTCTGAAACTATGCAAGCAAGAAAGGAATGAAGTAAAATATTTACCATGTTAAAAAAGAAGCTCACTAAACTTGAATTCTATATCCAGCAGAAATATCTTTTAAATGTGAAGTAGATTTTCTCAGATAACAAACACTGAAAGAATTCGTTACCAGCAGACATGCCCTATAAGAAATTTCCAAATACGCTTCTCATAGAAGAGAAAAATGATATAGGTCAGATAGTCAAATCCCTATAGAGAAAGAAAAAGCATTGGAGAAAAATAAATGAAGTCAAAATAAAATGTTTTATTATTCTTATTCTTAATTGACCTAAAAACCAACTGTTTAATAACAGTAATAATGTATTAACGGATTATAGCATATGAATTGATTAGATGAACAAACTAAACTTACGAGGCACAGGAAGTAGGATTTGAACTACTCTGTCATAAAGTACTTCCACTGGATATGAAGCATCATGGTGTTATTGGAAGGTGGACTTAGATTAGTTGTGAATGAATATTGCAAACTCTAGAGCAACCAGTGTTTTTTTTTAAATTTAGGAGATAAAATGGAAATATAAAATGGTCAATTAAAACCATGAAAAACAGAAAAAAAGAATGGGAATATGGACAAGAACAAGTTCAACAAATAGAAAATGTCCTAAACTTTATAAATATTATGATAGTTAATTTTGTATGTCAACTTGATTGTGCCATGGAGTTTCTAGATATTGGATTAAACATTCTCAGTGTTTCTGTGATGATGATTTTGATAAAATGAACAAAATTAGCATTGAAATCAGTAGATTGAGTAAAGCTGATTGTCCTTCCTCTTATGGGTGGGCCTAATTCCTTCAATTGAAGGCCTGAATAGATCCAAAATCTAACCCTCCCTTGAGTAAGAGGGAATTATTTCGTGCCTTACTGCCTTTGAATCGAGATATCAACTTTTCCCCTGACTTTGAACCAGAGCTGAAACTTCAGAAGCTCATGGATCTCAAGCCTGCCAACCATCAGATGGAAGCTACAGAATCAGCTTTCCTAGTCCACAGGCTTTTGGACTCCAACTGGAACACCACAATCAGCTCTCCTGGGTCTTCGCCTTGCCAGTTCACTCTGTGGTTATTGATACTTGTCAGTCTTCATAATCACTTGAAACAAAACCTTATAATAAATATTTTTGTGTATGTTTGTGTGTGAACGTGTGTGTGTATCTTATTGGTTCTTTTCTCTGGCAATAGAAATGTAATGAAGTTATATCAGTAATCACTTTAAATATGAATTATCTAAATATCCCAATTAAAAGAGAGGTTATCAGAGTACACTAAAGAAAAAGCTGGGAGGAGCCAAGATGGCCAAATAGGAACAGCTCCGGTCTACAGCTCCCAGCGTGAGCGACGCAGAAGACAGGTGATTTCTGCATTTCCATCTGAGGTACCGGGTTCATCTCACTAGGGAGTGCCAGACAGTGGGTGCAGGTCAGTGGGTGCAGTGCACCGTGCACGAGCGGAAACAGGGCGAGGCATTGCCTCACTCGGGAAGCGCAAGGGGTCGGGGAGTTCCCTTTCCTAATCAAAGAAAGGTGTGACAGACGGCACCTGGAAAATCAGGTCACTCCCACCCGAATAATGCGCTTTTCTGACTGGCTTAAAAAACGGCACACCAGGAGATAATATCCCGCACCTGGCTGGGAGGGTTCTACGCCCACGGAGTCTCGCTGATTGCTAGCACAGCAGTCTGAGATCAAACTGCAAGGCGGCAGCGAGGCTGGGGGAGGGGCGCCCGCCATTGCCCAGGCTCCCTTAAGTAAACAAAGCAGCTGGGAAGCTGGAACTGGGTGGAGCCCACCACAGCTCAAGGAGGCCTGCCTGCCTCTGTAGGCTCCACCTCTGGGGGCAGGGCACAGACAAACAAAAAGACAGCAGTAACCTCTGCAGACTTAAATGTCCCTGTCTGACAGCTTTGAAGAGAGCAGTGGTTCTCCCAGCACGCAGCTGGAGATCTGAGAACGGGCAGACTGCCTCCTCAAGTGGGTTCCTGATCCCTGACCCCTGAGCAGCCTAACTGGGAGGCAACCCCCAGTAGGGGCAGACTGACACTTCATACTGCCGGGTACTCCTCTGAGACAAAACTTCCAGAGGAACGATCAGACAGCAGCATTCGGGGTTCACGAAAAACCGCTGTTCTGCAAACACTGCTGCGGATACCCAGGCAAACAGGGTCTGGAATGGACCTCTAACAAACTCCAACAGACCTGCAGCTGAGGGTCCTGTCTGTTAGAAGGAAAACTAACAAACAGAAAGGACATCCACACCAAAAACCCATCACCATCATCAAAGACCAAAAGTAGATAAAACCACAAAGATGGGGAAAAAAAAGAGCAGAAAAACTGGAAACTCTAAAAATCAGAGCACCTCTCCTCCTCCAAAGGAACGCAGTTCCTCACCAGCAATGGAACAAAGCTGGACGGAGAACGACGAGTTGAGAGAAGAAGGCTTCAGACGATCAAACTATGAGCTACAGGAGGAAATTCAAACCAAAGGCAAAGAAGTTAAAAACTTGAAAAAAATTTAGAAGAATGTATAACTAGAATAACCGATACAGAGAAGTGCTTAAAGGAGCTGGAGCTGAAAGCCAAGGCTCGAGAACTACATGAAGAATGCAGAAGCCTCAGGAGCCGATGCGATCAACTGGAAGAAAGGGTATCAGCGATGGAAGATGAAATGAATGAAATGAAGCAAGAAGGGAAGTTTAGAGAAAAAAGAATAAAAAGAAACAAACAAAGCCTCCAAGAAATATGGGACTATGTGAAAAGACCAAATCTACGTCTGATTGGTGTACCTGAAAGTGACGGGGAGAATGGAACCAAGTTGGAAAACACTCTGCAGGATATTATCCAGGAGAACTTCCCAATCTAGGAAGGCAGGCCAACATTCAGATTCAGGAAATACAGATAACACCACAAAGATACTCCTTGAGAAGAGCAACTCCAAGACACATAATTGTCAGATTCACCAAAGTTGAAATGAAGGAAAAAATGTTAAGGGCAGCCAGAGAGAAAGGTCGGGTTACCCACAAAGGGAAGCCCATCAGACTAACAGCTGATCTCTCAGCAGAAACTCTACAAGCCAGAAGAGAGTGGGGGCCAATATTCAACATTCTTAAAGAAAAGAATTTTCAACCCAGAATTTCATATCCAGCCAAACTAAGCTTCATAAGTGAAGGAGAAATAAAATACTTTACAGACAAGCAAATGCTGAGAGATTTTGTCACCACCAGGCCTGCCTTAAAAGAGCTCCTGAAGGAAGCACTAAACATGGAAAGGAACAACCGGTACCAGCAGCTGTAAAATCATGCCAAAATGTAAAGACCATCAAGACTAGGAAGAAACTGCATCAACTAACAAGCAAAATAACCAGCTAACATCATAATGACAGGATCAAATTCACATATAACAATATTAACTTTAAATGTAAATGGACTAAATGCTCCAATTAAAAGACACAGACTGGCAAATTGGATAAAGAGTCAAGACCCATCAGTGTGCTGTATTCAGGAAGCCCATCTCACATGCAGAGATACACATAGGCTCAAAATAAGAGGATGGAGGAAGATCTACCAAGCAAATGGAAAACAAAAAAAGGCAGGGGTTACAATCCTAGTCTCTGATAAGACAGACTTTAAACCAACAAAGATCAAAAGAGACAAAGAAGGCCATTACATAATGGTAAAGGGATCAATTCAACAAGAAGAGCTAATGATCCTAAATATATATGCACCCAATACAGGAGCACCCAGATTCATAAAGCAAGTCCTGAATGACCTACAAAGAGACTTAGACTCCCACACGTTAATAATGGGAGACTTTAACACCCCACTGTCAACATTAGACAGATCAACGAGACAGAAAGTTAACAAGGATACCCAGGAATTGAACTCAGCTCTGCACCAAGCGGACCTAATAGACATCTACAGAACTCTCCACCCCAAATCAACATAATATACATTTTTTTCAGCACCACACCACACCTATTCCAAAATTGACCACATACTTGGAAGTAAAGCTCTCCTCAGCAAATCTAAAAGAACAGAAATTATAACAAACTGTCTCTCAGACCACAGTGCAATCAAACTAGAACTCAGGATTAAGAAACTCACTCAAAACCGCTCAACTACATGGAAACTGAACAACCTGCTCCTGAATGACTACTGGGTACATAACGAAATGAAGGCAGAAATAAAGATGTTCTTTGAAACCAACGAGAACAAAGACACAACATACCAGAATCTCTGGGACACATTCAAAGCAGTGTGTAGAGGGAAATTTATAGCACTAAATGCCCACAAGAGAAAGCAGGAAAGATCCAAAATTGACACCCTAACATCACAATTAAAAGAACTAGAAAAGCAAGAGCAAACACATTCAAAAGCTAGCAGAAGGCAAGAAATAACTAAAATCAGAGCAGAACTGAAGGAAATAGAGACACAAAAAACCCTTCAAAAAATTAATGAATCCAGGAGCTGGTTTTTTGAAAGGATCAACAAAATTGATAGACTGCTAGCAAGACTAATAAAGAAAAAAAGAGAGAAGAATCAAATAGATGCAATAAAAAATGATAAAGGGGATATCACCACCGATCCCACAGAAATACAAACTACCATCAGAGATTACTACAAACACCTCTACACAAATAAACTAGAAAATCTAGAAGAAATGGATAAATTCCTGGACACATACACCCTCCCAAGACTAAACCAGGAAGAAGTTGAATCTCTGAATAGACCAATAACAGGAGCTGAAATTGTGGCAATAATCAATAGCTTACCAACCAAAAAGAGTCCAGGACCAGATGGATTCACAGCTGAATTCTACCAGAGGTACAAGGAGGAACTGGTACCATTCCTTCTGAAACTATTCCAATCAATAGAAAAAGAGGGAATCCTCCCTAACTCATTTTATGAGGCCAGCATCATCCTGATACCAAAGCCGGGCAGAGACACAACAAAAAAAGAGAATTTTAGACCAATATCCTTGATGAACATTGATGCAAAAATCCTCAATAAAATACTGGTAAACCGAATCCAGCAGCACATCAAAAAGCTTATCCACCATGATCAAGTGGGCTTCATCCCTGGGATGCAAGGCTGGTTCAATATATGCAAATCAATAAATGTAATCCAGCACATAAACAGAACCAAAGACAAAAACCACATGATTATCTCAATAGATGCAGAAAAGGCCTTCGACAAAATTCAACAACCCTTCATGCTAAAAACTCTCAATAAATTAGGTATTGATGGGACATATCTCAAAATAATAAGAGCTATCTATGACAAACCCACAGCCAATATCATACTGAATGGGCAAAAACTGGAAGCATTCCCTTTGAAAACTGGCACAAGACAGGGATGCCCTCTCTCACCACTCCTATTCAACATAGTGTTGGAAATTCTGGCCAGGGCAATTAGGAAGGAGAAGGAAATAAAGGTATTCAATTAGGAAAAGAGGAAGTCAAATTGTCCCTGTTTGCAGACGACATGATTTTATATCTAGAAAACCCCATTGTCTCAGCCCAAAATCTCCTTAAGCTGATAAGCAACTTCAGCAAAGTCTCAGGGTACAAAATCAATGTACAAAAATCACAAGCATTCTTATACACCAGTAACAGACAAACAGAGAGACAAATCATGAGTGAACTCCCATTCACAATTGCTTCAAAGACAATAAAATACCTAGGAATCCACCTTACAAGGGACATGAAGGACCTCTTCAAGGAGAACTACAAACCACTGCTCAATGAAATAAAAGAGGATACAAACAAATGGAAGAACATTCCATGCTCATGGGTAGGAAGAATCAATATCGTGAAAATGGCCATACTGCCCAAGGTAATTTATAGATTCAATGCAATCCCCATCAAGCTACCAATGACTTTCCTCACAGAATTGGAAAAAACTACTTTAAAGTTCATATGGAACCAAAAAAGAGCCCGCATCGCCAAGTCAATCCTAAGCCAAAAGAACAAAGCTGGAGGCATCACACTACCTGACTTCAAACTATACTACAGGGCTACAGTAACCAAAACAGCATGGTACTGGTACGAAAACAGAGATATAGATCAATGGAACAGAACAGAGCCCTCAGAAATAACACCGTATATCTACAACTATCTGATCTTTGACAAACCTGAGAAAAACAAGCAATGGGGAAAAGATTCCCTATTTAATAAATGGTGCTGGGAAAACTGGCTGGCCATATGTAGAAAGCTGAAACTGGATCCCTTCCTTACACCTTATACAAACATCAATTCAAGATGGATTAAAGATTTAAACGTTAGACCTAAAACCATAAAAACCCTAGAAGAAAACCTAGGCATTACCATTCAGGACACAGGCATGGGTAAGGACTTCATTACTAAAACACCAAAAGCAATGGCAACAAAAGCCAAAATTGACAAATGGGATCTAATTAAACTAAAGAGCTTCTGCACAGCAAAAGAAACTACCATCAGAGTGAACAGGCAACCCACAAAATGGGAGAAAATTTTTGCAACCTACTCATCTGACAAAGGGCTAATATCCAGAATCTACAATGAACTCAAACAAATTTACAAGAAAAAACAAACAACCCCATCAAAAAGTGGGCGAAGGACATGAACAGACACTTCTCAAAATAAGACATTTATGCAGCCAAAAAACACATGAAAAAATGCTCACCATCACTGGCCATCAGAGAAATGCAAATCAAAACCACAATGAGATATCATCTCACACCAGTTAGAATGGCTGTCATTAAAACGTCAGGAAACAACAGGTGCTGGAGAGGAGGTGGAGAAATAGGAATACTTTTACACTGTTGGTGGGACTGTAAACTAGTTCAACCATTGTGGAAGTCAGTGTGGCGATTCCTCAGGGATCTAGAACTAGAAATACCATTTGACCCAGCCATCCCATTACTGAGTATATACCCAAAGGACTATAAATCATGCTGCTCTAAAGACACATGCACACATATGTTTATTGCGGCACTATTCACAATAGCAAAGACGTGGAACCAACCCAAATGTCCAACAATGATAGACTGGATTAAGAAAATGTGGCACATATACACCATGGAATACTATGCAGCCATAAAAAATGATGAGTTCATGTCCTTTGTAGGGACATGGATGAAATTGGAAATCATCATTCTCAGTAAACTATCGCAAGAACAAAAAACCAAACACCGTATATTCTCAGTCATAGGTGGGAAATGAACAATGAGAACACATGGACACAGGAAGGGGAACATCACACTCTGGCGACTGTTGTGGGGTGGGGGGCGGGGGAGGGATAGCATTAGGAGATATACCTAATGCTAGATGACGAGTTAGTGGGTGCAGCGCACCAGCATGGCACATGTATACATATGTAACTAACCTGCACATTGTGCACATGTACCTTAAAACTTAAAGTATAATAAAAAAAATAATAATAATAAAATCAAAGTTCCATGGTCAAGCAGTGAACAGAATATTATTATAGCATTGCCTTGAAGCTCTCATTCTGACCCAGAAATAAAATATATTCTACCTGAAAAAAAAAAAGAAAAGAAAAAGCTATATTAATTTCAGACAAAGTGGACTTTGGAACAGGAAGATTATCAGTGATAAAGATGAGCATTATATAATGATAAAGGAATAAATTATTTAAGGAGATACAACAATCCTCAGCTTAAATGTTTCTAACAAGTGATCATCAAATGTGAGACAAAAACTGACAGAACTGAAAAGAGAAATAGACAAATCTAGTGTTACAGCTGGAAATGTCAAAACCTCTGATTTAGTAATTGATAGATCAAGGCAGAAAATCCGTAAGGATATATATAGTTGACATGAACAACACAATCAATCAACTTGATTTAACTGACATTTATAGAATATTCCTCCAACCACAAAATATATATTCTTCTTAATATCATATGAAACATTCATCAAGAAAAACCAAAGATTGATTCATAAAAATACTTTAACAAATTTTAAGGTATAGATACCATAGAAAGTATATTCTCAGGCCACACTGGAATTAACCTAAAAATCAATAACAGAAATATAGCTGGATATTACAAATATGTGATAACTTAAAATATAATTGTAAATAGTAAAATGCTCAAAAAGAGTGCTCAAGAGAAGTTAAAAAATATTTTGTTGAAATAAAAGTAAAAGGCAACTTATCAAAACATGTAGTGTGCAGTAAAAACGAGAGAGGGACATTTCTAGTGTTTAATTAACATATTAGAAAATATCTAAAATCAACACTCCAAGCTTTTAGTTTATGAACCTAGAGTAAGAAGAGTAATGTAAGCCTAAATTGAGCATAAGGAAGAAATGAATTAGAGGAGAAATCAATGAAATTGAAAACAGAAAATAGCGCAGAAGTAAATGAAGATAAATGCTGGTTTTCTGAAAAGATTAATAAAGCTGATAAACTTCAATCAAGAATAACCAAGACAAAAGACAAAAAATGCCATACCATGAATAAAAGAGGGGCTATCAAAATTGATTCCATAGACATTAAAAGGATGATAAAGAAAGATTTTGAATAACTCTGTGCCCCTAAATTTAATAATGTAGATGAAAGGGACCAATTCTTGGAAAGATACAAGCAATTCAAACTCATACAATGGGAAACAGATCATTTTAATTGCCCTATATGTATTAACTAAATTAAATTAAAAATTAATAATCTTCAAAAACAAAAACAAAAACAAATCCCAAGGCCCAATGGTGAATTCTAAGAAACATTTAAAGAAGAAATGATACCAATTTTCCACAATCTATTTCAGAACATAGGATGAGGGGGAACACTTCCTAAACTCATCATATAAGACTATCATTATCTGAATATCAAAATTAGGTATAGTAATTACAAGAAAGGAAAAGTTTGGGTCAATATTTCTTTTGAATATAGGTGTAAAAAATCTCAACAAAATATTAGCGAATAGAATCCAACAATATATGGAAAGAATTATACACCATGACAAAGTACAATTTGTTCAGAATACACAAGACTAATTTGATATTTGAAAATGAATTGGTATTTTGCACCAAACCTAAAAGCTAAAGAAGAAAATTTGTCTATCATATCAATACAGAAGAAGTATTGAACAAAATCCAAAACATGTACACCTTAAAAATCTCAGCAAACTAGAAATAGAAAACTTTCTAAATTTGATAAAGAATATCTACAAAAAAATCTTAAAGCTAGTACCATTCTTGATCCTGAGGAACTGGATGCCATGATCGAGAATAAGGCAGGATGTCTTGTCTCACCACTCCTATTCAGTATCATATTGGAAGTCCTTACTAGTGCAATAAGACAACAAATAAATGATATATAAATAGATGAAGAAGAAAGAAATAAAACTTTGTTCACAAATGATATGATTATTTAAGCAAAAAATTCCAAATCAGCATTTCTGTAAGATACAAGATGATATAGAAAAGTCAATTGCTTCTTTATGAGCAATGTACAATTAAAATATAAAATTAAGAAATTATATTATTTACCATAACATTCAACAGAATAAAATACCTAGGATTAAATTTAACAAAATATGTAGAAAGCACAGATATGGAAAACTATGAAAACCTTGTCAAAGACATTAAAGGGGATTGAAATAAATGGACACCATGAATTGGACGACCCAATTTTGTAAAGATGTTAATTCTTACCAAGTTGACCTATAGATTCGATGCAATCTCAGTTAGAATCCCAGGATTCTATTTTGTAGATAGTGCCAAACTTATTCTTCTAAGGGTTACATGGGAAGACAAACAACCTAGAAAAACCTAGACAATAGTAAAAAAAAGAACGAAGCTGGAGGGCTCACATTACCTATCTATATTTACCATAAAGCTGCAGTATTTATACTGTATTTATACTTAATATAAAGCTACAGTAATCAAGATAGCAAGGCATTGACAAAATAACAGACATACCGATTAGAGTAACAGAATAGAGAGCACATAAATAGGTTACCATAATTGTAGGTAACTGAGTTTTTGACAGAGGAGCAAAATCTTTTGAACAAATAGTGCTGGAACAATTGAACACCCGTATGTGGGAGGGGAAAGGGTGGGATCTATCTATCTATCTATCTATCTATCTATCTATCTATCTATCTATCCATCCATCTATCTATCCTTTCTCAAAAATTAACTAAAAATGTATTATAGTTCTAAGTGTAAAACCCAAAACTATAAAACTTCTTGAAGAAAGCATATAAGGATAAAACTAACTGACCTTGAATTTAGTGGTGAGTTTCCTCCCCAGAAACATATGACTCCAGAGTAATCATAAGAAAAACACCAGACAAATCCAAACTGAGTAGCATTCTACAAAATACCTGACCAGCACTCCTCAAAACCATCAAGGTCATCCATCAAAAAAGGAAGGACAGTCTGAGAAAATGTCACAGCCAGAAGGAGCCTGAGGAAATATGACAACTAAATGCAATGTGGCATCCTGAATAGGATCCTGGAACAGAAAAAGAACAGCAGGAAAAAACTGAGGAAATAGAAACAAAGTATGGAATTTAGTTAATTATAATGTATCAATATTTGTTTGTAATTTGTACCAAATTTACCATACCAATGTAAGATGATAGTAATAGGGGAAATTAGGTTAGGCCCACATGAGACCTCTCTGTATTTTGTTCCTAACATTCCTTTAAATCTAAAACTTCTCTGAAAATATCAATTACTTTTTAAAATTATAAAAATATGGAAGCTTTCATTGTGAAAATATATAAATGACTATGTGAATATTAATAAGCTGCAACATTTGTCAAAATGCTGATGAAGAACACACAAAAAATTGTGAAAGCAGTTTTTATGTTTTTTCCATTATTAATCAGATCTTTACAATTTTGAAACTTATTTTCCAAATGAATCTGAGGGTCCTACAAAGTATTAAATATTGCTGTGAGCTCTTGAAATTTGGTTATAATTTCCTCAAAATCAGTTGAGAATTTTTAATCATGGAAATCAAATGCTATAGCCCCAAACATTTGGGTTTTGAAGCTTTTTGAGAATTACAATTGTTTTGAAAACAAGCCTTGAAATAAAAAAAGACTTTCAAATATATCTCTACAAAACCAATAAAAGAATTAAATAGATTAAAGAATAAAAACTAAAGGGCAGCAGAATTAATTCTGGATATGTGTAATTGAATTAGGAGGATGCTGTTTGATAAATTAAATTTATGCTTTGTATTACACTGGAATGCAATTGAGAAGATCTATAATTGTGCCCCATTTACTTTTGGTAAAATATATAAAAGAATCATAAATAGATATAGTAATGTCTGTGATTAGTTTTGTCTTATGAAAGTATTTTTGAAATCACTATTTTACATGTAGACAAAAGATACCATCTGTGAAAAATATATAAATTATTCTGTGATTTAAATTATGTGTAATAAATGATTAATTGTATGACTATATGCTTCATGGGGGCTATAACAACCTACTTGAGATAACTGAAATAATATGAAGTGTTTAGAATTAACTATTTGTGACCAAAAGATGACTAATATTGTTTTTAAACAGTGACATATACATCAGGAAGACATACATTGCATTTGATGTCTTTCATAAAAATAATATTACAGCTATCATAAAATGGGTTGATGAATAAATATCTTTAATATCTTCTTTAAATCTAAGTTCTATAATTTTATGAAAACAATTATTGTGAATAGATTGATACACTGTGGTTCTAAGTGGATGTACATTTTGGGTGTGAGGAGGTAGAATTCATAATTTTCTTATGAATAGATTTTATTTTTTATTACTGTCTCTGGATGTTTAACAGTTGGAATGATTTATGACGAGATTACTAAAATTCTCAATTCTAGTGGTGTTCACAGCAAGAAAGCTAGCCAGGATTGTGGTTACATATGCGTACAAAATATACAGCCCTCTATAAGCAAGATTCTGATATCAATGGAGTGAGAAAATAACAATCTCTATTCAGAACAATAGGGAAATTTTCTCTGGCAGTGTCTATATTAAGCTTACAAAATTACTAGTGTACAATACAGTAACAGATCTATTTAGGCAAAAATGTGACTTGACATTTGCTTGACTTTTAGTAAGTTAAATATTTCTCTAAATGAGTTAAAATGACAAATCCAATTAAATTATTCAAACATTATTTTTTTTCTACATTCTTTAAGATCTGTTTCTCTTTGAGTGACCTTGTGAAGACAGGTCCTGTAAAAATTGGCTGCAACTTTTTTACTAAGATTGTGGAATCTGATGACACATAAGATGAGTCTAACTAGAGTAGAAAAAGAAGGAAAAATTGACAGAGGACTTGTGTCTTGTTACCCCTAGTTTACTAAATCTAGTCTTATAGAAACAAATGAAATATAAAAAATTTAAAAAGAGACAAATATGACAAACAAAAAGGAAAGAATACAAAAAATAGATGCAGTATTTCAAAGTAGAGAGATTGTTATCTCATTGTGATAATGGAGAATACTATTTTAGAAAAGAAATATAAGCTAACTGAATATTGAAAATTTTATAGAATTAAAAAACCGATTAGAATAAATTACTGAAGTAATGAATAGTAAGTTAGAAAAGAGTATGAGAGTAAAAAGTAGGATTTTTGTATAAATAATGGAAAACATTCATTTGATATATAGAAACATTCTAGTAGTTCCACATTAAGAAAGAAACAGAAGGAAAAATCAGTGTTCTTTTGAAGGTAGGTCTTGAGGCAAGCATAGCATAAAAAATAAAAGTGTAGGACCATACATATAACTGTTAGCTAATTAGGATCATCACCAAATAAGATTATAAAAAAATACTTCTAGGAATTTTTCAAAACATTAATAAATAATGTAAATTATTTAAAGAGCAATGACATATCTTTCTAAAATTTGAATTCCCTTTATTACAATAAAACCATTTGGACACTTCATGCAGTGATAGACTTTTTGAGTGTTTGTTTAAAATTATGCATTAAAAATTTTGCTTTAATATTTTTGTTTAAATAAAAACAATTAAGTGTTCACTTTCTACCAGGAAAAGTTAATTGATTTAGTGACAATAACTAAAAGGTAACAAAAGTGACAGTAACTAAAAATGCACAAATGCATATAAAAAATCATGTAAATTGACTACATATGTTAAATTTGCTTTTATACACATCTCTTTTTAAACTCAAATGTATAAGAAATATATCATAGCAATATCCTGTATATAAAAAATAAATATTTAAATTTTTATTTCTCTTATGTTGCTTTTCTATTAATAAAAATGTATACACACAATGGATATTAGAGTGTTCATGTTGTCATAATATAAATGGAGAATAGATATTTCATTTAATGACCAATTAAAAATGTTATGAAATACAATTTTCAAATCCACAAGTCTCTTGCACAGAGTACCCACAAAGAAGTCACTTGTGTACCAACTTTGTTGCCTAGTTTGTATCTTTCCAAACTCTGGCCACTGAATCCGTCATTACACGTTATTGTTCAGCCACGGACACTAGAGTTGATGTGACTGGCTATTCCCCAGGCTAACTCCCTGTTCTATCCTAGTTCTATCTTACCCAGAGCCTTATATCCAATTTTCTATTGGTGCTCAAAGAATAATGCTGGCCTACTTGCTCAGAAGTGTCCTGTCATGATTTTATGTAAATAGTGGATGCACAGAAATGATTTAGACTATTATAAAGTATTTTATAAATTATAGCTATTTAGTAGTGTCTTTAATTATAGAGGACAAATATAAACTATTTTTTTAAACTTTTTCTGATCAGCGATGTTGAAGAGGTGTAACACTGCTTATTTTGTCAAATCAGGTAAATTTGAATCAAGTAAATTCTATGACTGGTAAATTACTTTTTCTCCAGATCTGAATCCTATGCCTGTCTTTCTTGTATCCTCAGAAACTGGTGTTTTTTTTTTTTGCTTTTTCTTTCCTTTTTTCCTCTTATTTACCCAAAGCTTTGGTGATCGCCTCTAATTCAATCTTGGAACACTACACTGCAGCTCTTTCAGACTGAGAATCTAATGCTAACCTTTCTACACTGGCTGTTTGAAAGTACATTGAAAATCAGGCCACCTGTAAATAGAACTGTATAGAATAGACCTGTCGATCTGTGGAATGAATATATGAGTAAAGGAAGGACAAGGTGAGGAAAGCTAAAACAGTGTGGAAGTAGGAAGGATTTCTACGAATACAAAAGTGATAATGAAATTTTCCCCCCTCAAAACTAGGACTTAATTATTTAAGAGTGGGAAACCATAATCAAATAAACTGATTTTTAAATTTCTCCTGTATCATTTTTAAGCACAAACTTTTTCATCTTAGAAAAGTTTTAGATATAGGGAATTACTGCAAAGATAGTGCTGACAGATCCCATATACTCCACACCTGCTTTCTTATTCATAATTTACATTAGTATGGTGCGTCTGACATCGTTAATAAATAGATACTGATTCATCGGGATTAAAGTTCACACTTTCCTCAGATTTCCTCATTTTTTTTTCCTAATGGCCTTTTTTTTTCTGTTCCAGAATCCAATCCAGGATGCCACATTACATTTAGTTGTCACCTCTCCTTAGGTTCCTTTTGGCTGTGACAATTTTTCAGTATTTCCTTCTTTTTGACGATATTGACAGTTTTGAGGGGTGCTGGTCAGGTATTTTGTAAAACATTTCTCGACTGGCACTTATTTGGTGGTTTTGTTATACATAGGCTTGGAGAAAGACCACAGAGATAAAGTGTTATCCTCATTACGTTATATCCTAAATATGATTTATCACTGTGGATGCTAATCTTGATCACTTAGGTTGATGTTAGGCCCCTCAACTGAAAAGTTACTAATTTTCTTCCCCCTTTCCATACTCTACTCTTTGGAAGAGCTCTACCAACAATCTACAAGTCTACCAAAGAGTAGAAGTCTTCCAAAGAGTAGAGTATGGAAAGGGAGAAGTAGTCATTGTGTGAAGCCCACATTTAAGGAGTGGGAATTTATACTCCATCATTCTAAGAGAGAAAAACCTACAGAAGTTAGAATTCTTCTGCACAGGGAAATTTTCTATTCCCCCCCCCGCCATTGATTTCTTTAGTCATCATTTATTTTTATTGGTATACAATCACAGATATTTATTTTCTATTTTGTATCAAAATCCTATACAATTTCATTTATTTTGTTGCTCAACTTGTTACAGCTTTGGCCATTGGGTATGCTTTCAGTTGGCTCCTGTATGTCTTTAGCAAACCCTCATCACTGAAGGGAGTTTTTTTTTTGTGGGGGGAAGGGGAAGACTTTCCTAATTTTTGAAGCTAGATGTTGTTCCAGGCTCACTGTGTAAATTTCTTGCATCAGGCCTAGAATCACCTATTTCTCCAAAGAGCGCTTGTTACTTTTACTGTGGAATGGTATTAGAAACCAAGATTTGGGTACTAGGTGTGCTTGTGACTTCTGGCGTGTGCTTGTTGTTATGCTCTCAAGGGGACATATGTGAGTATCCTAATCCACGTAGATACACATTTCTATAAATATTTCTGTATATAACCATTTGTTTTTGGTATTTATCCTGCTTAATGTTCTCTTCACTTCTTGAATCTGTGGTTTGGAATCTGTCATGAAATTTTGAAAGCTTTCTGTCATTATTACTTCAAATATTTCTTCTGCAGTGTTCGCTTACATTTCCTTCTGGCATCCCAACTTTGTTTGTGCTATACTTTTTCAGATTGTCCTACAGTTTTCTGATGTTTTCTTCATTTATTTTTTTCATTGTTTTCTTCTCTTTGTATTTCAGTTTGAGAAGTTTCTATCGACGTATCTTCACCTACTCCTCAGTGATGTCCATTCTATTGCTAAGTTGATTGAAGGCATTCATCATTTCTGTTACAGTAGTTTTGATCTCTAGCATTTCCTTTAGATTATTTCTTAGGTTTTCCATATCTTTGCTTATATTACCAATCTGTTGTCTCCTTTTTCCATTTAGACCTTTAACATATTAGTCATATTTTAAATTCCTGTCTGATAATCCTAAAATGTGAGTCTTATCAGTTTAGTTCTAATACTTGCACTATCTCTTCAGACTGTTTTGTTCTGCCTTTTACATTGCCTTGAAACTTGTTCTTGATATCCAGGCAATGGGATCTAAGGTTAATAGGCCTTTAGTTGAAAATTTACGTTCATATTGGTAGGAGATTTGTTGAATGTTTGCTGTGGGTATATCTAGAGGCTTCAACCACCTCTAGTGACCTTGTATTTGTCGTTCTTTTTATCTGTGCCTTACAACTCTTTCAGCTGTTTTCCATTATTATTATACTGGAGCCTTGATAATATTGAGCTAGGTGTTGTGGAAGGTGAGTTTTACATATTTATTTCAGTTAAATCTCAGTCTTTTATTTGTCAGTTGTTTGTTACTTTCACCAGTGTTTCTAGTTTGATGAGACAGAAAGCTTAGGAACTAGTGGAGGGAAAGAATGCTCTTCCTTCATCTGACTGGGGCAAGTCTCTGGCAGCCTTTTCCCCTGGAGAGTCGGCCTTTTAAATGGAAAAGGCTCTGGGTGCACTTCCCAAGGATTGCTCTTCCTTTCCTCCTACTCCAAGCACAAAGGACTATTTCCTGGATCTTCCCTACAAAAACCTGGTACATTTCCTAAAGGTAAAATTCATAAAAGTGTGGGGACTCCGCTTCACCTGTACCTTTCAGGATTTTTCATTTATACAGCAGTTCCTACTTAGCATCCAGAAATCTCACAAATTCACCACTTCTGTATTATTACTAGTCTATGTCTCCAGCAGCTTCTCTTTCAGATAATCAGATTTTGAGTGTGACTTTTCTCGATTCACTTGTCTTTCCAGATTTCAGGGTGGTAATTTGCCCTGCAAACTCATTTCTCTGTGTCCAACAAAAAAAATCATTGGTTTTCAGTTTGCTTGCTTTTCTTCATGTTGCAAGAATGAAAGTGAGAACGTCTAACCTTGTTACATGTTGGAGCTAAAATGGGAAGTTCCAACTAGCTTTAAAATTCTTTTTTGTCTTCTTCTTTTTCTGTGAGAATGCTCAGTTGATAGTGGCCTCTAGTGGAAATTACTATTTCCTCGTCCCTCTCCTTATGCTTTATCTTCATCTTCCTTGTGAAAGTTCTTACATGGTTACCTGAATTTTTAAAAATATTGCTTTAGTATTACTTTATTTTTGGCATTTGTACTCCCTTCTGTCTCCTGTTTTGCTGTTGGAAATCTCTGAATTGCATCATGGCAACTTCCCTATTCAAGTGTCCTTTCTTCCAGCCTATAATATGGTAGCTGAACACTGATTTAAAATAGAAAATTTTAACTCAGGTCTTTGAGTAAAATTAATTCTGTTGATTATTTCTAGGCTTTCTTTGGGTGAATTTCTTGAAATATTCTAATTATGAGGTTTAGGTGTATTTACTTATTTATGCTTGCTTTCTTTTCATTCCTTATCACCATATTTCCATGTGTATAAATCACATGAATGGAAAAATTACTAACACAAACCCTTTCTTGAAATCTTCTTTGATACTTCAGCTTAACATTTTCAAAATTATGCTAATAAATGAGCACAAAGTAATTGTTAAAAGACATAAAGTTCTGATCTTTTGTTTCTTTTGGGTCACACTCATATATTTATACTCTATTCCATTAATTAAAAAAATTATAGAAAAAGAGACATTTGAAAATTCATAAGCTCTGATAAGATTTATGCATGTTTTTGAAAGGGACAATGGATATAAAAGTGAATTGTGGCAAAACTTTGAAAAAGAGTCACATTTTTATGGGGCTAAAATTCTTTAGATACTGAAGAAAGAGAAGATTCCGGGCTTGTCCTGTCAATTGTTGTATGGCATCTGCAGTATGCTTTGTTACTAAGCTTGTAAATGAGTAAAACATGTGTTCTTTTAATCCTCTGGGTAGTACTTTATTACTGTAGTAATGATTACAATGAATCTGTGGTGGCCTGAAAGGGGTAGTACATAGTCTATATTATCTCTGAAAGCAACATATAGAGAATATGTGAATTAATTTAGTTTGGTGGAGATTCTGGGTAAATTCCAAAAGTGGATTAGTGAAACAATTAATTTATCTTTTCAAAAAAATGTTTAAAAATATACAATACAAGCGTATCATTTCAGGTTACTAGTACTTTAAAACTAAATGAAAATGTTGCAATATAATGATATTTCAATAAGAAAAAAGTCTATTTGCAAACTAATGCAGTAGAATACATACATCCTTATTCTACTTTGTATATCACCTATAAGAAGGTCAATCACAAAGTACAAAGGATTAATTATATTCAGATTACCTGATACATTGTTCTAGGCAATTACTTTTAAAATATTTGCAAGAAAGCCCTCAAAGTGCAAATAATTTATATTCAGCTATGGTTTTTAAAAATGAGAACACTTAAAAAGTATATTTTAAGACTTGATACATTTATGTTCTGATATTTGACACATAATTATCTCAGTTGTTGGTAGATTTCACTAAATTTGGTATTGAAATGAAAAAATAAAGCAAATACAAAAACTGCATAGATACTAAGAAGAAATCAGGTAAAGAAAAATAATATTTTCCAAGTCCATATGTTTTAAATATATTATGTCTGATATAGCAAATATAATGTTAGTGTTTAAAACCTGAGATAAAATTTTCTTAGAGATGTAGTAATATTTTTATAACATACAGATATGAACATAAAATACAACATTCTCAAGAAAAACTCAAAGTTAAGAAGTTAAATTTTTTTAAATAAAAAATGCCAGAGAAGTATAATATTGTTCTCAGTGAAACACATCAAATCTAGTATAGAAAAAATCATTTTTTCACGAGTTCAATTTTAAAAATTGGAAATTAATTAAAATGTAATTTCTTTAAAAAGAAAAACTCAGATATTGACAATCAGGCTAGGTCTAGTTTCTAGATTAATATAGTAAATGCTTATGTCAAGTATTATTTTCATTGGAAAATTTTCATTCAATTATTTTTTGTGTGTTTAGTGAATTATAAAAATAATCTAATTATCTATTCAAACTACAACTGGGCCAGCCAAAATCAATCATAGCAGTAGGAGAGAAAAATGACAATAAATAGGAATTAACTCACACTAAGACTTAATTGAGCTGACTCCAGGGGTTAGATATATATCTCTACATGTAATACGTTAATTTTATATTGCAGTAGCATTGTCAGGGATGAAAGTCTTGGACCCAATATTGACTTTTGAAAACAAAACCTTTTGTTTTCTAAATTACAGTAGTAATAAGCAACAAGATATTTATAGTCAATTGGGGAAAATTTACAGTAATAATTTTTTCTCATATTTTAAATAGTTTTCCCTCTAGGAATGCTAGAATAATTGTAGCTCCTTTCAACTGCGTTATTCTAGGACTTTGGAATGGGATAATATAGAGGTCCTTTACAAAGAGTATGTAAGTTGATCTTTTAGGTATTTCATGGAGTTACTTGTGTATGTATCAGTAATCCAAGACATGATTATATGTGTGTGTGTGCACATGTGCGTGTGCATGCATGCATGAGGTAGAGATATTATCTAGCCTTAAAAAAAATAATAAATTAGAATTCTAAGTATTACTCAATTTTCCTTGAATTTTTAAATTTAATTACCCAATCAAGGAAAATCCAGTAATACTTAGAGTTTTATTTTATTTATTTATTGTTTTGAGACAGGGTCCCACTCTGTCACCCATGCTGGAGTGCAGTGGCCTGAACATGGCTCACTGCATCCTCGACCTCCCAGGCTCAAGAGATTCTCTTGCCTCAGACTCCTGAGTAAACGGGACTTCAGGAGCGCATGACCACACCAGGTTAATTTTTTAATTTTTGTAGAGGCGGAGTCTTACCATGTTGCCCAGGCTGGTCTTGAACTCCTGAGCTCAAGCAATCTCCCATCTCAACCTCCTGAAAGGCTGGGATGATAAGTGTGAGCCACTGCACCTGGCCCAATACTTAGAATTTTAGATTCATCATCTCACTTTGGCAAGGCCAGAGTGAGGCTGTTTTCAGCTGCTAATCCTGTTACTGCAGTTTATTCTGAAGTTTCTCTAAAATAGAGAAGGATGCTTACACATTCTATAGCCAAGAATGCTACATCCATTTTATATCCGCATTCCTTCTAATAGGGAATGCATAATGACCTTTGAATCATTTTAACATTTTTCTGTTTCTTCCTTCAGATCTGAAAATCAAAGGATGTTGTAAAGTTATAATCCCATCTTACTGGGTGAAGTAAAAAAAACTCTTGAGAAGATTAGCTGAAGAGAGGGCCATAAACACCTTTGACCTCAGTGATGCATTTTTTTTACTAGAAAATACTTGTGCAAAATCAGGAAATGAAAACTTACTGCGTTGAATGCCATACCTGTGGAAACATACATTTTGGCAAGAAAAAATTATCCCTAAACAAAAAATGTTTCTTTTTATTCTAAAATACTGATTAGGTCACAACATCCATTGTAGATAATGTAAAGACATTTGGGACAATTCTTTGCTAATGATCATTTTTCTTAAATGACCTAAATATCTAAAACCTGTGCTATTATGCTTTAATTTACCATAGACAATGGTGATCAGTGCAGAGTAATTTGCAGAAAGCCAACTTAATATGAATACAGAACTCAAGAATACATAGAGAAATAGTTTGTGTACTGACTGATGCATTTATAGAATCTTGTGTTGGCTTTCTGAGATATTCTAGCATAATCATATTTATCATTTGGAATGAAAATAGAAAATTATTGCATATAACCTTCTACTAAATGTGAAATCCTCACATTAATCATGTATATAACAGATTTTATTGTTTGTTTAATTTTTATATGGCAAACAAGTAAAAGATTCAAAATGGTATGATTGAAATACAATTCTATAAGTAATCAACTGCATAAGTTTAATTAACATTGGCACATATTTACCGTATATATAATCCACATCCTTCTAGCATAAACTCATTCATACTTTCACATGTTATTCATGCCCCATCTTTTCTAGGAGGTCATTCTTTTCTATCTCTATCTGATTTTCTTTTCTTTCTTTTTTTTTTTTTTTGAGATGGAGTCTCACTCTGTGGCCCAGGCTGCAGTGCAGTGGCGTGATCTCCGCTCACTGCAAGCTCCGCCTCCCGGGTTCATGCCATTCTCCTGCCTCAGCCTCCTGAGTAGCTGGGACTACAGGTGCCCGCCACCACGCCTGGCTAATTTTTTGTATTTTTAGTAGAGAGGGAGTTTCACCGTGTTAGCCAGGATGGTCTCGATCTCCTGACCTCGTGATCCGCCCACCTCTGCCTCCCAAAGTGCTGGGATTACAAGCATGAGCCACTGTGCCCGGCCTATCGCTTTCTGATTTCCAACTCCTTCCCTATCAACTCCAAATATGCATAGGCCCATCCTTATTTTAGCAATGCCTTTCTGATTTGCAGGTCTTTTTTCTTTCTTTCTAAACTCCTCAGATAATAGATCATTTTTGCTTCTGCAACATTTTTTTCATCTATCACATTTTAATAACCTGTAAATCGGGATTTAATTTTACATGTCACTCTTAACTTCATTTATTTGGTTCATTTCAAAATTTATAGAATTTCCTATTGTATTTGAAAATTATCACAACTTCTCTAATAATTGAAATTTTATACTCTTGTTTTTATTACTCTGCACAATAGTTCCTCTTCTATTCACTGAACTAATTATTTTATTATGATTTACCCAAAGTCTTTGTCCATGGTCCTATGATTCCTAAACCTCCACTATTAAACAAAATGTATACCTGTCTCCACTGATATTCTCTAATCTCCACAGCTGAGTACTGTTCATCTTGTATACAGATCCAGTCCTCCTGATCTATTAGCTCAATGCAGCTTGTGGGGAAGATAAATGTGTGAAATTGGCTTCATTCATTCATTCATTTATTAATCTACTTGTTTTTTCAATGAGTAAATATTTATTGGATGCTTTTTATGAGACAAATGGTTTGTGTCAGGAGGTTAGGTTTCAACAATGAACAAGACAAGCACATTCTCTGTCCCTGTAGATGTTTACACACTCGAGGAAAAGAGCCATTTTCCCTGAACGGCAAATGTGAAACTTTACTCAAAAAGAAAAATTCAGAGTGAATTACCCCAGGAGCCAAACTTATTAAGAAATCTTAGTTAGCTTAGGCTTCCATAAGAAGATACCTTATACTGGGTTGTTAAAAAATGAAAATTTATTTTTGCACAGTTCTGAAGGCTATAAATTCCAAGATCAAGGTATCAATCCATTGGTTCCTGATGAGGGCTCGCTTCATGGCTTACAAACTGCTGCCTTCTCCTACATCCTCGTGAGGACTTTCCACAGCGCTTGTGTGTGAGGGGTGAGAAAGATTAAGGTCTCTATTGTCTCTTCTTAGAAGAACACTAATCGCTAATGACCTCATTGAACCTCAGTTACCTCCAAAGACTCTGTCTCCAAATACCATCACATTGGGGATTAGGGGTTCAACCTACAAGTTCTGAGGGGGCACAAACCTTCATTTATAATGCTCCCTACCAACAAGCACATTCTTTATGATATTAGAAAGTAAATAAGTGAAGAGAGGTGACAATGTGGAGACAGAGGGAAATGGTTTCATGGAGGCTTTGACTCAGGACAAACACAGGGCATTTGATAAGCTCAATCATGTCAGAGCCTGGTAGACAAGACCAAGGGGGTAGAACAACATAGAGATGAAAAAGAGGCAGAGTCAGATCATAAAGGCCACAGTAAGCCAGCTTTATAACTTTAGGCTTCATGTTAAAGGCAAAAATAATAGTGATGGGCTTTAAGCTGGGGGAAACATAATCCTCTTTGTATTTTTCAAATAAATTAGTGTAAAGTAAGTCTGAAGGCATATGAGGAGATTATTGTAGGACATCTAAGAAATAATTGTGGTTTGTACTAGAACAATGGTTATAAAGATGAAGGCAAGTGAACCCACTTGAGACATATTCAGGGATGGGCGATCAGTGGGCCTGTGGTCAGGTAGGGTGTGAAAACAAATGTTACTCTTTGTGTCACATCTATATTTCTGGGTTGAGCATTCCCTGGTGTGTTACCACCAAACAATGAGACAGGGAACATTTGGAAGGGCATGAACACAAAATCCATTTCTGAACATTTTCCTGGCTTTAGTAAGAATGTTTCTATCTTTATCTTGGGCTGTATCACTGGATAGTACTAAAAACTAGCTCCCCAGATTTTGTCAGGATTGAGATCCTGATTTGTCATTTTTGACCACTTTTGAAAGGAACTGCTAGAGTTCTGTCCCTGACTCCCAGCTCTGAAACTGATTCCTTGCTTTTACCTATGTGGGGAGTTCAGTAATTGAACCAGAAGTATAAAAATAGAGTAGGTTACTGAGTGTATATCACATTTTGTAGTTATTGTAGATTTACAATAGATCTACAAAAATATTTACAGAAAGATGTAAAGTTAAATTATTTTACCCAGCCCCCAGCCTTAAATATCAGATTATTGCATTTTCATAAACTTTCTCTCCTTGAAACATTTTATATTCCCTGGGTTATTCCTCTCATTTCTTGATGATTTCGGGCTTCTAAATCACTATCACACCCTCCAATACTACTCTTGAATTAATTTTTGAAAATTTTGGTATTTAATACTTTCAGTACTTTGTTCCTGATTTGTTCTTCAGTGATCTTACCCCCAAACCCAATTCAACCACTACCTACCAAACTCAAGTACCTACCATCACCATACTATAAAGTTTGTCATCACCAATAAATGCAACCCTGCCATAATCTCAAGTTCATGTGTGTGATGGTTAGGTTTTTGCATCAACTTGGCTGCACTCTAGTGCCCAGTTATTTAACCAAACACTAATCTAGGTGTTGCCACGAAGGTATTTTGTAGATGTAGTTAATATCTATCATCAGTTTATTCTATGTAAAGGATAGTACCTTGACAATATGGGTGGACTTCATCGAATCAGTTGAAAAGTCTTAGGAGAAATAATGAGGTTTTTCTAAGGAAGAAGAAATTTTGCCTTAAATCTTCAGCATCAGTTCTTGCCTGAGAGAATTTCCATTCTGCTAGTCTGCCCTGAGGATTACAGATTCCAGGCTTGCCAGAGGCAGCAATCACATAAGCCAATTTCTTGAAGTAAATTTATCTCTCTCTCTTTCTATATGTGTATATGTATACATGTATATTTGTGTGTGTATGTCTATCCATATGTACGGATACTATAGCCATATGTATGTATGTATGAGTGTGTGTATGCACACACACAGCCCTATGAGTCATATGATTGTGCATGTGTATATATATACATATATATACACACACACATATATATATACACACACATACACATATACACACATACTTACATATGGCTATGGTATGTGTGTGAGTTTATATGTATGTATAATGTATTATATATACATAAAATACATATATGTATGTATTTTTCTTCTCAAATATCAACCACCTCCTTTTTCATCCTCTTTCATTTAATGACCTTGCTTCCTACTTCGCAGAGAAAACTGAAGTAATCAGATAATTCTGAAAGCATAGCAGTTGGTGCTGCTTCCTGGACTGATGCTTCCAATCTCAAGCTGCTGAGTATTGGCTGCTAATTGTTTATCACTCATACACTTCCCCAGAGACTTGTCTTTAGCCACAGAAATCATCTTTTCTGGAAGTGCTTGGAAAGTTATACTAACCCTCTCATACCACTGGCAAATGGTTGTTAGCCAATGACTCACTGATACAAAAGAATGGATGCAGAGTTGCTTTTCTAACCTTCTGGTAGGTTTAGCTTCCAAGAACAGCTGCTAGATAAGTCACTTGCACGGGAATCCCCATTTTAGGCTCGCTTCTAGGGAACTTGAAGTCAAGCACACAGATTACTACCACCATGTACCAGCATCTGTACTCATATATTGTTGTTTTCATCTTGTTACTACAGAATAACTAATCATATTCTTATCTGAAGATATTTCCAATAATTTTTGCAGTGAATTCCATTCTATTGCACAGACTTGGGGCACATTTTCAATTCTCACCTGTTTCTCTTGCATTATCATGTTTATCTCTGTATGTTACTTTCATTAACATTCCGCAGTTTCTCCTCTTTTAAAAAACTCTTTTTTCTTATCCCATTTCCCCAGCTGCTATTGCTGTTTATTTTCTTCCCTTTTCAGTGCCTCTCAGAACTGTTGTTTGCATCTGATGTCTCCAACATTTCTTTTCCAATTTTCTCTTAAATCCTGTCCAAACATGCGTTTGTCTCCACTCTTCCCCCACAACTGGTCAAGCTCACCAGTGATCTTCAAGTTGCTAAACCCTGTGGTCAATTGTCAATTTCACACCACCAATATGCAGCATTTGATGTAGCTGAGGGTTTCCTTCTCTTTGAAACTCATTTTTTATTAAACTCCCAGGTTACCATACTCTTTTGGTTTCCCATTTACCTCTTTGTTTTCAACATTTTTATTTCTGTTTCTGCTTCCTCTTTTTCTTTCAGCTCTCTTAACGTTGCGGGTCCCAGACCTCCGTCTTCCGATTTCTTGTCTTGTTCTCTACACTTATTCCGTTGGATAACACCATCTGTGTTACTGACCATCGAAGTTATACCTCCTACCCATATATCTCCCCTGAAATTCAGACTCATTTATTTTTTATCTCATCTCATTTATCTGTTTCATCTACACTTAATTATTTTACCAATTATCAAAAGGTAAGATATGCTGCAAGTGAAAACAACCCCATAAGTAATTCGAATTATTTCATTCATTCTGCACGTCCATTGTGGACCAGCTATGCCAATGCTTCGCATGATCTTCACTCCACATGGAAGCCAACAGAACGGCCTGTAGACTACTGCAGTTCTTGTGGCAGAGGAAACTATGCAAGAAGAAATGAGTGCTGCCTGTTCAATCTTCTGCCAACTAGCTTGAAAGCCTCTCCTTGCACTTCATTGGCCAAATTATGTCACCGGGCCAAGAACAAAAAAAACCCATGAATTTGTTAAAATATAGGGAAACAGGGCCTGGTGTGGTGGCTCACGCCTGTAATCCCAGCACTTTGGGAGGCCGAGGCGGGCAGATCACGAGGTCAGGAGATCCAGACCATCCTGGCTAACACGGTGAAACTCCGTCCCTACTAAAAATACAAAAAATTAGCCAGGCGTGGTGGCGGGCACCTGTAGTCCCAGCTACTCGGGAGGCTGAGGCAGGAGAATGGCGTGAACCCGGGAGGTGGAGCTTGCAGTGAGCGGAGATCGCGCCACTGCCCTCCAGCCTGGGAGACAGAGCGAGAGTCCGTCTTAAAAAAGAAAAAAACAGGGAAATAGATAAAACATTCTGTGAGAGATTTTTAACATAGCACTTATATCCTACGACAGAGTAAAAAAGAACATGATGGAATTTAACAATATAATTAACAAGACTAAATTTTACGTGAAAACAGTGTTTGGACCTAACAACCCAAAATTTTAAATAGAAATTGATTGTAAAATTAATTGCAAATAATACTTTAATATATTTCAAAACATTTTATGTGCGACTTGTCACATTACCTGAACAAATACATTGGAAATAAACGATACAAGATTTTAAGATTTTATGGCTTAGTATTTAAGAAGTAATTCAGTAAATTTGTATTTTATCTAATAAGCTAATAAAAGAAATACTGTATATAGCATACATAAATGATATAATGTAATATGACAACAGAATATAACAAATTTAGATAAGGGTAAGAAAAAGTTTATTAAAATTATAAAGATTTGGCCAAATATACTTAGAGGAATAATTATAATTGTTAGCATTGGTATTATTTTTAAAATGTTCATTGAAAATGCCTGCCAAAAATAAAGATATAAAATAAGGAAACAAATGAAGTGAGTATCCAAAATAAGATTTTAGAATAGGAGTCAGCCCTATGGATATTATAAACAAAGAGTTTACAAACAATAACAAAAATTATGTTAGAAAATAGAACAAAAAGATACACCACAATCATCAAACAATACAAAGAACCGCTACTCATCTGCTTCTCTACACTTTCATAATCTGAATCATAGATATTGATGTTCTAAGTTATTCTTTATTCTTTTTTTTTTTTGCTTTTTTCAGTATCTTCAATAATTTGAAAGCAATAACACAGAAAAAGAAATGCCAGGAATTCTAAAATCCATATTCCAGGCCCAATATGTTTTTTTTTTCCAAGTCCTAGAGATAAATGATTGAACACAAAATGTAAGGATAACATCTTCATCAGTCAGGAGTGTGTTTACCTATAAACAAGAGAAAACCCCTTCATGTAACAGTTGCTCTGGCTATGGATGCTGCTTCTGTGATCCAGACAGGAGGAAGAGATACAGGGCGCAGGACTGCAGAGTCAGGCCACTCGAATATGACTATTTGTAAAAGACTTTTTCTGGAACCCTCCATCAGTATTCTTAAATAAATATTATGACCTAGAGTTGAGTTACTTGGCCACTCTTGCTTCAAGAAAATCTAAGACGTTTATTATTTTTAACAATACTACAAAAAACACATTTTGTTGTAACTTTAGTTTCAGTGTTTTTTTTTTTTTTTTTTTTTTTTGAGACAGGGTCTCACTCTGTTGCCCAGGCTGGAGTACAGTGACACGATCTCAGCTCACTACAACCTCTGCCTCCCAGGTTCAAGCGATTCCCCTGCTTCAGCCTCCCAAGTAGCTGGGATTACAGGTGTGCATCACCACACCTGGCTAATTTTTGTATTTTTAGTAGAGATGGGGTTTCACCATGTTGGCCAGGCTGCTTTCGAAATCCTGGCCTCAAGTGACCCACCTGACTTGGCCCCCCAAAGTGCTGGGATTACAGGCGTGAGCCACTGCGCCCGGCCTAGTTTTAGTCTTTTATAAAGGAAAAAAGAGAATGAATGTTAAGTGGCAACCAACAGTTTCATTATAATTACTTCAAGAATTCCATGTAATGGTTTTGTAGTGCCATGTAAACCATAATTATTATGGGGTAAACCATTAAAATGAAATTATTACTTTGCTGAAAATAGCAGCATAAAAAATTAACAATTTATTATAATTACTTAAGCTATTTATAAGCTTGTCAGACATGTACTAATCAATTGTGCATCAATAAAAGTTTTAAAATATTAGCACACCTTGGAATCCTAAAGATAATAAAAATTCTATTCTTAATAATAAAAATAGAATAATGTAAGGATAAAACTATAACATAAAAAGAGCATTCTTAAAGAAATATCTAAAATCATACTTGAGTATATTTAGAATTTATTAACTTCTGGTTAAATACAAGTGAGATTAAAATTCAAATGCTCTGTTATTGCTGGGGGGAAAGAAATAGAAAATATTTAAAATCAAAATTGTTCTAAAAGAATCTGGGATAAAATATGAAACAATAGAAAATAAAATGCCAAAAATATATGTAACAAGCACCAGCTATTACCATGGATTATAAAATCAGAATAGACAAATGAAATAAATCAAGTTAACATAATAGAATTGGAGTGAATGGAAAGAAAAAACTAATATTCATCAAGTAAATATTAGATTTGAATAAAAAATGTATTTTATTTTTAACATGTTATTTTTCTAAAAGTGAAGGCTATGGGCCTCCAATTAAAAAAATGTATCTGTGGATGAGATAATTTACATAGGGTTTTTTTTTTAACATCTATCTTTGAGTTTATTTTTTGGCCAAGGGCTACCTTAATCCACTGCACCTGTAAATTAATGTAATCTGTATTATTGTAATCCCTAAATGGAACAATGGAGGTGGAAACTTCAGAATTTTTACAGAAGGACAAAACTCTTGTAAGAAGTAATCTAAGAAGGGTTTGCATATAAATGTATGTAAAATTGATTTCCAAAACACAATTGCCTATATTTAAATAAATGCAGGACAAAGGGGGAAGGAGAGCTAAAGTCTTTCCTTCCCAGACTAACTCTAGACACTGTCACTACTAATTGAAACTAATTTACATCTGATCCCAGGGACAGAATTTCTGAATTCCAAAAGAATTAGGATTACTGACAACCCAACATGACCTTTCTTTTCACCTGTCTTATGTCTCTCTGCCGCCCTCAGCTGGTAACACTGATGCTTCCTCTACAGCTGATGAGATTTATCCTTGGAGAAGAAACAAATACCATGCTTTTTGAACATTTTCGTAACCGTCTCACATGAGCACATACTAAGTTTTCAAAAATGACTTGAAAGGGTAGATTTATTTTTTACAATAGTCCCTTCAAGGAAAATATTTACAGGTGATGAACATGGCAAAGTGACACCAGAGTAGAGTTCTTGTCTTGTGAACAGTAACACTGAAACTATGACCACCAGCATAGTGGCAGAAAACAATCTCAGCCTGTGTTTTCTCTTGTGATATTAAAAAGTGGAGAAATTGCAGAGACGTCAGCAACAGTTAGAATGAAGAACTTTCAGAATTCTGTGTTAAAATTGGTGGTTCAGATATTTCATATCACTTAGCAATATCTCCTAAAACCACTTACTCCCTTTGAGAAAGTGAAACCTCAGAGACTAAAATGTAGAAATATTTATAGCTACAGATCTCATAGACCTTACTATCTTAAATGTCATTGAAATAAAGATCGGGAGACAACACATTATGCTACGTTTGAATTGTTAGTGGATCCTCATGGTTATGTTTGAGGTTGTGTAGTTTATGCTTAAAAAATTGTCTTTTGGTTTATAACATCAAAAAGCAGCCAATTAGTTGTCATCAAGTTCTTTATTATTTTCAGTTAAATACTTTACCTAAGGGCTGCAAACATTTTAACCATGTTCAACTTTAATACATTATTTGCAGTAGCACTTGAGAATGTGTTTATTTCTTCAGCTTTAACTTTAATAAAATCACATGGCTTCCATCAAAACATTTTGCATAGGATTAAAAAATTTTTAGAGTTTCTACAAAGTAATGAAGTGTAACATGTATCTCATAATTCATCCCAATCTCCCGAGAGTGACCATCTTTAGGTACTCACAAACAATTAAAAAAACAACCAAATCATAGTTGTCCCAATGATGAATGCAAAGTTCTGAAGTAGGCCAGGTGCACTGGCCAGTGCTTATAATCCCTGCACTTTGGGAGGGTGAGGCAGGAGGGTCGTTTTAGATTGAGAGTTCAAGTGTAGCTGGGGCAACATAGTGAGACTCTTTAACATTTTTTTAAATTTTGCCAGGCATGGTGGCACATGCCTGTAGTCTCAGTTACCTGGGAGGCTGAGGGAGGAGGATTCCTTGAGTCCGGGCAGTCGAAGCTATAGTAAATCGTAATTGCACCACTGCATCTAGCCTAGGTGGCAAAGGGAGACCCTGTCTCAAAAAAACAAAAACAAACAAAAAACAAAAGTTCTAAGGTAGGAGAGAATGGTGGCAATGGCAGGAAATTGGGAGAAATATAGCAAAAATTTACCCAGATTTTTAAGTGTGGGAGAGATGAAAGTCAGGGATATGAAAGTAGCAAAAATATCTGGATTGAAAGGTGGGCAGAGAAAAATAACCAGGCGATGAAGTCCCTCTGATCCCAGAGAAGACTTATAATGAAGCTGCAGTGTCCAGTAAAGGAAACTAGTGAGCCAAAGCCTGAGACTGAAAGCAGGAGACAGTATCTGAAATGAACTAGGAAGTTATACCAAGAAGACCCATGCAACTCGAGAGAGGCGAATGCCAGGGGCTAGGAACTGGAGGAGAATTCTGGAGAAGATTGCAGTAGCTCAGGATAAACCTTTTCATACAGGCTGTTGACCAGGCACTATAAGATAAAAGGCAAAGTAAAGATGAGTTTGGAATTTGTCTCAGGTTGGTGCCAGTCCTAATCCCCCCGCTTTTAAAGCAGCCTCACCAAAGCTGACCAGGGAGCAATATATGTTTTAATAATTTTTGGAGGTTATAGCATGCTGAAATGTACATAATTTATATATTGTTTTGTTTTGTTCTCAACTCTCTTCTCCTCTCCTTCCTTTCCTCACTTCTTTCTTCTCCCATACTCTCCAGTCCCATAGTCTCCTTAAAGTGACAGAGTTGAGGGTTGCTGCAGACATCATATGGCCAGAAATGTCTAAAATATTTACTGTCTGGGGCTTACAAAAAATGTACTGTCCTCTAGTCTAGACGAGATGGTTTTCAAAAGTCTGTCTTAAGTCTTTCTGAGGTCTTAACAAAGGCTTTACAATCACCCCCATGATACGAGCTTTACCTTGAGGTTTTGTTTCCATAGTAGTATTGTGGATATTAACTTTACCATTATGTTATTTCCTACTTTGAAGACATTTTTGCTAAATGGAAAGATTATAGTGAAAAACATTTTTATTTTCTATCCCAGAAAATGCTGGCTTCTTTATATTTTGGCTAAATTCTGCTTAAAGTAAAATATTTCAAGTTTTACTCTACATTTCTGTCTCTATTCCCACCTATCATATACAGTTGAAATAAACCAGTTGACACTTTTGATATTCTGCTTGGAAATCCCAAGTTAGATTCCCAGATCTAAGATTGCTTTTTATTTTTCATGTTTTCGCAGGGCACAGTTTTACTAAATAAACTTTCTGTCACATATGTGATCTTTATTCCAGGTTCTTATAAATATTTTCTTAGTGTCTTTTGTTTTCCTGCTAACAGTCTTCTTGATATCTTTCTAGCTTCTATTCATAGCCTAGTCAAAAAGCTAATGTCATACCTATGAATCCATGGATTTAACTAGATCTCGTACTTGTTTGGGGGTAAGTTGTTTTTGTTTTTTTTTTAAACAAAAAACAAAAAACAAAAAACAAATCCTTCTTGTTTTTACGTCAATATTTTTATTTCTTTTCAGAGAATTTCAATAATCCATGCTCATAAAAATGTACTGACTTCACCTAGGTTTTAAAATGTTGTGATATGTCATTATGTATTCTTGTTCTGTGATCCTTATATTTTATTGTATAATAGAAAATTATTTCTTAAAATCTCATATAACAACTAGGTCAATTAAAAATATAATCCTTTAGGTTGATTTATCAAATTTGGTGTATGAGTGAGTCAATTCAAATATTTTAGCTTTTAACTTTATTCATTTCCTTTTCCTATATATTATGGCTTATTTCATGTTTTGCCTGGTGCACTGATTTAAATGCTGAATTTGCTAATTCTGATTTTTTCTAAAAATGTAACTGCTTAAATTTTATTCCACTGCTTAATTTGGCATCATGAAACATGAGTTTTAAGTCATGCTGAACAACTTTTTAAGAAAATTATTGCTTTGCTTTTCCAGAAAACTAAATAATAAGGTTTATGTCAATGTATATCTCCTTGTACCTTATGCATTTTGAGGCATTTTTGAAATCTGTATTTCATTATTTGATTGATGTTGCTTAAGACAGATTCACCAGGTATGGTTTGGATAGTGCTTTGATTTTATTGACTGTCATTTTGTCATCAATTGTCTTAGCGTTAAACAATGCTATTTATTCCTGTTGAAATGAACATGGTTTCAAGTTGTTATAATTTTCTGTAATTTAAGATGGTTGCTAAAATGTCAAAAATGAAAATTGTGTCTATTAGAATCTTAAAAATCAACATCTTTATTGTGCATTATGAGAGTTAACACATAGTTAACTTCTGCATTTGTAAACAAATTAAGTATAATTTAAAAAGGAATTTAAATTAACTGATTATTTGTGATATTAATTACAAATTTAAAAATATAATGCAATGCAATTTAAAATGATATACTCATTTTACCCTGACCATGAGAACTCGTATCACTATTTTTATGTTTTGAAAGATATGAACTTTCTGCATACATCAGAGTTGCTGTTATGATTTATATTTATGTGTACACATGATGATTTCCCACTAACATTAAGATGTTCAATAACACACACATCATTTGTGTTAATCTTGGTTTTTCAAGCATAAACATTGTATTGGTTGGTCCACTTGATCAATCAGGATTCTACTGAACAGTCCATATGTGTGATAAAACTCCTTGAGAGAACAAAACTTCATCAACATTTTCCAGAATTGGTGTTTTCTACTCTAACCTCTTGTCTGAATTCTATTCCCATGAATGAGTAATGCCTACTTCCTATGTGACTGCCACTATTCTCAAACTTATGAGTAAAACATAGAATGGGGAAAAATACACAACAAGCAGATAAAATTGCTGTGTGTTATTGTGAAAAGGGCCAGCCAGCAACTGCATAAATCTCTAATATTTAGCCAGGGGCAAACCTATGAAGAATATTGAAGCAGGAAGAGATATCTGCTTCTGGCAATGGTAGAAAACATCTTCCTACTGAGGTTAACAAGTAAAGCAGAGGAAATACTTTCAAAAAATCTATGTGAAATAGCAAGGGAGTAAGGATTGTGATACCAAAATTCCAGAGAGAATAGATGTCAAGTAATCCCAAAATTCAATATGACTTTTCTCATCAAGGCACTTGATGATTTAAAATCAGAGACTAGAAATCCAAAAGAGTGATGGTAGCTTTCAGCTAACTCATGGAGATGGAAAACAAAAAATGGTGTTCACGATCCATTAAAGATGACAGGCCCTACTGAAGACCTCAACAGACACCTCTTCAAAGAAAATATACAGATGGTAAACAAGCATACGAAAAGATGCTCCACATCATATGTCATTAGAGAAATGCAAATTAAAACGACTGTGGGATACCACTACACAACTATTAGAATGGCCAAAATCCAGAACACTGACAACAACAAATGCTATCGAGAAGATGGCACAATGAACAGTCTCACTCACTGCCAGTGGGAATGCAAATTGACACAGCCACTTCAGAAGACAGTTTGGTGGTTTCTAACAAAGCATAGTCTTACCATATGATTCAGCAATCAAATTCCTTGGTATCTAACCAAAACTATTAAAAATTTATGTCTACACAAAAACCTGGATGTGGATATTTATAGCAGCTTTATTTATAATGACCAAAACTTGGGTGTTACCAAGATGCCCTTCAACAGGTAAATGGCTAAATAAACTATGGTGTATCCATACAATGGAATATTATTCAAAGCTAAAAAGAAATGAGCTATTCGGCTATAGAAAGATATGGGGTGACCTTATGGATATTACTAAGTGAAAGAAGCCAGTCTAAAAGGGCTCCATACTGTCGGTTTCCAATTATATCACTTTCTGGAACAGGCAGAAACTAAGGAAAGAGTAAGAAGATCAGGAGTCTCCAGAGTCTGAGGTGCAGGAAAGAGGGATGAATAGGCAGAGCACAGGGGATTTTTAAGGCTGTCAAAATACTCTATATGATAGCATAAATGTGGATACATGTCATTCATTATACATTTGCCCTATCCCACAGAATGTGCAATGTCAGTATTGAGCCCTAATGTGAACTAGGGACTTCAAATAATTATGATGTGTATTAGTCCATTCTCACACTGCTATAAAGAACTACCTGAGACTGGGTAATTTATAAAAAAAAATAGGTTTAATTGGCTCATGGTTCTGCAGGCTGTACAGGCTTCTGCTGTTGGAGAGGCCTCAGGAAACTTACAATCATGGTGGAAGGTGAAGGGGAAGCAAGCACCATCCTCACATGGTAGAGCGAGAGAGAGAGAGAGTTAAAGGGGGAAGATGCTACATACTTTCGAGCAACCAGATCTCATGAGAACTCACTATCATGAGAATAGCAAGGGGGAAATCTGCCACCACGATCTAGTCATCTCCCACCAGGTCTCTCCACCAACATTGGGGATTACAATTCAACATGAGATTTAGCTGGGGACACAGAGGCAAAGCATATCAATGTGTCAATGTAGGTTCATCAGGTATAACAAATGTATCACTCTGAGGGGGGATGTTGATAATGGTAGAGGCTATGCAAGCGTGGGGATAAGGAGTATACAGGGCATCTCTGTATCTTCCTCTCAATTTCCTGTGATTGTAAAATTGCTCTTTAAAAAAGTATTTTTAAAAAAATGATGGTCTTTAATAGTCACTGCCAGGCTTTCAGATGGAACCATAAAGTTCTAAAGGTGACTGAAGAATTGACCCGTCCCAAAAGACATTGAGGCTGGGTTCCAATGATCTCAATGTTTATTTGGAATATAATTGGATATCCATATCCAGATGCTTTATTGAAGAAAAAATATGTTCTCTTTGAGTATCCTGGAATTCTTTTATTGATGCTATCTAAAAAAATAAACAAATTCCATAAGACTAGAATTGACCATAAATCATGTTTAATAACTGACAAGAGAAAGAACTCTATTCTATATCCAGATAGGGCAGAACTTTAAAATAAATGTAATTAAATTTTCTAGTAATTAAATGACATTGTTAGGTATTTCAGAAAATAATTCAAAAGTATTAAAAATAGCTAATGGAAAATCTAGAAATAAAGTAACACTGACTATAAAACCTATTCAGATGATAGAGTATTAGTGCATCAGAAGGTACGTTAGTAGAAAATATATTCACTGAAGTAAAGAAAGACAAAATGAGAAAAATATATAAGAGAGTGTAAGATAAATTTGGATCAAGGAGAAAAGTATTAACATGTATACAATCAGAGTCCAGAAGGAGAAGAGAGTGAGGATGGGTTAAAAGTACCTATAAAAAAAAATAGGTCAGAGTTTTTCTGAATTTTCTTGAACCACTAGAAATAAATGCAAAAATCCTAAGCACATTACAGCAAGTGTGCTGAAAACTAAAGGCAAAAAAATAATTCATGCAAGTAGTCAAGGAGTAAAGACATATTGTCTTCCAAGGAGCAAAACTGAGATAAACAACCAATTTATTAACAAAAACAAGGAATGATGTAAAGTATTTGAAAGCAAATTACTGCCAAATTAGATTCTTTATTCATGGGAATATTTATTTTGGGGGTGGGTAGAACATAATCTGAGATTTCATAACAGAAAGAAATGAAGAATGACGAGATGGTACACATATGTGTAAAACTAAATATATACCACTTGCATAAAACAAAGCAATAACATTTATGACATTTTAAACATACAAAATTGAAATATATGATAGTAATTGTACAAAATACAAAAAAGAAGTTAAATGGAATTATATAGTGCCCTAGGATCCGTCCATACCTAAGTAGTTATCAAAGTAGACTAATAAAATGAATAGCTAAAAAATCAAATAGAGAAGAAAATGAAAACACTTAATGAAGCCTAAACATATCAAAAGAAGAAGAAGAAAAAAGAATAAAGAGTAAGTGTTAAATCAAACAAAGCAGAAGGTAAAGTTCGACCTAAATACTAATTCATCAGTAATGACAGAGTAAAGAAACAGTTAAAAGACCCAGTATGTAATACTGGGGAATGCTAAATTATATACTACTTACAATATTCGCACAAAAAATATAGGAATATGTAAAGGGAGACAATAAAGAATAAATAAAATAAAAGATGCCACACAAACAGTAACAAAAAGAAAGAGTGAGTTATACTAAATATCAGACAAAAAGCAAAAAGCATTATTTTAAATCGAGACATTGGAAATAACAAAAGTGTCAATTAACCAGGAAGATACAATTTTCTATATATCTAATTATACAGTATTACATGTATACAGCAGAAAACTATTGACTAAAAAAAATTTAACAATTCTGAAATCAGTAAGATATTTTAAGCTCTCAGTAAAAAAGAGAGCAGCAGAAAAATATGCAAAAATGTAGAAGATTTGAAAGCATAATAAACTAAATTGTTTGACTGCCATATACAGAACAATTGAACTCAAAAATTGCAAAATACATATTCTTTTTAAGAATTCATGAAACACTGATGAAAATAACTTGTACTGAGATATAAAGCAAGTCTCAACACATTTCAAAGCACTGACAACATACGTTATGCTCTCTGACCACAGTTAAGGTAAAAACTAATACAGAAAAGTAAACAGAAAATCCTTATATATTTGGAAATTAACAGATACACTTTTAAAGTCTGTGGTCAAAAAAAACACCTCACAATGGAAATGATTTAATATTTTTAATAAGTGAATATTAAAATGCTACATATCAAAATTGGAAAAATGTCACTGAGACAGACCTTAAGCATAAATGTAGAGCTGAAATATACATTTTATACAAAGGCTGAAATAAAAGTTCTAAGCAACCGTTTTAATGAGTTAGCAAAGGATCTGCAAATTATCCCTGTAAGGAGAAGGGAGGAAATAATAAACATAACAATTACTGAAATAGAAAAAAATTAATAATAGAAACAGCTAACAAATACAAAAGTTGATGTTTTGCAAAGATCAATGCAATTCTAAACCTGTAGAAAGAATGCTTCTAAGAAAATGAAAACAAACAAAAATGGGTATCAGGAATGAATCAGGGACATTGTTACATCATAAAAGCCTGCCAATATTCTTCAAATATACTCTATTCTGGTTATATTAACTTCTGTAATCCCAATTGGCGTTACCTGTTGATTATAGTGAAAGTTAAAACAGGGCTTCAAATTTTTTGACACTTATTCCATTAAGCTGTAGGAATTTTGGTCCTTTCTCCTTGAATTTCACTGAGCTTGTGAAGACTTTGACCTACAGAGCAGGGTAGGAGTGATGCCATGTTACTTCTAAGGGCAAGTCATAAAGAGCCCAGCAGCTTCCTATTGTTTACTGGGAATCGTTACACCAGGAATTTGAAGTCACCACATAAGCAGTCTGACTAGAAGCCAACTCCCCGTGCAAAGGACGTGTGCAGTTGCTCTGGCCACAAGCCAGCTGTGCTCACCTTCAAGTCACCCTGGACCAGGTGTTGGTGGAAAAGCCTCCACACGACTTCAGCTCTGAGCTCAGGGAGTCACCCGCAGTTATTCTAGTCTTCTCAGCTGAGGCCCAGATAGTCTAAAGCAGAGAAAAGCTTATTTCCTGTGTCTCTGTGTGAATTTAGGAGCTTAACAAAATGGTGGTTGTTTTATCCCTCTAAGTTTGGAGGTGTTTTGTGATGAAGCAATCGATAACTGAAAGACCTAGCACTTTAGGAGGCCGAGGCGGGTGGATCACGAGGTCAGGAGATGGAGAACATCCTGGCTAACAGGTGAAACCCCGTTTCTACTAAAAATACAAAAAATTAGCTCGGCGTGGTGGTGGGCGCCTGTAGTCCCAGCTACCCGAGAGGCTGAGATAGGAGAATGGCGTGAACCCGGGAGGCGGAGCTTGCAGTGAGCCAAGATAGCGCCACTGCACTCCATCCTGAGCGACAGAGTGAGACTCTGTCTCAAAAACAAAAAACAAACAAACAAACAAACAAAAAACTACCTAGAATCAGAGCATAGCCACTTAAATGATCTCCTGCATCCATTTTGCCATTACATCACTTATGAAATGGAAATCCGAGTTAAATTTTAAAATGGCAAGTCTGATCGTATTTCACCCTTTTACAATCTTTAATTGGACTTTCAATGCTCTAAGCAAAACAGAGAAAAATATTCATTGTGGCTTACAGAACTTTCTCTGGTTTCTACACTTGCTTACCCTGTTTATACAGATCAGGTGAGGCTACTCTGCTATATACTCTTACAAAATACATATTTTTAATCATTATTCTAATTATAATTTTACATGCATTTGTGAGATTATGTGACTAGTGCTGTTCTCTTATTAAGCTCTAAATCTTTGAGGGCAAGGACTGTTTCAGGTTCTGGTCATGATTTTATCCCAGGCACCCCGCCCACTGCCTCGCCTAAAGTATGTGGTCAATAAATACTCCTTATTGCAGGTGTTTTTGAAAAATAGTAACCCAGAGAAAATCTGAAGTGGCATTTTAAAAGGACCTGTTTGAGCTCAAAAAAGGATGGCTTCAGATGCTAGAAAGAGGAGAGAAAAAAGGAAATAGAGAAAAAATCTTAAAAAGGCTGCTTTTAGTAAATACTTGTTTAAGTAAATACTTGTTTGCAATTTATGTGAGAATTTATTGGAGAAGATCGAGGTAGGGTTAGATCAATTGATCATTGAGCAAATATAATTCCAGGACTCCTAAATGAAAAGTAGAGGAAAACACAATTTGCCAGAATTTGTGCAGGAGAGGAGTTAAGATGGAATTAATAATTTTTAGAGAAGGGAGATTTTGACATCTGCTTCAAACTAACAAGACTCCCAAACAAGAACAATTTTGATACTGTCACTTATATGCCTATCACAATTACAACCATATAAAAAGATGCATGTCTATGGCATAATAAAATACTTAAACTTGCCAAATGGAATGAGGCAGGAGTGTCAATCAAAACACTCACTATATTACGGAATTTTTTTTCTTGTATTAATGACGCTTGATAAAAAAAAAAACAGGAATCTATGTGACAGAACAGATTTTTAAAATTAAGCTGGGTGCACTTTTGCTGAAATACTAATTCTAATAAGGATATAGAAAAATTGGAGTTTTGAACACAGGGCACTTTGCAGTTAAGATGTATCACCTGATGCCACTGAGAACAACAATATAGGAATTTTAAAGATTCATAGAAGTGACAATATAGCTAAGATGATTTAACATTACTAGTTCAAGACAGATGTGTCCAATAAAACATTGTATTTATCATATCAATTGGATATTTCTTTGATGGAATCTATTTTGAACAGTAATGAATTAAAAGTTAAAGAAAATATGAAATCAAGGTGAAGCATGTCACAAATGTCTTTGTGATGATTTCCTGTCTACGATTATATCACCTAACTTACTGAATGGTTGGTCAAGTAACTAAAAGTATGAAACTACCCTACTGATTTATTTCTACTTATTTGGACAAAAAGGAAAGACTCTTCTGTGGAATGAGCTGTGGTTGTGGGAATAGAAGGGAAATCCTGCCTAGACAGTGAGTGAAGGAAAAAGAAAATGAAAATAGTTGCCAGAAATACAGGAAAATAAAATAAATTAAATGATTGGCGCCCTAAATTTGAAAGGCGTGGTGTTGGAATGCTTTTATTTGTGGAAGAAAATAAATATAATTTCTCGTTTCAACTTATCCTCATACTAGCACAGTGGCATTATTGTTATTGCTGGTATTATTCCACTTCAGTAATGGTAATTGTAGCAGCAGCAGTAGTACTAGCATTAATAACAGTAATTGTAGTAGTAACAGTAGTAGTTTTTATAACAACACAAGTGGTTTTCTAGTACTGGTTTTCTAGCACTAGTGGTGGTAGAGGTGGTAATTTTTATTATTGTTATAGAATTCAAATTCATAGCAGGGATCAAATGATACACTGAAAAGGCTTGATTGAAGACAGTTTCATGAAGGATTATCTATAGTTTCATGGACCGAATACATGGAACCAACAGGAGACAACCAAGAGACTAGCAACATTAAAAGCAGTCTTGAGCCTGGTCCTAGGGAGGAATGTGAACTGAGTGAGTGAGAGTTAATATCATAGATGAGCCATGTACAGGCCTGTGACTCAAGATAACCGATGTTAGCTACTTGATGGAAGCAACTCAGGTGTAGGGGTGATAAATACTTCAAATACTCTTTCCTCCTGCTGTCTGATGTCCTGGAATGCCTCCCAAGGGCAGCCAACAGAAAGCCACGGACAAGTTTGCTCAAGTGTTGCATTCCACAGACAGCAACCTCCCAGGGCATGAAACAGGACAGAGAAGGGTAGAAAAGGAATTTGGAGGAGCAATGGGAGAATGAAGAACAACAATAGACTGCATTTAGTTTGCAGTTACTGTATATCACATGCTGTTCAAGTTCATTTACATGCATTATCTGATCCATAATCAACATTGTTATTAACCTTGATTTACAAATAGTAACAACCTCATAAAATGAGTTGATAATAACCCCATTTCATGTACGGGTCAGATGTAGATTACTTTGTTTAAAAGTTTCAACATTACCCTCTGTAGGAATTCAAGCCTCAAATTATGAAGTTCTTCATTTTAAAAGAATTGCTTCCCTTTGTGTGAGTTAAGGATAATAAAAAATGGAGATAGAATTGACAAATATTTAGTTGGCTAAAGGAAGCTGCAAAAGAAATTAGGGGGAGCTGTAGTACTAAATTGAAAGGGGAAAGAAAGTAAAGAAAGTAAAGCTTCATATAGACAAGTTCAGACACAGCAGTTGAGTTTCTTAGAGACTCAAGGTTCTTTACTTTTCTATATAGAAGAGAAGAGCACACATACCACGTTGTTTCTCCATAAAACACCAAAGTGCTCTAAAAGCTCAGTAATCTAAAAATAAAACAGAAGATCAGAACACAAAGTCATGATAGCAATATTAGATCCAGGCACACAATTTTAGAAGAAAAATAGTCATATCAGCAGCACAGACTGCTTATTTTATTCTGGAGCTATATGAATTAATGGTGTCTATAGCCCTGAGAAAGGCATGGCCCTCTGCACTTTCCTTTGAACCCAAGGGTTTATTTTTTTCTTCATTTTCTTTATCCTATTTCCCTTTGGTTTGAGGTGCTAGGGAAATGAACTCTAATGATCTGCAATGGTAACCTTAAGCGGTACTTGTCAAATATGATTTGGTAGGTGAGAAAGCAAGAACAAAAGCAGCAAAATTTAGTAGAAAGAGCAGTGAACTGAAGAGCAGGTGACCTAGACAGCAGATATAACCAGTAACTAGCTGTGGGATTTAAGAATTGTTTTTTACTCTCACACTGCTGTGAGAATTGTACCTCCAGGCTGTCTCCATCTTCAGAATAACCTGTAGTCCAAAAGTTCATTTTGTCAGTGTGCTTTCAAGAGCACAAAACATATTTTCCCATAGCTACACTCTTCCTAGGGAAGCCCACGGTGTCTTACTGATGTATGCCTTTTCTTGTAGCCACTTGACTGTATTTTATGTGTTTTTAGAAGAGTCTTTTATTGTGTTATGTATGGTAATGGCAAGCAGGTACCAAACTAGCTAAAATGTAATCAACTTCAGCAACATACACCCATTGGCATGTATGTGCATACACACACATTCATACACATACAGGATGCACTGTTTTTCACCAAATTTAGATAAAAGGAGACTCAGAATTTCATGAGTGATTTAATGACACACTCTTGGGGACATTACCAAGTGCCTTTAATCAGCATAATATAGTACCAACATAACGTTTTTATTGTAACTGCCTGAGGGGTTCTTGCTGTCCGCTGCATAAAGAAAGACCATGGCATTGTAGTTGAGAAAGGGTTTAAAAGACAGAAGGCTGGCCATACCACATGGAAGGTGGAATTCTTAGTCAAAACCTCTCTAAAGCTTCTACGGTAGGGGTTTTTCAAAGGCAGTTTAGGGGAAAGTGTGGGAATGGCCAGGTAACAGGTGTCTGCTGCTGATTGGTTAGGGTGGAGATGAAATCACAGGGGGTGGAAGCTGTCCTCCTGCAGGCTGAGTCACTTCTGGGTGGGGCCATGAGAGTGGGGTTGGCAGTCCAGGTGGAACCATCTGGTCCGAGTGGAACCATGGGTATCAGACATGCAAAAAACCTGGAAAGATATCTCAAAAGGCCAATGTACAATAGTGGTATTATTTGCAGGAGTAACTGGGGAAGTTGCATATCTTATAACTTCTGGAATAATGGCTGACAGTCCTTTATGTCTGCACCTTAGCAGGACTCAGGAGCCCCTCCTCCCCACAAGCCTGATGGCCTCCATTAGCTTTACAAAAGTGGTTGAGTTTTGGGCAAGGTCTGTTATCATTTAAATTAAATGCCTAAATGTCTTCCAAAGTTAGCTTGGCCCAGTAGCTCAGGAGTAATTAAAGGAAGGCAAGATGGGGGCGAGGGGGTGGGTTAGTTCAGTTCACTGTTATAATTTTTCTCACTGATATAATTTTTTGCAAAGGCATTTTCACTATAACCAAAGTAATGAAATAATAAAGATTATATCTATTGAGGATAGCAAAGAGAGAAGCTTATGAAAGCATCAGTGCTGGTTTTTACTTTTTTCCAAGACCTAAATATAAAGAGAAATATCTAAAGTATTTTTGTACAGTGATGTCGATAGCCAGGTGATTTAGTACATTTTTATAGACACTCAGGAAGTCAGAAAATATAGAGCCAGCTTAGTATAAGCCATGAATCCTTTCTACTTCCTTTCCCATGAGATTCCCCATCTGTGTACTAGCTTTGATCTGGAGTCACAAACAAAGGCTATCTGTTTATTCAGGAGATCAAATGCTACTTTTGGTGTAGACCCTGGGGAAACTCAGAAGAAGGACATAAGCTTTGGGACTACATTGATTTTCAAAGTGTTGATCTGAATAATCCATGACATATTTAGTTTCTTTGGCTGTTAGAAGATGTACACAGAGGTGATGAACTCAGAGGGCTTTGTTCTCTCAGCATAAATCCCTTCTTTTCCTTTTGCTGTGGTCTTCTTTATATTAACAGAAAATGCTCTAAATGGAAAAGCTCCAGTTACACATCTTGCCAATAATATGGTAACCGTACCTAGTGTTTCTCTGATTTCTCTGTTTTCAAAGATTGTTTTAAAACTAGATACATATTCCTGAGGTCGTTGCTGATTCTAGTATGTCATACTTTGAACTAATTTTTCTCCAAAAATTCTTAATAAAATGCACATATTTTAAAATAGATTTTTAGAGCAGTTTCAACTTTGTAAAAAAAATTAAGCAGAAAGTAGAGTTCCCATAATCCATCTCTCCCCACCAACAAAATTTTCATGCTTATTAACATTTTGCATTGGTATGATATATTTATTATAATTGATGAGCTGATATTGACACATTATTATTAACTAAAGTTCATAGTTTTTATTAGGGTTCACGCTGTGTTATACAGTTTTATGAGTTTTGTCAAATGTAAAATGGCATGTATTCAACATTACAATATCATATAGAATAGTTTTACAGTCCTAAAAATTATCTGTGTTTCACCTATCCATTTCTCCCTTTCTCCACTCAAAGTCTTGGTAGCCAATGGTGTTTTTACTGTCTCTACAGTTTTGTCTTTTCCAGAATGGCATATGATTGGAATCATATAGTATGTATCATTTTCAGACTGGCTTCTTTCACATACTAATTTAAGGTAAAAAGTTGAGCATTTAAGATTACTGTATGTCTTTTTATATCTTCATAGCTCATTTCTTTTAAGCGCTGAATAATATTCCATTGTCTGGAAGGACCACAGTTTATTTATCCACTCACCTGTTGAAGGACATCTTGGTAGCATCCAATTGTTGGCAATCACATCTGTATGCAGATTTTTGTGTGGACATAAGTTTACAAGTAATTTCTGCAAATACCTAAGAGGACAGTTGCAAAATCAGACGGTAAGATAATGGTTAGCTTTGGAAAAAATTGCCAACCTGTTTTTCCAAATAGCTGTACCATTTTGTACCCCAAGTGGCAATGAGAGAGAGTTCATATCAATCCACATTTTTGCTGGCATTTGGGCTTGTAATTGTTTTATATTTTATCAAATATATATTTTCAGAATTTATTCTGCCAGTCTTTGATTTGGGTTTTTATTTTCTTAATAGTACCATTTTCGAGAAAGAGTAATTAATGTTAATAAAGTCCAATTTATCTTTCTTCATGAATCATGCCTTTCTTATGTTTCTTAAAAATCACAACCAAATACAATTTACCTAGATTTTTTTTTCTTATCTTCCAGAAGTTTTATAGTTTTGCATTTGCGTCAGGTATATGACCCATTTTGAGTCAAATTTTGGGTAACAGCTGAGTCTAGGCTCATTATTTTGCATGTAGATATGCAGTTGTTTCAGCACCATTTATTGAAAAGACTATCTTTTCTCTATTGATTTGCCTTTATTCTATTGCCAAAAATCAGTTGATTGTATTTGTGTGGGTCTGCTTTTGTCCTCCTTATTTTGTTCTATTCAACTATTTGCCTATTCTTTCACAAATACAAAAATGTCTTGATAATTGTAGCTTTATAATAAGTTTTGAAGTTGGACAGCGTCAGTCCTTCAAACTTGTTCTTTTCCAATATTCTTTCGGCTTTTCTGGGTCTTTTGCCCCTTCACATAAACTTTTGAAATAGCTTGTCAATATCTACACAATAACTTGCTGGGATTTTGATTGGGATTTGGTTGACTCTATAGTTAACTTGGGAAAAAATGACATCTTGACAATATTGAGTCTTTTTATTCATGAACATAGGATATCTCTCCATTTATTAAGATCCTTGATTTCTTTAACGTGAGTCTTGTAGTTTTCCTGCCATGTATCAGGTACATATTTTGTTAGATTTATGCCTAAGTAGTTCATTTTTTTAATAGTGCTAATGAAATATACATACTTTTTACTAGCCCTTTCATCTTTATAAGCTATACATAGATTTAGTCATAGTAGTCTAAAGATTTTAAAATGTTCTTGTTTTCGTGTTTGTTTTCTTTACTCAAAATGAGTCTTTACTGGCATATTTCCTTTCATATTTTGAACTCACATTGTTATCAATCCTGCATCTATTGAAATTCTTGTATTTACAATAATCTCTGCATGAAAAACCATATCTGCTTAAGCTTATACACAAAATCCACTACAACTCAGTTCTTGGGACAGTATAGGCTATTAAAAATAAAATCTTTAATAAATTACTATCTCTTGGTGAAGTTGCAACTTTTTTTTCTGTCTGGAGCGTAGTGGTGCGATCTCGGCTCACTGCAACCTCCGCCACCCGGGTTCAAGCAATTCTCCTGCCTCAGCCTAATTTTTGTATTTTCAGTAGAGATACGGTTTCACCATGTTGGCCAAGCTGGCCTGTTAACTCCTGATCTCAGGTGATCTGCCTGCCTTGGCCTCTCAAAGTGCTGGGGTTATAGGCGTGAGCCACCGTGCCTGGCCTGAAGTTGTAAACATTTTTATAAAAATTTACGCAAAGTGTGATCTATGCCATTATTTTAGATGAGAAAATAATATGTTTATCAAAATGTCTATATTGATAGATCCATATATAAAACTAAATTATTATGGAGATAAAGAAAATCTTAAAAATGATTGGTATTTAGGTAAGTACAACTGAAACCTAAAAATATGATGTCATTTTTGGACAATCACAAAGAAAGTTATTCTGAAGAACGTAGTGGAAATCCCTCCTCTTTACAGCTAAATCAATTATTTTTTCACTACACAAGAGTACCCTCAAACATTTCATGTTATCTTGACTCTATGCTTTGGAAATAACTTAGTAGCATTCTATGCCACTGGCAAAGATGTCCCTGGAAAATAATCACCACATTTTTTCTACCTAACTTTTGGGGGTCCTTTTCCATCCCTCAGTGACCTTATCCCAGAGAGGTTTTGATTTATGGCTGAATATATCGTTTAAATATACAAGGATATAAATTTGATCTAAAGGAAGTAGTAAGTAGACATTGTAATTATATACTCTTCATTTTAGTGCCTTTTGGAGGTCAAAAATGGTTGCTCTTTTTAACATACCTGACAACAATTCGTGAAAACGCTGACGTCTACTAAACTTGACTTGGAGGGCTTGTATTCATTCTCTACATTTGCTCAAACTAAATTAATTCATGGGAGCAACTGATGAGATAAAAAGACTCAGAACATGTATTTAAACCAAAATAATGAAGTCTTAGAATCTTTGTCAGTGAATAAAGAAGTCCCTAATATTTTCATTCAAAAGAGGTCCTGGTTAATTCTAGAGAATTGACACATTAGAATACGCTGTGGATGTCTATAATACCTACTCCATTAGATCTATTGTTAGAAAATTGCACTTGACATATCTAACTCCACACACATTGCATAAATTGCCAGGTTTTGAGATGACCTCTATTTGTCTTTGTGGGGTTTCATAAAGCTGTGCTAGTGTAATACATTGCTTTGTCTACCCAGCTCTGTGTTTAAAGGTTTATTTGATCAGATTCTGGATGAAATGCTCTGTGTAACATCATTTGTGTGTTTCCTAAGTAAAGTGCTTGAATTTGTACTTGCATATTTCTTATCCATTTCCTTTTTGTATGACATTGGCACACTTCAGAGAAAAGATGGTTTATAGTGTATTTGATTACACAGTTAGACATAACAGTTTAGCACAATATGCTGTAATCAGGACTACTCAGAAAAGCAATTTAGTCCTGATCTTGTCAAATTAAGTGTGTATTGAATGTATATCTCACCCTCACCATAAAGAGCTATTTTGAGGCAGGAGTGAGCAAAAGAAAATGATTGTTTGTTGTCATTATTTTCTTTTAAGGAGTAGATTGGTAGAATCAGTTGAACTGTCATGAGACTAATCTTCCAATAATTTTTTTTGTAAGACTGTGGGTATGGTGTGTAGTATGGATAATAATATCAAAGATGAAATAAGCTTGGAATGAAAACGAGAAGAAAAAAGAGATGATATATAAATAAATGGATGTTTGTGTGTGAAGCAGAAAGAAACATTAAAGGAATGTTAGAATAAAGAAAGGCAGAGGAGTCATAAAGAGTAATGCACTCTTATTCTTTGCCTACCAGGTGCTGTCATATTACTGACGACCATTCCAAAATCTGACCTCACCATATCTGTACTCTAAAAAATTTAACTTATCTCTTCCGAGTTTTATACTGATTGAGCTAACAATACAGCTCTGCAAACTATCTCCCAGTATAGTCATCTGGCTGTGATCACAGGTGGCTTTTGATATTTGTGGGATATGTTGTCTGTGTGGGTTTCAACTGGGTTCTAGAAATTACCTCTTCTTTTCTTCTACCACCTTTTCTGTGCATATCACTTATTAATAAATATAAAAGATTTAAAAAAGTGTTTATTTAGTAGTATGTTACTTTGATCATGCCAGAAATTTCTTAGGGAAGAATCAAATAATTATATACTCAGTAAAGTTTCCTATTCCAACTATGTTAATTTTTGTGACTGTCAATATTATCAAGGGTGTGGAAAGCAGGAATTCTTACATAATGGTAAAAGATGTGTAAAAGATGTAGAGTTTATTGAGGGCAATTTGTCAATATCCACCCAAACTGGAGAAGGTACCTTTCCTTGATAAAACAGTCTAATTGAATTTACTTACAAAATATAGTCATTAATATTTGCTGAATACATGTGCAAACATGCTCATTAATATTGCTTTAATATAAAACAAAACTAATTAATTGGTTTCAAGAAAACTCTCTATCAAGTGTGTGTTAGTTAAGCAAATTATAGCACATCTTTATTCTGCTGCTGTCAGAATAAATGAAGTAGATCTGTAACAGCTGTTAGGGAAAAACATCTAAGATATATTATTCAGTGCGAAACACAGGCACATCTCAGTGTGAAGAGTTTAGCCATTTGTGTGTAATTATGTGGCACCACTTTAGGAATTCTTGATACTATCCAAATCTGAGTTTATATATTTCAACTTTCTGTTGTAGCTTACCAGAAAGAAGTAAAATTTAACATGCTAGGTTTAATGTCTGTTTTATTTCCATAAATAAATGAACAAACAAAATAAATAAAACATCATAAAGGATATTAACATAGCTGAGAGGGAAATCCTAAGCTATGTAGAGTCTTCAAATTGTTTGACTTATTCCCCGTTAATGCAGACATAGTTGTAGGAACTGGGAAGTATAATTAGTCTTGATCTCTTTCAAGCCCTATCATAAGGTACGTGCCATATTCCAATTAAACACATTTAATTTATCTTAACCAGTGGTGAAAACTTCCACAAGGCTTTTTCCCCTTATTTAACTAAAGAGCTTTCCTCATTAGAAACCAAAATAGTCAATTTTTTTGGTAATGAAATCTATGTTATTTTGAAGGAGTAGGCTAAAAGAGCGGGCTAACCCATGTGAGTCCAACAGATATGCTCCACCTCTAGAGAACAATGTAACAATAACATTTATCATGTTTTTCTCAAATATATTTATAAGTGCTTTCTCTTCTCCCCTAGAGAGGAAGATTCTCTAGGGCAGAATGTGTCTCTGGGTCCTTTGAAGTCCTTACACAGAAGTGAACTCTATTGACTCCCTATTTGGGAGAAAGATTTTGATTATTGAAAACAATGCCCTGTGCAATTAAAGGGCAAATAGCCTTAGAATAATCTGCTGCAAATTTGTGTTTTAGAAATACTTCCCTGATATCAGTATGCGCAAAATCCGTTTTGTTCAACTATTTAAAATTGTGTTTCTTATGTGTTTAAAGTTTCTCAATTTGTCCTATATACATTTTACCCTCATTACAGAGGCCTCTTCCCAAATTTTGAGGACTGTGCTGAATTTAAGAATTTTCCATTTTCTTCATTTTTCTGAAACCCTCTGCTGACCCATGTCTAGTGGTATACAGGTCATCGCATAGCCTAGGGGAACTTCCATATGATTTCTGTCCCTAGTTCTATGTTTACACCTGCACATCCTGTTTTCATGGAAGAGGGCCAGGTAAATGACAGTCTGCTTTCTTTGGCAGAGATGTATATTCACCTTTTACTTTGAGATCTCCATGAATTCACTGATGAACCAAGCTGCCACCTAGAGCAGAAAACATAATCACTGACAAATAATAACGTTCTATTAATTGTGCTATTTTTTTCTCACAGACAGCCTCTCACTGAGAAATGATTGAGAGCAAGTTGAACTATTTCAGAAGCTGTAGAATCTATTTTAGGTGATAAGGGCACCATTTGGTGCACTGAAGTAGTAATTTACTAGTGGCCTAAGAAGATCTAATGAAGCTTTCAAAGGCATATGAAAGACTTGAAAGGATTATGTACCAAAAAATTATTTTAACATAAATGAAAACATCAACTAAAAAAGACGTATGAACTGTTCTGAGGTAGCAATCTAGAAACAAAATTTAATGGGTAAGAAGAGATTTGGGAAGAAATGAAAACACATAAAACAGATTTAGAAAGAAATGCAGAAATTTTTCTACATATATACATATATATACACATTATATCCACATAAATTCATTGGCATATGTGAGGGAATGTGTGACATAAATTGTTTACATTTAATATAAGGTTTTAATTAAATTTATATTACAAATTTCAGAAATCATCATGAAAACTGTCAGTTTTTATACTGGGTAGACAAGTTATAACTATATAGTACAGAACTAAATTATGGCATAGAGAATTACATTTTGAACAAGATATTTTTCCTAAATAAATTGATTCGTTTAGTCAGTAATCAAGTTAATATTATTTGAAAGTTGTCAAAATGCATAAAAACTGGCATACTGTATAGAAACACTGTTTCTAATTCATTACAAAAATTATGCACTGTTTAAGTTTGAAGAGAGAGTTTTTCTAGGAATCAAGATTTCTCCCCAGCAGTGGGGAAATACGAAGGATTCTGCCCTTTGCCAATCTAGATCGGCTTCTTCATTCTTCTCCCTGGTCTGCTCATGAAAGCGGGATCTCCATGGATGAAATGCACAAGGTCTTTTCTTTGTTTGGCTGATGGAAGCACTAGCCAGAAAACAAAGGAAAGGAAGCAAAGTCAAGGTATTTAATCTTGCTCCTCTCTCCCTGCATGGTTAGTTCTTTGCATGAAGGTGACCCTCTCTGGATTTAGGGGACTTTTTCCATACTAGGGGACCTCTCCACCGAGGTCACCCTCTTCACACAGAGTGCCCACTTCCCAAAAGGGTCTCTCTCCCCACAACCCCCTCTCTGCTTTGGTTCTGGTAAACACGTGGCCCCTTGCTTTACCTATTCAGAGCAAAAGCAGTAACTGCAGCAACTTTCATCAGACCCAGGGCACCACATTCTTTCTTGTGGTATCTTATATTTTGCTTGTACTTTTAGAAATATTTTGTGTATTAATTTTTCCTTAAAGAATACCAACCTTAGTGTGCAATTTACTTAGTGCCACAGTGCTAATTCAAGTTATGTTTCTATTTAACCTCAGTGGTGGGAGAATTTACACTGGAGGTAATTGAGATCTCATAGAGAAAATAGCCAGAAAAAGCAAGAGTAATCAATGAAAGCCTTAATAGACTTCAGATTTGATTCACTAAGCAGCACACTAAAAGGAATATCAGTGAATTCCCACTAAAGGTCTTCAATGAGAAACACTAGGTCTTACATTATTTTGCATTTACAATCTTGATGTGCAGATGCTTACCTGTGGTCCTTTCTCATCTTATCACATCTCCCACCCCATTTTTACCCAGTATTTACCATTTTGTTTCTGTTCTTAGAGAAAAACTAGGCAGACTTTTACTTATTTGGATGGTTGGGTTTTAGCTTTTTGCATCTCTGAAAATATTGAATCCTGCCTTTCTCTCTTCTATACTCATTGCTCCAATCCAACTGTAGTTGGAATGGTCAGCTTCTCTTAACAGTAGTCTCATCTCCCTTCTTCCTCACAGATGCCAAAGGAGAAACATTCTAAGATGTGGTCTTCCTTTATTATCTCTCAGCTTCTTTTTATATCCAATCATCATTTAACAGTATTCCCCCCAAAATGCATAAAGATAATGCACGTGTTGATTTTTAACACAATTTATGTAGATTCCAAAAAGTTATATGAAATGAATTTACAAATATTTACATTTTTCATAAGGGCAACCTGAATTTTGGATGTGATGTGCTTAATAATAACTCTGAAGGAGGATTGGAATTAAAAAATGGATATATGATATTCATGAAATATTATAGATATTCCCATTAAAACTGTGAAACAATAAAGGCTGATTTTTATTAGCTGAAATTGTTCTAAAAGTTCATAAGTGCAATTACATAAGAATCAGAAATAAGAAATATAAATAGGAATCTTAGAATGTAAAACATATAAAACATATCTGCAATTGTACCCAGTGTTGCCTTTTCTATTTTAATTCCTTTTTACTCTTCTACTACTTTCTTTCGGGTTAAATATACATTTTTAAAACTCCATTTTAATGTATAGTGTTTGCACTATAACTCTGCATAATTTCTTTAGGTATTGCTCTAAAGATTGCAATCTACAATTTAACTTCTACAATTTACAATGCAGTTACTATTAAAGCAGTTCACAGAAAATTTAAGAACCTTGCAACTAAAAGATTTGTTTATCCCCCTCTTTCCTTACTTTATCCTGTAGTTGTCATATGCATTACATTTACATACACAACTGCACAAAACTATTTTATGAGTTGTTATTGTTATTCCTTTTGTATTAAACAGTTGTATGTGCTTTAAAGAAACTATAAAGAGAATAGTCTATTTTTGTATTTATTCATAGATTTATCATATATGGTGATCATTTTTGTTTCTAAAGATTTGAGTTTTCATCTGGTGTCATTTCTTTTCAGTCTGAACAGTTTTTTTGGTTGTTTCTGTTAGTGTATCTCTTATGGCAACACATCTTGTTAGTTTTATTTTATCAAAAAATATCTTCATTTGACTTTCATTATTGCTGGATGTTTTTGCTCTACAGAGTATTCTCAGTGATACTGTTTCTCACTGTTTCTACAGATACGACAAATGTAACTTGCATCCTGGACCTGCTGAATATGATATGCTGCTTTCTCTGTGTTTCAAGATTTTCTCTTTATTTTTGGTTTCCATCAATTTGACTATGATTTTGCTAGATGACATTTTCTCTGTATTTATCTGCTTAGACCTTGATGAGTTTCTTGAATCTTTAAAGTATTCCCCTAAGTTTAGAAGACTTTTGTCCATCTGTCTTCAAATATTTTTTTTTTATCCCCTTATCTTTTAGTTCTGGTACTTTACTCCAATTATACTGTTATTAAACCTTTTGATATTGATTTAAAAGTTATTGACACTGTTAACTTTTTTCATTTTGTTGCTGTTCTACATATATGATGATGTTTGTTGGCCCATTTTCAAATTTAATGACCTGTTTTCTGTTAGGTTCAATCTGTATATAACTCCATAGATTTACTTTACAGAATATATTGTGTTCTATAATTTTCATTTGATATTTTTCTGTTTTTATTTCTCTGCTGAGGCTTTCTTTACAGTCATTAATTATGACAATGTGTATAATAGCCTCTTTAAAATACTTGTTTGCTAATTCTACATCTGAATCATCTCATAATTAATTTACATTCAGAACATTTTCTGTTAATAGGGGCCAAATTCTCTTTTGTTTACATGTCTATTAAATTTGACTTGCATTCCCAATTTTGTAAATGACATTAAGCAGAGATCCTTGATTTTCCTTTGTTCCTCTGAAAAGTATCTATTTATTTTCTTTCGTAGAAAGTTACTTTGACTGGACTTAAACTGTAAACTCTGTATCCCTCAGATGGGCAGGAGGTGGAATGTCTCTTCAATTATTTTATTCTTAGCTAGGCTGTTCATTGTCTGCTCAATGCATGCATAGCTTAGGGGTTAGCTATAATTTACACAGAATCCATATCCAGAGGCTATACCTCTGTGGCAAAATAAAATATCCTATGTGTTTTAGTTAGTTAGTTAGTTTTAGTTAGTTAGTTTGTTTGTTTATAGAGGCTGCCAACATTCCTTCACTGTGGTTTCCTTTCTCCATCTTCAAAGCCAGCACTGCTGCACCTTCCTGACCCTCTGCTATACTTCTATAGTTACATCTATCTCTGATCTTAGGAAGGGCATTTCACCTTTAAGGACACATGTGATTAGTTTGGGTTTACTTGGATCATTCAGAATAATCTCCCATCTTAAGGAACTTAGTCTTAATCACATCTGCAAAGTTCTTTTGCTATGGAAGTTTACATATTCACAGGTTCCAGGGCTCCAGGGATTATCACATTTCACGGGGGTATATTTTTCTACCTACCACACCACCACCCTACATATGCTTTTTACGAGGTGATGCAGAAACTTGCTCATCAACAGGCAGTGGTCTATATTCCTTCCCCTTAAATCTGGACAGGCCTGTGACTCATGTGGAAGTGATGCTGTATAACTTTTGAAAGTAGGTGGTAAAAAGTAATACAGTTTCCATGTACTATTTCTTAGAATGCTTCTTATTGGAGCAAACCGCATGCTCTGAGACTGCCTTCTGGAAAGCAGCCCCATTTGAGATATCAATCAACAGTTAACATCAAGTTCCATGAGTGACAGTCTTTGAGATGACAGCAGCTCCAGCCACCATATAATGGCAACCCCATGAGAGAACCTTGAGAGAGTTGCCTAGTAATGCCCAGGCAACTCCCAGAATTGTGAAGGAAGAAATATGATGGTTGTTCTTTTTAAATAAGTTTTGGCTGTATTTTTTATTTAACAGTAGATAACGTTAATACCTCACCGGCTTCGTTCTTTCTGTGTTTTTCCTCTTACGCTCCAGCTGCTCTGTTTACCCCAAATTCTGCCCTCTGGTTTCTCAAGCCACTAAAACTGTAGGTTTGTATTGTTCTCCATGGTGCCAATTGTGGCCTGCTTTCAGGCCAAAGGCCAGGACTCATGAAGTGTCGTTCCTTTCATTCAAGTGCAGAATATCCACTAGATTCTGTGCTTTGTTCATTTTCTAGTAGCTTCAGGTGAGTGTTTGGGTTTCTCATTTTATCCAGAATTTACAGCCGTTGTGCATGCAGGAGGCTTGGTCTCATAGAAGCATCTATGTCATTGTCAGAAGGGGAAAAATTGGTAGGAATAGGTTCTGAAACATGCTCACTAATTTGTCAAGTTTCTATTTTAGAGTATTTCAAAAATAAAGAGATATATGTATGTTCCAGTGTATCTTATATGTATATCACATCCATTTTATTTTATCAAGTCTTAATAGGGTTATTAAATCCAAATCACTTTGTTGTATTTGCCCTCTTTGACTATACTTGCATTTCTAACATAAATTTTATATGGTACATTTAGAAAAATACAGTGTTAGATTAAAGCTGTTAGCAATCTATTGGGGAATTTTCATTAATATTTATAAGTGGGGAAAGCTTTTCATTTTACCTGAGTATGTGTGTAACTAATTGGAATGTTACAGAACAGATGGCAGATTCAAAACTGAATTAAATGATTTCCATTTTTTTCTGAAAAAATATCTCTTTACAAAGGTTCAAATAAATATTAATTATTTTTTTCTGAAAGATTTAATAAACATGATTTCAAATCCATCTTGGCTAGAGGTGACTTTAGTTGGTGCATTTAATTTCTACTTCAATATTTTTCTATCCATTTTTGTCTGCAACTGTTCACTTCAAATGGGATATCTTGCCTGAGAATTATTTTATAACTGTTTTGTTTAGTTGCTAAGCATTATCAGATAATGATTTATTTATTTTTCCACTTTGGTCAGGGATTAACTCTGTACTGTACCAACTTTTAAAAATTATTTTTATGGCATTTAGCATGTTGTTTAGCTTGATGAATTTCCTATGTATCCTAAACAGATTGTATATTCTCTTAGTTTAGGAGGAGTGATCTATCCATAGTGTGAAGCTGCTTGATAGTGCTTTTCAAGTTTTTTATATCCATGTTGATTTGTTGGTTAATTTCTATATCAATTAATGAGACAGGAATGTTGACATCTTCAACTACAAATGGAGATGTGCCCATTTCTCCTTCCTTTTATTTTTCTGTGTTATTGCTTCTATATATTTAGAAGCTCAGTTATTGGAGGTACCCATATGTAAAATTATTATAGTTGCTTGTTGAATTGATGCTTCTATCAATATAAAATGCCTCTCTTTGTTCTGGTAACATTTCTTCTTGTGAAGTCTACTTTGAATTATATTATACAGCCACTTTAGATTTTTTATAATTAGTGTTTGTGTGTTATTTCATTACTTATTTTTAACATATCTTTATTTTCATATTAAACATTGTTTTCTTATAAACAGCATATAATTAGTTCTTTTTAATGCAATAAGGCAATGAATACTATTTAATGAGGGTTTTCAGGCCATTTGTATTTAATAAAATTAGCAATGTTTTGTTTGAAATCTATTATTCCTGTCATTTGTTTCCTATTTACCACCTTTCTCCCTTTTTCTGTTTCTTATTTTTCTGCCTTATATTAGATTAAATATTTGGATTATGTGAGTATGTTTTGATCAATGAGTATTTCAAATATTTTATCTCCACTAAAGGCTTTGTAGCTATAGTGTTTTAGTCACTTTTTTTTTTTTAGTGATTACTTGGAACTTTAAAATATACTTTTTAAACTTGTCAATATATCTCTTCAACTAACATTGTACCATTTCATGTCTAATTTGATAATTTTAATGATTATATTTCAATTTTTTCCTTCCTTTGTGTGATTTAATATTTTAGTACTACATATGTCTTGTCTCCTATAATACATTATTTTTAAGTTTATTTACAATTTATTCTCTTTTACAAATTGAAAATTGGCATAATTTTTTTAATTTATTTGTCTACATATTTACCATTTTGGGCACTCTATTTCTTTGTGCACATCCATGTTTTCTTCTGTTATTCTTTTCTTTCTCTTGTACTTTAACATTTCTTATAGTAAAAGTCTGATGTTAATTATATTTCAGCTTATTATTTGAAAAGTTTTTTTAATCTTTATTTTAACATATCCTTTCAATGGATAAAGAACAAATGTTATGTCTATACAATAAAAATGTATAGTTACTTGACAATATTTTTTTCTTTAACAGTAAAGATAGTATTTTCATGTCTTCTTGAGTACACAGTTTCTCACCAGAAGCATGTGTTACATTTTATCTTTGTCCTTCTTTTTTGCTTGGGGATTGAATTTCTTCCATATATGGATTTTGAAGTTTTGATTATTCATCAAACTTAGAAAATGTTTGATCTTCCTACCCTGTCCTTCTTGGACTTTAATTACACATCAACCACATGCTATCATCTCTCAGATTACCAAAGTTTTCATTCTTTTTTCTGCATTTTTTTTCTGTTTATGCTGAATTTTCAATAATTCCCATTGCGTTGTCTTCAAGTTTACTAATAATTTATTGTTCAAGGTCTAAAAATGCAATTAATCTATCCATTGGATTTTAATTTTATATACTAATGATTTTTAAAACATCTTTCATTTTTATCTTCACTAGCTTCACGTATTTTTTTGATAAACTTTTAGTATCTGTTTTATTGTATTTGCTTATTCTACCATCTCTATTATTTCCAGGTTTCTTTCTATTATTTCACTCTCTTGGTTATTTTTCATAATTTCCTAAGTCTTAGCAAGTCTAATACTTTTTTATTATTGTTGCTGAATACTGAGTTTTGTATACTTTAAAAAAAGGGCTTTTTTTTTTTCTTTTTGGTAAACTGTTCATTTACTTTCAGTTCTATATTATCATTAGGAGGTTTATTTTAGTGTTTTTTTTAGGATTATCTAAAACAGCATTTACTCTCTGGGTAATTTATCACCATTACTTAGGCATGACCCTTCTGGGATTTCTAGTGCATGTTACATTTGATTACTGAGGACTCTCTGATCTGGTAGAAACAGAAATAATTCCCAGCCTTTTGTGAACTCTGGAAACCAATCAGCTCCTAGCTTGTCATTTTCATGACCTTGTGGAGATTTATCCTATACACAATATCTTAGTATTCAATAAATTTCAAAGAAATGCAGATTTTGAGTCTTTTTCTTAACTATTTCTCTTTCTTCAGAACTCTATCCTATAACCTCCAGCTGTATCCATGAACTCTGATCTTTGTCTTCTCAGCTTAGTAAGACTGTCATAGTCTATTGATCTTATTTCCCCCCTGCCCTGTGGCTCAGAATGTGCCTTGTGGCATGAAGCCTGGACAATCTTAGGATTCACTTCATACTTTTCCTTTTTTCAGGAGTCACAGCCATGTGTCCTCTGTTGTTAAACACTTGAAAATAATTGTTAAATACCTTTTGTCCTGTTTCCTAGAAGTTTAAGACGTGAAGTCAAATCCTATCCCTTTTAGTCCATTATTGCCAAGATAAAAAAAAATTGATTAAATATGTTTTTAAAATAATTTTAATGAAATTGTGAAAAAGGAGAAGTAAACAAACATTTTCAGTTTACTAACATAATTTGGAAATACTCAATTCCTTTTTTAATTTCAAGAGGTAAAATCCATGCCTATAATCTGTGCTCATGATAAATTTCAGAAAATAAATTAATGCTGTGTGCTCTTGAGATCAATCACCCATTTTAAAATTAAGAGATTTCTGCATCTGGGTTTTTTATCTACTAGACACACGCAAACATATCAATGCAAACATATGCTTGTGGAAACCATGGCTTATTTTGTTTTCTAAATATGCAAGCCAACCTCAGGCTATTTAGACAAAAAACAATTTTCACTCAAATTATTTTAGAGAATTACATACATTAACTGGTAATTTTTTTTATTGTGTAGACAATTCAATTAGAACAAAAATGCAGCAAAGGTAAACAAAATGTATTTCCTTGAAAGCTTTAATAGAGAATTCAACAACTCCAAAATTTCATCTGTCAAATAAGACATAGCGTCTCATACTCTTTAGGAAACTCATGTACCTATAAAATAATTAAGCATGAAGTTTAAAACAATATTGACCACATAAAGTTAATTTGCCAATTAATACACAAGTGTAATTACTTTTATCTCTATTCTATGACAGCAGATTTCTTACCCATCTAAACTGCAGCCTCGCTGCTGAATAATAAAGATAGGTTAATTTAGATAGGTTAATTTTTCTTCATTAATACATAATTGTAACAATTAAACAGGAGAAAAAGCTGAAATCTTACATGTGAATGATCTTTGAATTACGTAAAGTGAAACTACACTTTGTTAAAGAACTGCCAAATGTTTTGTGAGGACTTTTCTTTTGTGAATTGAAGTTAATATATAATTCTGACATACATATGATCATCGAGAAAAACACACTTTTAGAACCTATTTTATTAAACCATATAATCTTTTTATTGTTTCAGGAACAAACTATGAGTGTAGGACTTCTCCTGGCCCTTCCCTTTTCATTCCTCCAGACTTCTTCTGAGGAGTCTGTCATTCCCCACACACCACTCATTCCTTCAACCGTGTGGTCCTGCTTCCTTGTGCCCTGCCCATTCTTCTAAGAAATACAACCTGTTGTTCAATCATACTGGAGCCTTATTGTGGAGATTACAGTTATTTCAATTAGGAAGCATTCTCTTTTTTAAACATTTTTAATTTATTATTATTATTATTATTATTATTATTATTATTATTTGAGACGGAGTCTCGCTCTGTCACCCAGTCTGGAGTGCAGTGGCACCTTCTCGGCTCACTGCAACACCTCCGCTTCCTGGGTTCACGCCATTCTCCTGCCTCAGCCTCCCGAGTAGCTGGGACTACAGGTGCCTGCCACCATGCCCAGCTGATTTTTTGTATTTTTAGTAGAGACGGGTTTTCACCGTGTTAGCCAGGATGGTCTCGATCTCCTGACCTCGTGATCCGCCTGCCTCGGCCTCCCAAACTGCTGGTATTACAGGCGTGAGCCACCGCACCCGGCTGGGAAGCAGTCTCTTAAAAACAATCAACTTCAATTCTGGTTTGAACAATACTTTTGTTTTTTAATTAGCATAGGCATCAGTGGTTCATAGACAGGCACATATTAGGGCTGATTGAGCAGAGCTTCTGCCTGCTATCATCACTTGCTTACGTTTTCTCCAGATTGATGAAAGATGGCTACAGCATTTGCAGGTATATGTAAACATACAATGTTTTTCTCTTTCTTGAGAAGATGAAAACTTTTTCTAAGGCACGCAGTAAACTCTTGCTATCAGTGTCAAGACTTGCTTTACAAACCCATGTCCACCTAATTTTTGTCAGCCAGATTTGAATTATCAAACTGATCCACTGGAGATAAAACGTATAATGTGACCCAATAATTGGAGATGAAATAGATACTGTATATTCAGTCACTGGACGTGAAATGGCTACTGTGAAATCAATCATTGAAAGTGGGTGGATATTGTGACAATTTCCATGGCTACCACTTCACCCATTATGAAGTGAAGGGGCATGGGAAATGAAAAGGTGAAGGCCCAGAGGCTGGGAGGATTTAAATCATACATGAAGAGAATACTGGAGGGAAGGGAGAGAGAGAGAAAAAAAAAAAAAGATAATTCAAATTGTAGTTTGGCTGAGTTGATTGGAGTATTTTGGGAATTGCAAAGGGGAAGACTATTACTAGGCAGTATGGTATAGAATACTCTAAGAAGTTTGGCTGTGGTTTGTATTTGGCTATGGTTTATATTTGGAAAAAATATTTTTGGGTGCCCTAGAGAGACTTGAAAAATCATATTAAAATTTTGTTAAACAATTATTTTGTTGAGTTGAATCTCTGTAAAATATCCCTTTCATTGGATTGTCAGCAAAAGTTGTTTTTTACTTGTTTTAAAATACCAACAATTAGTTAAGAAAATAAATACATAATTGGTATATAAGTTATCCCATATGCATAAGTTTTGTACTTCAAATTAAAAGCAAAACTTTGAAATATCTAATTTGCTAGAATTTATACTCCTGAGTTTGTGAATTAAAATGATATAGAATAAAATCTAGAAAAGAATCTTGGGAAGTACAAAAATTTGCTAATTGTTGTGTCACCAATCTATGACAAAGTTAGAAAATGAAATACTCAGAGTCTTAATCCAATGTCGTCAACTTAAAATGAAAATATTAAGCTAGGAGATTCCAGAAAGCTTTCCTAGAACACTGATATTTGCTTCTACCTGTTCATTCATCCCACAAATACCCATTTAATACTGTCCACATGCAAATAACTACCATGAATTTCCTATATGTTTCTAAGACATTTCTTAGATTGTTTCTCTTTCACAAATATAAAAACTATATACATATAAACTAATGTTCAGAGAATAGAGAATGAACAATTAACATCATGGAAATGTTATAAAAGAATTTAAACTCCTACAAATTACATATGTTTTATTTAAATATTTCATTGAAGCATAAAATGTGCAAAAAGCACATTTCATGCTTGTGATATAAATATCACAAATGACAAAATATCACAAAGGAAATACAACAACTAATCAAACATAAACTAAGGGATATACTTTGTAAACACATGTGCTCATTTTCTTTAACTATATATCTAGAAGCAGAATTCCTGGGTCAGAGAGTAGGAATATGTTCAAGTTATTAGAAACCGACAAACAGTTTTTCAAAGTTGTTAAACAAATTTAATTTTTCACCAGCAATGTATGAGTTTCAGTTGTTCTGCATTCTCACCAATCCTTGATGTTACCAACTTTAACAATTTTTGCCAGACTAGCTGACACCTCGATTTTAGCTGTGTGAGACCCTAACAGAGAGCCAGACAAAAGAACTTGGCTGTCTGAGCTCTTGAAATATGAGATAATTAATGAGTGTTGTTTGAAGCTGCTAAGTTGGTGGCAATATTTTTATAGTGGCACAATTCAAAATGAATACGATCTCAAGCAGAACTGCATTACAGGGAATACTTAATATAGTTCTTCAAGTTGGAATCATATCTGATGTGAAGCTGAATTTACAGAATTAAAGAGCTCTGGAAATGGGAAATATGTGGGAAATATAGTAAACGATTTTGTTAAGCTTTTAACTTTTTAAAATGATAACCTATTGTTTAAATCAAAGTGATAAGTTGTGTGTGAGGATTATGAAGAATATAGGTGACATAAAGATAAGAATAAATATGACATAAGTAGCACTTAGGATGGAGTGTGATATGTTATACTGTTGCAATCGGGGTCCATCTTGCTTTATTTCTTTTTTGTTATATTTGCAGGATGATATCCTTTTGTACATTTAATACTGATTTTTTTCTTTTCTGTTTATCTTTAGTGATTGGCAGTTTTGTAATATTGTTCTTTGGTGTGGCTTTATTTTTGTTTATGGACCTTGGAGTTGGTAGAATTTATTAAAGTCAAAGATTGCTGTTTTATATCATTTTTAGAAAACTGTTAGCCATTATCTTAATATATTGCATGTCCTCATTTTCTTTCTCTTCCTTTTCTGAGATTACAATTGCATACAAATGTTACAAATAATCTCCTTTCCAATATTATTTGCCTATGAAACCTGCTTTGTTCTTCATTCTTTTTTCTCTTCATGTTTAAATCTGGATCTTTTCCTCTAGTCTACACTCCAGATTATTAAATTCTTACTTTTGTCAATAGTGTTGATGCCAGTTATGAAATATTTAAGTATGTTTTCAGCTTATGTATTTTATGGTTTTTTACTTTATATTTTCCAGGTTTTTACCTTTTCTTCCAGTTTCGTAAGAGTGATCTTTTAACATCTGTCCAAGTATTTCCATTATCCGGAGACCCAGACAGTTATTCTTAAAAAAGTTTTTTATTCTATTGTCTTAATTTTTAGTGATATTCTTTGTATACTGATTTCTGTGTGTGTTTATCATATTACCTGAAAATTTACCTAAAAACTTGTGGCTTCGATGGTATTTTCCTCCAGAAAGGATTTACTTGTTTTCTTGCTGACAGCTTGGTTAGAGGTGCAAGCAGCCCTTTGTCACCACCAACTAATAAAATATTTACATAATTGGAAGTTGGGATTCAGTTCCCGACTTCAAGTTTTACCCAAACCCTTGGTAATTGCCAGGAATCTTCCCTTGTTGTAGGGCATGAACCTTAATATTTGTCCTAATGGCCTGGTGAGTGTCCGGAAAAGTTTGCTCATTTCTGCCTTTGAGTCATGCCATGGAATTTAGAAGATACCCACGGAATAAACAGCGCCACATTCTTTACCTGGTTCTCTCCATCACTCTTACAGACTGTGGCAACTTTCTCATGCCATTGAACACATACACTTTTCATATTTAGTGCCAACTATTTTAGTTGTTCTCAGTGGAAGAGATGACCTGAAGCCATCTAGTCCACCATTTTGAGAATGAACAATTGATTTTTACATAGGCTAACATTCACTAAATATTACCATAGACAAATATTCACTCCTGAAGATGTGAGACCACACACATTAAATGCTTCTAGTAGTTTTGGGAACATCATATCACATTCTTAGAAAGAAAATAGAAATAGAACCTACTCTTAAAATGAATAATCTGATCTACAATATTGCAAAAATGTGACCTAAATTGGTAAACAGGTTTTGATCACTAATTTGAACATAATCGACCTACTGACATTACTTATATTTTTATAATTCTCTGTGTGGATGCATAGGTGACATTACATGTAGAATTAAATCATTTTTTGGTGAATTTTATTTTTGTGAAAAGCAATAACCCATATAAACTATCTTGATCTTTAAGTTTTTCATAGGTTATATCAGTATATAAAAACTAATTTACTATGAAATAAATACATCATGTAAAAATAGCTTGATGTATTAGCATACTTATAAGGCTGATTTCCACTTTATTGGAATATCATATTGTAAATCTTTGCCTTAGTATTTGTAGTGCTGGTTTCATAGCACATGGAAACATGCAAGTTCCAGAACAGGATAAGCCCCCTGGAAGACCCTTGTCGAAGAAGTTGAGAGCAATGAGGACCTTGTCTGTTCCAATAAGTGCTTTGTACCATGAATAGAATTAAGACAATTTGCAAAATGATTACATATACTTTCCTTTTACTGACAAGACTAAAGGAAAAAAATTGAGCATAAAGATATATGGAACTTCAGGCCAGGCTCAGTGGCTCACGTCTCTAATCCCGGCACTTTGGGAGGCTTAGGTGGGTGGATCATGAGGTCAGGTGATCGAGACCATCCTGGATAACATGTGAAACCCCGTCTCTACTAAAAATACAAAAAATTATCCAGAGGTGGTGGCACACACCTGTAGTCCCAGCTACTCGGGAGGCTGAGGCAGGAGGATTGCTTGAACCAGGGAGGTGGAGGTTGCAGTGAGCTGAGATCGTGCCACTGCACTCCAGCCTGGGTGACAGAGCAAGACTCTGTCTCAAAAAAAAAAAATACATATATAGACTTCAAATTTGACCTATAAAAATGTATAAAGGGTTGTAGTTCAGGTAGAACAAGCAATATTAGAACAGTTTTACATTTTTAATTCATAATGTGTTACTAAACTCATAGTACAACTTTTACAAGTATGCTGATTTTAAAATGAGGAAAAGACTTGAATAAATATTTCTCAAAAGAAGACATAAAAATGACCAGCAAGTTAAAAAAAAATGACCAGCAAGTATATAAAAAAGATGCTCCACATTACTAGTCATCAGGGATTTCCAGCAAATCAGAACCACAATGAGACATCATCTTACTCCATTTAGGATTGCTATTATCAAAAAGGCAAAACCTAACAAATGCTAGCAAGGATGCAGAGACAGGGGAATGCTCATACATTGTTGGTGGGAATATTAAGTAGTATAGCCATTATGCAAAACAGTATAGAAATTCCTCAGAAAGCTAAATACAGAATTACTGTATAATTTAACAATCCCACTGTTGGGTATATATCCAAAAGAAAGAAACTCAGTATATCAAAGAAATGTCCAAATGGCTATGTTTTTTGCAGCACTATTCACAATAGCCAAGATATGGAATCAACCTAAGTGTCCATCAACAGATGAATGGATAAAGAAAATGTGTCATATGTAAACAATGAAATATTTTTCAGCCATAAAAAGGAGTGAAATCTTGTCATCTGCAGCAACATGAATGGAACTGAAGGTCATAATCTTAAATGAAATAAACCAGACACAGAAAGGCAAACTTCATATGTTCTCACTCATATATGGGAGTTAAAAAAAGTGGATGTCATGGAAGTAGAGAGTAGAATCGTGGTTACTAGAGGCAGAGAAAGAAAGAGGGTGTGAGAGATAAAGGGAAGTGAGTTAATGAGTGATATGGTTTGGCTCTGTGTGCCCACACAGATGTCATGTTGAGTTGTGATCCTCAGTGTTTGTGGAGGGGTCTGCTGGACGGTGAGAGAATTATGGAGGCAGACTTCACCCTTGCTGTTCTTGCAATAGTGAGTGAGTTCTCCTGAGATCTGGTTGTTTAAAAATGTGTAGCACTTTCCTCTTCTCTTTCTCTCTCCTGCAGGCCATCTGAAGATGTACTCAGTTCCCCTTCCTCCAAGATTGTAAGTTTCCTGAGGCCTCCCCAGCAGCAAAACCTGTATATCCTTCAGAACTGTGGGCCAATTAAACCTGTTTTCTTTAAAAATTACCCAACCTCAGGTATGCCTTTATAGCAGTGTGAGAACAGACTGATAAAATGGGTATAAAAATATTGGTAGGTGGAACGAATCAGTTCTAGCATTCAACAGTACAGTGAGGAAGTTACGGTTAACAATTATTTATTGTGGCTGCGGCAGGAGATGTCGAGGATGGGCAGAACCTTTGGTCCTGCATCCTCAGCGAGGTCTCCAGCCGCTCGTGCTCCAAGCTCCCTGTGGGGAAGAACATGCTACTGCTGGTGATTAGAGACTTCCAAGAATATGTAGAGCCAGGAGAAGACTTCCTGGCTTCTCCCCTGAGAAGAAATACTGCATCACAAGAAGACAAAGATGACAGTGTAGTTTTACCTCTGGGTGCGGATACACTTACACATAACTTGGGCATTCCAGTACTAGTAGTTTGCACAAACATCAAGTTCAGGGAGGTTCCAAGATGGCCGAATAGGAACAGCTCCAGTCTACAGCTCCCAGCGTGAGTCATGCAGAAGACGGGTGATTTCTGCATTTCCAACTGAGGTACTGGGTTCATCTCACTGGGACTTGTCAGACAGTGGGTGCAGGACAGTGGGTGCAGCCCACGGACCATGAGCTGAAGCAGAGCGAGACATGGCCTCACCCGGGAAGTGCAAGGGGTCGGGGAATTTCCTTTCCTAGCCAAGGGAAGCCATGAGAGACAGCACCTGGAAAATCGGGTTACTCCCACCCTAATACTCTGCTTTTCCAATGGTCTTAGCAAATGGCACACCAGGAGATTATATCCCACACCTGGCTCAGAGGGTCCTATGCTCATGGGGCCTTGCTCACTGCCAGCACAGCAGCCTGAGATCGAACTGCAAGGTGGCAGCAAGGCTGGGGGAGGGACGCTCACCATTGCTGAGGCTTGAGTAGGTAAACAAAGCAGCCTAGAAGCTCGAACTGGATGGAGCCCAGAACAGCTCAAGGAGGCCTGCCTGCCTCTGTAGACTCCACCTCTGGGGGCAGGGCATAGCTGAACAAAAGGCAGCAGAAACTTCTGCAGACTTAAATGTCCCTATCTGACAGCTTTGAAGAGAGTAGTGATTCTCCCAGCATGGAGTATGAGATCTGAGAACCAACAGACTGCCTCCTCAAGTGGGTCCCTGAATTCCGAGTAGCCTAACTGGGAGGCACCTCCCAGTAGGGGCTGACTGACACCTCATAAGGCCAGGTGCCCCTCTGAGACGAAGCTTCCAGAGGATTGATCAGGGAGCAACATTTGCTCTTCTGCAATATTTGCAGTTCTGCAGCCTCCGATGGTGACACCCAGGCAAACAGGGTCTGGAGTGGGCCTCCAGCAAACTCCAACAGACCTGCAGCTGAGGGTCCTGACTGTTAGAAGGTAAACTAACAAGCAGAAAGGACATCCACACCAAAATCCCATCTGTACGTCACCATCATCAAAGACCAAAGGTAGATAAAACCACAAAGATGGGGAGAAACCAGATCAGAAAAACTGAAAATTCTAAAAATCAGAGTGCCTCTTCTCTTCCAAAGGAATGGAGCTCCTTGCCAGCAATGGAACAAAGCTGGAAGGAGAATGACTTTGACAAGTTGAGAGAAGAAGGCTTCAGAAGATCAGTAATAACAAACTTCTCCGAGATAAAGGAGGATCTTCGAAACAATCACAAAGAAGCTAAGAACTTTGAAAAAAGATTGGACGAATGGTTAACTAGAATAAACGGCATAGAGAAGACCTTAAATGACCCGATGGAGCTGAAAACCATGGCACAAGAACTACGTAATGCATGCACAAGCTTCAGTAGCTGATTTGATCAACTGGAAGAAAGGGTATCAGTGATTGAAGATCAAATGAATGAAAGGAGGTGAGAAGAGAAGTTTAGAGAAAAAAGACTAAAAAGAAATGAACAAAGCCTCCAAGAAATATGGGACTATGTGAAAAGACCAAATCTATGTCTGATTGGTGTACCTGAAAGTGATGGGGAGAATGGAACCAAGTTGGAAAACACTCTGCAGGATATAATCCAGGAGAACTTCCCCAACCTACCAAGGCAGGCTAACATTCAAATTTAGGAAATACAGAGAATGCCACAAAGATACTCCTGGAGAAGAGCAACTCCAAGACACATAATTGTCAGATTCACCAAAGTTGAAATGAAGGAAAAAATGTTAAGGGCAGCTAGAGAGAAAGGTTGGGTTACCCACAAAGGGAAGCCCATCACACTAACAGCAGATCTCTCGGCAGAAACTCTACAAGCCAGAAGAGAGTGGGGGCCAATATTCAACATTCTTAAAGAAAATAATTTTCAACCCAGAATTTCATATCCAGCAAAACTAAGCTTCATAAGTGAAGGAGAAATAAAATCCTTTACAAACAAGCAAATGCTGACAGATTTTGTCACCCCCAGGCCTGCCTTACAAGAGCTCCTGAAGGAAGCACTAAACATGGAAAGGAACAACCAGTACCAGCCACTGCAAAAACATCCCAAATTGTAAAGACCATCGCTACTAGGAAGAAACTGCCTCAACTAATGAGCAAAATAACCAGCTAACATCATAATGACAGGATCAAATTCACACATAACAATATTAACCTTAAATGTAAATGGGCTAAATGCCCCAATTAAAAGACACAGACTGGCAAATTGGATGAAGAATCAAGACCCATCAGTGTGCTGTATTCAGAAACCCATTTCACATACAGAGACACACATAGACTCAAAATACAGGGATGAAGGAAGATCTACCAAGCAAATGGAAAACAAAAAAAAGCAGGGGTTGCAATCCTAGTCTCTGATAAAACAGACTTTCAACCAACAAAGATCAGAAGACATAAAGAAGGCCATTACATAATGGTAAAGGGATCAATTCAACAAGAAGTGCTAACTATCCTAAATGTATATGCACCCAACACAGGAGCACCTAGATTCATAAAGCAAGTCCTTAGAGACCTGCAAACAGACTTAGACTCCCACACAATAATACTGGGAGACTTTAACACCCCACTGTCAACATTAGACAGATCCATGAGAAAGAAAGTTAACAAGGATATCCAGGAATTGAACTCAGCTCTGCACCAGGTGGACCTAACAGACATCTACAGAACTCTGCACCCCAAATCAACAGAATATACATTCTTCTTAGCACCACATCGCACTTATTGCAAAACTGACCACATAGTTGGAAGTAAAGCACTCCTCAGCAAATCTAAAAGAACAGAAATTATAACAAACTGTCTCTCAGACCACAGTGCAATCAAACTAGAACTCAGGATTAAGAAACCCCAAACAGCTCAAGTACATGGAAACTGAACAACCTGCTCCTGAATGATTACTGGGTACATAATGAAATGAAGGCAGAAATAAAGATGTTATTTGAAACCAATGAGAACAAAGACAAAACATACCAGAATCTCTGGGACACATTTAAAGCAGTGTGTAGAGGGAAATTTAGAGCACTAAATGCCCACAAGTGAAAGCAGGAAAGATCTAAAATTGATACCCTAACATCACAATTAAAAGAACTAGAGAAGCAAGAGCAAACACACTCGAAAGTTAGCAGAAGGCAAGAAATAACTAAGGTCAGAGCAGAACTGAAGGAGATAGAGATAAAAAAATCCCTTCAAAAAGTCAATGAATCCAGGAGCTTGTTTTCTGAAAAGATCAACAAAATTGATAGACCGCTAGCAAGACTAATAAAGAAGAAAAGAGAGAAGAATCAAATAGATGCAATAAAAACTGATAAAGGGGATATAACCACCGATCCCACAGAAATACAAACTACCATTAGAGAATACTATAAACAACTCTACCCAAATAAACTAGAAAATCTAGGAGAAATGGATAAATTCCTGGACACATACACTCTCCAAAGACTAAACCAGGAAGAAGTTGAATCCCTAAATAGACCAATAAGAGGCTCTGAAATTGAGGCAATAATTAAGAGCCTACCAACCAAAAAAAGTCCAGGACCAGATGGATTCACAGCTGAATTCTACCAGAGGTACAAAGAGGAGCTGGTACCATTTCTTCTGAAACTATTCCAATCAATAGAAAAAGAAGGAATCCTCCCTAACTCATTTTATGAGGCCAGCATCATCCTGATACCAAAGCCTGGCAGAGACATAACAAAAAAAAGAGAATTTTAGACCAATATCCCTGATGAACATCGATGTGAAAATCCTCAATAAAATACTGACAAACCGAATCCAGCAGCACATCAAAAAGCTTATCCGACATGATCAAGTGGCTCCATCCCTGGGATACAAGGCTGGTTCAACATACACAAATCAATAAACGTAATCCAGCATATAAACAGAATCAAAGACAAAAACCACATGATTATCTCAAGCGATGCAGAAAATGCCTTCGACAAAATTCAACAACCCTTCATGCTAAAAACTCTCAATAAATTAGGTATTGATGGGACGTATCTCAAAATAATAAGAGCTATTTGTGACAAACCCACAGCCAATGTCACAGTGAATGGGCAAAAACTGGAAGCATTCCCTTTGAAAACTGGCACAAGACAGGGAAGCCATCTCTCGCCACTCCTATTCAACATAGTGTTGGAAGTTCTGGCCAGGGCAATCAGGCAGGAGAAAGAAATAAAGGATATTCAATTAGGAAAAGAGGAAATCAAATTGTCCCTGTTTGCAGATGACATGATTGCATATTTAGAAAACCCCATCATCTCAGCCCAAAATCTCCTTAAGCTGATAAGCAACTTCAGCAAAGCCTCAGGATACAAAATCAATGAGCAGAAATCATAAGCATTCCTAAACACCAATAACAAACAGAGAGCCAAATCATGAGTAAAACTCCCATTCACAATTGCTTCAAAGATAATAAAATACCTAGGAATCCAACTTACAAGGGATGTGAAGGACCTCTTCAAGGAGAGTTACAAACCACTGCTCAACAAAATAAAAGAGGACACAAACAAATGGGAGAACATTCCATGCCCATGGATAGGAAGAACCAATATCGTGAAAATGGCCATACTGCTCAAGGTAATTTATAGATTCAATTCCATCCCCATCAAGCTACCAATGACTTTCTTCACAGAATTGGAAAAAACTACTTTAAAGTTCGTATGGAACCAAAAAAGAGCCTGTATTGCCAAGTCCAGCCTAAGCCAAAAGAACAAAGCTGGAGGCATCACACTACCTGACTTCAAACTATACTACAAGGCTACAGTAACCAAAACAGCATGGTTCTGTTACCAAACCAGAGATATAGACCAATGGAACAGAACAGAGCCCTCAGAAATAATACCACACATCTACAACCATCTGATCTTTGCCAAACCTGAGAAAAACAAGCAATGGGGAAAGGATTCCCTATTTAATAAATGGTGCTGGGAAAACTGGCTGGCCATATGTAGAAAGCTGAAACTGGATCCCTTCCTTACACCTTATACAAAAATTAATTCAAGATGCATTAAAGACTTAAATAGACCTAAAACCACAAAAACCCTAGAAGAAAACCTAGGCAATACCATTCAGGTTACAGGCATGGGCAAGGACTTCCATGTCTAAAACACTAAAAGCAATGGCAACAAAAGCCAAGACTGAGAAATGGGATCTAATTAAACTAAACAGCTTCTGCACAGCAAAAGAAACTACCATCAGAGTGAACAGGCAGCCTACAGAATGGGAGAAAATTTTTGCAATCTACCCCTCTGACAAAGGGCTAATATCCAGAATCTACAAAGAACTTAAACAAATTTACAAGAAAAAATCAAACAACCCCATCAAAAAGTGGGCGAAGGATATGAACAGACACTTCTCAAAAGAAGACATTTATGCAGCCAATAGACACGTGAAAAAATGCTCATCATCACTTGCCATCAGAGAAATGCAAATCAAAACCACAATGAGATACCATCTCACACCAGTTAGAATGGTGATCATTAAAAAGTCAGGAAACAACAGGTGCTGGAGAGGATGTGGCGAAGTAGGAACACTTTTACGCTGTTGATGGGACTGTAAATTAGTTCAACCATTGTGGAAGACAGTGCGGCGATTCCTCAAGGATCTAGAACTAGAAATACCATTTGACCCAGTCATCCCATTGCTGGGTATATACCCAAAGCATTATAAATCATGCTGCTATAAAGACACATGCACACGTATGTTTATTGTGGCACTATTCACAATAGCAAAGACTTGGAACCAACCCAAATGTCCATCAATGATAGACTGGATTAAGGAAATGTGGCATATATACACCATGGAATACTATGCAGCTGTAAAAAAGGATGAGTTCATGTCCTTTGTAGGGACATGGATGAAGCTGGAAACCATCACTTAGAGCAAACTATCACAAGGATGGAAAACCAAACACCGCATTTTCTCACTCATAGGTGGGAACTGAACAATGAGAACACTTGGACACAGGGTGATGAACACCACACACTGGGGCCTGTCGTGGGCTGGGGAGTGGGGGGAGGGATAGCATTAGGAGATATACCTAATGTAAATGATGAGTTAATGGGTGAAGCACACCAACATGGCACGTGTATACATATATAACAAACCTGCACGTTGTGCACATGTACATGGAACTTAAAGTATAATAATAATAAAAAACAATTATTTATTGTATATTTCAAAATAGAAGAGAATCTTAATGTTCGCAATACGAAGAAAAGAACAAAGTTTGAGATGATGGATATCCCAATTACCCTGATTTAATCATTACTCATTGTATACATGTATGAAAATATCACTTGTACTTCCCTACATATGTACATCTCTGATAAACTAATAAAAGACTCAAAAAAAGTTAAATAGATCTTTTATGTCATAATATTGTTTTATTTTGAGAATCTAGTTTCTCATTTTCTTTTCCTTCCCTCCCTTCCTTCCTTCCTTCTTTCCTCCTTCTTTCCTTTCTTTCTTTCTTTCTTTCTTTCTTTCTTTCTTTCTTTCTTTCTTTCTTTCTTTCTTTCTTTCTCTCTTTCTCTTTCTTTCTTTCTCTTTCTTTCTTTCTTTCTTTCTTTCTTTCTTTCTTTCTTTCTTTCTTTCTTTCTTTCCTTCTTTCCTTCCTTCCTTCCTTCCTTCCTTCCTTCCTTCCTTCCTTCCTTCTTTCTTTCCTTCCTTCTTTTTTTCTTTCTAGACAGAGTCTTGCTCTGTCTCCCAGGCTGGGGCGCAGTGCCATGATCCTAGCTCACTGCAACCTCTGCCTCCCAAGTTCAAGAGATTCTCCTGCCTCAATCCCAAATAGCTGTGACTAGAGGTGCCCACCACCACGCCCAGCTCATTTTTGTATTTTTTGTAGAGACAGGATTTCACCATGTTGGCCAGGCTGGTCTTGAACTCCTGACCTCGGGAGATTGGCCCACCTCAACCTCCCAAAGTGCTGGAATTACAAGTGTGAGTCACCGCGTCCGGCCTAGTTACTCATTTTCATATAGTTAAATATATCAATCTTCATTTGTGGCTTTATCCTTCCCTGTTGAAGACTACAAAAACACTATCCTGTATTTTAATGCTATGATAATTATACAGTCAGCTTTATCATTTATACACTAATAGATTAATTGTTTAGACAGCTGTTAATGTGTATTGAAATGATTTTTAACTAAACATAAATTCTATCACAAAGATGATAATTCTAAGTCATACATGCAGAAAAGCCAAAATATCTGTTTCCAACAATGTTCATTCACACTGTGGCAATAATAAGCAGCAATGAAGTAACACTTTCTTCATTTTAAAGACATTCTTGTAGATTAAATGCAGAGTACTTCATGCCTTTTTTAGAAAGAATGTTTTTATTTAATAGTATTTATATGGATAGTATGAGAGTGGACACACTCTGGTATAAGGGAGACATAATTTATTTCGTGAATATGTGCCGTTTGGTTAAAAGACCATTACAGTCATAAGGATGTAAATCATTCAAAATGTAATAATTTAATATCACACGGGAGAAAAGAAAACAGTCTTGGGAATTTTTAATTTATATAACTGAAAACATCTTATAAAAATGTTAATCATAAGCTAGAGCAATATTGTTTGTATACAGTTAACATTTACAGTTAAAAATATCTATTGATGCCAGCTTCGTCCTAGTGATTCCTTTTTATGTAAGTACCCATTTGGTGTGTATTTACTGCAGCCTCTGGTTAGGGACCAGTGTTTGCAGATATCTGATGGTGAGCACAATGATAGCAAATCATTTCTGCACACTCAATGCAAGCAAGATGCCAAGAAAAGAACTCTTGCATATGCAGTTCCACTCAGATTCAAAGGATTTAAATCTATTTACTTTTTCAGCTGTGATCTAAATGATAAATTCCAAGCAAATTTCTCAACTGTGATTTAACTGAATGATGAAAATTTTTCTTGGGAGGAATCCATGGTTTACAGAGCTTAGCACCAAATAAAATTTCTTAGAAGTGAGAATTAATCATTTTTGGTAGGAGTTTTTTGGTATGAAAATATATCCTCCTTTTTTTCATACTACCCCAAGGCAACCTCTCATTGCTATTCATTGCTCACCACTGTGTGCAGGTGCCTCTTGGCTTAAGCACCTTTCACAGCATTGGCCATAGAAATGGCAAACAATCAATTACTGTTGACTGTGATTGTGAAAAAACTGGCTGGAGTTAATATTATGGGGGGAAATATACTATCTCTTCCTGATCACTGGAGCATATCATGTTATGCTACTTTCTATTCTGAGGGACAATTGTCTGTGGTGGAATAATCCTTTGAATTATTTTTTTCAGCCCAAAGGGAAGGAATTATGTCCTAGAACACAAGAGCATTCTGCCATTTCTAGCTAATGTAATGAATCAAATAACCAAAGCCATTGGATTGAACAGATTTTTCCTGTTGTGAGGATTTGGTATTTTTCAATAGATGTTGTCTTTAAAATGGAGTAACTAATGTATGCCTATAAACTTTGGGTAACCAGAGGAGTAGGTGGCTCATTAAATACTTTGAATTGTGGATTGTCAGGAGAGCTCCATGGTCAAAATTCTTTACTCTCATACTTACTGTTAGGCCTAGTGTATTAAAGGTAAATAATAAAACTTAATTATACATAGAAATTATTTACCCCAGTGCTGTCATGTTACAGACTAAGAAATTTTACATATTAGAGTGTTAGTAGCTAGCAGAATTTGAACTGAAGCCGAATTCCCCCAGTCCCTGTTAAGGCCACTTTCTACCAATTTTGATAACTTCTTAGATTTGTTTTAGACCATCAATTCATTTATTTATACATTTTTCCATTAATTACATAAAATTAGCTAGCATTTACATTCATAAACCCAACATCATTGAGAAATGTAGGGGATCATCGTGGTACTATATTATAATTGATGCATTATGATGAAATAGCCTAGCAGGTATTTTTCCAGAATACAACCACCTGAGAGCAAGCTTTTTTTAGGAGATTAGCTTGATTCTGGAAGGTGTCGTTAGTACTGAGTGTTGAGCAGTTTGTATCTTTAGGTTCTGCCTCAAAGAGCCGGGCCGAGATAGTAGTCTATATTCAAAGGGAAAATGGGGTCCTCAGTTAGTATTCAGGAAACAGAAAAACTCAAAGAAAATGAAAGACCAAATGTAGCCCTGCAAATCGGAATCAGCATGGTTAGTGTTTTTAGATACTGGTCAGTGCAGTGTTATTTTATGGAAATGTTTTTTAATAAAATAGAGTTATTCTTATAATAAATAAAATAGAAACTCATAATAAAATGAGTTAATGACAATGTCATTCAAGAACTACTTTGCTTTGTTATGAAATAAGACGAGTATGTTAGAGAAAACAAAATGTTACATGTTTAAAGGAGTCAGAAAGAATGGAGTATGTGGCAGCTCCATTATAATCTTACAGGACCACTTTTTTTATACGATGTTCACTGTTGACCAAAATGCTGTTTGTGGTGTATGACTGTATTTGTGTTTTCTTCCTGAGGGCACAAGGGATGCATCACAGAGCAAATAGGAACTCATGCTTATATCATACAAAGATTACACTAGCTGCAGTTTGCAGAATGTATCAGACGGGGGCCAATAAGGGGTGAGGAAAAGCATATAGGAGTCTGTGTAGCTATCGTTGAAATCAGATATCGGCCTAAACAAGATATGGTGGTAGGATGGAACTATGTGATTGAATTTAAGACATATTAAAGTAGGGAATTGCACAGAGTTCAGTGCCTGATTAGGTAGAGAGAATGAGGGAGACAGAGTGGAATTACGAATGACTCCCATGTCTTTCATATTTCTGGCTTGAATAGAGGAACAAGGAGCAGAGTGCAGCTGGGGATGAGATAATGTGTCCAGTATGGGATATGTTGGTTTGCAGCCATCGTTGGGCCAACTATGTAAAGATGATATGAAAACATTTAATATGGTCTGGAGCTCTGAAGACATATCTAGTTACTATGCTTGTATACATCAGGTTTTGTTGTAATTAAAGACACATGCATTACATTTTTATGTGGAATAACAAATTAACAAAAATTTGGCAGCTTAAGAGAACACTCATTTATTATCTCATAGTTCTACAGATCAGAAGTCTTTGTAGGGCCTAACTGAGTTTTCTGTCAGGGTTTCACCAGGCTAACATTAAGGTGTTGGCCAGGATTACAATTTCATTTGAGTCTCAGAGATCTCTTCCAATTTCACTTTTTGGTAGAATTTAGTTCATTGAGGTTGTGGGATTGAGATACCCACTACCTTGCTGGTTGTCAACTGGGCCTGTTCTCTGTTCCCAAAGATCATTCACCGTTTTGTAGTACGTGACTCACTCTACATCAGAAAAGTTTGTTTCTTCGAAGCCAGCAGTAGAGACTTTTTTTATTTTGATAAACTCAAAGTCAACTAATGAGGAATCTTAAATATATCTTCAAAATCCCTTTGTCTACATAATATAATCATGGGAGAATGATATTTCATTATTTCAAAGCTCTGGCCCACACTCAAGGGAAAGGGTACACCGGGAAACTGGAATCTTAGGGATTATTTTAGATTCTGACTCTATAATGGGTGTAGGCTAGTACCCCAAAAGGCAGAAAGCATCATCAATAAAGGGCAATGTTAAGGAAGAAATCTGAGAAGAATAACACTTAAGGAAGCTTGACAGGAAAAAGAGTCTGCAAAAAAATTGTCGACAGAGAAAGCAATATGACAAAGTCAGATGTATGATTAGGCCCACTGTCCCTACATTCTTAAGTCTATTCATCACTTACTATTACTGCCATGACTTCTTGCCTCCTTTTACAAGTTCCTTAAAATACCCCTCGTCTTGTCACTAAATCATGACTAATATATGATATTTTTACAAAATAATAATTTGACTGGTTATAAATTATGTTAACTTTTTAAACCCCAAAGATTATTGTCATACCAAATAATAACTTCAACCTCTTTAGACCTTGAAAAACCTGGATATTTTGACAATTGGTGTAAAAGAAGTTTTTTAAGGGGGAGATATTTGACTGCCTGTTGAAAAAAGGGGGAGATATTTGACTGCCTGTTGAAAATCTACCTAGGGAATTCAGCAATGCACTCAAACTACTAGGTATGAAAAACTATACTTATCTCTGATTTTTGTTCATCTGTTCTGATAGGTAATATATATTATTCTCCCATATCATGTGGGCCTTTTATATTTTATATTTTTGAACATATTTAATCTCATCTATCAGACCAAAATCCTAGGGGGCACATTTCATTTCTGATTCATTTTTTCCCATAACTAGCACAATGTTAAGAAGCAATCAAATATTAAATACTTGTTGAATAAACAAATGAAGAGAAAAAATGGTTGTTTCAGTTGATAATATTACTTCTAATATATTACTTGTTTTATGTATTTTATTTTATAAATCAACTTCATATTTATTTAATTTTGGATAAAATAACACAGATATAAAAGTGAATATATTCTTGGTAGAATACAGCCAATGGCAATATATTTCTTTAAAGTATAAAATAAATTTTGAGGACATTTAATAGGGTGGGTCCATGAGCAAAGACTGACATGAAAAAGTGTTGACATAATAAGCCAGTGTCTGCTTAGTGAAACCTTACCTGGAAAAGAAAAGGTGATTTCAAACTGACAGAAATGGAAGCAGTGACCCAAATTAGTAAAATAAGGCCAACTTCGAATCAGGATATAAAAAGTTTATACATATCTATATCTATATCTATATATATATAAAACTAATTTGGGTCTTTCTCTCTCTGCCTATATATACATGTGTGTATATATATGTATATATGTGTGTATATATGTATATATATGTGTATATATGTATATATGTGTATATATGTGTATATATGTATGTATGTGTATATACGTATATATGTGTATATATGTATATATGTGTATATACGTATATATGTGTATATGTGTGTATATATGTATATATGTATATACGTGTGTATATATGTGCATATACGTGTGTATATATGTGCATATACGTGTGTATATATGTGTATATATACGTGTGTGTATATGTGTATATATACGTGTGTGTATATGTGTATATATACGTGTGTGTATATGTGTATATATACGTGTGTGCATATGTGTATATATACGTGTGTGTATATGTGTATATATACGTGTGTGTGTGTATATATATATATATAGTGAATTTCAGAAGTGAGAATGAAGAACAAAGGGAAGTGTAAGCAATAGAAGGCCAAATACAATTAGATGTACATCTAAATCTTCACAAGAAACCAGGAACAAAAATTTTATTATATGTCTCTAGAAAATACAAAATATCAGACACAGTGCAAAGGAACTTAACTGGTAGATGTTTGTACAAGATCTACATCTCAAATAAAAAAACTAACATATCACATTTGTAATAAAATAATTTTTTAAAAAGGATGTACAAACCTATGCAAAATATAATTAAAGTATATTTGCTAAAGAGCACTTAGCAGATAACTGAAATCACTAAAGTGTGATGCTAAAAACCATATTATTATTAATTATGATATACAATTATAAATTATTCTAAAAGTGTATTATTTTCTAAGAAAAATAATGATGTAACCAGCAGAAACGATGTTACACCTTCTGCTTCATATGTCCTTACCTTACATGTATTTCAATATATAAATAATTTCAGTATACTAAATACAACAGAGTTATGGCTGAACTAGTACATTGAACTGCTTCTAAAATTTTGGGGCAAATTTACACTGGGTGAGATCTCTGATTCTTCTGAGTTTTACTTGACGGTTCTATCTTTTCCTATCTCAGTATCACAATCAAATTAATATTTACCACATCTGACTAGTGGCCTTTATTTTATTCAGTAATGCATTTATTTATTTTTATTTCTTCTTATTACTACAATAATTTAGCACAAGTATCATGTTAAAATGCCTACTTCACCTCCATTGGTTCTCTCAGCTTTCTATTACATATACTGCTTAAAAGAACAATTGTTTTTCAATCTGTTCTCTAACACAGAAAAATATGTGGTGAAAAAAAGAAAAAAAAAACGTGATTTTTAATTTCTCTGTGAAGTATTTCCTATTTCTGAAGAGAGGTATTTAAAATAAAAGCCACAAATTCTGCTATAGATAACTGAATCTTGAGGGGAAAAATGTTTTCTTGGTTAAAAACAAATGTGATAATGTGCATTCATTTTTTTAAAAATTGTAGTTATTTATCAGTGATTGTAAATATACAGTTGAAGGAAGAAAGTTGTTCAACTCTATATGCTAAATATAGCTATGTGTTATGCTCTGTTAATGATAATAGAACACTTTACATAAAGTTTGGAGTGCTGTTAATTTTCTTCAAGAATTATGAAAAAGAATAACTCATTGCTTATGATTCGAGAAGTTTCTAGCTTTCCCAGTAGTCAAGAAAATCTTTGACTTCAAAGATTAGTTCTAAGGCCAGGTCTTCACCTGAGTGAATTGTTGCAATGCTCCAGTAGATTTTATACTGCAACATAATCTATATAACCAATAGATTTGCATTTAATAATAGAACAACTTCTACAGTTCAGTCCATATGGGTATATATTGTGTCTACATATAATGTGCATATAAACATTAATTGGATTTTCATAAGCAACATCTCTGTTCTCCCTAAGATTCAGACAATGTATAAAGGCAATTATGATTATGCCAGGGAATCAATACACATTTTTCATTTTAAGGCTATGAACTATGATGTTTTGTTATGTTCTACTATTTTATACTGGCCCATACTGCGTTATAACTTTATGTATGTCTTTAAGGGAATAAAAATATTTTATTGAATTTTAAGTAATTTCAAAAAATTATGACATTTCATGTGTTTCTTCAAGTGCATTTTTATAAACCTTTCCCTGTCCATATTTCAGAAATTCATGTGATTACGAACATATTTATAGTAATTAAAACAGTGATGACACTTTATATTTGATGTTTACTTTTCTATAATTATATATGTCATGAATTTTATCTAGGAACACATTAGCATTTAATTTTCCAGATTTTTCCTCATACTTTATGTACAATTTATTGTAACATATAGCACTGATTAATTAATACTACAGATGGATGACTTTTATTGTTAGTATCTTATAAAACATGATCTTAAACAGCTATCTCTAGGTTAAAAGGCTACAATTTGATGAAAAATTTCTTTCAGATAAGAACTTTTAGATTATTTATTCCCACTACTTTGACATAGCTGTATGTTAATAAAACTTCATGAATAGTAGAAAAATAAACCTCTATAAATTCAATGTAAGAAATAACCATAACAATCATATAAAATATATTTATACTAGAGGTTCAACCATTTTATGTATAGTAATATTTAATCATATAAAATGTTACTATAGATATTATGTTTTGAAAGAGAATTGCACATTAGAATTTAGATTCATTTGAACTTTCTGAAGTCAGGAGCTCTTCTATTGCATTTGTCATGCAATGGAAAGGTAAAATTTGCTGGTTTACAATTTTTAACTGCAAGTTTTCTATTAACACTATCTTTCTATACTTTATACGGACTGTAGTCTATACAAATGTATTTACAAAGACTTTAAAGGTAAATTCCACAAGAAATTAAGATTTCTTATAACAGAATATTTATAATTCCCCTTTTTCTGCCCATTGTGATCTTATTCAACTTCTACATGTACTATAAACAATAAATATTATTACTATTATTTCTTTTAACAAAGTTCTTTTAGATCATTTTTTAAAAATAATGCAATTCACCTTTTTTCCCCCCAAAAATATTCTTTCTTTATGTAGTACAGTATAATCTTTCAACGCTCTACCTGGTAATTCTGTTTAAGAAATCACCATTCCCAGAAAACAGCCATGATTATAAAATGAGAATGTTGGATGCCTCACTTTATGCTCAAAGTAGAAAAAAAGTCAGTTATCTACTCTCTGAATCTTGTTACGTAATTATTTGAACCTCCTCAAAGAGTTTGTTGAATCCACTAGGGCTAGGTGATAGTTGGTGGCAAAAGTACTGCAAAATTCATATGCAGATATTATTCAATGAAGCCAGCACTACAAAGGTAAATATATGAGATATGATGTCCAATCTGTTATTATCTGCAAATATAGTAATCTTATCATACTGAAAATGGGCTTTGCTCATTTTCTCCCAAATTACTCCTTTATCTTGCTCAAGAAGCCTCTTTCATTGTTTTATGAAATTTTTTATTTTAATATTCTGTACCTTTTCACTTAAACTTTCCTTCAAAGTATTTGTCATAAGTGAGCCAAAACTTTTCAATGTAGACACTCTATACTTGGCAGAATTCTTCATTGTGTCTTTAACTACTAGATAGTAACAAGCATGCTTTAATGATTGTCTCATCATTTAATTTCTGTCTTACTGATTCTATAGTCTATAGTTAAGGTATTTTTCCTGCCCTATCACTATTTCTTAAGATGAAGGTTAGGAGTTGACAAATTCAATGCTCTCTACTGATTCCAAAAAATCATGATTAGCCCTTTCAATATTTCACCACCTTTTTTTTTGAAGTTGACACCAACCACTTCTATAGCAATGTTTAGAACTAGATTGATGTTATCTACTCATCTCCTTCCATTGTATTCAATTATTACTACCACTTGGATGAAAAGTTCTCACTTCATCTGCCAATATTTTAGGGATTTTAATTCCTATCATTGATGCTATTTAAATATTTTAATTACTGTGTTGATGATTTTCTCAATTCTTTAACCCCAGGCCCTTGTACACCTGAATTATAGTATCTTTAATCTTTATGGTACTGGAAATACAATCCTTATAGTTAGACCTATCTTTAGATCTCAGCATTGTGTAAAATTACTCTAGCTCTAAGCGTTTTAACTCTGAAGTTATAACTACAATCCTCCAGCTTAAAATTCTCCCCTCTCTCATCCACTCTACTTTGTTTACCCTTATCACATTTCATAGATTCTCAGCATCTGTTTCATCTTAACTGTCTTTCAGAGGACTTTTACTTCTGTGGGGTTATTTGTTTTGGGTAAAATCCTACTGATGTATTTCATTCACGTATTAGGAAACTAGACACTGAGGGGAGAAAAAGCAAAGTTTCCCAAGATTCAATGACAAGTGTATTTTGACAATATTTGGGCCCTTGTTACCTCTCAAAAAACCCTTTCTTAAACTCAAAATGATGGCTGGCATCCCCCAAAACAGTTGCTTCATAACTCTTGCACTGTCTTCAAATGTAAAAATCTATCAGCCTTTATAATTCTATGCAAAAAAATTATTGCATCTTGTTTTTCAGAGAATAATGAGTCAATTTGGTGAAGTTCTCTCAAACACATACTTTTAGTACCTACCTTACCAATTCTAGAACTTCCAACTTTTGTCTGTCTCATTAGATTGCTCCTTGGAAAAACAGTGGTTACATTGTCTTCCACAAAAACCACAGCAATGATTCCCTATTATTATTCCCAACCAAATTGACATTTTACAATTATGCTTTTTCTTCCTTCTTTACTAGATTATCCATGTCGTTCCCTTCAAGTGGGAAGTTCTTCTTCCCTAATTGTACAAATTGTATCCATCTTAATATTCTTGACTAATACCATTTCTTTCATGAAGATTTCTATGATACTTCTAGTTGAAAAATACCTCTTTACTTTCTGAACACGGTTTGAATATTTTTGGTTTTCACTTACGATTTTTTACATTTTAGGATTTATGTAATCTACATCTTATGATATTTGCTAGAGTTTCAGTCTCCTGAAGCCTGACTCTATACCCGATTATTACTATCTACCTTTCATTAGCTGATGCTACTGTACTTTCTCTTTAGCATGCTCAATACTGTTATTAAGAAAAATTTAAAGATTATTGTTGTGGAATATTGTCTCTGGATTACCCTTTACATCTAAAAATAACTTAAATATTTGCAGTTATATAGACAAAGAGACAGCTTGCAAATGCCACATGCAGGAACTGTGGCTTCAAATCCTACATGTGCAATAAAATCACTTCAAGTAAAATGAAAAATATGAATATAAGTCGGACGGATAATTAGTCTTCCATTGAGCAATGTTTAATAACTTATTTTGTGAATGCTATGAATCACCTAGTGACTTTTCAGCTTAGCAAAAAAGATACATAACAGTAATTCCTTATCTTTAGTGAAATTGTGTTTAGAGTTAGTTCCAGAGATTTATACAAAAGCCAAAGATCAATGTTCCAGTTCAAAATATCGCTTGCTCACAATCCTTTAGAATGTAGGGAGGTGCCTGAAGTGCTGCTGGGTTTCTCTGTTCTGCCATGAGTGAGAATAGAAACCAGCTGATGTGTTTGCCTGTACCTTATGTGCCAAAAGTGAGGGCAATTTTACAGGTGCAATTAAAGTAAATAGTTTCATGCCAACGAGTGAGTGTGCCCTCTGCTTGGCTTATAATATAGGAGATGAGGGGACTTAATCTAAGTAAGCGTTGGTCTGGGTTTGAGATTTATGGTTGATATGGTTAAGCTAAATTCAGCACAATTTTGAAGTTCTTTATTAACACTGTATTTAAGGTAGAGGCTGGTTTGTCAGAGTGTTTTTCTTTATTTATTTTTATTTTCTTTCAATTTCTATTGTAGCCTCTCAATTTTAAGTTCCCCTTTGTGCTGTGCCTCTGAGAGTCTGCTTTTTTATTTTAGTTGCTACTCCATCAGTTGCTAGCCTGGCCTAGTGGTGGGTGATTGGAAATGTTCTCTAGCCTAGCAGTAGGTGATGGAGAATATTCCCTGCTCTTCTGATTTATCCTTAGTCATGGATAACTGGTCATGGTCTTCTCTGAGGTGATGGGGGCTATTCAGTGCCCTTGCTCTTCCTCTTGTATAGTTCAGGGTCAGGTACTTTTGCCTGCTCCATCCCCAGGAGCAGAGTGTTTTTCGTTCCCTTTTTTAGGTGCAGTTGGTTTTCATCAGTGCCTTAAGGATGACAGTGTTGTTACTCTTCCCTCAACAATTTAAGGCTATCAATTTGCCTATGTTTAATAAATTGTTAATGTAAGCTCCACAAGGAAAAATTGATGAGTAACCATGATTCTGCCACTCAGAAGGTGATAAAATGGCTTCAAGTCATATGGATCAGAGGAATTCTCTGTCCTGATGTGATTTATTTGAAATTTCTTATAACGAGCTTTTATGCTGAAAGGACTACTTTACTTATGCTTTGCCTGACATCCTATTTTTACTCTTACACATAATTATAAGAAATGCCATCTCCTTAAATGCCTCTCTCTCTAATAGGGCTTATCTTTATTCTAAATCCAGATATGCCATGAAAGTCAGCAATGAGCTGTCCACATATATCTGATCTTGATTAATTATCTTCACATTGTTACTAGCTCTTATTCAAGAAACCCCCCATGTTTAAAGGAAAGACCTGATAGATTTTTCTTTCAAAATCTTTCTATCCTTACATCAATCTTAAATGCATAATGGAAATAACGTATTATCCTGAGATTTTTGTTCTTTGAATTTGAGGACAATGAAAATGCCTCTCAGGGTACCGCAACTTACAGCAATGAATCCGATCATGCATTGCTGCCTGAGGTTTTATGCTGGAGGTGTGTCCGGAATTGGTGGGTTCTTGGTCTCACTGACTTCAGGAATGAAGCCGCGGACCGTCGCGGTGAGTGTTACAGTTCTTAAAGGCGGCGTGTCCGGAGTTTGTTCCTTCTGATGTTCAGAAGTGTTCAGAGTTTCTTCCTTCTGGTGGGTTCGTGGTCTCGTTGGCTCAGGAGTGAAGCTGCAGACCTTCGCGGTGAGTGTTACAGCTCTTAAGGCGGTGCGTCTGGAGTTGTTAGTTCCTCCCGGTGGGCTCGTGGTCTCGCTGGCTTCAGGAATGAAGCTGCAGACCTTCGCGGTGAGTGTTACAGCTCATAAAGGCAGTGTGGACCCAAAGAGTGAGCAGCAGCAAGATTTATTGCAAAGAGCAAAAGAACAAAGCTTCCACACCGTGGAAGGGGACCCCAGCGGTTTGTCACTGTGGGCTCGGGCAGCCTGGTTTTATTCTTTTATCTGGCCCCACCCACATCCTGCTGATTGGTAGAGCCGAGTGGTCTGTTTTGACAGGGCGCTGATTGGTGCGTTTACAATCCCTGAGCTAGACACAAAGTTTCTCCACGTCCCCACCAGACTCAGGAGCCCAGCGGGCTTCACCCAGTGGATCCCGCACAGGGGCTGCAAGTGGAGCTGCCTGCCAGTCCCGCGCCTTGTGCCCGCACTCCTCAGCCCTTGGGTGGTCGATGGGACTGGGCGCCTGGAGCAGGGGGTGGCGCTCATCGGGGAGGCTTGGGCCGCACAGGAGCCCACGGGGGGCGGGGGGGGGGCCGGGGGGGGCGCGGGGGGAAGGCTCAGGCATGGGGTGCTGCAGGTCCCGAGCCCTGCCCCGCGGGGAGGCAGCTAAGGCCTGGCGAGATATCCAGCGCAGCGTCGGTGGGCCGGCACTGCTGGGGGACCCAGCACGCCCTCTGCAGCCGCTGGCCAGGGTGCTAAGCCCCTCATTGTCTGGGCCGGCAGGGCCGGTCAGCTGCTCCTAGTGCGGGGCCCGCCAAGCCCACACCCACCCGGAACTCGTGCTGGCCGGCAAGCACCGCGCGCAGCCAGGGTTCCCGGCCGCGCCTCTCCCTCCACACTTCTCCGCAAGCTGAGGGAGCCGGCTCCGGCCTTGGCCAGCCCAGAAAGTGGCTCCCACAGTGCAGTGGTGGGCTGAAGCGTTCCTCAAGTGCCACCAAAGTGGGAGCCCAGGCAGAGGAGGCGCCGAGAGCGAACAAGGGCTGTGAGGACTGCCAGCACGCTGTCACTTCTCAGAGGTACTGTCACTGACACACCGTGGGATAAGATGACTATCACCAGAAAATTAATGATGGCTTTTTAAACATTAGAAGATTGGCAATAATGTCACACTGGTAATTGATTTTTCTCTTGCCACTAAGAAACAGAAGTAAAGAAAAGAACTTGCATTTTAATGTTGCGTTAGCTCAACGTTGGGGCATCTTTTAAAACTCTCTACCTGGTTGAGGAATGTATTGTAGTTCTACAGTAAAAACTGGCATTAAAAGGTACTGATATGTATTTAGTATGTTGCAGTATCTTGGTTCAAGCTTCTGGCTCAGGTGATGGTTCCCATAATAGTGAGTAAGCTTCCCATACTATTTATTCAGTGGTTGTTGGCACAGGTAGTTCTTTATAACAATCACTCTCTTGGAAATTATGCCCAGGGAGGGGATAGAGACATTGGATAAGCCTATCCACTATATCAAGTAGCTCACAATGTGGCTGCTTGTCATATTACCCTTCACAATTGAGTTATTTTTAAAACATGTTGTTAGGTTTATCTTTTTCCTCATTTCATTCCTGCATAAATAATATTATAATTCTTATCATAACTTTCCTTTAATGCATGTTCCTAATTGTAGGAAGGGGGTGAGGCTAAAAAGAAATTGGGATGAGGACATAAATAATGATGTTAACATTTCCTTTACTTAAATACAGTTTTCTTTTCGAATTGCTTTGTACATAGTGAAAAGCGGCCATCCACCTTTGATATTCTTCATAATTATTACTAGATTGCATTTCCATATTCATGTATATCACTCGTTATATACTTGTAATGCCTAAGAAGACTATTTTGAAAGAAGATGTTGATCTCATATTTCTATAAATTAAATTCAAATTTTTGCTAACTCTTATTTATCTTTGGAATAAATTGGTTAAACAAGATTATTCAATTTTCTCCATTATATTATCATCTTCCCAATATCTTACAATTTTTCTTTTTTATCTAAGGTTATTGTCACCTTTATGGTTCAGTAAGTGGTTGTCACCTTATTGAGAATTGCAATAAGGACAGTAAGGGAACATCTAGACTCACTTGAAACCGTAACTGCATTCATCTCAGAGTAATAGCCAATCCATCATAGAGGCTTGTCCTACCTGACCTGAAATATGTTTTGTTTTGGGAAATCCAGATTGGCCTGGTAGTTAATCTGAGTCACTTGTCATTCTTAGGCAAAGATATGAGAGCTATTGGAGCTATTCTCAAATCAAGATTTACACTACATAAACTAATCTTTACATAATTTTGATAACCTTTCTTATGTTACAATTTAGAGTTGAATACTGTGACAGAGAATAGAAATATCTATCAGGGTTGAAAGAAAAAAGTGAAATAAAGTTTACATAACTAAGTTGAACCTAAACTATACTTTATTTCTAGGTTAGTTACCAGATCACTAAATGTAATCAAATTATCATTTTCTTCAAGTGGACTTGCATGTGTAGCTAGCTTCAGTATACAGCTTGAATAATTATCAAGGTTAAATACATAGAAAAGTGCTGTGACATAAAACAGTGTCGAGTGTCTAAATTATTTGGTGTGACCATATCTACTGACTACCAAGTTATCTTCTTTGCATAAATGGTTAGGCAGAATGCCATCAAAACCGCACAGTGCTAAATGGAGCGAGCTTTTAGTTTCCTTTTTGGCAAATGCAATTTAAACCAGATGATTTAGTAGTGAACAAACAAAAGCAAAAGACAAAGACATTAACAATAATAATGCTTCAGTGCTTAAATTAGTGTTTGTGGTGGTTCTATTTATCATATTGTGGTTAAAACTATCTATCAGAATATCACTTCATTTTGTGCCCTGAGAGTTGAGGCTAATTTCCTTTAAACAAAACAGCAATTAGAGCAGCATGCCATGTCTAATCTCTGCTTCAGGATAACTGGAAGAGACTTAGAAGCAATAGGAAGAAACCCCATTAGACAAAAAATAAAATATAGTTTGAGTTCGTCTTAGTTGTTTAAGTACTTTTTATTTGTTTTGTAAAGGGAGAAAATTCAAGCGATATATTCAAAGTAGTGAAAAAACTGAGTTCAGTCTTTTCATAAACTAAAAACTGATAATGAATATGAAGGTGACATCATAAAATAGCAGTTTAGATACACCACTTTTCTCTTTGTTCACTTATTCAAAAAGATTTATTAAACTTCCAAACATTCAAGGCATCAGCCTAGTTACTACCAACACTTTAATGTGGCTACTCTTATCTAGTCCCTATGAACACGACGAAGTAGGTCTTTTTATTCTCCTACTTTGAAGACAAGGAATTTGCAGTGCAGAGAGATTAAATAATTCCCTTGATCTCACTATTTGGAAGCCTGAACTTAATCACTTTATCATGCAAAATGATTTAAAGCAATTGTCAATTAGAGAGTATGGCATATGGCATCACTCCAATACAAAAACCGGACAAGGACACAACAAAAGAAGAAACCTTCTGGCCAATATCTCTGACGTATATAGATGTAAAAATCTTCGACAAAGTCCTAGCAAGCCAAATCCAGCAGCACATCAAAAAGATAATACACCACAATCTAGTGGGACTTATACCACCATCAACTGAATGAAGAACAAAAATCATGTGATCCTCCAAAAAGACTCAGAGAAAGAATTTGATAGAATTCAATATCCTTTCATGATAAAAACTCAACAAATTAGAAATGCAAGAAACATGCCTCAAAATAATAAAGGCCTTTTATGATAAACCCACAGCTAACGTTATACTAAATGGGGAAAAGTGGAAAGTCTTTTCTCTAAGAACTGGAACAACTCAAGCATACCCATTTTCACCACTCCTATTCAGCATAGTTCTGGAAGTCCTAGCCAGAGCAATCAGGCAAGAAAAAGAAGTAAAAGACATTCAGATTGGAAAACAGGAAGTGAAATTGTCTCACTTTGCTGATGGTATGGTTTTATATCTAGAAAAAGCTAAAGACTCCATCAAAAATCTCTAATGAATTAAGTTGTAGGATATAAAAGCAACATACAAAATTAATAATGTTTCTATGTATGAATAATGATCTAGACAAGAAAGAAATCAAGAAGGCAATTGCATTTACAGTAGCTAAAAATAAATAAAATAACAATGAATAAATTTAACCAAAGAGGTAAATAATCTTGGCTGGGCGCTGTGGCTCATGCCTGTAATCCCAGCACTTTGGGAGGTCAAGAAGGGCAGATCTCCTGAAGTCAGGAGTTTGAGACCAGCCTGGCCAACACAGTGAAACCCCGTCTCTGCTAAAAACATAAAAAATTATGGTGGGGTGTGGTGGCTTCTGCATGTAATCCCAGCTACTCAAGAGGCAGAAGCAGGAGAATCACTTGAACCCTGGAGGTTGAGGTTGCAGTGAGCTGAGATTTCGCCTCTGCACTCCAGCCTCAATGACGGTGCAAGACTCCATCTCAAGAACGAACAACAACAACAACAACTTTGTTTTTATAAATGCATACAAGTAAATTTTAGTTAACAAATCCAAATTCGGGCATTGAATGTTTTAACTGCATTACCTTCAAAGCATGATTTCACTAGAAATGCCATTGCGGATATAGCACATATGTGTAACAATTTTATTCCAATATCATATTAACAGCTGCCAAACCATATGGAATATATTTTATATCTGAATTTTTTATTTGGAAAGTTTTGGTTTCCTAAGTCAGAAGAGGTCAAAAATAACTATGTATATAAGATTCAGCTGAATGTTATTTGTTCTTTCTTTATTCCCAAGGGTCACACTCATGACATAATAGTGAATTTGTGTTAAAATATTGTTCTGAGAGGAATGTTGACATAAGATAATGTGATTTATGCTTCCCATCCATCATATTGACAGATTTTAGACAGATGTCGCTATTTGTCAAACATCGTACAAAACAAGACAAAATCCCATAAAATCATAAAAACTATTTGCCTTTATCACCATCTCATTCATCTTTCATTCCTATAAAAATTTTAGTGTTAGAAATAAAGATCAATTCACCACGAAATTTCAAAATATGTTTTTATTAAACAATTTCCCCCTAAAGACACTTAGCACTTGTCACTCAGTTGTCATTCCAATAAAATGTGGTATTTTAATTTCAGACAAATCCATAAAATGTATTACATATGAACAGTCCTAGCATGCTTTGAGTGATTTTGTTTTAAATAAGTAAAACAAAATAAATATCAGGGAAATAATGTCAGATGAGTCATTTTTCTTTTAGCAAAACTTAAAATGTGTGACAAAAAGCCCTTCCAATTTGTTAAAATTCTCCTCAATGTGTTCAGACTGTGTTTTATGCATATGAGGTGCAACTTTCTGTTTGATATATACAGACATGCATTAGTGAATCACTAAATGCACAGTATCAAGCTTCTGAGGCAGGTGGAAGAACATTTGAAACCATCTAAGAATAGCAAATAACTGTATTATTTATTATGCAAGATAACATCATCAAAGTCACCCACAGAATAATTATTAGTAGCCATCTGTTTTTCTACCTACACAATTCCAACCTACACAATTTTTGCTTTCTATTTGTCTGTTTTTACATACTCGATGTTAACTTCACATCTGTAGAGTACACACATAAATCCTTATTTATTATATATATTGTTTGCTGCAGGTTTTAGACTGGGATATTCAACCTGGAGAAGTTGTATTATACCCACTGTATGTTCAGAAATGTATCAGATAAGAATCTTGGGAACAGAGCAGTTTCCTATTCTCTAGGCCAGCTAGCAATTTTGAAAACATTTATCAGTTACAACTTTCATGTAATTCTTTGTATGAATTGTATTTTACTGATCTGTACTAATAATACAAAAACTGCTTGCTTGAAACTGTAACCCAGCATTCCAGAAGCTTATATTTTAGTTTAAAAAAACGTAAAAGATGTATGCATGCAAAGCTTTTAAATAACCATTCAGGTTGGTGTATTATCAGGTGCTTAATGTATAAAATCATAATATTAAGGCATTTCTTCCAAGTATGATACATATAGCTCTCCATCAGTTTTACCCAAGATCATTATTAAAATTGAGATTTCTTATAAACAGAATCAAATAACCCCAAGTGACTGTTTGAAAATTACTGATTAAGGGTTAAAGAAAAAAATATAAAGCCTATTATGACTTAGTATTTTGTTTTCTGTGAATAGAAAATTAGAGGCATCAGATTCTGAGGTTTATCCTCAAAAGTTTTCAGTAGTTTACAAAAGGGTTACCCCAGCCACGAATCTTAAATTTTAAAACCATTCCAGATGCCTTAGTGCAAAAGTACCAGGAACAAGAATGAAAAATATTGAAGTAAAATACAGAGAAATGTTCGACAGTAAATGATATCTCAATAACTGTGAGACGGCACTGTGGGCTATATTTTGAACACAGATATGTGGTTAATTACCTTAATTTATAGGAGCTAATATGGGTACATGGAACATACTGGAAAACATAGGAACCTGTCTAAAGATGCACAGCAAATTATCATGGATATAGAATTTAGATCGGTACATGGTAGACATCAGGCAGATGGTGACATTGCCTTTTATTTTTCCAGAAGGATAAGCTTCTCTTTGTAAGTTCACCATTGTGGAGCCCACCCAAATGATGTCTCTTCCACTGTTTTTTCTTCTCTAGGTAATGCCCTCTAACCCAAGTCTTGCTGTGCTCATGGCCCCTGGGGGGCAAAATGTTGCTCTTCAGTTCTTATTTTCTTTTTTTTTTTTTTTTACAATTACTATTGGATTTATTAAAAAAATGTACAGCATATATTGAGTGCTTATTTTATACCAAACACATTTGCCTGTGTGATCTCATTTAATTATCAGAGCAACCTCATGAAGCAAATATTCCCATCATTACCATTTCATAACTAGGAGAAAACTTCAATAAACTAATACACTACAAATTAAAAATGTAGTATTGCTGAATGTATTAGTCAGGGTTCTCTAGAAGGACAGAACTAATAGGATAGATGTCTATATAAAGGGGAGTTTATTAAGGAGTATTGACTGACACAATCACAAGGTGAGGTCACACAATATGCCATCTGCAAGCTGAGGGTCAAGGAAGTCAGTCCAAGTACCAAAGCTGAAAAAAACTTGGAGTCTGATGTTCGAGAGCAGGAAGTATTCAGCTTGGGTGAAAGATGTAGGCAAGAAGACTAAATCAGTTTAATCTTCTCATGTTCTTCTGGCAGATTTTATTCTGGCCGTGCTGGCAGCTGATTAGATTGTGGCCACCCAGATTGAAGGTGGGTCTGCATTTTCCAGTCCACTGACTCAAATTTTAGTCTCCTTTGGCAACACTTTCACAGACACACCCAGGAACAATACTTTGTATCCTTCAATCCAATCAAGTTGACGCTCAATATTAACCACCACACTGAAGGTAAGTTGTTGATTTCAGTTTTGGTTCTTAACCTCAACCAGCTGTTTCCCACCAAAATATACATTTTTTAATATCTGGCATGCAAAGGACAGAATCTGTTTGAACACTACTCAGAACACAGCTAGGTGTTAAATACATTAGGCTCACTAGAGTATTCTTGACTGGTGGCGACCTATAGACCACTTTCTACAGTCTATTCATTTGCCTCCTGGAGAGCAGGTTCACATAATTCACAGCATGGTTTCCCATTTGTAAAACTCACCTTCATAAAGTTTTTGGTATAACACATTCATAGAAAATATAAGATGACACCGTCATTAGGCCTATAATAGTTTAGACATTAGAGAAAATACTATTACTTATAACTCAACCAAACAGATAATGACCACGTATATTTTAGCTATTTATTCTAATATTTTCATATGTATATCATCGATTTTATAATACATAGTTGAAGCTTTAGTGTGCATTCAAACATTTTATTTTAATCATCTAGAAAATATAATTTTAATGGCAGAATAATACTCTAATAATGCAAGCCTTATAGAAGCACAATGTTATATATTTAGATAGTGTATGAGTAATTTTTATATTAAATGAATCATACTATCTGTCATTGTAAAAATATTGAATATAATTTTACTTGATCTTAACACAAGTAAAGCTGAATAACAATTTTGGTAAATATCCAGGGATGGTTTTATTTAAAAGTTTCTCAACAATATAGAAATAATATGTAAAGTATTTTAAAATATTATTAAAATATTATAGCAACACTGAAACCAAGGGGAAAATATTTTTTGCTTCAGAAACCAAAAACAAATATACGTATATATCTTAGCCTTTTCCTTGTTGAGAGAGCTTCAACCTGATTCAAACTCTCATACAACACAAACATTCTTCCATGTTCAGAAGTTTTAATTTTGTATTGCTTAATCTATACCCTCTTTTCAATAGGATTTAAACCTTTGGGGCCTATTTTAAAAATCTTTCTGTTTACCCAAGTTTCGAAGTATATTCTCAAATTATTTTTCCAATAATTTTAAGGTTTTGTTTTCACATTTGGGTCTTTAATCCTTTCAAAATATTATCTGTACATGGCATCACTTTTTAGCATGTTTTTATTTCTTTAGTGTCAGAAAGGTTTTTAAATATATTTGAGGTTTTTTTTTCATTTTTATGTTTATTAGTAACCAAGTGTTGTCTACTTTGAGTCTTATGTTTCTCTTCTATATGTATCTGTTATTCTTATACTTTCTGTTTCTTCTGTATGTATTTTCATTAGGCCTAATTAGCACTTATTTAACTATATTTTCATATCATTTATTGTACTTATTAATTTTAAATATTCAATTATCTCTATGTTTATAACATTTACTTCTTTTTCCAATTATTCCTTCATCTTATTTTTTCATCATCTTGGCCTAATAACATTTTCCTCTCTGTTTTGAAACTTCTCATTTCTTCTTGTGCATATATCTTTGACATTGCAAAATTAAAAGTTGATATTGTGTGTAATATATTTCAGGACATGAAAAGCTGTTTACAAATGTCATATTTTTCTTAAACTGCATTTTTATTTTTATTTTTTAGTTCCTTTTCTGTTTAAGCTTCTTTTTATATTTTTGGCTGTTTTTCTGACTAGGACCACTGTGGGATTCTTTCTGATCTTCCTTTGAAAATGACTTTTCACATTATTTTCTAAATAATTGTAGCGTGTGTGTGTGTGTGTGCTGTAGTGTGTATGTTGTAGCGTGTGCACGTGCGTGTGTGTGTGTGTGTGTGTGTGTTTCTGCCTGGTGAGGGGATACAGGGTTCAGAGTCTGGGCTATGTCAACCTGCCTCCCCACTTGGATTTCCCCCTAGCTTTCACTTTCATGTCTATATGGCTCACAGCAAAATTTTCTGTCTCCTTTTCCTCTATTTCTTTAATGGTTGAGTTACTCCTGTGCCGGTAAGTTAGGTTATAGGGACCTGTGTTTCTTCAGTTGTGGCCCTGAACCAGCCATATCTTCATTAACTAGAAACTTCTTTAAAATGCACATTTGTGAGCCCCACCTTGCACCTACTAAATCAGCAATGTTGTGTTTGGGACTCAGAAATCTGTGTTTCAATAAATTCTACAGGTATAAGCATAATTTGATGCATGTTAAAATTTGAGAACCACAGATAATAAACATTAGAATTGTGCTGCTCGTGTCTATTTCCCTCCTCTCTAATTCTACCTCTGCTCTAGAGTCTCTAACTTGTCACCTCCTCTTAAACTAGTTCTCCTTCATGTGCCCAATTAATGCCTCTAAATTGTATTATTTTATTCAAAGATTGATGGTTATGTCTTTCTCGGTAAAACTTACTTTGGAGGAAATATATAGCATGCTCCAGGTCTAAAGTGGAACGTGTTTAGCCTTCAAATAGCATTCTCACCTAGATCCAGATTCTCTTACAGAATTTGTGTTTGAAAACTGTAACATTTATATTGTTTCATATATGATGAAAGGTTTCTTTTGTTTTATTTTTGTTTCCTTCTCTATTTCTTATTTCCCTTCAACTCTGCCATTGGTTATTCTAAAAACCATTGGAGAAAACATACAATGAAAACCAACAAAATGAAAACATAAACTTTAAATGTCTTGCCATTTAAATCCAAAGGTACAAATAAACAAAAAATGCCAAGAAATATTTCACCACTTTTGCTCACAAATTTTAAATAAATAAAACTATATTTTAATCCTAATGTAGAACATTAGAGACATTCATAAATTTTTATATGTATACAATACATGCAATAGTTTAACTTGTTTATAAGATATACATTTAATTGCCAAGAATAATAATTTTAAGTATGTTTAAAATTAAATGTATCTATAATATGTAAGTATCCATCCTGTGAGGTAGTGTGTCACAATAGTTAAAGTTAATAGTTCTTCTTACATGAATCCATAATGTCATAGAATGATCTTTGCTTAAGTAAAAATGAAATTTCAATGGGTAATTTCTTTATGCATAAAAACAATGATCATCAAACAGGTGTTGTTCCCGGAATAAAATTTTCTAAGCTAAGACAAGAAATAAGTTTTATAATGATTAATACAGTCAAAGAATATTGGCAAATGGAAAGCCTGGGAGTTGTTTTGAATATTTATGGAATTTGCAAATATACATATTAACCAGAAGGTCAATAGTTTTAAAAAATTGACCAACGACTTGATATTTATGGTAATGAAGTAAATTTCTTGTTAAAATGCTTTGCTTAAAAGCAAACTTTCACAATACTGTAAGTACTCTTTAATAAATAATAGTCATCATAAACTTCTTAACAGTTTATCCTTTAAAGCTAATGTTTTCTGATAACAGAAATCTTCATAGTCCCATAGCAGTTGATTAATTTCAATAATGAGTAGCGACTTTGGTAGTTAATCCTCAAAGCATGCATTTCGTATTAATATTCTGATTCTTTTAAGCAGAAAATTAACAAATTTTGTAATCCAAGGGGAAAATAAATTTATAATTATTTGGCAAACAAAATGTCTTTCCACTAAAATAACCATAAATTTATCTCTAAGCCAAGATCTTTTGTTGGCCATTTATCATTACTGGCTCATTACTGGCTTACTCAATTTTATTTTGGTCTCCATGTTCTCTCTTTCTCTCTATATATGTCTCTCTCATTCTCCCCCATCCCCACTTTTCTTCTTATATTTATGCTGATTAATATTGTTTAGCAAGTTAGTTTTTATATGGGACCCTGCTCAAATTTTGGAAAACATAAGCCATATTTATATAGGAAAAGGTCATTTCTTCCTTAATGCCCATCTCAAAAATAAAAAAAAACTCTTTCTATATCCTTCATAATAATGGACTACCTTTCACTGATTGTGTATTATGTACTAGCCTCTGTACGAAAGACTTATTATCTCACTGAGTTTTACAACTTTTAAAACAATACATTATTTATTTTATCCATTTTACGGTAAGAAAATTTATAGTAATTACAACACATAGCAATATCCTAGAGGTAGTAAATGTCATATGCGGAATTTGAATGGTGGTGTATCTCAAGAGCCATCACAAAAAAAAGGATAAATAATTTTCATAAAGTCCTGTATTTTTTTCTAATGATAGAAACATTTCCAAGTCAGCTACTTTTCCCATTTCTGACAAGAATGACAAGAATATTTGTTTTGCCTTTCAGGCAGTTTCTTTTTTAAAATTTTTATTTTTATAGATTTTGGGGTACAAGGGCAGTTGTGTTACATGGATATATTGTATAGTGTTGACGTCTGGGCTTTTAGTGTACTCATCATCCAAAAAGAGTGCATTGCACCCAACAGGTAGTATTTCATCCTTTACCCCCCTCCTATCTTCTCACCTTTTGGAGTATCCCATGTCTGTTATTCCACTCTGTGTATACCCATTGTTTAGCTCCCACTTATAAGTCATAACATGTGGTTTTTGACTTTGTCATTTCTGAGTCATTTCATTTAGGATGATGGCCTCTATTTCTCTCCATGTTGCTGCAAATGATGTTTCTTTTTTTATGGCTAAGTAGTATTCCATGGTCTATATATATCATATTTTTTAGAACCAATCATCCATCGATGGACACCTAAGTTGATTTCATGACTTTGCTATGGTAAATAGTGCTGTGATGAATATATGAGTACAGATGTCTTTTTGAAAAAATGTTTGTTTTTTCCTTGTATACATACCCAGTAGTGGAATTGCTGAATCACAGGGCAATTCTATTTAGTTGTTTGAGAAATCTCCATACATTTTTCCATAGATGTTATATTAGTTTACATTCCTGCCAACAGTGTGTAAACATTCTCTTCTATCCTCATTGTCACTGACATCTTTTTTTTCTGGCTTTTTAATAATTGCCATTCTGACTGATGTGAGATAGTATCTCAGTGTGGTTTTAATTTGCATTTCTCTGATGATTAGTGATGCTGAGCATTCTTTTCATGTATCAGTTGGCCATTTGTACATCTTCTTTCGGGAAATGTTTATTCATGTATTTTGCCTTTTTTAATGGAATTGTTTGTTTTGTTTTCTGATTAGTTATTTTAGTTCCTTGCATATTCTGGATATTGATTCCCTCTTGGATGAATAATTTGAAAATATTTTCTCTCATTCCATAGGTTTTCTGTTTACTCTATTGATTCTTTTGCTGTATAGAATATTTTTCATTTAATTAAGTCTCATTTGTTTATTTTTGTTTTTGTTGCATTTCCTTTTGAGGACTTAGTCAATTTAGTCATAAACTTAGTAGTAATTTTTTTTGGCTAGGCCAACATCCAGGAGAGTTTTTCCTAGATTTACTTGTAGGTTTTTATAGTTTCAGCTCTCACATTTAAGTGCTTAATCCATCTTGAGTTAATTCGCATGTATGGTGAGAGATAGGGATCTGATTTCATTCCTCTGCACATGACTCTCCAATCTCCCCAGCACCATTTATTGAATACGGTGTCCATTCTCAGTGTATATTTTTGTCAACTTTGTCAAAGATGTATTTGATTTATATATGTAGCTTTATTTCTGGGTTCTTTATTCTGTTCTGTTGTTCTATGTGTTTATTTTTAAGCCAGTACCATTCCATTTTGGTTATTGTAGCTTTGTATTATAATTTGAAGTCAGGTAATGTGATACCTCCAGCTTTGTTTATTTTGCTCAGGATTGCTTTGGCTATTTGGGCTCTATTTTATTCCATATGAATTTTAGGATTGTTTCTTCAGTTTTTGTAAAACATGGCATTGTTATTTTGATAGGAATTGAACTGAATTTGTAGATTGCTTTGGGATGCCTGGTCATTTTAACAATAGTAATTCTGATCCATGAACATTGGGTGTTTTTTTCATTTGTTTGTTTCACCTATGATTTCCTTAATCAGTGTTTTGCAGTTCTCCTTGCAGAGATATTGCAGTTTCTGAATTAAATGTATTCCTAGGTATTAAAAAAAAAAATTTTGCCAGGCGTGGTGGCTCACGCCTGTAATCCCAGCACTTTGGGAGGCCAAAGTGGATGGATTGCCTGAGGTCAGGAGTTCGAGACCAGTCTTGCCAACATGGTGAAACCCAATCTCTACTGAAAATACAAAATTTAGCCAGGCGTGGTGGCATGTGCCTGTAATCCCAGCTACTCGGGAGGCAGAGGCAGGGGAATTGCTTGAACCAGGGAGGTGGAGGTAGCAGTTAGTCGAGATGACGCCACTGCACTGCAGACTGGGTGACAGAGTGAGACTTCATCTTGAAAAAAAAAAAAATTTGTTGACCTTTGCAAATGGGATTGAGTTCTTGATTTGATTTTTTCCGCTTGATTGTTATTGCTATATAGAAATGCTACTGATTATTGTATGTTGATTTTGTATCTTGAGAGTTTACTGAAGTCATTTAGCAAATCTGAAAATCTTTTGGAGGAGGCTTGGGGTTTTATAGGTATAAGATTATATCATCAGTGAACAGAGATAATTTAACTTCCTCTTTTTCAATTTGAATGTGAGGCAATTTTTGATGTATCCTATGCCCTCTGAAAGAAAGCAAATTCTTGTTTAAAGCTCTCTGGCTTTCATTATATTCCTAATCAGGGATCTGAACTGTGAGACAATTTTGATAAGAATATATTGCATTGTATTAGAAAAGCTGAATTAAATTAAAAATGTCTTACACTACTCTAGGAATTCTTGTTATGTTTCCTAACAATAAAATTTTCAAATAACAGAGGATACTTCAGATTAAAAACATTAAACTGTTATTCGTTCAAAAATGTGTAGAGCTCTCTTTGATTGAAATGAGACTTAATTGAATTTCAGCTAAAAGAAGTCTTTTATATCTTTTTATACTTTACTAGTTAAAAATTAAATTCAGTAATAAAAAAGTGGAGTGGCTACAACTTCATTTAAACTGGACAAATAATTATCTCTCTTCTGTGAATAGTGCAAAATCTGCATATTTTGTGATATACTATTATTGCTATTTTCCATTCCACTTATTTCCATTCACTGGAATAAAGTATATTTTTATCCCTTCCTGTGGCTAGGCTATATGTGTTCACAGTGGTTCACAATTTAAATAATTAAGGAAACATTAACCAAGTGAGTGGAAGTAGAGAGGGCAAGAAAATGAAATAGAAAAGGAAGATATCGATATAATGTAATGGAGGTGCAGGAGGGTGAATGCACAGACCAGTTTGGAAGAGATACACAATATGTTGATGACAAGCCATGTTCTCTCAATATTGGCTGACCTTGTTGTGGAAAGCTCTGAGTTGGTTTGGTTTTAAATTGGGGGCAAAGATCTTTCTCATATTCAGAAGATTCAAGGGGTAAAACAATCTATTCTTCCTATCGGTTGTCTATATTAACTTCCTCTATGCTCTACTTGTCAGTTCGATGCAATGTATTAGTCACTAGATCAACTTCTGATTAGACAGGGACTTTGCTATTAACCTTACATGCTCTGCAGTTGATGGATAGATAGACAGATATAAATAAGAATAAGTGTTTATTACTAATTCCTTTCTTAATATTAAAAAATTAAAGAAGATCCAATCATATCTAACAAGATAAAGCATCTATAAGTTAGATGAAAAGTAGTTTTAATGCAAATATTAAATCATATTTTTCCTGATATAAGAAGATATTTTTGATACATATCAGTGCCTCAGAATCCCCCACAATAAGGTTTTATTTAACTTGCTTCACTGTCCAATTGTGCATAGTTTCATTTAAGAAGTTTATTGAAGCTGATCATCAGATATTTTAGACAGAATTTTTGTTGGAAATTTCAGACTATTTGCAATACAAAATGAACTAGGTCCCCAAATATTTGGTTAAGTTTTAGGGACTGTAGTTGTTACTAATATTTCACATCATCAACACTTTTGCAAAAATGATGTGACCAACAAGTCTTAGAAATCCACAAGGAGCTACTCTTATTTTTCAGTTCAATGTGAATGTAGAAATGACTGTAATTGAGGAAGGATTTCCAGTGTTTCTGCAGGGGTTTCTAATTGAAACCAACATTCTTTCATTCATTTCAGATTCCTCAAAGGAGATTTAGTATAAGAAAGCTTTCATAATCATGTATATTTCCACCTGTATTACTCAATGGGTAACAATATTAAATTATACATTAGTACAATTATTATACTTCAGAGTTTATTTCAGAATACAGTACATTCTTATGTTCATGTATAAAAGAAATATGGAATCTAAATAAATGGACCTAGTGAGGGGGCATTTAATTAAAAAAATGTGGGGCATCTGAATAAGAATCATTGATAACTAAAAGTCTAGGCAGAAAAGAAAACATTGCTTAGAAGGCATGACCAAAGACAGTGAAAGAGCATGTGTAGTTTATAAAGATTAAGCCTACTTGAAGAATGGCTGAACATCATCAGTGATCAGGGCACTGTGAAAAATAATCTCTTAGGCAACAGAAACAGAAACACCAATGAAGATTGTTAGCATTTACTGAATGTTTATTGTGTGTCATATTGCCAGTGCTATTTATTTTAATAACATTTGTAATCCTATGTAATAGGTATATTTTCTTCATTTAATAGGTAAAAAATGGAAGCTTAAGAAAGTCCAGTAACTTGCTTAGTTTATTAAGCAAGTTGCTAGGAAATGACAGCATTAGTGTTCCAATTGCTATGGGGCCTGCCTTCCTCTCAGTCACTATCAGGCCTCCTTTAAAAATATAAAAAATTGTATCCAGAAAGAGACTTGGGAGGAAGACAGTACATTGGTAGGAGATAAAGTCCATGGTAATTCTTACTGAGTATGTTATTACCAAGGAAGTGGTTCATGCTTCTAAGCAGTTTACACAGCATACATTGTTATTTGTCTTTAAAAAGTTAGGTTAATATCACTTCCTACATTTAATGTTATTGCAGACATATTATTTTATTGAACATGGGATCCATGAAGTCAAATATATTAGCCATCACTATTGGCAGTAAAGCAACTGTTCCACTTGATGTGATGTAATAAAATGACCCCATTGATCACTGGTTTTCCACAGGAAAGAGCTAAAGAATCAAAATGGAAGGATAAAAAAAATTGTGGCAAAATTATGGTAGCTCTGTTTGTATCCACTCTACTCCTCAGAGAGAAAGAGATATGGCATTATTTCCAACACTGATACAATGTGTATTATTCGAAATTTGCTTGGAATCTGAATGACCATTTGACTTATAGGCAAATTTTACATTCCCCTTTCCTCTGTTTGGAAATTGAAACGTTTATGTTATTACATTTTTCAGTTATGATACATTAGTTGCCTGACTGAAAAAGAAAAGAATATTCTTGCTCAACTGAAAACCAATGTACCCAACTTATAATTTATTTAATCTGAAATAATTATACTATACAAAGTGTGAAGCCATTTATTATAATTAATTCATCATATCGATTTTTCTTTAATTTGTTTGATATAATATGCATTGCAAGAATAACTTTTGCTGTGGGTGTCAAATTTTCAAGAAAATAGACAACAATACATATACATTATTTAGCTCTGAGCAAACATCTGAAATCATTTAAGCAGAGGGAATTTCTATATTCATGAATGAAAAAATAAAGTGGAATATTAGTAGAAAAATGAAGAAGAAGAAATATGAATCAATTAGGAATATGGTAGATAGAGAATTTGGAAATTCTCTTAATTACCCTCTTTCTAGGTGATTCTACATACCTTTCAAATGCTGGAAGGAAAGTAAGTCATACTTAGAATGACTAATTTGCTTTAACTACTCTTCTTAGACTGGACATAGTTGCGGCCCGGGAGAAAATTACTGCAGTGGAGAATTATAAAGCTTTTCTTATCTCAGGAAATACACATTGTCTAATTCTGAAGGGAGCATCTGAACAGAAAAAGTGAAATGTTTCTCTGGAAACTACTTATATTTAAAATGCATTTAGCTAGATTCAATTAATATTTTAATAAATATGTGATTTCATGATATGAGCTAAGTAACAGAATACAACTATATTAAAAAATGCTGGATAATCTTGTTTAATTTACATCATTAAATTAGAGAAAAAAAGAATATGTAAGTGCAATTTGCCTGGACCTTCTATAAATTATTTCACTGTTATCCTAGGAGGATTAGCACTGTATCACACTAAGAGAATGGTGTCTACACTGCAACCACGTTGTCTTTCTTCTAATTCTTTCTTCTAACCAGCTGCACCATCGCTGGGGAGTTCTTGATTTCTCTTGTATAAAATGGACATAATAATGGTCCAATTTTTTAGGGCTTTGGAGAGGAAGGAAAATGAGTTTTGAAAAACATCTTATACAAATTAAGCATCCAAGAGGTATTAGATATCATCAGTAATTTTGCCTATTGCTATAGATTGAATGTTTGTGCTTGTCTTAAATTCATATGCTGAAATCCTACTCCCCAATGTGAAGATACTAGGAAAAGGGGCCTTCGGGATTGGATTAGGTCATGAGGGTGGAGAAGGGGAGTCAGTGCCCTTATAAAAGACAGCGAGCTGTCTACTCCCTTCTGTCATGTGAAGTTACAGTAAGAAGTTGGCAGTCTGAGACCCCAAAAAAGTTCTCACCAGAAACTGACCACTCTGACACTCTGATCTCATATTTCCAGAATCCAGAACTGTGAGAAATAAATTTTTGTTGTTTATAAGCTATCCAGTTTATGATATTTTGTAATGGAAGTCCAAATCGATTTAAACACCTATATTTTGTGAAAAGTGAAAAATTGGAACATTTCAATCTATAAACATAGTAAAATAATTTGTAATTTTCAAAACCTATTGTAACATAGTTTAGCTTAATTATTGAAACCCTTTCCAGTATTATGTAATTTATCTAAACTTTATGGAGTGTTGTTACTAGGTAGAGATCCAGACTTAATGTTGAATCTCTGAGAGTTTCTATATGGAGTTTAGACAGTGAGCTTTCCCCATCTTACAACTGAAAAATCTCCAAGATATCTTACTACCTATACAAGCCCATGGTCCTATGATTCTAAGTAGAGTTACCATGGCATTAAAATATATAATGGTTTTGATATCAATGCAAGTGGGCTACTACTGTCTAAATTTGGAGAAGATAAATCCTTCTAACTAAGCTGCTTTTGTCCTAAAAAGGAGAAGTAAAAGTAAGACAAACCTTAAAACAACACTTCATCTTAGGGAATATATACAGGGGAGGAAAATGTAAAGAATGAATATACTATTGAACATACTTTTTAAAATTTCCTAGGATATTTTATATTTGATTTAAATTAAAAATGAATCAGTGGGACAATTGCACTCTTCTTTGATTATAACAGAATGGAAATTTTCAAGAATTGAGACAACCACAGTATATAACTAAATAATATATTTTAGAAAAAGTAAGCAGAAAATATATTGAGATCCTGAGCAGGGTAAGATGCGACAGGCTCTAATACAGAGGCCCATTCATGTAAGTCATTCTTGACATTTTTTCAAACAGTAAAATTTCTTTTTTGAGTTAAAAATTTGTTGTGAAAGAACAATGAAAAATTTCCTTTAACTATGTAATTGATTGAAATGCAAAATAAGTTTTAAATAGTCTTCAATAGAGAACTATATAATTATATTATTTTCAGCTTTAGAAACATTAGTCAGTTTTTGGTTATGTGAAATTATCAGTATGATCTCTCTCTGACAGAAAAGTTAACATTCATTAATTTTTGCTTAGGAATTCACTTAGAGACACCCGTGCCGATGAATAAATACTATAAAGCATCTTCTTTTACACAGAGATAGAAAGCTAAACTTTAAAAAAAAATCCTTTATATTATTGTACTGTTTTCATTTGATTAAATAAAAAAGAATTATTTTGTACAGGGCCTCCAAAATTCTGAAGGGTTACTAATTTTCCTACCCTCTTCAAACTTTTGTTTTACCCAACACAGAAAGGAAAAATGTAGGAATTAAAAAATGTATTAGTACTGTATTTTATCAAGTAAGAGATAGTAAAAGATAGTCATATACTTTTTTGTTCTATTTATTTTGTTTTCTATTTTGATTATTAGTGAAAACCTAATTTGTACACAAAATGAACTACTTTTGTTCTCTGAATATTTGCAATTGAATTAATATTTCTTATGGAATGCTGTGTCCCTTTTTGCCTACTTTTTAATGTTATACTGTTTATATATAACTCAGTTGTTATTTATTCAGGAACCTGTTTTGGCATTATTTCACAAGTTCCTTCTTGAGGCAGAATCTAACTCTGTGGACTACTTGAGTTTGGTATGCGCACATATCCATAAGTTCAGCTCTACTCTTCATTCTTATTTGCCACATCCTTTGTTTGGGCTCATCTCATCAATTTTTTTTCTTAATTTAGGAGAAAAACTCTGTTTTAAGGCCCTCAGATTTTGAAGTTTGTTGCACTTCATTTATTACAATAGCCATTTTTAAATATTTTTAAATCTGGAAATAGTAACTGCCCATTGATTTAAACACTTATGATCTTCAACAAAATTTTATATTTATCCATACATGTCTTGCACATTCAAATAAATTCATTTCAATATAGTCAACATTTTGATATCCAAATGAGATAGTTCTGTTTAATTTTAAGTTAGCTCTTGTAGATGCATGGAAATACTCTAATTATTTAAATTAATTTTATTCCCAGCCACCTTACTGAACTTACATGGTATAGTTCTTAAAGGCATCGACTAGGCAAGTACACTATTTGTGTCCAAACCCCGGATTTCTCACTTTCTAGCTATGTGATATTGGATAAACTGTGCCTCTATTTATTCATCTATAAAATTGAGCTAAAAAGCATAACTGCTTTATAGTATTACTTTTTTAACCAAATGATAATTCATATAAACCATCTGACACATAAATGTTATTATTTTTGGATACATTTACACCTTTACATTTCTAGAGTGAAAGCATAAATGAATAAAAATAATCTATCTCTTTCACATAGTAAATATTGTTCATTATTTCTTACCTTATTACATAGGTTTCTTGGAAGGGTGTAAGAAGTGAATGTATCCCTTCCTTCCTTCCTTCCTTCCTTCCTTCCTTCCTTCCTTCCTTCCTTCCTTAAATTCCTTGTGGTAAGAACATTAAACATATTATATACCCTCTTAATCAAATTTTAAGTGCACAGTATTATTAACTAGAGGAAAACTGTTGTACAAAAGATCTCTATAACTTATTGATTTTGCATAACTGAAACTTAACACCTATTAAGCAGCAACTTCCCATTGCCCACTCCCTGGAAAACACCATTCTATTCTGGTTTTATAAATTTGATTACTTTTAATACCCGATATAAGTGGAAAAACACAGCATTTGTGTTTCTGTGACTGGCTTATTTCCTCAGCATAATGTTCTCCAGATTCATCCATGTTGTCATATTTGACAGTATTTTCCTCTTTCTTAAGGCTGTATAATATTCCATTGTATCTGTGTACCACATGTTCTTTATTCATTAATTTGGCAATGGGCATCTAAGTTGTTTCCACATTTTGGCTGTTGTGAATAACGCTGCAAAGCATATATGAGTGCAGATATCTTTTCCAGTCCCTGGTTAAAATTTTATGAAACCACAAAATATCCTGAATATACAAAGTAATCTTGAGAAAGAAGAACAAAGCTGGACACATCACACTTCCTAACTTCAAAATGTACTGTAAACCTACACTAATTGAAATAGTAGGATACTGGCATTCATAGAGACATACGGACCAATGTAACAGAATAGAACACCCAGCACCTACATATGTATCATCAGTTGATATTTACGTGAAAACTTTCATTACAACATGTACAAAAATGAATTCAAAATGGATTAAAAACTTAAAGATAAAAAATACTGGAAACTGTAAAACTCCTAGAAGAAAACATAAAGGAAAAGCTTCATGACACTGGTCTTGGCAATGATTTCTTGAATATGGACTGAAAGCACAAGCAACAAAAGCAAAAATAGGCAAGTGGGACTATATAAAACTAAAATCTTTTGCATAGCAAAAGAAACAATGAACAGAGTGAAAAGGTTACCTACAAGATGAGAGAAAATATTTGCAAATTATATATGTGATAATGGGTTAATAAAATATATGAGTAACTCCTACAACTCAAGAGCAAAAAACAAAAGCAAACAAAATGAAACAAAACACACATAATAAACTGATTAAAAATGGGTGAAGTATTTGAACCAACATTTCTCTAGTAAAAACATACAAATGACCAACAGGAATATGAAAAAATGTTTCACATTACTAATCATTTGGGAAATGCAAAGCAAAAAAATCACAATGGGATATCATCTCACATCTGTTAGGATGACTATTATAAAAGAGAGTTATCACTAATATATTATAAACTAACTATTATAAAAGAGAGTTATCACTAATGTTGTAAGGATGTGAAGAAATTGGAATGCTTGTACACTGTTAGTGGGAATGCAAAGTCATGCAACCTCTATGGAAGTCAATATTGAAGTTCCTCCAAATATCAACAATAGAACTATCATATAATCTAGCTATCCCACTTATGAGCATATATATTTTTTAAAAAGTGTGTATCCTACATACCCCAAACTCCAATTCCTGTCAAAATACCAACATCATTTTTCACAGAATTAGGAAAGCAATCCTGGCCAGAGATGGTGGCTCACACCTATGATTCTAGCAATTTGGGAGGCAGAAGTGAGAGGATTTCTTGTGCTTAGGAGTTCAAGACTAGCTTGGGCAACATGGCAAAACCCAGTCCTATAAAATATTCCAGAATTTGCCAGGTGTCATGGCATGCACTTGTAGTCTCAGCTATGAAGTAGGCTGGGGTGTGAGGATCACTTGAGCCTGAGAGGTCCAGGCTGCAGTGAGCTGAGATTGCACCGTTGCACTCCAGCCTGGGGCAGCAGTGAGCAGTGCGAGACGCTGTCTCAAAAAAAAAAAAAAAAAAAAAAAAGATACTGGTGTAAATAAAAGTAGACACGAACAAATGAAACAGCATAGAGAACCCAGAAATAAAGCTAAATACATAAAACCAACTGATTTTCAACAGAGTATACAAAAACATAAATTGGGGAAGGACATCCTACTTAATAAATGATCCTGGGAAAACTGGCTAACCACAGATAGGTCACCTTAAACAAAAATCAACTTAAGATTGATCAAAGATTTAGGTCTAAAGCCTGAAACCATGAAAATTCTAGAAGATAACCTAGGAATTACTGTTCTGAACATTGACTTGGCCTTGGCAAAGAATGCATGACTAAGACCTCAAAAGCAAATGCAACTAAAACAAAAATAAATAAATGGGACATAGTTAAACTAAAAAGCTTCTGTTCAGCAAAAGAATCATCAGAGTAAACCGATAGCCCACAGACGGGGAGAAAATATTTGCAAACTATGTGTCTGACAAAGGAGCAATATCAAGAATCTACAAGTAACTCAAATCAGAAAGAAAAAACTAAATAGGATCTTCAAAAGTGGGCAAATAACACAAGTAGATATTTCTCAAGAGAACATATATAAATGATCAACCAACATATAAAAAATGCTCGACATCCCTGATGATCAGGGAAATGCAAATTAAAACCAAAATGAAATACCCCCCTACCCCTGCAAGAATGGCTGTTATTAAAAAGTTAAAAAAAAAAATCCAACAGATGTTGGCATAGATGTGGTTAAAAGAGAGTGCACTAAGAGGCGCACTGATTTTGCTTTCTAGCAATTTGGTGATTAAAATGTATCTTATCAATAGCATCTTGGATTGAAAAACTATACTATATATCTTGGAATTCTCACCTTTTAAAAATTTTAATAAAAACTCCAATAATATAACTTTATTCTACTTGCTTTTACCCAAAGAAGATCACAAGGGACAAAGTGGACTTTGTAACCAATATAACCAGATCTGATATTTAAATCTTTTTCAGTTTGATTTTAGAACACTTTACCCCTTTGTCTCTTGGGGTTCTTAAATGGGAGCAGATTATCTGGTTTTTCCAGAGGTCACAGAACAGCTATTATAATTCCCCTATTTTTGATACACTGCTTCTCATGCTTTGCTGCAGTACAACCTGATAATTCCAGGGTGGATATATGACAAGCTATGTTTAACTGAACTAAGATAACTTTCTACTCTGGCAAGCATGTTTAAGTCTTTTAATTTGCTGCTCACCTAGGTTTAGATTTTTAGCATCTTGCTATGCAAATTTTATATGTCTTTCAGAATGTCTCCTTGAATATTTAATTTTTAGAAGAAAATTGGATGCTGATTTATACTGTTAATGAAAACCACACTAAATTAAAATAAGTAAACTGCTGGATATTCAAACATGGTAAATGGTCCACGTAGGGAGGTTCTATGGAGGGTAATCAAGCAGGATATATCTGTTTTTTCCTCTTAGGTCTATGATGTTATTGGTGTCATCAAATTTTGTGTGATTTTTCCTGACCTGCATTGTATTATACACAGAGAGCTGTCAATTATTATTATACATACCTGTACATTTTTATATACAATGAGTGGTTAGTGAGGCTGCATTTTCTTTCTATTAATGAGCGTGAGGAACTTAAGACTCTATGAATTGATTATGTTGGCTGAAGAGATGAGAGTAACACAATAATGACATGATCCTAGTTGTTATTGATGTATATTCACTAGAACGTTGAAGCCTCAGGTTAGGTGACTTTTTCCAACTTTCTATATATGGAGCAGAGTCTTTTTATACTTCTATAAAGAAATAACCCAGAGAAGACAACTGTTTACCCTAGTGGTGATCTATAGAAATCATGTAAGTTATGTATTCAACATAGTCTTTATTTTGTAGGTCTCATCAGACATCTTGGTTAAGCAGCTTCTTATTAAAGATTTATTTGAATCTTGGGACATGCTTTGAACAACAAAGACAAGATTATCACAATTACAGCAGCTGTACAGATACCACTATTTGGTGGAGCCATGATTGAATTGATCAAACGGTATTTATCTTCTTGACTCCCTCTTTGGTAAAGACCTTTTTTTTTAATATACATGTGCATTGTTGGTGGTTGTGGGGTGCCTAGTTCTCCATTCAATTGGCTTGCAAGGCTTAAGTTTCCTCCATACAATTAGGACATGTCTAGACCAAACCTAGGCTCTGTGATATCACAGGCATTATATAATGATATACCTGGTCTAGGGAATCTTGGCCCAGATTTTAACCAAAATGGTGCTTCTTTTGCTCATAGTTTCTAAGACAATAAAAGCCCATTTCCAGGTGGACTAGACTTATATTATTATCAGTTTGGACAGTGGCATTTAAGTGTAAACTGCTTATGATTCTCACATCAATAGTATAATGACACCAAATAACTTAACAAAAGATGGATTGAAACTCTTTGTGTACTTGCTTACTTTGCAACCTGCCCACCAGTTAACTGGTGATTTCAAGTAAAGCACATATAAACCAAACTCTTCTTGCTATGATGCACACAAAAGACACAAACATAATACTTCCTTGTTTGAAATCTGTTGTCTGGGGACCGTGAAGTACAGAAGGCATTGTTAGTTGTGTTAGATTCTTTTATTCTTTTGTTTCTGTTTTCCCAACATATCTGATTATCGAAAATGTGACCTTTCTTAATTGTCAAAAATTGGGCTATTGCCTTACAGAGTGAAGCTATGCACACAAGGTTTGAATATCCATTCTCAGCATTGTTTGCACAAAAATGAACAAGTTTTCCAGCAACCAGATAGTACTTTGGTATCAGTTAGATGACTAGAGAAGAAATACATATTGAATTTTAGCCTATGCTCCTATTCTAATATATAACATATATTATCTGTTTTTTCAGACCCTTGCTAGACTTTTTATTTTATTTTTTAAATCTTTGGCTTCCAGATGGCTAATCTGAAGTTATATTTGTATCCTTCATGTGAGCAGGGGGGTTCTTGATCTAAATAAATACTATTTGATACAATGTATGCTAATTATTTTATAACCATAGTTCAACTTTACCTAATACAGTACATGCCCATAGTGGATTTTCAAAAATGCATATTGAATTAATCACAGTATTACTAACAAAGGGCTTCCAATAATTCGGATGGAAGAATTATATAGATAGTTACTCTTTTAAGACCCTATGCTTCATTTTTATCTTTTCCAATCGATTTTTTTTTTCTCAGTGAGTCTCAATTTTTTATCTCAACTTTGAACTTGGGTTTTTAGCAAAATGAGCATTTTAATTCTTTCTAGTTAGCATTTCAGTCAGGTTGTTTATCATAGGAATGCTCCCAAATGCTTCAGGGTTTAGGAAACCTATTGATTAGATATGATTTCTGTTTCTTTTATTCACAACTCATTCCTGAATCCAATCATAGATTGGCTACGGAAGAGGGACTTACCATGAAGAAGGAATTTCGCCTACCACGGTAAAGTCTCTGCTTTTTCAAAGACTTGAATAGTTTCTGAAAAGAATCATTTTAGTGTTCACTATATCAAGGAATTAGGTTTAGTCAAAAATATTAGTTTTTTTATTTCTTACTCCGTAGTGGGCACATTTAGTGGCATCCTTTTCTGTTATGTGGGTCTCTTGATCAGATGTCACTGAGTCAACCATAGTGTATGACCTAATTATTGTTGGTCATACAATTGTTGAAGAATTCTAGAAACTGCAGCTTGACTCAGGCAGCACTTTCAGCATTACATCATGAGTGGAGGTAGATATATACATAAATGTAAATAAATAAGTGGATTCTAACCTCAGAAAGGACAAATAACCAATTATTCTGGGATTTCACTGTAATATTGGCAAACTTTTAGAAATATAGAGAAGCCACAGAAATTCCCTCTATTTCTTGATACAATTTATGTCTATAGATATAGAAAATGTTTTTCTTCCAATATTATTTACTATTCATAAACATATTTAGATGTATCCCTTTTCCATCTCAAGTAAAGAGACTGTCACAAAGACAATTTAGAGAATGCTTCCATAAATGACTCAACCACCTGTGTGATGAACTGGTTCCACTATGGATATGAGAGCCCCTGTCTATCCCTTATTCATATTTGATGGCTGAGTAAAGGTCACAAATGGATACAAAATTCAGTCATGTAGTGTGGGGGAAGTACAAGACACTACTCTGTAGGAGTTCACAGGTCAAAGAGAAGTGGCCAGATGAGATGCGCTTAGGCACGGAGTGCCTTCTGTTGTCCTTGCTGACTGGAATCTAGCTCAGTCAAGAAAATAATTTACCAGATGTAGGACCTCAGGATAGAGCACAGATCTAATTATCACTGCAATCAAAGATAATGCTAGTGTCACTCAAGTGGGAACAGTTCCAACACTCATTTTTACTAAAAGGTGAATTTGTTTACTGGCCCATTTTGAGAAAAAATATTCTAGGTTTTTCAACTTTTTTTTCAATAATGTTTTTAGTATTCAACAGCACTTTTTCAACTATTTGGCATCTATTTTAGTTATGTGTTAGTAGTGACTGACATACTCCAATAGAGTATACAAAAGCTGAGGCTAATAGTGTGAAGTAATAGAATAGGGATGTGTGAGATGCTTAATAAATATAGATCCCTGTAAAATCTGAATATTTTTCTCCTAGTCTTTTTTTTTTTATAGAAGTAGTTGTGTTAGAGATGAAAAGTAAAGCAAACACCAAAATGTCCAGGTAGAAATTACAAAATTGCTGTTTGATCAAAATGTGAATAAAGAGGGGGAACATTCTAGGACAGAAACCTATGTATTGGGGCTAAGGTAAAATTAGAAGCCAGTCTCTCCTATTGGCCCTGATACTTTTTTATAATATTTTATTAGTCTATGTGAAGTGTCTAATATTTTAGGTATTGTAAAGACTGAAACTTGTACAAATTTGGAGACCTTCTTTAAGACAGTAATATAGAATTGTAAAACAAAGGTTAGTTTGTGAATACAAATTAATAATTTTATTTATTTATTTATTTATTTATTTATTTATTTATTTACTGAGACAGAGTTTTACTCTTGTTGCCCAGGGTGGAGTGCAATGGCGTGATCTCGGCTCACTGCAATCTCTGCCTCCCAGGTTCAAGCGATCCTCCTGCCTATGCCTTCTGAGTAGCTGAGATTACAGGAGGCCGCCACCATACCCAGCTAATTTTTTATATTTTTAGTATAAACAGGATTTCACCATGTTGGCTAGGCTGGTCTCAAACTCCTGACCTCAAGTGATCCACCCACCTTGGCCTTCCAAAGTGCTGGGATTACAGGCATGAGCCACCGTGCCTGGGCAAATTAATAATTTTGAATGCAGCCATATAACATTAACATTAAAATATATAGAAAAATTACATAGTATTTGTTTTCATTCATTTTTGAATACACCTCTATAATACTTATTTTCCTCTCACATCTCTGGATAGTTACTCTGCTTGCTTCTGCAAAGAACAATAATTTTGATTTTATTTTATTTTTTTATAGAAATAATATAGAGGTAATTACATCTCTTTACAACTGGCTGAAAGAAAATTGCATTTTTATTTAATATTTGGAATTTATAAAACATGTTGCTTTACACGTATACTTTCTGTAGTTAGTAAATTCAATTTAGGGGCACTTTCTATCAAATATTTAAAAAAGAATATATAAAGCAAATTATGTGAACTGGCATTTTTCATTTATCAGGCATTTTTTTCTAACAAGAGAAAACTTCCATTGTGACCAAGTATTTATAAGAACTGAAACTCCCACTAATTATTTTCCACAGGCAAGCTTCTGGCTCTGTGAATTCAAGCTCCTTGACTATACACACCAGCACCCTTGTGTTGTGGTGCTGTTAGAGTAAGTAGATAGGCAGATCTGAGAAGGGCAGGATAAGGCCTCAAAGAATGTCTGGTGACGGTCAGGTGAGTATTAAGCAAATGTAAGGATGCTGGTGATGGGAAGGGAGAAATTTCCTAACAACAGGAGACATCTTGAGCTTGTGGACAAAAATTTCCTGATAAGAACTTAAAATGGCAGAGTTTGACCATCCTCTGAGGACATACCCAGGCATGCAAAGTAAGGAGCAAAATGGCAGAATTTGACTTTCCTCTGGGGTCTTGTCCAGGCATGCACAGTAAGGGACAAAATGGTGGAGTTTGACTCATATATGACCTTCCTCTGGGGTGCTAGACCAGTAAGGGAAAATTGCCGTAATAGGACATGTGCATAACTTCAGCCACCAAATGGCACATGTGACCCCTTCCAGATACTGGCAAGTCATTGTTCATGCAGAGATTAGCCAAGAGCCCACTCAAGGGAAAGGACAGGGGAAGGAAACCAGGAATAACTAGGAAATAGTAACTCTATAAGAGCCCTGAGGCAATGATCAGGTGGGATGCAATCTTTTGAGTCAGCTGCTAGGTTCTTTCCAAGTGTACTTTTCTTTTCTTCAATAAACTCTTCTTTCTGTCTTAAATCTACTTCTGTCTCTTGGCTGAATTCTTTCTCCCAAGAGGACAAGAACTGAAGACTGTGGAGCCTGCCCAGGCCACCTTCAGTAAAAGAGTTATGTAAATGGACACAGTGATGCTATAAAGAGTTCTGGCAGAAATTCTGGTGACAAGACAGTTAGCAATAAACTATACATGTAAGTGACTGTACACTTTAATCCCAAACTAAATATACCTCTAACCCAACATCCCTTTAAGCCTGATCCCTGAAGTATTCTGAAGCCACTCAAACACCAACTAAGGCAAAGTGTGAAAAGTTGGGAGGTCAAAGCAGAAAGAGATAGTAGTATTAATCTACAGCAACGAAAATAATGTATATTTGAAAATTTTGCAAAAGCAGAGGGACATGTGAACACATTGCAAGGGCCTACCCAACACCTTACAAAGGATTTATAAAAGTAATGGCAGCTGAAGTTTTTCCTTATTAGCTTCATGGTAAATGTACCTTTAACTTACACTGTATTAACAAGATCCTGAATTATGGAAGAATTGCAAAATATTGCAATGAAAACAGGTTTTCTTTTTTTTCCCTCTCACCTTTTAAAATATAAATTTGTCAGTATGTCTTTTTATAACAAGGCAGGAGGTGGTCTATGCTCTAGATTTCAGGATGCTAATAAAAGCATCTTGATAATATAAAAAATACTCTTAATTTTCTATGACCCATACTGGTTGTTGACCTACAGAAAACTGATCTTTAACTCCATCTATGATCCCCTTGAGGATCTAGATGATATAATCTCATTTCCAAATTATTATTCTGTGATTTTGCTTACTATAGTTTAATTGAAGTGATTAAGACCATTCAGAGATATACAACATCCAATTTTAATTAACACAGACCTTCCTTTTGGGGCGTGAGGGGGCCCACCATTGACAGAGATTTTGAGTAAAAGCAAAAGCTTCACTTTTAAAAGGGGATGGTTGACCATACATTGCTATATTCTAGTTATCGGTGAAACATCTTATTATACTTTTAAAAGATTATGCATCAGAATGATATATTTTATAGCTTCATGCAGGAAATAACTCACCCTCATATTTAAGATAAGAGAAGGTTGAACATATGGAAACTGAATTCATTCGATCTTGAATTTTCTAATTAAACCCTATAATCTAGACTTCTTTCTTTGAGTGTCATGAAATAAATTATTTTCTTACTCTACGATAAGACCCCACATTGACAAAAATAAGTCAAGCTTTTAAAATCTCTAATCAGACACTGTAACTTATTACTAATACCTGCCATACATATAAGTTTTAGTTTCTGGGAACCGTCCTGCTATAATAATAAAATTTTTTAAAAACTGATTTGGAAAGAAAAAGAATAACAACAAAAAAACTAATTTGGAGAAGTTGTTTTAGACATATATTACCTAAAAAAAATCATTGATGTCCCATGAATGAGATTGGGTTATTTACTTATTTTCCCAATAAAACCATTGCTTCTAACTAGCAAGTTCTTTGTTTTAGTCATCTGTCAGAAGAGCTGCTCCATTTCACTTTGCCTAGAGACTTTGAATTGATTTTCTATCAATACGTATCCATGGGATATTCAATTCATATGATCTTCTTGACAAGATTTTTCCCAGTTTTACCACCATTTCCATATGTTTATTACATACTTTTTTATCTTGCTGAGGACCAGGGGAAAATACCAATAAGTAAAAAGAAGAAGAAGAAGAAAAAAAAGAAAACCTAGTCTAGGACTCTAGTAGTGCTATAAATGAAAACCTGAAAGGGCTGGGAATGTCAAAACATCTTCAGTTTGGTTTAAGTGCATCTTGGACTGAATAAAAGTGAAAAAGAGAGCAGAAAGGAAAGAAACAAAAAGAAAAAACAACCCTGAAGAATTCAATGAATTCATGGTTTTGAGCAAAAACAAACAAATAAACACGGAAGACTACTGGTCCTATATAATTTGACTCTTGCTTACCTCTAAACTCTGTATTAGTTTCCTAGGGCTCTCATTTAAAAAGTGCTACAAAATGGGTTAAAACAACAGAAACTTCATATTATATTACAGTTCTAGAGTGTAGAAGTTTGAAATCATTGTGTTGGCAGGACCAAACATTTCAACTATTAATTGAAATTCTCTCTTTAGACTTCAAACTCTAAAAAGGAAGGAAATACTTTACTCATTACTTGGTCTCCAGAGCCCTGTTTCCACTTAGTAAATGTGCAATAAATTCATCAAATTGTTACAGTAGAGTGTGTGGATGCTCTGATAAAGGCATTGAGAACAAACATGCAAGGAACAAATAGAAGCAGTGAGGGCACAATGGCAGAGGAGAAAATGTCAGAGGCAGCAGCATTATAGCAATGTCTTACAGGACAAATAGGAGTTTTCTCCACGTAAGAAAAAAGAATGCATTCTACTGACAAGTTAAGTGTAAAAAAAGCATTAGGGACACATTATTTGGGAAAAAAGGTGGTAGAGAGATATTCAATTTATAAGCAGCATTATGGAGAACTGGTCACAAGTGTGGGCTATGAAGAAGTTTTACTAAGTTGCAAAACAAGTTTCTTTACTTGATAGTTCTGTGGTTTTGGTTAAAAAAAAGTTCCCTGTTTTTTCATCCACAAAATAGAGATCATATTAAAGCTAACTTCTGAGCTCTTCTAAGGATTTTGTTTATATGTGTAAAGTAATGAGAATGGAGGCTGTATACTCACTCGAAATTTATAATCTATTATTATTTTAGCCAGGTGGAAGATACTTTCAATGTTGAAGTTCTGCTTTTTATAATAGCGGAGTAACATTTATCACATTAATCCTACTGCAAATAACTGTTGTAAACTCCAGACAAATTATAATGAATAACAGATTGAAAGCCTTGCAGAGACTTTTTGTTAGAATGAATAGCAGATTAAAAGCAGAAAAAATGAAACTGGATTCTTGACACAAAGGAATCACACCAGGTGAGATTTATATTTATAAAATTTTTGCTCTGGGAGAACTTTACAATTCTGTAGTACAAAGTAGATAGAAATCAAGGAGAAATTTGGTCTTTTTGGCATAAAAAGTCAAAGGATGGAGTTTTGGGGTGCTAATTTAGAGATAAATTGTAGACAGATAATCCAGAAATGAGGGAGCCCCAGAAAGAGAATCCCTATCAGATATATGTAAATTCCCCTGAAATGTAGGGCAGATCACAGAATTGTGCATGCATGAGCAGTTCTTCAAGGAGTCAAGGGGAAAGTGACTACTGTAAGACTGAAGTAATTTCCCAGAAATTTCATGCCTGCCCATTGCTGGAATTGTATGTTTCAAGTGCCGCAGAATTTAGGAAAATGTGACAATCCCTTATTCTCAGTGTTTACCATGTGCTGGGGCATAAAACAGACTTAATAAATTTGAAAAAAAAAAACTTACAGTATATGTTTTCTGTAAACAGTGGAATTAAAAAGAAATAGGGGCCAGGCACGGTGGTTCAAGCCTGTAACCCCAGCACTTTGGGAGGCCAAGGTGAGCGGATCGCTTGAGGTCGGGAGTTCGAGATCAGCCTGGCCAGCATGGTGAAACCTCATCTCTACTAAAAATACAAAAAAAAAAAAATTATCTTGGCTTGGTGGCTCACGTCTGTAATCCCAGCTGCTCAGGAGGCTGAGACAGGAGAATCACTTGAACTTGGGAGGTGGAGGTTGCAATTAGCTGAGATTGTGCCACTGCACTACAACCTGGGTGACAGCAATAATCTGTCTCAAAAAAAAAAAAAAAAAAGAAAGAAAGAAAGAAATAGAAAAGATATTTCAAAATAACTATTAGAGAATGAAGACAAACATCTCTAAATAAACCAGGAGTATAAAAAGGAACCACAAAGATAAAAAGAAAATATATTAACTGCATACAAACGAACACATAACATATCTAAATTTGTGGAATGTAGCTAAAGCAGTTCTTAGAGACCATGTCTTCAAATACTTTATTAGGAGAGATTTTAAAAATTAGTTTTCTCAGAGTATACTGAAGGAAGTTAGTGTTACCAGAGACTGAGGTAGTTAGGAGGAATGGTGGACTAGGCGGAAATGGGGAGAAGTTGGTTAAAAGATCCATAAATATAGTTAGATAGGTACAGTAAATTCTAGAGATTTATTGTACAGCAGGATGACTACAGTTAATGATGATATATTGTATTCTTAAAACATACCAGGAGCCCACAAATATAACTGTGTGAAGTAATGCATTTGTTAATTAGCTAAACATTTCACTATGTATGTTGTTAAATCAGGTTTAACGTAAAGCTTCCTTTTTAAATATTTTAAGTTCGACCTAAAGGTTTCTCTGTACATCATGAAATATAACAAGTGGAGACATAGACTGTAGCCCACACCTGTGCCAGTCACTGAGTTTTGGCCATTAAATGTAGCTGACTGTTTGAACCATGTTCAAATAAGGCAAACACTGAGCTGTAACCAATCCAGCTGTTTCTGTACCTCACTTCCATTTTCTGTATGTCGCTTTCTTTTTTCTGTCCATAAATCTTCTTCCACCATGTGGCTACGCTGGAGTCTCCGAGCTTATTCTGGCTCAGGAAACTGCCCAATTCTTGAATCCTTCATCCCTCAGTTACACTCCTTTAAATTTAATTTGACTGAAGTTTTTCTTTTATCATCGTGTATCTTAAAATATCAGGTTTTTCATGATAAATACATACAATATTATCTGCAAATTAAAAATAAATATAGAGGTTAGAAAATAAAAGAAAGTAAACACAACAAATATAGAAAAAATACTGTATAAAAAAGAACAGAAGTCAGTTAAATTGAAAAACACAAATAGTATTTCGGATAAACAAAGAAGTAAAAATATAGGTCTCTAAAAAGATAGGGTAAAAAGAGGAAAAATATAGGCCTTTAAAAAGATCAAGAAAATGGAAAATCTTTAGTTTTGCTAACCAATAAAAAAGATAACATAATTGATCAATATTAGGGATTATATAGGGACATCGATTTGCAGCTTGAGGTCATTGACATGATAATCAGAGAACATTATGTACAACTTAACGACAACGAATTCAACAACTTAGATAATATAATCTAATTCCTTAAAAGATACAACTTTAAAAAGCTAGGGCTAATTTAATTAGGATATTTAGATAGCCATATAATTACTAAAGAAATTGAATGTATTATCAAAAACCTTCTGTCAACAGTGGTATTAAAATAGAAATAATATTTCAAAATAATCAAGTATTAGGAAATTAAGCAAAAATACTCAAAGCAAAGTTTATTTCATTGGTTAATTCAACCAAACATTTAATTTAAAAAAATGCCAATTTAACAGGAACTCTTTTAGAATATTAAAAAAAAGACAATTTTGAGATTATTTTATGAAGCAAACATATCACTAATACAAAAATCTCACAAAGATGTTACAACAAAAGGACATTAAAGGCTAATATTCCACATTAACCTTGATGCAAACATCTCTGTAAAATAGTAGCAGTTTAAATGCAGAAATGTCCACTCATGATTTGTAGTGAACATTGTGCTAGAGACCCTAGTCAATGACTATTTCTAGAAAACAAGTCATAATGATTGTAAAGCAGGAAGTAAAACTGTTTATTTATGAAAGATATTAACCAATACTAAAAATACTATATTAACCAATACTAAAAAAAAAACTTTTTAAAAGCTACTAAAAGAAACAAGTGAATTTTGAACCAAAACAATGTGAAATAAATAATAATATTGGGAATTCATGTTAATCTGATTTTAAAGCTTACTCTAAAGCTGTAATAACCAAGGCCATGTGGACATTGCATTTATAGAGGGATCAAAGTAACTCAATGATTAAATGACAACTTTTTATAGCATATAATGCTGAAACATTGGATATCCGTGTCAAAAGTAAAGAAATTATGAACTCTTCGACATACCACAGAGAAAAATTAATTGGTAATAGATCATAAGACCTACATTTAATAGTTAAAGTTGTAAAACAATTTAGAAGAACAAAAAAGGAGTTAATCTTTGAGACTTTAGGGTAGGCAAAGAAAGAATAAACAAAATACCTTAAAAAGATAGGGAACAAAATAAATATAAAAAAGATAAGCCACAGAGCCACAGATTGAGAGAAAATATCACAATACATATATCTGACCAAAATTCTTTTTTCCAGAATTATAAAACATTTACCTTAATAAGAATACTGTATTTATCTGTTCACACATTGCTATAAAGAAATATCTGAGACTGGATAATTTAAGAAAAAAGGTTTAATTGGCTCTCAGTTATGCAGGCTGTAGAGGAAACATGATCCTGGCATCTGCCTTGCTTCTGGGGAGGCCTCAGGAAACTTTCAGTAATGATGGAAGGCCAAGGGCATGCAAGCATGTACATGGCTGGAGCAGAACCAAGTGGGGAAGGTGCCACATGCTTTCTAACAACCGTATTTCTTGTGAATTCTATTATAAGAACAGCACCAAAGGGGAAAAGTTGCTGCCATGATTGGATCCAATCTCCTCCCACCAGGCTTCACCTCCAAAATTGGGGATTATAATTTGACATGAGATTTAGGCATGGACACAGATCTAAACTATATCATTCCACCCTTGGCCCTTCCCAAATCTCATGTTCTTCTCACAGTGCAAAATAAAATTATGCCTTCCCAACAGTCTCCCAAAATCTTAACTGATTCCAACATTAACTCAAAAGTCCAAAGTCCAAAGTCCCATCTAACACAAGACTAGTAGTCTTAGTCTCTTCTCTCTGTGAGCCTGTAAAATGAAAAACCAGTTAGTTACTCCCAGGAAAAAATGGAGTTATAGGCATTGGGTAAAAGTTCCCCTTACAAAAGGGAGAAATCCACCAAAAGAAAGGGAGTACATGTCCCATGCAAGTCCGAAACCCAGCAGGGCAGTTATTAAATCTTAAAGCTCTAAAATAATCTCCTTTGACTCCATGTCTGACATCAAGGGCACTGATGCAAAGGGTGGGCTCCCAAAGCATTGGGTAGTTCCACCCCTGTGATTTTGCAGGATTCAGCCCCGACAGCTTCTCTCATGGGCTAGCATTGAGTGCCTGTGGCTTTTCCAGGCACAGGGTGAAAGCTATTGGTAGGTTTACCCATCCCAGTGTCTGGTGGCCCTCTTCTCACTGCTCCACTAGGCAGTTTTCCAGTGGGAACTCTGTGTGAGGGCTCCAACCCCACATTTCCCCTCCACACCATCCTACTAGAGTTTGTCCATGAGGGTTACTCCTCTGTAGCAGGCTTCTGCCTGGACATTCAGGCTTTTCCACAAATCATCTGAAATCTAGGTGGAGGCTCCCAAACCTCAATTCTTGCATTCTGTGCACCTGTAAGCTTAATATCATATAGAAACTCTCAAGGCTTATGGCTAGCACACTCTGAAGCAGCACCCCAAGCTATATCTGTCCCCCTTTTAGCCATGGCTGGGATGTAAGGAGCAGTGTCCTGAGACTCTTCAGGGCGGTGGGGCCCTGGTCCCAGCCCATGAAACCATTTTTCCCTTGTAGGCCTCTGGGCCTCTGAAGGGAGGGACTGCCATGGAGGTTTCTGAAATGACTTTGAGGACTTTTCCCCATTGTCTTTGCTATCAGCATTTGCCTTCCTTTTAGTTATTCAAATTTCTGCAGCTGGCTTGAATTACTCCCCTGAAAATGGAATTTTCTTTTCTACCACATGGCCAAGCTACAAATTTTCATACCTATTAACATAGGTTGTTAGAAGGAGTCAGGTCACTTCTTGAGTGCTTTGCTACTTACAAATTTCTTCTACTAGACACCTGAAATCATCTCTCTCAAGTTCAAAATTCCACAGATCACTAGGACAGGGGCACAATCCAACAAAGCTCTTTGCTAAAGCATAAAAAAAGTGACCTTTGCTCCAGTTCTCAATAAGTCCCTCATCCCCATCTGAAACCTCCTCAGCCTGGACTTCACTGTCTATATCATTAACAGAATTTTTGTCACAACCATTTAACCAATCTCTGTGAAGTTCCAAACTTCCTCTCATCTTCCTGTCTTCTTCTGAGCCCTTTAAACTCCTCCACCCTCTGTCTGTTAACCAGCTCCAAAGTTGCTTCCACATTTTTCAGGTTTCTTTATAACAATGCTCTACTACTCAGCACCAATTTTCTGTATTAGTCTGTTCTTGCATTGCTATGAAGAAATAACTGATATGGGAAAATTTATAAAGAACAGAGGTTTAATTCATTCACAGTTCCACAGGCTATACAGGAAACATGATGCTGGAATCCTCTCAGCTTCCAGGGAAGCCCCAGGGAACTTTCAATTATGGGTGGAAGGGGAAGGAAAAACAGGCACATCTTACATGGCCAAAGCAGGACCAAGAGCTGGGGGGGAGTGGGAGGTGCTACACACTTTAAAACAACCAGATCTTGTGAGAATTCTTTCATGAGAACAACACAAAAGGGAGAAATTCACCTCCATGATTCAATCACTTCCCATCAGCCCCACCTCCAACATTAGGGATTATAATTTGATATGAGACTTGGGCAGGGACACAGATACAAACCATATCAAATACCAAAAAATAAAATCTTCACAAAAGCAGAGTTCAGATAGGTCGTAAGCACATAAAATGATGCTTAATGTCATTAAGTTGATGGGAGTTCTAAGTGATACAATTGCTTTGGGAAACAATTTGGAAGCTTTTAATAAAATCACATACACTTACCATTTGATCCATAAATTCTCCTCCTACGTATTTACCCAAGAGGAAGAAAAATATGTCTACACAAAGGCTTCTATATGAATTTCAGAGCAGCTATCTCTGCATTAGCCAAATTGGGGAGAAAAAAATGTTCAATGTGTGAATGAGTGGAAAATTGTGGTATTCCACTCAGCAATGAAACAGAATCAGCTAATGCTGTGTGCAAAGTATAACCTAATCTCAAGTCATTATGTTGAGCAAAAGAAATCAGACACAAAGAAGTACACACTCTTTAGGATTCCAGTAATATGAAGTTCTATGACAAATAAAAATTATTTATTTATGTTGGTAGCAATAAGAATAGTGACTATCTGTGTTGAGGTGTGGTCAATACAAAAACAGGAGTATGAGAGAAATTTTCAGGGTAAAGGAAATATAATATTTTTTTACTGGGTTCCCGGATGCATTGATTTATATATACATGTCAAATCTCATCAAACTATATATATTAACAATCTGCACACTCTACTGTATTTGAATCTATATTTAACATTTAAAAAAGAACTGTTATTTCCATCTTACCAGAAAAGGATGGAAGTTCATGCAAAGAGCAGCATGAGACGAGCCTGGCCAACATGATGAAACCCCATCTCTACTAAATACCAAAAATAGCTGAGCACGGTGGCAGGCACCTGTAATCCCAGCTACTTGGGAGGCTAAGGCAGGATAATTGCTTGAACCCAGGAGGGAGAAACTGCATTGAGCCACGATCATGCCACTGCACTCCAGCCTGGGTGACAGAGCAAGACTCCATCTGGGAAAAAAAAAAAAAGGAGCATAGATGATTATAGAGGAAGTTCAAGTCTATGTGTTACTATAAAGAAGAAATAACTATTATAAATGGTAATATTATTGTGAAATATGTGGCATTAATTATACTTTATCAAGAAGAAATTTCAGAGAAGTAAAGACGAGTGTTTGTGTTGATTTTAAAAAACTTGGATTTATAGTTTTTTTCCAAACCGAGAATAACTGTTGATGCTACCAGATGATATTTAGTTATCTGTGTTTTGAAGTTTACTCATAATTGTGATGTGAGAATGTATTTTTTGGAATATTAATTTACCAATTGTTGTAAGAGTTTGATATTATTTTTGAGTTATTTGTTAGGTGGTTAGCACATTTTTTAAAGTTTGCCTAAGCTTTTGAATATGGAATGTTCTGGAGAAAAAAATAAATTTTGTCCAACAGCTGCGTTATCAAAAGGAAAGTAATCAATTTGTGGCATAAGTTAACCATTCCTTCTTCAAAACAGAATCAACTTTCCACAAAATACAATCTATGAATCTCTGTGAAGTTTCAGTGAAAGTGTTTTGAAAGCTTCCCAACAGTACGCCTGTAAAAATGTATGAAAGATATATTTGATTGGGAGAATGACTGTTTGAACTTGGAATCCAAAAGTCAATAAACATTACAAGTATCCTTCTTTTCTTCATGGAATTTCATGGCCAGAACAGTGTCCTGGGTGACTGAAAAAGCTGTGAGAAATTAAGACCAAACAATAGCTTTTGAGATTGAATCCTATCATATATCTTTCTCATCTCTTACTCTCACAGAGGTGAATACGAGTCCCAGAAGTACTTATTCCTGTTCACCAGGTGGAAATCACAAGCCTTAATAGCCCATAGTCTACCATGTATTCTCAACTGCAGAAATGAGCTTTTGGTCAATAACTACCAAATCATTGAGGTGTGTGCTAGGACCATCTAAGGCAACAAATTGTTAGGCTCAAGGAAAAAGGGATATTTAAAATAAATTCAATGAATTTGTTCAGAGATTAAAATAGGGTGTTACATTTACAAAGAAAATAATTGGCAATTAAAAGAAGACTTTATTGGAGGGTTCGGAAACAAAATATATAATTACTAAACTAAAAAATAATATGTGGATTGGGTAGTAGAATGCATATAACTAAAGAAATATTAATTATGTGAAAAATTAGAGACAGAAATTTTCCCAACACACAAGACATCAGAATAAAATTGAAAGTAAATAGAAAAAAAAAAGAGAGGAAGAATAGAGAGGCACTAACCTTTCTCTGGCAGTGTTTCAGCAGTAGAGAATAAAGAATAAGATAGTGATACAATTACTGAAGACATGAAAGCTAAGAATTTTCCATAATGAAAGGAAGACACAATCCTCAGATTGAAAGACTTCAATAAGCACCAGCCAAGCTGAAAAAAACCCTACGAATTATAAAATATTACGATTGTTTTTCAAGAGAGAAGGAAAATCCCCAAAGCTGGCAGAGTCAAGACATAAAATACCTACACAGCAATAAAATTCATACTGACTTCAGAATTACTGTCATCAGTACTTGGATCAAGAAAACAATGAGCATCTTCTACAAAGAAATAAATAAAAATAAACTTTGATTTAATAAATTTGTCTTCAGACAAATTGCTTTGCATCCCACAATTTGAATAATGAATAAAATGGTCAAAAGGTATTTAGTAAATTTATCTTTAGCAGACTATCCCTGAAGGACTCTGGATAATGTTCCCGATGGAGGATGGATGGATGAATTCAGAAGAAAGAAAATAGATACCAAAAACAATGGTAAGCAAATAGAATAATGAACTTCTTTCTGTACAGATAAGAATGTAAAATAATACATATTTTTGTACTCATCTAAAACCAAAATTAAAAAAAAATAGAACATGTAGAAAGAAGTAAATTTGTGATGAGATTCCTATCTTGTGAGGTTAAGGTTTGCATGTTCTCAGAAGTGTGTCACAATGATTAAATTTGACTGGGGATGATCAAATAAAAGTGTCAATGGTTTAAATAGGGAAGATATTTATCTCGCATGAAAGTCCACAGAACTACTGTGATGTGTCTTAGTCAGGGTTCTCCAAGAAACAGAACCTAAACAGAGAAATAGGATACATAAATAGATATGTAAAAAGATGAATTAAAAGAAAATGGCCCACTTAATTATGGAAACTGAGAAGTCCCATGAGCTACCATCTGCAAGCTGGATGCTGAGGGTGCAGCTCCAGTCCAAAGCTATAAGCCTAAGCACCAGGAGTTCCAATGATGTAAATCCCAGTCCAAGTCTGAGCCCTGAGAAGCAGGGGCATGAATGTTTGAGAGTAGGAGAAGATAAATATCTCATCAACAGCAAAGAAAGAAAAATCTCTTTCTCTGAACTTTGGTTCCATTTAGGCCCACAATGGATTGGATGATGCCCACTGGCTTTGGTGAGGGTAATTATTAATATCATTACTCAGTCTATCACTTCAAATACTAATCTTTCCAAAGCATCCTCACAGCCACACTCAGGAAGAAAAGTTTGGCAGCTACCTGGGCATCCCTTAGTCCAGTCAAGTTGACACCTAAGATTAACCATCACATAATGATTCTTCTCTCTTACTTCCCTAGGGATCTAACCTTCCTCTCTTTTGTCCTACCCCATGTGTAGCATTCCAAATTCCTCTCATGATTTAAAGCATTGACTCCAGATCCAAATATCTACCTATAGCGCATCCATTAGAATTAGGAAAGAAAAAAAAATGGAGTTGAGGAGCATAGGCCACTAGCCATTTGTCTTATAATAAATTGGACACAGGATACTTTGGCTTAAATCTATCTCTCAAGATTTTAGTCACCTGGCTCAGTGACATTGACTTACACTGTGGTATAGGTGACTATTTATCATTCTAAAAATTAGAGGGTTTATCACTATACCCTCTAAGAGAAAAAGAATGGTTATTGGAGAACTAACTGCTCTCCCCACCACAATGTAAATGCCAAAGAAGATAAGGAATCAATAGAATAGAGAAAATATTTAATCCAGTGGGAGACTGGAAGCCAGGGATGGGGAAAAAGAGAAAGCATGGTAAGTAAAAAACAAAGAAGGACAATGCAAATTGCCTGTAAGAACATGACTAACGCTTTAATATTAGTTGTTTCTCCTGCAGCATTTAGCATTGCTTATTTTCCATTGTTTATTTCCCATGAATACGGGGACTATATTTTAAATTCACCCATTAAACTATAATCGGCTTGAGATCAACATTACAATTTTATTCTTGTCTTATCATTAACATAGAATGCACTGAATAAATATTTGTTTAATAACTGTTAGAGTAGGTAAGTGTCCAAGACATTGGGCTTAAGAAGGACAGCTCTTGCTGATTATGTAGAAATCAGCAGAGACAAAATCATTCCATTCAAGCCTCTTTAGCATCAATACTGCTCATTCTTCAAAGAATGAATTAAAATGATTTTGTAGCCTTGTGGCTAAACAGATTGTTTGATTTAGGTTTTAAAGTAGGTTCTGGGTAGCAGATAAAAAGAAAGTTTGTTGTATTTTTGTTTTCAGGAATATAGATACGTCATTTATTTTTTTCCAATATACCCAAATCCTGAGGGCAACTTCCCTCATTAGGTATTGCAGATAAGATTTAATCGTTCTTGGAGGGGAGTAAAATTTTTTACAAAGAAAATGAAGTATGATTTTTTTTAAAAAAAATGTAATTTCTAGTGGATGAAATAAAAATAATGACTGATGAAATGGCTTCATATATTTTTACAGTATATCCTAATAATATACATCTGTGTGTGTGTGTTAGTGTGCACATTCCCACACACATATAATCTCTTCTCCAGAGAAATAATATATCCCAGAATTCTGTGAAGGCTTATCTATTCTAATTTCTGAAGGTTAGAAATAAAATAGTTATAATAAACATATACTATGTTCTTCAGCAAGATCGTTGAAGGCACCCCAACTGCTGGTTCCAATTAGGAAATATACTGAGGAAGGGTTTCAAAGAAACCTTTTATTATCAGGGGCAGATAGAAACCCTGAAAGTACAAAAGACAGTGGGATCTAGGCAAAGTTGTAATAATAGAAATTTGAGGTAGTTATTGCATACAGGACATGGAAGGAAAAGGAAAGGCATAGAGTTTGCAGTGAGGATTCTGAGTTTGTCATGTTTATTGGTCTTTGGAGAATAACCATAGAAAATGTTAAATGAGATGTGACCTACAGAGAGTAGAGTTGATTCACTGCTGAATAGGATTTCCAATAATTGTGGCAGTGATTTCAAGGATGAATATATCTGTCAAACCCAATGAGTTGAACAATTTAAATGAGTGCAGTTTATTGTCCTTTAATTATTCCTCAATAAAATGTACAAAGTGGTAATAATTGGGTGAGGTCAGGGTACTGCTGCTGGTGGTGGTAGCAGGAGGAATCCAGCACTTCACTTGCATGGTCATGGAGGGATTTCAACCTAGCATTAGCCAGGCCACTTTTTCTATTTTCTACAGCAAGAATAGTAAATATTCTACTTATACATGTTGCTGTCATCTCAATGAAGTTCTCATTTCTTTTAAAAAATATAAACATTCAAGCAATTGTTCCCTCTATTTCTTCTCTTCTTTCTCTCTCTTTCTTTCCTATCCTTCCTTTTATATGTCCTACTTTTTGCTCTCATTATAGTCAAGAAGATGGAGGCAGCCTGTTTACACTCAAAGTTGCAAGAAGCTTGGGGATTGAAGAAGCAAAATGGAAGTATAGGATAAAGGAAACAAAGATGTTGGGAGATTGGTTATATGCAACAAATAAGAACATTGAGCAAATAAGTAAATATTTTGGAGGAATAGGGTTATTGATACAAACTCACTTTTTATAGCATACATTCATAGATTTAGAAATAATTATGATTGCACGTGTGAAAATGTGTAACATACATATATTTCATGGCTATGTCAGCTAAGAAGGCCTAGATACAAAGAGCATACTGAATATCCAAATCTTAATTTCTACTCACCATCCTTCATTAAAATCAACAATGAATTATTGCAGAAACGTCTAATTCCAGGACTGGAATAGGGATGAATCGGGAACATCTTATTATGCCAGAAAATAAGGAAGTGTTCAACGAACAATCAAGACTTGTGAAAGTACAGTGAAGCCTCTTTAAAGGGTGTCTCCGTGGCTAAATCTGATATGATTTAAGCATCACTGTAAATAATTATAGTAATGGGTAAAGTTCCATGAATAAAATAAGAATCTATGATTCCAGACTGAAATAAATAGCCCTAGCTAGGGCTGCTATAATGAAGTACCACAAACTGTATGGCTTAAACAGCAGAAATTTATTTTCTGAGCACTCTGGAGCTTAGAATTTCAAATCAAGGTGTTAGCCACTTGGTTCCTTCTGAGGCCTCTCATCTTGGCTTCCAGATGGAAGTCTTTCTCCTGTCTTCACATTGTCTTTTCTCTGTGTAATAATTGTGCACTAATTTCCTCTTCTAATAAAACCATAAATCATACTGGATAAGGGCCTACCATAATGACTTCATGTTAAATTAATTACCTCTTTAAAAATCTTATTTTCAAATATAGTCACCTTCAGAGGTACTAAGGGTTTAGACTTCAACATATGCACTTTTGAAAAACACAATTTGGCCTGTAACAAATCAGAAGAGAGGTCCTTTAATATCACAGGGTGCCAATTTATAATGTAGAAACAATGATAGAAATAGAATGCCTCTGTTTGTCAACTATCACAGTAATTGATTTAGATGGCAGTCATCAGTGGAGGCTGCTGGCTGATATCAATGGGTAGAGGTTTGATGAGAAAGGGAGGAGCAGAATATTGGTTTAATTGTAAAATAGCTCCAAAATAATTATATTCAATTTCAAAAGGAGAAACGGTGATCTTTTTGTGAAAAAACCTGTAGGACACCAACATGTCCAGGTGTCCAAGTTTAATAACACCTCTGATGTAACAGGTCAACAATGCCCACAGATGAGATAGACTGAGAAGAACATAGCATCGCTTTGGTGGTATATTGCACAGAAAGCATGGCCTGGCCAGGACTCTGGTCATGAGGAGACATTGAATAGAGTCAGGCTGATAGAGTTAATACGTAATGTAAAACTGTAAAATAATGAAAAACAGGAAAATGGGGGGAAACTGAGGAGGATAAAATAAAACAAATAATGTGAGCTGTGCTTGTGGATGAAATCTTGAATCAGAAGAAAAAGTGCCTTGTTGGGAGCAGTGAAAAGTAACCAATGAGGGGGTCTGAGGATAGGCTGGTAGTATATATCATTATTTATTTCCTCAGTTGGAAGGTTATATGGAGGTTATACAGGAGAATGTCTTTTGAGGAAAAACAGAGAAGTATTAACAACTTGCTCTCAAATATTTCCAAAAAGGCCAATCTATGATATAGTGGGTGTGCATGCATGTGTATGTGTGTATATGTGAAATGTCATGAAATGTTAAAAGTTGGGGAATATCAGTCAATAAGAAATTCACAGGGAAAATCTCTGTATTTCAGTTGCAACTGGATTGTATATTTTTTACAGCTTTAAAAATAAAACTTCTGATCTGTGTTCTTTTCTTACTGCCTTCATTACCGCAATTAATCAGAGGAAAATTTGTTTTAATATATTTTTCTTAGATTAATTAGGGCAATTCAGTAACTTCAAAATTATGTCCAGCTACTCTTAGTTAGACTAATTGTACCAACAAAGTTAAAAATATTTTATAAATTATTAATTAAAATGTGATAATAATTATATAATCTCCCAAACTGATAAATTATTGTTTATAGAGCTTGGCTTAGAAATGAAGTAAAAAAAATCATAATTTTAAATAAGTGAAACAAATTTATTAGAAAAAGTACCAGAAATCCTGATTGTGGTTATAATGGGATCATGTCCATTCTTGGAAATTGACAAGAGTTGTTTAGTTCCAGCTACTGAACTAATTATGCTGTATGCATCTAATTAATTCACATCTACCAAGGGTTTACTTTGACAAATTAAGACAAATATTTTGGACACCTTGCTTATGAAACACTTAAAAATATTAAATGGAGGATTCTAGTTCTTTGGGAGAAATTTCTTTGTAGTTTGATTATTATATTGACCAGTACTGCAAAGCCCTAGTGTTTTATTTTCCTTGTGTGCGTTCAGAAGGATAGGCTTTAACACTTTACAATGAGAAATATAAATTTCACCTAATGTTCAAATCAAGATTTTAAGCCAGTCTGGTACTGTAAAAAATTAGGTTAATGCCTATTTATAAAAGAAAAGTCATGATTATTAAAATTGCATCTTATATATTTGTTGATGGTGTTATTTTATTAACAGAAAAGACTTTCAGAAATTAAAAAGAATTAGAATTGTATAAAAATAAGACCAAAAATCAGTGATAATTATTTTGGTTTTTCTGCATCCACATTGTCCTCATGTCCTCAAATTCTGTGAGATGAAGCCAATCAAGCTACTGTTTGAGAGAAATTTTGATTTGAGATACCTGTTTATAGATTGTTCCTTATAAAATTAACATAGTTATATTCATAATACTGACATCTGGATGGAGAATGCACAACTAAAAATAAATGCTCCATTTATTTCTCATCTATTTGACACACACAGTGATGCTGGCCGTCTGCTGTGCTTTGTTTTTGTTTTTTAATGGATTATTTTATTGAGTTGACACAATGACAGAATGAGATATTTATTACAGTTTTTGCTAGTTTTAAAAATGAAGAAACAGGTTCAGATAGATTATACGATATCCTGAAAGTCACACAGCTAGAAAGTGAAGAAGCCGTGATAAACTTTACATAACAACTTATTAGTTTAACAACTCTAATTAATTTTATCACTTTTTAAATGTTTAATAGCCTTTACTAATTGAACGGATAAACATTTTACTGATTAATTTGATTAGTTTATTCAAAATTCTCCACATATCTTTAAAAGTAGAACTAGAGAAATCTTTGAAAATCATCCATTTTCATTGTTGGAAATAATTTTATTAATATTGAACAAGTTCTAAACACCCAAAGTTAAATAATTTTAGATCATTTATTCTCTATCATTAATGTTCAGTTTGAGAATGAATAAGGGAAATAATAGCATATGTGAATTATCATAAAATGTAACACATATGGATTTTCTGTGAGAATTGACTCTTCTCCAAATGATACTGATTAATCCATATTTACTGAAATATGTTAATTATTTTTCTTTTTTGGAAGTATAGCATACAGGAAGAAACACAGATCATGAGAATACAAATTATGACTGAGAATTAAAAGCCTCTTCTTAATTCTGTAAATCTAAATCACTACCTATCTCTTTCTCTCCAAAGCTAGTTGTCACACTTGAACTTTTAATAGCTTACATTAGTTTTGCCTGTTTTTGAAATATATATAAATGTAATGATACATTTTATAGTCTACTGAGCCTGGTTTATTTCACTTATAATAATTTTTAGGAGATTTTTCAATTTTAAATGTCAATCAATGCAATTCAACATATTAATAACATAAAGGGGAAATAGATGATCTTCTCAACAAATTCAAGAAAGATTTGTTCCTTCCTGTTTCAAGCCTCTGGTGACTGTTAGCATTCTTTGGCTTGTGGCTGCCTGTCTCCAATCTCTGACACTATCTTCCCACATTCTTCTCCTCTTTTGTCTGTCAGAAACTGTGTATTCTCTTGTAAGAACACTTGTCATTGAATTTAGGGCTCAATGTATAATCCAGGATGAGCCCTCCATCTGAAGATCTTTAACTTAATTCGTCTGCAAAGACCCTTTTTCCAAATAATTTAACATTCACAGGTTCCAAGAATTAGACTAACATATCTTTTTTGGGGACACTGTTCAACCCATCAACAAGGTAAAGAAGAAGAGGATAATCTTGTTCAGTTATAGTTTCCTACAGGAAGCTAGACATTTCAGATTGAATAACTTTTGAAACATGACTGCTCTTTCTGAAAATCCTAACAGCTTGTTTCTTTAGGGTAGAAATTTGATGGAGATTGCTGTGCATTCTCTTCCCTTATGGTGATGAGACCAAGACCATTTCCAAATAGTTGTCAGAAACTCAGTACTCAGTGCCCCTATTTAGGAAACTTTCAGAAAGAGCCAAGTGCCTTGAGTGCACATGGAAGAAAGCAATAGCCTCAGCTGGATCATCAACAGATTTTGAAATAATCAATATTTAGCCTTATAGCTCTAAATTTTATCCCCATTTTAAGATTATTCACTGGTTAGAGTCGCCAATCACAGGTTAGCAAAACACAACTTACAGCCCAAATCCAACCTGCTACCTGTTTTTTGTATATACAACACATGAACAAAGGATATTTTCACATTTTTAAACTGTTAAAAGTAATCAAAAGAGGAAAACAATCCAAATATCATAGCCATAAAGAAAGTTTTATTCAAATACTGCCAAATATTCTTTCTTGTATTTTCTATGTGGCTACTTTCAAGTGTTAATGGAAGAGCTAAATAGTGGCAATGGGATCTTTTCTAAAAATTTATTCTATATTTCAGTATAGACAGGGTTTTGCTATGTTGCCCAGGCTTTCAAACTCCTGGGCTCAAGCAGTCCTCCTACCTGGGCTTCCTGAGTAACTGGGACTACAGGCATGTTCCACCACGCTCAGCTCGGAGATCTGTACATCTTCAGCTTTGCCACTTAGGCTGCAAAGCCTAAAACATTTAGTATCTGGCCCTTTGTTTGCTAAAATCATTGGCTGATTTATGTCCTAGATACTGAATTATTAACATTATTCTATGGAAGAATGTAAAATTTTAAAATTAGTTTTAATTCATTCATTTGCATTTCATTATAATTAATAAAATAGAATCATCTTATTTAAAATATCAAGATATTATAGATAGTGAGGTTACAACTTTTGACTTAATAGAAAAGTTCTGATGCTTTCTTTGGAAAAATTCTGGCTATCTTGCGTCAGTTTTTAAAATTGCTGTCACACCTACCATTCAGAATTTAAAAACAAATCACAACATTTTATTTCAACATTTATGCCAGGCATTCATTTCTACATTGGAATGCCAATGACTAGGGATATTAATCTCAGGAATTCAAAATTACTTCAATAAAGATTATGAGTGTGTGTGTGTGTGTGTGTGTGTGTGTGTGTGTGTTTCAGTTTCTTTGAGCCTCAATTTCCTTCTGAACATTTTTTGGTTTCTTTCTTTTTGTGGGGAGTGGTTTTCTGACTATACTTTCCCATTTCCAAAGTAATTTATGCCTATCATTTTTTAAGTGGCCTGAGCCTATATACTTACATATTTTTTCTTAAGCTCAAGTAAAAATCAAGATATGTAAAAAATAAAGTTTCTTACATCAATACTATATTTAGACATATAAATGACAAATGCTGTGTTTTAAATATAATAATTTATAATATTTAATATGCTTTTCTTCCAAAGTTTAATTTTAATAACTGCATACATATAGTTAACAACTATATACATTTCAATTTATCTACTGTACACATTTCAAAGGCAAACAAGAAAACAAAATATTTTGAAAATTGTTTTTTGATACATTTTGTAAGTAGAATTAAGTAGTAAAATCACATTAAAATTGTACATTTTCTGAATAATAATGAGACTACTAGAAAAAGTTAAAGAATGGGTTTTTAATAAATATATACAAACTAAATATATGTATATATATATTTTCTCTCTACATATAATGTACATAAAAGTATATATATTCTACATATATAAGTGTATATATATCTTTTCCATATATGTACACACACACACATTTTTAAATTTAAAGACTTGTGCAAGTCAGGAAAAGCATGCCAAAGGTGAAAGAAGCACCGTGGACCTAATAGAATTTAAGATGTGACTTACTTTTTCAGGAAAGATATCATATACGATGGAAAAAATAATTTAGACATCATCTGGCAAAAAAAAAATTGTTGAGTGCTCCTACTCTAATGTCTTCCATAACACTTTTTATTTTTAGTTCACATGTAAAACGTAAATGGTATGTGTCTGTGTACAAAGAAACCTAATAACAGTATTTGTTACTGTCTTATTTTAAAAAGCAAAACATTTGGAAAATAAAAACTGCCCATCAATAGAGAAATGAATAAATAAATGATGACATAGTCATACAATAAAACCAGTAATTAGGCCAGGCGCAGTGGCTCACGCCTGTAATCCCAGCATTTTGGGAGGCTGAGGTGGGCGGATCATCTGAGGTCAGGAGTTCGAGACCAGCCTGACCAAAATGGAGAAACCCCGTCTCTACTAAAACTACAAAAAAAATTAGCCAGGCATGGTGGCACATGCCTGTAATCCCAGCTACTCGGGAGGCTGAGGCAGGAGAATTGCTTGAACCCGGGAGGTGGAGGTTGCGGTGAGCTGAGATCGTGCCATTGCACTCCAGCCTGGGCAACAAGAGCAAAATCTCCGTCTCAAAAGAACAAAAAACAAAAAACAAAAAAAAAACCAACTGTAATTAAAGTAGCATGAAATAAAGCCAGTATTGGCAATTTTTTGTGAGGGCAGGGAGTAAATGATCAGGTAAAAAATATTTTATGTTTTGCGATCCAAGCGGCAAAATCAAGTATGTTATACAGGTCCTTATTTAAAACAGATAGAACAAAGTTCTACAATTTTTATTAACACAATTCAAAATGGACTAATAATAATAATTATATGCAATTCTGTAAAACCGCTGGGCTGGAGTGGGGAGGAAGCAAGAGGGCAGCCAACAGAGATATGGCCAGTAGAATCCTGAAGCAGAGATGACTCTTTGGGAGATGAGACAAAGCAAAGAGAAGAAAACAGAGAGCAGCTTCAAGGAGGACTCCATTTCCCAGGGAATTTTCATTCTAGAATATTTGGAGTTAGTAGGTGTGTAATAAGGAGAGTCTAGTAAAGAATTAAAACATCTATATTAAGAGGCTGGGTTTAAGGCACATGAAAATATGCCCCGTCCTCTACTACTACAACTATTCAACTCTGCCATTATAGCATGAAAGTAGCCACATACAATACATAAATAAGTGAGCCTGGCTGGTTTCAATAAAACTTAATTATGGACATTGACATTTGAAATTATTATAATTTTCATGTGTCATAAGACATCATTCTTTTTTTAAAAATTTTTTCATCCATTTAAAAGTGTGAAAATCAGGCTATATAAAAACTTGTGAAGGTCAGATTTGATGTGTGGGCTTTAGTTTGCCAACCCCTAAACTAAAGCTAAACTAAAGGCATAAACATAGATGCACTCTAAAAACATTATCTTAAAGGAAAAAAATCAAGTTTAGAAACCTCTCCTACTAAACCAATTTCTATATTTATCAATTTTACTCTTATTTGCAAATTAAAAAAACTGTATCATGTCAAAAAAAGAAATAATCTTACTGCTCCATTATTAAGACCTCTTTAATGCTGTGTAGGTTAGCTTAAAACTTACTGGAATTAAGTTACCTTTACTAAGCTTTCTAAATAGAAAGGTCTCCGAAAGCTTTATCTTAACCTCTATTCCAAGACTGGTTTACAATTTCTGATAGTTAACATGAAAAATTAATAGGAATTCTTGTTGTGATTAGTATAGGATATTTCATCACTTTTAATTTGTATTCTCTCTCCGTACAATTCTATCCACCATGCCATTTCTCTTAACTGGACACAAAGAGAGCAAGAGAGCAAGAGTGGACTTTTTCAAATTACCTTGAAATATATGTAAATAAAACAGCAAAGTCCTTCATATGCTGAGGATGCATTTCTTTTCTAATAGACAATTTAAAATTAATGATAAAAACTTGAAGGTTATTATCAGTGATACCCTCCACTGAATATTTAAAATATATTGTGCATTATACCATCATTTTTCAATGCAGTGTATTCTCCAAAGTTCCTTGAGAAAACTGATTATGTTTTTCCAGATCTTGGAAGATTACTCCTTCTGTAACTTCGTCTGGGAATGGCAATTTGTGGCATTCTCTTCCCCCAACAGCATCTTGAAAAGAGGATGCTCATGTGAACAGGGGTTGGGGGAGAAACGTAGCACCATTATGCAGGGCCAGGTTTTCTTTCAATGTTACACCAACCATTATACTTCCAAATCTTAAAGCTTTTGCAATGATTTCAAAACTAGTGGGTAATAAGAGGCTTTCTTTTTTTCTGCTATCAACAGAAATATATGATCCTCTACCCTGAATTCACCATTCAGGGAAAATATCATATTTCTCTTTAGAAGAAGTGGCCTTTTAGGAAAAACCCATCCATATGCTCACAGCATGACCTGTGGAAGCCTGGACTCCAGTCCTGCTTCCCAACATTTCACTCATGCCTACCATTCTATACTGTCGACGAAAAGAGTCAAACTCTGTAAAATATTTGAAGAGATTTATTTTGAGCCAAATATGACTGACCATGGCCCGTGACACAGCCCTCAGAAGGTTCTGAGAACATGTGCCCAAGGTGGTGGGGATACAGCTTGGTTTTATATATTTTAGGGAGGCATGAAGCAAAAATCAAATACATTAAAGAGATACATTGGTTTGGTTCAGAAAGGTGGGACAACTCAAAGTCGGGGGCTTCCAGGCTATAGGTAAATTTAAATATGTTCTGGTTGACAATTGGTTGAGCTTATCTGAAGATGCAGGATTAATGGAAGGAATGTTTAGGTTAGGATAAAGGTTTGTGGAGACCAAATTTTATTGTGCAGAGGAAGCTCTCAGATAGCAGACTTCAGAGAGAAAGCAGGTTGTAAAATGTTTCTTATTGGACCTAAAAGGGTGCCTGGCTCTTAGTTGATTATCTTCTGGATCTGGAAAGGAAGGAAGGAAAACAAAGGTGAAAGGGCATTCTCTATAGAATGTGGATTTTTCCCACAAGAGATTTTGCAGGGCAAATTCAAGGTATGGCAAGGAAATGTATATTGGGGTTAAATATTTTGATTTTTTTTCTTATAATGTCATGCCAGAGTGAGATTGGAAAGTAAATCACGATATATAGGGTCAAATAAAACCCAACTGATGAGAACTTATGGTTTGTAGAGCATGACTCCCTAGATCTAAGGGTCTATCCTTAGATAGGAATTTCAGCAAGGTAAAAAAAATCGGAGCTTAGTGCTCAATACCTTATGTTACTCAGAAGCAATTCCATATTAGCCTGTGTACAGCTTGGGCTTTAGTCTTTGCATTTGCTCAGATTCTCTTTTTCATCATTGTGCACGACTTAGCATAGCAATTGGCATATTAAAATCACGCTACAAATATTGAGAAATGAATGTATGGATGACTCTGCCTAAATTTCCTACTCTCTTCCCAAACTCAGTGATGAGAAAAATATTCAGTTCATGATTACAAACCTTTCTTTTCCCTATAACTAAGCCTTATTAGAAAATTGAAGCTTGTGGAATGATTTGAATATCATGTAATCTTAAGATTGTTACTGGTTTCTGAATCACTTTATAAATAAATCATCTTAAGATTTGGAGAGCCTAAATTATTCTAAAAGCATCAATCAATAAACCCAACAAAATTTTTAAAAGAATTATCTTCTGAAACAAATATTTAGAAAAAATGGTAATATTTTTGAAAGTCACCATTTCAAGTTTTCTAGTTTTCAACGTTTTAGGAATGCCCCCAGATATCCAAAGTGCTCTTCATAACATTCCAGATAATTCCCATCTCTTATACAAGTGTAGCACCAATCAATGGAAAAAATTTTAGTTTACTTTTCAAGTTCTTAAGAGAAAACTAAGACATAATTTCCCATAAAAATTATAGACTAAAGGTGAAAATTTGCCCTGCAGCTAAAAACACTAAGTTCCAGAGGTCTGGAGAAAATTAGTTTTTAAAAAAAAATGTTTCTAAAGCCATCAAAAGACCAGATTCTCGAGTAAGACTTCAGCAAGAAAGGCAACTAAGAGACTGATCACATTTACATAGGAAAAGTTATATCTCATATTTTGATATTTTAAACATGATTAAAAAATTGGAATTTAGCCTAGTTTTAAGCCATCATTGTGCAGTAAATTGAAGTTAAACTATAAATATATTATTAAAAGTAATAAGTGAATTTACCAGTGTCTCTGGATGCCAGGGCAATATAACAAATCATTTAAACTTCCAGACAGTATAAAAATGTACAATAAAATTAGATTTATAACACATTTTGAGTGGTATTAAAACTTCAAATATCTAGAAAAATATAGAAAACATGTAAAATTTTTACACTAAAAATTTGAAAATATTACTAAAAATTTTATGATTACCTAAATAAAGAAGATATATTCATATTCATGTTTAGGTTAATTCATTTTTAAGATGACTCTATTCCCAAATTGATTATTATATTAAATGTAATACAGATTAAATTCCAGAAGTTTGTTTGCATGTGAAAAATTGGCAAGATGATTGTAAAAGTTATCTAGAAGGATTAAAAAAAAAACTCATAAAAACAAAGGAAGTCTTTAAAAAGAACACTGGGAAATTTACATTACTAGATTTCAAGACTTAGCATAAAGATACAAGCAAAAGGCATAAGGCAAGGTACTTTTGGAGCAAAACAAGAAACAATACAGAAGTAATTTAAAGAAATAAATCCTAGTATATAGCACAGATAAGTCACTTGCCTTATGACAAACGCTTGTGTTTTTAATAATTTTTTCTGGGAAAATTGGAGATTTATGTAGAAAAATAAAAACAATATTTTAAGAAGAAAAAAACAGAGAATAGTGAGTTGAGTAAGCTATGTTCTATAGCAACAATGATAACCAAAAATTACAACTACTCTTGGTGGTATGGCAATAAATACTGTTTGTTTTTAGAGAATAGAAAAAAATTTCTTGACTCTCTCAAGTGTGATGCCAAAATTATAGAGGACCTTGGGGAAACTATTAAGTGAAATCAGGGCCAAGTGTGGTGGCTCAAGCCTGTAAACCCAGCCCTTTGGGAGGCCGAGGCAGGTGGATGACCTGAGGTCAGGAGTTTGAGACCAGCCTGACCAATATGGCAAAACACCATCTCTACTAAAAATACAAAAATTAGCTGGGCATGGTGGCATGTGCTTGTAGTCCTAGCTACTCAGGGAAGCTGAAACAGGAGAATTGCTTGAGCCTGGGAGGTGGAGGTTGCAGTGAGCTGAGATTGTGCCACTGCACTCCAGCCTGGGAGACCGAGCATGACTCCATCTCAAAAATTAAAAAAAAAAAAAAAAAGAGAGAAATAAAAAAAATTTTATGTGTGTAAGTGAAAAAAATTTGGCTATCAGTAAAAATAATTAATGTTACTGGATCAATGCTATGCAAATGAAATCTTAGCAAATTGTCTAATTTAATTCTCAAAAAATCTTATGAGATAGGTACCAATATTATAGTTACTAGTCCTCTTTCAGAATAATCCATGATTATCAAAGAATAATTTTCTGTGAGATCATACTACAAATTTTTATTACTTCTCAATCCAGTCAGAGTCCTGTAGTAGACCACTACTTATTCACTTTAGAGGTCAGAGGTATCTCTTCAAAAGCCACTATTACGACCCTGTTTGTCAGGATGTTTTTCCCCAACTTCCCACTTCAGTTTTTTTCTTTTGCAGTTCCTCATTTGATTTCCTTATTTTTAGTTCCGAAATTTTGTGTTAGGATTCTCTTTTTCTTTCTAGGGCCTTCAATTCAAATATTTGGGGTCCCGTGGCCTAGTGTTGAATTCTGTCTCTATGTAGACACAATCTCTATAATCAATCACGACCACCATCATCAGCATGTGTCAAAGCCCAAACTCAACCTTAATGCAGATTGTGACAATCCCCTTTTTTTCCTAGGGATTTGGAAAAGGGATTAGGCATTGTACACTCTGGGAATTGGCCTCCTGTTTACAAGATACATTAATAAAATAATGTAGTTCTGTTTTCCTGCAAAATGACACAATAACATTTCAGTTTTGAAAGGCATAATCTCATCATCAAAGCAGAGGAAATATTAAACCTTGGAAAAGTTCTTTATACAATTTAAAGACAAAATTGTTAAAAACAAAGCAAATAGTTCTAAAATTAACTTTTTAAAAATAAATTTTATTTTGAGATAAATGTGGATTCACATATAGTTATAGAAATAATACAGATCCTGCAGATCCTTTTCTTAGTTTTCCCAAAGATAATATCTTAGAAAACTAAAGTACACTATCACAGACAGGCAATTGGCTAAGTGCAGGCAAAAGCCTAAGTTCCTCAGAAAGCCTTCATTGACACTCTGAGTCCTTATTACTGTTAGGCAGAGGTAGCAATTCTGGATCCCCAAGATGCCTTCACTAATAACTCCTAGGCAGGGTAGGGTAGTAGTGCACTATTTCTGCTCCCCATGGGACACACATGGAGAGGGGCACTTCTCATTAACAGTGAGTATTGGTTAAATCCTTAATCTTCAGCTGCCTCTGAAACTACCCTTCTAACAAAGGTCAGGTGTCTCTTTACTGCAAGGTGGAGGGGAAGTCCAGTTCCCCATGCAATCTCTCCTGGCTTATTGTGTCAAGGTAACCTTCTTATGCAACATAGGGATAAAAAGCTTCACTTCCTGACTGGCCTTCTCTGACATGACCAAGGAAGAGGTTGAGGTTGGAGGGTTGGAACATCTCTTTAGAGCTGGCCAAGACAGTAGTCAAGGCTCCCCACATGGAGTTTGATGCAGTGGCTGTGGGTGCAGACACAGGTTTTCTGTGGTATTTGAAGTAGAACAGTCAGTGTCAAATGTTCTCTATTCTGCTTCATGAGCATTTTCTTGTTCTTTATCTAGAGAGTAAACGCTTTTGTTGGATCTTTTATTGTATACATTCATTGGCATGTCCAGATTGTTGGCCTCTTCAGCTCCAAGTCTGGGATATATGAGACAAAAGATAACCTCAACTAAATCACTACCACATCTTTCTCAGTGTCCTGAGGTTCCTAGCTAGTCTGCCTTCTTACTTGGCATTCCAAAGCCATTTTATGTTGGATTTATATCTATAGTCATGGTTTTTACTTGTGCCCAGCCAGAGGAATAGGGCAAAGAACATCTATTCCATCTTCCCTGAATGGAAGTTCCCAATTATTGAGTTTTTCTGTTGTGTATGAAAGATTTTTTAAAACATAAAGACATTTTAATTTAATTAAAATTTAAGATTTATTTTTCTACTTAAATAATTTGGCATAGAATTCAAATATTATTTTGACATTTTATCAATGTGCTTCTCTTCTTGACAATTGAAATTAATCAGTAGTTTACATAGAGAACTGTGTTAAGAAATGCCTTGTTTCCAAGATGGCAGACTAAAGACTTTTCCAGGGCTTCTCATTAACTTACAACCAAATTAGAGCTGTAGACAATCACACTTTAAATACTTACCAAAGAAAAAGAAAAAACAAGGAAGTCCAAAAGAAAAAAACAAAAAGGAATTTTAGAATCTGAGAGAAAAAAGGTGGGCTGCCCATATATCCAGAACTGACTGAAAACTGGGTGTGAATCTGCAATATGAATGAGAAAAGTTGAATGAGTGTCACTCTGACATTCACTCCTTACTGGAGAAGTGTGCAATCCAAGGCATGGGAGAGTACCTTAACCCTCCCAAGGTGTGGCTCTAACTTGGAGAATGGCCAGCAGAGAGTGAAAAGGAACTGCTCCAGGAAGTGTCCCATGCACTCCCCCATAACTAGGTGCTTAAAGTAGAATTCCATTCATAATCAAAGCTCTCCTCAAGGTGAATGGAGTCCTGGGAGCTAGCAGCAGCAGCAGTTTTGGGTGCTAGAGAGACTGGGGTCAGGGGGTAAAAAAATGGGGCTCAAGAAAGGGTGGGATTCCTGCAGCCAGAACTGAGATATGAGTGTAGTGTGGTTCAAGCTGCTGATGCTGGAATCAGGCACTTTCCCTCTATCCTCAGGGAATGGAGCAGGAGAAGAGTTGGCAGGGAGGTGTGGCATTGACCTTTTCAAATTAGAGGCAAATTGCACTGACTAACTGAATAACCTTCACTGCCTATCATAATTAGGGTGAGAGAATGAGCTCTGGTGGACCTGGGTTATGCACAGAAGGCAGTTTTCACTCATTCTGGCCAAGACATTGTGCTCAGGCAATCTCTTTCTTCTTGCTCTGAGACCTCAGTGCAGAAGCAGTCACCCTTCATCTGGGCAGCTTGTTAAGAGGTCTGAGGACTTCCTTCCCCCCTTTATGAGAATTGGTGCTTGAACTCACCATTGGGAGGCCTGAATGCAGGCTTCCTTGATCTTCCTCTGCCCAGCTTCACCTACCTTCAAAGATGGAGAGCAGGACCCAGGCCTGTGGGAATTTGTGGCCCAATCCACGACCAGGGACACTGGAGTGCTTCTCCTGATTAACAGATGTTGGACATTAAACTTATTGCTACCACTACAGCTGGCTCTTACCTGTAAGCACAACCTATTGGCTTAGAATTTTGCCTGCAGTCTATTACAACAATTAATGACACAAAAGCATACTGCTTGGGAACAAGAAAAGCTTCTCACAACCACGGCTAACCCCATTGGCCACACCACCCCAGCTTCTCAAGATACCATGAGCCTGTTCACCTGCCTCATACATTGATACTATAACCAGCATTACAGAGAGAGATCACACCAATGGTATTTATAGCCAAAGAAATCATGCAGAATCTTTTCCACTGCACACACAAAGCAGAAAAGCAAAATGACTATATCCAACATACATCATATTCACATCTTCAAGAAAAAGTTCCCCACATGAAAAAGTAATTCAAAAATAAGAAGTGACTATTACTTTAGATGCACAGAAATCAGTGTGAAGATGCAGAAAGCATTAAAAACAAGTTATTATGACATCTTCAAAAGATCACAATCATTATCCAGCAATAGATCTTAATAAAAAAGAAATCTTCAAAATCCCAGATAAAGAATTCAAAATATTGATTTTAAAGAAGCTTAATAAGATGCAAAAGAAATCTGAAGACAAGTACAAAGAAATAGGAAAGTCAATTTAAGATATGAATGAGATATTTATTAAGGAGATAGATAACTTAAAAACAAAAAAAAACAAAACAAGCAGAAATCCTGGAAGTGAAAAATTCATTGAAGGAATGACAAAATACATTTGAAAACTTTATCAATAGACTATACCAAGTAAAAGAAAAAAAATCTCAGAACTTGAAGACAGGTATTTTGAAGCAATATAGTCAGGCAAAAAAAAAAAATGAAGAAAAAATAACGAAAAAATAAAAAAGGCCTTCAAGATGTATGGGACTACATAAAGCAATCAATCTTATAAATTATAAATATTGCTGAGTGGGAAGAAAACTCAAAAAGTTTGGAAAACCTCTTTAAAGAAATAACTGATGAAAGTATTCCTCTAGTCATGTCTAGCAGCAGATTTAGACATCCAGCTACAGGAGGCCCACTGATCTCCCGAAAAAAATGCATTGAAAACAGAGATTCACCACAACATATTGTCATCATACTATTTGAAGCCAAAGTTAAGGAGAGAATTTTAAAATCAAAAAGAGAAAAGCATCTAGTCACCTATAAAGGATGCCCCATCAAACTAATGTGGACCTCTTAGTAGAAACCTTATATGCAAGAAAAGAATGGGATGAGATTTTCAAAATGCTGAAATAGAAAAAAAAAAACCTTTCACCCCAAAATTGTATTTTCAGCTGTATTTTATTATTTCTTAAATGAAAGAGAAATAAAGTCTTTCTTAGACAAGGAAACACTGAGGGAATTCATCACCTCGAGACCAAAACTATAAGAAATACTTAAAGGACTTCTAAATGTGGAAATGAAAGGCTGATATTTACCAAAATAAAAACACATGCAAGTATAAAACTCTCAAGTCTTAAAAAAACACACAAATGCAGAAGAAAAAGGAATCAAAAGGCAACAAGACAGAATTCCACCAAATTCCACATACAAACAGAAAGAGAAAAAAAATAAAGAATTGATAAAACAACTAGAAAGTACTTTTTATTATGACAGGAATAAAACCTCAAATATCAACATTAACCTTGAATATAAATTGATTAAATCCTCTACTTAAAAGACAGACTAGCAGAATGAATAAAAATAATAACCCAAATAGGAAAGCTATCCATTTATCAGATAGACTGTAAGTAAAAAAAAAAAATTAAAAAGAAGAAAGATTATCATACATATAAGACATTATACATATATTAGTTGATAAAGAGATCAATTAAATCAGAGAATATAACAATTGTAAATATATAGAAATGCAACATTGAAGCACCTAGATTCATAATACAAATATTACCGTACCTAAAGAAAGAGATAGCAGTACAATAATAGTAAGAGACTTCAACACCCCACTCACAGCACTAGACAGATGATCAAGACATAAAATCAATAAAGAAACATTGGACTTAAATTATACTTTAGACCAAATACACCTAACAAATCTTCACAGAATGTTCTGCCCAACAACTGCAAAATATACATTTTCTCATCAGCACATGAAACATTGTTCAAGATAAACAATATGTTAGGCCACAAAACACATATAAATACATTTTTAAAAAATCAAAATCATATCCAGTATCTTCATAGGCCACCATGGATGAAAACTAGAAATCAATACCAAGGCAAACTATTTGTACAGTTCTGAAACTTATAAATTATAAATATTGCTGAGCAGGAAGAAAACTCAAAAAGTTTAGAAAATCTCTTTAAATAAATAACTCATGAAAGTATCAGTACAGTTCTGAAAGTGTACAAATACATGGAAATTAAATAACGCTCCTTGACAATCTTTGCATCAACAAAGGATTTAAAATAAAAATTTAAAAAACTTTTAAAATGAATAATATTGAAATACCATTCCAAAACCTTTGGGATACAGGAAAAGTAATGCTAAGCAGTAATTTATAGCATTAAATATCTATATCAGAAAAGTAGAAAGATCATAAATTAATAACTTCACACTTCAAGGAACTAGAAAAACAAGAACAAACTAAACCCAAAGTTATCAGAAAAAAATTTAAAAAAAAGATCAAGGCACAATTAAATGTAAGAAATGTAGGCGACCAAAATAAACAATGCAAAGGTTTGATAAAACTATAAGTTGATTCTTCAAAAAGACAAAAAAAATTGATTACACACTAGCTAGAGTAACCAAGAACAAAAGAGAAAAGATTCAATAAACAAGATTGGAATTGAAAAAGGAGACATTGAAACTGATGCCACAGAAATATAAAAGATCATCAGAGACTATTATGAACAACTCTGTGCTTACACAGTGGAAATCCTGGAGGAAATTGGCGAATTCCTGGAAACATACAATCTACCAAGCCTGAACCTGGAAAAAATAGAAAACCTGCACAGGCCAATAATGAATACTGAGATGGAATCAGTAATAATAAATCTCCCAACAATAAAAAAGCCAAGGACCAGATGGATTCACAGATGAATTCCACTTTGTACTAGTTATTTTAGTACAAAAAAGAAAAAAAAAATAGAAAAACTAATAACTAATACAAGTCCTCCTGAAACTCTTCCAAAAATTCAAGGAAGATGGATACTCCCTAATTAATTATACATGTCTAGTATCACCCCAAGTACCAAAACTGGTCAAGGACACAACAAAAAAGAAAACTACAGGCCAATATCCCTGATGAACATAACAAACTGAATCCAACAGCACATCAAAGAGATAATATACCATAATCAAGTGAGCTTTATACCATGGATGTGAGGATAGTTCAACATATGCATATTAATAAATGTAATACATCACATAAACAGAATAAAAGACCAAAACCATATGATTATCTCAATAGATGCAGAGAAAGCATTTGATAAAATTCAGCACCCCTTCATAATTAAAACTCACAAATTTGGCATAAAAAGAAGGTCAAATATTGCAAGTCCACAGCCAACATTATACTGAACAGGGAAAAACTGAAATCTTTCTCTGTAAGAACTAGAACAAAATAAGGGTGCCCATGTTCCCAACTGCTACTTAACATAGTACAGAAAGTCCTGCAAAAAATTAAAAACAAAAAAAAAGAAAAAAAACCTCTTTGGAATATATTCACATTCCAAGAGTTTCAATTGTAAGTTTTCAGCTAAAAACAATAGATAATCTTCTCATAAACTTAAAATCTTATAAACTTGGGGTTTACCATATGTTTCTGAAGACTTCTGGATACTTATTTAGTAAAAGCGTAGATAGATAGATGAGAAAGAGAGCAGAATCATTTTTGAATCACAGAAGCAATATCAAGGAGCACACGACTATCCAATATCTTTTAGTTTTACGGAAATAAAAATTTTAGTGTAGGTTGTGCTATGAAACATAAATTTGCCTAGAGTTTTAGGAATAAAAAATTAATAACCATACCAAAAATGTTCTTTAGAATATATTCCCAATTAATTGTGTTTTCTGAAAAATTGTTCATTATAAAAATAAAATATGTAAAGTGCATTCAGGGTTACCAAATATTTCTTGGGAGTCAATTCAATAAACAAAGTAATACAATTATAAAAGTAATTTTTAATGAGATGGAGGAATGCATGTATGCATAATCCAATGATAAATTTATAAATCAAATATACATTTCTCATTAATGAATAGCAAATAATAGATAGCAAAATGCCTCCAATTACTGTTGTATGCTACATTGTTGTCAAAGTTTTCATAATTGCTGTTGTGTACTTGACCGTGTCTCCATTATGTCAGTTAGCTTCTTGCGAAAGAGCTTTCACTGTTCAGCCTTTTTTTCATTATTTACCAGTGAATTTGAGCATATAATTACCACTCATTTGATTAAATTCCAATGAAAAATAAACACATTTGGTGTCATTTATTACATCATCTCTTTTTTCTTTTCTTTACTTTTTTTTTTTTTTTTTTTTTTTGAGAAAGGGTCTCACTCTGTTGCCCAGGCTGCCAGGCTGAAGTGCAGTGGAGTGATCATGTTTCACTGTAATCCCTGTCTCCTAGGCTCAAGTGATCCTCCCACCTCAGCCTCCCATGTAGCTGAGACTTCAGGAGCAAGCCATCATGTTCTTCTATTTGTTGTTGTTGTTGTTTTGTTTTGCTTTTGTAGAGATGGGGTTTCACCATGTTGCCCAAGACGGTCTCTAACTCATGAGCTGAAGCCATTCATCCACCTCAGCCTCCCAGTAGGAGGTAAGCCACTGCTTTCCACCTACACTATCATTTTTTAATTATCAATAACAAAAATAAAATAATCATCTAAGTGGTTTACTTTTGTTTCCACTGAGAAGTTCTGACCTTTGATGGTATCTCTTGGGGAACATAGGTGCTGTGAACTACATAGTGAACTGTAAGTTATCCAAGGGTAACATCATTTTGCTTTAAGGAACATATTTTTTTATTTGTATACATTTCCTAAATGCATTCTGCCTTAATAAATAGATGCATAACAGGCAACATAATCCATATATAATATAGGGTAATTATTTTTTGAAAACAAAAATGAACATAAGACTTATTTCAAGATGAGTATGTCAAAGAATTGTATTAGGAAAAATGAAGTTTCTAAAACAATGAATTGGAGAAAGGACATTAAGTTTATTTAAAAATTGATGAAAAAGTTTAGATTAAAATACTGCATATTTTCATATACAAAGGAGCTTGCAGAAACTTACATAAAAAATAGGATTCAATATAATTTTAAATACGACCACTTATCACCTTGGCTAAAGGCAACCAGATCAAGAGTAATTCTACAATACAGTTACCTAGTAATATTGGATTTTAATTAAAATTCATAAATTATTGTATAGGAGACTTTAGGATCAAGGACCACAGGAATACATAGAATTTGAAAACTTCATAAACCTGTAATAAAACAGAGAAATAATTATGCTACAATTATGGAAATAAATATTTTTTCTGTAATACTAAAAGTTAATAGTATGCTACCTACTATTAGCATATCACAAATTTTAGCTATAGTTGTGAATATTTAAAAGTGAATATTTTAAAGTAACATATGACATTGCTGTTGAATCTTCTTTTATAAAACCATTCACTGTTATGTTCATTTCATTACAAATAAATTCTGTCTATATTTTTGAAGAAAAACAATGCCATAGAAAAACATAGTCCTGAATTTCAATGAAAGGACTTTGTACTGAGTAGCAAATCGTCCTTCCAAAATTCATGTCCATTTGGAACCTCAAAATGAACGTAGCTGGATATAGGGTCTTGGCAGATATAATTAGTTAAAATGAGGTCAGACTGCATTAGCATATGAGTGGTGTCCTTAGAAGAAGGCCATGTGAAGACACAGAGAAATACACGAGGAGAACACATGTAAGCAGAATCAGAATTGGAGTGATGCATCTACAAGCCAGGAGATGACAAGATTTGCCAATAAATAAATAAATAAATAAATAAATAAATAAATAAAAATTAAAAAAAACACGAAAAGCTAGAGAGAAGCAATAAAGAAACCTTCCCTAGAGTCTTCAGAGAAAGCATGGACATGCTAATATCTTGACTACAGACTTCTAAATTTCTGTTGTTGTAAAGCACACAGTTTATAGTAATTTATTATAGTAGCCCTAGAAAAATAATATACTCTTTAAATAGTATTAAGAAACTATAAATGGTCTCTTAAATAAATTTTATTAAAATGGTAATTAAATGATATCGGTTTCACAACTTTGAAAAATATAGCAATATAACGGAATGATGGTATTGATTCAACTTAGCAATTCATTATTTAACAACATAACATGTGATACTGGTTTTGAAAATGATTCACTGGAAAATTTTGGATATCTGTGTGCATTTTAATGGACTAAGGATGTTTTCCTTCTATTTGAAATTTGCTGATTTTTATCATAAACTTTTTTTAAATTTTGTCAATTTTTTCTGAATTTGTTGAGATGATAAATCAAACCGTGGAAATTAAACAATATGCTCCTGAATTACCAGTGGTCCATGAAGAAATTAAGAAGAAAATTGAAAAATGTCTTGAAACAAATGATAATACAATGCACCAAAACCTATTGGATACAACAAATGCAGTACTCAGAGGGAAGTTTATAGCTATGAGTGCCCGCATCACAAAAAAAAAAACAATTCAAATTAGCAATCTAGCAATGCACTTTAAGGAACTATAAAAGCAAGCTCAAACCAAACCAAAATTAGTAGAATGAAAGAAATAATAAAGATCAGAGCAGAAAAGAATGAAACTGGAATGAGGAAAACAATACAAAAGATCAATAAAATATTAAGCCGGTTTTTTGAAAAGAAACAAAATTGACAAACCTTTATCCAGACTAACTGTGAAAAAAAAAGACCCAAATAAATAAAATTATAAATGAAAAACAAGACATTATAACTGATATTGCAAAAATTCAAAGAATCATTAGTGGCCACTATGAGCAACAATAAGCCAATGAATTGGAAAATCTAGGAGAAAGAAAAAAATCCCAAGATAAACAAAACCTGCCAAGATTAAATCAGAAAAAAAAAAATCCCAAACCTGAAAAGACCAATAATAAGTCATGAAATTGAAGCTGTAATTAAAGTCTCCCAGTAAAGAAAAGCCTGGAACACAATGGCTTCACTGCTGAATTCTACCAAACATTTAAAGAACTAATACAAATCTTACTCAAACTATTCTGAAAAATAGAGAAGGGAATACTACCAAACTCATTCTAGGAGACCAGTATTACCCTGATACCAAAACCAGACAAAGACACACTATAAGGCAGAAAACAACAGGTCAATATCTCTGAAGAATATTGATGCAATAATCCTCAAAAAAAAACTAGCAAACCAAATTCAACAATACATTATAAAGATTATTCATCATGATCAAGTGAGATTTATCTCTGGGATGCAAGGACGGTTCAACATACACAAATCAATCAACATGATACATCATATCGAAAGAATGAAGAATAAAAACCATATGATCACATGAATTGATGCTGAAAAAGTGTTTGATAAAATTTAATGGCACAGTATTATGAAAATCCTTAAAAACTGGGCATAGAAGGAACATACCCTAACATAATAAAAGTCATGTTTGAGAAATCCACATCTAGTATATTTATTGGGGAAAAAAAAAGCCTTTTCCCTAAGATTGGGAACAAAACAAGGATGCCCACTGTCAACACTGTTATTCAATGTAGTACTGGAAGTCTTAGCTTTCTCAATAAGACAAGAGAAAGCTACGAAAGGCATCCAAATTGGAAAGGAAGAAGTCAAATTATGCTTGTTTGCTGATGATATGATCTTATAATTCAAAAAGCGTAAAGACTTCAGAAGAAAACTATTAACACTGATACACAAATTCAGTAAAGTTGAATTTGGATACAATTCAACATACAAAATAAACATACAAAACATTTGTATATGCCAACAGTGAAGAATATGAAAAGGAAATAAAAAAGTAATCCCATTTACAGTAGCCACACATAAAATGAAATACCTAAAAATTAACCCAAGAAGTGAAAGATCTCCATAATAAAAATTATAAAACACTGATGCAGGAAATCAAAGAAGACACCAAAAAATGGAAGAATATTCTATGTTCATGGATTGAAAGAATCAATGTTGTTAAAATGGACATTTTACAATCCACAGACTCACTTGAACCTGGGAGGCGGAGGATGCAGTGACCCAAGATCATGCCACTGCACTCCAGCCTGGGTGACAGAATAAGACCCTGTCTAAAAAAAAAAAAAAGGCTTCAATGAGATATCATCTCACCACAGCTAAAAAGGCTTGTATCAAATACACAGGCAATAACAAATGTTGACAAGGATGTAGAGAAAAGGAAGCTTGTATACTGTTGGCAGGAATGTAAATTAGTACAACCACTATGGAGAACAGTTTGGAGGTTCCTCAAAACCCTAAAAATTAAGCTATCATATGATCCAGCAATCCCACTGCTGGGTATATACACAAAAGAAAGGAAGTCAGTATATCAAAGAGATATCTGCACTCCCATGTTTGGTGCAGCACTGTTTACAGTAGCCAAGATACGAGCAACCTAAGTGTCCATCCACAGATGACTGAATAAAGAAAATGTGGTACATATACACAATGGAGTACTATTCAGCCATACAAAATAATGAGACCCAGTCATTGCAACAACATGGATGGAACTGAAGATCACTATCTTAAGTGAAATAATCCAGGCACAGAAAGACAAATATTGCATAAGTGCACTTATTTGTGGGATCTAAAAATCAAATCAATTGAACTCATGGATATAGAGAGTCGAAGGGTGGTTACCAGAGTCTGGAAGAGTAGCAGGGGGCTAAGGGGTAGGTGGGGATCGTTAATGGGCACAAAAAAACCAGAATGCAAATAAGACTTACCATTTAATAGCACAATAGGGTGACTATAGGCAATAATAAATTGTATACTTTAAAATAACTTGAAGAATGTAATTGGGTTATTTGTAACTCAAAGAATAAATGCTTAAGGGGATGGATACCCCATTCTCCATGATGTGCTTATTTCGCATTGCATGCCTGTATCAAAGCATTTCATGTATTCCATAAATATGTACACCTTCCATGTACCTTCAACAATTTAAAAAAACTAGAAAAAATAAGACCAACGAGTATTTGTCAAGTATTGATATATATTTACCTTATTTAAGGAAGCTTTACTAGATATACTGGATCTGAATGAAGAGACATTTTTACTTCTCAATTGATATACTGTATGTTCCTTCTACCACAAAACCAATATAGCATACCAGAGTGCTTGGGACTCACAGGCCTGGAATGTTAAACCACATTCTTATGTAGGTATCTGAAACCCAGATTCTGCAACTGTGAAGTGATCTACCAGAATCTTGGATATGCAGACTATGTTATACAGAACTGTCTTAAAGACAAACTATGTCAACAGGATGTTGATCAAACACTTGAATTAGGATCCTAGGACCATTGCTGTGGAGGGAATGTTATCTCTGTGAAGAAGCGAAAGAAACTGAACTATATAAACCCCAAACGGCCAATATTGAGTTGTCAGAATTTTTGAGGAAATAATAATTTGAAAAGTGTTTCAAAATATATTTAATTGGTAGGTGTCATATTTGTCTAAGCAGTAGTTAGAAAATACCAACCAGTAATTAGTTTTGGAATGATCTTCTATTATTTCTGAATTTTCTCTTTCTTCTGTGAATTGCATGAATCTTGAGATAAATAAATGCTTTCTATCATTCTTTATTCTATAGGAAAAATGTTGTAACTCTAAATAATTTCAAACTATAATACCTGTTACCAATTCATATTTAACTTATGCTTGAAAAATGTATTTTTCTCAACTTCATTCAATTTAATACAACAGTAATTTAGAGGAAAAAGGACAGACTGAAAAACAGAGTCAAAAAACCACTGACATTTACATAATTATGCTAACAACAACAACAACGAAAGCTTAGTTCTGTAAACCTGTATCAGATAGAGTAGTGAAACATGTTCATTTCTAAATCTTTTTTTTCTGAAAGCTGGGAGGATGCACTTGCATTGAATAGGAAGATAAATAATTTTCTGCTAGGGAAGGTCAGGTACACCATTGCTAACAGTGGTATTTGAGATACGCCTCTTCCTTAGAATTAGAAGTACTTATGCAACACTTCTCATGTGCCAGGAACTCCAAGGAGTGACGAAGAGAAGAAAAATATTTTTCTTCAAAATTTCTATTTTTATGGCCTCGTCAATTACAAGTTGAATTGTAAAAAAAATCCTATTTTGAAGGTCGACAGTAATCTAATCTGAACAATTCCACATGGTTCATAGATATCTATTTATTATTCAAACATGTGTATGTACACGTACATATGCAGAACTCCAATGAGGCATTAGTTATTTCCCAATTAATTCTTGGACAACAAAGTGTAATTTCAGGATCAAAATTCTGTACTAAAAATTGTAACTCCTTTTTTTTTTTTTATTATACTTTAAGTTCTGGCGTACATGTTTAGAACGTGCAGGTTTTTACATAGGTATATACGTGCCACGGTGGTTTGTTGCACCCATCAACCCGTCACCTACATTAGGTATTTCTCCTAATGCTATCCCTCCTCTACCCCCATCCCCACCGACAGGCCCCAGCATGTGATTGGTGTTTCCCTCCCTGTGTCCATGTGTTCTCATTGTTCAACTCCCACTTACGAGTGAGAACATGTGGTGTTTGCTTTTCTGTTCTTGTGGCTCTATACCTCTGAATAACATACCATTTTTGGCTCATTTCAGGTCACAGTGTGCTGAGAATTAGGGAGGATTGAGAAGGTACATTCATCAGATGTACTAGATTGATGCCAAAGTAACTGTGCTTTTTGCCATTACTTTAGCACCAACCTAATATCATCACCTGAGGGTCTTTCAACAGTGGCCAGATAAGAATTCTAGCCAAGCAAAGAGACACTGGACAGCCTGTAGACATCTGTGATATTTGATTCTTGCAAAATTACACTTTCTGAATGTCTTTAGTTTATGTAAAATGCTTTATCAACATCTTATCTTGATAAACTAGAGTACCTGTACTCCACAGCTTTCAGCTTTCATTGCCTCCTTCATCATGTTAGAATTCCTGTCATCGTTTGCCACAGGCGTACTACTGAGTACTCTCTCTTCATAGAAACAATCTTTATCCTAGAAAGTTATAGGAATTAGGCAAACATACTTCATTCGTTGGTGTTGAGAGCCACACATTTTTTACCTAGAAGGCAGGGCAGAGAGGTGATAGAAGAAGGAAAGTTTAAACTTTCATGTAAACTGATGTAAAAACATCCGTTTTTGATGTATTAAAAATTTTAGGTCTATAATTTATATACCACTTTCTATTTGCAATGTCTAAAGTATACATCTTCTTTCTTAACTCAGAGCCAGTTGTTTCAGTAGCAGGCCCTGGGATTTTACTATTCCCTTTCCCAAGTCATACTGTCTTCAGTATTGATTTCCCGAAAGCAATGTTACCTACATCAACCTTTTAATATATAAAGAAGATCCTACTGTTAGAACAGTATAACATATGGGTCTATGGATATAAATACTAAAAAAACCTTTAGATCTTCATGTTCTACTTCCTTTTTATATCCCGTAGAATATTAGCCATCTACTCTCTGTGAAGTAGAGTCATTTAGAATCTTTGGGTCTACTTTATAATTTCTATAAAACCATAAAACTTCCAGTCAAACTATCAGCCATTTATTTATGGATCAATACAGTTGTGTAGTGCAATAATTTTAAAGTTGCTGGCAAATGAGGAAATGGTGATGAGCCTAGTATTGATTGACTCATGTCACAAGCTGTTATGGAAGAAAAGTGTGCTAAAATTATGTGAAAATAGAAGGGTCCCAAGGAAAGGAAATCATAATCTTGTTTTTTTTCTGAGCTATTTCCCAATAACATTCTGAAAACTAATAAATGTCCTGGCTACAAGGACAAACTTACTGAGGTAAAGGCAGGATGGTGATGAGAGTGTGGATAAGCATTTTTAAAACACTGTAAACTGCAAGTAGGGTGACACACATGAGCATGTAAGGAAGAAATGGGAAATATATAGAACAAACTATAATAGTTCTTAAACTCCACTTAACTAATGATTAAAAATGACAAGTATAAAAAGAAAGTTTCCTGTTTTTTTCCATCAAGCCACAAGAATTATAAAAAAAAAATGGTTTATTTAAGCTGAGGAAATATCGACATTAGTAGCTGGTCATTGAGTTTCCATGATATAATCTGGCCTTAAGGAGATGCTGCAGGAAGGACTTGACAGATTTATCATCCATCTTGGTTACTTTCATAGCTCCAGAAAACCTCAGTATTACTTCCTTGGTAATGCTTAACCGTCTTTTTTCTCCTAGACTGTCTAGATATATTATAAAGGAAATAGACACAGAATCACTTCATTATTTTCCCTGGAATCACCTCATTACTGATCCCTCCTGTTCTTTTCCTGTATTATTCCATTCTTGTATCACTCTAAAGAAATACATGAGGTTGGGTAATTTATAAAGAATAGTGGTTTATTTTGGCTGACAGCACTACAGGCTTCATGGATACATGGTGGTGGGATCTGCTTCTGGTGAGGGACTCAGGAAGCTTCCAATCATGGTGGGAGGTGAAGGAGGAGCAGGCATATCACCTAGTGAGCATAGGAACAAGAGAGAAAGAAGTGGGGTGGTGTAACAGTCTTTTAAACAACCAGGTCTAGCACGAACTCAAAGTGAGGACTCATCTATTACCACGAGAATGGCAGCAAGCTATTATTGAGGGATCTGGCCCAGTGACACAAACACCTCCCACTAGGCCCCACCTCCAACAATGGGGATTAAATTTCAATATGAACTTTGGAGGGGACAATCATCCAAACCATATCAGTCTAGGTAAGTCATAAAGTTGGGTGTCCAGTTCCCCAGAATCACCTCATTACTGATCCCTCCTATTCTGAGTGGACCTGCATGAAGATAAAACACTAAGGACTTATTAAAAAATCATGCTACCTGTAATTAAAAACAGAAAAAAAATTGGCTCTCACTAATGATCCATGCTCATTAGTAATTATTGCTTTTCCATATAGAGATAGCTAATCTTGTTTTTTCCACCTTTATAATGATTCACTTATACCAATACAACTTCTAACTCTTAATTAAGGGTAAAATTTCCCTATGGCTTTGTCAATGTGGTGGATCTTAAAGTTCCTGGAAGACAATTTTCTGGATTTGATCTCTGCAGCAGTAATGTGCAGAGCAGAGATGTCACATTTCTAGCATACAAACAGTGATTTCACTAATTATTTAAATCTAACCTCCAGTTGGCATACACGAGTATGCTCTGGAGATTCTCCTCTGACTTATTATTTCCAAACTATGCTCTCTTATTCCAGATAAAATTTGAAATGTCTCCACCCATTCAAATTCAAATAAAAGATATCACTTTCTTCCATGATAAATATATTTTTATCACATTAGTATTTAAATGTGGATTTGGTATCTTAGCAAGATGAGATGTGTGATAAAATAGAGGAGAGAAAAGCAAGTTCTAGAAAGGATTTTTAGTTCCCCGAAGGAAACAATTTCAAGCTCATAGCTGGAAGCAGAGAAAAGAAGTGCAAATGGACTATGAGTACTTCCGAACTGCTGAAATGTCTAAATGGAAATTTTAAGAACATTTTTAATAGTTGTATACTAGAAACTATTTTGAAGTTTTCAATATTCTGATAAAAATCTGTCACTTTTATCCGTTTTTCAACATCGGACTTCTTTGTTTAATGCTTATTTGACAAATTCAAAAAGATTATTATATGCTAATTTTAACTGTTTCTTATAAATATGTTTAAACTTGCATTTATTGCATATAGGGGGACATGTTGTTGCTCTTCCTTGAGTTTAAGGATGTAACAAAAAAAGGATGTAACTGTAGATAGAGGCATCAAAAATAAATATTCTGGCAACTTGCTGCTATACGGAAAACACAGGAGTTTTCAGAAAAGATATATAATTTTATTCTCAGTGAATGTGAGTGGTGTTAGTGTGTGTATACATTCATTGTTTCAAAGTAACTCAATTCATTCATTAGAACATATACATCAATGGCATGGTATTAAGTTCCTACATGTCTGCCTAATCCTATACTTTTTGGGAACCTATATAATCTCTATTAATAATGTCACCGACTAACATCAGGAGATATAATAGTGCGTGTATTTATGTTTTTTGTTGTAGTGGATACATTTTGTTCTCTGACCCAGCACTCACCTGCCTGATTTGCCTAATTTCTCCCTAATTTTTCCCATATTCTGACAACTGCTCTCTTTCAAGCTCTAATCATATGAGTCCTGGACATCTTCTCTCTCTTACGTAATCCTGATACAGGCTATGCTAGATTAGATCATTGTTTTCTTGATATTTTGCCATATAGGAGACAAAAGTTTTAAAATATAAACTATTGAACGTGGAAACCTTATCACTCCATGAAGAGAAAGCTTCTCTGTTGGCTCAGAGAATTACATCTGTGTGCTGAGGTCGTGATTGTATCTAAGGCCCAATGTTTAGTTAATGTTGAAGCCCAGCAGCAACACCACCCTCCCTGCAGTTGAGTTTTTGACTCCTCTGCCAATTCTATAATGCAGTATTGTTTCTTAGGGCACAAATTGGTCTGAATTGAATTTTAATCACTTACAAACCAACATGCTTTTCAGGTGCTAGATACTGAATAAAATGTGTTCACCCCACAAGGACTAGTATTCTGTCTGCAACAAAGAATGAGCATCTTTTTTGTCTTTGCACCTTATAAGAACCACAACAAAAATTATTTAGAAAAATCAAGCTACTCCAGAGAATTACTCAAATACTGTTTAATTTTAGTTAATATAAACTGAAAGAAAAAAGCAACAAAAATATGACTTCAGTGACACCATTTTCTCCTGTACTTCTTTTTATCACACTTTCTCAATTTTCTTGCTCATTTTCTCTTTTCTCATTTTCTCCTGGACTCCTTTCACATCACACTTTCTCAATTTCCTTGCTGCCTCCTCTTTTCCTACTTCTCCCTTAAAAATGGTTTCCTAATTTATCTTCTCTTCCATACACCAGCAGAGAACCTTGCTATCCAAAGCATGGTCTGTGGATTAGCACGAGTCTCATTTGTGAAGTTGTCAGAAATATGAATTTCACGCTTCGCTCAATCCTGCTGACTCTGAATTTGCCATTTAACAGGTGCTGTCCAAAAAAGTATGGCTGCTCTTTAGAAGGCCTGCTCTTTAGAATTTCAGTGACCAAATGTGTGTTCTGACCTCCAAATGTGTGTCTGGATACCAGATCTCTCTACTAGGCTCCTCTGGATTGTCCACTTAGAGAAATCCACAGTCGGACTCTTCTTTTCCCAAATATGCTCCTCCTCCTTTGGGCAACCAACAAAAGATAGGCCATCTTCAGAACCTTTTACTGTAGAGCTTTTATTTAACCACATACTCCTGAGTTAAATGGTTGCTTTGGGGCAAGTCAGGGCTAATAATCAGCTGGTGGGCACTGGTCTTGCTGACCCATTGTTCCACTGCCCTCTCCTTGGAGTTCTCAGTGCTATCAGCCTCTCATTATATATTTTGAATATTATCCATCAAGTCTCCCTCTTTTTTTTGGTTATTTTTTGAGATGGAGTCTCTCTTTGTCACCAGGCTGGAGAGCAGTGGCACCATCTCGGCTCACTGCAACCTCTGCCTCCTGGGTTCAAGCGCTCCTCCTGCCTCAGCCTCCTGAGTAGTTGGGACTACAGGCATGCACCACCACGCCCAGCTATTTTTTGTATTTTTAGCAGAGATGAGATTTCATCATGTTTGCCAGGATGATCTCGATTTCTTGACCTCATGATCTGCCCGCCTCGGCCTCCCAAAGTGCTGGGATTACAGGCGTGAGTCACCGCTCCCGGCCCAAGTCACTTTTGATGAGTAACCCTTCTAACTTTTTCTCCTCCACAGTAAGTTTAAAAATGTACAAACATTTTAATAAATATTTTATCTTAAGTATTAATCATTATATTTGTTAATAACATATTACAAATACAAATGGCTAATAGATATTTGTAAAAATCTGTCAGAGTAAAATGTTGGTAAAATAGAAAAACAGGGTTAACTCAGCTAGAAGGTGTGCCCTCTTTGCTAAGAGATAACATTTAAAATAGAACCTGTCCCTGTCTCCACTGAGGTAATCAAGTAGTAAGACAGAACTAGCCACCATCTCAATCCTGTATTGCTTACTCATAATATTTAAGAAGCCCATTTTTATTTCTTAACATATGTATTTATTTGCCTTTTGTTTTATTTTGATTCTATGCTGCCACAATTCATCCTAGCAAGTGTTCATGAAAGCTGTCTGTGAGGAGAAACAATTTAAGCTAAGACCTAAACATCAAGGAGGAACCACCCTTATAAAGAACTATGCTGTTTTTCTTTTTACATCAGGTATTTACTATATGGAACAGGGAATATTGGGAGATGGAATTACAGAGGGAAGTAAAGACAAAGTAGGTCAAGGTTAGAAATTTGAATTTTATTCTTCCTCAGCCAGGTGGCTTATGAACAACCAAAATTTATTTCTCACAGTTTTAGTGGCTGGGAAGTCCAATATTGAGGTACTGGCAGATTCAATATCTATTGAAGGCCTGTTTTCTCATAGATGACCCCTTCTTACTGTGTTCCTAGATGGTGGCAAAGCTAATGAGCTCCCTTGGGTCCAGTATTTTTTTGTTTGTTTGTTTGACATGGGGTCTTGCTGTGACTTCCAGGCTGGAGTCCAATGGTGTGATCTTGGCTCACTGCAACCTCCGCTTCCCAGGTTCAAGCCATTCTCCTGTCTCAGCTTCATAAGTAGCTGTGACTACAGGGGCACACAACCACGTCCAGCTAGTTTTTGTATTTTTAGTAGAGATGAGGTTTCACCATATTGGCCAGGCTGGTCTCGAACTCCTGACCTCAAGTGATCTGCCTTCCTCAGCCTCCCAAATTGCTGGGATTGCAGTCGTGAACCACTGAGCCTGGCCCCCTTGGGTCTTTTTTTTTTTATATAAGGACTCTAATCCCATTCATAACAGCTCCACTCTCTTGAGATAATCACTTCCCCAAAGCTGCACCTCTTTTTGCTATCACACTGGGGACTAGGTTTCAACACATGGATTTTAGGGAGTACAAACATTCAGACCATAGTACCAGGACACCATTTATAATGGACATTGTTAGACTTTATGCAGACCAACAACATGACATGATACGTGCTTATTAAAACTCACTCAAATTTCTATGTGGAGATTGATTGAAGTGAATGATTAAGAATGAAAGCTGGAAAATATATTAAGAAATAATTGCAACAGTGCAAATAGAGTGTGAAAGCAGAATGAAGTAAAAATGATAGCTGACACATTTGGATTTAGAATTTATAGCTTTGTGGATAGACTGGACATCAAGTTTTCAAGAGAGGTGGTGCGTTTATCGCTACAGAAGCTTCTTTATATTTATGCTTTAAGTTACTGAAAGTTCTCAAGCTCCTTTTGTATTAGAGGCCTTATTTCTCAGCTATGTAGACTTCATGATTTTCTTTTTATTTTATTCATTTCTTTAATTGCAATTGCACAAATCTTCACAATGTTCTTCACCTTCCACAATTGCTCAACAAATACATTACATTTAACATTAAATTAATGAAAGAATAGATGAAGTTTAATGTGATTTGCATTTTATAAATATAAATTGAATATCTTTATAGAAAGAGCATTTGATGATCCCGAAATCAGAGCTTACATTTAGGTTGCTTACAGAACCATTTATAAAGTTGGAAAAAGCAAATCATGGAAAGGTAAGTGCTTTAGCGCGACAAGAATGTGAACATGTTCTACTGGTATTCTCTGTAAATGCCTGCGAATCCTCTCTCTGCTTAAGCTGAGAGAGCTGATATAGTCCTCATTATTTTTTTATTTTTATTTTATTTTATTTTTTTGAGATGGAGTCTTGCTCTGTCGCCAGGCTGGAGTGCAGTGGTGCGATCTCGGCTCGCTGCAACTTCCGCCTCCTGGGTTCAAGCCATTCCCCTGCCTCGGCCTTCTGAGTAGCTGGGACTAAAGGTGCTCGCCACCACACCTGGCTAATTTTTTTTTTGTATTTCTTTTTTAGTAGAGACGGGGTTTCACCATGTTGGCCAGGATGGTCTCGATTTCCTGACCTCGTGATCCACCTGCCTCAGCCTCCCAAAGTGCCAGGGTTACAGGCCTGAGCCACTGCGCCCGGCCCATATAGTTCTCCTTATTATCAGATGGATACCTCCATTGAAAAAACAGGGCTTGAGCCACTAGCCTGTAGAAGAAAAAAGAAAACCAGAGCCAAAGAAGAAACCAGACCCTAGAGGCCATTATGAAAAAGAGAAGTCCTAAAGGTGAGGACTCACCAACCATCTCGTGACATGAAAGCAGGTGAGAGTTGGAAAAATTAGATTCAAATAATATCTTCAAATGTCACTGTAAGTAGACATTAGGCTTGTAGGGAAATGTATATAATTGGCTTTTCTAAAATTAACAAACACCTGGAAGCAGGAGGACAAAATGCAGGTGATCACAAATAATTTTAAAAACTATCAAAGCTTATTATTTTATGTTTAGTCCGTTAATAGTTTAATAAATACTATGACAATTGATATGACATTAGTCAATTAAAACTACATTATGGACCGGGCGCGGTGGCTCATGCCTGTAATCCCAGCACTTTGGGAGGCCGACGTGGGTGGATCACGAGGTCAGGAGATCGAGACCATCCTGGCTAACACGGTGAAACCCCGTCTCTACTAAAAATACAAAAAAAATTAGCCGGGCGTGGTGGCAAGCGCCTGTAGTCCCAGCTACTCGAGAGGCTGAGGCAGGAGAATGGTGTGAACCTGGGAGGCGGAGCTTGCAGTGAGCCGAGATGGCGCCACTGCACTCTAGTCTGGGTGACAGAGCGAGACTCCGTCTCAAAACAAACAAACAAATAAAAAAACCCACTACATTATGACATTATTAATAAGCAATGTAGAGTTATAGTATAAAAGTATGCACTAATTGTGCACAAGACTGTCTTCCCTTCTATGTATTTATTCTATATCCCATGGGTATCTGAATTTTTTATGGTCTTCAAAGGGTAGAACTGCATGAAAAGGAAGATTATTTTCTATCAGGGAAGATTCAGAGCAGGGAGCAACTACCATGAGAGACACTGCAGTTTTTCAAGAGGGCAAGCTGACTTTTCTACAAATAGCATCATTAGAGCATGATAACAAAGTTTATAGCTGTGTGGCTCTTTACTTAGGCCAATAAAGCCAACCTGGACCAAAGCCAACCTCTGCCATTTGCTAGGAGTGTGTCATTGAAAAATTGTATTAAATTACAGGACCACAATTTTCTCATTTGTAAAATAAGTATAGTAATAAAACTTAATTAGTAATATTGCAAAAAGATACTAACTATACAGTAAAAGCACAGTAAATACTAACTTCTATTATTATTATATCATCTCTTATTGAATACAGTTTCTTGAATGAGCATTAGGAGACTGAATATAAGTGATAACATAAAACTCCAAGTGACCCAGACCTAAAAGAACTGCATATATTTTGTAATGAGGGAATTAGTGGAGATCAGAATTAATTCTTTATTTGCGCCTTCTTCCAAAACATAATGAGAAATACAAAGAAACCAAAAGAGTACTACAATTTCATCTGTACTACAAACAAAATAACAAAAACAAAAAAGAGTGCAAAGCATAGCTTAAACGTATATAAAACATGCTGTGTAGACAAGACAATAAAAGGAATAAAACCAAGAAAAGATTTTTATAAGAGTAAAATATCACACACACTTTTTGGAGCAATAAGCACATGACCAAAAATAAATTCAATTTTTTAAAAAAATATGCAGTTTAAAAGAAGACAAAATTAGTTACAACAGGTTGCTTAATTGACCAATTCAAATCACATTTCAGTTTCTTCATTCTGTTTAAGTGTGAACATGTGTGTACATGTAGAAACTGAATATAATGCATAAGAGAAAATATAAAATGCATTTTTTATAATTAAAATATAGGAATAAAGAATAGTATAGTGGTTCCATTATATATCACCAGCTTTTCATTTTCACAGCACTAGTAATACTCTAATGAAATGACTAAATTATATTTTAAAGAAGATAATTAGAATAAGAGTATTATATTTAATAATGAATTTTCTTCAATAGACAAAAAGTATCATCCACAGAAAGTATCATTAGCCACAAATAATGGGATATTTTTGTAATTTCTACTGCTGAATTTTATTAATTTAGCATTTTATAGATTCCATTATTGGATCCAGGTATAAAGAACAGTCTCTGAGATATTTATTGTAGTTTGAGGAAATAAAAGTTACCTTTTAAACACTCTTCAAGTAAGTTGTGGAATTTTGTTGTAATTTTGGCTGCTGTATTCCCAGATCTTGCTCGGCTGTCACAAAACTGAGATTAAATGAATCCCAAATCAGTGGGCACCTGCAGGCCCACGGCATAGAAAGGATTGTGAGATATAGCTAATTAATTATATGAGTCTAATTCTGCTCTAGGTGTTAACATGGCAGGTGTGTGTCATCAGAGTAAAATCATTCAGTAGACAAGATGGATATTAAAATTAATATGTATTTTGTTAGCATTTTTCTTTTGGAATTGAATGCCATATTGCAATTTATTGAATGCATACTTGAATTCTTATCAACTAGGGACATTTCTTACATTTAAATTGAATTACTTTTTACTTTTTCTTCAAATATTATAAAGAAAACAATGATCACTCCAAATTGCTAAGCCCTGGGACCCTCTGTTTTCTAAAATTATATGGATTTCCAAAGTCAGCAATAGTGAGGTAGCTCCATTTTTAAAATAATTCTGCAGATCAATATACATGGGGGAAATGCTAATTGTTTTCACATGATAATAGTAATTTCTTAGTCCATTTGGACTGCTGTTGCAAAATATTTTAGACTGGGTAATTTATAAAGAACAGAAATTTATTGCTCAGGGTGCTGGTGGCTGGGGTGTCAAATTCAGGGGGCCAGCAGGTCCAGTGTCTGCTGAGGGCCCACTCTCTGCTTCAAAGATGGTGCCTTTCCTTCACATGGTGGAAGGGGCAAAGAAGCTCCCTCAGGCCTCTTTTATAAGAACACTAATCTCATTCATGAGGGCAGAGCCCTCATTGCCTAATCACCTGCCCAATTACCAATCTCTTAATACTATCACATTGGAGATTAAGTTCCAACATCTAAATTTTGGGAAGACACAAACATTCAGATCATAGGAAGTAAAAACTTATATATGAGGTCTGTTTTAAAATTTAGAAAGACTTTTACATGAAGTTTCTCATCTGTTCCTCAAAAAGTACTGCCAGACAGAGCACATAATGTTATTTTTATCATGTATAGAGAAAGAAACTGGCACTTATATTATTTACAAGATATGCCAGGGAATATGGTTAGCCATTGGTTGAGCCAGAACTCAAGCCTGCATCTTCTTTTCAGACTGTAGCCCAAGGCAGAGCATTTTAAAATATAACAGCTTGGACCCTGAAGTCACAGAGTTCTGCATTTGAATCCTAGACTCTAGAGCATACATTGTCACATCTTCTAATCTCCTTTTTCTTGTCTGTAATAAGGAATTTATAATACCAAAATTTTTAAACTTAGGGTGGGGATTGCATGATATAAAGTAACAGTAGCAGTTCCTTGCTAATACTTAATTGTGTGTATCATTTGTTTATATGTTTTAACTTCAACATCCTCCCCACACTCTGCTGATCTTCTCTGATGGTTTTATTAAAATTTCATCAAAGCAAGAATTTACTAGATGAATATCCATGAAATAAGAAGGAAACCCCATATTTGCATACTAAGTACTGATTTAGCTTTCTAGAATATGTAGTAGTGCAAAAAGCAAAAGAATTGCTGGAAGACCTAGAGTTTAGCCTCCTTTCTGGTTACAGCATATGCTGGTTAATTTTATGTATCAACTTGGTTAAGCCATGGGACTCAGTCTTTGTTCAGATGCCAGTCTAGATGTTTCTGTGAAGGTATTTTTGAGATATGATTAACATTTTAATCAGTAGAATTTGAGTAAAGCAGATTACCCTCTATAATGTGGGTAGACCTCATCCAATCAATTGAGGGACTTAAGAGAAAAGACTGAGGTTCCCCAGGGAAAAAGGAATTCTGCCTCCAGATTGCCTTCAGACATGAGACTGCAACATTAACTCTTCCTTGGGTCTACAGCCTGCTGGCCTGCCCTGCAGATTGCAAGCTTTCCATCCCCCATAATAACATAAACCAATTACTTAAAATAAATCTCTCTTCCTCCTTACACACACACACACACACACACAAACACACACACACACGCACACCCCTCCTATTGGTTCTATTTCTCTAAAGAAACCCGAGTAATTTTACTGCCATTTTTTTTCCAGAGTTTCAAGTCAAATCGAATAGTACGTTTGGAGAGGCATACCTAAAAATACACTTATAATCCACTTCTATACTAGACTTTCTTTCCTAAAACAAAAATTACATTATTCCCCATTATGGCAATTTTTCAAAATCTCCTCCATTATCTTTAATTTCAGCTGATGAATTTATTTCCAACTCCAAGGGGAAAAACACAAAGAAACAAACAAATACAGAAGCATTCAGGAAAGAAATTCCACAAGTTCCCCACACCATATTGAAGCAAACCATGTACATCTTTACCTACATCTGTCTTCCCTCCTGTAACCAAGCATGTATGCCCCAGTCCTGTATTTCCATCCAGTCCTCTACTTTTGACAACTTGGAACTCTAAACTACAGTAATCCTCCCCTCCATATTCTGCATCGTTAGTATTTCCAGCTCTGTGGATTGTTTTTATCAAAACAAACATTTGTTAACATATTTTCACTGTGAAAAATAATAAAAACACTTCCTTCACGCCACATGCCACTCTATCTACTGCTTCATTCCTCCTTTCCCTTTACAGCAAAATTATTTTAAAAAGTTATTTAAATTAGCTGTTTCCACTTACTCTCCTTCCATTTCCCATTGAACTCATTCCAATATTGATTTCTTGCCTCCAAGTCCCCAGTCTGTTCTCCACATAACAGCCAGAAAGACCCTTTCGGAAGGTAGCTCAGGTTGCATCACTCCTCTGTTGGAGATTCTCCACTGTCAGAGTATATGCATGATCTGCTCGGCTGGGCCTGTGTGATCCGGCTGTTTTCTTCTTCTCTCTCTCTTTCACTCTCCAATCACTCTCAACACCTTACTGCTCTCTGAATACATCAGCCGTGCTCTGACCATAAGTCATTTACACTTGTTGTTCCGCTACCTTGAATCCTTCTCAGCCACATATCTTCATACCTAACTCCTTTCTGATCTCTGCTCAAAGTTTACAAAATCAAAAAGGTCGTCCCTTATCACTTATTGTAATATAGCAATCTTCACCCATTCCTCACATTCCCTATCTCTTTTATCCTATTTCACTTTCTCCGTAGCACCCAAAACCATTCGACTACTTATATATTTATTATTTATTTGTTTATTGTGTTCCCCTGCAAGTTTGTTGAGTTCCATTAGGGCAATTGCTTTGACTCTTTCTTTTTTCTTTTTTCTTTTTTTCCAAGATGGAGTCTCTGACATCCATCTTGGAGTGCAGAGGCACGATCTTGGCTCACTGTAGCCTCAGCCTCCTGACTCAAGCAATTCTCCTGCCTCAGCCTCCCGAGTAGCTGAGACTACAGGTGCCTGCCACATTGCTTGGCTAATTTTTGTATATTTAGTAGAGACGGGGTTTCACTATGTTGGCCAGGCTGTCTCAAACTCCTGGCCTCAAGCAATCCGCCTGCCTCAGCTTCCTGAAGTGCTGGGATTACAGGCATGAGCCACTGTGCCTGGCTGACTCTTTTTATTAATACTCTAATCTTAGCACCTAGAACAAGTAGTAGGATCTAATAAACATTTCTTGAGTAAAAAAATGAATGTTTTATTCTCATAGCTTGCACCATGGTCTCTGTTACTCGATAGGATCTAATCTTGATATTCTTGTACAAATTACACTGTACAAACTAAGTATGCTGTCTCCTGCTTCAGGTAGATTATATATGCTACATCCTCCACCCAGCCAAATGACCTCTTTCTTCTCCATGAACTCTCTCTGCAGTGAGACTCTGCAAATAACAATCAATTTGAGCTTTTCCTCAATGTTCTTAGAGAGTAACTCTACCACTACTTTTATTATTTTTGTACTCCTTGCAATTATTTTTCTTGGTAAATCACAATTTTAATGTTTGATTCATCATTTTCATGATGCCAAATGCCATGTCTTGCTTAAGCAATTTTTGATTTCATTGAGTTTTCTCTACTTTTTGTTATGTTTTCAATTTTAAAATTTTTGCTCTTATCTTCATTAATTGATTTTCTTTTTGCTTGATTTAGATTGAGTTTATTCTTTTCCTAGTTTCTTATGGTGAAATCTTAGATTACTTATTTGAGAACTTTATTTCTAACACAGGAATTTACTGGTAGACTTTTTTTTTGTCTAAGTACCCTTTTAATCTTCATCCCACAAATTTTAAATACTTTGTTTTCATGTTCTTTTAGTTCAGTACATTTTCTAACATTTTTGAAGTTTACTCTTTTACCCATAAATTATTTAGCGGTACGTTTTAAAATTTCCAAATATTTCAGGTTTTCCAGTAATCTTTGTGTTAATTGACTTTTAGATTATTTCTGTTATTGTCAGTTGATGTGCTTTCTTTTCAATTCCTTTAAAAGGTCTGTTTTATGCTCTAAACTTTGCTGCCACTGTTGTTGGGCGTGCTTGAGGGGTGGTCTGCACTGCAGCTCAGTTCTCAATGCCTTTCATGTGTTGCTAGTGACCTGTTAGATTCATGTTGAGCTCAGCGGTGAGCCTGAGACTTGGGTCAGGTCATGTGCAGATTTAGGGTATACCTTTTTCTAGCTTCTTGCTCCTTCCTCCCCACACTCTCCTGATCCCAAGGGCTTCTCTTCCTGATGTCTTTCATCAGGAAAAATTGATTTGTCTCAGGATTCTAGCCCCTTGCCCTGTTTGCATATTTATGTAACTGGTCAGAAGGGAGCAGCCAGAAAAAAAGGGAAGAGAAAATAAGAAACGTCACCTAATACTCCTTGGACCAGAAAAGACCTTCCCCTCACCTTCCCTAAATTCTCTTGCCATTTAATAGGGATTTAGATGCTGGTGGGGCTGCATTGCCAATATCCCTGCCACAGCAGCAGTGGGACTTTGATGCTGAGATTTCTTGGGCTGGGAGAGAGATTGAGGGAAACAAGGTATTTTCCTTAACTTACTCTCGTGTCTTACAGAGGCCTTTCACTTCAAAGTGTTGAACAGAAAGAGATTTTTTATCCTAGAGAATTTATCGTCCAAGGACACAAGCATTTGTGGGATTCAGCTACCTTCAAACCAAAGCTGGAATACATAAGGAGAAAAAGGTCATGTGGTTCTTGTCATTCTTCAAGATTTCACTTTCCATCTCAATCTGGTCATTGTTATATACTTTTTATACTTCTCAGAGTCATTAGGTAATTTTTTTATGTATTTACTTCGGGGTTTTTTTTGTTTTTTTGTTTGTTTGTTTGTTTGTTTGTTTGTTTTGAGATGGAGTCTCGCTCTGTCGCCCAGGCTGGAGTGCAGTGGCACCATCTCGGCTCACTGCAAGCTCTGCCTCCTGGGTTTACATCGTTCTCCTGCCTCAGCCTCCTGAGTAGCTGGGACTACAGGTGCCCGCCACCAAGCCCAGCTAATTTTTTTGTATTTTTAGTAGAGATGGGTTTTCACCACGTTAGCCAGGATGGTCTCGATCTCTCTCCTGACCTTGTGATCAGCCTGCTTCAGCCTCCCAAAGTGCTAGGATTACAGGCATGAGCCACCACGCCCGGCCCTAGAATTTTTAATTGTAATCAGTGGGAGAAAAAGTGAATAATGGGCTAAATCTATCTCAACTTCAGTCTGAACCCAGTGAAGAAATTTGAGACTCTATTGATTAAAATATTTAGACCCACTACTAATCCCTTAATTCTAGTATAAATAAGATGCTTCATTCTCACAATTCTGTGAGTAAAGTCTATGCAAAAATTGAACTTAACAAATACCTATCCAAAGTTTAAAAAATAAAACCATCTTTATAGGACTGTACAATAATTTTAATATAATACATTTGAATTTTCAGTGCTACTGGCTGCCATTAACACATAATAAAACCTTTCCACTATTCCACTATAAATTTGCAGTGCTCCTAACTACTTGCTTCCTTTACACTCATTCTTTATCTTTTCCACTTAGATCATTTCTCAAGGGCGTCCTCTAGCTTAATGAAAACAATGAGTACCACACCAGTAATTGGGAAATGCAACCACTTCAGAAAATAATTGTATGAATAATTATAAAAATTACTATGACTGAGGGTCTTCTATGTTCAGGAGCAAAGTGAGGAACTTAATATGGATCATCTTATTTAATCTTTACAACAGTGATGTAAACAAAATGTTTTATTTTACAGATGAGGATTCGAAGACCCAGTAATCTGAAATAGCTTGCCTAGGTTTACTTAACCAGTAAATGCAAAAGGGATTTTAATACAGTTCTGCCAGGCTTCAATCCTTTCTCTTTTCAAAAAGTTACTGTAATAACCATCCAAATCTTATCAAGCAAGTCCAACAAAAATGTATGCAAACAATGGAATTTTATTAAGACAAGATCATGAGTTAGAATTAAGATAAATTAAGCAGATGTTGCAATTATAATGGATAGTAGAGTTATACCCAGGGATTATGGAAGAGAGTTTTAAATGAGATTCAGAGGCTGTGTAATAAGAATGATCAAATGAAAGAGACAGAGTAAGGGGGATAGCAATATTATTTTGAAGATGAATTTGTTTTTGCAAAATATAAAAGTAATAAATATTTTCTAGATATGTGTGATTGATACCAAATTCTGTGGGTAAAAATTTTGAATACAAATTACATTATAGTTCTTTTTTTGTGTTTTGAGACACAGTCTCACACTGTCACCCAGGCTAGAGTGTAATGGCACAATCTTGTCTCACTGCAACCTCTGCCTCCCGGGTTCAAGTGATTCTTCTGCCTCGGCCTCCCAAGTAGCTGGAACTACAGGTGAGCGCCACCATGCCCAGCTAATTTTTGTATTTTTAGTAGAGCCGGGGTTTCACCATATTGGCCAGACTGGTCTTGAACTCCTGACCTCGTGATCCGCCCGCCTCAGCCTCCCAAAGTGTTGGAATTACAGGCGTGAGCCACTGCACCCAGCCCACAAATTACAATATACTTCTAAGCATATTGTCATATTTCCTTGGGTACACATTTAGATAATTGCATTCAGGTTCACAAGCAATTGTGGTATAATACAGTATAGACACTAAAATTACAGAAAAGTGAATAGGATCATTGAGATCTAAAATAAATGTTTCACTCACCCAAGGAGTCTAACAAAATTCACATTGGTAAATTCAGAATTTCCTGTCACATATTTTCTTCAATCTTAGGAATAAACTTTTGTACATATAGACACGTATCTGAGATACATGTGTTTATGTGTAACTTTTGTGTGTATATATATATAATATATATATATCCCAGATGTTTGTGTTTATGTGTCTATATGTACAAACATTTAGTACATAATTTTAATGAATTATTACATATTTCTTATTGATTTTAAATTATTTTGTATCTTTATAAAAATTTAGCACCCCTGTAGGTTAGTATTAGTAGCATTAACATTTATTTTGTACAAAACGAACACTTTCAGATATGTTGATAAATACCATCAAAATCATTAATAAAATATATATCTCGTATAAAAATATGTAATAGAAAGTCACTTTTTACCTGAATTGAACATGAGTTTAAGAGTTAATTTCAGGGATTTTGTTTTTGTTTTTGTTTGTTTGTTTGTTTTTGAGATGGAGTCTCCCTCTTGTCGCCCAGGCTGGAGTGCAGTGGCGCAATCTTGGCTCACTGCAACCTCCACCTCCGAGGTTCAAGTTACTCGCCTGCCTCAGCCTCCTGGGTAGCTGGGATTATAGGCGCACAACACCACACCCGGCTAATGTTTGCACTTTTAGTAGAGACAAGTTTTCGCCATGTTGGCCAGGCTGGTCTCGAACTCCTGACCTCAGGTGATGCATTAATTTCAGTTTTTTTAAACACTGATATCAAGGATAGAGATAAGCCTCATACATAATGTAATCACTATTCTAACTCTATTTCTATTAATGTTTATTTTGTTTTCATTGGGACTGCTAGTCATAATCATCATTTTCATCATAGTCATCACCTATTTAGTTGCTTTTGTAAGTGCACTTTTTCCAGGTTCTTTATTAGATACATATTTCTCATTTAAGAATGGCAATAGTATTATGAAGTAGGTTTCCCATTTCATAAATCAGGCAGTTGAAGTTTAGAAGGTATACACTTGCTTTCCAAGTTCACACTTCTCACGCATAACTTTCTTGGAATACAACTAAGCTCTATCAGACCCACTCTAAACTTCTAACCATTAGGCTATCATCTTATCAGCTCTGTGTCTACTACACCATTTTTTGGACTGTCGAAGTGAAACATTGGTATAGATATGGAATGGCTTTTAAATAGAATGTATGTTCTGATCACATGTGAAATTATTAGTTTAGCTAAAATGACATTTAGGATTTTAAAACATTTAAACTTATTGATTTTGTCTTAGTTATTTCAATTTTTAAAAACATATAGGATGTTTGTGTCTATTCATTATTACTGCCATTATCTATATAGCTCCTAAGTCACTTGTTCCAGCACACATTTAATAGAGGTTAAAAGGGAATATCAAGTAACTATGATGAGTGATTGTTTTTTCCCTTGAACAATAAACAAATTGAAACCTTCCTACCATAGTGTTTTTTAAACATCCCTTCTAGCCTGATAAATAAACAAAATAACCTGTGAACATTAACCTCCATGATATATACTGTTATCTAACGATGTGCAAAATGCATTTTCAAATGAAATAATTAAATTGGTGACTTCACCTATGGGAAATATATAGAGCTATATTTCTTTCGGCTTGTTCCATTTCATTAGATGTAGAAAAGAGAATTAAATTATTGTCTATGCATTGACATGGAAAGACAATACAGAGATTTTTATTAAGTGAATAAAGCAAGGCACATAAGGTCTATAGTTGCTAGTTTTGTGCAAGAAAGATCAACATACAAACTGTGTAACATAAATGTTGCTTATATTTATGAAAATAAAACTGAAAGTATTTATAGGAAAATAATAAAAGTGCTTGCCCACTGGGTGTGAGAAAGATCAAAGTTGGGACATCTCTTCTCAATGTATTCTCCTAATAGAGCAGTTTCATCATGTAAGTAGTTTTAGCTCTAGATCTTTTATACACTGCAAAACTCCAATTATTTTATCCCTGGATTTACTTACCTAATAAATAACTAGGAGAAAATTCTAGGCGTAATTATGTTGGATTAATAATAATTCTCTTAAACACAGCATCGTGAAAAGTCACACTCCCCAAAATGAGACAATAGAGTTATAGTTAAGCAACAGAAAAGTTAAAAACTATTAAACAATGCTTGCTTAATTTCTTAAAAGTTATAGTTATGACATAGACTATAAAAACAACTCCTATAAAATAATTATATTCAATAAATGATGCCACAAAATGGATGCATATTTCAGGGCCATATTGTACAGAGTATTCAATATTCAAGAACTGACTATACAAGAAACCATGTCTATGGTCATTAAGTTCCTAACTGATTGATGAAAAATGCCAGAGTCCATCAAGACTAGAGAAATTAGGATGATACAGAGAGTATTTTTTAAAAAACTAAGTCCTTATGATTTGAGAAATTGCCATTACACTGAACTTGCTATTTCTTTTTTTATATGTACTTTATGAAATATGATGATAAGTGAATCATCTGGTTTTGTTTTTAACATACTAACCTGGAAAGAAAAGGGCAACATTCTGTGATTCTCTGGCTACTCATTTTTCTAAATGGTTCACAAATTCCCAAAGTCTACGCATCATTGTCCCACAGAAATTATAAAACGCAAAACTGTGGCAACGAGAAACTGTATTCATAATGTTACACATGTAATAACCATATTTATGCTTAAGTAGATTGATTTTAACCCAAGGCCCTATCTAAAATGTATATTATTCTCTTGAAATAAAAGTAACTTAAAATATACTTCACATTTTTACATCAAGGCCAAAAGCAAAGGCAGCAAAAAACAAAACAAAACAAAAAAAAAAAAAACCATAGGATAAGAGAGTCTCAAAGTTGCAAGTGTAAACACATAAAGCAAAAATCATTTTCTTTTATGAGTTAGAGAAAACCTCCTCTTTGTTAAGATAATTAGAGAAATATTGCATTTAAAACATAATATTTGAAACATTAAATAATTGAATGCTTTTGTTTAAATAATTTTTCCTTTCATCACAGAATTATAGAGAAGTTATGCAATTGCTGAAAGCATTAAAAATAATAATAATAAAGGAAGTTTAAATAGACCAGAGCAGATTTCACTCCTCTTTTCCATCTAAAGATTTAAATTCATCCTGCTGGGTAAGAATTCTGACTTATTAACAGATAGGCATTTCCTTTAGTTCATTGTTTATTATTACCTTCTTTTCCTGTCTGTTAAAAAATATGCCACAGTTGAGTTAGTTTTAATGTAATAGCTCATACAATGGTCTATGAATTGAATTTGAGAGGAAAGAGGTCTTCTGGAGTTTGATGTCAGAGGCACAGTGACCCTGCCAGCTCCCTTGCCCTCCTCTAGAGCAAAGTCATTTCATTTGGTCATCAGCTTGTGTCTCAGTCTGCTCAACTGGGATGTGAGCACATTGACAGAGGGTACCTTGGGATTTCCCTGTCTGGACAAGAGGGCAGATTATTCAAGCTGCTGCAGGTAACCCAACAGTTGCGGGTCCTCCAGTTAACTTTATTGCCTCACTTTGTATAAACATATAAATTTTATGAATATAGCTTCATTGAATTCAGATGTTTGGGTTTATAATGTCACATTTTAAGAAACAAGCTTTATAAATGAATGAAAGTGCGTTTAAATATATCTTCTTTATAAGTGAAAGTCAGGACTCTTTCACTTAGATAAATATCCATTAGACATTCTTTGAAAGTTACCTTACTGTCATTCCCTGAAGATGTGAAACAAATTCTATGTGGATTTCCAAAGCTGTGTTTTACTAGATTAATTTACCAGTTCTCTTAGTCCATTCAGGCTGCTATAAAAATACTATAAACTGGGTAGCTAATTAATAATATAGTTTTTTTTTCACAAATTCTAGAAGCTGAGAAGTCTGAGATCAAGGCTCCAGCAGATTTGCTGTTTGGTGAGTGCCCACTTTCTGGTTCAAAGATAGCAAGATGGTAACTTCTTGCTTTGTTCTCACCTGGAGGAAAGGGCAAGGGAGCTCTCTCAGGTCTCTGATAAAGCATTAACATCATCCATAAAGGCTCCACCCTCATGACCTAATCCTCTCCCCAATACCTCACATCCTAATATCATCACTTTGGGGTTTAGATTTTAACATAGAAATTTTGGGAGCACACAAGTATTCAAACCACAGCAACAGTACGCACACACACACGTACACAAACATATCATATAGCTAACCCTTGAACAACTTGGATTTGAACTGTGTGGGTCCACTTGTAAGAAGATTTTCTTCCGTCTGTGCCTCCCCTGAGACAACCAGACCTCTCGTCTTCCTCCTCTTCCTCAGGCCACTCAACTTGAAGACAACAAGGATAAAGACTTTTATAATGAGCCACTTTTAATTAGTGCATAGTGATATGGTTTGACTGTGTCTCCACTGAAATCTCATCTTGAATTGTAGCTGCCATAATCCCCATGTGTCATGGGAGGGACCCGGTGGGAGGTACTTGAATCATGAGGGAAGGTTTTTCTGTGCTGTTCTTGTGATAGTGAACAAGTCTCAGGAGCTCTGATGGTTTTGTAAAGGGCAGTTCCCGCCACATGCTTTCTTGTCTGACACCATGTAAGACATATCTTTGGTCCTCCTTTGTCTTCCGCCATGACTGTGAAGCCTCCCCAGCCATTTGGAACTGTAAGTCAATTAAATCTCTTTTCCTTATAAATTACCCAGTCTTGGATATGTCTTTATTGGCAGTGTGAGAATAGACTAATACAGTAAATTGATACTGGGTAGTGGAGCACTTCTGTAAAGATACCCAAAAATGTGCAAGCAACTTTGGACCTGGGTAACAGGCAGAGGTTGGAACAGTTTGGAGGGCCCAGAAGAAGAAAGGAAAATGAGGGAAAGTTTGGAACTTCCTAGATACTTGGTGAATGGCTTTGACCAAAATGCTGCTAGTGATATGGACAATAAAGTTCAGGTTGAGGTGCTCTCAGATTGAAATGAGGAAGTTCTTAGGAATTGGAGCAAAGGTAACACTTGTTATGCTTTAGCAAAGACACTGGTGGCATTTTGCCCCTGTCCTAAGGATCTGTGAAACTTTGAACTTGAGAGAGATGATTGAGCATATCTGGCAGAAGAAATTTCTAAGCATCAGGGCAGTCAAGATGTGACTTGGGTGCTCTTAAAAGTATTCAGTTGTATTTATTCACAAATATATAATTTGAAATTGGAACTTATGTTTAAAAGGGAAGCAGAGCATAAAAGTTCAGAAATTTTGCAACCTATTTGATAGAAAAGGAAAACCCACTTTCTGAGGAGAAATTAAAGCCCACTGCAGAAATTTGCATAAATAATGAGGAGCTAAATCTTAAACACCAAGACAATGGGGAAAATGTCTCCAGGGCATGTCAGAGGTCTTCACACAGGCCCAGAAGCCTGGGAGAGAAAAATGGTTTCCTGGGCTGGGCCCAGTGCCTTGCTGCTTTGTGCAGTCTTGGGACTTGCCCTACACCCCAGCCATGGCTAAAGGGGGCCAGCATACAGCTCAGGCCATTGCTTCAAATGGTGCAAGTCCTAAGCCCTGGTGGCTTACACATGCTGTTGGGCCTGCAGGTACACAGGAAACAATAATTGAGGTTTGGGAATCTCTGCCTAGATTTCAGAGGTTGTATGGAAATGCCTGGATGTACAGGCAGAGGTATACTGCAAGGGTGGAGCCCTCATGGAGACCCTCTGCTAGGGCAGGGCAGAAGAAAAATGTGGGGTATGAGACTTCACACAGAGTCCCACTGGGGCACTGACTAGTGGAGCTGTGAGAAGAGAGCTACAATCCTCTAGACCCCAGAATAATAGACTCAATGGCAGCTTGCACCATGTATCTGGAAAACCACAGACACTCAACACCAGCCCATGAAAGCAACCAGGAGGGAGGGTGTACCCTGAAAAGCCACAGGGGTGGAGCTGCTCAAGACCATGGGAACTCACCTCTTGCATCAGTGTGACCTGGATGGGAGACGTGGAGTCAAAGGAGATCATTTTGGAGCTTTAAGATTTGACTGCCCTGCTGGATTGCTGACTTATATGGGCCTGTAGCCCCCTTGTTTTGGCCAAATTCTCCCATTTGGAATGGGTGTATTTACTCAATGCCTGTAACCTCATTGTATCTAGAAGTGACTAACTTGTTTTTGATTTTACAGGCTCATAGGCAAAAGAAACTTGCCTTGTCTCAGATAAAATTTTAGACTGTCAATTTTTGAGTTAATGCTGAAATGAGTTAAGACTTTGAGGAACTGTTGGGAAGACATGATTGGTTTTGAAATGTGAGTACATGATATTTGAGAGGGTCCAGGGGTGGCATGACATAGTCCCCATGTGCCATGGGAGGGAGCCAGTGGGAGGTAATTGAATCATGCAGGCAGATTTTCCTATGCTGTTCTTGTGATAGTGAACCAATCTCATGAGATCTGATGGTTTTATAAAGGGCAGTTCCCATACACATGCTTTCTTGCCTGCCACCATGTCAGACATATCCTTACTCCTCTTTCACCTTCTGCCAAGATTGTGAGGCCTCCACAGCCATGTGGTAAGTAAATTAAACTTATTTTCATTATAAATTATGCAGTCTTGGTTATGTCTTTATTAGCAGTGGGAGAACAGACTAATATAGTAAATTGATACTGGGTAGTGGGGCACTTCTGTAAAGATACCCAAAAATGTGCAAACAACTTTGGAACTGGGTAACAGGCAGAGATTGGAACAGTTTGGAGGTCCCAGAAGAAGAAAGGAAAATGTGGGAAAGTTCGGAACTTCCTAGAGGCTTGTTGAATGGCTTTGACAAAAATGCTGATAGTAATATGGACAATTATGTTCAGGGTTCAGGATGAGGTGATCTCAGATTGAGGTTTGGGAACATCCACCTAGATTTCAGAGGTTGTATGGAAATGTCTGGATATACAGGCAGCGGTGTACTGAAGGGATGGAGTGCTCGTGGAGAACCTCTGATAGGGCAGGGCAAAAGAAAAATTTGGGGTATGACTTTTGAGTTCATGCTATAATGAGTTAAGACTTTGAGGAATTGTTGGGAATGCATGATTGGTTTTGAAATGGGAGAACTGTGTCTCCACCCAAACATATCTTGAATTATAGCTCCCATAATGCCCAAGTGTCATGGGAGGGACCTGGTGGGAGGTAATTAAAACATGGAGTGGGTTTTCCCCATGCTGTTCTCATGATAGTGAACAAGTCTCACAGGGTGTAATAGTTTTATAAAGGGCAGTTTCCCTGCACATGCTTTCTTGCCTGCCGCCATGTAAGACATGCCTCATTCCTCCTTTGCCTTCCACCATGATTGTGAGGTCTTCCTGGCCATGTGGAACTGTGAGCAAATTAAACCTATTTCCTTTATAAATTACCCAGTCTCAGGTCTGTCTTTATTAGCAGCATGAGAACAGACTAACACAAATAGTAAATATATTTTCTCTTTCTTATGATTTTTTTAATAACATTTTCTTTTCTCAAGTTTATGCTGTTATAATAATACAGTATATAATAGATACAACATAAAATATGTGTTAACTATGTATGTTATTAGTAATGCTTCTGATCAACAGTAGGCTATTAGTAAAGTTTGGGAAAGTCAAAAGTTATATGTGGATCATCTCAATGGAGTCCAAATAAAAGAATCCTTTCAGCTCTGTTTGGCATAACTAGTTTACTAATTCTGGGGATATAATGCCAACAAAATTTTTGAGTCTGGAGAATGTATATTAGGTAAGGGAAAAAAAAACTACCAAACAAAACAAAACAATTTACAAAATGTTTCCTTAGCCAGAATTCTTCCTTTTGCCTTATCATATCTAATCAGTGTAATTTTTTGATGTGGCTAGGCATGTGAAACAATTTATTTTTAAAATTTTGATTCTTGGAAATATACAACCACCCAAGATTGAATCAGGAATAAATGAAAACCCTTAACACACAAATAATGAGCTCTAAAATCGAGTCAGCAATAAAACATCTACTACCCCAAATCCCTAAATCAGATGGATTCACAGCCAAATCCTACCAGACATACAAAGAAGAACTGGTACCAATCCTACTGAAACTATTCAAAAAATTGAAAAGGAGGGACTACTCCCTCCCTCATTCTATGAAACCAGCATTACTGATATCAAAATTTGGCAAAAACATAAAGAAAGAAGAAACCTATGGGGAAATAGCCATGATGAACATAGACACAAAAATTCTCAACAAAATACCCGCAAACCAAATCCAGCACAAAGCACATCAAAAAGTTAATTCACCACAATCTGGTGGGTGCCTGTAATCACAGCTACTTGGGAGGCTCAGGGAGGAGAATAGTTTGAACCCAGGAGGCGAAGGTTTCGTGAGCCAAGATCATTCCATTGCACTCCAGCCTGGGCAACAAGAGGGAGACTCCATCTCAAACAACAACAACAACAACAACAACAAAAAAACAAACAAACAAACAAACAAAAAACAGTTAATTCACCACAATCAAGTAGGCTTTATTCCTGGGATGCAAGGTTGGTTCAATAAATGTGATTTACCACATAAAGATAATTAAAAATCAATACTACATGATCTTCTCAATAAATGCAGTAAAAGCTTTTAATAAAAACCAGCATCCCTTTATGATAAAACCCTCAATAAACTAGGCATTGAAAGAAGATACCTCAAAATAATAAGAGCCTTTTATGACAGACCCATCACCAATATCATACTGAATGAGCAAAAGCTAGAAGCATTCCCTTGAGAGCTGGAAGATGGTAAGGATGTCTCCTCTCACCATTCCTATTCAACATAGTATGAGAAGTCTTAGCCAGAACAATCATACAAGGGAAAGAAATAATATGGATTCACAAAGGAAAAGAAGAAGTTAAACTATCCATCTTTATTGATGATATAATTTCATGCCTAGAAAACCCTGAAGACTTACCAAAAGTCTCCCCTGTAACTGATAAACAACTTTAATAATGTTTCAGGTACAACATCAATGTAAAAATTCAGTAGCATTCCTATACATTGACAACATTCAAGCTAAGAGCCAAATCAAGAACAGAATACCATTTATAATACAAACAAAAAATACCTAGGGATACATCTAACCGAGAAAGTGAAAGGTCTCTACAAGGAGAACTACAAAACACTGCTGAAAGAAATAATAGGTGACACAAACAGATGCAAAAACATTCCATGGATTGGAAAAAGATTTCATGGATTGGAAAAATAAACATTAGTAAAATGGTCATACTGCCTAGAGTAATCTAGAGATTCAATGCCATTCCTATCCATTGCTATTTTTCACAGAATTAGAAAAAATTATTGTAAAATTCATATGGAACCAAAAAAGAGTCCAAAGAGCCAAAGAAATCCTAAGCAAAAAGAACCAACATGGAGGCATCACATTACCAGACTTTATGCTATACTACAAGGCTACTGTAATGAAATAGCATGGTACTGGTACAAAAACTGACACACAGAGCAATAGAATAGAATAGAGAACCCAGAAATAGAGCTACATATCTACAGCCATCTTCTCTTCAACATAGTTGACAAAAATAAACAATGGGGAAGAGTCCCTATTCAATAAATGGTGCTCAGATAACTGGCTCACCACATGCAGAGGAATGCTACTTGGCCCCTACTTTTCTCCAAAAAAACAATTAACTCGAGATGAATTAAAGACTTAAAGCTAAGACCCCAAACTATAAGAAACCTAGAAGAAAACCTAGGAAGTACCCTTCTCAATGCCGGCATTGGCAAAAAATTTATAGCTAAGTCTTCAAAAACAATTGCAACAAAAACAAAAATTGACAACTCAAAACTAATTAAACTGAAGCACTTCTGTAGTGCAAAAGAAACTATCAACAAAGTAAACAGACAACTTACAGAATGGGAGAACATATTCACAAACGATGTGACAAAGGTCTAATGTCCAGAATCTATAAGGAACTTAAACAAATCAACAACTACAAAAGAAATAACTCTTTAAAAAGTGGGCAAGAACATAAACAGATATTTCTCGAAAGAAGATATACAAGTAGCCAACAAACATACAAAAAATGCTCATCATCACTAATCATCAGAGAAAAGCAAATCCAAACCATAATAAAAGACCATCTTACACCAGGCAGAAAGGCTATGATTAAAAACTCAAAAAATAAAAGATATTGGTGAAGGTTCAAAGAAAAGGGAATGCTTACACACTGATGGTGGGAAGGTAAATTAGTTCACCCACTGTGGGAAGCAGTTTGGACATTTCTCAATGAACTAAAAATGGAACTACCATTTGACCCAGCAATTTCATTACTGGGTGTATATCCAAAGGAAATTAAATCATTCTACCAAAAACCCTCATGCAATCGTACGTTCATTGCAGCACTATTCACAATATTGAAAACATAGAACCAACCTAGGCATCCATAAATGGTATATTGGATATAGAAAATGTGGTACTATATGCCATGGAATACTATGTAGCCATAAAAAATAATAAAATTAATCCTTTGTAGCAACATGGATAAAACTGGAAACGATTATCCCAAGCAAACTAATTCAGAAACAGAAAACCAAATACCACATCTTCTCACTTATAAGTGAGAGCTAAGTTTTGCATACACAAAGACATAAAAATGGAAACAACAGACATGGAGACTACAAGAGGATAGAGGGTAGGATGGGAGCAAAGGTTAAAAAACTACCTATTGGGTACTATGATCACCTGAGTGATGGGTGCAGTCATACTCCAAACCTCAGCATCATGAAGCATACCCTTGTAACAAGCCTGCACATGTCCCCTTGAATCTAAAGTAAAAGCTAAAAAAGCAGAAAAGATCCAAAACAAAAACAAAACAAATTTCAAAATTTTGCAATACTTGCTAGATTTATAGAAAGGTTCTCCACTTTCTTTCATAAAATATTGCTATCCATAATGTTCAAAAACATGGTCCATGATATAAGCTTTACAAGTTATCAACAAAATTGATTTGAAGGAATACTGGGGGAAAGGTTAACAAAATATTTGGTGTGTTTTGTTATTCTTTATTTTTTTACTCTCTTTTCTTGCAGCACATTCCTGTTCTCCCCCAGCTTTTTTTTTTTTTAACATTTTGTTGTTGTTGTTGTTTTCTCTTAGATCCAGTTGTGTTTTGTCCATGCTAAAGATCCAGTGGCTATTTTTCCTGGTTGTTTGAAAGCTGCTCCGAGGTTATTATTTACAGTTCACAGAAGGACAACCCACCATTTGAAGTTATTCACACTAGTTTGTAAAGAACTTACGACTCATGAAGTTCAATTGGAAGCAGATTCTTCCTTATCTCCTTCTATTTTCTGAGTAGCCTACAACCTAGAGTCCATGGTTTTACTATTACTTTTGCTCCACTGTTATGAATTAAGTACACTTTTCTCAAGTAGGGGCCAAGCGTCCTTTGGTCATGAAGAGAGTGATGTTTTGTCCTGTGTTTTGTTCTATTAGTCTTTGAGAGAGTCTTAATAACACATGGTGAAATTTCCCTTTGTTGTAAGAAAGAAAAAGGTTTCACACAATTGATTTGATACAAAGGTTTGTCAGGTTGATGACGTTCCTTTTTCTGAAGAGATCTCACATGCTTATGTGCACAATTCTACTAGTTTATTTTTTATTGTACAAATTCTATTCCTGAACAACTTCCCATTCTTTATGGAATGAAATTTTTTTGGAAATTATTGATTTATTTTAAGAAGAACTGCTGACAAAGATTCACCAGAAATACACTGAACCTTTGGCAAAATACAGTCCACACAACTGGAGCACTACTAAAATAATTCCAGGACAGAAGTTTATTCAACAGAACAAAGTCTCTTAGGTGCTGTCATTGATAAGTAAACTGACTGCTTCTTCCTTTCCTAAATATGCAGTGGCATAATTAAGAGTATTTTATCACTTCTGTTCTTTCCTAATTATATAAAAATTAAAATAAAAACTTAAAAACGAATATGTCTTCCCTTTAAATGGTTCTTACAGATACAATTGTAATATTTTTATTCAATAGTGGTGTGGTTTAAGAGACTGTTTCCATTCATTAAACAACATTCTACCCAAAGAAAACTGATAGATTATGGGCTTATAATGCAAATAAAGATTTCAGGAATGTAACAACTGACAATTTCCAAATGCAAAGCAGATAAAATTTTTAGAAAGTACATGCAAATATCTCTACTAAGCAGATGTCACAAAACTAAAGTATTTTATGGTTTTACTGGAGATACTGATGGGACTTCAGATGTCTCCAAAGTCAACTTTAGTTTCACTGATAACACAAACATGAGGCTGGTGTATATCCAACACTTTCTGGAGTCATGTTCACCAGCAAGCTTGCAATCCTGACTATCTCTGACCAAGGAAAGCAAGCTTTGCATTATTTCACCAGTGTTAATTATATCTTAATAATCGTGACATTCTTTCTGGTTAAATTTAAGAGATTATCTCAGCCAATTACTTTTACACTCCCCTTTTGACTGGTGATTACAGTAGCTCTTCAGTCTGATAAAATCTATAGCATAGGAATGGAACTATGACTATTTCTAATCAGCGCTTTGATGTAATCCAGCAGGTGAGCAAATAATTCATAGCCCCCTTGAACACACAGAGGGCTACAATGTCATGGCCTCCCATCTCCTACATCACGTATTGAGCATCACATATTTGGCCCTGCCCTTAATTAGTCCATGAAGAATAAACACCTTTTTCAAACCCTCCATGTAATAATCAGCTATAAAAAATAAATCTAGGTCATAATCTGGTTTGTCATCACTAATCATGGTGTTGGGTCTACGGTGACCACAAAGGAGCTGGCCAGCATGTGGTGTCGGGGGAAGCCAGCCATGCTGAGCAAAGCAGGAGGTGAAGGCACAGTAGAAGGAGGCTCTGCTTAGGAAAGGCCAAAGGCTTTTCAGGCTGTTCACTTTGTGGTATTATTGAATGAATTAAAAAGTCCTACATTTGAAGATATTTTAAAGGGATCATTAAATATCTGTTAGATATCTATATCTAAAACCTGTTTTATAAATAATATCCTAGAGAAGAAAATTCTCAAATAAAGTGTGGAAAATAGTTGATATGACATTATGAGAGTCAAGTAATTTTTTCCCCACAATGTAAGTTTGTGAAATATTTTTGAATGTTTACATACAAATATTGTTTTGGTATATTTTGTGCTACTATTACAAACTACCACAGTAATTTATAATGAACAGACATTTATTTCTCACAGTTCCAAAGGCCAGGAGGTCCAAGATCAAAGTGCTGGCATCTAGGGAGGGAATTCTTGCTGCACCATTACATGGTGGATGGCATCACAAGGCAGAAAGGCAGAGTTATTAGGGGCAGGGAAGAAGAGAGAAAAACTAGAGAGAAAAAGAGAATAGGGCCAAACTTACTCTTTTGTAATGAACCCACTTCTGCAATAATGGAATTAATCCATTCATGAAGGCATAGATTTCATCACCTAATCAGTTCTTAAAGCCTCAACTCCTTCTTTTTTTTTTTTTTTTCTTTTTTTTTTTTTTTGAGCCGGAGTCTCACTCTGTTGCCAGGCTGGAGTGCAGTGGCGCGATCTCAGCTCACTGCAACCTCTGCGTCCCGGGTTCAAGGGATTCTCCTGCCTCAGCCTCCTGAGTAGCTGAGACTGCAGGCACGTGCCACCACGCCCAGCTTATTTTTGTATTTTTAGTAGAGATGGGTTTCTCCATGTTGGCCAGAATGGTCTTGATCTCTTGACCTTGTGATCTGCCTGCCTCAGCCTTCCAAAGTGCTGGGATTACAGACCTGAGCCACCGCGCCTGGCCCCCTTCTTAATACTGTTACAATGACAATTACCTTTCAACATAAGTTTGAAGAGAGCAAACATTCAAACCATAGCAAATATCGTATATATTAATTGAATTACTCACTTGTTTGTTTCTTCAACAAATACTTGTGATTTTATTATGTGTCAGGTCTTATGTGTGTGCTATGATGCAAAAGTTAAAATGTTATGATTTTTATTCTCAGTGTACTTCACCCTTTTGGGGGCTAACGTAAGTAGATACACATCTATATGTAGCATGTATTTCTCATACATATCGCTCATTAGTTTATTGGAGAAAGATGTAGTAATCATATATTGCGTGCCAATCACTGTATTGGTTACTGTTGAAAAAATGATTGTTTAAATTAAAAAAACAGATCTAGAAGAAAGTCGTTGTATGCTACAAAATACAGCTGTATGCAGACAAGGATCAATGAACTCTGCTCTGTTACCCTTTTCACCAATTAAAAATATGTATACCTGGAAGAAAAAAAATAAAGAATATAGTGTCAAATGTGAAATACTAGGAAGTGTACTAACCTGACGGCAAGAAACTGATGTATTATTTCTGTCTTTTATGCCAGCTGTGCAAATCTAAGGATACCTTATATCCTTCTAATGGCTTCACTAGCTTCTGCTATTAAATATCTAATCTTAATGCTACAAAGGGACAATCAAAATTTGATTAATGTTAGGTTTGTGTTGGAACAATCTTGTAGAAATTCACTACAAGAATACTACTAGAGTTTGAAATACAAAAGCCTAATTAAGATGAACTGTTCTGGTTGGTTGCAGTGGCTCACGCCTGTAATCCCTGCACTTTGGGAGGCCGAGGCGGGCAGATCACGAGGTCAGGAGATCGAGACCATCGTGGCTAACACGGTGAAACCCCGTCTCTACTAAAAATAGAAAAAGAAATTAGCCAGGTGTGGTGGCAGGCGCCTGTAGTCCCAGCTACTCCGGCTGAGGCAGGAGAATGGCGTGAACCCGGGAGGCAGAGCTTGCCGTGAGCCGAGATGGCGCCCCACTGCACTCCAGCCTGGGCGACAGAGTGAGACTCCGTCTCAAAAATAAAAAAAAAAAAAAAAAAAAAAAAAAAAAAAAGATGAACTGTTCTGAGCTTGTATGGAAGATGAAACTGATTGACATTTCTCCTGCTTTGGGACCAAGAACAAACTCAGCCACTAGTAATAGGTCGAAGAAGAGAAGAATCAAGTTGAAAGAGTCTGGTTAACATGTTCATTTAGTGTACATTAACTTTGGAATTACGACATAGAATTTTACTAGGAATCTGCATAAAAGCTGTATATCCAAAATAGTAAAGAAAAATTAAGTAGAATTAAAGTGAGTGGAGGCAACTTTTAACCACTGTGCTAAATAATTGTAAAATAATTTGTGAGGTTTTATAGAGTTCTGGTAACAAAACTAAGTGAAATGCTCTTTCACTATTTTTAGGACTTTTTCATAAAAGTAGATAAATTAGTCGTGAATCATTTGATTAAGAAAAAATAACATTATTTATACATGTATGAAAATAAAATTACATGATTATGTTTAGCAACTAGTTATTTGTTACACCTTTTTCAAGGGTTTGGCTTTTAATATATGTAGACAAGTAATGGTAGTATATTTATTATGGGATATAAACCAAAGGGGGCTTAAATGCTTGATCAATTCAGCTGGCCGGAGGGGAGCCTAACAACAAACTCTATTCACAATCAGACTTCATTCTGATGTCAACAGAGCTCTAGTCGGCCAAGTCTAATTGGATTTTCTACATAAATCAATTGATCAGAGCTTGTTAAGACTGTCAGTAACTGTTCTCCCAGTTACTCTCCTTATCCTGCTCTTACATTTATGGCCATTAAGCTTGTGCTCAAGCAGGGCTGATTGACAGATTCTGATTGTAGAGGAGAGATTCACCAAACCTACAAAAAAGCAGGTATGTTCTACTATCCAAAATCAAAATAGTTTATGTTTTCCCTTTTTTTTTTCCTCCCAAAAGAAATGTTCTGGCATGGTCTCTAGTTATGAGAAACAAACAAACAAGAAAAACTCAAGTGCAGTGCTTTCCAGTGAGTTGTGATGAACATGAGTTTTGAAGCTCTTGAGCTACACCACTAACAAGTGGTTCTCTTGGTTTCTTACTGCATCTTTGGTTTGCCATCTGTAAAATCAGGATTCTACATGCCTACATTTCAAGATGTTGTGTTATGTGAATTAAAAATAAAAAATTCTCAACACTATGTTTTATAAATGTTCCAAAAATGCTAGTTTTATTTGTATTTCCATTCAAAGTCTCTAACCCTCTCTGAATAAATGTATATTCTTTCTCTTTTTTCAGTGGGACAATGATGTAAAGTCATTGGCAGTTAGAACAAAGAGGTAAAAACTATTCTCATAATACAGGCACTATGATTTAACCAATTAACACTTTTGACAAAATTTAACAGTTTCTCCATGTTTTGGGATCAGTGTTTTGTTCTAATTTCTAAGCATATTATTGAAAAATGCTCTTTTTAGTCAAATCAATATTGATAGGCAAGGAAATAACAAGGAGGCAATACATTTCTTTTCCTGCTTAAACTTTACTATTTTGTAAATAAGTTAAAATGATTAAATATTTAGGAAAAAATAAAGATGTTTATTATATTTGGAATATGTCAGATCTTTATAAATCTAACCTTTAATTCTCTCCTTTCCATCTGAAACAAAACACAAAAAAACTTAAACTTTGTGGTTTAATAGAAAGATAGATTGTGAAAGAAAAGCAATGAAAAGTTAACATAGCACTAGAACAAAAATTATATCAATAATAAAAACATTTTCATATATAAAATATATTTATTTTGACACTCTAACTCCTTGCCACAAAACAAAAAAAAAGATACAACGTACAAGAAAAGTAAAGAATAGTAAGATGGCCATTGTCAAACCCAAAATCATGTCAAGTGCTGAATGAAAACTTGTAAAACAAAGATTTTTCACAGAGAATTTTTGACTCCAAAATTACCATTAACAGTAATAAAAGTTATCCAATCAGTAGCAAGACAGTAGACAATCTCTTATTTGTATGGTTCATTATCATTTTCAGTTTTGGCAAATCTGTTGTGGTAGATATGAAGGTACTATTAAACCAACAGGGAGAGGAGAGAAGTTTATTCTGAAAATGTATGCTGGTGTGTTACACTGTTCCACTTATGTTTCACAGACTTGACTTCTCTTTCTTGAAAATGCATTACTATACCTGCTAAAGTATTATACTTCAAAGCATCATGCTTATTTGGATATTTTGTAGTTATTTGCATCCGGCACTGCAAAATTCACACCTGATCCAGATTAAAAGACCCAAATCCCTAAATATTTTAGAATTTTGAAAGGCAGGCTGATGACATAATCTGTTACCTGAATAACTTGAAGATCACGAATATCCCTTCTAAACCTCTGGGACTTCATCTATAAAATGATGGTGTGACCTTTCTTACAGTCTGCTATGAAATTAAATGTGCAAATGATCGTAAACTGTTTAGAATGATGATGACTGGCACTTAGTATTAGCTAAATAAATTATATATTCAGTACTCACATGATCCAAATGGAGATATTATTGTATGTAGGATTACCTCCATGTCTTCCTTTTAACTTGTGTCTTAATTCCTCCTCTTCCTTCTTTCCCTCTTCCTTTACTTTAAGTGAAACTTTTGCATCTACTATAAACGTCTATTGCACTTCTTCACACAGTTTCTGAAGTTTTTTGTATTTCAGATATGTTATGAGAGAACCCCACTCCTCAGATTTGGGATTCCTTAATTTTATCCTCAGCTATTTCAATTATGGCCTTTGACTAATACTTGGTTTAATTTTGTTTCTCCATTATCTTTTTCCCTACAACATTAATATTTTGTTAACAACCTATGCTTTTTAGAGAATAAAATGGATATGTTAACATTTAATTTTTTTGATACAGATGATATTTACCTTAATTGTTAAATGTTTCATCTATAATACTCTTAGGCAGTATTTTTTTTTTTTTTTTTTGAGATAGAGTCTCGCTCTGTTGCCAGGCTGGAGTGCAGTGGCGCGATCTCGGCTCATTGCAACCTCTGCCTCCTGGCTTCAAGCGATTGTCCTGTCTGAGCCTCCTGAGTATCTGGGACTAGAGGTGCGCACCACTACACCTGGCTAAGTTTTGTATTTTTAGTACAGACAGGGTTTCACCACGTAGGTCAGGCTGGTCTCAAACCCCTGACCTCGGGATCTGCCTGCCTCAGCCTCCCAAAGTGCTGGGATTACAGGTGTGAGCCACCGTGCCCGGCCACGAAGTATTTTTATGCCACTCTTAAAGGCTTTTTAAAATAAAAATCTTAAATAACTGTCTTTAAATGTTTGGTGAGAATTTATTGTTTGTATTCTAAATTAGCTTCATATTTGAAATTAATTTTAAGCAAAATTGGTAAGTAAAATATTAGTCCTTAATCCAAAGAGAGTATATTTGTGGTAAATGCAATTCTGATCATAAGAACTAAGCTCGTGATGATTGTGTCTTCGAAACCTGGTTGTTTACTGCCCCAGCCTGGTCTGGAGTCACTGCTTTTCTGCCCTGGTCTCAGGTCCTCCCTACTCAGCTGCAAGCCAGAGAAGTCGAGGGCTCCATTGTCCATGGATTAAGTTGGTGCACAAGTAAAAGTCTCTTTCTTCTTGCCTTCACGGCCTCTGCTCCTAATTTTAGAATTATTTGTGAATTCTAATGGAAAAACACTTTCTGATGATGTTGTCATCTCTGTTTGTGTCTGTGGGCTCCTCAGCTATGGTATTGTCAACAGCTTTTTTCCACCTCTGCTGTCAAGTTCCTTTTATCTGTGTACTTCTGTATGTAATTCCTCATGGTCTAACTGATGTAGCAAAGTACAGTTTATTCCCATAAGTAAAAAACACAGCTTTATATGATCACGTATATACATGAAATCCAGAGAATGGTGTCGAAAAATTTTGTGTTTGCCTGTTTGTTTTTAATATTTTCCCTCAGGCACCTGTGAATCCCCATCAGTCTACGCTGTTATCTATCTGTGAGATTAGGGAATTCCTTCCTACTGCACTCCTTTTTTCTTTCTTTAACTCATAATAGTCTTCTCAGACTTTTATAATTTTTTACCCCCTTAGCGTCCCATTTCTTCCTCTCAAACTTGACTCAAGCTCTCTATCAATTTTCTCTTTAAAGAAGCAGAAGAGGAAATAGCTTCAGATCCTTCAGGTTTCTCATTAGGGATCTGAGGAGTGAGGGAATAATGAACAAAAACTGTCCAGTCAAACTTGAATCAATATACAAACACACATTAAACATTTATATTGTTCATATCAACTGTTACTCCTCTTGTTAATGTTTTTGTTTTGTTTTGTTTTGTTTTGTTTTGTTTTTTAGCTAAGGCTGACACAATTACTGTTGTATTTCTTTTTTTATCTTAACAAAGACCTTCTTTTATTTTCCTGGCTTTGTGTGAATCAAGGCCTTAGAAGGTGTTAAAAAATCTTTGACCATGAATTAGGTGAGAAGGTTAGCAAATTCCATACTAACATACATCATTTCAGTGAGATTCTTAAAAGCAGGGAAACTAAACTGTTATTTCCATTTGTCAAGTTAATTTTTAAAAATATAGTATTTTATCCTAAAGTTGTAAAAGTGAAAGATAAGTAAAATGAAAACCACGTTTTTGAAATAAAAAAATATATTAACTAGGTGCAATAAATCTATTGTGAAGCCTGCCATAAATACTAGAACATGTTTTGAAAGGAATTTAAAAACAACATATATACTATGTCATAATGCCAAAATTAACTGCCAGCCCAACTATTTGAGGTACTCTTTGGGGATATTTCATAATGAATTATAAATGTATTCAGCAAAATATAAAATTAGGAGGCTTTAAAGCCAAAGAATAAACTTGCAAAATTACTTTTTTTTTTTGAGATGGAGTCTCTTGCTGTCACCTGGGCTGGAGGGTAATTGCGTGATCTCCGCTCACTCCGAACTCTACCTCCCAGGTTCAAGGGATTCTCCTGCCTCAGCCTCACGAGTAGCTGGGATTAGAGGCGCCCACGACCAAGCCCAGCTAGTTTTTTGTATTTTTAGTACAGAGAGGGTTTCACTAAGTCGGCCAGACTTGAACTCCTGACCTCGTGATCTGATTGCCTCGGCCTCCCAAAGTGTTGGGATTACAGGTGTGAGCCACCACGCCCAGCCCTGAAAATTACTTTTATAGATGGTTGTTGATTAACCCATGAAGTCAATGAAAACCGGTCCTCAATTTCTCATATTTTTTATGTCCTTTCTGATTTGTGTTCTTTCTTCACATAAATAGCTATTCTGCTTGAATTCAGGGACATAACTGAGGCTGTTGTCAAGTTTAGCCTAAAGCTGCCTCCTTACCTACTTTAAGTTCGGCCTGAAGGTTTCTCTGTACATTGTGAAATATAACCTAAAGGGAGTTGTAAACAGACTGTAGACTATTGTGCCAGCCACTGAGTTTTGGCTAATCAAAGGTGGCCAACTGTTCAAACTGTGTTCAAGTAAGGCAGACATAAAGCTGTAACCAATTTTGCTGTCTCTGTTCTTCATTTCCATTTTCAGTATGTCATTCTCCTTTTTCTGTTCATAAAGAGTTTCTGAACCTACGCTGGCTCGGGAGATTCCCCGATTCATGAATCTTTCTTTGCTCAATTAAACTCTGTTAAATTTAATTCAACTATAGTTTTCTTTTAACTGATGACATTAGAAGTGGGATCCAAAGTTGGGCTTCCAGCAAGTGCCAGGAACACTGAGTGACTAAGTGAGGTACTGGCCGGGCCCATTATGTTCATTGCTCTCTCACAGCAACTGGGGATTGTGGTAAGTTCTCTCTCTGATTCCAAAGCTCCACAGATTTGTGTTTTGAGCTCTCAGTTTCTTTGAGCAAATTTCTGATCCAAACTGGGTTTAGAAGTCATGATAGAAAATGGGCTAGGTCCAGAATCAGATTGGATCTGATACTTAACTGGCTTGGAACCAGTTAGAGTCCTCTTATGTCTGACTGGGTCAGAAAGAAACTGGTAGTAAATGGCAATATTACAAGGAGGGTAAAATTTGGCTTTTGAAAATTTGCAGGGAATTTTGTGTTCCATTCCCTTTGTTTCTTCTTTCTTGCATACTTAGGTAGGGAAAAATCATTGGCTAAGTTGATCAAGTGGATCTTCAAAATGACTCAGGGTTTTTCTCGGCCACTTTGCCAGCCAGGGCAACCTCCACAGCCAGCAATGCCCTGGCCCTGCTGTGGGAGTCACCCTGCCCATTCAGCCTGCCTGTGTTACAGCCTGTACCTGCATTTGGCAGGTAAGCTCTTGTCCTGCGTCCAAAAAGAATGGAAACATGCTGACATTTCGAAGGATGAGGATGGCAGAGAAGAATTTTATGGAGCGATGGAACAGCTCTCAGTGGAGAGGGGACATGGGGGTGGTCCCCCACCCCCACAGTCAGGTGGTTTCTCCCAGTGTGGCTGAATCTGGCGCTTTTAATGGGCTCAGAAAAGGGGAGTGCATGCTCATTGGTTTGGGAGTATGCAAAAGGGTTAAAACAAAGGCACCACTCAAAGGTGGGCATGACAGTGTAAAAAACCAATGAGGGAAGGGTAGGTATATGTAAAATAGGTGAAGGGTAGGGATCAATCACAGGAATGCCTGACAAACAGGAAGACAAGTCCTCAGTCAGGTCCAGTAATTTACCTGGGACTGTCTTCAGCTTGAAGGTGGGGTTTTACTGGGGACACATTCCTGTCTGCCTATTTGTTTGCTTCCTGCTGGTCGCATTTCCCCCATTTGAAGAGGTACATCTAAATGCTGTTAGGATAAGGAGGATGAGCAATCTTAACTGCTTCCTGCTGACAGGGGGTGTTGTTTTGGGAAGGTAGCAGTCAGATCTCCCTCAGAGGGCTATCTAAGGGTCCCTAGTAAAAGAGAGCCATCGTCCGAGGCTCCAGTTGCATGACCATTTGAAGTTTGATGGCCTGAAGGTGAGAAGACACAAACTGGGTTATTAGAAAACATGAATCAAAATGAAAGAGAGGGGTAAAGACTGCTTAAAAATCCTGAGGCTGCCAGTATGCTGAGATAACTGGTGGGCTATAGTTGTGCCAGCTAAGATTTTGGAGTATGGGACTTGGCTTTAGTTAGGTTCCTTGGTATTATTTTCCCAAATAAAGAAACCTTTGGTTTACGGAAACCCATTTACCTCTATCACCCATCATGATTTACAGGATAATTGCCCAGAAGTAGAATATTGATTCAGATTTTTACATTACCTATCCCTTTGTTTTCTTCTGAGCTGCAGCCAGAGATCACTGGTTGGTTCACAGGAATGAGCAGGGTTAGTCTAAAATGTAGGCAAAAACTTAAAAACAACTAATGGAACTAGAATTTAATGATGTGTGTGGTAAGTCTTTAAACATAATTTTTCTCTCTCCAGTTCCATTTTTGTTAAAAACAAATCATGATAGGACTGAATTGTTTGCAAAATAAACTTTAGTTTTATATTTGGCCTAATTATTTGCATAAAAGTGCAGGAAGAATAATTATTTTTCACATAGTTTTTTAAATTGGCTTTGATGAAACTCTATTCCACAAAGAAACTCAGATAACACCTTTTAAAGCTGAGCCCAGTCATGGGTTTTGTCCCTCAAACACTTACGAGTTGGGGAAATTCCTCTCTCTTGAGGTCCAAAGATAGGTCAGGGCTCTTGGGCCTATTAGAGAGTGACATTCTTTACTCACCATAAGTTAGGAACCCTGAACAGGGAGTGTGTAGATACAGTATCAGGTCAGTTTTCTCAAGAGGCTTTTATTGGCTCTGCAAGTCTAGCTTGATACCTTGAAGGAAAGCTTGCCATTTCCGTCAAAGCCTTGGTAAAACAACCAGTTTCTGCAATTGCATCCTGTTGCAAAAGAAAATGGATTGTTATTGCACTGATGCAAATAATTATATCACCATAAGTTAAGAATACTCACAGTTTCCAAATTCTGGAGAAGCCAGGTGGAGAGGAACAAATATGCTCCAAATTTTTTCACAGGATTATAACTTATTCAATTATTAAAAGCTGTAGATACCTCAAAAGAAAAAGTTTCCTTGACTCTGACAAACAAAACAAAGATCAACAATGTTTTAAGCAAACAGTTAAAAAAGATTACTTTAGTTTTCTGCTGGTTCAGTCCATTCAGTTAACTCTTATTCTGCCTGATATTCATGAGCATTTCAGCTCTTTATGAGTCTTGTATGTTTTTCCTTTATTCCAATGTCACAATCTCCAAAGTCATCAGAAACCTGCATTTGAGAGTAGCTATAATATTCAAAGCCCTATAGCTGATTATAAACCATCTTTTGATCAAATCAAGATAACAATTGTCTGTGAATGATAACATGTCCAGGCAGTGACAGTCAAAAACACAATTGACAAAGAAATTTGGTTATTTCTGTGGTTTACAATAACTTAACACAATAAGCTTAAATATGATTGATAGCATATACTCAGATATTAGAATTTTGGAAATCCCATACAATTTTGGATTATGTATTAATATTATTCACTAAAATATAATCTGAATAAAATTAAACCTTATTTTTATTTTGGAAATCCCATGTAACTGAACATGTCAAATAATCCTGTTTACTTCTCTTTTGGATGCTCCAGGGGGCCTCTGTGGCATCCAAAAGTTAGGGGTTAGAAAAGACAATTTTTGAAGCTGAAATTTGATTTTATGAAGCCTGTTAGATATGCTGGAGATTTAAAACACTTGATATTATGAAATAGAATTCCAGATTACTGTAAGTTATTTATTTAGCCAAAATGATGACTCAAAAAATTTTTTACAAGGCAAAAACCTTTACTCATTGTATTAATCAGGGGTCTTTAAAGGAACAGAACTAATAGGATATATGTCTATACGAAGGGGAGTTTATTGGGAGAATTGACTCACACCATAACAAGGTGAAGTCTCAAGACAGACGTCTGCAAGTTGAGGGACAAGGAAGCCAGTGGTGGATCAGTCTGAGTCCTAAAACCTTAAAAGTCAGGAAGCTGACAGTGTAGACTTCAGTCTGTAGCTGAAGGCCTGAGAGCCTCTGGCAAATCACTGGTGTAAGTCCAATTGTCCAAAAGCTGAAGAACTTGGAGCCTTATGTTCGAGGGCAGGAAGCATTCAGCATGGGAGAAAGATGGGGTCTGGAAGCCTCAGCAAGTCTTCTCCTGCCTATTTTCCTTTAATCTTCTCTTGCCTATTTCATTCTAGCCCCACTGGAAGGTGATTACATTGTGCATCCCCACACTGAGGGTGGATCTGCCTCTCCCAGTCCATTGACTCAGATATTAATTTCCTTTGGCAGCACCCTCACAGACACCCAGGAACAATACTTTGCATCCTTTAATCCAAGCATGTTGACACTTCATTGAATATTTACCATCACATTCATTAAGAGGGAAGACTTAGCTTTCCAATCAATCTGTCTCCTGTCTTCTTCTTTCCTTTTTTTGTAGTTTATTCACAAGGAAACAAAAATATCTCATTATCCTTTAATATTATGTGAAAATCTTGTTCAAGAGAAAGAAAGACAACTTTCACCCTTGAATTAATATAACTATAAATGTCAACCCCAATTTTTTTAATAAAAAAGATTTTTCACTACAAGTTTTCATTACATGATTTTTAAAAATAAAAACCTGTACTTTTTGATAAAGGAGACTCAGCTTTCCAAAAAGTCAAAAGACCTGACACAGCATGAGACAGGATCTGTCTCTTCTTTTCTTTCTCTTTTCTTTTCCTTTCACAGTTTACTCAAAAGATGAATAAAAATGTTTTACTGTGTCTTATAAATACTACACAAAAAATTTGTTCAAACAGAAAACCAAATTTTACTTTTATATTAGTGTGTTATCAATACTAAAACTAATTTTAATAAAATCTCATAAATTTATAAAATCTGCCATCTTTTAACCACACTAGATTTCCATAAACCTTTTGTTTTACATTTTCCCTCTACTTTCTATATTCATCTTGTTTTATCTATTTTTTTTACTTCTTCAGTTTGAAACCTTTAAGTAACTTCAAACCAGACAAGATTTTTAACACACACATATTGTTATGCCTTTATGACTTTTCTCATCAAACAGATATCCTACTTTTGTTTATACATTCCGTATATAGAATTATTTCTCTCATATCAAGTTTTTGCATCTTAGTAACCCTGATTTCTAGTGAAAAGTTGAGTCTGCCTTATCAAAGAGTACAGGTTGTTGTTATTGGAAATCTTGTAATTATCACTTTGGCTAAATGAATGACTATTGTTTCATGTTGGCCTGTGATCCTATTTTGGTCAAGTGTTTAAAACCTTTGACATATTTGACATGCCTTCTAAACTCAAATTTCAGCTTCAAAGTTGTCTTTCTTGACCTCTAACTTTGGGATGCTACAGAGGGCTCCTGAAGCATCCAAAAGTGAGATAAACAGGATTATTCAAAATGATAAGTTAAAGTGAGTAGACTCTTTATCTGGCTTATCCTTTGATCTATTTGTTTTTAGTTGGTTTGGCTTATGGCTAAAGAGCATACTACAAATTCTTGGTATTATCCTTCTGATAGTCATAATAGTATTCGCCCTGGTGCACTTTATTCTCCCAAAAGTTTTAAATATTTGCATGCAGCCATCTCTAGAATGTCACATGGTCTCTCTTCAACTGAGATGACAAGAGCAGAAAGAAATACGTGGCCATGAGGGCACTATAACCTTTGAATGACCTGCAGAGGCTGATGGTAACTGAGGGTGATACTATGGCCCTAAGTTTTGGTCACACTCTCACCTAAATGAGAACCTGACCAAAAGGGGAAAATTTTTAAACAAAATTATCGGGGGGCCATGCACTAGGCCCCAACAGACCAGACCAAACCAAAATAGGGTCACTTATGCTGAATCTGACATAGCCAAACTAAGACTTTAAGGAAACACATAGATCCTAAAACAGCCAGGTTTTGTTTTCCCCTGTAAACAGAACATTCCAGCCAATATGGGTTGGCCATGTCGCCACCCAAATCTCATCTTGAATTGTAGCTCCCATAATCCACACATGTTGTGGGAGGGACCTTTTGGGAGGTAATTGAATCATGGGGACTGGTCTTTCCTGTGGTGTTTTTATGATAGTGGGTAAGTCTAATAAGATCTGATGGTTTTATAAAGGGGGGTTCCCTTACACAAGCTCTCTCTTGCCTGCCACCATGTAAAAGGTGACTTTGCTCCTCCTCTGCCTTCCACCATGATTGTGAGTTCTCCCCAGCCACATGAAACATGAGTCCATTAAATCTCTTTTTCTTTATAAATTACTCAGTCTTGGATATGTTTTTATTAGGAGCATGAGAAAAGACTAATACGCCAGCATAAGGGCACCCTCTACTCTTGCCCTTACAAAAACAAACAAACAAACAAACAAACAAACAACGTGAAGTTCTTGTTCCCTTAAGTTCAGCCTAAAGATTTCTGTGTATGTTATGAACTATAACCTAAAGGTAGTTGTAAACAGACTGTAGCCTACTCTTGTGCCAAAGGTGGCCAACTGTCCAAACTGTGTTCAAATAAGGCAGATGCCACTTTGTAACTAATTTGACTGTTTCTGTACCCCATTTCCATTTTCTATGCATTGCTTTCCTTTTTTCTGTCAATAAATCTTCCATCAAGTGGATTCCCTGGAGTTCCTGAACCTTCTGTGACTCAGGAGCCTGCCCAATTTGTGAATTGTTCTTTGCTCAAACTCTGTTAAATTGAATTCTGCTAAGGTTTTTCTTTTAGCTAGGGGCAAAAGCATCAGAAAACATCTTACTGGCATGGGTTTTCCAACTGAAAAAATGTAAATAGTTTCCCATTTCATAGATGTAATTTACTGTTTAATGCTTAGTAATAGATTTCTCAGTAGGAATAACTCACAGAACAATTTCAATCCCCATATAATCTTCTAGTAAATGAACATCCTCAGTCATATCATGACATGATCATCAAGGTTCTCAGTTTAATTGTGTGGCAGTGTTGGAGGACTTTCATCACAGTGTACATCAACAGAGAGGTAAAAAAAGAAAGTAAGTGTTTACCTATAGGAAATGTTTTATGAATTTAAAAAGTTACCAGTATAAACAATTTGGTTTATTACTGAGTCATTTTCTATCTGTTCTGTAATTCCCCAAAATATTGCAGTGATTTACTATGTTGTTGGCATTCGCTGGCAACTATTTAGTATGTTCTCTTTCTATGTGCTGCTTTTCAGATAAGGAAATCATGTTTTACTCACATTTACCACAACTTAACTACCATCCCTCTGAACGTTATAAGTCTACTGCTTATTTTGAAACACTCATTATTGGTTGAAAGTATGTAAGTGGCATACTAAGTAGTTCAATATCCATTCTTTTAATTTTATAATTAGAATGCATTCAAGCTTTGCTTCTCCATTTTCCTAATGCCCTAAACACTAAATTGAAGTGTACTCTGAAATCATACATTAAACAGAAAATCCTTGAATTAGTAACTTAAAGTTTAGCTTTATACACCAAGGAGTTTTAGTCATTAGCAGGTAATTTAAATTCTTTCTTCTCCCCACCCCTTTTGCCCCAGGGAATATTAAACTTGTTTTTCAAACCTTCCTTCTGAAATATGAGGGGCAAAAATAGTACAAAATCAGAATTCCAGGACACACAAAGATCCTTCAGCAGCCTTGATTCCTCTATTTTAGCTGTTTGTATCTTTCTTCTGTGTAAGGATAACTGGGTTGTCACTAGCAAGGCAGAAACAGAGTCTTAACAAACTGGATCTAGAATGAGTGAACTGGCATATTAAGGGTTATTTTCCTTTTACCTCCTAATATGGTAACCAAATCTCATCTACTCTCCACATGTCATGGGAGGGTCCTAGTAGGAGGTGATTGGATCATGGGGTTGAATTTTCCTATCTTGCTCTCATGATAGTGAGTTCTCACGAGATCTGAGGGTTTACAAATTTGGTACTTGCCCCTTTACCCTCTGTCTCTCTCCTGCCGCCATGAAAGATGTGCCTTGCTTTCCCTTCGCCTTCTGCCACTGTGAATGTAAGTTTCCTGAGGCCTCCCCAGTCATGCAGAGCTGAGTCAATTAAACTTCTTCTCTTTATAAATTTTCCAGTCTCAGGTAGTTCTTTATAACAGTGTGAAAATGTACTAATACACCTCCTGTATTGGTTTGATGGGGCTGCTATAACAAGGTATGATGGACTTTGTCTTCAACAATAGAAATTTACTTTCCCACAAATCTGGAGACCAGAAGTCCAGGATCAGGGTGTGTGAAGGGCTGGTTTCCCCTGGGATCTCTCTCTTTGGCTTGCACATAGCCATATTCTTCTGTCTTCACATAATCATCCTTCTGTGTGTGTTTATGTCCTAATTTCCTCTTCTTAAAAGGACATCTGTCACATTGGATTAGGATGCACACTAATGATTGTACTTTAACTTAATTATCCTTTCAAATATGATATATTCAAACACAGTCACAGTCTGAGATACTAGGGGTTAGGACTTCAACTTATAAATTTGGGGGTGATACAATTTAGCCCATAACACCCCCAAATAGCTGTCTCATCATGACAAAATAATTGTAACACAACCTTACTCCATGTTGGCTGTGATGGGGCATTAGGCCTAAGAGTCAGCTGGTGTGATGGTTCGCAAAGGCAATAGTAGGATTCACATTCCCTTAGAAACTGAGGATCATTATGACAAAACCTCTAATCATAGAAAAGTTTGCCCAGTTGAGTGGATGAACCCCTGATCTTAATAGCCCCGATAGCCTTGAGATCTCATAATCTTTCCTGTCAAAATAAGTGTATGATTCAGAAATGGTAATATTTTCTATGAATTCAGCATGGATGGGACCTGACATAGATGCTATAGAACAATGAAGATTAAATGTGCCTTGTGAACTATTCATAGGCTTTACTATCAAGCACAAAAATACATGACTAAGTGCCTTTTCAAGTTTTTGCTAAGCCTGATATTTGAAGAATGTTCAAAGATGTTTTACTGATCTATAAATGCAATGAGTTTTGCTGATGGAATAGCGTATTTTGCACAACTTAAGTTCTTGCACACAAATATATAATTTATAATCACTCCATTTTTCCCCACCTGTTAAATTTTCCTACCTGATAAATAACTGCATACACTTTTTTGTTCTAATTTATAAACATTGGCTGTAAATACTGAATTGCTGAGGTGAGCATTATCCCAAAATTTAAATTTAGAAGCTGGAAAATAAACAGTTATAAAATTTTAAAAATGTTTTAAATAGAATAGCCTAGGCTACCAGATCTTCTACATTGAAAACCACTTCTGTAAAAAATATGTGATGTGGGGGAAGTTTTTTTGGATCATCTCAAGTAAACATGCTCCTGTGATTCCCAGGGCTGTCATCACTGATCTGCCTCTATGGGATCTGTCCTCTCCTACTGGTGTTTTTGACTTTGTGATTTGTCACCCAGCCTTTATCTTAAGACAGACCCCAAACTGCAATGACGACACAAGCAACAACAAATATTTCTCCCTAAAATATCAAGGGGCTAAAGTGAGGCAGTGGGGATAAAATCCTTGCCATTTCAAAAGTATTACTCTTCCACCTTTATGCAAAAATATTTATACTCTAGCCTTGTGAAAACCTGTGATATGGTTTGGCTCTGTCCCCACCCAAATCTCATCTTGAATTCCCACATGTTGTAGGAGGGGCCTTGTGGGAGGTAATTAAATCATGGGGGTGGTGGGTCTTTTCCATGCTGTTGTCATGATAGTGAGTAAGTCTCACAAGATCTGATGGTTTTAAAAACGGGAGTTTCCCTCCACAAGTTCTCTCTCTTTGCCTGCTGCTATCCACTTAAGATGTGACTTGCTCCTCCTTGCCCTTTGCCGTGATTGTGAGGCCTCACCAGCCATGTGGAGCTATAAGTCCATTAAACCTTTCTTTTGTAAATTGCCCAGTCTCGGGTATGTCTTTATCAGCAGCATGAAAATGAACTAATACATCATGCTACATCGTCCTCCATCCTACAAGAAAACTGGATTTCACTGGAGCCTTGCACAACTGGATTTTTAACCAAGTCATGTTGTATTCCTAGAAAATTATAGCATCGGTTTAAATAATATTGAAGCTATGTAGCTCCAATCTCTATTACATCCCTAACTTTAAAACCATTACAACTCTACTGGCACAACTCACTTACAGCTGAAGTGAAAATGGAAAATTTCACTGAAAATTGTCCTGACCTAAAACTGATCTTTAGTAATGCTACCATTTTTACTCACTTGCTAATAAGTCCACCTGCACTTGTTATATTTCTTATACAGTAAAATTCCCATCATTTCAGATAATTTTGCTTATAGTTTTTTCTTCACCATGAAGTCCTGCATGCAGTTTCTACCTTGGGCCAATCTCAAAGCTTCCCTCCATCACATCTCCCTCCTCAGTTCCTGTTGTCAGCCTCTATCACTGGAGAAAATAGTACTTAGCAATCCTTTTGCATCTCTTTCTGACAGCTTTATTCTTTCCCTGAGAATTTATTCTAGACTTTTTACTGTTTCACAGGGTATCTCTCTTATTCCTTTACACCTTGGATCCCTCAGAGAAAGAAAACTTGTTTTATGTTTCACAGAGAAATGAAGATTTTTGGGTGGGAATCTCATATGGTTTGGATCTGTGTCCCTGCCCTATCTCATGTCGAATTACAATCCCCATTGTTGGAGGTGGGGCCTAGTGAGAGGTGACTGGATCATGGAGGCAGAGTTCTCATGAATGGCTTAGCATCATCGCCTGGTGCTATCCTTGTGATACTGAGTGAGTGAGTTCTCATGAGATCTGGTTGTCTAAAAGTGTGTCACCTCACCCCCTCTCATCTGTTCCTGCTCCAGCCATGTAAGATGTTCCTGCTTCTTCTTTGCCTTTCGCTATAACTGAAAGTTTCCTGAGGCCTTCCCGTAAGTCAAGCAGATGCCAGCCTCATGCTTCCTGTACAGCCTGTGGAATTATGAGCCCATTAAACTTACTTTCTTTGTAAATTATCCAATCTTAGATATCTTTTTTTAGTAAAGTGAGAGCTAACTAATACAGAATCCAAATTTCTTACCCTCGACCTAAAAACCTATTGATATCTGGCCTATACCTCCCTTCAAGTCTCTAATATATCTTGTTCATCCTGTCAGTAGTTGGTCTGCATGTATGGTAAATCCCAAGCTTACTCTTTCTTTCCTTTTTCTTTTCTTTTCTTTTCTTTTCTTTCTTTCTTTCTTGCTTTCTTGCCTTCTTTGCTTTCTTCTTTCTTCTTTCTTCCCTCCCTCCCTCCTTCCCTCCCTCCCTCCCTCCCTCCCTTCCTTCCTTCATTCCTTCCTTCCTCCTCCTCTCTCTCTTTTTTTGGAGTTTTGCTCTTGTTGCCCAAGCTGGAGTGCAATGGCACAATCTCAGCACACTGCAACCTCTGCCTCCTGGATTCAAGCAATTCTCCTGCCTCAGCCTCCCAGGTAGCTGGGAGTACAGGCATGCACGACCACACCTGGCTAATTTTGTATTTTCAGTAGAGATGGGGTTTCTCCATGTTGGTCAGGCTAGTCTAGAACTCCCAAAATCAGGTGATCCACTAGCCTTGGCCTCCCAAAATGCTGGGATTACAGGTGTGAGCCACCACACCTGGCCCAAGCTTACTTTTTCTTTAGGAATTTTTCTCATCAAATATCTCCCCCTCTTCTGTATGTGTAATCTCTCCTTTTCTGCCAGTGTTTCCCCTCACTCTGAAGACAAACCTCACTCTTCCTCATCTTTTAAACAAATCCATCCTTTAACTCCATTTTCCACTGTAATCATATTTCTCCCTCCTTCTCATTCACATATTTTTAATGGAGTATCTACCACTTTTTGACCTTCTCAAAACTCATCAGCAAGAGTTATCTGTCCACCTAACTTCTTCCAAACTGCTCTTTCTTAGACTGTCAGTGCCAATGGAGGTGCCAAATCCAAAGGTCATTTGTAAAGACTTATTTTTATTGGCTCCTGTGTGGCATTATTAATGCTAAACCGTTTTTTTGTGCGTAACAGTATTTAGATGCTTGGTAACCTCATTCTGGGTTTTCTTCTATTTATACCTTCACTTTTCTCCCAGTCTTAGTTCCTTTCTCCTCTTCTACCAGTTACAGAAATGCCATTCTTTCTCTGTTTTGCCTTTGAATTTCTTATGTACATCTACATCTTTGAAATTACCTGTTGTCCTTTCATGCTTCACCTACTGCCTGCTTCCTGGTAGTTCTCAAATCATAATAACTAGCTTTAATTCTTCTAATATTGCATATTAGAAATCTGCATTGTGTTAGGCAAATGTGATAACCACTACACAATGGAAAACTATGCTATCTCACACAAATCTCTCTCTCTTTTTTCTTTTTTTTTTTTTGCTGTAATCTTCAGTTCATAAACAGTATCATGAGGTGCATAGTAGATAAAGGGAGTTTTAAGAGCCCTGTTGGTGGAGTAAAGTAGCCCAGATTCAAATTTCTGTACTGCAGGGGAGCTACTTAACCACTGTTAATCTTAGCTTCTGTGTGTGAAAGATGCATAATAACATAGCCAAGTTAGCTTGTTGATTCTAAGGATTAGATGTAATAATTTAGGAAAGTGCTTAGCACAGAGCCTGGCACATAATTAGTTGTCAAGAAAATTTGTTTGCCTCCTATTGTAATAAGAATAAATACTAAATGCAGTAAAAGTAATTTAAGGACTCATCCAAGTCAGAAACTTGGGGCACATCCCAGACTTCATCTTCCCTCTGAGGCCCAGGTCCCATTAGCCACTTAGGCTTACCCACTTTTACCTTCATCATACTGACTGTCATTATTTATTAACACCCCTCCATTTGCTCTGCCAGCATCACAAGGCAGTAACTTACACTTTGCTTGGACTGTTGCTATAGGATCAAATTGATTTTGGCATCTCTAACATATCACACCTCTCTCCCTTCTACTGTATATTGCTGCCAAACAATCTTTATAAAAGGAGCACATTTTATTATATTACTATACCATGTAAACACCCATTATATTCAAGGGCAAATACAAAATTCTTAATATAGCTTAAGTATATTGACACACTATGATCTGTTCTTTCTTTTCTGTTTGGTCTATTTCTTGCCATGCTTTGATGGCAGTTTTTACTTTCTTTATTCCAAATTACTTCTTGAAATTTCAACATATTCCAGATTTTCCATGCTTCATTTTCCCTTTGGTTTGCTTTTCCTCTTTTTCTTTCTTTTCTTTTTGTTCTTTTTTGATAGTTATTCTTCTTGGGCCTATATTTCCTTTTCTCCAATATTCACTTGCACAGTTTATTTAAAACTCAATCACTGGTAGATCTTTGGAAATTTTTCTCTTCTATTAACACTATGTTTATTTAATATCTTCTTTAAATTTCCTCACTCTTTTTAAACCTAAGCACATTCTTTTTTAAAAAGAAACTTTATTTCAATGTTATCCACTTTAAAGTATTACATTAGCAATAAATAGAAGGTAGCTATTAATGTTACAATGAAAACAAAATAATTTTATTACAGTATCCCTAGATCCCATGGCCTAGCCAAAAGACAGTAGACAGTGCTATTATATTCATTTTACAAATGAAGAAAAATGCTGTATGTTATTAATACAACTAATTTTTATGAGATGTAAATGCTGGGAGGTGAGTTCTGATTACAGACCTTTCTAGATGCTGAAGACAACATTTCCTCCTATTTCCTTATTTCAACAAGTAAATTTTTCTTAATAATGCTGCTTGCTTCTTTTTTAATGCAGCATTTTTTCTTAATACTGCTCATATCATTCCTTATCTATTTTAATATATTTATTAATAGACTCACTGTAGATCAATTTACATGAGGCTGTCCAGATTTATATCTGTTGTCAAAGTGGAATTGTTAATAGTGTCTACTTCCACTTCTAAAATATACTAATATGGATGATGGATTACATGGTTGCACTTATTATATATGTCTGCTTCTGATGGGGAAGCATCAGAAGTATTATATATTTTTTTTGAAGTAATCATGCTCCTCAAATATGTTGTTATTGAGGCCCACAAGTTCAAAATCACCTAGTGTTGTCAGCTACTTGTCAGTCAACTCATAAGAAAAGAAACCAGATTACCATTTGATCTCATCTGAGTTTAGTATTAGGGTTGACTGGCCTGAGTATTAAAAGCTGTGAGTCCCACAGAGCACATTTAGCCATTACTCATTGGAATGCCTCAACTCTGGGTTTTATCCTTTGCCCCCAGTAAATAAGTGGTTTTAGAAAGGACTGTGCCTGAGATTTTAATTCTTCAGCTATAAGAGTTTAGAGGATAGCAGCATGCAACTTTACCCAGAGTTAACTGAGCTCCACATGGTTTTGTCAGCTATTTAAGGCACAGAGGCTCAGTGGTGTTCTGATTTTACTCATGAGGACACATGAAGCTGAGCATTAAGTCACTATCCAGGTGGATCATGACTGGCACTGTTTGTCCAAAGCAAATGATGAGGGAGGGCTGAGTTGGCACAGACTGAACAGGTGTGTGGTGAGTGAATGTGTGTGGGCCAAGGTAGAGGTGGAAATGGTAAACGAATGAGCGAGACCCCATTATTTACTATCTTACATTATTTTGCTAGAGGGGTGCCTTGCAGTCTTCTGCTTCAGTCTAAAGCCACCACCCCACACATGCCAGGTCAATGCAAACCTCAGTTACATTGGAAATTTCCTACCATTTTTCTCTTTTTCTAATTTCCCTTCTGTATTCCCTCCAAGGATTGCTCTTTGAGGAGAAAGCTAAGAGCAGTGTTAAGTTCAGCATCTTCATTGGAAAAAGAATCATAAGAATCTAATCAGGACCTGTTTTAGTTTCTCCCATGTCTTGAAATACATAAGTTAAAGTATAGATGGTGACTGGCAAGACTGTGTCATCAGTGGGCACTTGCTACTATGTCTGCTGAGATTTTCCACAATTTCCCTCAGGGTACTTCTCTTACCGGCCCTTTCTGAATATTTTTAAGTTCTACCAAGATTTAAACAGTGGCAGATGCCCCCCAAAATGAGGAGTGTTGTGCTTATTTTCTACTGTTGAGTGACAAATTACCACACATTTAGTGGCTTTTATTATCTCATAGTTCTATTAAGTTGGAATCCTGATACTCAGTGACTGGATCCTCACAGCCCGAAATCAAAGTTTCAGACAGGTCAGAAAGGTGATCCTATCTGAGGTTAAGGATTTTCTCTAAGTGCATGAGCTGCTGGTAGAATGCATTTCTTTGTTGTCATAGAACTGAGGTCACCACTATCTTGCTGGCTGTCAACATTGGATATTCTTAACTCCTAGAAGTTGCCAACCATACCCTGACATGTGGCCCTCTCCAAAACGTGGCATCTTGCTTCTTTAAGGCTATCATGAGAATCTCTCTGTAAATCTCTCAGACTACTTTTAAGGACATACCCTACTCATTATAATATCTCTTTTAATTAACTCTATGTCAACTGATTAGAGACCTTAATGATATCAGCAAAATTCCTTCTATCCCATAACATAAGCACCAGCATGATATCTCTTCATAGTCACAAATCCCACTCACATTTAAGACTAGGAGATTACATAGTGCAAGAACACCAGAGGGCCATGCTAGAATATTATAATTCTGCACAGAGAAAAGTAAATTTAAATATATATTATAATATTTATAGATGGTCAGTGCCTTGGTCAATAAAGAGTAAGTAGCAATTTCTGTATCACCCCTTAACAACTTAAGATGCAGACTACTGAAGTATAAGTCCTTCTCAAATATAATACCAGATCATCAAGCTGTTACTTTCATTTCTACTAATCGTTCTAATTTCATTTCAACTTACCCATTTTAATTATAAGGATAATTACAATAATTTATAATAAGCTGATGTGCAACTCTCCTTAATTTTTTAGGCACTGTTTCATGACGCTGTGAAATTTGATAACTTTTAGAGATAGTCAGATTGAGCTAGGCTGAATAAAGAAAAGACAATAGAAAAAAACTGTATTTACTTTAACATGAAAAGTAAAACATTCATTAAGAAGGGAGCCATTTTTACCAAAATGCAAATGTAAAAATGTAGCTCTGAGAGTCAGAAAGTAATGCACATTGCATTCTTTCTCAAACATAAATGTTTCAATAGGAATTTTATCTATTTTGAAGTTCTGTTAAATGAATTATACTGGCATTAAATTGGAGCATAGAAATCCTGATGAATTTAAGCTTTTAAAAATGTTTATTTTGCATATGTCTTAAAATGCAAATAACAAATGTATGAATTATTACTAGATGGATAATTAAGATACATAGCAAACATGAACTGCTATGAGTGTTAAGATATAGTTAAAATAAATGAGAAATCCTGTGCATAAAATATATTATGCTCAAAAGTTTTAGTACAGGGGCAATAAAACATTTTCAACTTAAATACAATCAAAATACTCTGTTCTCCAAACACATATAAAACTATGGAAGTAGTGTTCAAAGAGTTTTGCTGATAGGAACAGTGAAAAGCTAGCCATAGACTGGTGTATTTTATATTAAATATATAATGAGCAGACAAATCCCTTAATATCATGAAATAACAGTAATTCAAGCTAGTGATTTAATTAAGCATTTTTAAAAAATAAAACTAATGTATGATTGTGATCTACAGATAAGACTTATAATATGTTTGCTACTTTGGTCAATTACTTATATACTTTTATCACTTTTAAATGAAGAACATAAAATGTTTCCTTTTATTTAAGTAACTTCCTTCCTTCTTCTTTCCTTTCTTCTTGTTTTCTTTCTTTCTTCCTTCACTCCCCACCCCTTTTTATTCATTCTTTTATTTTATCGTTTTGTTTTCACCCAAACATAGATCTGGCAACATAGCACTTGAATTATATTTCAAGCATTGGATTGCTCCACAGATGCATTACTCTTATTAAAATATATAGATGAAAAATCAGAGTGTAAGTAATGGTTAACAGTGGTCTTATACTACATGAAAAACTATATACATTTGAAAATAATGTAATCATACACTTTACATTAGGATCCTTTGTGCAAATCAACAAGTTTATCTACTTGAAAATAGAGGCATTGCTAGCAAATAAATTGCCATAGGCTATATGTGCTGAGTGCTGTCTAATGTAAATAACTCCTTCATGAGATTTCTGTCTCTGCTTGAAAAATGACCACAAATATCAGAGAACATTTTGTTTGGGTACTGACATACTATATTAATCAGGATTCAGTTTACACTGTTGTTGGTAATAGAGCAGAATAACAAAGACAGAAGTGGGGATCAGGGAGATAGGTTCAAATTTTTTTAATCAGGATTCAGTTTACACTGTTGTTGGTAATAGAGCAGAATAACAAAGACAGAAGTGGGGATCAGGGAGATAGGTTCAAATTTTTTTTTTCTATTTTGTCTGTCTGTTGACAATTGCCTAAACTCTGAGAACTTGATTCCAATTCTTTTCAATTGAACTAATGAAAGACATTGCTCACAAGATGATGTAGTTGTTAGCTGATTGAATGAAATATGCAAGGTCCTTTAGGCAGTGTATGGCATATCATAAATAGTCAATAATTTGTAGTACTTGTAGTTCTTTAAAACTGTTCCCATAATCCAGTGAATTTGGACAATATTCCATATTTTATCTACCTTTGACAATTCATAATGCATAATGGTTGGTGAAATCCTCTGAGAGAACTTACGGTCTCATTTAATTATTTTATTTAAGCTTAACATTATGTCAGTTATTTAATAGGGAGAATGTGTGTGTGTGTAATACTTATTGCTTTATTTTACTTTAATTTTGAAATAAACTGCCTTATTGCATTCTTTTTACTTTTTTTCTTTGCATCAGCATAAATAAGAGTTTTCTGTTATATGAAGCCCAAAATGATACAATTTAAATTGGCAAAGTTAAAATTGTTCATGAAAACATTTTCTGTTGATTAACAGCAGTTCTTGAAATTCCACAGGAAAAAATTTGATTTTATTTTACTTTTTGCTCTAGTGGAAATCGTGATTTAAAAAAATTAGTTGAGAAGACATGTATGCTATGCAAAAAAAAAAAAAAAAGCGAGTGAGAGAGAGAAAGAAATTAGAGACCTAGAGATTTCTTTCCCAACTTCTTCTTAAAGTATTTTGTTTTATTATTACAAACTAGCATTCTTTGATATCTCCCCATTTGATAATTTAAACTTCCATAGACATTACTCATGCATATAACAAATACTGAAGTTTTAATTTTGTGATTTGCTCAGTACTTTCTTCAGTTGTTTAACATAGGTCAGTTAATTATTTAATGTTAATAGAAAACACTGAGAATTCAGCAAAACGATTCCAGTTTTAATATTGAACACTCTTTAATGTGTGCAATTTTCTAATCAAACATTAAACATTATACACTTTGGGATAATTTCAAATTTAGGAGAGAAATGCAGGCATTTTTAAAGTTTTTTTTTGGAGGTTGTTATGAACTGTGGATTGGAGAAGATAGAAGGGAAAGTATAAGAGTAGATGTATATTTGTTGCTGAATGTCAATGATTTAATCAAATAGGAAACTCTCTTTCCAGATGTTACCATTGTAACATATTTGTAGTATCTGTGCAAATTTTCTGATATTACACAAGCAGCAAAAAATGTCCTTTTAACTTGCCTTTTTTCCCAGAGACATCATTGGCAGGTAGAAATGGCTCTCTGAGCACAGTTGAAAGCACAGCTTTTAAAGAGAAAAATAAAAGGGGGAAGCAAAATATAGCATTATGGCTTCGTAGCACTTTTTGGGAAATCAAAATGAGGAATTAAGTATGTTCACTTTCCTCTAAGTATGATTGTTTTTATTCCCTTTTTATATTTCTAAAATATGAAAGTCCATCTAAAACAATGTTTTTATTTTCGGTTGTTATTGTTTCTCTAAAGATCTTAATGACATGACAGCACAAGACTTAGAACAGATTGTCACCTAGGAATAACAGTGATGCAGGACAAGATTATCTTTCTTGTCTTGCATGGTCCCTGCTCTCCTTCCCTTTCCCTTGCCCCAGTTTGCCTCCTCCTTTATGTACCATGTGGCATATCATCTTTATTCCCTCAACAAATCTGCTCACAAAAAGATTTTATTTTATTTTCATGAATTTACAACCAAATGCTATCTCTCTAAAGTTTATTTGCATTTTAAACCTTATCTCAGACCGTGGAAGCAAAAAATTTAACACCCTGTTAAGGGGATTTTAAGCATCACTCGGCAGGCAGGAGTATGTGTTCTATGAGCAAATCCTTTTTCTGCTTCTCAGAAATTGTATTCTCTGTAGTTGCTTCTCCAGGTGGGAAGGCGAAATAGTTTAGAAATAAAATTGCTAGGTTTAGGGACAGGCGGACATAAATTTGGATCCCTGCTTCTGCCATTTACCTCTTGAATGATCTGGGGAAAGCCACTTAACCTTTCATTTCCCATTTCAGATAAGTGAGTTAAGTAATCAAAGCTACCTCATAAGGGTGTTGTGAGAATCAAATAGGTTATTGGGAAAAGTATCTAATTAATAAATGGTAACTATTATTATTGCATTAGTCTGGTTTTGGCTGAAGAGTTAGGGTACTCAATTTAACTTCAATTATTTTTTTGATAGAGTGTGTTTTATCTATTCTATTATGAAATGTTAATAAACCTTAAACTATCCATCATGTCAGATGGTTGCCAGTGTCCAGTCTAACATCTTTGGAATTCTCCTCAGTATTTCTGCTTGAGTGCCTGCCTGTCACATCGTATTCAGCATTTTCTCTGTTCCTCTTTTCACTAGAATCAATATTCACCTGTATCTGCTCGGCCTCCTTCTGACAACAAATAATGCCTGCGAACAGGAAAGCCTCATGCTTAGCAAGAATAAAGTATATTAGAGAGCAAGGTGAGTCAACTATAAACTCACAGATTAACCTAGCATCGCCAGCACAGACATTCAAATTGCATACTTTCTTGCCCCTCAGGGGTGAGATCCCAGTTCTGTATGCTAAACCCTGCCTTAGCTGGCTTTCTGGAAATAATAGACTGATGGTATCCATTGATAGTCTCAAAATTTTCATTTCTCAAGATAATAATGTCTGGCTATCTGATAACATCTTAATATTAATTCTATCCCATGGTTTTTATTCATTGAACAATTCACATTCAGTCAGAAACCATTTCCTGGATGTTGACATTATGCCCATTATGAATCAAGGCCATAACAAATGTAGTCACCCAGAATATGGGTTGTTTTTTAATATCTTGTCTAACATGATCAGAGATAAATGCTTTATTGTTCATCCCTCCGCCAATTCTACTCTACCTTTTATGTTTGATTCTACCCTTGTTCTCTAATCATACAATAACAAAATTGACTAGCTATAAATTCTGACTAATTCTTCCTTAGTTATGGTTCCAATATCTCCAACACCAATTTTTAATTCTGAAAGCCATTAAATTATATGAGTTATACCATCATAAGCTAAAACATTTTAATAGATTCACTTTCTCTCAACCTAAGAATATTTATTTAACCTGAGTGAAGAATATTTTTAGATCATCTTCTTTCCTGCCATTCATATTGCAGATAAATATATAAGCAAAAAAATAAAAAAATAAACAAACATGCTTAAATACCTCTCCCTATCTCACATTAAATACTGTCAAAAGACAAAATTATAACAAATTTAGTTAAAGATCTAATTAATTGGCTTTTATTTGTCATTCAGGAATTATGGTAGCTTCGATCCTACAAAATAGAATGAGAGCTCCCACTCGGCAATGGCAGAACCTTTTGAAAGAAGGAAACATGGAAACAGAACAATGGAAAGAAAAAGAACTCATTGGTTGACATGAGGTTACTTTTTTTGTAATGGTTAAAGCACAAAGGACTTCCTTATTACAATGACTCAGGTAGACCAGAATCTCCTGATTTCTGGAATAACTGATCTGTTTGGGAACCTCCCTGTTTCCTTAAACTTTGGTTTGGCCTGGTCTGTTGGGGCCTAGTGCAGGAGCTCAGCCCAACACAATAGCCTCCTATAATTTTTGTTTATCCACACAAAAACATTAATTCCTGGTGGAGTAAAGGTCTAAATGTGAAAGAGAGACTTCTAAAAGTCTTACTGAAAAATATTGAAGAATATCTTCATAATATCTGGTTAGAAAAATAATTCTCAAACCTAATATAAAGTGAAAAATTACGAAGGAAAACTTTAACAACATTAATGTAAAAACTTTCTGTTCACCAAGTAACATCATAAAGCAGAACAAGTAGAGACTGAGGGGACATTGCTTTATAATACAAATGCAATGCCTATAGATGTCAGAATATATTAGAAAACCCATAGGAAAAACATAGGCAAATTTCTACTTTAATCAAGAGAATAAAATTCTTTTTCACACCATCATACTGGTAAAAATTTAGAACATCTAAAATAGCTATTGCTACAGTATAGAAACTCTTGTATACTGCTAGTGAGGGTATGTTAATTAATAGTAGTATTTTAAATAGGATCTATGTTCTGTAACTCAAACACAGCAGAAGCAAATAGAATTTTATTTATCTCCCATGGGAAAGAACCAACTATAGTATCTCTGTAACTTGGAAGTTTTCAAGAACCCAGCCTCTGTTTTATTGTTCCATCGCAGTAGTGGGCCCAAGATGGCCCACATTCATTGGTTAATAGAAGACAATGAAGAAAATCTTTTGAAAAAATCAAGATAAAATGTAGAACAAAGAGATGTTCATCACCAAGAGAGAAAGGATTTAAGAGAAAGTTTGTCCATTCAATAATGCATTCATTATTTATTAAGCAACTATATGACAGGCACTGAGTTAGAACCTTTATCTACATGTAATTTCAAGAGCTGGTCAATGGCTAATTTTCAAAAGCACCAGTTCATATCTTTCACATGCCAGTAAATCAAGCTACATATTTATGAAATATAATATCAATTTATATTCTAAAAATATATGTGTTTTCTTTCTGAAAACTTGGAGCAAGGAATTATTTCTTGCTTTTTTAAAAACAAACAAACAAACAATATCTAGGCTGCATGTGGTTGTTCATGCCTATAATCCCAACACTTTGAGAGGCTGAAGTGGGAGAATTCTTTGAGGCCAAGAGCTTGAGACCAATCAGGGCAGCATACCAAGATCCCATCTCTAAAATAATTTTTAAATTAAGGTGAGCTGGGCATCTGTAGTCCCAGCTACTTTGGAGGCTAAGGGGGGAGGATTGCTTAAGCCCAGGATTTCTATACTGCAGTGAACTATGTTCCTGATACTGCACTCCAGCCTGATTGAAAGACCAAGATTTTCTCTCAAAATAGAATAATTAATTACATAGAATATGGTCCCTTAAGCAAATAACAAAATTAATTAAATACATATTAATTATGTTACATAAAGTAATTTTTTAGTTCATTTTTAAAATTCACATGTGTTTTGAACCTCAACATGTATCAGGTACCATACAAAATTCTAAATAAAATAAGAATAATTTAAAAATATTTATTCTCGGCTGGGCATGGTGGCTCATGCCTGTAATCCCAGCACTTTGGAAGGCCAAGGCAGGTGGATCATCTGAGGTTAGGAGTTTGAGACCAGCCTGGCCAACATAGTGAAACCCTGTCTCTACTAAAAATATACAGATTAGCTCGGTGTGGTGATGGGCACCTGTAATCCTAGCTACTTGGGAGGCTGAGGCAGAAGAATCTCTTGAACCCGGGAGGCGGAGGTTGCAATGAGTCTAGATCATGCCACTGCACTCCAGCCTGGGTGACAGAGTGAGACTTTGTCTCAAAAAAAGAATATTTATTCTCAAAAGGTGTCTATACTTTTGTGGGAAAAGATGTATAAACAAATAGTTATTTAAAAGTGAGTTAAATATAATGCTGAAAATAATTCCAGAAAGTTATTGGATCATAAAAGAGGACTTCCTATCTGATGAGGTTAAGAAGCTAGGCAAGTCTTTCTAGAAGGCATTATGCTGAACTGAAAGACAGATGAAATTATCATATAAAAGTAAGAAGGGGATGGTAGAACATTTTAGGCAGATAGTAGAGTACAGAAAAGACTTTAGGTGAGAAAGGAGATTGACTATAATCAAACAAGAATAGTCAGCACAGAATATTCTCATATCAATACATCTTTGTATGTATACTTTTGGAGAAGAGTCATTATCAAACACTTTCACTTTTGGCTTTATGTTATAATCTATTATAGGGATTCTGTTCTATATAGGGCTTACATTCTAATATAGTTTATAAAAGAAATTAGAGGAGGTGAAAGAGGAAAAGTAAAGTGAGGAGGAGAGGGTGGGAGAAAGGAGGTTAGAGAGAGATAAGAGGAGAAATAGAAGGAGTAGTAAAAGAAGAATAAATCTTAAAAGAAAATGTATGAAATACAAATTCATTTTTGGAACTGTAAGTATGTCTTCATTAACTAGTTGCAGTAATTATACTGTGGGAGACTTGCTAACCTATCAACTTACTAATTACTGTTTCTTTAGTTTCTTAATCTTCTCTCACATGTATTTGATTATAATATTAAAAAGAAAAGAGAAGCAGATACTAGCCATTAGTTCAAATGTCTAGTAGTGCAAAATATTTTACATTGTAAATTAAGTAAAAATATAAAAAATTAGTCCAGATTCATGTTTTCTTCTATTCCAAGAAAGCCTTCGTGGTGATTTGAAATGAGTATTCCACAGTGGCCAATAATTACTCAACTAAAGCATAATTAATGGCACTATATCTATCTGTGATGTCTTTCTAAAGCCAGCTTTTGGATGACAGAATTTTAATCAACAACCTAGGCAAACGATTATTCCAGTCCAAATACTATATTTTAATCATAAAATCAAAGCTATAAAAAATTCCATTCTATGTCGTGAGTTAAGTTTATATTAATTCAGTTAATAATATAGGTTATTTTTAACTATAATAAAAGCACAATGCAGACTATTTTTTAAACTAAAAACCTTTTTCACTCAGGTGTTTTTCTCTGCATTCTTCACTTTCAGTCACTGACAAAAATTTAGAGACTTCCTGACTTTCTCCTATGGCCTAAACAAACAAATAAGCAGCAAACCACCATGATGCATGTATACCTATGCAACAAACCTGCACGTTCTGCACATGTATCCCAGAACTTAAAGTATTAAAAAAAAAAAAAAAAAAAATTGTCTGTTGGGAGCGAGGAACTCTCCCTGGTGCTGAAAATAGAAATTTTACTTGCGTTCCTCGATTTAAACTTGGAATCACAGATGAAAGAAAGAAAGAAAGAAGGAAAGAAAGAAAGAAAGAAAGAAAGAAAGAAAGAAAGAAAGAAAGAAAGAAAGAAAGAAAGAAAGAGAGAGAAAGAAACAGAGAAAGAAAGAAAGAGAGAAAGAAAGAGAGAGGAAAAAAGAAATTCCATTTATCTTACACCTATGTATGTCTAGTCCAAGGTTTTATCAATTATACAAATTTTACACTTCACCCAACCTTTAATTCTTCACAAGAAGGTATCTTCTCCACGTGCTGCTGTTGGATCCCAGTCCTTGTGTTTATGCTCTTGACACAATGACAACAAGCAAAGTGCAAATCTCTCGGTCTCCATGGAGAATGGCTGCCTTCCATAACTTCTCAGCTAATAAAAAAGTATATTAATTGGCTCTGATTGTTGTGATTCTGGCCAACATCATGTTTGTGGAAAGTACATTTTATACCTTCATCTAAATAATTGAACCTAATAATTTAAAGATTAAAGTATTTTTATTGACTTACTTTAACATACTTAGGGAAAATGCTATGTATAGTTATTAACAACTTATTTTTAATTTAGAAACTCTGGAAATAAAAATCATCTAACATTTATATAAGTGCATGTTTTGCATATTTGTATTCATGGAGGTAAAGAAGTGAACTGATTTCCTCACTGAGTTTTATTTTGTAAGTGATTCTAATGTGTCTATGCTTCCAGTGTTTTATTTTAATTTTTAAAATTTGGGTAGAAAAAAGAGTGAAGGATGAGAAGGTATAGTCAAATTGATTGATAAGATCATTTGATTCTCCAACAAATGTTTGCACTATAGTAGTAACTAAAATTAAAGATAAATTATTTGGTTATTAGTTTTTTATCTGCTAGCTTGGGATTCATTTCTCAATTGCATAGGTTAACACATTAAAATTAACAGATTATTCTTTAGTTAATCAGAAAAAATATGTAAAACTGTATGATATTAAAATACTGCTTTTGATTTTTCTGACAGGAAATCTAATTAAGTGCATACATTTATTTACCTAAGTGATGGATTTTAAAACATATGTTTTATCCTATAAAAGTTATTAATTTTATATTACATTTTAAACGTTTTGGCATCAGTTGATTTTTATTTTTATTTTTATTTTTTATATTACTAGTGACACCCAAAAAGGTGGGGAGCTATCAGCTTATATAGTCAGGGAGGAGTCTGTCTTTTCCCTGTCCCAGGACTCTTCCTGAGGGTCAAGAACAGGGCAGAGGCGGGGAGGAAAGTTGCTGCTAAAGAGCAGACCACATGACCGCTCCACTCCAAGACTCAGATATTATTGGTCTAGACTCAGCAGGTGAAGATAAGAGGTTCAAAATGAATATGAGACTGAGGTTTCATAAAATTCTAAATAATAAAAGTGACTGCTTAATAAAGAGTGACTAAAAGTTCTGAAAGTAAACTGGGATATTGTTAAGGAAGCAAGCTTTTCCAGTGGAAAGATGGGAGTTGAACACATCATTGTCGGGGGTAGTTATTGCTAAAATAAAACCTTTTCAATATTTGCTTAGGTAAATGACCCTCTTCAAGAAGGATTACATATACATATCAAACGAAATACACATATTCACTTTCAGCATGGTGTTCTACAAGTGTTATGCTGCCCTTGTGTGGAGCTAAACTCTTCTCATTCCTGTCACTTTCACAGACCGTGTATTTTTCAGTATAATTCAAAATTCCAGTATTCCAATCTTAACTCAATAAGAAGTATTATTCAAATAAAATATTTTCATATAAATTATCAGTAGCAATATTTTACAATATGTTTCGTATGACTTTTTCATAATCCATACAAGATCTTTCTCCCTTTTAAATATTTCATGCGTTCCTTAACTGTGAAATATACACAGCTAAAAATCTATCAGCCTTTGTCCTCCCAGACCTACACATTCTACATGCCCTTTCTCTCTGTTATAAGCGATTTTAGCTTAGAGCCCTGTTTTGTATCCAGCAGGTCAAAACTAGGTGACCAGACAAAAATGTTGACTACAAAATCAGATAGCTCATTGGAAATAAATGAAGTCCAAGCTAATTAGAAAAAGTAAAGACTGTTTATTCAAAGCTTGCAATAGCAAGGGAGTCAGCCACTGTTATTTGCATTTTAGCAGAGATTTCAGAGAAGGTAGAGGAGTGGGGAAGTTTTACAGTGGACAAAAGGGAAGGCTTCAGGTGTGCCCTGATCAGTGGCTGTTAGCATGGGAAACAGTAGGTAGTCTAACTAGAAGCGGTCATGTTATATGATTGATTAAGGTTTCATATTTGGCTTTCTTTGGTTGGTCCTAAGTTTGAATCAGGGACAAAAATTAGAAAAGCTGTCAGTTATAGATCAAGCCCTAGTCATTTTAGGCCACTTGTTATAGGAGTTAATGTTTGGCTTCATGGACTGTCATAGGGATGGCAGACTGACTTCCTACTACCACCCACTTACAGCAATTTGGCTTTCCTGAGCTGGTTATGTAAATAATAGGCTGATTTCCTGGGCAGGTTGTTGCAGACTATGTTTCACATGTCCGTTTTTGTATGCGGTCTAGTCATTATTTGTGTATTCAGTTTCTCACTTTCTACTCTTCCTGTTAATCTGGCCATGTTTATTATAACCGATTTACCTTAAACTTACACTACACATTTATCTATACACCTATTCACATATGTTGTTTATTTAGATATAATACATATGTATATGTGGGTATATATATACACACACATATATGTGTATATACAATATATTATTTAATAGGTGATATAGGTGTTGTGGTTGCAGATTGAAAGTAAATGAGAAGTAAATAAAACAAAATACTTGTCCATAAAAATCTTACAATCTGGTAAAAGTTAAATTAAACAAATATGTAATGAACATTTATTTTATGCCTAGCTCCATGAAAGGCACAGCAGACATATTGGGAATTGAGACAGATATAAACCTCTAATTTCTCTGAAATTGCTGTCAAGAAGATGATGGATGATTAATTAAGTTTGCAATTTAAATATAGTGCAAATTGTTAAATGAAGGAAATACAGGAGCACATAAGAGGGGTGCATTAGTCAATTAATGAAGCCATATTGCTATATAACAAATCCTTTCACAACTCCATAACCAACACTCACATATTCTCATAAACAGGTGGGTGACTAGGGCAATTCTGCTTTGACTGTGGTATCTAGGGACAGCTATTCAATGTTGTAGATCCCCATGGAGGATGTGTCTCATCCTCCTTGGGCCATCCTCCCTGAGCCATTAGACCTTGGCATGTTCTATTTACAGTGATGTCCAGAAGACAGGAGGAAAAGAAGGCTGAAGCTTGAAACAGGCTCGGTATCATTTCTCCCTTATATTTCATTGGCCAAAAAAATGCCACATGGCCAAGCACTCTCTCCCACCAAAAAACAAAAAGGACAGGAAAAAATGATCAACCTTTTTGTGGAAGAACTGCAGAATAATAACACATGGTGTATTAGTCCATTATCATACTGCTATGAAGAAATACCCTAGACTGGGTAATTTATAAAGAAAAAGACGTTTAATGGACTCAAAGTTCCACATGGCTGAGGAGGCCTCACAATCATGGCAGAAGGTGAAGGAGGAGCAAAGGCACATTTTACACAGTGGCAAGCAAGAGAGCATGTGCAAGGGAACTGCCCTTTATAAAACCATCAGATCTTGTGAGACTTTTTGACTATCATGAGAACAGCACGGGAAAAACCTGCCCCCATGATTAAACTGCCTCCCACAAGATCTGTCCCACAACACCTGGGAATTATGGCAGCTACAATGCAAGATGAGATCTTGGTAGGAACACAGCCAAACCATATCATCTCACACCTGCCCCCCACAAATCTCATGTCCCTACATTTCAAAACCAATCATGCCTTACCTACAGTCCCCCAAAGTCACAATTCATTTCAGCATTAACTCAAAAGTCCACAGTTCAAAGTCTCATCTGAGACAAGGCAAGTCCCTTCTGCCTATGATCTTGTAAAATCAAAAGCAAGTTAGTTACTTCCTAGATAAAATGGGGGTACAGGCATTGGGTAAATATACCCATTCCAAATGGGAGAAATTGACCAAAACATGGGCTACAGGCTCCATGCAAGTCCAAGTCCAAAATCCAGTGGGGCAGTCAAATCTTAAAGCTCCAAAATGATCTCCTTTGACTACATGTCTCACATCCTGGTCATACTGATGCAAAAGGTGGGTTCCCATGGCCTTGGACAGCTCCACCCCTGTGGCTTTGCAGGGTACAGCCCCCCTCTGGCTGCTGTCATGGGCTGGCATTCAGTATCTGTGGCTTCTTCAGGTACCTAGTGCAAGTTTTTGGTGGATCTAACATTTTGGGGTCTGGAGGATGATGGTCCTCTTCTCAAGACTTCAGACAGTGTCCCAGTAAAGATTCTGCATGGGGGTTCCCACTCCACATTTTGCTTTCACACTGCTGTAGCAGAGGTTCTCCATAAGGGCTCACTTCCTGCAGCACAACCTCTGCCTGGACATCCAGACATTCCCATTCATCCTCTGAAATCTAGGCAGAGGTTCTCAAACCTCAATTCTTGGCTTCTGTGCACCCACAGGCTCAACACCATTTGTAAACCACCAAGGCGTGGGGCTTGCACCCTTTGAAGCCACAGCCCTGAGCTTTCATTTATACCTTTTATCCATGGCTGGGATGCAGGGCACCAAGTCCCAAAACTACAAAGGGCAGCAAGGCCTTAGGCCTGGCCCATGAAACCATTTTTTCCTCCTAAACCTCCTGGCTTGTGATAATAGGGGCTGCCATTAAGACCTCTGGCATGCCCTGGAGACATTTTCCCAGTTGTCCTGGTGATTAACATTTGGCTCCTTGTTCCTTATGCAAATTTCTGTAGCCAGCTTAAATTGCTCCTCAGAAAATGGGTTTTTCTTTTCTATTACAAATTTTCCAAACTTTTATGCTCTGCTTTACTTTTAAGCATAAGTCCCAATTCCAAAACATATCTTTATGAATGAATAAAACTGAATGCTTTTAAGAGCACACAAGTCATCTCTTGAGTGCTTTGCTGCTTAGAAATTCCTTCTGCCAGATACCCTAAATCATCTATATCAAGTTTAAAATTCCAAAGATCTCTAGGGCAGGGGCAAAATGCCTGCAGTCTCTTTGCTAAAGCATAGCAAGAATACCTTTGCTCCAGGTCCCATAAGTTCCTCATCTCTATCTGAGGCCACCTCAGCCTGCACTTTTTGATAAAAAACTTTCAACAAGTCTCTAGGAAGCTCCAGACTTTCCCACATATTCCTGTTTTCTTCTGAGTCCTCCAAATTGTTTCAACCTCTGACTGTTATCCAGTTCCAAAGTTGCTTCTACATTTTTGTGTATCTTAATTGCAGTGCCCCACTCCCAGTACCAACTTACAGTATTAGTCCATTTACATACTGCTATGAAAAAATACCTGAGACTGGGTAATTTATAAGGAGAAAGAGGTTTAATGAATTCACAGTTCCACATGGCTAAGGAGGCTTCACAATCATGGCAGAAGGCAAAAGTCTAGCAAAGGCACATCTTACATGGCAGCAGGCAATAGAGCATGTGCAGGGGAACTGATCTTTGTAAAACCATCAGCTCATGTGAGACTTATTGACTGTCAGGGGAACAGCATGGGAAAAGCCCACTCCCATGATTTAATTCCCTCCAATCGGGTCTCTTCTATGACACATGGGGATTATGGGAGCTACAATTAAATATGAGATTTGGGTGGGAACACAGCCAAACCATATCACATGCAACAGTGTGGTAAATCAGTCTACTGCAAATGGCATGATAAGAGTAAGCTACTCAAAGACCTACCATGTCATGGACAAAATGAGACTAAAGTTGTTTTCACTGTCATACAGTTGTCAGACTAAACCTTCACTTAATGAATACATGTGCCAAACTGGAAAAGACATCTTACAGGTAGAAAATAATACTGGCTGGTGATGGTGGCTCATGCCTATAATCCTAGCACTTTGGGAGGCCAAGGTGGGTGGATCATTTGAGGTCAGGAGTTCGAGACCAGCCTGGTGAACATGATAAAACCCCATCTTTACTAAAAAAAAAAATAGCTGGGCAGTAGTGGCACATGCCTGTAGTCTTAGCTACTCTGGAGGCTAAGGCAGGAGAATCGCTTGAGCCTGGGAGGTGGAGGCTGTGGTGAGCAGAGATTGCACCACTGCACTTCAGTCTGGGTGACAGAGTGACACCCTGTCTCACAAAAGAAAAGAAAAGAGAAAGAGAAGAGAAGAGAGGAGAGGAGAGAAGAGGAGAGAAGAGAAGAGAAGAGGAAAAGTAGGAAAAGAAAAGAAAAGAAAAGAGAAAAGAGAATAAAGAAAAGAAAAAAAGAAAAGAAAAGAGAAAAGAAAAAAGAAAAGAAAAGACAGGAAGGGAAGGGAGGGGAGGAGGGGAGAGAAAGGAAGGGAAGGGAAGGGAAGGGAAGGGAAGGGAAGGGAACCGAAGGGAAGGGAAAAGGCTACTTCTCAGTCTCCAGACATTTAGAGGGCAGAAGTAAAAACAGAAAACAAACAAACAAACAAAAAAGCCCACAATGTGAGAAAGCTGACATAGGAGGCAAGGTGAAGATAGGTGACTAGTCAGGATTTTTGGAATACTTCCCTTTGTCAAATTAGGAAGAGTAGAAAATATCACTGAGGAATGCATGCAGGGAAGTAATAATCAAGAGTGCCTTGTGAGGTGATCACTGTGTTATAGTGGTGAAGAACACCACGGGAGGCACAAAGCCTCCAGAAAGTGAATCAAGAGTGATCCAACTACATAATTTGCATTTTAGCCATCCTTTCTCCCTTTCTTGTCATCCAAGTAGAACCTTGCATAAGTTTCCTAAGAAAATAAAATTTAAGGAAATGATATGAGTATCACATAATTATCAAACCCAGAGGACAATAGATACATCTTAAATAGGAACAAACAATTAAATATTTTATGCCATGTCAGGTTTTTTTAAATTTTCATTTCCTTTTTTCTCTTCCTTCTTCTTGCTTATTCTGCACATATCATATTTTTTTAAATATACCTTTATTCTGTATATCTTCTCTCTGAAATCCAGAGGGGCATCACTTTTCTACAAGACAAAGGGACAAGATCATCATTGCTTGATACCCTTAAATAAATGCATTAGTCAAAATGACAATTTCATTGGCAATCAATAAAGACATAGCAAAAATTGGCTAAAGCAAGCGGTAAGTTCAGAAAAGCAGTCTAGTTAAACAATTGCCCACCTGACTGAACAATATTAATAGTGATTGATTCCAAGTACACCTCACAGAACATATTTGTCTAACCATTCATGCATTTCTAACTCCTTTCCACCTTTCCCCCTTTTTCTGTGTCAATTTTACCGATGACCTACAGATTTACTTAGAGAGCTAATTACAGTCTCACTTTGTCTGTATGAACTGAGTTCTAAATATATTAATTTCACTGATTTATCTGTATTGATGAGTTTTTTACTTTACAAGAAAAATAATATGTAGTGCTTGCTTGTGTTGGAAATATTATAATTCTATAAATTCTCCATGTGTACCTAATTGAAATTTCTAGATGAAAACAAGCAAGGTCCTTTCTCACCATCTCTTCATACCCCAATCCAACTTACTCATATGCATGCCTAAAAAGCCAACTTTTCTAATAATATTTTTCTGATCTTTACCATCTTGTCCTTTTCATTTTCTATTTCATTTTACTTTCATTTATTTCTTATGTTTTTGTTGTAGTTTTTATTTATGTAATTTTTAATGTATTCAACATGTGCCAGATATTAAACATTGCAAAATACCTAGGTGTTGCCTCAAGTCTGGGAATGAAAAGACAATGATTTTGTGGCTTCTGTCCTAAGAGATTTAAAATCTAATGAAAAATCTCAAAAACTGTGATGATTGTTAAAATAATACAGTACTATGTGATTTATAGAAATAAATAAAGTAAGCATTATGGAGGGACAAAAAATGGCCCAAACTAATGAGAGAGTAAGAGTTTTATTTTGGAAGTTTAGGGCTAGTGACTTTTAAATTTATTGAGTAAGCCTACATAACCCACTCAATAATGAAAGAGATTGTCCAGGGCAGAGAAAATTACACAGAAGGTAAATCACAGAATTCAAGAAGAAAGAAACACATTGAAAATGGTCAGAGAGTTAGGTATAGGCTAAAACACAAAACGACAAAGTTTGCATTTGATAATAAAAGTTGTTGTGTCCCATTACAAATTTTTTACAAACATCTGCTATGGTACTTAATAAGAGAAACCAGTCGTTGCTCACAAAAGAAGGAAGATAAATATGTGTGCATGGGTATGTGTACCTGTATTTATGGCCTCATGAGGAGTTTCCTATGATCAGTTGAAAGAGGAAGAGAAGACTTGGTCCTATTATACAGATGGTTTTAAATGATGTACAGATACACCTGAAAGTGAATAGCTGCAGCATTATAGCCCTTTTCTGGGACATTACTGAAAGACAATGGTGAAATAGAATTTTCCCAGTGGGCAGAACCTTGAAGATTTTCCCCTGATACTAATTTTGCTTGGAAGGAGAAATAACCAGAAGTGCAATTATACATCAATTTATGAGGTTTAGCCAATGTTTGGTTGTATGGTCAGGAAGTTGAAAGGAGCATGATTCAAAAATTAGTGATAGGGGGCGGGACGCGGTGGCTTACGCTTGTAATCCCAGCACTTTGGGAGGCCGAGGGGGGCGGATCATGAGGAAAGGAGATCGAGACCATCCTGGCTAACACGGTGAACCCCTGTCTCGACTGAAAAATACAAAAAAAATTAGCTGGGCGTGGTGGCTGGCGCCTGTAGTCCCAGCTACTCGGGAGGCTGAGGCAGGAGCATGTTGTGAACCTGGGAGGCAGAGCTTGCCGAGAGCCGAGATCGTGCCACTGCCCTCCAGCCTGGGTGACAGAGCGAGACTCTGTCTCAAAAAAAAAAAAAAAAAAAATAGTGATAGGGAAGTCTGGAGAAGAGGTATGTCCTCTTTGAATGGCAAAAAATGTTAAGAAAATTTTTGTCTTATGTGAATATTGACCAAAGGATCACCTTAGCAGAGGAAAATTTTGATAGTCAAGTAGATAGGATAACCCGTTCTGTGGATATCAGCCAGTCTCTTTCCTTAACCACCTCTGTCATTGCCCTATGGACTCACGAACAAAGTGGCCATGATGGCAGGGATTCAGGTTATGCATGGCCTTAGCAACACGAACTTCTACTTACTGAGATTGACCTGGTTACAACACCTGTTAAGACTCCAATTTGCCTATAGCAGAGACCAATAATGAGACCCCAGTTTGGCAACATTCCCTGGGTATGATGCCAGTTATCAGCCAGCGATCTTGTGTCAAACAAGATCTTGTGTCCTGAAAACAACCAAAAATACACTAACTTTTTCCCGGAAGAGGATGCAAAGTCCTTGGGTGTTGTTTACTTTTCTCTTTGGTATCTCATTATTCAATACTACAATGTAAAGTAAACAATACATGAACATTATGATATAGAGTCAATACATCCTATATTACATGTCAAAGGAATAAGAGAAGGAAGGAAACATATTTTTATACATATAAATATATATTTATAACAAAATAAGGAAGAAATAATTATGACAATTACAATCCTAATTTCAATAACTGGTCACGTGGTCATAGCTGGTATTTATAACTACTTTCTTCCACTACTCATTAGGTATTCCCTTAGCCTTCAGCAAGTACCTCAACTGGTGATGATTCTTTACTCGTTAGGTAATTAAAGCCAGAAGGGTGGACCATCAGAAGTTCTGCCTGATTTGGGCTGTAGTTCTCCAATGGCTTTAATTGCAGGGCATGGTAACACTAAGAGATACCATAAGGCATCTCCTGTATGCTACAAATACTCTTCCTTACCTCCATTGTGGAGTATCCATCCATGTTCTTCTTGGTAGTCAAGATCAATTACCCCAGCCAAAACAGTAACTCTCTTCTTTTCCTTGCCTGCTGACTCAGAGACATGAGGAGAACAAAGTGGCAGAGCAGCAGTTTTAACATGAGTTATATAGAATCATTGTTGTGTCCCCTAGTGAAAGCATTCCTTCCTTTGGAACTAAGACCTGTAGGACAGTGGATAATAAGGTGTTGGAAACAGAAAGCAAAAATTTTGATAGTGGGTCAGTAGGGAAAATAGTGAATGATACCACTCTGATTTCTACTCCTTTATTCCTAGACCCATGAATCCTGGCTATGGAAGAAAAAGAACCATATATTGGAAGCTGACTCAGAGCATATAAAGCCTCCTGGTGGACATTGCTCCAGTCGTTACATTTATTGTTACTTAATTGGTGTGGTAACTGAAACTTCGAAAGGCTGTTCTGTCATTTTATTAAGCCAGCTGCTTCTGAATGGTGTGATAACGCCAGTGAATTCCATGAATATGGCTTTGCCATACTTCATTTACTTTGACATAAGTTTCTTGATCAGAAGTAATGCTGTGTGGATACCATGACAGTGTATAAGGAATTTAATAAATCCATAGATGGTAGTTTTGACAGAAGCATTGCATGCAGGCAAGGCAATTCTAATAGAGAGAGTCTATTCCAGTAAGCAGTTACAAATGCCTGCTATGACCATGTGACCAGTTACGGAAACTAGAATTGTAATTGCCATGAGCATTTCTTCCTTATTTTGTTATAAATATATATTTGTGTTTACAACAAATATATTTTCTTTCTTCTTTTATTCCTTCATCATGTAATATAGGATGTATTGACTTTATAGCATAATGTTCATGTATTGTTAACTTTACATCATAGTATTGAATAATGAGATACCAAAGAGAAAAGTAAACACCAACCAAGGACTTTGCATCCTCTTCTGGGGAAAAGTTAGTGTATTTTTGGTTGTTTTCAGGATAGTAGGATAGTTGTATTATGGTAGGTGGAATTATGATCTTATTTATTTAAATATTAAGTATGTTTTAATTGGATATATGTAAAGATGATATAGGTAGGTAGGTAGATAGATAGATGAATACCAAGTTGACAAGGAGTGGACTTGTGACAGTTAATTTTGTGTGTCAGCTTGGCTAGGCAATGGTACCCAGATATTTGGTCAAACATTTTCTATATGTTCCTGAGAAGGCGTTTTTGGATGAAATTAACATTTAAACCAATAGATCTTGAATAAAGCAGATTACTTTCCAGAATGTGGATGGGCCTCAACTAATTAATTGAAAGCCTTAATAGAAAAGTACTGACCTCTCTGGAAGAAGAAGAAATTCTGTCAGAAGATATTTTTTGAATTTAAATTGCAACTCTTCCCTGATTCCTCACTCTGCCCATCTACTCTTTAGATTTTTGTCTTGCCAACATCCACAATTGTGCAAGCCTGTTTCTTAAGATAAATTTCTCTCAGATGGATAAATACACAGATTGATAGACATATCTATCTATCTGTCTGTTTCTCTGGAAGCACATCAACTAACAAAGTAAGACATGGGCTCTGAGTCACTAAGTTCGAGGGAGGAAATATTTTAAACATGGCAAGTGCTTCAAAGGCTCTGTAGCCAAATGTTTCACTAGTCAGTGTAGACAAGGTTATGCTGCAGTAATAAACAACCATGATATCTCTGTTACTTTAAACAACATAGGCACAGTTCTTACCCTTATAAAGCATACTTCCCAGATAGCCAGGAGCTCTGCTAGGTTCTGTTATTATCTTCCTTATTCTAGGTGTTTGGTAGACAAAGCAACAATGCAAGCATTTTGTGGGACTTTACCTATGACAGTGTGTCTGGAGTTTGTTCCTTCTGGTGGGTTTGCGGTCTCACTGACTTCAAGAATGCACCGTGGACCTTCGCAGTGAGTGTTACAGCTCTTAAAGATGGCACAGACCCAAAGAGAGAACAGCAGCAAGATTTATTGTGAAGAGCAAAAGAACAAAGCTTCCACAGCGTGGAAGGGGACCCGAGTGGCTTACCACTGCTGGCTGGGGTGGCCAGCTTTTATTCCCTCATTTGTCCCTGCCCACATCCTGCTGATTGGTCCATTTTACAGAGTGCTGATTGGTCTATTTTACAAACCTCTAGCTAGCCACAGAGCGCTGATTGGTGCGTTTTTACAGAGCACTGATTGGAGCACTTTACAAACCTCTAGCTAGCCACAGAACACTGATTGGTGTGTTTTACAAACCTCTTGTATGACAGAAAAGTTCTCCAAGACCCCACTCAACCCAGGAAGTCCGGCTGGCTTCATCGCTCAATCCCCCCTCTAAACAGGACACCCTAACTGCTGTTGGGAATTGGGTGATGACCACTCTAGCTACTTCCTGTTGGATAGAGGCAAAGAAGGGGCCCTGCAGTGGCAGTGGTAGTGTCCTACAGAGCAGATCTCTCTAGGCCAGCCAAAGGGTCAGTGGGTCAGTCCAGTGGTCCACAGTAGAAATTGTTAGTAGAGCTCATTTGGTGTTCCATTTGTAAGACCATCTGTAGCTTGATGGCATCAATCCTGGAAGAAACAAATTTGACAAGGAGTCTAAAAACACAGGGCCTGAAGATGAGTAATAGCAAGATGGCTGTCACAGGACCTAGAAAGGGGGGAAGCCATGTCGCCTGACTCCAGTAGTTGGTATAAGAGTTTGAAAGGCATTGCCTGATTTCAGAAGCCTTTTCCTGTAAACACCAGGTGGCATCTCTTACTATCCCTGACTGTAGTGTAAAAGCAACACTCTTCCCCTAAGAAGGTGCAAAATCCTCCTTTCTCAGCAGTAAGGAGGTCTAGGTCTCAGTGGTTTTGGAGAGTCACTGCTGCCAAAGAATCTATTTGGGATTATAGAGTAAGGATAGATTTTGTTATTTCTTGTAAACTGTCTGAGAAATCCTTTAAGAGTGTGTGGTAATAGGATAATGAAGTAGATAAACCTGTTACTCCCATTCCTGTAGCAGTGGCCATTCCTAACCCTATAAATAGGGGTATTAGTTGTATGGCCATATGCTGATGGACTTCAGCTTTGAGGGGCACTGATAGGGTCTGATTTCCACAAGATTAGAAGTTAGGATAATACATGTTACACTGTTAACTTTCAGCAAACTTTACTTTTGTTGAAAACTTTGCAAGTTTGAGATTTCAATGATTCTTTGCTATTAATAAGAACTTGTTCAGTTCATATTAACTCAGAATTGGTATAGATGGCTCCTTCCTAATTCTGTAAGTAATTTAAGGTTTAGCTGAGTGCAAACAGCTGGCACATTTGAGCAGACCAATTATTAGGCAATCTTCCTAACTGCTTCTACAAGAGTTCCCTTATCACTTACTGAATACCCATTGTGTCTTTTTCCCTTAATGGCCTGGGAGGAACCATCCATCCTTCTGTCCTGAAGGGAGTTTCTCCTAGGTCTGGTCGGACCTTTGTATGGTGATTAGTTAAGATTTAGATCCCCTGTTAGGAAACCTGCAGAGTTAAGGATTTTTGATAGGAAGGCTATGGGTTGTCAGTGGCCTCAGTGCTTTTGGGCTATGCTCTTGTTTACACTGACAACAAGGTGGTATTTTAATGTTATAGGGTTATGGAGAAGACCTTCAATTATAAAATTATACGTTTTAAATTTACCCTGGCTTTTAAAGGAATAGGGTACACTGTTTTTTCTTTACTATTTCCATCTCTCTTTCTCACTTTCTTTCTCTTTGACTTTCTATCTCTTTCTCTCTGACTCCTTCTTTGTCTCTGTCTCTTCCTCTCTCTCTTTCTTTGACTTTCTGTCTCTTTCTTTCTCTCTTTTCTTTCTCTCTGGCTCCCTCTGTCTCTTTCTCTGTCTGTCTTTGACTTCTTTTCTTTGACTTTCTGTCTTTCCCCTACCTCTCCTCTCTGCTAGTCTTTCACTGCCTCTGCTAGCCACTTATGCTGCTGTTCTCCTCTCTCCTTCCCCATAGCTTCAGCAGTGTAAAACTGCCACCTACTTGAGTTTTTGCACTGCATGCAATAACTCCATGATTTCCTTCTGGTATTTAATGGGGGTTCCCCCAGAGGTTAGGAACTCCCTTTCTTTCCATACTGCAGCATGGGCATGTAGGATTAGATAAGCATACTTGCTATCTGTATACACATTTATTATTTTTCCCTTTCCTAGTTCTAAGGCTTGGGTAAGTGCCACTAGTTCTGCTAACTGGGCTCTGGTCCATGGGGGAATAGGCTTACTTTCAAGTACTGTTACCTCACTAACTATGGCATAATGTGCTTTTCGTATCCCATTCTCCACAAGTGAACTTCCATCAGCATATAGGTTAAGGTCAGGATTAGCTAAGGGGACTTCTAAGAGATCCTCTCAGGCAGCATAACTCTGGACTCTAATTTGTTGACAGTCATGCTTCATTGGTTCTCCATCTTCTGGGAGAACAGTGGCAGGGTTGAGGGCCACACACACACATGCATATTTAAAGCACTGGTCTCTCAAGCAGTAGTGCCTGGTATCTGAGCAGGTGGTTGTCTGATAGCCATAAACTTCCTTTGGCACCTAATATGCCATTTACCTCATGAGTAGTCCAGATAGTGAAATCCTTTCCTTGTATTATTTTGATAGCCTTTGACAGTAAGACTGCCACAGCCGCAACTACCCATAAACAGTGAGGCCAGCCTTTTGCTACTATATCAATTTCCTTACTTAGGTATGCCACTGGCTGTGGGGTTGTCCAAAAGTCTGAGTAAGGACTCCAGGAGCTATTCCTGCTCTCTCTGTGACATATAAAGAGAAGTTTTGTCCTGTGGGAAGGCTTAAAGCTGGAGCTTGTACTAGGGTCTCCTTTAAGGTTTTGAAGGCTGTTTCTGCCTCTGGTTCCCATTATACTAGATAAGTATTTGCCCTCTGGGTCTCCTTGATTAGAGTATAGAGGGGGCCTGGCTATCTCACTCTATCCAGGGATCCATAGTCGGCAAAAGCCAGTGATTCCAAGGAACCCCCACAATTGTTTTAATGTCTTAGGGTGACGATAAGCCAGCATAGGCTTTATTCATTCCTTGCTGAGGGCCCTGGTTCTTCTATCTAAGATTAGGCCTAGATATTTGACTTGTTGTAGGCAGAGCTGGACTTTCAATTTAGATGCCATACACCCTTGATTAGCTAGAAAGTTCAAGAGATCTCAAGTAGCCTGCTGGCATGAGGCTTCCAAACTGGTAGCCAAAAGTAAATCATCCACATACTGAAGGACTAGAATGCCTGGACTTCAGAAGTGGCCTAGATCTTGGGCTAGTGCCTGATCAAATAGATGAGGGCTATCCCTAAAGCCATGGGGCAAGACTGTCCATGTAATTTGGGATGTGTGATCTGTTGGATCCTCAAAGGCAAAGAGAAACTGGGAGTCAGAGTGGAGGGGAATACAGAAGAAGGCATCCTTGAGGCCCAGAACAGCGAACCATTCTGCTTCCTCTGGTATTTGAGAGAGCAGCGTATAAGGGTTGGGTACAATTGTGTATAGAGGAATTACTGACTCATTGGTGAGTCTAAGATCTTGCACTAGTCTCCACTGACCATTCGGTTTTTGTACTCCTAGAATTGGGGTGTTGCAGGGACTGCTGCATTTTCTTACTAAGACTTGAGCTTTTAAATGTCTAACAATATCCTGTAATCCTTTATGAGCTTCAGGCCTTAAGGGATATTGCCTTTGATAAGGAAAAGTGGTGTGGTCTTTTAGCCTGATTTGGACTGGGCAGGCATTTTTTGGCCTTCCAAATTGTCTTTCCAATGCCCCGACTTCAGGGTTGATTCCCTCCTCAAGCAGGGGACAACAAATGGGCAACTCGTTCCCCATATTCATGTAGATAATAGCTCCAGCTTTCGCTAATATGTCCCTCCCTAATAAGGGTATGGGACTTCCAGGCATAACAAGAAAATCATGTGAAAAGAGCAAAGTCTCCCAATTACAGCTGAGGAGGTGGGAGAAATACCAGGTTACAGGCTGTCTCAGGATTCCTTGGATGGTAACGGACCTTGAGGACAGCTGTCTGGGACAAGAGATTAACACTGAGGAAGCCACACCAGTGTCCAGGAGAAGTCAATTTCCTGGCCCTCAATGGTTAAACGTACCTGGGGTTCAGTGAGGGTGATGACATGAGCTGGCGCTTGCCCCGGGCACCCTCAGTCATGTTGTTGGATCATCTGGTTGTGGGCTTCTGGCCCAGAGAAATTTTGTCCTCTGGGGCAGTGCACCTTCCAATGATTGCCTTGGCATAGTGGACATGGGTGAGGGGGCAGCTTGTTTCTCGTTGGACAATCTTTTTTAAAATGTCCTTGCAAGCCACACTGATAACAAGCCCTACTGGTTGATTGGCCTGCTCCATTTTCTGTCCTCTCTGAACCACCAAGGTTTGTTTGTCTGAGGGCCATGACTAAGGCTGCAGCCTTTCTCTGATCTCACTTTTCCTTTTCGGCCTGTTCCTCTTGGTCCTTATTATAAAACACCAAGGTTGCCAGGTTTAATAATGCCTCCAGATTTTATTCAGGGCCCAGGGCTCACTTTTGGAGCTTTCTCCTGATATCTGTGGCTGATTGGGTAATAAACTTATCTTTTAGGATCAATTGACCCTTTGAGAGAGTTGGGTGACAAGGAAGTATATTTTCTTAAGGTCTCCTGTAGCTGCTCGAGGAAGGCAGAAGGATTTTCTTTCTTTCCCTGAGTTATGGTGGACATCATTGAATAATTCATGGACTTTTTCCTAATTCTTCTTACTCCTTCTATAACAGAGGTCAGCAGATGTTTGCGACTCCAGTCCCCATGATTTGAGTTGAGGTCCCAGTGGGGATCCATACTGGGGATGGCTTGCTGACTGTTAGGGAATTTGTCCCTTTCTTTGGCTGTCATTCTATCGTTTACTTGACTAAGATACCAAGTATCTCCAAACTCTCGGGCTGCATCTAAAGCCACATTCTTTTCATTAAAGGTGAGGGTTTGATCTAACAATAGCAAGACACATCTCCAAGTGAGGTCAAAGGTTTGCCCTAGACCCTGTAGGACATCTGAAAACTTCCCCAGGTCTACCTTGATCTGCTTTAAATCAGAAAGGGAGAAGGGGACATGTACCCAGGTTGTGCCAAATTTCCTTCTCCCTACAACTTGAAGGGGACAAAACTGATAGCCTGGGAGTTTTTGTGGTCCTCTGGAGATTTCTTTGCTTGTTTCTTTCTGGGCAGGGGAGATTAGAGGAGGCTTATCATTAATAGGAAGGGGAGCTATAGGAAAGCTAGGATATGGAGGTATGCTGAGATGTCCTCCTGTGGAATGTAAATTGCAAGCTTTGCATAGTTGTGGATTATCCTTCAATGAAAAGAAAGCTTGGACATAGGGTATTTCACTCCATTTGCCTTCCCTCTTACAGAAAAGATCAAGCTGCAGGATAGTATTAATATTTATACTTCCCTGAGGTGACCATTTTTCCCTATCAGAGAGAGAATATTGGGGCCAGGTCATAGGGCAGAAAAAGATCAGCTGCCTCTTTGTCAGGGTTCACAGGTCCAATTGGTCCCAGTGGCTTAGGATACATTTCAAGGTTGAGCCTGTTGAGGCCTGAGTGCTTCCCATGTGAAAGAAAAAACCGCCTGCAGTTTTGGTTTGTTTCCCACCCCCTGCCCAAGAACCCTCAACAGTCCCTGGACCCCGCTGATCAGAATAGTTGTGCTCACCGATGCAGCAGCAGAAACAATAGTTTTCCTCCTAGTCCAGAATGAGGACCAAGGAAGGTCGGATTTAGTGGCTCTTACTGACACATTCTCAAAAACCTGCACCCTTGCCTTTCCTTTTAGACCACAAAGAAGTCCGAGAAAAATCAGATTTAGTGGCCCTTACTGATGCATTCTCATAAGCTTGTTAGCGTTCTAAGCATTTTCTGCTTAGAACTTACCCTTGTCCTATAAAGACGTTATGTCTCAAATTTGGAGGGCCATACCCTGAGGGAGGGAAGGGATCTCCAGGGTTGGAAGAGTGACACCTTTTTTCCTCATTTCTCATCATATGGATAGGAAGGATATGATTTCTGAGGCTCCCCATATCCTAGCTTCAGGGATATAATTTGTTAGGCCTGCAAGTCTGAAGAGGGATCCTAAAATTCCAGATAGTAAACCCCCCACCAGCTACCCTGATGGGGCTTTGGGCAAAAATTACGTCTTTCTGATTGGTGAGCTTGGGTGCCTAAGGAAGGGAACAGAGTCCTGACATTTATATTAGAAATCATTCTTATAAGAGAAACTAGAAAATCACCAGAGAAGGGAGTGGTTTTTAGAAGCAGGACTAGCCTCAGAAAAGACACAGGAGGAAGTTTGTCTGACAGGCATTAGGACCCAGGAGGCAAGGATGAGGATAGATAGGATACATGGTCAAGTCTCACTTGGGCGACGTGACTTTGAGAGTTCCCCTCATGGCTACAGGGTCAACCAACTTTTTGTTGGGACTCCGGAGCTGAATGGCTTTTCTCTCTGTCAACCCTCGGCTCAGCCCAGAAGTACAAGAAAAGCAGAAACTGGTTCCAGGCAAACCAACGCTCCCAACTCCAAAGAGTTGGGGGTTGTTAGAGAGCCCTTTCCCAGAAAGCCTGACACCCATGTCTTTAGTCCAGCGGCCATGCTAGTTGCTTTTAACTGGCTGACAGGTGCTCGGTGTTTAGCCCCCAAATTCTAAGGAATAATAGGACAGAATAGCAAGTGAAAGGGGTCCAATGGTACTCACCACTTGGCGATAGTCCCTTCATAGTTTCCAAGATGTGTCCGGAGTTTGTTCCTTCTGGTGGGTTCGTGGTCTCACTGACTTCCAGAATGGAGCTGCAGACCTTCGCGGTGAGTGTTATAGCTCTTAAAGATGACACAGACCCAAAGAGTGAGCAGCAGAAAGATTTATTGTGAAGAGCGAAAGAACAAAGTTTCCACAGCGTGAAAGGGGGTCCAAGCAGGTTGCTGCTGCTCACTGGGGTGGCCAGCTTTTATTGCCTTATTTGTCTCTGCCCACATCCTACTGATTGGTCCATTTTACAGAGTGCTGATCGGTCCAATTTTACAAAGCTCTAGCTAGCCACAGAGTGCTGATTGAGGCATTTTGCAATCCTAGCTACAGACTGCTGATTCATGCATTTTACAATCCTCTTGTAAGACAGAAAAGTCCTCCAAGTCCCCACTTGACCCAGGATGTCCAGCTGGCTTCACCCCTCAACAGTAGCAGAGGTAAGAGAGACTGTAGTAAATATGTTTTGTCTCTCAAACAATCCTCCCTGCCAGATTTCTTTACAAACCTCATTCATTAAAGCAAATCATACAATCAAGTTGGAATTTACAGAGCTGGGAAACTATAATTTTTCTTCAGGAAGAGAAAATATCGTGAAACAGCAATTCCATCTATACCAAAATATATGTTTTAATGCATTCATATTATGGAAATGTTATTCCTATAGCAGGGAGAATATAATTATATAAAGCCAGTCAGAACTAGTGAAAGGGCACTGGTTTAGAAAGCTACTGCAGTAATTCAGACAAGAGATGTATACTGATAAATTAAGTAATGGTAGTAAAAGTAGAAAAAAATGAGAAAATAAGGGAAAAGAGTAAACAAACCTTTTTAACAAAGCCTTTTGACCAATTGGTTATGGGTTATATATGAGAGGAAGTGTTTAATGATAACACCCAGGTCTTTAGTTTGGGTAACTGAACAGAATTACCTAAACTGAATAATGTTTGAAGGTTTTTGTTGTTGTTGTTTTGTTTTCGCATAGCATAATCTAGTGAAAGTTGACTGATATGAATGTCACTGGCCCCATTCACTCAGATAAATCACATAGGAAAGGGAAAATATTTTGATTGACATATATTAAGTTAAATCACTGCCATTTTAAGTTTGAGAAATTATAAAGTGCCCAAGAATTATTATGCAGCCAAATTTTCATGGAGCTATAGTTTTAGGAATATCAACAGATCCTTGGTAATTTTGTTTGTGAAAATTGTCCTGAGAAGGAAGAGAAGGGAAAAGAAAGATACTGATACTTAAAGTTCCCTAATCAGAAGAGAAGCAGATGGGGGAAAAGCAAAACAGAAAAACAAGACAACAACAAAATGAGAATTGTTAGAAAAGAGTTAGAAAGAAAACCAAGATACAATGAATTGAACATTAAGCCAAGGAAAGAGAAAATGTATTTCAAGAAATGAGAGAGGAAAGCTGTAGTTATGAAGGAGAAAAAGAACTGAAAAGTTAGTTTTAATTACAAATTACTGTCTTGGCATAATTCTTCCTCTATAACAGCAGCATAGCCCTGGCTTTGACCAGGGTTTCATAGCAAGCTGGAGTGTTGTTGAGTTGTATCTACTACTTGGCTATAGACCAGATTCTTGAAATGGAAACTTCACTGCTATTATAAAAATATCGTGTGTCTTTGACATATATGACTAGACCCTCTGGGTATGTGTTGACATGTCATAGAGAAGAAACTGTCTGCCCTTGAGAAAGACAAGAGTGACAAATTGATGAATATATATATATATTTTTCTATAGATATATTTTGCAGCACTCACAGAGGAAAACTTTACAGAGTTATGTATCTAGTTGGATGAATACAGCAAGAAGGTACTTTTTGACATGTTCTGGGTCAAAACCATGTGAGAAGGGGTAAAAATGTCTGTGTATGGCATTCTCTGGAGATGGAAAGACGTTATCAGCTTCTATTTAAAAGCTATAGTTTCATCCTCATTTATGAAGTGAGCTCATATTCAACAGAACAAACTGGTTCCCATGGAACCCATAAATATAACATTATGTAAAACTGTCATTTACTTCAAGTTAAAATGGTTTCACGGGTGTGTACTTATATCCAAATTCATTGAGTTGTGTACATTAAAAGGAGATAAAGATGTTTGGGATGATAAAGAGGGACATGGGAATTCTCTGTATTTAGCTCATTTTTCCTATTAACTCTAAAACTATTCAAAAATAAAGTCTATTAATTAATTGAAATAAAATGAAGACACACACACACACACACACACACACCACACACACACACACCAATTACAGGTTCCATAAAAAGTTCAGTGCTATCTGAGTATTATATGCACCACATATGCCACTTTCTATCCTTATTTTTGTTACATTTTATCTAACTTATAAATATCAGAATACTTACCATTTATACATACGCTGTAGTACTTTTGTGTAATATAACATCAATATTATTTTTGATAGTTTACTGGCTTCTCTGTAATTTATATATTGCAACATGATTTTCTATAAGTGGAGGACAAATAGGATTTAGTTCAGAGAGGGGTTTCCATTTACATATGTTCACTTTCCAACACACTAATGTAGAAAACTCCCTGTATTCTAGTTGGTATCTGCTGTCTTAGTGACATAAGGGAACAAACAAATTTCTGCAATTACAAGGAAAAAAGAAATAAAGAATAAAATATATTCACATGGAAAAAAAGTAAAACAAAACAAAAACTGAAATTTGCTTTCCCTGATTTTGCATCAGTACCAAATTGCAAGAGCGAACTTGCTGCATATGTGGGGAATATTTATCTTTCAATGCTTCTTGCTGTATTAGATAAAATGTAAGAGAAGAAATCAGAATAAGGGAAACTACATAATAATGCTAATGGCTTCTTCTGTGACCTTGGGCACGTCACTTAACCTCCTGGTGACTCAGCTTTTCCACCTGTAAAACTGAATTGTAATTACCTCATTTACTCTGCACTCAATATGTTCTCACTTGTATAAGCCTTGTTCAGCATCAAGGACATTTCTTCAAGGCTTCCTTCTTTTCATAACTTGATGTCTATTTTTCACATTTAAATAATGATTAATGTGATTAACAAAATGAGAAAGAAAAAGCATAAGTTATCTACTTCTGCTGTACTACAGGTGATAGTTAAGACATAGTAATATATACCTTATATATTTCATATTTTCCTTTGTATAAAAGATAATAAATGAAAGGCAAGAGCCTAAAAACAAGAACAAACTACATTTATTCAGCTGTCACCTATTATTTACATTCTTCGTGTTTTATTTGAACTCAGCTCCTAAAATATTTACACTCTCTGAAATCAGAATCAAAGTCATCAATGAAGATGACACCATCTGTTGTGCATACCTATTTTTACTGAATCTTTTTTCAATGTTGATTCATGAGGTCAACTACTTACCTCACTCATATCCTTTGGAAAAATGCAAACAGATGTTCCACTTCTCTCTCGCCTATCATCAGATCTAACTAATGACGGTAACGTTCAAGTTGGTGAAACTTCCCTGGCCTGCATTATATCTTCCAAATAACTTTTAGTCTCGCTAGCTCCTTGACACCACTTTTATCATTCAGTAAACACATTGATTACTTGACAAAGAAGATTTCAGCTAAATTGAACATTTTTAAGATCGATTTAGGCACCGTCTCACTTTTGGAAGAGCTAATACAATTTTAAGCACATTTATTTTTCTCACATCCAGGATACTGACCTACAAATATACTTCAAAGCCAGTGCATAAAAATCTTCAATGATTCTTACAACCCTGAATCTACCATTATATTACAATTAATATTCATACTTGCTAACTCTAGAAATGTGTAAAAGCAGGAGAGAAATGTATTGTTTAGATTTAATGCACAATTATAATCTTTGATAATTGTGGTTACTGATGTGAATATCTAAGTGATATAATGAAGTATTTTCATTAGAATATAATTTAAAAGGAGAAATTGAATATTAATAAGAAGAATGGGAATATTTCAAGTCACATGGAGATTAGCATTGCCGAAATCCATAAGAAGTCAAGAAACTTTCTTGTTGGATTAATGAAATACCATCATGATACACATTCCCATTGTTTTTAAATTCACATGTGTGTATGTACTTTTTATTATTAAATGCTTATCATAAAATCCCACAAATAGAATAATACTATTGCTTTTAGTGTGTCTTGTATTGTGTCAAAACACGAGCTGTTCAAAGCCTTCTAACTCAAGCTTGAGTATATTGCTACAGTTTTCTACATTTCCACAGGTGACAGTGTTGACAAACCTTTGGTCATGGAACAAAAGTCTCCTCTTTTCCAGGCCCTCATAATATTTTCTTTATTATCCTTAAATCCCTTATCAAGTATTCTTGAGGTTTTATTAGCTTTTACTGTCAGTCTCCTGAAGGCCCATGCAGCTTCTGCTGTCTGCTTCATTCCCCAATCTATGTCGTATGTTCAGGGTGTTACAAAAGAACCTCATTTCAAATACTGGATTCTATTCTGGTTCTCTATTTCTACACAGCAAACTACATAACCTGGCTTTAAATGACAACTTTTAAAATTATTTCTTATTATTTTATAGGGCAGCTATTTGGGAAGATCTTGGCTAGTTAATTCTGTACCATGTGACATCACACGAGAAAACTCTGTAGTCTCCATCTAGCTGATGGGCTCAGTGGCAAGATACATGATTCCTTCACTAACATGTCTAGTGGCTTGGAGAGGTTGGATGGAAGACTGGACTCATCTGTCATTGTCAGAGGCACCTCCATGAGGACAGCATGCACAGAGTGGTTGGATTTCTTTTGTGGGAGCTCAAGAATCCAGGAAAAGGTTATAAACGGTCTGTGGCTATTCCCTGTGACTATAGTCACAGATGTAGTCAGTTCTGTAATGGTAAACAGGTATTTAGCTAGCCCATGGGGAAACGAGACAATCAAATTGAATTATTTGGAACTAGAGTCAGTTGTAAAGAGAAAAGTAAGAGAAAAATAAATAAATAAATGAATCTCTGTCACACTGGAAGCAGAGGTAGAATGATTCCAAAGAGATGAGAGTTACTCTAAGGACAGCAATAATTATCAACAAATAGTTTCTCATATCAAATATTGTGGTACCATAGACGTACCTTTTAAAAGCAGTTAGTTCTACCTTAATGTCTGGAGAAGCTAACTTTCGTTAATAGCTTATTGTTCAAACTTCCACTGGGGGCAGTGGGAGTGACACAGTTTCATTAGGACAATTTAAAGAGGGTTTAATAAGAGGATTATTTACAAACAGGTGTTTGAGGTGCCTGGAAATCAGAAGGGGTAATAAAGTAATCTAGGAATAATTAGTGAAGCTGCGACTTCTTTTAGTATCAGAAGTAACAAGGAGAGAGTGGCTTCAAGAACCTGAGAGCTGTAGAGACACTTTCAGCAGTTTTGTGCCCTGTATTTGGGGCATACGGCCAGCTCAAATTCCTTACATACAGAGAATCATGGAAAAATAAAACTTAATTCCCATTTGATTCCCTGCTAGGATCCTCTATTGGCCAAATCAACTGGAAGCCAGAAAATAAAGATGTAACCCATTTGGTCTAATCATGAGAAAAACTTCAGACAAATCCCAATTAAAGGATATTCTATGAAACAACTTACCACTACTCTTCAAAACCATTAAGGCTGTCAAAACCAACGAAAGTGGGAAACTTATCACAGCCAAGAAGAGTCTAAGGAAACACCATGACTAAATATAATGTGATATTCTGGATTCAATCTCAGAATAGAAAAAGGATATGAGGTAAAAACTGAGGAAATGTGTTTAAAGTGTGGGTATTAGTTAATTACAATATATCAATGTAATTTTGCTGATTATAAAATATGTACCATAGTAATGAAAGATGTTACTAAGAGGGAAAACTATGTGGCTACGTAGGAACTTCAAGTATTATCTTTGCCATTTTCTATAAATCTAAAATTGTTCTAAAAGTTTATTAAAAACCTTATTAAAAGTTTTGATTTTAGTGTTTTTGATGGTAACATGACCCAGCTTTGAATGAAATGCACCTCTCATTCCATTTGTAAGTGCCAAAACACTTTGAAGGATAAACGTACCTTAAAATTTAAATGACTCTCTGGAAAATCAGATGATTGAGGTAGTTTTTTTTCTGTTCCCAACACCTAACATAGTGCCTGGCACATTGTTGGAAATCAAATAAAAAAAATCCTTTAAGTATGGAAATATCAAGAATAAATTTGTAGTTTGAAATAAGTCATTTTGAAAAGAGATATAACTTCCTTGATATTCAAGAATAAAGTTTCTAACATATGACAATTTGCCTAGTAATTCAATAGCAATTATAAAAAATATTTATGGCCAGGTGCGGTGGCTTGCGCCTATAATCCCAGCACTTTGGGAGGTTGAGGCAGGTGGATCACCTGAGGTCAGGAGTTTGAGGCCAGCCTGGCCAACATGGTGAAACCCTGGCTCTAGTAAAAAAATTAGCTCAGTGTGGTGGCAGGTGCCTGTAATCCCAGCTACTCTGGAGGCTGAAGCATGAGAATCTCATGAAGCTGGGAGGCGGAGGTTGCAATGAGCTGAGATCGTGCGCTTGCACTCCAGCCTGGGCAACAGAGCAAGACTCCATCTAAAAAAAAATTATCTACAGAAATGACTTTACCTAAAAACTAAAAAAAAAACCATAAAATATAACTTATAAATAAAAGCAACAAAGGAATCAGTTTTATCAGTATATGCAAATTTTAATAAGTGAGATGCAATATAGAAAACTCTTGATATTAATTCACATTGGCAACATGTATCATTGTGTGTTTATAGCTTTGATAATGTAACAACTAACTGTACTTTGCTGATTAGTCCTTCCGAAAGTTGATAGACATTGGATAAATTCAACTATACTAAAAAGCTTTAATAAATAAACACTTTACTGCATTAAAAATATCATGACTGTAATGATTATTCCAATAATACTATGTAACAGCAATTGTCATCTCTCTGAATCTTTAACCATGAGAACTATGGAAATAACCATTTCAAAAATTGTATAAAGAAAGACAATACATTTTAAGACATTACATCTCAAAACAATCTGTTACCTCTGCATTTTATTGTGACATTCATTGTTTGGGTTCTCTTGCTTGTATTGCAACATTACAATTGTTTAACAAGTATCTTGGGAATTAGAGGGCATTCCTCAGTAGTCACACAGTCTTCTGTGCTGCATACATAGTAGTGTTTCTACATCTCCCAGACTGACCTAGCATTAACTAAATTGGATATCAAGTATGTCAATGTGCTCTAACTGCCAGTGACATTGTCACTTGGGGTCCTGAGATGAAAGACAAAACACCCTGAAAAGAACAGAATACAGTATTTTAAGAAGCAGGTGAAATGCAAATGATTTGTCTTTTATTTCTGGATTTAATATATTCTGATACTTCAGTGCTTTAGCGTATTGAAACAACTGCCATAAGCTTTCTATCAAACATGTAATTAGAGGCAATCATTTATTCATATACTAACACAAGTCCAAAGACCAGTACAATTAAAACTGTTGGCTGGAAACTTGTGGTCCTTAGTTCCTTTTAGACCCTGTTTCATAATGGGTACCTGCCCCTTGCTAGCAACAAACTAAATTTTGGGTATCATCATAGAAATTATTTTATTTTATTTGCTATTTCCTTAATAGTGGTAAAACTTATAAAAAATGGTAACAGGTAAACTATTACCTATTTATTTTTTAGTTAAAACACATATTCAAGTTTGCCCATGGAGTGAAATTTAGTGTAGCCCTGTTATAACCATAAAATAAATAAAAGGATTTTTTTTAAGTTTAATTATTTCTATAGTATGAATACTATTTCCTCATGAACTGACTAATGGTCTCATTTAGATTAGACTTCACTCTCTTGTTCCTGAACTATCATTTAATAATGCTGAATGAAGAAATTCATTGGCCTTAATCCATTCTTCAAGACTTGGCTGAATATATATCCAGTTCAGTAAGCTTGTCTGGATTTCTTCAGATTGCAATAGCATTGCACTTATAAATTTATTAATCGTTTCTGGATGACATCATAAAATTAGCATTGCTCATTTAATTTTTCCATTAAATTGTGTGCTCTTTTGAAGGCAAAAAATATATATAATACAGTGAAATAAATTAATGGATAAATGTGGCAATCGTTGTTGGTGAATTTTCAATATCTATCGTCTACTTTCCTTAGTCATAGAAGTCTAAACTTTTAACCTAGCACACTCTTACCTAGATATTTAAAAATTCTACATTGTCCAGCATCTTTTACAGGCCAGTATGATTATGCATTAATATTTCAATGATGAAATATCAGAAAAAGTGATGTAAAGGGCCTTCAGGCAATCCATATAAGAGAAAATTAATCTTCCTTTCCTCTGCCTAAGAATTCCGTAGTAATTGTTGCAGTTTTAGCAGTCATTTTGAATAAGGAGGTATACTTTAGGATCCCAGAGCCGCGAGATCGAGCTAGAATCCCTGAAGATATTAGCGAGACTCTATAATGTCCAAGATATTTAACTCCAAATTAATTTTTTGAGATAAGCTTATATCTTGTTTTAGCCATATTTATTGTGTGTATGCCTGTGTGTGTGTTCTCATATGTAATCAGACCTAATCCTATTAGAGAAAGATGAAGGAATGACAGGATTTATTTAGCGTTTGAGCCTATCAAATTGTGCAATCACTCAGTATGTTCTTGTGTATAATTTTTATTATTATATGTGTTAAAATTTATATTTGTAAACTAGAGTGAGACATTTATCTACGAGTACCCTTCTAAAAGAGAATTCTTAACCTATGTGATGAGTCATGCAGATTTATTCTAATTAGTTGTACCAACTATCACATGTAGTTTGCTTCTCATTATACGATTTCTTGAGTATGAAAATAAAGTTAGCACTCATAGAATTTTCTATCTTATTTTCCTGTGAGCATTTAGTATTACCCATATTTCTTTGTTCAGTGGATAGTGCATATGGGTGTCATATAGATATCATTGGTTATTTATATCATATGAATGAGACTCATTACTTAAATTTCTTCTTTTCAAGTTTAGGTTATATTGCCCAAATGAAAACATTTTTATTATAATATAGTGACCAAGTACTTTAAGGTATGAAATATGCAGCAAGGAAATATTTTCATTTTATCTATATCTGTATATCTTATATCTGTATCTAGATCTAGATATGAACAGACAGAAATAGGTATGCCTGCTTGAAGAAGTAACGGGTAAATTGTTCTGCCCAAAAGAGCTTTAAGAAATGAGATAACACTTCTAAAACAAAAGTTGTTAGACATTGTACAGCAGGTAGTACAGAATTATGATCACTGAGAATAGGAAAACATTATGTGGGTCCTATATTCACCCACAGATTCCTACAAAGAGGCACTATGACAATATGGAAGAATTAGCAGATGAGTACTTTAATGCATTTATTATAAATACATTTCAGAATTTAAAGGAAACGATATATGTAAGGCAAAGTAAGTGTAATATAACATATAGAACTATAGAGAAATTCTAGAGCAAAAAATATAATTTAAAAAAATTTATAAAGGAATATACAGTAAATTAGACTCTGCTGAAGGAAAGAAATTATTCATCTCTCCCACTAAATTACCGTTCCTGAAAAAAAATCTTATATATGTATATTAGGTCTATTTGTAGACACTCTATTTTGTTCCATTGATCTATATGTCTATACTTATGCTAATACTACACTGCTTTAATTGTTGTAGCTTTATTGTGTATTTTGAAGTAAGGTACTGTAAGTTCTCCTATATCATTCAAAATTATTTTAGGTCTTCTTACACACTTTTACAATCAGCTTGTGAATACCCAAAATACCATGCTAGAATTTCAATGGAAACTATATTAAATCTATATCTTGGAGAAGATGAACACTATCAATATTGAGTCTTCTAAAACACATACATAACTTTAGGTATTAATCACTATCATCAATGTTTTTATCGTTAATGTTTCACTGTACCAGTCTTGCACATATTTTGTTTAATTTATTCTTAAGTAATCTTTTCTGATGATATTGTAAATGACATGTGATATTTTATTTTTTATGTACTCATTGGAAATACATAGATGTATAATTGATGCTTGCATACAGACCTTGCTAAATTCACTTCTTAGTTCTGATGATATACTAGCCCATTCTCATGCTGCTAATAAAGACATAACTGAGACTTGGTAACTTATTAAAAAAAAAGTTTAATGTATTCACAGTTCCACATGGCTGGGGAGGCCTCACAGTCATGGCAGAAGGTGGAGGAAGAGCAAAGCAAAGCACGTTTTACATGGTAACAGGCAAAGGAGTGTGTACAGGGGATCTCCCCTTTTTAAAACCATGAGATCTCATGAGATTTATTCACTATCATGAGAACAGCACAGGAAAGACCCATCCCCATGATTCAATTACCTTCCACTGTGTCCCTCCCATGACATGTGGGAATTGTGGGATCTACAATTCAAGATGAGATTTGTGTGGTGACACAGCCAAACCACATCAGATAATACATATATTTATTCAGAGTTCCTATATACACAATCACACCATCTGCAAATAAAGGCTGTATTGCTTTTTTTTCCCCATATCTGTTTCCATATTGCACTAGCTAAAATCTCTAGTATAAAATTGAAAAAAAAATAAAAAACATTCTTGCTTTTTTCTTCCTCTTATAGAAAACACATTCAAACTTTCACCATTAGTGTGATGTTAACTGTAGGTTTCCAATAGATAACTATAAAATTGAGAAGATCCCCTTGTATTATTCATTGTTGCATTTGTCTATTTCTCTTCTCAGTTTTGTGAAATTTTGCTTCATTTATTTAAATGATTCCCATTCTTAAGCACTATGTCCTCTTAATAAATTGATCTTTATCTTTACAAAGTATCCCTTTAAAACTCTGATGATTTTCCTTGTTTACAAGTCTATTTTGATAAGTGTCCTAATCATAAGTGTATGCTGAACTTATAAGAAAATGCCAAACTGCTTTCTAACGTGGGTGGACAAATTAGCATTTCCATAAGCAATGTATGAGTATGTCTTCGGTTCCTCAACATTCAACTACCACATAGTTTTATATACTTTTTTATTTTAACCATAATAGCAGTAGTAAAGCAAATTAACATATCTACCTCTCACGTAGTTACTTTTTGGTGTGTGATGAGAGCAACTGAAATCTACTCATTTAACACAAATCTCTAATTAACTTTTATTAACTATAGAACTCACTTTATACATTCTATCTCTAGACTTGTTCATCTTACATATCTCCTACTTTGTATCCTTTGACCTATATTTCCCCATTTTCTCCCTCCCCACCCCAATGTATTTTAAAAGTATATTCTTATAAACATTTACATTACCATTTTTGCAGTTTAATTAACATTCATTAATGTTTCTGTTTTCTCCTAAGTTTATATGGCTGTTTGAATAAATAAATCAATAAATAATCAAATAATTGAATAACTAAGAAGTTTGTACTCACAACAAATATCATCAGAGGGTGACAGAGAAGAGAAATCACAAAATACATCCCTCCATACTTACAAATGATGGTGTTGCTTTCTTGCTGCCTATGAATACTAAGTTGTAGTCACACATCCCAGGTGAGGGCCTTAAGGTGAAGCAATCAATAAGCAAGCAGAGTTTCAAAACCTCTTGTTCACCTATAATTGAAAGACAAAGCACCTGGAATAAATGTCACAGGCTGAGTCAACTTTTTCTTTAATTAACTGTCTCCATCAGCTAAAACAAAATGTTCCACTTACCTCCTACCCCCACTCCTCTTAATTTCAAACTCAGTTTATTACCAATGAGACTGGGGTATTTATCCTACTGGGGTATTTTTATTTGGCTAAATTTTCTAGATAACTGATTTCCTTGTAAATAAACTGCAATTAGAAGTGTAAACTATTGTAGTAATATTATTCTCTGGCATATTTTACATGAATAGGTAGGTGGTTAAAAATTGCCTCTAATCTAAATGAGCTTCATCTGTTTTTGTGCGTGTGTGTGTTTTGTGTGAAGGATATAATCATTAGCAATTAGCATTCACCTTTACGTATAAAGAATTATTTCCTTATGAAAGAAATTAAGGGATTTGGGCTGTGTGTGTGTGTGTGTGTGTGTGTGTGTGTTTTCCTAACATAATTGTTAGATTTAGGAGAGGTAAGCCCCCTAGTGAGGTTTTGTTGTTGTTATTTTTAAAACTTTTAGAGCACTTTTAGGTTCATAACACAACTGAGGAAAAGGTATAGAAGTTTCCTATATAACCCCTGCCCCCACACACACATAGACTCCCCTATAATCAACATTCCTCACCATAGGAGACATCTGTCACAATTGATGAACCTACATTGATACATACTAATCACCCATAGTTCACATAAGGGTTCCCTCTTGGTATTGTACATTCCACGGGTTTGGACTAATGTATAATGACATATATGCATCACATTGTATCATACACAGTAGTTTTACTGTCCTAAAATGGTGGTCAGCTTTTTAGTCTTATACATTAAGTCCTAAAACTGGTAAACTAGATGATATTTTGATTATAATTTTTTACAAGATTGGGGGAGGAGAGCTGTCTTAGTCCATTTTGTGTTGCTATAAAAGAGTACCTGAGACTGGATAATTTGTAAATTAAAGGTTTATTTGGCTCATGGTTATGCAGGCTGAGTTCAAGGGCATGTCTGGCTTCTAATTAGGGCTTCTGTGCTTCCTGAAAACATGGCAGAGAAGGTCAAAGTGTGAACAGACATGTGCAAATGCTAAGAAACATGAAGGGAGTCCTAGCTTTATAAGAACCCACTCTTTTGGTAACTGTCCATTCCTGCAAGAACTAATCCAGTCTCTATAGAATGAGAGCTCACTCACTGCTTCCAGAACAGCACCAGGCCATACATGAGGGATCTTTCCCCATAACCCAAACACCTCCCACGAACCCTCTCCTCCACCGCCTTCCCAGCATGGTCACAGAGGGGATCAAATTTCAATATGAGTGTTATTAGGGACAAACAGATCATATCCAAACCACATCAAGAGCTAAACAGTTTGTGTATAGACACATGCATTTTACGAGTCTACGCTTTATGTTGGAAGAAAGTTGTGGCACATTGAAGAGGTCGAATTGCAAGTGTAATAAACAGAAAAAGCCACAAATGCAAATCTAATTTGAAGTAAATAGATGATTGATAGTACAATCAATGTAGAAATGATCACTGAGAAACTTGGGGAGCAGAAGGGCATCAGGAAAATTGAGTATATTAAATAAGAGTGGAGTAGAGGGTTAGTAAGTGTCAGAATGGTAGATACTCACATAGGAGAAACAAGGAATTAGAATGCATAATTTGAAAGAGGGTCATAAATTATCCCCTGTGTACATGTTTGTAATGCGCATCCAGAATTGAAAATGAAGATCATAGAAAACTTTCATTTAACATATTTTATTTCTACATATGTACAAAATAATGAGACCCTTAAAAGTTAGATATTTCACTATTGAAAATAATCCAGCAATTTAAAGTAATGCCGGGTAGTTAACACTATTGACAGCTACAATTCTTCTTTGATGTGGTAGGATATTGGCACATAAAATCAACCAAATCTCCAAAGAATAGGTTGAAAAGTTGAGTTTGAATTACAACCATAGATAGATTTTTCTCTAGTTTGGTCCAGCCACCAATGTAACCAAACCCACAGTAGTTACCTATTAGGCATAAATCTATTTAAAAACAACTTCCAAACATTAAATTTAGTGTAACTAGAAAATCTTCCGAAGAGAAACACAAATATAAAAATGTTCTGTAGTATCTTGAGATATAATTTGCATAATAATGGCATCTGACATAAGTCAACACATGTTTGGTAATAATGGAGTAAATTATGCATCCAGTGCCCATATGTGTAACAGTAAAAAATCAATAGATTGTCAAACTAATAGATTCTATATAGATGCATTTTCTCATCTCTCTTCGTGTAAGCCATTTTTATCGTGGTTTGTTAATGGGAGGTATAAATGCCTGCCTTTAAAAGCCCTAAGTAATCCGCTTGTGATTTATGTTTGCTATTCTGCCATCTAGTTTAGTGTAATGTTTCTGATGCTAATTGCAGCTTTATGGCACCATTTGGCGACGAAAAGTTTTCGTTTTCATAGAAATGCGGACTGATTCCTCTATAGATAGTCCAGCCAATTTAGTCTACTTAATCTTTATCTCAGAGGTCAGAGGAAGTTCAAATAGCTATGTGGCTGGGATGAATATTAGTCTGGTATCAAAGAGATTTGCCTTGCACTGAAAAGCCACAGCTTTACTTCATTGGAGACAATGGAAAAAAATAACATTTTTTAAATGTTCTTTAAAATTTTAAATTTTAAAGAAAATTAAGCCAGGCACGGTGGCTCACGCCTGTAATCCCAGCACTTTGGGAGGCTGAGGCAGGCAGATCATGAGGTCAGGACATCGAGACCATCCTAGCTAACATGGTGAAACCCCGTTTTTACTAAAAATACAAAAATTAGCTGGGCATGGTGGCGGGTGCCTGTAGTCCCAGCTACTCAGAATGCTGAGGCAGGAGAATGGCTTGAACCGGGGAGGCAGAGATTGCAGTAAGCCTGGATCGCGCCACAAGCCTGGATCGCGCCACTGCACTCCAGCGTGGCGAAAGAGCGAGACTCTGTCTCCAAAAAAAAAAAAAAAAGAAAAGAAAAGAAAAAAATTTAAACAAATTGTGTCCCATGTGGGAGATCGTGCTATTTGCCTTACATCAGGCGTCATGAAAGATTATACACAGGCCATTTGAAATGCTGGATTCCTCGTATAATTTATTTTCTATGGCATTATGTAATAGAGCTAGCCCATCTGAAGGATGTGAGTTTAAAAAAAAAAAAGGGTTTGAGTTTGAGATTTCTTGTTAACTTGCTCCATTCAACAACGACCTCAGTGTTTCCTCCTATTTGTCCCTTTCCCTCTCTCCAACACAGAATGAGACCACAAGGTCTTGTGGAAGCTACATCATGTACTCACCATTCAGGACAATAGCTCAGAAACCACTGCTGGACATTCAGACAAATTACATGGATTTTTAACTTTTATCAACCATGAGATGGATATAAAATGTAATGCACATGGTTGTGAAGAAAATTCCCTGAGAAAAGCAACCTAATATGTCTTTCAATGTAACTGGAACACAGTGGCTTTTCACTTTATCTTAACTCTCTTTCTGTTCCTTCCCCAAAGAAGGTAAACCAATCATTTTTATATTTAATTTTTTAAAAAAATCTTTTTGTAAACTTGTGCACGTATTTACATCATCTGTCATGAAATCCTCACCACTAAACATTGCTATAGCAAGCATCACTATTTTAGGATGTCAGCTCTTTCACTTGTGTGTAGACCACTTATGCATAACACCAGAGATCCATATGGTGGAGGACCACCGATGTCATTTCTTCCTAGTAAACTCAAATGTTGCTGTGATTAATTTAAGACAATAAAGACAAAAGGAGAATATTTTTATCACAAAACCGTTAAAGTCTCAATTTTTCCTCGTTAATTAATTGACATCTGCAGTACGGATTTGTTAACATATGTGATGAATAGCCCAATATTAAATTAACGCTGTCTCTATTTTTCTCTGAAGGATTTCCATCATATCCTATAGCATTATTATATTTCCACTTTGTATTACAATTGTTGATGGCAAGAGAAAGCAGAATACTAAATCTTTTGTTTTGTTACAGTTAATACTTTTAAAATGCCCTTATTCAAAAGTTCAGATTATTTTCTCTAGGTGATCAAAAATAGAAATAGGCTTTATAACTAATAGTTCATACATCTCACTCGGTACTTTGGAAGTAACGAACTGACAACTTTTGATTATAAATTATTCTCTGTTAAAAGTTGTTGTTGTTTGATAATATATTTCTTTCTCCCTGTAAGACCAGCTATTTAACAGCCATTAGGTTTGTTTTGTTTGTTTTCAGTGTAATTCCAAGTGGCTAACTTCAGGCATTGTAAAGCCTCCACTGCACTCAGCTTTCTGAATTATTCAATCTCAATTAACTTCCCCCAAAATGTTTGGGTTGACACTGATTTGTGTATGAACTTGAGAGTTAAATATATTTCCCCTTCCTTTAACCAAAGGGACATTTGTGGATGCATGAGATGCCCCCAAGCGAAGCACTTACTGTATCTTTAAAAATACACGCTGATTTCATAATGTTTAATTGTCATATTTATCATTTGCTCCATGACTTTTGAAAACTCATTAAAAGATTAATCTACAGCTAAATTCTGTAGACAAGGAATTGTATCTGCACCATGGTACACCTTGGAACAAGTCTGTCTTTTCTAAAATCATATTTAATCTCACAATATATAAGAATTTCCTTGGGAATTTATTGGCAGTGTGTCATCAAAATAAAGGCAAATGATACACTACTTGACAAGAAATAGTAGCTTTGTTTTTCAGTATTTTGCTTGTTTGCTTGGCTTTGATTTCCTAGGAGGTTTTATGTTACGATTTTATGTTTTATTCCAAATGTATGTTCCAGGTTTTAGAGAGAAATCTCTTTATAAACCCATAGTTCTTATAATTTGTTAACAGATTAGGTGATGTTTCCTTCCCAGTGTTTTATTTTGGATAAGGAAATTACAAAATATATTTACCTTAGCTACATTTCTTCAGGTGTGGTCTTAATGTAATTGTGTAATATACTCTGACATTTATATATAACACAATTTTTCCAAAAAATATTTTATTGGTATCTATAAGATGTCAGGCTCTGTTCCAAACACTGAGAGACAATTATGAACAAGAAAGAAAAGCTTCCTTTTCTTCCTTTGGAGATTACTCCATAGATATAGGCAAAATATTAAAGTGAATCAATAAACATAATAATTTTAGTGCAAAATGCCATCAAAATTAAACAAATAATATGATAAAGAGAAACTGGTAGTGGGCAGTTCTTTAGACTCATCAAGGAAGTTCTTTGAAAAGAAACATTATTTGAGATTTGAATGGTGAAAGAGGTTGATGCTGAGAGTTATGTAGAGAGGTCTTAAGTAGAGGAGACAGCCAGTGCAACATTCTTAAGTTAGGACAAGTTTGTTATGTTTAAGCATAAAATGTACATATAGGAGGTAAAATACTTTATATATATGATATATATAATATTTATATGTGATATATATTCATGATATATACATTTAAATGTGATATATATATTCATGATATCTATTCATATGTGATATGTATATAGGAGTGTATCATAATCCTCAGATATTATATACACTGATACATATATCAGTTTATCTGGAGATTAGGAGGGAGGCACTGATGGAGAAGACAGAATCCTATTACAAAGTATCCTGAGGTCTACTGAGAGCTTAATGAGAAGACATTAAGTGGAGTCATTGCAGGGTAGTGATAATGTAATTAAATTCTTCTTCTTCTTTTTTTTTAGTTACTCTTCCTATTTAGTGGAAAAGACATTTGGGGTAGTAGGAGTAAGCGAGGAGAATGCTGCAGCTGTTCAGATGAAAGATGATTAAGGGTATTGAAAACTGAATGCAAGTGAGGAGAGGAAGACAATATCTGTGAACAAACTTTCAGAGAAATATTATAGAGAAGGGTAACAGAGACTGCAAGGAAAATTGGAGTTAAGCAAAATTTTTTTTTTAATAAGGAGACACAATAGAACAGGCTATGTTTGTATGCTGATCTAAATGTTCCAATTGGTAGAGATAAATTAATGATATCAGCGAGAGTAGTAAAGGTCTTAAAAACACACAGTCGCAAGTTGACTCATCCCTGTCTTGAGCCAGCAGGGACATCCCTTTTTTTTAAAAACAAGAGCAAAATCAGATCGTGGGTGTGGATGAGTCAACATATTCTGGGGTAATTGTTGTTAATGGCATATGGAAGGCTTGGTGTTTGGAGAAGACACCCTCCTGACACAATGTTGTGCATCTTCATGGAAGGGAGAAGCTGTCTCAACAAGTCACCTGCCAGCCTTCATCCTTCTACCAGGGATGTGTTCACTGTAAAAAAGCGATTCAAAGTTCCAATAGTCAGTCATGTGGAGACAGGCTGCTGCAGACACACCAGGCTATTTTGTCTTCAAAGGCTATTTTATAAACTCATTGTTGGTAGCATCTGAGTGACCTGGGCTGTCTCACTCCATCTTCTTAGCAAGTCAGTATCCCATGGTTAGTGTTCACCCAACTAGCTAGGTATGGTATTTCACCAAATCCAAGCACGGCAAATAAGCAGTATGACGTTAAGTGTCTATTCTGACATATATTTATAAGTATCAGGGAAAGGTAACAGAAAGGATAAATGCATTTTCTTCCTGAATTTCTTCAGCCAAAATGTCAGTGAGAGCCAGGACGAATTCAACTGAGACACCATTAGCAGGAGATATGTACAAGTAGTCGTAGGCATCAGGTTTTCTTAACTACTCTTGCTGCTGTCTGTTATCCTTATCCCAGTTTCCTAAACTGCACAGTTATTATGGGGTATCAAAAACTTCAGATTCTTCAGTTTGCCAAGGTGCATGGTTATCTGATTTTCACTGTGTACATAGCTACTGGCAGAAAAAGCAACTGAGTTGTGTACCTGATCTAAAGCCACCTCTGAGCTTTCTGACTGGCTAGTTTACTAAAATGATTTTCTCTCCTTTATGACCTTACTATAGGCTCTGATAAGTAAATAACCTACTGTATTCTATATCTGTAAATTACTAACACCTATCAAACCTGCCACAGATGGCAAAAGGGCTGAAGTAGGTACAAGTTCTAGAAGTAGCTTTTACTTTATTTATTTTTCTTTCTTTCTTTATTTTTGTTTTGAGTGACTTGTCAAACCAATAGATGGGAACTGTATCAGATGAAGAAAGTGAAGCTGAGAAGTTATAAGCAAGTGATCATTAATTGCCAGTTTACCTGGGATAGTCCTGGTCTCTGCCACTGTCCTGTGATAATTATATTGCCTGGTTTTACACTCAGAAGTGCTTATATTTTTTAGGATAAGATATATGGTCCAAGTAGCTTGTCCAACCAATGTCATATAGCTAATATTTAGATGGCAAATCAGGTTTCGGGCTCAGATCTAGCCTAAAATGATGTTTACTCTTCTACAAAAAAAAAAAAAATGCAACCTCGGCTCACTAATTAACCTCTCTAGCCAACTCTGTAACTACAAGATAAAAGGGTTAAAATATGTTAGTTTCAATGTTAACAGTTCTTTTAGACCTTTGTCATTTCTACATACTGTATTAGTCATATCTGCAAAATATAAACTAAACTCACCTCAGTAGTTTTTTATTTATTGAGAAAGTTTTTTCCAATGGGAACCTATCTCTGAGAGACAATTTTTAGATGAGTATCTCTCAGTGAATACTTTCTTTACATTCAACTTTGAATTCAAACTCAATTCTGTAAATCTCATTACGCTACATTTTTCAGTTCAGATTTCATAGGGAAATGATAAACAATTATTTAACATAATTTTATTGAATGCCTATTAAAGGCAAAACTGGTGGTATGTTTTTGAGTGTTTATTATTTCTGCTTTGTCTTTTTAAACTACAGACAACCAACTCTCCATTTGGCTCCACTCTAAGGTAAATCTTAGGATGAAGGTTTATTTCTGGGAGTTCGCAGGTCTCTTTTGTCTTATTAGCCTATCTAGTTTATAAGCAGTGGTGGAAACCTGAAGGCTAATGTATAAAAAAAATAATTTTTGAATTTTACTCCTCTCCTAAAAAAATACCAAAAACCAAACAAAAAATTCCATATATGGAAGTAGCTAGAACTTTTGCAATAAAAAGTGATTGGGTTGAAGCTAGTACCAGATCTCTTAAACACATAATTAAAGTGTGATATTTCATCTGACACAATTAACTGCCTGCATGTCAGTTTATCCTAATTAGCTTGGTCGAGTTTGACAGGTATCAGCCTCTATTGTCTTTGTGCCCTTGTTATATTCTGGCACATTAAATTTAGTCTTAAAGCATACAAAAAATATGCCACAATGTCTCTGGTAAACCAGAGCCTCTTTGGAGCACAGAAATGACAGTTGCAATCTCCTTCATTAAGAAGATACTGAGAAGATAACAATATGAAAATTTATCCGGTTTCCATTATATATTTTTGCATGACCAACCTATTCAGTAACTTTGAGGAAAACAGTTTTCTTATAATTTCAGCATAATGCTAACATAGTTTGATTTGTTGCAATAGAAAAATGAAGAAAAAAGCACCGTGATGACACCCAATTCTGTGCATTCTCTTTGCATAGAGTATCAATAAAATAAGTTATAAACAATTATAAATTATTTTAGTTGTAAACATATTTTAATAGTTATATAAAATATAAGTCATTAATATTTTTCAAATTTTACATACTTTTTATATTTAATAAACACACTTTGTCAATGCTGTGGAAATTAACTGAAGAAAACATTAAGTAAACTACTCCCAAAATCATATAGCAATAAAGCTCAAGTAGAATAATGGATGCAACAAATTGAAGCTCTTTATTAAGTGTTTCCCCAATATGGTGCTCTATTTATACTTATATTTTTCTTTTTTGTGCGTGTGCAATCAAAATTTAAACATTCGCTCTATGGAATCATCCCATTTTTTCAGGACCTTTGCAAAGTGTCAGATTCCTGAATTCCTGGAATGACCTTGAGAAAGCAACTTGTCAACTTTTAATTACTAAAGCTAACTCTATGAGAGCTACAATGCATTTATAAAATATCTGCTAAATAAGTAAAATTATCTAGAACTGAGTCCATCACTAATGAGATTAAGATGATAAAACTTTACAAAAAATTAGAATTAGACAATGGTTGTCAGAGATGTTGCCTTCTGCTTATTATTGATATTAAAACAAAAGCTAGTGATTGGGGTATTTTTACTTTTCTTAAATCCTAGAGTTTTTATATTTCTTGAAGTGTAAAACTTGAAGTAATTTTGTTTATGACCCAAATCCTACAATGTATTATAATTAAACTGTATACTTCTTGCTCCAAGTATTATAGTGCTTAGGAAATGTATTTGCTTCTTTTCAATTTAATTCCATTTATATTGCTTATTGAAATTTAGTTGAGAAAAAAGTTGGGTACTCAATCTATCTTTTCACCTAAAAAATTAACAATTTTGTGTTTTATGCAGATATCTAGTGGCCAAAAAGAGAATAGTTAATTGCCGATAGCTATGGAGATATCTGCTGAAGACATATACTGGTATAACACCAAAATTTGTCAATTCATGAAACTATAAAATATCTTGAATTGATGACAATATCTATGAATTCATTCTCTTTTTTTTTTTTTTTTTGAGATGGAGTCTAGCTCTGTCACTCAGGCTGGAGTGCAGTGGCGCAATCTTGGCTCACTGCAACCTCTGCCTCCCGGGTTCAAGCGATTCTCCTGCCTCAGCCTCCCGAGTAGCTGGGATTACAGGCACTTACCACCACGCCTGGCCAATTTTCGTACTTTTAGTAGAGACTGGCTTACACTGTGTTGGCCAGGCTGATATCAAACTCCTGACCTCGTGATCTGCCCACCTCGGCCTCCCAAAGTGCTGGGATTACAAGCGTGAGCCACTGCACCTGCCCTATGAATTCATTCTGAAGAGAACTAGGCTTTACTTATGAGAACACAAGAGACATTCACTTCTTGACGTTATTTTTTATGCTCAACTAAATGACTTTACTTAAATGATCAGTTTGCTCTTTCTACTTTTTATTTTGTAAAGAATATTTTCTGCACACCTACTAGAATAGCAAAAGTAAAATAAAATGGCAATTATAAACACTGGCACAGAACACAAACCGACTGGGACTCCTATATATGTCTGGTGACACAGCCAGTTTGGAAAACAGATTGGCAGTTTCTTATAAAGCTAAACAGGCTTCCCCTAGTCCCTTGTACTATCCAGCTATCTCATTTATAGGCTTTTACCCAAACAACTTGAAAGCTATGTTCATACAAAAACCCATATATGAATGTTTATAACAGCTTTATTCCTAGTCACCAAAAACTAGAAGAATTCAAATGTCCTTCATCTGATAAATGGATAAACAAACTGCCTTATAATCCTACAATCAGATACAGTTGTCCTCCTTTGTCCATGGGGGAGTATGTTCCAAGACCTCCAGTAGATGCCTGAAACCTCAGATAGTACCAAACCCTACATATACTATGTATTTTTTTCCCTGTACATACAAAACTATAATAAAGTCTAACTTATAAATTAGACATAGCAAAAGATTAATAACAATAACTATTAATAAAATAGAACAATTGTAACAATATGCTGTAATAAAAGTTATATGAATGTGGCTTCCCTCTCTTTCAAAATATTTTACTATACTCATGAAGGAGAAACTTCTTCATGAGCAGACAAAGCCTCTCCAGTAAGTTTTATATTTTTCAGTCCAATCCTATTCCTGAATCTGTGTAACCATCTCTTACTTGCAGCAAATGGCTCGGTGTGACATTTTACAGGGGATCCCTTGCTGAAGTCTTTGTGTAGGCTTAATGGTTTGTGGTGCAACACGTTGCTGTCAATCAGTACCCATTTCAGTTCATGCCTTCCACCCAAAATTTTAATGCCTTTTCCATTATAGCTAAGCACTTATCACACACTATAGTGACAACTTTTGCAGTGTGATGCCACAGCAATACTAGCATGAGTTTTTTTTTCTTCTCCACAGTTTTATGGGTAGATTTGTTCTGACTATAGATCTGAGGAACCTCAGAAGAAGATTTTTTTTTTCTTTCCTTAAGTTGAGGACTTTCACCTTTTCCCTTAAAGAAAACACTTTATGTCTTCTCTTTGGAATATCTGAATGGCTGGCATCCCTACTCTTGTGTTTTGGAGCCATTATGAGGTAAAATAAGGGTTCCTTGTTGTACAAGTACTTAGATACCATAACAGTCAGTCTAAAAACCTAGACAGCTATTAAGTGATTGATGAGCCAAAGGGTCCACAGTGTGGATCTGCTGGACAAAGTGAGGAGTCACGTCCCAGGTGAGACAGTGAGATGAAACAAGATTGAATCATGCTACTCAGAAAGCCATGTGTGTAATTAAACACCTATGAATTGTCTAATTCTGAAGTTTTCCATTTAATAATTTTGGACTGCAATTGACCTTGAGTAACTGAAAATGTGCAGATCAAAACTGGCAAGAAGACAGAAACGCTATACTCCTCAACAATTAAAAGGAATAACCACTGCCACATGCAATAACGTGAATGAATTTCAAATGAAAGAAGCCTGAGTTAAAAAGTTTTACTCTATATAATTTCATTCACATGACATTTTAGAAAAGTATACAAATAGGAAACTCATCAGTGGTGTCTTGAAGCTGTGGGGAGTGAGAGGGAATGACTGTATAATGACAACATCAGGGAATGTTTTGGGGTGATGGAACCTTTCTATATTTTGATTGTGATGGTTACTATATGGGCTCAAATGATGCAAAGCATAAAATTGCACAACAAAAAGGTGAATTTTACCACATGCACCATATAGCTAAACAACACCTAATAAAAATATATAATTTAATCATCAATAATCCTTTTTAACTCATATTATTTGCTTTATTTGTTGGAGTGATTTCTATTGCTTTAATCGAGTTAACAAATAGTTATTTTGTAAGCATTCTTGGTAATTAGATTGAAACATAATGTCATTTAAAGACTATTTCAATTATGCTCAAAAGTTAATGTTTGAATGATTGAAAGCAAAATGTTAGAAATAAGTGTTGTATTTTATTACATTTACTAATAAAAAAGCAAGTTTTCTCTTTAGAATGGTCTTGTGTGGAAACAAAAATCTGCAATTTACTAACAGTTCCAGTTGCCATTGTAAAGGTTTATTTTATTTTTACCTTTTTTAAAAAACAAAGCATAAAGACAGTTTCCTAAAAGGAAGGCAAAAAATGGAAATTATGCTCACACTACTCAATGCCATTCATTTTATGGGACTTTGTTTTGCAGTCATTAAAATCACTGACTTTTCCTGGGCATGAGGATATTAGATATGGGGGCTTTCTTTGTCTCTTTTTAAAGTAGTTTTGTTTGAAGTGATTTCATTCCTGTGAAAGAAGCAGAAAGCAGAGATAATTACAGCAGTGTGCTTTACAAGCTCACGGGGTTTCAACTTTTCCATAGTTACTTCTTGAATTAGTTCTATTATAAAAATAAAACCTTTCACAGCTCATTGTCACCGGTGTTATTGCCTAAATGAATCACTTCTCATCTTTTCTTCTTAATATTTGACAAGGCACAACTGTTTTCACAGAAAAGCTTTTCAGATCAACCTTTAAAATATCCTCTTTTTTTTTTTTTAAAAAAAAAAACGTTCTCAGCAGAAGAAAGGTAAAAGACAATTGTCTTGCAAACTGGGCACGTGAAACTTAATGAAATTACTAGCTTCACAAGAAAAGTTTGGATGATTAATCAATTTATTTTTTATGTGTCAGATTGTCCTAATTATCTTAATAAATTCAAAGCAGAACCATTCCTAATTGAAAAATCTATTACCTCTTGAGAATTTATAAATTGTAAATTAATAACTACATATTTGTTTTTAACATGGAACTTATCAGCATAAATTGTGAGAAATGTTTCCAGAATAGAAACTTCAATAAATATAATGCACTTATCATTTTATTACCAGATTATGGGCTAAATATCAAGTTGTATTTAAAGAAGAATTGATTGTTTTGTCTGGCTAATTATCACCAGATCTTTTCTCTCTACTCCTTCAGAACTCGAGACCTACTTCCAGTCAAAAAACAAACTGAATCATGGTCAATAATTGTGGGTCTCCGGACTACAGCAGAGGCTGTGATTTCCTACCAGTATGCCTATTGCCTATATTCCCCTTATGTAATAGACTGAATTATGTTCCTCTTAAGAAAGATAAGTCCAAATCTGCAGTTCTTCCAAATGTGACCTTCTTTGGAAACAGGGATATTGCAGATGCCACAAGTTAAGATTAGTTCATGTTGCAGTAGGATGTACTCCTAATCCAATATGACTGGTGGCCATGTGAAGATAATCATGTGAAGACAGACACACAGGGAGAGCTCCATGAGAAGATGGAGGCAGAGATTGAAATGATGCATCTACAAACCATGGAATGCTGATGATTGATGGCTATCACCCGAAGCTAGGAACAGGCAAGGAAGGATTCTTCCCTACATGTTTCAGAGGAAGCACAGACCTACAGATACCCTGATTTTGAACTGTTAGCCTCCAGGACTGTGAAACAACAGATGTCTGTTGTTTTAAGCCACCCAGTTTGTGGTACTTTGTTATAGCAGACCTAGGAAATGAATACACTTTGAAAACAAAACTCTTCTTCTTCTGTACCTGAAGTTGGTATCAGTCAGAAAATACATTTCCCAAGTTTTTTTGAAAGTCAGGTCTCCTTTGCATCCTGAAAAATGTAATTGTTTGCCTGCAACTCTATGTTTGTCTCTTCCATTGTGGGGGACATAAAATTCTGTTAAAAACAACCTCTGATAATGAGATTAAAAAAAACTAATATGGTGATTAAAGAGGATGTGATTATAGAGGTTACATATTTCTTACCCTCATTTAAACCTTCTTCAAACTACTGCTGAAAGTCATCACTAAAAGTCTTTCAGGAGATTGAGTATGCAGAGCCTAAGTGTACATGAATATTTTCTCTATGACAGTGAATTAACACCACAAATTTACACACACACACGTGCATGCGCACACACACACACAAATACTTGACTCATAATTAAATCTATGGATTAAATGCAATAAAAGTTAGCATAGCCTATTACTGTTTTTTTTTCCTACTCTGTCCATATCCACATGGGTCAACTAATTTAGTTGTTTATAAAATTGAATATTTATTAAAAAAGAAATTTTAAATCAGATGGGGAAGAAGAACAGGAGAAAAATTTTATTTCATTATTTTTTTAAGGCCCAGGCAGAAGATAGGCTTGCCTACTATCCTACTCAGAGATGCAAGTTTATTAGATTATGCCATGTGCATGGCTGTTTCTTACAGACTAGTAAAATTTTGCTTCTTGATTCTTTACTCAGATTTACTGTTTACATTCTAACATCTAGTGGTGGCATCATTCTTTTTTTAAAAAATTATACTTTAAGTTCTGGGTTACATGTGCAGAACGTGCAGTTTTGTTACATAAGTATACATGTGCCGTGGTGGTTTGCTGCACCCATCAGCCCGTCACCTACATTAGGTATTTCTCCTGATATTATCCCTCCCCTAGCTCCCTGCCCTCCAACAGGCCCCAGTGTGTGATGTTCGCCTCCTCGTGTCCATGTGTTCTCATTGTTCAACTCCCACTTATAAGTGAGAACATGCAGTGTTTGGTTTTCTGTCCCTGTGTTACTTTGCTGAGAATGATGGTTTCCAGCTTCATCCATGTCCCTGCAAAGGACATGAACTCATCCTTTTTTATGGCTGCATAGTATTCCATAGTGTATGTGTGCCACATTTTCTTAATCCAGTCTATCATTGATGAACATTTGGGTTGGTTCCAAGTCTTTGCTATTGTGAACGGTGCCTCAGTAAACATACATGTGCATATGTCTTTATAATAGAATGATTTATAATCCTTTGGGTATATGCCCAGTAATAGGATTGCTGGGTCAAATGGTATTTCTAGTTCTAGATCCTTGATGAATCGCCACACTGTCTTCCACAATGGTTGAACTAATTTACACTCCCACCAACAGTGTAAAAGCATCATTCTTATTATTTAAGGAAATGATCAAAATCCCAAGAGGAAAATTTCTATTCACAGGCTTAAATCAACTTTTTAATTCTAATCCCAAAAATCTAATAATCAAAAATATATTCCAGGAAATATATAGAATGCTTTTGAAAATAGTACAAATCTTAGCACTGAGAGAACTGACGAGTTCCAAGTTCAGTCAATAACTGTAGGCTTGGACAAATTATTAAATTTTCTATACTCTCAGTATCTTCATTTCTAAAATAGAAAAATAATACCTACAAAATAGGTTATATTAAAAGTGAAATTAAATATGGATTATAACATACCTAGCATATGGTGGTTGCTCCATGGATGTTAATTTCTCAGCACATTAATGTTAATATCATGTTTATGTTATGATTCCTCATCACAACACAGCATTTCACGTCACATAAGAAGAATCTCCATTTATGTAATCATTTATAAATCCCCACCCCACAGCTTCTGCTGACTTAATATTGGGATTATCATTGTTATTCATTGACTATTTTCTCAATGAATTTATGATCGTTTCTCCTAGTGATTCATAATTATGAAATATGATGTTAAAAGAGCTCAGTTACTAGGAATGTTACAGAATTAAAGCGAAATGTCTTTTACAATTCTGTCCACCAAACTTATTCGAATTCTTTGCAGCAACTACAGTCAGTGATCTTGTCCTGATCATCTAGGGTTCCCTTAATGGTTCTAAATTGTACCACATGCCCAGATCTTCAGATGTTCCAAGAACCAAATGTGCTGGAATTTCAACACACCAACCCCAACAATTGACTAGTGTAGGATTAAGAAAGTGTAGCACTCTCATATCAATGAAAAACAAACTCTGCAGTGGTTTTCATGACCCTGAGCCTTGCTGAATAAAGCTGAGGCCAGTATTTACCTGGTTGACTTCTTTCCCCTTTTCCAACAGGCCTCCCTTTAGTCCCTTACCAGATTCTCCTGGGACCATTTTCTTAATAAATCACCTCCACAAGAAACCTTGTCTCAGATTCTGCTCGAGGGAATCCATTAGACACTCCTTATACTGTTAAAACACCGTGGTCAAACCCAACATATTTAAAGAGAAATGTTCTGTGTAAATGATAAGCCATGATTAATCCATTTTAACATACACTTTTATTCTGTAAAAATCTTAGTGATTCAACCAAATAATATGAGCAGAATGTTTATAAAAATTCCTCATAATTGCATGCTTACCAAGATGTTGTGATTTTATTTCATAAGGTGTTATTATTATTAGCCTATTGTGAGGGTAACATACATTTTAACCACATCATGATTATACATTTATACAACTAATTTAACCTGACTTAAGTTTCCGAATGAATGATTTATATTTATGTACTCCTTTCACAAATGAAGTATCTCCACCTATTTTCTATGTTTTAATTATTTTGTTACCCTTTTTTACCCCTGTGGTGTAAATATTTTATATATATATATATATATATATATATATATATATATATATATATATATGCCAGACAAAAGTAATGGTATAGGATTTGTGTACATGGATTCATTAATAAATATGAAATAAATGTGTCCAATAAAAGTGCTTTCAAAAGTTTATCAAAACTAACAAAAATTTATCCATACGCATGTCACATTATTTTTCTCCATTTTCCCTTATTCACCAACTAATCTTATATAATGAAACAGAAGGTATAATATATTAGATGTTCAAAAATATGACTTTGATTTCTATTTATTCTATTTATAGGTTCTATTCTTCAGTAGACACAGTTCCAATTCCAAAAAAAAAATAACAGCTAAAATGCAAATATAGCTGAACAAATATCTGAGTATATACATATATATATATATTATATATATTTTAGATGGAGTTTCACTCTTGTTGCGCAGGCTGGAGTGCAATAGCACAATATTGGCTCACTGCAACCTCCACCTCCCGGGTTCAAGTGATTCTCCGGCCTCAGCCTCTCGAGTATCTGGAATTACAGGTATCCACCACCACACCCAGCAAATTTTTGTATTTTTAGTAGTAATTTTGTATTTTCACTATGTTGGCCAGGCTGGTTTGGAACCCCTGACCTCAGGTGATCCACCCGCCTCAGCCTCCCAAAGCTCTGGGATTATAGGCATGAGCCACCACTCCCGGCCATATCTGAATATATCTTATACAGCACATTAATAAACCTGTTGCTTAAAGCTCAGAATTCTAAGGGTACTTTGTTAAAATTTTCAATTTTATTCTTTTTGCTTAGTCTTGCTTTGGTTATGAAGGCTCTTTTTTTGTTCCATATGAATTTTAGGATTGTTTTTTCTAGTTCTGTGAAGAATGGTGGTGGTATTTTGATGGGAATTGCATTGAATTTGTAGATTGCTTTTGGCAGTATGGTTATTTTAACAATATTAATTCTACCCATCCATGAGCATGAGATATGTTTCCATTTGTTTGTGTCACAGTTTCTTTCAGTAGTGTTTTGTAGTTTTATTTGTAGAGGTCTTTCATGTCCTCGGATAGATATGTTCCTAAGTATTTTAATTTTTTTTTGCAGCTATTGTAAAAGGGGTTGAATTCTTGATTTGATCATTAGCCTGGTCACCGTTGGTGTATAGCAGAGCTACTGATCATGTACATTAATTTTGTATCCTGAAACTTTGCTGAATTCATGTATCAGTTCTAGGAGCTTTTTGGAGGAGTCTTTAGTATTTTCTAGGTATACAATTATATACCTAGTGAAAAGCCACAGTTTGACTTCTTTACTGATTTGGATGCCCTTTAATTATTTCTGTTTGATTGCTGTGGCTAGGACTTCCAGTACTATGTTGAACAGAAGTGGTGAGAGTGGGCATCCTTGTCTTGTTCCACTTCTCAGGGGAAATGCTTTCAACTTTTCCCCATTCAGTATTATGTTGGCTGTGGGTGTGTCATAGATGACTTTTATTACCTGAAGCTATCTCCCTTCTATGCCGATTTTGCAGAGGGTTTTAATCATAAAGGATGCTGGATTTTGTCAAATGCTTTTCCTGCATCTACTGAGATGATCTTATAATTTTTGTTTTTAATTCTGTTTATGTGGTGTATCACATTCATTGACTTGCCTATGTTAAACCATCCCTGCATCCCTTGTATTAAACCCACTTGATCATGGTGGATTGTATCTTTGATATGCTGTTGGATTCAGTTAGCTAGTATTTTATTAATGATTCTTTCATCTATATTCATCAGAGATATTGGTCTGTAGTTTTCTTTTCTTGTTATGTCCTTTCCTGATTTTGGTATTAGGGTAATATGGGCTTCATAGAAAGATTGAGGGAGAATTCCCTCTTTCTCTATCTTGTGGAATAGTGTCAATAAGATTGGTACCAATTCATCTTTGATTATCTGATAGAATTCAGCTGTGGATCCATCTGGTCCTGGACTTTTTTGTTGTGGGCAATTTTTAAATTACTATTTCAATCTCACCACTTGTTATTGGTCAGTTCAGAGTTTCTATTTCTTCCTGGTTTAATCTAAGAGAGTTGTATATTTCCAAGGATTTATCCATCTCCTCTAGGTTTTCTAGTGTATGCATGCAAAGATGTTCATAGTAGTCTTGAATGGAAGCATCACATTACGCGACTTTAAACTATACTATAAGAACATGGTCACCAAAACAGCATGGTTCTGGTATAAAAATAGGGACATAGACCAATGAAACAGAATAGAGAACCCAGAAATAAACCAAATACTTACAGACAACTGATCTTTGACAAAGTAAACAAAAACATAAAGTGGGGAAAATACACCCTATTCAACAAATGGTGCTGGGATAATTGGCAAGCCACATGTAGCAGAATGAAACTGAATCCTCATCTCTCACTTTCTACAAAAATCAACTCAAGATGAATCAAAGACTTAAATCTAAGACCCAAAACCATAAAAATTCTAGAACTTAACATCAGAAAAACACTTCTAGACATTGGTTTAGACAAAGACTTCATTACCAAGAACTCAAAAGGAAATGGAACAAAAGCAAAGATAAATAAATGGGACTTAATTAAACTAAAAAGCTTCTGCACAGCAAAAGAAACAATCAGCAGAGTAAACAGACACCCCACAGAGTGGGAGAAAATCTTCACAATCTATACAGCCTACAAAGGACTAATATCCAGAATCTACAAGGAAGTCAAACATATCAGCAATAAAACAAGAAGTCTCATCAAAAAAATGGGCTAAGAACATGAATAGACAATTATCAAAAGAAGATATACAAATGGCCAATGAGCATATGGAAAAAATGCTCAACATCAGTAATTATCAGGGAAATGCAAATCCAAACCACAATGCGATAGCACATTACTCCTGCAATAATGGCTATAATCAAAAAATAAAAAAATAGTAGATGTTGGCATGGATGCAGTGAAAAGGGAGAGCTTTTATGCTATTGATGGGAATGTAAACTAGTACAACCACTATGGAAAACAGTGTGGAAATTTTTTTAAAAACTAAAAGTACATCTACCATTTGATTTAGCAAGCCCACTACTAGGTCTCTACCCAGAGGAAAAGAAGCCATTATCTAATAAAAAGGAATATTTGAACACACATGTTTATAGCAGCACAATATGCAATTGCAAAAATAGGGAACCAGCCCAAATGCCCATCAATCAATTAGTGGATAAAGAAAATGTAATATATATATCACAGCTATATATACATGGTACATATACACACCATGAAATACTACTCAGCCATATAAAAGAACAAAATAATGGCCTTTGCAGCAACCTGAATGGATTTGGAGACGATTATTGTAAGGTAAGTAACTCAGGAATGAAAAACTAACGCTGTATATTCTCACTCATATGTGGGAGTTAAACTATGAGGATGTAAAGGCATAAGAATAATACGATGGACTTTGGGGACCAGGAGAAAGGGTGGGTAGAGGGTGAGGGATAAAAGACTACATGTTTGGTACAATGTACACTGCTTGGGTGATAGGTGCACCAAAATCTCAGAACTCACCACTAAATAACTTATTTATGTAACCAAACACCACCTGTTCCCCAAAACTTATGGAAATAAAAAGTAAATTCTATTTTAACAAAAAATTGAATATTTCATCAAGGGCTCCTTGAATGCACAGATCTTGTTTTTATTCCAGATTAAAAATACTGATATTATTTAAATTAAGTAAACTTAATGACTTCAGCCACTTGTAAATATAATTGATGGGATTAAACATTTTTTTTTGGTGACATCTGGTATGAAATTTTAGGTTTGCATTACTAATTCTATTTCACAGAGTAAAAAACTAAAGCTTCATATGATTAAGTTGTTTACCCAGGTCAGAAAAGTGACAAATCATGAAAGTGGGACTGTAATGTAGGCAGAGCCATATGACTCCAAAGGCTGTGCTTCCTTTCACTAACGCTGTTTTCCTCATAATGCATGAATATAGTATTCTAATGTTAACATGTAACTCTATGTAACCAAAAGGTTAATGCAATTTCAAAAGTATACTCAAATTGTAAAACAATCACACAGATTTTTAAAATAAGGTAAATGACATCTCACATAATAGAAAGGAAACACAGCATTAACTTTGGCTTTAATGGATTAATTAAATTTCAAAAGTCAAGAATATAAATTTATACAATCTTTTTTCAAAGGATATATTATGTTTTATATGAAAATCTGTATACTCGTTCGAAAATTATTTCTAAATTTAGATATATCTATCCTCTAAATATGTACAAAGATATATTAATAGTATCATTAACATATGCATAAAATATGAAGTTTGAAATGATATAAATATTCAACCAGAAAAGACTGGATAAATTTTTATGATATAATAGAACAAATAAATTCGAGATACAATTTGAAATAGGAAGATATATCTGTGATACATTATTAGATGGAATAAAGAAAATGTCTGAACAATATGCATAGTGTGATTTCATGTATGTAGAAAGTAAGCTAAATTACTATATCTATTTATGTACCTATGGATTCTAAAATTCATTTTTAAAACTCTGGAAAGATATATCACAACTTGCTCGGTGTTGTTAGCTCTGAAGTGAGAATTGGGACAATGCCATAAGGTGGCATTGTTGTGGTGATTAGCAGAGTTTTTCACCTCTTAATTCTCAATTCTTTTGAGCAATTCAACATTTTTTTTACTACATGTACTGAGGTATTGTTTAGCTATTAAAGTATTAATAGATATAGCTAGATGAATAAGTTCACTGTCTAGATCATTTCTCTAAAGTTTGTCAGAAAGCAAAGAACCAGCTGCCTCACTCATCAGCACCACAACACTGCCACTATCACAGAAGTAGGTAGTACCATTGTCAGTCTTTACTACCTCTCTGCAATTAGGTTAGATACTGTCTGGAAACTTTGGGCAGTTCTGGCACTATAATACGTTGTACAATAAATTGTAGAAATACTTCAGATTAGTCTCTTCTCATCTATCATTCTTACAAACCCTGATGGCCTAAAAAGGACAAGCATTTCTCTACCTCTATTTGCAAAATATAATATATTGTCATCTAAACTCTCATTTCTTATTGACATGCTCCTCTTTATTACCTAAATTATGTAACTAATCTTTCTCCTTTATTTCTCAATATGTTTTTGCTTTTCTCTCTGAAACTGCATTGGCATTATTTATAATACATTTAGGATCTGCTCCATAGCCTTCAGCTTTATGCAAATCCTGACAAAATCAAATGTAAATTTCAAAAAATTATTAAGATAAAATTAGCTTTACAATAATTTAGCTTGAAAATCCCTCGACTTTATCAACTGCAGAAAGGAAAGAAAAAAAATCAATGATAAATGTTGAAAAAGAAGTGACTGTCTACAAGGATCATCTAAATAGGAACTCCAAGATAACCAATCAAATAACTATAAACAAGATAATTCAGTAGGGGGACTAGAATGAATATTAGGGACTGAACTAAATAGCTTTCTGGAAATGATGTTTTTGAATATCACCCCAAAAGCACAGGCTACAAAAGGAAAAAAAAGGGAGTTGGATCTCACAAAAACTAGAAGTTTTCAAATTGAAAGACATTACCAACAGAGTAAAAAAGCCAGCCACGTGATAAGAGAAACTTTTGCAAATCGTGTATCTGATAAGGAGTTGATATCTAGAATATATAAAAATCTTGTATGGCTTAACAAGTAAAAAACAAATAATCTATTTGTATTTGTCTGGTCTCACACTGCTGTGAAGAACTACTGGAGACTGGGTAATTTATGAATAAAACAAGTTTAATTGACTCACAGTTCCACAGGCTTAACAGGAAGCATGAATAGGAGGCCTCAGGAAACTTACAATCATTGAAGAATGTGAAGGGGAAGCAAGCACGTCTTACCATGGCAGAGGAGGAGGGAGACAGCGAGTGAAGCGGAAAGTGCCACACATTTTCAAACAACCACATCTTGTGATAACTCACACACTATCACAAGAACAGCAAGGAGAAAGTCCACCCCTATGATACAATCACCTCCCACCAAGCCCCTACTCCAACACGTGGGGATTACAATTCGAGATGTGATATGGGGGGCGGGGGGACACAAAGCCAAACCATATCACTGTTCAAAAACGGACAAAGAAACAGAATAAACATTTCTTCAAGAAGATATAAAATGGCAGAAAAGCACATAAAAAAGATGCTTGACATCACTAATCATTAGGAAAACGTAAATCAAAACCACAATATGATCCACTCCATACCCGTTAGGATGACTGTTATCAAAAATGTATTTATGGATAACCAATCAGAACTGCCCTTGCTTTTGACAACACCCAATCCAGAACAAACTGGCATTTTCTTAAATTGTCCTCCAAATCCCCTGGCACAAATCCAAACCATGTATTAAGCCTCTTTTAACACACTTTTCCTGAGGTGCCCTGTAGTTCTCTCCAGCATATTAATAAAAAAACTGACAAACCCAACTGATGAACTGCTGGTGAATTCCTGGTGGTCACTGGCTACAGGATATCAAAAGTCATAAAATCATAAAGAATTTCTCCCATGGGCATGTTAAGGTGAAGGTAAAGGTGAAGGTAAAAATCCCTCCTTACTGTTTCTACAGCATCAAATATTGCAAACAATTTAATCATTACAATATGAACAGGAGGTAGGGAAATACTGGGTAGAAGAGGGCAGTTCCCCGGAAAAGGTCCCACCCTCAAGCCTGGAAAACACGACCATAAATAAGAGCAGTTATCCCTGTTTTTCTGCTCAAATGTTAATTTTTTGGCCTACTCTGCTCTCCACCCCCACCCTCCCTGTCCTGTGCCCATATAAACCCCAGGCCTCAGCTGGAAGAGAGATAAGCAGCTGAATGTTGAGAGGAGAAGAAGCAACTGAGCGTCCGAGACTAACTTCGGATGGTACAACTTCAGAGAGTAGCCCCATTGGAAACTGCTGGACTTCAGGGAAAGATCAGCTTCCTCTCGCACCATGCCCTTTCCAGCTCCTCTTCCTAATATTTAGTGAGTACTTACAATATTTTGGACACATTTTAAGCACATTACATATTTAAATTTTTTTAATCTTCTACCCAAGAGGCATAAGAGGTAAATGCTATTATATTTTTAATTTTCAGATTTAGAAACTAAGCCATAGTTTCAATACCTTGCCAAAAGTCACACAGTCAACAGGTAAATGAACAGAATTTTAATTTCAAATAGTTAATACTAGAATTCAGCATCTTAACTGATATATGTTGGCTATGTTCCCACCCAAATCGCATCTTGAATTTCCACGTGTTGTGGGAGAAACCCTGTGGGAGGTAATTGAATCATCTTTCCCACCATGCTGTTCTCATGATAGTGAATAAGTCTCAGGAGATTTGACGGTAATGTAAGGGGGAGTTTCCCTGCCCAATCTCTCTCTTTGCCTGCTGCCATCCCCTTATAAGACATGACTTGCTTCTCCTTGTCTTGAGTCATGATTGTGAGGTTTCCCTAGCCACGTGGAACTGTAAGTCCAATTAAACTTCTTTCTTTTGTAAATTGTGCAGTGTCAAGTATGTCTCTATCAGCAGCGTGAAAACGGACTAATACATTAACCATTAGGTCAAACTACATCTCACTGCATACATTAATGAAATAATGAATAACGTTATCCTTTAAATAGGGAGGATGTTGCATTTGGTCAGGACTCACAGGAACAATGATATTCTATTTTTCTGATGTACACTTGCTGAAGTCTAAATACATGTATAGTTTTTTTTTTTTTTTTTTTTTTTTTTGAGAGTTCTCGCTCTGTTGGCAGGCTGGAGTGCAGTGGTGCAATCTTGGCTCACTGCAACCTCTGCCTCCTGGGTTCAAGCTATTCTCCTGCCTCAGCCTCCTGAGTAGCTGGGACTACAGGCACATGCCACCACGTCCAGCTAATTTTTGTATTTTTAGTAAAGGCGGGGTTTCACCATATTGGCCAGGAAGGTCTTAAAAAATTTTGTAAAAATAACTACATTGCGTGGTCCACTGAAGGGTCATTCCTGAGATTCTAACTTGTTCCCTTGCCTTTGCTTTATTTTTGGCCCGAACAGGAGCTTAAAAAAATCCCCCTTTGATTCTTCTAGTAGTGATCTCATACTAAGGCCATTACATTTTCTCCCATTAGTGCAGTTTACAAGATCTAGGTCTTTCTGGAATCATGTCTCAGTGTACATCAGTAAGATGAACACTACATTTCAGAGAGCTTTCTAGTTGAGGAATATTTCAATGTAATTCTAAACAATATCCAGATATTATCCACATTACTTCTGTTAATGGAATTAAGGTCTTGAGTGTGAGTTGTCTAAGTTTTTGGCATGTTGAACAAAGAATTGTATAAAATGCACAAAAAAAGGAACAATACAACAGTGAAAGCAGAGATTTATTGAAGCCAGAGTACACTCCACAGGGTGGGAGTGGCTAGAGCAAGTGGCTCAAGAGCTCCAGTTGCAAAGTTTTCTGGGGTTTAGGTACTCTTTAGAGGTTTCCTATTGGTTACCCCCAGGTGAATGAAGGATTTGGCCTGTGGCCAATTAGAGGCTGAAGTGAATTGGCCCCAGCCAACTAGAGGCCAGTGATGAGTTGCCACCCTATGCAAATGAAGGCATGGTCCATGGCCAATTAGAGGCCTAAGCAAAGGAGTGGCCTACCTACTCAGAAGCCAGAGTGAATTGATGCCTTATGCAATTGAAGGAGTGGCCTACGGCCAGTCATAGGCACTTTACATTTGTGTTGGCAGTAAAGTGGGGGTTTTTAGGGAAAGTGGCTTCTGGTCTTTGGTACTTGGGCATGGAGAGGTGGGGTTTTCCCTCTGATCCAGTTCTGGGGAATCCGCACAAACTGGCCTTAGGTTTCCTGTCTCCAGACCCTATTCTCGTACCTCACTTTCTCTGCTCTCTAAGGGTAGCAAGTTTTTTCACCTGTTTAGTATTTTTCAGTCAACTAACCAGGGCGTGTTCAACTAGGCATTTAGTATCTAACACTGAGTGCCTTTCAGCAAATGGCCACATATTCTAATAGGCTTTATTAGTTTTTCCAGACAAATAAAATTTGCCTTATTTGGCTAAACAGATACAACCTATCTATGGAGTCATACTAATCAACCACAAACAAAGTGACTTCCCAACCAGAGGAATTTTCACCTTTGGTTCTCTAAAAATACGCATTCTTCTTTTAGTAAAGACCTGTGAACTGTCTTCTAGAGAGTGTGATATGACCTTAGCACAATTTTCTTCAGAAAATTGACAATACTATGTTGTCCCATCTGTTCCACAGTGTAGGGAAAATTATGTATGTTAGTATCAGATGTCTCAAGCAGCATTTGGGGAGTTTTCCTAAGATTCTACCATAATAATGTTACTTAACAGTAATGTCCCACTTTGATTCACCAGCAAAGAGTGTACTGACCTCTATGTTCGAAATTACAGCCTTTATCAACACTTTCCATATTGTCCTGTTGTGATTCACTTTTTCCGGGTGTTATTGTAAATTGAAAAACTCATTATGTAATTTTGATTTTTTTTTTTAGCCTCACACCAGTATGTAGAAATAAATGTGCTGTCTCCTCAGATTGGACTTCTATTCTCATAACTATGTATGCAATCAACATTTGGTTGTCATTCACTCATCAGCATAAATGTTATCCCTTTAAAAAGGACTTTCTTTACAACTTATCATCTCCAATTTTGGTTTCTTCTTTAGAATTTAAGTTTTATGAGAGCAGGAATATTTTCATATTCACATGGTACCTTCAGTACCTGAGTAGAATAGTGTTTGGGACAAAATATTTGCTCAACATTGATTTGGCAAATGAATGAATACTCTGAACTACACATGCGGAACTGAAATCTGAATTTCAAAAAGAGTTTATAAAATAACAAAATAACATTGATCAGATTTTTTTTCTTAATAACTACTGATCAAGTAAATGAACAATTACACATGTATTCATTGTATAAGATTGGGAAAGACTTTCATAACTCTGTGTGATGATATTGGAGTGTCAGGATTTTAAAAACAACTTGAAATAAAAAGAAAAACACTATTGTGCAGTGTTATACCTCTATTAACTCCCTTCAAATAACTCCATTATACAGAGGATTTTTTTTTCAATTTTAAGACCATTAAAATATGCATTATCATCAGCTAAAAGATTCAAGTGTAAATTTTGTACAGCACAAAAATACAAGATCTGACTTTAACATGCGTAAATAATAAAACAAAAGATTAGGTTGTATTTCACTAATTAAAATGTTATAGAATTAAAATGAACATAATTGAGCATTTCTATTTTCAACTGTTAAGATTTCCAATTTAAAATATAATCCCCTTTTCTATACACAGCTGGATAAAGTAATATGCTTATCAATTAGTTTCGTGAAATAAAGAAGGTGTGATTATGATTTGGCAATGAGATTTTCTTACACCAAGCCTATTTGTATTACATGCTTGGCAAATTCCTATAGGTATTTACGTTTTTGAGTCCAAAACTTAAAACTCTTACTAAGAAAGGAATTATCTCCTATTCTATATTTTGCAAAGTTTCTTTATCTTCCATGTGGTCAATAAATAAATCATTATTTAATCATGCACAAAAGTACTTATCATTCTTCTCTTCAGCTTGACAGTATTGAAAAATTAAAAATGACAAAACAGAAACCTACACACTCTTTTTGGCTAATCCTTTAGTTCCACACATAGCACCATTGACATGATGATTATAGCAAGGGCTGGATTTCATTGTAAGGCTGGGTCTTTTTAAAAAACAAAACGTGCTTTATTTGGTTTTTATCAAAAGCAATTGAAGCTGGTAACTTTGTTCTTCTAATCCCTTATGTAACATAATGTACATCAACAGATCCACCAAAACGTAGGTAGGCTCTGAATCTGCATATGATAAAGCACAATTTATTTACTTACCTGGATTTTTCTTCTCTCTCTTTCTTTCTTCCTTTTTTTTCTTTTTTTTTTTAAAAGAAAGACTTAGTCCTGGATTTTCAAAAGATCTTATTCAACTTGATAACCTCCAGGATCCCCTTCCCATACCCCTGATTTCAGCCTGGTTTCAAGGAACACAAAAACAGAATTTTGCTTTATAGTTTTCTCCACCAACCACTGATCGGTATTCTTAATCTTATTCAATTTGAGAAAATCAGGAACAAAATTATTTATGGCATTGTGGTGGGGAATTTCACATAAAGCGTGATCAAGAATACTGATTTGCAGGATTCTGGAATGAATCCTGGGCATCTTCATGTTTTTTAAGCTGAAGTTATTAATTGTAATTAGGGAGATCTTCAGTCCATAAAATGTGGTGTCCCCACTGACCCCCTGCCACCACTCTCCATTTCTGAACAACAAAGTTTATCTCTGCTTTCACCTTCCTGTCTTGGATCCTACCCCTTACCATGTCATGGGCAGATGCCTCTCACCTCAAAATGGAACATTCACCTTATTCCCACTTGTAGGCTGTGGCCTACTCTGTAATGTGCTTGTGCTTCTATTATGTTTGATGACACAGGTTAACATGCCCTAGGCACCATTACTAGACCAGATGCCATTTTATATTGTCATTGACATATATCAAGACCCAGTTTACTATATTCCTTGGGATTGGAAAAAATGAAAATTTTATTGGAGAGGCCAATGCTTAGTCATAATGGTATTTCTGACTTTAGTTCTGCCTAAATGTCCCAGTGGGTCAAGTTGTCTAATAGTTCAGTTGATGATCTTCTGGTAGTTAGAACAGATTTTTTAAAATTACAGATATTTCAAATTCCAGGGTAAGGAAATTATGCTTTCCTTGATAGGCAATATGAAGCCATTCATTGTATGATTTCGAAGAAGGCAGCAGAAAGATTATAGTTGCCCTTGAAGAAACTCGTTGAACAGTCTAACTTTGGAGAGGAAGGGAAAAGGAAAGCAAGGCTTTTCTTTGCTATGTTCTAGCTGAGTACAATTGCTTAAAAAAATAGTGACTGCTATAGAGGGTTCATTACTTTACATCACTTTACATCCCTTTATAGAACATTTGAAAATTTATACAAATACTTCCAAAAATAGATTTTTATAAGGCCAGAGTCACTTTTGTTTATTTTCATATGTTATTTACAAAAGTGCTGAATGCAAAAATGAAAACACATGTGTAGTATGTTTGTGTTTGCTTCATGTGTCTATATAACCTGTATTAAAGCTAACTTATTAGTTTAGCTTGGAACAGTATCTGAAACAATTTATTAAATGGCCTTATTACAAAAGCTAGTCTGGAGTCACTGAAATGCAAAATTTCCATAGTGCACACCAGTTTAGCACCATTTGTCTCATTAACTATTCAGATCTCATGCAGAGAAAAGGAGAGTTAACACTTAAAGGAGATTTGTGTAAAATATTTGGACAAGCTATAATCAATGACTGCATTTTCCTTCTTCGTTGAGTTAAAGCAAACTTAAAAGACTTCACACGTTACAGAAATTGTTAAGAAAGTACTTGTGAATGTAGTATCAGTGGAAAATATTTATATTTAGAATAAGGGGAAACTACAATTTATTGTTCATTTTTAGGTAAAACCCAGAACTAGAGAACACTGACAAAATGTTGAAATGTTGAACATACAAATGTTACCCTGTATATGAGAATTAGCTACTGTCCTATCATATTCCATGTAGCGTCTATATTTCAATCCATGTTGATATGTCCCAGTACCTAGTCCAGTCCTTCCAAGCTGATCCACACTCACAGCGAGAGAGAGAACATTTATTTTCATGACTTAGCTTCAGCTGTCTGCTTCTGACGATAGATATGAATGACCCTCATTCAAGTGATTAACCAAATGAAAACTTCCTTCCATGTCATTAATAGATCTTTTGCACTAAAATCAAAGTAAAATTAATCTTTTTGGATTAAATAATTGGATGCTTAAGTAATCTAAATAGTAGCTGTGAAGACATGGTTATTGCTACTGTAACTTAATCCTACTTTCTCTTACTGTACACGTACATTTTTCTGAGTAGCAAGATACATCAGTGACTGTAATCACAAATGGGAAAATATCCAGGAATTTTATAATGGGCTGAGAAATAAATGAAAAGAAATGTTACAATTAAAACCTAAAAAAAAAATCACTGGTAGTGCATAAAGTGATTCTAAAGGGAGAATGCTAGGTTTTCTAAAATGTATTAATATATTACCTTCTAGATACTTAACAAATGTCTTACTGTTAGATAGTTGTGTGTGTGTGCATGCATGTGTGTGTGTGTGCCTGGAAGAAAGACATTCACCTGGAACTCCTTCTGATCAGACTTTGATTTCCAGATGCAATCACTATTTTGGAGTTTGGTTCTGCTCACAGCATCCTAATGTGAGGTTCTGCCTGATGTCTTTTTCGAAGTGACCACTTTGCAGGTTGTTGAGCACTAGGTAAGCCATTGTTTGCCAGGGTTTGGCCAAAGACCAGAATGAGTCACTTTGCTTTAAATTCAAGCTTTGGTATGCCTTTCCAAGATCATGTGAGTGAGTGTGTAAACTGTGTGTATGTATATGCATAGATGTGTGTGCATAATTGGTTAACAGCTCACCCAGTTCATTTCCTCAAACAACACTACTTATGAATCCTCCACTGATAACATTAACATCTATAACAGCAGCACACTAATGACAGATGTCACAGAGCTCTGTGTGTCCAGTACAGTGCAAAATATAGCCTATCTTCCCGAATTTTTAAATGTCTTTCTGAGAAGGGGATTATTGTTTGAAATTTTGTAATTAGTCATGCCTCGATTAAGTATTTATTGAGTGCTCCCTATGTGCCAAGCCCCAAAGTAGGCAGTGGGGTACAAAAGTGAACAAAACACGCAAACTGGCCTAGTTTTGTGTTGTTCATATTCTGGTATGAGGAAATATGCAGCAAGCAAAATTAAAGCTACTAGTTTACATAGGATGTTAGAAGGTAATTAGGGCTATGAAATGTAAAGCAGGTAAGGGGGGCATACGAGTGAAGAAGAGGGGATTGCACTGTTATCTGTTGTAGTCAATTAGGTTTGGGTTCATAAAGAAAGTGACTATTGATAAAAAGTTTAATGAGGGGAGACAAAAATTATCTCAGGTAGAGGAATAACCAGCAGAAAAGCCATGAGGTAGACCTTGTCTGATATTTGAAGACCATCATGGAAGCTGTTATGTCTGGAATGGAGGCAACAAGAGAGATAGTAAAAGCAGGCAAGGTCAGAAACAGAAGGAGTGGGGAAATTGTAGTCTCATATACACCTTTGAGCATGGGGCTAATAAGAGCTCATCTACGGGTTTTTAAAAAAATATTCCCTGTTACTCTCTAGAGAATATGCTATAGAAAGGCAAATGTGGAGATAAAGATATCACTGAAGCGCGGCTTGTGCAATAAATGAGAAAAAAAAGAAGATAACGTGTTGGTTTAGATAGAAGATTTAAAAATTGTCCAGTCACATACTAGGTAAATTTGAATCCAGGTCTGCCTTACTTCGGGTTTACACCTGTGCATCCTGTGTGTCTGATCCAGCATGGTGATGACTCTGTTCACCTTTGGACAGTGAGTACAAGTTTATTTCCTGGAGTTCTGAAAGACATCAGGAAGAGGATCTTGAGACCAAGTGTTATGGTTAGAAGGACTGGCTTTGGTTTTGACAAAACTGTGACACTGGTAAAAGCCTAGCTGTGTTATAATTTTAAATAAATATTTCCTTGCGTTGGAACTTCCAGTGTCTGGGTAGCCCACGTAGAGCAAGAGGAATGAGCATTTCTACAACAATGACATAAGGAAAGCAAGGAACAAATAATGCCATGCTACTGAGTGAAAGAAATCAACAGAGTTGCATATATATATATATATATATATATATATATTTTTTTTTTTTTTTTTTCCCAGGCTGTGAGAGCAGTTCTTTCAGAAAGGGCACACTGCTGTGAATTCTTCTTACTGTTCTGTGGAGCATGAAGACATGGCAGTTATTTTATTTTTTGAGAGAGTAAGTAACATTTCTGCTCTCAAAAGTTTCAAATCCTATCCTAAATCAATAGTCTTGAAGTGAGTATCTAGATGATTCTTGTGATAATTTGAAAGATGCTCTAAATACTGGGGAAATAATGAAAAGATGCATCCTAATGAAATGGAGTAAAATTAGATAAATAGAATAAAATATATTCATAAATTTTGTTTTCATTGTTTCCAGAGAAGAAAATATAATAAAAATGTCACATAGATCAAAATCTGTCCATGTAAATTCAAGGATATGTGTATCACCATTTTGTTTTCAAAAAACGAATGCTGAATAATAAGTTTAATAATATGTTTAAATTATTTTATATGTCTTTAGAATTATTAGGATTATATTCCAGAAAATCATAGTAATTGAGTATTTACCAAGACAGCATGGATTTGAAATGCAAAGGAAAAGAAAACCTGCAGGTTTGCCTGATTCGGATGATGTTTAGGCCTTATATTTCTTGGTTTTAGACAGTAAAAGTGACACTTTTTATGCTTGTATTATGTGGCTAAGTACAAAATTAGTGCTCAGCACACTGAAGCAGGGGCAATGGTGTATAATTCCCAATATTCTAAAGGCAGAGTTTATAACTATACTAAGGACACACACACACACACACACACACACACACACACACACACTGCATACTAGAAAATATTATTAGAGAACATCAATAAATATTATGCTGTTTTCAAAATTTAACTATTATGATTAAAAATATTATTAGAGAACATCAAGAAATATGTATTATGCAGTTTTCAAAATTTAACTATTAAGATTAAAAAGGAATTTCTCTTCATTAACATCATTAAGAATTTTAAATTAGTTCTAAAAGAATTGGCTCTGGCTTTAACAGACTCTGTGATTTTAAAGACAGATTTAAGAAATACATATTTAATATCAGCTGATTAGTCATAATAGTATATTATTTCCCACTCTTGTATGTTATAATTTTTAATGCAAACTTATAAACTTAAATTAGTATTTTTGTTATCCCTTTCTAAATGTCAAGGATCCCATTTTACTCATCATTTATCCACACCCAAAAGTTTTTTCAGCCTTTATCCTCTTCCACTTATTGTGTTAACTCATCCTTCCTTTCTCAGGCAAATTACTCTTCTAGTACATTTGTCTGTTGCCTTTTCTTCATTATTTTTCACTACTCAATCTGGCTTCATTTTTTCAATCTGGCTTCATTTTATCAAAGTCTCCACTAGAACTGTGTCACTAATTCTGAAATTTTCCTAGCTTCAAAGCCAATGCAAACTTCAGTGTTGATTTTCCTTAATTTTTTTGGCAACATCTCTCTCCACTGAATAATCCCTACTTTCAAAAAAGGCTTCCCAATGAATTCCTTGAAAAACACTGAATTGGTTTTCCTATTCTTCTCATAATTAAATCCAAGACTTTTTATTTTATTATCTTCTCTTCTTACATCTACCATTTAAATGTTGTTCCCCAGTTCTCTATGAAGAACCTTCTTCTCTGCCAATCTGCATGTCTGTTTCATGAGACCATACTCATTTGCCTTCTTTCACTTATTACCAAACTCAGGCAAATCCAAATACACATAAACAGCCTAATACCTGGTCTTCTAACCTGAGAACCACCACATTGAACCTCTGCTTCACAAATGCTTGTGGATTGTCTCATTACCTCAATCACAACTTTTCTAATAACAAATTTATTTGTCCTCTGTGAATGATCTTCTTTTCAGAAATCTTTACTATAGTGAAAAGAAGCTCATTCAATGAATGTTCCAAATAACCAAACCAGAAACATCCTTCTCATTGACTCTGAGTGATATCTAGGGGTATGGCTTGTCCTCCCAAAACTCAGGTCCAAATTTGATTCTTAATGACAGTGTTTGGAGGTGGGGTCTAGTGAGAGATATTTGGCTCATGCAGGTGGATCCCTCATGAATAGATTAATGCCCTCTCACAGGGGTGAGTGAGTTCTTGCTCTTGAAGGAATGAATTACTGGTAGGTACAAAAGTAATTGCAGTTTGGGCCATTAGTTTTAAATGACAAAAACCACAATTACTTTTGCACCAACTTACTAATTCCTGAGAAAGAAGGTTGCTAAAAAAAGCCTGGCATCCTTGGTTTTACTCTTTTGCTTTCTTTTTCACCATGTAATGTCTATGAACATGCCCACACCAAGTATTGGTTTTCTGCCAAGTATTGAAACAGTTTGAGGCCCTCACCAGATGCGGCTGCTCAATCTTGACCTTTCTAGCCATCAGAATTGTGAGCCAATTCTCTTTTCTTTGTAAATTCCTTAGTCCTAGGCATTCTGTTACAGCAACACTAAATAGATTAAGGCAGAAAATTGGTACTGAAGAGTGGGGTGTTGCTATACAGATACCTGAAAATATGAAAGCAGCTTTGAAGCTGGGTAATGAGTAATGGCTGGAAGAACTGGAAGAAGCAGTCTAAAGAGTCTGTATTGCCATAAATAGAGCATTAATGGTAATTCTGCTGAGGGCTCAGAAAAAGTCAAAAACACAATGGAAAGTTTGGAACTTCTTAGCCATTGGTTATAGGGTTATGGCCAAAATGCTGATAGAAATATGGAAAGTAAAGGCCGTTTTGATGAAATCTCGGGTGGAAATGAGGAACAACATCATATTGGGTACCACAGAAAAGATCATCCTTGTTACAATGCAGTGTTAGGGCATAAACACAATGCAGCCAAGTTCTTTGCTGTGGGCCCTCTCATCACAGGCCCACAGCAAAGAACTTGGCTGCATTGTGTTCATGCTCTAAGAGTTATGGAAGGCAGAACCTAAGAGTTATGAACTAGTATACCTAATAGAAGAAATTTCTAAGCAGCAAAGCAATCAAGAAGCTGTGTGGTTACTTTTAACAGCTTACATTGAGTTACAACAACAAAGGGATAAACTGAAGGCAGCATTTACAATTAAAAGGGAAGAAGAGTGTAAACATTTGTGAAATTCACAGCTTGGGCATTTGGTAGAGAATGAAAGAGCATTTTCAAAAGAGGGAGTCAAGGGTGCATTGGCTAGGACTTTTTGCTGAAGGAATTAGCACAGATAAAAGGGATCCAGGTGCTAATAGTCAAAACTATAGGAAAAAAGCCCTAAAGATATTTCAAAAGTATTCTAGACTACCCCTCCCATCACAGGCCCAGAAGACTAGGAGAACATAATGTTTTCAGGGCACTGGCCCAGGGCACTACTGCCTTGAGATGTCTTGGGAGACTGCTCTCTGCAACCTGGCCACTCCAGATGGAACAGCCATGGCTCACATTGCCCAAGGTGAGGCTCATGTCACCACTTGCAAGGGCACAAGTAGGAAGCTTTGGAGTCTAGATAGTCTTAATTCTGCAGGCACATGGAATGCAGGAACTATGGAGAGATGGCTTCCTCCATTGAGATTTCAAAACATTTACAGAGAAACCTGCAGGCCCAGGTAGAGACTTGTCACAGGGACTGAGCCAGTCCAGAAAATCTCTACTAGGGCAATATTGAAAGGAAATTTAGGGTAGGAGATACTGCAGAGAGTCCCCACCAGGGCAATGCCCAGGGTGGGGAAGCTGCTGGAACCCTAGAATTGTAGTAACTGGAAGCATCCAATCTCAGCCTGGAAAAGCTGTAGGCACGTAGGTGGAAACCATGAAAAAGCCAAATGGATTGCTCTGAGCAGTCAAGGGATGAGAGTGCCAGAGGCCTTGGGAGACTACTCCTTGCACCAGTGTGACCAGGATGTGGGACATGAAGTCAAAGGATATTATTCTGGAACTTTCATATTTAATGTTTGCACTGCTGAGTTTCAGACTTGCTTGCATTAGGGGCCTATTATTTCTATCTTCTTTTAGTTTCTTTCTCTCCTCTTGAATAGGAATGTCTACCCTATGTCTATTCCACCATTGTATCTTGAAAGTAAATAGCTTGTTTTTGATTTTATAAGGTCAGAGCTGGACTTTGAGGCTTTTAAGTTGGTGCTAGAACAAGTCAAGACTTCTGGTACTATTGAGAAGGTATGACTGATTGCATTTTGCATGTGAGAAGGACATGAGTTTTGGGGACCTAAGGGCAGAATTACATGGTTTGGATATGAATTTTCTCTTCCAAAACAAATGTTGAAATTTGATCCTCTGTATGGGGGTATTGGGAGATAGAACCTCATGGTAAGTGTTTGAGTCATATAGTCAAATTTCTCATGTATAGATTAATGCCCTCATTCCCACAGACAGGAATTGCTCTCACAAGAATGATGCAGTATTTCTTGAGAGAGAAAGTTGTTAAAGAGAGTCTGGCTTCCTCAGCTTTTCTCTTGTTTCCTTTCTTACCATATGATCTCTTCACACATAACTGCTTCCCTTCTGCTTTCAGCCATGAGTTGAAGCAGCTTGAGGCCCTCACTAGATGCAGCTGCCCAATCTTGGACATTCCAGACACCTGAATTTTGAGCCAAATAAACTTTTCTTTATGCATTAACCAGTCTCAAGTATTATTGGCAGCAACACTAAACAGACTAAGACATTTAGCCAAGTCACAGAGTTCTATAGATTTTAAGTATGTGACAGCTACTCAAATTCCACACTTCCAATACCCTTGTCAATGTTTTCTTCCACCTATCATCCTTTCTCTAAAAGCTGCTTAATAGGCTCACTATTTTGAATCTGGATTTTCACTGACAATCTATGTTATATTCAACAGCTAGAACAATTTTGCTTTCAGAAGGAGAGAAAGAGTTTTTTTTTTTTTCCTGTAGCACAGTAATTTCATTTCCAAGAGACCTTGGCTTACCAACAACCATTATACAAATAAGTTTTACATCCTAGAAAAATGTGTTAGGAAGTTTCTAACTAACTAGCATCCCCCACTCCCGATATATACACATATGAATTTGAATGTTAGGGATTTTTAATGTCTATGTAATATATGAAGAAGTTCTTCAAATTTTATCAGCAAATGTGAACCCTAGGGAGACATTTATTTTGCTGGAATGAATAAATTTATGAGATCCTTAGGATCAGTTCTTGGGGGGCATAATGTCCCCAGATAGCATACTTTAGTAAATGCTTATTGTTCTACTAATCTCCAAGTTCCTGTTTGCTCAGCTACATATGTCACCATGTCACTGGGAATAAAAACTGGGTTGTTAAGGAGAATACAGAAAAAAAATTCACAGCTCCTTAAGTGAATAAAAAAGGGAAAGATAAATTATATAGCAGGGGAAATAAACTTTGGTGATAGAATGGAGATTTTTAACTGGAAATGTCATAAAATCTTTCCTGATTGAAGTACAATATGAATTTACCCTGAATCAATCCTTTTTCTTTCTTCCAAACAAATTGCTATTGGCATAACACAACACTCAGTCTTTTATTATTTGATCTTATCACTTCCAATTAGTTGTAGGTGTTTTTAAAGTGTAGTACAAATCTCTGTGCCTTATAAATGCACTCAGCATTGTAACATAAAACCTGGCTTTCTCCATTCTCAACCTATGCTTTGTAGTTCTCTATATTAATTATTCTTATCTGATGTGTGCACTTCTCTCATTCTTCCATTGCATTGTAAAATTCTTAGAAGACAGAAGTCATATCTTTAACCTGCATCATACTTTCCACAACCTCCCCACTTGTCTTTCCAAAATCTAAAATATTGATTTAAATATTTTATATATTATAAATAGTATGCCAGCAATTTTTAAACATAATTTTCAAAAGATGAAAAAACCCCACAAACCTCTTGGCTTTTCAATTCAACTCTCTACTTGCACTTTATCTCTACGTGCACTATTATTATTACTCCTTCTGTATGAAATAAACCAGAAAATAAACAAAATATTACAATCTGTTGGAATTATATTGTGTTTAAAACCAATCTGCTAATCACACAGAAAAACCTCAAATAAGCCTTTTATATGTATAAAAAAATGAAGCAGTCTGAATTCCACTGCTGTTTACTTAGTTTTTATTTATAGCTACCAAAGTCGCAAATATTTCACCCTAAGAAATTTGTTTGAAGGTAGAATTCCAGTATTCCCATATAAGGGCTGCAAACCAAATAACACCATCACTGCCACAGATTATTGCTTTATAAATAGTCACACCAAAATGCATCTTGTGATTATTATTTTATCAGAATTAGGTAGCAATATGAACTATCTATTTTCTTATGTTATAAAGGGAAGTCTATATTGTACAGAATTGCATTTTAAATATAATGATTCTGCTTTCCTACTTCTATTACAATCATTGTCACATGTTAAGTCTTCTTCTAATACCAGACCAATATATGGACAGTTCATAAAATAAGTAGTTTTTGTTTTTACAGAAGAAACAAAATATCTTGAAGTGCTACGGAGCAATTGTTATGTTTCTTCATCTCTTGGAGAGGCTCTTACTGTTGCTGTAAGTCCTAGTGAGTTACAGTTCTTTTATAACATGAAAAAAGATAATGGCTATAATACCACTATGTGAATTTCAACTTTCAACTCTCTCTCTAAAGTTAAAAGTTAGCTTTCAAAGCTTTTAGAAGGCTGCTGCCCTTTCAAACTACATTTCTAGTGCATCAGTCTTATTGATTTATTCATAGTAAAAGTTATCTGCTCCTTCCTTGTGTGTGAAACTAAAGAAGGGCTACATAAGTGCCTCCTAAACCATGGCAACCTTCTCAGATGCACTTGGCTAAATAGTGAAAACGTATTCTTTCTGGTCAAGACAATGGTCAGGCTGGAGAGGAAAAATGGAGCTCTCAGTGCCAACAAGGTTAAGTCATAAATTTTAGTTTACCACCAATATCAAATGGGAAATGTTTCACCATTCCAGGAACTATTATTTCCAGAAAGTGATAGAGCCTCTCCAGTAATAAAAGCATTGATCCTTAACTGAACTCTGAGTATCTGATGTAAATTGGAGGAGTCTTTTTGAAGGAATCCATTTCTGTAGTCTCAAAGTCCTTCAGTTTAATGTGGGTGAATGCATATTAAAGAAATGAGTGAGGCAGCTTAATTTTACCATTCAAAATACAGAACTAGAAAGAGAAAAAAAAAGACTTCTTTTGGTTATAATACAATCTCTCATTTCTTTTTATTTATGTATTAATCATACACATTATTTATACTCTGTTAACCTCCCTTTTGCATTGTATGATTTATTCCATGTGCCAATTTATATGCAACTAAATTATTTATTATCATGTAAAGGTTTATAAGGCAGAGAAAGCCTACAAAAGCTTTACTTTTGTCCAATAATGAAGAAAATATACAATATGCAAGTTCTTTTCATTGACTTTATTTTTTGTCCATTGAAAATAATAGAATACATTCTCTAGTATTGGAAAAAGTCCACAATGCCTAGACTTTCCTAATTCCATATAAAATAAGATAAAGTAAGATAATTCCACTTAAAGGAAGATAAATGCTAAGGTGGTTTTATCTAAATGGTTTGATACCTAGCACTCATTCTCCTTTTCAATACTTATATAGATAATAGCAAAACATATTATGATAGAAGCAATGATGAAGTTATTACTCTCTGAAAAGTAACTATAACCAAAGAATTCTCCAATGGTGCTGATTGGTCCTGACCCATTCAGTCAGTGATATGGCAGTGGGTCTGATGTGTGGTTAACAGAGATTCTAAGCAGAATTATAGTGCTTCATTCTTAAATATAAATTGCCCAGGAGCACCTGGCATTTGAGGTAACCATTTAATATAAAAAGATAACAAAGCCTATTTGATAAAATAGAAACATAAAATACTTGTTAGCCTTATGGTAACTTCAAACCAAAAAACATACAATGAATGCACACACAAAATTTAAAAGCAATAAACTAAATCATCTTATTAGAGAAAATTACCTTCACTAAAGAAAGACAGGAATGAAAAAAAAGAAGAAGATATCGGAAAACAACCAGAAAACAACTAGCAAAATGGCAGGATTAAGTCCTTACTTACCAATAATAACATTGAACTTACGTGGACTAAACTTTCTAATCTAATAATAAGTAGTTAAATGAATTATTTTAATATGTAGTTGAATGGATTAAAAAACAAGACATATTGGTCTGTTGCCTACAACAAATACACTTCACATATAAAGATACAAGTAGACTGAAAATATAGAGATGGAAAAAGATTCCATGTCAGTGGAAACCAAAAAAAAAAAAAAAAAAAAAGGCAGGAGTAGCTGTACTTAAATCAGACATAATATATTTCAAGACAAAAACTATAAGAAATGACAAAGATGATCACTATGCAATGATAAAGGGGTCAATTCAGCAAGACAATATAACAGTTTTAAATATGCATGTACCCAACACTGGAGCACCCAGATGTATAAAGAAATTATTACTGGATCTAAAGAGAGAGAGAGAGAGATAGGCCCCATTATAATGATAGATGGAGACTTCAAGATACTACTTTCAGCATTGGACAAATCTTCCAGACAGAAAATCAACAAAGAAACATCGGACTTAATTTGCACTATTGATCAAATGGATCTAGTAGATATTTAGAGAACATTTAGAACATTTCATCCAATGGCTAAAGAATGAACATTCCTTTCCTCAGCACATGGATCATTCTCAATGGTAGGCCATATGTTAGGTCACAAAACAAGTTTTAAAATATTCAAAAAATTGAGATAATATCAAGTATCTTCTCTGACAAAACATGAATAAAACTAGAAATTAATAACAAGTGGAATTATGAAAACTATACAAATACACAAAAATTAAACAATATGTTCTGAATGACCAGTGGGTTTATGAAGAAATTAAGAAGAAAATTGAAAAAGGTCTTGAAACGAGTAATGGAAACACAATATACCAGAACATTTTGGATATAGCAAAAACACTATTAAAAGGAGAACTTATAAGTGCTTACATAATAAAAGAGGAAAAACACCTGATAAAGAATCTAATGATGCATCTCAAAAAACTAGAAAAGCAGAAAAGCAAGAGCAAACCAAACCCAAAATCAGTAGAAGAAGAAAAAAGTTCAGAGGAAAAAAATGAAATTGAAATGAAGAAAACAGTACAAAAGATCAATGAAACAAAAAGTTGGTTTCTTTGAAAAGTTAAACAAAAAGACAAACCTTTAGCTGAACTAAGAAAAAAAGGAAGATTAAAATAAATAAAATCAGAAGGGAAAAAGGAGACATTACAACTGATACTTCAGTTATTTAAATGATCATTGGCAGCTACTATTAGCAACTATATGCCAATAAAGTGGAAAATCTAGAAGAAATGAACAATTTCCTAAATACATACAAACTATAAAGAATAACCAGGAAGAAATCCAAAACCTGAACAAACCAATAACAAGTAACAAGATTAAAGCCATAATAAAATGTCTCCCAGTAGAGAAAAGCCCAGGAACTGCTGGGTTTCCTGCTGGATTTTACCAAGCACTTAAGGAAAGAATACAAATCTTACTCAAACTATTCCAAAGAATAGAGGAGGAGGGAATACTTCCAAACTCATTTTCCAAAACCAGTATCACGTTGATACCAAAACCGGACAAAAACACATCAAAAAAAGAAAACCACTGGCCAATATCTGTGGTGAATATTGACACAAAAATCCTCAACAAAATACTAGCAAACTGAATTCAGCAAACATTAGAAATATCATTCATTATGACAAAGGGGGATTTATCCCTGGGATGCAAGTATGGTTCAACACATGCAAATCACTCAATTTGATACATCATAACACCAGAATGAAGGATAAAACCATAGGATCATTTCAATTTATGGTGAAAAAGCAGTTGATAAAATTTGACATCTCTGCATGATAAAACCCTAAAAAAACTAAGCGTAGAGGGAACATACCTTAGCATAATAAAAGCAGTATACAATACGCCCTCAGCTAGTATCAGACTGAATAGGGAAAAACTGAAAGCTTTTCCTCTGAGATCTGGAACATGACAAGGATGCCTACTTTCACCAGTGCTATTTAACATGGTACTGGAAGTCCTAGCTAAAGCAATTAGACCAGAGAAAGAAATATAGGGCATCCAAATTGGAATGGAAGAAGTCAAATTATCCTTAATTCAAGATGATATGACTCTACATTTAGAAAATTTTAGAGACTATAAGAACATTATCAGAATTGATAAATTTAGTAAAGTTGCGGAATACAAACTCAACCTACAAAAATTAGTAGCATTTCTATGTGCCAACAGTGAGGCATTTGGAAATAGATTTTTTAAAAAGTAATCCCATTTACAATAGCCACACATAAAATTAAATGCCTAGGGCCGAACATGGTGGCTCATGCCTGTAATCCTAGCACTTTAGGAGACCAAGTAGGGGGATCATCAGGTCAGGAGTTCGAGACCAGCCTGACCACCCTGGTGAACCTCCGTCTCTACTAAAAATACAAAAAAATGAGCCAGGCATGGTGGTGTGCGCTTGTAATCTCAGCTACTCAGGAGGCTGAGGCAGGAGAATCACTTGAACTCAGGAGGCAGAGGTTGCAGTAAGCCAAGATTACGCCACTGTATTCGAGCCTGGGCAACAGAGTGAGACTCTGTCTCAAAATAAATAAATAAATAAATAAATAAATAAATAAATAAATAAACAAACAAACAAACAAACGCCTGGGAATTAACTAAAGAAGGGAAAGAGCTCTATAATGAAAACTGTAAAACACTGATAAAATAAATTGAAAAGGACACCAATAAAAAAGGAAAAATATGCCATGTTCATAGATTAGAAGAATCAGTATTGTTAAAATGTTTGATATGGCCAAATTTCATTTTGAATTATATGTAGTTCCCATAATCCCCACGTGCTGTGGGAAAGACCCAGTGTGAGGTAATTGAATCCTGGGGGATGTTACCTCCATGCTGTTCTCATGACAGTGAGTGAGTTCTCACTAATGTGATTGTTTTATAAGAAGCTTTTCCCCCACTTCACTCTACACTTGTTGCTGCCACCATGTGAAGGAGGACATGTTTGCTTCCCCTTCTGCCATGATTGTAAGTTTCCTAAGGCCTCTTGAGCCATGCTGAAATGTGAGTCAATTAAACTTCTTTCCTTTACAAATTGTCCAGTCTTGGGTATGTCTTTATTAGCACTTTGAGAACAGACTAACACAACAAATTGGTACTGAGGGAGTGGAGCGCTGCTGTAAAGATACCCTAAAATGTGGAGACAACTTTGGAACTGGGTAACAGGCAGAGGTTGGAACAGTTTGAAGGGCTCAGAAGAAGATAGAAAAATGTGGGAAAGTTTTGAACTTTCTAGAGACTTGGAGAGCTCAGAAAACAGGAAGATGTGGGAAAGTTTGGAACTTCCTGAAGACTTGTTGAGTAGCTTTGAGCAAAATGCTGATAGTAATATAGACAATGAAGTCCAGGCTGAGGTGGTCTCAGATGGAGATGAGGGCCGTTTTGAGAACTAGAGTAAAGTTTACTCTTGCTATGCAAAGAAACTGGTGGCATTTTGCCTCTGCCCTAGAGATCTGTGGAACTTTGAAACTGAGAGAGATGATTTAGGGTAACTGGCAGAAGAAATTTCTAAGTGGCAAAGCATTCAAGAGAAAGCAGAACCTGAAAGTTTGGAATATTTGCAGTCTGATGATGTGAGAGTAAAAAACAAAAAACATTTTCTAGGGAGAAATTCAACCCTGCTTCAGAAATTTGCATAAGTAACAAGGAGCCAAATGTTAATTACAAAGACAATGGAGAAAATGTCTCTAGGCATGCCAGACCTTCCCATCACAGGCCTGGAGGTCTAGGAGGGAAAAATGGTTTCCTAAGACAGGCCAGGGACCCCCAGCTTTGTGCATCTTTGGTACATAGTGCCTTGAATCCCAGCTGCTTCAGCTCTAGCTGTGGCTAAAAGGGGCAAATGTACAGCTCAGGCTGTTGCTTTGGAGGGTACAAGCCCCAAACCTTGGCAGCTTCCATGTGGTGTTGGGTCTGCAGGTGCACAGAAGTCAGGCATTGAAGTTTGGGAACCTCCACCTAGATTTCAGAGGATGTATGGAAATGCCTGGATGTCCAGGCAGAAGTTTGCTGCAGGTGCAGAGAACCTCTTGGAGAACCTCTGCTAGGACAGTGTGGAAGAGAAAGGTGGGGTCAGATCCCCACAAGGAGTTCCCACTCAGGCGCTGCCTAGTGGAGCTGTGACAAGAGGGCCACCATCTTCCGGACCCCAGAAAGGTAGATACACCAACAGCTTGCGCCATGCACCTGGAGGGTGGCAGACACTCAGCACCAGCCTGTGAAAACAGTCAAGAGGTGGGCTATACCCTGCAAAGCCACAGGGGTGGAGCTGCTCCGGGCCATGGGAGCTTACCTCTTGCATCAGTGTAATTTGGATGTGAGACATGAAGTCAAAGGAGATTATTTTGTGGCTTTAAGATTCACTTACTCCCTTGTTGGATTTTGGACTTTCATATTGCCTGTAGCCCCTTTGTTTTCATTAATTTCTTCATGTTGGAATGGGTGTATTTACCCAATCCCTATACCCCCATTGTATCTAGGAAGTAACTAGCTTGCTTTTGATTTTACAGGCTTATAGGCAGAAGGGACTTGCCTAGGCTCAGATGAGACATTGGACTTGGACTTTTGAGTTAATGCTGAAATGAGCTAAGATTTTGGGGGACCATTGGAAAGGCATGCTTATGTTTTCAAATGCGAAGACATGAGATTTGGGAGGGGCCAGAGGCAGAATGATATAATTTTGTTTTGTCCCCACCCAAATCTCATCTTGAATTGTAGTTCCCATAATCCACGTGTGTCATGGGAGGGACCGAGTGGGAGGTAATTGAATTGTGAGTTCAGTCACTTCCATCCTGTTCTCATGATAGTGAGTAAGTTCTCACAAGAGCTGATGGTTTTATAACTGGCTTTTCCCCTGCTTTGCTCTGCACTTTTCCTTGCTGCTTCTTTGTGAAGAAGGAAATGTTTGCTTTTCCTTCTGCCATGATTATAAGTTTCCTGAGGCCTCCTCAGACATGCTGAACTGTGAGTCAACCAAACCTTTTTTCTTTTTAAATTACCCAGTCTCAGATATGTCTTTATTGGCATTGTGAGAATGGACTAATGCAATTTCTACAGATTCAATGCAATCCCTATGAAAATACCAATGATATTTGTCAGAGAAATAGAAAAAAAAAATCTTAGGGACCACAAAGGACCCAGAATAGCCAAAGCTATCTTAAGCAAAAAGAACAAACCTGGAGGAATTACATTACCTGACTCCAAATTATACTACAGGGTGATACTAACCAAAACAGCATGGAACTGGCATAAAACAGACACATAGACCAATGAAACAGAATAGAGAATCCAGAAACAAATCCACACAGTGGATTCATTTTCGACAGAGGTGCCAAGAACATACCCTGGGGAGACAGTCTCTTCAATAAATGAAGCTCGGAAAAGTGGATATCCATATGCAGAAAAATGACACTAGACCCCTATCTGCCACTGTATACAAAATCAAATTAAAATGGATTAAAGACTTAAATCTGAGACCTCAAGCTAGGAAACTACTACAAAAAAAAACATTGGAGAAAGTCTTCAGGACATTGATTTGGTCAAAAATTTAATGAGCAATACCCCACAAGCATATGCAATGAAAGCAAAAATGGACAAATGTGATCACAAGTTAAAAAGCTTTTGCACAGCAAAAGAAACAAGCTACAGAGTGAAAAGACAACCCTCACTGTGGTAGAAAATATTTGCAAGCTATCCATCTGACGAGGGATTGGTATCCAGAATATATAAGGAGTTCAAACAACTGTATAACAAAAAGAATCTCATAATTTGGTCAAAAATGGGCAAAAGATTTGAATAAGCAATTTTCAAAAGAATATATACAAATGGCAAACAGTCATATGAATAGGGGCTTGGCATCATGGATCATAGAGAAATGTGAATCAAAACTAAAATGTGATATCATCTCACTCCAGTTAAAATGGATTTTATCCAAATGACAGGCAATAACAAATACTGTGAAGGATGTGGAGAAAAGAAAACCCTCATACACTGTTGGTGGAAATGTAAGTTAGCACAATGATTATAGATAACAGTTCCTAGGTTTCTCAAAATCTGAAAATTTAGCTACCATATGTTTCAACATACCACTGCTGGGTGTATACCCACAAAAAAATACATCAATGTATCAAAGAGATATCTGCACTCTAATAAGATATTAGAAGCAACCTACGTGTCCTTTAACAGATGAATGGATAAAGATAATATGGTACATTTACACAACAGAGCACTATTTAGCCATAAAAAAAAGAATGAGATCCTGTCGTTTGAAACAACATGGAGGGAATTGGAAATCATTATGCCAAGTGAAATAAGGCAGGTACAGAAAGACAAACAGTGCCTGTTCTCATTTACTTGTGAGATCTAAAAATCAAATCAATTGAACTCATGGAGACAGAGAGTAGAGAGACAAAGGTTGAGAATTGTAGTCTGAGGTTGTTGGAGAGGGGGTGATGGTTAATGGTTACAAAAGACAGCATTTAGAAAGAATGAAGAAGACCTTCTATTCGATAGCACAACATGCTGACTATAGTAACTAATAACTTAATGATACATTTTAAAATAACTTAAAGTGTGTGCTTGGATGGTGTGTAACACAAAGGGTACATTCTTGAGAAGATGGATACCCCATTCTCTGTGATGTGATTATTTCACATTGCATGCCTGTACCAAAAAATCTCATGTACTCCATACATATATACACCTACTATGCATTCACAAAAATTAAAAATAAATTTTTAAAAAGTAACATATATCCTGAGGGTGGAAAAATGTAAATTAAATATATGTAAATAGATATGCAAATTATATCTACATAGATATATCTAAATTTTGATATGCAAAGGATAGAAGGGAGAAAGGAGGAAGAAAATAAAGGTAGGAGGGAAGAGAGAATGATAAAAATAATGAAAATTCAGAAAACAAAGAATGAACTCTTAAAAAACGTGAAAACATAATACATATCATAGAGTTTTTTTCTTAGAAATACGAAATTTGGCAGAAAATACTAACACATAGAAAAAGTGATAAAATAAAAAGAAAGTTAGAAAAAATAGAAATCTCATGTTTTCTTTTTCATATTATAAGAGTAATATATAATGCAAATCCAGATTTGCTCAATTAAAGTAACTCAATATTCTCAGTTAACAATGCCAATAATTAACCTGAATGATGTCAACAGTAACATTATCTGAGTTCTTTCTTTATTTTGACTCTAAAGATTTTTACTAATATCATCTTTAAAAATTCAATCACTTGCTCTTTGTTCTCAAAAAATATGTAGGGTAATTCCACCCCTTTATGGCTGTCTATGTTTATCCATGTGTTCTGTTAATGCTCAAAAAGTCTTATTTTTTGCCGGGCGTGGTAATCCCAGCACTTTGGGAGGCTGAGGAGGGTGGATCACGAGTTCAAGAGATCGAGACCATCCTGGCCAACATGGTGAAACCGTGTCTACTAAAAATACAAAAATTAGCCGGGCGTGGTGGTGGGCACCTGCAGCCCCAGCTACTCGGGAGGCTGAGGCAGGAGAATCACTTGAACCTGGGAGGTGGAGGTTGCAGTGAGCTGAGATCGTGCCACTGCACTCCAGCCTGGGTGACAGAGCAAGACTCCATCTCAAAAAAAAAAAGAAAAAATCTTATTTTTTAAATAGAAGAAAAATACTTTGCAATATTCAGCTTTACACACTCAAAGGGAGATAAAAGAGTTTCTATATATTTAAACTGATAGCAACTCTAAGAAATCTACATGTGGTCACATACAGAGGACAGTAGCAAGAATGTTATCATTATCACTGTTAACACTTTTACTTGAAAGTAAACTTTTATAATACTTTTACTCAAAAAACTTCTACAGAATTTGGCTGTATAAGATATTTATACAACATTTTAATTGTACAAGTCTAGACTGTTGGTATAGAGTCTTTAACTTATATATATAGTTCATCATCAATAGAATGCATAATATGATATATCAGTATTCTCTTTCTGTGGATGTGAGATTTTAAAGGAATGCTTTAGAAGAATGGTGATTTTTTCAAGCTTTGCTTACCGTATATACTGTATACATATTAAGATCTTAATAATAATCTAACAATTATAAAGTTACTATAAAGTTTTATAATAATGGTCAGAAAAATAAAAATGTAGAGAAATTATAGAAAATATATTTTATAGGAACTATTCTCAGGTGAAATGGTTTGAAAAATTACCTATAATAAGTGATGATATTGATGAGCTTGTGTAAGCATTTTTTAAAAGTCATTAGTTTGAAGTTGGAGCAAGAAAAAGGATGAAAATTGACTCTCCTCTAGGATATGGATATATCATTATCTGGCATATTTTGTTCTTATACAGAATGTTTATTCATGAATATTATAGGCTGTATCAACATTTTCAGCTCTTACTAATCAAAGATACTGTACTAATATCTATTAGGCCCTAAAAGATTTTGATAATATTTACATTAATATTGGGCTATACTACCACAGTATCTGTTCCAAAACTTTTCCACTTTTCTCAGTTTTATATTCACTCACCTAAATGCAACAGATAAATCTAAAATATTTATTGAGAAATCAAATCTATAGGAAGTGACATCTGTCCTCATTTTTAATTTTCTTACTTCCTCTTTCTACCCTCCAGCCTCAGGCCAAAAGCTTTGTACTACTGCCAAAAACCAATTTTGCCAAACTTAAATTTTCAGTTATATACTGTCCTGATTCCTGTGTGCTATGGTTCTCATTCTTCTTGTTCTGATTTGTCAGACAGGTTAAAAAAAAAAAAAACAAGAAAAACAAACAAAAAAAGCACAGATGAGGGCCAGGCTCAGTGGCTCAGGACCATAATCCTAGCACTTTGGGAGGCCGAGATGGGTGAATCACCTGAGGTCAGGAGTTCGAGACCAGAATGACCAATATGGCAAAACCCCGTGTCTACTAAAAATACAAAAATTAGCTGGGCATGGTGGCGGGTGCCCATAATCCCAGGTACTCAGGAGGCTGAGGCAGGAGAATCACTTGAACCCAGGAGGCCGAGGTTGCAGTGAGCCGAGATCTCACCACTGCACTGCAGCCTGGGCAAGAGAGCAAAACTCCGTCTTGCAAAAAAAAAAAAAAAAAAAAAAAAAAAAGAAAGAAACAAAGAAAAAAAGAAAAATAATAATAATAAAAAGCACAGGGATGACACTTAATGATACTACTTCTATTTTAACTTCAAACTATATTCCTCCTTTTAAATAACTTGTATCTAAGAATTAACATTTTATTGTCTTTCCGTTCTATGCTTAACTTCCCCTCATTCCCTGAATTCCTTACTCTCAGCCATCAAATCACAAAACTAATAGTTGTTTTTAAGACTGCATTTACCTCAACTTCCTCAAGGCAGGTTCTTTTCTTTCTTTTACTCATTAAACATCTGAGTTACATTTTATTTCTCAGTCTCTCAGTCTCTAATTTCTTTGCAGATGAATGAATGCAATGTGTATATTTCTACGTGTCTTCTGGCTACTTGCAGTGTAGATGACTTTTATTCTTTTAACACAATACATCTGTATTTAAAATCATAATAATAAACTGAATTTCCTGTTTCTACCTATCACACATCTAAATAACAAGATCAAATTCTTAATAAATTTTAATCATTACATTACCTTTTCTTTTTCATAAGTTTAGATCTCTGAATGATATTATTCCTTGGCTTTTCCTGTTTATTCCAAAATGTAATGTAGCTATTCAGAAATTTACATTGCACATAATTAAAATATCTCCCTATTTTTTGATAATAGGAAAGGGAATCATGCAACATGTGGGGTTCCCCTGGGGCTTTGAATTGTGAGACTACAACTACAATGCTGGCATTCTATATCTTGAGCTATATCTTTATCTGAGAGGTGCTTACCAATCAGGGGTGCCTTTATCTTTTTGTACAATTAAGATCTGTGAATTCTACCAAAAATATCTGTCAACAGCTATGGAGCATTTAAGATTTTATCCTATTTGCAAGCAGAAAAGATAGCCTGACACATTGTCTTTGAGGTAGGCAGAAGACTAGAGACTTCTAGGTCAGAAACGTAGTTCTTTATTATTCAAAACACAGCAAGCAGTGTGATCCTCACACTTCCATACATTTCCACTACTTCCCAAATGTTATGGTGGAGACACAAAAGACCCAGGTGAATTCTATGCCTCCAGTGAATTGGGGTCTTAGCTAAATCCTCAAAACTTATTAAATACAAATTCCTGCCTTACATGAAGACATTTATTGGAAGTTCAAGCTAACATATGTTATCTTTATCTTCCAACACTGTTGTTTATAGAAACCACCTTGAGAAGAGAGTCTGGATAAAAGATAACCAGTTCTGCTGTTTGCAAAACATGCAGAAATATTAAAGACCCATGAAGAATTACTCCCCAACATGCAGAAATATCAGAGACCCATAGAAACTTATTCGGCAACATTGTGTTATCACTGAATAAAATTATGTAAATAAGAAGAGAGGCTTTGACGTTAGACTCACATAGTTTTAATCCCAGCTCTAGCATTTAAGTGTGATATGATTTACAACTTAGTTTATCCAAGTCTCAATTTCTTCATCTGTTAAATAAGGATCATAATACCTCATTCACAAAGTTGTCATAAATGTAGATAAAAATAAATTGATGCACAATGAGAATTAAATACATTGCTATTATTAAATTATTAAAATAGATTAGTTTATTTTCCCTCACCTTCCATTGTTTTCTTCATTCCAAAGCCTTTAATGATTCTCTTTATTTCTAGAGTAAAGATATCTACTTAGGCATTTGTACATCAAACAAGCCCTGTAATCAGAAGATATTAGTCTAGCTGTCTTCATACTGGCTTACATATACCACGGAAAATTAAAATGTTCCCAGATATACGTTGATACTAGTAATTTCATGATAATTAATGTTCAGATTATTGTTTTCCATAGGTAATCATTTATAATTTTGTTTTGTTGAGGTCTCCCCACATTTGAGAAGGCATGATCCTTCCTACAACCCCATCACAACAAAAGAAAGACTTACCTCTCACCTATTCTCTGTTTACCATATGTAGTCTTTGATGCAAAATTAATTGCAGGATGCCAAATAAGAGACAATTTGAAATATTGGTCAAATTTTCTTTTGTTCTGTGGGTGCCAAAATCTAGCAGTAAGGCTTTCTCTTGTACTCTGTCTTATACTTAATTTAAAAATCTTTGCTCTAAGAAGATGGTAATTAGGCCTATATTAAGGTGATTTTAATTGAGATACACTAAAAAGTAGAGAGGTTACCAGATGAATGACAGTCTTTTTTTAATAGCCTTATCTCTTTCTTCCTTTAGCTTTAGTCAAAAAATATATCTCTCCTACATAGCACATAAGAACCAAGCAGAGAGAGCATAGGGATGCAAAATACTCTTTTTTTTCATCTTAAAATTAGAATACAGTATTCAACCTATGTAAAAACCAATACAAACTGGGAAGTACAAATCTACTATAAAATATGTCCTCCTAATTTTTATCATTCTCAGTAAAATGGATAAGTTATTTACATTTATCTTTCTTTTAATCTGTGTTTGTGATTTGTGATGATTAATACTGAGTGTCAACTTGACTGGATTGAAGGATGCAAAGTATTGTTCCTGGGTGTGTCTGTCAGGGTCTTGCCAAAGGAGATTAACATTTGAATCAGTGGACTGAGAAAGGCAGACCCACACTTAATCTGTGTGGGTACAATCTAATCAACTGCCATTGCAGCCAGAATAAAAGCAGGTAGAAGAACATGAAAAGGCCAGACTGGCTTAGCCTCCCAGCCTACATCTTTCTTTTGTCCTGGATGCCTCCGCCCTCGAACATCAGACTCCAAGTTCTTCAGCTCTGGGACTCAGACTGGCTTCCTTGCTCCTCAGCTTGCAGACGGCCTACTGTGGAACCTTGTGATCATGTGAGTTAGTACTCCTTAAAACACTCCCCTTTATATATACATCTATCTTATTACTTCTGTCCCTCTAGGGAACCCTGACTAATACATTATTATTTTTCTCGATTTTAAAGAGAAATAGTCAAAAAGTTTACATTTACTTTAGAGATTAAAGTTATATACATTGTAAAAGGAACATATTTTGGATTTAAATTACAGTTTGCAGTTTAAAAGACAAAACTATTAAAAGCAACTATAGCAATAATAATATGTTAAGGAATAAAAATTATTTAAAAATTGTAAATAGTGTCATCAAAAACATAAAATGTGTGTGTGAGGTGAAGTGTAAGATTTTTGTATGTGATGAAAATTACATTGTTATCTGCTTAATATAGCCTGTTAAAAGTATAAGATATTTTATATAAACCTCATGGTAGCCACAAAGCAAAAACCTACAGCAGATACAAAAAAGATAAAAACTTTGGAATCAAAGCATACCACTACAGAAATACAACAAACTACAAAGGAAGATAGAAAGACAGGAAAAAGGGAACAAAATATTTACTTTAGAAAAACAAAACCAGAAAGTCATTAACAAAATGCAACGTGGCAGTAGTAAGTCCTTACCTATCAATTATTTTGAAAGTAGAGTGATTGAAAGAGAAAAACAAGACTCAACTGTAGGCTGCCTACAAGAAACTCATTGACTCACTTCACCTTTAAAGATCCACATAAATTGCAAGTGAAGGGATGGAAAAAAGATATTTCACACAAATGGAAATTCAAAGAGAGCAGGAGTTGCTATAGTTAGAGCAGACTGCATAGCCTTTAGTCAAAACTGTAAAATAAAGACAAAAAGTTATTATATAATAATAAAGGGGTCAATTTATTAATAGGTGTGATTTGGTTTGGCTCTGTGTCACCACCCAATCTCATGTCAAATTGTAATTCCCATTCCCATGTGTTGGGGGAGGGACCTGGAGGGAGGTAATTGGATCATGGGGGTGGATTTTTCCCATGCTGTTCTCTTGACAGTGAGTTCTCACGAGATCTGATGGTTTAAAAATGTGGACTTCACCCCTTGCTTTCTCTCTTTCCTGCCACCATATAAGAAGTACCTTGCTTCCCCTTCTTCTCCTGCCATGATTGTAAGTTTCCTGAGGCCCCTCAGCCATGCAGAACTGTGAGTCAATTACCCTCTTTTCTTTATAAATTTCCCAGTTTCAGGAAGTTCTTTATAACAGTGTGAAAATGGACTAATAAAAGGTGATAACAATTGTAAATATATATGCACCCAACATTGGAGCACCTAAACATACAAAGTAAACACATTCATCTATCACTTAATGATGGGGATACATTCTGAAAAATGTACCATTAGGTGATTTCATGGTTGTGGGAACATCACAGAGTTTACTTACACAAATTTACCACACACTGAGGTATTGCTTACCACACACTAAGACTATATAGTATAGCCTATTGCTCCTAGGCTACAAACTGTACAGTATGTTACTGTACTAAATACTGTAGGCAACTATAACACCATTATATGTATTTGTATATCTAAACATATTTAAGTGAAAAGGTACAATAAATGAATGGTAAAATCTTATGGGGCCACCATCATATATGCAGTCTATTGTTGACCAAACACTGTTTTTTTAGCATATAACCGTATCAATAGACATAAAAGAGGAGATATGCTCTAAAACAATAATACAAGAGGACTTTAATACCTCACTTTCAACAATGGACAGATCATCCCAGAAAATCAATGAAGAAAAATAACTTGAACTACATTTTAGACAAAAAAGAAATAATAAACATATATATATTAGACCATCCCATCCAACATCAGCAGAGTATACTTTCTTCTCAAGTGCACATAAAATATTCTCCAGAATAGACCATATGTTGGGCCAAAAATAAATAAGGAAATAAATAATAAATTTTAGAAAATTTGAAAAGATTGAAATTATACCAAGAATCTTTTCTTACCACAGTGGTGTGAAGCTAGAAATCAATAACAGGGAGAATTTTGGAAAATTCAAATGCTCTTGTTGAAATTGAACAAGCGCCTAAACAACCAATGAGTCAAAGTAAAAATGAAAAGGGAAATTTTAAAAATTACTTGAGACAAGTGCAAATGGAAACACAACATACTGAAACGTATGAGATGCAGCAAAGGCAATCCTCAGGTGAAAGTTTAGAGTAATAAATGCCTACATACATTAAAAAAAAAGTTCTCAAATAAATAACCAAATATTAAACCTCAAAGGACTAGGAAAAGAACAAGGTAAGCCCAGAATTACCAGAAAAAAGGAAATAAAAAAGATCACTGGAGAACTAAATGAAATATACCAGATAAAAATAAAAAAAATAATTTGAATTTTTTAAAGATAAAATTAATAAACTGTTAGCTAGACTAAGACTAAGACAGAAGAATCAACTAACTAAAATCAGAAATGAAAGAGGAGACATTAAATTTGATACCATAGAAATATCAAAGACCAGAAATGAATATTATAAAAAATTATATGCCAAAAAAATTGGATAATCTTGAAGTAATGTTTACATTTATAGAAACACATAATGTAACATAGGAAGACTGAGTCATGAAGACATGGAATATTTGAACAGAGTGATAGTAACTAAGAATTGATCAGTAATTGAAAGTCAATTATCAAATAAAACCCCAGGACTTTATGTCTTCAATGGTGAATTCCACCAAACATTCAACACAAAACTATCACCAATCCTTTGCAACATCTTTCAAAAAACTGAGGAGGATAGAATTCTTGAAAGTTTTTCCTCTAAGGTCAGGAAGAAGACAAGTGTTCCCATTGTTACTCCATCTATTCAACTTAATACTGGAAGTTCTGACCAGAGCAGCTAGACATGAAAAAGAATTAAAAGGATTGAAGGATGGATTGAAGGATGCAAAGTATCATTCTAAATAAGAAAGGAGGTGAAGTTGTCTGTGTTTGTCAATATTATGATTTTAAATATGAAAAAACCCTAAGGATTTCACCAAAAACCTATTAGAATGTATAAAGGTACTCAGTCAAGTTGCAGGACACAAAATCAACATACAAAAATCAGAAGCATTTCTATATACTAACAACAAAGTAACTAAAAGCATGTTACTGATACCAAAACAGCTATATAGACCAATAGAACAGAACAGAGGCCTCAGAAATAACGCCACACATCTACAACCATCTGATCTTTGACAAACCTGACAAAAAAAGCAATGGGGAAAGAATTCCCTATTTAATAAATGGTGTTGGGAAAACTGACTAGCCATAAGCAGAAAACTGAAACTGGAACCTTCCTTATACCTTACACAAAAATTACCTCAAGATGATTAAAGACTTAAACATAAGACCTAAAACCATAAAAACCCTAGAAGAAAACATAGGCAGTACCATTCAGGACATAGGCATGGGCAAAGACTTCATGAATAAAGAACCAAAAACAATGGCAACAAAAGCCAAAATTGACAAATGGGATCTAATTAAACTAAAGAGCTTCTGCACAGCAAAAGAAACTATCATCATAGTGAACAGGAAACCCACAGAATGGGAGAAAAATTTTGCAATCTATCCACTTGAGAAAGGGCTAATATCCAGAATCTACAAAGAACTTAAACAAATTTACAAGAAAAAAACAAACAACCCCATCAAAAAGTGGGCAAAGGATATAAAAAGGCACTTCTCAAAAGAAGACATTTATGCGGCCAAAGGCATATGAAAAAAAGCTCATCATCACTGGTCATTAGAGAAATGCAAATTGAAACCACAATGAGATACCATCTCACAACAGTTAGAATGGTGAGCATTAAAAAGTGAGGAAACAAAAGATGCTGGAGAGGATGTGGAGAAATAGGAACACTTTTATACTGTTGGTGGGAGTGTAAATTAGTTCAACCATTGTGGAAGACAGTGTGGTGATTCCTCAAGGATCTAGAACTAGAAATACCATTTGACTCAGCAATGCCGCTATATACCCAAAGGATTATAAGACACATGCACACCTATGTTTATTGCAGCACTGTTCACAATAGCAAAGACTTGGAAACAACCCAAATGCCAATCAATGATAGACTGGATAAAGAAAATGTGGCACATATACACCATGGAATACTATGCAGCCATAAAAAAGGATGAGTTCATGTCCTTTGAAGGGACGTGGATGAAGCTGGAAACCATCATTCTCAGCAAACTATCACAAGGACAGAAAACCAAACACCACATGTTCTCAGTCATAGGTGGGAATTGAGCAATGAGAACACTTGGACACAGGGTGGGGTACATCACACATGGGGACCTGTCATGGGGTGGGGGAAGGGGAGAGGGATAGCATTGGGTGATATACCTAATGTATATGATGAGTTAATGGGTGCAGCACACCAACATGGCACGTGTATACCTGTGTAACAAACCTGCAAGTCTGCACTTGTATCCCAGAACTTAGAGTATAATAATAACAAAAAAAGAAATTATGAAAACAATACCTTCACTATAATATCAAAAATTAAAACATTTAGGAAGAAATGTAAGTAGGTGACAGATCTGTTTACTGTGAACTATAAAGCATTATTAAAAGGAATTGAGAAACACACAAAAAAGATATAATGTTTTCATAGATTAGAAGAAGTAATTATGGTAAGATATCCACACTACTCAAAGTTGTCTACAGATTTAATATAATTCCTATCAAAATTCTGATATCATTTTTTACATTAATAGAAAAAAATTCTAAAATGCATATGGAACTACAAAAGACCTTGAACAGTCACAGCAGTTTTGAGGAAAAAGTACAAGCTGGAGGCATCACACTCCCTGATTTCAAGATATATTACCAAGCTATAATACTCAAAACAGCATGATATTGCAAGAGTTGCATCCACCAATGGAACAGGATAAGGAGCCCACATATAAACCTATCTATTCACAGTCAGTTGACTTTTGACAAAGGTTCCAAGAAAACACAATGGGAAAAAGGACTGCCTCTTCAATAAATGGTGTCTGGAAAGAATGAAAGTGGACTTTCAGCTCACAACTTATGCTAAAATCTACTCAAACATGGATTAAAGACTTAAATGTAAGACCTAAAATTGTAAAAGTACTAGAAGAAAACATGGGGGAAAACTCTATTAAATTTGTTTTAGCAACAATTTATTGTATATGAACCAAAAAGCACAGGCGACAAAAGCAAAAATAGACAAATGAGATTGTGTCAAACTAAAAAGTTTCTGCATAGCAAAGGAAATAATTAACAAAATGAAGAGATTACCTGCAGATTGGGAGGAAACATATGCAAATCATACAACTCATAAGAGGTTAATATCTAACATATGTAAGAAACGTTAGCAACTCAATAGCAAGAAAACAAATACCCAAACTGTAAAGCAAACTAATAAAAAACAATACCTGAATAGACATTTTTCAAAAAAAGGGATACAAATGGCCAAGTATATAAAAAATACTCAACATCCCTAATAATCAGAGAAATGCAAATTAAAATTCTAAAGACATATCACCTCATACCTATTGAAATGGTTCTTATAAAAAAGAAAAAAAAGTAACAAATGCAAGAATGTGGACAAAAGTAAACCGTTGTACAGTATTGATGAGAATGTAAATTAGTACAGCTATTATGCAAAATAGCATACAGCTTCCTCAAAAAATTAAAAATAGAACCACCATGTGAACTTGGAATCTCAGTTCTAAGTACATACCCAAAGGAATTTAAGTAAGAAAGTATGTTAAAGAGATAAATGAACCATCATGGTTCATTGCAGCATTATTCACAATAGCCAATATGTGGATCTAACCTAAGTATCCATCATGGTATGACTATATAAAGAAAATATGATATGTATTACAATGGAATACTATTTAACCTTTTTAAAAAGGAAATCCTGTTATTTGTGACAACATGGATGAACCCAAAGGACATTATGCTATTAATAAATTAAATAAGCCAGGCACAGAAAGACAAATGCTACATGATGTTCACTTACATATCAAATCTAAAAATGTCAAACTCATAAGAGTAGAAAGTAGAATCTTTGTTACCAGAGACTGGGGGTGGATAGGAGGGTGGAGAAATATTGGTCAAAGGGAAAATATATAGTCTTGAATATTTACTCAGAATCAAGGGTAGGGCTGTCATTAGTTTTCTCCTAAAGATTACTGGATGCTCTAAATTCATCTTCACTTTTAAAATTTGTGATTCAAATCTCCTCACCATTACTTATATACCCGTTCTTTGTTGTAGCTACTCCTATTGTGTAATTATTATATTTTAATAAACTCGTAGGTTTTGAATTCTAATTTAAATAATACCCTTAACAAAATTATTAACACCTACTTATAAGCTCTGTATTTATAATAATTCAACACGTTTCTCTCTTTTGGCTATGAATTTCTACAAATTAGGTTAAATTGTGTGTATTTTTGAAAGGTATATTGAAGCATAATTTATGTACAATAAAATGCAAATTTTTAACACGTTGAATTCTCTGAATTTTGAAGCCATATACAGTTATGTAACTATCATGATAAAAAATATGGAATATCTATGTTACCACAAAAACTACTTTTATGCTATCTTGGAATTTCTAACTTGAACAAATTTTCGAAACCTGTTTAATTTCTCCTAGAGACAATATTTTTCCAATATTGTCAATTCTTTAAATATAAACATAGTTTAAACCAAGATATGAAATTATGATTCTATCTCTTACATAAGAATACTTAACAATTTGTGTCTGTTTGTAACCGTCTTTTGAAATGAATTAAACCATTGTTTATGTAAATAATTTTTCATATGGCATAACTACGTAGGACTATATATAATAACAAAGATGTTAACATGCACAAGTTTCTTATGAAACGTTGTTATTTGTGTCTGGTTACATTTAATATTTATCCTAATTAAGAAGATTCCTCCAAAATGTAAGATTAATGGATATAGTCTTTTGTTACATCTTAGAATTATGTAACATTTATGAAAATGAATAACATCAATGACTTGCTAATATATTCCTTTAAAATTTGAATTGCTTCCAACTTTTGCATCTAAAATTTAAAAAATAATTTAGTTATTTGATGAATGTCACTTGATAATGAAAAATATTTTTTGAATATATAATACGATGTGATTTTGGTAGATGCTTCAGTAACGATTTTAATTAATTGAGAGATACTGCGATAACAAATTTATTTCATTCCACTATGTCTATGTACAAGAACAAGATTACTAGAATAATAATATCTACCCCTTCAAGCTCTTATAAAAATTAAATGAAATAATGTAACCAAAGCTATCAGTACTGACAAAGAAAATTGCCTAAAATATTACTAAAATTTTAATAATAGTTTGCTTTAATAATGGTATGGAGTGATTTATATTTTCTTATATACATCTCTAAATTTAATTACCTATATATGATCATATTAGGTTTTTACTCAAAGAAACAACAAAGCAATATTTATTATATGCTAAGAAAAAACTGAATTACTTCTGTATTAAATTTTATAGTGAAATTTTACTACTTATAAAATATTTAGAAACAGATTACCAGGAAAAATACTAAAATACCAAAAACAATTAATCTCTGGATGATGGTATTCTAGATGACTTACTTCTATTTTTTTGCACAATTTTTCTCCAATTATTTTTGGGGGGATATTTTTATAATATTATACTTTATAATATTATATGTATTACGTGTATGTATAATATTATAAAGAACTCCCCAAAAACCCACAAAGTAAAAATTAAATTTATGAAATGAACTATCACGGAAAGACATGAAAATGTATCTTAATTACTTACTATTAAGTAAAAGATGTCAATGTGTAATGACTTCATATTGTATGATTCCAACTATTTATCCCTATAAATAGGCAAAACACAGAGGATTTTTAGAGCAGTGAAAATACTCTGCACGATGCTATATGACAGATGCATATACAACAGGTAGGGTGAGCACTAATGTACACTGTGGATTTCGGGTGATTAGAATTTGTTGATATAGATTCAACGATTTTAACAAATGTATCATGCTGATGGAAGATTTTGATAATGGGAAAGCTATGTATATGTGGGGGCAGAGGGTATATGGGGACATAAAAAATCTAATATATTTTGAATATTATCCAATTTCATTAATATGTGATAATCAGCTATGAGTAGATAAGCCAATTGCAAATGTAAACATAAGAATAAAAAACCCTACATTTCACTAAGATGCATTTCCAATAAAATTTCAAACAATGTGTTTAATAAATGTGTGTTAATAGTAAAAATTATTTTCTATTGAAAATATTTTTGAAATAAATTACTGTTTATTTCAATATAAAATATTTTTTAACTATTCAGAGAATTAAATTTCCATTTTATGTTTATTTTTATTTCAAAAAATAGGATAAACAGTTGATAGAAGTCTTGTGATCATAAAAAATATAAAAGCTATAAAAAGTAGCAGGAGAAATGGAACATAAATATAAAATATAAAGTTAAGGATAAAGTAATAAATTTCAAACTGTTAAAATAGAGCTTATTTTTTCAGTCTTTTAAATGAATAATTGATTTAAAGCCACTGACTTTTAAATTGTATTTGGCAAGTTAAAAAAGTGAAGTAATAATTTACTTTTTAAAATCAAGTTTTAAAATATGACAAAATTAGATATTTTGATAAATGTATAGCTGTTTACAAAGTATACTTCCATTTCTGTTTGTGAGAGTCTAACTTGTACTAGAACAGGCCTCTAAGCAAAAATAACTGTAAAAGTGAACAAGTACATGAGACAACTGGTTTCAGACGTTGTACAATAGGCTGCAGAGGACTTTAATCCCTGAGTGCTTGGCCTTTTTCCCCACTACAGTACAGGGACAGCTTGGGGCACATTTCCTACACATTGCACATTGTGGCTACTGAGAAAGCTAAAGCATTTGCAGAAGGGCAGTGGCAGAGGATGTTGAGCATGAGCAGGATGTGCCTACATGGGATCTTACTCAGAACAATATCTGAGGAGCAGTGAATTCAACAAAGACTCTGGTGATCACACAATGCTAACATACATCAGAGATATTGGCATTCCAAGCAGAGTGAAGAGATGTGACAGAACACCTGGGGCAGTAATGTGACAGAAAATTCCAGCTAAAAGTAGTCCTAATCACGCCTAAGAGTAAAGCCTTTGTTAAACCCAATTTTTTAAAAAACAAAGATAACCCAACAGCATACTGACTGTAAAGACCATAGAAATGTCTAACATAGAATTAAATATTACAGGACATGCAGAAAAAAAAATAGTGGCCTCTAAACCTGAAGAAGAAAATAATTAAATGAATCTGAGATGACCCAGTTGCTGAAGATGACTATGACAACAAAATGTTTCAAAGCATCTATTACAAATATGTTGAAGTACTTAAAGAAGAGTCTGGTCAGAATGAATACAAAAATGTAATTATCAGCAGAAAAATGAACACTGTATTAAAAATATAAATTCTAGAGCTAAATATTACAACATACTAAAGAACAATTCACCAAATTATGCCAGTCTAGTTAGAAAATGCAAGAAATGATCTAACCTGAAAATCAGAGAAAGAAGTAAAAATGAAAAACTGAAAGACCAAGAGACAGAGAGAGAGAGAGAGAGAGAGAGAGAGAGAACATTTTGATTCAGGAAAGAACCAAAAGAAAGGGACAGTAATGTAAATGAAAAAATGTCAATAATTCCCAGAATTTGGTGAAGAGCAGAAACTTAAAGATCAAAGAGGCTCAGTGAACTGCAAAAAGTTAAGCAAAAAGAGATCTGTATAGTGAAGGTAGAAAAAAACAGAGTAAAGGAAGAGCTTAAAATCACCACAGAAAAAGTACACGTAGAGGAACAATGATATGAAGCACAGACTTCTCTTTAAAAAGGGAGAAAAAGTCTAAGATGGAAATCAGAACACATCTTTTAAAAATAAAAATGAAAGCGAGACACATTCAAATAGATATAAAAGTTGAGAAGCTTCAAGTCTTAACATAAAAACATAAAACTATGTAAAAAAGATGGTAGGCTATTGGTATAAAAATAGAAAAAAAAAAAAAAAAACAAAGACAGATGAGGAGAAGTACCCAGAATTAGACAGACACTTATAAGATCATTCAATTTTTGGTAGATGGCAAAGCATTTCAAAGGGGAAGGAAAGCTTTTTAAACAAATAGTGTGAGAGAAGTGGATAAACATATGGCATAAAATAAATCTTAATGTCACCTAACAACATATGCAAATCTTAGTTTGAGATGGAGCTCAAATGTAAAGGTTAAATGTAAAAGCTAAAACTATAAGTTTGGCCAAAATAAAAAAAAGTGGTTTCTCTCTGCAACATGAGGTAGGCAAAAGTTTCTTAGAAAGGAAAGATTTTTATAGAAGATTTTTATTGAAAAGAATAAAAGTAAAGAGAAAACATGATAAACTTCATCGAGATAACACTTCATCAAAATAGGAAAGTTAGTAAAATGTCGCAAGTAAAATCTGTAACCCACAAAAGACCGGTATAAAAAAATATGTATTCTTGATGGGCGCGGTGGCTCACGCCTGTAATCCCAGCACTTTGGGAGGCCGAAGTGGGTGGATCACGAGGTCAGGAGTTCGAGACCAGCCTAGTCAACATGGTGAAACTTTGCCTCTACTAAAAATACAAAAATTGGCCAGGTATGGTGGTGGGTGCCTGTAATCTCAGCTACTCAGGAGGCTGAGGCAGGAGACTCACTTGAAACTGGAAGGTGGAGGCTGCCGTGAGCCGAGATTGCAGCCACTTCACTCTAGCCTGGGCAACAAGAGTGAAACTCCGTCTTAAAAAAAAAAATGTATTTTTACAAGTCAATAGTAAAACGATTGTTGGATGAAGGATCTAACAACATTGGTCAAAAAACTTGTATACTTTAGAAAGAATCATATACAAGTGTCTGATAAACATGAGAAAAGTATTCAACATGATTATCAGGAAAGTGTATATTAAAATCAAATGTATATACACTCACCAGAATGAATACAATTTAAAAACCTGTAAATAGTAAATGTTGGAGAGGATGCAGAGCAACCAAATCTCTCACACAGACAGGTGAAAATTTAAATATTCCACCCTCTTTGAAAAAATGTTTGGGAGTCTATTATAAAGGTATACATCTGTCTCTGAAATTCTACCCTAGGTGTATACTCAAAATCTATAAAATCTCATGTCTGCAAATAATTTTGTACAAGAATGTCCACAACTGCACTATACACAAGAATCGAAAACTGGATGTAGTCTGGGTGTCTATTAACATAAAAATGGGTAAATATTTTATGGTAAAATCATATAACAAAGATACTACCTAGCAATAAAAATAAACAAACTACTAGATGCACCTCAGACATTATATTGAAAAATGAACTAGATTAAAAAATTGTAGACAGAATAATTTGATTTATTATATATTCTAGAAAAGGCAAAACTAATTCATGGTGAAAAAAAATACAGCAATGTTTACCTCTGTGGGGGTGAGGGTATTGATTGAAAAGAACAGCATAGTAACTTTTTAAGGTATTGAAAATGTTTTGTCTTAACAGTGTATGCTCCTGTCTAAACTCATTAAATTTTACATGTAAGCTTTGTTTATTTCACTCTAATTAAATTTTATCTCAAAGAAGCAAAAAAGAAATGGTAAACAAATTTTATTATAGCTTTGCTTTTTTTCCTTAGTGGTTTAGGTTACCAATTTTGAAACTATTTTTTTATGTTTACTAATTTTGAGCAAACATGTAAATATTTTGAGTGTAACGAAGACTAGGTTTCTCACTGTTTTGGAAGAGTGTGTTTATGCGTGTATATGTGTATGTGTTTATATATGTGTGTATGTATACATATACACATGTACCTGGAATACATTCTGAAGTTTTGGATAAAATTGAGGTAGCAGTATGAGCTCAGCATCATTTTAATAAATGAATATAGAGATACATATTTTCTGAGTTCTGTTTATTGAGAAGGCATAGAAGCTATGAATACCCTTGATCCTCAGTCTTTTTCTAAAAAACATTGTCCAATTAAAAGGTACAGTGAATATAACTGAGAGTAAGACTACACCAGCAAAATGATAATGCAAACCTGAGTCACCCTGTAGTCTCAGACATTAAAGAGGCATTTTGAGAATCCCGGAGATATGTCAGAAGGACAAAAGAAGCAGCCACATATATGCAGAGAGAGCAAGGAAGACAGAATGCTAAAGCAAAAGAGAAAAAAAAAATGTATGCAATTGGTGAATGTGAGTAAAGTGGAGAGTATACAGGAGTTTTTTGCACTATTTTTCCAACTTTTCTGTAAATGTGAAATTAAAACAAAATGAAATGTAACAAAAATATTTTAATAAATATATTAAAATCACTGAAAACCACTGGACTAGTCTATCCATTATATTCGAACTCATTCTACAAAATTTCAACTCTATCTTTTAGGGTTCTTTTGACAATTCTTTCATAATAAAATGCCTATTCTTATCTCCCTATCACTACCTGTCCCTCAGAATGCACCCAAAGGGTCTTTCTTTCTTGAGGTTTCCCTTGCCCTGCTGAAGCTACAGAGCATTCCCTAACCACCACCTTTACAACCGAGCAGATGGCCTGCTTACAGGTAGTGTATATAATGCTTACTTATATTCACTTACTTTTTGATATGTCTTTTTGTTTTAAAACGTTTGAAGCTTTAAAAGATAGCAATATTATTTCTACTGTTGCCAATCCTAACATCTAACTGCACTGCGTGTAATTCAGTGCTTAATATTTTCAGTTCAACAGTTCTTGGTTTAAAAAGTATATCCCAGTGAAAATCTGGATTTAAAAGTTATTTAATTCTGTATTTAGCTGACTATTTTAAAATTTATTTGTATAAGTAAAACTTATATTAGAAAGTTAAGTTTTTGCATGGTTTGTAATAGATGCTTATTGTTTTGAAATCCAAATTCATTTCTTAAGGGCAAATGTGTTTTAACTTGTGAATTACTTTAAAAAGTATGTTGTGCCATTCTTGCATTGTCATAAAGAAATACCCGAGACTGAGTAATTTATAAAGAAAATAAGTTTAATTGTCTCACAGTTCTGCATGCTTTGTAGACAACCTGGTGGCATTTGCTTCTGTGGTGGCCTCAGGAAGCTTCTAATCATGGCAGAAGGTGAAGCAGGATCAGGTGTCTCACACGGCAAGAGCAGGGACAAGAAAGAGATAGAGTGAAGCAGAGGGAAGCTGTCACACACTTTTAAATGACCAGATCTTGTAAGAACTCACTCACTCTCCCAAAGACAGCACCAAACCATGAGAGACCTGCTGCCATGACCCAAAGATCTCCCACTAGGCTCCACCTCCAGCATTGGGGATTACATTTCAAGATGAGATTTGTGCAGGGACAGATATCCAATCTACACCAATAAATAAGTTCAAACATCAGTCAATTCATAAATTTATACTTGCTACTGTCTCCTGGATGCAGTAGTGTCTATTACCAAGTCAAAGTGTTTTTACAACATGACATTATTGTGTCACATTTATCAAAGCTATCTCCCTTCCTTGTTCTTGCCAGCTGTAACCTAGTTCTAGTAGGCAGAGAGCATTATTATGTAAAAGCCTTTATCATTTGTGGATTCTGGACTGAGAAAAGGAGAGAAAGCAAACAGATGTTTTCAAACTCCTGTGGCCGTCTGCTGAGCCCTAAGCAACGCTCCCAACAGAGGAACGATCTGCAGCATTTACTCACAAAATACCCATTTTGTGAATGAAATGATTTCAGTGGTCTCCAAGGCTATCTCTTTGTCATCCTCTGTCAGTACTAAAGTTAATATGGAAATAAAAATAAACAAAGCATCTTTACTTACTGTGTTTTCAAAAATGTATCAACTTGTTTAAACATCTAACTCTAGTGGAAACAAACATGGTTTTATTGTAATTGCATTTATATCCGGATGGAAAACAGCAACCCCTTATCAAGTAGTTTTTCCTCTTTAGGATTAGGCATACTGGCTTTCAATTGAGCCCTATTTTCTCTTCAGGTGGAAGACCCAGGACTTTGTTTTATAGAGGCAATTTTCTCCTCTAGATGCACTAAACTACACATAATAATATCTGCACATACTAATATTACATACTCAAATTTGCACTCATTTGCTGGGGCTACCGTAACTAAATACTGCAGACAATTTGTCCTAGACAAGAGAAATTTCTCACAATTTTGCAAGATACCAATGCAAGACCAAGGTGTCTACAGATGAGTTTTTTTTCAGAGCCATAAGAAAAGGATAGGTTTTAGCCTCTCTCCTTGGCCTGTGGTTAACCACCTTCTCACTGTCTCTTCACATGATTGTCCATTTGTGCAATGGACATGTGTTCTTTTTCCAAGCTCTTTCACAGCCTCTGTCTTATTTGATTTAACTTCCTAAATCTAGACTTCACTTTGTTTCCATCAGTGCTTACACACAGTATAGATAGTATAGTATATCAAAATTGAGTATATCTCAATTTTTTCTGTTTTACTCATCAAATATTCAACCACTTAATGAACTTATATTCTATTCTTGACACAGTGTTAATATCTAAACAGATACTTGCTATGGTTTGAAAACTTTTGTCCCCTCCAAATGAATGTTGAAACTTAGTTGCCAATGCAACAGTATTGGAAGGTATGGCCTTTGGGTGGTGACTGTGTTTTGAGGGCCTTACCCTCATAAGTGAGATTAGGTGCTTTTTAAAAAGGGTTTGTTGAATGGAGTTTGTTTTCTTGCGCTTTTGTCTTTTACCACGTGAACACACAGAGTTCCTACCCTTTAGAAGATGTGGATCTCACCAAACCACTGAACCTGTCAGTACCTTTATCTTGGACTCCAGAACCATGAGAACATAAATTAATGTTTTTTATAAATTACCCACTCTCAGATATTTTGTTACAGCAGCACAAAACAGACTAAAATAATAAAACATAATTTCACACTCAAAATGTATAGTTGAGATATGTCATCTCATTGTGTTTGCACATACATAGCCATACAATATTTACATTGTACAATGAGTTCTCACTAAACATCGTCAATAGGTTCCTGGAAAGTGCAACTTTAAGAGAGACGAAATGTCACAGATCCAATTTTACCATATGCTAATTCATATAAACAAGAGTTACATTTCCACAGAATATTTCTGGTCACAAAACCATCACCAAACATCAAAATAAAGACCAAAAACACTTCTAATACTAAACATTGAAATAAATATGAGCTATACATACATTTAAGAAAGATGAATAAAATGTTACATAATTATTCACCCAATTTTTGGTGAATCAGTATGTGACAGTGACCACAGAAGTTGGGGGTTAAGTCAAGGAATAAATGTTTGCAAGGCAAAAACTGTAAGGAGTTTTTGCTCCTTACAGTAGCTCCCTACCACTACAGAGTCCAAAAACAAAGAAATGACAAACATGGTGGGCTCACTTGCAGACTTCACACATTTTTATTTCACAATCACTGGTATTCACTTGTTCATTCATGAATTCTTCAATCTGCTTATTCCAGTTCAGAGTCTCAGTTGGCCAGAGCCTTTCCTGGCAACTCAAAGCACGAAGTGTAAACCTACCCTAGACAGGACACTATCCCCTGGCAGAGTACACTCACACCCACCCCCATTCAGATTGGGACCATGTAGACAACCCAATTCGCTTCATATGCACAGGTTCAGGATGTCAAAAAAACTCCAAGAACTCAGAGAAAATCCATGTGGATATGCGGAAAATGTGCAAACTCCACACAAGCAGTAGCCGGCCGAGAATCATTTTTTTTCCCCCAGCATTACAAGGAAATAACATTAAATGGAATGACGTTATTGAAGGACCTGCTACACAGTGGCTAAAATTAGAGCTAGGTGAGTGTTTAAGAAAATTTTAGCTTCAGGTGTGTTTAATTTGAGGAGACTGGAGTTTCCCTGCAGGAGTTGTACAGAAAGAGAAAAACTGGCAAAAACTGGCAACTTTGCATAGGAATTCATCAGCCTACAAATAGTGATTGAAGTAACTTGAATTTTAAACATTTCTCCAAAAGAAGCTCTGAGGAAGGAGATGAGAAAAGGAATAAGGATGGGGTCTGGTATGGTGGCTCGTGCCTGTAATCCCAGCACTTTGGGAGGCCGACGCGGGTGGATCACCTGAGGTCGGGAGTTGGAGGCCAGCCTGACCAACATAGAGAAACCCTGTCTCTACTAAAAATACAGAATTAGCAGGGAGTGGTGGCAGATGCCTGTAATCCCAGCTACTCTGGAGGCTGAGGCAGGAGAATCGCTTCAACCTGGAAGGCGGAGGTTGTGGTGAGCCAAGATCGCGCCATTGCACTCCAGCCTGGGCAACAAGAGCGAAACTCCGTCAAAAAAAAAAAAAAAAAAAAAAGGTATAAGGATGAAATCTAGGCGGTCAGACTTTGCACAAAAATGCAGGAGAGGCTATTCGTCAACTTCAGAAATGAAAACATTTTCAGGTTTCATGAAATTTCCAAACAAAAATTTATAGTGTTTGGCCAAATTGTAATAGCTTGGAACCTATTTCCCTCTTCTAAAGATCAAACCTGTACAGGGGAGGGTTGGTCTAGAATAAGTATATTCTAATGCCTTGGTATCAAATATATACCCCAAACTTTTGTCACTTTACCTTTTCCCTTCATCCTTCTCAAGATTTTCTTGTAACTTCTGAGTTAAATGATCTCCACAGACGTTCCTTCTATACTCGAATGAAGGATCTTTTATGCCAGCTGCTTATTTTTCACCCCAGAAGTCTTAGTCACTGACACATTCGCCTGGGGAATCTCTTTTTTACAAACTAAACTCAAGACCACAATGAATCCCCATCAGAAGTACCCAGACAGTTTTCTTATTATGGATCTTAAGGTAAATCAGTACTGGGGAAGGGAAGATATAAGTAATTGTCAGATGGGCAATAGCAAAGCTTAAAAATATCTTAAATCACTAATATTTGAACTTAAATCTGTGCCTTCCCTTTGAGATAGTAAAATGAAATTCAGGCTTCCCATTTAGATTATCATTTTTGAGAGTGGGATTCCCACATTTCCCCCAACACTTGATCTGCTACTTTCACCTAAGCATCATGACACAGTCTTGAAACCTTTAGCCACTATACACACTCTGCCTGAAAAGAAAATTGAAATTAACTCTGATAATGCAAAGAAGACAGAATGGGGTTTCTCTTTCTCTCTCTCTCTGTTAGATGAGCACAATTCTTCAGACAGTGTAGTTAGTTATTTCAACTAGTCAAAACATGATAGCAATAAGATAGGTACTATATATTCTTTACCATATTATAAAACCTCTAGCCTCAAACCAGTCAATTCCAAACTCTTTATGCCTATTTATAGACTATTACTAAACCCAAGAAAACTAGGTGAAGGTATGATAGGATCATTATCAGAGTATCATTTCCAATTCAGGTAAAATAACCTTGTGAACAAAACCAATGACTCTCAAACATTTATTTACTAGGTCAGCAATAATATAGCTTCATATGATTATTACCTTATTCTAAGATAAATTTTTACCTAAGTTTATATCAAAATTAGTTTATTGTAAAGTTTTTTAAAAGAGTAATTATGGCTAAATGTTATTTTAATTTATAATATCTGAATGCATTTAAAGCATTGTCCACCTATTTTTCAACAGTAACAAAAAAAAAAACTAGTCACTCTACAACTGTAAAAATTAGCTTGGGTATAAATTATTTCAACTACAGGTAAATGTTAGTTGAGGAGTAATTTCTCTCAATGATTGCATTTGTCTCCTTTTTTAGCTTTATCCATGCCTCATTTTGTCTTGAATGAGATTCTAAAATCTGTCATTGAAGAGAATATAAAAGCCACTGAATTAAGCTCTCTAGGGCAGCCTGCTCACTTTATCCCAAGGAAAATAAAGAAGGCATGTGACTGTTAAAGAACTATGTTCTTCCTTTTGAGTTATTTTTTTTCCCCAAAGTAAATGCATTTTCTGGTGTGGAGGGGAAAACACATCTTTTTAGAAATTGGCTGAACAAATTGAATCAGAATATTTTTCTTACTTCGACTTGATTTTCCCAATCCTTCTCAACTTTCTCTTAATGAATGTCTTTCTTTGGGCCATAATTCATCTGCTACCAACCATGAAGGTTCAACTAAGGGTACTAATTTCCTAAGGGGACTTAACTCTCAGGGAATTTCAACAAAAAACTAATTTTAAACTTAATGTTTGTTATAAATCACACCTAAGAAGCCAAGAGGAGTTTTCCTTTTCAAAGCTATTGAAACCAAAAAGAACCAAACAAAAAAAAAGAGAATTGAAAATTGATAAGCAGGAAAGAAACTCAGAATAAAATATTTTATTTGTGTCTATTTGGTTCTATTTTGTGGTTGTATTAGTTCATTCTCACACTGCTAGTAAAGACATACCCAAGACTTGGTAATTTATAAAGAAAAGAGTTTAACTGAGTCACAGTTCCACACGGCTAGGGAGGCCTCAGTATCATGGCAGAAGGTAAATGAGGAGCAAAGTCACATCTTACACAGCGGCAGGCAAGAGAGCTTGTGCAGGTGAACTCCCATTCATAAAACCATCAGATCTTGGGAGACATATTCACTACCATGAGAACAGTATGGGAGAACCGCCCCCATGATTCAGCTATGTTCATCTGGCCCCACCCTTAACTCTTGGGGATTATTACAATTCAAGGCGAGACTTGGGTGGGGACACAGCCAAACCCTATCAGTGGTCATTGATAAAATCTGCAGTTTTCACCCCCTTAATGCAGAAGTTATCAGTAGTTTTATAAGCTGCTCCTCTTCTACATGATATTAAGAAAATGTGGGCTAATACTTGAAATAGTCTAAGAAAAAAATTCTAAGCCCTTTTATTTATTTCTAAGATGAAGATCAGCAGGCATTTTTAATGAGCAAGCTTAACTGTTTCCATAACACCAACTGGAAAATCTCAATCATCAGTGGAACCAAAGAGAAGATAGGATACTCCTTCAGAAACATATATGTAATTATATTGCTTAGGATCTGCACTCTCTCTCCTTTTCTCTATTACAGGCATTCTCCTTTTTTGATCTTTCATTGACATACCTTACTACACAGAAATAATGAGGGCGAACACATGAGCACATAAACGCTTAGTTGTTCATAATTTTTCTATTTTGGAAAATTTCTTCATCAAGAAGATCAGCTGAAAGAGAGGTCATCAAGTTAGGAAGCACCCTAGAATCTGCATCCTGCAGAACATTAAAATCATCACATAGTATGAAACCTCCAGAATTTAAGCACAGCTAGTGTATATTTCATTTTCATTTTCATTAAGAACAGCATTTACTGACATGTGATAATTTCACCTGTTCAGATACAAATTAGATGGTTCTAGCCATTAGAAAAAATTGATATCTGTTGCAATGAATGAGTGCTGGTTTGAAATACTTTAAACATGTTATTCACTTCAGAACTATTAGTTATTCATTTCTGTACTTAAATATGTACTGTTATATACATTTGGAAAGCTGTAACTGTAGATAAAGAAACTGTTTTTGAGGGCCAAGAAACTCAAGTTTCCATTTATTTGTTATGCCCTTGAAAAGGTTGCTTAGTCTCTCTGAAGCTTATTTCCTAATATACAAAGTGTAGGCAATTCTAATGGACATTTCATATAATTGTCCTGAAGTTTACATAAGAAAATTGTATATAAATGACGATAGGCCTATAGAAAATACTACGTAATGAATTACTTTTACAGCTACTACCAAACTTGAACAATTTCCAGTGTGAGAAAAGATAATTGAAGAGAATCTTCACTGAAAACTTCTAAAATTTTATGCTACTGATAATTTTATTTTTCTACTGTTATCTGCCAATAAACATATTTTCTCTTCGTTTATGCATTAACATCAACACTATTTTTAAAATGTTTTCATACTTTGGTACAATTGCATCCCTCAGTGCAATGCTCAGTTGTAAATCCTAATTAGGTTAAGCACATAATGCGAATATGATTACCTTGGCAGTGAATGGTAAAAACATATCTGCAAGAGTACAAACCTTGCCATGACATCAGAAAGAAACTCCTCCGGGAAATTCTAGGAAAGGTTTTCTCATTCTCAAAAAAGAGACCTGTAATTTCTTCCTACTTTAAACTTTGTCATATTTAAATGTGACATCTGGAAGTGGCAAAGTCATCTTAGGAACATGAGATGAGCTAGCTTGAGAAAAATAAGGACATGATCATTAAAACAAAATGAAAAGATTAAAATAATCTGGGTCTTAGATAATGTCATGAAGCCTGGATTTAACCAGCTCTACTTTTATACATTTTATTATGTGAGATGTTTTTGTTCTTAAATTTTAATTGTTTTGAGTGGAATTTAACTTGCTTTAAGTGGAAAGTAATTTTACTCACCCATCAATTCATTGCAGACCCTGTGCAATTAGCTGAGGAGAAAGAGTAAGGCTTAGTATCAAGAGAACCTCACCGTTTTGGATTCAAAAGTTGAGGATTCCATTAATATTTTCACACGTGTAAAACATTTTTTAAACAATCGTTGAATATGCTTATGTGTTTTTTCACATGTGTAATTTTTGTTTTGTTTTGTTTTTTGTTTTTAGGTGGAGTTTTGCTCTTGTTGCCTAGGCTGGAGTGCAATGGTGTGATCTCGGCTCACCGCAACCTCTGCCACCTGGGTTCAAGTGATTCTCCTGCCTCAGCCTCCCAAGTAGCTGGGATTACAGGCATGCACCACAATGCCCGGCTAATTTTTTTGTATTTTTAGTAGAGATGGGGTTTCTCCATGTTGGTCAGGGGAGTGTCGAACTCCTGACCTCAGGTGATCCACCCACCTTGGCCTCCCAAAGCGCTGGAATTACAGGCGTGGACCACCGCACCCAGCCTCGCATGTGTAAAATATTTTTTAAACAATCATTGAACATGCTTATGTGTTTTTTCATGTATGTAAAAGGTTTTTTAAATAATCATTGAATATGCTTATGTGTTTGACTAGCATTAATCAACAAATACTGATATTAAGGAAAGTGGAGAGTCAAATTCAAGAAGTTAGTGTTGTTGGCTGCCTGCCAAGCACATACATACTTTTTGTATAAATAAGCATTTGTACTTCTGTCTAAAAATTTTATCTGTCTTAGTAAATAAAATATTTTTGTATGTCATTTAATTTTCATTATCTTGATGAAACTAGTTTTACTATCATAAGATGCCTTGACAATTTTATGACAAATCGGGGTGTATAATTTTTCTTTACTTAAAAACTTACCTATAGATTTCTTTTGGTAGCAATTCGGTAAATTAAGTACCCATCATCATGCTGAAAACATGTAAAGAATGTTGGATAAAATACTTGTAAGTTAATTGATGACTTGGAAAGGAAATATAGAATATCGAGAAGCTAAATGTAAGTTAATTGATGACTTGGAAAGGAAATATAGAATATCGAGAAGCTAAATGAGAAGATGAACTAAATAAAAGGGGCATTTGAGGTCAGAGGAGCATGAAACTTTTGGCTTGATGACATTTGATAAATTTTATTAACTTTCAGCTTATTTTTACAAAATGCCTGGAGACTACTGAAATGTGTAAAAGCTCACAAGAAACCCTTTGCCCCAGTAAACTTGGATCCAAGAAGACTTAATCTTTACTGTAATGGTTAACTAGAACCATAATTACCCAGCCTTATCTCCAATCACATAGTTCAAGATTGCAAGAAAAATTGTCTGTCTAAACTTTGGCTCTAAGGAGAGGAACTATTGCTTTCTTAAGATGTCGTAATTGCAAGTCATCCACACAACAGTTTTGCTTACCAAATTCACACTATCTGGATGTCAGGCAATCTTTTGTGTATGTTTTATTTAAAGTGGAATTGCTCCCATATGACCGTTAGAAACAGGAGCAATTTCTCTCTACAATATCCTACCTTCAACCCTGGCCTCAAATTTTCCTCCAATAAGGGTCCAAAATAATAAGCTCATGTTACAAATGAATCATAAAATATTCGAGAAAATAATATGCCAACGTAAGCATCATCTGGATATACATTGTTAGTGGATACTAAGGACTACTTTTGCCTTTCTAAGATCTTTGCTAGGAGAGAATAAAAGCAAATCTAGTAGATGATAGAGCTTAGATAATAGAGTACTTCCTTTGGTGGTGGTGTCCCCTGAGAATTTGTCGTTTTAATATCTTATTGGCTAAGATCAAAAGCTGCATCATCCTGCCTCTTCCCAGAGATGTCATCCTGAGTCTTCTTCATTAGGGTTTCATGTAGGTGAGATAATTGGCTAAAGTTCCTAGTAATTGCTACATTTTTGGATATTCTAAAAGCCATTGACAGCATCACTGACCTTTGTCATCACAGCCCTTCCAAGGTATCATAAGCATTTACTCTGTTAGTCAAACACTATCCTACTCAAGGCATCCACTATAGCATCTATTCTCCTGCTAGAACTCTAAATAAAACACAAGGGGAGGGGAAAATCACAAAGTCGCCACAGATAGACAAAAATATTACAAACATGAAAGAGGATAAGAAATATGGAGAACAGAATAAGAAGATTCTCTATATATTTAAGAGTTTCAGAGTAAAAAGGAAAAAGAGTGAATAATGGAATAATGAATGATAGTATTCCTGAAATTGCAAAATCTACAGATTCAGAAAGTGCCATTCAAACTATATTCATTTCTCCTTCTCTGAGAAACACAGAAATACACAGGAAATCATATTTAGACCCATACAAATTCAAACATATAATACCAAAGATATAGAGAAGACTTGTTGAACACCGAGAAAGAAAAGATGGCTCACCCAAAAGGAAAATTAGAGTGCTAGAAACCAGAGGAAGTTGGTTAAATAATTTTTAATGAGTTGAGAAAAATTACATGGCAACTTACCTATCCCTTATGGAGAGAGAGTGTGTGTGCGTGTGTGTGTGTGTGTGTGTGTGTGCATGCGTGTGTATAAAACAGCAATTGACAATGCCATGGAAGGAAATAAAAATATATTCTATTACTGTGAATTCATCAAATATAGCTCTATCAGTAATTGATACATCAAGCAGACAAAAGTTCAAAAATGACACAGAATGTGTAAATAACAAATAACAAGAGTGACATGATAATACATTAAAACAGCACAGTGAAGAATATGTATTATTTTCAAGCACACTGGACCAGTTAAGAATATTGACCTCATAAATGTTTGGTGAATGAAGCTTAAACAAAATTCAAAATGTTAACAACATACCCCAAATACAACACAATTAAATTAGAAATCAATAATAAAGAGATGTCTGGAAAAATACGGATATTTGAGCATGAAACCTAAAACTTGTGGATCAAAGAGGAAGATATAATGGAGATTTAAACATAATTGGAAACTTAAGAAATAAATAATTGTAATCCTACTCAAACTATTCCAGGGCCTTCAACTTATTTTAGAATACAAGCACAACCTTGACGTAAAGCCTATAAAGACATTACCAAACGAAAATTACATGTTAATCTCATTCATGTTTATGAAGGTAAAACTCTTACATTAAGACTTGCAGTATGAATCATGAACCTGGAAATAAAGTTGGATTAATTCCAGAAATACAAGGTTGATTTAATGTATAAAATTAAGTAATGTAATTTAATTACATTAAAAGAAAAATAATTCCTGTTTACCTAATAAACAGAAAAATATAATATTTTCATAAAATTTCAAACCATCTGTGACAAAAATTTTAATCTACCAATCAAAGGACATTTCCATATCCTGATAATCTTGTAGGAAAATAAAATTGCATGACAGATTTAAAAATAATATGTTTATTTTTCACTCATTTAACAGTTCAGCATGGATTCACATTGTTGAGCAGCTCTCCTTTAGAGACCTCAGTGTTGAGTTGCTTTACCTCTCATCATGTGGCTTTTAAATAGAATGACCATATAATGTATTATTCAAAATAAGACATCTCTAAGAGTGGGAAAACTATTAGTAATGTTTCTAGGATGCCAGGTGTAAGTCATTATTGTTCTAGACAGTCTAGGTTGTATGGTCACCCCTTAAAAAGTGTTTGGGATGGGACAAAGAGTGTGGAAAAGTTTATTTTCCTCGAGAAATTTTAATAGACAATCCTGAAATTATACACATCGCATTTAATCAGCTTATTTGCTGGGATTTGTTACATAGCTTAATTAACTGCAAGATTATAGAAAACATGGTAAAACTTCATTCCCATGCAGCAGGGAAAGTTAAGTTTTCATCAGCAGCTAGGGGTATTTTCCAACAATATAGGTATCCACAAAAATCTGGAGCAAATATCTTACTTAATCATGAGATATTAAAAGAATGATAATTCAAGATCAAGAGCAAAGCAAGGATTTCTAACTGTATTTAATATTGCATTAGAAATGCTACCCAAAGGTGAATGAGATATAAGATACAAAGATTGGAAAAGTTTGAAAAAATGTTATCATTTACAAGCAATGTGATTGTTTCCATAAAAACTCATAAAATGCTATACATAAATTATTAGAATTGGAGAGTTCAGCATAGATTCTGGTTGCAAAATTAACATAAAGAATAACTGCATTTCTATAAACCAAAATAATTAAATATTATTAAAAGTCACACATGCCATTTGCTATAACAGCAATGATAATATAAATGAATCTAACAGAAGTGTACAAGACCATTATGGAAAATATTACAGAAATTGATTAAAATACATTAAATAAGACCTAAAGAAATTGAGGTGTATAACATATTATGGAATAGAATACCCGTTATGTGAAAATATTGATTATTTAGAAAATTTCAAATATAATACAGATTAATTAAATTCATATCAAATAAAATCAAACAAATGTTTTCAAATAATTTCCCTAGGCAATCTGAATTATATGTGCACACAGAAACACACATGCAGACACACACATAAACAAACACACCGAAAAGCACAGAGGCAAGAATAATGAAGGTACTGTTTACTTTTGGTAGAGTGTTGCAAAGGTAAGTTTTTCCATAAATTTCGTATGTGTACATAATAGTTAATTTTATGTGTTAATTTGGGTAGACTAAGGGATGCTCCAATAACTGGTAAAATGTTATTTCTGGGTGTGTCCATTAGGGTGTTTTCAGGAGAGATGGGCACTTGAATCAGCAGACTGAATAAAAAAGATCCCACTTCACTGATGGGTTGGGTATCATCTAGTCAATTGAGTACTCAGAAAGAACAAAAAGCTGAAGAAGGAGCAAATTCTCTCTCTCTTCTTACGCTTGAACACGCCCGTTTTCTCCTGCCCTCTGACAACAAAGCTCCTCGTTCTTGGGCCTTCAAGCTCCAGAGCAATTGGATCTCCTGGTTCTCAGGATTTTAGACACAGGATAAATTACATCACTGACTTTCCTAGTTCAGTAGCTTACAGATGGTACAGTGTAGGACGTCTTGGTCTCCATAAACATGTGAGTCAATTCCCAGAACAAAGCTTCTATCTATCTATCTATCTATCTATCTATCTATCTATCTATCTATCTATCATCTGTCTGTCTGTCTATCATCTATCTCCTATTGCTTCTGTTTCCCAAAAGAACCTTGAGTAATATAGAAAATATTAGTTATAATTTATTACACTATATATGTATTTTTCTTCTTGATAGTTTATGGAAAACAGACCTGTATCTCAAACTCACTCAGATCGCCACAGAGAAGATCTGTGGACACTAAAATTAGCTCAAAATTGAATACATTATGCCTACTTCTCCAGCTCTCATTACTCAAGATCTAATTCAACAAATTGCGGATGTAGACACTTGGATATTACCCTAGAATCCTTCTTTCCTTCTAGAATTTCTCCCACATTATAAATAATTTGTTGCCAGAAAATAGATTCTATAATAAAATATTTCATCATTCTATTCACTGTTTATAAATCCCCACTCACTGGGTCAGGCTACTAAAATTTCATGATGATTACTGAGACTGCAATTTTTCTGTGGTGTCATATCCCTTTAATCCACACTTCCCACTGTGGCTAGTTTCTAATTCATAGAACTGATGAGGTCACTCCTCCTTTAAATTTTCTAAAACTCCTAAAGACATTTTTAAAAATGTCTTTAGAAAATTGAATAATTATATAGATACATATGGGTGGAGTAGGATATAGTGTCAAATAAACACCCCAAAACGCCAATGGCTCAATAACAGAAGAGGTTTTTTTGTTGTTGTTTATAGATCAGCCACGTGGAAATTACTGATTCTTTAGACAGTTCCCTTCTATATACTAATTCACATTCCTTCACTCTTTTGATTCTGGCATGTACTACATTGCCTTCATAACCTGATTCTAGCCATCAGAAATGAAGGAAACGAAGGAAGGGAGGAAGGAAAGAAAGAAAAGAAAAGAAGGAAGGAAGGAAGAAAGGAAGTAGATAAATGAGCTACCACCATTTTTTAAAAGCTTAGAAATAATACTTATGCATTTTATTCATATTGTGTTGGCTGGAAGTCAGTTCCACAACAACATCTAACAAAGAGCATGAGAGAGAAAGTCTGACTGTGTGCCAGGAAAAAGAGAAGAATAGGGATTTCAGTAACGACTTGCCTTTAAAAACTTTATAATCTGGTCCAGCTTGCCTTAAACCATCACTTGCATTTCCTGGATCTCTCCAAATCTACTCTCTAGCCATAATAAATTTTATGCAATCATCTACATTCTCTTTCCTTGGGGCCTTTTTATGCACTGCATTTTCTGATTGAATTAAACTTTCTACCCCAAGCTCATTGTTATGAATTGAATTGTGTACCCTGCAAACTTCATATGTGAAGGTCTTAATCCTTAGTACTTCAGAATGTGACCACATTTTGGGATAAGGATAAGGAGACTAAGTTAAAATAACACCAGTAGAGAGATAGTTTTTAATCTAATATGACTGATGTTCCTATAAGAGAAAGAGATTCCAGGGATGCATTCACAGAGAAATGATCTTATAAGCACATAGCAAGAAGGTGGCTATCTACAAGCCAAGGAGAGGGGCCTCAAAAGACACAAAACTTGCCAACACCTTGATCTTGGCTTTTTAACCTCAGAACTACGAGAAAATAAATTTTTATTGTATAAGCTGCCCAGTTTGTAATATTTTGTTACAGCAGCCCTAAAAAACTAATACACCCATCCTTTTTCCTTGGATAACTACAAGTCTTTCTTTTTTTTATTACTTAAAAATAATTATTTTTAGAGATGGGGTCTTGCTCTGTCACTGTCTGGAGTGCAGTCGTGTCATCATAACTCACTGTACCCTTGAAGTCTGTGGCTCAGGTGACCATCCTACTTCAGTCTCCCAAGTAGCTGGGACAATAGGCATGCACCACCACATTCAGCTAATTTTTTATTTTTGTACTTTTTATAGAGACAAGTCTCACTATGTTGCCCAAGGTGGTCTCAAACTCTTGGCCTCAAGTGATCTTTGGCCTCAGCCTCCAAAGGTGTTGGGATTATAGGTATGAGCCACTGTGCCTGGTTCTCATTCTTCTTCACTTATGTAACAAGTTGCTTAGACAAACCTCTCCTTACTTCATTATGACTGGATTTGATCGAATTCCATGGCTACTTAACACACTGAATCCTAATTACTTTTATTTGTCTGATCTTCTCAAGATCACAGACTTCTTGGTGTTAAGCTTGTTCACTAATGAAGTTATAGCATTTAGTACAGTAAAAAGTACATAATAAATGTTGATTACTATTGTTTCAAAAAAATCTATAATAGCAGTAGAGTTGAGGACAGATGGGTTCAGATATGTCATTGTGAATGATTAACTTTCAGAGCCGGCCCATTTGGAAAACAAGAATCAAAGACATTGGAGTAGATGTGTGAATCCGAGTTCAGAGTAAGTGTGAAGCAAAGCCTGTGGTGACGAAGCCAGATAGTTCCCTGACCCCTTTGTGGGTGGGAACTGGAGTGCATGGGTGCTGGAACAAGCCAACTGTGTTGGCGCCAGCAGGGGCAAATTCCACTCCCTTGAACCCGCTGCGCTCCACCCCTCGTGGGAGGGGGAGCACAGGTGAGCAGGTACAGGAGGAGCTGGGGAAGCACTCTTGGGCACATGCAGGAGTGAATTCCGTACCGGCCCCACAGCAGCATCAGCGGGGCGGGGGTGCCCACGACCCCCGAAGCCCCAGAGGAACTGTCACAGTACTCTTTTAGCTCTGCCCTCTGTGGATGGCTTAAGTGTTAACAGCTCAGTGGACCCTATGTCTTTTAGCATAAGGCGGCTACCTTCTGCCAGCGAGGGCAAAGGGTCAGTGTGGCAGCCTTTTGCCTCCACACTCACTGCACCTGAGCTGTTGTCAAGCATCCAGGAGAAATGAAGTAGCACAAACGAATTGGAGGATGGTAAATGTGGGGGATTTTATTGCTGTTGGACGTGGCTCTCAGAGGGAAGAGGAGCTGAAAAGCAGACAGAGAAGGAAGGTAATCTTCCCTCAAAGTCCAGCTGTCTCCTGGGATTCTTCTTGAAATTTACACCGTCGAGCTGTCCCTCTGAAGTAAGGCACTTCTCTCTGATGTCCAGCTGCTTCTCCTGCCTTTGCTGGCTGAGCCTGCAGTTTTCACGGGCACAAGATGAGGGCATGGAGTGGGCCATGGGTGGTTCTGGAAAAGGCAACATTTGAGTGAGAAAACTGGGATGTTAACTTCTCACTTTGGGCTGCTGTTTCAGGCTTTTCAGCTTGAGGGTGGGGCCCTCACCAGGGACCTGCCCTCTTCAGCCCAGAATTTCCCTGCCTCCCATCCCTGTCGTTGACCAAATGGGAGAGTAGGGAGAGTAGGAGAAACTCTGAGGAATGGCTTTAAAAATCAGCTAAAATGTGTGACTTTCTTTGTGGCTGACAGAGAGGAGATACAATGAGTGGATAGGCCAGCCTAATCCAGTGAGGGTTGAGTCAAGAACAGGGAAAGAAATCAAGAAAACACAATGTGGGTCTCAGACTTTTAAATCACTAGGAACCGATTTCAAGATGGCCAGAAAGGACTCTATTTCAAGACAGCCAGATCATAATATGACCTGATGGATAAGCACTGATGTATAAATGCCAATTATTTCTACAAACTTTAAAGATGTAAATAGTTAGCTAATTCATCAGCAATTACCCAATACTGATACACAGTTTTTGCAAACTACAATTGCAAACAGAATAAAACCCTGAGAGCCCCAAATTTTGCCTTGAAGTGATATGCTTGTGTTTTACCTGAGAAGGCATAAATTTCTAGAAAAGTACAGATTTACTAGGACCAGTAATTTAGATGTTGCATTCATTAATGTTATTTAAGAGGTTTAGTGAATAACAGCTAAAACATTTGCCACTCTTGTCACCAGAGTTCCCTTAATCTGCTGAGTAAACAGGATCTTTGAAATTTTGGTTGTGAATATTTCTATAGTCTATGGCTTAGAACACAGATAATTTTTTCCCTGCCTGCTCTTTTAAGCAGATAAATGCACAACCTGAAAAGTTATTAGCATATCAATGTCTAATTGACTGTAATAAAAAATGAAAAATCCTAATAACATTCCTATATGTCATTCTCATAGACTTCAATTATTCAGAAGTTTCATAATGCTGCTGCTGCCTAGTAGAGTATAAGCCATTAAATATGCAACTGGGCTAAAATATAAAAGTTTTACAAATGCTCATAGGATGAAATCATTGTGGTGTTTTAAAATTTAATGTTGCTTAACCTGCAACACAATGAATTCCTCTGCCCAGATACAAAGTTTATGATGTGAAAGTAAAAATTAATCCCTAATGTTTTGTAGAACAGGTCACACCAAAATTTTTTTCTTTCTTTCTTTGTTCAACTTTAAATTTCTGTTTTAAGTATGCAGTTTGCCTCTAATAAAGTTTTCAAGTTTGAGAAAAATAACTGCTATGTGACAAATTACTGTGGATGTTATTACCCTAAATTGCAGATAAATAAAATTAAGAAAAGTAAAACGTGGAGAAACTAATGAAGTTGTTAAATTTGCAAAACTCTAAAAATATATTCAATCTATATATGACATATATATATATATATACATATATGGAAGAGAAAAAGGCCAAATAAACAAGACCCTTTCTTTTTTTCTTTTTTTTCCTGAGATGGAGTCTTGTTCTTTCACCCAGGCTGGAGTGCAGTGGCATAATCTCAGCACACTGCAACCTCTGTCTCCCGGGTTCAGGCAATTATCCTGCCTCAGCCTCCCGAGTAGCTGGGATTACTGGCACGCACCACCACACCCTGTTAAGACACATTTTAAAAAAGAAAAAAAAAAAAGCTAAAGTGCTTCAAAGTTAGTATTTTCATATGTTTTCTGAAAAACAAATATACTGATTATGATATGTTAGCTAAAATTTAGCAAATGTATTATTTAACAAATATGTTATACATTTATCATTTAAAAATATGTCATATTTGTTTTATCTTCCAATATTTTATAAAGATAACTAAAATATAGGCTATTTATTTGACAATAAACTCACACTTATGTGCAAGAAATAGCCTACATTTTAGTTATTTTTAAATAACTAAATGGGCATTGTTAAATGTGCCCATAGGACTTTAAAACTGTAGATAATTTGTTACCTCAGTATTATTTCTTGAAGAGTGACATTACTACAATGAACTTAAACCAAGAATAATATTAGTCATCTTCAAAATCTCCTCTTTGAAAAACACTCTCATAATTTTCAGAATTTATAGCATATTTCATACATCTATTTTCTGTCCTTAACCTCCTTAGAGACACGGACACTTCGGAAAGCGTTCTGCGGACAGTTATCAAGATGATGAATTGCAGTGAACACCAAGACACAAAAGGTTAGAATTTTCTTCTTTTTCTTTTTTAAAATGCAGCCCAGAAGCATAGACAAAGGAATGAGAGACTAAGAGAAAGATAACACAGTTCAGGATTTACGAGAAATTTTCTAACTTGCAGAAATGTCTAAAGATACATTTGCTTCTTTGTAAGGTAATGCATTTTATAATCACTGAGAATATTTTAAAATAGGCAGGGACAACAATTGTTGCTGGATTATGCTGAGAGGATTAAGTCATGAGATGATTCAACTTTGATTTTAAAGATATCAATCCTCATTTCCTAACTTCTTGAAAAGTTATGTTGGAAAATGAGAAAAACCACAATGCTAGCTTCCTGTCTTCAATATCTACAACGTTCACGTAAGCAGCTTATGTGTCCTTCTCAATAAAATAGTACTGCTTAGTATTTTTAAATATATTTTATTTATATGGTATCAAATGGAAACAAAGTCAAAGTCACTCCAATGTCTGAAATAAATACATATATGCATGCATGCACACACACACACACACACACACACACACATACACACACTGCCTTTGAGTATGTAAGAAAGAATTCACTTAGTGCCTTTTGGATTGAAGAGAGGAGAATAAATGAAATGAAGTAATAATTTCTCCATAGCTAAACTATTTACTTTTTCATGGAGCATGTGGAAGATAGCTACTTGGCTCCATCCTCAGAGAAGAAGTAGTATTTTTATATGACTTCTTCCTTATTCGATGAGTTGCTACATTTCAAAACTATGAGTAATTCATAGAATCTGCTGGCAAAAATATATGTTCTGCCAAAATACACACTCACACACTTTTATGTGCTAAAAAGAATTATTTGAAATAAGGTATGTTACTTTAATAGTAATACACTCATTGAATCTGTTTAGGGTTAAAATAATTTAAAATATTAATGTAAAAAGCAAGGAAATTTTCAGGTTAAAAAATGTTATAGCAGAGGACAAATCTTCCAGTTCTTTTTCATAAGGACAAATATTTTAAAGGCTAAATTGTAAGCTGATTTTTCAACAATCATAGCAACGGACCAAAATTATATTTGTAAGTTGTAATACTACTATTTAATACTTTTTAAACTCTCCCCCTTATAATCTAAATTAATGAGTATCCTCCACATCCCCCAAAATAACATCAGTTATATTTGTGGCAGAAATTGTATTCTTTTGAAAAAAAATTGAGAGAATTATATGAACACATTCAAATTTTTGATGGTTGTTTTTAAATAAACTTTTTAAAGTTTTAATATAACTTTAGCTTATGATTTACAGAAAAGTTGTGATACGTAGTACAGAGAATTTGCATATTCCTCACATTCAGTTTTTCCTACTCTTAGTACTTCATATTAGGATGGCATACTTGTCACAATTAATGAACTAATACTGATATATAAAGATGAACTATAATGCCTACTTTATTCAGATTTCCTTAATTTTACGTAATGTTCTTTTTCTGTCCCAGAATCCCATCCAGGATTCCACATTCCATTTAGTCATCATGTCTCCTTTGTCTTCTCTTCTGTGACAGTTTTTCAAAGGTTCCCTGGTTTTGATGACCTAGGCAGTTTTAAGGAGTACTGCTAGAAATGTTTTTCTCAATTGGAATATTTGTGAAAGTTTGTCATGAGATCGTTAGTGGATGTTGTATTTTGCCACATGCTTTCTTCAATGGATATAATAATATGATTTTTCTTCTTAAATGTGTTGACATGGTAGATTACATTGATATAGTGTAAATACTAAAACAGGCTTGAATATCTGGAATAAATCCCACTTGGTCTTGTTATATAATTCATTTCACACTTTGTTGGATGTGTTGAGAATTTTTGCCTGTATTTTCTGTGAGATACCAATTCATAGTTTTCTTTCTTCTAATAACTTTATCTGGGTAATGTTGGCCCATAGAATGAATAAGGATTGATCCCTTTGCTTTTATTTTTTGAGAAGATTACAAAAAATAAATATGTTTTCATGTTAAATGTTTTAAAGAATTCATCAGTGAAATTTGAGATTCATGCTCTCTTTTTGGAAGATATTCGATTATTGATAATTTTCTGTAGATAAAGAGCTACCGATAGTATCTATTTCTCCTTATGTGAATTTTGGTAGGTGTGTCATTCAAAGTATTTGTCCATCATATCTGTATTTTTAAGTTTTTGTGCTTAGTGTTACCTATACTATTCACTTGTTAGCCTTTCAAAGTACAAGTAAGAATAGAGAAGTCTTTTTATATTTTTGGTATTTGTAATTTGTGTCTCTTCAACTTTTGTCTTTATTAGCCTGGCTACAGGTTTATAAATTTTATCGATGTTTTAAAAAGTATCTTTTGCTTGTATTTACTTTCTCTATTTTTTCTCAGTTTTGTAGAGTTTCATTCTAATTTTTAATATTTCTTCTTCTTTTAGGCTTAATTTGCTCTTCTTTGTCAAGATTTCTAATGCTGAGCTGAGCTAGTTGATTTGTATTCCTTTCCTTCTAATGCATATATTTATGTAAGTTACACAGTACTACATAAGTACAAAACATACATGTCCAGGTGTCCGTGCCTTTTTTATTGCATCCTAAGTGCAGAATAAACACTTGGTTTATATTGAATCTGCTACCTATGAAAATAAAAAACGTACTTTCTAAACCAGTGATTTTGGCTATACTAAAGTATAGCTAATCATGGCTCCCCCAAATATCCACATCTTAATATGTTACCTTATATGGCAAAAGAAATTTTGCATATGAGATTAAGTTGATGATCTTGAGTTTGGGTGATAATTTTGGGTTACCAGGTGGGTATGATGCAATCATATGATGCAATCACAGGAGTACTTAAAGTAAAGAAGCAGGCGATCAGAGAAGGGCTGGAGAGGAAGAGGCAATATGATGATGGAAGCAGAGATTGGAGTTTTGTGCTTTGAAGATAGAGAAAGTGTCCTTAGCCAAAGGATACAGGCAGCCACTACCAGCTGGAAAGCCAAGGAGATGGAGTCTGCCCTAGAGTCTCCTGAAGAAACCAGCCCTGCTGACACCTCGGCTTTGACACAGTGGAACAGATTTCACACTTCTGGCCTCCAGAACAGAAACAGAATAAATTTATGCTGTTTTAAGAACTATGTTTGCGGTAATTTGTTACAACTGCAACAGGAAACAAACACATAAGTAAAAAACACATTGTGATTAAGGAGCTCTGTGAGATTTCCTGAGTCCCAGAGAAATGTTCCTGTAACAAAACTCTCAGAGTTCAGTGATTGGGAGCTTGAGTTCACAGACTTAGGAAACAAATATCTTCTTTTAGAGAAATTTTTCAAACAGAACCCGAAGTGAACTCTAGTATAATCTTCTAATGAATGTTACAGCGTGTTGTTTGTGCTATTAAATTCACATGCATATTCTCTCTCTTACCTCTCGCATCTTTTCTTCCAATTCTCTCTCTGTCTCTCTCTCTCTTTCTCTTTCTCTCTCTCTCTCTCCCTCTCTCTCTGTCTCTCTCTCTCTCACACACAGAATCATAAACTACTTTTCTTCTGAATCCTCTCTGTAAACGGGCTAAGCATTTGACTTAAGCACTGTGATGCCTTCTTTAGAGAGATTAAGTAGGATGATGCAAATGCTTTGTCAGATGCTCCCACCAACTGATTTATCTTGGGAAAGATAAAAATTTAACCTGAACAGAAATAGAAATATTGTCAATGAGGGTGAAGGTCAAATATTTATGTCTACTTGAAAAAAATCAATGTCAGAAGTAACAGTAGTTCTTTTCTTGTACTCTAGCCTGCGTTTCCTTAAATATTGTGGCCCCTAGATATATTGATAGTTGAGAAAATGCTCTTTTCTTGCTCTGCTTCCCTCAGGAAAAGTTTTTTAAACCCACTTTCTTAGCAGCTAATCGATCATATCTTGTGTGAATAATCAAAAGCCTTGGAAGTTATGTGTACATGTCATGGCTTTCATGAAGCAATAGCAGATGTGTGAGATGTCTGCAAAACCTGCAGATGGCAGTTGCGTGATCTACCTTCATTGGCATCATTCATAATATAAACACGATTATAAAGTACTCTGTTTACATTATTCTTGAATACAATATTCCCAACAAAAATATCTGCAAAAGTCAACACATTAAACCCAATGCAGTGCATTTTTATTACAAGAAGGCATTCTTTAAGGATGACTAATGTCTCCGAGGAATAAAATGGAGATTAGGCAAGAGTGTGATTAAAATGAAGACCCGAGAAAGGTTACATTCTCTATGCATTCATTCTCCGCAGGGTGCACAACTGCCTAAGAGTAAAACAAATAATTTCTCCAGCAGAAAGACTTCCATTTGAAATGAAATGCTTAAAATAACAAATTGTGTTTGTTTTTACCATCACATTTCCTTGACATATAGAAAAGTCATATTTCCTCATCATATTTCTTTTGGTAATAAGCTTCTTTTGACAAAGATTGTACTTTGACACTATGAGAGATGTTTGAATAGACATAATAAACACAGAAACATACTAAAACTAAAATCTATTGAAAAAATTTTAAAAGGATTGAAAAATGAATGTGTTTTGACATAAGAATTGATTCTGCAAATTAAGTAGATCTTTAAATATTAGATTTATTAATACTATTATTGCTTTTTTGTTGTTGAACATTGTAGATTGTTATAATGATTCTCAAATGTATTGGGATTGCTATTTTACAATTCTTATTGTTAGTACTGAACCACATGCTGTATCTTTCATTTGTCAAATTTTAAAAGTTTCTTAATCATCTAAACATCTTTTTCCTCACCAAAACCTATATTTCCTCCTATATGCACTGTCAGCATTATTATTTCATTTATGTGAATAGAAATGCTATAATTAAAAGTATATGTTTAGTTTAGTTTCATTGTTTTTCTGTTTCTTAGCAAAGACTTGGAACCAACCGAAACATCCATCAATGATAGACTGAATAAAGAAAATGTGGCACATATACACCACGGAATACTTTGCAGCCAAAAAAAAGGACGAGTTTATGTCCTTTGCAGGGACATTAATGAAGTTGGAAACCATCATTCTCATCAAACTAACAGAAGAACAGAAAACTAAACACCGCATGTTCTCATTCATAAGTGGAAGTTCAACCATGAGAACACACGGACACAAGGAGGGGAATATCACACACCGGGGCCTATCGGGGGGTGGCAGGCTTGGGGAGGGAGAGCATTAGGGGAAATACCTAATATAGATGACGGGTTGATGGGAGCAGCAAACCACCATGGCACGTGTATACCTATGTAACAAACCTGTATGTTCTGCACATGTATTCCAAAACTTTAAATGTAATAAAACAATTTAAAAATGTGTTCAATTTACCTACATATTTATTAATTTTCATATTTACTTTTTAAATTGTTTCATGTGCTTTTCCTCAGAGTTTACTTTTTCTGCTGGCTGAAGTACATTTATTTTTATTTCTTTTATTGACAGGTTATATATACTAAGCTTTTAGTTTTTGTATATCTTCAAGTATCTTTATTTTGCTTCTCTTTATGAAATGTAAATTAGCTAGGAATAAAATTCTGTACTAATCATTAGATATTTTTCTGCACTTTGAAATTATTACTGTAATGATCTTCTGGTCAAGTTGCTTTGGAGAGTAGGTGAAGTTATCATTTATTTGTAGGCATTCTATATTTTATATATTTTTGGTTTACTGGAGTCTCCTTAGAATTTCTATAGGCAAGGATTGATTTTCATTTCTCCTGTTCACCAATTACAGTTTTAAATTTGAAGACTTTTGCTTTTCTAAAATTCTGAAAGCTTTAATTCCTTTAGCCTCCCATTTGCCACATCTAATATAAAATTAATCCCATTTATTTATTTTTAAATTATGTTTTTAAATGAGTTCTTCTTTTTAAGAAATCACATGTTTTACTTCAATCATAAGAATTCCTGTTCTATATGTACCGAATTCTTTTAAAATAGAGGTTTTGCACTTACTTTCTAAATCCTGCCATTATACTTACTTTGAAGTATTTTTCAAAATATTCCACACAAATAGTTTCATTTGTAATGAGGTCCTGTTCCGACTGCTTGGTTCTATACTTATTCTTTTCTTAATATTATATTTCTCCAAATATTTTCAAATTTTCCTTTTAACTGAGAGGATTCATGGTTTTATTTTTGTTCTCTTTTCTCTCTGTGCATACCCTGTTTTGTCTGCAGGCTTTTACACTGAATCCAGCTAATCTTTTGGAACCCCACTTCTGAATCAAATTTTATAGTAGCAATTCAGTATATGTTATTTGTTGCTAATGTTGAACTTATCACAGGTTGTCAAAGAGACAGCTAATAGCTTTTCCAGTTCTATTTGTGTCATCCAACATATCTTTCTATAAGCTCTTCACATATTTTTTGTATAACCTAAATTTTAGCATGTTTCACAGACTTTTTGTTCAATCATTCTTGGCCCATACTTGACTCTGTCTTTGCTTTTGCAGTTTTCCTCATCGAAATTTCACTTATCTCCTCCTGCTTACGTCTTACCTCTAATTTAGTTTTGTCATAAATATTACCGTCTCTAGGAGCTTTACCTAATCACTCAAACTAGGCAAAACGTATTTTCTATGACAGCCATAGAATTTAAAACACCATATAACTTTTGCCTCATAATGATTTAAATCTTTTTTATTTTATGTACTAGATTATAAATAAATATAAATCTATGTTAAATCACTATACTTCTTTAAAGTACTAAGAACCATGCCTTATGACCCCCAAAAGAATGCCTTGTGTTAAATTTAAGATATTCATCAGAAACTAGCATATTAAACCCATTTAATTTAGCTGGTGCTATGTATGACTATTCTTGGTTATTTAAAGTATCTCTTTAATGGCCTGTGACTTCCTTGCAGTCTTCCAATTTTCAATATTTTTATATACATTTGTCAATCCATTGACTATAAGAAAAATTTGTGTTTAGTAAACCTTTGCAAACTTTCTATGAAATGCAAAATTTCTACGGAATGCAGACTTCTAATTTGTTCATCTTTCAGATTCCTGCTAAAATAACCAAAAATACATAAAAGTATCAGAGGCATTCATCTTGTTAAATTGAAGGGGTACCATTTACATAGTTAAATATTAGAAAATTTTTCAGTGTTTTCTGAAGATGAGACATGATGGAATGAAGACAAAGATACCTGTCAGTAATTTCTCCAAAGAAAGCACATGATGACTCTGAATTTAGAAAGGGAGATACTGGCAAATAGTATAGCACCTTATTGGGTGAGTGATAGTTACTGGCTACATTAGCTTCCAAGAACACATTACTTATTTTACAAGCAACTCAACAAAGCTTGAAAGCAGCAGCCTTTAGAGTTCTCATCTTTCCAGCTGTGACCATGACTGGCCAAAAGCTAAACATGCAGTATTGCTGCTTCCTGACTAAGCTTGAGGGGACTCTACAAAGCTAGTCAGGGAAACTTACACAGCATGGACACATGGCTGAACAGAAATAAAATGCCCAATCTGATCTCAGATTAGCAACTTCAACAAGCACACACAATAAATAATTTTATTATTAGCATTTGTTCCATATTGATCATGCACCAGACATTTTATAAATAATTTTTCCAGAGAAGCATTCATTGACTACCCTATAAACATTGAATTTCAACTTTGTTATCTCTGCGTAGATAATGCCATATCCAATCAAACAAATAAAAACAATAACAAATAGAAGATCATGGTCCCTGATTGGGATGCATACTTATAAGTCAAAATAAAACTATAATTTCACCTGTCTTATTATTTTTCTTTGATTCTAAAAAATAGCTGGCTATGTGTTTAGTAGATTTTTTTAGTGAAACTTGAGAGGTGAAAAAGTGAGCCTTGAGCACATATGTGGATGTTAGAAGGAGTGTAGATGTTAGATTTTTCTGTGTGAAAAAATAAAAAAATAAAGTTTAAAGTTGAGGTTAAAAATAAAGTTCTAAAATGAAAAGTGATGTTCTTACAGATAACTTTGAAGTTGGAGAATAGAGTAAGGGAAAGGAGTTTCTGAGAAGAGACAGAGAGGCTAGAGAGGAAATTCTAATTAGTAGAAAATTGTCCATAGGTTTTAGAGCAAAGATGTTGAATTTTAATTGTAAATTAACCACTACGTTGTATAACATTGAAATAACCTTCATTCGTTTAAAACATTAGTAAATGTGTTTTCCGTGTACGTAGTCTGGACACATTGTTGGGAACAACACACGCTGGGGCCTGTCAGGGAGGAGGAGGAGGGAGAGCATCAGGAAAAACAGCTAATGTGTGTTGGGCTTAATACCTGGGTGACGGGTTGATCTATGCAGCAAACCACCGTGGCACACATTTACCTATGTAACAAACATGCTCATCCTACACATGTACCCTGGAACTTAAAAAAAAATTGATAAATAAATAAGTAAAAATGCAGTTTTACTTTCTTATGAATAATCCTTTGATTATTTCCTGTGAATGATGTATTGATCATTCAAAAGTCATCTTTAAAATATAATGTTTCAAATAAATATCTCTAAACATATGATTCTCAGTTGTGGCCCTATTACTCAGTTATTATTCGTTAATCATGCAGTTCTTCTAACAAAGAATTTAAAACTCTGCTTTTCACATAAGCAAACACCACTCACAGTTCCATAATTACACAGAGTCTGAGATAAACATGAAGAGCAAAGCAGCCTTCAGAGAGCAGTAGGTACATGAGCAGAGGCTTGTAATTTACAGATAAATGCGATGGCAGAAAAGAAATTGATTCCTTAAGTGTAAAATTGGAAGGATTTACTTTCTTTTTAGGGACATTTTAAAATCCTCCTTATCTCCTATTGTGATCTGTTGTAAACTTAAGAATTTTAGACTGTCCAGATATTCTTCTGGTTTATAACTAGGACTTTAAATTATTTTCAAGTATGTTCAAAGCTATATTTATTGAATGATAAGTATGCATATTAACCAGCTCAGGTTGCCATAAGAGAATACCATAGCCCGAATGGTTAACCTAACAGAAATGTCTTTCTCACAGTTCTGGAGCCTGGAAGACTGAGATCAGGTGCCAAAATGATGAGATTCTAGTGAGGGCCCCTTTCCTATTTTAAAGATGACTGCCTTCTCAGTGTATCATCACATGGAGAAAAGAGAGCGATCTGGTCTCTCGTCTTCTTACAAGGACACTGACACCATCACAGAAGCCTCACTATCATGAGTTCATCCAAAACAAATTACATATCAAAGGCTCCACCTCCAAATACTGTAACATTTTATTGAGGGTAATGTCTTCAACATATGAATTTTAGAGGCACAAGAACATTTAGTCCATAACAGCGTGATTGTGTTGTTTTGTTAATATTTATTTGTTTGCCAAGCACTGATCTAAACATGCATGAACTCATTCAATAATAGCAGTTGAATACTCATCTAAGTTCACACAGTTAGTAAGTCCTCAAACAGATACTGAAATCCAGACTGTTGCCTTTAAAACTGATAATGTTTGCCATTGTGCTATCTTATGTCAAAGGCTGCATTTATGGACCTGGTAGGCTTATTTTATTTTTAGGTGTTGTTAATCAAAAGCATTGTGGGAAGGTAGAAAGAGCACTAAATTGGGTGTCAGAATAGTTGGTATAAAGGCCCGGTTCTTAACCCTGTCCTTAATGTATGAATCACCTGTGGAGCTTTAAATAAATCATCACTAGGTCTCACCCCAAGAGTTTCTTATTTAATTAGTCTGGGAGAGAGTTTCTGCACCATTATAAACACAGAGCACTTTAGCTGATTTGAATTGTCGATGGGATTTGGAGAATAGTGAAGAAGTGGAGAGAACAATAGGAAAAAATGCTTATGGTTGGATCTACTAATTAACAGATTTTAAATCTTAGAATCACAACCTTGCAAAGCATGAGGTTCCTAATCTGTGAAATGGAGAAGATCAAAAGTTATCTTACTATCTCACATAATTTTGGTAATAAATAAATAATGTATATATAAAGTGCTTTACCAATTATGATGCACATGTAAATAAATTATTTTTCTTACATTGCTTCTTGCTTTCTTTATCATAAAATGTCATTGTTGCTTCAATTTACCTAATTCGAAAACAACAAGCCTCAATACTCAAAACATTGTCAAAGAAGACCAATACCATACTAAAACAAGGTGAATTTCACCTATGTTAGGCATTTCTCCCTATACCTTCAATATAAATATTGCAATAACCCCTATTGTGGTCATACTTTTGAAAACTTTTGGTTTGTTTTGCAAGTATGAAAGAGTCCATATATAAAATATAATATATGGTAGTAATGAGCAGATAATGATATAACCAATATAGTTATTCACAAACTTAGTGTCTGTGATTATGTGAGGAAATTTTTTAATGTAGCTCTGAAAATGTCAGTGCTGTAGTGATTGGCACATTCATACGCCCTTTTTTTTTTGTCAATGATTGACAAGTAGGGCACATTGCAGAAAATTATAAAGGAACACCACTTTATCTGTTTCATGAACATTTCAGTGGTATTACTGTTAAAGAGTGGGTGTTTCTTTTATAATATAACCAATTCGCTGTTATACTTTTGACATTTACATCCCTTTTTCTAATTTAGCTTTAAGATAATTGATAAACAAGATTTTAATATGGATAAAATCAGCATTATACTCTTTCCTGTTCTTTGGTCCCCTGAAGAAACCATCACTAATTTTTGAGCAAAAAACAAAGACCTTATACTCATGAGGTAATAAAAAACCTTCAATTGCATGTATATGTATAATTTATTATATATGTGTATATACATATATGGTACACATTTTATATATGAATTTACTCGAAAAGATTATAAATACCTACATGTCTATGTTCATTTAAGAATGGTAGTCATTTTATTTTCTTTCTAAATTTCAAGTTAGGTGATGTATAACTTGAAATGTTTCGAAAACTGTTACAGATTATGGAACTGGTTTTATTTGAATAGAAGATTTACAGACTAACAGTTATCCACGTCATGGCTTTGTAAGGAAAAAGATATGTCATATGTAAATGATAATTCACATATGTCAAATTACTCACCATCTCATCTCTACCTATATTTGGCTCCTCATATTCTAGGGAGGACAGTTGACTCTTTCTGCATCACTCATCCAAAGTGTATCAGCTGCAATACAAGAGCTATCAACCACATAGCCTCTATTTCTTTTGTCAATTGATGAGTCTGCTACTTAATGGTAAAGCTTGCCACTTTTACCATCTCATTCTCAGCTGATGTGCAGAAGGCTGGCCTTTGGTTTTATAGTATAACAATTGCCAGTGTCAAAAGACTTTTCCTCTTTTGTTATAAATGCATTTTCTTGAACTGTAGCCATGTGCTTTTCTTGATTTTAACTCAAGAAAACTCTTAGCAATCTGATAGCTTATTGAGCTCAATAGAAAAGTGTTTCATTGAATGTGTGAAGTACATTATTTTATGGGTCTATGAGAAATGAAGACTACTGATTTGCTTTCACGAGCATTTCACTGAAGAGTGTTGCTAGGGTTGTTTTGTGTTGCTTTGTAAAATGTGCTGATAATAACATTTAACATAAAAGCATGAATAATGTTTGACTAAATTGCTGAAAAGCAAAAGGAGACAGCAACTAATACATGGACATTTAGTGAACAAAATGCTTTCTGTGTTAAGCTATTTTCTATGTAAATTACTCTTACTTGGCAATTGGATTCTCCTCAGTTTTCAACTATTATGTACTTTATAGTTTGCAGGGGACTTTGGAAACATTATTTTTAATAATAAGGCAACCAAAAGTGGAGAAAAGGAACATATAATTTACATAAAAAAACTGTTTATTAATAACAGACTCAGGATTAGTACTCAGGTCTTCTCATATTCTCTTTAGTTTTCTTCTTAAGCTCTTAACTATCCATGCAGACACTCTATTTTAGATATATATACATATTATATATATATTAGCACCTATTTTACAATGACTGAATTTTGACATTTAATTCATTTGCTTACTGCTGTTACAAAGCATACATTCAAAAATTAAATAAAAATCAGACAAGAATATTTTTCTAGTAAATACAAATATTTGGTTCAGAGCAAATATTTATTATTTTTTTCTTTCTAAAAAATCCGTTGTTCGTTGTACTTTGCATAAATCGCATATTTTAACATATCAATAAAGTTTTATTTAACTTATGTGTTGTAGCTGTCAACTAATGTAAATCCTGTTAGTGTAATGATATAGAAACCTTTCCCTTAAATCTTATTAAAAATACCTCTGGGAATTCATACTCATATTCATTTAGGAGAGTGGATGAACAGAATCTACCTAACGTTAATTGGAGAAAAAAAATCAATAATTTATTTGATCAACTGTCCTCATTATTTTCCGGTTTATTGTTAGCTTAGTAAGTATAAAGAGAAAACTATTTCTAGTCTTTAGTTTGTTATATTTGTTTTCAAAATCGTATTTTAGTTAACATACTAAAATTCTATTGTAGTAAATAAAAGGCAAATTCTAAAAAGTATTTTCTAAAAAGTATTTTAGAGATAAGATGGTAAAAAAAAAAACCTCTTACTTTGTAGGTTACTAGAGTTTAGAGAGAGGTCATTACTCAAGGCTACCTAGTTAAGGAGCAAGACAAAACTTTAACCTAAGAATGTGACATCTCAAGGCACTCTTTCTACTGTACCATGCTGTCATTAATGACATGAATATCTTGAATATAGGTTAACCTTTGATCTACTCAGATATACTTTCTCAAATAATAATGTGATTGATTCTAGTGGAAAATATTTGTTGATTAAAAATAGGTGACTATTTTTAAAAATTAGAATATTTTTAAAGATGTACATTCTGGTGATATCAAATTGACTTTTTGCTACTTAAAATTCAATGAATATTATGGACAAAGCTGCAGGTAAAATGAGTCAATTTCTGTCTCACCATGAAAGAATTTATATAATCATCTAGAGGCTCAGTCAAAAAATACTTATGTGAAGGATCAAAGAGCTTTTCTCAGAAACTCAGGTGTTTTAACACTACAGGCCAGAAAGAGAGCACAAGTGGTTTGGGCCAAAAGAGCAGGAGAGATACCAATTATTTGAATTGAAAAGCTAGATGGATACTATCCATAGATGCAAATAAAGAAAGGTATTTTTTATGTATACTAAATTAAAACACTTGAAATATTCAGAATTTTCTTTTTCTGCATTGATAATCCCTAGTAAATTATGAGTTGTAGGATCCATTGGAATTTAGTCATACAGTTGCAATGAAAAACACTTAACCAAAGTAAAAAACAATTTTAGTTATTAAGATATAATTTATAAATCAGTTTTAGAAGCTTCCAGATTAACTTATGTCTCCCTGAAGCCAAAATAGTGACTACATTTACTAAGTGCAGCCTTTAAGTCAATGAAGCAGTTTTGGGAATGTAATATAGAACCACTTTTTGGATTAAAAAAGTGTTTAAACTGATGTTGTGAGTGTTGCTCAATTGTAATCTTTTGATTACAGTGCTACTCAAAGATATAAAACAAAATCTTATGAGTGTAAACCTGCAAGGTAATATCTCATGGTATAATTTTTGAGAGCTGTACTTACTTACCTAAATTATACATTATTCTCAAATGAATACATGCAATTTCCAATTACTTAATTTTTACAATATCTTTGAGAAAACAGTGTCAAACAGTTGATTCTTTAAAGGGGCCCATTATTTCTGCAGATAAAATGGAAAGAGATTAACTGATTCATGACAGGAAATATACTTTTAAAGTTGTAATTGGAATTGGAATGCCCTAAGTGCATTTTTCACAAATTTTTGAGAAAGCTTTAAATATTTTTAAATTATTATTATTCTACTGATGAGAAGGATAAAATGTAGTTAAGCGATTGTGCACTGTGGCGGCACAAAATTTGGTACTATCAATTAATCAGTATTCTCAGTCATCTGTTCTGTCTATAACTCTAAAAATGTAAAGGCATTTCTGTAGTACTGCCTTCTCTGTTTATCTGAAGGTTATATTCAAATTCTTTGCTTTCCAAAAATCAATTACATATCAAACACTCAGAGGAATATCCCATTCATCACTACAGTTTTTATCTTCAATGAAAGTATGCATTTTTCCTTATGAGATATTCATGGGAACTGTTAATATATATACTGAGTTATAGATTACATCAACATATAGCAGTAGAATTGAGTCATACAGATGACTGCATCCAGGAGTGAATGATTTGAAATTAAATACGTTATACTATTCAATGGCTCACATTTTAAATAGAAGAATGCCAAATCTATAATTTAATTCCATGAGCTTTTATGTAATGGTGCATACTGCTGTTTACAGTTCAAGCAATATAGCCACACAATTTTCATTTGATGGGATTGGAACACCATCCCACTTCTGACTGCTTTGAGTTTAACAACATGTGGACTTCTCACGAAGAATAACAACAATGAGGGCAATGGAAATGCTACCTGAGGAAGGAATGTGTCAAAATGATCTCAAGTAAATTCATTTCATAAGATGTGAGATTTTTGTTTTGTTTTGCTTGTTCGTAAGTGCTGTTTTTGTTGATGTTTTCAAATCTCATTGCATTATTTTGCAAATAATGAAAAAAGAATTTCAGTACTTTGAAAATCTGATAGCTCTCCTAAATATTTTCCTGTTTAGAACTCCCTGTCTATATAACACACATAAAGAATGACCCCCCTTGATGTGATAAATTATGTATTAGAATAATGGACAGATCAGTGGAGCTATGTAAGTGAAACACACAGCTTTTGGCAAAGAAGGGTCGGCATGTTTACATTTATCACCCAAATGCCTTGACTTTAATGTAGACCTTTGAGATGCATTTATTAATCATGATTTCATTACACTTTTTGGCAAACTAATGACTTTTTGTCAGAAATATTGCTGATGATATACAGCCGATGTCCAAAAACACTAATCTTCTTTTTGCCACTTAACCTTCTGTGCAATTGTCAAGCAATAACGAGCATGAGATATCATACTTTAGCTTACCAGAAAGGTCCTGGTGTGGGAAATAATCAAGTTGCATATCTGCCACGGCAGAATGTTGTGTCTTTGTCAAGAACAATCCAGTTGGAGTTCGCTTACCACATCTCATCTGCTGAAGAGTTCTACTCTAGGAAGCAATGAATGCTTTTACTGGAAGTAGTGCCTGGAATGATTAATGGTGCAAATTATCAATGTTTTAATATATTCAATAATGATAAAAATTTAGGATTTGAGTGAACTACTCAATAACCAAGTGTATTTTTCTCTATGACCTATCTGTATTCTATAAACATCTACTGCGATAATAGCCCTAAGCAAGTCACACGGTGGGGAAAGAAAATTGAATTTTGGGGGGTTCCATCACGCCAAGAAATTTACAATCGACTAGACAAAAATTGTCTTTACAGAAAGTGAGAGACTAATAAAATATACTATGCATTAGTGAAATAACAAAATAATATAACAAACAAAAACGTGAAAATGAACAATACAAAACAGTATTGTCATCTTGAAAAAGGAAAGAAATTTGTGTTTATAATTTTTTTAATAAGTCATATTTGGTAGATACAATTTATAATTAGGCTAATAAGTTAAGGTTACCGGGCAGGATCTATTTCCTAGTGTTTATAAAATAATTATTAAAATATAATCTTGAATCAGTTTCTGTGTAGGATATTAACTTGGTATGTTCATTTTATTTTTCTATTTTTATGAAAAGCTAATTTTTTTCAAAAAAATTTAAAATGTTTTATTGCTAATTTGGGGTACATAAATAGGTATCTATATATATTTTTAGGGTAAATGTGATTTTTAAAATTTAATTTAATTTTAAGTTCCAGAATACAAGTGCAAGATATGTATGCTTGTTACATGGGTGAATGTGTGGCATGGTGGTTTGCTGCACCTGTCAACCCATCACCTACGTATTAAGCCCTGCTTGCATTAGCTATTTAGCCTAATGCTCTCCCTACCCGTTCTCCAACAGGCCTCAATGGGTGTGGTTCTCCTCTCTGTGTCCATGTGTTCTTATTGTTCTGTTCTCCTTACAAGTGAGAACACGTGGTGTTTGGTATTCTGTTCCTGTGTTAGTTTGCTGAGGATAATGGCTTCCAGCTCCATCCATGTCCCTGAAAAGGACATGATCTCATTCCTTTTTATGGCTTCATAGTATTCCATGGTGTATATGTACCACATTTTCTTTATCCACTCTATCATTGATGGGCATTTGGGTTGATTCTATGTTTTTACAATTGTGAATAGTGATACAATAAACATGTGCATGCATGTATCTTTACAATAGAAATATTTATGTTCCTTTGGGTATATACCTAGTAATGGGACTGCTGGGTCAAGTGGTATTTCTGGTTCATGGTCTTTGAGGAAATGCCACACTCTCTTCCACAATGGTTGAACTAATTTACATACCGACTGACAGTGTAAAAGCATTCCTGTTTCTCCACAAGCTCACCAGTATCTGTTGTTTCTTGACTTTTTAATAATTGCCATTATGACTGGCATGAGATGGTATCTCACTGTGGTTTTGATTTGCATTTCCCTAATGACCAGTGACGTTGTGCTTTTTTCATATGTTTGTTGGCTGCATAAATACCTTCTTTAGAGAAGTGTCTGTTCGTGCCCTTTACCCACTTTAATGGGGTTGTTTGTTTTTGTCCTGCAAATTCTCTAAGTTCCATGTAGAATCTGGATATTAAATCTTTCAGATGGATAGACTGCAAAAATTTCCTCCCATTCTGTACGTTGTCTGTTCACTCTGATGAGAGTTTCTTTTGCTGTGCCAAAGCTGTTTGGTTTAATTAGATCTCATTTGTCAATTTTTGCTATTGCTGCAATTGGGAAAGCTACATTAATATGAGCTTTATTTATGCAAAATGACTTGAGGGATGATTCAGTTCATTTTCAAGGTAAAATTTAAGTGTCTTACGATGTATTATTTGCTAGTTAAAATTACTCAAGTAACCAACATTCGTAGCCTCCATTTTGTCAATCTGAGTCCTAAATCTGATATTGGCAATTATTTATGTTTTTGTGACTAAATAGAAATGAACTTGACCCAATTCTAAGACCATATCTTTCATCCAAGTAAGTGAAGCCAAATAGCCACTAAAACCCTACAGAATTCATCACCTATAAAGAAGAGGAAGGCTTAGTAAGAGACAAGGTCTCTTACTTAATATGGTCTACTGTTCTCATTTATTCTCGGAGTCAATTTTTGTAAACTGGAATCTTACCTTAACTAATTTTTTTGATATTATACATAGATTTAAACCAAAGAAAACTGTTACAAAGTTGAAGTTGGTTACCTCTGAAAATAAGTTTTTGCTTTCTTTATTAAAATTATTTCAATATACTTTTATTTAGGAAGTAGATACATATAAAACTTTTTGATTTTAAAAGGCAAATATATCATCCTGGGCCAGGTGCAGTGGCTCACGCCTATAATCCCAGCACTTTGGGAGGGTGAGGTGGGCGGATCACAGGGTCAAGAGATCAAGACCATCCTGGCCAACATGGTGAAACCCCAACTCTATTAAAAATACAAACATTAGCTGGGTATGGTGGGGCGCACCTGTAGTCCCAGCTACTCGGGAGGCTGAGGCAGGAGAATCGCTTGAACCTGGGAGGCAGAGGTTGCAGTGGGCCGAGATCATGCTATTGCACCCCAGCCTGGGCTACGGAGAGAGACTCTGTCTCAAAATAAATAAATAAATAAACAAATAAATAAATAAATAAATAAATATTCTGAAAAAAAATCATTCTGAAAAGGCCAAGGGAAGAGTAGTATATTGAGAAAAACCAAAAAAAAAAAAAAAAAAAAGTTTACCCAGGTCCCAGGTGATCATGAGGGGTAGGGAAAGGAAGGAGATTTCTAGAGTGTAATAAATGAGAAAGAAGAGAGCACTATTTTTAAAAGAAATGATTAAAGAATAGGAAACCATGGGAAGACGGCTAAGATGTGTGTTTTGGCTTCAAGGCTGTTCTCCTAAACTAATTGTTATCTGGAAATGGTTGATTACTCCCATGTTCCATCCACACTCAACATGTATCTGTTCTAATTGATTCCAAATGCCATTAGGGGAAAATACTTGTGTGTTTCATTTATATCTACGTCTTCCTTCCCCCAGCAAAAGACCTGAAGCTTAGTCAATCCATAAAAATATTGTTTTATTTTTCTTATTTGGGGATCAAATACGGCCTATAAATGTAGTTGCAAATCATAATCTTATAATGTAAAGAAAACAAGGCAAGTAATAAGACAAACATCATTTGGTAATGCTGAATTAATAATTTATGATTCTAGTCTCCTAATATCAGGTAAGGTTGCAACTCTAGGAGTAATTAATGTAAAAGAAGAAATGAAGCCAAAATATTCCTAATAAGCCCAATAAAATTTGGGAGGATTCAATAAATTTTTGAAAGCTCTTCAAGAGATAAATTTAGTATTAGGATATTGTTTATACAACAGACTCAAAAATCTTTAAAAATCTATTTAGAGATTATTAAATGAGAATCAGAGAAACATGTGCTTTCCATGTAGATGAGGTGCATAACATCTTGTTCCAAAATTCTAGTTTCTGTAATTTAATCTAGAATGATTTAGGCGAAGAGTATCAAGCCATCAAGATTTTATTTAATTGGCTTATTGTAATACATATAAGGAAAAAATAAGAAGTGTTTAAACATGGAAAATATTTAGATTCAAAGTTTGTGCACTTTTTCTTTCATCAACCTACGTATAAACATCAACCAAATGAAGAGGACCAACTTTAAAAATAGTGGTTTGGACTGGGCGCGTTGGCTCACGCCTGTAATCCCAGCACTTTGGGAGGCCGAGAGGGGGGGATCACGAGGTCAAGAGATCCAGACCATCCTGGACAACATGGTGAAACCCCGTCTCTACTAAAAACACAAAAATTAGCTGGGCGTGGTGGCCGGGTGCCTGTAGTTCCAGCTACTACTCGGGAGGTGGGGGGGCAGGAGAATCGCTTTAACTTGGGAGACGGAGGTTGCAGTGAGTCAAGATTGTGCCACTGCACTCCAGCCTGGTGACAGAGCGAGATTCCGTCTCAAGAAAAAAAAAAAAAAATAGCGGTTTTATTCTTAACATAACATCTATGCTTGAAATATGCATGATGCAGTAAAATAAATCATTTTATTTTAGATGTATGATATACATCTAAGTAACTAATTATCAAGTTTCATTTAGATTAATGGTAAAATAAATATAAAATTCAGTTTTTATCAGGATAGTTTATGTAAACTCTCTTCATGGAATAAAAAAAGTTAATGTGTACCTGAACTATTAATCAATAATCCGTGTTATTTGAAATGATGTGCTTCTTTTCCTAAGGCAAAAAATGCACTTTATCTTATCTTCAAGAAGCCAGCATAATATTAGTTTTGGGCTTATATCCCTGAAGTGCCCTGTTTAGCTGATGTTCCATTTGCTTAGTTTGAGTAAGTTGAAGAAAGTTTCCCTTCTCTATACAAGTGCTATTTTAAGCTCCCCTCAGGATTTAGGGAGACAGAAAATCATCAGTCTAATTTCCTCTCCGTGGCTTCTGTGGAAGAGAGATGAGCCTATTAAAGAATCTTACCATTGGCCGGGCGCCGTGGCTCACGCCTGTAATCCCAGCACTTTGGGAGGCCAAGGTGGGCAGATCACCTGAGGTCAGGAGTTCGAGACCAGCCTGCCAACATGGTGAAACCCCATCTCTACTAAAAATACAATTAGCTGGGTTACCCATGATACACTATGGGTTTCAATATTTCTTTCTAATTTTCTCCTATCACATTAAAAAACCCTGCTCTTTACATTCTCTTTGTTTTGAATTTCACTTCCTCTGTCACTAATCCTATTGTGTCAAATGCAGGCTACTCGTGTCCACATCATCATGCTCTTGGCTGACCATACCCTTCAATTAGGATCCATGTTACTATGTACAGAGAATTCTAAGTCTCTAAATATTCAAAATGTATAATAATGACAAATTTTTTCAGCCATACTTTTTCAACCATGGGCTATTTGGTTCTAAACACGTTTTTAAAGTACTATCATCAGTATTTTGTGTGGGTGAGTTAATAGGGAGAATTTATGGTAATTGCTCTAACAAAATCCCCACAAGTTCAGTGCCTTAAATTAATTTCTTGCCAACATCATAGTGTGATGCTGATCAGGTGATTCTCCTGGGCAGCTTTTCCAGTTTAGTTACCAAACATGGCATTTCATATTCTTCTCATACATAGAAAATCTTCACTCTTGCCCCAAGAGTGACAACAGGGAGTTCCATCATCCAGTTTCCACACAGAGTAAGTGCAGAATCTCTAGTTTATCCACTGTTTTCTCCATCATGTCTAGCTTTTCAGAAAGGGGACCTACCAGCTATTATAGACAAGTTAGTGCATGTGCACTCACCCACCCACACCCACACACACACACACACCCCAAATATACAATAGGAAAACTATAACTAGAATACAATCCCCTTCCTGGAAAGGAGAAGAAATAAAGGCACACAAAGTAACTAACTTGTCCATCTAGCTCTTGAAACCCACATAACTGAGGTTATGAAACAGTTATCAGGCCTCTTCCATTGTATGGCATTACAATATCATAATTCTTTGAATTCATTTGTGAAGACTGAGACCAGTATATTATGCAAAAAATGCAAGACATTACAAAGAACATGTTTAAATGTCATATTTCTTTGATCTAAACAAGGCCACAATTAGAAGCAAGAGATATCTAGAAATAGTCTTCTTGTATGACTAGAGGAAAAGTTAATTGGTTTTAGGAAGATAAAATTATATCTTCTCAACTTCTCCTAGGACTGTGCAATCTTGTTATGTGTTTTTCTGGTCTGAACTTAACATATTGTTCACTCTATATCCTGTTTTCATTAAAATGAGAGTGATATATTTAATATAACTATTTATTGCTGCAGTAATAACTTCATGATTGAATCTGAGCTACAAATTAATCCTGCTTTGGATAGTAACATGGAAACAATGATAAATTTTGTGTAATATCATCAATATCTTCTCTGTTTACAGTGGCAAGGGGGATTCCCTGTTTTGGCATTTACCTGTCATTATATAGAAAACAGCAGAACTGGCTGGACATAGAATTTTTATTTGACTGCCATTGGCAAAAATTCAAGTTATGTTAAATCATAGCTAAATATGAAGTTATTTTGGTTATTTTTGTTCAGATAAATGTATTATTTCTACTCCATATGAGTTTTTCCCTAGTCTTTTATGGATTTGTTATGAAAAGCCAGAGCTGTAATTTTGTATGAACTGATTCCTCCTTTGTAAAATTTATTTGCAGGTAGCTAGGCATAATATTTATTAAATTGAGGTAAGTTGTTAAGGTTATTAAGTGTGTACACATTGATCATGTATCTGTGTACAGTTCCCAAGACAACTAAATAATTATGATACCACATAAAATATATAGTCTTCTGTGTCAATGTGTAAAATATAAATTAGTATAACCTACTTAACTAACAATAATTTATCCCTAAACAGCCCAGGAATCATCATTTCGTGTTGTTCAATTACATGGGTTGTCTAACACTGGCTCTTCTCAACTGAGCAAGTGTCCCATCTTTGAAGTGGGGAGTAGACGTCAGTGTTATTACGTGCTTATAAAACGAAAATCAAAAGCAAGTCATTTTATACGTAATTGTATGTTATAATCTTGGAGGATGCAATATTGAAGTTTTGCTTTGATATTCTGAGCATAGAACTGCAATAGGTCTTAATGCTATGCTAAAATTCTCCACAGTGCACTGAATTGAAACACTTTTGTGCTTTCAAAAACACTGAACTAAAAATAAACTTACACATGATATATTACTGAGATAGGTAAATGATATCAAAGATAATAAGAAAAACTAAACCTACATTTTTATTTACATTCAGTTCATCTGAACACAGTTAAAAATTCTCATCTAGTGTCCAACAGACAACCTAAACCAATTCTGAATGCATTTTACTCTAAACAAATATAAACTCCGGCAATTGCAGGAGAAAAATTGATTGTCTTAGCCTACTATTTGGACAGTATGGTTTTGAAATTACCATCCTTCAAAAGTAGATCAACTGAAATGCCTATATGCTTTCTACTCAGGAGTATTTGTATTTTTATTGGAAAGAAATGAATTTAATAATTAGCCTTATCCATTCTCTCACAGAGTTAATCCCTTTAGTCCTTAGAAATTTCAGTATTATAAAATCTGTTATTTGAAAACCTTTGAAGACATAGAATTACATGTTAGGCAATGAAGCAATGTCTGTCTATGAGGAAAATTCAAGGGTATGAGATTCGAGGAAAATGACACACTTTATTTTACACACACATACACAAACATATATACATACATATACACACAGACTTTCCTTCTCTTCCCCTGTCTGGATTAATGAAGGAAGCTTTTCTACTTCAGAGAACACATGATACGCAAAAGGCAACTGAAACCCTAGCTAGGGTTTAAATTATATTTATATAATTTCAACTAACTAAAATAGCTAATGAAGAAATTTAGTAAGATGGAGGTTTTGAATAACATTTGAAGTAATAAATATAAAATAAAAATAAAGAAAACAATGACTTTAGTTTTCCGTAGAAAGCTTGAAGCTCATTGTCAAAAACGTATCTAATTTTAGTCCTCAGTGCTCCTTCCTCATAATTCAAATGTTAGTTAAAATGGCTGTACAGATTTATTAAAATAGTTACATACATATGGGATCTTACATATAAGCATATATACTATACATGTGTCAACTTTACTAGTTCTGTTAGAGAAGAGCTTTGAAGGAATTTTCCTGCAGTGACAAATGGAAAGTTAAGTAGAAATTAAAATTAAATAACAGAAATGGATTAAGTCTATTCTGGGAAATTTTTAGAGCAGTTCATGTATATTATTGAAAAGTGTCACATCATAGCTCAATAGATTGTTTTGTGTTAATCTACCATCATATTTCAACAAGGGTACTGGTTCCAAAAAAGTACTGCCCCATTAAAATGCTAATGTAGATACTGCTATGAAGGTCTTGTAAAGATTATGAGTTCTGAATACTTCAGTTATAAAACATTTGGCTTTAATAGATAAGGTTTCTTTACTTCAGTTAAAAAGCCTGTATCTATAAAAGGAAAATGACTTTGTCACTCTGTTGGTTCTTAATATTATTAAATATTTATTAAGATTCAACAGTACACTAAGCATTTATAGAGTAAAAGTAGAATAATGTTTACTTTAATTAAACTAGTATGTGAAGACTCTTAAGGGAGATAGGTGTATGGTACACACGCTTTTGCTTACATATTGCTTTTCTGGGTATAGATAGGATTCAGATTCACAATAGCTCAGATCTCTTACCATTTGTTTACTTTTATAGATCTAGAGAAAAGTGCCCCCACGTTTTCCAAGTGATTATGCTCAGCTACTTAAAGTGAAGACAGACATAGCTTTGAAATTGCCTTAACTGCTTGTGTAGTTTTGTTTTTTTGACTTCTTATATTTATTCTACTAAATAACGTTAGTATTCAGAATAACAAAAATACATATATTTGTGGCTAATATTAGGACGTTGTGATTTTCTTGTAATATATTGAATCACCAACTGTTAGAGCCTCATAAGCCTCTGAGATACATTCATTCACTTTGCTAGTGAAGAGCTTCAGGACCCGAGAAGTCAAGGAAATTTCTCAAGTGCACAGAGCTAGTTAAACACAATGAACACAATTGAATCCCAGGACTCTTGTTTCACAATTTATTGCTTTTATCAATCTATCAATCATGGGGACAGACAAAAATTCAAAGCAATTAAATTAAGAGCTCAGCATCTAGTCAGAAAATTGCACATTGTGAACTTCAAATAAAACCCACTATCTTCAATAGCTACAAATAAATATGAACCCTGATTGTAGAGCTGGTTTTATGGTACTTCTTGCTAATGATTGTGTTCATCTTCTTTATAGTGTTTGATAGAAATGATAGTTCTAAAGTAATTTCCCTTAGAGTAAGAAAAACCTCACTAAAATGGGATCTTTCATGATAAGAAGGGTCCAGATATTTATATGATCCCCCCTCTTAAGAAGCAGGGCAGGGAGAGGAAACTTATCTTTCTCTACAAGGGATCTTCCTCCTGTTATTGAAATATTTCTTATACTTAGTGGTAAATATTCTCTTACTTTAAGTGAGCAATTTTCATTGAATTTCAAAATTAAATGCTATTATTTTAACATTAATAATACTCAAATGTATATAGACTAAAGACTAGGCATAAATTAGTTATGCTTGATATTTTTAATCAACTAATGGGGAAAAGGAGCAGCTCTTTAATACTATTATTTGCCAAGTAATGACTCAACCCTCTCATAACAGTCTTCTCTTTTAATTAGTATGAAATCTACATTGGTGCAATGAAGCATGCATGATGTCTCCATATGACATGAAGTCATTATTTGCCTGTGTTTGTTTGTTTGTTTTCTTATAAGGGTGTGATATATCCAGTAGAACTGTGAGGCAGTCAAAGGTAAATACAGAGAACCAAAATCATATATTATATTTGATGACAGTGATGATGGTGATGGTGGTGGTGGTGGAAATGATGATCATTAATAACATAATTATGGACATGGTCAATAACTCTAATTTTGATCTGGGAACTACTAGGTATTGCTCTTACCACTTTACATGTATTATCTCATTTATTCATCACAATAACCCTATGAAGCAGATAATATAATCATTCTCTTTTTTAGATAAGACAACTCATATAGAGAAAGTTGGGAGAACTTAGATTTACATTCTGGCTCAATCCATTTATAGAGCATAGACTCTCATTTATTAATATTCACATTACTATTTATAGGAATATAATATGTGATACATACATAAATATTATATGTTATATACACAGTAAGTTATTCATATATGTATATAATATCCATATCAATGTATATGTGTAATAAATACATGTATTACATATATACTCTATATTTCATATATATTTAAAATATTTTACAATTACTGAAGATCTCAAAAGTAAGTTCTTGAATTCTAGTTTTATGTATTTCTTCATTTTTGTATGACAAAAATGGATTAAAATAGTATATAGAGTATCTATATACTATTTTAAAATAACCATTCTAGAATAGTATTTAGATGGTTCTCATAAACTGTCTTTAAGGGGTATAGGTGAAAACATTCTGCTTAATATGAAATATTATGATATGCAAAGTAACAAGGACTGTGCTACAATTTCCAGTAATTTACACTTTCAGTCATTTTAAAAAATCAGAACCCCTATCCACTTTTCAAATTGTTTTGGCACGATCACTGACTCAATTATCACTGACTCAATTATCACTTTCACAATGATATAAAAAATCAGTGGTCCAAAGTAATATAAAAATATATATTGACATAAGCTGACAGGAAGAGTCAGACCAGATGAAATTAATGGTTATTTGGAAACTTCCTAATATTTGTATAATTATTGTGAGTTGCACTTACTTAATCTTTAAGTTGACCTGAAATGAGAATTTGATATATAGGAAATAATATTTCATCAGATTAGACTAGCATTCTTAGATATTTCTTTTTCTTATTTTATTTCTTTTTTTTTTTTTTTTTTACTTCTATTTTAAGTTCGGGGTAATTTTGAAGGTTTGTTATGTAGGTAAGCTTGTATTATGGGGTTTGACGTACAGATTATTTCATCACCCAGGTATTAATCCTAGTATCCATTAATTATTTTTTCTAATCCTCTCTCTCTTCCTACCTTCCACCCTTTGCTAGGCCCCAGTGTCTGTTGTTTGTGTCTATGTGTTCCAACCATTTACCTCCCACTTATAAGTGAGAACATGAGTTATTTGGTTTTTTGATCCTACATTAGCTTGCTAAGGATAATGGCCTCTAGCTCCATCCATGTTCCTGCAAAGGACATACTCCCATTCTTTTTATGGCTGCATAGTATTCTATGGTATATATGTATCATATTTTCTTTATCTAGTCTATCATTGATGGGCATTTAGATTGATTTTGTATCTTCACCATTGTGATAATGCTGCAATGAACAAATGCATGCATGTGCCTTTATGTATCCATACATCATTGCTGGGTCAAATGGTATTTTTAGGATTGCTAGGTAACGGAATTGCTGGGTCAAATGGTATTTTTGGGATTGCTGGTAATGGGATTGCTGGGTCAAATGGTATTTTTGGGATTGCTGGGTCAAATAGTATTTTTGTGTTTAAATCTCTGAGGAATCACCACACTGTTTTACAAAATGGATAAACTAATTTACATGCTCAAGAGTGTATAAGCATCCCTTTTTCTCTGCAGTCTCACCAGCACATATTATTTTTTGACGTTTTAATAACAGCCATTCTGACTGGTGTTAGATGACGTGGCTTTGATTTGCATGTCTCTAGTGATCAGTATTGTTGGGTTTTACTTCATATGCTTATTAGCTGCATGTATGTCTTCTTTTGAAAATGTCTGTTTATGTTCTTTGCCGACTTTTTAATGCAGTTTTGGGTTTGTTTGTTTGTTTGCTTTGTAAATTTGTTTAAGTCCCTTACAGATGCTGGATATTAGGCCTTTGTCAGATGTGGAGTTGGCAAAAATTTTCTCCCATTCTGTAGATTGTCTATATACTCTGTTGATAGCTCTTTTTGCTATGCAGAAGCTCTCTAGTTTAATTTGCCAATTTTTGCTTTTATTATAATTGTTCTGGCATCTTCATCACGAAATATTTTCCTGGTCCTATGTCCAGGATGGTATTGCCCAGGTTGTGTTCCAGGGTTTTTATAGTTTTGGGATTTACATTTAAGTCTTTAATCCATTTCAAGTTGATTTTTTATATGGTACAAGGAAGGGGTCCATTTTCAATCTTCTGCATATGACTAGCCAGTTATCCTAGTTCCATTTATTGAATAGGGAGTCCTTTCTCCGTTGCTTGTTTTTGTCAGGTTTGTCGAATATCAGATCATTGTAGTTGTATGGCTTTATTTCTGGGGTCTCTATTCTCTCCCGTTGTTCTGTATGTCTGTTTTTGTACCAGTACTGTGCTATTTTGTTTACTGTAGCCCTGTCAATATAAAATTGGGTAGCATGATGCCTCTAGCTTTTTTTCTATTCCTTATAATTTCCTTGACTATTTGGGCTATTTTTGGTTCTATATGCATTTTAAAATCGTTTTTTTCTTGTTCTTTGAAGAATGTCATGGCAGTTTGATAGAAATAGCATTGAATTTGTAAATTGCTTTGACCAGTATGGCTATTTTAATGATATTGATTCTACCTATCTGTATTAGTTTGTTTTTACACTGCTATAAAGAACTACCTGACATTAGGTGACATAAAAAGAAAAGAAGCTTAATTGACTCACAGTTCTGCATGGCTGGGGAGGCCTCAGAAAACTTACAATTATGGTGAAAGGAGAAGGAGAAGCAGGCACCTTCTTCACAAGATGGCAGGAGAAAGAGAGACTTGGGGAAGGGGAACTGCCAAACACTTTTAAGACGTCAGATCTCATGAGAACTCATTCACTATCAAGAGAATAGCATGGGGGAAATTGCCATCATGAACTAATGACCTCCCTCCGGGCCCCTCCCTCAATACATGTGGATTACAATTTGAGATGAGATTTGGGTGGGGGCACAGAGCGAAACCATATCACTATCAATGAGCATGGACAATGTTTTCCATTTGTATATGTCATCTCTGATTTCCGTGAGCAGTGTTTTGTCGTTCTCATTGTAGAGCTCTTTCACCTTCATGGTTAGCTGTATTCCTAGGTATTTTATTCTTTTGGGAATAATTGTGAATGGGATTGTGTTCCTAATTTGGCTCTCAGCTTGACTGTCTTTGGGCATATAGGAATTATAGTATTATAATTTTTGTACATTGATTTTGTATCCTGAGATTTGCTCAAGTTGTTTGTCAGTTTAAGAAGCTTTTGAGCTGAGATTACCGGGTTTTCTAGATATAGGACCACATTGTCTGCAGACAGAGTTAGTTTGGCTTTCTCTCTTCCTATCTGGAAGCCCTTTACTTCTTTCTCTTACCTGATTGCTCTGGCCAGGATTTCCAATACTATATTGAATAGCAGTGGTAAGAAAGGCATCTTTGTCTTGTGTTGGTTTTCAAGGAGAATGCTTCCAGATTTTGCCCATTCAGTCTGATGTTGGCTGTGGGTTTGTAATAGATGGCCCTTATTATTTTGACATACATTCCCTCAATACCTAGAGTTTGTAACATGAATGGTTGTTGAATTTTATTGAAAGCCTTTTCTGCAGCTATCATGGCAATTGTGTGTATTTTGTCTTTAGTTCTGTTTATTTAATGAATCACATTTATTGATTTAAATATGTTGAACCAACTTTGCATCCCAAAGATAAAGCCTACTAGATCACGGTGGATAAGTTTTTTGATATGTTGCTGGATTTAGTTTACCAATATTTTGTTGAAGATTTTTGCATTGAGGTTCATCAGTGATATTGGCCTGATTTTTTTTTTTTTTTTTTTTTGGTATGTCTCTGCCAGGTTTTGGCATTGGCGTGATGCTGGCCTCATAAAACGAGTTAGGGAGGAGTCCCTCCTCCTCATTTTTTTTTGTGGGGTGTGGGGAATAATTTCAGCAGGAACCATACCAGCTCTTCTTTGTATATCTGGTAGAACTCAGCTGGGAATTCATCTGGTCCAGGGCTTTTTTTGGCTGGTAGGCTATTTATTACTGATTCAATTTTGGAGCTGATTATTGGCCTGTTCAGGGATTCAGTTTATTCCTGGCTTAGTCTTGGGGGGTTTATGTGTTCAGAAATGTATCAATTTCATCTAGATTTTCTAGTTTCTTTGCATAGAGGTGTTCATAATATTTCTGATGGTTATTTGTACTTCTGTGGGTCAGTGGTAATATCCTCTTCATTTTTTTCTAATTATGTTTATTTGGATATTCTCTCTTTTCTTTATTAGTTTAGCGAGTTGTCTATTTTTTTTTAAATACAACTCCTACATTAGTTGATCTATTGAATGGTTTTTCACTTCTCAATCTCCTTCAGTTCAGCTCTGATTTTGGTTATTTCTCATCCTTTGCCAGCTTTGGGGTTGGTTTTCTCTTGGTTCTCTAGTTCTTTTAGGTGTGATGTTAGGTTGTTAAAGTCAGATCTTTCTAACTTTTGATGTGGACATTTAGTGCTATGAATTTTGCTCTTAACATTGCCTTAGCTGTGTCCCAGAGATTCTGGTTTGTTCTCATTAGTTTCATAGAACTTCTTGATTTCTGCCTTAATTTCATTATTTACCCTAAACTTATTCAGGTGCAGGTTACTCAATTTCTATGTTGTTGCTTGTCTTTGAGTGAATTTCTTAGTCTTTATTTCTAATTTGATTGCGATGTGGTTCAAGAGATTGTTTGTTACTACTCTGGTTCTATTGCATTTGCTGAGGAGTCTTTTATTTCTGGTTGTGTGATCAATTTCTAGAGTATGTGCCATGTGGTGATGAAAAGAATGTATATTCTGTTGTTTTCGGATGGAGAGTTCTGTAGATACCTATCAGGTCCATTTTATCCAGTGCTGAGTTCAGGTTCTGAATATCTTTGTTATTTTTTTTTTTTGCCTCGATTATCTGTCTAACATTGTCAGTGGAGTGTTGAAGTCTCCCACTATTATTTAGAGGAAGTCTAAGCCTCTTTGAAGATCTCTAAGAACTTGCTTTATGAATCTGAGTGCTCCTATGTTGGGTGCATGCATATTTAGGATAGCTATGCCTACTTTTTGAGTTGAACTCTTTACCATTATGTAATGCCATTTTTGTCTTTTTATTGGTTTAAAATGTGTTTTGTATGAAATTAGGATTGCAACCCCAATTTTTTGTTTTCCATTTGCTTGGTAGATTTTTCTTCAACCCTTTATTTTTAGGCTATGAGTGTCATGGCATGTGAGATGGGTCTCTTGAAGACAGAATACAAATGGATTTTGTCACTCTGCCTTTTAATTGGGGCATTTAGCCATTTACATTCAAGGTTAGTATTGATATGCATGGATTTGTTCCTGTCATCATGATATGAGCTGGTTATTTTACAGACATGTTTGTGTGGTTGCTTTACAGTATCACTCATCCGTGTAATTATCTGTGTTTTTGTAGTGACTGGTAATGGTTTTTCCTTTCCATATTAATGCTTCCTTCTGGTGCTCTTGTAAGGCAGGTCTTGTAAGGCAGGTCTTGTGACTTAGCATTTGCTTCTCTGAAAAGGATCTTATTTCTCCTTTGTTTATGAAACTTACTTTGGCTGGATATGAAATTCTGGTTTGGAATTTTTTTTCTTTAAGAATGTTGACTACTAACCCCTCAATCTTGTAGGCTTATAGGGTATTTGCTGAGATGTCCACTGTTAGTTTGATGGGCTTTCCTTTGTAGTTGACCTGACCTTTCTCTCTAGCTGCCTTTAACATTTTTTCTTTCATTTCGATCTGGGAAAATCTGATGATTTTGTCTCTTGGGGACTTCTTTTGAAGTATCTTACTGGAGTTCTCTGCATTTCTAAATTTGAAGGTTTACCTCTCAAGGTAGGTTGGGGAAGTTCTTATGAATGATGTGAAATGTGTTTTCCAAGTTGCTTGCACTCTCTCCATCACTTTCAGGGACACCAGTAAGTCATAGGTTTGGTCTCTTTACACAATCCCTTATTTCTTAGAGGTTTTGTTCATTCCTTTTCATTTTATTTCCTTTATTCATGTCTACTTTATTTCAGAAAGTTAATCTTCGAGCTTTGAGATTCTTTCATCAGCTCGGTCTATTCTGCTATTAATACTTGTGATTGCATTATGAAATTTTTGTAGTGTGTTTTTGAGATCTATCAGGTGGGTTGCATCCTTTTCTACACTGGCTATTTTGTCTGTTAGCTCCTGTATAGTTTCATGGTGATTCTTAGCTTCCTTGGGTGCATTTCACCATACTCATGCATCTCAATGATCTTTGTTCCTGTCCTTATTCTGAATTCTATTTCTGTCATTTCAGCTATCTCAACTCAGTTCAGAACCCTTGCTGCAGAGGCAGTGTGGTCTTTTGGAAGAAAGAAGGCACTCTGGCTTTTGGAGTTGCCAGGGTTCATACATTGGTTCTTTCTCATCTTTATAGGTGAATGTTTCTTTGATCTTTGAAGTTGTGGACCTCTGGTTGGGTTTTTCTTTCTCTTTTATCCTATTTAATGACTTTGGGTGTTGGACTGTCATATAAAGTGCATTCAGCTGACCGGCTTCATTTCTGAAATATTTTAGGGGGCCAACACTCACCTCCCAGATGCCTGGACTGTGTGCTCTATATCTGGAGGACTTGTATTGGGTCTGTGTTATTTTCTGTCTCCTTGAGGTTAGGAATCCACAGCACTTTCCAGGTAGTTGAGCGGTTTTGAGTGATTTTCTTAATCCTGAGTTCTAGTTTGATTGCACTGTGGTCCGAGAGACAGTTTGTCATAATTTCTGTTCTTTTACATTTGCTGAGGAGTGCTTGACTTCCAACTATGTGGTCAATTTTGGAATAAGTGCAATGTGATGCTGAGAAGAATGTATATTCTGTTGATTTGGGGTGGAGAGTTCTGTAGATGTCTATTAGGTCCACTTGGTGCAGCGCTGAGTTCAATTCCTGGATATCCTTGCTCCTGAATGACTACTGGTTACATAACGAAATGAAGGCAGAAATAAAGATGTTCTCTGAAACCAATGAGAACAAAGACACAACATACCAGAATCTCTGGGACACATTTAAAGCAGTGTGTAGAGGGAAATTTATAGCACTAAATGCCCACAAGAGAAAGCAGGAAAGATCTAAAATTGACACCCTAACATCACAATTAAAAGAACTACAGAAGCAAGAGCAAACACATTCAAAAGCTAGCAGAAGGCAAGAAATAGCTAAGATCAGAACAGAACTGAAGGAGATAGAGACACAAAAAGCCCTTCAAAAAATCAATGAATCCAGGAGCTGGTTTTTTGAAAAGATCAACAAAATTGATAGACCGCTAGCAAGACTAATAAAGAAGAAAAGAGAGAAGAATCAAATAGATGCAATAAAAAATGTCAAAGGGGAGATCACCACCGATCCCACAGAAATACAAACTATCATCAGAGAATACTATAAACACCTCTACGCAAATAAACTAGAAAATCTAGAAGAAATGGAAAAATTCCTCGACACATATACTCTCTCTCAAGACTAAACAAGGAAGAAGTTGAATCTCTGAATAGACCACAAAGGTCTAATATCCAGAATCTACAAAGAACTCAAACAAATTTACAAGAAAAAAATAAACAACCCCATCAACAAGTTGGCAAAGGATATGAACAGACACTTCTCAAAAGAAGACATTTATGCAGCCAAAAGACACATGAAAAAATGCTCACCATCACTGGCCATCAGAGAAATGCAAATCAAAACCACAATGAGATACCATCTCACACCAGTTAGAATGGCGATCATTAAAAAGTCAGGAAACAACAGGTGCTGGAGAGGATGTGGAGAAATAGGAACACTTTTACACTGTTGGTGGGACTGCAAACTAGTTCAACCATTGTGGAAGACAGTGTGGCGATTCCTCAAGGATCTAGAACTAGAAATACCATTTGACCCAGCCATCCCAATACTGGGTATATACTCAAAGGATTATAAATCATGCTGCTATAAAGACACATGCACACGTATGTTTATTGCGGCACTATTCACAATAGCAAAGACTTGGAACCAACCCAAATGTCCAGCAATGATAGACTGGATTAAGAAAATGTGGCACATATACACCATGGAATACTATGCAGCCAAAAAAAAACGATGAGTTCATGTCCTTTGCAGGGACATGGATGAAGCTGGAAACCATCGTTCTCAGCAAACTATCGCGAGGACAAGAAACCTAACACCGCATGTTCTCACTCATAGGTGGGAATTGAACAATGAGAACACTTGGACACAGGAAGGGGAACATCACACACCAGGGCCTGTTGTGGGGTGGGGGGAGGGGAGAGGGAAAGCATTAGGAGATATACCTAATGTAAATGACGAGTTAATGGGTGCAGCACACCAACATGGCACATATATACATATGTAACAAAACTGCACATTGTGCACATGTACCCCAGAACTTAAAGTATAACAACAAAAAAAGTGGAAGCTAAGCTGTGAGTACACAGAGGCATACAGAGTAGTATGATGGACATTGGAGGCTCAGAAGTGGGGAGGGTGGGAGGAGGGTGACAGATTAAATACTGCATATTGATACAATGTACACTACTGGGGTAATGGGTGCACTAAAATCTCAGACTTCACCACTATGCAATTCATCCGTGTAACCAAAAACCCAAAGGGTATTACAGTTTTTCAAAATGTGAAAAAAGAAATCACTACAACACAAATAAAATGTTATTCTTCAAAAAAACAAAAACAAAAACAAAAACAAAAGAATCCACATCACTGGGAGGGCCAAAGTGCTCCCGGATGGCTGGTCACCACGCTCTGATGAGTGGTCAGGTAAAGTGTTTCTTACTGCAGTAGCAGTGGGATCCATCCTCGTTTGCACATGTCAGCAGCAGTGGCAGTGTGGTGGAGTGCATACTTGGCTGCTGCAGGGTGCTAGCGGGTGCTGGGGGTGGCTGAGGTGTGGGGGTTCACCACAATGGCAGAGGTAGCATGGTCCAGTGGGGCGGGGGCCCGTGCTGGCGACTGTGCAGGCAGTCACACTGGTGGTGGGGTCGGCATGATGATGCCTCACTGCCGGGTGCAGGTCTGTGTGCGCCCTCTGTGCTCTGCAGGGAATGGTGGTCACTCAGGGCAAGGAAGTGTTTGTTCTCTGTGGCTAGTTTCACTCCTGCAGCAGTGTTGGCACAAGGTGGGGCACTCAGGGAGGCGGGGGGCGGGCTGGCTGGATCCGTGCCTGCCAAGGCTCGAACTGCAATACTGGTGGGGGGCCGAGGGTGTGGGAGTATGGGTAGGGTGCTCTCCCACTGGCAGCAGTGGCAGGGCAGGATGCATGCACACACCCAAAACCTGCCAATGCACACGCTCATAGGCAAGGCAATGTTGGGTGGTGGGGGTTGCCATAGGCCTGGGGGAAGCTGAAATGTGGAAAGAGAGAGGGCAGGCTGCTGCCTGGCAGTGGGGCCATCCCGTTGGAGCTCTCCAGTGGTTAAGCACAGTCCGCAAGCACAGGAGCTATAATGCGGGCACCCAGGGCACCAGAGGCTGCCCTGCAAGCAGGCACAGCCAGGTCGGGGTTCCAGGAGAGGCCAGCAGAACAAGAGGTGCTCAGGTCATACTAGCCCTGTTTGATGGGCAAGCCCGCCCTGCAGAGTTCAGGTCCAATAGTTCCCTTAGGGCTAAAGTCTCCTATGGGAGGACATTGAGGCTAGGGAGATGGGCTTCCCTGGTCATGTTCCTATTAGAGATGTTCCTGCACTAAACACTCTGGGCTCCGCCTCAGCTGTTATGCTTCCCCTACCACTTCTCTAAGCAGTTCTTCCTGCCAATTCCAATGTCCATGGTGGTTGAGGGGTCTCCTTCTGTCAGGATTCCAGAGGCTCATGGTGAGAGCTGGTTGTTCCTTGCCAGTTCAACTCACCCATTAGCCACCCGTTATCCTCTCGTCTTTAGGGGCCAGGAAGGAGTCCTGGTACATGGGAGTCCCATGCAGGTTCCCAGCTTCCTCCTACTTAACCCCAGCTTCTGTCTTTTGTAGATATTTTATAAATACTTAGATATTTTGAGCTGTTCAAGGAGACGAGCTTAATAGTTCAAACAAATCATCCTTGTCTCCCTTCTCTCCAAAAGATGTGTGTGCTGCCTCTACATAACAGTCGTGTGCTTCCTGTTATGGACTGAATGTTTGCTTCCTCCCAAAACTGATATTCTGAAGCACTAACCCCCCAGTGTGGCTGTGTTTGGAGATGGAGGCTTTAAGTAAGCAACTAAGTTTAAATGAGGTCTTAGCTGCAGGACCATGATGTCATGGGATTCGTGTCCTTGCAGAAGAGACAGCACTTGTCTTGCTCTACATACACACAAAGAAGAGGTCATATGAGCGAGCACTCAGGGAGATGGCAACTGCCCAGAAGTCACAAAAAAAAGGCCTGACCAGACACCAGCCATGCGGGCACCATGATCTCAGACTTTTAACCACTAGAACTATGAGAAATAAATTTCTGTTGTTTTAACCACACAGTCTGTGAAATTTTGTTATGGCAGACTGAACTAAGACAATTTCCAAATATGATTTTCTTCTGTTTCTTTTCATATCACTATGCAGCAAATATTTTTTGTACTGAAAATTATTGAGGCAGTGTAATGCCTTGGGTTATATTTCAATGTTGAATTTGGGCATTTCGGTTTAGCTCCCAGAGTTATTACATTTGACCTCTGCGTAGTATTCAAGGGATATTGGCATTGACTTCAGGCTAGGAGAGTTATTCCTAGAGAGTTATATTTTACTTTCTAGGTACTTGCCTTACTTTTTAAAGGCTTGATCGAATCTTCTCTAAGTCAAATGTTAAAAGTCAATGAATTAACATCCAGTTGACTCCCAAAGCCTTGCAATTTTAATGAGGAACTTTTATTTTCAGATTTAGAACAGTATTAGGGAGGCTCAAAATTATTTACCTTTTTAACAGATCATAGATGAAATGTAAATCTCTTCCTCAAAAACAAGAAAACAAAACAAATACATTATCCTGGCAGCAATTTAGCTATTATGATACTCTTAAGGTATTTTATACATTCACCTCTTCGGCTCCTGTTCAATTTTTATTATTGGGTATACTCAACAAAGGATTTAAAAAAGACCTAGTCTACAAAGCCGGTATGAACCTTATTTATTATTACTTGGCAAATTAAATATTTAGAAATTTCAATTAGATGGTAGTTTGATATTGTTACATCTTGAGAAACAGCTTCTAAAAACATTTTCTAATTCTGAAATATTCTCATTTAAATAACGAGGAAGTAGAGCATTGCTTTTCTAAAACATTGGCATATATTAAGCAACCTAAATAATTTTGATAATCTATATGAATAATCTTAAGAATACTTATTTAGAGATATTAAATTATTGGAAAGTTCTTAAAGAGGTCATTAAATTTTTAGCTTATTCTAAACTCAAAGGTGAAATAATATTTCACTATATTGCTTGGAGAACTATAGGACATAAATGCTGTGAGATTATATGAAATCTTACTATTTTTATTCACATTTATACTATAATTACCATAGCTTTGCCTTTGGAAGAGCAAGAGTTAATTACTCAGGCTATAAGTATGCTTTGTAAATAAGCAATCACTTATTTATGCATATAGTTAATGTGATATTGATTTGCTAGCTCACTGTGGACCCAGTGTCAAAATCATGATATTAGTCTGGTGAATAAACTTTTTCTCAAGGATATATTCTAAATTTAGTGAATGGCTTTAAATTTTCTTACTTTTGTACAAAAATATTTTCAAAAAAAGTGAAGGATACTAATGTAGATTGTGCTATTTTAATGGATTCTGGAGGTAGGATTGTTTTTCATGTATGGTTGAGGTTCTCTCTCAAAGTATCTGCCTCTGGAGAAATTAGATTTCATTAACTGATTCATTTAACCTGCAATTCTCAGAAAACAAACAGTACCGCCCATCCATCACCAGAGGCTTTATATTTGAGAAAGAGATTATTTTGGACATATAAGCCTGTGGATTTTTTCCACATGTCCCATGTGCTTAGTTAACAGTATCTAACCACTTACTCCATGCCATAGAGGAACTGTAAAAAAAGTTTTCACTTTTTGGAACTCATCCAAACTAAAGAAATACAGATTCTATAGAAGGACAACTTATTCCGTTTAGTTCCTGGCCTTCATTAACTCTATGTTTTTTAAACTGCACACTATTTTCTCTATGCCTTTATTTCCTGAAATATCTATTTATTTCATGCATACTATTATTTAGTGGTCATTTATTTCATCTGCCTGCCGAAATCCACAGGGAAAGAGAATGTATTAGAGTTAAAACTTGCACAAGCAACTTTTAAGATTTTGCACTTACAGTTGTCCACTTATTTCTATCTTCTTTCCTACTTATTCCCATGAATAAAGCATTAAAATTGCATGCTTCATCCAATCTCCAAAAACAACCTAAATTTGGATTGGAAAAAATAGATGCTCCATCAATATTAAGAATGTGAGTGCATATTTACTCATTTTCTTTGGTGAAGTTATTCTAAAAGTCTAGAAAACATCCCGTATTCTCAGAACTATATGTTCGGGCATGTTGAAAAATGTTCCCAATCCTTTCCTTGGTATCTTCTGCTTTCCTCTCCAAGTTAAACGAGAAGAATGCTAACAAGTTATTAATAACTTGTTATTGAAAAACAATTGTCTACATAAAATAGCTAATGGAATTGATCTAAATGGACTTTTACTTTCATTTCTATTCAGCGGATTTTCACTAAAATTATATTTTAAAATGCATTACATATATTTAAATTCTGAAAATAACTGACTTGGTTATTTGCTGTTTTTCTCATTATTTGTATCCTCCACACATACACTGAATAATCTGGTAAGATATCCAAGAGATAGTGGAGAAATACATTACACCTAGAGGAAAAGCATTTTACAATAAAATCATTACTTCATAGCGTTTTCATAATTTTGTTTCTAAGATTTTTTAAAATTACTGCAAAATACAGAAATGAAGAGAGGGCTATAATGTGAGAACTATGAAGTCAGGATTATGATCCAAGATTCTTCGCATTCGTTTCATACATAGATCTATACATGGGTTTGTCATTATGAGGGTAGAATGTTACGAGCTCTATGGCAGGTGTTGTGAACTGAATATTTGTGTCCACTCAAAATGTATGTGTTGAAATTCTAACCCCCAGTATGGTGGCAGTAGGAATTGGGACCTTTGGGAGGTAAGTAGGTCATAAGGGTGGCACCCTCATGAATAGGATTAGTGCTTTAATAAGAAGAAAGAGGAGAGTTTGTCCTCTCTTTCTCTGCTCTCTGCCATGTGAGAAGACAGTGAGAAGTCAAAATTCTGTAAACAAGACAGAGGTTCTTCACCAAACCATCCATACTGGCATCCTGATCTTGGGCTTTCTCGCCTCCAGAACTTTGAAAACTACATGTTTATTAGTTTAGCCACCCAGTCTATGGTAATCTGTGAGAGCAGCCTGAGCTGACCAAGGCATAATGCAAGGTATTGCCTCTCCAGGATCTTTTTACATAAAAATTCCCAAGATCATGGAGAAGGCTGATCCCTCATACTAAGATTGCCAGTGGATATTACTGACTTGACTTGGTAGTTAATTGTGGAAATTCCAACAGCTTACATAAAATGCTTCATCCAAGAAATGTATCTCCTCTGTCAGCCATATAGTGTTTTGATCATGCAATAATGCGATAGAAAAGAGTTTGTCTTCATAAACTAAAAAAATCAGATTTGGGGGGCTGATTTTAGCTTATGCTTTGTTGATTACTGTTTTGTTAACACTGGCCAAATCTTCAATCTCTATGGATTTCAGTTTTGTATTCTATACAATTGAAATTGAAATAGAAATTATTATTCTATTTCACAGACATATTGTAAATAAATAATTTAAGTGTGTGTGTGTAAATTAAAACATTTTGAAAAATGTAAGCATCGAAGAGTTAAGTAAGAGGAATAAAACACATACAAAAGGAATATTTGCTCATTTTCCTTGTGTAAGGGGGTTATTTCAATTGTAACCCCTAAATCTTTACATTTTATATAGAATTACAGATTCATTCTTTAGGCCGAAGTCAGGCAAATCGGAACTTGGTTGTATTGATTGTGTATAGTATATGGAGTACTGGACCAGGCTGGCCCTTTGTAAAATGTAATTTCTGCATATACTCTGAAGTTATGCTTCTTATTTTGATGAAAATGTGATTATGTTTTTGAAACCATGATGCTGGTATTTTGACAACATGAGGCATCTTCCTTCTTTTCAATCACATCACCATTTGTTTTACAAACGTGCTTATTTCTCACCTCCCTCTGCTCCAGACGCCACCTGCCCTGTCACTTTAGTGCATTACTATTTTGAATCCAGAGGGGGCCTCTACACACCCATCCGTGGAAGGTATGTTTATTATTCTTTCAATTCTTCTATACAAGTTCAGGAAATATAAATTATACATCTTTGGGAATTTGAAACCCTGAGAATATCCTCCCTCATTCCCCTCCCACAATCTCACTAAGTTTAGAATCCTGTGGGGTTTGCTGCAGCAGTAACATTTTGGAGACCTACAAGAGGTGCCCATGACTGCCTTGCCCTTTCAGTTCTATATTTTAAAAAGAAATATTTTTCATCTTGAAAAGCTGGGTAACAGGTATGATAATTATAAATACACTGCTTTTAATACATTTTCCAATATCATGCTTTAAATCATAATATTAAAACACCATGTTGCTATCCTGAAAGTGAAAAATTATTACCTCATATTAGCATTTAATCTTAGAAACCTGTAGAAATAATTATTGCCTCATATATATAAGATCCAGAAATCTATGCAAATTCTGATATAATAATATATTGTAATCAACTTCACAAAAAATAAGTTGTTCATAAAATATGCTAGGATATTTAGTAAGTGATTACCATGTGTTCAATACTCTCTAAGTGTTTTATACATGGTGTATCATATCATCTTAAATGTTATATAAAATAGGTGGTATTTTATACAAACTGTATAAACTTTAGTTTCTATTTTATACAAACTAAAAAACTTTCTATTTTTAAATGAGAGACTTTGAGGTATTAAGTGACTGGTTCAAGGTTCCATAGCCAAAAAAATAATAATGTAAACTCAGGATGCAAAGTGAGGAAATAAATGTTGTTCTTACCAACTAATGCACAGATTTCTTCACACCTGAAGACTATATAACATTTCCTTATACTTCTTCCTGGTGGAACAGACTTACGATGATAAATAAACCAAATAAATTGTCTTTTCAGATTTTAGCTTTGTTCAGATTTTTAAATATATGTATATGTAATGTATATGGCAGTGATGCATATGGAGGGATCAAGGTCTGCATCATTAGGATTGCATCTTAAGTGAATGTCAGTATGCAAGTGCTCAGCCCACTTCATTTGTCTCTCCACCCAGAATTGCACTTGACAGGATGGTTAGACATATTTCATTAGTCTATCTGATTGCTATTTGTCAGCTTCCCTGTCTAGCAATCTACTTTAGTATGCATATAATATGTCTACATGTATCTTTGTTCAACTTCAGAATGCCTGCTTTGTCTTCTATTTTTCAATTCCTTTCTCATCTAAAAGATTTAGTGATTTCTATAATAAAAGCAATGGATGCAATTCATAATCTAACAAGCTTATTGGACACAATTAAAGCTAGAGTAGTGTGCATTTTTCCCTTTCCTCTCATTATTTAATTGTGCTTGTAACATTGTTAATGTAGACATGATACTGAAGTCAGGAGTAACTGAATTAGTTATGTACTTACTGCAAAATGTGTATATTTATTGTAAACAGATATCTACAATTCTATAGGCTTATTAACTTCACACAACATGTCATGTAACAAAGGTACCATATCTAACTGGTCTTTTATATCCAATTTACTCAGTTAAATTACAGTGTTTTAGAGAGCATAAATTTTAACCAGTGCTTTACTGTAAAATTCTAAGATGCTGATGTGAGCAAATTATGTTGAAGGAAGAGTGTACTTCTGCAATGGCTAGCTTGAACAATAGACTCACAAAGGTGTGTAATTCTGCCCCAACAATGACTTATCATATAAACTTGAACATTCAAAGCAGTTGAAATTAGAATCAAAGAATTTAAAACTGCTATTGCAAATATTTTAAAGACAGTAAGGAAAAAATGAACATAATAAGAGAAATTATAGATAATTTTGGTAGAAAAATTAAAACTATAAAAATTAATTGAATAACTGGAAAAAAAGATCTGAAATGAAAAATTCACTAAATGGCCTTAATAGTAGATTAGATACTGAATATCAGTAAACTTGAAAACAAATCAAGTTAAATCATCCAAATTAAAGAAGAAAAACAAAAAAATTCTAAAATCCCACCCGACATTATCACTGACATTCAGCAATCTGGCATCTATGTATTTGGAGTCAGAGTCTATGTATTAGGAGACAGAGATTCAGTCAGAAAAAAAAATTCAGAAAATAATAACTGAAAGTGTTCCAAATTTCAATAAAAAATCAACTTATAGAGCCAAGAAGCTTAACAAATAGCAAGACAAAATTAAAGGAAACCGTACCTAGACATTTTCAAATTGTGAATACCATTGTCCTTTAATCTTAAAAGCACCTAAGGAAAAAATACATATTTAACTCAGGGGTAGGTATGAGGAATAATAAAAGCTCCACGGATTTCTCTTCTGAAACACCTCATGCTGAAGAAAATAAAATGAAATGTTAATGCACTATAAGAAAAAATTATAAATTTAACCAGTAATTCTATATTCGTTGAAAATATCTTTCAAAAATGGGAAATAAAGAAATATTTGAGATTAAATCAACGCTGAGAAAATTTATCACCAGAAGTTCTGTATCATAAGACATACTTAAAATCAACTATGGAAGTTAAGGGAAATTTAAAGAAAATTTAAACATTGTTTTAATGTTTACCAAATAGAGCAGACATGGTAATTATAAGTAACTACAAAAGGATTTTAAAAAGTATTTTATTGAAAATAATGAATGACCAAAGAAATATAATAACAAAGAATATTAAGGTTTATAACACAAGTAGAAACAACATTTAAAGTAAAGAAAAATTGTATTGGAAAAATTTAAAATGAGGTATGATGTTGTAAAATTTACATTATACCTGAAGTGTTATGCTATTACTTGATGTTGCATTGAAAAAAGAATTAGAAGCATATTCTAATCCCTACTGCAAAATATTTTTAAAAGCATTCTAAAAAACCAATAGGGATGTTAAAAATGGAATAACAAAATTATTTAATCCAATGAAAACAAGAAAGGAGAAGAAGAGAAAAATGAAACAAACACAAAACAAATAGCAAGAAAGTAGATGAAAATTATATCATTAATTGCAAGTATTATTAATGGAGCAATTATTACAGTTAAAAGATTCAGATGGGCAAATGAAACACAGCAAGAATCAAATGCATACAAATAAGAAGAAACATGTTTTAATAATAAAGACAGTTTAAATTAATAAAAATCATATAATAATACTAATTACAAGTAAATTGGAATGTCTATATTAATATCAGAAAATAGACTGTAGGACAAAACATATTTCTAGATAAAAGAAGCATGTTTTCTAATAATAAAAGGGTCAAATTTTTTAAAACTCAATAATTTTAAATATGTATAAACCTAGCAATGGAGTTAAAAATATAAGAGGGAAATATCTGACAATTAGGAATATCTCAGCTTATGATTTTAGTTAAAGATTTAACCAATTCATTTTTACCATTAAATAGAACTAGTGCATTTAAAACTTAAAGCATACACTTATTACAATGGATAAAGTCAAAAAAACTGACAATCAATTGCTGATGAGACTGCAGAAAAATGAGACATCTCATCCATGTCTGGTGGGAATGCAGAGTGGTACAGCTGATTTGGAAAATAAACTGACAATTTTTCATAAGTTATAGTCTTATCATGTAATCAATCTAACAATCAAGCACCTATGTATTTATCCACAAGATGTGAAAACTTAATTACATCCCATTTGTCAATTTTTGCTTCTGTTGTAATTGCTTTTGGTGTCTTCATCATAAAATCCTTGCCCAGGCCTATGTCATGAATGTAATTTCCTAGTTGTCTTCCAGGGTTTTTATAGTTTTGGGTTTGATATTAACATCTTTAATCCATCTTGAGTTAATTTTTGTACATGGTGTACAGAAGGGATCCAGTTTCAGTCTTCTACATATGACTAACCAGTTATTCTAGCACCATTTATTGAATAGGAAATTCTTCCCCTATTACTTGTTTTTGTCCGTTTGTGGAGATCAGATAGCTGTAGGTGTGAAGTCTTATTTCTGGGTTCTCTATTCCATTCCATTGGTCTATGTGTCTATTTTTGTACAAGTGCCGTCCTGTTTTGTTTATTGTAACCCTGTAGTCTAGTTTGAAGTTGGGTAGCCTGATGCCTCCAGGTTTATTTATTGTATTTATTTATTTATTTATTTATTTATTTATTTTGCCTAGGATTGCCTTGGCTATTTGACCTCTTTTTTGGTTCTTTATGAATTTTAAAATAAGCAAAAGAGCTTCTGCACAGCAAACCAAATTAATGGAGTAAGCAGACAAGCTACAGAATGGGAGAAAATTTTTGCAAACTATGCATCTGACAAAGGTCTAATATCCAGCATCTATAAGGAACTTAAAAACAGTTTACAAGAAAAAATAAAGCAAACCCAAGTAGGCAAAGGACATGAAGAGTCACTTCTCAAAAAATGACATACCTGTGGCCAAAAATCATATGAAAAAACTCAATATCACTGACCATTAGAGAAATGCAAATCAAAACCACAATGAGATATCATCTAACACCAGTCAGAATGGCTATTAAAAAGTCAAAAAAATAGCAGATACTGGCAAGGTTGTGGAGAAAAAGGAATGCTTATACACTGTTGGTGGGAATGTAAAATAAGTTCAACCATTGTGGAAGACAGTGTGGCAATTCCTCCAATACCTGAAGACAGAAATACCATTTGACCTACCAATCCCATTACTAGGTGTATATCCAGAGGAATATAAATCATCCTACTATAAAGACCCACGCACACATATGTTGGTCACGTCACTATTCCCATTATCAGAGACATGAAATCAACCTAAATGCCCATCAATAACAGACTAGATTTTTTAAATGTTGTACATATACTATGGAATACTATGCAGCCACCCTCCTATCAGAGGGCAAAGGGTGGGAAGAGGGAGAGGATCAGAAATAACTAACTAATGAGTACTTGTCTTAATACCTGGGTGGTGAAATAGTCTGTACAACAAACCCCTATGACACAAGTTTACCTACGTAACAAACCTGCACATGTACCTCTGAACATAAAATAAAACTTTAAACAAATTTTGAAAACTTATATCCTCCTGAAAACACTACATATCAATATTTATAAGACAGTTATAATCTCCCAAACTGGAGAGAACCAAGATGCTGTTCAAAAGAAGAATGAATAAGCAAATTTTGATAACACACACAATGGAATATTATTCATTGATCAAAATAAATGAACCATCAAGTCATAAAAATACATGACTTAAATTCATATTACCAAGTGAAACAAGCCAGTATGGAAAAGCTGCATAAGTGATTCAAATTTTAGGAGGTTTTGGAAAAGGCAAATTACAGTGACAGTAAAAATATTAGTGGTGTCCTAGGTCAAGTGGGACTAAAGAAAAAAATAAACTGAACATAAAACTATCCTCTAATTGGTAATATTACTTCCCATGAGAGTGTAGGTTAACAGCAGAGATACTTTATTAATGTATACGGGACTAAAAATTGTGTAATTGATGGCAAATTGTGAGAGGTAAGTTTCTCACTATTGGAGTGTAAATTTACAGATAAATAAGGGGAAGAAGCTAAAATAAACCATGAGATAGACTGTACCTAGAGACATCAAAATGAATTATTTATTTATGAGTTTTAAATGCTTACTTTAATATAGATAAAAATAATTACATATAGAAGTATTTAGAGATAAGCTGAGTCTTCTTAGCAAAATGGCTGACTTAGGACTAAGGCCCATAATAAATATACAAAATATAAAAGATGATTCTGGAACATGTTGTAAATATACATTTGGATTTAATGGACTATATGGCTGTATATAATGGAAATATGGCATATGTATTTCCAAATATTGTGAAATATGGCAAAGGAAAACTCTTCGCTCAACTGGAAGAGCCCCCAACATTTGGGGATTAAAAATAACTGAATGAAAAAACAAAGTAAAAATAATGTTCATGATTTCATAGTCATGTAAACACATGGTTTAAATAAATTGGAAAGAATATAAAAATGTAATATAGAGAAAAATTTCAAATAATATGTGTGAATACTCTACCTTTTAGGATTTTACACATAACTTATCACTTTAAGTTTGAAATGCGTGTAATATTGTCCTTCCAAAGAATGGAGCCCAAGAAGGGGGAAAAATCAGTAACTTTACAGTGGAGAAACTTCAAAAACAAACAGTGCCTCAACCATACGATCAAGGTAAAATTGAACAGTGATGTCAGATGTTATAGTATGTACCCTTGTTATGATGTGATGAAAATTGCACTTTACCTTTGCTGCCTTTCTTTCCAAAATGCAGAGACCTAGTTTAATTCTGAGAAAAATATCTGAAAAATCTCAATACTTGAGCAGTCCTCTAAAAAACTGTCCTGATCATCAAAAACAAAAATAGTTTGAGAAACTGCCAGAGCTAGGAGGAGCCAACAGAGACATCAACTAAATAAAATCTGGTATCTTGGATGGGATCATTGAACAGAAAACACATAAGCTAATAACTAAAATTTGGAATAAATGATATATTTTAATTAAAAACAATATATCAACATTGACTTCTTAATTGTAACAAATGGATCATACAATGTAAGATGTTAATGATAGGAGAAACTGAGTGGTGGGTATATGGGAACTTTCTGCATTATCTTTGCAATTTTTTTATAAACCTAACAGTATTCCAAAATAAAAGTTTACTTTTAAAAAATCTGCAAGAATACAGAATACTTGTACAATATTATCAACCAACACAATCTACTTTACCTGATACAATATTACATCCAAAACCTGAAGTATGCATATCCTTTTGGAGTACACATAAAGCATTCACCATGCTAGAATGTTTTGCTGGTTCTTGATACTTGCTTAAGTTATTTTAAAATGATATTATACACATATGTTTTCTAACCTCAGAGAAATTATATTATTAATAAAAACCCAGAAAGCTTTCTTCTTTTAAACACTTTTACTTTTAATTTTTGTGAGTACATAGTTGGTGTATATTTTTATGTGGTATGTATGTCTGGAGGTGGTGGCTCATGCCTGTAATCCCAGCATTTTGGAAGCTGAGGCAGGAGGATTGCTTGAGCTCGGCAGTTTGAGACAAACATGGACAACATAGTGAGACCATCTCTACAAAATAAAAAATAACAAAAAAATTAGCCAGGCATGGTGGTGTGCACCTGTAGTGCAAGCCACCTGGGAGGCTAAGGTGGGAGAGTTGCTTGAGCCCAGGAGGTCGGGGCTATAGCACTGTAGCACTGAGCAAGAAAAGCATGACTCTGTTTCAAAAATATAGATAAAAAATAAAATAGTAATGGGTATATGAATTTTTTTTTATTTCTTCTAAACAAAACGGGATATATGTGCAGAACGTGCAGGTTTGTTACATAGATATACATGTGCCATGGTGGTTTGCTGCACCTATTACCTTCCTCTAAGTTCCCTTCCCTTACTCCCCACCCCACAACAAGCTCTGGTGTGTGTTGTTCCCCTCTCTGTGTCCATGTGTTCTCAATGTTCAATTACAACTTATGAATGAGAACATGAGGTGTTTCATTTTCTGTTCCTGTGTTAGCTTGCTGAGGATGATGGCTTCCAGCTTCATTCATGTCCCTGCAAAAGGACATTATCTCATTTCTTTTTATGGCTGCATAGTATTCCAGGGTGTATATGTGCCACATTTTCTTTATCCAGTGTATCACTGATGAGAATTTTGGTTGGTTCCATGTGTTTGCTATTGTAAATAGTGCTACAATAAACATACATGTCCATGTGTCTCTACAGTAGAATGATTTATATTTCTTTGGGTATACATCCAATAATGGGATTGCTAGATCAAATGGTATTTCTGGTTCTAGTTCCTGGAGGAATCACCTTACTGACTTCCACAATAGTTGAACTACTTTACTTCCCACCAACAGTGTAAAGGTGTTTCTATTTCTCCACAGCCTCGCCAGCATCTATTGTTTCCTAACTTTTTAATAATCGCCATTCTGACCGTTGTGAGATGGTATCTCATTGTGGTTTTGATATGCATTTCACTAACGATCAGTGATATTGAGCCTTTTTTCATGTTTGTCGGCTGCGTAAATGCCTTCTTCTTTTTTTTTTTTTTTTTCTTTTTGAGACAGTCTCGCTCTGTCGCCCAGGCTGGAGTGCAGTGGTGCAATCTCGGCTCACCACAAGCTCTGCCTCTCGGGTTCATGCCATTCTCCTGCCTCAGCCTCCCAAGTAGCTGGAACTACAGGCGCCCGCCACCACGCCCTGCTAATTTTTTTTTTTTTTTGCATTTTTAGTAGACACGGGGTTTCACCTTGTTGTGATCCTCCTGCCTCAGCCTCCCAAAATGCTGGGATTACAGGCGTGAGCCACCACACCGGGCCAAATGTCTTCTTTTGAGAAGTGTCTGTTCATATCCTTTGCCAACTTTTTGATGGGGTTGTCTTTTTTGTGTAAATATGTTTAAGTTTCTTACAAATTCGGGATATCAGCCCTTTTTCAGATGGGTAGATTGCAAAAATTTTCTCCCATTCCATACGTTGCCTGGTCACTCTGATAATAGTTTCTTTTGTTTTCCAGAGCTCTTTAGTTTAAATAGATCCATTTGTCAATTTTGGCTTTTGTTTCCATTATTTTGGCATTTTTGTCGTGAAGCCTTTGCCCATGCCTACAACCTGAATGGTATTGCCTAGGTTTTCTTCTAGTGTTTTTAATGTTTTGGGTTTTACATTTAAGCCTTTAACCCATCTTGAGTTATATATGAAATATTTTGATATGGGCATACAATGCATAATAATCATATCAGGGTTAATGGGGTATCCATCTCCTCAAACATTTATTCTTTCTTTGTGTTATAAGCAATTCGATTATACTCTTTTAATTATTTTTAAACGTACAATAAATTATTGTTGAGTAACAATAGTCACCCTGTTGAGCTATCAAAGACTAGATCTTATTCATTCTATCTAATTATTATATTTTTGTACCCATTGACCATCCCACTGTCTACCTCCCCCACCACTATTTTTGCCAGCCTCTGGTAATGGTCATTCTGCTCTCTATCTCCATGAATTAAATTGTTTTAATTTTTAGCCCCCACAAACAAGTGAGAACATGTAAAGTCTGTATTTTTGTGCAAAACGACAATGAGATATTTTCTCACGCCAGTTAAGATGACTTCTATCCGAAAGACTGGCAATAAGAAATGCTGGTGAGGATATGGGGAAAAGGGAAATTTCTTACACTGTTGGGGGGAATGTAAATTAGTACATCCACTAAGGAGAGCAGTTTGGAGGTTTCTCAGATAGAACTAGGATATGGTTCAGCAATCCTGCTGTTAACATGTATACTCAAAAGAAATCACTATATCAAAGAAATATCTGCACTTTGATGATTTATTGTAGCCCTATTCACAACAGCCAAGAATTGGAAGCCACCTAAGTCTTCCTCAAGAGATGAATAAATACAGAAAAAGTGATATCTATACACAATGGAGTACAATTCAGCCATAAAAAAGAAAGAGATCCTGTTATTTGCAACAACAAGGATGGAAGTAGAGGTCATTATATTAAGTGAAAATAAGCCAGAATGATATCTTTAAAACTTTTAAATACTGGTGAAACATGCCAGAAAGATATCTTTAAAACTTCTAAATATTTTGTAAACTAACAAACCATTCCAATGTATGCATGTGTCAAATATAAAATAACAAAAACAGTAGAACTCATTTGGACCTAAATGAGGATAAAAATGCAACTTATCTAAATTTGGGAATATAAAGTGTCTTGGGAAAAAAATACTACAAATTAATGTATTACAGAAAAGAAATATTAAAATATGTGATACGAGAAAGATAAGTGCAGACATTAATAAACTAGTCAAATGACAGAGAATATCAATGAAATCAAAATTGGAATATTAGAAAGGTGAATAAAATTTAAAATCTTCATTTAGATGAATCAAATAGTGAGGAAATATATATATATGCTCCAATACATTCTTAAGATATTCTACTATAGCAAATAGTGCAATATATCATCTGCTTTTTCCTAAATATGCAACTTAATTTATATTTGAAGATGAATGCAATTTAAAACACTTACAGATGAAAATAGAAACATTATCTAATCTTCTTGATAGATGTTAAAATACCTTTGACAAAATTTAATACCCATTCATGTGAACAAATTTCTGTAAAAGCTCAAAGGAAATAAACTTTCTCAGTGCACTAAATAACATCTTTAAAAAACCTACAGCTATCATTCTAATTGCTGTAACTGAAAAATGGACTGAACATATTCGTCCTAAGAAGAGAAACAAGAAAGATGATTCTGTCTTATTATTTTAAATAAACATTATAGTGGAGGTGCTACCCAATGCAATAAAGAGAGAAATTTTAAAAGAAGAAGGCAGATATCCTAAGTAATCTATAAATGACTGTATATCTAAAAACTATTTTTAACAAAACTGCAGACACAAAGTTAACATACAAAATTTAATTGCATTTTTTTTTTCTGAAACCGAGTCTCCCTCTGTCACCCAGGCTGGAGTGCAGTGGCATGATCTCAGCTCACTGCAACCTCCACCTCTCAGGTTCAAGCAATTCTCCTGCCTCAGCCTCCTGAGTAGCTGGGACTACAGGCATGCGCCACCGTGGCCGGCTAATTTTTGTATTTTAAGTCGAGATGGGGTTCACCATGTTAACCAGGCTGGTCTTGAACTCCTGACCTCAGGCAATCTGCCAGCCTTGGCCTCCCAAAGTGCTGGGATTACAGGCGTGAGCCACCACGCCTGGCCCTACATTTCTATTCTTAAAAATGGAAAATACAATATAAAAAATAGTATTTACAATAGTATAAAACATGTAAAAGCCTTGTGATCAATTTATTGTTTGTTCAATGAAGAAACAAATACTATAAAAATTGCTGAAATAAAGAAAACCCTATTTAAGGACAATAAATAATAAAGGCAATAAAGCCTTAATTAGTGCATACCATGTTCATTATTTGATGACTATATTGCTAAGATATCTACACTCTCATTATGATATATAATTTCAAAACAATCCCAATAAAAATAATATATATTTTTTGTTATAATTGACAAGCTGATTCTATAATTTTTATGGAAACATAATGAACCTACAATAGTGAAAATCTACTAGAAAACTAAAGTGTTTTAGGGCACCTCATTAATTACTTGATATGAGCTAGCTTGATAGTGTGGCCTATGTGATAGGAATAGACAGATTAATGGAAAAAACTAGAGAATGAAGAATGAGATGACTTTACATTTGTATTTAATTAATTTGTGAAATTATTTAATGGAAGAAAAATATTTCCAACAAGCCATCCTGAAAAAATAGAATATTCACATAAAAAAGAAAAACAAAACTTACCTTTTACCATAAAAAAAAGAACTAAATTCTACGTGAAAAGGAAGGTCAACAACCACACTTCAGTTGAAGGAGATGACAAGATGCCTATATGTGTTAAGCAAGTAGTTGTCAAAATAAAAATTCCATCTCGAAATAATTGGAAATCTGTGTTTCTTGGTACCACAAAGTCTGAATTTGCATTACCATCTGATCACATCCACATGATGTTGGTAAAGCAAGGCAAGATCCACAAAGTTGAGCACTGTCAATCCACATGATCATAAGAGATAATAATTTGTTTTTAAACCATTAACTCTTAACATAACTTGTTATTCAACAATACATAACTGAAACAAAAGAATCCTACTGAAGGCGAAAAAAAACAACAGCAGCAACAACATAAACAGCTGCAAAGAACATCCACACAAAAAATTCACATGGCAGGAAAAATCCAAAATATGAGAAATTCAGATGGCACAGAGAATTAATGACCTCAAGAACCAATGACAATATATAATCTGAAAGAAAACATATTACATAATAGGCCTGTGCTAGATGCAATAAAATCAGAACTTCTCTATTTACTTGGGAGATAGCACTATATACTAATCAGAGCTAATGCTTATGCAAATTATAAACAGCGATGGATATGCTTTATAAAAATGCAAAGTAGACGATTTGCAGCAAAATTATAGTTAACAAAACCTAGTATGATTTTTATTTAAAAGCCAAGTGAGTAACCAAAAATTCTGTTTATATCTAATTAGCTGGTTTTCCTTAATTACTGGTACTTGACTCTACTAAGGACTTTTACTAGTAGTTTGTTTTATTTTATAGCAATTTACTCAGCTATCATCACGACTATTATATGCTTAACCATATTGTTATTAACTTGCATTGTGTTGGATAAATTATAAATTGAATAAAGAGAACAGAGTAATTGATAATATAAGCACTATTTATTACATTGTTTCTTGAGAAATGATATTCTGCATTGTACAGAACTAGGTTATAAAAAGATAATTAAATGTGAGAATTAATTTTGTTGCATGAGAACTAATTGCCTTACGTGAACTACATAAATTATTAAACCTTTGTTGTTAAAAAATGTGTATTCAAAAACTTTATGAAAATCCTCTATGAATAATAAGTAGATGCATTTTTAGTCAAATTACCTATTATCTAGAGGAGTGCTAACATTGTTTATCTTTACAATGGACTTTCAGTTCCAGGTCAAGTTGTAGGCAAGCATCTGCTGTGCCCATATGTCATCTTAGTGGAATACCATCACGTGAAATTTGTAACATATTCAAAGTCTCAAAATGATCACAGGAGTTGCCATAATATATAAGGCTTTCCCTTGCTTAGCCTCTCAGTCCCAACAGGGGAGATAATTCCACACTTTAGCAAATATTTTTGTTGCAGCCATGAAGTTGGAAAATATTTTTTGCTGGATAGAATATTTCCCTGGCACCTATGCAGTGAGCATAAGATTAAAAGTCAATTTATTCACCATAAGAAAATATTTTTTGTGGACTCAAGAAAACAGTGTAACATTTAACACTGTATTTTCTTTTTTTTATTTCCCATGTTAGTCTGACCCTAAGTTTCTTTCTCACTCGAAGAGACCCCCAAACAGTGATTAGATTTTTGTGCTATTGAGCCACGATAGTAGATCTAGCTACATTCTGTGAAGCAGCAGCCCCCAACATTTTTGGCAGCAGAGACGGATTTCATGGAAGACAATTTTTATGCTGGGTGAATGGTTTTGGGATGAAACTGTTTTACTTTAGATCATCAGGCATTAGATTCTCATATGGAGTGTGCAACCTGGATCTCTGGCATGCACAATTCACAACAGGGTTCGAGCTATTATAAGAATCTAATGCCACCGCTGATCTGACAGGAGGTGTAGCTCAGATGGTAATGCTTGCTTGCCTGATGCTCACCTCCTGCTGTGTGGCCCAGTTCCTAACAGACCACTGACAGGTTATGGTCCATGGCCCAAGGGTTGGGAACCCCTGCTATAAAGCACAAACAGCTTTGATTCAGTAAAATACTCCCAATTCCTTAAATTCTTAGAAGTTTTAATCAGACTTAAGCTGTTGTCTTGATCTTTTATTAGTTTAGATAGACTATTTGCTTTTTAAACTAAATGAAGTCTTAAACTTTCAATAAATTAAATAATGTCAACTTAGTATATATAAGAAAACTCAATTAAAATACCACAAATAAATATAGAAATAAACATATCGCATATTGTTTATATTCAAGTTCTCAAATGACAGTTTGACATAGAACAGGAACGCTAAAATTCAACTGTGAAACATCTTCACAGCAAAAAAGACACTATGTTCCAAATCAACAAAATAGACTTTAGTATTTTACATTTGAAAATATACATAATAATCAATAATGGATATTAAAACTTCATCCATCACATTACTGAATTTTAAGAGTAAAATCTTTTTAACCTAGACACTTGGAAGATGGATGGTTTATAATGTTTGTATCAAACTTGGAAAATGATGTGTGGCAAACAGAATTCTAAGATGCCCCAAGTATTCTGACTCCAGGTACATATTCTCCATATAACCCTTCCTCTCCATATAACATGTGCAGGGAAACATGTGGATATAATGGGATATCATTCCTATGATTCAATTGCTATCAACTTACTTGTAGTGAATCAAAATGGAGATTGTTTTTGTGTACTGATTTACTGAGCTGAGCCACTTTTTAAAAAGTGAAGCATCGGATGACAGACACTCATCTATCGGCTTTGACGAAGCAGATTGCTATGTTTCCCAAAAGGCCACAAGATCAAAAACAATGGGTTGATTCTTGGAGCTGAAAACTGCAGTCCTATAGCTACGAGGAAATGAATTATTCATGAAACCACTTGGAAAAAAGACTCCAAACCTAAAATGGAATTGTAGTCCCTTGATTTCAACCCAGGGATACCCTGAGCAAAAGACCTAGTAAATCCATATCCTGATTCCAGACCCACGGAAACGGTAAAATAATAAATTGTGTTTTACACTGCTCAGTTTATTGTAATTTGTTATACAGCCATAGAAAACTATTAAATGGTCATCTTGACCTTGTCCTCTCTCCAAAGTACTGAGCTGAGTAGGAATGACAGCAGGCATGCATATCCAGGCCCAATGAGATAAAGAACATTCTAACTGACTGACTCTCATTATTTCCAAGCTGTAAAAACTTACATTGTTTACATTTAGCAGGCATTGAGGTTTGTGATTTTGAGGCCGAAAATGTAGAAGTTGAATGAATAATGCAACATAGCATAGCTCACCCTAGGAAGAACAGAATAACGGAAATCTAAAAGATGCAAAGTTTGATAAATTGTCCAATAACATGAGAAATAAATTATATATTTTTTTCTTAATTCTCATGATAACTGATCAAATTTCAACCATATAAGCTTTTGGGAGTCTTCCATTTAAGAAGGAAAAGACTTGTATGTGACCCATGTTAGAAGACAGTAGGGAACCACTTAATAGTTGAAGTTATGAAGCCAGGATGTGTGGGTTAGAAAGGCTATCTATCTTTCACAATATAGCTATTCCTAAGTAAGTTATTTAACCTCTCAGCGCTTCAGGTTTTACATCTATAAAGTGAGAATGATAATATGGACTTCCTTGTGTCAATTATTTGAAGGTTACATTAATTAAACTATATAAAATCTTAGCTTCTCATGCATAGTGAATGCTTGTGATTAGTTTTACTTTACGTCAAAAGCAGAGAAGGCATAAAGTCCTGCTTAAGTAGGATTGCTCTGTTGATTATTTTTGTTATTTCTAGCAAAATATTACTTAAATTAAAATTTAATTTTGCAAAAAATGAAATCAAAAGAATGGAGTGCTGTGTTTCATGCATGAGATGCTTAATTGAGTTACTGTTAATTAGGTACCTGATTTGTCAAGGTCTTTAAAGAAGATAATGATTTTTTAATCTAAAATTAACAACTGATTTGTTTGCTCTATTCAACATTTGGTTTAATCTTCTATTCTTCCCTTCAAGTTAGCTTATCTGTATGTCTTTAAACCTTCCTGTTTAGTTTTATCACGTGGCCATATTCTCAGTTTGCTTGGTTGTTTATAAAATTTCCAAACTGAGTTCATCAAAGAAATAATGAATACTACATATGACGCTCATTATTTTGATTTTTAATAAAGAGAGTGAATTTGCATCCACATTTTGTTACTCACTTCACTTTGAAATCAAACGATTTTTCCAATAATTATTCTAATTTTTATTGACAATAACCAGTCTTTTACATGAATATCAAGTAATGGTTCTATGATATATTCGTAAGTGTAACTTTCCTCAAATGGAGACACTTAGTGATTAAATTATGATCTCTTTGTGAAAGTTAGCATTGAACAATACAAGCTAAGCAACACAGAGGGCAAATGTAGTCTCTGTGATAGGAAGAATAAGGCACTCTCTGGCCCCAAAGATATCAATGTCCTAATCCCAGGAAACTATAAATATATTGTTCTATGAAAAAGGCTATTGAGGTTGCAGGTGGGATTAAGTTTGATAAACAGCTGCCCTTGACATAAAAAGATTATCCTACATTATCTCAGTGAGAGGAGGGACAATGTTATCATTTAAAAGGAGAAGAGAAATGCAGAAGAAGAAGTCAGAGTGATGCAGTGCAAGGAGGGTTCAAATCTCCCTTCTGAAGATGGAAGAAGAGGCCATGAGCCACAACGCTTGACGGTAGCCTCAAGCAGGTGGAAATGACAAGGTCAGGAATCCTCCCCTAAAGTTTTCAGAAATGATCACAGTTCTACCTGTCCCTTGATTTTAGCCCAGTGAGAACTGTGTCAGACTCTGACCAACAGAGCTATACAATATTAAATTTTTCCTTAAAGCACTAAGTTTGGGGTAATGTGTTACAATAGAAAATAATACAACCCCAATTTTCTGAGGAGTACTCAGTTCAAGCAGACTGGGTACAAATTGAACAACTATGATGACTATGGACACTCTCAATTTTCAGACAGTGCATTCTAGAGAAGAGGAGCAATTCAAGAGTCACCATTAGAGAAATGTTACAAGTGTGCCAACAAGTCTACCAATCAGACTACACACATCGCATGATGCCAAACTCACAAAACCCCAAGCGACTCCTTTACAGAAAAAAAGTTACCTTAACATAACATTTAAATCTGTTTTCTATACGTTAGTAGTTTTCCTAGTAATTTTAAATTTTATTCCAAGGTGGATAAGCATCATAAGTTCCCATTTCTCTCTTAATAGCTTAGAGATAGAACCTCTAGTTCCATTTTTCATATTGCTGATTCAGGTTGAAATATCTGTACCCTATATCTTTATCTATCTATATCTATATAGTCAACTGAAAAAGAATCAACTTCAGCAAATTAAAGAATTTTATTTCTAGGCAGGTTACATCCTGCAGGTGGGAAGCAAGCCTCTGGCAGAGACCGTAAAGCATGTTTCTGATATGGTTTAACTGTGTCCCCACCAAAATCTCACCTTGAATTTCCACCTGTTGTGGGAGGAAGCTGGTGGGAGGTAATTGAATCATGGGGTCAGCTCTTTCCCATGCTGTTCTGGCGATAGCGAATAAATCTCGAGAGATCTGACGGTTTTAAAAATTGGAGTTTCCCTGCACAAGCTCTGTCTTTTTGCTTGCTGCCATTCATGTAAGACATGACTTGCTCCTCCTTGCCTTCCGCCATGATTGTGAGGCTTCCGCAGCCATGTGTAACTGTAAGTCCAATTAAACCTCTTTCTTTTGTAAATTGCCCAGTCATGGGCATGCTTTTATCCGCAGTGTGAAAACAGACTAATAGAGCTTCAAAGGGGAGAAAGTAGAGGTGGGTATTTCTGCTGCATGGGGAAGCAGGACACACATATTTTATAGGGTATAGGAGAAGGTTATGAATATTCATGGACATAAGTTGTGCACGTGTATTAGGTTTACATATATGAAACATACAGCAACATATGATCCAGATTCACGTTGGGGTGGAGATTTAACATTTAAATGCATTATCATTAGGTCCCATAGGTAAAAAGGCAAAGCGTACGGCCAAGTCCAGGGAACTACATACTCTCAGGAGATCAGTCTGAACTGATCTGTAGCCAGCAGTAATCCTTCAAGAGGCTCTTTGTGGCTTGGGATGGCTGTCATGTCAGAACCATAAAAACAGGAGGAGGGTACTGGGTGGTTGAATGAGGTGGGCAAAGAAGTACTCTGGTCTTTTGTTCTTCTCAAGTCAACCTTTGATAAAAATCTAGTAATGATTAGTAAGGGAAAGGTGGGTAGCAGCAAATGGGACATGGCCAGCCTCTGTCCTACCACGTCCAGGAATTAAAACTTTGGAGACTTTTAGCCAAAAGAGGGTCCATTAGTCTGTTGAAGAAGTGTAGGACTTTTATTTTAGTCTTCAGCTTATTCCTTGCTTCTAAAGAAGTGAAGGTTTGGTTTGGTTTTGGAAATATACTGTCATGCTTACTTCTGAATTGGCCATAATGAATTGAAATCTGTTTTTCTTCCTCCCATCCTTTTATAAGAACATTTTTGTTTTGCTTGCCAGCATTTGAAGAGGAATGAAAGTATAGTTCATAAGGTAAGAAAGAGTAGGAAATTCCTTCCTTAAGTTGTCATGTTATCTGTCTGGCCACCTGGCCTGCATTCTGACACAAGAGAGAGCAGTTTAGTTTATTATTTAAAGCTGAACACATCAGTTCTTCAAAAGAAGTATAAGAATCTAAAGGAAGAACCTCATTGCAGACAAAAAATTACTGTGACCCTGAGACAAGTTTCATTAATAGTGAACTAAGCTCATTTCAAATGCCTTTTCATATTAAGACAGCAGGTCATGTTGAAAGTAAAACTACAGGGAGAAATTGTGACATCTTTAAAGATGGATATTTTTGAAAAACATGACTATTGAGGGTTATTTGGTTTATTTCCAAAATGACAATGTCCTACATGTTAGAAACAGCAACCTAAAATGTGAGAAAAATATCTTTAAAAGTTTTACTTAAATGTTCTTCTTAAAGGGTAAGTTATTCATCTGTGCAATAAAACACAGATCTATGATGAGCAATGGTTTAATTTTTTCTCCTTCCTTCCCTCTCCTCTCCATTAAAAAATACTGCAAACCATTTCTATTTAAAAAGAAGCCAATTCCATCAAATGGACTGTTTGCTTCCTGGGGTGTATTACAATGTAGCATATAATATGGAATCAATAAATGAAAAATGCTTACAAAATAGGATACAAACAAGAGCCAACACTTACATAGTGTTTACTATGTGCAAGGCACTATTCTAAGCATTTTACAAGTATTAATTCATGTAATTGGTACAACAGATAGGAACATTGTTTCTTGGATTTATACAAAACAAGTCAAATAACTTACTTAGATGTACACAGTAGATCTGGCAGGAATAATCATGCTAGTAGTGAAATTTCACTTTTATGTGTTTATCCAACGCTTAGATTAAAATTAATTGGGGCCCTGTGTTTGCAAATAACAAAACAAATTCAAGAAATAAAAGGTGAAGTACTAAAAAAATGGACCACAAACAAAGTCAGGAAGTACTCAAGAAGGGATTGAAGCTATGCCATAAAAGCACGTAGAAGTTCATTTCCATTTTCATTTTTCTTTCTCTCCTTTGCTTAAATCTTTGTTCTCTCTGGACTAGTCTTCTCTGTTCCCCTGTTCTCATAGTTGATAGAAGCTAGCCACCACTTAGTGATAGATGCTGGCCACCTATTCTCATAGTTGATAGATGCTGGCCACCACTAGTCTTCTCTGTTCCCCTATTCTCATAGTTGATAGATGCTAGCTCCTGCAGGCCACTATCTTTCATAACCAATCCATATGAACAGTCCTCATTTTACATTTTTATGCTGGGCAATTAGATTGGTTAAATTTAGGTTATGTATCCACCTCTGTCAAAACAGTTCTAATGTTAATAACTTCACTTTCAAATATCTTTGAATAAAAGAAGTAGAACCAAGGGACTGTAAAATGTCGTGATTTCAGTAACTAGAATCTTCCTGTATAAACTGATGTATCTGTAATATATTATTAATTCAAACTCGTGACAACATTATACCAAGCTGATCATCTCCTGCTATGCAAAATATGTATTGAGACAAAGGAACATAAAAAATGAAAATAAGAAGATATTATTTGATTTCCAAACCTCTTTCCTGCATAAAAATATTATATGAGCCAGAAAAACTCAATAATATGAGGAAATATTTATGATTATTTTAAACTCATATATGTAATTTATTTGATTGACATAAAGTTTTGTAATGCATTTTGAAATAGCTGCCAATGTGTGAACAACAAGCTTTTCATTAAAATTCTGTTTTCGTGTTCATTGTTCTTTGTTTGTATGCAAACTCTTAGTTGCCTGAAAAGTAAATTTCAATATTACATATATCTGATAAAAAGTAATTAGGTAGAATTTGAACAGACCAGCTATGGTACCTGCATTTAGCACATATCTAGATGAGATACTTTCAGAGCTTACTCTCAAGTTCAAGTGATTCTCCCACCTCAGCCTTCTGAGATGCTGGGATTACAGACATGAGCCACTGTGCCCAGCCCTTCAGTCACTCTTTTGTGCTTTGTAACTTATACACATGTCATATATATATGTCAAATATCTCAAAATAAGAACATAAAACTAAAAAGAAATACATTGGTTTTAGAGCCTAATATAAAATAAAATACTGTTTCATAAACTAACCTGAGTACAAAGGTACCCCAATGTCTAAATCCTTGTCTCTCAGGGAGCCATATGTTCCTAAAGTTTCTGAAAGTTTCCTCTTCCTTCTTCTTTTACCTCCCCTTCTTTCTCTCTCCTTCTCTTCTTCTTCCTTTTTATCCTCCTTCTTAGTTATTGTCCTGAAAAAGTTTTAAGTATACGCATCTACTTCAATTATAGGTTTAAACAATTAGTACTAGTCTGTTCTGCATCCTTCCAATGACTAACTTAGGACTACAGAGTCAATTATAACTATAATGGCTGCATTATAGTATGAGTTCAGTAAATGGATTTACCTTTATGTTTATGATTCATTGAATTAACAAATCATTTTACTCTTTTATGTTTTCAGGTTAAGGTGGAAAAAACAGAGGCCAACAAATAATTAAATAATATATTGTTGCTACACCAAGACCATGGAACCCCATTGAATACTGTATAAATTCAGTTGTTTGAACAGGAAAATTAAAGCTGTTGAAAGAATGGAAGCATCACATACCAGACACTAAAGGAAGTATGCTAAATTCAACAAAACCCACGCCAATGTAGCAACACTTTTGTTTGTTTTGTTTTGTTTTTGAGATGGAGTTTTGCTCTTGTTGCCCAGGCTGGAATGCAATGGTGTAATCTTGGCTCACTGCAAACTCTGCCTCCTGGGTCCAGGCGATTCTCCTGCCTCAGCCTCCCCAGTAGCTGGGATTACAGGCGCCCACCACCATGCCAGATAACTTTTTTTTGGTATTTTTAGTAGATATGGGGTTTCACCATGTTGGCCAGGCTGTTCTTGAACTCCTGACCTCAGGTGATCCACCGCCTCAGCCTCCCAAAGTGCTGGGATTACAGAAGTGAGCCACCACACCCAGCCTGTTTTTGTGTTTTAAGTGGGGATTTAGTTTCAGCAAACCATCAAACCTTTATATTAATATGATATTATGTTAATTTATCATCTAATTCATCAATATTTTAATGTTTATACTTAATTAGTAACTTTTTGATATTGCATTTGTATAAATAATATATTAGAGAATTGATTACTAGTTTCATGTTTTTGTGTAATTAACTTTATAATTAAATAATTTGTCATCACTGAAAGAAAGTGAAATATTTTTCTCTTAAATGCTATGACTATGTCTTTGAGATCACCAAATTGTGCCATGAAAAGCTCAGATAATTTTTAAAGTGATTTATTTCTGTTGGCTTGAATTTTCATTTGAAATTCTGAGGAAATCAGTAACTGAATAAAAATTTACATCTCAAATCATAGCTAGGACTTACTGTAAGCAACTTAAACCAACATTAAGTAGCAGATCAGAAGGCAAACATGATTATGCTCCTGCATTGAATATTTTACAATGCTACTTTTAAACTTTTCTAATAAGGCTTGGAGGATACCAAATGAACTTTTCCTTAGAAAGGTTATATCACTATTTCTGTTAAATCTGACTAATGTTTGTTATTCTTGCACAGCGTGTTAGCTCACTGCATACAGGTGGGTGTCACGGGATACGCAGAGTGTTGCTTTGCCAGCCGGAAGCTTCCGTAGCTGGTGGCGCCTTTGCCTCAGTTTTGCTCAGGCACATTGGGCTCGTTCTACCCATTCAGCTTGTCAGGCTGTGCTCAGCTTGTGATACTGGCCCAGATCCCACACCTGCCAAGGGCAAGCAAGGCACAAAGCGGTGAGGGGAGAGTGAGTGAGCGAGCGTGGGGTCCAGCTGCGGCTCACAGCGAGGCACTCTGGCTGCCGCAGGTGGACAGCTCCAGGTGCCAGCACGGGAGCCAGCTCCCTGTGAGGCTGCAGCTGGACCAGGCGTACCACAAGCAGCTTCCACTGCTGGCACTGGGCAATGCAGTGGTGCCCAGAAGTTTGACGATGCCAGGAACCACATTGCCCCAAAGGGGGTGTCACAGCCCTGGCTCAAGGAGCTCCTATGTCTGGGCTCCCAAAAGGGCTGCAGCTCTTCTCTTTTTCCCTCTTCTCTCCTTCTCTTCACCCACAACGTGGTGAGCAAGGGGTGTGTTTCAGCTTTGTTTGTGTTACAGTTCTTTCAGTCACACTATTCAGCAGGTTCTGAATTCTTGTCCATGTCCAGGAAGAATGAAGTATGCAAATAACTGGAGAGTGAGCTAGGCAAAGAGGTATTTTATTAAGCGATAGTACAGTTCTCAGGAGACCTGAAGTGGGTAGCGCCTTTTACAGGCAGGTCATCTCATCATCTCCCTGTGGCTGATTCTGGGGTTTCTACAGGTTTCAGAGGGGAGAAAACACGTGCTGCATAGTCCATGGGTGACCATGGGCAGGCCTGGTAAAAGCACTGTAAGTTCTCACTCCAGTCCACAGAACTGGCAGCCCAGCCCCATGCTTCAGTACCTCCCTGGCTTGAAGGTGGGGCTTTACTGGGGACCTGCCCCTTTTTGCCCTGGAGACTGTCTGCCTCCTACGACCATAAACCTGCTATCCATAGTGCCAGTGGCTCCCAGGCTATTCGTGCTGAAGGATACCTGCATGCCCACATTTAGCTGCCCTCAGCCCCCCCCTCAGCCTCACTCCCATGGTCATTGGTGCCCAAAGCTCAGAGGGCACGAAGGTGACAGGGTGCTGGTGTGTCAGTGCTGTCCTGAGCACATGCACACCTGGCTGGGTGGTGACAGCATCCTGACTCAACCTCAATTTTGCTTTGAAATTGAATCGGGCACTGGGAGTAGGGTGAGGCCATGCAGTGGAAGCAGGCACTTCTGAATCTGTGGGGGGCAGGGGACTTCCCAGGTCCCCTAGAGTGCAGGGATACCTGGGTCCACAGCCGCGGCTGGGTGACTGCATCTGTGCCCAGGAGGGCGGTGCTCCTGCCCCACCAACTCAGAAACAGGAGGGGTTTCTGCCTGTTCCTGGCTCCACCAGCTGGAGTGCGCAGCCCTGACTAGGCCTCCCCCGCCACAGACAGCATCTTCACAGTGGCTGCTCTAGATGGGCCCCACTGCCGTCATTGGTACCTACAAGATATTTATGTTTATTTTATGAGTGAATAAATGAATGAACAAGTCCTGCAGGAAACTATTTTATAATAAGCAGAATTGCTCTCTTTCAATAGAACACCTATTCCAGGATTGTAAGTGTCAGAAACAGATTGTCTCTTTTGGCCTGTGCCTGATTCTTTTATGCTTCACTGAATCTCCTGGCATGTTCTTGCTCAAATGCTTCTCCTAAGTGCATCTAGATATAGTTAAGTATGCAAGATGCCTTATGAAGCCAGTGTCATTTCACTATTATATGATTAAAATTTTGTAAGTAACAGCTTGTTAATTTTATAATAAGAGCTTACTAATTTCGAGATTTCATAAATGACTCCAACGTGTAGTTGATATAAATGTATTTCTACTATAGTACATCTACATCTATAAATGTATATTTACTATACATCTAAAAAGTATAGTAAATATAAAATTCCAGGGCAAATCACCATGTGTGGAATATACAAAGTAAATATAAGATAATAATACAATTGGTATCAGGGTTGGGATTCATTCACCTCAAGTATGTAAGAAAGGCAAGAGAAAGAAAAAGGAGAGAAGTTTTTTTTATTGAAGATATTGGGAAGAAGATATCTTTAGATAAGAATATGATGTGATATTCATTTCCTCTCCTACAGAGAGGAGGGCTTGATCCCTGGACTCAAACATTCTTCTGGGGTGTGGACTCTCACAGAGATCTATGCAGAGCTTAATATACAATTCTTTCATCTAGGAGGCAGAACGAACTAAGTCTGACTCTCACCTCGGAACCCTTGCACAAGAGAAAAGGACTTAATATATCTCTTTAGAGAAGGTCACTGCTTTGGGATGGGCCTGCACTCCCTGGATGTGTTTTAACAATGAATGCTTTTACGGTTCTCTCGTAGTGGACTTGAACTGTGCAAAGAGCAAGCCATCTTGACTTTTGTCCAATAGCGCCACCTGGAGTCATGGAGGGAACTTAGCAGCAAAAAGCTAAAGATGCATCCCCAGAGCTCGGGAAAGAGTGGTCAAGATCAGTTAGAATAGAGGTTAATTTGCCATGGTCAAGAGAATGGCAAAAGAGAAGAGGCTAGCAGCAAACCTCAGAAGAATTCACAGAAGAAGCTCTCCCCAAATGTATGTCATGCCCCTAGTGCTCAATGATAGTTAAAACAAGAAATGCCATTAATTTGAAAATAGTGTCTATAAAAGAAGGCAGGAGAGGGATTTTTTTAAATAAGAGAACTTTAAAAATAAAAAATTCACTATACCCGTTTTTAATCCTGAAGGCTTACAGCTTAAAACAGGCTGGTTTGAATGGATTAGAAATATGCTATTAAATTCAAATTCAGAGTTGAAATTAATATATTGGATTGAACATTCTAATTACTAAATTGTGTCTGTGATAACAATAAAAGTGCCTCTAGAACAATTGTATTTATAAGTGAGAAGAAACGCCCCGACAGTTACTTCACTAAGTATATTTTAAAAAGGCAGTGAGTGACAAAAACAAATTTGGATATATTAAAAGGGATTCTTCAACATACAGGTGATGTAAGAACATGTAAAGCTTTTCTTACATAATTTATTTTTCTACTCTGCACTGTCAAGACAGGGGACTTTTTCTTTGACACGGTTAAGTGTGGTTTTATTTCTGTTTCCTCTAATTTGTTGTCTAAATTCTGTGGCCTAGCCAAAGCTGAGAGTAAGGGCAAATATCACTATCACAACGATTCTGTTAATAAGGATCAACATATGTTTAATAAACATTATTATGAAACTGTGCATGGATTTCAATATTTTTTGCACCAAATTAAACTCATACTCACTTGTTACTGTGTCCTAAAGGGACCTAGTTTTAGGCATTAAGAAGGATGACATCAGTTTGAGAACAGCCCCTATCACAGCATCATGCTTTCTGCTAAAATTGAGACAAAAATAAACATTAAACCTGGGTTAAAGAATGGGAAAATCACTGATGCTTTTTGAAAAGTTTATGGAGACAAAGAAATCAGCAGTTTACAGATAGAAAACTTTTTTTAGAAGGGTTAAGATGATTTTAAGACAAAGCCTGCATGGCAGCCCATCTTCATAAATTATTTTTCCTTCCTTCCTTCCTTCCTTCCTTCCTTCCTTCCTTCCTTCCTTCCTTCTTTCTTCCCTCCCTCCCTCCCTCCATCCCTTCTTCCTTCCTTCCTTTCTTCTTTCTTACCTTCCATTCTGTTTTTTTTTTCCTCTCTTTCTCTTTTTCTTCTGAGACAGGATATCACTCTGTCACACAAGCTGGAGTGCAGGGGTGCAATCACAGCTCACTGTAGTGTTAACCTCCCAGACTCAAGCATTTCTCCCACCTCAGCCTGCTGAGTAGCTGGGACTACAGGTGCATACCACCATGCCCAACTATTTTTATGTAAATTTTTGTAGGGATAAGGTCTTACTGTGTTGTACAGGCTGGTCCTGAACTGTTAGGCTCAAGCAGTTCTCCCATCTCAACCTCCCAAAGTTCCGAGATTACAGGAGTGAAGAAAAAAATAATTTCATTTGTGCCATAATTGAAAAGAACCAACAATTAGCAGCATGAATAGTAGCCAACACCATAGACATCTCAATTAGTTCAACTTATGCAATTCTAACTGAAAACGTAAACTTTAGCAAATCTTTCACTCAATGGGTGCTAAAATTGTTGCACCGAAATCAACTGCTGCACATAAGAACAGAGTTTTCCATTGAAATTTTAAACAAATGGGATCAAGATCCTGTAGCATTTCTTCAAAGAATTGTAACAAGAGATCAAACATGGCTTTCCTGGTATGATCCTGAAAATAAGGCACCATCAGAGCAATGGTTACCAAGAGGTAAAAATGGTCCAGTCAAAGCAAAAGTGGACCAATTGAGAGCAAAAGTCATCACAACAGGTTTTACTTGTTTATTTATTTGGTCTGCTCATGGCATTTCTTTTGTTTACTCTCTGGAGGGCCAAAGAACAATAATATCTGCTTATTATGAGAGTATTCTGCAAAAGTTAGTCAAAGGTTTGGCAGAAAATCACTCTTCATTTTTTCAAATAAACTATACTAATTATATATGTTTTCTGAATCTTCCAGAAACCATTAGAAAGCAAAAATTATTCCTTCATAATATGGACATGTATTATGAATATCAGGACATTTCCTCAAAAATAACAGAGAATATTCTGATCACTTCATCTGGCTTATGATTATTAATATAATCCATTGATTCCTACTTTTGTCTATATACTCTTGGATACCACACTTCCCTAGTTCTTCATTTTAGGTCATGTTTTGTTTGCTATTTCATATTATATTTATCAGATACTCTTTTTTAAAAAATAAATTTTTATGTTTATATTTCAGGTTTACAACATGATTTTATGGGATACATATAGATAGTAAAATGGTTACTAATGTAAAACAGATTAACACATTTATCATCTCACATACATTTTTGTGATAAGAGCAGCTAAAATCTATTTAACAAAAATTTCTAATACAATACAATTTTATTAACATTAGTTCTCACTAATGTTGTACATTAGCTCTCTAAACTTGCTCATGCTACATATCTGCTATTTTGTATTTTTTGCCTACTTCATTTCATTTCCTCATCACCCTCCTCCCTTCCCGTAGAAACCACTACTTTTTTCCCCTCTGTCTGTGTATTTGAGATTTTTTTTAATATTCCAAATACAAGTAAGATCATGCATGCAATTTTTTTTTCTGTGTCTGACTTATTTTACTTATCATTATGTCCTTCAGCTTCATCCATGTTGTGGCAAATGGCAGGTTTCCTTATTTTTAAGGCTGAATAATACTCCATTTCATTTATACTACATATCTGTAACTAAATGTCTATTGATGGACATTTAGTTTGTTTCCATATTTTGGCTATTATGAAAAATGCTGCAATGAACACAGGAGTCCAGATATCTTTAGGTGTGACTATTTCATCTCCTTTGCATACATACCAAGAAAAAGAAAGAGAGGGGAGCAGTGCTGGATCATCTGATACTTCAATTTTTAATTGCTTAAGAAACCTACACATTGCTTTCCATAATGGCTATATATATCTGCATTCACACTAACAATGTATTAGGGTTTCCTATTCTCTATATTCTTGTCAATATGTGTTATCTCTTCCCTTTTAGATCATAGTCATTCTTTTGGGTGTGAGGTGAAATTTAACAGTGATTTTTATTTTCATTCCTTGTTGATTAGTGATGTTAAGCACCTTTCCATATACCTGTAGGCTACTTTTATGTGTTGTTTTTAATTTTGAAAAAGATCTGTTCAGGTTTTTTGCTCATTTTAATTCAGTTTTTGTATTTTTATTATTGAATTGTATAATAGGAGTTATTTATACATTTTGGATAGTAATCCCTTCCCTTATCAGATATGTGGTTTGGAAATATATTTCCCCAGTGTTTTGGTTGCCTCTTTGTTGTGTTGATTGTTTCCTTTGGCATGCGGGAGCTTTTCATTTGATGTAGTCTCATTCGTTTATTTTTGTATTTGTAGCCTGAGCTTTTGGTGTGATAGCCAAAAAAATTGATCACCAAGAACTTAAAGACTGTCAAGGAGATTTTTTTTCCCTATGTTCTCTTGTAGGAGTTTTATGACTTCAAGTCCTACATTTAGGTCTTTTATCCATTTCAAATTAATTTTTCTGTATAGTGTAAGATAATGGTTCAATTTAATTCTTTTGTATGTGGAAATCCAGTTTTCCCAGCACCATTTATTTAAGAGACTATCCTGTCTTTATAGTGTCCCCTTGGTGCCCTTGTCAAAAATTAATTTTCCATACACATTTTGATTTATTCCTGGGCTCTCGTAGTAGTTCATTCTCACATTGCCATGAAGAAATACTCAAGATTGGGTAATTTATAAAGAAAAGAGATTTAATTGACTCACAGTTATTCATGGCTGGGTAGGCCTCAGGAAACTTATAATCATGGCAGAAGCTACCTCTTCACAGGGTTGCAGGAGAGAGAATGAATGCCAAGTAAAAAGGGAAGCCCCTTATTAAACCACCATATCTTGTGAGAACTCACTCACTATCATGAGAACAGTATGGAGGAATCCCCTCTCATGATTCAATTATCTCCTTATTCAATTATCTCACCCTTGACAAGTGGGGATTATTACAATTCAAGATGAAATTTGGGTGAGGACACAGCCAAACCATATCACGTCACCTCTGACCCCTCCCACATCTCATGTGCTCACATTTTAAAACACAATCATGCCTTCCCAACAGTCCCCCAAAGTCTTAATTCATTCCAGCATTAACCTAAAAGTCCATGTCCAAAGTCTTATCTGACATGAGACAAATCCTTCCCACCTATGAGCCTGTAAAATTAAAAGCAAGTTAGTTACTTCCTAGATACGATGGGCTACAGGCATTGGGTAAATACAGCCATTCCAAATGGGAAATATTGGCCAAAACAAGGGGACTACAGGCCCCAGGCAAGTCCAAAATTCAACAAGAAATTATTAAATCTTATAGCTCCAAAATGATCTCCTGTGACTCCATATCTCACATCCAGGTCTTGCTGATGCAAGAGGTGGGCTCTCACAGCCTTGGACAGCTTCACCCCTGTGGCTTTGCAGGGTACAGTCTCCCTCCTGGCTGCTTTCACTGCTTGCATTGAGCACCTGTGGCTTTTTCAGGTGATTGGTGCAAGCTGTCAGTGGATCTACCATTCTGAGGTCTGGAGGATGGTGGTTCCACGAGTTAGTGCCCCAGTGGGAACTTTGTTTGGGGACTCCAACCCCACATTTCCCTTCCACACTGACCTAGCAGAGGTTCTCCATGAGGGTTTCACCCCTGCTGCAAACTTCTGCCTGGACATCCAGGCATTTTCATCCATCCTCTGAAATCTAGGCAGAGGTTCCCAAACATAAATTCTTGACTTCTGTGCATCTGAAGGCCCAACACCACATATAAGCCACCAGGGCTTGAGGCTTACACCCTTGAAGCAAAGGCCAGAGCTGTACCTTGACCCCTTTTAGCCACACCTGCAGTGGCTAGGATGCAAGGCACCAAGTCCTGAGGCTGCACACAGTAGGGTGGCCCTGGACCCAGCCCAGGACACCAATTTTCCATCCTACCCCTCTGGACCTCTGATGGAAAGGGCTGCTGTGATGGTCTCTGACATGCTCTGGAGACATTTTTCCCATTGTCTTGGTGATTAGCATTTTGTTCCTCATTACTTATGCAAATTTTTGCAATGGGCTTAAATTTCTTTCCAGAAAATTGGTTTTTCCTTTTCTACTGCATTGTCAGGCAGCAAATTTTCCAGACTTTTATGCTCTGTCACCTCTTGAATGCTTTGCTGCTTGGAAATTTCTTCCACTAGATACCCTAAATCATCTCTCTTAAGTTCAAAGTTTCACAGATCTCTAGGGCAGGGGCAATTAGCTGCCAGTTTCTTTGCTAAAGCATAGAAAGAGTGACACTTACTCCAGTTTCCAACGATTTCCTAATCTCCATCTGATATCACCTCAGCCTGGACTTTATTGTCACTATCAGCATTTTGGTCAAAGCCATTCAACAAGTGTCTAGGAAGTTTCAAACCTTCCCATATTTCTTCTGTCTTCTGAGCCCTCAATGTTTCTAGGAAGTTTCAAACTTTCCCACATTTTCCTGTCTTTTCTTGAGCCCTCCAAACTGTTCCAACCTCTGACTGATAGCCAGTTACAAAGTCACTTTCACATTTTCGGGTATCCTTATAGCAGCACCCCACTCTCTGTGGTAGCAATTTACTGTATTAGTCTGTTCTCACACTGCTATGAAGAAATACCCAAGAATGAGTAATTTATTTAAAAAAAAGAGGTTTAATTGACTAACAGTTATATATGGCTGGGGAGGCCCCAGGAAACTTACAATCATGCAGAAGGCTCCTCTTCATAGGGCGGCAGGAGAGAGAATGAGTGCCAAGCCAAGGGGGAAATCCCTTATAAAACCATCAGATCTCATGAGAACTTACTCACTATCTCAAAAACAATGTGGGAGAAACGGCCTCCATGATGCAATTATCTCTATCAGGTCCTGCCCTTGATACATGGGCATTATTACAGCTAAACTGTGTCAGTTCTGTATTCTGTTCCACTGGGCTGTTTCTGTAATTATGCAGGTATCATTCTTTTGATAACTATAGCTTTGTAATATAATTTTAAATAAGGAAATGCTACATCTGTAACTTCATTTTTTTCTTATATTGCTTTGGCTATTCTGTTTTCGTGTGTGTGTGTGTGATTTCATATTAATTTCAGAATTGCTTTTTTCTACTTCCATAAAAATGACGTATTATTCTGATAGGAATTGCATTAAATCTTTACATTGCTTTGGGTAGTATGAACATTTTTACAATATTAATTTTTTTCCCATTTATAGGTATTGGATATTTTCTCATTTATTTGTTTCTTCTTCAATTTTTTTCATCAATGCTCTGCAGTTTTCAGTGTACAAGTATTTCACATCCTTGGTTGAATTTATTTCTTGGTACTATTTTTATACTATCATAAATGGGATAGTTTTCTTGATTCTTTTTAGATAGTTTATTATGTGTGCAGAGAAATCCAACTAAGTTTTGTATGTTGATTTTATACCTGTAAATTTACTGAATTCATTTATTAGTTTGAACAATTTTTTTTTGGAATCCATATTCTGGATAGGAATATGCCATTCGTAAATTGACATCATTTTACTTTTCTTCTTTCCGATTTTCATGGCTTTTATTTCTTTTTCTTTTATTTCTTTCTACCTGTCTTTGATAGGACTTCTAGTTCTGTGTTGAATAAAAGGGGTAAGAGTGAGCATCCCCACCTTGTACCACATCGTAATGGGAAAGCTTTCAGTTGTTTTCTGTTAGTTGTGGTGTCTTCAAAAATAAACTTTATTGTGTTGAGGAATTTTCCTTCTATAACTAAACTGTTAAGAGTTTGTATCAAAAAAAAGATTGCTAAACTTTGTCAAAATCTTTTTCTGTGTCGATTGAGAAGATTATGTTGTTTTTATCTTCCATTCTGTTAATGTGATATATCATATTGATTAATTTGCAACTGTTAAGTCCCGGCTTGCATGCCAGAGACAGATCCCATTTGGTCTTTATCTATAACCTTCTTGATGTGTTGTTGAATCCAGTTTGCTAATATTATATTGAGCATTTTGCATGAATGTTAATCAGGGACATTGGCCTGTAGTTTTCTTTTTTGTGGGGTCTTTGACTGGCTTAGGTATCATCGAGGTGATACTGGCTTCATAATATGTGTTTGGAAGTATTTATATTTCTTTGAATGTTTGCTAGAATTTAGCCATGAAGCCATCTGGTCTAAGACTTTTCTCCGTTGGAAGGTTTTTGATTACTTCTTTAATGTTTTTAATCATTCTTGGTCTGTTCAAGCTTTCTATTTCTTCCTCATTCAATTCCCCTTGCCAAAAGATGTCACTTGGTACATAGTAGCACCTAATAAATACTGTAAAGATGTGTCTAGGTAAATAGTAATTAAATAGAGAATTTCTAGGTATATTTTTATTGTGAGAAGGAAGTAAGATAATCCACATGCTTAAAGTATTTAAAATACGTCTAGTGCACAGGAATCCATAGACAGATATGTGGTGTCATTGCCATAATGTAGAGGATGGGAATTACTAGGTAACAATGTTTTGATTTAAGAAAAAGGAGCAAACATATTAACACAGAATGAGTGAAGATATATAATTGCATACCACTTGTGCTTGAGATACATTTTTCCAATTGTACAATAAACTACGGTGCTTAAATAAAATTCTGTCTGCCTTTTAATGTGGGAAAGTTCATGTCTGAACTATAATCTTGTCTTTTATCAGCATATGTAGGTTTTTTTTTGCCACAACAGGGATTTAAGTCCAGATAGAGGTGTTGTTAGCATACAGTATTTTAAATAAACCGGCTTACATCACTTGAGTTCATGGCCTTTATTTGAATTTTCTAATATTGAAAGACAAAAATCAATAGGTATTGTTAACATGGCGGTAATAGTTAATTCTACAAAGTTCTAGAGTAGAACTCAGGAGGTAAGACAAATAGTTGAGAAGAAAGGCAAATTAAAGAAATTGTGAAGACTATTTAGAAAACAGTACATTCTGCTTTTAATCAAGCCATTTAAACATATTCTTACAAATTGGGATACATTATTAACTTATCTAAATAGTTGCTTCTGTTTTTGGCTTAAATTTTAATAGAGCTATCTCTGATAGAACATAATTAAATTGTCAGAAAAGGCAGAATAAGGGTAGACATTATAGACAATTCCAGGTAGGTAAGACAAAAATTTCATTCTAAATTTAGAGATTAATAAATATGCATTAAAGATTTTCTTTAAAAAAGGATATGTGAAAAAAACTAAATAATTCAAGATGTTGTATTGAAGTTGAAAGACTGTAAAGAAATTCCCTAAAAAGATAAAATCATTGCAAAATATTTACTGTATTTTCAAAAATTTTAGTAATATTAATTTTCTGGTCTTTGAGAAACAAAGACAGTGAGGATATGACTCTGACATCAAGTTGATTACAATGTGTTGGGAAGCAAATGAGATAAGGAACTGAATAATTTCAATATTGACAAGTATTCCATTAAAGAGATATATGCATGACTAACATGACATTGATAATGGAGGAGTCTGGTGTAAATATGAGTTAATAAACAGATGAGGAGAGGGAAAGAAACATTTAAATTTAATTTTGAAGATATGTTTTACTTTCTTATGATCATTAAGAAGACATTTGTTATAAGCAGAGAGACTGCAGAAAAAGAATTTGGAAGTCTGCAGTAATATTTGGGGAATCATCATAACCTTACATGAAGAGAAAGTACACTTTATAGGAGGAATGGCCAGAGATTGATAGAAAAGAAAAATATAAATTACATACCTGGCTTAACAGTTCTTACAAAGAGTATATTAGTATGCTAGTGCCACAATACTTTAAACTTTTTTCCTAGAACAATGTTTTCCTACTTCCTGATGAAAAAGACTCCCATAAAACTCTTTGATAACCACCATCCTCTCCTCCAGCATTGCTGCTCAACTGAAATCCCACTAATAAAACAACTTGTGTCATTCTTTAAGGGCAAGACTCAAAAGACTATTTCTTGGGAGGTATATTTATTGCCTTCAATTCATGTGGAAGTATAAAGGACTGATAGATCCTTTTTTTTTTTTTAACAAAGTACATTTAACAGGAAAAGAGATATAAAAAATGCTAGAGATAAAGACATTTCCAGCAAGGGAATGAAACAAATACCTCGAGTAGGGGAAGTAAGCCTCCCTTATTTTATTTGGTCTCTGAGGCTTATGCTGTTACTAAAGAGGAACAAAGAATCTGTCTTTTATTTATTTATTTCAGCTCATTCACACAAATAATATTTTTCCGGATAATGTAAGCTAAGCCTCATTTATAAAGTTCAACATCATCTAAAATCATAGCATAAAGATTTACCAGAAAAGAAATCAGAACACAACAGTCAGAGTTACAATAAATGGTGTTCTTTATTTCAGACTCATGTAAAGCCCTTGGATTCAGGAAAAACCTAAACCTGCTATCAAATGACATTATTAGAACTATAACAAACACTATTCATCATTGCTGTGGATTTTTTGTGGAGGAGAATGACAGGAGGATGAAAAGAGTATTGTATTATTTTTGGTGGTTAACTCCCACCTTTTATGTTATTTGTTCATCAAATGTTTAAGACGCTATTGTGCCTCCTACCCATTTGTGTAGTACTTAGTGTCTAGCATCTACAATGAAAGTTACCAGCATTATATTCTCTGAATAATGTTCTGATCTGTTAGTGTTGATTTAATTGTCAGCAGCAACAATTACAGCAGAAATTGCTATGATCCCTGGAAAACCTTATAAAGACAGAAGATTCTGAAATTCTAAAGGAAAGGGTTGAGGACTCTCTATTCAATTACCTTTTACCTAGACACATTTTTCACAGTATTTATTAGGTGCTACTAGGTACCAGGTGACATCTTTTGGCAAGGGGGATACAAACCTGAATGAATCAGTCACTGTTGCAAAAACACATACCAACGCCTCAGCAGCTTTCCCAGAGTAAATGTGAGAATATATTCGAGGTAGCTAAGGCTGCTCTTCTTGACTCCTCTCCCTTGTTATTATTGTCAGCAATTAGTCCGAACAACTTCCTTTACCTTCATTTCAGAGTAACTGGAATGAAGGAACACTGTTTATGAAAGTGAAGAAGAGAATAGTGGGTTATTAAAAGCAAACATACTTCCTCCAATTCATCTTTCAGTGAGTCAGATATTTACCTTTGTTGTGGCACATGCAAGTATTTATACTGGCAATATCTTAGTGCATTCGGGCCACTCTAACAAGGTACTATAAACTGGGTGGCTTATAAACAACAGAATGTTTTTTGTTTATGTTTTATTCTCACAGTTCAGGAAGCTGCAAGTCTGAGATCAGGGTGCCAGCATATTGGGTTGTGATGAGGTTTCTCTTGTGGATTGCAGACTGCTGACTTCTCTCCCTGTCCTCACATGGCAGAAGGGACAAAGGAATTCTCTTGGACCTTTTATAAGCAGTAATTCCATCCATGAGGGCTCCACCTTCATAATCTTATCATCTCCCAAAGGTCCCATCTCCTTATATCATCACCTTGGGAGTTAGGATTTAAACTCATAAATTTTGGGGGACACCAACAGTCACATCATAACAACCAAGAACCTAAAATTCAGTGTTGGACCTGGGTAGAGTTCTAATGGCTTCAATGCTGGCAAAGTTTGAAAATATCTAAAATCAACAAATTTTATTTTCTTGAAGATAATCGGTCTCTACATAGACTGTCTTAAAATCAAACCTACATATATAGATGTTTTATTTCATATAATATTTACTATAAAAGCATCTCTTTTATATTTTATGATTTAAATGTGTATGTCAGATATAGAAATATACTGTAAAATGGCTGTGTATGTGCAATTTTGAATAAAATAAATGTTCTTTAAAAATTCTAGAAATGTGGTAAATTGATATAGTCTTTAAGATATCTGATATTTTTATAAATATCTATTTAATTTATTAAAAATCAAGTATGCAAACCAAAACTTAACCATTTATCAATGTTTCAATAAAACTGCATTACATAAAGCACAGAAAATTTTGTCACACAGGTAGAAATAGGAACCTGAAAGCTACTGAGCACTGTATATTTCTCAATGTTTCACAATTATAGAAACATCTGTGTTAAATAACGCTGAGTTGATCCACTCTAAAAATATAGAGTGCTTAATAGCCCAGGGAAGCAAATACATTGCCAACAAGCCACAGGTGTTCACCACAGGAGGACATAAAAAGTGTGATGATGAAGGATGTGATGACATTTCCCAACCCATAATATATATATATCCCAAAATGAACTTATGCATCCATAATTGAGTTGGTTTTTAAAAAATTGTTAATGTGGCATTTAAGCTATTTCAAAAAAAACAATAAAGTTTTAAATGTGCATAATATATTAGTTTTAAAAGTTGATTGCAAAGGCAAAAAAATCAAGTTAGAATCAGAGATTTTATTTCAAAAACTTTCATATGTAATAGTATATGAATAGCTTGTGTCCTACATTGAATCTGAAGTTTTCAATAAGTAATTATATTAATGCATTTCATTATAATTAAATACAGCTTTTGAATTTTAGTAATTCAAATGAAAGCCTTCAGATAGACTATTTACTGTGATAAAATATAATAACCATGCTTCACCTAAACTTTTATTTTTTATTATTCATATAAAAATTTACAAGGAGCCATAATCAAATTGTTCCCTATTACTTTAACACATACATGTAATCTTTTCTTTTAATTCAACATAAAAATAACAGTAAGGCATTTTATAAGCTTTATTAATGCCCCCTAGACATTCATATTTGTTAACAGAACTCAACAGTTGATTATCCATGCTGATGGAAGGTTACAGAAGCATGGATAATGAAAATAGTAGATAATTCAGAAAATCGCAGTACAGTCAAATGCACACACACAGAAACAAGCTCACACGTGCTTATTCAAATATACCACCCTTTATCAGTGCTATAAGTAAATAACTCCAAAGCATTTTATAAAAGAAGAGTTGCTGCCAAAGTACATGTAGATAATAAAAGATAGGTATTACTACCTGACCAAACACAGAGAAAGAAGAATATCTGTCTCTTCCTCTAGAACCTAATAAATGATTTTACGTTTTCATGTAGGTAATTCCAACCTTTCCCTCTAAGTTATCTCTGCCTGACGTGTTCCAGTTATAGTACCAGGCCATTCCCAGTCTAGAGGAGAAAGTATGGCTTTAAGGTCATACACCATTTTAACTGGTAGTTCTGATCAATAAACAATGGTTATAGACCAGAAACAGAAAGTTAAACACCACATGTTCTCATTCATATGGAGAAGCCAGAAAAAGCTGTCTCATAAAAGTAAAAAGTGGTCTGGGCATGGTGGCTCACGCCTGTAATCCCAGCACTTTGGGAGGCCGAGGCGGGTGGATCACCTAAGGTTGGGAGTTCGAGACCAGCCTGACCAACATAGAGAAACCCCGTCTCTACTAAAAGTACAAAATTAGCCGGGCGTAGTGGCGCATGCCTCTAATCCCAGCTACTTTGGAGGCTGAGGCAGGAGAATTGCTTGAACCCAGGAGGTGGAGGTTGTGGTGAGCCGAGATCACGCCGCTGCACCCCAGCATGGCAACAAGAGTGAGACTCAGTCTCAAAAAAAAAAAAAAAAATTAAAAAGTGGAACAAAGGATACTACAGGTTGGAAAGGGTAGGGAGAATGGGGGCATAGGAATAGATTTGTTAAAGGACACAAAATTACACATAATATGAGGAATAAGTTCTAGTGTTCTATACCACTGTTGGATCATTATATTAACAAAATATGCAGTATCAAATAGCTAGAATGAGAATCTTGTATGTTCCCAACACACAAAAAAAAATCATAAATATTTTGGATGGGTATGCTAATTACCCTAATCTGATCAGTAAACATTATATATATTAAAAATCACTATGTACTCAACAGATATGTACAATTATAAGTCAATTTAATAAATAAAATAAATACATACTAAAGTTTTTAAAAAGTACAGTGGGCAACAGCAGAAATAAAAATAACCCCAAATTCTGACATTTGTGAAGTAAGACTTATTAAGGATATTTGTTCAAAAGAAACCAACTGTCCTTGGCATAAATAAGATAGAAGTTTATTTCTCTGTTGTGTAAACCATGACCTGCTAGGAGTGGCAAGGTGATCAATTTCTTAACTCCATAAGGACACATAGACATCTAGGTTCCTTGTGTTTTGTTGTCTTCTCATAATATGACTAAATGCAATTCACCACACGCCCACTTCCCAGTCCACAGGAAGGGGAAGAGGAAATGGAAGACAAATAATTTTTATTCAGTGAAGGTGACCTGAAGAAGCTAGCATGGTATTTCTCAGAACTGAAGTACATGTTCAAGACTGTCTGTAATGGAGGCTGTGAAATATAATCTTCAACTTAGATTATATTTGCTCCACTGAAATTTGAAAGTTTAATGACTAAAATAAATAAGACAAAAATATGTTTTTGAAGATTATTACAGTCTTTCCCAGACAGAAAATAAGAAGAAAAGACTGTACTACATTATAATGAAGAGCAAGAACTCCTCTTTTTCTGAACAGAAATGTTTGAATTCAGGTCAAACAGTGAGGAAAGAAAATGAGATTAGGCCTACAGATTCTAAGAAGTTCTCCATAGATTCTAGAAATGTTTAAAGTCTCCATGTTCCCTATTAAGACAATGACTATCATTTTTTTTTTGTAATTGAGGGACTATATTATTATTTTTAAAAGTTAACCATTATAATCACTTTATTTATTTTTCTATAAGTTATTGGGGTACAAGTGGTATTTGGTTACATGAGTAAGTTCTTTAGTGGTGATTTGTGAGATTTTGGTGGACCCATCACCCGAGCAGTACACACTACACCATATTTGTAGTATTTTATCCATCACTTCCCTCTCACTCTTACCCCCAAGATCTCAAAGTCCTCATAGCTTAGCTCCCACATATCAGTGAGAACATACAATATTTGGTTTTCCATTCCTGAGTTACTTCACTTAGAATACTAGTCTCCAAAAACTCATCCAGGTAACTGCAAATGCTGTTAATTCATTCCTTTTTATTTAATTATTCCTTTTTATTTAATCATATATATGGAATATTACTCAGTATTATATTCAAACAATGACTTATTTCCCCCTGGGTAGATACGCAGTAGTGGGACTGCTGGATCAAATAGTAGTTCTACTTTAAGTTCTTTAAGAAATCTCAGCACAGTTTTCCATAGCAGCTGTACTAGTTTACATTCTGACCAGCAGTGAAGTGTTCCCTGTTCACCACATCCAACCAAACGTCTACTGTTTTTTGATTGTTTGATTATGGCCACTCTTGCAGGTGTAAGGCGGTATTGCATTGCGGTTTTGATTTGCATTTCCCTCATCATTAGTAATGTTGAGCATTTTTTCATATGTTTGTTGGCCGTTTGTATATCTTCTTTTGAGAATTGTCTATTCATGTCCTTAGCCCACTTTTTGATGAGATTGTTTGCTTTTCTCTTACTGATATGTTTGAGTTTGTTGTAGATTCTGGATGTTAGTCCTTTGTCAGATGTATAGATTGTGAAGATTTTCTCCCACTCTGTGTTGTCTGTTTACTCTGATGACTGTTCCATTTACTGTGCAAAAGCTCTTTAGTTTAATTAGGTCCCAGCGATTTATCTTTGTTTTGGGTCATTAAATCTTGCCTAACCCAATGTCTACAAGGGTTTTTCCAATGGTAGCTTCTAGAATTTTTATACTTTCAGGTCTTAGGTTTGAGTGCTTAATCCATCTTGAGTTGATTTTGTATAAGGTGAGAAATAAGGATAGAGTTTCATTCTACTGCATGTGGCTACCCAATTATCCCAGCAGCATTTGTTGAAAAGGGTGTCCTTTCTCCACTTTATGTTTTTGTTTGGTTTGTCAAAGATCAGTAATTAGTTGGGTTCATTTCTGGGTTCTCTATTCTGTTCCATTGGTCTATGTGCCTACTTTTTACCACACCATTTTGGTGACTATGGCCTTGTAGTGTAGTTTGAAATCAGGTCGTGTGATGTCTCCAGATTTGGGTTTTTTTTGTTTGTTTGTTTGTTTGTTTGTTTTGCTTGGACTTTCTTTGGGTATGCGGACTCTTTTTGGTTCCATATAAATTTTATAATTGTTTTTTCTAATTTTGTGAAGAACAATGATGGTATTTTGATGGGGATTGCATTGAATTTGTAGATTGCTTTTGGTAGTTTGGACATTTTCACAATATTGATTCTACCCATCCATGAGTGTGGGATGTGTTTCCATTTGTTTGTGTCATCTATGATTATTTCAGCAGTGTTTTGTAGTTTTCCTTGTAGAGGTCTTTCAACTCCTTTGTTAGGTATATTCCTAAGTATTTTATTTTATTTTTTTGTAGCTATTGTAAATGGGGTTGTGTCCTTGATTTAATTCTTCACTTGGTCGCTGTTGTTGTATAGAAGAGCTACTAATTTGTGTACATTAATCTTGTATCCAGAAAATTTGCTGGATTCTTTTATCAGTTCTAGGAGCTTTCTTGAGGAGTCCTTAGTGTTTTCGAGGTAAATGATCATCTTGTCAGCAAACAGTGACAGTTTGACTTCCTCTTTACCGATTTGGATGCCCTTTATTTCTTTCTCTGCTTTTATTGCTCAGGATAGGGCTTCCAATAGTAGGCTGAAGAGGAGTAGTGAGAGTGGGCATCCTTGTCTTGTTCCAATTCTCAGAGGGAATACTTTCAAATTTTACCCATTCAGTAGTATGTTGCCTGTGGGTTTGTCATAGATGGCTTTTATTACTTTAAGGTGTGTCACTTGTATGCCGATTTTGTTGAAAGTTTTAATTATAAAGTGATGCTGAAGTTTGTCTAATACTTTTTCTGCATCTATTGAAATGATCATGTGATTTTTGTTTTTAATTCTGTTTATGTGGTGTATCACATTTATTGACTTGCATATGTAAACAATCCCTGCATCCCTGGTATAAAACCCACTTTACTATGGTGGATTATCTTTTTGGTATGTTGTTGAATTTTGTTAGCTGGTATTTTGTTAAGGATTTTAGCATCTATATTCATCAAATATATCGGTCTATAGTTTTGTTTTTTGGTTATGTCCTTTCCTGGTATTAGGGTGATGCTGGCTTCATAGAATGAATTACGGAGAGGTCTTTCTTTCTCTATTTTATGGAATAGTGCAAAAATAATTGGTACCAATTCTTCTTTGGATGTCTGGTAGAATTCTGCTGTGTATCTATCTGGTCCTGGACTTTTTTCTGTTGGTAATTTTTAAATTACCATTTCAATCTCACTGCTTGTTATTGGTCTGTTCGGGGTATCTAATTCTTCTTGATTTAAACTAAGAGGGTTGTATTTTTCCAGGAATCTATCCATCTCTTCTAGGTATTCTAGTACATGTGTGTAAAGGTGTTTACAGCAGCCTTGAATGATCTTTTGTATTTCAGTTGTGTCAGTGGTAATATCTCCTGTTTCATTTCCTAGTGAGGTTATTTGGATTTTCTCTCTTCTTTTCTTGGTTAATCTTGCCAATGGTCTATCAATTTTATTTATCTTTTCAAATAACTAGCTTTTTATTTCATTTATCTTTTGTATTGTTTTTGTTTGTTTGTTTCAATTTCATTTAGTTCTGCTCTGATCTTGGTTATTTCATTTCTTCTGCTGGGCTTTGTTTTGTTTTTTTTCTTATTTCTCTACTTCCTTGAGGTGTGACCTTAGAGTGTTGGTTTGTGCTCTTTCAGTCTCTTTGATGTGATGTGTGGAAAGTTCTCTATGAACTTTCCTCTTAGCACTACCTTTACTGTATCCCAGAGGTTTTGATAGATTGTGTCATTATTGTCATTCAGCTCAGATAATTTTTGAATATCTGTCTTGATTTCATTTTTGACCCAGTGCTTATTCAGGAGCAGGTTATTTAATTTCCATGTATTTGCATGGTTTTGAGAGTTCCTTTTGAAGTTGACTTCCAGTTTTATTCCATTGTGGTCTGTGAGAGTGCTTGATATAATTTCAATTTTTTAAAATTTATTGAGGCTTGTTTTATGGTCTATCATATGATCTATCTTGGCAAAAGTTCCATGCACTGTTGAATGGAATGTGTATTCTGCAGTTGTTGGATGGAGTGTTCTGTATATATCCGCTAAGTCCATTTGTTCCAAGGTACAGTTTAAATCTATTGTTTCTTCAATGAGTTGCTGTCATGATTACCTGTCCACTGCTGTCAGTGAAGTATTGAAGTCCCCTGCTATTATTGTGTTGTTATGTGTCTCATTTCTTAGGTCTATTAGTGATTGTTTAATAAATTTGGGAACTCCAGTGTTAGGTGGATATATGTTTAGGATTGTGATATTTTCCTGTTGGACAAGCTCAAGGCCTTTTACCATTATATAATGTCCCTCTTTGTTTCTCTTAACTGGTGTTGCTTTAAAGCTTGTTTTTTCTAATATAAGAATATCGGAAAATGCTGCTCACTTTTGATGTCCATTTGCATGAAATGCCTTTTTCCACCCCTTTACTTTAAGTTTATGTGAGTCATTATGTGTTAGGTGAGTCTCCTGAAGGCAGTAGATGGTTGGTGAGTTCTTATCCATTCCGCTGTTCTGTATCCTTTACAGGGAGTATTTAGGCCATTTATATTCAATGTTAGGTGTTGAAATGTGAGGTACGATTGCATTCATCATGCGCTTTTTTGCCTCTGTACTTTGGTTTTTTGTTTTTTGTTTTTTTTGTTTGTTTGTTTGTTTTTCTTTTTAACTTGTATTTTTCTTTTATAGGTTCTGTATGATTTTTCCTTTAAAGAGGTTCTGATTTGATGTGTTTCCAGAATTTGTTTCAAGATTTAGAGCTCCTTTTAGCAGTTCTGGTAGTGGTGGCGTGGTAATGGCAAATTCTCTCAACATTTGTTTGTCTAAAAAATAAAGCTGTTTCTTCCCTTCATATATGATGCTTAGTTTTGCTGGATACAAAATTCTTGGCTGATAATTGTTTTGTTTGAGGAGGCTGAAGATAGTGCCCCAATCCCTTCTAGCTTGTAGGGTTTCTACTGAGAAATCTGCTGTTAATCTGATAGGTTTTCTTTTACATTTTACCTGGTGCTTCTGTCTCACAGCTCTTAAGATTTTTTCCTTCATCTTAACTCTGAATAATCTGGTGACAGTGTGCCTTAGTGAAGATCTTTTTGCAATGAATTTCCTGGGTATTGTTTATGCTTGTTGTATTTAAACGTCTAGGTCTCTAGCAATGCTGGGAAAGTTTTTCTCTATTATTTCCCCAAATACGTTTTCCAAGCTTTTAGAATTCTTTTCTTCCTCAGGAACACCGTTTATTCTTAGGTTTGGTTGTTTAACGTAATCCCAGACTTCTCGGAGGCTTTGTTCATATTCTCTTAATCTTTTGTCTTTGTCTTTGTTGGATTAGGTTAATTCAAAGATCTTGTCTTTGAGCTCTGATTTCTTTCTTCTTGTTCAATTCCATTTATGAGACTTACAAGAATATTTCACATTTCTAAAAGTGTGTCCAAAGTTTCCTGAATTTTTTATTGTTTTTTCCTTAAGGTATCTATTTCCTTGAATATTTCTCCCTTCACTTCTGGTATCATTTTTTGGATTTCCTTGCATTGGACTTAATCTATCTCTGGTTCCTCCCTGATTAGCTTAATAACTAACCTCCTGCATTCTTTTTCAGGTAAATTAGGAATTTCTTCTTGGTTGGAATCCATTGCTCTTGAACTAGTGTGATTTTTTTTAGGCTTGTTGAAGAGCTTTGTTTTGTCATATAACCAGGTTTGGTTTTCTGGTTCCTTCTCATTTGGGTGGGTTCTGTCAGAGGGAAGGCTAGGGCTGAAGGCTGTTGTTCAGATCCTTTTGTCCCACAGGGTGTTCCCTTGATGTAGTACTCTCCCCCTTTTCGATGCATATGGCTTCCTGTGAGCCGAACTATAGTGATTATTGTCTCTCTTTTGGGTCTAGCCACTCAGCAAGTCTACCCGGCTGTGAGCTGGTACTGAGGGTTGTCTGTACAGAGTCCCATGATGTGAACCATCTATCCATCTCTCAGCAGTGGATACCAGTGCCTGTTTTGGTGGAGGTGATGGGGTGGTGCAATGGACTCCGTGAGGGCCCTTAGCTTTTGTGGTTTAATGCTCTATTTTTGTGCTGGTTGGCCTCCTGCTGGGAGGTGGCACTTTTCAGAGAGCATCAACTGTGGTAGTATGGAGAGGAACTGGTAGGTGGGCAGGGACCTAGAACCCCCAAGATTATATGACCTTTGTCTTCCACTACCTGGGTGGGTAGGGAAGGACCGTCAGGTGGGGGCGGGGTTAGGCCATGTCTGAGCTCAGACTCCTTGGGTGGGTCTTGCTGTGGCTGCTGTAGGGGATGGGGATGAGATTCCCAGGTCACTGGAACTGTGTACCTAGTAGGATTATGGCTGCCTCTGCTGAGTCATGCATGTTGTCAGGGAAGTGGGGGAAACCTGGTAGTCACAAGCCTCACTCAGCTCCCATGCAAACAGAAGGGCTGGTCTCATTCCCACGGTGACCCCCCACAACACCCTCTAGGCTGTTTCCAGGTGGAGGATGATATGGGCTTGAAAACTTGCCCCAGGCTACCTGCCTCCCAGCTGCAAAAGAAAAGGGCTTGGCTCTTCCTCTGCCTGTGGAGTCTGCAAACCGGATTTGCACCCTCCCGTGAGTTCTGGCCAGAAGGTGTCTCACCCAATTCAAATTGTTACAAAGTTCAGCTAGAGATTTCCATCTGCCTGTGTAATTTTACCCCCTGATTCTCTCCCATTGGATCCCTGTGGTGCCAGGAAGAAATGGCCTGCTAGAGGACCCAGTGAGCTCCCTGGGCCTTTCTGCTGCTTCCTCTACCTTTGAATTTTGCTCGGCTCTCCAAATTGACTCAGCTCCAGGTAAAGTTGGAAACTTCTCCCACAAATAGACCTTCAGCTTCTCCAGTGGTGATGTGTGTTCGGGAGAGGAGGGTTTCCCTTTCCCACATCAGCAGTTGGGGTACTCACAATTTTGGCGGGATCTCCTGTGTCCTGCCGGAGCAGTCCACTTCCTTCAGAATTTTTGTGGGTCCTCTTGGGATTGCTGGTTAGTTCTTGCAGTCAATCTGGAGCTAAAATTCACAATGCTAGCCCCCGCATGCTGCTCTGTCTGGAGCTGCAATCTAATCTTGCCTCCCATCCACCATGATCGCCATTTCCCCAAGGCACTATATTCTGAAAAATATATATTGTTTTAATTTCTTATTAAGTAGAAAATAAACCGAAAGGGATAGTGATGTTCATAATTTTCAATGTTCCTCAATATGCATTTCCTTAAATAGTTCTTCCCTGAGATAGTTTTTGGAAACACTGCTTTCTTATCAAATTTAGGAGACATTGAATCCTGTATCTCCACTTTGATAATTATAAGATAAATTAACAAATTAATGGTATTGCTAACAAACTGTTTGCATTTCAATTTTCCAAATATGTTCATCCCACATTTAAAAAAAAAAACTCAATGTTATTTTTCATTTAAAAATTGTATTTATAAAATATCATGCATAATGTATGCAATTTAATGAGTTTGAAGAGAAGTATACACCTGTTAAACAATCACTGCAGTCTGTACCATAAATCCATCACCTCCAAATTTTCTGCTAATCTCTTATTTATTATTTGTATTAGAACATAAAATAAATGCTACCCTCTTAGAAAATCTTTAGGTATACAATAGAGTGTTGTTATCTATAAGGACTATGCTGTACAGTAGGTCATTAGTGCTAACTTGTCTTATATACCCAGAACTTTACACCTTTTGACTAATACTTTCCTTTCTCCCTTTCTTGTGTCCCAGCCCCGACAATGACCATTCTACTCTGTGCCTCTATGAATTTGGCTATTATATATTTATTGCATAAGTAGCATCATTTAATATTTATTCTCCTGTGTCTGCATTATTTCACTTAGCATAATGTCTGCCAAGTTCATCAATGTTTTTGTAAATGGCAGGGTTATTTCTTTTTATAGCTGAATAGTAATCCATTGTATGTATATACCATGTTTTCTTTATTCATTTATTGATGGACACTTGGATTGCTTCCATATCCTGCCATTGTGAATTATGCTAAAATGAACCTAGAAATTGAGATATGTCTTTGATATACTGATTTCTATTCCTCTGGGTATGTACCCAGAAATGGGATTGATGGATCATATGACATTTCTGTTTGCAGGTTTTTTTTTAAACAGTATACAAGGGATTTTTTTTCATAATCTTGCCAAAATGTGCAATATATATTTTTAATGATGAAAACCATTCTAACAGATGTGACATCTTATGTTTTCTATTGGTATTTCCCTGATGATTAGTGGTGTCAACCACCTTTTCATAGATCTGTGTTTTCTTTAGAGAAATGTCTATTTATACCTTTGCATATTTTTAATTTGGGCTATTATTATTATTGTTATTATTATTCCCATTGAGTTGTAGCCAAACTATATATTTTGTATAATAACCATTTACCAGATATATGGTTTATAAATGTTTTCAGGGTTATGCTGGCATCATAAAAAGAGTTTTTAAGTGATCCCTCTTCTATTGTTTGAAACAGCTTAGGAATGAATGGTATTAATTAAAAACATATTTAGGAGGACTGATATGTGAAGCTGTTTATGCCTGGGCTTTCTAGTGTTATTGGAAAATTTTTGATCACTGACTCAATATTTCCATTTGTTGCTGGTCTATTAAGGGTTTCTGTTTCTTCTTGATTCCTTTTTGGTAGGTCACATGTTTCCAGGAATTTATTCATTTCTTCTAGGTTGTCCAATTATTTGGCTTTCATAACATTTCCTTATTGTATTAGTTCATTCTCATGCAGCTATGAAGAAATACCTGAAACTGGGCGATTTATAAAGGAAAGTGGTTTAATTGACTCAGAGTTCCACATGGCTTGGGAGGCCTCAGGAAACTTACAGAATCATGGCAGAAGGGGAAGCAAACATGTTCTTCACATGGCAGCATGAGAGAGAAGTGGTGAGCAAAAGGGGGAAAAGACACTTTCTCTGTTATTGTTTATTTGTCTATTTGTGTTCTCTTGTTACTCACTGGGCATCCTTAAGATGAAATTTTTGAAATTTTTGTCAGGCAATTTGGAGATCTCCATTTATTTAGGGTAAGTTGTTGGTGATTTCTTTTGTTCCTTTGGGGGTATGATGTTTCTCTGATCTTTGGTGATCCTCGTAGCCTTGGATTAGTGTCTGAACATTGGAAGTGGTCACCTCTTCCAGTCCTTAGATATTAGTTTTCATTGGGAAAGACTTTCATCAATAGCTTTCAGAGATTCTGGGTTGATGTGCTTCTGGAGTACTCATGTGACTGTGTACTTCCTAGCTCCTTGGTAGTTTGGCCTGAAGTCTGGGTCCATGGTGTCCAAAATGGCACCAGCAACCACTGGAGTGGACTTAGAGACTAGTTCTATAGTGGTTGGCCTGGAGCTTGGAACCACAGGGGCTGGTCTGTTGTTAGGTTCTACAAGGGCATTCCTGGAGCCTGAATGTGGGCTGGGGTGAAGCATGAATCTTCAGGGGTGATCTTGGGCTCGGGTGGGTCCAAAAGGATAACATAATTCTTATTTTAGTAGCACTTATTCATGTATTTTGAAAAAAAACTTATCAAAAATTGATTTAATCCAAACTCTATTTTACCATGTTGCATGACAAATGAAAACTAAGCATTTATTTTCTTTAATGAGAATTAGATATGTCAATTAACACTCCAGTGAATTCTCAACCTTTAGTATAGACAATTTTATTGATTTGATCTAGGGTCAGCAAACTATGCTTTATTGGCCAATTTGCTAACATCTTCTGATCTTTTCAGCAATAATATATAACATATATAAGTCAGGATCCCAGGTGTTCTGGTGTATCATAGGTCAATTCAGAAGAAAACCAATTTGATATGAAATTGAATCAAGTTCAATAATACCTTTGGGAAGTATTAACTATTCTCTCAACCTGTCTTTTGTTGTTGTTGCTATTGCACATCTTAGTTGAGCAATTTGGTTGAAAAGTATTTAAGATATTTCAACTGAATTTTATATCCTACTTGAAGGCCACTGAACTCCAAATGCCACTGATGCCATAATATTAAGGACTCATAATATGGAGCTGAATGAGACATAGTATCAGCTTTTTACCAGCTCACTGTCTATCAGAGAAGATGGAGAGGAAGTCTATCAATTTTCATGTGGTAAGATAATATCTCTAATAATGTTCATCAAACTCATCTAGCAAAAAAGAATGATACATTAGTTAATTTTTTTCTTTCTTTCATTTTCTTTGATACTTATATGTCTCATATATTTCCAGGACTGTTCTAATTACTTTCTGTATATTAATTCATACAATCATCACAGCAACTGTAAATATAATGTTTCTCAGTATGAAAGACATAGGTCAAACAGGAAAAAAGTATTTTACTCGGAGAGAACAGAATTTGCAAAGGCACAACAGCAAAAGTAGTGCTGAAATAGAGAAAGTGGACAAAACTTTTTAAATCCTATGTTTTGCTTCGAGTGAAATATCAGGAAGGATAGAAAACAGCAATGTATGCAGTAACTCAAAAGACATATTTTCTAGAAGATTGTGATAGTCAGCAGAAGGAAAATTTTAAAAATCAAATGTCATTCAGTGGATATTGAAGATAAGTAATTTCAGAGATCATATTTAACATTGCTATTTCAGTTTAGTTCAGTTCTGTTTCCTGGTTTCAAATATGGTAAGATCATATTGTGGAATTATTGAGTGGCTTGATGATGTTTTAAATTACCTCACAAAATTCCGCATGATGCTTAATTTGCTCAAACTGTATGAATAGTTTACATACAAGCTGGTATTATTAAAAATAATTTAAATTTAAAAACTGGTTTAGGATGTTACATTTTATGCATGTATAATGATATTATAGACATAGACTATAATAAATACAATTGGCCTGTTACTTTATTGGCATTAATAAAATGAAACATAATTAGCTTAAGGGTCATGTACTACAGTATCTTAATTTATTTAGAAAAATTAAACAAGTTGTACAAACTACAAAGCTAATACTATTTTTGTGATTTATAAAATACTAAAAAGTCACTGTTGACTTATAGTAGTTATAATGCAAAATTATAGTTTGTTAAAATGGAGAATATTTCTGTACCTAAAATGTGGATTTTATCTTAATCAATTCAGTATATCTAATTTTATAACTTATATTTTGTGTAGTATTCACAAGTATCTATTTTTTGTGAAGAAATCAAATCATAAGACTATTAATGCATTTTTTGAAGGCTTCACTGTTATATATTTTTTGTAATAAGCCTTATATTAAAAAATGCTAGTTACAAAGAATCATGCTTGCTAAAAATTCCAAAAGCTGTGGTTCAAATGATGTACAGATGAAAGTATAATTTTGGAAGAATAATCTCTCAGATTGCATATCTATGAAATTAAAAACAATCAGCCCTAGTTACAAGAGGTACAAGTATTTGCAAATGTATCTAATTACCATGGTACAAATAAGCATAACAAAACCTTTTGTTGCCTTAAAAGTAATCAAATATTGGGGTCACTAAACAGTTTCATAATATGCAGAAAACTATGGGTAATTTTTCTCTTTTATTCTTAACTAAGTACAACTGGACTAAATAATTTTATCCTAATTTGAACTTCAAAATTAATTTAAGAAGAGATTCATGAGATAGGAGATTGAATGAATATGCAATTGCAGAATAGGATATATGATAATATTGACAGAAAATAAGGATAACTATCAATACTTAATAATATTTATTTTAATGTATATGCTCTATAACCTTTGAAAGCAAATGAGATACTTAGTCTGCAGCCTGAAGAATTTATGTTTATAAAAGATAAGTAAATAGTAAACATGGAAGCTAGTAAGAAGATTCACTCCCAGAACTCCTCTTTTGAAAAACTTGGTTTTATAGATTTATCCAGGATAATATTGAGCTCTGAGAAACTGTGATTCTTGGATGGGTAGACAGATGATGAATAGTGTTATTGTGAACATAGTGATAAACCAAAACATTTATCATTAAAAAACAATCTCCTACCTAAACTGTGTCTTCAATAGATTATGATATTCCTCAGAAAAAATAAAAACTGTGTAATAGTCATCTTCCACTGGCTAGTAGTGAAAAACAAGTACTTTAGATTCAGACTGCCTGTGTTCAAATTCCCAATTCCTTATCATACTAGCTCTGTTACCTTGAGAGAGTTAATTAGTCTCTCTGTACCTCATTTTTAGCATCTTTATAATAAATTTTGTCTTATAGGTTGTTATGATAATTAAGTAAATTAATTTTTAAGTTTTCTGGAAGATTGCCTGACACAGTTACTTTCCTTGAGCCCTATAAATTAAATATCTCTATAAATATATACAAAATAGACATTCAGTTGATGCTTATTATATAAACTAAAATGATATATAAAAGAAGCAAGGTTATTGTCTGGAACTATGTTATAAACATTTTAGTGCAACTTGTTTACTAAAAAATGTTCCTAAGTAATAATAATATTAAAACTTAGACAGTTTTCTCAGTGAAAGTATAGATAAGAGCAAAATACACACTTGGAATCTATATTAACTCTTTTAAATCATTATAGTACCATTTATTGCAGTAAAGCTTGAGAAAAAATAGGAGGAAGAGGGTCTAGGAACTGAATCTTGAATTAGTCACTCACTGCCATATATACTGAAGGAAAAAAATGGCAGTGCAAGAAAACATATTACCTGTTGATATCTAAGTTGTTGTCCCCCAGATCTAATCTGTTATACACTGAGCAATGGGATTGAAATGTGAACTTGTAAACTCAATTTGTGCCCTTTAATATGAAAAACTTAGGTAAGAAAAGAGTCTGATCAGACTTTTGTTGGGAAGAAGCCCCCCAGAATCTGGTCATAAACTGGCCTCAAAACTGGCCATAAACAAAATCTCTGCAGCACTGTGACACGTTCATGACGGCCATACACCCAAGCTGGAAGGTTGCGGGTTTACTGCAATGAGGGCAGGGAACACCTGGCCCGCCCAGGGCGGAAAACCGCTTAAAGGCATTCTTTTTTTTTTTTTTTATTATACTTTAAGTTTTAGGGTACATGTGCACAATGTGCAGGTTAGTTACATATGTATACATGTGCCATGCTGGTGTGCTGCACCCACTAACTCGTCATCTAGCATTAGGTATATCTCCCAATGCTATCCCTCCCCCCTCCCCCCACCCCACCACAGTCCCCAGAGTGTGATATTCCCCTTTCTGTGTCCATGTGATCTCATTGTTCAATTCCCACCTATGAGTGAGAATATGTGGTGTTTGGTTTTTTGTTCTTGCAATAGTTTACTGAGAATGATGATTTCCAATTTCATCCATGTCCCTACAAAGGACATGAACTCATCATTTTTTATGGCTGCATAGTATTCCATGGTGTATATGTGCCACATTTTCTTAATCCAGTCTATCATTGTTGGACATTTGGGTTGGTTCCAAGTCTGCTATTGTGAATAATGCCGTAATAAACATACATGTGCATGTGTCTTTAGAGCAGCATGATTTATAGTCCTTTGGTTATATACCTAGTAATGGGATTGCTGGGTCAAATGGTATTTCTAGTTCTAGATCCCTGAGGAATCGCCACACTGACTTCCACAATGGTTGAACTAGTTTACAGCCCCACCAACAGGGTAAAAGTGTTCCTATTTCTCCACATCCTCTCCAGCACCTGTTGTTTCCTGACTTTTTAATGATTGCCATTCTAACTGGTGTGAGGTGGTATCTCATTGTGGTTTTGATTTGCATTTCTCTGATGGCCAGTGATGATGAGCATTTTTTCATGTGTTTTTTGGCTGCATAAATGTCTTCTTTTGAGAAGTGTCTGTTCATGTCCTTTGCCCACTTTTTGATGGGGTTGTTTGATTTTTTCTTGTAAATTTGTTTGAGTTCATTGTAGATTCTGGATATTAGCCCTTTGTCAGATGAGTAGGTTGCGAAAATTTTCTCCCATTTTTTAGGTTGCCGGTTCACTCTGATGGTAGTTTCTTTTGCTGTGCAGAAGCTCTTTAGTTTAATTAGATCCCATTTGTCAATTTTGTCTTTTGTTGCCATTGCTTTTGGTGTTTTAGACATGAAGTCCTTGCCCATGCCTATGTCCTGAATGGTAATGCAACCAAAAAGAGTCCAGGACCAGATGGATTCACAGCTGAATTCTACCAGAGGTACAAGGAGGAACTGGTACCATTCCTTCTGAAACTATTCCAATCAATAGAAAAAGAGGGAATCCTCCCTAACTCATTTTATGAGGCCAGCATCATCCTGATACCAAAGCCGGGCAGAGACACAACCAAAAAAGAGAATTTTAGACCAATATCCTTGATGAATATTGATGCAAAAATCCTCAATAAAATACTGGCAAAACGAATCCAGCAGCACATCAAAAAGCTTATCCACCATGATCAAGTGGGCTTCATCCCTGGGATGCAAGGCTGGTTCAATATACGCAAATCAATAAATGTAATCCAGCATATAAACAGAGCCAAAGACAAAAACCACATGATTATCTCAATAGATGCAGAAAAAGCCTTTGACAAAATTCAACAACCCTTCATGCTAAAAACTCTCAATAAATTAGGTATTGATGGGACGTATTTCAAAATAATAAGAGCTATCTATGACAAACCCACAGCCAATATCATACTGAATGGGCAAAAACTGGAAGCATTCCCTTTGAAAACTGGCACAAGACAGGGATGCCCTCTCTCACTACTCCTATTCAACATAGTGTTGGAAGTTCTGGCCAGGGCAATTAGGCAGGAGAAGGAAATAAAGGGTATTCAATTAGGAAAAGAGGAAGTCAAATTGTCCCTGTTTGCAGACGACATGATTGTATATCTAGAAAACCCCACTGTCTCAGCCCAAAATCTCCTTAAAGGCATTCTTAAGCCACAAGCAATACCATGAGCGATCTCTGCCTTAAGGACAGCTCCTGCTGCAGTTAACTAGCCCAACCTATCCCTTTAATTTGGCCCATCCCTTCATTTCCCATAAGGGATACTTTTAGTTAATTTAGTGTCTGTAAAAACAATGCTAATGACTGGCTTGCTGTTAATAAATACGTGAGTAAATCTCTGTCTGAGGCTCTCAGCTCTGAAGGATGTGAGACCCCTGATTTCCCACTTCACACCTCTATATTTCTGTGTGTGTGTCTTTAATTCCTCTAGTGCCTCTGGGTTAGGGTCTCCCCAACCGAGCTGGTCTCGGCAGACTCTTTCATATACTCTTTTAATCTACCACCTCAAAGAACAAGGTAATCTCCAAAGATAAAGATATTTTCCTACCTGATTTTATCATAAAAAATGAAATTCAAGAAGAAAAGTGATCCAAAAGATCCAAAAAAAGAGAAAACATTACATATTTTGACTTAGTGATATCTAAAACTTATTTTCTTTTTCTTAAAAATTCAATTGCTGACTCATATGCTTGTTTTGTACCCGGTTTGTGCTAGACTTACCTGATTTCAAAAATATAGCTTCTTCACTGATGGAAATCCTGTCTACAGAAATGTAATTCAGGCAGTCCAGAAAACTGAGACTCTTAAAAAATGGTACAAATGAGTGATTTACTCATATCACAGTACTCCTTCAAGAATATTCTGGAAATATTTGCAACTGGTGGGCAAGCAGGCAGGTAGCCAGAGTCCCCAAGGGTGTTAGAAGAAATAAAAGTGGTGTAAACATCTTGCTATCACAGCAGAATGGTAAAGTTTACCCTTTGAAAAATATAGGACTATTATTCATAGCTGGGTGCTTTCCTGGGATTTCAATACTAATGAAGTTTGTCCTTAGTTGGTAGGAGTTTTAGAAAACATTTTACCTTTACCTACACCCACAAATCACCTTGCTTTTACTTGCATTAAAGGAACTCATATCCAGACCTTTTCTCTGTTGTTGTCTTTCTGTTAATTATATTATCATAATTGTTTTTGTTAAGCCACATATCTTCTATTGTAAAGGGAAGAAAAAAAACAAAATTCCTCAAAGTTGATTTTTGGACTCTCTAATTCTACGTGCATTATTTAAAAATTATTTGTATCCTGAGATCTAAAAGCAGGCATGCCCTTATAAAGAGCACCTTGCTGCTAACAGGTGGTCTCATATAAATCTCAGAATCCAAATTTCCTGAGTCAGTGGAACCAACCCTTCATGTGTCATATGAATATGAGATTTTTGCTATTGTACCTCTTCTCATCTCATGTGCCTAGTATATTTCTTTATGTAGAACTAAGGCACACATTGACACTTTCATGCTTCTACATGGTCAGGCTCATTATTACATTCAAAGTTTCACCAATTATCATGGAATACATAAAAAAGAAGTGTGAAATGTCTTTGATTCTAAGTCACCTATGCTATTTATTACTACATGTCTTGGAAAAATTTCAGGAAGGCTTTTGCTTTAAAGACATTTTTCCAAAAAAAGTTAGTAAATATAGTGAAAAAGAGCAAGTTAGGTTGTTATATTTGCAAAGTTAACAGACTCACTAAATGTAATTTGTTTTTATTTATTAACCAAGTCAATAATACATTCTAATAAGAAGTAACCCTTAACCAAGAACAAGCCAATTCATAATACTGTATCTTGCCCCTCTCATTTGCTATGAACTAATAATTTTCCATATATGTTTGGGATAGGTACTTTTATAATGTGAGAAATATGAATTTGGTTTTTATAATATCCCTTATTTATTTTTTCTTTCTTTCTTTCTTTTTCCTAAAAATATCTATATATCTGTGTCTAATCCCAGTTCCTATAAAAACAGAAATGTGAGAGCTCTGGGTTTCTTAATTTATCAGTTGGTTTATACGGAAATATATAGGAAGGCTGAGGTCATCTGTATCACACCTAAGACTCATTCAGCCCTGAATTTTGAGTTCTGCTCTTTCTATTGCACATTTTCCAACTCAAATATAATTCAATATACAGTGTTAATTCTGACAAAAGAAAATATAAATTGTTTGTTGAGTTTTATAAACACAACAGTTCTAGAGAATGGGATAAAACACAAACATATTACCCTCATGATTTGTTTTTAAAATCTCAGGAATTAAAGCAGGTTTTATGACTATGTCAAATAAAAATGGTATTAAAATATTTTTGAGACCTTTGGATTATTTTAAGGTTAAAATAAAAAGTGCAATGAAACAGCAATACAAAATGAAATGGTAAACATTTGAGGCAGAAAATTGGCAGTAGTTTCAAGAGAAATTAGAAAATGAATACTCTTATAATTAAATAATTAAATATCAGGAAATCTAATTTAATATAACCACAAAACTGAAAAAAAACAGTTGGGTACAGACATATATACTGCATTTTAATAAAGTTAGTATGACAAGTATATACTTTAATTCTGAAATAATATGTGGCAACAGTGAGTAAATATTAAAAATATAATAAAATTGATAACCATGCGCAATGGATTATAACTTTCTCTGTAGTCCAAAAGTGAAAGACAAACCAACCAAAACTACCCTTATAATGTTACATAGGAATAATCTTGTGAGTTTCATAATTTTCAGCAAAAACTTTGGAGGAGTTTTATTCCAGAATGGTAACCAGGGTCAAATCTCCCATTAGGTCTCTGAGGGCTTAGCGAGGCTCATAATTTAATATCAGGATCTAAGGAAATTTCTTTTATCCCCTCAAAATGTGGAGGCAAATTTTGACAGCTTCCTGGAGCTGCCACTTTTGTAAAACTGTCAGTGATATGGAAGAAGGAGAAGGAGGAAGCTACAAAATAGGACTTGTGCTAAGGTTTTCAGTAGTTTAGGAAAAGGACTTTGACATTATTATATGTGATCTGAGACCAGAAAATCTCACTCGCATTAATGAATGTACAAAACTTGGCATGAGGTTGTGGTTGGCCATAGTTAAAACATTAACACAGAAATGGAGAGCAAGAAAGAGAGAAAGGGAACTCTCACATTCAAGATGAATATACAACTAAATTGTGCTTGAAGAAGATGACTAAGACTCAGTTATTACTTGCTTCAAAATATGTGTAAATGATAGAGAACTCAAGAATATATTAAAATAAGTTGTTTTGTTTCCTTAAAATGATAATAAAATATAGCATAAATAAAATTGATAAAATGTGAAATAAAAATAGTAGACATAAATCAAAAGCATATTTATAGAAAAGAAACAATTAGGTTCAAAGTAAAAATTATAATTGCTGAATATTAAAAATGATATCACAGTCTTTGGGATAAATTCTAGAAATGACTCAGTCAGAAAAAAAATTTTTTTAAATGGAAGATAGTGTTGATTATTTTATTCAGAATACTGCACAAATAGCTAAAGAGACAAAATAATAGATAGTTTGCTGCCAATAAAATCATTCCAGAAGTCAAGATTGAAGGGCATTTTGGAGCAAAGTTTGAGGGGACAATAAGTAAGACTTTTCCAGAACTAAAGAAAGACTAAAAACTCAATGAGGGCCTATTAGAATAAATCAAAATAAAGACAAACACTAATTTTCTAGGGAAACAGCTGAATATTGAAAAGAGAAAAAAAATTAAAAACTGTGTAAAAGAAGACCCTAACAAGATGTCATAGAATAACATGCAACCGTGAGAAGTCTTCACTTTGGTTAGTAATTGTGAGATGACTGTCAACCTAGAATTCTATATCCAGCTAAAGAATAGACAAGATTAAGGGTAAACTTGTATTTTCAGACAATCAAAAGTGAAGACAATTTACAGCACATATACCCATGGCAAGTCAACTACTAAAAAAAGTTTTTCAGTAAAATAAAATTAAACCCAAAAAGAAGGAGAGGTATGCAGAAAACAGTGTTCATGAAAAAGCAATAGGCTATAACTAGGCAGGGCTTGTGGGGTGTGTAGTTAAATTGTACTGAGTTTTTCACTGAAAGGAGGAAAGAGTTATAAATAACTATAGAGCTTGTGAGTAAATATATTTTTGTATGTTAAAAATGTATGAGTATTTACAAAAACAACATGTTCAATATACAGTTTTCAAACAAGCAGAGGACAACAGATAGGAATGATGAAAATCTTATCACTACAATGCAAATGAAGGTGTAGGGCAAACAAACATGCACACCAGAACTTTTAAACAGAAACATACTCAAACTATGCTAATAGAAATCAATAAGCAATATCAGTAATTGCAATACATTGAAAAGGACTGTATTCACCTCCAATCGGTAATTTTAAATTCAACTTTAGCTGTTTACTTGACATATATAAAATAAACCAATACTTAAAACTACTCAATAGCTAAGGCAAACAAAAGCTAATGAAAAGAGAGCACCAGTATTACTGTAGGATAATGTATCAGTTTCTTATTATTGTTAAAATAAATTAATCCCAAACTTGGTTAGTCGAACTAACACAAATACATTATCTTACAGTTCTGGAGATCAGAAGTCTAAAATCACTCCAAAAAGACAAGCTCCTTCTATAGACTCTGAGGGGAGAATCTGTTTCCTTATGTTTTCCTCTTCTGGTAGCCACCTGTATTCCTTGATTTGTGGCCTCTTCTTCCATCTTTAAACCACATCACTACAATGTCTGCTCTTCCTCACAGTACCTTTTCCTCCTACATCCTCTTATGAGGATCATTGTGCCTGGGTAATCCAAGATAATATCCCCTTCAATATCAGACTTAATCATATCAGTAAAGTCTCTTTTGCCAGATAAGGTAATACTCACTGGCTGCAGGGATTGGCATTTGGGTGTATTTGGGAGCCATTATTCAGCTTGACAGAGACAGAAAATAAGACTTATTATTTGGAGACAGATATTACTTCTACAAATAGAGTTGTCAATTCCATTATATTTCAGTCAAAATCTGAGTAGGATTTTCTAAGACACTTGAAAATTTATCTGGAAGAATAAATTCTGAGAAAGATTGAAGATAATGAAGATCTTTATTGCTAATTATAATGAATTATACAATTACAGTAATTAACAAACAAGTAAAGAAAGTACTCTCTAATGGGCACGAAAAATATTGCTTTTATGTAAAAAATACAAATTAGATATGCACCTTATACCATGAAAATAACCTGCAGATAAATAGGACACCACAACAAGGAAAGGAAAATTTGAAAACACCAGTAGAAAATATAGCAGACAAAATTATAACCTCAAATTGGTGACTTTTTTTGTTTTTGTTTTTGTTTTTAGACAATGTCTCATTGTTGCAAAGCTGGAGTGCAGTTGCACGACCTCAGCTCACTGCAATCTCTGCCTTCTGGGTTCAAGGGATTCTCCCAACTCAGCTTCCCCAGCAGCTGGGATTACAGGTGGCATGCACCACCATGCTGGCCAATATTGTGGAAAAATTTGAATTCGCCAAAAAGACAAAAATGTCTTAAAGGGAAGAAGGATACATTTGACCATGCAAAACTATACAATTCTGTCTAAGACTAATTAAGCAGTATGAAAATATATACTACTATTTGAGATATCTGTCACATATGAAACAACTGGTAACCAATACTTTATAAGTCATACATATCTAGTATTAAAGAATAGCTTCACAATGCAACTAAAATGCAAATAAAGTATGAAGACGTTAACCTGCATAAGATTCTGAAGAAAGTCGGTCACTCACCCGCAACTGGTGGTGAAGGAAATTACTTAATTAGTTTGATAACGCATAGTAAATATTTTCAAAAATACATACCCCTGACAAAATCTTTATACTTCTAGCTCTCTCTCTGTCTCACATATATATGAGGAGGAAGTTTGGACAGACTCAGCTACAAGAGGGGTTGTGTTTGTGTTTAAATCTCCTCTCTCTGAACCTGAGCTCATAATCTTAATTTCTGTATAATATTTTCTGTAATGCAAACAAGATTACAAAACAACAATGCCTAGGAAAATATCTGAAAAGCAATATATCAAAATGTTAATAGTAATTGTTTCCATGTTGTAAGACTGTAGATGATTGTTTTTTTCCCTTTATCTCAAAATATTCTATGAAGAAATAAAATTATTTTTAACGATGAGATATGAAGTTTATGCAGTTATGAAGGTGTTATTCCTGCACAATCAGACATCTCTTTTATAGGACATGTGAACTGGAGAGAAATTAGATTAATTAAGGGTATACTATCAGGGAATCTGCCCCTGTATTCACATAGGTTCTTTTCTATTTTCCTTAAGCATTGGCCAGCTTGAGAAATAAAGGGACAGAGTACAAAAGAGAGAAATTTTAAAGCTGGGCATCCGGGGGAGACATCACATGTCAGTAGGTTCCGTGATGCCCCACAAGCCACAAAAACCAGCAAGTTTTTATTAGGGATTTTCCAAAGGTGAGGGAGTGTGCGAATAGGTGTGGGTCACAGACATCAAGTACTTTACAAGGTAATAGAATATCACAAGGCAAGTGGAGGCAGGGCGAGATCACAGAACTACAGGACCGGGGCAAAATTAAAATTGCTAATGAAGTTTCAGGCACCATTGTCATTGATAACATCTTATCAGGAGACAGTGTTTTGAGATCAACCCGTCTGACCAAAATTTATTAGGCGGGAATTTCCTCTTCCTAATAAGCCTGGGAACGCTATGGGAGACTGTGGTCTATTTCACCCCTGCAGTGTCGACCATAAGCCACGGACACACCTGGGGGGGCCGTTTATAAGCCTAAACCTCCAGGCTCATATTCTCTTTCCCAGGGATGTTCCTTGCTGAGAAAAATAATTCAGCGATATTTCTCCCATTTGCTTTTGAAAGAAGAAAAACATGGCTCTGTTCCACCCAGCTCACCGGCGGTCAGAGTTTAAGGTTATCTCTCTTATTCCCTGAACAATTGCTGTTATCCTGTTCTTTTTCAAGGTGCCTAGATTTCATATTGCTTAAACACACATGCTGTACAATTTGTGCAGGTAATGCAATTATTACAGAGTCCTGAGGCGATATACATCCTCCTCAGCTGACAGGATTAAGAGATTAAAGTAAAGACAGGCATAGGAAATCACAAGGGTATTGGTTGGGGAAGTGATAAGTGTCCATGAAATCTTTACGATTTATGTTTAGAGATTGCAGTAAAGACAGGCATAAGAAATTATAAAAGTATTAATTTGGGGAACTAATAAATGTCCATGAAATTTTCACAATCCACGTTCTTCTGCCATGGCTTCAGCCTGTCCCTCCGTTTGGGGTCCCTGACTTCCCACAACAGTATACATTTTAAGGGATTAAAAAAATTAGAGAAAACTGATTTTACAATAACTGTTATTAAGACTTATTAAAATATGTCAATTGCTAAGGAATTCCAAAGAGACTCATTTGTTACCAAGACATATACCTAATACATATATTTATTAAATAGCTAAATTTTACTTCCTACTTCATCTCCTAATTCAATCAAATGTCTGAAACTGTTAGACAAATATGTTACATATGGGGAGAATAGAATTTCAATTTTAATTATATTTATATTTTAATTTTAATTATATTTTTGTCCTTGGTGGTACCCTGTTCTTTAATTTTTCTAGAACTTTTATGTACTCTGTCAACATAATACACTATTTTTTAAAACGTCAAAAATTTTGACAATTGAAATATTTTTGTGTTTAAATATTAACTTACATGGAATATATCACTTGCAGAATAATGACTCTGCAAACGATTACGTTTGATTAAGAAGTAGTAGTGTCAGGAAGTACATTTTAGTTGACTCATCTATTGTTTTGTCTCACTTGCCAAATAAAATACTATTCAATCCATAAGAATCACTTTAATCAAGTCCACTGGTGAGCTAGCTGGATTCATAATCTTAGTTACTGAAATTTATATAATCATACTCTTACTCTTTGAATATAGAACAAACGTGGTTATTACTCCCTTAGTCAATTTGCATGAAAAACATTTTAGTTGTTTTGGTAATCTCCCAAGAAGTGATCTTCACAGTGAGTAGACAGGAGAAAGCAGTTCATACCAGGTTTTTAAATGTGTTAAAATGAAGAACAATACTGAAATGAAAATTATTAATTCAAGGTCCTGTGCCAATTAAACTTTTTAAGAGATCAATATATTCTTCATTAATAAACAAAGAGCTTATAAACCTGTCACTTCATTGGCAAGTATTCATTGATATTTAAAAAGAAAAAAAGAAAAGAATGCCCTTCGTTTTGAACCATTGAGATAGGGAAAATCATCCATGAGGAATTAATTACAATTGGCAAAAAAGATGATGAATATTTGGTGACAAGAGAGGCCCCTCATTTACTTTACAAATAAGCTTTGTGGCATCATGGGCAAATGCTGCATTTGAAGTTGACATAGTTCATCCAAAGCATATGCTTTGTAGCTCTTCCTTCTTTAATAAAAGAAATTATCAGGTCTGGGGAGTTTTCTCAAATAAAGGAAAACACACACAAAAACTTTGTTGTCCTAATCTTTCAAGATGCATTTTTTCTTTTATTTGTCTGTCTGTCTCTCTCTCTTTTTTCCTAGAATAAATACAGAAACATTTTCTAAAATCATTATACTTTGATTCACGGTTACAAATAATTTTACACATTTGGTAACACTGGTAAACCAGTCAGTAGACTACTTTTTCTTCAGTATGTGTGTTATAATTTGAATGTGTACCCCAAAAAGCATGTGTAGAAAATCTAATTGCTACTATAACAGTATTAGTCATTTTGAAATGTGATGAGACCTCATAAATGGATTAATGCCATTATTGTGGGAGCAGATTCTTTATAAAAGAATGAGTTCAGCTCTTCTCTTGTTTTCTTTCTCACCGCATCCTTGCTCTTCCACAGTGGGATTACGTTTCAATAAGGCCTTTGCCAGGTGTTGTCCCTTCAATCTTGGACTTCCCAGCCTCTAAAAGCATGAGTCAATAAATTTCTGTTTATCGTAAACTTTTTTAAAAGTATCTTAAGGTCTTCTCTTTGACCTGTAGATTATTTAGCATTGTACTGTTTACTTTTCAAATGTTTCTCAGGAAATTTCAGCTGTCTTAATTTACAAATTGATTTCTAGTTTAAATCTATGTAGTTTGAGAATATACTAAGCATAGCTTTCATTCTTGTAAATGTTTAAGGAGTGCTCTAAGAATCATAATTGAGCCCATCTTGATGAGCAATTCATGTCAGTCTGAAAAATTTATATATTCACTGTCATTACATGAAGTAGTAAATATCAATTATGTAAAATTGACTAACAGTGCATCTATCCCATCTACATCCCTACTGATTTTCTGTCTGTTTCATCTATAAATTACTGACAGAGTGTTGTTGATGTCTGCTTCTCTAATAGATTTGTCTAATATTGGTTTTTTCAGTTTTTTTCATGAATATTGACAATTTTTTAGGTGTATAAGTCTTTATATTTTTATTTTAAAAAAATCTAAATAACCTATTATATGACAATGTTTTTATCATTGACAATTTTTCTTGTTATGTAATCTTCTATGTCTTAAATAAAAATAGCTGCTTCAGCTTTCCTATTATTAGTGTTAGCATTGCATATCTTTCTGGATTCTCTTACTTTTAACCCAAGTCTTTATATTCAAAGTGGTTCACCTGTAGAAAGCATATATTTGGCTCATTTTTGTTTCTCTTTTTACCTAGTTTGACAATCTGTCTCTTTTGACTATTTAGGATATGTACATTTAAAGTGATTATTAATATAGTTGGTCTATTATCTACCTTGTTCTAAACTGCCTCTTATTAGTTGTGTTTGTCTTTTGTTTCTTTTTCTTTCCCTCTTTTACTACCTTCTCTAGCTTTAAATGTACACTGTATATGATTATCTTTCCTCTCTTTGGTATCATCAATCATACTTCTGTAATAAATGAGTGGTTGCCTTAGAGTTTATAGTATACATTAAAAAAATCTTAGTACACAGTAAAAACACAATAATAATGTGCATGAATTATAAGAAACTTTAGTATTCTTTTCCCTATATTCCCCTGTGATATTTCTGTCAGTCATGTCACTTATCTTCATGCCATAATCACACAATATGTTGTTAACATTATTGCTTCAACTAAACATATATCCTTCAGATCAATTAAGAATAAGAAAAAGAAGAGATGTTATTTTACTTTTGTTAATATTTGTCAGCTCTCTTCCTTTATATAGATTTGAGTTTCTGACTATATTATTTTTGTCCTGCCTGAATAATCTCTTTCTTTACTTTTCTTTTTAGGACACATACACTAGCAATCAAACGTTTTTTCTCAGAAAATTGATTTGTCCTTCCCTTTTGAAAGGTAATTTATTTGCCTGGAATGCTATTTTCTGAAATTGTTTATTTCAACACTTTGAATAGTTCACTATGCTCTGTTCTTATTTACACACTTTATGGCAATAAGCCAGCTGTGATTCTTATCCTTCTTCCTCTGTAGATGGATGATTGCATAACCTCTGAATATTTTCAAGATTTTCCTTTTATCTTTAGTTTTCTGCAGTGAAGATATGATCTTTTTTTTCATACTTATCCTACTTGCTGTTCTCTGAGTTTTCTCGATCTGTGGTTTGGTTTCAGAAATTAACTTAAAAAATTTCTTGGTCATTTTCACTTCAAATGTTTCTTCTGCTTTGTTATTTCTTTCTTCTCTTTCCTCCTTTCTCCTTCCTCCCTTCTCATTATGCATATAATACATTTTTGATACTGTGTAATGATTCTTGAATCTCCTAGGTTTTTACATTTTTATTTATTTTTTCCTTTACATACCATTTTGGGAATTTTTTTATTGATCTATTACATCTTCAGGCTCACTGATTCTTTCTTTCTTCTTCGCCTCCTTTTTTTTTTATTTTTTTATTTTTTGATGGAGTCTTGCTCTGTCATCCAGGCTGGAGTACAGTGGCGCGATCTCGGATCACTGCGACCTCTGTCTCCCAGGCTCAAGCGATTTTCCTGTCTCAGCCTCCCAAGTAGCTGGGATTACAGGCACACGCCATCAGGCCTGGCTAATTTTTTTTTTTTTTTTTTTTTGTATTTTAGTAGATACGTGGTTTCACCATGTTGCCCAGGCTGGTCTTAAACTCCTGAGCTCAGGCAATCCACCTGCCTTGGCCTCCCAAAGTGCTGGGATTACAGGCATGAGCCACCGCACCCAACTGATTCTTTCTTAAGCCTTGTCAAGGCTACTGATGAGCCCATTGAAGGCATTCTTCATCTCTGCTTAGAGATTTTCACTTCTATCACTTTCTTTTTATTCTTCCTTAGACTTTCCATCTCTCTGCTTAAGTCATCCATCTGTTATTGCATGTTGTCTATTTTTCTAATACAGCCCTTAACATTCATCTCAGTTGTTTTAAATATTTTGTCTCATGATTTCAACAGCTATGTCTTATCTAAGTCTTGTTTTCATCATGGAGTTGTCTTCCCAAATTGTTTTTTTCTCTTGTTTTTCTTTATGCCTTAGATATTATTGTTGAAATCCATACATGCTGCACAAGACAACAGGAAGTGAAGTAATTTGACACATAATGTGATGAGGTATGTAAATTTAGCCAGAGATTTTGCTCTGTTTAATGCTTGTTAAAGATATAGGTAAGGATTTAAGATCTTTCTAGTGTTCATATTTTTATTTTTTCTCTTGCGTTTTCATATGTACTCTTCTTGTAGAATTTGTTTCTTTAATCTTTTAAAATATGTAATTCACTGTTATATTGAAGCCTTGTTGGTTTGGTGGTGAGATGTATGGTAGGGGAAATATTCTATATTCTTTTAAGTCCCAGTCTTTTAGAGACCTTTGTTTTGGTTCCCTTAATTTCACAAGTATTCTGTCAATGCTCTCCCTTTCCCCTCCCCTGTACCATACTATTTTTTTCCAGTAAGAATGTTCTATTTCTGTTTTCTTGAAGTCTGGAACCTTATTGTCTGTAATTTTGTTTAACCTTCCCCCCTTAGGTAAGCTAGAATAGCAGGAGAAGCTTTGTGTGAAGAGGAGATTCATTCTCCCAGCTAGGATAAAATTTCTGAATTGCTCTCTTGTAAAGCCCTTTTCCCTGGAGATTACTCATATATTCTGGAGAAGGCACTAGGCACTGTTCACAATAGTCACTCTTCTTCCTATGCCAGAGAGAAGAAGTGATCTTTCTTGGATCCCATCAAAACCTATGACTTCCTGGAGGGGAAGCCTATGAAACTATGAAGATACAAATAAGAATCTAGGCATTTTTCATTCATGCCAGTTCATACCAAGTCTCCAGAATTAATTTAAATTACCATTTACATGCACCCAGCAGTTTATAGTTACAGGAACTTTGGCCCTAGATAAGCAGATCTCAGTTGCTCCATTTCTTTAAGTAAGACTGTCTTTCTAGATTTCAGAGTGGTAGTTTGCTGTATGACCTGTTCTATGATGAATCCAAGAAAAGAAGTAACCACTTTTTAATTTGTCTAGCTTTTCTTTTCTTTTTTTTTTTTTTTTTTTTTTGAAATGGAGTCTTGCTCTGTCACCCAGGCTGGAGTGCAGTGCTGTGTTCTCGGCTCACTGCAACCTCTGCCTCCCGGGTTCACACCATTCTCCTGCCTCAGCCTCCCGAGTAGCTGGGACTACAGGCACCCGGCACCATGCCCAGCTAATTTTTTATATTTTTAGTAGAGACGGGGTTTCACAGTGTTAGCCAGGATGGTCTCGATCTCCTGACCTTGTGATCTGCCCGCCTCGGCCTCTGTCTTTTTTTGTATTAAGGACAGGAGTGATGACTTTCAAATGTTTTCTCTGAGACCTAAAATCATAATAATGAATTTAGCACCACCTGTACTTACAGTGAACATGCTAGGTACTCCAAATTCCAGAGTCTTTCTGGGTTTCTCTTGATCAAAGTAGTTTTTAATCTTGATTTCTTCCACCTGGCACATAGTTTTCACTCTTGAACTTTCTAGTTTGATTTCTATGCATCAACCTACTTTGCGTTTTCAAAAATTGTTGATATTCTTGTTATCTCATATTTCTTAGTACATGAGGATTTATGCTTTTTATTCTTCCTTCAGTATCATTTTAGTGACATTTCAATAGTAAACATTAGTCAAAATGTGTCTTTTCTTCCATATTTTGTGAATGTACTTCATTCCCATGTTTTAATTTGTTCCAAGTATATTTATGAAGTACATACTGTATGTAAAGCACCGTGTTATGTTGGGACATATGTGTTAATAAAATTTAGTTTCTGGCCTTATAACCTTAATAGTCTTTTGAGGACAAATGGATGAGGAAATGTGTAAATATTATGTTGAATAAAATGGACTATAATATTTAAAACATGTTCTTTTTATTTTGAGTACCCTGATTGGGCTACTTCTTTTCTCAGTACCATATAAACTATTAATCTGGTTTCACAGATTTTTCAGTCATACAATTCTTTTCATAGCTATCATGGATTTCAGGTATATTGCCAATTCTGTTTTCACCGATAAGAATGATATGCTTCCTACAGTTGGCCCTAGATTTTTAACTCTCATCAATTAAGATACACCACAAACTAGGCTGGGTGTGGTGGCTCACGCCTGTAAACCCAAGACTTTGGGAGTCCAAGGTGGGTGCATCGCTTGAGATCAGGAGTTTGAGACCAGCCTGGCCAACATAGTGAAACCTCATCTCTAGTAAATAAAGTACAAAAAAATTAGCCTGGCGTGGTTGCACACACCTGTAATCCCAGTTATTCAGGAGGTTGAGGCAGGAGAATGGCTTGAACCTGGGAGGTGGAGGTTGCAGTAAGCCTAGATTTTGCCACTGCACTCCAGCCTGGGCAGCAAAGCAAGACTCCATCTCAAACAAACAAATGAACAAACAAAAACAAAACAAAAACAAACTCACAAACTAAATAGAAAATTATTATGTCTTTTTAAAAATTAATTAAAAACTACTATGAGCCATTAGGGTCTGTGTCAGTTGCAGGAAGCTGCCTTACCAAAGGTTCCACTCTTCTGGGTCAGCCTGCATCTGATTACTGAGTGACACAAGAATATTGAGATTCTGCCATTGTACAGGTGTAAGATAATCCCGATGAGAAATAGTCACCAGAACTCCCTGTAAGTTGGCCAAGGCTTTGAATCGCAGTTTGATTTCTCTTCACCCAATCATGCCTCTTCTGCTTCATTTCAAAGGTGTTGTTTCCTAATAGCTATCTTATACCTAAAACTCAGCATCTCAGTGTCTGCTGAGAAGCCAACATGTGACAATAATGAAAGTCAACCCAAAACAAAAAGTCTAAATATTTATTTACATAACGTTCTCTTTTTAGCACAATTTGCTTTTGTAAAACAGTTCCCTTCTCTTTTATTGTTACAGAATCTCCTCTACCATGAAGGGACAGATGAACTCTGTGGCTGGTGACAAGAGTATTTATGCAATAGGAAAAAGGTCAGTTCTGTCAAACTTATGTTATTTCACTTGTGTTTGCTTTATAAATAGTGTCATCAAATCACAGTTCCTTAACTAAAATCTATGTAAGGCATTTTAAACTTTGTGTTGGTTTAATAGCTAAGTTTGAGCAAAAATGATCCAAGGTTTGATTTAACTGGGCACACATACACTTGAGCATTCAACAGAATAATGGCACCAAAGTTAATTGTCCATGAGGATTTCTATTGGCTCCAGGTAATAGAGGCAGAGAACATGAGAAGTGTCACTTGGACTAGGGCTTACATGGGGACACTGATCTCAGTATGTACCCTCGATTTCCTCCTTTTTAATATAAAACATTTGCAAATAAAAGTTGTAACATTTCTTTCTACACCATATTTAAATGTTTTGCATATCCCATGGCATGTATTCATTTCCAGTTGAACGCTAGTAACTCGATAAAAGGTTCATCCAGAAGAAAATTTTGCCTTATTCGCTATTTTTAGTTCCTTGCATAATACCTAACACAAAATGATAGTATCTGAGACAAAATGATGGCATCTGATGCAAAATGTATAGATTCATAATGTATACATATATGTGTATATGTATGCATGGGCATACAAATGTATATACATTATATACAATTAATACTATTGAAAAATAATGAAGGAAGAAATTGCAAAAATAATTGTGATTTGTAGATCATGAAAGGATTCATCAAACATTTTTTAAATATATAATTTATTCTGAGGGAAAATGGAAATTAATATCAACTTCCTATAAGCTTTTTCTTAAAGTTTTCAGCTCCTTCAGAACCACCCCCCTTCCTTTCTATCCATCCATATTAATAAGCCTCTTAGACTTGATGTCATCCATACTTTATATGCTTATCACCCACACTTCTATGAAAACTTTGTAAGCCACACCATTTAATTAACTTTCATAACCTTAGTGCCTAGCAAAGAGCCTGGAATGTAATAACATCTCATAATGATGTTGATGACTAGAATTTAATCTATTGTAAAACATTTGGAGGTAAATTATATCATATATGCTATATATGTTCTAGTAACTGTGTAACTTTTTTTCTCAAGCAAGAAAAAATAATTATAAAGATATTAAATATTTTGGCTAAAATAAAAAGTATAAAATCAAACTCATATAATGCTGCAAAGTGTATGGATTTAATAGATTATTATTTTTCTCAGCAACTATGAATAAAAGCAAAGTAAGAAAACACAAAAGAATGTTATTGCTTTCTGCTGTATTTGTGCAATATTATGTTTTTCCTATACGATTGAATAATTTGTGACAATGAAAATCTATTGTAAGATTTTTGTTAAGTAGCATTATTTCTCCGAGTTTTTTGAAACTGTTAGCATGGTGTTTCCCTTTGCTTCATTTTACTTCCAGAATCAAACTAAGATTTGGAAAAGAAAGTTAAATTGAAAATAAATAAATAAGTGAAAAGAATTTTTAAGATTCATTGGAAAAATAACTCCTTGGAAGCATTAACTGTTTTAAGCTTACTATACTAGCAAACTACCTGTTTGCCTTTCTCTTAACTTTCCTCTCGTCCTTCAGGATCAGTTATTTACTTAATCATATTCTACAGTGTGTGTTTATTGTTTACATATGCATAAGTAACTTTGTTATTTTCTTTCTCTTTTTTTTGATGGCCACTATCCTTGGGTGATCTAAATATAGATATTTGAAAATGAGCCCTATTTTCTCACTAGCTGATAAGTTCTTTGTGAATAATTGAGACCCTGAAACTACCTCAGATGTGGAGAGGCTGTAATTTACTAAGGACACTCTCATATTGCTCATGTGTAAATTGAAACACATTGAATGTGGAAGCAATCATCATCATAATATGATTGTTATAAAAAATCATTACCTTTCATGCTGGAAATGTCAATTAAATGTCAGTTTGGAAAATGAAGAAATCCAACATGGGCTCTAAATACATGCAGCTTAATTCACTTATTTTAGATGAATTGACATTCTACTAACCAGCCGTCATCTTGTCACTAAATATTTTCTTGATTGAATAAAATGAGTGGAATAGGCACAATTTATCAACTAAACTACTTCAGTTATTCATTTTTTCCCTGAATTTGAAAGACCAGCTGTGAAAACGGCATCAATAACAACAGTGAAAGTAGAATTTGAATACAAAAAAGTGTGTTTTCAGGAGTCCTCTAATCTAGTTATGCATAGTAATAAGATTTAGCTATTTTTGAACTTTGCTTACATAAAATTCATATTTATAACTTTTTTTGCCTAGTAAAGTGTAGGAGAAAAAGTTCCCCAAGCTGTTACATGAACCAATGTCAAGAGAAAATGAAGAATGCTTATTATTGAAATTCTTTTGTTAACTCTCTAGGAATATTTTGATTTTGAAAGGCAAGTTGAATCTAGTGACTCATTAAATAAGGAAGCATGCAAATAATTTCACAGCAATGAGGTAAGAAGTTATTGTCTACTTTCTAATACATAGTCCCTTAAATATTGTATAAGGCTTTCAAAAGTTATATCTTCATAGCCTTTCCTGCAGGAAATAAACATATCTCCCAAAGAAGTCCAGTCTGGTACAGTATTTAATGAAGCAAATAAGACTCTATTGCTTGCAATTTCAGTGGAGACACATTCAGGGCTCTGGAGTGGAGCGATAACACAGTACCATAACAAGTATTGTCATGAGTTCTTACAGCTACAAGCAATTTAACTAAAGGAAATCACATGCTTTACAACTAGTCTGTCTCACAACTAGAATCTAAATCCCATGTGGCCTCACCACTCATACTAATTAGTCCATCTCATGAAACTGAAGGTTACAAAAGTTGTCACAGTTTTTTAAGATACCAAGATTTAGAGCACTGTGAAGAGAGGGCATAATCATTAGTGTTATATTTCAAACTGTCTGTATTTTTTTGTCATATTTCCCCAAGATAAAGCCCCCAGTTTTTGCTCTTACCCAAAGTCACTAAAAACTGCTCTAGAAAAAAATCACATAACTGTGAAGAACTATGCTATTTTGAAGTCAGAGTAGACACCAAGAGTCTCTTAAAACTAATTTTTAATGTCCAGTCATCAGATTGATTCATCCCACATTAGAGGGAGTGAATGTTGAATTATTTCACCAATTTTCTCAAAATGTTTATGTCTTCTTTATCCCTGGCCTCATCGTCAAATTCACAGGTGTCATTGAGGCTGGTAAGCATGATTTCTGTGAGCTTATGATATCTGTCAGCCTATCCCTATGGGAGTCTCTATAATCTCACAAACTTTGTCCTTCCTTTTCCCTCAATTCAGCGTTCTCAAACATTATTGTGCAACAATATTCTACCTGGAGACAATTTTAAAAAATAGAATGTTACCCCACAACCCCAGAGTTTCTTATTCAATAAACCGAGGAGGAGCTAGACATTTTTCTTTTCTAAAAGTTCCTAAGGAGGTGCTGATGCTACTGTTTGGAGAACATTTTGGGAACCACAGGTCTAAGAAAAAGAGATGACTTTCTTCCTACCCAAGTTTAATATCACTAATTGCTCTACATGGCAACCCATTTTTATGTTAGTTTAATTGTTTCCTCTTATTTTTATTCAATTTATTCTTCACAATATAATCATATTCGAATCACTCTCATTCTGAAGACCGTTCACAGCCCTGTTTGTTAAGCTAGGGGTTATCTTTTCTTAAGTCACAAATAAGCTTATTTAAATTGGAAGTTTTTGTTTAATATTTCCACTTTAGTGCCTGATTCTCACATCTCAGTGAAGCTCATTCTTGCCTCTTCTTTATAGATTCAACAATTACTTCTGTAGGTAAGTAAAAGTAATAGATTTTTCTTACCCTTCACAAGATTCATGGCTGACACTTCCATAACAAATGACAGATTGACAAAAGGGGACATACAAATTTATTTAACATAAGCTTTGCATCTTCAGAAATGAAGGCTGAAAGAAACAGGAAACCCTATATATTTTTATGCTAAGTTTGATGAAGTGTGGGCAGTTGTGCAGAAGTATGATTGGGTGAAGGGGCTGCAATCTAATGGTAATAAATGAGGGGAACTTAGCAAAACCTGTTTGTTCAGATACTTCTTAGTATCCTCGGAGATATATTCCTTTTTCTCTGGTTATAGGTTCTTCTCTCACATGAAGATTTTATAACCTACTTCAGAGGAAGGTCGGATAAGTGTTTTAGGGCCTGCTTCAGGAGAGAAGGACAGGAGAAGAGCAGAGAGACCTTGTTTCTTCTGCTGTTTTTTCAAGTGCCAGGGTGCTATATTTTGGAATAGCATGTACTGAAAGTTATCATTTCCTGATTATTGTATTTAAAAACAAAATCACGAGCACAACAACATTCAACAATATTCTGACTTCTCCCTCTTCTTGAATCTTTCTTTATCTTGGCTTCTACACCAGTGCTCATGGCTCACCATATTCCTCTCTGCTTGTTTTTCCATCTCTTATCTGCAACTGCAATTCACCCTTTCTGCCTTTCTGGTCAGTTTCACCATGGTTCTCTCATTATCATTTTTACCATCATTTTACACCCACTGGTTGGATTAGCTCATTCACGTCCACACGTTTAGCAGTCTTCTTAATCTGAAATCTGCCTCTGCAGTCTAGAGCCCTCTCCTGAGGTTCAGATCAGGACAACCAAATTCCTATTTGACATAATCACCCAAAAGTTTCACAGGATTCTCAACGCTTATGAGAATGGAAGAAGATAAGTAATTTTGCCTCTGTATACCAATCATTTAATATTTTAAAACATTCATTGAAAGCATCTCCACGTAACCAGTTATGCAACCAGAAATTTAGGACTTGGTCTGTTCTCTAGAACATGTAATCAGTCAACAAAACTTCCCATTGCTGCCTCAATTCTTGCAACAGTTTGGCTCCTAACTTCAACTTCCTTCAGATCACACTGCTCTATTGCCACCAGCACAATCCCTTTGAAACAAAACTCTAATTTTCTTTTCACTCTAATGTGTAAAATATTTTCTAAGAGCTCAGCTTCAAAATGAGATTCAAAAGGTCTGGCTTCATGTCTAAACTTAATACCTGTCTGCTTTTCACTTAGAGTATATATCCTTGCCTACCAATGTTATTGCAGTTCACTAAAGACAATGTGCTACTTTTTCCATCATTGCATCAACACTAACTGGAATCTCTCACATTATTTTGTAAGCTACATTGACATTTCCTTTGTGAAAGTTTCCTCCCCCCATAACAGTCTTTAAATATTCTTTTGGAAATAGTGTACCATTTGGTAATTTTTTTAAAAGTTGGATTATTCTCCTGGATTTATTTCCCTATGTCAATAATTTGGACTTAGTATTTTGTATACTTACAGATTCTACTGGAGTGCTTGGTACCTAATAGTTGCTAAATAGATGCTTATAAGAGTGAAATTAATTTAAATAACAGAGTTTGGACCATTTGAAAATAAAAGAGACACAAAAACTACTTCTTGTGGCTTCCAAGAAAAATAAATACACTGTCAACATAAAGACCTGATGGAAATGTTCACAGCAGTTTTATTCATAATAACAAAAAATTAGAAACAAAGCACTCATCAACTTGTAAATAATTAAAAACAGATGATGCAACATTACTAAGCATTAGAGAATAAACTATTATTGATAAACATAACAACGTGGATGCAACTTATAAAATGATGATTATTTAAAAACTAGGAATAAAATAATACTCACTCTATGATACCATTTACATTAAATCCCAGAACAGAATAACTGATTTATAGAGACAGACAATAGAGGATTGTTGACTTGGGCCCAGGGCCGTGAAGAAGAGATTGGCAATAAGGGAAACTTTTCACAGTGATATAAATGCTTTGTATCTTAATTGTGGTGATAAATATATAGATGCATTCATCTGTCAAACCCATTACACTGTGCACATAAAACTGACTCATTTCACTGCATGTAAATAATAATAACTTTTATTTAAAATAACTAGCCTTTTTTGTAGTTCATATGTAAACCTAGTTTTAGATTAGGTCTGTCAAGCTCAAATTCCATTAAAGATAAGTCAAGAAACATACGTACATGGAGATCCAAGTGAAATCTAATATGAAGTGATAGGAATTGTGTTAAATTGGAGATTTCATGCTGCATCTAAAAACTTCCAAACTTAAACATTATTAAATATTTATCTAGCCAATAAAAACACATCTCCTTGACAGAGTCAGTCCACAAACACTGGTTAGCAATTCTTGCATTAGAGAAAATAATAGTTTTTCCAAGATCAAGCCGAAAAAAAAAAAGTGAGGTAGAGAATTAATTTAATTTATCTCAATGAAGACAAAAGGTAAATTTTACCTTTTGGCAATTCTTCCAGTAAAATAGTTCTGCTATCAGTTGACCTGATGAGATTAATGGTGAGTCCAAACATATAAACCATTCTCTGGAAAGATATTGCTAGACAATGTGAGGTGAATTAATTATTTCAGTGTATAAAATAAACTTTAGAAGGTCTGCAAGTGTGTGTGTGTCGAAGGAGAGGATGTGAGCGGGTGAAGAGAGAGAGAGGAAGGGAAAGAGAGGAGATACACCTATACTTTTACACTAAGGACACAAAAATATGTAAATGGACTTTTGCAAAAAATCATTGTCATAAAAATTTAATTTAGCTTGTGAAACTCTAAAGAGACTCACATCTTTCCTGATTTAACCACAATTGAGGTAGTCATCAGTGTCGATCTTATCGAAATTTCTTTACAGAAGGCCATACGAGTTTACTAAATCTGAATTTCCTGATGATAGAAAGAAGAATCTTGGGTAAAATTGACATTTTACCATGAAGTTAATGTCCATCAGTTCAGAAATATATGACTGGTTATCAAGATGTACACAAAAACATGAAGTTCAGATTTTCAAGCTCTAGCCAGAGTCAGGAGCAACAGAGTGTATATTACAGAACAGAATCTCATATAAGAACAGAATAAACCTGTGGAGACAGATCATCCATGGAAAAGCAGAGTGCCACAGAAGTCTGCTCTAGGTGTACGTTTCTTTGTGAGTCTTCCTCATTAGCCTATCTAGCTGTAGATTGGTGAAGCTTTGACTGTGCATCAGCCTCACATGGAGATCTTTTGCAAATATGAATATGTCACAGAATCTCTTCAGAATTGCTAAGTCTGCATTTTCTCCAGTGACATTCAGATCTCTTCACTATTCCTTCTTAAAAATCCCCCTTATGATTCCAGTGTCCTCACACATTTGCGAAGCTCTTACTAAGCTTCCCCTCACCCACTCTGCCTATTCCTTTGCCCTATCTTGACCGAGATGAGTATCTTAGCTACATATTTAATTATTAATCCCATGTTAAGTTTAATAAAGCATTATGGTTAATTCTATATTAAGTGGATGAATATAAAGTATTACTCCCAGAATTTAAAGGGCAGATACTTAATAACTGCACCTGTCTATAAATAGTCAAGAGACCGGAGATTAGTGTTAACCTTCTATTCTCCATTCCTTCTGCAACTATTTCAGTAGTATCCTCATTGCTTCTCACCAGGGATATTGTTTAGTTACTTAATTTGTGCCCCGGTCTCCATTTTCTTACTTTTCTAATTCATCCTACGTATTCTTGTCAAATTAATTTCCTAAAATAATAATTCTAGGCACAGTTCTGTTCAAAATCTTTGTCTGCTAACCAAAATAACAAAAGTTATTCAAATCCTCTAATACCAAGTCTAAATCCATATTTTCAGTTTAATATCTGTCTGCTCATATTCATGTAATCTTCCCAACCAAGTTAAACAGCCTCATGGTTTTCTGATTCTGTGCTTTAAATAAATACTGCTATTGTTTCTTGAATATCTGTTTCTTCACCAATTTAACTACTTCTCCAAGGGAAGCAGTGTTTTTAGCCTTACTACACTGTTCTTTTCTTGTTTGAATGGGTAGTCTCTCATAAAGGTAATTTCTCAAAACAAGAAACGAATATTCTCTTTGTGTCCCATCTCTCACTGATACCATGTCAAGAGCTACAATAAAATTCTAGCATGCCTTCATTGTAAAACGCAGTCTAGAAAAAAAATTCACAAGCAGAAGACATTCACACCAAAAAAGCCTCAATATAGTCACACAAATGTAGGGAATCTGAGAATATGTGAGCAATACCAACCACCACCACCAAAAATCCAGAGAAATATATTTTAAAGTGGTGTTAATGTGTTAACATAGTTTCATATACGAGCATGTCTACATTTGGAATGCTTACTTGAAAACTGAATATTATGTTCACATTTAGTTTAGCTGTTTCATGAAAACTGGGACTAATTATTGACCCTACTTAAAATAAGTTGAGGTGCCAGATAATCTCTGACAAAATGCAGGCAAAATAATCTAATGAATTAGGAAAGTAAGGAATTCATTATGTTATACTGTATATTCACCCTCAAATAATATCTCTTTAAAGTACTCTGAAGTATCTTTCAACAAATATTTTACCTGTAGATTTGTGACAAAAGCCTCAGCATTTTGAAATGCTCTTTATTGATTGGTCTTTCTTGGATGAAGTGCTCTGGAGAACTCAATTTATGCTCACTTTATATAGGATTTCTGGTCTTGGTAGAATTTTTAAAAAATACAGAGGTTTTGAGGGTAGCAGAAGGATTAATATTGTGACAAATTCTACCTCTGGAATAAGTCAGCCTTCTATTTCTAAATTTCAGTTTAGTGATTAGGGATCTAAATATCTTACTGTTTTACAGAATGCCACCTTTATGAAGGGACCATGCCGGTTTTTACTGGGAAAAGTAACGAGTAATCTAAACACAGTGTTACTCCACATATACACCAGAGAACAAGAGCTCAGTTCCATGAATAGAGCAGACTCCACTATCTCCATGAAATTTTGGGATGCAAGGTGCTATGTAAGTGTGAAGCCACTACCAAGTTATTCTCGTCTTAATAAAGGACAAGTTGATTTACTTTGTTACCCCACCAATAAAATACCGGAATAAGACTTGATATGCTCTTTTGAGTCAACTTCGTGCATTATTGCCTTAGCAATGAAAGCAAAGCAAATGACACAGATTTGAGTGAAGACCAGAACATGTTATGGCTATCAGCTGGTCAAGTATAGAGTAGTTATCTCTGTGATTCTACTGTGGGGTCCCTGGAAATCCAAAACTTCTTGAAGAGGTTGGTGGATTCTCAGGATGCTTTGTGGATCCTGTCGCCACACTCAAATAGAAGAATCACAATAGAAACTCAAAATTTCAGGACATAGTTGTCCTCTTTTAAGGAAATGATTGCTGTTTTGGCTTGGAGGATACTGATGGAGTCTGTAACTTCAGACCTTTTATCAATATCGACATACCCTGAAGCAACTCAAAAATGAACAACCTACAGAAAATTATCTGATATCTTCGACTTACAACCATACCAAGTCCTGCCACAAACTCATACTTTTACCTTCTCATGGTGTTCCCTATGCAGACTGAGTGATAAGGAAATGATCTAACCTATTTATAAATCCCTCCGCTCTATGCCTGCACCAGCTGCCAAGTAGGCTGCTGTTGACCTCACAGAGGTAGTCATGGATGTCTCAGACAAAAAATGAAACAAATAGTAATATACTAGGATTTAAGCACTTGAGGGAGTATGAAAAAGATAATTCATTTCTCCTCAATATTGGTATTTCTGTTTCAAGCAACAGAAATTCAATTGCATTTTACTCTGTATGTGTACACGATTATCTGTTTGTTTCTGCAATATCAAATTCCTATCCAAGGTGACCAGATTCTGTTGTGAAAAGACACTGAACTATTGTATAAATGAAGGTTTTTACTTTGTTTTATGTACCTTTCTGTACTGTTTGAATTTCGAATCATGTATAGCCATTTCTTTATGTCAACAGCAGTTATATGAATGGTGATTTGTAAGACATTTGAAATTTATTTTTTAAATAATTCTCTCGACTAAAACCACTGAATGCTGTTAAAAACAAAAATAATAGAACATCTTAGAATTGTGGAGGTAAAATGGAGGAGAGGTGAAGAGGATGTAGGAGTTATGGGTACTACATGAAATGAATCAAGGAAGGCACCTATATTATAGAAGCTATAAATGTAAGACTATTATTAAAAATAATAACACAATAAAAATAAGATGTAATGGAAAGTAGGAGAAGATGTATCTAAATTGAGGTAAAAGTATATGTTCTTGTTATTTAAAAAAATCATTTTATCATCTTAAAAAAATGAAGCACGAAGCACATAAAATCTTTATGCTCAGAGCAAAGATTGTCAACTGGGGGAGAAAATTTTGCCGTCAAGGGACAGTGGCAATGTTTAGGGACATTTTTTATTATCATGTCTTGAAGGAAAGGATTGATCTTAATGGCACCTATTGGTTAGGTGGCAGCGGATCCTGCAAAAAAAAATCTTACAACACACAAGTGTGCTCTGCACAAAAATGACCAACCAGTTCAAAATCTCAGTGATGCCAAGGTTTAGAAAGCCTATTATAGACAAGAATGTTGGAATAGTTGCAAAATAGTACAAGGCAGACTATCATTTTTGGTTTATTTGCAATGTTAGAATTTTTATGTTATTTTCCTCTATTATTTTATATTTATTTTTTGTTAAAGACTCATTATATTTCTGAAAAATTGTGAAAACACATTCAGATCTACACATGTAGATAAAATTTTCATTTGAAGAAAATCTCACAAGAATCCAAGATTATAATTAAATAAATGCATACCTAAAGAGGCAAAAATCAAGTTGGCCTCAGAGTTATCCTTCAATGATCTTGCAATTATTCTCTACAGTATTAAAGCCTAGAAGATAAGTTCCCTATATCAACTGCATTTTAAGGAGAAAAGTTTGAATCCCAAAAATTTACTTTCCATCTTATTAGTTGTTCATATGTGTATTAGTTCATTTTCAGACTGCTATAAAGAAACCCAAGACTGATAATTTTATAAATGAAAGAGGTTTAATTGACTCACAGTTCTGCATGGTTGGGGAGGCCTCAGGAAACTTATAATCATGGCAGAAAGGAAAGAAGCACATGGGAGCACACGAAATGGAGAATGTGAAGGACAGAGACCCTTATAAAACTATCATATCTCATGAGAACTCACTCACTATCACGAGAACAGCATGAGGGAAACTGCCCCCATGATCCAGTCACTTCCCACTAGGTCCCTCCCTTTACATGTGGATATTAAAATTCAAGATGAGGTTGAGGTGGGACCACAGAGCCAAATCATGTCAGTATGCAAAATTAATATAATTGGATTCTTGGGTTTCACTGGATGTTCTGGTTTCGTGCCCTGGTTGTAAAATTAAATATGACTACACTTATCAAGCATTTTGCTTATGACTCCAAAAATAGAACTCAAAAATATGATTTTAACAATTGAATTAAGTTAATGTTGATATTTACTGCAATTAGTAAATAATTATTCAACTTACAATATGAAATAATTTTAAAAGGTTAAAATTATATTAGAAATAATGTGAAATAATCTCTCTCTCTCTTTTTTTCTTTTTTGAGACGGGGTCTTGCTTTGTCACCCAAGCTGGAGTGCAGTGGCACAATCTCGGCTCCCTTCAGCCTCTGCTTCCCAGGTTCATGCGCTTCTCCTGCCTCAGTCTCCCAAGTATCTGGGAATACAGGCCACCCACCACCAGGCCTGGCTCATTTTTATATTTTTTTTAGTAGAGACAGAGTTTCACTGATTTGGCCAGGCTTGTCTCAAACTCCTGGCCTCAAGTGAACCTCCTGGCTCGGCCTCCCAAAGTGCAGGGATTACAGACATGAGCCACTGTGCCGAGTCAATAATCTTTCATTTTTTAAACTGAATTAAATATCATTGAGATTCGATGTACAGGAATGAGAAAAAGACTAAATCCCTTGAAGATGAAATGTGACAAATATGGCTACAGCTGTATTATAGATTTTATATATATATATTATATATATGTATATATAGGTATATGTATTTTTATATACATATGTATATATGTATATATTATATAATATATTTATATGTACAATATATAAATACACATTTATTATATTATATATATTGTATAGTTATTATATAAGATCATCAAAAAACAAAAGGCAGTGTGGAAATGTATGTAATAAGTGACAAAATGTGTCTTTCCCTGTCAGTTCACAGTTTCTTTCATACCTCTAAAAGTTGAAGACAATGAGTGAACGTACTCTGTTCATTCTAAAGAGAGGTGACAGACACTGCCACTGTGTTTATTTAAAGATGACAAAATTGTACCAGTCAATCCCATTTTGCGCTTCTAGAAGATTTCTTAGTAGACACACCATGACCTTGGAGGAGAGTTCAGGGGAGTAGACAGACCCATGGCTTTATGCTTCTGTTGTTGAGGTCCTTCTTCTGCTCTATGGACCCTGAAAGCAGGTGTCAAGGATGTTACTTACACATATGGGGACATCTGGCTTCTTTCCTGGTTGACACTTGCTGAGCTGGAGATTATCATAAGCTCACCAAATGCTCCCACCAGGAGTCAAAATAATTTGGGGGAAAGCATGATATGATATTTGTTCCAGGAGTTTTCTGGGGTCGGACTGCCGAGATAGAAGTGGGTGCTTTGTGTCAAGAGAAACCTGAGTGTTGGATGCCATCTGAAACAGCCCATAATAGTAGGAACAGGAGAGAGCGGTGGTAGTAGGAGCAGCCAGCATTTACAGACTGTAGCTTGGCAGTGATACCTGAGTTGTCTCTTGGGCTGAGAAGACAAGCTTTGACATAGCTGGGTGAAGACATCCACCTAACAAGATGGGGAGACCCTGGAAGAGAACTGATGGGATAAAGAGACCAAAAGTCCTTGCAAAAAAAAAAAAAAAAAAAAAAAAAGCATATGGGATGAGTTGTGGGAATGGTGAGACTCTAAAACTCCTGAAAATAGTAATACATGTAGCATGTGGGTACCTGTCATTACAGTGCATGCTCATAGCCAAACGAGAGTTGCAAATAGCGCCAGCTGAGTACAGTCATGCTACTATGGTTTTTACTTCCCCTTAGTCAAATCTGACCTCGGAAGAACCAGATATTAGAAAAAGAGATAAAATATGTAAGACTGAACCACTCCCTATTCTGCCACTGAAAATCCTCGGACTCTGGAGCCTGCTTGAGTGAAGGGAAGGAGAGAATGTTTACATGCAATACATTATGTGAAAGGTAGAGTACAAACCAGAGCAAATTATTTAAGCCCAGAACAAAATAAAAAGATTATTCAAAAACTGAAAACATCTGAAAAATATTAGGACACTAGGATAAAACAAAAGTTTGACTGTAAATCAGGTGTTTTGTTAGCTTGGCTTTTGCTGCAAGGGTGAGTGTGGATATATACTGGGGAGGGTATGCATAGGTATGCACATGCAATGGTAATTAAGTTAAAATTTCAACTAACACTACAAGTAGAAAAATAAAGGCCAAAATGAGGTTTCAGACAAAGATTTATCACTTAAACAGCAATGCTGAGATGTCATATAGTGACGCAGAAAACCACTTTCCTATAAAGACTCATCAGTTAGAGGCTCTGTGCTCACCAACAATATGGCATAAGCCAGGAGCAATTGCCTTTCATTCCTGGGGTTGTCAGAAGGTCTCAGTGGGACATCCTCTAAATAACACTATGAAAGCACTCACAAGAGAATGGGTTAGCTGTAAACTTACATCAGCCCTAGATAGTGCAATGCTATCTTGCAAAAGGTCTGCTCAGATAAGAAATTTCAGCTCTCATTCTTCCTAGTGTATCTTTATGTACCAACCTCATAGAGATAGGAAAATACATACTGCCACAGGGGGAAAGAGGTTCTCAATTTAGAAAGTGGTTACTCATCCTCTTGCTTCCTAAAGTTTCTCATCTGTTCAGCAAAGATTCAATTACTAAATTAAATTGGTTTTCAAAATGGGCAAAGGAATAACATCCACATAAGAGCTGGATGGAAATAATAACATATGAAGATTACATAGTATGCATTCTGATGTTTCCAAATACTAACCTTGTGTCTCTGTGTGTGTTTGTGTGTGTGTGTGAGAGAGAGAGAGAGAGGGAGAGAGAGAGCATGTGTGTATGAAGAGAGAGAGGGAAAGAGAGACAGAGAAATTAGAGTCCCTGTTTTCATAGAGTTTAATGTCTATTAAGGAAGAAAGATGTGGGGGAAAATATTTGTTGAGATAATTAATGATTAGTTCTTAAAGCTACAGTACAGGGAAATCTTTATGGCTTGCTGATCAAATCTAGCACAACACTTGCTTTTGTAAATAAAGTTTTGTTGGAACACAACTGTGCTCATTCATTGATGCATTGTCTATGGCTGCTTTCAAAGCCCAAAGGCAGACATGAGGAGTTGTGACAGAGTCTCATTGTCTGGCAAAGGCTAAATTATTTACTGTCTGTTCATTTATAGGGAAATTACTGATTCTCCTTCTTCATGAGATTAAAAGAAAGAAGAGATTCCAGGTTCAAGCTGTGAGTTTAATATGTGCATATAATTTCACTCCCTCTAAAATTTCACTAAAACGACTAAGGAAAACATAATTAAAAAGAAAGAGAAGCATAAAATTAAGGAGGCAAGCAGGACAGAGGAACATGTAACAAATCAATGAAATATTGGGAGCTGGAAAACAGATGGTCAAGTGGTAACAGAATTAACAGAACAAAGAATGCTGAATTCTACGCAGGAAATGAGGATAGTTGAGAAACTGATAAATGTTTTATATTGCAGCATTCTCAAAAGGCTCAGAAAATGGTAGCAACAGGAATGAGGGGAAATGACAATGATAATGCTTGACTGGACAGAATGACAAGATAATAAAGAATGTGATCCTAATATGAAAAGTTCTCTGTAAAGGTCACTGTATTAAAAAAATGTCTATCCTGATAATGGGAATTCTTGTGTCTTTGAAAGCTACACAAACAATTAGTATTGAGGCTGCATTTGGGGAGAAAAACTAAGTCTATGAGGGAAAAGAGTGTATTTTTACTGGTTTGACCCTTTGTATTGCTTTTTTTTTCCATGAGCGTTTGTATATTGTGAATCAAAAACAAGTGATATAAAAAACACATTCCCAAAGGATTTTATTTTTAAATAAGAAATACTTTTACTACTGTGCTCTAAGATACAAACACAATCCTGATATTATTTTTCTGGGTTCCTTGATGAAGAGAAACAATAGATTTTATTTTGCACAGTTGAAATCACAAGACATAAGATTCCCAGAAGTCAACAAATGTCTCCCCTTTCCCCCCATCTCCAAACACACATACTTCACTGCCAAACTCTGTTCTAAAATGGCTCAGGGAGAGAAGTAAGCAAGTCTGGCTCTGGGAGATGAGATAATGACACTTAACTGGCAAGACGGATGATTAATTTCTTTCCTATGACCAGAAAAGGTAAGTGAGTTTCACATTTTCCCATATGTAAGGACCAATGCATCTGTGTCTAGCACTGCTCATTCCATGGTGGATAACTGTAGAGACAGGTGGAAGATAGATAGTTACTTAATACCAAGGCCTTGGGCACACCAGGAAAGGTATTCATTTCTGTCCCAGTCTCTGGTCAGAAGTGGCTGTCAGTGAGTGATGCCTTTGAGCGCATCTGGAAATTCAGTATCTCATCCAAACTTTGTACTTTCTTGGAGGTATTCTCTAAAAGCCTCAGTAGGAAATAGAAGCATTGTATTTTTTGCTCTAGAAAAATAATTTTACATTTCTTACATTTGAATATTATGAGGCAAAGCTAACAGTAAATTAAGCATATATATGTATATATGAAAACATATAATTAATGCTATAAACAGTATTATAATATAGCAATATATTTTAAAAGCAAAAATACTGGACTCTGATAGAGTCTGAAAAGTTACAGAAGGTTTTCCTGAATCATGACCTTAGAATCAATATGTTAAGGATGAGTTGGAATTAGGTATGAATGGAGAATTAAAACAGGCAGAATTATTTGTTCTATAGAAAACAACGTGTGTAAATTCGTTAAGTCAGAAGACAACATGAAAATTTTGGAGATCTCAAAGAAGATCCATATACCTGAAGTAGGAACAAAGAGGGAAATAATGACTTTTGCCTGGACAGAAACCCAGTAGCTATAGTCAAAACCTATGGGTAACGTGAAGGATTTTTCTCTTTATCGCAAAAGCAGTAGAAGCCATTAAAGCCATTGAAGGTTTTAAACAATAGAATTACATGATTTAAATAATATTTTTAAAGTATCTCCTGAGAAAATTGAGAATGGGTTACAACAGGAAAGGTGTGAAAAGTGTGTATCATTTACAGAGTACTGTCATAGATCAAGTAAGAGATTGTGATAATAAGGCTTAAGGTGGTGAGAGGGCTGTGAAGAAGCGGAGATATTGGTCTGAGCGGGGTGGCTCACCCCTATAATCCTAGCACTTTGGGAGGACCAGGTGGGTGGATCTCTTGAGCCCAGGAGTTCAAGATCAGCCTGGGCAACACAGAGAGACCCTGTCTCTATAAAATAAAAAAGAAAAGAAAAAGGAAAAACAGAAAAATTACCCAGGCCTTGTGGGGCATGCCTATAGTCCCAGCTACTCTGGAGGCTGAGGTGGAAGGATTGCTTGAGACCTGGAGGCAGCAGCTACAGTTAGCTGAGATCTTGCAATTGCATTCCAGCTTGTACAACAGAGCAAGACCTTGTCTCAAAAGAAAGACAAATGAGATATGGAAGACATATTAAAGAGGCAAAAACGATATATAAATATATACACACACACATATACACACATATTTACATACACATATATTTATACACACATATATGTGTGTGTATATATATGTGTGTGTGTGTATACATGTATATTTCACTTAAGGGAGAAGGAGTGTAATAAAGTAGACTTCTAGGATTCAGACTTGGAAAGGGAAAAGATGACAGTGAAATTCCCAAAATAGGGACTATCTAGGAACATTTATTGAGCAAATACATTATGAGTGCTGGGGAATGCTGGGTAGATAGAAAAGTCACAGGCCTTACCTCTACAGTATTAAAAACAAAAAATAAAATGAGAAACATTTGTGTGATAGGTTTTATTACAATACAGGTACTGAGACACCATATTTCAAGGAGGCGGGAAAGCCTTGTCTACAAAGTAATGTTACGTAGAGGCCTGAAAGAAGTAGTTATATGAAAAGTTTGGGAAACTGCTACAGGAAGAGAGGATGGACAGCACGTACACAGTCCTGAATAGAAACGACAATGTAAAACTGAAATAAATATATAATCTAAGCTAGGTATCAGAGAAAGAGAAGAAAAGCCATGAGAGAGAAAAACAGAAATGCTGTAAAATGTAGACAAATATCTTAGTCTCAAAGAGACTACAAAAGTGCTTAAAGTAAGTCATATTTGAAAAAATAGATACGCATTTATAATAAGAACTCTAAATATAAGACCTTACAGCTGGTCGGTGTATATTATGAATACAACTGGATGGATTGAATGCTGCACAACCATAAAATATATTATTGTGTATGCATAATAAAAAATGTTTTTACATAAATACAAATATATGAATATTATAATTAACAAGTCTTTATGCGTGATTATTTTCATTATACTTTTTTAATTTTTTTATTCATTTATTCATTTTTTTTGAGACAGAGTTTCACTCTTGTTGTACAGGCTGTAGTGCAATGGTGCGATCTCAGCTCACTGCAACTTTCACCTCCCAGGTTCAAGTGATTTTCCTGCCTCAGCCATCCAAGTAGCTGGGATTGCAGGCGCCTGCCACCATACCTGCTAATGTTTGTATTATTTTAGTAGAGATGGAGTTTCACCATGTTGACCAGGTTGGTCTTGAACTCCTGACCTCAGGTGATCCTCCTGCCTCGGCCTCCCAAAATGCTGGGACTACAGGCATGAGCCACCGTGCCCAGACTTTTTGTAATATATTTTTAAATTTCTATGTTAAATTTATGCTATTTTTAATAGTCATTACAACAAATATCAAAAAAGAGGTTGAAAGTTTCCAATAGGATTCAGAACACTTTATAATATGATAACTGAAATAAGAGTATTTTCTTTTTTGTTTAAGAAGAAGCTTCAGTTGCTATTAGGAATTGAGTGTGCTGTATCCTCCAGAAAGATATGTAGAAGCCCTAACCCTCAGAACCTGAGAATATGACCTCATTTAGAAATGGGGTTGCTGCAAATGTAATTACTTAAGATGAGGCCACACTGGAGTGTGGTAAGCACTAAATCCCATATGACTGGTGTCCTTGAAAAAAAAAGAGAGACGGCTGGGTGTGGTGGCTCACGCCCATAATCCCAGCACTTTGGGAGGCTGAGGTGGGTGGCTCACCTGAGGTCAGGAATTCGAGACCAGCCTGGCCAACATGATGAAACCCCATCTCTCCTAAAACTACAACAATTTAGCCGGGCATGGTGGCATGCACCTGTAATCCCATCTACTCGGGAGGCTGAGGCAGGAGAATCACTTGAACCCAGGAGGCGGTTGCTGTGGTGAGCTCAGATCGCACCACTGCACTACAGCCTGGGCAACAAGAGCAAAACTCAGTCTCCAAAAAAACAAAAAAAGGAAAAAAAAAAAAAAAGAAAAAGAAGAGAGACAAAAGACATGCACAGAAGGAAGACAACATGAATAGTCACGTAAGGTGAGAATGCTATGTGATAACAGAAGCCGAATTTGGAGTGATGCAGCTACAAGCTCAGTAATGAACACATTAGATTAGCAACTACCACTGAAAACAAGGGAAGGGCAAGAATAATTCTATTCTTCCACTATTCTGTACACTTCTAGCAGCGTCTCTGAGGTCATGACTCTCCTGACACTTTGAATTTGGACTTCTAGTATCCAAAACTTTAAAATAATAAATTCTGGTTTTTTTTTTTTCATGCCATCCTTGTTTGTCGTACTAAGTTGAAATCCTCTTAGGAAACCTACACTGTTACCTGGAAAATTAGCTTAAATGACCTAGTTTGTTAATTAACAAAAATCAACTAACTGAAGAGTCACCCTTGCTTAGGTAGCCTATTTAATTTGTGTCCAGATTTTGATTGAATCAGAAAGAACATTATTCTCTCATATGTGTGTACTTGAGTCTATCTGTTTCGTGTGTTTGTGGATTTGTGTGTTTGTGAAGAAATGGAACAGAGGCAGGGATCAGAAACAGGGAAGCACATGTCTCTTTCTGTTTTCTGTTGAGGCTTCATGAAAGATTTTTATGTCTTCTATTTATGTAGAAAGGTAGACTAGAATATTTCAGATATTTTTAAATCACACTGGCAATGATGGTATGAGAACCATACCCTACATATCTGATTTATAGTCACCAAAAGCTCAGCTTTACAGGTCTTTGAAACATGGACTGGTTTCAAGATTTACTGATCAAAACATAAAGAAATGCAATCATATTCAAGATGAGAACTGTCTCTGTGACAAATCAAATGGCCTCTATTTCACAGTCATTCAAAGACTTCCGACCAAACTCTCAGATTATTTCCCTTGCAAGTTTGAAGATAATTTAGCCAAGGAAAATGAATGCTTTTAAGCTTCACTGCTTTACTACAATTAAATTTTTGCTGACAGTAGTGTGTGATCACTTTTTTACCTCTTTAATAAACACCAAGTGGAGCAAACAGAATTACTTCCCTAAACCTCTTTGGTAAAGTGATGATAATGGATCCAATCCCTTAATCAGGATACTGTATGTAATAAAACAAAACTATTTTTTCTCTTTCTACATATACTCCTTTGCTCTCCCTCCCTCTTCCTTTCTCCAGTCTCTCTTTCCCTCTCTCTCTGTCTTTATTTCTTGCCTCTTTTTCTCCTCACCTCTCTCTCCTACTTTATCCATTGCCACTTTAGCTTTTCTATTTTTTTTTGTAAGATTTTAACTTATGTGACACTATTTTGGTTCTCAAAATATTGTACCAGTTCTGTATAATTAAATGTGTAAAGGCTGCCACACATTTTTCTATTAGCTTATAAATATATTTAACAACTTAATGTCCGTTAAATTACAGATACACATAGTGATTTGATGCTTCAAGATTTCTTACAATGATGATTTTGTTGCTTTAAAATATAAATATTATATGTTAATGATGCAATCTGAAAGCTCTAGTCCTATGTTTTTGCTACTTCCTAAAAATGAATTTTGAGTCTTACATTAACACTGACAATGCACTGAGACACACAATCATCATTTTAAACAACTGGATGAAATAAATTTACAGTATAATACAATCATTTCCAGTTGTTAAAAATATTTCTATTCTAATGTCATTCTTAGAAGGATATATTGAATTTTGTTATGTTTACCAGCAATAAGAAATCTTTTTAACCTCATGAAGTTTAGTGACTAAAGCAGATAACTGAACAACATAGTGCAATAATTCATGCAAGCAATTGCAAAAAATTAAAACAAAAATACCAAATTCCTCAGAATTCATCCGATATTGTGTCAACAATTATACAAAACAGTTCTGGAAAAGCAAGGGTTTTTGGTGATGAGGGACTCTTCAAGCAGTGTAATTTCTAAGAAAGAGAAAAACACACATTTCCTTTTGGAGTTTAATGAGCCCTGGCATCCAAAGGCTACACCTAGAACTGCTGGGGCATAGAAGAGGAGACACAGAAAGATGACAGACAGCACAGCAAGTAGGCAGAGGACGGATACCAAGATGGCCCACCACCCCCACCAACCTTGCACTACCGAGATTATAAAGTTCCCCCAGTGAAATGAAGGCAGGCTTCATGGAGCCCTAGGTTTTTTCTGAGGTCAAAGAGGAAGGTGCAGGCATGGCCACGCTAGCCACCCCAAAAAAGTTTCTAGCTGAACAAAGTCACACATTCAGGAGATCTGGAGACTGCTTTTTAACCCACCCTCACCTATATATTAATACCAGTGTTCCACATTTGAACTGAATGTTGGCAGCTGGTCTCAGCACATAATACAGCTTCAGCTGATTGGTGTCACTGGCAGTGGAAGACAGCAACGAAGACACTACCTTATCTTGTTTCCACAGACTCCTCTCCCTGCAGTCAGTGGTTGCTATATACTTTGAAGTTTAGCAAAATTTACAGAAGATGCAGGAGGAAAAAAAGTGTTTTAAAGAAGGGAGCCCTTGTGAATGACGTTGTGAATGTCTCCCACTACTTTGAAGTTAGGTATGGCCCTGTGACTCTTCTGGCTGATAAAATGTGAGTGGAAATCATCTGTGTAACTTTAAAGCTGAACCATGACATTTCTAGTGCTTGGTTTCCAAGCTGTTTCTTGACCTGCCATGGTGATTGAAGAACCTTTGATTTCCAGATGATGCAGTTACATGATCCCATCGTGGAGTTTCATGAGTCCTGATATGAAGAACTGATACTCGCTAACTTGCTTTGAATATGTAGGATGAGGTGATGTGTGTGTGTGTGTGTGTGTGTGTGTGCGCGCGCGCGCATTGTTTGGTCTTAGCTTAACAGAATTAATACACCAAGTTCTGAAACAAATGGATATTATGGGAATTAAATGTGAGGAGGTGAGGAGGAGGTCAAAAGATTAAATTTATTGTTGATAATGACTAAATTGCAGGCAAAAAAAAGTGATAATAAGCCTTTTAACTCAACTCCCAAACTAGGAAGATTAGCTCACGGTCACAGGCAATGGTGTCCTAAGCAGGTCTCCTCATGAGATGAGCACCCCTGGGGAAAGGCAGCCACAGCACCCTGAGGGTGTTTTTCTGTTATGAACTAATGCTCTGTTAGGTTGCTTCTGTGATCTGTAGTGGGAAATAGAGCCCTCAGAAGGCTCTGAAGTATCTTGGAAAATACACTAATTATAATAACTACAAATACATCCTATGACTAATGCTGAAAATGTACTTTTTTAACGAGATGGGGTCTCTCTGTTGCCCAGGCTGGAGGGCAGTGTCTATACTATTCACAGATGTCACTGTGGCACACTGCAGCCTCAGACTCCTGGGCTCAAGAGATTCTCCCACCTCAGACTTTTGCATAGCTGGGACTACAGGTGCATGCCACCATACCTGGCTGAGAATGTATTCAACTTCCCTTCCCTAATTATGTCCAAAATAGCATACAAGTAGGTTGAAAGTAAGTTAACTGACACCATTATGATTTTCCAATGAATAGAACCTCCAATAATAATATAACACTTTCAGCATTTTAAATGTTAATCACTTTTTATTTTCAAATTCTCATGCTAATTGAAATTTAAGGACTAAATACCTTTGTGAATTTATGTTCAGATAAACACCCAAAGGAATATAAACTATTAATTTTTCCCTTGTGACTGTATGTATTATATCCAATGGCCAAAATTTCTGAGGTTAAAGATCAGAAACCATGATCCCGCCTCTCTGCTTGCTTCATTTTCTTAGCTGTTCATTCTCAACCTAAAAGCTTTTCAAAGTCTTGGAGGAGTAGAAGTTATATCAGAAGATGCAACCTAGTTCGTAAATCAATAGCGGTAATTCACTTCAGGGCATGAGAAATTCTATTAATTCACCAAGTTTCTGAAATCCTCCTTTTTTACTTTTATTATTTAATTTTAAGTGATATGTAATAATCATACATACTTACGGAATGAGTGTGATATTTTGATACATATATATAATGTGTAATGATCTAATCAGACCAATTAGTATATTAATTACCTCAAACACTTATCCTTTATTTATGTGGTCGGCATTTAAAAACTGTCCTTCTGGCTATTTGAAAATATACAGTAAATTATTGTTAATTACAGTCATGCTATAATGCTATACAACATTAGAACTTATTCCTCTTATCTAGCTGTAATTTTATATCTCTTAATCAACTTTTGTGTAACCCTCCAGACTCCCCCTGACCACCCTCTTCACCTGTAGTAACCACTATTCTACTCTCTATTTCTCTGAGATTAGACTTTTTTGCTTCCACACTTGAAAGATAACATGTGGTATTTATTTTTCTGTATCTGGCTTATTTTGCTTAGCATAATGTCCTCCAAGTTCATCCATGTTGTTATGGATGATAAAATTTGGTTCTTTTTATTGGCTGAACAGTATTCTCTTGGGTGAATATACCACATTTTCTTTATCCATTCATCTGTTGATGGGCACTTATGTTGATTTTATATCTTGGCTATTGCAAATAGTGTAATAAACATGGGAGTGCAGATATCTCTTCAACATGCTGATTTCCTTTCCTTTGGATATATACTCAGTTGTGGCATTACTGGATTGTATGGTTCTATTAATATATTTTAGTTTGTGTTTAAAAACTAAAAACTAAGGGTTTTTTTAGTTCTTTTTTTTTAGATTTTTGAGGAATCTCCATACTGTCTTCACTGCCACCAACAGCGTAGAAGAGCTCCCTTTTTCTGCATATTCACCAGCATTTTTTAATTTTTGTCTTTTTGATAATAGCAATTTTAACTAGGATGAGATGATATCTATTTTTGGCTTTAATTTGTATTTTTCTGATTATTACTGATGTCGAACATTTTTTATATACCCATTGGCCATTTGTATGTATTTTTAAAGAGATATCTATTCACTTAATTTACCCATTTTTATATCAGGTTATTTGCTTTTGTGTTTTCTTTGCTGTTGAGTTGTTTGAGTTCCTTCTGTATTCTGGATATTAATCCTTTGTCAGATGAATAGTTTGTAGATAATTTCTTTCTGTCTGCAGATGTCTTTACACTCTGATGATTATTCTCTTTGTTGTGTGTGCAGAAGCTTTTCAGAGTGATATAATCCCATTTCTTTTGTTTTGCTTTTGTACCAGGAGACATTACAACTGATACCACAGATATGCAAAGGATTGTTAGAAATTATTGCAGAGACCTATACACCAACAAATTATCAAACATAATTGTAACTGATATATTTCTAGACATATACAACTTACTAAGAAGAAATAGAAAACCTAAACAGACCAATTACCAGTAACAAGATTCAATTTTTAATAAAAATTCTCCCTTCAAAGAAAAGCCCAGTACCTGATGGCTTTGCTGCAGATTTCTACCAAACATTTGAAGAAGAAATAATATGAATTCTTCTCAAAATCTTCCAGAAGATTGAAAAAGGAGGAATTATTCTAAACTCCTTCTACAAGGTCAGCATCACCCTGATACATAAAAATGGGAAACTACAGGCTAATATTCTTGATTAACATTAATACAAAAATATTCAATGAAATGCTATCAAATTTAACCCATCAGCACATTAAATACATCATCACTATGATCAAGTGAGATTTATCCCTGGGTTGCAAAGCTGGTTCAACATATGGAAATCAATAAATGTAATATATCACATCAACAGAATTAAGGTAAAAAACCATATGATCATCTCAATAAACACAAAAAAATTATATATAGCTCAACATCCTTTCATAATAAAAACTCTGAGCTGGTTAGGTATAGAAAAAAGGTGCCTCAGTCCAGTAAAGACCATATATAACAAACCCACAGCCCACATCATATTGAATGGGGAGAAGTTGAAAACTTTTCCTTTAAGGTCTGGAGCAAAACAAGGATGCCCAATTTCACCGCTTTTATTCAATATGGTTCTGGAATTCCCCACCAAAGCCATTAGGTAGGAGAAAGAAATGAAAATCTGTTTAAAGAGTCAGATAAATAATAAAATATTTTTATTAGTTACTTTTGCTGCATAACAGACCACCTCTAAACATAGAAGCTTAAATGACAATCATTTACTTAGCTTACAATTTAATGGTTTGGCAATCTGTTCAGGAGTCAGCTTCATGGTTCTTCTGAGCCAGCTCAACTGAACTTGGCTAGTTTACTTGTGAGAAGTCAGATGTATTTAATTGGTTATATTTGGGTAGACTGTTTTCTGTATGCTAATTTTATATCATGCTATTGTTTTCAGGACTTTTTCAGCTGGAACTGAATAAATTGTGATGGTCTTGTCCGAGACAGCTAAAATAACTGGGGTCTTACTCCACATGGTCCCTGATTCTCCACTAGGCTGGCACAGAATGGTTCACAGGTTGGTTGAATGCAGTACAGTTCCCTGGGTGGCCTTGGAGCAACCCAGTTCTTACTTTCTCATTTGTAGTTTTCAAGGTTAACTGTAAAATGGGCTGGGAATGAAATGTCTTAAGATAAGGGGGGGCTGGCTGAAATAACTTGGCTCTGTTCCAAAGCTCTCATAGAAACAGGATGTTCTTCAGTGCTTTAGCTCAGAAGCCACATTGCCCTGGGATAAGAAACACAGGGTGGACTGCTTTCTGGGGTTCCTCAGCTGTGATACAAGCGGGACACTCACAGCTGAGACTCCATCTGCTCCAGGAGGCTTTCGTGAGGCTCGGGAGACTGGCTCACCATACATTCTAGGGTTCTGTTGTTTTTTGCTAACTATCTGTAAGTTAACATATCCACCTCATGTAATTTGTGTATGTGGGTATTCCCCCTTCTAGGCTCAAGCAAGTTGGTAACCAGTGCATGGTGAAACTGATTCACAGCTGAAGACTTCCAAGACTGGTAAAAGGACAGACCCCATTGCACAAGTTCTTTTTAAGCTTTATAGTATGTTTAGTAGCATCTCATCAGACAAGGCAAGTCACATGCTTAAGACCAGAGTCAATAAGGGAAAGAAAACAGATTTACCACATGATGTGAGTTGTGGCAAAGTTTTGTAGCCATTTTTAAAGTATACTAGAACACAGAAGATTATCAAGGCACAAGAAATTTAGAAAACATGCCAATCTCTACTCTATCCAGTGATTTCTCAGTCAATATTTTGTTCACAAAATGGAGAGTTAGAGTTGCCAAAAAGTATATAAAGGGCTCATTTGGGCCTTTGATAAGATAGCCTTTAAGAGCCATTATGCTTTTAATCTCATCACAATGCTAGTTAGTTCATGTCTTAAGTCTAGCCCCTTATAATCCAATATGGTAGCCACTAGCCACATGTGGCTATTTACATTTGCTTTTAAATTATATAAATTAAATTAAATTAAATTAAAATTTTAGTTCCTTGGTCACACTAGCCACATTACAAGAACTCAATAGCCACACAAACTAGTTGCTACCATATTAGACAATGCAGGATAGTACAATTTCATCATTACAGACAATTCTATTAACAAAATTTGTACAGAAACTGTCCTGTGAGCATCAGATCAAATAATAGAGATGGCTACCAATTGAGCAATGCTTTTCAATTCAAAGGATTTTCTCAATGCCACACTATTAATTGCATTTTTCCTCTGAGAAATTTCAATTGACTAAGAGATTCTAAATATGAGTGCACCAGAAATGAAGAATTCCTTCTTTTTTTCTGGAAGTGACTCTTTTGACATCTGTCCACAATTATTAGCCTGAATTAGTCACATTTATCGCATTACATCTTATACAGTTTTGCACTTTTTTTGTTAAATTTGTCCCTAGGTATTTTAAATGTTTAGCTGCTGTTATTGTATTTTATTTTATTATGTATTTAATTGGTTATATTTGAGTAGACTGTTTTCTGTATGCTAATTTTATATCATGCTATTGTTTTCAGGACATTTTCCATTTTTTTAAGTTCTCTATCTTTGCAAATAGAAATAGCTTTAGCTTCATTCCTAATTCCTACCTCTAATTGCATTCTCTTGCTAGTTACTCCTACTGATATTATTACAATCCCAATCAGGGGTGTCTCTGTGATAAAGCAGCAATGCGAAATGTTTCCAGTGAGCAAAACATCTAGCAGTACATTTTCCCACATTGCCCACAATGAAATGTAACCAGAGTTTTGGAACTATTCTAAATTATAAGCAGTAGCCAACCGCTTTACTGGATGACCGAGAGCACATGGAACAAGACTAGAACTCATATGACAAAAACCTCTGGAGAAAAATTATGTAGATGGACCTCTCAAAATGTCAAAAGATGGTAATTATTTGCTCCTTGTATGAATCCTCATCCAAAGGCATCCACTGCAGAGGAGTATCAAATGGACAACATGATTTTTTCCTGGATGTCTATCAGCTTCCTTCCCCAGCCACCCTGTATTTTCTCAAGGGAAACATATAAGTAGAGATAGAGTAGGAATGGAAGCTGTGCTTAAAATCACAAATATGGATTGTACCTGTGACTGGTCTGGTCATTAACAATGCTAAAAGGCCCACTTCCAACAGTATAAACCAATGGTGACACACTTATATTGTTCTCTTGGGGGAAGCAGCTATCCATCTAGTGTCAGGTTGATTACATTGGAATCCTTCCATTATAGAGAGACAACAATTTATTTCTACTGGAATAGACAAGTATTCAAACAATGGATTTGATTTTTCTGTCCAAACTGTTGCTGGCAGCTTCACCATCTGTGGACTTATGGGATGCCTACATACTCACTATCCAACACAAAATTGCTTTAAAAAATGAATGCATTTTATACCAAAAGAAGGCCAGTATTGGACTTCTCCTTGGGTACTCAACTTTCCTGATGAAACAATGTAATGGCCTACTGAAAATTTACTTGAAGAATATAGAGAGGATAGAAAAATCCTAGAGTCATATCTTATAGGAACTAATATATAATTTGAGCCTAGAATCAATAGATGTTGCTCTTTTCCTTATAGCTAGAATATGTAGGTCTGGAAACCAAGATCTGGAAGTAAGAGTGACTTCTTTTGCATTATATTTATTTTTATCAACTTTAATTGGTAATAATTCCTTTGCAATAAGTAGTATTTTTATGCTACATTATTTGATTATTTAAAAAATGTATATCCACTGCCACACTCAACACAGAAGAGTTCCAAGAAATTTAAAAAGTTCTTTATGAGCATTTGCAGGCATGCCTCAAATTATTACTGGCCTGCAAAAAACACTCATTTGTTTCTCTTACTATAACAGAATTTGTAATTTCTAAATTTTATTTGAGTGAAAAAATACAGTATGTAATCTTCTTTCATTCAGCATAATTTTTAGTTTAGTAGATGTTACTGTATTTATCCATAGCTCTTTCCTTTTAATTTATTTTTAATATTCCATTTATTATAGACATATTACAATGTGTTATTAATTCCCCTATTGGAGACCACCTGGTTTATATACAGTTTGGGGGCTATCTTGAGTAAAGCTACTATGAACATCCATGTACAATCCTTTGTGTACACACATGCTTTCATTTCCTTTGCATGAACCGTGTGTGTGTATATATATATGTAAGGTAAATACATGCTTACTTTTGTGAGCAGCTGCCAAAAATATTTTCCATAGAGACTGTATATGAGAGTTACAGTTGTTCAATATTCTCATAACACTTTATATTGTCCATATTTTATTTGTATCCATTTTAATGAATATTCATTAATATATCAATTGGGTTTTGAATTGCTTTTTCTTGATGACTAGAAATGCTTAATTTGTCATATGATTATTGTCATGTGATTATTGGCTTTTGAGTATATAATTCAGTGAACTGTTTGTTTATATCTTTTATCAATTTTTAATTAATTTATCTTCTTATTATTGAGTTGTAATTTTTTTATATTATCAACATAAGTCCTTTATCAGTCATGCATATTACAAACACTTTCTCCTATTCTGTTACAACAATCACGTATTTGAGGAAAAAGCTCTATTTTTTAATCAAGTATAATTTATATTGCTTTCTTTTATTTATTTATTTTTTGCATGTTATAACTAAGATTTATTTATCTTCTTGTTTCTTTACTTACTTAATAAACTCTTATTTTAGGTTCAGGGGCACATGTGCAGTTTTGTTATTTATGTAAACTCATTTCATGGGGCTTTTATTTACAGATTATGTCATCACCCAAGTACTAAGCCTAGCACTCAATCGTTAGTTTCTCGAATCTTCTCCCTCCTCCTGCCCTCCACCCTCCTGTAGTCCCCAATGACTGCTGTTCCCCTCTTTGTGTCCATGTGTTCTCATCATTTAGCTCCTGCTTATAAGTGAAAATATGCAGTATTTGGTTTTCTGTACCTGCATTAGTTCACTTAGGATAATGGACTCTAGCTCCATCCATGTTCCTACAAAGTGCATGATCTTGTTCTTTTTTATGGCTGCATAGAATTCCATGGTGTATATGTACCACATGTGCTATATCCAGTCTTCCACTGATGGAAATTTAGATTGATTCCATGTCTTTGCTATTATGAATAATGCTTCAATGAATATTCATGTACATGTGGCTTTATGATAGAATGATGTGTATTCCTTTTAGTATATACCAAGTAATGGGATTGCTGGCTCAAATGGTAGTTCTGTTTTTAGCTCTTCCAGGAATCATCACATGGCTTTCCACAACAGGTAAACTAATTTTCACTCCCAACAATAGTGTATAAGCATTCCCTTTTCTCTGCAACCTTGCCAATATCTGTTGGGTTTTTTTGACTTTTTAATTACAGTCATTCTGACTGGTGTGAGATGGTGCCTCAGTGTAATTTTGATTTGCATTTCTCTAATAATCAGTGATACTAATCCTTTTTTCATATGCTCATTGGCCACATGTATGTCTTCTTTTAAAAAGCGTCTGTTCATGTCTTCTGCTGGCTTTTTAATGGGATATTTTTCCCTTGTAAATTTGTTTAAATTCCTTATAGATGCTGGATATTAGACTTTTGTCAGATGCATAGTTTGCAGAAATTTTCTCCCATGCTATAAGTTGTCTGCATACTCTGTTGATAGTTTCTTTTCCTACACTTAAGCTCTTTATTTTAATTGGATTCCATACATCACTTTTTATTTTTGTTGCAATTGCTTTTGGCATCTTTGCCATAAAATCTTTGCCAGTTCTTATGTCCAGAATGGTATCACTAGGTTGTCTTCCAGGGTTTTTACAGTTTGGGGTTTTACATTTAACTCTTTAATCTATTTTGAGTTTACGTCTTTAATCTATTTAGAGTTTATTTTTGTCTATAGTCTAAAGAAGGAGTCCAGTTTCAATCTTATGCATATGGTTAGGCAGTTATCTCAGCACCATTTAGTAGATAGAGAGTCCTTTCCCCATTGCTTGTTTTTGTCAGCTTTGTCAAAGATCAGATGGTTGTAGATGTGTGGCCTTATTTCCAGGCTCTCTATCTTTTCCATTCATCTATGTATCTGCTTTTGTACCAGTATCATGCTTTTTTGGCTACTGTAGCCCTGTAGTATAGTTTGAAGCCAGATAGTGTGATATCTCCAGCTTTGTTCTTTTTGCTTAGGATTGCCTTGGCAATTTGGGTTCTTTTTTGGCTCCATATGAATTTTAATATAGTTTTTTCTAGTTCTGTGAAGAATGTCATTGGTAGTTTGACAGGAATAACATTGAATCTCTAAATTGCTTTGACCACTATGGTCATTTTAATAATATTAATTCTTCCTCTCCAGAGGCATGGAATGTTTTTCCATTAGTTTGTGTCATCTCTGATTTCTCTGAGCAGCATTTTGTAATTCTCATTGGAGAGATTTTCCAGCTCCCTGGTTAACTGTATTCCTGGGTATTTTATTCTTTTTGTGGCAATTTTGACTGGAATTGTGTTTTTGATTTGGCTCTTGGGTTCACTGTTGTTGGTGTATAGGAACACTACTGTTTTTTGTACATTGTTTTTGTATTCTCAGACTTTGCTAAAGTTGTTTATCAGCTTAAGGATCTTTTGAACCAAGACTATGGGATTTTCTAGATACGGAATCATGTCATCTGCACACAAGGATAGTTTGACCTTCTCTCTTTTTATTTCAATGCTCTTTATTTATTTCTCTTGCCTTATTGCTCTGGCCAAAACTTCCAATATTATTTTGAATGATGTAGTGATAGAAGGCATCCTTTCTTGTGTCGGATTTCAGGGAGAATATTGCCAGCTTTATACCATTTTGGTTGTGGGTTTGTCATAGATGATTTATTATTGTGAGGCATGTTCCTTCAATATCTAGTTTATTGAGAACTTTTAACATAAAGAGGTGTTGAATTTTATCTAAAGGCTTTTCTGCATCTATGGAGATAATCATGTGGTTTTTGTCTTTAGTTCTGTTTATATGACAAATCACATTTATTAATTTGTGAATATTGAAGCAAACTTGCATCTCAGCAATAAAACCAACTCCATCATGGTGGGTTAGCTTTTTGTTGTGCTGGTGAATTCCATTTGTTAATATTTTTTGAGGATTTTTTTTTATCAATGTTCATCACGAATATTGACCGGAAGTTTTCTTTTTCATGTGTGCCTCTGCCAGGTTTTGGGATTAGGATAATAATGGCCTCATAGAATAAATTGTGGAGGAGTCCCTCCTGCTTAATTTTTTTGAAATAGTTTAGTAGGAATGGTAGCAACTCTTCTTTTTACAACTGGTAGACTTTGGTTGTACAATCCATCTGTGAATCCATCTGGTCCTGGGCTTTTTTTGCTTTGTAGGCTGTTTATTACTGATTCAGTTTCAAAGCTCATTATTGGTCTTTTCAGGGATTCAATTTCTTCCTGGTTCAGTCTTGGAAAGGTGTATTTGTCCAAGAATTTACCCATTTATTCTACATTTTTTAGTTTCTGTGCATGCAAGTTTTCATAATAGTCTCTGACGGTTACTATATTTTTGTGGGGTTAGTGGTAATATCCCTTTTGTCATTTCTCATTGTGTTTATTTGGATCTTCTCTCTTTTCCTTTTCATTAGTCTAGCTAGTGGTCTATTGTGCTATAAAGTTTCCTGTTAACACTCTGTTATCTGTGCCCCAGAGTTTCTGGTTTATTGTATCTTTGTTCTCATTAGTTTCAAAGAACTTCCTGATTTCTGACTTAATTTCATTATTTTCCCAAAAGTCATTCAAAAACAGGTTGTTTAGTTTCCTTATAAATTGAGGGTTTTGAGAGATATTTTTCATATTAAATTGTATTTTTATTGCACTGTGGTTCCTGAATGTGGATGGCATTTTTTCTGTATTATTTTGTATTTGCTGAGGATTGTTTTGTGTCCAATTGTGTGGTTGATTTTAGTGTATGTGCCATGTGCAGATGTATATTCTGTTGTTTTGGGTTGGAGAGTTCAGTAGATGTCTATCAGATCCATTTGGTCAAGTCTTAAATTTAGGTTCTGAATATCCATTTTAATTTTCTGCGTCAATGAGCTGTCTAATACTGTCATTGGAATGTTGAAGTCTCCCACTATTATCGTGTTGTAGTTTAAGTCTCTTTCAAGGTCTTTAAGAACTTGCTTTATGAGTCAGGTGCTCCTGTTTTGGGTGCTTATATATTTATGATAGTTACATCTTCTTGTTGAATTGAACCTTTTACAATTATTGAACGCCCTTCTTTGTCTGTTTGATTTTTGTTGTTTAAAGTATGTTTTGTCTGAAATTCAGATTGCAACCCCTGCTCTTTCGTATTTGATTGGTAGATTTTCCTCCATCCCTCTATTTCTAGCCTATAGTTGCCACATTAAGCAGGCAAATTATTTTTCTATATAAACATTGCAAATTTTTTTAAGTTTTCTTTTAGAATTTTTGGGATTTTAATTTTTACATTTTGGTCTATTATCCATTTTTATTTAATGGATGTATTTGTTGTGAGATAAAAACCAGAGTTCATTTCTCCTTACATACAAATATCCAGTTATTTTTATACAATTTTTTGAAACAGTTTACACATTTAAGTGCTTTAATACTTCCATTGAAATTCAATGGACTGCATATATGTGAGTCTCATTGTAAGTTACATTTCAATTTTTTTTATTTCTTTTTGTGCAGTACATACTTTTTTGGATTTAAGTGATCACTATAACTTAGTGGAACATATAATATTTATTTAATATGTTCTTTTATTGTTTGCTGATATTTAATTGAAAACTTTAGGGAATATACAAAAATAGCGTTGGCCTTATACATATTTGTCCTATTATGTAACATTGCTTGTAATTTATACCAATGTTATTGGTATTTCACAAAAAAATAATTTGAATACTTTACCCCTGTTTTCTACCCTGGAAAGTTAAATGAGTTAATGGAGTCTTGGAGTTTGTTATCTGACATTCTAACATATTGTTAACATTCTAACATATTGTTCACATATTTCTAAACATTCTAACATATTGTTAGAATGTTTAGAAAATTTTTTATGCAGATGTGAGACCATCCTGAGCTGTTCCTATTATTTGTAAGAAAGCAGTGATATTTTCGTATGCTTCTCTATGGAAATGGATTTATTTAGAATTTTCTTCTTTTTTGGTTTGGGTAAGTTATATTTTTTATAGAACTATCCATGACATTTATTTTTAGCTAGTGTATTTCAAAATAGTTTTAGATGTATACAAACTAGCTCTTCATATATTTTTTAAATTTTCATTGTTTCAATGCATACACTTCATCATTTGTCATTTTTTTTGTGTAATTGTGCAACTTTCTTTCCTTTTGTTAAATTTTTGTGGGTACATGGTAGGTGTATATGTTTTGGGGTTACATGAGATATTTTGATAGAGGCAAGCAGTGTGTAATTATCACATCATAGTAACTGGGGTATCATCACTTCTCTGCCCATTTTTAAAACAGATTATTAGATTTTTTCCTATAGATTTGTTTGAGTTCCTTATACATTGTTAACCCACTGGTCATATGGGAGTATATTGATTAACTTCCAGGTATTTTTGTAGTTTCCAAAATTTGTCTTGTTATTGGTTTCTAGTTTATTCCTTTGTAGTCAGAGAAGATGCTTGATATTATTTTAATTTATTTGAATGTCTTAATACTTGCTTTGTGAACTAACATATAGTTGGTCTGTCCTTGAAAATGATCTATGTGTTGAGAAAATAAATGTGTATTTTGTGGCCGTTGGATAATGTTCTGTAAATATCTATTAGCTCCACTCAGTCTATAGCGCAGATTAACTCCGAGGTTTTTTTTATTTTCCACTTGGAAGAGCTGTCCAGTGCTGAAAATGAAGCATTGAAGTTTGCAGCTGTTATTGTATTGGAATCTATCTCTCTTTTTATCTCTAATAATATTTCTTTTATATATCTGGGTGTGCCACTGTTAAATGCACATATATTTAAAATTGTTGTATCCTCTTGCTGAATTAACCTGTCTATCATTATATAGTTATCTTCTTTTTATCTTCCTATCGTTTTTGCTTTGCTATCTATTTTTGTCTGGTATAAGTATAGCTACTGCTGCCTTTTTTGGTTCCCATTGGCATGAAACATTTTTTTTCAACCTCTGTATTTTCAGCCTATGTATATCTTTAGAGGTAAGGCTTGTTTCTTGTAGGCAACAGATCATTGGGTTTTTTTTGTTTTTTTTTTTCACCCACTTGGTTACTGTATGTCTTTTGATTAGAGAGTAAGGACGTACTCCTGCCATTTTGTTATGTGTCTTCTGATGGATTGTGGTCTTCTCTTCTTTCTTTGCTTTCTTTCAGTAAAAGTGATTTTCTCTGGTGGTATGATTCAATATCTTTTTATTTTTGGTGTACTTGTTTTGTGTGTTTTGATTTCAGGTTACTATGTGGCTTGCAAGTAATGTCTTATAACCCATTATTTTATTTTATTATGTATGTATGTATGTACTTATCTATTTATTTTGAGACAGAGTCTTGCTCTGTCACCCAGGCTGGAGTGCAGTGGTGTGATCTCGACTCTGCAACCTCTCCCTGCCAGGATCAAGCAATTCTCGTGCCCCAGACATCTGAGTGGCTGCAATTACAGGTGCATGACACCATGTCTGGCTCATTATAATTGTTGTACATTTTTAGTACAGATGGGGTTTTGCCATGTTGGCTGGGCTGGTCTCAAACTCCTGACCTCAAGCAATCTGCCCACCTCAGCCTCCCAAAGTGCTGGGATTATAAGGATGAGCCACAGCACCTGGCCCCATTATTTTAAGATGATAACAACTTAACAATGTTTTTAAAAAGAAGCAAACAAACAAAGAAGCAGAGAGAAAACTAATAAAAGCACTATACTTTAATTTTTCCCCTGACTTTTAACATTATATTGTTTCTATTTATATTGTACTGTTTATATCTTGAAAAGTTGTTGTAGTTATTACTTTTGATTGGTTCATTGTTTAGTCTTTCTAATTAAGATAAGAATAGCTTACATATCACAGTTACAGTGTTATACTACTCTGAGTTTTTCTGTGTGCTTACTAGTACCAGTGACTTCTGTACCTTCAATGATTTCTTATTGCTCATTACCATCCTTTTCTTTCTGTTTGTAGTACTCTCTTTATTATTTCTTATAGGGCAGGTCTAGTGTTAATGAAATCCCTCAGCTTTGTTTGTCTGGGGTAGTCTTTATTTCTCCTTTGCATCTGAAGGACATTTTTGCCATACATACTGATAGTGGAGGAGACAGGCAAATGCCTAGGCAGATATGGATGGGTCCCCGGTGGAATCCTTACCTCCAAGCTAAAGACAGTTTGAAGCCTGAAAGCCAAGCTACCAGTCAAATCCATAGACTGGATTGAGAACCTGTCTTCCTGTTTGGCACACTTTTCTCTGATTCATCCCCACTCTTCACCTATTTTACATATACCTACCCTTTTCTAATTGGTTTTCTACACTGTTGTGCCCATCTCTGAGTAGTGTATTTGCTTTAACCTTTTGTGCCTACTTACAAACCAATTAGCATGCACTCCCCTATTATGTGCCCATAAAAGCCCCGGACCCAGACACGCTGAGAGAAAAACCACCTGACTGAAGGGATTGGGGGTACCATCCCTGCATTCTCTGTTCACTGATAGTTGATCTGTCACTCAATAAAATTCTTCCCTGCCCTCCTCATTATTCAAATTGTCAGTGTATCATTCTTTTTGGTCTCAGGACAAGAGTTCAGGAACCACTGAATATGGGTACAAGGTATAATACAGTCAGGCCAAGTTGGTGGGGTGCCTAGAGTGGAAGGCCCAGGCACAAATGAGGCCTAGGTGGTGAGGGAGAATCACCAGCTATGGAGGTCCCCAGCTGGTAAAGTGGCTGAGATGAAATTCCTCAGCTTTGTTTACCTGGGATAGTGTTTTGTTGTTGTTGTTGTTGTTGTTGTTGTTGTTGTTTTTCCTCACATCTGAAGGAAATTTTTGCCAGATATACTACTCTAGGGTAAAAGGTTTTTTTTGAGTACTTTATATATGTCATATAAGGTACCCCTTCTGGCCTGTAAGGGTTCCACTGAAAAGGTGGCTGCCAGATGTATTAGAGATCCATTGAATGTTATTTGTTTCTTTTTTCTTGCTTCTTCTAAGATCCTTTCTTTATACTTGAGTTTTGGGAGTTTCATTATCAAATGCTTTGATGTAGTCTGCTTTGGGTTAATTCTCCTTGGTGTTCTATAACTTTCCTGTATTTCAATATTGATATATTTCTCCAGATTTGTGAAGTTCTCTGCTATTACCCTTTGATTAAATTTTTTACTCCTGTCTCCTCTACCTCCTCTTTAAGGCCAATTACTCTTAAATTTGCCCTTTTGAAACTCTTTTCTGGATTCTGTAGGCATGCTTCTTTGTTTTTGATTCTTTCTTCCTTTATCTCCTTTGACTGTATTCTCAAATAGCCTGTCTTCAAGCCCACTAATTCTCATGCTTAATAATTCTGCTACGAAAAGAATCTCATGCATTCTTCAGTGTGTCAATTACATGTTTAAACTCTAGAATTCCTGCTTGATTCTTTCTAATTATTTTCATTTCTTTGTTAAGTTTATCTGATAGATCTCTTAATTCCTTCTCTATATTATCTTGAATTTCTTTGAGTTTCCTCAAGATAGCTATTTTGCATTCTCTGCCTGAAAGGTCACATATCTCTGTTTCTCCAGGTTTGGTCCGTGGTGCCTTATTGAGTTCATTTGGAGATGTCATGTTTTCCTGGAGGATATTGATGTTTGTGAATATTATCTCTGTCTGGGCATTGAAGAATTAGGTACTTACTGTAGTCTTCTCAGTTTATTCTTATTTTTACCCAAATTTCTTGAGAAGGCTTTCTAGGTATTCAGAAAAACTTGTATGTTGTGATCTAGGCCTTATCTGCATTGGGAGGCACTCCAAGTTCAATAACCCTTGCAGACTTGTAAACCTCCTTGATTGTCTTGGATAATATCCAGAAGGGTTCTCTGTATTACCAGCCAGATACTACTATACCTTTTTTTGCTTTATTACACAGGAAGTCCTTCTCTCTCTGTTCTAAATGGCCTGGAGTGACACAAGCCCCTCTGTGGCCACCACCACTTGAAATGTTCTGGGTCATACCCAAGGCCAGCAAAGCACAGGTTCTTGCCCAATGCCCTCTCTAATCACTATGTGACTACCACCTATGTTTGCGCAAGACCCTGGGACTCTCCAATCACCAGGTAGCAAATCCAGTTGGGCTTGTGTCCTTCACTTTAGGGCAGCAAGATCCCTCAGGCTCCAAGCAGGTCTGGAGCTTCCATTTGGGAGCCAGGGACTAGGGTCAAAAACCATGGAAGTCTACATAATGTTCTATTGTACTCCACCTGAACTGGCACTATGAGACAGTCCTTCTCACTCTTCCTTCCCCTTTCCACAGGCAGAGGAGCGTCACCCTGTGGCCACCAGAAGCACAGGCTTAGGAGGAGTACTTCCAGGCTACCGCCAATGACCCTTCAAAGCTCAAAGGCTCTTCAGTCAGCTTGTGGTGAATACTTCCCTGTCTGAGACTTAACCTTCAGGGTAGTGGGTTCCTCTCTGGCCCAGGGCAGGTCCAGAAATCCTTTCTAAGAGCCAAGGCCTGGAATTGGGAACTCATGAGCCTGCTTGCTGCTCTATCCACCTTAAGCTGAGCTGGTACCTTAGGTGCAAAACAAAGTCCCCTTTAGTTTTCCCTCCAATATTCTCAAGCAAAAGGAGTCTTTCCCCATAGACATCACAGCTGGGAACATGCTGAGTCTCACCTAAATCAGCTAGTCTCAGAGTCTCACCCAAGGCCTACAATGTACTACCTGGGTATCACTGCTGGTTATTCAGATCCCAAGGGCTTATTAGTCAGCAGCTGATGGATCATGCTGAGACTGGGTCCTTCCCTGTAAGGCAGTGCATTCCCTTCTGACCCAGTGTGTGTCTAGAAATGTTGTCTGGGAGCTAGAGTCTGGAAGGGGAGCCTCACGACTCTGACTGGTGCCCTATCCTACTGTGCCTGAGCTGGTACCCAAGATGCAAGAAAAAGTCCTCCCTACTCTCCTCAAACAAAAGGAAGGGGCCCCCTTTGCAGCTGCAAGCTGTGCAGCCTGGGTCTGGGGGAGGGCTGGCAGAAGCTCTCCTTTTGCTGCTCCGGCTGTTGCCTCAATAGTTCACGTGTCCTCCCAGTTCACTGGCTCTGAGACCAGTTCAGCACTAGGACTAATCTAGCAGTTGCAGTCATCGTGGTCTACATTGCCTTTCAAGTTTATTTAGAGCTCAGAGCACATGGTGGTGAGGTTTGCCAGAACTAAAGTTCCGACTACTAAGAAGGGCGATTCTTCTCTGGCTAGGGCTGGTTTAAACTTCTTCTGTGAGAGGCAGCTGAGTTCAACCTGGTTTTGCTTTCTGCTATGACAGGCAGCTCTGAGTTCAATGCAGTGTCTCGTAATTGCTAACTTCTCACTCTGCCAAGTTGACAGATTCTCTCTTTGTGCCATGATGCCAGTGCTGGGGTGGTGAAAAGGTGACATTTGTGATTCAAGACTGTTTTTTACCCTCCTCAGTGCTTCTTCCAGTGATATAAGGTTGATACCAGGTATTGTGAATGTTCACATGATTTGGGGGTTTTATTAAGGTGCTTTTGTGTGTGTGTGTGTAGATAATAAACTGGTGTCCTCATTGGGAGGATGATCAGTGGAGCCTTCTATTCAGCCATCTTGCTCCACCCCTCCATCTTCCCTTTAAATTATACTACTTTATTGTTTTTTGTAAAGAATTAGCTTTTATTTAGTTCCAGTATATTTTCTGTCACAATTTACTAGTTTCTGTTTATATGCATGTTATTTCCTGCATCCTTTTCATTTTTGATTTACTTTTTCTGTAGTGAATTTTACTTTAATGTATAATTTCTCTTTTTCCATTAATGTATGTATTTGGTGTAATAAAGTTATCCGTAAGTACTATTTTAGTTGAACCCTATGGGTATTTAAAATAATTACATGTATTAATTACTTATATTTAATTATTTGTTACTATTATTTTGATAGATTTGGCAAATTTTTGTATCTGGAAAGGAGGTTGTTTTGCTATTACTGATTTTCATCAATATTATTATTATTGATAAAGAAGTTTATTGACTACCTCTATTGGCCATTTGAGGGATAACTGTGAGATTGGTTTTCAGATATTTTGTCTTTATGACTGCAGGAGATAACATGGATTTCTTTAGGAGCATGTTTAGATGCATTCATGTCATCACTATAGAGCTTGAGCTGGAACTTGGAAGGCCTGAGCAATTATTTCCTTTCTTCACTTTTCCAGAGCAGTTTCCAGCAACCAGACAAACCTATTATACTCCTTAATTAGACTCAAATGTTCTAGATATCAAATAAATAGTCAAAAACTTCGATGTCTACAGGCATTTAATTAGGGATAAACATTGGTGACATTTTACATATCTCTGTTATTAGATCATGCCATGATCTACCTCTGCTGTCTTTACCACTAGAAATAAACTCATTAACGCCTAGAAATTTAACTAGATTAGAGAACCAATTTCAGGAAACTCATAACTAATTTGGAAAGCACATTCTTAAAATTCTGTTCTTTCAAAACCACCTTCAGTACAAAAGTCTAAATCTGTTAGCTTTCTACCAGAGAAACATAACCAATTGGAGATATAGTCTAAGAAATTTAATGCAAGGAACGGATTTATATGATTATGTGGGATGGCTCAGGAAGTCTAAAAGTGTTTGACAGGCTGCTGGGAGGGCAAACTAAAATTCTCTGTGCCGCAAGTTAAAGCTGCTATTCACAGACAGAATATCTTCTTCAGGAAAGCCTCAAATTTGCTCTTGAGGTTCTTCAATGGATTACATTAAGACATACAGAATATATAAGATAATTGCTCTTATTTAAAGCCAACTGATTATGGACTTTAATCACCTTAATAAAATACATTCATAGCAATACCTATACCTATACTAGCATTTGATTGAATAACTAGGAACCGTAGCCTGGTCAATTTGACATAAACAGAAATACACTATCCACGAGATAGACTTTTTCATTGTATTGTTTATGCTTTCGATATTTTTATTGAATTTTTGCCTTGATATAGCCTTGGTTAAGAAAGATATTTTATTAGTTATCTGTTGCTATGTAACAGATTACCACAATCCTGCTGGCTTAAAATAGCATAAATTCATTTCTCACAGTTTCTGTCAGTCAGAAATCCAGTGGCAGCTTAGCTGGGACCTCCAATTTAGTGTCTTTCATGAGGCTGCAATCAAGGTGTCATCAAGAGATGGAGTCTCATCTGAAGGCTCCACAGGTGAGAACTTACTTCCAAGGTCATTTACATAGTTTGGGTTCTTTTTGAGTACTTGGACTGAGGGCATCAGTTTCAAACTGACTGAAGGCCTGAGACTACCCTCAGTTTCTTGTCATATGGACTTCCTCAAATGGCAACTTTTTAATGAAAGCCAGAAAGAGAGAATGTATGCTAGCAAGCAAAAGTCAGTCTCTTATAATCTAATGTCTAAGTGACATTTTACTACACATTGAGGTATACTGTTTGGTAGAAGAAAGCTATTCAAAGAGAAAGAATCATTATTAGGCTATAAATACCAGGCTGTGAACATCAATAGGGGGGACCTTAGACATACCTATCACAGGTATATTGATTCTTATTATTCAGGTATGTCCATCTAATTCTTCCTACATTGCCCGTAGTTTCCTTTTTGTGAAACCTTTCATATAAATATGTTTATAATATTTTACTATGTATGTACAACACCAGTCCCTCTCTTCTTATATCTTAGAAGTTCACCTTGAAAAGAATCATATTGGTGATAAGTAATTATGATAACATGTAGGTTAATTTCAAAAATCTAGGTACTCAGGAAATTAAAATAATGTGATATTTTCAAAATTTTGAAGGCACATTTAACTAAAACATTTATACTTGGGACATTATATGCTCAGCCATACGGTACTCATTTGTCTTTTAAGAAGAAATAGATAGCTTTTTGTACATTTGCTAATGATGCTTCATTTCTGCATTAAATAATTTTTATTGTTTTTTTTCAGTAGTCTCTTGTACATCTGAACTTTATACTATATACATCACTAAAATATTATTAGATTGCACAAATCACAAAGTGTAGAATCAATAATGCCCCAAGGAAGGGGTGCTTATTAAAAACACAAATTTTCAAACATTAATTTGTAAGCAGATTTCTTATTACATTATTTTAAGAATAAAAAGACATAACTTTATTAGTATTATCATTACCCCTTCCTGCATTTAAAGTTTTAGTTATCTCTTTATTTTCTATCTTTTATAGTTCCTGTTTTTCTGAATACTTCTATAGAAGGAGTTGGTGTAGTAATATTATAACATATTCCATCTACAAGACTAATCCATTCCACTTTTAAAACTGATACTGCTACTTCTCCTAGAAAGTTGCTAGCTGCCAATTACCAATATCCTGGAAACTCTCAGTGGTTGTGGGACATTGCACCATAACCAACAATACCACCCTATTTGTGTCTTCCTTAGACAGTTTGGTGCAGAGTTCTAATGCCTTCATCCTTCATTGGTTTCAATTTACTTCATCCCATCTATGGAAATATATGACTGCCACTTGAGAGTGTGCCTTTTTTTTTTTTTCATTACCAAACTCAGAGGTTTGTGCCATGGGCTATTGTGTCACCCAAAATTATTATGATGAAAGTTTAATTTCTGATGTGACTATATTTAGAGATAGAGCTTTTAAGAGGTAAAGTTAAATGAGCTCATAAAGGTAGACGTTCTAATGTAATAAATTGAGAGGCCAAATAAGACGAAATAGAGAGGGAGATCCCTCTCTGCGCGCACACAGGAAGGAAAGGCCACATGAGGATACAGGAGAAAGCAACCGTCTACAAGCCAGGAAGAGAGCTGCTCACTAAGAACTAAACTGGCTGGCACCTGGATATTGGACTTTCCAGTCTTCAGAACTGTAGAAAAAAATTTCTATTGTGAATGGCACATATTCTGTGGAGTTTCTTATAGTAGCCGGAGCAGAATAAGACAGCTTACATTCTGGAACAAGTGTGATATGTCTGTCATTCCAGAAATCTTCCATTTCTAACATTTATGGCCACTCACCATGATTCTTAGGTCCTGAGAAGATTGCACTGATTCTACTTTAGTCATAAATGTACATGGTGTACCAAGTGTGACTGTGATTTATATAAAGATAACAGCAAAGAAGACAAAGAATACAGCTCAGCACAAAGAGGAATATACAAAGCAAGAAATGCAACACAGTTCTCAGTAGAAGACTCCATATCAAACGTCCAAGCTTTCAGTTTAGTCCCCACAGAGTTAGTTCCTTCCAATAATGCCATCTGCCTAGCAAGGTGCTTCCATCGGGCAGTTTGCTAAGCTGGCTTGGCTTTTCCTTATAGCTTTTGGACTCTTGTAGCACTTTTGGAAACCCTAGGTATGTACTTATCTCCCCAGCAGGCACAAGTAACTGGTCACAATCTCAGCAAATTCCTGTGCACTTGGTAATACATTGTTGCTATTACATGAATATCTCTATTTTTCAGGTACTTATCAAGCCTACAGTCTATCCTTTAAGGAAATTACATGTATTCTCATTTTAAAATGAATAGCATGTATATGCCTACATTTAAGAGTCATTAATATGAAGAATCCAAAATATATGTGGCTTAATCTGACTCTCTTCATCGTGTTTTAGAGATATTTTAAATCACAGTACTTTTTTTTAGTGAGTCACTGAAAGATGTAAAAACAGATTTTATAGTTCACTTTTTTCTATTAAAAATCTTTAAAAAAAAAACAAAAAAAAAGTACAGATTATTTGGGATCATTTTCTATTTTCCTTTCCCAAAAATTCTTAAAACATCACTAAAAATGCACAATTTGTCATCAATTTCAAATAAAACATCTAAAAGTATTAATTGTTTTTAAGAAATCCCAACTGGGATATGTCTGTAACACTGAGCCAGTCTTCTTCTTGTGTCCTTATTGGTTCCATTCACTCATGAAGTCATTTATATTTAATTTGATGCTAAAAAGTGTAACTAATATAGATGAACTGCTGTAATATGTTATAATGTTTAGATAATGTGATTAGAGTAGCTTCATATTTTTAAGCTTATTCCATTATGATGAGATAATAAATGAAAATTGGCTCATAAACTATTCATAAAAAATTATACAATTGCATATCCATTGAACATTCAAGAAAAGGGCAGAAAATATAGAGTATATAATATATCCAATAAGTATTCCAATAAAATGGAAATTTTTGAGAGTTGCTGTTAACATGGTAGCAATCATTTTTTGGCATGTAAGTGTATAACATCTAGTATATTAGAAATTGTTTCTGCTTAGTCTTCAAAAGATATGTCATTTTTCCAAAATAAATTTCATTTTTTTACCAGATTAAAAAATACAAGCAGCTAAACTGTAAAAAAACAAAAATACTAAAAAGCAAATAACTTGAAAATTCTCTTTTGTCCCACCAACTTTGATTTTTGAGTTCTTTCCAGAGGAAATTATTTTCAATTTTTTAGTTACATTCTATTATTTATTTAGTTATATTTATTTAATTAAATACTACTGTTGTTTGGTGTTTGGAGGCAAAGGTTGCGATGAGCCAAGACGGTGCCACTGCACTCTGGCCTGGGCAATAAGAGTGAAACTCCGTCTCAAAAAAAAAAAAAAAAAAAAAAAAAAAAGGAAAACAGGCCTGGTGCAGTGGCTCACTCCTATAATCCCAGCAGTTTGGGAGGCCAAGGCAGGCAGATCACCTGAGGTCAATAGTTTGAGACCAGCCTGGCCAACATGGCAAAACCCCATCTGTTGATTTATTTCATGGTAATTAAAAATTTTGCTCTCAAACCCCAACTTTCTCACAACAATGCCACAATTTCACATTATTTCAGATTAAATCATTATAATTATTTACATTGTTATAACTATGTTAATATTTTTAATGTTTGTTAATAAACAGATTCTTATTGGAGGGTCATTACACAGGAGTGGCTCTGCCACTTTAAAGTTCTACAGAAACAAACCAATGCCCAATGTAAGTGGTAAATTGAAAGTAAAAAATTTAAACAGTCAGAAACCACCAACTTGCTTGTAGGAATTTTTCATTCTAACCAAACAAATTTGTTTTCTTCATCTTGGTTCTGCAATCACTTTTTGAAAGTTTCCTTCTTAACCCTCTCAGCTGAGTGCTGGCCACTTGTGGTTTAGTGCTGTCCCATTAATGAATTGCTGAATGATCAAATAAACTCTAACATTTAAATGTGCTTAAGTTTTCCTTTGACGACTTCTGAGTCAGCTAGTATTTCTTTTCTCATAAAATTTCAAATTTTTACTACAGTTAAAAGTTAATTCATTACTCAGTTTCTTCTCTCTTTCTCTCTCCCACTATCTTCTGTTTGTATTTTTCATATATTTTATTATTATTATTATTATTTTGGCAACTGTCTTTACGAATGGAGACTTTTATTAAGTGTGTGACTATTCATGTTTGTTCATGTATATTATAGAATTGGACACTGAGAACCAAATAGAAAGCTTAGTGTATATGTTTGTAAACGGTTGTGAGTTTAGGAGAAGTGGGACCACCCAATAAGAGGTACACAATAGACTATTTTTAGATTTCCTTTGCCTATCTTCTTTTTCAACATATTCTTCCTGATTATTTTACTTCTCTGGTTATTTCATTTAATTGCTCTGGATTTTTTTAAGCAAATTGATGTCTCCACTAAATTTCTAGTTGGATATATGTTCTCCTTGATGTCTAAAATAACAATTGATGGTAAGATCAAGGGGTACCAGGACCATACTATTCAGAGACTCTAGGCTATTTTTAGATATGGGGCTTTTATTATGAGTGCAATGGGGGTAATTGCAGGGTTTTAAGTAAAGGAATGATATTATCTAGGTAATTTTTTAGAACAAAATCACAAAATTACCGTGAATAGATTTGAGGTAGGAATGATGGAAGAGGAAAGAAGAAGGGAGACAAGTTAGTGGCTATTAAACCCGGTAAGTATCCATTGTGTTAGTTGAAGATGTAGTGAGAACTGACTGGGTTCTAGATTTTGGGCTCACAGCTAAATGTGCAAGGGTATATCTTGGTTTTTGTTGGAAATTTTTAAATAGATGGTATTTTAGAGTATCAAGACAAATTAAAACCACTTGGAAGTTTTTCATGGTTCTTTCTTATTAACTATTCAAAATAACATTACAACAACTTCAATTTCAATTGTTGAAAACAATGTTTTAGGTATACCTGAAACTTCTTTAGATAGCATTTTGTCTGACTAAATAGTGCTTAGAGATACCATCTTTGATATTTCTGAGGTTTTAGAGGATTTTAGTCATAACCTCAGCTCCACCTTCAGATCATGCTTTAGAGTGAGTACCCTGAATGTAATTTCTGATTGGAAACCATTTCTTAATTTTAACGTTGTTTGCCATTTGGAGAGACTGCAAATCTTTAATACAAGCAAGACCTAGCTACTTTTAGCTTAGCAGCTATGCTTTTAACTTATTACTGTCTTGTTATATTTTACTATAAGTGGCAAGAAGGAAAAAAGACAGACTTTCAACATTATTGTTGGAGATTTCCTTAGCTAAATCATTTAGTCTTTTAGGTACATTTTCTACCTTTCACATTACTACAGACAACAGGGTTGTTGAATGTTCTGCCACTTATTAACGTGGATCTCTTTTTTTTTTTATAGTTCCCTATAAGAATGTTTGCCTTCTATTAAAGGCTCACCAGTACCTCTCCAAAGTCCCAAATTCTATGAATGATGTGTTCAAGGCTCAACCTTTTATCGCGTATTTCCTTAGAATCCTTACAGTTTTGTTTAGCTCCTGCGAACAGCCATTTCTAAAGTCACTGCTATGGTGCGGCTATATGGGCATTCCACTTCTATTACAAAAAAATCTGCATTCACTACATATGAGTTATGTACCAGTTATTGCTGCATAATAAATTATTGCTGAAATTTGAGACTTAAAGCTATAAATATCTATTATCTCACGGTTCCTGTGGGTCAAGAATATGGGAGCAGCTAGCTGCATGTTTCTGGCTCAGGGACTCCCATGATGTTGCATTCAAATGGTCAGTTAGACCTTGAATAGCTGATTCCAAGCATTCATATGGTTGTTGGCAAGATTTAACTTCTCACTGGCTTTTGGCTGCAGACCTCAGTTTTTGCCACATGAGCCTTTATATAGGATCTCTGAATATCCTCATGGTATGTATGCTGGTTTCCCACAGGGTGACTGATGACAGAAAAGAAAGAGCGAGAGAGAGAGAGTGAGAGTGTGCACTTGCGAGCGAGAGAACAGAAAAAGAAAGTCCCAAACAGAAGCTTCAGTCTTTATAACCTAAGCTCTGACATGACGTATCATGACTTCTTGCTTGTGCTGTTAGTCACATGGCCTGTCTTAGTCCATTTGGTGCTACTATCACAAAATATTACAGATGGGGCAATTTCTGATGAACAGAAATTTATGTCCTCACAATTCTGGAGGCTAGGAAATCCAAGATTAAGGAGCTGGTATCTTTGGAGGGTACATGCAAGAAGGTAAAAAAGAGAGAGAGAGAGACAAGGGGGGCCAACCTGTCTTTTTATAACGAACCCACTTTTATAATAACAGCATTAATCCATTCAGAAGTGTACAGCATAATGGTCTATTCATTTCTTAGAGGTCCCAACTCTTAGTACTGTAACTTACAATGGCGACTGAATGTCAGCATGAGTTTAGGAAAGAAAAAAAAAATTCAAACTATAGCAAGGTTCAACAATCTAGTTACAATAAAAAAAGGTGATAACACTGGGACAAGATCATCAGGGGCCATCTTGTAGGCTACTTACCATACTGGGTAAAACTGGGCTCCTTGTATATTTTGATCAGCAAGCCCAGATGTTTTCTTGTTGAAGAAGTGACTCTTTCAAAGCAGGAAGCCTTATGACAATCACATTTCTCTTGTGGTGGAAATATTTTGCCCTAAAGACATCCAAAGAACTGCAATGACATTTTAGAAGTTGGATTTAATGTACAGAGTTTGTTTTTAATTAATGATAGCTATTTTCAAAGTAATGTTTTTTTTTTAAAGAATAAAACACATGCCAGCTATCAAAAAGGTGAGGAATTTTTAGAATTAAAATTTCTGCATCAGCTTTCACAAGAGTCAACGGTAATCTGAACTGGCATCCAATATAAATATTAAATACAGGCTGATCTTCCTCCTAGCCATATGCATTTAGATGGTCCCAGGGGAATTACTTTGGACATCATGAAGCATGGCTTTTAAAAAGCAGCTGCTGTTTTTATGAGAACTGATTTGGTTTCCCAACAAAGTAAGCATTTTAAAAGAAAATCGATATAAACTATGAGATGTGTACAGGTCTGAAAATGAACTAAATTTTTGGTTACTGAAACACTGAAGATTTGTATATTTTAAATAAAAGGTATATACTTCATAATTTCTAAGACGGCTAGCAAACTTTAAAAATAAAATAGCATTTTATTCATGTGATACCCAGAATTTGAGTTACATCATGGTCCAAGCTTCCTTTCTGATTGGGATCCCAGGTCCCTCATTAAAAAAAAAAAAAAAAAAAATGAACTATTAGTATACTCAAGAACCTGGTTTGATGAATCCCTGGGGTATTAGGCTGAATGAGAAAAAAACAAAATCCTTAAAAGTTTGCATACCAAATGATTCCTTTTACATAACATTCTCAAAATGACCAAACTGTAGAGATCAAGAATAGATTAATGATTGCAGGGAATTATGGAGGTGGGGGGCTGGGTAGGTACAATTTTAAAAGGCTAGTACTAGGAAATTTCTTGGTAGTGATAGCACAGTTTTGTATCTTGATTGTGGTTGTGATTATATTAATCTTTAAGTGTGGTAAATATTAATAGAACTACATGCACACAGAGACACACATGCACACACACACATACATAAATGAGAGTATAGATTATTCCAATTGATGATTGTCAGCTTCCTGGTTTTGATACTATACTGCATGTTATGCGTGGAATTACCATTGGGGGAAATTGGGAGAGGAGGATACGAGACTGCTCTGGAGTCTTTTTCACTTTCCTATGAACCTATATATGGGAGAGTTCCCCAGGTGGCTTGGAATGATCCTGTTTTCCCCTGTCTACCTGCTTGTAGCTCTCAGAATTACCATAGAATGTGTGAGGAATGCAATACCTTGAGATAGGGAGGAACTGCATGAAACAGTCAAGGCCTTGTTCCAGTCTCGCTTAGGAAATGTAGCATCATGAATCACAGAGGAACTACCTGGGACATCCTGGGCTTTCCTTCTGTTTCCCCTGAAAGCAAGATGCGCTTCGAAGCTTTGTCCAGCGAGTCACACCGCCCCTGAAGTATATAACCTGGGTTATATACTTGAAAGGCAGGCTGCCTTTCACTCAAAGGGGGTCATGCTCAGTCAAGACTCCATCCACTCTGAACAGCTTTTTCCAGCCTGAGGGGACTGACTCACAATGGAGTCTAGGATTTTTTTTGTCTCTTGCTGCCTATCTGTAAGAAATAAACCTAAATTCATATAACTTGCTGCATGTAAGTGTGTTCTCTCACATCGGATTCAGGCAATTGTTGAAACCGGAGCCCAAGATGCAGTGGGCAGAAGTGTTAGAACTGCTATTCCTGGTGGATGACATTTGCTATCCTCTATGCATTGGAAGTCCTCCTTTGAGACTGGTAATTAGCAAACCTGATTCTCACTATAATTATTTCAATATAAATGGTTTAAAAATAATACAAAATGAATGAATAAATTATTTAATAAATTGCCATCTTGAGAGCTTGTTTGGAGGTTCCAGCAGGGGAGCGCAGCTACTCCTATACCCTTGACCGGTAGTCCTTTATCGGGGACGGTTGTCCTCTTCAACCGCGTGTGCAGCTTCATGAAGGACACACATGGAGCAGTGAGGGAGGAAGGGGACATGCGTCTAGCCAGCCAGATCAGCCGAATCAACCCTGGCAATCAATGGGGTGACAGATGTTGCAGCCAGATTGCCCTCACATCCAATCTGAGAGGACACTTTTAATATCACTTTTTACATCACATTCTTTCATAAGAATATATAGAGCAAACACACAGCTATCAAGAATTCAAGGAGAATTAAACTAACTCTATTGAGACTAATAGATTATAAATGAGAAGACTGCATTTTATAGTATTAACTTATTATGACACATTTATATTATTTTGATAAAATTATGAAAGTCAGTCTTTGAATTCTAAATTAAATTTTATATGAAAATTTGAAACAAATGAAGTGAAAGATTTATTGTATAAGGATATACAACTAGTACTGTAATTTTTCTGCTCTTATCATCAAAACCAAAGGTGTGCAAACCCTGTGTTCAATAATTTATTTAATAGACGACACCATGTTACAGAAGAGTAAATGTAATTATTTAAAACATGAAAACATGGGCATGGTGATTAGAATTGTATATACGTTTTTCTCTGTCATTTTTGTTTGTTTATTTTTTAAAGTAGCACGACTACAGTATTCTTGGGAATCTTCTCAACATGTGAAGTTAAAAAATACCTCTCAGTAATTAATTGGCATTGCATTTAAAAATGGAAAAAATTATTATAGTGTATCATCAATTTATCTGCTGATAGACTTTTGATTATTTAAAATGAAATGTATATTTAACTATGAATCATAAATTATTAGAGAAATAATAGTAAAAGGTTAGAGACATTGTCTATTGAATTGTGATATATTTTATTTTGCCCTATTACTGATAGAAGTAAAATGAAAAATTTTGAGTTTTTGAGTATTTTTAAATCAATCATTTATCTCTGTAATTTAAAGTATGCTCTTTACACATTTTCTTGCTTTTATATTATAGTAATTATTAAGTTCTGAAAAATACAATAAGACATCAGATATGTGGCCATTGAAAAAGAAGATATAGAATGTTCTCTCTAGCAAAAGGAAGAGAATTAACTGAAAAGCTATTAAAATTAATAAACATTTGTTATATAGTTCACTAATTTTAGGGAGTCAAAACAAATGCAGGTCACAAGAAAAAATACATTATTATCAATGATCACTCATTCATTGATTTATTCAACATTTTGAAAGATTACTATGTGTCAGAACATGTTCTATAGGATGCACAAAATTCTTCTCATCAGGGAGATTATGTAGCAATAGTATAATACATAACATAAAATACCTAAGAATAAACTTAATACATGCCACATGAGAAAAAAAAATGCCTCAGCTTGTCAATGGATAAACAAAGAGTGGTGTTTCTCTACAATATAATACTCAGTGATAAATTGTAATGTTGAGAGTAAATGTGTAATGGTAAGTATAGCAAGCAAAACACAAAAGGTAAGGTGCTATATGATTCCATTTGCTATATTCTAGAATAGGCAATACTGCGAGGACAAAAATCAGAGGGTCGATGGACGTACTGCAAAGAACAGTAGAACATTTTTGTGTGTGTGTGATTCAAATGTTCCATGTTTTGATTGTGGTGGTGTTACATGACTGTATATTTTCCAAAACTCACTGATCCATATATTTTAAATATATAAAATTTGTTAGATATATGACTAAGTAGCTCAAGTTGCCTTACTTAAAAGGAAATATAAGGTTGATCACAAGAAAGATAACAATTAATTAAAATACGTACAATAAATAGAGCTATTGTATAAAATTATAATCCCAGTAAAAATACATTGTATTGGAGAACTTGAAAAAATATAGAAGTTCCAACAAAAGCTTAAAAAAACTGTATCTTCATGAAAAAGAAACAGGAGAAATAGGAATAAAAATATTTTAAGGAGACTTTCCCTGAGATGTACTAAAGTATCATGCGGCTACAACAATTTTTCTTTTTTTTTTTTGAGACAGAATTTTGCTCTTGTTGCCCAGGCTGGAGTACAGTGTCTTGATCTCGGTTCACTGCATTCTCCACCTCCCAGGTTCAAGCGATTCTCCTGCCTCAGCCTCCTGAGTACCTGGGATCACAGGGGCCTGCCACCACACCCAGCTACTTTTTTTTGTATTTTTAGTAGAGACAGGGTTTCACCATGTTGGCCAGGCTGGTCTCGAACTCCTGACCTCAGGTGTTCCACCCACCTCTGCCTCCCAAAGTTCTGGGATTACAAGTGGGAGCTACTGCGCCTGGCTGCTCCAACAATTTTAATGATGTATGTTTGTATCAACAAACTGCAGATTTAACAATGGATCTGAATAAATGGCTCACAAAGATATCCAAATGGACAATTTTTAAAACTACTTAAGGTATCAAACTGACAGCATATCAAATATCTGTGAAGGAATTGTTTATTAAATAATTGATATGTAGATATTCAATTATTTTTGGAAATGGAAATATCAAAGTAGAGCATATAGCTTAACATTCATCCAGGAATTCACAAATAGAATAAAAATATTTTTAAAAAAATAATACAAGTATGGTTGCATATTTAATCCTAGCAAGAGTTGCTAGGTTATATTTTGCCAATGGAATATTTGAAAAATGCAAGAGAAACAATAGGCATATGTTGCAATTCTGGTGGTGTCTTGATTCAGCAGAATCAAGATTCAGAAATTTTTCAGGGGCTTCTGAGTGATTGCCTGAAACTCTCCCACAGTATGTTGAGAATCGTAACCATCACCAGCTTGCTCTTGGGCTTTTTTATGCTATTTCTGATGCTAGCAGAGATTTTTTCCTTATCTTCATCTCTTCAGCTCTCCCAACAGTTTTACATGTATCCGAATATTTGAATTTAAACTTCCTTTTTTGATCTATCTAGATTGGTTTCTATTTTCCTAACTAAAAATGTCTAATAAGAGATTACTATTTGTATGTCAGGTTCAAATTGAGGTAGTGGAGTGTATTCAACAGTTTGAAATGAAGTGTCATTTCCAAGGATATTGTAAAAATATATATTTGTTCAACCTAAGACCTAAATAATTATTTTATAAAATATGATTTATTCAATCAATTTTTATCAATTTCTGGCATAAGTCCATTTGCTCAATGGTCTCTAATTTAAATTTGGATATTAGATACCTGAAAGTGTTCAGTTGTACAACTGTCTGAACAAATTATGAGCAGAAGCAATTTCAAATGTGCATTGACTATATCTCACTATATAAAAACTTAGATTATCCGTCAAAATTGCCCTACCAAATTTAATGTTCTCTTCAAACCTTAATATGACTCACTTACAAAACATAAATCTGATGATAAAATAGAGGGAAGCACAATAGCCCTAGTATTTTTCTTCCTAAAACATATTACCCAGTGATTGAAGAAATTCTTTTTTTTATAAATGAATGCTTCTTTTCAGAGGTTCTGTGAATTTTGTAGAGAAGTTGGATTTTAGCTGTTAATTTTTTAACTTCAGAAATGTTTTTTTCCATATTTTGTTATAATATGAATCTTTATTAATTATCATTTCATGGCTGTTTTGAAATGATTGCACTGGATAACACTGCTTTATAATAACCATTAACTAAAGACCTTAGTTATTGTGTTTAGAGGTTGTAAGTTCATCAAGTTTACCAAACCCACGAAATATTAAGCCAAATTTTCATTGGTTTGAGCTAGATCAGATATGGCTGCTTTTCCATTATTCATGTGGAGAAGCTTTACACGTATAAAATAGCCAAGTAGCCAACCTGATGATGTAATTCTCTGGAACCAAAGGCAATGAGTCTTCAAACTTAAGATCTTCATAAAGATAAATTTGACACAAAGCCCCTGCTTCTTCTGAAATTTGGAAGACTGGATTCATTTTGCCCACTCCTACGTGGGCAAGATCTAAGGAAGATGTTCTAGCATAGAAACAAACTAAACAGAGCCTTAAATCTTTCATAATTTTCCCAAAGCACTGCCATTGTAAGAGAGTTAGAAATATCCTTGAAAAACAATTAGTGAATTGTTCATAATTAAAACCCCCATGATTTTTTCAACATTTTTTAGAATAAATGTACAGTGACTGTAAATGTGGATTTTCAATGCACATGATGTACTGGTGGGGAATATATTGCTATCAGCCATCGAAAAATGATGCTTCTTTATTTGTGTATTTGATGACAAAGTAAAAGTAAAAACAACTACAATTTGGCAACTATAAAGTGCCAAACTCTTAGATATATTAGTTGACTTTGATTCTCATAACATTCGTATGAGGAATTAATATGAGAAGTTTACACATGAAAAAAAGTAGTCTTGGCAAGGAGGCAGAAACTAATAACAGCTCATTCACATGCACATTTTATTTATCTGTTTATTTGCTTTGTTTAGTTGGCTTTCTAACTACTGTTATCAGCTTCCCATATAACTAATAGTGTCCAAATGACTAAACTGGATCAACAGAGTATAAATTTTAATATATGTGTACAGAGGATGTGTGTCACCTCCAGTCCCAGTTAACGTGTGTTGCATATGGCATTTTCTATGTTTTTCTCTTCTGGTTTAAACAGAGAGAACTTCCAAGGAAACCTAGGAAGCCATATTTTAAAACTGGTAGAGCTTTGGCTGCTGCCTAGTTTCCACCTGGCTACCTAAATGACCAAATGGAGGAAGACTACCCCATTCATGTTCACCCACTCATTACAATTTCACAAGCAATAGACAAAGTTCTACTGTGCTTGAGTCATTATACAATTTTCGTTTTTGTGTTTAAAGTTGCCCTCCCCGATGAACTAAGTTAGTTAAGTAAATTCCCAAACTTGGTAAATGGAAGAATTCTTGAATCCAAATCACAGGATTCAAAATCCCAATGTCTCTGCACCATGTAGTAGAATACGCATGTGCGTGCATGGGTGCGTGTGTGTGTGTGTGTGTGTGTGTGTGTGTGTGTGTGTGTGTGTAGATAAATAAGCACATACACAGAAACATTCTTCTGTGATTACTTACCTGGTAAATGGATGTTTAAAGACACCGATTAATATATAGTAGGCTTTTGTAAAGTACACACATATTTTAAAAGCTGTTCTTCCATTTATAATCAGCAACTACTATGTGACACTTTTTGTAATTCTTTTTAACCTATTTGGCTTTGTAGAAAAAAAGAAATTTCTCTGTGTTCGTGAACATTGCAGGCCAAGAGTACTTATCCATTATCCTCTCTCTGGCTTTGGAGATGCTCCACGACATCATTTTGTTTTATTTAATTCATTGGGAGTCAGTCTTCTGCAGGCATGAGTTTGGCTAGTGCAGGTTACCTAGCAAGAATAATTTACTTGTCTAGGCAGTTATTTACACTAAAAGTATTTACAATAAAAGTTATGTGTAACATAAACACCATGTAGTATCTATATACCTTCATAAGTTACATCATATTTAATATTTTATTTTGTTTCTGTTAAGTAGAAGATTTTTTTTTTAAGTATTGTAAGAAGTAAGTAGAGAATTTTCCTAAGCGGGGAAAATGGGTAGGTTTTTTTTGTCTACAACTGATATGGTTTGGCTGTATCCCCATCCAAAATTTCATCTTGAATTATAATCCCCATGTGTCAAGGATGGGACCAGGTGGAGGTAACTGGATCATGGGGGTTGTTTCCCCTATGCTGTTCTCATGACAAGAAGTGAGTTTCACTGAGATCTGATGATTTTATAGGCATCTGGCATTTCCCCTGCTCACACTCACTCCATCCTGCCACCCCTGTGAAGCAGGTGCCTGCTTCTCTTTTGCCTTCCACCATGATTGTAAGTTTTCTGAGGCCTCAGCAATGTGGAACTGTGAGTCAATTAAACCTTTTTTTCTTTATAAATTACCCAGTCTTGGGTCCTTCTCCGTAGCAGCCATGAAAATGAACTAATACAGTAAATAACACAAAATAAAAATAAAACAATAGTCCGTAGGCCCCTATTCCTCAATAATTCCAGCCAACGGAGTTATTTCTTCACACTCACAGATTAGTAGCACATCCATACTTCTTCAAAACTGCCATTTTTCTGTAATGCAGGTTCCTTCCATTCATTCTCTACACCTCAGAAAGGGTGATCTTTCTTAAATGCAAATCTGATAAAATGTTCAATAACTTTTCTTAAAAGGCCCCTAATTGCTTTCAATTACCCTCTGGATAAACTCTAACCTTCTGTAGTCGTGACCATTATATTCCATGCTTCAAGGAGAACAATTCCTGATCTATTGTATGTTCTTCATAGTGAATTTTTGAATAAATTTTGAGTTTATTCAATTTTTAAATAATTTAATTTTTAATAAAAGGTGAAATAACTTAGACTGATGGGGGCCAGGGAAGGTTGGGTTCTGGGGAAGGTTATGAGCCATATGTCAAAGTCTTTTATGAGTGGAGAGCAGTGGCAAAACATTACTCTAGACCCTTGAAGAAAATAGCAGAGAAGTGTTCTTGAGATGAGAAAGAGGAGGAAAGATTATGATGTCACTATTGGACTTCATACAGTCAGGTTTCAATACAGTCCAGGGAGTTGAGAAAACATTCAATTACAAGATAAAGATACATCAAAAGGTTTCTATTGTTGTTCTTAAAGCCGCATGCCCATCAAGTTCTACAGTCTACTTCATATGTCTTCCTGGATATCTGATAAGCTTTAAAATGACTTAAATGTGACTCAGCACTTCCTCTCCCTGTGTTCCTCGTTTCCGTTAATGTCATTACTTAGCATCTCTATTATTTAGGCCAGTAACCAGACTCATTCCAGAATCTTGACCTTTTTACTAGGATTTTAAGTCCTTAACATTTCTCAGTTTTGTTATTCTGTTTCCATCCATAGTAGGTATGCCTAAATTCAAGTTGTTATTATTTCTCTCAATTATTACCATAATTTCCCACTTAATTCCTAGCTTCATGGAGAAAGTCTGGCAGAGAGTTTAGAGCAAAAGCTATTTGTGAAAGCAGAAGAAACCTAGAAATGAGTTTTGTTTGTGCTAATAACCTTGGGCAAGTTAATTATATACAGTCTCTTATATGTAAATTAAGTTAATAACAGAAAAAGGAGAGATTTCATGGTAAGTTATGTTTGTAAATGGTAGCTGATATTTTCTCATTATCTCATTTTGCCTGTGTTAAAAATGCTTTCAACAATTGCAATGATAATTACAAAACACAAAGTTGCCTAGGTCAATCTTTTATTGAAGTATTATCTATTATTCTATATATTTTTATAGAATTACACAATTCAATATATGCTTCCCATGGTAAACCCCTCCAGCCCTTCAATATCATATTATTTTTCTCCCCTCTGGAAATATGTACTCTGATAACACAGAACATTTAAGAGTTCCTCACAGAGATTTCTCTTTCCCGTGCCTTTTTCTTACTAACACTAACCAACACTTCCTTCCCACTTATTTGCCTGAATAAATTTTATGTATCCTTCAAGCCTGAGTCCATAAGTACTACTTAAGACCTTTTCCAGACTGCTAGGATGTCCTGTTAGCCTTTTGCATAACAGTCATATATTATTTAAATAATAAACTTATTTTAAATTTTATTTGTGATTTTTCCCCTCTATGCTGTCAACACCTCAATATCAGAAGTCGTGACTTACCTTTATAATTACTAACACAAGCGTGGAGGTGGCACACGATAGGCATTCAGTACATTTTTAAACTGAATTTAATTTTACATTTTTGGTCCCCAAATAAACTCAGATTTCTCTGTATTTCTTCTAAGGGCTAGAGTTTCATCTTTTGTACTCTTGATTCCAAGTTACATATTATTCCTGATTATACATTCTAGAATTCACTTCTTCCCTCCTCCACACTCCTGTAATCACAACTATGAATATGAAGCTAAATTAATTTAGTTTAATTTGTTGGTGAGAGAATGACTACTTTTTTAAAATGCCAATTTGGTTTGATGTTTTTGAGAAATATATTCTACAATGATATTTTGAAGTTTTATTTCATAATGATAGGGCAATTCAATACTGTTGATAAGGATGAAAAGCATGTCGTACAGTATGAAAGAAACGTTTTGTACAATGGCACGGCAGAAGGCTGCACATGTCATTGTACCCTTAGAGAAAACCTGATTGGCTCACTAATATATGTAGGCGCATTTCTGTCTGTCCAGATAAATTATACATTTCTAGAAGGATGAGTATGCCATGGCTGTCTGCTTTTTCAGCATCTGGCAATACATATATGTAACTGACCCTTCAACAATACAGAGTTGAATTGCACAAATCTGCTTATACTCAATTTTTTTTAAATAAAAGATAAATTGAGTGATCCTGCTTCTCCTGCCTCTCCTGCCTATCCCTTCTATGTCTGCCTTGCCTAGAGACAGCAAGACCAACTCTTCCCCTCAGGAGGAGGATGAAAGAGGCTGAGGAGAAGGAAGACTTTTATGATGATCCACTTCCACCTAATCAATAGTAAATATATCTTCTCTTCCTTATGATTTTCTTAATAACATGTTTTTACTTTATTATAAGAATACAGTATCTAATACATATAACCATACAAAATATGTGTTAACTGTTTATATTATGGGTAAGGCTTCTGGCCAAGAGCATGTTATTAGCAGTTAAGATTTGGGAGGAGTCAAAAGTTATACATATATATATTTTTTTACCATATGGGAGACCAGCACTTCTAACTCCCACATTGTTCAAGTATCAGCTGTTGTGGTTTATACGCTTTAGCTAATTTTAGTGATGGCAGGTTCTGTAGCCCAGTAAATCATAGATGGGGAAATACCCTCAGGCAAGGCAATCAGAACTATACAAAGAAGGGATGGAAAAAACAGAGAATTAAAACTCAGAATTAATCAAATATTAATTATTCATGACTTGGACAACTTTCAATTTTTTGGTTTCTTCAGTTGTACAACATTGTGCCAAGTCCCTAATATATGCTTACTCTATTTGTTCATTCCCTCTTTCTACTCTATCTGCTGTCCCCACATAGATGGAGTGAAGATTGTTATAAATATATTTATCTCACAGAGGCCTCATGCGACTCAGAATTTGAATGACTTAAAAGTGTTTTATAAAGTCTAAACTGTTATAGAAATATAACTTATTATGCATTTATATACTTAATTATATAATTATCAAATATTTATGTTTCCAATAATTTTTACAAGTTTAATGGACAATGATTAGTCAACTAAGAAATGTGGCTGTATATATTAGATATATACTAGTATCCATTCATACAATATTGCTAAATTGAAGATTATATTAAGGAGAGTAGAAAAACATTAGAATCTTAAAACATATTTTGGCTTTAATTATGAGGTGATCCAAATGAGATATGAAGCATTATCAAATAAAGATAAGACATTTATTATAATTTGGGAATACAAATATCTTATTTTGGACATTATTGAAGTAAGAGGAAGGCAAAGCTCACTAGGAAGTGCATAAAGTTAATTAAATGGTTACATATATTTAAATTTATATATACTCAAGGGTAGCACTTCTGAAAAATCTTACTAAATGTCAACCTTAATTATAAAACTAAAAAAATTAATTATTAATCAATATAATTTTAGAGGCTTTTGAAATTTTAAGAATCTCTCAAATCTAACTTAAATCAATTTCAATTTCATTCCAATTGTTAATGCAGCCAGCTGTTTAGAATTCAAGCAAAAATACTTACTATTAGCATTTTCAATATTCTTTGTAAAGTCAACAAACAGCTCAAAAAGTATGTCAGAAAGAACGACTATACTACCCTATAAAAGAGAGGTGGTTCTATTCTCAAAATCTTATATTAAACATTTTACAGAGACCTTTAACAAATTGTTAACATCATTTAGTTCAATGATGCATGCATAAAAATATTCCAATAAATTACATGTTATCAGTTATCTCTTCCTCTTTAACAATTTACCGCAAACTTAGTGGATTATACCAAAAGCAGTTATTATTTCATAGTTTCTGTAGTCCAGTTGGCTGGTCATGGCTTAGCAAAGCTCTGATCAAGATGTTGGCCAGGGCAGGGATCTCATCTGAAGATTTGAATGGGTAAGGGTCAGCTCCCTTCTCACTCAGTTTGTTGGCAAAATTTGTTTTATTGATGCTGGAAGACTGAGGCCCCACTTCTTTGTCACTGTAGTCTAGAGATAACCCTCTCAACTCCTACAGGCTGTCTTCCATTTCTAGAGACTACCTGCAGTTTCTTGCCATGTGGATTTCCCATCATGGCCTTTGACATGATCATACCAACAAGGAGAATCTCTAGTCAGCACCTGATAGCAAGACACACTTTTATCTAATATAACATAATCATGGGACTGATATCCCCTCGCCAGTAAATGTATTAATTAAAAGCAAATCACAGGTCCTGCCCATACCCATGAGGATAGTTTTTAATCAGGAGGGATTATTATGGGAAACAACATGGAATCTTTTCCCCAGACTGTAGAAATAATACAAATCTAAAATTTTAAGTGAAATTTCAGGGGAGTAACAATAAGGTGTGAGGTGCTCTAGACCTTTGAATCTTTGAGCCACTTGAATTTTCATCCTAATATTTTCATAATGAGGATTTTGAAATATCATAGTTTATCCAAAAGCAGTTATTTAAGGAATAAATAAAGGAAGGATCGTATGTCTAGGTTAGTCTTACACATCCACTGGAATCAATTATCTCTTTCTATAAACAAACCAAATAAAGGTAATAAGTAAAGGAAAATATAAACATAATAGCTTTTCTTTTGTATGTGTTTGATAAAATTGGCACTCTTTTTAAAAAATAATTAGCCCCAAATGCCCTTTTTGAGAATGTGCACCAGATGTACTTTCTAATTTCTGATACGTTCACCAAGGCTCTAGCTCTATGTCACCAAGATTTTTTTAAAAATGTTCCTAATACAATAAATTCAAATGGATTGTTGATAAAAGGCAGAGATGTTTATAAAATTAGCAAGCCCATTTTAATTAAATAATTACAATAACAGAATCAATAGCCCATATATTGGTGGTCAGAACAGTATTTTACATATTAAAATATAAAATGTAATTACTTACTGGCCAAAGGATAAAATGCTATAGTGTAGATATAATGAACAAAACATTTTTATCTTTCAACGATGTCTGAGTTCTACTTCAAAATGTGTTAGATTTATCCACACCAGCTGTATTAGTCCATTCTTGCATTGCTATAAAGAACTACCTGAGGCTGGGTAATTTATAAAGAAAAGAATGTAATAGGCACACAGTTCCATAGGCTGTCCAGGAAGTATGGCTGGGAAGGCTTCAGGAAACTTAAAATCATGGCAGAAAGTGAAGGGGCATGCACTTTACAAATCCTGAGAAAATTGCTTCCATTTAGGAGGTAAACAAAAGATATCTCTCACCACTACCTGGATGTCATTACCCAGGTCTTTGTTTCCCTCTCTGACACTATTGTGGTAGTCCCAGAGTTGCTACAAACTTCTTATGGTTCTGGGGACTACCTGATTGTCACGCCATTCTTTGCTCAATTAGAAAGACTACCCAATGAACAAAATGGGTCTCCAAAATACACCTTCATTGTCTAGCTGACAATTGCTTAGGGCAGTAAGACAGGTAATTAAACAATTAATAGTCTAAAAGGGGGACATAAATGAAAATAAAACTATTGAGATTATAAAAATGCAGAGCAAAAATTTTTTTCTAAATCAGGACTAATGACTTACACAGATGTTGAAATGCTAACATCCAGGAAATTAGCTAAGCAGCATTCTAGCCGAGATCAGATCTGAAATAAGTTAAAATCCTTTAAATGTTCAAGCTGCCAGGTTTGGATCCTATGCAAAATCTACAAAGAATAAAAAATAAATAAAAATGAAGGGGAAAAAATGGCACTTCACCCTGTAATCTAGTGACTAGGATTTGGCAATATCATAGCCATGGCCTGGGTTCAATTTCTGGTCAGGGAACTTGTTCCTTCTAGTTCGATATTTGTGTAATGCTTGACATTGTGAGATACTGCTTTTGGAAAAGTATACACCAAAAACCCAGAAATGTCAGTGTTTGTCTCAACTAAACTGTGATAATAAGAGATTTGAAAGGATTTTGTTTTAAAGAACTCTATGATGAAAAGTCAGCTTAATTGAAAGCTGATACTCAAGATATAAGATACATTGTGTGTGTGTGTATATATATATATATCTTGAATAAATATATGTACAAGCTGGTATTCAAGCTATATCTATACATCTATATATCTATTTAGATGTATAGATATATCTTGATATATAAAAATATAAGATATATGTATATTGAATATATATATATATTTAAAGGTGTATCTTTTTTTTTTCCTTTGGATCCTGTTTTTGGATTTTTTTTCCAGTGGACTGAAATCCTTTTTTAATTATGTGCTTGAGCCCTCTGTTCACTTTCTTTCTCAAGAATTGTTCTCAGGGCCAGGTGCAGTGGCTCTCGCCTGTAATCCCAGCACTTCGGGAGGCCGAGGCGGGCAGATCACTTGAGGTCAGGAGTTCGAGACCAGCCTGGCCAACATGATGAAACTCTGTCTCTACTAAAAATACAAAAAATTAGCCGGGCATGGTGGCATATGCCTGTAATCCCAGCTACTCGGAGGCTGAGGCAGGAGAATCGCTTGAACCTGGGAGGCAGAGGTTACAGTGAGCTGAGATTGCACCATTGCACTCCAGCCTGGGCAACGGAGTGAGACTCTGTCTCAAAAAAAAAAAAAAAAAAAAAAAGAATTGTTCTCTAATTTCTCTAATTGTTCTTTTGCCGAGGAAGTGGCTCACGCCTGTAATCACAATACTTTGGAAGGCTGAGGCAGGAGGATTGCTTGAGCCGAGGAGTTCAAAACCAGCTTGGGCAACCTGGCAAATCCTCCTCTCTACAAAAACACATATAAGAAGTTTGCCAGACATGGTGGTGCATCATACCTATAGTCCCAGTCACTCAGGAGGCTGAGACGGTAGGATAACCTGAGCCTGAGAGTTCGAAGCTTCAGTGAGCTATTATTTCACCACTGTACTCCAGCTTGGGAGACACCCTGTCCAAAAAAAAAAAAAAGGAAATGTTGGTTCTCTCATTTACTTCTACTCCTCCCTACTCTTTCTTCCTCCTCGCCATATTCTGTACTATATTAAAGGTACTAGGATGGACATCTAATAATGCAGACTCCTTATGAAACACAGAAAATGCACCAATGACTCCTTTTTGAGATCTGTCAGTGGAGTCTAAAGAGTCCTGGACACATTTCTCTCAAGTCTAAAACTAAACTTTCTTTTGGATTGCTTTACTTTATCTTTTTGGCTTTTGAGGTTATCAGAGATTACTTTGTACTGAGAAATAGAAGTTGACCTTCCTGTGTATGAGGGCTGGTGAGTCACTGGTGAGAACTGCACTTTTGGAGGTGTCTGAGGGCCATTGTTTATAATAAATAGTTATTAGTACAGAGGGCTACTCATTTATTTGTACATTTAGATGAGAAATGTATGATTTAAACCCTTAGAGAAATGACCTTGTAGTAAAGTGTACTGCGAATGTATTGTGCAGCCCAGGCCCATGACTTTTCCCTGTTTTGGGGGACAAGGGATTTTGTGTAAAAGTAAAATCTTTGATTTTTAAAAATCTAAATATTCTGCCTTCCAACTGTGCCTGCTTTTCACATATTTAAACTACTAGACCCTAAAAACTGCAAATGGTTTGTTGGATCTGTTCTTTAATGAAGAGCAACCTTGAGCTCAGTGGTCAGCTTGCAAAACAGACACTGAATTAAAAGCTACCTATGCATGTTAGATTGGTCTCCTTATAAAGTCCTATGGTAAATTTCTATGATTTTGTGTTACCTTGACATCTATTTTTAATCCTCCTCCGATACACCCAAATGCCTTCCTGAAAAAATCCTAAATTCTCTGTCTCTCTCTCTCTTCTTGGAGATGTAAATTTGCTACCCTGTTTCTCTAAAACTCAGTAAAGTTTTCAGCCATGTTTTTTGTTTTTTGTTTTTTTTTTTCATTTACACAGGCACAGTTGAAATCCACCTATCCTTTTAAACTAATGAGTTTTACCCGACTTGCGGCTAAAATTTTGAAACTAAAACTATAAGCTCTTTACTTATATCTGTCTTTATTTTTGTGTATACATGTGCATGCATGTTTGCTTTTATATTTTCTAGGGCCCCAAACTGGCTTATAATAAAAAGACTACTAATAAATTAAATAACTAGCCAAATGATTTTCATGTTTATGTGACATTAGTTATCCTTGGCAAATAAAGGTCATTTTTAAATTGTTGGTAAAATAAATAGAAACAACTTCATAATTAAATTTAGACATTTTTGCCTGTGTCTATTGGTTAAGCAAGTTGATACTGTCTCTTATAGATGTTTTAAGGTGATACAACTGTAATATTTATATAATTTTTAAAATATTTGCTCAATTTATCTGTGAGCTTATAACATAGAATTTGAGCCTATAGATTCTGGAATCTGGATGGGTAAACATGGTAAGGCCTGGGGGAAAATGCTCAGCATCTCACCGGCTAAAAGCCAGAATCAAGCCTCATATGACCCATTTCTCCCTGGCCCATTTTGCCTCCTGGTCATGGTAGAAGGAGCCTGATCCTACAGACATCCTCATCACGATGCTATTCTCTGTCCTGGGCTCTAAACTTGGTGTATAAATTAGGACCCAGATGGGCCTTGCTCTTTATAGCCATCCTACGGTGCCCCATAGAAACTTGAGACGCCAGGCAACTGGAGAAGACGTTAGAGAGAGGACCTGTATAATAGTTTCAAAATTCTTTTTCAATAATTTAAAAAGTTAAGGTCATGTTACGTTAAATTAAGTGATATATAATTATAAAATGTCTGAGTCATTCCTAAGTATGTAAAAATACTGAAACTTTAATTGTTTAACATACATTTAAGTTTCTATACTTTGACAATATCTTTTTATATGGTATAAAAAAGGTAAATATATTGACATCTGTTAATAAGAAAATGTTTTTCTAAAAAGATTATGAAATAGTTCTTATTGACAAATCCTAGTTAAAAACAGTTCAAAATTACATAATTCCTTGTTTTTTCTCTGGAAATTAGGGTTACTATGAGTTAAATGTGTAATTAATATATGTGACTAAAACTACTGGATATAAGAAAAACACACTTATGGGCCAGGAGCAGTGACTAACGCCTGTAATCCCAGCACTTTGGGAGGCCAAGATCAGGAGTTCGAGACCAGCCTGGCCAACATGATGAAACCTTGTCTCTACTAAAAATACAAAATTAGCCAGGCACGGTGATGCACTCTTGTAATATCATCTACTCAGGAGACTGAGGCAGGAAAATCACTTGAACCCAGGAGGCAGAAGTGGCAGTGAGCTGAGATCTCACCACTACACTCCAGCCTGGGCAACAAAGTTAGGCTCCGCCTCAAGAAAAAAACAAAAATAAAAACAAAGCAAACACATTTATATACAGAATGTATAAAGTAAGATGTAAATAAATTTGAAAATAGAGAATAATTTTTCTTTTACGTGGGAGAATTTTGTGTGGTTAAGATGATAAAGGGGAAAGTAAAGTAAATTTTTGTCCTAAGGTAAATGGTAGTATAAAACTGATGGTTTAAGCAAGTTGTGGGTTTGTGGAAGATTGATCTTGTGAAAGGAGATTTCTGTATGATAAAGTTGGCCAAAATGTAAAGGGGTTTATTTAATTTTTAAAAAATTAAATGTTAATTTCAAAAGCACATTGGTGCAGGGGCAAAGTCTGGGCCCTTGTGTTAGGTAACAGGGTTTTCTTGGAGCATTGGTCTTCTCTGTAATAGAAAATTTTAAGAGGTTATAAAAGGTTTATGGAAATCTTATCTTGTGTGGTCAAAGCAGGTTGTGATTAGATGGATTTGTTTTTAAGGTTTTATTAATATTAAAGTTAGCATTAGCATTAAGAATGTACTGATACAAAGTGAAAGTTAGGGTTTTTCTTTTAAACAAAGTTTTCATATAATATTACTCAGGATAGTAAAAGACTTTTGTTCACTTTTTGCATAAACTGGAGAGAGAGAGAGAGACAGACAGAGAGAGAGAGATTCCCTTGGTCTCATTCTGTCTTTGTTAAGCATTTTCATTCTTTGAGAAGCTGAGTCTCTTCTTTATCAAAGAGTAAATGTTCTTAGTTTTTAAAATATTTGAGTTATGACTTGTGCTAAGTGAATCAGTATCATTTTACAGTGACCTGTGATCCAATTTTGAACTAGTGTTTTAAACCTTTACTGTATTACGAACTTTCCAAAATCAAACTACAAATTCAAAAATTCAGTCTTTTTACAGAAGTATCTCCTGGAAGAACAAGAGAGGTGTATTAGACTTATTTGGTATGTTAAAATTATACAGGAAGAATTGTCAAATAAGAAATGGTGTTTAACTTTATTTAGGATATATTTGTGTTATTAGTATGTGTTAATTAGATTAAATGTGTTACTGATATGTGTTGATGAGATTAAATTTCTTAATGAGATTCATAAAATTCTGGTATGTTTTAGTATATGTTATCAGCAATAATTATTATGTTAAATTATTATGTTAATAATTATTATGTTAAACGGTTATATGTCACAGGAATAATTTTTTTAATTGTGTCTTTCCTTACAGCTGTTCTAAGGCTTTTATCATCCACAGTTATTATTTTACTTTTATTTTCCTCAAAAAGGGTTTATAATCAGCCACAAGTCCAAAATTTGTTTCTTCTTCAAGGAAATTAATGGACAGGATTCTGATAAGTACTCCTGAATACAGGTTCCTGATAACTTGGGAAACCATACCACTGGACTAGGTAAAAGCTTCCAGGACTTTAATTAAAAAGCAGATGTGTTCATGAGAATTGCTAACCCAGCATCAAACAGAACAATAATTAATTATATGAAACTAACAAAGGACTGAAATAATTTTTATGTCTTTTTTGTTTGAAACATTGAAGATTCCTTTTGTTTTGTTTTTCAAAATCAAGAAAACTTTTTCTTCTTTTTAGCCATTGATAGCTTATAGCAACTGTGCAATGTATACAGAATGTACACACCTTGATATTTACATTTTGATCATCAATGCTTAAAATGGGAAAAATGAGAAAAGAAAATTACTTTTATCTAAGGAATGCAAGTCTTTTTAACTATCAAGCCCAAAGAGACATTAAAATGAGATTGCAATCACACCTTACTCTCTGCTTTGAGCTATTTATCCATATCCTGAAACTACTTACTATTGCCACGAGTAGTTGCAAATTAACCTAATATTGCCACATCAGACATTATAATCCACACCCTACAGCTTACTAATGTGTAAGTGTATAGCCAATCATGAATCAATGTTATTTTCTTAGGCCAATGAGAATTCTTGACAATTTGTATCAGTCCACTCTCCGCCCCCTCCCCCAGTTTTGTCTTTAAATATTCACTTGTAACTGCTCTTAATTGGAGTGTATATTCAGGAAAACATGAATCTATGCTCCCAGATTGCAATCTCAAGCTTGTCCCAAATAAACTCTTTCCTTGTATTAATTTGGTCCAGCTTTTTGCTTTTAGGTTGACAGCAGAATACCAAATAAAGTACTTGAATGGAATTTGGCAGTTTAGTTTTATAAAAAACAAAATATCTTTATACAATATAACTCATTCCTATGGGTCAGATAGCAGTGAAAGCTGAGGGAAAAGACAGTCATGCCTCCTGTCTCAAGAGATCTCACAGTTATTGGTTCATTTTGTGGAATATAAGTGATATATCTTATTGCCCCAATATATTCAAACTATTTTAAATTCAATATGTAATTAATATCTAAACAAGTATTAAGATATTTAAATTCATTTTTATACAAAATATTCCAACTCCTGTAAGTGTTTTACACTTACAGCTCATTCACTGGGGATTAGGCACATTTCAAGTGCTCAGTAGCCATGCATAGATAATTGGTGCTATAACAAACAGCACAGGCCTAGTTTAGTAGAAGACAGCTGCATCCAATGCGTTGTGGATCTCACAAGTCATATGGCCTTGTGAACTCTCCTCTACACTCTTGAGAAAAATGAGAAGGAAAAAGGCAAATAATAATTTATAATTATTATTTAAAAAATTCAATCTCATAGACTCCCTGAATTGACTCAGAGAAGCCTATGGGGCCCTGGACCACTCTTGTAGAAACAAAATTGTACTGAAAAGGTGAATTCATACCTAGTGAGTCTTCCTTTCCAACTTTCTTGCTCTTACTCAATAGTGACAGAAATATACTGAGCTCTCATCTACCTATCTCGACCTCTGGAGACTCACAGAAGAGGTTAGGATTGGGAGTGAGAGATTGTGCAGCTCTGTACTGGACATGTCAAGCTTCCATGTAAACGTGGAATTTCAGAAAATCTTTGTATCACGCTGCTGCCTCCTTTAGGTTTACCTTGGATATGGTCATGTCCTCTTAACTACAATCCTTCAGAACTTGCCTGCATTTTGTGTTTATCATTAGTCATTCTTAAGGCAGACTCATCCCCAACCCATTTCTATTCATTTGCCTGACATCTGGGTGAAGAAGACAATGGGTTGTTTTCTGAAGAGTAAACATTGTACCCTTCAATTTAGTGTTCAAAGTTTGCTGTTTTAATCTTTCTCTCGTCTTCCACCAACCCCAGTCCAGGTAAATATTAAGGAATTTTTGAGAGAAGAGGTATTTGGTGCTTTCTATACAGTGTTCTCTTTACAAGCTTGCAAATTTTGGATAAACTTTAGGTTTAGAGGTACTTCAGCCTCTGACTTTTAAATTCTTCTAAGTCAAAAGCATTTTTGTCTTACTGCTTCTAACTAAACATGCATTTGGTCCTAAATTTTCTGATGTCCCTGTTGCCCTTTCTCTTTTTGTATCTATTGTACCAGGCCTGAACTCAGACCATTGAACATAGAAATGCCCTATTTAAGAAAAGTTTAGGCTGGGCACTGTGGCTCACGCCTGTAATCCCAGCACTTTGGGAGGCTGAGGCGGGCAGATCACGAGGTCAGGATATGGAGACCATCCTGAATAACAGGGTGAAAGCCCGTCTCTACTAAAAATACAAAAAATTAGCCGGGCGTGGTGGCGGGCGCCTGTGGTCTTAGCTACTCGGGAGGCTGAGGCAGGAGAATGGTGTGAACCCAGGAGGCAGAGCTTGCAGTGAGCCGAGATCGCATCACTGCACTCCAGCCTGGGCGACAGAGCGAGACTCTGCCTCAAAAAAAAATTTAAACAGAAAAAATGAAATGGATGATAGAAAGAAGTTTTTGACAAAATTCACACTAACCACAACAAAAGCCTAAATTAATATCTCAAGATTTCATTCCTCCATTGAAGTAAATTTATTTGCAAGTGGTTTCTATCATTTGCTCTCAAGAAATTTAAGGATCAAACAAGTGTCAGAAGAAACAGCTATCAATAAAAATAAAGAAGTGCCATTTTAAAGAAGATGTATTTGTATAGATGCCAAATACCATTTTGGAAAGGAAAATAAAAATATAAAATAAGAGTTTTAATTCTCCCTGTTAAAAGTAAGGAAAGAGATGTCTGCTCTCCCTTTTTCTTAGATTGTTTACTTTAGAAAACTTGCAATTTTAAGTACTTTCTCTACTTTTTGAAATGTATATAAATCCTTTTGTAAACTGGATAAATCTTTTTCCAGTTTTCTCAAACATCTATGAAGCTTTTCTTTGAAATGTAAGCATAAAGGGAGATAACACTCCATCTTCAGTTTCTATGTTAATGGAGAAATAACTTTTTAGATGGGAGCCTGGCTCTAAGCTGCAAAACTATGTCCTGTTATAAAGATATGAGAAGTTTGTTTCTTCCTATATTAACGCAGGTAATTACCATGAATCGTTACCCCAATAACCAGACAAACCTAGAATGAACTGTGTGTGACCCACGGTGCTGTTATGTCCTCTAATTTGAGGACTAGCCATTGTGGAATTTGAAAACATATATGTAATGTATTGTACCAGCTAGGCTATATAACAAAGTGAGATTTCTTTCTGTCTTTACAATCTCTTAGTGGGTACCTGTGATGCACATTGCATTCTGGTTTAAGGCTTATTCAATAATGAAAGTGTTTTCTTTTTCTACTATCTTTTTGGAGAAGATTTCTGGGTCGGAACAGATTTTGTTTTAAATTATGTTTCCCCATCACTTTGCCTTAAAAAAATACTGAGATATGGAGAAATGAAAGCTACACAAAGGCCAACACTGTTATAAATTATAGGTTAATAAAAATACAATATTCAGTACTATGTGTGGATACACATGGCCTGGCCTGCAGGCAGTACTGATAGGAATTTGAAGTAAGGCCAATCGCCCTGCTGTGTTGTGCTCAATTCACAGAGGTGGCTACAATGATGGTCTGTATAAAGGGAGAAAATGGTCTCAGCTCTGGATGAAGGCATAGAGAGAGAGTGAGAATACTAGGACCATTATATCATAATGTGATAATTATAAAACTGAACTGATTCCCAGAAAAATGGAAAAATGGAACTCTCAAGTGAAGTCTAGCCACATAGCTTCCCCAGTTGAAGCCAGCACCACGTATTTTGTTCCTAATAGAAGAGACTTAGCACATCTTTGTGAGAGGAAGCAATCGTAACATTTGAGAATTTGTGGCAAGGTAGGTAGTAGATCCCACTTAAACTGAAAACAAGAACCATGGAGGTCTAACAGCATATCTAACTTCCAACCTGTTTTCTTATTTTTAAAATTATTTATTAATTAATTTTTTTTTTTTTTTTTTTTGAGACAGAGGTTCACTCTTGTTGCCCAGGCTGGAGTGCAGTGGCATGATCTCGGCTCACTGCAACCTCCACCTCCCAGGTTCAAGCGATTCTTCGCACCTCAGCCTACGGAGGAGCTGGCTCTACTAATATTATGAGTAATCGTCCTGAACAATCCTCCTCTCACGGACCGCATGTTTTTGTCCCCCCAAATTCATATGTTGAGTCCCTTACCCCAAAGGTGATGGTATTGGCGCTTGGGGAGGTAATTTGGTCATAAGGGTGGAGCCCTCATGATGGAATTACAGCCTTTATGAGAGGCTTGAGAAGGCTTCCTTCCTCTCTCTCTGCTCTCCACCATGGGAGGACGCAGTGAGAAGGTGAAAATACTACCATCTGCAAGCCCGTAAGAGGGTCCTTACTTGAACCTGATTATTCCGGCATGCTGATCTTAGACTTTCACCCTCCAGATCTGTGAAAAATACATTTTTTTTATTTTTAAGTCACTCGGTCTATAGTAATTTGTGATAGCAGCCCAAACTAAGACACCTTTCAGTTGAAACAATTAAATTGCCATATTGCCATAGACATAGCTACACACACACACACACACACACACACACACACACACACACACACACTACTTTAATAGCCTAAAATAAATCAAGAATAAATCATAAATATAAATAATTTGAGGATCACGTTTAAACTGAAAATAAGAACCATGGAGGTCTCACAGCATAGCTTACTTCCAACCTGTTTTCTTATTTTTAAAATTATTAATTAATTAATTAATTTTTTTTTTGAGAGAGAGTTTCACTCTTGTTGCCCAGGCTGGAGTGCAGTGGCAGGATCTCGGCTCACTGCAACCTCCACCTCCCAGGTTCAAGCGATTCTTCGCACCTCAGCCTACTGAGGAGCTGGGATTACAGGGGCATGCCACCACACCTGGCTAAGTTTTTTATTTTTAGTAGAGAAGGGGTTTCACCATTTTGGCCAGGCTGGTCTCGAACTCCTAACCTCAAGTGATCCTCCCACCTTGGCCTCCCAAAGTGCTGGGATTACAGGCTTGAGCCACCACACCCAGCCCCAGCCTGTTTTCTAACTGAACCCTAGAGACTGGAAACTACCATCCAATGATAGCACAGGCTTGTAGGATAGGAGATAAACTCAGTAGTAAAGGAGATGAGGAATTTAGTAAGAAGTCTTTGCATAAAGGTGACGGCATGAAGGACTACATCCTATATATAGAGGTGAATAAAAAATCTTTGCTATGTAAAAGGGTATGGTAAAATTTGTTTGTTTTGAAATTGTTAAAACAAGATGGGGGAAAAAATCTGCCCAGCTAATTTGGAATAAGTGGGCCCTTATGTGGGTCGGCAGTCCTAATTCACACTGTCTCTAATAACTTGTTTTAGCTACCGAAATGTTAGCTGATGTGATATAAACAGAAGCTTTAAAGATGTATGCAAAGTTTGAATTTAGCACTTGTGCACAAGAGAAAAGCATATCTATAACCAAAATAAATATAGTTTGCTTTTTATATTCAGATAAATATTTTTTCCTGGTAAAGGGAAGATATGTTTCTGAAAGACTCTAAAGCAAAACCAATCAACTAGCAAAAAACTAGAGCCAGTGTGCTTATATTTATGGTAGTCAAAATATACCTTAATGTCATACATTAATAAGAAAAGCATGAGAGATAATTTGGATCATATCAAAATAATCTAAACATGTGAAGGGACTCCTAAACATATACCTAAAAACAAACCTCAAAATAACAATAATAGATTTTGACAGAAGTAGATTGAGAATTTTGTGAACCTACTGTTAATATTTTATATAAAATTTTAATATAATTTTTAAATTTGAGAAATCATGCAGATAAAACATATTAAAGATAAGTGTATTAATAGCACAATGAACAAACATTATTTAATGGAACCTGCATTAGCCTTTTCTCAGGCTGCTGATAATGACATACCTGTAACTGGGTAATTTATAAAGAAAAAGAGGTTTAATGGACTCACAACTCCATATGGCTGGGAAGTCCTCATAATTATGGCAGAAGATGATAGGCACGTCTTACATGATGGCAGACAAGAGACAATGAGAGCCAAGCAAAAGTGGAAACCCCTTATAAAATCATCAAATCTGGTGAGACTTATCCACTACCAGGAGAACAGTATGGGGGAAACCACCCCCATCATTCAATTCTCTCCCACTGGGCCCCTCCCACAACATCTGAGAATTATAGGAGCTATAATTCAAGGTGAGATTTGGATGGGAACACAGCCAAACCATATCAGAACCATATAAAACATTGCATTAAACAACCGGTAGATCACATTTTTTTTTGAAAACACATGAATTACTTATGAAAACTAACTTTGTGTCTCACCAAAATGCATCCTCAAAAAATCCACAGTACTCTTCTGGGCATGGTGTGTTGTCTCACGTCCGTAATCCCAGCACTTTGGGAGGCCGAGACAGATGGATCACTTGAGGTTAGGAGTTTGTGACCAGCCTGGCCAGCATGGTGAAATCCTGTCTCTACTAAAAATACAAATAAAAGCTGGGTGTGATGATTAGTGCCTGCATTCCCAGGTACTCAGGAGGCTGAGGCAAAAGAATCGCTTGAACCCAGGAGTCAGAGGTTGCAGTGAAGGAATCTCTTGAACCAGGAAGCAGAGGTTGCTGTGAGCCCAGATCACCACTGCACTCCAGCCTGCGCAACTGAGCTAGACTGTCTGAAAAAAAGACAAAGTTAACGGTACTTGTGCCATTCAATTCTCCCACTTCAATATAACTGATTTAGAAATCAGTAATAAAATATACTGGAAAGCACACTTATTTGATAACAAAAATACACTCCCAAATAAATGACAGGTCACAGAAGAAGTTATAATTTGTATTAGAAAATATTTAAACTGAATAATAATCAAAAGCCTACCTAGCTTTGGGGAGATTATATTAACTGGCTAATAGAAGAAATTTAGCATTTTATGTATGCTTAGAAAAATATACAGTGAAAATTCAATGAGGTAAATCTTTGACAAATGAGATTAGATAAAGAGCAGTAGAACATATTTAAGAAATTAGAAAGAATAAAATTACAGAGATAAAGGTGAAAATTAATAAAAAACAAAAAATGAAAACAAAATCAAAAACAAAACCTTCACTATAAAAATCCACCAAAAATTTTTTATTTGACAGATCTAACAAATAAAATACAATGATATTAAGAGAAACCAAGAAAAGAAAAAAAAGCAAAAATAGACAATAACAAGAATGGAGAATGTCTTACAATTTCAGATGTTAAAAAAATAAAAATTTATATAATTTTATGTCAATGTACTTAAGAAAATTTAATTAAAATATTCTCAAAAAGAGAAACAGAGGTAATGATTTCCAGCTAACCAATCTAACACACTTAGATATACAAATTAAATAAGGCTCCCCAAAAAAGAAAAGTAATGAAAACTACCCTTCTATCTTATTCAGAGCTGGACTTAGATGGGAAATTTGATTTTTAAAACAAAGAAAACATATTTAGATGAATATGAGATCTAAGACCAAATAAGCTGTAACTAATTTAGAACGTAGCATAATAGAACAGAAGCCATATTTTGAGAATGGGTGTCAGGCATTTTTTAGAACAAAAGGTATCTAATAGCAATAGCTATTAAAATAGCAGAAATACTGATTATGGGAAACCCTCTGAAAGTATATAAACAAGGGTTCTCAACCTGGCTACAATGGTTGAGTCATCCTTCTGGAAGGTTTTATGGTGTCATAGCAGAATTCTAAAACACATGTATGAATAACTTTAGAAAAGTTAAGCACTCCCTCCTACTGAGAGTCACCACAACGTGTGCATTCATTCATTCATTCATTCATCCATTCATTCATTTATTCACTTATTCGTTGAAAATAAATGTAACATTAATCTACAATCTTAACAAATTATTAAGTGCACACACACTGTTGTTAACTATAAGCTTACTGTTGTTTCATGCAGTAGATCTCTAGAACATATTATTTATTTTTATTTTTTTTTAACTTTTATTGTAAGTTCAGGGGTACATATGCAAGTTTGTTACATAGATAAACTTGTGTTATTAGGGGCTGTTGTACAGATTATTTCATCCCCCAAATATTAAGCCTAAAATCCAATTTTTTATGATCCGCTCCCTCCTCCCACCCTTCATCCTTCAAAACGCTCAATGTATGTTGCTCTCCTCTGTGTGTCAATGTGCTCTCATTATTTAGCTCCCACTTATAAGTGAGAACATGTACTATTTGTTTTTCTGTTCATGCATTAGTTTGATAAGGAGAACAGCCTCTGGCTCCAACCATGTCCCTGCAAAAAAACATGATTTCATTCTTTTTTATGGCTGCATAGAATTCCTTGGAGTGTATGTACCACAATTTCTTTATTCAGTCTATCATTTATGGGAATCCGGTTGATTCCATGTTTTTGCTATTGTGAATAGTGCTGAAATGAACCTACATGTCCATGTGTTTTTATAGTAGAATAATTCATATTCCTTTGGGTATATGCCCAGTAATGGAATTGCTGAGGGAATCTCATCTGGCTTTTGGTCTATCGTGGACATTTTAGAGTAATTAAGAGGTCTGGCCCTAGTTCTTCATAGGCCCTCCAATATGTACATTAAAAATGGTTCCTTTTCCATTCATCTGCAGCATCATTGGGATTACAGCTAAGGTTGCCAAGAGGAACTAAGAGGATTTTGGGGCATTACAGGATTTTGCAAGCTATGGGTATCTGGGTATAGTGAGATAGCTCACTCTCTGTATCACCTCGTAAGAGAAACTCAAGCAGCTAAAACTCATCTCCTGGGTATATGAAGCTCAAATGCCTTTAACCAGCTAAAGCAGGCCCTACTTAAGGCACCAGCTCTCAGCCTTCCCATAGGAAAGGCCTTCAATCTGTATGTATCAGAAAGGAAGGGAATGGCCCTGAGAGTTGAAAACCAGCTCAATAGTCAGTGGGTTACCTGAGTGAGGAACTTGATTTGCTGGCTATAGGATGACCAGCACGTCTCCAAGCCATTGCTGCTCTGGCTCTACTGGTCCCAGAAGGATCAAAATTAACCCTGAGAAATGACTTAGCTGTTTATACCCCACATAATGTGGTGACATTACTGTCCTCTAAAGGAAGCCTTTTGGTTAAAAGACAATAGGCTCCTTAAATATCAAGCTTTATTGTTAGAAATTTGCTCTCACTTACACCCAGCCACTTTCCTTCCTGTGGGAACTGGGGAGCCTGAACATGACTGTGAATAAGTTGTGGTACAGACCTATGAAGCCAGGGAATATCTCAGAGAACCTCCCCCTAGAAAATTCAGATTGAACCCTCTTCACAGATGGAAGCTCCTTTGTAGAGCAGGGAGTCCATAAAGTAGGAGATGCGGTAGTCACTTTGAATAATTTTATTAAAAGTAGATCACTCTCTCCAGGCATAAGTGCTCAACTAGCTGAACTGATAGTTCTTACAAGAGCATTTCAGTTAAGCAAGGGAAAGATAGATAATATTTACACTGACTCCAAGTATGCTTTCCTGGTTCTCCATGCTTATGCTGCCATTTGGAAAAAAAAGGTACTTTCTTACTGCCAATGAATCTCCTGTAAAATATAATTAAGGAATTATCCTCAGCTTTCCTTCCATGAGAGGTAGCAGTGATGCATTGTAAGGTACATCAGAAGGGAGTAGATGAAATAGCCAAAGAAAACAAGCTAGCTGATCAGACAGCCAAGTCAGTAGCAAGAAATCCTCATGACATCAACACACTTCAAGCCCCTCACATCTGGGAAGGTTCCTTAAATCAAGCCTCAGTACTCCCCTACAGATATAGAATGGGCCATTTCTTGAGGGTACACCTTCCAGCCCTCAGGATGGCTGCAGTCAGAGTATGGCAAACTCCACTTCCCAGCCTCCAGTTAGGGAAAATTTCCTAAATTCCTTCACCAAGCTTTTCACTTGGGAAAGGATAAACTTATCAAGGTGCCCAGAGATTGTTTTCAGGAGAGAATTTACTAAGAACAGTAAAACAGATTGTTAATGCTTGTGAAGTCTGTCTGAAAAATAATCCCCTGAACAGATGGCTCCTTCTTCCTCAAACCCAAAGGATGGGAATCTATCCAGGGGAGGATAGAGTTCACCCACATGGCAAAGGTGAAGGGCATCCAATACCTCCTGGTATGGGTAGATACTTGCATTAATTGGGTAGAAGCATTTCTATGCCATATATAAAAGGCCTCTGAGGTAGTAAAGGTGTTAGTGAACGAAATTATTTCCCATTTTGGTCTACCTAAGTACCTCCAAAGTGACAGCAGCCCCTCATTTAAGGCAACCATCACACAGGGGTACTCAAAGGCACTAGGCATACATTACCATCTCCATTGCACTTGGAGACCCCAGTCCTCAGCAAAGGTAGAGAAGACAAATGATATCATCAAAAGACACCTCAGGAAACTGCCCCAAGAAACTCACCTTTCTTGGGTTGCTCTTTTTCCCATGGCTTTACTGCAAGTAATAAACACCCCTTCAAAGTTAGTTAGGTCTAAGCCCTTTTGAGATCCTGTATAGACAGCCATTTCTCACCAATGATTTCTTATTAGATCAAGAGACCTCTGAATTGTTTAAGCACATAACATCTCACTTTAAACAGGAATTAACACAACTATCAGAAGCCCAGCCCCAAGAAGTAGGACCAGGTTTATTTAACCCAAGAAATTTGGTATTGGTAAAATCTCTTCCCTCTCTCTCTCTCCTTCCCTAAGCCCAAACTGAGAAGGTTCTTACACTATTCTCTTTTCAACCCTCTTAGCAGTAAAAGTTACAGGTATCAACTCCTGGATACATCACACTTGAGTCAAAGCCTGAAAAAGCTGAGACAGCAACCCTTGACAGCTCAGAGGAACATCTTGGATACAAATGTGGAGAAATAGAAGACCTTGAGCTGAAAATCATAAGACAAGTAAATAAGCAAGGGGTACGCATCTTACTCAGTTCCGTCTCTACCATTCAGTCATTTCTACTTTTTCTCTCAATATTTGCTAACAAATATTGAAGCTTTTTTTGACACATAATTTCAGGGATAAAAGTTACTGAAAAGAAGGGTACATACAAGTTTTACTATCACTGAGTCTGCTAGGACTTTTTATTGGGTTTATTTATACATCACTCCCTTCAGCTCCTACAATATCAGCCATGGCCCATTTGTACAATAAGACTAATTGCTGGGTCTGTCTTGAGCATTTTTCTCAGCTCAGTAACACTGAGGAACCTCTCAATGACCTGGAACTTACACTTTTAGGATTACCTTTGTTAGCCTTACCTTTAACCCTTAAAGACATATCAGGCATAAATGAGACATGGTATGGGAACACTTTCAGTTAGTTAACTAACTCCTCTCGGGAAAATACTCTGCCCCCAGTGACAAAGAACAATCTCCCTAAAGATAAGCTTCACACCCTCAGCCTGAGAAAAATTGACCTGGTAATAGCAAATGCCTCCCTCTGCTTTAAAAACAGTGGGGAAAGACCAATATTTGGGATATTTGGGAGAGCTCAAATATCATAACATCACACTTGTAATTGCTGATAGTTCAAATATTTGGGGAGGAGGATGGAATAAGGGTGATCTAAAAGGATCAGAAGCCCTAATGGGGAGGGGGGAGGCTTTCAGAATCTAGCCTCTCCTTCTGGTTGGAAGTCCCAGTGGGAGTGGCATGCTCTAAGTAACACCCTTGACTGTAATGTAAAGAATAACTTATGGGTCTTTCCAAACATGTCCCCTCACAGAATTCCAGATCCTTGTATGATGTTTGCTAATAGTAGTGGCCTACAAGTCTGTGGGAAAACTGGAGATTTCTGGACTGACAGTCCTTGCCACAAAAATTATCTGCTATATTGGCCAGGCCATATTATTTCCCTAATTTTTCAAAACTCCATTTGTCAGGTGAACCCTTCTTACTTAGCATGTAAGATTCCAAATGGCATTGCAAATGAGTATCCTGAGTATGGATATCCCTGTTCCAAAGATGCTTCTACTATATCTAATGGGAGAAAGCTTCTCAGATATGAGAAGGGTCTACCTATGTTCCTCAGAAGTCACAACTTAGAACCATCTTTTCAAGGGTCAGGATTATATTTTCTTTGTGGCTCCTAGCTACACTTAATCCTCCCTAGGCACTGGTAAGGAATGTGCATCATAGTAGCAGTGGTCCTCAACCTATTATTTTTAAATTCCACTGACATGCGTGGATCATCTGGGGATATCCCTAACCTAGGTTCCTTTTTATAAAATGCACTATCTCAGATACACCAAACAAAGAGAGGTATCATTTCCATGCCCTCATATAGAGATTTAACTTAAAGAGAAGATTGGGGAGGGCATGCACATGACAATCCCATCTTAGGAAGACCATGGATGGGAAATTCTATAATCAGAGACCACTTCTGGTTTGCTAGTATTCCTCCCCTTTAAAGTCAGTACTTAATATTTCCATTATGATGCAATGAGGATGGAAGGCAACAGTAAGAGTCACAGAAGCACAATAACAATCCATAGACTCTTTAGCCTTAGTAGTATCACAGAGTAGATGGGTCCTAGATGTCCTTACAGCTGAGGTAGGGGATACCTGTGCAATCTTAAATGAAACATGCTGCTTTTGGATCAACACCTCAAGTCAAGTAGAAGAAAATCAACAAGTGCTTAAATATAAATATAAAGTTAAATCATTGACAAGTTAAGAGAAAATGCAGGCTTCAGCCTTGAATGGCCACAATCCCTTTTTAATGAATTACAGTCTTCTTTGTGGAACTGGTTAGCTCCATTATTAAGCCCCCTTTTGCTCATATGTCTTATATTAATGTTTAGACCTTGTCTACTCAATACTATAAATCGAATTGTTTTCTCTCACTTAGAAACAATCAAACTACAAATGGTGCTGCAGGCCAAACCACACATTGCCACGCCTTTCTTCCAAGAACCCTTAGATTGACCCCAGGAGGAGTCCTAGCTGTTGCCCCAACTCGACGCCCATTTTTAGCAAGAAGTAGCCAGAAATAGTGGTCACCAAACAGTCAGTAATAGCAGTTAGGGTTACCACTCCTGAATGGGAAATGATATAGAAGTCAAGAAGAAATCCCTTAGGTAGCTAGTAAGGGTATGGGAGTCCTCAGTAAAGCTTATATTTTTTAATGAGAAACAGCCCAAAATCATTTTCTAACAAAGACCAGCAGCCTGTAAAGTCATGCTGAAGACATAGACAAGCAAGCTGGGGTTTGCACAGGTGAATGCCAGCAGGGATTAGGTACTAGATATGTTCAAGATGGCGGATCCATCTTCCCTTCTCTGCCAGCCACATGTACAGTAAAAAGCAGACAAGATGGCACCGGCCAAGGGGAGAATTTATTTGCATAATAAGATTAGGGAGGGGTGACCAGCGTTCCCCACTCTCTATGTAAACATCACACCTGATCAAACCAATCTGTGAGCCCCATGTAAATCAGACACCACCTCTTCAAGCTGGACTGTAAAATCTGGTGCATCAATTGCCAACTGGTCGTTTCCACTTGGAAGACCCCTCTATCTCAATAGACACAGCTGTTTTTCTTTCTCTTTTCTTCTGCCTATTAAACCTTTACTGCTAAACTCCTCATGTGTGTCTGTGTCCTAAATTTTCCTGATGCAAGATGACGAACCCAGGATATATACCCCAGGCAATGCAGCCACTTTAGCTGCTTTAGTTGTATGTGTGTGGTCTTATTTCTGGGTTCTCTATTCTATTGTATTGGTCTATATATGTGTTTTTGTACCAGTAACATGCCTTTTTCATTACTGTAGCCCTGTAATATATTACGAAGTTGGATAGCATCATGCCTCCTGCTTTTTTTTTTTTTTTTTATTAGAATTACCTTGGCTATTTGGGCTTTGTTTGTTTGTTTCATATAAATTTTAAAATAGTCTTTTCTAGTTCTATGTAGAATCTCAGTGGCAGTTTAACAGAAATAGCATTGAATGTATAAATTGCTTTGGGCAGTATGGCCATTTTAACAATATTGATTCTTCTTATCCCTGCACATGGAATGTCCATTTGTTTGTGTCATGTATGATTTCTTTGTGTAGTGTTTTGTAGTTCTTCTTGTAGAGATTTATCACCTCCCTTGTTTGCTGTATTCCTAGGTGTTTTATTCTTTTTGTGGTAATTGTTAACGAGAGTAAGTTCCTGATTTGATTCTTGCCTTTATTGTGGTTAGTGTATAGAAATGTTAGTAATTTTTGCACATAAAATTTGTATCCTGAGGATATGCTGAAATTCTTTACCAGCTTAAGGATGTTTGGGCTGAGACTCTCAGATTTTCTAGGTATAGGATTATGTTGTCTGCAAACAAGAATAGTTTGATTTCCTCTCTTTCTGTTTTGATGCCTTTTATTTCTTTCTCTTGACTAATTCCCCGTTCAGGACTTCCAGTACTATGTTGATTAGGAGTGGTGACAGAAGGCATCCTTGTCTTGTGCTGCTTTTCAAGGAGAATGCTTCCGGTTTTTGCTCATTTAGTATGATATTGCCTGTGGCTTTGTCATAGATGGCTCTTATTATTTTGAGGTATGTTCCTTCAATACCTAGTGTTCTGAGAGTTTTTAACATGAATGTTATCAAAAGCTTTTTCTGCATCAATTGAGATAATCATGTAGCTTTTGTCTTTAGTTCTGTTTATGTGATGAATCACATTTTATAATTTGCATATGCTGAATCCACCTTGAATCTCAGGGATAAAACTTACTTCATCATAGTGGATGAGCTTTTTGATATGCTGCTGGATTTGTCTTGTGAGTATTTTGTTGGCGAGTTTTGCAACAATATTCTTTGAGAGTATTAGCCTAAAGTTTTCTTTTCTGTTGTAGCATCTCTGGCATGTTTTGGTATCAGGTTAATGTTGACCTCATAAAATGAGTTATAGAGGAGTCTCTCCTCCTCAATATTTTGAAATAATTGCAGTAATAATGGTACCTGCTCTTCTTTGTACATCTGGTAGAATTCAACTGCAAATCCGTCTGGTCCTGTGCTTTTTTTAATTGGTAGGCTATTTATTACTGCTCATATCAGAACTTATTATTGGTCTGTTCATGGATTCAGTTTTTTCCTGTTTAAGTCTCGGGAGGGTGTATGTGTCCAGGATTTTCTCTATTACTTTTATATTTTTTAGTTTATGTGCATAGAGGTACCTACCATATTCTCTGATAGTTATTTGTATTTCTGTGGAGTCACTAGTGATATCCCCCTTGTTATCTCTCATTGAGTTTATTTCAATCTTATCTTTTCTTCTTTATTAATCTATCTAGTGGTATATCTATTTTATTATTATTAAAAAAAACAGCTCCTGAATTTGTTGATCTTTTGAATGATTTTTATATCTCAATCTCCTTCAGTTCAGCTCTGATTTTCATTCTTTCTTGTCTTCTGCTAGCTTTGGAATTTGTTTGTTCTTGGTTGTGTAGCTCTTTTAGTTGGGATGTCAGATTGTTAACTTGTGATGTTTCTAAGTTTTTGATGTGGGCATTTAGTGTTATAATTTTTCACTCTTAACACTGCCTTATGTATGTCCCAGAGATTCTGGTAGGTTGTATCTTTGCTCTCATTAGTTTCAAAAAATTTCTTGATTTTTGTCTGAATTTCATTATTTACCTAAAAGTCATTCAGGAGCAGGTTTTTCAGTTTTCAGGTAACTGTATGGTATTGTGAAGTTCTTAGTCTTGATTTCTAATTTGATCATGCCATGGTCTGACAGACTGTTATGATTTCAGTTCTTTTGCATTTGCTGAAGAGTGTTCTACTTCTATTAATGGATCAATTTTTAGACAATGTGCCTTGTGGTATTGAGAAAAATGTATATTCTATTGTTCGGCGGTGTAGAGTTCTGTAGATATCTATCAAGTCCAGATATGTCTAATATTGTCAGTTGGCTGCTAAAGTCTCCCCTGATTATTGTTTGGGAGTCTCAGTCTCCTAAAAGGTCTCTAAGAACTTGCTTTATAAATCTGGGTTTGCCAGTGCTGGGTGCATATATATTTAGGATAGTTCAATTTTCTTGCTGAATTATATTATGTAATGCTCTGCTTTGTCTTTTAAAATCTTTGTTGGTTTAAAGTCTGTTTTGTCAGAAACTTCAATTGCAGCCCCTGCTTTTTTCTGTTTTCCATTTCCTTGGTAGGTTTTTTTCCATCACTTTATCTTCAGCCTATATGTGTGATTGCCTGAGATGGGTCTCTTGAAAACAGCATACCAATGAGTCTTGATTCTTTATCCAGCTTGCCACTCTGTGTCTTTTAATTGGAGCATGTAGCCCATTTACATTTAAGGTTAGTGTTGATATGTGTAGATTTGATCCTGTCATCATGATGTTAGCTGGTTATTTTGCAGACTTGTTTATGTGGTTGCTTTATAGTGTTGCTCGTCTGTGTACTTGAGGGTTTTTTTATTGTGGCTGGTAATAGTCTTTCTTTTCCATATTTAGTGCTTCCATTAGGAAGAGCTCCTGAAAAAAGTGGCAGCAAATTTTCTCAGGATTTGCTTCTCTGATAAAGATTTTATTTCTCCTCCACTAAAGAAGTTTAGCTTGGCCAAATGTAACATTCTGGGTTGGAATTTCTTTCCTTTAAGAATGTTGAATATTGGCCCTCAATCTTATCTGGCTTGTAGAGTTTTAGCTGAGAAGTCTGCTGTTAGTTTGATGGTCTTCCCATTGTAGTTGACCTGACCTTTCTCTCTAGCTGCCTTTAATATTTTTTCTTTCATTTTGACATTGGAGAATTGGGTGTTGGGGATAATTTCCCAAGTAGAGAAGTAGCTTACTGGGGTTCTCTGCATTTCCTGTATTTGAATGTTGGCCTCTCTAGCTAGGTTGGGGAAGTCCTCATGGATGTTACCATGAAATATGTTTTCCAAGTTGGTTCTATTTTCCTCATCTCTTGCAGATTCACCTATCAGTCACAGATTCACTCTTTTTACATTATCCCATATTTCTTTGAAGTTTTGTTTATTCCTTTTCTTCCTTTTGTCTCTATTTTTTTCTGCCTGTCCTATTTTAGAAAGCCAGCATTCAAACTCTGGGAATTTTTTTCACCCTGGTCTGTTCTGCTATAAAAAATTGTGATTGCATTTTGAAATTCTTGTAGTGTGTTTTTCAGGTTGTTTACATTCTACATTCTTCTCTATACTGGCTATTTTGTATGTCACCTCCTACAATGCTTTGTCATGATTTTTACCTTCCTTGCATTGGGTTACAACACGCTCCTGTAGTTCAATGAACATAATTCCTGTCCATATTCTGAATTCTATTTCTGTCATTTCAGCCATCTCAGCCTCAGCCCATTTCCAAACCCTTGCTGGAGAGGTAATATGGTCATTTGGAGGCAAGAATGCACTTGGGATTTTTGAGTTTTTGTTTTCTTGCACTGATTCTTTCTCATCTTTTTGGGCTTATCTACCTTCAATCTTTGAGGTTGCTGAAGTTTAGATTTTCTTTGCTTTTATCCCATTTTATGACCTTGAGGATTTGATTGTGATATGAGGTGGATTCAGAAGACTGGCTTCATTTATGGGAGGTTTTAGCGGGGCAGCACTCAGCTCCCAACTCCTAGGCTGTGTGCTCTAAATCTGAAGGACATGTACTGGGTTCCAATTTTGTTCTCTGGCTTCTCAAGGTTTGGAGTCCACTGTGCTAGGAGTTGTAAGGGTGAGGTGCAGCAGCTGTAGCAGAGTGCTAGCAAGTGCAAGGGCGCATGCCTGCCTATGGGCATTCACCACAATGGCAGAAATAAGGCATCTGGGGGGGAACAGTGGCTCCTGCTATAGTCTGTGTGCACTGTTGCACTGGAGGTGGTGTGGGCTTTGATCAAGGTGCTGGCCAGCACAGGTCTAGATGTCTTCTCTATGCCCCACAAGCAGGAATGATTGCTCAGGGTGTGAGAGGATCCCCTGTCCTTTGTGCAGCCTTAGCTTAAGGGCAGGGTGCTGGTGGGGGCAGGGCTTGCTGGCACTTTGCCTGCCAAAGCTCCCTCTGCAATGGTGGTCAGTGGGATCGGAGGGCATGCTGCACTCTTGCAGGCTGGTGGGGCAAGTAGAACAAAACCTGCCCATGCAGACATGTGCCAGCAAAGTGATGTGGGAAGTTGCCATGGGCTTGGAGAAGCTATTGTATGGGAAGGGAATGTGTGGGCTGGTGTGTGGTCATAGGAGCTGCCTTCCAGGAGCTCTCCACCAGTCAGACAGGGTTCCCTCCTGCAGAAGCTAAAGTGTGGGCTCCCAGGAGCCCAAGACTTTCCTGTAAGTAGGTGTGGCCAGGCTGGGGCACCAGGAGGACAGCAGACCAAAGCGTGCTCAAGTTGGCCCAGCCCCATCTGATGTGCAAGGCCATCCTTCAGATATTAGGTCCGACAGTTACCCTAGGGCTAAAGTCTCTTATGGGAGCAAGTTGAGCCTAGGGGAATGGCCATCCCTGGCACTGCTCCACTACAGATGCTCCTGCACCAAGCCCTCTGGGCCCCACATCAGCTGGTTTGTTGCCCCACCACTTCTCTAAGCACCTCTCCCTGACACCTCAAGTGTCCATGGTGGTCGAGTTGTCCCCTCTTGCCATGGTGCCAGATGCCCCTGGTGAGAGAGGGTTGCTTTTTTCCAGTTTTACTCATATCTTCCCCTAAAGCTGCTGTGGTTCAAAAATAAGTCCCAGCATGCAGTAGGCTGTATAGGGTTCCCAGCTTTCTCCCCCATCAGTCCAGCTTCTGTGTCTTCCCTCTGTCTCCTCTTGGCACCTTCTTTCTGAAGATCTGTTAAAAGCATGCCAGTTGTCTCAGTACTTCATGGGAGCTATTCCTCTTGTTTGTGTCTAGTTCATCATCTTACCTTCTTTCTTAACTCATCTTAATCTCACAAAAATATAACTTTATATGAATTGAATAGTAACTCCACATATTTCTTCCCCCAGCTCCTGGCAATCCCTGTTGTACTTCCAACTATGAGGTTGACTACTTTAGATACCTCATGTCAGTAGCCTCATGCCTTAATTGCCTTAATTGGCTTTTTTCACTTAGAATAATGGAAAACAGTATGTAGATTCATCAAAAATAAAAATTAAATAAATACATATGGATTAGTAACCTGACTCCTGGATATTTTCCTAAAATAATTGAAATCAGGATCTCAAAGAAATACTTGCGCTGTCATTCGCATTGCATCATTATTCAGAATAGCCAAGATGTGAAAACAACTTTAATGTCCATTGACAAAGGAATAGAAAAAGAAGATGTGGTTTATATACAGAATATTTTATTTTTATTTTCTTACACTCAGCTGGGTTCCCATGTTTATTACCTTTTGTGCACAGGTAGTCAACAAACTGTATAACCTTTCTTTCTTCTTTCTCATCCTTCTGTTAACCAAACCTAGTGATCTGGTGTATGTAAGTGACCATAGTTCTCTCCATGCTCATGTTACCATGTGCAAATATATGTATAATATAAAAGCATGGAGATTGTTCTTACAGTTTTAAAAACCTAGTATAATTTTATTTATAGTACTCTGAATCTTGTCCTGTATTAATAAACATGATGGAAAAACATCCAATTTTCAATGCTTGGGTGTAGTTGTGACTTATGTGTATTATTTCATAGACTAGATGTAACACATTTGTTTTTCAATCATGTCCCTATTAACAGACTACTACTTTGTTTTCTATTTGAATACTTGCTCCTTTTTTCACTTCTTATTTTCACATCTTTATTTTCTTGAGGAATTTCTCTTTTGAAAACTTACTGAGAATTTTGACCATATTGGATTTGACCCTTTCTCATTCCTAACCTTCTTGTCATATTGTTATGTTCTGTATGTCCTCTGTAATTTTTAGGATTCCATCTTTCATATTGATATCTCTTCATTTATTCAGATCAGTTGCTCTTCAATTATTTAGCATTTTATTGAAAGCTTTTTAATATAACACTATTTATTTCTTCTGTACTAGAAAAGTTGATCCATATGATAATTTTAATATCAATTAATATGATTGGAAATGTGCCAGTGTCTCATTTGATAATGTTATTTTATTCCCAGCTTTTATTTTAGGTTCAAGTGTGCATGTACATGTTTGTTATGTGGATAAATTACATATTTCAGGGGTTTGGCACTGAGATTATTTTATCACCCAGGTAGTGAGAGTGTACTTGATACACTTATTTGTCAATCCTCACCCTCCTCTCACCCTCCATCCTCAAGTAGGCCCCAGTATCTATTGTTATCTTATTTACTTCCATGCGTACTCAACTTTTAGCTCCTATGTATAAATGAAAATGTGGTATTTAGCTATCTGTTTCTGCATTAATTCACTTAGGATAATGGCCTACAGTTCCATTTATGTTGTTACAAAGGACATTATTTCATTATTTTTATGGCTGCATAGTATTCTGTGGTGTATATGTAACACATTTTCTTTATCCAGTCCACTGTTTATGGGCATCTAGGTTGATTTGATGGTTTCGCCATTGTGAATCATGCTGTGAAGAACATAAACATGTATGCGTTTTATGGTAGAATAATTTATATTCCTTTGGGTATATATCCAATAATGGAATTGCTAGGTCAAATAGTAGTTCTCTGAGATATATTCAAACTGGTTTCCACAGTGGCTGAACTAATTTACATTTCCACTCTTAGTGTATAAGGGTTCCTTTTTTTCTGCAATCGTGACCGCATCAGTTATTTTTTAATTTTTTAATAAAAGACATACTGAATGGTGTGAGATGATATCTCATTGTGGTTTTGATTTACATTTCTGTAATGATTAGTGATGTTAAACATTTTTTCACATGCTTGTTGGATTTGTGTGTGTCTTCATTTGGGATGTGTCTGTTCATATCCTTTGCCTGTTTGATAATAGGGTTGTTTGTTTCTTGCTTCCTGATTTGTTTGTTTCTTATAGATTTGCTGGGTGCATAATTTGGAAATATTTTTTTCCCATTCTTATAGATTTGTTGCATGCATAATTTGCAAATATTTTCTCTCATTCTTTAGGTTGTCTGTTTGCTCTTAATGGTTTATTTCTGCACAGAAAAATTTGCTGTGCAAAAACTTTTTAGTTTTATTAGGTCCCATTTGTTTGCTTGTTTGTTTGGTTGCTGTTGTTGCAGTTGCTTTTGTATTCCTCATCATGAAATGTTTGTCTATTCTTATGTCCAGAATTGTATTTCCTGGGTTTTCTTCCAGGTTTTTTAGAGTTTTAGGGTTTACATTTAAGTCTTTAATTCATCTTGAGTTAATTTTTGTATATGGTGAGAGGAAGGGGTACAGTTGCAATCTTTTGCATATGCCAGTTATACCAGCAACATTTACTGACTAGAGAGTTGATATGGTTTGGATCTGTGTCTCCAACAAAATCTCATCTCATAGCTCCCATAATTTCCATGTATTCTGGGAGGGACCCAGTTTGGAGGGATCAGAAGAAGACAGGAAAATGTGAAAAAAGTTTGGACTCCCTAATGACTTGTTGAATGGCTTTGACCAAAATGCTGATAATGATATGGACAATGAAATTCAGGCTGACATGGTCACAGATGGAGATGAGAAACTTGTTGGGAACTGAAGCAAGGGTGACTCTTGTGCTTTAGCAATGAGAGTGGCAGCGTTTTGCCCCTGCCAGAGAGATTTGTGGAACTTTGGACTTGAGAGAGATGATTTAGGGTATCTGGTGGAAAAAATTTCTAAGCAACAAAGTATTCAAGAGGTGACTCAGATGCTGTTAAAGGCATTCAGTTTTAAAAGGGAAATGGAGCATAAAAGTTTGGAAAAGTTGTAGCCTAACAATACAATAGAAAAGAAAATTCTACTTTCTGAGGAGAAATTCAAGTTGGCTCCAGAAATTTGCACTTGTAATGAAGAGCCAAGTGTTAATCCCCATGGAAAAAAATGTCTCCAGGGCATGTCAGAGACCTTTGCTACATTACAGGCCCAGAGATTTAGGAGGAGAAGATGGTTTCCTGGGCCGGGCCCAGGGTACCTGTGCTGTGTGCAGCCTAGGTACTGGGCACCCTGTGTCCCAGCCACTCCAGCTGGGGCCAAAAGGGGCCAATGCACAGCTCAGGCTGTTGCTTCAGAGGGTTCAAGTCCTAAGCCTTGGCAGCTTCCATGTGATGTTAAGCCTGCAGGTGCACAGAATACAAGAATTGAGGTTTGGGAATCTCTATCTAGATTTTAGCCGATGTATGGAAAAACCTGGAAGCCCAGGCAGATGTTTGCTGCAAGGATGGGGCCCTTGTGAGGAACCTCTGCTAGGGCAATGTGAAAGAGAAATGTGGGATCGGAGCCCCCTCACAGAGTCCCTACTGGGACACTGCCTAGTTGAGCTGTGAGAAGAGGGCCACTGTCCTCTAGACCCCAGAATGGTAGATCCACTGACAGCTTACACCATGTGCCTGAAAAAGGCACAAACACTCAATGCCAGCTCTTGAAAGAAGCCAGAAGTGGAGCTATACCCTGCAAAGCCACTGGAGTGGAGCTGCACAAGGCTGTGGGAGCCCACCTCTTGTATTAGCATGACTTGGATGTGAGACCTGGAGTCAAAGGAGATCATTTTGGAGCTTTAAGATTTGACTTCCCTGCTGGATTTTGGACTTGTATGGGGCCTGTAGCCTATTTGTTTTTGCCAATTTCTCCCATTTGGAATGGCTGTATTTACCCAATTCCTGTAACCACACTGTATATAGGAAATAATTGACTTGCTTTTGATTTTACAGGCTCATAGGCAGAAGGGACTTGCCTTGTCTCAGATGAGACTTTGGACTGTGGACTTTTGAGTTAAGGCTGAAATGAGTTGAGACTTTGGGGGACTGTTGGGAAGGCATGATTGGTTTTGAAATGTGAATATATGAGATTCGGGAGAGGTCTGGGATGTAATGGTATGGTTTGGCTCTGTGTTTCCACCCAAATCTCATCTTGTAGCTCCCATAATTTCCATGTGTTGTGGAAGGGACCCGATGAAAAATTACTGAATCATAGGGGTGAGTTTTTCCCATGTTTTTCTCATGATAGTGATGAGTCTCACAAGATCTGATGGTTTTAAAAACAGGAGATTCCCTGCCCAAGCTCTCTCTTTACCTGCTGCCATTCATGTAAGATGTGACTTACTCCTCCTTGCCTTCTGCCATGAATTGTGAGGCCTCCCCAGCCATATGGAACTGTAAGTTCATTAAACACTTTTTTCCATATAAATTCCCCAGTCTCAGATGTCTTTATCAGAAGTGTGAAAACAGACTAATATAGGAGTTATTTTCCTATTTCTTGTTTTTGTTGACTTTGCCAAAGATCAGATGGTTGTAGACATGCACCTTTATTTCTAGGTTCTCTAACTTGTTCCATTGGTCTATGTGTCTGTTTTTGTAGCATTTCCATGCTGTTTTGATTACTGTAGACTTGTAGTATAGTTTAAAGTTAGGTAATGTGATGCCTCCAGCTTTGTTCTTTTTATTTCTAAGAATCTACTTCTTTACATTGCATATATTAATTAGGTTATTTAAAAATACTAACCACTAGTTTACTTGCTACATGCTGAGGATACAATGATGATAAAAGTCACATAGCAAGAACCAGCCTTTATATATTGTAAAAGAAATCCTGTTTTAATTACCTTCCATTCATCTTATTGTTGAGAGAAGACTTTCTAGCCTAGGATTTTAGAGATGGTTGATATTCAACACCCTACACTGGACAGATAAAATCCACAGTATTATTCCAGTCACCTATACTCACAGATTGAGAGGCTAGAGCACACCATGCAGGGCCACATGGCAGTTGCAATTGGGAAGAAAAGGAATAACTGGAAACTTTATAAGGCATTCTCTGTTGCAAAAAGAGGATGAGGTGATCCCTGGCATCCATAGAAGGATGTAATTGACGCGTTTGAACAATTCCACTGTCTGCCAGGAACTGAAACATACTACTTATGTATAAGTAGGAACTAGCCTGGTTCCCTCAAAAAGGAGGGTTGTTTGGCTAAAGAATTTTACCCAACTGAAGGAGCAGAGGGGGAGGGGAATTGTGATGAGTCCATTCCAGGTCCTTTCACATTTCATCAAATGTCAAGGCAGCACCTAATAATGTATCTTAATGTTAGAATTACATGTAAATGCCCAATAAAACATACTAAACAAAATGAAAATTCAAAAAAAGACAACAAAGTTCTGTCTGATACTATCAGATAATAATTTTTAAAAGGAGAGAGGAAGAAGATTTGTTAAGGTTTAATGTGATTAATTTTAGCGTTGAAAACAAATAAAGCCTTGGTAAAGGCAAATAAACCTTATTTGACTTGAAAATAATAACAGTTAGAAAACATTAAAATGACATGAAAATCAATGGACATGAATTTATTGTTTCTGTAAAATAAGATATTAATGTGGCTTCATAATAGTTTTAATTTAGTTTACTATATTAATAAATTTGGAAATGTATATCAATAGAATTAGATACAGAGATATAAATAACCTGAACTTTTCTATGTATTTTCCTAGGGAGCATGTCCATATTTAAATTTTAAAATTAAAGATTATAAAATAGTTTATACAAAATTTAGGCAACGCAGACCACACACACACACAAACACACACATTTGTTCACTGACTACTTTCACACAATCATTCAGTAAATATTTATTGGATAATTCGGCACTACACTTTGTCCCTGCCCAACAGGGATAAAGACATATTCACAATGTGTTTAAGATCGAGAGAGGAGAAAGACATGTATGTGTGGAAATTTAATTGAAACTTTTCTGAGGTTCAATATAAGCCAAGTGCTATGGATCTAAGTATGAAAGATGACAACCATCATCTTTAAAGTTTATAGTACATATCACAGGGAAGTATTCAACTGATATTACAAATAGTCTACTAGCTACTCAGTGGCTCCTATAGCTATTGCTGCATATTATTAGTAATGTTTTGTATTCACGTTTGGATATTTAATTTTAATTATTAGAATCATATAACATATATAAATTAATTTTCATAAGTCTATTCAAAGTAATTCAATTAAGCATATACTTACTAATATTTTCCTAAATAGCATCTAAATATTTAAAAAATGGAGTCCAGCTGTATAGATGTTCTTCACTTTTATGAAATGTCTCTTTTTTTAAATTTAATTTTTTTGGCAGAATGTGTCTTGGTCCTTCCTTTTTTAGATGTTGTTGTTGAGAGTTTTGTGTCATTGTCCTTTAATATTAGGGAAGAAATAATTTAATTAATTTGATTGTAACACATGTACTTTAGAATGCATATTTTGAAGTCACTTTGCCCCACATCAATTATTTCCTGAAATAGAAGGCTACCTGCAGAAAGATATAAATTAATGAAGCTTATAAAATGTCAGTAACATATTAAAATAATTTAATGTATTTAATGAGCTGGAATTTACCTTACTTGTAGATTTGAAAATCAGATTCCAGATGCTTACATGTGTCTGCTCCATTCAAATCCACCCTTTTCCCACTTACAAGATTTCGGACAAGATGTGACGCAGCTTCATGATAAACATTTTGAGGTTGCTTGATGAACACAAAAGAGGCAATGATCCCTAAATTTTATAATTTTTCCATGCTGCTCAAAACAGGTCCCATGGCAGGGCATCTTCTGATTTAATTCATTAAGTAAATCCCCAGGCCCTTAAGCTCAGCAAGAATATTGTATTGCACACAATCTTATAAACTCAATAAATTAAGAGCTGCGTGGTTTTTGTTCATTTCCACTAAGAAAGGGCACCTTGTTAGAGTAATAAGAAGAGGCAGGCATTTGTCAAATATCTGGGGCCCCGGTTTTATTTGCTTGAGCGGAGTCACCATCACTAAACCAAATAAAAGGGTGTGTGTTTCTTCTTTGGGCAGCATAACCCCACAAGCAAATATAACACAAAGTTCACAGATAACAAAGGAAGGTCCTCCAAATAGTGACTTTGCAATGATTCTTAGCCTTGGCTATATCTTAAAATCACCTGCAAAGCTATTTCAAAATATTGATTTTCGGGTCTCAATCTGACCTTGTGAATCAGAATTTTTAGCAGTAGGTCCCAGGCATTGCTGTATTTTAGAGTTATCTGCATGATTCTAGCGCACAGCTGGGTTGGGAATCTCTGTCAGTTTGTGAATAAAGAACAAGTTGCTAGGCTTGGGAAACTCTTAAAATATATATCAAATAATTATGGCTTTCCTTGATGCAAAAAATACAATGTATTTGTCTTTGGAAAACTTTGGCGTTTATTACTGTGTGTGTGTGTGTGTGCGCGCGCGCGTGCACGCGCCTCTTCTTCGTGCAAAACGACAGATTTTTGCAATTTTCTCATACACTAGGATTCTGAGCTCATATCAAGATTGTCAATATATAATTTTTGAAGACAAGTTTTCTGGTTTTGTCCTGGGTACAAATGCTTGGGACAGATTCTCCTTCTTCAAGACCTTTTCATCTGTAGCAGGGAAAAGGTAACGAGCAGACTAGCTTGACTCATCTCAGTAATAATATGGTAACTATAATTAATGTCATAATTAGTCAAAATAACAACAATTATTTACCATAATGAATGCCATGGAGTCTGCTTACATACATTTGCTTATCTGCAGATGTGGCTTTCTTTTCTTAAGCTTGTCTATTATATGAAACAGGCCAACTTATGATCTTTTATCACTTACCAAACTTTTTGAATTGCAGATAACATTCTGTCCTCTTGTATATTTTCATTCAATTTTATCAATGTCTATATTTACACTTTTTTGTAATTTTAATACAATTTTGGAAATGAGACATAAAGCACATATATTTTTACTCTCTTGAAAACCTTATTTAATTTTATTCGATGGTTTTTAAAATATCTATTTATATTTTATTAAATATATATAATACAGTGCAAATGGTATGTAATTTTATTTCATACTAGGATTTCAGTTGTTTCCATTTAATTTCTCAGTTATTTTTCTAAAACTTCTAATACAATACCATGACAAAAATATTTACAGGTCTGCAGCAAAAACACTTTATAATGAAATATTGAAACCATTCCTGTTAACAAATGAACTAAATAAATAAGGGTGCCCACTATCACCAATTCCTCTTTTTTTCAGAAATGGGGGTCTCATTTTGTTGCCCTGGCTGTCATAACTCACTGCAGTCTCAAAATCCTGGACTCAAGGGTTCCTCTCACGTCAGCCCCTCAAATAGCTGGGAGTATAGGTATGGGACCCTGTGTCTGGGTAATTTTTTTTTAAATTTTTTTGTAGACAGGGTCTTGCCATGTTGCCCAGGCTAATCTCAGACTCCTGAGCTCAAGCAATCCTCCTGCTTCAGCCTCCAAAAGTCCTGGGATTACAGGGTTGAGTCACCATACCCAGTCAACCAATATTTTAAATACTGTAGCGGTGGTTCTAGTAATTTCATTAAGATAGAAAAATTATTTACATGTATAATTATAATTTAAAATTCAAGAAAATAGAAATAAAATAATAAATTAGTAAGAAAGTATTACAAGTGTAAATTTTGTATATATACAAAATATCAATTCCATTTCTATATTTTAGCAACAGTTTGAAAATGAAAACACAAAACATACTTAAATTAACCTTGATAGTATAAAGTATCTAGGAATAAATCTAAATAAAAGATTGTTAATGCATTTATGAAAATATTTAAATTCAAGAAAATAGAAATAAAATAATAAATTAGTAAGAAAGTATTACAAGTGTAAATTTTGTATATATACAAAATATCAATTCCATTTCTATACTTTAGCAACAGTTTGAAAATGGAAACACAAAACAGACTAATCTTGATAATATAAAGTATCTAGGAATAAATCTAAATAAAAGATTGTTAATGTATTTATGAAAATATTTATACAATTCTATTCTCGCTCTGTCACCTAGACTGGACTGCAATGGCATGATCTTGGCTCATTTCAACCTCCATCTCCCAGGTTCAAGCAATTCTCTTGCCTCAGCCTCCTGAGTAGCTGGGAGTACAGGCGCATGCCACCATGCCTGGCTAATTTTTAAATTTTTAGCAGAGACGGGGTTTCACTCTGTGGGTCAGGCGGGTCTCGAACTCCTGACCTTGTGATCTGCCTGCCTCGGCCTCCCAACGTGCTTGGATTACAGGCATGAGCCACCACTCTGGGCCACTATTCTATTTAAAAACCTCAATGATGATTAAAAATGAAGATAAACCAAAATTCTGAAACCCTATCTGTAAATTTATACATATAGCATTAACATGAAATCTTTATACAAATTTCAATTGTTTTGAGAGTCTTGATAATCTGACAATTTTTAATCAAGGAAAAAAGTTCAAGAATATTTATTCCTAGAGTAGAAGTATAAGAATGTCTAAAAATCTAGTAAGATTTCAAAATTAGTATTGAAGAAGTAATTAAATATGGCATTGAAACAGGGATTAGAGACTTGAACATAGTACAGAATCAACGGTCCAGAGACAAACTGAGAAAATATTTTAGAGTATATTTAAATTTTACTAGAGCTAACGTCTGTTTCAATTATTTATTACTGTGTTCAAACCCACTCCAATATTTGGCGTTTTAAACCAATATCTACAACAGGTTGGTCTTGTTCTGGTTCACATGATATAGATGAATGTCCATGAAAGTCTGGAAATGCTAAGAGATCCTCATTCATGTGGCTTGGAGTTGATACTCTCTGGTTACTGGTATCTCGGTTGAGAGAGTCAGCAAAGCAGGTGGTTTATTAATGGCAAAAACCACAATTACTTTAGCACCAACCTAATATCCCCATGTGGGTCTTTCCGTATCGTTGCTCAGGCTTTCTTAACCAAGCATGAAATTTGGGTCCCAAGAAGGGATATTGCCAAATGAAGGAAGAAACTGTAGATCTCTTAAGGCCCAACTTCAGACATTAAACTGTATGTTGTTCCACCACCTTTTGTTAGAGAAACAGCTCACAGGGCCAACTAAGTCTCAAAAGGGAGGAAAATAGACTATTTCTTAATGAGGGAGTGTCAAGATCACGTCATAGGACAGCATGTGGAATGGGAGATACACTGTAGCCAGTTAGAAAACAATGTCTGACTCATTACTCATGATAGGCTGTTGCGTATCACTGGGGAAATCATAATTTTTCAATAAACTGTGGTGAGACAATTGCTTATTTCTTTGGAGAACAAAGGTTAAACAATTCAACTATATTAAACTCCAGAACTTTGTCTCTGAATCCAGAATAGGGCACCATAATAAGAGTTGAAAAGGAACATGTAATAGAATATAGAAGTTATTTTAACCCACATGATCTGACAATACACAAGTAAACTGGATGTAAACAAAAATGTTATATATCATTAAGAAAGAAAAAAAAAGGACTAAAGGTACTTACATAAATTTCACCAAAAATGAAAAACAAATGGTCCATTAATTTACAAATGAATGGTCACCTTTACTGGCAACTATGGAAAGGACAATCAAAACTATAATGGCATTCATTTTTATACTCACAGAATTGAAAAAAGGTCAGAAATTACCATATGTTTATCCAGATGTGAAACAAAAAGGGGCAGGCTTATGCTAATTTGTTATTTTTTTTATTTTTTATTTTTTTGGAAATAAAATGATTTATTAGGCACCATTTGATTTTGGCCAGAGGTCTTAACAAGGGTTAAAGTTATACACTGGATTTAATTTTTATTTCAAAGCTGAGTTCTAATGACATTTATTGTTCAAAGGCTTTTCTGCCCTGTATTTTTCCTTAGTTGCTTATTTTGAACGTGAATGTCCTTGAATCACTGCACTTTCTTTATTCTCTTTCGTGTCTTCATGAAAACTGAACCATATTTTTTTCTGCATTCATCCCTTTCTTGTAAAATTTGTTCAAATGTAGCTAGTTAAAACCAGGACATACCATACCACTAACAGTCTTATTTCCAAACTCTGTTACTTATGCTAGATGTTTAGATGTATATTATGTGTTTTCCAAATTATTTTCATCAAATAATTTACCACTGCATTACATGGATGTTCATCTTTTCAGTTTTTAATAACACCTCCCTCATTGCCCATTTATATTATTCTACACACACATACATACACTCATATACATGTATGCTGTGTGGTAACCACACATAAGGAAAACAGTATAAAGCAAAACAGGAGGATAATAAATTAAAAAAAAGAGAGAGTGATTAATTTTATGGAGAAAGGAATGGTGACACTAATAAGAAAAACAGTGTGCTTCTAGGGTATATGATAAATTCTTTTCTTCACCTGGTTGTTAAGTAAATGCATTTACAATCTTATTTTGTACTTTAAATTTAATGGATGATTTCAAACACATTTTTGCATATGTGCTATAATACTTTTCCAGTTAAAAATATTAGGGGTACTGATTAGACAGATCAGACAACTAACATTGTTCAGAGAGGTTCACTTAAACGTTACTGATGTTTGGGTGTGTTACATGTAAGGTAACTATTCAGGAATGATTCCTGTTAGAGAAGAATCAAAAATCGAACTCTATTTGTAGAATACCAAAGCAAAATAAAGAATCATTGGCTACAATCAGAAGATTAGTGGATACTGATGTCTGAATGTTAATTGACAGAGAAACTTGGAAATAGAAAACTCATTTTACTAGAAAAATATAAAGTCACTTCAGAATTCTAACTTGTAGTTTTATTGAACTTAATATTAATGGCTAATAAAATTGTGGGCTGAGTACAATATAACACAAAATAATATGACGATTTTATATTACATTTTACTTATCATTAAATATATATGAACAGACAGACACCAATTCACCTACTCATGTATTTATCAAGCAACTGCTGAAGTCAGTGACAGGTTTTATATGTTATTGTATTTTTCTTTTCCACAGTATTATCATCAAACTTGTAATGCAAAGACACATGAAAGAGATGCAGCTTAGATTAATTATTTATTACTAGATTTTGTTTTTGTGTTAGTTGAGTTCTGATAAATGTAGTAAATATCTACTGATATGAAATTACTCAATTGTCCATAAAATATACCTCTAGTATTAGAGTAAACCAGTTACCATTATGTTGTTGTGAGTGCATGCTTCTTTCAAAAGCACTATCGCCATCCAGATAAGAGAGGGAAGAAAGCTGGGAATACAAACATAACTCTAAAAATAGTCCAAGAACAGGCAAGTCAGGAACTCTAAATCTATAATTCATCCTACTAAAAAAATCCTCTCAAAGCTATGAATGAAAATTTGTTCTGTCAAAATCAATTCTTCTTTATTCAAAGTAAGACATCTGTATTGTGATATCAAATATATAATATTTTCTTTATTTCTTTTACATGAATATTTTAAAGATTTAGAAATACTATTTGTTTTGATAGAAAAAAGAGACAAATGGTCATTTAGGCATAATAAAAAAGAGAATTACTTACTTCTCCTTTCTCCATGTGGTCTTAGTCATATAAGAAAATTGACATGTTTTGATTGGTCCTGATTAATATCAGTGAAAATATCAGCAGTAAGATAACACTAAAATAAGCCAAATTTAAAAGATAGACTATAACAAATATTGGGTGTGCTGCACCCATTACCTCGTCATTTAGCATTAGGTATATCTCCCAATGCTATCCCTCCCCCACATGGCACATGTATACATATGTAACAAACCTGCACGTTGTACCCTAAAACTTAAAGTATAATAATAATAAAATTTAAAAAACACAAATATTGGGGAGGATTTGGATCAACTGGAATCACCAAACGTTGCTGGCATTGCTGGTAGAAGTACAAACTGGAACGACTACTTTGAAAAATGTTTTTTTTGTTTTTTAATCTATTAAAGCTGAAAACACACATTTTCTAGGTATAGCTAGAAACATCTCTCCTAGATATATACTTAACATAATGCATGTATGGGCACACTTATTTGCACACACATACACATGTATGATAATGTTCATAAAGCATTATTATAGTCTGAAACTGGAAACAACTCACTGTTTATTATCAGTGAAGAAGAAAAATTAATAATAACAGAATCATAAAATGAAATATGGCACTGAGTAAAAGTAAATAATATGGCTTGACAAGATAATATAGATAACTTCCTAAAACAATGCTGACTAACAGAATAGAAACCAAGTGTATTAGGGTTCTCCAGAGGGACAGAAATAATAGGATATATGTATATGTGAAAGGGGGTTTATTAAGGAGAATTGACTCACACGAAAACAAGGTAAAGTCCCATGATAGGCCATCTGCAAGCTGAGTTGGAAGGAAGCCAGCAGTGGCTCAGTCAGAGTCCAAAGGCCTCAAAAGTAGGGAAGCAAGAGTGCAGCCTTTAGTCCATGGCCAAAGGCCCGACAGCCTGCAGCAAACCACTGGTTTAAGTCCAAGAGCCCAAAGGCCAAAGAACCTGGAGTCTGATGTCCAAGAGCAGGAAGCATCCAGCACAGGAGAAAGGTGAAAACCAGGAGACTCAGCAAGCCAGCTTATCCCACCTTCTGCCTGCTTTGCACTAGCAGAGCTGGCAGCCAATTGGATGGTTCCCACCCACATCGAGGTTGGGTCTTCCTCTCCCTGTCCACGGACCTAAATGTTAATCTCCTCTGGCAACACCCTCACAGACACACCCAGAAATAACACTTTACCAGCTATCTAGGCATCCTTCAATCCAATCAATCTGACACCTAATATTAACCATCACACCAGGTAATGAACACAATAGTATATAACTGCATATAATATTACTTCAAACAAATAAAAGTAAACCGTCCTAATTTGTTATAAGTCAAGGTAGTGGTTAATGTCAAGAAAGAGAGACTAGGAGTTGAGAGGCAAAAGAGGCAGTCTTCTATTTCTTGACTTAGTTATTAAATACACGAGTCAGTCACTTTGTGATATTTCATAGAGCTGAACACTTACTGTTTATATGTGTTATTCTTCAATAAACAATTGTTTTTTGTGTTTTTTTGTTGTTGTTGCCAGCATTAGATAATTTAGCATTAGTATCTTTCTCTGGTCATTTGAATTAGTACTTTAACCCTGTAACACTTTCTTTCCTAGATAGCTTATTAATGTCACTTGATATCTGGAAGTGTTTTTTTTTTTGTTGTTGTTGTCCTAACATCACATAAAAAGAAGATATATTCATTTTAAGAAACAGGATGATAGGTGGGATTGATCTTCAACACTATACAGTCATTTATTTAAATATTCTATAGCTTCTTTCTTGAATATTCTATAGCTCTTTTTTTTGAATATTTGGTACTATGTTACCTTGGGTGGAAGTGATGTACTTATTAAAGTATGAATGCATTAATTAATTAATTTAGCCACTTCCATATAAGCGATTGCTTTAGATAAAAATAATGTAAAGATGAATAGAGCACAGACCACACCCTGAAGAAAGTATGCAACTCACAATTTGCAAGGAAAACTTAAAGATACCATTATAATATAAAACGGTAAAATATGCAGTGTAGTTTGGAGAATGGAATACATTTTGTAAGATAATAAAGAAACTCTTGGAGGATGTAAGGTTGACGTGTCAACAAAGATAAAGTGCATTTTATTTCTAGAAGACTCCTTTAAAGGGAAGCAAGGAAAGAGAACTTAGCAGTTCAGAATTACTGAAGTTAAAAGAAGGGGCAGTAAGCATCAAGTAATATTGCTTTGCAATAAATCTGCACATGCACCCCCAATTCTAAAATAAAAGTTGAAGAAAGAGAAAAAAAATAAAGAATATGTCAGGAAACAAATGAAGGACTGTTAAATGATGTGTGGTAAGGTAGTGAAAAATATGTATGGATGTCTTAGTCTGCTCTGGCAGCCATAACAAAATACTGCAGACTGGATGGCTTAAACAACAGGAATGTATTTCTCACAATTCTGGAGGCTGGGGAGTCCCAGATTAAGGTGCAGGCAAAGGAGGTTTCATTGTAAGGCCTCTTCTCCTAGCATGCAAGGTGGCTGCCTTCTCTCTGGGTGCTCATGTGATCTCTTTGTGTGTGTGTGTATGGGGAAAGAGAGGAAACAAAGAGAGAGTGAATAAGAGCTTATGGCCTCATTTAGCCCTGATTGTCTCCTTAAAGGACCTATCTTTAAATACAGCCACATTGAAAGTAAGGGCTTCAACACAACAGCTTTGGGGAGAGACAATTTTGTCCATAGCAATGTACAATTTCAGTAGGTTTATCTTTTGTGAAGCTTGTATATAAAATGTACAGAACCTGTACAATGAAAGCCATACATTTCTGGTATGTATCTATAATTCCATCAATCTATCATTTAACTTTCTAGGTACTAAGAAAGAGAGAAAGATACCATGTTGCTGAAAGAAGATTTAATAGCTTCAACATGTCATTTCTTCCTAAATTGATCTATAAATTAAATGTACTTTCAATAAAAGTGCTAAATAAAATTTTTAAGATAGTGCATTTGAAAAATACTCAATGACAGCCAATAAAATTTGAAACATGGAGTAATGAAGGAGCTTATTCTTCCAGACATCAAAATGTACCATAAAATTGTAATAATTAAAACAGCAATACTCATAAACCAGTAGAAATAAACCCATATATATATGTTACATATATATATATGAAAATGCAAGATTCAATTTTCACAACATACAAAAGTCAATTTAAAATGAATTAAATAATTAAGTATATTCTGTATATCTTATTTCATACATACACACACATACGTATATTAGGGGTATGTGTGTGTGTTCATATATAACTTAAAAATATCTTAAAGTGAGGAAGACCTTCTTAAATAACAATTTTTAAGGCCAGTGGCAGTGGCTCACTCCTGTAATCCCAGCATTTTGGGAGGCCGAGGCGGGCAGATCGCCTGAGGTCAGGAGTTTGAGACCAGCCTGGCCAACATGGCAAAACCCTGTCTCTACTAAGAATACAAAAATTAGCTCGGCATGGTGGCGAGCACCTGTAATCCCAGCTACGTGGGAGGCTGAGGCAGGAGAATCGCTTGAGCCCGGAGGCAGAGGTTACAGTGAGCTGAGATCATGCCACTGCACTCCAGCCTGGGCAACAAGAGTGAAGCTCCGTCCCCTCCCCCACAAAAAAAGAAAAATTAAAATAAGATAATTTTAAAAATTTAGTTTTAAATCATGACTGTATAAATAGAAAAGAAATAGAAACAAAAGTTTGCAAGCCCAAAATAAGTTTAAAATATCTTGTCATAAAAAGTAACAAAGATAAAGACATTAAGGTATAGCTCTTGCAACAGATATGACTCATCTAAAAATATTATGCAACGAGTGGCTTGAACAGCTAACATTTCTCACAGTTCTATAGGTTAGTAAGATGAGGGCACAGACAGATCCAGTATCTTGTGAAGTCCCTCTTCCTGGTTTGCAGACAGGGATCCTACTATATTCTTACATACAAAGAGCAGAGAGATGAGAAGCTCTAGCATCTCTTTCAATAAAGGCACTAATCCCATTCCTGAGGGCTCCACCTACATGACCTAATTGTCTCCCAAAGGCTTTAAGTCCTAATAACATCATCTTTCCAGTTAGGATTTGAATTTATGACTTTTTTGGAATGCAGACATTCAGTTCATAACAACATACATCACAAGGTATTCAAACATATACAAGCAATCATATGAATTGATAATAAAAACAATAAACCAAGAAAAAATGATTATTTCACAAAATTTTTTGAAAGCATATAAAAACATTTCAACAAGTTTTCAATCAGGAATATGCATATTAGTGCTATTAAATATTATCTTTGATCCATTACAATGTGCATTGTGGACACAAATGTGCCATCGTCCAGTGTTAATAGGAGTATAAACTGGTGAAACCTCAAGGAGACTATTTTGACCACTTTGTTGTCACTTAAGAGAAATCAAACTGCACAATACTTTTAGGCTGACATGCAACACTGTTTTTATTTTATTTTATTGTATTGTATTTTATTTTTTTCACCAGTATTTCAAATACTTCCCTCTATGTAAAGAACAAAAAATGCAAGTTACTTATAGCCCTCAAAACAAGAGGTTTTGCTGATACACTAAGGAAATATTAAACATTTCTTTAGAAAGAGAAGGTATACAAATATATGCCATCTAAGTGATACTGCGTTAAACATTTTCTAAATATGTAAAGAGAAATTACATCAAGATAGCATCCGAACTAAAGAAGCATGGTAAAAATAAGGGGACAGATTTGATAGCATTTAGGTATTAAAAATAGCTGAACTTAGTGCTTGTTTGAATATAATGGCATGAGAATGAAGAATGTGTCAAGGATAATTTTTAGAAGTTGAATAACTGGAATGACTGGCTGCATATAAACAGAATTCAGGAGGGAAGTAAATGACAGCTAATAGCTGACATTTATTCTGGTCCTACCATGCACAACGTCACTGCTCTTTGCATTATCTCATTTAAACCTCATGAAATAAGCATCTGAAATAAGTGTGGTTAGAGTCTTCATTTCAGAGTTATAAAATGAGAAACAGAGATGTTAAGAAACACAAAGTGGTAGAGCCAGTAAGCAACTCACCAGTCTAAGTCTAGGACTTGTTTTATAACTGTTAGCATAAACTATGGTGACTTCAGGTTTGTTCACGTTGAGTTACAGTTGCTCACGTAATCTGAAGATGGATGAGGAAGTGAGAAAGGGAGAAGGATAAATGTGGCGCTTCATGTTGAGCCGGGGGGTTTTCTAAGATGACAATTTTGGAGAGTGAAGGGTGGACAAATACTTAGATTAAGTAAAACAAGCAAGGAATTTACTGGACACTGTAAATAATTACAGTGGATCCCAAGAATAAGAAATATAGCCAATTTTAAAAAGAAAAATCTTGAATATTAATCTTTTTCTCTTTGAGACCATGAAACAATGACTTTTGTGTTCATTTATTTCTTTGAATAGCTTTATTTATATCTTTGTGAGCCAGGTTTCTGTCATCATTTGTATGTTGAAAATTGATATACCTGGGTAATAAACCTCTCTTCCTTTTTTAAAATAAGAAAATAGAATAGGATGGATAGACACTTCCAAATCTTTCTACCAAATTTCATTCTTTGCCTAGAAAATATTTTTCTCTTGACTCAAATTTAAATTTGCCTCCACCTAACATGATCCAACAAATGCATTTACTCAGTCTCAGTGGAAGATAATGTACTGCCACAACACATATTGTATCCCAGTTACAAAGTGGCATTATTTCCAGGTGTCATTTTTCCTCCTCTGGTCCTTGAGACAGATCAGGTGCTTCTCCTCATTATCCTGCCAACTTTGAGCTAAATACAAAAAATAATCATCCCCAATGCAACAGATATAACATTTGAACAAAGACACAGTACAATTACGTGGTGATGAAAAGCTGTCAATAAAAGAATTTCTGGAATCAGATCACCTGCTTTTTATTTCCAACGTTGCTAGTGGAATAATTGTGTGCATGATATTACATACTCCTGTGCTTTCTTTCCTCATTTGTGAGAGCCAACTTTTTCTCTATGTGCTTGCAATGTAGCTGAGGCTCTTCAGAAAATCGTTCACTCTTTTCGTCTTTACAAATAGTTCCTGAGCATAGTGCTATTTGTACCCTTATTTTAAGGCTGCGGAATATCAGTCAGAAATTTTCTCTAAGTTGTAAAACTAGAAATGGATAGGGCTAAGGAGAGATCTCTGAAGTCAGCAACAAGTCTTGGCCATCAGTTCAGAGAAAATTCCACATCCTGCAAGGGAGGGTAATCTTGGTTAGAAAATTTGATTGTCTCATGGGTCATTTAGCAGGAGTGCTCTCCTGGTCTCTGATGCTTACAAATTCCTCTAAAGAGAGGGTACTGGAGAGGGCTGTACAATTGTGAATACCCACATCATTAAAATTGTCTTCAGGGTTTTGTTTGCCTAAGGAGCTGAGATGCTCTGCTTTCCTTGGTTCAATGAAAGCATGTGCCCATATGTGCTAAACCTCTGTGTTTGGGTGTGTGTGTGTGTGTGTACGTGCGCACGTCTACAGGCACTCCCGTGCATATGCTGTGTTTTGTCTTAACTTCACTTCTTGGGCAGGACCCTCTACCATTTCCAGTTATTTTTTCTGATTAGATCTGTCTATGAGTCACAGTCTAGCTTGGAGATTGGCAAGTAACTGTTTTAGGATAACCAAAAAGAAAAGCTTCATCAATTAGCAACCAAGTGCTCCCTGCACCATGCCTCTTTTTGTCTGAGGAAGCCAGTGTTATATAGTGTTCTTTAAGAATGGGATGCAGAGACTTTTTCCACTGTACTGTGTTTTAGCTTGTTTCCTCGGATCCCCTGGGGCTTAGCAGCACTAATTAAGCTTACAAGGGGATATATCTACAGGAAACTTCTAGACAGGATGAACTAGAAGAATCCAGGTAGTTGTGTTTCTACAGCCCCATAAGCGCCTCTATCATATGCCCTTATTTAACCTGCCAGAACGATCCTACTTGCCAATAAAATTTATACAGTTGTCACCTTATCCTTTTAGAGTGACAACAAGACCTTGTAAATATTTATCAGTAGCCCTTTAAATATGGGTCAAGCAATAATACATACCCTAGTTTAGAATGATAAATGATTGATTTCTGGCAGGGCATCACTTCAAACCACAGCGTCTTTTTCCAGCAAAGTGTGAGATCCACAGTTTCACATTTGTATTAGTTTAGAAACCTGAGACTAGATTTTTCCCCTAATAAACAAGTCTATTGTCTTTCCTTCCCCTAAAACATTAACTTAATGTAACACAAGGTCTAGAGTCCTGAAAATTTCAGAAGGCAGGTTAATCAGTTCATTTGTACTCTGTTATTTGGTGGTGATAGATTTATGTCCTAGAATCAGGGAAACTTCACTCTGCTCCATGTTTTCTCACTTTCAAGTGTTTGATACTTGCAGCTAAGTTCTCTCTCTCTCTTTTATAGTGGTGATTTTCTTCAAAAGATAATGGCTACTAAAACTAGCTGAAAAAAATAATGAGGAATTCATAGGCTTGATTTGGCTATATATAGTCAATGACTATATAGAACCTAACCCTACTAAATGACATGACCCGAGATCTGGCAATTCAGGAGCTAGGTTTCCTCTCTGTCTCTTAGGCAGCATGGACTCATGACTCTGTCTCTTATGTATGAATTATTTACATAACAGAAACAACTTTCTTGAAGCTACTACATTGCAAGGACTAGATCAGGTGTTTATCTCTTATCAAATCATATGTAGCTAGGAGGTAAAGCCATTTATAATTAGTTAAAGGTCATGTTCACCTTTCCTCAGGGTCTTCAGGTGACAGACAATACTCAGAGAAAGTAGCAGGAGCTGGATGGATGGCTTAAAATTTCACCATTCAGCCTAAATGTGAAAGATAATGTCATAAGAATATGGAGAACGTATATAAAGCATTACTATAATAACAGAACCAAGGACAAGGACTCACCAAATTGAAAAACACAAAGAAGGAACAGCCCATTCAGAGACAGAGAAGTAGTCTCAGATGCTGGGTCGATATGATACAGTGGTTTAAAAATATAGAGTGTTTGGGATCAGATTGCAGATTTACATTGGAATCCCAATTCCTCCAATAAACAGCTGTTTGAGCAAATTTTTTCACTTCTTTGAGCCTCAGTTTCTTCCTTTATAAAATATAGACAAAGTTTTTGGAATAAAGATACATTTTCTTAATTACACTTTGTTAGATTAAATTATAAGAATGTATATAGCCTGAAACAACTTAACCAGTCCATAATAAGTGATCAGAAAGGGTTACCTAAGTAAAGACAACAAAATAATAGTTTATTCTTATAAAATAAAGTAGTAGAGGTAAGCAGAGGTACTAAGCAGTAGAGATGTTTAAGAAAATAGAGTAAAAAATGACCTTTGTACTTGGTGATCAGAACCTTCTTATGAGGAAGGTTATTGATTAGGGTGGCTGAGAAAAGAAACAGTGGTAAGGGAAGATGCAAATGGAGCACATTGCAGCTATATTGGGTCACATTGCTGATAATTATGGAGAGAGAGGCATGCAAAAAAGAGAAGTCAGCATATGCAGAGATCCTCTCACTGGCATTTATGGGATAAAGGAAGTAACATGTATTGTGTTTGGCCTCAATAAACAATATTTTCCAACTATTCTCCCAAGTGCTCAGATAGAGATTCTAAGACACAGAAAGGCATAACTTGAGGATTCTGACTAATAAGAATCCTGATAACAACATGACAACTGTTAAGGGCAATATTTGTATACGCTTGCTGCCTCGCATAGTACCTGATACATAATTCATGCTTAAAAAGGATGAATTATTTCACTTTTTTCTTATATTTATTCAACAAGTATTCAGTTAGCATTGACTGAGTGTCTGGAGATATGTTAGGTGAAAGGTACAAAAAGATAAGTAGGATGCAGATTTTCCCCTTAACATGAATCACACTAGTGACTGCTGTAAGTATGCTTGAAACACTGTGAGTTGATGCTCACAAGTACTAAGGGAATGATTAGCTTTGTCTAGAACAATCAAAAAATACTTGCTGGGAAAAATGACATTTAAAATGAGTCTTAGTGCTTGATTGGAAATTCATGAAAGAGAAAGACAAAGATTATACCAGTAAGAGACAACAGCAAACGTTAAGTAGAAACAGGAAAAATCAGTTTTATCATTTTTTGAACTATGCTTTTTTGTGATTATTTGCAAACAAGAAGATGTTTTTAGATTTTCTTGTGTGTGGTATTGGGAATGTCTTAACATTTGAATCTCATTTTACACATTTATATTATTTAGTCATGATGGAACGTGGAATCAATGTGCTGTAAACATACCAGTACTGTAACTGCACCTACTATGTACTATAAGATAATGAAAAATTAAGCTTTCAGGAAAACAAACACTGTAAATTGCATAAAATATATCTGATGCCTTACCATGCTATATTAAGCTGCTCATCTTCTACAAGGTGAATTAGAAATTTGAAGCCAAATCTCTAATAATAATTAAAAGAATATTAATTTGGACAGACTCATTAAGCATTAAGTATGGCCCTTTATCTCTACACAAACTCACAGATACACACACACACACACACACACACACACTCCATAAACACCAAAGAGACATGCAATCTAGGTTAAAAGTCAAAACAGAGGATTTGGTGTTCTTGAGACCATACATATAAACACTTAATATAATCCATTCTTGTCTGAACTTATTAAGGTTTATATATTATTAGGTACCTAGCCTTAATAATGAAATAGAAATGTTGTTTGGGATTTGCAAATGAAAAAGAAGTTATTACTAAAGATTTATAGAAAACTACTAAAATATTAACCCTCTTATTGTGTAACAAAAAAAAAAATTGGAATACAGATGAGGAGCCATGGTTGTTACTCAGATTTAGAACTTTAATTCCACTTTATATTATAACTTTTAGCTTTGTTTGTGAAATGAGAAGATACAAACTGTGTTTTTGAGAGCAAAGATCTCATGAGAATCAAATGATTGCTAGAGACATTGTCCCTTTCTATCATTTCATCTTCTCTTTAAATCTGTGTTTCTTAACATATTTTTAGAATTTGATAGCTAAAGTTACTGAGTCAATGGTTTTCAGATCACAGAAAGGCCTGCCCTAAACAAATGATTTGATTCCGAACACGTTACCTTTGATTTTCGTGGATTACTGTGCAGTGGGGGAGTGGTGTGGAAATGGGCACTGGGAAATGAATAATGATTCAGTAGTCTCCTAGGATTTACAGTTTTTACCTTTTTTCGGAAGCGATAATTTTAAATAAATCTTATTGTTTATACGTCTATTCAGCCAGGGTATTTTAGCAAATGTGTATTGGGAAACTTTAATGCACCAGGGACTTCCTGTGCTAAGGTTAAAATGGTGATGACATATGCAGCTGGATAAAGGGCTTCTGTGTCACGATAGAAGATGTAAGAATGAGTGTAGACATGGTCAAACCTGTGAATACAACAGGTATCAGCTTTCTCTCCCACCTACCATAACTCCACATTTTCTTGGAAATATCTCAGAATATTTGGACACATTAATGGATGGAAAACTGTCCCAGGGCTGCACTAAAATTATGATTCTAATGTCAACTCTTGTCCTTACCAAGTATGTGACTTGGCCAGAACACTTTGCCTCTGATTCTCAGATTGTTCATAGGGCAAACTGGCTCTCTAATATTTTTTCTCATGGCTTTTCTTTAAGGATCAAATAAAATAACAAGTAAAAGCACTTTGAAATCTGCAAGATCTAAAGAAATATAAGATTTTACTATACTTGCTGGAATTGTTTTGAAAATGACATTGTCATTTTTAAATGACCATCTGATTAAACATAACACTATCATTTAATCCTAGATATTTCAATATAATGTTGATAGACATGCTTTTATTTATACATTATATGCAGAGCTTTAGGGCTGTGTAAGTTTATCCAATGATACCTCTCACAAGTGGAATCAATGAAGGACAGAGATTTTTATGATTAGCAAGTTTATTCAAAGACAGACCAAAGAGAGATCATTCTTTGTGTGATTGTTGACTGGTGATGTTCTCAAATTCTACAGTCAAGCTTGGCTTCTGAAATCATTTTCATGTTGTGCCACTTTGTTTGCCTGAACTATTCTGCGAAAATTCCTTCTGACAATCCACCATCAAAAGAAACGATGTTCTTTCCCTAAGCAAAAAGGACATAGCTGTGTCTGGCCAGCCTTTACAAGTGCCAACGGCATTTCTTTCGGAAGCACCTGCTGTTACACATCAGCCTCAGCCAGCAAAGGACACAGACGATGACAGCAATTTTTTGATTAGTATTATTCCTTTTGAGTGCGTGAAAGCAGGGTAATGAATTCTATACAGATAGCATTAATTTATGCCATGCAGGCAGGCACTTGCTGTCTTAACCTCCAGACTCATGAATCGTAAATATTACTGTGGAAGGTAAAAGAACAAGAAGCTACTATAGAAAGTAATTGACAGGCAAAACCAAAGAAAGGCCTTTGTTTGGAAGGCATTCACTCTCATAGGGTACTGGATGTGAAGCAGAAAATGCGATATGCACACACACAAAAAAGCCCCAAACACTAGTTACAACAGACTTGCTCATCATTTTATCAGACTGTTTTATGGATTTTTTTTTCTGTACTTTCTCTACTCACATTTGATTTATGAGGATAAAATCTAATTTTAAAATATTCCATGCTCTGCTTATATATACAAACCTAGATCAAATAAGTAGGTTTTATACACACCCTTCTATACAATGTGTAAAATTCAGTATTTGCTTGGTTCTTATTTTGAAGTTCTGGTCATCTTCTATGAAGATCCTGCAATTATATTCTCAGAAACTTTCAGGTTTTTAACATCAGCCTTAGTCATGGGACCAACTCAACTTCCACATATGACAGTTTATGTAAATAATATTGATTTTATCTCACAAACTTTCTGAGTGAAATTGTCCCACAAATCAAAATGCTAGCCATCCCTCAGGTCTCAAATCTTTTATTGATCTGTTCCTGCCTTTATCATCACTCTCTATAGGGGAGCCCAGACCTCCTGTTCCCAAAATGAATTTGCTGTCTCTTCAACAAAGGTCTCCTTACTTCCCTGGTTCTTTATATTATCTTCTAATTCTTCTGTCAGTCATTTTTGTCCTAAGGTAACCCTGTGCTCTTAGAATTCTCAAGTCCTTCCTTTTCTCTCTTTTCTGTCTTTCTTATTTCAAGATCTTCTCCTTTAGTTCTCTTTCTAGTCGCTGTAAACAACTAGATGTTAGAAAAATTTAAAAATTCATTTTCTTCCAGTGAAAGAAATAATAACTAATTTTTCATCCTATGAAAACAGGGAATGTGATTTTTATTTCTTTTATTTTTATTTGAAAGTTAGAGCAGTCATAAATTCCTCTGGAAAAATGTCTACATTGTTTATAATGTTATGACTGCCATTATTGATAAACCTGGACTTGTCAGCCTATATAAAAATAGATGCTTTTCCCCCCTTACAATGGCAGAAGAGAAACATGAAAATGTCCATGTTCCTCTCAGTTTAAACAAGTCTAGTGTCTAGGAAAGTTCTGCTTATGTGTGAAGGACTGAAAGAAAATGCTTCTGGCCTGATTTTGATGTTCCGTGTTCTTCTTGAGATGACACTTGATCCCTTTATTGTTACTCTGATTGGTACTTTATATTCTCTTTGACCCTTCTGTAAAATAGGAAGTCAAATATATACATATGACTTTTGAACATACCAGTCTGCTTAAGAATGGCTCAAGGCTTTCCTTTTATTTGATAAACTGTCCATTTCACTGCTACAGCCACTGGCAGAATATTTATCCCCAGTTTTTAAAGATGTCACAACTCTTCTCCTCAAACTTATTTGCAGAAACCTTAAAATACAATGCTTCTTTCCTATAACTAATGTAGCACAGGCCTTCTTGGATAAACCCATACTTCCTGAACCAGAAACAATTCGTTTTTCTTCTATCTCCTGATTGGGGCAAACACATTTAGAATGAATGCTGAGGACTTCAAAGATTAAGAGGTCCAAATTATTGGGTATGTGGACAAAGTAACATAAAAATACAAATGATATCAATATCCAAAGCTTCTTCCCCTCCTTCGCTTCCCCCAACCTCCTTATACCCAGCTTCTCCCCAGTAATGACCTGTTACATTCTTCTTACCCTGATCACAGGATATCGACAGAGGCCCAGAGTTACCCTGGGAAAAAATGTGGCTTAGAGAGGCTGCAGGGTTACTCTATATCCCTAGACTTTGACTTTGGCTCAGTTGTGCAAATTTCTAACTTTACTTTCTCATCAAGAGGTAGAGAAGTATGGTGGGTTTTGGGTTACCCATGGAGAGCGGATGCAATATCCTCAACGTTAGCTTTGCTCTTCAACTAACACTAGCATTTGTGCACCAGAATGAAACTGAATTTCCTCTGGTCCTTCTCCTCCAAGCAAGCAGGAGACTTATCTCTCTAATTGCCTAATGACAGGATATTAGTTCAATTTTTTACAGTAACTTTTACAACTCATTTTTTATCTGTCTCTCTGAATTTATAATCAATTTTCATCCACCTATTATTCATCCTACTGGGCAAAGTGCAAGCTCATTAGTGCAATGAGAAAGGTCCATTTTAATTTGGCACTGACTGACTTTTTTGTACAGTGCCTACTAAAACCCCAATCTTCTATAGCTGATTTACAAACTCCACATTTGTTGCATCCTTAACTTTCATTTCTATGTTTCCCTAAGTCTGTAATACTTCAATTTGTCCTTCAATACTTCCTTTCCATGAACTCTTGCATATTTTCACAATTCACATTAAGTTTTACTTGTTCTGCAAATCCTCCCCCAAATTCTGTATCCTAGGTAGAGTTAGGTGATCCTCTGACTCCAGACAAATGTTAACCACAATATAATTATATTATGGCATTTATCACATTCTGTTGTGTTTGTCTACCACAGCAATATCCACTTTATTATGAGCAATAAAAATAATGTCTTTAAAAAATCTTCATAGCCAAAAGTTTAATGTAATTCCTGAAACACTGGGGCAACTCAGTAAGCATTATTTTTATTCATGGAGGATAGAGTATCAGTTTCACCAATAAATGGTGGTCTTTCATATCACTCCATTTTGCCATGGTAGCTTAAAGCGCAGAAAACGTCATAGTTTGCAACAGCAGACATTTACTTTTCATTTACACATAATATTTTGGTGGCTGCAAGTCAGCTTTGGCTGCTGCAGTTCTGTTAAGCTCTATGAGCCTCTGAACACTCTGCTTTATGTGTTTTCCATTCCAGTACCCAACTTAAATGAACAGCTTCTATTTGAAACATGCTTGTCTCATGACAGAGCAAGATTAATGACAGAAAAACAGGATGCATTCTAAAGTTTCAGCTCATATCTGGCTGATTGTTACTTTGGCTCACATTTCATTACCTTAATTCGTTTCACCAATCTTGATAGCCATGAACTATAACTCCTTTCACAGAAGGAACAGCAAATAAGAAGAGAGTAGGTTTATATAAAATATATATTAATATGCAATAAATAATATATAATAATTTATATATAATGTAGGCATATTTATATGTGAATACATTATATATGTATATATGTATATGTATGTGTGTAAGACCTTACAAAAAGCAAACATAAATGAGAAATAATAATGGAAAGTAATAAGAAATTTTATTACTGGTCAAAAATATTTACTTATTTGCTTTTTGTACGAGAAACACACTACCATTCTTTCCAAGGAGCACTCAATATTTCCGTCCGGCCTGGCACGGTGGCTCACCCCTGTAATCCCAGCACTTTGGGAGGCCGAAGTGGGCTGATCACTTGAGGTCAAGCGTTCGAGACCAGTCTGGCTATCATGGTGAAACACTGTCTCTATTGAAAATACAAAAAAAAAAAAAAATGTGCCAGACGTGGTGGTGAACTCCTATAATCCTGGTTACTTGGGAGGCTGAGGCATGAGAATCGCTTGAGCTCAGGAAGCAGAAGTTTCAGTGAGCCGAGATTGCGCCACTGCACTCCAGCCTGGGTGATAGAGCAAGATCTTGTCTCAAAAAACCAAAAACAAGAACAACGACAACAAAAATTTCAATCGATTGTGGCATCAACTCAAGATCCAGAATTTCTTGATATATTCTACTTTATGTCTTTATATAGTGTCTTTTGATTCAGAGACTTGTATGCTAAAACAGTGAGTATCCCACCATGACACCCACCACACACAAAGCCATAGAGAACATATAAAACTGGAACAGAATAAACCCCAGTAACAGTTTGGATTGCAAAGGGGAAAGAAAGGGAAGTGCCCAGCAGTCACAGGGCCATAGAAATTCTGAAATCCTACTGGCCAAATATCACGTGTTTTCCTTATACTGAAAGTTTGCCCTTAGTCTGCCTCCCTTGCATAGCTTCCTGGCCTACTGATCTTAGAATTTTTTTATGAGTGCTGTTATGTCCTTTTCTTCTCCCAATTTTTCTTGGCCCAATCAAAGAGTATACTGGAGAGAGTATCACCTTCATGGCAGAGCAGCTTTCTTAATCTGATATTTCTGAAACTAAACTGAAAAAAAAATATTCTCAGGCTTTTTTAGCAGTTAATTGGTCTTTTGAACATTTTGTAATAGCAACATCCAATGTTTGGTAGTAAATTTTGTATTCAAGTCAGAGTTTATATAATAATAAACAATAAAAAGACTGCAGCAGTAACATCATGAATAAACATAATGAAGTAACATTTTTAAGAGAAAAAAAATCAGTGGCTTATAGAACATTTGTTATTTTTAAAAAAACACTTTACATGTGATTGGCAAAAGACAGTGCATATTAAATGTACACAACCTGATGAGTTTGGAGATAAGTCTACATCTATGAAACCCTCATCAAAATCTATGACATAAACATATCCATTACTTCCTGAAGTTTCCTCTTGCCTTCCTTATTATTATTTATAATAACAGCACTTAATATAAGATATAACTTCTAGAAAATTGTTCAGTGCACAATACAGTATTGTTAGCTATCAGCACTATGCTGTACGATAGATCTCTAGGACTTATTCATCTTGCTTGACTGAAATTTTGTACCTTTTGACTAATAACTCCCTATTTCCTCCTACCCCCAGCCCCTGGCAGCTATCATTCTACTATCCACTTTTATGAGTTTGACCTACTTTAGATTCTTTATGTAAGTGGTATTATGTATTTGTTCTGACATATTTTACTTAGCATAGTGTTCTCCAGATTCATCCACATTATTGCACGTGGAAGAATTTTCTCTCTTTTATTTCGCTGTAGATGCAACAGTTGAATGTTCTATCGTCTTTATATACCAATTTCTTTATTCATTTGTCTGTTGAGGGACCATTAGTTTGTTTTATATTTTTACTATTGTAAATAATACTGAACTCAGCATGGAGTACAGATATTTTTTGAGACAGTAATTTTAATTTTTTAAAATATATACCCCAAAATGGGATTTTTGGATCATATGGTAGTTCTAGTTTAATTTTTAAAGTAAATTGCACACATTTTTTACAGTGGCTATACCATTTTATATTCCCACTAATAGTGTACAAAGTTTCCTTTTTCTCCACACCCTTACCAATACTTTTTATCTGCCTTTTATGTAAGAGCCATTCTAACAGGTGTGAGGTGATATCTTATTGTGGTTTGATTTGAGTTTCCTTGATGACTAGTGATGCAGAACATCGTCTTATATATATATTTCCAATTTGTATGACTTCTTTGTAGAAATATCTATTCAGTTCCTTTGCTCATTTTTTTTAGTCAGGTTAAATTTTTATTTGTGTTATTATTTATTTATTTAGCTCTTGAGTTGTAGGAGGTTCATGCATATTTTAGATGTTGATGTTCTATCAAATATATGGCTTGCCAATATTTTATTCCATTCCACAGGTTGCCTTTTCATTTTGTTCATTATTTTCTTTGTTGTGCAGAAGTTTTTAGTTTGATATAGTTCCACTTACCTATTTTTGTTTTTTTGCATGTTACTTTAAATAACCAAAACAATTATAAGTAATAAGAACAATGCTGTTTAGGAATTTGTCCACTTATAGGCTTTTCAATTTGTTGGTTTACATTTGTTTATAATAATCTCTAGTAAGCCATTGTATTTCTGTGGTGTCAGTTGTAATGTCTCCTTTTTATTCCTTATTTTATTTATTTTAGTTGTCTCTCCTTTTTCTCCCGTTAGTCTAAAGGGTTGTTGATTTTATCTTTTTTAATATGCCCAGTGTTCCATTATTGGAACTCTAAGCATGTGGGAGTTATTTATATCCTACTGTTCAAGGTCATCTCCAAGGTCTGATTTTTCACAAATGTCTGCCTTCTGGGGTACATATTATCACATAATGCGCAGAGTTAGTCACTGCTGCAGATACTGGCGTGCTGGGAGCTTGTCAAGTAGTGATGTGAGTTTTTGGAAACATTTTTGAAGCAATATCAAAAGACAAGTACATGTAATTTTACTGCACTATATCCTATGCTAGTAATTGTGCTGTAGAAAGAAAATACCGAAATTATTATTGTTGCATTAGTTATGGGTTTGACATTTTGTATGTTCCATTTTTGGAACACTCGGCAAACCACTACCACTAGGACTAATAATCACTTTTTTGAGTTTTAGTCCCAAGATGTCTCAAACTCTAAGTTTACATGAAATAACCTTTAAATACAGATGACAGCATAGAAGCAAGTACTATTCTGATACAACCACCTGAAAATGCTACAGCACCTGTTTCTGATGAGGACTCCGGGGACGAAGAAGGTGGAACAATAAAAAATCTGCCAGGTTCTTTGTTGCGCGCAACTGCAAATCTTATAAAGGTGATTCTGATGCAGAGTCTAACTCTGATGATCCCTCATACGCACTTAAATTTGACTCTCCTGACGAAGATCCATCTACGTCTACCGCGCAGCAACTTCCACCATCAAGGAGGAGGAAAGTGACAAAAATTGTTTGCAAATGGAAGAGAGGGACCTAACTGCACAACTTGTAGCAGGTAGAATTACAGAACCACCAAACGATTTATTCACCGAAATGAGAACTCCCACAGAAATTCTGGAACTTTTTCATGATGACGAAGTCGTTGAACTCATTGTCAAGTACTCCAACTTACAGGCTCGAAGTTAAGGGTGTACATCTTGGCTTGACTAGCTCCGAATTCAAATATTTTCTGGGAATTATTTTTCTGAGTGGTTACATCTCAGTTCCTAGAAGCCGTATGTTTTGGGAACAACAACAACAACAAACCAGATGCGCATAATGTACTGGTTATTGCTGCCATGAGACGTGACCGCTTTGAAACTAAATTTTCTAATTTGCATGTTGCTGACGATGCAAATTTGGATCCAATGGACAAATTTTCCAAGTTGCGACTTCTCATAAGCAAACGTAATGAGAGATGTATGAAATTTGTTCCAAATGAGACATATTTCAGCTTTAATGAATCCATGGTTCCTTATTCTGGTTGTCACAGGTGCAAACAATTTATTCAGGGAAAGCCCATTATGTTTGGCTGTAAGTTTTGTTGTGGTGCCACATGTCTGTGCCACATTTGCTGCTTTCAGCCGTATCAGGGTAAAAACCCAAATACTAAATATGAAGAATACGGTGTTGGTGCATCACTTATTCATAAGTTTAGTGAGGGACTTACACACACCCTGGACAATATCATTTTGTATTCGATAACTTTTTCACCAGTATTGCACTTCTTGATAAGCTCAGTTCAATGGAACATCAGGCAACAGGTACAGTGAGAAAGGATCGCATTAACAAAGCCCCACTGGAATCAGATGTAGCTCTAAAGAAAAAAGAAATCATATTCAATTACGGAATTGATGGCAAAGGCAATGTTGTCTGCAGATTGATATTTTCTTTATATATTTAAGTGCTCCAATATTGGGTGCATATATATTTATGAGTATTATATCCTCTTGCTGTATTGACTTCTTTATCATTATGTAATGACCTTTGTCTCTTGTTATAGTTTTTGGCTTAAAATCTATTTTATCTCATGTAAGTATAGCTACTCTTACTCTTTCTTGGTTTCCATTTACATGGAATATTATCTTTCATCCCTATAGTTTTAGTCTATGTGTGTCTTTATGAGTGAAGTGTTTCTTGTTGGGTATTATTTTTCATCCACTAAGCTACTCTATTTCTCTGAGTTGGAAAATTTAATCCAGTTACATTCAAGGTAGTTATTGACAGGTAATGGCTTACTCCTGCCATGTTGTTGTTTGCTTTCTAGTTGCTTTGTAAGTTGTTTCTTCTTTTCTTCAACTCTTACTATCTTCCTTTGCGGTTAAGTGGCTTTGTCAAGTAGTATGTTTTGATTCCACTTTTTTAAAAAAATTTTTAGTGTATTATTATAGGTTTTTGCTTTATGTTATCATGAAGCTTACAAAATATCTTATAACAAGTAATTGTAAGTGTATAAAAACTTAAGTTTGATCACAAATAAAAGAAAAAAACATACAAAGAAAAAATCCTACACTTTAACAATTGCCCGATACATATTTTGAATTTTTTATTTATTTTTTAAGATTGTATAACTTTTATCCCTTAACACATAAAGAAAGTGCAATTTCATAAATCCATTGTGGAAAATAGTATTTACGTTCCTCAAATATTAAAAATATAACTACCATATGATTAGCAATCCCGCCACTTAGTATATATCTAAATAAATAAAATCAGCATACCAAAGAAATATCTGTACTCCTACATTTATTATATAGCACTATTTGCAGTAGCCAAAATATGGAATCAACCTAATTATCCATCAATAAATGAATGGATAAAGAAAATGCAGAATATTTGTACTACAAAATACTATTCTGCAATGAAAAATGACTTAAATTTTATCATTTATGGCAACTTGGATAAGCCTGGAGGACATTATGTTAATTGAAATAAACCAGACACATCAAGACAAATACCACATAATCTTACTCGCATGTAAAATTTTAAAAAGTTGATCTCATCGAAGTGGAGAGCAGCATAGTTGTTTTACTGGAAGCTTTGAAGGGTTGAGGGTAGGGTGGATGGGGAAAGGTTGGTCAAAACATACAAAGTTCCAGTAATATAGGAGGAATAAATTCTAGTGTTCCATTGCATAACAATGTGACTAGTTAACAATTATGTATTTCAAAGTAACTAGAAGAGAAGATATTGAATGATCTCAGCACAAAGAAATGATTAGTGTTTGAGGTTATGGATATGCTAATTACCTTAGTTTGATCATTACACATTGTATACGTGTATTGAAACATCACACTGTACCCTCAAAATATGTACAAGTGTTATGTCTCAATTAAATACAAAATCAAACAAAACAAACAAGAGAAAACCTGGAGAAATCACACTTCTGGATTTTAAAATATATTGCATAGCTACAGTAATCAAAATTATATAGTACTGGCATAAAAAAGACATACAGACCAGTGGAAGAGAATGGAGCGCTCAGAAATAATACCATGCTTGTACATTCGACTGATCTTTGACATAAGTGCAAAGAATATACAATGAAGAAAAAGTCTGTTTAATGAGTAGTGCTGGGAAAACTGAAATATCTGCTTGCAAAATAATGAAATTGGACGCTGATCTTACCTTACATAGAATAATTAACTCACTGAGTTGTAGATACAAACATAAAGGGAAAGCTTCTTGACATTGATCTTGGCAATGATTTTTTGGGTATAATATCTATTGTTCTTATATGTACATATTGTCCGCTATTGGCTTCAGGTATGAAATTTCTGCTCAGCTCTGCTTTACCATCTTCTTATTCCTGAATAAAATCCAAAGGAGCAGCCATTATTTGAGCTATTTGGTCTCATGTTAGAGAAAAAACAGCAAGAGAGACGGTAAAACAGGTGGTGTATTTTATGGCATTTTCAAGGAAATGGCACAATGTCACTTCGCTAACATACCAATTGACAAAAGAAATTACACCATCAAGACCAGTGTCAGTTGGGGAGGAAGCACGTGCCTCATGGGAGTCACTGCAAGACACATCTTGCAGTGATCAAGATTGAATAATACTCTTTTATAGTGAAGGAACGAATAGTCAGAGTCAATAAGACAACTACCCTATCACTATGTAGACTCTAAGATATAGAGGCATACGCCAAGTGTTAATTACCCCGAAAGTACTATAACAGAACAGTTTTTAAAAACAGCAACAATTGAGCATTTATTTCTCAATTTTCTAGCTATTCAATAAATGTTTATTGCATAGCTCTTAATGACAGGCATTTAGTTATACAAACTTTAACAGATATTAACCCTGAACTAATGTAATTATCACATAGTATACAAATGGAAAGTAAGTAATAAGAACTTATTATGCATTGTGATACTGGTATGGAAGGCTAAGTATGTGGTGTTCTTAATAGGAGCAAGTGAAGGAAACTGCCTTGACTCAGATGTAACAAAAAACTGATCTTCAATTGAGAGGGTCATGAAATAGATCTGGAGTAAATCAGAAACTAGAAAACTTGAAAGTCAAAAGAAAAACAAGAGACATTTAGGAAAATCAATTTATAGGACTGCCTATACTAGATTTTTAATATAGTCTCTGAGGCTATGTACTATGTTTTAATGTAGGCCATTTTGTAATTTCCTTCAGTTCAGATTTTACTGTAAATATATTCTTTATTTATTATGTGGAAATAATAGATAGTTTTCTATAAAAACCAATAACTTGGGAAAATCAAGATTCTGAAGCATGCTTAATAATGACAACAATTTAAATTTAATGCTGACTAAGAAAATGTGAGAAAATTTCAAAAAATTAATGGATATGAAAAACTTTAGAAGGACTTCATGGTGTCCATTCATTGTTCAGCTTATTTCAGAATAAAAAAAATTAATTTTGTAGTAGCAATATATTTTCTACAGATATTCTACATTAAGTGTGTTTAAAATATATATAAATTAAAACGCGAGTTTATATAAATCATTTTGTATGTGAATTGATGAAAACCAAATAGTGTATTTACTTAATACCTGGGAATAAAAATATAAGTAGTAGTGAAAATGGCCATACTGCCCAAGGTAATTTACAGATTCAATGCCATCCCCATCAAGCTACCAATGACTTTCTTCACAGAATTGGAAAAAACTACTTTAAAGTTCATATGGAACCAAAAAAGAGCCCGCATTGCCAAGTCAATCCTAAGCCAAAAGAACAAAGCTGGAGGCATCACACTACCTGACTTCAAACTATACTACAAGGCTACAGTAACCAAAACAGCATGGTACTGGTACCAAAACAGAGATATAGATCAATGGAACAGAACAGAGCCCTCAGAAATAATGCCGCATACCTACAACTATCTGATCTTTGACAAACCTGAGAAAAACAAGCAATGGGGAAAGGATTCCCTATTTAACAAATGGTGCTGGGAAAACTGGCTAGCCATATGTAGGAAGCTGAAACTGGATCCCTTCCTTACACCTTATACAAAAATCAATTCAAGATGGATTAAAGATTTAAATGTTAGACCTAAAACCATAAAAACCCTAGAAGAAAACCTAGGCATGACCATTCAGGACATAGGCATGGGCAAGGACTTCATGTCCAAAACACCAAAAGCAATGGCAACCAAAGCCAAAACTGACAAATGGGATCTAATTAAACTAAAGAGCTTCTGCACAGCAAAAGAAACTACCATCAGAGTGAACAGGCAACCTACAAAATGGGAGAAAATTTTTGCAACCTACTCATCTGACAAAGGGCTAATATCCCGAATCTACAATGAACTCAAACAAATTTACAAGAAAAAAACAAACAACCCCATCAAAAAGTGGGCGAAGGACATGAACAGACACTTCTCAAAAGAAGACATTTATGCAGCCAAAAAACACATGAAAAAATGCTCATCATCACTTGCCATCAGAGAAATGCAAATCAAAACCACAATGAGATACCATCTCACACCAGTTAGAATGGCAATCATTAAAAAGTCAGGAAACAACAGGTGCTGGAGAGGATGTGGAGAAATAGGAACACTTTTACACTGTTGGTGGGACTGTAAACTAGTTCAACCATTGTGGAAGTCAGTGTGGCGATTCCTCAGGGATCTAGAACTAGAAATACCATTTGACCCAGCCATCCCATTACTGGGTATATACCCAAATGACTATAAATCATGCTGCTATAAAGACACATGCACACATATGTTTATTGCGGCATTATTCACAATAGCAAAGACTTGGAACCAACCCAAATGTCCAACAATGATAGACTGGATTAAGAAAATGTGGCACATATACACCATGGAATACTATGCAGCCATAAAAATGATGAGTTCATGTCCTTTGTAGGGACATGGATGAAATTGGAAATCATCATTCTCAGTAAACTATCGCAAGAACAAAAAACCAAACACCGCATATTCTCACTCATAGGTGGGAATTGAACAATGAGATCATATGGACACAGGAAGGGGAACATCACACTCTGGGGACTGTGGTGGGGTGGGGGGAGGGGGGAGGGATAGCACTGGGAGATATACCTAATGCTAGATGACGAGTTAGTGGGTGCAGCGCACCAGCATGGCACATGTATACATATGTAACTAACCTGCACAATGTGCACATGTACCCTAAAACTTAAAGTATAATAAAAAAAAAAAGATAAGTAGTAAAAAGTGTTAAAATATAAACCTAAGCCCATGTTAAATTTTTGTTTTATCTAATATATTTGCGTGGATATAGAATATACCATGCATACTAATAGTGTATGCATATATTTATATATACATGTACGTTAACTACGTGAATTACAATGTATAATGACTACTGTGAGGCTATCCATAGAGTACTAAAAAGACCTCTGACATAAGAACACTGGAAAGAGGACTCCAACTAATTAGAGTTATGAAAGCATATGGGTAACAAAGCTGTCTGAGCATGAATTTTCTCTTTTTAAATGGAAAACTTTCAGAATACAATAATATCTAAAGTTCTTTCAATATTTAACATTCTTTTATACAAATAAATATTGGAAAATGGAAGCATAGAATTGATTTAGTTTTCCAATTAGCAATGGACCAGACAGAAACACTGAAACTATTTTTTGACAATTTATTCCAAGGAGGACCTTTATTTTTATATTTTAAGCACTCTGATTTTATCCACTGTCCTTGAATTGTAAGGAAGGGTGGAAAAGTAAAATTTCTGTGCATCTATTTTATTCACTTCTTGACTTAATATGCCTGCATTTTATCACCTTTTCCCTTTCATTTCTTTAGAGCAATTCAGTCTAGTCTTTTTAATCTCCCCCTCATTCAGAGCACCCTCCTGTAGTATTACCCATGATTACAATCCTTTTCATTGTCCTTCACTGGACCTTTTCTATTTATGACAGTTTTATTTAGAAATGAGATGACCACAAATAAAAACTTTATTAAAACTTTATTAAAGGTGAAACTGCTCAAAGCACTATGATGAGTGTTGTAGGTGAATACCATTTTAGAGTAAGAAATATCTGTTCTTAATAATTTTATATGTTAGCAAAGCAGTTAGACATTTTCACAAATTTATCTGAAATACTGTGACAGAATATAGTCATAAAGTACTGTGGAGGAGAAATAATTTCTTTTGGGGGAGAGAGAATGATGACATAATCAGGAACATACGTTCAATGCAGGACAAACTTTCAGTAACTATTATATTGCCACAGGCCATATCAATTCAGTATTAAAACTTGAAACCTTTAGATAAATATTAGCATCCACCAGCCTTCATCATATAAACATCAAATAAAGAGACAATACTCATAAAATGTAGGTGCTTCAGTTCTTATTTCTGTAGCTGATAATACTCCCTAAGTTGATGTTAATACCCTTCCTTTTTATACCACCATTCTGAGTCCCCTTATCCATTGTTATTAGCTTGGCTGGGACAATTACATAATTTTGATTCCCACAGGATTCATGTCTTGGTGGTCCCAAGACATAGTGGTTTAGGTTTGTCGTACCTGGTTACTGCCAATACAGTTCATAGAACTCATGGCTGTCCTCTCCACGATAGTAAGAATCAGTGTAATCAACCTTTTACCAAGAAACTGACCACTAATGAAAGACCATGGTGTCTTGGATTATAGTTTTAGGCTTTGGTGTTGGAGGGTTGGACAATAAATAGCTTTGGTGGATCTGCTTTTGTGAAGGGAAGTCCACCACATAAAACTATGCATAGTCCATCCTTCCATCACAGAAGTTTTGTACATAGACCCATTGAGCAAACATTAGTGTGACTTGGAAGAGAAGTTTACTGAAATTCAAAAGACAAATTTTCTTATACATGGATTGATAGTATTCTCTGCCGTGAATATCTTGTGAAGGTCATTAATGCATGCTACAGACATCACGTTCTGTATCCTTCCTGATAGACTCATTCACATATCTCTCTGACAGACTGTCTTGCTTCAACCTTCTAATCACAACATTCCAAAGTTTTTGATCATTTGACCAATGCATTAGCCATTACCCATGAATTAACTTACAATTCAGGTTATGTCAACATTTACACAAAACAGAGAATCCTAAGCATTACCCAAGTTATTCCAGTTAGGAAGACTTCTCTTCACCATTGTACTTTAGGTTTGTCTCTAAGAGAGGCTTTAGTGCAGTGATGATCTATTAACAGCTGTGGCCAGAATCCCATGCAGGATCACCTGAGTCACACTTGCACTTTTTCCTCCTTTAATCTGGTGATATATTACTTTCATTGTATGAAAGTTGTGAGTTGAGAGAAAGGTGGTGAGGCAGGATAAACATATATCATGGGAATATGAGCCAATTTTAAGGTAATAGATGTATGTGTTCCACATGAGCTTAAGCCTGAACGAATACATACCATATTCATTTAAGAAGGGTGTGCTGCGGCTGGGCGCGGTTGCTCGCACCTGTAATCCCAGCACTTTGGGAGGCCAAGGCAGGTGGATCACGAGGTCAGGAGATTGAGACCATCCTGGCTAACACGGTGAAACCCCGTCTCTACTAAAAATACAAACAATTAGCTGGGCGTGGTGGCGGGCGCCTGTAGTCCCAGCTACTTGGGAGGCTGAGGCAGGAGAATGGTGTGAACCCGGGAGGCGGAGCTTGCAGTGAGCTGAGATCTGAGATCGTGCCACTGCAGTCCAGCCTGGGCGACAGAGCAAGACTCCGTCTCAAAAAAAAAAAAAAAAAAAAAAAAAAAAAAAAAAAAAAAAAAGAAAAGAAAAAAAAGAAGGGTATGCTGCTATATGTGTGAAATGTGTAATTTGTTGTACCACATAACACTTAAAAGGAAATTTGGATTACATGGTCACTTGGTATCTCCTGATCAGATATTAATTCTCTATCAGGGACCACTGAAAGCTAAAGCTACTTTTCAAATAATGTCAGAATTGCTTTCTATTAACCTTACCACAGACTCAATGCAGTATACCTATCTTCCAAAATTATTTCAGAAATAATAGGGTCAATTGTGCCTTAGGTTTAAATGACAGAGAAGCTTGAATGTCAGCCCTGTGCTGCTAAAACTTCTTTGGTCTAAACCACATCAAAACTAGCAACACTTTGAGTTATTCATTAACAGGTTGATCATCACACTCAGATATGACATATGTTGCTTCCAAAATCATATATATTGCCCATAAGTATTGTGCAAGGAGAAGCAAATTGTTTATGAATTTAAGTGAGGTATTTAATGCACATCAGACCAAAGGATCCAAAAAAAGAATTGCTAGGTACTTCAATATTTGGGGGATTTAGCTCCCATCCTCAGACCTACATTCATTTTACTGATACATCTATATTGTTTGTTATTTTATATCTTCCATATCTAACTGTCATGATTTTGTCAATGTGATGGGCTATTGTGATGTTCTATGGGAAATTAAGACAATCAAATTCCTCTAGACTATGATATACTGGAGAGCAAATTTATACTGCTCTCCCTGCTCCTGATTATCTTAACTCATCAGGATTGAAAAAAGTTTGAACTAACTTGCTGTATACCACGTTATGGTGATTGGCTTTATTTGCTCAAGTAAGATATCACATATACAACCAGCAGCTGCCATCAGCATCAATACCCAATATTGACATCAATCTAGTTATCCTACAACTTGATGAATCTGGTGTCTGCCACCAGAAATGTGAATTAAAGGGAATATGATATAATCTCAACTCCTGTGTTTTTCAAGACACTAATGATACTCTTTATCTTCTTTGGATTTGATATTATTTTGGTTTGGTTCTGGCCAGTGAGTGGTTGAGTATTTCCCCTGGCTTCCACTTGCCTTGTCTTAGTGTAAGAATGCCTAGTTTTCTGTTTAGTAAAATAATGTGGGAACTAATGACTGGAAGCAAGCACTGGAATTGTGAGTTAATTACTGCTATACATTCTAGTACCAGGAAAATATATATAGGAATAGTTTGGGGTTTATGGCATTCAATTAAAGTTTCAGAGATATGCAGAAGTGAGAACCAGTAATCAAATACTCTCAGGTGATCTGTGAATCTCCTTTTCCTCAATGCATAGTGCTGGAAAAATGGCTGTAGAGTTTTTCTGGAAAAGGCTTGAAGGAAGCTTTTGAATATATTTTTAACCAAACTACAGGGTCGTTTCTCAGAAGGAATTGTTCTCAATCATGAAGATAATAGATTTAAAAGTTGGCTTATATCTAAAAACTGAGTAAAAGACTATGAATCTCCATGGTGCATTTAATCAGATTCCCCTCACCATCATTTTTCTGCATATAGAGGTCTAGAAGCCCCCCTGGTAGGGGTGCTGTGATCAATTAGACATTTCCCTAGAGTCCTGTGAACCGGAACACATTATCCCTCCATTTCGTTGTTCATAATAGAAATAGTGTTCACTTTTTCTCAGAGGAAGACCATGACCTGATGATGTATAACACTTAGTTCTCTCTTTAAGACAATCTGCAACAGCATAGGAAAGGTGACTTTGTGTTTTTATCTGTCACACTTTCCATTCATTGAGACATTCATACTGAGGCCACACTTCCTCCAGAATACTCCCAGCTAGTGAATTACTGAGCTTTGCAGGAGTATTAGAGCCAGGTCACTGCTGCCCAACACATTCACTCCAGCATTTGTTACTGTTAGTCTTTTTTGTAACAGTCATAATTACAGATGTGAGGTGATATCTCATTGTGGTTTTGATTTACACTAATTTGATGATCAGTAATTTTGAGCATTTTTACATATAACTTTTGGGCACTTGTATATCTTCTTTTGATAAATGTCTATTTAGTGGTTTTGCTAATTTTTAAAATAAAATTATTCATTTTTCATTTTGGGGTTTTTTGCTATTGAGTTCCTATATATTATGGATATTAACCTTTGGCAGATACATTATAATCTGTGATATTTTTCTGCCATTCTGAAGGTTGTCTCTTCACTCTGTTAATTATTTTCTTTGATATGCAGAAGGGTTATAGTTTGACATAATACCATTTGTCTATTATTGCTCTTGTTGCCTGGGCTTTTGAGGTCTTATCCCAAAAAATATTTACCCAGAGCCATGTCATCAAGTGTTTCTCTCAAGTTTTCTTCTAGTAGTTTTATCATTTCAGGTCTTACATTTAAAGCCTTAATTCATTTTGAGTTGAATTTTGTATACAGTGATAGTCTAATTTCATCCTTCTGTCATTCAATCAATAAACAAAAAATCCCATCAAAAAGTGAGCAAAGATTTAATTAGATATTTCTCAAAAGGAAACATAAAAATAACCAGCAGGTATATAAAAATGCTCAACATCACTCCTCATTAGGAAAATACAAATCAATAACACAATGATATAACACCTTAACTGAGTTAAAATAGCTATTATCAAAAAGAGTTCAAAAAATAACAAATGCTGGCAAGACTGAGAGGAAGGAGAGAGAACACAATAATTTTATTTTAAAAATGTGTTTATTGAGATAATTTTAGATTTAGAGAATAGTTGAATAAATAGCTAAGAGTGTTCCCAAATGCCTTTCTCACAGCTTATACAGTGATGGTACAGTTACCAAAAAATACATTATTTTTCACGTACTCTACATAAAACTCCCACAATTTTGATTTTACCAATTTTTATACATATATATAGCTCTTAGGTTCAGTTGAGAAGACATCACTTTTTGCCATCATGTTTCCGTAGTCTTTTCCAATATATTAAAATTTCTTGAGATTTTTTCTTTGTTCACACCTTGACACTTCTGAATAACACTCAGTAAGTGTTTCAGGGAGGTATGGCTTTTTGGGAAGAATAGCACAAAGATTACCTCCCTTCTCATTGCATCATATCAGAGGTTACATGGTGTCAACATAGCATTATTGGTTATGTTATCTTCAACACTTGGTTAAAGTGATCGCTGTCAGATTTCTCCACTGCAGAGTTACTATTTTTACCTTTCTACTTATTAAAAACAAGTGACAAAGTTCAGTGCTCTTCAACAGTGTGGATTATCCTGGTGAAACCAGTATCAAAGAATTTGTTGATGTATGTCAAAACAACAATGACAATTAAAAAACACCTTGAAAAATATATTTTGAGACTATGAAAATATGTTGTTTTTCCCTAAAGATTCTCCAACTTTTGGACTATTCATGTATTATGCCAGCAGCAATTATGACTCTGGTGTACTGTCAATTTTAAATTTTTTTCATCAAATATTTCCTGTAAAGAAAAACAATTTTCCCCATAAGTTATTAATACAATCATTTATTTATAACAGTATGGACTTGCAGATATATTTTATTTTGGGGGCTATAATCCAACAATATTGCTATTTATTTTTTTGATTGGATTGTTCCAACTTTGGCTATTGGTAGCTCATTCTGTTTGGTGACTGTTTCTTTCACCAGCTCTCATTTTTTTCTTTGCATCTTATTAATTTTTTATTATTTATTTCATTGTTTGTTAGAGAACATTTTTCTATCTGTCACTATAATATGTTTCAAACTAAATTTATATTTATCTTGCCACAGTCTTAGATTCAGCTATTTTTTAGGGAACCATGGTTTCTTTCATTGGAAAATGGTATTTAAGAACTGATCTGGATGCTACATTGCTGACTGTTACTAAGTGTCACTATTTCAAGAACCTATCAGTTGTCCAAACTAGAAAGCATATTTTATGTCTACTTACCTATGTATATATGTGTATCTGAGTTTATTTCCATTTCTATTGTATGAGTGTGTGTGTGTGTGTATACATGTATGTGCTCATTTCTCTAATTTTGCAGCAAAGATCTCATTCTAGCCCTTCCCCTCCTTACTTAATTATAACTTCTTTCTCTAGCAGTGAAGACTCTGACTCTCATTGTCTACAATGTAGACAATGTTGGCTGTTTTGTTCAAGCCTAGTGTACACGTACAGAAGTTTTAGAATAGCTATACCATTACACAGTGAGAAACACAGTTTCATCTACATGACAGTATTTATATACTGTCCCTCTGACTTTAGCCTTTAAAAATCCAGTCAAAACACTGTTTACAATGCTACTACAATCATTTTCTTTTCCCCACCTCTTTCCATGAGGTTGATATCATACATTTCTAAGAGAGTTATAATTAGTTGGCACCATCTGCAATCCATTCTGGGATCTGCTATCTTGATTAATTAATTAATTTTTAATTTTTTTAGATAGTATCTAGCTCCTTCACTCAGGCTGGAGTGTAGTCATGCAATTATAGCTCAATGCAGCCTCGAACTCCTGGGCTCAAGGAATCCTCTCGCTTCACTGCTTCAACCTCCAAAATAGCTGGAACTACAGGCATGGACCAACATACTCTACTAATATTTTAAAATTTTTGTGTAGAGATATGGTCTGGCTATGTTGTAGTCATGAGAATGTGCCTCTTTGTTATACTCTATTTTGGGTTATTATGAATACAACTGTTATACATATTTATTACAGGTTTGGTTGTAAATATGTTTTCAACTGATTTTGGTAAGTATTTAAAAGTGTGGACGCTGTCTGTTTACCTTTGTAAGAAAGTATAACACTGTTTTCTAAAGTGGAAACTTAATTTCCCTAAGAAATGGGTGAGTTTCTTTTACTCTGAAATTCATTTCATGTTGTCATCTGGGATGACTCATTTTAGGTATCAACTTGACTGGATTAAGAAATATCCAGAGAACTGGTAAAGCATTAATTCTTCATGTGTCTGTGAGGGTGTTTCCAGAGGAGATTTGTGTGAGTGGGTAGAGAGAGTGAGAAGATCTGCTCTCAATGTGAGAGGATATCACTCAATCAGCTATGGGCCCTTATAGAACAAAAAAGGCAGAGAAAAGCAATTTTCTCTCTCTTTCCTGGAGCGAAGACATAGTTTTTCTCATACCCTTAGACATTAGAACTCCATGCTCTCCACCTTTTTGACTTCAGGACTTACACTAGCAGCATTGGGCCTCAGTCTTAGAGTTACACCTTCAACTCCTCTGGTTCTTATGCCTTCAGGCTTGGACTGAACCATGCTACTGACATCACAGGGCCTCCAGCTTTCAGATGGTCTGTTGTGGGACTTCAAAGCTGCCATAGTTGCATGAGCCAAATCTCTTAATATATCCCCTCTTGTGTTTCTATCTATCTATCTATCTATCTATCTATCTATCTATCTATCTATCTATCTATCTATCATGTATCTATCTATGTATCTATCGATCTATCTATCTATCTATCTATCTATCTATCTATCTATCACCTATCTATCATTCATCTACCCATTCTGTTGGTTCTTTTTCTCTGAAGAATTCTGACCAATAAATCATTTTTTTTGTATGGTCACTCTAATGGGTATGCAGTAGCTTTTCTTTCTATATCTATCTCGCATTTCCCCAATGGCTAATGTGTTGAGCATATTTTAACATGATTATTTGTCATCTGAATATCTCATATGGTGAAATGAATCGTCTGTTCATATTGTATTCTGCTTTTTTTTTTCTTTTTCCCAGACAGGATCTCTGTCTGTCACCCAGATTGGAGTACAGTGGCATGATCATAGCTCACTGCAGCCTTGAACTCCTGGGCTCAAGCAATCCTCTTGCTTCAGCCTCTTGAGAAGCTAGGACTATAGGTGTGTCCTACCATGCCTGACTATTTTTTACATTTTTTTAAACAAAACAAAAATGGGGTCTTTCTGTATTGCCCAGGCTGGTCTCAAACTCTTGGCCTCAAGTGAACATCCTGCCTTGGCCTCCCCAAGTGCTGAGATTGCAGGCATTAATCACCTTGTCCAGTCTGTTCTGTTCATTTTAAACAGAGTTAAAATAAGCAGTTAAATTTTGTTGAGTTTTTAGTAATGTTTGTATATCCTAGATATGTCTTTTTCCAAATATATGAAAAACACATATTTTCTTCTGTTTTGTGGCTTGCCTTTTTATTCCCTTAATGTTGTTTAAATAACAAAGGTTTTTATTCTAATAAAATCCAATTTATTCAATTTTTCTTTTATGAAGCATGATGTTAGTGTCGTATGTTGCCAAAGCCATACAGATTTTATTCATTGTTTTGTTCTAGAAGTTTTATAGTTTTAATTTATACATTGAGAACTATGATTCATTTCAGCTGATTTTTGTGTAAGGTATGAGGTGTATAGTCAAGTTATTTTTGTTTTCAACACATGGATATCCAATTGTTCTAGTACATATATTGCAAATACTATTTGTCTTCCTTGAATTTTCCTTATACTTTTTTTCAAGTATTAGTTCAGTATATTCCTGTGTTCTTTTTCTGGGCTATTTTGTTCCTATCAACTAATATGTCTATTCTTTAGCTAATGCAGCAATCTGTCTAATGCAACTTTATGGTAAACTTTTTCAAAATAGTTTTGGAAATTCTAGTTTCTTTGCCTTTCCGTATACATTTTAGAATCCACTTGTTGTAAATGGTGATACAAAAAGAGCTTGCTGGGGTTTATATTTGTACTGCATGGAATTTATAGATGCAATTGGGAACATCTTAAAAATATGGAGTCTTCCTATCTACAAGTATGCCATGTCTCTCCATTTACTTAGATTTGCATTGATATTTTACCTTAATGTTTTGTAGTTCTCAATATACAGATTATGCCCAAATGTTTGTAGATTTGTATCTAAATATTCTATTTTTGAAGTACTATAATAAATATATTGTTTTGCATTTTATTTTTAATTAAATCTTAATAGACAAATAATTACACATATTTATTGTGTAATACATATTTCAAAATATGTATACATTGTGAAATAACTAGAGTTAATTAACACATTCCTTACTTCAAACATTTTTTAATGGTGAAAATTCTTAAAATCTACTCTATTGGTAATTTTTGAGAATGCAATACATTGTTATTAGTTGTAGTCGCCATGTTGTAAATAGATCTTTTCAACTTATTACTCTAAGTAAAATCTCGTATTCTTTAACCAAAATCTCACCACTCCTCCCTTTGTCCCAGCTCCCAGTAACCACCATTTTACTTTCTATGTCTGTAAGTTCACCTTTTGATATTCCACATATACATAAGACCATGCAGTAGTTGTCTTTCTGTGCCTGGTTGATTTCACTTAACATAATATCCTTCAAGTTCATTCATTTTTTTGCAAATTACAGAATTGTCATTTTTTGATAATTAACAAAGTGAAGGTACACCCTATGGAATAAGAAAAAAATATTTGCAAACCATGTATCTGATAAGGGGTTAATATCCAAAATATATAAGGAACCCAAGCAACTTGATGCTAAGAAAACAAATAACCCCATTACAAATTTCTCAAAACACCTGAATAGAAATTCCTCTAAAGAAGATATACAAATGGCCAATGAGTGTATAAACCAATGCTTCAAACCACTAATCAGAAAAATGCAAATTAAAACCACAATGAGATATCATTTCACACCTGTTAGAATGGCTATCATCCAAAACATGAAAGAAAACATGTCTTGGTGAGGATGTGGAGGAAAGAGAAAGCTTGAGCACTATTCATGGGAATGTAAATTAATACAGCCATTATGAAAAATAGTATGGGTGTTCCTCAAAAACTTAAAAATGTAGCTACCATATAATCCAGGAATTCTACTATTGGATATGAATCCAGAGGAAATAAAATGAGTATGCTGAAAAGATAATCTGCATTTCCATGTTCACTGCACCATTATTCACAATAGCCAAGATATGGGATCCACCTAAGTGTCCATGCATACATGAATGGATACATAAAATGGTGTATACACACAGATCCACACACACACATGCACACACACACAAGTATGTTTGTGGGTTATATTATATATATTTTATATATTGTATATATTATTAAGTTATATATATTTTATATATTGTATATATTGTTATATATATTTTATATAATACCTTTATTTTTAGAGTATTTTATGTTTACACCAAAATTATGCAAAAATACAGAAAGTTATCATATACTTCTTGCCTCCACACATGTACAGCCTCCCCCACTGTCAATATCCTGCACCTGAGTAGTACATTTTTATAGTCAGTGAACCTACACTGACATATCATTATTATCCTAAGTTCATAGCTTGCATTTGGGTTTACTTTTGGTGTTATATATTCTATGGGTTTTAACATGAACACACATTCCTGGGTCAGAACAGAAATTTAGAAGGGGCCTGTGCTGATCAGTTTTTCTGTTCACTTATTTTCATATTTTCTCCTTTAGACTGAGATTTCTCTTTAAAGAACATAGATGATCACACTTAAAAGTCCTTTTTGGCCCTTGGTTCTGAAAAGGCTCATTCCCGGAAAGTCATGTCTCATGTTGGAGGCAAAAAGGTGAATGATAATGAGATTAATCTAGGCCCGAGACAAATTGGGCTTTCTAGAAGTATAAAATGAAACTGCAGCTAGGCTAATGGGTTCAGTCTATCTATCTATTCTGTACTCTGTGCGACCATAATTTTGGTTTTAGTAGATGACATATAGCAGTTGGTTATTTATAACATAAGCGATTTCATTGATAATCAGATAAGTGGGATACAGGCTATGATTATAACAAAGGTTTGAGTTGCAGACTAAAAGAAATTTTCCACTTTCATAGAAAGACAAGAGTAGAGCACATTAAGAAGTTGAATATTTTGTACCTCTTGTAAGCACTTAGCTCACTTGGTAATTATTTCAATATAAGTCTCTAGTTCACCTGAAATGGTGATGTGAGTGAAGCTGGTGGTGTGATCTACTGCACAGATACTTGCTGGTTTGGTTAGGAGAAAGTCTACAGCAATTCTTTTATTCAGCGCTATTTGATCCAAGGAATTCAGAGACATTTGTTGTACTGCAATGCTCTTTGGAGTATCTTAAGCGATCTGTCCTATTGTGGCTGACAGATTTTTTTTATCATATCTCTATTAGCATATTCCCCATGTCTGAGAACAATATCTCAGACGTGTATGCCGCCACGTATCTTGATAACTTCCTGGTAGCTTTCTTTTCATTTTAAGGTATTAAAATGGCAGAGTGGGTTATCTTCACAATTGGGGTAGATCATACCCAGGAAGGAGCAGCTTCAACTAACTGTTCAATATTTGGGGTTAACAGAAAAAATAGACAGCTTAAAAGGATTCTTATACTCTCCTTCTCTTTATTGCATTATTGTTTTTCCATTTATTTTCCCAATCACATGAGGGCATCTTATGCCACTAATGCCAACATGTGGCATATTATCAGGGTGATATTTCTTCTTTGCTTCCCCCAATCCCATTGTTTGAGTTCTAAAAATATTTTCCCCTTTGGGGAAAAATAGACGTGAGTATTATGGATAATGAGGAAATATTGACCCAGAAGGTTAACTGGGGCTTTTGGGGCATATCAGGAATACATGGGATTAGCTGAGGGTATCACATTCATAGCCCGTAGGAGGAAGGCCAGACTCAATGGACCAGTAGGGCAAAGTTTTCGATTTAAAGCAAAGAATAGGTTTATTAGGTGGACCCACCGTATTAACCTTTGATTATTCTGAGGAACAGGCTTTTCAGATAAGGTGGGATTTATAACTGATAGAATAGTTCCCTTGACTATAAGGGCTGATGAGAGTTATTATTTGTTATTTTGTTAATTTCTCCAAAGTGGTTAAAGCAGAGTATTGGGAGACATGAAAACCACTTATTTCCTCAGAGAAGCCCTAGTTTAATTTGAGCTTATCAACCTGTTTCCTTTTCAGTTTCTTGCAGTTTATTTCAAAATGCCCTGGTTTCTTGCAGGAGAAAACTCCCAGGGCCAGTGGACCTAATTTTCTTATTGGCCTGGAAGTTTCAAGAGGTCAGCTGTTGCAATTGTAACAGCTGTCTTTTGCTTCATAACTTCAGCAGTCTTTTGCTTTTCCTTTCATACCATTATACAGGACAACTGGTCAGCTAAGTAGTCCAGGTCACTAGTTTTGGTCATAGCTCACTTAGTCATATGACGTTTGACAAGAATGCCTAATTTATCACAGAAACCATTTTGAAAATTTGAATTTAATAATGTGTGATTTTTGTTTTTTTAATAGTTATCTGCTGACATTCTGCAATATTGTCCTAGTGTTTTAGCAAAGTAGATAAAATAATGGAAAACAGACTCATCTGTTCTTCCAAGAATGGAATCTGGCTAGGACTACTACACATTGCAGGAGCTTCCTCTCAGACTCCCTCATGAGATTATCCACTGCCTGAGAATGCCCTGGAAGTAAGTTCTCTTTTGTCTTTGGAGTGGAAATTCCACATTCATACACTATAGGTCATTAAAAGTTGGTCAAATCCAGAAGAAGGAAAACCAAAACCAAGCAACCAAACAAGAAAAAGCAATTGCAGAAGAAAAAGAAGTTAGGACTGGCAAAAATTCAGCAAACAAACTTAAGATAATACTCCAACAGGACTGGCAAAAATTCAGCAAACAAACTTAAGATAATACTCCAACCCAACTCCTGACTTAGAGATGAAGTTAATGAGCTGAAGATTGCTGTCTGTCCTCATAGAAGTGGGAGACTGTCTCTCTTTATTGGAAGCCAACAAATTTCCATGGGGTATTCATGGCAATCAAATTTTGAGATCTAAACCAAAGATTGGGAGATGGAGACCTTAGCAAGCAGAAGCCCTTGATCCGTGGTAGGTTATACAGCGTAATCAAATGAAGAAAGTCTCTCAGTTGGTACTGAGCACTGAGCAGAGATTTACTGTGTTTCAGGAAAGCTAGACCCCACTCAGGGGTCTCATCTGGGATGACAATAATGTCAATCCAAATGAGAAACCATAGTAGGTATCTAAATCAAGTGAAATTTATTATGCTGAGCTTGAGGACACATATCTGGAAAGCTCATGATATTCCTGGGTGCACATCCTCAAGCTTGGCATAATAACCCCTTTGATTAAGACTCCTGCTTTCGTCTGTCACTTTGGTCAACAAGGTTTAATTATATTATCTTTTAAAAATATGCACTATATGATTTGCATTATTTTAAGCTTGCTAAGGTTTGTGTTGCAGCCAGAAGATGATCTTTCTTTATAAATGCTGCATGTGCACAGGAGAAGAATGTATATTCATTTGTTGTTGGGTAAAATGTTCTGCAAATGTCAATCATGTCAAGTTGGCTGATAGTGTTTTTCAGGTTATCTATATCTGTATTGACATTCTGCCTAATGGGCCTATCAATTTCTGGGACAGTAGTGTTAAAGTTTCCAGTGATAATTGTGGATATTTCTCTGTTCAAATCTGTTTATTTTTACCTCATATAGTTTGATGTATTAGTGTATATTATATACATAATTAAGATTATTATGGCTTCTTGAAACCTGACCGTCATGTCATTACCCTCTTTAACTAGGACAATATATCCATCTTTTAAAAAAATTTCTTTAAATGATCGTCTTGGGTTTTCAACTTATATTTTGAAATAATCTGAATCCACCCTTAAATAATACTATATGGTTTTATTTATAGAATAGTAGACTTGCACCATAATATTCCCAATAAATCCATCCCCTTCTATGTGTCATTACAGTCAAAACTTTCAAGTTTTCATGTTATGAACATACTATATTTCTACAACTTTTTGTGAAAAGTTTATTTTAGAGAAATTAAAAGTAAAATTAAAATATTATATTTCATCTTCATTCATTTCATTTCTGAAGCATATTATCTCTTTGAAGATATACAAGTTGAAACAAAACTGTTTTCTTTCTGGCTAATGAATGTCTCCTTATCTAATCTGGGAGCACCCGGTGGTAATCATACTGGGAAAACCTGCAAAAAACTTCACAGTGTAATAATGTAACAAGTGTTGAATAGTGTACCAGTGTGAAGATCCTGGCTTCTGCAGACATACAACTCCCATATGTCTGCAGAAACTAGAGTCTTCACATTGGTTCACTATTCCACACTTAGCCTTTGGCAATTTGTTAAACACTTCTAGCTTAATCATTTTACTGCTTATATGGGGTTCCACAGCATTTGCCTGAAGAAAGCAAATGATGGAATCTTTTTTCTCCCAGAGAATGCCTGTCTCTCTTCAGGTTTAGGATTAGTTGTCAGCCTTATAATGTCAGTTTTCTCATGTCTTCAAGAGAAAAGGTAATTTATAATTTGCAATAAGAAGCACCTTTCTTAATAAACCTGACAGTAACACTCATGAGAGCTTTAAACCTTTCCTCTGAATCCTGAAGTCCAATAATTTCATTTTGTAAGAAAATACATAGATAAATAGGAAAAAGGGTCACTTCATTTCAAAGGCAGCAGTATCTGTAGACTCACATACTGAGCCTTTGTATATTTCCCAATATTGTAAAATTGTCCTGTAATTTTATAATCAGTAAAATAGAATATTAGATATAACAGAATTTTACAACTGAATTCTGAACATAGTATAGTGAATATTCAAAAAAGGATTTAGAATGGAAATATGTGGGGGAAAATAGCATATTTGAGAAAAAACAAAAGTATAATTATGTCAAAACATATAGGTATATATATGAACATATATACTTATTTATAGCACCTTCTATTTCAAGAACATTATTCATATAAACACAAAATGAACACACGTTGATAAACAAAATCTGTTTTTTGTTTATTCCCAGCAGAAGAGCAAGAGAAATTTGAACTTCATTGACAGCTTATTTGGATTCTGTTCGTGTTATTATCTCACACTTTCATCTTATACTTGTGGATATGGGCCACAAAAGACCTTGAAATCCCTCTTGATTTTGCCAGTGACTTCTTGGAGTGACCTAGGGGAAAAATTATTTAGCTGCCCCTTCAATTTTCTTTTTTTATCTGAAAAAGGGGAATAACAATAACTTTTTGTGTCTTCTAAGTCTGTTTGGATGATTGATGATCTGGCATTCTAAATTCCTTGGAAGAAAAGTGATAGATAAAAGTACATGTGTAATAGAGAGAGTAAGATTATAAGTTTAGAAACATAAAGAAAATTGGAAAAGTGAAAATACATTTCAATGTGACTGCTTCAGCCCATTATTCCGACTCATTTTGATTTCACTCTATGAATTGACTTTTATAACCTTCATCTCTAACGGTTACAGGTCTCTCAACCAAATCTTGTGTCACATTAAATATACCTCCAAGGGGCTGCTTTTGCTGGTCTACCCACTGTCACTAGCTGACTGAGCATTAAAAGTCCCACCTGCTGTAAAACACTATGCTCCCTAGTCCGACTGCCAGAGTAGACAAACTAGTGACACCGAATTACAGTGAGGAGAGCTTTTCTTCACTTGCCGTTAACTGCCTCCAAGAACCCTTCAGTGTATCTGGGTTTTAACAGTCTTCAGAAAAACAAATAGAAAACTAGGCATGTTTAATTTCAATTGGATTGATTCTATAATTCCTGAAGTTATGGAGTTATAGGGTTTGGCTGTATCCTCATCCAAATTTCATCTTGAATTGTAGCTCCCATAATTCCCACATATTGTGAGAGGGACCCAGTGGGAGGTAACTGAGTCTTGGGGGCAGTTTCCCCCATACTGTTCTCCTGGTAGTAAATAAGTCTCACAAGATAGAATGGTTTTTTAAGGGGAAACCCCTTTTGCTTGGTTCTCATTCTCTTGTCTGCCACCGTGTAAAATGTGCGTTTCACTTTCCTCCATGAAGGTGAGGCATCCGCAGCCACATGGAACTGTGAGTCCATTAAACTTTTTTTCTTCATAAATAACCCAGTGTCAGGTATGTCTTTATAAGCAGTGTAAAAATAGACTGATACATGAAGATGCTGATAGTATAAATATATTTTGCAATTTACATTAGATATGCACCTTAATTATTCACTGTTTTGATATGGACTCTAACAACATTTTGTGCTGTGTGAAACTTTGCTCTCTCTCTATTATATAAGGATAATTCTTGTTTTATTGTAAAGCAGTTGGGGAAGTTTACAAGTAATTTTTCTAGGCAGTTCAGCTTAAAAAGTGCACAGCAGGGAGACATGATGACGACAGCTGGTTATATTTGTTTTGTCTATGTCAAGTTGATTTGGTAGGACCATATCATTATTGACATCTCAGGGAGAATATAAGAATAAGCAGAAAAAAATTAATGCAATGTAAGAACAAGAAATGGGAAGCAAGACCAAAGTGTGACACCAAGGAAAAGTAGAGAGAAAGGAAACAGCCTTCACACAGAAAAATGGTGCTGTCAGGAAATTATTTTAAAGAAAATGCCGTTCAATTAGTATATGTTAGTATATGTGTACAAACAGCCACACCAGTTATTTTAAATCAACTTCACATATATCAAACATGAAAAATATTATATTTTCTTATATTTTCTTTTGGCAATATCGATGATATCCTTTCAATGAAGTTTCAGTTTCAGGGGATAAAAATAGCTAGAAATGTAAATACACTTAAAAAGTAAAGTTTTAAAAATAATTTTTAAATGTAAGTCATACACTCACATAATTATGAAATTAGGCATTAGTATTGCACTGTATAAAATGTAAAAGATCAGTCTTATGTGCTCTGCCTCCACCCCATATTCCAGTCTCAGCTTTCTATGTTGTTTCTTCTGATGGCATACTCTCCACTTTTCACCCTAATATTACATAACACTTCAATGTCCTCCATTGGCTTCAATTCCTTTTCACAGCTTCTCAGTGTTAAAAAGCTTCTGAGTTACCTCAAGATATCTGTTTTGAGATGTTCCTGAAAATCCTTGCCTTATAAAACCAAACTCTAAGTCATTTGTCATGTGACAATGATTCCTTGATCTTGAAATGGAGAGCCTTTATAAATGGTAATCTATCTTTCCACCTCCTGATATTCCAAGTCCTTAGTCTTTTCCATCTCTCAATGTCCCAAAAATGAAGTGTAAACTTATTTTTGCATAACTGTGACAATTAATATTGTTGTCAATTATCTTGGCACTAATAGAAGAAGTAAAGTCATTTATCCCAGGGATGTAACATTCAGGTTACACTGACACATCATGGCAGACATCTTTATTCCAAACTTTAAAAGAGATGTTTGGAATTGCCACTCTATGAATTAAAGAGAGAAGTCACTGTGGGTTTGTCATAAATAGCTCTTATTATTTTGAGATACATTCCCTCAATACCTAGTTTATTGAAAGTTTTTAGCATGAAGAGGTGTTAAATGTTATCGAAGGCCTTTTCTGCATCTATTGAGATAATCATGTGATTTTTCTCATTGGTTCTGCTTATGTGATAGATTATGTTTATTGATTTGTGTGTGATGAACCAACCTTGCATCCCAGTGATGAAGCCAACTTGGTCATGGTGGATAAGCTTTTTGATGTGCTGCTGGGTTCAATTTGCCAGTATTTTATTGAGGACTTTCACATTGATGTTCATCAGGGATATTGGCCTGAAATTTCGTTTTTTTGTCCTGTCTCTTCCAGGTTTTGGTATCAGGATAACACTGGCCTTATAAAATTAGTTAGGGAGGAGTCACTCTTTTTCTATTGTTTGGAATAGTTTCAGAAGGAACGGTACCAGCTCCTCTTTGAACTTCTGGTAGAATTCGGCTGTGATTCTGTCTGGTCCTGGGCTTTTTTTGGTTGGTAGGCTATTAATTACTGCCCCAATTTCAGTACTTGTTATTGGTCTATTCCAGGATTTGACTTCTTTCTGGTTTGGTCTCGGGACGGTATATGTGTCCAGGAATTTATCCATTTATTCTAGATTTTCTAGTTTATTTGCATTGAAGTGTTTATGGTATTCTCTGATGGTAGTTTGTATTTCTGTGGGATCAGTGGTGATATCCGCTTTATCATTTTTTATTGTGTCTATTTGATTCTTCTCACTTTTCGTCTTTATTAGTTGGGCTAGTGGCCTCTCTATTTTGTTAATCTTCTCAAAAAAACAGCTCCTGGATTCATTGATGTTTTGAAGCATTTTTTGTGTTTCTATTTCCTTCAGTTCTGCTCTGATCTGTTATTTCTTGTCTTCTGCTAACTTTCAAATTTGTGTGCTCTTGCTTCTATAGTTTGTTTAATTGTGATGTTAGGGTGTCAATTTTAGATCTTTCTCGCTTTGTTCTGCAGCCAATATCATACTGAATGGGCAAAAGCTGAAAGCATTCCCTTTGAAAACCAGTACAAGACAAGGATGCACTCTCTCACCACTCCTATTCAACATAATATTGGAAGTTCTGGCCAGGTCAATCAGGCAAGAAAAATAAATAAATGGTATTCAAATAGGAATAGAGAAAGTCAAATTGTCTCTGTTTGCAGATGACATGATTGCATATTTAGAAAACCCCATCTTCTTAGCCCAAAATCTCCTTAACCTGATAAGCAACTTCAGCAAAGTCTCAGGATACGAAATGAATGCACAGAAATCACAAGCATTCCTATACACCATTAATAGACAGAGAGCTAAATCATGAGTGAACTCCCATTCACAATTGCTACAAAGAGAATAAAATACCTAGGAATACAACTTACAAGGGATGTGAAAGACCTCTTCAAGGAGAACTACAAACCACTGCTCAAGGAAATAAGAGAGGACACAAACAAATGGAAAAACATTCCATGCTTGTGGATAGGAAGAATTAATATTGTGAAACTGTCCATACTGCCCAAAGTAATTTATAGATTCAATGGTATCCCTGTCAAGCACCACTGAATTTCTTCACAGAATTAGAAAAAAAAAACTACTTTAAATTTCATATGGAACCAAAAAAGAGCCCACATAGCAAAGACAATCCTAGAAAAACAAACAAACAAACAAACAAACAAAGATGGAGGTATCACCCTATCTGACTTCAAACTGTACTACAAGGCTACAGTAACCAAAACAGCATGGTACTGATACCAAAACAAAAATATAGACCAAGGAAACAGAACAGAGGACTCAGAAATAATGTCACACATCTACAACCATCTGATCTTTAACAAACCTGACAAAAACAAGCACAGGGAGAATGATTCCCTATTTAATTAATGCTGTTTGGAAAACTGGGTAGCCATATGCAGAAAACTGTAACTGGAACCCTTCCTTGCACCTTATACAAAAAGTAACTCAAGAAGGATTAAAGACTTAAACGTAAAACCTAAAACCATAAAAACCCTAGAAGAAAACTAGGCAATACCATTCAGGACATAGGCATGGGCAAAGACTTCATGACTAAAACACCAAAAGCAATGGCAATGAAAGCCAGAATTGACCAATGGGACCTAATTAAATTAAAGAGCTTCTGCACAGCAAAAGAAACTATCATCAGACTGAATAGGCAACCTTAAGGATGGGAGAAAATGTTTGCAATCTATCCATCTGACAAAGGGCTAATATCCAGAATATACAAGAAACTTAAACAAATTTACAAAAAAAAAAATCAAAAAGTGGGTAAAGGATATGAACAGACTCTTCTCAAAAGAAGACATTTATGTGACCAACTAACATTTTAAAAAAAGTTCATCATCACTGGTCATTAGAGAAACTGCAAATCAAAACCACAATGAGATACCATCTCACACCAGTTAGAATGGGAATCATTAAAAAGTCAGGAAACAACAGATGCTGGAGAATATGTGGAGAAATAGGAATGCTTTTACACTGTTGGTGGGAGTGTAAATTAGTTCAACCATTATGGAAGACAGTGTGGCAATTCCTCAAGGATCTAGAACCAGAAATTCCATTTGACCCAGCAATCCCATTACTGGGTATATACCCAAAGAATTATAAATCATTCTATTATAAAGACACATGCATACATATGTTTACTGCAGCACTATTCACAACAGCAAAGACTTGGAACTAATCCAAATGCCCATCAATGAGACTGGATAAAGAAAATGTGGCACATGTACACCATGGAATACTATGCAGCCACAAAAAAGGATGAGTTCATGTTTTTTTGCAGGGACATAAAGCTGGAAACCATCATTCTTGGAAAGCTAACACGGGAACAGAAAACCATACACCACATGTTCTCACTCATAAGTGGGGGTTGAACAATGAGAACACAAGGACACAAGGAGGGGAACATCACACACCAGGGCTTGTCGGAGGGTGGAGGGCTAGGGGAGGGATTGCATTAGGAGAAATACCTAATGTAGATGATGGGTCGATGGGTGCAGCAAACCACTATGGCACATGTATAACTATGTAACAAACCTGCACATTCTGCATTTGTATCCCAGAACTTAAAGTATAATAATATTAAAAAAATTCTCATCACAAAGTAAAAAAAAAGAGAAAAGTCACAAATGCATGTACCAAAAAAGAAAGGATAGAAATACCTGTTTTCAAAATATTTTCCAGCAGAAGAAACATAAGAAACTTTTATAAATCAAATTTGTGATATCTATGTCTTTATTTGTAAAATACCTATATTCTTGAACAAATGAGTAAATACATAAATGAGGCCTATAAAAAAGAATAAAGTCTCAGAGAGCCTTCATAGTAAAAACCCTAAAAGATTCATAAAAACTTGTTTTGTCATTGGAAATTTTAAAAATCAATTTTGTATTTTAAAATAGTTGCAGATTTGCAAAACATTTCGTCCAGTTCAAGTTGTTTTATATACTAAGGCCCTTTATATCTTAATTCCTCTGCCTGAAATTTCCTCCTATTTTATCCTTCAGTGACTGTCTCCTTTTTTTATCATTTATAGCTAATTTAATTTACTGTAAAAAGTGCTTACAACAACGTAAATTTATCAACCTACAATTCTGGGAGTCAGAAGTCTAACATGGATCTCATGGGCAAAAACTAAAGTATCAGCAAGTTGGTATTTCTTTCTGAAGGCTGTAGTAGACAATCCGCTTCCTTGCCTTTTGCAGCCTCTGGGGGATATCTGTGTGTCTTGGCCTTATAGACATAAAAATGTGCTGTAGATAAATCATGATTGAAGGGGGAAACCATCATTCTCAGCAAACTATCCCAAGGAAAAAAAAACAAACACCGCATGTTCTTACTCATAGGTGGGAATTGAACAATGAGAACACATGGACACAGGAAGGGGAACATCAAACACCGGGGCCTGTTGTGAGGTGGGGGGAGGGGAGAGGGATAGCATTTGGAGATATACCTAATGTTAAATGACGAGTTACTGGGTTCAGCACACAACATGGCACATGTATACCTATGTAACTAACCTGCACATTGTGCACATGTACCCTAAAACTTAAAGTATAATAAAAAAATTTGAAATTCATGAAGTCAAAAAGATTTGTTAAACATTGTATATTATTATACAATGTTTTTATGCTTACATTATTATTCATGAAATATATATCACATTTTATATTTATATCCTGTTTCAATGGATACTAGTCAATATATTTTCATAGAGTTAATCATATTATTTTTAAACTTAAGGAAAGCTCTTATTTGGATCATATATTATACTCCCAGGCACAAACACATTTTGTAATAGAAATGGCAGCTTGAGAATATATAATATATGTAAAAATTAAAAGCTACTAAGTATTCTATTGAAAATTTAAAGAGGAAATATTTAAAGAGCAATTAATTCATTACGATATAAGAACATTATGGAAATCTCTTTAATTAATTTTTATAATCTAAGGCAATTGAGTAAATTAAAATGTATCAACATATTAAATTTGTTATGTCTTAATCTTATTCACCTACATAAAAAATGTACAATATCTGGATTCCTAGATAAGCACTAAAATAAAGTTTCTCAAAAGTTCTTTAAACTTTTTAAGCTGAATTTGTTTTTAAACATTTAATGTCTTCTATAGAACAAAGAATAATATGTGCCTCTAATGTGTATATTTTATTATCCCTAATTTATTTTATTTTTACTTGTTCAATGAGGTGTAAATAAAATCCTCACAAGTTAATCTCATGTAAGTAATAAAATGGAAAAACAATGTCAATTTGTAATGTTTGTTTTCCTCTTTTACCAAGATCTAAGGAAATATATAAAGTCGATTTGGTTATTGAAGATTCAGCAGAATAAGATTGGAAACTAATTTCTTTGGATTGCAGTATTTTTTTTTCATAGCCTTTCCTTCATAATTAAATGTATCTTGGAGAACTTAATTGTGTAGGACAGGTATAACTTCGGTGGAGACATTCTGAAATCCTATTGCTTAACTTGTCTTGCACTGTTGTATCAAGTTACACAATCTAAATCTCTATTGCACTGACAGATAGTAAGATAAACAATGCAGGCCCAAAACATTGTCTACCTTCTCCTTCAGCTATTAAATGGCCAAAGATAATAAAAATGAACAGAATAGAAAAAGACTGTAGATGAAGGGCTCCTGGACTTTTACTAGTAGATAATGCAATTTAGGAAGAAAAGTGATCACTTTATGGTGAAAATGAATTTCTTGCAGCAAGTTGGATAAATTATTTTCATTCCAGGCAGTTGGAGATAATGCAATATTCAGGTCTGAGTGGTGTAATTACTAAATATATTCTGAGCTGTCAGGAAATCCCTAGATCAATCACCAAAAGATATGGCTGGATCTACTCCTATTTAATTCCACCTGGGGCAAAAAATCACAACAGTAAGAACTACAAAGATTAAAAAAAACAATAACTAAAATGAGGGAGGTTAAATAATGAATACAGGTGCTCAATATCATCTTTTAACTAGTGGAAAAATTTAAATCTATAAATATAAACTGAAATCATGTTGAGATTTACCATCATACAATTCTGATTTACCATCACACATCTCACAGCTCTGTCATATAAAATCAAGATTTAAAAAAGTAAATGCTATTTTTGTAACATAAAATACAAATTGACTTTTAAACCAAAAGTATTCATAATATTTGATGAAGATTAATTATTTTTAATTTTTAAAAAGTTTTATAATAGATTATTTTAAAAGTAATAATAAATAAGAGAAAAGATAGAATTTTTGCCTTACCTAAAATTTTCCCTAGATTTCTAACATGTAGGCAGATGAGAAGGTGTAAAGGAATTAGACATCTCTGGATACAGATATAATATGAAAGAAAGAATGTCATGCCTTTACTCTAACACTTGATTTATAATGGTTAAACCAGAAAATGTACAGAATACACAAAATTTCATTGTACAACCCAAAGATATTTTCTATATGTGGTAAATGTAAAACAAAAACAAAACAAACAAAAAACTGTCATCCATTACAAATGGGAAGCCTGAATACTACATTATGACTTTATTTTATACGCACAACTTTCTCTAATGGTTTAGGAAAGTTTTAGAGGAAAAGATATTATGCTCATAAAGAATCTGTTTCACTTGCTGAGCAGATTCAATCTTCCCCTTACACGGGACAACCAAGTTTAAATGTTTCATCAGCAATTCAATCTAATTCAACAAAAACGAAACTCATCATTTTCTTCCCAATAGTCCTGATCCATCTCCATGCTTCCTGTTTGGTTTAATAGTATCATCATTCACCCAATCAACAATTTCAAGATCTTGGATCCTTCATTAATTTTTCTTCTCTTTCATCATGTCAGCAAATCCTATTGGTTTCAATTTGACAAAGTATTTAACTTTCTTTTTCTTTCCATTAAAACAGCAACATCAAGGCCAATGTTAAAACATGTTTGTACTGTCACCGTATTTTTGTACAGGCTAACTTACTTTTAAAAATCTCTTTTTCTGGTATACTCTAAGCATTGCTGCCTCAGCAAAATTATAGTTCATCTCTAAATATGATTAGGTTTATCAGTTAAGGTTGAAACACAGCTGTGTGTGTAAAGAGTCCTATAATAGCATTTAAAAATGAGTTTAGACATTTCTTTTTTGCGTCTAACTGGGCTGGTGTGATGATACTTCTGGAAGTTATCCAGGGACTCTGACTCTTTCTATCCTCTTTATTCACTCTCCCAAGCATCACTCAAGATGGCTTGCTACTGTAAATGCAGTGCAAGGTAAAGATGGAGGAGGAAGTTAAAGGGTAAGCATAAGTACTGAGCACATCATTTTACAACCTATCTCATTAGCTTAATCTTAGTAATATATAAGCATACCTAGATTCACAGACAACTGGGTAGTTGTACCAACTTTTGACAGCCATTCCTGCCCACCATTACTGACAATTTCTCTATCAGACATATTTTGTTGTTGTTGTTGTTGTTCGTTTGTTTTCAAGATGGAATCTCACCCTGTCACCCAGGCTGGAGTACAGTGGTGAGATTTCTGCTCACTCCAACCTCCACCTCCTGGGTTCAAGTGATCCTCCTGCCTCAGCCTCCTGAGTAGTTAGGATTACAGGCGTGTGCCACCACACCTGGCTTTTTGCTTTTTTTTTTTTTTTTTTTATTCTTAGTAAAGACAGGGTTTCACCATGTTGGCCAAGCTGGTCTTGAACTCCTGGTCTCAAGCAATCCACCTGCCTTGACCTCCCCAAGTGCTGGGATTACAGGCATGAGCCACAGCCACAGCGCCTGGCCTCTAACAGACATCTTCGATCATGCTGGTAAGTTTTTCTTACTGCTGAGCTGCACTCTGAAGCCCTTCCTTCCCTCCCTTTCTCATTTCCTAAATGTCATACTGAATCCCAGTTGAAGCCTCTCTCAGTCTTCTCAAGATCTCTCTCCATTTTATTCTTCACAGGCTCTTCCCCTCAGTATTTTTTGCATGAATAATTCCACCTTCTTATCTGCTTCCCAGAAAACTAACTTAAATCAAGGATTCTAATAGCATGATAATGAAAGAGAGAATATTAGAGAAACATCGACTTTCTCTGCTATAAGTCACAAGTCCTCAACAGTTTGTAGAACTTACAAAAATGTTTTAAAAAGTAGCTTCAGATGAAAACTAATTGTTGGAGCAGTAGTAGTTTTCATGCCATAAAAAAGTTATTATCCCTAAAACTCTATGAATATTGGCATTAAAACTGCATGAATAAACAGCTACACTTTTGGAAACTCTTCATTGTGTATGATACGAAATAAGGAAAAATATTCTAAATAAGTGGCTTATGATAGCAAATAAGCATCAGTTCAAATGTCCAGTGTGAAATTGACTACATGTAGGACCCCAAGCAAATCATTAAATTTTCCTAAGTCTCCAGTTATGATCCATTAACAACAGAGGTGAATATTTCTCCTCCCATAAGTTTATCATATAGAATAACAGGAGATAATGAATGTAAAGGCTTAGCACAGTGCCTCATACAGAAGATGCATTTCTGTTTCCTTCTCCCCTCTTTCCTTCTCCTCCTTCTTCTTGCTATTGCTATTATATTATTGTAGCTATATTACTGTTTATTGATATTATTATTATTACTACATGCAGCAGCCTGAGCATTTTTTTTTGAGAATGCCTCAATCCCCTCTGCCACTGCAGACTGTCCATTTGAACTCTGTATAACTAGTGTTTTCATCCTGGTAGAACAAAATTATGTCTAATCCTTTGAGAGAAGTTTATGAGAACTTCTAAATATACTTGGAACAACAGCTTTATAGAGGTCCCTGAAGTTATGCATTAGGAAGTAGAAACAAAATCTGGCAAAATTTGAATTGGCATTTTTCATGTACAACCGTCTCTACTGTCTTTTATAGATTAGTAATGGTCTTTGACCATTTAAATTACACTTTAGATATCCTATCTGCAATTGCTGTGAATCTGGTTGACACTCCCTTCTACCTCAGCATCAGAATTCTTGAATAAATCAACAGGAAGACTCAAAAGAACTATTAATCTCATGCCAGGGTCCCTGGCAGGGGCTTCACCCTTGGGCCTGTGCCCACGGACCTAAATGAGAACAGGCACTCCTGTTTTCACTCCAAAATGTTACATTTTCCAAGATCAATCTGGCCACCACACCCCTGACCCTGTGCCCATATAAACCTGAGACCTTAAGCAGGTACAGACACAAGTGGCTGGATGTCAAGAGGAACATGTCGGCAGACACCAGCAGATCAGTGATGGTGAAATGATGTGGACGCCAAGGGGAGTTCGGCTGGTGGAAGTTGGAGAAGAGTCCAACCACTGGGCAGCCTGACCCCAGGGGAAGACCACTTTCCCACTCCATACCCCTTTCTGGCTCCCCATCCATTTCACTGAGAGCCACCTCCAGCACTCAATAAAACTTCGCACTCAACCTTTGGGCCCACATGTGATCTGATTCTTCTGGTACTCTGGGCAAAAACTCAGGCTGTCACACTGGCCCCTTATCCTTGCAATAAGGCAGACGGTCTATCGAGCTGATTAACACAAGCCATCTGCAGACAGCATAGCTAAAAGTGGGCATCCGTAGTCCTAGATGTTGCCGTGGGGCCAGAGCCCAAAAACAGTCTTCATGGCCTCTGCACCTGTCTGTCTGCATGCTCCCCATAGGGGTTTGAGCAGTAGGGCACCAAACAAGCAATCCACGTGTTGTACGCCCTGCAAGGGGAATAAGGGAACTTTCCCGTTTCAGTAATTTGCATTAATGATAATTAAAGGTTAATGATGTTCAGCACCTTTCTAGAAGCCTAAGGCCATTTCTTCTTTTTTATCGACTCTAGTTCTTTAGGAAAAATACTCCTTTATTATTATTTTTATTGATTTTATTAATCAATGATAGTTATTTTGACATTTACGTCTTCTCACTTTGATATTGGTATCATCTGTGGTACTGTTTTTATTTTCCTTCTATTTTATTTTGCTTAAGTCATCCGGTCCTGCTATATGGATGATGGACATTATGTATAAAGAACTTAGATACTTTTGTGATTTTATTTCCTCACACACACTTAGAATATGGTCCATCATTTTAATGTAGTCCTAGATTGAGATGGTCCAGATTTTATGTGGCTTTTCTGTTTCTAGACGCTTTTATTTCTAGAGTGATTCTCTTCTAAAGTTTCAAGTGAAATCTTGACATTTTACCAGAAATTCTCCTCCTTAAGATTCAACTGAAGGTTAAAATTTCTGAGTTGACAGCAAAAGCATTATTTAAAAAATTTGTTTTGCTAAGATGGCGACTCCCATGCATCTGCTCATAGCCCGGAGACGAGGGTAATGAAGCAAATAAGCAACATGTAAGATGTCAGAAATGCTTGGAATTTGGCTATTGGACTTGTGAATGCACATTAAAAAGTAAATACCTACATAGGCCCTCAAGGACAGTAGAACTAAAGAAAACTTTAAAAGAAAAAGAAAACAGATTATTATTACAACGAAGCTTTCTTCCCCACTCGTGTTTATTGGCATTGGAGCAACCAATGTAGAAAGACCAAGAAAAAATGGTCTAAAAGCGTAATTAGTTCCAGTAGCAGTAGCAGTGACAGTTCAGCCAGTGATTCTTCATCAGAGAGAGAAGAAACATCTACCTCATCCTCCTCAGAGGACAGTGACATTGATGAAAGCTCTTCTAATTCCTCATCCTCAGCCTCCTCCACAACCTCTTCCTCCTCCTCTGATTCAGACTCAGATTCCAGCTCTTCCAGTAGCAGCAGCACCAGCACAGATAGCAGCTCCAAGGATGAACCACCAAAGAGGAAGAAAAAGAAAGAGTTTCTCCATCCATATTGGACCAATGGACTGAAAACATTAATGTGATTCTCGAAAGGGAATTTAGAATATGTTAAGGCCGACTAGGTTAACTGTTGAAAATTTCTAGAATTCAAAAGTTTCTAAATGTTTTACATTGTAAGAGCATAAAAACTATTAATAATGAATTATATATATAGAGAGAGACTATTTTATTTGAAGGGTGAATCTTGTTTTTCTTTTTAATCTTTAAAATATATCTCTAGAACTTAAAGCTGAAATATGCAAATCTGTTTGTGTGATGAAACTATCTTTTCTTTCTGTGAAATAAACGCCATATTTTGTTACTTGTTATATATGTAGTGGTATGTTTCAGACATATTTTCAGGATGGTGCATCAGAATATCTGGCAGTGAATTTCTAATGCTTTTGGCTGTGTGTTATGATGTAAGATTTAATATGCTGTTACTGTAAGCTTAAGAGTTTCACTACGGTTAATAAATGTGCTCTATTTTTACATTTATGTTCAGAAAGTTATTCTGACTTTTTGTCCTAAGTGATATGTTCAAGGAGCCTATTACTATATTTACAGTTATTGAATGCTACAAGTTTCAAGTTGGTGTTACACCATTCCTTTTCTTCTGGTTCCTTAAGTTTTTCAAGTTATCCTTTTCTGAGGAAAATTATTCTAGAGGAACCTAAAAAGGGACAAAAAATCTGAAACTCCTTAGGAGTCTAATCTTGGTGCCTTCTGATAAACTCAGTGTATCAGAAAAGAAAGCAGCCATGTAAGTGGCCAACTTAAGTACAAGTGCTAGAAATATCTTTGTGTATTAACATGCAATAAAAGGTGCCATTCAAAGCAGAGGGAAAGGTAGGAGGAAGAGGTAACTTTTACTGAAAATTAGGGCAATGTTGGTAGACTTTTATTAAAAGCTTTTCTTTAAGCTTTCGTAAAGATTGCCTTTTGCTATTTTTGCAATTATGGTATTATAGTTTATATGCTAACTGGTCATATATATGAGAGTCTTCTGCATAAATATGAATTACTAGGATTAATCTGGTGTGTTTACATAGGATATACATAGTTGAAATCTAGAATGAAAGGTTAAAAAGGAAATACCGCACGATATTACCTAAAAGTAAAATGCTGTTATTATGGCGGGAGTCTTTGGTTTAACATCACATTATTCTGTGATGTCTTTTTAACTTTTGGAAAGAGGTATCATTTATAGAAAAATTTTGATTTGGGTTAAATATAGGTTTTTAAAACTGTAAATGTTGTCTTTTCTATATTTTTATGAAAAAAGCAGTAGAAAATTACTTTTGAAGAAAATGAGCTATTTAAATATTAAAATATATGTGTGTTGTGAGTTTAAGGAGCCTGTAATTACTTGCCAGATTTACAAAACCATCTGTGTTCAATGGCTGTAAATACATTCTCAAAACATCATTTCAAAGGCTGCCTACGGAATATTATCACTTGACATATAGAGTTAATAAATTAACAATCAGGCACATTTTATAATGTTTGGCTCTGTAAAGGTAATGTTAGCAGTTGAAGAACATGGATGAGAAAAGAATGTGTTACATAGGTTGCATCATTTGCAGTTAAATAAAACTCACAATTTGTGCTCACAAGCTTAAAATATAATAATAATAATTTAAAATTTTATAAACTGCTACTCCTCAAAATTAAGACATAAACAAAAACCGGAAGTTTTGTTCTGAAAATACCCTATAAAGAGGATGGAAAGACATGTTTGTACACTGACTGGAAGAAAATATTTGTAAACTATATATCTTACGTAGCACCTGTATTTAGACGTTATGAATAACTCTCAAAATTAAGCAGAAAAATATAAACAGTCCAATTAAAAATTGAGCAAAAGACATGAGTCAACATTTGAATGAATAGGATACATAGATCTTAAATAAGTACATAAAACGATGCTCATGACATATGAAAAAGCATGATCAGGTACTATTACACAAATATCAGAATAGCTGAAGTAGAATGTAACAATGTCACCAAATGCTGGAGAGGACATGGAGAACCTGAACATGTAAAATGGCTCAGCCACATAGCAAAATATAACAGCAAGTTTTCTGAAAGCTAAGCAAGCACTTATAATACAGTCTAATTCTTATTATGCTCAAGCCACAAGCTACAAAAAGTTTCCATATTTTGTCACTTCCTTATGATTTCCTTTACATAAAATATATTGTTTGTAAATGTTAAATAGCACAAAAGTCACACATTATGAACTATTGAAATGCTTTAAAATTATGTAATCTATCTATCTAGAAATTAGAACAATTATCATAAAACTTTACACATTCTGATTGTCGCCAATACAATCTTCAAATATAGAAGAGACAATGGAGTTATTTTTATTTATCTGAATTCCATAGTTAAGGATCAAACTGGTACTTTCGCTGATTAAAGTGATCTTTATATCTTACACAGGTCAAAAAATTGTCCTTTTTTTCCCCATTGGTTTTGTGAAATTTTTTATGAAGATCATTTTAAGCGTGTATATGTTTCACTTAATACATGCCTACAAATGCTGTGGAAAAAAAATCAATTTCCTCAATCTTTCAAAGTTCATGATATATTTGAATCAATAATATAATTGCCAATAATATATAAGTAATATTGTGGCATACTTAATGTTGCTTGAGTGACGTTAAATGTATTAACAGTTTTTATTGTATTATAGACAAAAAATAGCTCCCCTAATATTACGATATTGTCTTTTAAAATACTTTATTGCCTAAACTTTGGTGTGTTGGGGCTAGCATAAAATAAGTGTTTGGGCAAGTTGTAAGTTGAAGAATGCACTAGCTTTTTTTTTTTTAACTATTTGGAAAATAAGCAACTTCTTTGACATTAGGAAAAAAGGATAAATTCAGGACTTCATGATTAATTCGGCAAATATATAGAAAGCATTGGGTATAGTGGATTTGAAAATTCTATAGAAACACACAAAATGTGTTGTATTATATAATATGAGGATTTATAACCTAAAACCTATGTTGGAATACAACGCATTAACATTAGAACTTTATTTCAGAGATTAAAAAAATAAAAAAGAAAAACACGTATTTTCTTATTTTTAAGAGAATTATGTATTCACCTCACCCAAATGTTTCATCAGATTTAAGGTAAGAGATCCAGTATATACAACTGTTTCACTCAATTGGAATTTATTTTCTGAATAACGTAAACCTTATTATAACTAATATGGTACCTGGAATAGGATATGTAGTCATTAAGTGTTATCAGATATTGCACAATATTTTACAATTGTCAATTTTGAGTTATTCATAAAATTATAAAAGCAAAATTCAGTGATCTAGCTAGTAAATTAAAGAAACCAAAATTTCTAAATACAAACAGAATAGTTCTGAAGGAATTGAGTTTCACTTAAATTGAATCGCATTGCTGTTAGAATGAAGCCAGTAATAATTGCTTATTAACCTTGAAAACTGGATAAATAGAGGATTGACTAAACAGAGTGTACTGCTATTGAGCTGCAAAATGTTACCCATAACCCTTTGCTTCTTAGTGAAATTTAAGGTACATATTTCTATTTCTTTTTTTTTTTTTTTTTTTTTGAGACGGAGTCTCGCTCTGTCGCCCAGGCCAGACTGCGGACTGCAGTGGCGCAATCTCGGCTCACTGCAAGCTCCGCTTCCCGGGTTCACGCCATTCTCCTGCCTCAGCCTCCCGAGTAGCTGGGACTACAGGCGCCCGCTACCGCGCCCGGCTAATTTTTTGTATTTTTAGTAGAGACGGGGTTTCACCTTGTTAGCCAGGATGGTCTCGATCTCCTGACCTCATGATCCACCCGCCTCGGCCTCCCAAAGTGCTGGGATTACAGGTGTGAGCCACCGCGCCCGGCCCATATTTCTATTTCTAAACTCTGATATTGTTTGGGATTTAGTCACCTTAGAGATTGCTTCTCTAGCCTAGCCAGAAAAGGGATCACTTGAGGATATTTGTTTCCATCTCAGAAAACTTAAGAAAATGAATAACATTGGCCGAGCGTGGTGGCTCATGCCTGTAATCCCAGCACTTTGGGAGGCCGAGGCGGGCGGATCACGAGGTCAGGAGATCGAGACCATCCTGGCTAACACGGTGAAACTCCATCTCTACTAAAAAATAGAAAAAATTAGTCGGGCGTGGTGGCGGGCACCTGTAGTCCCAGCTACCCGGGAGGCTGAGGCAGGAGAATGGCGTGAACCCGGGAGGCGGAGCTTGCAGTGAGCCGAGATTGTGCCACTGCACTCCAGCCTGGGCGACAGAGCGAGACTCAGTCTCAAAAAAAAAAAAAAAAAAAAAGAAAGAAAATGAATAACAGAATTTCTTTTGAAATATACTCATAGTTCAAAATCTGTACTATAAAAGGCATCAATAATATAAAGGCCACATCATCAACATCTGTGTATCACTGTTAATATAATAGCCTACATTTCTTGAATGCATATTATGTGACCTGTAGTCTCTGGAGGCCTTAAGAAGATTAGCTCACTTAATTTTCATGAATGAGTGAATGAATTAATTAATTAACGAACCAATAAGGCAAGACTACGGGCCTCTCTTTTAGATAAGAGAAAATTGAACTTGTTGAACATATATTCAGGGGTGGAACTTCTGTTCTATTCCAAAGCATGTGTTCTCAGCAAACATCTTTTCTTGCCTCATGTCTGTATGCCTTGTATGCCTTATGTCTTATATCTCTGATGTCTGTACCAGAGAGAGGTTACTTTGGTTGTCACAAAATACACAGTGATTGAATGCATGTGTAACAAGAACACTGTTCTTACAATCACCTGAACTCATCGGGAAATTTACAAATGACTCTTGTCAGTCTCAACTTAGTAAGAAGTGGTGTTTTGCATTCCATTATCCTCAATTCACAAACCTACAAGGTTTCCAAGTATTTTTACTCACAATTCAGAGTCTCAGGACTTTCCAGGACTTTATATAAGTACTGAAATATACAATTGTGAAGTCGGAGGTTTAAATGATTGGGATATATTGGATATTTCACACATCTATTTTTGATGTTCCCAGCCGCTGGATGTTAAGAGTATTCGTAGAAACAAAATTTCTACACCCTTAATATGTCCATTGTAGTAAAATGTAAGTTTTATACGACATTTAGCTTCCATATTTTTCAGCATATTTTGGAATTCACCGTGATACAACATATAAGGAGTAGATATTCCTTTTAATAAAAATGAGATGAAGTATTATAGACTGTAGATATCCATAATTAACTACTCATCAAGAGGTGATTAATAATGTATTTCATTTTTTCATACTTCCTCCCTTCTTTCCTTCTTCCTGCCCTCCCTTTCTTCATTTCTTTCTCCTTTCCTTTCTCTCTCTCTTCCTCTCTCTCTTCCTCTCTCTCTGTTCTTCCTTCTCTCTTTCCTTTTTTTCTATTATCTATCTATCTATCTATCTATCTATCTATCTATCTATCTATCTATCATCTACTTACCTACCTACTGATCTATTATCTACTTATCATCACCACCTAACTACACAACTTCAAGCCAGAAATTTGATTAGAAATATAATCTTTAGAAGTGAGATTAACCATAGCAAAAAAATTTCCTAAATTCTTGTCTAACTGTAATATTTTACCTTATATGTAGACCTTCAACAATTATGAAAAAGAGGTAACTCCAAATTTATATCAATTATTTAAGAATAATCAGAATATTTTCCTGGTTCAATAAAAAATGCATCAGAATTCTGAGAAAATACCTAGATATTATTTTACATAATTTCAGGATAAATAATATACCTGCTTTCTCTCACATATTATGAAATCCTTCCACTGTATAAGTATACAAAATTTTCAATAAGTTTCATGATACACATTTTTATTTTAATAAAAACATAGCAAGCTATCTTGAAATAAGAGCTCTTTCTTTAATAGCAAGATTTCTTTTACATATGGCTTAATTATAGATTGGCAACTTTTTAATATTTTAATATACTAAGGTTTACTATAAAATATGTAATACAGAAATTAATATGGATATGTATGTAAATTCGTAGCCTAATTCAATAAATATGCAAGAGTTTCACTCAGTTTTAAATATGTAATTAGATGGATGTGTCACGGCCAATGCACACTAAAAAATTTCAAGTTATTTTTGTATTATGAGGCAAGTTACACTCTCAGAAATATTGTATGGAATCTCTAAGTGCTTGTTAATATTTGCTATTTTCATATTTTTAATTTGACAATAATTTGGTTATAAAATTTGTCTCATTTTGGTCCTAATTTGAATCTTTCTCATTGTAAATGAAGCATATATTTTTAAAGTTTATGTTGCTCACAGAACTATTTTAGTTATGAGTTTATGTTAATTTTTACTATATTGTTTTTCTGTATCTATTAAAATTATCTACTTCTTTAATCATTTAATTTCTTAATGAATTCAGTGACATTTTAAAAATCTGTGTGCTTACCCAATCTATCATTTTGGCATAAACCAAATTTGAGAACAACATATTGCTTTATTCAAGTGCCTTATTTTCTAACACTTTTCTTGTTTTAATTTGCTAATATTTTGTTTGCAATTTTGCATTTTTGCTCATAAGTGAGCTATGGACATAAATGTCCTTCCTACTTCTGCCTTTTTGTTATTTTAATATTAAAGATGAGGTTTGTGGAATAAGTGGAATAATATATATTTTTTGTAAAACCATTTGTTAACAATATTTTATTTGTAGGAGATTTTACAGCTTCTTCAATTTCTTCAGTAGTTGAATATAATTCAGTATTTCTAATTATCTTTGAGTCAGTTATGTTCTTTGTTATTTCCCAGTAAATTGCCCGTGTTATCAAAGTTTCTCCATTTTTTGGTATAAACTTCATAGCTTTATGTGTAATAAGGCCACTGTTAAATTAATTTTTTAAATAATTTTAAATATCGTCGTGGGGTGGGGAGAGGGGGGAGGGATAGCATTAGGAGATATACCTAATGTAAATGACCAGTTAATGGGTGCAGCACACCAACAGGGCACATGTATACGTATGTAACAAACCTGCACGTTGTGCACATGTACCCTAGAACTTAAAGTATAATAAAAAAAAATATGGTCATAACTTCAGAATGTTGTGGTGGTTAATTTTATATGTCAACTAGGCTGGGCCACAGTGCTCAGATATGTGCCCAGACATTATTCTGGATGCTTCTGTGAGGGTGTTTTTCAGTGAGATCGATATTTTAATTGGTAGAATGGGTAAAGCAGATTGCCTTCCATAATGTAGGTGGGCCCCATCAGTTGAAAGCCTGAATAGAACAAAAGAATGTCCTTCCCTGAGCAAGAGGGAATTGTATGGCAGATGTTCTTCATTGCCTCTCCCCACAACTCCAGCCTACCTACCCACCATAGAGATTTTGGACTTGCCAAACTCCACAATTGCATGAGCCAATTTCTTAAAAAAAATGTATATATTTATATATATAATACATATATTATGTATGTATGTGTATATATGTGTGTGTATAAGTATATGTGTGTGTATGTATGTGTATGTGTGTATATATATATATATATACCCATATACTGTGGGTTTTCTTTCTGTGGAAAACTCTGACTAAAAAGGTGTCTTCCTTTTTGTGTTATCAGTTTTCATATGTGCTGTAAAATTCTTGATTGATTACATGAGATGTATTTCTATTTTATTAGACTTCTTGAAAGAAAAGAATATGGTTTGCTTTTCAAGCCTAAGACAAAGATTACAAAGCTGACCCTGAATTTCAAGGGGACACATAGAGGGTGGTAAAGATGTGTGGAAAAAATAATAAATGAGGCAAGGAAATGTTTATAGCAATAATCCATTTTAAAAATCTAGCAAATTACTTAGTAGACGTCTGCTCGGTTGGGCATGAGAGACTAGTTCATCTCAGAATTGTCCACAGAATAGAGAACTGAGGATAAAACTATATGCTCAACTTCCTCCTTTTTCTTATTTCTGATTAATCACCATTGAGTGTTCAAGGATGCAGCAACACCAGACTTAATGGTTGCACTGTCTCTCTGATCAAGAAGTCCTATTGGTTGCCCAATAGGGTAGTATGTCATTCAAGGCCAAGACTGGAGAGAAGACTGTATCAGAGTGGGGCCCCAACAAAAAATTAAAGAGGAAGGCATTCAGAAGAATGGAAGCTACACAGACACACACAACTTTGCCCAATTCAATCTACTTCTTGTGCCATTTGGATGCCTTTATGACCTCTCATTTTATCTTAGTTGTATACTACCTATATTTTCCTTGTGTTAATAAAGTCACTCCCACTTCATCACTGAGAAGGGAAATACAAGTATAATAAATCAGAGTCTTCCCCAAGTTGCTGGTCCAGTGTCATTGCCTAGGAAACTTAGTAATTAAGAGTCTCATCATTAGCTATCGCTTTGGCTAGTCTGTTTTGTTTGTTTGGTAGAGCAATCAAGATCATTTTTCCCAAGGAGCCTGATCCTTTAGTTCCATCTTGGGTAGTCACTACCATATGTGTGTTTCAATAATCTCCAAATTACAGTCATACTCTTTGTATTGTTTGCCCTAGCCAATATAACTCCTTTTTGGCCTGTAGGACAATTGACATGAGGTAATCAAAGTCCCTAATTTGTAGACACAACTTCCAATTTAATAGAACATCCTATCATGTTCCCTAGCAGAAATGTTTCTCATTTTTGGTTCAAGGGAACCAGAAATCTTAACCCAGACTAATGTAACATTGGGGAAAATGAACAAGATGTCAAAAATGGATATCTGAGGGTGATTCTGATAGAAAACATTCTATACTTCCTCAACTCCTTTGACTCCCAAAGGCATGTATTGTAGCTACAATAAATGGTTCTATATGTTAGGCTTTTTGTTGTTGTTGTTGTTGTTGTTCAAGGTATGTACCAGGTCCAAGAAGAGTGTTCCATAAACTGACAGTACTTTCCAAGAACTTGTAACTTAGGTGAGGGTTAACTCTCTATTCTAAGGTTCCATGAGGGTAACTGTTTTAGAGATAGGGGGTTCATATTAAGACTTGTGCAGATGAGTTCAGTGCTACACATTTGTCTCAGTCAATAGTTGTACAAAGCCACATTGTAACAACAGTCATTTGGAGGCAATAAACTTTGGTGCTGATGAAGACACTGTAAACAGAGAGGGTAAACCCGTATTTGGAGTAGATAACAACTCTGTTAAGGACAAATTACTGCTTTTTCTGTGTTGGGACTAGTCTAATATAATTGCTCTTTTTCAGGTGACTAGTTGGTCCCATAAGAATGGTGCCATTTTGAAATTCAGTATCTGTCTCGGCTATCATGTTAGAAATTAAAAAATAGGAGTAACCAAATTAGCCTTACTGGGGGAAATTTTATATTTTTGACTCTAAATATTCTCCATAACTGCCACCTTCTGTTCATGGGGTTGTAAGAGGCTTGATATAGAGGTTGTTTGACATTCAAGTATAGGTGATCCTCACAGATGATTCTGCAGAAAATGCTTTCTCAGAGGCATTATTGTAAATAAAAATCTTCATAGTTCATACCTCTCTCATGGGTACATAATAAATTTATTCTCTGACATTTTTCAATTGTTCCATCTTGTTTAGTCCAGACCTTGATGAAATGGCCTTGAAATCATTCATAATACAGAAATTAATGTAAATGAAAACCCTAAACTACCTGTAATCCATACAATGTAGATAGAAAGTCTATTCATCATAACCCTTCTCATTGTGAAGTTTTTTTTTTAAGTATTATATTTTTGGATCATTCATAAAAGGGACTACTACGCATCTCCATTAATCATCTAATTAATACACACACATTGTGAAGACTCATTTGTGAACCAGCCCGAAGTTTCTTCTTTTTATGTAAATTGACTTTAGGAGAGCATTCTTAAAGCTCTAGGTATAGACTACAGTTAGGTAACAGTGTGGCAGAGGTAGTTGTCGTGGGAATCTGTTCCTGGGCTTTCTGGAACTACTTAAGTTTGAGTTAAATGATGAATTACCTTTGTACAAATATGACTTAATAACATGGCTGATGAGACAAAACTCAGTTCATGATAAGCAGCTTTAGGTCTCAGCAATAATTTATGATCCTGGTTAGGAAGTCATTAACATCTAGGGCCTGGTAGCATCTCAGATACTATAAGGAAATAGTAGTTTTCTGACACGGAATGCATATACTTTTCCCCAAACTCTAAAAATCTCTGTAATTCCCATTAGGCCTCGACAATTATATACATATCATGGTATCTTACTAAATATGCTATGTTATACAACACAAGAACAAAATAGTTTTACCATATCCTGGAACTGTGGCAGAGGTCTCTTTTCCCCTGGACATTACTTGAACTTGGCCACATTCCAGGTAAATCAGTAAATAAGTTGGAGCAGTATTTTAAGTATAGTCAATGTTGTTTCAAAATCTAGAGTTGTCTGCTAAGACCTAGGTTTCATTCACAGTGATTGGAGGTGCAAGGAGCAGGAAATTGCTCTTTATCTTAAAGGATTTGTACCAGCATGTCCTTGATGGCTAGATAAAAAGTGTCCATGTAGAAGGACATATAAAATGACACAAAAACTTTATTGAGATTATACATGTGTCTTACATGGTGTCTAGAGAACCTGACACTTCCAATTTCACAGATTTATTTAATTTGAAGCCATCGCTGTTACAAATTTCTGGTATCTGCTGTTGATTGTCAAGGTCATAAATGTTCCTCTCTAAACTATTATGCAGGGCATGAGAAAATTGACGTAAACCCGAAATAAAACCATTAAGGTGGATTGTTGTTCTTGCCATATAACCATATGAAAACAAATATGGTGTGTTCACATGCATGTATGTGTGTGTATGTGTGTTTCTTTTTAATGAATAATGAGACCAAAAAATGCATTCCCAAAATCCCAGTGACAATGGCTACAATACACTTTTTAAGTTAAGGTCTCACATGTAGAAATAGCAGTTTCAAAACCAAGCTACCACCTGGTTAAGCACACAAGGGTTTATATTTATCTGTCATTTTCCATCATGGTTCTGCTAAAGCCATCTAAGATAATTGAATGGAGGCCAGGCATGGTGGCTGATGCCTGTAATCCCAGCAATTTGGGAAGCCAAGGTGGGTGGATCACCTGAAGTTAGGAGTTGAAGACCAGCCTGACTAACATAGTGAAACGTCGTCTCTATTAAAAATAGAAAAATTAGCCTGGTGTAGTGGTGCATGCTTGTAATCCCAGCTACTTGGAAGGATGAGTCAGGAGAATCACTTGAACCCAGGAGGTGGAGGTTGCAGTGAGCCAAGATAGCACCGTTGCACTCCAGTCTGGGCAATAAAGTGAGACTGCATGAAAAAAGAAAGAAGGAAAGAAGGAAAGAAGGAAGGAAAGAAGGAAAGAAGGAAGGAAAGAAGGAAAGAAGGAAGGAAAGAAAGAAAGAAGGAAGGAAAGAAAGAAAGAAAGAAAGAAAGAAAGAAAGAAAGAAAGAAAGAAAGAAAGAAGAAAGAAAGAGAGAGAGAGAAAGAAAGAAAGAAAGAAAGAAAGAAAGAAAGAAAGAAAGAAGAAAGAAAGAGAGAGAGAAAGAAAGAAAGAAAGAGAAGGAAAGAAAGAAAAAGAAAGAAAGAAAGAAAGAAGGAAAGAAAGAAAGAAAAGAAGAAGGAAAGAAAAGACAGGAAAGAAGGAAGGGAGGGAGGAAGGAAGGAAGGGAGGGAGGAAGCAAGGAAGGAAGGAAGGAAGGAAGGGAGGGAGGAAAGAAGGAAGGAAGGAAGGAAGAAAAGAGAAAATTGAATGGAGATATGTAGGGATACACCAATACCAAATCTTTCATATCTTTCATGGTGAAACTCATGTCTTCAATAATTCCAGAAATGCAATACTGCTTTTGATTTCAAGCTTATTACAGTGGGGAACGGTTTCAGTTCTGTTTCATTTGGTCCTCCTATAGCAACAGCATCTACCCCATAATTCTGGAAACCAGACAGGGGACCTTCTGTCACTAAACAAGTTTATTCCACTTATATGTTCAGTAAATTTAGAAAAATAAGAAATATCTTCAGGGTTCATTATGGTCCCAAAGAACATACTGTGAGTTTGGCTTGATCCAGAACTCAACTTAACTATTTGACCTCTGTATTTCCCATGTGAACCACCTGACAAGGTATCATTCTTGCTTAGTAGATATTTTTGATACTTTTGTCTAAAAATTCTTGAAGAGTCTGAGTAATAGTTATTTTGCCTCTGTGAAGTTGCCCTGACAATTGGCTGCAGACTCTTTTGAGGAAGAATCAACAAACTATTTTACTAGGCATATTTTTGATGAGGTTTCAAGTTCCCTCCTCAAGGGAAGCCTGCTTCCCATTAAATTAATAAGCATTCAGTGAATTGGTTCAGATCTACACACTAGCTATGTTTTTCCATTAAAATATCTGATGTCTCCTTTCACTTGCTAACTCTCATTGTTTTTACTGTTAATTGAAACTTGGTACACACAAGATGTTTTTCTGTCTCTCTCAACTCCATACATTCCCTGGTTTACCACCAAATATCTCTATTAACAAAGGCACTCTAATTGTAGAATTATATTTATTCTGCTTCTAGGTTTTAAGTGCACTGTCTGACCTCTGTTATTCTATGGTTCTATCATATCCACTGATAATTGAAAGCACAAATCCAAGAGAGTACACTTCATTTTTGACTTTGGCTTAAAAGATGTCAAGCACTGCTAAGTCATCTCACAGTAGATCTTTATTGTCATTTCCACTGCATTTCATTATTGCCTAAATTAGGTGTTTGAGCCTGAACTGTTGATTGTCACATTACAGCAGCCCTAAATTTTCTTGTATATTCTCCAATACAATGTCATGGATATTCTTATACCTCCACTCATTTATTGTAGGTCAGTTTTAGACTCAAAATTCCAGTTTCCAATTTAAAGAGCTAGTAACATACAAATACACGCATATACACAAGCCCACACACACACCTGCATCTCTCTTTGTGAAAGAAGTGTAAGAAAATGTTCCAATTTGTGATTTTTTTATGTTTTCCTAGTGATGATTGTTTGGCTACATTTATGGAAAATTTTTATATTAGAGTGATTAAGTTGTCTTAATAGTTAAAAATTTTATCAATTAGCGACATTTTCAAACCCTGATCATACTTAGTTTGCTAATAGTAATATAACTAAATCAGTTTTCTAAATCAATATGCTTCCCTTGGATATTTTCTGTTGCTTATTCTTCCATGCACTCATAAACTGTGTCAGTTAAGAATAAATAACAAATAATTCATTAATTGTCTCTTTAGCTAAGTTAAATTTTATGTTTAATGTACTTATTGTAATTGTAATTTTAACATTTATATTTCCACTATCCAAAAACTGTATTGGATCTTTGCAAACAGGTAAAGACTTTCATAGATTTTTGCCATTCAATTTAAAATTATTTAAAATAATTTCTCTGTATTTTGGAACAGATAATTCAAAAAATCATTGGATTTATTGATGGACAGGATATGTATATTAGTTCCTACTTTTTTTCTGCTGACTTTTCCTTACATTGACTTCTTTTTATATACAGTAGTTCATTTTTGATACTGAGATCATTTTTCTTTTTTTTTTTCAATTTAATCTGCTGAAATCCTGAGGGCTTGAACACAGAACAATTTCCTTTAAAATGGGTTTCAATTGCACCTGCTAAGTTACAAGCAACATTGCTAACTTGGGAAACTATCTTAAACTTTACTTTTGTTCATCATTATATGATTTCTATCGTTAAATATCTACTACTAATTTGAACTTCAGATCCCAGTGGAATCTATAATTTTAAATACTCAGGATTTGTTATTATTAACCAATGGCCATAGCAGAAAACAATGATTTCTTGTAACCTCCTTTTGCTGATAGGTATATTTTTTTGACTCTTGTTTTATTAAGCGTTTGGCTCCCAGTGAGAGTCTACACTTAATATGTGTCTCGGATTCAGTTCCACAACTTAATAGAAGTGCATAATTTATCTGATTTTTCCTAAACTGATAATGAATTTGCCTAGAAAACAAAATCAACTTTCTTCCTTGAGTAATATCACTTCTTTGATTATGAGTCACCTTTAGCTGTTTTTGTTGTCTTATGTTCTATCTCTCTGGCAGGAGCACTTGGTCCCTTACCTTATTTTCTTGCAATCTTAGAAATATATCAACCGTTACATTGATTGCATTTTATCTTGTCTCTAGTTGTATTATAGACTGCATCCCTTCAGAAACTGACTTAATTATACTTTATAATAAAAACAATATTTTTCAAAAGGTATGTTTTTACCACTTATAACTATTTTAAGTTTAATACAAATATAATGAAATGATGGAGAAAATACAACATAATTTTTCAAAGAAAAATATATCTATATATGCTTGAAATTTCTTACAGTCTTATAATCATGAAGACTATATATGGAGTCTCTGACTCCTGGCCCCACTCACTAGGTAGTACTGGTATGTTATATTTTCAGGAATTCAATCGACCTTCATGCCGTGAGTCTTCCTCAATTATTCTATCAAGAAATCCAATAACTTCCTAGCATTCCTACAGTAAATACAGTTGTTTGGTTAAACTATAGTATGCCTTCCTTTTATTTCAAATAACTCCAATTTTGATTAGGTTGAACTTTACCATAGGAAATATGGGTATCCCACAGGCTTATGTGTGGCAGACTGGAAACTATACATTCTTCTTTGGAAATCCTGGTTGAGCTAAGTTGTTCTACTTGCCAGTGATTTTTTTTTTTTTTTTGCAGGGGTGGGAGAATAAGAATATAATAAAATTCAGAGTATACAGATACAAAAAGAAATTTGCTTTTGGAAAATTTCTTCCTCTGTATTCAGCAATGCTTTGCAGGTACATTTCTTGTTCTACCATTAATGTGAAGAAGAAAGCAAGTAATCCAAATTATTTTTAGCAGTAACTCTACAGCTCCGTATAGAGCTAATTTTAGGATAATGACAGTGCTGTGGCCAGCAGAGCTTGGAGTTAGAGACACCTGACCCTTTGTAATGTTAATGAACTACTGAATTGACAATCGAGAAGACAGCCTTTCTCCTAGACTTTCCCTACACTTTTACAAAGCCACCACCACCATGTTTAAGCTATTTGAGCCAGGGTTTCTTGAGGCACCATCCTAATAAGTCAGATGTTTGTATCAGAAATGGAAAGCTGAAAATAACATTCTAGGATATAAAATTACTTGAGTAAAATTGATGTCAGACAATAAGGTTCCCCTTTTTCTGTCATAGGAATTTAGGAATACTAGTATTCTATAATTTTTTTTGTTGTTTTACATTGAGATATATCAACTTCTGACAATGGCTGAATCATCAGGAATCGTAGCAGAGAAAATAAAACATTAGACCAATTTGAATTCTTTCTATGGCATTATATAACATTTTTAAATGTGAAGAAAACTTTGATCTGCGTATGTCTCATTTGAAATCTGAGAGAGAAAAAATATGTTTCTCTTAAGATAAGCTGTCTTTACCTATGGATTATAGTAAAGCAAATTTAAAGTGTAGTCACCAGGAGCTAGGAGGATTCAGAAAAGCTTTCAAGAGCCATACAAAAGTTTAGGAATTGGAGTAAAATAAGATTGAAACAACAAAAAAAGTACTAATCCACAAACCTCTCTCAAGTACCTCCTGTAAAGTGTTATGTAACTGAAAAAAAAGGGACAACCAGAATACAGCTCTCTAAAAACCAAGTGTGTTTCTGCCAGAGGCAAATGGTAAAATCACCTGGTAGGTGAGACCAAGAGAAAAGCAAGGTATTAAATTAAGGTCTCATGACCCAAACAGAGCATAGCAATTGTCATGATAAACCAGAACCTTCCATATTCATAGCCCTAAACAATCTCTGATTGTGTATTTTTAGTTATAGACTTGATTGAAAACAAGTAGACTAGACAACTAGTTTTAAAAGAATTATATTGCCAAACTGTATGCATGTGAATATATGCGTATATATATAATTATATAAGAATTATGTTTCCAAACTGTGTGTATATATGTATATATTAAAATATATACATGCTATATATTTTGTGATCATGCTATATTGCTAAGATCATTGATGAAGGTGGCTACAAAAAACAAAACAAAAACCCACTGTTCAGACCTACTTTTAAGAAAAAAAGGATTCCTTTCAAAATAATACTAACACTGCACATTAGGAATGAACCTAGCCATCTACATAGCTCAGGTAGCAATTGTGTGTGTATGTGTGTGTGTGTGTATATATATATATACACACACATACACACATATATGTATATATACACACATATATATACATATACACACACACACACACACACACACACACACACATATATATATATATATATAGAGAGAGAGAGAGAGAGAGAGAGAGAGAGAGAGAGAGATACTGAAGTGCTTATTCCACATCCACATATAGGTAGATAGATAAATATGAAATAAGTTCTTGGATAATCAAAAAGCTTATAACATTGGATTTTGATAGTTGCTCGGCCAGCCACCTTTCATATTCCTTCTTCCATTTTCTTAGTAGAAATGAACCAATTTTTTCTAAATATATACCCCTTTCTGTGCAGTTTATATAACTTAGTAGAAACTAAGTTAGCTGTTTAGTCTAAATCGATCATAGTATTTATCTTTTCACTTGTCAGTGATTGATTGGAAAATAGACATGGGATTTATTCACAATCATATGATTTGAGAAGTCTGCTGAGAGCTTATGGGAGAGTTCTTTCTTGCTCTTTAGTAAGGGCCCTTAGGAATATGAATAAACCTATAATACTGATCGCTAGTGGCAGTCCCCTGGTAACCCTGAGGGCAACTAGTCTTAGAATAAGACAATCTTGAGGATAGAAGAGTCAAGAGACAGATAAAACCAATGACTGTGATGACCTCATCACCATCTCTTCAATGAGTTTAGAAACTTGTTCTATTTCTAGTTCTTTGAGAGAATAAATTTTCTCATTGTTTTAGCAAGTTTAAATTAGGCTTCCTATTATTAAGCCAAACAAATTAAATAATATATATTTCCCTCCGTTTATTGCTTCTAGGAAACCCAGAGGGTTGTTGTAAAGAAATTCTACACAAGTTAATTTTCCAGGTGAATCCACAGTTGTTCCACATATCTAGCATCTTAGTGGTCCACTGTTGCAGGATAACTAGTACTTTTTATTTTATCCTGTCCACTTATCTGATGATCTCTCACAAAACAAGCTGGTATGGACATGCCTGGACCCCATTTTGGACTTTCATATACTTAGCCATGTGAATTCAGATTTCCATGAAGAGCAAAAACTAGACTGTGTATTTATTTCAATGTCTGGAGAGACCACGACAGAATTTTTTATTTCATTTTATGTTTGTTAATAGAGTTGTCTATTGAGAGGACATTAATAACCAAAACAATATAACATTTTCTCATATATGAAAATAATAATGCTGTTATCTTTGTTTCTTCATATGGCTTCAAGTCACAGTCTAGTGCTCTTTTATTTCAACATGAAGGACTTCCATGAGCATTTCTTACAGGGCAAGTTTAGTGGTCACAGACTCCTTAAGGTGTTGTTTATCTAGGAATGTCTTTTTTTCTCCCTCCATTTTGTAGAACAGCTTTGCTGGATAGAATTCTGGGTTGACAGTTTTGTTGCTGTTGTTGTTTTTGTATTGTTTTTGTTATTGTTTATTCTAGTAATTTGAATATATCAGCCCACTGCTGCCTGGGTGTTAAAGTTTCTAAGGAGAAATCTTTGATAATATTGTTGAATTCTCCTGTACATAATGTGTTGTTTTTCTCTTGCTACCTTCAAAATTCTCTTTTGTCTTTGTCATTTGAAAGTTTGATTATAATGTGTCTCCATGTGTTTCTCTTTCAGTTCATCTTGTATGTACATCATTGAGCTTTTTGGATGCTTACGTTCATGTTTTTAATAAAATTTGGAAAGTTTTCAGCATTATTTTATTGAACACAGGCATTCCTAATTGAATTGTCCTTTTCTTTATTATGCTTTCTAGATAGTGCATGTTTTACAAATTGAGGGTTTGCAACAATCCTCTGTTGAGATATTTTTATTGGAATCATTTTTCATTTTTCCAGCAGCATGTGCTTGCATCATATCTCTGTGTATTACTTTATTAATTCTCATAATATTTCAAATATTTTCATTATTATTGTATCTGTAATCATGATCCATGATCTTGATACTTGTTACTATTGTAATTGTTTTGGAGTGCCACAAACTGTTTCAACATAACATGGCAAATTTAATTAACAAATATTTTATGTGTTCTAACTGCTCCACCATCTGGCTGTTTCTCCATCTTGTTTCCTCTTCTTTGATGTCCCTATTCCCTGAAACACATAACAAAATTGAAATTAGGTTACTTAATAACCATAAAGTGGCCTCTGAGTGTTCAAGTGAAAGAAAGAGTTGTATGTTTCTCACTTGAAATCAAAAGTTAGAAATGATTAAGATTAGTGAGAATGGTATGTTGAAAGCTGAGAAAAGTTGAAAGCCAGGCCTCTTGTGCCAAACAGTTAGCCAGGTTGTGAATGCAAAGAAAAAGTTCTTGAAAGAAATTAAGGATGCTACTCCAGTGACAGACAAATGATAAGAAGTTGAAACAGCCTTATTTCTAATATAGAGAATGTTTGAATGGTCTGTACAGAAAAATTAAACCAGGCAAAACGGTCCCTTAAGCTAAAGCCTAATCCAGAGGAAGACCCTAACTCTCTTCAATTCTATGAAGATTGAATGAGGTAAAGAAGCTGCAGAAAAAAAAGTTTGAAGTTAGCAGAGGTTAGTTCATGAGATTTAAGGACAGAAACCATCTCCATAGCATAAAAATGAAAGGTGAAGCAGCAAATGCTGTTGGAGAAGCTGCAGCAAGTTATCCAGACTATCTAGCTAAGATCATTGATGAAGGTGGCTACAATAAACAAAACAAAAACTCACTGTTCAGACCTACTTTTAAGAGAAAAAGGATTCCTTTCAAAATAATACTAACACTGCACATTAAGAATGAACCTAGCCATCTACATAGCTCAGGTAGCAAGATACAAAGAGATTAGTGTTGTCTTCATGTCTACTCACACAACATCCATTCTGTAGTTCATGAATCAAGTAATAATTTTGACTTTCAAGGATTTGTATTTCGGAAGTACATCTTATAACAGCATATCTGACATAGGACTAATTATTTTGATGGATTTAGTTAAAATTAAGACTTTTTGGAAGCAATTCATTGTTATAGATGTCATTAAGAACAATCATGATTCATGGGCATAGGTCAAAATATAAATATTGATATGAATTTTGAGTAAGTGGATTTGAACCTCCCTGAATGACCTTGAGGGCTTCAAGACTTCAGTGGAGGACGTAATGGCCAATGTGGTAGAAATAACAAAATAAGTAGAATTAGAACTGCAGCCTGAAGATATGACTTAATTGATGCAATCTCATGATAAAACTTGAACAGATGAGGTGTGGCTTCTTATGGATGACCATATAAATTGTTTTCTTGAGGGAAAATCTACTCCTGGTGAAGATGCCATGAACATTGATAAAATGACGACAAAAATTTTAGAATATTACACAAACTTAGTTGATAAAGCAGTGAGTGGCAGAGTTTGAGTGGTTCTAGATTTGAAAGAAGTTCTACTGAGAGTAAAATGCTATGAAAAAACACAGCATACCACAAAGAAATATTTCATGAAAAGAAAAATTAATCAATGCAGAAAATGTTATGATTGTCCTACTTTATGAAATTGCCACAGCCACCCCAACTTTCAGTGATCACCACTCTGATGAGTCAACAAACATCAACATTGAGGCAAATTCCTCCACCATTAACTGACTGAAGGCTCAGATGACCATTAGTATTTTTTTACCAATAAATTATTTTTTAGCTCAGGTATGTACTTTGTATTGTAGATGTAATGCCATTTCACACTTAGTAGACCATAGTATTATCTAACTATAACTCCTATAAGTACTATGAAACCAAATGATTTCTGTTACTTGCTTTATTACAATAGTTCTTTTAATGCAGTAATCTAAAAATGAACCCAAAAGATCCCCAAGGGCTACTGGCATTCTGTGTATCTGCTTTCCTTTTTCTTCTTTTGGGATTCCCAAAATACATGTATCTTAGTTTGCCTAATAGTGTTCCACAAGTCTTTTAGACTCTGTTCATTTTTCTTTAATCTTTTTTTTTAAATATTTTTCAGTCTCTGTAACCTGTATTGTCCTATTTCGAGTCCACTTATTCTTGATTATGCCCAATTAAATCTACTTTCGAATTTTTCTAGTAAAATTTTCATTTATTTATTGTACTTTTCAGCCTGAGAATTTCTTTCTGATTTATTTTCAGATTTTCTATCTATTTATTGATACATCTCTGCAGGTATTTCATCAGTTCTTTGTGCATCTTTAAGAGAGTTGCTTTAACGTTATCGTCTACTAGTAGATCTGCCATCATGTATTTTTAGGGATAATTTCTATTGATATTTTTTCCTTTGACTAGGCAATACTTTTCTGTTTTTTGTATGCCTTATACTTTTTTAAAATCTGCATATTTCAATCTACTAATATGATAACTCTGAAAATGAGGCTTTCCTTTTTCCCCCAGGGTTTGTTATTTTTTTTATTGTTTTTGTTTGTTTTATTTATTTATTTTTTCCCGTGAAAACCTACATCAATAAATATAAATAAGTAAGGATCAGTCTGAAGGGAAAATTTAAGGCCTTTTCAGGTCTCCTTTGACCATGTACTTACACCTTTTCCTATGCAAGTTTGAGTACTTTCTAATTTTTTCCATATATGTGATTCCTTTTGAATGTTTTATGCTTTAATACGTGGACTTCACAAGGGGAAAAAGAAAAAAAATAAAAGTTTGTTTTTTTTCTTTTTTAAAGGATACCAGCCCTTTAAATCACCTGAAATTTACTTCAGTTAGAGGGAGAGAGGTTTGCAACAGTGGGGTCAGGCGTAACATAAAATGCCACTTGCTTTTTTTCTGCCCCTCGTGATCAGGTACACCTGATTAATGATCAGAGCACAGAGTCCCAATATTTGTAGTACAGGGTGATATGGGTCTACCCTGGCCCCAGCAAGCTTTTGTGCAAGCTGCTGCAGGAGAATATGCACAGCTGCCTGCCATCAGCAGGGGGTGAGGGATAGGTAGCTGCTACTGTGCTAAGATCTAAATTTGAACAAAATTTACCACAATTTATCTGTCTAAGCCTTCCCCTAGAAGTTGCCAGTCTTCAATAGACATCAGAGTTCCAAAACAAAAAAAAAGATATATTAGCCAGATTCTGCCAATCCAATTGTCTAGGTAAAGAGATAGATTCCTAGTGCTTCCTACTCTGCCATATTCCCAGAACCATTTCTTTAAAGTTCTTTGCTTCTATCTGTCATGCTTTTATGGATATTTTATTCATAAATCAGTAGCATTCAATCAAATATCATTTTAGTTTTTACCTTGTGCATGGTGCCTGGTGTTTTAGGCTAAACTTCCAGTATTCATTAAGTAATTCAGTCTCCATCATCACAGTAGTGAAGAGAGACATGATAGAAAATCCCACAATTGCATTTTTGTGTGATAAATATTACCCAAAAATGTGTAGTATTCCATTAAAAAATAAAAATGGGAAACAATTATGTGTTTTGCAGTAAGAAAAAGTCCTTTATGGGAAACTAATGTTTTTAATAAAGTTTGAAGAACAATTTGTAGAGAAGAGTGGGCTTTTCAGGGAGAAGAAACATTCTTCACAGATGCCTAAATTTAGGAAAGAGCTTTTTGCACTAGAGAAACTGGAAGAAAGATGCTGTGCATGGAAGAAGGAAGAAACACAAGATAAAGCTGAAGAAACAGGGATTCTGAATGTGTAAAAACTTGGATTACATTGGCAGTGTGTCAGTTATAGATTAGTTATGAGTGTAGTAACCACTTCACATATTGAAAAAGTCTGATATAGGAAATTATGTTTTTGCACAGTATTTTTCTCAACATCTAAACCATAGTTAAATTCAACAATACTTGTTTAATAAATTAATATACAAACAACATACTTGCTAGTGTGTGTAGGAGGAGAATGTATCTAAGTTGACACTCAGTTTTCTGATGTGTATAATTGGGTAAAAATGGTGGAGCAATGTTTATGAAAAAGAAAAAGAATGTTTAATTTAAAAAAAGAAAATGAAATTTGGTATAATTAGAATCAAAGAGAAACAGGATAGATTTATTGGCTGATACAATTATTTTCTACCTGAAAATTTCAAGGGAAGAAACTAAAATAAATATAATAAAATGATAATGATTATTTTTTCTATATATTTGTTTAGTTTATTAAAAAGATCAGAAAATGTTTTCCATAAAAGATTAGAGAGTAAATATCTTATGCCACACATAAATATCTTTTTAGAGCCATACACCTCTGTTTAAAAACCGTATATTGGAATCTGCCATTGTCGAACAACAGGAGCTATACTCTACAGGAAAAATAAGATGAAACTCCACAGAAAACAATTTAAAATTACAATAAAATAATACCTAGAACTCTTTTACAATAAGTTTGGAAATGTAATAATGTACTTTTTTTTTATAAAATACCAATCTTGATTTAAAATCAAGTGGGAAACTTGAATGGATCCATAAGCAGAGAGAAAAGATTAAAATACCTGCTATCAAAAATAACAACAAAAAATGAGTTATGTAAAGATGTGTATAGTAAACTTTTGTCTAAACTTTAAATAATATGTAATGATAATAGTCATTCTAGGCCATGAAACAAAATGTAGAATTTTAAAACTCATTTTGTAAAATAAAAATATTACAACATGAAAATGGTTATGGTTAAAGCTCAGTCCTACATCAGATTATAATGAATACGTTCACCTATACTATACTAAACTATAGCTATGTATCAAGATCACAGTGTGTTATGCCAAAGTAGGACTTATTACAAGAATGAAGAGTTAGCTCAATAACAGGAATACTACCAATACATCTCATATCAGTAAAATAAGACATTAATACGTTTCAGTGTATCAGGCAAAGTTCCTGTTGTCATTTGAAATTTGTAATAAAATATCTAAGCAAAATAGAAATGTATAATAAGGATAATTTATAAAATTATAATAGCAAGCACCACTTCAGAATTGGAACTCTAAAGCCATCATCATGGAAAACCAAGAGAAATAGATTAGACAGGCAAGAATGGAATCTACAATATCATGCAGTATAAGTTTTCCATTACAATTAATAAGATAACGTAGTCTTTATAGTCATATAAAAATACATGGATGAAATATATCATTTTGATTGTATTGTTTTTATACATAAAATAACTAAGGTCTCAAGTAAATTCCTTACAAGTATGTTAAGGCACCTAGGAAAAGTAAATAGATGCAAAAATAATATATAATTAGATCTTCCCTGTTAGAAGTGCTATAATTTTACAAAAGCATTCAAAGTAATAGAAAGTAGGTAAGATAATTTGGAATAAACTTGAAGAAAAAGTACTTGATTTTTATGAAAAGGCAATGCAGTTTTGTTGAAGAACATAAAACGAGATCAGAACAATGGGAAGGATATATTCTATTATTTGATGAAAACATAAATGTTTGTAAAAATGTCAATTCTGCCAAAATTATATTAAAATTCAATGTGATTCAAATTTGAAAAATTAATTAATTTTTGGCATTTTGCTGTAAACTTACTGCCACTAGGAAAGTTTTTCTTTGCTTGCTTGTTTTTTTACAAACCAGAAACTTTTTATTGGTTATGATGAGAAGCTTATGTACCAGGAAGTCACAGGGACAGGGAGGGAACTGTTCTAGTGCTGGAAAAGGTGGTAGAGTGTAACGTGGGCCTGACAATAGGCCAAAAGTCATAACATGTTTCCTAGAACTAGCTCAACTTCTACAACATGCATCATGGTAGCCCGGCACTGGGATACAGCCCATTGGGTAGAGAGTAGACAAGGTTGGCCCTAAAAGCCAAGAATTTTACATCTGGGTCCATTATCTTTGGTCCCTTTAGTGGGGTATGGTCTGATTATGGAGAAAGATAACTCCTTCCTTATCTACATCCAAGCTTCACTCCATCTGTGATCGTGTAAGAGACTTCCATTTCCTTATCTGGGGTTAGGTTATTGTTGGTGGGTTCCCTTAACTAGCCAAGACAAAAGAATGGTTCCTGAAGGCATGTAGGTTTTAACACATAATACAGCACAAACCAACTATCAAACAAAGGCTTGTCAATTCAGAACGCTACAGCCAGATAAAATATACAACAATAATAAATGCAAATTAGAGGTGAATTCAGAAAAATGGAAGCAGAGAGATTTTCTTGTCAACAGTGATAGTGTTAACAGAAATACAAAGGGTGTTCTTCAAGCTGAAGGAAAATGTCATACAGTGGAACTCATATGTACAGGGAGGAACAAAACAAAAAGAGTGATTTTAATTATTTTTTGAAAAGCCAAGTAAAATTTCCCTTGCTTTTAATTTGAACTGTCTACATTAAGCCAAAATAATTGTAATACATAACTGTTCTCAAGCAATAAAAATGAATTGAAAGCTATAAAAGAGAAAATATTCAATGTACATAAAATTAACAGAGACAAATGTCATTTTGGGAAAAAAATAAAATTGATAGACTTCTAATAAGACTTTAAGAAAAGAGATAGAAAAAAAAAAAGAGAGGAAAAAATCACCAGTACCAGTTAAGTAAAAGTATTTATTACAACTAACCCACAGATTGGAGGAAGAAGGAAGCCCTAGTTCCTGCAGTGACCCAGAAACCAAAGGAAGAGAATGATTTGATAAAGATCAAGTACTAAGACTGAGATTATATGCAGTAAAATATTGACACAGAAATGGTCCTAGATTTCACAACACGGGGTTTTTTGGAGTCCTCCAACGAGCAGTTTTAGCAGTGTAAAGAGGAGAATGTCAAATTGTATTTGATTGAATTGTTTTTGGGCAATGATTTGAAAAAAAGTATATGTAGATAACTTATTCAAGAAGTTTGGTCATTAACTAGAAGGGAAAAGTACAATCTACCTGGAAAAAGATATATAGTCAATAATAATTGTTTCCTTTTTTAAAAGTAAAATATGCTTTCACATCTGCAAAGAAATTGACTGGCCAACAGAATAATAGAGCATTGTCCTTGCCCTGTAAAAATATATGGAGATAAATAAAATGGTTTCAGTTATTTTTATATTATCTGAAAACTTTGCTGCAAAGTACCACATTCTTTGTTGAATATGAAATTTTATGTTACTTTGTTTGTTTACACCTTACTTTGAATAATAAGACCCTGAAGGATTTATAATTATAGTTTATTGAATATAGCATTTACAATGGAATTGACAGCCAGTTAGTCAAGATTCTTTTGAATTAAGTAAAACTGCAATTTATATGCTGCAAACAAAATGAAAAGAATGCAATAGCATTGGTTAAGAGACAAAAAGATTTAAAAATCTTGTAGGCAACTGACTTTTGTTTTAAATGAATACATTTAAGAGTAGTGGATATATCTTTAATTCACTGGATAAAACTACCAAAAGTTTATAATTATGTTGTTCATTGTGTTAGGCAATTATTGTCAGTTTTAATGCTTTGCCACTGTATCATGCCTTAAGCAAATACTCTCCATGTTCATGAATATTGGAGAAAGCAAGTCATAAATCTGTAAACTGAACATAAGCATCTTTCAAGCTGTCTGGACGCTTGCAGTGTTTGCAAAGCTTAACATATATTTTAATCTGTGCACTGCTGTTTTTATTTGGTGCTTTCCATCTTTCTGTCCATCTCCCTGCCTCCTGTCTTTCCATCGATCCATCATTTTTTCCAATTAAGGCAAGCTAGATGACAGACATGACAGGCACTCACTGTCCAATGCCACAGATTCTAAGTAGAAGTAATTGCTGTGTATGAAACTGAAAGAGTTCACCAGGGCTGCCATCACAAGCCTCCACGTCAGTCAGCTTTCTTGCTTGAATAATAGGCAGGGGATGAAGTGAAGGGTCTGGAATACCGAATGCAACTCCAGAGATGATTATCTAAGATAATCCTTTTAATTTTCATCAACTGAAAGTAACATTTTTCTTTCTCTGAATTTACAGCTGAGAAAATCATTTCATACAGAATGCTGGCATACTCTGAACAATGTAACGCTGGAGGGGAAGATTTTTGGAAAAACGCTACAGGCTTTACGTGGCAGAAATACCCTTCATTTTTTTCTTGTTACAGGATTTGTCATTAGAAATAAGAGTACAATAACTTGCAGCCAAACCATGATGATATCTATTTATTCAGCCATGAATACAGAATGAATTGTGTATAAATATTAGAGACACACACACATAATTTGCATGTATCACTACATATGGTTACATATATTTAGTAAGTTCAGAAGGTATTTTTCTCTGTGTTGCTGAATAATAGAAGATGTGTCAGATTTTTAAACCAATGTATTAATCCATCTCTCTTTAAAATGAAAAGATTGGCTTATGTATCTGGTTAGAACTGAAAGTTCTGTGAGAGTCAAAAGAAAAAAATACATCCAAATTACATAAAATAATATAATGATATCAGAGAAGACTGTATTCAGTCATTTTACTAAGTTTGTCAGATTTTGAAATGCAATTTTTGTGAAGAAGCAGGGAATAGCACTTTTTACAATGGCGTAACAGGTGTCCCAATGCCAAGATTGTTGTCTCTAATACAATTCACCCAATTAAAAGGGCCTGAGATTTGGCTTAGGAAAATGGCTGGTTCTGTATTTGATGCAGGAAATGTACAAGATGAATTTCATGCATGCTGTAGTGCCTGGAAAGGATAAGCTACCAGGAAATAACAGAGACTTGTAAGAGAACTCAAGAGTCAGCTTTAATAAAATCCTGTAGACCACTGACAAGGCATTTTGATTTTTTTTGAATAGCTACAGCTGATTCAAGTTCTTTAAATATAGAAAGTGAGTTTACAAATATATTCAGAAAAAGAAGAAAAAAGTAACCAATAAAAATAATAAAATCATTTGAGTTTGCTAAAGCATCAACTCATTAGTCTGAAAATCAAGATAAATAAGTAATTATTTTATTGTCTTTCTTGTAGTAACTATTTATGAGACAGTCAAATAGCTTTAAGGATTATCTGTTCTTAGACATTATATAAACACCTGAGGTCAAGAGTTCGATACCAGCTTGACCAACATTTGAAACCCCATCTTCACTAAAAATACAAAAATTAACCGGGTGTGGTGGCACATGCCTGTAATCCCAGGTACTTGGGAGGCTGAGGCAGGAGAATCGCTTGAACCCAGGAGATAGAGGTTGCAGTGACCAGAGATAATGCCACTGCACTTCAGCCTGGGCGACAGAGGAGATACTCTGTAGTCCCTGCTACTCGGGAGGCAGAGACAGAAGAATTGCTTGAACCTGGGAGGCGGAGGTTGCACAGACAAATTGCCTGAACCCCCGAGGCGGAGGTTGCAGTGAGCCGAGATTGCGCCTAGGTGACAGAGTGAGACTCTGTAAAAAAAAAAAAATAAAAAGTTTGCATTAACTTAAAAATTCTCTGTTCTAAAGAATAGATTTCAGAATGTATATTTAAAACTTCTGGCAAAACGTAAGTGTTTGTTAAAACTGGGTTATTAATTCATAAGTGTTATTGAACTTCTTTGGTAAATGTTGGAAGTTTTTCATAATTTAAAAACTTTTATATTTAATTTCCTTAAAAATTCTATCTACTTATACCATGACCAAGTAGGACTTATTTCTGGAATGTAAGGATGGTTGAGTATATGAAAATAAATCAGAGTAATATCCTATATAATGAGAATGAATTTAAAAAACACATAAAAATCTCAATTGATGCAGAAAAAATATTTCACAACATTCAATACCCTTTCAAAATAAAAGCATTCAACAAACTAGAAGCAAAAGAAAATTACTTCGATATAAATAAGGTCATATATGAAAAACGTACAGCTATCTTGATGTTCAATAGTGAAAAATGAAAGCTTTTTCTCTAATATTAAAAAAGGACAAGGGTGACTTCTTTCACCACTTCTACTCAGCATGATAATAGAAGTCCCAACTAGAGCAGTTAGGCAAGAAAATGAAATAAAAGGAATGTAGATTAGAAATAAATAATATGATCTATTTTCACGAATGATATTTTATATGTAAGAAACCCAAAAGACTCCTCCAAAATAGTATTAGAACTAATAAATGAATTAAGTAAATTTGCAGGATATAAAATAAACACACAGAATCTGTTGCAATTCTATACATAACAATACATAATTGAAAAAGAAATTAAGAAAACAATTTATTTGCTTAAGGAAACATACCATTTTCAGTAGTATCAAAAATAATAAAAGAATTATAAATAAACTTATCAAAGGAGGCAGAAGACTTGCACACTGAAAACTAAAGAAAAGTTGCTGTAAGAAATTAAAGAATACACAAATAAGTGGAAAACATATCATGTTCATTGATGGGAAGACTTAGTATCATTAAGATGTCAATATAACCAAAAGCAAACCACAGATTCCATGTGATCCCAATAAAAGTTTCAGCAATAGTTTTTTGGCGGAAAGAGAAAAATTCATCCTAAAATTAATACAGATTTTAAGGGATCCCAAAGAGTCAAAAGTCTTAAAAAAGAAGAACTAATATGGGAGCTTCTTTAAAAAGAAGAACAAATATGGAGGTCTCACACTTTCTGATTTCAAAACTTACCATAAAACTACCATCATCATATAATTTGCTACTGGCATTAAGACAGGCAAATCAATGGAATAGAATAGTGAGCCACAAAAGAAACCTTCACATATATGGTGAACTGATTTTTGACAAGGGTGCTAAGACAGTTCAATGAGGGAAAAACAATCTGTTCAAAAAATACTGTTGAAAAATCTGGATATTAACATTAAGAAATGAATTTGAACCCATACCTTATACCATATACAAAAATTGACATAAAATGGATATAAGGCCTAAATGTAATAGCTAAAGCTGTCAAACTTTTAGAAGAAAAAGGAGAGATAAGCTACATGACACTGGATTTCATAATGATCTGTTGACTAAGACATCAATAGTACAGGCAACAAAATATAAAATGGATAAGTTGAACTTCATCAAAATTAGACTTTTGTACATCAAAGAATACCATTAACAGGGTGAAAAGGTAATCCATGGAATAGGAGAAAGTATTTGCAAATCATATATCTCATAAAGGATTGATATCCAGAATATATAAAGATCTCCTACAACTGAAAAAAAGTAATTAGTTTACTGTACAGAAGACTTGAGTAGAATTTTCTCAAGGGAGAATGTACAGGTGGCCAATGAACATATAAAGGGATGGTTGGCATCACTAACCAGAAATTCAGTTCAAGACTAGTATGTCATGCCACTTCACAACTACCAGAATGGCAACCTAGATGTCCATTAATAGTGGACAGGATAAAGAAAAATGTGGTACATATACATCACGGAATACTACACAGCCATAGAAATAATGAAATCATGTTCTTTGCAGCAACATGGATGCAGCTGGAGGCTATTATTACAAGAGAAATAATAAAGGAACAGAAAATCAAATACTTAATGTTCTCACTTTTAAGTGGGAGCAAAACATTGAGTATACGTGGACACAAAGAGGAAAACAATAGACACCAGGACCTACTTGAAGGTGGAGGGTGGGAAGAGGGATCATGAAACCATCTAAAGGGTATTGTGCTCACTACCTGGGGGATAAAATAATTTGTACAGCAAACCCCACGTGACACTCAATTTCCCCACGTACCAAACCTGCACATGTATTCCCTGAACTTAAAATAAGAGTTGGAAAAGAAAAAAAAAGAAAAAACCATAAAACAAAAAAAACACTGTTGTTAAAAACAACAACAAAAAGCCTGTAAATGACAGATCATGAGGATGTGGATATGTTGGAGATCTTGCTTTGCTCATTGCTGGTGGAAATATGAAAATTTCAATGGCTGTAAAGGACAATGTGGCAATTTCTTGAATATTTGTATGTGGAATTGCCATTTCATCCAGCAATTCCACATCTGCATATATACCCAAAGATGTGGAAACAGGACTCATATGGATACTTGTACACCCAAGTTTATGGCTCAATTTTTTTCCGTAGCCAGAGAGATGGAGGCAACCCAGGTTTCCATCACAGGATGAAATGATAAACAGAATGTGTTATGCCAATGTGGCAGAACTTTGGTCAACTTTGAAAGGGCAGGAATCCCTGGCACAAGCTGTAACATAGATGAACCTTGATACCATTGTGCTAGCAGTCACAGAAGGAGAATTGAATAATTCACTTCCATCAGTGCCTAAAATGATGAATTTCTAAGGGATAGAGAGTGTGGAATAGTAATTTCCCAGAACTAGGTGAGGGAGTTGAAATGGGGTGTTCATGTTTAACGTGTACAGAGTTTATTTGGGGAGATGGAGAGGTTCTAGTGATGGATGATAGTGGTGGTTGCACCATATTGTGGGTGTGTTTGATGCCATAGAGCTGTGTTCTTGGGGATGGTGATTTTTGGGTGGTGTGTATTTTTTCCAATAGAACAAATATTAATGAAATATAGTTTAAAAAAAAACTCCACTAACCATATATACAAGTAATATGTTTAGGGAAAAAAAAAACAGTAAGCATGGTTTCATACTTATATTTTTATGGTAACAAATTCAACTCTTCTCAAAAATATCTGGTGCTAAGCATGGATTTACATGCTCATTAATTAATAACATAGACTCCTCTGGGGACCTTTAAAGATATTCACATGCCCAATATGACATTAAAAAACAAATACTACTGAAAGAAAAAATAAGAACAAAACAAACAATACAATCATAATTGGTCATATTCTTATAGCAGTAGTCAGCAAACATTTTCCTTAAAAGGTCTAATAGCAAACATTACAGACGTTATAAGCCATACAAAATTTGTTGAAATTATGTAACTCATTGTAGTGCAAAAGCAGCCATAAACAATACATAAATGAATGAGGATGGCTGGTTCCAATAAAACTTTATTTACAGGGACAACCACGGCCAGCCCTCTGTTGTTTGCTGAACCTTAATCTTTACCATGCAGTAACTTTAATTTTTAAGATCTCCAGATTTTCTTTTGGCACACACCTGAGGCTAATGGCTGAATTTATCATAGGTACATTCCTACGAATTATACTGAGAAGGATTCCTTAAAAATTGTAGTAGTTATGATTGGTGTTGGAAGTCATTCTAGGTCTATTTCTCCCTAGTACAAGGTAAGGTTGTGTTTTTACATTATTTTTAAATTAAGCATGGTCAGGTGACATCTGTGATCAATGAAATGTGAGCACAAATATTACGTGTATTTTCATCAGGAAATTTTGAAATCCAGTTGCAACTTGCCATCTTGCTTTCTCTCAATTGTGATGGCTGCAGAAATATGTGTCCAGATTGAATCTCTGTCAGCCTAGCTTCCCTAGTGAAACTAAAGTAGAAAGCCCCTACAGTACCAAAATGGGCATATTTAATTGGTAAGAAACAAATTTGGGTTGGTTAAGCCAATGAGATTTTGTGATTATAAGTTATCACGGTATAAGTTATTCCATCTTGCTTGATATTACACTATTAAAGAAATAATTGTGCAATTTATAAATATTTTCATTAATTACAAATAATGGTTTGTTAATCTGAACCAGTGCTTAAAGGAAATACCTTTTAAAGAACACTAATCAGCTTTCATCTACATAGGTTTAGAGAGTCTTTATGAGGCAGACAACAGCAATGTCACATGGGATTTTGTAGTACGTACATATAGCCCAAACCTGATGTTTATTTGGAGAACTAATGTTGACTACTGGTATAAGAATATGACCTGATGTTTATTTATGGAGAACCATAAATCCACATTGATGTGACTTCTGTAACTTCTATTTATGTCTTGAAAATCTAGTAAGAAAAAATATGGAATATAAAATGCACATTTTTTTCATTACATCAGCTTGATTTCACTAGATCATCAATCTCTGTATACTCATTTTTTTCTGCTGCTCAGGTAATATGGCTGCTTGCTAACAACTTTAAAAACAGGAAACTTTGCTCATGACTTTTTTTAAAAAAATCACTTTTTCTACCTTATTGCGATATGATGGGCAAATAAATTTTATATATTTAAGGTGCACAGGTGATGTTCTGATATATGTATAAATTGTGAAATAATTTTCTCAGTTGAGCAAACATAATGATTACATGACATAGTTAATATTTTTTCTTTTTTTTTGCAGCGAGAGCCCTTAAAATTTATCCTCTCAACAAATTTCACATATAAAATGAAATATTGTTAACTATAGTTACCATGCTTACATAGATCTCCACACCTTATGCATCTTGCATAACAAAATTGTATACCTCATGTATCAGCTCATTTCTTCAGCCTCCTAGGCTGTGGAAATCACCATTCTACTCTCTGATTCTTTGAGTTTGACTATTTTAGATTCTAAAGTGAAATCATGCAGTATTTGTCTTTGCCTGCTTGGCTTATTTCACTTAGCATAATATCTTTCAGGTTTACAACTGTTGCCGCAAATGGCATGGTTTCTTTTTTTTTAAAGTCTGAATAATATTATATTATACACATGCACGTATGTGTGTGCATGTGTGTGTGTGTGTGTGTGTGTCAGGGTTTTTGCTTGCATACACTGACAGATGTTTAGGTTGTTTCCATGTCTTGGTTATTGTGAATAGTGCTGCAATGAACATTGGAGTGCAGATATCTCTTCAATGTACTGATTTCATTTCCTTTGGATATATACCGAAAGGCAGGACTGCTGAATCATATGGTAGTTTTCTATTTTTAATTTTTTGAAGAACCTCTGTTTTGTTTTTCATAATGGCTGCTCCAATTTACATTCCCTACAACAGGATGTAAGTCTTCGTTTTTCTCATCAACACTTCTTATCTTTCATCTTTTTGATAACAGTTATTCTAATAGGTGTGAAGTGATATCTCTTTGTGATTTTGATTTGCATTTCTTTGTTGATTAGTGATGCTGAGCACTTTTTCATATATCTGGTGGCAGTGGCACCAGGACTGTAAAGGTGGTGGTGGCAGCTCTGGTGCTGAAACAGTGGTGGCTCCGATGAGGGGATGCGGTGGAGTGAACTCTGAGCCGTTCCATCAGCTGGGCTCAGAGTCCACAGAGACCGTGAACGTTCTCAGGGGTAAAGACTGCAGGGCCCCTCTTGCTTTCTTTTTTCTCTCACTGGGGGCATGTTATGGCCATGAGGCTTCCTCTCAGAACCTCCTGTGCTGATCTGAGGGAGGAGGAGATGCATGTAATGCTTCCTACACAGTTCTTTTTCTTTTTTCCTCTCTTCTTTCCTTCCTTCCCTTCCTCCCTCCCTCTCTCCTTTCCTCCCTCCTTTCCTTCCTCCCTCCCTCCCTCTCTTCCTTCCTGTCTCTCTTCTCTCTTTCCCTTCCTTCCTTCCTTCCTTCCTTCCTTCCTTCCTCCCTTCCTCCCTCCCTCCCTCCTTCTCTCTCTCTCTCTTTCTTTCTTTCTTTCTTTCTTTCCTTTCTTTCTTTCTCTTTCTTTCTTTCTGACAGTCTCACTTTGTCACCCAGGCTGGAGTGCAGTAGAGCAATCTTGGTTCACTGCAACCTCCACCTCCTGGGGGCAATTCTCCTCCCTCAGCCACCAGAGTAGGTGGGATTACAGGTGTGCATCACCATGCCCAGCTACTTTTCCTACACTTTTCTGTGGAGCCATCCTTGTGATTTTCTGCCCCATTGGCTTGCTGCAGCACCTTCATTGTGCTCTGGTATTCTCCAAACACTATTAGTGTTTGCGAGTAGTCAGTAAATAGTGAAATAATTGTTTCTTTAGGGGGTAAGGAGAATTAGAGTCTCGCAGTCCACTATTTTGCTGATGTTACCAATTTCACCCATGACATATTCTACAATGCACATTTCACAATGCGAATTGTAATACCAAGGTGTGCCAAAATAGAGCCATTTTTATATGCATATGAGTAAAAGTTGAGTAAAAGTCATTTCCCTTCCCTCTGTCTATTGAGAATACTCTTTGTAATTTTAAGACATAATACATTTGTTATAGCTGTATTTAATTTAACTTTATACAGATAGAAAAATCCTAAGCTAATTATTAAATCCATAAACATAGACAAATTCTAAAACAAAGAAATCAGAATCAAATTATAAATTTTATTGCATATATTGTCCATTCACATCCACCATTTTATTACAATATATGCAGGGTTTCATAATACTTAACATATATCCTTTTATTATTAACTTTTAAAAATAAAATTTAAACCTAATGTTGAATGTTCACAGCATGCTTGTTGAGTCTCCAAATTTAATGTGGCTGATTATTCCGTAAAATACAGCATTCAGCATCTTAGTTTAAGTGTGCAAAATGCTGAGAGTATCTTATTAGATATTCTTTGCCACAGGTATAGACAAATGATGATGACAAGCTGTGAACCCAAAAACTGTATTTAATGGTCTATCAGCATAGGTTGAACATTGAGAGAGAAAGCATTTATTGATAAAATTTCTGATGCATGCTGTGTTGGGGAATGAATGGCACAGGGAACTGATGCCTGACAATCAGCACACCCCAGGGAAAACATAAACAATACGTATCTTTGTAACCTTCGTCACCTCCTATTTGCTTTATATTTTGCCATTGGTTTTAATGAATAGAAGCTGGGTTCCATCAAATCTCTGCAGGGTTCTTCTACTTTTCTTTTCTTGCACTACTGCGATGAACACATCTGCTTGAAACTGTCAGCCACAGTAAGTGTAGATTTTTGAGTATTAAGAGGATCTGCAACTTAAGCATAGACAACACCCCAGTAAAGCTCCTCCACAGTTGTGATATATTGTTTCTAATCCCATTTTAGGAAAATTTGTCCCTGAGATGAATGTATGTGACATCTTTCAAAAAGCCTTAACATCTGTTTGAGACACTGATGTTTCACAAATTTCAAAGATAGCAAATGTGACTCAGTGTATGTCTGTTTAGGGAGAGTCAAAAAATGTCCAGAATGTCATAGTTTAATTGAAGTAGATAGACTGCATTTTTTTTTCTCAGCAAAGTATCTGTTTATTAATTTCAATACGTAGCCGGGAGCGGTGGCTCATGCCTATAATCCTAGCACTTTGGGAGGCCGAGGAGGGTGGATCACCTGAGGTCAAGAGTTCGAGACCAGCCTGGCCAACCTTGTCTCTACTAAAAATTAAAAAAATAGCAGGGCCTGGTGGTGCATTCCTGTAATCCCAGCTACTCAGGAGGCTGAGGCAGGAGAATCGCTTGAACCCAGGAGACAGAGGTTGCAGTGAGCCAAGATCATGCCACCGTACTCTAGCCTGGGCGACAGAGGAGATACTCTGTCTCCAAACAAAACAAAACAAAACAAAACAAAGAAAAATTAATTAATATGTGTATGTTATTTAAGATAAAATTTAACACATTCCTGAACACAAGGTGATGATACAATTTATAATCCAGTTTCTTTCATATTACCTCTGATTTTCAAAGGGGCTTAACATATGGACACACTTATACATCCTGGTTTTGATATTTTTCGTATACACATGTTAGATAAATTGACATAACAGGCAAACTTTGATTAAAAGTGTTAAAGTTTTCAGCCAATTTATTCATGATGCTAGGAACCTCAAATTAAAAGGAAATGATGAACATGACCAGAAAAAGAAATACAACAGAAGAAAAACAAAGGCGGCACTCATTACTGGCCCTAGAATCATCATCTCTTGTCTTATAACTTTAATAAATTTAATATAATTTTATCTATTTATCTATCTATAATTACCTATGTGTCTATATACATATGTCATCTTTTTTTTTCAGTGATTATAGAACAGTCTCATAAATGATTTAAAATTTGAATTTACTGCTTTGGACAGGAAATTATCTTTCTATAACAGGGAAGTTCCATGTGAAACACTCTATTTAAATTATAAGGAGTGAATGTGGAAAAGCCCTACTATGTCATAAACTGGCACAAAGAAGATACTCAAAATATGTTTGGTGAATACATTATGAAATGATTATAAAAAGCTGACAAAGCAAAAAAATGATGAATGAACTAGATTAAAACTTTTCAATCTAGATCACATAGAATATCAATAATTGCTTAATAATATTAAGGACTTACTATGATCCAAGCATTTTTGTTAAGTGTTTTACATATATTAACTTATTTATTCATCCCAGCATGGAGACATCTGTACTTACAATCAATACTTGGTTATTAAATAAAATTTCCACTTCCAATTAATATTTGGTTTCTATAAAATTTGTATGTCTGAATATTTCTAAGATTGATTACAAGCCTATATTTAAGTAAGTACTTACAGTGATTAAAGTGAGTTTGAGAATTTCTGGACTGATCAAGGAAAAGATGTAACCACAAGATGTCAGGAGTACACAGTGCGCTTTATCTAGGAGGCACTTGAGCAGGTTGTAAGTTAGAGGGACTTCCTCACAGCCGGAGATCTTCCAGAGACAACAGCATAAGGCCACCATCTGGAAGGGGAAAGAAAGAGGTTTTCTGTGGAAGAAGAAAATCAGAGAGGAGACCCCAGTATCTAGGTGCTGTCACTCAGCAACAAGATGGAGAGTTTCTGGGTCATGAGCTCTAAGGGCAAATCTTGGGATCAAGAGTGTCCCCAGAGTTTATTTTATTTATGGCCAGCAGATGTTGGGTACAATTTCTCAGGTTGTGCCAAGCAGGCAGGCTCTACATGGCTAATCACATGCTCATATGGGCTATATTTAAAGTGATTGATTGTGTAAAAAGTTTAGTTTGGTACTGGCAGGATTTTTAGCTAACAGTCCTTTTCTGCTGTGAAGAGATAAACAACATAGTGGCTGATACACAGGGACTATCTTTGGCTCACTTATATAACCTCTATAAAGTAACTTCTACTCATTGTTAGGTAAAAAAAGGTAAAAAAAAAAAAACCAACATACTACTGGTTTTAAGTTATGTGGTATGATGAGAGAGAGAGAGAGAGAGAGAGAGATAGATAGCGATACCTATCTAAATATTTACATCTATATGTGTATCTGTATCTTCCTAAGCTATACTTTCAAGAACACACACACACGAAACTCTAAAACTAACAAAAACTATTAAGCATTTAAAACATCTTTCTACATACGTTAACACCCAACCAGTTTTGCTTAGGGAACTTTATTGCTTGTACGTTTGACGTTTAGGCACTTGTATCACTAAGCGAGGGCTGCCAAGGCTAGGTTTCTTATATAAAAGACATTTATTTTCTCATTGTTCTGGAGGCTTAAAGTTGTAACCAACGTGTAAGAAGGTTTGGTTTCTCCTGAGGCCTCTCTTTTTGGTTTGCAGAAGGCTTCCTTTTCAGTATGTCTTTATGTGACCTTTTTTCTGTGTGTGCACACTCATGGTTTCTCTCCCTCTTCTTATGAAGACACCATTCCTATTATATTAAAGCCCCACTGTTATGATATTATGTCATCTTAATTATCTCGTTAAAGGCCCTGTCTCCAAATACAGACACATTGGGGGTTAGGGCTTTAACATATGAAATTTTGAAGAGACACAACTCAGCATATAACAGCACTTCCTGTAGAAATTGCTATTACATTTGTCATGTTTCCATTAAGATACAGAGCCTGTAATAGATGCCCTGCACTCTTTCACTATTTTAATTGTGTGTGTGTGTTTCTGTGTGTGTGTGTGTGTGTGTGTGTGTGTGTGTTGTATCCCACATTTCTACTTACCTTAAACAAGAATTGCATGCTCATTTGGCTCACAAAATTCAGTTCCTTGGAAATTTCAGTTTCATACAGCACTTCAGTAAGAACTGAAAATTAACTTTCCTAGCTGAGTAAAACCAAATGGAAACAAATTTCAGGGCTTAAAAGAACTTTGTAAATGATGTCGTATCACACATTTCGTTTAATTTCTTCTATCAGACATTGAAGTATCTGTTAAATACTCATTCCTATAAAGATGTGCGCAACTACCAAATGGAGTAGCCAGCACATTAAGAGCTCCACATAATTATTAAAACTGTACTTTATTGAGATCAACCAATTCCATTAAAATATCATTAAAAATGAATACATTGAAAAGATCCTCAGAGAAATGAGAGGAAACGATCATGGGTTTCTGAAATTTGAGCTTCATGAAAGCAGTATTTTGATGCCATGATTTTTATTCATTTACACAAATAGGAACAAAGCTGGTGGCATTATATTTTAAAATTACTTTATACTAAGTTTCCTCCTCCCTACCAATATTTAGCAATTCTCAACATTATATGTATGTGTCAGACACTTTTCCAGGATTTGGGAAGAGAATACTGAATAAAACAAACTCTCTGCCCTCATACAAATTTATTCTAACATGGAGCCACATAAATTAATACTTCCTTTAATTTGAGTTCCCCGTTTGGGACTAACTAATGTCGTTAAGAGAAGTGTATCGGTATTCAATGTATTAAAATATATCTATAAACCATAAAATGTACATATAATAATTGTACGTATAATTATTGTATTTTATTAGGTAGGCATGTCCTACTTAATATGTATGGCTAAAATAATCAGGAACAACAATTCAATTGTAGTTTCCAAATGTATTGGTGGTAAACAGTGGACTAAAATGCGGGAGGAGGGCTTACAAAACTAGTTTCTTGCTCTCCTTCACTCAGTTCTCAGTTACTTACTAACTGTGAAATGAGCAATGCATTTACCTGCACAAAACTCAAGAACTTCCTGAGTGAAATGAGTCAAATAATAATAACTATTTAAATAATGGCTCTATGTATTATAGGATAGAACCTGTGTTATCGTCCTTAGCAAGACGCCCTGAATGTTAAATTCATTCAAATTTATGGTAGTTATAAATATTATGGAAATGTAGAAGTGTTGAAGAGGGCAAGCAGAGATGGTATGCTTATTTTTTCTCCCTATTGGTAGCAAATTGTTTAGCTTTCATGTCGTGGTTTATATTTTTAAAAGAAAAGAATGCGATCATATAGGAAAAATTTCCCGTAGACTATTATAGTGATAGTGTCACCCCAGGACACTGAAAATTTAAATGTTTAAATATGAAGAGAGTGGTTTGGCATATTGTTTATTGAAAGATTTCCAGTAATTTTATTTTTGATATATTTGTGTTCCACAAACTTTATATGTATTGCTTTTGAGGAGTAAAAATACAGACAGATTTTTTTTACTGTTGGAGTGACAGTTTACAGATAAGCAAAGGAAGGAAGCATAGATTGACCAATGCGCTAATGAATTAGAATTAAAGATACCAGGAACCAGGGTTCCTTGGAGAAGTCGCTGATTCTGGGACCAGGGGAGAAAATATAACATATGAGCTTGGATCAGCTTGAGTTCCAGAAAATAAGGAAATGAAGAAAATGAAAACCAAATATGATCAAATAAAACACACATACATAAAAAATGAGGGGGGTATGTCAAGGGGACAGAAGAAACAACTCAAAGAGCTCCCAATGGCCAAAGCTGGAACAATTTGAGCATCAAAATAATTAAAATAGTGTGAGATTATAACAGAAAGGAGAAAATGAATATCAGTGAGTCCATATTGGTATACATAACTGCAGAACAGCAAATAATTTAAGCACATACTTCATCCTCAAGGAGGTGGAGCACGAGTCTCATTAACCCCCTTAAATGTGGGTTGTGCAGTTATTTAGTGCATTATTTAATCCAATGAAAGTAGTATGGAAAACGGGTGGCAGGTGGAAATAAAATAAAAAACATTTCAGTGGAAAACCTGACAAACACTACCTCAGCCAGATGGTCAAGGTCAACATTAACAATGATAAGTTATGTTGATAGTGTGTGCCCATGATATTATGTAACAAAAATATCACTGTACCCCTTAATATTTCTTCCAAAAACCTGTAACTCCAATCTAATAATTAGAAAAATATCAGGCAACTCTCAATCAAGTGACATTCCACAAAATACCTGAACTGTTCTCAAAACTTTCAAGGTTATCAAAAATCAATGAAAGTATGAGAATCTGTCTCAGTCAAGAGGAGCCTAAGGTGACAGAACTCTCAATGCAATGTGATATTCTCAATGAGTTCCTAGAAGAAAAAAATATTTATTAGGTAAAAATTAAGCAAATCTGAACAAATTATGCACTTTATAATTACTTAATAATTATGTATCAATATAGGTTCATTCACTGTGACAAATGCTAATTTATGATGTTAATGATAGGGCTTACTGGGTATGAAGTAGATGGGAATGTTCTGTACTATCTTTATAATTTCATATAAATCTAAAGAGTTTAATTTTTAAAACTAAAAAATGAAGTTTACTGATAAATATATATTCAGAAATTTTTAAAATTCACCTGATTTGTTATGGTTCAGTGACAGAAGGTTGGTGTTCAAACAAGTCATGAAAGGAAACAAACAAAAAGAAAAGTTTACGTACAAAATGAATGGGACGATACATGTATTTTTTTCTTTGAAAATTACCCAGATTTTTGAAATGTTTATTGAGTCCAAATAAAGGGAAAAAACTTAATAAGGGTAAAACTTTTTTTTAAAAAAGATAATATCAAGTGGATACTTTCTTTATATATAACCAAATTTTCACATAAAAATGTGTACCTTTGCTTGTGATTTTAAAAATATATAATAACTGTTAAATCACAGGCCTGAAAATCAGATCAGACGTTGGTAGTAAACAATGCTCATACCTACATAAAACCCCGGAATATGAGAATGGATTCCTAAAATATAGAATATCCCACATTTCTGTCTAGCACAGAGAGAATGTTCAGATGGAGCACTTGAAGCCTTGTATATTTCACAGTGGGAGGACAATTATATTACAAAAACAAGTATAATGGCAAATTTCCCAAACAGAACATCCCAAGGACTGTAAAACCCTGAATCTGCACCGGGCACAAACTGAAAGGAAGGAAGGAAGGAAAAAGTGGCCATTACTTCTGTTCCTGGCCTCATTGCCCTGCTCCCTATCACCTGGGAGGCCCTATGTTCTTTGACTGCAGAATTTGGTACACACATCTCCTCTTGCGGACAGATTCCCATGCATCCTTCAAGCTGCCTCAAAGTTTTTTCTTTCATGATGTCTTTGGTGAAATTATCAGAGAGCATTAGCTGCTCTTGTCCCCAGAGTATTGTGCTTATTCTATTTATTACTTCAACTAATACCTATTGATAGGCTATTATGTTCTAGGTCCACATTTGTATTTCCAAGCCATCATTTCCTGAAATGTGTGACAGCATTGTCTGATTCACCTTCTAGATTATGACACACACTTGGTGGTCTCCTCCAAAAATGAAGGAGAGCATTTCTATAACCTCAAAATAAAACCCATATCCATCAGCTGTCACTCACCAACCTCCCTCCCTCAAGCACCGTTTATGTGCTTTCTGTCTAGATGGATTTGCTTATTCTGGCAATTTTATATAAATAGATTTATAGAATGTGTGTGCTTTTGTGTCTGACTTCTTTCACTTAGTATATTGTTTTCAAAGGTCAACCATTTTACGTTCCATATGAGAACACCATTCCTTTTCATGACTAATATTACATGGTATTGATAAGCTACATTGTGTTTATCCTTTATCAGTTGATAGACACTGGGACTGTTTCACTTTTTGGGTGTTATGAATAATGCTGCCATAAACATTTTTGTACAAATTCCTGGAAATGTGTCTTAAGTTATTTTGGATACATATCTAGATGAGGAATTGCTGGGTCTTACGGTAATGCTACACTTAGCTACTGAGGAGCTTCTAAACTTTTCAAAATGTCTGCGCCATTTTACATTCCTACTGTCGATAAATGAAAATTCCACTTCTTTCACATCCTTGTAAACACTTTTTTTACTTTTTGAATGTAGCCATTCTAGTATGTATGCAGTGATTTCATCAATTTTTTGCATTGCCCTAAAGATGAATAATATTAAATGTATTTTCATATGCTAATTGCTACTTACCTATCTTCTTTGGAGAATTGTCTATTCAAATCATTGGCTCAAATTTATTTCAATGTTCTGCCTTTTTATTGTTGTGTTGTAAGAGTTCTTTATGTATCGTGGGCATGAGTTTCTTATCAGATTTATGACACATAAATAATTTCTGCCACTATGTGGCTTGTATTTTTATTTTCTAGATGGTATTCTTTAAAGCACAAAATGTTTAGTTTTGATGAAGTCCAATATAAAGGGATTATTACATGGAATTGATTTATATGATTATGGAAGCTGAAACATCCTGAGATTTACAATTGGCAAGCTAGAGGCTCAGAATAACCAATGGTGTATTTCTTGTTGAAGTCTGAAGGCCTGAGAAACAAGAGAGCCCAGGTGAAGTTCCAGTCCAAATGATGGCAGGATCAAGACCCAGAAGGAGCTGAAATTTTGAGTCCAAAAGCAAGAAAAAACATCTTAGGTCAAAGGCAGTAAGTTCCCCTTTACTAGCAGGAGGTTCGCCCTTTTCGTTCTAGTCAGGCCTTCAACTGATTGGATAAGGCCCACCCACATTAGGGAAGCAATCTGCTTTATTTAGTCTACCACTTCAAATATTAATCTCATCCAAAAACACCCTCACAGACATATTCGGAATGTTTGGTCAAATGTGCACATCATGTTTCAGTCAAGTTGACACATAAAGTTAATCATCACTGGCTCTCAATTTTACTCATTGTGTCTTTATGTCTGCTTATACCAGTATCTCGTAGTCTTGATTACTCTACTTTTGTAGTAAGTTTTAAATTGGGAAGTGTAATTTATCCAATTTTTTTCTTTTTAAAAATCATTTTTATATTATAATGGATATATTATTTTTCAATATTTATTTTTGGATTTTTGCAAAAAACAATCCACTTGGATTTTTGGTAAGGCTTACACTGAACATATACAGCAATTTTGTATATCAATTTAGTGTATCTATATCAGGTCTTCTAAACCTTCCTTCGGGAAAATGAGATATCATTTCATTTTAAATTTTTAGTCAGATTATATTACAAAGTTTTAAAGTTTTCAGTCCACAAGTCTTGTTAAATTTATCCCAACTATTCTTTTGTATTCTGTTGTAAGTGGGATTGTTTCACACATTTCCTGTAAGGACTTTTCATTGCTTGGGTATAGAAATATATCTACTACATTGTAATTTTTGTTGTAATAATTCATTAGATTACATAGTTTTTCTGTGGATTCCTTATAAGTCTCTCTACATAAAATGAAACCTCTAGAAACGGAGATATTTTATTTCTTTTCTTTAAATTAGAATACCTTTTCCTTTTTTTCCCCCTATTTTCCTTGCTAGAACCTTCAATGTTAAAGAAAATAAATGGGAGTAGACATCCTGTCTTATTCCTGGTGTTAGGGGGAAAGCATTATATTTTTCACTGTAAATATAACATTACCTTTGGGTTTTTCATATGTAGCCTTTATTAGAATGAAGTAGTTCACTTCCATTCCTACTTTGTTACGTTTTTATTTTTTTGAATGAGTGCTCGATTCTGTCAAATGCATTTTTCTTCATCTACTAGGATGATGACTTTTTTGTCTTTTATTAATATGATTATTATAATCATAGTCACATGTTAAATCAATCTTGTATTCCTAGGTTAAATTCCAGTTTGTCGTATTGTATTATCCTTATGTATATTGTTGGACAATATTTACTGGTATTTTGTTAATAATTTTTGTATATATTTGCAAATTTAACTGTGATGCCTTTAAAAAAATTGGTTTTATCCTCAGGTTAATACTGGCCTCATAGAATAGATTGTGAAATGTCTATTATACTTCTCTAATATGGAAGAGCTAGTGAAAAGTTGATATTAATTTCTCTGTAAACATTTGATAAAATTACATGTGAAGCATTCTCAGCCTAGATGTTTCTTTGTTAATTTTTTTAAATCACTAACTCAATTTCCTTACATGTTATATGTGTATTCACGTTTTCTATTTCGTCTTTAGGCAGTTTCAGTAGTTCGTTTATCTGGAAATTTGCCAATTTCATATGTTATCTAATTTGTTTAAATACAACGCTCACAGTGTTCCCTTATAAACTTTTTAGAACAGATTTATATTTAGAGAAGATTGAGTATATAGTACAGAGAGTTCTCACATACCCTTTCTCCTCGCCACAACTTCCCTATTACAAGCATCTAGCATTTGTGGGGTATATTTGTTACAGCTGAGGATCCAATATTGATGCATTATAATTAACTGAAATAAATAATTCACCGTAGGTACTTCACTGTATAGTACCTTTTATGGATTTTAAGAAATATATAATATTGTACATCCATCATTAGAGTATTACAAATAATAGTTTTACTGCCCTAAATGTTCCTTGGGCTTTACTTGTTTATCCCTCCTATTTCACCCACTCAATCTGTGGCAACTACTGATCTTTTTATTGTCTCCATAATTTTGCATTTTGCATCACGGCATTCAGTATTAATCGTGTAATATGTAGGCTTTTCATACTGTCTTATTTTGTCTAGTAATATGCATTTTGTGTTATTTGTGCCTTTTCATGGCCTGATAACTCATTTCTTTCTGTCATTAAATAATATTCTATTGCACCAATGTACTAAAATTGTTTATCCTTCTACCATTTGAAGAAAATGTTGGTTGCTTCCACTTGTTGGCAATTATCAGTAACACTGACATGAATATTTTATGTGCAGACTTTTGTGTTTACATGAGATTACAACTTATTTGGGTAAATATTTAGGAGTACAATTGCTGAATCATATGGTAAGACTATGTGTAGCTTTGTAAGAAAGGCCAAATTGACTTCTGATGTGCCTGCACTATTTTGAATTCCCACAAGCAATAAATAAATGAGTGTTCCTGTTGTTCCACATCTTTGCCAGTATTGGTAATATTGGTTTCTTTGGGTTTTAGCCATTCTAATAGGTCTGTAGTGGCATCTCACTCTTGTTTTAATTTGCATTTCATTAACAACATACAAATTTGAGCATCTCTTTATAGGCTATTTGTCCTCTACACATCTTCTTTGAAGGGTGTGTTTTCCCAGATCATCCCAATGTTTTATTTTTTTTCCGTATTGTTGAGTTTTTTGACATTTTCAGTCAAAATAACTTCATTGAATATATATTTAACAAATATTTTCTCCCAGTCTGTGGCTTGTCTTTTCATGTTCATAGTGCATTTCACGAGCAAATATTCTTAATTCTAATTCATTTTCATGCATTGCACCTTTCAGATAGGTTCTAAGGAGTCATCACCAATTCCAAGGTCATTCACTTTCACCTATGTCATCTTTTACTCATTTTATCATTTCATGTTTCACTTTTAGGTCTATAATCCATCTGGAGCAAACTTTTGTGAAAGGTATAAAGTCAATGTCTAGATTAAATTTTTGGCATTTGAATGTACAGTTGTTCCAGCACCATTTGTTGAAAGGACTTCCCTTTGCTCTTTTGTCAAAGATTAGTTGACTACATTGGTGTGGGTCAATTTCTGGGCTACTTTTTCTGTTCCTTTGGTATGTTTATATTTTTCATTCATATTACAGTACTTGGATTTTTACTTTTATATTAAGTCTTGAAGTTGGGTAGTATCAGTTCTGACTTTATTCTTATTTTTCGGTATTGTATTACCTGTTCTGGGTCTTTTCCTTTCCACATAAACACCAGAAAATGTTTGTTAATATCTGAAAAATAACTTGCTAGACTTTGAATGAGATTGCCTTGAGTCTATAGATAAATTAGGGAGAAATTGACATCTTGAAAATTGAGTTTTCCTACCATAAACATGGAACATCTCTCTATTTATTTAGATATTTTACATTTCATTCATCAGAGTTCTGTAATTTTCTCTCATGTAGACCTTAAACCTATTTTCTTAGGTTTATTTCTACATACTTCATTTTTATTTGGTGCTCATGTAAACGGTACTATATTTTAAATTTCAAATCCAGTTTTTCAATGCAATTGACTTTTGTGTATTAACCTTTTATCCTGCTAGGTGGCTATAATCTATTTTAGTTTTATGAGATTTTTGTTTTGTTTCATTTTTTGTCAGTTATGTGAAATTATCTCCATAAAAAAATCATATATATTTATGAACAAAGATAGATTTTATTTTTCTTCTTTCCCAATCCTTATGACTTTTGTTTGTTTCTTGTGTTTTTTGCATTAGCCAGAACTTGAGTATAATATTGAATGGGAGTGGTAAGAAGAGACATATTTGTTTTGTTTCTCATCTTAGGAGAAAACATCTAATTTCCCAATACTAAACATAACATTAGCTCTGAAGTTGTTTCATCTATGTTTCTTATGAAGTTATGGAAAATCCTCTCTATTGTTAATTTGATGACAGTTGTTCTTAATCATGAATGGATGTGTCTGCATTTTGTTTCAAATGCCTTTTCTGCATTAATTGATATGAACATGTAATTTTTCTTCTTAGGCCTTTTGATGTGATGGATTACATTGATTTAAAAATACTGAGCCAGCCATGAACACCTAAGATAAATCCCACTTGATCATGGTATATGAGGCATTTTATATATTGTTGGATTTGATGCACTATAATTTCATGTAGAATTTTTGTATTTACTTATGAGAAATCCTGGTCTGTAGTTTTATTTTCTCATAATATCTTTATCCAGTTTTGGTATTAGGGTAATACTGGCCTCATACACTGATTTAGGAATTGCTTTTCTACTTCTATTTTCTGGAAGATATGAAATAGAATTGCAATCATTTCTTTATTAAACGTTTGGTAAAGTTCACCAGTAAAAAAAAAAAAAAAAATATGAGCTTGGCATTTTCTCTTGTGGAAAGTTAATTATTGCTTCAATTTCTTTCATATATATGGGCCTATTTAGGTGATCTATTTCTCTTGTGTGAGTTTTGGTAGGTTGTGTCTTTCAAGATACTGGTATGTTTCATCAAAGTTATCATGTTTTTGTCATAAAGTTATATGTAATCTGCTATTGTCCTTTTAAATTCAATGGGCTTACTACTGATAATTGTATTTCATTTCTGATACAGGAAATGTGTCTTCTCTATTTTTATTCTTTTATCAGCTTTTCAATTATCTTACTAATTTCAAAGAACCACTTTTTTTACTCACTGATTTTTTTCTATTGATTTCTTAGTTTTAAAAAATCATATTTTCCCTTCCTCTAATTTTGTTGTTGTTGTCACTCTTTGCTGTTGTTTGGTGTTGTTGTTTTATGAATAAACTTTTCTGGACTAATTCTGTAAAGTCTTTATTCTTTGTTGTGTGTATCCACATGAGTCTCTACTTGGGTAGTCTTACTGGAGAGAGATATCCTTAAACATCTTGAACCAACAAGTTTCTGAGATTTGGCCAATAGGCTCTTTGTATGTATCAGTGTACACTATCAGTGATCTTTGCGGTAGTTTACAAGTGTGTCGTGGGCTTCATTTCCTGCTTGTGTAGGGACTCAAGGTCAGGCAGAGGTTAGAAATCAGTGCTCTCTAAGGTCTCAGGTCTCTTTGCGGCATCTGTGCAGCCCTATGCATGAACACGGAGCCTAGATTCCCTGGAATTTGGTGAAATATTGTAAAGCCTCCAATGGATACGTAATCCTCAGGGTCTATTTTTTGGTTATCTTTTTGTTTACTTTAACTGGTAGTGCCACCTCAAATAACAGCAGTGTTGTGCAATTGCTGCTGGTTACTTTTGACAAATTTCCTGGAGCTAAGCTGCTCTCACACAGAGAGCCCAAAGTCAGGTGAAATGAAGTAAAATGCTAAGAATTAAATATTTCAGCCAGCCCCTAGTCTGGTCAAACTTGAAATGGGGGGTTAGGGAACTCCAAACCTCTGCTCTGCCTTCCATAGCTGTTAGGTTGCTGAATTTTGCAGCTATGCTATTGTGAGCCTATTGGTTTTCAAGGCTGCCAAAGTGTTAGATAGAGGGGAAGGGGATCAGGGCAGGCCAAGATACCACAAGGTTCACTGTTCATACTGAGATTCAGTCATTTTTCTTGAATAAACACTCTTCGGATTGTTTGTAAATCTTTAACTGACTTTCAGAGTTAAAAAATGTTCATTTGGACTTTTTCTGCCAGTGTTCTCATTGCTTCTGAAGGAATAGAAGATTTTCAAAAGTCTTTACTCTGACATTCCAGAAGTTGGTCCGCAAACACATATAGTTTTGATTATATGACTGCGTAGCTTTTTGTGAGGCAAGCAATAGCTCACTGAACCTGCAATTGTATGTACTATATCACAGTATATTATATCATGTTATATTATATTTAGTATACATAACATATTTATAGATGTGTTATATAAATATTATATATAGTATGTATCATAGCCATATATGTATGTGTTTTGTGCAATAAATTTTTTTTCACACTATATAAAAGGAAACAGATTATCTAATTACAATTAAAGTCAGCACTTTGCTGAAAGAAAAGTGAAAACATGAGTTTGAGATTAGTTGCATGTTTGATTCTATACCTTCCTCTGAAATGGACCTAGAGGAGGTAAAAAAACGTGGTTGCTCTTCCATGATGATTAAGTTATTCCAGAGGAGGATGGAATGGTTAAACAAACACAAATACACAACACATACACACACACACAACACACACACACACACAGCTGGCTTGCGCTTGTAAGACTACAGTGGTGGTCAAAACCTAAGTTCACTTGAAGTCCAGAAACCTTGAAATATTGATAAAGGCCTTGGAAGCAACTCAGCACAATTAAATCATTGTCCAATTTTAATACTTTGGACAATTTAATATTTTAATACTTTGGCCTGGGATAAAGAAAGCTGTTTTCTGTCCTGGAAGGAGTGGTGGTTCTAAAATGGGATATTCTTATTATTTTGAGATACGCCCCATCAATATACCCACAGCCAATATCATAATGAATGGGCAAAAACTGGAAGCATTCCCTTTGAAAACTGGCACAAGATAGGGATGCCTTCTCTCACCACTCCTATTCAACATAGCATTGGAAGTTCTGGCCAAGGCAATCAGGCAGGAGAAGGAAATAAAGGGTATTCAGTTAAGAAAAGAGGAAGCCAAATTGTCCCTGTTTGCAGATGACATGATTGTATATCTAGAAAACCTCATCGTCTCAGCCCAAAATCTCCTTAAGCTGATAGGCAACTTCAGCAAAGTCTCAGGATACAAAATCAATGTGCAAAAATCACAAGCATTCTTATACACCAATAGCAGACAAACAGAGAGCCAAATCATGAGTGAACTCCCATTCACAATTGCTTCAAAGAGAATAAAATACCTAGGAATCCAACTTACAAGGGATGTGAAGGACCTCTTCAAGGAGAACTACAAACCACTTCTCAATGAAATAAAAGAGGATACAAACAAATGGAAGAGCATTCCATGCTCATGGGCACGAAGAATCAATATCATGAAAATGGCCATATTGCCCAAGGTAATTTATAGATTCAATGCCATCCCCATCAAGCTACTAATGACTTTCTTCACAGAATTGGAAAAAAATACTTTAAAGTTCATATGGAACCAAAAAAGAGCCCGCATTGCCAAGTCAATCCTAAGCCAAAAGAACAAAGCTGGAGGCATCACGCTACTTGACTTCAAACTATACTACAAGGCTACAATAACCAAAACAGCATGGTACTGGTACTAAAACAGAGATATAGACCAATGGAACAGAACAGAGCCCTCAGAAATAATGCTGCATATCTACAACTATCTGATCTTTGACAAATCTGACAAAAAGAAGAAATGGGGAAAGGATTCCCTATTTAATAAATGGTGTTGGGAAAACTGGCTAGCCATATGTAGAAAGCTGAAACTGGATCCCTTCCTTACACCTTATACAAAAATTAATTCAAGATGGATTAAAGACTTAAATGTTAGACCAAAAAACCATAAAAACCCTATAAAAAAACCTAGGCAATACCATTCAGGACATAGGCATGGGCAAGGACTTCATGTCTAAAACACTAAAAGCAATGGCAACAAAAGCCAAAATTGACAAATGGGATCTAATTAAACTAAAGAGCTTCTGCACAACAAAAGAAAGTACCATCAGAGTGAACAGGCAACCTACAGAATGGGAGAAAATTTTTGCAACCTACTCGTCTGACAAAGGGCTAATATCCAGAATCTACAATGAACTCAAACAAATTTACAAGAAAAAAAACAAACAACCCTGTCAACAAGTGGGCAAAGGATATGAACAGACACTTCTCAAAAGGAGACATTTATGCAGCCAAAAGACACATGAAAAAATGCTCATCATCACTGGCCATCAGAGAAATGCAAATCAAAATCACAATGATATACCATCTCACACCAGTTAGAATAATGATCATTAAAAAGTCAGGAAACAACAGGTGCTGGAGAGGATGTGGAGAAATAGGAACAATTTTACATTGTTGGTGAGACTGTAAACTAGTTCAACCATTGTGGAAGTCAGTGTGGTGATTCCTCAGGGATCTAGAACTAGAAATACCATTTGACCCAGCCATCCCATTACTGGGTATATACCCAAAGGATTATAAATCATGCTGCTATAAAGACACATGCACACTTATGTTTATTGTGGCACTATTCACAATAGCAAAGACTTGGAACCAAACCAAATGTCCACGATGATAGACTGGATTAAGAAAATGTGGCACATATATACCATGGAATACTATGCAGCCATAAAAAAGGATGAGTTCATGTCCTTTGTAGGGCCATGGATGAAGCTGGAAACCATCATTCTCGGCAAACTATCGCAAAAACAAAAAACCAAACACCGTGTGTTCTCACTCATAGGTGGGAATTGAACAATGAGAACACATGGACACAGGAAGGGGAACATCACACACTGGGGCCTGTTGTGGGGTGGGGGGAGGGGGGACGGATAGCATTAGGAGATATACCTAATGTTAAATGACGAGTTAATGGGTGCAGCACACCACCATGTCATATGTATACATATATAACAAAGCTGCACGTTGTGCACATGTACCCTACAACTTAAAGTGTAATAAAAAAATAAATAAAATAAAATAAAATAAAATAAAATAAAATGGGATATTCATTCTACCCTTTAGGACCATTGCATGCTTTCTTTGTTTGCTATAGTCAATTAATTGACTGATTTTATAATAAATTGTAAATATATTTTATAATTATTGACTTAGTTTCTTTGAATTGGATTGGGAAATATTAAATGGATGTTTTCAGTTCTTCTATTAATTAGCAATATTCTATAACAGTAAAAATGTATTTTATTATGTACTACGAGTCAAGATGAAAATTAGTAGGTTGGTGAAACTAAAATGACAAATTTTTAAAAATTGTATAAATACACTGAAAATTCCTGTCATAAATAAACAACATTTGAAAAAATCCAACATTTCTAATGTGTTTGAGTGTCTGCCATTAATTTTCTGAAATGATACTTATGTCACATAACCCATGTTCTACATTCTTTTTTATATTACTTATATATGTGAGCTTAAAAACAGATCAGATAAAAGCAAAAAATGGAAATTTATGTTTTCCAGTTTTTATAAGATATCCATGAAGTCACTTTAGCTTTATGTATATGAGCTTTTTTTTTTTAAGGAATTCTGCATTACTTAACAAAAGAGGCTTGATAGCCTAAAACAATATGAAAAGGTAAAAAAAAAAAAAGAATCGTGTTTGCTGCTCATATATTGAATATTGAACATTTTTATTTAGTAATCCAGACTGGCTGAAAAATTTCCAAAAGATAGAGGGAAAGAATGGTTGAAAGGAAAAAAAAGTAACTTAAAATAAAACTATTTTCCCACAAAATGAAAGCCATCTTATACCCCATGTAATTATATTCTCCCTTCAGCAAAGCTTTATTTTAATCTAATAAAATATACTAATTTAATCAGTAGTCAAATATGTCTGTCACTTTTTACTAATAGAAATAATCTTAGCCTGATTTGTATAGAAAACAGAGATCACAAAAACATATGTTGTTGTGGCTGATTCCTTACTAGTAAGTGTGAAACCCAAGACTAAGTTTTCCTCTTAACCATTAATTCTTCCCCACCCCAAACCCTCATCCCCAGCCTTGCCCCTCTCTGGTTCTAATGAAGTTACTTATTTAAGCCATCTCTTTTCCCAGGCAAGGGGAAGTGAGATCAGTATGCTTGCCCTTATTTTATACAAGCAAAAAGAAGAGCTTAAGGTCCTGCGCATATTGCTGGTTACTGGTAGATATGCAGAGTCACCATCTGCAGTGTCTGGTGGTCCAGGTTATCTTTATTCAACTTCATAGCAGGTCAGAAGTGGAAGCACATGAAAGAATGAGATAAAGTATGGTTACCAGCTCCCCGGGGAAAAGGCTTGAGCAGGATATGGAGATAGGGCCAGGCAATAAACTTGGGTCTCTCCTGTTCTGCCTGGTGCAACTTCAGGAAGGCATTCAGCAATTTGATATCCACTCCATGGAGCATGATGAAGTGGGTACAGGCTTTTCAACTGCCAGATGAGCCCTCCTTCCCTTAGGCAAGTGCCTCTGGACACAGGCTGCCTCAGCTGTGGCCTGGCCAGTACAGAAACCGAGGACCCAGCTGCTGTCGGAACAGGTTATCATTACTCTTAATTCACCTGCTTATTCTAGAGATTAGAAAGAAAATATATATCCCTGACTAAAAATATAATTATCAAATTTATAATTATTATAATCGTAAAAATCCACAAGTTATATTCCTCAGAAAATCAAGACAATGAAAGGTATACTCTGTAAATGTGCTTAGAATTCAGAAGAAAAGTATAAAAACTAGTTATGAGTAGAGAAAAATAAAGAGACAGAAAAATGTAAAATAAAATTCAATTTATATAAAATTGCAACTTCATTAAAAAGTCAGAACTGATAAAATATTGAATAAAAATATTTTTTTCATCTGTAAGGAGAATTAAAACTTTCTGAGTCATCAAACAAAATTAATAAATCATCCCCCATATATATCCTGGTCATTTTTGCAAATTATAAGGATTTTTTTAATTGATAAAGCAACATATGAGTGATTCTTCTGGTTGTAGATGTAGCTTCCTTCAACTGCTATTAAAAATGCAAGTCATAGTGAAGCTGCCAAATACCAAACATTCCCTCTGAAGAAAACAATGCAAAAAACCGGGAAAAAATTCTTCTTCCAAATGAGTAAATGAAAATGAATTGAAGAAGAATAAAGCAATTCAAGGTTCCAACTAATGATACTGAAGATTCATGAAAAGACGATGATAAGAAAGATATGATTAACCACAGATATTCAGACTGTTTTTAAGTAGATATTTACACTTTTCCAAAGCAGCAGCTAATCTTCATGGAACCAGCAAGTGGGTAGTAAAATTATTGACTACATCCCATTACCTAATACAATAAGTGAATTGTCTTAAGTATTTGGCATTATTAAGAATACTGGTTAAAGACCAGAAAGTAGACATGAGTTTCCTTTTACCCAGCAAGTTAACATCTTCTGTTCAGTTTCTGTGTCCTCACTAAGGACCTACTCTTTGATGGCAGAATATTCCCTTTAAGACACATGTTTTCTCTGTCAAACCACAGTATTATGCTTTTTTCTATGATTTCAAGAGGATATAAATATCATAATATGATGATTAAAAAGTGTACATTTAATTAGAAGATGGCTGATCTTCTTATATAGATCCTGAAATACAAATCCAAATTAATTTCATATGGTGTCTTAGTCAGTTTTGGATGCTCTGAGAAATTCCACTCTGGGGACTGTTGTGGGGTGGGGGGAGGGGGGAGGGATAGCATTGGGAGATATACCTAATGCTAGATGACGTCTTAGTGGGTGCAGCGCACCAGTATGTCACATGTATACATATGTAACTAACCTGCACATTGTGCACATGTACCCTAAAACTTAAAGTATAATAAAAAATAAAATAAATAAATAAATAAATAAATAAATAAATAAAAAGAAATTCCCACAGACTGGGCAGCTTAGACATAACACAAATTTATTTCTCACGGTTCTGGAAGCTAGAAGTCTGAGATCAGGGTGTCAGTATGGTCAGGTATTAGGAAGGGCTTTCTTACATGTGAAGACGACAGACTGCATTTCATGTGCAAACTGCATTGTATTCTCACATAGCAGAAAGCAAAAGAAGCAAGCTCTCTCCCAACCCTTACAAGAGCACTAATTTCATGCTCATTAGACTTCATCTAATCTTAATTACCTCCAACGATGCCACTTCCTATTATCATCACATAGGAGATAAGATTTCAGCATGAATTTTATGGAGACATTCACTCCATAACAAATGGACAAGTGTAAAGAGCATTACATTACTAAAATAATCTAGAAGACAATTGAAACTCTGAGCTGCACAATAAAAGCAGATATAATGAGAGATTTGATTAAATATCAAAAACTTCAACAGTAAAGACAAATATCTAAATGGAGAAGTAACATTTGCAATGTAAAATAATAAATATAGGGTGGAGGAATTTCTTAAAACTAATAGAATAAATCTTACAGTGGACAAAGGCCGGAATTAGCAGTTCAAACAGGTAACTAAAAGTCAATAAATATACTAAAATGTTCTAGGCATGTAACATTCAACAAAACAAGATAAAAACGAAAAACGTATGTTTTGCTGTTGTTTAAATATTTAATTTATGTTCATTTACATATATATAAAATTTGTGAAATGTAAAGTATTCAAATAGGTATAAATGTAACAATTAAATGAAACAGAAAAATTTTCCTTTATCTTACCTAATGTCATTATGCTTTTTATCTCTCCCTAAAGGCAGCGTCTGTTAACATTCTGCTATGCACATTTTAATAAGTACACTTTAAACGAACAGTAGGCTCTTACTCATTTTATGGTTTTGGATCTTGCTTTTCATTTGATAAGAAGATTGAGAGACATTTTCCCACCCCATATATGTGTTTCTGAATTTATAACTTTTTCCGAATACCATCATGTGTTATATATTCTAGATTCTCCATTATGTATTCACCATTCCTATAGAGATATTGATTTGCCCTCACTTGATTGCCATGCAAAAAATTTTTGGGGAGACAACCTTATTGATACAATTTGGTTCAGTAGACATGTGTAGTTTTAGCACTCACCCTGTCTCTTGGGACAACCTTCCTCCTTTTTCCAAACTTCAATTCAGAAATCACAGAGTTAGTCATCTATTTTTAGAACTTTGTATTATTTTATCGAGTATTGTTCATGATATGAATGCAAATGCAAGTAACCAGTAAAAATTAAGTATTGTTGCTTTTTGATTCCATAATTCTGCCTTAATTTGGTCATATTTCCTTATTCTAATAAAATATCATTCTATTAAGCAATAAAATATTTTCTTTTTTATTAAAGATAGACGTTTTTCACTTTGTTTTACTTTCGTTATTGGCACTGAGTTGCTAAGAACAGGACAGAAGTAACAACTTTGTTTCACCATATTTAACTGAAAATCAGTCTATTTGTAGTGATATTTGTTCTTATCTACATTGTGTAACATAAAATTTAGAATATCATATATAAAATTATTAGGATATTGATATTACATCTCTGCTCTTTATTGAAATTACATCCAGTAAACTATTATTCTGATATAACATTGTATCAAGAATATTTTCCATTTTACTGAATATTTTTAAAGCAAGTTATTTAATAACTACAAACACAATTCATCTTATGCAAGTATGTTACTTAAACCATACAGTTATTGCTTGATATTAAATGTTTTTTTAATTGTCAGATAAAAGTGTATGTACTTACTGTGTACATAATGAGCTCTGAAATATACATACATTGCAGAATGATTAGATCTAGATAACTAACACATGCATTACCTCACATAGCTATTATTTTCCTGGTAAGAACACTTAATATTCACTGTTTTAGCATTACCAAGAATACAGTATATTAATAACTATAGTCATTTATTTTATGAGATCAACATTTTAAAATTTCACATATGAGATCTCACTTATGAAGTAGTTCTCTTTCTTTGCCTGGCTTATTTCACTTACCATAGTGTTCTCCAGGTTTGCCCATACTGTAAATGACATAATTTCCTTCTTTTCCTTGGTTGAATAGTATGTAATAGGATTGAATTGTGTATATGACCCACATTTTCTTTGTCCGTTCATCTATGGATACATACTTAGGTTTAGTCCATATCTTGGCTGTTGTAAATAAGGCTGCAATAAACATGAGAGTGCAAATATTTCTTTTATATAATGCTTTTATTTCCTTTGATGTATATCCAGCAGTGGGATTGCAGGATTTTATGGTTGTTCTTTTTATGATTTTCTGAGGAATCCTCATATTGTTTTCTATAACAGAAGTATTAATCTCCATATCCTTCTACAGTGTGCACTGTTTTCCTTTTCTCCACCTTCTTACCAAAATTTATCTTTTGTGTTTTTCATAACAGCCACTCAAACAGATTCATGGTGATATCTCATTGTGAATTTAATTTGCTTTTATCTGATGATTAGTGATGTTGACAATTTTTAAAATAGACTTGTTGACCTTTGTATATTTTCCTTTAAGAAATGTCTATTCAATCCCTATGCCCACTTTTTTAATGGCTTATTTCTTTTCTTGATACTGAGTTGTTTGTGTTCTTTATATGTTTTGGATATTAGCCCCTTATCAGATGTATGGTTTTCAAGTGTGTTATCTCATTCTGTAGGATGTCCCTTTACACTGTTGATCATATTTTTTGCTGTTCAGAAGCTTTTTAGTTTATAAAAAGAGACAAAGCTGTGCAGACACATTTAATTTGGAAAGGAGACAAAGAAGTTCCTTATATAATGATAAAGGGGTTTCAGCAAGACAATATAACAATTGTAAATATTTGTGCACCCAACATTGGAATACCTAAATATATACATCAAGTATTAATAGATCTGAAGGTAGAGATAAAGTGCAATACAATAATAGTAGGAGACTGCAACATCCCGCTATCTGTAATGGACAGGTCATTCAGACAGAAAACCAATAAGAAAACATTAGATTTAAACTACAGACTAAATCAAAGTAACCTAAGAGACAACTACAGAATATTCCATCCAAGAGCAGAAAAATACACATTCCTTTCATCTGCACATGAAACATTCTCCAGGACAGATTATATTTTAGGCCACAAATGAAATCGTACAAAATTTAAAAAGGTTGAACTTACATCAAGTTTCTTTTCTGATTATAATGTTCTGACCATAATGGTATGAAACGAGAAATCAATAACAGGAGAAACATGGAAATTAAACAACATGCTCCTAAATACCCAATGGATAAATAAAGAAATTAAATAGTCTATTCAGCCTCTCAATTAAGGGAATTGAGGTCCACCCCCATTAGCGAGGGCAGTGTGATTTACTCAGTCTACAGAATTCAGTGTTAATGTCATCTAGAAGCAACCTCACAGATACATGCAGAATCATGGTTGGTCAAATGCCAGGGTACTCTATGACCCAGCCAAGTTGACACATAAATTTAACCATCGCATCCACTATGAAATACATTCCTATGACATCGTAATACTGTAGAGTATAGCAACTGTGGTGATGCCTCATTTGTGCCTACAACAGGCCATACTGATGCTCTGTCAGTCTGTCACCTCTGGAAGATAAGTGCGAATCCATGCTGTTGGTCTCCATCTGTGCTACCGGGTCATTCTGTTCCCTAAATCACATGTGTCTTATACTTTCAGGGTGCTAGCCATTTGAAGAGATCAACATGTTATCCTCAATGAAATGGATTCATGTTCTACTCTGCAATATATAGATAGGTCACATCCCTTTGGCTTACATTATGACAGAGGATTTGACATAGTCTGAGGTCAAATTTTATAAAGGTTTATTGTATATTTTAATGAAATAAAATTCTTTGTAATATATTTCTCTCATTGACATAGAAAAGAATGCACATGCCATATCAATGTCCACATCAGGAACCTGGAGCTGTTATCTGCTCTAACAAAGTTACCATCTCTGTCATGGCAGTTGTAATAAGGGAAACTAACTACTGAATTCAGCTTGTAATGATATATAATCATCTTTCAAGATCCATCTGGTTTCTGCAAAGAAAACACTAGATAACCTAAATGAAGGTGAGATGAGGACCACCATCCATACATCTTTTACAGACATAAGGCTGGCATAAATCTGCTAATCTCTGCCATACACACAGGACCAATTTTTTCAGTAATTTGGTCATGGAAGGGGAAATTTCAGGGGCTTACACTTAGCTTTCCCCATACATATATACGATGGAACACTCTTTAGCCATAAAACAATGAAATTCTGTCATTTGTGGCAACAATGGATGAACCTGGATGCTGATGTCTGCTATATTATATATGTTCATCATGGATGAACCTGATGTTAATCTCTGCTATTTTTATATATATTTTTGAGAATTCCCATAACAAAATGTTATCTAACCACAAAACAGAGAAGCAGCAATGAGTTTAACATTTATGTACTTAAAATATACAACATTTATTTATTTCGTTTACTTAAATTATATAATAAACTTGTATAAAATTTGACCTCAGATAATAGAGAGCTTTGTACTTACTACATACACACACACACACACACACACACACACACACACACAGCGTTTATCTTGAAGAGATGTGGGGAAGAGAGTGAAATAATCAGCTTTGAAAGTGAGAATACACTGTTATTAATTTGGACATAAATTTATGCAGAAATAAGGAGATCATTACAACTTTCTTTGGTTTCTGTAATCCCAGTCCCTGATACACCATTATGTGCTGGCTTTTTTTACAGAAAGATAATAGAATAATGAGAAAAATAAAGATCATTTTATAACGAGATATGAAAACTAAAGGGATGAGGTACTCCTTGGTATGGTGACAAAAAAAGCCCTCATGTCTTGCAGCAGGAGTGCATAGAAAGCCAAGCATGAAACGCAATATTTATTGGACTGTGTGATTAACTTCAGAGGAGGTTAAGCCCTCAAGGAAGACAGATTTGTTATGCCAAAGAGAGAGCTTCATTGGGAAAATGTGAGATTCTGCAACAGGATTTAGGTATGCAGGTGACTGTCCTTGGAGGATTGATTGCTCTGTCTCTTCTGAAACATCTAAGCTTGCAGATATATCTCATTTCTCCCTATTAAGAGTGATCAGCTCCATAATCCTGAAAGGCAATATACTCAAAATCTGCCTTCACATCTTCTTTGGACCACCTGGCTTTTACCTAGGTTTAAGTCAGAAAATTAACCAGCTGAAGATGCACTGGGCTTGATAAAGAAAGAACTGTAATTTAAAGACTACAAGCTTAGCTGACAAGTATTGCCAGCAGCCTGGGAAGTGTGAGTGGCACAAGATTAGAAGATTCTTCACGAAAGGGCTGAAATATAAAGTTTGAAAAGAAAGAGTTTATTTAGCTGAGAATACTCTCTGGAGATAAAGGATTTCTCAAGCTGGAAAGAACCTCAGGAGAGCCTGCAAACTACCTAATAAGTTGGCTCTCAGTGGCATGGTATACACAATGGCCAAGCTGAGCAAAATTGAAATGCTTAGAATTGCCGTTTCTGATGATGGATAAAGAGAATAAAAAGTTCAGGGTAGTGGATTTGCTAGCATGGATAAAATATGTAGAGCCTGAAGATGAGCAAGATGATAATGTTATTTGGGAAGGCTGAGAAGACACACGATTTATCAGGGCCACAAGAATGCCCCAGTGAGAAACGTAGCAGCATCACTAAAAAGTTCAGCAGTGGCTCTACCTTGCAGTTCAAGGATGGAGGTAGGAAAGACTGTCAGAAAATTTGTCTTGCTGAAAACAATGAGTTATGAATGGACTTTGAAATAAGAGAGTCTAGGCGGTGGCACTTAACAGATAGTACCCAGGTTGTGTTTAACCACAGATATGTAATGGCAAGCAAAGTTGAATTAGCAGCCCCAGGAACCAAATACTTGGGGACTTATAATGACTTAACAGAATGTGACCTCCCTGGGGACAAAATAGATTGGTGGAAGACAAATACACTATTCAGCTTAAACCAGTGGAAGAAGCCAAGGTTTGTCTATTAGTCCTTTTCATGCAGCTGATAAAGACATACCTGAGACTGGCATGTCTCAGGGTAACTTACAAAAGAACAACAACTTACGAAAGAAAGAGCAACTTACGAAAGAAAGAGCAACTTACAAAAGAAAGAGGTTTATTGGACTTACAGCTCCACATGGCTTGAGAGGCCTCACAATCATGATGGAAGGTGAAAGGCGAGGAGGAACAAGTCATATCTTACATGGATGGTGGCAGGCAACGAGACAGAGAGAGCTTGTGGAGGGAAACTCCCATTTTTAAAACCATCAGATCTCATGAGACTTATTCACTATCACAAGAACAGCATGGGAAAGACCCACCCCCATGATTAAACCATCTCCCACCAGGTCCCTCCCACACCATGTGGGAATTATGGAAGCTACAAGATGAGATTTGGGTGGGGACACAGAACTAAACGATATCAGTTTGGTAACAGGGAATCTGAGGGAGGCCATCTTAAGAAAAATTTCCTTTTACCTTGGATAGTTTTCAGACCTGAGCCATTGAGCAGACCTCACCCATTAAACACAGTTGACTTCTTTCTGAAGTGCAATTATTCTCCAGGACCATAGCACGTATACATAGAAATTATTTCTTCACCATTTACCAAAGGGAAGTAAGACCATACAGTCAGTTAATTGGACATTGGGAAATGGGAGCTACTCACATTTTTCTAATACAGGGTGTAGGGTCTAATAGACATTAAAACATGGATACTTTGAGACATTACCGTAGCTTTCTTATTTGTTGGGAACATATGGGAGCCAGGTGAAAACCAGCTTATATGGACCATATTGATGAACCCTAGACCCTGAGTATTTAATTGTCATTGACATACTTGAAAGTTAGCACAACCTCAAAATTGGGCTCTTGGTAGAAAAGAACTAATATGATAGGGAAAGCTAAGTGAAAGCCCCTGAAATTTCTCCTTCCATGACCAAATTACTGAAAAAAATCAGTCCTGTGTGTATGGCAGGGATTAGCAGATTTATGCCAGCCTTATGTCTGTAAGAGATGTAGGGATGGTGGTCCTCATCTCACCTTCATTTAGATTATCTACTGTTTCCTTTGCAGAAACCAGATGGATCTTGAAAGATGATTATATGTCATTACAAGGTCAATCCAATAGTTAGTTGCCCTGATTAGAACTGCCATGACAGAGATGGCAACTTTGTTAGAGCAGATAACAACTCCAGTTTCCTCGTGTGGGCATTAATATGGCATGTGCATTATCTTCTGTTTCAATGAGAGAAATGTATCACAAAGAACTTTATGTCATTAAAATATACAATAAGCCTTTGTAAAATTTGACCTCAGGCTATGTTAACTCCTCTCTCCTCTGTCATAATGTAAGCCAAAAGGATGTGAACTATCAATATATTGCACAGAGCAGTACATGAATCCATTTCATTGAGGATAACATGTTGATCTCTTCAAATGGCTAGCATCCTGAAAGTATAAGACACATGTGATTTAGAGAACAAAATGACCCGGTAGCAGGGATGGAGATCAATAGCATGGAATCCCACTTACCTTCCAGAGGTGACCAGACTGACAGAGCATCAGTATGGCCTGTTGTAGGCACAAATGAGGCATCACCACAGTTGCTATACTCTACATTATTGCGGTGTCATAGGAATGGATTTCATAGTGGATGTGATGGTTAAATTTATGTGTCAACTTGACTGGGTCATAGAGTACCCTGGCATTTGACCAACCATGATTCTGCATGTATCTGTGAGGATGCTTCTAGATGACATTAACATTGAATTCTGTAGACTGAGTAAAGCACACTGCCCTCGCTAATGGGGGTGGACCTCAATTCCTTTAATTGAGAGCCTGAATAGAACAAAAAAAAAAAAAAGAGAGAGAGAGAACTCTCTTCCTGTCTGACTGCTTGAGCTGGAACATCATTCTTTTTTTTTTTTTTTTTTTTTTTTTTTTTTTTTGAGACGGAGTCTCGCTCTGTCGCCCAGGCCGGACTGCGAACTGCAGTGGCGCAATCTCGGCTCACTGCAAGCTCCGCTTCCCGGGTTCACGCCATTCTCCTGCCTCAGCCTCCCGAGTAGCTGGGACTACAGGCGCCCGCCACCGCGCCCGGCTAATTTTTTGTATTTTTAGTAGAGACGGGGTTTCACCTTGTTAACCAGGATGGTCTCGATCTCCTGACCTCGTGATCCACCTGCCTTGGCCTCCCAAAGTGCTGGGATTACAGGCGTGAGCCACCGCGCCCGGCCTGGAACATCATTCTTTTCCTGACTTCAGAAGAACTGAAACATCCACTCTTCTTGAATCTCTAAACTGCTGATTTTTGGACGGGAACTTTTTTTTTTTTTTTTTTTTTTTTTAGTTTTTATTTTTTTGAGACAGAATCTTGCTCTTTTGCCCGGGCTGTAGTGCATTGTTATAACCATGGTTCACTTGCAGCCTCGGTCTCCTGAGTTGCTGGGACTACACGCACGCACCACCATGCATGGGCCACTGTGCCTGGCCTACACTGGAAATTACACCATTGACTTTCCTGATTCCTAACCTTCAGACTTTGTTAGAGCAGATAACAACTCCAGGTTCCTGGTGTGGACATTGATATGGCATGTGCATTCTTTTCAGACTTGTACTGGGACTACACCATTAGCTTTCTTAGGTCTCCAGCTTGCTGACAGCAAATCTTGGGGCTTGTCAGCCTCAATAACTATGTGAGCCAATAGTGTGTGTGTGTGTGTGTGTGTGTGTGTGTGTGTGTGTGTGTGTGTGTGCGTGAATGACATAAGTCTGATGCAGGAAGACTCAACCTTTCTAACTCTGTATTGTCCTGCATGCTACAGGCCTTGCCTTCCAAAGTGATGACTCACTTTCAATGTTATATATATTTTTTTGATATTGTTTTCTGAGACCTGCTTATTCTGGATTTATTTACTCCTAGCACTTCGACAATCTTTCATAGGATTCCCAGTGTTACCATCTTCTCAGCTTGAATTGTATTGTCAAATGTTTTCCTCTATGGTAGGTCTTTGTCTTTATGACAAACTGTATTATGCTACTTTCACTGATGCCTTGGAATTTAGGCTCAGATGGTTTGATCTTCTCATTGTCCTACTGTGTTTCCTTTAGTCTTCTCTTACAAAGTTCTGGAGCCTGCACATTTTCTTATAGTATTGTACTTAGTTCACACACTGTTGTTCTACATCCTTTTGAGAGCAAGTTTTTATTTGTTACTCTTGAATTCCATAACCTCTCTGCTTCTTCACTGTTTCCCTTTTTCTTGTCACCTACCCTTGGACAATAGCTAGTCCAGCATGGATTTAAAGCCGTGAAGGGCACTGGCCATGCCACTCACCCTCAGGAGTTCCACAAGCATTCAAGAAACTCCTATGTGGTTTCAGGGAGTATGTTGTTTGTTCATAAATTATTTGTTGTTCTATTTTTTTTTTTGGTCAGTCTGGTATTCATGCTAGAATTTAGAGAAATTTCAAGACATTGCTGTAGCCATGACCCCATTGCTATTGGGTCAAAATTCATGTTTGGTCTTCATTTATAATATTAAACTTATATATTCCCTCTAGAAAATCCACTAAATTTGATGTGTTTACATAGATTATAGATAAATCAATGCACATATCATATTTAAGAAATTATGTATTAGTTTTTTGTTCTGTATTATGTATTATATAGTATGCATTATTAATTGTATACTGTATTTCACACATAACAGATTGAATAATATAAATCTGATTAGTAAATTTCTGTAGAATTTTTATACAATCTTATTTTGACCTTATAACAAAATATACTTAATTTATGCAACTTTCTCTGTTTAATCATAAGCTATTTGAGAAATAAAATTGTATTTTATTAATGTTTGTGACACCGGTCACTAAAAATAATATCTAATATGTATTAATAATTAAAAATTGTTACATATCAGACTTAAAATACTTCCCTTCTTAAACATCAGTATTTTCAACAAACAACCTAAACACTGGAATATATCATCAAAATTAAGCAATTATGAAGCTGGGAAAAATAGTAGTTAAAAATCACAGACAACATGACCCAAATCATATTGCAGAAAAATATATATTCAAGTTTCATATATAAATATTCACAGTTGAATTAATTTTTATATATATGTATGTGTATATATATTATACATATATATACACGTACATTTATACGTATATATGTATATATACACGTATATATGTATATATACACGTATATATATGTGTATCTATGTATATATACATATATATATAATATATATGTAAATATATGTATGTATGTATATATGTATATATAATATATATGTATATATAATATATGTACATATGTATATATATATAATATATGTATATATATGTGTATATATAATGTATATATATGTGTATATATAATCTCCATAATGTCTTAATCATTCCTGAACATAAAATGTTTCCTGGGGAATTTCTAAAATAGCATGTGAGATAAAAATGTCTAAAATTGTATAAATTTTTAAACAGCTATTTATTTGGTAAGATACAGTAGCATAACAATCTTGACACTTATAGTTCTCTAAATTTTACTTTTAAAATATACTTTTTAAGAAGTAATGGAAAATAAATATTTGATTTAGATATTGAAATTATTTCCTAATCTGGACATCATCCTACACACAATGAAACAAAACATTAACAAAAACTTCCTTAATGGACTGAATTTTGGGGGAAGATGATATTTGGGAAGGGGAAGAAAAAAAGCCTGCATTTTATACATGTTTTCTTTTCTTCTTACTTGTTACTAATATTCTGTTTTCATTCTCGAAGTATAAATAAATTAGTCCCTTAAATCTCACCATTGATACTTTCAGAAAACAAATTTATTGAGGAAAATTTTACCTTATATTACTGTTTGAATGTGTTCCTTCATATTTGTGAAAGGGTATATCAGATTTGACTTTCCAGGTCTATAGTTCCTCACTATCCTGTAAGTATGTTTCTCTGTACCACACCATATTATTCTAATGCAGAGTTTTTGAAAGAAACAGTTATAACTAGGACTATCTTGAAAGATTTTGCAATTTTAGTTCAAATAACTCTGAAGTTTATAGACAAATTAAATTCTGCAGACAAGTCTTTTCCATTCTTGGAGGACAAACCTTGCACATTTTCAAAAATGTCTTTGACTTTCACTGTCCATTTCATCCAAGCAATCAATTTATCTTTCTCTGTGGAGTGTGTGAACAGGACTCCATTGCCAATTGACTGGTGGCAGGGATTTCCCTGACTAGCTGCCCCTTTTGCTGCTTTTCTAGTGCTGTCACTAGAGAGAAATGACTCTATGCCATCGAAAGGAAACACTTCCTGACACATAGTGCTATCTATGTAAAAAGACAACAATGCACATGCAACTAATACTATATATATACCTTTAAAGATCTGCATCTATACCTAAATTTTCCAATGTATGTGAATTTTGTCCTTCCATATGGTGGCCATAATTAGTTTTATGCATCAATTTATCCTAAATTTGGCATAAGATGTTTAATACAGACATGATTTATTTAATTTGGAAAGATATTCTTTGCAAAACCTCTCTTCACCTTCCTTCTTCTTAATAGAGATTGTGCTTTGCATGGAGGCACAAACCATTCTAATATGCCTAAAAGAGTCTGCAAATGAATATATCTTATTGGGGATGAGATAATGGCCATTGGCTTCTGTATGTAAAGATTGATGGGTGAAGATCATCTTTGATAGTCTGCTGTATGTTTTTTTGAAATTGTTTTTACAGAACATTTTATTTTATTTTCCCATCTCTTTACCTCATGCCTAGATATCTAAGCAATATTAAAAATTACCCTAATTTAAATAGAATGTAGAAATGTTTCTTCCTTAGTGTAAACCCAAGGTACTGGGGTTCTCTCCTGGTGTATTTCTATTTCAAAAATCATTACAAATGGACAATTAAATATACTGCTACCTAGGACATTAAGAATAGTAATTTATAATGAGATATTTGCTAAGCAAAATGATCTTAATTATCCAAACAATTCCACCCAGAAAATCTATTAGTAAGGAGAGTCTTACTAATAGAAATAAGTCAGAAGTTCTTGATATTCAGGATTGTTGTTGAGTTAGTATTTTAGTAGAGTCTTGTGGTATGGAATTTAAATTAATGTCTTACTTTTCTTCTTTCCTAGTATACAAGAGAGAATATTTTATGTGTGTGTAAAGATTACAACCCTTGCATCAGATTAATTCTCATCAATTTTCATTACTAAAATTAAAATCCCTAGCTTTTTCTCGTTACTTAAGGGTATTACTTCAATGCTTCTTAAATGTATAAAGACCATTTATATTGTATTTGTTGGATATTCTGGTCCTTTTTTTGTACCTATCACAGTCAAAATACAAATAACAGATTATGATAGTATAATAATTCACATATCTTTCAGTTTTATGTTATTTTCTTTGCTTGGTTGTGTTTTAAGAGATCATAAGATTCTTTGAGATGAGTATTTTTTGTTATTAAAATATGGTTATTGTTGGTGAAAAAAACTTTATATTATAAATGCCTTTGAAAATAATGAACAACTTGACAAAGTTTATATGTGCAGTGTAATCAACCATTGTCTTAAAACAATGCCACTATTGACTAGCTAAGAAATATGCTAAAATGCCTTTGCAACATTCCTTATTTATTATTCCTCCTGGAAATCATTTAGGTAGTACTCATTTGGTGTATTCAAAAGTTTACGTATATGACTTTTAGGAGTATAACTTTTATTTTGCTAAAAAATGATGGAATAACAAAAGTTCTCTAGGCTCTATAATGGTAAATTTGAATGTTAAATAATTTAGCTTTACAAGAAAAAATATCTATGCAGAATACCTGTAGACCCAAGAATAATTTTTTTATGTGTGTGTGTATATAAAGTTTGTTAATTTCTCATCATTTTAGCCACAGAAAACACTATACATTGCACATGTGTTTATATTAAGTGGCGCTACTTTGGGGGGAAATTAAGAAAAAGCCCATTAATCCAGTTTAGATGTTAACAATGCCCTCATTGGACATTTTTATTGCACTAAACCTGAATGTCTATTGCCACTGTGTGAACCTATATGTCCTTGATCAATATTTCTTATTTAATCTTTTATACTTGCTTAAAAACATTAAAAGTGGCTACACATAACACAGGTAAAATACCATTACTCCAGGAATATCTTAGAGCAATAATTCACAGTGACCGCATGTTCTTGGGTTAGTCTGCTTGGTTTAGATTTTGCTTTAACTTATTATTACCTATGCCACCTTGATAAAGTTACATGACTTCTTAAAATAGCAGCTACCTTATATATAAAATGGGGTAAATCTAATATTTCTAGATTTTTGCAAAGATTAATATGATAAAGTACACAGATAATTATATCAATTCTAGATACTTAGAAAACAGGTAATATGTGGTAGTCAATTTGAGAGCTAGTCCAAGGCATTAGCTATGCTTTTTCTTCCAGGATCAAGATAATCAACAAATGGCACTCGAAGTTTTGAAAATGTTATTTTTTGAGCTGAAGAAAAAAAGTTGAGACTTCCTGATAAGATGGCATCAGAATCACCCATTTTACCATCTTGACATCATTTCTTTGGCACAGAAAAGTTGATTCCTTCCTATCATGAAGCTAACATACCTTGTTTGCCTTTTGAAAATTTATGCTGCTATTAAACGTCAAAAACTGTGTCACATGGAAATGTCTTCCTGGCAGGGTGTGCCGTTACTGTTGAATCATCTGTTTGTTCTATCATTAAGTACAAAAGCTTTGAAGTAAGACCTAAAGCCAAAATTCTCACAGATGTTGCATGGAAATAAACTTCAAAAAGGATGCACAGTGTTCATTCATAGACAGATAAACATCTGTGAGAGAGAGAGAAACAGAAAAGAAAACAAGAGAGACAGAGCAACTCACTTAAAGGCTTATCTTTGAACAAAAAAGGCCCTGGGCCTTCTCTTTCGAATTGATGTCTCTGTTTATATAGCTTCCTGCCTCTGTACTAGGTGACTATCGAAGTCCCACTTTTTGAACTAATTTACACTGACCTCTTCCTAGTTTCCAATAGTTTCTTTCATGGGGGGTTTGTTTTCTTTAATGAGGCTCAGCTAGGACCGGGGTAAACAAAAGGAAATAGACATCCTTCAACAGATTCTGCCTGCACTGAGGCTGACATTTGAAGAAGAGGAGGGGCCAAGAATGAATAGGAGATGTCCTTGTATCTGCAGATATGAAATTGGAGATCCCATAAATTCAATGTGTTTAGACTCACTAAATCTTTTTTTATTTAAAAAAATATTATATTTCATACACTAAGGCAACAAAATGGGAAAAAACAAAGCCATATAATGAATGTTTATTTTTGATAACTCTTAGGTCAGAAAACGAACTCATTCTCTATTTTGAATAAGTGTCCAAGATTTAGATCAAGTTTCACTTTAATGAAATTATTTGAAAAGTGTTTGTCTTTTCATTTTATTAACCAATGCCTTAGAAATACTGATGCCATCACAAAATGAAAAAAAAAAAAGCTGCAAATTAGAAATGGTCAGTCTATCAGGATTATAGCTTGCTGTTTCAAAGCCTAAAGCTTACTCAAAACCCCAACATAATTTCATCAAACAATGTTATAAATGGAGATAAACAGCCCAGTTCTCTTTGAATTTTCAAGCCTATTGTCTTCTATTATTAGTTTATCATATGATTTATTTTTCAAAAAACAAGAATCTATCAAATTCATGCCACTAAATCTCTTTACTACTTTGATCTTCATTTATGCTCTAAGGCAAAACAGCCTATGTGATGATACACTTTATGAAATGTAGATTCTTTGCCCTTCATGTGCCTGACAAACTTCCCCCACCTCCAAGCATTCTGGAACTGATTAATGGCAAGTTCTGCCTCAAAACGTCTTTTCTCTTCTTATCCTTGGTGAGAATGTATCAATAAATAGGAAGAGATGATGATGCTACTGAAGCCTGTAAGCACAACTTCTCATTTCATCAGCTTTGCTGATGTTACCTCCGGCTCAGAGGTTCCATCTTCTCTCTGCCTTTATGGGATGCATCGGGATTGCTTTGACAGCAAGCCCCAAAGGCATATGGCAGAGAGCTTCTTGCTTTTTAAGTCTGCTTTTACTGCCTTACCAGTTAAGTGCAGTAGCAGGTCTAATGATAACTGGAAGCTGACAAAATAATTCAAATAGTGCCCTCAAATTTTGAGCTAAAAAAACAAAAACCAAAAAGCCTATTAGTGTAAATGCATTTTACTCTTGATATAAAAGAAAGTACAATATACTTCTGGAAAAGACTGACTTTCATTTTATTATTATTACTATATTTTTTCCATTCTTTTCTATTAGGAGTTCATGAGCTGGGGGCCGGAAGAAGGTGACTGGAATTCTCTCTTACTTATGAGGACTATGACCAGAGAAATTACGTAATCCTCTATCCTCCTTAAAATTCAATCTTCTTCTTTACTAGTTTGTATTCAGCTATAAATCAATTGGAGCAATCATATATACAGATCAAGTCCTTACAATGTTTAAGTAGAATAATATGCATTTATGTTTAGGACTGTGAGAGGCACTAAAATAATCATTAACATGAGTTGCTTTTTTCTTTTTTAGAAATTAAAAAACTTAAAACTCATTCCCTTAAATAGATTAAATACACCTATCTCAAGAGCAGAGTCTTCTCTAAATTCTTTCTCTATTTCTGTAATTTTTAGTGTTTTATTGACCATAATCATTGCCCCCAAAAGATATCTCCATGCCATAATATTTGGAACTTGTGAATATTACCTTTTATAACAAAAATGTTATAGAGTTAAAGAATCTTGAGAGGAAGAACGCATCCTGGATAATCCGGTAGGCCCTAAATACCATCAAATGTATTCTTATGAGATCAAAGCCAAAAGAATCTTTGAAACAGACCAAAGAAGAGAAATACAAGCAGAAGAAGAGGAGACTATCTGACTTAGAGAGATTGGAGTGATGCAGCCACAAGCCGAGGAATACCTACAGTCTTTAGAAGCTGCAAGAAGCAAATAATACATTATTTGCTATAACCTCTGGAAGGAGTGTAGCATTGGAAAAACCTTAACTTACAACTTTTGGCCTATATAACTGTGAGAGAATAAATTTCTGTAGATTTAGGTCACTCAAATTGTCGTAATTTTTCACAGCAGCCACAGAAAAATAATACATTGCCATTTCCTCACTTTGTGCATTACATGTGTGTTTTGGCAATCTTATGTCATTAGATTTAGGACCTTGAATGTGGAATTTACATCTGGTACCTTTTTCTGTTAGACTCAGTACCTAAATCCTTATACATAGTAAGGGCCAGGAGAAAGTTTCCAAATAGATTAGTGAATGGCATCATCAGTGAGAGAATTATTTTTGACACAGTTCCTAATTGTAATGATTAGGAATATAAGGCCGGGCATGGTGGCTCATGCCTGTAATCCCAGCACTTCAGGAGGTTGAGGCAGGTGGATCACCTGAGGTCGAGAGTTCGAGACCAGTCTGACCAACATGGAGAAACCCCATCTCTACTAAAAATACAAAATTAGCCAGGTGTGGTGGTGCATGCCTGCAATCGTAGCTACTTGGGAGGCTGAAGCAGGAGAAGCACTTGAACCCAGGAGATGGACGTTGTGGTGAGCCAAGATAGTCCCATTGCACTCCAGCCTGGGCAACAAGAGTGAAAGTCAGTCTCCAAAAAAAAAAAAGAGAGAATAGATTGGTGAAAAGGTAACCAAACTAATTGATTATCTAGAGACGTATCTTTTGGAGTAGGAGTAAAATGAAACATGCAATTTTACATTGAGGAAATAAAAAATGACATCATAAATAACTGCAATTATGGAATCTGAGAGATAAGTTGACCATTGAAAACAGGAATTAATAATAGGATTTTTGTATATTATGTCAATTGCGCTTATGGTTTCCAGTCCAACTTATAAAGTGCTTGGAGGTGTCAACTGCATTCTCACAAGAAGAAAAGAAAAGTTGAACAAGCTGCAAATCAATAACTCTTCTTACAATCTACATAGAATTGAAGCCACAAGGCAAACTTCTGCCCCTACAGCTGGGGAGACAGACAAGTGAATACAGAGAATCACAGCTTATGAAGGGCAGATGTCCAGAAACAGAATTCCATCACTGTGCCAATCCCGTTAGGAAAACGTACGTTATAATTGACAAATTGCTGGAGTTTTGTTGTGGACTAGCTTCAGAGTTAAAATCTCCATGTGATCCTAGTCTTTCACTAATTTTATCTCCAGGAATCCCATGAAGTTCTCAACAGTGAGGGTTGGATGAAAATCCTCTCACACTTTTGGCAGAAGGAAGGAAAAAGTAACAATTTTGAAACATGCCCAGATATCTATGCTTTCTTTAACGATGCTGGCCCTTACAGGAACAATTTTGTCAGAGCCTAACTGGGATTTATTGAAGTCTGACCTAACAGTTGGAAGTGAAATATCCAACTCCAGCCCCTTCTAGCCTTTCTGTCTCACCTATGGAGAAAAGAGAAAAGATGAGAAGCAATTGCAAGGGTCACAGCCCGGGACCAGGTTCACTAAAATACTGAGACCTAGTCACAGAACCATAGGATACTTTCCCTCCCCAAACACCTTTTTACCACATCAGTGGGACTCCTGTATAAAAACAAGTGATGACAGCTGAAAGTATTGCAAGCCTGAGATATTTTTCAAAAAATGAATGTCTTAATTCTACAATCCCCCTCCCCAAAAAAGGTGAAACAAAAATGAGGACTCTAGATGGAATTTAGCTTCTAACACCATAGCTACACCTGACAGGAAAACATAATCTAACTCACAGTTAGAAAAACATAAAACTTATGATCCCAACACTTTGGGAGGCTGAGATGGGTGGATTGCTTGAACCTAGGAATTTGGGACCAGCCTGGGCAACATGGTAACACGCTGTCTCTTTAAAAAATAAAAGTAAGTTAATTAATTAATTAATTAATTGCAAACATAATAAAAGACAAAAAACACGGTCTGAATAGAAGAAGCAAGCATCAGAACCAGACTCAGATATGGCAGAGAAAATTTGAAAATTTAAAATAACTACAATTAACATTCATAAGCCTGAAATGGGAAAAAGTGGACGAAGCACAGGAATGTAATATAAGCAGAGATATAAACTCTAAGAAAAAATCAAAATGAAATGCTAGAAACAAAAGCCTTGCATGTTAAGATCTGAATGCATGTTTTTCCCTCAAACTCACATGTTGGAAACCTAAATCCCAAGGTGATAGTATTAGCAGGGGAAGCCTTTGGGAGATAATTAGGTTCTGAGGGTGGATATGTCATGAATATAATTATGATTCTTAGAAAGGAGGCTAAAAGGAACTTGTTTTCCCATTTTACATATGAAGACTCAGCAAGAAGATACCCTCTTATGTATGAGCAGTCCCCCACTACACACTGAATCTTCTAGTGCATTGATCTTGAACTTTACAGCCTCCAGAACTGTGAGAACTAAATTTTTGTTGTTTATAAGTTATTCAGCTTATCATATTTTGTTAAAACAGCCCAAACAGGCTAATACACTGTAACAGAAATGAGTAATGCCTTTGACGGGCTTACCACTAGACTGGATGTGGCCAATCAATGAGCTTAAAGATGTATCAATAGAAACTTCTCAAACTGAAATGTACAGAGAAAGGAAGAATAAAAAATAAAATGGAATGTAATAACCAAGTACTATTGGAAAATTATAAAATCTGTGACATAGATGTAAGGAGAGTAACAAAAAGAGATAAAGGAATCAAAAGAATATTTAACATAATAAGGGCTGAGAAATCTGCACAATTAATGGCAGACACCAAACCACAGCCCCCCAAAATTTAGTAAACAGTAAAAAGGATACATAGTAAAAATCTCAACCTAGTCATGTTATATTCAAATGGAGGAAAACTGGGGACAAAGAAAAATTCTTAAAAGAAGCCAGAAAGAAGTGACTGGTTGTACATCTTACCTATAGACACAAATAGAATTGCATTGGATTTTTTCACATAGAATTACACTGGACTTCTTTACAGAAACCATACAAGCAAAAAAATTGTAGACTGAAATATTTAAAAGGTGTTGAAAGAAAACACCAAATCAAAATTCTGTATCCATGCAAGTTACCCTTTAAAAGAAAGCAAAAATAACTATTCCTTAAACAGAAATTAAGAGAATTTCATGCCTGTAGATCTGCCTTGCAAGAAATATTAAAAGTTTTCCAGAAAGAGTGAAAATCATATAGTCAGAAAATCAGATTCAAATAAAGAGAGGAAGAAAATTAAAGATTAAACAAATAAAAACAAAATAAAATATTTTTTGTTACAAGCCTAATCTTTCCAAAAAGTGTCAGAATTCATCAAAAACTAAGTCACTGAAACACTCCCTTGTTTCAAAATGAAGAAAATTTTATTATGCTTGGACTTTGTCCTTTCTGTGTTGACATAACAGAATATCTCATACTGGGTAATTTGTCTGAAAATTACAAATTTATTCTCACAGTTCTGGAGGCTGGGAAATCTAACATCAAGTTGTCGGCATCTGGCGAGAGCCTTCTTGTTTCATTATCTCATGGTAGAATGAGAGAGGGTCACATAGGGATAAAAAGAGAGAAAAGAGAGGGCCAAACTTATTTTTAAAACAAGCCCATGTTCTCAATAACAAACCCACTTCCTTAATAGCAATATTACTCTATTCGTGAGTGTAGAACCCTCATGACCTAATCCCCTCTTAAAAGTTCCACCTCCAAATACTGTTGCATTGATGATTAAGTTTCCAACACATGAGCTGTGGGGGACATAATCAGATTATAGCAGGTTCATAACTGTAACTTCTAAGTCTCTAAATTTATGTAACTGAACAATTGTTCCTTTTCAAAATAGTAGGTGTGGTAGCCCTTTTATTAATAAAAGTTATTTGTGAATTATAGTTGAGGAAGTTCACCTGATCCCAAATGTTTACTTCCCTTCTCCCAGAAACCCCAATAAAAAATGGTAAAGAAATTTATAAAGGTATTATTTCAAATGGTCAAAAAGTTAAAGAGAAGAAAATGATAGATAATGTATTTGCACCTGGTTTATAATAAAGTCAATTTGATACAGTGGCCAGGCGTGGTGGCTCATGCCTGTAATCCCATCACTTTTGGAGGCTGAAACAGAATCCAAGAAAAGTTCACCACTAGGACTCAAGATAATTACTAATGTATGGACTCCAGAAAAAATAGAAAACAGGAGAGCAGGAACAACAGGGATCAAGGCATGTAACACGGTGGAGGAGCTCCTAAGTTGAAGATGAATGAAAGCCAAGGAAGACGACTGTCCCACGAGACTGAAGAACAACCAGTCCTAATTGGAAAAGAGTGATCTTCCAGGGGAAAAAAATTCAGAATAAAAGTGGATGGATCTTTTGGATTATTTGGCAAAAACATAAAAATACTGTAGTTACAGAAAACTAGGAAAAGGAAACAGTGAAAACTTTGATCTCCAGGAAAATAGGAGTACACAGGAGGGAGATTTAATCATGTGCATGGCTGGGCCATAGACTGAACACACTTTGCATAGTATGCTTTTCTCTGTGTATGTATTTCTTTGACAATTTTAATAAGTACAAAGAGAAAAGAAGAGACAATTGTGTCCACACATGGGTGAACTGTTTTTTTAAATAATATTATTTGTAAAACAATGTGAATTGTGTTGAAAATATTTCAGTGAGATTGGTAGAGATCGTAGATATATCACTTTCCTTTATTTTTATTTTTATTTATTTATTTATTTATTTTTGAGATGGAGTTTTTGCTCTTGTTGCTCAGGCTGGAATGCAATAGTTCCATCTTGGGTCACTGCAACCTCTGCCTCCCAGGTTCAAGCAGTTCTCCAGCCTCAGCCTCAGCAGTCCTGAGTAGCTAGGACTACAGGCTCGTGGCTCCATGCCCAGCTAATTTTTGTATTTTTAGTAGAGACGGGGGTTTCACCATGTAGATCAGGCTGGTCTTGAACTCCTGACCTCATGTGATCCACCCACCTCGGCCTCCCAAAGCACTAGGATTACAGATGTGAGCCACTGCCCCGGCTGGATACATCACTTTCTAATCTACAAATAGCCGCAAAATGTTATAATTTGTTCTTGCTAAAAAATGTTTTACATAAGGTGGCACAGTCAGAAATTTCAGCATATACAGTTTTTGTTTTTGAATCATTATTTGGTTAACATATTATAATACATGTATATGGTTTCTTTTTTCTTTCTCTTTATTCAGTTTTGTATCATTTATTTTCTTCAATCCCCTTTCCATGCTATTGTATCTTTCTCCTTTTACAGTCTCATCCCTTATTAAAAAAATGGAGCTGGTACTTTTCTATAGAATCAACAAAGCATAAGTACACAGAGAAAAATTAATAAGGGTTATCACTACAAAAGTGGTGGTGGGGTACTCCTTCTAGAAGGGAAAAAGGAAAATGAGAATATGATATAGAAATGTGCTTCCTGAACTGCCTTTGGTACAACATTCCCTTTCATTATGACACATCTATGTTTTTCTCCTCTCCATCTACAAGCAGATTTGGTATCAGTTCAAATCCATTTGTTGGCACATTATTGTCTCAACATTGTGCCTCTCTTTTGCTCTTACAGTGATGCATTATCTCTCATGTCTCTTTTGGTCTCACTTTGTTTTTCCTCTGATGGGAAACAAAAGACTGACAAATCCATCACTGTGCCCTTAAAGTGATTTTCTTCAGGCATCATTTGAAATTCTCAGTTGAATATGGAGAAAAAAATTATTCATATAAGTTATGCACTTTGTGGAACAAAAAAAATGCAATTTAGAGATAGGCTAACATATTCAATATCTTCTATCTTCAGAATTCTCAGCTCAATAATGAAACATTTTAGAGATGTTGTATATCTGTTTTTCTTGTAGAGTATATAGTTCAAGAAGTTCTATGTCAATTATAATTAATTATTAACAGCTGACAAGTAAATGTATGCAACTACTTTTTTCTGTCCTGTAGTATTATTACATTCAATTCTTAGATGAGGAAATACTGGCTTAGGTGAGTAGTTGCTCAAGATGGCACAATTAATAAATAAGGAATGGTGCTGAAACTTACACATATGCAAATCTAGGTCCACACCTCTATAAATTTAAATTTGATGTTTTTAACCTGTTCTTAACTTCGGTTCCTATATTACATATTTATAAATATTGTAAATGGTGATAGATATTAGTAGCAATATATTACATTTCATGAAAATCTCATTATGTATTTCATTTTGCTCTCCCCTCTTTGTTTAGTCTCACAATATGCTGACCATAAGGAGAAGAAAGAAGACAACATTTCTATTAGAATGAAGTTCTACTTCTTTCTTAATCCGTGATGTGAAATTGAAAACTAAAATTCAAAAGATCAATAATGTACAAATAATAATGAATGCTACTGACTTCTTAAACTGTCAAAAGCAAATATGTCAGCATAAGCCTGCATAAGATTTAATTATCAGTTCAAGTAGACAGATCCATCTGTATAGCCAGTGTAAAACATTTTCACTGATAGGCCATACAGTCACTGTTATTGAATTCTGCTCAATAGCTAAAGTAGTAGTCATCAATTCGGTGACTTAAACATTTAATTTTCTAAAAATACCAGAATATTCACCCAGTGGAATGAGAATTGTGTATGCAATTGCAATTTGTATTGCAAACAAAGACCAAACATTGCCAAAATGACATAAAATACGGTTTGTATGAAGAGAAATATTTAAAAATGCTCTTGACTGACAATACCCGTTAATAGTAAATATATTATTTTCCACCCATAGATGCATAAGTTTAATATCATTTAATGAAAATCTAAATTGGTATTTAAACATGTGATTACATAGTTTCAAAATTCATCTGGAAAGGGAGTTTTGGATCATCTATCTTTTACCTTGTGGGGTCCATGGCCCCACCACTCCGGTGTTGCACTGGGATTTCCAGTCCAATGACATTTCCATTTCTTTCCATCAATAAGGCTTTTTTCCCTCTCCTCATTTCTGTTTATCCCTTTTTAATTCTTTGGCTTCTGATCCAATACCTCACTTGCTAGTACTTGAAACTGTTTTGCTTTTATTATTATTTTTTTTCTGTCACAGTCTTGTCCCAGCTCCACTCACTTCTAATCATATTCATCACACTGTTGCCTCTAGGTCTATGGCAGCTGTGAGGGCATGTACAGAAAATCATGGATCCACGCACCTGAAAAGCCTTGTGAATTGATTGCTTCCAATTATCTGGAAAACCCACTCTTTCCCTCTGCTCACTCATTTTCACAATCACTGGGGAAGGAGAAGCTCTATTTTTTTTTCTTTTCAAACCTTCGAGAGCCTCATGTTTCCTTTCACTTCAAGGTGACAAGATTTTTCTACCCTGTTACATACAGCAAAAGGCAGCTCAGGAAGTATGTTTTTATGTCATTTTTCTATTTTTTCTTTTTCTCTTTTAGAAATAATAGCCACTCCCTTCTTTGTTGATGGTAATTCCAATTAATTTTCTCCAGGCACTGATTCTTTTTTTACTACAGAAAAGAACCAGCTCCACATTTTAAATAGAGAAGAGATTGTAAAAGGAGGAAGATGTAATGAGGTGGAAGAGGCATTAAAGGAAAAATAATCGACACAAGACTGAATAAAAAAGAAAGAAGAAGAAATCATATACATTTATTGTGACATGTTAACCAGGCAATTTTGATACAAAAACCAAAAGCTGGCTAGGCTGAAATTTATAAAAGTACTACTTTATGTAAAACATATCAAATTTTTATTAAAAAAGAGATAATCTCTTTACACTCAAAACACTAAATCCACAAATGTCCCTACATAGAAATGCATGGATTTTCCTCCTCTCCTACATTTATTTACTCATTGAAGGCCATCTTCTCCACTACTGCCCTTAATGTGGTAATATTTTCAGAAAACGTATAATATTCACTACGATTTGAATTTCCTAATTCATCTTGTCTACTGGATACTTTCAACAGCTTTTAAAAATGCCAGTGTATCTCTCTTTAAACCACCCACCCTTTCTGGATAGATAGAAAGATCGATTGATACACACACACACACACACACACACACACACACACACACATACCCACACCACAAAAGGCTCTAAAGTATAAGCCTGTGTGTGTGTATATGCCACCTGTATTATCTTTGCAATTCTTCTCTATCTAAAATTACTTCAAAATAAAACGTTAAAAAGACTAGAATTTTACCTCTTTTTACTAGTAGTAGCCTAATTCTTCACTCCTTTTCATAGACAAACGTTATTAAAAAGTTTTTTTGTTTTGTTTTTGTTTTTGTTTTTGTTTTTGTCTGGGTGCGGTGGCTCATGCCTGTAATCCCAGCTCCCAGCTCTTTGGGAGGCCAAGGGAGGCGGATCACAAGGTCGAGAGATCAAGACGAGCCTGGCCAACATGGTGAAACCTCGTCTCTACTAAAAATACAAAATAATTAGCTGGGTGTGGTGGCGCGTGCCTGTAGTCATCCCAGATACTCGGGAGGCTGAGGCAGGAGAATCTATTGAACCCAGGAGGCGGAGGTTGCAGTGAGCCGAGATCACTCTACTGCACTCCAGCCTGAGCATCAGAGAGAGACTCCATCTCAAAAAACAAACAATAAAATAAATAAAAAGAAAAGAAAGAAAGAAAAGAAAAAGAAAAAACATCATCAGCATTTTTAGGCCCAACTTTTTGGTTAAGCAGCAGCATTACACACAATCCAACATACCTTCCTTTTGAAATATGGCTTTCCAGACATTTTTCTTTTTTTTTTATTACAATATGATACTGAGTTTTAGATTGCTCATTTCCTTTTTCTTTGTTGGAACCTCCATGTATAAAATCCAACTACCACATAGGACTCTCATTTAGACCCTGTTCTCCTAGCATTATTACTACATACTTGAAAATAAACTTCCTATTTCAACTCTCTAGCGCAGACAAATTTTTAGTGTTATTTAATTGATTTTTAATAGTTCCCATAGGAAGTCTAAAATATACTCCAAAGTTAACATAATAAACTTGAACTTTCCCAATCTTACCTTTATCTAGACTCTTTAATCTCAGTGAATGGACAGCTATCCACCCAAGTGCTTAAACCATACATCTCATAGTTATTCATATATTATTGCTGCACATTCTCTTAAATATTTATCATTAATTCATTTTTCTAGTAACTCCCATGTATGTCCCAGTTTTATTTAATATTTTTTATTCACATTTGGACAGCTTCATTGACCTAAACAACATTTTTATCTATACTCATTGTTTTTTGCTCCTGGAATCGATTCTGCACATCCTAATGAGAATGATCTTCAGAAATTCAAATCTGATACTGTGCTTCCATACTTAAAATCCTCCTCAGTTTTACCCCAGATATAGGCAGAAGATCCATAAATCTATGACATGGAAAAAATAATAATCTCTTGCATAGACTACTAGACTGTGGACAAGAAGCCCATTCTTCAGTTTTCCAGCTTTTCTGTCCAGTTCTGGCTTCTGCTACTTCAATATTATTGCATTCTCCTTAATTTCTAAGGCTTATTGTGTGTCCTTTTCAAATAGACCTTCACTTATGATTTATCCCCTCCTATGAAGACTCCCAGAACTTTGGTCACCTGCATTGAAAAATCCTACTCTTTATTTACATCCTAGCTTAACCATTCTCTGAAAGTCTTTCACCTTACCTGCTCTTATTTAATTAATTTATTATTTTTTTTTTTGAGACGGAGTCTCGGTCTGTCGCCCAGACTGGAGTGCAGTGGCGCGATCTCGGCTCACTGCAAACTCCGCCTCCCGGGTTCACTCCATTCTCCTGCCTCAGCCTCCCCAGTAGCTGGGACTACAGGCGCCCGACACAACGCCCGGCTAATTTTTTGTATTTTTTTAGTAGAGACTGGGTTTCACCATGTTAGCCAGGATGGTCTCGATCTCCTGACCTCGTGATCTGCCCGCCTTGGCCTCCCAAAGTTACGGGATTACAGGCGTGAGCCACCGCGCCCGGCCTACCTGCTCTTATTTTTATTAAGCGTCTGGACCATGCAAGTGTCTTTCTCAGAGTGCTCTGCATATCAACCAGCATGACACAATGAACATGATTGTACCATGCATGAGGTTTCCTTCTAGGGAAGATTGAAAGTCTTTTTGTTTATTTTAACAATCTCTGTACAAAATTTATATAATTAGAAAGTGACCTTTATTATTACAAATATTTGTCTTATCAAAAATGTGAAAAATGTTACAAAAAACAATACTGTAGGCTACTTGTGCCAACCTCAACAGATATATCATAGAAAATATTAAAATGTATAGAAACAGACATCTGAATATTTATTATTTTAAATTGTCAATACATGATATATGTATTATATTTTAAATAATGTAGTTTATGAGACAATTTAAAATTCAGAAAATAAAGTCAATCTTCACTTATTAGATAATATCAAAATAAATTCTATCTCAAATATTTTTATTAAAATATAATCATTTTAAAATATGAATTTCATAAATGTAAATGCCTAACTTTAATTAAAAACAATTAATTATATTCCATATTTAGGGAAAAACAATTTTAAAATTCTGCCTCAGTATGAATTCCATACAAAAAAAATCTGTATAGAAAACTGATAAAAAGGATATATGTTTACTGGTAAAATTATTTGTAAGATATAGATGAAGAGTTAGTTGAGTATATAGAAATCTATGGACATTTAAAAAACATGAGCAGGTAATTAACTATGAAGAAATGAAAATGGTCAAAGCATGAAAATGTACATCAAATAGTTCTAACATAAAAGCAAGAATAAGATTAAGAAAACATGGAGTAAAAATCAGATTAAAATTTACAGTATTGGCTTTACTCCAGCTGAAATCTTCTATAAATATTTTTATCTTTTAAATAATTTCAGCTTTTATTATAGATTACAGGGTACATATGCAAGTCTGTTACATGGGTATATTGTGTGATGCTGAGTTTTGAGGTACAATCTCATCACTGAGGTAGACAGCCTAGCATCCAATATGTGGTTTTCCAAACTATTCCCCCTTCTTCCTTCCTTGTCTAATAGTCTTAAGCATCTATTGTTCTCATCTTTAAGTCTTTGTGTATTTTACATTTAGTCCCTACTTATAAATAAGAACATACGGTATTTGTTTTTCTGTCCTTAGCGTTAATTCACTTACGGTAATGGCCTCCAGCTTCATCCATGTTGCTGCAAATGACATGATTTTGTTCTTTTTTGTGGCTTTGTAATATTCCCTGGTGAATATATATCATATTTTCTTTCTCCAATCCACCATTGATGGGCACCTAGGTTGATTTCATACCTTGTCTATTGTGAATAGTGCTATGATGTGTGCAAGTGTCTTTTTGGTTGAATGGTTTGTTGTCTTTTGGATATGTACACCCAGTAATGGGTTTGCAGGGTCAAATGACACTTCTAAATATTTTGAAAAGTCTGTATACTGCTTTCCTCACTGGCTGAAATAGTTTTCATTCCCACCAACAGTGTGTAAGGGTTTCCTTTTCACCACAGCCTTATCAGCTTATTTTTTCTTTTTAATAATCATCATTCTGGCTGGTGTGAGATGGTATCCCAAAGCCAGCAGAGAAAAGAAATCACTAAAATCGGAGAAGAACTGAATGAAATTGAGACCCAAAATTTCATACAAAAGATCAATAAAACCAAGCATTGGTATTTCTAAAAATTAATAAGATTGATAGACCACTAGCTAGATCAACAAAAAATAAAAAGAGATCTAAATAAATGCAATCAGAAATGTCAAAAAGGACATGAAAATGGATTCCACTGAAATACAAAATATCCTCATAGACTGTTCTGAACATCTCTAAGAATAAAAATTAGAAAATCTAGAGGAAGTTGGTAAATTTCTGGAAACATTCATCTCCCAAGATTGAAACAGGAAGAAAGTGAGGACCTGAAAAGAACAGTAAGTTTGGCAATTGAATCAGTACAAAAAAAAATAACCTGCCAAATGAAAGGAGCTCTGGACCAAATGGATTCACAGTCAAATTCTACTAGATGTACAATAGAAGAACTGATATCAATCTTACTGAAACTATTCCAAAAATTGAGGAGAAAGGGCTTCTCCCTAACTCATTCTTCAAAGTCTGCATCATCCTGATGTCAAAATCTGGCAGAGACACAGTGGAAAAAGAAAACTTCAGGCCAATATCCCTGAAGAACATAAATGCAAAAATCCTCTCATGAAAATACTAGCAAAGCAAACCAAATTTAGCAACACATCAAAAAGTTAATTCACCATAATCAAGTAGGCTTTAGTCCTTGGATACAAAGTTGGTTCAACATACAGAAATCAGTAACTGTGATTCACCACTTAAAGTAAAAAACAAGGACCATATAATCATCTCAATAGATGCAGAAAAGACTTTGATAAAATCAAACGACCCTTCTTTATAAAAACCCTCAACAGACTAGGCATCCAAGTAACATACCTCAGAATGATAATAACCATTTTTGACAAACTTACAGCCAACATCATACTGAATGGGCAAAAGATGGAAGCATTCCTCCTGAGAACTGGAACAAGACAAGGATGCCCAATCTCACAACTCCTATTCAATATAGTACAGAAAGTCCTAGCCAGAGTAATCAGGCAAGAGAAAGAAATAAAAGGCCTCTAAATAGAAAAAGAAGAAGTCAAACTGTCTCTCTTTGCTGACAATATGATTAGAAAGAAAACGCTAAAGACTTCACCAAAAGGCTCCTACAACTGATAAATATATTCAGTAAACTTTCAAACTACAACATCAATGTATAAAAATTAGTAGAATTTCTGTACACCAATAGCATTCTAGCTGAGAACCAAATCAAGGACATAATCTCATTATAATAGCCACAGGGAAAATGAAATACCTATAAATATGTGTAACCAATGATGTGAAAGATCTCTGCAAGGACAACTAAAAAACACTGCTGAAAAATTCAAAGATGACACATAAATTTTAAAACATTTCATGTTTATGGATAGGAAGAATCAATATTGTTAAATCGTCATGCTGCCCAAAGGAACTTACAGATTCAATGCTATCTCTATCAAAACACCAATGCCATTTTTCTTAGAATCAGAAAAATCTATTCTAAAACTGATTTGGAATAAAAAAGGCCTGAAGAGCAAAAGAAATCCTCAGTGAAAAGAACAAAGCCAGGGGCATCACATTACCTGACTTCGAACCATACTATAAGGCAAGAATAACAAAAACAGGGTGGCACTGGTTCAAAAACAGGCACATAGACCAGTAGAATAGTATAGAGAAACCAAAAATAAATCTGCACACCTACAACTATCTGATATTTGACAAAATTGACAAAATTAAGCAATGGAAAAAAGACTCGCTATTCAATAAATGATGCTGGGCTAACTGGCTAGCCATATACAGAGGAATGAAACTGGACCCCTACTTCTCATTACATATAAAAATTAACAGAGGATGCATTAAAGATTTCAATGTAAGACTTCAAACTACAAAAATGCTAGAAGAAAGCCCAGGAAATATCCTTCTCAAAATCGACTTTGGCAAAGAATTTTTGGCTGAGTCTCCAAAATCATTTTCAACGAAAACAAAAATAGATGAGTGGGACTTAATTAAATTAAAGAGCTTCTGCACAACAAAAGAAATTACCACCAGAGTAAACAGACACCCTACAGAGTTGGAGAAAATATACACCAACTATGCATTTGATTAATACTGATATCCAGAATCTATAAGGAGCTTAAATCAATCAACAAGCAAAAAATAATACAATTAGAAAAATGTGCAAATGACATAAACATACCTTCTCAAATGAAGGTAGACAACTAGCCAACAATTATATAAAATGATTAACATCACTAATCATCAAATAAATGCAAATCAAAACCACAATGGCATCTATTACTTTTTATGTTCAGTCCAAATAATTCCACCTGTCATTTTTAAATACAACATGCACATTTATGATTTGACTGCCTTTGCACAATTCTCCCACTCTTAATTGACTCTTCAGCCTACTCTGACCATCCTTTCATTCATTGAACTCCTGAAATCTCAAGTTTCAGAATATAAGACTAAAGTAATCTATCTTTCAACTTAACAATTTGTACATATGGTTATCACACCATTGATTTAACTTTATCATATTACACTTACTTATAAAATAGTTGTCTTCCTGCCTGACTGTGACATCCATGAGTTCTCATGAGTTGCTAGTAGGAAGTTCTATGCCTGGCAATAATAAGCATGTAATTACATTTGCGAATTTGTATCTTAGAGTGATGGATTATTGTTTGAAACCTATTACCTGGGTGAGATATGATGGGGTCAGAGGCAGATCAAGGGAGAGAAACTAGAAAGAGATTTACAGTTGTATTAACTCACAATTCCCTGGGAGATCACAGTTTACCATAAAATACTTGAAGCATCAAGGCTGATCAAAAGGCAGAGAAAGGGGAGCAGACTGTTGACAGGCACCTTCATTATTAACATCATTTATGCACGAAGGAATCATAGAGGCAAGACAGGGCTAATTTGAAGAATTTCAGTGGGTTCTGGGAAATAAGAGCTGTCCCTTGTCTATTCCCTGGACCTGTAATGATTAAGGTACAGGTATAGTGACCAGAGTATGAGAACTTGATGATACAAGTGGTTGGTGGTGTTGATTAAACTGGCTGCTCAAGAAGGGAAACGTACTGACCTTTAGTCAGGGTATCAAACTGGATCAAGATAGTAGAAGAAAATCCACCATGTTTCACAGAAGTGTGAAGAGTTGGCCGTGATACTTCTAAAATCCAGTGATATAAGTATATGCAAAACATACAGAGCCATTTTACTATACAGTGAAAACATGGCTTAAAATGGTAAACATAATAGTGAAAATCTGAAGAGTAAACAGTTCAGCCTATCATGAAATTTAAATATGTCTAAATATTTATTATTCTAACTTAATATTTTAGTAATATCAACAGGAACTTAATACAATAATATACTGCTTAAATGAAAAATAAAATAACATTCTCCCATGAGAACAGCATGAAAAAGTATTTAGTTACACATTAATATGTTTGCCATAGCCAAATCACGTATCTTAATTACAAATATTGCTCAAAATTAAGTCAGAGCAAATTCTATCTATCTATCTATCTATCTATCTATCTATCTATCTATCATCATCATCATCCATCATCTATCTGTCAGGCTCTTTCTTTTATCATTTATCTCTTTCTTTCCAGTATTTCGGAGAGTTGAAGTTTTTCTCTTAACTTACCCCACTAAAATAATCTTGGACTTGTAACTGTTCCAGTACAATTTAGGTATACTAAATGTTTTAGTCTACTTGGCTGTCTAAAAAAAAAATACTGTAGAACGGGTGACTTCAACAACAAAATTTTGTTTTCTCATAGTTCTGGAGGCTGGAAAGTCCAAGATCAAGGTCCAGAAGCATTTAATTTCTGATGAGGGCTTTCATCCTGGCTTGCAATTGGGCTTCCTTCTTGCTGTGTCCTCATGTGGTGAGAAGAAAGAGAGAGGGAGCTCTCTAACATCTGTTCTTATAAGGACACAAATCCTATTGTATTAGGATCCCATCCTTATAATCTAATTTAACCTTAATTACCCTTGAAGGCTCTATCTCTAAATATAGTCAAACTGGGTGTTAGAGCTGAAACATAGTAATTTGAGGGGTACACAGTTCAGTCCATGGCACTCAACAATGATGAAGTAGCTATGTGGTCAAATTACTGGTGTATTACTCTATGATATTCTAAATATGTTAACTGTCTTTAGTTATGATTTACATATAAAGCAAACAGATTTATGGTTTCAGTAGTCTACAAGATTATGAAAGCAAATGGAGATTTCCTATTTTTAGGGGAATTCTCAAGAAATCCATCCTTACCTACCCAAGAATCACAGTGCTTTATTTATACAGCCAAGGTTCTTGGTGATGTGAAAGGCTGAGAAAGACTGGGCATAATTGCAATAAGGCATAATAAATCAGTGGGGCAACAAGTGAGGATTTGGAGGGTTTTATTCTCTTCTGCATTGCTACCATTCTTCTATACATATTTTTATATTGAATATATGTGTCTTCTTCTTCTGTGTGTGCTCTACTACTGCAATATCAAGACAGGTACCACAGCCCACATCCATAATAGGTTTTGGTGCCTAAATTCTGCATGAAAATTTAATCTGGAGCTCTCCATGAACATAGGCTTGAAACTTTGTCTAAAAGGTGAGATATATTTTAGATTTTATCATTTTTACTATAAGCACTATAAATTTGTATATTTTACATTCTTTTTCTCCTGGGGCAAGTGAAATTTTTTTCTATATTTAATTTTAATAATTTTTGTAAAAAATTTATATATTTATTTATAAATACATAAATTTCCAAATACATAAATTTTCTACAAAAATTGTTTAAATTAAGCTATTTTTAGCTTATCACGAATTATCTTTTCTCTAAGGCGCACACTAAAAAGGCACAAACATTCTATGAAAACTTTGATTTACAGGCAAGACAGCTTTTCTCCAAAAACCAGGTTCTGTAGTGTTTGAAGACCAGATAAGATTGAGGCTGACAGGTGTGGAGCAGGGCTAGATGGTTCTTCTGGTGGAAGGACCTGAGTGCAGCAGGGTAAAGGAAATTTGGATGACTTCTCCTCAAATTCCCCACTTTGAATAAACCATGGTTTGGCATCCATAACATTTAAAACATCTCCTAAATATGAAATTAGGAACTCGAGTTTCTTGCATGAGAGCAGGAGTACACTTCATTCTCTGGACCACTTAAAGTCAATTGAAAATTTACCTAGGATTAAGTGAGCATTGGACACTCTCTATTTTTTTTTAATTGCAACTAAATAAAAATCACCATATTCCCTAGAAAAACTAGAAAAAACAACAACCCTTAAGTAAGACTTTAATGAAGATGTTATCAGAATAACAAGTAAAAGGGTTATTTCCTATCCTCCTATTTGAGATTTTCCAAAAATGTTTTATATGTAAAATTTTTAAAAATAAGAAACACACATAGAAAAAGAACAAAATGTATTTTCATAATCATATGACTCACTCCCTAAAGTTGTAGGGATCATGTGACTTATAAAGATTTTGGGGGAAATGTATATTTTTATTATTTATTGAATTTACTATCTGCTAGAGTTATTGTTTGTCTTACAGATATTTGTTGGTAATGCTCAGGATAATTCAGTAAAACTTGAATGATTTTTAATTACACGTGTTCAAAAATTCTGAAGGAAAACTGAATACACTGAGAGTTGGTAAAATCAATATATTTCCTGATTGACATCTCCGCAAAATTTGAGGCTTGAGAGTCAAGTATTAGTGGTTATAAAAAGAAACCTTCTGAAATATCATCATTATAAATGACAAAGGCTAGAATAAAGGTCATTTCCGTGGAGAAAAAGCTAAGTTTTCCATGAGATGGATAAAGATTAGCAGATGTAAAGTAAGAAAATAAAAGCATACCTCATATAGTTGAACTGTGGACTGAAAGATTGAGGTTAGTAATTGGAGTTGAATAAGAGGTTAAAAGTTGGGACAAATTTAATTTTTAAGTGCTTTTCCTTCTGAATTTTGAGAATATTTCATAATTTTTCTATTTTCCAAAAACAGTGCAACCACTGAAATTGGTGAATTCTATTTATTACTAATTTAGTGTTAGAATAAAATACATAAAATTAATCATATTTCATAAAAAGTTTTAGCTTGAAGTAAATGCTTTGAAGCAAGAAATTATTCAATGAAAATGATAAATTTCTGAATGAGTAAAATTAGAAAATGGTTCTAGACTCATTAATACAGTGTTGGAAAATAATACAGCACTTTTTAGCAAATATTGAAAGTCAAAATATATGATTTAACAGACTATAACAACGACTGGTTATATTTATTAAGTCTACTGGTTGGTTATGTGTACTTTGTGAATCTGATATTATATAACATACTGAGGACATGGGAAGTATTACAACATACTGAGGACAGGGGAGGTATTATATCAAAATGCTTTATGAGACTTAGAACTAAGAATAAGTCCTTCTTATCTCCTGTTTATGCAAGAAAGTAACTCCCTAAAGCTGTAATATACTTTCATAAAGTGTTTTAAATGCTTTCCTCAGGAGAATCTTATTGAACTGAAGAGAATAATAATTGAAAAATAATTGCACTTTCTTTCTGAGCCAAGATACATTTACTCTCTCTGTGTAAATATTAGAATAAAATATTCAGATGAGTTTATTTTTTTCAATTTTAAAGAGTATTTTTAGTCTTATAAGTAGGAAAGTAGTTACCAGATGTATTCTATGAGAAGTGAGGAAACATTGGCAACTGTTAATAATAAATTAGTAATTTACATACATTAATTAAGAAAAAATTAGAAAAAAGAAGAAAGGCAAATTTGTAACAGTACAAATTTGTTTCTGCCAGATTTTGACTTATCTGGAATTCATTGCTACTTCCTTATTCATTACTTTTATTGAAGGTTTTCCAAAATTTCAAGACTGTTCACAATTATTAATCTCTTTAGGAATCTTTTGTTTTTACTACTTATTTTTTCTGCCTCTCGATTGATGATAGCATCATCATAAGCATTTTATAGGTAATGTTAATATGACTCTGAATATTCAAAACCCAAAATGTTGAAAAATTTTGTTTTTGTATATATATCTATGTTTAAAAAAATGAAATATTACTACAAAACATATTGCAGATAAGTAAAGGATTTCTTTTTCTTCTGTCCCATTTATTAAATTTCACGGGCAGCAGTTCATGTTTCAGCTTGAGTCCTTCTCATCTCCTGTTCTATATTGTAAGAGTTCAGTCAGGGTGGTGAGAAAAGTTGTAAGACAAAGTTACAGGGAATGACACAAACCTTCTTGGAAGTCTGGGAGGTTTTGCAAAAGTTTCAAGAGGGAATTATGACTGAAGGCAGCCAAATCCTCTTATCCAGATCCTGAGAGCAAAGGGCAGATAACAAGGGAATGTAAAGGAATTTATCTAGATAAATGTGTTTACTCCTGTCTCTAGAAACCAACCTTTGATCATTCTCACACAGGACTGCTCTCTACTTGGGGGGTTGACAATGTTAATTACCCACAACTTGTGTTTGCTCCAAGCCTTAGTCATTAAATCTGACTAAGGCGATTTGTAGCCAGCTTATGGGGGCTGCACTCTCTTGGCTACTGCACTGTCTCCCTGGTGCTGCTGAGCTGTGTGGTCCCCTAGCCTTGCTGTCAGGCAAAATACCTGTGTCAGCATACTGCTTTCATTTGTTGCTTAGCCAGAGTCTGCGGGACAGACTTGGCACGATATCTCTATGTATCTAGCTAGCTAGCTAGCTGTCTCCCTTTCTATTAATCGTTTATCATCTGTCATCTAACATCTATCTATCATCTATCCCTTTATCACCTGTCCATCATCTGTATCTATATGTATTTATATAGCTATATATAAATATATCTGTATGCATATATATCATATATATCCATATCATTTAAATTTATAGATTCTATATTGTAATATTTAAATATCTGCTTTTCTGATGAATATTGAGTTCATCCCCAGATGTTGATTTGTATTGTCTTCCAAATTTACTCTTTCATTTTTTCATTTCTAATGTGACTGAATAAATTTTTATGTCTTTGACTACTCTGGTTTCCTATGTGCTCTGTTTCTTACTGTTTTATTTTAAATAATGTAATTTTTACATGCTGTTGTTTATCTTTTTTATGTAGAACATAGAAACTCTTAAAATAATATCTAGATGATCAGCTTTCTCTATTTCATACTTGAAAATATCTCTTGTCATGTATTCAAACATCTAGGGTATCTTTTAACATCTAAAAGTTATTCTTTTAATGTGGAAAATATATTTGTCTTGTTATGTGGTTTCATATTTAGGTATTAATTCATCCTTACATGAAGAATATATTTAATATTCTATATTTATTTTTGACTTAAAATATTTTTCACTTTTAGATTTTTAACTAACCAGTTGTGTGTGTGTGTGTGTGTGTGTGTGTGTGTGTGTGTGTCTGCTGTGAGTCCAATAATTTTTTAAATAAACTCAACACATAATACAATGAATAATATCTAATTTTCTCAATATCTGTGTTGGTATGAACCTGTACAAATTGCATATATGTGGAAAACTGGTTGGGATTCTTTATTCTTTTTCAATGACCATTTCAATTTTTATGATTTATTACTTTAAATTATCATTGGTTATTATATGTCTTGATATCAGATAGATTTTGTGTAATCTTTCTCCCTTACAATTATTTTTACTATTTATGCATCTTCACAATTTCTTATAAAATTTGTAATTACTAATTCAATACTTACAGTTTTGTTTAAATTGTATTAAACCTGTGTTGAATCCATAGGTCAATTTGGAAGAAATTGGTTCTACAGTATTGAATCTTTCAATCCATACAAATTTTATGTCTTCCTCTACTTTTCTATATTTTTCTGTGTATAAACTTATCATATATATTATTAAATCTATTCCTAAGCATTACCTACATTGGTGCTATCATTAATGTAATTTTCTTTTTTTATTTTAATTGTTTGTAATAGAAATGCTTTAGATTTTTAAAAAATGTCTACCTGATTTCTGGGAAAACTGATAAACTCAATTAATTGAGATACGCTATCTTTAGATTGTTTGAGATTTACTATGTTGACAGTTTTATCATCCTTAAATCACTGCAACTTTTCAATCATTGCTTTCTTCTACCTATGCCTTTCATTTGTCTTCTTCCTCTGCTTCATCCTCTCCCTTTTCTTCCTCTACCTCTTCTTTCCTCATTATTTTTTCAATCTTATTATAATCAAGGCTTCACTAAAATATTAAATATGTTAAATTATAAAATATTTTAAAATACCTAATATGTCTTTGTTTCTTAATGCTTTCTCTTTTTATCTCTCTCTTCTCTCTCCATCCTTCTGTCTCTCTTTCCCCTCTGAATATAATCAATTGTACTTAGATGACATGCCTTTATTACATTTTTCCCCTTTAATTTATTAAAATTTTAACTTTTAAAAATATTTCAGAAGTATAAAACTAGAGAGGCGAACCTATGTAGATAATCTTTGTAATATTTTTTCTTTTTTTTTTGGAGACAGTGATCATACAGTGACATGATCTCAGCTCACTGCAACCTATGCCCCTGCATTCAAGCAATTCTTATGCCTCAGCCTCCTGAGTAGCTGGGATTACAGGTGTGCACATTCCACACCTGGCTAATTTTTACTTTATGGATTTCTTATGTCTTTATTTAATTATCTCAATATTTTCTATATGTATTTCAATATCAGCTATATCTGCTGCATAAAAATATTGTGATTGCTGGCAGGGTGCGGTGGCTCACACCTATAACTCCAGCACTTTGGGAGGCAAAGCCAGGTGGATCACTTGAGGTCTGGAGTTGAAGACCAGGCTGGCCAACATGGTGAAACCCTGTCTCTACTAAAAATACAAAAGTTAGCCAGGTGTGGTGGTGGGCACCTGTAATCCCAGCTACTCGGGAGCCTGAGGCAGGAGAATTGCTTGAACCCAGCAAGCAGAGGTTGCAGTGAGCTGAGTTCACACCATTGCATTTCAGAGAGTGAAGTGCCATGTCAAAAAACAAAGCAAAAAGATTGCTTTGTTCTCATGGACGGTTACTTAGTTAATAATCAAGTATTCACTCTCAATATAATTAATTATTTTAATTTCAATTATATTAAAATTAATAGTGAACAATTTTATTATGCTGAGGTTGACAGTAAACAAACTTTGAAAAGTGATAATATTTGCTATTTTATTCGGGGGTACTATTTGGGAAGTGGTATATACTTTATATGCATACACACATACACACACACATATGGCAAATATATAAAATAAATGTATGTATAGTCCATCCTCTTAGTTTTACAGTCTCCATGCAAGTTGCATTAGATATTTCTCTTGTCAACATCATAACTGGAAAATTTTTTTGTCCTTTAGAAATCAAATTTAGTTCATTTTTACTTAATATAATTGATTACTTAATGTACTTGCAATTACTACTTCAGACTTAGTGTTTAAAGTTTTTCTTCTGCTATATTATTATTATGCTTGTTTCAGTTTTCCTGTTGGGTTGAGTGAATTTTTTGCAACAATTTAACAAGACTTTACTTAGAAGTCATACTTTCTATTTTTAATTGTTCATTGGTTGCCCTCAATACACAATGTGCAGACTCCCTATTGGTGTAACAAATTAGATAAGTACAATTTCAAATTTTCATATCCTTCACTCACTTTTTGATGGGGTTTTTTTTCTTGTGAATTTATTTAAGTTCCTTGTAGATTCTGGATATTAGCCATTTGTCAGATGAATAGATTGCAAAAATTTTCTCCCATTCTGTAGGTTGCCTATTCACTCTGATGATACTTTCTTTTGCTGTGCAGAAGCTTTTTAGTTTAATTAGACCCAATTTGTCAATTTTGACTTTTGTTGCTATTACTTTTAGTGTTTTAGTCATGAAGACTTTGCCCATGCCTATGTCCTGAATGGTATTGCCTAGGTTTTCTTCTGGAGTTAATTTTTAATATAGTTTTAGGTTTTGCGTTTAAGTCTTTAATCCATCTTGAGTTAATTTTTGTATGAGGTGTAAGGAAGGAGTCCAGTTTCAGTTTCCTGCATATGGCTATCCAGTTTTCCCAACACCATTTATTAAATAGGGAATCCTTTCTCCATTGGTTGTTTTTGTCAGGTTTGTCAAAGATCAGATGGTTGTAGATGTGTGGCATTATTTCTGAGGCCTCCATTCTGTTCCGTTGGTCTATATTTCTGTTTTGGTACCAGTACCCTGCTGTTTTGGTTATTGTAGCCTTGTAATATAGTTTGAAGTTAGGTAGTATGATGTCTCCAGCTTTGTTCTTTTTGCTTAGGATTGTCTTGGCTATGTGGGATTTTTTTTTGGTTCCATATAAAATTTAACGTATTTTTTTCTAATTCTGTGAAGAAAGTCAATGGTAGTTTGATGGAGATAGCATTGAATCTATAAATTACTTTGGGCAGTATGGCCATTTTCATGATATCAGTTCTTCCTATTCGTGAGCATGGAATGTTTTCCCATTTCTTTGTGTCCTCTCTATCTCTTATTTCGTTTAGTTTGTAGTTCTCCTTGAAGAGGTCTTTTACAACCCTTGTAAGTTGGATTCCTAGGTACTTTATTCTCTTCGTAGCAATTGTGAATGAGAGTTCACTCATGATTTGGCTCTCTGTCTATTATTGGTGTACAGGAATGCTTGTGATTTTTGCACATTGATTTTGTGTCCTGAGACTTTGCTGAAGTTGCTTATCAACTTGAGGAGATTTGGGGCTGAGGTGATGGGGTTTTCTATATAACAGATACTTCTCAAAAAAAGACATTTATGTGGCCAAAAAAACCTATGAAAAAAAGCTCATCATCACTGGTCATTAGAGAAATGCAAATCAAAACCACCATGAGATACCGCCTTATGACAGAATGGTGATTATTAAAAAATCAGGAAACAACAGACGCTGGAAAGGATGTGGAGAAGTAGGAATGCTTTTACACTGTTGGTGGGAGTGTAAATTAATTCAACCATGGTGGAAGACAATGTGGCGATTCATCAAGGATCTAGAACCAGAAATACCATTTGACCCAGCAATTCCATTACTGGGTATATACCCAAAGAATTATGAAACATTCTACTCTATAGACACATGCACATGTGTGTTTATTGTGGCACTGTTCACAATAGCAAAGACTTGGAACCAACCCAAATGCCCATCAATGAGACTGGATAAAGAAAATGTGGCACATACACAGCATGGAATACTATGCAGCCATAAAAAAGAATAAGTTCATGTCGTTTGCAGGGACATGGATGAAGCTGGAAACCATCATTCTCAGCCAACTAACACAGGAACAGAAAATCAAACACTACATGTTCTCACTCATAAGTTGGAGTTGAACAGTGAGAACACATGGTCTCAGGGAGGGGAACATCATGCACTGGGGCCTGCCAGGGGATCAGGGGGTAGGAGAGGGATAGCATTAGGAGAAATAACTAATGTAGGTGTTGGGTTAATGACTGCAGCAAACCAACATGGCACGTGTATACCTATGTAACAAAACTGCATGTTCTGCACATGTATCCCAGAAATTAAAATATAATTTTAAAAAATTCAACTTTTTCTCAATGATTACCTATTTATACCTCATGTTATTTTTGGCCAATGTTTTATTTATACTATATTTCAGACTCCTTTCTTTTGATATTACTTCTGTAGTCAGGATTAATACTTATTACACTAAGCAATGTACTTAGCAATTTCTTTGTTAAACATCATATCATGTATTTTACTTCTCCTATTCTGTTTATTTTCCTCTAAGAAATGTCCTTCAATCTTCCTCTAAGGCTCAAATTTCTAGATTTTCCAGGGAGAGGCATTTGGGCTTTTATATATATTACCTATTGTTATATCAGAAAAGTAAGAATTTTTAAGTACATCAATGTTATTACTGACTTGTCAATATTGAATTTGTGGACAACATATCTATGACATAAATAATTAATACCTGTAATTGTGATTGACAAATAATCTTTTTAAAAACTTTCAATTGGAGTAAAATACACATAATGTAAAATTTATCATTTAACCATTTTTAAATGGACAGTCTCATGATATTGAGTCCATTCACAATGTTATACAATCATTATCATCATCTATTCCAGAGCTCATTTCATTATGCAAAACTGAAACTCTGTATCCATTAAAGGATTACTACTCATTCTGCCTCCCACCCCAGCCTCTGCTAATCACCATTATTTTACTCTCTGATTCTATGAATTTAACAACCCAATGTACTTCATTGAATTTGGTAGTTTGTTATTCTTTTTGTGGCTGGCTTATTCCACTTAGCATAATTAGTCAAAGCTCTTCCATGTTGTAGCAGGTGTCAGAATTTATTTCCTCTTTATGGATAAATAACATTCTTATATTTTTTTTATCCATTTATCCATTATAGGCAATTGGGTTATTTCCACCTTTTGGCTATTGGGAATAATGCTGCTATAAATTATTACTGTAAACACACACACACACACCCCACAACTCTGTGTCCATTAAAAGATTACTAATCATTCTCCCTCACTCCCTCCCCAGCCTCTGGTAACCACCAGTGTACAGATATATTTTGAGTGTATAAATATATTTTCCTCAAGACTCTGCTTTCAATTCCTACGTATATATATCCAGAAGTAGAATTTATGGATCATACGGTAGTTCTATTTTTAGTTTTTTGAGGAGCTTTTATACTGTTTTTTATGGTGGTTGCACCATTTTACATTTCCATCAACAATGTGTAGGGGTTCCAATTGATCCACAATCTCACCAATACTTATTTTCTGTTTGTTGTTGTTTTTGGTGGGGTGTGTGTGTTTGTTTATAGTAATCATTTAAATAAATGTGAAGCGATATCTCATTGTGGTTTCCTTTGCATTCCCTAATGATTAGTGATATTGAACATCCTTTTTTTGTGCTTGTACAACATTTGAATATTTTTTAATAGAAATCTATTCAAGTTATTTGCCCATTTTTGAATCAGGATTTGTGTGTATGTGTTGACTTGCAGGAACCCCTCTTGGTTTTCATTTCAAAAGGTCATTGTAGAACAAAAATGAGCACATATATATATATACACACACACACACACACACATATACACATATATAGACACATAGACACACACACACACATATATATATGGATAGTGCTTTAAGATGCTGATAGAATATAATAAAATTTATAGGACAACACAAGCTATATAAGGTATGCTATTTTAATCCAATGGAATATTAAATTTTCCAAATACATAGTAAATAGTATTAAATATTATATATTGAAAATATTTTCCTCTGTCTCTGATTCAGTTTCCTTTTTGGTAAAGATATATTGAATCTATTCTATGATGAAAAAATATTGTTAAAATTTAAAGACCTCTAAGAAACTTCATACGCTCATTTTCTCTTATCTTGCTGTTTTTCTCCCCAGATATAGTTTGATTAAAGAGAAAACTGCAAACATATTCAAGGATAATAATAAAATAAAATAATTTAAATGTTGGAGAACTATTATTTCTAAAACAGAGTGGGATGCACTGGTATTTATTAAAATATTAAATTGTTAATTTGTTGATAATTATTTATAAAAACAAAAATTTACAGATTTGAAAGCAAAAATTACATTAATTTTTATACCAAACAGTTGCCTCTTTGAACATATCAGCATGGTAAACAGAATTATGGAAAGCAATACAAATAATTACAAAATAATATTTACATTTAAAATGATAAAAAAGAAATTCATGCAGTCTTGAAAATTATAACAGTATATTTGATTTAATATTTTATTCTACAGTCTGTAATAGATTATTTTATGAGAAAGTATACTTTAAAAAATTGAGTGAAGCTGAAGAATATCAGTTTGGAATGTATAGAGAATAATGATCATAAAACCAAAAGCAAGCAAAACAAAAGCAAACAAAACAATAAAATTAGTCAAAATACAGTCTAATATAGGATGAAAGCTTAGGTTTAGCCCACAACACAAAATTTAACTGAATCAACAAATTTCTAAATTTTACAATGTAAAAAATGTGTTACTTTTTACATACTTTACAGTGAGTGTACCCCAGCTGCACTGAAATTAAAAAAGAGCTCCAAATAATTTGTTAAAATAGGAAACTATTAGCCTCCTTTCATTTTTACCATAATCCATCTGTGAGCCGCATTTAAAAACATACTTTAACTGAGGCCATATTTTCCAAATGATTTCCCTAATGGAGTACAGTTGACATTTATGTCAATGCAAATATCATCTACAACATGGAAATTTTTATGGTTGATTGGCTTAGGATATAGGATTCCAATCCAAAATGTTGGGTTAAATTTCTGCCATGCCACTTACACTCCATGTGAATTGAAACAGATTTCTTAAATTTCTAAATCTGCACAGTCTTTTTTTTTCAATCTATAACAGAGGGTTCTTGATAATAAATGACTGTCTTTCATAGGGCCACAGTAAAGATTCAAAGAACTGGCATTCATGAAGTCAAACATACCATAAAAGTTAATGGTAAGAAACAAAGTGCATGGTAGTGATGAACACAGCAAGGTTTGGAGTGAGAGTGCATTTAAAGCCCAGATCTATCACTGTTATAATTATTAATTGGCTCATTGTCCGTTAATATCACATATATTTAATGGAATACTAAATATAAACATAAAAAATACATTTTTTGCTTGTATTTAAAATGAGGATATTATTTATCTCATTTCCTAAATATAATTTTGAGGATTTAATGATTTAATAAAGAACTTCATACAGCAGTATGATGAAGCAGCCTTATGGTAGGTCAGTTTGATATATTTTGTGCATTATTAAAATTGTTATTTATTTTATGTTCTCTCATTTTTTCCAATGCTTGTATTGTTTTAAGACTTTCAAATATTTAGAAGAGATTTATAGGCAAATCAAAATCTTCGTAAACATAATTCAGGCCTTCTAATATAATTTGCTTCAAGATCTAAAAACATCTGTCATTTGATACAATGTGGTTTTATGTTAATTCATGGAGAAGAAGAAAAATATTGCATAAAATGAGGTATACTTTTATTACAATGAATCATGGAACACAGTTTTATTTAACAAACTAAATTATTGGTACTGTAAACAAGATTAGAAAGATAAATGTCATTTTTAATGAAGTATTTTATCTCACTGTAGTATGAAAGCAAACACCACATAAACGTATCAGACCCACCAAAATTTTATACAAACTGCTTGTCCTTGGTTAAACCCTAGAAGTTCAAAATGAAATGTAATGTTTACTCTTTAGAACTCTAAAAATATAAGAGTTACTTAATTTACCTATATCATTCCCCAAGGCATTTTATAAAAGAAATAGGATAATTTAATCTTAGGCAATAGAAATAAATTTTTCATGTTCAGCTAAGTTACAATAATGTAGACCTACATTTTTTAAATTTTCAAACTCAGAGTTTGTTTTAAAATGATTCAAATTTTATATTTTTTAAAAAATTTATCAAATAGCAGCTTAAATTTATATTGTTTTTGAATTATGAGCCACTTTGGATATTTTTCATCTTAATTCTAAAATATATAAAATATAATTATTTATCAATAATGATCATTTTCACTTTTTTTTTTTCTTAAGATGAGTTCTCACTCCGTTACCCAGGCTGGATTACAAGATAAGTCACAAGATGATAGCTTACTGTAGCATTCAATTCCTGGGCTCAAGTGATCTTCCCACCTCAGCCTCCGAGTCCCTGATTTCATAGGCATGTGCCACCACACCCAGCCACCAATGTGTTGTTAAAATATATGTCAAGTGAAATGGAGAGATAGAAAGGGATTCATTAAAGGATACAAAACCACAGCTACAAAGAAGGGATGAGTTCTAGTGTTCTCTACCACTGTAGAATTACTATTACTAACAATAATATATGGATTCAAACAGCTAGAAGGAGGATACTAAATGTTCTTAGAACAAAAAAAAAATGAGATGATAAATAGTATTGGTCAATTAAAAAAATGAAAAATAAAATAAAATATGTCAATCAGTTTGAATTTCTTCCAAAAAGAGGTATATATTTATGTTTGCATATGTTCTGTAAACTGCATTTTAATCTTAGAAAAAATTGATATAATCAATTTATCAATTGATTAATCAAATGAATGCTTTAATCAGACCAATGTTTTAAATGAAATGTCCTATTAAATATAATCATGAATATATAATTTGTTGTATAATATATTTTAATTATGTAGTGCAAAAAATGTAAAAAATGGTTTTAAAATTGTATTGTTATAAATTATATCTAACATTTAAGCTTGCTGCCAGGGCAACTACACTTTCTTACTAGATGCTCTATTATTTGAATTGGAAAATAGAAAAGTATAAAGTAAGGATCAAAAATATGCTTTATGAATCTAGCCAGAACATATCTAAATTCAGATATCAAAACAATTTACCTACCATGTGAATATACCTGAGACTAGAACAAAGTTCTTTTTCTTTCTTTAATTTTTTTTTTATTATTATTATACTTTAAGTTTTAAGGTACATGTGCACAATGTGCTGGTTAGTTACATATGTATACATGTGCCATGCTGGTGTGCTGCACCCATTAACTCATCATTTAGTATTAGGTATATCTCCTAATGCTATCCCTCCCCCCTCCCCCCACCCCACAACCCAGCCATCCCGTTACTGGGTATATACCCAAAGGACTATAAATCATGCTGCTATAAAGACACATGCACACGTATGTTTATTATGGCACTATTCACAATAGCAAAGACTTGGAACCAACCCAAATGTCCAACAATGATAGGCTGGATTAAGAAAATGTGGTACATATACACCTTGGAATACTATGCAGCCATAAAAAATGATGAGTTCATGTCCTTTGTAGGGACATGGATGAAATTGGAAATCATCATTCTCAGTAAACTATAGCAAGGACAAAAAGCCAAACACAGCATGTTCTCAATCATAGATGAGAATTGAACAATGAGAACACATGGACACAGGAAGGGGAAGTTCTATTTCTTTTTCCAGGATACAGCATCCCGGCCAGGAACTGCTTCCAAATTTTATTACAGTTTACATACTTTGAATTTTTTTTCAATATATGGATCTGTATTCTAATTTGCAATTTGAGCAAATTATTCTTGTTAATACTTAAAATCCACACTGTAGTGTTAATACTGATTTATATTTAATGGAATTTGGCAGTTTATTTTTTCTGTTTTATCATTAAACAGATATATTGAATGTCTAAAATATGCAGAACACTTTGGTTCCTTTCAGCCTGTAAAAATGAATTGAGAATGAATCATTTATTCAAGGAATTCATAATGTTTTTAATTAAATGACTAAGGAGTTCCAAGAAAAAAGAAATTATTTTAATTAATGGGATCAAAGACGTCTCCAGAGGAATGAAGTTGTGTCAAGCTGAGACTTGGAAGAGAGACAAGGATTTGCACATATAGGTAAGGACTTAAGTGGTGATTCAGAAAGGAGCATGTCCAGAGGGAAGTTTGGGGTGTGTAACATATTATAAGTTGGTCCACAAAAAACAGAAAGGATTGCTAGTTGGCAAGCCTTTGTAGGAATTTCGGTGTCAGTCTAAAGTATATATAGGCTTTATTTGCCACATAATGGTATGACCTGAAGAGTTTCCATGGTGAACAACAAGGTCAATGCTATTCTGAAGAAAAAATAATTAGGCTTCAACATCCCAAAGCACTTGGAGGAAGAAGGTGAACCAAACATTATGTAATAGATGCAAATTCCATGGTAATGGGTATTTGTCAATCTCATGGTGACAGATACAAGACTTCCAAAATTCTAACATTTACTAGGAATTTTTTTGATTACTCCAAATACTCTCTACAATCTCTATTTTGTTCTTTCAAATTAAAAATTCACTCCATTTATTTTTGAGGAAACTTGAATTAGATACCTAAGGCAGGATAATGATAATTTTTCTGTTGGTTGTTTTCTTTAAGTAAAAACAATATTCTGTGAATAAAAGTGGCTAAAGTCTTGAGCAATCCTTCTCTAAAAAGGCCTATGAAAGGACAGTAGACTAAGCAAACGCATGTTCAACATCATTGGTTATCAAGTAAATACTTATTAAAATTTCAGTGTGATATCATCACATACCCCTTCAAGATAGTGTGATATTTTGCAGTTTAATTTTATTCTTTAATTCTAAAATGTTTATATTACTATCACTGAATGTTAGCCAGAATGTGCTTAAACATTATTGGATGGAGTGCATTGTCCGATCAACAGTTGGAAATTGCTCAGTCAGTTCTCTTGAAGGTAAGTACACATGTACTTTATTTACAGTAATTTTACTAACATAAAAAATACTCCTAAGGAGTTGAATAATAATATTCATTGCAGTGCCATTCATAACCACAAGCAGAAAAAGAAATCCATCAACAAGTGAATGGATAAGCAGATTCCAATGTGCTCTTAAAATGGAAAAACTCTTCAATAATCAAAAGAAACAAACTCTTGATACAGAAAACTTGAATGAAATTGAAAAGGCTTGTTCTAAGTAAAAAAAAAAAAAACTATTACAGATGAAAGGGTATTTCATGTATAATTACTTTTACATGTCCATTAAAAATAGTATAAGTCAACTTGATCATCCTTGCAATGTACACATTTTATTTCTAGTTTGCTTTTTCATAGTGACATAATATCACTATTGTTCTATAAATCATGCTTCTTTAGATTTACACATACAGTGACTACTTTCGCTGATAAGGCTTCTTTTTTGTTTTTTCACTCTTCTGAAAAGATCTGTAACCTGAATTATATCTTTCATGATGCTTTATTGAGGTTCTGTCAATAGAAAATGCTCCATATTATCTCATTTGAAAATGATCTAATGTCTTCATTTTAAATATATGTTTTGCTGGGTATATAATTCCAGACCAAAGTTATTTTCTTTTAGAAAATTGAGTTTATGATTTCATTGTGCCCCATCTTCCATTGCTTCCATTGATGTGGCACTTTTATTCTATTTCATTGGTAATATAAAGTATTGTAAATATTTTCTTTGAGTTTGCTTTTTGTTTTCACTATGATATAATAAAGTGCACATATTTTTATCTACTTTGTTCAGAAATTACAGGATCACTGGGATTTTTTTCTCTTGTCTTTTCAACCGTTGATTTAATTTTGATAAATTCTTTTGCATTATCAGTTAAAATGTTTATTCCTGTCCCAGTCTTTTCTTTCTTCTCTTTCTGGAAATACAGTTATATACAGTAAGCTATTTAGTACCAGTTGTAGAAATATTGGGGGCAGTAAAATATTTTTATCCAGCCCTCCTGAAAGAGTGGCATGGTGGTCATATTGGAACAGCCAAGGAAATCTAGAAAGGCAGGCACATCCATCTGTCAATAGGGGGCCACAATAGTGAGTTGGTGGAAAAGGCTCTGGAAGTCTGGTATCTCTTTATCTGGCTGTGGACATGGACTGCTGATGGTCAGCTAGGTGGGCAGCTGAGAAAAAACTATATGTAGAAGGGGAGAGTTCAACAAGTTGGAAACTGGTAGCATCTCTGGATTTCCCTGGAGTGTCATGAAGTACATGATAAGACTAAAATTGGATTCTACTTCTGCATGTGTCTCATATTGCATATAAAATGATAAGCTGAGAGACTTATGGCAGCCAATTCTGCATTCTTAATGACATATAAACTTGTCTTTTAGACAAATCTTACCTAATAGGAAATACAGATCTATGTTAGCCAAGTTGAAACACTGGAAACTAAATATAAGAAAAGGATGTGAGGAATTGTTAACACTTGCTTTGGATTCCACGTAGTTGGTGGTATGAAAGCTTATGGAATTAAGTTATATCACGGCTCCAAATCTGTCATTGATTTTCCTAAAATTTCTGGTTACATATTGTGTAATAAGTAAATGATTAAATCATCTACATCTCCTTTTCACTATGTATGTTTTCTTAACTATCTTTTTAAATATTTGAGTCTTTTTCTGTGTAAAGATACTTGTCATTTTATAATACTTTCAAATTGCCATGATCTAATACTTTGAAATTTACCTATGTGATGTTTTACTAATTCCTATTTCTGGAATTCTCAATAGGCTTATACTGGAACATTTCAATCACCTTCTTTAATTTTAGTGTTTATTTATTCTTGCATTAAAATTTTATATAGTATTAAATATAAAATATATTTATATATTATATTTATATAAATATAAATATATTTATATAAAATAAAGTATATAAAATATTAAAATTTTATATAGTATTTATCCATTCTCTCACTCTCTTATTGACATTGTTTTAATTGGCTCTATTTCACTATGATATATATTAATGAATACATTTTATACATCTGCTATATATGTCTATTTTATATATTAATAATTTTATAGCTATATGTCATGTTTGTACATAGAGTAATATATATATTTGTGTGAGTATATATATATGTACATATACATATCTCCTACATTTTTAATTGACTCTTTTATATACCTTTGCATTATAATTATTTTGGTTTATACCTTTGTAGTATTTTGTATATTTTGTATGTATTAATATTTAATAATCTTAAACATTAATAAGTCCATTTCAGATTCAAAATCCAAGAAACTAGAGGTGTTTTTTTCTTCCTAATTTGTTAGACTCATTGGCTATCTGTAACGAAGTTATTTTTCAAATTTTAAGTTTGAAATATTCTTCAGAGGAACTTTTTTTTTCTCTAATAAAAGACACTATTGTAAGCATATACTCCACTCGGTCACTAGATGATTCCAGTTCTGAATCAAGTCATATATTGGTAGCATGTGGTTTGTGGTTTGCTAATAGATCTCAGAGCCAGTCCCGAAGCTAAAACTAGGTTGGCCCAGGCCTTTATTGTAGATGTCTCTCTCAATACAAGCCCCAGGAAGTGGTCACTTTAGTTTTTTTTTGTATCTTTCTTCACAGAGGATCCTTCCTACAGCCTCCTGTCTCAAGTCTTGTTGCCAGCTCAGACTTTCAAATCACATGAATTGCTCTCCTATGCTAGTATGCTGCAGAGGTTGAAATCCTACCTGTGCTCACTCCCAGGCCCAGACCTTTGCTGACCTATGTTAAGCTCATAGGTTTTCTGGACAATATTTTCTAGACTATCAAGATGTATATCTATAATAAACTATCTGGGTTCAGTTTCTGACATTTGACAGCTTTCAGCCTCGCCTTACCTCTTTTGCTTTCCCTTCTGTGCCTCATCTAGACAAGATAATAAGAAAGCCTCTGTTGACCCCTCATTTGGTGCCAACAGAAATTTAAACATTCCTGAGCAGGGGGACATCACCCTAGCCATACCCCCAAACCATAATTAAAATCTCAAGCTCTTTTCTTTTATCTGCTCTCTCAATCCTTTTATTTATTTTGTTAAAGTTTATATTAGGTCCAGGGGTACAGGTGCATGTTTTTTATATAGGTAAATTGCATATCATAGGGGCTTGGTGTACAGATTATTTCATCACACAGGTAATAAGCATAGTACCTGATAAGTAGTTTTTCTATTACCACTCTAATCACACCCTCTAAACTCAACTAGGCACTAGTGCTCTAGTGTCTTTTGTTCCCGTCTTTGTGTCCATATGTACTCAACGTTCAGCTCCCACTTTTAAGTGAGAACAAGTGGTATTTGGTTTTCTGTTCTTGTGTTTGTTTGCTTCAGGTAATGGGCTCTGGCTCTGTCTATGTTGCTGCCTCAAAGAACATGATCTTGTTCTTTTTTATGACTGAATACTATTCCATTGTGTGTGTGTGTGTGTGTGTGTGTGTGTGTGTGTGTGTACCTAAATGTCCATCAGTGGCAGGCTGGATATATATATAATTATATATTATTTTACATATATATTTATAATTATATATACAATTATAATATTATTGGTAGTCTCATAGGAATAGCATTATATATAAATATAAATACATTTATATTTATATATAAAACATATATATAAATATAAATACATTTCTATTTATATATATAAAACATATATATAAATATATATATTTATATGTATATATAAAAACATATATATAATATATATACATTTATGTTATATATAAAAACATATATATAATATATATATATTTATATGTATATATAAAACATTTTGGTTCCATGTCTCTGCTATTGTGAATAGTGGCACAATGAATATACATGTATACATGTACATGTGTCTTTATAGGAGAATGATTTATATTCTTTGGGTATATGCCCAGTATGGAATTGCTGGGTGAAATGGTAATTCTGTTTTAAGTTATCTGAGAAACTGCCAAACTAAATTACACAATGGCTGAACTAACTTACATTCCCATCAAAGTATATAATCATTCCCTTTTCTCCACAACCTTGTCAGCATCTGTTATTTTTTGACTTTTTAATAATAGCCATTCTGACTAGTGTTAGAGGGTATCTCATTGTGGTTTTGACTTTCATTTCTGTAATGATTAGTGATGTTGAGCATTTTTTCAGATGCTTGTTGGCCGTGTGCATGTCGTCTTTCGAAAAGTGTCTGTTCATGTCATTTGGCCACTCTTTAATGGGGTTGTTTGTTTTTCACTTGTTAGTTTGTTAAAGTTTCCTGTAGATGTTGGCTATTAGGCCTTTGTCAGGTGCATAATTTGCAAATATTTTCTCCAATTCTATAGGTTATCTATTTGCTCTGTTGATAGTTTCTCTCCAGAAACACTTTAGTTTAATTAGGTCTTATTTGTCAATTTTTGTTTATATTGCAATTGCTTTTTGCATCTTCATCACAATTATTTGCCAGATTATGTCCAGAATGGCATTTCCTAGGTTATCCTCTAGGATTTTATAATTTCAGGTTTTACATTTCAGTATTTAATCCATCGTGACTTGGTTTTTGAATATGGTGTAAGAAAAAGGTCCAGTTTCAATCTTGTGCATATCGCTAGCTAGTTATCCCAGCACCATTTATTGAATAGGGAGTTATTTTTTCTAATCAAAAACAACTTTGTCAAAGATCAGACAGTTGTAGGTGTGTGGCTTTATTTCTGAGCTCTCTATTTCATTCCATTGGTCTATGTGTCTGTTTTTGTACCGGTACCTTGAAGTTTAGGTTACTGCAGCCTGGTAGTATAGTATGAAGTCAGGTAATGTGATGCCTCCAGGTTTGTCATTTTAACTTAGGGTTGCCTTAGCTATTCAGTCTCTTTTTCTGTTCCATTTGAATCTTAAAATGAGTTTTTCTAATTCTGAGAAAAATATTATTGGTAGTCTCATAGGAATAGCATTGAATCTGTAAATTGCTTTGGACAGTATGCCCATTTTGACAATATCAGTCCTTTCTATCCATGAGCATGACATATTTTTTCATTTGTTTGATCATCTCTGATTTCTTTGAGCAGTGTTTTGTGATTCTCGTTGTAGAGATCTTTCTCATACCTGGTTAGTTGTATTTCTAGGCATTTTATCCTTTCTGGCCACTGTGAATGGGATTACATACTTGATTTGGCTCTCAGCTTGGATGTTGTTGGTGTATAGAAATGCTACCAATTTTATATTTTATGTTCTGAAAGTTTGCTCAAGTTGTTTATAAAATCAAGGAGCTTTTCGTCAGAGGCTATAAAATTTTCTTTGTATAAAGTCATATTGTTTGCAAACAGAGATAATTTGACTTCCTCTCTTCCTCTATGGATTATATGGTTTGGCTCTGTGTCCCCATCCAAATCTCATCTCGAATTGTAATCCCCACATGTAAGAGGAGTGTCCTCATGGGAGGTGATTGGATCATGGGGGCAAATTTCCTCCTTGCTTTTCTCGTGATAGTGAGTGAGATCTGATGGTTTTAAAGGGTGGTACCTCACTCCCACCCCTTTCCTACTGCCGTGTAAGATGTGCCTTGATTCCCCTTTGCCTTCTGCCATGATTGTAAGTTTCCTGAGGCCTCCATAGCCATGCAGAACTGTGAGCCAAGTAAGACTTTTTTGATTATAAATTACCCAATCTCAGGTAGTTCTTTGTAACATTGTGAAAATAGACTATACAATGGATGCCTCTTATTTATTTTTCCTCCCTGATGCCTCTGGCCAGCACTTTCAAAAAGATTTTGAATAGGAGAGGTGATAGAGGGCATTCTGTCCTTGCTCCAGTTTCCAAGGGGAATGCTTCCAGCTTTTGCCTATTCAGTGTGATGTTGGCTGTGGGTATGTAATAGATGGCTCTCATTATTTTGAACTAGGTTCTTTCAATACTTAGTTTTTTGAGAGTTCTTAACATGAAGGGATGTTGAATTTTATTGAAAGCCTTTACTGCATCTTTTGAGATGATCATGTGGGTTTTGTTTTTGTTCTGTTTATATGATGAATCACATTTATTGATTTGTGTATACTGAACCAACCTTAAATCTCAGGGATAAAAGCTACATGATCGTGGTGATTTAGCTTTTCAATGTGCTGTTAGATTTGAGATACTAGTATTTTGTGAGTATTTTTGCATTTTGCTTATCAAGGATATTGACCTAAAGTTCTTTGTTGTTGTGTTTCTCAGAGATTTTGTATTACAATACTGCTGGCCCCATAAAATAAGTTACAAAAAGATCCTTCTTCAATTTTTTGAAATAGTTTCAATAGAAATGGTACCAACTCTCCTTCATACATCTAGATGAACTTCACTGTAAATCCATCTGGTTCTGAGCTTTTCCTAGTTGGTAGGGGATTATTACTGATTGAATTCTGTAACTCATTATTTGTCTGTTCAGGGATTTGTTTCTTTCTGTTTCAACCTTGGGAGGTTGTATGTTTCCAGAAATTTATCCATTTCTTCTAAGTTTTCTAACTTGTATGCATAAAAGTGTTCATAATAGTCTCTGAGGGTTTTTGTACTTTTGTGGAGTCAGTGGAAATGTCTCCTTTGTTATTTCTGATTGTGTTTATTTGGATATTCTCTCTTTTTTTTCATTTTAGTCTAACTAGTACTCTATCAATCTTTATTTATTCTTTCAAATAAGCAACTCTTGAACTCATTAATGTTTTGTATGGTTTTTCACATCCCAATTTCCTTTAGTTCAGATTTGATTGTGGGTATTTCTTGTCTTTTTTAGCTTTGGGGTTGGTTTGCTCTTTTTTCTCTAGTTCCTCTAGGTGTGATGTTCTGTTGTTAATTTGATGTTCTAACTTTTTGATGTGGGTGTTTAGTGCTATAAATTTTCCCAATAACAGTGCTTTAGCTGTGTCCCAGAGATTCTGGTATGTTGTATCTTTGTTCTCATTCTTTTCAAGGAATTTCTTGATTTCTGTGTTAATTTCCTTGCTTACCCAAAAGTTGTTTAAGAGCAGGTTGTTTAATTTCCATGTAATTCTACGGTTTTGAGTGATTTTCTTAGTATTTATTTTCATTGCACTGTGGTCTTTGTGGTTCATATGATTTTTTTTTTAATTTGCTAAGGATTGTTTTATGGCTGATTTTGTGGTTGATTTTAGAGTATGTGCCATGTGTATCTGAGGAGAATGCATATTTTGTTGTTTTGGGGGTTGAGGGGTCTGTAGACATATATTAGGCCCATTTGGTCAAATGTTGAGTTCAGGTCCCGAATATTATTGTTAGATTTCTGACTCAATAATCTGTCTAAAACTGACAGTGGGGTTTGAAATCTCCCACTATTATTGTGTTGTTATCTAAGTCTCTTTATATCATAGGTCTCTAGGAACTGGCTTTATGAATTTGAGTGCTCCTATGTTGGGTGCATATATCTGTTTAAGATAGTTTTGTCTTCCTTTTGAATTGAACCCTCTAACATTATGTAATGTCCTTCTTTGTGTTTTTTGATCTTTGTTGGTTTAAAATCTGTTTTGTCTGAAATTAGAGAAACAACCCCTCCTGCTTTTTTTTTTTTCCATGTTATGATTACTTGGTAGACTTTTCTCCATCCCTTTACTTTGAGCTTACTACGTCTTTGCATGTAAGATAGGTCTCTTGAAGATAGTATACCAATGATTCTTGCTTCTTTATCCAACTTGCCATTCTGCATCTTTAAATTGGGGCATTCAGCTCTTTTATATTCAAGGTTAATATTGATATGTGTGGATTTGATCCTGTTATCATGTTGCTAGCTGGTTATTATGCAGACTTGATTGTGTGGTTGGATTATAGTGTCAATGATCTTTGTTCTTAAGTATGTTTTTATGGTGGCAGGTAATGATCATTTCTTTCTATATTTAACATTCCTTTCAGGACCTCTTGTATGGCAGGCCTGGTGGTAACAAACTCCCTTAGCATTTGCTTATCTGAAAGGGATTTTATTTCTCCTTCACTTATGAGGCTTAGTTTCGCCAGATATAAAATTGTTGGCTGAAATTTCTTCTTTGTTTTAAGAATGCTGAATATCAGCTCTTAATCTCTACTCTTAGTTTAATGGAGTTCCCTTTGTAAGTGACATACCCCTGTTTTCTAGTTGCCTTTAACCTTTTTCTTTAATTTTAACAATGGATAATCTGATTACTGTGTGTCTTGGTTATGGCATCTACTGTGGTATCTTGCAGGGGTTCTCTACATTTTCTGAATTTGAATGTTGACCTCTCTAGTGATATTGGGGAAATTTTCACGGACAATACACTGAAATATGTTTTCTGAGTTGCATGCTTTCTCTCACTTTCTTTCAGGGACATCAGTGAGACATAGATTTGGCCTCTTTACAGAATTCCATGTTTCTCAGAGGTTTTGTTCTTTCTTTTTAAGTCTTTTTACTTTATTTTTATCTGAATGAGTTATTTCAGAGAACCAATCTTCAAGCTTTGAGATTCTTTCCTCAGCTTGGTCAATTTTGCTATTAATACTTGTGATTGTGTTCTGAAATTCTTGAAGTGAGTTTGTCAGCTCTATCATATAAGTTTGGTTCTTTCTTAAAATGACCATTTCATCTTTCATCTACTGTATTGTTTTATTATATTTCTTAGTATCCTTTAATTGGGTGATGAATTTCTCCAAAGAAACTCAATGATCTTCATTCCTATACATACTCTGAACTATATTTCTGTCATTTTAATCACTTCAGCCTTGTTAAGAATCATTGCTTGGGAACTAGTTCGATCATTTGGAGGTAAGAAGACACTCTGGTTTTCTGAGTTGCCAGAGTTATTGTGCTGATTCTTCCTCATCTGTATGGGCTTATGTTCCTTCAGTCTTTGAAGTTGCTGTTCTTTGGATGGATTGTTTTGCCTTTATCTTCTTTGATGCCGTTGGGGGTTTGATTGTGGTATAAGATGGGTTCAGATGACTGGCTTTGTTTCTGAAAGATTTTATAGGGTCAAGGCTCAGCTCAGCACTCCTGGGCTGTGTGCTTTAACACTGAGGGGCTGGTAACAGGCCTTTCTGGTCGTGTTCTCTGGCCACTTGAGGTTAGGAATCTGTTGCACTGGAGGGGCCGCGGTGTTCCTGGACCACTGGCCACAGCAGTCCATTGGATGGGACAGGACAAAGCCCTTATTGGGGCAGTGGCAGTGGGATCTGTGCCTGTTCATGTGTGCTTGCAGCAGTGGCAGTGCAACAGAGTGCACACGTCAGCTGGGGCGGGATACCAGTGGGAGCAGGGCTGCAGCATTTCTTCAGGTAATCACACTGCTGCTGGTGGAGGTGGGAAACAGGGTGCTGGTGGGTGTGGGGCTGCCAGATCCCATGCATGCCTTTGCAGAGGCAGCAGTGTTGGTACAGAGGGGGCTGGGTTGCCGGCCACATATATGCATTCACACTGGAGGCACTGACTGCATAAGGGTGAAGGTGGGGTTGCTGGCATCTGTGCATGCATTGGCACTGGTAAAGTGTTGGGAGGATGAACAAGGGTGATTGCCTTCCAGCAAAGTAGTACAAGTGAGACTGAAGTAAGGGGAGGGTGCAGATGAGCTGGTGCTTGTTAGCAGGTGGTGCTCTGCTGGAGCTCTCCAGTGGTCAGGCATGGTCTGCTGGAGAAGGAACTATGATGAAGGTCCCCAGAAAGTGCCCCAGTTGGGCAAGTGAGGCTACGTTGCAAGTAGGCATGGCCAGGCTGGGGCACCAAAAGAGGCCAGCAGCTGGGGGGTGATCAGATCAGACTGGCCTCATCTCTCAAGCAAAACCACCCTGCTCTTTCCAGGTCTAAAAGTCTTCCCTGGGCTAAAGTCTCTTAGGAGAGCATGGTGAACCTTGGATAATGAGCATCCCTGGCCATGCTCTACTGCAGATGTGCACATACTAAACCCTCTAGGCTCTCCTCAGGCTGGAGTTTCTCCCCCTGTGAAAAGTAGCTCTCAAGGCAGCTTTCCCTGCGAGCTTAAGTGTCTGTGGGGGTTTTGGGGTCTCCCACTGCCAGAATTTCAGAGCTTTATAATAAGAGTGGGTCACTCCTCATTTGTCCAACTCACCCCTTCCCCAATAGTTATTGGGGGATAGGAATGAGTCCTAGTGTGAGGTAGCCCTGTGCAAGGTTCCCAGCTTCCTCCCCATTCAGCCTAGCATCTGTGTCCGTCTTCCATCCACGCTCAATGCTTTCCATCTGAAGGTCTGCTCAGGGTATCCCAGTCCTCCCAGTGTCCCAGTCTTTCAGTGGCAGATGTTCTCCTGATCATCTCTAGTCAGCTATCTTCAATCTTGCACTTTTTTGTTTCAATCCCTTAATTTACCTGCTTGACATCCAACTTTCTCTCCCCAGAAAGCCTCTTATGTGGATAATATACCTTTCACAACTGTGTGTTTGTGTGTGTTTTTGTGCATGCACACGTATGTGAATCATCAGTCTCAATATCCTAATCAAATTTGGGGCAGTGATTCATCTAGTCCTATGGGTGGCCACAGCCTCTTCATTGTAGCTTGGTTAGTCTATTGAAATTTGTGAAATGTTTTTCTTAAGTACTATATTTCTGTGTGGTGGGATGAATGAATGGGACATATTTCACAAAAACTCACTTTGCCATTTGAATAAGACAATTGTTGTTCATAGTGACATGTTTTATTTTTAACTGTTAGCCTTACTTTAGTTTTCTTTTTCTTTTTTTAAAATATATATATTTTAACTATTTTTGTTAGTATAAAAATAGTTTCTGAAATCAGAAAAAAGGAAATAATTTTCACATGAGTTTTTAGTGACTTGTGCCTGTGAGTCTACAGATAACATAGAGAATCATCAAATAGATTTTTGAAAAACATTTTAGATTTTTATTAATACAGCTTAACCTATACTTTGATTCATAAAGAATTTTATTTTTAATATTAGATGTTTTTCTCTCAGATAATATATCATGTCTTTCCATAAATAAAGTCATTAATATCTAGGAGAATAATTTGCAGCCCTTCTTAAAGTGTTCTATATAACTTTGCAGAATCACAAAAGTTCTTTTTATTTTCATATTGTTATTGGGTGGAATAAATTTAACTCAGATGATTTAACTCAATGCTAGTATAAAAGTCACCTATGGTTTTATTATATTTGTGTGATTAGCCATTCTTTGAACTGTCTTATTAATCTCACATTTTTTCTATTGATTTATATAGATTTTCTAAGGATAAAACATATTAACTACAAATACATTTAAATTCTCTACCTCATTATCATTTCAGTGGTAGAAATTTGAGAAAAAATTATTATGGATAAATGTTCTTTTTCTCTGAGTGTATTAATTTTTCTCCTATTTTGTGAAAGCTTTCCTCATTGATATTAATTACTGAAGCAATTTTATCATTTGGCATATTTGCTAACTTTGTCAAATTTTTAAGTAATATTTTAAATAGCTTTGTTTTCCATGCCTTTGAAATATTATGCAGTTCTGTCCTCATCTGTCGCTTCATGGTTTATGAAAATATCCAATATGCATTCAAAGGCAATACTATTTTGAAAGTTGCTTTGATAAATTTTCCAAATGCTTGACAGGCACTCTCTTTTTAAAATTAATTTAAAGGTTCTCATTTATAAAATATGCTATATCTAACTTTTTATTAGAAAGTAAAGATAATAGGAAGAAAATAAATAATGAAATATAATCTTACAATAAATTATATAATATTTAGATAATTCTATATGCAATATAATTCTTGATATGCCTATTATTCCAGATATTTATGTTGGAAATAAGTTTTTATAGTGTGTGGCTATTTCACCTTCACATATAACTATTTTTAAAAACTAACATCTGCACTTTAATTTAAACTTACAGAAAATCTGAAACTATTTCACATGATTCACCCAGATTCACAAATTGTTCACATTTTGCCACATTTGTTTTACCACCTCTATCTATCCATCTCTATCAATCTATTTATCTATCTAACATCTATTTGGCTATCTATATCTATCCATCTGTTGGTATCTATCTGATTATCTCTGAATTCATATTCATTTGTGAGTAAATTATGACACTGTGCCTCTTTTAAAATTTCATTTGACTTTCATAAGGATATGCATAAATATATATGGTAATAGCACCGTTATATAGTTACCTGGGTTACTTTCCTCTTTGGTTTAGTTATCCTATTCAAAATAAATACAGTGAGGCTTTTTTAAAATGGATTCTGGAGCCTCAATTCTGTTTCATTTATCACTGAGACAATACTTTTTTAATTTTTAAAATTCTATGTAACTTTTATTTTTGTTTCTGGGTGCATGTGTAGGTTTGCTATACAGGTGAACTCATGTCATGGGTGTTTGTTTTATAGATCATTTAATCACCAATGTATTAAGTCTAGTACCCATTAGTTATTTTTCCTGATCTTTTTCCTCCTCCCATTCTCCACTTTCTGGTAGGTCCTGGTATCTGTTGTTTTCCTCGAAGTGTCCATGTGTTCTCATTACTTACCTCCCACTTTTAAGTGAGAACATGCAGTGTATGCTTTTCTGTTCCTGCATTAGTTTGCTAAGGATAATGGCCTCCAGCTCCACCCATGTTCCTGCAAATGGCATAATTTTATTCTTTGTATGGCTGCATAGTATCTCATGGTGTATATGTACTAAATTTTCTTTATCCAGTAAATCACTGATAGACACTTATGTTGATTCTGTATCTTGGCAATTGTGAATAACTACAATGAAAATATACATTTGTTTGTCTTTAAGACAGAATGATTTACGTTTTGGGGGGTATACACCCCTTAATGAAATTGCTAGGTTGAATAGTAGTTTTGATTTTTGCCTTTGAGTAATTGCCACACTATTTTCCACAATATGAACTAATTTACATTCTCACCAACAGTATATAAGCATTCCTTTTTCTCTGTAACCTTGCCAGCACCTGATATTTTTTGACTTTTTAATGATACCCGTTTTGACTGGTGTGAGACGGTATCTCATTGTGGTTATGATCTGAATTTCTCTAATGTTCAGTGATGTTGAGCTTTTCTTTCATATAGTTTTTGGCCACATGTATATCTTTTGAAAAGTGGCTGCTCATGTTTTTCCCACTTTTTAATGGGGTTGTTTGCGGGTTTTTTGTAAATTTGTTTAGGTTCCTTATAGATGCTGGATATTAGATCTTTGTCAGATGCATCATTTACAAAAATTTTCTCCCATTCTGTAGGTTGTCTGTGTAATCTGTTGATACTTTCTTTTAATTGAAGGTCTTTAGTTTAATTAAATCCCATATATCATTTTTTGATTTTGTTGCAATTGCTTTTGGCATTTTTGTCATGAAGTCTTTGCCAGTTCCTCTGTTCAGAATGGTATTGCCTAGGTTGTCTTCCAGGATTTTTATAGTTTTGGGTTTTACATTTAAGTCTTTAATCCATCTTGAGTTGATTTTTGTATATAGTGTAAGGGAGGCATCCACTTTCAATTTTCTGCATATGTCTAGCTAGTTATCCCAGCACCACTTATTGAATAGGGAGTCCTTTCCCCATTGCTTGTTTTTGTCAAATTTATTGAAGAACAAATAAGGCTCAGACTAATTTCTGAGCTCTGTATTCTGTTCCACTGGTCTATGTGTCTGATTTTGTGTCATGTTGTTTTGGTTACTGTAGGCCTGAGGCATACTTTGAAGTCAAGTATTGTGATGCCTCCAACTTTGTTCTTTTTGCTTAGTATCGCCTGGGCTATTTGGGCTCTTTTTTGGTTCCATAAGAATTTTAAAATAGCTTTTTTTTTTCTAGTTTTTTGAAGAATGTCATTGCTAGCTTGACAGGAATAGCATTGAACCTGTAAATCACTCGACATTATGGCCATTTTAACTATATTGATTCTTCCCATCCATGAGCAAGGAATGTTTTTCCGTTCATTTGTGTCACCTCTGATTTCTTTGAGCACTGTTTGGTAATTCTCACTGTAGAGATTTTTCACCTCCCTGGTAAGTTGTATTTCTAGGTATTTTATTCTTTTTGTGACAATTGTGAAGGGGATTGCGTTCCTGATTTGGCTCCTGGCTTGGCTATTGCTGGTGTATAGGACTGCTAATGATATTTTACATTGATTTTGTATCCTGCCACTTTGCTGAAGTTTCTTATCAGCTCAAACAGCTTTTGAGCAGACTATGGGGTCTTCTAGATATGGAATCATATCCTCTGCAAACAGAGATAGTTTGATTTTCTCTCTCTGTATTTGGATGTTTTATTTTTCCCGCCTGATTGCTTTGGTCAGGCCTTCCCATAGTACGTTGAAAAGGAGTAGTGAGAGAAAGCATCTTTGTCTTGTGCTGGTTTTCAAGAGGAATTCTTTCAGCTTTTGCCCATTCATTATGATGTAGGCTGTGGGTATGTAATAGATGACTTTTATTATTTTGAGTTAAGTTCCTTCAATATCTAGTTTGCTGAGAATTTTTAACATGGACATTAAATTTTATTAAAAGCTTTTGCTGCATCTATTGAGATGATCATGTGGTTTTTGTCTTTAGCTCTGTTTGTGTGATGAATCACATTTATTGATTTGCATATGTTAATACGCCCTTGCATCCTAGGGATAAAGCCTACCTGATCATGGTGGATTAGCTTTTTGATGTGCTCCTGGGTTTGGTTTGCCAGTATTTTGTTGGGTATTTTTGCATCAGTGTTTATCAAGCGTATGGGCTGAAATTTTCCTTTTCTTTCTTTTACTATTACATTGTTTCATGTGTCTGTTTTTGTGCCAGTACCATGGTGTTTTGGTTACTATAGCCCTACAGTATAGTTTGAAGTCAGGTGGTATTGATGCCTCTAGCTTTGTTCTTTTTACTTAGGATTGCCTTGGCTATTCAGGCTGTCTTCTGGTTCCATATTAATTTTTAAATTATTTTCCTAGTTCTGTGAAGAAATTCATTTGTAGTTTAATGAAATAATGTTGAATCAATAAGTTGCTTCAGGCAGTACGGCCATTTTAATAACATTGATGACAACACTGAATATTTTCTTAATTGCTAGTTTTAGGCTGTATCTTTGATAGTCTAAATCTTATAATTTTGCTCTTCTCAAGCTTTTCTTGACTCTAGGCACTCTGCATTTTCAATAATTTTTAGAACCAACATTTAAAAATAAATTCTACAAAAAACTACTGTGGTTGCTTGGACTCACTTTGGATTTCTAAACAAATTTTGTCAGAACTGATGTCTTAATACTTTAGATTGAATTGAATATTTCGGATAGAATTTATCTCTTAATATTTTAAGTTCTTCCAATCCATGAGCTACAAATGCTTTTCCATGTACCTAGGTCTTCCTTAACTTTACTCAGCAATGTTTTGTAGAATTAGATTATTGTTTTTGCATAGCTTTTACTAGATATATTCCTAGGCCTATAGAATGTTTAACAATATCAATGTTAAACATCAATAACAGTGACTTACATCTACTCATTTAAAATATGTGGGCCACTCTTTAAAAACATCTGAAATGCTGGCTGTTCTTTTTACAACCTGAATGACTTAGAGGACACAATCAAAGCTTTGCTGAGATTTGAAAACAAAATGGAAATTTCTCTCTCTCTCTCTCTCTCTCTCTCTCTCTCTCTCTCTCTATATATATATATATATATATACATACACACACACCATATGTATATAATTTACAATGAAGCTACAAAATTATTTACATACTGATCCTTTGAGTTTTATTTTTTTATTTTTTGATAGTTCCCACAGGTAGGTCATTCTTTGTATATAATCTTGTTATTTAAGAATAATGACATCTGGGAGCAGTGGCTCACACCTATAATACCAGTACTTAGGGATGACAATGTGGGCGGGTTCCTTGACCTCAGGAGTACAAAACTAGCCTGGATAACATGGTGAAAACCCATCTCTACAAAAATACTAAAATTAGCCAGTCATGGTGGCACGTGTCTGTAGTTTCAGCTACTCGGGAGGCCGAGGTGGAAGGATCGCTTGAACCTCGGGGGTTGAGGCTGCAGTGAGCTGAGATCATGCCTTTGCACTGCAACCTCTGTGACAGAGTGAGACCCTGTATCAAAAATAAATAATAATGACAGTGTTAACTTTTTAACATTATATTTTATTCCTTTAGGTTTTGTTTTATTGCATAAGTGATGTTTAATACAATACACAGAAAACGTGAGAAAAATATTCTTTTCTCTTTCCAAACTCAGTTGAAAACTGATTTATCTCTTTGAAGTTGAATATTAGTTGCATATTTTGGTATCTTTGCAGACTGAAAAGTTCCTTATGCTCTCTATTTTTGAGATTTCACTTAACCATTTTCTGTGCTTACTTTTGTCAAGTATTTTAATGTATTTATTTAGCAAAATATTTTATTGATTTTCTTCTTTACTGTTAATGTACTGAAATATTTTAATACTTATTTAATGTTAAACTAATTTGAAATGTTGGAATGTAAAGTTCCTACAAAATCATGATGTAGTATTACTTTGTATATTTCTAGATTGTGCTTTATCACATTTTATTTTGCATTTTTACATCGACTTTAAGACATCGCCTTTACATTTATTTGTTTTTTTCTGCCACGTTATGGTATCATGTTCATTCTGAAGTTGTAATATGTGGGCTCAATTATTTTGTCAATGTATAAAAATGATTGGTTTCTATATCTCCTCATTTGAGCTTTGGTAAGTGTGTTTCTCTTTCCCAAATATTTTATATATTTCACCTAAGTTCGCAAATTTATTCCTACAAAGTTTTATATGTTACCATCTTATAATAGTTAGATCTGGAGGATCTGTAGTGTAATATGTGTTGCTAGTTTTGATTTCTCTTCTTGATCTGATTTTCAATGTTTGTTAATTTTCTTAAAAGTTATATGCCAACTTTAGACTTAATCAGATTTTTTTCTTTAACGTATGCTTAATATTTTATTTTTGCTTTTATATTATTATGTCTTTCCTATTGGGTTAAACTCTTTTCTACAATCAAGGTACAGATTATTATTTTATGCTGTTTTCTTTTAATATTTTCTTTAAAACTAAACTTGTAACTCATGAAACACTGCTTTAGCTGCCAGCCCCCAAAATTTGATAATCTTTGTTTTCATTATTTTCACTCCAAAATATATTAATTCCCATTGCATTTTTTAAAATGTGTTTCTTAATTTTCACACATTTGTAAACTTAAAAGTTATATCTTTGCTTTCTAGTCTAATTTTATTATGGTCAAAGAGTATACGATGTATGACTTAAATTCCTGGGCATTTAGTAAAACTTGTTCTATGGTGCTTCATATAAACTATTTTGTGTGTGTTTTGGAAAATATTCCATGTGTTCTTGAAAAGGTTGTACATTCTGTGAATGTTGAATATAGTGGTATAAGCTTTCTAAGCAATTAGCGAGGTGATTTTAGATTTCTGTAAATGAGGATAGCCATCTCTAACTGGCATTATGCCCCCTGATTTCTTTAGATTGTAGATGATTAGCCAATGTTTCAGGTGATATTAAACAGTGAATCACAAATTTGATACTTCAGCAGAAGGATCACTGAATTATTAGCAAATATTACAACCTAATTCTTCAATGATGTCACAAAAAATTCTGTAATAATATTGTTCTTTGTTATTAAATGTGTGAGTCAACTGTTTAAAGATAAATCCATGTGACTTAATTTACATGGGTACACAAACAATTATATTGTCTGCAAATGCATTCCTAGGAAATTTGCTAAATGCCAAGGAACATATCATCCCTCTTAGATTGTTTGACATGTCTGTGGGCAACAGGTTTCACAACTATGTGTGTCATACTGCTGCTTCAAGGGAGTCTCAAAATATATAGCATCCCACTCTTATTGTGGAAAAATCTGAGAATAAATTAAGTAGTAAATATGGAGGACAAATATTATCTTAATTAGAGAATAAGTTGGAGGATTTGACTTAGCCTGAGAACCAAATGGACCTACTAAATCAACATTAGCATTAGGCAAAGCTAGCCACCGTGTAAAAAACAGTTCTGGACAGGAGAGGGCTTAGTGTAGAGAAAGGCTGACAGGTGCTACCTTTCAGCAGCTCACTGCTAGGCAGAAGTATCCCAGATCAATCATGTTGTATTGCTTTACTATTGCTACGATGATGCTGGTAACAAACCACTGCAAAATTCAGTAGTTTAAAACCGCAACGAGCATATATTTTTCTCCTTCACAGGTCTGGTGTATCTATCAGTGGGGTGACTCCGCTTCAGGCTAGAAGCCAACTGGGTTATCAGGCTGCTGTGGGCTGAGGCCTGTCCCTGTGTCTCTGTGTTCTCTCTGGCTCAACACCTAGCTGAGCATGTCTTTGTCATAGCCATCATTGTACCACAAATGGCTGACTGGAAACAAAGAATGCCACATCATAACTGGGCTCAAAATTGGCCTGTTGATAATTCTGCCCATATTCTTTTTTCCAAAGCAGGTCATGTGAGTACACATGAATCAGTGAGATTGGAAAGTATATAATACAAACTCTGGGGTCATTTAAAACACATTCATCAAAGAGCATGAATACATAATTCCAACACAGGTAAGCGGTGGACAACCAAGAATACTAATTTAATCCTCACACGTTTACTTATTTTGTCCAAATTTAGCAATTAGACAAGACAATCTATTTCCTCAATGGTGGAGTGAGAACAGAAAAGTTGGAAAGATGCTCAGAGTTACAAATGTATCTCCTTTCACAGTGCAAAAATATCACTAATAGGGCAGAATACTTTTCATTTACAAACGTAAGTTCTCTTTCACTCATGGGCAACACTTTCTTCCCTGGCTCTCTGCAGATCCATTTCTAGCGACCTTACTTGCCTTGAGTCTAAACTCTTCTCAACTCAGCAAGAATTTGAGGTTTTATTTTGTTCTCTGTCTCTACTGTGGCCTGGAAACTGCCTTTCGGCCCTACATTGGGAACAATTATTGGGTTCACTTAATTTGTTCTCTGTCTTTCAAGAGTCATAATCTTGTGCTGCCTGTTATCCAAAGTACAAAAGTAATTATTTAATATTATTTGTTATTTATATTGTTTACCACAGGAAGATAATTCCAATGTAAGTCACCTTATTTTTGAAACATTTTTTCCTCTTGGATTTTCAGTTAATGTCACCAGCATCCTCCCAGTTGCTAAGACCTAAAATCTTGGTGATACTTTTGAATCCTTTATTTCAACATGCTTCCTATTCTACCTTTTGCCTATACCTCTCCAATAGCTGCTAAACTGTACTTTTCCTCCCCCCTTTTCCTCTAAAGTCCATTTCCCACTTTTCTTAAAACTTCTCATTAAAACTAGAATTAAATAAAACCTATCTTACAAATTGTACATGATTTGGTCCTACCTCAGCTTTTCTAATATACATTTGCCAATTCTTGTCCTGATTCCATGATATTCACCTGCCTTTGGTGTCCTGCTGCCTGGAATGCTCTTCCATAAAATAGCCCAGTATTGGACCCTTGTCATCATTTAACACTAGTTTCAAATAATCCCTCTCAGGGAGTCCTTCCCAACCAGCATATCAAATGCATTCGCCTCCTCAGCCACTCTTTTCAATTGTCCCATTTATCTTATTGTAAACAATTATCACTCAAATTATATTAATTGTGTAGTTTTTATTATGGCATGAATTCCTCACTATGATGAGTTTTATCAGGAAAGCGGCATATCTACTTTTTCACTTTCATACCCAGTAGGAGTTGTGGCTTATTCACATTTATCTTAAAAATTTTAGACAATAAATGTCCCTAGCCAAATGAGTGACAGAAAATATTCAAAGCTTTATTATTTGATTACATTGCGGGAGACTTGGAAATCGCCCGTCAGAAAAACCGTGGGACAATTCACTGAACAACAACAAAAAAAAGATGGATTATACTAATAGGGGAAAGAGTGGTTTTTAGCGAAAAATGAAGCAGGTTTTTTATATGGCTTAAAGAAAAACAGGGCTATGTATAAATGTGGGATCCACATCCGGTTTCTGCTGGACAGTCAACCCAAATACCATTTTCTTTGAAAATACAGTGTGAAGATTGATTTGGGATTCTGAGTCTAAAAGTCCTTACCTGAAGGCTTCTACAATCTATGTGTTCCTAGGCTATAAATCAAGACAACTTCTTTTTAAAGTGACTTAGGTTTTCCACTCAAGAGTGGGATGTCTCATTCTTACAGGTATAACTTCAAAATCAATGTTATGATATTCTATTGTTTTAGAAAATAAAATTTCTCAGTGAGTTATAAAGCAGTAATAACTCAAAGAAAAGGGCAAGGGGATGCTATAATAGTTTGAATTGCTGCATTCCTGAGGGGAAAAAAGAGATTTCCTATTAAAATTGCAGCTGACTTTGTGTCTGTTACTCCAGCCTGATGAATGGCTGGGGAGATTTTACTTTCTGAGTTTGCTACTATTTTCTTAGCATGGGTGGATGAGAGAATAAATATTGTAATCAAAAGAAATGTTAAAGATTCTGGACATGTAATATACCAGTATTCTGTAGTTTAAAATAGGGCGAGGCGGGCGGATCATGAGATCAGGAGTTCAAGACCAGCCTGACCCTCTGTCTCTACTAAAAATACAAAATTAGCCAGATGTGATGGCACACACCTGTAATCCCAGCTACTCAGGTGGCTGAGGCAGGAGAATCACTTGAACCTTGGAGGCAGAGGTTGCAGTGAGTCAAGATCGCACAATTGCACTTGAACCTGGGCAACAGAAAGAGACTCTGTCTCAGAAAAAAAAAAAAAAAGAAAGAAAAATAAATTTAACTTTTTAGTAATAATAAAAAATATAAACCAAAATGTTAAGGAGTTCATTATAAATGGAAAATTAAAAAACTAAAAATTTAAAAATTTATTCTGATAAACACAATATTGCATAAATTATATAAATACCATCATGTATACTAATTTTATGACTACTAGTCATATGCCTGTAGAAAAATTAATTTGACACATTTAGAAAGATTTTATACCAAAAAGTGATGAATACTATTTGGCAAACATATATACTCTTTATCTTCTTTTTCTTTTGTGAAATGATAGCAACTGCTATTGTGTATGATTAACTTCAGAATATATATATATTCTGAAGTTAATATATAGAATTATATAGAAAACAAGTGAGTCAACATATAAAATTAGATGCACGAAATTAACTCTCTTTCTGCTGCACCACCCTCCTTAATTCACTTAATGACTGTTAACGCTTACGACACATTTTGAAAAATAAAAAAGAAAGAAAAATCCTAAAGAAATTCAATATTTAAAATAGTCAAAAGTAAATGGAAACTAAAGTATGGCTTATATCTATTAGAGAATCAGAAAGATTTGTGTTACTTATATGTGGTTTCTTGTGTGAAAAAAGACACAGTATGTAAAGGCCCTATCTTTGTGTTGTTGCCACTTTCTGTGTAGTAATAATTTCTTTGCTTGTTTTCTAAAGAGTTTATAAATGAATTTGTGATATTATTTTATTAGTCAACGAACCCAGGTTAATTCTGTTACTTACATATTTATATTTCTATTTGGTATTTATTTGATTTCTTCAGAGGCAACATGGACATAATGATGAAAATAAAACACTAATTAAAAGTCATTGTGACTGGATGGGCGCGGTGGCTCACGCCTGTAATCCCAGCACTTTGGGAGGACGAGGCGGGCAGATTACTGGAGGTCAGGAGTTCGAGTCCAGCCTGTCCAACATGGCAAAACCCCATCTCTACTAAAAGTACAAAAATTAGCAGGGCGAGGTGGCAGGCACCTGTAATCCCAGCTACTTGGGGGGCTGAGGCAGGAGAATTGCTTGAACCCGGGAGACTGAGGTTGCAGTGAGCCGAGACTGCATCATTGCACTGCAGCCTTGGCGACAGAGTAAGACTCCGTCAAAAAAAAAAAAAAATAAAAAAATAAGGAAAAGTCTATGGGTCCTACTTAAACTTACTTAAAACACTTAAGGTGTTTTATATACGTTATTGAAATATTGACAGTAATGGTGCAAAGTAATGTTACTTGGCACATAATGACATATGCTGCAGATGTAATGTTTCTCTGGCAGCCATAGTCAAAAAGAGATGAAAATTAAGTTTTAATTTAAGTCAGCTGCATCCACTAATTTAAGGGCATGAGTAAACTAAGTCTAAATGTCAATTAAAAGATGTCCACCAAATTTTTAAGTCTTATCATTAAATATGATCTGTCAACTCCACACACATTTCTGTTGATATTGTTTAAAAATAGGCATTTATTTTCTGAAATTTGCAAGTCGTTAAATAGAAAACCTTCAAAAATTGAAAGCAAAGAAGGAAAAAATGACAAATATTTGCATTTTCATGTTGTGTATTTCATGTTATGTATTTTCACCCAGAAAAAATCTGTCTTTTTTCTTCCAATCCTAAGTTATGAAAAAAAATAAAGACAGAAGTTAGACACACAAATATAAATGTAACAACTATTTCATTGGTAGAGCAGATTCTAAGGAGAGTTAGATGTTTTACATAATAGAGAATTGTCATGTTGAATTATTTCTGCAACAGGCAGAACTGAAGAATCACAATTATTTCCATAATGGGGAGAGTATCAGACTGAAGAACATTTAGAAAACGGTTGGAGAGAAAAGAGGCCTGGGTTAGGAAAGCACAGTTGCTGGTTATGTCACCACTTTTTTTTTATTTTAACAAAAATCATGGACGTATTAATCACTTCTTGTTATGGTTTGAATGTTTGTATCCACTGAAACTCATTTTAAAACTTAATTCCCAATTTAAATGTATTAAGAATTGGGGTTTTTAGAGGTGATAGGGCACCGTACTTACAAATGGAGTATTACATTCATGGTTTAGTGAGGTTAATGGGTTAATGAATTAATGGGTTACTAAGGGAGTGGATTAGTTATCACAAGAGTAGATTTGTTATAAAAACCAGTGTCTCTTGTGAGCCACATCACCATGTGGTGACCAGTGCTACGTCAGGACTCTGCAGAGTCCCCATCAGGAAGAAAGCCCCCACCAGGTGTAGCCCCTAGACCTTGGTACATCCTACCTTCCAGAACTATAAGAAATACATTTATATTCTTTATAAATTATTCAGCCTGTTATATACACTTATTGGAACTGAAAAGAAACTAAAACATTTCCCCTTCACAGGAATTAAAATTGCAAAAGCAACAAAATGTTTTTCTGCTCACCTACTGCCAGAAATGACCCAATCACATCACAGCCTTTCCTGCAACACTAAAGTAAGCCAAACCTATGTGGTTTCAATGTCAAGCTGTACGGCCAGGAAACATATGGCCTGGAGCTGTACTGAAGGCATTATTGGTCATCTAAAGCTGCCAGTACTGTTACACCTGAATTAAAAAAAAAAAAAAGCCAGCCATGGATATGCACTATAGTTACAGTAAGATTATAATCCCACAAGGTCCAAGGCTAATGCCTCTCATGCAGACACAGTATCAGATAGAGTACCCCCTCCTTATTTGTGAGGGATATGCTCCACGAATCCCCGTGGATGCCTAAAATTGCACATGCATTTTTCCAATACATATATTGCTAAGATAAATTTTACTTTATAAATTAGGCACAGTGAGAGATTAACAATGGTAACTAACAATAAAATAGAACAACTATAACAATATGCAAGCATCACTACTCTTGCACTTTTAGACCATTTTAAGTGAAATAAGGGTTACTTAAACACAAGCACTATGATAATGCTACATACAATCTGATAATGTAGATGGCTACTAAGTGACTAATGGGCAGATGTATATACAGCATGGACAAAGGGAGGGTTCATATTCTGCAGTTGAGTGAAATTTCATCATGCCTCTCAGAATGACATGTCATTTTAAAGTCATAAATTATTTATTTCTGGAATTTTCTATTTCATATTTTTAGGCTGTAGCTGACCATGGGTAACTGAAATTCCAGAAAGTGAAACTGCATATAAGTGGGGAATACTCAGCTGGAAAGAGTGGTGGAAAAAGAAAAGACAAAAACAAGCAAATAATCAAACCAAACTCCAGCCAAAACAAACCCAAAGCACCTGATTTTATTACTGTGGCACCAAAGTCTACAGTTACCTACCTTCGCTGTGCCAGGGGCTTGTTTTTTAATGACATTTGCATCTTCATCTTATTCACTATTCATAATATTCCCTGACAATTAATAGATCGTGGTATAAAAATATTCCCAATAAATTATAGTCCTCAAACCCAGTTCAGAATCAATTTGGGGATAACCAAAGAAGTCAGTCACTGGGAGCCAAAATATCACTTTGATTCAAAGAGTTGTGGGAGAATACAACTTCGGTTCCCGACAACTATGACCTGTCTAATATAGAATCTTTACAAAGGAAACACTTATTGCCCCAGTGGCCAGTCACTTTGGAACACCTGAGTTGTCACTGGATAAAGAAATTGCCTTTGCTGTCAAAGCTAGAACATATCAGGGAGCCTATTCTCCAAATCCAGAAGAATAAGTGTATTCAAATGAAAAGAACACAAGGAGAAACTCAAAGCTTCTAAACCAAAATGTACTAAAGAGATAACTTACTCTTTTTCAACCAAGGTAGGCTGAGTAAAACAGCATTGAGGGGAAAAAAAGAGACAAAAGAAAAGATTATTTCCCTTTATCTCTTTGGCACATTATGTTCTTAATTCTCTTTACAAAATAAATGATAATTTTTTGATGTTCCACTTGAAATAACGCATCCTGTAGTCAATTATAAGAATGTATTCATTGTCGATAAAAAAGTAAATTAGGAAAATAAATGTGGCACTCATTATCGTTTTCTAAAATAGCGGATAAATCTCTCCAGACACATAATATTGAAAAGAGAAAAGAGTATTGTATTTTGCAGGATGATGCTTCCTTCAGGGAAAATGAAAAACTATTAGAAAAAGCAAGGGTCAAAAGCACTAAGTCACCAGTTATTAAAAATTATTTGCCACTTGAACTCTTAGTAGAAAAATTCAATTTCCTTTATAGATATAAGAATTTCAATTGCAAAACCAATGTCATGAGAATTAATTTGATTTACTCTGAAATCCCAGAATGTTGGCCACATTTTTATAGTTTTTAAAGCAGGACAAACGATACTGAATATTTTTAAAAAGAAAATATAGGTATATTTCAGCCAAATGTCAGAATAACTAAAGTGATGAGCCTGTACTTTATCCAAACTTTATTCATTATTTTTAAAAATGTTAGAGTCAATGATTGATGTTGTGTGTGTGTGTTTATGTTTAAATTCATCTTTGTCATTCAGTTTTTTAATATATCTAGTAGCCTCCATTTAATATTTTCTTACTGGTTTCTATATCTTTTTGATGTATTCCTTTATCTTTGTTGTCATTTATCATTTGTTTATTCTATTTCTGTATATTTCTCTTAAATATTCAATAAGAATTCCCTATAATAACGTATAGTTAATAAATTTTGTCTATTATTGGGTAACATAGTTATAAACATTGCAGCTTAAAACTATGCAAACATTATTTCATAATTCTGTAAGTCACAAGTCCAGGGAGAGATTAGCTGTATTAAATTATGTTCTGTGAACACAATGTATTTAAATTATAAATCAATAAGAAAAACAATGTTGAAAAAAATTGAAAATTTGAGAAATTCACAAATATTTGGAAATTAAGCCACATACTTTTACATAAAAATGAAACGTAATACACAAGAAGTAAAATGGCAGATGTAAATCAACATAAAATTTAAAGGATTAAATTAGTCAAAGGGCAGAGATCATCATATGGGGTAAAAAATCTGACTATAACTTCCTATATAATTCAGATTCAAAGATAAAATTGGTTGAAAATTAATGGATGCAAAAAGAGATAGAAGGCAAATAGCAATGGGAAGAGAGTTGGAGTGGTTCTACTAATAAGCAAAATCAACTTTAAAATAAAATGTTATTTCAAGAGAAGAATTTTATAAAGTTAAAAGACTCAATCAATCCAGAAGTTGCAACAATTATAAACATATATACCCCTGTCTGTGGAGCCTCAAAAGGTATGAGGCAAAATGGAAAGAATTTAAAGGAGAAATCAATAATTCAACAAACATCTGGAGACCTAAATAACTCTCTTTTAATAATGAGTAAGAAAATTAGGCAGAAATTTTAAAAGACACAGGGTGAACTGGACTAGCCACTAAGAACTAACAAGCAACTATAGGTGGCTCCACCTAGCAACAGCCAAGTGCACATTCCTTCCAAGTGCACAAGGGATATACTCCAGCACTGAACATAGGTTAAGTCCATAAAGCAAGATGGACTTAACAGGATTTAAACCATAGAAAGTGAATTCTCTGATGACAATGAAGTGAAACTAGAAATCAAAAACATGAAGAAATTTGGGAAATCCACAAATATGTGGAAGTTAAATGACACATTATTAAATAACCAATGGGCAAAGAAGAAATAAACAGGAACATTAGAAAATACTTTGAGATGAATGAAAAGTAAAACACAACATACCAAAATTTACACCTTGCTACTAAAACATTGCTTAGAGAGAAATTTACAGCTGTAAATGCCACTTTAAAAAAAAGTTTGTAAATAACGTATCATCTTATAAAAATACAAGAAAAATAAGAGCAAACAAAATTGAAAGCAAGTAAGAGGAATAAAATAATGAAGATTAGATAACAAAAAATTAATGGAGATTAGATAGAAGTTTTTCTATTTTTTTTTGTTAAAACACATATACATAAGAAACACATCTTAATTCAAGACCCAGTGCATGTCTGTCTTCATCTCTATTATCTATCTGCTTATCCATCTATTCATTTACCTGTAATTTATCATTTATATATATAGTGTGTGAATAACTTTGTAAACAATCATTTATAGATAAGATCCACCTATCTTATTAGTTTAACAATTGTTTTAAATTTCTTTACAACTAAAGAGTTGTTTAAGTAGTTTTAAGTATTTATTTTTTTAAATTTCTCTATTTTTATTAAAATATACACAAGAATTAACATACCATAGTTTTACAGATTGAGGTATTTCCACTATCTACTTTCACAAACTCAGCACTTAGATGAAGAAACTGATTATAGGACTGCAGACTTGCCTTGTGTAGCCCAAGATTAAATATTGTATTGACTTTAATGGCATAAGTCTGTTTTGCTTGTTTTCATAGTTACATTCTGAGAACCATATGGTATATATTTTGTGTATATTTTGTGTGTGTGCCTGGCTTCTTTCACTCAGTATGCTATTGGTGAAATATAGTCATATTGTTTTGTGCTGTTGTGTCTTTTTATTTTCATTGCTGCATAGTATTTCACTGTATGATTATGTCACTATTTATCCATTTTAGTATTGATGGGCATCTGGGTGTTTCCTAAGTTTTGACTATTACAAATAAGGATGCTCTGAACATTTTAGTTTATGTTTTTTGGAGACAGAGTGTGTGTGTGTGTGTGTGTGTGTGTGTGTGTGTGTGTGTGTGTGTGTGTTGGCATATTTATATGAAGTGGAAATATTAGGTCACTGGGTATATACATATATATTTAGCTTTAATAGAATTGTTTAATGTAAATCACACCATGAGCCCTCCTTGCAAACATTTTTCAGAGGTTTTCCATTCCTGTTTACATGAACTATAAACGCATTGCCATAATCCATGCAGCTTTGTAAAATTGGGTCCTGCGTCTTTGTCCCGCCTCCTGTCCTGCTACCTTTCCCTTGTCCTAGCAACTTTTTAGCATCTTGTCACTGATATTTCTGGATGCAGTGCCTTTGCACATGCACTTCCTTCTGATTGGAAGATTCACTATTCCTCTCTGTAAGCTTCAGGCTTCATATGTGCAGCTTCTTCTCATCATTCAAATTTAAGCTAAAGTGCTGTCTTTTTACTGAGGTTACTACCATCTAAGTCATTTCTTTATAGCATTTGTGACATAGTGCTAAATATATCCTACATTTGTTTCTTATTTCCGTCTCCTGCTAGAATGCATGAGGAAAGACGCCAGACCCATAAGGGTGCCAGACTCAGTACATGCTGCAAATCTTTTTATCACACTGTCATGTGTAGAACTCAAAGATGAAATTTCAAAGGTCGTACTTTTTTTTTAATTTTTCCTTTTTAATACTATAAAAGCAAGCATCACAAAACAAGCCCTGGAATTAGAGGTTTAATTTACATGGGCTCATGTTCTAGACCTGCAACTGAATACATGTTCAGCTTTGGGCAAATTACTTATTTTTTTTTTAACTCAAGTTTCTCCCTTGTAATATGTTAACATATAATATTATATAATCTGGATTTACTCAGGCTTCTTTAGAGTCATTAAAAGTAATAAAAATATCAAAACACAACTACTGTTCTCTCTGAATCCCACAGGTTTTTTAGCTCATATAGTTTTCTCTACAGTGTTTCAAGGAGTCCCACCAGTACTTTCTGTACAATTTTCTCTAACTACAGAAACACCATGCTAACAGTTTGCGACAGTCTGTTGTGAATTGGGTTAGAACTCTTGGCTCCAATTTTTCTTTTGTGTTTACCACACTTAGATGTTTCAACAGCAATACTAAATGTGCCCTGGTGTTAGAAAGAGGTTTTGTTTTTCAGATTTGGTTTGATTTGATTTCTTTTCTTTTCTTTTTCTTTTTTTTTTTTTTTTTTTTTTTGAGACAGAGTCTTGCTGTGTCGCCCGGGCTGGAGTGCAGTGGTGTGATCTTGGCTCACTACTAGCTCTGCCTCCCAGGTTCAAGGGATTCTCCTGCCTCAGCCTCCTGAGTAGCTGGGATAATAGGAGACCGCCACCACGCATGGCTAATTTTTGTATTTTTAGTAAAGACGGGGTTTCACCATCTTGGCCAGGCTGGTCTTGAATTCCTGACCTCGTGATCCACCTACCTTGGGCTCCCAAAATGCTGGGATTACAGGCATGAGCCAATTCCTTAATATTTACATTAGATTTTTTAAACGACCCAATTATTTTATATATTTTATTTTTGTGGGTACATGGTAAGTGAATATATTTACGGGATACATGAGATGTTTTGATACAGGCATGCCACGTGAAATAATCTTACCATGGAGAATGGAGTATCCATCCCCTCAAGCATGTATCCTTTGTGTTACACGTAATCCAATTACACCCTTTTAGTTATTTTAAAATGTGCCATTAAGTTATACTGACTATAGTCACCCTGTTTTGCTATAAAATAGTAGGTCTTATTCATTCTTTTTTATTTTTCGTACCCATCAACTATCTCTACCTACCCCCAAGCCCCTCACTATCCTTCCCAGCTTCTGGTAACTGCCCTTCTACTCTCTATGTTCATGAGTTCAATTGTTTTTATTTTTAGATCCAACAAATAAGTGAGAACATGCAATGTTTGTCTTTCTGTGCCTGGCTTATTTCACTTAGCATCATGATCTCTAGTTCCATTTATGTTGTTGCAAATGACAGGACCTCATTCTTTTTTAAGGCTGAATGATTTTTAATAAATGTATAGAGTAGTACAACCATCGATCTTCGTTGCAATTCAATTTTAAACCTTCAACATCTCCCATATTTTTCCAGAGCCTTTATGCAGATGATCCACGTTTCTTACTTCCTGCCATCCACCCCCTGACCCAGCCCTGGTCAATACTAGTCTGATTTCTGTCTCTTTAAATATGCATTTTTCTGACCAGTGAAACATTCATGTAAATGGAACCATGCATATGTATTATTTAATAACTGGCTTAGTCTATTTAGTATAAGCATTTTTGTACACTCATGATGTAGCATGCATCAGCATGTTTTAGTTGAAGAATAAAATTCTTTTATATGGACACATCATATTTTGTTTATGCATTCACCAGTTGATGGACATTTGAGTTGTTTCCGGTTTTGGCTACTATGAATAATGCCTGCTTCTAGGAGTAAAGAAAGTTTTGCTTTAATTTCACTATTAAGACTGCTTTAACACATTTTAATTTTATTTGATTTATTATTATTTTTATTTTGCCTTATTGCACTGAGTAGAACCTGTAGTATAATGATGAATGGAAATAGCAAAGGTAATTTCTTGACTTGTTCCCAGTCTTAGAAGAAAATGCATTCAGTCTTTCACCATTAAGAATTATATTGGCTGTAGGTTTTTTGTGGAAGTTTCTTCTATTTCTAAGCTTTTGAGAATAACTTTCTAAGATTTAGCTTGTCTAAAACTGTTCTTGTTTTACACTTCTAATTGAATGATAGTTTTGACTACAATTATTTGATGAGTTGGGTATAACTTCCGTGAAGTGTTGTACTCTCAGTATTTCTTGCACATTGGATGCTTGATATGTTAAACACAGTATTGCCCGGTGTTGTTGATATAGGCCTATATTCCGTAAGTTTCTAGTTGCTAAACCAAGTGACATTAGTAGTTCAGTATTTGTAGGAGGAGTAATATGACCTAGCAAGTTCAGTTTTTCTGCATTTATTTATTCAAATAGTACTTTTGATAATTACTCCAACTATTGACTCAAAATACTTCATTCACATACAGCTCTGTAATTGGGAATTTAGTATTCCAAACTTGGAAGATTTTTAAAAATATGTTTAAATTTATTTATGTTTTCTTGTATAAGTAACTTCTATTATTTTTCCCTTAATATTTTTCTATCATTTTTCTATCCTCATTCTTATAATTTCTGGTCTGCTAATGGAAAGCTGACTTATATTGCATTCTCCAGGAGCAGACCATGAGATGACAACACATGTAAAGCGATTTATGAACAATGTGTTCCAGGAAAAGCTGGTAGGTGACAGAGGAAGCAGGATAGGAAAGGGAGACAAGTCAAGTTCAGTGGTAATTTCGTGCAGTGTCAGCCTGAGTCTGAGCCTGCAGGGTGATCTCTAGAGTGTAAGATACCTAAGAGTCAGTTCCAGGCTCTTATTATACTCCCTCATGCCTCAAGGTCACCTTTGAGGGTTAGAATTCATATCCTAACAGAAGCTACAGGATCTGTACATGTGCTGGTAAAGTAGCTCCAGTAGTCCAAGGACAGTCTTCCAAAGACAGAATTGGGCACAGGACATAAGAAACAAATGCATACATATCTGGATATGTTCCTACAGATAACAAAACATATCTGAAGGATTTGGGTGAGGTATTAACAGTATCCACTATATTAAATTGTTATGCTTTACATTAGATGTTTTTGCTGTATATTCTTATCAGGCATTCTTATATATATTTTATAAATATTCCTTATCCAAACTTCTTATAATTGTGCTGGCTTCAACTATGTTCTAGGACCAGAATGAGGTATTAACACATAGTCATAGTATTTTCATTTTAATGAAAGGTATTTTGATAACATCATCATTCAAAAAATAGAATGTATTATATTATGCATACTGGATTCCTGATGAATAACTATGATTAGATATAAACAAACAATAATGTTAGGTAGGAGATTATCCATATTGTCCCTCTCAATTCTAAAATTTCTGATTTTCTATATAATCATGAAGCATACTTGAGAATGTATTATCTGATAATTTATGTCACGTATTTGAAAGTAAGTAATAAAACATTTCATATTCTTGTCTTTCCTCCTACCATAATAAAAACATTAATATTATGCACAAATTGAAGCAAGAAGTACAGAAAAAGAGAGCTTCACAAATGAATGTAATAGATACCAGTACAGCAACACTGTAACAAGTTTATGTGTAAGTGCTTGTTCTCATTTTGGGAAAACAATTCTTATATTATTAGTTGTTAGTATTAGAGGGTTTTATATCTTGAAGATGCATTTTGTAAGAGAAGAGATATTTTTCTAAAGAGGTAATTATTTTGTCTAATTAATCACTTTCTTATAAAGAAGTCAAATGGTTGTGATTCTTTTCTTTCATATGTTGAAGTCTTTAGAATTTTTCTGTTTAGGAAATACTATTCAATCCACTTGTCAGTGTTGGACAGTTACAAATACTTATGACATGCTGAACTCTGTCATAGGCTAGGAATGACAAATTTATAAGGAAAAATGAATAATATTAAATTTCAATTCTGTCATTTTTGCAGAGCAGAAATCAGTGTTGACATTGAATAGACAATTACTACAATGTCATTCAAAATGTAAGTTTAAAAAATGCTGAGAAATGTTCAATTGAAATGGAAAACATGGAAAATTGGAGGGGAAAAGAACAACAGCATAACATACCTTTACCATAAAGACCATCTGATATTTTCCAAGTGGACAGGGGGATATCAACATAATATGGAAATATGATATATTGTCAGAAAGTGCTACTCCACTGTGGGATCTCAAAAGGCAAAGCAAGTACCACTGGGAATGGAAGTATTAGCTTTGTTTTCCTCTCATGCTGTCTGCTGATTCTCTGTAGTGATATGCTGGTACCTGGATTTGTATGTATGTCTATATCTTTATCTGTGGTAGAATTCTATCAGCATAATTTAATTTAATGCAGAGAGAATTAAAACCATGTTATTTGTCAAAGGGAATAATTCATGGCTGCAAGAGCTGACAAGAAGTGGGTGAACAGAGATGATGCTCCATGAGTTTTGACTTTAGGAAGCCAGAGAGAAAACTCTGAATTAAAGAGGCCACTAGAAGTTAGTCAGTACACAGTATCTAGAATTGCATAACAAGAAACAGTGTGTGTCCTTGGCCTCCACCAGTTCCTGTGATGACCAAAACCAAAACAATGTCAGGTAATTCAAAGCTGGCGGCAGGTCAAAAAACACCCAAAATTTTACGTAGAAAAGAAAAAACCATGAGATTAAATGATCTAAATAGAAGGGAAATGCTTATGAAAAATATTGGAGTTCTCAAATTAAGGTTTTATTTATTATTTCAATAATTTTACATTTTAGGTGGGCTGCTCTGACCAATATATATTTATTAGTTAATTCAGAATTGCATTTAGGCAATAACTAACAGTTAATTCTAACATCGCACCTACCATGTGTTGGGCACTTGTTCTGAGCACATTACATGATTTAACTTATTTAGTCATCTCAATAATCGTAATTTGAAACAAATTTTGTAACAAAATCTTGGCTGTTACCTTTAATTCTATGTTGAATATTACAATGGAATTGTCAAGGGAATCTGATGGTGATAGAGGATATAAATTACTAATCAGCTCACCCCAGGGGCTAAGTATTGAACCACCATTTGTAATCCACAGTGAAAAAGTTTTGGAGGATCACTTGTGTATTAGTTTTCTAGGGCTTCCATAACAAAGTACCATATACTGGGTGGTTTATGCAACAAAAGTTTTTTGTGTCACAGTTGTGGAGGCTAGAAGTTTGAGATCAAGATGCCAGTAGGGCTGATTCCCTGTGAGAGTTGTTAAGGTTAGATCTATTCCACGTCTCTCTCTTTGGCTTGTAGATGGACATCTTATTTCTTTGTCTCTTCACATTATCTTCCCTCTATGCAGGTATGGTTGTATCCAAATTTTCTACACTTTATACGTACACCAATAGTATTCAATCAAGGTTTACCATAATAATTTAACTTGATTAACTTTATAAAGACTCCTTTTCCAAATAAGGTCACGTTCTGAGGTACTGGGGATTAGGACTTCAAAACATTTTAGAGGTGGGGGAACACAGTTCAACCCATAACATCTTGGTTTAAAATATGTGGTCTATTGCCTTAAGTTTTTGCTCTAGGTCTAATTACCAGGCTGTTAATACAATCTTGTTGAAGAGTCCTCACTATTCTTCAAGCACTACTAGATAAGAGCTGTAGTGACGTTTGTGTCATAAAACGCTAATAACCCCTAGCTAAAGCACAACCTTTTAAAATCATACTATACAGTTGATATGATTTGGCTCTGTGCCCCCACCCAAATCTGATCTTAAATTGTAATCCCCAGTTGGTGCCCAGGGATAGATCTGGTGGGAGGTGATTGGATCATGGGGGCGGTTCCCCTATGCTCTTCTAGTGACAGTGAGTGAGTTCTCACGAGATCTGATGGTTATATAAATGGCGGTTTTCCCTGTTCCCTTTTTTGTCTCCTGCCACCATGTGAAGATCTTTGCTTCCCATTCACCTTCTGTCATGATTGTAAGTTTCCTGAGGCCTCCCCAGCCATGAGGGACTGTGAGTCAATTAAACCCCTTTTCTTTATAAATTACCCACTCTTGGTTACGTCTTTATAGCAATGTGAAAACGGACTAATACAATAGCATTCTTATTGTAAATCTAATTTTTGAGTTTATCAATTGTATTAGTTTCCTTGGGTTGCCATAACAAAGTACCAAAAGCAGGGTGGCTTAGAAACACAGAAATTTGTTGTTTCACTGTTCTGGAACCTAGAACTCTGCAATTAAGCTATTGGTAGGCCATGTTCCCTATAAAATCTGTAGGGAAGTCTGGGTATAGTGGCTCACGCCTGTAATTCAAGCACTTTGGGAGGCCGAGGTGGGTGGATCACGAGGTCAGGAGATTGAGATAATCCTGGCCAACATAGTGAAACCCCATCTCTACTAAAATACGAAAAATTAGCCGGGTGTGGCGGTACGTGCCTGTAATCCCAGCTACTTGGGAGGCTGAGGCAGGGGAATGCTTTAACCCGGGAGGCGGAGGTTGCAGTCAGCGGCGATCGCGCCACTGTACTCCAGCCTGGTGACAGAGCAAGAGTCCGTCTCACCAAACAAACAAACAAAAAAACCTGTAGAGAAATCCTCTCAGGCTTCTTTCTAGATTCTAAGGTTTTTTTGTTTTGTTTTGTTTTTGTTTTGTTTTGTTTTGTTTTTAGCAATCTTTGGCATTCTGTGGCTTGCAGATGTGTCTCTCTAATCTACATTTCCGTTTTCATTCAGCATTTCCCTGTGTACCTCTGTGCCTCCACATAGCCATTTTCTTACGAAGTCTTATTTTATCAGGAGCCCACAGCATCCCAGTATGACCTCATCTTAACTAATTACACCTATAAAGACTCTGCTGCCAAATAAGACCACATTCTGAAGTACTTTGGGTTAAGACTTTAATATATCTTTTTGGGGGTCAAAATTCAACCCATAATTATGCCATCCCATCAAGATGGCATAATTTTTCCAAGGAAATTTTTTTTTATTATAATGGCCATAAGGGAGACGTTTAGACATTTTAATGATAAAATGTTTAAAGGGAACAATAGAATAAAAAATAAAAATTATCAAATATACTGAGACGTCGAAATTAAGTTCAGACTCTGAGAGCCTCTTTCAAAGATCCTTTAACAAGAGCCAAGAAAAGCAATTATTTCTACATGAAACATCTGAAATCTCACTTTCTGCTGCCTCCAACTGATCTGCTTTACGTTCATCATTGCCTTGTATTTTCTCTATCTCCTCTCTTCTAGTCCCCAGTTCCTTAATGTAGGCACTTAACTGCAGCCTTGAGCTTCTATCAACTATTTACTCATCAGTTCATCATAAGAGGGAAAAAACAGTCTTTCAAATGGCACCCTAAAAACATTATTAAAACTGAGAATAACCTTCATTAGGGACTAAATAAAGCAAGAAAAATAGGCAGTACTTAGATCAAGCTATACCTTATGCCTTATCTTTAAAATTTGACTGAGCTAAAAGTAAGGTGGTAAATTGGAAATATGCTTTAGTAGGAGACTTTAAAACTGATTTTCAAGATTCTTTTAAGCAGCAGTCCGTGGAGACCTAGTAGTTGATGTGAAAATAACGCTCTCTCATAAATAAAGTAAGAATTTAAACAGTGAACTGATTCAGAAATAAAATACATTTTAATAGTAAACTAAAGATTTGGAGGATTTTTAATCTGTGACTAAATTAATTAGGAAATATTTCTCTGTCCTCATATAACCATTCAATGCTTTAACATTTCAACTTATAATTATTTTAGCCCTACTTTATGAAGGAGAATCACATGATTGTATTTCTGTAGATTTGGAATACTATTGCCCAGTGTAGATCTTTTTAATATTCCTGGACCAAACTCCAAATTAAATATTATTGTTAATGAGTCTTATATAAAAAATCAAAAGTAGCAATACCAGTCTGTTTATGGAATAAACACTCCAAACACACTTGTCTGACCAGTTTCAGAAGCATTTGATGAGAATTAAAATAGTTTATATGTATATCATCGCAAAGACTAAGTTATTCATTTATAAGTCAATATATATTCCATATTTGGTGAAGATAACTAGGACACTGAAAATTTAATTTTGAATAAAATCTTTCATTGTCTTTGGTAATTAAAATTTTGAATAAAGGAGAAAACAGTACTATCTAACAATTGTATTATCCAGGCTATGATAAATATTTTATTGGTATAAATCAGACATAACTATATTGGAAGCAAGAAAGTGGAGAAAATAATATTTCACAAAACAATGGTATGTATGATTTTTAAAGTAGAAGTCTTTATTTGTTTTTGATATATACTAAGGCCGGGGAAATGAAGGTAGGTTAGCTTACTATAACCCAATATTTTCCACATCTGTTTGACAATAGAATGTTTTTCACCTATTAAACCCATGATAAAATTTTGTGGCATAGACCTTAATTTAGGAAAAGAGGAGGTGATTATAACAACATGAATAAAATAACAGTTTCTGAAGTAAAACTAGTAAAGTTTAAATAAACAGTTAAGGAGAAGAAAGTGGTCTTCTTCTTCAGAAGTTACTAGGGTTGCCTACTGTCTATTCCTACCAGATGAAGTGGGAATCATGCCTGTAATTCCAGCACTTTGAGAGGCCAAGGTGGGTGGATCACCTGAGGTCAGGAGTTTGAGACCAGCCTGGCCAACATGATGAAACCCCATCTCTACTAAAATTAGCCTGGCGTGGTGATGGGCCCCTGTAATCCCAGCTACTTGGGAGGCTGAGGCAGGAGAATCGCTTGAACCTGGGAGGCAGAGGTTGCCGTGAGTCTAGATTGCACCACTGCACTCCAGCCTAGGTGACAAGAGCAAATCTCCGTCTAAAAAAAATGAATAAAATAAATAAATAAATAAATAATACTCCTGAAAGTTAATATTAAGAAACATATTTGTGAAGTAAATAACTCAAGTCTGATGTTGAATTGGAGTCTAGTATTTGTGTTAATTTTGTAACGTTATACTATTTCATAATATATTTTTTTTTGCCCAAAAAACTTAATTTGGGGAATGAATTGTTGAAAATGAAGAGATGCATCTCATTATGGTCTCAATGTTTCTGTTTCTCCAAAATTACTTTGTCCAATTCTAATTCATAACGTGATGGTATTAAGAGTTGGGACCTTTGGGAAGTGATTAGTCATGAGAGGGGAACACTCATGAATTTCAATTTTGTTACAGCTACAGGAGTTAGGCTAAGAAGTGGAAGGCATAGTAGCTTCACTCTGTAAATAAACATATTTTTATACATAGACTATGAACTCTTCAAGAAAAGATAACATATCGTATATTTTTTATCATATAATGGTCTAGTTGACTTTCAAAACAACTGATTTTTTTTTTTTTTTTACTATTTACTATTTGTTTACCTCTGTGAAGAAAACTTCACTTGAACTTATAAAATTGTCTGAAAAAATTCCCTTGTTCCTTCCATCACGTGAGGACACGTCAAAAAGGTGCTATCTATGAACTAGGAATTTAACCCTCCTCCCTAGATGCCAAATCTGATATCTTAATTTTCTATTTCCCAGTCTCCTAATGTGTGAGAAATAAATATCTTTTCTTTATAAACCACACAGTTTATGGAATTTTGTTATAAAAGCCCAGTGGACTAAGATAGTGCTTTAATTTTCATTTAGATATCACAGTAGCTTGGACATAGGTGCCTGATTTGCTGAAATTAGCTTCTTTTTTTTCTTTTCATATTGACTTATTGAAATCTGTTTTTCCGGAATAGTGACTGTAAGTCAAACACACACAAACACATGTGCATGTATAAGCACATTCCCAAATATAGCTGTCAAAGAAAAACTCTTTGATGTATACAGTTTAAAATTTATAATTTACATATATTATTTAGGATTTACTGGAAAGTATAAATACTCAATATTTTTGCTAAAACATAAATTGTAGAATTTTTATAAAATATTGGAGTTTCTGTACTTGTAATAAACAAATATAAATCGAGCTTGGATGCAAAATGGGGCTTGAAGGCATTTTTAGTTTATACATGTATTTAGTTTTAACAATCAAGATACTTAAAACAGAATTGTTTTATTAAACAATGAAAGGGGACAGGTGTGGTGGATCACGCCTGTAATCCCAGCACTTTGGAAGCCCCAGGTAGCTGAATCACGAGGTCAGAAGTTCGAGACCAGCCTGGCCAACATGATGAAACCCTGTCTCTACTAAAAATACAAAAAAAATAGCCAGGTGTGGTGGCGCGTGCCTGTAGTCATCCCAGCTACTTGGGAAGCTGAGGCTGGATAATCGCTTGAACCTGGAAGGCGGAGGTTGCAGTAAGCTGAGATCATGTCAGTGACTCCAGCCTGGATGACAAGAGCAATACTCTGTCTCAAAAATAAACAAACAAACAAAACTGAAAGGATATTTTAATTGACTATTGGTCACAAAATAGTATTATTTCAAATATTTGTGATATTAGGATAGCCAAACAAACTGAATATAGCATTGTCTGATAACTTCTTAAGTAAAAACAGTATCATAGCATCTCATAACACATCTGGTCTTCCACAGTTGTTCTGTTTATTTTAAATTGATGTGCTTCTTTTGTCTCATTATTCTTTCTAAAGTAAACAAAGCTAGAAATATTCATAATATTACTATGATAATTAAGATGTACGTACTGATTAAAAACTACATATATCCTTAAACATATGTATTTATTATACACAATATAAATGTAAATGTATATGTGTCTCTTTTTTTTTCTTTTTGAGACAGAGTCTCACTCTGTCACTTAGGCCGGAGTACAGTGGCGCAATCTTGGCTCACTGCAGCATCTGCCTCCCAGGTTCAAGCGATTCTCCTGCCTCAGCCTCCTGAGTAGCTGGGACTACAGGTGCACACCACCATGCCCTGCTAATTTTTTGTATTTTTAGTAGAGATTGGGTTTCACCATGTTGGCCAGGATGGTCTTAATCTCCCGACCGCGTGATTCACCTGCCTCAGCTTCCCAAAGTGTTGAGATTACAGGCATGAGCCACCACACCCAGGCCCTTTATCTTGTATACATATAAAGTAATTATAACATATGCATGCATATTTAACATACATAGCACACTATGTAAAAATACTTCTTAGGCATTGCATTTTTTAATAACAAAATGTTGGTAAATTGATTGTTTTCAACCACTACTTTTAGTAAATTATTCAGCAGAATATATTTAAAGAATGAGGAGGAGATCTTATTGAATTACTTCCAAGCTATATCTTTGGACCTTCATAAGTAACACAGAGAACATGAAGAGTTGCCTTTTTGTTGTATTTATTTCTTAGCCCATTCTCAAAATCTAAGTAAAGGAGATAATATTTTCATTTTTTTCTTGCCCCAATATCATTTTAATTCTTTTCAGGAGAGTCAAACTGTTATTTGGAGTCATTACTTTGAGTTTGAATCTGATGTCTGAGAGATTTGTAAAATGAGCTGCATCTCTCACCTCTCCAATGCTCCTTTTCCTTATGTTTGTAATAAAAGTAATAAGATTTAACTACTCAGTTCTGAGCAAGAGCTGAGTGAGTTCAAGTGAAGTTTTCTTTACAGAGGTAAACAAACAGGAAATACTAAAAAAAATCAGTTGTTATTAAAGTGAACTAGAGCATTATATGATAGAAAATAATGAATATAACATTTTATTGAAGAGTTCATAGTCTATATATAAAACATTTTATTGAAGAGTTCATAGTCTATATAGAAAAATATGTTTATTTACAATGTGAAATCACTGTCCCTTCCACTTCTTAGCCTAACTCCTATAGCTGTAAGAAAACTAACATATAAAATATAAACATGTTACTCCCCACCTAAAATCTTTTGATAAGTACCTAGGTATAATGAATACAATCTTTTGGATTAACAAAAAATTTCTAAGTGGTGTTTTCTTCAACTATTCAAATGCTACCTTTCATTACTAGACATCAAGTGATGTTAAATTATTTTCATAGCTATGAAACTAGTACACTTTTTTAGATCTTTATGATTGTGTTCAAATTATTCTCTGTCTAGAATATCCTTCCCCTTTTCTGTATCATCTTGCACATTCTTACTTGTGATGATTTGTTTTATGTGTCAAATTGGCACACTATGTTACCCAATTGTTTAATCAAACACAAATCTATGTGTTGCTGTTAGAGTATTTTATAGATGTGGTTAATATGTACCATCAGTTGATTTATGTAAAGGAAATTACTGTTGATAATTTGCATGGGCTTCATTCAGTTAGTTGAAAGGCCTAAGAATGAAAATTGGATTAATTATCAGCTCCTGCCTGAGTTTCTAGCCAGCCAGCCTGCTCTACAAAATTTGAACTTCTCTGCTCCATGAATGTCAAACTTGTCAGCCCACATATTCTCCTGCCCCCATGTTCTCCTGATCCAGTTTGTCTGTCTCTGTCTCTGTTCATCTCTCTCTCTCTTTCTAAATAGATAGATATAGAAAATAGATAACTATCATCTATCTAATCTATCAATCTCAATCTATTATCTATCTATCCATCTATCTGTGTATTTTTGTTTCATTCTATTTCTATATAAATTCCTCTTTATATATAACCCTGACTGATAAATATTTGGTACCAGGAACTGAGGTAGTACTGTAACAAGTACTTAAAAATATGGAAGTGACTTTGGAATTGGGTAAATGGTGGAAGAAGCTGGAAGTTTTCTGCAACAGAAGATTAAAAAAAAAATCAAGCTCAGATTTCTTTGAAGAGACTGTTGGTAGAAATATGGATATTTGACCATGATTTTGGTGAGTACTCAAAAGCAAGTAGAGAAGCTTTATATTTTCTTAAACAATACACATATTTTAAATAAAATGTTACTAAAATATGAAACATAAAGGTGCTTCTGATGAAGTCTTAGGACAGAAATGAAGAATATGTTATTAGAAAATGGAGAAAAATAGATCCATGTTATAATGTGGCAGAAAACATGCGTGAATTGGATTTTTGCCTTTGTGTGGAAAGTAGGGTGTATATGGTATGAACTTGGAAATTTAGGGAAAGAGATTTTCAAGCAAAGTATCCAATGCATAGCCTGATTTCTTTCTGCTACATATAGTAAAAACAAAAGGAAAAAGACACAATGAGGAAGAAATCATCAGAAAAAAAATAGAACTTGATGATTTAGAAAAAGAGCCTATTCATACTAAAAAAAGAAAAAGATAAGAAAGCATGCTCTGGAAAGAATATCAAAGTTGTGGCTGTACAGTCTTGTGTTGGAGAAATGAGTTATGTGAACTAGAGATCTTATTAACCACCCCAGCTGAAGCCAGGAATAGGGATGGGATGATCCTGGAAGGAACTGTGGAGGACCCTAATGTCTTATGGTATGGACTTTCTTGACACTTATGGAAGACTGAGATGCTTTTTGAGAATGTTAGGTCAGCAGAAACACTGCCAACTTGCACTAAGTGAACAGAGATGGGACAAAATGAAAGAACACGGTTGAACTTTTAAAACTTTTTTTTTAAGGTTAGCATTTTATTGAATATTTGAAACAAGGACTTCCATCAAGAAGGTGTCCCTTATCCATCTATGATTTCTTAGCTTAACAATCTTAATGAATTTTTTTTAATTTTATTATTATTATACTTTAAGATTTAGGGTACATGTGCACAACCTGCAGGTTAGTTACATACGTATACATGTCCCATGTTGGTGTGCTGCACCCATTAACTCATCATTTAGCATTAGGTATATCTCCTAATGCTATCCCTAACCCCTACCCCCACCCCACAACAGTCCCCAGTGTGTGATGTTCCCCTTCCTGTGTCCATGTGTTCTCATTGTTCAATTCCCACCTATGAGTGAGAACATGCAGTGTTTTGTTTTGTCCTTGTGATAGTTTGCTGAGAATGATGGTTTCCAGCTTCATCCATCCCTACAAAGGACATGAACTCATCATTTTTTGTGGCTGCATAGTATTCCATGGTATATATGTGCCACATTTCCTTAATTCAGTCTATCATTGTTGGACATTTGGGTTGGTTCCAAGTCTTTGCTATTGTGAATAGTGCCACAATAAACATAAGTGTGCATGTGTCTTTATAGCAGCATGATTTATAATCCTTTGGGTATATACCCAGTAATGGGATGGCTGGGTCAAATGGTACTTCTAGTTCTAGATCCCTGAGGAATTGCCACACTGACTTCCACAATGGTTGAACTAGTTTACAGTCCCTCCAACAGGGTAAAAGTGTTCCTATTTCTCCACATCCTCTCCAGCACCTGTTGTTTCCTGACTTTTTAAATGATCGCCATTCTAACTGGTGTGAGATGGTATCTCATTGTGGTTTTGACTTGCATTTCTCTGATGGCCAGTGATGATGAGCATTTTTTCATGTGTCTGTTGGCTGCATAAATGTCTTCTTTTGAGAAGTGTCTGTTCATATCCTTTGCCCACTTGTTGATGGGATTGTTTGTTTTTTTCTCATAAGTTTGTCTGAGTTCATTGTAGATTCTGGATATTAGCCCTTTGTCAGATGAATAGGTTGCAAAAATCTTATCCCATTCTGTAGGTCACCTGTTCCATCTGATGGTAGTTTCTTTTGCTGTGCAGAAGCCCTTTAGTTTAATTAGATCCCATTTGTCAATTTTGGCTTTTGTTGCCATTTCTTTTGGTGTTTTAGACATGAAGTCCTTGCCCATGCCTATGTCCTGAATGGTATTGCCTAGGTTTTCTTCTAGGGTTTTTATGGTTTTAGGTCTAACATCTAAGTCTTTAATCCATCTTGAATTAATTTTTGTATAAAGTGTAAGGAAGGGATCCAGTTTCAGTTTTCTACATATGCCTAGCCATTTTTCCCAATGCCATTTATTAAATAGGGAATCCTTTCCCCATTTCTTGTTTTTGTCAGATTTGTCAAAGATCAGATAGTTGTAGATATGCGGCATTATTTCTGAGGGCTCTTTTCTGTTCCATTGGTCTATATCTCTGTTTTGGTACCAGTACCATGCTGTTTTGGTTACTGTAGCCTTGTAGTATAGTTTGAAGTCAGGTAGCGTGATACTTCCAGCTTTGTTCTTTTGGCTTAGGATTGAATTCTACAAGCAGGAGGTGGGGCTGCAGTTTCCTATGTGTTGTGCAGCAGAGTAGAACTACTGCATAAGTGGCTGAGAAGACAGAGAATTGAGCCATTGTATGTTGTTCCCTGGCCTTGAAACCTAATGAAATTTGCTCTTCTGGATTTTGAACTTGCTTGAGCTCCTTGACCTGTTTGTATCTTCTTATTTATCCCTTTTGAAAGGAGAATGTCTAGTCTATGCGTATCTCATTATTATATTTTAGAAATGATTAACTTTCTTCCTATATTTACAAGTTTACAAATAGAAAGCAATTTTGCCCCAGGATGGACCATACACAGATTTTTACTGACTCTTAATTTAGACTATTTAGAAAATATTATTTGAGACTTTTTGAGTTGATTATATTTAGATGATATTTTGAACTTAGTGTTGATGCTGGAATGGGTTAAGATTTTTGGTGGAATTTTTGGATATTGTGAATGTGTTTTGAATATGGGAGGAATAAAACTTTGAGGGGAAGAGGGCAGAAGGACAACTGTATTGGGTTAAATAATTTCCTTGTAAAAATTTTGGCCATCTTGAACCTACAGATTTGACCTCCTATGGAATAAGATTTTTGTATATGTAATCATTTATGATGAGGTCATACTGGATAAGGCTGGAAATTAAATTTAATGACCAGTGTTTTTATAAGATGCACAGACACATACAGAAAGAGGAGGCAAAGTGAATATGGTAGCAGAAATTGTAACGATGCATTTAAATCCAAATATTGCCAAAGAAACAAGGAAGCATTCTTTCATGGACCCTTCATAGTGGGCATGACCCTGCCAGTACTCTCATTTTAGACGTCTAGCCTCCAGAACTGTAATAGCATAAAAATATATTTTTGAAATGACCTAGTTTTGCTAAATTGTTATGATGGCAGAACTAGGAAACGAAATATGGTGCATGTCCATTCTGGTCTCATCTAACAACAAATGACCTCTCTAACAGCCACTAAGCTAAGTGTCTTTCCATAGTACTCTCATTCCTCCCTTTGCATTGTCATTCATAGCACTAGATATATTATAAAATTATCTGTCAATGTACATGTCTACTAGTCTCATATTGCCTTAAGCTGACATGTGTCTTCTTTGTTACAATACTAGTATCTACAAAAATGTCTGTGACTGCTATTCTCTGTGATTTTTAAACTACTTAATTATGGTACCATTATTGTGCAACAAACTGTACACATATAAAGTGTCTATTTTGCTGAGTTTTGACATATAAATGCTCTTGTGAGATTATTACCATAATCAAGATATCAAACTTTTATGTTGAAAAAGACTGTTTAATTGAATGAAACATTTTATAGTTTTGATGAAACAAATCATCATAATTTAACAGTGAAGGTAAAGTAAGTTTTGTCCACTGATGTCCTTATTTGAGGCAGGAACAATGTTGGCAATGACATAAAGTGAAGTACAAATCAAAACCTTATGAAATAGTAAAGCTAACTTCATCATTAAAGTAGAAAAGGCTTTTGCTAAAGGCAAATTATTTATAATACAGTTTGACAATATTATTAAGGAAGATTTCTTTGCAAATGAAATGTGTTCAGTATTTTGCTTATAAATTATATCTCAGTATTAGTTATTATTATGAAAGACAAATACACAAAATAAAGGAAATCTCATTAAAGATAGATTCACCTCATTATTTTCTTAATTATTTTACACCACATAATATTGTCTTTACAGAAATAAAACTCCCTTGAAATCTCCAAAAAATGTAAATGCTCATGTTTTTCACAGACACCATTTACAGAGGAACATTATCCATTGAATTCACACATAAAAGTCTTAAGATTATATAATCTCTTTTTAATTACTGGGTATCAGCTAATGATATCTCAATAATATTGATAAACTTAGAGAAACAATTTTAGTAGAAATTCAAAGCTCTCTAAGAGCTTTGAAATTAAACAATAGGCAATTTTATTAAATGGCAAAAGGAAGTTAGTTTACTGGACTAAAATTTAATAAATACTGGCAAATTAAATAATACTACACACAATTATAAAACATGGCAAAGGTTTGAATACATAACATTTTTCTCTATTCGTTTGCTCTAGAATTGATGAATTTAGACAATCTCTCATAGCAAATTTCTTTTCTGTATTTTGAAGATTACTATGTTTGCTTTTACCTCAGTAAATACACTTATTTCATTTATAATTAAGTATATATATATATATGTATATCTAGCAGAATTTCTGGTTTTAGCTTTTATAGTAATAAATGTTAGTCATTTCTCTCATATATACAAGAAGAAAAAGTTGAAAAAATAAAAATGATGACTTTTTAACGATTCAACAAGGAATGGAGTTTATAGGGCCAACCACCACGCCAAAGTCTACAGAGACTCATGCAAGTGTATGTTCATCACAGCATTAGTCACAATAGCAACGACACGGAATCAACCTAAATGTCCATCAATGGTAGACTGGATAAAGAAAATGCAGTACATACATACCATGGAATGCTACATAGCCATCAAAAGGAATGAGGTTATGTCTTCTGCAACAACATGGATGGAGTTGGAGGCTATTATCCTAATGGAACTAATGCAGGAACAGAAAAACAAATACTACATGTGGTCATTTATAAATGGGAGCTACACACTGCATACAAATGGACACTAAGAAGGGAACAACAGACACCAGGTCCTACTTGAGGGTGGAGGGTGAGAGAAAGAAGAGGAACAAAATGCTGTCTATTGGGTACTTTGCTTATTACCAGGAGGACGAGAGAATCTGTGCACCAAATCCCCATTACAAAGAACTTACCTATATATCAGACCTGATCATGTACCCCTGAACTGAAAATAGAAGTTTAAATTAAAAAACATAAAGAGAAAACGAGGAGAGAGAGAGAGAGGTAAACCCAGATAGTCACAGCAAAGATCTGTTTATCTGGAGAAAACGTTGAAAGAGCCATAGACATAACGACTCTTCAGTGGTAATACCCATGAATTCTGGAGGCTAAGTATGGACTGGGTTACAAGGATTAAGATAGTTTCATAGAATGGCTATTATTCTACATAGAATGGTACCTATTTTGAAATACAATATTCTCTGTAACAATGAGCTACTGTCCATGGGACAAACTTTGCTATAGTCTTATCCCAACTGAAAAGAGCATTCACCCCAAGTTGGCACTGTTTATTTTTGTTACCAGAAGGAAGGCCATGAGTGAGTTGTCCAGGTCCTTGGGGTTTTGAACAAAAAATTGAATGAAATGCACAAACAAAGTTAACCAAAGAACGAAACACAGGAACAAAGCAGGGAAAGCAGGAATTTATTAAAGCAAGAGAACACTCCACAGGGTGGGAATGGGCCCGAGCAAGCTGTTCCAGGACCCAGTTACAAAGTTCTCTGGGTTTTAAGGAGTCCTTTTGAGGACCCTACTGGCTACCCCTTATCTGGATTAAGGATTTGGTCTATGGCTAATTTAAAAGGTTTTTCAAGAAAGGAAATAATACAGAACAGAAACTTAGGTCTACATAAAGAAAGGAAAAGGGTCCAAGAAGAATAAAGGGAAAATAAATTATTTTTTTCTTACTTTTAATTTATCTAAAATATAACTTTTTAAAGTAACTGTAATAATAGTGTATTGGGTTATTTTATCATATGGATAAGTGAAATGAGTGACTGCAGTGTAAGAAAGTGAGGAATTGAAAATTATATTCTCTATCTTCACTATATATTAAATAGTCAAGCATTCTTTAAAGGTACGTGTGTGTGTATATATGTAATATATATACTTATAATTAAAATGATATATATTTAAACAATGTATGTGTAAATAACCTGTGAGACATCAAAGTAGAAGATTCAAGAGAAATATAAATTATTGGAATTAAATAACAATGACTATATAACAAAAGTATTTGTGGGATATAATGAAAGCAGCACTTAGAGGAAAATGTATGTTATTAAATATATATATTAGAAAATATGAAATACCTAAAGTCAATAATTTAAATGATCCTCTTAGAGAACCAGAGAAAAAATTTAAGCCTAATCCAAGTAGAAGAAAAAAATGATAAAAATTTTAAGAAAAATCAATGAAATTGAAAACAGAAAATAATAAATCAATAAGCTAAAAGCTAGCACTTCATAAAGATCAGTAAAATTGATAGATAAACTTCTAGCCAGGCTAAGTCAGAGAAAGAGCAAGAAGAATAGAGAGCAAATTACCTATAGTAGACATAAAATGGGGTCATCACTACTGATTACATGGATGTTAAATTACATAGAATGCTATGTACATTGTATGCAAACTTATTTGATAACATGTATGAAATGTGCTAATTCTCTGAAAGACACAAGTTAGCAAAACTCACAAAAGATAAGTAGATACTTTGAATAGGCAGTAGCTATTATATATTGACAAAATTATTCTAAAATTGACATCAAAAGGCAAAAGGCTTAGACTGAGTAATCAAAATGCTCAAGAATAAGAACAAATTTGGAGTACTTTGAGCTTCATTAACTATAAAACTACTGCTCTGTAAAGTACCCTTAAGAGAATGAAAAGACTAGACACATATTGGAAGAAAATATTGGAAAACATAAATCTAATAGAGAACTTGTATCTAAAATATACAAAGAACTCTTAAACTTAAGGAACAAAAATCCAATTAAAGTGTACAAAATGTATGAACAAACATCTCACCAAAGAAGATATACAGATAGCTATTAACCATATAATACTATGCTCAAAATCATTTGTCATTAGGGAATTGCAAAGCAGAACACTAACGCAATATACTTACAAATCTACTAGAATTACTAAAATCCTACACCAGACAATTCTAATCAATGGTACCAAGCATGTGGAGCATTGCGAACTTCCATGTTTCCAGTTACATGATATTCTGGAAAAGATAAAAATATAAGAGATCAGTGGCTGCCAGGGTTCCATGCAGGAGAAGTTTGAAGTTTTAGTGTGGTGAAACAATTCTACGTGAAAGGATAATGGTGTTTGCATAACATTATAGGTTTGTCAAAACTCATAGAACTGAGGGGCACAATGATTGAATCTTAATATATGTGGATTTTTAAAGTATTTTAGGAGATCATGAGATTCTAGGATGGAGTACAGAATGTGACAATATAATTTAACTCTTTTAGAAATATATTAATCTCTCTGGAAAGTTTTGGAGAGAATGCTAATTTAAATAATTTTCAAAATGAATGAGATCGTTAGACTAAAGGCAAAGAAAATTGTACATAAGACCTGTATCTAGTTGATCCAGCTATTTCTCACTGGGTATAGGTTAATAATTTTTATACCACAATACACATACACTGGAATTTAAATAAATGGCAGGTGATGGGAATCATTTTTTGCACTTTTGGAATGGGAGGTTACAGATAAGAAAAAAAAAGAGGGTAGAATGATCCAAGTGTTTATTAACTAGAGACGGAGACATCTCATGAACTAATGTTTAACTTAATGTTGGATACTGATGGTTACATTTGGAAATATTTATAGATATTTATATAGACACAGGTTTGTATTGCCTGACGCTTAGCTGAGCTGGAGAGAGAGAGCTGAGCGGCAAGGTATTAGAGTAGTTGCTTAAAAACAAGCCAAAATGAAAGAGTTGAGCATTTAATCACTTACTCCAGTGGTATAAGCAAGAGTCTAAATGTGAGAAAGTGGCAGACTTCCCCTTCCCCTTTCCATTACCCCCCACATAATAATGTGCCACTCAAGGGTCAAGTGGATCAGCAGACACAAACGCCTTCACCCTATTTAGAAACCTTGAACAAAAGATTTCTGCTGTTTTATAAACCCCGGCCTAAGGGTTGGGAAGAGTGAGGTTGTAAGGAGAAAAGGGAGGGCTAGAAAGCACTGAGTATCGATTCACAGTGGGTAAAAGTGACTTCAAATATGTCTTTCGTCACCTGATGAGGAGGCCTCTGCAGAGGTGCCAGAAGACTCTGGCTGGAAACTCCAGATAGAGACGGAGGAATGAAGTTTCCTGGGCAAAAATGTATATATGCTTAAAAGCATGGCTGACCAAGAGTGAAGGCTGAGTTTTTTCTAGAGACCGTAACAAATTTGCTGAGCACAAAGTCAGCTATGGGAAGGGCATATAACGCCCACATAAACCTTTGTAATGCCCATGGCTAGGACTGAAAATGGCACATAAATGTTTGGCCAGTAGATGGAGTCCTCATGTATTCACACATGTATTTGCTTGCTCTTAGCTGAGGGAGTCTACTAGCAGCAATATCCTGCAGTAATGAGCATACACAGTGCCCAGATCATGGTTTCTTATACTCTTTTTCAATAGAAAGAATCAGGGCTTCTTGGAGATATGGCTGATTCTAGGACTGAGGCCGGAAATATACGAGACAGATGAACCTGGGACAGCTTGTTTTGTTGGGAAAGGTAGTTCCGTGCATGTACTCTTTTGACTTCCACCTAGATGCATAGAATGGACCATGGGCCTGGAGTATGTCTTTACCAAGAGAGAAAGAGTCCTTGCTACCTGTGCTGGACTTTTCTCCTCGTGTGGGAATATCATTCTCTGTTTTAGGCTCATTGAGAACTCCTTTGTTCTGTTTAAGCATATGCATCAAATGACACGTGGCCAATCCCACTACTATCTCTGTGCTCTGCAGGGAGTGGTTGAGGTCTTCCTGCTGCAGCACAAGAATTGTGCATATAAACAAATTGCCCTGTGTCAACTACTGGGAGGGGCCCACTGGCCATCCAGAACTAATGCCCAAGACTAAGGCTAATCATATGCTGTCTCCTCTATGTAAGTAAAACCTTTTTCCATCCAGCATTTGACTGCATTGTGTTTTCCTTGGCAATGCTAGTGTGTAGTGTCTAGAAATGCTCATTCAGACTTCTATTCCTGATCAAACGCACTTGCTAAACATGTAGCTCAGAAGTAAGGAAGCAGTAAATAAGAAGAAAAAAGATTGGTTTATTTCAATAGGACACAAGAGCCAACTGAAAGAGCTCACAAAGTCCAAATCTGGAGCAACGTGAGTAAATAAACACAGAGTATTGGATTATTACTCAAACTATAAAATTAATACCCACAAGTCTATACTGACATAAATGACTGAGTAAATAAATGGAAACAATAGCAAAATATGCCATGTGGAATAATTCCAAATTATTTATGTAGATACTTCACTGTATTATTTGCCAAGACTGCCAGAATGCAGTCACAGACTGAGTGGCTTAAACAACAGAAGTTTCTCTCTTTTTTTTTGTTTTCTTTTCTTTTCATTCTTTTTTTTTTATTTTTTATTTTTTGAGACAGGGTCTCACTCCTATCACCCAGCCCCGAATGCAATGGTGTAATCGTGGCTCATTGCAGCCTTGACTTCCCAGGCTCAGGTGATCTTCCCACCTCAGCCTCCTGAATAGCTGGGACTACAGGCATGCTCCACCACATCTGACTAATATTTGTATTTTTTGTACAGGTGGGATTTTGCCATGTTGCCCAGGCTGCTCTCAAATTCCAGGGCTCAAGCAATCTGCCCACCTCAGCTTCCCAAAGTGCTGGGATTGCAGGCATGAGCCACCGTACCCAGCCAGCAGTTTATTATCGTACAATTCTATAGCCCAAATTCTAAGACTAAGTTGCTAGCAGAGTTTTTCTTCCCAGCCTCTCTCCTTGGCTAGTAGATGGCCATCTTCTCCTGATGTCTCCACATGGTGTTTCCTGTGTACATATCTGTATACTGATCTTCTCTACTTATAGGGAGACCAGTCATATTGAAATAGTGCCCATCCTGATGACCTCATTTTAACTTAATTTTGAGGTACTAAGCATTACGACTTCAACATATGAATTTTGGGGGAGTCACAACTCAGCCTGTAAGACTCAGAGAGGAGTTTGTGAAAACGCAGGGAGAAGGTAACCATCTAGAATCCAAGGACAGAGTCCTCAGAAGAAAACCAATTGTTGGCTCCAGGAAAATAACAAACTGACAAACATTTTGCCTACTTAATAGGAATGAATTTAGCGTAAGTTAATTTTAAAAACAACTGTATAGTAACAAATTAGATCATCTATATTGAAAGGAAATATTCCTAGAAAGGCACAAGCTACTGAAACTTACTCAAGAATAAATAGAAATTCTGACAAGCCTCTAGCAAGTAAAGAGACAAATTAATAATTTTTTAAAAATCTCCTGAAAGAAAAGCCTGGGCCTAGATGTCTTCACTGGTAAATTCTAGCAAACATTTTCTTTTTAAATTAAGGTAAAATATTTACAAACCTCAAAATACATTCTGTGAAAAACATATTATGTTGATACCAAAACCAGTTAAAGACAACCAAAAGAAAACAAATTAATAAAAATATCACTTGTGAATGTTGATTTAAAATACTCAACAAAATTCTGGCAAGTCGAGCTCGGTGTCACAGAAAAAAAGATGAAATGCACCAAAGGAGAAATATCCCAGGGATGTATGGTTTATTTAATGTCCAAAAATCAATTAATATAATATACCATATCAGAATAGCACAGACAAAATTCATTAATAATAATCTCAATAGATGATAACAAAATATATTTTAAAATATAACACATTTTCTTGGTAAACACTGTCAACAAACAAGGAGAAAGAAACTTTCTCAACATGATAAGAGACATTCTGAAACCTACATAACAGTGAGATTCCATAAAGCTGGGAACGATACAAACATGCCCACTTTTGCCACTTGTACTTAATACCATACTGGATGATCTAGATAGGACAATGAGGTGAGAAAAACAAATAAGAGCTATTAGGTTAGGAAAGGATGACATGATCTTGTATACAATAAAAAAAAAAGGAATCCACTACAAAATGTTAAAACTAAAAATGAGTCCATTAAAGTTATAGGATACAAGAACAATGTACAAAAACTATTTGCCTTTCTGTATACATGCAGTAGATAATTCAAAAATTTTTTTAAATAACCTATTGTCAAAAAACTTAAAGCAGACCAAAACAAATTAAAGATATTTCATGTTTACGGATCAGATGATTTATTATTAAGATGGCAATAGTCTTCACATTAGTCTACAGATTTTGAGGAATCACTATCAAAACACCAGGTGACATTTTAAAGCTATTTCTAAAATTTATGTGGAAAATCAAGTGGGCCAGAATAGCAAAATGTGTCCTAATAAAGAACAAATTAGGCTCATATTTTTCAATTTTAATATTTTCTCCAAATCTAGAAACTAATTAGGAATGTTTGTTACTGACTGTATAGAAATAAAAGTAAAGGTAACAGCATTGAGACTCTATAAATATATTTTTACAGTAATGATCAACTGAATTTTTAAAACTGCTTAGGCAATTTTGAAAAGTCTTTTAAAAATACATATTTATAATTGCAAATAGTGTGTGTTTTATATATATATATATACACACACACATATATGTAATGTAAATGGCTATCCATATGAAAAAGAGTCAAATTGAACCCCTACGTTAACCATGTTCAAAAGTTAATTAAAATTGACTCTTAAACTTAGATGTAAGAACTAAAATCTAGAAAACCTTTTGAAGGAAAAACATGAGTAATATTTGACAGTGTTGGGAAATACCTTCGCACAAAAGATGCTGAAACCAAAAGCAACAACAAAAAATTCATAAATTTGATTTCATCAAAAGTTAAAACAATTGTACTTCAAAGAACAACATCAGAGAAATGAAAGATTTTTTAGTAACTCAGGTAGATGGGATGGATCCTCCCACACAAACTCAAAATTTGTTTACATGTCATGACTGATGATGTCTCACACATACATGCCAAGAGGATATGAAGAAATTTGTTAAATGAATATTCAGGCTTTCTGACAAAAGTGGGTATCCTCCCAGCTGCTCCAAAATGGCTTGAAAAAGTAGGAAGGATTCTTGACCTTCGATTCTATGGTGAATAAGGGATGTGGCAGGGACAGTATTCCTACATGCCTCCAGGTTTTGTGTGGTTTGAACTTCCTGCTGGTGTCAATAGGAAAAATCCCTGAGCTTTCTTAATGTTTTGTCCAGATAGGTAAAAGGTAAAGAGAGAGAGAGGAGGAGGGACTTGATAAATGTAAACAATCAAACATTAAGATTTGAGCCAGACCTCTTCTGAAAGATAACTCATAGAACAGAAAAATTTATTCAAATAAGATATTTAATGATAGATATATCCATAATATATAAATGTTTCTTATAAGTTAGTAATAACATGGCAAATAACCTAACTTAAAAAAAAACGGTAAGCCAATCTGGATAAACACTTTTCCAAAGAGATATAAAAATGTCCAATAAGAACATAAAAAGTTGCTCAATATTTTTAGCCATTAGGGAAATGCATATCAAAACCACAATGAGATACCACTTCACATTCATTAGGATGATTATAAAAGCTATTTAGTAAATATAAATATATTTTGGAATTTTAACAAAACATTAGATTGTCTCCGTATATGCTTCAGTTAGTTCAGCCACTGAGGAAAGTAGTTTGGAGAGATCTCAAACAACTTAAAACAGAGCTACCATTTCACCCAGAAATCCCATTACTGAGTATATGCCCACAGGAAAATATACCAAAAAAACATGCATTTTTAAGTTCATTCCTGTGCTATTCATAATAGCAAAGACATAGAATCGGCCCAGGTCCTCATCAACAGTGGGTTGGATAATGAAAATGTGGTTACATATACACCATGGAAAACTATACAGACAGAAAAAGGAATGAAATCCTGGCGTTTGCAGCAACATAGATGCAATTGGAAGCGATAATCTTAATCAGACTAATGCAGGAATAGAAAACTAAATACTGCATGTTCTCACAAGTCGGAGTTATACATTGAGAACACATGGACATAAAGATGGGAATAACAGACACTGTGGACTTCTAGAGGGAGGAGGGAGAGAGGTGTGGGTTAGAAAACGACCTATTGTACTGTCCTCATAATCTAGGTGCAATATACCCAAGTAACAAGCTGTGCATGTCTTCCCTGTATCTAAAATAAAAGTTTAAATTTTAAAATGTTATTTCTTGATTGCTTTTCTCAGGTATTTCTCTTGGTGTACCTGAGAATAACTAATGAGAATCAAATTACCTATTCATTTATATTTACTCCATATATTACATTATTCTTCATATTTTATTTTTGTTTTCCTTTATAACTAAAACAAATTGCATTTGAATTTCAGAAGCCAAACTCCTATATTCTTTATTGGTATAGTTTAACTCTATGCTGTGGTAATGCATTTTCTTTAGTCAATCTATAGCTTCACAACCTTTAAGGTTTTTGGTCCCTTTCACATCCGCTCAATATCCTCATTATCTGCCAATTATTTAAACATGGTTTCTATGTCTTCCACCAAGTTTTATTTCCAATTATATGGCCTGTTCTGGCAATCCTAGTACTTAGAAAAATTGAACCATTCCAGTCTCATTTAGTCTTTTAATAGTGTGAATCATTATGTGTCAAGGCTCTTACTTTGATAAATTTAGGAATGGTTCTCCTGTTCTTTCCTTTTCCATCATTAACTGGTAATACTAGCATCTAAATAGTTGTTATTTCGAATAAGTTGATATTGGGTTACGTTGTGATATTTATACAAAATCAAGCTTTGTTATTCTCCTACACCAAGTAATGAGTTTAAATTAATTTTAAAGTTATAACTGCTGAATCTATATGAAACGTGAAGATGTGATTTCATACTATTTAGGTTTTTTAAGCTAACATGATCATAAAGTATTTAAGTTCCATATGAAAAGAAAATGTGAAAAATTTCTGGTGTTATTTTAAAAAATCAAAATGCAGAGCACAATGAAAGTCAATAAATTTTGAAAATTCAGGTCAAATATGAAATATTCATATTCAAAATAAATCTTATATTCTTTATAAATAGTTTATAATAAAACATGTGTATTTTAATGACATTTTAAAATTTAATTTTTTTCCAAAAGATATAAAAGTATGCCAGGTGAAAAAGGTATCAGAGGTTATTGTATAAAAATTCTAATAAATTATGGAATAATACATATATGTGAGATGTGAGAGTCAGATGAAACATTACCTTGCCAATATGTTATTTTTTAAATTAATAATGACTACTTAAAAGTCTATAAACTCTGATATGTCTATATGTGTATATATATGTTTGTCTACTGTAAATGATGGTATAATTATTTATAGGAAAAGCTAATGAAGTCTTGATGACAAATAACAATGGTTTTACAAAAAATGAATCCAGTACACAAATTACATTTTGAGTAAATATACAATGAAATTTGTTTAAATTTGATCATATAATATATATTAGAAATGGCAAATACCTACCAAATTAAATAAAATCGATTATATGTAAAGAATTGTAAGAGAAATATGTAACTTCCTTTAGAGCAAAAATTAAATATTTATCTAATAATTACTATGAATAAAAATTGAAATACATTATTCTGAAGTAAGAACTCGAACACTGAATAATTTTGCCATAATTTTTGAATATTAAGATGTGTATAAAAGAAAAAAACATGCAAAGGAAAACAATGAGTAATCATGCTGGAAGAAACTAAATTAATGTAGAAAATGCTTCCAGCTGTTTTCACATTAGGCTCAGCTTTCACCCTGAGTCCCTATGCTTTAAATATCTAGAATTTTGAAGCGATTGAGTGATAAGTAGAACATTTAATTCTAGGTGTTAAAATGTATTAAATTTTACATACAACATGATTCATTTACATTTTAGAAGTTGTTAAGCATAAAATACCAAATAAGCCCCAAATAAGCCTATTTTTAACTGACACATACATGAAAATATGAGCCTAAGAATTAATTTGGAATCAAATCAAATAGTTTACTCTCCGGAGAACATTTCTCTGTGAATAAATGATTGAATAGATAGTTCAGAATTGCCATAATGTATCAATCACCACGCTTTTCCAGATAATACCCACTAAAGCATTAGAAATACAATATTATTAATCTAAATTTGTAGGTAATGTTACTGAGGTCCAGGGACTTTATTAAATACTAAAATTTCAACAGGAGAAATGTGACTTCGTCCTACAAGTTCCAAATTCAGTGTTTTTGATCTTTTAACCAACCTAATTTACAATCCTTTAACAATATTTTTGTTTTCTCAAATCCACGTATTTTCTCTAAAATTAAAATAATATCTTACATGTAAATTGTATTCTCTTCATGTAGCGTAGGGGTATGAATTTATGCTATTCTGTGCTCCTGGGTTTGGCAGCGTACCAAGACACCTGGCAAAAGCAAACACAAATAATTACTGGAGATAAACTATTGATTCTCCTTAGTATGTTATCCACGAAAATAAAATGTAGAACTGAAATTCTAAGTACATATAATAGATCAATCAGATATGTTTCATTAATAGATAGTATTTATAGAATGTGTAAAGGGAAGTAAAACAAAAAAAAAAACACAGAAGGTAATTTGCCTTCTGGGGCTGCAATAACAAGGTACCATAAACTGGGTGGCTTAAACTGCAGGAATTTATTTTCTTTCAGTTTTGGAGGCTGAAATCTGAAATCAAGGTATTGAAAGGATTGGTTCCTTCTGAGGACTGTGAGAGAGATTCTGTCCTATGCCTTTCCTTGGCTTCTGGTACCTCAGGCATTCCTGGCTTTGTAGAAAGTATTTTCCCTTGTGACTTCATATTGGCTTAAACCCATATGTATCTGCTTCTGTGTCCAAATTTCCACTTTTAATAAGGACATCAGCTATATTGTATTAGTTCCTATCCTAGTGACCTCATCTTTACTTGATCATCTGCAAAGTCCAAATAAGGCCACTTTCATAGATATGGAGGGTTAAAACTTCATCATCTGTTTGGAAGATGCATTTCAATCCACAACAAAGACCAAGGCATAATACAAGATATGTTTTGGAAAAAAATTAATAGGCTTCTAGAAATGAAGAAAATGTAGCTTAAATTAAAATATTGATTCATTATCTAATCATCAGTTTAGGCCACCTAAAGAGAGCATTAATTAACTGGATTGTAGTTTTAAATAATTATCCTGCAAACAACGCAGAACAGTAAAAACTATTAATGAATGTAAAATAAATAACAGAGAGAGAGACTTTAAATGATGTTGGAAAAGGAAAAGAGCTATTTACAAAAGTACAGAGAAAGATGAATAGCATATTCTTAACAGCAGTAGAAGTCAAAAGACAATTGAATATGTCTTTTATGTACTAAGAGAAAATTCCCTTCATGTAGAATTCAAGCTCACAGTAGTTATTCAAAAACAGGAGTAGAGACAATATATTTACAAATAAACGAACAAAAAAATATAATTTACCACCATCATATTCTCGCTGTGGAACTTCAAAAGAACTAGAATTGGAAAGATGAAAAGGCAATTGTCAGAATCGGGGACACTTTATATAGATTATGGAGCTACTGGAGATGTTGGCAAGGACCAATGAGAAAACCTTGACCTGCAGGTGGATGAAGTTTGGAAGACAAATTTATTAGAGAAAAGAGAGGCATCAAATAGCAGCTCCCTTGGAATAATAGACTACATGAATGTTCCTTCTGGATGGAAGACCTGAATGCAAAAATTAGTGGTAAACAAGAAAACTGGTAATTATATTAGTCTTGTTGGGCTGTCATAACAAAATACCACAGACTGAGTGGCTTAAACAACATAAATTTACATTACCACAGTACTGGAGGCTGGAAGTTCACAATCAAGGTCCAGCAGGGTGGATTCTGATCAGGCCTCTCTAGAAAGAGAGGCTAGAAAGCTTGCAAATGGCCACCTTCTTGCTGTGTCCTTACATGACCTTTCCTTTGTGCATATACAGACACAGTGAGAGCAGTCTCTAGGGTCTCTTTCTCTTTTATCAAGAACATCTGTCTATTATACTAAGGCTCTACACTTATGACCTCAGTTTCCCTTAATTATCTCCTTAAATGTCCTATTTTCAAATGCATTCACAAAGGAGGATAAGACTTCAACATATAAATTTTGGGAGACCACAATTCAGTCCATGATATTAACCATATTTAATATGAGCACACAATAGAGTATAAAACAACAATACTGTCTGAAATTAAAGCAAATAAGATACAACTGAAGGACGGCATCACATTAGCATGTAAAGTACAGGGCAAATGATGATAGAACAATCTACAAGTTAAGGAAGGTATGGCGGCTGCATATCTTGCATTATAAAGTTCCTGCATTTTTAAGTCTTTGTAAATGTCACCTAATTAAACAATTTAAGCTTAAAATGTAATAAGTCATCCTAGATGAGTCACTCACTCTCAAGCACACCCTACCTGATTGTTTGGAATTTCTGTGTCTTATTTAAAAATAATTTGAAAAAGAATATTCTGCAGTCTTGAAAATATATTGAAAACATTTCTAACCCCCAAAGAGAGAATTATTAAAATATTATTAATAAAAGATATCCACAATATGAAAATTGAAAAAGAGATGGCAGGAGGTCTTTTCAATGCCAATTTAAAGCATTCCCTATCATGCCTATGGAGGATTTTATAACTTGAATCAGTCCTCCAAAAAGATACTGAAATCTTAACCCCTAGTATCTGTGAATATGATCTAATTTGGAAATAGAGTCTTTGTAGATGATAAGTTAATATAAGGTTATATTAAGTAATGCTCTATTCCTATATAACTGTGCCTGCATTTAAAAATAAAATTTGGGCACAAAGAAACATAGGGATAATTTCAAGTGAAGACTGGAGTTATGCACAGGTCAAGAAACACCAAAGGTTGACAGCAAACCACTAGAAGATAGGGAAAAGGCAGAGAACAGATATTTCTTCACAGCTCTCAGAAGGAACCAATACTGTTGGATACCTTGAATTGGGAATTCTGGAGTCCACAAATTAGGGCATAAATTTCTGTTCTTTAAGCTGCTAAGTTGATGGTACTTTATTATGGCAGCCCTAGCAAAATATTACAAGAGGCTTTATAACTTTGACTTGCTATTTACTCTTAATAGTCTCATTTTGTAAAATACATGTAACTTGTATATTTACGTCTAATAAATATGAAAATAATTTTGTATGGTGAAAAAAAACTAAACTCAAAGATTATAATTGTATTTCTTTAATGGAAATAAAAAATCTTACTTTAATTCAGAAAACCTATTTCAACATGCCCTCCATAATGCACTGTATAATTCTTTTCAGAAGTGACCTTTGAACCAGCTTTACCATCTCATTGATTTCTTTCTTAATGTATCAGCATTAAGAACTCTGAAGGGTCTTGGATTTCACCTAACTGCAGGTTATCGCATTAGCCTGCCAGTTTTACAGATGTTTGCAGAATATACAAGACTTCATCAAGAAGCGTTGAGTATTGCTTATTTGCATTAGTTTCTCTTGCACTCAATTTCCAATAGGGTGACAGAGGTAGGTCTAGATGGAGGACTGCAGAAAAAGAGTGTATAGGAGAGCTATCTTGACCTTATGGAACCCTAATATTTTATAAGAGGCCCAAACATGCCTGTCATTTTGTCCAGAGAGACAAAGTATTTCTGTCTTCCAAGACTGGTAATAACTTGATATTTGCTCCAGAGAAGACATCATCTCTGTATTCTAAGCTTTATTTGCTATGCAGATGTCTTTGAAAATATAGTCCTAAGGGCAAAGGACAATTATTACTGTTTTCAAGATGTGCAAGACAACAAGAGACCCATAGAGATTTATCTTTAAAAATTTAGATAAATCCTCAGTAAGAATCTATTCTATTTAATTTTATAGACAGATGATTGATAGATATAGATTTACATACACATATAGATATACATATAAGTATCATAGGTATACTATGGTCTAAACGTTTATGTTCCCCCAAAAATCATGTGTTGAAACTCAATATCCAATATGATGAGTCTGAGACCTCATCGGAATGCTCTTTACCATCTATATTTCTACCAATATTCTGTTCACAATCCTTTAGGTATTCTGTAAGAAGATATAGCTCTCTGCAGTTTTTCTCTTCTCCTGAGCTCTCACCAGAATCATCCTTTAAATTCTGTTCAAAAGAAGATAGACTTTTGCGAGAAAGTGCCTCAAAACTGTTCAAACTTCTACCCATCACCCAATTTTAAAGTCACTTCTACATTTTCAGGTATTTATAATAGTATCACTTCCACTTTCTACTGCCAATTTTCTCTCTTTGTTCTTTTAGGCAATTGTAACAACATATCAGACTGAGTGTCTTGTAAACCATACAAATTTACTTTCCCTGCCTCTGGAGTCCAGGATGTCCAAGAACAATGTGATGCCAGATTGATTGTCTGCTGAAAGTCCACTTTCTGTTTCATAGATAGTGACTTCTATCTGTGTATTCAGTATTCACATGGTGGAAGGGAATGGTATCCTTTATAATGGAATTAATCACATCACAGGCCCAGAAGACAAGATTATGGAAGGTAGAGCAATATGAAAGCCCTGCTTCTGAATTCCAGTGCCATTCTTCTCAGTCAACCCAGGTGCAACTCTAGCAAGCCTAGGTGTGGCATGGGCCTTGGTGGCTGCCTCTCTGAAGGACATAGGCAATAAGTTTGGTAGTCTCTGTGTGGTACCATCTCTGCTGGCACACAGAGTGCAAAAGTTGTAGGGGCTTTGCTGCCTCCAACTAGATTTCAAAGAATGCCAAGCAGAGTTATGGGGCTCAGGCAAATAATTGACACAGAGCTATGGCAACTGCAGAGAGCCCCCACAAGGGCAATGCCCAGCAGAGACATGAGGTGGGGCTGGGGCCCCAATGCATCATGAAGGTGTGACCTCTGCCCAGTGGACTGGGTTGCAAAAAATTGAGTCAAATAAGTTTATTCTCTAAACTTAAGATTTAATATTGTTTACCTTGATGATATTTGTATTTACTTTGGACCTGTGACCCATATTCCATTTCCTTCCTATTTTTTTCTTTTGGAATTGGGATATGTATTCTATGCCTGTCACACTATGTATTGGAAACATACAATTTGTTTCTTTGCACAGGTTTATAGCTGGAGAACAATTTGCTTCAGAATAAATTGTACCTTGAGTCTTACTTATATCTGATTAGATGATATTTAGATGAGAGTCTGAATATTACAATTTTGATGCTGGAATGAATAATGATTTAGGGGCTGTTGGGTTAGAATAAACATTACGTTGCATGTGATAAAGACATGAATTTGTAGGGGAAGGCATGGGTAGAATGTTATGGCCTGAATGTTTCTATTCCTCCAAGATGCATATGTTGAAATTCTCACCACCAAGGAGATGGTGGTATTAAGATGTGGAGCCTTTGGGAGATAATTAGATCACAAGGATGGAATCCTCATTATTGGGATCAGTGCTCTTAAAAACGAGACCTCAAAGACCTAGCTAATTCTTTCTTCTGTGTGAGGAAACAGATAGAAACACCATCTATGAACTAGTAAATGTGTCCTCATCAGACAATGAATCTGCCAGCACCTTACTCTTGGACTTCTTAGACTCCAGTATTGTAAATAATAAATTTCTGTTTTTCACAACCACCTATGCAGCCATAAAAATTGATGAGTTCATGTCCTTTGTAGGGACATGGATGAAGCTGGAAACCATCATTCTCAGCAAACTATCACAAGGACAAAAAACCAAACACCGCATGTTCTCATTCATAGGTGGGAATTGAACAATGAGAACACATGGACTCAGGAAGGGGAACATCACACACCAGGGCCTGTTGTGGGGTGGGGGAGGGGGGAGGGATAGCATTAGGAGATATACCTAATGTTAAATGAAGAGTTACTGGGTGCAGCACACCAACATGGCACATGTATACATATGTAACTAACCTGCATGTTGTGCACATGTACCCTAAAACTTAAAGTATAATAAAAATAAATAAATAAAAAAGAGACCTCAAAGAGCTAGCTAATTCTTTCTTCTATGTGAGGAAACAGACAGAAAACTTTATCTATGAACTAGTAAATGTATCCTCATCAGACAGTGAATCTGCCAGCACCTTACTCTTGGACTTCTTAGACTCCAGTATTGTAAATAATAAATTTCTGTTTTTCACAGCCACCAATCTAAGGTATTTTGTTATAGCAGCCCAAGTGGACTGTATTAGTCCGTTCTCACACTGCTGTAAAGAACTACCTGAAACTGGGTAATTTATACAGAAAGGAGGCTTAATTGGCTCATGATTCTGCAGGCTGTACATGAATCATGCCCGAGGAAGCCTCAGGAAACTTACAAACATGGCAGAAGCCAAGGAGAATTTGGTATGCCCTATGTGGCTGGAGCAGGAGGAAGAGAGAGCAAAGAGGGAGGTGCTACACACTTTTAAACAACCAGATCTCTTGAGAACTCACACACTGTCACAAGAACAGCAAGAAGGAAGTCCAGTCCCAAGATCCAGTCACCTCCCACCAGGCCCCTCCTCCAACACTGAGGATCACAACTCCAGATGAGATTTGAGTGGGGACAAAGACCCAATCCATATTATGGACTATGAAAATCTCTAGCAAAGACACACATAGAATAAGACAAACTGACATAAAGAAACAAGGAAAAGATACACACATTGACTCATAGAGGATTCAGAAAAAGAAGCAAAGTAATATATAAAAATATCAACTATGTGACTATATTCGGGTGCATGTGGATGGATGTCAAAATAGCATGTCTTATGCAATTTTGTGAAAAAAAATTTTGTTTGCTAAGACAAAGAATATGAGGGTTAGAGCACTAGAAGGTTAGTCTACTATGTGACTTCCCATGGGAAAACGAGCAAATGAACACATAAATAAAAAATTAGGAAGTCCCCTGCTAATGATATGTAAGCAATGTCTGGTTGGGTGTGTTCATTGGATGCAATCTAAACCACACAACTTAGTTGTTTTAGTAAATAATAAGCCCTGTAACATAATGTAATATTGTTGCTTCAGTTGTTTTTCAGAATTTCGTATTTATGAAAAAGTTGAGCATTGTTGATATTAACAGTGATATAGCATTAATTTTGAAAATGTACCAAGAATGAAAAATAGTTTAATTTACTGGTCAAAAGCAAAATTCTATTATTACTATGTAAGGCAATACAGACATTAAGAGAAAGCAAAAATTCATATTGGCAGGATTTTGTATTTAGGAAAATATAATTATTGCTTTAAAAATAGTAACTGAATTTATTTTTTTAAAATCAATGTTAAACAAACATTTTATAAAGTTAAAAATTTAGTAAACTTTTGTATAAACATATAGCTGGAATCTGAGTTTTATATTGAGGTATCATTTGAAAAACATATTTTTTCAAAGAATTTAAATATTTATAAATTCCAGCTTTACTTTAACCAAGACACTATCAAATTAACTCAACAGTTCTAAAAACTAATGAAACATTGTTATCATCAAGATGATTGAATAAGGACCTCTGTTAATCCTCTTCTCAATAAAGAGTATGGGAACACTGGTACAAATGGTCAGACTCAAAGTTTTCAGAACATTGGAAATTAGCCAAAGGCCTTCAGCCCTCCAGGAAGCATTTATTTTAGTTACTTATTTATTTACTTATTTATTCATTTTTGAGACACAGTTTTGCTTTTGTCACCCAGGCTGGAGTGCGATAGCGTGATCTCTGCTCACTGCAACCTCCACCTCCCAGGTTCAAGTGATTCTCCTGTGTCAGCCTCCCGAGTAGCTGGGATTACAGGTGCGTGCCACCATGCCCAGCTAATATTTGTATTTTTAGTACAGACAGGGTTTCACCATATCGGCCTGGCTGGTCTCGAACTCCTGACCTCACGTGATCCACCCGCCTTGGCCTCCCAAAGTGCTGGGATTACAGGCATGAGCCAGTGTGCCTGGCAAGGAAGCATTTATTGAAGAACAAATAGATGAACTTTAGTAAAAGCAGCAAGTGTTGTTGCATTTTCACTTGCCCTACTGCCATCCCCTTCTCTCAGCTCTGAATGATATGGGCTAGGCTAGACAACAAGCAACCTGAAATCGTAGTGAAAACCAGTAGCCTCACAGCCATTATGCATGATAAGGGGAAAGAGGTTTCTCAAAGCCCCATCCTCAATTATCAATCTTTGACCTATCTGATGATTCCTTGAAAAAACCCACTAAAAACCATTGTCTTTATTTGACCTAACTCAGAGTTCATCAAGTTTAAGATAATTTTTCCTGGTGAGCTTTGGTTGAAAGCAATAAGCAGCAATTATTTAACATTATAGATGCCTGTGGCAGTGGGTAACAGTTGGAGCAAACCATAAGCTAACAAATATATTAAACCAAAAACTTGGGGAGTGAGATGTCCACGGGGGCTTTGAATTGCTTTAACATATTTCTTAGTAGTTAAATGCCATGCACACCTCCAGGTCTGAGGGCCTGGCTGATGGTTGTAGGCAAGCTGCAATACACACAGACAATTCTTTGGCAAAAATGAGAGCCTTATTAACTACAAACTTTTAAGACCATCACTATAAATCATTAGCTATTCACTAAGTTAATTAAGCAGAATCTTCAGTAGCAATACAATCACAAAACGAATATACACTTTACATAAATCAGTAAGGTCACTAACACACAAACAACAACAAACTCTGGGTGGGGAAGATCTAATTTCCAGAATTGCCACATTATACTATTTGTATATCGATTTTCAAAAATACAAAACATACCAAGAAATAAGGAAGTTTATCCCACACACAGGAAAAGAAGCAATAAATAAAAACTATCCCAAAGTGATAAAATCAGTTATTAAAAATATATCCAAGGAACCTAAGGAAAACATGTCTATACTTCTAAAGAAAAATATGAAAATAATGTTTAGCAAATATAGAATACTGTCCGTCCATTTGTGCTTCTATAACAGAATATTCGAGACTGAGTAATTTATTTAAAAAAGCACACACAAACAAAATGAATTTATGTTTCCCAGTTCTGGAGCCGGGGAATTCCAAGATGAAAGTGCTAGCAGTTTGGCATCTGGTGAGGGAGCAGTGTCTGCTTCTAAGATGAACCCTTAAAATGTAGCATCCTTTGGAGGGAAGAACCACCATTCTGCATGTGGCAGAAGAGGAAAAGAGAGCAAGTTACTTTCACAAGCCATTTTTATAGCAGCATTAATCCATGTGTGAGGATAGAAGCTGCATGATCTAAACGCCTCCCTTTAGGTCACAGCTTCCAATACTGTTGCATTGGAGATTAAGTTTCTAACACATATATTTGTGGAGGGACACATTCAAACCATATCAAATACCAATACAGTGATGGAAGTTATAAATGAGAAAAAAAAACTAGAAATTCAGAAGCTGAAAAGCTTCTATGATAAGATATCTTAATTATGATAATCTATAAGAAAAATTATATAATATTTATAATATATATTATATACAATCTATGATAAGAAAATATACATATTATATATATAAAAAGAAAATATGATATATATAATCTATGATAAGAAAAATTAACTGGAAGGGCTTCAGAGCCAATTTTTCTTAAAGAACGTAATAAACTTGAAGATAGCTTAATCAATATAACATAGTCTGAGAAACAAAGAGAAATAATGAAGAAAAATGAACAGAGCCTTTAAGACACATGGCACAGGCAAGGCACGGTGGCTCACACCTGAAATCCCATCCCTTTAGGAGGCCAAGGCAGGCAAATCACGAGGTCAGGAGTTCGAGACCAGCCTGGTCAACACGGTAAAAACCCATCTCTACTAAAAATACAAAAAATTAGCTGGACGTAGTGGCGGGCACCTGTAATCCCAGCTACTCGGGAGGCTGAGGCAGGAGAACAGCTTGAATTCGGGAGGCGGAGGTTGCACTGAGTGGAGATGGCACCGCTGCACTCCAGTCCGGGCGACAGAGTGAGACTGTCTCAAGAAAAAAAAAAAAAAAAAAAAAGACACATGGCACAGCATGAAGAATACTAATATAGACTTAATGGGGAATGAAAAAAGAGAGAAAGAAAAAAACAGAAAGAATATCATCAGGAGCTCAGCTGAGATGGGAGAGGGAGAGAAAGCTAAGCTGTTTTGTCTACGTAGCCAATTAAAGCAACAAGCCAAAAATGAAAGAGTTAAGCTTTTAATCACTTACTGTGATGGTATAAATAAGAAGCTAAAACAAGAGAAAATGTTGACACCCCTTGCACCCGAATTTTATTTTCTCCCATGAAACAAAGCATCAGTTCAGGGTCAAGTAGATCAGTGAAGATGTGTGGGTAATCCCAACTGTTGCAGGACAAACAAAATGCTTCAGTAGCTTTATAAACTCTGGAGGTGGGAGGGTGTGAGGGGGAAAAACTACAGTGAGAAAATACTGAATCAGAGCAAAGAAGAGGCCAGAAAGCAGTGAGACAACATAGTCAAAGTAATAGAAGAGAAAGACGGCACATAAGAATTCTGTATTCAGCAAAATTATCCATCAAAAAGGAAAAGATTTAGAGATTTCCAGATAAACAAAAACTGACGATTTTGTTACTAGTAGATCTGATCTATGAAAAATATACTAATGGAAGTTTTCAAACTGAAATGAATGGCAGTAGACAACTAAGTGAATCCGCATGAAGACAAAAAGAGATTCAGCAAAGGTAACTATATAGACAAATATCAGTATAAAAGTAGTGTTTCTGGCTCTTATTTTTTTCTATATGAATTTTAATACTGATTGTGAAAAGCAACATTTATAAATTCGTGTTGATTTGCATACAGTGTATAAAGATGTAATTTCTATAACAGTAACAGCACAAAGGACAAGAAGGGAATGAAAATACTGAGGAACAACATTTTGTATACTATCAAAGATAGGTTGATATTAAATGAAGAAATTATAAGATATTAATTTTATGAATAAGGACAACCAGTCAGAATATATTTCAAAAATATTGTCAGTGAAATAAGTAAATGAAAGTGGTACACATGAAAAATACTTATTTAGCACAAAAAAGTAGTAATTAAAGTACAGAATAACAAAAGTACATAGAAAATTAATTAGCAGACATAAAATCTACCTCATTAGTAATTACATTAAATTTAATGGATTAAAATTTACAGTCATTTTAACTTTCAGAATGGATGAAAACACAAAATCCAACAGTATTTTGCCTTCAGAAGACACACTCTAAAAGTTAACTCTAAAAGATAAAAATACAAGTAAGTAGAATGAAAAGGATGGCAAAGAATATACCATGTAATAGTTACCAGAAGATTGGCTAATTTCAGACAAAATAGACTTTAGTACAGAAATAGTTATAAAGATATTTTGTAATAATAAAATAATACATCCATTAAAATATATAAATATTAAAAACAAATATGTATCTATCACTAGATCCTCAAAGTACATAAAATAGAAATTCATAAAACTGAAGGTAGATAGATGATTTAAAAACAATAACAGGACATTTCAATTCTTTATTTTCAATAATAGAATAGGAATAAGATTAATAAAGAAATGAAACACCAGTTTGGACCAACTAGATCTAACATATCTACAGAACACTCACCCAACACCACTAGATTACATATTCATCTCAAGTGCATAGAGCATTCCTCAGAATAGATTATGTCAGGTTTTAAAACAAGTCTCAATAAATTTCAAATAGTTGAGATCATACAAAATAGATTATTCCAATAATGGAAGAAAAGCTGAGAAATTAAACAATATATTCCTGAATAATTACTGGGTAAAATAATACATCACAAAATAAATTAGAAAATAGTTTGAGATGAATGAAAACGAAAAACACAATATACCAAATTTTATCAGATGCTGATAAAGCATTGCCAATGAAAAACCTGTAACTGTAAATATTATGTTAAAAAATAGAAATCTTAAATTAATAACCTAGGTTTTCCAATTAGAAGCTAAAAAAAGCAAACTAAACCCATAGCAAAGCGAGAAAGAATATAATAAATCCTATATAGATAATAGCATAAACATGTATTAAAAAGATAAATTCAACAAAACTAATGTTTGTATTTTGAAGGAAAGTTTAAATAAATTAACAGATCTTTAGATAAATTTACCAAGATAAAAAGGAAGAAGATTTGAATCTGCATAATCAGTTATGACTGAGAAAAACGTTACTGCCAGTTTTGCAGAAATAAAAATTTTACAAAGGAAAACCATGGATAAATGTATGCCAGTAAATTAGATAATCTAGGTAAAATAGAGAAATGTCTAAATAGATTAACATCAAAGGAAATAATTCAACAAAAACATAAAATCTAAATAAAAGTTCCATAAGTAAGGAGATTGAATTTTTTTAATGTCCTTAAAAAAGGCCTTAGACAAGGTGATTCCTGGAAAATTCAACAAAACCATTAGGATGAATTAACCCTGATTGTTAACAAACTCTTCCAAAACAGAGAAGAGGCGATAACACTTTCCCTATCTCATTCTATAAGGCCAGTATTACCCTGATACTAGACATAGACAAATGCATAACAAGAATAGGAAAGTGGAGAATACCCTTTATGAGTATGAATGTAACAATTTTCAAAAAAAAATACTAGCAAACCACATCCAGAACAACAACAAAAATAATTATACTCCATAACCAAGTGATATTTATACAAATCCAGAGCAACAAAAATAATTATACTCCATAACCAAGTGATATTTATCCAAGTGTACTAGACTGCTTCAGCATATTAAAATAGATTAATGTAAAACAATAGTATTAACAGAAAGGAAGACAAAAATTCTTTTTTTTTTTTTTTTTTTGAGGCAGAGTCTCATTCTGTCACCCAGGCTGGAGTGCAATAGTGCGATCTCAGCTCACTGAAACCTCTGCCTCCCAGATTCAAGCAGTTCTCCCACCTCAGCCTCCCAAGTAGTTGGAATTACAGGCACGCACCACCACACCCAGCTAATTTTTTTGTATTTTTAGTAGAGACGAGGTTTCATCATGTTGGCCAGGCTGGTCTCGAACTTCTGACCTCATGATCTACCCTCCTTGGGCCTCCCAAAGTGCTGGGATTACAGGCATGAGCCACTGTGCCCAGCCTAAAAGACAAAAATTATTTTAATAAACAAGAATTTAACAAATTCACATATTACGTTATGTGATTTAGAGGAATTATAAATAAATGCTTTCTTTTTAAAATCAGAAACAAAGCAAAGATGTCCTTTCTCATTACTTCTATTCAAAATTATTTTGTAAGTTTTATCCAGTGATATTAGAGAGAAAAAATAAGGAATAAAAAGACATAGCTAAAATCAGAATTAGTAGTGAAAGACTAAATTTGTTTTCCCTCAGATGAGTAGCAAGGCAAGAATATCTGTATTCATCATGTCTAACTAGCATTGTACTATTCTAGCCAGGAAATTTAGGAAATAATATAAATAAAATGTGAATAGAGCTTATTCTAATTCTTCCTTTCCAATTTAGTTGCGGATGACATGGTATTGTTCATTAAAAAATCCTAAGAACCACATACATGCAAAAAATTGTTAAAGCTATTAAATGAGTTCAACAAAGTTGCAGAATACAAGTTAATATATAAAAATAAATTGTGTTTATATAAACTAGTGATTAACAATCAGAAAAAATAAGAAAATGTTATTCATAATAGCATCAAATAAAAATATTTAAAAATAAATTTAATAAGAGAAAGGCAATATTTTACATCAAGTACTATAAACATCACTGAAAGACATTAAAGACCAAACTAAATGTGAGAACATTTCATGTTCAAGCATTGGAAAATAGTACTGTTAAGGTGGCAGTCTTCCTTAATTAATCTGCAGATTTAACACAAATTTTATCAAGATTCCAGATGACTTTATTGCAGAAACCTCTATTCTGATACTAAAATTCATGCAGAATTTCAATGCAAGAGACCCTAATTGTCAAAAAGATCTTGAAAAAGATAAAATGAAAGACTAACTTCATGATTTAAAAACTGACTGCAAAGCTTGTAGTAATCCAGGTTGCATGGGCTAGCATAAGAATAGACATACAGAGTGACATGGCTTGCCTGTGTCCTCACCCAAATCTCATCTTGAATTGTAGTTCCCATAATCCCCATGTGTCACGAGAGGGACCTAGCGAAGGTAATTGAATCATGTGGGTGGTTACCCCCATGCCTCTGTCTTCATTGATAGTGAGTGAGTTCTCACAAGATCTGGCGGTTTTATAAGGAGCCTTTACCCCTTTGGCTGGCACTCATTCTCCTTCCTGCTACCTCGTGAAGAGGAACATGATTGCTTCCCCTTCTACCATGACTGTAAATTTTCTGAGGCCTACCAAGCCATGCTGAACTGGGAGTCAATTAAGCCTCTTTCCTTTATAAATTATTCAGTCTCAGGTATGTATTTATTAACAGCATGAGAACAGACTAATACAGAGATCAATGGAATGGAATTTGTAGAATAAAAACAAACTCATGTATTTATGATTAATTGATTTTGATAAGGTTGTCAAGACAATTCAATGGGGAAAGAATAGTCTTTTCAACAAATAGTGCTGAGACAACTAGTTATCCACATGCAAATAATGATATTGGACCTCTACCTTATGTCATATACAAAAAATAAATACCTCAAAATGGTTAAAATACCAAAATGTAAAAGCAAAAACTATGAAATTCTTAGCAAACATATGTCCAAATCTTTATAATGTCATTTTACAATATGATTTATTTCATACGATATTAAAACACAATAAAGAAAAGAAAATGGAGACATATTTAGCTTCATCAAAATAACAAATATTGTGTTTCCAAAGGCACTATAAGGGAAATGAAAAGATAATCCACAATTAGGAGACAATATTGTCAGATCATATGTCTAACAAAGGAAAAGTGTTCAGAATATATATACATATATTGTGTTATATACAATTCTCACTCATAAGAGGGAGTTGAACATTGAGAACACATGGACATAGAGAGAGGAACAACACATACCAGGGTCTGTTGGGGGCTGGGGGTGGGAGGTGAGGGGAGGGAACTCAGAGGACAGGTCAACAGGTGCAGCAAACCACCATGACACACATGTAGTTATGTAACAAACCTACTCTTTCTGCACATGCATCCCAATTTTTTAGAAGAAATAAGGGCTATATATATACATATTATATATATATATTCATTTTAAATTGGACTATTTGTATTTTTATTGTTGAGTTGTTCAGAATATATATTGTATTATATGTATAATATAACATAATATATTGCAGAATATTTTATTGTCAGAGCTGTTCAGAATATATATATATTATAGTTGAGTTGTTCAGAATAAACACATATGTATTTATATTCAGAATATGTATATATAGTATATACATATATATATATATATATATATATATATATATATTCTCAACAACTTACAAACAAAAAGACAAATAATCCAAAATGAACAAAAGTTGCTTTTGTAAACAGATCTTGATTAATTGGCTTTATTTGTGATTCTAGAGTTAGGCAACATTTCATTCCATAAAATAGAATGTGTTCCTAATTTGAATAGATATTTCTCTAAAGAAGACATGTAACTGGGCAATGATCACATGAAAGGTTACTTAACATTTTTTAGTCATTAGAGAAATGCAAATTAAAATTAAAATTAAAATGCAGTGACATCACAAAAAGTGGCAGAATAGGAAGCTCCAGGACTTGGTCCCTCCATGCAAACAACAATTAAGCCTGAACAAATAATTAAAAAAAAACATTTTAGAACTCTGCAACCTGATCAGACACTTAATCAGGAAAGTGTTTAATAAAGGGAGAGACTGCCTGAATTTTATAAAAGAAAAGGATGTCCAAACTAGCTACCATTCCTTATTTATCAGATTTGCTCTAGCTATTGGGATAGTGGCCCATATTCCTAGAATGAGTGGCTAGTATCAGGTTGTAAAGTAAAATCCTGTCCCTCAAAAGTTTGTTGTTGTGTGTGCTGATCAATATGATGGTTTCCAAGAAATTGATACCTTCATTTTGGCCCATTCAGGTGGCAGCAACTTTCCTAGCAGAAAATATTGTATGATTCAAAGAGACATACATACTCTTTAATTAATTAATAAATTCATTGATACATTCATTTATTAACTTACAGATCCAGACATTTAATCACGTATCTATGAGATAACAGGCTGACTGAAGATACAATGGAACAGAAACCTCAATGGCCACACATAACAAGGAATACAAATTTTACAATATTCATGTGGGAAAATCACAATACATATGGCAGAATGCAACCCCCAACAAATGATAATAGCAATTCCTCATTAGGGAATAATCTAATTCCCAGAGTCACCACACTCCCAGTTGTTAGTTTAAAAAAAACATAAAATATGCAATTAAAAAGGAAAATATGGCTCATTCACTGGAAAGACATAAACTATCCATGAGGAAGACCAACTCTTACAATTACTAATCAAAATTGTTAATGTTATAAATATTCTTAATGTCCTAGAGAAAACCACCAACAAAAAACTAAAGAATATTTGAAGAAGTATGTATGAACAAATAAGAAATATAAACCAAAATACAAATTATTAAGAGGAAGCAAATAGAAACTCATCTGAAGGTACAGTATCCAATTTTTTTAAAAAATATAAAAATTAACTAGAGGGATTCAATGACAAATCTGAGCAGGTAGAAAAAAAATCAGGAAACTTGAAAATATGACAACCTTAGGAGCTGAAAAAAAATTAAGAAAAATGAACAGAACCTAATGAACTTGTAAGGCACTATCAAATGCACTAACATATACATCATAAGAGTTCCAGAAAAGAAAGATAAAGAATTAAGTTAAAAAAATGAAGAAATAGTGGAAAAAAACTTCCTAAATTAGATGAAAGACACAAATATTCACATTCAAAAAGCTCAATAACTTCAAACATGAGAAACTCAAAAAGATTGACACTGACTCATTGTGGTTCAATTGCTGAAGCCAAAGAGAGAATCTGAACCCAGCAAGAGAGAAGTTACTCAACAAGTAGAAAGAACTCTCAACAAGATTATTTTTCTTCAGTTGATTTATCATTGAAGACTGTGGAGGTCAGAAGGAGTGGGGTGACATATTTAAAGTGCCAAAAATAGCAAACAAAAATAACAAGTTTTTAAGAAATTAAGAACTTCTCAGATAAACAACAGCTAAGAAGTCATCTTGTAGGAGATCTGTTTTACAAGAAATGCTAAAGGGAGGTCTTCTAGCAGAAATGAAGTGATAATGGACAGTGACTTGAAGTCATATAAAAAAGTAAAGAAAGTCCATAAAGGCAGATGAATATAAAATTAAGTGTTACTGTGCATTTGGTTTGTAACTTTCAATTTTCTATATGATTTGAAGTCAAATACAGAAAATAATAATTATAGATGTATGTATAAAAATGCAGTGTATGACAATAACAGTATAAAGGAGGAGAGATGGAGATGTATAGGAATGAAATGTCTGCATACTATTGAAACTTAGTTGGTATTATTCAAACTATGTTTTTATGTTTAAGTTGTTAACTGTATTTCCCCAGATAATCACTAAGAAAATAACAAAAATATACAGAAAATAAAAGGAGGGTGTCAAAATAGCAGACTACAATAACCTAACCAGGTAATAAATAAGGCAATGGTGAAAAAAGTGAGAAACAAAAACATATACAACATGAGAAAAGCAAATAGCTATATGACAAAGTTGTTCCTTATCATAGTAAAAAGTAAATGGATTAAGTTTTTATTTAAAGGGTTGAGATTTACAGAACATATCAAAAAGTGGCCCTTACAAAAGACATACAAGAAACTCAGTTTAGATACAAAAAAAAAAAAAAAAAAGACGTTGAAAGACAAGCAATCCTATTTTAAAAACTGGCAAAGGGCTTGGGATAGATATTTATCCAAAGAAGATGTACCAAGGATCAATAAGCACATAAAAGATGCTTAACATTATTAGTTATTAGGACATGAATATCTAAGCCACAATGAGATACCATTTTACACATACTAAGATAGCTATACTTTAAAAATAATGATGAAAATTTACAAGTCTTGGTAAGGTTGTGGAACAACTGTAACTCTCATATATTACTTTTAGGAATGTGAAGTGGTACAGCTGTTTAGGAAATCAGTTTGGAAGTTCCTCAAAATGTTTACCAAAGAGTTATGATATAGCCTAGCAATCTGCAGCATTTCCTTCACAACGAAATTGCATATATCCACACAAAAACTTGTACACACATTTTATAGCAGTATTTATTATACTAGCAAGAAAGTGGAAACAATCCAAATGTCTTTCAACTGATGAATATGTAAACAAAGTATATTACAGTCGTATAATGACAAATCATTCAGCTATAAAAATTTAGGTCAGGAGGTACTGCTACATGTTACAGTATCTGTGAGACTTGAAAACATAATGCTAAGTCAAAGAAGCAAGATAGGACAAGCCAAATATTGCATTATTTCATGTATGTAAAATCTCCCGTATAGGCAAATCCATAGAGATCTAAAGTAGATTAGTGATTGCTTAGTGGAGAAAGAGATATGTGCACTAACTGTTAATGTATTTGATCTTTCCTTTTGGGGTGTTGAAAAGGTTCTGGAGTTAGTGGTGATAGCTACGGAACTTTGTGAATATGCAAAGAATCACTAAATTGAATATTTCTGAAATACATTTTATTATGTATACTGAAGGTATATCCACAAGATGGTATATGAATTACATCTCAGTTTAAAAATATATAAGAAAACAATCTAATAATCACTGATATTCCTTACCTCATCATAAAGTCAAGGCAGAGATTGCATCGCTAGAGTGGCCCTTAACACTTAATTCTACATCATCAAATGGTGATGGGACCCTGAGCCTTTTGATCCTATATTCAGTGGTAACTAAATAGACATAAGAAGGATTGCATTCTGAAATGTCAAGATGTGAGATACAATTGGTTTTATATCCCTACAGGGCTGATGATGCATATTTCATTGATCTGAGAACATTCAATGACAGAAGATATACAAGAGCAATATCCTTCTCCCAAAATGCACAAACACCCATTATGCTTAGATTGAAATGTATTAGAAGAGTGGATCTTTTCTTTTAAACCTAAAAGCAAATATCTCTCCTAATGTACTAGAGAAAAATAAGTTTTACAGCTTCCCACTACATATTTTTATTTTTTTGCTTTACACATGTACAAATGTTTTGATATGATTCCAGAGACACAATTAATATACATTTAAAGCACAGAAATAAATGTATAAGGAAATAAGGAGTTAATTTTAGGGGAACACTGTGGAAAGCCATGTCCTTATGTGATTTCTTTTTTTAAAGCTCAATCTGAATTTGTTTACACTGCTCAGATTTCCCATGTTAGAAGAATCTGTTTTTAAAAACAGCACTTAGTGTTTTAAGTCACATAATTTAATGTCTGGAAGTTGCCTACTTGCAACTATATAGATACCAAATTATTTCATCTTATTGTCATTGCTTCATTAATTTTCTGCAGGTTAAATGCATTGTAGTTTATACGTTCAAGTTACATATTATATCAGCAATTTTCAAGCTCTTACTTAATAAAAGCAATTTAACCAAAATGAGTCCAAGGGAGGCAATTTGTTATTATTAAACACCTTGTACTTCCCACAGGTTATACTACATACATTGTTGAATGGTTTCTAAATGATACTACTTTGTTTTCATATTAATGCAGTTAATATTTAAATACTATGCCAGAAGAAATAAAATAAGACCTTATAATTGCCATCAAACTTGTAGAATCTTCACAGTCTACATCTTATTCTGAATATTAATTGAATTAAATTACAGCACTCCTTCACTCTGAGAAGTTTTCCTGCTTCTTTGTTTGTTCTGCAGCTATCCCTATTCTATCCCGGAGCTCTGCTTCATTTAGTATCTTGAGCACCAATTTAAAGAAAAATGGCATTATGTCACCCCACTACTCAAAAACCCTCCAATGACTTCCATTTCTATTTATAAATAAAAGCCAAAAATCTTTTCATAGCCCACAAGAATGGGCATTATCTGAGCCTCCCTTTGATTCTGATTTTATTCCCTTCCCATTGTTCTCAGACATAAAATGTAACCTTTGCCTTTCTTTGGTCACATTAAGCTCATTCTCGCCTCAATACCAGTGTGTGGTTCTTTCCTCAACCTAAAAATGATGTCTTGGATAACCACACTGAATACTGTATTAGTCTGTTCTCATGCTGCTATGAAGAAATACCTGAGACTGGGTGATTTATAAAGAAGAGTTTTAATTGACTCACAGTTCTGCATGGCTGGGGATGCCTCAGGAAACTTACAATCATGGCACAAGGGGAAGGAAACACATCCTTTTCATATGGCGACAGGAGAGAGAAGTGCCAAGCAAAAGAGGAAAACCCCTGAAAAAACCATCAGATCTTGTGAGAACTCACTCACTATCATGAGAACAGCATAAAAATAACTGCCCCTATGATTCAATTATCTCCCATGGGGACCTTTCCATAACACATGGGGATTATAGAAACTACAATTCAAGATGAGATTTGGGTGGGGACACAGCCAAACCATTCTGCCCTTGTCCCCCTCCCATATCTCATGTCCAGACATTTCAAAACACAAACATGCCCATCCAACAGTCCCCCAAAGCCTTAACTCATTCCAACATTAACTCAAAAGTCCAAGTCCAAAGTCTCATCTGAGACAAGGCAAGTCCCTTCCACCTATGAGCCTGTAAAATCAAAATCAAGTTAGTTACTTCCTGGATGAAATGGTATACAGAAATTTGGTAAGTACACTTATTCCAAATGGGAGAAATTGGCCAAAACGAAGGGGCTACAGGCCCCATGAAAGTTGGAAACCCAATTGGGCAGTCATCATTAAACCTTAAGTTCCAAAATGATCTCCTTTAACTCCATGTGTCGCATCCAGGGCATGCTGATGTAAGAGGTGGGCTCCCACAGCCTTGGACAGTTCAACCCTTGTGGCTTTGCAGGGTACAGTCCCCTTCCCAGCTGCTTTCATAGACTGTCATTGAGTGTCTGCAGTTTTTCCTGGTGCACGGTTCAAGCTGTCAATGGACCTCCCATTCTAGGATCTGGAGGCTGGTGGCCCTCCACTCACAGCTCCAAAAGGCAGTGCCCCAGTGGGGACTCTGTGTGGGGGCTCCAACCCCACATTTTCATTCTGCACTGCCCTAGCAGAGATTCTCCATGAACCTGCAGAAAACTTCTGCCTGGACATCCAGGTGTTTCCATACATCCTCTGAAATCTAGGCAGGGGTTCCCAAACCTCAATTCTTGACTTCTGTACACCTGCAGGCTCAACACCATATGGAAACTGCCAAGGCTTGGGACTTGCACCCTCTGAAGCTACAGCCCAAGCTGTACTTTGGCCCCTTTTAACCATGGCTTGAGTGGCTGGGACATGGCAACCAAGTCCTTAGGTGGCACACAGCAGGAGCGCCCTGGGCCAGACCCAGGTAACCAATTTTTCCTCCTAGGCCTCTGGGCCTGTGATGGGTGATGCTGCCATGAAGGTCTCTGTCATGCCCTGGAGACATTTCCCCATTATCTTGGTAATTAACATTAGGCCCCTTGTTAATTATGCAAATTTTTACAGCTGGCTTAAATGTCTCCCTAGAAAATGTTTTGTTTTTGTTTTTGTTTTTTTTGTTTTCATCATGCTGCAAATTTTCCAAACTTTTATGCTCTGCTTCCTCTTGAACACATTGCTGCTTGGAAATTTCTTCTGCCAGATATCCTAAACCATCTTGCTCACATTCAAAATTCCACAGATCTCTAGAGCTGGGACAAAATGCTGCCAGTCACTTTACTAAAGCATAATAAAAGTCACCTTTGCTTCAGTTCCCAATATGCTCCTCATCTCCACCGGAGACCACCTCAGCCTGGACTTCCTTGTCCATATGACTATCAGCATTTTGGTCAAATCCATTCAACAAGTCTCTACAAAGTTCCTAACTTTCCCACATTTTCCTGTCTTCTTCTGAGGCTTCCAAACTGATCCAACCTCTACCTGCTACCCAGTTTCGAAGTTGCTTCCACATTTTTGGGTATCTTTACAGCAGCACCTTACTACTTCCATTACCAATTTATTGTATTCATTTGTTCTCACGCTTCTATGAAGAAATACCACAGACTGGATAATTTATAAAGAAAAGAGGTTTAATTGACTCACGGTTCTTCATGGCTCCAGAGTCCTCAGGAGACTGAGAATCATGGCAGAAGGGGAAGCAAACACATCCTTCTTCACATGGCAGGAGAAAGAAAGCACCAAGCAAAGGGGGAAAACCCCCTTATTAAACAATCAGCTCTCATGAAAACTCACTGACTATCATGAGAACAGAACAAAGGTAACCGCCCCCATGATTCAATTACCTCCCATGGGGTCCCTCCCAGGACACATGGAGATTGTCAGAACTACAATTCAAGATGAGATTTGGGTGGTGGCACAGCCAAACCCTTTCAGGTACTATGTTATTTTATCCAGGAATATGCTTAACTATCTTGTTAGCAGAGAGGCTATTCCATTCCTAAGAAGTTTTTATACCTCTTAGCTGGAGTTTATTCTTTTTCTTCTGCTTATTTTATTTTGCAAAAGATTCTCCCCCTTACTCATGAGGAGGCTGCAAAGATGCCAGGTGGAATGTCAACTCAGCTTCATGTCTGGAGGGAAAGCTTGGAGGTGCCCTGACTTTCTTGTATGCTATAATGCTAAGGAGATCATAATGACACTATAATAATGACACGAACTATGGGTAAGTGGACGGAATGAGTTTATTCACTTAGAAAAAATAGTCATTGTCCATTTGTGAAGTTGAGGAGGAATAAAGCCATCCAAACTGTGTGAGCTAAAAATGAGAAATAGGCAGTTTCCCACAAAAATGAATGTATTCTTTTATGAGATGAGTAGACTGAAGATAGGAAGAAACAGAAAACAATAATGTCAAATACCCTGGTAAATCAATAATGTGCAGATACTCTATCAAATAAAATATGCATATATTTAAATAAAGACAATATTATTGAATTCTAAATTGTTTGGGTGTATTAGAGACATGCTGGAAAGTATAGAAAAGAAAACAACTGTCTCATTTAATGCAAAAATCTTGATAACTATTGTTAGAATTTTGATATACACACATCCATATATAATTGAAAATGAGTCTATTTTGTACAATAACATAAAATAGATTTTAAAATGCTATTATATATACCTTAAATCATTTTTCCATATTAAATTTCATTTCACTGATGGAATTATAATTTAAGTGATTCTTTTCTCTATTACTAAACATGTAGATTATTTCTAGCTTTTTAATATTTTAAACATTGCCATATTGAATGTTGTTGCAGGTAGTTAGTGATGTCCCATGAACATTTTCTTAGAATAAATTTGTAGAATTGAGATCATTGGAATACTTTTAAAATAATGATGTATGTTATCCCTCAAGAAAAATCTAGGTTGCCACCTTTTACCAGGTAATTAGCTTTTAATTTCCATTATAGTTGACATAAGGATAAATAAAATCCACTTATTAGACTTTGGTATTGCTAGCTTCTTTGTCTGATTGGCAGAGTCTAGGGTGGTGCACATTGTTAAATAAATATTAATGTGTCTAAAATTTTCATATTCCTCAAAAACTAATATTAGCCCCCCCCCATCGAAACTCATAGGAAGGGAAAAATCTCTGAAGGTAAAAAAGGCCTGTTTTTTCAACCAAACACTACAGCAAAAATCATTGGCAGATATTTTTTATTGTTGTTTCATTGTTATAAAATACACTGAATGTCATTTACTATATTAATAGATTAAAAGCAATCTACAAAAATAAAACAGATTTCTTATTCTATGAATTTATTTCAAATAAAATTAACAAGGGCTATTGATTGTAGAAACAGGAGGTTTTGAACTGAAAACAAAGTAGGGAAAAGATGAAATTTTCTTTCTCTCATTCTCTCTCTCTCCCTACCCTATCTATCCTTCCTTCCTTCCTCTCTCTCTTTTTTTTTCTTTTTTTTCCTTTACTATTGGATATTTGTACCATGAGTATGCATTATTTATCTGGAAAATAATTAATTAACAATTCAATTTTTACTACATGAAAATAGTTATATTCACTTTAGTTTTTTCTAACGGTAGACAAGTTTAATTCTTACTGTTTAATACAATAAAGGTTTTCATTTTGATATAAGGTGAATAAATTATTTTCCTCCCTAGCTCCTCATAGCCAAATAAAGGAAACTTTTCAATAGGACCCATTTAAAAATTTATCTGTGTACGTTACATTTATGCTTATACTTTGATTTTTTCTGGACTTTCTATATGAATCTGTACTCTTTCTGCCTAATTCTTGGTCAATATTTTATTGATCCTGGCTTTTCCATATGTGTTCATAATTTTAAAAATCTAAGTCTGGGTTACCTCTACTTATTGATTTATTAGATTAGTTATTTTATTAGCTGTTTTAATGAGGTATAATTGACATACAATCATACACACAATTAATATGCACACTTTGATACATTTTGTCATGTTATATACCTGTGAAACCATGAGCACAACTAAGATCATAAACATATCCATTATCTCAAAAGTAATCATGAACCTGCCTTCTGTGCCCATAGATTAAATATTCTATAGCTTTATATAAATGAAACTATACAGTATGTACTCTATTTTATCTGGCTTCATTCACATACCTTAAAATAAATTTTAAGATCCAACCATGTCGTAGTAGGTGTCAATAGTTCTTTATTTTACTGATGAATACAAAATGCTCTTCTGTTCTATGGTATACCAAAGTGTTTATCCATTAATCTGTTGGTAAACATTTGTGTTGTGTCCAGGTTTTGGCTACTACAAACAAGGCATTTATATATATATATATATGTATATGTATATATATCCACATATATATATATCCACATATATATACATATATATGTATAAGTGTATATATCTTACATATATGTATATATATGTGGGTATATATATTCACATAGACATATTTTATAGATATAAGCTTTTAATTTCCTTCTTTAAAAAATTAATGCAATGGCTGGAATTTACAGCAAGTTTGATATTTTTTTTCTTTTTCTTTTTCTTTTTCTTTTTTTTTTTTTTTGAGACAGACTCTTGCAGCCAGGCTGGAGTGCGGTGGCATGAACTGTGCTCACTGCAACCTCCGTTTCCCAGGTTCAAGCAATTATCCTGCCTCAGCCTCCCGAGTAGCTGGGATTACAGGCAAGTGCCATCATGCCTGGCTAATTTCTGTATTTTTAGTACAGATGGGGTTTCACCATGTTGGCCAGGCTGGTCTTGAACTCCTGACCTCAGGTAATCCTCCTGCCTCGGCCTCCCAAAGGGCTGGGATTACAGGCGTGAGGCACCACGCCAAGCCCAAATTTGGTTTTAACCTTTGAAGTCACCGCCAACCAGTTTCCCACGTTTGTCACATTTTACATTCCACCAGCTGTGTGTGAGTGTTCCAGCTCCAACATCTCTTCCATCTCTTCACAAGCCCTTGATATGGCCAGTCTTTTTATTTTAAACATTCTAACAGATATGTTTTTGTGCTCATTTGTCATTTGTATTTGTTTTCGTTAATTTGTTTTAAGAAATGCACTACAGGCCAGGCACGGTGGCTCACACCTGTAATCCCAGCACTTTGGGAGGCCGAGGTTGGTGGATCACAAGGTCAGGAGATCGAGACCATCCTGGCTAACATGGTGAAACCCCGTCTCTACTAAAAATACAAAAAATTAGCCAGGCGTGGTGGCGGGCGCCTGCAGTCCCAGCTACTCGGGAGGCTGAGGCAGGAGAATGGCGTGAACCTGGGAGGCGGAGCTTGCAGTGAGCTGAGATCGCACCACTGCACTCTAGCCTGGGCGACAGAGCGAGACTCCGTCTCAAAAAAAAAAAAAAAAAAAAAAAAAAAAAAAAAAAAAGAAAGAAATGCACTACAGCTTTTAAGTAAAATCTTAAACTTTGACACCAAGTTTGGAAATGTAAGGAAAAATATTTTATTTTGCTTCATTTCATAACAAAAATGCTGCTATCTTGTTACTCTCCCTTTTAACACTTACTGTTTAGCCCTCTTGACTCAACCTCTAATTTTTCTGTTGTGTTTTTGTGTGTCAAGTCTTCATGTCTATCCAGCTTAACTTAATTTGTTCATCCACCAGATAAGCATATCTGTTACTACAGAAGAATAAATAAACTATCATCATCCTTTATTAAAAAAAGATTAATATATTTGCCTACTTCATCCATCTTTTTGTGGTATGCCTGGAACAGTGATCATATTAAAAACAAGCCCAGCTTTATTAATATTGAAATTGATTCTAGAAAATGGAAGGTGTGTCACAGGGAAGAACACTGGCATGAACTCATCTTCTGGTGGCAGTAGATGTTCTGGCAGGTGTTCATTTCTATATTACTTTAATGTTCCAAATTTCTAGTCAGCAATCATCTTGAACATGGCTTCTTTTTAAGATAGAACTGTTATTGGTTGAGTAAAAAAGTAATTTATTAATACCTATTTGTGCTCAGATAGTATACAAGGCAAGGATAAAAATGGAGAAATTATTTTAATGACATTTTATATATTTAATACATGAGCTGTGCTCTACAAGTACAGAGAAAATGTGTCCAATTATGTCTTTAAGTGACGACTATTACATTACATTTAACAAAACACTTAGATTTTGGATTTAGCTTGCTTTAATTACAAAATTAAGGATAGAGTTATATTTTGTATATTTAGTGGAAGAAAATTTAGGGGCCAAGTGATCTAGAAATTAATAAGCAAATATCTTAAAAGTATCCATTAGCATTAGTGTCACTACAGCTGGTATACAACCCCTCCCCCACCCCCACTGCTAAACTTGACTGGCTTTAAAAAAATTAAAAAAAATTAAAAGTGGTATTCTAAATAACTTGCAATAAACGAGAAGAGGAAATTGCAGCTATCTAAATGAGTGTCTAAGAAATTTTATTTTGCTCATGTTAAGATACAGAAGTAGTAAAATGAAAGGATGTGTAAATCTAGCCCAGAGAATAATCTGCCAGTGTTCCCCTATGGCTTACCAAATGCGTAAGTAAGTGATGAGTTCCCCTGCAATCTTGCTTACCTTTTTTGAATTGACCCCGAATCACAATTACTTTTTCAATATTCTATTTCCTGATTTTATCTTTTATTCCTCTCCGGAAAGAACTGTGAATGTCTGCTTCCAATTTTAAGACATATGTAAAATGATCAAGAAATGAATTATTTTGTTAATTACTTTTTTAATCATTTCAGTGAACCAAACCCTAAATTTTCTAATTTTATACGTTTGTAAAATTAAGTAAGAAATTAATTAAGAAATAGGACAACAACTTGTGTTTATCAAATTGGGAAATTCCAATGTACATGAGAGGCTTTTATTCTTACTACTGCTATGGTAAGATTCTTCTACTCTAAGGTAGATCATAACAATAGAGGGAAAAATTGAGTCAGTAGGTGTTCTGCTTTAAAAACACACACACACACACACAAACATTATATGCTTCCACGCAACTGTCAAATACCATGAAAAACTGATAGGTTAAACTCAAGGTCATTTTACATGGTTAGACATTGATTAGTAACATGTCACCTATTACTTCTCAAATAATTAGATTCTCCATTTAAATATTTATTAATAATACATTTTAAAAGGCAAAATAACTGCTATTAAAACATTTTGCTTTGCTCAGCATCATAGTTGCTGCTTTGTCACATCCATAGAGTTCTGTTATTAATTTAAATAATTGAGCTTAGGAAGATTGGTGTGTTAATTTAATTAAAACTTCTCTGCCGATTCTTCTTATTTTGCCACATCTTACTGCCAGTACTTTCATAAGTGCTGGGTGAAAGTCGTTGAGAAAAGAGCTTACAATTTGCAATGAATTTCTCTTTCTCCTGAAAATAGGAACCATTATAAAATTTTATTTAGCCTTTTATCCAAGATGGAAATACACTATACCCAGGATTATAGGCCTGTCATTTTGAAATTGTCCAGTGATTTAACGCTGACTTTCCTAGTCCAGCTCCATGGAAACCTGATTACTCTGCCTTGAAGTAGTAAACATGCTGCTTGACATCTAAACACATGCAGAACTTTTGCCAAAGGCACAGCATCTACAAATGATTTTCGGTGGTGTCAGCCAGGACAGTGTCAGTGACAGCCAAGTCAAGTAAAAGTAAAAGAGTGCTCATGGTGATCAATGGGAAAACTTGACTGGAGACATTTTCAAGCCACAGATTTACAGGTGAGTCAGTAAATTAAGGGTGATAATATGAATTTTTTAAAAAATCTAAATAAATGTAACCTACAGGCAGTAACCCAATCTAGGAATCAAAAGACCCAGATCTAGACCTAGCTCTAAACTGTGAAACTTTGAGAAAAAATTTATTTGCCTGTCAGAATTTATTTACACAGCTTTTTAATGTAACTTTAACTTTTACTTTAGATTCAGGGATACGTGTGCAGATATGTTACATGAGTATATTGTAGGATGCTACAGTTTGTAGTATAGGTCCCTTCAGCCAGGTAGTGAGCATAGTGCTTAGCAGGTAATTTTTCAACCAATTGTCCCCTCCCTTCTCCTCTCTGGTATATTCTGCAGTATCTGTTGTTCCTGTCTTTACCTCCATGTGTATTCAATGTTTAGTTCCCACATAGAAGTGAAATCATGAGTTATTTGTTGGTTTTGTTGTTGTTGTTCTTGTGTTAGTTCATTTAGGATGCTGTCCTCCAGCTGCATCCATGTTGCCGATAAATACACGATTCCATTCTTTTTCATGGCTTTGTAGTATTCCATTGTGTACGTGAACTACATTTTCTTTAGCCAATCCATCACTGTTGGGCAACTAGACATGATTCCATGTTTTTGCTCCTGGGGATCGTGTTGGGATGAACATATGAGTGCATGTGTCTTTTGGATAGAACATTTTATTTTCCTTTGGGTATATGGGATAGCTGAGTCAAATGGTAGCTCTTTTTTAAGTTCTTTGAGAAATATCCAAACTGCTTTTCACACTGGCTGAGCTAATTTATGTTCCCATCAACAGTGTATAAGTATTCCCTTTTGTCCTCAGCCTTGCCAACCTCTGTTATTTTTCTGACTTTTTAATAGTAGCCATTCTGACTGGTATGAGATGGTATCTCACTGTGGTTTTTATTTGCATTTCCCTGAAATTAGTGATAATGAGCATTTTTATGTTTGTTGGCCACTTGTATGTCTGCTTTTGAGAAGTGTCTCTTCATGACCTTTGCCAATTTTTTAATGAGATGATTATTATTATTATTATTTTACTTGTTGATTTGTTTAAGTTCCTTATAGATTTTGGGCATTAGACTTTTGTTGGATTCATAGTTTGGGAATATTTTCTCCCATTCTTTAGATTGTGTTTACTCTATTGATAATTGATTTGAGATATGAAATAAGAGAGATAGAGCAAATAGGACGTACCATAAAATGGAAATATAGTTAGTTCTCATTTACTGATGGAAGAACGGGCTTAAAGAAATTTAGTATCCTGTACAGGTTAGTAATTTGCGGAACAAGATTTTAACACCAGACTCTCAGATTTCACACACAGTCCACAGGCTTTACCTTTTGCACAACATTATGTTTGCTTCAAACAAATAATGTAGAGGTCAAGTAGTGAGGGTGAAGAAATTTTAGAATAAATGAGGAATCATCTAGAATGTGCCATTTCCTTTCTTTTCCAGAAGATTCCTAATTATCTCTCTGTCTTCTCACTGTCCAGGGCCATTCAGTCTGGCACTCACAGGAGGCTATGGCATTGCTCCTTGCCCCAGAATTTTCTCCCCACCTACACTAGTCAGTATCATTTTACTTTTTGCTTTCCTTTGGTAAATAAAAATAGGTAATAGTGAATTTATCAAATAAACAAAGTTTTTGAAAACCCGGGAAAAGAGAGTCAGCCCAATGTTTTGTACAATGTTTTAGATGTTTTGTAATCACTTCCATTCTAAGCTTGTGTGATGAACTAAAGTTTACCTTGTATTATTTTTCAATCTTCCAGTGAAGCTCTCTCCAATATGGGGGACTCTGCGACAACCTCATCCATAGAATATGGAGGAGGTGATGCAGTACCATAATCTGAGTCCAGGCTGTTTTAGCTTTCTGTCTTTTACAACAAACATCTTTAGAACCCAGCTACCATGCCATGGACATCCTGAGATACTTGAGGGGCTATTTGGAGGCAATGCATTCCAGAGCTCTAGCTGAGCTCCCAGCCAACAACAGGGTCAACCCTCAGCAATGTATGTCAAATACTATGGATGTCCAGCCATGCCAAGCTTCAAATGACTCTAGTCCCAGCTTCTTTTCAAGGACAACCACTGTGAGAGGTTCTAGTTAAGAAGTGCTCAGCTGGGTGTGGTGGCTCACGCCTGTAATCCTAGAACTTTGGGAGGCCTAGGCAGGTGGATCAGGCCTAGGCTAGTCAGGAGTTCAAGACCAGCCTGGCCAAGATGGTGAATCTATTAAAAATACAAAAAAAAAATTAACCTGGCATGGTGGCAGGTGCCTGTAATCCCAGCTACTCGGGAGGCTGAGGAAGAGAATTGCTTGAACCCAGGAGGCGGAGGTTGCAGTGAGCCAAGATCTGCCACTGCACTCCAGCCTGGGCTACAGAGAGAGACTCCGTCTCAATAAAAAAAATAAAAATTAAAAAAAAAGTGCTCAGCCATCCTAGTCAACCCACAGAAACATGATAGAAAACAGTATTTTTGTTTCTTTTTAGCCATTATTTTTTGCAGTGCAACAGACAACTGGAACAGATTTATACACACAAGATATCTATCCATTATAACAAATGCACTATACTTGTCCTAAAGTACAATATACCAGGTAATATAGACATAGACTTGGCCAATCTTTGGCATCCATTTAAGTGTTATTATCCAGTATTCTAACCCACTGATATGGTTTGGCTGTGTCCCCACTCAAATCTCATCTTGAATTGTAACTCCCACAATTCCCACATGTTGTGGGAGGAAATTGGTGGGAGGTGATGGAATTATGGGGGTGGGTCCTTCCTGTGCTGTTCTCAGGGTAGTGAATGAGTTTCATGAGATCTCATGGAATTCCCCTGCACAATCTCTCTCTCTCTTTGCCTGCTGCCATCCATGTAAGAAGTGACTTGCTCTTCCTTGCCTTTTGCCATGGTTGTGAGGTCTCTGTAGCCATGTGGAACTCTAAGTCCTTAAACCTCTTTTTCTTTATAATTTACCCATTCTTGGGAAGGTCTTTATCAGCAGTGTGAAAACAGACTGATACACCTACCTTGAATTACAATCATTATCTGTTTTTTTGTTTTGTTTTGTTTTTTGTTTTGAGATGGAATTCACTCTGTCTCCCAGGCTGGAGTGCAGTGACACGATCTCGGCTCACTGCAGCCTCTACCTCCCGTGTTCAAGCAATTGTCCTTCCTCAGCCTCTTGAGTAATTGGGACTACAGGTGCCCGCCACCACCCCCAGCTAGTTTTTGTATTTTTAGTAGAGATGGAGTTTCACCATATTGGCCAGTCTGGTCTGGAACTTCTGACCTTGTGATCCACCTGCCTCGGCCTCCCAAAGTGCTGGGATTACAGGCATGAGCCACTATGCCCAGCCTATAATCATTATCTTAATGGGGATTAAATATTTTGGATTTCTCTATCTAGAACTTTCACAAGCAATTCAGACTGAACTAAATCATTTACTCTGCCTACTTTGCCATGTGCTTTTGTTTCTATATTAACTTCTCAGGTTAATGAAAGGAGAACTTCAGAGTCACATATTCTCTAAAGTTCTATCAATCTTTACTTGAACTGTTTTTGGCATCAGATTTCTTTATATTCTCTTAGCAGCATCTTCAGTTAAATACCTTCTTGTATTTTACATATATTAATTAAAGTTTATTATCCAGAGCTTTTCCTGTCCAATCTACCACTTACCAAATCTTCAATACAGTTCCTCAGATTATTTTTCTTTCTTTCTTCTTCTTCTTTTTTTTTTTTTTTTTTTTTTTTTTTTGAGACGGAGTCTCGCTCTATCACCCAGACTGGAGTGCAGTGGCCCGATCTCGGCTCACTGCAAAGTCCGACTCCCGGGTTCATGCCATTCTCCTGCCTCAGCCTCCTGAAACTACAGGCGCCCGCCACCTTGCCCGGCTAATTCTTTGTATTTTTAGTAGAGACGGGGTTTCACCGTGTTAGCCAGGATGGTCTAGATCTCCTGACCTCATGATCTGCCCGCCTCGGCCTCCCAAAGTGCTGGGATTACAGGTGTGAGCCACCATGCCCAGCCTTCCTCAGATTATTTTTCAAAAGAAAAATGTAATAATTCCATTACTACACTCAGTTGATTCATTTAATATTTTTTTTCTCACTCTGTGACAGATCAGGGAAAGAATGAAGACAGACCTCTGGAGGTTCAGAACTTCGGAACTGACTAAGATTCAGAGAGCCAATACATGTCTTTACATGAGTAAAACCAAATAAAAATTAATACTAATAAGAAATATGTAGTTAGTACTAGCAATGACCATGAAACTGTTCTAAATATCTTACATATATTAACTCATTGAATCTTCACTATAATTTTATGAGATACATACTATTATTATCCCACTTTATAGGTGAGGGAACTAAAGCACAAAGGTTAAATAACTTGAACTGTTTTCCATGTCTCTATCCCTTTAAAATATGAACATATGCTAAACATTTGCATTCAATAACACTGTTTTCATAAATGTCATAAAATTTACAAAAGACATGAAGAAAGGGAGAACAATCAGGTTAAGAAATCTAGGTCTGCTTCAGAATCCTCACATAGTATATAAATATTAAATTTCTGCATTAAGGCATAAGAGTGATCTAGTCAGAACCTCAGTGTTGTCACCAGCACTAGGAAAGAAATAATAAACGTATTTTCCATTGAAGGAGAAATTATATGGGAGCATCTTCTGTAAAACACAAAATAAATAGCATGAAAGCTTTGTCCTAGAATGTAAATTTGTGATATTGGTCAATTTCCATTATCACTGCAAAATTTTTCATTTTCCAACCATTAGGTTTGTGTATTTTTAATGTTTAACACAATTTTTTTAAATTTTATTTTTATGCTATTTTTAACTTTTTTCCACCATGGTCCTCCTCCCACATTATCATTATTTTATTTTTTATTCTTTTTTTAACTTTTATTTTAAGTTTAGGGGTACAAGTACAGGTTTGTTACATAGGTAAACTTGTGTCATGGGGGATTGCTATATAAATTATTTCATCACCCAGGTATTAAGCCTAGTACCCATTAATTGTTTTTGTTGATCTTCTCCCTCCTCTCTCCCTCCACCCTCTGACAGGCCCCAGTGTGTGTTGTTCCCCCTATGTGTCCAAGTGTTCTCATCATTTAGCTCCCACTTATAAGTGACAGTATGTGGTATTTGGTTTTCTGTTCCTGTGTTAGTTTGCTAAGGATAATGGCCTCCAGCTCCATCCATGTTCCTGCAAAGGGCATGATCTCATTCTTCCCTGTGGCGACATAGTATTCCATGGTGTATGTGTACCACATTTTCTTTTCCAGTCTTTCATTGATGGGAACTTAGGTTTATTCCATGTCTTTGCTATTGTAACTTTACTACAATGAACATATGTGTACATCTGTCTTTATAATAGAATTACTTGTATTCCTTTGAGTATATACTCAGTAACAAGATGGCTGTGTAAAATAGTATTTCTGTCTTTGGGTCTTTGAGGAATCTCCACACTGTTTTCCACCATGGTTGAACTAATTTACACTCCCACCAACAGTGTATAAGCATTTCTTTTCTCCACAAACTCACCAGCATCTATAATTTTTTTGACTTTTTAATAATAGTCACTCTGAGTGGTGTGAGATATCTCATTGTGGTTTTGATTTGCATTTCTCTAATGATCAGTGATGTTGAGCTTTATTTCATATGATTGTTGCCCACATGCATGTCTTCTTTTGAAAAGTGTCTGTATAAATACTCATGGTTATTGTTAAAATGACAATACTAGCCAAAGTAATTTATAGATACAATGTTATTCCCATTAAACTACCATTGACGTTATTCACAGAACTAGAAACAACTATTTTAAAATTTATATGGAACCAAAAAAAGAGCCTGAAGAACCAAGGGAATCCAAAGCAGAAAGAACAAACCTGGAGGTATCATACTACCTGACTTCAAACTATACTATTGGGCTCCAATAATCAAAACAGCATGGTACTGTTACAAGAACAGACACATAGACCAATGGAACAGAATGGAGAACCAGAAATAAGACCACACACCTACAACAATCTCTTCTTCGAGAAACCTGACCAAAACAAGCAATGGAGAAAGATTCCCTATTCAATTAATGGCTCTGGGATAACTGACTTGCTACATGCAGAAGATTGAAACTGGACCCCTTCCTTACACCATATACAAAAATTAAGTCAATATGGATTAAATATTTAAATGTAGAACCCAAAACTATAAAATCCCTGAAAGACAACCTAGGCAGTACCATTCAGAACATAGGCATGGGCAATGATTTCCTGACAAATTGCCAAAAGCAATTGCAACAGGAGCAAAAATTGACAGATGGAATGTAATTAACCTTAAGAGCCTGCACAGCAAAATAAACTATCAACAGAGTAAAGAAGCAATCTACAGAATGGGAGAAAATTTTTGCAAACTCTGCATCCAACAAAGGTAATATCCAGCGTCTATAAGGAACATAAAAAATTTTACAAGAAACAACCCCAAAAAACGTGGGCAAAGGACATGAACAGTCACTTTTCAAAAGAAGACATACATTTAATTTCTTATAGTGTCCTATGTTTATCTTGCCATTGTTTGTTTTCTGTTTGTTATTGTTGTGGTTTCTTCTCTTCTGATTAATTCTTTTGATAACAACAGTAGTCCTTCAGAAAGAAGAACTCGGTAGTTGATGTACCTTTTCTTTGCCCTGTGTATATCTGTCTGTCTCTTTAAAAAGTTGTTTTCTGAGTTAGACACTTACCAGAAAGCCTGAGCATGTATTATGTCAATTGGTATTATTTGCATTTATGAATGAATGAATGAAGAATTCATTATCACACTAGGGCCTCCAAAATTTGGAAAATAAAAAAGAACATATATGAAGTACCACATCCACACTAAATAATATAATTGCTGCTCCTCCATACACACATGCTCTTTATCTTCCCTCCACTACACACACACACACACACACACACACACACACACACACACACAGACATATCTCTCTGTTAGGGAATAAAGACTCGTGTTCCCACATTCTACACACAGAAAAACAGTTTTTGCCTAGTTGGTCTGCTATGGCACTTCTTATTCATTCTCAAGGATAATACTTGTTGTTTTGGGTCCAGAGTCTCTCACTGTTTTTCCAGCTGGACTTGAAAATTAATCTGCCTTTTTGCAAACCTCTGCTGTATATTTCATCAACATAACCCTGTCCAATTTTTTTCTGAATCATTTTCAAGTCTTTCAACAAGTGACACCAATGGCAGCCTTTTTTATTCTGTTGTAAGTTTATTTCTTTTATTCATTTGCCTTTTCATTTCAGCAAAACGAGATTTGGGACATGCATATATGTCATGTTTAATCACAATTTCCATCATCTTCATATCTTCTTCATATTTAAGTTTGCATTTCATTGGACAAAATTCCTTGGTCTCTTCATAGCATGATACTTGTTTTAATTTTTTGCTCTATTTTAAAAATTTCACATTTTAAAAAATCCTGGTGGTATTTTTTCTTCTTCGATTTTTATTTAACATTGTTTTGATCTTATTAAGTACTCTAAAGTAACAGAAAGCCATTAAAGTTTATTGAATTTTACTGAGTAATACATACATCATCAGTCCCCTCAAAAGGCAGAAAGGACAAAGATTAGATACTAGTTACTTTCCAGAAATAATCTCATGATCTGACATTGATAGCCAGGACAGCTGGTATGTCTAGTTCCTTATGTCAGGAATAATTTAACATTTATGTCACACTTTACATTTTCAAAGTGCTCTTCAATCATTAATAAAACATTTCCCTCAACGTTCCTGTCAGAGAGGTCAGTATAACTACCAGTAACTAGGACCACTTAATAATAAAATATTGAAAGGGTTACCATAATCCTTTTTTTTCTCATGGTGTTAATTTTCAAGCATGTAAAATTTGGACATTTGTTAAAATCCATTAGCCATATTGCATTACTTTCCATGAATTTAGATAAGGGTGAGTTACCATAAATAACATTGTGAAAAGCTTAAGAATTATAACTTTGCTTTCAATTGCAGGCTGCAGTCAATGAAATCTACTAATAAACATATAGCAAATTCTCTTGGGACTCAGGGCTATTATATTAATGTAGAGATTAGAGAATTCTAGGATTTTTAATGTTAGCAATATTTTGCCCAGAATTAAATAATGTAATACAGATTGACTAGAGGCTAAAATCATATTTACGAAAGATTACTGGCTCTCAAGTCAGCTTAAGGTAAACATAAAGCAATATTTTTGCAAATATGTGAGTATAAACAGCAGGCAATATTCCCAAATATTGGTGAACTAAGACACATCTGGAAAACATTGTGGTTTGTGCTAAGTTACCACACAATACAATTACTATACAATTATTGTCAATTCACAAATGGTTTCTGTGTGTGTGTGTGTATGTATGTGTGTGTGATTAGTAGTGTCCTTGTGAAGTTTCCTTTACTCTAGCCTCATAAGAATACATCGGAAGTACACCCTGTTTTCTACCTCTCTGAAGCTATCTTGGCTTGTTATTTGGTTTTGCTTTTGTTTTAATTTAAAAGGGTGCTAATAATAGCATCTATTTCTTATTTCTAAATAGAAATGAAACTATTGAGAAATATTTTTATTATCCTGTACTTTTTTTGAGAAATTTGTCCATTTCATTCTAGATGTCAATTTTCTCATGAATAAGTTTTATATTCTCACTCGCTTATCTTTCTAATATTTGTATTTTTATAGTTTTTTACTTTTTCATTCATTATACTGGTATTTTGTTACATCAGTTTTGTTTGTATCAGTCTTATTAGTATATTGTTGTTATAGAATAGTTTGAATTTCCTGGAATCATATATAAAGAGAGCCATATCTTATTTACTCTTTCGTGTCTGGCTTCTTGCACTCAGCATTATGATTCTGAGATCCATTCATGCAGTTGTGTTTATGCATACATTGTTTTTGTTTTTGTTGTTGTTGTTGTTTTGTTTGTTTGAGGTTGTGTCCACTCTGTCACCCAGGCTGGAGTGCAATGGCGCAATCTCGGCTCACTGCAACCTCTACCTCCTGGGTTCAAGCGATTCTCCTGCCTCAGCCTCCTGAGTATTTGGGATTATAGACGCCCACCATCACACTGGGCTAATTTTTGTATTTTTAGTAGAGATGGCGTATTGCCATGTTGCTCAGGCTGGTCTCGAACTCCTGACCTCAGGTGACTGGCCCATCTCAGCTTCCCAAAGTGCTGGGATTACAGGCATGAGCCACCGCGCCCAGCCTACATTGCTTTTATTGATGAATAGTGTTCCATTGTATGTATATATCTCATTCTGTATATACATTCACCTGTGGATGGACATTGGAGTTTCTTCCAATGTTGTGATTGTTAATAAAACAATCTAAATAATTTTACAAATAAAACCGTGCAAGTCTTTTTGTGATGCATATGTTTTTATTTCTGTTATGTGAATATATTGAGGTTGAGTGCTTTGGATCACACCTGTAATCCCAGCACTAGGGGAGGCTGAGGAGGGTGGATCACTTGAGGTCAGGAATTGAGACCAGCCTGGGCAACATGGTGAAACCTTAGCTCTACTAAAAATACAAAAATTAGCCAGGCATGGTGGCACATGCCTGTAATCCCAGCTCTTTGGGAGGCTGAGGCACCAGAATCACTTGAACCAGGGAAGCAGAGGTTGCTGCGAGCCAAGATCGAGCCACTGCACTCCAGCCTGGGTGACAGCATGAGAGTCAGTCTCAAAACAAACAAACAAACAGACAACACACACACACATAAATAAATATATTGGAGTGGAATAGCTGAAATAGCTGGGTCATATAGTTAGTGTTTATCTTTCAATTGGCGTTTCAATTTATTTCTTAGGTTTTCAGGTATACTTTATTGTATTATTGCATAGCAGTTTATGTGAAAGAATGACTATATATACTTAACTTTTCATAGTTTATATGGAATCAATAATTCCACTCACATAAGATCTAGAAATTTTAGATAGTTTCTCCTAATTGCTGTCTTTCATCCATGCGTGTTGTATGAATTAAATCTGTATGCAATGCAACTCCCATAAGACAATACTCATAAATAATCAAAAAGAAACAATGTATTTTATATTTACTCACACATATACCATTTCTGATACTCTTCATGTTTTTCTAATGTCATTTTTCTTCTTCATAAAGGACTTCCTTTAGAAATGTTTGGTCTGCTGGTAACAATTCCTTATAGTTGTGTTTTATTAGAAACCTTTATGTTGCCTTTATTTTTGAGAAATATTTGGATAATATAGATAAAATTCTGTTTGGATATTTTTTTAAATTTATTTTTAATTGTTTTCTGCCCTCTATTATTTCTGATAAGAAGTCTTCAACTGTTGAAAATTTATTTCCCTATTTATAACACATTATTTCTGTTTGGCACTTAGAAGTTTTAAAATAAACTGCCGTTTTCAGTTATTTGACTATGACAATGCCATAATCACTTTTAAAATTCTGTTTAGTTTAGGTGAATTTCTTAAGACTGAAGATAAATCCAAACTTACTGACCATCTTTCTCATTTCCATTCCATTACTAAAAACATTAAAAATTTTTTACTTCACAGTTTTTACTTTTATGTGTAAAATGTTTAATTTAAAAGAAATACCCACATACATATTGGGATTTCCCATATTTTTATGGATTATAAGCATTATTTATTGAATGATTATATTTGCATCTCTGTAACAAGTGTTTGTCATGTGTTTCTTGGACTGTTTATTATTCTTCTGTGTTTATATCATTTATATATATATATATATATATATAAACACATATATTTCTATTTTGTATTTTATATATAGTAGTTTCCCCACTCAATCATGGTTTTGTTTTCTGCAGTTTCAGTTACTTATCAACAGTGCTCCAAATATGTTAAATGAACAATAGATATTTTGACAGAGAGAGAGAGAAAGCAAGAAAGAGACCACATTTTCACAACTTTTATTACAGTATATTGTTATAATTGTTTTGTATTATTACTGTTAATTCTGTGCTGTGCCTAATTTACAAATTCAACTTTATCATAAGTACATATGTACAGGAAAAAATGTACTATACACCCTTAGTACCCAGTATCCAGGCTGGTCTTGAACTCCTGACCTCATGATCCACCCGTCTCGGCTTCCCAAAGTGCTGGGGTTACAGACATGAGCCACCGCACCCAGCCAGTGCATTTTTTAATATAATGGCCAAGTAGGAATTTTTCTTGTGCAAGAAAGAACCTTAGTGTAGTGGATCATGGTAGAATCTAGTGAGGTGGTAACTGTGGAGGTCAGTGTCATCAATGGCTTTTGGTAATGCTAGAGAAGTAAGCAAGAGCCAGATCTTGATGTCTCTGGCAGACAATTTTTTTGTTATTTTTGTAAAAACCTTGAAATCCATAATAACACAATAGGTTAAATTTAAATTACATGACGGGCGCGGTGGCTCACGCCTGTAATCCCAGCTCTTTGGGAGGCTGAGGCGGGTGGATCACGAGGTCAAGAGATCGAGACCATCCTGGCTAACACGGTGAAACCCCATCTCTACTAAAAATACAAAAAAAAATTAGCCAGGCTTGGTGGCGGGCACCTGTAGTCCCAGCTACTCGGGAGGCTGAGACAGGAGAATGGCGTGGACCCAGGAGGCGGAGCTTGCAGTGAGCAGAGATCGTGCCACTGCACTCCAGCCTGGGCGACAGAGCGGGACTCCATCTCAAAAAAAAAAAAAAGAAATTGCACTCCAGAAAAAACTTTCATATGTGTATGAGTGTGTAGGAAATGTAATATGCTCTGAAAAAGTACTTAGCCATATGATATCTGCTACACTAATTTTTTTCTCACTTTATTTTTGCCATTTGTTTTGGCTTTTGTTTTTTTAACTTTTTTTTATGCTGATACAGGGGAACTAATTGAATTTCTTCACAATTTGGGGAAAATGTGATGAACAATTTCAAAGATTTGTTCTTGGTTGCTTTGCTTTATGATAGCGTGAATTACATTTTTAAAAACTTACACTTGCTTCTTCTTCTTGAAGTTTACAAAAGAGAAACCAGTTGGCTTTTCCAGCTGTCTGATTCATAGTGATGATAGCTTATATTAGGTTAATAGTATTGGCAATGTGTCACATCATCTACCTCGATTTTAGCAGGAAAAACTGGCAGGGCTTGGTTTAAATGATAACTACAGGTTTTTGGCATAATGAAGAGGAGATAGAACTTTCTTTCTTAAAAATCTACTCAAAATACCACTTTTTTCTCATGCTTTTCTTTTATTTATTTTTTTTTGTTGACCTGTAATAGTTGTATGTATTTATGGGATACAGAGATATATTTGGATATATCAATGCAATATTTAAAGATCCTATCAGGGTACTTAGAATATCTGTAACTTCAAACATTTATTATTTTGTTTGTGTTGGGAACATAAAAAATCTTCTCTTTTAGCTTTTAAACATAAACAATAAATTATGGTTAACTACATTCAACCTACAATGTTATAGAACATTAGAACTTACTCCTCTTATCTAGCTGTAATTTTGTATTTGCTTAACAACCTCTTTCTATCCTCCCCTTCTCACTACCTTTCTCAGCCTCCACAGACATAATTCTACTCTCCACTTTTGTGAAACAAAATCTTTTATAGTTTCCAGGTATAAGGGTGAACATGTGGTATTTATTTTTCTGTGCCTGACTTATTTTGCTTTATACAGTGTTTTTTTGTTTTAATTCAAGAAAAACCAATCTGCTTAGCAGGGTCTTCAAACCTCTATATTGAATAGGCTTATTTCAACCTTGAGAAAATCTTCCTCCTGGCCATTTGCTTTTCTTTTTTTTTTTTTTTTTTTTGTGCGACGGAGTCTTGCTCTGTCGCCCAGGCTGGAGTGCAGTGGCACAATCTTGGCTCACTTCAACCTCAGCCACCCAGGTTCAAGTGATTCTCCTGCCTCAGCCTCACAAGTAGCTAGGACTACAGATGCCCGCCACTACTCCCAGCTAATTTTTGTAATTATGTATTTATTTATTCATTTTATTTATTTATTTTTTTAGTAAAGACAGGGTTTCACCATCTTGCCCAGGTTGGTCTCGAACTCCTGAACTTGTGATCCGCCCCGCTTGGCCTCTCAAAGTGCTGGGATTACAGACATGAGCCACTGCGCCCAGCCCTCACTAGCCATTTTCTAGCTCCAGTAAAATGCTCTTTATTTATTGATACTACCAAATTTATTTCCTTTTCAGGTCCTTTATTCCTTTTATGTTTCTGACTGGAAATTTCTTCCCCCATATCTCTGCTTATCTGGCTTTGGATGATGTAATGTAAAGGCTAGAGCACTGACATGGCGTGAGACCATTCTTGTACCTCATGAATTTGACACCTAGAGATAAGATCATTTGTAACATTCCCTCTTCTACTTGGCACTTTTTTCCCAAATGATCATGGAATGAAAAGAATAATAATAGCACCCATTAAAAAATGCAGAAAATGAGAACTGTCTTTACTGAAATCCATATCTATAATCAAGTAAGAAAATAAATTAGAAATTAGAGTAAAATAATGATTTACATATAATGAAGGAAAAATGAGAAATTGATAAATATACATTTTACTTACAGTGACACATTTCTCAAAATAAATAAAAACAATATGAAGACATGTTTCTAAAAGAATAAACTCTGCAAAGCTTACAGAATGATTTCCACATATATTGACAGCTCTGGAGTAAAACAAGTTCTGTTTCTTCATCTTTATGAACATGGAACTATTATCGTTTCCTTTAAAATCACTATTTACCCACACTAGATTATTGGACTACATGGCTTAAGAACAGGAACTGCAATTAATTGAAATAAACTGAAAGAATTTCAAAATGTTACAAACTTACACTCACAGAAAAGATCTTTAGCTGAAACTGAGGCTTTTGGAGGGAGAGGTTTATAACTGAGAGTTCTCCAGATCAATTGTCATGTACATTACAATATTTATTAAAAGATAATTAAAATGTGTTAATGCAATTTCCACGTGCAAAATATTACTAAAATCAACATAATGAGCAATTGTTTAAAATTTAGGACACCAAAAGTTATTATGCAGGAAATAGTATTCTATCACTGCCATGAACTTTGTTTAGCATTACCAGTAATACTAAAAAAAAAAAAAAAAAAAAAAAAAAAAAAAAAGCAGGCCAGCTTTATGTGATTGTAAATTTGTTTTAAAATTTCTACAGACAGGATTTATTCCTGAGATCCTTGGTTGGGTGCAGCTTATGCAAACCAATAAATGTTATTCATCACATTAACAGAATTAAAAATACTCATATCAATAGATACAGAAAGATTTCAATAAAATCCAACATCTTTCATAACAAAAGCCCTCAATAAACTAAGCATTAAATGACCATGCCTCAGTATAACAACTACCTATAACATACCCACAACCAACATCATACTGAATGGGCATAAGCTAGAAGCATTCCGCTTAAGAACAGGAACAAGACAAGGATGCCCACTCTCACCACTCCTATTCAACATAGTACTGGAAGTCCTAGCCAGATCCATCAGGAAAGAGAAAGAAATACGTGGAATCAAAATAGAAAAATAAAAAGTAGAATTATGTCTCTGAAGAGGATATGATTATATATGTAGTAAACCCTGAAGACTCTGGCAAAGGGCTCCAAGAACTGATAACTTCAGTAAAGTTGCAGAATACAAAGTCACTGTACAAAAATCAGCAGCATATCTATACACCAATAATGGTCAAGCTGAGAGCCAAATCGAGAATTCAATCCCTCTTTACCAATTTGGATGCCCTTTCTTTCTTTCTTTCTCTTGTCTGATTGCTCTGGCTAGCACTTCCAGTACTATGTTGGAGATAAGTTGTGAGAGTGGGCATCCTTGTCATGTTCCAGTTCTCAGAGGAAATGGTTTCAACTTTTTCCCATTCAGTATTATGTTGGCTGTGTGTTTGTCATAGATGGCTTTTATTACATTGAGGTATGTCCCTTGTAAAAATTGAGTGCAGTGTTTGCTGTTTGGGTGATGGGTGCATCAAAATCTCACAAATCACCACTAAAGAACTAACTCATGCAAGAAAACAACACCTGTTCCCCAATAACTTACAGAAATAAAAAATAAAAAAATTGCAATCCCATTTACAATAACCACACACAAAAATAAAATAACTAGGAAAATGTCTAACCAGGGGAGTGAGAAATCTCTACAAGGAATAGTCAAAACACTGTTCAAGTAAATCATAGATTACACAAACAAATGGAAAAACATTTTATGCTCATGGATTAAAAGAATATTTTTGGCCGGGCGAGGTGGCTCACGCCTGTAATCCCAGCACTTTGGGAGGCCGAGGCAGGCAGATCATGAGGTCAGGAGATCGAGACTATCCTGGATAACACGGTGAAACCCCATCTCTACTAAAAATACAAAAAAAATTAGCCAAGCGTCATGGCGGGCACCTGTAGTCCCAGCTACTCAGGAGGCTGAGGCAGGAGAATGGCATGAACCTGGGAGGCAGAGCTTCCAGTGAGCTGAGATTGCGCCACTGCACTCCAGCCTGGGCGACAGAGCGAGACTCCATCTCAAAAAAAAAAAAAAGAAAAAATCAATATTGTTAAATTGGCCATACTGCCCAAAGAAATCTATAGATTCAGTGTGATTCTTATCAAACTACCAATATCATATTTCACAGAATTATACAAAACTATTATAACACTCATATAGAAATAAAAAAGTGCCTGAATAACCAAAGCAATTCAAAGCAAAAAGAACAAAGCTGGAGGCATCACATTACCCAACTTCAAAGTACACTACCAAATGTTACAAATAATCAAAGGAGCATGGTATTGCTACAAAAATAGACACATAGGCTGATGGAACAGAATAGAGCTTCCAGAAATAAAGCCATATACCTATAACCATCTGATCTTTGGACAAAGTCAACAAAAATAAGCAATGAAGAAAAACCTCCCGATTTAATAAATGGTGATGGGATACTGACTAGCCATATGCAGAAGAAATAAACTGGACCCTTCAATTTTACCATATACAAATTTTTTTATATACAAATTATATTCTTTAATATGAATGAAAGATATAATGGTAAGATCTAAAATTATAAAAATCCTAGAAGATAACATAGGAAATACCATTCTACACATTGGCCTTGCAAAACATGAATAACCCCATTAAAAAGGGGCAAAGGACCTGAACAGAAAATGTGCAAAAAAAAAAAAAAAAAAAAAAAAGACATACAAGCAGCCAAGAATATATGAAAAAAATGCTCCACATTCTTAATCATCAGAGAAATACAAATCAAAACCACCAGGAGATACCATCTCATAGCAATCAGAATGGCTCTTATCATAAAGACAAAAAAACAGATGTTTGCAAGGCTGCAGAGAAATGGAAATGCTCATACGCTGTTGGTGGGAATGTAAATTAGTTCAGCCACTGTGAAAAGCATTTTGAAGATTCCCAAAAGAAATTAAAATAGAACTATCATTTGACCCAGCATTGTCATTACTGGGTATGCACCCAAAGGAAAATAAGTCATTCTACCCAAAAGACATATAATGCTGGTTTGGATAAAGAAAATGTGGTATATATAAACTATGGAATACTACACATCCATTGAAAAATAACTAACTTAAGTATTTGCAACAACATGGATGCAGCTGGAGGCCATTATCCAAAGCAAATAAACACAGCAACAGAAAGCCAAATATAGCGTGTTCTCACTGAGATGTGGGAGCTAAACACTAGGTAGGCATGGACATAAAAGTGGGAATAGACACTGGAAACTACAAGGAGAGAAAGGAAAATGGACTAGGATTGAAAAACTACCCATTGGGTACTATGCTTACTATCTGTGTGACAGGATCAATGATACTGCGGACCTCAGTATCACACAGCACACCCATGTAACAAACCTGCATATGTAGCACCTGAATCTAAAATAAAAGTTAAAATTAAAAAATATATACAGACAATGCATCTCCTTAGTTTCTGCACCCAGATGAAGATTGTTGTCATTATCCAACCTTTGTCTTATTATCTTACCTTTGTTATGCTATTGAGTCAGATGGCTCCTTGAATCCAAGCTCTGTCATTTACAAAAATGTGACTTTGGGAAAGTCACTTTTAACTTAACGCATTAACTTTCCATAAATGTAGAAAATTTTATCTCATATGGTTAGAGTGGGAAATAAATTAGTACTAAATACATAAATTAGTTGTAAACCCATACATATATACATATACACATACCTTTGAATTTATACCACATATATATTTAATGTGGCATACACACAAACACATACACAGATATTTTGGACTGATTGACAAAACTATATATAATAGTTATAATTTGCAATCACGCTACTAATGATATCGTATTCTTTCCTTCAATTTTTAGTCAACATATAATAATATATAATAATTAAACACATTAATGGGATACAGACTAATATTATTTCAATACTGGAATATTTCAATTTCTCATTGCAGTTTCAATTTGTGTTTCCCTGCTGATTAGTGATGTGGAGCATTTTTTATTATATGTTGGCCACCCATAAGTCTTTTTTTGAGAAATGTCTATTCAGATCCTTTGCTCACTTATTAATATTATTAATATTATTTGGTTTCTTTGCTCTACAGTTATTTGAATTCCTAGTATATTCTAAATATTTGTCCCTTGTCAGATGAATAGTTTTAAAATATTTCTTCTCATTTTGCAGATTGCATCTTCACTTTGACAATTTTTCCCTGTATTAGTCTATTTTCTACTGCTGATACAGACATACCTGAGATTGGGCAATTTACAAAAAAAAAAAAAAGAGGTTTATGGGACTTAACAATTCCACATGGCTGGGGGAGGGGGCTCACAATCATGGCATAAGGTGAAAGGCAAGGAGGAGCAAGTCATGTCTTACATGGATGGTGGCAGGGAAAGAGAGAGTTGTGCAGGGAAACTCCCCCTTATAGAATCATCAGATTTTGTGAAACTTATCCACTTCCATGAGAACAGCATAGGAAAGACCTGCCCCCATGATTCAATTACCTCCCACCAGGTCCCTCCCACAACATGTCCCTCCCACAACATGAGGAAATTCAAGATGAAATTTGGATTGGGACACAGCCAAATCATATCATTCCACCCCTGGCCCCTCCCATATCTCATGTCCCCACGTTTCAAAACCAATCATGCTTTCCCTCCAGTCCCCCAAAGTCTTAACTCATTTCAGCATTATCTCAAAAGTCCACAGTCCAAAGTTTCATCTGAGACAAGGCAAATGTCCTCTGATGATGAGCCTGTAAAATAAAAAGCATGTTAGTTACTTCCTAGATACAATGGGGGTACAGGCATTGGGTAAATACAGCCATTCCAAACGGGAGAAATGGGCCAAAATAAAGGGGCTTCAGACCCCAAGCAAGTCAGAAATCCAGTAGGGCAGTCAAATCTTAAAGCTCCAAAATGATCTCCTTTAACTCCCATGTCTCAAATAAACATCCCACTGATGCAAGAGGTGGGTTCCCATGGTCTTGGGCAGCTCCACCCTGTGGCTTTGCAGGAGACAGCCTCCCTCCCAGCTGCTTTTACAGGCTGGCGTTGAGTTTCTACAGCTTTCCCAGGCTCACAGTGCAAGCTGTAGGTGGATCTACCATTCTGGGGTCTGGAGGATGGTGGCCCTCTCCTCAAAGCTCCACTAGGGACTCTGTGTGGGGGCTCTGACCTCACATTTCCCTTCCCCACTGCCCTAAGAGAGGTTCGCCATGACAGTCCCTCCACTGCAGCAAACGTCTGCCTAGACATCCAGGCGTTCCCATACATCCTCTGAAATCTAGGCAGTGGTTCCCAAACCCCAATTCTTGAATTCTGTGCACTGGCAGGCTCTCACCACATGGAAGCTGCCAAGACTTGAGACCTGCAACCTCTGAAGTCACAGCCCAAGCTCTACATTGGCACCTTTCAGCCACAGCTGGAGTGGCTGGGACGCAGAGCACCAAGTCCCTCGGCTGCACACAGCACAGGGACCCTGGGCCCAGCCCACAAAACCACTTTTGCCTCCTAGGCCTCAGGGCCTGTGATTGGAGGGGCTGCCATGAAAACCTCTGACATGCCCAGGAGACATTTTCTCCACTGTCTTGGAGATTAACATTCAGCTCCTCGTTATTTATGCAAATTTCTGCAGTAGGCTTGAATTTCTCCTCAGAAAATGGGATTTTCTTTCTTTTGCATTGTCAGGCTGCCAATTATCCAAACTCTTATGCTCTGATTCCCTTATGAACCTGAATACCTTTAATAGCACCAAAGTCACCTCTTGAATGATTTGCTGCTTAGAAACTTCTTCCACCAGATACCCTAAATCATCTCTCTCAAGTTCAAAGTTCCACCAATCTCTAAGGCAGGGACAAAATGTCACCAGTCTCTTTGCTGAAACACAACAAGTGTCGACTTGGCTACAGTTCCCAACAAGTTCGCCATCTTCATCTGAGAACACCTCGGCCTGGATTTTGTTGTCCATATGATTATCAGCCCTTTGGTCAAAGCCGTTCAACAAGTCTCTATGGAGTTCCAAACTTCCCCACATTTTCCTGTCTTCTTCTGAGCCCTACAAACTGTTCCAACCTCTCCCTGTTTCCAAGTTTCAAAGTCATTTCCACATTTTCAAGTATCTTTCCATCCACACTCCATTCTACCTGTTTTACTCTACCAGTTTAATTTACTATATTAGTCCATTTTCATGCTGCTGATAAAGACATACCCAAAACTGGGTAATTTACAAAAAAAAAAAAAAAAAAAAGAGGTTTATTGGACTTACAGTTCCACATGGCTGGAGGAGCCTCACAATCATGGCAGAAGGTGAAAGGCAAGGAGAAGAAAGTCAAATCTTACATGGATGGCAGCAGGCAGAGAGCTTGTGCAGAGGAACTCCCCCTTATATAACCATCAGATCTCAGGAGACTTACTATTTCAACTACAACATGAGAAAGACCTGCCTCTATGATTCAATTACCTCCCCCCAGGTCCCTCCCACATGTGAGAATTCAAGATGAGATATGGGTGGGCACAGAGCCAAACCATATCATTCCCTTTGCTGAGTAAAAGCCTTTTAGTTTAATGTAGTCTCAATTTTCTATTTTTTATTGCCTGTTATTTTATATCATTACATCATTATATATCACTATGATATATTAATTATTATATATTTATTTTATCTTATTCTTTTCAGCACATGCATATACAAGCTGTCCTCAGCAGTCCTAAACTGTTCCTTTTACTCTCTAAAATACTGCTTGACAAATAGTTGAAGGTCAGTAAGTGCTTCTGGAATTTGTATTTGCATATATAACTATATATGTATATGTACCATATATACATGATAGGTCTTCAAAATATTAATGGAAAATTTATGTTTTATTTAAAAATCTATGCATGACTTTCAACTTTTTTGAAACTAAATTATATGAATTTGTTACATCTCAACAGGATCTAGTTTCAGACACCAAAATGAAAAAGACATCAGTTTGAAAAAAGCCCCTATTAGAGCAACATGAATTGTGCTAAATTGAAGCAACAAAAAAAATCAAACTTATTGTGAAGATTGGGGGGAAGAATGGTGAAATCATTGATGCTTTCTACAAAGTTTATAGGGAAAGTACTCAAAAGAAATCAACAGTTTACAAATAGATAACTCATTTTAAGACATGATGTTGAAGATAAATCCCACAGCAGCAGATAATTCATATGAATTTTCAAGGAAAAAAAATAATATTGTTTGTGACCTAATTGAAAGGGAATGGTGATTAACAATGGAAACAATAGCCATCATTATAGTTATCTCAATTGGTTCAGCACAACTGTGACTGAAAAATTAGAGTTGAACAAACTTGCTATTCGATGGGTGCCCTAACTGTTGTGCCCATAACAGCTTCAGAAAAAAAGAAGAGCTTTCAATGAAAGTTTTAAACAAGTGAGGTTAAGATTCTGAAGCAATTTTTGAAAGAAGTGCAACAGGGGATGAAACATGGCTTTATCAGTATGATTCTGAAGAGAAAGCACATCCAAAGCAATGGCTACCAAGAGGTGGAAGTGGTCCAGTCAAAGCAAATGTAGACTGGTCAAGAGCATAGCTCATGGCAACAGTTTCTTGGGACACTCAAAGCATTTTGTTTGTTGACTTGCTGGAGCTCCAAAGAACAATAACATCTGTTCATTATGAAAGTGTTTTGAGAATGTTAACCAACGATTTAGCAGGAAAACAACCAGGAAAGTTTTACCAGAGAGTCTTTTCCACCAGGACAATGCTCTTGCTCATTCCTCCCATCAAAAAAGGGCAGTTATTTTAGAGTTTTGATGGAAAATATTAGGCTACATTCACCTTGCAGTTCTGATTTGCCTCCTTCTGACATTTTTGTTTCCTAATCTTAAAAAATTCTATGAAGACCGCCCATTTTCCTTCAGTTAATAGTGTAAAAAAACACTATATTTACATGTTTAAATTCCCAGGACTCTCAGGTCTTTCGGTACGGACTAAAGAGCCAGTATCATCACTTACAAAAGTGTCTTGAACTTGAAGGAATTTATTGAAAAATAACACTGTTTTTTTTACTTTAATTCCATTTTCCACAGACTTTTTAAGGTACTTTCATGTGTGCGTTTGTGTATTTAGAAGAGCAAGAAAATGAAATAATTATGCAAATTTTGGGGGCAATAGTGATCCCATTTACTAATGTGGGAAATATTTAAAAAGGATCCCGTTTTAGATAAGAATAACAGTTTCATTTTAGACCTAGCTTGTTAAATATTATAAAGGACAGGATTAATATGATATCAGAGATGCAGAGATAAACTAGGCACAAATGATGCCACATATTTAAAGGGAAAATAATTATGAGGAAATAAGATATCAACTGTGTGTCAAATTGAAGAGAATTCTCATTATAAGTTCCATTTCAGTTAGCAACATCGCAATTTTAGCAAAATAGAGATGATGTGGTCTGGCTCTGTGTCCCCACCCAAATCTCATCATGAGTTATAATCTCCATGTGTTGAGAGAGGGACCTGGTGGGAGGTGACTGGATTATGGGGGCAGTTTCCCCATGCTGTTCTCATAATAGTGAGTGAATTCTCACGAGGTCCAATGGTCTTAAAAGAGTGGCAGTTCCCCTTTGCTCATGCTCTCTCTCTCTCCTGCCAATTTGTCGAGAAGGTGAGTGCTTCCCCTTCACCTTCCACCATAATTGTAAGTCTCCTGAGGCTTCCTCAGCTATGTAAAACTGAGTCAATGAAACCTCTTTTTAAAAAAAATTATCCAGTTTCAGTGTGAAAATGGAATAATACAAGTAATGATGAAGTTTTAAGTGTAGAAGCCAGCTGAGAAAGTGTAAAAGAATAATTGATAGGTTAGGATATAGAAGCTGTTTTTAAAAAACATTTTCTAGAATAGTAAAAGAGAATCAATCACAAAGATCATAGCTGGGGAGGGATTTTTAATCTATTTTTGTTTTGTGTTTTATTATTTTTATTATTAAGATATCTGTTATTCTTAATTGACACATAATAATTGAACATATTTATGGGGTACTGTGTGATGCTGCCATACATGTATACAATACATAATAACCACATCAGGGTAATTAGCATGTATCACCATAAACATTTAGAATTTATTTGTGATAAGAACATTCAATACCCCTCATCTAGCTACTTTGAAATATACAATACATTATTGTTCACCATATTCAACCTATTGCAAACATCAAAACTTATTCCATCTAACTGTAACTTTGTCCCAATTGACTAACTAGCCCCTCCACTGCTTTTTAGCCCTGATAACCACTACTATACTCTCTAGTTATATAATAACCTTCTATAAGGTCATTTTTTGATATTCCACGTATCAGTGAGATCATGAGGAACTCGTTCTTCTGTGTTTTGCTTGTTTCATTTAATATAGTATCCCTACCTTGTCACAAATGACAAGATTTCATTCTTTTTATGAGTGAATAGTATTCAATTGTGTATATATACTACATTTTTGAAATTTATTCATCCATTCATGGGCACTATTGTTGATTCTATATTTTATCTATTGTGAATAGTGTTGAAATAAACATGGAAGTACTAATATCTCCTTGACATACTCATTTCCTTTCTTTGGATGTATACCCTGTAGGGAACTTGCTTGATCATATGGTAGTTCTATTGTTAATTTTTGAGGAACTTCTGTATTGATGCCCATAATGGCTGTGTTAATTTAATTCCCACCAACAGTGCGTAAGAGTTCTCTTATCTCCACAACCTTACCAGCTTTTTTTTTTATTTTTTGTCTTTTTGATAAAATTTATTCTAACTTAAGTGAGCTATATTGTGATTTTGATTTGCATTTTCCTGATGATTAGTGACACTGAATATATTGCATATTTTCATATACCTGTTGGCCATTTGTATGTTTTCCTTGATAAATGTCTATTTAGGTGTTTTGTCCATTATTTAATCAAATTATTCAATTTTTTAAAAAAATTTCTATTGAATTGTTTGAGTTTCTTATATATTCTGGGTATTCACACTTGGCCAGATGTGTAGGTTCAATGGTGCAAATTGTCTTGAAACTCTTGATAGTTTCCTTTGCCATGTAGAAGGTTTTTAGTTATATGTAATTCTATTTGCCTATTTTTGCTTTTGTTGCCTTTTCTTTTTTTGACTTCTTATTTAAAAAATCATTGCCCAAGCCAATGTCATGAGGCATTTCCACTATGTTTTCTTCTGAGTAATTTCATAGTATGTGATCTTACATTTAGTTATTTAATTCATTTTAGTTGACTTTAGTAAACAATAAGAGGGGCCTAGTTTTATTGTTTTATTGTTTTATTGTTCTGCATGTATTGAGTTTCCCAGAACCTTTAAATACACTGTCATTTCCCAAGTATGTGTTTTTAATGCCTTTGTCAAAAATCAGAGTTGAATATAAATCTGTAAATTTAGTACTGGAATCTCTATTCTGTTCCATTGGTCTATGTGTCTATTTTAATGCCAGTACCATGCTGTTTGGGTTGCTATTGTTTTATAATATATTTTCAAGTCAGATAATGTTATGTTTCTAGCTTTGTTCTTTTTGTTTAGGTTGTTTGTGCCATTCAGGTTCTTCTGTGGTTTCATACTTAATTTAGAATTTTTAAAAATTATTTTTCTTTGCAGAATGTCAGTGGTATTTTGATAAGGATTGCATTGAATCTGTAGATAGCTTTGTGTAGTAAAAACAATTTTATAATATTAATTTTCCTAATTTATGAACATGAAAGATATTTTAATTATTTGTGTCCTCCTCAATTTGTCTCATCAGTATTTTATAGTTTTCATTGTAGAGATCTTTCAACTCCTTTGTTTAATTTATTCTTAGGTATATTTTTTGTAACTATTAGAAATGGAATAGCTTACACAATTTCTTTTACATGTGGTTTGCTAGTGGCATACAGAAATGCTACAGAATTTTTATGTGGAATTGATATTAGTTATTTAAAGGTTTGATAGAATTCAACAGTGAAATCATTTGTTCTTGAGCTTTTGTATGATGGGAAACTTTTTGTTACTGATTAAATGTGGGACATTTAATTAAAAAATAACTTTTTGTTATTCATCATAGGTCTGTACAAATTTTCCTCTTCTGAATGATTCAACTTTGGTAGATTTTCAGTGTTCAGGAATTAATCTATTTTTTTTCTAAGTTGTCATATTTATTAGGATATATGTGTTTATAATAGTCTCCAATGATCCTTTTTTATTTTTGTAGTATTAGTTGTAATGTCTCATTTTTTTCATTTCTTATATTTATTTATTTATTTTTGTTTGTTTTTGGTTAGTTTGGCTAATGATTTATAGGTTTTATTTATGTTTTCAAAAACCCAACTGTATTTTTTTCATTTTTCTGGATTGTTTTTTAATGTCTATTTCATTTATTTCTACTCTTGTCTTGAGTACTTACTTTATTCCACTAATTTTGGGTTTGGTTTTTCTTGTTTTAGTAGTTCCCGCAGATGCAATATCTTTATAGTTTTTTGATCTCAGTGTTTATGGCTATAAACTACCCTCTTAGAAATGTTTTACCTTTATCCCATATGTTTGGATATGTGTTTCTATTTGCTTTTGTCTCAAAAATTTCTTAATTTTCTTCTTATTTTTTTCATCAACTCATTAGCTGATTAGTTCAAGAGCCTAATGTTCAATTTCCATGTATTTGTACATTTTAAAAAGTTTTCATGTTATTAATTTTTGGTTTTATTCTACTTTGGTCAGAAATTATATTTGATATAATTTTTATTTAAAAATATTTTAAGATTAGTCTTGTGGCCTAACAAATGATCTATCCTAGAAAATGCCCATGTGATGTTGAGAAGAATGTGTATTCTGCAACTGTTGGATGGAATGTTCTGTAAATGTTTTTTAGGTCCATTTAGTCTACAATGTGGTATAGCTCTAATGTTTCTTTGTTGATTTTCTGTGTGGATGATCTATCTATTGCTGAAAGTGGGATATTAAAGTCCTATCTCTCCCTTTGGGAATATTAAAATTTGCTTTATATATTTAGGTGTCCTAAAGTTGGATGCATATAATTATATACATACATATATATGTATATATATGTGTGTGTGTATATATATACAGTTATAACCTCATATAATTGTTATAACCTCTTGATCTATTAACTACTTTATTATTATATATTGGCCTTCTTTTTCTCTTTTTGTTGTTGTTAGCTTGAAGTCTATTTTATTTGATATAAGTGTAGCTCTTCCTACTGTTTTTTGGTTTCCATTTGCCTGGAATATTTTTTTTTCTATCCCTTCACTCTTAGTCTATGTGTGTCTTTACAGGTAAAGTGAGTTTCTCATAGACACTGTACAGTTAGGTCTCTTTATTTGTTTGTTTTTTAATCTATTCAACTACTCTATGTCTTTTAATTGGAGAATTTAATCATTGACATTCAAAGTACGTATTAATAGATAAGGGCTAACTACTGTCATTTTGTTACTGGTTTTCTAATTGTTTTGCGGTCCTTTCTTCTTTTTTTATGCTTTATTTATGGTTAGTAGTGTATTTGGATTCCTTGCTTTTTATTTTTAGTGTATCTATTACAGGTTCCTGCTTTGCAGTTGCCATGAAGCTTACAAAAACATTTTGTAGTTATAACAATTTATTTTAAGCTGATAAATTAACCTTGGTTGCCAAAAAATTAAAAATAAATGAAGCTGTATATATTAACTTTATTTCCCCTCCACATTTTGAATTTTTGGTCACAGATTTTTTTACAGTGCCTGTCTTTTAACAAGTTATTGTAGTTACTGTTTTAAAGAGTTTCATCTTCTAGTCTTCATATCTAAGATATATTTCTTTACACATCAGAAGTATAATATTGGAAATGAAATTATATTAACAATCTTTTGTTTTGGTTTTAAAGCTCTCTTTGGCATTTTTATTTGCGCAAATTTCATACTGATTAATTTCCTCAGCTTTTATTTGTCTAGGAAAGTTGTTATTTCTTTCATTTCTAAAGGATAGCTTTACTAGGTAGATCATTCTTGCTAAGCAATGTTAACACTCAATATATTTTTTCGCTTCCTCCTGGCCTGCAAGATTTCTGCTGAGAAGTCGGCTGCCAGGTATATTGGATCTTCCTTAGATGGTATCTCCTTCTTTTCTCTTTCTGCTTTAAAATTCTCTTTGTCTTTGACTTTTACAATTTGATTATTAGGGTCTCAGGGTATTAATATTTAGGTTGAATCTGATTAGTAGGAGTTGACCTTTCTGTATCTGGCTGTTTATATTTTTCTCTAGGTTTGGAACTTTCTCTTATTATGTCTTTGAAGAAGGTTTATACTTCTTTGTCTTTCTTGATTCCCTCTTGAAGCCCAATAACCAAAATCTTGCCCTTATGACGTTGTCTCATAGATCTTATATTCTTTCTTCATTTTTTTATTATTTTTTTATCCAAACTGTGTATTTTAAAATAGCCTTTCTTCAGGCTTATTAATTCCTTATCCTGTTTGATCAATTCTGTTGTTGATGCTCTCTACTGAACTTTTAATTTTTTATTGTATTTTTTGCATCTAGGATTTCTGATTTGTAATATTTCAATCTCTGTCAAAATTTTCTGATAAATTCCTCTATAGTTTTCTTGTGTTTTCTTGAAGTTTGTTGAGCTTCCTCAAAATAACTATTTTGAATTCTTTATCTGAAAGATCACACATCTTCGTCACTTTAAAGTGGGTATCTAATGCATTATTTTGTTCATTTGATGAGGTCATATTTCCCTGAATATTCTTGATGCTTGTGGGTGTGCAACAATGCAACAATGTCTGTGCATTGTGCATTGAGGAATCCTGGCTTTGTGGTCTGGCTTTGTTTGTGTTCATCTTTTTTCCAAGGCCTTCCAGAGATTCTAAGAGATTCTATTGTGTTTCCTGAGCCTGCAACCATCGCAGCACTAGACTAAACATACACCCAGGTTTTCTGAAAGTCTCTCAAGGGCTCTGAGGTTGGTGCAGCCTTCTGGCCTGTACAGACCTGGAGGAGATTCAAGAAGTTTACCTAGGCTACATGGGAAAACTGGCCAGGGATTCAAGTCTGAAAGCTTCTCTTGGTGTACCAGATAAGCACATCTCTCAACAGATTCCCACAAAGGCTGAATAAGTCCTCAACTGCAACGACGTGGGCTGGAACCGAGACTGGGTCCCCTCAGGATCAGCTGTGGGCTGAAGGTTGGTGAGCATGACACAGAGGCTAAGACTTCCAGACTGTGAGATATAGTGTGTCTTTCTCTGGGTTCCTGTGTAAGCAGTTCTGAGCTGAGACTTCAGCTGAGGAAGACTGGAGCCAAGCCACATAGTAACATTCATGTTTACTGCTGAGACTGACATCAGCAGGCATATGAGCCTATTCACTGAGGCACTAGCGGGTACAATTCCTCCTGGACCCCTGATAGATGGTTAGGTTTGCAAATTCCAGACCAAGTGGGGCTGTAGATAAGGCCCTTGGGAATGAAGTTGTTTCTGGGCTTGTATCTGGGAGCAGGTTCAGCAGATCAGCAACACAGGTCCCTGTGCACACTCTCAAAAAACCTTCCAAGGTCTTGGGCTCCACCAGAGTTTTACAGTCTCCTACATGAATCCAAAGGCTCCCAAAGAGAGACTTTTGTCTGTGAGTGACTGTGGAATTCTTGTTGTTGTGGAGGGTGATAAGCAGGTCACCATCTATTACACCATCTTCCTGATGTAACTATTATAATTTAATGTTTTTAATAAGAGAGAGCTACATTGTCAATCAGGTAGGCGCTGTTTCACATGCGCCTATTGAGCACTACACATTGAGATGTGCTGTAAGTGTAAAATGCACACCAGATTTTGAGGACCTAGTAAGAAGAAAAAAAGTAAATGGTGTACTAAAAATTGTTTATATATAGTAGATGTCAAGATTGTATTTTTATATGTTGAGTTAAAATATATTCTGCAAATTGATATCACATGTTCCTTTTTACCTTTAATGTGATTACATATGTGACTTGCCTGTGAAGCTTGTATTATATTTGTATTGAACAGAGCTTATCTAGAATATATTTGGGTGCTGATGGGAGTGATGAGAGAGAGAGAGAGAGAGAGAAGGAAAAGAGTAATGGATTTTCTAAAAATCTGAAGACAAAGAAGAGATGAGATAGTAAAGTTGATTTAGTTTAAACTTTGAGAAAAAGTACAGAATGTGGAGAGTCAGGCAGGATTCTTGAATTATTCAGGAAAAGTTTAAAGTTCAGTTATGCTTTCTATATCTAATATACATAGCAGAATTTCAATAAATTGCTAGTTTGAATCATGGCAGCAAGCTGTAGTAGACACATCTTAGGGTTCCTCAAGCTCCCCATGCCCTGGCACTCACACCTTTTATAATCACTTCCATTTAGTGGAGATGGGTCTGTAACTTGCTTCTAGCTAACAGGAGATGACAAAGGCGATGAGGTTTTGCAGATGTAATTAAATGTAGATTATTTTGTGATAGACTGACTTAATCAGGAGAATGCTTTTAGAAGAGGGACTAGGAGCCTCCCTGAGGTGAAATATTGACCTTTTTGCCTTGATTGTAAGCAGTCTAACCAAAGAGGTCCATATGCTAAAGAACTGCAGGTGGCCTCCAGGAGATTTAAGCACCTTTTAAAACCTGAGGGTGGTCCCCAGCAGAGTGCCAATAGAAAGCCCTCAGGAAAATATTCACAAGGAAATGACTCCTGCCAACAACCTGAATGATGTTGGAAGTCTCTCCCCTAGTTGAGCATCTGGATGGGAATGTTGTCTGCTTACAGCCTCACTGCAGCCTTCTGAGACCCTGAGCAGTTATGTCATGTCCAGAATCCTGACCCAGAGGAATTGTGAGATATAATAAATGCAGGTTGTTTTAAACCTCCTAGTTTGTAGTTTTCTGTAATGCAGCAATAGAAAAATAATATATAGCCATTTCTGCTTTCATAATTTGGGTGTGGCATTTCAGAGTTCTGGATGTCTGAAGGGCTGAGTTATAGTCTAAGACGGAGCTTAAATCTCTTTTAATCTTCTCATTTTTCTGTTGTATATCACTTTGCTCTTCTGCAAAGCATATGCAAAAACTTTAGTGTCAGTTAAATCTTAATGATTATTTCAAACTCCAAAATTGTATTATTGTTCAATTATTAAATAGAAATTAATTTTCAATGATCATTTTCTACAACTTGAGGAACGACATTAAAACTTGGCATTTACCACTTTTTTAAAAAATTCAAACCATCTACAGACATTGACAACAGACCTGTAATATACCAGATAATGTGCACTAAAAGAACAATAAATATATAATTTGTATGATAAAACTGTCATAAAAATTTTTCATTCAATTAGAATTTGGCAATTTACCAGTAATGGCTTCTAAAGATCTTTTTGCAAAAAAGAATCTATTGACATTTTATATCAATCTTATATATTTAAAATATTAAAAAGCACTTGAGTTTTAAGTAAAGAATACCCATGAAGATGGAATCCTGATAATAGGCACATGATAAATACATTTGACACAAAGTTAAACTATTTTATACTCTTCTAAAAACCCATCTCATGTAGTAAGGACAACAGCTTCTCAGTCCTAGAAGTCAAGTCTGATCACAAAAAATAACAACTACTTTTTCCCCTTCTTATCTTTACATCAAATTATAGAAGAGCTTAAACCTTAAGAGCAAAATCAATAGGAGGATCTTAGAGTAAAACATGCACACACATTATAAAAATAACTGGCAGATTTTGAAAATGGGTGATGATCTATAATAAACTAATGAAGGTAAGTATCTAGTAGGGTGGTGTGGAGGCCTATACTATATTTTTGTCAGGGTTAATATTTCTATTGACGATCCAGAAAAATAAGTAAAAGCAGCCAACTAACTATATTTTCACATGAAATTAGATTAAAGGAATATGTGAAGGGAAAAGAGAAAAAATATAAAACAAATAGACTATGACAAGATCACAGCAAGCCCCTCTAGTTGTTGACAGTGTAAAACTTCAATCTAAGAGGTCTTCACACAAATCAGAGTGGAGATGAATGCCAGTGGGGTCAGTGATGATTTCATTATTTAGAGCTGAAATGAGGAAAGGCATGTGAGAAAAAAACATTGGAATGTGTCAAAAAATAATTCATTATTGCACAAAAAAGGTAACAACACAAATCTATTCATGAGGAAATAGAAAACACATCAGTAACTTTTTAACTTGAAAATGAACTGTGAAATTTGAGACATTTGATTTGCAAAAATTAAATGGCCTAATGTATGAATCTGTGTGGTTGGGAAAAGGAATCAGGATGCCTGAATCAGTCACAACATTCTGCCTTATGTAATATGTTATATATAAACTAGAACTACGACATTATTTTTTATTAAGAATGAAAAACCATTTTTATAAAATGTACAGCACATTTGATATGAAGTAAGATTCTTCTAGAAATAGGGTTATTCTTGTGTTTGTTCCTATACTTGAAAGCTTGTACTGTACATTTTTTCTAGAAAAGTAACATTCATAATACACATTTTCCTCTATTTTTCACAGATACTTATAAAATAAAACTGTATTACAGCTTTGGACCCCTTCCTTACAATATTTCTTCATCCATCTCACTTTGCATTCTTCTCTGAAACAACAGCTTTTTGATTCAGATACACTTCATACATGAACAGTTGAACAGACAGAGTATGATATGTTCGATAGCCTCCAGGATTGTCCAAGCTCTACAATTTCCCAGCTATCCTTCTTGAGCTAAGTTGCTAATTTTTATTTTGAACGTCAATTTCCACAGTTAGAAAATAAGTCAGTGTTGGGGTGAGACTTGAATTAAGATAATGCTATCTGCAAAAGTGCTTAATGCATATAAATAATATGTAAAATTTGATGACAACTCTATTTCATACCATCAGGTAAAAACAAATGAATCAATTCATCAGTGACTGGGCTGAAAATTACTCTTTTTCTACACAATAAAATCCCATTTTTCATAATCTGCTTTTATCTACTTTTTATTGTCTGTGTAAGCTAGTTGATTGTTTCCTCACCTTGTCTCTTTTTCTCCCTTCGTGCATCTAAAATTTGTAGGAAATCCTGAGTCAAAAATGAAATTATTAAAATTTGTAGGAAAACATGAGTCAAAAATGAAATTATTAAACAATCTCTTTAGAACAAATTTTTTTAAAGATAGAAACATGTAAATTAAAAGCAAATTAACATAATAATTAAAACATAAAATCTCCAAAGACTCAACACATTCTTTCTCTCAGACTTCTTATAGAATCATATAATCCAAGCACTTTTTTTGCAATAATTATTTAAAAACTCTTTTTTTGGAATTCAAAATATAGGAACTTTAAAACAAGTTTTGTGAAACTTTTATGAGATAATGAAAATTTCTCATCATAAAACAAAGAAAGTTAAAAAGGCGGGGAAAGGGGGTTACGTTCTAGCTCTCTTCTACGCTTTAGGATTTAAGCCATTTTAAGATGAAGTATAAAAGTTTTGTAAACTGGTTTATTCACAGTGATGAAACCAGACTAATTCCAAGATATTCATGCATTTGAATCCTTTGCAGAGGACTCATGAATCTTATTTATCACGCACATCTTTCTGCCTTACAGTAGTAGCTTTCAAGTAGAATCTGATGGTTGATTTACTGGCCCATTCACTAAATGGAAACATTGATATTTTTGCGACAATCGTAAGTTGAGTTTCAACTTCATTGATTTGGTAACTGTATGATATTGGGCAACTACTTAATATTGTTAAACAGTTGTTGATCCATTTATAAAATAATTATATTAATAGCCATCAGTTCCAGATAAACTGAAAGGCAGTTAGAGATATAAAGTCTGATGTGGGGCACTGCAAAAAAGCTTATCATAGCAACCTCTATTTAACTACATAGGCTAACCAAATAAATCTGTGAAATCTAACCTTCTAAAGTAATGGCTTATTTATTAGGAGGCAGTAGACAAGGAATAAAAGCCACAATTATGAATTTTTAGTATCTCTAAATTTTGTCTTTAAAGATATGCTCATACTCAATATCTTCCTTTATGAATTATGTGTATGATGATAGCTTCAATGTTTGGCCTGCACTATGGTCACTTCGAGGTTACTTATTTCTATTAATTATTTTTTAAAAGCTAAGTAGTTAAATTGGGTTTCACACTATCACCCAACCACCAGCCCATTCAGCCCAATGCAGAGACCAGTGCTCAGTCCTCTGCCACTGACACTGATCAAAGGGAGATTTCTACTGAATTCATTGGTCCATGTTTCCCTTGGCTATCTCTGCAGGCAAGAAGGCTTTGAAAATTTTAATTCATTAACTACTAAAATGATCGTCGTTAAAAGTGGAGGCTTAAAACTCATTGAACCAAAGTGTTTTTCTTTTCTTATTAAAGACTCTGGGCTCCAGATTCAAATAGAATTTCTAATTATATTGTGCCACTTAGAAACTGCAAAATATAGGGAAAGTCACTTAACTTTCCAATGCTTTAGTTTATCATCTATAGAGGAAGATGGACAAAGAATCAATATTTGAAATTTTCTTTTGTTATATTTTTAATGACAAATTGAGCTAAGGCTTTAAAAATGTTAGCACAGGACTTGGCACATAGCAAGTAATTACTCCATAAATGTTAGGTATTATTATTTTCATTATTGATGTAAAAATACCACACCGTAATTTTTATAATCAGAAGTTAATAAGTATAAGATTATTTTCTTATATCAACATAAAAAATGCATTTTTAATCTATAGAGAAAGAGACCACTGCATAAACTTTCACCTGCTTACCTTCTCTAGTCTCAAGCTAGAACACAAGAATAAAATAAAATAAAAAGAAGATTAAAATAATTATCACAAACTATATCTGTGTTAAGAATTACAAAATATTACTGGATGTGAAATACTTAGCTTAGTATTTACAGAATTACAAAATGTTAGTGGATGAGAAATAGTTAATATAGTCATGGCACAGTAAATGCTTACTAATTATTATTATTATTAATGTATTACATTAGCATTAATTACTCCACAGCATAGAGAATATTCTTTTTAAAAATCAATTTAAATGACTTTAAGGTGATTATTTATTTGCAATGTTTAATATAAATTTCCCAAACGAAACAAAAGTAATTAAAACAGCCATATTTCAGAAACTTAAAAAAGAACTAACTAATACATGTTATATAATGTGCCCAGTGCACTGAAGTTTTTTTTGCATCATTTCAGTTATTAATAATGAGCAAGAAGACCAAGATAATTTTGACTACATTGTAATATTCCACATGTCATGTCATAAGAGAATATCTCAGAACTGGAACTCCCAATTCAAAAACATAAAACATTTGTTATAGTGAGTGAACCAAGAAGATAATAGAAGGAAATTATCATGTATAAGAGAAAGTGGCAGTCAAATAGGGACCAGAGGGAAAAACTGTCTGACAAGAAATGTCTGACAAGAAATGACAGCAACATTCTACCCTTTTATTTTTTTTATTATTTTATTTTATTTATTTTTTGAGATGGAGTCTCGCTCTTGTTGCCCAGGCTGGAGTGCAGTGGTGCAATCTGGGCTCACTGCAACCTCCGCCTCCCGGGTTCAAGCAATTATCCTGCCTCAGCCTCCTGAGTAGCTGTGATTACAGGCACCACCATCGTGCCCTGCTAATTTTTGTTGTTTTAGTAGAGACAGGGTATCACCATGTTGGCCAGGCTGGTCTCGTACTCCTGACCTCAGGTGATCCACCCGCCTTGGCCTCACAAATTACTGGGATTACGGGTGTGAGCCACCTTGCCTGGCCTTTCTCTCCTTTTAAACCACATAATAGTAACAATTCCCAGTGAGGTTTTTGGGGAAGATACTGACAAAAAAAGGTAGTTCTATGGCTAATCCAGAAAATGAAATTTTATCTGTTGATTTGAGTCCCAAGACACAAAATTCAGCTAAAATTATTTATATACTAGGGGAGAAATCCTCTTAATGATCATTGACCTGAGGTCCCATATATGTCCAGAGGCACAAGTTCTCAATTATGTGGAAAATACTTCTATTTCTTTAGGTGAAGATTGAGTCTTTCAGTAACTAAGCTAAGCTAAGGTGTGCAAAAACAAACTGTAATTGGCAAACAGAAAAAGACACGCAGATTGAGTCATATAGTAGGGGTAATTTTGTTCACAAAGGAAATGTCTTCAATCCTTCTTTATAGAAGCCTTTTTCTACTTTAATTATATAACACATATTAAATGTGAAAACATGCTTCAAACACTTTGGCTCAGTATTATTCCAACTAAGAAGTCACTAGGCCAGGGTGCGGTGGCTCATGCCTGTAATTCCCAGCACTTTGGGAGGCTGAGGCGGGTGGATCACGAGGTCAGGAGTTTGAGACCAGCCTGGCCAAGATGGTGAAATCCCGTGTCTACTAAAAATACAAAAATTAGCCAGGCACGGTGGCGAGCACCTGTAATCCCAGCTCTCGGGAGGCTGAGGCAGGAGACTCACTTGAACCCAAGAGGCAGAGTTTGTAGTGAGCTGAGATCGCGCCACTGCACTCTAGCCTAGGTGACAGACTGACGCTCCATCTCAAATAAATAAATAAATAAAGTAACTAAATGTTTGTTGAAAGAATAAGTCAGTCATATTTCAAATGATTGCTCAGTTACCTTGGAGAATAAAAACATATTACAGTCGTCAAAACATTGAGATAGAAAAGATGGAAGATCTATTCATTTGTTATTGCTGCTAATGAACAAAAGGAGTGATGAATATCATTCTACCGCTTTTGGTCACATGCAAAAACATTGTTACATTTGAACCATGGCTCATTTCTGTGAGCCTTTCTAAAGAATCTCTTCTGGTATAACTGGAGGTATGGCTCTGAGGTGCCATTTCAAAAGAGTAGATGAATTGACAAGAGTACCTCCATTGGTAATGAATACACAGTTTATTTGTGTCTGCCCACCCAGACTTTCCTTCTGTCTATCAAAAGAAAGTTGAGTCTTCACTTTTTACAACTGATTGATCTGATAAATCAAGAGCTTGGAGAAAGTGAGAGCAGCTTTGCTCAATCACCATTGGCCCAAGTTTTTTGATGATTTTTGAGGAGAAGCACAATTTAAATACAACTCAACATGAAAGCATTTTTGTATGCTTATCTCAATGACCTGTATAAAACCTAGTAATTTATCATTCATCTATGCACAATACTGAATTCAAAATAAGTTTGTAAAATTTCGATTTTTACATACCTATTTCCCAAAGTGAAATAACTTACTAATAATATTTTTAAATAATTAGAATTACCTAAACAAGTTTGTAATCTGCAGGCTAGTACACAGCTTTTAAAGGACATATGAACAAAATTACAATGTGTAGAAATACTTTACACAAATTGTTGTTATTGGTCAACAAATTTTGGTTTCTCTGTTGTAATAACTCACCTTAGTTTGTATGTTGTTCACTTAGATACATTATTGTAATTTACCATGTATTCTGAATTCTTTGAAGGATGATAAAAAATAAGTAATGTTATGAGAAGTTCTTTATGAGAGGACCATGGGAGTACTTGGACTGTGGAATCACAGTGATATTATTAAAGCTTACTAAGATTAAATTGCTTTTGGAGTGTCAAGAGAGTATAGGTACTATGGAGCTGATATCCACATATTTTTAATGCAGAGGACATTGTAGGGTCATTCCAAAAGCCAACACTGCAACATATAATACAGTTCAAATATTTCTTGCCTTTTGTACGTTGCAATAGTTAAGGCAGGCAAGGTGATCAAAGATTAAAAAAAAATAAGAGAAAGAAGTTTCAAAATTAAACCTTTGGATTATAAATGCAAATTACAATTATGTTTCTGGAAATCTTATTTTAAACATGAACCTCTATGATTTTAAAAGTTCTTAAAATATGTCATTCTATTGTTTTTTAAATTGCTTAATTTTATGCTTGTATAAATTTGCTAAACAAGAAAATAGTTTGCATGCATTTGTACATGTTAAAATAAAACTTAGAACACCTATAAAAGAAACTTTAAAAGTACCCCTAACTTTTTATAATAGTTTAAGAAATTAGATTATACCTCAATGTAATAGAATTAAATTATATTTTCTTCATCATTTGATTTTTAAAAAATAATTGTTTGCCCAGTTTTGATTGACACAATGATCTCAACCCATGCATACAATTCCATGTTTTCAATTCTCCCTAAGCATTTTAACTTAGGTTAAACCATGCCTTCAGTGTAAAGCCTTGATATGCCCTCACTCTTAAAGACATTTTCTTATGTGTGAATCAAAATTGAGTATCTTAAAGAATAATGAAATTCTTAAAAGTATGGCATTATCATATCATCTTGCTAATCAAATTTTACTTGTTATTTTAATTTTCCATAGATCTTAACAGGCAAAGGTAACCAGCCTGAATCGATGTGACATGTCATTTTTTTTTCCACATTTTTGTGTGTTGTTTGCAAGTTTGCTTCACTTTTCTAGTTTTTTTCCCACTAAAATAAACCTCTTTCTACTGTTACTCTGTCTTATTATGGGAAAGTCTCCGTTGTGCAGTGACCCAACATGTTTCTACTACTCCTATTTTCTTCTTGCACTGCTTTCATCACTATCAATCAGTTTGTAGAGACTTTTTTTGCTATTTGAAAAGGCTAATCTTATAATAAAATCTATTTTTAAGACTTTAAAATAAAATTTTCCAAGGAAGAATATAAGACCATGCCCTTCACAGTTTAAAATGCTTTCTAATTATTCTGAGAAATAGGCAAACTATACTTCAATTTGGAATGGGCTGAATGAAATGATTCACAATACAATTGAATATTAAAAAACAAATACTGTTCTAAAAATACGTTTTTCCCTGTGGCTTGCTTCTTAGATGACGTGATCTTTCCTCCTTCCTTTTCTCACTTTTTCTCTACCAGCGTACCAATACAGAGGACACATGTTTCTTTTCAGATTCTCCTTTCTCCCAAGTATCTGTAAAATCACATGTAGCAAACTGGAGCTTTTGCTGTCAAACTCATGTGGTTTTCTGAAATTAACTTCTGGACTGTGGTAGTGTGATAAACAGTGGTAAATATAAACAAATCAGAAAGCAAAGTGAAGCTGTTTTATTTTATAGCCTTGTCACCATTTGTAATTAATGAGGAAATACATTTTCTTTTTCTTTAGATATTTTAACTTCTGTAATAGATGCAATAGAATATATTTTGTTTATAATTCACTGTCTTACCTCTTCATGAGTATGTGCTAATGCAAATTTATAATTTTCTGAGGAAAAATCCAACATAAAAAAAGACTCTTAGTTAAATATAAAAACGGATTTTACATTAGATACACATTACACATTAGGTAGATGTTATTACAAGGAAGATTCCAAAACCGAAACTCTGCCAAGTAAAACAATTTCTCTCACAAAGAGAAGTCACACAATTTAAGTTTTAATGGACTTCTAAGTATTTATATAAAAGGCATTATGACATTATTATATCTACTACTTGAATAAGAGTTAACATTTGTTGAGTAAGTACCACATGCCAGGCAATATACTAAGTACATTTACTACCTCATGTTTTCTATTCAAGACATTTCTAGGTACGTATTTTAATTATATCTAGTAATGAGAAAACAGAAGTTAGGGGTTAAGCTTTCTGCACTGAAAAATAGGTAGTTTACAATTCTCAACATATTTTTTACTCAATGCACTTCTGTAATAATTCAAACATCACGTGAAATAATTCTGAAAGCTGAGATAATTTTCAGTACATTTATGATTGACAACTTTTAAGTTATAAGTAAATTAAAAAGTAGAAAACAAGTGAAACATTAAACAAATTTTTGCAAACACTTATATTATTAAAAATTTAAAGGTAAGAACATTTAGACAATGTGACATTATTCTTAATATTTCTATAAGCCAAAGGAACTGCAGAGAACAAATCTGATTAACTGATGCTTACCACATAAACCAAGTGGGATTTTTTAAAAATTTAAATGGCCTGCTATTTTGAAAAAGGCAGTCAAAATAGGTTTCTGTGACTTTTCGTAATTAACTGAGCACCACGATCTTTGAAAATAGTAGCTGGTACTAACAGTGTCAAGTTACTATACTAACTATTTATCTTAGAAATGCAAATATTAGAGAATTCATCAAAGCAGATTATTCATTAATTTATTATGTTAATATTAATTGTTTCTATGTATAGGCATTTTGCCAATAAACCATGATGAGACTTTCAATAAATATTTACTAAATAATTACTATATAACATATTTTACTCCTTAGTTTTCTTTCAAAAGATCACAGGGCAGGGTTTGGTGGCTCATGCCTATAATCTCAACACTGTGGGAAGCTGAGGCAGGTGAATCATTTGAGAATAGGAGTTGGAGACCAGCCTGGGCAACATGGCAAGACCCCATCTCTACAAAAAATACAAAAATTATCTGGGTGTGGCAGTGTTCACCTGCTGTCCCAGCCTCTTGGGAGGCTGAGGTGGGAGAATTGCTTGAGCTTGGGAGATCAAGGCTGCAGTTAGCAGTGATTGTACCACTGCACTCCAGCCTGGGGAATGAAGGGAGGCTCTGTGGAAAAAAAAAAAAAAATCACAGGAATCTTTACTTTTCAAATTTAATTTGTTTAAAGCTTTGTATAGCTACTACATATATATGGCTCAAAAACTGAAACTGACCCAATAGTTCCATAGACTGTTCTTTTGGATAAATGTAGAAATTGACCATTCTGGTCTTAAAGCTTGAAATATATTTGTTTTACCTGAATTCCTTCCTCAGAACAGGACCTTCAGTACTCTCAAAAAAAGTATCAAATAACTGCAACTTGTATTAAAAAAATGAAAATCACCAAATCACAGCACCAGATGCAGACGTCTTATTCATCATTATTGCTTCCTTGCTCCTCCCTCGTTCTTGTTTTCTTACGTATGGTAACATTTCTTCCCTGCTGTATAAACCCCTAGTTTTAGTCAGGGAAATGGACTTGAGACTGAGCTCCCATCTCCTTGGCTGCAGCACCCGATTAAAACCTTCTTTTCTGGCAATACTTGTGGTCTCAGTGATTGGCTTTCTGTGAAGTGAACAGCAGGACCTAGACAAAACCCCTGGTATTTTAGTAACAAAACAAACAAATGTCCTAGAAGGCATACAGGAACTCCATTTTCTTAACTTCCAGGTTCTCATCCACACCTAAGCTCTAACACCCACAGGTGGTTACTATGGGAATATTTATTTTTATTCTACATGTTCTTTATGGCTATAAAACCAAATAGGTAGCAGTTACTATATTCATTTTAACAAAAATAGTAGCCCATTAAAAACATGTAGGTTTATTCATAAAAGCACAAAAAAGCACCGTCACTCTTTTAACAGATGCATAGTATTCTACCATGCAGATACGCTATAATTTGTCTAAATTATCCTGTATAAATACACATTTTAATAATTTTATTATAAATTAGAGGTTGTCAACCTTTTTCTTAAAGTGCCACCCAATACCCAATAAATAATTTAGACTTTCGGGCACATGACCCTCATTGAAACCAGTAAACTTGGCTGTACATAGCCAATATATAACGAAATAGAAATAGCTGTTTTCCAATAAATCATTGTTTACAAAAATAATGGTTAGTCTACAGATGTAGTTTGCTGAAGGCAATTCAGTGCTACAATGTATTTGCATTATCTCCAGGAATGGATGAGTACACCACTTTTCCACAGCCATACCAAATTAATATGTTATATTGCTCTTAGATTTTATTTTGTATTTGATTAATTGGGGAGTTCAAAAGACCTGAAGAATGGGTTTTTAGTTTCTTTGTTTTTGCCTTCCACCTCTATTAATTCTCCTTAATCTTAAAATTCTTCATTTTCATTTTATTTTATTCACTACTGATTTTTATTTTGTAATCCAAGTGTCCCTTATGGTGTTTTAAACATTATTGTTTCTTTGTTACACTTTCAACATCATTGTCTTTATTTTGTGTTTTTTTCTTTACCTCTTTCATGTGTTCTTTGGTCTCAACTTTTTACTGAATTCTTGTTTTTCTGTTTTGTGATGGTTCACCTTCATGGATATAGTTGCCTGTTGTAGTCTCGCTCTGTCACCAGGCTGGAGTGCAGTGGCGTGATCTCGGCTCATTGCAACCCACCCCCTCTCTCCCAGGTTCAAATGATTCTCCTGCCTTGGCCTCCCGCGTAGCTGGGACTACAGGCACCTGCCACCACACCCAGCTAATTTTTACTTTTTTGTATAGACAGGGTTTCATCATGTTGGCCAGGATGGTCTCAATCTCTTGACCTCATGACCCACCCACCTTGGCCTCCCAAAGTGCTGGGGTTACAGGTGTGAGCCACCACTCCCGGTCTATTTAAGCTTTTGTATTTATTTCTTTCCTATTGTTTTATTATGGATTTGGAACTGAAGGTGGAGTAATTGTTAACATATTTTATTTCCTCTGCTGCCTGATAACCTCTTCTAATGGGCTTAATATGGTTTCCTATTTTCCTAATTTCATTGTTCCTTATTATTATTCAAGAGATTTTTGGTGTGTATGTAATGAAAACTCATTTTTAGTACTCACAATAAATAAAATTATTTTGGTGGAGGACATATTATTCTTCCAGGCCAATTGTTTTTAACCTAAAGGCCATCTTTATTTCTGAAGATTTTCTTTGTCTTTTATGTATGGCTTCTTTGGGAAATTCTGTACCTATTCCTGCCTACTTTGTGCTTCTAAAATAAAGCAAGTCCAAGATGACTATGCTGCCAGATTTAACTCTAGTTTCTGTACCTTGTCTTTTGAAAAATTAAAGGGGGCCACATTTTCAGGAAGGGAGTTTTGGTAAAATTTTCTGAGATTTGCCTATATTGATCCCTCTGAGCACTACTTATCTTTATCTCCTTCCTTACTGCTTCTACTCTATCTGATAGCTGACTATGGAAGCCCTTACGTGGAATTAGTGTATACATTAAATTAACCTTGTATTTTCGTTGCTAAATGAGTTTGAATAATTTGCTATTTTATCTCTCTCTCTCTCTCTCTCTCTCTCACACACACACACACACACACTCTGCAAGGAACAGGTTAAAAAGATCTTTTAAAGGGTCTTTTTTTTAAGTTACCGGTTTAAAATTCAAAAATGAATCTTAACAATATAAACTTTATTTTAATAGCTATTTAAGATGTCTTCATAAATTTTCTTATGTGATACAATACAAATCCTGCATAGTGTTAAAAAGATAGAGTTCATCACAAAATATCTACTAGTTTATGTGTTCTTTTTTTTTTGATGGGATTCCATGTTTTTCTGATAATCTATTAAGTAGTGTTTTTCCAAGGATTGAACAAAATAAGTTACAGCCTAAATGTGAATAAAATTTTAAAAAATATTTATTGCGCAAAGATAATTATATTGATAATAGTAATATGAAAACTATAATAATATTAAATAAGAAACATTTTATAAGTAGTATAACTTTGAACACTGGCACTTTGACTTGTAATTATTCTTCTAAGGTGACCCAATTGGATCAAACTTAATTAAGATCTGCACCCTCATAAAATAGATACTACCTTGATTACTATGCATGGAATGTCAGCAATCATACTCCCACATGTTATTTGTAAGGGAACAATAACCAAGACATATTTATTCTAAAGCTATAAAGAAGCATAAAGCTGGAAGTCATTGTAAGGTCATTGTGTCTATCTTCTTTTTTATATGACAATTAAAATAACTTAAACCACCAAAGTTCTCTATATAAAAAATTTAAAGCATTTTTTCTTTTAAGAAATATAAAAACAATACTATAGAAAAAATTGTGAGCAACTAAAAGTATTTTTATGGGTATGTGTTATACTTTGATTCATTTTCCTATTGTCCTTAAAATGGCGTTTTGATCATCCTCTTTAATTATTCTATATTATCAATGTCCCAAAATCCTACGTACACCAGAAGTACTAAAGTCATCATATATTAAAAGTAAATAAACTCTCTCTGAATCAAAACATTTTACTATTTTCTCAATTTGCTTCTGCCACTAATTTAGGAGTAGAATTTTTAACAGATATTTTAAAATCAGCATGGAATATTTAAAATTTTAACTCTGGTCTTATTAGTTATTAGACTATTCACATCGTGACTTCAGTCTTAATGAAAAGATATTCTACATCATATTAATGTGAGGCAATTATTAAGATTTAAGAGCATTGTTGTCTCTGTATTGGAAATAAATGTAATTTAGGAGACATACAAATTTATTATTTCCCTATCTTATTCTTATATATTATTACCAAACTTTATGTTAAAAACTGTTAATTTGGCCAGGTGTGGTGGCTTATGCCTGTAATCCCAGCACTTTGGGAGGCTGAAGAGGGCAGATCACTTGAAATCAGAAGTTCGAGACCAGCCTGGCCAACATGGCAAAACCCCAACTCTACTAAAAATTAAAAATAAGAAAATTAGCCGGGCCTGGTGGCAGGTGCCTGTAGTCCCAGATGTTCCAGAGTCTGAGGCAGGAGATTCACATGAACCTGGGAAGTGGAGGCTGTAGTGAGATCACACCACTGCACTGCAGCCTGTGTGACAGAGTGAGACTCTGTCAAAAAAAAAAAGGGATTTTTCTATATGATCTGGAAAATAAAATAGACATATTTTAAATTAATATTTTAAGACAGATTTATATATTGACCTGAAGTTTTCTTTTCCTGAGGTGTCCTTGTCTGGCTTTGGTATCAGAATATTGTTGCCCTCGTAAAGTGAGTTTGGAAATATGCTTTCCTCTGCAATTTTTTTTGGAAGAGTTAAGGTTGGCATTAATTATTTTTTAAATGTTTGGTAGAATTCACCAGTAGAGCCATCCAGGCCTGGGTTTTTCTTGAAAGAGATTTGATTAATGATTCAATCTCCATACTAGTTACAGTTTGTTCCAACTTTCTATTTCTTCATGATTCTGTCTTGGTACATTATCTGTTTCTAGGAATATGTATTTCTTCATGGTAATCCAATTTGTTGATGTATAATTGTTCATAGCAATATCTTATGCTCTTTTTTATTTCTGTGGTATTTGTTGTAATATTTCCTCTTTCATTTATTCATCTTCTCCCTCTTTTTAAGGAAATCTAGATAAAGATTTGTGAATTTGTTATTCTTTCAAGAAACCAATTCATGGTTTTGTTGACTTTTATCATTAATTTTCTGTTCCTTATTTTATGACATCCACTATAATCTTTATCAATTATTTTCCCAGAGATGTTAAGCTAGGCTATTCATTTGTGATTTTTATCTTTTTATAATGCAAACATTTATCATAATATACCTCCCTCTTACAATTGCCTATGCTGTATCCCATAAGCTTGATATGTTGTATTTTTATTTTTATTTATCTCAGATATTTTCTAATTTTTTTTAATTCAACTTTTATTTTAGGCTCGGGGGTAGGTGTGCAGGTTTATTACATGGGTATATTTTATTGCACTGAGGTTTGAGGTACAAAAGACCTTGTCACCCAGGTAGTGAACATAGTACCCTGATGTGGTTTTGATGTTTGTTCCCTGTAAATCTCATGTTGAAATGTGATTCTCAAGGTTGGAATTGAGGCCTGGTGGGAAGTGATTAGATCATGGGGGCAGATCCCTCATGAATAGCTTAGCACCATTCCCCTGGTGATAAGTGAATTCTCCTTCAGTTAGCTCACGTAGGATCTGGTTGTTTTAAAGCTTCTGGGACCTTTCCCTTCTCTCTCTTGCTGTTGCTGTCAATATATGACATGGCTGTTCCCTCACTGCCTTCTGCCATGATTGTAAGCTTCCTGAGGCCCTCACCAGAAGCCAGCGCTGAAGCCATGCTTGTGCAGCCATCAGAAACATGAGCCAATTCAATGCCTTTTCTTTATAAACTACCTAGCTACAGGTCTTTTATAGTGACGCAAATAGATTGACACATACACAAAAGGTGTATGTGTTATAACCATTGTCCCACTCTCTACCCTCTTTGGAAGTCCCCAGTGTCTTATTCCCATCCATATGTACTCAGTATTTAGCTTCCACTTATAAGTGAGAACTTGGAGTACTTGGTTTTCTGTTCCTGCAATAATTAAGATAATGGCCACCAACTGCATCCATGTTGCTGCAAATAACATAATTTCATTCTTTTTTATAGCTTCATAGTATTCCATCATGTATATGTATCACATTTTCCTTATCCAGTTCACAGTGGACAACATGATTTACTCCATGTCTTTGCTACCATGAATAGTACTGCAATGAACATATGAGTGCATGCGTCTTTTTTGATGGAATTAATTATTTTCCTTTGAGTATACACGCAGTAACTGGATTGCTGGGTTGAATGGTAGTACTGTACTGTTTTAAGTGCTTCAAAAAACCTCAGAACTGCTTTCTTTTTACAGTGGCTGAACTAATTTACATTCCCACCAACGGCATATAAGTATTCCCTTTTCTCACGAACATCTGTTATTTTTCGTCTTTTTAGTAATAGCTATTATGACTGGTGTGAGACAGTATCTCATTGTGGTTTTTAGTCAATTTCTCTTTCCATTTCCTTCCATTTCATCCATTGTATGTTTAACAGTATGTTAGTGTATTTCCATGTTTTCAAATTTTCCCATTTTCCTTTTGCAATTGATTTTTAGTTTCACTCCATTGTGGTCATAAAAATTAATGGATATAATTTTAATCTTCTCAAATTCATTGACTTGTTTTGGGACATAACATATGATCTATCCTAATGTATAATTTGTGTGCACTTGAGAAAAGTGTGTATTCTCTGTTGTTGGATGGAATGATCTGTATGTTTGTTAGGTCTATTTGGGGAGTGCTGTTTAAATGCTCCATTTTCTTACTGATTTTCTGTCTAAAAGTCCTATCCTTTATTGAAAATGAAGTATTAAAGTCTTTTAGTATGGTTTTATTGCTTTGTCTTTTCTCCTTCAGATCTGCCAGTGCATGTTCAATATATTCAGATGACTCGACATTAGGTATATCTATATTTGTAATTGTTATATCTTCCTGGAAAATTGACCCTATTGTTATCATATAATGTCCTTATTTGTTTCTTGAAGTTATTGTTTATTTTTTTTCTTTAAGTCTGTTTTGTGCTTTTTTTTTTTGGTTACTATTTGCATGTAATATCTTTTTTCCATCCCTTCCCTTTCACCCTTTGTGTGTGCTGGTTCTAAAGTGAGTTTCTAATAGACCTTTAATAGTTGGGTTATGTGTTTTTATCCATTCAGCAACTCTATGTCTTTTAATTGGGAAGTTAGTTTGTTTTTTTTATATTTAAAATATTACTGATAGTAAAGGATTTTCTATTGCCATCTAAAAATGTTTTGTCTTATTATTAACAATGTTTTGTCTGTTTCCTCCTCTTTTATTTTCTTCTTTTCTGTTTGCTGATTTCTTGTATGAATATGCTTTTACTCCTTTGTCTTTGGCACAATTTGTATATGTATTTTTTTGTGATTACCATGGGGTTACATAAAATATATTATAGTTGCAACAGTTACTTTAAATTGATAATAATTTGAATTCCATGCCTGCAAAAACTTACTGATGAATATAGATGCAGAAATTCTTGAAAAATTCTAGCAAACCAAATTCAACAGCCCATTAAAATGATATTACAACATGACCAAGTGAAATTTATACATGGGATGAAAGCATGTTTCACCACATACAAATTAGATGATGTGACATACCACATTGACAAAATAAAAAGTAAAATTACATGTTCATCTCAATAGATGCAGTAAAATTGTTAGACAAAAATGTCATAATGTTTCATGATAAAATCTTCCAACAAACTAAGCATAGAAGGAAAGGATAAAAATGTATCAAAGGCAATATATAAAAAGCCCACAGCTAATATCATACAAAAGGGAGAAAAACTAAAGCCTTTCCTTTAAAATCAGGAACAATGCAAGGGTCTCCACTCTTCCACTTTCACTACTTTTATTCAACATGTTACTAAAAATTTTTGTAAAAGTAAATAGGCAAGAAAAAGAAGTAAAAGACATCCACTTTATAACAAAAGAAGTAAAAGTGTTCCTGTCTATATATATATATATATATATATATATATATATATATATATATGATTCTATATATAACAAGCTTTAAAGACTCTATGAAAAAAGAAAGGTAGAATAGGTAATCTCAGTAAAGCTGCAGGGTATAAAATCAACATACAAAAACCAGTGGTGTTTCTCTACACTAACGATGAACTATTCAAAAAAGAAATTCTAGTAAAAAAAACTAATCTCATTTACAATAGCCACAGAGAGAGTAAAATAGTAAAACAGAGAGAATAAATTTGACTAAGAAGGTGAAATATTTGTATATTGAAAATTATAAAATATTTCTGAAAAAAAATCAAAGAAGATACAAACAAATGTATACATCCATGTTCAAAAACCTCTATCAAAATCCCAATGGTATTTTTTTATAGAGAGGAAAAACAATCTTAAAATTAATATGGAACCACAATAGATCTTGAATAGTCAAAAGAATCTTGAGAAAGACAAGCAAAGCTGGAGGCACTAAATTTTTTGAATTCAAAATATATTACAAAGCAGAGTATTAAATCCGTATGGTACAGGCATAAAGACAGACATACAGACAAATGGAATAAAATAGAAAATTTGGAAATAAATTCATGAATATATGGGCAACTAATCTTTCAAAGAGTTGTCAAGAATAAACAGTGGGAAAATAATTGTCTATTCAACAAATGTTGGCATTACACATGCCAAATAATGAAATAATATCGTTACCTTATCCCATACACAAAAATTAACTCATAATGAACTAGTTACTTAAATGTTATACCTAAAACTATAAAACTTCTAGAAAAAAAAATCAGGGAAAAGCTCCTTGTCATTTATTTGGACAATAATTTTATGGATATGACACCAAGCACAGGCAACAAAAACAAAAATACACAAGTGGGACTACATCAAACCAAAATGTTTATGCACAGTAAAGGAAACAATCAACAGAATAAAAAGGCAGCCTACAGAATCAAAGAAAATATTTGCAAATCATTTATCAGATTAGAGGTTAATTTCCAAAATACATAAGAAACTTATACAACTCAATAGCAAAAAACAAAAGAAACAACAACACAAACAAAAACCTGATTAAAACTGGGCAAAGAACCTGAATAGACATTTCTCAAAAGAAGAAAGACATGTGGCCAACAGGTATATGCGAAGATGATCAACCTCACAAATCATCAGAGAAATACCACAATGAGATATCACCTCATAGCTAAGAAGATGACTATTATCAAAACAACAAAAAAAATCCACAAGTGTTAGCAGGTATCTGGAGATATTGGAACTTTTGCACACTGTTGGTTGGAGTGTAAAAATGGTGCAGCCAGTATTTAAACAGTTTTGAGATTCCTCAAACAATTAAAAAGAGAACTCTCATATGTAATATGCCATTGTAAGCAATCCTACTTCCAGCAATTCAATTTCTGAGTATTTATCTATCTAAGAAATGAAATCAGGATGTCAAAGACAATATATAGAATGGGAGAAAGTATTTGCAAACTGACAAGTTTTTGCAAAAACTGAAAGTATTTGCAAAGTCTGACAAATGTTAATATCCAGAATATTTAAGGAACTCAAACAGCCCAGTAGCCAAAAACATAAATAAATAAAAAGTAAATAATCCAATTAAAAGTTGGGCAAAAGATCTGCATAGACGTTTCTCAAAAGAAGACGTACAAATGCCAACAGGTATATTTTTATATAGCTCAGAATGACTAATCATCTGAGAACTGCAAATCAAAACCACAATGAGATATTGCCTCATTCCAGTTAGTAAAACTATTGTTAATAAAAGAAAAAAAATGAATGCTGGCAAGGATGCAGAGAAAGAGGAACTCTTATGCACTGCTGGTGGGAATGTAAATTAGTACAGCCATTATAGAAAACAGTATGAAGGCTCTTCAAAATACTAAAAATAGAACTACCATATGACCCAATAATCCCACTACTGGTTATATCTCCAAAAGGAAGGAAAGAGTATGTCAAAAAAAAAATATATATATATATATATATATATGTATCTGCATTCCTGTGTTTGTTTCAGGACTATTCATAATAGTCAAGCTATGGAAACAGCCTAAAGAGTACTATTGTCTATCATTAGTTTATGGTTTTCATAATTTATCTCCAATTGTAAATTATCTCTTTAAATGTTTTAGTCATGTTTTAAACAGTGGGTATCTTTAAAAATACTGAGTTAATTATTTTATATATGTATGTGCATATATTACATATAATATATACTCACATAGGTAGATCATATACATATATAATTTGTATATATATTTTATATGACAAAAGTCTTATTCAGACTTCCAAATTTCCAAAACCCACCAATTATGTGGCTTGCCTTTTTATTTTAAGTGCTTTCAAAGAGCAAAAGTGTCTTTCTTTTTTTCCCCCCAAAGACTATATTTTCTAATTCATTTTCTTGTTGTATGCTATAAGAAACATTTACCTGTCCAAAGGTCACAAGATCATTGTTATGGCTTTTTCCTATGCTTTTGCTGGAGGCTTTGTTATTTTACTGCTCATATTTCCATCTCTTACACATTTTCAATTTTCATGTACATCCTGTGGGGTAATTGTCAGTTTTTGTTGTTGTTGTTGTTTTGTTTTGTTTTTGTTTTTTTGAGACAGAGTCTTGCTTTGTTGCCCAGGCTGGAGTGCAGTGGCACCATATCCACTCACTGCCATCTCCGCCTTCTGAGTTCATGCCATTCTCCTGCTTCAGCCTCCAGAGTAGCTGGGACTACAGGCGTCCACCACCAAGCCAGGCTAATTTTTTTGTTGTTGTTTTTATATTTTTCTTAGAGATGGGGTTTCACCGTGTTAGCCAGGATGATCTCCATCTCCTGACCTTGTGATCTGCCCACCTTGGCCTCCCAAAGTGCTGGGATTACAGGCGTGAGCCACCACATCCGGCAGTAATTGTCAATTTTTAATTATACAGATATTAAATTGTTTCAGCACCATTTCTTAAAAAGACTTTCATATTGACATGAAATTACTGGATATCCTTGTTACAAATCAGTCGGCCGTATATCTGTTTATTAACTTTTGGACATTATTCTCCTCACTTTATCCATCTTTCTAAACTTTTGCCAGAATGGCACTATCTTGATTATTGCCACTTTATAGTAAGCCCTCTCAATTTATTTTTTCCAAGTATTTAGCTATTGTTTGCTGTTTAAGTAAATTTTAGAGTCAGTTTGTAAGTTTTACAAGTTTCTACTGGATGATATAAGCAAATTAATTATAATTATTCTATCAATATATAGTTATTGAAATATTTAGTTATTAAAATATTATCAAATACAATTAAACAGAGCAATGATATACTACAATGCCTCCTTAGCAATTAGTGTTTATCCCAGCTATGCAAAGATGGTTCAATATAAAATACAATTATCAATGTTATTTTCTCACTAACAGATAATAGAACAAATTATATAAGTTCACAGAATTAAAAACAATGCATATCAGATAAGCGTTATATCTTTTACTAATAAAATTAAAGAATTATTCTTTATAGATAGGCACTTTCTTACCTCTAAACTCAAGACAGACAGCACAAGTAAGTATAAGTGCATGTAATCATTTTCTAAAAGATAGAAACAAAAGACTATCCTCTTAATGTCTTTCTTAAACGCTAGTGTTTTTATAACTCCAACATGACATTAGTTACAAATTCACAGTTATAATAAATATCTTAGGAAAATAAATTACCAAGAACAATTAAAGCAATAAAAAATAATAAGAATTTTTAAGCTGGAATAGTGAAACAGCGTTATGTAATGTGATGATATCCATGGAAAGCAATATGTAATACTAAAACAAATGTACTCTGCAGATGGTGTGTGTGATATTCAACATATTGGGCATTGCGAATCAGTTGGGAAAAACAGAATTTTTAATAAACCATAAGAGGATAATTGTTTTATTTATATATACACACACATATGTATTTGTTATACAAATACATATACATTATATATAAATATATATTTATATTATTATATACAAATATATATTTATGTTTTTGGCAAACTAAATACTTTTCATGTTTTATATACATTTAAAAAATTATTGAATATAAACAGAAATACTAGATAGAATATAGGATGATATTCTATTAAGATATAGTCATGGTTACTTAACCATAGGGTCACGCTCTGAAAAAGTGTATCCTTAGGTGATTCCATTTTTGTGGGAAATTCGCAGAGTGTATTCACACAAACCTAGATGCAGATAGCCTACTACACATCTAGGCAATATAGTGTAGCCTGTTGTTCCTCGCCTACAAATCTGTACAGCAGGTTACTGTGCTGAATGCTGTTGGTGATTTAACAGTAAAGATCTGTATGTCTAAACATACAAAAGGTATATTAAAAATACAGTATAAAAGACCAATAAATGCTACTCCTGAATAAGACACTTATCATGAATGGAGCTTGCAGGGCTGGAAGTTGCTTTACTTGAGTCAGTGAGTGAATGTGAGGCATAGGACAATATTGTACAGTACTGAAGGCTTTATAAACACTGTACACTCAGACTACTCTAAATTTACAAGAAATATTTATTCAATAACACATTAACCTTAGCTTACTGGAACCATTAACCTTATAAACTTTTAATCTAGTTTTTTTACTCTTTTGAAGTAATACTTAGCTTAAAACACAAGTACATTGTATAGCTATACAAAATATTTTCTGTATACCCTTACTCTGCATGCATTTTTCTATTTTAATTTTAATTTTTTTTTCTTTTAAGCTTTTGCGTTGAAAGCTAAGACACAACACATGCATTAGCCTAGATCTACAAAGAGTCAGAATCATCAATATCACTGTCTGCCACCTCCACATCTGGAAAGTCTTCAGGGGCAATAACACACCCTATAGGAGTGTCTGGCATCTCAGTAAATGTAAAAAGAAAGCAATCACAGTCATGAGATTGCATTTTCATCTGAACTATGTACCCCAAAGCTTATATAATAAAGACCTAACCCCCATTGTGACTGTACTGGAACATAGGGCCTTTAAAGAAGTAATTGAAATTAAATGAGTCCGTAGGGTGGTGTCCTTAGTTGATGGAATTGTTGTCCTCACAAAAAGAAAAAAGAAACACCAAAAATGCTGGTGCAGAGAGAAAAAACCTTGGGAGGATGCAGAGAGTACAAACCAAGGAGAGAGAATTCAGGAGAAACCAAACCTGCTGACATTTTGATCTTTGCCTTACACCTTCAGAACTGTGAAATATAAATTTCTGTTGTTTAAGCCACCCAGCCTGTGGTATTTTATTGTGGCTGCCCTAGCGGACTATTGCAGGCTTGTCTTACACATTCTACATTTCTCTCTTTGACTCCTTTTTATTTGTTTATTTTTATTTTATTATTATTATTTTTTTGAGATGGAGTATCACTCTGTCACCCAGGCTGGAATGCAGTGGCGCGATCTTGGCTCACTGCAAACTCCGCCTCCATATTCAAGCAATTCTCCTGCTTCATCCTCCCAAGTAGCTGGGATTACAGGCATGCACCACCACGCCCAGCTAATTTTTGTGTTTTTAGTAGAGACGGGATTTCATCATGCTGGCCAGACTGGCCTTGAACTCCTGACCGCAGGTGATCTGCCCACCTCGGCCTCCCAAAGGGCTGGGATTACAGGCATGAGCCACCGCGCCCGGCCTTTGACTCCTTTTTCTAATGACTAGAACAAGCCTGAATGAGAATGTTTTCAGTAGGGGGATGGAGGAAGTGGAGGAGGAGTTGGGGAGTAAATAGGAGTGAAGCTGTTGGCAGCTGGGGCTGTGAAAAGAGACAATACTTTCAGGAGGTAGATCGGAGCTAACAACATATGTGTTGTTTTAGAGTTTAATTTTTTTTATTGCTTGTCTTTAGATAAAAATAAATGGAGCGTGTATATATGCTAATAGAAATGGTAGAGAAGAAAGACCTGACAATGCTGATGGAAAGAAAGTTGGGGTAAAATGTAGCCTAAGTTTGCTGAGATGGCGAATGGAATGGGACCCAGAGCCAGAGGGTGGAAGGTGAGGGGTGGAAAGGAAGGGATTTTTTTTTTATTATTATACTTTAAGTTTTAGGGTACATGTGCACATTGTGAAGGTTAGTTACATATGTATACATGTGCCATGCTGGTGCGCTGCACCCACTAACTCGTCATCTAGCATTAGGTATATCTCCCAATGCTATCCCTCCCCCCTCCCCCCACCCCACAACAGTCCCCAGAGTGTGATATTCCCCTTCCTGTGTCCATGTGATCTCATTGTTCAATTCCCACCTATGAGTGAGAATATGTGATGTTTGGTTTTTTGTTCTTGCAATAGTTTACTGAGAATGATGATTTCCAATTTCATCCATGTCCCTACAAAGGACATGAACTCATCATTTTTTATGGCTGCATAGTATTCCATGGTGTATATGTGCCACATTTTCTTAATCCAGTCTATCATTGTTGGACATTTGGGTTGGTTCCAAGTCTTTGCTATTGTGAACACATGCACACGTATGTTTATTGCGGCATTATTCACAATAGGAAGGGATTTTTGGTAGGAAGAAAGAAGGACTCCTCCTCCTAGATCGCAGTCTATAACATAAGAAGAAGGAACAACAAGAACATATTCTGGAGGAACTGGGGAGAGGAAATTGAGATAATTCCCATTTATTGGGCCTTTTTTGTGATAGATAGGCAACATTAACTTTTAAGAAAAAAGTGACTGTCTGTACAGAAAGAGTAAACCTTTAAAGAATGAATTTTACTTTATGTAAATTATATCTCAATAATTCTGACTTTAAAAGAGGAAGAAAATAAAACACATTCATTCTTTCTTTTGCACTTCATCATGTAATAATATAATAAAAAATATCTAGCCTGGGGAAAGTAAGAATGCAAAAAGTTAACAATATTTGTACAAAGTTAAAAAACACCATGATGTTGATGATGATGACAAACTTTTCACCATGTTTGTCAATAATTGATGTGTTGCTATCACAGTTCATGATGTTTAGTTTATCAAAAACTGAATAGACTGGTATAATGTTTCTCCTATCAAAATTATAAATGGAATTAAATGTTAATAATTAATAGATTTATCAAATAATAAAATTAATAAGCAAAGAACAATAGCTTTAGTACATACTCATTAAATTTAGGATATGTCTGTTAAAAAGAATTATCCATTATGCATGCTACTTTTCACAGTTCAGTTGTAAATTATTTCTTAGCTATGCCTTAACAATCTTTAAAATATTATGTTTTCAGACTTAGGACAGATGAGTGATTTTTTAACTTTAATTCATATATTTCAACATCATATCTATGACTTGCAGATAAAATAATCAAAACTTCAAATTTCAGAGTCTGATAATAATGAGTCAGAAAATAGTCATCTTCATTTGATAGAAAGTACATTTCTTGTAATACATAGCAAGCTAAATAATATATACTTTGATAAGACTATCAATTACAGTTTTATAAAATTTTCCTGGTTATAAAGAAGCCACTATTAACTTTTTATTAACCTCAAGAAATCCTTAGCAAGTTGTGCTAAGGGATTACGGAATGTTTTGGATAGTAATAATTTTTTTAATGAACACATTAAAAGTAGTGCAAACTACAATATCTATAGAAATGTATTGAACTACTATTTTGAAGATTTTTAAAGTCTTTAGAATTCATTCATTTAAAAAATTATTTCTAAGTACTTTTATATAATGAACTCTTCTGTTAAACTCTTTTGTATCGAGGAGTTTTAGAGGTTAATGTTACTTTTACGGGATAATTAGAGTATATCACTGTGTCAGGTAGCAGCATAATCTACTTGATACCACTCAGGAACAACAGGAGTATAGATTTGCATTTTAATATTTAAATTGGCAACATATGAACACTTGACTGCTGTAAAAATTTTATACAAAACTGAACACTTATGGATGTTTTAGTAATCTAAATATTACTTTCCATCTTACCTCTGATATATTCTACTATATTTCCTATCAAATGTATTCAAAATTATCTGAATCTATTGTCCATGGATCCCAGTTTATTCTTTATACTGTACATTCTGTTACTCATGCCATTTGTGGAGTTTTTCTTCCAAGTTTTTTCTTTATTATATGAAACCTCTAATTACTTCTTTCCCAAACAAATATCTCATCATCTACTTAATTTTGCTTTTATTGTGGTTGTTTATGATACAATATGGATGATGATAGTCTGCACATTTCAAAAATTACATTTTTCCCTAAAAACATTTTTACAGTATTGCATCTATATTTTATAATTAAGGTATTTTGATTTTTAAAAAATATTCAAGCTATTTATACATATTAAATATAATATTATTTAAAATATATCAAAGATATATTTTTCTTATTTGTAGTTCAAAGCGTGCTTGATCAATATTGGTACTTATACTGTTTTTCTTACTTAACTATGGAATCTCTCTCTCTAGGTATAGATACAAATTCTGATAAGAAAAAGAAATATCTTCACCCCATGGTTCAACAGAGAAAAACAGGGAATAGTGAGGACCCACATTTGAACAGGTTTTTCTACACAATATTTATTTTTATTAAAGAGGTGAAACCACTTTTTAATCCTGCATTATATTCATTATATCAGAGTGGCTTTGTTACTGTTTAAGTTATTATTTTGGAACAAAAACCCACATGCTTGTTCCATCTCCCAATTCTCCCACTTACAGTTTGCAAATGAAAAAAATGTTATCGAGTATTTTTGATGGCCTTGTTTTCTCTTCAGTGTTGAGTGGTAGAGTTCTTAGGTCTTCGGACTTGACCATCCTTTAATCTAATTTGTTATAGAACTTATAGAAATGGAATACTCCTAAAAGCAACAACAATAAGTTATTATTTGTAATTCTAGAACTGTTGTGGATTTTATATTTTATATTTACTCTGCCATTTGAAATGAATTCTAATGCAGAGACATAAATTCTTGTGTACAATAAAATTTATTGAGACAAAACTCATGGGTTTCTTTAACAAGAGCACTCCGCCTTATTTTTTCCATTTTCCAACATCATATCAATAAAATTGAAATTACTAATTTGCCAAGAAAAAAGTGAAATGCTCTTCTTTTTTATACATCAGAAATGAAATTCTTATTTCCACTCAGGTTAAGAATAAGACAAAGATGTTCATTATGATTAGTAAAATTTTACTCAGTAATAGAGACATTAGCTAAAGCAATTAGATAAGAAAAAGGAGTTTTAGTCTGAATTACTGAAAATTAAATACAACCATATTTATCAGGAGATTGTATAATTATGTTTTGGTAAATCCAAAATTCAATACAAAAGCTATTCAAAACAGACACCATATAATAAAATGATATTATTTAAAATTATCAAACTAGTCAACAGCTTTTATAAACAAAACAAATGAAAGAGAAATTTTATGAGAGTGAATACTCAAGTTACAATAACAATTAAAAGAAAAAAATTATAGTAAAACATTAAGTAAAAATCATACAGTTAAATTACTAGGAAAGTGTAAAATATTGTGGTTTACTAGCATCAACACAATGAAAAATATACCTTCTTTTTACATTCAAAGGCGAGATTCTACCTTTAGATTTGTCAGTGACATCCAATAATGCATATGTGCTTACATTTTATCGAAAAAAGGAAAATTGAGCTGATAATATAACATAAATTTTCTTAAAGGCTAAATAATAATAAAATCTTCCTCAATGAAATGGAATTGTTCTATTTTATAAGTCAATAAATATTATATTAGATACAGTATTTAAAATGTCTGGAATCTACGTATATTTTCTTTATATGCAAGGGGAATTTCATTTTCTGAAATAAAAGAAAAACCATATGCAACATCATCTAACCCTCAGATTTGGGGGCTGGTTAATTTTAATCACAGTAAATCTAATAATAAAACAATGTATAGCATGTTTAGCAGTCTTGAAAACATATTTTAGAAAATATTAGAAATAGGTGAGATAAATGGGTTACCACTTTCTAAGTCTGAAAACTTTTCAAAGTTGGGATTCTTAACCTGAGTCCATTTATTTCTTCTAGGAGGTCCAAAATTTTTATCACAAAGAAGTAATTACTTTGTATTTTTAAAATAATTAGATATTCTAACATGACTAAAGGTCATTTGAAAACTAGAACAAATAAAATCCTACTTAGAAGACAAAACAGAAAAATAACTAGGTGTTCAAAAAACTATACAAAGTAATAGAAACACTGTTCTAAATTAGAGAAGTGTATATTACTCAAAAAATATTTTGAACCAATTCTTCTAAATGACATGGTACTTAGTACAACTTAAATTTGGATAGAATTGTCAAAGAGTAGTTATATGGGCATACCCATAAAGTCATGTGATAATTAAAGGAGGCTTCACAAGACAGTCAAAGCATAGCCAGTCTGCTTAAAGACAGTTTGGAGATTCATGTAGGACTATCTGAGTGTTTTCAGCGTTTTATAAAATATCTTTTAATGAAGCGCAAAAAGCATGTTATTGTCATGCAACTCATCAAGTGCTAATTGTCTATTTTTTCCTTTTTTAATGTATCAATGATGTTGATACCACTTTCCAGAAGATACTGAGGAAAGATCATTTATCACAGCACAACTTTATGTAAAAGGAATATGAGGGCTGTGATTGATTAGTATTTATCCTAAATGATAAATTTTAAATATTTCCAGATATTAAATTTGCATAATTGTATAATAAATCACTGTTTTATCTTACAGATTTCACAGAATTGGCTAAAACTCTATTAGCATTTGTCCCCCTCCCCAAAACAAAAACAAAAATAAAACCAAAGCATTTCATGGTAAGGTTTATTTGTCTTATAGGTTAAATCACTTGACTAGCATTATACTGCAGAATGTGTTCTATGTTTTTCCTATCAAAATAAAAGTAAAATGGCAAGTAATGAATATGTTTCTTTTTAACCGGTCAAAATCCATACCCAAACTCTCCAAAAATTAAATCTTACAACTGGAAAGCAGCTAAAACTGCACCTGCTTCAAGTAAATGTAAAGTGGCAGACCATTTGCAAGTTGAAAGTAATCCTTTTCCTGTGGAATATAAAAACTCACAAAAGAAACTCATGCCCTGGAGAAATGGAATCTGATAGAACATTCACTTTAAACACACACACACACTCACACACACACACACCCCTCACAATAAAAACACCAAAAACAGAAGCATATGAGGAAAGATTAAAAATGAGCTAAAAACACAGTTGTTTTCATTCATAAATTTATAAAAGTTCTCACAAATAAATGTTGTCATTATTTGAGTCTTGTTAGAATGGTACTTGGAAATCAAAGACTAGAACCAAAGGAACAAACAGAATATTGTGTTTAAGTCTGGTAAATACAGCCAATTATAATAATAAGTTCATATATTTGCAAAATGAAATGCAGAATATTTAGAAATGAAATTCTTAAAACTGAGCATAAAGATCGGAAAGCCAATATTTATTTTAAAGTTTTTTAATTATTTTTTGTTTATTATACTTTAAGTTCTAGGGTACATGTGCACAATGTGCAGGTTTGTTACATATGTATACATGTGCCATGTTGGTGTGCTGCACCCATGAACCGCACCCATTTACATTAGGTATATCTCCTAATGCTATCCCTCCCCCCTCCCCCTACCCCACAACAAGCCCTGGTGTGTGATGTTCCCCAGCCTGTGTCCAAGTGTTCTCATTGTTCAATTCCCACCTATGAGTGAGAACATGCACTGTTTGGTTTTCTGTCCTCGTGATAGTTTGCTCAGGATGATGGTTTCCAGCTTCATCCATGTCCCTACAAAGGACATGAACTCATCCTTTTTATGGTTGCATAGTATTCCATGGTGTATATGTGCCACATTTTCTTAATCCAGTCTATCATTGCTGGACATTTGGGTTGATTCCCAGTCTTTGCTATTGTGAATAGTGCTGCAATAAACATAAGTGTGCATGTGTCTTTATAACAGCATGATTTACAGTCCTTTGGGTATATACCCAGTAATGGGATTACTGGCTCAAATGGTATTACTAGTTCAAGATCCTTGAGGAGTCGCCACACTGTCTTCCACAATGGTTGATCTAGTTTACAGTCCCACCAACAGTGTAAAAGTTTTCCTATTTCTTCACATCCTCTCCAGCATCTGTTGTTTCCTGACTTTTTAATGATTGCCATTCTAACTGGTGTGAGATGGTATCTCATTGTGGTTTTAATCTCACTGATGGCCAGTGATGATTTTTTCATGTGTCTGTTGGCTGCTGGATTCAGTTTGCCAGTATTTTACTGAGGATTTTTGCATTGATGTTCGTCAAGGATATTGCAGAATGGCAAATGTTGCTGCCTGATCCTTCCTCTGGAAGCTTTGTCTCAGCGGGGCACCTGGCTGTATGAGGTATCAGTCGGCCCTTACTGGGAGGTGTCTCCCAGTTAGGCTACTCAGGGGTCAGGGACCCACTTGAGGAGGCAGTCTGTCTGTTCTCAGATCTCAAACTCCATGCTGGGAGAACCACTATTCTCTTCAAAGCTGTCAGACCAGGACGTTTAAGTCTGCAGAAATTTCTGCTGCCTTTTGTTCAGCTATGCCCAGGCAGGCATACCTCCTTGACCTGCGGTGGGCTCCACACAGTTCAAGGTTCCTGGCCCCTTTGTTTACCTACTCAAGCTTCAGCAATGGTGGACGCCCCTCCCCCAGCCTTGCTGCTGCCTTGCAATTCAATCTCAGACTGCTGTGCTAGCAGTGAGCGAGGCTCTGTGGGCGTGGGACCCTCCGAGCCAGGTGCGGGATATAATATCCTGGTGCGCCATTTGCTAAGACTACTGGAAAAGCACAGTATTAGGGTAGGAGTGTCCCAATTTTCCAGGTACCATCTGTCACAGCTTCCCTTGGCTAGGAAAAGGAATTCCCTGACCCCTTGTGCTTCCTGCATGAGGTGATGCCCCACCCTGCTCTGTGGGCTGCACCCACTGTCTGACAAACCCCAGTGAGATGAGCCCCATACCTCAGTTGGAAATGCAGAAATCACCCATCTTCTGCATCTCTCACCCTGGGAGCTGTAGACTGGAGCTGTTCCTATTTGGCCATCTTGGAACCCCCTAAAGTTATTTTAATATATGTGTTCTGATATAATTATGTTTTGACTAAGTCATCATGGTTAACACTGAATGTCAACTTGATGACATTGAAGGATACAAAGTATTGATCCTGGGTGTGTCTGCGAGGGTGTTGCCAAAAGAGATTAACATTTGAGTCAGTGGGCTGGGAAAGGCAGACCCACCCTTAATCTGGGTGGGCATAAACTAATCAGCTGCCAGACTGGCTAGAATATAAGCAGGCAGAAAAATATGAAAAGAGAGACTGGCCTAGCCTCCCAGTGTACATCCTTCTCCTGTGCTGGATGCTTCCTGCCCTCAAACTTCAGACTCCAGGTTCTTCAGTTTTGGGACTCAGACTGGCTTTCCTTCCTCCTCAGCCTGCAGATGGCCTATTGTGGGACTTTATAATCATGTGAGTTAATACTTAAACTTATGTGTGTGTGTATATCTATCTATATATATCTATCTACATAGATCATTAAGTTCATGACACCTGCCAGGCATGTATTAATAAATTATATTTATTTTTATTTTTTAAAGTAATAGTATTCAAGTTAGTGTATTAGTCAGGGTTCTCTAGAGGCACAGAACTAATGGACTGTGTATATATATATTTATTTTGTGTGTGTGTATCTCTCTGTATATATCTAGATATATATGTAGATATATATAGATAGATATTTAGATATATATACATATATATGTATATCTGTATACAGATAGATATCTATATAGATATATAGATAGATACACACACACACACTGTATGTGTGTGTGTGTTTGTGTATATATATATCTATGTATACACAGTCCATTAGTTCTGTTCCTCTAGAGAACCCTGACTAATACACTAAGTTGAATACTGTTACTTTAAAAAATAAAAATAAATATAATTTATAAATACATGCCTGACAGGTGTCATGAACTTAATGATCTCTGACTCTATCTTTAATATTTTTTTCAACAAGTAAGTTTTTATTAACATGAATTTGGAATACCAAGCATGCAACCAGGACAGGTGCTATGGCTCATGATTATAATTCCACCACTTTGTGTAGGCTGAATTTGTCAGATTGCTTGAGCTCAGGAGTTCGATACCAGCCTGGAAAGCCTGGTCCCAAGGAATTAAAAAATAAAAACAACTAAATTAGCCAGGAGTGTTGGGGCAAGCCTGAAGTTCCAGCTATTTGGGAGGCTGAGGCGAGAGAATTTCTTGAGCCAGGGATGTCGAGGCTGCAGTTAGCCAAGATTGCGCCACTGCACTTCAGCCTGTGTGACAGAGTGAGACCCTGCCACACACACACACACAAAAGCACCTATACCAGTATTTGGGGGAGGGTGGGAGAGGAGGAGGGTGAGGCAGTGGGAAGGAATTCTAATCTGTAGATAATTAAGCTCCAGGTTCATCCAATTGTGGATTTTGTTGATGAAAATAGTTGAACTATGTAAAATAATTTGAAGAGATTTATTCTGAGCCAAATATGAGTGACCATGGCCCATGATACAGCCCTCAGGAGTTCCTGAGAACATGTGCCCAAGGTGGTCGGGGTACAGCTTGGTTTTAAATATTTTAGGAAGGCATGAGACATCAATCAAATAAATTTAAGAAATACAATGGTTTGGTTCAGAAAGGTAGGACAACTCAAAGTGGGGGCTTCCAGGCTACAGGTACATTTAAACATTTTCTGGTTGACAATTGACTGAGTTTATTTGAAGACCTGGGATTAATGGAAAGAAATGTTCAGGTTATGATAAAGGATTGTGGCAACCAAGTTTTGTTGTGCAGAAGAGTCTCTCAGGTAGCAGGCTTCAGAGAGAGAGAACAGGTTGTAAAATGCTTCTTAGCAGACCTAAAAGGGGCCTGTCTCTTAGTTGATCATTTCCTGGATCTGGAAAGAAAGGAAGGAGAAATGGGATTCTCTAGAGAATGTGGATTTTATCACAAGAGACTTTGCAGAGCAATTTCAAGGTATGATGAAGAGATGTATTTTGATGTTAAGTATGTTTCCTTGTGTTATGTTTTCTATGTGTTATGTAATGCCACAGATAGAATGAAAAGTAAGTTACAATATATAGGGTCAAATAAAACCTATCTGATGAGAATTTATGGTTTGTAGGGCATGACTCCCTAGACCCCTTAGGTAGGAATGTGGGCAAGATAAAAAATCAGAGCTTAGTCCTCAATTTCATAGTCCCCCAAGGACATGTGATTGTTAAAAATAGTGTACTTGTTCAGGACACTCTTGTCCAGCAGGGTGCCAGTTTGGGACGCAATCAGCTTCTTAGGGTCCCCGATGGTGTCATCCGTGTTGCATTTAATGCGGACCTTCTTCCCCAGAAAGTCGTGCAAACAATCTTGGTCATCGTGGCTGGAGCTGGAATCACCTTGTACCTGTGGATGTGACACTCTTCTCGCTTGAGCACTGAAATCCATGATCTCTGACTTTAAATCAAGCTTCAAAGTAAGTGTTAGTCTGAGGGTTTACACATAAGAAACAGGTTTTAAAGACAGTTTAAGAAACCTGTTCGAAATAATGACACTTTTTCAAAGCAAAGCTAGTATGCAAACTAAGGAATGTTCTGCTCCAGAATTTGCAATTTCTCCCCTTAAACAGTGATAACTATAGTTAAATTGTTGATATTTGGTTTCCTAAGTAATAAAAATGAATTAGATTATTATTAGCTACAAATGGCTATTAAATAATGGCATTGTTTCAAAACTCTATTACTTGCCAGGGTTGGGGGGAAATGATAGAGCTATTCATTCGATGTGGTTTGTACTCTAGAAGGTAAGGGACCATTTCTAAGGTAAGAATATTTCAAAGTTCTCCTCACAGTATAAAGCATACTACTTAGCACATAATAGGTCATCAATGATATCTATTGAATAAATGAATGAACAGACAAAAGAATAAATACTGATAGGTTTTACATAACGTTGAAGTTAATTTTGCTTTATTAGAAATTCATTTCTCAAAGTTGCTTCTTATATTCTTGTGATATTTTAAGAAATTAGTAAACAGAGAAAGATTTTTTTTAAGAAAAAAGCTTTGTTTGTTTGTAGAGGTAGGTTTTTTGTTTGCTTTTAACGTATGACTATAAAACACTATACACACTCACATGTAGGCAATTTCATTTTTAGTTTTAAAATATTTAGTTTTATTTCAAATGTTTTATTTAAAATATTTAGTTTTTGATTATTTTTATTTTATTTAAAATATATAGTTTTATTTAAAATATTTAGTTTTACTTTTAAAATATTTTTACCAATTAATACAAATATAAATTAATACAATTTATATTTTATAATATAGACACACAAAAGGATAATTTGATATCATAGTCATATAGGACATGCATTTTTAATAATATATTTGTCATAATATATATGTCATAACCAAGACATAACCAATATAAAGAGTTTAGACTGGTGTCTGATAGATACATTTGCTCTTTGTTTACCTGATTTAATAGGTGAACAATCAAGAACATTTATCAAATGTGAACTATGCCTCTGATCCTTTGCTTCTAGGTCACTGGACTTAGTTGTTTCCAATGGTTTTTAATTATTGCAATTTTTGTGAAAAACAATGCATCTTCTCATTCCTTGAGAAGATGAATGCGCTATGTATTTGAAAAACTACTTTTCACTTGAACTTTGCCTCCTAAAATAGGACAATTAGCCAAAACCCTAAAATGGCAAGATTCCTGCTTACTATTTGTGTTAGTTAGGGCTGCCTTAGCAAACTATCACAGATTGTGTTGCTAAAAACACATTTTTTTTAACAGTTCTGGAGGTTAGAAGTTTAAGGTGAACTTGGAGGCAAGTTTGGTTTCTTCTGAGGCCTCTCTCCTTGACTTGCCGATGACTTCCTTTTTCTATATCCTCAAATGTTTGTCTCTGTGCTTGTACGTTTCTGGTGTCTCTTGGTTTGTCCAAATTTCTTTTTCTTATGAACACACTAGTCAGATTGAATTAGGGAACAAACTAAAGGCGTCATTTTAACATCATCACTTCATTGAAGACCTTATCTTCAAATGTAGTCAAATTCTCGAGTACTAGGGGTTGGGACTTGAGCATATGAGTTTGGGGAGAATACAGTTAAACCCATAATACTACTGTGATGCAAACATTACAATTAAATGATTAAGCTTAACTTGTCCATATAACCAGGATTGGTTCATTTAAGGGAGATGACAGCTGAGTCCAAAGGAAGAAAAAAAAGCTACAAAATGCAAGACACGTAAATGAGTAAAGGCACTAAAAAGCAAATTTAAAACAACACACATAAAATTGTTTTAATTGTAATTAATTTATTGTTATTTTCTAAACAATTCCAAAGTTTTGCTTTCAGATACTGCCCATATATCTTTCAGAGAAAATCTCTTTTAGAGAAAATCATAAAAAATATTGTTGTGGGACGGTTCTCAGAAATGCAGTTTATGCACTGGATTTCAATTGTATTTTAATATCAGCAAGATGTATTCTGGAAACCATATCATTATACTATTGTACATTTCAGACACAAAGTAATATTAAATATAATTATCCTAGAACTCATGAATACTGGATTGTTACCAGTTAAGACAACATTTCTTCTCCTGAGATTCTCAACAGAGTATTGAGACTCTGATTAAGGGAAAATGAAGAAGAAAAACAAAATGCAAAAGCACTAGATTATTAACAAGCCTTGAGCTCCAACTTCACAATTCAGTAGATTGTTTAATAGGGTGTATCTGGTGGCTTAAATGTGATATTTAAATGGTTTCTCTGTGGCCCTGAGCCTAGAGCCAATTGGAGAATGAGAGTTCAGAGTGACAAGAGTAAACGAGTGTGTGAAAAAAGGGAGGAAAACAGTTCACATCTGCTACTGTGCAGCACGAAACCATAGGCTTTTGACATCCAGCATCCTGAAAGAATATAGCCAACAATTTTCATCTCTGTGACAGTGATGGTTATAAAATAAGGGGCCCTCATTTTATCATATGTGATCACATTTTATCATATGTGATATCACAATACACATGTTAAAATCATTTAGGAGATGGTTTAATTCTCAGTGAAACATTTCAAAAATAGTCTGAAAGTAAATATGAGAAAAGTTGTGACATAATTATAACTAATATTAAGAAACTTACCCAGGACTACACAGATAAGTGTCCTGTTCTCTGTAAAACAACACTATTTTCGTTTTTAGTTTTAAGTTCAAGAGTACATCTTCAGGCTTGTTACATAGGTCAACCTGTATCACAGGGATTTGTTGTACATATTATTTCATCATCCGGATATTAAGCCTAGTACCCATTAGTTATTTTTCCTGATCCTCTCTTTCCTCTCACCTTCCACCCTCCAATCGGCCCCAGTGTGTGTTTTTCTCCTCTATGTATCTCATCATTTAGCTCATACTTGTAAATGAGAACTTGTAACATTTGGTTTTCTGTTCCTGCATTAGTTTGCTAAGGATTATGGCCTCCAACTCCATCAGTGTTCTTGCAAAGGACATGATTTTCTTCTTTTTTATGGCTGCATAGTATTCCTTAACGTGTATGTACCACATTTTCTTTATTCAGTCTATCATTGATGGCCATTTAGATTGATTCCATGTCTTTGTTGTTACAAATAGTGCTCCAGTGAACATATGCGTGCATGTGTCTTCATAACAGAATGATTTATATTCCTTTGGGTATATACCAAGTAACGGGATTGATGGATTGAATGGTGTTTCTGTCTTTAGGTCTTTGAGTAGTCACCACATTGTCTTTGACAATGGTTGAACTAATTTGCACTCCCACCAATAGTGTATAAGTGTTCCTTTTCTCCACAACGTTGCCAGCAACTGCTATTTTTTGACTTTTCAATAATAGCCATTTTGACCGTGTGAGATGGTATCTCATTATGGTTTTGATTTGAATTTCTGTAATGATTTGTGGTGTTGAACTTTTTTTCATATGATTCTTGGCCATCCACAACTTATATTCACTACTTCTTTTCTTTTTTTCTGCTCAGGAAATGTTTTGCTTATAAGTTTTTGAAGTAATATATTCCTATTACTATTAAATTTATCCCTTGGACAATTAGATAGTTCTAAAAAGGGAAATGGACTTACTATTCTTAATAGGCACATGCTGGATGCCAGATACAACTGAAAAGCAAATAATAGAATTAATTCTCCTGTGGGTGTGGGTGTGTGTGAACTGTATCTTGTTTTAGACTAATTTTCAAATCACTATGTGTTTTGACATACCCATGGTTATTAACAACACTTAGTTCCCTGTCACACATATTTTTATTTATATATAGAATAAAATAGGTTTTTTTAACATTCAATCAAAATTGCCAATTATCTGCATTTACCTAATTATCACCTGACATGGGATATATTAACAGGATGACAACATAGAAATAAAAACGGAATGAAAACAATGAAATACTGTTTTAAAGATATCCTTCTTTTGACACTGAATCCTGAAATTGTGACTACTTAAGCACAGTGAGAAAAAGCATTTCCAATGATTTTGTTCATCTTTCCATGTAATATCGTATTATATTAAATTAAATGTTGTTCCCCAAATATTTTTTCATTATTCTGATAAATAAATAATCTGGTAAAAAGTAAAATATACGTATATTTTTAGTAGTATTAAGTTTATCTAGCCAGCAAAGCATATTGCCATAAATAATGGAACATTTTGGACAGCTTAATATTTAACTATATAGAGTCATAAAAATATTTCAACTTATACTGAGCAATAAAAATATTCCTTGCCAAAATTGTTTTCAATTTTTATCAGTGCCATTTTCATAGGTGGATTAAGGAAATGGGAGATTACATTTCACATATTTGCAAATAAATAATTCTGTACAATATACAAAAAATCATACCCAATGTGTCACATCCAGACTATTGTTGCTAGACTTTCTCAAGTCTTAAATGGAATCATAATCCATTTATACTAAGGCAAATTTATGTCTTTATATGCTATATTGCTGTCTAGCTCACTGCCTAGGTAGTAACTTTTATACTTATACATATATGTGTGTGTACGTTTCTGGATGTGCACACAATTTTTTTTTGTATGTGCACAAAAGAATATCTTAAATACACCCCATGTATATTGAAGTGATACTATTTTTACAGCTGATGCTGGTTAAATTTTCTTTTCCATTATTGTCACTTGAGATCAGCAATATGTTTTCATTTTCACAAAAACATATTTAGTTCCTGAATATATGAACCCATTTCAACATTCATAATTCATTGGTCCACATAATTGTGTAAATGTCATAACAATGAAATTGGACTGAGATTGCTGCACAAAATCTTGAAGAAACACATAATTATGATGAGTTTTTATAATAAAAAATGTCTCCGTTACATATGGATTTTTCTTCTTTCCTGAATAATAATTAAAATAGATACACTTTTAGATAATTTTTTAAACTACAGAACTACTTTTTAAGAAGTTTCATATGTCTTGTTTAGGGTCATTGAATGCATAGACAAAACTTAATTAGCAGAGATTCATTTATTCTACAGCAAAGAGCAATGACCATCTACTTGATTTGAGTGCCACGCTAAATTATTCTGCTACTGTTGCAATAAACAAGATAACAAACTACTCAAAATTTAGTTATCTATAATAGTAAACAATTATTTTTTGTACTCATGGTCTGTGCAACAACTGGAGCATCACTGCATCAGATTTCAGGGAGCTGGACTTGGCTTTGGGCTTAGAGTAGGGTTCAAAAGAATTCCACAGTGTCCATGATCCCCTTGGACAAACACTTCCCAGGGCACATTTTTCTCCTAATGGACACAGAGTAAAAAGTGGACAGTGCCTGGCACAGTGGCAGATGCCTGTGGTCTCAGCTACTCAGGAGGCTGAGTGGAGAGAATTGCTTGATTCCAGGAGTTTCAGTCCAACCTGCAGCCTGGACAACATAATGAGACTGTCTCAAAAAGAAAAAAATCAAATCAGACAAGAACCTAACTACTCGTTGGACACATCACTTCACATGACAAGTCCATAACCTGGGCAGAAGAAAAGGTAGTACACCCTGAAAAATATAGAAAAGTAGATGAACATTTGCAGAAAATATTTACATGTATGCACACACAAGCAGGTCTCTGTTTAATGCCTGATACCTGCTATTTTCTAGTAAAAGTTGAATTATTTTGTTAAGAAACTTATTTTAGAGCAGTTTTAGTTTTATGGAATCATTGTGAAGATAGAACAAAGAATTCCCGTATACTCCATGCTCATTCTACCTTAGTATTAAAGTCCTAGATCACTATGGTACACTTGTCGCAACTAATATTGATCTATTATTATTAAATAGAGTTCATGCTTTATGATTCCCTCACTTTTTCCCTAATGTCCTTTATCTTTTGCAGAATTTCATCCAAGCTACTACATTACATCCAGTAGTCATGTCTCCTTAGACTCCTCTTGGCTATGACAGTTTTTCAAACATTCTTTGTTACTGATGACCTTGACAGCTTGGAGGATCACTGTTCAACCTTTTTGTGGAATGTCCCTTAATTGGAATTCTTTCTGAATTTGTTTTTTTCATGATTAGACTGGAGCTTTGTGTTTTGGGGAGGAAGATCACAGAGGTAAAGTGCCAGTCTCATCATGTTGTATCAAGGATATGTACCATCAATACGACACACTTTTTATGTTAATATTACTATGTGGCCTCAGGTCAAGTTGTTCCTAGGCGAAACTGAGGGTTGGGCTGCTATTTCTCATGGGCCAATAATGAGATGTAGATGAACTGGGGAGGAAGAGAGTTTTAATTTCTGTAACCAGTTACAGTGGGAAGGCCTGGAAACTATCACCAGACCAACTCAAAATTACAAAGTTTTCCAGAGCTTATATACCTTCTAAACTATATGTCTATTGGTAAGTGTGCATTCATCCAAAGTCATAAGTGACTAACTTCTTTTAATCTATATCTAAGGCCTGAGTCCTGAATACCTTCTTCTGGAGCCTCAGTAAGTTTAATTAATCTAAATGGGTATAGGTGCTGGGGTAATTCCCCTTCTCTTGTCTCCTGCTAAATCATAAAGGTTTGGGGAGTTTCTTTAGTCCCCAATAAACTTGTTTGCGGAGGCCTGGGGAGTTTCTTCAGACCCCCCACCCCCCAGTAACATTTATTTAATCCTAAAAGCGTCCTGTTGATAATTCCTTCGTTATCTTGTCATGCTTCAGGGCCCAGGAAAAGCCTAGGCAAAACTGTTGGTGGGCTCTTTGTTACATTCCAGCCTTTGTATAAGGGCACTGGTTCAATCACCTTTTTTTTTTTTTTTTTTTTGAGACGGAGTCTCGCTCTGTCTCCCAGGCTGGAGTGCAATGGCGCGATCTCAGCTCACTGCAACCTCTGCCTCCTAAGTTCATGCACTTCTCCTGCCTCAGCCTCCCTAGTAGCTGGGATTACAGGCACCCGCCACCATGCCGGGCTAATTTTTGTATTTTTATAGAGACTGGGTTTCACCATGTTGGCCAGGCTGATTTCAAACTCCTGACTTCATGTGATCCTCCCGCCTCGACCTCTCAAAGTGCTGGGATTACAGGCATGAGCCCCTGCGCCTGGCCTCAATCAGCTTTTAATGTTTAACCTAGCTATTCAGTCAGTGCTGGGACAGTTGTAATGGAGGCCTGCGTTAGTGAGACATGGCCTGCCACAAAGTGACTCTATTTTTTCTTCATTTTCTTACAGTACTTCTTCAAAGCAAGTCACCACGCACGCTCATACTTAAGGATTGGGGAGTTACGCTGCATCTCCTTAAGGACAACATATCTCCAGAGAAAATTTTAAATTCTTGTATATGGAAAGTTAGTCTTTTCTTCATTTGTTTATTTAATAATTTTTATACCAACCTGGATTCAGAAATATGTATTTTCTACTTATATATTTTTTTCTTTGCATAGATTTAGGGGGTACAAGTGCAGTTTTGTTACATGGATACATACATAATACTAGGGTTTCGGCTTCTAGTATACTCACCACCTAAATAGTGAACATTATCCCCAATACTTAATTTTTAAATCCTCACTTCTCTCCTACTCTGCTCCTTTCTGGAGTCCCCAGTGTCTATTATTTCCTTGTTTATTTCCATAGATACCAATTTCTTAGCTCCTACTTGTAAGTAGGAACATGTATTTTATATTTTGTTTCTCATTATTTTACTTAGGATAATGGCTTCCAGCTCTATCCACGTTGCTGCAAAAGACATAGTTTTGTTCCTTTCTATGGCTTTGTTCCATGGTATACATACCACATTTTCTTTATTCACTCATCCACTGATGCACACTTACGTTGATTCCATAACTTTGCCCTTGTGAAAAGAGCTGTAATAAATGTACAAATGCAGATGTCATTTTTATATAACTACTTATTTTCCTTTGGTTATATATTCAGTAGTTGGGTTGCTGGGTCAAACGGTAGTTCTGTTTCATGTTTCTGTGAGTTAGAAATAACTTAAATTTTACCAACACATTTCCAAATTTTGTAGCAAATCACTATAAACTTTTTGACAAGCTTCATTAATAATATAAAGCCTGAAGTCTATTGAAAACAAATAATGGAAACATAGAGTAGTTATATATTGTGTAACAAGAAATATCATCCAAAAGACATTAGCTCAAGACTTCATTAAATCATGCAATGTGAAATTATTTCAAGACCACTCTGTTGGGTGAGCTTTAGATATAGTATAGTATAGGCCACTGTACTAATGTGTATATGTTAGGATATTAGAGAAAAATATGAGCTTATTTCTAGAACTTAGGTTTTTATTCCACAATAATATGAACTTTTTTTATCAAATAACAAAAACATCATTTTGGCTGTGGGCAACATTGCATTCAGAAAAAAAAAGGACTATGAGTTTTTATTAGGAAAGACTGAGAGCACTGAAGGTAGCACATTGAAATTTAATATATATATATGTACACCACGTCTCAGCTTATGTGACAAAAGATTGTTAAACATTATGGCTTATATTGTAATAATGATAAATAAGTATCTAGAGACTGAAAAATAAGGAAGATACGATTCTTTCATAAGAAAATTTTGCCTAATCATAACTACATACAATTTAATCATGTTAGATGCTATTTCATTTTATTGTTTATTTTTTTCTGTGCAGAAACTTTTTGTTTGATGTATTCCTATTTGTCTATTTTTGCTTTCTTTTGCCTATGTCATTTGTGTCATCCACAAAACATCCTTGCCAAGACCAATGTCAAGCAACATTTTACCTGTGTTTCCTTCTAAGAGTTTTATGATTTTTGGGATTGATACATTTAAGTCTCTAGCCTATTTCAAGTTAATTTTTATTTATAGTGTAAGATAAGGGTTAAATTTCATTTATGTGCACGTGGATAATTAGTTTTCCCAATGCTATTTATTGAAGACACTATCAGTTTTCCATTGTGCCCTTATCAGTTTAGTTGGTCATATACGCGTGAGTTAATTTGTGGGCTTTCTACTCTGTTCTATTGGTCTATGTGTCTGTTTCTTATGTTAGTGCTATACTGCTTTGATTACAATAGCTGTGTAATATAGTTTGAATCGGAAAGTATAATGCCTCTAGCTTTGCTTTTCCTTCTCAAGATTGCCTTGGTTATTCAGGGTCTTTTGTGATTTCATACAAATTTTAGAATAGTTTTTAATATTTCTGTGAAAAAATGCGATTGGAATTTTGATATGAATGTGTTGAATCTATAGATTCCTTTGCGTAATATCAACATTTTAACAATATTAATTATTTCAGTTCATGAATACCAATGTTTTTTCCACTTTCTTGTGTCTTCTTCCATTTCTTTCATCAATGTTTTATAGTATTCAGTGTTCAGATTTTCCACCTCCTTGGTAAATTTATTCCTAAGTATTTTATTTGTTGTTACACTATTGTAAATAGCGTTTTCTTAACTTCTTTTTCAGAGTCCTTTATTAGTATATACAACCACAATGGATATTTGAATGTGGATTTTGCGTCCTGTAACTTTACTGAATTCGTCTATTAGTTTTAACAGTTTTTTTTTTTTGGTGGACTCTTTAAAATTTTCTATAAATAAGACCATTTCTCTGCAAAGAGATACAATTTAACTTTTTCCTTTCTAATCTGAAAGCCTTTAATTTATTTTACTTGCCTAATTGTTCTGGCTACGACTTCCACTAATATTTTCAATAGAAATGGTGAGAGTGAGCATTCTTGTTTTGCACCTAATGTTAGAAGAAAAACTTTCAGCATTTCACAATTCAGTAAAATATTAGCTGTGGGTTTGTCATACATGCCTTTTATTATGTTGAGGTAGATACCTTATATACCTAGTTTGTTGGCAGGTTTAATCTTGAAAAATTGGAGAATTTTTATCATGAAATAATTTTTGTTTAATGTTTTTTTCTGTGTCCATTGAGAGGATCATGATTTGTATGCTTCATTCTGTTAATGTGATATATCACATCTATTGTATTTTGCATGTTGAACCATCCTTGTATGCCAGAGCTAAATCTCACTTGATGATTGTGTACAATCCTTTTAATGTGTTGTTGAATTTTGTTTCCTACTCTTTCATTGAAGAATTTTGCATCTATGTTTATCAGGAGTATTAATCTGCAATTTTTTTCTTGTAATGTCTTGCTTTGTTAACAGGGAAATGCAGGTCTTATAAATTTAGTTGGAAATGTTATCTTTACTTTTTTTTGGAAAGGTTTGAAATTATTGGTACTATTTCTTCTTTAAATGTTTCTAAGAATTGACCTGTCAAGCCATTCTGGGCTTCTTTTCTTTGCTGGCTTTTCATAACTGCTTCTATCACCTTACTTGTTTTTGGTGTCTTCAGATTTTCTCTTTCTTTCTTTCTTTTTTTTTTTTTTTTTTTGGTGACAGGTTCTCACTCTGTTGCCCAGGCTGGAGTGCAGTGGCGTGATCTTGGCTCGCTGCAACCTCCACCTACTGGGTTTAAGTGATTCTCCTGCCTCAGCCTCCCAAGTAGCTGGGATTATAGGCACTCACCACCACACCGGGCTAATTTTTATATTTTTAGTAGACACGGGGTTTCACCATGTTGGTCAGGCTGGTCTCAAACTCCTGACCTTGTGATCTGCCCTCCTTGGCCTCCCAAAGTGATAGGATTGCAGGCGTGAGCCACCGCACATGGCCTCTATTTCTTTATGATTTAGTATAAGTAAACTGTATGTTTCTACAAATTTATCTATTTCTTTGAATTTACCAAATTTGTCAGCATATAATTATTTATAATAATTTATTTTTATCATTTTCATTTCTGTGGTATCAATTGTAATATTTCTTCTTTATAACTTTATTTACTTAAGTGGTTTCTCTCTCTCTTTTTTAATCGAGATAAATGATTTTCAATTTTGTTTATTATTTCAAAAAACTCATTGATCTTTTATTGATATTTTTCTATATTCTCTAATCTGTATTTTTTTTTATTTATGCTGAAGTCTTTTGTATTTGCTTCTTTCTGCTAACTTCGGGCTTAATTTGTGTTTTTTTTTCTCACTTCTTCTACTTCAAGATATAAAGTTACATTTCTTAAGATTTTTCTTTTGTATTTATGGCTATGCATCTTCTTCTTAAAACTGCTTTTGTTGGCTGGGAGCAGTGGCTCACACATGTAATCCCAGCACTTTGGGAGGCTGAGGTGGGCAGATCACCTGAGGTCAGGAGTTTGAAACCAGCCTGGCCAACATGGCAAAACCCTTTCTCTATTGAAAATACAAAAATTATCCAGGAGTGATGGTCCATGCCTGCAGTCTCAGCTACTCGGGAGAGTGAGATAGGAGAATCACTTCAACCTGGGAGACAGAGGTTGCAATGAGCCGAGATTGCACCACTGCACTCCAATGTGGGCAACAGAGTGAGTCTCTGTCTCAAAAAAAAAAAAATTCTTTTATTTTTCTCTTTTATTCTTTGGTTATTGTTGAATTTAAACATATTTGTGAATTTTCTATTTTTTCTTCTATTATTCTAATTTCATATCATGTGGTTGGAAAAAATATATAATTTCTGTCTCTTAAATTTGTAAAGACTGTTTTGTGGCCTAACATATGGTGTATTCTAAAGAATGTTCTATGTGCACAAGAGAAAAAATAGGAATTCACTGCTCTTGGGTGGAATACTCTGTACAAGTCTTTTAGTTCCATTAAGTCTACAATTTTGTCCAAATCCTCTATTTCCTTGTTGATTTGCTTATTGATTTATATTTACAGTAAGTATTGATAGTTAAGGACTCAGTATTATTATTTTGTTAAATATTTTCTGACTGTTTTATAGGTCTTTTGTTTCTTTCTCTCCTGGTGCCTTCTTTTGTGATTTCATGGGATTTTCAAAGTAGTATGTTTTGATTCCTTTCTCTTTTGTATATCAACAATATGTTTTTCCACTGTGGTGGAAAAGACCAGGCATCTGGTGCATGGTCTTAGAAGGTATCTTCCATGGATAAGGAGAAACAACAATACTTTCACTTCAACTTAAAGTATTCCCTTCATTATTTCTTGTAAGGCAGGTCTAGTGGTGATTAATTCCCCAGGCATTTGTTTGTCAGGGAGAATGCTTATCTTTCTTTCATTTCTGAAGGACAGCTTTGTCAGGTATAATATTCATGTTTTGGTACTTACTTTATTTCAACACTTTGAATGTATTATTTTTTTCTGTCCTGGCCTCTATCATTTCTGATGACAGGTCTTATAATGAGACTCCTTTGTATGTAACATTCACTTTTTCTCTTGCTGTTTTCAGATTTTTCTTTGTCTTTTACTTTTGAGAGTATGATTATAATGTGATTTACTGAAGATCTGTTTTTGTTTAATCTATTTGGTATTCTTATGAATGGTCATTATTCTTTTCAAATTTGGGGAGTTTTCTGTTATTATTTTTTGAAATAAGCTTTCTGCCCTTTCTCTATCTCTATTGAGAATCTCATATTGCACATATTGGTTTACTTTGTAGTGACTCATAAGTCTCGTAAGTTTTCTTCATACTTTATCATTCTTTTTTTTTCCTCTGGGTAAATTCAAATGATCTCCCTTTTTGCTTGCTTATTCTATTTACTTGAATGAGTCCGCTGTTGCTGTTGAAGTGGAAGTTTTCATTTCAGTCACTGTGCTCTTCAGCTCCAAAAGTTCTGTTTAGTTCTCTTTTATGTTTTTTTATCTCCTTATTGAAATTTTCATTTTGTTTCTGTATTATATTCCTGAGTTAATTTAGTTGTATACTTCTGTTCTCTTATACCTAACTGAACTTCCTTAAGAAGATTATTTTGAATTATTTCTCAGGCATTTGGTAGATCTTCATTTTGTTAAGGTTGGCTACTGATGCTTTATTTTGTTCCTTCCGTGTTGTTATGTTTCCATACTTATCCATATCATTATTTGTAAAGGTGTTTGTGGATTTGAAGAACTAGACACATCTTCCAGTATTAACAGACTAGATTTGGTAAATAAAACACTTAACAATTAGTCCCTCCGGAGATTATGGCAGGCCAGCTAATGAGGTTCTCAGGTTGTTTTGGTGCTAGAATCCTGAGAAGGGCTGACTTGGTGCCTGGGGACATAAGAGTTTGCCTGGGGCCTGTGTCTGCAAGGGCCACCCTGGTGCCTGGAGTTATAGGGGTGGGCCTGGAGCTAGGGCCACAGCACTTGACCTGGTATCAGATGGGTTTGGAACCTAGAGCCACAGGGGCCAGCATGAAACCTGGGATTATGGATGCCAGCCTGGTGCAGGGGCCAGCCTGTTGCAATGAACACTGAGACAGGTCTGATGCCAGGGCTTGCGGTGGCTTCAGCTGCTAACTTCAATTTATTTCCCCCACATGGAAGATAACTCTCTTCATGCTATACCAAATGGGCTTGGGGAAAGGGTGACATGAATCATATAAAACTGTTCTTCCTATCATCTTCAAGACATCTCTTCCTATTCCTGTGTTCCTCGCAGGTGCTGTAATCTCTCACCTGAATTTCTCAACTTTGTGAAGCTATTTTTGCAAACCGATATTTGTTCAAACTGACACTTTTGTGAAGACATGAGTACTGAAACTCCTATTCTTCCATCTTGCTGATTTTACTCACTGCCTAAAATTTTACATTGGATTTTGCTGCTTAATTCAAAGTTTCAATTGATCTTTAAAATATCAGACATACCAAATTTTGAAAATGGCCTAAGGTTTATTAGAATAGGCTCAAAATATGTTCTAATACATGTGTTCTTTGAAATATAAGAAAACACAAAATGTTTAAGATCCATGAATGACTTGGTCAAATGATGTGAAGAACACTGTTGGCAAGGGTAAAAAGAAAATAATAATAAAAGAAAGCAATGAGTAGTCTTATATTGAATAAGGTTAAAGTCATTTATAAGATTTATTTGCTTTCAAGAAAATCACTTCAGGAAACATGAACTTGAAAGTGCCCTGAAAGGTTATGATTTTGTGGAGTTCAAGAGTAATAACCAAAAGAAAAATGTGCATGTATGATAAAACCCCTCAGAGTTTATCACAATGGAACTAGCAAAAGACTCAAACAGTTTCAGTCAGCAGTTCCTTGAGATGCTCAAGGAAAAGTTAATGTTACGAAAAAGATTCAGTGCCTTGTGGTTGCACTTGAAATATAGTTTTTGCCTTTCAGTTGCATTAAGCAAATAACCCTAAGGTCTGCAAAAGTATCAAGAGTCAGAATTTAGATACAGACAGAGACAAGAGGAAATAGAGGCCAAGGCATAGAAAAGAGAGAGAGAATGAGAAAGAATGAGAGGATATCATGCTTCATTGTCCAGTGTCATAGCCATTAGCCACATGATGTTATTTAAAATTCAATTAACTGAAATAAAATTTTAAAAATTCAGCTCTTCAGCCTTGCTAGCCACATTTTCAGTGTTTAATAGTCACACATGACTAGTTGTCATCATGTTGAACAATGCTGATGAAGTATATTTGCATGGTCGCAGAAAGTTCTGGTAGAAAAAGCTGATTTAGAAAATCAGAGAGAAAGAGAGAAACCAGAGGGGAGGTAATTACAGGCTTAAACTGAGGGATGAGTAAAATAACAAGAGTTAGTGAGAGTAAGAGGTAAATGTTAGAGAGAGAAAATTTTGTTTTATTTTTATTTTATTTTAATAGTTTGGGGGTGCAGGTGGTTTTGGTTACATGGATAAGTTTCTAAGTGGTGATATCTGAGATTTTGTTGTACCTGTCATCTGAGCAGCAAACACTGTATCCAACATGCAGTCTTTTATCCCTCACCCCGGCTCTCACCCTTCAATTTTTCGAAGACTTTCTTTTGTAACTTACAGAAAAAAATAAAATAAGATGCAATGTAGAAATAATAAATAGGTGCAGAAAAAGTTTGAAAGCCTAAAAAGATCTGACCTGTTTGGTTTGTGGTTTAAAAAAAAAAATCCATGACCATCACCCCAGCATGCATAATATTCAGTCTTTAAAAACTAAGGACTGAAAAGATCAGAGATATTATAAACTAAGCACCCAAGTGGTTTTTAATTGCACCCATTTGACTTTTAGAAAACACAAAATCTTTACAATTTCAGAATTCCTCTCTTCATTTCTAGATGAAATAGAGCTACTGCCTCATCGGGGCAGGAAACAATGGGTGGTTTTTAAAAAAATAAGAGAAACAGTGTAAGAACGGCAAAGCCAAAATTATTAATACATTAAATTTTTGCTATAACTTGATATCCTGACACTTTTCAAACTTTTCCTTTTCTCTGAAAAATGGAATATAAATTGGATATGGAAAATTAATTATTTTTTAAACAAAATATATTTTAAAGATTAAGAAATATAATTCAGAAATGAAAGACAATCATCTAAATGTTATGTAGGAAAACTACAATATTTAAAAGAAGAATAATTCAGTTCAATTCCTAACTAGGAAATTTATCAAATAGGATATTTTGGGCAGGAAATTTAAAGGGAATTTCTTCAGTTTTTAGATAACATTTTGCTTATTATTTAACATTACATTTATACATTTGAAACTTCTATATTTTAGATTTATATATTATACATTTTCACATCTAGGGATATGAAATAGGAAGTCAGATAATATATACAGGAATTTAAATGTAATGTAATCGATATTTGTTGCCTGCTGTTTTAAATGGAAGAATTTACCTACATGTTGACCAAGGATTACACTGGGAGCTCATTTGATTTTTATATTGAAAAACCTCTGAAAGAGGGATTACATGAGAAAAACACATTCTACAATGAAGACAAACATGGAAATATCGAGTCTCCTTGGAAGAAAAGAAGTGTAGAGTCTCTGTGAACGGCCTTTATAGTGGAAAATTTAAATTAAGGAGGAAACTTTAAGATACTGCATTCAAGAGAAACAATACGCATAAAAATATAGGTTATTATTGCCAAGTAAATAAACTGACAATGATCAATTATCATCCTTTCTTTCTTCCCATCCTTTGTTTTGAGAGAGTAGTTTATGTTTACATTCTGTCTTTTTCAATTTTCTCCTTAAATTAGTAGAATAAAATTGGACTAAAATTCTGTTGACATAACCATATAAAATAATGCATGAAATAACCCTATTAAGATAATCTACTTAATTGTTTTTATTTCCAAAATTCTTAAGAAAGTTCTCATTTTAATCCCCAAAACTTTTCAATTCCTTTTTTTTTTTTTTTGAGCAGGAAATACTTGTTTATTACCAAATGACCACAAATTATTTCTTGTTTGTAAAAATTCTTATATAAATGGTCTGACATCTGCAAAACTTTTAACTTTTCAGTTCTTTAATAATTTGGAAACTTTCTGCCCATGAAATAATTTCAAGACTGTTCTGACTTCGTCTTTTCTTTTCTTTCTTTTCTTTTTTTTTTTTTTTTTTTTTTGATATGGAGTCTTGCTCTCTCGCCCAGGTTGGAGTGCAGTGGTGCGATCTCAGCTCCCTGCAACCTCCGCCTACCAGGTTCAAGCGGTTCTCCTGCCTCAGCCTCCTGAGTAGCAGGGATTACAGACATGCGCCACCATGCCTGGCCAATTTTTGTATTTTTAGTAGAGACGGGGTTTCACCATGTTGGTCAGGCTGGTCTCAAACTCCTGACCTTGTGATCCGCTGGCCTCGGCCCCCCAAAGTGCTGGGATTACAGGAGTGAGCCACCTCGCTTGGCTGACTTTTTCTTCTTAGACATTTTCAAGCATTCCTCTTCATGTTTCTTAAATACTAGGGTTCCCTAGCATTCCCTTTTCTAGCCATTAACTGGTTGTTTCATTCAATTTGCCTGTTTCCCTTGTAATTCATTGTTGATGTCAATTACATTTCCGAATATATTTTCTGGGTAAAACAATCCTTTAGATTCCGACATGTTTTCCAACTCCTAGATTTCTCTACCTAGATAGAGAAATTTAAACTCACCACATCATTTCTTTTCTAATATACTTAATTTTCCTGTTCTTTCTCATTAATACCACTCTCTTCTCCTTTTCTCCCAGTCATCTCTCTAATTGGTACTGATGTCTCTCATATGTGTGTCTGTATTAATGGAATTGCATACCTGTGGAATTATCTGTAATAATCTTATACTAATGTTCAACATATTGTATTGTGCCATCGTCTTAAACGCCTGTGACTTCCAGTAAGCTTCTTAAAATAGAGAAGTCTTATTATTTTTTAATTGTAGAGGGATTTGTGATGAGTTGAACCACAAAAGTACATTGAGATTATTCAGAAGATGCCCATATAATTTTTCAATAAATCATTTGGTTTCCTTCTCAGTGGTAAAATTAATTCTGCTAAATAAACTACAAGACTGAGCTGGACAACAATTTATGATTCCTGGTCTTCTTTCAAATGGCTTTGATCATGCAGAGGAATATTATTTTTTTAACTATATCAGTCTATGACTAAACTGAAATCATGAAGGATTAGATATTTAGAGTGGAGACAGAACACTGACAGACAGAGAAAGCAAGTAAGGATAGCAGAATAACTTTGTTTTATACCTGATAAACCGTGTAAATTAAAAGCAGAAATGACTGAACATAATTAAACAGTATGAAGCAAGATTTATTTTGAACTACTTTGACAAGCTTAGATCTAAGTTTAGGCTTTTTGAGAATGAAATGCACTGACATATACATCATTATGAAAAGAGTATAGTCTACTTTAAACCTCAATTACCAGAAAACTAAAATAACTTGAGATAAAATTTCATCTTTCAGGACCATATTAATATATCTAAGTCCTTAGTAACAAATATAATCTCCATGGCCATGTGAAATTTTGATATATTTTGTTAAATGCTGCTTTCATGGTATCTATATGATGCTCAGACCTAGAAGATTTTCTATAAAATTTGATCATTCGTATTATCATTTATGGTTCAATCACATTTAATTGAGTATGCTCTTTCCCAAGCATGGGCTAGGGCTGCAAATATAAATAAGGTCTAGGAGCCTAGAGTGATATAGCCAAATGACAGCAAATATGATACATTTGGATGTAAGTAAAAAGAAACTGCAATTTTTTTTTTTTTTTTTTTTTTGTGATGGAGTCTCGCTCTGTTGCCCAGGTTGGAGTGCAGTGGCATGATCTCTGCTCACTGTAACCTCTGCCTCCCAGGTTCAAGCAATTCTGTCTCAGCCTCCAGAGTAGCTGGGATTACAGGCGCCCACCACCATGCCTGGCTAATTTTTGTATATTTGTCGAGGTGAGGTTTCACCATGTTGGCCAGGCTCGTCTCAAACTCCTGACCTCAAGTGATCTGTCCCCCTCGGTCTCCCAAAGTGCTGGGATTACAGGCGTGAGCCACCGCGCCTGGCCAGAAATTGCTAATTTTTATAGAGATGCAGACAAGTCTTGCTTCAATCCACTTGCAAGGCAAATTGGAGAGAAGCAGATTTGGGAGGTGGACAAAACATGCAGGTAAGTATGAAGGTCAAGATAAGAGCAAGGGGCAGATGGCTTATGTTTTTATCCGGACTCTGATTTCTCAATTCTAGAGGATGGATACCAATCGGATCGCTCTAATTATATTTTTTTAAGAATGTAAAGAGTTAATATATATATGTCACACAGAAGTATTCTGGCACATTATTAGCACTCAGTAGACACTGTTGTTATTGTTACTTATCTGGGATATTATTTATTCTCATACTAACAACCAGTATCCCTTACATTAGTATCATGCATTATATTTTGTTTGCTGAAGATGCACAGAATAATTAGCGTTTAATGTTGGGATGGATGGACTTTTTATTGAATAAGTTCATGCTCTCAAAGAGAATAATCCTGGGGGAAATAAGTAAAATATAAAAATATACAAAAGTATTCTCATATATTTAATTATAGACAATTCTAAGCATATTCCATGAGAAAATCAAGACAAACAATTAACATAATAGATTTTAAAGGTTTTGTAGACATTTCACCCAAATATCTCTCAAAAATAATTTCTAAGACAGCGGAGCAGCAGTAGAAAGTTACCTGGAAATGAACACAGACTTTGCATTCCAGTTTTTCTTCTGCCAGCATAGCAGACTAATAAAACTTCACTAGTCTTTGGAAGGATTTTTTGTTTGTTTGATTGGCTAAATGCGATTAGCGATACCAACATACAGTTTCCCTCTGGTTATTGAGTAAGAATAATATAAGTTAAAAGGTTGTGGCAGTATAGTTTAAATACAATTGAAAATGACAAATTAAGGCACCTTGAAGTACAGCTATAAGACAAATTGGGACCAACTACCTGGTATTTTATGTACTCTGTGGGTGTCAAGACTTCCCATTTTGTTTATCTACTAAATACTGTAAAATAAAATGGTATCTTTTGAAAATGATTTTCTGCAGATACCTTATTATGGACTTCAGCTGCTGAAGATTTCTCTGAAAATTCTCTGGTTTGTTATGGATATGGTATTTCCACATCTGGAATAAGATTCTTCCAAGTGTGTAGCTACTCCATAAACAACTAACTGCAGAGGTTACAGCAACAGCTTCTGAAAACACAATTTAAACTACTCAACCTGAAAATACACATGTATTCCAAACAAGTCAATTTTGGCAGAAAAAAAGAGGATTAAGTGCCACGTTTACATGTATTTGAACACTGGTGCCTTTGGGGTCAGTCTTCTACCTTTCATGTGATATTGTAATGTTTGCTCCCTACAAACAGGAGGGAAAGCTGTCATCACAAATTGTCTAATGCACTCTGCTTTATGCAATCAACTTCATTTTTTTTTTTTTGACACCAGATATGCAACTCCACATTATCCCTTTCAAAGTTCAAGCTTGAGGCCAGGCATGGTGGCTCATGCCTGCAATCCTAGCATTTTGGGAGGCCGAGGTGGGTGGATCACCTGAGGTCAGGAGTTCAAGATCAGTCTGGCCAACATGGTGAAACCCCATCTCTACTAGAAATACAAAAACTAGCTGGGCGTGGTGTCGCACACCTGTAATCCCAACTACTTGGAAGGCTGAGGCAGGAGAACCGCTTGAACCCGAGAGGCCGAGGTTGCAGTGAGCTGAGATCAGGCTACTGCACTCCAGCCTGGGCGACAGAGCCAGACTCCATCTCAAAAAATAAAATAAAATAAAAGTTCAAACTTGAAGAACAGTATGAAAACAAGTTAAGGGGAAGGGGCCATGAGGACATCTTGGTCAAAGGATACATAATTACATTTAGATAAGAGTAATTTTTAAAAAGACAGAATAGGCATATAGCAACAGAAAGTTGATAAGTGATTGCCTTGGTCCAAGTTATAGTGAGGAGGTAAATGAGAAATGACTGTTAATGGTTGTGGAGTTTCTTTGTCAGGTATTAATGCTTTAAAATCGTAGTAATGGTCGTACAACGTTTTCATCATGCTAAAAATCACTGGATTATACACTTTAAATGGGTAAATTTTATGATATGTAAATTACATCTTAGTAAAGTTGTTTAAAAATAATTTTTTCTGCATTTACCTTTCACCTTTTTATATTGTTTTGTTTTCCAACACAGACATAAATATTTGTGCATAGCTAATACAGCTTTCTTTTAAAAATATTTATAATTGTTCCTGGATCAACATCTTGGTACTTTAATAAAAAACAAGGAATTTTGTTACTTTGATATATTACAGATCTATTAAAACAAATAACATAATAATTAATAAAACGAAATTACTTGTGAAAACTAACACCCAATGAAGATAGATAATGAAATTTATATGTTCATGTATGTAGCCAATATATAGTATATGCTTATTACCAAAGTTACTATAGACAATACTAACATATATATCCTCATTTACTGTCAAATGAAAACAACATAACAATTTTAAAGACTAATATTTAAAGTTCTTTAACAAGTTGTTTTTTTACATATTTATTCCCTTTATTTCTCTTAAAAATTCTTAGAAGAAAAATAAAAATAATTTCTATTAACTAAGGTATCCATTTTGTAAAATTAAAAACACTGATGGCTAGTCAGTCATTAATGTAGTTTTGTACATTAATAAAAGGTCTAAGGAAACATAGAAAAGGTACCTTACAATGAAAACAAAATCTATAATCATGGTTGAATGACAAATTGTGTTTACATTTTTTAATTTTTTTCCTGTAAAAACCCCCTTTCCCCATGCAGTTTTGGAAACTTTCTTTTTTATCTTAATTATAACTTTATGGTTTAATATTTGCCTGTCCACATTAGGATAGGGTGACATTACTTCTTGTTCACAAATTATTGATCCAGCGGTGAGAAACAGACACAGCATATACAATTAAATCTTTATTTAAGTAATTGAATTAGCACTTTAAGATCACCCTTGTTATTTATGCCCTTTAATCCAGTGGGGATTTCAATTCAGGAGTTATTGATGTGGGCCAATGTAGATTTAAAAATGAAATTGGTTTTCAACAGGTGAAACAAAGTATGTGAAATAATAGATGTACACAAATAGAGTTTGAAATATTTTTAAAATATGCTTTTAGTTGAACACTTTGGGTTTCCTGAGTTATTCCATAATTTTTATTATACCTTTTTGTTTCTTAATAAAAAGTAGTAAACATATTTTGAAAATTTCAGAGAAAATTGCACGATACAGGTCATAAAGCAGTGGTCAAATGGATTAATATAATTAATTAATACAGATGTTTCTTCCAGGATTCTTATAGTTAGAGGTTTTACATTTAAGACTTTAATTCATCTTGAATTTATTTTTGTATAAGGTGATATGTAGGACCACAGTTTCATTATACTGCATATAGATAGCCAGTTATCACAGCATCATTTATTGTAGAGGAATTCATTCCCCATTGTTTAATTTGAAGATCAAATGGCTGTAGATGTGCAGCTTTATTTCTGAATCCTCTTCTCTTCAATTGATCTATATGTGTATGTTTGTACCAGTACCATGCTTTTTTGGTTACTGTAGCCTTGTAATATAGTTTAAAGTCAAGAAATGTGATGTATCTGGCTTGATTCTTGTTAGGATAACTTTGACTATTTGGGCTCCTTTTGGTTCCATATAAATTTTAGAATAGTTTTTTATCTAATTCTGTGAAAAATGACATTGGTAATTTAATAAGCATAACATTGAATCTGTAAATTTACCTAGGCAGTACCATCTCACACTAGTCAGAATTGTTTTTGTTAAAAAGTCAAAAAATACGCTGGGTGCTATGGCTCACTCCTGTAATCCCAGCACTTTAGGAAGTTGAGGCAGGTGGATCACGAGGTCAGGAGATCGAGACCATCCTGGGTAACATGGTGAAACCCCATCTCTACTAAAAATACAAAAAATAAGCCAGGCATGGTGGCAGGTGCCTGTAGTCCCAGCTACTCAGGAGGTTGAGGCAGGAAAATGGCATGAACCCAGGAGGTGGAGCTTGCAGTGAGCTGAGATCGCACCACTGCACTCCAGCCAGGGCGACAGAGCAAGCCTCTGTCTAAAAAAAAAAAAAAAAAAAGTCTAAAAATAACAAATGTTGGCAAAGCTGCAGAAAAAAGAGAATACTAATACACTGTTGTTAGGAATGTAAATTAGTTCAACTACTGTGAACAGCAGTTTGAAGATTTCTCAAATAACTTAAAACAGAACTACCATTCAACCAAGCAATCTCATTACCGGGTATATACCTAAAGGAAAATAATTATTCTAACCAAAAGTCACATTCACTTGAATGTTCATCACAGCACTATTCACAATAGAAAAGATATGTAATCAACACAGGTGCCCATCAAGGGTGGATGGGATAAAGAAAATGTAGTATCTATATACCATGGAATACTACTCAGCCATTAAAAAGAATGAAATTATGCCCTTTGCAGCAATATGGATGTAGCTGGATGCCATTATTTTAATCAAATTAACATAGGAACAGAAAACCTTAAATACTTAATGTTCTCACTTATGAGTGGAAGCTAAACATTGGGTACACATGGACATAAAGATGGGAACAATAATCCACTGAGGACTCTTAGAAAGAAGAGTAAGAGAGGGAGGAAAGGGCTTAAAAACTACATATGGGGTACTATGCTCACTACCTGGGTGATGGATTTATTGGTACTCCAAATTTCAGCATCACACAATATGCATTTGTAAAAACTTGCACGTGTACTGCAAATCTAAAATGAAAGTTGAAAAATAAAATAAAATAAAATAAGAAGTGTCTCTATATGTGCTATAATATCAAATTGTCTAACCTCTATGTAACTAGAGTCCCAGAAGAATATATAAAAGATGAATAAGACAATTATTTGAAGATATAAAGAATGGAAATATTCCCAGTAGATGAAATATATTAATTATACATACACGAAGTTTAGCAAAACCCCGAGGAAATGATATACAGATATTACATCTATTTGTATATTAAAAATTAAGTGATTTAAACCAAAGAAAAAGAGAAAATCTCAAGGGGCAATAAAAGAGTACTCACCACATGTGCATGTGTCTTTTTGTAGTAGAATAACAAAATAAATGACTACTGACTTCTGATCAGGAAAAAAATAAAGAGGAGAAGAAAACAGAATTTCAAAATGGCAGAAAGAAAATAAATCGGAATTTTAACCTACAATTTTATATTTAGAAAAGGTATTGTTTTAAATTTCAGCAGGTTTCAAAAATATTTCCAGTCAAAACCTGAAAGTATTTCATCCAGTACATTTACCACAAAAAATAGTAAAAAAGTTCCTCAAGATTAAGGGAAAAACTAACAGCCAGATGTACACTATGTAACTAACAGCTCTAGAAAAAGAATATACCTAGAAAAATATAAAAACACAATTTTTTAGTATTCTTTCATATGTAGAGTCATAAAATTATTAATGGCTTAATATTATTTTAAACTAAATAAAATAGAGAGTTTATATTGTAAAAGAAAGTAAAGCAACAAGTACACAAAACTTGGAAGAAAATAAACGTATTTTACTTATATAAGGTTCCTAAAATGATTATGAAATAGAATAATATTTGCATATTAAAATGCATAGCATAACGAAAAGAAACATATGTAGGTAATAAGTCAATATATGGTATATTCACAACAAAGAAAACAGGGAAGACAAAGAAAGAAAAAAATTTTTTAAAAAGTCAGATAAATGAAATCCAAATGGCAAGATGGAAGACTTAAATCAGACATATGAATTATTAATTGTATATATTTGACTTAAGCTTTTCAATTAAAAGGCAAAGACACCAGACATAATGAACAAGTAAGGCATTATTATACATTGCTTACAAGAAACACATTTTAAATACATAGATATACTCAAGCTGAAACTAACATATTGGAAAATGACATACTATGTAAACACTAAGCTAAAGTGGACCAAAGTGGCTATATTAATACCTACGTTGTGTAACTTCCACAGGAAAGGAGCTTCCTTAACCTAACAGAGGGCACCTGAGGGCATCTAAGACTGTACTTATGATTAAAAAAATGAATGCTTTCCCCTTGAGCTCAGCAGCAAGACAAGACTATCTGCCTTCACCTTTTCCATTAAATGTTGTGTGAGAAAATATATGAAATGTATATTATAACTGATTCTTTAATTTTTTTTATTATACTTTAAGTTCTGGGGTACATATGCACAACGTGCAGGTTTGTTACATATGTATACATGCGCCATGTTGGTGTGCTACACCATTAACTCGTCATTTACATTAGGTATATCTCCTAATGCTATCCCTCCCCCCCTCCCCCCTCCCCACGACAGGCCCCGGTGTGTGATGTTCCCCTTCCTGTGTCCAAGTGTTCTCACTGTTCAATTCCTACCTATGAGTGAGAACATGCGGTGTTTGGTTTTTTGTCCTTGCGACAGTTTGCTGAGAATGACGGTTTCCAGCTTCATCCATGTCCCTGCAAAGGACATGAACTCATCTGATTCTTTTTAACAGATGCAGTGTTCTTTAAGTCTATAAAGTAACATTTCTTTTACATGCATAAATTAATTATATCAAGTTGCTTCCTTTTTTTCAAATTGCTTTAGTTTCTGTTTTTGTAGTAGTTACTGTCCTGGTGCTCTTGATCTGTTCTCTCACGTACAAGACAGGGGTACTGAAACAACAAGTTCAATTAAATGCATGTGAGGATACTTGCCCATTGTGTTCTTTACTGTAGAATGATGATGATCTTTCTGTAACTTATCATGGTGAAAATCACTGCTGATAATATTTTTCTTTTTTTTTTTAATTTGGTCTTGGGTTTGTCATACATTTTAGAGAAGATAATGCCCATTTCTCATCACTCATTTAAATAAAGTGTTAACAATTAGAACATCAAATAGTAGAAATATTTGGCTAACCCTTAAACTCCTTGTGAATAGGATGTTCTCCCAACATTCAGGTTTTCATCTCAGGCCAGATAATTTTTGTTTGATGCTCTCTAGAGTATAATCCTACCTTCTTTAAAGGCAGTGTTTGGTTACATGAGTAAGTTCTTTAGTGGTGATTTGTGAGATTTTGGTGCACTCATCACCTGAGCAGCATACACTGTACCCAATTTGTAGTCTTTTATCCCTCACTCTCCTCCCACCCTTTCTTCCAAGTCCTTAGAATTCATTGTATGATTCTTATAGCTTCTCATCGCCGTAGTTTAGCTCCCACTTACAATGAGAACATACGATGTTTAGTTTTCCATTCCTGAATTACTTCACTTAAAATAATGGTCTTCAGTTCCATCCAGGTTGCTGCAAATGCTATTATTTCAGTCCTTTTTATGACTGAATAGTATTCTTATCTTCTTTTAAATAGAGAAATTGCAACCTCCTGCATGCATGGAGTAGAGAGAAAGACTAACTGAGAATTTATGCTAAATTAGGCCTTTAACTAGTCCTCCTGGTTTTAAGGTTACCTTCTTTCACCTTTCAAAGTTTACTGTCACCAATTATTATGGTTTCTGGGAAATGTACAGGAGTATATTAACTCCCATCTTGGCTTTTCCACTGACAAATTAAGATAGTATTTTCTCAAGTTTATTGTATTTCATGAAAAGACACTCTGTTATCTCTTTAATCCTTTTAACAAGACTTAGGCTATGTGCAAGTGTGCCTGTGTGTGTTAATTTTTTTTTTTTTTTGTCATTCTAAAATGTTATGCTCTTGGCATTGACTTTGAGTTTAAGGCCAATAGCTTGAGGTCTCCTGGTACATTTGACTGTTGACTTTCACTTACTATGAATGTTGTAATTTTTTATTTTGAGCTTATGAGCTCATCTTAATATGGCATCTTTTGATTTTCCCCTTTGTAAATCCTACATGAACTAATATGTTCCTCCATAGCAATTTTTCACTTGATTTGTAGACCCCTCAAGGGTTTTCACCACACCAGGATCATTTTTTAATTGCCAGCTTCTCAGCTTGTGGTATCCCCACATTGTGAGGACAGTGTAAGTCTGTGTTCAAACACGTCAAAGTTGCAGGGCTATTCTTTTGCTTTCTGTTGAGAGCTTTTTCCCACACACATGGCCAGGTAAATTTCATTTTATCTGGTGAAAGATTCAATTAGATCTTTCGTCACTAATACTAGAGGTCTTTGCTGGTACCAATTCTTAGGATTTTTGCAGGCATGAAAGCCCACTACTCTAATCATTGCTGTTTCAAAAACTTCACATGGCTACTGCTTTATTAACTTATTTACCTCTCTGTCTAGTTCTCAGAATATTCTTCACTTCTGGCATCTACAATGCCCCAACATTTCTTGTAAAGTACAGTATAATTTGTTTAAATTATAATTTATCTAGAACATTTAGTTTTTCTTTTTCAGAAATAAATAACTGTAATTATATTACTCTAGTTAGCTACACATTATAAGTAGTATTATAAAGAGATAACTGTGTATTTGTGTTTCTTAATAGTGATACATGTTCATCAAGAAAAATGACTTTCAAAGACCGACAGCAGTGTGTGTATTTGTAAATGTGTGTGTGCATGCGTGTGTCTTTGCTTTTTCAATATCCTTCTTGAAAATCTCACAGTTTTCAGTGCTATCATATTTGTCCATGTGCTAGTAAGTCCTTGAGACCTACACTCACATTGGTTTTTGGTTTGCTGCACTAGGTAAATTTTCTCAATCATTAAAATAAACTCTTCATGATTTTGCTCTATCTTCTCATCTGTCTTCCAAGTGGATATCTTCCAAAGTGTCTTACATTATATCTTTTTGTTTGACATGGTAGTCCCAGTATATCCCCAAGCAAATTATTTGAAATAAACCAAAAAAATAGATGGTGGCTTTTCCTACCTTCATGCATCTCTTTAGAAATACACTGTTAGTGGTATGGTTGATTTGTGAGGCAGTCTTTCCAGTTGATGGTGCAGCTGGTTCAGAGTGACACTTTGAAGCTACTCAAGAATCTGAATGTGACATCCATGGCAGGTCAATGTTTCACAGAAGGAGAGATTTTGTGTTCAGCTTTGCGCTGTTGACTTCTTGTTCAATTTGTCCTTTCTTGCCATAAGCCATGATTCAGAAATAGATGCTGGCTTTCTCTATTATACAAGTATCTACCACTTGTCAGATAACGTACCTCATGACAGGTTGCCTTAGAAGAAATTTGTGTGTTTGAAGACATTGCCTGATTCTTAAAACACTAGAGTGTCCACATTTTTCTTGCAGGTGATATATATTGTAAAACATGTCAATTCAATTATATTCAAGTAAATATGCACGCAAGGATGCATTGTTGTACAAATACACACATATACAAATTTTATGCATACATAAATATGTGTGTGTGTTTGTGTGTGTGTGTGTGTGTGTGTGTGTGTGTGTGTGTTGGTATCCATAATCCAAAAATCTAAAATTCAAAATGCTCCAAAGTCCAAAACTCTTTGGGAACTGATATAATGCTCATTGGAGCATTTTGGATTTCAGATTTTTGAATTATGGATATTGAATATCGTAAGTGTTCCAAAGTCTGAAAAAGAATATCCAAAATTTAAAACACTTCTGGTCCCAAGTATTTAGGATAAGGGATACTCAAACTTTATATAAAGTGTATGTTTGTGTGTGCATCTGTGTGTGCATCTACATTTACTATTTTAGTGAACTCATGTAATTTTATGATATTAAATATCATCTCTATGTGGACATTTTTAAATTTGTATTGCAAGCAGTATTTTACCTTCTAAACACCAGTCACACATTTCTAACTTACCATTTAATAGTTATTTTCAGCTCTTCAATCACTATTTGGTAAAAATCTCAAATTTTCCACCTTCAAAAATCACTGGTTTTCTTTAATCCTCATTTTCCCATCTCCTAGTCTTCCCCCATTTCAACTGATCCCAGCTTCTATTGATCAGTTGAAAAACCTTGCAGTTATCTTTAACTCTTGGCTTTCTCTCATAGTCCATAGCCAATCTGTCATGATCTTTTGTTTGTATTTCTTCAACATGTGTGTAAAATATAAAATTTCCCAACACCTCCACTACTAGAACAAGACACTCATCCTATCTCACCTGAATTATCATAATAGCTCCCTTCAGTGCTCTTCTTGGTTTTGCTTTTTCATGCTTTCCTCACTCTAGTCGTAGTAAACTTTTAACAGAAGTCAGATGATATCATTACTCTGCTTAAAATCCACAGCTTCCCATTTCACTCTGCAAAATAATACTTACAAAAATTTCTATGGTGTTGGCAGTATTATTATCACAGTCTTACAAATAGAGTATCTAAAGGACAAAGAAGATCAGTTTATTGATCCAGATTACCTGGCTAAGGGTGGCAGCATAGGATTTGAATCCAAGCAGTCTTTTTCCAGCATCTGTGCTTTAACGGTAACAATATCCTGTATCCTGGCAGTAAGAGACCAGAGGCTCTACCTGACTTGCACCCACTCTCTCCTCTAGCTCCCAGTGATCTATCTTACTTTACTTCCTTTTGGTCTACTGCTTGTTCTGTCAAACTGAACCTGTTGATATTTCCCAGATAATTCAGGCACAATTCTGCATCGAGTTCTCTGTACTGGATTTTCTCTTCTGCTATAATGTTCTTCTACCAGAAATGCATTTGGTTCACACTCTAACCACATACCTGTACTAAAATAATATTTAAGAGTAGTGTCCTCTCATCGAGACTTAGCCTCACTTCCTTATTGAAAATTTTAACATCCCCTCCTGTTGCCTCAGACCACTCTAATCTGCCTTATGCAGCTCAGTGTTTGTCCACAAACCTATCATCTTCTAATAGAATATGAAATTTACTTCCAAATTATTTACACTTAGTTAATGTTGGTGTCAAACAGAACAGAAAGTAAAGAAGAAAAATACAATTAGTATTAGACCAGAAAACCAAACACTGCATGTTCTCACTCATAAGTGGCAGTTGAACAATGAGAACACATGGACACAGGGAGGGGAATGTCACACACCGGGACCTGTCGGTGGGTGGGGGGGCTAGGAGAAGGATACCTAATGTAGCCTAGGAGAAATACCTAATGTAGATGATGGGTTGATGGGTGTAGCAAACCACCATGGCACGTGTATACCTATGTAACAAACCTGCACATTCTGCACATGTATCTCAGAACTTAAAGTATAATAAAAAAAGAGAAAAAAAAGAAATAGAATAATAAAAGTTCAATTGTATATATTCTAATCACTCTTTAAATTTATATACAGCCGTTTCCTCTGACTTTATTGTAAAATACTTAATAACATTTCCAAATTGTGATAAGTGAAAATGCATTTAAATTTGTAGAGAAAAGTTAATAATTGAGGTCAGAATTTCTAGTTTTTTAAGGCTGGCTTTGGGGACAAAATAAACTAAATCTAATGAAGCATGCTATAATTGATATTTTATCATTTCTGGCATCACTGTGCTTTCTCCTTCAAGCAATTTTCACTATATATAACTCTCTTTATAAATAGATATAAAGGTATTTTGAAAATAAGCTAATAGCAAGTATTTATTAAGCACTTGCTAAATCTAAATCTAAATATGTTAACAGAGGATTTCATTTAATGAATACAAATATTCATGAGGTTCTATTATAGCCTGTATTTTATAAATAGGAAGTTTAGTTTACAGAGTTAAAATGGCTCAATTGACTTTACCCAATTAGTGACTCATCCAGAATTATAAATTCAGTATTTCCTCCCAATGGAGAAAGTTTCATCGCCCACTGAAATCCCAAATTTTCTTTCCTAATTCTTAGTATTCAGAAATAAAAAAACTATTTATACATATAAGTTAGTTTTAGAATATTTATTGCTATGGCTAGTATCATTTCACAATGCCCATTTTTATTAATAAATTATATGTCCTCTTACTATGACCATAAGTCTAGTATTCTTATTATGTTTTCTATCAGTTTAACTTCTCCCCAGGAAATCAAATGTTTCCAGGTACACGTATTATTTCTAAAAGGGACATATAATGTGGGATAGGTTACTTTTACAGGCATACCTATAATTATAGAAACAACTCCTGCTCATTCTTACATATTTTCTATGCCCTGTAATTCTTAAGAGATTGAGTGATGCCCACGTGTATATTTCATGGTCTCTGATTTTCAAGGATGTCCTTTTCAAACTATCTATGTCTTCCTAAAGTACACTTGCTCATGGTGAATTAAAGTTTGTAACACAGAACAACTTTTAGCTTTCACAGCATTTCTTGAGAGCTACTATAAATCAAGTTATAATGGACCTATTTATGGAAATGACTAATATCTACAAATAAATTACTGGCATAAAAGAAATTTCTTATTTTTTACATATATAATTTATTAATACTAAGACATTTTACATTTGAATTTACTGTACAATATCTGTGTAAATTTAAGGTTTAAAAAATTCAAGAAAAAATACAAACGAGATTGAAGATTAACATGTTTCAGCTATTTTTTTCTACTTCTTTGCCTGATTGGAACATTATTTGATTTACATACTGGACATATCATCAAAACATGGCACTGCACTTCAGGAATAAAATGTTTATATGGTTTATGTTATGTTAAAATATATCTTCACAAAGGTAAATTATTAGAGCATTAAAATGATTCTTTGAAATATTTATGCAAATGCATATAAAATAAACTGTAATATCATTTAAAGCCTATTATTTGGAAAATGAATTGGATTAAAGGTTGATAGGTAATTTGTATAGGAAATTATATTCAGAACCAAGTCAATATAAGACAAGGAGAAGTGACAACTACTACTAAAATACAAATAATCATTAATTTTTTAATTGCAAAAAATGAAGAACAACAGTTAATCACAAATACTGAATTAGCAGTATAACTGGTTAAATTCAACTGATTTATTATTTGCTTGTCTGTAATATGGAGATAATAATACCTGTCTAGCCTTCCTCACTGAGATTTTGTAAAAGTAAAAGGGTTGAAAAATATGAAAAAATAATACAAACTACTTACTGAAATATCAAAATCCTTGATCTATTTACGCTGTCTTTTCCAATGTGACTTACTCCTGTTTCACCAACCTCACTATTAAACACATTTTATTAAACATGGGCGGCTATTGAAAATGAATTTATTGGCCAGGTGTAGTGGCTCATGCCTGTAATCCCAGGGCTTTCAGAGGCCAAGGCAGGTGGATCACCTGGGGTCAGGAGTTCGAGACCAGCCTGGCCAACATGGTGAAACCCAGTCTCTACTAAAAAAAAAAAAAATTAGCCAGGAGTGCCGGCACATGCCTGTAATCCTAGCTATTCAGGAGGCTGAGGCAGGAGAATTGCTTGAACCCAGGAGGCCAAGGTTGCAGTGAGCTGAGATCAAGCTACTGCACTCCAACCTGAGTGACAGAGCCATACTCCGTCTAAAAAAATAAAATAAAATAAAAAATATAGAAGTTGAAGCTTGAAGAAGAGTGATGAAAACAAGTTAAGGGGAAAGGGACATGAGGACACAAACCAAAAATCCCAGGAGAATTGCCTGAACCCGGGAAGCGGAGGTTGCAATGAGCTGAGATACTGCTATTGCACTCCAGCCTGGGTGACAAGAGCGAAACTCCTTCTTAAAAAAAGGAAAAGAAAATGAATTTATTATATTCTGTTGCTACAACCAATTGTAACCTTGTATACCTTCTTGCCTGTGTGCCAGTTTTGCTTCTTGAAGATGCTTCTTTGCTTGTGTTTGTCTCTGTTCTATTCACTACAGAAGGAGGCTATTCTGCACCAGTCAATGTATAAGCAGGAGAGCTGAAATCCCTCTGGACATTTTAAGAATAGAAGGATTTAGTCAACAACCTATTTGGAAGCCCTGAAGTTGCAAAAGAGAGAAAAGATATTTCACAGATATGTAGAAGCTGTGATCACCCTAGCCCACAAGCCTTCACTTGGAGTTTTGTGGCTGGAGCGTTTCTTGTTGCCACTGCTGATAAGGATATCGGAGCCCACAGATTCCTGGAGGTGCCAAAATCTTCTGTTGATGTTTCTATCACAGTCAGAGCAAGAAGTGACCTGTTTTCTTTTATCTTCCCTTCTAAATTTCCATAAGGGACTCCTAGTCACAGCAACTAAGTAGAAATCAGCTGTTAAAGATGTCTCCAAAATATGACTTGTAGGTTCCTAGCTCTGTGTAAAACTGTTAAGAACTAGAGAGGGTTGGAATGGAACTTTGGAAAAAACATGTAGTATCTGACAGAGTGTTTGCACTGGTTTTCTAGGTCTGCCATAATGAAGGAGTATAAATTCTGAGGCTTACGCAACTAGAATTTATTTTCACACAATTCTGGAGACTAGTAGTTCAAAATTAAGGTATTGGCAGAATTGGTTTCTTCTGAGGACTATGAGACAAAGGTTTGGTCTAGGCCTCTCTCCTTGGCTTGTAGATGGCTGACTTCTCCCTATGTCTCTTCACTAACTCTTCTCTCAGTATATGTCTGTCCAAGTTTTTCCTTCTTATATGAACACAAGTCATATTGGATTAGGGGCCACCCTAATAACCTCATTTAACTTGATTATGTCTGTAAAGTTTCTATCTGAAAATGAGGTCACCTTCTGAGATATGGGGGTTAGGATTTTATGCATATGAATTTGAGAGGAACGCAATTCAACCCATAACAGTAACCTGATGTACCAAGTAGATACATGAATCAAAGCCCATTAGAGAGCTTATCCAACTTCCCTAATTGCATGTTTTCTTCTCTGCTACTCTAGAAGAAATCTTGTTTTCCTACTTTTTTTTAACCTTGTCTTGTTGAACACTGTGGGCCACATTAGAAAATTTTAATATATGTCAGTTGATCAGTCATTACAGATGATTGAGCTAAACATTTAATGTTACCTTGTTGACTTCCAAAACTTACATTTCAAAGACCTTCAACATTGTTTTCTTATGCCATTTTATTCATTTGCTTAATATACATCTATTGATATCCTATGCATCAGACATGATCTTAAAAAGGCACTGAGATTATACATTGAATATACAAATTTAATTAAATGTTATTACTTCAAAAAGCTTATTTTCAACAGATAAACAGAGATCTAAATTTAAAATCTTAGCACAGCTTAATAATTACACTTTAGATGAATGTAATGCTCTGTGGATAGAGCAAAGCTAACCAGGGACTCATCTTTCTACAGTACTCATTTCCACTCCCACATATGAATCATACTGTTTATCCCAACACAGACGCATCCACACTACTGTCTTCCTATGGAGGATGTATCCCTCAATTCTTAAGTTATTCTTTTCTTCATCTCTAAACACCAATGCATACTAAATTCCCCACCAGAGAGCCTGGAGGTTTCTTTCTACGTTACTCTCCTCTCTTTCCCTCTTCTCTCTTGTGTTCTGCTTCATCCTCTCTCTTCTTTACTCACTTTCTATCCCACTTCATTTTATATATTAATAGCAATTCAGTCACTTTTTCTATAATGCAAAATCCATGTGTATAGAAATCAATGTGCTATCAAAAATCATGTCATAAAACCACGAGGTTTTGGGAAAATTGGATTTAAGGGCACAATACTCAACAACTTTGTCAGTGATACATTTAAGAAAGCCAATTTTTGTAACAATAAAAATAGCAGAATAGTTCCACACATATTGAATAGTTAAGAAATACATAAAAAAACACAATAAATATAACTATAGACCTAAAAAAATACTTGAAATTTTCTTGTGGAAGTGGAAAGTGGAAGAATTGAAATGGGTGAGTTATTTTGGGGTGGTAGAAGGAAGTTTATCCGAAATTGGATAGACAGTTTAACAACAGAAGTGGGTGGCTCATGACACACACTGCTATGGTAAATAGTATATGTTTGATGTATATGTGTGCTTGTTGTATAGTCCTATGATTCACCTAGATGAAGTTTTCTATTTTCACGTAGGGTATCTCTTGAATTGCAGATAAGTAAACATGACATTCACATTATGCTCCAGCTGTTCCCTAGTATATCCATTACATTTGAATAAAGTCTTATTCTCAAAAACAGTGTGTGATAGCAGAACTTACTGTCTTCTTTCTATTACTTGTGTAATAAATGAAATATTGACACAAATATAACTAAGATAATAACATTATTAACTTGAACACTTACTGATATGGTTTGGCTGTGTCTCCACCCAAATCTCATCTTAAATTGCAACTCCCACAATTCCCACGTGTCGTGGGAGGAACCCAGTGGGAGGTGATTGAATTATGGGGGTGGGTCTTTTCTCTGCTGTTCCCATGAAAGTGAATGAGTCTCAAGAGACCTGATGGTTTTAAAAATGGGAATTTCCCTGAACAAGTTCTCTTCTCTTTGCCTGCCACCATCCATGTAAGACGTGACTTGCTACTCCTTGCCTTCTACCATGATTTTGAGGCCTCCCCAGCCATGTGGAATTGTAGTTCATTAAACACTTTTTACTGTATAAATTACCCAGTCTTGGGTACATCTTTATTAGCAGCACACTTCCTAACATAAAGGCTAACCCTCATGAGAGAGAAGATCAAATGGGTAACTTGGGTTACAACATGGGAGATGGGAGATTTGATTCTGATAACATGAAAAAGAGGATATCCCTTCACTATTTTGGCAGGGCTTTCATAAATCTTGGCCAAGTGTATTTTCTGAATGAATTCTGGATTTTAAAAAATTCATTTATTTTTTCACTTAGTTTTTATTTTTGAAATATTTTTGATTTATGAAAGTGTTCTGAGGATAATATTGAGTATTAACTTACACTTTTCCTAAGAAATTAACATTGGGACAATCTATGAAAAAAATTAGAAACTTCATTTAGGATTTCTCCAGTTTCTTCACCAATTATTTTTTTCTGTTCCAGTATCAAATCTATAATGTACTCTATTTATGGCAATTTCTGCATCTGTTCTTGTCTTTCATAACTGTGGCATTTTGAAGAGTACTGATGAAGAAATTTGTAGACTGTCCTTCAGTGTGGATTTTTCTAATGTTTTCGCATGAATAGACTGAGGGTATGGATTCTTAGGAAGAAATAACAAGGTAAAGTATTCTTCTGATTGAATTATTATCATCAGATGTGTGGTATTGACACCACTTATTGCTAGTGACATTAACTTTGATTACCTGTTTGAGGCAATATCTGTCAGTTTTCTTCATTTTAATGTTACTATGTTTCTCTTCCCATACTCTATTATTTGGAAGTTAGTCAGTAAGACCAATCTCTACTGAAGGAGGGGGAATTAAGATATAACTCTTCTTTGAGGGAGTATCATATAATTTGAGGACATATGTTAAACCAACACAGTAATATCATTAACTTTAGTAATTCATCAGAGAACCTGCAGCAATTATTACTGTGTTGTTTTGACAATGTGCTATTTTCCAATTTTTTTTAACATTTGCTACTTAAAATTATTTTAAGAAATATACATTCTCATCTACTTATTTACTCAGGAACATAGTTTTATTAATGTAAACTCATGAATATTCCTTTTATTCTTTGAGTTATAATCAAATAAATATTTCTAAGTTACTTATTCTACTGTTTGAATTATTTTTCCAGATTTGTGGCCTTTCCAAACTCAAGATAGGACTTAAATTGCAATGAATTGGAAAATATCTTTATTTTCTCATTATTATCTAGGTCCTATGTTATCTGAAAAAAGAAAAAAACATTATTTCTAATATTTGGAAAACTCTTTTTGTGTGTATATATATATATATATATTTTTTTTTTTTTTTTTTTTTTTTTGAGATGGAGTCTCGCTCTGTCGCCCAGGCTGGAGTGCAGTGGCGGGATCTCGGCTCACTGCAAGCTCCGCCTCCCGGGTTCACGCCATTCTCCTGCCTCAGCCTCCCAAGTAGCTGGGACTACAGGCGCCCGCCACTACGCCCGGCTAATTTTTTGTATTTTTAGTAGAGACGGGGTTTCACCGTTTTAGCCGGGATGGTCTCGATCTCCTGACCTCGTGATCCGCCCGCCTCGGCCTCCCAAAGTGCTGGGATTACAGGCATGAGCCACCGCGCCCGGCCCTTTGTATATATTTCTTCAAAAATAGATTACTACATTAAAAACTTACTAGGGTATCATTCATGACCTATATAAATATTCCTCAGATGACATTGAAATAGCAGAAAGTATACACCGTGCAAATTATTCCATAAGCCATGAAAATTTTAAAATGTGGGAATACTGCAATATATAGAGAGACATAAAATAGTCAAGTGAAAAAATAACCTTGAAAACATAATCAGGTGTACAAATATTTACAGCAAGATTGTGCATTTGTGTGTGTGTCTGTGTTGTGCTTTATCTTTTTTATGGATTTGTCCACTTTATTTAATTTTATTTAATTGACTGGTTTAAACTTATCAATAATGATTATAAGAGGGTCATTTCTAATATTTTTGATTTCAGTAAAATAAGGAGGAATAAACTTTTTATTCATGAAATTGAGATTTTGTGATTTACTTTTTTTAGTTCCTCCCATTTTTTAATTCCAGTTCCACTTATATTGATAATTTCATAAAGTTTATTTCTGCTGTTTATTGTTTTATTGTACTACTTGCTGTTTTCAAATGTTTAAACTTGTCTTCTTATAATTATTGTTTCCATTTTTCTGTGTCCTCAGGATTTAAATTGCTGATGATTTGCCTAAATTTATGACATAGTCATTAGCATAATTTATTTCAAATTATACCTCTTCTATAATGTACATATTAAATAATAAGATTGTGGAATAATTATAGCAATGTGTGTTAGGGTAAAATAAAGGACGTTTCTGGTTTCCATGTGTTATTTCAAGTGCCTGGGAAAGACTAAATTTGTTTAGTTAGTTGATGTAAACATAGACCTTAAGACAATATAACAAAATAAAGTTGAAATTTCTGAACTTCTTTGACTTGTTCTTAAAAATATATATTTAAAAAGATAGAGGGTTGGAGATATGGAGACCAAAAATTTAGAGTGGGGTTAGTCCATAAAAGTTATTCATTTATCCTCTACCATTATCAAGGAGCAAAAATGTATAAGTAGATATTTATATAAACATATAAAAGACACATCTATAAATATTTAATAATTTTAATAATATATTATATTTTACTTAATATATACCTAAACAAATGAACATATATTTAATATCTACCATAATAAATATATACATATATTAAATATCTACCATAATAAATATATACATATATTAATAAATATATAATTATACAAAAGTTACGAGTGGTCTTGATATTGTTGAACAATATAGTGGCTATTATATGTAGGTTGGAAATAGCAATGGAAGTGAAACTGGGCTCTTGGAGATAAATAAATATTCTGAGATTTCCCCAACCTTTAAACTGAACAATCCTTCAGTAAATTAAATCTTCAGTCACTGCTTTGAATGCATTTGCTATTTTAATCTGGTAACCTTATATTTCAAGCTGAGTACAATAAGATATACTGCTTAAAGACAAGTCCACTGAATGTATTTGACATCTTTGATGACCTCTGAAGTTTCTAACAAGCTGGGTTATAAATTGGTAGCAGAACATTTCTGGCTAATTGGAATAAATTAAGTGAAGCTTTTTTGTTTATCAAACTTGAATTGTTGTTTTGCCTTCATTAGTCAACTAGTATAAAATAATTCCTATTGTGGAAAATGTTTACCAGAAGTCACAGTAGGAAATAAAGAGTCTGCTTATGCAGCATACATACATCTTCAGATGCCTGGGCTCAGCCATTTTTGCACACTTTTAATTTGCATTATAACTAAATTTACTTAATTTAATTACTGGGTGGCTCAGGGTAAGTTTGAAATTGATACACTGAATTTCATGTTTACTTAGGTTTCACGTTGCTTACCCATAGAAAACTAGGTGCTAAAACCCAACAAAAGACGATGTATTGACCTAAAACAACAAGTCTTTATTTACAATTGTATGGCTTGTCACAGGTTCAATGCCATGTGTAATTTTTCATAAACAAATGGATATTGTGTATCCATAACCTTTAGGTCCATATAGTCAAATGCTTTCACCACTGTGGGAAAAGCCAGAATTTATTCTCATCCTCTGAATGCATTCAGAGCTGGAAATGTCTTTCCCATACTCAGCAAATGGGTAAAAGCAGTACATCTAAATAGGATATATTTTTCTTCAAAATGTAATTGTCCCACTAAAGCTTAGTGTTATCATTGCCAGAATAGATAAAGTATACCATTCTGTTCTTCAATTAAAAAGTAATATTTCAACTTGTCTTGACTACTGGATGCACAAGAAACTTTAAAGATCTAGTGGGCTATTTATTCAGAGAAGCATCTCTGTCTTTTGTGACACTTGTTTTTGCCATAGCCTTACAAACATAGAAAAGCTGGACAATTGCTCTCCAGGTTGTACAGTGATGATGTCATCAAAATTTTGAAGAGATGATAATTATCCGAGATGGCGAGAGGTTTTGTTTCCTGGAAACTCAATTTTGGAACAGAAATGAAGTGGTGGTGCATTCTCTAAGAGTAGAGTAAACTGGAGCTGTTTCTATTCGGCCATCTTGGAACCCAAAAAAAAAAAAGAGTAGAGTAAAATACGTACTTTTGGTACTGCCTTACAAAAACATTTCCTTCTCTCGTTAGTAATTTTTATGACGAAAGGAAACATCTGATCTCATCAATAGATATGCAAGATACAAGCAGCCTTATTAATTTTCTCCAGTAGGGAGACCACATCTGGACAGCAGCTGTAACAAGATTCACCACCCAATTAAACTGATGATTATTTACTGTCATTCTCCAAGACCCATCTGTCTATTGAGCCAACTGAAGTAGATAATTAAATGAGGATGTGTTAGCAACCATTGCTTTTATGTCTTTCAAGGATTTAATAGGGACAAATCTCTGCAGTCCTACCAAGAATAATATATTTGAGGGGTGTGTGTTGTGTGTGTGATGGTGATGGTGGTGTTTGTTTTGATTTGTTTTTATCTTTGTTATAGTGAACAGACTGTTGGGGTTTCCCCTTGATTATTCTTCCAAAATATTAATACATTCCTAAATGATATATATATATATACATATATATGTTTAAATTTTATAAAATCCTAAGAAATTAAAATGAGGGTATATGTAGTTTACTTTGAAGCATAGGTCAAAATTGTAATTATTTCTTAACAACTCCCATAATTTTTCATACTTACTTGTAAGTTAAAAACTGTCTTTTGTTCATGAGAATTTATAATAGCTTAGATTCAGGTCTACTATTTCCTGAAAGTATTAGTGTTTTTTTTTTTCCATATCCAGTGATGTTGATAATGCCAAGATTCCACTGGTGATAACTAAGACAAATAATATCAGTATATATTTGTAGTATAGTATTATTGTGTGTTTTTTCTTCAGGAATGTCAAAACTGTAATTTTCTCAATTGACTTTAGGTGCTTTGATTTACAGAGGCCTTGGAGTTGGCTTAGGAGTCATAGAAGTATTGTGGTGGCTCAAGATATGTTTTGTAAACCTGAAGCTTTGAGATCATATAAGCCAAATCAAAACTTAATTGGCATTCATAACTTTTGGTGCTAGAGACTCTATGATCAACTAAGAGCCACCAAACATTTCCCATGTAGACTATTTTGACCATGCTGACTCTACTGACACTTTGGTTACTGTATTCACTTTATCTCTAGAAATTAATTCTCACTAATGGATGTCTGTCACTGTAAGATCCTTCTATCCTCTGAAATAAGGAGAACATTTTAACTTCAGTAGTTTAAACTAATGTCATAAACTATAGCATTCAAAATGAGATAATATGCTAAAGTAATACACAAACCAGAAATCCCAGTGGCTAACACAAAAACTTTTTCTTACTCATTTTACATATCCAGTGTAAGTCAGTAATAGACGCAGAGACACCCGGAGACCAAGGAAGAGTTGTGATCTGTCTGCACACATAGTTCACAATGCCTGAGTGAGTTGTGCATTGGCCTTTAAACTTCCACTCATATTTAATTGAATAAAGATTTTGCTCAAATGCCATTTGATGATGAGTTTCATGACCGTGATCAACTTTAAAAGAACTTGGAAGTACAATCCTCACGAGTTTCTGGAAATAGCAGAACTACAATATTTGAGAAAAATATTTTTTAATGTATAAAAAATTGGCAGGGTAGGCTAGCAAGCAAGAGACCTAGAGAAAAGTTGATGTTACAGTCTCAAGACTAAAGGCAATCTGCAGCCAGAATTATTTCCTTCAGGGATCTCAGTCTTTTAATATAATCAATTGACTGGATGAGCCCTACAATATTTTGGAAAATAATCTGCTTTACTCAAAAATTACTGATTTTCTTGTTAATCTCATCTAAAAATACTTTCAGAGCAATATCTAAACTGGTATTTGAATATATATCTCGGATGGCCTAGCCAAGTTGACACACTAAATTAAGCTATGTACTACCATTTTAATTATTTTTATATAATTTCAACTTTTATTTCAGATTCGGGGATATGTGTGAAGGCTTGTCACATGAGTATATTACATGATGCTGAGGTTTGGGATACAAATGATCCTGTCACCCAGATAGTGAGCATGGTACACAACAGTTTATTTTTAAACCATTGCCTTCCTCTTTTCCTACCCTTTCTATTAGTCCCAAGTATCTATTGTTTTGCTATCTTTATTTCGACTAATACCCAATGTTTAGTCCCCACTTATAAGTGAGAACATTTGGTATTCAGCTTTCTGTTCCTGTGTTAATTTGCTTAGGTTGATGGCCTCCAACTGCATCCATATTGCTGTACAGGACATTATTTTGTTATTTTTAATGGCTACATAGTACTTCATAGCGTATAGGTACCACATTTTTTATTCAGTCCACCACTGATGGGCACGTAAATTGATTCCATGTCCCTTCTATTGTGAATAGTGCTGGAATGAACATTAGAATGATGAGTGCATGTGACATTTTGGTGGAAAAATTTATTTTTTGGTGGGTATATACCTAGTAATGGGATTATCAGATGGAATGGTAGTTCTGTTTTAAGTTACTTCAGAAATCTCCAAACTGTTTTCCACAGTGGCTGAACTAATTTACATTCTCATCAACAGTGTGTTTAGTATTTCCTTTTCTCTGCATCCTTGACATCATCTACTATTTTTTTTTAATTTTAAATGATAGCCATTCTGACTGGAGAGACATAATATTTGCATTTATCTGATGATTAGCAATAAAGAGCATTATTTCATGTATATTGGCTGCTTGTACGTCTTCTTTTGAGAAGTGTATGTTCATGTCTTCTGTCTATTTTTTAATACGGTTAGTTTGCTTTTTGCTTGTTGAACTGTTGAAATTCTTTATAGATTCTGGATATCATACCTTTGTCAGAAGTATAGTTTGCAAATATTTTCTTTTATTCTGTAGCTTGTTTACTCTGTTGACAGTTTCTTTTGCTGTGCAGAAGCTCTTTAGTTTAATTAGGTCACAATTGTGGTTTTTTTCCAATTGCTTTTGAAGACACTGTCATATTTTTTTCCCAAGGCTACTGTCCAGAAAGGTGTTTCCTGGGTTTTCTTCTAGGATTCTTACAGTTTGAGGTCTTGCAATTAAATGTTTAATCCATCTTGAGTTATATTCACATATGATAAATGATAGGAATCCAGTTTCATTCTTCTGCATATGACTAGCTAGCTATCCCAGCACCATTTATTGACTAGGGAGCTCTTTCCCCATTGCTTAATTTTGTTGTCTTGGCTGAAAATTAGATGGCTGTAGGTATGCAGCTTTTGACAATAATATGCTGCCATGCTCTACAACTTTTATGGCTACTTCAACTTACAACATGTCATAAATATATGTAATATTTACTTTAAGGGAAGTCAACAGTTTAGATAAATAGCAATGTAAAGGACTACAGAAGGGTAGAAAGTTTTCATATTTGTTTTATTCCATTATATGCTGTCAGTTTTTACTTCCTTTTGGTTCAGAATTCTTTAAAAGTATCTAATTAGCATAGGTATTTTCATTAGAATTAAAAAAATGCCAACAGAATTAGGAGATGTAATTAATCTGACTTCAGAGCAACAGTGAACATAATGCAATTTGAATTCACCTTAATATATGCTACTCTTTTCTCCAATTTCTTACTCCTGGAAAACAATTCTGGTGTGTGTGTGTGTGTGTGTGTGTGTGTGTGTGTGTGTGTTTAACATACTCTTTTGTTAATCATGTAATTAATTGCCTTTTAGATTACATTTTATTAACACATGCTGAAAGCACAGCATCAATGCCAAATAGAGTTATCTTTTCTTCTTTGTAATCTTGTTAAAGACTGCAATATTGATGCTAGATTTTAACGTGGTTTGTGACTTATCACTTACCTTAAATTAAGACATGTCAAGCAATAAAAAATAAGCACACAGTGTTTTCCTTTACAAGCTATTAGCTTTTTCTGAGCAGAGAAAAACATTTAAGCAATATATGGCTAAAATTTAAAATACAATGAACTATTTTACTACTGTTACATATTTTTGAGGCTAAGCCTACTCTCAGTCAATACATTTCTTCTTAATGTTATACCTTCAACTTACTGAATTCAAAAAAGGGAACAGTTTACCTATTTAAGAGGAGTGAGAAACTCTGAAAATTATGAATAATTAAGTAAAACTACAGTAAAGTCTTATAATTATGTAGGTGTGCTACTTGAGCCTTTAGGATTAGCTTTATTTTTATAAGAAATATAAATTTTTCAAGATTATGGAATATTATTTTATCTGTTTAAACCAATTAAAAACAATATTTTGCATAATATAATATTATGATTAAATAATTCTTACTTAGAATTTCCTTCTGGGGAAATGGTGCTCTGGAAGAACCACTCTACCTCTCTTGTCATATCACTGACTTGACTCTTGGAGCCCAAGCTAAAACTGCACACACTCTCCCAGAGAAGTGGTGCCTTGAAAAATTTACTCCATATTCCCTTCCCAGTCACTGTTACGCTTTGCCCCTAGGGAGCTGAACTAAACTTGGATATGGCCTCCTGATATGAGGCCTTTGCACAACTGCTCCAAAACGTTCTCCCCATCATGCTGTACCCTGTCCAACTGTGCTGGAGCTGAAATAACACCAGGCATCCCAGGAGAATGGTGCCTTAGCTACCTAGAGCTGTTGTGCTTATGACAGTCTGTGCCTGAACAAAAGTGATACCCTGTCTTCTGGGAAAACAGTACCTAGGATGCTCAGAACAGGCATGCCTTACTGGTGCCTAAGTTGAACCAGTTCTCTGCCTCCCAGGAAATGCTGTGTTGGCTGCCCGGAGTGGCCATGCACCCCAGAACCTAAGGTAAAGTGGAGCCTTGCATATCAGGGAAATGGTGGTTGGGCCACCCAGAGAACAGCCACATCTTCTGGGCATGAGTCAAAAAGGAACATTGCCCACAGAGGAAATGGTACCTTGCTAAGCTAAGTAGCTACACATCCCAGGGCTGAGCTGACATAGTACCCTATATTTCAGAAAAACAGAGCAATGGCTGAGCTGAGATGCTCTGTCTGACGGCCCAAACTACTCTAGTACCATGCTTCTGTGAAGTGGGAATAACCATCTAGAATCTGAGCTGAGTCACCCCTCTCCGTGGGGAGTGGAGTCATCACTGTACTGTTTCTTATCCCTCCCCTGCCCCCAGCGTCCAGGCAGAAGCTGTGCTCCATTATTCTGGGGTACTTTCTTCCAATGATTCTGACCTCATGGAGTCTGGGATACAACTCAACCCTACCATCCCAGGGTCTAGAGCTACCACTCAATGTGCCTTGACTCTTGGGACCTGAATTGCCACTGAGCCCATTGGCTCTGATTCCTGAATTGCATTCATACTCTGCACTCCAGGGCCAAACCTCCAGAACACCACTTCTTTCCTGGAGTCAGACTAGTCCTGTGCCCTGCACTCAAGGATCGCAGCTACAACTGAGCCTCCCTGGGCCTGAGCTGCAAGAAGATTTCTCAGAGTCACAGATCCTGGCTCTATGTGCAATGTACATCCACTCTACCACAGAAAGAAAACAAACCTGCCCAAGAACCAAGTGACACAATAGGTTTGTGAGACCCCGAACCTAGGATCCTGGCCCCACAGCTGCTCCAAGCACCTGTACCTGGAACCACTGCAGCTGCTCTTAGGTCATGTCAGACCTGACACCAAGAGGAATATTTTCAGCTAAGTCTCCTAATTTTGTAGAAAATTGTATAGGTTTGAAAAGTTCTTGCTACTTAAGACCATACCAGCTTAGGCCCACTGCTGCAAACTTCTGCAACCTAGGCCACTTACATACCCACAGCTATTGCTGACACTTTACACAGCTGAAGAAACTTCATGGAGATCGTGTCACTGCATCTATCCAGAAGCAGTCACCACACCCATCCTAACAAGCCTCCTAAGATTCAAAATCAGGTGAAAGTAATTCTCTACAAAAGCCACCCTGAAAGTTTGGAAAAGGCAATTGTTCCCCCAGAGGAACAGACATCAATGCAGAAATACAAGAAACATTAAAAAATTTAAAAAAACCAAAACGCTACAACAGTAACACAATAACTCTATAGTAACATACCACAATGAAAAGGAAATATGAGTTGCCAGTAACAAAAACTCAAAATCGACCAGGTGTGGTGGCTCACACCTGTAATCCCAGCATTTTGGGAGGCTGAGTTGGGAGGATCACTTGAGTCTAGGAGTTCAAAACCAGCCGGGAGGAATAGAGAGACCCATTCTCTACAAAAATTTTTAAAAATAGCTGGGTGTGGTGGTTCACATTTGTTTTCCAATCTACTCAAGAGTCACAAGGAGGAGGATTGCTTGGGCCCAGGAGGTTGAGGCTTCAGTGAGCCATGGTCACCCCACTGCACTGCAGCCTGTGTGAAAGAGCAAGAACCTATCTCAAAAAATAAAGAGTAATTCAAAATAATAATCTTATAGGAACTCAATCAGAAAACTAATTCACAACATGAATAAGAAATTTAACAAGGAAATAAATATCAAAAAAAGCAAACAGGAAAATGGCAGCTAAAGAAGTCAATAAATAAATGAAAAGAGAAAGAAAGCTTCAACAGCTGACTTGATGAAGCAAAAGGATTTCTGAACATTCAGATCCCAGAAGCTCAAAAGTTCTTAAATAGATTCAACCCAAAAAAATTCTTCTACAAGAAACATTATAGTCAAATCGTCAAAAGTCAAAGGCAAATATATATTTTAAAAACATCAAGATAAAAGCGTCAAGTCACATATAAGGTAACTCCCATTAAACTAACATCAGAATTATCAATATAAGCTTTTCAAGCCAGGCAAAAATGAGAAGCTATATTCAAAGCACTGAAAGAAAAAAAATACTAGCCTTGAATACTATACTGAGAACATCTATACTTCAGGAATGAGGGAGAATAAAGTTTTTCTCAGACAAGCAAAAACAGAGGTAATTTATCCCCACTAGACCAGCCTTACAAGAAATGCTCAAGGAAGTCCTACATCTGGATGTGAGAAAATAAAAATCACCATCACAAAAACACACAAAACTATAAAACTCACTGGTAAAGCAGATACACAAAGAGAAAGAGAAAAGAATCAAACCTTATCAATACAGAAAACCACCAAGCCACAAAGAAAAATAAGACAGAAAGGGCCAAGGATAAAGACAATAAGAAGATAATTAACAAAAGGACCAAAATAAATCCTCATTTATCAATATTAATCTTAAATGTAAACAGATTAAATGTCCCACTTAAAATATACAGACTTGATAGATAAATAAAATGACCCAACTACATCTGTCTATAAGAAATGCACTTAACCTGTATACACAAATATAGATTAAGAGTGAAATTATAGAAAAATTACTCCACAAAACAGAATCCAAGAGTGAACAGAATTAGTTACACTTATGTAAGATAATATAGACTTTAAGTAAAAGAAAGTAAAAAGAGAAAATGAAGGTAGTTATATAATCAAAAAGGGAATAATGCCACAAGATGATATAACAATTATAAATACATAGGCACCTAACAGCAGAACACCTAGGTATATAATCCAAATATTACTAAATATAAAGGGAGAGAGACTCCAGTACAATAACAGTGGGAGACTTCAACTTCCCACTCTCAGGATTGGACACATCATCTAGACAAAATTAACAAAGAAACATTAGACTTAAACTGCACTTCAGAGAAAATGAACCTAAGTGCTAGTCATGAAATTTTCATCCAACAGCTGCAGAATACATATTATTTTCATAAGTACATGGAACGTTTTCCACGTTTGGCCACAAAACTAATTTTAACAGATAAATTAAATCATATCATGGCTTTTGTGATCACCATGGAATAAAGCCAGAAATAAATAACAAGAGAAACTTTTAAAAGTGCATGAATTCATGAAAATTAAACATCACACTCCTGAATGATCAACACTTCAAAGAAGAAAAATAGAAGTTGAAAATGTCTTCAAACAAATAAAAACAGAAAATCAACATATCAAAAACCATGAGATACAGTAAAAGCAGCATTAACAGGGAAGTTTATAGCAATCAATGCCTACATCAAAGAAAGTAGAAAGATTTCAAATAAACAACCTAATGATGTATCTCAATAATCTAGAAAAGCAAGAACAAACCAAGCTGAAAAAAATAGTGGGAGAAATAGATAATAAAAATTGGATCAAAAATTAAAGACATAGAGACTGAAAACATAATACAATTTATCAATTAAACAAATAGTTGTTTTTAAAAGGTAAAGAAAATTAAGAAACCATTACCTAAAATAAATAAGAAAAAAGTATACACCTTAAAAACCAATCAGAAACAAAAAAGAGACATTACAACTTATTTCACAGAGATAGGAAGACTTATCAGGGTCTATTATGAATAACTGTATACAAGCAAATGAGAAAATCTAGTAGAAGTGAATACATTTCTAAGCACATACCATCCACTGAATTTCAACCAAGAAGAAATATGAAACCATAACAGATCAATTATAAGTAACAAGATTGAATCAGTAATGCAAATATTCCTATCAAGGAAAATCCCAGGAACCAACAGCTCAGCTCCTGAATTTTACCCAACATCAAAAGAAGAACTCATATCAATTCTTTTCGAATTCTTCCAGAGAACTGAAAAAAAGGGAATTATTCCAAACTTCTACAAACCCAACAATGCTCTAACACTAAAACCAGACAAAGACACAAAAGCACATATGCACATACACAATCCATAACACAACTATCAGTCAATTTCTCTATTAAATATAAATGCAAAAATATTCAACAAAATATAACAAGTCAAATTAAAAAGCTTTTTTTTGGACGGGCATGATGGCTCATGCCTGTAATCCCAACACTTTGGGAGGCCAAGGTGGGCAGATCACAAAGTCAGGAGATGGAGACCATCCTGGCTAACATAGTGAAAACCCATCTCCAGTAAAAGTACAAAAAATTAGCCAGGCGCGGTGGCACGCACCTGTAGTCCCAGCTACTCTGGAGGCTGAGGCAGGAGAATTGCTTGAACCCGGGAGGCAGAGGTTGCACTGAGCCAAGATCGCGCCATTGCACTCCAGCCTGAGCGACAGAGCGAGACTCCATCTCAAAAATTAAATTAAATTAAATTAAAATAAAAAGCTTTTTCACAGCAAAGTCAATAGCCAATAGCCAACTAGCAGATAGGGAGAAAATATTTGCAAACTATTCATCCAAAAAGGATTAATATTCAGAATATACAACGTCAAACAACTCAACTACAAAGAACAAATAACCTGCTTTTTTTAAAGAGAAAATGAGTTCAATAAATATTTCTAAAAAGACATACAAATATCCAACACATATATGGAAAAGTGCTCAACATCATTAATCAATAGGGAAATGCAAATCCAAAACACAATGAGATTTTATTTCACAACAATTAGAGTGGCTATTATCAAGGAGTCAAAAAATAACAAATGTTGGAAAGGATGCAGAGAAAGGGAAACTCTTATTTGCTGTTGGTGGGAATCTAAATTAGTACAGCCATTATGGAGAATAGTATGAAAGTTCTTTAAGACACTAAAAATAGAGCTCTCATATGACCCAGCAATCCTTCCTTTGGTTATATATCCAAAGGAAATAAAATCAATATGCCAAAGAGATATCTACATTTTCATGTTTATTGAAGCACTATTCACAATAACCAAAATATAGAATCAAACTAGGTATACATCAATAGACAAATGAATAAAGAAAATGTGGTATATATGCACACTGGAATACTATTCAGCCATATTAAAAATGAAATTCTGTCATTGTGACATCATTGATGAATTTGGAGAATATTACATTAAATAAAATAAACCATGCACAGAAAGACAAACTGCTAATCTCTTCCATATGCGGAAGCTAAATAAGTTGATCTCATAGAAGTAGAGAGTAGAATCATGATTACTAGATAGTGGGAAGGGCAGAGTTACTCAGAGTTTGGTGAAGGAATACAAAATTATAATTAAATAGGAGGAATATGTTTAAGTGTTCTAAGGCACTGTAGATTGACTTTAATTAGTAATTAATTATATATTTTCATATTCCTAGAAGAGCAGATTTTGAATGTTGCCAGCATAAATAAATAATAAATGTTTTAGATGAAGGGGATGCTAATTGCTTTGATTTGACCATCATAAATTTTATATGTTTATCAATATTTTACATTGTGCCTAACAAATACATAAAATGTTTGTGTCAATTAAAAATAATAAAAGCAGAAAAAGAAGTAGATTTAGTATTATATAAGATACAACTCACAAAAACCTTTACATCATACCATGATAAAATAATTGACCAAGTCTGTCAATGTGAAAAAATAGAAATCTAAACCAAATAGAGATTAACTGAAATTATCTACCAGTAGAAAACAATATTACTAACATAATGTTAAGATTATATAATTCATATTTAAGCATATTCTTTTGTGTTTGTGGATTTACATAAATTAGTTATACTTCAAAATTAAAGTTGGTAGGAATAATAATGACCTCCTTGTAAGATCTACATGCAATATCCTTTATTTTGTGAATACCTTCACTTGTATGGCAAAGGTGATTAAGATTATAGATGAGCTTAAGTTTGATAATTCATTGATTTTGAAATAGATTATCCTGGATTTTTCAGTGGGCACAATATAATTATAAGGATCCTTAAAAGTGAAATAGGGGACCAGAAGCAGAGACTCAAAGGAAGATTTGATGATGGAAAAAGCATAACAAAAACACCAGGGGTTAGGTCTAGGTCCTGTTGCTAACTGCACAGAAGGCCAATCACTGAGACAATGCATATTGCCGGGGGAGAAGATCTTTATTTGGGTGACACAACAGGGAGATAGGGATTAAGTCTCAAATCTGTGTCCCTAATTAACTGAATTTGGAGGTTCATATAGTGGGGAAGAAATGTAGTTACATGTGGATAGAAAGAAATTAGAGAGAGATAAGGAAGAGAAGTTGTCTGGATTTGGTGATCTGGTTAGTTTCAGTTCCTTGATACTATCTGGAATGCCCAAGGGTCAGTTTTTCAAGAAAATGACTCCGATAAGAAAAACACAGGTTTTAAGCTTTAAAACTAGAAGGGTCAATTTCTGTGTTTAATTTTTAAAAAACTGTAAATATCAGTTCTACTGGGGAAATGGGTAGAGAGTGATGTAATATTGCTGGCTTTAAAAATAAAGGTGAGGAAAGGCTCTGGAACATTTATAATACGAGGAAGCAGATTTTTTTTCAAAAACTCCTTATAAAGAAATACAGCCCTGCAAACTCTGATTTTAGCCAAAGAAAATCACATCAGATTTGTGATCTATAAAGCTGTAAGATAATACATTTTCAGGTTTTTTAAACTGCTACATTTGTGAAAATTTGCTATGGCAGTGTTAGAAAACAAATGTGAATTTAAAGTAAATTTAAATTTTTAAACATATTGTAAAAAAGCAGGCTTAAAGTGCATTCAAAACCTTCTCTTGCTATCTCCTTTATGAATGTAGGACAGAAAGTAAGAGGATAGTGGCGGAATCTTACGTGGGGGTTTCTGAAGCATCAGATATCAAGATGTTCCAGGAATTCAAAGTTAGAAAATACACAAATGACTAAAGTTTGGTGACATGACAGGTAAAAAGTACACAATGATAGTTTGATAAACTGTATTTCTATTAAAGGATATCTGCAATGCTGAGGAGTAGGAGAAGGAAACATTTCTCAGTCTTCCTAATCTCATAGAATAAAAACGTACATTTCACAATCTAAATTATTCACAATCTTTTAATATTGAGATGGACTGTGTTATGGTTTGGCTCTGTTTCACCACCCAAATCTCATCTCAAATTACAATCCCTCCATGTTGAGAGAGGGACCTAGTGGAGGTGACTGGATCATTGGATCAGATTTTCTCTTTGCTGATTTTGTGATAGTGAGTGAGTTCTTTTGAGATCTTGTTGTTTGATAGGCATCTGGTGCTTCCCCCTGCTCTCTCTCCCCTGCTGCCATGTAAGTAAGATGTGCCTTGTTTCCCCTTTGCCTTATGCCATGACTGTAAGTTTTCTGAGGCCTCCCAAGCCACAGGAAACTGTGAGTCAATTAAACCTCAGTTCTTTATAAATTACCCAGTCTCAGGTAGTATATTTACAGCAATGTGAGATTTGATTAATACAAAAGAATTGGTACTGGGAGTGGGGCACTGCTATAAAGATAACCTGAAAATGTGGAAGCTGCTTTGGAACTGGGTAACAGGCAGAAGTTGGAACAATTTGGAGGGCTCAGAAGGAGACAGAAAAATGTGGGAAAGTTTGGAACTTCCTAAAGACTTGTTGAATGGTTTTGATCAAAATACTGATAGTGATATGAACAATGAAGTCCAGGTTGAGGTGGTCTCAGATAGAGATGAGAAACTTATTGGGAAATGTAGTAAATGTCACTCATACTATGCTTGAACAAAGAGACTGGTGGCATTTTGCTTCTGTCCTAGAGAACCGGAACTTTAAACTTCAGAGAGATGGTTTAGGGTATCTGGCTGAAGAAATTTCTAAGCAGCAAAGCATATAATATGTGACCTGGCTTATTCTGAAAACATTCAGTTATATGCATTCTCAAAGAGATGGTCTGAAATTGGAACTTATGTTTAACAAATAAGTAGATCATAAAGGTTTAGAAAATTTGCAGCCTGACCATATGGTAGAAATGAAAAACCGATTTTCTGGGGAGGAATTCAAGCTAGCTGCTGAAATTTGCCTAAGTAACAAGGAGCTGAATGTTAATAGTTAATGTTAATGGAGAAAATGTCTCCAGGGCATGTCACAGACCTTCATGGTAGCCCCTCTCATCAGATGCCAGCAGCCCTAGGAGGGAAAAAATGGCTTTGTGGGCTGGGCCCAGGGCCCTATTGCTCTGTGCAGCTTCAGGACTTGGTTCGCTGCCTCCCAGACACTCCAGCTCCAGTCATGGCTAAAAGGAGCTAAGGTATAGCTTGAGCCGTCGTTTCAGAGGGAGCAAGCCCAAGTCTTGGTGGCTTCCATGTGGTGTTGGACCTGCTGGTGTGCAGAAGACAAAAGTTGAGATTTTGGAGCCTCCACCTAGATTTTAGAGGATGTATGAAATGCCTGGATGTCCAGGGAGACGTTCGCTCCAGGGTCGGAGACCTCGTGGAGAACCTTTGCTAGGGCAGTGCAGAAGGGAAATGTGCAGTTGCAGCCCCCACAGAGTCCCCACTGGGGCACTGCCTAGTGGAGCTGTGAGAAGGGGACCGCTGTCCTCCAGACCACAGAAAGGTAGATCCAGCGACAGTTTGCCCTGTGTGCCTCGAAAAGCTGCAGGCACTCAATGTCAGCCTGTGAAACAGCCACAGGGTTGTACCCTGCAGAACCACAGGGCAGACCTGCCCAGGGCCTTGGGAGACCAACCCTTGCATCAGTGTGCCCTGGATGTGGGACATGGACTCAAAGGAGATAATTTTGATGTTTTAAGATTTAATAACTACCCTACCAGGTGTCGGACTTTCACAGGGCCTGTAGCCCGTTTGTTTTGGCCAATTTCTCCCATTTCAAATAGGAACGTTTACCCAATGCCTGTACCCCCATTGTATCTTAGAAGTAACTAATTGCTTTTGATTTTACAGGCTCATAGGTGGAAGGGACTTGCCTTGTCTCAGATGAGACTTCGGACTTTAACTTTTGAGTTAATAGTAGAATGAGTTAAGATTTGGGGGGGACTGTTGGAAAGGCATGGTGTGTTTTGAAATGTAAAAAGAATATGAGATTTTGGCAGGCAAGGGTGGAATGATATGGTTTGGCTGTGCCCTTACCCAAATCTCATCTCGAATTGTAATCCCCATGTGTCAAGGGATAGACCTGTTGGGACATGATTGGATCACGTGGGGGGATTTCCCCCTTGCTGTTCTTGTGATAGTGAGTGAGTTCTCACAAGATCTGGTCGTTTGGTAAGTATCCGATGCTTCTTCCTTCTCACTTTTGCTCTTTCTTCCTACCATGTAAGTCATGCCTTGTTTCCCTTTCACTTTCCACCATGATTCTAAGTTTTCTGAGGCCTCCCCAGCCATGTGAAACTGTGAGTCAATTAAACCTCCTTTCTTTATAAATTACCCAGTCTCAGGTAGTATCTTTATAGCAGTGTGAGAATGGATTAATATAGACTGTCTTTTGCTTCTGAATGAGTGTGAGAAGAAAGAGGATGCCACACAACGATGCATGAGAGTGATAAGACTTTGCTGTTCATTCTTTCCAGCCTACAAATATAGAAGCTGTTATTTCTCTTCTTCCTGCTGCTTGACTGTCATTCCAAGATAAAAAGTTCTAAAGGTATTAAGAAAAAATACTATTTTGAGTAAGAAAAGGGAATCCTCTCGTAATATGACTTCATAACCTGAAAGGAAGGACACATTGAACTAAAGAAAGAGACTAATAAAAACAATAAAAATAGATAATTAACCAAGAAAATACAATTAAAATATGCAAACAAACAAAAAGCTTCAAAACTCAGAACTATGTAAAGAATGTTTCTAATTTTTGAATTAAAATTAACTGCAATAGAAACAATCATTTGTAAGAAATAAATATATTTTCCAAAATATAAACTGAATAAAAATATTTTAGAATTGAAAACAAAGTAAGAAAGAACTGGAAATCATATTCAAAAAAATCAGACACATGGTCATGTAAGGTGTAAATAAAAATATCAAAAACATATAAGAATAAAAAAGAGAAAAGAAGACATAAAGCAATAAAATATTTCTGAGAATAATTAATACTTTAGCATTAGAGTGAAATATTTACATGTATCCCTTGAATCATTAATTTAAAATATACCTGCACATTTTCCATCAAAATTACTAAAATCCAAAAGTGAAGAGAAAAATGTACACAAATGTCAACACATAAAGAATATTATACTCACAAGGGAAAGACAAATAATACTAATAGCAATGTTCATCAGAAAGTATTCAAAACAAATAAGTACTATATCTGAGTATAGCTTTCAAAATAGAAAAGGCCTGGAATCAGTAGTTGGCAATGAGTCTACCTGTGTATGGCAGAAATTACATCAAGGATTGAAAAATCCAATTAACAAAAATGAGCTAACATTTATATTTAGTACATTATTTTCAATAATTGCAGAAAGGAGTGTTTTAAATAACAATATAATAGTGTTTTTTGAATTGCCATGTGGTGAGACATAGACAAATACATTAAAAATAAATTAGACGACTTAATTGGAAAATTCCCAAAGCTTAGAAATCGACAAATAAATACTTTAATAACCAACTGGTCAGGAAATCACAAAGAATTAGCATTTTAACAATAAAAAAAGTGTTTACAGCAAAAAATGCTGCAATATTCAATACAAGAAAACTTAAGTGTGTGTTGATCAAGTAGTTATATTTCACATTGTATACACAAAAAACTAATCTTGGTGGACTGTATATCTCAATGTGAAATAAAATAAATATACACTTATATAAAGCTTACATTAAGGAGCTAAGTAATACATTAGAATGCATATATATTAATTTGAAATAAGGAAACATTTTTTAAACTTGATGGAAGAATCCCTTAATCCAAAAGGAAAATCTGATAAAATGGATCATGTTTTGTTCACCAAATGATTGTTCTGTTTGATCTGTTCATCAAACATTTAAGGAATAAAATGGCATACAGAGAATAACATGCATTTACAATAGATATAAACAACATAGCACCAATTTCAAGTATCTGAAAATAATTATAAACAAAAAGATAAAGGCAGATAATCCAATGTAAAAAAATGTATGGGGGACTGAAAAGGCATTTCACACACACAAAAAAATTTCATGTTGAATAAATCACAGATAGATTTATGTCTTAGAAAATTATGTGTGTGATTAATTACTGTTTAAAAATTCTGATACAATGTAAGGTAAAGGTCAAGTTTCATATTTTACATATAGATACCCAAAGGGACCATCATAATTTTTTAAAACAAATTATTCATTCTCCTTGAATTTCCTGGTATCATAACATGAAATTAAAAATTGACCATAATAGATAATTTCTGGACTCTCTAGTCTTTCCACATTATCAATATATCTATTCATATGTGGAAAACTTACTGCTTTTGCTTCTATAGCTTTATACAAAAACTTCGTTACTTGACATTTATGCTCCAACTTTTTTTCAAAATTATTTTGATTATTTTAAATTCTTTGAATTTTAATTTAAATTACAGAATGAATTTGTTAATTTTGACAAAATTCAGAAGAAATTTTGATTAGGATTGCATAGCAATTATGTTAAATTTAAAGAAGATTGCTATTTTAAAGTGGTTGAGCCTTCCAATTTATTAACATGTCTCTCCATTTATTTAAATTTTCTTCACTATATCTTAACAATATTTTTAGGTTTCAGCATGCAGAACTTGAGTAGATTTTGTGTAATTTATCTATAGCTATGTCATGTTTTCAATTTTTTCAAAATGGTATTCTAATTCACATTTGTCCTTTGGTATCATATAGAAATAGTCTCAATTTTTAATTGACAAGCAATAATTACATATATTTATGGTGTAAATATAATATTATGATACATGTACATATTGTAGAATGATTCAGTTGATCTAATTAGGATATCCATCACCACACATATTTTTTCCTTTGTGGTGACAATATTTAAAGTCTACTCTGAACAATTTTGAAGCATGATCTCACTTATATATGTGGAATCTAAAAATGTTGGACTTGTAGAATTGTGGTTACCAGGAATGGGGTATATAGACAGAGGAAGAGGAAATGTTATTCACAGAGTACAAACTTTCAGTTAGATAAGAAATAGATTTATGTGAGCTATTACACCGCATGGTGACTATAGTTAATAATAATATATTATGTATTTTGAAATACCTTAATTTTTGTATGTCAACCTTGATATTGCTAAACTCTTTCTAATTGGGGTAGATTTTTTCTTCTATATATACTTGGGGAAAAATTACAGTTGATGTTCACTTTTTCAATTCTGATATTATTAATTGTGTGACTCAAACAGATCTCTTGAGGGAAAACATCAAAAAATTAATAGACAGCCAACACAGACACCACTGTTAAAGAGGGAGAAAGCTGGGCAGCTTGTTCAGAGTCACTAGCAAGAGGATTGCCTCCCACCTCCAACAAAAGGAAGAGGTGAGTGAAGGAACCCTGGCGCAACACAGTCCCATAGTGGACCTCTGACATCCTAACTGCAGGATTTCTCACAAACTTTGGTATGGCAGGGGGATCTACCCAGGAAACAAGTAGAGGCACAACTTTAACTACATGGAGCTCAGAAGGCTTCATTGTACTGTGCAGCAGCAGCAAAATGCAACCATAAGCACCAATCCCCCAAGGCACTCCATCTTGCTGTAAATGGTGGCAACTCCTACTGTCTGCTGGGTCAGGAGACAGCAAGGCTGCCATTGTGACAGGACCAAGGTGCATCTCATCCATGTGTGCCCTTGTCTGCCAATCTTTCCCAAGACTGTCTCTCTGGCTGTTCCCACAGCACAACTTCCATTGCCCTGCCTGGGTGTTTTACTCATATCCAGAAAGAAGTTCACCCCCAAATCAGAGGCATTGCTTGACCCCCAGAGATCAGAGGACAAATCCATGGTCTCAGTTCTGACATTCCAGGACTCAAACACTGCCCAGGGATACTGGGTCTGTGACCTAAGCTTGAGTGTGGAAGGAGGTCTCAGTGTTAGAACATGGATGAATGTAATGTGGGTTTATGTGACTGTATGGGAGCTAGGCACCCCTCTCTTTGCAAGACTGGGTCAGAAATGATGTGGCTACAGGGATGTCTCAAACAGGTCAGAGATCTCAGCACAGATGTCTTGAAGACAGCCTAGCTGGTTGGGCATGCTCCTGGGGAAGATGCCAAAGGAAGACTCATCATGTGAAAGGAGTGTGAGCTGGGCAAGCCCTACAGTCATATACTGTGATAAAAACAATGCACTGCGGGTGCCATACCAGTTGCATACCACTGTCCTGCCCAGTGGTCCTCTATCATTGACTCACTGCATCACCAGAACACCCACAGACATGCTCTAACTTTGGCAAGCGCAGAGGTTGTGGATCTCCTGGTAATCTGACCTTTGGCACAAATTGCCCTTAGGGAAGAGGGAACACAGCTCACCAAAGCCCTCCCTGTGGCAAAGAATATGTGGATGCAGGACCAGTAGTTGAAGGGAACACCACCCAGGCCCAGGAATAAACTGAAAAGTAAGTCATATCTCCCTCCACTCACCTCCCTTCCCCAAAGCACTGTTATGGATGCATGGAAATACAGCAAGGGTGAGCTTGGCTGAGTATGATCTGATCTACCAGCCCTGGCTCTTAAGCAACATCTAAAAATGATCCGAGAGTTGAAGGATGACATGGCTATATTAAGAAAGAACCAAACAGAACTTCTGTAGTTGAAAGATTTACTACAGAAATTTTAGATAGAATTTGGATTAAACCAAGAGATTAGACCAAGCAGCGGAAAGAATTTCAGATCTCAATTAGCAGTCCTTTGAATGAACTCAGTCAGACAAAAATGAAAACAAAAAGAATTTTTTTAAGTGAGAAAAGTCTCTGAGAAATATGTGATTATGTAAAGCAACCAAACTTAATACTCATTTACATTTCTGAGAAATAAGAGAATTTAAGCAACTTCAAAAACATGTTTGATTATATAACCCACTAATATTTCTAAATATTTTCCCCAATTTTATAAATCATTATTGGTCTGTTCAGGGTTTCTATTACTTCCGAGTTTAATCTTGGAAGGGTGTGTGTTTCTACAAATTTATCTATTATCTGTAGGTTTTCTATTTTGTGCACGCTTAATGTACACAGTAGTCATGAGAAGTTGATATGCAGGTACAAGAAATTTAAAAAGCTCATGTGAGATGCTATAGAAGTCAATCATCCCTAAAGTACAGAGTCATCAGACTTTTCAAGGTCAATGCAATAGAAAAATTTCAAAGGCAGCTAAAGAAAAGGGCCATACTATCTATGAAGGAAACCCTATCAGAATAACAGTGGACTCTTCAGCACAAACCTTACAAGCCAGAAGGGATTGGAGGCCTATTTTTAGCATTCTTAAAGATAAAATATTCCAACCAAGATTTTTATATCCCACCAAACTGAACATAGTAAGTGAAGGAAAAATAAAACCTCACATAACAATATTAACCTTGAATGTAAATGTTCTAATCACTCTACTTAAAAGACACAGAGTTGCAAATTGGATTTAAAAAAATCCAACCTTCTTCTGTCTTCAAGAGACCCATCCCACATGTAATGATACATATGGGCTCAAGGTAAAGTAATGTAAATGAGGATTCCCATTCCAAGATGGCCAAATAAGAACAGATCTGGTCTGCAGCTTCCAGTGTGATTGACACAGAAGACAGGTGATTTCTGCATTTCCAACCTGGGTACCTGGTTCATCTCACTGGGACTAGTTGGACAGTGGGTGCAGCCCATGGAGGGCGAGGCAAAGCAGGGCAGGGTGTTGCCTCACCTGGGAAGGGTGAGGGGTCCCTTCCTAGCAAATGGAAGCCATGACAAACTGTACCTGGAAAAATGGGACACTTCCACCCAAATACTACGACTTTCCCAAAGTCTTAACAACTGGCAGATCAGGAGATTTCCTCCTGTGCCTGGCTCAGTGGGGCCAGTCCCACAGAGCCTTGATCACTGCTAGTGCAACAGTCTGGGATCCACCTGGTAGGCTGCAGCGTGCCTGGGGGAGGGACGTCTGCCATTGCTGAGGCTTGAGTAGGTAAACAAAGTGGCTGGGAAGCTCAAACTGGGCAGAGCCCACTGCAGCTCAGCAAGTCCTACTGTCTCTATAGACCCCACCTCTGTGGGCAGGGCATAGCTGAACGAAAGGCAGCAGAAACTTCTGTAGACTTAAACGTCCCTGCCTGACAGCTCTGAAGAGAGCAGTGATTCTCCCAGGATGGCATTTGAGCTCTAAGAATGGACAGACTGCCTCCTTAAGTGGGTCCCTGACCCCCATATAGCCTAACTGGGAGACACCTCTCAGTAGGGGCCGACAGACACCTCATACAGGTGGGTGACCCTCTGGGACAAAGCTTCCAGAGGGAGGATCAGGCAGCAATATTTGTCATCCTGCAATATTTGCTATTCTGCAGCCTCCGCTGGTGATACCTAGGCAAACAGGGTCTGGAGTGAACTTCCAGCAAACTCCAACAGACCTGTAGCTAAGGGATCTGACTGTTAGAAGGAAAACTAACAAACAGAAAGGAATAGCATCAACATCAACAAGAAGGACATCTACACCAAATCCCCATCTGTAGGTCACCAACATCAAAGACCAAAGGTAGATAAAACCACAAAGATGGGGAGAAACCAGAGCAGAAAAGCTGAAAATTCTAAAAACCAGAGCCCCTCTTCCTCTCCAAAGGATTGCAGCTCCTCACTACAATGGAACAAAGCTGGACGGAGAATGACTTTGACAAGTTGACAGAAGTAGGCTTCAGAAGGTTGGTAATAACAAACTTCTCCAAGCTAAAGGAGCATGTTCGAATCCATCACAAGGAAGCTAAACACCTTGAAAAATGGTTAGATGAATTGCTAACTAGAATAAACAGTGTAGAGAAGACCTTAAATGACCTAATGGACGTGAAAACCATGGCACTAGAATTTCGTGACTCATGCACAAGCTTCACTAGCCGATAAGATCAACTGGAAGAAAGGGTATCAGTGATTGAAGATGAAACAATGAAATAAAGTGAGAAGACAAGTTTAGAGAAAGAAGAGTAAAAAGAAATGAACAAAGCCTCAAAGAAATATGGGATTATGTGAAAAGACCAAATCTACATTTGATTGGTGTACCTGAAAGTGATGGGGAGAATGGAACCAAGTTGGAAAACACTCTTCAGGATACTATCCAGGAGAACTTCCCCAATCTAGCAAGGCAGGCCAACATTTAAATTCAGGAAATACAGAGAACACCACAAAGATACTCCTCGAGAAGAGCAACCCAAAGACATATAATTGTCAGATTCACCAAGGTTGAAATGAAGGAAAAAATGTTAAGGGCAGCCAGAGAGAAAGATCAGGTTACCCACAAAGGGAAGCCCATCAGACTCACAGAAGATCTCTCGGCAGAAGCCCTACAAGCCAGAAGAGAGTACGGGCCAATATTCAACATTCTTAAAGAAAATAATTTTCAACTGAGAATTTTGTATCCAGCCAAACTAAGCTTCATAAGTGAAGGAGAAATAAAATCCTTTACAGACAAGCAAATGCTGAGAGATTTGTGACCATCAGGCCTGCCTGACAAGAGCTCCTGAAGGAAGCACTAGACATGGAAGGAACAAGTGGTACCAGCCACTGCAAAAACATGACAAATAGTGAAGACCATCAATGCTATGAAGAAACTGCATCAATTAATGGGCAAATTAACCAGCTAACATCATAATGAAGGGATAAAATTAACAATAACTATATTAACCTTAAATGTAAATGGGCTAAATGCCCCAATTAAAAGACACAGACTGGCAAATTGGATAAAGAGTATAAGACCCATCAGTGTGCTGTATTCAGGAGACCCATCTCATGTGCAGAGACACATATAGGTCTAAAATAAAAGGATGGAGGAAGATTTCCCAAGCAAATGGAAAGCAAAAAAAAAAAAAAAAAAAAAAAAAAAAGCAGGGATTGCAATCCTACTCTCTAATAAAACAGACTTTAAATGAACAAAGATCAAAAGAGGCAAAGAAGGCCATTACATAATGGTGAAGGAATTAATTCAACAAGAAGAGCTAACTATCCTAAATACATATGCACCCAATACAGGAGCACCAATATTCATAAAGTACATCATTAGAGACCTACAAAGAGACTTTGACTCCCACACAATAATAATGGTAGACTTTAACACCCCACTGTCGTTATTGACAGATCAACAGACAGAAGGTTAACAAAGATATCCAAGACTTAAATTCAGCTCTGCACCAAGTGGACCTAAGAGACATCTACAGAACTCTCCACCCAAGTTAACAGAATATACATTCTTCTCAGCACCACATCACACTTATTCTAAAATTGACCACATAATTAGTAGTAAAACACTTCTCAGCAAATGTAAAAGAACAGAAATCACAACAAACTGTCTCTCAGACCACAGTGACTTCAAATTAGAACTTAGGATTAAGAAACTCACTCAAATCAGCACAATTACATGGAAACTGATCAACCTGCTCCTGAATGCCTAGTGGGTAAATAACAAAATGAAGGCAGAAATAAAGATGTTCTTTGAAACCAATGAGAACAAAGACAAAACATACCAGAATCTCTGGGACACATTTAAAGCAGTGTGTAGAGGGAAATTTATAGCACTGAATACCCACAAGAGAAAGCAGGAAACTTTTAAAATTGACACCCTAACAATTAAAAGAACTAGAGAAGCAAGAGCAAACAAATTCAAAAGCTAGCAGAAGGTAAGAAATAACTAAGATCAGAGCAGAACTGAAGGAGATAGAGACACAAAAAACCCTTCAAAAAATCAATGAATCTAGGAGCTGGTGTTTTGAAAAGATCAACCAAATTGATAGACTGCTAACAAGACTAATAAAGAAGAAAAGAGAGAAGAATCAAATAGACACATTAAAAATGATAAAGGGGATATCACCACCAATCCCACAGATAAACTGCCATCAGAAAATACTATAAACACCTCTACACAAATAAACTAGAAAATCTAGAAGAAATGGACACATACACCCTCCCAAGACTAAACCAGGAAGAAGTTGAATCTCTGAATAGACCAATAATGGGCTCTGAAATTGAGGCAATAATGAATAGCCTGCCAACCAAAAAATGTCCAAGACCAGATGGATTAATGGCCGAATTCTACCAGAGGTTCAAAGAGGAGCTCATACCATTCCTTCTGAAACTATTCCAATCAATAGAAAAAGAGGGAATCCTCCCTAACTCATTTTATGAGGCCAGAATCATCCTGATACCAAAGCCTGGCAGAGACACAACAAAAAAAGAGAATTATAGACCAATATCCCTGATGAACATCTATGTGAAAATCCTCAATAAAATATGGGCAAACCAAATCCAGCAGCACATCAAAAAGCTTATCCACCACGATCAAGTTGGCTTCATCCCTGAGATGCAAGGCTGGTTCAACATACACAAATCAGTAAACGTAATCCATCACATAAACAGAACCACCGACAAAAACCAGATGATTATCTCAAAACATGCAGAAAAGGCTTTGGACAAAATTCAACAGCGCTTCACGCTAAAAACTCTCAATAAACTAGGTGTTGATGGAACGTACCTCAAAATAATAAGAGCTAATTATGACAAACCCACAGCCAATATCATACTGAATGGGCAAAAACTGGAAGCATTCCCTTTGACAACTGGCACAAGGATGTCCTCTCTCACCACTCCTATTCAACATAGTGTTTGGAAGTTCTGGCCAGGGCAGTCAGGCAAGAGAAAGAAATAAAGATATTCAATTAGGAAAAGAGGAAGTAAAATTGTCCCTGTTTGCAGATGACATGATTGTATACTTAGAAAACCCTGTCATCTCAGCCCAAAATCTCCTTAAGCTGATAAGCAACTTCAGCAAAGTCTCAGGATACAAAATCAATTTGCAAAAATCACAGGCATTACTATATGCCAATAACAGACAAATAGAGAGCCAAATCATGAGTGAACTCCCATTCACAGTTGCTACAAAGAGAATAAAATACCTAGAAATCCAACTTACAAGGGATGTGAAGGACCTCGTCAAGGAGAACTGCAAACCACTGCTCAACAAAATAAAAGAGGAGACCAACAAATGGAAGAATATTCCATACCCATGGATAGGAAGAATCAATATCATGAAAATGGCCATACTGCCCAAGGTAATTTATAGATTCAGTGCCATCCCCATCAAGCTACCAATGACTTCCTTCACAGAATTGGAAAAAAAGTATTTTAAAGTTCATATGGAACCAAAAAACATCCCACATAGCCAAGATAATCCTAAGCAAAAAGAACAAAGCTGGAGGCATCGTGCTACCTGACTTCAAACTATACTGCATGGCTACAGTAACCAAAACAGCATGGTACTGGTACCGAAACAGAGATATAGACCAATGGAACAGAACAGAGGCCTCAGAAATAACACCACACATCTACAACCATCTGATCTTTGACAAACCTGACAAAAACAAGAAATAGGGAAAGGATTCCCTATTTAATAAATGGTACTGGGAAAACTGGCTAGCTGTACGTAGATAAGTGAAACTGGATCCCTTTTTTACAACTTATACAAAAAATAATTCAAGTTGGATTAAAGACTTAAACATAAAACCTAAAACCATAAAAACCCTAGAAGAAAACCTAGGCAATACAATTCAGGACATAGGCATGGGCAAGGCTTTCATGACTAAAACACCAAAAGCAAGGCAACAAAAGCCAAAATAGACAAATGGGGTCTAATTAAACTAAAGAGCTTCTGCACAGCAAAAGAAACTGCCATCAGAGTGAACAGGCAACCTACAGAATGGGAGGAAATTTTTGCAATCTACTCATTTGACAAAGGGCTAACATCCAGAATCTACAAAGAACTCAAACAAATTTACAAGAAAAAAACAACCCCATCTAAAAGTGGGCAAACCATATGAACAGACACTTCTCAAAAGAAGACATTTATGCAGCCAACAGACACATGAAAAAATACTCATCATCACTGGTCATCAGAGAAGTGCAAATCAAAACCACAATGAGATACCATCTCACACCAGTTAGAATGGCGATCATTAAAAAGTCAGAAAACAACAGATGCTGGAGAGGATGTGGAGAAATAGGAACACTTTTACACTATTGGTGAGAGTGTAAATTACTTCAACCATTGTGGAAGACAGTGTGATGATTCCTCAAGGATCTAGAACTAGAAATACCATTTGACCCAGCAATTCCATTGCTGGGTATATGCCCAAAGGATTATAAATCATGCTACTATAAAGACACATGCACACGTATGTTTATTGTGGCACTATTCACAATAGCAAAGACTTGGCACCACCCCAAATGTCCATCAATTATAAAATGGATTAAGAAAATGTGGCACATATATACCATGGAATACTATGCAGCCATAAAAAGGATGATTTCATATCCTTTGCAGGGACATGGAAGAAGCTGGAAACCATCATTCTCAGCAAACTATCACAAGGACAGAAAACCAAACACCACATGTTCTCACTCATAAGTGGGAATTGAAGAATGAGAACACTTGGACACAGGGCGGGGAATATCACACACCAGGGCCTGTTGGGAGGTGGGGGGCTCGGGTAAGATAGCATTAGGAGAAATACCTAATGTAAATGAAGAGTTGACGGGTGCAGCAAACCAACATGGCACATGTATACCTATGTAATAAACCTGCACGTTGTGCACATGTACCCTAGAATTTAAAGTACAAAAAAAAAAAAAAATAGAAAGAAATGTAAATGAAAACAGAACAAAACAAAACAGGACTCACTATTCTTGTATTAGGTAAAACAGACTTTAAACCAACAACAAAAGCATTGTATAATGAGAAAGGATTCAATTCAACAAGAAAACCTGTCTTAAATATAAACCTAGCCAACACTGGAGCACTAGATTTATACGCCAATTACTACTAGGCCTAAAAAGAGAAAAAAATACGTAGACAGCCAAACAATAAAAGTGGGAGACTTCAACACCAGAGAGCATGAGATATATCATCTAGATAGAAAATTAACAAAGAAATTTTAGACTTAAATTTGACACATTACCAATTGGACCTAATAAACATCTGTACAATATTTCACCCAACAACCACAGAATATATATACTTCTCATCTACACATGGAACAAACTCTAAGAATGACCATGTTTGGTCATAAAGCAAACCTCAGTAAATTTTTTAAAAATTGAAATAATATCAAGCATCTTCTCAGACCACAGTGAAATAAAAATAGAAATCAATATCAAGAACTCTAAAAAATACGCAAATACATGGAAACTAAACAACTTGCCACAAAATAACTTTTGCTAAACAACAACAGCAATAAAATATGATGGCATAAATTCAAAAATTTTTGAAACAAATGAAAATAATGACACTATATATCAAAACTTCTGGGATGTGCAAAAGCAGTGTTAAGAGGAAAGTTTAGAGTGCTAAGCTGCATAAGGAAGATAGAAATATATCAAGTTACCAACCAAATGTTGCATCTAATAGAATTATAAAAACAAGAACAAATTAAACCCAAATCTAGAAGAAGAAAATAAATAATTAATTTCAGAGCAGAACTAGATAAAATTGAGAACGAGAAAACCATTCATAGGATATCTTAAATGACAACATGGTTTTTTGAAAGGATAAACAAGATTAATAGACCATCAGCTAGATTAACAACAAAAAAAGAGAAAATCCAAATAAGTACAATCAGAAATGACAAAGGTGGCATTAGAAATGACCTCACAGAAATACAAATGATACTCAGACACTAATATGTGCACAAAGTAGAAAACCTAGAAGAAATAGATAAATTATAAGAAACATACACCCTCCCAGTATTAAATTAGGAAGTAATAGAAACTTTGAACAGACCAATAATGACTTACAAAATTAAATCACTGATAAGTATCTCCCAAGCAAAAGGAGCACTAGACCAGATGGATTCACAGCCAAGTACTACCAGATGTACAAAGACGTGCTAGTACCAAACACACTGAAACTATTCCAAAAAAAAAACTGAGGATGAAAGATTTCTTTCTAACCCATTCTACAAAAGCAGTATTATCCTAATACCCAAATCTGGGAAAGACACAAAAAAAGAAAACTACAGGCCAATATCTCTGATGAGCATAGAAACAGAAATCCTCACAAAGTTCTAGTAAATTGAATCAAAAAGTTAATTGACCACAATAAAGTAGACTTTATTTCTGAGATGCAAGTATGATTCAACATACAGAAATCAATAAATATAAAAGTAAAATAAATTCATCACATTAATAGAACTAAAACAAAACTGTGTAATCATCTCATTGGGCCAGAAAAAGCATTTGATAAAACCCAACATTCCTTCATGATTAAAGAAAACTTCAACAAACAAGCCATCAAAGAAATATACCTCAAAATAAGAGTCATCTACTACTCACATAAGTAATTGACAAACCCATGGCCAGTATCATATTGAATGGGCAATAGTTGGAAGCATTCTCCCTAAGAACTGGAACAAGATGAAGATGTCCATTCTTACCACTCCTATTCAACATAGTACTGGAAGTCCTAGCCAGTACAATTAGGCAAGAGAAAGAAACAAAGGGCATCCAGATTTGAAAAGAGAAAGTCAAATTATCTTTTCTCACTGAAGATAAAATTATATATCTAGAAAACCCTAAAGATTCCACCCAAAGACACCTAAACCTGATAAATGACTTTGGCAAAGTCTCAGAATAGTAAATTAATGTACAAAAAACTGGCATTTCTGTACAACAATAATGTTCAAGGTGAGAACTAAATCAAAAATATAATCTAATTTACAATAACCACAAAAAATACCTATGAATATATCTAACAAAGGAGGTAAAGATCTCTATGAGGAGAACCACAAAACATTGCTAAAAGAAATCATAGATGACACATAAAAATTGGAAAAAAAAATACCATATACCATACTCATTGACTGGAAGAATCAGTATTGTTAAAAATGTCCATACTGCCCTAATGCAATCTACAGATTCATTAAAATTCTTATCAAAATACCAATGTATAATTAGAAAAGACTATTCTAAAATTTATAGGGGACCATAAAAGCCTGAATAGCTAAAGTAATCCTAAGCAAAAAAGAATAAATGGCATCACAATACTTGACTTCAAGCTATGCTACAAGGCTACATAAGCCAAAACAGCAGGTGTTAGTGCAAAAGTAGAACAATGAAATAGAATGGAGGAAGTGAAGGGTAAAGTCTTGAATAATCCTCCTATTTTTCGGATATCTTGTTCATCGTTGAGGTTAGCGATGAATAGCCAACCAAGAAATAAATCCACACACCTACAAAAATCTAGTCTTTGATAAAGCCAACAACAACAACAAAAAAACAACTGGAGAAAGGACACTCTATTCAATAAATAGTGCTGAGATATCTAACTAGGCATAATCAGAAGAATGAAGGTGTACCCCTACCTTTCACTATATACAAAAATCAACTCAAGATGAACTAAAGACTTAAAGGTAAAACCTGAAACTATAAAAATCCTGAAAGACAATATAAGTAATACCATTCTGGACATAGGAACCTGAAAAGAATTCATAATGAAGATTTCAAAAGCAATCGCAACAAGAGCAAAAATTGACAAGTGAGATCTTGTCAATACTAAAGAGCTTCTTCACAGCAAAATAAACTATCAACACAGTAAACAGACAACCTATGTAATGGGACAAAATATTTGCAAGGTATACACCTGACAAAGGACTAATATCTAGTATCTATAAGGAACATAAACGTATCAAGAAGAAAAACAAAAACAAAAAAAATAAGCAAAGAACACAGAAACTGCTCAAAAGAGCACACACAAGCAGTCAACAAACATGAAAAGATGCAACTTAAAACCACAATGAGATATCATCTCACACTAGTCAGAATGGCTATTAAAAGTAAAAAAATAATAATTATAATAGATAAAAGAGAGAGCTCATACCATGTTGGTGGGAATGGAAATCAGTTCAGCCCTTGTGGAAAACAGTTTGGAGATTTCTCAAAGAAGTAAAAACATACTTAACACTTGACCCAATAATCTTATTACTGGGTATATACCCAAAGTAAAATAAATTGTTCTACTAAAAGAACATCTGCGCTCACATGTTTATCTCACCATGATTCACAATAGCAAAGACATAGAATCAATCTAGGTACCTATCGATGGTATAGTGTATAATGAAACGGAGTTTATATACACATGGAATACTATGTAGTCATAAAAAATGAAATCATGTATCTTGCAGCAACATGAATGCAGCTGAAGGCCATTATCCGAAATGAATTAATACAGAAACAGAAAAACAAATACCACAGGTTCTCACTTATAAGCGGGAACTAAACATTTTGTACACTTGGATATATATATGGGAACAATAGACACTAGAGAAGTCAAAGGGTTGGGGAAGGAAAGAGAGGGATAAGAGTTGAAAACTACCTATTATGTACTAGGTTCACCATTTGGTTGATGGATTCAACTGAATCCCATACCTCAGCGTTATGTAATATATTAATATAGCAAGCCCACACATGTACCCTAAATCTAAAATGAAAAAGAAAACAATTGTGTGACATTTATTCATTATTTTAATCTTGTTAGGGTTTTATTAATGCTATAATCTTTTTAATAAACCTTCTTTTGAGCTGTATTTGATTTTTTCTTAATTGGTTTTGTTTTATATATCACTCTTTTCTAATTTTTTTTTTTTTTTTCGAGACAGAGTCTCGCTCTGTAGCCAGGCTGGAGTGCAGTGGTGCAATCTCAGCTCACTGCAACCTCTCGGGTTCAAGTGATTCTCCTGCCTCAGCCTTCTGAGTAGCTGAGACTACAGGCATGCACCACCACACCTGGCTAATTTTTGTATTTTTAGTAGAATTTAGTATTTTTCGTTTCACCATGTTAGCCAGGATGGTCTCAATCTCCTGACCTTGTGATCCGCCCACATTGGCCTCCCAAGGTGCTGGGATTACAGGCCTGAACCACCCTGCCTGGCCCTATTTTTAAAATTATTGCCTTCTCATTCACTTCCTTTGAGATTAATTTGCTATTTATTTTCTACTTTCAGAAGGTTGAAGTGTAGGACATTTAGTTTAGATTTCCTTTTTATGCGAATTTTATATTATTAATTTTACACTATGAACTGCTTCAGCAGCATCCTACAATATTGTGTGTGTTTTCAGTTTCATAAAATTATAAAGATTTTCTAAATTCCCATGGCCATTTTAAAATACGTAGTTTAGCTTTTGAGTATGTTGTTTTGGATTTCAAGTTTAATTTTGAATATTCTTAAAGAACACTATATAATTTCAATCTTTTTTTTTTCAGTATCCACCTGGAGATATAATTTCAATCCTGTGAAATATTTTTGAGATTTGTTTTGTGGCTCAAAGTATAGTTTATTTTGGTGCGAAGTTTCACATCTCATATTGAAATGTAATCTCCAGTGTTGGAGGTGGGCTTTGGTGGGAGGTGTTTGGATCATGAGGGTGGATCACTCATGAATAGCTTGGTGCTGTCCTAGTGAGTGAGTTCTTTGTCCTAGTGAGTGAGACCTGGTTGTTTAAAAGTGTGTAGCCACCTCCCCACTTGCTCTCTTGTGCCCACTCTTGTCATGTGACATACTGCCTCCCTGTCACCTTCTGTTATGACTGTAAGCTCCCTGAGGCCCTCTCCAAAAGTAGGTGTTGGTACCACACTTCCTGTAGAGCCTGCAGAACCACGAGTGAGCCAATTAAACTTTTTTTCTTTATAAATTACCTGGTCTCAGGTTATTTCATTTACTTATTTTTTTTTAATAGAGTCTCACTCTGTCACTCAGGCCAGAATGCAGTGGAGCTATCTCTGCTCACTGCAACCTCTGCCTCCTTGGGTCAAGCACTTCTCATGCCTCAGCCTCCTGAGTAGCTGGGATTACAGGTGTGCACCACCCGGCTTAGCTAATTTTTTTTAGTTTTAGTAGAGACGGGGTTTCGTTGTGTTGGCCTGGCTTGTCTTGAACTCCTAGCTTCAAGTGATCCTCCTGCTTCAGCCCCCAAAGTACTGGGATTACAGGCATGAGCCACTGTGCCTGGCCAGGTATTTCTTTATAGTGAAGCAATAACAGCCTAATACAAGATGTAAGTTTGGCCAAGTCATTTTTGGAATTTGTACTATATATTGTTTTTTGTTTAATTTTTAAACAAATTAGATAGAAATACTGAAGTTTCCACTTATACTTTTAAATGTATATACTCTATTTTTTACTCATTTTTACTTTAAATATTTCAATGCTTTCATATTAGGTACATACATATTTTTGAATGTTAGATATACTTCATGAAAGGGATAATTTATTATTATGTAAGATCTCAGTTTAGCCCAGGAATATTACTCATTCTGGTATATAGCTTTTCTGAAATCAATATATCCACAGTAGTCTTGTTAATTTTGGCATTTACATACTGTATTTTTCTTATTTATACATCTAACCTATCTATATATTTCATTCAAAGGAATTTCTCACAGACATAATACAGTTGTTTCTTTTTGCAATAATTTTCCCTCTTTTATGCTTCCTCACTCTATTATTTTGATTTTTTATCTTCATTCTTGTCCTATTATACATTTTAAATTTAAATGTTTGGTGGTTGCCATGGATCATACAACATGTTTAATTCTATAGACCTCCAATTATTATTATACCACGTCAAAATCGTGTCTAAATCATACAACAATATACTTTCAGTCTTTCTCCAATTCTTAAGGTCTGTGATTATCACAAAATTTATACATACTTAGAAGACCAATAATATATTGTTACTAGTTTTGCTTTAGATAGTAATTTACCTTGAACAATTTTACAATAAAGAGATAACTTTATTATCTTCATTTTTACCAATTCTGATGTTAAATTTTTTTAATTTAGATACAAATTTCCTTCTGTTACTAAAATATTTTCTAGTTAAAAAGTTAATTCTACTTTTTAATTTTGTATTGCAGTGCTCCCGGAAATGGCTTTCTCAGTTCTTCTTAGAAAAAAAAAAATATGTTTTACATTTATCTGTGTCTGTGAATGGATCGTTTTTCTTTTAGGTCCTGAAAAATGTCCTTCCATCATCTGCTGAATTGGATAATTTTTTATAGAAGTCAACTGTTATTTTATTCTTCCTTTCTCCTTATGTAATTCCTCTTTTTCCTCACCTCCAACCCCAGGTTGCCAAAACTAATTTCTCTATAAGCTTGGTTTTCAGATGCTTGACCATGATCCATCTTGATCCATTTTTTCCTTTGTATTCATGCTATTTGTTGTTCTCCCAGATTTTTGGAATTGTTTTTGTTTGATGTCTGTATGTTTTAAAAATTGTCAATAATAATCTATTCAACTGTTTTCTTTGACTCATTCTTCTTATCATTTTCTGGGAGTTCATATATATGTATGCTAGGTCATTTATATTGCCGTTCAGTTCTCAGATGCTCTGTCCTAATTTTTGTTTGATGTTTTTTTCCTCCAATCTTTTTGTTTGTTTGTTTGTTTCAATTCCTATATTTTCTGTTGTCCTGTTTACAAGTTTGCTAATTATTTTATCTGAGGTGTCCAATTTACTGATAGCCAATGGTAGGGATTCATCATCTGTGAAATAGCTGATTTTTAAAAATTTTATTTTTTGTGTTACATTTTATTCTTTTGTTTATTATTATACTTTAAGTTCTAGGGTAAATGTGCACAATGTGCAGGTTAGTTACATATGTATACATGTGCCATGTTGGTGTGCTGCACCCATTAACTCGTCATTTAACATTAGGTATATCTCCTAATGCTATTCCTCCCCCCTCCCCCAACCCCACAACAGTCCCCGATGTGTGATGTTCCCCTTCCTGTGTCCATGTGTTCTCATTGTTCAATTCCCACCTATGACTGAGAACATGTGGTGTTTGGTTTTTTGTCCTTGTGGTAGTTTGCTGAGAATGATGGTTTCCAGCTTCTTACATGTCCCGACAAAGGACATGAACTCATCATTTTTTATGGCTGCATAGTATTCCACGGTGTATATGTGCCACATTTCCTTAACCGAGTTTATCATTGTTGGACATTTGGCTTGGTTCCCAAGTCTTTGCTATTGTGAATAGTGCTGCAGTAAACATATGTGTGCGTGTGTCTTTATAGCAGCATGATTTATAATCCTTTGGGTATATACCTAGTAATGGGATGGCTGGGTCAAATGGTATTTCTAGGTCTAGATCCCTGAGGAATTGCCACACTGCCTTCCATAATGGTTGAACTAGTTTACAGTCCCCACAACAGTGTAAAAGTGTTCCTTTTTCTCCACATCCTCTCCAGCACCTGTTGTTTCCTGACTTTTTAATGATCGCCATTCTAACTGGTGTGAGATGGTATCTCACTGTGGTTTTGATTTGCATTTCTCTGATAGCCAGTGATGATGAGCATTTTTTCATGTGTCTTTTGGCTGCATAAATGTCTTCTTTTGAGAAGTGTCTGTTCATGTCCTTTGCCCACTTTTTGATGGGGTTCTTTGCTTTTTTCTTGTAAATTTGTTTGAGTTATTTGTAGATTCTGGATATTAGCCCTTTGTCAGATGAGTAGATTGCAAAAATGTCCTCCCATTCTGTAGGTTGCCTGTGCACTCTGATGGTAGTTTCTTTTGCTGTGCCAAAGCTCTTTAGTTTAATTAGATCCCATTTGTCAATTTTGTCTTTTGTTGCCATTGCTTTTGGTGTTTTAGACATGAAGTCCTTGCCCATGCCTATGTCCTGAATGGTATTGCCTAGGTTTTCTTCTAGAGTTTTTATGGTTTTAAGTCTAACATGTAAGTGTTTAATCCATCTTGAATTAATTTTTGTATAAGGTATAAGGAGGGGATCCAGTTTCAGCTTTCTCCATATGGCTAGCCAGTTTTCCCAGCACCATTTATTAAATAGGGAATCCTTTCCCCATTTCTTCTTTTTGTCAGGTTTGTCAAAGATAAGATGGTTGTAGGTATGTGGCATTTTTTCTGAGAGCTCTGTTCTGTTCCATTGGTCTATATCTCTGTTTTGGTACCAGTACCATGCTGTTTTGGTTACTGTAGCCTGGTAGTATAGTTTGAAATCAGGTAGCGTGATGCCTCCAGCTTTATTCTTTTGGCTTAGGATTGACTTGGCAATGCGGGCTCTTTTTTGGTTCCATATGAACTTTAAAGTATTTTTTTCCAATTCTGTGAAGAAAGTCATTGGTAGCTTGATGGGTATGGCATTGAATCTATAAATTACATTGGGCAGTATGGCCATTTTCACGGTATTGATTCTTCCTACCCATGAGCATGGAATGTTCTTCCATTTCTTTGTATCCTCTTTTATTTCCTTGAGCAGTGGTTTGTAGTTCTCTTTGAAGAGGTCCTTCACATCCCTTGTAAGTTGGATTCCTAGGTATTTTATTCTCTTTGAAGCAGTTGTGAATGGGAGTTCACTCATGATTTGGCTCTCTGTTTGTCCATTATTGGTGTATAAGAATGCTTGTGATTTTTGCACATTGATTTTGTATCCTGAGACTTTGCTGAAGTTGCCTATCAGCTTAAGGAGATTTTGGGCTGAGACAATGGGGTTTTCTAGATATACAATCATGTCATCTGCAAACAGGGACAATTTGACTTCCTCTTTTCCTAATTGAATATCCTTGATTCCTTCTCCTGCCTGATTGCCCTGGCCAGAACTTCCAACACTATGTTGAATAGGAGTGGTGAGAGAGGGCATCCCCGTCTTCTGTCAGTTGTCAAAGGGAATGCTTCCAGTTTTTGCCCATTCAGTATGATATTGGCTGTGGGTTTGTCATAGACAGCTCTTATTATTTTGAGATACGTCCCATCAATACCTAATTTATTGAGAGTTTTTACCATGAAGGGTTGTTGAATTTTGTCAAAGGCCTTTTCTGCATCTATTGAGATAATCATATGGTTTTTGTCATTGGTTCTGATTATATGCTGGATTACACTTATTGATTTGCGTATGTTGAACCAGCCTTGCATCCCAGGGATGAAGCCCACTTGATCATGGTGGATAAGCTTTTTATTTCTCTTACAATTGTCCATATTTCATTTTATTTCTACCTTTCTAACAAGATATTTTTAGTTGATAATAAGAGATATTTTTATTTGTTTTTCTATTTCATCCAAAATCTTTGTCTTCCATGGTTCTGGAGCTTTTGATGTCTTCATATATTGCTGATGAGTAAATTTTGATAAGTTTTGCATCGGTTTTGCTTTTTTAATTTTTAAATTTTTTATTATATGCCAGGAATTATATACAAAAGAACAGTAGAGGCTGAGAAAAATATAGCTTTCACCTACTCATGTGCACATACATCTCTTCCTTTGTCAAGACATTTGTGTTAAATGCAGAGGTAATCTAGTCAGTAGTTAAACTTTTTGGTGAAGGACTATAGGACTATATTTAATTTGAGATTACTGCTCTCTTTAAATCCTGACATACATTGTGCATAGTGGAGCCCTGGAGATGTGGAGGGTTTTTCTCGCTATTCCTTTTCCACTCTCATCTTTCAGCAGGCTTAAAAGACATGCACCACAGATAGGCTATGGTGTGTTTTGTGATGGAATGCTTATGGTGAGGCAGGGTTAGTTATTGATTTCTTTCAACAAATTTAGGCCTTGGCTGGTATATCCTCTGCCAAAGTGATATAGTTTTTGTACCCTGTCTTTGAAGGGGCTTATCACTCTGTGAAATTTATTTCACTTGTCTTACACATCAGTTCTCTGATAGGTTCCAGAAAACTATGATTCTGTAGGTTAACTGACTTTTTCTCAATGGTAAGATGTGAGTAGTATTCTCTATTAGGTGGCTTCCCGTTCCTTCAGTAAATGCAGACCCTTGCTAACATACTCAGTGATTCCTAAGTTTAAAGCATACATCACTATTTCATGACCACATGTTGATCATTCAAATATCCCTGTGGCAATATAGTAAATATGTACTGATTTTCATTTCATGACAATCTACACCTGCCTCACTGAACTCTAAATTAGGATTACAAAGAAGGCATTAATCAACCTACAAATGTTATAATGGATTACCAGTTCCTCTTGGTTTGTTGCATTTTGTGAATGATTTTCCATAAAACATGCCGCTGAAACAATTAGTCTATATTAAACATACAATACTGTTGAAATGGGAATTAGTGGAAATTAAAACTATCTTATAAACCTTTATTGAATCAGATAAATAATCTCTGTCCTCTTGGGATTCTTTACTGGCTGGTGTTTTCAAAGAAGTGTATGGGTTTCAAGAGGATCTCTCTCTCTCTCTCCCCAAATGTTTATAATGTTGCCAACTACAACTGCTTTTTGCAACTTTATATACAGTTATATTCAGTGTTATTTAGTTTTTAAATGATTTTGTCACAGTTTTATGTAAAGTTTGGCCCCTTTACACATAAATAAACCTTTGTTGACTGGGTATGAAATCCTAAAATCTGCTGTACATGTTGGGATGCAAATGGGTTAAAGGGCATATTGTACCAAAAACAAATTCTTTTTAAATTAAAGAAGTATATAAAGTAAGAAGGGGGAAGTTCAAAGAGGGCACACAGGGCACAGATAAGATGTCAAGATTGACAATTAATTCTAGTTTGAGGAAGATTGATAATTAAAGTTTGAAGGAAGTTAAACTTGAGCCAAATCTTGAAAGATAAGGAATATTTCATAAAGTCTGCTGTGGGATAAACTTGGAAAAGTAGTTAGAGATAGGGTTTCACAGAGGGCTTTGTATTTTTCTGATGGTAAAAGTTTAACCAATAGGCATTAACAATTTACATGGGTTCAAATAATTTTAATAACTTTAAAACTTTGATGCCTTTAAACAAATTTTCAGAATGCATAAATTCATATTCACTGAAGTATTTGTTTATGTATATATTTTCTCGCCAGTGATATCATAACAGAAGAACCCTAGTGTAAACTCTGTCTTGTATGCTCTGTTTGCACAGTTCTGACACTCCAAAAACTGGTAGGTCAAACTTCCATTGTCTTTGTAATGTGAGTTTTATATTGCAATTGCTTAAGACACTCTTTCACTAAAATGAGGTATTTCTTTTTACTACCTCGACCTACTTACTACTCATTTGCTGAAATAAAATGAATGACCAACCTGGGAACCTGAAATAAAGCAAATTCATGTTGCTTTCATTCTGTTGACTGGATTCACTAGCAGAAAATACAAACTGAGGAATAAAATATAAGGAAGCAAAGAAAAAGCAGCAGGTGTGGGACACACAATCACTGCCTAAATCTGCCAAAGGGGAATGTGAGTTGACAATAAAAAATTAGCTTCCGGAAAGATTTTTCTTTCTGGTTTCTCATTGTTTGTTACATAACTTTAGGAATGGCCAACCCCTAAGAAAATAAGAAGTAGGAAAACAAATCTGGCAAGTCAAGTCAATTTAACAAAGGACTGGTTTTATTCTCTGTTCCTCACCAGCTCTGGAGATTAGCATGACACAAACAAAACTTAAATCATTCGGTGTGTGGCTTCCTGAAGATTCATCCTATCTGATCTCTGCATACTCTTAAAAAAAAGAAAAAAGAGAGAGAGAGAGAAAGAAAAAGAAATGTTCTAAAATTGTTGAAAAAACCCAAACAAGGAATTTGGGTTACTTTCAGCTTGATATAATTTTATGGTCTTACCCTTCAAAAACTTTCAGAATTTTAGAAAACTATCCATGTTTTTTTCTGAAAATATCAGCTATGCACTAATAAACACTTTCAACCAGAAGAGATGCTGAATATTCTCTCAAATTTAATGAGTAGGTTAATCAGTCTTTTAGGATTGAGTCTTCCCTTGATTTCCAAGTGACACTGATATCTTTTTCAAGCAATTTTCTGAAGTTGGAGTTAAGATTAAGTGCATATATAGAAATTATTGGCAATCATTAGATTTAAAATGTATACAACTTGCAATTTTTACTTACAATGATTTAAAAATATACACAAATTAATTAGAATTAAATATACATACCATAAAGTCATACATAAAAGTTTAGGTAAATTGACAAAATAAAAAAGCTTTACCTAGAGATATGTGTATGCATATGTATACATTATTACTATTTTAATATTCAAATTTCATTGAATTCTTAGAATTATACCTATAAATTAAATTAAGTATGCTCTCATGTTACTGTATTAATATTACATGATCATATAAATTGTGTTGTAATAATAATCGTACATATGCTGTGACCTTGAAATTCAGGTGTATTAATTTCTTAAAACATTTGTTAGCCTTGTAATAAAACACCAGGCTATTGAGTGGGCTAACTATAATCACACTTCTGGTAGCATAACTATAATTAAAATTTTCAACACATAGTCCCCTAATGTCCCTGAAAAATAGATAGTTGATGCATATAAGTACAGCAATATAATTAGTGAAAGGAATTTTTATACTTATAACAGTGTTTGAAATACAGCATAAAATGATCTCCATTTTGAACTTCATAGCTTTTAAGTAATAATTGGAAACATACTGTATTGTAAGATAATAGTCATTTTCTGAATTCTTCCTAGTTTTTCACTACTGTACTTGTATTATACTTAAAACATGTATTTAAAATTTCTTTTTTCCACTGAGGAAAAAATTTTAGATATTTAGAAAATTTTACTTTATTTTATCACATCTAAGACATTTTCATTGTTTAGATACACAATTATTTTATTGAATGCTAAAAAAGTTAACAAAAAGAAAAAGTGTATAGGCCAGGCGCGGTGGCTCACGCCTGTAATCCCAGCACTTTGGCAGGCCTAGGTGGGCAGATCATGAGGTCAGGAGATCCAGATCATCCTGGCTAACACGGTGAAACCCCCCCGCCGTCTCTACTGAAAAATACAAAAAAAAAAAAATTAGCCGGGCGTGGTGGTGGGCGCCTGTAGTCGCAGCTACTCGGGAGGCTGAAGCAGGAGAATGGCATGAACCTGGGAGGCAAAGCTTGCAGAGAGCCGAGATTGTGCCATTGCACTCCATCCAGCCTGGGTGATAGAGCGAGACTCTGTCTCAAAATAAATAAATAAATAAATAAATAAATAAATAAAATAAAAACAAAAAGTGCCAATTAACTACAACGTAGTGTTTACTTATCAATAAGACTTTTTGAGGTTTTTATATTTACTAAAAGAGCTCATTTAGATTTATTTAGATATAGATTTTTATTTTATAACACGTGCAAAAAACAATGAAAAGAAAATATGAAAGTATACTAAAACTTTTTTATGGATAAAATCCAACTCTTCTAAATCATTTTTCTCCTAAAGACATTGAAATTTGTGTTTTTCATTCAGTACACTCCTCTGTGCTACCAGTAGTGTTAGTAGTACAGCACTTTTTTAACAAACTTGCTTTAGGATGTCTTTCAGATGTTTCAGCTAATATATTAATATCTGTTGCCCAAATTTTGAGTCCTTGTTTTTGTGATGTCACGTGAAGTTGACAATGAATAGTATTGCAGAAAAATAGAGAAGATCCATTTTATTATTCAAATAATTCTTAAATTATTATCAATTGAAACTTCAAAAGTTTCATGATGTCTAGTTACACTAACAGAAATAATAAGGTTCAGCCATGTTCAGGCTGTAAACTACTGTTACCATGTCTACCACCTGGCCAATGGCAATGATAACATACCATTGAACTCAAGATATTTTCCACTTATAGATACATTAACATACGTGAACACATGCATCTTACAATATAAAGATATTCCTTGATATTGAGGAAATATGAAATTAAAATTGCATAAGGCTATCATATTTAATAATAGTTTACTATGAACTAATGAATATTTATTTTTCATTTGTCTTTTTCCTTAAAATCCTTTCTTCCTTAGATTTATAAAAATTAATATATTACATATCAATGTGTACATATCTGTATATATTAATATTGGTCTATATTTTTGTGTATGTGTATATGTACCTGGATATGGAAGATAATGTTTAATTAAGTAATCAAAAATACTACTTATTTGTTCCATTTCAAATTTCAAATTTCATTGTAAAGATCAGGCTGTGAGTTTAGGAATTTATCATTAGCTGTGCTAATTTTTGTCTTGCAATTTTTTTCCAAAATTTTTGCACCATAAGTAAAATTTTATTTTGACACCAGGCTACTACACATCTGGTTTCTCATGAAATGAATTTGGTTCAAAAAGGCTGTAAGGTCCATTCAATAAGAAAATCAAGTATAGCTTGTTAATTAAGAACATGGACTCTGGGAGCCAGACTGCCTGGGTTTGAATCTCTCTTCCAAAGCATACAGGTAGTCTGGGATTATTTGAGATTAATTTTCTCATCAATAAAATGGGGAACGCATATGTACATCATAGAGTTGATGGGAAGATTGAATGATTTCATGTATAAACATAGTAAGCGCTATATAAATGTTTATATTTATATTATGATTACTCTGTAAATAAGTGTGTGTGGATGATGACTGATAATAGCATAGAATGATTAGCAAAGTCTACAAAACTTTGCTTTCTTCAAATTTGCAAACAGAACCATTAAATAAATGTGATTATCTAAATTTGTATTTGGCCTAACTAGACAGATGGTAAGATATTATTAGCATGCACTGGTGGATTTATCTTATGCTCTATAATAGAAAGGCTTTGGAAAACGGAAACACCCACAATAATGACTTTTTCAAATCCTTTCCCTGCAAAGTTAGTTTTTCTACCATGTGAGGCATATCTCCTTTCTTGATACTTTTCTGCCTAGGTTTATGACTGGTCCATCTTTTATTTCTGTGAAAACTGCTCCCTCGTTTCTTTATTGATTTTTTATTTATTGTTCAATAAATTCACGTATTCTTCCATATGCCTGTATTTTACCATTTCTTTATTGTGTCTATTCTACCCAATAAATATAACAGTGGCTCCACAGATCTAAGTATTATCTCATGTGAATTATGACAAATTCTCTGCATCCAGCTCAGATTAGTTTTCTGAGCTACACTTTCACAAATCAAACTGCCTATGTTTTTTCTTAAATTTTACATATTGTGTTTCATATTATCAGGTCAGAATAATTTTGCAAATGATAAGTCAAATACGTTCCCGATGATTTTAGACATTTTTTAACGATTAGAGTGGCTATTTTTAGCTACACAAAAAGTAACTTCAGGTGAATTTTTTAGGGAATTGGCATATTAGACAATGTAGTCAACACATAATTATGGTAATGTGGCTGCTCAGAAAACCGTATTACCTAATGCAGTCACCAAGACTTCTGATCGTTTTGTTGATGAAGAGTTATAAAGCCAAGTATAGTATTAATGGAATTAGGATTGACCACCAAAGGTAGGGGTTTAATGCTGCAACATAACATTGGCATATTATTCTTTCTCATTCCTAATTCAGCCAAGAGCACGTAAGTTAACTGGTAAAAATTTATTATTCAATATTGAAAAATATTGCTATTAATCACTAATTTAAAGTATTTTATGAAAAGTAAATGGGTAAACGTATAGATGTTCTTCCTTGCGTGAAAAATGTAATTTTTTATGAAGTAAAATTTTTCACTCTAATGAGCTCATTGGAAAGATATTTTTACATCATGCACATGGCCATCATCACTTGTATTTAACCTACTTTCAGTAATTGCAGACTAGAACCTGAAGAAGTTTTTGATAGCTATGCAGATGCGGCCTACATTGGATTGTGTGTGTGTATGTATGTGGTGGGTTTTGAAAGAGAAAGATACGAAAAGCAGCCTCTCTGTTGCCTGAAGCTCATTTCACAAATAATGAATTTTGCAACTGAAGGAAAAGCAAGTAGCGAACTATTGACATTTAGGTTTGTAGGTTTGAGTTTAGGCATTTAGGTTTGAGAAAATAATTCTTTTTTGGCCCATTGCTAGGTTCATGGCTAACATCCCTATAACAAAAGACAAACAACAGTAAAGCACACACATTTATCTAATATACGTTTTACATTACACGGAGCCTTTAGAACTGAAAACTCAAAAGAAATAGGGAAGTCTATGTATTTTATGCTATATTTGATTTTAAAAAGTAGATAATTGTGTAGAAGTTTGATTGGAGGAAAAAAGTATGATCTGTGATTAACTTGGGGGACTTAGATCTGTTTCTTCAGATTCTTCTTTGTTTTCTGATGTTTTCAGATAAGAACATTCCTTTCCTTCATGTGTAGGGTGGATACCTCTGAAATGAGGATCTTGTGAAGTGCTTTTCAGAAAGATCAGGAAAAAATCTTTCTAGGTTTTACAACCTAGCTCAGAGAGAAGGGTAAGGGGAAAATGAGAATGACATTCTTGAGTCTGCTATTTTTTCAAATGCCACACACAAACACACATACACATGCGTTTTTATGTTGTGACATGGTATGAGTTACACCTAGGGAATCAGAGCTTTTAGGTAAGATGGTTTATGGCTTGCTATGGTTTAAATGTTTGTCCTTTCAAAAAGTCATGTTGAAATTAACCACCAATGCAACAGAGTTTTGGAAGCTGGGGCCTAATGGAATGTGTTTAGGTTATGAAGGCTCTGCTTTAATGAATAGATTAATGTCATTATAAAAAGGGCTTTCAAGAGTGAGCTCTCTGCTTTTCTCCCATCTGCTATGTGATGACACACATAAGAAGGCCTTCACCATATGCCAACACCTTGATATAGGACTTCCCAACCTCCAGAACTATGAGAAAATAAATTTCTGTTCATTATAAATTACCCAATCTCAGGTATTCTGTTATAGCAGCACAAAATGGGCTCAGACACTGATATAACCAATGATTTCTCAAATGTGACATAGCTTCTCCATAACCCTATGAAAATGACACTCACTATATATTTTCTGAGAGTATATTTTTAAGAAACTTCTTTAAAGTATACATCCTCCAAGCTCGTAGTTTTGATAGTACATCTTTCCAGTCTTTATAGAATATTGAATTCATAGAATTTTTAGAAGGTCGTATGAGATAAAATTTAATGGTTTGCTTTATTCTACAGAATGAAACTGGGTGAAAAAATTCAGGACACTTCAGTTTCATATTTGAATTCTAATTTTCCCTGTTAAAATTCTATGAAATATGTGCCCATTACTGAACAATATTATTGCTCAAAAGACATCTTTGCATTTGAAGAGGAAGGCTGTTATGCAAAGATGCCCGGACATTTCTACATAATTTATATCTGCATCAGAAGCAATTGGTCACCTTTTTTGAATAGTGTCCACCAAACAAAATAACTTGGGAAAGTCTCTTGTAGGTTGCATTAATACTATCTGGTCTACATATCTAGAAGTTACTGGTGTATTCAGCAGTGGTTAATAGCTAGCTTTAGAAAGCTTATTTAATTTTTCAATTTAAATGCCTAGATAATGCTGGGGGCAGTATAGATATATAAACAACTTGTTCTTGGCCTCAAGAGGTGTTATTATTGCTTAGGATGAGTAATTACTCAAGATATCCCCCGGGGATGTGCGATGTGACAGCACTCACACTGACAATGTTTAGAAGCAGCCTGCCAGATGGTCAGAACCTGTAATGGTGGAATGAATGAGGACAGTAGGAAGGGACCTGGAGCAAAACAGCTTTTGTATAGCAATCTGGTAGAAGCAGCATTTGGAAATTTGAGGGACTCATTTCCAGGGTTTGAGAAAAATAACATAAACTCTATAAATGTACATGAAAATTAGTTAAACGTGAAGAGAAGTTAGATTAATTTCATGACTCAATCCTTTCCTGTTAACATCTTCTGTGGCCTAATACATTGCGCTGTTTTTACTTCAGTATAACACACCATACAAGTTACAGTAAAATTTTATATTTTCCTTTAAGAAGTGAATTGTTTCTCTATTGCCCCGGGCCAAAATAGGTTGGATATTGCTCTGGCCACAATTTTAGCTGTTCTTGAAGTTGCCCCTGTTATAGGAATATCTTGCTCTCTTCACTGTTCCCCTGTGTTCTCTGCAGTATGCAGTGCTCAGGACCATATATTTCACTGCCCAACCAGCATGTCATTGGTGGATAAGTATATATGGAAGGGGGCGTGAGCTACTAATGAATGTTAGAAAAAAAGAAGACAACATTGTCTGTTGTGTTTATATAACTCATTTTAAGAGTTACGTTAGAGAAGCATGATGAGTGGTGGGCAAAGAGATGTTTAAGAGAAACTCCATAGACCATTCTTTCCAGCAAATATATGCAATTCAATTAAAATATAATATTTCTAATATTTCAAATGTTAGGAATGCTCATTTGTGGTAATATAAAAAAGAAGTTATAACTGTAATAACATATCATAAACCTTAATTTAGATTTTTAAATTAAATATGTTGCAATATAATTTAAAAACAATAAAATGCCCTCATGCCTACATCATACTGCCTTGATTACTCTTAATCTTAAGATTACTCTTAACTATTTGATTTCAAGACATATAATGAAGCTTATATGTAATCAAGCTTCATTATATGTCTCGAAATCAAAAGTTAAGTGTCTGTAAACTTTTAAATTCTTTTTCCAAATAGTTTTGACTATTCTAGGCCACTTGCATTTACATTAAATTATACAATCTTTTGGCACCTTTACAAATTTCTTGCTGAGATTTTGATCAGGATTACAGGAAGTTATAAAGTCTTCTAACTTAAAAACTTGATCATTTATTTAATTTTCCTTAATTTCTAGCAATCGTTCCTAAGTATTTTGTTTTTGATACTATTGTAAAGAATGTCTTTATTTTAATTTTATATTCCATTTTTTATCCCTGATATGTAAAAACGCATATTCCTTTTATATATAAATCTTGCATTTTGTGAACTTGCCAAAAATCACTTATTTATATTTTTAGATTTTTCTGTTTCTTAACATAGACACTTAGATGATTTGAGGATAGTTTTAGAGTGGGACATTTTTGCTTTGTTGAAAATCTTAGGAAGTATTCAGTCTTTTGCCATTAAATCTGATTTTAGCTCCAGAATTTTTATAAATGACTTTTATTAAATTGAGAAGTGTTTATTCTATTCCCAGTTGGATTTTTTTAAATTATGAATAGATTTTGAATATTGCAAATCCTTTCTTTGCACTATTGAGATGACTTTATGAGATAGTTTTTCTTTATTATATTAATGTGCTAAGTAACATTGATTTTCAAATATTAAAATATAATATTACATCACTAGGTATATTTTCAACTTAAAAATGATATATTGTTATATATGAATATTGTGTTGAGGATTTTTGTATCTGTAGTCAAGAAAGACATTGGTCTGTTATTTTCTCTTTTTAATTTTTTTTAGAAAACTCTGCACATTTATTACAATAGATCACCAGCAGCAACAGGATGCAAGGGGGTGTGGAACACTAGACACACTTACTCTTCAAGTAGATCTTGGGTGTCTGCCTGCCCCTGAGACCTCTCTTTGATCTGCCTTCAGCCACATGTACCTCAGGTTTCTCTGGAACCTAATCTGCTACAATCTAAGGCATTCTTCCTGGCCCTACTGCCCCAGGAACTAGCTCTCTTGACCAGTTTGTGGTATTTGTGGTGGCTTATTGTCCCACCACAGATTTTCGCACATTTTCACATTACATGCTTACAGGGTGCATCCTAGACTCCCTCGGGCTTCCTGCTAGGCCTCTCCCTCCCTTACCTAGCTAAGGGAATACTTGTAGAAATGGGCTGGAGTCACAACCTCTGCAGTTCCAGTATCCAGTCTGGACAAGAGATATCAAAGATGTAAGCCAGCTCTCCAGGGGGCTGACGGTCATCTTCTTGGAGACCAGACTCTCCTCAAGCTCCAACTGGGCCCCCTTGCTAGAGACAGAAGCAGCCCACTTGGACCTGTTGACTGAGTGCTCTAGCTGCCCAGCAGCCCTGAGACAAGCCAGGGAAGACTAATCAGTTGAAACGTCAGGCATATCATGAGAATGGTCTATGGATTATGGTAGCCCCAGGCGCTCAGGGGATCATTCTGCAACTCCTCTAAGGGACTTCTGGTGTCTAGTATCCTCTATATCAAATTTGGGTATCATGGATGTGCTGGTTTCAAAGTTGAGTTGAGGAGTATTCCCTCTTTATTTAGCATTGATCTGGAAAGCCACTTTAATAAATTTTCTCTGCGATAAGGTTTGTGCTTAAAAATTAAATTTCTCTAATAATATAAGGCTAATCAGATTTTCTATTTTGACTGTTTTGGTACTTTTTTTTAAAGTTACTGAAATTGTTTCCCAAATTTTATAAATGTTTGCATTAAATATGTTATCACTTTATTAACTTTAAGTTGTTTGTAAATTTTCATGATTATACTTTTAACGTCTGAAGAATCAGTAATAATGTCTGCATTCATTCCTATTATTAGTAACCTGTGTGCATGTATGTTTTTACACTTCTTTAATAGTTTTGAAGGCTTGTAATTTACTAACTTTATTAATCTTTTCAAATAACTACACTTTGCTCTTTGCTCTTTTTAATTTTTTCTAATATCTTTTAGTCTTTTTCCTTTTTTTATTTCATATATTACTTTTCATTATTATTTTTTTCCTTGTATTTACCATGGGTTAAATTGCACTTTATTTTTTTTTATTTTTTTATTTTTTTTGGCAGAGAATCGCTCTGTTGCCAGGCTGGAGTGCAGTGGCATGATCTCCACACACCGCAACCTGCAACTCCCTGGTTCAAGCAATTCTCCTGCTTCAGCCTCCCAAGTAGCTGGGATTACAGGCACACGCCACCATGCCCAGCTAATTTTTTTTTGTATTTTTAGTAAAGATGGGGTTTCACTTTGTTGGCCAGGATGTTCTCGATCTCCTGACCTCGTTATCTGCCTGCCTCAGCCCCGCAAAGTGCTAGGATTACAGGTGTGAGCCACCGTGCCTGGCCTAAAAATTTTTTTTAACGTAAAAACATATATCATTGCTTTGAAACATTTTTGCTTTCCAATATAGAACTTTCATAATAAGAATTCCTTTTAAGTAATGCTGTAGCCCTATCACACAAATTCAGATAGGCTATATTTTTACTATTAAACTTGAAATGTTTTCTAATTTCTCTAAACATTTTTCTGAAAATGTTTTATTTTTGATTCACTGTTTATACAGATATGTTGTTTAATTCCAAATATTTGGTGATTTACTAAATATAGTTGTTAGTATGCATCTTAACTAACTAAATCTGTGATCAGAGGACAGACTGTTTTAAGTTTAATAAGTTCTATTACTTGGCCCAGAAACTGGTCTATCTTGGTGAATGGCAATTTGTATTAGAAAAAAAAAATGTGTATTCTGTAACTGTTATTTGTAGTGTTCTCTAAATGTCAACTTTTCCAGTTTTATTGGTAGTTCTCACATGTTTTATATTTTCTCTGATATTCATCAATCATCAGTTTTATCAATTACTGAAAGAAATGCTTTAAAAATGTTTAATCATTTTTTGTTTTACTATTTTGTTTTCAGAAATTTTGAAGCACTCATTAAGTGCATAAATATTTATGATCGTGTTAAAAATAGGTGGAAAAGATTATGCACACATTACTCATAAGATGTTCTCTATAATTAAAAACATTTCCCAGATTCGTTGAGCCTATTTGACCCAGGTAAGACGTGTGCAACAAGAAAAACTTTAGATAAATTACATTTAGCAGAATTTATTTGAGTAAAGAACAACTGATGAATAGGCAGCACTAAGAACCAGGAGAGTTTTAGAGAGCTATACCCAACAAGGTGGACAGGCACCATTTATAGACAGTAAAAGGCAATACCATGTAGAAACAGCTTGACTTGCTACAGCTCAACATTTGCATTTTATAGCTATTGTCTGATTAGTTAGCAGCCTGTCACTGGCTAAAACAGCTATGTGTTACAAGAATATACTCTTATTTAGGTTGGAATTTGCTTGCATCTTAAATTAGGTTGCAGTTCACCACATAGGGAGGCAGCTTTAGGCTAGATTTAATTTAATTTAGCATGTAATGCTTGATAAAAAACTAGAGGCTTTATGTATTTTGAAAGTCTTATATTAAAAACATTTTCATATTCAGTGATGCGTTATTGCTTAATTAATAAGATTGTCCTGATGGTTGCAAAATATGTTCTTTAAAATACATCAAAAATATTCTAGCCTTTATGGTTGCTTAAAATTAGTAGAAATAAATGTGCCTTGGGAAGTAACTCGCTGGGAACAATCAATTCCAACTCTGTCACTTTCTATGTGCATGACCTTGACCTTATTTATTTGTACCTTAGATTTCTGATCTATGTACTTGGCTTGTTGAGAGAATTTAGTGAGTTCATGAATGTAAATATATTTTTTAAACGACAGCTACTTATTAAGATGCCAAGTGTTACCTAATAAAGTTCATCATTAGCTTTGTAAATGTAATTATTAGTATTTTATGAATTATACTCAAGCCAGATAGATAAATAGGGACAAATAAAGAATGTATTAGTTCCTAGGCCAGGCATGGTGGCTCATGACTGTAATCCCAGCACTTTGGGAGGCCGGGATGTGTGGATAACCTGAGCCCAGGAGTCGAAGATCAGCCTGGGCAACATGGTAAATTCCCATATCTACAAAAAGTACACAAATTAGCTGGGCGTAGTGACACACGCCTGTAGCCCCAGCTACTCGAGAGGCTGAGGTGGGAGGACTGCTTGAGCCTGGGAGGCTAAGGCTGCAGTGAGCTGTGACTGCACCACTGCACTCCAGCCTGGGTGACAGAGCAAGGGTCTGTCTCAAAAAGAAAAAAAAAAGAATGTGTTAGTATGTTGTTAGTTCACACACTTTCTTTTCTCAATACCTTGGTTTTTTAGCTAATAAACACACGGGGAAAATCCAATTGTTTTATTTATTTATAGGATAAACATTATTCATCAGTTGTAGTGACCTATTTAAATTCAAATGTCCACAAAAAATATAGTACTACTTGTACTTTGGGGAAAATCTCATCTTTGTGAGCAATAGAAAATAAATGAAACTATAGGCTTAACTGAATTTTTGAGAGGATTATTTCTATTACTTTCAAGTCTTTATTCCCAGATATAATGAAATTAGTTATCTTAAAGCCTTTTGAGAACCATTTCTTTCTCTGCCAATTCTTATGATTATGCTAATACCAAATTTAAAAAAATAAAAAATAAAAAAGTAAACTAGAAAAAAGTTGACTTCTGAAGAGATTTAAAAAAATAGCAAAACTCCAAAGACAGCTGAATCGAACTTTAAGAAATCCAATGTTTTCTTATTTTTTTCTATTTAAACAAATTCTATACTGAAATCATGTAAAGAACTTCAAGAAGATTGAATTTTAAAATCTTCACTCTCTGAGAAGATTTATGTAGACTGAATTCAAGCTTCTTTGTGCAGGTAGGATGACAATAGCAAGGAAAATATGCTCTTTGTCAGTATAGACCATAAATATTTTCTCCATGTCATTGTAAGATTATTGAAAAATTATTCTGGGAAAAATATGGTTGACTGAGTTATAACAATGAAAAATACCACCTGTGTCCCTCATTGGAATGCTTCAATTTAAATAATCCTAAATATCAAAATTATGCACAGTATTATTTACCGGGGCTAAGTTAATTACATAATAATGAGTTATATTAAGATGTCAAAACCATTTAGAATTATTGGGGTTAATTGCACATAAAAAAGGATCAAATATACTCATTATAGTTCACTAAAGCACAATTAGATACACATTACTTTTTTCCCAACAATGTATTCCCACTTCCAGGGCCAATGCCTGGAGCACCCCCCTGCCCCCCACCTGTACACCTCCCCCTGCCGTCAAGGCATGTAGCATTTTTGAACTAGTTTATAAATTAATAACCGAAAGTAGTAGTAGTCCTCATTTGCCCAAAAAACAGGGAAGTCAGAGGATCAGTGAGCAGAAACACATGAGAAATTACAGAATATACTGATGATAAAATGATTCATATTGTGAAATAAACAGGTGATTTTTAAATTCCTGCTATTAGGTTTTGTAATTTGTTTGAAAAAAGCAGATCCAGTGGATCCCATGGAGACACTAAAGGCAGTGGATGGCCCTTACTGAGCTGAGTAATGCTGAGATATAGTTCAGTTTAGTTATACTAATATTTCTTGACCCTGTGCATATGAGGGTACCTGAGAAGCAATACAAACAATGCCCCTGCTCTACCCCTGGACATCTTAGTTACTTATTTTGGGGTGTGTCCCAGCTGTGAGAATTTGTCAAAACACCTCAGATGATTTGCAAAAGTAGCTACAGTAATAAATACAATTCAGCCAGACAAAGAAAAAGATAATTTCTATCTAGATAGAGGGAATAGTAGAAACAAAATGCAACATAATAAACCATTATAACCTAAGTATTGGAAGATCATGGTAGTAGGGGGAGTGGAGAGTATGCAGAGATGAAGTTGAGAAAGAAGAGCATGGAGAAATGCGTGTCAAACATTTAGAGACTAGGATTTTACTACAGACAACGGCAAGACATGTTAAGGATTTCAGCAGAAAAAAATAGCAGACTCAGTTTTGGTTATTAGGTTGAACTTTCTCATGGAGATGTTGTGGTTGTATCTGAGGAGTTACATTAAATAAATACCTCATTTAGGATTCTCACTCCATTATAAATAGGAGACAATGATGACCTGAATTAAGAATAAGAATAAAGATGGTAAGAAAAAGATAAAAATATATTGATATGAAGGTATGTTTCTATTAATTTAAATTGGTGATTTAGATTTATTTACATGACTAGGTTGGTATCTGATGTGAATGAATCAGATATGAGAACATGTAAGAGTATGATTAACTGATGATATTCATACTAGTGTTAACACTAATCACAATGTACTAATGCTTTGTATTGATCAAGCACTGTGATGCATGTTTTAAAATTTCAACTGCATTTATTTATTCGCCAAATCGTGGAAGGCAGATTTCAGTGGTAAAATTGTAATATCTTATACTTATTGAGTAGTTACTTTGCACCAGGTACTGTGAAAAACTCTTAATGCACATGGATTATTGTTTTCTTGTTAGAGCTGTTGAACATAGCATGTTATTATGTCCATTTAAAATACGTGAAGTTTGTAATAAAGAAAATGAAGAAATTTTTGCCAAGTCTCAGAGGTAATAAATCATCAAGCCCCAGTCTCTGTTAATAAAAAGTGCAGGCTGTTAACCACGATCTTATTTATTTAAAAAATTCTCTCTTCTAGTTAGAAAATGTAGGAAGAGTGAAATACGGAAGTAAGGGGTTATGGCAGGTTTATTCATTTTCTAGTGTTAGACAGCGAATTGATACAAACTTAATGGCTTAAAACAACACAAATGTATTGTTTGTGAGAGTATCACCTCTCAGTTTATATGGCTCAGAAATCTAGAAACCAAGTAGTTGGCTTGGATCTGATGTGGCCACAAAAAATGTCCCCAGCTGAGCTCTTCTCTGAAGGATCTGAGGAAGACCCAGACTCCAATCTCATTCTGCCTATTGTCGTAATTCAGTTCCATGTGGCTGCAGGTCCTAGGTCTCTGCTTCAATGCTGGCTGTCAGCTGGGTGACCCTCTCTGCTCCTAGAGGCTTATGCACTCCTTTTCACATTGTCTTTCAGCATTGAAAGCCAGAAATATACGTTGTGACCTTCTCATCATTTAGATCTCTTTGACTTCTGCTGCGGCTGCATCTTTCTGACTGCCTTTTCTGCATTTCTTCTTCAGCCACCACCCAGAGAAATGTGTCTGCTCTATGGGCTCATTTTACTAGAAAGCGCCAAACCAGATAATGTATATGCCAAGATCAATTGAGATTCGACATTAATTATATCTGCAAAATCCCTTCACAGCAGTACCAAGGTTGGTGTATAATTGAATCATCATGTATTAGGCTGTTCTTGTTCTGCTTTAAAGAAATACTCAAGACTGGGTAATAGATAAGAAGATAGATTTAATTGGCTCATGATTCTGCAGACAGTACAGAAGCATAGGGCCATCTGCTTCTGAGGAGACCTCAGGAAGCTTCCAATCATGGCAGAAGACAAAGGAAGAGCGAGCATGTTACATGGCGAGAACAGAGCAAGAGAGAAAGAGTACCCGGTAGAGTTACCACACACTTGTAAATGACAGATCTCATGTGAACTCAGAAGGAGAGCTCACTTATCACCATGGAGATGGCCCAATCCATTGATGAGGGATCTGCTCCCATGTTCCAAATACCTTCCCCCAGGGCCCACTTCCAACATTGGAGATTACAATTCAACATGAGATTTGGACAGGAACAAATATTCAAACTATATCAAGCCAGAAGATGGGAATATTGGAGGGTGGGGAATGTTTTTAGAATGGTGTCTACTAGAGGAAAACAAAATTATGCACACACATGCAAACACACATACATACACGTACTCACAGACCTTCACATATATCCCTCAACAGAGTTAGAATTCATCAGTGTTTGGCCAGTGGTATAAACTATTGGCATAAATAATTTGTAAATGATGCCTCTCCAGATCCACAAGAGAGAGAGGCATGTGCCAACTCCGGGAACACTAAGTGCAGGTATGGAGAATAGGATTAGGAAAGAAAAAAAAACAGAATCCAAATAAAAGCAGGTGATCAAACAGGGAATGTTTATCTTCTCACTGGAAGCCAAAGTGGGCAGCATAAAGGTCAAAGAGATTTTCTGTGTCAAATGCTGAATGAGCAAATGGTGGATTTGGCCATTAATTATTATTAATTATCTTAGGAAAAATGCATGCATAATATTGAAAAGAAAAGAAGTTATTGACAGAAAAATTTCTTCGAATAAATAAGTGGGAAGAGGTTCAAGACCAATACTGATACTAATTTTCAAATGAGAGCCAGATTTAATGTCTATGCATCTCTCCCTTTTGAAATGTTTCTTTAACAAGTCTAAGAATCTTTCTATAGCTATCTATCTATCTATATATCCATTTATCCATCCACCTATCTTTCTAAATATCTATCCGTCTATCAAGCACTAGAAAATAGAAACAGGCCCACTGAGTGCATTCAATATTTGGAAATAAATGAAAACAAAATAGTGAATAGAACTAAATATATGGGAAAAGAAGAAATTGTACTTTTCAACACCATAGAAAAAGAGAAATTTCTGGAGCACTTAATATCCAAACTCAAGGATAATACATTTTTAGAAGAAATGAAACATTAAAAAATGAGAGCAGTTATAAAAAATACAACTTGTTTTAAGAGACCACATGAAAGTTTTCCTTTTTATAAGTAAAATATAAAATCAATAATAATCAATTATTTCAAACATAGCTTCATGTACCTTGTTTAAATTCTGACAGGGGCATTTTTAATAGGCCTAAAAGAAAAAAATGTATGATCTTTTTGGTTGGTTATTAAACAGATGATAATGGAAAATATTTAAAGACTTAAGGGAAATTATCAAAAAATATGTAGATGAAGTGAATTATGAAAACAGTTATGAGCTAAATTCTTCATAATTAATAAACAGTATACAATGGATAGAGTTTACGTAAGATATTTAGTTCAACAATTTGTTGTGAAATAGATTGCGTAACATTAAAATAGTAATTGTTGGAAGCACTAGAAATAGAGTTGTAGCATGTGACTGTCCCCCAACTAATTTCACAAATAGTAAAGTAAAAAAGGAAACAAAAAATTTTAGCTTTCATATTGCATTCTATGTTACTCTGCTATTTTATGAGAATATATACATGCATTAATTAAATTAATGGGACAATAATACAAAAAGAATAAAGTTTGGGAGAAAGCATTAAATCATATGAATTCCATTTAGTTGCGGTATTAGTCTACTCTCATGTCACTAATAAAGACATAGCCGAGACTGGGTAATTTATAAAGGAAGGAGGTTTAATTGCCTCACAGTTCCACATGGCTGGAGAGGCCTCACAATCATGGCTGAAGGAGAATGAGAAGCAAAGTCATGTCTTACACTGTGGCAGGCAAAAGAGCTTGTGCAGGGGAACTCCCATGTATAAAAACATCAGATTCATGAGACTTATTCACTATTACAAGAACAGTATGGGGGAAATGTCCCCCATGATTGAATTATCTTCACCTGGCCCCACCCTTGATAAGTGGGGATTACTACAATTTAAGGTTAGGTTTGGGTGTGGACACAAAACCAAACCATATCAGTTGCCCTAAAATTTATTTGAAAGAATATTTTATTATTTTGTTATGCTATGTTTAACAATATAACAATTCCCGCTGTGGTAAGCTAGAATTATCATGTTCTTGTTAGAACATGGTTGGTTCAACTGTCCTTTTATGTTCACTGTGCTTGGAAGCATCCTGAAGCATCCCAATAATATCTCTGAATTCTGATAAAATTTTTCCTCCCTAGCACACATATTAAAAGCAAATGTACTTTCTCATAATAACAAGAGTGAATAAACATTGCTCTTATATTGGTATGAGTATTCAAATGTTATAGGAAATAAGTATAGGTTAGGAGAAACTTTATCTGTCCCCTAGTAGAAGTATCTACTCCTGGGAACCAGAATCTCCAGTCCAATACAGCCCACAGTTACAAGCATGGGACATATACAAATCGTCCACATGTTTCATTGGAGATGATGATGGAAGCAGTTACACCTATTTTAGTTTCAGTTCCCAAACTCAAGTATTCTAACTATTGTGGTCTCAGAACCACATGATGCCCATCAGTTTGAAGTTTATGCCTCATCCTGAGGATCGCATTCAAACCTTTCAGGATGTCTTCACAGCAACTTGGATGTGTTTTAAGCTTATTCCAATGTTCTTAGGCTATCAGCCTCTAGGTAATACCATTTATAATAGAACTGTAGCATTCCATAGGCATATTCCATTGTCATGTCTCATTCACCTTTAGTCTGAAGTAATGTTATGTAGGATCCTATGATAGTAGGCAATTTCTGAGTCCTGAGTTAGCAGTATTGCCTAAGAAACTGTATTAATCTTGGATGCTGGCAGGTACAACATACTGCAGCAGAGTGGAGGTGTCCCTGGTCCCATCTCTGTCACCGTAGCTCATCCATTTCAAGCTTCTACTCTGCATCCATTTGGGTCGTTTAGGACAGGAAATGGCTGACCTTTACTATACTGGACAGTCAATATGCATGCTTGTTTGTTTTCAGGAGCCTATATGACTGTGGTTATCATTTTTTGGAGAACATCAATGCAAAATTCAAATATTCAAAATATGCCGTCTCCCATTTTTTCATTCTTTAAGTCTTGCTTTCTCCAGGTCCTTGCCTACCCAGCCTAGATGTTAACTACTGCTCAGGAATCCATATGAACTTATTTCAGCAGAATTCTCACTCTGCCCACAGTAGATGGTCAAGCATACTATGCTAAACTTTGTTCTCTGGAGGAATTTCTTTTAAACACTGCTTTTCACGTCTAGATCTGAGGCAGGCAATGGAGTAGGAGTCCACTGTCTGTCTTGTATCAACATATCAAGCCCACCGTCCATATATTACATCAATGATTTTTTCCTCCACTGCCAGCTGGTCAGAGGGAAACTCCATGAGGTCATAGAAAGAAGCTGAGGGAGAGACATCAGTGCAGGAAAGGGGCTCTAAACTATTCATATAATTTACTAATATCCTATATACATTTTCCATGCTCATCACAAATGTACTATTTCTATTTTACAATGGTGCTATGGTTTAGATATGGTTTGTTTGTCCCCACAAAAAGCCATGTTAAAATTCGATCCCTAATCTGACGGTATTGGGAGGTCGGGCCTAGTGAGAGGTCTCTGGGTTTTGGGGGTGGATCCCTCATCAGTGACTTGGTGCCATTCTACAGGTAGTAAGTGAGTTCTCATTCTGGTAAGACTGGATTAGTTTTTGTGGGGATAGATTAGTTTCCACTACAGGGGGTTATGATGAAGCTTGGATGCCCCTCAGGTTTGCCTTCATCTTCACATGTGTCCACTTCCCCTTTGGCTTTCTCCACCATGTTATGACCTAGCATATGGCCCTCACCAGGAGCCAGATGGATGCCAGTATCATGTTTCTCATGCTTCCTAACCAGCAAAATTATAAGCTAAACAAAACTTTTTTTTTGGTAAATTATTTAGCTTCAGGTATTTTGTTATGGCAACACAATGCAGTAAGACCAGGATATTGATATAATTTTCTTTGTCTTTTTTCTTTGAAATAGGGTCTCACTGTATTACTCAGGCTGGTGTGTAGTGGCACAATCACAGCTCACTGCAGCCTTGACCTCCCAGGCTCAAGTGATCCTCCTATCTCAGCCTCTTGTATAGGTAGGACCACAGGTGCATGCCACCATGCCCAGCTAATTATTTTTTTATGTTGGTTTTTTTTTTTTTTTTGTATGAACATGGCATCACTATGTTGTCCAGGCTGATTTTTAACTCCCCTATGCTCAAGTGATCCACGCACCTTGCCCTTCCAAAGTGTTGGGATTACAGGTGTAAGCCACCACGCCTAACCTGGTATAATTTGCAATCAATCGAATGACTTGTTGGGCCTGACTCTGCAGCTCATCATGGGCAACTCTTTTCACATAATCATTTGCAGTTCTATTATCAAGTGTTAAGCAGGACTCAAGCTGCAGTTTAAATAGTGTGTAATTCTCTATTGCAGACAGCATTATTTGCAATCCAGAATTAGATGTTGCTCCAGAAACCCTAGGTGACTAAAGTTGCTGCTGGAACTCTCCTATTAAGACTTGTGAGGAACTCCTGCACTGCATCCTATGTACCACCAGTACGTCTGGCGCCATGGGATCTGATGACTCCAGTGAGCCAACAGGCAGTACCAGGTTTACTGCAGCCTGAACATGCTGCATATTTCTGTTTTGTTCTGGCCCCTATTTAACAACGAGAGATTATCAAGTTACTTTCTAAATGAGTCCAATCTGTATTCCAGAATGTTCAATGGGCTCTTTCTAAAACTTAAAGAGACCTACTAAATGTTCCTCATTTTTATAATAGAAGTTTCAAGATACAATGACTTAACTTTGGCATTCCAGCATGCCCCAGACAACTAGAACCACTCCCACCCCTCAAAAATTAACCCAAAGTGATATCCCTCTGAATTTCTGTAAGGTTATCTCCCCATCTTCTCATGTTCATGTATCTTCTGAGGGTACCTAGACTATTTTCCACTTCTTACTTACCAAGTTTAATATACATATCATCAATAGGGTGAACCAGTGTTATCCTCTGTGGAATGTCTACATGATAAATGTCCTTTGTACCACAGAGAGTGAATATGTTCTTGGTGCACAGTCATAAATATGAGCTGCTTTTCATGGCAAGGGAATGTGAACTGTTTCTGCTGCTGCTTAATAGGAATTGAAAGGGATTTATTTGCAAATCAATAGTGGTATACTCTATGCTACAGGTGCACTGAACTTTTCTACTTAATCATACTACACGCAGCAAAACAGCTGGTCTGAGGCTATGGTTTGATTATATTATGGTACTCAACTCTTATGTGTCAAAATTCATCTTAATTTTTTTTTGGAGTGTAACTAATAAATTAAACTGAGATGTGATCAGGACCAACACTTCTGCATTCATTAAGTCTTTGAAAGTGGCACTAATCCCTGCCATTCTATTCAGAATGGAGTATTGCTTCTAACTTGTTATTAGCTGTGGTGAAAGGACTGGGAGACAGTTTCAGGGGCTTCCATTTTGTCTCTCCTAAACTAATGTGGCTAACTCTTGTGAGTAGGAAATCAATATGAGTTCTTCAAGCTGCTAAGTATATCCTTCTTGATTATGGACTCAACCACTGAGGAATGACCGTTCTACTGTGAGACAGAGTCAGTACAGGACTCCACCTTCCCCTGGCCTGAGAAATTCCCCTCTTTTACTGTGAGGGGAATTTTTTTTTACTCTTTTACTGTGTTTGGGTGCTCTTGTATTAGTGTCAGTGCAGATCCTTTAACAGAGTGTGAAAAATTGGAGTAGTTTTTTGTGTGACAGCATACAATTCCTCTGGAATAGTTTTATGTCCCTTTGTGGCAGGATTAGGAAAACTGATGCTTAATATCCTTGCAGCAATGCTCACAGGAGGTTTTTCCTCAAGAGAATATATACTTCCTTTCCATGTATGTGTTCTGAATCTGAGAACTGTTTTGTATCTGGAAATTGGGATAGTGCTTTATATACTCTAGATATTTTAGTTGTTGTTTCATAGGCCTAGCAATACCTTCATTTATCTAGCCACTAGGAATATTGTTTATTCACCAAGGTCAAGGCAATCTGGTTATCATTCTTATGTTAAGTATGTCCGTCTTCCCTATAAACTTTACTAACTGCTACCTAGTCTCTGCTGTTTCTCACTGATACTGGGAAGCTTAGTTTCATATCAACATTCCAACAAACATTAACTTCAGCACACACAGGACAGTCGCCATTGGACATTACATTAACAATGACAATTGACTGAGATAGTCTATATCATCTTAATGAAATGAAAGTTTTATGTGCCCTCCTGAGGAACTTAATGTCCTTATAGATTTTTCTGGTTCTAATAGTAAATCCATTCTAATATTAATTTAAATAAATTTAAAATTTATTTGAAATAAACTCAAATAAGATAATTCTAATAATTCATCAATTTTTATAGTCTGTATTTGGCAAGCTTCAAAGAGGCATCCCAGCAGCAAATTAAGACTGGATCCAGGTGTTTATATCAATAAATTATATTTTAAGTTTATTATCAACAAACTTACTCAGCCTTGTATTCTGCCCACTGTGTCCAGCACCCTCAAGATCCACCTAACTGTTTTCTCTAGGTTGTAGCCGGTGCTTACCGGCTAAGTCTCATAGATCTTTCTGGAAATAACCTCTTTCTTTCAATAGCAGAGCAAATTGAACCTCAGTGGGCCCTTGACCATAAGTGTTTAACTCTAGTTATTAGCATAATAGTAATATGTAAATATATGAGCAGATTTGCAGAAGAATTATTAGCATTTTGCAGGGCACCTGCTTAAGCTGAGGTCATTCCATGACCTCTTGGCAATGAGAGGCTTCTATCTTCTAATAAAGAGTAGGAGAGAAATGCTTCCTGACCAGAGTTTAGTGCAATCTTGGAGTTCAAGCTTCTCAAAAATTTTCATCCTGATTTTGCAACCTAGATTTTAAGTAATCCAACTCTCTCTCATGTTGATTTTATCACAGGAGATTTTCGAGTGCTGAAATACAAGACTCTTTTTTGTAACCCGATTACTAATATAATCAGTTCTTACCAGCTACAATAAATCAGTTCCCTTCAAATGCATTCACAGAGACCTTCTTGCTTTCAGGCCATGTTTTTGAAACCCAGGATCCCCAAGTTTTTGAGTATGCACTGTGAAAAAGTATCTACTTGTACCTATTGTGCCTCGAGTTCTTGTTATTTCAAAAATTTCCAGGAAAGAGCTCAGCCCTGGAGAAAAAACAAAAGAAAAAAAAAAGTGTTGGATCCAGAGATGCCTGTGTTGGACATGAACTTTGGTGAACTCTTCTCATTATCACACTAAAATCCTGGACCAAGGAGGAGCTTATTTATCTTATTTATCATTTTCTTTTCTTTCCTTTTTTTTTTTTTTTTTTTTTTTTGAGACGAAGTCTCACTCTGTCATCCAGGGGGCTGCAGTACAGTGGTGCGATCTCAGCTCACTGCAACTTCTGCCTCCTGGGTTCACGCCATTCTCCTGCCTCAGCCTCCTGAGTAGCTGGGACTACAAGGTGCCCACCACCACGACTGGCTAATTTTTTGTATTTTTAGAAGAGACAGGTTTCACCATGTCAGCTAGGATGGTGTGGATCTCCTGACCTTGTGATCAGCCCACCTCGGCCTCCCAAAGTGCTGGAAATACAGGCATGAGCCACCACGCCCTGCCTTATTTATCATTTTCTATACATGTGAATATGTGGACACATGATCAGCGACTGCCTGCACTGCCTTTGCTCCACCTCCACATAGGATGACCGAGCCAGTCAACCCAGTAAAAGCCATGTTTTCATCACTGTTCTGGGAGGCACTGCTTTAGGAACTATTCCTCGTGCCCTCCTTACTTGCTTCAGGTAATAAAATTCTCATGTTAAATCTTCCTTTGTTGTGGTCATTGGACTGTCACCCACCAAGTGATAGATCCCACATGTTGTGAGGGATAAAACCTTGAGTGGACAGTTCACTGGCATCAGAAAGTCATTTTTGTCCTTAATGGTTTCCATGCAAGTTAACAAAAGCAAGACAACTCATTGACTCTTATCAGAACATTTGCCCCATTTCTTAAATGCTTAAAATATTTATTAAGCCAGTTTATACTTTTCTATAATATGTTGTCATGATTCACATGGTTTATAGATTCAGGGAGTGAAACATTTCCGCATGCCAAGGCTTTTAACTACCCCACATACTACCAGCAATGGAGTGTTTATTTTCATCTAGCCAGTAAGTGATCTGATCTCCAAATCCAATCCTCACAGTCCACCTCCTAACGCATCTTTTGTTTCCAACTCTCTGGATTTGGCTTTTCTCAGAAACAGATCTGAGACAAAGATTTAAGTGCAATTTGTTTCTTTGAAACTGGTGCAATAAATGATAGGCTGGGTAATGAAAAAGTGGCAAAGGTAAGGGAAAAACAGAAAGCAATAAAGTGTGCATTAGTAAACCAGTTATCATTTGTGAACCTGGAGGTTAGTTTTTCCAGAGTACTCTGGTGACAGTATAATATATAACCTCAATTTATCCCAGTTGAGGAGGAAGAAGTATGTGGTATTTATCCACCAAATCCCTAGTTGGATGAAGATCACTTCTGGGGAATTTACTCTGCAGGACTCTGACTTGCCCTGAACCTGGACCAAGTGATCTCCTTAGGCCAGAAAAATATCTGTAGGAAAAAATCATAGCTATTTTCAGTATACATCCATCGTCTTGTAAAGCATGGACCTGATACTGACAGATTGTGCCACTATCACCAATTCTAGGAATTTGTACCATAATAGCACACATAGATTGGTCAAGATGTAAAGTTTTCTAGAGATAAGGAAATTGCGATAGAAATTAGATACAAGTAAATTTATAAAAAAGAAAATAAAGTCCAGAATTTATTTTAAAATTAGGAGAAGGAAAGATCTAGTGACTAGATGTGTAGTGGGTGGGATAGAACATTACGCATAGAAAGCCATTGTTACACTTCAAGTCACATACAAAAATAGAGTTTGGGTTCTCAAGGCTACTTGGCACATCAACTTTATATAAGTCTACAAATAGCATTAGGAAATTGATAGGGCATAGACTATCTCCACAAACCGAGGTGCTTCTGGTGTAGCAATATCCATGTTCCTTTTTTTTTTTTTTTTTTTTTTGACAGAGTCTTGCTCTGTCGCCCAGGCTGGAGTTCTGTGGAGCAATCTTGGCTCACTGAAAGCTCCGCCTCCTGGGTTCACACCATTCTCCTGCCTCAGCCTCCCGAGTAGCTGGGGCTACAGGTGCCCACCACCACGCTTGGCTAATTTTTTGTATTTTTAGTAGAGACGGGGTTTCACCATGTTAGCCAGGATGGTCTCGATCTCCTGATCTTGTGATCTGCCCACCTTGGCCTCCCAAAGTGCTGGGATTACAGGCGTGAGCCACCGCGCCTGGCCCAATATCTATGTTACTTATGAGACTGCCCAGGAAACAGTACCCATTAGTCCCAGATTTATGTTTAGGAGCCAGAGGCAACTTTCTAAGACAGGCTTAATGAATAGGATATTTTGGACAATGAATTTATTTGATTATTTGTCCAGGTTTACTTTTTGCATATTTTAATTATTTTTGATTAGCTCTAAATCATCATCCTAGAAAGCACAAATTAAAAAAAGAGATCTCAGAGGTTGTAGTCAGTAGTCAGAATCTAGATTAATATATGAGAACTCTGTCATAGAAATGTATGAAATCACATAAAAAGATAGGGCCAAGTGGGTCAAAAGGCACACACGTATTCTTTGAGTCTAAATCCCCAGGTAAGGGTTGATGTGGTAATGCCATCTGTAGGTGTTCCATCAAATACGTAATGTATTTCTACATATTTCCAAGAACAGGGAACAAGTAACCCACTCACCATGAGAAGAATTTGATGTGTAGATCATATAGCCAAAACTATATGAAAATAGATGATGTAAAATTGAAAAAGAAATTGCACGATGTTAGCGTGCCTTTAAAAAGTTGATATAGATGGGGGACAAGATGGCTGACTAGACATAACCAGGAGAAACATCTCTTGACGATAGAAAGGGCATAAGAAAGACTGGCACACTCTTAGAATATCTTTTGCAGGGAGGCAATGAAGTGGATGGAGGGAAGACACAGATGCTAGGCTAAAAAGGGAGGAAGCTGTGAACACTGCACAAGGCTATCATGCACCAGGACTTGATTCCTGGCCCCGTATGTCTCCTGGGGAAGGGGTGAATTGAACAAGCAAGTAGTGGCCCACTCTCCCCTTGGGCTTCTGGAATCCACAAGGAGAACTGCTCAGAGAAATGGCAGAGCCAGAACTCCAGCTGGAGGAGAGCATAGAGGGTTTGGTGCAGGAGCATCTGTAGTGGATCATGGCCAGGGTTATCTATTCCCCTAGGCTCAACTGGCTCCCATAGGAGAATTTAACCCTAGGAGAATTGTTGGACTTGAGCTCTACAGGGTGATCTTATCCATGAGATGGGGCCGGTGGACCCAAGCAGCCCTCAATCTGCTGGCCTCTTCTGGGGCCCCAGCCTGGTAGTTCCTGCTTGTAGTGCAGCCCGCAGTACTTCCTGAAGGCCTGTTTCATAGCTCCTGCACTGGCAGACTGTGCCTGACCAGCAGAGTGCTCCAGCAGAGAAGCCCTAGGTGACATGCACTAGCCCACCTTCCCACACAATGCAACCTCCCCACAATGCAGCCTCCCCTGTGCCACTTTTCCCACACGTACTTGCCCATGGCCTACGTTTGCATTGCTTTACCACTGCATATGTGTGCACAGGCAGACCTTGGCTTCCCTTCCCAACTTGGAGCATGTACATGTGCACCCTGCTGTGCCACTGCAACCAGTGTGCATGTGAGTGCATTCTGGCTATCTCCCCCCACCACATCCCACTACTTCTGCCAGCATCTTTCTCCTGCACCAAAACTGCCATCAGACCAAAGTAGGCATGGAGAAAAGCAATCTTGCTCCCACCCTGAGCAACCACCTCCACCCATGGGAACATGCACACAGGGTGCAACCACCACCACCAGCATGAACTAGCACACAGTTACCAGCAAAGCAGGGGGTGTGATCCCCCTAGCTGTGCTGTCAATGCCAGCCACTGCTGTGAAGGGCTGTGTGAAGGCCAGTGCCCCCTCACCCACTAGGATCCTGCTGCAGTCTAGGAGCATGCACCAACACCTTGCTGCAGCTGTAGCTGCTACGTGCACATGCAAATGAGGATGATTTCTGCCGCCAGTAATCTACAAAGTGCCTTGGGTGGCATCACCCATCACAGTGTTGTGACGAGTAGTCTGGAAGCACCTCGGCTCTTCCAGCATAGCAGGTTCATTACATTGAGAAACTATAGAACTAAGCAGGAGGGGAGCAGGGCAGAGGTGATACAAGTCCCCCAGAGTTAGAGCATGCAGTCCAGGAGTCCTGAACTGAAGCTTGGTCCCTTAAAATCCTCCCAAAATGAAGCCAGTCAACTAAACCCACCTTACGCAACAATCAAATCCCTGAGGTCATCAAATAGGATCAAAAGAAATAAAAACCCACCCAAAGGACAGCAACTTCAAAGAGCAAAGGAAGATAAGCCCACAAAGATGATAAAGATAAAGCACAAGAACTCTGACAACTGAAAAAGCCAGAGTGTCTTCTTTTTCTCCAAACAAGGGCATTAGTTCTCCAGCAAGGTTTCTTAACTGGGCTAAGATGGCTGAAGTGACAGAAATAGGTTTCAGAACAGGAACAGAAATAGGAATGAAGACCATCAAGATTCAAGAGAATGTTGAAAATCAATATAAAGAAGCTAAGAATCACAATAAAAAGACACAGAAGCGGACAGACAAGATAGTCAGTATATAAAACAACATAACTGACCTGATAAAGCTGAAAAACAAACTACAAAGATTTTATAATGCAATTACAAGCATTAACAGCAGAACAAAACAATCTGAAGAAAAAATCTCAGTATTTGAAGAAGGAATGAACAAAACCTCTGTGAAAAATGGGATTATGTAAAGAGACCAAGTCTATGACTCATTGGCATCCATAAAAGAGATGGGAAAAATAGAATAAACTTGGAAAACATATTTCAGGATATTATCCATGAGAACTTCCTCAACCTAGCTAAGGAAGCTGACATTCAAATTCAGGAAATGCTGAGAACCCCTGAAAAATACTTCACAAAAAGATCATCCCCAAGACACATAATCATCAGATTCGTCAAGGTCGAAATAAAATAAAAAATGTTAAGGGCAGCTAGAAAAACAGATCACCTACAAAGGGAAGTCTATCAGACCAGCAACAAACCTTTCAGTGGAAACCCTAAAAGCCAGAAGAGACTGGGGCCCTTTATTCAATATAATTAAAGGAAAGAAATTCCAACCAAGAATTTCATATCTGGCCAAATTAAGCTTCACAATTGAAGGACAAATAAAATCTTTTTCAGAGAAGAAAATGGTGAGTAAATGTGTACCATCAGATCTACCTTATAAGAGGTCCTGAAAGAAACACTAAATATGAAAAGGAAAGACTGTTACCAGTTTCTACGAAAACACATTTAGGTATGCAGACCAGTCACCAGTTTGTGTGAAGCAACCACACAAACAAGCCTGCATATGAACTAGCTAACGACATGATGACAGGATCAAATTCACAAATATCAATACTAACATTGAATATAAATAGGCTAAATACACCAATCAAAAGGCAAAAAGAGTGGCAAGCTGGATAAAGAAGTATGATCTAATGATATGCTGTGTTCAAGAGACCCATCTTACTTACAGGGAAACCCACAGGCTCAAAATGGAGAGATGGAAGAAAATCTACCAAGCAAAAGAAAAACAGAAAAAAGCAAGAGTTGCAATCTTAATTTCAGACAAAACAGACTTTAAACCAACAAAGATTAAAAAAAGACAAAGAAGGAAAATACATAACGGTAAAAAGTTCAGTTCCACAAGAAGACCTAACTATCATATATATGTATATATATATATATATATACACATACATATATATGCTAAGGATTCCCATTGTCTCTGCCCAAAAGCTCCTTGAGCTGATAAGCAATTTCAGCTACATTACAGTATACAAAATCAATGTGCAAAAATCACTAGCATTGCTATACACCAACAACAGCCAAGCTAAAAGCCAAGTCAGAAATGCAATTCCATTTACAACTATCCACAAAAGAACAAAATGCCTGGGAATACAGCCAAGCACAGAGATGAAAGATCTCTATAATGAGAATTAGAAAACACTGCTAAAAATTATATATATGCACACAACACAGGAGCACCCAGTTTTATAAAGCAAGTTCTTAGAGACCTTCAAAGAGACTTAGATTTCCATACAGTAATAGTGGGAGACCTCAACACTTCACTGACAGCGTTAAACAGAACACTAAGGCAGAAAATTAACAAAGATACTTAGGATCTGAACTCAGCAAGAAACCAAATGGACCTGATAGTTATCCAGAGAACTCTATACCCAAAACCAGCAGAATATACATTTTTCCCATTAGCACATTTAACATACTCTAAAATCAATCACACAATCAGACATAAAATAATCCTCAGTAAATGCAAAAGAACTGAAATCATACCAACCACTCTCTTGGACAACAGCAAAAAAAAAAAAAAAAAAAAATGAAAATCACGATTAGGAAAATCACTCAAAACTGTACAATTACATGGAAATTAAACAACCTGTCCCTGAATGAATTTTGGGTAAATAATTAAATTAAAGGAGAAATCATGAAGTTCTCTGAAACTAATAAAAACACAGATAAAATATACCATAATCTCTGGGACACAGCTAAGGCACTATGAAGAGGGAAATGTATAGTAACAAATGCTCACATCAAACAATTAGAAAGATCTCAAGTTAATAACCTAACATGACAAATAAAAGAACTAGAGAATCAAGGGCAAACAAATTCCAAAGTTATTAGAAGACAATAGCTGAACTGTAGGAGATTGACAACAACAATAAAAAAAATTCAAAAGATTGACGAATCCAGGAGATAATTTTTTGAAAAAAAAATGAGATAGATAAATTGATAGCTAAACTAACGAAGAAGTAAAGAGAGAGGATCCAAATAAATATGATTAAAAATGACAAAAGGGATATTACCCTTGATCCCCACAAAAACACAAATAACCATCCAAGAATACTATGAACATTTCTATGCACACAAGCTAGAAAATCTAGAAACAATGGATAAATTCCCGGACGCATACATCCTTCTAATACTGAAGCAGGAAGAAGTTGAATCCTGAACAGACCAAAAATGAACTCCAAAATTGCATCTGTAAAAAAATAGCCTACAAACCAAAAGAAGCCAAGAACCAAATGGATCCACATACAAACTCTACCATATTTACAAAGAAGAGCTGGAACCATTCATACTGAAACTATTTCAAAAAAGTGAGGAGAAGGGACTCCTCTCCATCTCATTCTTTGAGGCCGGTATCATCCTAACAGAAACATGTAAGAGACACAACAATGAAAAAATAAAATTTAGGGGAAAATATCCCTGATTAACATTGATGCAAAATTCCTCAACAAAATACAAGCAAACAAAATTCAGCATCCCATTAAAATGCTAATCCAGCATGATCAAGTAGGCTTTGTCCTTAGGATGCAAGATTGTCTCAACATATGCAAATCAATAAATGTGATTCATTACATAATAAGAACTTTAAATAAAGTTCTTTAAATAAAGTTCTTAAAGGCTTTATTTAAAGGCTTTAAATAAAATTCAACATCACTTCATGTAAAAAATTCTCAACAAACTAAATATTAAAGGAACATACCTCAAAATAATAAGAGCCATCTATAACAAACCCACAGCCAACATCGTAGTGAAAGGGCAAAACCTGGAATCATTTCCCTTGAAAACCAGCACAAGAAAAGGATGCCCTCTCTCACCATTCCTATTCAACATAATATTGGCAGTCTTGACAAAAGCAGTCAGGAAAGATACAAAAATAAAGGGCAATCAGGCCAGGTGGGGTGGCTCACGCCTGTAATCCCAGCACTTTGGGAAGCCGAGGTGGGTGGATCATGAGGTCAGGAGATCGAGACCATCCTGGCTAACACGGTGAAACCCTGTCTCTACTAAAAATACAAAAATTAGCCAGGCGTGGTGGATGGTGCCTATAGTCCCAGCTACTCAGGAGGCTGAGGCAGGAGAATGGCATGAACCCGCGAGGCGTAGCTTGCAGTGAGCCAAGATGGCACAACTGCACTCCAGCCTGGGTGACAAAGCGAGACTCTGTCTCAAAAAAACAAGTCAGGGACCAAGGGCAATACCCAGTGAGGTGCAAGTTTGGGTTGGTTCTAGTGGTTTGAGGGCAGTCTCCTTGGGAATCTGAACTTGTGCCAGAGGACGGGCTCCTGTTGTTTAAGGGCTCTGTGCCTCATATGAAACCAAAAATACAAAAATATAAGCAATAAAAGAAAAAATACATAAACTGGGCATTTTCAAAATTTAAAAATCGTATGCATCAAATGACACAATTGGCTGGGCTTGGTGGCTCACGCCTGTAATCCCAACACTTTGGGAGGCCAAGGCGGGCGGATCACGAGGTCAGGAGTTCAAGACCAGCCTGGCCAACATGGAGAAACCCCATCTCTACTAAAAATACAAAAAATTAGCCAGGCACGGTGGAGGGCGCCTAGTCCCAGCTACTCGGGAGGCTGAGGCAGGAGAATGGCATGAACCCAGGAGGCGGAGCTTGCAGTGAGCCGAGATCAGGCCACTGCACTCCAGCCTGGGTGGCAGAGCGAGACTCCATCTCAAAAATAAATAAATAAATAAATAAAGGGCATCCAAACAGAAAGTGAAGAAGTAAAACTGTCCGTGTTTTTAGATGAAATGATTCTATATCTAGAAATTCCCATAGTCTCTGCTCAAAAGTTCCTTGAGCTGATAAGCAATTTCAGCTACATTACAGGATACAAAATCAATGTGCAAAAATCACCAGCATTGCTATACACCAACAACAGCCAAGCTAAAAGCCAAGTCAGAAATGCAACCCCATTTACAATTACCCACAAAAGAACAAAATGCCTGGGAATACAGCCAAGCACAGAGGTGAAAGATTTCTACAATGAGAATTAGAAAACACTGCTAAAAAAATCATAGATGACACAAACAAATGGAAAAACATTCCATGCTCATGGATAGAAAAAAATTAATATTATTAAAATGGCCATAATTCCTAAAGCAATTTGTGGGTTCAATGCTATTTCTACAAAACTATGAACTGCATTACTCACAAAACTAGAAAAATCCATTTTAAAATTCATATAAAAGCAAAAAAGAGCCCTAATAGCCAAGATAATCCTAGTTAAAAAAGCAAAAAGCTGGAGAAATCATGCTACCTCACTTCAAACTATACTATAGGGCTGCAGTAACTAAAACAGCATGGTACTGGTACAAAAATAGACACACAGACCAATGAAACAGAACACAGAGCTCAGAAATAAGGCTGTACACCTACAACCATCTGATCTTCAACAAAATTGTTAAAAACAAGCAGTGAGGAAATGATTTCCCATTCAATAAATGGTGCTGGAATAACTGGCTATCCATATGTAGAAGACTGAAACTGGACCCTTCCCTTATACCATATACAAAAATCAACTCAAGGTGTATTAGAGATTTAAATACAAAAACCCCAAACTATAAAAATCCTGTAAAATAACCTAGAAAATACCATTCTGAACACAGGAACTGGCAAACACTTCAGGACAATGATGCCAAAAGCAATAATAACAAAAGCAAAAATTGACAAAAGGGATCTAATTAAAGAGCTTCTACCCAACAACAAAAAACTATCAACAAAGTAAACAGACAACCTACCGAATAGGAGAAAAAAAATTGCAAACTATGAATCTGACAAAGATTTAATATCCAGCATCTATCAGGAACTTAAACAAATTTACAAGAAATAAAACAACCCCATTAAAAAGTGGGCAAAGCACATGAATGGACACTTCTCAAAAGAAGACCTACATGTGACCAACAAATATATGACAAAAAGCTCAACATCACTGATCATTAGAGAAATGTAAATCAAAACCACAGTGAGATACCATCTCACGCAAATTAGAATGGCTATGATAAAAAGTCAAAAAATAACAGACACTGGGGAGATTTTGGATAAAAATGTGCGCTTTTATACTATTGGTGGGAGTGTAAATTCGTTCAGCCATTGTGGAAGAAGGTGTAGAGATTCCTCAAAGACCTAAAGACAGAAATACCATTAGAACCAGCAATCCCATTACTGGGTATATTCCCAAAGGAATATAAACTGTTCTATTATAAATACACATGCACGTGTAGGTTTATTGCAGCACTATTCACAATAGCAAAGACATGGAATCAGCCTGAATGCCCATCAATGATAGACTGGATAAAGAAAATGTGGTAAACATACATAATGGAATGTTATGCAACCATAAAAAAGAACGAGATCATGTCCTTTGTACGGACATGGATGGAGCTGGAGGACCTTACCCTTCACAAACTAACACAGGAACAGAAAACCAAATACCACATGTTTCTCACTCATAAATGGGATCTAAATGATGAGAATACATGGACACATAGAGGGGATCCACATGTACTGGGGCCTGTTAGGGGGTGGAGGGTAAAGGAGGGAGAGAAGCAGGAAAAATAACTAATGGATACTGGGTTTATTGCCTGGGTGATGAAATAGTCTGTACTACCATCCCCCATGACACACATTTACCATGTAATGAAACTGCACATGCTGCACATGTACTTCTGAACTTAAAAGTTAAAAAAAAAATTCCATGAGTAAATAGTAGTGATTTTATCTGACTGATTTCTCATGTGTTTATCAAAAGTCCACCTGCATTTGATATTCCAATGTTTTAATGTATTTCAATTTTTGTATACTGCAATATACTACTCTATACACACACAAGGTAAAGTTGCCATCTTGGATTGGAGGACATAAACTTGATAAGAGTCTCACCTTCAAAGATTTTTATTATTTTTGCTTTCAGGTTTTTTATTTCAAAGTTACCTTTAGAAAGTATACAAATTTCTGTATCAAATATAAAGAAAAGTATCACTACCTTTTCTAAAAACGTATTGAAATATATTTAAAATTGTATGTGATCAATGAACTATACTGGAGATCGTATGTTAGAATATTCTTTCTAAAAGTAGAATATTCTTAATTTTCTGAAATTAAATATTTTTGTGAATAACATGGACTTTGAAAATCTGTTGACTCATTCTTTAATTACTCAACATGTGTGATATGGTTTGGCTGTGTCCCCACTCAAATCTCATTTTGAATTGTAGCTCCCATAATTCCCACATATTGTAGAAAGGACACCCTGCGAGATAATTGAATTACAGGGGCAGTTTACCCCATACTGTTCTGTTGGTAGTGAATAAGTCTCACAAGATCTGATGGTTTTATAAGGGAAAAACTCTTTTGCTTGCTTCTCATTCTCTCTTGCCTGCCACCATGTAACGTGCCTTTCACCTTCTGCCATGATTCTGAAGCTTTCCCAGTCATTTGCAACTGTGAGTTCATTAAATCTCTTTTTCTTTGTAAATTACTCAGTCTCAGGTATGTCTTTACCAGCAGCATGAGAACAGATGAATAAAACAGGTAAATAGACATAGACTGTTTTGTCTGTGTGTGTGTGTGTGTGTTTGTGTGTGTGTTCCTTTGGGCTACAATAGCACATTAACTGTATTTAATTGTTTTTCTTTGGTGTAAGCAGAATTATGTCTAATGTTATGTCTGACATTGAAGGTGTTTTCATTTTAAAATTTACATATAAAATATAAAGTATGTGTAAAGACAGAAAAAATGTGTTTATGTAAGTTGAAAAAAATCAATAAGCTTGTATGAGAAAATTGATTTTTGTAATATCCCAGAAATTCTGCAAAAAAACAACAGAAAAAGGTTATCAACAAAATTTTTAATTTGAGTCTGCTTTAAAAACGATTGAAATATCAATCAAATTAAGACTATAATCTATAGGTATATCTTTAATAATTTGAGAATAACTATTAATATACAATAAAAAGCAAAAAGAAAATCAGGAGAGAACAGGGCCATTAAACGTCCTACTTTTAACCATGGGAAAAATTTGAAGTGCTTAAAGGTAAATAAATGAGAACTTAAAATTTAGGAAATGTGTAAACAAAATTATATGCTTGACTGTATTTCATTGATGCAATTGATGTATGTTTTGTGTCCATCTATTATATATAGGTAGATTAAAAATTAGTTGCATTTATACATTGTGCTATCTAAATAAACCTCCCTTTAGTCTCCATAAATGTAAATAGTCTTTTTTTTTTTTAATGTTTTTTTTTTTAATTATACTTTAAGTTTTAGGGTACATGTGCACATTGTGCAGGTTAGTTACATATGTATACATGTGCCATGCTGGTGTGCTGCACCCACTAACGTGTCATCTAGCATTAGGTATATCTCCCAATGCTATCCCTCCCCCCTCCCCTGACCCCACCACAGTCCCCAGAGTGTGATATTCCCCTTCCTGTGTCCATGTGATCTCATTGTTCAATTCCCACCTATGAGTGAGAATATGCGGTGTTTGGTTTTTTGTTCTTGCGATAGTTTACTGAGAATGATGGTTTCCAATTTCATCCATGTCCCTACAAAGGACATGAACTCATCATTTTTTATGGCTGCATAGTATTCCATGGTGTACATGTGCCACATTTTCTTAATCCAGTCTATCATTGTTGGACATTTGGGTTGGTTCCAAGTCTTTGCTATTGTGAATAATGCCGCAATAAACATACGTGTGCATGTGTCTTTATAGCAGCATGATTTATAGTCATTTGGGTATATACCCAGTATTGGGATGGCTGGGTCAAATGGTATTTCTAGTTCTAGATCCCTGAGGAATCGCCACACTGACTTCCACAATGGTTGAACTAGTTTACAGTCCCACCAACAGTGTAGTGTAAAAGTGTTACTATTTCTCCACATCCTCTCCAGCACCTGTTGTTTCCTGACTTTTTAATGATTGCCATTCTAACTGGTGTGAGATGATATCTCATAGTGGTTTTGATTTGCATTTCTCTGGTGGCCAGTGATGATGAGCATTTTTTCATGTGTTTTTTGGCTGCATAAATGTCTTCTTTTGAGAAGTGTCTGTTCATGTCCTTCGCCCACTTTTTGATGGGGTTGTTTGTTTTTTTCTTGTAAATTTGTTTGAGTTCATTGTAGACTCTGGATATTAGCCCTTTGTCAGATGAGTAGGTTGCGAAAATTTTCTCCCATGTTGTAGGTTGCCTGTTCACTCTGATGGTAGTTTCTTTTGCTGTGCAGAAGCTCTTTAGTTTAATTAGATCCCATTTGTCAATTTTGGCTTTTGTTGCCATTGCTTTTGGTGTTTTGGACATGAAGTCCTTGCCCACGCCTATGTCCTGAATGGTAATGCCTAGGTTTTCTTCTAGGGTTTTTATGGTTTTAGGTCTAACGTTTAAATCTTTAATCCATCTTGAATTGATTTTTGTATAAGGTGTAAGGAAGGGATCCAGTTTCAGCTTTCTACATATGGCTAGCCAGTTTTCCCAGCACCATTTATTAAATAGGGAATCCTTTCCCCATTGCTTGTTTTTCTCAGGTTTGTCAAAGATCAGACAAGCAAATGCTGTGAGATTTTGTCACCACCAGGCCTGCCCTAAAAGAGCTCCTGAAGGAAGCGCTAAACATGGAAAGGAACAACCGGTACCAGCCGCTGCAAAATCATGCCAAAATGTAAAGACCATCGAGACTAGGAAGAAACTGCATCAACTAACGAGCAAAATCACCAGCTAACATCATAATGACAGGATCAAATTCACACATAACAATATTAACTTTAAATATAAATGGACTAAATTCTGCAATTAAAAGACACAGACTGGCAAGTTGGATAAAGAGTCAAGACCCATCAGTGTGCTGTATTCAGGAAACCCATCTCACGTGCAGAGACACACATAGGCTCAAAATAAAAGGATGGAGGAAGATCTACCAAGCCAATGGAAAACAAAAAAAGGCAGGGGTTGCAATCCTAGTCTCTGATAAAACAGACTTTAAACCAACAAAGATCAAAAGAGACAAAGAAGACCATTACATAATGGTAAAGGGATCAATTCAACAAGAGGAGCTAACTATCCTAAATATTTACGCACCCAATACAGGAGCACCCAGATTCATAAAGCAAGTCCTGAGTGACCTACAAAGAGAATTAGACTCCCACACATTAATAATGGGAGACTTTAACACCCCACTGTCAACATTAGACAGATCAACGAGACAGAAAGTCAACAAGGATACCCAGGAATTGAACTCAGCTCTGCACCAAGCGGACCTAATAGACATCTACAGAACTCTCCACCCCAAATCAACAGAATATACATTTTTTTCAGCACCACACCACACCTATTCCAAAATTGACCACATACTTGGAAGTAAAGCTCTCCTCAGCAAATGTAAAAGAACAGAAATTATAACAAACTATCTCTCAGACCACAGTGCAATCAAACTAGAACTCAGGATTAAGAATCTCACTCAAAGCCGCTCAACTACATGGAAACTGAACAACCTGCTCCTGAATGACTACTGGGTACATAACGAAATGAAGGCAGAAATAAAGATGTTCTTTGAAACCAACGAGAACAAAGACACCACATACCAGAATCTCTGGGACTCATTCAAAGCAGTGTGTAGAGGGAAATTTATAGCACTAAATGCCTACAAGAGAAAGCAGGAAAGATCCAAAATTGACACCCTAACATCATAATTAAAAGAACTAGAAAAGCAAGAGCAAACACATTCAAAAGCTAGCAGAAGGCAAGAAATAACTAAAATCAGAGCAGAACTGAAGGAAATAGAGACACAAAAAACCCTTCAAAAAATCAATGAATCCAGGAGCTGGTTTTTTGAAAGGATCAACAAAATTGATAGACCGCTAGCAAGACTAATAAAGAAAAAAAGAGAGAAGAATCAAATAGACACAATAAAAAATGATAAAGGGGATATCACCACCGATCCCACAGAAATACAAACTACCATCAGAGAATACTACAAACACCTCTACGCAAATAAACTAGAAAATCTAGAAGAAATGGATACATTCCTCGACACATACACTCTCCCAAGACTAAACCAGGAAGAAGTTGAATCTCTGAATAGACCAATAACAGGCTCTGAAATTGTGGCAATAATCAATAGTTTACCAACCAAAAAGAGTCCAGGGCCAGATGGATTCACAGCTGAATTCTACCAGAGGTACAAGGAGGAACTGGTACCATTCCTTCTGAAACTATTCCAATCAATAGAAAAAGAGGGAATCCTCCCTAACTCATTTTATGAGGCCAGCATCATTCTGATACCAAAGCCGGGCAGAGACACAACCAAAAAAGAGAATTTTAGACCAATATCCTTGATGAACATTGATGCAAAAATCCTCAATAAAATACTGGCAAACCGAATCCAGCAGCACATCAAAAAGCTTATCCACCATGATCAAGTGGGCTTCATCCCTGGGATGCAAGGCTGGTTCAATATACGCAAATCAATAAATGTAATCCAGCATATAAACAGAGCCAAAGACAAAAACCACATGATTATCTCAATAGATGCAGAAAAAGCCTTTGACAAAATTCAACAACCCTTCATGCTAAAAACTCTCAATAAATTAGGTATTGATGGGACGTATTTCAAAATAATAAGAGCTATCTATGACAAACCCACAGCCAATATCATACTGAATGGGCAAAAACTGGAAGCATTCCCTTTGAAAACTGGCACAAGACAGGGATGCCCTCTCTCACCGCTCCTATTCAACATAGTGTTGGAAGTTCTGGCCAGGGCAATCAGGCAGGAGAAGGAAATAAAGGGTATTCAATTAGGAAAAGAGGAAGTCAAATTGTCCCTGTTTGCAGATGACATGATTGTTTATCTAGAAAACCCCATCGTCTCAGCCCAAAATCTCCTTAAGCTGATAAGCAACTTCAGCAAAGTCTCAGGATACAAAATCAATGTACAAAAATCACAAGCATTCTTATACACCAACAACAGACAAACAGAGCCAAATCATGAGTGAACTCCCATTCACAATTGCTTCAAAGAGAATAAAATACCTAGGAATCCAACTTACAAGGGATGTGAAGGACCTCTTCAAGGAGAACTACAAACCACTGCTCAAGGAAATAAAAGAGGACACAAACAAATGGAAGAACATTCCATGCTCATGGGTAGGAAGAATCAATATCGTGAAAATGGCCATACTGCCCAAGGTAATTTACAGATTCAATGCCATCCCCATCAAGCTACCAATGACTTTCTTCACAGAATTGGAAAAAACTACTTTAAAGTTCATATGGAACCAAAAAAGAGCCCGCATTGCCAAGTCAATCCTAAGCCAAAAGAACAAAGCTGGAGGCATCACACTACCTGACTTCAAACTATACTACAAGGCTACAGTAACCAAAACAGCATGGTACTGGTACCAAAACAGAGATATAGATCAATGGAACAGAACAGAGCCCTCAGAAATAATGCCGCATATCTACAACTATCTGATCTTTGACAAACCTGAGTAAATAGTCTTTTAAAATGTACTTACTTTGCTGATTATAAAGTGGGTCACACCTGTATTCAAGGTTCACCCACTGGCATAATTCTGTACTATGGATGGAAAGATTTTCTAAGTTAATAATTCATAATTTGAAGAATTGCTTTAGACAGTAACCTAAGACTATGATTACTCTGTTTTCTAAAAATTGGGTCTGGTGATATAGTAGAATGTTAACAGGAAATAATTAGTTACCGGGCTTTTTTTTTTTTTTTTCTAGGAACTAAAATATAAATTTATTACCACAACCAAAACAAAAAACAAACTGCAAACTACACATATATATAATCATTAAATACGATAACTTCTACTTTTTAATATGACCATGGACTGCTAAAATGGCATAGTTTCCATGGGTCTAATAAAAAAAGTAATTGAGTAACATTTTATTATCAATTTTTTTGGAACATTGTGTATGGGCCAGGAACCTTTGCCAACTCTTTCATCAATGCATGAAGTTAAATAACTGTAACATTAAACATAATAAATTTCTGCCAGGAAACTACTAAACTTGTCTATCCTGATTCCTAGTTTACTCACTCCCAATAAAATAATATAGTTCAAAAATGCTAGTGTTATTCGCTCAATGCTTTTATTTAGTTTAGCTCTCTCTCTCTCTCTACCATCATATTTTCTTTATTTCTTTCTCTTTTAGAATTATGGATATCGCAAACATTGAGGAGATGCAAATTAGCGTATGTTGTCATCTACAATAAAGGAAGAAGATATGCAAAGGGTGCATTTTTAGGTGAGATGATAAAGAAATCTATCTCTGAAGAGGTACGAATTTGAGATGTGATTAAAGGTAAAAAAGAACATGTTGGAATATCTTAGAGAAAACCGTTTCCAGAAGTCTGAAGAACAAGTGCAAAGACCCTGCTGACAGATCACGCCTTATGTGTTTAAGGAGCAGCAAGATGTCTACTAGGTCTGGAGAAAAATAAACCAGTGGGAGAATTTAAGAGATGAGAAAACAAATTATGAAGGGCACAGTGGGTAACAGGAAGAATTTTAGCTTTTATTCCTGGTAGGCTGGAAGGCCAAGGAGGCATTTAGAAAGAGAGAGAGAAGATTGTCTGATTGGTATTTTTAAAAATGCAATCTAGTTGCTTTAAGAAAACGAATTATAATAAACCAGGAGTGGAAGACATTATTGCTCAAGCCTGCATGAGAGATCTTCTGTTTTGGAGTAGGGGGGTAGTATGTGATATATGAAGAAAGGATCAGATATAGAATTTTTTTTAATTAAAAAAATTGTTGGAGGGACTTAATTTAACTTAGGAATAATTGTTTTCTGTAGTCCAACAGAGGGTAATTTAAATTCATAGAGAATAGAAGATACACATCTGACCAGAAGTGCTGTAAGCCTAGGGTTATTCATCACTTAGACTCTATGGACACTAAGACACCTTGCCAAGAGCTCCAAGTATATTAATAAAAATATGGCATCAAGATTTTGTCTCATAAATTTCTAAACATTGGAGATCTACTATCAGGCCCAAGAGTATTAATAAAGGCAATCACACTTCAAGGTTAATAAGGTAACTTTATCATCCAGTGTTGAAATATGACATAGTTGTATAACGTTGGCTAATTTACCTAATATGTCTAATTATGAGTTTTCTCTAGTCCGAGAACCAAAGCTCCTACATACAACTGCAATCTCTCTAATACCCTGAATTCTCTGCACAATTCTATTAAATTAATGGCATATCATAATGCATTAAACTCTGGTATCTTTATTCTGTTTTACATTCCTAGAAAGCTTCTTTTCAGCCCACGCTTTGTATTGACCGAGCTAACTCCTAATAATCCTTAAAGTCATAATTTATTTTACCTCATCAAGCTAGCCGTACCTCTGTTTGAATGTACTGATGTTTTCAATTATATAATGTTTGCTAAATGAATTGACACTGTTTATTCAATTAATATTTTTATCTCAAGGTTTTTGAGCTAATTACTTCTTTCTTTTTTTTCAATAATTTCAGCTTTTATTTTAGATTCAGGGGCACATGTACAGATGTGTTACTTGTGTGTTTCCAGAAATTCATCCATTTCCTCTAGATTTTCTAGTTTTTCTCCATAGAGGAGTTCATATTAGTCTCTGAAGATCTTTTTTGTATTTCTGTAGGATCAGTTATAATGTCACCTTTGTCATTTCTGATTGCTCTTATTTGGGTTTTCTTTTTTGTTTTCTTTGTTAATCTAGCTGTCGCTGTCAATCTTGTATATACTTTTAAAGTATCACGTTTGATTTCATTGATTCTTTGTGTGAATTTTTGGGTTTCAATTTTTGTTCATGTCTACTCAGATCTTACTTATCTCTTTCCTTCTGCTACATTTGGGGTAAGTTTGGTTGTTTACCTTCTGTAGGTGTAATGTTAGATTATTAATTTGAGAGCTTTCCAACTTTTTAAGGAAGGCATTTAGCATGACAAACTTTTCTGTTAATACTAATTACCCTGCCTCCTAGAGATTTGGTATGTTGTGTTCCTGTTTTTATTTATTTCCAAGAATGTATTGATTTCTGCCTCAATTTCATTGTTTGCCAAAAGCCATTTAGGGGCAAGTTGTTTAATGTTCAAGTTATTGCATGATTTTTCAGAGATATCTTTGGTATTGATTTCTATATTTATTCCACCATGATCTGAGAGAATGGTTGGTGAAATTTTTATTTTTTAATCTATTGAGCCTTGCTTAATGGTTGAGCATGTGGTTGATCTTAGTGTAGGCTCTGTGTGTAGATGAGAAGAATGTGTATTCTGTGGTGGTTGGATGGTGTATTCTGTACATATCTAGTAGATCCAGTTGGTCAAGAGTTGGATTTAAGTCCAGATTTTTTTTGTTAGTTTTCTGCCTCAGTGATCTAACACTGTCACTGTGGTTGTACAGTTCCCCACTGTTATTGCGTGGTAGTCTAAGTCTTTTCAAAGGACTAGAATTACTTGTTTTATAAATTTTAGTGCTTCAATATTGGTTGCGTTATATTTAGGATAATTAAGTCTTTTGTTGAATTGAACCAGTTATTATTATGTGATGTCCTTCTTTGTCCTTTTTTACCATTGTTGGTTTCTTTAAATTCTGTTTTATCTGATGTAAGAATAGTGATCTCGCTCTTTTTTGTTTTCCATTTGCATGGCAGACTTTCTCCAACCTTTACTTTGAGCCCATGGGTGTCATTACGTGGGAGAGGGGACTCTTGAAAACAGCAGATGGATGGGTCTTATGATTTTAATTTAACTTGCCACTCTATGCCTTTTAAGTGGGGGGTGTTTAGACCATTTAAATTCAAGATTAATATTAATATATGAGGTTGTGATCATATTATGAAGTTATTAGTTGGTCACTTTGTAGTTTCTATTGTTTGGTTGCTTTGTAGGGTCTGTGGGTATGTATTTCAGTATATTTTTGTGGTAGCAGGTATCATTCTTTCCTTTCCACATTTAGAACTTCCTTAAGAATATCTTGTAAGATTGATCTAGTGGTAATGAATTCACTTAGTGCTTACTTGCCTGGGAAAGATTATTATCTCCTTCACTTACGAAGCTTAGTTTGGTAGGATATAATATTCTTGGTTAGAATTGCTTTTCTTTATGAATGTTGAAAATAAGACCATAATCTTGCCTGGCTTGTAATTTTTCTGCTGAGACATCTGCCGTTAGCCTTAGGGGTACCCTTTGAATATTATTTAACCTTTTTCTCTAGCTGTGTTTAATTTATTTTTCTTTAGCATTGACCTTGGACAGTCTAGTGACTATATATGTCTTGATGAAGTTTGTTTTTATAGTATCTCACAGGTGTTCTCTAGATTTCTTGTATCTGGATGTTTACCTCTCTAGCAAAATTAGGAAAATGTTCTTAATTTTCTTGAATTATTTCCTCAAATATGTTTTCCAGGATGTTTTCTTTTTCTTCGTCTTTCTTAGGAATGTTAATTAATTGGTAGGTTTGACCACTTTACAGAATCCCATATTTTCTGAAGACTGTGTTCATTTTTAAAAATTATTTTTATTTCTGTCTGACTGATTTATTTTGAATGATTGCTCTGAATGCTCGGAAATTCTTTCCTCTACATGGTCCAGGCTATTGATAAAGCTGTCAATTATATTTTGGAATTCCTTAAGTGAGTTGTTCAGTTCCATAAGCTCTAGTTGATTTACTATTAAGATGTTTATCTTTTCCTCCATTATCTGGATTGCTATAGAAGTTTTTTTAATGTTGATTTTCAACCTTTCCTTTGACTTCATCGAGCTTTCTTGCAATCCACAGTTTGAATTCTTTATCTGTCATTTCTGAGTTCTATTTTGGTCAGGGATCATTGCTGGAGAACTAGTGTGATCCTCCGGTGTTGTCACTACATTCATATTCTTCATGGTGCTGGAATTCTTGTTCTGGTTCCTTCTCATCTGGAGATGCTGACACTTCTAATTTTTGCAATAATTTTTATGTTGAGTAGAATTTTTCTTTCTTTCCCTTCATTATTTATTTTCTTCTTTTCCTACCTGGTTTTCCCTCTCCTTAGGGTGTTTGACTACAGAGAAAGCTGGGTATGATCTTTTGGCTTTGCTTCTACAACCTGTGTGCTTCTGTCAGTAGGATTTATAATGATCTCTGCAGTTAGATTGGGCTTATGGTAAGAGTCCTGTTACCAACAAGGCTGGGTATATACCTGATCCTTGTTTACTGGGAGAAACTCTCTGTGAACTCAGGCTGATTCATGGAGTGCACAGTGGTTTGAGGGCCCTTCTCAGCCCTGGGGATATGGGGCAAGTTGAGCAGGGCCAGACGGCATATATTTGCCTACAGGTCCCTTGATGGCAAACACAAGCATGAGCATTGAGGGAGAATTCAGTAAGTGACCACCAAGTGACCACAGGTGAGTCTAGGTGTAGAGTTGGAAAACCTCCTCAGCCCCAAGTTATCTGCATGGCGACAGGGGTGGCCTATATTCTTAATACAGGAGAGTGGGTTCTCCAAATGTCTGGAGATCTGCCCGGGTATGGGGCAGAGAGGGCCCCACCTGCACTTGAAACTCTGCATAGGAATGGTGGAGTGTTAATATGGGCAAGCACGTACTTTGAATGCCTGGAGATCTGCTTGGGCTTTGAGCAGAGGGCTCCGCTGCACCATGATCTATGCACAGGAAAGGTGGTGCTGTTCTGGTTGCTGATCATGTGAGCAGATGCTTCAAATGCCTGGAGTTCTGCCTGGTCAGGAAGTGGAGAGGGACCCCCTGACCCAGGATCTATGCCCAGGAAGGGTGGCATGGCTTAGGCTGCTGAACCAGGTGAGCAGGTTCTCTGAATGCCTGGAGATCTGCCCTGGCATGAAGCACAGAGTGCCCTGCTGCACCATGATTTGTGTCCATGAAAGGTGGGGTGGCTCAGGCTACTGTTCCATGCAAGCAGGTGATTCTAATGCCTGGATTTCTGTCTGTAGGTAGAGCAGAAGAGCACCACAATCTTAAGGGAGTAGACCTGTTCCAGGTTTCCAAGCTGGCCTTGGCTGCAATTCTCATTGCCCAGGAGAAACTGCAGCTGTAGCAGCTCTTTTCCCACCTCAGGCCCATGGAAGGGGCAAGCACAATTCCAACACTCACTAATGATGCATTTTCTGGAGTTCTGGCTGTGAAAACACCTATACCACTCCAGAGCAGGCACTCCAATCTCTGGCAAAAGACTAAAACGGCTGCATGCTCACTCTGCTGGGTCACCAAAGAATGGCTGACTTTGTGTGAACCCACATTAAAAATGGCATTCTGCTCTGGGTCCTGAGTCTCAGAAAATGTCTGCAGCTTTTTCTGATGTCTTTCCCTTATGACACCTCCAACCCTTTCCTTAAGTTAGCCATAGGGATTAGGAGAAACAAAGTGCTGTTCCTTGGCCTGAGTTACTAGGATCCCCTGTGGAAAGGTAAGTCACAGAGGAAAGCTATCTGCCTCTCTCACATACAGGAGCTTCAGTCACTTTTATCATCTGGAAGTCACCATGGGGGCTATTTGCCTGCATTCTTCTCCCTGGGACCTTGGGTATCCTTCATGATTCTGGCAGATTCCCATTTTTTTTCTTGAATTAAAGCTCACAGAGTTTATCTTTATGCCCTATTTTGCTATTTCCAAGTGGTGAAGGCACACTAAAAGCCTCTAATCTGCCATCTTGGAGAAAAGTACAAATTACTTCTTTCATATTACAGGTAAAGAATCTTCCTTACTCTGAGTATAAATAAGTTGTCAAATATCACAAAATGATAGGATGTAAATCCAGTCCTTGGCCACATTGAAGATAATCTGAGATTTCATTAGACAACAGGTCATTTCCAATAAAGTGACAGCTATAGTTTCTGCAATTAGTGCACCTTAAAGCAAGTGTTCTTAGTATGTTAGTTCCTAGTTGTCTCCTTCTTAATCATTTTCCCTTATCTCAGATACCATTAGCAATACAGATCATTTGAGTCTTAACTCTTGCCATTGGCTTAGACTATCTACTTGCAGCTTACACTGGTAGTTTACCTCACCCTTTCATACAGTTATGAAATTGAGTTTCTTAACCTCAAATCCAGATGCCTGTTACATCATATACTTGGTACTTGTGAGGACTTCTGGATTTTTTCTAAACCACATAAGAGGAGAGGGATAGTGTGAGGAGTGCTATGTTTGATCGCTTGTCCTAAATATGCTACATCACTTCCTAGACGTGGTATACAGCCAGTTCTAGTGATTCACTTCTATACATACTAAGCCATTATTTTAAGCATAGTTTCTTTTCTAACACACACAATATACCTATTGGCTCATTGTCTCTCTCAAGGGGTTCAAAAGGCAGGTAGAGAAGGCATACAGTCTTCCTTGATATTTCACCTTAATCTACATGATGTATCAGTACTTCATTACTTCCTTTCCACTGATACTCATCTCTGCTGTGTGGGACCTGGTTTTCTCACAAAATAATGATGATGATAATAATAAGCAGAATTTATCTATGCCTCAATTCTCACTTTTATTCCTCCCTATAAAAATGGTTACTTTTATTTCTTTTATTTATGGTGCAAATGATGCAGGATTTTTTGCTCCTTAGTTTAGCTAAAATCTTCATTCTTGTCTTCATGACCAGGAAAAATTAGACACATGGACATGTTGAAAGGTTAGGAGAACAGAATTTATTAAAAGAAAGTGCTCAGCAAAAAAAAGAGGGGGTCCTGCCAACAGCCTCCCACCTCACAGATTGAATACCAGGCCACCACCCAGGAGCTCAACAGGCCAGGCTCCTCCCCACTGCATAAGGTGCGAATTCCCGGTGGCTCCACGCCCTTCTCCCACTGCACAGGTGGGCTTTTAGTCTGAGCCACTCCACATTGATTGCTTTCCCTTACCGCACATGTGTTAAGAGATTGAATTTTTCACAACGGGCATGCTTAAGCAAGCCCCCTGTGCACAATGACCTGGGCGGCATTTGGCTTTCTCCTGTCTCTATCACAACTATCATAACCTTCCCTAGAGCACTAAGATCCAAGGTCTAAATATCTGGGAAATAAAACCACAACATTTCCAACAGAAAAACATAGGTTTAAGGGTATTTCAATTTTTGTTAATATTATTAATACAAATTATATTTTAAAAAACCCTAATCATTGTAAAAATAAAAATTGCCATTTTTGAGAGCTTATTTTTAGCAATACTCTAGTAGAATTCATATATGTCTTATCTTTATTCTCAGATAAAAACATTGAATCTTAAACATTCTTAGAAAATGTGTGGCAAAATGTGACGTAATACTCGTTTCACTAGGGGAGCTAACACCAAAGTTTATGCACCTATCAGCTATTAAAAATAGAGGCCACTATGGTATACAACACACACACATACACACACAATGCACACACATATGCATACATGCAAACACATAAAAGAAGAAAGGATTGTTTCCAAGGCTTAATGGGCAAATATTTTATTTTATTTATTTATTTATTTGAGACGATCTCACTCTGTCAACTAGGCTGGAGTGCAGTGGTGCCACCATAATTCACTGCAGCCTCAAACTCCTAGGCTTAAGTTATCCTTCCACCTCAGCCTCCTGAGTAGCTGGGACCACAACAGGTGCACCCTGTCCCCTCCCAGCTATTTTTAATTTTTTTTTTTTTTTTTGTAGAGATGGGTTCTGTTGCCAAGGCTGGTTTCAAATTTCTGGACTCAAGTGATCCTCCTGCCTTGGCCTTCTAAAGTTGTTGGGATTAGAGGCATGAGCCACCATTCTTAGCCATCAGATGTTTTAAATTATGGTGATAGTTAAAGTAGAATTTGAAAGAGGTTTTTATCATTCCACAATTGGTTTTAAATATTTGGCTAATAGTAATACAATTTTTTTTCCTTATGTCATTTCTTTTCTGTTGAAGCTTTGCAAGTACTTTAATTTTTAATGTAATTTAGAGTTGATCTGAGTTATATCTATTTTAATTTTCTATTTTGCTATTTTTATTGAAATTTCTTGGGTTAAAAACAAAAAAATAGCATTACATCTAATATGCTGGGATTTTATATAAACAAAATCTTGCAATGCTCACAGACAGAAAATTATAGGACATGTGTTTCTGTAATAAAAGTGATTTCTAGTGAGTGTTGTAGAAAAAACAAAGAAAATATAATAAACCAAGCATTGAAAGGTGATCAACAGAGTCTGAAAGTCTGAAGGGTGGTTTGCAGGGGAACAGAGAAATAGGAACATAGCTAAAAAGAGTCCTTTTTTTTTTTTTTGCTTTTCCATTGAGATAAATATATGTTTTCTTTATAAGATGGACAAAATAGAGTTTGTTTATATCCTAAACATATCTGTATAGTGAAGAAATGAAACCATACATATAATAAAGATAGAATAAATAAATGTGAAAAGTAAATGAGTAGAAATAGCCTTGTACTTTTATGGTGATTTCAACAAATATATTCAAATTAATATTGTATTATATTTTAATGTTGGTTTATCCTACCAGCATATAAACTGAATTATGGCAAGATCGATATATTCATCTCAAACTTATATTTTCATATTTTGGTACAGTAGCCAATGCTTGCTGAAGAAATTTACATAAGGTTTGTGAAGAAATGCTTGCTGAAGAAATTTACGTAAGGTTTGTGAAGAAATGCAAAGCGTTAAGAGCCATAAATTGGATGGATATGGATCCTAGACAGAGAGGATACCCTTTTACACTAAATCTGGCAATCAAGATGGGGAGAGTTCAAGTAATTAAGGATTGTGATCGGTCTACCCACATGTTAGGCATTTCAAGCCTGTTTGCACCATTTTCCCTGAAACTTAAAAGGTAAGAATTCCATTGAGGGAGACTGTGAAGTCGCAAGGGTAATGCAATTTAGTGATGAAATTTAATTGTTTTAAGCATTTATAAATTATAAACAATGTAAAGTTGAGTCCAACACACAGAAACTTCTGTGAAAAATAATATGTGCCATTCACATCAAATTGTGCCAATATTAAGGATATTATGAGTGGATTGTTCTTAGCTTTCACAGGAATTATTTATTTGCTAAACATCCTTGTCACAGTGAATTGTTACAATGTACTCATATAACTGTCCTCCAGAATGGACTAGATGTTTCTCCAAAACAGAGGCCACTTTCTTGTCTATAAATCAGCAACCTTAAAAAATTAAAATTAGAACTACCATATGATTCACACATCTGGGTGTATATAAAAGTATTGCAATAAGGATCTCAATGAAAAATCTGCACTCCCATATTCACTGAAGCACTATTTACAAGAGCCAAGATTTGGAAACAACTTAAATGTCTATTGATGGATGGATGAATAAAGAAAATGTGGTATATACATGCAATGAAATATTATTCAGCCTTATAAAAAGAAGAAAATCTTGCCATTTGCAACAATGTAGATGAACCTGGAGGATATTATGCTTAGTTCATTTAGTTACTTGATAAGGCAAGGAAAGAAGGAAAAATACTACATAATTCCATTTATATGATGTATTTAAAATAGTCATAGTAACAGAGTAGAATGTGGTTGTTAAGTGTTAGGAGGAGGGGGAAATAAGGAGTTGCTGTTCAATAGGTATAAATTTTCTGTTATGCAGTGGGAATGATTTCTAGAGATTTTCTGTACAATGCTGTTCAAATACACTTACAAATTGGTTAAAAGGGTAGATCTTACAGTAAGTTTTCTTACCACAATATAAAAATGAAAAGAAGAAATAATACATATATGTACAAAAATATTGTGGGAAGTTACTCGAAAATCTATTAATAGTGATCGCCCCTGCAGAGTCCGAGTGGGTGGCTAGGAGAAATTGAAAGTGAAATTCTATTGTTTGAAAGTTTCTTTACTATCAGATTTTTCCCCTTTGCAAATGTATAGGCTTTATAACTTGTCTTTCTTTTCTTTTTTTTTTTTTTTTTTTTTTTTGAGACAGAGTTTCGCTCTTGTTGTCCAGAGGCTGGAGTGCAATGACGTGATCTTGGCTCACTGCAACCTCCCAGGTTCAAGCGATTCTTCTGCCTCAGCCTCCTAAGTAGCTGGGATTACAGGCGCCTCCCACCATGCCTAGCTAATTTTTTGTATTTTTAGTAGAGACAGGGTTTCACTATGTTGGTCTCGAACTCCTGACCTCATGTGATCCACCTGCCTTGGACTCCCAACGTGCTGGGATTACAGGCATGAGCCACCGCTCCTGGCCTAAAATTTGCCTTTTACAAAAACTCAACAAAAGATCATCTCAACTAAGGCATACTAAATAATATTTAAGACACAAACTTACAGGCTAAAAAAAATAAACCTGCCATAGTAACAAACACACACTCAGGAATTACCTACACGATAAACATTTTAAATTGCTAAACCAAATAGAAGGAAACACAAATAACATTGTAAAGTTTGATAGGTACTAGATGGTATTCAAATGACCTCAAATATCTAAAGTAAGATGCAAGAGTGTACCTCTTTCAGTTTCCCAATTAGTTATTTGTTTTAGATTAAACAATAGTGTAATGCATCAATTCCTTGGGTAATTTACCGATTGGAATTCCTAGTGTCATCCTTGAGACACAAGCAAAAAAACTCAACAATATTATCCACGTGAAATGGGACCTCTAAACTGTCCTGTTTTGTTACAGCCTCTAATGAGCCAAAATAGTATAAGAATCTTGAAGATTAAGAATTTCTGTAGTGCTCTACTTGCCTGAAATTTGGGGTGCTAAGCATTAAAAAAATGCAATTTTAGTGTGTTATACTTGCGGACATTAAACACTATGTGTAAAGGTTGAGAATTTCTACCATAAAATACATAGATCCTCTGGATGTAAATCTTGTATATGACACAAACTAGATGTTAGACCCTAAAAAAGATGTTCAGATTCTCCATGTGTCAGTCTCTTCATTTTAAAGAATCTAAAATACGAAGAATAAAACAATGTAGGGAAAGTCTTTAGAATAATGAAATTTACTTGATAAGCATTCAATAAATATTTGCTATTATTACTGATGGTTAATATTGTCAACTTGATTGGATTGAAGGATACAAAGTATTGATACTAGGTGTGTCTGTGAGGATGTTGCTAAAGGAGATTAACATTTGAGTCAGTGAGCTGGGAAAGGCAGACCCACCCTTAATCTGGTGGGCATAATCTAATCAACTGCCAACGTGGCTACAATATAAGCAGGCAGAAGAATGTGAAAAGAGAGACTAGCCTAGCTTCCCAGCCGACATCTTTCTCCTGTGCTGGATGCTTCCTGCCCTGGAACATCAGACTCCAAGTTCTTCAGTTTTGGAACTCAGACTGGCTCTCCTTGCTCCTCAGCCTGCAGACGGCCTATTGTGGGACCTTGTGATCCTATGAGTTAATACTTAATACATTCATTCATATATATATATATATATATATATATATCTGCATTCCATTAGTTCTGTTCCTCTAGAGAACCCTGACTAATACAATTACTATTAATGGAGACTAAGTTATGTCAACTTATCAACTTGATAAAATGTCCAACTTAATTATTTAGAGCAAAAATGAGAGAAAGAGGTGATAAAGGTATTGTAAATGTCATTAATAGAATAAATATTCAGCATGTTGTACAAAAATTTTAAATTTAAGTACATGGGCTTATTGAAAAATAATGTATTTTTTCTTATGCATCTACTTATAAAAATGCTACATGATTTAATATGTGCTGACTGACATTAAGGTAACTTTTTCTTCACTATACATTTGAAAATTGTATTGTTTCACGAATTTCACTACAAAATGCTCAACTTAATGGTAACTTGACAGTATTATATAAAGTCTATGGTTATAACTTGGATTGTGTCTTCAATGCTATTTTATGGTTTGAAAGTCCAGGAAAACAGTGTGATTAACTTTCTGAGGCTCCAGGAGTGGCAGAAGTTTGTCAGCTTCTTTTCTTCTTATTTTTTAGCTTTCAGGACATCTCCATATGGCTAGGTTTTTCACTACCCTAGTGAAACTAGCCTCCCAGCGATATCAAGACAAATTTCTCTTGAGCAATTTCAAGAGAATAGCACTCGTCTTTTTTCATGTTATAGACTACCAACTCAAGTCCACATTTTTTAGCTGAGAGATTTGTATTACCCCTTATGTTTGGCCCACGGAATGATCTCAACTCAAGAAAATATGTTTATACCCTATATATAGGCAGTGACCCTGTCTCCAAAATAAATCCAAATAAATATATTAGTCCTACAATAAATTTAATATATTTTATGTTAGAATTATGTGGACAGACATACCACAGTTATTACTAATACTTTCTGCTTTTATATCTGGAATAGCGGCCAGTTTCTAAAATTATCTACCAAGCAATGTAGAAGACCCCTGATAGAAAGCGGTGACAGTATTTTAGTTTTGATGCTTAGCATATTACAAATGTTCAATACATATATTACGTAGAAAGGATTATTTAGAAGTTATATTACTAAATGATTTCCAAAGGCTATCATTATTTAGATAATTTTACATCATTTTCTACTGCATGAAATAACTATTTTACAAATTTCTCAGACAGCTCTAATAACATATGATATAGCCAAATCCATGGCACTTCTGCAGAATTATACTTCTCCACATGTTGATTCTTTTTTTATTTTTTTACCATTTAAAAATAGAAGATTGCCTTTGAAGTTTTCCTTAAATGGGCTTTGAAATTTGTGTTGGCTAAAATTCACTAATAATATTACCTTGGTATATGATAAACATAAATTTTGCAGGTTTCATCCACATAACTTATGAGTAAATTATTTTGTTTTTAAGATGGGATCTTCCTCTGTCACCCAGGCCGGAGTACAGTGGCTCAATAATAGAAGATAGCTCACTGCAGGCTTGAACTCCTGGGCTCAGCAATCCTGCTGCCTCGGTTCCTGAGTAGCTGGGACTATAGGCATGTGCCACCATGCCTAGCTAATTTTTTAATTTTTATTTTTATTGTAGAAATTGGGTTTTGATATGTTGCAAAGGCTGATTTTGAACTCATGGCTTCAAGTGATCCTCTTGCCTCAGCCTCCCAAAGTTCTAGGATTATAGGCATTAGCTGCTGCATCTAGCTTGAATTGAAATTTTTAAGAGAAGGGCCTATAGATCTGATGCTTAAGAAGTAAATTTAGGTTATTTTTATAATTATACCATTATTTAAGTGTATTAAATGCTAATTAAATTTGTTTTGCTTGTATTTGTTCATATTGAAAAACTTGGCTAAAGTTTATTGCAGAAAGATAGCCTTGTATTACCTTGATAATATACTCAGATTTTATGTGTTTCATATACGATTTTCTTCTATATGGTTTGTTTCTGTGATGTAAGTTATTATAATGGGTAAACACTTTACTTTTCATTCTTGTTATTAGTTCTTTCATAAAATGTCTACGTATATACATTAGAGAATATCAAAAATAGCTTTCAGTTTGGCACTTAAATTTATATGTTTCTATTGCAAATCTTTCCCAATTCTGTTACTAAAATATAACCAAATGTTAAGAATTCAAGTATTTTAGAATTACTTTTCTTTGTAAGTAAATTACATATCCATGTGTTATAGGTTGAATTGTGTCCACCCAAAAAAGATATGTTGAAGTTCTAATGCCAGTACCTCAGAATGTGACTATGTAAAAACAGTGTCTTTACATAGGAAATCAAATTATTTAAAAAAATGATGTCATTTGATGCTTTCTGACTAAGAAGGCCTTAGCAGTTCTCAGTTTGGGTAAACTTTAGACAAGTTTCTTCCTGACTCTAGGCCCCTGGAATCCCTTTCTTAGATTTACTTAGAAAACTTGTTATTGTAATTTTTTTCGCCTGTCCTTTGGGATGTAAATCTTCTCCCAGCTTCTTGCCAGTTTTCTACCCCAGGAATGTCTTTCTCAAGGACCCAGGAACCATCTCTTTAAAATATAATTATCAAAAAGGATAACGCCCCTATTTCCCAGTCTCTGTGGAAGTGAGGGGCCCAACTTCAATAAACACCAATTAGCAAATACAGATGGTCTAATTACTATAACTAACCTTCCCTGTAATGTCTTACAGTACTTTTCCACTAGCTCACCCCAGGGCCTGAAAACTCTTGCCATTTATTTCTGCATGATTGAGTCCAATTTGTCCCCTATTACCACAGTCTTGACCTCTTTTGCAATAGCCTTTGAAAAAACTCTACCTTAACCTCACCTGTTTAATTTGCTAGGTGCAATTTCTATTTGACAACTTCAATCTAATATGACCGCTGTTCCTTATAAGGGGAAAATCTGGACATAGAGACAGACATGCATGTAGGGAAAATGCCATGTTAAGATGAAGGCAGAGGCCAGGCACAGTGGCTCACACTTGTAATCCCAGCGCTTTGGGAGGCCGAGGCAGGCAGATTATGAGGTCCGGAGTTTGGGACTAGCCTGGCCAACATGGCGAAAACCAATCTCTACTAAAAATACAAAAAATTAGTCTGGTGTAGTGGCACGCGCCTATAATCCCAGCTACTCAGGAGGCTGAGGCAGGATAATCACTTGAACCCAGGAGGCAGAGGTTGTAGTGAGCCGAGGCTGCGCCACCGTACTCCAACCTGGGTGACAGAGCAAGACTCCGTCTAAAAAACAAACAAACAAACAAACAAAAAAGATGAAAGTAGAGATAAAAAGGAGGCAGCAGAAGCCAATGAACATGAAAGATTCCCAGCAAACCACCAGAGGTACAAAAGAGGCATGAAATAGATCTTCCTCACGACCTTCAGAAGAAACTAACCCTGCAAACATCTTGACCTTGGACTTCTATTCCCAAGAATTGTGAAAAACACATCTATGGTACTTTGCTATGGCAGCTTTAGGAAAGTAATGGGCCATATTACAGTGACAACATTCCTGAATTGTAATTGAGAAAGCTAGGCTTGAAGATCAACTCTCTTGCTTCCTAGGTTTGGGCCAGAGGAAGTTGGTAAGTCTTCATACCCTCATCAGAGTTAACATGGGAGACAATTTGGATTATAATAAGGCTAAACAAATGTTTTGTTATTTTATTTTAACTCTTAATCAAGAGCTAATATAATTTGGTATGGTTAAAACAGAAATTGGAAAAATCAGTCTTTAAAAAGTACAACCAGAACGAAGCACTCAGCAGCAGGATCACCTAACATGCAGCGGAAACCTGGAATTTCAAAGCCATGCTCTTCAGAGTTAACTACTTTATTAGGATTTTCTGTGGATACCCGATTCTGTTAAGCTTTACCCAATGTACAGAAGCTGTCTGTTTCCCCACAGCATCCACCTCCCGTCTAGATTTTTCACTCCTATGAAACACCATCTTAACCTCAGCATACGTTTGAATATATTTTCTGTTTCCATCAAAAACACCTTACACAGGATACAATGTCAAAATTTCCCAAGTATTAATAGAAACACACTCTTCTTTTTTATTTTTAAGACAGCATAAGCAGAGTGACCTAGAAAATTTTCCCTTTCTACTGCAAGGGTTAGCTCTTCATCACCAGCATGAGCTTTTTAATACTACTTTATATAACGTGGATGCTCAGAGAGAAAATATATAAAAAATAGTCTAATACTTTTCAGAACACTATAACCTTTTAATAAAAGGAAGGTTTTTTGTAACAACAAGCCAACAATTTTATGATACTGTTGTGTTTTTCTGCCCCTTACAAAGAGCTAGGGGAAATTAAACAAGGATCCATTTAATTTTGGAGTGAATGCCAATTTGACCAGGTTCCATGCAAGGCAGTGAGCCATAATTGAAGTCAGTTACACTAATCATCAAACACGAAACAAACAGTAATAAAAGCAACTGCCAACCAAATACAAGTAAACTTTAGAGAAGAAAAAATAGTTACCTTTTAAGAATGACCAGTTCAGAAACAATGGTTAAAGGCAGTAAGATAAATGGTGAACTGCTTGCTGTTACTTTTTCTGCTTATATTTACCCCAGGGAAAACCTGTTTTAAAAGGTGAGTTAATTAAAGATCACTTGGAAAATTTTGATGATAATTTTACTTTCTAGTCAGTAGATCATATCAGTGTCTGCATTCATAGGGTGAGTTAACTGAATGCTTTCAATAAAAATGCTAAACATTACCCACTGAACAAAAGAAAGCTATAGGAAGTTCATTGGACATAAGGTGTGTTCTTTTACTTACAAATTTTATTCTTCTTAATCTTAGGTTAATTACCAATGAACTCTTAAAATAACCATATCAGTCCTCTAGCATAGATCAAATTTAAGGCTGTCAAAAGGCTGGGATGTAATCACCAAGCAGATTGATGCTGATGTGAGCAATTTCAGCTGCAGGAGATAGGGAGAAAAATATTCCTTTCCTCTTCCTCCTTTGGCAGTGGACTATCAACAAAAACCTTATTATCTCTCTGATCCATTACTGTGAAAATAACTGGCTCCAGCTATTTTGATTTTTATGTATTTGCATATATTATTTGGCACATGAATTTTGCCAACCCCTTGATTGGACATTGCAGTACAAAGGTGAATAGAGCATGAGTTAATCACAATTCTGTAATTTGTAAAGGAGGAGTGATGATGGTTTGGGGTCAGTGGGCAACAGAAAAGTCCAATGATGACTGCCAAACAAATTAATATCAAAAACAGAATTTTGATAGAGGAATCTTATGAAAGCATGAAAATGTCTAAATGGGAAATACAGTAGTAACAGAGAGGCCAACTATTAGGTAATAGTCCAAGTGAGAAATGATAAGAATATAATCGAAACTTTTGGCAAAAGTGATGGAAAAAATAAAGGCAGGTTCAGAGTCTTGGAGACCAGGTGGACATGGAGGAAGAAAGTTATAAGTAATGGATGTTCCTAGGTTTCTAATTCAGTAGCTGGGTAAATAATGAAGAAATTATCCAATATTAAGACTACACAGTGCTCCCGAAACAGATTAGAAGAGAATGCCATTTTCTTAGCATTAGAAATGTTGAGTTTGTATAGCCAGTTGGACACATGAGATTACTAATAAATTGATCTTCAGCTTTAAATTTTAAAAAAGCCCTAAACATAAAGATAATGAGAGTAGTGAAATTTATAGAGTGGTTATAGAAGAGGACAAATTACAGATTTTATTTTTTAAACTAACATGAGAAAACTCAAGAAGTTACATCAGCCACTTGGAAGTTTTGACAGAAAACATAAGACAAATTTGGTATATCTCCATTTTTGCGAGCTGTTCAGCAGAATTGCAAGTAAACTCACACTACATGTCATTTCTCTATAAATGATCTGATTTTTTTTAATAAACACCTCACCATTGAATAGAGACAAAAAAGGAAACAATCAAATAAACAAGTTCATAATGCAGAGTATTGGTTTAATCGTATGGGGTTAGTTTTCTATTGCTGCTATAACACATTACCACAAACTTAGTGGCTTAAAACAACACAAATTTATTTTCTTACGGTTCTGTATGTTAGATGTTTTCCTAGGTTAAACCCAAGCTGTTGGAAGGACCATGTTCTTTTCTAGCGGCTCCTGGGGAGTGCCTCCTTGCTTCGCAACGCTTCGGTTTTCTGGCTTTCGGAGACTGCCTACATTCCTTATCTCTTAGTGTGCCCTTCTTTCTTGGGCAGAGACACAGATGATGGGTTGAGTCTTTCCTAATCACATTACTCTGACCTTTTTCTTTTCTTTTTTTTTTTTTTTTTTTTTTTTTTTTTCTCTTTAGACAGAGTCTCTCTCTGTCGCCCAGGCTGGAATGCAGTGGCGCGATCTTGGCTCACTGCAAGCTCCACCTCCCGGGTTCACGCCATTCTCCTGCCTCAGCCTCCCGAGTAGCTGGGACTACAGGCGCCAGCCACCATGCCCGGCCAATTTTTGTATTTTTAGTATTTTTAGTAGAGACGGGGTTTCACCGTGTTAGCCAGGATGGTCTCGATCTCCTGACCTCGTGATGCGCCCGCCTCGGACTCCCAAAGTGCTGGGATTACAGGCGTGAGCCACCGCGCCCGGCCTACTCTGACCTTTTCTTTTGCCTCTTCTTCGACTTTAAAGGACCCTTATGATTACATTAGGTTCACTTGGATAATTCAGGATAATCTCCCTATTTTAAGGTCAGATGATTAGTAGTAACCTTAATTCTATATACAGTTTTAGTTGCTCTTTGCCATGTAATATAAACATATTTATCACTTCTGAAAACTGGGACATGAATATATTTGGGGCACTATTCCTTGAGAGTATCTTGTTACTTCGATGAAATAAGTGTTCTGTATATAAGTGCCCAACCTCTGATTTTGCTTTCACATAATTCTCAAAGTTTAAGTAGGGTTTTAGCTCTGTGGCTTATATGACCATGCATTTCATAAGGGACAAGATTCTTCAGATTACAACTATGAGCACTAAATTCTCTCTGCTTTCAGATGCAGATGGTTTGTGCTTTTCTACCCATGATTGGTGAGCTTTGAGCTTAACTATTCCCACCTAGTTTAAGGAGTGCTATGTTATTACCAAAACCTGTAGCTGATTGTGCTGAATCATAGTTGCTCTCTATAGTGTTGGTTTGTCTTGATTATACAGCCTTTGACATTTATAACGCTCCTGGTTCATGTCCCCAGATAGAAAAGAAATACAATGCTAGATCTACCAGATAACCTACAGGCCAAATTATTCCAAGAATACTACTTCAAGCTCATCTGGTTTTCCTTTCCGGTTTGCAAACATACCATCTCTCTATACTGAAACTATCTTCCAGGATCAGTCCTGTTGCTGATCATGCAGCTTCAAGCTTCTCCATTTATTTGTGGCTTCTCCCAAACTCAATTCCCACCCTGTGGTTTGGGTTTGAGTTAGTAGGAATATGCAAATGAGCCTCTCAAATTTTCACTCTCTTTTCCTGAGAATTTTTCTAGGTCAAAATTAGTCATTTTTCACATTTTTCTCCTAGTTCTGTCTTCCTTCCATCCTGTGGCAGCAAACACAATGGAAGAGTTATTTGAAGCATCCATCCTATGATGTAATGGGTATAGAAAAACACTGTGTTAGGTAGGAAACTCTGACCTCAGGTGCTTCTTGTGTTTTTTGATCTGTAGTGAAGAGATAAGGTATAATTTTTAACTAAAGATTACAGATTATAAACTATTTCGTTAAGACCCAAAAACTTTCACTCCTTTGCATATGGATGTCAAATAACTTTTCCTACCATTCCATTTCAAAGTGATTCGCTCCTTTTTTTTTTTTTTTTTCTGAGGTGGAGTCTCGCTCTTGCCCAGGCTGGAGTGCAGTGGTGTGATCTCCACTCATTGCAACCTCCGCCTCCCTGGTTCAGGTTCAATCGATTCTCCCCCCTCAGCCTCCAGAGTAGCTTGAATTACACGTGACCACCACCATGCCCAGCTGGTTTTTTAGTAGAGAAGGGGTTTCACCATGTTGTCCAGGTTGTTCTCGAACGCCTGACCTGAAGTGATCTGCCCACCTTGGCCTCCCAAAGGGCTGGGATTACAGGTATGAACCACTGTGCCTGGCCCAAAGTGATTCACTCTTTACTCTCTATTACTATTCTACTAATATATTCTTAATTTCAAGACATTTATACCTTCTGGAGGAAGCAAATGACTTCCTGAATTTATTAATATTCCACAACAAATTACTTATCATCATTCGATAACTATTTCCTGCATGTATACTGATAAAATTGTACTAAAGAAAAATGGAAGTCATATGTCTCTTTCATCTTTAAAAAGAGTTTAATGTTTGCAGCACAAGGCATATAATATAAAAGCATTATAAAAGGAAAAATATATGTTTTTATGTTTATTGCTCTTAAATTTGGGATGAAATTACTTTCTGTGTAATAAGCATAACACTTTCCATGAGTAAATATTAATCTTTTTGCCACCATTATGACTTTCTGCTACTTGGAGAAATGCTTTGGAGAGCTGGATCATCAGATCATTGTTGCTCAATCTAGCCCTTGAATTCTATTGATTTGCAACTAAAGGACAATTCACAAGCAACCCTCCTTATTATACTTTGGAAAAATAATGGTAGGCCTTTAGATGGAGTACCACTGTGTGATATCATTTACCAACAAGAATAAAAGAAGTGTTCCCTGTTTTAACTGCAGTCTTTAATATTTACTGTGTATTATGCCTCAACCTTTAGAAGAATGAACTTTTTATTTATAGAACAAATAAGAGACCAAAATCTATTCTTTTTTTCTTTTTGTTTAATGTAAACCTGGAGTTATATAAATATTAATTTTCCAGACTTTAATGATTATATATTTTGTTATGAGTAATTTTAAATATTTGAATGTTTTCAATTATTTTTAGTGATATACTGAGAAGCATTTGGGCTATGTTTCAACAAACTAGATGACCTTTGGAAAGATAAATAATGATAAAAAAGAGCATATATAAATATAATAGAAAATGTATAAAAATATAATATTAAATTTATAAAATAATACTAAAATTGAAAATTTTCTTTTTTTTTTTTTTTCTCAGAGACAGAGTCTCTTGCTCTTTCGCCTAGGCTGGAGTGCAGTGGTGCAATCTCGGCTCACTGCAACCCCCGCCTCCTGGGTTCAAGCAATTCTCCAGTCTCGGCCTCCCGAGTAACTAGGATTACAAGTGTAAGCCACCATGTCTGGCTAATTTTTGTATTTTTTAGTAGAGACAGGGTTTCGACATGTTGGCCAAACTGGTCCCAAATTGCTGATTTCAAGAGATCCAGCCACCTTGGCCTCCTAAAGTGCTGGGGTTACAGGGATGAGTCACTGCGCCTGGCCAAAAAATTTTAATATTTTTTAAAACTTATGTTAAGAGAAAAAATTCTCTGAATAATTTAATTTGGCATACTGTAAAGAAGTAGAAAATTTGTATGGACATTTAGCTATAGAGGAATTTAATCCCTTGGCCAGGCGCGGTGGCTCACGCCTGTAATCCCAGCACTTTGGGAGGCCGAGGTGGGCAGATCACGAGGTCAGGAGATCGAGACCATCCTGGCTAACATGATGAAACCCCGTCTCTACTAAAAAAATAAAATAAAATACAAAACATTAGCCGGGCATGGTGGCGGGCGCCTGTAGTTCCGCACGTCTGTAGTCCCAGCTAATCGGGAGGCTGAGGCAGGAGAATGGCGTTAACCCGGGAGGCGGAGCTGGCAGTGAGCCGAGATCGTGCCACTGCACTCCATCCTGGGCGACAGAGCAAGACTCCGTCTCAAAAAATAAATAAAAAAATAAAAAAAATAAAAAAATTAAAAAAAAGAAAAAAAAGAAATTTAATCAGTAACTTCTGAATTCTTTTTTTTGCATAATATATAACTGTCTCAGATTACCTTAAAATAGATTTTTCACTAGACATTCATGGAAAGATAAGTCCAATCTAACATATATTGTTGCAGAGATTTGAAGAAACAAATAAAAAGAGTTAAGCTTCTCAACAATGAAAAGAGATAAAAACAAAATCAGTAAAGATGATGCAAGTATATATTTTAAAATATAATGTAATACTATGTAAGGAACTATTTGTTTTCTCCAGGAATTATTCCAGATGAATTCAACAATAGAATATGATTTTACACATTAACAGATTAAAGAAAGGAAACTGTATGGTGGTGAAAAAAAAAAAACAAGGTCAAACAATTATACATCATTTCATGATTCAAGTCTTATTACATTAGGAAAAAGAAGAAATTTTTTAGCCATATATTGAGAATCCACAAAAATATTACAAATAAGATGTCATATACTAGAAAAAATATAATTTACCTTATATCAAATATAGGTTAATGATCATTATTGGAAAAACAAAACTTTATTCAAAATAGTTAAAAGGCTAGTAAAATTTATAGAAATATTGTTTTGTAGGCAAGCAGGCTAAATGCGGCCAATACAACTATACTCTCACAACTGATCTGTATATTTAATGTAATTGAAATTACAATCCAAACAGAAATATGCTCATGCATATACAGTCATCTGTTGTATGAAAATTTGCACATTCTTGGGAATAAGGTAGACTAATAAATAAATGGGATTGGAAATATAGTGATCATTATGTGAAAAAAAAAATGCATAGCTGGGCGTGGTGGCTCATGCCTGTAATCCCAACACTTTGGGAGGCCTAGGCGGGTGGATCACCTGAGGTCAGGAGTTCAAGACCAGCCTGGCCAACATGGTGAAACCCCGTCTCTACTAAAAATACAAATATTAGCCAGGCATGGTGGTGCACGTCTGTAATCTCAGCTACTTGGGAGGCTGAGGCAGGAGAATCTCTTGAACCAGGAAGGCAGAGGTTGCAGTCAGATGAGATTGCACCACTGCACTCCAGCCTGAGGGACAGAGAGACTCTGTCTCAAAAAAAAAAAAAAAAAAGAAAGAAAGAAAGAAAAATACATAACTCTCTCACACTATAAACAATACTTGGTCTTAGATGTATGTACATTGACATAACTGTGAAAGGCAAATCTACATTTTTTATAAGATGATATAAGATGATGAATTTATAGCCTTGGATAGGAAATAATTTTTTAAAGAAGAATCACAAGTTATGAAAAGGAAGAAAATAATAGATTAATTCAGTAAATTTAAGAACTTCTGTTCATCTACAGGCAGCATTAATGATAAGACGAAGTAGATGATGGTTTCCACAAATGAAACTCACAAAAAGTATCCAGAGAGAATATACATGATATAGGAATGAGTGAGTGTGTGTGTGTGCATGTGTGTGTCAGTAACAAGAAGACCACTACCAGGATTTTAAAATATATATGTGAACAGGGATTTCACAAAAGATGAATGAATAATAAAGGAAAGTTAGAAAGCAGAGAAATGTATATCAAAACTATAGTCATCAACTTGGTAAACATTCCAAAGCTGGACAAAATCGACTACTGGCAAAGATAATGGTGCAAGAGAAACTTTCATTAACTGCTTAGTAACTGCTTGTCTTACTGCAAATTGATGCAGCTACTTAGAAAATAATTTGACTTTACTCAATCCTACTGAAATGTGCATATTTTATGGCTCAACAATCTCATTACTTGGTATTCGCCACAGAGATAATCTTGTCCATGTGCTTCAGTAGACGCGAAATCAGAAGTTTCCTAGCAGCACTGTCCATAATAGCAAAATACTGGAAATCACCCAAATCTCCATCAACAGTAGACTGCAGCTGTGTTCAGCTAATTGGACAGATCTCAAAAGCACAAAGTTGGCTGAGAATAGCAAGCCCCAAAATAATATATAATAAACGTGTGTATATAAATTGAAAATACGGGGCCAGGCAAGGTGGCTCACACCTGTAATCCCAGCACTCTGGGAGGCCGAGGCTGGCGGATCACCTGAGGTCAGGAGTTTGAGACCAGCCTGACCAATATGATGAAACCCTGTCTCTACTAAAAATACAAAAATTAGCTGGGCATGGTGGCATGCGCCTGTAATCCCAGCTACTCGGGAGCCTGAGACAAGAGAATCACTTGAACCTGGGAGGAGGAGTTTGCAGTGACCCAAGATCACGTCACTACACTCCAGCCTGGGTGACAGAGTGAGACTCTGTGTCAAACAAAAAAAAAAAAAAAAAAAAAAAAGAAAAGAAAAGAAAGAAAAAGAAAATACAGGCAAAACTATGTAACATACATACACAGTTTTATATAGTTTTAATATATGTATACTTTAAAATATGGATGGTAAAACCGTAAAGAAAAGAGATTTAATATCACATAATTCAGAATAATTGGTTACTATTGGGTGAATGAAGCCCATAAGGGACAAACAAGGGCTTCTAAGATATTTAGCTGATATGTGAATATATTGTTTTCTTTATTATTATTTAGTTGTACATCTAAGTTATATATAGCTGTGGTATATCTGTTTCACAATTTTTTAAAATGCCAAGCAAATTCTGCATTATTATTATATTAGATGCACACACACTGGAGATATGGTAGCCCATTTAAAAGGCAGAGAGCCTGGAATTAAGGAAATGCAGTGTTGAATAGTTATTGCACTATTTTCAGGCTTTGTGACCTGGGCATTTTAAAAAGGAGATCATAATACCCATTTGTTAGGGGTGCTGTGAGAACTAAATGAAATAATGAATGCACAATGCTTGACAGAGTGCTTAGCACACAGATGCTGGAATGGAGAATCAACATGAAGAAAATAAACTCTCTTTCGCTGACAGCAATTTCCACAGGAGTGTGTGTGTGTTCACTGCGGCAACTACATTGTAGGAGGAATTGTCAAATTGTGAGTGATAAATGCAATGGAGTAACAATTTCCAACAAATAACACTGTTAGAAAGCAGAGTTTCATCCTACTCAGGCATGCATATACAAAGGGAGAGGGGAGGCTTGTGACAGAACTTGCTCTCTTCCCACCGAGACTCTTTCACCCTTAGATGATCTGTCATTGTATGCAGAAAACAGTGGCAGACTTATCCCCACAATTCAGGTTGCTCAGTAATGGTTCAGGTGAAAGCATTTCAGTAATGCCATAAAGTGGGAACTCATAAATGACAGAGTCGATTATTGGGTGACAAGCTCCAGCCCAGTGACTTTGTTTGTGACTTTGTATAGACTCTGCAGAAATGCTTACATTGTTATGAGCTCCAGGAGGAAAAAAAATGCAGTGATAATACAGGTCAGCACATTTAGCCACCTAATACTATTTAAAAACAATTCATGTGGACTAGAATAAGTCTAAAGAGTTTAAAATAACTGACATGATACAGAGCAATTACATACAGTGATGGAACTGCTAAGTGTGGAAAGACCTGGGTGTGTTTTACGGTTTCCTTAATATTACCAAATTAACTGTTCTTTCCATTTTCCAAATATTTATATTATTTTTTAAAATGGTCATTGATAGCGTGCATCTCTATGAATAAATGACTGGCCAAAAGAAAAATATGTGTCAATAACAAATACAGGTGACCGATATTCCTTTTAGGCATTGAGGTGGGAGAGAAGAATTAAGACAACATTTTGGCTCATATAATCGTGCCTCTTGCTATAGAACCTTTAGGGCTGAATCACAATAGGACCCATAATTTCCTATATTTTGATTTTTTTCTCTCTTTTAATATTAAAGAAACATTGATGAATGATGCTGGTTTCTATCCAATTATTAATATTTACAGGGACATTAGAATCTTCAGAAACACGTATACTTCAAATCTGTTCCTGTTAATATTCCGTAGAATTTCTTTGTGATGTTAACATGAAATGATATGGGTAATATTTGTCTCACATTTTCTGCAATACGCATGCAAGGAGCTGCAGCACCACTAGAACTGAACCGCCACAAAAACATTTAAGATACTATGTTGTATTTTAGCCACAAATACATTATTATTTTAGTTTTTCTATCAAAAGTTAATTAGTTTAGATAAAAGCAGAAATCAGAATCATGTATCAAAACATTGATGAATCATTAACAATCTGCCTAAATAACCGAGAAATAATGCCTCACCATATAACATGTACATTTTTATATGTGTTGAATCATATTTCAGTGATAAAAAGCATAAAATATGATGGCATTAAAAACTCAAAAAAATTAGTGGAAGACTTTGAACGAAATGGGTAAAGATGAATTATTGCTGTCTCAAATTTATCATATTTGGATCTGAGCCTTTGAGTATATAACAAGATACAGAGATTTTGAGTTAGATATCTCAGTAAGTTAAAAATCCTAAAACTCAATTCAATTTGAAAATGATAAAAATAATAAACGTTTTATATAGTTTTATATCTAGTGAAGAAATTGAATATGTTAAATAACTTTCCACAGGAAAACCTAATGCATTTATCTAGTGAAATATATAAAATATTCAGTGAAAAAAAGCATGTGAATAATTGCACAACTCTACAAAGATCAGGAATAAAAAAGAAACACCTGATAACTACAGGTTAATTCCTGTCTAAATCATGTGTGCATAATTCCTAAATATAATATTTTGAACAATATGTGAATAATAATGCACCATAAACACATTGGACTTAGTTCATAAAGGGAAGAGCCCTTTGAAATTCAGAACATTATCAATGTAATTGTATGATGATGATTTAGTCAGGAAAAAAAATATATGTGATCAGAAAATTAAAAACCAATAAAAGCATTATATACATTTATTTCTCATTTCTATTAAAAAATTCACATTTACAGAAGAGAATTTCAATATCCTGGAAATAATATTTGTAAAATCCAGCTTAAAAAAATTATACTAACATAAAAAAATTTAAAAAGCAGCTTTTTCTCTGAACAAAGAAAGGCAACAGGAAGTCTGTTTCTATTATCTCTACTAGACTTAATTTTAGAACTTATGGACAGTAGAATAAGGCAAAAATTGAATGTAAAAAATAAAAATATGGCCGGGCGCGGTGGCTCACGCCTGTAATCCCAGCACTTTGGGAGGCCGAGGCGGGTGGATCATGAGGTCAGGAGATCGAGACCATCCTGGTTAACAAGGTGAAACCCCGTCTCTACTAAAAATACAAAAAATTAGCCGGGCGCGGTGGCGGGCGCCTGTAGTCCCAGCTACTCGGGAGGCTGAGGCAGGAGAATGGCGTGAACCCGGGAAGCGGAGCTTGCAGTGAGCCGAGATTGCGCCACTGCAGTCCGCAGTCCGGCCTGGGCGACAGAGCGAGACTCCGTCTCAAAAAAAAAAAAAAAAAAAATTAAAAAAAAAAATATTATTTATTCATATAATTTATAATAAAATTTATGTAATCTATATATCATTTTAATTACAAAATATGCTTATCAAATATTTCCATATAAGTCTGAGGTGCAAAAAATCAATTGAATGTGTATATACCATAAACAATTAGAGAAAAATGGTATTAGCAGTACATTGAGGAAAACTAAGCATATGAATATTAGATGTAAACATATTCTGCACTAAAGACTATAAAGCTTATTGCTATACATTTGAAAAGATCTAAATAAATCAAGGACAGTATTATGTCCCTGAAATCAATGATTCAATATTGTTAAGTATTAAATGTGCTAAGATTGTTCTAAACATTCAGTACAATCAGAAATAAAATGACTGTTGGGTTATTTTTGTGGATATTGTAAAATATATATTAAAACATAAAAAGCAAACAAAGCAAAGGCAGTAACTTAAAAGAAATAAAAATTTGGGTGATTTTTCTAAAGGCTGTCACATGTATTGGAAAATAAATCAGGAAGACTTATTTTGAACTGAGGATAAGCAAGTAAAGCAATAGAACAGATTAGAGTCTGAGTAATCTGACTAATCTGATTAGAAACAGACTCATACATATATGGATATTTGATATTTGAAAGTAGAGCCAAGCTGATCTGTGCAATAAATAGTGTTGTGTCAATTACTCAAACACACACACGTATATAATCTTTGTATATATTATATGAGTGTGTGTCATACAGAATAGTTAAGATATATATATATGTACATAATAATTAAGAGCGTGTAAAAATTTAAGCCAGTAACTGGAAAATAATAATAACTAACAAAAAATTATAGTCAGAAAAATACATACATTTCTGCAAATAAACAAGCAAAGAAAGAGAATTCCACAAACAATGGGCCAGGTGCTTGATGAAGCGCTTCAGTAAGAAGAATATCTAAATTGGCAGTCAATGTATGAAAAGGTTTCCATTAATCATGAGGAAATGCAAGTAATAGTTACCATGGGAAAAAAATCAGAAGGAGAAAACACTACAAACCTACCAGTTTGTTGAAGTAAATAGGACTGATAATAGTTCATTTATTGCTGATGGAGGTAGAATGTGACAAGTAAAAATCAAAATTTGACATTATCTATGGTAAATACCCAGCACTAGAGTTCCATTCAACTGTATGTAGTAAACATAAATGCATACTTGTGTTCATCAAGGGCAAAAAGATGCATATAGCAGCATTATTTATATTTGCTTTAAAACTGGAAACAAGCCAAAGGCCCATCAATTATATAATGAAAAAATCAATTGTGATATATTTATAAACAAGGAACTACAAATCAATGTAAACGAGTGAACTGTTGCTACAAGCAACAACCTCAATGACTCCCATCAATATAAGGTTCGGCTGAGCTATAGAAGACATGCTCATGCACACTCACACATATGCACACATACACTCACACACAACTACATAAACACGCATTCTCACTTCTCCATCATATATTAACTACAACCAAAGCGCGCACGCACACACGTGCGCGCGCGCGCGCGCACACACACACACACACACACACACACACACTATGCTGTTAACATAAGGATAAGTCAGGAGAAGGATAGGCATTTTGAAGTACTGTTTTATGACCTTTGTAGCAGTTGTTTAAGTGTCTAAGTTTCACTATGTAAAAATTAATTGAACTCTACACTTATAATGTGTGCATTTTATACATATGCCACATTTTTAGTTAAAAATATGTTCAAATAATGGCATATGGAAGAATTATACATTCTTAATGTGTACTTCTTTCAATTTAGAATGATTTTATAAATTCCAAATAGATAAAGATATAGATTACCAAGAATATCTGCACACTTGGAAGGAAATGTCGTTAGGACAGAATGTATCTTAGAATATCTGTGGTTTGCCTAATGGAGTTTGTGTGAAATCTTTTCCACACTGCCAAGCCATTCAGATAGTCTTTAAAATTCAATTTGAGTTGGAAATTTTCAAAGCAAATCTTAAAATACGAATTGTCATTTGATGTTAATAATATAATATTTATATTATTATGTTAATAATATATTTATATTATTATGTTAATAATATAATATTTGAAACATGCATGAAAGTGCATGAAATGACAGCACTGTTCATGTAGATTATCAAGTATCAAAATTTTATAATAGCTATCATAAGTGTCTTTTTTATTCAGAAATAAAAATAGAAGATACCAAAGCCTTATGCCACAATCCTTCTTTGTTTCTATAAAAATTTAAAGAATTATATATATAAATATATATTTATATATATCATATATATATCAGAGTTCTAAAATGGGTATTTATCTTCTTTTTCTAACTCAACATTCATTTCTGGAGTTGTTCATTTTGATTATGTATCTCTCATTATTTCTATTGTATGAATAAATCATAGTGTATTAGTCCATTCCCTTACTGATGGACAGTAAGTTTATTTTCACTTTTTAAATCTAGTGCTATGTGTCATGTATACAACTTCAAAAATCATCCAGTGCCTAAGAAAAGTGATGGGTAATGCTGGGAAAGGAGAAAAACTCTTTGATCTTTTAAAATATCAAATAATATAGTTATATATATACATATGTATATATGTCACCTAAATTGTAGATATCAGAAATCAGAATGCTGTGATATGAACATTTAGTATATTTTAATCATGATAAATTATACATCCTTCTACCTTATGATAATGGATTTTAAGATCTATGCTGTTAAACTCTATATTTACCCTTTAATTCATATCTTGCTAATTTTACATTTATCTGAGAATACATTGGGTCTACTAAATCTTTGCTATCACTCACAGTCTTACGTTGTAAGATAATTTTTCAATAAAATAAAAATTCTTCATTGCACCTAGAAAGGAGCAGGGTTTTGAAAGCAGTCAATGATTACTCTAATACCTAATGTAATAATATAATATAGTAAAAATCAAACTGCCTGAATGAAAAATGTAAAATTAATAGTTTTGCTTTCATTGTTTTTATTCCAGTGTCTATTTTAGAATGTTTTTACTCTGTGTTTTTATGCAAAACCAAATGAGCTTTAGGTAATTCCATTGATACATTACATATGAAAGTTCTTGTTAAATAGGATATAGCATATTTTACTCAAAAATCCAAATTATAAAATAAAGAGGGATTTTAAGTTGAGTCAAAAATTTTTGTTTCAATTTTGTTTTTATTTAAAGACTTGCTATAATTCTGTGAGAGAACTATAAAAGTCTACTCAGAAACATTATAATGCAAAATGGACAGAGAAGGACAATGAGATATTTAATTTGCCACGGCAAAGCCATTGCTGTGAAGAATGGATAAAATATGTCAATGGTAATATATGAAGAAATAACACAGGTGAATAGCAGAGGCAATAAATCTGTTTTTACCACAGGACTTGTCTTACACTTTTCTCTTAGTAATAAATAAAATAATTTTCGACCATATGGAGCTGGCTTGAAATCCTCTTGTTTATGGCAGTACATATCGGTTATGATTCAAAAAATATAGCCCATTTCCAAAAACCTGCAACGAAGAGATGCTTTCTCAGGTGAGTGTTTAGATCGTTATTCATTACAAAGTGTCAGTTTTGTCTTTATTGATCCTCGTTATTGTAAGAAAGTATGTGGTCTTGTCTCCGTTCTATTAAAACAACGTTGTAGAGATTAGTACTGAGTCTTTCCAGCCATATGCATCTGTTCATTTCCCTCTCCAGCTTGAGTTTTTCTGTGTATTACAAAATAAGAAAACAAAAATGACACAATAATCTATTTTGTCTGGTTTCGCTTTTTATTAGTAGAAATAGAGAAGTGAGGAGATGGAGGAAGAAATTGCTTCTGATCTGTTTTAGATACAGGTGAAACTCTCCCTCCCTCCCCGCCCCGCCCAATCTTTCTCTGTCTCCCTCCCTGAGCCCATTCTTGCTTCTTCCCCTTACGAGTAATTAACTGCTCAGGTCATATTGAACCAAAAAGTAGCGTTTGTAGCCCCTGTGTGCTTACTTTAAGTATATGTTACTGAAAAATGCGGAGTGAGCACTTACAACTCATTCTCCTGGGAAGCACAATGATACTATACCCCAAATGCTTTTCGTTATCATTTTAATTTTTATCTTCTTTACTTACATTTCTAAGATAAGTTAAGAGGGTCTTGTAGTTTTCTGCCATTTGTAAAATCTCCTTGCTCAAAACTCAGATGCAGAATATTATTTTTACCACAATAAATACATCTACAACAATGCTATTATATCTGGTTTATTTCAAAGTCAATTTCTAATATAGGTAAACAAATACACTAATAAACATATAATGCTGTTCCAATGAAATGTATAATCTAGTAGGAATAAAGGTAAAATAAACATTTTTTTAAAAATTCTATTTCATTAAGCAAAAATGCAACTCAGAAGAATAATGTATATTAGCAGTCATTTAGTATTTTTCAATTAAATTCTGATATATATGTAAATTATTACTAATATCAAACATAGTTTAAAGAATTAGTGACTATGCACACTTGAATCTCCATATGTAATGTACTATCAGCATCTTCACAAACACAGTAAATTTTAATATGCAAGTAAAACTTATTTTACTAAACGATGTTTACTCCTTCTATATTCATATTCCTAAACACATACAGTTTCTTAATGCAATTAAGTTTTTAACTAAAAAAAGGGAAATGCATTATTGAGGCGATAGGATTACTGGGTGGCTATAAACACATCCACTGCACAGCTGACATTTATCTTCTACAATGAGCAACGACAATTTTATTTTTTAATAATCAGAATGGACTAATCCTGATGACTTTTTTAACATTTTCAAATAGGGCTGCATATGGCTTAAAATGAATATATACATGTGTACCTATATAATATTCTTATTTATTAATGGACTTCCTACATAGTTCATATTGACATTAGATTTAAATGAAATTTTACAAGGGTTTTCTATAGGTAAGTCATACATTGGATTTCCGTATTACCTATGATTATTAAGGTATTTATTTCTGTTTTTAAGACTTCAATGCAATTTTGCTGGTCATTTATTTTCTGTGTTTTTATTTTGAAATTGTTCTTTGATGCATTGTCCTATTAAATTTTTAAGGTATGTTAATAAAATATTTTTAATGAAATTTAGCCTACTGCTTTCCAGGTGAACTCTTGTTTAAAGTATTAATTCACCAAAAATTACTTATATTCAGAAAATGAACTAAAAAAAAATATGACGTGTTCAAGAAAATCGAACAAAAGATACATGATGTTTGCAACATATTCAACTCCATATCCTTCTCAAATAGTAAAGAGAATAGTAAATAGAATAGGTAGTAAGCAGAGTAGGAATTTTGGGATATAGAACTCTCAGTCACTCAATTGACTTTATTTTTTAGTAATACAGGATTTGAATTATTCAAGCTGAACCATTAAATATTCATAGTGCTTCATATTATAAAGTTATTGATTAATGTCTTTGGTAAAGAACACTATTATTTCTGATTACATCAAGGTCATCCTGAGGAACAGGACCAAGGCACAAAGTTTTATATATGAAATATGAGAAGTTAATACATAATTCATATTTAACAGATAACATAAAGGTTAACCCCTTGGAGAATCTGAAGATAATACCCATGTTCTTCTGACAATTCTTTATACTGGCAATTTGGAAAATGCCAGTGTTTTATTGCTACCTATTCTTGTATTATGATGTGAATTAATACATACCTGCTTCACTATTCCTGTGGGCAAAAAAAGACTTTGAATTATGTGCCAGAGAGAGATTTTACAAAATTAAATGAGGCAAAATACTTTTCCTCTGTATACTCATTAGAAATATGCTGAGTAGTTCCTTTCACTTTCTGATAAAATATAATCAGTTCAACAACATAACAGATATCTTTTAAACTTTTAATGTCCACTGTTAGAATGAATATGATATTTGGGACCAATTCACATTTTGGAATAATGTACATACTAAGCATAAGTGAACAATTTAAACATAAACTTGATTTAGAACTGGACTCTTAGTTTTAAAAAGTTGAAAAACTGAATTCCAACAAATTTAAATAGCTTGTTTAGGGTTTCCACAGGCAATATGGGTTTGTGCAATGGAAAGAGAATTCCTTTCATCTAAATGTGGGCTTTATTCTGGCTCTGCCACATATTGACTGTTTCATACAAATGTAACTTAAACTGCAGGTGTCATGATTTTTCACACATATACAAATAAAACAATGTTGATTATACAGCATTTGTTGAGAAAATGCAATTATGCCAAGTACAAGTGTTTGGCATATTATCTCACTTTATAAATATTAGCAATTCTTTTTGTGGAGGGAATAAATCTAACATGCTGGCTTTCAGAATTTCTTCTTATTTTTCTTTCAATTTTATTGCCATGTAACATTTAAGTCAATAAATCTACAATTAGACTGTGGGTAATTTTCTCCCAAATCCATATCTTGTTTTCTCTATCCATAGTAGCATTTTAAAACAACAGAAGGGAACTCTAATTACAGTAGGTTGGGAGCCATTTTCTCCCTTTGGTCATATTTTCATTGAAATTCCTACATTGTTTAATATTAGGACTTAGTTTGAATATCAAATCAACAAGGTTGCTCAATACAAATATCATGGAATCATTTTTCTGTCATGCCACAAAACTTATTAACTGTATATTCAAAATACAGCTCAATTCTGATCATTTTTGCTACTTTCCCCGCTAGCATCCTGGTGCTAACACCATCATTTATTGCCCAGGTTATTGAAATGGCCAGCAAACAGGTGTTTCTGATTCTGCATAAGGCAACCTTCAGTACATCCTCAAAAGAGCAACTTGTATAATCACTTTAAAACATGTATCAGGTTATTACCTTTTTCTGTGTAAAACTCTGATCTCTCATTTCATTCATTGTAAAAGTCAGAACTTGCACAATGCTTTATAGGTGCTGCACCACATGGAGCCCCCAATTCTTCCATGGACTTCCCTCTTTCCACTATGTAATTTTCTCACTCAGCTTCATGTACAGTAGTTTATTTGTTATTACTAAACATGCAACAGATATGGTTCGTTCTATATCTTCCTCATGCCTTTGGTCAGATGCCATTATCTCAGTGAGGTTTTCCATAGCCACTTTATTCAAATTCCAAACAATCTGTCCCCTTAGACATTCTCCATTCTTAATTTTTTGCCATTGCACTTAATACAGTCTAACACACTATACATGTTACATTTTTGCTTATTGTTTATTGTATAGTCCCTAGAATATTAGTTCCCTGAGGACAGAGATTTCTATAAGCTTTTTCAAAGATGTATCCCCAAAGCCTAGAATGCTACCTGGCAACAAATACTTGTTATAAATAATGAATTAGAACTGGGTAGATTCACACATCAGAGAGACAGCGTAGTATATATAATGATTTTTTAAAGCATTAGAGTCATAGATATTAGGATTTGTATTATGTCTTCACCATTTACAATTATGCTACCCTCAACAAGTTGTTTAATCTCTCCATTCCTCAGTTTCCTCATGACTCATATATTGGAAATATTGTCTACCTCAGAGCTCTTCCAAGAGTAATATTGAGACAATGTTTCAACAATGTTTAGCATATTGCTGAATATTAATTATTTATTATTTCTTATTAAATTTCTTAATAATTTATTAATTAATAATTAATAAATTATTTCTATTAATGTAAGAAATTTCACAGACTGTTGCTAGAAATAAGGAGGATGGACTAGAAATGAAGATCATAAAATGTGATGGGAATAAATGTTGGAAAATGTGGATGGTATCCTTAGCACACTCTCTAACGTAAGGAGTAAAATCTGTGTCATATGACTTTATCTTTCTTCTGGAAACTAACAGAATTTAGTAACACACTTTTCTTGACCTGAGGATTTGCCCTTACCACAAAATTGTTTTTGAAACTTGAGTATTTACAATGGCTTTTTACTAGTTCTTTTATCTTCTACCAGTTCCTCTCCAATTTACTATGGACTGAAGTCAGACTAATTTGTTAAGAGCAAACAAAACAAAACAAAAAAACAGTTGTTACCTCATTCTAGCCTCAAAGCATCTGCCTTTTCAATGCAATCAAAATTTAAAGCACAATTCTAATTTTGATGACTTTAGTCCCTGCTTATCTGTTATATTAGGCCGTTCTTGTATTGCTTTGAAGAAATATCTGAGACTGGATATTATAAAAATGTTTAATTGACTCACAGTTCTGCAGGCTGTACAGGAAGCACAGTGGCATCTGCTTCTGGAGAGGCCTCAGGGAGCTTTTACTCATGACAGAAGGCAAAGCAGGAGCAGGCGCTTCCCATGGTGAAAGCAGGAGCAAGAGAGAGAGAGTGTGTTGGGGTAGGTGCACTACCATGGAGACAGCACCAAGCCACGAAGGATTCGACCCCGTGATCCAAACACTTCCCACCAGGCTCCACCTTCAGCACTGGGGATCTCGTTTCAACATGAGATTTGGGCGGGACATCCAAACTATATCATCTGTCTCCCTCATCCAAGACCATATGATCCGTAGCTCACTTTTGTCTAGCAACAGATTAAATTCAACATTTTCTGTGTGATTTCTTGGTTGAGGTCTTTGCAGATGCTGTTTCTTTGTCCTGAAACTTTCTTCATCTGCTCTTTCAAAATGACTGACTCCTCATCCTCGAAGTCTATGCTTATATATTGCTTTTCAGAGGAATCTTTTCTGAACTGGGCATTCGGCCTTCAACCAACTATTTTCTACTATAGTTTCCTGTTTGTGAGTTAATAGTCCTTTTCAAAATTTGACTACTCATTTACTTTATCGGGTTATTTGAAATTATCTCCTCTTCAATAGATTCTATAGAAGCATAGCCATGCCTGCCCTCTTTACTGTTTCTCTACTGACTTGTTGCAATGAATATTCTCAGTAAACATGGAAATAAATCAGTTATTCAGATATCCTACCTTGGTGCCTGCTTAGATAACTCCACACTGTGATGCCTGATGGCCTACACAGGGCTTTCTAGCAAGGAGTGACTTTCTTTATGCTATGTGTAATAATGATCCATCAACTTAAACATATAGTTATATTTCCAGCAGACGGTTCTCTTGAAACTAATGTCCAGGGTGTAGTTATTCAAAAAAGCAAACTCTTCTCTTGATTTCTGCCATACATTTGTACTCTTTCTCTCTCCCTTTTTTATTTTATTTTTTTTTTTTGAGACGGAGTCTCACTCTTTCACCCAGGCTGTGGTGCCATCCCGGCACACCCTGCAACCCATTGCCTCCCAGATTCAAGCGATTCTCCTGCCTCAGGCTCCCTAGTAGCTGGGATTACAGGCATGTGCCACCATGCCTGGCTGATTTTTTGTACTTTTAGTGGAGACGGGATTTCACCATGTTGTTCAGGCTGGTCTCAAACTCCTGACCCCTAGTGATCCATCTGCCTCAGCCTGCTAAAGTGCTGGGATTACAGGCGTGAGCCACCCCGCTCGGCCTACTCTTTTATTTCTATTTTGTCTTTCCTTTCTCAAGAAAGAAAACAAACCAAAACCAAAACAGTTTGGAAGACTTTGTAGTATTCATCCATATAAAAGAACAAGATCATGTCCTTTGCAGGAACATGGGTGGAGCTGGAGACCATTATCCTCAGCTCCACCCATCCTCAGCTCCCACTAACGCAGGAACAGAAAAACAAATGCAGCATGTTCTTATTTATAAATGTGAGCCAAATGATAAGAACACATGGACTTATAGAGGAGAACACCACACGCTCGGACCTACCTGAGAGTAGCGGGTGGGAAAAGGGAGAGGTTCAGGAAAAGTAACTAATGGGTACTAAGCTTAATACCTGGGTGACAACATAACCTGTACAACAAATCCCCATGACACGAGTTTACCTGTATAACAAACCTGCACGTGTACTCCTGAACTTAAACTAAAAGTTAACAAAAGGCCAGGTGCAGTGTTTCACGCCTGTAATCCCAGCACTTTGGGAGGCTAAGACGGGTGGATCACCTGAGGTCAGGAGTTCAAGACCAGCCCGACCAACTAAATACAAAAAATTAGCTAGATGTGGTGGCATGTAATCCCAGCTCCTCTGGAGGCCAAGGCAGGAGAATCACTTGAATCCAGAAGGCAGAGGTTGCAGTGAGCCGACATTGTGCCACTGCACTCCAGCCTGGGCAATAAGAGAGAAACTCTGTCTCAAAAAAAAAAAAAAAAGTTAACAAAACGGCTTTCTCTAGTTCTAAAGCACCAACACAGAGGTGGTCAAAATACTCTAAGAAGCACTGGGAAACACTGAGGGGATGGTTCAAACATCAGACCTAAGGCCTAATTTCCCAATAGTCATTATTTCTGTGGTATTCTGCATATTAGAGACGTATAGGTTCCTCACCTAATCCTTGTTTTTTCATTTTATTTTTAATACATATGAAAGTCATAATAACAAAAAAAAAGTCATCTATCAGCGGCTCAGCTAGAAATAAAAGTCTTAATCTATTGGAAGCCCCTGTGAACTTGTATCAAATTCCTTTCTCTCTTCATAGAGGAAATAATGACTCCTAAAATGTGGTAATGAACAAATATCTCTAATTGTTTAAAATTTAGTATACGTGCAAGTCTCCACAGACACAATTGAATCAAGATCATATATTTTTAGAAGTTAAAAATGTGTCTATCATCAGGGCATGGTGGTTCATGCCTGTAATCCCAGCACTTTGGGAGGCCTAAGCGGGTGGATCACCTGAGGTCAGGAGTTGGAGACCAGCCTGGCCAACATAGTCAAATCCTGTCTCTACTAAAAATACAAAAGTTAGCCAGTTGTGGTGGAGGGCGCCTGTAATCCAAGCTACTCAGGAGTCTGAGGCAGGAGAATTGCTTGAACCCGGGAGGTGGAGGTTGCAGTGAGCCAAGATCACGCCACTGCACTCCAGCCTGGACAACAGAGCAAAAACTCCGACTCAAAAAAAAGTGTCTAACTACCTTCTGCTTTATTTTGTTTTATATGACATTGATGATGTCCATCTATGTTGGCACATATAACTCTTATCAATTATTTTAAATGCTGTTTAGCATTGTACCATATAAAAATATCAAAACACAGCTCCCTTTTGTTCATTATATTGCCATTTAGTTTTTTTCTCATTTTTTGCTATTTCAACAAAAAGCTGCTATGAATGTGTGTGTATGTGTGTATATATATATATGTAAATGTGTATATATATAAATATATATATATACACATATATATGTCAGAGTTTCTCTAGGATATAAACCCAGGAACAAAATTTAAAAATCATAGGGTGTACTGGATCTTACATCACTGCAGACCCTCTCAGCATTACATCTTCTTCCAGTCAGAGCCTTGGTTACCATTTTTATGTAGACTTTGGTCAGTTTCATAAAGATGGAAGTGATAGTATGTGGCTTCAGACTAGAGCAAGAATTCACTTTCTGCTGTGGGATTTCTCAGACAATGTTGTGTGGATTGTTGTAGGCATTTTGCTTGGGACTCATAAATGCACTGTCTAGACACATTGAGAAGTTAGCATCCATGAGGCTATGCTTGAAATATGGAACTCCTAGAGCTGATGGATACATATTTCCCCTGTTGTTTCACTTCAGTGAATGGTCATATAGTATTCCATCACCTAACTTAATAATGTGTTCTAGATTTTACTCTCTCTCCCTATAGCACCCATCCTGTTTCTTATTCTTACTCCACAATACACTCCCAACTTACACATACAGTCTCTTCTTTAGGTGTTGGGGGTTGGGAGTTATTACAAGATGACATGGTGTATGCATTTATTTCTTTGTCTACATTGATTGTACTGATTTACAGTCTCACCAGCAGTTCATAAAATCCTTCCTTGCGGCTAAGATATGGGCACAAGGCTAAAATTTATATCTTTAGCTGATATCTCATTCCTGAACACTCATCTCATTTGCAACTGCCTTGAATGTCAAATAGGCATCTCAACCTTAGTAAGTAAAACAGAATTCTTTATCTGCATCCTGCCAATCCTGCTTCTTTCCCAGTAATTTTTCACTCAGTAATTTGAGCCATTATTAATCTATATTCTAAAGCTTCAAAACTTGGAGTCATTACCAGCTGTTTTATATACACCATTCCAAGCCATTAGAAAGTCAATTACATTTCACCTGGAAATGTATTGCAAATCTGACGATTGTCTCTTACATGAACTACTAAAATAGCTTCTCAGCAGTATCTGTGTGCTGCCACTATCCATCCTTCCTCCAATCTCTTCCCCACCAGGCAATGGAAGTCACCTCTGGCAATATAATACATTTCACATTAGTTTCATTTTTCCAGCTGAAAATCTCAAAAGTATTTCATTTACTCACCTAATAAAAGCTAAAGATATAATCTTGCTCAGAACTATAAGCTGGCTTCTCCACCTACCATTATCCTTTGCCTTGATTACTCTGCTCTATATCATCACCTTGCATACCCTAACACATGACTTTTATACTCATTGCTCCATCTGTTATAAACATACTGATAAATAATATTTCCTCTTTAGCAGTGATTTCCTGATCTAATCAATATTTTGGTATCATATAACCTCATTGGATTATTAGTGATTATCACTAACCTGCTATCATACAATACACATTTAATTTCTTTTCTCATTGTTTATTGTCTAAACTGCTAGGTAGAAGAAGGGCACTTTATCTATTCTTATCACAAATGTAGGACAACGGCTAGCACAAGGTTAGGAACTTACATGGTATTCAATTAATTGTTGTTTGATAATTGATTAAAAACTCTAGAATTTTGGGTTCCATTCTTATGATGACAATAAATAATGCTAGCGATGCCAAGTGAATAGCAAGTTTAACCAAGTTATCCTGTATGGGGAGCCACAGTTACTTAAAATGTCTGACAATCCACAGTCCTGGTGATCATGTGGAATATCACCCTCTTAATCGATGCAAAAATTTATTTAATAGTCATAGTGCTAAAGATGGCATGCCCTCCAAATGAGCAATTGCACTCTTAGTCATGCATTTATATGAATATGTATATAGGAATAGTCATGATAAAACTACTAATTATTATAAAATTTTTGGAAAAAGCATAACTATTAAAAATGAAATTGGAAACTTAAGACTACTCAATACGTCAACAAAAATGAATGAACTATGCAAAATCATGGATGAATTTCAAAAATGAAATGTTGAGAAAAAAAATTTGCACTGTTTTCAAGTCTAATACCAAACAGAACTAAATCGTATTTCTGGATAAACAAATTAGAAAATAAAATTATAAAAAAAAGCAAGAAAAAAATTACCACAAAAGTTGGGATGAAGTTACATTAAGAGATGGCATGGTCTTATACAAAGAAAACCCTAAAGACTGTGAAAGACTCCTACACTTGACAAATTACTGCAATAAATTTTCAGAATACGAAGTCAATGTACAAAATCAGTAGTATTTCTATATAGCAATAATATTCAAGCTGAGAACAAAATCAAGAACTCAATCTCATTTACAATAGCCACACACACACACACACACACATATAACTGAGAAATACATTTAACCAAGGAGGTAAAATATTTCTACAATAAGAACTACAAAAGATGGATGAAAGAAACCTGAAATAAAACAAACTAATGGAAAAATATCCCATGTTCATGGATTTAAAAAAATTAAAAATGACCATGGTGTCCAAAGCAATCTAAAGTTTCAATGAAATTTCTATCAAACTACCAATGTCATTTTTCACAGAATTAGAAAACAACAATCCCAAAGTTTATATGAAATCCTGAATTGAAAAAATGACCCAGATAGCCAAAGCAATTCTAAGCAAAAAGAACAAAGCTGGAGTCAGCACATCACCCCATTTCAAATTATACTACAAACCTATAGTAACAAGAACAGCATGGTACCAATACAAAAACAGATACATAGTTCAATAAAATTAAATAGAGAGCCAAGAAATAAAGCCACATACCTACAACCAACTAATCTTCAACAAAGCATGCACTAATAAACAATGTGGAAAGGATACCTTTTTCAATAAATTGTACTAGAAAAATTGGATATCCATATACACAAGAATAAAACTGGATTCCTATATCTCACCATATATAAAAATTAACTCAAGATTGATTAAATACTCAAATGTAAAAACCTATAAAATTCCTAGAAGAAAACCTAGGAAAACTTTACTGAATATCAGCCTTGACAAAGAATTTATGACTAAGTCATCAGAAGCAAATGAAACAAAAATAATAATAGGCAAATGGGACCTAAGTAAACTAAAAATCATCTGCGCAGCAAAAGAAATAATCAACAGAGTAAACAGACAACCTACAGAACAGGAGAATATATTCACAAATTATGCATCTAACAAAGTACTAATATCCAGAATCTACATGGAACTCAATAAATAAATAAATAAATAAATAAACACATTATGTCATTACAAAGTAGGCAAATGACATAAACAGACATTTATCAAAAGAAGACATGCAAGTTGCCAACAAACATTAAAAAATACTCAAGATCACTGAAGATCATAGAAATGTAAATCAATAATAAAGTGTGTATTAGTCTGTTCTCATGCTGCTATGAAGAAATATCCCAGACTGGGTAATTTATAAGGAAAAGAACTTTAATGGACTAACAGTTCCGTACAGCTAGGGAACATTCAGGAAACTTACAATCATGGTGGAAGGGGAAGCAATCATGTCCTTCTTCACATGGCAGCAAGAAGGAGAAGAATGAGAGCTGAGCAAATGTGGAATCCCCTTATAAAACCATCAGATCTTGTGAGACTCACTCACTATCACGAGAACAGCACGGAGGGTAACCACCCTCATGATTCAATTACCTCCCACCAGGTCCCTCCCATGACACATGGGGATTATGAGAACTAAAATTCAAAATGAGATCTGGGTGGGGACACAGCCAAACCACATCAAAAAGTGATTCATTTGACTTAGTCTTCCCTATCTTCTCTCATTTAGGGTAACATTATTTCCTTGAATCAAAAGGGTATCTCTATAGACTTTGAGTTCATCTTGACGTCTTTGAAACATGGATTATCAATTTGCAAATGTTATTTGTTGAATTATTGAGCTATATTCCTTGAAATGCTTTTAAGATGATGTTTTCATTAAAATAAATGAGGGACTTGAATCCTAATATTTAGGAAGATTTCTCAACATCATCACATACAATTACGAATTATTATGGACACAATAGTGGTAGTTTGGATTTTTATTGTGGTTAAACTTTTAGAAAGTACAAAATATTCATAATCTACATTTTAATATTTTATAATTCAAATGAATTTTAAGTAATTCTCTATTTTGACATTCTATAAATAAAAATGTCACCTATACTATATAAGGATTCACTCACTTTTCTCTACATTCTCATCAATACCTGATGTGTTGTGACTTTTAAAAAATAGCCATTCTGACTAGTATAAGGTGGCATTTCATTGTGGTTTTAATTTTTATTTCTCTGATGATGAGATTGAGCATTATTTCATATGTTTGCTGTCCACTCGTATGTCTTGGCTTTTGAGAAATGCCTGTTTATGTACTTTGTCCACTTTTTAATGGGGTTATCTATTTTGTTGTTGTTGAGTTGTTTGAATTTCTTGTCTATTCTGGATATTAGTACTTAGTTGGATGCATAGTTTGCAAATATTTTCTCACATTCTTCAGGTTATCTCTTTCCTCAGTTATTTCTTTTACTGTGCAGAAACTTTTTTGTTTAATTAAGTCCCATTTGTCTACTTTTGTTTTTGCTAAATTTGCTTTTGAGGTCTTAGTCACAAATTTTTTGCCAAGGCCAATGTCTAGAAGAGTTTTTCCATGTTTTCTATGACTATTTTTATAGCTTCAGGTATTATATTTAAGTCTTTAATTCATCCTGAGTTAACTTTGTGGATGGCAACAGATAGGGGCCCAGTTTTATTCCTCTGCATGTGGCTTTCCAATTTTCCCTGCACTATTTATTAAAGGGAATATCCTTTTCCCAGTGTATGTTTTTTTTTCAGCATTGTCAAATATCCATTGACTGTAGGTAGGTCCCTTTATAAATATCCACTAATAAAGTGACAAAGTGCCTTTGTCACTATATTCCTGGATTTTCTATTTTGCTCTATTGAGTATTGTGTCCATTTTTATATCAGTATCGTATTGTTTTTGTTACTATAGCCTTATAGTATAATTAGAAGGAATGTAAATTTGTCCCACCTCTATTAAAACAGTATGAAAATTTTTTCAAGAATTAAAGAGCCACAATTCACTCTAACAATCCTATACTGGGTGTATACCCAAAAGAAAAAATATCATTATACCAAAAAGATATTTGCACTCATTTATTTATAGCAGCAATATTCATAATACCAAAGATATTGAATCAACATGTGTCCATCAACAGATAACTGGATAAAGAAAATGATGTGATATACATATATAAATATATACACACACATACATGCACAATGAATACTACACAGCTATAAAAAATAAAATAATTTCACTTGCAGCAATATGGAAGGATAATTTTACACTTTATGTCTTAGTCTGTTTGTGCTGCTGTAACAAAATACCTGAGACTGGGTAATTTATAAAAAATAGAAAATTATTTTCTGATAGTTCTGTAGGCAAGGAAGTCAATGATCAAGATACCAGCACGTAATGAGGGCCTTCTGTTGCACTCTCAGATAGCATTAATTTAAAGGGCAAGAGAAAGGCAGAACTCTATTTGAGAGGGCTGTTGCAACCTTACAGCATGATACATTTTGAGAAATATGGTTTTGAACATTTTTATTAAAAATATAGGTATCAAAATCTCTACCATTTGTGTCATGTTATAATAATTAACTATAAAACTGCATTATTCAGAATACATAACAGTAAAAGTTAATATTAAAAAGTTTTAAAATGTATTTGCTTTTGCATATATTATTTCAATTGATCATAACAACCAGATATGATAACCGGGGCCAGGTATTTCTACTGTTATCATTAGAAATCAAAGAAAACTAACATATTTGATGGTTTTAAAAATTGTAAAAATTATAAGTGTACATATAAATATTAACTTGTAAGTCATCTTGCAAGTATTATAATCAAATTTCATTTTCAAATCGTGATGAATCTAACATGATACCTAAGTTTGTGTATTGAAAAATGTGTATACGTGTGCACACACTTTTAATTTAGATTTTTCTCATTCTGAGTGATAATGCAGCAAAATTTAAAGAGATTACACTATAATTATGTTTAAAACCTTAGTTGTACTTTTGAAACAAATTACAGGTTGAGTCATGATAACAGGACAAAATATACTTAACTGCTGAATATAAACAAAGTATACAGATGCATAAATCTTGCAAGCACAAAAGTGTTAAAAACAGCAAGATCTAGAGGCTCAAGTACAAGAGAGATATATTATACCAAGAGCAGTAATCTCAAAAATTTATATCCCAAATGTGCAGACTTGATCTTATTTTCAGTCAGTGTGTTCTGTATGGAAGATGAACATGCTCCTGACAATGGAGTGTGATTTAGAAAACTATATCCTGCACAGAGGGATATAAAATGTGATTATATACTGCACTTCTGTGCAAAATTTTAAACAGAATTTAATCAATCACTTTGAAACCTAGATATATTTGTGGAACAATGACATCACTTTGAAATTATGTGTAGTTTATAAATGCACAAAATTAATAATGTATTTTGTGTAAATGGATTACTTTGGAAAGAAACTCATAAGAACTAAATTATCAGACAAAAACATTCTTTGAAAATGTGTGTGCTACAAGGCAATTTGCCATTTCATTTTAATAGAATGTTCCATGCTGAAAATGTCTAACTGCTCAGAAGTGGAATAGGAGTGTAAATTTATTATCTGAGAAAAGAAAATTAATTGACACAGGCCAAAAATGTAATGGAATTAGACCCATGTGCCTTAGTGAGAACTTAGGAACTCGATCTGGGCTCTATGGAGTGATAAAATTATAAGCAAAAAAAATTGAAGTATGTCATTTTTGCACAGAGCTCAGGATTTCTCAAAGGAATATTATATAAAATAATGAAGTCTTCTTTATCTCCAAGACAGTCCAGTCTTAGAACGCAATGGAACATGCCATTTGAAATAAAAAACATTTTGTTCTTGTTTTGTTTAGTTATGTTTGGTGCTATTTTAAGTATTTAACATTCATAAAGAGAGAATTAGCAATTAATGAGATAAAGTTTGAATAAAATCTAGAGATCAGGACAAGGTAAAAAAAAATCATTCAGTCTTGAAAATCTGTTATTTAATAGGTCACGTTTTAAGAACTGGGAATACAGATACTATGTGTATTTTAAATAGAAAATTTGAAATGTACAATAAATCATTTTTAAATATAGTCACTCTGCTATAAAGTCAATCTCTAAAACTCAATCTTTGTGTCTAACTGAAACTGTACCCTGTGAACAACATCTCCCCATTCCCTATCCCTTGCCTCCAGCATTAACTAGCATTCTACGCTCTACGCTCTACTTTTAAGGGTTTGCCTTTTTTAGATTGCTAAAAAGTCTATTTTCAGTGTTCTCACGACAAAAAGGTAAATACGTGACATGAGATGTCTTAAGAAGCTTGATTTAATCATTCCACAATTTAAATATACATGAAGACATTATATGCACCCCTCAAAACAATTATTATTTGTTTATTTAAAACATTTAAAAGCAAAAAATAATGAGACAAATATCAGGAAAGTAATTTTATACATAAGCTAGATAATTGCCTATAGCTGCGTATGCTGTGAAATAATTTCTGTTTGAAAAGGCAGGAAAAATTATATGGCAAAACCATAGTGCAGTAATAAATTTGTCGTGTTTAGTAAACAAAATATAGTTCAATGTGACTGAAGCATACTAAGAGGCAGAAGAATGTGGTGTACACTGTAGTGTAGAGGAGTGTCTTAGTTTGGGCTGCTATACAAAATACCATAGATTGAGTGGCTTATAGATGACAAAAAAAAGTATTTCTTACTGTTCTAGGGGTTGGAAGTCCAAAGTCAGAGTGCCAGGATGTTCTGGTTTTGGGGAGGGCCCTTTTGCAGGTTGCAGACTGTTAGGTTTTTGTATAAGCACATGGGGAAAGAAGTGAGAGCTCTCTTAGGTCCCTTTTGTAAGAACACTAAGCCTATTCATGAGGCCTCTACTATCACAACCTAATTACCTCCTGAAGGTCCCACATACTAATACCATTACACTGACAGTTAAGATTTAATTGGGAGGCCGAGGCGGGTGGATCATGAGGTCAGGAGATTGAGACCATCCTGGCTAACAAGGTGAAACCCCGTCTCTACTAAAAATACAAAAAATTAGCCGGGCGCGGTGGCGGGCGCCTGTAGTTCCAGCTACTCGGGAGGCTGAGGCAGGAGAATGGCGTGAACCCGGGAAGCGGAGCTTGCGGTGAGCCGAGATTGCGCCACTGCAGTCCGCAGTCCGGCCTGGGCGACAGAGCGAGACTCCGTCTCAAAAAAAAAAAAAAAAAAAAAAAAAAAAAAAAAAAGATTTAAATATAGAAATTTTGAGGGTACACTTTAAAAATTCAGTCCATAACATTCTGCCCCAGGTTCCCCAAAATTCATGTCTTCACATGCAAAATGCAGTCATTCCATTCCAACAAATCCATAAGTCTTAACTCATTCCAGCCTCAAGTCCAGTCTAAAGTCCAAGGTCTTATTTAAGTATTAACTAAATCAGATGTAGGTGAGATTCAAGGTACAGTTCATTCTCACAAAATTTCTCTTCATCTGTGAACCTGTGGAATCAAACAATATGAACATTCAAAATACAATGGTGAGACAGGCATAGGATAAACATTCCCATTCCAAAAGGAACCGCTATTCAAAAAAAATAAAATAAATGAATGCTGTGTCCCAAGTAAATCTAAAACCTAACAGGGCAAACTCCATCAAATCCTAAGGTTCAAGAAGCATCCTCTTTGGCTTGATGACTCACCTTCCAGACAGTCCCCGACAGCTCAGTGAGGCACTGCTCGCTGCTGACTCTATGCACTGGACCCACTTATGGCACAGTTTTTTGTCAGGGCTGAGGTCACTCACCCAGGGCTTCACTGGATGGCCCTCCCACACAGCTCCTCTGAGCATCATTTCTGTCCTTTGAAATCAGAATGGAGGCAACCATGGCCCACCTTGCCATACCCTCTGGATTTTTGCTAAAAGTAGCAGCTGTAATTGTCTCCAAATCCCCTTTGAGCCCCCCTTCCTTAATTTTGAAGAATAGAATAGCACACATCCACAACTGAATAGCTCTCTGCTCTCGGGTCCAGGCCTGTAGGGCTTAAGCATTCCGAATGTCTTCCTTTATTTCATCCCATTATCTGTTTCCTTTAGTCCCAACTGGCAGTGTTTCTCCTGGTATAATCCCATTTCTAGTCATGGTTTGTGTTGAGATGTTTGATTAAGCCTATGGTTCACACCCATATTAATCAAATCAGTAAGGGTCCGAAACACTCCTCATGTTCTCTTCAGAACACACGTTCTCACTTTTTTTGCAATATGGACAGGCTGAGAATTTCCCAGATCTTAAATTATGGTTACTTTTTCCTTAACCATTCCATCTTCAAACCTTTTTCTTTTTCTACATTTGACTCTACGGATTCAGAAGGAACCAAGCTGCTGCTTCTACATGTTGCTGAGAAATCTGCTGGGTTAAATATCCAATTTCACTGCACGTAAGTTCCACCTTCCGCAAAACACAAGAACATGAATACAATTCAAAGAAGTTTGTTTCCACTTTTCAACATGGATTGCTTTTGCTCCATTTTCCAATAACATATTCATTTCCATTTGAGACTCGAACAGAATGACCTTTACTGTCCATATTTTATCAATATTCTGTTCATGATTATTTAATTATTTTCTGAGAAGACAGTGTTTTCTTCTATATTTCTTTCCAAGCCCTCACGAGAATTGACTTTTAAATTTCTTTCACAGTAATCTAGCATTTTGCATAAAAACTCATCAATCTCCACCAATCACTGAGCCTAAAACCATTTTCACTTTGTTTTAGTTATTTATAACAACAGCACTCCCACTTCTCATGATCAATTTCTGTCTTCAGCAGTTCAGGCTGCTTTAATAAAGTTCCATAACCTGAGTGGCTTTTAAATAACAGAATGCACATCTCACAGTTCTGGAGGCTGGAAGTCCAACAGCAGAGTGCCAGCGTAATTGGGTTCTGATGAGAGAGCTCTCTTGGGTTTCAGACTGCTGGCTTCTCAATGCAGCTTCACATGGTGGACAGAAAGAGCTCTCAAGAGTCATTTTTAAGGGCACCAATCTAATTTATGAAGCCTCCGCCATAATAAGCTAATTACTTCCCAAAGTTCATTATAAATATGCAGCTTATAGGTCCTGCTACCATCATACTGAAGGTTAAGTTTTCATCACATGAATTTTGAGGGGACACAACATTCAGTCGCAACAAAAAATACTCGGTGGTTTTTAATTACAATATTAATTATGTAAATACAGAATAAAAATTTTAGCTCTAAACATTATCCATGATGTGATTAATTAAATTATTAGTTTAAAAAATTGAATCTGTAATTTATCTTGCCTCTATAATTATTATAAGAACTTGTAAACTTTTAACTTGTTTAATTTGACTATTTCTGAAATTGTATCTCTAAGTATTGATATACACACTTCCTAGTGCATATAAAAGTTATGCATATTTAGAGTAATAAGTAGTGTGTTATCATGTTTTTATATCAGGGCAGGAAGGGAGAAGTTGACAAAGTGTCCTTTTCAACAACTTCGGCATACGTATCTTTCTACAGGACTATAACATGTCACCAGCCACAAGGGCAAGGAGACTGGGCATTGTAGTTATTTGGCAGGACACATTGCTCTTTCAAACAAAAATGGCATTCAGAAACAAGAAAGTAGGGAAGAGAGGTTTTGGTTGGACAGCTTGCATTGTTGTCCCTTCTTTTCCTAGGCTTCAAAATGCTTGGTTTCAGAATTCTTTATAGGGTTACCCCTCTGCGTAATTTTATCTATCCATTAAATCTCTCAAGTCCAGGTCTCCAAGCTCTTCTCAACTAGTATGACGGCAACTTCTACAGAGATGTCAATGCAGTACAAATGCTTGTTTTAAAGTTGTTTTAATCCAGCTTCTAACATTCTAAATATTGTATTAATCCAATATTCTAATTCAGAATATTGAGAATAAACTAATCTTACATGAAATATCTTTTTTCTCCTATTATTTGATAGAATGTGCAAGCAAAAAACAAAAAGGGCCTGTGTCCCTAGTCCCATTTTCTTGCTCAGAGGTAACATCCACAACATTTTTAGTTTTCTGTTGTTCTTCTCTGATGCTCCCAATAATATACCTTTGTTGCGGTTATTGTTGTTATTACTGCTCTTGCATCAAGCACTACCTCTTAGTGCTCATGTACATCCTTACCGAGGTCCATTTCTTTACTCTCTGCCCCATTCCAAGTTGTGTTAGGTAGAGGATTACATTGATCAAGTCCTGTTTTTAGCTATCTTCATAACATTAACACTTTAAACCTCAATGTCTTCACTGTTCTACTGTCCTATGAGCTCTAGCAATCTTAAGTTTCATGTCACTTCTCAGACTATGGCAATGGTAATCTGCATTAATGGCAAAATCATTAATATTGATGAAAATTTTTATTTTCTGCCCTTCCCAAAATCATCTACTTCTTTGGAATTTACATTAGCAGGCAACAATGGCAGTGGCAATACCACCTTTTGGAAGGTAACTGTAGCTCCACCCTTATCTGTAAAAAGATATGTATTAAGACCCCCAGTTGATGCCTGAAACAGTGGATAGTAAACATGTGCTATTTTTCCTACACATACATACTTATAATAGACTGTAATTTAAAAATTAGGCATAGTGAAATTTAACTAATAATTATAGTAGTTTATTAGTTAAACTACTACTACTAAATATTATAGTAGTAGTATTTATTTAAACTAATATACTCATTATGGGAGTAGTATTAAACTAATAGGCTAATTATATTAGTTTAATAATTCTATTAGATTATTAGTTAAACTAATACTACTAATGATAATAGAATTATATTAGTTATACTAATATATTATTTATAGGAGTAGTATACTTCTATAATTATATAGGAATATAATTATATTCCTTTTACTAATAATTATATGAACATAACTAATAATAGAATTATTATAACAATATACTGTAGTAAAAGTTATGTGAATGTGGTCTCTTTCTCTTGAAATACCATATTATTATCTACTTTTCTTTCTGTGATAAAGAAAACAGGGAGTAGGATGGACAACCTGAGAATTTATCACGTTATGGTACACAATTTGAAAGTTATTATTTCTATAACTTTTATTTAATATTTTTCAAAACCTGATTGACCACTGATAGCTAAAACTGTGGAAAGTGAAACCACTGGTGTTGCTAAAAGTGTCTTCCTTTGATAAATGTACCAAGAGTGGATTCTCAAGAGGAGTAACATAGATAGGAATTTACATTGTAGATGGTCTCGGCTATTGCTAAATATCTACAAATTCTCTTGGGAATAATATAAGCAGCCATGTCAGCATCAATATCTTTAGTAATGTTGTTAGTGGAGCATCAGTAACTAGGGCTTTGCGATTATGAGATACATTTTTCCAAAGACATGATGCAAACATCCTCAGCAGTAGAAGAAAAAGTTGAATTCCAACTCTTTGTCAAGAGGTATTCTTGGGAATTGTTATTATACCCAATTTTCCCCCAGGATTATGTGCCATGATAAATATGCCTTACAATAACTTAGTTAAGAATATTATAGGTAATACATATTTCATCACCTTAAGAAATCTGAATGGCTGTTTGGAGGTATATTAACTACCTCCAACTAATTAGTAGATTGAGGTTCAAGACTGCTGAGATAAAATTGAATACATTTAGAAACACTAATGGCATATTTTCCTAAGGAGAATCTTTAGATAACCAAAGAGTTAATGTCCTGTTTTTATATGTCTTAGTAGTCTGAATAAAACTTGTTAAATAATTTTTCCCAGAAGAAACGTTATATTAATATTTTTCAAAAAGTTATATTAATAGTTAATTATCTAGTTATCTGGACTTTTTCCAAAAGAGTATATCTATAAAGAGCATCTACTCTATGAATTGTAAAAATAAACTCAAGGGATAGTAAATCAGTATTTAGTCTGTAAATATTATCTCACTGTGTCCATGACATTTGTGAACTTAGTAACCAAATTTAAGGATTTAATGTGTTTGCTTGTTGTTAACATATATAGAGAGAGAAAAATAAATAGATGAATTTTCAGAATTTATCTAATTTTCTCCTCCATCAAAGTTACAAATTAGCTGTTTGATTTACTATACTCAGTTAAAATTCTCCGGCATTTCATCTTGATATTACTGACATCCTGGAAGGAGTATCTTGTTTGTTTGGCAAGTGGATATTTTTTTAAAATAAATTATTGCTTCATAATTTTTATTGTTTATATTTTAAGGTTATGAAAAAATGCCCTTAAAAGATAAATGGTATATATATATATAAATGGTATGTATGTATATATATACATATATATACATGAAGATTAATATGTATATATTGCATATATATTACATATGTATATATTAATCTTCATGTAGTATATCTGTTGTGACATAAATGAAAGCTTAATTTCTTGCCAAGTTGTAGACTATTACAGTATATTATTTTAAGCACTACACTATACATACTTTTTTTGAAAATTCACTGCACTTATACATACTTCTTTTAGAAATGCACTGCACTTATATACACTTGTTTTGGAAAAAAATAATAAAGTAATGTATGTTCTAATATAGAATCATCACTTGGGTACATTATGTGATAAAAATGCAAGATACTATGCATGCTGTTTTTAAGGTATATAAATATGTATGTAGGCACATATGTGCAAAAAATGGGAAAAATAGTTCAGAATTTGGTGACAGTGTTTACCTTTGGGGAGTGGAACCAGAGTTGAAGAAATATTTCATTTTTTATCCTTTTATATTTTCAAGATATATAAACACAAATATTTAAGAAAAACTGTGTAGCTCAACAATATATCAGAAAAACCTGTGTAACTAGTATACAGGTCAGAAGCTAGAATTTGCTAGCACACAGGGCTCTGGCAAATACTTTTGCCCATTCACTACCTCTTACCTTCACAAAGTTAACTACTGGTATGATTTTTACAGGAATCTATTTCTTGATTTTTATACCTATACCTCACATGCTTCCCCAAGCATGACACTTCAGTATTGCCTGATTTTTTGAACTTCTTATAAATAGAATCATACAGAACATATGATTAGTTTTATTGGGCAATAGCAAATAGTTCACTAACAAGATTCTCACCAACAGCTACATGTTTTTGGCAATATTTGACATGGGCAGTCTACTTAATTTAAAATATTTTGATTTTTTGTCATATTATCACATTAAAGTTCTTTTTTGCGTTTTAATAACGGCTATTCTGATTTTCATTTTACATTTTGATTTCGTCTTCTATAAAGTCTCAAGTCCTTTTATATTACTGTGTCTTTGATATCTGTTTTAAAATACGTTTTGGACAAAAGCCTTTATCACTTACATACATTGAGAAGAGCTCCTCTATGAATTGTCATTTCACTTACCTTACAATATCTAATAAACATTAATGACAATTTTAATGTAGTTTAATTCAATGGTTCTTAAATGGGTTTTGTTTTGTCACCTAGGGAATATTTCTCAATGACTTGTGACAGTTTGGGTTGTTTTAACTGGTGAGATGCTAGTGGCATCATGTGGGTAGAGGCCATAGATGCTGCTAAACATGCTACAATACTTGGACTGCCCAACCATGACAAAGAATTATCCTCCTCAAAATGTAACAATGCAATATGTGCATATTTCTTGAAGATATTCTACAATATAAATTTCTAGAATATTTATTGAATAATTATATTCATCTATACAACCCACTAGCACTGATTTTATACATGAAACATATGGAGAGTAGAGAATTATTTTTTTTCACTATGTGGACCTGAAACATGTAAAGAATAAGGAGTTATTTTTCACTATGTGGCTACCAAAATGGGAAACATAGTTTATTGGAAATGACGCCATTTCAGCTGTGCTGTGCAATATCGATTATATATCAAATATCCTTATATGCATGAGTCTGTTCCTGGGTTTTCAATCTGAATACTCTCTTCTTTTCCACTACTACATTCTCCATCTTTATGAGTAGGATTAATATTAAAAAATGCAAATCCACTCATGTTTTTCTTTTTCAATATTGCTCTACTTGCAGTTTTGCATTTCCATATAAATTGTGGAATCATGTTGTCATTTCCAAAAAACAAAGCAAACAAGCAAACACCCTGCTTGTTTTATGATCAGTATTTAATTGAATTCATAAAAAAGTTTACAATATTCAATGTTTCAGTTCATGAATACTCCAAACTCCTTTATTTTTAAACTCATTTTAAATTTCTCTCAATTATACTGTCTCTATGTTAAAGTTCTCTTTGTAAAATTCTTCATAACTTTTGCTAGAATTATTACTTAGGATTTTATATTTTTGGGTTCCATTTAAATGGTATATATGAATAATATTGTATATATTTATTTTCTGAGTATTACTTCTAATATACAGAAATGCTATAATTTTCTGAATATGGGTCATATATTTCATACCATTGTTAATTCACCATTAGTTATAATAATTCTAATGATAACCTAATTAGAAGAATGTGATAAATTATTTTAGATTTCCATATACTCTGAAAATTATTTCATTTCTCTCTTTCCAATCTTTGTATCTCTTATTTTTATATTTTGCTTTATTGCACTGGCAAGGACATCCAGTACAATGTTTAATTAATTCTTCGTAAATAGACTTTCTTGTCTTTTGCCAGATTACAAAATAAAAGGACTTCAACATTTTACCATTATCATATCTGCTGTATTTTTTTAGACATCATTATCACATTCAATTTGTTTCAGAATTTTTGTTTTCATCATAATGATTTTGAATTTCATAACTCATTATTCTGCAGTAATAGTTGCTCATCCAATGCCTTCTTTCTTTTATCCTTATTATATAAACTCCTGTTTTTTCTCTGCTAAATACATTATTTTGAACATCACGTACATTTCAGGCTGATCATGTGTCATTTTAATGCTGAAATGGGCTTTGAGTCAAGACTCCAGTCTTCTAAAATCATGAGCACTCTTACCAGGGCTTTATCCAATATACGCTTTTGTAAAGAGTCACATTTTTCAAATGTACACGTTTTTTATTTCGTAAATCTCTACCCTGTGACCATTATGTCTGCCTTTATGCTGTCTTCGGATTTATTTATTTATTTATTTTTCTCATCTCTTTGGCATGTATACTTTGATCATTCCTTTTTCAGGCTTTGGTATTTTTGTTGTTGTTGTTGTTGAAATGGAGTCTTGGTCTTTCACTAGTCTGGAGTGCAGTGGTGCGATCTTGGCTCACTGCAACCTAGTCTCCCGGGTTCTAGAGATTATCCTGCCTCAGCCTCCGGAGTAGCTGGGATTGCAGGCGCCTGCCACCATGCCCGGCTAATTTTTGTATTTTTAGTAGAGACGGGGTTTCACCAAGTTGGGCAGGATGGTCTCAATCTCTTGACCTCGTGATCCTCCCGCCTCGGCCTCCTAAAGTGCTGGGATTACAGGCGTGAGCCACCACACACAGCCTGGTATTTTCCAACAAATGAAATTAAAGTACAAATTTTCCCTTAACATGACGTTACCTAGATATCACACATATGATATCTGGAAATAAATGAGCGCCTGGAAATAAATATACCATTATTTGGGTATTGTGTTTTAATGCCGTATGTGCCTTTCAGAACAATTTTACGGTTCAAGTGTTTTAGATAATTTCTGATTTGTTGTCTGCATATTCTATCATATGTTATGAAAATTTTATTGGGATCTTTTACTTTCATTATCAACTGATTATTTATCCTTATTAGGTAAATGTTTATTTATTTCAAACCTATATTTCATGTGCATTTAAGTTTGGCATTGATCCCCTGAATAAGCTCTATGTGTAGTATTCTTTTTTTTTCATTTAAAGTCTTCTTTTTCTAAAACTATTTGGTTTAAGGAAAGCTTTAGCTGTTTAATATTTGCATAGGATATAATTTATTATTATATTTTTAACTTTCCTATATTTTTATGTTTTAGATATATTTTCTGTAAATATAACACAGTTATGTTTGTTACTCTTGTCCATTCCACAACCTCTGTATCTTAGTTTTATTATTTTTTTCTTTTTCCATTCAGACTTCTACTAATATATTGGGTTTTAAATGATCCATCTTATTATATGTCTAATTTTGCATCACATATTCTATAATATGCTTTCTTTTATTAAAAACTTTAGATTGATAAAGCATGTAATTATTTTTATCCTCAAGTAATTATTTCATTATTCTATTTTTTAATTCATTAGTTATTTAGCTAACCTAGAGATTGCAGAATGTACCAAATTTATTTGAAAGTCTACTGTTTCTTGATGTATTAACTTTTTCTCAGAGAACATATATTTAAGCTGTAATTAGCTTCTGCCTTACTTACATGCTTAAATCTTAAATCTTATAATCTCAACATTAAATGCACTATTTATTTGTCACACTTACTCTTTCCTGCATCTCTAACTTTATCATGAGAACCTTTTCATGATGGGAAGCTCTGCTGGTGATGAAACCAATATGTATATGCCTGAAAATGTCTGTATTTAATTTTCAAAAGTGAAATAAATTATTGCTGGTTATAAAAGTCTAAGGTGTCCATTAGTCTTCTTCGACTCTTTAAATATATCATTCTAATTTCTTCATATTTATTGATGCTAATATGAAAACATGTATTATCTTGATGTTAATATGAAAACGTGTGTTTCCGCTTTTAAGGCTTTGTTTTTGCTCTGGTTGCTGTACCTTATGTTCTTGGCAGTTTTATTCTGATAGCTTTGAAGAAATTTTGTTTTTCTTTTTACCTTTCTTTATGGTGATTGTACCTTTTTTTTTTTTTTTTTTCAGACGGAGTCTTGCTCTGTCCCCCAGGCTGAAGTGCAGTGGCTCTTCACTGCAACCTCCGCCTCCCGGGTTCAAGCCATTCTCCTGCCTCAGCCTCTCGAGTAGCTGGGATTACAGGACCACCCCCGGCTAATTTTTCTTGTATTTTTAGTAGAGACGGGGTTTCACCGTGTTAGCCAGGATGGTCTCTATCTCCCTACCTGGTGATCCGCCCGCCTTGGCCTTCTAAGTGCTGAGATTACAGGCGGAAGCCGCCGCGCCCGGCCAGTACATTTTAGATCTATGAACTGATGTGTTGTTTCATCATCCTTTAGACAATTCTTGGGTTTCGACTATTCAATAGTCATCCTTTTAAGCCCCATCATCACACTTCATCGTCTTCTTTTTTTTTTTCTTCTGAGACAGCGTCTTGCTTTGTCTCCTAGGCTGGAATGCAGTGGTGCTGTCTGGACTTACTGCAACCTTTGCTTCCCGGGTTCAAGTGATCCTCCCACCTCAGCTTCCCAGACTACAGGCACGCACTACCAGGCCCCACTAATTTTTTGTAGAGACAGGGTCTCACTATGTTGCCCAGGCTGGTCTTGAACTCCTGGATGCAAGCAATCCTCCAACCTTGGCCTCCCTGAGTGCTGGGATTACAGGCCCAAGCCAGCCACGCACCTTGCAATCTACATTGATTTAAAAAATTCATTGATAATTGCATTAAGCTTTTACAGTGTGTTCTTAGTGTCCCTAACTCATTTCTCCATTTTCCTTCACTGTGTCTCTTGTTCTTTTCTTAACATTTTTGTCTCATCTATTTTGTAGTTTACTTTTTTCTTAATAATTTATATTGCTCTTAAATTTATCCATGGAGTTGTTACTGTATTTTTTAATTAACAATTTTAAATTTGGCTTTCCAATTTTTCTTGAGTTCTCTGCTAAAATTGTGAGTCATGTTTTCTATCTCCTTATAAATACTAAATAAAATCATTTTTATAATTTGTTCAATAACTTCAATATGTGGAACTATATATTTCTGTTTATATTATCTGTTGCTTTTCTATGATTTCACTTATGTATTATTGTTTTGTTGTCTTCTTGGTTCTTTTATTTGTTCCAAACATTGTCTTTGCAATTCAAAATAATTTAATTAGTAGACCCAGCAGGGTTATACCAGTGACCAGTGCCTGCAGTGTCTGGGATGGGAAAAAATAAATAAATGATTTAAGTTGCAAAGTATAGAGTTTACCTTGTTACTAATTAAAATGTTTAAAAAGCTCTTTACAAATGTATGAGATTTATAAGTGAATTGGACTTTTAAAACTCATCAGATATTTTATTATACTAAGGAAATATTACTTATTTATATGTGAGATTATAGATAAATGGTTTTGCTAAAAATTATAGTTCATATCTCATAGAAATACACAGTGAAATATGTATGGATGAATTTATATTATGTCTAGGATTTACTGAGTAATATTACTGATTATACCGTGTGTGGGATTAGAATGAGGGTATAGAGCAAATAAGATTAGTAATTAATTGATATTTAAATAAATACAAAATGTGAACATAGAGATTTATCACATGTTTAATATTCTATATAATTAAATGTTAAAAAAATAATTTAAAGACTCTGTAGGTACCCTCGCAGGATTTGCCTTTATAATGTCATTTGCATAACTCTACAGGCAATTCAGGATCATCTCCAGCCAATTTCTGGAACTGAAACAATTCAAATCTGTGCTTCAACTTCCGCAAATGTCTTCTCTTTCTGAAAAGCTTTTTAGCTAGGTTTCTCCTTTCGGTACTGTGACTTAAAGCAAGAAAATATTCCTCACTTTTTTCAGTAATCAAGACTTTAATCTATCCTACCAGTACCCTCAGGAGTACTAGGTTATTTCATCTACTCTTTGTCTCCATGACATTCATGACATTGATACAAAGATTGAACAAAAATTACAGCCTAGACATTTGGTCAAATGATTTTACATTTAGTTACATAGGCTGAGTATTCCTGATTAAATTGAAGTTCTCCTTTTTGGCAAAAATGTTACTTAAATGAAGCTTAAATGTTACAAAATAGGTGATCTGTAAGGAGTTGATTTAATATTGTTTAAATATTTTTGCCTTTCAAAGTTTCACACAATAGCTTCTCTCTCATTGCTCCCTGAAAATATAAATGATACGGGAGTTACAAATGATGATTCTCTAGCTTTCAATACTTCAACTTTTTTTTTTTTTTTTCCTTTCTCTGAGAAAAGTTCTCACTCTGTCGCCCAGGCTGGACTGCTGCAGCCTCCAACTGTTGGGGTCCAGGGATCCTCCTACCTCAGCCTCCCAAGAAGCTGGGAATACAGGCATATGCCAGCATGCCTAGCTAAGTTTTTTGTTGTTGTTGTTGTTTGTTTGGTTGGTTGGTTGGTTGGCTTTTTATTTTTTATTTTTTTATTTTATTTATTTATATTTTTTTTTTGAGAAGGAGTCTTGCTCTTGTTGCCCAGACTGGAGTGCACTGGCATGATCTCTGCTCACTGCAATTTCTGCCTCCCAGACTCAAGCGATTCTCCTGCCTCAGCCTCCTGAGTAGCTGGTATAACAGGAGCCCTCCACCATTCCTGGCTAATTTTTTGGTATTTTTAGTTGAGATATGGTCTCACCGTATTGCCCAGGTTGGTCTCAAACTCCCAACCTCAGGTGATCTGCCCGCCTCAGCCTCCTAAAGTGCTGGGATTATAGGTGTGAGCCACAGCTAATCTTTTAAATATTGTTTTTTTAGTGATGAGATCTCACTGTGGTGCTCAGGCTGGCTTTGAACTCATGGTTTCAAATGATTCTCCCATCTTGGCCACCCAAAGTCCTGGGAATACAGGCCACCATGCCTGCTTGACATATTATTCTTTTTTACAATTTGTATTTTGGTATCTTTTGTTAAACAGATGTTTTCCACTTTAATGTCATCATTTATACTTGTTAGTATTTTTTATTACTAAAAAATATTTTGCTACTCAAAGATCATGAGTTAGATATTTTCCTATATTAACATCCAGTCTTTTATTGGTTTTTCCTTATAACATACACGAACAAACACACTATATATTCATTGTTTTCTATATATATGTCTACTTATCTGAGCACCAGTTTTTGGAAACAGTTTTGCTATAACTGCTCTGCAGTACACTCTTTAGTGTAAATCACACTTTCATAAATACGTGAGTCTGCTTTAGTGACATTCATTTTATTTGACTGGCCTCTTTGTCTATTTTTAATTTACTATCACACATTATACTGTTTTGTAGGTTTATAAATCTTTTTATTTGAAATATTGTCTGTTGCTGAGTTTTTTATACAATATTAACTATTTTTATATTTTGAATATATATTTTTAAATTTTCTCATCAAATTATGAAAAAAACATAAGATTTTTAATGGCCCTATGGTATTGATTGACACCTTTAGAATATTGAGTTTTCCAAGGAGGGAACATGGCATATATTTCCATTTTATAATGATTTATTTAACATGTCAATAACAGTTTATAGTTTTCTGTGCAGAAATCATATACACATTTTTTATGTATATTTGTAGGTGCTTGGTATTTCCAGATGTTATAGTAAATGGTAACTTAAAAGTATATTTTATAAGTGGTTATTTTTGGTATATAGAAAAGTGATTTTAGTCAGATTTACTTGAACATAATTTATATATAGTAAATTTCACTTTAAAGGTGTACAGTTCTATAATTTTTGAAAAAATTTACACTCATCAAGCCAGCATCAAAATAAAGATGCAGAATATTTCCATTATCTCTAAAAACATTCCTTCATGCCAGTTATAGTCAATTTCCTTATTCTATTTCCATTCTGTGGCAACCTCTGCTCTTATTTCTGTTTCCTTAATTTTCTTTTTCTGAATGTCATATAAATGGAATCACAGAGTATATAGTTTTTTCAGTCCAATTTATTTTACTTATTAAGTTATTTAGAGACTCAGCCTTGTCATATGTATCAGTAGATGATGCTTTTTAAAATTGTGGAGTCATATTCTACTGTGTGGGTGTATCAGAGTTTTTACCTATTTACTAGTGATGACAATTTTTTCTCAATGTTGTGTCATCAAAAGTTTTTAAAACAAAAATTAAAACATGAAAGTTTGGGCACTTTGAATTGAGTTAGAGAGAGTCAAGCAAGTAAAAGAATATTAAACTAAGACTATGGCTATTGATGTAAAGAAATGTACATGATTTTAGGAACTAGAAACCAAACTGCAATTACCCAAATGTCCATAACTAGGTGAACAGATAAACACACTGTAGTATATACATAAATTGGAATTTATTAAGGAATAATAATGTTCAAATAATATAATGAATATTTTTATTATATTATTACATACAATTACAAGTATACATATTATTTTATTCATATATTCTAATTATTATATTAATACATACAATAACATGTATAAATGTTAATTATGCTTACTGAAAAACAGTAGACAAAAAGTACATACTTTATGATTCCATTTATATAAAAATCTAGAGAAAGAAAGTAATCTAAATAATAAAGAGTGAATCTGTGATGGCTCGAGGCTGGTGCAGGAGGGAGTTTGACGAAGGAATAGAATGGTAGGATTATAGAGATACACAGAAAATTTTTGGTTCTATGCTGGATATGTTTGGCTTCTCGATTATGGTGACAGTTTATCAGGTGGGAGCATATGTCCAATGTATGAGACTGAACATTGAAACTGCAATAATCATATAATGAAATATTGAGCAATAAAAGGAATGAAATACTGATGTATACCACAACATGAATGAGCCTTGAAAACATTATGCTAAGTGAAAGAAACAAGATGCAATAGACCACATATTGTACTATTCAGTTTATGTAAAAGATCCAGAATAAGCAAATCCATAGAGACAAAAAGTATATCAGTGGTTCCCACAAACTAGGGGCTGGGGGAATGAAGAAAGAGTGTTGGTTACTTTTTGTGTTGATGAAAATTTTCTAAAATTAGATACTTTTAATGTTTGTACAATTCTGTGCATATACTCAAAACCGCAGAGTTATACACTTTAAAATGTTTTATCTTGCGATATATGAATTGTATCTTTGTGAATCTAATATTGAAAAAATATTGGAATAGACTGTTGGATTAATTTTGAGGTGTGAATATTCACTAATCAGCAGTGGATCCTCATGTCTATGAGTTTGTGTATTAAAATCCATGGGCCAGGGGGAGCGGCTCATGCCTGTAGTCCCTGCACTTGTGGAGGTCGAGGCAGATGGATCACTTGAGGTCAGAAATTTGAGACCAGCCTGACCAACATGGTGAAACCCCATCTCTACTAAAAATACAAAAAATTAGCCAGGCTTGGTGGTGGGCACCTGTAATCCCAGCTACTTGGGAGTCTGAGGCAGGAGAATCACTTGAAACCTGGAGGCAGAGGTTGCAGCGAGCCAAGATCATGCAACAGAACTGCAGCCTGGGCCACAAAGTGAGACTCCTTCTCAATAAAATGAACTACAATAATAAAATAAAATAAAATAAAATATAAAATAAAATAAATAAAATCCATGAATAATTGAATCTATGGGGCATTAGTGCATTCTTGTGTTTACCAAAGGCATGGATATAACTCTTTTGGAGTGTCAGCATTCTAAAATCAATATCCCAAAAGGCCTGTAAACACCTGGAGATTCTTGGCTTAGCACGAATAATTGAAAGTATGGAAGAAAGTGACAGCTGTTTAAATATTTTAAAGCCATTCAAAAGAGATGCTCTCTTAGTCTGCTCAGGTTGCCATAATGAAATGCCACGAACTGGTGGCATAAGCAGCTGAAATTTCTTTTCTCACAGTTCTGGAGACTGGAAGTTCAAAATTAAGGTGGCAACAGGACCAGGGCCTGTTGAGTGGTTTCTCTTTGGGTTGTGAATTGTTGACTGTCACTATGTCTTCACGTGGCTTTTTCTCGATGTATTTGCTCAGAAAGAGAAAACTTTGCTGTCTCTTCCTCATCTTATAAGGGCCTTAATCTCATCATAACAGCCCCATCCTCATGACCTCATCTAACTCCATTACTTTCTAAAGACTCTGTCTCCAAATATCATCACATGAATGTTAAGGCTTTAATGTATGAATTTTGAAGAAACACAATTCAGGCCATAGCAGGTGCTTTCTGTTGGTCCAGGCAATCTAAATTTACTAATGTCTTTAGTCACTCCAGTTTATCATTTATTGTTGATTGATTACAAAAATGGCAGCAAGCTTTTATCTCTTTGTATCCAGTCTCTGCATTATGACTTTGCACCTTCTCCAGACAACTATAGTCTGTGTCCCCACCTTTTGATTCTGGGATAACATTTTACCAATAAATGCGGCAGAATTGAGAATGTGTCATTTATGAGCTTAGGCTTCAAACAGCTTTCTTGTTTCTGTTGTTGCTTTTGAAGCCCTGTCAATGTCCTGAGCAATGTTCGCCCCACAAGGTTAATTACAACAGAGCAGATACCAGTAGTCTCAGCACAGACTGACTTCCACTAACCTATTGTTATTGAGTTCTCAGATATATAAGCATAGACCAGCCAGATTTGGCTCAATCATGAGAAATAATAAATACTTATTGTTTTAATCTGCTAAGTTTTGATGTAGTTTTTACTCAGCAATAGCTAATTGATGGAGTATGTCTTATTGATTCCCCCCATATGGACACTTCTTCCAAAAGTTATTGTAGGGAGTCATTACATACTGAAATTACAGAACTACATTTACGTATTATCGTGTTTACTATGGTTAACCAACCTATAAATTATAGGTAAACTTAATGCATTCTAAATTCTTCTTATTAAGAAGATGTATTATACTATATTATATATTATCAAGTTATTAGATATGTCTAATTCCATGTTGCACAGAAATATTTTTTCATATTTTATGTTCATCTCCACTTGACTTCTTTGTAGTCAAGTTTTTTTCTGTCTGGAAGCTTATTTTTTGTCTTTAACTTCCTTAACATTAACATCGATAATGTAGAGGCAGTTTTGTTTGTTTTATTTTAATCTATTGTCTTTTCATCATTTGTATTTAATCATTAAAAATTATTGACTATTATTTCTTTAAGTTTTAATTCTGAGACTAGCAAAACATGGGATGTGTCAACACTACTTCTCTATGTCTTCTTACTTTACTATGATAGTATCAATCATCATACCTTCTCAATACTTTCTAGATGGTTTTTCCAACTGGGCATTCCAGTTCATTATTCACCTCCCCTTCCATGTTCTCTCTACCTTCATCTTATTATTTTGTTCATGTTACCATATTCACTGATATCAGTGAAGGACGATTTGCTCTTAATTAAGATTTTGCTGAACAAAGATGCAGTGAAGGGAGATGCAGTCAGGGACATCTTTTCCAAGCCACCTCTGAGCCCGAAGCTTATACAATTAAAAAATATATGGAGAATAAATACACATATTTTACCGTTATGAATTTATTGCACACCAATGGTCATGAGGAGACTTTGCTAATGTCGCATCCGGGTCTTTGGAAAGCACCCGTGCAAATGAGGAATATACTAGCCTAAACTTTGGTAAATTGATGTCTCTGAATAGGACTTGAGACTTCTATTTTCACTCTATGACTGACTCTAAGCATGTCATGCCTGAAAGTTTACTCACAGTTTTGTTCTGAATGCTGAGTAAGGCCCTGCGTTCATCCCACTTCTGTATCTCTAGGCAGCACGTTAGTATTCCATTCTGAATTGATGAGAAATTGAATTCATGGGGTGCTTTGCAGACAGCATGTAGCTGAAGAAAACAATAGTTTTCTTTCCTTGGTTTCCCTTTGCCAATAAGGATTATTTCCTTGCTGAAACAATGTTGCTAATGATGTTATTCTGTGTAGCCTATATATTTTGGAGTAGAAAAATAATGTAAGACCCCCTGGGGTGAAATTTTCCTGCACTGAGGTCAATAAATAAATAAGTAAACCTGACAAACATACATTAGTGTACAAACACTAATGCCTTACTGAAACTGAAAAGAGTTTCTCCAAAGACTTTAAAGATGCTGCTGTTTAACAGATAACAAAACTCTTTGTTAAAATTTCAGAAGAGACAGTAAGAGTGATCTATTTACTGATTAATTAACTCTATGTAAAATATAAAATCCAGATTGAAACAACAAATCCAGGGTTACCATATTCAAAATGAAATTTTGCTCTGGTTTAACACTCTTAACATCGTATAGAATACAAAATTATCTTATCTATTTTTGCTTACAAGCATTTGCTCGCACATATTGATATACATATCTGGGGAAATTACACCACCAAAACCTTCCACATATAGAGTAACTACTTTTATAATGAAATGATAAATTATATAGTATTTCCATTTTAATTACAGAAAAGTTTCTGGGGATGTGTTGCCATGGCTAGAAATGCAACATCATCTAAGGCATAAAACTGTAATCATTTCACATCTTCTCTGGGTCACCATAAGATTTTCTGTATATTATTGAATCTTCGTGCAGACAACAATCTTGGTGCAAATTAAAGCCAGGGGATAAGTAGAAGGGACACTAACATCGCTCACCTGAATGATGCAAAGCACCGGTGACATTGTGGACAGTATTTAGGTAAGGATGTTTTTTTCCATCCTTGTTTTTATAAACGAAACCATTTCCATCTTTCTGTCTTTGTGAATTGATACATATTGATTGTACATATTTATGGGGTTCATGTGATGTTTCGACGCATGCATACAATGCATAATGGCCAAGTCATGGTAATTAGGATATCCACTACCTCCAACACTTATTTCGTGTGTATGTGTTGGGGACATTTTAAGTCCTTTCTTCTGAATATTTTGAAATAGGCAATAAATTATTGCTAAGTATAATCACTCTTGCGTGCTATTGAACACTAGAACTTATCTCTTCTATCTAACTCTATATGTGCACCCATTAACCAATATCTATCTTCATCCTGCCTCCTTCCCAGCCTCTGTTAACCATCATTCTACTCTCTACCTTCCTGAGATCAGACTTTTTAGCTCCCACAAATGAATGAGAATATGCAATAGTTGTCTTTCTATGCTTGGCTTGTTTCACTTAACGTAAGGACCTATTGTTTCATTCATGTTTCTGCAAATAACATGATTTCATTCTTTTTATGGCTCTGTAGTATTCCTTTGTGTATATATACCATATTTTCTTTATCCACTTATTTGTTAATGGACACTTATGAGCCACAATTTTTTTAATGAGTGATTTAGATGACTTGCATCAAAACTACTTGGAGTGTTTACTTTTACAAAACCATATTGAGTCTTGATACAGACACGGTAAATCAGAATATCTGAATGCAAGATTTACAAGTTAACTTTTAAACATTTTTTAGTATTTTATATGTGTATATATGTGTGTGTGTGTATGTATATATATATATGTGTATATATATAGAGAGAAGGGAAAATTATGAACCCTAGAATATGAGTCCTTGAATATGAGTCACTAATGTATGTATGTACATAAGTATATATACCGTTTCTATAATTAAATATTTGTCTTTGACAATTATGTAAGTACAAATGTGTGCAAGCAGGTTTGGTTCACTATTTTCTTACTAAAAAGTCATAAAAATACCCATTCATTTTTATTATAAAAGATATTAATATCTCAAAGAAGACTGTATGTCAGGATATCAAAGCTGACTCTTAATTTTTCTTTTATTCTTAAATTTTTGGACTTTGGGAGACAAATAAAATTTCTGTGTTCTAGAGTTTTAAAAATGAGGAACACTTCTAATTCCACCTACTCAGGTGGCTGAGGCATGAGAATTACTTGAATCCTGGAGGCAAAGGTTGCAGTGAGGCTAGATTACACCACTAAACTCCACCATGGGCAACGGAGCAATATTGTCTCCAAAAAAAAAAAAAAAAGTGAGGAAAGTCAGTTTAGAATCTAAATCAGACAGGTCTCTGTAGATAGGGATAGAAAGGACAGGTATATACTGCCACAGTTCCAGGATGATAGTATGGTATTTTCTTGGAGGATACTAGAAACTTGATAATAGTGGAGAAATGCTAAGAACAGAGTTTCGCTTAGAAGGACTCATATTCAAGGGATCATAATTTTCCCTTCATTTTTTCCTCTTTTGTCCTTATAGGACATTTCTAGAAAGATATACATATATAGATGTGGATAGATAATTTTCCTGTTTGTCATTCTACTTTCTTTTAATAATTCTTAACTGTTCAAAATGTTTTAGATTTCTATGTTTCCTTATTATTTAAGCTCAAGGGATAGAGTGGCAGAAAAAACCAACTCTTCCATTATGTACTTCAGTACACTCTTGTACTTCAGTGTGTGCAGGCATGGGGCAATACACTTTCCAGGGGATTTATAAGACAGTATAAAATAAATAGCAACAAAACCAAATTAGCAGTGTTTTGGAGGCAAAAATGGAAACATTTAGGGAAACATACAACATAAATAGATAGCTGTTGAATGAATGACTAGCAGGATAGTTGAGACAAAGCCCCCTTTCACATAATTCTAACAACATTATAATGTTACTGGAGGAATTCAACCCCGTGTTTAGGAAGAGGTTAATATTTGATAAATTGCCTACACATCTCTCCATCTCTCTATGAAAATATTTTATTTTACTTGAGATGATAATATAAACACTTATTTTCAGGAGTTACAAAATATATTAACTGTATAATTTTTTTGGTAGTAACTTAAGGTGAAACTTGCTCAATAGGGGAAAAGTAGCTGTCATAGGAGCCTAAATAGTGGAGTAGGCTTCTGCTGCCATAAGTCACCAAGATTTATAAAGAGAAGAAATAGTCATGGCATCTGTTTGCTCAACTAACAGCACTAAATTTCTATGTGCAATATTGGTAATGATGCATCTAAACCTTATGTAGTAAATAATTTATGAATCATTTAGGGTGTCAGAGTTTTTTGGCTTTAGTCTAGGTAGAAAGGTCATAGAGTAAGTAGAGAGCCTATATGTTTAATGAATATTTGTATTTGCGATGGCTCACACTTGTAATCCTAGCATTTTGGGAGGCCGAGACGAGTGAATCAGGAGGTCAGGAGTTTGAGACCATCCTGGCCAATATGGTTAAACCCTGTCTCTACTAAAAATACAAAAAATTACCTGGGCGTGGTGATGCGTGTCTGCAGTGCCAGCTACTTGGGAGGCTGAGGCAGAAAAATCTCTTGAACCTGGGAGGCAGAGGTTGCAGTGAGCCGAGATCGTGCCACTGCACTCTAGCCTGGGTGACAGAGCGAGACTTCATTTCAAAAAAAAAAAAAAAAAAAAAAAAAGATATTCTCAGAATCACAAACATTCCTTACCATTTTATCAGATAAATTAGAAATTGAAATAAATTTATGATTGTTTTCCCACAATGTCAAGCTTTGTTTGTTTTGACGTACATACAAATCTCATTTATTTTTGTCTGAAGTACAAGGAGGTCACTCAGCCCAAGAAGAATAAACTAATCATACAAATATTGAGATAAAATATCACCATGAATACATGCATATATGTTCTTAAGAGCAGTTTTTAGGAGTTGTACAACAACGTAAGGCGGGTTTTGCTAAAGAATGCTTTCTGACAGGCTTTTGAATAAGAAATGGACAGGTGAATCACTTTCACATAACAGAGTAGTTCAGGACAGTTCTCCCAGTGGCCTTGGACTTAGGGAGTACGTCCCCTTTTCTCACTTGTAGTTCTTAAGAATAACTGTAGATTGTGCTATGAATACAACATCCTGAGATAAATGGAGGACTGGCCAGAACAGCCCAGGCTCTGTTCTGATTCCCCCTGGATGCAGGATGTCCTTCAATATTTTAGCCAAGCAGTCCTGCTGCATCTGAGGATTAAAACACAGGGCAGGATACTCTCTGAGCTCCCTCAGTTATGGTGCAAGTGCGGCATTCACAGTTGAGATTCTGTCTACCCTGTGCAGCTTTCCTGAGCCATGGAAGATAGGCTCACAATGAATCTTTAGGCTTCTGCTGTTCCTTGCTGCCTATTTGTAAGTAATAAACCCACTGCATGTAACTCGTATATGCAGGTATTCTGTCTCATCAGATTCAGACAAGTTGGTAACCAGTACACAGTGAACCTGCTTTACAATGAGGTGAATAGAACATCTGTTACCACACTTACTTGAATTCCACAGACTGTGAGAGCTGTCTTAAAATTTATATGTAATTTTATCTTAGTCTATTTGACTTTTAAATTTCACTAAATTTGAACTAGATCCATAAACGAATCCCTCAACTCTTGATCTCTCACACTCAGGGATTTGAGAGGGGAATGGAGGTGAGGTTGGATGTAGAAAGATGGATGTGGCAAATGTCAGTGTTTTCTAGTAATGTCGGCACATATGTACACTTCTTTTTTTGGTTGGCTTTGTATATTTAATTTAAATAAAGGTTGTATATTTATTATGACATGTTATTTGCAACATGAAAACATGAAAATGTGTTGACACTTTGCTTGTACCCTTCTTTTGACGCTTTTCCTTTATAAATATTAAAAAAATGCAAGGGTCAAAATGCATTTTGAAAGTGGCTGGGTAGATATAAAATTGCAAATGTCTTTAATCTTTCAAATGAAAAAATGTAAAAATTCATAACAATCCATGTAATTTAAAAATATTTTTCTCTTTTTTTTCCTTGTGTCCTTACTGCCTGTGACACATTTTTAGCCTACTGTTTAAAAACTCAGAACTATGTTTTTTAAAATTTTAATTTGAAAATCTGTTTATTATTGTAAGGACATTGACATGAGATCTGCTTTATTAACAAACTGCTAACTGTACAATACACTATGGTTTAACTATGTGTGCAATGTTGTAAAACAGATTTCTATAACATACTAATCTTGCATAATGAAGATTGTATGCCCATTGATTAGCAACTCCGTCACTCTCCTTTACCCCCAGACCCTGGCAACTATAATTGTACTCTCTTACTTCATAAGTTTGACTTTTTAAGATGCCTCATATAAGTGGAATCATGTAATATTGTCTTCCATGACTAGCTTATTTCACTGATTATAATGTCTTAAATTCCTTTTATGTTTTCATATATGGCAAGATTTTCTTTTTTAAGGCGTAATATTTTATTGTCTAAGTTTTTGTATTCAAAAATTATCACCAAGACCAATATCATAAATTTTTTTCCTGAATTTTAGTCTAGGGGATTTATAGTTTTAGGTCTTACATTTAAGTCTATACTTCATTTTGAGTTTATATTTATGCATGATGCAAAAAAAGTTCAATTTAATTAGGCATTATGTGGATATTCAGTTTTCTCAACATTATTTATTAAAGAGAATATACTTTTCTTATTGTGCATTCTTGGCACTCTTGTTGAAGATTAGTTGACCTTATATTCATGGATTTATAACTGGGCTCTCTATTCTGTTCCATTGGTTATTATGTCTGTCTTTATACTAGTATTAAACTGTTTTAATTACCATTGCTTTGTAATAATATGTTTCATAATCAGAAAGTGGGATACCTTCAGATTTTCTCTTCTTTCTCAAGGCTGTCTTTTGGCTATTTGGGTTTATTGTGTTTCCATATAAATATTAATTATTTTTTATAATTAAGTAAAAAAGTCACAGTTATTTTGATAATGACTACAATGAATCTGGAGATTGCTTTAAGTAGTATGAACACTATAACAATGTTAAGTCTTCTAATCCATAAACACAGTATGTCTTTAATTTGATTGTGTCTTCTTCAATTGCATTCATTGACATTTTGTAGTTTTTATTGTACTAATCTTTTACCTCCTTAATTTTATTCCTAAGTATTTTACATATCAAGTTTTAGCTTTTTTTGAAATAACTGTGCAAGTTTATAGGGCTACTATGGAAAAATATGTTCCTGGATTCAACATTTTTTTACTGTTCCTGTAAGCAAGCATATTTATGTTTTCACACTCAGACACAGACAGGCATACCTGTGTACACACACACACACCACAGACACACGTACAGAGAATACAACATCAGAGAGACTATAAAAAAATGAAGCCAAAGTGTAAAGGAATTTTTTTAAACCTCGATAAATCTACCAATAAGCCACAGTTGTTCAATGCAAGATTCCTTAAAGCGACATTGTTCTTCTCATAGAACTAAGGACCAACTGTAAACTTGATCTTGACTCTACTGAAGGTTAATACAACTCTTTGCCTGAGAGTTAAGCAAGCAGGAGCTTTGAGCTTTTTGTCGTTTTTAAGGTTGGAATGTGACACTCAGACTGTACAAACTCAATCAACACGCATATATCTATGTATTCATCCATTCAAATCTATTTACATTTGTATTTATTTTAGTCACACTTTTAAAAATGTGTACATTCACTGATCAAACATAGTATATGAGTTGAGTTAAGGACTGGAAAGAGAAGCTATATTCAAAAAATATGAATTGAGTTTTTTTAAATGATGAAGGAAGTTAGCAGAATTAGTTAAAATATATAGTAATTCAGAAGTTCATGGAGATATTATAGCTGAGTTGAGCTACTGCCCATTTATATTTACATAGAAATCTGAGCAGTTAGATGTGTTGTCATAAATGCAACTTAAATAACCAAGGGAACTTTGAATGTCTTGAAAGAACTTGATAAACTACACTGTCTACTAAATTTTCTCATCAAACTGAGAAACAACAGCAAAGTCAGAAAATGGAACACTAAGAATATCAGCCTGATTACTGACAAAACCATATGGGACATCTCAGCTGCTGGGAGAGCTGGCTGTGTCTACTCACTTCCCAACTAACTTCTTTGAAGTCCAGATCTTGCAGCTGCATATCTGGGCAAAAATGTTAAATTTAATAAGAAGACACACTTGCCTAGACAACTCTCTCTCTCACTGGATTGGTGCAGGAGGAAATAATGAGGTAGTAGAGATACTAAATGTCCAGTCTCAAAATGTTGGCTATTTCCAGTTCAGAACCAGTCACCATTGTTAGTCATTTGCAAGGCAGTAAATCCATACAACTGTAATGGATAGGGGTAGAGATGCAACAAGAATTCAGAAGTAAACAGGGGAAATGTGTTCTTACAATAACTGGAAATAGAAAAATGGTCTTCCCCTCTAAAAAAAGAGAAGTAAGCAGCTATCCATAGGCAAATGTAATGGTTATTGAAAACAAAACTCTTATCAATCAAAGTTATCACACATTTTTAAAAATTTAATTGATTCCTTCCTGAAACCCCAAATGTAAATATATAGGCGATAATATGAAAATAACTATGAGTAGTATGAGAGGAGAGGGTTACTTTTATTTTAATTATGAGGTCTCATTCTTCCAAAATATATTCAATAAAGTTCAGAATAAAAATAAGTAACTGAAAGAGTGGCTTTATAATGATTTGAACACACACACACGTTATGAAATATATAAGACTGCTTCTAGTCTCTATGTTACCAGAGGCTGGGAAGGATAGTGGAGGGGGTGCGGAGGAGTTAGGGATGGTTAGCGGGTACAAAAAAAGAGTTAGAAAGAATGAATAAGACCTGCTATTTGATTGCACAACAGGGTGACTATAGTCAATAATAACTTAATTGTACATTTTAAAATAACTAAATGAGTATAGTATGATTGTTTATAGTACAAAACATAAATGTTTGAGGGGATGGATACCCCATTCTCCTTGCTGTGGTTATTATGCATTGCATACCTGTATCGAAAAATCTCATGTACCCCATGAATATAAAAATCTACTATGTACCCGCAAAATTTAAAAATAAAAAATTGTATCCATAAAAGAATGCTTACTCAAAAATAAAATAAATTAAAATATATTAGAGTTGTAAAGTCAAATTGTCTTTAGCAGAATAAACTACATTTAGAAGAAAAGAAATTACCACCGTTTTATTGAATAAAAGTACTTCTTGAGATGTGATAGCTGTAGGTAAGATATATGCAGCTATTTTTGCTATATTTGAAAGATTTTTTTACCACCAATGTAAGTAGACATTAGACTTTTCATACTTCAAAGACAAAACAATTTAAAAATGGGAGCAAAACCATCTCTAAAAATGCAACCCTAGTCATTTGCTAAATGTGTTCCAAAGCACAAAATAGGTATATAAAATGGCTACTTTTTTTAAAAGACACTGCTAAGCTTGGAAATCCTATTTACTTCCGTTATGTAAATAAAAGAATTGAAAGAAGTGATAAATCATCCATTTCATGATCAAATGAAAATGTTTGGTTTGAAGAAATTGTTCTCCTACCTTTAGGCACTCTAAATCCACTAGCTAGAATTATTTCAATTCTCTTGTTCTTCTGCTCTCTATGAATATGTTGCCTACCAAAAGCCAATTATTTCATCTTATAGTTTCTAATCAATGTTTTTAGTTAAATCATACATCATAGAAATACAGCAAATTATTGCAAAAGTATAACTCTCCCTGATGGTGAAACACAGAAAGAACTGTATTTCTGTCAGTTTCAGGAGCACACTGTTGCTCTGCCTACAGTGATCTGAAACTGTCCATTGTTATGGTTTGAGAGACAGTGTTTCCTCCAAAACTCACGTTGAAACTTAATCCACAATTCAGCAGTATTAAGAAAGTGACATTTCACCATGTGAGGACACAGTTACAAGGCATTATCTTGGAAGTAGAGAGCAGTCCTCACCAGATGCCAATGGTGGCACCTTGATCTTGGACTTCTGAGGCTCCAGGACCGTAAGAAATACATTTCTATTCTTTATAAATTACCCAGTTTAAGGTATTTTGTTTCAGCTGCACAAACAATCTAAGATATCCATATTTAGTGTTATATACAGAGAACATTTTGTCACATCTTAAGGTTTTGTTAAGCACAGCCCCTAAAATTAAGTTGTGAATTACTACTTTGTTTTTGGAAAATCCAGTTTTAAATTTCAGTTCAGATTTCTGTCTATAGAGACATTTCCAATCCTGAGTTCTAGTTTTGTTTTATAAAAGCATGGTTGAGATATAATTCACATACCAAAAATTCAACCTTTTAAAATGAACTGTTTGTCTTTTTTAGTATATTTACAGTGGTGTGTGACTATAATCATTAATTCAAGAATATTTTCATCACCCCATAGAGAAATCGCATACCCATCAGCAATCACTGCACATCCTTTCTTGTCCACAGTCCCTGGCAAGCACAAACATATTTTTGGTCTATATAACTTGACTATTTTAACATGTTACATAAATAGATTAAAAAAATATGTGGCCTTTTTGTCTGGCTTCTTTCATTTAGCATAGTTTTCAAGATTTATTCATGTTGTAGAATGAATCACAACTTTATTCCATTTTATAGCTGAATCATATTGTGTTGCATGGATGTACCACATTTTTCTAATCCATTCAACAGTTGATATATATTTGTGATATTTCTAGTTTTGGCTTCTGTTACTAACCCTGCTATCAACATTTGTGTGCAATTTTTGTGGATGTAAGTTTTCAGTTCTTTTGGGTATGCGCCTAGGAATAGAATTGTTACATTATATAGTACCATGTTTAACTTTTGGAGGAAACACAAAATTGTTTTTCAAAGCAGTTGCATTATTTTATATTCCCATCAGCACTGCAGGAGGGTCTGATTTCTCAAGTTGTTGCCAATGCACATTATCTTACATTATCTTTTTTTATTCTGTATATCCTAGCTGGTGTGAAGCTCTGTCTCATTGTAGTTTTCATTCACATTTTTCTAACCACTAATGCTGAGGTCTTTCCATGTGTTTATTGTTCATTTGTGTATTTAAGGAAAGTGATAAAATACTTTGCCTATTTGTGTAAATGAGGTTCTTTGTCTTTTAAGCTATAAGAGATTTTAAATACACTCTGGATTCAGAATTCTTATATACATAATTTTGAAATAGTTCCCCTTATTCCATGAGTTGTCTTTTCACTTTCTTTGATCTTGTTATACTGTAGATATTATACCATTCATAATTATATTTTATTGATACTATAATGTAATATATTATTATATAATACATCATTTTATATGCAATTTATTATGCTTATGTAATTATATAAATTATATTATACATTGACATATAATGTAATAATATATTTTATTATGTATGATATTTATTATATTTAAGACATTATAATTATACATATACACAGGTACAATTTGGTGTTTTGATACATATATATGTTGTAGCATAATAAAATCATAGTATTTAGCATATCCATCCCCTCATGTATTTTTCAACTGTATGTGATGAGAATTTTCAAACCTCTCTCTCCTAGCTATTTTGTAACATACACTATTATTACTTTGAAGCATTTTTATCCTTACCATGCAACAGAACTTATTACTCCTATTTAATTGTAACTTTGTATCCATTGACTAATCTTTCACCAACTTCCCCTCCTGCTTTTTACCTCCAGTCTCCGTTAACCACTGATGTGCTGTATTTTATCAACTCTTTTTTTTTTTTTTAGATTCCACATATGAGACCATATGGCATTTGTCTTCCTGTGTCGAATTTATTTCACTTAACATGATGTCCTCCAGGTTCATCCCTCTTGTCTCAAGTGACAGGATTTCATTCTTTCAGTGGCTGAATAGTAATCCATTGTGTATATATACTACATTTTCTTCATCCATTCAACAGTTGTTAGACACTTAGGTTGTTCCATATATTGACTATTGTAAATAGTGTTGCATTAAACATGGGAATGCAGATATCTCTTAGACATACTGATTTCCTTTCCTTTTGACACATACCCAGTAAGTGGTATTGCTGAATCATATGGCAGTTCTATTTTTAATATTTTGAGGAACCACCATACTGTTTGTCAAAGTGGCTTATCAAGAGTGTGTAAGGGTTCCCTTTACTCCACATCCTCACCAACACCTGTATTCTTTTGTCCTTTTGGTGATCGTCATTCTAACTGAAGTGAGGTGGTGTCTCATTGTGGTGTTCATTTGAATTTCCCTGATGATTAGTGATGCTGAGCATTTCTTCATGTACCTGTTTGATATTCGTATGTCTTCTTTTAAGAAATATCTACCAAGGTCTTTTGTTCGTGTATAAGTTGAAGTATTTTTTACTATTAAGTTATTTAAATTTCTTATATATTCTGGATATCAACCCTCTGTCAGGGGTATAGTTTGCAAGTATTTTCACCCAAATTTTAGGTTGTCTTTTTTATTTTGTTAATTGTTTCCTTTGCCATGCAAAAGCTTTTAGTTGAGGTAATCTCATCTGCCTGTTTTTGTTGTCTGTGCTATTAAAGCCTTAACTGGAAAAATTCTTGCCCAGGCTAATCTTGTAAAGTGTTTACCCTATGGATTCTTTCAGTAGTTTCAGAGTTTTGGGTTTTAAGTTTAAGTCTTCAATCCATTTTGTATTCACTTTTTTGTACAGTGAGATGTAGGAGACTAGTGTCAATGTTCTACATATAAATATCCAATTCCCCAAGAACTATTAATTGAAGAAACCGCCTTTTCCCTAGTATGTGTTCTTAGCACCTTTGTTTAAAAGAAGTGGGAGTTGATGAATTAATGTTTTTCTAGGCTTTCTATTTTGTTCCATTGATCAATGTGTCTGTTTTTATGCCTATATCATGCTGTTCAGGTTACTATACCTTTGTAGTCTCTTTTGAAGTTAGGTAGTGTGATGCCTCAAATTTGTTCTGTGTGCTTAGTATTGGTTTGGCTATTTGGGGTCTTTTGTGGTTCTATATAAATTTTAGGACTTTTTTCTATTTCTGCAAAGAACATCATTGGCACTTTGACCAAGATTGCATTGAATCTGTAGATCACTTTGAGTAGTATGGTCATTTTAACAATATTGATTCTTCCAAGTCATAAACACAGGATACGTTTTATTTGCTTGTGTCTCCTTCCATATTTTTAACAATGTTTTGTAGTTTTTAGTGTAGAGAACTTTTACCTTTTTGGACAACTTTATTACTAGGTATCTTTTTTGTAGCTATTTTAAATGGAATTGTTTTCTTGATTTTTTTTTCAGCTAGTTTGCGATCCATGTATAGAAATGCTACTAATTTTTGTATGTTGATTTTGTATCTTTTAACTTTACTGAATTTGCTTATCAGTTCTCAGTTCTCAAAGTTTTGGGTAGCGTCTTTATGTTTTTGCCATATATAAGATCATGTAATCTTTGAAGGGGGACAAAGTGCCTTTTGCTTTTCAAATTTGGACGCCCTTTATTTCTTTTTCTTGCCTAAATGCTGTGGGTAGTATTATGTTGAATAAGAGTGGTGAAAGTGGGCATCATTGTCTTGTTCTTAATCTTGCAGAAATAGCTTTCAGCATTTTTCCCATCGAGTATAATATTAGGTATGTTTTTATGTGGTCTTTATTTTATTGAGTTACATATCTATATCTAATTTGTTGAGAATTTTTAGCATGAAGGAACTTTGAATTTTGTGAAATGCTTTTTTTCTGAGTATATTCAAATGATGATATGGTTTTTATCTTCCTTTTTGTTAAAGTAACATATCATATTTATTTATTTACATATGCTGAACCATCTTTGAGTCCCCAGGAATCACAGCGAATGACCTTTTTAATGTGCTGTTGAATTCAGTTTGCTAGTATCTTGTTGAGTATTTTTGCATCTATGTTAATTGGGGATATTGGTCCATAGTTTTCTTTTTTTCTTTTTTTTCTTCTATGTTCTCAAATTTGTCAGTTTATAGTTGTTCATCATATTCCCAGGATCTTTGTATCTCTGTGATATCACATGTACTGTCTCCATTTTCACTCGTGATTTTATTTCACTCATTTCTCTTTAATTCTTAATCTTGGCAAAGATTTATTTTATTTACTCTTTTAAGAAATTATCTCTTAATTTTGCTGCTATTTTTGATTTTATGCTTTTTTGTTTCATTTGTTTGTTTACTTTCTACAGTTTTTATTTCAGATTTTTCAGCTCTGAGCTTTATTTTTGTTCTTCCTTCTACCAATTTTGGATTTAGTTCTTGTTTCACTAGCTCCTTGAGAGGTACAGTTTGGTTATTAGAAATTATTCTTCTCTTTTGATATAGCTGTTTATTGCTATGAACTTCCCACTTACATTTGGTTTTGTTTGTACCATAGATTTTCATTTGATATGTTTACATTCTTATTTGTTTCAGGCAATATTTTAATATTTGTTTTAATTTATTCAGTGGTCTATTATTTGGGAGCATGCTGTTTCGTTTTCACATATTTCTAAAAATTTTGTTTTTCTTTTTGATTTCTATTTTAAATTATTGAATTCTGAAAAGATACTTCCTATAATATCACTCTTCTTAAATATGCTAAGATATCTTTTGTGGCATAATATATTATCTATCCTGGATAATGCTCCATGTATGGATGAGAAGAATGTACATTCTGCAGCAGTTGGATGTAACAGTGTCTAACTGTCTCTTAGATCTATTTGGTCTGTGATATTTAAGTTTAATCCTTCTTTGTTGACTTACTGTCTAGATGATCTGGCTGTAGTTGTAACTGAGGAGTTGAATTCCCCTCCTATTGTTGTATTGCTGTCTGTATCTTCCTTTATATCTAATAATATTTGCTTTATATATTTGGGTGATCTTGTGTTGCGATAATACATATTTATCATTCTTATATTCTCTTATTGAATTAATCCCTTTATCATCATATAATTTCCTGCTTTGTCACTTTTCACAGTTTTTGACATAAAGCTTATTTTATCTAAGTATGACTGTTCCTGCTCACATTTGCATGAAATAACTTTGTCCATTTCTTAACTTTCAATGTTTGTCTTCAATAGTGAAATCAAGTATCTTTTAGGCAACAGAGAGTTGCTTACAACTATATGAGTGTTGTTGTTTTTTTAATCCATTTTAGCCATGCTGTTTCTTTTAATTGGATAATTTAATACATTTACATTCAAAGTTATTATTGATAGGTGAGGAATTATTCCTGCTATTTTGTTCATTGTTTTCTGATTGTTTTGTAGATCATTTGTTCCATTCTTTATCTCTGGTCGTTTACCTCTGTGATTGGATGGATTTCTGTCCTGCTAAGGTTTGCTTCCTTTCTCTTTATTCATTATGTATCTGATATAATTTCTTTCTTTTTTTAATTATCATGAGGTTAATGTAGGGCCTAGTAGTTATAATAGACTATTTTAACCTGATACCTACTTAACTTTGTTTATGTAAGAATATTCTAGGCTTTTTCCCTCTCTCCCAAAATGGTACATTGGTTGCCTTAATTTGCATCTATATATTTTATGTATTTTTTTTTAGCTATGAATTGGGGCTGTTGATTTTTTTTTACCTTTTTGACTTTATTATACTAGAGCATTCAAAGATTTACATAGCACCATAACAGCAGTGAAGTAATGTTAAATTAATAAGTTTACTTACATTGGTGAATTTTGTGCTTTCCCATGTTTTAGGAATCAGTATCATTTTGTTTCCATTTGCCACACTCTCTTAAGCACTGCTTGTAAGGTCAGTCTACAGGTGATAAATTTTCTCAGTTTCTGCTTGTCTGGGAAATACTTATTTTTCTTTCCTCTCTGAAGTACAGCATTATTGGTAATAGTATTCTTGGTTGACAGTTATTTTCTTTCAGCACTTCAAATATATCATCACATTCTCTCTTGTCCTGCAAGGTTGCTGCTGAGAAATCTGCTGCTGATCTAATGGAAATTCCCTTATACATGACTTGACAATTATCCACTGCAGCTTTTAGAATTGTCTCTTTGTCTTTGAATTTTGACAGTTTGATTATAATGTGCCTTGGAGAAAACTTGGGGTGGTTATATGTCATTCAGAACCTTTGAACTTCTTGAGTCTGGATGTCCATATCTCTCCCAAGACTAGGAAGTTTTCAGCTATCATGCTGTTAAATAAGTTTTCTGTACCTTTCCCCATTTCTTCTCCCTCTGTCACTTCGGAAATATTATTTGCTTATTTAATGGTGTCCCATAATTCTGCTGGCTATCTCCATTCTTTTGTATTATTGTTTCTTTCTCCTTCCTCTTGAAACTGTCTGGTTTCAAAATAGTGCTCTGCTGTAGCAGCTTAGATCATTGGATTATTTCAAACAACCTGCAATCAAGTTAAGACATTTTTCTTCTGTTTGATCAAGTCTATTGTTGAAGATCTCAATTGTATTTTTTTATTTGTGGAATTTCTCAGTTCTAGATGTCTTTTTTGGTTCTTTTTTATTATATCCACCTCTGTTAAATTTATCAATCAGATAATAAGCTGTTTACTTGATTTCATTGAAATATTTTTCTGTATTTTCTTGTATCTCACTGATATTCTTACTATTGTTATTTTTAATTCCTTTTCATGCATTTCATCAATATCTTCTTTGGAATTCATCTATTCCTGGAGACTTTTGTATTTCTTTGGTGATGTCATGTTTCCTTGCTTTCCTCATGTTTCTTTGGCCCTTAATTGATATATTTGTGTCTAGTGACCCAGTTGCTTTTACCAATTTAATAAAGTAGCTTTTGCATAAAGAGGAATTTTCTTGTAGCTCGGTTCTAGACTGTCAGTTGGTTGGGAATAATGCTTTGGCTTTGGGTCTGGGTAGACAGGTTTCCACTAAAAGTCTGCTGTCAGATGTATTGAAGCTCCATTGTATGTTGTTTATTTTATCTTGCTGATTTTAGGATCCTTTATTTACCTTTACTCTTGGGAGTATGATTATTAAATGCCTTGAAGTAGGCTTCTTTGGGTTAAACATTACATCAGTCTGTTCTCACGCTGCTATGAAGAAGTACCCAAGACTGAGTCATTTATAAAGGAAAGAGATTTAATTGACTGATGGTTCCACATGGTTAGGGAGGTCTAAGGAAACTTAACAGTCATGGTGTAAGGGGAAGCAAACATGTCCTTCTCACATGGCAGCAGGAGAGAGAAGTGCAGAGTGAAGAGGGTAAAAGCCCCTTATAAAGCCATCAGATCTTGTGAGAACTCACTCACTATCATGAGAGCAGCATGGGGGAACCACCACCATGATCTAATCATCTCCCATGAGGTCCCTCCCCCAATACATGGGGATTATGATTTAGATTATAATTCAAGATGAGATTTGGGTGGGGACACAGAGCCAGACCATATCAAATATTTTATGTTCTATAATCTTCTTGTACTTGGATATTTATATCTTCCTCTAGGTTTGGGAATGTCTCTGTTATTATCCCTTTGAATAAACTTTCTATCCTCACCTCTCCTTCCACCACTTCTTCAAGGCTAATAACTTTTAGATTTGCCTTTTTGAGGCTATTTTCTGGATCCTATAAGTGTGTTTCATTGCCTTCCATTCTTTTTTCTTTTAACTCCTCTGACCATGTATTTTCAAGTAGTCTGTCTTCAAGATCACTTACTTTTTCTTTTCCTTGATCTATTCTGCTATTTAAAAATTCTGATATATTCCTCAGTATGCCAACTGCATTTTTCAGCTCCTGAGTTCTTTGTCATTATTTCAATTTATTTGATAAATTGATCTGATAGAATTCTGAATTCCTTCCCTGTGTTATCTTGAATTTCCCTGAGTTTTCTCAAAACAGCTATTTCGAATATACTGTCCAAAATGTCATGAATCTCTCTTTTTCCAGGATTGGTCCCTAGTGTCGTATTTATTTCGTTTGGTAAGGTCATGTTTTCCTGGATTATCTCTTGACACTTGTAGATGTCTGTCTGTGTCTGGGCACTGAAGAGTTGGGTATTTATTGTAGTGTTAATAGTCTGGGCTTGTTTTTTCTGTCTTTCTCAGGAAGGCTTTCTGGATATTCCAAAGGGTTTTGGTGTTGTGATATAAGCTGTATCTGCTTTAGGGTATGCCCCAAGCCCAGTAACACTGAGGTTCTTGCAGTGTCTTAGAGGGGCAACCTAGATGGTCTTGGACAAGTTCTGTAGAATTCTCTAGATTACCAGGCAGAGACTCTTTTCTCTTTCCTTACTTTTTCCTAAAGAAATGGAGCCTCTCTTTCAGTTCTTTATCCACCTAAAGATGGGAGTGAAGTAACACAAGAACCCCTATGGCCACCATTACTATGACTGTTCTGGGTCAAAACTAAAGCCAGCACATCACTAGGACTCACCCAAGTACTACTGTAACCACTCTCTGGATACTGCCTATGTTCACTCAAGGCCCAGGAGCTCTACAATCAACAGGTGGCACAGACAGCCAGGCCTGTGTTTTTCTCTTCATGTGGTGAAGTCTCCCAGGCCTTAAGTGGCTCCAGAAGTATTCTCTTGGAGTCAGAGACTAGAGGAAAACACCTGGTATTCTTTTATACTATGGCTGAGCTGACACTCAAACCACAAAACGTAGTCTTTCCCCCTCTTACCTTCCCTTTCCAAAGGCAGAGGAGCCTCACCCCATAGCCGCCATCAACACAGGCCATGCAGACTACTGACAGATTAATGCCGGTGTTTCCTTAAGGCCCAAGGGCTCTTAAGTCAGCTGGTGGTGAATGCTGCCTGGCCTGGGACTCACACTTCAGGGCAGTGGGCTTCTTTATAGCCCAGGGTAGGTCCAGAAATGCCATCCAGAAGTCAACCTCTTGAATCAAAAATGCCAAGAGCCCTCTTGATTATCTACCCCACTGTGGCTGTGCTGGTATCTAAAGCCAGCAAGTTTCAGAGGCTCACCCAAGGGCCCTGACGTAATACCTCGGTATCACTGTTTGTTATTCAGGGCCCAAGGTTCTTCCGTTAGCATGAGATGAATGCTGCCAGGTCTAGGTTCTTCCTTTCAGGACAGCAAATTCCCTCAGGCTCTGAGTGGATCCAGAAGCGCTGTCTGGAAATCAGGGACTAGGGTCAAAAACCTTAGAAGTCTATTTAGTATTCTACTGTCTTGCTGCTAGGGTGGCACTCAAACCAAAGACACAGTCCTTCCCATTATTCCTCCACCCCTTGGCAAAAGCAGAGCAGTCTTATCCTGTGGCCACCATCACCAGAGGCCCATGGGGAATACTGCCAGACTACTGTCAATGTTCCCTCAAGGCCCAAGGGCTGTTAAATCAGTCTGTGGTGAGTAATGTCTGGCCTAGGATTCACCCTTCAGGGAAGTGGACTCTCCTCTGGCCAGGGCCAAGGGTCAAGTCCTGGAATCAGGTACCCCAAGACATGACTTGGTATTCTATTCCCCTGTGGCCAAGCTGGTACCTGAGGTCAGCAAGTCTCAGAAGCCCATCCAAGGCCCTTGCTGTATTACCTGGGTATCGCTGCTGCTTATTCAGGGTCCAAGATTCTTCAGATAGCAGGTGATGAATGTTGCCAGGACTGGGTCCTTCCCTTCAAGGCAGTGGGTTCCCTTCTTCCCTAAGATATGTCTAGAAATGTCTCCCTGGAGCTAGGAGGTAGGGCCTGGAATGGGGGCCTCACAATTCTGACTGGTGTCCTGTCCTGCTGCGGCTGAACTGGTATGCAAGATGCAAGACAATATTCTCCCTACTCTTTCCTCTCTTCTACTCAAGTGGAAGAAAGGGATCTCTTTTGGAGCCACGAATTGTACAGCCTGGGGTTGAGGTAGTGGTGATGCCAGTGCTCCCTTAGCCATCCCAGCTGGTTTCCCAGTAGATTATGTGTCCCCCAAGTCTATTGTATCTGGGCCACAATTCAGCATTAGGACTTGCCTGAGAGTCACAGTCCTTGTGGCCTAGATTGCTTTTCAACTTTACTTAGAGACACACAGCATTTAAGCCTACAGAGGTGAGGTTTGTAAAAACTTAAGTTCTTATCTCTAGGTTCAGTGATTCCCCTCTGCCTAGGACTGATTTAAATGCTCCCTGTGGGCACAGGCATCAGAGTTTGGTCTGGTTTTCCTTTCTGCTCCAACAGAATAGCACTAAATTCAATGCCTCGCAATAGCTGTGCTTTCCCTCTCCCAGTGCACAGAAACACTCCACACCACAACACTGTTAACGGGGGAGAAGGACCGGTGGCATGCGTAATTTAAGACCTTTTTGACTTCCTCTTCAGTGCCTACTTCAGTGATATGAAGTTAAAACCAGGTACTGAGTCTTCACTTGATTTTGAAGGTGCTTTGCTTGTGTAGATAGTTGTTAAATTGGTGTCCTTGCCAGAGGGGGTGATTAGTGGAGGCTTCTATTCTGCCATTTTGCTGTACTTTTAAACTCCAAGAGTTTTTAATTTTGATAAAGTCTAATCTGCCTTTTATTTTTGTCATGTGTGCACTAGATATCATATTTTTGAAAATCTAATTCAAAATTATGATTACTCAGGTATTTTTCTAAGAATTTATAGTTTTAGCTCTTACATTTATCTGTGTGACACACTTCCAGTTAAGTTTTTGTACATTGCATAAGATAGAGTTTAATTTTCATTCTTTTGGATGTTGAAATCCAGTTGATCTAGCACCATTTGTTAAAATTTATTTATCCATGGAGTTATCTAGACAAGTTGCACTTGCTAGCATCTTCAGTATAATATTCAATAGAAGTGGCAACAGTAAATCTCTTAGTCTTGTTCCTTATGTCATGGAGGAAACATCAAGTCTTTCACCATTAGTAGAATATAAACTGTGAACATTTTTGTAGATGACCTTTGTCAGGTTAAGAAAGTTTTGTCATATTCCTAGTTTCTTGAGTACTTTATATTATGAAAAATGTTGAATTTTGGCTGGGTGCCATGGCTCATGCCTGTAATCCCAGCACTTTGGGAGGCCGAGGTGGGTGGATCACCTGAGGTCAGGAGTTTGAGACCAGCCTGGCCAACATGGTAAAACCCTCTCTCTACTAAAACTATAAAAATTCGCCAGGTGTGGTGGCACACGACTGTAATCCCAGCTACTTGGGAGGCTGAGGCAGGAGAATCGCTTCAACCCAGGAGGCGGGGGTTGCAGTGAGATGAGATCGTGCCACTGCACTCCAGTCTGGGTGACACAGCGAAACTCCATCTCAAAAAAAAAAAAAAAAAAAAAAAAAGATGTTGAATTTTGTCAAAGGCTTTTTAAGGATGTATTGGAATAACATGCTTCATATCCAGTAATTAATTGAAACTAAATTAATTTTTATTTGTAATTATTTAATTCACTTAATATGACATTATATTGATCAATTTTGACAAGTTATATCAGTCCTATATTTCTGTAATAATTCCCACTGGTTCTGGTATACAAATCATTTTTACATGTTGCTGGCTTTTGTTTGAAGGTATTTTTTGAGGGGGGAATTTATGTATCTGTGTCAATAAGGGACAACAGTTTGTTGTTTTTATTTCTGGTAATGTCCTCATTATTTTGGATATCAAGGTAACACCTGCCTCAGAATATTTTGGAAGTGTTTCGAATAAGTTATTGGTAATTAGTGTTAATTTTTCTATAGTCATTTGGTACAATTCACAAGTAAAGTCATCTATGATCATGCTTTTCTTTGTGAGGTTATTTTCACTGATACTGGATTTGTTATAGGTTTACAAAAACCTTCTATTCCTTCTTCTGAGACAGTTTTGGTAGTTTATATATCTCTACGATTTTTTCCATTTCTTCTACGTTATCTAATGTGATGACATACAAACAATTTTTCCTAGTATCCTCTTATAATTAATCCTTTTCATTTCTGCAATGTCACTAATGATGTCTTTTCTTCATTTCTGATTTTAATAATTATATCTTCAAATCTCTATCTCATCAATATAGCTAAAAGTTTACCAATCTTATTGATCCTTAAAAGAACTCAACTTTGGTTTTACTACATTTTCTCTCTTGGTGTTCTCTTTATTTATTATTAGTATTATTATGTTTTATAGGCTCTACAGTGTCCTTCCTTGTGTTTACTTTGAGTATAGTTGTTTCCTTATTTTTGTAATTTATTAAAATGGTATGTTATTATTTATGATCATTTATCTTGTTTTAATACAGGTATTTGTAGGTATATATTTATTCCATCACTGCATTTGCTGTATTCATAAGTTTTGATACACTGCATTTACATTTTCATCCATCTCAATGTTATTTTTTCTAATTTCCTTGTGATTTTTTCTTTAGTCATTCATTATTTAAGAAAATGTGGTTTAGTTTCCACATTTTATGACTTTAAAAAATTTTTGTGTTAGTGATTTCTAATTTCAATGTGTTGTGGTCAGAAAACATAACTTGAATGATTTTAGTACTTTCACATTTATTATGTCTTATTTTGTATCTCAAAATATGATTTATCCTGGATAAATGCTTAACTTTCTATAGAGAAGAATGTGTGTTCTATTGTTTTACTTTACAGTATTCTATTGATATTAGGTCTAGAGGATTTATGGTATTGTTAACACCTTCCATTTCTACCTTGATCTACTGACATGTATCCATTTTTTTTAGATGGAGGAACAAAGTCTCATACTATTATTTTTTATTTGTCTCTTTTTTTTCATTTTTTTTCAGGTTTTGCTTTATATATTTTGAGGCTGTGGTGTTAGTTGTAACTATGCTTATAATTATGTCTTTCTGTTAAATAAATCATTTTATCACTGTAAAATGTTTGATTCTAACAGCAATTTTGTGTTAATGTCTATTTTTTCAGATGTATTTATAGCATCTTCAGCTGTCTCAGGTAGTGTTTATGTGGTATATCTTCCTAAATCCTTTTATTTTTAACTTACTTGTAACTTTGAACCTAAAGTTTGTCTCTTATAGATAGCACTGTGATTAGATTGTGTTTTTTAACCTTTCTGCCAATGTTTACTTTCCGCTGTAGTTTTTAATCTAATGATACTTGATGTAAATACTAATAAGAATAAAGACAGATTGATGTGTACAATTTTAATTCTTTTTTAGCTTGCTGTAATATATTTTACTGATTTTTTGTTGTTGTTGTCATGTGGATTACAAATTATTTAACACAATATCATTCACCTTACTACCTATACAGCTTAAGTAATATACAAAAAAATTGTTCAAATATAGCTCAATTTATTTCTCTTCTTGGAACTTCAATTATCGTCACACAAATTACATCTTTATATAATATAAGTTTATCAACAATGATTTATAATTATTACTTTTTTAGTAAAATTGGGCAAGAAAAATATTACAGATAAAAATAGACATTATTCAGCCACAAAAAGGAATGTAGCATAGGTACATGCTACATGGATGAGTCTTAAATATCATGCCAAGTTCAAGAAACTAGACACAAAATGTCACATATTGTATGATACCATTCCTATGAAATATCCAGAATAGGCAAATTTTAGAACAGAAAACTGAGTTTTCTTTCTCAGGAGCTGAGGAAAGAGAAGATAAGGACAAAAAACATAATGAATGCAGAATTTATTTTGATATATGAAATGTTCTGGAACTATATAGTACAAAATTGGACAATACTGCAAATGTACCAAATACCACTCAATTATATATTTAAAATGATTAAAATGATGAATTGTATGTGTATTTTATCACGATAAAAATATATTTATGCTACATTCTAAACCTTTTATAGTTACCTATGTAGTTTCTTGTATTATTGCTTTTAACTTCGTAGTGTGGATTTGAATTACTTTCCAGTGTCCTTTTATTTCAGTCATAAGGACTTTTTAAAACTGTCTTTTTAAGTCAAGTCTATTAGCAATACCTTTTATTAGTTTTGGTCTGGTAATTTTTTTTAAACTCTCTTTAGTCATTAAAATATAATTTTGCTGTATGTAGAATTCTGGACAGTTTTCTTTTTCCCTTTTGACTCTTGAGAAGTAAGCTGCTAATCTTGTTGATGTAATAAGTAGATTTTATCTTGACGGTTGTCTTTTTGTTTTTATATGTTACCAAATTGGCTATAAATGTCAGTATAGCTTTCTTTGAGTTTATCTTACCTGGAGCTCATTAGAATTTTGGGGTATGCAAAATAGTTTTCTTTACATTTGGAAACTTTGAGTCATTTATTTTCTAAGTCTTCTTTCTGCTTCTTTCTCTCTCTTTTCTTCTGGGAATCCTGTAATAAATATTCTGATATACTTGATGATGCTGTACAAGTCTGTGAGGTCTTATTCATTCTTTATTCTAGTCTGTTTCATAGGTTGGGTAATCTCAGTATAAGTATTTAGTCTATATGTTCAAATTTGCTTTTGAAACACTCTAGTGAGCTTTTCATTTCAGTGTTTTATTTTCAACTCTAAAATTTCTATTTAATTCATTTAAAAAGTATATACTTACCGATATTCTAGGGTTCATCAGGAACAGTTTCTATTGACTGTATTTTTGCCTTGTGTGTATGAAGTATGCCGTCTCTTTGCATTTATTTTATTATTGTTTAAACAATATTGTAAATAATAAAATATAGTCATTCCAGGAATCAGATTTTCTCCCCTCTCCAGGCTTTGTTGTTTTGTCTCTGTATATTTAGTTGACAATTTAAACGTGTGAACTTTAGAAAGCACCCTACCTCCCCCAATCTTCAGTATTTCCTGTTACTGTTTGTTGCAGTTTTCATCGTTGCTATTTGTTCATTTAGGGATTATCCTGGAGGAATTCTGCAGCCACTAAAGTCTCTGCTTGGTTCACTTAGTAGTCATCTAATATATTCTCTTAAGTTACTCACACCAGTAAGTCTTTTAGCCTTTGCGAATGGGCTCTGTGTGTGTGTTTGTGTGTGTGTCTCTGTGTGTGTGTGTGTGTGAGAGAGAGAGAGAGAGAGAGAAAGAGAGAGAGAGAAAGCATGTTTTTAATACTCTGAAAAGTAGTTTTTAACTACATCTTAGTTTTTACTTCCTATTTACCTACCGTCTTAAGGCTTCCAGAGGTCAGAGATCATGGCCTTCACAGGTCTTTTCTGGATATGTGCAAAGTCCTGAGTATGCACATGACTCTGTAGAGGCATGTGGCTTTGCAAAATACCAGCAACATGTGAGTGGTTTTCAAAGTGCCCCATGAAAAACTCATTTCTCATTTTTTCCTTTTAAGATTTTTGGCCAGATTTTTATTGGCCCCAATGGTTATCACCACTTCAGGCAGCTATGCTGTTAAATAATTGCCATCGTTTGTTTTGAAATAAATGCTCTAAGGATATGGCTATTTGCACAGAGGAAGCTCTGTGCTATATCAACTATACAACTGCCCAGAGAATGAAGCTTTTCAGGGAGTTGCCTGACAGGTCAAGTAATGAGAATCCACTGGAGTTTGGGTGTTTTTGGATATCTAAATATGTTGTTTCTTCCAGTGGTTGTTGGTTAGCTGGATTTCACAGCTGTTGGAATTATGAGGTTGTTAGTTTTCAAGAGTACTGTGAATCTGGGACAGCATGATGGGATTAGGGAAAGTTAAAGGGTCATGAATCTTCTGTTCTTACCTAGATTCAATGATTTTTCTTGAGTAAACACTTTGAGTAATTGAAAGCTTTTGTTTTCAGATTCTGAAAATATTAATTTTGATTTTTTTTCTCCCAGCATTCTCATCACTTTTATGGAGGAGTGCATTTTCAAATATCTTTACTCTACCATTTAAAAATTGTCCTCCAAGACCCATATTTAAAGAAATTTTCATTTCAATTAACATGATTTATTATGTTTTTGTATTTGAAATGTATTAAGTGGTAATATCTTATGATTTTTTGTGATAGAATGACAAAGTATACGGACAATTTTATTTTCACTCCTATAATTTCCAGCTCTTTTATAAAGCCATGTGTCCAGATCTGGTAAATGAATGTAGGCAAAAATCATGTCACCCTCGGTTGTCATGGCAGGTTATGGGGTGTATAATTTCGAGCTAGAAATAGAGCTAGCAATTCTTCTCAAGCCATTTTTAAAGAGAAATCTGTGCCATAGACGAAATAAGACTGACTCTGGCAGAATTATTTCAGAAACATGCATCATTAACCCAAGTTCTTAACTAGTTATGAATAGTTGTGTTTTTTTTTTGTTTTTTTTTTTTTTTTTTTTTTTGAGACGGAGTCTCGCTCTGTCGCCCAGGCCGGACTGCGGACTGCAGTGGCGCAATCTCGGCTCACTGCAAGCTCCGCTTCCCGGGTTCACGCCATTCTCCTGCCTCAGCCTCCCGAGTAGCTGGGACTACAGGCGCCCGCCACCGCGCCCGGCTAATTTTTTGTATTTTTAGTAGAGACGGGGTTTCACCTTGTTAGCCAAGATGGTCTCGATCTCCTGACCTCATGATCCACCCGCCTCGGCCTCCCAAAGTGCTGTGATTACAGGCGTGAGCCACCGCGCCCGGCCGAATAGTTTTTATTTACAGTCTGTTATTCCAGAATCAAAAAATGTAAATGGTGGTACACACACACTAGTATATAAGGGCATAATTCTTAGAATTGGTTGAGATGAGAGCTATAAGGTTAGCCGAGAGAAGGAACGAGTAGACCCCAAACTCAGGCAAGCAAGTTTTTATTAACCTGCTGGGCTGCTCCAGAGGAGGCAGCCTCATTTACAGACTGCTGTGGGGTTTTATAGGGCAAGGGGCTAGGCTGGGGTAGGGGAAACTGAGTAGGGTAGCAGGTGTTTCAACCATTTCCTGGAAATGTTTTTGCCCGTTCGGCTAAGCAAGGTGGGCAGATGTCTTAACTGTATCCTAGAACTGTTTACTAGTTCTACTGAAAGTCTTGCACAAGCGGCTGTAGAAAAGTTGGGGAGGTGTTTGTAGGTGGTCACAAAGGACTGTATTGTGAAGTTCCTGGAGGAGGAGGAGGGGTAGCTTGGATCTCTAACATTCCGGCCTTTAATAGGTCATAAAGGAAGAGGGCAACGTTATCATCTGACTGCTTGTAGCTGTGGAAGGGCGGCGTAGAAGAGGAAAGGCTGGGGGTTTCGGATGGTTGTTTTTGAAGCCATCAGTATTCTTGAAGAAGCAGCATATCTTGAACTGTCCTATGGGTGAAGGCTTTGATGTGGTCCTGTAAAAACTGGGTAAGGAGACGTATGAAGCAGGGTCCAAAAGCTAAGAGAAGAAGCATGCTTATAGCTGGGCGAAGGAGGGGTAGTAGCCAGGGAGCCCAAAAGCTAAGGGACCATGAAGGCCAGAGGGACCAGGTAGAGGATGTGTTTTTTTTTTTTTTGGTGGGGGGGTGGGGTTTGGTTTTTTCATTTTTTGACTGCATCTTGTACTAGGCCTGATTGATTGAGATAAAAGCAGCACTGTTTATCTAAAAAGATGCACAGCCTTCCTTTTTCAGCAGTGAGCAAATTAAGACCTCTGTGATTTTGAAGGACAACTGCGGCTAAGGAGTCTACCTGTGATTGGAGGGTTGAAACAGTGTTAGCTATGTCTTTTTAACTGCCTGTAAGATCTTGTGAGAGACAGTGATAGTACATGAGGGAAGTAGAAAGCCCCGCCACTCTGGTTCCAACCACAGTAGTCATTTCTAGCCCTACTAGGAGAAGTATTAACTGAACGGCACTGCATTGGCGCACTTGAGTTTTTACAAGGATTCATAGGCTTTGGTTTCCAGGGGCAATGTTAATTTTTGGGCTTAGGACAACCAGAGTACAAGTACCAGTCCAGTTGGTAGGGAGGTAGAGGTAGGCGGAGGTACCGCACAGGAAGAATATGGCTTGGCTAGGTAAACAAAATTGGTTGTGTATGTTAAAAAGGTGTTTAAGCTTGTGGTCTTCATGTATCCATGCTCCTAGGGTGCTTGCTAAGGCAGCTGTGAGGAGTGGCTGGAAGAGGGTATTGGGGGATGGTTGGATTGAACCTGGTTATTTTCCTGGTGGAGGAGAAACCGTTTTGTGTCTACCAGGAGTTTGTGGTTACTGTTTAACAGGGGGATTAGGAGATATTCGTTTGGGGTTGGGGGTGGTGAGCCTTATAGGGGAATGTAGTCCAGGGTTGAAGGGATAGGCAGGGTAGGTGTCTTTTGTTGCAGTATCTTGAGTTTATGTTGTGTAGTACAGTGGTGTTAATTTTCAGGGGCCAGAAAAGCTCATAGTAACCCAGAAAATGGAAAGATTAGTATGATTAACTGGGCCTTGGAGTTGCAGAGTGAAGTTGTGAAGTTGCAGTGAAGTTGCAGTGGTTTGAAGGTAGGTGTCTTAGGAGGTGACCTGAGGGGAAGTGGCATTGGATGCACAGAGGAGCTTGAGAAGTTTAGAAGATGTTGGTGGCTGTAGGACGGAAGATGGGCTTAGTATGGTTGGTAGGAGTGGAACCAATATGGAAATAGGGGCACATTAACAGAGCTGCTTGCCTTATTGTGTTGAGAGGTTTTTCATTTTGGAATAGGAATTGGAGAGACTTATTAAGGACTGTAAATCTGGGTTTTGGTAGGGGTATGGCTTTAATTACTTGGTCAAGGAAAACAACTGCATATCCAGCAATTTTGGGGGAGCCAGTGGGCCTGGAAGAGGAGCCATCTATGAACAGTTGTTCATAGGGATTGGTGAGAGGCTCAGAGGAAATATTTGGGAAATGTGGCTGTACAAGGTCCAGGATGTCAGTCCAAGAATGAGTAAGAGGGGAAGAAGATATGGGGAGTAAGGATGTTGGGTTGAGGGGAGCACTTTTGGCAACACTGGATTTGGGATTTTCAATAAAGAGGGCATGGAGTGACTGAACTCGGGAAGGAGAGAGGGAGTTTAACACCTGGGAGGAGAGGAGATCCTGTAAATTGTGAGGGCAGTGGATGGTGGTGCTTTGGCCAAGTGTTAGTTTTTTGCTTTCCAGAGCTAAAACGGCTGCCACTGCTAATGCTCTAAGACAGGTTGGCCATCCTTTGAAGTGTGGTCTAATTGTTTAGAGAGATAAGCTACAGGGGCAAAGGAAGGAGGATCCTCTTTCTGTTGCCCTAAGATACCAAGGTTTACTCCTCAGCTTTTGACAGTGTAGAGAATGAAGGGTTGGGAGATATCAGGTAAGGACAGGGCAGGTGCAGTGACAACAGTGGTTTGGAGTTTATGGACACTGAGAAGTATGTTATGTGTGGGACTTAGGGGTTCACTGAGGGAGCCTTTGGCTGCTTAATAGAGGGGGTGAGCCAGGAGGGCAAAGTTGGGAATTTATATCCTAAAGAAACCTGCCAATCCTAAGACAGAGAATTTTATTTTTTGAGGAAGGCGGAGGCAAGCTGTTTTATTAAGGCTGCCCATGCCAGGGTCATAGCTCAGACCCTGGGGCAGAGTTGGACTCCTAAGTATGTTACTGTTGGGGTGGATAGTTGGACTTTGGAGGGGGAGACTCTATATCCTTTGCTAGCAAGAAAGTTTAGAAGGGTAATGGTGTGAGTTTGAGAGTCTTTTAGGGAGGGGCTCCAGAGAAGGAGATCATCTATGTATCGAAGGAGATGGCTGGGGGACTGGTCTAAGGAGGTGAGGTCTTGGGCTAGAGCTTGTCCAGAGAAGTGAGGGCTGTCCCTGAAGCCTTGAGGGAGGATGGTCCATGTGAGTTGTGATTGAAAAGTGTCAGGATTAGTCCAGGTGAAGGCAAAGAGGTTTTGGGAGTCAGGGTGTAGGGGAATGGTAAAGAAGGCATCCTTTAAGCCAACTGTGGTGTAGTGGGTGGTGTTGGAGGGGATGAGAGACAGAAGTGTGTAGGGATTAGGGACTATGGGATGAATAGTGAGGACAGCCTAATTGATGGCTCAGAGGCCCCTGGACAAGTTGGTACGAGCCGTCTGATTTCTTAACAAGGAAGATGGGGATGTTATATGGAGAGTGAGTTGGTCTAAGGAGAATGCACGAGCAGAGTTTGTTTATAATGGGCTGTAAGCCTTTTTGGTGGGTGAGAGAGATGGGGTACTGGGGTACGCTGGGAAATTTGGAGGGGTCTTTTAAGTGGATTTTTATGGGATAATGGTAAGCAGCTAGGGACGGGGTGGTGGTGCCCCATACTATGAGACAGGCAGGGAGTGGGTGCTAGGGACGGGGTGGTGGTGCCCCATACTATGAGACAGGCAGGGAGTGGGTACTGGGGAGAGGGGTCAGGGGCCAGACTAGTGGAAAGGAGCAGGAGGGACTTTGGTTGAGGGAGGCAGGAAAAGGTGATAGAAGCCTTAAATTTGGTTAAGAGGTCTCGGCCTAGAATGGGAGTAGGGCAGCGAGGCATGATAAGGAAAGAGTGTGAGAAAATGGTATTAAACAGGGGACAGGACAGTGGTCCGGTGGCACAGAAATTGGAGACAAGTCCATCAACTCCCACAGCTGAGACCTGAGAGGGATGATCTGGTCCTGCAAATTTATGTAAAGCAGAGTAGGTGGCTCCGTTATTGATTAAAAAAGAGATTGGCTTACCTGTCACTAGTAGAGTTACCCTGGGCTCCAATGCAGTGATGGCAGAGGAGGTCGGGAGCCCTGGGCCCCATCAGTCTTTAGCGGCCAGGCTGAGGAGCTGTGGGAGTGCGAGTGATTCTTCACTTTTTGGCTTGATGAGGGGACAACGGCTTGGGGAGCCAGGCTTTTTTGTTTGCCTGTAAAGAGGGCAGTCAGATTTCCAGTGGCCTGTTGGCAGGCTGGGCAGGGGCTCTTCAGTACTTGTGGGTTAGGACATGCCCTTGCCCAGTGGCCTTCTTTGCCAAACTTAAAACAGGCCCCAGGAGGAAGACTGCTCTTGGGTCTTTTGTGCCCTTGGGTGCTATTGCCAGGTTGGTGAATAACTGCGGCTGGTAGCTGGTATTTGGCACGATCTTGTTGGGCCTTATTTATTTTTTCCTGCTCATCCCTATCATCAAAGACTTTGAAAGGCAGGTTGAGAAGGTCTTGTTGTGGGGTTTGAGGGCCTTCTTTGGCTTTTTTAAGTTTATGCCAGATGTCGGGAGCTGACTGGGAGATAAAATGGATATTAAGAAGTATAGTGCCTTCTGGGGTAGCAGGATCAATGCAGATGTATTTTTGAGATCCTCTGTAAGGCGAGAGAGAAATGTAGTGGGATTTTTATCTGCCCTCTGGGAAATTTCTTTGAATTTTTTTTTTTTTTAATTTACAGCTTTGTGAGCAGCTTTGTTAAGGCCCGCAGTGAGGCAAGTGACCATATGGTTACGGGATGCTTGGCCAGGGTCCGTGGGTTGGTATTCCCAGGAGGGCTCTTCTCAGGATACTGCCGTGGACCCTACTGGCTTAGTATCATCTTGCCTATGGAGGTCATCAGTGTGTGCCTGGGCCGTGAGCCACGCTCTTTCCTTTTCTTCTGGAAGGAGGGTGGAAGAGGGAATTATATAAGGATCATGAGATGTTTCAACTCTTTGGTATAAGTATCGGGATCGGAGGAGAAGGACCTGCCTGAGATGCTTTTCGATTTGGGGAAAGATGGGTTAGAGAGAAAGGAACATGGACACGGACAATTCCTTCAGCCCTAGCAAACTTCCAGAGGGGAAGCATGGGAGCTGGTTGTTGGGCATGTTGGGTCCGAGAGCAGGTAAGGGTTGGAGACGGAGAGGGCTCAGAATCGGAAGCGGGGTGGTTAGAGAGAGGAGAAAGAGGGGAAATGCTGGGGCAGAAGCCTATGGTCATGGTCATGATGTTCTGGAGGAGGAACAGGATAAGTCCGGGGAGTGGGGAAGTCTGCAGGGTCAAAGGAGGAGTCGTTGGTTGGTAGACAAGTGGGGTCTGCTGAGAGCAAGTTGGGTTTATAACCAGCGAGGAGGATTTGGAAAGTGGAGTGGGATTGGCAAAGGGAAGGGCAGTTACAGAAGGTGAAGAAAGCCTGAACATAAGGAATTTCAGACCATTTCCCACTGCAATGGCAAAAATTGTCTAAGTACCTGAGTATATTGAAATCAAAAGGACCATTTGCAGGCCACTGGGAGCCATTGTTTAATTTACATTGTGGCCAAGTCGTATTACAGTATAAAATAAGCCTCTTGGGACAAACCTCTGAATGGAGGCCGAGAGTGTTGAGGTTGTGCAAGAGGCACCCCGGGGGGGGGAATACTTTTAGACAGAGTAGAGTGAGAGGCTTCCATAGCGGATGGAGGTGGGGGCAGAGGAAGAAGAGACTGCCGGTGGCTAGGACAGCAGGAGCGGGCGTCCCCAGTCCCAGGGGTTTTGTTTAGTATACGGAAGGCAACCACAGAGTCTGGCATCCCTGAAACGGAGATGCCGGAGGCCTACAGATGAGAGGGAGCCCTTGGCCCAGCGCTGGGTCTTTCAGGAAGACAGAGATTGTCAAGGGTCCTGGGTAAATGGCAAGAGTCTCTCTTACTCACCTCTGTGTAGACTCTAGTGATGAATGAAGTTGCCAACAATGGGAGGGTCCGAGAAATTCCCCGGGTCTTCCACAGGTTCAGGAAGGGGAGGGTGGCCGGGAGATAGGGAAGGGAACCGAGGCTCCAGTGCATTGCGACAACTGAGCCTGGGAGGAGTGAGGGAGCAAAAGGGAGAGGGAAAGGGAGATAGAGAGTGTCCTCTAGGGACACCCAGCCAGAGCCTACCCCTTCCTGGGTTTCGGCACCAAAATGTAAGGTTAGCCAAGAGAAGGAACGAGTGGACCCCAAAGTCAGGCAAGCAAGTTTTTATTAACCTGCTGGGCTGCTCCACTGTAAACAGAGGAGGCAGCCCCGCTTACAGGCTGCTGTGGGGTTTTATAGGGCAAGGGGTTAGGTTGGGGTGGCGGAAACTGAGTAGTGTTGCAGGTGTTGCAACTGTTTCGTGGAAATGTTTTTGTCTGCTCGGCTAGGCAAGGTGGACAGATGTCTTAACCGCATCCTGGAACTATTTAACAGTTCTACTGAAAGTCTTGCACAAGCAGCTGTAGAAAAGGGTTGGGGGTGCTTGTAGGTGGTCACAAAGGACTGTATTGAGAAGGTCATGGAGGAGGAGGAGGGGTAGCTTGGATCTCTAACAAGAGCTTCTTCATCTAATGTTTACTATACCATTTTCTTATTTGTAAAAGGAAGATTTGGAGGATCATCTGAATACCCATCCAACAGAGATCCATGATTCATGTATTTCTCAAGACAGCCATACACTAAAATTATAAGATCATAAGAATATTAATTATATTCTACCAATGCAATACAAGGTATCGTTTACTCTCTTTAAATAATAGCTAGCTCACTTCAAATTCAACATTCCTAGTGAATCTCTACATGGTGAAACAGCCTTCTTTATAGCTGCTACTTTTAATTCTCAAAGAGAGTCTTTCTGTGGTGTGTAAATATATTTGTTTCACTTCCCCACCCTTCTCTTTAATCATGGGAAAATGCCCTACAGTGAACATGGACTATATCAGACACTCTACTTGGCATACTGTGATAATTCTTGACTTTTCATTTAACATCAACAAAAATGTTAAGATAAAAGGTTATTGTTAGTCTTGAAATTATTTTTGGCAGGAATATTTTTAAAATACATTTATATTGAATTCTTTAAATAATTTCGACAGCCTCACAATAAGTAGAATTTTATATATTATTTTTCTCAAAAAATTTACAAGTAATCCTTTTCTTCACTCCTCCTCACAAAATGTATATCAAGAGGAAATAATGAATTTATGGAATAATATCATGTTTGATGACATTAATTGTCCTCTGCTGGAATATTAAATGCTGAATAATAAAATCTCTCTGAAATTTTATAACTAGAGAAGCCTCTGCGATACTCTTACATTAAATACAAGATGCTAATGGGTGAAAAACAAATACATAAGACCACATTAAAATATTTGATATAATTAAGTTTTGAATAAAGAGATGGATTAATGAAGTTAGATGAGGCAAATAACATGATATATTTACCACTGTGCAAAACTATGCTTCTCTAGACACAGATCTTCACAGTTAAGTAAAGAGGAATATTAAATACTGAACCATCCTAGTTTACACATACAAAAAGGTAGAAGGATGAGCATTGAATAAGAACTTACAAGATATTATTAATTATGTAGCCTTTCTGGAGTGTATCAGTTGCTATTCCTTCATAATAACTTAGCACAAACATTACTCCTTGAAACATAATAACTTCAGGTCACCAGTGACTCACAACAGTTTTACCTGAGTCTCACATGCCTCTCCTGAAGGTTGTCAGTATAATAAGCAAAGAGCTATAACCATCAAACACGAGGAGCAGTGGCCTGCATATTCAGCCTCAGGAAAAGGACATTCTCGAGCACACTAATCTCAGAGATTTGGTGTCAGGTCTTTCTATTTGTTAACTATCACATATACAGATAAGAACATATTTTTATCATTTTGAGCTACAACAGGTTTGCACAAGGCAACATCTCATGCTTAAATATATTGTGTTTTAGGCATGCTTTGACTATTGTCATGTTTGACATTTAGGCTGGTGGAGTCCTTCAGGAAGGAGATGCTGAAGTGAGGTTAAGATTGCCAGCAGTAAATGATATGTTAAAGTTATAAAAGATAGAAGGAAGGGGAAAAAAAAACAAAACTGGGCAGCAAATGCCTTTAAATGTTGAAACTGTACCTATAATCTGCTCTAGCAAATGCACCATCTTCTGATAGCATCTGCTATATTGTATACTATGTTGTCGACCTTGTAGTGGTATTTGAGCCATCTTTCAGGTTACTTTTTCTTCAGTGTCCAGAATGTTGGATAAAATGAAGATAAAATAGGCACTGCCATTTTTGAATTCATTAGATGCCCGAGTATTGCACTAATCTTCACCACTCCACCCACGTTGCAGTATTATTTGTGATTTACTAGATTGTTTATTGATGGAGATAGGAATGTTAGTTTCAGAGCCCTCCACTTTATCTTTTCTACTACAATAGCTTTTACTCTATAGTCTAAGAGCAAATGTGAGAAGTACTACAATTGCCAAGTGTCTGTCTCAATTTTACATTTGGAAACCCAAAAGTCCTGCTGTAATGATAACTTTAGCCATGACCCCATCCATTATCTGGCCTCTGTATAATATCTTTCTAATGGGAGTTTGTAGGGATTATAGTACTTTTGGTCTTCAGAAGCATCTGCCTATGCGCCCCTAGTCCATGTGTGAAAGATTCAGATTTCCCAACAAGGACACTGAGCTTGTTATAACAGACTTACTTGGGCTAAAGGCTGAATCGTGTTTAAAGCTCAGGAACTCGAACTAGTAAATCCTGGGCTTGATCTTTTGAATTATTTTCTCTCTCATTACAGGAGATAAGGTGCTTTGCAAGCTACCAAGACACATTTTGCACTTTGTACTTAATCACCAATTATTCTCTTTGTGAGCTACCAAAAAGATGTTTTACACTTCATATTCAGTCACCAATGTCAGAACTGTTCCCAGCCTGATGATGTCACTATATAGGACACTGAGAAACAAATTTAATAACAACCAACCAATTTAATTTTCCTTGTACACATTATCTGTCACTCTCTACTTTTCATATTACTAAACAATTATAACAACCTGGGTATTTCTCTCCACTGGAATATTACCATACCTCCTAAGGTTAAACTTCAGAAATTGGACCACAGTTTTGTACCATAGACTATCCATGCCCTACATACCTTACAAGATTAGATCATCATTAACAGTCAGGTAGTGAGAGATCTAGTCCCAAATCCACATTTTTCCAGCTGCATCCTTGAATCACTCCTGACACCAGGTATGTTAAGTTGGCTATCTGGAAAGCAGAATACCTGAGAGTTAGAAATGTCAGCATTTTATTGTGCAAGACAGAAGGAAAAGGAATGAGTTAGTTAGGAAAGTCTTCGGACTGTAATATCTATTTGAAACGTAAAAGGAAAATTGGGCAAGGAGATCCACCTATTGTGAAACAAATTTGACTCTTCATAAAGTCAGTGGGGCATTCCAGAATACACATGGTCCTTTTAAAAAGCCCTACATTCAGCAGAAATAGCCAAGCACTGGCAACCTCTGCCTGATTTACAATTATCTCGTTTTTTGCTATCTTAAAATTATTAGCCATATTGGGTAAGATCCTTAATTCATGTGAATTTTATTTCACATTCTAATGCATTGTGTTACCTCAATATGCATTTTGTGACCCCTCAAACTGTTCAATTATTATGTTTTACACTCAATAAAATATTTTAAAGAAATGTCCAAACAGTGCGTCACCACAATATCTAGTTTATTTTTATTACTCCACAGTGTCCGATATTATGATTGCAGGACACCCTATAGAGGTGGCAGAGATTTTGAGTCTTTAATCTCTTTCATTGCCTTCTAATATATACTATATACTATTTGACCAATATCTTCATGTTATATGAATTTTGGACTTGAAGGATTTCTGACTTCTAATTGAGAAAATCCTCAAACTTCAGTTTTTAAAATTGTCATGGATATTCTTGATGTTTTCTATTTCACTCTAAATTCTAAAATCAGTTTGTGAATTTCTACACATAAAAAATCTGGTATTTTGAGAGATATTCTGAAGTGAATTAAAATTTTAAAAATATTAAGCTTTATAGCTAACTATTATTGCAAATATTAAATTTTGCAAGAATTCTGTTACTATTTTAGTGTAGATGTTTTATCCATCTTTCATTAGATATATTGCTGGTATTATTTTCTTATCCTTCTAAATTACACATATATAACACTTATATATTATTGCTAGTATTTATTTAAAAAGTGATTTTTAATATTAACTTTGTGTCTATCAAACTTGATTAATTCACTTACCTATTCATTATTAATAGTTTCGTGAATTTTACATTTATACAACTATGTTCTCTGCAAACCACGAGAGCTGTAATTTTCTTTCTAAGCTTTATACCTTTTCTTTATATTTATGTCTTATTTCACAATATAAGACCTCCAGTAAATGGCTGAAAACTGTATATTAAATAATGGAATGTTTACCTATAATCTTATGAATATTAATCCTTATGCTGTTTACGTGAAAGTAGTACCCTTGCCATTTAACAGATGAGAAAATGAGACTCAGTGAATTTCTTTCACTTTCTCAAAGTCAAATTGTTCCTATGTGAGCAAATAGCATGAGAAATTCAGTTAACTCGTAATGCTAGGGATTTTCCTTTTTCTACTTTTATCATACCATCTAATTTCAAATTCAGTTAGGAGTGCATTTTCTTCTGAAGTCCTTATTGTGTGTTTTATTTTAATGTTCTGATTATGTATCCCCTGCCCTAACATATCATGAAAAATCAGTTTCTCCTGCTAAGGACTACAACTAGAGACCTCATATATGAAGATTCACTTCCTAGTTTATACGTGCTCAGGACTTGCGTAAAAAATACTCCATATCTATATATCAAAATTACATTAGTGAAATCTTATGGAGTATTGTTAACACTTTTCTCTAGAGGGTCTGTAATTATGGTATTAACAACTATTCTTCACAAGATTAGATATTGCATACTAAGTATTTAAGTGGCCTAAATATCTTTTTCAGTCCTTTATTTCAATGTTTCTATGTCTAACCCTAAAAAAGTTAAATACTAAATGTCAAGTAGCCAATCTAATTTTTACTATATATAAAACGAATAATAAAATTTAACATTAAATGATATTTCTGTACTTCCATATGATCCATCTGAGCATATTTTTAACTACCTGCATAAGCCCAGTTAAGCCATTTTTGATCCTTTATATGGAAAATGATTATAGAGTCCATTTGATGTTATTAAATTGCATGAAAAAAATCTACATTTCTCTAGTTGATGAATCTCACCCTTGAGTTTCATTTTATTAAACTATAATTATTAGATCCTTTAATATTCATACAGGAAGAGCTTGTATCACATTTTGAGCTCAAAACTAAGCAGTAAGGAGATAAAGTGTAATGGGACAGGAGAATTAAAATAGCTATAGGAGTCTCTTTTCCAAAGTGTCGATCCATTTAATATCCAAAGCTATAGGCATAAAAATTATATTTTAATATAGATGCTTTACCATGTGTTAAAGATAAAAAAACAATGTTATTTGTTAAAATACAGTAAGGCGGACTTTATTCAGGACCACTGCTATACATTTGGAGGTCATGGAAGTGGTATTTTGTAGTGAGGGAAAAAGATAAGACTCGATTCTAAATATAGTATGGGAAAGTGGGAATTTGTATCCTTGCAGCAGGATGGCAGTCAATGGATAAAAAATAACTAAGAGGTAACTTAAAAGTAAGAGGGATTCAGGCTAAACCTATGTAACAGGATGCTTGCTGAAGAGATGCCAAGGTGATTAGACATTACCTAGGGATGGTGGAGGATGGAAATCCTCGCTAATATAAAAGGTGATAAGATTATGAGGGTGGGAGGTTCTTACCGAACTGATTTAGCAGGGGGCTTCTTCCAAAACTGGATTTTTACAAGCAAGTATACAGATGATCCTACAAGGTTCAGGAGCCTGAATAAAATTTGGTCAAGACAATCATCTTTGTTACATGTATATTAAGATAGACTTTCTGAAACATTTGATTCTCAATTTTTAAACTGTCTAAATAGCCTATCTATTCTATATATTAAAATATGCCTTAAAATATGTATTCCTTTTTTTTAGCATTGAAATGGATGGCATCTGATCCTGCTTCATGTGATTCTTCATTTAGCTCTGGACTCTTTACATCATTAAGGTACCCTGAATATATTCAGTATGGTAAGGAATATTTTAATCATTGTACACAAATAAGTCACAGTCAATTGCTGTATTAGTTCATTCTTGCATTGCTATAGACTACTTGAGACTGGGCAATTTACAAAGAAAAAAGATTTAATTGACTCAGTTCTGCAGGCTGTAAAGGAAGCATGGCAGAGGAGGCCTCAAGAAACTTATAATTATGGTGGAAGGGGAAGCTGGCACATCTTACATGGCCAGAGAAGAAGGACAAGAGAGAGGGGGAGGTGCCACACACTTTTAAACAATCAGATATCATAAGAACTCACTCACTGTCATGAGAACATCAGGGGGGATCCACTGTCATGATCCAATCACCTCCCACCAAGCCCCTCCTCCAACATTGAGGATTATAGTTCAACATGAGATTTGGGTGGGGACACAAATCCAAACCATATAAATTGCTTATTAGGGTTTTAAGAAGAAATGTATCCAGATCCATCTGTAACTGTCAACAGTTCATAGTTAGAAAAATAAAAAAAATCTAGAGAGAATATAAAGAAATTTAAAGATTGAAAAGTGAAATACTCTCACCTACTCATCAGTTAACAAATATTAACTCATATGAAGTGAATATTATGTAGCACATGTTATTCTGTACACTGAAGATATAGGGATGACAAAGAAATTAGAGTTCTGGCCTAAAGGAGTTTACATATTTTAAAAGGATACAGATATTAACCATTTATACATAAACACATAAGATTTCTTGTTCTGAGTGCTAAGAACAAGAGTCTAAGGAGGCATTTGACTGAGAGTGGCTAATGAGAGATTTCTCCTTTAGCTAGCGTTGTCAGGAAGATAAAACCCTAATGATGAAAAAAAGGCAGTAGTGAAAATATCTTCTAGAATAATGTTTCAAGCTTAAGGAACGCTACAGCAAAGGGCCCTAGTTAAATTGGACCTGAAATACTGGAGGGTTATAAACATCACAGTACTACTAATGTGGTTTTTCACTGTACTTTCATCCTATAGTTGTAATGGTTTCCAGGTTATGGCACTGGTAGAGGATCGTGACTGCAAGTTGTCCAGGTTCTTGGTGTTTTGAACAAAGAATTCGACAAATCTCACAGCAAAGAAAAGAAAGAATAAAGCAACAGAAGAACGAAAGCAGGAATTTATTGAAAACGAAAGCACACTGCACGCAGTGTGGGAGTGGACCTCAGCAGTGGCTCAGAGGCCCAGAACAGAATCTTCTTGGGTCCAAACACTCCCTAGAAGTCTCCCATTGGCCACCTGATGCTCAACTCATGTAAATGAAGTGGTAGCCCACACTCAGTCTGATTGGTTACAGAAAGCAGCCAATCAGAAGCTGAAGTGAAGTTACAAAAGTCACAGTCCTGGACAAATATCTGATTGGTTGCAAAAAGCAACCAATCGGGATAGGGTGAAGTTATACTTCTATGCAAATAAAGGCTCCACCCACAATCAGTCTGATTGGTTGTGGACAGTAACCATTCAGAGGCAGGAGTGAAGTTACAAAGTTGCAAACAAAGACAGGGCGGGCAATCAGTCTGATTTGTTGCAGACAGCCAATTTTCCATTTGCCACACAGAAAAGGTCAAAGAGAGTAGCCTCTGTTCCTTTTGTTAGATGTGTAAAGTTAGGAGTTTCCTTTCAGTTTAGTTCTAGAAAGTCAGCGTGAAACAGCCTTAGGTTCCCTGCCTCCAGACCCCATCCTCCTTGCTCAGTAACATTCATCCATAAAAAATGAGTTTTAAAATCTCAAACTAAACTTACTTATAGCCAAGAGGTAAACAAAATGACACCCTGTAAAAGCTCCCTTATTTTGGAAAGCCCTATAACAATATACTTGAATACTCAGGACTTGATATAAAACACATTCGTGAAAGAATAGAGAAAATTTATTCTTTTATGATGTTCTCATGTTTAAAGAAGAACATTTTGCCATTCTTGCTGGTAAGCATATATAGAATATAAGAAAGGAAGAGAACCTAATGTAATCATTACCATCTGTGCAAAACCATATTTCTTCTGGGGCCTTATTTTGTCTGCTTCTCACAACAGTCCCATATAATCAATATTGCTTTCTGCCCGTTTAGTAGCCAGAAAACTATTTTACAGAGGGGAAATGACCAAGTTAATAGGTAGAAGGGGTGATCATGTGGAGATACAGATCTAACCCCATCCTAACTCGAAGTGTATGATCTCTATTTTTTTCTTTATTGTCTCAAAAGAAGGAGAATATGGATGGAGAAAAGGCACTCAACCCGTCAGCCTAATGTTGTTCTCTGGTCAATTTATATTGACGAATTTTTGCTTTTGTACTTTTGTGACTGTCTCCTTCTTTTTCAGGCTTTTTCTTTGCAGGAATTTAAAAGCAACCCTATGAATATAACATTTGTCAAAAAGAGCAAGTGCCAAGCCAGTTGAGAATAACCTTACAATGTGTACAAGGATTCCAGGTAAAAACATTTTCATCCCTCTGAACAAAAGTGTCTGGCTTTTGAAAAACACTAATTTCTAAATAGTGAGAGATTCTTACATTTTGTGTATGTGGAGCTTTTAAATTCCTAACAAATGTAAAGTTTAAAAATTATTTGAAAGTGACAAAACAAAATAAAAATATACCCTTCATTTTAATCCAGGTTCAGAGAAGTTCAGCATCTCAACCATATCTTTATTAAAGAGGCAGACATGCTAATCTAAATATTTTACCAACATTAATGGCTTGAATATAGCTCAAGAATGCCAAATAAGTGTTTTATAAACTCAATAGATATACAAACAAAACTGAATAAATAGCTATAGTGATATTATAAATTATATCTGTTCATACTAATGCCAAACACTGGAATTTGAAATTGCTAATTAAAGACATTAGTGAATGTCAATACAGCAATATTTTAATGACTCCAAGATAATCCCAAAGCAATCAATTTAAATCAGAATGAGTTTATTGTAAAGTGCCAAAGGTGGAAAAAATGCCTCCCTTGCACGATAAAACAACAATTTCTCAAATGAATAATGCCTAGTCAAAATTTAACTAGATAATTACTTCATTTGCATTTATTAAGGAAATATAACAACTTGGAAGAAAGCTCTTTGGGAAATGATCTCGGAGTTTAGAGTCATCTAATTTTACCTAAACTTCTGAATACACAGAACACATTAATGATGATAACAAACCAGAACAACAGCAGCAGAAAAGAACAACAAAATTATACGAAATTTATACGACAAAAGGCAGGGGCCTATTTTATAGCTAGTATGTGTATAAAAATTACCAGATCATTGTAGGAAGGTACTTGGCCTAGTGAATTAAATGAGAGGATAAGCTTCAGTTTCTATATTTTGTGTCCAGTTTTCCTAGAAGCAGGGAAGAGTGCCTGCTTCTATTTTTATACCTGTATGAGTGTAAGTAAAAACAATGCATGAATTTTGCTTGCTTCCATCTTATTCCAACAGGATCTGACCATTGTCCAGTTTCTTCGTGGTATCACAAAGAAAATGGCCTGGAAAATCACACAAAATATAATATCCTAATTTGCTTAGAAGGGTTGGGTCTAATCTATATCATGGGATTCTTTTGGATCATCATGCCAGCAGTGGAAGACTCAACAAACAATTAAACGATTAAAATCAACAAACACTTAAAATCAAAACTAACAACTATAACAAAGTTCTGAGCTAGTCTGAGATAGTTTAGTCTTCCAATCAGTTGTAGGTGTGTGCAATGATTTGTGGCAATAAGGAAGCAGACAGCAAATATTAAATCTGATGATAATCAGTCATTAGAATGACATGAAGGCAGAATACCATATGTACTTTGCAACTCCTCCCATCAAAAAGTAGAATCTATCTCCTCATCCTTTGAATCAAGTCTGGCTTTGTTACTGGGTTTGAACTATAGAATATAGCATAAATGACAGTGTCAGTTCTGAGCATACATTTCAAGAGGTCTTGCAGGTTTTGCTCTCATTCTTTTACAGTTCTGCTGCTATATAAACCAGCCTCAAATAGTCTGAGTCTGTGATATCACTGGGTCACCCCCATCACTTCAGTAGAAGGCCTGCCACTGCCTGACATGTGAAAGAGAGCATCCAGGATAAGCCACCTGTCAAACTGTCAACTTTATGCAGATATACAAGTGACAGGTTTGAGATCAGCCCAGCCCAGTCAACAGAGAAATATCCCAGTAGAATCATTATATAATTAAATAACATTAAAAAAAAAAAAAAAAGAAAAACTAAGTTTGGGATGATTCGTTGTGCACCAAAGACTTGAATGTGACCAAGTGCTAAAAATTGTCCATTATTTACCCAACATACTTTGTCTTGACCGAACTTTAGTCAGGCTTTTCTCCTCCCTAAATGCCCCTAGACATTGGCTTGCCTACAAGCTCAAGTAAGCACTAAAGCACCAAGTTACAGAACATTCCTCTCAACAGCTCATTCTGAAAATTGGCAGACCACAGAAACATTTTATGTTAAACCATCCTGACCACGTCGTTGGCTCATGTCTACCATCTGCCCTATTATTCACAAAGTTCTTGCTAGCACTAACCTCCCTATTTTTTTTGCTTTTTTGTTTACTTTTGAGACACTTGCAGATCTTGAGGTTAGAGCGTTTCCCCATTGCGAGAGTGTTTTTGAATAAACTCTCTCCTTATTTGAGTCTGCATTTATTTTTTGTTATACAACTTGAAGAGTTTAAGAGTAAATGAGGGCCGGGCGCGGTGGCTCACGCCTGTAATCCCGTCACTTTGGGAGGCCAAGGCGGGTGGATAACAAGGTCAGGAGTTCAGGACCAGCCTGGTCAAGATGGTGAAACCTCGTCTGTACTGAAAATACAAAAATTAGCCGGGCATGGTGGCATGTGCCTATAATCCCAGCTACTCTGGAGGCTGAGGCAGAGAATTACTTGAACCCAGGAGGTGGAGGCTGCAGTGAACCCAGATCGCACCAGTGCATTCCAGCCTGGGTGACAGAGGGAGACTTCATCTCAAAGAAAAAAAAAAAGAGTAAATGAGTAAGGACCTGGTCAAGTGGCTAAAAGGCCACTATATATTACACAGCTCAGTTCCGTTTTGTTATTGGAGTATGGTGAGTTGAGTGTGTGACTTGCTCAAAAAGCCAGTGACTCCATACTGTGCAACTAACTGTGGGTTAAAGGGGTGTTTCTTAAACCACATTGTGCATAGGAATCACCTGTGGGTCTCATGTAAACAGAGATCTGGAATGAATTCTGAGGTTCTGCTTCTCTAAAGCTCACAGATGATACCAAAACTGCTGATCAGCTTTCTACTTTTTGAGTTGCAATGGGATAGAGAAACTCACATATCTTCATGCAAAGTTCCAAAGTTAGTGGAGAGAGATTATTGAGAAAATTGCCCTTCTGCTTAAACCCTGCGAGTGCAGCACAGTTTATATGGTGTTGCTTATAGATGATAACTCATTTATGAATTGACTCTGCTCTCATCAGACTTCACAGATATCCTCCAAGCTATAAAGAGCTTTTTCAGGGAATTTTTTCTTTTTAAATGCCTAATATCATTTTATTTATATGGACAAATGTAGATGGTGACATGTTTCAGCAAATCCAATATTGAATAAGCAAGTAAAAATAATAATTCATAAGTTGGACTCTTTAGATAAATGGGTAATGATGTAATTGTTTGGTTTCATTGTCCCATATAGTGCTCTGTTGTAGCTGTATTAAAATCATTGGTACTAAAGTAGAGGTACTAGAACTCTTTAGCCAAAACCAAAACTGCACATTTTCCCTTCGCCTGACCCCCACACAGTGCTTTTGCAAACATGTAATTTGAATGACGTGAAGTGAACATTATTTTCCACTTTGATACAGGCATCACAATCCATACACGCTTTCACTGAAGCCAATTCAGAGTTTATAACATTAAATTCTTTTATAGGTGGGTGCGGCCTTTTTATTTATCTTTAACCAAACAAGACACAGTCGCGCCTCCCTTAGTGACAGGAATACATTCTGAGAAATGTGTCATTAGGTGATTTTTGTCATTGTGCAAACATCAAAGAATGTGCTTATGCCAACCTAAATGGTATAGCCAACTACACACCTAGGCTAAATGGTAAACCTATTGCTCCTAAGCTTCAAACCTGTATAGAATGTTACTTTACAGAATACTGTACACAATAGTAATACAATAGTAAGTATTGGTGTATCTAAATATATCTACATCTACAAAAATGCAGTACAAATATGGTGTAATCACATGAGACCACCATCATGTATACATTCCCTCATTGACCAAAATATCATTGTGTGCCACATGACTGTAATCTAATTGTTGTGTTTGGAATCTTTAGTCATCTTTATTTCTTTCATATGTATATTAAATATGTATTATATTATATATTCTTAGCTATAATATACCTATAATATAGCTAAGAACATATAATATATATAAACTATATATAATCCATAATATAAACTATTATATAATCACTTTATATATTTATATATTACATATATTTACCTATTAATCAATACAAATAAGTTATGTGATAATTTAAATTATGGTAAGATAATATATAAAATATATCTGAGTTCTTTAATATCCATTCTCATTTAATTTTTGTTGTATTGCATAATTTATACATATCTTATGTCAGTGTTCTTAGTATTTACATTCTGATAATAAAGTTGCCCATATAAAAGTAAGGCAAATAGAGATCGAAATAATCATTTGGGGGAATAGAATATTTTACAAATCTTTACAAATCTTTACACTTTATGAAAGTACCCCTGAATTTAGCATCAACTTCAATTTTTTTGATAAAAATCAAGTTCTCTTAAATGTCATTCTAAAAATAGGATTTATACTCACATGAAAGATGTGTGTGTGTGTTTGTATACGTTTTTTTCAAGGTGGTAGAATCTAATCTGAAAAATAATGAAACTGTCTTTGGTAAAAGAAGAATCTGACATTTTACTATATTATTCTCTCTAGTAAATTATGCAATTTTATATTCAGGAGACTTTCATGGAATTATTATACTTATTCTCTACTAAGTACTATTTCTAGAATTTTTCTCCTAGCCATTGTTCTTTTAATCAGCTGTGTTATCAAAACCATTTATAGTCCTTCTACATTTGGGTCCTTAGAAAATTTCCATGGAACTACTTCAGTAAATGGACTCATATGCAGTAAAGTGCATATGAGTTTAAAATTCTATTTAAAATCTATTATATTTAAAATATATTGAGAAAATACCTGAAGTATTTTAAGGGTGTTTATCTTATCAGTGCAGATTGGAATCATCTTAATTCTTATTAAATTGACATCCTGCATTGATAGGCTTAAATACACATGTGGCAGAGATGAAGCCTAATGAAGGCTCTAACCCAGAGCTGACCAATGACCCCTACCAGGAGCCATGCTGCTGGAACAGAACTCCTGATGTATACATCCATACCTAATATTAAGACTCCAGCTTAAAAGTTTGAAAATGTATTGTATTTACTGCACAATTCTTGCCGAGATTTACCCTAAAAATTTAAGGTTTCCCGAGAGAAATAAGAATTATATATCCACTTAGAATAGCAGTTAATGGCCATTAATATCTAGTCTTATCAATAGGAAAATTAAAGTTTAATTCCTAAATCAATTTAGAATTAAGGACCTTGATATAAAGCTTAGGATTTCTCTTTCAACAGAGTATACTTAAAAATTGTATTTATTCACTGTACTTTATAACCTCTAGATTATGTTAAGTTCTTTCTTAAGATATAAAACATAGATTAGATGTATAGCAACCAGCCCACCAATAGTGAAGGAAATATACCTTCTAATTATTTTAAGACTCTCAAGAAATCAGTTATATTAAAATATTCTCTAATAACAATATATAACAAAAGAACATTAACATTGTTACAATAGTTAGAAATATTTGTTATACTACGTATTCTCTAATCTGTTTGAATTTTGCATATATGTATATGCCTCTAAATATAATGTAGTATAATATAATATATAGTTCAAACTTTAATGTTTTATATTAAAATATATAATATAAATATGAAATAGAAAATGTAAATAAGTCATATTACAACATATGGTATAACTATGAAATAGAAAATGTAAATACAATATATGCAAAGTGCAATATATTACTGATGTATATATATGCATATACATGTGAGTGCAAAAATATACACATACATATAAACATACACACACCATCCACACGAAGACATACACATATATCCAAACATGTATGCATTTTTTCAATTGGGATTTAGGCCGTGGAGAAAAAAGGCCAAATTATCCATTGGTCTATTCAAAACATTCATTAAAAACACGATTTCTAAATCTTGACATTAAAAATGAACAAATTTCGGCCGGGCGCGGTGGCTTACGCCTGTAATCTCAGCACTTTGGGAGGTCGAGGCAGGCAGATCCAGAGGTCAGGAGATCGAGACCACAGTGAAACCCCATCTGTACTAAAAATACAAAAAATTAGCCAGGCGCGGTGGTGGGCGCCTGTAGTCCCGGCTGCTCTGGAGGCTGAGGCAGGAGAATGGCGTAAACCCGGGAGGCGGAGCTTGCAGTGAGCCGAGATCGCGTCACTGCACTCCAGCCTGGGGGACAGAGGAAGACTCCATCTCAGAAAAAAAAAAAAAAAAAAAAAAGAACAAATTTAACAGAACATCTGAATATAAACATATATAAAAGCAAATTATAAAATCATCTCAAAATTTTACTTGAAAAGAATTATTTAGCAAAGTAATTTTTTTCTGATATCAATTTTGTAAAACTTAATGTTTTATGTTTGAGATGCAGTGATTCATAACTGTTTTAGGTAAAACAAACTTAGAAGAACAACATTGTATATTTTTTGCAAAAAAAAAGTGTAAAAGACTTGAGAGAATTTTGTTTATTCATTCATTTATTCATTCACTCATTCTCTCACTAATACTTTCTCCTTGCCCATGTGATAGGAAGCATGTTGACAGCTCCTGCTCTGAAGAAGTCCATGGTATAATCAGTCAGACACAGGCCCTAGTAATATAAGACTTATTGGGATCAGAATAAAGGCACAAAAATGAATGTATTTTTATATTAACTTGATAGCAAAAATAACTTGTAGAGGAGAGGACACTTTATTTGAATTTAAATGAAGTGTATCAGTCAACTGAGAGAGGACTTTAGCGAAAGAAGAAAGAGTATTACAAGCTCTTGCATCCAAGAAAATCTTTAAATATAATGTTTTAGGGAGTAACCTAATTAAAGTCATCGGTACTAATTTTCCCTTTAGTAGTACAATATTATTTAAAATACAGATTGGAGACTATATGAAGTGTCATGAACATCTCTGATTTCTAGTGTCATCAACATTAGGTAGAAAAGTCCCATAAACTAACTCTCAAAGAAGTAGAGTGAAAGAAAGAGAGAATGGATGAATCTATGGAAGTCCAATACAGAAGAAATAATTGTGGTTCAGTAGATCTGAGATTTGATCAAAATTTTATTATATATCAGTAAAACACATATAATAAAGAAAAACCCACATACAGAAAAACATTTAAAAAACTGCTCTTGTAGCCCCAGTTAAATTAGGTAAATTTTAAAGTTTCTTTCTTTTCTAGCACTGATATTTTTAAACTTTATTTCCTTCTAAGACCAAAAAATAAATACAATCATATGTACATGCATGTACATACAAAAAAAATAGAATAAAAGCAGTGCTATGTGGAGACAATTTGAGAATTGTAATATTTTAAACCATAATATTTCTTTGTGTAACAATTAAATGTTAAATCCCCTAAAGTTTAGCTTAAATGCTAACTTGCTGTTTGCAGAACAACATAGACATATGGAGAAGAAAGTCTTTGTGGCTCACAGGAAAAATAATTTCAGCAGTAATCCGCATACCTGCAGTTGTGATAACAAAATATGGGTTTAAAAATGTTTAGCTCCAGTGTCTTAATGGGTAACAAAGGAAGGATCAAATATCTTTCTATTATTTTGTTTTTGACATACATTGGTGAGGCATTGTGTATCTCTCTGATTCTGTATATTATTGTCTCTTTGCATATGCATGGATGTGTTTCTATACACATTTGAAGTCTAGCTCTTATTTTGTATCCATTTTTACCACCATAACTCTTCTCCCTCCCCTTTTAACTGTATTTCTCTCTAGTTTACAGCTTTCTAAATTATACTCTTTCCACATAATTGGCCATAGTATTCAATGAAATGAGACTTCATTTTTTTTTCTATTTGGTTAAAAAAAAGATGGTATTTGCTGATCCTATTATTAAAGAATAAATGAGCCATATGTTTTATATCTCTCTCTGAAATATATTCACATTTTAAAAATATGAATCTTTACTTTTTGAAGGTTCACTGATCCTCTATACAAAATAGAAACTACAATACATAAAATAAACTTTTGTTAAAAAGAACTAGCAAAATAACATTTTACTATAAAACGTGTAGAATTTTCAAGTATCAGACATTATTTCTAAAATCAGCATTTAAAATCTCAATATTGCATACCAATAGTACAGACACTTTTATTTTCTTAAAGTTTACCATATATTTTGAAATAAACTGACACACAAAAAGACTTTAGATGTGTTAAGTGTATAATCTGAGGATTTCTGACATAGGTAGATACTCGTAGAACCATAGCCACATTCAAGAAAATACACATAACTATCACACCCCAAATATTTCCTAATGCCATTTTGTAATCCCTCCAACCCATACTAAAAAAATTTCCTGAACTTTATATAATTAGAAACTTAACAGTATGTACCCTTATTTGCCTGGCTTTAAATTTCAACATAATTATTTTTAGATTGGTCAACAGTATCGCATGTATCAATAGTCTGTTATTTTGTATTGTCGATTAATATTCCACTGTATAGATATTCCAAAATTTGTTTATTCATTTATTCCCTGATGGCCATTTGGGTTGTTTCCAGCATTTGCCTGTTACAAAGAAAAAGCTGCTATAAACATTTATCTTTTCATAGACATGTTATTTATTTCTCTTCAATAAATACCTAGAAATAAAATGGCTTAAAATATTCAAGGAATTAAAACACAATATTTAGAATTTCAAGAAATAATTAGAAAATATAAAATAAAAAATGTACACAACCAAAAATAACAAAACTGCTGAAAATCAAAAACGGAAGCCATCTTAAATGCACCTATAAGAAAGTAAGAATGTATCACCTTCACCGGAGCAAAATAATTACTTTTACTCTCAAAACAATTATTGTGACTTTTATTCCTGTGTATTTATTATAATAAATGAATTCAAACTACAACATTAAAATCCGTTAATTACACTTAAACAATGATTCTTAGCTGGGTTTGTGGCTTCATAATAGTTTTATAAGAGAGCTCAGTAGAGCATGACACACAGCTTCATTGTGGAGAGACTACAAAAGGTAAATTTTGAGAAATTAATTATGAGTTTAGCATAAAATTACATGTATATTCAGATCATTTTTTCACCTATCAGAATGCTAATGATTTAATTATCAATCATTGTAAAAACACATAGCACATTGTGTTAGCAACAGTGTGGGGAATGACGGATATTTATATATTGCTAAAAATATAATTGTCCCAAATTCTGGAAATGACAATTGGACAAATATTTTCAAAATCTAAAGTTACACATGTCCTTTATTATAGCAATACAACTCCTAAAAATTATCCTAAAATATACTGTTTATCATATGATTCATTCATTTCATTATGTTTTGGCCAAAAAAAAAAAATCAAACTAAATATAAGTTTAGGTAAATGGCTGCAGATAGTACAGAACAAATAACACTGGAAACAAAAATATAATAAGAAAACTATTACATATATTTGAGAGACACTGTCTCTCTCTGCTGCCTAGGCTGGAGTGAAGTTGCATGATCATAGCTTACTATAGCCTTTATTCCTGTGCTCAAGTAATCCTACCACCTCAGCCTCCCCAGTAGCTGGAACTACAGGCACATGCCACCATACCTAGCTATTTTTTTTTCTTTTAACATTCAGGGGTCTTGCTATATTTCCCAGGCTGGTCCCAAACTCCTGGCCTCAAACAATCCTCCTGTCTCAGCCTTTTGAGTTACAGGAATTACAGGTGTAAGCCACCGGTCCTGGCCCAGGAAACTATTTATATTGACATGGAATTAATTACAAAATATAGTTATGATTTAGTTATGATTGATAATTAACTGCCAGCTTTGATTTTATATATACTGTAAACCATAATGCAGTATAAATAATATGTAATACATCAAAAAGTTTTTAAGGCCAATTATATATTATACAGCCAATTATAGTTTAGAGCTGCTAAACATCTGCTTTATCTTCATTTTAATTATTTCTAGAAATCAACATCTACTTATGAAGATCCAAAGATATGTCTATGCTCACATGCAGTGTCTCTGAACATCTTTTAATATTTGCTTTAATATAGTTACCCTCTAACGAATTCTTCATTTTTTGTTTACTTAAGCTTTTTTCCTGTTAATTTTATGAGATATTTTCATTACGTATAAAATTCTAAGTAGAGCTTTTGTTTTTATTCTGATTTGCATAGTTTCTGGTGACAGTTGTCTATAATAATTCTGAAGTTTTTTTCCTCCTTTTGTATGGAATGTGTCATATTCTCTGGTTGCCTTTGGGATTTTATCTTTATCTTTGCTCTTTAGCAGTTTAAATATGTTGTGTCTAGGTGTATGTCCACAGGATAGATTCATAATAGTCCTTGGAAATATTTATGATATTCTGAATATCATAAATATTAATAATATTTCTAAAATTATATTTATAACATTTCTATATTTGTAATATTTATAATATTCCTTGGAAATCTTTATAGTGTTTATAAAGATTATCATTTATACTATATATAAAAATATTTCCTTGGAAATATGTATAATATTTATAGTATTCTCAGCATTATTTCTTCATTTTTTTTTGTTTCTAAATTCTCATTCTGAGATTTTAATTACAAGTATCTTAGCCATTTAATGCTGCTCCACAATTCTTGGGCACTCTGTTCCTTCTTCCCCCTACTTCCTTTATTATTCTATCATCAAGTTCGCTGTATCTGTCATTGGCTCTGATGGGTCTACTTTCCACCAAAGGCATTTGTCATCTCTGTTTACCTTTATGATATTTCTCATAGTTTTTTTCTAAGCTCCCTGCAATATTGTGCCAACATGTGGTCTTTGGCTGAGTCTCATCTGTTGATTACTTTTTCTCAATAATGGCTTATATTTCCTTGTTGTGTGTGTATGTCTCAAAAATCTTGGTTAAAGGCTGCACATGGTGTGGAGAGTAGAAATTGTAGATAAATGTAATTATGCCTGGAAATGGGCCTGCCTTTTCCTAACCTAGGTCTCCACTATGGGCAGTTGAATCAATCTAATCACCTCTTGAGCTGATTTCATTTTATCCCTTTTGTTATTGTTTTACATTGTTCTGACTACCCTCGGTCCTCCATTTGTTTCTAATTCTTATCCATTGCCTTCTGCTTATGATGGTAAGCCTGATCTAACCTCAACTTTAGAATTTTCCCCTGCCCTTTCACAACACGAAATGTCTCTACACTCTTTTTTAATCTCCTGTTTGTAGAATGCTGTTATAATATTTAATGCTAGCTGCTGTCCAGTCTTGTAGTAATGGCAGGGATATTTTTATTTTCGTATTTCCAACTTTGTTTTAGGCAGGACTTGTGTCCTTGAATCTCAGGGTTCACGCATTATTAGTGATCTTGTTCTACTCCCAATAGTAGAAGTCCTCTGATAGTAGAGCCCGAGATGGTGTTCTACTCATATGCCAGTTTTGGAGGTATTTTTGTTTCGTTTTATTTGCTTCTTTCAGCCTTACCATTGTTGCCCTGAAACCAGTATTTTTGCTGACCATTCTCTTACAGCTTAAGACTTTTGCTCTACCTGAAAAAAAAACAAGCCAAGAAGAGCTCTGCTTTTCGCCAGTGGCAACCATTCTTATCCCCCAGTCCTTCACCACAAGGAATGCTTTCTCTGTCTCTTCATCTGCCCCTAAACTTTCTTATGATTCCCTGGTGGAAATCAGAAGAGAAAACCTGCAAGTGGCTGCAAACTTCTCTGATGTCTGTTGTCCCCTTCAGTCTATATTCTCAAGATAGCTCCCACTCAAAATTTACAACTTATTGAAAGTCAGTCATTCTTATCCACAGGGAGAGAGGTCCTACCTTCCTTGCATGCTCTGCCAGAGATGAGTCAGTGTCGTGTCTCATCTCTCCCTAGAGAAAACCATCTATACTTCCTCAAATTTCAGTCAAGATGGAGAACCTGTAGTCAGCTCCAATATGGTCATAAAGAAAGTTTTGATTTTATTGAATACCCAGATTTTTCTTGTTGTGAGGCTGGCACTGGTGTTCTTTTCAGATTTCTACATCTTAAACAGAAAACAGAAGATCTAGTTTTCTTATGTGATTTGTAAAATTATAATACAAACTTATGAGTAAAGTATGCACAGAGAGAACCATGGCAAATATACGCGTCTTTCTTATCCAACAATGCATAGTGTCTTTATTTAAGAAAAAAATTATGAACATTTGGGGGATTGAATATAGACCTTTTTAAAAGACCAATAAAGTAAGAACATTCACACATATGCTTGTGGTCCAAAGTTTCGTCACCTTTGAATTTAGGTGATATGATTTGGCTGTGTCTCCATGGAAATCTCATATTGAATTGTAGCTCCTATAATCTCCACGTGTCATGGAAGGGACCCAGTGGGAGGTAATGGAATCATGGGTGGCAGGTTTTTCCCATGCTGTTCTTGAGATAGTGCATAAGTCTCACAATATCTGATGGTTTTAAAATAGGCAGTTCCCCTGCACACACTGTCTTGCCTGCCACCATGTAAGACATGCCTTTGCTCCTCCTTGCCTTCTGCCATGATTGTGAGGCCTCCCCAGTCATGTTGAACTGTGAGTCCATTAAACCTCTTTTTCTTTATAAATTAGCCAGTCTCAGGTATTTCTTCATAGCAGTATAAAAACAGACTAATAAAATGGATAAAATATTAACAATAGCAAAACTTGTTTTTGTAAGTTTATCTAGCTTTACTTTTCAATTATATGAACTGAGATAATAATATTATGGATAGAATATTCCAAGAGAATATTCACCTAGAGCATATTTCACTGAAACATGGAAGCATATGTAACCACTTCCATGTTTACCTACATATAATTTTTCCTTGTTTAATCAATACATTAGTCAATATTGATATAGTTTAGATATTTGCACCTATGCTATTCTCATGAAGAAATTTGATCCCCATTGTTGAAGGTGGGTCCTGGTGGGAGATGTTTGGATCATGGAGGCAGATCCTTCATGAATGTATTTGGTCATCCCCTTGGTGATAATTGACCACTTTCTCTAAGTTCACAGGAGACCTAGTGGTCTAAAAGTGTGTGGCACATCCTCTCCCTCTTTCTCTTTCTCTCTCTGTCTCTTTCTGTCTCTCTCTCTCTTTCTCTTTCTCTCTCTCTCATGCCTTCTCTTGCTTTCGCTGTGTAACCTGACCTGCTCTTCTTTCATTTTCTGCCATAATTAAAGCATACTGAGGCCTCCCTAGAAGCCAAGCAGAGGCCATCACCATACTTCGTGTAAAGCCTGCAGAACTGTCAGCAAATTAAATCTCTCTCATTTATAAATTACCCAGTCTCAGGTATTTTTTATAGCAATGCAAGAAAAGACTAATAAAATATTTCCTATGAACTTATTTTCACAAATATGGCATTATATGTAATGTAGCTTAAGAATGTTTTTCACCAGTTTAGGAGAGAGAAAATAGGCATTATTGATTTCGTTAAAATGTACAATTATTTGTCACCAAATGTCAGGATTTGTAGCGTAAATAAGAAATACAAAGGAAGCCATATCTTGGCAGGCTGGATATTGGAAATATGTTTCATGGGTAACATCAGGTATGTGTAGATGGGTACATCACTCTTCATACAGAGAAGGAATTTCAAACAAATGTTAAGAACATGACAAATATAGGGCAGCCATCGTGAGTTAAGTGATTTATTAAACATGCAGGTATAGATCATGATGTAATTTGGGAGAGATTTGAAGGGTTAACATTACAATTTTGCAAAAAATTATGAAATAAGATTCTGAATGGCTTTATGTAATTTGGAACTATGAATTTAGAATAAAATCACAGAGTAAGACTGACTTACTCTCAACTTATAGGCAAGAGGACTGTACTTCTAAGACAGTCATTATAGAGCAGCTAACTGGTTCATTCTATTTTTCATTCTATTTTTAATCTGGATTTTTTACTAAACAACAGCTACCAAGAGAGGTTAAATAAATGGTGAAGATGTGCATTGAATGCCCAGCTTTTCTTTCCAAACTTAAGAATTAGTTATTCTATTCCTCCAGAAGGGAAATTAATAAAGGGAAGAACAAAGGCCCACAGTGTGCTTAGAGAAAATATATTTTATGGAAATTAATATCTTGGGAAGGGGTTTTTTATTTGTTTGTATTGATGTTCTGGTCTCTTTCATTGTGGTGCCTAAGAAATCTGTTACACACTACACAAACCCCTCCACATACTTACTTTTTCAACAAGGGCTCTATTGATTCTTGTCATAACTGTGCTGTGAAAGCTGTCAATACTGACGACAAATGGAGGCAGCCAGTACTGCATGCATTCAAACCTCCAAACAGACTGAACTATTTTAATTTCCTGGAGATATCACCCCTATCCTTATCACACTATTGAGAGTACCTGTTATTGTCGTTTATTTTCTTCCTAAGCTTTTAAAATCCTATTGACTGATTCTCCAAGGCTCAACTTTTGAGTTCCTTTTGTAAGAATAGGTCTCTGATGAACCCAGCAGGACATGAGCTTACCTCTTGCTCTCATGGCACGTTGTGACTTGTTCCATTGTCTGAAATGTATGGCTTTTTGTAAGACCTTCAATGTGGATGTGCGTGTGTGGTGGGGGTGTGTGAGTGAGTGTGTGTATGGGGGCAGTGTTCGGGGTATTTTTTCTTGTTACAATGTATTTCTTAGTTTAATTTTTAGAAACAAAAATACCATTGTGAAATAAATTTAAAAGCTGTCTGCTTAAAAAATATTTTATGTATGTTATCAATAAATATTTAATGGCTAAACTTTAAACAAATATACAAAAATTTTCCAAGTTAATATTGTTAAAGATAATAGAAGTTATGGAAATCTGCTACACTCTATGCAAAACCGTCTATTTACTTGTTCAAGTGCTCTATTGATGCTTGCCATAATTGTAATGTTACTCATGTAGTCAATTTTGAATACATTTGTTTCCATCTCACTCATTCTCCCTCAAATTTCCTTTATATTGCATTTTGGTTTCCACCTTCTATTTTTAATCTGGATTTTTTTACTAAAGATATAATATTAGTGGAAACTAACTTCAACAGTTATGACACAAATACAAGGTTCCAGAATCAATCAGTATCAATATGGCTAACTGAGTTAAAGTAACTGAGAATAACATTTTATGAGGACGAATGTTGATCAAGCATTCATGCATATGTAATTACACTTCAATATCTGAGTGAACACAAATAAAAGGTATGTGCTTAAATTTGTTACAAGCTGCAAAATATAATTTCCAAAAACACAGGCTACAAAAGCAAAAATAAATAAATGGCACCACCCTAAGATAAAATCTTCTTCACAGTCAAAAAAGCAACCAATAAAATGAAAAGGCAGCCTACAGAATGAGAGAAAATATTTACAAACCTTTTATCTGATAAGGGTTAATATTCAAAATACATAAATATTTAACATAAGTCAAATAGGCAAAGAACTTGAGTAAATATTCCTCCCAATAAGTTGTAAAAATGGCCAATAGGTATATGAAAACTTTTCAACAGAACTGATCATCAGAGAAATGCAAATCAAAATCTCAGTGACATATCACCTCACACAAGTTAGGATGACTGTTATAAAAAAGATGAGAAATAAATGTTGGTGAGGATGTGGAGAAAAGGGGGCTCTTGTGCACTGCTGGTGGGGATGTAGATTGGCATCGCTGCTGTGGAAACAGTACGGAAATTTTGAAAGAAAGGAAAAATATAAGTATTATATGACCAAGTAATCCATTTTCTTGGTCTATAACCTAAGGAAAAGAAATCACTACCACATAAAAATATCTGCACTCTCATGTTCAGTGTATCACCGCAAAACCCAAGAAAGGCTCACGCCTGTAATCCCAGCACTTTGGGAGGCCAAGGCTGGAGGATCACAAGGTCAGGAATTGGAGACCAGCCTGACCAACATGGTGAAATCCTGTCTCTACTAAAAATACAAAAAAAAAAAATAGCCAGGTGTGATGATGATGTGCACCTGTAATCCCAGCTACTCAGGAGGCTGAGGCAGGAGAATCACTTGAACCCAGGAGGCGGAGGTTGCAGTGAGCAGAGATCGCACCATTGATCTCCAGCCTGGGCGCCAGAGGGAGACTCTGTCTCAAAAAAAATTAAAAAAAAAAGGAGATTCTGCCATTTACCACAACACAGATGAAACTGAAGACATTATGATAAGTTAAATAAGGCAGGCACAGGAAAAAAAAATACAGCATAATTTCACTTTTATGTGGAATCTAAAAAAAATGAATATGCAAAGTTAGAAAATAAAACAGTAGTGTTACCAGGGGCACCAAGACTGGGTGGGAGAAAATGGGAAGGAGGAGATTTAGGTAAATGGAGACGAAGCATATATAGCATGAATAAGTCTAGAGACCTAATGTACAGCATAAGGACTAAAGTTAATAATAATGTACTGAACTCAGGAGTTTTTCTAAGAGTAGATTTTACGCTCTTGCCACACAAAAAATAAAATATTAGTGACCGTGTAGGATAAGATATATGTTAATTTGCTTTACTGTAGTAACCATTTAACTATCCATATATATATATCAAAACATCATGTTGTACACCTTACATATGAATAATTAAGTGTGGAAAATAGAAAAAAGTGTTTGTATCATCTTATACATCCATTACTGGTAGAAGACTGGAAAAGAGTTTCAGCGGTTTCACATCTTCTCTAACACTTGGGAGTGTCAGCCTCCCTCAACTAAAATGTGCGTGCATTTATATGAAATGAGTGTACAACATTATTACAGTCATGTGTCATTTAACTGAGAAATGTACTATTAGGCAACTTTGTTCTTTTGTGAACATAACAGAACATACTTACACAAACCTAGAGAGTATAGCCAACTATACACCTGGCCTATATGGTATAGCCTGTTGATCCTTGGCTATAAAGTTGTACACTATGTTACTGAATAGGGTAGGCAACTGTAACACACTGGTAAGTATTTGTGTATTCAAACATATCTAAACACATAGAAGGTACCTAGAAGGTACAAGGAAAATATAATATTATAATCTTATGGAACCATTGTCATATATCTGGTCAGTTGTTGACCAAAACATTTTTATGCATGCATGCCTGTGTTACAGTACTTGTATTAGTGTGATAGAATTATAGATTATTTCCTTGATAATGATAATGCTCTAATGTTATTTCACATGAAAAAATAAATATTATTTTTCAATAAGCAGGTAAATAATTTTTTTAATCTATCGTTGTAACTTTGAATTATACAATGGTGTTAACAACCCGGAGAAAAAGGAGCATAATTAATATATCCTTAAAATAGAACAATGCATTTCAAGATGAATACTAAATCTAGAATATTATTAACATCATATATTCATAGATAGACAAGAATTTTTCTTTTTCTTTCATTTTCTAGCTCTTTTTATCACTCTACTTTGACCCCTCTAGATTGTCAAAAATTTTCTGATATTAAGTAAATTCTTATACTAATGCAGAAAATGGTAAGTTCATATAAAATAGATCTAATATTAAAGCCTTACTAGTATAAGGCATACAAAAGATATTACTTCCAGGTCTATGAGTAATTATAACTATTTTATGGTATATTAATTTGATGCTGGCAGTTAAAAGCGATAAATTAATATTTTGGTTCATATTGTACTTGCAATTAGTGTGACCATATGATTTATTTACTTATTTATTTTTTTTTTGAGACGGAGTCTCGCTCTGTCACCCAAGCTGGAGTGCAGTGGCACGATCTCGGCTCACTGCAACCTCCGCATCCCGGGTTCACACCATTCTCCTGCCTCATCCTTCTGAGTAGCTGGGACTACAGGCGCCCGCCACCACGACCGGCTAATTTTTTGTATTTTTAGTAGAAACGGAGTTTCACCGTGTTAGCCAGGATGGTCTCGATCGCCTGACCTCGTGATCCACCCGTCTCGGCCTCCCAAAGTGGTGGGATTACAAGCGTGAGCCACTTCGCCCGGCCATAGTGTGATCATATGATTTTTTTTAATAAAATATTTTTCATTCAAAATGATTTTGAATATTTTTTCAAAATGTAATATATTTTGATTATTAATGGTAGTAATAGTTTCAGTATACTATATTTACCTTTCTTGGAAATTAATCAATACATTCTCTGACAATGACTAAAATTATTCATTTTTCAGTCCATCTATCAATATAATTTAAGAAAGACTGAATTTGGATGGTAGAAACCTATAAGATAAAAATAATTACTTTGTCCTGATACCATAATTTTTCACACATTTATCTTGTTTGCTCTGCACACACTTATGCAGTTTTACATCAGTAAAATTTATATATACAGTTATCCCTTGAACCACATGGTTTTAAATGTGTGAGTCCATTGATACACAGATGTTCTTAAAAAATAAAAGTTACATTGAGTGTGCCTGCTTCTCCTGCCTCCCCTTTCACCTCCTCCACCTCTTCTTTTTTTGCTGTTTCTGAGACAACAAAACTACTCCCCCTCTTCCTCCTCCTCAGCTTATGCAACATGAAAATGGCAAGGATGAAGACCTTTATGATGATCCATTTCCATTTAATGAATAGTAAGTATATTTTATCTTCCTTACGATTTTCTCAGTAACACCTTTTTTTCTCTAGCTTACTTTATTGTAAGAACACAGGGTATAATACATAGGACATACAAAATATGTATTAATCAATCATTTATGTTATTCCTAAGGCTTCTGGTCAACAGTAGATTATTAGTAGTTAAGTTTTGGGGGAGTCAATGGTATATGCAAATTTTCAACTGTGCAGAGGGTTGGTGCCTCTAAATGCTGCATTTGTTCAAGGATCAACTGTATATATCGGGTTCTGTAAGTTCTTTCGAAAATATCGTCTTCCTCAGAATTTTAATCTGATATGTGATAGTTTCTTTTCATAATGAAAAATATAATTTGTGCACTTCTCTTCGATTCCTTTATTCTGAGAGCAATAAATACTATTGAATGTGTTTATATAAGGAAGCCTCAAAAGTAGGGGATATGCATGTATTTATTATATGTATGTATATACACATCTATGTATGTGTGCATATATTTTTATGATTGTTCAGTAGGAAAAGTTCAAAGCAACTTTCTCTGTATAGGTGGAAAGGGAAATTCATAATGGCTCAGATACTCCTTTACTTAAGTGAGAATTAATTGGAAGAACTACTTGGTCATCTATGTATAAGAAGAAACTGGTATCCATTCAACAGGGGATTTTTTTTTTTTTTTTTGTCTTGACGTACTTCTTGAGTATCATTCTTTGTTTTACTTTTTTTTTTTCTGCAAGACATTCTTTCTGTTTTGGAGAAATGTGTTATTTTTGAAACACCTTATCCTCTTAGAGCTCAAAGATGGTTGTAAAAGGAAAGGGTCATTTTCATAAAGGTCTAGGATCCTCCAGGGAAGAGAATCATCTAATCTAATCATCAGTTGGATTTTAAATTTACTAAATGTTGTCCAACAATTTAAGATGGTCCAGTTGAAACATTTGGCAAGAGTGAAGACCAAGGGTCATCCTCAAGCACACCTCCTAAAATGAACTTCTTTAAAGGAAAAGAGGGTTGTTATCCTGTAACCCAGGCTCAAAATTACCACCCAGATGCCAGATGAACCAACATAAAGTTTAGGTGCAGTATGATGGTAAGCTGCCCATACTTTCTTATTGGTATGATGGAGAAACTTTCTCAGGTTTTTGTTCTGTATTTTCAAAATAACAAACTGCAACCTAACTCTTCCAAGTAATTTTTAGTACAAGGCATCCTATCTCTGTACGGCACTGAGGGATTGAGATCAACCTTATTGACTAAACCACAGTGGCTTGTCCTGAGAACTTTTGTGGCTACATTGGTTATAGAGTGAGAATTAAAGCTTATTCTGAAATAGAATAATTGGGAAATTTCTTTCTTCCCTTACATAACCAGACAATCAACTGTGGGAATAGCAAAGCTAATATTAGGTTCTTGGGAGCCATATTTCCAATTTGACACTATCCTAAAGAAACAGAAATGATGATATTAGAAGTCTGGCTCAGGATTTTTAGGAAGGAAGAAAGACTTACACTTAGGGGCTGGTTTTGGCCGGAGTTTAAAGGCCAGTGGAGAGAAAACATGGCTTTTCACCACAGGCTTGGCAAGTAAACCTTTAAACAAGGCTTTTAAGTATTAATAAATTTGCTACACATTCTGTGCCAAAATTGGATTATAGATATTTTAAGAATATAATTCTTTAAAAGACTCAGGTTATTAAGCAAACATTATTAAGTCAACAAGTTACAATATGTTGAATTAAAAGTTGACATGGTTTAAGAAAATAGAAGGTCTTTTTTTAAATTTTTTTTATTTTCTTTATTTTTTTAGATGGAGCCTAGCTTTGTTGCCCAGGCTGGAGTGCAATGGTGCGATCTCTGCCCACCACAACTCCGCATCCCGGGTTCAAGGAATTCTCCCACCTCAGCCTCCTGTGTAGCTGGGATTATAGGCATGCGCAACCACATCTGGCTAATTTTTGTATGTTTTGGTAGAGACAGGATTTCGCCATGTTGGCCAGGCTGGTCTTGAACTCCTGACCTTAAGCTATCCACCCACCTCCGCCTCCCAAAGTGCTGGCATTACAGGCGTGAACCACCACACCCGGCCAGAAGGTCCTATTTGGATTAAATGCCGGAAGAAGCATAAGGAAATTAACATTAACTGTTATATGGTCCGAAGAAATTATACTCAGATCTCACTGTAGGGTGTTTTCTTATTGTTTGTAACCACATCTTCCAGGACTTATAGTGGAAAAAGCAAATGGCTTCACTTGAAGAAATTCAAGCAATGCAATCACATAGATGAATGAAAACCAGCCCCTTCTTCATATATATTATTCAAGCCCCTTTTCATTTTTATTATTCCAGGATCCTCTCTTATTCCATTGTGCCTATTTTACATTAGTATTCTCTGCTGATACCTACTTAGATTGTCTCAATGGAGTTTATATTTATAACATAATTACACAAAAAAGGCTTTGTTTCTTTTCTTCTGCAAGTGACTAGCATTCTAATAAAATAACTTATGTTTCTAATCAAGATTCAGCGTTCAAAACAATAGAATATTTGTGGATTTGTTTTTCTATCTATCATTTAAATTTTATGTTTCCCAATCCCTTTTTCATGGACAGAGACAAATACATATAATCACTGTATTGCTAGCATCAAGAACCGTAATATTAGAATTAAACAAACAAGTCAATTATTTATATCCTGGAAAATATTAAATTTATACTGTCTTGCTAATATTTTCTTACATAATAATATGCAAACACATAAAGTGAAGGTTACTGTATAATAATATGCTCTTTTATATTTTAGCAATATTTTATGTGAAAATATTAAAACACATAAAAACTACATAAAATTACCAAAATTCCAGCACTTAAATAATTTGGTGTAATTTTGAATGTCTTTCCAACAGATCCTCTCTTAATACACCCTAATATTCACATTCATTGTAACTAATATAAGTGTTAATTTTTCTTCTCAATTCTTCTCATCAGTGGACTCATATGTATGTTTTTCTATGAATATTTTTTTCTAAAACTTTGGCACAACTATAATATCTCTAATTACATGAGTTCTTCATCAATCTGTCCACTATTAATTTCTTTCTAATGCATATTTGAAACGCTACATAATTGCATAAATTATGGATTATCTATAATTTATTTATTCAAATATTTTTGGTGGATATTTAGGTGTTTTCCTATTTTCAAGAAGCAACATTGTACGTATATATCATTACATAAGTGTCTCTAATCTTGACTGCATATGAATAGCTTGCAGTTGTGTTTAAACAGTCTCCCATGAACATATTTTTTCCTAAAATACCAAAAGCAATTTCCAAATACTGTGTAATTTCAGCCATAATTACTTCATAAATAAAGTACTCTTCATCTCTACTTCTTCTCCCAAACATAAATATATATCACTCTTTATCTTCAGACATTCAAGCAGTTATTAACTGAGATTTGTGTAACTTTCTAAAGACTCTGATAACTTTAATTTTATACCTTTTTTTGGACATCCTTGCATTATTTTTTTTTTTTTACTTTACTTTGTACTATCACAACTAAAATGGTAATTTAACTACATTCTATGAGTTCATTACAGACAAATTCTAATCCGTGTATGGAAATACTGTCAGAATAAACTCTCTGAAACACAACCTAAGCATGCTACACTTTTGACTGTGTAATGGCTGTCTAGTAATAATAATAATAATAAAACCTTTATTTTTCTTACCCACATATCTGTATGACACAATTTTGGCTATTGACCCACCTTCATTTTATTTTATCTATAAGCAGGATTCACTCCTACTATACAAATATAATAGCATTGTTCTAAACTCCATATTCTACCTAAAGAGAAATGAGGCTTCCACAATTCACTCAAAGTGGTAAAATTATTGATATGAGTAGTCTTTTATAATTTCATATATGTATTATAATATAAAAGGCAAACAATATAAAAACCATGTCAGAGTTACAAGTAAAAACACTATTAAAAAAACAAGAGGAAATCCTCCCAAAATTTCAGTAATCCATAGGATGGCAAATAAAAAAGAAATAGAATAATAAGAAACAGCAAAAACAAGTAATACAATTGCAAACTTCAGTGCTAACGTATTAATAGTTGCTTCAATAAAATTATGTATATAATCAATTAAAAAACAAGACTGATAAAGTGACCTTCTAAAATGGCCTAACCATATCCTATTTATATAAAATTCACCTCAAATTCAAAGACAAAAAAGCTGAAAGTAAAAAGATAAAGAAAGATATATCATGCAAACTTTAAGAAATAAAATGAATTACTACAATAATATCTGATAATGTACATTTTAGACAAAGAAAAATTCTTGAGAAAAAGAAAGACATAACAATGATAAAAATAATAAATCTACCAGATAACAATCTATACAAAATCTGTAAAACAATATATAAGCAACATTTAAAAAAACCTGTAAAACAATATGTTAAGCACCAAACAAAGTGTCCTCAAAATACATGAAGAAGGACTTATAAATATGAGGTAAAATATTTGTAAGTCCATATATCTCATAAGGGATTTTTTTTCTAGAGTATATAAAGAACTCTTACATCTCAATAGTGAAAAGACAAACCAACTAAAATGGGTAAACCATTTTGATTTTTCCAATGAATATTCACAAATAGGCCCAAAAGCACATAAAATGATGCTAAATATAAAATAATTCTCAATATTTTAAATCGTTATAGAAATTTAAATTTAAATTACAGTTAAATACCACTTCACACCCATTAAAATGGCAATAATTAAAGAGACAGGCAATATTCAATGTTGGGAAGAATGAAAAACCTTACACTTGCTGATAGAGATGCAAATTTGTCAAGCAAATCTGGAAAACAGGTTGATAATTGATTAAACACTTAAACAAAATGTATCACATGAATCACCAATTCCACCCCTGAATATCTATTCAATAGAAATTAAAACATACATCACCTGAAATCTTGTGAGTTATTGTTCACAACAACATTATTCAACAGTATTCTTAGGAGTTACTGTTTCACGGCAACATTAGTCAAAATAGTTCATCAACTGAGAGTGGATAAACAAAAATGGATGAACCTCAAAACTGTTATGCAAATTGAAAGAGGCCAGATGAAAAAGATCACATTGTAAATGATTTGATTATAAGAAATGTTTAATAAGAGAAATACATAGAGACACAAGTAGGTTAGTAGGTGAGGCATGGTGTTGGCATGGGAAATTTTTTCAAAGTATTAGAAATGTTCTAAACATGTATTGCAGTGACAAGAGCAAGACACTGTAAGTTATTAAAATTTTGTATATAAATGTCACATATTCAAATACCATTTTTATGTATACACAATAATGTAAGAATGATACAATATGCTTTTAATTCTATATTATTTATATAAGTACTCTACATTATTTCCATAATTCTATTTATTTTAATTATCAATAGTATAATTAGTTTGATAATTTATAATCTTGTTTCACTGTGCCTCAAATAAGTAGTGTCTTATGATCAACCAGATCATTGATTCTTATATATACTCTATGTATATGTGTATATATGTATATTTGCAGTTTACAGTTTGCCCAATGCTTGCCTCAAATATCATCAAAGAAAAAGTGTATTTTTATAATAAACTTGATGTGTTAAACCAGTTTTAATGCTGAGAGGACACATTTTTGGGTAGTCTGATGGAGTTTTTAACAGAGGGTCTTATTTTGTGGTAAAATAATGTGCAACCGTTTAATATAAAACTGCTGAATTTTTATATATACCGGAAATAAGTTAATGTATGCAGTCTTTAAAACTTTTTATATTCTCCTGGCTCTAAAGGAAAGCAAGGTAACTAGCACTCAAAAATACTATTTTTCCCGAGGATAAAAATGTATTTTGTAAAGGAGAATTTTATTTTAGCTTCAAATTATTAATATTTCAAATCAGAAAACCTAAGAATGTGTGCAGGTACGATGTGTGTTCATTCTGCCCTGGAAAAGGAGGATTAGGCAGTAAAATCCAGTCTTCTAAACCAATCATTGGCTTTGATCAGGGGCTAGAGGTTTCTGCCAGGGCTACTAATGGGAGAAAAGGAATAAGCTAGGAAATTGCAGCATCATTTTGCTCTTTTGCTTTGGGGGCCAGCTGAAATTTGCCCAAAGTTTCCAAAATATCCTAAGGATAAATATTTGCATTTTTATGTAATTGAAATAGTTGCAAAAGGACTCAGGATTTGTACCAAAACAGAAACATTTAACAAATAACTGTACAGATACCTACACCATAATAATGGTGATAAGTATCATGATGCAAACTCTGGAGTCATGAGTGTATACAATTCAAGTCCTGAAACAGTATGATTCAAAACTCAAGATACAAGGTTATAAAAGTGATTTTATGCAAGGAAATTATCAGGCGGATTATCTTGAGAAAAGAAGGACCTGGCCATTTTGATAAAAAAGTTGTAGTGCCTTTTGGCAGGTGCATATTAAGAAAGGTGTGTAGGCCAGTGAGAACGCTCTTGAGGGTGGGATAGCTTCAGTCCTTTGTACATAACATTGAGGATTTTGAAATATGTTCAAGTAAAAAAAAATAGAGAAGAAAAAAGTGAATAAAACCTTGAGCATCTTTCCTACAGACATATTAAGGATAATTTACCTTTATACTTTAGCATACTACATGGAAAATGATAATACAAATGTAGCGTTTTTTAAAAATCATTTTTATAACAACATGTTTTGGGGTAATGACGAATACTTATTTTTTACATCAAATTCAGGTGAGTCTCAAAAGGAAAATCCGAAATAATTCTCACTGAAGAAAAATATTGGCATCTTTAATAAAAGACAGTTTTCTTTGTTTACTTGCTTTGTTTTTTCCTTGTTTAATATTTCTGATGTATTTAAGTGGGTTGTTTACCTGCGTCCCTGCAAATTTTGTGTTCTTCTAATTAAAAAAATTACTCTTTATATTGATTTTTAGGATTAAAAAACACTATATATTAAGGCTTTGCTGGTTATACATGTTTCAAATGCCTTCTCCCGTACTGAGCTTACAAATTAACTCTCATAATGCTGTATTTTATTGAGCAAAACTAACTTTATTATAACAAGATGAAATACTCTTTTTTTACTATCCATTCTGTTTTCAAAATATTCACTATGCACAAGATAGCAAAATACTCTTCTATATTATAATCTAGAATATTTTTCCTCTTTCTTTGCCTGGGACAATTTGAGTAGAATTGATCTATATACATGAATGTGAGATATAAAATATATTTTATTTTTTCTAAGTAAACATCCAGTTTACCTAGCAGCATTTACTAAAAAGACAATTTTATTATTTTTCTAGGAAGAAGTGTTATCAATTCTGTTGATGGACCCCTTAATCTCTTCTACTGATTATCTTCTACTTGAACCAGTGCCAAATTAATGTTGCAAGCTTTGTCTTGAAATATGTAAGACTTATAACTTTGTTGTTATTCCACTCGATTGTGATGAATATGGGTATTCTGGGTTTCCATTTAAACTTTACATACGGTTTTTAAATTTCTCCAAAAAACCTGATAGAATTTTGACTGAAATTGATTTCAATCTATAGATCAATTTGGACAATTAATACATGTAAATGTGGTAGCTATTTATAATTATTTTCTGATATTTATACATTTCATTAATTTTAATTGTGTGATTGGATTCACATCAGTCTCTTTAGTACAATGTTGAATACAGGTGAGATTAAATTTTATCCCTATATTATTCTCCACATTTGAAAAATAGTTTTTAATATTTCACCATTAAGTATTATATTGGCTGTATAATATTTGCAATAGTATTTTGAAAAAGTAATATATTCAAATATAATTTTTTATCCTAAATTTAGTATGAATTATCATAAATTGAGTTTTTAAGTGCATGCAAGTTTATTAGAAAATATAGGAATAAAGAATGGCTACTCCACAGGCAGAGCAGCTTCAAGGGCTGCTGGTTGCCCATTTTTATGGCTATTTCTTGATTATATGCTAAAATGGGTAGATTATTCGTGAGTTTTCTGGAAAAGGGGTGGGCGATTCCCGGAACTGAGGGTTACTCCCATTTTTAGAATATAGAGAAACTTCCTGATGTTGCCGTGGCATTTGTAAACTCTCATGCTGCTGGTGGGAATATGGCAGTGAGGATGACTAGTGGTCACTCTCGTCACCATCTTGATTTTTGTAGGTTTTAGCCAGCTTCTTTACTACAAACTGTTTTACCAGCAGGGTCTTTATGACCTGTATCTTTTGATGACCTCCTACCTCATCCTGTGACTTAGAATGCCTAGCCCTCTGAGAATGAAGCCCAGTACGTTTCAGCCTTATTTTACTTAGCCCCTTTTCAAGATGGAGTTGCTCTGGTTCAAAAGTCTCTGAAATTTCCCCTATTTTCTTTGTAAGATAACCCTTCATTCTAAGGATTGTAGAGGGACAAAAATCCATCTTCTGTGACTTCTTTAGGCTGAATAGGGGTGATGATATTTCTGCCTAACTATGAAGGTCCCTTGTGTTCAGGATAGAGGGGAGCTAAGTCAGAAAGCATCAATATGCTGAGGGCCATTTATAACTCCAAGTTCTGACAAAGCTGGAAGATTAATAAGTGCACAATGTAAGAAAACATTTGGACAAAACTGGATATTGGAAGATTAATAAGTGTACAATTTAAGGAAACATTCAGTAAGCTTATCCTGCATTCTGATGCAGAGTACAACAGCAATATATTCCACAACACTGAAGCAAAATAAGTAAAATTATCCCTAGTAAAATAAATAAGAAGGCTTTCTATGAACTAGGCAAATATTGCAACCAAGCTGATAGGGGATTGCTAGCTGATTCCAATATGTCCAGAATTAGAATACTGATACAGATTTTTACATTACTTTCCCTTTAGTTTCTTCTGAGCATCAGCCAGAGATCACTGATTGGTTCACAGGAATAAGCAGGGTTACTCTAAACTGCTTGAAAAGGAAACCTCAAAAACAACTGATGAAACTAGAATTTAATAACAAGTGTACCATAATTCTTGAAACATAATTTTTCTCTCTCTAGTCTTTCATTTTTACCAAAGACAAATCATGGTAAGTTCAACTTGCTTTATTATACTTGGCCTGATTATTTGTATAATATGCAGCAAGAATAATTATTTTTCACATAAACTTTTTAAGTTGACTTTGATGGAAATTTGTTGCATAGAAAGATTCTCAGATAAGACTTTTTTAAAGATGATCCCAGCCGTGGCTTTGTACCCTCAAATACCTATGAGTTAGGTAAATTCCTCTACTCTTGAGGTCCCACGACAACTTGGAGCTCCTGAGCCTTTCAGAAAGTGACATTCTTTACTTACCGAGGTCAAGAACCCTGCACAAGGCCTTTGTAGACAAGTATGAGGCCAGTTTTCTTAAGGGAATTTTATTGGCTCTGTAAGTCAAATTTAATTCCTTAAAGAAAAGCACATCATTTCAGTAAAGCCTTGATAAAAATAACAAGTTTCTCCAGTTGTGTCATGTTCCAAAAAAAAAAAAAAAAATCCTATTGCACTTATGCAAATAACAATATGGCCATAAGTTAAGAATACTCATAAAGAGTTTCCAAATTCTGGATAAATTAGGAAGAGAGAAACAAATATGTTCCAACTTTTGTTCACAGGAGGATACTTAATTGTTAAAAGTTATCAATAGCTCAAAAGAATAAGCTTTCTTGACTCTGAAAATCAAAACAAAGGATCAGCAATGTTTTAAGCAAAATGTCAAAAAAATTACTTCAGTCTTTTATTAGTTCAGTCCATGCAGTTAACTCCTGTTCTGCTTGATATTCATGAACTTTTCAGCTCTCCATGAGAGTCCTGAAGGATTTTCCTCTATTCTAATGTCACAATATCCAAAGTTATCAGAAGCCTGCATTCAAGAACACCTGTTAGAGTCCTATGGCTGATTATAAACCACCTTTTAAAGTGGATCAAAACAAGACAACAATTGTTGGTGGATGACAAAATGCCTTAGGGCAGTCACTGTTAAAGCCACAGTTGACTAGGAAATTTTGGTTACTTTTGTGGCACACAAAAATTTTACATAACAATCATAATTATTAATAACATACAGTAAGTCATATTAGAAGTATAGGTGTTTCTCATAATTTTGGAACACATACCAATGACATATTTATACAAATACAACTCAAAGAAAGCCAAACACCATTTCATATCTGACAACGCTTCCCGTGTGATTTTTATACCAAATAAACCAAATGTCATTTTTACATTAGTGTACTATCAATGTTAAACCCTGTGTTTATTAAAACCTTATAGGCAAATATATCCAATTTTTATGTCTGATCATAAGGTAAGATTTTTATTAACCATTTATAATCCTTTAAATTTGTGTTAAAGAGAAGATTAGTGTTCTAAGAAAAACTTGTTTTTTTTATTGCAGTGATCAATTTATGGAAAAATTGAATAAAACTCCTTTAACTGTATGTTCACACATAGAATTTATCTTACAAGATCTGACATAAAATCCTTTAACCCTCTAAACTTAGGCAAGAAATCCACATTACCATGCTTCTTACAATCTTTTACCAAAAGTATATTCTACTTTTCTTGCATGCCTTGAATGTAGAGCTGTTTCTTTAGTAGTCTCAAATACATGTTACACTGTTAACTCTTGATTTTGAATTATATGCACTGTCTTTTTCTGCATATACTGAAATGATCAAACTATTTTCTACATTTTTCTCTTAATGTGGTAGAATGTAATGAATTTCAAAGTTAAATAAAATTTTTAATTTCTGCACTTAAACCCATCTTACATTGAAATACATATCTTCCTTATATTGCAAAATTCATTTGACTAATGCATTGTTGAATACTTGGCATTTATGTTTTAGACATAAACTCTAGCTTTAAAAATGATTATTATAATACTTAAAGTATAATAATAATAAAAGAAAAAAGAAAAGAAAAAAAGGAAAACATGGATAAGCAGATATAAAAATATTTTTTTCCAAAAATGGAGATTATATTACAGATTATTGCATGCCAAACTCCTTGTAAACATAGAAAACGATACAGAATTACTGTCAAAAACAATTTAGACTTGTCAGCTTTGTTGGCATTTTGAATGTGAATACTCTAAGATGTGAATCTGACTGAATAAGTGATATTTATTTCAAAAAGCTGTAGTATATCAATTCCTAGAACCTTATATGAATGCATACTTTATGAAATGAATTTTATGACTGGCTTGAATAAAATTGTTGTAAATTATTGCCTGATAAAGCAGAATGGTATCTAACTTTAGTTACCTTTAGCTTCTAATTTAGTGAAAATAAAAGACTTCTCGAAATGTCAAAAAAAAAAAATGATGTGGGAATTACGCCATTTTTAGTCTATACCCTGGGAAAGATTTTTGGACAGAATATTCTCTTCTTCTTAATTATTTGGTAGAATTTGATAAGAGGAAGAGATTTTTCAAGTTTTTCGTTTAAATGTTTGCATCCTTCATAACATTGATTTCAGAACTTGATGAGGTTATGAAAAGAGAAGAAAATTGCAGACTGATCATTCTTTTTTTTTTTTTTTTCTTGAGAAGTAATGTCACTCTGTCACCCAGGCTGGAGTGCAGTGGCATGATCTCTTCTCATTGCAACCTCTGCCACCTGGGCTCAATCGATTCTCCTGCATCAGCTTCCCAAGCAGCTGTGATTACAGGCTCCCACCACCATGCCCAGCTAATTTTTGTATTTGTAGTAGAGACGGGATTTTGCCATGTTGGCCAGGCTGGTCATGAACTCCTTACCTCAGGTGATCTGCCTGCCTTGGCCTCCCAAAGTGCTGAGATGACAGGTGTCAGCCACCACACCTGGCCTGGATCATTCTTATGTAGACAAATGCAGATATATTGCATCATCATAAGCTTAATCCACAAAAAACACATCAAGGCAGAGCGTAGTTTATTTCAGAAATAAAAGATTGGTTTTGCAGCCATAAATTGCTCTAATTCAGCATATGAACCAAATTAAATAAAATATATACACGCATATACATACATATCACTCCAGATGAATGTTTAAATCACTGATTTTTCTAACTTTTCATTATTTCATATAAAGTCCTTGAACAGTTTTCCTTAAAGTACAACTATAGCTATATTCTGCCTATTTTCCAGTGTCGTATTTCCATGCTGTTTCTTAAATTCATATACTGATTACATGCTATGGTACATCATCTCACACACGTGTTTAGAAATGTACAGTATAATTTGGAAATATTCAGAAATTTTTAAAACTTTTTGTTATTTCTAGATAATTCTAAAGTAGTCTACATACACTATACATTTAGTCCTGTGACATTTGATGATACATACCATGTATCTCTTTTATTTACACCTATATATGCATCTCTCTATAGTTTTACTATCTTTTCATCATTTGTATAATTATTTTATAATTTATTAATCATTTGTAAATCTTTTGAATAGTTACCATTTTAAACTGTTTTATCAGTTATGAGAGAGGCATTGTAAAATATTCAACTATAATTGTAAATGTGTTTACATATCTTTTGGCTTCTGCCATTTTTTAAATTTGAATATGCAAAATTTTATGTGCACAAAACATTAGAGTTCCTATATCTTAAGATGTTGTCATTGTATTAAATGCTTTTCTTTCTCTCTAGAAATACTTCTTGACTAATGTGGTTGATTATTGTATAGGTACACAAGTTTCTCATTTTTAGTATTTGAATGATATATATGTATAGGTGATAAATATGTTATATACTGTCTTATTTTGGGCATATTTTTATGATATTTGTAAGGTATGTCTCTTTTAAGCCACATATTAGTTATTTTTACTTGACATCAGTCTTTAACTAGAATATGTAATCTATTTAGATTTTATGTAACTCATTGTATAATCTGTATTTAATTCTTTAAACGTATTTGTTTTCTATTTGTCCTGTGTCTTTTACATTTTCTTTTTTTATTTTGTATTAATTAACAAAGTTTATTATTCTTTTTTAACTACATTAACTTAGCAGCTATATGGTCTTTGTATAGTGTTTTAGCAGCTACCATAGATATTAAAACCTGAATCCCTGGTTTATATTTAAGTTAGTCATTTGTTTCCTAGACAATGCAAGGGTCCTAGGCCATTTCAAGTTTATTTATACTCCTGCCATTGTATAGAGCCAATTATTATTTGTATTTATATTCATTCATATTTGCCTTTTCCAATCCTCTCTGTTTCTTTTTGCAAGCCTATTGTTTGCTCTGTGTTTATGTTCATCTGCTGAACACTCTAGGAATTCTTCAATGCAGATCAGCTTAGTATTGATTGTCTTTTATTCTGATCAGCATATCTTTTCTCTTAGTAAATATAATTTTTTTTATATTCTTACTTCTGTTACTATTCTTGTGATTCCTACTCTTAGCCTTTCTACTACATAAAGCAGTAAACTTTACCTATTTTTATAGTTTTTAAAAGATATTCTCTGTAAGTTTGTCTTTTCTATTTTAAAGTGATGGACCTGAGTATAATTTTCTTTCTATTTAACTTGAATACGTGACTTGTAGTCTTTCATCAATTTTGGACATTTTTGTCATTATTTCTTCAAAATTTTCTTTTTTTCCTGTTTTCTTTATTTCTAGTTAAACTTCAGTTATACATCAATTACATGTTTTGCTCCCACTGCATCTCTGTTTGTTAAAATATTTATATTTTATTGTTTTATCTCTCCTTACTTCAGTGTCTTTTTTCTGGTTCATTAATTTTCTTTTATCTCTGTCTAGTCTTCTAGGACACACACAATTGAGTTGTGCTAATGAATTAAATCCTTCATACAATCAAGCAAAAAAATTTAACTGGGCAATTTGTCTTTCTTGACTCAAATGTCTTTCTTGACTCAACCCTCATTCAGTAATACATCCAAATTTTCAAAAAATCCCAATATTTTAACCTCAATAATGATAGACTGTTTTTCATGTGATTGATTTATTTATATGTAAATGTGAACATATTGTAGATACTCATTATTCTGATTTACTTAATGTTTGTGAGATTCAACCAAAGATATGATGACTATTAAATGTCCTTTTCATTGTTGTGCATTGTGCATTGACCTTATATGCATAACCCAAATTAAGTTATCTATTTTCTTGATGTAAATTTCAGTTAACTTTAGTTTCTTATTCTAAAGATAATTACAGATGTGCATCCTTACATCTTTCTTGTGGAATTAAGGAACTCATTTGGTTCAATATACTAAGGACTTACATTGCTACATTAATGCTATAGAATATCTCATCTCTCTTTCCCCCCATCTCTTTCTCTCTTTATACTTAATTAAATTTATCTATGAAAAAAATTATTTAGAATAAGCAAATTTTGAATTCCAACAACTATCCTTTTAAAAAAATTCTTTGCTGGAATTTTGCTTCAGATTTATTGTTAATAGATGGTCCTGCTTACAATTTTATTAAATATGAACATCTTGGTCACGTAGACTATAGGCTATAGCAATATTTAAAAAATCATTTTACATGAAGTACAAATGAAAATTTTTATCTATCTGTGGTAGGCTGTCTGTGACAAATATGTAGATACTTTGGTTTTAAAATTAAACAGATGATGAAGCAGCTTACCGAGGTGAAATTGTTGCCCAAGCTCATGTAGTAGACGAGGCAGAGGGAGCTGGGATTAGAACTCAAGAAAATTTTACTCCAGATTCCATGCGTTGAAAGTTAGGTTCTATAGAACCTTAATTAGATTATTTTCTGTTTTACAAAGAAGAATTTTTAACAACACAGTTGTCGCTATCTTTCATATTAGAGTAAAAATTTATAGTGACTACACACAGATTAATTCATACTCTCTACGCATGACTTTGACAGAGCAGGTCATTTTTGTTCCAGCATGCGAACATGTCATTGAGTTTTGTGGTTTGTTTGGGCGATTTCTACCCTTTAAAAGTGGTCCTTTCTGGCCGGGCGCGGTGGCTCACGCCTGTAATCCCAGCACTTTGGGAGGCCAAGGCGGGCGGTTCACGAGGTCAGGAGATCAAGACCATCCTGGCTAACAAGGAGAAACCCCGTCTCTACTAAAAATACAAACATGAGCCGGGCGTGGTGGCGGGTGGCTGTAGTCCCAACCACTCGGGAGGCTGAGGCAGGAGAATGGCGTGAACCCAGGAGGCGGAGCTTGCGGTGAGCCGAGACCGCGCCACTGCACTCCAGCCTAAGCGACAGAGTGAGACTCCAACTCAAAAAAAAAAAAAAAAAAAAAAAAGTGTTCCTTTCTAGTCATCCTACGCCTTGTCTTTATCATACCTGCTAAATGAGCTCATGGAAACTCGGGTATGGTGGCCTCATGGTTGCTCACCTATGAGAGTTAATTGACAGATTATAAGAATCTACTTAGTCTAAGATGTCCCCAACGTCAGCATATTAGCATTTAATATTCTATTAAATGTTTATGTGCATGGCTCATTTTATTACAAATATTGTAATTCCAGATAACTTGTAATTCTTACGTAATTGCTATACATTTGCTTAGAAAACTCTGTCATATCAGATAGATGCATGCCTCTGAACTTTTAGAAATGACAGTAGTAATAATAGATGATGGTAATGATGGTTATGATAATAGCCATGATTAGAGTTTCTCATATAAACTAGGCATGTTTGATGTAATCAAGCTGGCAAATGATGGAACCTGGTTTCAAATCCAGGAAAAGTTTTAGTGCTCTTGAATGTCATATTAATAAGGGGTTCTTTCAACAAATACATTCAATGTAAATCTACACTTGCTTTTTAAGATACCATATGTGAAATACTCAAAAGTTATTCAAAAAAGCAGATAGAAAATTAAGGTAAAATATTCCCAATTCATCATATTATATTCAGTGCTGTATGCATTTAAACTTTAATATTGTGATTTATCTAGGTGTGCTATGTATATTTAGTAATGCAAAAGAATGACAATTTTCTTTTTGTGATTTTTTCAAACAACTAAGAAAGGTGGATAATTAAAATGAGTACTCAGAGGCCTTCTAAGTTTTCACTTACTAGCTATGGACCAAAACGTTAGGTATTAGAGGAGCTCTCAGTGCCTGAACTTGTATAGAATATCATGCCTCTCCTTTACCAATGACTTCACATCTTTTTTGTTAATACTTCAAAATCTAACTCATGTTCATGTACAGTGCTAGAAGTAGATCACCTGGCATCACCATGGATGGGTGGGAAAAGAGGTAAAGAACAAAGCATGTAGGTTCTAAGGCTTTTACATTAAATTAAAACAATGTTTTCTCTCTAATTTAGCTCCAAAAATTTCAAAAATAATGTCAACTTATGCAACAAGTGAAAAGTATAGTATAAGGGAAAATAAATGGAAAATTAAATTAATAATTTAATTTCCTTTAATAATTGTCAAAATAATAATTTATTTAAAAATTCTCCAATTTTGGATGTTCTCTTTATAACCATTTTATTTAGGGATGTACAAAGGTATTTGTACTAGAAAAGTATTAATTATAAAATATTTTCATCCAAAATTATGTATAATTAACATTCATATATAATTTTTAAAAAGGTAACATTTTAATTGACAATTCAATTTGTATTCTACTTATTATAAGTAAATTTTATATACATATCTCTAATTTACAAGTTTCATGAGAAGTTATAAGTAAATTTTATATACATATCTCTAATTTACAAGTTTCATGAGAAGTTAAAGTGCTTTTGTCTCAGTCGGCATTTGATACATGACATAAATCATAACATTAAGATTAGTCTCAAGGAAGCTTTTGGAAAATTGATCTCCATGAATTATATTTGTGCCACTATAATCTCATGTGAAGATCTAGAAAAGGAATTAAGAATGAAAAGTCAAATTGAAACATTTAAAAATATACATTTTGTTTCCCATATCCCAGTATCATATGAGATAGTTTAATATTCTTTACCATAAGTCACACCAGTTAAAAATTTTTCTATTCACTTCCACTGTACTCTGAGAGCATATTTGCATGATTTCTAGACTTTTAAAATTTCAAATGAGTATTTTATGCCTCATAATGTGATTTATTTTAGTGAATATTCATATTTCCTAGAGTAAAATTATATTCTGCTATTGTTGAATAAAATATTGTATACATTTAAATTAGATCAAGTTGGTTGGCGGTATTGTTCAAATCAGCTATATTATGAATTCTCTGTTTGGTTGCTCTTTCAATTACTAAAATGAAATTATTTAAGCCTTCAACTAGAATCATGGACTTGTGTGTACTATGTTGCAGTTCTACCATATTTTGTGCCTCAGATATGCTTATCTTCTATTGTTACATGCATACACCTTAAACATTGTTATGTCTTTTTGGAGAATTAATTTCTTTATCATTAGTAATGTCCTCCTTTATCCCTGCTTTTTTTTGTCTTAAAGTCTGCTTTACCTAAAATTCATATTTATTTAATATTCAGTATTCTGGAGGTTTTGGGGGTAAGTTTTAGCGTGTGTATTAGTGGGCATTACCCAGAGAAATAGAACCAAAAATACATAGTACATGTAGTATATGCACACGTAGTATGTATTATTGGTTCTATTTCTCTAGATAATAGAATGTATATGGAGAACTATATACATATATAGTTGTATATACACGTATACACACACGTATATGTGTATATACACACATATATGTATATATACATATATACACACAGAATTTTATATATATGTATTTATATAAATATAAATATATATATATATATATATATATATGAGAGAGAAAGAGAGAGAGAGTCATGAGAAACATGTAGAGCAGGCTATCAGGCTGGAGACCCAGGTAAATAAAAATTGATATTGCAATCTCAAGTCTAAAGGCAATCTGAAGACAGAATTTATTCTTTTTCAAATAATCTTTTTTTAAGCCCTTGTAACTTACTGAATGAGTTCCACCTAAATTATAAATGATAATTTACTTGACTCAAAGTCTTCTGATGAAAATGTTAATATTTAAAATTACCTTCACAGCAACAGATGTTAAACTGCTGTTTGAGCAGTCATCTGGGCACTGTAGCCTAGCCAAGTTCACACAAAAATAACTCTCACAGCACATTATATGATTCTCTACCCCCTTATTCGTATTTTTTATGTCTTTATATTTGAGATTCTTGTAGACGACATATAGTTGAGTGTGTTTTACCATACATCCAGAAAATTTGTCTTTTAATTGTTATATTTATATTAAACTTAAGGTGATCATTGACATGGTGTGGTTAATATCTACTATCTTTGTTTTATCTTTGATAATTTCTTTGCTGCTTTTTTTCTGTTTCTCTTTGCTTTCTGGTTTTAAGTGAGAATTATATGATTTAATTTATCTTCTCTCTTAGAATGTCAATTCTAATTTTTTAAATTTATTTTTGGTTAGTTTGTAACACCTTGCCCCTCTTTATCCATAGGGGGTATATCTCAAGACTGCCAGTGGATGCCTGAAACCACTGATTATACCAAATCCTATGTGTAATATGCTTTTTCCTATAATAGTGCCCTATGATAGAGTTTCATTTCTATATTAGGCACAGTAAGAGATTAATAAAAATAACTAATCATTATGTAAAACAGTTATAACAATATGCTAGCACCACTATTATTCACTTTGGAATCATTATTAAGTAAGATAAGGGTTATTTAGCACACACACTGCAATACTGGTACAGTTGAATGATAATTGAGCCAGATATAGTGTAGACAGTGTAGATATGCTGGACAAAGATATGATTCACTTCCAGGCAGAATGAAGCAGAACGGTGCAATATTCCATCATGCTACTCAGAACAACACACAATGTAAAACTTATGAATTATTTATTTCTGGAATTTTCCATTTAATATTTTCAGACTCTGATTGACTGCAGGTAACTGAAACTGCTGAAAATGAAACTGGATAAGGTGGAACTACTGTGTACATTTTCCACTAACCTAAGTCCACTTTCAAATGACACTACCCCACTTTCTGGATAGTTCAGGTCATTATAACAAAGTGTTTCCAATTCTTCCTTCTTATCTTTTAGAATTTTGCTGTCATTCACTTAATTTCTCAATATGTTATGATCAATCCAATCCATTTTAATATGATTGCTGCAGTTAACAAAATCAATTAAGAATTAAAAAATGAAATGTTTATTTTCCCTTTAGTTTTCTCCACCTTTTTTCTCTTTAGTTTTTATTTTCCCTTTAGTTTTCTCCCTACTTTTATGTTGATCCATGTTTCCTAACCCCTAGCATATTCTTTCTCTCTGAAGAGTTTTGAAAAATATTTATTTCAGTACTCTCTGCTAGTGATGAGGACCCTCAGTGTTTGCTTATCTGAGTAAGTCTATTTTCCACTTTTGAAGGAGAATTTTGCTGAATATAGAATTATAGTTTAGGGTTTTTCTTTCTTTTAATACTAAATATTTTACTTCCCTCTTCTTGTTTGTATGGTTTCTAATGAGAAATTTGGTGTTATTTTTCTCTTTGTTTCTCTATATCTATTTTCCCACCCCTGGGCTTCTTCAAGGTTTTCTGTCTTTTGGTTTTCTGAATGTCGTATATGGTACTACTGAGAGCTGATTTTTTGCCGTTATTTATCCTGATTTGTTTTCTGAGCTAGCTAGTTTTATGGTTTCATTAATTTTGGAGCATTCTTGGAAATTTCTATCTTATCTTTCTAGTATTCCAAATACATTTATGTTACACCTTTTAAACTTTCCATCTTTCTTGGATATTCTGTTCTTTTAAAAATATTACGTTTTCTCTTTGTTTACGATTTTGGTTAATTTTCTATCGACCTATTTTTCAAGCTCTCTGATTCTATTTTCATCATGCCCAGTTTACAGATGGTTCCACCAAAGATATTTTTCTCCTAAGGTATTTGTGATTTCCAGTATAGCCTTTTGCTACCTTCTTAGGGTTTTTGTCCCTATGCTTACATTCTCCATCTATTCTTGTATTATCTAATTTTTCCATGAGAGTGTTTAATACAATATTCATTGTTATTTTAATTCCCTATCTTATCATTCTGGAACCTGTGCCACATCTGTGTCTGGTTCTGATGTTTGCCTTGCCTCTTCAGAATGTGTATTTTATTTCCTTTTATCTTATCTCGTAATTTTTGTTTTGAATGGAGGATATGATATATTAGGTAATAGAGGCTGATTTAAGTGAATCTTCAGTGTAAAGTTTTCTGTCAATCTGCTATGAGTTTGGTTGTTGTTATTCTATTTGTAGATTCCAAAAGCTGTAGATCCCTTTGGGGTTCCTTTTGTTTCTCCTATTGTTTGAGAGTTTCCTTATAAATTCTTGTTTAAATAAAGTCTGTCTTTTGGGTCTTTCACCTGTAATCTACTGTCATTATACTGGCTTCCTGTGGAAGTGGTTATACAACGTGATAGAATAAAACATTCTACAATCTTATAATTAAATCTTAGTCTTTTGGTGGGGCTGGGTTGCTGAGCTGTGACCTTTAGAAGTGTGTCTTAGTTTTCTTCCCCCTCCTCTTAGGTGAGACAGACAGTCTAGAGTGGACTAGAATTGGGTAATATCCCTACTTATAGTCAGATAAGCTCTGGAAAAAAATGATTTCCTTTGGTGAGTAGACCTTCATTATGGAGAATCCTCTACATGTATTTCAAATATTGACTTTTTGCCCTTCCATGGCAGAAAAAATGAGGGAATTTTTCTTTTCACTTTACCATGAGAAACTTCAGGAGTTCCTGTAGGCCAAACACTTTAGAGAGTGTGCCTGCTGCCATGACTGGGACTTTAGAGTTACTCACTTACACATAGTCCACAGAGCCTCTAGAAACTAGTTGAAATCATCATTTAAGAGGACCTGCCACCTTTTCATTCCAGTGGCTGTGCTTGTGGTGATGTGATCTTGGCTGTGAGTCTACAGATTTCCAGTTTCCGCAGAGTAAAGGGAGGTGATTTTTCCTTTGATTTCAATTATCTGATGGGTCCAAGAAAAGTCATTGGTTTTCAGATTCTGTATCTTTTTTATTTTTATGATTATGGCTGGACTATTTTCAGGCTCATTACACATCAGAATTAAAACTGGAAGTTTCTATTTTTAGAAACTTTTTAGATTTTCAGATTACAAATGTGGGCTAAGAATCAACTAATTTTTAAACAGCATTTTTATATTGTTAATTTATTTTGAGGTGAGATCACATTATTATACATTATGCCATTATATTTACTGCCATCAACTAATCAGACAAGTAAAAATTACTGAGAAGATAGGAGAGCAAGAGGGTGGAACGTTTATCTGAATTGGCAGGAGGCTGGGTGAGTCAAGTGAACACTTAGGAAGTTCAGAAAGTGAAGACTTGTGTCCTTGAATTAAGTAGTCAAGCATAAACTTCAAGAAAGACGATGGATAAGAAAGAAGAAGCAGTAGTTTTGATGTTAAGCAACTAAATGGAGCAGAGAATAAAGGTATGATTTTAAAAATGCTAAGTATCCAAGAAACAGGAGAAATAGAATTACCTGAGACAATGTATGTGATATGTTCAACTTAATTTAAAACTTCACTATTAGGATGGATGAGGGAAACAAATCAGTTGCTATCAGTGAGATCTTCGGTTGTGTCTTTCACAAAGTTCACTGTTTAGGGAAAGGAGAACAAACTTTCTAGACATTTTATTCTAAATTTAAGACTTTAATATCAACTTGGTCTAGCTGTGAGGTGGTAGAAATCATAATTGTATTTTCTTCCTTTCACTATTTTCTAAATTATGCATTAGCTATATAAATGTTAAATTCAAATATAAATCTATTGTTCTATCTTTTGATTTATTTTTCTGGTAAGCTGGTTAATTTATTATTTATTATTATTATTTATTATTATATATTTATTCTGGAGGCTTTACTGTCCTAAACTATAAACACACACGTACATGTATGTGACCTTCAGAGGTGCTTCTTATATTTTTTGCCCCCTCCTCTTAGGTGAGACAGAAAGTCTAGAGTAAACTAGAATTGGGTAATTTCCCTATATGTAGTCAAACAAGCTCTGGAAAAAAATGTTTTCCTTTGAAAATTTATACCTATGCACATATATGTATAAATTTGTATGTATTATGCATATATACACTCTAAATTGTGTGTAATATTCATACAACTCACACACCCACGTATACAGCTTTTGTGAGAAATGATTCACATGTTATACAACATACTTATTTTAAAGTGTACAATTCAATGGCCTTCAAGAAAGATGATGGATGAGAAAGAAGAAGCAGTAGTTTTGATGTTAAGCAACTGAATGGAGCTTTTTACAACCATCACCACTGTCAATTTTAGAACATTTTAATTATACCAGAAAGAATCCTCTTAACCTTTAGGTATCACCCCCATCTCCTATCTGTCACATCTCAATAAGCAACTACTAAGCTACTTTTGGCCTGAATAGATTTCCCTGTTCTACACGTTTCAAATAAATGGAAACATACCATATGTGATCTTTTGTGTCCAGATTCTTTTGCCTAGCATAATGTTTTCAGGGTTTATCTATTTTGTAGCATATATCTGTATTTAATCACTTTTATGGCTGAATAATATTACATTTTGTGGATATAACATAATTTATTTATCCGTTCATCAACTGGTGATCATTTGGGTTGTTCCACCTTTGTCTCTCATGAATGTCGTTCTTACATAAACATTCACGCACAAGGTTTTGTATGGATATACATATGCTTTTATTTTTTTTCTATGTATACTGAGAAATAGAAATGCTGGATCATACAAAAACTCTATTATGATAGAGTTTAATTGTTTGAAGAACTGCTAGGTCATTTTCCAATTTGACTGCATCATTTAGCATTCCCACCAGTGGTGTGTAAGGGATCAGATTTATCCAGGTTCTTGCCAAAACTTTTATCTGACTTATTGTATCAGTGTTCGTAATAACTATTTACTTGTATTTTTTTGTTTGATACTATTGTATCAACCTGCCTGCATTAATATTGTAATTCTTATTTGATCAATGCCAAGTAAGTTAAATACATTAACATTTGTTATACTGCACATTTTATGGAGATGCTTTCTATGCTTAATCTATGTCAGAGGTATGTCAGCACATGATTCAGGACTGTGTGGCCACGAGTAGAAACTCTCTTAAAAACCAAGATACCAATTCTGCTGCTTCAGGTATCAGTTGTATGTTAAAATAAATATACCTAGATTGTATTTTGCATGTTATTCAGAAATGTTCAGTATTTAATTCTGTAAGATATTGAGTGGAAATCAAAGTATCATATATACATAGAATTTACATTATCTATCAATCAGTTTATGCTAACCAAAAATCAATTTAGTATGGTTCATTCCTGTAGTAGAAGTGGATCCGATACTGTCCAGATGGGCACCAAGGCTGTGTCTCCCATACATAGCACATGGAGGTCCAAGAACAAAATATAATTGACCCTTTGAACAACATAGGGATTGGTGGTACTGACTCCCCACACAGTTGAAAATCCGCATGTAAGTTTTGACTCCCAAAACTGGTAACATAAATAGTTGTTTAACACATATTGTGTATCATATGTGTATTATATGTTGTATTCTTACAATAAAGTAAGCTAGGGAAAAGAAAATGTTATGTAAAAATCCATAAGGAAATATATTTACTTTTAATCAAGTGAAAGTGACTAACCAAGAACCATTTTTATTAAGTAACCAGAATTGCAAAGTGTAATTTAATTATGGAATTTTTAAGTAACATAAAGTGTAATCTGTGTGCACCACTGATCACCAAAATCAATAAAAACAGTTATAGTTTCATATTGCATGTCATTTTTTTTTCTTGGCCTTTAATTTCCTAGCTAGACTTTTTCTAAATAAAGCAATTGGTATTGATCACTTTCTCCATCACTGGCCTTCAGGTCCTACAATTAACAAGCCATATGTAAAAGTGTTGACCACTCCCTTTTTCTTGAAATTTTCCCCGTTCTCAGTTTTATCGACACCATATTTGTTTAGTATTCCCTCAATTATTTTTACTCACGTCAGTGTACTTCTCTTTGTCTAGAAGGCTCTTAAATGTTGGTATTCTACTGTTTTCATCCTATTCTTACAAAGAAGAAATTCATATTAAAAACAGATAATTTTCTATAAATAGTCATAGAAAATGTAATCAGGATTGTGGTGGACAGGTTTAATAAAGTTATACAGATATAATGTTTAAAAATAATATAGTTATTAAAATAAAAATTACAGCTCAGAGTCAGAGAAGACACAGCATAAAAACAACTGTGTTGGAATAGATCCCAGTAAACTCATGAGAATGAAAACTAGATAATGAAATAGCAGAAGTATTTCTAAAATAAGAAATAAACTAATTCTACATGATACCAAAGAGTTAAAAAAAAAAAGAAAACAGAATTATCCATACTAAGATTCATTATATTGAAGTTATTGAACTTCAAAATTCTTAAAAATATATATTATGACCAAATAGCACTCAGATTTCTCAACAAAAGTAATAAAAAGAAATAGTTTTTTCAACATTCTGAGGGGCATAAAGACTACAGATAGACTCTCAAATATTCATGAACTTAATATTATTACATCTGAATCATATTTTGAGGGGAAGAAGGGAATCACTGAACTATCCAACATAGGACCAGAACAAAATTTGATTTGAAAGTTTACTTCTATCTTCAAATAGACTGAATACTCATGTTGAATCAATTTTAAAAGTATGCCCAAAGAGTTGTATAATGTAATTTAATGTTATAATCTGTGATAATATAAAAATGATATCAATAACCAAAACTAAGAGGCAAAATTAAAGATAATAGTGAATACTTTGTAGTCTAACACTAATCTTCATAGCAGGATATAAACAGTGTAAAACACTACCTGTGTCTTTTAAGTTAATTTTATAACCTTTCTTAAATTAAGGCCTGTAAGAAATTAAGAAAGTAATAAGTAATAAGAAATTACTTATCTGAAAATTTGCTAATTTTGAGGAGTGTCATATAAATAGAAATGGTAAGAGAGGACATACAGCGGGAGATATGAAAAGAGAGAGAAGAAAAAATCAAAACAGTAGAGCTTGATAACTGGTTTGGAGGAAATTGGAAAATACTAAAGTAGTATTAAAAGATGAAACGCAGGAAGGTTGTTGTAACATAAACCAGGATATGGAAAACAAGAAGAAGTACAGATTTAGGTGGGGAGATGATACGCTGAGATTTGAACATGTTGGGTTGGAGGTATTTGGAAAACATTCAAGTGACAATTCAAACTGTGACACTGCGAATTGGATTTCACAAGAGAGTTGGCACAAACATGGGGTTGAGATTTCACATCATACAGTTATTACAGCTAAGTGACTCGATGGAGTCATCCAAGGATGATGAGTAGGAAAAGTAGAAGAAGTTATCCACAAACCTCAGGGGCACCAGTACATGAATGATGGGCAGAAACTGAGGTTTGAGCTAAAAAGAAGCTAGGAGAAGAGATCGTGGAAAGGCTTGGTAGTGAGAGATATGCAATATATTTGAAAAATAGAAGGGATTCCTGCATGGCTAAAGGTGAAATTCAAATTGCATATATAAAATGGAAAATTGAAATCTAAATGACTTACGGTTTTTAATCTCAGAGAAATTGATAGCCTGAATACCTTGGGTTAATGAGTTATTTTGTAGAAAGGAGAATATTGGGCTGAGAAATTATTATCTATAAATCGCTGTTAGAGGAAATAGAAATGTTATTGCTTTATTCTTCAAAAGAATAGCATAACGGAACCCACTTGGAAAATTAGCCAAGTAAGGTATTGAAATATATTAAAATTATGACATAAGCATTTTTAAACCAAAAATATTCGACTCCAGGGAGAATTTTATTATTTTTCATTATTGCTTTAAATTTTGTTTTTGTTGTTGTTGTTGACGTTGTTGCTGTTGTTTCCTTCTGGTTATACCTACTGGTTTTAATTTCTAAATATTTAATATATACATTTTAGGATACAAATTCATCTCTGTTGTGTTTCATAATAGTCTATGATGTAATAATTTTTTTTAAAATTGGAGGCATGAATGCATAGTGTGTTACATCATTATATATATAGTGATGTATATCATTATATGACTATACATTATTTTCATGGAAAAGAGGAAATAATTATACATAATCTTATCTCCTCTTTTAAAAGCCAGGTCATTCTTTCCTAAACTCTGATATTGGGTATTGTAGAAAAATCCATATTTTTTTACAGTTAGATTTTTTTTCTCTATCTTACACAAGTAACTTATTTTATCTATCAATAGTTTAAATGCAGTTTGACTTTTTACATTAATGTTTTAGAATATGAAAAGCAGGAAATAAATTAGGAAAGGTTAGCTCTTTGAATTAAATGAAATTAATTCAGGAGAAAAATCATAAATCTTTCATGGTGGTTGAATGCAGACATATTAATTTGCAGACATAATTAAAAATAATGCTTCCCTCAGAAATAGATATACATTTTGGGATAATTTAAGACTTTTCCCTAGTTTATATGCAGATCATAAAATTTATCAGGATTTCCGTCTAATTTTTAGGATAAAATTTGTTATGTGATTTATTACAACTTTTAAATTGTATTTTTAAAAGAAACCATCTTGAGTAAACTGGTCCAGTACGGAGTGGATCTCAGGGAAGGGATAATGATTAGGTACTAAAAATCTTTGAGAATGCACCATCTCTCCTTTCCCAGTCTTTTTTTTTTTTTCCTTTATCTGATCTTTTATAACATGTGGGTTTTTTTTTTAATTTCTGAATTCTAATAAACAGGAGGAATGATCTCAGAGACTGGACTGATTTAGTATATTTCCCCAATTCTAATCCCTAGTAAAGAGAGAATGTGAACATCTTAGCTTGAATACACCAAACACTTCTAATTCCCTCAACTAAACCAAGGGCTAGGGAGGTGCAAACCCAGCTACTGCAGAAACCACGGGTATAAACCCGAGTCGGTCCTCAGAAATAGGAGACTGCTCCTGAGCTGAGCAGATACCACCAAAACTTAATGATATTCATGAGATGAACAGACTTTCTGGTAGGATTCCCCACTAGGGCTTTGAAATTCTTTTTCCCTTTACATTAGAAGTTAAAGTAACCATGTTTTTTGTTTGTTTGTTTGTTTGTTTTTTCCATTTGTGTAATCTCTGATTTCTTTGAGCAGTGGCTTGTAGTTATCCTTAAAGAGGTCCTGGCCTTCTCTTGTTAGCTGTGTTCCTAGGTATTTTTTATTTTTGTGGCAATTGTGAATGGGAGTTTGTTTGTGATTTGGCTCTTGACTTTCCTGTTGTTGGTGTATAGGAATGCTAGCAATTTTTGCACACTGATTTTGTATCCTGAGACTTTTTCTGAAGTTGCTTATCTGCTTAAGAAGTTTTTGGGGCGAGATGATGGGGTTTTCTAGATATAGAGTCATGTCACCTGCAAAAATAGACAGTTTGACTTCCTTTCTTCCTATTTGAATACCTTTACTTCTTTCTCTTGCCTGATTGCCCTCACCAGAACTTCTAGAACTATTTTGAATAGAAGTGGTGAGAGAGGGCACACTTGTCTTGTGCCAGTTTTCAGGGGGAATGCTTCCATTTTTTGCCCATTCAGCATGATATTGGCTATGGGTTTGTCATATATGGCTCTTATTATTTTGAGGTATGTTCCTTCAAAACCTAGTTATTGACAGGTTTTAACATGAAGGAATGAAGAATTTTATGGAACACATTTTCTGTATCTATTGAGATAATCGTGTGGTTATTGTCTTTAGACCTGTTTATGTGATTAATCACATTTATTGATTTGCATATCTTGAACCAACCTTGCATCCCATGGATGACACCTATTTGCTCAAGATGTATAAGCTTTTTGATCTGCTGCTGGATTCTATTTGCCAGTATTTTGTTGAGGATTTTTGCATTAATGTTCATCAAGGATATTGGCCTGAAGATTTCTTTTTCTGTTGTATCTCTACCAGCTTTTGGTATCAGAATGATAATGGCCTTATGTAATAAGTTAGGGACGAGTCCCTCCTATTCAATTTTTTGGAATAGTTTCAGTAGAAATCCTGCCAGCTCTTCTTCATACCTCTGGTAAAATTCAGCTCTGAATCCATCTGGTCCTAGCCTTTTTCTGCTTGGTAGGCTATTTATTGCTGCCTCAATTTCAGAAATTGTTATTGGCCTATTCAGGGTTTCAGTTTCTTCCTAGTTCAGTCTTGGGAGGGCATATGTGTCTGGGAATTTATCCATTTCTTCTAAATTTTGTAGTTTGTGTGCACAGAGGTATTCATAGCAGCCTCTAATTTTTTTTGTTTGTTTTTTTGTGGGATCAGTGGTGATATTCCCCTTACCATTTCTGTTTGTATTTATTTGAATCTTCTATGTTTTCTTCTTTATCACACTAGCTAGCAGTATATTTTATTATTTAAAAAAAAAAGCAGCTCCTGGATTCCTTGAATTTTTGAAGGGTTTTTTATCCCTCTATCTCCTTTAGTTCAGGTCAGATCTTGGTTATTTCTTATATTCTGCTAGTTTTGTGGTGTGTTTGCTCTTGGTTCTCTAGTTATTTTAGTTGTGATGTTAGGTTGTTAGCTTGAGATCATTCTAGCTTTTTGATGTGGGCATTGAGTGCTATAAATTTCCCTTTTAAATATGCTTTAGCTGAGTCCCAGAGATCCTGGTATGTTTTCTCTTTGTTCCCATTAGTTTCAGTGAACGTCTCAAGTTTTGCTTTGATTTCATTATTTACCTGAGTCACGGATAGAAAGAATCAATATCGTGAAAAGGGTCATATCGCCCAAAGCAATGTATAGATTCCCATTAATCTACCATTAACATTATTCACATAATTAGAAAAAACTATTTTAAAATTCATATGGAACCAAAAAAGAGCATGAATAGTGAAGACAATCCTAATCAAAAAGAACAAAGCTGGAGGCATCACATTACGTGACTTCAAACTATACTGCACTCCTATAGTAACAAAAACAGCATGGTACTGATACAAAAACAGACACATAGACCAACGGAACAGAATAGGGAACCCAGATAAAAGGGTGCAAAACTACAGTCATCTGATCTTTGACATACCTGACAAAAATAAGCAATGGGAAAGGACTCCCTATTTAATAAATGGTGCTGGGAGAACTGGCTAACCATATGCAGAAAATTGAAATTGACTGGTTCCTTACACCATATACAAAAATTATCTAATGATGGATTAAAGACTAAAGTGGAAAACCGGAACTACAAAACCCTAGAAGAAATCCTAGGCAATACCATTCAAGACATAGGCACCGGCAAAGATTTCATGGCAAAGACACCAAAAGCAATTGCAACAAAAGTTGAAATTAACAAATGGATCTTATTAAACTAAAGAGCTTCTGCATAGCAAAAGAAATTATCATCAAAGTGAACAGACAACCTATAGAACGGGAGAAAATTTTTATAACCTATCGATCTGAAAAAGATCTAATATGCAGCATCTACAAGGAATTTAAACAAATTTACAAGGAAAAAAACAACACCATTAAAAAGTGGGCAAAGATATTAACAGACATTTTTCAAAAGAAGACATACATGCTGGCAACAAACATTTGAGAACTAGCTTAGCATCATTGATCATTATAGAAATGCAAATCAAAACCACAAGAAGACACCATCTCACATTAGTGAGAATGTCTACTATGAAAAAGTCAAAAACAACAGATGCTGGTGAGGTTGTGGAGACAAATAAATGCTTTTACACTGTTGGTGGGAAAGTAAATTAGTTCAACCTTTGTGGAAGACAGTGTGGCAATTCCTTAAAGACCTAGAAACAGAAATACCATTTGACCCAGCAATCCCATTACTGGTATATACCAAAAGGAATATAAATCATTCTATTACAAACATATGTGCATGCATATGTTCAATACAACACTATTTACAATAACAAAGACATGGAATCAACCTAAATGCCCATCAATGCTAGATCAGATAAAGAAAATGTGGTAGATATACATCATGGAATACTATGCAGCCATAAAAAAGAATGAGATCATATCTTTTGCAGGTACATGAATGGACCTGGAGGCCATTATTCTCAGCAAACTAATGCAGGAACAGCAAACCAAATAGAATATGTTCACACTTATAAGAGAGAGCTGAATGACAAGGACACATGGACCTATAGCTGGGAACAAGACACACTGGAGACTGTCAGAGGGTGGAGGGGGAGGAAGGAGAGCATCAGGAAGAACAGCTAATGGATGCTGGGCTTAATACCTAGGTAATGGGATGGTCTGTGCAGCAAACCACCATGGCAAACATTTTTCTATATAACAAACCTGCATATTCTGCCCATGTATCCCTGAACTTAATATTTTTAATAAATAATAAAATAGCAATGGTTTTCTACAACCTCACTCATTTGCACATACTTCTCTCTTTACCTGTGATGTTCTTTCACAATTATTTAAATTCCAGTCCATCAGTTGCTCCCCCTGTCATTCCCTGATCCCCACAACCCTAAGTCAGGTAGTACTGGCACTGCCCCAGCCTCTCTCATTTTCTCTATTCCTATGTAGTGCATTGAGTTTCTCCATAATATGGTATATAGTTTTCAGTACAGTCAATTGCTTACCATTTCTTTCCTCACTCACTATCCTCAGTGCTTCATTCTTTTAAAAAATAAAATTGTCACTAATAAAATGTCCTATCCAATTTTAAAGTATAGATTAATATTTAAATAGGCTCTCATCAGATGCCATATATTTCTTCTGCATAAGTATTTATTAATCAATATGACATTTGTGATATATGTAGAAAATCAGAGCAGAAAAATATGCACTGTAAATGCTAAATCAAAATATATCAAATTTGAACTACTCTAATATAATTTCAACTACAAATAAAATGAAGTTTCTTCCATTAACAAGCATAGTAGCTTCTGTCATCTTCCTCATAATGAAAGAACCCAAAAGAACTAAAAAAAACCCACCCCAAAAGAAAAAAAGTTATTTAGATAATATATAAAAGTATAGTCTTAATTTTCAAACAAAAGTAGTATTGAAAGTACCCCATTAATTCTGTCAAGTAATGTTGCAAAATATGATATCAAAATTTAATAAATATGACATGATAGGCTATCTTTTGTGCATAAATTTTAATAAATAATATACAATATTTCATATCTTTATCTGTTTTTTATCAATCCAATCAAATTCAATCTAATCTAATCCAATCTAGCCTAATCTAATCTAATCTAATCTAATCTAATGAGAGGAAGTCCATCCTCCTCCAGCTTTTCCTGCCCTTGGCCATGGTGACTGTCAATGGCTCAGGCAGTGCTTGCTTCATCTGCATATGCCTCTCTCAAGGATAGTAATGAGCATGGAACAAAAATGAGAACCATAATATTATTGTTTTAGGTAACTAAGTTATGCCATGTGTTTTTTGCTACAACATAACTTAGCTTATCTTGACAATTTCCATTTGATTCATCTAATGCATTATTTTATTATTTTTTAAATGATTTCTGACTTTTTTACTCATAAATAAGTGAGGAACACACATTATCACACTTTAATCTTTGTTACCTTTGCAATCAAAGCAGAAGAAAGTGTGTTATAATATTACTCACTCCTTTCATTTACTTTGAAATATATCTTATACTGAAATATAACATTCCTATAGTGAAAAGTTATAACAAAGCACTTATGTCAGAACTAAAGATTAAATGATATACTTTTACACTTATGAAACAAGGACTCATTTATATTTATGACATGAAAGGTGATTTATAACTTCATATATGAGACGTTACAATTTAATTAAAACTTAGAATCCAAAATATTTCATTCATTTAAAATATTTATTAATTATAAGTGAACACAGACAAAAGATGGGCAAAATCTTTGTACTTAAGCAACTTATACTCTACTGGAATCAGGCAGATGATTCAGAAGAAATGAATTAAAAAAAAGTATTATGGAACAAAATGAAGTAAGTCAGAGGACTAGGTAGTCTGGGGACTAAAGATGGACATTCAGCTTTACATTGTATAGAAAGGGATGGTTTCGTGGAGAAGGTGAAATTTGGTCAGGATCTTAGAGATAGCCATCGAGCTATCAAGGTCTCTGAGGAAAGAGCTTTCTAAGTTCCTGGACTGGCAAGAGCAGAGGCCATTAGGCTGGAACATAGCTAGTGATGGTGGGGACAGCAAGAAGGCTAGTGCAGCTAGAAGAGGGAGAGGGGTGGGACAGGAATCAAAATGGCGACTTTGAAAGGCCACTGCAGGTCAGATCCTGGAGGCATTCCTAGGTTGTTCAGATAATTTAGATTTAATTATCTGTAAGACAGAAAATCAATGGAGGGCTGGAGCATCATGACCAGATAACTAATTGTTAGTGTTGAGCAGAATGTCAGGAGGCAAAGGCCTAAAAGGGAGACCTGAGGAAGATTACTACAACAGCTTGGACAAGGTGGTACCTGTGGATGTGGTGAGAAGTGTTCAGGTGTTTATCTATTTTGAATAAAGAACCAACAGTATTTGCTGATAGATTGAAAGTAGAACTTGAAAAAATGAGAGGAGTCAAAGGTACTCATTAACTGAGATAAGAAACACTAGGAGAGGTAACAGGTTTGACAAATAGATATCAGCTTTTCCTAACTGCTGCTCCATAAACAGTTTTTATGATTGATGCCTTAATTACAGGTGTAAGTTCACTGCCTAGATGAGTAGACCATGTTGTCTTTGTTAAATGTACATGGGCAGGACCGGAAATGGGATGCTACTATAGATAATCTTTTTTAAATGACTCTTCTTGGTCTCTTCAAGATATCACCAGCCACCCAGGACACTGCCATATCTGCTTGGTCCCACTGCTAATTATCTTGCCTTTTTACGTTGATCCACCTCCTACTGACATTAGATCCTACTTCTGAATAACGGTGAAGAGCTCTTCATTTTGAATTTATTGTCTGCCTGTTATTTAAACTGCAGTTTATGTTTTCTTTTTTTAGAATTAAAAAAACAAATGAGTTAAATATTTATCATGCATGAATAAAGCTACAGAGGTGGTGAAAGAAAATGCAATTTAATATTTCTATTAGATTTGAAGAGGGAGAGTATAACAACATGTAATCAAAAGGATAGGTAACAATGCCTATAAAATTTAATTTAATTGGGAGGGAGGCCAAGGTGGGTGGATCACCTGAGGTCAGGAGTTTGAGACCAGGCCAAGGTGGGCGGATCACCTGAGGTCAGGAGTTTGAGACCTGGCCAAGGTGGGTGGATCACTCGAGGTCAGGAGTTTGAGACCACCCAGCCAACATGGTGAAACTCCATCTCTACTAAAAATGCAAGAATTAGCCGGCATAGTGGCATGTGCCTGTAGTCCCAGCTACTTGAGAGGCTGAAGCAGGAGAATCGCTTGAACCTGGGAGGCGGAAGTTGCAGTGAGCCAAGATGGCTGGGTGACAGAGTGAGTCTCCATCTCAAATAAAATAAAATAAAATAAAATAAATAAATAAAAATAAAAATAAATTCATTTAAAAAATAAACCTTTGTTAACCTAAATGCCTGCCAGCTCTGTAGGTCCTCCTACACAAAGAGCAGGACTTTACTCCATTTTATGGTTGTTCATGAGTGTCTCCAAGGGGTCAAAACTGCACTCTACAAACTGCATTTATTGATTCATAGCTATTTATCCATGTGTACTTTCTGCCACACACTAGATGCATTTTGTATATGCTAAAGCCCATTTTGAGAATCTAGCATTTGTTCCATACTTGAGATTTCTGATTGAGCCCAAATTTCTTTGGAACCTAGTAAGTTGCTAGGTTCCATGCAGAGTCATGGAAAAGCAATCCCCGCACACAATGATCCACACATCACTAATTCTCCAAAGCATTTCTACTTATACTGAGTTTCGCAAAGAATTTCTGAAATTGTTCTGTCGTGACTGACTCTAGTTCCTCTAACTTTAGGTACTTCCCATCAGTCTAAGGGAATTTGTAGGTGAAGACCCTCCATTCTTGTCTTATCTTCATCCAGATCCACCCCAAAGCACTTCTTGTCTCCCAGTGTTAAATACATACAGACATATAAGCTCTCTTGCTTGTTAATAAAGGCTAACATATATTTGTATGTGTAAAACATACAAATAGACATCTATGGCTTCTGACATACAAGACTTTTTGGATTTCTACTAGTATCCTTATTGTGTACCTATCATTCCTATTATCTCATGGGGTTATTGGATATTTTACTGGCATGAGATATCATGTTTGATGAAGAAAGACACCTATTAATTAGCCGAGCTAGGATTTGAACCAATAACTCTTCAGCAGAAAAGTACATGCTCTTACATTAAAGTATACTGCTAAAAAATAGAAACAATGAAATATCAAATTTATGAATGAAATTATAGAAGTAATTCTCATAAAAAGAAAACTTTTAGTACAAGTTCACCAAAGGTAAACAAAAGTCCTAATCCCTTGAAACTTATATAAATAGCTATGGAGATAATAATAAAGTATATTTGTCATTTATCAAATTGGCTAACATTAATATAAATTTTAGCACTATCGTAATGAAATAGCGATTCTCTCACATGGCAGAATGGAATATAAATTAGTACTGATTTTTTAGAACAATTGAGCAATTTTTATTATAATCCATATAATGTTTCATATTATTTAATTCAGCAATTTTGCACTTCCTTGCTTTAGAAGTTTGCCCTATCTAAATAGGTATGGGCAGAAATGTCAATGAGCACATTACAATAATATAAAAACAGGCTTAATTAAATTAAATAATTATTTAATTTGAAAGGCAAATATGCAATATTAATCACACACTATAGCAAGTAGGTCTCATAGATATCAAATATGCTTTAATATTATAAATCTGAGTCATGGCCCACTCTCCAAGCTGCTCAGCTTGCTGTATTTGAATATACTCAAAAGAAATTATTCTAAGTTGAAAAAATGATACTGTCTTTCTTCTTTGACTGCCAAGAAAATCAACAAACTTTAGTATTTCTGACATTAATTTCTATGTATTACATACTTTAGATATAATTCTTTACTGGATATTAAATTGGAGAAGACAACTATTCCACATGCCAAAAGAACCCTGTAAAAATTGACTTGTTATTCACAGGGAGCAAACACTTCTTGACTTTTCAAACTATGCTCTTTATTAACAAATATTTCTAAAGTGAGGTAAAAAAGAATGTTAAGTGTAATTCTTGTTATACTGAAATGAATTAGAGGAATCATTTGAAAACTATTTTTAGAAGTCTCTAATTATTTTTTCTGCCATTTGCTGCCTACAAGGTATCTAGTGATAAGGTTTTACTAAATTAGAAGTTGCGTTTTTAACACTGACACTGACACTGTTGATTAAAACCAGAAAGAATAACAGTCATTTATTGCTATAAATCAGAAACACCTGTCTATGATTCTAACTTACAATATAACGGTAGATTTAAATTGGCTGAAAAGTTGGAAATATGCTGTTTAAGCAATCCAATACTTGTAGAAACGAACATTTTTCACTGATAATGATTTCTGAAAGTGTATTCAGTGTAAGTGGCCAAATGATAACCTAGGAAGATAGCTAACATTGTATTTCTGAAGAATAAAAGTGTATGCAAATAAAAAATTAAATTTCAAATTAAATATTGAAAAAAGCATAGACTATATAGAGGTCTGTGCTTGTATGCCTTCCACGTCTCATGTTATTTAATTTACCCTGCAGACAATATAGGAAGAGGATTTAGAATATATTCTAGTGTCAGATTCATCTGAATTTTAGTATTGGCCCTTCTATCATCTGAATTACCTCGTGTGGCTTACTTAACCACTCAAAGCTACAACTTTTTTATTTAAAATATTCATATTTTTAAGGCATCTACCTCAAAAGGAGATTCTCAGGAATAAAGTGGATAATTCATACTGAGAGTTTTGCCAACATCTGTGAAAGCTAGCAATGGTTTAACATGTTGGACTTATGATGCCGAAGACCATTACAGTGATGTTAATGATGTCGGAAGAGTAAAACAAGAAAATCCACGATGCACATAGGCATAAGAATTGTACACCAAAAAGTATTCCTTCTTGTATCCAAAAGCTACAAATTTCTCTCCGTGAGGGATATTTCTTCACATATTTTTAAATTCTTAGCATTTGTCATATGAAAACCAAAACATTATATACCAGTTTGTGAAATAGGAAAGAAATAAGACGATAAATTTTCCTCTAAGAACTTTCAAGAATTGTATATAAAGTTATTTTTAAATTATAGCTTAATTGATATTCACATAACATAAATTTTATCTTTTTAAAGTGTACAATTTAGTAGTTTTTAATATACTCAAAGGGTTATGCATCTATGGTTGTCTAATTCCATAACATTTTCCTGAGCCTTCCCAAAACACTCATGCCTATTATGTAACTCTTGATATTCACTTCCACCCAAACCCTTCAAACACATTCACATACTTTCTGACTTTATGATTTTTTTCTATGCTGGACATTTTATGTAAATTAGATTATACAATATGTGACATTCTGTGTCAAACTTATTTCACTTAATGCAACATTTTCAAGGATCATCCATGTTGTAGCAGTATCAGTACTTTATTTTCCTTTATGGTTGAACAATGTTCCATTTTATGGCTATATCACATAGTCATACAATTGTTTATTCCTTCGTTAGTTGATAGCCATCTGGGTTGATCCATTTTTTTAGCTATTATGAATAAAGCTTCCATGAACATTTTTCAAGGTTTTTTTTGTGTGGATATATATTTTTTCTTTTCTCTTAGGCATATAATCAGGAGTAGAATTGTTTGTTCATCTAGCAGCTCTACACTTTAAGACATACAACTAACTGTAACTCAATTATCTAATTCCACATCTACAGACACTTTCTGAGTTAAGTAATTTAGCTAATAAATCAATAAATATTAATTGCCTGTAATGTAAATATGACAGTAATAGGAATCAAAATTACTACTTACTATCTATTAGGAACAAGCTCTGCTCCTGAGGATCTTGAAGTGTTCTGTGTTACTGAATGTATAGAAGGCCAGATGAGGAGGAGAAAAGGCCATTCAATAAAATAGTTCCTCCTTTCACACAATAAGAATATTTTCTGTTCTTTCAAGTCTATACTATATACATACTAATTTGGAGAATTTTCCCAGATTGCAAAGGAAAAAGAGAAATAGTTTTCATGATTCACAGGAAATTCAGAGTTTTTGTTATCATCATTATCATCACCATTTCTTTATGACTTAGCATAGGCTAGTCTTAAAAAGAAAATCTTGTGAAACAAGTACATTGCATAACATATGCTAAACACACAAAATTAAAGATGCTTTAGGATATCAAACCTCAAGCTTTTATATAGACTCAAATTCAAGAATATTCTACATGTGGTCTATTCTGTGAGAAAGAAAAGAGGAAATGTTGTCTTTAAAAATCCAAAATTGTCCCATTCTTGTTTGTATTAATGTGTAAATGCAATCCATTTTAAAATTGATCATACTCACCACAAGTATTAAAGCATGAGTGCTTTATGTGAAATGTCAGTCCTTGCCCTGAGTTTTCAAGTGAAATTTATAGTAACATAATCAGAAGATGATACCATAATATATTAATTGAGCAAAGCTAGATACCTCAGTTTGGATTTGAATGAGCTTAGTGATTTTTATTGGAAAACTGAATTGATGGAGCCCACTTTTTTTCTAATCTTTTAAAATCAAAACCTTAAAGAAGATAGCCCTTACAAGCAGATACTGGAGAATGAATTGTAATAAAAATATTAGATACCAGAAAAGAGAAAAATGTATATTTCCTCTACTCTCTATTACTACAATTTTAATTTACTCCATATATAGCACTGTATTAATTTTACAACTTTCTGTAATAGGATCCAATATGCTATCATCAGCTCTGTTGAAAATGTAGATGAGTATTTAAGGGGACAATGAGCTTTCCTCGTCTAATCTAATTCGTCTGCCCTTTATTACCAAAACAATTGGCTTTTTGTAATAAAAATGATTAAAAGTATAGCAATAGAAAAGTTTATCACTCGTAAGTGTGTAAGTCAGTGAATTGTCATACATTGAAAGTATCTGGAACCCAGAAATCTGAAATCAAGATGGTGGCAGGGCCATACTTCCTCAGAAGACCAGGAGAGAATTATTGTTTGCCTCTTCCAGCTCGATGGCCCCAGGAATTCCTTTGCTTGTAGCCGCATCACTCCCATCTCTGCTTCCATCTTTGCATGTTATTTTCCTCTGTGCATCTTTTATTGAGGTACTTGTCATTGAATTTTTGGCTTCCCACTATAATTGAAAGTAATCTCATTTTTAGTGCCCTAAATTAACTAGAACTGAAAAGACCCTCTTTCAAATTAAGATTACATTGAACAGTCCCAGGAATTAGGACATGGCCATATCTTTTGTGGGGGCCACCATTCACCTCACTGCAATCACTATATTAATTTCCAAGACCATGAATTTGTTTTGTCTTTTTACAAATTTTACATAAATAAAATCATATGTAACATACTCATTTGTAAGTTTTTAAACTAAATTTTATATATGCAATTTTTTGTCATGTTGCTTCAGGCTGGAAGCCTGCAATGAATAAACAGAGCCTGATTATTCTGCTTTCATCGCTCTTCTTGCTCACTGCTTCCTAGCTTATTTGCTGCTAAACTTCTGTTTAGATTATACCTGGAGGAGGGAAGGGAAGAAATGGTTACTATGCATGTGTTGTTTATAATCCATCAAGGAATGTAGAGGATGATTATATTCTTTGATGACAACAAATAAAAATAAAATAAACAGGAAAATGAAAAAAAACATAAATCTAAAACCATCAAGAAATCCAAATTGTAAGAAACACCATCTTTCAGAAGACAGATACCACTTTCTATTGGTGAGCATGCAGTCGATATTGATAAATCCACATACAATGTTCAAGTTTTCATGTGCATACTACTTCCCTAAGTAACCTGGTACAGTTTCCAGTATCTACACCCAAAGTGGGATTTCCTGGGACCCTGTACAGATAGATCTACAAATTTCATCAGAATATTCAATTAGGGGAATATTGTATATATGAAGTGTATTATATATAATAATATGTAATAGTTACATATTTGAGAAAGAAAGAAACAAAGATCTTATCTATAACTTGAATCTTCTCTAAATAAAATAGGAAGAAAAAAGTCACTTTTCCTTTTAGCTTAAGCAGCCAAAAACATCAAAATAACAAAGAATATTCTTAAATTATAGCTAGTGGAATGTAATTCTGGTTGTGAAAGTTACATATTCGGAGTTGGCTGCATAATTTAACAACAAACACTGTGGCACAGACTTTTTGGTATCCACCAAAAATCTATGCTCACTCTTTCAGAACAGAGACACATGTCTCCAAAGGGTCTGTACAACCATAGGCAACGTTGTGATTCTCTCATGCATGTAGTGTGGCTATGTAGTTAGTTCTCAGCCATAGAACACAAGGCACATTAATGAACATTACTTCCAGAAAAAAAGTATTAGGAATTAATATTTCTTTCTCATACACTACATTATTCCATCAACTGGTAACAAGGGGACCTAGAGCTTGACAAATCCACAGCAAGCTGTATGAAACCCAAAAGCATAATATGACAGAAAGGTGCTTGCATAGGTTCAGAGCTCTTAAAATGTTATGAGCATAAGAAATACATTTCTTATTTTTTAAACTACTGAAATTAAGAAGTTATTTGTTATAGAATCATGCATTGCTTTAACTAATATAGTATATAAACTTGATTTACTATTTAATTTTGATTTAGGTACATAATATCTGATCTTTATGGACAAGTTTGCTTTGGGCTTCAGAATTTTGGGGTTTTGGAAGATTGTATATACTTATAATGGGTAACATATGTGGGATCTGTGGAAGCACATTCAATAAAAAACAACACAATTTTTCTAGTGAAATATGTGAATATTCACACTAACTGAAATAAATATTAAAAATAATTTTCTTCCAATTTGTGTGAAATTTCCCACAGAATATGCTTTAGCTTCAAGTTCACATAGATTCACAGTTTTGGAATTGAGAGTCAAGAATTGTAGACTTTGATTTCAACATTTAAATGAGTGGTAATATCTATATACTATCTCTTTACAGTCATGTGCCACATAATGGCATTTTGGTCATTGACAGACTACACATATGATGGTGGTCCCATAAGATTATGATACCATATTTTTACTCTACCTTTCCTGTTATACATATTTAGATACACAAATATCACTGTGTTATGATTGCCTGAAGTATTCAGTACAGTAACACAGTATACAGGTTTGCACCCTAGGAGCAATAGGTCATATCATATAGTGTAAGTGTGTCTTAGGCTATACCATCTAAGTTTGTTTAAGTACACTCTACGATGTTTGCACAACTACAAAGAATCACCTAAGGATGCATTTCTCAAGATATATCCCCATTTTTAAGCAATGTATGATTCTATTTCTAAGTTTAAAAATAATTATGTTAATAATTATGTTAAGGGTGATTGGTAGTATTGAAGAGTAAATTTGTACAATTCATATAACTTAATTGTTCAAGGTGGTCATGCATTAGCAAAATGTCAAAATCTATAAACACCAAAATGTACGACCCTTCAAAAAATCATTGAGATCATGAGCTATAATATTTAGAATATGTTAATGGCTTGTTAGAAGTCAATTGAGAATTATTTAGCAATCACAACCTAGCAAAAACAAGTTCATCCTCCTACAGACACTAAGATAATGTTTCTCATAGTATGCCATTTATGTTTGATGTTTAAATGGCTGTAAAAATCTATTTATTGATTTATACATTCTTCTGCCACTTTTAATTACTTGGCATTATGAATTATACAATATAAGGTGAAATTCCAGAGACTAAAAAATAGCAAATGAGTGCCCATTAACTGGAATTTGTGTATAATAAAAATAAGTAGAAATGATTCTAGAACATTCAGTTCTAAATATGTGTACCTAATGGAAGGATCAAAGCTAAATACAAGTTTGGTAGCATAAATTTGATAAATTATCTTGCAGCTTAAAGATGATGTTAAAAATGTTTACATAATTATGATGTTTAAGAAAATATATTGTTAAAAGTTTGTTAACATATAAAAAGTGTAATGCTAAAAATTACAAATAGTAGTAGAAACTGCTTGCAAAGCTTCTCTTAACTTCATGTAGTTAAAAGATTGAACATTGAAAAGTGAAGATCTGTATTAGAAGAAATCTCTTTTTACATTCTTATAATTAATTTCAATTCATTTTCTGCATCTGACTATAACAAAGTATCAGCTTCAAGCAATTGCTATGGGCAGACTGAGAATTATCAGTCATACATATTAAAAGCCATGATACAGGCATAAGACTATTCTGTTACATATTAACATGTGACTAATATAGCTCAGACCAAAAAGACCACAGCTCTAGATTATGGCTATTGAAAGAAGAGAGTCCAGAAATTATCACTGGCAACATTTGCTTAAGGGTTTCAATAGTTTTACTATTGAAGAATAGTATGAAGAAGAATTTTTAATTAGTAGCTAAAACAGGCAGTTGCATTTAGGGTATACCAAGTTGATTTGTGCTTAGGCTTCTTATTTTATAAATATAATACTGTTTTCATTTTGTAATGTGGAATTAATATTTAGCTTTAACTGTTTTATTTTTCAAAATCTCCTAAAAAATGCTGTGGTTCTTGTTTGAATATATATATATATATATACACACACACAAACACACACATATATACACATATATACACACACATAAACACACACAGAGACACACACACTCACATACACAATCATGCACTTCATAGCGATGTTTCTTTCAGTCAACAACAGATCACATATATGAAAGTGGTTCTATAAGATTATAATGCAGCTGAGAATTTCCCGTTGCCTAGTTATGTCTTACCCGTTGTAATCTTGTAGCACAATTACTGAATTTTAAAAAGTAATTTAATGTAGCCTAAGTGTGCAGTGCTTCTAAAGTCTTCAGCAGTGAACCAGAATGTCCTTAGGCCTTCACATTTATTCACCACTCACTCACTGACTCTGAGCAACTTCCAATCCTTCAAGCTCCATTCATGGCAAGTGCCTTATACAGGTGCACCATTTTTTTAAAATCTTTTACTCTATATTTACTATACCTTTCTATGTTTACATATGGTTAGATACAGAAATATCTACCATTGTGTTAAAATTGCCTACAGTAACATAGTATACAGGTTTGTAGCCTAAAAACAATAGGCTATACCACATAGCCTAGGTGTATAATAGGCTGTACTATCTAGGTTTGTGTAAGAACATTCAGTGATGTTTGTACAATGACAAAATCACATAAGGATGCATTTCTCAGAATGTATCCCTACCATTAAGCAATTCATGCCTGTCTCTTTCTCTCTCTATGTACATATACATGTTATATATATATATATACACACACACACACACACACACAGAAATATATATATATATGCGTATATTGGTATATTTATAAATGTACACATGCCTACTATATATGCATATACAGGCATTTATATCTAAATATATAATAGACAATACATGAATGTGTGGATTTATGACAGACATTTGCAGTCAAAATTTTGATCACCAGATTTACTAGTTGCTATCTTAAACAATCCTGTCTAGGTATGCTGTAAGTCATAGGATTAACAGAGATGGTGAGTTTTCTCCTTCCCATTCATAGGGAAGCCTTCTCTGCTTGATAGTATAATAGTATAAGAGATAATAGTCAATTCCCTCTCTGCTTGATTCAGTTTAATTTGATCAATAGATTAGTTTATTTTATGACCTTTTTCCTATTCAGGTTGTCCAGATATGTCTTTACTCCATGTCCGGAAATGTTTACCAGTGTCGAGCATGTGATAATTAATGACATCCAGGATAGGATATGTCAGGGTTATTCAACTTCTCAGAAAACTTCCATCTTATTTTTAGCCTCTATGAAAGGAAGTTCTCTTTATATCACCCACTCTGTGCTTTTTCTGTGTCAGTTGTCATAACAACTCATTATTCTTATTTTCCTGGTACATCCATTTCAATTCTCCATGAGCTAAAAAACTGATCCTTCAACGAACCCTCCCCAAAGATATCTGTATCTATATCTGGTACTTAGATCAATAATTTTCATCTCATTTAAAATTACTGCGTAGACTAGTATATTAGTCAGGATGCTCCAGAGAAGAGAACCAATAGGAGAGATGGATAAGAGATAGATAGATAGATGAGAGATAGATAGATAGATGATAGATAGATAGATGATAGATGGTAACTAGATAGATGATAGATAGATAGATGATAGATAGATAGATAGATAGATAGATAGATTGATAGATAGATAGATAGATGATAGATCGAAGCTAACTAGCTAGCTAGATAGATATTATGAGAAATTGGCACATGTGATTATGGAGGCCAAAAAATTTCACGATCTGTCTTTTGCAAGCTGGAGACCCAGGAAAGCTGCTGGTGAAATTCCAGTCCAAATTGGAAGGCCTGAGAACCAAGGCACCCAATGGGGTATAAGTTCCAGTACATGTTGGAGGGAAGGTCCAAGAACTGGAGGCTCAGGGGTGTAGAACCTGGTCCATGTCCTAAGCCCTGAGACCCAAGAGCTCCAGTGTCCTAGGGCAAGAGAAGATGATGTCCCACCTCAAGCGGAGAGTAAATTTCCTTTTCTTCTATTTGTTGTTGTTGTTGTTCTATTTGGACCCTCAATGGATGGGCTGACGCTCACACTAAATGACGAGCACAATCTTCTTTACTCAATCTATTGGTTCAAACTTCACAGACACATCCAGAAATAAGGCTTTATTAGCTCTCTGGGCATCCCTTAACCCAGTCAATTTGACAAATACAATAACCATCACAACTAAGAGGGGAAAATGGTCTTTAGCTTATGAATACAAAAGAAACAATTCTACCGCTATTTTAAATGTAACTGAGCACAAGCATCAGTCTTATAATTACTCACTGAAGTTTGGTTAATCAAATTTTTTACCTAATCCTTCTTAAAAGATACTCAATTCACACATTCACAATTCACTGTCCAAATCTTTGGTTAATGAATAGATGTACAGCTATTATAACTAGGATATTATTACCGGAAATAAAATTAAAGTTTAATTTTCAAAATATTCCCAATTTTCCAAGAATTTATAGACAACGACATTAAACGCACCAATGGAAAATATTAAATATTAAGTATAAACAATTTTCAAAATAACTCCTTTCTCTGTACTGTTTGGTTTTTACTGAGAATATTTTTAAGGATAGATAAATCTATAATGCAAAGATACAGACAAACATAAAATTATAGAGATTATATAAAAAAATAAGATTATTTAGTCATCAAATATACATTATTATGTAGGAAAAATGATATTTAGTACATGATTTTAACTACACTTTACGTGCAACTTTACTATAAAATATCTACTCTATTCTGGCGATAGCAGGCATTTTGGTGTAATTAAAACGTGCCTTATTAACTCTCATAAGAAAGTATAATCTAAAATTAGTGAATCTAGAAATTTGGAGGTTACAGACTTGCATTTGAGTATCTGAGGAAAACCAAGGACACATGTATGAGAAAAATATACCTATATTCAATGTGGCCAAATAATTTAACCTTTTCATGACTTTAAAAAATCTTGTTTATGAAGCTAAGAATTCTTGGCACATGCAATGGCCAAAATGTATTTACTTATATTTCATATCAATTTAGAAATATTTAAAAGCATATCCAAAAAATTATTAATTATATATAATTTATTATGAAATTTGAGTTTTTTATTAAACTGCCTTTTGCTCATTATTTATATAGGTATTATTTACCTTAACATCTCATTTATCAAGTCCTATGTTCATAATTATAATTCCCATTTGATATTGACAAATTTCTGATGTTTTTTATTCAGGAACCTTTCTGGTATTATTATCCAGATGCTTGTTATCTTTTTCATCAATTTTACTGAACGTGATGACCCTTTATATTTTAAAAAACTTTTCCTGCTCATGAAATACTCATTTTTTATCTATACTTTGAAAGGGTACATCTAAAGAAAAAATATCATCTTATAACATTTTACATAGTTTTCCTTCCATAATAGATACCTTTTCATTTTTCTTTTTAATTATTCCAGTTCATTTTACCATAGGTTTGAAAGAAGAATAGAATGTCCTCTATGATGAACATCTGCTATACTATTGGCATTTATAAGAAAGGAACTAATATGTTACTCAATCTACAATATTAAATTGTTTTCTAAAAATCCAGTTATTTTTATATAAAAATCCAGTTTTTTAATATAAAAATCCAGTTATTTTTAAAAAATCCAGTTATTTTTATATAAAAAATCCCGTTATTTTTATATAAAAATCCAATTATTTTTAGAAAACAATCTAATATTGTAGATTGAGTAACATATTAGTTCCTTTCTTATAAATGCCAATAGTATAACATATGTTCATCATAGAGGACATTCTATTCTTCTTTCAAACCTATGGTAAAATGAACTGGAATAATTAAAAAGAAAAATGAAAAGGTATATATTATGGAAGGAAAACTATGCAAGGCTGTTTCAACATAGAAAATCAATAAACATAATCCAGCATATAAACAGAACCAAAGACAAAAACCACATGATTATCTCAATAGATGCAGAAAAGGTCTTTGACAAAATTCAACAAGCCTTCATGCTAAAAACTCTCAATAAATTAGGTATTGATGGGATGTATCTCAAAATAATAAGAGCTATCTATGACAAACGCACAGCCAATATCATACTGAATGGACAAAAACTGGAAGCATTCCCTTTGAAAACTGGCACAAGACAAGGGTGCCCTCTCACCGCTCCTATTCAACATAGTGTTGGAAGTTCTGGCCAGGGCAATCAGGCAGGAGAAGGAAATAAAGGGCATTCAATTAGGAAAAGAGGGAGTCAAATTGTCCCTGTTTGCAGATGACATGATTGTATATCTAGAAAACCCCATCGTCTCAGCCCAAAATCTCCTTAAGGTGATAAGCAACTTCAGCAAAGTCTCAGGATACAAAATCAATGTGCAAAAATCACAAGCATTCTTATACACCAATAACAGACAAACAGCCAAATCACGAGTGAACTCCCATTCACAATTGCTTCAAAGAGAATAAAATACCTAGGAATCCAACTTACAAGGGATGTGAAGGACCTCTTCAAGGAGAACTACAAACCACTGCTCAATGAAATAAAAGAGGATACAAACAAATGGAAGAACATTCCATGCTCATGGGTGGGAAGACTCAATAACGTGAAAATGGCCATACTGCCCAATGTAATTTATAGATTCAATGCCATCCCCATCAAGCTACCAATGACTTTCTTCACAGAATTGGAAAAAACTACTTTAAAGTTCATACGGAATCAAAAAAGAGCCTGCATTGCCAAGTCAATCCTAAGCCAAAAGAACAAAGCTGGAGGCATCACACTACCTGACTTCAAACTATACTACAAGGCTACAGTAACCAAAACAGCATGGTACTGGTACCAAAACAGAGATATAGATCAATGGAACAGAACAGAGCCCTCAGAAATAATGCCGCATGTCAACAACCATCTGATCTTTGACAAACCTGACAAAAACAAGCAATGGGGAAAGGATTCCCTATTTAATAAATGGTGCTGGGAAAACTGGTTAGCCATATGTAGAAAGCTGAAACTGGATCCCGTCCTCACACCTTATACAAAAATTAATTCAAGATGGATTAAAGACTTAGATGTTAAACCTAAAACCATAAAAACCCTAGAAGAAAACCTAGGCAATACCATTCAGGACATAGGCATGGGCAAGGACTTCATGTCTAAAACACCAAAAGCAATGAAAACAAAAGACAAAATTGACACATGGGATCTAATTAAACTAAAGACCTTCTGCACAGCAAAAGAAACTACCATCAGAGTGAACAGGCAACCTACAGAATGGGAGAAAATTTTCACAACCTACTCATCTGACAAAAGGCTAATATCCAGAATCTACAATGAACTCAAACAAATTCATAAGAAAAAAACAAACAACCCCATCAAAAAGTGGGCAAAGGATATGAACAGACACTTCTCAAAAGAAGACATTTATGCAGCCAAAAAACACGTGAAAAAATGCTCATCATCACTGGCCATCAGAGAAATACAAATCAAAACCACAATGAGATACCATCTCACACCAGTTAGAATGGCGATCATTAAAGTCAGGAAACAACAGGTGCTGGAGAGGATGTGGAGAAATAGGAACAGTTTTACACTGTTGGTGGGACTGTAAACTAGTTCAACCATTGTGGAAGTCGGTGTGGCGATTCCTCAGGTATCTAGAACTAGAAATGCCATTTGACTCAGCCATCCCATTACTGGGTATATACCTAAAGGATTATAAATAATGCTGCTATAAAGACACATGCACACATATGTTTATTGCGGCACTATTCACAATAGCAAAGACTTGGAACCAACCCAAATGTCCAACAATGATAGACTGGATTAAGAAAATGTGGCACATATACACCATGGAATACTATGCAGCCACAAAAAAGGATGAATTCATGTCCTTTGTAGGGACATGGATGAAGCTGGAAACCCTCCTTCTCAGCAAACTATCGCAAGGACAAAAATCCAAACACCGCATGTTCTCACTCATAGGTGGGAATTGAACAACGAGGACACATGGACACAGGAAGGGGAACATCACACACCTGGGACTGTCGTGGGGTGGGGTGTCGGGGGAGGGATAGTATTAGGAGATATACCTAATGCTAAATGATGAGTTAATGGGTGCCGCACACCAACATGGCACATGTGTACATATGTAACAAACTTGCACGTTGTGCACATATACCCTAAAACTTAAAGTATAATAATAATAAAATTGAAAAAAATAATAACTGGAAAATCTCAAAGTCGCATCCAAATCAGTGTTTCTGGGCTTGTGCATGAGAGGCAATAATATATACCATCACCCTATTTTTGAATACATTATGATGGCCTAAAAATAAAATTACCAAAAGGGTTATTATTAATTTTATCTCATAGAAATGTATGCTTGCTAAGCAATGTCTATAGGATACCTGTTTTATTATATGTTTAATTTTTACATCACCCTTCCAAAAAAGTTAATACCTCTGAAAAATGAATTGTGTCTTTCTCCCACTTTTTATGATAATTAACTTTTTTGCATCTCTTACATAAAGTATTTAAATATAGTTTTTGAAATTTTAGACATCATTTCTTCTTATATTATGGTCAGTATAATAAAGTTTATGCATAACCTACACAATATTACCTAGAATGAAGAGAAGCATTTAATATAGTTTTGAAAAAAAAAATGTTTGGCCATCGTAACTCTGACAATAGTCAACTTCCCAGAACTCTAACTGCCATTTCTATAGCATGGCATGGAATAATTGCCCTTGCATGTCACTATCTACTTTGATGATCATATTCAATAATAAAATCATTGTGTGTGTGTGTGTGTTTGTGTATGCTTTGTATTTATGAATTATCAAAGACTGAACACAAATGGTAATTATTTTTCAACTTCTTTCATTTACCTATTTCTGTCATGTGCCTTTGGCATGATTTTCAGTTTCACACTGTAAAATCCATAGCTTTCTATATTAAGACCATTTTGGAACAAGAACTACTAATCTGTTTCTAGACTACATGTCCTATATTTTCAATGTCGGTCTGTTTTAACAAGATTCAACTTATTCTTCACATATTTTTTGCTAAATGCCCTTACTTATGTAGAACTAATTTTGGTTCCTACCAAAATTATATGATATTCTATTCCAATCCTGTCACCAAATCAAAGTCCTTTAAACTTTTCTGTAATAACTAAGTTAGATCACTCTTTTATCTCATTACTAATTGGCAATTTGGATATTTGAAATATAATTCAGACAATGAGTGACTAATGCTGGAAATGAATAAAATACTAATACCTAGGCCTTTATTTCTAGACTTTTAAATATATCTGAGAAGGGTATTGGATATTTTTTCCTGATATTATTTTATATACTCATAGTGACCCTGTGATATTTTGCAAATAACCATAACTATTAATGAAATCAAAGTTTATATAATTTTAATTTTGAACAATATCACATTTATGCAGACCATCCTGTAATGATGCCCCTGATATTAAGGATATTATTGTTTTAGTATACTTACTGGAAATTTATACCTACCTCACACAAGTGATATTTTCTATCTTATTATCAGATGCATGTAGGAAGATAAGAGCATATTATATATTTATTTTTCAGTAGACAAATAGAGGCATTGCATAGACATACATAGAAATACATAGAAATGATTTTTAATGAAACATTTATGTATGCAAATAGATATTATTTAAGTGTATTATTTAAATGAACACCTATCTAGATATTTATCAACCAAAAATTAACCTAATCAGTAGTGCATGTTCCTTTATCCTTAGTGCCACTTGCATATGGTCTATAGACTGATATATTATTGAATACATTGTGGGCAAGAATTTTCCATCTCAACATTTTGAATATATTTCTTACTTCTAATTATAGATGTGTTCCAGTTTAATTAAAATTTCTCTTTAAAAGGATAATTTTTCCTACTGTATATGCAGGTTTTCAAGACTTCTAACTTGAATTTTATAAACAGCTAATGTGAAAAACAAAAATGTCCTGATTTTGAAGTATAAAATAAAATGATAGTTTTGATCAAGTCAGTTTAGATCTAAATATCTCTGACTGCACAACTATATCTACATTTTAATTTCTCTATATATGCATATATTGTGTATATGTATGTGTGTGTATTTCATTATTAATCTTACTAATATTATAATTCAAATATTACCAGTCCACTTATCAAAGGCAGCTCTGCAGCTGTTTGAACTATTAAGGCCACTCATTTTGCTTATATCTGCTACCTGTTATTATAGAGATTGACATACTGTCCTAATTTATAAATAAACATATCAACAGCTCAATTTTTATCTAAACATCTTAAAGTTCTTAATGTGTTACCTTACCATCATAGTTTGCTTTTCAGTGAGATACTGTAATTTTTATTCTTTTTGGTTTTAACAGTGACTTTGTTTTAATTATAAACAAAAAAAAAAACATATGTTTGGTCTCAGAAGTTAGGCTGCCTATTTCAGTGCTTTGGGACCAGAAATTACCTGAACCTACGTACAGAATATTATATTGAAGAAAACCAAACTTAATATTTGAGAATGATTTCTAAATCCATTGGTTGTGAACTATTAGAGCCTATCTAATTAAAGTTTTAGTTAAATTTTATAATGATTAAGAAATATTCATTTTATTTTAATCCTCTTTTCAAGGTTAATAGGGCAAAGTTATTTTTAAATGAAAATGTTGAAAGCAATTGCTCACAGGAATATTACTCATAATCACAATGCAAGCTAGTTATTTTATTATGCATCAAAGCTACTTCTTTTATTGTGTTTCCTTCCTAGGGGTTCAAAGATTTTAAAGTCAGCATCTTGCTAATCCTCCTAGATGTTTAATTAAAGTAAAATATTGTGCAGATTAAAGCAAAAGAAAAATTTAATTTATTGTCTTGATAACAAATATAAAATTCATGATATTTTACAAGGGTCTTTTTTGCCCATCAAACAGCTTTTTATTTCACCATGTCTTCTATTAGCTCCTTTGCTTATCACTTGGTTTTCAAAAAACAAAGAAAGGAAGAAATGAGGAGAGCTAAACTTCAAAGCATCCTTTCCAAGCTTTCTTACTCCTCCTGGTCTCATTGGTCCTTATCCTTATTTTAATCACTTTGTGTGGATGTTGTTTGAGATGGTTCCACACTATTAAGATAAGCGTTGAGGACTTAGTAGTTGGCCTGAAGCACTACAAAATTGAAGCCTGGCTTGTAGAAATGGATAGCTCTTCAAATTATTTGTCATTTTCTATTTATCTTATTTTTCTCCAGTTGACAAAAGTACATCCCAAAAAGTACATCCCAGAGAAATTATACGGCCAAAATTTGTTTTTTTTTTTTTGTTTCTGCAACATATGAGATAATATGAGCTATAGATTTAATAAGTGAAGGAATTGAAACAGGCAATATACCCCAAAGAGAAAAAATATTCCCTCATATTGATGGAAATTTCTTTACTTCCTAAAAACATGTATATGAGTATCTACTTAAATTATTTATGATTTCTAATTTGGGTATATAGTGTGAATAATTCAATATACTTATACAGTTTTAGTTTCTAAAAACCCAAATCAAATATTTTAAATAAATTTACAAATACTTCAGTAAATTAATTTTTAAAAATCACTCTGACAGTTCACCTCATTAAGCCTTTTCTTTGGTTAAAGTAATTAGTGTTTAGTTTTACTTTACTTCAATCATTTGGTTAATAACAGCACTCTTTCCTAACAAGTTGCATGTGTGTCCTAATGCACCTGATCTTTCCTTCTTGGTTCTGGAGTGGAAGACAACTCAAGTTGTCTTGATTCTGGAGTGAAAAATATCTAGAATTGCAGAAAAGAGAACAGACTAGAATCCTTATGGCATTAAAAGGAGCAAAACATGTACTCTCCATTAAGATTTTCTACATGCCTCATTTCTTGGTTTGGAGATGTAATTTTCAAATATCAAAGTGCTGTAACTAAGTTGTTTTTCTAGAGATGACAAAGCCACCAGTAGAATGACCACTGATGGGTACATTTTATTTATCATTTGAGGAGCAAAAACTGAGAAAGTGGAGGAAAACTCAGCTAGAACTTCAAAATGACACTTGAAGACACCTAAAGTAAGAAGGGCGCAAATCCATGGGAGAAAGTGAATGAGAAGATAGAGAGAATGCAAACTAACCTTATTCATGTCACGATTGGTTGTGGCATGACCATAGATGAACCCTACCATTTCTACTTTTTCTAAATTGTTTGGTTTGACTATAGAAAAATTAACTATATCTGAATATCTGATGCTTTTCAAAGTGGTCACCAGCTAATGCAGATTTCTTATGAAAGTCTAGTTTTCTTTCTAATAATCATTGGCATTAACCAGTTGCCATAACTACCAATGGATTGCATAAGACACATCTGCATAAATACATATGACTGAATGTGGACATGAGTAAAACTGCCAATTTTAGATAAGCCAGCTTTACACTTTAGATAAAGAATAATTTCATAATTCTATTCTTTTACCTGCCCACTCATACATTCAATAAAAATCATTGAATTTTTTGTGAGGCAATAAATAGGGAAACCAATAACTATATGAAATGAATTTAGATTATGGTAAATGATAAAAAAGTAACTATTTTTTTTGAGAAAGAGTGGGTGAGGGTAGAGTGCAGTATTATAAGGAAAAACTAATGGAGTCTCTCTGCAGAAATGACATCTGAGGTGAGACCTAAATTATTTGAGGAAAGCAGCTATATAATTAGCATTTCAGAAAAATAAAATTGAAAAATGAGACCTGAAGAGAGGAAAAAGAGCTTGGCATGTTCAAGAAACCAAAGGCAAAGAAGAGGCAGGTGGCAAATAATACATATAGTTTTGAAAATAATAAAATTTGAAATTTATTCTGAGTGAAATGAGAAGACATGGGAAGGTTTTATGGAGGAGAATTACAAATTGATGACCATGTTTAAAAGGTTATTAATACTCTGTAGAGACTTTAAAAATTGCAGGAGACCAACTGGGCATAGGAACAGTGGAATGGAGTGGAAGATTTGGAGATGTATGTCATAGTGAAAAGCAAAGGATAAACATTCACAATGGAGAGAAATTTCCACAGTTGTTTCCAGGTTTATGGAGATGTCTACTAGAAATCTGAATTACATGTTATCCCTTATTTTTTGATTGCATAATCTATTTAATAATGAATGTTATAAAATGTGTATGTGGTATACAGGTTAGGAGATATGAGGGTAATTTTCTACTGTCTTAAATTCTTTAAATCCAAATACCCAGCACAAATATCACAACACAGGGAGCCTGAAAATATCGAAGGCCTATTTTCAGTATGTCTAACCAACCGAACATTTTGTTCTTATCTATAAAATTTTCTGATCAAATAGTCTAAGTTTACATACTTTTATCTTTACTTCTTGACTACGGAACTTCCCTTTCCATGATTCAAAATAACCATATTCTACTCACAATTCTATCACATAGTTGGGTGTCATCAGGAAAATAATTGCAGCCCTTTAAAAATAAAAATACCTGATTTTACTCCTTCAGGATGTTTATGTTAATATAGTAAACATTATTTATAAAAAAGAGATTTGGAATTTCTTAAAGACCTCAAGGTAGAATCATTGATATGTCTCCATATTTGACTCCCCATATATAAGGAAAAACACAAAAAGAAAATAAAAACAAAGAAAAAACACCCACAAGTCAAAACACACAAACAAAATCACAACAAAATTACCATATTTCAGAATGAAATAAATGGGACATACCCCAAAAAGTATTTATAGGATGAAATAAAACATACACACACACACACACAAACACACACTTCAACCTCAAGCACAGGACAGATTTGGCTAAAATCCTTGAAATTGCAAACAAAGCAATTTTCTTAATCAGGATATGTTTGAATGATTAAACAAAACAACAACAAATACAAATAAATATAAATTATCAATACTTATGGAAATCCTGACACCACAGATCAATAGAGTGGAAATAAAAATGTAAACGCTAAGCAAATACCAAGGAATCATGCCATTTAGCTTTCCAATATCTATGATCCTAGCTAGAGGAAACCACAGGATGTGAAACAGAATGATGATGGATGGAATGCCTATTATCCTATCAGAAAAGATGGAATTGATGACTTACAAGTTTGTATTTTCAAATATAATGATTTCAAAAGCCCAAAAACTGCAATTATTAGGTTGATGCAAAAGTAATCATGGGTTTTGCCAGTAACCCATCATTACTTTTGCATCAAACTAATATTTGTTTCTGTAATAAAGAAGACTCCATGTATAGAGATGTGACTGTAGTATAAATAGCAAAGCATGAAGGAAAGCAAATAAAGGGCAATTTAAATAGACCTGGCAATAAATAATGGTAGCTTAGACTAGTCAAGTGGTATAGAATTAATTTTGTTGTTATGATCTATTGTCAATTAATAATTTATATGTACACATTATATATTTCAGTTATACCTCCTTACTATTTAATTTCTTCATTTGGGAGCTTGCTATTAATCTCTTAGAATCTTCAATTTTGCCATTATGTGCTTGTTATTAAAATTATCCAAGTTTGTCTTCCATTCTCAAATGATTTGTAATCAGCTCATTTTGGTAAATAAAGAAGTTAATACCTGTTTTTCATTTACAAAAACAACTTGATTATTATAATTAATCTACCATATAAATTAGATCGTTAAGTATAAAATTCATTATTTTCAGTACCGTCACAGAGTTGTGCAAACATCACTGGCTATGGATTGGCTGTGTACCCAAATCTCATCTTGAATCGTAACCCCCATAATCCTTATGTGTCATGAGAAGGACCCGGTAGGAGACAGTTGAATCATGGGGGCATATTCCCCCAGACTGTTCTTATGCTAGTGAGTGAGTCCTCATAAGATCTGATGGTTTTATAAATGTCTGGCATTTCCCCTGCTGGCACCTATTCTCTCTCCTGCCGCCCTGTGAAGAGGTGCCTTCCACTATGATTCCTGAGCCCTCCCCAGCCACACGGAACTGTGAGTCAATTAAACTTCTTTTCTTTATAAATTACCCAATCTCGGGTATGTCTTCATAGCTGTGTGAGAGTGGAATAATACATCATGATGATCAATATTAGATGACTTTCATCACCCCAAAAGAAACCTTGTATGTTTTAGATATCACTCCCTCTGTTCACCATTCTAACCATGTCCCAGATATAGGCAACCACTAATCTACCTTCTGTCTCTAGATATCTTCCTATTCTGGATTCACTATAAATGAATTAGTATGATACATAGTTTTTTGTCACTAGCTTTTCACATAGTATATGTTAAGGTTCATGTTCTAGCATGTGTCAGTATATCATTCTTTTTTTTTTATTACCAAATAAGATTTCATTGTATGTACATAAGTTCTATGGATATTTACCTATTCATCAGTTGACAGACATGAATCAACTTGAGTTTTTTCCTACTTCTTGATTATTATAAGTAATATTGTTATAAACATTTGTGTGCAAGTTTTTATATATCTTGGAGTTGCTGGTCCATATGGTAAAATCTATTTTTAAACTTTTGAGAAACTGCCAGACTATTTTCCAAAGTAACTGCACTATTTTACATTCTAATCAGCAGTATATGTGTGCTCCAATTTCTCCGCATCCTTGCCAAGACTTCCTATTTTTTGGGGTTTTAATCCTAAGGAATATGAAAGAGTTTCTCTTAGTGTTTTTTATTTACATTTCTGTGATGACTAATGATGTTTCCTCAGTAACTAATGACTGTGTATGTGCACGTCATTCCTTTGTAAATCTTCATTTGACAAATATCTATTCAATCTGTTGCCCATTTTTAATTGGGTTATTTGTCATCTTATTGTTAAGTTGTAAGAATCCTTTATGTCGTCTCTATAAAAGCCTTTTATCAGATATGATTTTTAAATATTTTATCCCATTCTGTGCATTGCATTTTTGTTTTACTAATGATGTCCTTTGCTCACAAAAGTTTTTACATTTTGATTAAGTTTAATCTATGTTTTAGATTATATCTCTTGTCTTTTTGGTATCATATCTAAGAAATTATTGTATAAATAGAGCTCATTAAGATTTATGTCTCTTCCTAAGAGTTTTATAATTTTAGCTCTTACATTTATGTCTTTGATGCATTTTGAGTTAATTTTTATATATGCTTTGAAGCAGAAGTCCAGTTTCATTCCTTTGCATGTACATATCCAATAACAATTTTCCTTGGTGCTATGTTTTCTCATTTATTCTGGCAATCAAGAAATTATGTTGAAATTTTCATTCAATTGTGTCTTATCTATTTTAAAGAACTTGACTTTTGTTTATAAGTTGAAACATAAGAGACTGCATCCATTCATGCCAAATGAACTCTGCTAATTATTTTCTTTACTAGGGACTTTCTCAGCTAGGTGACAGTCATAAACTTTAGGTCTTTACTTTTCCCTGAAATTATTACTGAATATAAAATCTCCAAGAATCCAAACTTGTATTTAAAAGATAGAATATTTTAATAGTCTTTCAAATCAATCAATTTGGCACAATAATCGATTCTTGCAGTTTTTGACTATATTTTGTAGACCAGGCATTTTGGTGGTTTACCTGTTAATTTTGTTTCTCAGGTTTAAAGTTAAATGTTAAGTCTAGCAAGATACTACAGTGTCATACTGAAAAGAAAGGAGTGTGATAACTAAAGATAATACATTTCACACATTCCTTTTCAAAAGTAACTCAAATCAAACTACATTTTTCAAGATGTACAATGTAATGCAAAATTCAGAAATTTTATAAAGTTCTTTTAAAACCATACACTAAAAAGCATTAGCTTTTCTAAATAAGGAAAAAAAGTAGCTTTCTCCAAGTGAGTATTTCAATGATATATCCTGGAATGTTATCCACTTTTTGCTCATTCCCTGAAGTTTTTTTTTTTCTTGTTGTTGTTCTGTACATGTCAGATATTAATATTGATAATATATCTCATAATAAGTTTTTGCTATAATAAATTATTGAGTAATTTAAGACCATATTTTTAAACCTGTCATCTAAGAATTACCTAAGTGGTTATCTACTTATTTATATTTCAGGCATTGGGAATTAGAAATTTAAGGAAAGAGTTTGGGAACATGAAATTTAAATGTGAAACCCAGATTCTTTCTAACAATCAGCAAATGTTGGAAAATTAGTCAGTAAGTTGTCCCCTCTGATGAATCTTAAGGGTATTATGCTAAGAGAAATAAGCCAGGCACAGAAAGACAAATATTGCATGAACTCACTTATGTGTTATCTAAAACCAACAAACAAACAATGTGTAACTGAACTCACGCGAAAGAGTAGAATAATGGCTACCAGGGGCTGGGTGTTAAGGAAAAGGAGAGATTTTGGTCAAAGAGTAAAAATTTCAGTTATAAGATAAATGAGTTCTGGAGCCTAAATATAAAGCACAGTGACTATAGATGATACCAAAGCACTGTACACTTCAAATATTCCAGGAGAGTAGATATCAAGCTCTCACCACACACACACACACACACACACACACACACACACACACAAACAAAACAACAACAACAACAACAAACCAATCGTAACGAGGTTAAATGATAAATATGTTAGGAGTTTGATTGTGGTATTCATTTCACAATGTATACATGTATCAAAACATCATGTTGGCTGGGCGCGGTGGCTCACGCCTATAATCCCAGCTCTTTGGGAGGCCAAGACGAGTGGATCACCTGAGGTCAGAAGCTTGAGACCAGCCTGACAAGCAGGGTGAAACCCCGTCTCTACTAAAAATACAGAATTAGCTAGGCAGAATGGTGCATGCCTGTAATCCCAGCTACTCAGGAGGCTGAGGCAGGACAATCGCTTGAACCCAGGAGGTGGAGTTTGCCGAGATCGCACCATTGCACTTGAGCCTGGGCAACAAGATTGCAACTCCTTCTAAAAAAGAAAAGAAAAAATAAAACACTTCACCCTGGGCGACAAGATTGCAGCTCCTTCTAAAAAAGAAAAGAAAAAATAAAAAAACACACATTGTTCACTTTAAATATATACGTTATTTATTTGTTTATTTTTACTAATCATACATTTAAAAAGCTGGGGAAAGTAGCAAAAAAAACCTCTTAAATGCAAATACCTTTCATAGTAGTGATGTAGCATTCAGGCTAACCAGTCTTTCTGCACCAGTTGTGTTAAGCTATAGGTGTGTTGCACATCACAACGAACTCAACATAGATTTTGATGGTGCAAAATGAAGCATGAAATTGTTAGCTGCTCACTCTGATAACACACAGGAGGAGAAAGAGTATATGGTCAGAGGAAAATAGGTTAGTAAATGAAAAAAATTACATGTAAAATGGTACCATGATTTACAACTTACACGAACGTTCTATCAAGCAATTAGTTATAATAAATTCCTCTGGAAAATAAACTGTATTGAATTTTAGTTCATTTATTCATTCTACTAACAAAAATGACTAAGTGCCCTTGATAAGGTCCTCTAATAAGAGGCACTAAGCCAAATACAAAGATACAGTGGAAACCTGACTCCATCTCTATACACAATATGCTCAATACCTTCAAACCTCAGTCTGGTTTGTCGTTTACAGGTTTAACATAAATCTGACTAACAAATATAACATAACTTATGACACGTCCATTGGACAGGGACTAAGGAGGTTCTCAATAAATATGTTTTGAATGAATCAACCAATATTCACCACCTTTCATCATGTGTCTCTTTTTCAGAAACATGCACTAACCAGTGGAAAAGCTTGCCTAAGTGATTGTTGTCATAATGACACGGATTCAATGAATAATTCTATTCATGGAATTTCATCAGCTTAATAAGGAAAGAGTAAACAAAACATCACTATAACTGTGTACAAAGTTGGAATGTTTGCATTTATCAGCAAGTACTAATTTATTGAAGGTCCATTATAAACAGCCCTTTTTTATGTAATGTAAAAGTCTTAATGTAAAGACACTTACATTAATATTACAACTAGTTTTAAATTATTATTCCTTCAGAGTGGCAGGTGCTAATCGATGTTTAATGTTGTCTTTTTCTTTATTTTATGTAGGTCCATAAGGCCTTTTAAAATAAAAATAAGATGTATAATGTACATTAATCTTTACTCACAAATTAATATTTATTATAATGATTTTTGGAAAGGTACTTTAAAGAAAACAATAAAATCATGACTCATAGATCACTTCTTTTTAGTATTAATAATTTTCTGTTAACTTGAATGGGTATATATAAATTCTATGGTCTTAAAACAAAAATTATTGCTTCAATTGATCTTGATTTGTGACTTTATATTGCTAGAGTTTATGCTCAACTAAAATCAGTCAAAACTAAATATACCTTGTGCTTTGGGAATTCAAAAATAGAAAATAACTTTATTACTTTCTAAAAAGTTTAAACATAGACAGTCTTTTATATTTTTAATCAAGAATTTTTGTTATCAAACTTAGTAGAACTAAGAATTCATAGAGGGTTTTGATAAAAATATAGATGGCCAAATCCTGCCTTCAGAGATTCCAAAAGAGCAGGACAAAAAGGTATCCTGAAAACATCGGTTTTGACAAGTTCCTCATATGAATCTGATTTTGGGTAATCAATCCACACTTTGTCAAATGCTCAACAAATGTAGTAAATACCATAGCTGAAAATCTTAAAATCTTCCAGGAATTTGTAGTTTCTGGAGATTATTATGGCCAAAGAAAGACTAAAGTTGTATAAAACCATATTTAGATGAAGAGATGCCAATAACTTATCTTACACTAAAAATATGATTGGACTAGTTTTTATGAACTTTCCAATCTATGTCTAGAAAAATGTGTGGTATGGAAGCATTATTCTCAATTTACATAAAAGTGTAAGAGCTTAGCATTTGATTTTATTACATTTCTTGAGGACCAAAATTATTCTGTTGTTTTATATTAGTGTTTCCTATTTTCTATATTAAAATATGGTCAAATTTTAAAAATTTACTCATACTAGAAATAAAATTAATTTCCAAGATCCACCTCTGAATTTTAAAATAAATATGTTAATGATAACTTAAATGAAGTAATATTTGGTTATTTTCATTTAGTTATAAGAGGGTTAATTAATATATACACCAGCATATACAGTGGCCTGAACATGCTTTCTTAATATATACATTTTCTATTTAATAATGTATTAGGATTTTATACTATATGTACTATTAAAGTTCCTATTTTAATGTTCCATATACAAGAACGTAAATTATATATATGTAGATTGCTTTGTCATTTTAATTTTTTAAATCTGCTTTCATAGAGCTTAAGTTCTATTTTCTTTTTGAAACAAGGGGAGAATCTCACTCTCTATATATACCTCATACATAGAGAGAAATGTGATATTGCATTTTTAATTTCTGCATAACTTATCTAAATTCTGTTCTTTTTAAATATAAAATAAGAAATCACAATTTTATTGGTAATAGCATCTACCTTTTTTCAAATATATAACAGAAAAAGACAGACGAATGTATTCAATTGTATATACACAAGCTGGGAAAATTTCTCGAATGCTAAGGATGTCTCTTCACCTGAGGAAAGTTTTATGTTATACAACTAAAAATATTTTTGTATTTAATTATTCCTATGTTCCATTTGAAAGGTATAAGTTGTTCTACTTAATTTAGTCTTCTGTTAATAATGAATTGAACAAACTTCCTGAAAATTCCCTTGTTATTTTAAAAGAGATCCTTGATATTGTAGTCCTTTCTTATTTGAAAATATTTTTACATCAACATCCTTCGGTTAGGCAGCAAAAACTTAAGCTTTTGTTAAAAAGCAAAAAAATGTATAAATGTTAAACATACAGGAGTATATTACCAAATACGTTGTTTTTGTCACTCAATGTAACACCCATATTTTCTTTTGATCACCCAATAGTAGTAATTGTACCTTACAGTATAGCTGCATTTTAACTGAAGGAAGAGAAGAAATTTATTGGAACAAAATAAATGTCAATAATTTGTTGATGGAAGATATTTCTATTAAGTTTCTTCTTTTCATCTCTCTGGATTTCAATGTTCTGTTGTGAAATGATATTATCCTTTTTTTTTTTTTTTTAAACAGCTCCTCTTACTGGCTCACACTATCTACTCAAAACATATTACATGTATCTTGTATCAGAAATTCTATAAAATCTACATTGATTAGTAATTTTGATCATATGACTAACTTTCCAACATTTTAATAGCTAACATATTATTTGAATAGTTATTGTCTTTATGTCTTGATAATAGGAGCTTTTCAATTCTTTGCCAGAGACTAGTGTTCCTTCATCTGAAAGTAGTTCTCTCTGTTAAGAAATTGAGAAATGCATCAACAGAATCAATCCCATATGCACTTTTGTTTTAATAAATCCTAAATCTTAGGCTTTATCCAAGAATACCTGGGACCAAAGCTGAAACCAAAACAAACAAACAAACAAACAAAACAAACTTGGGTGAAGTCCAGTATTCTGTCCTTTAACAACTCCCCAGATAAACCTAATTTATGCTAAATTTTGAGAACCAGTGTTTTGACATATGTTGACTTCTGCTGTGATTTGAATATATCCCCCCAGAATTTATGTGTTGGAAACTTAATCCCCAATGTGACAGTGTTAGGAGATGAGGTTCATTGAGAGGTGTTTAGGTCTTGAGGGCTCTGTCTTCATGAATGGAAGCCAGAAAGAGCTTCTGGCCATGTGATGACACAGAAGGAATCTCTTACCAAATATGTATGTATTATTCTTGGACTTCCCAGCCCTCAGAACTGGGTGCCAATATTTTTTTTATTTTTCTAATACATTACCCAGTCTGTAGTATTTCATTATGGCAGTACAAATGAACTAAGATGATTTCCATTAAAGTGTTTCTCTAGAAAGGAAAGTGAAGAACAGACCCACTGCTGAAATAATACTCATTAGTCTAAATATTGTGAGATGCTTGGAAAATGAAGCATAGCACTCTAAACTGTAATGAAAATTAGCCTACTGTAAGAGGACATGAGTAAGAATATGCTAGTTTTTCATAAAGAATTACCAAAAGTTAAATCATAAAGAAGACTAATCGGGCCGGGAGCGGTGGCTCACGCCTGTAATCCCAGCACTTTGGGAGGCCAAGGCGGGCAGATCACGAGGTTAAGAGATTGAGACCATGGTGAAACCCCGTCTCTACTAAAAAAAATACAAAAAAAAAAAATTAGCCAGGCACGGTGGTGTGGTGGGCGCCTGTAGTCGCAGCTACTCAGGAGGCTGAGGCAGGAGAATGGCGTGAACCCGGGAGGCGGAGCTTGCAGTGAGCCGAGATCTCACCACTGCACTCCAGCCTGGGCGACAGAGCAAGATTCCATCTCAAAAAAAAAAAAAAGACTAATTGTAAGTGTGTTTAAATTCTGAAATTAAAAAATCTAATGAAATGAAAAAATAAATAATTAAAATACTAGAGGCAATTTGCTGATTTATTTGAATTTTTTAGGGATTTTGTAGCCTTTAAATGGCAAGTATACTGTGATAAATTGTCTGCAAAGGTTACATCACTTCCTTGTGCTCCTCTGCTCACACCTCTTTGTAATGTGGCTTGGCAAGTCAGCCCATTAAGATGTGGAATCTTGTTTCACACTTTGTGTATCTGGGCTGACTTTACCACTATGCTTGGCTGATAAAAAGTGGTGTAAGCGATGCTATTTTCTACAGCCTAGACTTTAAAAGACCTTTGCCTTTTGAAGTGCAATTTTGACATTGCCATAACAAGAAAGCCATTCTAGCCCACTGACGGAAGAGGATACCCAAGGTATCCCAAGTGATAGCCAGATATGTGAATGAGGCCATCTTATATATTGCAGTACATCCAACAGTCTTCTTAGTGCAACTATTTGAGCTAGTCAAGCTAAACTAGCAGAGGCCAACCGATAGAACCAATGTAGTTTAAATATATGTCCTCACCAAATTTCATGTTGAATTGTAACCTCCAATATTGGATGTGGGGCCTGGTAGGAGGTGATGGGATCATGGAGGCGTATTTGTCATGAATGATTTAGCGCCATCCCGGTAGTGTTGTCCTCATCATAGTGAGTTCTTGCAGGATTTGGGCTGTTTAAAAGTGTGTGGCATCTTCCCCCTCACTCTCTCTTGCTCCTGCTCTTGCCACGTGAGACACCTGCTCTCACTTTGCCTTGTGCCATGATTGTAAGCTTTTTGAGGCCCTCACCAGAAGCAGATGCTGGCACTATGCTTCTTGTACAGACTGGATAACCATGAGCCCATTAAAACTCTTTTCTTATAAATTACCCAGCTGCAGGTATTTCTTTACAGCAACACAATAATCAGCCTAACATAAGAACTTTAAGAAATAATAAATCGTTCTAGTTTTAAGCCGTCATGTTTGGGATGATTTGTTATTTGGTAGTAGAGATCTGATACTATTATAAACACAAACTTATCTACACATTTGTGTTTCTCTCATGACTAAGTTAGAAATGTAATAGTGGAATTCTAATACAAAACCCAGTTTCAAACATATGGGAATTATAATCCAATCCAAACTATGAAGGTTATGTATTTTTAAACAATGTGGAATGCCTTATACTAATGATGTTAAAAAATAAGAACAGGGCCCAGGGCAGTGGCTCACGCCTGTAATCCCAACACTTTGGGAGGCCGAGGCGGGCGGATCACAAAGTCAGGAGATCGAGACCATGCTGGCTAACATGGTAAAACCCCGTCTCTATTAAAAAAAATACAAAAAAATTTTTGGTGGGCTTGGTGGCGGGCGCCTGTAGTCCCAGATATTCTGGAGGCTGAGGTAGGACAATGGCATGAACCCGGGAGGTGGAGCTTGCAGTGAGCCGAGATCGTGCCACTGCACTCCAGCCTGGGCGACACAGAGAGACTTCGTCTCAAAAAAATCAATCAATCAATAAAAAGAACACACTACTGTGGGGAAAACATTAGCGAGATCACTAAAACCTGTCAACAAACACTGGAAGATTGTGGAACATTAGTTCTACTTTTTCTCAATGTTTCAGAAATTCTAATTATGGACAATTTGGATAGGGATGCCTCTTATTTGTTAAGTTTTATCCTGATAGACATACTACATCCATGCAAACTTGTCATGGATAAACTTTACTGGGCCAGTGGAATATGAATTAAGGATAAATAATGGAAAGATAAGTTCAATGTCTCCTTTTGAATAAAAACGTGTAAACTAATGAATAAGCCTAGATCCCAAATATATTAATTTATTCAAATTAAAATTAATTAAATTGATGTATTATAATTAACGTATTTCAGCTTAAATGGTTATCTGCATTCTTTTACTGTTAATTATGTTGCTTCTTTCTGTTGTTTGTTTCACCTTGATGATCTTAAAGGCATTCTTCAAAATCATGTACTAATACATTCATTTTATGTTTTACTCTGTTGAAAATGTATGCGAAGCATTTTAATTAAAGCTAAAACTAATCTAAGTGAATTTTTAAAATGCACTGTCTGAAATGCAATAAAAGGATAATAAATGAACCTCCTTATGACCCCATCTCTATCACCAATGTCTTGTTTAAAATACACAGAAAGGTTAATTTCTACATTTGTTTTATATGATCATTTATATTCAGGTTACCTCAAGTGTTATTTTTAAAATGATATGCCTTATTCATAATTGTCATTTATATTACCTATATTCTTTATCTCAGGATAATTATATTAATATTTATGTTGTACAAATTTCAATAAAAGGTAATTTACACAGAAGGGATGCAATGGAGTCATGAATCGTGGCATATGCTTCTAACATTCATAAGAAGCCATGTAATAGAAGTAAGAGAGTGTGATTCTGTAAATCTTTGTGATATAAGTATGGATATGCAGGAGTTTGTGCCTGTCTCCTAGAATAGGCAGAGGATCTCTAAGGGTATTGTTTGGAGACATTTGTTATTTTGGAAAATTTACCACGGTCTATCACATGAGCTATGCAATCATCTCTTATTGGTGCCTCAAGACATTGCCACTTCTATAGCACATACCAATTGACAAATGTAGAATCGAATATGTAACTATCATAAATTCCTATGTTGTTTGGAGGGCCTACATGGAAAACTGAAACAAAGACATACGTTTTCCTGTGATTCACTATTATAACTGAAGAGATAGATGAATTACTATGCAATGTGATTTGCATCTATCTTGTTTGAACTATACCATACCACAACTTCTATACCCATATGATACCTTGCTCCAATGGTACTTTTTAAGATAGATTTCAGCAACTGTGTCAGTCTCCTTTTCAAGCTAGTTATTCAAGGAAAGCACTATTCTTAGAATTGAAAAACTTAAAGTTTGTTAATTCTCCCAGATCTGCACAATAGAGATGTTCTTACTAATGTCTCATAGATTTTAATATTTAAGTCCATTCCCATGCTCTTGTCTCTGCACATACTCTAGCCTTGTAAATGAACAACAGTGTTGAAAAATTGTTGGTTGGGCAATCTTTGGCATTATTAAATTTAGATTCTGTACCTTTCATTTTTTCCATGATTGTTAGCCAATCTTCATCTTCATTTCATATATATGTGTATATATATATATATATATATATATATATATATATATATATAATTTGATAAGTTACCATGAAGTGTTGCATACTTAGGGGTTATCTTGTCCCAAGTAATTACTCTTAAGGTTTAACCACCAAGTTAGATATCACAATGATACAAATCTAACAATTCTCCGTTTGGCTCTTCCCATGTTCTCAGTGCAAGATTTAAGTAAACCCAGACACAAAGCCCTGAAATTACGGATTACTTATCAATGATATGCAAGCCAAATGAAGAATGTATAACTTCATAGGATAGAAGATATCCTTGAAACTCACAGTAGTGTCACCTAAATATGTCCATTCATTTTTTCTACGTACTCCTTTGTCAGAGATAGAAGCTTTTGTATGCTCATGGGGATGGGGGAAATATTTCACTCCTAGTAAAATTTCAGCCAACTAGAATAATTCACCAATTATAAATACAAAAGAAACCTAAATTTCTGTCACTTCAATGCATAAAATGCAAGGTGATAGAAATGAACATTCTTATGAAAGCAGTATTTTAAATTCAAGGATGAAAATTTTCAGTGTAAATATGCTGAGCCTTGAAGAGTGGTGACAGAGTAGCTTAATGAAGGTAGGATCATTCCATTCTTTGCTTCTGAAAAAAAGCATACTGGGTTTTCATCCAAGTCTCCAGGCATGCCCTTAACTACTCATTCTGAGTACCAAACATAGTCTCAGAGATGTTCTCTTCAGAACATTAGATCCAGCCTAATCGAAGACTTCTGACCAAGGAGGTCTTCACACTTCCCTCGGTTTGACTAAACTTTACACAGGCTTCTTTCTCCTTCTAGTCCCCCTGAGAGGTGACAGCGTGCTGGCAGCTCTCACAGGCCTCGCTCACTCTTGGCGCCTCCTCGGCCTCCGGGTCTGCTCTGGCTATGCTCCGGGAGCCTTTCAGCCCGCCACTGCGCTGTGGGGGCCCCTCTCTGTGCTGGTTGAGGCGGGAGCCGGCTCCCTCAGCTTGCCAGGTGTGTAGGGAGAGGCACAGGCGGGAACCGGGGCTGCCCACGCACTTGCGGGCCAGCTAGAGTTCCGGATGGGCATGGGCTTGGTGGCCCCGCACTCCAAGTGGCTGGCCCCACCGCCAGGGCAGTGAGGGGCTTAGCACCTGGGCCAGCAGCTGCTGTAGTCGATTTCTCACCGGGCCTTAGCTGCCTCCCTGAGGGGCAGGGCTTGGGACCTGTAGCCTGCCATGCCTGAGCGTCCCCCCGCCATGGGCTCATGCACCGCCAGAGCCTCCCCGACGAGCGTCGCCCCCTGCTCCTCGGTGCCCAGTCCCATCCACAGCCCAAAGGCTGAGGAGTGAGGCGCATGGCATAGGACTGGCAGGCAGCTCCACCTGCGGCCCCAGTGGGGGATCCAATGGGTGAAGCCAGCTGGGCTCCTGAGTCTGGTGGGGACTTGGAGAATCTTTATGTCTAGCTAAGGGATTGTAAATACACCAATCAGCACTCTGTATCTAGCTCAAGGTTTGTAAACACACCAATCAGCACCCTGTGTCTAGCTCAGGGTTTGTGAATGCACCAATCAGCACTCTGTATCTAGTTAATCTGGTGGGGACTTGGAGAATCTTTATGTCTAGCTAAGGGATTGTGAATGCACCAATTGGCACTCTGTATCTAGCTCAAGGTTTGTAAATGCACCAATCAGCACTCTGTGTCTAGCTCAGGGTTTGTAAATACACCAATCAACACTCTGTATCTAGCTAGTCTAGTGGGGACTTGGAGAACTTTTGTGCCTAGCTCAGGGATTGTAAAGGCACCAATCAGCACCCTGTCAAAACGGGCCAATCAGCTCTCTGTAAAACAGACCAATCGGCTCTCTGTAAAATGGACCAATCAGCAGGATGTGGGTGGGGCCAGATAAGACAATAATCGCAGGCTGCCTGTGCCAGCAGTGGCAACGCTGGGGTCCACTTCCATAGTGTGGAAGGTATGTTCTTTTGCTGTTTGCAATAAATCTTGCTGTTGCTCACTCATTGGGTCCACACTGTGTTTATGAGCTGTAACACTCACCGAGAAGGTCTGCAGCTTCACTCCTGAAGCCAGCGAGACCACGAACCCACCGGGAGGAACGAACAACTCCAGACGTTTGGACTTAAGAGCTGTAACACTCACCACTCACCGCAAAGGTCTGCAGCTTCACTCCTGAGCCAGCAAAACCACGAACACATCCGAACATCAGAAGGAACAAACTCCGGATACACCGCCTTTAGGAACTGTAACACTCACCGCGAGGGTCCGCGGCTTCATTCTTGAAGTCAGTGAGACCAAGAACCCACCAATTCTGGACACACCCTGACCTCCCTTTTACTTGGTGTAGACAGAATCCTAATAACCACAGAGGTCCCTCTTCTCCCTCTTACAGTATTTCCTTTAGAAAACTTGTAATTGCAAATTCTTTCTCTGCTCTTTTGAGATGTACATATTTTTATTATTGCTTTCTTGCTTTACAAGCCAAGGCTGCTTTTCTTCAGAACCTGGGAGCCATTCCTCTGAAAAATAATCACCAAGTGAGTTAGAATCACCTCTGGGAAAAGAGAGGAGACTGACTGTGGTAGGTGCATTACTCCAAATTGCAAAAGTACCTGCTGTTGGGAAGTTATAAGAAATTTGATGTTTCTTTTGGGTAAGGCCAATTAGCAAACACAGATGGCTTGTAATACCCTCCACTCTATCTCTTCAAATCCCCTGCCCTTTATTTAAACAGAGTTGAATTGAGAATGCATGCTGGTCTCTATGTCGTATTGCAATATCCTTCAACAAATTCTCCCTGACTTGTTTAGTTTTATCTGGTACAATTTTTGCTTTGACACCGCAAAACAGTTTGCTGTTGACTACGGCTTCTTACAACAATTAGTCTCCGTATATGGACCTATTAAAAAAAGAATACATCAAACATCACGTTCTGCAACATAAACATATAGAATTTCTACTTGTCAAATAAATAGAAACCCAACAGCAATCAGATGGAGAGTAGAAAGAAAAGAAGATAAATCCAATTGTATTATTTATGGGTAAACATTAGGATGAACTAGAGCTTCATTGCTTAGGCATAATAGAAGTTTATCAATGGATATTTGAGGAGCCAATTTTATGACTCAATTTTATATGCCACAAATATGTTATTCGTATGTGAATGTAATATACAATATCAGATATGAAATGGCAAATACATATTCTAGCTGTATAAGTGACATATCCAAACTTAAAAATACTCATGAATAGGCTAGTTGTGAGAACCAAAATAAGCTCATTCCTGAACAAAATCTTGGTATATTCTGTAAATACATTGCTAGTAATAATATAAAAACTAGTATCTTGTTTAGTTGTGCATGAGAAAATAAGTGCATAAAATAAAACTACTTATTTCTCTACTATAATTCCAGGAAGAATAAACTTACTTTGTAATTTTAACATATAATTTTGTTCCTAATATACCTTCACCCTGGAGGGAAAGGATTGGATTTTAGGGATTTCGAGGTTACTAATGGGAATAAAATAAGATATGTAGATGAGAATTTGAGAAGGATCGAATTTTGAATTGTAAGATAGTGGTTGTAATCACCTATTGTTTTGTAACAAAATTTTGCAAAACTTAAGTGGCTTAAAAGCAAATGTATTATCATCTTCACTGTCCTTAGGGTTGACTGAACTCCGCTGAACAGTTCTTGCCTAGAGTTTTGCACATAATTAACTAACACACATAACTGGTAGGGGCTAACTGTTACCTGGGACCTCAGTTGGGATGTCTACTAGGGCACCCACATCTGACCTCTGCATTTACTTTGAGCTTGTCTGAGCACAGTAGCTGTGTTCTGGGAGGTTGTGGCACAAAAACATGCGTGCCAAGATGAAGGTCTAGGCAGATACTGCAGGAATTTATTTTTATTTTACTCGTAACTACGACCCATGCTTTATTTAAACTTAATTGAGCAAATATTTTGTAAAATGGTAAAACATATAAAGGAAAGGGAGAAAGTGGAGCCTAATCAATGAATAGATATGATTTACCTCCTATTGAAAAATAATTATTGCAGAATATTTTATTATAATTTTCCTTAGCAAAAGGAACAAAAGTGATTTTTGAAAATTTTATTAATTATAGAGAGGCAGATTTGATGCAGCAGGCATCATATTTTTACATATTTTTACATCCACGCTGTAAGATACAGAAAAGCAATGATAAAGTTATTTCTCTAAGAAACACAGGTATAACTTAAGGCAAAACTTTATTATTTTTGGTGCTTTTGTATTTTTTCTTAAGTGTTATATATTTTTGGATAATCATATTTTCATATATTTTATTGTTTTATCTGATGCTTTTTTTGAGGAGTATATAATTTATCAGTAGGGAATTAGGTTATTTTTTCAGTGTACAATGAAGTAGTTATTATCATATTCACAAGGTTGTGCAATCATCACTATCTAATACCGTATCATTTTCCGTAACCCAGAAATAAACCCCTTGCCCACTAGCAGTAACCATTTCCTCCTTCATTTTTTTATCCTTTGGAAACCACTAATCTATCTTCTCTATGGATTTGTCTATTATGGAAATTTTCTGTAAATGAAAATATACAATATGTGGCCTTTTGTGTCTGGAGTCTTTCTCTGAGCATAGGTTCATCTGTGTTGTAGCTTGTAGCATGTAACTACACTTCATTATCTTTTACAACTAAATAATGTTTCATTGTATAGATATTTCAAATCTTGTTTATGCATTCAACAGGTGTTGGACATTTGGGCTGTTTTCACTTTTTGGCAATTATAATAATGCTACTATGAATATTAATGTGAAAGTTTTTGTGAAAATGTATGTTTTGAATTCTCTTGCTGGGTCATAGACATAATTCTGTGTTTAACTTTTTGAGAAACTGCTAAACTGTATTTCAACGTGGCTGCACCATTTTTTGTATTCTCATTAGTGATGTTATGAGGGTTCCAATTTCTCCACCACATTATTTTCTAGCTTTATGATTATAGTTATTCTGGTGGTAGTATCTCATTGTGGCTTTGATTTGCTTCTTCCTCATAATGAATGAATGATGTTGAGTATCTTTTCATGTATTTATGGGACAGTCCATATATATACAAACATATATACGGGTGTGTATATATATACACACACACACACACCCATATATATATACATATATATGTATGCATACACACCCATATATATGTATATATATACACACACACACCCATATATATACATATATATGTATACATACACACCCATATATATGTTTGTATATATATGGACTGTCCCATAAATACATGAAAAGATACTCAACATCATTCATTCATTATGAGGAAAAAGCAAATCAAAGCCACAATGAGATACTACCACCAGAATAACTATAATCATAAAGCTAGAAAATAATGTGGTGGAGAAATTGGAACCCTCATAACATCACTAATGAGAATATAAAAAATGGTGCATATATATGGGTGTGTATATATGTGTATATATACACAGCCATATATACATATATATGGGTGTGTATATATGTGTGTGTGTATGTAGATAGGTAGATAGATAGGTAGATAGATAGATAGATAGATAGATAGATAGATAGATAGATAGATATTTCTCCAATTGGATATTTCTCCAAATAGTGGAAATATACACTTGAATTGGTTGGTCATTTAAATTGGGTTACCTTTTTACTGTTGAGCTGTAAGAATTCTTCAAATATTCTGGATACTAGACTTTCATTAAATATATTATTTGTAAGTATTTTCTCCCATTCTGTAGCTTGTCTTTTCACCTTCTTGGTAGTCCTTTGAAGCACAAGTTTTTTGTTTGTTTTGATGAAGTCAAATTTTTCTTTTTGTTGCTCATGCTAAATATCATATCTAACAAACTGCTGCCAAATTAATGATTATAAATATGTATGGTTTTTTTCTAAGAGTTTTATAGTTTTAAAGCTTACACTTGGGCATGTGATCCATTTGGGTTTAACTTTTGTATATGGTGTGAGGTAGAGTTTTAACTTCATACTTTTACATGTAGATACCCTGTTGTCCCAGCACCATATGTGAGAACAACTATTCTTTCCCCATTGAGTTTTCTTGACACCCTTTTCAAACCACAACTGAGCATAAATATGGGCTTATTCATGAGCTCTCAATTCTGTGTTATTGATCTATATGTCTATTCTTATGCCAGGACCACATAATCTTGATTGCTGAAGCTTTGTAGAAAATGTTTAAATGAAAACATTTGAGTCCTCCATCTATATAACCCAGCCTCAGATATCAGACTGAATCACCTGTATTCCATTCTATTGATCAAGTGTGAGTCATATGACCAGACCAGAGTCAATTGGAAGAGATTACATGAGGGAATAACTACAAGGAGCATGAGTCCTTAGGGGTTATATTTGGAAACCACCTCTGAAGAGAAGAGTAGGTGCAGAGAAGCTTCCCTAAGACTGTAGATTTCCAAATGTGGAGACCATACTTTTTTTTTCTTTTTTCTTTTTTTTTGATTAGTATGTCCATGGACTTAAGATCATTGAAGAGTATTGCTTAATTGAGACTACAAATAACGGAGAAGACATTTTTAGACCTGTTTTTCAAAGCTCAATATAGTGTTGTTGTTGATATTGCTGTTTGTTTTGTTTTGCTCTTAACAGAATCACAATAAAGATAGACATGATCATCTTTAATTATCTGGCACCATATGGCACCATATAAGTTCGAAGTTTTTTTTCAGAAACTTAGGGGAAAAAGTGGCTTTCTTAAAATACAATAATTAATTAATTAAACTTTATACTATCTCTGAGAAGTTGCCAAGAATATATTTAATTCAATGTAATTATAAAAATATGATGATGTGAACTTTCTTAAAGGAAGTAAAACAAAAAACAAACAGAAAAATCCTCCCAAGGTATTGCTATCTTGTAAAAAAAAAAAAAGTCCTCTAACATAAAATTTATAACAACAATGATTTAAAATGCATTGATACAAACATCCACTAGTTGAAAAATATGGAGATTTGAGGGTTAAAATCACATTGATTCTTTTTTTAACATCAGTAGTGAAATTAGATATGTTTTCTTTGCCCAAATAATATTTAGGGAAATATAGGTTATCATTACACTGAAGTATTGATATTATTAAATTTTTAAAGCACTAAATTGACATAATATTATTTGCTTAAAATGCATAGATCATGAAGAGATCAAGGAAAAGCCACATTACAAAAATATTAGTAACATGATATCATTTACGTAGACTGGAAATTTCACCAATTAATGTTTCAGTTAAATACATAAAAGAAAACAAAAACATAATCAGTTTCGGGTGGTGTGGGCAAAAGTTTTAAAAAAATAACACCCTCGTTTCAGATAATTAACCTGAATAATTAATTATTGGGGAGATAAGAAAAAACAAAGTTTGATAAAATGTTCAACAAAGCTATTTAACATTCAAACTATGAAAAAATATAAATAATTACCATATTTCTATTCGAGGATCAGCAAGGAGACCTAGTAAGAAACAGTGATTGAGGTGGTCAGAAATCCAGGGGAGTGTGAAGACGTGCAGTCAGGTGGAAAACAGTTTTCAGAGAAGAACTATGTTGGGTGTCATGAACGGGACATTTACTTAATGAAGCTGATTTAACATTCTGAAAAAAATTGGTGAGGTTCAAAATGGGCATTCAAAGCAAATAGGAGAGATTTTCGAGATGAAAGATAGAAAAATGGAAATAATTCTTTCTAATTTAAGATGAAACCAGGGAATGAGATATTAACAGAAACAAATGAGAGTTGAAAACTCTGTTTTACTCTGTTTTACTTTTTAGAATGTGGAATAAAATCTGTTTTGTGCATGTAATAGGAAACAGTAAGAAAATACTGAGATGTGAAAACAAAATGAAAAGAATTCCAAAATTTAAAAATGTTAGAAATTATCAATAGATTAAATTAAGAATACTGGCTACACATTTCTATTTTGAAGACAGTTTAATAATAGCATAAATATTTATTAAATACATTATTGAATTAAAAATTCTGTATAATATATATAACATATATTTTTCAATCAAATTATAAAGCATAATAATTTTATTTTCAGGAAATATACGTTTATATTTTTAAAAGATGTACTCAAATATGTATATATATGTTATTTTCCTTATTTAATTTATTGTCACCTATTACTTTGAAAAGTTTTTAAGATTGTCCTACTGACATAGCCTTCGATTTTAAAAGTTGAAAGCTTGAGGGTATTCCATTGTTTTGTTATCTGTCTAACCTAGCTAATTATATTTGCTACTCTAAGTTAATTAAAACTCTCTCTTTATGAAAATAATTTGTTTACTCTAACCACACAGCCACTGGGTTTACTGCTTTATCCTTTGCTTTTTTCAAAATACATCTGAATTATTATGCAGACTTTGAACATAGCAGGGATCTTCCCCATTTGCTTAAATGGTGACCTATTGTTGCTGCATATTTTTTAGTATATGTTACTGTATCGTGTTCATTTTTTGATCAAAATGAATGCAATTGAAGATATATGTAGTGTACCCAGGTCAAACTTCCTTTGCAATATGTTTTTATCTTTTTTATTCTAAGTTATTCTGATTCTAAAAAAAAATATGTGTTTATATTAAAAATTATCCAAATTTGTTGTACTCTTACATTGATCAAAAAGCTGAACAGAACTGTTAGAAATAATTTGCAGATGACAAGATCTTCAGAAGTTTCAAGTGCCTCCTCAAGTTTAGGTTATGCATATACTATTCAATTTTATGCTATTTCATTTCCCAAAGAGGAAACAGCACGACTTTTGAAAAAGGTGAAAGTGCTTTACTCTGGCCAGTCAACAATTTTCAGAAGCTATTCTATACAATCATGATGATTTGATACAAGATGGTTCTTTTGCTCCTCATATCATCATTAGGGGAGTGAGAATGAGGGTTGCTGATAAATTCTACTCCCTAGCACATGGAAAACAATTTCAGCCCAAAAATGTACTGTGAGGAAACAGTCCTTTACACTAAATCACTCACCCAGAATATGCTGAACACTTTTATATGTATTTTTAAAACTTGAGGAAAGTGAGTTTTATTAAAATAATGAAATGTAAGGATTCTCTTTTAGGGATTGATATATTAATCAATATATTAGTTCATTTTTACAGTTAAGGTACCTGCATACATTCAATTAATTTGTTTTTTTAACTCTTTGTTGTAAAAATTATAGTAAAAATTTATTAGGCCTTGACGAATTATGGGAAAAGATAGGAAAAGTACACCATTCAAGACAATCAAAAATCATTTACAGCCCCTCTATTTCCCTGTGCTCTCTTATTCAAAACATATGTTTCCAAAAAGTGAAGTTTTAGAATCATATAGTGGTATGGTTTGGCTGTGTCCCCACCCAAATCTCATCTTGAATTGTAGCTCCCGTAATCCCCACGTGTCCTGGGAGGGAACTGGTGGGAAGTAATTGAATCATGGGGCGTATTTTTCCCACTCTGTTCTGACAGTAAATGAGTCTCGTGATTTGACAGTTTTATAAAGGGCAGTTCCCCTGTACGCGTTCTCTCTTCTTTGCCAGCATTTAAGATTTGCCTTTTCTCCACCTTCACCTTCCACCACGATTGTGAGGCCACCCCAGCCATGTGGAACTGTGAGTCCGTTAAACCTCTTTTTCTTTATAAATTACCCAGTCTTGGGTTGTCTTTATCAGCAGTATGAGAACGGACTAATATACATAGGTAACCTCATGTTTCTAAATGTTGTGTATCTCTCCAATATACCTAATCTGTTTCTTTATATCTCTCATGTTGCTTTGTACAGTGGTTCCACATTAGTTCAATAAATATTTCATTAAGTGTGAGATAATATAGCAAGAATAATTTGATACAAATTTACTCACTTTTTAAGTCAGAAGGAAAAAATAATTCCATTCCAAGGAATTTTCTCAAGATAATTGAATACAACTATATAAAATGGCGGATTCATTTATTTGAAGAAAAATCAAAATGTGACTTAAAAGAATAAACATAAAAATGAATTCCAGTTAGCTTCCTTAAACTAATTTTCTATTATTTAAGATATATTCCGACTTTTCTCATATCACTAATCTGACCATTAATATTCAAGTTCTTCCATTTTAGCAAACAACCATGTTAAATACTTCACAGAGAAAATGCATGAAATCAGAAGAAAACTATTTCATTTTCCCATAATTCTCACTAACTTCTTTAATCGTATTACTATATCTTCTGTCTTTCTTACATTACAGTAAAAATTGCCTGTACTTCTTTCTGCAGTTACTATGTTCATTTTTGCTCTGCATCTTCTTTTAACCATTTAAAACACTTCACAACTGCAAGTAGTCCTTTTTATTCCATCAGTACTTTGCCCAACTTTGTTTCCATTATTTTCCTAGACAAAGATGACAAAACATCATCCTCTATTGATTCCATTCCAGTTTTGCTTCATGTTTATGCTCCCTTTCATAGTAACTGAAATATTTATCTATAGTTATCCTTTCTATTTCCATAATTTTCATTCTTTTCTTCACCCATTCCAAATGTCTCTCATATTCACAGAGACTACCTAGGTTATTGTTATAATCATGACTAATGCTAAAAATCTAATTTCTGTCTACATTTGTATGTATCAGTAAAAATTGTTTCCTGAAAATGAGAGAAACCACATCTGGCTAAAATGAGCAGACAAATAGTTTATTAAGAAGTCTTTGGGGCTGGGCTTGGTGGCTCACACCTGTAATCCCAGCACTTTGGGAGGCGGAGGTGGGCAGATCATGAGGTCAGGAGTTCAAGACCAGCTTGGCCAACATGGTGAAACCCCCTCTCTACTAAAAATACAAAAATTAGCTGGGCATGGTGGTGGGTACCTGTAATCCCAGCTACTCAGGAGGCTGAGACAGGATAATCCCTTGAACCTGGGAGGCAGAGGTTGCAGTGAGCTGAGATCACGCCACTGCACTCCAGCCTGGACAACAGAGACAGACTCCGTCTCAAAAAAAAAAAAAAAAAAAATAGAAGTCTTTGATAGTTCACATAATAACTGCTAAGGGGTTTTGATACATGGCTTCAAACAACAATCAAAATGTCTTATCAGAATATCTCCTTGAAGAAATTGCTTTTACTAACGATAGCATTAATGCTGCACCCTGGCCAGAGACAACAATGGGAAAACATTTCTTGTTGCCACTGTAGCATCGCTGACACTGCATCCTAAGAATAGAATCTTGCTGGAACTGCCATTGTTGTGAGAATGGAATTTATGTTGTTCCAAAATCTTTGTGCCACAAGTTTATTTGAAGCACAAACTAAGATCACCTGCTTGTCAGCTCTACTAGGCCTGGTGTCCATGCTCATTCTTCAAGTGGTTCTGGAAACGTGTCTATCTGGACTTAATCTGTTCCGTTGTGGGAAGAAGCCTCTACTTCACAGAAGTAGTTGTGATCAGTTACTTTAATTAGAAGAGATTTTCCAGGCACTGCAATTGGGCATTAAAAAGAACAAAGAAAGAAAGTAAAAGGGAAAAAAATACTATAATCCCCACTTTCCAAAAAAAAAGGAAACATATCTTCTAATATTTACATATAAAAATGGTTCTTATCTCGAATAATTCATATATGATTCATAATATTGGTTATATTTTCTCTAGCTTTCCAGAAGGAAGAATATGCAAAGATATGACTCATTTATTGAACTAAACTCAAAGTGTAGGCTATACTAAAGATAACTATTGTTTCTCCAGGGTGTTCAGAGCCCATCTTAATATTCTGTAATGTATGTATTACATTATTATGTAATTATCTCTAATATAATATGTATAAAATTGATAGATGATAAATGGGAAAAATATTCTTTAATATAAACAATATTTTTTAACTCAACAAAGAAAAAAAAAGACCTATTAATCCTAATGTCATCACTTGGCAAGGAAGTTACAGTCTATGATTGCCTTCCTCCACTTTTTATTTCATAGTATCCTTAAACTTTAGTTTTATCATTAACTAATCATTATTCTTTACCAAGTAATATGATTGAAACTTTGCTTTTGAGGGGTCTAAACCTTCTGTTTCAATTTTCCTATAAAGACGCACTTCCCTTTTTCATTAACTTTTATTACTAGACAGGCAGTACTAAGGTATACAGAGGCTATGTCTTTATACTATTATCTTTCTTCTGCAGTAAAAAACACATTTTTTATTGAAAGTGAGAATGGGTTATTTCTGCAAAGATCATCTTCCTTTTTTCCTTGCTCTTGCTTATTTGCCAAAAAAAAAAAAAAAAAAAAAAAGAGAGAGAGAGAGAAAAAAAGACAAAGGAAAAAAAAAAAGAAACAAAAAACTAGCCAGTAATTCAGCTTCAGCTTCTAGTTCAATATAACCCTTGATAAGTCAGCACATGGTAGCTTTCCCCCTAGGGAAAGCTATGTGATTCTCAAAAAAATTTTTTACAATAAATTAATTTGGTGCAATGTTGAGTAGACACCATTCCTCTTTCTTGCTTAGGTTCTCAAAACATATATTCTGTCAATAAAAAAGACATTAATATGGATGAAATTGCAGACTCAGAAGTTCTTATCTCTTGTCATAACTAGGTTCAATTGTGTATCAACCTAGTAACTTCTGAGTTATGGAATATACATAACTATAAAAATTAACCCATTGCCTCCTGCATTTGATATAAAGTCAAATTTTTGGTCAGATAAAACATTGTGTTTTATAAAATAGCAGTGATTAAATAATTCAATAAATCAAGTGAAGAGAGAACTGAGAAAAGCAATAACTACGGTGAAATCAAATACAAATCATAAATTAGTGTGTATTGCCAAAACCATGAGAGAAGTTTAATGTAATTTACTTAATAAGTTTAATGTAATCTACTAATGCATAGTTGACTGGGTCCCTCCAGAGTATAGCACTTTTTCAGACTATCAACAGAGAAAAGTACTTTTGGGAGGTTAGATGGCCCTTATAGTATCTATGTCAACTTCAATAAAGAAGATCTTACTGCTATTTCTTGAAAAAGGAACAACAACAGAACAAGTGCTAGATAGCTAGAATGAGCCTGTCTGATATTTACAATGCAGTTGATATCATCTGCTTAATTATTGGGTTCTATTCCAATAATCAAGTAGGAATTGTCACTGAGCTTTTAATGTATCATAGGATGAGCATATTCATATAATTTTCACCCACTTTAAGGAGATCATCTTCATCACATTTCTCTAATATTTTCATCTTAATTTATCCAGACATTCCCCACAAGTCCTGATCATCATGAAAAGCCATAAATCAACATAATGAGTGTTGCTGTTAATAAATATCTTTGGAATTAGAGTCCTCACTTTATTTATCTTAGAGTCTGGCTAACTTTTTCTACATGATATCAGATAGTAATTTAGACTTTGCAGGTCATACAAAAATTTATCACAACTACACATCTCAACTACTGTAGTGTGAAAGCAGTCAGAAACAATATATAAACTAATAATAATTGCTATATTTCAATAGGCCTTATTTATAAATGAAAATCAAAAGACTGGATTTGAACCACTGGCCATAGTTTGCCAACATTTGACTCAGAATATTACATTACCCTTAACCAAACTCCAACTGCCTTTTGCACTGGCCAAACAAGTATATTAAAAGGGGGTGTGCTGCAATAGTTATATATCGACATACAAAATAAAACACACACACACACACACACACACACACAAGAATCTTTACCAAGACCTTACATCTTTCATGAAAATTAACTCAAAATTCATCACAGACCTAAATGTAAAATACAAAACTAAAAAATCTTAGAAGATAACATAGAAAATCCATGAAATAAAATCCAGAAAATCTAAAAAATGTCCTTGAGTTTGGCAATGACTTTAGATACCACACCTAAGGTACAATCTATGAAAGAAAGAATTGATAAACTATACTTCATGAAAATTTAAAGTTTCTACTCTATAAAAGACACTGTCAAGAGAATAAAGAAGCCAAAGAATGAGAAAACATATTTGCAAAAGACTTCTCCAATCAAGGATTGTTACCAAAATACGCAAAGAACTCTGAGAACTCAACGATAGGGAAAAACAAACAAACAAAACAAAACAAAACAAAAAACAAAACTCTCATTAAGAAATGGGCCAAATACCCTAATGAAACCTCACCAAAGAAGATACAGAGGTGGAAAATTAACATATAAGAAGGTGCTACACATCATATGTCATCAGAGACGATGAACTAAAACAATGAATTACCACTACACACTTATTGACCAAATTTTAGAACACTTACACCACCAAATTCTGGTGAGAATGTGGAGCAACAGGAACTGTAATTCATTGCTTTTGGAAATTCTACATGGTTCACCATTTTAGAAGTCAGTTTGGCAGTTTCTTACAAAACTAAACACACTCCTACCATATGATTCTGCCAATTTTCCTTTTGGTATTTACCTAAAGGGGTTGAAAACATATGTCTACACAAAACCTGCAAAGGCATTTATAACAATTTTATTTATAAATGCCAAAACTTGGAAATAACCAAGATGTCCTTTAGTATGTGAATAGATACACAGTGGCACAGTCAAACAATAGAATATTATTCAGCACTAAAAAAAATTCTCTTAAGCCATAATAAAGAATGGAAAAACTTCAGTGTTATTAAGTGAAAGAAGCCAGTCTGAATAGGCTACATGCTATATGACTTAGAATATAAGGCGTTAGACAAAAGGCAAAACTATGAGTAAAAGACTGTTTGGTTGGCAGTGGTTGGAGGTGGGAAGAGATATAAAGGTAGAGCATGGAGAAATTTTAAGGCAGTGAAACTATTTTATTAGATACTACAATGGCGGATACATGTCATTATATATTTGTCCCAACCCACAGAATGTACGACACCAGCAATGAATTCTAATGAATACAGTGGACTTTGGGTGATAATGATGTGTCAACATTGGTTCATCAATAGTAAGAAATATACCACTCTTGTGGGAGATGTTGATAATGATGGAGGCTATGCATGTGTGGGGAAAGGGAGAATATGAAAAATATCTATACCATCTGCTTAATTTTGTTTCAAAAATTTGCCTAAAGTGGTCTAAAAATAAAACCTATCATAAAAAGAGGAAGAGGGTGTGATAGAAATTCCATTAAACATATTTTAAGTTCTTAATGTTAAGATATAGTATTCACCATAGATTCATTATTGCATCATTTTTATCATTTTATAAGATGCAGCTCTGGTGGCTTCTAATTCATTCTTCCTGTCTCAAATACTAGTACAGCATAGGCCAAAGAGCTAATATGGATATTATAAAAGCTTTTAGGATGATTGCAAATGTATCTTGAGGTAAGCACGGTGCAAATCTTTGTCTCGTAGGGGGCTACATAAAGAGAATTCACATCAGAGCTGAATATATTGTCATACCCCTCATAGTGCCTCATTTAGAAATGTGAAATGCAATGGAATTCTGCATCCTCAGAGCCAGTGTCCGATAATCTCTAGTTAATTCTATTTGTTTTATTCCCTCAATACATAGTGAGCCTATTAAATGGCTATAAGCACCTCAGGGTGGTGTTATGGTCTGAATTGTGTTCTCTCAAAATTCATACGTGGACGTTCTAACCTCTAATACCGCAGAACATTACTGGATTTGGAGACAGAATCTTCAAAGAGGTAATTAAGTTAAAATGGGATTGTAAGTATGGGCCTTAGTCCAATATGACTGGTGTTTTTTTGTTTGTTTGTTTGTTTGTTTGTTTGTTTTTAAGAAAAGGAGATTAGGACACACGTATGCAGAGAGAAGACTATATGAAAATAAAGAGAGAAGATGCCTATCTACAAGTGAAGGAGAGAAGCCTCAGAAGAAACCAAAACTCTGGGAACACCTTGATCTCAGGCTTCTAGATTCCAGAACTGTGAGAAAATATATCTTTGTTGTTTAAATCACTCAGTCTATGGTACATTTTATGATAGCCCAGCAGACAAATACAAGTAGGAATTATATTGTTTGTTGTATTATTGCAGGGCCCTTCCTCAAATAATTAACTTTCTTTCATTCACAGAGTCTAAACTTTTAAAGAACTCAAGTCAGGGAATTGGCCTATGGACTGTGACTCTCAATCTTGGTGGCTCCATTAAAAACTACAGAAACAAAGTGGAAGAGAGATGATAGATAGATAATAGACATATATGATAGATAGGCACATAAATCAATCTTTTGTTGTAAAGACTCCTTGTTTAATTTTCCAATGACCAATTTTTACTTGAGACTTAACGTTCACGTTAGTATATTTGGAGATAAATGCATTAGAAGCATTAATTTCTCACTGAAAATATTTCCTCATGCAAAGTCATTTCAGATTTTTTTTTAAAACAACGTAAGAAAATCATCATGAGACATAGGAGGATAACTTACACTTACTGTTAAGGAAGACTCATTTTGTATTAAGTATTAAAGCTTCCCTACTTATAGATTCTTATTTCATTTCTCAAGTCCCACTTTTTCTTCAGTGTGTAGTTACTCAACTTTCAAATGTAAACATCAAAAATGAAATATCCTGTGAAGCATAATGTTGGAAGTAAGTGGCTACTCACAAAATATAGTGAGATAAGTAATTAAAGGATGAGAACCTGGATCAGTAATGATTCTGATATATATGTACAGACATATATTATTTACATAGATATATCATCTACATCTGATATATATCATCTATATATCTATATCTGTTTATCTATTATCTATCATCTATCTATTTATCTCTCTGTTATCTGTCGTCTATCTATCTTTCTATTTGCACCAAGGCACAAACTATACAATCAGATACTTCCTATGACTTCACTAAAAAGTCCTTATCTGTCACAGTTACAGAGCTAAGAACAACCTTAAAAATTCTTGATTCTGCAATTGTATTAATAGCTGGACCAATTCGGTATGTAGATTCATTAAGGGTCTGCTGAAGAAGTTAGTGTTCTAGTATACTACACACGAATATCCCTTTATATAGTAGCTGATTATCACTCCCCTCGGTACAAGTGTGAGCAGATAACAAATTGTAAATTCCTCTCACTTGTCTTGAGTCATTTTCCCACTGATACCCATTTTATATAAGTTGTTCTTGGTTGTAATCACAGAAGTTACCTCTCCTGATTAGAAGGATTTAAAAAAAAAGAATACTGATTGGCTTACAAAACTAATGGGATAGCTAGAGAATTATTCTGGAAAGATACATAGCTTGGGTCTACGACAAAAATCTTTCCACAAAATTGTCTTAGTAAAGAAACCACAGCCACCTTGTTAGAGCTCTAGATATTGCAGCCAGTTTTACTGTAAATGTCCTACTGATGAATTAACTCTTGACCCTGGAAGCTACTACTAACATTTCCTCTTGCCTAAAAATGCTTAAATTCAATACAGCTGCCACTGTTGCTAGAAAGGATAATCTGCCATTGCTGCCAATACTTTTGAATTAAAAAACTTAGTATGTGGCCCTAATTGCAACAACATAAGTTCAGTACTCCTGCTATTGGTTAAAGAAAACTAAGAAAGTATATTGATAGTCAGTTTTATATTTTATAATAGGAGGTATATATTGCATTGCCTAAGACCCAAACATTAAAATGTTTTTAATGCCCAATAGCCAGAATAATAATGATATCATGCACATCTTGTTATTATGAATAAACTATCCCTCTCACAAAAGTATGCTTATCAGTAAGTAGAATCACAATCTATCCACTTACCGAAGCCAAATATCTTAAATATCTTAGGACTTTGTGATGCATCCTACCATTACATTTCATATTCAATTTATCAGAAAGGCTTATTGAGTATATCTCAAAAGGAGATCTAAACCTCATTACTTGTACCACTAGAAACCATCTTCAAGCCACTGACATTTGGACTCCAGATACAATCTCCTGTTAGGTCTCAATGCCTCCATTCTTGCTACCCTACAGTCTGTCTACTCCACAGCAGCCAAAATAATCTTTCATGACTCAAATAACATCAAGTTATTGTCATGTTTAAAGTCCTCCATTGCAAGCAGAAAACCTAACTTCTTACCATGTCTGCAAATTCTTACATGATCTATTCCCTGTTTTGTTCTCTGCTCTGATTTAATTCCAACTCTGTGCTCTTCTACACTATTGGTTTATGTGATCCTTTGTAATTCTTATTCATTTTTTGGAAGAGAAAAATTTATCAGAGGACCTTCTTTTTTTTCTGGAAAATGCATTCCTCAGAGTCCTTTGCTTGGCTTCTTCCTTCTTATAATATCAATCAATGCAAGACTACACATTCATTGCAGAGGCATGCCTTCTTCACTTACTCTTGCTAAAAAGAGTATCAATGGTCAGTTCTATCTTACTTTATGCTCTTCAAAGTACCAATGAAGAAGCAACTCTCTCTCATGCTTATTGATGTAGCCACCTTTACTATATGGTATCTGATACAGAGTAGATAGTCAATAAAAATATTTGACTAACTCAGTAAGTCTAGACACCATGTCTATTCCCCTCATGCCCCCAAAATACTGATAAAAATTACTGTTAGTACAGTCAGAGAAGCTAATTTCTCACAGTTCCATATGAAGTTATACCAATTTTTCCTGTTCTATATTGTTTATGTCTTGGGAAAGTAAAAATGGTATATAGAATTCTGAAAATAATATAAATATTCACAATTTGGAAATTTTTTTCTATATATTAACATTGATATATAGAATTTCCAAATGATTCACCAATAATTTGAATTAAATACATTATACTTGTAGATAAGATGAAGAACTGAGAACTGAATAACTAAGGAGTTATTTGAAGTTTCAGCCTGTACTCACTCTCTTAGCATCTTAAGTGATTCTGGCTGACTTGTGAAGATCTTGCGTTAATATTTTCTAAATTACTTTCAATTCCTTGAAAATAGATTTAAAAAAATACTACCAAACATGTAGATGACAGCTAACTAGAATTAATTTAAATATAATAAATAATACAAAATAGTCAAATTGGCATCAAAGAGAAAGAAGATTTTCTTGACTTTGACGAGATTAAATTTAACAGAGGTGAATAAAAAAAGAAACGCAGTTTCAGAATATCACAGGTTCAACTTAAACCTATATTGTTGAGTAAAAAATATTTTAAAGGGTAAATAGAGTCTTTGCTTTAAAAACTTTTATGTAAGCCATTGATATTAGCATAATCTGAAGTAGCTATGACTTGACCCCAGAATAAGGGCAATGTGTTTCAGAATAAATATTTAACTAAATAAAATATCTAAAGGAGAGCAAACACATTGAGAGTAGTCTGAATGCCACAGGAGAAATGGTTGAGCAAATGAGACACCTGGTCCAGAGACAATTAAGAGATTTTGTTATAGCTCAGGCATATTTTTAAGGACTATGATATGAAATGAAGATTGCATACAGTCTTTGCACCTTGAAAGGTCATAAGCAGCACTACAGAATGCAAAGTCAGCAGGAGCAGGGATTCAGTTTAATATAACAATGATTGGAAAACTATCATTACGAGCCCATAGAGAAATTGGTCTCCCAGTGAAGCGCCCTCCCTTTTCAGAGTGATGAGAGAAGTCCTTTCTGCATCTAGAAATGGGCCAAGCTAGACTTCTTCATCCACTCTAACAAACAATTTTATTTCTGTCAGTCACATGCTTACAATAAGAACAAAGAGAAATGGGTAGGCCGCAATGTAACCAGCAGTGGAAAATTGTGCTTGTGGTTTACAAAATATTTTTATATGGTCAGATATTCCCCGCAGCTATTAGATGAACAGGTATGAACTGTGAAAGATTGGTTTCCATTCTGAGTAGAACCTTTTGCTAACTAGGTTACAGCTAAGGAATCTCATTATTTAATTCTGTGTAGGAGTTTGGAGACAGGCTGCTGAGTGGATATAAGCCTCTGCCCAAGAAGAAAGAGCACATAAAAATGTGACAGCTTGTGTAGTTTATTACAGTGTGTGGGTGAGGGTGACGGTACTGGCATGAAAGCTGAAATAAAATGATCATTTCCTTCAATTAATAACTGAAATTCTGTGAGGTAATACTCACTTGAAAGTGAGACATCATTAATTTATAAATAAGGGCAGTAAAAAAGTAAGTCTTAATACTGCATCTTATGTTACCTTAGAGAAGCACAGAACCACAGCAATTCAAAAGGCAAGAATTTCCTTGTCTGAGATAGGATATTTGCAAAGAGTTAACATCCTCTTCTCACTCTGTATTCCAAATTACTTTTGAAAGTAATATCCATATTGTACCTTGAAGGAAAGCCTAAGCAGTAAACTTTAATGGCTGCCTGAGTTGGCAATCACTTCATAGAGACAAGACACTGCACTGGAAATTGCCCTATAAATAATATCCCTTACAGAAAAATTAAAATGGAATTCATATTATTGATGTTCACTAGCAGCCATAAGAAACACAAGGGAACAGGAAGTGGCTCTTGTCTCAAATCGCTCTCAGAGGCACCTGAAGGACACCCTCAAAGTCAGCTTTGATCAATGGTGATAAGTGGTTTGTCCAGCATTTGGAGTAGGCTGTAATGTATTTGGAAACCTTGAAGAATTTGCCTATTGAATAGAAATGATCTAGACATTAGATGCCCCACATTGAGTTTTTGTCTGCACTGGCCATTAATTCACCAGTACTCAGATTTTCTGAGGAATAAAGTCTCTTTTCCTTCCTTGCTGATTATCTACCTTCCCTTCCCCACTTCAGTTTGTTGATTTTTACATTTGTGTTCACCTCCAGGCTTTATGTTCCCCAGGATTTTTCTGGATTTTGGACCGGAGGAAAGATCTACAATTCTGCTTTAACTATTAGTTACGTAACCTGCTTTGCTAGGTGCATATGTTGATATGAGAAGTGAGACAAAAAACCACAATCTCTAGGGTCGTGTTGTGATTCTGTATGTCATGACTGGTTACAGTGGTGTCTGAAGTGTACATTAAATTGTCCATGTTGAGAAGTACATATTCATATGAAACTGTAAATGTTAAACTATAAATCCAAGGAAAACAGAGAATAGGAAGGAAAGGAGCAGAAGATGAAGGAACAAAAACAGGAAAATGACAGCAAGAGTTAAACTGAAAGAGAAATAAAAAGAGCAGCAAATAAATTGGAAAGACAAAGTAACTGGAAAAGGTTAGAAAACTAGCAACACACAAATCCACAAGAAATGTGCTATTCAGCATGAGTCAAAGATTAGATAAGACAAGTAGGAATGTCTCATACCTGATTCTAAGTACACACTGTTCTTTATTTATAGTTGAATAAAACATTTTTAACTGATCAGTTCTCATATGACCCCCCTGCTTTTATTTTATTTATTTATTTTTTAATTACACCCTAAGTTCTGGGATACATGTACAGAACGTGCATGTTTGTTACATGTGCCATGTTGGTTTGCTGCACCCATCAACCCATCATCTACATTAGGTATTTCTCCTAATGCTATCCCTCCCCTTGTCCCCCACTCTCCAGCTGGCCTCAGTGTATGATGTTCCCCTCTCTGTGTCCATATGTTCTCATTGTTCGACTCCCACGTATGGGTGAGAACATGCTGTGTTTGGTTTTCTGCACCTGTATTAGCTTGCTGAGAATGATGGTTTCCACCTTCATCCATGTCCCTGCAAAGGACATGAACTCATTCTTTTTTATGTCTGCATAGTATTCCGTGGTGTATATATGTGCCACATTTTCTTTATCCAGTCTATCATTGATGGGCATTTGGGTTGGTTCAAAGTCTTTGCTACTGTGGATAGTGCTACAATAAACATACGTGTGCATGTGTCTTTATAGTAGAATGATTTATAATCCTTTCGGTATATAGCCAGTAATGGGATTTCTGGGTCAAATGGTATTTCTGGTTCTAGATTCTTGAGGAGTCACCACACTGTCTTCCACAATGGTTGAACTAATTGACACTCCCACCAACAGTGCAAAAGCATTCCTATTTCTCCACATCCTCTCCAGCATCTGTTGTTTCCTGACTTTTTAATGGTCGCCATTCTAACTGGCATGAGATAGTATATCATTGTGGTTTTGATTTGCATTTCTCTGACGACCAGTGATGATGAGCTTTTTTTTCATATGTTTATCGGCCACATAAATGTCTTCTTTTGAGAAGTTCATTTCCTTTGTTCATATCCTTTGCCCACTTTTGTTGGGGTTGTTTTTTTCTAGTAAATTTGTTTGAGTTCCTTGTAGAATCTGGATATTAGCCCTTAGTCAGATGGATAGATTGCAAAAATTTTCTCCCATTCTGTAGGTTGTCTCTTCACCCTGATCATAGTTACTTTTGCTGTGCAGAAGCTCTTTAGTTTAATTAGATCCCATTTGTCAATTTTGGCTTTTGTTGCCATTGCTTTTGATGTTTTAGTCATGAAATCTTTGCCCATGCCTGTGTCCTCAATGGTATTGCCTAGGTTTTCTTCTAGGGTTTTTACGGTTTTAGGTCTTACGTTAAAGTCTTTAAACCAAGTTGAGTTAATTTTTGAATAAGGTGTAAGTAAGGCATCCAGTTTAAGTTTTCTGCATATGGCTAGCCAGTTTTCCCCACACCATTTATTAAATACAGAATCCTTTCCCCTTTGCTTTTGTCAGGTTTGTCAAAGATCAGATGGTTTTAGATATGTGGTGTTATTTCTGAGGCTTCTGTTCTGTTCCATTGGTCTATAAATCTGTTTTGCTACCAGTACCATGCTGTTTTGATTACTGTAGCCTTGTAGTATAGTTTGAAGTCAGATAGTATGATACCTCCAGCTTCATTCTTTTGCTTAGGATTATCTTGGCTATATGGGCTCTTTTTTGGCTCCATATAAAATTTAAATTACTATTTTCTAATACTTTGAAGAAAGTCAATGGTAGCTTGGTGGGGATAGACTGAGTCTATAAATTACTTTAGGCAATATGGACATTTTCACGATATTGATGGTTCCTATCCATGAGCATGGAATGTTTTTCCATTTGTTTGTGTCCTCTCTTATTTCCTTGTGCAGTGGTTTGTAGCTCACCTTGAAGAGGCCCTTCACAGTCCTTGTAAGCTGTATTCCTAGGTATTTTATTCCCTTTGTAGCTATTATGAATGGGATTTCACTCATGATTTGGCTCTCTGTTTGTCTATTATTGTTGTATAAGAATGCTTGTGATGTTTGCACATTGATTTTTATCCTGAGACTTTGCTGAAGTTGCTTATCAGCTTAAGGAGTTTTGGGGATGATGATAGGGTTTTCTACATATACAATCATGTTATCTGCAAACAGAGATAATATAATTTTCTCCCTTCCTATTTGAATACCCTTTATTTCTTTCTCTTGCCTGATTGTCCTGGGCAGAACTTCCAATACTATGTTGAATAGAAGTGGTGAGAAAGGGCATCCTTGTCTTGTGGCAGTTTTCAAAGGGAATGCTTCCAGCTTTTGCCCATTCAGTATAATATTGGCTGTGGGTTTGTCATAAATAGCTCTTACTATTTTGAGATACATTCCATCAATACCTAGTTTATGGAGTGTTTTTAGCATGAAGGGGTGTTGAATTTTATCGAAGGCCTTTTCTGCATCTATGGAGATAATCATGTGGTTTTTGTCATTGGTTCTGTTTAAGTGAATGGATTACATTTATTGCTTTGTGTATGTCGAAACAGCCTTGCATCCCAGGGATGAAGCCGACTTGATCATGATGGATAAGCTTTGTGATGTGCTGCTGGATTCGGTTTGCCAGTATTTTATTAAAGATTTTTGCATCAACATTCGTCAAGGATATTGGCCTGAAATTTTTGTTGTTGTTGTTGTGGCTCTGCCAGACTTTGGTATTAGGATGATGTTGACTTCATAAAATGAGTTCAGGAGGGGTCCCTCTTTTTCTATTGCTTGGAATAATTTCAGAAGGACTGGCACCAGCTTCTATTTTACCTCTGGTAGAAGTAGGCTGTGAATGCATATGATCCCAGGCTTTTTTTTGCTTGGTAGGCAATTAATTGCTGCCTCAATTTCAGAACTTGTTATTGGTCTAGTCAGGGTTTTGACTTCTCCCTGGTTTAGTCTTGGGAGGGTGTATGTTATCCATTTCTTACAGATTTTCTAGTTAATTTGCATAGAGGTATTTATAGTATTCTCTGATGGTAGTTTGTATTTCTGTGGGATCAGTGGTGATATCCTGATATCCCCTTTTTCATTTTTTATCATGTCTCTTTGATTCCTCTCTCTTTTCTTCTTTATTATTCTGGCTAGCAGTCTATTTTGTTAATTTTTTCAAAAAAAACAACTCCTGGATTCACTGATTTTTTGAAGGGTTTTTCGTGTCTCTATCTCCTTCAGTTCTGCTCTGATCTTAGGTATTTCTTGTCTTCTGCAAGCTTTTGAATTTGTTTGCTCTTGCTTCTCTTGTTTTTTTAATTGTGATGTTAGGGTGTTGATTTTAGATCTTTCCTGCTTTCTCCTTTGCCATTTAGTGCCATAAATTTCCCTCTAAACATTGCTTTAGCTGTGTCCCAGGGATTCTGGTACGCTGTGTCTTTGTTTCTGCCTTAATTTCGTTATTTACCCAGTAGTCATTCAGGAGCAGGTTGCTTCGTTTCCATGTAGTTGTGTGGTTTTGAGTCAGTTTCTTAATGCTGAGTTCTAATTTGATTGCACTGTGGTCTGAGAGACTGTTATGATTTCTGTTCTCTCACATTTGCTGAAGTGTTTTACTTCCAATTATGTGGTCAATCTTAGAATAAGTGTGATGTGGTACTGAGAAGAATGTATATTCTGTTGATTTGGGGTGGGGAGTTCTGTAGATGTCTATTAGGTCTGCTTGGTCCAGAACTGAGTTCAAGTCCTGAATGTCCTTGCTAATTTTCTGTCTCTTTGATCTGTCTAATACTGATAGTGAGGTGTTAAAATCTCTCACTATTTTTGTATGGGAGTCTGAGTCTCTTTGTAGATCGCCAAGAACTTGCTTTATTAATCTGGGTGCTCCTGTATTGGGTGCATATACATTTAGGATAGTTAGTTCTTCTCATTGCATTGATCCCTTTACCATTATGTAATACCCTTCTTTGTCTTTTTTTGGTTTAAAGTCTGTTTTATTAGAGACTAAGATTGCAATCCCTGCTTTTTTTTTACTTTCCATTTGCTTGGTAAATCTTCCTCCATCTCTTTATTTTGAGCCCACGTGAGTCTTTGCATGTGAGATGGGTCTCCTGAATACAGCACACCAATGGGTCTTGACTCTTTATCCAATTTGCCAGTCTGTGTCTTTTAAATGGGGCATTTTGCTCATTTACATTTAAGGTTAATATTGTTATGTGTGAATTTGATCCTGTCATTATGATTCTAGCTGATTATTTTGCCCATTAGTTGATGCAGTTTCTTCATAGTATCGATGTTCTTTACATTTTGGTATGTTTTTGTAGTGACTGGTACCAGTTTTTCCTTTCTATATCTAGTGCTTCCTTCAGAAGCTCTTGTAAGGCAGGCATGGTGGTGCAAAATTTCTCAGCATTTACTTGTCTGTAAAGGAGTTTGTTTCTCCTCTAGTTATGAAGCATAGTTTGGCTGGATATGAAATTCTAGGTTGAAAATTCTTTACTTTAAGAATGTTAAATGTTGGCCCCCACTCCCTTCTGGCTTGCAGGGTTTCTGGAGAGAGATCTGCTGTTAGTCTAATGGGCTTCCCTTTGTGGGTAACCCAACCCTTCTCTCTGGCTTCCCTTAACATTTTTTCCTTCATTTCAACCTTGGTGAATCTGATGATTATATGTCTTGGGGTTGCTCTTCTCAAGGAGTATCTTTGTGGTGTTCTCTGTATTTCTTAAATTTGAATATTGACCTGTCTTGCTAAGTTGGGGAAGTTCTCCTGGATAATATACTGAAGTGTGCTTTCCAACTTGGTTCCATTCTCCCCATCACTTTCAGGTACACCAATCAAACGTAGGTTTGGTCTTTTCACATAGTCCCATATTTCTTGGAGGCGTTGTTCATTCCTTTTTATTCTTTTTTCTCTAATCATGTCTTCACACTTGATTTCATTAAGTTGATCTTCACCCTTTCTTCCACTTGATCAATTTGACTATTGATAAAACTTGTATGCTTCATGAAGTTCTTTTGCTGTGTTTTTCAGCTCCATCAGGTCATTTATATTCTTCTCTAAACTGGTTATTCCAGTTAGCAGTACCTGTAACCTTTTATCAATGTTCTTAGCTTCCTTGCATTGGGTTCGAACATGCTCCTTTAGCTGGAGGAGTTTGTTATTACCTTCTGAAGCCTACTTCTGTCAATTCGTCAAACTCATTCTCTGTCCAGTTTTGTTCCCTTGCTGGCGTGGAGTTGTAATCCTTTGGAGGAGAAAAGTCATTGTAGTTCTGGGAATTTTCAGCCCTTTTGAGCTTTTTTTTTCTCATCTTCGTGGATTTATCTACCTTTGTTCTTTGATGTTGGTGACCTTCGGATGGGGTTTTTGCGTAGTCATCCTTTTTGTTGATGTTGATGCTATCACTTTCTGTTTGTTGGTTTTCCTTCTAACAGTCAGACCCCACTTGTGCAGGTCTGCTGGAGTTTGCTGGAGGTCTACTCCAAACACTGTTTGCCTGGGTATCACCAGCGGATGCTGCAGAACAGCAGTGATTCCTGGCTGCTCCTTCCTCTGGAAGCTTCGTCACAGAGGGCCACCCACCAGTTGCCAGGCAGAGCTCTCCTATATGAGGTGTCTGTTGACCCCTGCTGGAAGGTATCTCCCCATAGGAGGCACGGGGGTCACAGACCCACTTGAGGAGGCAGTCTGTCCCTTGGCAGAACTCAAGCACTGTGCTGGGAGATCTGCTGCTCTCTTCGGAGCCCGCATGCAGAAACGTTTAAGTCTGCTGAAGCTGCACCCACGGCTGCCCCTTCCCTCAGGTGCTCTGTCCCAGGGAGATGGGAGTTTTATCTATAAGCCTCTGACTGGGGCTGCTGCCTTTCTTTCAGAGATGCCCTGCCCAGAGAGGAGGAATCTAGAGAGGCAGTCTGGCTACAGAGGCTTTGCAGCACTGCGGTGGGCTCCACCCATTCCAAACTTCCCTGTGGCTTTGTTTACACTGTGAGGGGAAAACCACCTACTCAAGCCTCCCTCAGTAATGATGGATGTCCATCCCTCCACCAAGCTGGAGCATCCCAGGTCCACTTCAGACTGTTGTGCTGGCAGCGAGAATTTCAAGCCAGTGGATCTTAGCTTGTTGGGCTCTGTGGGGCTGGGATCTGCTGAGCTAGACCACTTAGCTCCCTGGCTTCAACCCCATTTCCAGGGAAGTGAACAGTTATGTTTCGTTGGCGTTCCAGGTGCCACTGGGGTACAAAAAAACTCCTGCAGCTAGTTTGGTGTCTATCCAAACAGCCGCCCGGTATTGCACTTGAAACCCAGGGCCCTGGTGATGTAAACACCTGAGGGAATCTCCTGTGGGTTGCAAAGACAGTGGGAAAAGCGTAGTATCTGGGCTGGATAGCACCATCCCCCACTCACAGTTTCCCTTGGCTGGGGGAGGGGAATCCCCTGACCGCCTTGTATTTCCCAGTGAGGTGGTGAGGTGACGCCCCACCTTGCTTCTGCTAGCCCTCCATGAGCTGGACTCACTGTCTAACCAGTCTCAATAAGATGAACCAGGTACCTCAGTTGGAAATGCAGAAATCATTCGCCTTCTGTGTTGGGTCTCCCTGGGAGCTGCAGACCGGAGCTGTTCCTATTCAGCCATCTGGTCCAGAAACTCCCCTGCTTTGAAGTGTGTGTGTGTGTGTTTGTGTGTTTGTGTGTTTCATGCTGTGAACCTACTGTGGCAAGATGAACATATGCTCAACAGATGAAAAGAAATTATTAAGAGGGCTGGGCTCAGTGGTTCACTCCTGTAATCCCAGCACTTTGGGAGGCCGAGGCTGGCAGATCACGAGGTCAGGAGATGGAGACCATCCTGGCTAACACGGTGAAACTCCTTCCCTATTAAAAATACAAAAAATTATCTGGGCGTGGCAGTGGGCACCTGTAGTCCCAGCTACTCGGGAGGCTGTGGCAGGAGAATGGCATGAACCTGAGCTTGCAGTGAGCAGAGATCGTGCCACTGCACTCCAGCCTGGGCAACAGAATTAGACTCTGTCTCAAAAAAGAAAGAAAGGAAGAAATTATTAAGTGAACTTTGACCAATATATGTCAGAGGATTGTCTATAAAACAAATGAGCAAAACTCTCCAAGTGTCTTTGTTGGATAAATATAAAAATGCAAGGAAATTTATAGGAAGTTTAATGAAATAACTGAAAAATCAGTAAATCTTTCACTTCTGTGATATCAAGAAGCATAGGGTGGAAAAGTCAACACCTAAAGCAGGAAGGGCCAGAAGGAGGTCCTTCTTCCATTTTCCAACAGCAAGTAAATTGAGGCTCCTGGCAATGTCAGTCGTCTGGGGTGTTCAAAGAAGTAACTTCCACTTGATCCCCTGATTCCTCATCTAAAGTAAGTGTAGTTTCTGATCTTTAATTATGAGATTTATCTTATTCCTCACACTTAGCAGTAATGTAACGTAGTGTGAAGCCTGTACAATCTTTTCTGTATTGGTAACTGCATTTCAATAAGAAGTTTTCTGCTTAAAAAGCCTGTAGTGTTTTTAATTGTATGAACAGCCTAAGTGGAAAATCAAGAATGTGAGAATAATATATATTTTCTATGACAAAAAAAAGAGAGAGCATTTTATTACCAAGGAGTACTGAAGGCATTACCACTTAATCTGAGGTCAGTGTTTAGCCGAAGGTGGAATCTGTGTGCTCTAATTGGCCCAATAGCAAGGATGCCCAGACTTCTGCATTAGAAAATATCTGTCCAGTTCATTGGGCATGAATTGGTTGAAGGAAAAACATTTAAATTAAATGATTGATTTAAATGTTGTATATATATAAAACACACACACACACACACACACACATTTATATATATATATGCTTACATGGCTGTGAACTCAAATCTCATCTTGAATCATAATAATATCATTATATTATTATATATATAAGGCATATATATATGGCATATATATATGGCATATATATATAAGGCATATATATATGGCATATATATATGGCATATATATATAAGGCATATATATATGGCATATATATATGGCATATATATATATATATATATATATATATATATATATATATATGCCTTATTCTCATGGGAGATTTATAATGTAAGTAATACCATTTGGGCAAAAATTCAGTTTTTCCCTTAGTCTTACGTGGTTTGGGGATTTTGAATTGCAAACAAAATTTATGTGCTTTACGTAATTTCCTGAAAAGGGATCCATTCCTGAGACAATTCCAAGATTATTTGTAAAATTAGGCTTGGCTTTTGAAGACAGAATCAGTTGTGCGTTTCCTATACAAGTCAGGAGTTGTATGTCATGAGGAGCAGCACTCCAGGTAAAGAAAAGTAAAAATTGTCATTTAGATGGATCTACAGCAATACTTTCAACAAAGCCTGGAAGTGAAAAGGCATGTTTGGAACACTGCAAGAATTTCATGTGCCTAGACAGCATTTCACAATGCATTTCTCATAGAATGCTTAGACTGAGTATTGTTAAAAGGTGCTAGTTGAATAGTTATGTGATCAGAATCATTTGGAAAACATTAAGCTCCAAGCATTCAATCAGACATCTTTACTGAGGATGTCGCAGAACCTACAAACCAGTACCTATTCTGAATTTCAAGAGGAATAGATGTTTATTTCAAGAGGATAATGTTTCAAACAGCATCGTGATTTCCTATTGTTATACAACTGGAGAGTGGATTGTCTACAGCAAAGGGAGTCAGTTGGATAGCTGTGAAACCCAAGGCTGGAGATATAGGGAGTAGTAAACTTATGAAAGCTCTCACTTATCACATCAAGGAATTTGGTTATATCCTTTTGCAATTTTAACATGTAGGAATGAACTTAGCTGCGTGTAACAGAAAACCTAACAAAAGGTTATGCAAATGAACACATATTTCTGATAACTAGATGTTCAAAACTATATTATTACTTTCTGGGTTTGTATATACATATTTCTTGTAAGTATATACATATGTATACATATATATGAATAGATGATACAATAAAGTATATTTTATATTTTTAATATTGCTTTATGCATTACACATTACATATCTTACATTACTTTTATATGTAGTTGGCACTTTTGACATTCTGCCTAAGAATATCTGTATCAAAATCCATTGATTCATTTTCACCTTCTTTTTTTAATATTAGTGCAGGTGACAATGTTATCAACTTTCCATTAGTACATAACAGCTCGAAATTATTTTAGTATCAATTTTCTCCATATTATTTTGATTACTGGAGTCCAGCTAAGATTAAATGAAGTGGGAACCACATAATAGTATGAATGCCAGGAGCTGTGGTTCATTGAGGGGCTATATTTGAATAGTAATATGGTTTGGCTGTGAACTCAAATCTCATCTTGAATCGTAATAATCCCCATGTGTCAAGGGTGGGTCCAGGTGTAGATAATTAAATCGTGGGGCCAGCTTCCCTCATACTGTTCCTGTGGCAGGGAACAAGTCTTAAGAGTTCTGGGCCAGGCGCGGTGGCTCACGCCTGTAATCCCAGCACTTTGGGAGGCTGAGGCGGGCGGATCACAAGGTCAGGAGATCGAGATCATCCTGGCTAACACAGTGAAACCCCATCTCTACTAAAAAATACAAAAAATTAGCCAGACATGGTGGCGGGCGCCTGTAGTCCCAGCTACTCCGGAGGCTGAGGCATGAGAATGGCGTGAACCCGCGAAGTGGAGCTGGCAGTGAGCAGAGATCGCGCTACTGCACTCCAGCCTGGGCAACAGAGTGAGACTCTGTCTCAAAAAAAAAAAAAAAAAAAAAAAAAAAAAAAAAAAAAACCAGAGTTTGAATGGTTTTATAAATGGGAGTTTCCCTGCACAATCTCTCATACCTGTTGCCATGTAAGATGTACCTTTGCTTCTCCTGTGCCTTCTGCCATGATTGTGAGGCCTTCCCAGCTATGTGGAACTGTGAATCCATTTAACCTCTTTTCTTTACAAATTACCCAGTCTCGGTTATATCTTTATTAGCAGCATGAGAATGGACTAATACAGATAGGAAGTGTTATTTGGTATCTTTTGGAAACCGTGAATACTACTGGGGAAAGGTGAAGAAGCATATAGTAAGAAACACTGGTGCTCTGGAAGATAGTATAAATAATAAAGTAAATAATTTTAAAGCAACTAAAAGGAAACCCATAGAATTTTCTCAACACACTTTGAATACTATGTAATATCACTTGCTTTTCAATTTGGAATTTAAAACCCCAAATATTATTGAGTCCTTGCTGTACTTATAATTTAATTATTTTCAATTTTCATAAATACACATTGGGAATAGCTGTATATTTGGCAGACATTAAAGATACAAAAATGTAAAAGACACATGAACTATTCTCAAGATGCCTGTAATGGAAAAAGTGAACACATAATACAATTAGGTTGTTTCTGAAAAGTTTCATATAGGTGATCGAATCTGAAAAGTATGTATGTAATAATGAGAATATGTGATATGAGATAGCTTTAAAAATATTCTGTAGATGAATGTGCATGGTTTGTTTAAATATAATTTTCATAAATTTGTTTAGCTGAAATTCAGTTTCCACGTTGTTTATACATACTAAAATATTACACACCTAGAAATGCAAATAAATTATTGGTAAATGCTATGGTATGTCCCTCCCAAATTCATATGTTGAAACCTAATCACCATTATGTAATTAGGTGAGGGAGCCTATGGGACATGATTACATCATGAGGGCAGAGCCTTGGAGAAGAGTATTATGCCTTTATAATTGATGCCTGAGGAAGTTTGTTTGCCCTTTTTACCACCCAAGGACACAGCAAGAAGGTGTCATTTATGAAACAGAACGTGAGCATTCCCCAAACACCAAATTTGCTGGTGCCTCGATGTTGGACTTTTGAGCCTCCATAACTGGTGAGTAAGAAATTTCTATTTTGTATAAGCAGCCCAGTCTGGGGTATTTCATTATAGCATCCGCAGAAGGACTAAGACCTGCAGTTATAGATACAGTTGGCCTTCCGTATCCATGAGTTTCACATCTGTTGATTCAAACAACCAAGGATGGAAAACAGTAGATAGGTAGGGCCACTGTGTGTATTTTCCATCTGTGGTTGGTGGAATCCACAGATTTGGATCCTGTGGATACAGAGGGTGGATTATGTGACACCATTTTATATAATAGACTTGTGCATCCTCAGATTTTTCTCTCAGCAGGAGGTCCTGAAACCAATCCCCTGCAAACACCAAAGGGCCAACTGTGTATTACTTGAAAACTTCTATTTGGAACACTTCCATTCAATCAATTAAATAGAATTCTATAACATTTTTTCTTCTCCTCAGTCTCAATATTTATCTCCAATATGTGGCAGGTGAATCTACACCTGAACAGAAGTAGCTTGGCAATTTTTTGAATAGTCTTCCTACTGAGAAATAATGAGGAGACTATTCATCAAATATTACCCAGAGGTAACTCAGAAAAAGTTTTACCTTGTATAAAACCTCTCTTTCTAGGATTCCAATAGTGTATATTAGATGAATGATGCTTATTTTCTAAGTCATCAATTTTTTATGATATTATTATTCAATTTTCTTCTGAATAGTACTTCCATCCTACATTTCACTACTATTATTGTCAGCTATAACTTCTTAATTTCTTCAGAGTTAGGCATGATGCCGGAAATTGCCATAGATTTTTGTACTGCTTCTAAAAGCATAACATGAAATTCTTGTATTTCCTTTCACAGTTTCTTTAAAATGATAAATAAACTTACAAGTACCTCTGTAGAGGGTATCCTATAAGATTTACTTTATTTTTTAGAGCTTATTCTTTTACTTTATAAGGTTCTATGTAGATGAGTGCCCTTGAAAGAAATTAAAGCAAAGATAACTGCATTGCTAGAATATACACAAGATAAAAATATACTGATACTTCCTAATTTGTTATAAATGTAGTTTTTCCAATGATACTGAAGTGGTCAATAATAAAACTTCATGGGTGCTGTGTATGTCAAATTTGCATTGAATGTGCTTATATTTTTCAGAGGTGATCTTTTTATAATATTCAATAGCATTTGTGATCTACATAAATAAATAAAATATTAATTATTGTTGAATTATTATATTGAACCATTTTTTCAAGACTGTATTTATTGTTTCCATCCTATGTCTATCTTTCTCAAATTTCTGAAATGTAGGCTATATGTATTATATAGCTATAATCACAGTAATGCAACATACCAAGCCATGCTGAAACTTTATTGACATACAACAATTAGGGTTTCTTTAGGTCATCTTTGTGCCTGGTCTAGATTCACTCAGGACTGCTTCATATAGGCCGGACTCATTCATCATCTATGAATTGGCAGGTGCTTGGCTGGCCTAGGCTGGCCTCTGTGATTCAGCTGTTCTGGTGTGGCTCCGCTTCATTTGTCTAAATCTTCTCAATCGGATCAGAGAGATAATATGGAGATATTCCTTTCATGGTGGCGGCAGAGGTGAGAAAGAACATACAGAAAAAATACACTACCTCCTAAACTTGGCTCAGAAGCAGCCTGTTAACACACACATTCATGTTATTCAACTGACCTAAGCAAATTACAAGACAAAACCCACATCCAAGGAGTGGAATATATGTAGTCCTTCCACACTCCCACCCTTTACTGGAAGGAACTGCAAAGTTGCATGCCAATGGCATGAACCCAGAGAAGGCTGAGCAATCAGGTCACTAGGGTGCTCAATGACAACATTAGTTTCTGGCAATCTGCATTGTAAATATATTTAAATTTCTTTTTAAATACAAGGAAAAATATTTTAACATGTAATTAACTAGATTCTCTAATTAAAATTTTGATAGTGACTTAAGTGGATAAGTTTTAGTTTTCAGGAATATGATTGGAAACAGTTTTAGTATTTGTTTTGTAGTTGGATAATTTTAACTGGACATACTGTGTAAGAATTTCTATTTTAAGCCTTACATTTCATAGTTTTTTTAGAAATGTATAATGTACTGAAGCAAATATTGGAAATTATGAATGAAAGATTAAAAATTTAGTAATAATTATAGTGTAATTTGACAAATATAGTATTTCTGCTCTGAATTAAAATTAATACTTTATTTAAATTATTAACAGATAAACTTGTGTATCTCACTGTAACATTTTAACAGAACTTAAAATTGTATTTACAGGATAAGTATTAAGGCTTTAGTAAAACAAGTATGGAAGACACTATCTATACACTACACGCCAATCTTTTGCTGGATCTTAGGAACTTAACTCATTTTCAGTCGGCTTAGTTATGGTTTTTATTATCAATATGACCAGGGAAATCAGCAACTTCAGTCCTTATTTCAATTGAAATCTATAGTAAAGTGAGTTTATATAAAAGATTCCCTGGTGAAACTACAGATACAAAAAAATGGCTTGAGAGAAAATTCCACCTCTCATGTTTTCTAGATAATGTTTTTTTAGATCTGATACTTTCTGTACTTAAGCAATTCCTGATTAGCCATGTCCAGAAATAACACTAAATTTTCAAAATCTCAGAGTATGATATCTTCTGGAGTTATTTTGCTGTTGTCTCAATTTCACGTCTTGCAAGTTGTCACTCCATGTACATGAAATCAGACAAGCTATCTCAGCAAAGACTTTAGACATTATTAAAGAATACTGCCATCCACAGCATTTCTTTCTTTCTTTTTTTAATTTAATCTTTCCAGTCAAGAGTAGAAGCACTAGCTTAAGGCATTCAGGGTGAACTACTTTAATGATGTAACTTTACCCTGAGAATGATTCAAGGCAGTACTATTTGAAATACACTTTGATTTGCGTCAGAGAAAGAGAAGAGAGGTCAAGGGATTGCCCCATACCTAGGTGGCCACCAAAAAATATATTTACTGCAGATTCAAGTTATTTAGGTTGTTCGGCACTCATACAAACTCTAAATAATACACACAAAGAAAACAAAGCTCTGAGGACTACTACATGGTGCAGAAAGGCTTAATGACCTCTCAACAGACTCTTAAAAACACAGATGTGTGAGTGGTGATTTAGACTCAAACCATATGAAGAACAGAAAATAATATCAGAGGGAGACTTAGAACATGCATTTTCCCAGGGGTTAGTGATCCAATTACCATTAAAGCTCTGTGGAAAGGGACTTTCACTTATCTCTAGACAGTGTAATTTGAAATGCCCATTTCAGTTCACTTCATCACATTTATAATATTCCAGAAACATTGCCTTGTTTATGGCCTCTCATGTGATGCCATTCAGGATACTATAAAAAGGTTGAAAGCATAAAAATACAGTGCAGCATATTCACTAAAGCTGAAAGACAAAAGAAAGCAGCATATAAAAGCTTATTCTATTAATTTGGCTCTTGAATATATCTTTATTTTCTGGGAATATGTTATAGAATGCAGCTTATTCTAAGCTACACTGTGTTGTAGCACGATAGGTAAATCACCCTCATCCCCTCGGTTTTAGTAGGTATCATCTCTGTAGCAAGGTGGAACTGGAAAGCATGTTGGTGTAAAAGGTGACATACAATAAGAAACAGACTCTCACAATAGAGTTAGGGATCTGGCCTTTTTCTTCAACTAATATAAACCAACTTTTAGCACACCAACATGTCACATGTATACATATGTAACAAACCTGCACGTTGTGCACATGTATCCTAGAACTTAAAGTATAACAAATATATATATATAAATAAAACTAGAAAGAAAGGTTAAACCTAGTTTCCACATTAAGACATGTTTATACACAACAATCTTTACCGAATATTTCCTTCCTAACTTGATATATTCTGTATTGCACACTGAAGTTTTTTGCTCAAATGTGAATTATTCTTAGAATGTTACACTTGAAGGGCATATTGTAGTGATAGGTATGCTGTCTTCAATTTGCACTGACTATACCCTTATCAGGGTATGCAATGTAATCTTGCTTCTGGCATTGGTCTTATTATCTGATAAGTACCTATTACCTGATAGTACTTATTACCTGATAAGTACAGAGTACCACTGATCTATATGGAGAAGGGCAGAGACTGTTTAGTAGCCTAATGTCAGACTTTAGATATGTTTGCAACGGATCAAATATAGCATCTTAACATTTAAATTAATTCAAGTAAAACAAATTCTACTGAGCTAAAACTCAAATGAAGGAAACAAATTTACATCTGTCCCTGTTTCTCCAAAATGACTTTCTCCTTCAATTACATGTGCAATATACTATCACAGCCTGGAGGAGGCTGAGATAGGTTAGGTGGCAAATATATGTTGTGAAATAACTTTTAAGCTAATTTCTGAAGTATGCCTAAGAGTCATGTTGAAATGATAGAAAAAAAGATTAGGAGAGAGGGTTATGTTTATTCCAGTCATATAGATCAGCCTGAAAGCACTGAGGTCTTCTAGTATCCAGAAGTAGTTCTTCTGCATCTCAAATTTACCTAGGATTTTATTTTTTTTAATTCTTTTCTTTGTATATACTCTCTGTCTCTACAAACAAGTGCTTCCATTATAGACACACATACTCTCACACACAAATTCTACAAGGCATTTTCTCTTTGAAGTCCCATAAACAACTGAGGCACAACATCATACAAACTGATGAAACCACTTACAAAACTCCATAACCCACCCCCATATACTTTTTTCATACATTTAATATTTGTGATTGATTCTATTAGTCCAATATTTATAAAAATCCAGTTACCATTTGCTTTGAATCCCTCCTTCGAAATATATTTTGAATTATCACATGTTCTCTCCATCTGCACTATAAACGTCATAGGTTTAACTTGACTATTACCATCTTTCAAATGCTTTTCTAACATCAACTATCAATATAATTTTCCTTTTCCTCCTCTCCCCCTCTTCTTCTTCTCCTCTTCTTCTCCTTCTCCTTCTTCTTCTCCCTCCCTCTCTCTCAAATGCTCTCTCAAATAATCAAGGAACCAGATTATTCTATTTTATGGTGCTGCTACCTTCAATACATGGCAGCTAAGGTCACCAAAATAGGGGATCAAGTATGGAGGAATACATTTGGAAAGTTTAAATGGGCTAAATCTAATGGATTGCATTTTACTTCAATTCACATGTCATTGGCGGCCAAAATCCAGTTATATGGACATTTCCAACTGCAAAAGTTGGAAAATATATTCCAATTCATTGATCAGGAGGAAGAGAAAATGCATTTTATCAATACTAGACAAACAAACCTACTGATGAAATGTCCGCCTCTGCAGGTGGTAGCTTGAAATTAGTAAACTCTTCTGTCTTAGATTGAGTGGACAAATTAAATCCATTAAACAAGGACTCAAAAACCACTTTAAGTTTATTTGCATATTAGGTACTCCAATGCATTTCACTAGCAATAAAGTTGATACCATTCCTCAGTATGTTTTTCAGCTGTAGAACAAAGCAGTCTTGCCCTCAGTATGCATGTAAATGTTTTAAATGGCTGATACAACCTTGGTTATCTTCCCTGCTGTTTCAATCTCTTATGAAAGTTTCCTCTACCAATTCACTTGTGCTCCAAATGTGCTAAAATCATTCTTGCCACAGCCACCACTGTGCCTTTACTCTTTACTGCACAGGAATTCTTCTCCTCTCCCATCCTCTCTAACACCTATTTATCTTCAAAATCTCTATTTAGAGCCACTTCTCTTCAGGAAACCTAAGTTTGATGTCTGATTTGATACTCTAAAATGCCTTATTGTAACACATATCACATTTTATTATAATCATCTGCTTACTTGTCTGTCTCTCCTAATAAATTTTAGAATGCAAATCTTATTTCCATAAAATTTCCAGTGACAACTAACATAGTGCCTATGTATTAGTTTCTTTTGGCAACATAGAAAATACCACAAAAGTCTAAAACAAACAAACAAACAAACAAAAACATATTCTCTCACAGTTCTGGAGACTAGGAGTCTAGTATTGACATGCTGACAGTGTCACGTTCCATCCAAAGGATCTAGGGATGATCTATTCCATGCATCTCTCCTAGTGTTTTGACATTCCTTGGCTTGTAAATTCATCACTTCAATCTCTGCTTTCATATTCTGAGGCCTCCCTTTCTGTGCCTGTGTCTTTATATGGCCTTCTTACAAGGACATAGGTCATTGAATTTGGGGCCCACTCTAACCCAGTATAACCTCATCTTAACAGAAAAGTGAAATAATAGAGGCCAAATACCATTTTTTAACCTTGATTAAGCCATTGATTCTTCTTGGTCATCAAAACAATTGAATGACTAACAAATACTTACTTTGTATTGTATGCTATGATTTGTATTTAACCACTTTAAATAGATAAACTTCCACAGCTATGATGAAATATATACTACAAAATGTATTTTATACAAACTAGTTTCATCTTCTTTGTGAAATAATCCTTTATATGAAATCTAACTGAAATGAGAATATGTATTAATTGTAAAACAGATTATGGTGTTTATCACTACAAATACTAAAAAAGTGCTAAAAGTGTTTTAATGATCAAATTATATGGTTACTTTTATTAAAACATCATGTAACAAACAATGTGGTTTGAGAGATCACATTGCTAGATTTCATGAAATGCGAGCATAGTAATAAAATTTAATGTATATTCACATTAACATATATTCAGTTTCAAATATTCTTTTTAATTCGTGAAATAGCAAATCATGAGGACAAATCATCAAACCATTGTCAAGGCTCCTGAAAAAATACTTATGCCCAGAAAATTTTCACTCACCCTGACAAAACCAGAGTCTAATTGACTTTTTTCTCCAAAGATCATATCCAACTCTGATCTTATATTTGAAGTCCCCTCCTCCTTGTCCCCAGTTGCATATGTTACACTACACATTTCTTCTTACATGGAACCTTTAATGCTCTGGCCTTCTGTAACCCAGAGTACCGCAGAAACCTGCATGAGCCATTCTGCTCTGGCAAGGAGCAGAAGATATCCTTCCCTGAGTCATTGCACATTGCACATTGCACACGCTGCAACACTCTACAGATAGACTCTAGTCATGTTTCAGTCTCTTAATTGAATACAATTTAATTCTACTCAGTATCACAGATAAACCCCCAAATGCTGTAGAACAAAGCAGTAGAACAAAGCATATAGACCTAACCTATGTGCCTCATTGGAATGAATGTCCGTAGATCAGGGATCCAGACTCCTTCATGTTGTAAAACTGAACATAATTTATTTTTGAGACAGTCTCACTCTGTCGCCCAGGCTGGAGTGCAGTGGTGTGATCACGGCTCATTGTGGCCTCTAACTTCTATCTTCTGAACTCCATCAATCCTCCTACCTCAGTTCCCCATGTAGCTGGGACTACAGGCACACACCACCATGGCTGACTAATATTATGTATTTTTTGTAGAGAGATTGTTTCACCACATTGCCCAGGCTGGCAATTTCTTTTGCAATGTCAATTCCCCAATTTAACAACCACCCCACCTCCTTTTTTTTTTTTCGAATTTAACAATTCCCAAATGCAATGCCAATGCCAATACCAATGGGAACAGTATTTAAGAATAAGAACCAACTTTCAGTAAATCTCTTGGGGAAACTAAAGTAACTATAAAGGTGTTTTCCATATATATATATATATGTCTGAGTGTGTGTATATATATGTGTGTATATATGTGTGTGTGTGTGTGTATGTGTACATATATATATATATATATATATCAGGAGACAAAGAAGAAAATTGGCTTATTATATTTTCCTTACTATTGTATAAATAGCTTAGTTTTCAGAATAGAGAAAAAAACATTTAGAAAGTATTAAAAACTTGGTTATTTTACTAGTTCTATAGGAAGAAAAAGAACTATAACATATTAAAAGCAAGAAACTGCTTGTTGTGGAGGCATACATATTATACGCAATGTCTAACAGTGATGAAGTGTGTACATTGGTTAATAGGAAAAGAGCAGATTGCTAAGCTCTGCACAGCCCTCTGGAATCTCCAAGATCTATTATTGTTACTCAGCAATGGAAAGTAATTGTCTTCAGGAGGAAGGGCTTCTCTAAAGAGCTTAGCAATCTGTAAAACAGAATCCTTGAATAAGTATTTGTGTTTTCAAAGGTGAAGCAGAAAAAAACAAAAACAAAATAAAACCCAAATGTATTCATTAAATGAGTTCCAAGAAGGTGAGGGAGAAAACTTGTAAAATTGAATGACAACATTAATCTATTATAGCCACAAATGATCCACCATGAGATGAAGACAGCAATTTAGAGTTATAAATAAAATTTATTTATGAGACGCAAAACCATGATGACCAAAAAGAAGAGAGGGCTCATGGTTAAGATCTTCACCAATGGCCTATTAACAAGGATTATAAGTTCAATACAGAACAAGTTTCTACTTAGGCTAGCATGGTTTTAATTGTTGGATTTAAGAATACATGTTTAAAAATCCAGTTCTAAAGTATGTATGACTTATTTCATAGAATGAATTTAATTAATGTCATCTAATCCCTGGTTGTTCACATGAAATTCTTGGTTCATAGCTTTCTTCTTCTTCTTCTTCTTTTTTTTTTTTTTTTGAGACGGAGTCTCGCTCTGTCGCCCAGGCTGGAGTGTAGTGGCGCAATCTCGGCTCACTGCAAGCTCTGCCTCCCGGGTTCACGCCATTCTCCTGCCTCGGCCTCCAGAGTAGCTGGGACTACAGGCGCCCGCCACCACGCCCAGCTAATTTTTTGTAGCGATAGGGTTTCACCGTGTTAGCCAAGATGGTCTTCATCTCCTGACCTTGTGATCCGTCCGCCTCGGCCTCCCACAGTGCTGGGATTATAGGCTTGAGCCACCGCGCCCGGCCAGCTTTCTTAAAATATTGCTTAAAAAGTATGCTAAAGCTATTCAGCATAACCTGAATTACTGACCTTTGAAAACAAGAGCTTATATGTTGATTGGTTGGTGGTTATGCTTCTTAAACGGGGTAGGCTTAACAAAGAATCACTGTGAGTTAATTATCACAATTACACCGTTAGTTTCTTCAAATAATATTTTATTACTGGAAAAGTAACTTTGCCATCAACAGAAAGTGATAAATTCTTGCACATTATATCCATTTAATTATACCTTTTCTTCAAGGTACTAAAATAGTTGAGACCACACTTTCAAAAGTATGGACATATACCCTTGGATGATCATAATCATTCTAAAGATTGAGAATAAGAATGGTGCTCGATATTGTCCCTTGGATAGACTTAAAAAATACAATTTTTCCCCCAGAGGTACAGATGAAGAAAAATTAGTTCTGATATTTTTCTTGTGCATTTGTGTTATCCCATTCACTCATTATTCCTCAAAGAAACATGGGTCTGAATCTTGGCAGGTATCTTACAATTGCATTTGAGTGTTTACATCAAAAATACCATGGTTCAGTTGATTTATAGGTATGGTACAAATGGGAAGTTCTAGCCCACGGTTTCCATCTGATAATTATCAAGCAATGGCTGTAGATAAAACAGATGGGGGACTAGACTGTCCCCTCTTCTTTTAATGCTGTCTCAAGCAGAGGCAATAATTCATCAAGTGTAAGCCCTATACTGGGAAAATACCTCCTGCATTGACTAGTCAATAGGGTGGTACAATTTTCCAGCTCTCTTGCCTCAATTTGAAAGATTTCCGGAAGCCTATCTCAGCTTTCAAGCTCTGTACAAAATCTCCTGAAACTTCTGTTGCAGTTTTCTTGCAGGTAAAATTCTACCTCTGCCCAGTCCTACATCCTCACGCTTTTATATAGGCATTGTTATGCTCACAGTATGAATCTATGTGCAGATCCTCAGTTTAGAGGCTGTTTCTACACTACCCGACTCATAGTACGCTTACAATTAAGAACAATCTGAATGTCTATTGAATAATACAGAGGATCAGATTGTGAAGGTAACCTGCTTTCAATTAGAGTTCTTACACACTTTGTAATTATATAATAATTTCAAATTATATGATTAAAATTCACATGAAAAGAAGGCAGAGGTCCAGGAACTCTTGCAAGGTTTCCAGGTCCTTTTTTGTATTATTGGACATACTCAGGCTTTGGATAACAGATGTAGTTTCTAGGTGAAGTAAAAGGTCAGCTCACCTATGCAAAAGTAGTCATTTAGGTAATGAAATATCCACAGTTTAGACTCAGATAATTACATTCCTTATGTCACATTTTAAGGGAGCCATGTCCTATAAATCCATAGATCCCAGATGTGTTAACAATAAGGAACCCTAGACAACCAGCCACAATTGGCCAGAAGTGTTTCATAGATAAGAAATCTCTTGACAGGAAGAACAAACAACAACAACAACAAATTCTTTTTTACCAGGAGGTCTGACATTATTATGTTTACAAGGTGATTAGACTGGGACAACTGTCCTCTTTGTTTTGCAGGGAAAGGAAGAGAACAGATCACAAAACTGATGCTTAAATTTTTACCCTCTATTACCAGAATGGATTAATACATTTGATGAAAGGAACAAGACACAAAGTGATATACACTAATTTTTTCCCATTTATCTATACATTTAAAGACAGGCAAAACTTAACTATATATTAGCAGTCAATGTGGTACTGGTATAGTTTGAATAATTATGTCCCCTCCAAAATTATAATTGAAACTTAATCCCCAATGCTACATTAAGAGATGTGGCCCTTGGGAGGTGACTAAATCTTGAGGGCTCTGCTCTCATGAATGGGATTAAAACTCTTATGGAAGTGCTTGAGATTGAAGGGAGCTGTCTCTTGCCTTTCAAACCCTTCTGCCATGTGAGGACACAGCTTTCCTGCCCTGTGCAGGATGCAGCAAAAAGGCATCTTCTGGAAGCAGAGAGACTGGCTCCTCACCAGCCAGCACCTTAATCTGGGACATTCTAGTCCCAAGAACTGTGAGAAATAATTTTCTGTTGTTTATAAATTACCAGGTTTCAAGTATTTTGGGACAGCAGCACAAATAAGACCTTTGGAAATAATAAGAAGTGTAATGATTGAGAGGGAGTACAAAGAGTTTCAAGGTACTGATTCATGGCTTGGGTATGGCTGTTTTATAAATGTTCACTTCTCACAAATTTACTGAGGTGTACATTAATGATTTGTGCAATTTTTATTTATAAAAAACATTTTAAAACATAAAGAGAATATCTGATGTGAAGGTCAATCTTTAATAGAACTCTATTTTCTTTTGTACTTAATTACAAAAAGAATATCAAGCTTAGAGAATTTTACATAGGATTCCTACACAATATTTATGAAATTGTTCATTCCTACATCAAACAATCTCTTCCAGAAAATTGAGAAAGATAGAATTCTCACAAGAATGTATTAAAAATATAATTTTACTTATGTATCAACATTAAATATAGATAGGAAAAGGAAATATAATTTTATGTCAACTTCACAAGTAAGCATAAAATATGGATGCCAAAATCTATCTTAAAAATAAAAATTAGAAAATTAAAACCAGAATTAAAAGTAATCTCTCTCTTTCTCTTCATATATTTGTGTATATATAAACATATATATGAAAAGATACATATATATACACCCAGACATACATTCATATGTAGTCATATGCTTATTTCTCACCTGCCTATATCTTTATTAGTATGTATGATATATATACCTATATATTCATGCCTATGTACATATATGTATGACTGCTTTATATCTAAGAAATTAATTATGTAATATTTATAATACTATATATGTTATATATATATGTATATAAAGACATAAAAATGGAGATAGATTAGGAAGAACAGAGGCAGACAAGCATATATTAGAACTTGATGTAAGACAAAGTTTTTAATGTTCCTGACAAATTTTTTGGAATATTTGCCTGTACTGTAAAACAGTATCTTTATTAGTTTCCAGAAAAATAAATTGTTGTAATTGTGAACTGTAATATTTTGATTCTTTAGAAAAAATATAAATTATATTTTAATTGTACAGAAATTAGAATCAGAACTGTTTTCTACAAAAGACAAGATAGTAGATAGTTGAGATTTTGAAGACCAAGAGAAAAAATTTGAAGATTTCATGTATACCCTTTTATATAAGAGAGAAAATGAGTTCCTATGAACTATTGAATAAATTTTTTTGTAATACTTATCTACTGATGAGAATGATGAGATTCTTTTCTTCCTTCTTCCTTCCTTTCTGATATAGTTTGGCTATGTGTCTCCGCCCAAATCTCACATTAAAATGTAATTCCAAGTGTTGAAGGTGGAGTCTGGTGGGAGGTAATTGGATCATGGGGGCAGATTTCTCATGAGTATTTTAACACCATCCTCTTGGTGCTGTCCTCACGATAGTGAGTGAGTTCTTGCAAGATCTGGTGGTTTAAAAGGGTTTGGCACTTTCTCTGTCTCTCTTGCCCCTGCTTTCACCAAGTGAAGTGCTTGTCCCCACAGGATTGCCTTCTGCCATGAGTATAAGTTCCCTGAGGCCTCCCTAGAAGCCAAGAAGATGCCAGCATCATGCTTCCCAGACAGCCTGAAGAACTGGGAGCCAATTAAATATCTTTTCTTTATAAATTACCCAGTCTCAGATATATACTTATAGCAATGCAAGAATGGCTTAGTACATTCTTTCTTTCTTTTTGCTTCATTGAAACTCAAAATTTGTGTTCCATATCATCAAAATCCATTGGAAGTGATCTGTGATGAGATTTTTTCTTTTATTTTTTCTATGAAAATCTCTCCTCATAGAGATAACTACTGTCAAATGTTGGTATCAATCAAGAAGCATATGCTTTTAATTGAGCATATTTATAGACTTCTATTAGGTTGTTGTTCTAATATTGGCTTTTTATCATGTCGTTACATTGGAAATCACTTCCAATTAAAGGTTGTATGGAAGTAACTCGATTTTATAATTAAATTCATCTTGAAATATAAAAACTTTTCTTTCAATTTTCACTGAAGTCTTGAAAACACTGTTAAAATGGTAGTTTGAACTCGCAAAATTTATATACTAAAAAATTGTGCCTGGCCAATATAGTGAAACCCCATGTCTACCAAAAATACAAAAATTAGCCAGGCATGGTGATGCACACCTGTAGTTCCAGCTACTCCAGAGGGGAGGCAGGAGAGTCACTTAAAACCAGGAGGCGGAGGATGCAGTGAGCCAAGATCACACCACTGCACTCCAGCCTAGGCAACAGAGTGAAACTCTGTCTCAAGAGAAAAAAAAAAATTAACACCAAGGTGTACTTTTCTTTTTCTCTACTAATCCTTAAGACTTAAGACTTGCTGTATGTACTTTCTAGTACACTAAATATGTTTGATTATACAGGAACACTAATATATACACAAAGATAATCTTCAAAACACTTTATTTTGTGTACAAAATCATATTTATGTACATTGATCTACATTCCATCTGAGCATATTTTTCTCTACATTGTCATCAAATTAGTCTATGACAGCTGACTTCTGATTTTTAGCTTTGTCAGTTACTGCTATTATCTGCAAACTGCAATAATGGCAATCAGATTTAGGATCTGTAAAATGTGACAATGAAACTGTTTTATTTAAAACATTAAATAATTAGGTGTTTTAATAAAACATGCTCTTCCATACATGCGTGGTTAATTCTGTGGTATGAATGATTTATGCATACTCAAAACCAGTTGATATAGTCATAATTTTAACTGTATAGTTATGTGTGACCTTTGTTTAAAATCTTACTATTGCTGTCATTATTGATTTCCATTTTAAGGTATAAGTTAACCTTAACTTATCATGAAATAAAATCAAGATGAATTTTAAATACCTATAAAGGCTAAACTCTATTTCAAGTTTATTTAACAGAAGGGCAATCATCGAACTGTAAGAAAATTTGATAAAATGTGAAGGAGGCACAAGAGAGGAGGGATGATAATAGAATTGCACTCGTACATCCTGTACCTCTTGGTCCAGGTCTTTCTGACCCTCCTTTTAGACTGATCATGGGTACATCTGTTCCAATTATCAGGAAAATGACTTAAGTCTATGATCAATTTTATGTAGACAATGGATCTGTCTTCAAGAACTGGTGGATTTTGTGGGGATTTTTAATGTGTTTGTTTTGTTTTATTTTGTTCACTTCTGTCTGTCCTATTTTTTTTTTTTATTTTACAGACAGGTATTGTTTTGATATATTGTTGTTACTTTGCAACATCTGAAAATAAATTTACAGCTCAGAGAAAATAAATTTATACCTCTGAGAGGAATATCAAAGTCTTAAAAGGTCACAGACAATATCTGCTAACCAAGAGCTTTGAAAATATTGGAACAAACAATGTGTTATTTTAATTTGCAAAGCATAGACAGGGGATCTGTTCTGAATCAGGTCCTTTGGTGATGGAGGATGGGGTGCCCTGAGCTAAGATGAATGGCCACTGGAGGATATATTGTGGCTGAGGCTGGCTCTATAGTAAAAGCATCAAGATAGACAGCAGCAGGTCTCAAACTTTCCTGACAGCATATGTTTCCTGAGTAACATTCTTTCTTCTGAATCTTGGATTTAAAGCCTGAGAGTCAGGCAGGAGAAAAGACTTAGTCTCTTTGGGGTTCTAGTCTAATCTAGCCACCTCATCCAATTCTTTATTTCACATGCAACATACCTGCTATCCTCTTTGCAATCCTTTGATGATTTTCTGCTTTCATGAAGGTAGTAAAAATGTTGTATTATTTTCTTTTTTTTTTCTTTTTTTTTTTTTGAGGCAGAGTCTCACTCTGTTGCCTAGGTTGGAGTGCAATGGCGAGATCTTGGCTCACTGCAACCTCTGCCTTCCGGTTTGAAGTGATTCTCCAGCCTTAGCCTCCTGAGTAGCTGGGACTACAGGCGCAAGCCATCACGCCCGGCTAATTTTTTTTTTTTTGTATTTTTAGTAGAGACGAGTTTCACATGTTGGCCAGGATGGTCTCGATCTCCTGACCTCGTGATCCACCCGCCTCAGGCTCCCAAAGGGCTGGGATTACAGGCGTGAGCCACTGTGCTTGGCCAAAATGTTGTATTATTTTCTAAAGCAGAGAGAGAGAAAAAAAAAAGAGTACATTTTCTTATTGTCTTAGTCTTTTTTGTGTTGCTCCAGCAGAAAACCTGCAACTAGGTAATTTATAAAGAAAAAAGGATTTTTAGCCTACTGTTCTGCTGGTTGAAAAGATCAAGAGCATGGCTCTGGCTTCTGGAGAAGGCTCTCCTGCTGTGTCATAACATAGCAAGAAAGGTCAAAGGGGAAGCTGACCAGTGTGAAGTGAGATAACCAAACAGAACAGGAGGAACCTCACTTTATAACAACCTGCTGTCAAATGAAATAATCCATTTTTGTGAGAACCAATCTTTTCTTGTGAGATTTAGGACTCACTTGCTCCACAGGATCAGCACCAAGCCATTCATGAGGGATCCACCTTCATGACTCAAACACCTTCCTCTAGGCCTCACCTCCCAACACTGCCACATTGGGGATGGAATTTCAACATGGCTTATACTGGGAACAATCAGACCATATAAAAACCACAGCAAATCCTATTTCACTCACCTTTTTTAAGGGACTGTTGTGTCCTCTGAGAAAGAAAAAATGCCATACTAGGCAATGATAAAAAGTTAAATTCTAAATCCCATGTATTCTTCACGGTCTAAAATGGAAAGACCAAAAGGATGCCAAGGGAGTTTGCCCTAAAAAACAATAATTTTCAGGAGCCATCCAGAGAGTGTCTAGGCAAATTGACTTTACTCAGTGATATTTATATTTCCGGTGTGGTTTCCTCTAGTAGAAGACACGTTGACATGCTTAAAATCTTCTCTAGATGCTGGACATCAAACTGAGTCATGACACTCACCTGCCTGACCCCACAAATGGCAGCTTCTTTTGGTATTATTCTTAAAATGCAAGATTTTTAAGTTTTAAAAACATTTTAATCCATCCTCTCCAGAGATTTACCTAGCTTTCTCCATTGCAGCTTGCAGCTACATTGGAGAGCTTTAGACTAGATAATTTTACTTAAAAAGCATCTTCAGCCATCCACTCTTCTTTAAAACTAGGGCACAATCAATCATTTTGAAGGTTAAATTCCTCTGAATCATTTAGGTGAGGTTGAAATAAATGTAGCTATTTTTTTTTCTTTTTCTGCATTGACATTAATTAAACTGAGACCTAATTACATAAGCTATGCTAAAATAACTTTTATGACTTGAGCCAGCATAATATTTCAGAGTTCGGTTTTAACTCCTAATACTACATTTCCACAGCCTGTGCTAGAACAGAAACTCGCCTCTAAAGACAAAAATAATACTTGGTCCTTTTTTATAGCTTTAGCCCCTAGATATAGCTTTCTTCCACAGCCTTATCATTCCTACAATAACAAGACTCCAATCATGACTGTTACCCATTATGTGTATCTCTTCCCAAGCAGTCTATATTTGTTGAATAGTGACTTAAGCCAGTTGAAAAACATGGTGGGCAAAAGACATTCTTGAAAGTAACTTTAAAAAAATATTTCATGAGTACATATAGCATTAAGCACTCAGGTTTTTTATTGGAGTGTGTGTTAGAAAGAATGAAAAAAAGAGTTGTTTTAGCATTGGTATACATTTTTAAAATACAAATGCATGTTATTTTTGTTTATCTTTGTTGTTATTATATACTTCTTTGTTATTATTGATATACAGATTTCTTACTGGAAACCAATTCATATAATTTATTAATACATTTTTATAACACACAATAAAATGATGAAAATACCAAATATGCTAATAAAGTTGACCAAAGTGAGTAAACATTAAAGATTATGAGTTTCTCCATTATTTACTATTAATTATAAGGAACAGAAGGAAAATTATCAACTGTACATGTTCAAAATATTGTAATAAAACCATTAAAATACTAAAAGGAATAAAATTCTAAATGAAGCTGTGATTTATTTGAATTAGTACTATAGTATTATATCTGATTTCTTTACTTAATGCCTTATAAAACTTCAAAAATTAGAATTTTCAGCTACTCTCAACTGGAGAAGTTAGGTAATTCCCAAGTACATTTCTATAAACTCATCTAATAAAGAATATAAAATAACAGTAAAAAAGTATAGTAATAATTTTTCTCCATATCCTTTTCTCATATACCTGGAACTAGATACAAATATAGTTAGTTCGTATATAATTTAAAAAAAGCCATTTCCTAAAAATGGTGATAAAATGTTTCCCATTTGCTCATAACAGAATATAATTTTTATATTTATGGGTGTGTTCTTTACAAACATTAAAATTGTGACTTAAAAGATAGTTTCTTTGAACATTTTTATTGCAATTTAAGATATAGAATCAATAGAGAACTTGCCCATTTCTTTGTTTAATACCTTTTAGGCTATGTAACATTTCTTTTTATAACAACATAACAATTATTTTAATAATAGTTGAGACTTACATGAGAAGATACAATTTCTTCCCATCCTCTATCCCTGTATCCCACCCTAAGAAAAAGTGAAAACTTGTTTTCATCACATTTTGTTATATACCTTTTTTCTATTTCTGATTACCTTTCTATTTCACAAATGCTTTTCCCACATTTAGCTCTTGCATTAGATGAGTTCTTTTTAATACAAGCATTATATTTTTAAGATGAATAACTGTAATAACTAAGGAAATACCTTTCAAACAGTAACATTTTAATAAACTTGACATACAATAAAAAAGGGGAGGAAAAGAAAAGTTGTGTGTGTATGTTTGTGTATGTGTGTGTGCATGTGTCTGATCAATTGATTTTGAGGCAGACAGCTATTCCATTGTTTTTGTTGACAAGAGAAATAACTCCGAGAAGTCTGAGCTCTGTGAGATGTGCAGGCCCAGAGACACACAAGTATGAGACGTCATTCATCCCCCTTCATGCCTGAGGGCAATTGTTTAATGTCATTTTGTTCCTGACCAGCAGCCTCATCAATTATCTCCATGTTCCTACAATTTATGATAAAAGAAACAAATGTTTAGCAAGTTAATAATTTGTTACTTTAATGTAAATTCTGGTAAACAGTTTAGAAAATGCCTCTTCTGAGCTTTCTTTTTTTGCTTCATACTGCATTTACTATTTTTTGACACCATTAAAAGTTCTTCACAAAGATGTTTCTCTGAGCTTGCACAATGTTCTAATAATGGATGAATTACCAATCACTTGAAAAGAACTCAGAAACTTGAAAAGGCAAAGGGTGGGGTTTCCTCTTCATGGCACATGCTGCTTCCAGAACCTTTCTTTCAGGTTTCTAATTTTCCTCATTTGACATTGCAGAAAGTGTTTCTCAAGTAACACTCCCTCCCCCATGCCCTAGGTCCCCTTTACAGGTCTTTTTTTGGGAAGTATAGGGTAGGCAGCTCTTCTCTTATTTTCTTTTCCTTTGTTTAAAAATTTTAGATTTAGGAGGTACATATGCAGATATCTCATACAGATAAATTGTGTAATGGTGAGATTAGAGCTTCTAGTATACCCATCACCTAAATAGTGAACATGGTAACCAATAGGTAATTTTTAAACACTCACCCTCCCTCCCAGCCTGCTTCCTTTTCAAGTCCCCAGTGTCTATTATTTCCATCCTTAAGTCCATGTGTACCCATTGTTTATGTTTATCTCCCACTTATTGGTAAAAACATGTGGTATTTGACTTCCTGTTTCTGAATTATTTCACCTATGATAAAGACTTACAGCTCCATTCATGTTACTGCAGAGGACATAATTTCATTCTTTTTGCAGGTGCATTGTATTCCATGGTGGTTATATACCACATTTTCTTTATTCAGTCCACAGGTGATGAACACTGAGGTTGACTCCATGATTTTGCTATTGTGAATAATGCTGTAATAAACATATGAGTGCAGGTATCTTTTTAATATAATGATATCCTTTCCTTTGGGTAGATGCCCAGTAATGAGATTGCTAGGTTGAATGGTAGCTCCATTTTTAGTTTTTTGAGGAATATCTATACTGGTGTCCATACAGTTTTTGCTAATTTACAGTCCCAAGAAGAATGTATAAGAATTCCTTTTTTTCTAATTCCATGCCAACATTGTTGTTTTTGACTTTTTGATGGTAGTCATTCTAACTGGTATAGAATGATATCTCCTTGTGGTTTTTAATTTTCATTTCTCTGGCGATTAGTGATTTTGAACAGTTTTTCATGTTTGTTGGTCATTTGTTTGTTTTCTTTTGAGAAATATCTTTTCATGTCCTTTGCCTACTTTTTAATGGAGTTATCCGATTTTTTCTTGTTGAGTTTTGTTTCAGTTCTTTGTAGATTCTAGATATTAGTCTTTTTTTTTTGGAGACACAATTGGCATAATCTTCTCCCATTCTGTAGATTGTATCTTTACTCTGTTTTTTTCTTTAGCTATGTAGAGTCTTTCAGTTTAATTAAGTGTCATTTGTCTATTTTTTGTTTGTTGTATTGGTTTTGGGAGTGTTAGTCATAAATTACTTGCCTTAGCCAATGTCCAGAAGAGTTTTTACTAGGTTTTTATCTAAGACTTTATAGTTTCAGATATTATATTTTATTTAATCTGTCTTGAGTTAATTTTTGTATGTGGGGAGAGATAGGGGTCCAGTTTCATTCTTCTGCCTATGGCTAGCTAATTATCCAGCACTGTTTATTAAATAGGGTGTTCTTTCCCATTGTTAAATTTTGTTGACTTTGCTAATGATTGGTTGGTGGTAGGTATGTGGCTTTATTTCTAGATTCTCTATTCTGTTCCATTATTCTGTGTGTCTATTTTTGTATTAGCACCATGTTGTTTTAGCCATAGTAGTCTTGTAGTATAATCTGAAGTCAGGTAATGTGGTGCCTTCTACTTTGTCTTTTTGCTTGGGATTGCTTTGGCTATTCGGGCTCTTTTTTGATTTCATATGATCTTTAGTAGTGTTTTTTTCTAATTCTGTGATGAATGATATTAGTGATTTGATAGGAATTTTGTTGAATCTTGAGATTGCTTTGTGGAGTATGGTCACTTGAATGATATTCATTCTTCCAGTCTATGAACATGGACAGTTTTTCTATTTGTTTCTGTCATCCATACTTTCTTTCACCAGTGTTTTGTGGTTTTCCTCCTAAAGACATTTCATCTCCTTGGTTAAATGTATTCCCAGGTATTTAAAAAAAAAATTGGCTATTGTGAGTGGGATTGTGTTCTTGATTTCACTATCAGCCTGAATTTTGTTGATGTCTAAAAATGCTACTGACTTTTGTACATTGATTTTGTATCCTAAAATTTTGCTGAAGTCATTTATTAATTCTAGGAGCCTTTTGGCAGAATCTTTAGGATTGTCAGCAAAGATAGATATTTTGATTTCTTCTTTTTCTATTTGGATGCCCTTTATTTCTCTTGCCTGATTGCTCTCTTAGGACTTCCAGTATTATGTTGAATAGGAGTGGTGACAGTAGACATCCCTGTTTTGTCCCAGTTCTTAGAGGGAATGCTTTCAACTTTTTACCATTCTGTACAATATTGGCTATGGGTTTTTGTTACATGGTTCTCATTATTTTCAGTTATGATCCTTTGATGCCTATTTTTTTGAGAGTTTTATCATAAAGGGATGTTGGATTTTATCAAGTGCTTTTTTTGGATCTATTAAAATGATCATATTTTTTCATTTTTAATTCTTCTTATATATTGAATTATAGTTATTGATTTTAAATGTTCAACCATTCTTTGCATGCCTAGAATAAAGTCCATTGATCATGGCAAATTATCTTTGGGATGCAAAGTTGGATTTAGTTTGCTAGCATTTTGCTGAGGATTTTTGCATCTTAGTTCATTAGCAATACAGGCCCAAACTGTTGTTGTTGTTGTGTCCTTGCCTGATTTTGATATCAGGGTGATACTGGCTTCATAGAATGAGTTAGGGAGAAATCAGTCCTTCTCAATTTCTTCCAATAATGTCAATAAGATTGGTACCAGCTTTAATCTGTAGGTTTGATAAAATTCAATTGTGAATCTCTCTTGTCTTGGACTTATTTTGCTGAAAGATTTTCTGTTACTGATTCACTTTCATTACTTATGATTGGTCTGCTCAGGATTTTCTATTTCTTCCTGTTTCAATCTTGCAAGTTGTATGTTTCTAAGAACTTAACCATTTCCTCTACATTTTCTAGTTTGTGCACATAGAGATGGTCGTAGTAACTTATGAGGATCTTTTGTCTTTCTGTGGTATCAGCTATAATGTCACCTTTATCATTGCTGATTGTGCTTATTTGAATTGTCTCTCTTTTTTCTTAGTTAAACTAGGTAGGAGTCTATCAATTTTGTTTATCCTTTCCACAAAGCACATTTTTATTTCATTGATTCTTTGTATCTTTTTTTTTGGTCTCAGTCTCATCAAATTCTGCTCTGATTTTTGCTATTTCTTTTCTTCTGCTAGCTTTGGGTGTGGTTTATTCTTTTTTTTTTTTTTCATAGTTCTTTTGTTTATATTTCCTTGAGGTGCAACATTAGGTTGTTAATTTGTGATCTTTCTCCTTTTTTAATGTAGGCATTTAATGCTATAACTTCCCTCTTAGCATTGCTTTTGCTGTAACCCCCAGATTTTGGTATGTTATGTTTCACATTCAATTGCTTAAAAAGTTTTTTTTTATTATTATTATACTTTTTCTCCCTTAATTTTGTTGTTTACCCAAGAATCATTTAAAATAAGGCTGTTTAGTTTCCATGTACTTGTGGAGTTTCACCAGTTCTTGTCAGTATTTATTTCTAATTTTATTCTGCTTCAGTCTAAGAAGATGCTTGATAAAATTGTGATTTTTTTAATATATTGAGACATGTTGTATATGGTATAAAAAAAGCTAGATAAAAATTTAGATCTGTTCATAAACAAAAATTGAGAAAACATATTTTTAAAAATTATGCAATTTTTTACCTATAAATACTGGTATAAAACCATTCAAAATCACTTACTTCCTAGTTTTTTTCACTAAAAATTAGGGTTACTAAGAGTTAAAGTTGTAGTTAATGTATGTAATAAAAACCAGTATAAGAGAAATAATGTTATATGCAGAGCTATAAAGAAAGTAAGATCTAAAGAAAGGTGAAAAGAGAGCAATTTTTTTTTTCTTTTGCATGACAAGGAACTTTGTGTTGTCAAAAGGATAAGGAGGAAAAGAAACTAAATTTTTGCCCTAAGGTAGAGTGCCAATATAAAAAAAGGATTATAGGACAAAACTAAAGGTCTGAGTAAGTTGAAGAAGGTTTGTGGAAGATTAATCGTGTGAAAGAAATCTTGTGTGTGATCAAGTTGGGTAAAATGAGATTAGTTTCTCTAAAATTGAGCATCAATATCAAGGGACACTGATGCCAGTCCAGAGTCTGGATCCCTGTGTAGGAATCACAGAATTTTCTAAAAGCATTGATCTGCTCTTTAATAGAAAATGTTAGAGATTTTGAAAAACTTATGGAAATCTTATCGTCTGTGGTCAAAACTGTTCAAGATTAGATTGATTTGTTTGTAAGGTTTTATTCAAATTAGCTTTATCATTAACAATATACTGATGAAAAGATTAATTTTGGTTTTCTCTTTTAAACAAGATTTTCATATCATGTTAATAAGACATAATAAAAGACTTGAGTTCACCTTTTGAGTAATCTGCAAAAAATAAAAATAAAAGAGGGAAGACAGATTCTGTTAGTCTCATGTTGTCTTTATCAGGTTGTTTGATTACGTGGATAGCTGACTTTCCTCTCTACCAAAGAGTAAAAGATTTGCTTTCTGAAATCTTTAAATTATCATTTTGTCTGAATCATTGATGATTATTTTACAGTAATACGTAATACTATATTGATTAAGTATTTTAAAACTTTAAAATTTGGTCTGGGCACAGTGACACACACCTGTAATTCCGATACTTTAAGAGGCTGAGGTGGGATGATTGCTTGAGCTGAAGAGTTTGAGACTAGCTGGGCAACAGAGGGAGAACTCAACTACAATTAAAAAAAAAAAAAAAGAGAGAAAAAAATAGGAAAAAAGAAAAAAAGAAACTTTAATATAATATTTGAGATACTTTCCTTATTTGTTATGTTAAAAACATAGAGGAGCTTATCATCAAAGAAGAAATGGTGTTTAAACACCGCATATTCTCACTCATAGGTGGGAATTGAACAATGGGAACACATGGACACAGGAGGGGGAACATCACACTCTGGGGACTGTTGTGGGGTAGGGGAAGCGGGCAGGGATAGCATTGGGAGATATACCTAATGCTAGATGACGAGTTAGTGGGTGCAGTGCACCAGCATGTCACATGTATACATAGGTAACTAACCTGCACATTGTGCACATGTACCCTAAAACTTGAAGTATAATAATAAAAAAAAAAAAGAAATGGTGTTTAACTTTTTTGAATTATATTTGTATAAATGTGTTATTAATATGGATTCCAAAATAGCATCAGATTCCTAAAATTCTCATATGTCTTAATATGACTTATCAGTAATAATTATGATTATTATTTTTGGCTGTTGTATGAATATAGAAATAACCAAATTTTCTTGTCATTTGCATTTTTAACATTGTCCCCTAAGCCTTCTATTTCACAGATAATTATTGTTTTACTTTGAGACTTCTCAAAAATTGGTTTATAATTGGCTACAGTCCAAAATTTGCTTTTACTTCAAGGATATTCATGGGAAAGTATCCTGAGAAATAATTACTCTTTTTTTTTTGTTTGTTTTTTAGATGGAGTCTCACTCTATCGCCCAGGCTGGAGTGCAATGGTGTGATCTCATCTCACTGCAACCTCCACCTCCCAGGTTCAAACGATTCTCCTGCCTCAGCATCCTGAGTAGCTGGGATTACAGGCATGTGCCACTACGCCCAGCTAATTTTTTATTTTTAGTAGAGACGAGGTTTCTCCATGTTAGTCAGTCTGGTCTCAAACTACTGACCTCATGTGATTCACTCACCTTGGCCTCCCAAAGTGCTGGGATTACAGGCGTGAGCCACCGCTCCCAGACGACAAGTACTCTTGAATAGAGGTTTCTGATGACTTTGGAGGTTACATTATCGGACTAAGTCAAAACTTTCCAAACTCTACTAAACTTTATGTGTTCATGAAGATTGCTAACCTAACATCAAGCAAAACAACAATTAATTACATCAAACTGAGATGATAAACAACTGAAATAATATTTTTGACTTTTTGTTTGAAACATTACTGAGTCTTTGAACATTTTGTTTTCTAAAGAAAACTTTTTGAGCTCTTTATAGCATATAGAAATTGTGTAAAATATACCCATGTGAGCAAAATTAAAATATTTGCATTTCTCTCTGATTTCTCCAAAATTTGGAAACTATTCATGAGTATCTTATTTTATGGCAAACATGAGTTCTGTAAGAACAGGACAAAATTGGAAACACTGGCTATTTTACCAAGGCTTTGACTTGAATGACACATTTTCCAATACGAGCAGCCTGCTTTGAGGAATTGAGGTTGACTTTATAGAGCAAATAAAAAGTCTCTTGGAAAGACTCGCCTGGTATCTTGTCTGTACACATCCCTTTCAAGGTTTGTGACCTTGTAGGAAGTAAAGAACGTTACTTTTGAACAGGCAAAGGGACCTAAAATATTTGGGGGAGATTGAGAAGAGAAGAATTCACCCAATTTGTTCAAGTATCATAGGTACAGTCTAATAGTGACTGTCACTTACCAGCCTTGAGGCTTTTAAAAGTCTAATCCAAAATTCCATATGAAAATTCCATCAAAGCTAACTTAAAAGAGTCTATATGGTCAGTAAAAATTCCTGTTGAACGTCATATGAATAATCAGGCCAAGTATATAACTAAAACTTATTTTGCAAGTAATTTGTGCTACTAAGGTTTATCTTTGGTAGAAATGGGGAACTGGAGAGAGAAAAATTGTTTCAGAAGAAAATTATAGCATCTATTATTAGATTTCCAGCCCTGACCATTGTTTTTGAGTTTTTATTATTTTGCTAAAATCTTGACTAAATCTCTAGTGTAATAGATGCAATATATCCCTCATTGTTTTCCCTCTCAGATAATGAAAAGCATGAAATTCTGAAGATAAGTGATGATTCAACAAGTGATAGCAGTTACATGAATCAGTGACTTTACTGACAACTATCTTAGAATGAGCCTTCCAAGTGCCAAGGAATGTAGGACTATGCAGAAATGGATCCTCAATGTTTTCATGGGGAGATTTTTGATCAACAGGGGGGAAATGAGAAAGAAAAACTGTATCACAAGCATTCTGAGCTCTTTGAAGCATGCAGGCCCAGAAAGATAAGTACGGGACTTCAGTCATGCCACACTCCTCCTGCACCCACGTCTAGGGCAATTGTTTTGAAGGAAGAGAAAGACTCTCTCATGTTATTTTATATTGTTTTATATACAGTACCTGTTTTAACAAAAAACAACAAAGAAGTAAAACCAAAGACAGACAGCCCGGCGCCAGGCCCGAAACCAGGCCTGGGCCTGCCTGGCCTAAACCCAGTAGTTAAAAATCAACTTATAACTTATAAACTGATGTTATTCATAGATTCCAGACATTGTATAGAAGAACTTTGTGAAACTCCCTGCCCTGTTCTGTTTCTCTCTGACCACCAGTGCATGCAGCCCCTGTCATGTACCCCCTGCTTGCTCAAATCAATCACGACCCTTTCATGTGAAATCTTTAGTGTTGTGAGCCCTTAAAATGGACAGAAATTTTGCACTCAGGGAGCTCAGATTTTAAGGCAGTAGCTTGCTGATGCTCCCAGCTGAATAAAGCCCTTCCTTCTACAACTCGGTGTCTGAGAGGTTTTGTCTGCGGCTCGTCCTGCTACAGTTTAAATCATTTTGTTACTGACTAGCTGCCTCACCCATTAACTTCATACTCCTGGAATGTGTAATACAAAGAACAATGTAGAGCCAATCAATAGGTTATGTTAGTTTAATATAACAACTTACAAACTGCCTCTTCTTTCACTTTAAAAACCTGCCTGGAAGGATTGCCAGATCCTCGGAGTTCAAGACAAACTTGTTCAACATAACAAGAATCAGTTTTTAATTTTTTTTTTTTTTAATTAGCTGAGTGTTGTGTTGCACACCTATAATCTCAGCTACTTGGGAGGCTGATGTGGGAGAATTGCCTGATCCCAGGAGTTCAAGGCTGCAGTGAGCTATGATTGTACCACTGCACTCCAGCCTGGATGACAGAATGTGACCTTGTCTCAAAAAAGAAAAAGAAAAGAGAGAGAGAGAAAGAGAAAGAAAGAAAGAAAGAAAGAAAGAAAGAAAGAAAGAAAGAAAGAAAGAAAGAAAGAAAGAAAGAAAGAAAGAAAGAAAAGAAAAAGAAAAAAAAATCTACTTGTAACTGTTGCTAATTGGAGTGTATCATTATATTCTGGGCAATTTGAATCTATTCTCCCAGGTAACATTCCTCAAGCATGTCCCAAATAAACTCTATACTTGTATTAATTTTGCCTCAGTTTCTTCCTTTAGGTTGACAAATGTATAAAGTTGTGCAACACAGTTTTTTGGCTGTATTAAGGATAAAGAAGAAACAAGGTAAATTACACTTAATATTTCAACTTCTATCATTCAGATGTTCAAATCACTAACAGTGAATCAAAGAGAACATACTGGTATAACTTAGAACTCTGATAATTGAATTAAGTAAATCACAAGAAAGTGAGTCAATCTATCTTTAATTTTTCAACCTAAGTACTAAATTATAAATTCATGGTTCTTGGGTGAAGAAGATATTTCGGTTTGTGTCCCCTAAATAGAAGTTAAGCTTTATTTGCATTTCTGAAAATGAGATGAGCAAACATTAACATATATAAGGAAAAGTTTTGGGTAAGGAAAGTCATTAATATAGTTCTTAAGTAAAGGAGAAACAGACAAAATATCAGTCCTCCTGCCTCTTGACCTTTTTTCATGAGATATATACAGATATATACCTATAAGTGAGTCACTTTACCAAGAAAACTTACTTGGTTATAATTAAATTCATGTTCACTGTCAATGATAAACAAAGCTGGACAGTAGTTAAATCCTTAGGGACAGATTTTATTTAGTGATACCCATTCTAATAAGAAAGGGAATCCAGAATGAAGTGAATTCAAATTTACCATAACTATAGGCAGGATAATTTTTAAAGGTTGGAGTGTACTTGGGGAAAAGAACTAGAGATAGCAGGGGGGTTTGTTGGACATGTGAATAGGTCCTTTGGGTTTGCTAAATGGTGCTTGTCAGAGGAAGAACAAACTTCTCTATTTTTATCCCATGAGGCCGTGGTGCAAGAGTGAGCATGGACCCCACTGAAGTTAGACCCTATTCTCCCACAGGAACTGGAGAAGGAGAGTTTTCTCTCTAAATGTTTGCATTTCAAATAAGTTCACAGGCCATGGAGGAAGCAGTTCTGGGTGGTAGATTTGCATCTTAAAAGGCAAAGGACTTATAATTGCAAAGTTACTAAAGAAACTACTCTGAAGAGGAGTTTGGGAACCTATCTGCCTATCACCAGGTTTTGGCTGAAACAAAAAGTAAATTATCTTGGCAACACAACACTGTATTAGCCAAGCATTTAAAAGGGGACTAAGGTAATCTTGAGTATATGACTTTAAGCTGTTAGAAACTGCGCTGAAGTTTGTTCAAGTCTCTTATTGTATGGGTTTGGAGGGAATAATGTGTCAAGAGTTCCAAAATTCTCACCATTAAGCAATGTTCTAAATTTTTGTTTAGATTGCAACATACATTAGCTTAAGAAGATAATGTGTTAGCTAAAGGGTTTAAATATTTGGTTATTTTGGCAGATGCATTTCCCAATTAAAATTATATTCAAAGAATCTGTTTTAAAATAGCACTTAACAACAAACTCTTGGTATAGATTTGTTTACATCTTACAAGAAAATACTCATGCAAACTATTAAAACATTCTAACAGCAAATGTTTAAACTCACATGAAATTTTAAGACCTGCACAAACTGATGAAATTAATAAACATGACTATTGGTCTATTCTTGATCATCTGCCTGTAGAGAGGTAGACCATTTATCCTTCATCATGCTTGATATGGTTTGGATCTGTGTCCCCACCCCAATCTCATGTTGAATTGTAATCTCCAAAGTTAGAGAAGGGGCCTGGTGGGAGGTCCCCTTGCTGTTCTGAGAGTGCGTGAGTTATCATGAGATCTGGTTGTTTAAAAGTGTGTAGCACCTTCCCCTTCTGTCTCTTCCTCCTGCTCTTGCCATCTAAGATGTTCTTGCTTCCCCTTCACCTTCCTCCATGATTGAAAGTTTCCTGAGGCTTCCCCAGCCTTGCTTCCTGTAGGTCGTGTGGAACTGTGAGCCAATTAAACCTCTTTTCTTTATAAATTATCCGGTCTCAGGTAATTCTTTATAGCAACAGGAGAAAAGACTAATACCATGCTTTACTTTTTCTCATTCAGCCAGTGTCTTTACCAACAAATAATTCATGCTATTATTAAGGTTTTCAGAAAACCACTGGGCAGAGAGTAAAAGGTTTTTGATAGTTGAGGCTACATCCTGAGGTATGTAATGACCATAAGCTCTGGATATTGACGTAAATGGTCCTGTTAGCAGAGGGCTTTGGGGGTACTAATCTGTACGTGCTTCATCTCAAGCACATCTCAAGATGTGATCATATGTGAATATATCACATACAAATTTGACAAAATGTGGTGCAATCACTGATCTCTTGCTACAGGAATCAAGGAAGTAATTGATCTACTACTAAGGACCAAGAATAACCTGCACTCCTTTGTTCCTTAACACCCTGATCAATACAGAGCATTTTCATGTTAGGGCAAATTAAAGTAAAAAGGAAGGAGGGAAGAAAGGAAGAAAATGAGGGGAAAAAAAGGAAGCAAGGAATGAAGGGATGAAGGGGTATAAAAGAAAGGAGGGAAAAAGTATTCGAATATTGTAGATAAATTTAATAAAGTATTACAAGATTCAGAAAATTTGAACCTCAAAAATGTACTTTGTAAAACCTAGGGCCAGAAAAGTTTGTAAAGAAGATTTCCATGAAATATTAGTAAAAATTAAGGAATATAGGTTAGGTTGAAATAAAAAGGAAACAAAAGAAGATAAAGTAGAAATGAATAAGAAGACAACAAATTGCATAAAAGCAAAAGAAAAGGCCAAATTAAAATAATGTTAAAAACAATATAGAAGAAAATTGGCAACATTAGAAAATGTAGCAATGTAAAGGGTAAATCTGAGAAGCAATTCTACATTGAGAAAATAAGGATATAGAGATAAAGTCTTTAGACTATGTAGAATTGATGTTAGAAAATGATGCATGCTTAATATATACATCAGAAAGCAAATGAACAAGATTAATAACAAAAAACAGAAGAAAATTTAAAAATAAAACAGAAGAAAAGGTTTTGAGCTTAGAAAAAATAACAAAACATATAAAATTGTTATTTGAAAAGGTTTATAACCTTTCGGGAAAGACCAATAAATCCATTTTGAGGGAATAAACCCATTTTGAGGGAATGACAGGAAAGAAATAACAGTCTGTTGATACAATATATTGTACCCTGAAATTCTAAGTTTCACAGAGTCATTTATTTTACTTTCTTTAGAGAATAGTCTTGTTTTAATTTTTTCTTTAATTCTGGCGATATGAGTTGTGCATTCTAATTCACTCTGAGTAAGGATTAGGATTCATTAGGGGAGAGCATTTGGGACAATGAGGGATGCAATTGCTGTGCATATGAACTTTCATTTAACTCCACTGTTCCGATCCCATATCGTTCCTGCCTGTGAGTTTAGAATTTGCCTGGATTGCTAACATGCTTTTTTGTAAGTTGCAAACCCCACATATATATTCTTTGCTGCTGCTGACTTGCTTCTCTTTTAACCATCAACAGACAGACATTTTATCTTTCTCTCTCCAAGAAATCAGTTAAACCTTCCTAACCAGTAAAGGATTTAGTTCTGATATATATATATATATATATTTTTATATATATATATATATTTATATATATATATATATATATATTTATATATATATATATATATATATTTTTTTTTTTTTTTTGAGATGGAGGTTTGCTCTTGTCACCCAGGCTGGAGTGCAGTGGCACGATCTCCGCTCATGCTACCTCTGCCTCCTGGGTTCAAGTGATTTTCCTGCCTCAGTCTCCCAAGTAGCTGGGATTACAGGAGTGCACCACCATGACCAGTTAATTTTTGTATTTTTAGTAGAGATGGGGTTTCACCATGTTGGCCGGAGTGGTCTCCATCTCCTGATCTTGTGATCCACCCGCCTTGGCCTCCCTAAGTACTGGGATTACAGGTGTGAGCCACCACACCTGGCCTAGTTCTGTCATTTTAATGAGGGCATAGAAGGACATAGAGACAGGCATCATAGTGTCTTCGAGAATAAGGATGTTCTTTCTCCCCATGTATAGAAAGAGTACATCTAGAATGAAAGTCTTAATGACCTACTCTGGGGAAAGGGCCTAGAATTCTTTTATGACTTTCTTCAGGAGAGAAGGGCAAGAGAAGGTCAGAGCATGACCTTCCTGCCTCTGCTGTTTTCCTAAAAGCCAAAGTGTGATTTTGGGGGTAGCATGTCCTAAACCCCATTACAAGAAAGGGACATGGTGAGATTATTCTTTCATAAAGGCAAGTGAATTAAGTTTCGATAAGAACAAACTCACTGTGATTGTGTATTCCTTAGTATTTGAATAGAGGAAAACAAAAAAATCTCTCTTCAAGGGATATTGAGAAATCTAATTAAATAAAAGTCTATTGTTTTAAAGTAAAATGATAGTTAATTTTTTAAATACTAGAAATTACTATCTCCAAATGTTAAGTGATTATATATGGCTGTTTAACGAAATAATTCCATTTTCCCATGGATCATGTTGGGTTAGGTCAGGTCCTTGGGTCTCAAGTATTCTTTGTATCTGGCAATATTGACTCTCTGGATGTGTTAAGTCTTTCACGTAGACACTATAAATCTTAAAACATTCCATACCTATTATAGTGTCTTAAGGACAAAATAGTTGCAAATTACTTTTCAAGAGAAGAGTTTAGATGGAATATAAGATTCATGTGGAGAGACAGAGTATAAGCTGTGCATAGGAGATATTTCAACTCCAGAAAAAGAGCCAAGAACATTTTTTTTCCTCTCCACTTCACTTTCAAAGTTCACTGGAAAGAAAATCAAGTTTTTCATGTCTTCAGTTCTTCCAATTGGGTAGGAAAGAAAAATGTGATTTAATAAATTTGATTTGTGACAATGTTTAGAATGATGGTTGTGCTCTCAGACATGAACTTACATTTGTGGAAATTTGAGATTTATAAAAATTTAAGGGACAGTTTGCTTAAGGGGAAAAATAAATCACATACTGTCCTTTATTGAACAGTTCATACTTACAAATTAGGTCACATACACAAGAAAATCTTTTCCAAAAAATATTTTTCTATTTGGGCTCCAGTGCCTGTTTCAGCAGGAACAGTAAGTGAGAGAATAAACTGTTTACATATACTTATGCCCCAATAATATACTCAGGGTTGTTACTTTCCTAACCAAAGTACTATGCTAACATCGGATCCTCTATTTCCAACACACAGCTCTAAAAAATGTTTATCATGTTGAAGCTTTTTCCTAGGTACTTTAAGGAAGTGCCAAGGCATTCACAATATATTTATATTAGATTTCAGATTGTTGGGGTACATTATTTTAGTACCAATATGATTACACCCATGAATAATTAAATCCTCCATATTTTGTATCATGACTGCTCATAAACATTTTCATTTTTAAAAACATGAATGCTGTATTTTAAAAAATCATTTTGTATAGTGAGTTTTAAAACAAAATGTTACCTTTAATAACTCCTCTTCAAAGTTAGCAACTATAAAGTTAGAATTTAAGAAATTGGTACTCAGTATGGAATTTTTATTATTCTGTTGTCTATTTGCAGATACTAATAACACCATATTGTTCATTGATGTTAACATCTGTCATCTAGCCAAGTATTGATTAAATCACTTGAAAATATGTGAGGAACATGGGGAGTTAAAAGAGAGTTGATTACATATTTATACATGTTTGATTTAAAACCATCCTTTAATCTAGTGGAATTTAAATGAGGTAAATTTCAAAAGAGTATTTTTTTTTTCTGTCTCACAGGAGAAATTTTCTCACTCTTTGGAGTTTATATACTGAATTTCTTAACAATAATTTAGACATATGCAAACATACGATTTAATTTTGTCTATCTGAATATTTTTAACATATTCAAATATAATCTAGTTACTCTTCACACTTGATAATTTTATTGGCAGCAAGGAAGATGATTTGCCACAGAAATAAAGATTTCCCTTCTTGCATAAACCTTGGAACAGTGACAGAATTTATTTAAATTTTTATAATTCTCAATTATTTCCAGGTAAATATCATTGGTTTATAGATCCTTGGAGGTTATGTTACACAAAATTGTTATATATATTATAATTTATGGGCCTATTTGCTAAAGTAATATTTTTATATGTTTCCTGTATTTTCATAAAAGTATTCAAGTACTCTAACGTCCATAAAAAGCAAAAAAAAATTAAGTTGCCAAATTTGATAAGGCTTAAATCTTCCGTATTTATTATCTATGTATGGAATTCATGCATAATGATGCATATTTTTAGTTAATATTGTGTAATTTTTTCTGGCATTATACCGAAAAGTAATATGAAAAGTAAATTATTAGTTTTCTGACCATGAATCCAATTGTTTACTAATGATCAGCAGATATATCGTAAGTATGCATTATTGCTATTGTGAGTGTAAGTAGTATCATATAAACACTACTGTTTTTAAGAGAGAGAGAGAGAGATATATAAATTACATTTCTGGTAATTTATGGCCTGCAATGACATTCAACCAATAAAATGACTTTAATTAACTTACAGAATATTATTAGCTCATAGTTAACAATGATAGAAAAAAATTAATCTAAATATAATTTACAAAGGGAAAGTAAACATGATTGCAATTAGCAAGTGGATTTAAGTACATGTCGAGGATACCCTAGAATACAGTTGATTAAGAATATAGATATTATTTTGAAGGCAATGTTTGAGATAATTTCTTAATAGAGAAATAAACAAATAAGCTAACACTTTTGGAAATATTGTTACTAACAGTCAAATAAGCATATGTTTTAGAGGTAGGGGAAGAAGATAGAAAAATGCATTTCTGAAATTAAGAATAAAAATTTTTTTATATTTATTAAATATTGGGAATGTTTATGTGCTTTCACTTATCCCCAAATCTCTCATCTCCCATGTCTCTAAGTCTTTTCTGAGCTTAACCTTAGAAGACAATGACTGGGCCGGGCACAGTGGCTCACCTCTGTAATCCCAATACTTTGGGAGGCCAAAGCGGGAAGATCACCTTAGGTCAGGAGTTCAAGACCAGCCTGGCCAACATGGTGAAACCCTGTTTCTACTGAAAATACAAAAATTAGCTGGACGTGGTGGCACATGCATGTAGTCCCAGCTAATAAGGAAGGTGAGGCGGGAGGATCGCTTGAACCTGGGAGGCAGAGATTGCAGTGAACTGAGATCACGCCACTGCACTCCAGCCTGTGTGAGAGTAAGATTCCCTCTTACACACACACAAAAAGATTATATTAATTTAATTTGGGAAGATAGATGTTAAACACGGCATGCTAAAACATTGGTCTCTAGGAAAAAATCCTTTCATGTTTTTAACTACTCTAAATTCTGTTTTTTTATGTTTCTCTAGAATTTCAATAAATATTGTCTTAATTAAAAGACAACTTCTGTGAATTACTTTATTGTGGCTCCTTGTTCTTTATTTTTCTGTATAATAAATGTCATATTAATATAAGTTGCAATTAATGTAGCTGTCATAATTTAATTACCATAATCCAAAGCTTTTGTATTTAATATGATGTATTGCCCTTTAAAAAATAATATTAATCCAACCTGTACTCTAATAAACTATTTGGTTGACTAAATATATTATTTCTGTATCATGCAAATCAAGTTAAAATAAGTTGGCCATAATCAATATATAATGGAAAATATATTTGAATAATATTTATGTAAGTTGAACTTGATCAACAACATATGATTTAAAAATAAATCTCACATAAGAAGTTTAATATTTGCATTTTCAGGTTCAAGTTTAATTTACATTTTAACTTACTATACATGAACCAACTTTCATGCTTAAAACAATTAAATAAATTGATAGCTTCGAAGGCAAACCAAGAAGTTGTTTTATTTTTTTAAATGCTAGTCTAAGCTTATGGAAATAACCATATGAATCTGAAAACTTTTGTTGAATCATTATGCTGACACTGCTAGAATATTTTCTTACCCCAGAACACAAAAGCTACTTTATATTTTTGAGGTATTTATAGAAAACTTAGACTCTTAAAGAAAAACTGTGAAATTTTGGTTGCAAAAAAGGAATAAAATTAATTGAACTTTAGGTTGTTGAATAATTACTTTGAAATTCAGCCTGTAGAGCAAAAGTTTTAATGATAATTGGACAGATTCAAAACATATCTTTGATTTTGGACAATCTGCGTAATCTTGCCAATTCATACACAAGCTGTGGTGTCCTGGAGCTGGCGCATAATAGACCATGAAAACTGATTTTCAAGAGTCTGACATTATTTTGATGTGTCATTGCTGACAGCTTTCAGGCCTCACCAACTACCCTTTTCTGTTCCACATCTGGGTAAGCTGAGAAAAAGTTTTGGATGCTCTCTTCATTGGCATTGGAAAGAAATTCAAGCAATGTAATCCTTGAACTGTGTAAGGCAATTCTCACCCTACCCCAAGCCTGTAACAACAAAAAAGCCAGCCAAACCAATCTTCTTTCCCTGTTCTCTTAAGCTTGTTTTACGCCTGCTTGGGAATCTGCCCTACTCTTCCCAGAAAGCCTCATTATGTGTATAATAAACTTTTCATACCCTCTTGGTATGTATGACATCATCAGTCTTGACATCGGAACTAAATTTTGGCTGAAGGTTCACTTGCTTCTGTGGATTGACAGCAACATAAAATTTCAGAAATTACGTGAGACAATTGTAAAACTAAAGCAATATTAAAAGTTTAATTATATAAACCTACATCAAAATAATATTAACCTCAAAAAAACTAATATTCAAAACCTATACTTTCTAAGAATTTATTTCATTTTGATATTATCTAAGCTTTAGAGATTATTGATATCTCTATTGTTCAGGTGATGCAGAAATACTAAAAAGTATTGTGGTACTAAATATAACTTTTCAACTTTATGATCAGTGAAATTGGTAGCTTGAAATCAGCCAGAGTGAGAGAACACCACAAATGGTACAAATCACTTCTCGATTTGTTATTATGTTGACTGTCTACACTTATGTCTATATTTAAGTGATAAAAAATGTTAATGTATATTAAATTTTTAAAGTATCTTGTTATTTTTTAAATTGTAAAGAACACAAAAATACTTGAGGAACTATTTGAATATTTTAAAACTATTGTCAAACTTAGCAAAAATGCTAGTAAAGAGTGCAAGAAGATATCACATGTATCTTTGTTGTTTTATTTTTGTCTTACTTGTTAGTATAACCAAAATATAAATAAAAATATCAACTATGATTCATTCTGTAACTATGTGCACAATTCTGGTCGTTAAATATTTAATGAAACACCATGCAAGCAGTCAGAGAAATACACAACCATTTCTCCCGTAGTTGTTGACAGGATTTTATGTTGTGTGGGCTTTTGTACTGTGGAATTCAGTTCCTTGCTGACTGTTTCAGAAACTTATCTAAGTTCTTTTTATGCAGGCCTTTACATAGGGCAACTAAAAAATATGGTAACTTAATTACTTTATAGTGACCAAGCAAGAGGGTATGAGCAGGCATCTAAGATGTAAGCCACAAATTCTTTGCTACCTAATCTCAAAAGCTAATCACATCACTTTTGCGGTATTCTGTTCATGAGAAATGAGTAAAGAGGCTCATTTAAGAGGCTTAAGAAAGGAGACTTAAGATAAGAGATTGCACAAAATGTATGTATCAAGAGGTGGGAACCTTTGGGTGTTGTAGGTTGCCTTTCATATAATGAGCCGTACATCTCAGCTGCAATTGAAACCATGGAACTCAAGGAGCCATCAGGAGCCTCTCATTAGAACCAGGGTTCATGAGGTTCAGGTGATAAATAGAGCTGGGATGAAAATTAATCTCCTAATGAGTCTCATGGATTCCTGAAACAACTGCTTGGTTATTTTCCTGGTTCACTGCAGTTATAAATATATAACTGCAATGGTATATTCAGCACCTGAAATAAAATTTATGTTGATTCTGCTAACTTAGGATTTAAGGGCTCTTATGGTAGGAAAGGTCAAGCAAAAGCCCCTAAATTGTCCTTCCAGCCAAGTCACTAATCAGGTGTAATGCCCTATGTCATGAGGAATTGCAGAAATTATTACACCCAGTAAAGATTCGAAGAAGGAAGCAGAGTGGCCACGATCGTATCTCCAGTCATCAGTATGTCCTATGCACAAACAGGGCGATCATGGCAGATGATAGTGGAATAGCACAAACTCAAGCATGGGGTAGTCCCAATCACAGCTAAATGTCATTTTTGTATTTTGCAGGAACACATCAACACTAGTCCTGGCATTTGGTAAGTATCTACCGATTTAGTCCGTGTTCTTCTTTATTTCTCTTAGTTGGTAGGGTGAAAAGCAGTTTCAAATTGCTTAGCAACGATTGCAGCACAGATTTGTTGCCTTCACTCTTGCCAGTGTTGACTCTCTGGTCCTCTGTCACAACATACAATCCAGTGACATTTATTATTTTGACCTTCTGCTCATACTCATGTTAACTATATTTGTAACTGGTGACACCATTTTAATTGCACCAATTGAATAGGAAAGCAAAACAATATAGTTTTCCTACTAAGATACGTACATTCAAGAAGGTGGAAGTTAAATGTCATAAAAATTAAAAGACACTAAATAGAGATTGTTTTTTTTTCCATAAGGTCAATGATGGAGGACATGCTGGGACATACAGTTCAAGATACAGGGTAAATTGTTCTTTCTTGCATCTTCTGTCACTATCACTGGATTGCATTCTTTGAATATTTCCTTCAGTGGCCGCACCAATCCTGGGAAACAAACTTATAATCACATGGGGGAAATGAGCCCCTAATTACTTTACACTACCATTGTCAGATACCAGTTACATGCACCTCAACACAATTCTCAATGATACAGAGATGTTGCAGATATTCAAATTTAAGCCAGGTGTGGTAGCTCACACCTCTAATCCCAGCACTTTGAGAGGCCAAAGTGAGACAACTGCTTGTGCCCAGGAGTTTGAGGCCAGAGTGAGCAACATGGCAAGATGGCGTCTCTACAAAACAATTAAAAAATGGGCACAGTGGCAGGCACCTGTGGTCTCAGCTACTTAGGAAGTGGAGGCAGGAGGATGGCTTCAGCCCAGAAGGTCAAGCCCCCTCAGAAGTTCGAGGCTGCAGTTAGCAGTGTTCACGCCACTGTACTTCAGCCTTGGCAACAGAGCTAAACACTGTCTCAAAAGTAATACTAATTTTATAAAGAGAAAGAAAGAAAACTAATGCAATGTTCTTCTTTGGTTACTGGACACCATTAAACACATTATTCTAAAGCTCTTGGAAACAAAAATCTACCATTTATGGAATACTTGCTCTAGGTCAGACACTGGGCTTATCACAGATTCTTTATATGTAGGAATTGAGGCTTAGAAAAATTACATAATTTAAGAAACCAAGGTTATGTAACTGGAAAGCGCAAAGCAGAAAATTGAATTCTGCTTGAATATTTTAAAGTCTGCTAATAAATATTTATCTAAAAAGTCCTTTTTCATTTTTAAATCGCAGATAAGAATGTTTTCCTTCTAAAGTAGCAACAAATATGTAATATTTTCAGATTAATATGATGGTTAAGTGTTTATTTAAAATTTCTCCCTTAATAGCATAGCAAATACACAAGAAAACTGTAAAATATTTTATAAATAACAATTAACCTTTTATCCCAACCTGTTTTATTTACAGAGGTGTTGAAGAACCAGACTCGATTAAAAACCAAATCAAATACACACTTCTTCTATTTTATGTGTAGTTAATATTCTATCATCATTCCTTACATCTTTAAATCAGTGTAATCAGTATTATATTATCAGTTCAGGTGAGAGAAGATAAGCTTTTCTGATAATTTCCCTAAGAATTAAACTCCTGATATTTTGTTGTATTATTTTGAATCTCTCCTGAAACTCTTCTTATCTGTGGTTAGTATTGTGACCATGTGTAATTTAAACTATTTCTACTTTAATGATTGAGCTTAAAAGGGCATTTACTTAAATCTTTACAAGAGAGAGGGAAGATAATCTAATCAGATTGTAAAGGTTTAGAAGAATGGGTGTGATTGAACCTCCCTGAGAAGATTTGCCGAACGCAAAACAAGCTCCCCAGAAATCTAGACAATTCTAGGTGAGCTAAAACTTGTAAAATGCAAAACAAATCATAAGGTTTGCTTTTAGGTCAGCAAATATTAACTATTTTTTGCAAGAGACATTTGTTATACCCAGGGAAAAATGAACTACCAAATCAGCAACTCACATATTTTATGTTGGGTATGGGTTTATAAAGGATTGGCAATATGATTTTATATATACATTGCAAACTTTAAAATAAAATCTGAAAATCCAATGAATGTTTATTTTTACACGGGACTTGATGATGGAGCTTCTATGTTTTGATAATAGACAAATGTACATTTCTTTCCCAAAATAGTCTAGACTTGCAGAATTCTGTTATGATTATTTTATATATCTTATAGGCCCCACTTTCCATCTTAATATTGGTTTTTTTGGACTAGCCTTTTGAACTTTATTCTTTCGTGTTTTTAAGTGAGTTTTTCAAGAAATGCATCTACTTTTTAGTTTATTCTGGAATAATCTTGGGATTTGGCAAATTTTATTTTTTAACTTATTATTTTTTAAATTTCTTCTCATATCTTTATTGCCCCAAATACATAAAATAGAAGTCTTTTACTTAAACAGTTTTATCTAATCAGGGTGATAAGATACAGTAATGATGATACAAGATTATCCTCAATGAAAAATCAGTACTTCAGACATAATTGCTATTGGGGACATTGTTGATTTGGCATCATTTTTGTAATATAGGGCTTGCTTGATGCAGCATAATTGACAGAAAAATTGTAAAAATAAATGGTGGAACATGCCATGCTTGAAGCAAGCTCTTGATTATAAATCACAGCTAGGGGTACCGTGGTTCATACCTATAATCCCAGCACTTTGGAAGGTCGAGGCAGGTGGATCTTTTGAGCCCTGGAATTTGAGACTGCCTGGGCAACACAGGAAGAGTTCATCTCTATTTAAATAAATAATAAATAAATAAATAAGAAATAAATGATAGCCAGGAATCATTTTAGAGGCAAAAATTTAGAGCAGAAGATCTGGCTACAAGGGCTGTGACCAAATAGATTGGTCTACTGGAGTAGCAAGATGTGCCAAAAAATAAAAATAAAAACAAAATGAAGTACAAGGGTGACAGGATACTTGATAAGAGGAAGTAATGAAAACACAACCTAGTGATGAGAGAATCATGGGGAGAAACAAAAAGAGAGAGCATTTCAGCAGTTGTCCAGAAGGGAAGAGCCTGCAGATTACACATACTGCAGCAAACTGGGGAACATAAAATTCTTCCAAATGTTGCAGCAGCTATTCAGCTTCATGCTATTGCTGCTATATAACAATGAGTGCCTGGTATTGCCAGTTCTTCGATGTTTCAATACGTTTTTGATGCATGATATTGTGAACTTCAGAATGTGGTGAAAGCCAAGCTAAACAATTGCCTATGAACCGATTGTGTCTCTATGAGTCCATCAGGAAAGTCTTATGCATCTAATAATCACTTTCATTTAAAATGGAAAATTTAAGTTCTATAATTATGTATTTGACTTTGTATATTAATACATGTTTTATATCTACATATATAAGTATACATATATGCTTACAAATGAAGATGATAAAGTCAAAATAAGGACGCTTCCCTTATTTCTTTACACAAATATTTTGATTTCTTGTAGTTTATGTGAAATCAAGGCTTAAATGAAATAAAGTCTTTAATGTGACTATTTTACCAATTAAGAAAAAACTTTCTTTTTGTTTGCAATATATTGTTCATATTTTTATTAGTGAAAGGACCCCTGATTCAATTTATTGATGCTATTAGTATTTTAGCTATTTTCAGTAAACTCACTACATATTAGACATGTTTTATTTCTGTCTAGTTGTTTAAATCATTCATTCATAGATACACCCTAGGTACCTGTCATATAAAAGACTGCTGTAGGCACTGGGGATACAGTAGTAATTGAAGCAGGCAAGAGCTTACCTCCAGTGGAAAATATATTCTAGTTGAAGAGACCAACAGTAAACAAATAAATAAAATATAAAGTAGATTACACTGTGATAAATGTTAAGGATAAAAAAAAAATCAGAGAAAGGGGAATTTAATTGTTGGCAACTGGTAGGTGGAAAGAAGAGCAAGTTTTGAAACTTCAGACTGTGTGGCCAGGGAAGGCTCCATTGAGAAGGTGACTTCTAAGTAAAAAAAAACAAAGGAAGCCGGGCATGGTGGCTCACGCCTATAATCCCAGCACTTTGGGAGGCCGAGGTGAGCAAATCACGAGGTCAGGAGTTCGAGACCAGTCTGGCCAACATGGTGGAAACCCCGTCTCTACTAAAAATAAAAAAAAAATAGCTGGGCATGGTGGCAGGTACCTGTAATCCCAGCTACTTGGGAGGCTGAGGCAGGAGAATCCTTGAACTCTGGAGGCAGAGGTTGCAGTGAGCCGAGATCACGCCAATGCACTCCAAAAAACCCCAAAGGAAGTGAGGTAATATTTTAAAATATCTGTTGGAGGATATTCTAAACCAATGTTTTTCAATATTAATTAACTATCCTCTTAGGAGCCTTTTAAGGCATTCATTAACTGTATCTACCCCAGTACACACAAATAAAATTAAATCCTAAGAAATAAAATTTTGATGGGTTGGGTTTAACATTGGATAACTACTGATAGCTGCAATAGCTAAGATCTCTTTTTTTTTTTTTTGGCCTCTAAGAATCAACTTTTGCTTTCTTGGGAATGATATAGACCAAATTGAGAATGCATATCCTAGACTTAGATAAGAACAAAGGCAAAGATTTAGACATAATTATTTGGTAGTATGTGGTTACCTAGGAACAGCAAGAAGGTTAGTGTCTGAGTCAACGATAACTAGTGAGAGAATAGTAAGAGAATAAAAGAGCTAAGAGAGTAGGGAGATCATTTAAGAAGTTACAGATTAAAATATGGACTTCGACATCATTAGGGGATTTTAAGTAAATGAATGGCATTGTCTAACAAGTTTTTACTATCTCACTGGCTGTTCTGTTGAGTCTAGTGGGAACAACAGCAAAAGCAAAGAGAGCGTATAGAAAATGTTTGCAATCAGGCCTGGCTATATAATTTTGGGATCCCAATGTGAAATGAAAATGTTGAACTTCTATTAAAATAATTATTCAGATATCAAGATGCCAAGAGCAAAACATTAAGAACAGAGCCCTTCTAAACACAAAGATCTGGAAGACTGGACACCAGAAAATAGGTTGCAGACACTTGAAGCTGGCCCTGTTTGCAATTATTTGTGAATTAGGGTAGCAATATTGGTGGTGGTTAAAAGAGATTAAAAGTTGGATATTGGAGGCATAACAGACTGTATTTCCTCCTAATGAGCGTAAGAAAATGACAGAAAGAGAGGACACTTAGATTCCGCCCTAAGTAATAAAAAAAAAAATTAGACTTTAACTGAAATAAAGGCAGCAAAGGAGTTGACTTGGTAGATTTGTTTGTGTTACTGTCATTATTCTCAGAATTTCATATAAGATGTTTCTGAATTATAATTTATTTCCTATCTTTTATCTGCATTATCATTAACATATCTTAAGAGTTATTTTAATTTTAAAAATGTTGTCAAAAGTGTGTCTTTTATTTGAATAACAAAACTGTCTCTTTAAGTTGAAGACTACAACTTTTAGTTTATCAGTTTCAGTAGTTATTAATGAAAATATATTAAGAATTCACATATATTTATAACATACATAAATATATACATGTTTGTCAGATGTCTATTGGTTCCATTCTTGTATTTTATTCTACATTGAGTATCTTTAAGATTCGCAATTGCCTTATCCCTTTGAAAAGATTTATTGATAAATTAAATATTTATGTTTAATTAAACATGTATATCTAATTTCCTTTCACCCTCATTCTTACTTGTTGAGTGATTGCAAAATTATCAAGTCTTAGAATTTTTTAAAAATGAATTCCTAAACAGCATAACACATTTTGAGACACAAATTCATAAGACCCCTATGTAATATGCTTATTATTTTTTAAAGGCCTCATCTGGTAGTGTCTATTAAAATTTAAAATGTGTACATTCTATAAATGATCAAGTGCACTTCAAAGCCACCTCTATTTCTTAATTCTTGATAGCATTCCTTCCTATGTTGACTTTTGTTCTGTAATTTCAAATGTTCCAAGGACACAAATATCAAGTAAATTGCCTATAATTGTATTCATAGTTGTTATCAAATTCAATTAATAAGTATGCTATATATATGAAAAAGTGATTCAAGCTTTAGTTTTTGTGCTGATCTTTTGCGTACTTTTAAATCAATGCTGACAAAAAGCCTTAAGATGCTCTTCAGCCTCAACTCTGGAGGTCAGCAAGGACAGAAAGAGCAGAGAGCTGATAAAACGGAGTGAACAAGGCAGACTGAGCCACTGTGATTATTTCCTCAGTGTCTGTTTTGCAGGAAGATTTTGTTATCTTAAAACTGATGAAGATTATACAGGTTATTTTTCTTTACTTTTTTTTTAAAGGTTATTTTTCAAGGTATGGGATGAATAAAAAAAAACTATTCAATCATGCTGTCAAAGATTTGTGTAGCTGAAAGCAGAATTTATATTAGAAAATGTATTTCTTTTCTATATTTGATAAAACTGAGACCTCAAAATTGATAATTATATTTGTGTTTCCTAAATTTGATGAAGCAAAACAACTGAGAATTCGAAAATAGTGTCTTGACTAAGATGAATAATTACTTTCAAAAGTAATACAATAAAGTGAGAATGAACATGCCATACCACAGAAACTGATACCACAATGAAAAGTAAATTTTATGTTTTGTATTATTTTAATTTCTAATATGAGAAATAATTATTATCAGTAACATGGCTCTACCACAGTTATTCATTTCCAAATACAAAACACATACTACTATAAAAACTATTTATTTGAATTTATCTTTCCAAATAATAAAAAATGTTTAAAATATGGGAAGACTTTACAATATGAAAGTGTGTATAAGCCTGTGTGTTTTAAAATAGGAAGACAGAAAAAAATGACATCAACGGCATCTTAAGCATCTCTTTGAATTTCACATAAAGGATTTCCATATAAAAGTTTCAAGTAATAATTCAAGATGTATTTGCATTTTATTTTTCTTAAAGATTCTATTTCATGGTTCCAAACTGTTTTTTTTTTCTTAAAAAAAACCTATAAGGAATAATTTACTGATGAGTCTTAGAAGTGAAAATATGAAAATGAAAAGCAAGGACGAACACATTTATATTCTATCATTTTGTGGAAAAAAGTCAGACATCTACTACTAACAGCTGTCAGTAATAATTCTGCTTTGAGAGACAGACTATATCACATGCAATATTTGAGATGCTAATTACAAATGTGAATTAAATATTTTGAAGGAGTACAGTGAGTGAAAAACAAATACCAGTTGGCAATTTTAGTAATCTTATCCATCCATATTCAATCAGTAATATCAGGCAATTTAAAATTTGTAATTAAGTGAAATTATACATATTTCACAATTGTGCACACATAGAATGCATAAAATTAACTAAGATAACCAAAAATGTAATTTGAAATTAAAATATTTCCAAAATAGCTCATCAAATAATTACTAATATTAATGTTTCAATTTATTTATGATCTTTCTGTAGTTTTGCCTCCGTACTCAGAATTGTGAGAGTTGCATCACATTCATTGTTTATAGGAGGCAGTATCTCAGTTCTTCAATTAATGCAATTTTTCTAGTATTATTTTCCAGAAACATAAAATGAGTTTTAGTAACATAAAGGTCCATAAATACCATCATAGGCAATGCCTTCTATGTCATGAATATACAACATTAAGGAAAAAAATATATACATGGATTTTTGTATTATTTCTAGACTGAATGCTAGCCAGAATTTTAGCATTGAATAATTTATGTATTAAATATTTAGAATAACATACCATGCACTGTGCTAGATGCTGAATAAGATACAGAAGGTTATTTTCCTTTTGAAGCTTGCATTCTTGTGGGGAATCCAAATTTTAAAAAATTATTTTCAAGTGTGCTGAATGTTACCAAAGAGAGGAATACTATGAGTTGAATTAAGAAAAGTCAGAAGACTGCATCCTCAATATGGTTTAAGGAAGGAAGACTGTACATTCCAGTTTGCTGTAATGGGCCAATCTATGTCCATTGTCCAGGTATAATAATTAAAAATGACCTACTTAATTTTCATAATTGTTCCAGTTTAAGCAATAAATAATAGTTATTCCACTTAAGACTGTCTTGATTGTCACTTCTCTCGATTGCTCTTTTATCTTCCGTTAAATAACAAATATTTAAAAACTGCGCTTCTCTGTATTTTCACTAAATACACATTATTGATTAAAAAAACAGCATATATTTTGTTATCATTCAATATTATTGGAAACCAAGGCTGTGAAGATCTTACAAAACTCACCATAAACTCACCTAGATGGTTAGTCAATTTACATTTACATGGAAATTTCCTTAGGGAGTCTGCAGACAAAAATCAAAATTATCATTTTTTTCTTCTATCGATACATACTATTTTATATATTTATGGGGTGTATGTGAGTGTTTATTACATGCATGGCTTGTAATAATAAAGCCAGGGCATTTGGAGTATCCCTCACCTTATGTATTGATTATTTTCATGTGTTGGTATCATTTCAAGTGCTCTCTTTCAGTTACTTTGAAATATACAAAATAATGTTGCTAAGTATAGTCACCCTAGTCTGTTATCAAACATTAGAACTTATTTCTTCTGTCTAATTCTTTGCTTATAATGCTTGATCATCTTCTCTGCATTTCCCCCCTCCCACTCATCCACCCTTCCCAGTCTCTGGTATCTATGATTCTATCCTCCACCTCCATGAGAGCCAGTATAAAGTGGACAAAGACTTAGTTGTGATTTTCAAGTGCCATGCCAGGTGGATAGAAATATCAGTGTGGTAAGTTATTTAGCAGCAAGTTATCATTAAAATGGACTAAAATACACAACAGCTTTAAATGTATTTGCATTTAAATTTTCATGTTATAAAAAGTATCGGATGTCATTAAAACAAAACCAACATACTAAATCTCTCATGTCCTTCATAGAAGTGGTCACTTTTTCACCCAAAAGCATGCTTTCCCTGAAAACTACTTTCCAAAAGATGAGAGACAGGAATGTGCTTAGCTTTTCCTCTAGAGAATGCATAGCCAGATACCCATCTCACCATTTCAGTGCTGACAGGTGAAGCTGTACAATCTCTGGTTTCCCAATTTTTTTTGCAGATCTGCTCCTTTCACGTAGTTCAAGTACTGTTACACCGTTAGATATTGGTTGCAAGCAATAGAAATCACTTTTGGTTATGCAAGACAAATGTATTAAAGAGTTTATAAAAAAATGAATGGGTATGCAGAAGCACCAAACTTGGGCAAGAATTAAGGAAGATAAGGCACAGCCAAGATCCTTCAGCAGAAAAAATCAGGTTAAACTAGCATTGGTGCCACTATTGCTACTTGATATTTCACCATGCTCACTGCTTCAGGACTTGGGCTTCCATGCAGCACCACTCTGCCACTTTTGGTTAATTTGCATTCCTGACACCATTGTATCCTATTGAAGAAGATCATTTTATACCTTTGATAGATTTGGCAAGGAAACAAGGACTAATGAAGGTGGCTTAGAAAAGACTATTAAAATAGTATGATAAGGACATGGGGAAAGCATGAAAAAAAACTAAAATAAGAACCTATGTGAACATTATTAATAAAACCATCATCTACCTAGTCATCCAGTTGCCATATATAAAATAATCCATGCCCCTTTGAGACCCTAATCAAATTGATTGCATCGTTCTATTTTTCTTTTTCATCTCTATTTTCTCTCCTTTGAATTTGTCTTTTTTCTCCTTTTTATTATCTTATGATACTTTTAATGTCTTCTTTTACTATATTATCTGGTATAGAATATAATTTTCATGAGTAAAAAGCATATTGCATGTTAAAAATTTTTGGTCTGTAAACCATAAATTGACAATGTAATGTGTTTATGTTATCATTATGAACTGACTGTTGCCGCTCCACAGACCACACCAAAACAGTGGCTTAAAACAACACCATTTTATTTGTTCATGATACTGTGGGTGAGAAATGTGAACTGCGGTCAAATGAGTAGCTTTTCTGAAGGGTTCCATCTGGGGTGCTCTCGAGCTGTAGTCATGAGATGCCTTGACAGAGATTGAATGATCCCAGATGTCTTTGCTCACATGTGAAGCTGCTGGATGCTACATGTGGACTGTAGCTTTTGACTTCTTTTGAACGTGGTTTATTATCTTCCAGTGACTCCATTTCTTTATTTAGGGGGATCATGACAATGTTTCAAGAGGAAAAGAAAAATTGCTGGGCTTCTTGAGGAGCCATCTCCTGAACTCTCAAAATGTCACATGTGCATCATTCTGTTGGTCAAGGGAAATCATATGTCCAGCCCAGATTCAAGAGATGAGAAAATAGATTCTCTTTCTTGATTGAAGGAATAACAAAGATATTACACAAGAGCATACACATAGGGTTAGAAGGAGTTATTGAGGCCATTCCCCCTGCCTCCCCCAAATCAACCTCAATACCTAACACAAAAAGAATACAAATAAGTAATACAGGGGAGGAAAAATGCTTCCTTCTACCCTCTTAGGTTCTTTGGCTTGTCTATGAATTTAATTGACATAAGAGAGATTAACAAGAGAAAAACTATATCAATTATGTACATACACATAGGAGTCCCACAAAAATACAGGGCTCAAAGAATTGGCCAGAAGATTGAGGCTTACACTGTGTTTCCTCTTGAAATGGGAAATTACATGGAGAAATAAGAGCTTGGGGCCTCTAGGTGGTACTAAAAGCAAATTATGAGAGGGTGAGGAGACAAGCCAGATTCAGATGAGATGACCAGGAAAAGCACCTTAAAACAAAGATAAGATTTGTTGCACAGATTTAAGTCTACACCTTCTTCATTGATTAGAAGTCTCTAGTGATTTAATTCTTTTTTCCCTGGTACAGATAAGGAGACACTCTTACAAATGGAAAATTATTTAATCAACATAAAAGGCCAACTTTTAAGAGCTATTCCTGTGTCTGCAGTTCCTTAAAATAACCAGCTCAAAAGCATCAACCTGCCAAAGAAGAATATGTTAGGGTGATGCATTCTGGACTTGTATAGTCATGTTTTAGGGCAGAACATAGCGAATCTCATCATTAATTTAGCCACAAAAAAAAGCTTTCCTTTCCTATTAGGCATACAATACTAGTTGGGAAAGCATATCCTAGTTGATGGACATAGCAGTAAAGGAAGGGTACCTTTTTGACTCTTTCCGCTTTTTCATAGTAGCATCTTAATCGCAACTCACTCAAATATATTTTCAAAAAAAAACTGTTTTCTGAATGCAAAGGATCTTTTAATTCATATTATTTTCTCAGTTCAAATAAAGAAAAAAGGCACTATTAAGGAATTAAAAAACAATTTTAATAAAATAAAACATTCAGAAGAGAAAATATGTGGCAGGCACATTGTAGTATTAAGAAAGACATATGAGATACATTAATTCAATTAAAAAATGGCATCACTTAATCTCCGTCTATGTCTTTCATTGTGGTATAAGAGTTTATTGCTCAAAACAAAGCACCAAGGTGGAACGAAGAAATGGCCGGTATACTTTGAACTTATTCATTATTGATTCATATTAGGTAAGGGAGGGATGGGAAGCAAGTATTATATTGAGAAAGAGAGAATGAGCAAGACAGGTCAACGTCTACCATTCTAGTATAGAGTAATAAAAGACTGGTACTTTAGTATCCCTTTGTCCACCTCCTTGACCTACTTGCAAGAATTCAAGGTCCTCGCAGTAGCCATAGAATCTAATTTATTCGCAAAGACCTGAATAGAAAAAAAAAATCTACAAATTCCCCTTGGTAATATCTTTTAGGGTCTAGTATGAATTCCTGTCAAATTTGTCTTCCTGTTGTCCAATCTAAACCACTCCTGCTGTGAATTAAACATATTTCCATGTCTTCTCTCAGTGGAAATGAAGAGCAGCTGGTTATAATACTCCTTCATCTACTTACAGGTTACAGTTTTAAAAAGCACTTAGTTTATTTGTTCTGAAAAAGAAAAAAAACTTTTAAATGTTGGAATATTTTCTTCATGAGTTGATTGAAGGCCTTTAAGTGATCAAATACCATAAAACTATAAGCATGGCAACAGGACTATAGAGCAACAAAATATATATATTTCTATGTATATTTCTTTCCTTGCTCACTACGCTACATATGTTGATAGCTTTGAGACAGTCAAATTTAGTATTATTTTTGTCCCATGTGGGTCACATTCAGGATTTTTAGTGTTTAAATTTGTGTGAAAGTTGAAAAATGTGGATGAAAACAGAATAGAGTTGACCCTTGAACAATCTTGGGATTAGGGTGCTGATCTCTCACATAGTCAAAAATCTACATAACTTTTGACTCCCTCAAATCTTAACTACTAATAGATTCTTACTGATCAGAAGCCTTATTGATAACTTACACAGTTGATTAATACATCTTTTGTATATGTATTATATACAGTATTCTTACAATAAAGTAAGCTAGAGAAAATAAAATGTTATTAAGAAAATCATAAGAAAGATAAACTATATTTACTATTCGTTAAGTGAAAGTGACTAATTCATCAAGATCTTCATTCTCATTATCTTCATATTGAGTAGGCTGAGGAGGAAGAGGAAGAACAGGTGTTAGTCTTCCTATTTAAAGGATAGCAGAGGTAGAAGAAAATCCAAATATATGTGGACTTGTGCAGGTCAAACCTGTGTTATTCAAGAGTCAACCATATATGTAAAAGTCTTTAAGTATAATTTTAAAAACTAAGAATTCTTAATGAGTTTGAAGTATTTTATGTTGTCATCTTGATTTCCTTAATTTTAAAATTTGCTCTGTGAGAATAAGAAAATTTAGTGTAGTTGGGAGTTGACTGAGTGATGTGTAGAGACTTGAATTTCAGACTTGAATTAAATAATTGTCAGGAGACAGAAAAGACGTGGTTGGGAGAAAAATCGATTTCATCCAGGTGATATGCGGCATTATAAACCTCCAGAAAAACCATTGCCAAATGTATGTGTCTCAAATATCTCTTCTCCATACCATCATTTAATACAACATCCCGGCCCAAATGCTAATTATTTGTAGTAATGTTTGAATCATTGAAGGATTTCACCTCAGCATAGCCACTTAATGCATTCAGAAGATGCATAGTTCTAGACTCATCAGAACATCTATTTATAGATTCAACTCATGACTTAGCAAAGATCAATATAAGCATATAATAGTCAACAAAATATTAGTTTCTCTCCTCATCCTTAATCTAGCCCATATGCCATTTGAATTATATTAAATAAAAATTGTAGCAACAGAGAGCTATTTGGAGATCCGATGGTCAGGCAGTTAAGTAATATTATCTTCTTTACTCCTTGTCAAAATTGTAAAGCATTTGTCACTTAAACGCTGTAACAAGGCTGGTGGTGGAACTACTTGGGTGGAAAAAAATACCTTCATGTTGGTTCTTGTATTTCTGACTATTTCATGAATTCTCAACAACTCAAAGAAAAATAGAGGAAAAAAAATAATGTTCCAGGTATGATATTGTTCCTATACAAATATTGGAGTAAGCATGTGAGTAAATTTCCTTGCATATTTCTCAGACAGTTTAAGAATAGTTTGTCTTCTTCTAGGAGACTGCACAAATAAAGGGCTTGGTATTTTACTTCACCCTTTTTTTTTTTCCCCAAGCTTGAGGTAAATGCATCTCAGAAGGCTGTACATATGCTACATACAACTTTGATTGACACACCAAGGCAAAGTCAGTCTTCTAATGTTTATTGTTAAATAACCTTTCCCATACTTTATTAGATGTGCATTCTATTCTCCAATGGTGATTTCTTCTATCTTTAGATCTCCTGGGCTATCAGAGAGTTCAGCCCAATCACTATATTTATAATCTACCTACATTCTATTGCTGCACAGAATCCACCGTGAAAGTCAGTGGCTTTAAATAACAATAATATATTATTGCTCTTGCTTCTGTAGGTTGCCTTGATATCAGCTGATCTACACTGGGCTCCCCTGAGCAGTCTGTTTAACTTGGGCAGACTTACTCATGACTCCACCAGTCCCCTGGGAGCCAGCTGATTTATGTTGTGTTAGATCTCACTTTCTTCCTAGAAAAGGAAGGCTCATAAACCTAAGTGGGGAATATTCTTTTCATAGAGTTAGGAGCTTCAGGAGGGCAAACAGAATCATGTGAGGTCTCTATAGGCCTAAGCTGAAAATCAGCACACTGTCACTTTCATTCATACGCCACTGATCAAAACAGGTTTTTGGTCAAGCCCAAAGTTAAGGATCAAATATGTTCATTGGCCATTAGTGAGAGGGACCAAAGAATTTCCTGCCAGGAAGCATGGATGCCTGATGGGGCAAAAACCTAGTGCCAATAATAAAATCTACCTTTTAGTATCATCTGATCAATTTCCACACTTTACCCTTTTCTCACAACGACCTCGTTTCCCTATATAGAAATGATAAAGAAAAGAGAATTACTGGCTGGGCACGGTGGCTTATGCCTGATTCCAGCACTTTGGGAGGCCAGGGGCAGGAGGATCACTTGAGGTCAGGAGTTCGAGACCAGCCTGGCCAACATGGTGAAACCCTATCTCCACTAAAAATTGGCCGGGTATGGTGGTGCACACTTGTAATCCCAGCTACTCAGGAGGCTGAGGTGGGAGGAGTGCTTGAACCAGGGAGATGGAGGTTGCAATGAGCCAAGATCACATCACTACACTCCAGCTCGGTGACAGAATGAGACTCCATCTCAAAAAAAAAAAAAAAAAAAAAAAGAGAATTACTAACAGCTTTTCCTTCAAATGTAAGATTAGGAGAAAAACACTTCTCACATTGTATTATTGTTTAACATCTATCGTCTCTCTCTCTCTCGTATATGTGCACATACACACACAGACACTTTTTTTTTTAGTAGTTCATTATGTGTTTTTCATGTCAAGTGACAATGTAACCTAATGCAGGCTTGGCTGCTTACTGCTTGCAAAGCAAAATGGCAAGGACCAGGTGTGATAAAAATAAAACAAATTTATTCCAGAGCTTAGCAGTAGGGACACCCCAGAATTCACATCTAAAGAAACCACTTCAGATTTCTGGGCAGAAAGTGGGGGCTTGTGAATAGAAATTTTGGTATCCAGGGGCCAAAGAGGTATGGAGGTACAGGATCTATTTGACTTGCTCCAAAGATTTTATCTTGAGTAATGGGCCTTTTGGCGACCAGTCCAGCACCATTGCAGGTACAAAAGGGTTATAAATTAACCACTGTCTTGAGGCAATCTCCTGGTTGGGGAGAATTCTGGAAGGTGCCTAGTTTGTTTCAAGATTTGGTCCTCGGAACTTCTAAGCGAACATATAACTAGAAGAGCCAGTAGTGTTTGCAGGGGAGGGTGTGTTGGAAAGAAAGGAGGGTAAAGGTTACATTTGCATTTCTACAGAGCTAAGCAATCACACAAGGGGAAAGAGAAAAAATGAAAAAGGAAAGGAAATGGAAAAAAACAATTTTTTAAAAATAGGATATTCAGTTACAATATAATTATATTTTGCTGAAGTTTTTATATGAAGAATAGTTGTTAATTTTAAAAATATATATATTAGGAAAATTCACGTATTCATTTATTCAACCAATGTATAGTGAAGACCTACTAAATACCACTCAGGCACTAATGTTACATCCTGGTGGGGGCCAGGGAGGAACAACAACAAAAAAGTGGGCAAAACTCCTTGCCTTCATGGACCTTACATTCTACTAAGGTGAGAGAATCAAGAATATGAGAAAAAATAAACTGTTAAGATATACATCATGGTGGCATGTGTTTACTGCTAAGGACAAAAATATATCAGGGTATGGGAGTGTGAAGTGAAGAGAAAGGAGGGTTGCAAATTTAGATAAAGTGGCCAGGACAGACACATTGAGAAAGTGAAAGAAGGTTAAACAACTTTATAGGTTCTAAAAGAAGTTATTATTATTATTTTTTTTTTGGTAATGTTTGGAAAGGGATATACTTATATCCTGGAAAATAAAATAATTTTATTAAAAAAATTATTTTATTTTGCAAATAAAAATATTTGCAAAAATTATGACAGTGAGAAAATTATGACAGTTAAAGAGATCTCACCTTTAGCCTCCAAACTACCCTTGGTCACCCCTGGGCGTGGGCCAAGCTAACTTTTGAAGAAATTTAGTTTATAGTTTAAATGATAATAGTCCTTCACCAAAACTAAACTGCCTTTGTAAAAATACTGAAAGGTTACCAGGTTAAGAGGATGAGTAAGGTCTGAATTCTGCTAAGATGTAGGCATAGTTAAATGATTACCAGCCTTTTTTCCAGAGGTCACAAGATTTGCAATTTACCCAGTTACTCCTGTAAATAACATCACTATTGCAGAACCTAAGATTGGCCTTTGAAATGTCTTTTCAGCTTTTTGCAATTCTGATCACTATCTGGCCCCACCCACCCTGGTGATTCTTGACTCAAATGGTCCTCTGGCCCCCACTAAGTGAACTCAGCATGAGGACTATTTTCCACATCCCTATGATTGCATCCCCAGTCAGTCAGCAGCACCCATTGCCTAGCTCCCTGCCCATCAAACTATCTTTGAAAAACTCTAGTCCCAAAATTTTGGGGGAGGCTGATTTGAATAAAGATAAAACTCCAGTCTCCTGTTTAGCTGACTCTCAGTGTACTAAACTCTTTCTGTATTGCAATTCCCCTGTCTTGATAAATTGACTCTATCTGGGAAGTGGTCAAGAAGACCCAGGGCATATATAGTATTGAATAATGTCATACTTCAAGGATGAACTATAGTCATTATTATTCCTTATTGTGCTACCGAGTTCTATTTGTGAATATTATATTTAAATATCATATAGATGTTCAAAATCGTAATTGGTCTATAGTTTCCTTTATTGACACTATCTTTGTCAGTTTTCTTTTCAGTCAGTATTTCCCTAGCTTCTCAAAAAAATAGTATTAGAAAAATTTGCCTCTTAATTGTATTTTATAATCATTTAAATCAGAATTATTTATTCCTTATTATATTGGAAACAATTTGTCTGTGAAAGTTATTGGGGCAGGACTCGTTTGCAGGAGAGATAATTCTACATTAACTATCTGAACAATTTAAATATATATTTTAGTATCTTCGCATATAATAAAATTATGTATTAATAATATATATGTTTATGTATATATATACACATATATATAAACAAAGACTGTCTGACAAAAATTTAGTAAAGCTTCTAAGCTTCTAAACTTTCTCCTAGGCCCATTTGTATTTACCTGTAAAATCTGGTTTTAAAGCCAAAAACTCTGCTAAATTGATTTAGCAAGAACCCTGTCAAAAGACAAAATTACAACAAACTTAGTTTAAAGATCTCATTGGCTTTATTTGTGAGTAATGAATCAGGGCACCTTTCATTCTACAAAGTCTCATGACAGAGTTCCCACTGGGCAATGGCAGGAGAGTAGGTTTTGTAAGTTGGGAAAAGAAAACAGAAGAGAAAAAATCTGAACTGATTTGTTAAAGTCAAGTTATTTCAGATTACTGTTCTTGCAAGGGTTAAAGCAGACGGGGCTTTCTTATTAAACTAAAACAGATGAACTGAAGTCTCCTGTTTTCAGGAAAAAACTAGTCTATCTTGGGATTTACCTGTTTCTTTAAAATTTCCATTTGATTACGTGACGTTTAGCATGATGAAGTGACGTTTAGCAGTTTGGTTTGTTTCAGTCTTCTGGGGCTTAGTGCAGGAATCTAATCCAAAACAATGGCCTCTCAGAAATTTTAACAACCCCAAATCTTGATATCTAATCATTCTCCCTATCTTATTGAATTTCACATTCTCCATTATCCCCCCACAGAATATCCTATCTCCCTGGTCTGCCTTCAGCAAGAATCCTGTTATATTGGTTCAACCAGAATCCCCCTTACCATTGATGTTTCCTTTTATATCACTTGCCATCTACTGACTCCCCACCCAGCTTCTTGGCTATGAATTCGTACTTGCTTATCTCGTATTGGAGTTAAATTCAATCTTTTTCCTCCATTGCAAGTCCCTGTTGCAGTTGTTTCTATACATATCACCATGAGCCTGAATAAATTCTTCCTCACATTGCTTTAACAAGTATCATTGAATAGTTTTTGCTTAAAAAATATATATACATCATATATACGAATATTTATAAGCTTCATACATACACATATATGTACAAAGTCAACCATTTATTGCTGGCTTTTAAAGAGATTTTCAGAAGTGTTTTCAATATATATTCTTGTGATTATTTAAAATTATTAATATAGGACAAGTATTGGTCAAAAATTAGAAAATAAATACTTTTCAGTGCCAAAACATAATTAATAGATTTTTTATTCTGTTTTAAATGAATAAAAGGTTCAGACTTCAAATATAGATGTCAGAAGACTCTTTTTAAAAGTTACCTTTTTATGTGTTATAATATCAAACAAATATATGCAACATCAAAATCAGTAACTGCTAATAACTTATACTCTTATTTTAGCTAGTATCTCCATAGGTTTCTCAGCCTATTGAACATACGGTCTTTACTTCATCTTTTTCAAATGTTTGAGTGGAAATAGAAACTCCCTCAATTCTACCTGCTTAATTGTACTTAGAAAGAATGGTAGGGGAAAGGTGCACCAACAAATTAAACTCTATTCATAAGCATCTGGTTACGAATATTCTGAATGCTGTGTGACTCCTTTTTTTATATCTATAAAGATTACAAGTAGAGATATCCATTACAGATTTTCATTTCTCATTTGTACTCCTAAGAATCTGGCTCTCTCTATTTTCCAATTGAGTATTATCAAGTAGCAAGCTTACTAAAAATTCTCATGACATAGTCCAATACATAAATACCTTCTAAGTATTAGTTGTATAAATGTATGTTATAATAACATCCATCAACCCCACTAAGTTCTTTGTTATTTCTCTTTCTTTAACTAAGTGGGAATAAAAGTCTATATGGAATGACTTGAAAAGTGTGTCAGTGGAGAAGTAGTCAGTAACAGAAAAATATGCGACTCTCTTAGCTTACTACTTTTCCAATGGACTGGGGAGAATTAGGAAGTTATTGGAGAGAGATGCTTGTTTAAGGAAAATTTTTTTAACATGTGTTTTCTTCTATAACTCCATACATGATAGAAACAAGAGAGAACTTCTAATGATGCAGGATGAGCGAGGACAATTTCAGTGTTCAAATCATTGATCTAATGGAAGGGCATGTCATCTAGATCATAAATGAAAGGTCTTAGACAAAAACAGGGACATTTCTTTATTGTATTGTGAGTAATGTCTGAACATAGGTGGTCACATAAAGGGGCACTGGTACACTTAAGAGTGGAAGGAGAGGTGCTCTCTTCTGATTGTTGCCATTTTTTAAATGAAATATTGGGAAAAGTTTTCTGCTGAGTGTACAGGGTGGATAGAAGGGTTGAAGTTTTAAACAGGAAGGTGAGACATAAAGTTATCTACTGATAATGATGTTGTCTAAATTTCTTGTGACTTCTCTCATGATTATCCAATCCTCCCTTCCAGTTGATTTATTTAGGTATCAACATAAGTGAATTCTACTCTTACATACTTTTTCTTACTCATGTATTGGTTCTACAGTAATTGTGCTTCTTTTCTCAGCTTGATTAGTTCTGCATTATCTATTTTATTCTGGTATTTTACATGTAAAATTTATTTGTATTGATATTAGAGTTTCTAATCTTAAGAGTTTGTGTGTCTTTCAACGTTAGCAAATAATACTGTTTATGCTTTTTTTTTCTTTATTCCTTCTGCAGTTTTTACCATGTACTTTTTTCCCTCTTACTAATTTTTAACACGGATAGCCCCACTGGAATTAGAGATAATATATCTAACAATTCTCCCTGGCTTCGTATGTCTTTGTCTGAGATTGGTTTTCTTTTCCTCAGAGATTAAGTCTAAAGGCTAAATTCACAGAACTCTAGTCTTCATGCTTTGCCTGTTGGTAGATTTAGTCTTTGATCTTTAAAATGTATTTAGAATAAAATCCTCAAATCATTTTAATTACTGGCATGTTTTATTCTTATTCAGGGTATTTTAAGCTTTTGAATAGTTTATTTCACTTCAGACTGACCTCAGGAACTTTGCTGTTCAGAGACAATCAGACTTAATGAATTCCTTCCTCATTCCAGTCTCCTCAGCAGATACTCCATTCTAGAAAAATGGAGAAACATATTGTTAAATTTTCAAGTGTCACCCTTGGAATTGCTAACCTATTGCAAAAGTGGAAAATTTCAATGTACACACAAGTTCTATGTTTCTCTACCCCGGAGCTGCTGACCAACTCAATTTTCTTTTTCTATATTATTTCCTGTTTAACGTTTCCTTTTCTAGTAGTACTTTTATTATTGAAGAATAAGGTTGTTTCAGGATTAATCAGTCTCTTTCTCAACAAATACCTAGATGAAAAAAATATTGCTTTGTTTTCTTTCATTGGTATGTCAGGATTACAATGTATATTGTATTCAGGTTGGTTTCTCTCAGAAGACTATAGATGGAGATTTACTTGCAGGAATTTTATCCATCAGTACACTCAGAATCAACAACACTAAGGGAAAAAAACGTAAGGCTGGGTAGCAGGAGAAATTGAACTATACCAAAGATCTCAGTCAATCTTAACAGGGGCACTGGAGCTGCAATGACTCTTCAAAATTGTACTGAATTGGAATGAGGGTTCTAGGCATTTATATTGCCAGCTCAGCTGGTCACTTGACATGGGTTACTCCAAGAAGAAGGTAATGATATTGAGCAAGCAGCTCTCCTCAGCCCATGGCAAGTGCTAGGAGTGACTCAGTTGGGAGCTATTGTCTGCCCACACTTTCAGCAACTAGGAGAATGAATCTTCCAGGCCAGAGTGTAGAAGAGGAAGTGAGGTAACAGAACATCAAGACATTCATTACAGTTTGGAAAGATTTTTTGGTCTTACAGGGTTATTTGGTGTCTCTCCTTATGATACCTAAATCCCTTCTGCCTGCTTCTCTAAAATGGATGATATGTGAGAAAATTTTCATCTTGTTTTTCTGTCACCATTCTTATGACTGATGAAAAACATGCAAATGCAAATATTATGTGACATATTTTATATTTTTAAAAACTGTGTTAATAAAAGAACAGTAGTTGGTTCTGATTTATATTTTTAAAGTATAAATTTATACAAAATTTCTGATATTATAACTTGACAATATATTTTGAAAGTACATAAAATATCTATTTTGAGTTCATCAACATCTTGAAGTTTATTCTATCTAAGGACTCAATAATTTGGAAACCAGTAATTTCCAAAGTTATATCCCAAAACTGCAATTTAGAAACAATAAGAGATTACTCAAATAAATTTTTGAGGCTCAATATATTGGAATAATATGCAAGTTATCAAAATAAGTGAAAATACAGGTTATACAAGTATACAGAAAGTTTATAATTGCATTTTTTATATATATATATATTCATATGTAAATATAAAATAACCTAGAGGGAAGCATAAACATGCTTATTGTCTGTAATTGAATTATAGGTTCTCTTATTTTTAGACCTATTTGTAGTTGACAGTTTTCTCTCATTATTGTGTATCATTTAATAATAAAAAAATTATCTTAAAAACCTCTGTGCATCATCTTTATATAATATGTAACCATTGGCAATAAATGTTTGCTCTTCTACACCAAATTTAGATCAATACCCCAATAAAGTTCCAGTTAATTTAATGGGAGATAAGGCAGAATTAAACCTTCTTTTAGATACAACTAAGGGAAACAAACAAAATTTTAAAATAAATCAGGAATTAGACACTACGAAGTCAAAACTAATTTTCAGTAATCCTATCAATAACTGTTTTTTAAATTATATCAATAAATATAATATTCTCCTAGTATATACATAAAATAAAATGTGAATATATAAATATTTGTATATATATCTATTAAATAAATAAGCAATATTCATTCAATCAGCAAAATAATATTTTATTGTAATATGCACATCAGAAAATATAAAGTGACCAAAAGTTTTACTAATTAAAATTTGGTTATTGTTAAAAAGAATCTTGTAATCTGAGCAGATAATTTAAAAATGGTAAATAATAATTCATTAGATGAAGACAAATTGCCCAAGTATTGAGTATATATGTTAAACATGAACCCTATTTATCTTACAAAGCTAGTAGCAGGGAAAAAAGTATTGTTTCTATGTATTTTAAGACCAAGAATGTGCATTTACATTTATTTTTCAGGCAAAACAGTATGAGCTTCATGAGGATGACAACTTCAATTGATCGCAGCATTTTCCCTCTGGAAATTTAGAGAATTTTGTAAGTTAGAAAACGAAAGCCTTCTTAGATGTATACCTGTCTCAGCAGTAAATATTTGACTTTAAGTTTATACAAAGTGAAGTATTCAATGAGAATCTGAGTCATTTTAACTGAAAAGATAGCTACATGCAAACCCAAATGGAACTATAAACCTGAAGGCCTTCATGGCATAAAACATGTTGATAGAAAATAGGATCTTAGAATATGGACTTAACCTATATTACAATGTTTGTGATGAGTAGTAGCCTTTTCACGGTACTCTTTTAATATTATTTAGTAAAAAAGTGTAGTAATGCAAATATGTGAAAAAAATATGTAAAATAAAAGATGATTTTGTTAGACCAGAGCCATTTAGATGGCCTTATTTTCTTAAGTACTACTTTTATTATCTTACAATTTTAACTTTGAACTTCAGAAAATTGAAACTGCTTAAATTTCATGACTGACTTAGAATCATTGGATGACATTAAAGTTTACATCAGAATCAGAAAAGGTATTTTTTTTCTTGAAGTGTACCTTAAAGACATTTTAGAGGGAGACATGGGAGCAATATCTATCATTATCACTCACTGTGTTTTAGGATCGAGGCAAATGAGCACAAATTTATCCCTAAGGCAAGAGTAAGCTCTGTGACTTCTCTGGCCCTGAGAAGCAAAGAAGCCATGGATGAATTTACTAACTATGGTGCAAAGTCTCCTAGACTCTCAGGAATAGCTACAGATTGCTTTAACTTTGTTTTTAAAAGACAAGTTCTGCTTCACTCCCAAATATCTGGAGGTTACAACTGTAATAATCATGTAATTTTTTTTTTTCTGGGTCATTCTTCCTGTGGCTGTTCTAAAGGTTTGATAGCTCCCTTATTTCCATCCCTGTAAGAACTTTCAGGTTGTATACAGTGTGGGGAATATTGGCTGTATACATACATAGCAAAATAAAATGAAAAGATAAGAGTATAGAGAGTTTGCATAAAATGAATCCTAGAAAGATGCAGATTGGTAACGGTGTGCTTTTATTGGCTTACTCTTCCACATAAACATCAGAAGTAAGTGGAGGTGCCTAATCAACTGGTCACACTAAGTATGAATACATTTTAATACCTTAACATATAGAGAAACTAGAAGATGACACAAGGCAAGATAGAAGAATATTTACAATTGGTGAGTGGTGAGGTATATGAACAAATATAACTCACAAAATATATAAAAAAATACTTACAGAAAGGGGATCTAGTAATGTGCAAGCTCTGATCATTTGGAACTCTCCATTCTCCTCCAAATACAGAGCAAAGATATAAATGCCCTTGGGACACCACCTCCTCCTCTTAAAACAAAAGCAAAAACAAAAAATGATGTTTCTATTAACCAGAAATCAAACAAATATTCAAAGTAAAAAGAGGTTGATATTGCTAGCAACCTGGATTCTAGTTGAGGAATGAGAAGTCTGTAGAGTAACAGTGGGCAGTATCACTAGCCTAAGTTGGGAACTAAAACCAGTCTCACTTTTAAAAATTGAGGTGGGACAAGGCAATCCTACCTGTACACTCTATCTGGGCCATAGTTTATGCTAAAATTTTACTGTTGGGGATTTAGAAGCACACACAGTTTCATAGCCTGTATCATACTCAAACCACCAGCTAGATCGGTACACTGCCCCCAAAGTCAACATCATGAAGGACGACTGAGCTGTGAATATCTGAGTTGTGAATATAGAAAGTATTTTTGATCAGAGATCTTGAGTATCTAAGTAAAACAACCACAAAACCAACTGAAGAGGGGAATAAATGGAGGTGGGGGATGGTCGGAGGAAAGGAGAGAGAGAGAGAACAAGGGTGTGCTGACAAACTGGAAACCAAAGTACATGAAGAAAAAAACCTGTGTATTGCCAGAAACGGCTAGCCCTCCTGTAAGTGCTTACTTTCCTTTCCAAGATTGAGTCCCCATGACTGTGTGTTGAAAGCAGCGACTGAACCAGGGTCCCCCTTCCCAGGTTCCTGTACATCTATTTGTGACCTCATATGACTTATTTTCCCAATTGCAATGTGAAGATAACTCTTTACAAATTAAAGATTCTAAGTTGTGAATCTACTTTTTCCACACGTCTCTTTCCCCTTCTGTCTTCTGGATATAGAAAATGATGAGGCTTTTATATTAGGAGCTAGTACTTAGGACGGAAAGAAGTCAGGTCATCTACCGACAAAGCAGCCATTTTGTACTGTTATATGAACAAAAAGGTGTTTCTGAAATGTTATAAATGAAGGAATATTTACTAAAACAACTAGTATTACTCTAAAATATAATAATAACTTGTAGCCCAAGAAACTCAGAAAGGGGATTCATTTCCTGTAGATAAATAAATACACTAAGTGTGTTTAATTACTTCAGACATAAAAATATGATAGCATCCACATAACTTTCATTAAGTTATCAAAGTATATAAGAGAAAAATGAAAGATGAAGTAAATTATAAAAAGCTATTTAACATGCTTAAGATAAAATACGTAATGATTGAAGTAAAAACAAACTAGGTGTTACACACTATAGACTGTACAGATTCTTAGGACATTTTAATCAATTAGAATTTAGAACTAATAACTCCATGAGAACTTCACAGAGTCAGGAAGACGAAAAACATAAAAAAGCTGTTAAAAAACATGTGTACAGTATTAAGAGCCATCGCTATGTTCTTAATTATTATTTCAAATATAATTTAAAAATGGTGGAAAAAATTGAGCTAAAAATAATGAAAATTTGTTCTAATTTAAAAAAAAAGACATGCATCTTTATCTTAAAAGTTGACACAAACTGTTGAATAGGATAAATAAAATAAATCCACCCCAAACAAAACCTAATAAAACTGAAAATATCAGCTATAAAGAGAAAATCTCAAAGGATAGCTACAAAAGAATGGCATTGAGATCGAGGTCCTTCCTCTCAGCAATACAAGAAGGGAAATAAGATGGAATGAAGACTTTAAGAAATTAAATAAAAAGGACTATTTTTTTACAAGTCTATCATAGGTTAAACTCTTATTCAAGATTGTCAGTGAAGTGAGAATATTCCAATAATACAGAGACCATATTTTACTAACATTGAATTTCCTTTAAAGAATTGCAAACAAAAATCATAAAATAATAATAATAATGCCCATTATAAATATTACTAAAATATCCTGGGTTACCTGTTCAAATATTGTCTATAATCATTATAGCTCATCATTGTGATTTAAAAAGTGAAAATAAGATTCTTGCCCACAATATCAAAGTTGATTGAAACCAGGTGTCTAATTGTTAGTTATATATTTTAAATTTATTTTTGTTTTTAAAAGAAGCCTAGAAATATGAATAATTGCATTGTAATGAGATTTCTGTGCCAATTAAATTGATAAAAATAATTTAAAGTCATAATAAAATTAGAGATCAGTACATTATAGTAAATATCTAAAAGAATGCTGACAGGGCTATAACTTGAGACTATTTTACTTTTTTTCTAAAAGTGAGTTTTTCACCTGAAAATAATTTGGCAAGATATATCAAGATTCTGATAATCAACATACATATCTGGTTCAACAATTTCATTTTATTAGTCTAAAATTTAAAGATACATGCTGTGGTTGGAAATAAATTAATTATACATACATTCATTTCTGCCATTTCTATCAATTTTCAAATTTAGGCATATTTGTGTGTGTATAACTGTATCACTGTAGTATAATATACTAATCGGCTATTAACATAAAAAAGTGTTACACAATGTAAATGTATACATTTACATAAAGTGGAAATATGCATTACCTTTTTAGTATTTTATAAAATATTTATATTGATACTCCAGTTATTTTTAAAATTTAACTTTAAGATTAAGTGAGTAATATTTTTCAAAATAATTGGGAATGTCATATAATTGAACATATGACATTCAAATACTGTTTAAGAGTCAAAATTATTTCTGAGAGATAAAGAAATTATTATATAGCAAATATAAAAACAAAGGTGCTTAATTTGAACCAATCCCCTTCTTTCCAACTATTACAACCGTCAAATATATATGCCATGAGATAAATATAATTTATTGAAATTGACTGAAGGATACAATTGGCCTGAGAATTCTTGGGTTTTGCATTCATGGATTTAATCACCCATGAAATCAAAAGTATTTGGGAAAAAAATTCTTCAAATTCTCAAAAGCAAATCTTGAATTTGCCCACGCAGAGGACTACATCGAATTCATATAAATGAAGCAATGTGTAGGCATCATATTAGGCATTGTAAGTCATCTAGAGATGATTCGAAGTATATGGGAGGATGTACAAGATAATATGCAAATACTATGCCATTTTATATAGGTGACTTGAGTATTTGTGGATTTTGATATCCATGAATATCCTGGAATCAATTCGTTACGAATATCAAGGAATTACTATATCAGTATCTCTGGCTTTTTTTTTTTTAGTAATTTTTGTGTCTAAAGTCAATATTATCTTTTGTTGATAAGGAAAGAAAGTCACATACAATAGATTTTTACTGACAGTTTCTTACCTTTAGCCCAGGCAGTGATGACTAGAATATTTATTAGATCATCAACCTGTAGTCATCTCTGTTTATGAGTCCTAGGCCAGTGTTTGTTAAATACACCATGCTACTAGTCGTAAAACCATCAGTTTCTTAAATGAATAGGCAGCACACCTTTGAAAACAGGTTGAGAAGCTAATGAACTCCGTTGCAAGTACTAGCAAAGAACTTGTAGCAGAATTACACAAATCAATAAATATTTAACATGTTGGCTTGAACACTCAATTGCTTTTAATTTGAAAATATTACTTGTAAGGAGCAATTTCTTCTAAAATTTTCAAAAATGCTTGCTATTATCTGTTAGCTTTTATACACATGTGTTTCAACACATAGATATTTTAACTTGATACTATTTTAGCAAAATATCAGTTTCTACCCTAGTTTAATGTCACATTGATACATAACATATATAAAATGTTTTATTAATTTATTCCTTCCTTTCCCATTCAAGACTGTACCTTCTTGCTTCTCTGTTTTCTCTCTGTTCAGAAACATACCTACAGCTATACTATAAAATTTTTGTTGAGTAAATTTTTAATATACACTGCTGATTTTAAGGGGTTTCCTCATCAACAGAGCATATCCAATCAAATAGCTGGCCTATGATTACAAAGATGTAGGTGTCCTTAAAGAAATTTTTGCCTGTTCAAAAGCTATCTCTGCCAAAAATTGCAATATGAAAAAGCTGCTTTAAACTGCTTCAAAGTTAGCTATTTCCTTAGTAAAAAATATGCTAAATAATCATTGTGTTCACACCATGTTTTATATTTAAATATTCAAAATGTTTGTTAAACCTATACAGCTATGAGAATTCATTTATTCCTTATTTTTAATCACTATCCTAAGGTTACATTTTTTACACAGTGAAAAAAACTTAATAGTAATTTAATATTCATCCCTAGTGCTAAATCTTGGAATGTATGGGGGTTAATGGATCTGTTCTTTTACTTGCTAAATAAAATGTGTCCCCTTAGATGATGGTTACCATTCCTTAATTAAGAATCCACTAAAGTGCCATCCAAATGTACATAATTTATTCCCTTTATATTATTGGACTGGGAATTTTGCCAATGAATAAAACACCTTATTCTGAGGCAAAATGGAAACTAATATTTTAAAGCTTGATGAGAAATATCATTTCTTGAACTTGTTTTAGTAATAAATTTATAATATAATGAAGAGCAAATCAGGGTAATACCTAATCTGACATTCAGTAAAGGCACTAGCTGAAATCTAAAATGACTACTTCTTAAGGAAAGTTAAAAAAATATATAAAACCCTTTGTGATGGAGAAATTATATGGATATGTGCCTATATATGTATATGTGTGTGTGTTTATTGTGATTGTTGTTGTTTCTTATATGAAATGATTGTTGTTGCTCCTAGCCATCCTTGTCATAACAGAAGGCAAATATATTAGCTTAGTGTTTTTAAATGACAAAAGATTTCAAGCACTTCATAAGAGAATAGCTTTTGAATGAGACAGTAAATAGTAGATGGAATTACTCTTTAAGAGTTCATATAACAAAAAATGGCTCATGTTTGTTTATTTCATTTTTTAGAAAGAAGTATGAAGATTTTAGAAAATACTTCATTGTAAGAAAAATCTTGGAAAGTTTCAGTAAATATCGCTATCTGAGCTACTTAGTGGTCATAGACTATGTCTTAACCATGCCTAATTTCTGAACTGTGATTCTCTAAATCTTTTAAGCTACTCTTATATCTTATTTCTATAAATATCATTGGACTACACTGGTTGATATTTCAAAGAGTAATGGTAATTTAAAAGTAGGCTATATCAAGCTGTTGCATTAAAATCACATTTAAATATTTGTTTTTAGTTTTGGTAAGCTGTTTAATTTGATGGTTCAATTGTTCCTTAAAAGAAATCTTTATTCAGTCAAAGAGTTAAGATTTACAATGAATTTGCTGTATATGTTTTCTCATCATATGTCCAGTAAATAGAGTTGACTGAAATATACAATTATCAACAATATATCCGACATATGTAGCAAGTAAGGATGGAGACAATCACATGGAAAATTCATCTGAAGACTTTTCATTGGTGACTTTTACTTATAATTCAGATAGAAGTTCTGTCTTGGGAACGTAATTTTAAATACTGCAACATTCAGGGCCAATATGAAGATAAGGAAATGTTTTCTTTAAACTGTCTCATCAGCTTAGGTACCTTGTCTATGTTAGTTACCCACTTAGGAATTATTTGCTTAAAATTTTAGCACCCACATCATAGTTAAAATATCTATTTATTTGATCCCATATTTCACAAATAATCCGCAGGTGATTTGTACATAGCTTTAACTTCTTACTACCTTGACACTTTGGTCATATCTATGTGTGTTTTCCATTGTTTTGCTGCTGAGTGATCATCAAAAGTGAAAGAATATAATTTTCAATGTATTGTTTCTTAAATTGTAATGTAGACATATTCTTCAGAATCTATGAGATTATATGTCTAATAAATGTTACCTAAAGGTTGTTAGACATAGGATAAATTTATGGGAATTATTTTACCTTGCTGACTCAGTTTTGCACTTGCCAACTCTCACAAAACTTCACATTGTATTGAATGTATTCATGTTGAATAATTAATACAATGGATTACTAATTATTCATTAGAAAAACTAATGGGGCAAATACAAAAGGACAAAGTGAATACATTCCTCCTATTTGCCGTTGAAAATGCAACAGTGACCATTCTTTTGAGTCCTGGGAATCTAAGACACTGTCTTATATTAGCAGTGTCTTATAAAACTGAATTCACAGCAATAAAATCTTTCTTATCCTCATTTAGATTAATTCTGTAATTCTAAGTATATGTGAGCAAAGAGAAAAATTATGGAATATAAAATGGAAATATGACTTCTTTGTAGTGGAGAAGAGGCTGTATGACTGAAGATTACCAGAAATTGAAAGGCTAGAGTCCCAATATTCCTGAGGTAGTATTTGTTCACAACCTACCAATTAGATTATAAAAGGCATATATTGGTTTTTCTATTGAAATTTGTTCCTTTCTATCCGAAATTCATGTTTCAATTATTTTAAAATTAGGATGCAAAAACATTCTTATGAAGCCAGTTATACTGAACACAGAGGCTACAAAGCAGTATTTTATAAAAAAGAAAATGTCATGTTTGACATGACAGCAAGCTTTCTTTTAAACATATTGCCTTCCATTTTAGATTTTCTTTTTCTAAAATGCTGTATATAGTAACACCAAATATATTTTTTAATTAAAAATTTCATGTAGCTGTATTTACGTGTGTTAGGAGGAGAGCCTCTTTACCAGTCCTAATGTTTTCTTCCATGCAGAGCAGCATCCAACAAGGTAACACTTAGGTCTTCTTTTCACCTTCACCCTCTTTCTCTGGCAGAAGAAATTAACTGCCTTAATGGAGTATTTGGAAGAGAAATTGGCAAGTCTCTTGCTAAATCTATGCAGCTAGATCTAGGTTTAAACCTAAACTTTATGTCTATCTGCAGTTAGGCTACTCTCTGGGACACATGTTTTTCTTTCTTAGTCTACATTGTAGCTTTTACACAGACAGGCTCTACTGCAGAAAGAGGTAAAGGTCTAGTACAGCCCTGATCAAGAGGATAAGTCTATCCAATTATAGAGTGCGGTATCAAAGCCCTGTTGCCAAACACCCAAGCTAATATTTTCTAATATTAACCACAGCAACAATAGTTATTTCTCTATCTGCTTTTGTTTTTTCCTTCATTTGGTTCAGAACTTTCAGGGGGGCTGGTATTAATTTGGGAGGGGGGGCATCTGAAAATGATCTAAATATGTAACCCTAGTATACATCATAATACTGTTAGTTAAGCATTGCAGTAGCTAGCACTTACTCAGCAGATTAGCTTAGGTAAAAACACGTGGAATTCAATGACTTCATAAAAGATCTGTAAGCCAGTTAGAAATGTGTATAACATAAATAGATGATTAGAATTACAAAATTGATCACAATCTCTTCTGGTCTCATCTCTTTCCATATCTCCTCTCTGATTTCCTTGTGTTTTTACTTCATTTTCTCAGGGCAGTTTTCTTTACATAACTGAAGCTATGGTTGCAAACACATATGTGCTTCTGTTTCTAAGAGTGTCCTAGAGAGAAAAAAGAGGTTTTCCTTATCTGCTCTTCATAGAAAACAGAACAAACATAGAAGCAAAATATATGAAAACAGTTTCTTATTGCTCTGGCTTAAGAACTACATATTTATTCCTTGAACAATCTCTGTGAACAAGAATGGCAAACAGAATTGATTTGGCCTGAGTCATATGTAACACTACTCTGTGACTAAGGATTTAGTCTTTTACTACAGAAAAGGGAGAAAAATAATGTAGAATAGGTGTCAGTCATGATTTAATATCCCAAAAGACAAAAACAAAGCAGTTCGAGTTGTATCTAGAGAAAATGTGTCTGGTAATGACAGTGTGCAATTCAAAAATGAATGCAATAAACCTCTGAACACTACAGAGTATATGCAGGGATATATAAGGTAAATATTTATGTCAATGTTATGACACTTAGTAGGTATCTCTTTTTCTCTCCGTTAATGATATTAAAGTAGCACTAGAGAAACAATATATGCCAAAGGTGTAAATGACAAAATGAACTACATAGCCACGTCGAATCATAGCTATTTAAGGTATTCAGATATTTTTCTGGTAGCACAAAATAAGCTTTGGGACGGATGCATCTCGTAGGGGTGCAGTCCCTATGGGTAAGTGTATTAGTTTCTTTTTGTATTAATGAGCATGATAAATTTGTTTCTCTAATTATGTGTGACTGTGTAAGAATCAAATAGCATCAGCAAATTATAAAATTTAATAAAAGTATTTTATATTTTCTATTCTCATTATTCTAAGGAAAGCAAAGGCTGTGTGAAAATACACGGGACTATTCTTCCAACAGGGTAGCAGCATTATTTATAACCACATTATTTGTAACCTTGGGCTCAGGAACGTTTGTAGGTTGTGTTTGATCAAGAATAGCAATGAAAGATTTTTGGATATGATAATAATTCCCAGTATGGCTCACTTTCATATTGAGATGGTTAAGTAACTTAATAGATGTTAATTTTATTTTTGCATTTTGAAATGTTTAAATAAGCAATGTTTTGGGGATACTACAGAAAAAAATCATTTAGACTAGTTTCATTTAAAATAAATATTATTTGAACAAAATGTAAAATCCAGCTGTGCTCTCTCGTATGAAAAATAATAAAACAAATAAGACTTTTAAACTAGAATTGCAACAAGTATGCTTAAAATACATCAGAAAAGTTGCATTTAAAAATACCAAATTATATGTAAGTGGTTTATTAATATATAAGTCATATATTCCTTTGTAAAGCTCTATTTGCCAAAATATTACTAGCAAATTCATGGAAATATACATTTTTAAATTAAATAGTGAAATATGTTAATGTAACATACAAATATAATTCTTACTTATTTAGATGGTGCTGTGTTCCAGTGAGACTGAATGAGCTAAAATTGCTAATTTGTCACTGTAATTTTCTTTAACATGCTAACAGCTTATAAAATGTAAAAAATACTCTCCTTTTTTTTATTTTGAGGCTAGATTTGGGAAAAGTATAAACATTATCTTCAATTATCACAATCATCAATTTATAGCTAAATAGGCCATATGATTATGGAGGTCCTGGTCCAGCCTGCCACAAAACAGATCTCTCAGAAGGGTTAAAGAAGAGAGATGAAATGAATTCTCAAAGAAGGATTGCAACAAGTTTTCTAGCCTAAATGTTGTCCTGTCTTTTATATCAGAACCTGATTTTCAACCACCTCTAAAAATATACTATCATTTTACATCTTTGGAAACTGAGACACGGACAAATTAAATAACATTTTCCAGTGAGTGGTAAATTTATAACACAAAACTAGGGTTATCTGGTTCTCAAAAGAATGAAGTCTATTTCTTTTTCTTCTTCTTTTTTTTATTTCTTCTCATTTTTGAGATGGAGTTTCGCCCTTGTTGCCCAGGCTGGAGTGCAATGGTGCCATCTCAGCTCACCACAACCTCTGCCTCCCAGGTTCAAGTGATTCTCCTGCCTCAGCCTCCCAAGTAGCTGGGATTACAGGCATACGCCACCACGCCCGGCTAATTTTGTATTTTTAGTAGAAATGGTGTTTCTCCATGTTGGTCAGGTTGGTCTCAAACTCATGACCTCAGGTGATCCGCCTGCCTCAGCCTCCCAAAATGAATGAAAGCTATTCCTATAGTGTGATATCAGTAGGTCTAGTTAAGTAAGGCATAAAACGTTATCAGACATGGTGAGAGAGTATAATCAATTTTAGGGAGAAACAGAGACATAAGAATATGGAAAACGCAAGTGAGAAACAGAAAACATCAGAATTTGGAAAAGGCAACAAGTAAGTCGTTAGCCTCTAGTTACTTGTGGAGAAGAAACAAGATAAAAGGCAGTTAGGGCTCAGTAACAGAATTCAGATATAGAAGAATATAAAGAACTGAACAATAACTCCTAAGTCAGTAATATTTCTAATTCATCCTGTGCTAGTCTTTCTTCTTCTATTTTTAATAAATGAATCAATGCATGTTGGAAATATGTAAAATGACATATTAAATATCTATCATATTATTCTGTATGGAGACAGTAGATGAGTGAATATCAATTACATGTAAAGATTTACATTGTCAGTAAGCTAGCAGGGTTACAAAGAAGGTAAGCTAAACCATTTTTAGTCATTGCAATGATTTGTATTCTGCAATTTTTGCCAAAATAACTTTTCTTCATTTCATAATTGGCAACTTATTACACAAATTCAAATTCAAGTTTCAAACATACCATCTTGTTACAGCTACCAAACTTCAAACTTTATAATGTTCAGTTTATGGGCTAAAAAGAATATCCTGATGGGATTTTGTTTTGTTCAGGAATTAGTTGAACGGGGCCACCAAGCAGGGAAATACTTAGTGCTTTAATTTTTATAAAAAGGCTAAGAAAGGATGGTGGATTATCTGCGTGATTATAAATAAATTTAGCCATATTGTAAAGTAGCTCAGAATGATCCTGAGAATTCAAAATGTAAAAGATATTAAAAGTAATGCTAGACAATTCGTTTCAAGATTTACTCAGAAATTATTATAACATATTGTGATATAATGTCATGTGTACAATTTTGCATTAATGGAATATAATTTCTATGGGGAAACTATGAAAGGCAGTCCATGAGCAAATAATACATTTTATACTTTAATGGTAATTGATTTTCTAAAGATCTGTAGTGGAATTCAATTGGACTTAGTGGGTTCAATTTTATTTGAGTAGTTTTTAAAAGTTTATTATAGTCCAGGAAGAATTCCAAGTCCCATGGGCACTAAGTCAAAGAAGAAACTCTGATCTTAAGAAATTCAAGAGTTAAGCAGTTAAAATTATACAAATGTGTAAATAAGTATATAAAACATGCATATATATATTCTATCAGAATTTTCTCTCACTGTAAAATAAAAGAAGAAAGTAAATTTGTTTGCTATCTCTTATACATTTTTGCATCTGGCAATTAATCACGTAAGTGAATCAATTGGGTGTTCATTAAATTCTGAAAGGGGAGGAACAGAAAAAGGGAGATGAGAAGGGGTGGGAGGAAAAGGGGACAGAGAGATGGTCAGATAAAGGGAAAAGGGAGAGGAGAAGCTAAATATGTGATTCTGTGACATCTTTGTATTTCTGGATATGAGAATCATGCGTAATGTAAAATTAATTTCCTTTTTTTGTTAAACTATAAATGTGAAGGTTAGTCTTAAATGTGGATTTCAAAGAAAAGCACTTTATGCCTAGGAATTTAATTTCTTGTAAAGATTAATCACTACTGTGAAAGTTGTCAGAATCAAAATGGAGTCACTACTGTTAAAAAAAAAAAAAAAAATTCCCTGCCAAATAAAGGCAGGGAAGGCCATGAAGAGAAAGTTCTCATGCCTGTATGCCTGATAACAAAACCTATCACAATGGCCTCTGCAAAAACCACAGCTTTGCACAAAGACCATCACGAACTTACACACAAAATTCTTCTGCAAGGACATCTGCCCAGCAACTCCCTGTTCATACTGGAACTGGAATCATTCTTGTTATTTATCTTTGCAGCCATGGATAATTATCTCAAAACAATTATGTAATTATCCTTGTTTTTTTCTTTAAAAACCTTTTTCTTCTTTCACCTTTCTGAATATGCACATAAATTTACTGCGGCACATGTATTCTCATGTCAATGCTCTAGTCCCAAATAACTACCTTTTTCTTTTAAAGAGACTTTTTCTGTTATGTAGGTTGACACACCCTGACTTCCCAAAAGTTATGTGGCAGCAGGTAAATCCACTGGCAGGAAAACATCAAATTCATACAGCTGTGTACCTAACGGCATCCCCTGCATATGTGAAGATTCATTTTCTCATTTCTAATATGCACGTGGTTACAGATTGCTTTTCACATAAATATGTGAAATGTTGTGTGACATGTGAACACTTTCCCATCTGGATGATTGTTCATAAAACTCATTTTCTATGATTTAATAAACCTAGGAACCCACAAGCAAGAACAGCTTTAGCCCTAGTATTTCAATGTTTGTAGGTGTTACAATCACTTGTATGTTCCATAACACGTTCCTACTTTTATCAACTATTAATTTGTGCTTAAAAGGTAATAAACCTAGCACTCTGACCCTTGGCTGTCATTAATGGCAACATAAATTAGACGATTACATGCTTTAATATTTTTCAAACCCTTCTATTCTACTTCTCCCCAAACCCCACCTTTCATAAAAATTTACTGGTTTAGAAGAGCTGAATGTCTCGGAAAAAATTGATTATGTAGTTTAGCAGAAGCTGTTGCTGGCACTGCATAAAATAAAGCATAGATTATATGATTCAAATGTACCAAAACAAATGACATTTTTGGAATGAAATTAGAATTGTATTGCTTTCTCTGATCATTTTGGAAACCACTTTGTAATAAAAGATTATTACCATTCATGCATGTGCTGTAGAATCTCTCCAAATGCAGACTCCAGACTGGAAATTGTCCACCAGAACCTACTCAGAAAAAATTAGTAAATAAATAAACAAACAAACTTTTCTGGAACATATTAACAAAAATATTTCACAGAGATAACTTGAGAAAACAAATCTTTTCATTTTTATAAATGAAATAAGTGAATAATCTACTCTCCCTATACCAATATTCTGACTTTGAAATATATAGGGTCCCATGTTCCTCTAAATTTTACAATAATTTTAGAATTATGTGGTGTAGAAACTTATCTCCTTGGCAAAATTAATAACGGGCTTTATTTAAACCACTAATATTCAATTACATTGTAATTATAATTCTCTATTATTTTACAGGATAATTAATTTAATAAAATAAACACAGTTTAACAGGAAAACTGAACTGCAAGGAAATCTATATGTATAAATAGGATGAACTCAGCGAAAACTACCAATACATCTTAATTCTAATAAAGATAAGTAATACGGAAGAGAATAGATTAAACAGTTATATATAGTATATCTTGACATTAATTGAAGTTCCCCTCTCTTGATTTGTATTTGTTTTTTTCTCATCAATTATATTACAAAGATTATCTAGATAAAATTCAAGAGATACATCTACCTTCCTGATTTTCAGACTCACTTGCTAATTATAAAGATAATATTAAAATGAAACTAGAATTCTACTTTTCAATATGATGGCTGTTAACCACATGTGACTAATGAGAAGTTGGAATATGGGTAGTCTGAAATGAGATGTGCTATAAGCATTGAATACACCAAATACACTGAAAAATATACACTGAATTCTGAAGACAGTTTGGACAAAAAAGCATGTAGTACATCCCATTAATTCTTTTCAAATATTGATTATATGTTGATGTAATGCTTTAGAGACACAGGTTTAAATAAAATATATAATTAAAATACATTTAACCTCTGTTTACTTTTTTAATGTGACTACTAGAAAATTAAAATATCAGGGAGCCAAGATGGCCGAGTAGGAACAGCTCCGGTCTACAGCTCCCAGCGTGAGCGACGCAGAAGACGGGTGATTTCTGCATTTCCATCTGAGGTACCGGGTTCATCTCACTAGGGAGTGCCAGACAGTGGGCGCAGGTCAGTGGGTGCACTCATCGTGTGCGAGCCGAAGCAGGGTGAGGCATTGCCTCACTTGGGAGCGCAAGGGGTCAGGGAGTTCCCTTTCCGAGTCAAAGAAAGGGGTGACGGACGCACCTGGAAAATCAGGTCAATCCCACCCGAATACTGCGCTTTTCCGACCAGCTTAAACAATGTCGCACCACGAGATTATATCCTGCACCTGGCTGGGAGGGTCCTACGCCCATGGAGTCTCGCTGATTGCTAGCACAGCAGTCTGAGATTAAACTGCAAGGCGGCAGCGAGGCTGGGGGAGGGGCGCCTGCCATTGCCCAGGCTTGCTTAGGTAAACAAAGCAGCCGGGAAGCTCGAACTGGGTGGAGCCCACCACGGCTCAAGGAGGCCTGCCTGCCTCTCTAGGCTCCACCTCTGGGGTCAGGGCACAGACAAACAAAAAGATAGCAGTAACCTCTGCAGACTTAAATGTCCCTGTCTGACAGCTTTGAAGAGAGCAGTGGTTCTCCCAGCACGCAGCTGGAGATCTGAGAACGGGCAGACTGCCTCCTCAAGTGGGTCCCTGACCCCTGACCCCCGACCCCCGAGCAGCCTAACTGGGAGGCACCCCCCAGCAGGGGCACACTGACACCTCACACGGCAGAGTATTCCAACAGACCTGCAGCTGAGGGTCCTGTCTGTTAGAAGGAAAACTAACAAACAGAAAGGACATATTTCTTATATGGGACTATGTGAAAAGACCAAATCTACGTCTGATTGGTGTACCTGAAAGTGATGGGGAGAATGGAACCAAGTTGGAAAACACTCTGCAGGATATTATCCAGGAGAACTTCCCCAATCTAGCAAGGCAGGCCAACGTTCAGATTCAGGAAATACAGAGAACGCCACAAAGATACTCCTCGAGAAGAGCAACTCCAAGACACATAATTGTCAGATTCACCAAAGTTGAAATGAAGGAAAAAATGTTAAGGGCAGCCAGAGAGAAAGGTCGGGTTACCCTCAAAGGGAAGCCCATCAGACTAACAGCGGATCTCTCAGCAGAAACCCTACAAGCCAGAAGAGAGTGGGGGCCAATATTCAACATTCTTAAAGAAAAGAATTTTCAACCCAGAATTTCATATCCAGCCAAACTAAGCTTCATAAGCGAAGGAGAAATAAAATACTTTACAGACAAGCAAATGCTGAGAGATTTTGTCACCAGCAGGCCTGCCCTAAAAGAGCTCCTGAAGGAAGCACTAAACATGGAAAGGAACAACTGGTACCAGCTGCTGCAAAATCATGCCAAAATGTAAAGACCATATAGGAAGAAACTGCATCAACTAACGAGCAAAATAACCAGCTAACATCACAATGACAGGAGCAAATTCACACATAACAATATTAACTTTAAATGTAAATGGACTAAATGCTCAAATTAAAAGACACAGACTGACAAATTGGATAAAGAGTCAAGACCCATCAGTGTGCTGTATTCAGGAAACCCATCTCACATGCAGAGACACACATAGGCTCAAAATAAAAGGATGGAGGAAGATCTACCATGCAAATGGAAAACAAAAAAAGGCAGGGGTTGCAATCCTAGTCTCTGATAAAACAGACTTTCAACCAACAAAGATCAAAAGAGACAAAGAAGGCCATTACATAATGGTAAAGGGATCAATTCAACAAGAAGAGCTAACTATCCTAAATATATATGCACCCAATACAGGAGCACCCAGATTCATAAAGCAAGTGCTTAGTGACCTACAAAGAGACTTAGACTCCCACACATTAATAATGGAAGACTATAACACCCCACTGTCAACATTAGACAGATCAACGAGACAGAAAGTCAACAAGGATACCCAGGAATTGAACTCAGCTCTGCACCAAGTGGACCTAATAGACATCTACAGAACTCTCCACCCCAAATCAACAGAATATACATTTTTTTCAGCACCACACCACACCTATTCCAAAATTGACCACATACTTGGAAGTAAAGCTCTCCTCAGCAAATGTAAAAGAACAGAGATTATAACAAACTATCTCTCAGACCACAGTGCAATCAAACTAGAACTCAGGATTAAGAATCTCACTCAAAACCACTCAACTACATGGAAACTGAACAAACTGCTCCTGAATGACTACTGGATACATAACGAAATGAAGGCAGAAATAAAGATGTTCTTTGAAACCAACGAGAACAAAGACACAACATACCAGAATCTCTGGGACGCATTCAAAGTAGTGTGTAGAGGAAAATTTATAGCACTAAATGCCCACAAGAGAAAGCAGGAAAGATCCAAAATTGACACCCTAACATCACAATTAAAAGAACTAGAAAAGCAAGAGCAAACACATTCAAAAGCTAGCAGAAGGCAAGAAATAACTAAAATCAGAGCAGAACTGAAGGAAATAGAGACACAAAAAACCCTTCAAAAAATTAATGAATCCAGGAGCTGGTTTTTTGAAAGGATCAACAAAATTGATAGACCGCTAGCAAGACTAATAAAGAAAAAAAGAGAGAAGAATCAAATAGACGCAAAAAAAATGATAAAGGGGATATCACCACCGATCCCACAGAAATACAAACTACCATCAGAGAATACTACAAACACCTCTACGCAAATAAACTAGAAAATCTAGAAGAAATGGATAAGTTCCTCGACACATACACTCTCCCAAGACTAAACCAGGGAGAAGTTGAATCTCTGAATAGACCAATAAGAGGATCTGAAATTGTGGCAATAATCAATAGTTTACCAACCAAAAAGAGTCCAGGACCAGATGAATTCACAGCCAAATTCTACCAGAGGTACAAGGAGGAACTGGTCCCATTCCTTCTGAAACTATTCCAATCAACAGAAAAAGAGGGAATCCTCCCTAACTCATTTTATGAGGCCAGCATCATCCTGATACCAAAGCCGGGCAGAGACAAAATGAACAAAGAGAATTTTAGACCAATATCCTTGATGAACATTGATGCAAAAATCCTCAATAAAATACTGGCAAAACGAATCCAGCAGCACATCAAAAAGCTTATCCACCATGGTCAAGTGGGCTTCATCCCTGGGATGCAAGGCTGGTTCAATATACGCAAATCAATAAATGTAATCCAGCATATAAACAGAGCCAAAGAAAAAAAACCACATGATTATCTCAATAGATGCAGAAAAAGCCTTTGACAAAATTCAACAACCCTTCATGCTAAAAACTTTCAATAAATTAGGTGTTGATGGGATGTATCTCAAAATAATAAGAGCTATCTATGACAAACCCACAGCCAATATCATACTGAATGGGCAAAAACTGGAAGCATTCCCTTTGAAAACTGGCACAAGACAGGGATGCCCTCTCTCACCACTCCTATTCAACATAGTGTTGGAAGGTCTGGCCAGGGCAATTAGGCAAGAGAAGGAAATAAAGGGTATTCAGTTAGGAAAAGAGGAAGTCAAATTGTTCCTGTTTGTAAACGACATGATTGTATATCTACCCCATTGTCTCAGCCCAAAATCTCCTTAAGCTGATAAGCAACTTCAGCAAAGTCTCAGGATACAAAATCAATGTACAAAAATCACAAGCATTCTTATACACCAACAACAGACAAACAGAGAGCCAAATCATGAGTGAACTCCCATTCACAATTGCTTCAAAGAGAATAAAATACCTAGGAATCTAACTTACAAGGGATGTGAAGGACCTCTTCAAGGAGAACTACAAACCACTGCTCAATGAAATAAAAGAGGATGCAAACAAATGGAAGAACATTCCATGCTCACGGGTAGGAAGACTCAATATCGTGAAAATGGCCATACTGCCCAAGGTAATTTACAGATTCAATGCCATCCCCATCAAGCTACCTATGACTTTCTTCACAGAATTGGAAAAAACTACTTTAAAGTTCATATGGAACCAAAAAGAGCCTGCATTGCCAAGTCAATCCTAAGCCAAAAGAACAAAGCTGGAGGCATCATGCTACCTGACTTCAAACTATACTACCAGGCTACAGTAACCAAAACAGCATGGTACTGGTACCAAAACAGAGATATAGATCAATGGAACAGAACAGAGCCCTCAGAAATGATGCCACATATCTACAACCATCTGATCTTTGACAAACCTGAGAAAAACAAGCAATGGGGAAAGGATTCCCTATTTAATAAATGGTGCTGGGAAAACTGGCTAGCCATATGTAGAAAGCTGAAACTGGATCCCTTCCTTACACCTTATACAAAAATCAATTCAAGATGGATTAAAGACTTAAACGATAGACCTAAAACCATAAAAACCCTAGAAGAAAACCTAGGCATTACCATTCAGGACATAGGCATGGGCAAGGACTTCATGTCTAAAACACCAAAAGCAATGGCAACAAAAGACAAAATTGACAAATGGGATCTAATTAAACTAAAGAGCTTCTGCACAGCAAAAGAAACTGCCATCAGAGTGAACAGGCAACCTACAAAATGGGAGAAAATTTTCGCAACCTACTCATCTGACAAAGGGCTAATATCCAGAATCTACAATGAACGCAAAGAGATTTACAAGAAAAAAACAAACAACCCCATCAAAAAGTGGGCGAAGGACATGAACAGACACTTCTCAAAAGAAGACATTTATGCAGCCAAAAAACACATGAAAAAATGTTCATCATCACTGGCCATCAGAGAAATGCAAATCAAAACCACAATGAGATACCATCTCACACCAGTTAGAATGGTAATCATTAAAAAGTTAGGAAACAACAGGTGCTGGAGAGGATGTGGAGAAATAGGAACACTTTTACACTGTTGGTGGGACTGTAAACTAGTTCAACCATTGTGGAAGTCAGTGTGGCAATTCCTCAGGGATCTAGAACTGGAAATACCATTTGACCCAGCCATCCCATTACTGGGTATATACCCAATGGACTATAAATCGTGCTGCTATAAAGATACACGCACACGTATGTTTATGCGGCATTATTCACAATAGCAAAGACTTGGAACCAACCCAAATGTCCAACAATGATAGACTGGATTAAGAAAATGTGGCACATATACACCATGGAATACTATGCAGCCATAAAAATGATGAGTTCATGTCCTTTGTAGGCACATGGATGAAACTGGAAATCATCATTCTCAGTAAACTATCGCAAGAACAAAAAACCAAACACCGCATATTCTCACTCATAGGTGGGAATTGAACAATGAGATCACATGGACACAGGAAGGGGAATATCACACTCTGGGGACTGTGGTGGGGTGGGGGGAGGGGCGAGGGATAGCATTGGGAGATATACCTAATGCTAGACGACGAGTTAGTGGGTGCAGCGCACCAGCATGGCACATGTATACATATGTAACTAACCTGCACATTGTGCACATGTACCCTAAAACTTAAAGTATAATAATAAATAAATAAATAAATAAATAAATAAATAAATAGAAGTTACTGAAAATAAAATAAAATACTCAAAAAAAAAAAAGAAAGAAAATTAAAATATCTCATATATTGGCCGTATGTTTCAATGGACAATACTAAACTAGAGTATTCCTTAAAATCATTATTTATGAATTGAAAAATATACAAATATTTGGCTTTCTATTAGTAACTAATGCCTACATATATACTGATGTATTATCTGTATGTTTTTGTCTTTTTTGCTATGTTTTGATTAAGAGCTAAAATTATGGTAAAGAAAGAAAAAGGATAAACCATCTTGTGTATGTGTGTATTTGTGTGTGACTTGTGTATTTTCTGGTGTGTTTATTTCTGTTGATGTAATATATATTAAAAGGTTTGGGGTTTTATTAGGATACATTGCTTTATATTTGAATTACTGAAACTGAATGAGTCAGAAATAAATACAATTTATCTCCTGTTGATGATTACTTTATCATAGACTAACAGATCCAAAGAAAAAGATTAGAAATACCTAAGAAAGAAGAATACAGTTTATATTTGAAGTCACTGCAAAGCTGTCAAGTCAACCAGGTTTAGTGGGCAAAATCTCAGACAGAAGGCCAGTTCCACGAGGTGAGCTAAAGCATATGCAACAATGATTTGTGTCTTGAGGTATTTCCCAGTCTATAAGCAGCTCATATGAAAGGCTAAGGAATGAAAACTAAGAAACCAAAAAGCCAAGCAGAATATTTGTTGTCTTATATTGGAGACAAACATTGGAGTTCATGGGCTGCCAAGAAGGAAGCATAAAATCTACATTGCCGTTATGACCCAGGAAGTGCTATGCTCTAGAAGCAAGTGAATCAGCAATAGGCCATCCTTTACAAAGCCTTAATCCCAGCCTTGAATACTCTGGCTCTGTTTAGATTAAGATAATGTGACTTTATGTAACTATCTAACAAAAGAGACAGTAAACCTCACTTGAAGAAAAAACAAATTGTTATCAAGAAATTGACATTTCTAGATGACCAGTATTCAAATGAATAGCAAATAAGTGAATAAACAAGCACCAAGTATGACAAAAGATAAGACCAAATATCTGAAAATCGGCAGAAACAAAACTAACAATGTCAGTGTCAAAAGTAAACAACATAAACTTTAAAAGCTGTAATATGTAAAAAAAAAGTTGATTATTTCTACTCATAATAAATATAGAAAAAATAAATTTGTATTTTAAAAATGAAGAGTATAATAAGTAAAATAAAGCACTAGCAATATGGCATACTCAATAGATAATTTATCTATATATTAGACAAAGGAGAATATCAGGTTAATGAACTGGAAAATAGAACACTAGACAATACTCAGACTGTTGATTACATATGGTTAAAAAAGGAGGAGGCACAGAAGAGAGAAGAAAAGAAAGAAAGAAAGAACAGTATGAAGGGCGAAAGGGAGGGAGAGAGCGAGGAAGAAAGAAAACCTCTTAAAAATGTAAGAGACATACGGTACAAAGTGAAAATGTGTAAAATGCATGTCATTGAATGACCAGAGAGAGTAGAGTTTTAAGGAATAGAATTAATATTAGAAGTTATACAAGCTCTCTATATTTTCCAAGATTATGAAAAACATCAAGCCATAAACTAAAAAATTTTTAATTACCCCATGGATAGACAATACATATTTTTAAAGCATACTTAAGTACATTATAGTAAAGTGCATGCTATGGTTTGAATGTTTGTATCCCACTCAAATTCATGTGTTGAAGCCCAAACCCCAAAACAATAGTATTAAAGGGTGGCATATTTAGGAGTTTATTAGGTCATGAGGGTGGAACCTTTTTGAATAAGATTAGTGCCTTTATAAAATAAGTGAAAGCGAGTTTATTTTTCCCTTCCATCATGCAAGAACACAACAAGAAGTCACCATGTGTGAAGCAGACAGATCCTTTACCAAACACTGTATCTGCAGTGCCGTGATCTTGGACTTTCCAGCCTCCTGAATTGTGAGCAATAAATATCTGTTGTTCTTAAGTTACTCTAAGATATTTTGTTACAGTAGTTCGAATATACTAAGAGAGTACAAAAAAAAAAAAGTAAAACACCCAGAAGCAACCGATAAAATTTAAAACAATATAATGAAAATAGCCTGATGCACTAATATAATCATATTTAATACAATATTTTAAAATACACAGAGAACATTTCCCAGAATTGATCAATATGCTGGCCCATAAAGCAAGTCACAACAAATTTCAAGATGGTGTATAGGGCTATATATATTCTACTACTTGAATCCTTTTTCTAAACTCACGTCACAATTCTTTCTGCTTCACAGCCTAAGTTCCAATAATTTGTCCTTTCTGCCTTCTACATTGATATGATTTAGCTGTGTCCCCAACCAAATCTCATCTTAAATTGTAGCTCCCCTAATTCCCACATGTCCTGGGAGGGACCCAGTGGAAGGTAATTGAATCAGAGGGACAAGTCTTTCCCATGCTGTTCTTGTGTTAGTGGAAAGTCTCATGAGATCTGATGGTTTTTTAAAGAGGAGTTCCCCTGCACGTACTCTTTCTTGCCTGCCGCCATGTAAGACATTCCTTTGCTCTTTTTTTATCTTTTGCCATGATTGTGAGGCCTCCCCAGCCATGTGAAACTGTGAGTCCATTAAACCTCTTTTCTTTATAGATTATCCAGTCTCACAGTATGTCTTTATTAGCAGTGTCAGAACAGATTAATACATATATGAAGTTCCCTTTATATTAAAATGTCCTTTCCAATCCCTTCTCTGACCTAATTACTACTAGTCATCTAAAAGTAATCTCAGTTACAGCTTCTTTCAGAAAATATTTTTAATTATTCCTGAGACCTCATCTAAACCAAATTAGGTACCTCACAGTTTTGTGCCCCCAAAGCCTAGGGTCTTCATATATTTTTTGAATTACCTCAGCTTTTCATTCTAATTAACTTATTGCTAGACTGTAAGTTTATAAAGAGATACAGTCAAATTTGTACATATTTAATGAATGCATTAGTTAATCAGTATTCACAGGATGTCTATTTTCTATTGAATTCTAACACTGTATGAATTTTGGCATTGGACAAATGAATTCTAAGAAACTTGTGCTTCCTTACTAGAGATAATCATGCAACAGCTAAAATAATTAAGTCAATATTCTCTACTATGACAAAAGATCTGACTTCTCTACACCAGAAACTCACTAGCATGGAATTCTGGCTATGTCAAGGGAGAAACAAGTAATGATGCATCTACCTGTATTTCTTCTCAATAACTTTGAGTAATCCTAGAAAAGAAAAGATAGTATTCATTATTATTATTATGCATCCTTTTTTTTGCTATAAAATGAGGTCTTCAAAATACGGTTAGTGTTGATACAATGAGAATTTAAAGAACAGGTGTTTTCAGGAATCAATAGATACCTAGAGTTGTTTTGTTTGTTGTAATTTTCCATAATTTTTATCTTATTTGTACTTGTTTACAATTTTATTATTTCCAAAGTTTCACCACAAATCATTTTTCATTTAACCACTTTTTATGTCTTTGTTGATATGTAATTCTTTGGAACTAATTAACTTTTAAAATCCCCTATTCCTAATTGCAAACTCTATAGTAACATATCTACTTATATTTTGATATTGCCATAAATATGTAGTAAACACATTTCAAGGATTTGCATTCAACCACTAAAGTCATTTTATAGCTTTCATAATCCCAAGATGACAAAACAAATAAACAAATAACACATGTGTTGGGCCTTATATATATTTAGAAGGGATTACTATACTTAAAAAGTCATTTTTTAATAAATTGCCCTTTATCACAGGAAGAGGAAAATTGTTCTTATGGATATAATTTACCTCTTGAAGTAAAGATAGAACAATTATCAGATATTTAATTCTGAAAGAAAAATATTGATCTTCAAAACAAACAAAAAATTATAGAAAGTACACCGAAAAGACAGTTCACTAAGAACAAAGTAGGCAGTTTGAGAAATCTGAAAATCCAACAAATACAGGAAAGGATGATCATACTTTTGAGTAACTAGAGAAATACTCAATTTAAATTTATATACTATTTTATAAGAGCTTGTCAAAGTTTATAAAGGTAGATAATATCTAGCATCGGTGAAATTATGGTATAATGGAAAGCTTTATGTACCAAGAATAGTATAAAGTGGTATAAGCATTATGACAAGAAATTTAAAATAACTTAATTAAACTAAGTATTGTATACCCTATCATTCTTTGGTTACATTTCTATGAATATATCTCAGAAATTTCTTTATATATGTTTAAAAAGGAAACACATGGATATGTTAAGGATTGTAGTCAAAATTTAGAGGCCACTCTAAGTGTTCATTATTCTGCCAATAGGTACATATAATGTAGTCTTGTACTGTGGAATATTATGGAACAGTTAAAAACAATATGGGTAGAAATTAAGGACAACGTCAAATTTTAAAAATTTAACAATGGAATGGGATCTGTAATACATAGCGCTTATGCAATCAAATGTATAGCCAGAACAATCTGCATAATATAACATAATACACACATATCCACATATAGCACACGTCAAGCCTATGTTGAAGTAGGTGGTGGTGAAGGAAAGTGAAAAATGTCTTTAAATGAGAAAATGTAAAATAAAGTGGGGTCTTGCAAAAAGCAAGTAAGATAATATGTCACAACTCTTAGTACAATGAAGCTGATTTGAAAGCCTTGGTGGTCCTATTAATTTTTTCATGAGTCAATATGAATAAGAGAGATGGATAATCCTGGAAAGAATGGAGAATACTTCCTCACTTTATTATATCATGAAGTTTGGAGTCACAGGATAGAGAGAAGCTTGGGACCACTGTGGAAGTTGTGGGGTGGGGCTTGCTCTCTAATGACCCAGTATGTTTAAAAAGACCATTTTATTTCAAGTGGTATGTAATTTATATCTTTTTCCCTTCTAATATAAATCTGTTTTACGACATTTTCAGAATTGCAGTTGGTCACAATAGCATTTTAAAATTTCAAAACACATTTGGACACACTGGCTTTCATTTACTGAGAGACGTTTTGGTTTTCCCATTTTCACATTGCGTCATATATTCACAGATTACCTATTTTACTGGAAATTCTATGAAGACAGACTATTAAAAATTATGAATCAGAAGTTAAAAAATAGCCATATAGGGACTCAATCTAGCTTCTTTAAACGTATCCCTGTAAAATGGGAATTATGTTCCATAACTTGACTTTTATTCAAGTAATTGATTTTAAATTACATCTTAAAATGAACGTTTGTAGCTGCTTGGGGATATTCTAATCACTTACTCACATAGAATATTATAGATTTGGTGAAAATTACTATTATATTGTATGTGTATTAAACTTTACTTTTCAAATTATTACTCAGATCTACAGAAAAGATATACATGTACTAAAAAACCCACAATTGGATAATGTTACTTACCTTTAATAATTAATATTTCTTAACAATTCTCAATGTTTCTAAATATAGAACTGTCCTACTTTTGTTTGTTTAAATGCAATATAAATATTTGTTGTGTGATTTCACTTTTATTGATAATTTAGAAAAGTGTATCTTCAGACTATATTACATTAACTTATATTTAGAATTTCCATTTCTCTTATAACCTTTGCTAAATCTTTTGAAGAATAAAATGACTAGAGTATGCAAAGCTATTCCTGTGTTTTTACATTTTGCTCAATAAATTAAAAGAGTATATGGAATGGAAGATTTTAAGATTCGAAAGTTCTTTGTGTTATATAGAAAAAGAATTTAATTGCATTGAAATTTATCTTACATAATTCTATCTCAATAAAATAATTCACAATAGTTATTGTGTCTTAATAAAGACAAAATGTTAATGCATATTCAAATACAGTTTTAAAAGATAACATATTTCCATAAATGCATTCTAAAATGTGTAGCACTTTTATTTTAAAAGCAGTATGTTGTTTTGATCAGGTCTATTGTTGGTGAATTCAGTGGGAATTCAGAATACCACACCTGTTACGTCCTTTAATTACAAATAATGCCTACAGCTACTGCCTTATACTCTACCATCTTCATAGCCATAGGACTCTAAGAGTTGTTTTCATATAAAGCCAGTATTTTGCTACACTCCAGTCCATTTTGTTACACACCTTCTTACTTGGGATCTGCTACTATCACTCAACCAAAATTTCTCCTACAGTCACCATCAATTTCCATACCAAAGTGAAGGGCAACTTTTACATATTTCACTGTACCATACTTTACTAGATTTCATGGCAGCATTTATTTCTTTCATTAGTAATACATTTTTTATTTCTTGTATGATATAGCTCCTCATGCACTTTCTCTTTTCTCCTTCTGCCAATTCTTTCTTCTCTCTCTCTCTCTACCCCTCCCCCTTCTTGTTTCTTCTTTCTTGGTGTCCTTTTCCACTTGCTCCCTCTTTAATAGTCATGTAGTTTTGGAGTAACTTAGGACTCAAGCTGGAGCCCTTTTTGCTCCCAGTCTTTCCATAGTTGCACAATGCAGTTCTGTAATTAAATTTCAAGTGCTTGATAGTTATGAAATGTAATATACGTGTGTGTGAAATATATAGTGTTTTCATTCTTTATTATTATTATTTTTTATTTTTAGAAATGAGGTCTCACTTCCCTGGGCTGGAGTGCAGTTGCATGATTATAGCTCACTGAAGCCTCAAACTCCTGGGCTCACGTATCCCTCCTGCCTCAGCCTCCCAAATAACTGGGACTACAGGTGCACACCACCGTGCCTGGCTACTTTATTTTTATTTTTTATTGTTAGTAGAGACAGGGTTTGCTTTGTTGTCCAAGCTGGTCTCAGACTCCTGGCTTCAAGCGATTCTCCTGTCTTGGCCTCTCAAAGCGTTGGGATTACAGGCATGAGGCACAGTTCCCAGTCATAAAATTTAGTTTTTAAATAGACAATTTTACTTTTTAACTCTGGTTTCAAAGAGTAACACTATGGAAAGAATAGCAACTTCCTTCCAGCACTTTATCACAACCTTGTCTCTTGATGTTTGACAAGAGACATTTCTTGTCTCCTGATATATCTTTGAGGTCTCACAAAGCTCTCTAATGTACCCTTTCAAAAACTGAATTATATATTTGTTTCTTTTTATCCCCTTGTTTTTTACCTTGTTTTTTAGGAAGATCTTCTTCTTCTTTGCTGGAATTAGTGTTCTCAGGAGTCTATCTTGTTTTACTTTTTCTTTTCTTACAGACTGTGACTTATAATCTGCTTACGACACATAATGACTAAATTATCCATTCAGCCTTATATTCAGCAGTTTGTACTTTTTTCACCATAGTAATTGCATCACTTGTCATCTAAATACACACACATTCATTTAATAAAATACACACATACATGTATCTATTTATAATGTCTTCAAAAGAACTGTAACATAAGAATTGCAACTGATTTATTTATTATTTTTACCTCCATTTCTTACATCGTATGTGACATACATTTCAATATCATTATACACTTGGAAATAGATGAATTGCAGGATTTAAACTCTTGAAGACAAGGGTTTTCCTTTTTTTGGCTAACTCTGAACTGAGTTTTTTTCCACATTTTATTTTCTTCAGAATTCATAATATTCTAATTTGTTTGTAATAATTTCTATACATTATTTCTCACCTATATGTTATGTTCTGTATATTATGTTTTTAAAACTTTGCATACAGAACATAACAGATAGAAAATATTAAATATAAATGTTTTGAATTAATGAATAAAAGACTATAGTAAACATGTTATCATCACTGAAAAATAAATGCATCTGTCTTACAATGTTTTGAAGGACATTTCATTATCTGCCTACACATTAAGAATGTCACCTATTCATATAATAAAAGATAATTTTCCTAATAAACCATAATTTTCTGTTACTTTAATATGTATTTTTATGGGAAATATTTCCAGATAATTCCTTAGACATATAAATGATCTTTACGATAAACTAAAGCATTATAATTTTGAATTGTGCAAATAATTCCATTCAAATTATAACTAAGCACATTTCTGGAACATGTTTCTGTCACTAGGACTGTGTTTTTAATAAAGGATAGAACTTTAATTTTGAAGAAAATCTCTCCCCGTGCTTATCTTGCATCTGAATCAGCCTATTTAACAGCATGAACTTTCTCGAGAATAAGATTTATTGTACTTTAGAAAGAAAAATGCATGCCTGTATTTCACTGACACCAAAACTCAGGAGCTAAGCATATTAGTGTTTTCCCTAAGCTCTGAACACTTGTGTAAGTTTGCTAAAAGAGAATCTCTTCCATATTTTGTTTTATCCCATTTACATACAGTGCTAACATTTCATCTCATCATTTTCTTTCCACTTGCTCCAGACAATAAAAAAGGGTTATCCTTAGCCCATTGCACTATTGTGATTCCTGTTGTCCAAACTATATTATATTTCACTTCTTTCTCAAGGCGAGGCAAGGAAGGCGAAAAGGGTATGCAAACAGTGAGTAGAGGCTTGTCTATGATATTGAAAGAATAAGTACACAATAGCCAACTTAATTTTAAATACATATATCCATAAATGTATTTTAATAGTTACGTATTAAACATTTTGATAAAATAAATGTGTTGATTATCCAATTCACTGAAATTGTCAATTGACATAAAAATGGTTAACTTTATAAAGCAGGCAGCAGGTAGCATTTTATTTGATGAAATAATAGCTATATTTTTAAAAAGTTCTTTGACATTGATATTGATTTTCATTTTGTGTTCCTGACTTATTGTAGGCAATGTTTAACTGAGGAAACCTATGTGTGTGTGTGTGTGTGTGTGTGTGTGTGTGTATGTACACATATATATGTGTATATATATATATAACTTGTTCTAATAAACTTAGATTTTATTTGGATATTAACAATTTTCATGTTTTACTTTGTTCATATATGTTATGTGATTTGATCTTCACCATACTCCTAGAGGTTCAAGACATTTACTTTTACTGCTACCTTAAATCACACAAAGCTAAACCTGAGATCAAAATTTAGCTAAAAACATCTACAAACACGATGGAAAAGGTGCAATAGTTCAATTATTATTGAACTGTCCCACAGAGAATTGCCTGTGTTTCAAAGGTTTACCCTAGCTTTCGTTGGCATTGGCTGACATACAACACATTCCCTTGCTTGGATACAGTACAGTTCTATGGAATTATAAATGTTTATCAAACAATTTTTATATTCTGTTACTGGTTTGATACTGTGTAAACTGCATGTCTTTAAAGTCTCTTAAAAGACATTGTTTTGAAATTCTGATAATTTATAGATATTGTACATAGGGTCCAAAATATTTTTATATATACCCTGCCTTATATCTATTCATAGGCCTGTGAGAAGACTTGGTGCCTATCCTTTAATCTCCCATTCTCTTTATCCTATCCTTCTTTAATCTTCTCTCCTTCTTTAATCTCCCATTGCCCAATATACAACGAGGAGAGAGCAAGACTTTTTATTTCACTCCACAACCAAGCCAAAAAAAAAATAATGATATTAAAAACATTGGTTAGACCTTGTTTTTTAGGAAGATCTTCTTCTTTGCTGGAATAAGCATTCTCAGGAGTCTATCTTGTAATGAAGACATTGGCCCTTTTTTTTCTTTTCCTTTAGGTCAGGCAATATAGAAATGACATAGCTGTGAGAAAAAAGAATATTCCAGCTTTCCTTATTGATTCCTGCCAAGTAACAAAGCAATTTGCTCTAAACATGTGGGCACATATTTCCGTGATCCAGTGCCTCTGGCCCGTCTACATGATTGGGACACCTGGACCAGAATTACTTACATTGTAGTACAAATAAAAAATAGTATTTATATGGTTCAGACTAGTTTTCTAGGGCCTACAATTGGACATGGTGGCAATCCTTGTATCACTATAGAATTTTTTTTTGTAGAAATTTCTTTTTAAGACTTTCTTTCTCATTATTTCATGAGGAGTACTGGTTTAAAAGAACACTCTGTTTTTAAAAAATACGGTCCCTTTGTGAAAAGACATAACATTATCTGGTTTCCTGTATTTACTGTTCACTATCTAACCCAGACCCCAAGAATCATAAATCCTTTAATTCTGTTATTTCACTGTTCTTTATCCTCTAAAGTCTTTGCCCCCTTTTTTACCCAGTTGAAATCCATGATCACACACTTGATTCCCATGGTCTCTCTTGTTTCTTTTTACTTGAATGACAAAACCACACTCTGATTAAATCTAACTCTCCAGCTGTTTTTTATCTGCACCCATGGGGTTTGACATGAATGGAGAAAAATACACAACCAGATTGACAGGTTTCACTGAAGATTTTTGACGTGAACTTCAAGTGGAAACTTAATGCATTTTAGCAACCATACTAAATATCCTTAGCACATTAAATCTTAATTATTAGCCGTCCTTTCCTCTCTCCAAACCTCCATGCTTCCTATTCCTAAGTTGCAGCTGATGAAATTGTGGCTTCCACCACCAAAAGCAAACTTACAGATTCCAGTCACTAAATCTATGCATGTATGGTATCTATACCACATCCTCTAACTGCTCCTTAATCACTGTAGAGCAGGGTGTTAAACTGAATGCCAGTATCCCCCATATTGGCTCCCACCATTGTGGGGACTGGCAAGTGTGAATGCTGAAGAGCAGCAGGCTGGAGATCAGGGGAGAGTTGATGCTGGAGTCTTCAGTCTGAAGGCCAATCTAAAGTCAGAATTATTTTCCCTTAGTGGAACCTCAGTGATTTTTTCTCTTAAGGCCTTCAGCTGATTGGAGAAGGTCCACCCCACTTACGGAGGGTAATCTGCTTTAATACAAATTTACTGATTTAAATATTAACCACGCCTAAAACATACCTTAACAACAGCCTCTAGACTGGTATTTGACCAAGCAACTGTGGACAATACACTCACCAAGTTGATACATAAAATTAACAATCCCATCAGGTCATTGTCATCAGCATAATAATGAACTGAAATTTCTCTCATTTAAAAATGTAATTTATCTTGACCTGATCCTATTTCCTTTACTAAGTACCAATCTACTTCTCTGTTTCCCTTTTCAGTAAACCTCCCTGAAAGAGTTGTGTAGATACACTATTCCCAAATTTCCTTTACATATCCTATCATGAAGCTACACTGATCATACAGTTATCCCCACTCTAGCAAAAGTGCTCTTGGTGTAATCATTGACCTCTACCTTGCTAAATCTAATATTTGATTTTACACTGCCCATCAGAACCATATAATGCAGCCCACCTTTATCTCCTTCTTGATACACTTTTCTCATTTTGCCTCCAGGATATTACTCTTCTTCTTTGCTTTCCTAACTCTTGTCTTCTTTCTTTTTCTTCTTTTATATCTTACACAATAATATTGACTTCCAAGAGCCAATCCTCAAATCTCTCCTCTACTTCTCCACTGCAGTGGTTATCTCATTGGTTATCTCATTCAATCAAATGGCTTATGTGCCAATGAATTCCAAATACCATCTCCAATACGGACCTCTCTCTTGAAAATACAGATTAATCAAACTACTTACTCAACTTCTCAACTAGAGTGTCTTATAGACATTTCAAATTCCACATATCTAATACTGAATCCTTCCTATCTCTCCCAAAATCTACTTCACCTACCACCTTTTCCAATTCAGTTGATGACAATTTCAGCTTTTCATGCCTTCAGACACAAATGGCATGTGATGTTATACTTAAGTATATTTTTCCTTCACATCAGACACTCAGAAACATTTCTGTCTCTGCCTTTAAAATGTAAACAGACTCTGACTACTTCTAACTATCTCATTGATATCTCACTACTCATCATTCTAACCCAAGCCTCTATCATTACTAGTCTAGACTTCTGCAGTGGCTTCCTCACTGTCTCTGTGCTCTATCTTTGCCCCCATGCTGTCTATTTGTAGCAGAGCAGCTGGAGTGATTCTTTAATCATATGTGAAATCATGTCACTTATCTGCTCAAAATCCTGCTTATAGGTTTCCATGTAACTAAAAGTAACAACACAATATCCTTACATTGGTACAAGTCCCTCTGTGTGGTTGGGCCTCTAATTCTTCTCTAACCTCATCTTCTGCTCTCCCGATAACTCATGGCCTTCATATCACAGAGGGCACGGAGGGAGGAGTATTTCTTGAAATTCCTGGAACATGCCAGCCACACTTTCACTTTACGGCATTTGTACTGGTTGTCTCCCCAGATATCTTTATAACAAATGCTTTTACCTCTACTCACTAGCTCACATGTGCTCTTCTTACTGAGGCCTACCACAGTCTCACTTTTAAAATCATAATCCATACTTCCAATGCCTATACATAACATAATCTTGCTATGATTGTATTTTGCCAAAGTGCTTTTTTCCTGTGTGTGTCTCAAGATCTCTTTTAGGAGATTAGCTATCAACTCTGGCCATGCCCTGATGGGGCTCCAGAGGATTTGTATTTGGTTGTACCTATGACAATGTGCCTTTCACAGAATGCTTCTTTATCCCTGTATACATTCTAATATTTAAGTATCCAATTTGTGATCACTGGTCCCTTTCACAGGAAACTCATTTATATGGGCAGACATTTTCGTGGTTCTTGTCTGACTTGTGTCCAGTTTATTTCTACCATAGCCACTCTCTAGGAGCACTCTGACTAGGAAAGAAGATAGGTTTTGGTGTGTTGCTCAGGTGAGCCACAGAGGAGGCAACTCAAGAAAACACATGAAATAACAGAAGCAGTTTATTACTTACAGATCCAGAGAAAAAAGGGCAAGTCTTGCAGGGACAATAGGAAATGGGAAGCCATATAGCACACACATTCAACCATCAGGTAGAGAGTAAGAAAGGCAGAAAGACCTGTGAGTTGAAGCCTTTTTTGGGGGCTAAGGGCATTATCTAAGCAGGTTTCCAAGGGAAGTTTTAATTGGTGGGTGATATAGTTTGTCACTGTCCCTACCCAAATATCATTTTTTCTTTTTTTTCTTTTTTTTCAGATGGAGTCTTGCTCTGTCACCCAGGCTGGAGTACAGTGGCACCATTTGGCTCACTGCAACTTCTCCCTCCCGGATTCAAGCGATTCTCCTGCCTCAGCCGCCGAAGTAGCTGGAATTACAAGCGTCCACCAACAAACCTGGCTAATTTTTGTATTTTTAGTAGAGATGGGTTTTTGCCATGTTGGCCAGGCTGGTCTTGAACTCCTGACCTCAGAAGATCCGTCTGCCTTGGCCTTTCAAAGCGCTGGGGTTACAGCCGTGAGCCACCATGCTCGGCCTTACAAATATCATCTTGAATTGTAGTTCCCCTAATCCTCACACATAGTGGGAGGGACCCAGTGAGAGGTAATTGAATCATGGCAGCCTTTCCCCCCCATGCTATTCCCCTGATGGTGAGTTCATTCTCAGGAGATCTGATGGTTTTAAGGGGCCTCCTTCTTCACTCAGTTCTCATTCTTCTCTCTCCTCCCACCATGTAAAGACGGATGTGTTTGCTTCCCCTTCCGCCATGATTGTAAGTTTCCCGAGGCCTCCCCAGCCATGCAAAACTGTGAGTCAATTAAACCTCTTTTCTGTATAAATTAGGCAGTTTCAGGTACGTTTTTATTAGCAGCGTGAGAATGGACTAATACAGTGGGCTTATAGCAAGCAGGAACAAGTCCAATAGTCACACTGTAACTGAGCAGGGGCCACTGCAGCATCTACACAGTCCACGAGAGGTGAGAAGGCCAGAGGGGTAGGTTGTATCTGCTGTCTCACAGGGAGGTGGTCACCAGGAGACAGTTGTATACGGCAGATATCGGAGGCGACCACATATAGGACTTTGGAGGAAGTGAAAACTCCTTTGAGGGTCACTAAGCCAAGCTTCTGGTATGTGCAAGTTAAACCTATTTTCAAAATGGATGCTGAGGTAACATACAATTTATAAGAATTGGCTAAATATTATACTTACTTAGTGTAACAATGGTGGAGTGTATGTCTCCCACTGATAGAATGCAAGCTCCACAAAGGTAAAGAAAGTGGTCTTTTTTCTATAAAAAATGGTATGTTCACTGAAGTATTTCAAACATCTGGAACAGGTTCTAGTATAGATACTCAACAAATATTTGTTGAATTATGTTGAGCTGCATAGCTCATTATCTCTTCCCATGAAGCTGTTTAGAACAAATTTTCCAGTTTTTTTTTTTTTTTTTTTTTTGAGACGAAGTTTTGCTCTGTCGCCCAGGCTGGAGTGCAGTGGCGCGATCTTGGCTCACTGCAAGCTCCGCCTCCCAGGTTCGCGCCATTCTCCCGCCTCAGCCTCCCGGGTAGCTGGGACTATAGGCGCCCGCCACCGCGCCTGTGTAATTTTTTGTATTTTTAGTAGAGACGGGGTTTCACCGTGTTAGCCAAGATGGTCTCCATCTCCTGACCTCGTGATCCGCCCACCTCGGCCTCCCAAAGTGCTGGGATTACAAGTGTGAGCCACCACGCCCAGCCGCAGTTTTTGTTATTTAAGGAAGAGTGTAGTATTCCTTGAGAGATAGAAAACAAATGAAAATTACAGCTGAATTTGGCTTTAACACTTCACTGTTTTATGAGATGAACGAGATGCATTCACCTCATTATTGTACAATGGTTACTTTTAAGCCATTCTGTCCCATTTTTCAATATTGCTATCTTAAAATCAGATTAGATTTGCCTAGAATGAAAATAATTAAGCTTATATCAAAATAACTGTTAACAGAAATGCCGTCTTTGCCCCTGCCCCCCCATCCCCCAACACAGACACACCTTTGAACTTTCGAGAAATGCTGGCTTATTTTTATCTGTAGGTATTCAGGTTTAATAGGGTATAATTCTTAATTAATTAATTCTTTATCTCTCTATTGCTTCTCTCCTGCTGCTTCTTGTTCTTTTTCTCATTTCATTTATAAATAATAGGTACATACATTGTTTTTTTTCTAGAGAAAAACTCTTAATTCTTCCATCCTTGGAAATTTATCTGATTACAAAAAGGTTTAGGAGACCATTTTGGCAATACATAACAGTGGTTCAAATCCCAGATCTGACAAAAATTAACCACTAGGGAATGCAAAATGATTGTGCTGTTCTTCGGTTTCCTCGTGTGTCAAATTAAGAAAATAAGAGTATTTTAGAGTTATCTAGAAATTAAATTATTTTACACATTTGTAGTTTATAAAATTGTGGATTGCAAACACTAAAAAGTCAATATTAGCTCTCCACTTCTTATATTTATAATCCCAAGGGATGTTAATAAAAGTTCTCAGTACATGGACAATGTGTTTAAGCTATTATTAGGACAATTAGAACCGAATAAAACACTTAGAAAACCTATTTTCTTCTGCATTTGTTCATATAGAATGACTGTTTTATTAGATAGTTAAGGCCATCTGTTGGATTATCATGTGTGACCAGTTAGAAGTTTATATTAATACTGAAAACATTTCTATTTTTAAAAAATCCTCCACTTTTTGTTCAATATTTTAAGTTATATATTTAATTTTTCCATGGGAAAAATATAAACTTTATAATCTTGTGAAAATTGTCAGAATCAAAATGGAATTACTAATGTTAAAAAAAAAAATCCCCCACAAATAGAGCCAGGAAAGGCAGTGAGGAGAAAGTCCTCATGTTTGTATGCGTAATAACAAAAAGTATCACAGTAACCTCTGCAAAAACCACACCCTTGTACAAAGACCATCACAACCTTACACAAAATACTTCTGCAGAGATATCTGCCCAGCAATTGCCTGTCCAAACTCAGACTGGCATCACCCTTGTGACCTTTGTAGGCAGGGATAATGCTTTCAAAACAATTATGTAATTCTCCTCATTCTTTTTCCTTTAGAAACCACAGTTTTTCTTTACATCTCTAAATATCCACATGGTTTAATATGGCATGAGTATTCTCATTGCAATGCTCTATTCCCAAATAAATATATGTTTTTCTTTTAGAAAGCCAATGTTTGTTGTTTAGATGGTCAATCTTTTTATGATCTTTTCCTGATCCTTGTTTTTACTTTTCTTTAGATTTTTTTGTTGTTGTTGTTTTTATGAACTTAGACTTTCAAAGTTATCCTATGTGACCTTGAAAATTGAAAATGTTTCTTTAGGTTTTCTTTTACTATCATTATTTTTTTAAAGAAAGTGCTCCGTGAAAAAGGGCAAGTTTGATAACATCCTATATTTTGAATTTGTTGAGAGTTCATCAGAGACACAACATCTTATGGGGAATTACCTCCCCACCAAGATCAGAGTACATACTCAGTTTCAATTGCTGCATTTCGTCTTTCAATTTAAAGGGGGCTAAATATCATCTAAAAATACTCAAGCACTTGGAAAGACTTTTTAACTAAGCTTCATTCCATATGCATGGCAGCTAGCTTGTTATAGGATTCCTTTCCAACTTGTCTGTGTGCTGTCCAGCAGGAAGGAGCATTCCCAAATATGTTGGCACTTGCTTCCTAGTTGCAGCAAGCAGGGAATTAACATCTGCAAAGAGGAGATTACACTCATGCATCATATTGAGATTTTTCACACTCTTCTGTTACTCCTTCAAAAGTAACTCCCTTGTGACATATTCCATGACGGAGCTAACAAATCTGCAGGCAGCAGACAACCTTGAAAAGTAATTAATGATAATATCTTTTCCTCACCACTATGCTTGCCTTTTTTTTTTTTTTTTAGCTCTTGACTAAATCCCTCATGTAATATTTTTTTAAAAGTTAGAAGTTTCCTTGCATAGTATTCCATAAACCACCTCATTCTTTATTATTAATTCCAAAACACCCTCAGCTGAACAAAGGTATATTATTCTGTCAAATGAGAAAGTGTTTGTGTGTATCAAGATACAAAGTAAGACTACATTATTAGAGTATAAATGGCATTTTCACTTGAGTGTTTCCTTTCATAATATATGATTTTATGTATCTTGTAATACTTTTTAAATTGCTCTGTGATTCCTCACCTGTTTATCCTGGGGATGCTGTTTTACCTGAGAGAGAGAGAAAGAGAACGAGAGAGAGAGGGAACATGAGAGAGAGAGAAAACAAATTGGTATCAAGATAACCTGATAATTGACTGATTACTTCGATTATTTCAATGATTCTGTATTATGCAGAAACTGCATCTTGGAAGCATTTATCATATTGGTAGAAAATAAGCAAACTCTTTCCTCTACACATATCAGAAAGGTGTTGTAAATTCTTATTTTTATAGGTAAAATGCTTTTTGTTAGGGCCAAAAGTTCAAATTCTCAGATTATTATAAGTGGGTGAGTGAGCTAGACTTATCTCTGAAATGTATATTATGTGAAATTGGTATAATTCTATTTGCCTGACATAAACATGTTAAAGTTCATTTTGAATATCAAAGAAAAATGGATTATAAATATCTTCTTACATTATTATATAGCCAATGTTCACTCAGTGTCTATTACGTGCCATCCACTATGCAAAGCATTTTTTATATATTATCTCATTCAATTTTTAAACCAACCTTAGAAAGTGAGTGCCATAATTATTTTCCTTTTTCAGTGGAAGAAACTGAAGCTCAGAGAGGTTAAATACATTTCCCAAAGCCATAAACAAAGTAGAGCCTGGAGTCAGTGCCAGAAAATTTACTAAAATTCCAGCACCTACTATAATTGTCATATTTCTTTAAGTCTTTTTATTTTCAAGCAATAGTAATAACCATAAAAAGGCACCTAAAGTAATTTCCCACATAGATAAAAATGTTGCAAATTCTTAATATTCTTTTCTCAGTGGAATCTTTTTAAGTCCCTTATTGTCCTACTATGTAGATATGCTGGGGATTTTTAAGTTGTTCTACTTATGTGTCTTTGTTTTTGTTAATCAATATAATTAAAATATACTATTCTATAAATGAGGGGAAAAGTCAATAAAGATATCCAAATTATTTATTTTTAAATTCATTTTATATAGAGATTACCTGTAGGTTTATGATTGTACAAACTAGTAATTTAATCAAGTCTATTAAAATTTACATTAAAATTATATAACAAACTATCAATCTCTATTTCATAAAAGAAAAGCCCTTCAACTATGAAAAAAATGACGGATATATTTAGTCTTTCTGCATTCTTTGTATGAAAATGAACTTGCAGTAAACAAATTAAAAATAAAATTTGATGCTGGGAATTAAATTTATATTACTGTCTCCTGATGTAGATTCGAACTATAATCATGAATTAAAATATTCAGATCCAGTAATTTTTACCCCATAATCTGGCAATCCATTAAAACTGCCACATAAGGTCAGGCGCAGTGGCTCACTCCTGTAATCCCAGCACTTTGGGAACCGAGGCGGGTGGATCAACTGAGGTCGGGAGTTTGAGACCAGCCTGACCAACATGGAGAAATCCCATCACTAGTAAAAATACAAAATTAGCCAGGCGTGGTGGCGGGCGCCTGTAGTCCCAGCTACTCTGGAGGCTGAGGCAGGAGAATGGCGTGAACCTGGGAGGTGGAGCTTGCAGTGAGCTGAGATTGCAACTCTGGACTCTAGCCTGGGTGACAGAGCGAAACTCCATCTAAAAAAAAAAAAAAAAAAACCTGCCACATAAATTGCAGTTTCAATGCTAATTTCTTTACGTCATAACGGTGTGCGCTCAATTCTTAGGTCTTCTGCTGTCTCATAGAAAAGCACAACATACCATTTATCAGGTAAGGTTAATGGAAAATTGATTCACAAGTTGTATTAGTCTGCTCAGACTGCCATAACAAAATCACACAAACTTGGTGTAATAAATCACATAAATTTATTTTATCCGAGTTCTGAGGCTGGAATTCCAGGATCAAGGTGCCAGCAGGGTTGGTTTCTGGTGAGGCCCCACTCCTCTGCTCGCAGATGGTGGCTTTCTCCCTGTGTGTTTGTATGGCCTTTCCTCTGTGCTGCAGCAGAGAGAGTGAGCTCTGGTGCCTCTCCCTCATTTTAAAAGGACATCAGTCACATTGGATTAGGGCCCCAATTTTTTTGTTTGTTTGTTTTGTTTTTTTGACACAGAGTCTCACTCTATCACCCAAGCTGGAGTGCAGTGGCTCAATCTCGGCTCACTGCAACCTCCGACACCCGGGTTTAAGCCATCCTCCTACCTCAGCCTCCTGAGTAGCTGGGATTACAGGAGTGTGCCACCACGCCTAGCTAGTTCTCGTATTTTTAGTAGAGACTGAGTTTCACCATGTTGGCGAGGCTGGCCTTGAACTGTTGAACTGAGGTGATCTGCCTGCCTTTGCCTCCCAAAGTGCTGAGCCACCTTTTTCACATAATTTAACATTAATTACCTCCTTAAGGGTCCTGTCTCCACATATTCTCACATTGAGCATTAGGGCATCCGCAGATGCATTTTTGAGAGAAATTATTCAGTCCAAAACACTAGTAAAACATCAAGATCAACAATCTAAATGGGATTGATGTCTTTCATTTAGGAAATGAAAATCAACTAAAATATATCTAATTTCATACTTACGTAACATATTGAACCACAAAAATTTGGATCCTGTTTACAGACCTCATAAATGAAAACAATTATGTGACATCCCAAATATCTACCTGAAAGTTTGACAGTATGACCATAGAGTCAATGACCACACACAAATAACAAAGTGGTTTTCATTTGGCAAATGCAAGTCTTACATTTTGTATTCCTTTCAAAGTCAGAGGTGACTTGCTTCTTTGAACTAACCTAATATTGAAAGTTTAAGTTCCAAGGCAAAATTTTTTTCTGCAATATTATGCCAAGAGGCATATCAATCTGAGAGTCTTTATTCAATATACAAAATAAGAGTTATCAATCTTAAGATATTGCCAACATTCATTTAAACTCTTAAAATATTTCCCTACCCACAACACACATACTTTCAGGCACGGGGTTGGGGAAGATCACAGATTATTTTGAGCACATTTTGATACCTGCTTCGATGAAGTGCAGAGTAAACTTCTGATTTTAATTAGAACATTGAGTAGGGCATAAATTATTTGTCATTGTTAAAACCATTGATACAATAAAATGGTTTAAGTAGTAGATTTTAAAAATTAATTTGGTGGCAATATTATGCTGCAAGCTGTCACAATTTCAAAAGTAATTCCTCACAGGAAACTTAAAAGCAATGTATTGTTTTTTCAATAAGCCAAATTTAAGTCAAAAATTTTCAATGTCATTTGTTTTCTAAGAAAGCAAATAATGGCTTATAAAGCTTTGGAAATTATCAGGTCTGTTATAATATATAGGTCTTTTCTATTGTGCAAAATGAGACCACTGAATGTATACCAATCATAAATCTCTTGATGTTCAGCAAACATTCTGTAAAGTGTCTATTGCAGGCTATGTAAACCTCTAGGCTGCAAAGATTCAGAGAGAAACAAGATTTACTGCCTTCAAGTTGTTTGCATTTGAGCAAATTCTAATAGCTCTAGAGATTTTCTAAGCAGATCATGATAGAGAAAAGGGGTGAGGGAAGTTTAATGCCATGGCCTGAATTTCTAGCATTGATGTCCCTTAAAAATTCATGTGTGTTGGGTTTAATGCCTGGGTGGGTTGTTGTTATTGCTGTGTTATATGTCTGCTGGGAGTCAGGGGATGCTTGATTTTTGGCAGGCTTTCAAAACGGTGCACATTGAGTTGTCTAATATATTTAATATATACCAGGAGGGAGAAGCAGGTTGGTACTGCATGTGAGTATGAATATGGAACTTAGAGATGAAGTATAGATAGAGTTTTGGGAAAAGGTAACATTTAGGTAGATGAGTGTGTATGAACATGAATGTTGTATCACATGAGAAGTGATGAACAAAAGCCAGAGTCAAGCAAAATTTCAGAGACAGAAAAATAGTTGGCTAACCCAACACCCATTCCCAAATAATTCCTCCCTTATCAACTTCACTCCAGAAATTGGAGAAGCCAAATACCTGTGCCTACTCTCCAGTGTTACTAGAAATGACCACTGAAATAATTTATATTAGAGAAGACTAGAGAAGAACTCCGCTGGGAATCTCCAACCAAAATTTTTTTTTTTTTTTTGAGATGGAGTCTAGCTCTGTTGCCCAGGCTCGAGTGCAGTGGCGCCATCTCGGCTCACTGCAAGCTCCCCCTCCTGGGTTCATGCCATTCTCCTGCCTCAGCCTCCGGAGTAGCTGGGACTACAGGCGCCCGCCACCACGCCCGGCTAATTTTTTTGTATTTTTAGTAGAAACAGGGTTTCACCATGTTAGCCAGAATGGTCTGGATCTCCTGACCTCGTGATCCCCCCGCCTAGGCCTCCCAAAGTGCTGGGTTTACAGGCGTGAGCCACCGCGCCCGGCCTCAACGAAAACTTTTACTCTCCTTTCCAAGGGAGTGATTTTTCTGCCATCTTTTTCTCTCTTCTTTGTTGAATATGATTACGATGACTGAAGTCACAGGATAGATCTTATAGAAAAGGCCACAGAAATCTCAAGCAATGTTGTCCCTTTTACTCTGAATTACTCACCAAACAGTAGCAGCCACATACCTCCAGATATTATATTATCTTGAGATAACACTTCTGTTTAAGTCGCTAAGTGAAATTCTCACCTCTTGAAGATGGCTGCATGCTATTACGGAGAAGTAGTTCATGAAACAAAGACAACTGCAAGAGACACAGTCAAGATGTTAATAGCTATCTCCAACTTTATACCAATAAGTCAAGGGAAAGCAACTCTAAAATGGTAACATAAATCAAGAACGAAACATGATTTAATTTGTAAAGATTTGATTTATATTTTAAAATTTAGAAAATGTGCACAAATAGACCTAAATTTATGACAGATACCTCTTTTGTTAAATGATGCTTTCCAACTGCTTTAAAAATTAGTTTTAAGTTCATTTTGCACAGATCTGGATTAAATAAGACATTTCAATGAGCAGATTATTTATAAGATTAAAAGCTGTTTGTTCTATTTTTCTCCCAAATTAGAAATAACCCCTTTAAATTTCTGTAGTAGCACGTGCTCAATAGAAAAAGCCAGCTATTACTACTAAGTAAAATACAATGGCAAAAGTACCTGGCACTCCCAATACCAAAAGAACGCTTTTCACGTATTGATACTTCAGTTTCCAGATTTGTTTCTTTTGGTTTAGTCACAATTGGGTACATACCAACCTATAGTGACACAAACATGGTATATAGAAATAAATGGATTATAGGAATAATAGTATTTTGTAGAGAAATATTTTTGTTACATAGTTCAGAGAGTAATATATTAGTTATATAGTTACTTTTTCAGTTACTCCTTGTTTTTTAAATACGACTTTTTTTTTTTTTTAAGACTGGAAGTCTCTCTCTGTCTCTCCCAGGCTGGAGTGCAGGGGCGCGATCTCGGCTCACTCCAACCTTCGCCTACCAGGTTCAAGTGATTGTCTTGCTTCAGCCTCCCGAGTAGCTGGGACTATAGGCGCATGCCACCACACCCAGCTAATTTTTTGTATTTTTTGTACAGACGGGGTTTCACCGTGTTACTCAGGATGGTCTCAATCTCCTGACCTTGTGATCTGCCGGCCTTGGCCTCCCAAAGTGCTGGGATTAAGGCGTGAGCCACCGTGCCCTGCCAATATGCCTTATTTCTAATAGTATATTTCAGAAATAAGTCTTTGTTTTTTGGATTGTATTATTGAAGGAGAGTTTATATTCCAAAGTACATTTGCTGTAAATTTGATAACTTTAAATTAGATAAACAAAAAGGCATAGTTTGTACACCTAAAAATGTTTGAGAATACTATCCCCAATATTAAGGCAACTATGAATAGATTAATTTTCCTTTGGGGACAAATACTACAACCTCTAACTGAATAAAAATTGTGATTTTTTATTGTTTTTCTTTATTATGCTTGCAATTGACTTAATTAAATACACACTTATCATACTAGTTGAATTATTTCAATTAATTTTATTTCATGATTATTCAAGATAGTATGGTTTATTAACATGACACAAACAATGTAGAGTTTTGAAACTTCATTTGAAGTATGCTAAGTAATATGAATAAAACATGTGGTTGATCTATGTATTTTATAGTTTGTCTTTAGTTTTTCTTAAATTGGGAATCATGTAGTGTACATTTTTAATATGTGTACACTTCTGTATTTCTCAATTTAATATGGTCACAGAACAATAAATTTGGATCCAAATTGTCAGTCCTTATTAAATGCCCCATTTGGTAGAGACATCTTAATTTGAAAGAGTAACATTTACTATTCAACTAACATGAAGACTTTACCCTGCCAAGAGATGAAATCTATATTTTTATCGCTTTAATTTTTGACAACTGTTGATGTTGTTTATTTTAAAAATTATATATTTCATTAACATGCTCCAAAACATGGACTTTTGCATTTTTTTGATGGTAGAGACAAGTATTTTTGGTTTAACCAAAATGAGTAAATTAAAATCATTATTCAGTTATTTTAATCAGTTTAGCAATTGTGACATCAACTTCTCTATCCATTTTAATGTGTCTTTGCTCACAATCTGAGCTAATAAAATGGTGACAAAAAGTTCTACCACAAAAGAGTAGAAAGAGTTGGTGAGTAAAGAGAAAGATTTGTCTATAAAGAAATACATGGTTTTAAATTTAGGACTTGTCTTATTAAATACTATCAGAAATAAAATATCACATTAATATTTTTAGAACCATCCCACTACAAATAACCATTTGATTTCATGGTGATTACTAGATAAATAGTTTATGAAAAATAAGCACATAAGCTAGAATATTGTAATGAAAAATAGTTAATTTCAAATATATACTTTTCTATGCATAGCACTTAGCAGATTGATAAAAATAAGAGTAGGCAAACATCTATAAACAATCAAATTACAAGGGTATTTAACTAAGCAAACAAATCAATCAGTCAAATTAGGACATCTGGTCACCTTTGCTTAGAAACAATTTTGTATAGTTAATACCATCCCAATATTAATGCACTTAACTTAAGCTGCAAGTCCATTTACTGTCAAAATAATTCCTTTTGTCCTAGCTGTGGTGCTGGATAAGTGTTTCTTTGCCCTCTGTGCTGCTGTGTTTACAGAGAGTATGTTGACATATCAGGCTTCAATTCACCAAACGCAAGGCATCTTAAAGCATGCAATAGGACTTTAGCAATCCTAGGTAGAAACAAATATTCTCATTATAAGAAATGAATTTCTTTTACTGGTTCAAGAAAGTCAGGATCATTGTTACACAGATCTCAGAAATATTAAACAGCCAAAACAGCAGCAAATGGGATTCAAAAAGCAAAAGCAGATACTTTAACAAAAACTTCCTAGCTTCTTCTGGACATTCATTCAAAGGCTTCATTCATTAAGCCAGCTTGCAATATCAGTGCCCATCGTGTCTCAGAGAGCCAGAAAGACTAAGCTGCTGGTTTAAAACAAAGCATGTCCTGTGGCTTGCAATCTCTTTTTGGAGTCTAAAGGACATATAAAATTATTCAAACAGTTAAATTACAAAGATTAGGAAATTGTACTCAAATAGTAAAGGGCTTTTGGCTTGAATTTCAGGCTACTGAAGAACTACACATTAAGGGAAATTTGAAATAAAATTTGATGAAAGTGAGAAGACAGTCCCTGCCATTAACTATTTGAATATAAACTTGAAAAGCCCACCAATATTTTATAAGCTTTAGTTTAAAGCCCTTTTTTTCAGCTTAAGCCTTTTGTGTTTTAATGTCTTGCACCAGCACTTAGCTGTTTTATGTTATCCATGAGAGTTTCTAAATTGCTGCCTCCACCTAATGGAAGCCTCAGGAAATTATAAAGCCAATTTCACTATAGTTATTAAGCAGAAGTTTTCTAAATTATCCAGGAGACACTAAGTAGTAGCATGAAGGCAAAAAGGCTAATAGAAGTCAAAGAGTTTAACTAGTATTTTTTTTTCACATTCTCTTGCTTACTGCCACAGTGAAGAGAAAGGCAAAGAGAAGAGCAAACACATTGTGTAATCAGCATTCATTTACTCTGCTTTTCCATGAGCCTTGGCCTTTCTACAACATTATAGCATTAGGTTTGGGCTCTATGATTATCATATATATGTATTTTTAACACTATTGATAACAAATTGTGCTAGGAAATCTGTGTTGAGCTTCTTGAAAAAAAAATAGTTAAAAATAGAGGGGTGGTTTGTACAGCCAAGGTGGTATAGTGAATTTACACATCAACAATCACATTTGCTGCAAATACATCAATGGACAGTAGGCAAAACAAAAGTTACAAAACTGGGCTTATAAAATGAATACACATCTACAACTAAAATTAAAACCACCACCAATAAATCAACATGAAAAGAGAGCAACAATAAAAAAATAAGCGAACATACTTATCCTATTGTCTAAAGGAGTTTTAGTTCCATAGGCAGATGGCAAAAATTTGACTCCTGCAGCAAAACATGGACTAAACCCATTCCATACCTGGATGAGAACCTGGATCAAGCCTCACAGGTCAAATTTAAGAGAGAGAATCATAGGGAGAAAGGAGGGAAAAGCAGGGATGAGAGAGAGAGCGCGCAAGAGTATGCAAAAGAGAGAGAAGTCCAAAATAACAAAAAAAATCTAAAATTAGGTGATAAACCTAAGAAAGATAACCAATACATTTTATAATTAAAATACAAATTCACAACAGAAAAAAATGTTACTTAACAACATGAAATATACTAAGAATATTCAAGATATTTACAGGAATAAAATTAAGATCTTTATTTTAAAATATATAGACAAAAAATATGAAACAAAAATAGGTACAGCTATTACGAGTCAGTTCTAAGTATTTTAAAAATTTTACAAATTAGAAATCTTGGATAAGATCTAAATAATACATACTATTAAGGATTTGAAACGTCAAGTAGACACAAATTAGTGCATTCCAACATAATTCCAAGGATTTTATTGCAATTTAAGCAAAGAGAAAAGCTGCTTCTACCTATCATGTGGAAGATAATTATGAATCCTCTCTGACAATAATAAGTAGAAAACCAACAAATTTTTAAAAGCATATAAGAACTCATGTCACAAAAATACCCAATGAACTAAAGTACAATTTGATAAATACCTCTTGCCCACAAAGAGGCTCATAGTTGCTTTTATCCTTATAGAGCAATAGATGTAAAAAGAACAGACCTGGGTAAGAAGACAGAAAATGAGAATTCTTTTTATGACTCTTTTAAAGGCAAAATGATGGCTAGCATAAGAAGGAGCACTCTCTACAGGCATAGATTTAAAGACAGGATATATTCACAGACAGATTGTAGGCAGAGCAAAACACCTGGAGATACTACCCTGTGTGGTATAGATGTATCAGGCCTGCAGAAATATTAGGGCAAGTTTGGAAAACAGAGATGAACACTATAAGCACCTCAGGCTTTAACTGTGTCCAAGGCAGCCACCCTTTACAGTTGGGGAAATAGTGGATAAGTCTGTGCTCAATACACACAGGAGAGTTGACAGAGTCTGTGGCTCACTAATGACTGTGAAAAAGTCTCTCCTAGTCTTACAGTGAGTATTAAACACTGGATACCTGCATCTGGATGAGGGGCAAGAAAGTTGGCAGAGATCTCTCCAGGGTTGCAGTTGCCTCAGGCTAGCTGAAGGCTAAAAGCCGAAAGAGCTAATTGAAATATGACTTTTTGAAAAACAGAAGCTTCTGGTCCTGAACACAAAAAAACCTGAAGTATGCAATTAATTGAACCCCACAAAAGCAAAATAATAATAAACGAAACTGTTTCAACGCAGACTTGATTACCTCAAAAGTATTCAACTTGACAGAAGAGAAAGCCTACAATTTTCTGTGGACAAATGTAACCTACTTTCATTTGTAAGACTATATGATCAAAATGTCTGGCATCCAATTAAGCAAAAGATTACAAAGCACAAAGGAACAAGGCACTATACGGTATATCATCAAGAAAGGAAACTGTCAATAGAACAAGAGTGAGAGATAACAAATTCTAGAATTACTACAGATAGACAAGATAAATACATTAAGAAACCTAGTCAATAAAGGGAATTAATATTCATTACATACAGGGGAAAAAGTGAAATTTAAAAATTAATAAAAGCAAAATGAAAATTATCAAAACTAAAAGTGTTGGCTGGGTGTGGTGGCTCATGCCTGTAATCCCAGCACTTTGGGAGGCTGAGGCGGCTACATCACGAGGTCAGGAGATCAAGAGCATCCTGGCTAACAAGGTGAAACCCTGTCTGTACAAAAAATACAAAAAATTAGCCGGATGTGGTGGCATGTGCCTATAGTCCCAGCTACTCAGGCGGCTGAAGCAGGAGAGTTACTTGAACCCAGGAGGCGGAGGTTGCAGTGAGCCCAGATTGCACCACTGGGTGACAGAGGGAGACTGGGAGACAGAAAGAGACTCGGTCTCAAAAAAAAAAAAAAGAAAAAAAAACCCAAAAAACTAAAAGTGTTATATTATAGATACATTGTTTGTTGACTCATTAGCAGAGATAATAATAAATAATGTTGAAAACAGGTAGAAAATACACAGTTTGAATTACAAAAGGGAAAAAGAGAATATATAAAGAAGAAAATGATGAATAATCTGAAATTTGTGAGACAATATCACACAGTCTAATATACATATTATTGGAGCCCCAGATAAAATATAAAATATAATGAATTGATGTTAAAAATATTTGAGAAATGATGTTTTATAGTATTTTTAATTGGTTAGTGATATCAACCCAGATATTCAAAGAGTTCAGCACATTCCAACCAGAATATGTGCAGAAAAAAGCACACCTATGCACACTCTATTCAAATTGAAAAAAATATATAACATTTAAAAGCCATTAGATGAAGAAAATAAAACAGTATAAGGAGAAATGCAATGAAAATAACAGATCTCTGCACTGCAGCAAATGAACAATAGAGCTCAGAAAACAATGACATGATATAATAACAATTATGAAAAAAAACAGTCAGCCTAGAATTTTAGTGAAAGTGTCTTTCATAAACAAAGTCAAAACAAATACATTTTTAGGCAAGCTGAAAAATTTTTCTTGAACAGATCTGCTGTAGAGGAAATAAAATATAAAAACATGCTTTTTAATATTTTTTCTTTTAAACCAGAGAAATGGTATCTGATAGAAACAGGCTATTACAAAAACTGGGGGAAAAGAGTAATGATGACATATATGCAAAATAAAAGATATTTTAAGAATAATTTTTGATGTGATCTGGGATTTATATTATATATACAGAAATCAAATAAATGACTTTAGAAGTTATGCCAGAAAAGAGAAAATGTATTAAAGGTTTTCCCTTGTAACACTTTTATCTGTTGGTTAAGCATTAGAATATGTTTGAAGATAGATTGGTTAAGCATTAGACTGTGTTTGACGATAGATTGTGAAACCTTAAAGAGGTATATTTTAGTATTCACAGTGACCACACAAAAATTCATTGTGGAAATTTTCTTCTGATTGCTTTAAAGTGTCCAGTGCAACAGTAAATAGTACAATTGGAGAATGTATTAGATATTTGAGAAGATAAGAAAAAATATGAAATGGTTATTTAGAATTGAATAATGCTGTATGATTTTTGTTCAGTAAAATCCTACCTGAGGTACATGGTCAAGAATTTCATGAGAGCAGTCAGAAAAGCATTTTTTTTTCCAGTTTCTTCAGTTGCATGAAAATGTAAAGAATTGTATTTAAGTAGGGTTTTGCTCCTGGTAAGCAGATAAACAGCAAGGAAGAGGAAAGGAATTGAGCATGTCTGCAGATTAATTATTATGATAAAACATGAATTTAGGCAGAGTAAACAAGATTAAAGGACTTGAGTTGGGTGAGAGTCAGAGAAAGGTGGTCAGAACAATGGGTGGTTGAACACAGAGATTCTGTAATTAGCATAGTGTAACAATGTTGGGACTTCTTTTAATTAGGTTCCAATGGGCAATTATGTCAAGGGGTAGTTTACATAAATAGTAGTGATACAACCTTCTACAATTTCCCTCATGATCTGAAAACAGAACAAAACTCAGTGGAAGGAAGTTTAAGGCATGTCATTAAATACTGCACAGGAAAAAGTGCACACAGCGTGTCCTGCAGTCCATTTGGAACTTAGTTCTTTTCAGAGTAAATTTAAGTCTTCAGACCTTCTTAAACAATTAGGCTAAATTTTCAATGCATACTTCTAGTCCTCAATATATAAAATACCAGTATTCTAAAAGACTCTTTTCTTCTCTATATATCCTTGCTTCTGCCATGCCAGCTTAATAAAAATAAACTTATATAAATGATAATGGTCAGTTGCAAAGGATATCATAGTTTTAGTTACCAGGCTTGCCAGTGACCTATTAAACATCAGTCTTCTCCCTACTAAATAAACTCTATGATTGAGATAAAACGAGAGTAATCTTCAGTGAACTGCTGCTGTCAAAACCTTGCCTGGACTGTATTTACTAAAATTAAAATTTGAAGCCACCCACTTGGACGACTTTAGATTGCTCCATGTCCGTTGTTTATTTTTCTTCTTCGAGGTTTCAGACCAATTCACTAAAAAGTTAAAATTTTAAGGTACTATTCTGTTATATACTTTTTCCCCTCCTGCTATGGTTTGAATGTATGTGTCTGCTCACAATTCATATGTTGGAGTCTCAGACTCAACGTAACAGTATTAAGACTTGGAGCTTTTAGGTGGTGATTATTATCAGGGCTCGAGGGAACAGGCCAGACCCTTTCGCCCCTTCCACTTTTCGACATCTGAGAGCACAACAACCAAGTTCCATCTTGGAAGCAAAGATCAAAACTTCACCAGACACTGAATCTGCCAGCACTTTGAATTTTTACTTCCCAATCTCTACAACTTTGAGAAAATGGATTTCTGTTGTTGATAAATTGCTCAGGTATTTTGTTATAGCAGCAGGAGCCTTCTAAGACACCTGCTAGAATACAAGCAAATTAAAAAATAAATTGGGGGACAGATCATTAAAACTATGATGCATGCTTTAATACTGACAAATGCATTTATATAATATGGATTTACATTTATAGTCAAAAGACTAATGATCTATGAATTGCCATCTTTCTAGCCTAAACAATGAGATTCTCAACCTGGAAAATATTGAGGAGAGTAGCACATTCTTACCAACTAGGATTATTGCTTCATATCAATTTAGGAAAGAGTCAACAAAACAAGGAGAATCTCTGGTACTTTCAGGCTTCTTTTTTTGTTTTTTGAGACAGAGTCTTGCTCTTGTCAACAGGCTGGAGTGCAGTGGCGTGATCTCGGCTCACCACAACCTCCGATTCCCTGGTTCAAGCAATTCTCCTGCCTCAGCCTCCCAAGTAGCTGGGATTACAGGCACGTGCCACCACGCCCAGCTAATTTTTGTGTTGTTAGTAGAGATGGGGTTTCACCATGTTGGCCAGGATGGTCTCGATCTCCTGACCTCGTGATCCACCCACCTTGGCCTCCCAAAGTGCTGGGATTACAGGCGTGAGCCACCGCGACAAGCCTTCAGGCTTCTTAGAGATTAATACATTACTATCAGGAATACTGGACAAGTAGATATCGGAGAGCAATCAGTGAACACACTCAGCCTCCAAGGGAGAGATGAATAGGGAAAGTGAAGAGAAAATTTTATGAATTTTTCTTATCATGAAAGATATTTCCAGTGGAACTTTAAATACAGAAGAAATGTTAGCCCTCTAACAAATTAGAACTATAAGATATTTAGACTCCAAATGCAGTAATCCGAAATCAGAACTGCGGCATGTAGCAAACAAAAACATATTCAGTACAATGTCCTAGGCTTTAAGGTATTTATTTAGAAATAAGTATATAAAAATTATTAGTCAAATGACAACATAAACTAAAAGAAAATGTAAAGAAAAATAAATATATAGGAATATGAAGCAGAGGAGAAGAGAGAGAGGTAGTGAGAGAGGGAAGAATAAACAAGCAAGCTGAAACTGAAGTTTTGGGAGGAAAAACCAACAACGTAGAAAAACTTCTTATAAGTTCTAACTAATCAAGAAATTAAAGGGAAGGCAGAAGTGACAAATCAACAAAGTTGGAAATAAGAAACTTATGTAAGCAAATGTGTATACAAGGATCATTAAAGTGCAGAGTACAGGTCAGAATATTCAGTAGAGAACTCCTTGAAACTGTGTTAATGTGGTGAAAACCTAAGAGAATTTCATGTCTCTGAAAAAATAAAAAATTGGAATTTCCATTTAAGGAGGAATTAGAAAGTATCCAAAATCAGTCTTTAAAATATGCATTGGTAATTTAAAGCATCACACATAAAAAGAAATGACGATCAGTGAGTCCTTGAGGCTTATTAAAACTAGACTTTAAGGAACACGTAATCCCCACTTTGTGTCCATGTTTTTAACTGAATATAAAGAAATCTATTTATTGTATTTTAAAAGAATATAATTACACAGACACACACACACACATTCATACATACAGAAGTAATGAAAATAAAAGGAAAGAGTTGTGTTTAACTTGACTGTTAATCAGATACCATCTCCAACTTCCAGAACTACTTTTCCAAGTCCTAGTACAATATCTATACAAACTCAACACTCACAGTATAGATACTATAGTACTGTATCTATACAAATTCAAACTAAACAGGGCATTAATAGGTAACTAAGAAGACAGAATTTAATCCTTGACTTCACAGAGCTTTCTATCTAGTAGAACTGATAATATTTGTATATAAATATAATGAAAGATGAAATGTGAAAAATGTTATTATAAATGTACCAAAATCTGTAAAAATGGTTAAGTGGTTGAAGAGGGGAAGGGGAAGAGTGAGAGAGAACATAGGATTCATCAAGAATCCTCTAAATAAGTTAAGGAAATAGTATGATTAGACTCTAAGGCTCATTTAGGGACTTCTATTAAAATTCTGATAACACAGCATATCATACTCTAGACTATTCAGCATTCAGTTAATTGAAAGTAATCTGGAAACTCAAAAAGGCCTTCCTTTGGATATTTGCTCACTTGCAATACAGACTCATTTTTATGGTGTATTTAGCTAGTGGATTAGTAAAGTGGGTATGTCAGAACGATTCAGCTTGCTAATTAGCGTTTTTAATGAGTTTTTACTATGTCACTCCCTAGCAGTCTATTTACCATTTTCAATACTGTAGTTTGGAAGCCAAAATCTTAGTGGGTTGCAATTAACTAAAAGTATTTCTACTGAAATAAGCCCAGTCAAAGATTTAGTAAATTCAACAATAGTAAACATAGTAATAACAAGGCAAGATATAAGAACAAATATATAAAAATATAAATATAAAAACATCAGAACATTAAAATTATAAAGTCAGAGTAGAAATGTGTTCATATAGAATTGAGCAAAGAAGATCTCTATGTTATTATATATGAAATAGTGCTTGTTTAAGTGAAGTTTTAATGAATTTGCACTTAAATTTAAACAATTTTAGTTTCACAAGCTGTAGACTATGTAATAGATTATTTCATTTGCAAATTCTGTGGCTTTGATGAATACACAGTAACTTATAAGCAGCACTTGTATATTAACTGCATTGATTTATTAGTATATTGCTACTGCATTATTATACTTTTACAGTAAATCCTGTATTAGTTCACCACAAATAATAGCAAAATGAAGATATACATGTCAGTCATGTGCATCTGATATGTGTGGCAGTCTATAGTCCAGAACAACACAGGAGTAAGTAAATCCTAATATACTATATATTATCATTCTCACTGTATTACAACTTCACCTCAGAGAGAGTTTAAAGTCTTATTTCAGACTTAGTGAGTTCTAAGTTTTGTACAAGACTGAGGTACATCAACTGTGTCCGAGGTAAAATTTTCTTTTAACTTTCCTGAGTATTTGTGTGGAAGATGTGACATAGCTGATAAGTTCTTCAATAACAGTGTGTTTTTCCCTTTCATATTACATGGCTGTCGTTAGGAAGATGGCTTCTCAGCTTAGGACGGCATTCTTTTTGACCCGTTGTCTTTGATGGTAGTGTGATTTCTCTCCAACAAAATCTAAGCAGTAATGATATGCATACTTTCCAGGAAGGTCGACCAGGGAGGCATCTTTTTCCTATTGAGGACTGAGGGCAGAGAATTATAAATATCGAGTGGATTGGAGAACTTTACTCTGGAAGCAACTTGGTTCCTGAATCAGCATAGAAAGCAAACAATCCCACGTTAGATAGGAATGCTTACATATATCAGCTAAATGGATGAGAAATAAATTTGTTTTGTTAAGCCACTGAATGGTTGTTTTATTTATTTATTTAGTTAGTTAGTTAGTATTGTGGAGAGCTATTCTAACTACAGAAAAAAATCAGAATTCCTCAACATACATGAGTAATTAAAAAAATTCAGTGTCTCAGCAATCATTTGAATGCTTATTGGTTACATTTACAAATTGGCCTCCTAATGAAAACCTATGAAATGAAATCCAATGTATTTATATGCATGGGAATTATACATATTTAAAGAATGAAGTGAAACTAAATGTTAAATGTTAATATCTAGAAAAATGCCTAAAATGCAGCTTTCCCCTCCCCCAATGCACACTTTAATTCATCCAGCCTGTCAACACATTGTGCTGAAAAGGTAAACATAAATATATGTTTTGTTTCATTAGGGATTGCTTCACCTCCTCTTTTCTCTTTATTTTATTTGTGTTGCTGTGAGGAATTGGGAGCCTATTATTAAAATAATTTTTAATCCTAAGAGAAAGAAAATAAGCTGATGACACAGATTGAAATTATGTGAAGAGAATGAGCTACAAGGAAGAAAGGGTTCAATGAAATCATATTACAGAAAGAACATGCAAGAACTCTGGCTTCCCCATAGGAATCTACGATTATACAAAATTAACTGCAAATCCCCTTTGTTTGTTATCACTTATTGATGGTTGGAGGCAACATAGCTAAAATATGAAAAGTGAAAATTTAATTAATCACTTGACTCTACTTACAATGAAATAATAGTTACTTATTTACTAATTATATACATATAATAATACAATACTCAGGCATAATTATCAGAAGTTCCCTCAAAGAGTGAGTATGAGTTCAGCTTCTAACATTTGTATAGTGGTAGGGTCAGACCATTTTATTTGCAGAGAGATTCTACTCAATCCTACAGTTGCACCTAACTGGACAAGGAGTGGGTACCTATTCTAAATTGCAACAGTCAGAACTTCTTCCCACAGAATTTTCAACTGATGTTAGAATCACTTTTCCCACGTCCTTTGGATGTTTAACTTGTAAACTCATGAAATCTGAATAGGCTCTTTTGCCGTATAAATTCAGTTGCCCATCCGGAGGAAGAATAATGGAGCAGGTGACCAGCAAAATAAGAGAAGGAGATACGTTAAAGACCAGCTTCTCAGGCATGCTTGAGGCCTTCCTGCACACTAATTCTTCTGCCTCTAGCTTGGGAGGAGACCCTGTATCCATTGTGCTTAATCTGACATCATTCATTTTCTATTATTTCAAATCCAAAAAAAGTTCTAGGTAATAGAAATATATAAAATAATTTTGGAAGAATAAATGAATTTCATATTCTGGAACTCCTTGAATCATTTATGCTTCTTGACTTGCAGGAGAACTGCATCAGCAAAATTTCATTGCATCAATGGCTGTTATTTCTCTATATTGGGAACAGAGGAAAGACAACCAACTCCTTATTTTTCTGAACCTTAGAATATATTTTTTTCTTTGAAATCTGTGAAGTTATTTCTGTTTTATGTGCAAAATTGTAACATCATTCACCTGACAGCAATTAAGAACAAAGCCTCATTCTATTCTAAGTGGTCTCATTCCATCTATTTCGCAAAGCACAAGACAATTAGCATACTTCTAAGTTTTACTTTCCTTTCTGATTAATATATTTATGAAATTTTACTGAAAGTAAAAGTGATCACTTAAAGTTAAACCTCATACAACTTAACCTTACGTAACTTACCTGATACATTTTTTAAATAATTAAAAACATGACTATAGACAACAAGGTTAGGTCCTGAGATTATATACTGTTTAAACTCAAAAAAAAAGTTTAATACCTTTAAATCTTAGACTACTATGTATACCTTATGTTTTAAGGTGTTACTGTAATTTATTCACTAACAGAAGTTGGTAATATTTAATACTTTTAAATTATTACTGTTACTTGAGGAAAACTGGTGAAACCACTTTACTATTTTTCTCATAAACATTTTTGTTTAGAATGGAGCAAACAAGTTTCAGCTTATTCTATTTTCTGTGCATTCACTGCATGAAAGACTTAAGACTCAACCTGGGCAGCAAGGACCTAAATTACATTTACGCATAATGGACAGAATGTGTATCCCAAATGACAGATCTCATTCTGCTGATGGAGGAGGTCAGTGTCAAGTGGAACGCAAAAGGCAAGGGGATGAGTGTTAATGACACTGAGATGCCTGCAAGTGGAGGAACAGTAAGTAGTTCTAGAGGTCAGGTAAGGAGTGGGTGATTCTGGGGATTGTAGTTCAGGCAGACTCCTGAGTTGGGATCTGTGGATGAAAACTGCATGTGAATTCCAGGGTGTTTTTCTGCCTTGGTTTGGCTGTAAACTTGGCTCACAGTGGGGAATGATACACTTGTAAATGGAGTCAGTGCCCAGAAAAGGTGGTGCTCACAATAAAAATTTTACACAAGCTACTCAGCACCCACACTACTGAAACATCTTTTCAAAGACCTGGAAACTGAAGCACAGCTGTAAATATTTTTACAGCAAGTGATTCTAGCATCCTGCAAACACTGAAGCACTTTTTTTTTCAAGCCTTTTGAAGTGCCAAGGCACATGAATATTCATAAAGAGGTATTTTGCCAACCCCAGGGCCTCTTCCTTGGGGTACACCTGACTCTATTCAGAGTGACAGTCAAACCAAACCATATACGGATTTGAGGAAAACAGACATCCACGTAACTTCACGTGTCCACACCTAAGGAAGAAGTGGTTCTCCACAAGAGCACCCTCACTGCAGACACCAGCTACATGCTCCAAGGCCACCCTCAATTCTGATCAGCTGGCTATAAATTCTGGGGCTCTCACTACCTGCTCAGGTTTGATAATTTGCTACAACAATTCACAGAACTCAGAAAGAGTTATGATTACAGTTTTATTATTATAGCAAAATCATACAGATCAAAATCAGCCAAGGGAAGAGACATGTAGGGCAAATTCTGGGAAGATTGTAACTACAGGCGTTTCATTGTTTCCTCCCTGCGGAGTCAGTACACATTACCCTCTTAGAACCACGATGTATGACAATATACGGCACTGTCAACCAAGGAAGTTCACTCAAGCTTCCATGTCTAGAGTTTTTATTGAATTTTCATTACCTAAGAATGATAGACTAAATCACTGTGCATGCTATTGAGCGCATCCTCCAGCTTCCTTCCCCTCTCCAGATGTCTGGCTGATATAATGTGGCTCAAAGCTCTAAGCTTTACAAGGTTGATCTTTCTGGCATGACCAGTCCCCATCTTAAATCACGTCTTTAGCACAAATTATCTAAAGGTACACCCTGAATCACCTCTACATAAACCATCAGATGTGGTCTAAAGAGTCCACCATGAATAACAAAGACACTTCTATCACTGAAGAGATTCCCAGTATTTAGAGGTTACCTCCCAGAAACTGGGGACAAAGGCCAAATTCTTTATCACACAACTGCTCAATCATACCCAGAAATGAGTTAAAAATGATTTCTGTAGTGCAGGTCACATTCTATTATAAAAACTGAGAAACAAAATCAATGCTCTCACTCTCATAATAAGCCATTCAAACATCACAGAAAAGTTGACTGGTCACTACCTGCTGATAATGGTAGAATTGTTCTGTGGAAATATTTTTGGGTACATTCCAGTATATGGAAAAAAAATAAGAAAATAGAGTATTTTCTCCCAGAGTTCAATACCACAGCAGGTATCAGAAACAGAAAATGTATTCTTAATCAGAAAATGTATTCTTAATCATTAGTGAAGACTGTGTGTGTCTGAGGGGAGAGGGGATGTACTCAGGAATGACCACAGAGGCCAGGAAATTCTAAAGAGAATGATTTCTACATTTGCCTACAGAACAAATCAGAAGTAAAATCATAGCTCATATACTTGAACAGCTTACATTAGTGTACATTTCATTATCTATGATCCACCTGCTGAGGAATTATGTTAAGATATTGTTAAATCCAGTGTAACAAAGTGCTTTGGAATGTCTTTTCTGAAGGGAGCCTGCCTGGGTTAAAATATTTATTCATTATTCACTTACCAACTGTGTGCCTCAGGAAAGTAATTCACTTGCCATGAGGATATTAATAATATTCGCTAAGAAAAATTGTTAAATTTTACTAAAAAAATTTCAAGAAAATGATTAAATAAAACCGGACTCAGCAAATATTTAATTAAGCTAATGGTAATAGTAGTAGTAGGAAAAGTGATATCAGTAGGACTTCTCACACACTTTTCTCATCTAAACTATGCAGGGTTATTTAAATTACAAATTAAAAATCCAAAAGTATGCCTGTTAAAACGGAGAGAACACTAATTTTAATTGAAATACATTTTTAAAAAAGAAGAGGGTAGATATATTTAGGGGGAATTAAGCTCCAGCTTTTACCCTTGGTGTGCAGTTTTCAATAGTTCAGCAATTGTTCCACAGACGGCAGCAAGAAAAAGTGCATGCTTGATAGTGAGGCCAACAAAGAGATTCCTCTTTTTCTCTCTTTTGCATTGTTTGAATTCCTCCATAACCGTGTATCTCATTTAGCCAAGTGGCCACTTCCACTTAGTGAACAAGGGGCATCCCCTTGTTTGTTTCTGGCTGCCACTGAATTTGTAAGTGTTTTGTTTTCATTGATACTGATAAGTCTACTTTGAAATTTCCTCTTCTTAACACATTGCCCAAAGTATGAGTATTAGTCAGTGTTCTGCAGAGAGATAAAAACCAAACACCGAATGTTCTCACTCATAGGTGGGAATAGAACAATGAGAACACATGGACACAGGAAGGGGAACATCACGCACTGGGGCCTGTTTTGGGGTGGGGGTAGGGGGGAGGGATAGCACTAGGAGATATACCTAATGGTTAAGTGACGAGTTACTGGGTGCAGCACACCAACATGGCACATGTATACATATGTAACTAACCTGCACGTTGTGCATATGAACCCTAAAACTTAAAGTATAATAAAAAAAAGAAAAAAAAACCAGTAAGACAGATAAATGATAGATAGATGATAGATAGATAGATAGATAGATAGATAGATAGATAGATAGATAGATAACATAGATAGATGCATAGATAGATAGAAGAAAGGGAATTTATTAGGAAAATTGGCTTATGGGATTATGGAAGCTGAGAAGTCTTATGATACGCTGTCTGAATTTGCAGATCCAGGGATATTAGTAGGTTGGTTCAGTCCAAATCCAAAAGCCTCAGAAGCAGGCAAGCTGATGGTATAACTTTCAGTTGGAGGCCAGAGGCCTGAGATCCCAGGGGGCTGTGGGTGCAAGTCCCAGAGTCCAAAAGCCAGAGAGCCTGAGGATTCGATGTCCAAGGGCAGAAGTATGTCCCAAATTCAGGTGAGACTGAATTCGCCTTTCTCCTACCTTTTTATTTTACTTGGTCTTCAGCTGATTGGATGCTGCCTCCCACATTGAGGGTGAATCTTCCTTACTCAGTCCACTGATTTCAAATGGCAGTCTGTTCTGGAAACTCCCACAGATATACCCAGAAACAATGCTTTACTAGCTATTTATGTACCCCTTAGTCCAGCAAGGTTGACACCTCAACTTAACCATCACAGTAGGGTTTCTTTTATCCTCCAGTCATCCAAGGCTCATTTCCTTACCATATTGTCAGTCTCTCAGTTACTACCTAAGAAACTGTATAAACCCTTAACCTTGCTATTATTGTTATTGTGTATTTTTTCTAAGGCAATGGAAACACCCTCATAATTCTGCTCATTTAGAAGATACATATTTTTCTTCGTCAGTAAAATGCAGCGATCACAGGACACAATATAGATGCCTTCCGGACTGAATGTGGAATCTCCATCCTGAGCAATGCTGCCTGTTAGGAAGTCCTCTAATAACTGATTATACAAGAGAACTTCTAAGCTTTTTAAAATTATGGGGTTAGTCAACATCTAAAATTTTAACACAGGACCTAAAGACTTATGAGCTACCTGTTCATAGATATGATCAATACTGCCTGTGGTCAGTTCTGATGCATATTCTTAAATAAACCATTTTCATTTGATGAGGGGGTTTCTCTGTGCCTTTTTCTTTGTATTGGAATATTGTTCTTATATAAATCCTAATATGAATGTTTCAGTTTCCATTAAACCCCAATAAAAGGCCATCATTTGCCTTTCAAGGAGAGTAGACATGAAGGCAGCCTCAGATTATTTTCTAGTGACTACCACCAGGTGGTACTTGCAGGCCTTTGCCAAAGGCTCCATCCAGCATAAGTGTCATTGCTGACACTTCTAATATCTTTTAAGCACAAGGGTCACACGTGGTCTTATGTTATTGATCTATTGCTATGTAACAAATTTTCCCAAATGTAGGTGCTTAAAACAACACACATTTGTTTTCTCATAATTTCTGTGGATCAGGAATCTCTGTATGCCTTAGCTGGCTTCTCTGTTTCTGTCTATCACAAGACTGTAATACAGGTATTAGCCAAGGCTGGGGTCTCAACTGAACTCTAGACTAAGAATGAATCTGCTTTTATGCTCATGTGGTTGTTAGCAAGATTCATTTCCTTGTGAGGTGTTAGAATGAGAGTCTCAGTTCTTTGCTAGCTGTTGTTCAGGGAATTTCTCATTTCCTTGTCCATGTGGACCTCATATATATGGCTCTTCCCTTTATTGAAGCCAACAAGATAGCAAGGCAGAACTCATATTTTGTATAAACTAATTAAGAAAGTGACATCTCATCTCCTTTGCTGTATTCTGTTGATAAGGAGCAAGTCACTAAACCAGCCTATACTCAAATAAGAGAGATTGCATAAGAGTGAAAATACTAAGAGGTGAAGAATATTAGGGGCCAAATTAAAATCTACCTGCTATAATGATCAACACAGCAATGGCTCTGTGTTCAGGCAACTCTAGGGTTGTTTAGGTTGCCATTTAATTCCAGATTATTTCACAACTTTGTGGATAGGAAGTAAGACACTATCCAGACAGGGTACACGATTTCTTCAGAAACCAGGCAACCAGAGCAATCTTTCTGTATCATCTTCTGATTTTGGAACTGGAAAAGCACAATAATTTATTTTTGGTTGATTGAGGAATGTCTTTAGTTACTCTGGCCCAAGTAATAAACATGAATTTTACTATTTGTCCTGTACTTCATTCAAATTAATCCATATAATCAGTAATGTAACTCTTCCCTGGGTATTTATATAAATAACCATTACTTTTCATTCATTTTTAGCTTAATCTTCAGGTTAAAATATATATCAGCATTATATCATCAACATAATAACAATAGCTTTCAATTAAATCAAAATTGTTTCTTCTTACTGAGTGGTGTCAACACATACACAAATTTAAATGTCCTTCTAGGAGAACAATAAATGTGTATTTTGTTTCATCTCACATTAATGAAAATTGGCCCTGGGTTTTCCATCACAAAATACCAATTTACCTTCACAATGTGAATTAACACCATATCAGGCATAGCTGATGCTGTTGTAGACATCACTTTACTCAATATTTGGCTGTCCATAGTTAATCTGCAGGATCCATCAGTTTTTCTCACAAACACTGCTAGACTGTGAAGCAATAAATGCATAGGTACTGTTACACCTGCAGCTAATATATCATTATTTAAAACTGAAATTTCTGGATGTCCCCCAAACAAACAACATTGTTTCAAATTAAGCATGTCAGTGGATTTAAATAATTCTAAAGCTCTCATTTAGCATGCCTAACTAAAAGAAGATATGGAGCCAATTTGGACAATATCCGTTCCCTTAATATTTGAGAGAAGGAAGAATACCCATTTAAATATCGCATACATTTAAACAATATATTCTGGTAAATGTGTCAGGATTTGATAACTTCCTTGCTCATCCTACAACATTCTCACCGTTGCAAAATTATTTTCTCTATTTGATTGATACAATATATGAAATTTAAGAGTGTGCCATATTTTACTGGACACTATTTCATGTTTCAGGAAGACATTTTTACCTATTGATTTCTAACACAAAAAGATACTGTGTTTGTGAAGGCAACTTTTTGTAATACTAAAATGAGAAGTAATTTGAGCTGCAGGATTTATCAATATTATCGATGGCTAATTTTCTACTTTTGTGTAGTAAAAGCTTTGATTTCTCAAATTATCATTAATGCATTTAAAAACACATTGAAATCACAAAATGAATAGAATTATTTGTATATGTTCTTTCTTATCAATTCCTGAAATATTTTCAAATGGTGACCCTTTATAATTAATGTGAATTTTAAAATTACCCATAAAACCGTTCATGTTTTCTTAGAATTATTGTAGTTATACAATATCACATTATATTAGAACTGTTATCTATAAAATAAATGACCTCCACTAAACTTGACTTGCATCAAAAACCAACAGTTTCAGTATTTTATTATATGATAAATGTGGTAGCAAATATGGGAAGCATGCCCAAATACGGACAGATGAGTAGTTCATTGTGACAGCTGTGGCTTGACAAAATCATTATCAGTCTCATACTAATATTATTTTTTCCCTGTGTCTCTCTTGCTATAACTAAATTTCATTAACACTTTAGGAAATATGAGCCTTTCTCCATCTGGCACATGGCTTTTAAAACTCATTTACTGTAATTTACAAAATCTGCAAACAGCTGGCAAAAATATATTTTTATTAAGTTTTTAGCATATGATTTGAAAGATCTGTAACTTTGTCCACATCCCTAAAGCCCAGAATATTTTCTTCATTTTCCAACTGTGGAATCTCCACAATTTCTTTCTAAATTGTAAGAAATTAGGTGGCTTTGTCTTTAATTATCAACTGGTACATTAAGTTCTCATATTTAAATTTTAAATATGGGTAATTCAACTGATCTTTATCCTTGAAAATATTAAAAGTATGAGAGGCTTCTTTTTTGTTTATTTGTTTGTTTTTACAATAAAGTTTTTAAACTGTACCTCTCAATACATAACACTGAATGACTAATTACTGTGTTTCCAGCTTTAGACTTTCTTTTGATATATTATACACCATATGAATGTTTTCTATTGATAAAATCAGTTCATCTTTATAGTCCCTTATATCTTTATGATATGTGAGAAATCACAACATTTAATATTAAACAGTAATATTAGTAATTTTTAATAAAGTTTGTTCCTAGAAAGTACAAATAAAGGAATAATAAATATGTTGTATATAAATACAAACAATCATATAAACATATGTGGTTTGTAAAAGTTAGAAAAATTTGCAATAGGATATTGTAAAGACAAAAGCATACGTTTTTTCTCTCTACTCTTTTACATGGACATTCAAAAGAATATTTCTGATTCCAGATTCTCCAGTGGAAACCAAACTAGTGTTTTGTAATTTAACTCAATTCTGACACTGCCAACCTGGGGACAGCATCAGATCTCACAGACTGAAGGCTCAGTCCCACAAGATTGACCCAACTTCAGACACCAATCTTGAGAACTAGGTTATCACCTATACTTTTGACTGACCAACTATAAATGGGAGGTTTCCAAGACAGCCTCCTGCGTTTTGGTTAATTTCTACAGCAGCTAATAGAGCTCAGAGAAACGCTTTACTTACATCTGCCCATTTCTTATAAGAGGCATTACAAAGGATATAGATCAATAGTCAGATGAAAGTGGCAAAGAGTTTCCATGCCTCTATAGGTGTGGCATTCTTTAGAGGGTCCTTGAACCCTGTCCTATTGGGTTCTTATGAAAGCTGTGTTATGTAGGCATGAATGATTATATCGTGAGCTACTGGTAATCAACTCAACCTTCAGCCTTTCCTCTGTCTCTGGAAGTCATGGGGTGGGGCTGAATATTCTAATCCTCTTATTGCATGGTTGGTTTCCTTGGCAACCAGCTCCTGTCTTGAGACTCTCTGTGAGCCCACCAAGAGTTGCTTCATTAGAACAAAAGATGATCCTATCATCCAGGAAATTGCCAAGGATTTAGGAGATCTGTGTCAGGAACTGAGGTCAAAGTCCAAATATTGGAACAGAAGATTCTCTTAGTACCCCTATCTATAAAAGTTTCAGGAGCCGTATGTCAAGAACTGAAGGAAAAAAACAAATAGATATTTCTTCTTATATTACAACAGTACAGATATTCAACAAGGGCAGGTAATAATAACTATAAAATATTTACGTAAATAAATTTGAGTTATGTTTGTTAAAGTAGGTGACTAGATGTCCTGAAAACAAAAAGGCTGCAGTTAGGAGTACGTGAACTCTTTATGAAAGTTCTTAAATTCATTAAAGAAGGAGCTAGATAGAATATTTAAGGGAACATGGGGACCCAGAATCAGAGACAGTTTTGTCCTGGAGACATTATCACAAAAATTATGAACTTGACAAATTTTGGTTCTCCTTGACACAGTATATACCAAGAGATGAGAACACAGTCCCAAACACCTTCCCCAGTTGATTTCAATAACCTTTTGATATAAATCTACTATCAGATTATTTAATCACCCAGGTACTAAGTCTAGTACCCAGTAGTTATTTTTTCTGCTATCAAACCCCGATGACATGAGTTTACCTACATAACAGACCTATACATGTAACCCTGAACCTAAAATAAAAGTTAAAAAAATTAAATATCTACAGTCACACAAAGTTATAATTTTTGTGAAAGTGAGAAGCAAGTCTAAAACCCTTCCAACTTCCTCATCACAAGAAGATTACAATAAAAGTTACTGATCTTAGAGCAGGAGGTCTAGTAAGGATTTCCTTGAGATTGTATAATCAAAAGAAAATCTTAACATAGATTTGCAAGCCAAGATCACATAATATTTTAATCCAAAAGATGGTTTTCCTAAATGTCTAAGATAAGCAAATACATATAATTTCTGAAATCATTTACCCCAAATGATTTCATGAATAATTGTCATGGGAAAATGACATAGTCAAAAAAGAAAATCCAAACGGATGAACAGACTTCCTGTGATCATATAAAATAAGACTTAAAACTGTAAAGATGTCAGTTATCTCTAAATTGGGATATAGATTTAAAGCCATATCAATCAAAATCCTAATTCCAAAAATTTACTTTGTTGACAGTCCTGAACAAAATTTTAAAAAATATATCTGAAAATACAAAGAACCAAGAATAGTGAAGATACCATTAGAGAAGAATAACAGAGCTAATGAACTTTTCTTAATCATGAGATTTGTCATCAAGGTACAGTAATTCAGACAGAATTATATTAATATAATATGGCATATGGAAACATAGCAACACAGAAAAGAGAGATCAGAAATAGACTCATTTTATGGACACTTGATATTTAATTGAGATTTTATCACAAATCAGTGAGCAAAGGATAGATTTTTAAAATAAATGATGCTGAATGATTGAATCTACTATAATGCAACTTTTCCAGTTGACATCAATGTGCTTCATTTTCTCTGTCCAGAAAGTGAGCATAACAATAGCATGCCTATATCAGAGGTTTCTTTTAGGGATTAATTGAGTTAATATATTAAAATAATGCAGTAATTTTATGTATTCCAAGGGCTTCCTAAATGGGCAAATGTACAGACTTTTATTTCAATATTTGTTTACAGAAGAATAAAATAGTATGTCTCTAAATCTTTTTCTACTTTTTCTGTAATGTTTACTTTCATGAGAAAATAAATGTGATGCCATTTATTTATAATGATATGCCAAATGCAGGTTGTTATTTCTCACAATTATAATTTAGTGTCATAATTTAACAGGGTATAAAGTTGGAAAACATTATAGAAAAACTACTTTTTGTTTTTGATTGTGAAAATCTCTACTGACATAGAAGGCATGGCAACATGATCAATCAGTTGCACAATTGGGCTCTAGGTAAGTAATATATATATTAAAATTTTGAGATGAATAGCTGACACCTAGTAAACATGATATGTATTAGTATGTCATAATTACCTTCATTATCCCTAATTATTTTCAATGTCACTTTCAAAAAGTGACACTGCAGCACAGACAGGGTAAGTAATATATCCAAATTTACAAAGTTTGTTAGTGGTAGTGCCTGTGTTGGAGTCCAGGCAATTTGGTTCTAAAGTTCACGCTGTTAATCACCATCTCTTAGAATTCATTATTTTAAGTATCCTTAGTCCTTACAAATGCAGGCTGTATTAAGTTAGATTTCTTTTAGAGCTCATGTTACATGGCATAGTCTATCATAATTGTTCATTATAATAGTACTCAATTAGTGACCAGTTTTAACATTTCCAACCACAAACATGTGCACAAACACATACCCAGAATAATTCCTGGAAAATAACGAGGTCTGGCCGGGCGTGGTGGCTCATGCCTGTAATCCCAGCATGTTGGGAGGCCCAGGTGGGCGGATCACCAGGTCAGGAGTTCCAGACCAGCCTGGCCAACATAGTGAAACCCTGTCTCTATTAAAAATTCAAAAATTAGCTGGGTGTGGTGGCATGCACCTGTAGTCTCAGCTACTCGGGAGGCTGAGGCAGGAGAATTGCTTGAACCCAGGAGGCGGAGGTTGCAGTACGCCAAGACCGCTCCATTGTACTCCAGCCTGGGTGACAGAGTGAGACTCTGTTTCAAAAAAAAAAGAAAGAAAATAACTTGGGGTCTAATACACTCTTAGATGTCTTACCTTCTGACAGCACCCCTTAGTAAGGTGACAGATATAGCTTAGGAGCTAGTGCTAAGACAGACTTAAGTTTACATGTGTAGTTATAAATCACCTATTTTCATGAATTTTTTATTCATCTTATAAGAATTCCTGAAAATGACATTGTAAAATTTGTTTATTCAACAATTTGTTACCTGCTGTTCTCAAGATATTCTGCCTTTCTTCTTAAAGTATGATCTGAACACCATCATTTAACAACATTACCTGAAAACTTCTAAAAAACACAGAATCTCAGACCTCATTTGAGATCTACCAAACCCAAATCCTTGTTTTTCAAAGACCCCGGGTGGTGTATGTGCACATTAAAATTTAATACTCAATGCTTAAGAATATCCAATGGACTCTACCTTTTAGTAGCTTACATTCTGTTCTACTGCACTGTATGGTAGCCACCAGTCATGTGTGGCATTTACACTTAAATGTAACTTATTTTAAATGAAACAGCAAGAAAATTCATTTCTTCTGTAATACTCCACTCCCCATAGTTTAAGTGTTAAATAATTACTCCTGTAAGAGTGAATATTGTCTTGGATATCTGTGATGTAAAATATTTCCATCATTGCTGAAAGTAATATTGAAAGTGCTGCTCTGCAGCAAAAATCAACAATTTTTATTTTTACTTTTTGTAAAGAGTCAAGAAATAAATATTTCAGGTTCTGCAGCCTATATGCAGTCTCTTTTCTCCTTCTCCTCCCTCTACTTCTTCTTTAACAAGCCATTTAAAAAATGGTAAGCAATACTTGGTTAGTGGGTAAACAAAAAATTAATTAATTAAAAAAAATAGAAAAACATGCTGTGGAGTGAATGTGGTGTATAGGCCATAGTATGTAGATGCCCATTCTAGGTAACAATTTTTTAGATAAAACAAGTGATTAAATAATACTTACAAGAAGAGATGTGCAAAGTACTCTGTTGGGTGCAAAAGGCCTAAAATAAAAACTAAAAACCTACACAACTTCTAGATTTTCTTGTCATTGAAGGCATTCCTTAATTTTAATCTGATTTTTTTCTAAGAAAAGACAGAGGTGGTACAAAAAATATCTTGAGTTTCACTCAGTGCTAAATCAGCCTTGCCATCAAACATAGCTGCACCAGGGAGGAATGGAAGATTATCATTCTAAATTGACAACAATTTCACACCAGTAACTGGAGGCACAGAGTAGCCATTTCAAGACACAATAATGATGATAACAAATTAACTGAAATAGTCCCCTTTATTACTGGCTCCTCTTTACAAAGACCTCAGAGCCCTGTAAAGTATTACAGAATTGTTTCTGTGAGAAGCTTGGGGTATTTCAGTTGCTCTTTTAACAAAAAATGCACCATTATAGTTCCCTTATTTACCACTTGCGTGCATGGAAATTGTGTTTCCTTCTGTAATCCTAACCCCAAAACCCACTCACAGTTAACTCTTTTTGAGATTACACTAAATTATAAAGTTCTCCAGGCAATGGGAACTTTATAAAGTTCTCCAGGCATGGTGAAACCTCGTTTCTACTAAAAATACATAAATTTAGCCAGGTGTGGTGGCGAATGCCTGTGGTCCCAGCTACTTGTGAGGCTGAGTTGGGAGAATTGCTTGAACTGGGGAGACGAAGGTGGCAATGAGGCGAGATCACGGTACTGAACTCCAGCCTGGGTGACAGAGTGAGACTCTGTTTCAAAAACAGGCAATAAATACAATAAAAATAAAATTTTCCATTTTATTCAGGTTAAACATCTCAAACTAGTTTATGGTGCTTAATCTGTCCCTGTATCTAAAACTGGCCATTACTTCTGCTTGTAAATAGCCTTTTATTGTAAGTAGGAAAAAAACTCTTCTATCTCAAACTCATTAAATTATTTGTCTGATTATGTAAATTGTAAATGTTTTAATAATGGAGTTACACGAAATACATAATGCCACTGACAACTAATTACATTGTAAATTGCATTATAGCATGTTTTCTATTTCAATTTTACTCCTCAGCCAGGAGGTATAAAATTTGTAGCTAAGTATTCAAAGTATAATTACTTTAATAAATGTGCCATTCTTTGCATATATATTCAAGCTCCTTTTCATTAAAAGAATTATAACTATGCTTCAACAAAAATAACTTGATTCTTCCCATATCTAAAGGTAATTACATTTTAAAACTATAACCTTCAAATGGAAAAGTGTTAACCTTGAAAGCATACTGACGATACTTACCAGACACATAGATGTAAGTTAACTAAACTCTATTTTCGTATTGTGCAAGGTTTGTTTCAAAATGTTTATTAATTGATTTCTTATTAAAAAAGACAAACTAAAGTATATGGGAACTAATATAAATATATAAATATCTGTAACTGTAGATATAGAAATAGTAGCTTTTTAGGCAAAGGCTATCCAAAAGAATTAGATTATATATGAAGACAACTACAGATACAAACTACAAACCACTCAGGGCAGAGAAGGCAAAAAGGCAAAAATATATTTTACACATTCATTGCTTGGTTGTTAAGACACTATGCCTTGGCAATACAGTAGATCTGTTCCCCATAAAATCACCTCATCAATTCACACTACACAAAGAAAGTTAGAAGAAAAAGTTTAAAGTTGATGACTCAAATAAAAACCCAGACTCTAGACAGACGAGATATTTTGTACAACACATCATTTGAATATTATATATTCATATCTCTATTTGAATACGTCCTATTATCTGCAGGTTACATAAGGAGCACAAGTCTAGGAAACAAATTCTAATGCTTTGCTAAAAAAAATCTTATGCTCTCCAAGTGGCCAAGTAATCAATCTAAACTTCAGTGTACACCTGTGGAAAAAAAATGAGTTTACACTGTTGGCTCAGACTTTTATCCTAAGCAACTCTTGGATTCATGTACTTTGTTTCCTCCAGATTTTGCTCAGTGCACTTTCCCTCTGCTAATTTTGATATGTATAATTTTGCTATGATAAACCATAACTTTGAGGGTAACAACTTTTGGGTGCTGTGAGTCCTTCTAGTCTGCTGGTCAGATTGGCCCTTGGCTGGTGTCTAGAAACTTGGTGGGTAAATGGTTCCTCATCAGCCTTGACATTCAAACCAAATTTTGGGTGCTGATCTATCCTGCTCTGTAGGCTGACCACAAGACAGAGGATGCGTACAGCAACAGCTTCTGTGCAAACCTTGAATACTGATTCTCTAATGATATTTCCTTAGAGACAACACTTAAAGCATTTTGTCACACTGTTTGCTGGAAAAATTAAGTGGGTCCTATGCTGCTCCACTGGGAAAGAATATGAACCTGATTTCATCCAGATTTTGCCCTATGCACTTTCCCTTTGCTGATTTTGATTTGTATAATTTTGCTATGATAAACCATATCCTTGAGTATAACAACTTTTGAGTGTTGTGAGCCCTTCTGATGAATTACTGAACCTCAGTGATATTAGGGACCATCACATAACATGTTAATAGTTTTGCAGAGGACTAAATTAGACTCAGAAGTATGCATAACTCTCCTCTTGATGTCACGTCTATCTCCTATTATTACTTACCTAGAGCCCAATTGTGCAACTGATTGATCATGTTGCCATGCCTTCTATGTCAGTAGAGATTTTCACAAGCAAAAACAAAAAGTAGTTTTTCTATAATGTTTTCCAACTTTATACCCTGTTAAATTATGACACTAAATTATAATTGTGAGAAATAACAACCTGCATTTGGCATATCATTATAAATAAATGGCATCACATTTATTTTCTAATGAAAGTAAACATTACAGAAAAAGTAGAAAAAGATTTAGAGACATACTATTTTATTCTTCTGTAAACAAATATTGAAATAAAAGTCTGTACATTTGCCCATTTAGGAAGCCCTTGGAATACATAAAATTACTGCATTTATTTACATAACTATAAATATTATTTAGAAATTGAATTCATTTTAAAACTGATTCTGACAAAACGATGGTGTCCTTTTTTTTTAATTTGAATCCTTGCTCTCATTATGAAAACAACTTATGTTTATGGTTACCTTGTAAAATGTAGAAAAATAAACCTGTAATAACAAAATGATAAGCATTTTTGTCTTCCCATTGTCCAGGGATAGCTTTGCTATGACTTTAGTGTATGCCCTTTGCCTGTGTATGCCTCACTCTATTTTTTCTTTCTCTGCATATATAGTCGAACTAATTAAAAATTTAAAGCACCATTCACTTAAAAAGTATGTTACAAATATTTTATGTTTTTGTTTCTAGAAATGATTTTTATGATCTAACATCATAACTTTACTATTAGCATTTCTTATTGGTGTAGCGGAAACATGAACAGGTTTTCAAAAGATGGGGGATAGCAGGAACAACTTTATACCAATTAATTGGACAATTTTTGTGAAAGTGGTAATTTTTGAGAAACACAATGTACCAAAACAAATAAAGGAAGCAATAGGTATTCTGAAAGTCTGATATCTATTACAAAATTAAAATCTATTATTTAAAAAAACTATAAAAATAAACTCATATGCTTAGACCCACATAGATTCATCATATTCTTCCAAATACTTAAGAAATTCATATCAAATTTATACATAACCATCCAGATAATGAAAAATGAAGGAAGAAATAACAATTATTTTTATGAGGCCACAGTAGCAATGATACTAACACAGGATAAATTTATTACAAGAAGAGAAAAATGCAGAAACATCATGTCCGGAACATAGATTTAATAATCATTGATGAAATATTAGCAAAAGAAATTAGGCAATAAGGAAAGGGATAAATTCATTGACCAAAGCAGGTTAATTCATAGATGAAATAGTAAGTTAGCATCTGCAAACATTCAATATAATTCATAACGTTAACAAAAATCGAAGGTCATATCATTTCAATAAAGAAAACTTAATAAATAATAATAAATGTACTCATAATATTCACTTTCAGTAAAGTAGAAATAGAGAATGACCTTTTTATTAAAATAAAGAGTAATACTGGCCAGGTGTGGTGGCTCAAGCCTGTAACCCCAGCACTTTGGGAGACTGAGGCAGGTAGATCGCTTGAACCCAGGAGTTCGAGTCCAACCTAAACAAGATAGTGAGACTCACTTTCTACAAAAATTGCAAGAATTATTCAGGTGTAGTGCTGTGCACCTGTAATCCCAGTTACGCAAGTTGCTTAGCTAGGAGGATTGCTGGACTCCAGGACGTTGAGGCTGCAGTGAGCCATCATTGTGCTACTGCACTCCAGCCAGATCAACAGAGTTAGACCCTGTCTCAAAAAAAAAAAAGAAAAGAAAAGAAAAAAGAAAAAGAAAAGAAAAAAGAGTAATACCTCAGTGGAGTGACATCACCAAAAATGGCAGAATGCAAGTAATCTGGCTTCACTCCCCGACAGAAAACCAAAACCAAATATCCAGCACCAGGATCATCACCAGCAGTATCACATGTACTTCAAAAATATGTACAACTATTACGTATTGATAAAAAATAAAACCAATAAAAACATAATAGTTCAGAAAACTACAACAAAGTACAAAGATGACAAATAATAGTGAAGTAGGAACAAGTTGACTCTGAGTTCTGCATGAGACAAGGATGCCTGATATCGTGTATACTACAAATCATTCTACAGAACTGGGGCACAGCCAGACAAGAAGGCCAAAAATTTCCACCAACACCAGTACAATACAGGGCAATACAATACAATACAAGACAAATAAAGACAATACAATGCAACACCATAAGAAAATTTTTAAAATAAAAGATATATTATTTGGAAAAAAAAAAGAGATGATTGCACTTAATGTACCAGCTCAAGTCCAGCTGTTTGGTGCTCAGAGTCAAAACATGAGAAGCTAGGTGTGGTAAAGGAAAGCAGCTTTTATCAACCAAATGCCAGCAGATGGGAGAATGGCTGGCCTCAAGCCTCAAAGGAACCATCTCAGCCTTCTGGGCTGAGTGAAGGGGTTTAGGAAGTAAAATTTGGTGTGGGGAATATACAGGGGTGGGGCAAGAGGGCGCAGCTCTGCGTGTCTTGTTCTGAATGTTATCTTGCATAATCACCTGTCTGGAGGTTGGGTTTGTGTCATGCTGACTTTGGCCCAGTAGTGGTAGACTAAGCAGGGGGATTTGGCAGCTTGATGTCTATCCCTGATTTGATTCAAATTGGCCCCTGGAACTTCTTTCTTTTGGGGGAGGGGGATTTTTTTAATTATTTGTAATTAATATATAATAATTATATATATTTACAAGGTAAAATGTAATTTTTTAAAAATTTCAACTTTTAGGTATATGGGGTATATATGCAGGTTTGTTACATGAGGATATTGGGTGATGAAATTTGGGATAAGGATCCCATCACTCAGGCAATGAGCATAGGACTCAATAGGTAGTTTTTCAACCCATCCCCCCCTTGCCCTCCCTGTTCCAGCAGTCTTCAATGTCTATTATTCCAACATTGATATTCATGTGTGCTCAATGTCTAGCTCCCACTTATAAGTTAGAACATGCCGTATTTGTTTGTCTGTTCCTGCATTAATTCACTTAAGATTATAACCTCCCACTGCATCCATGTTGCTGCAAGGGACGTGATTCTATTTTTTATGGCTGCATAGAATTAATGGTGTATATGCACCACATTTTCTTTATCCAGTCTACCATTGATGTACACCTGGTTTGATTCCATGTCTTTGCTATCATGAATAGCACAGCAATAAGCATACATCTGCATGTGTCCTTTTGGTAGAATCATTTATTTGCCTTTGGGTACATACCCAGTAATTAAATTGCTGGGTTGAATGGTAGCTCTGTTTTAAGGTTTTTGAGAAATCTCCAGACTGCTTTCCACAGTGGCTGTACTAATTTACATTCCTACCAACAGTGTATAAGTTTTCCCTTTCTTCCACACTCTCACCAGCATCTGTTTATTGACTTTTTAATAGTAGCTATTCTGACTGGTGTGCAGTGGTATCCCATTGTGATTTTGATTTGCATTTCTTGCATGATTCGTGATGCTGAGCATTTTGTCATCTGTTTGTTAGCTACTTGCATGTCTTCTTTTGAGAAGTTTCTGTTCATATTTTTTGCCCATTTTGTTAATGGAGTTATTTGGTGTTTTTTGTTTTGTTTTGTTTTGTTTTGTTTTGTTTTGTTTTTGCTTGTTGATTTAAGTTCCCAATAGATTCAGGTTATTAGGACTTTGTTGGATGTATTGTTTATGAATATCTTCTCCCATTATGTAGGCTGTTTGTTTGCTCTGTTGATAGTTTCTTTTGCTATGCAGAATCTCTTTAATTAACTAATTACTAATTTTATTAGTAATTAGTTTAATTAGGTCCCACTTGTCTACTTTTGTTTTCGTTACTTTTGTTTTTGTTACAATTGCTTTTGCAGACTTACTCCAAATTCATTGCAAGGCTGATATCAAGAAGAGTATTTTCAAAGTTGCTGCCTAAAATTGTCATAGTTTGAGGTTTTTCATTTAAATCTTTGATACATTTTGAGTTAATTTTTTGTATATAGTGAAAGGTAGGGATCCAACTTCAGTCTTTGATGTATGGCTTAACAGTTATCCAAGCACCATTCATTGAATAAAGAATCCTTTCTCCATTGCATGTTTTTGTCTGCCTTGTACAAGATCAGATGGTTGTAGGTGTGTAACTTTAAGTTTTCTATTCTGTTTTGTTGATATACATGTCTGTTTTTGTACCAGTACCATGCTGTTTTGGTTACTGTAGCTTTATAGTATAGTTTAAAATTGCCCCTAGAATTTCTAAGCAAGCATGTAATTAGATAAGGGAGTGCTGTGCATAGAAAGTGCTGGTGGGAAAGGGAGATAAATAAAAAGTTTTGGGCCAGGCGCAGTGGCTCATGCCTGTAATACCAGCACTTTGGGAGGCCGAGGCAGGCAGATCATCTGAGGTCAGGAGTTCAAGATCAGCCTGGACAACATGGTGAAACCACGTCTACATTAAAGATACAAAAAATTAGAAGGACGTGGTGGTGTGAGCCTGTAATCCAAGCTCTTCAGGAGGCTAAGGCAGGAGAATTGTCTGAGCTCAGGAGGTGGAGGTTGCAGTGCGCTGAGATCATGCCATTGCACTCCAGCCTGGGTGACATAGCAAGACTTAGTCTGAAAAAAAAAATAGTTTTCAAAGTACAAGGCTATATTCTGAGATTCGGATGGAAAGAAAAAAAATTCAAAATTAATTTCAAGGCTAAGATACTCAGTTACATTACTTTCAAATATCACTATATAAGCACCAGAATGGCTAATGTAAGAAAAATGCACAAAACAAAATGTTTAGGAAGTCTCAAACTGCTTACAATATCGTAATTACTGTTGGTAATGAAATTTGAAAAAATAACCATATGAATATTCTATAACTCAGTAATTTTATTTCCAGGTAAATAGCTAACAGAAATGTGTTTACACTTTTACAAGAAGAAATGTACATTATACATTAAAATCAGAAACTGTCTATCAGCTAAATGCTCATCAACTTCAGAATAGCATTTTGTTATGTAATAGAATATTATTTAGTAATTAGAATAAGTACATAGAATGATATAGAATAGTCTTATGAGGATAATATTTATGAAAGACCAAGATCCAAGAATATGTTCTATATGAATGTATATCAAGACAGAAAAAACTCATCTTTGGTTTTGAAAATCAAGATAGGGCTTACATTTTTGTAGGTGGAGTTAGTGACAGAAAAGAGACAAAAAGAGTACTGGTAATTTTCTGATTTTTGAGTGATTAAGTTTTAAATAGATGCTTCTCAGTTTACATTTTAAATAAAATTATCAGTACAGTATTATCTAAAACCTGTATATAAATTTTGATGTGTATTAATAATAAAATTTCATGGTCTATATAACTTTTTTATTATAACTTTCATTTTAGGTTCAAAGTTACATGTGCAGGTTTGTATATAGGTAAACTGTGTGTCACTGGGGTTTGGTGTACAGATTATTTTGTCACCCAGGTAATAAGCGTAATGCCTAATAGGTATTTTTTTCTGATCCTGTTCCTCCTCCTACCTCCACCCAAAAGCGGGCCCCAGTGTCAGTTGTTTCCCTCTTTGTGTCCATGTGTTCATGTTGTTTAGCTACCACTTATAAGTGAGAACAGGCAGGATTTGTTTCTCTGTGTCTCTGTTAGTTTGCTAAGAATAATAGACTCCAGCTCCATTCACGTTGCTGCAAAGGACATGATCTCATTCTTCTTTATGGCTGTGTGTGATTCTATGATGTATGTGTACCACATTTTCTTTATCTAGTCTACCATTGATGGGCATTGAGGTTGATTCCATGTCATTGCTATTGTCAAGAGTGCTGCAATGAACATGCAGGTGTGTGTGTCTTTATGGTAGGGCAATTTATATTCTTTTGAGTGTATAACCAGTAGTGGGATTGTTGGCTCAAATGGTAATTCTGTTTCAGGTTCTTAGAGGAATTGCCACACTGCTTTCCACAGTGGCTGAACTCATTTACAGTTCCACCAGGAGTGTACAAGTGTTCCCTTTTCTCTGCAACCTTGCTAGCTTTTGTTAATTTTTGACTTTTTAATCATAGCCATTCTGACTGGTGTGAGACGGTATCTCGTTGTGGTTTTGATTTGCATTTCTCTAATGATTAGTGATGTTGAACATTTTTTTTTCCTATGCTTGCTTGGCCTATATAGCTCTTATTTTGATAAGAGAGATTTCATCAGTTAAGTACTGTATTTTGAAATGTCCCTTTGTTATGCCAGAAATTTTTACTCCCAGGTTACTGTTCTATGGTAAGACTTCAAATATGTGAGAGATATATGAGAGGACAATTGCAAAAGGGTAGGCAAGAAAGGATTAGCAGATGAATTCCTGAAAAAAATAAGTTTTAAAGAAGCATGTAAAAAAAGGATGAGATTCTGAAATTTCATTATGTTTAGACATTTATAGTCTCATGAACTTTGGAAAGTTTCATGCTTCCTGACATAATTATACTATACTGTTTGTCTTTCAACTGCATCACGGTATGTATATTCAACTATAAGAACATTTTACAGTAGGCACAGATGTAAAGAAGTGTTCCATGAAAGAGGCTCATTCAAAGTGATAAGGACTGAGGGGTGAGTTAGAAAGGATAATCCATGTGAATTTTGTAGAGAAATGGAGATTCATGTGTGATAGAAGTGAATTCTCTGGGACCACCTATACGCTATTTAACCTTTCTGCCATAATAAATGGAGAGAAAAATGAGATGGAAAGAGAAACACATAATTAGCCAATTATCTAGAAAATAAACTAAATAGATGCTCATGGGTTTTATTTGAAAGAAAATTATAATTTCATTTGACCACATAAGGGCATTTTATATAAAGGTGGAAGAAAATAATTACAAAGGCAAACACACTTATTTTAAAATTGCATCTATCACAAATTATTTGCATTTTTAATGCAGGGATGATTTTTAAATTTCAGATAATTATTTTAATTATTGTTTTTATAATGCATTTTAAAATATTATTGATATTCAGACAGCAATCATGAACTATAATACATAACAAAGTATTTGCTATTCTATACATGGTTCTACAAAAGCAGATCTATTAACTTTTGATTTTATTCATGTAAAGTGACATATTGTTAAGATTCCTTAGAAATAGGCTGGGCATCGTGGCTCACACCTGTAATCCCAGCAGTTTGGGAAGCCGAGGAGGGTAAATAACCTGAGGTCAGAAGTTCCAGACCAGCCTGACCAACATGGAGAAACCCCGTCTCCACTAATAATACAAAAATTAGCCAGAGATGGTGGTGCATGCCTGTAATCCCAGCTACTCGGGAGGCTGAGGCACAACAATTGCTTGAACCCAGGAGGTGGAGATGGTGATGAGCTGAGATCATGCCATTGCACTCAAACCTGGGCAACTAGAGTGAAACTCCATCTCAAAAAAAAAAAAAAAAGAAAGAAAGAAAAATAAAAGATATTTTTCTTCAAGGATAATAAAATACTTTATTTGCCATGGTGATTCATTTTTTTCCATGTTTCTATTGAAGTAGACAGTTTGATCCCTTTGAATAACATTTTAATTGAAAACCATGAACCTGAAAGTTCAAGTCTATTTACTCACACCAGGAAAGCCTTTTTTTTTTTTTAACATCATTGTTATCTCATAACATCACTTTGATGATTTTGAATGTATCGTAGATGTTTAATGCTTATTAATATATTGTTATGGATTGAAGTTGTTGTCCATTCAACATTTATATAATGAAATGCTAACCTCCAATGTAATGGAAATGGGGACTTTGGGAGTTATTTAGGTCATTAGGGTGGAGGCCTCATGAAAGGAGTTAGTGCTCTTATAAGAAGATACATAAGAGAATTTGTTTTCTCCCTCTCTCTGTCCACCATATAAGTATATAAGAAAAAAAAAATCCATTACAAACGAGAAGAAGTGCCTTCATCAGATATTGGATCTGGTGACACCTTGATCTTGGACTTAACCTCCAGTTATGAGAAATAAATGTTTATTGTTTAAGCCACCACATCTATTGTATTTTACTATAGCAACCTGGACTGAATGAGGCATCTATCTTGACTTCAACTATAAATTTAACATACACAAGGATTTAAGTAGCACTGAAAACAATAATGCAAGTCCTTTAGCACAATATTTCATAGCATGGAGGCTGTGTTATAAAGGTTGCTAAAAATGTATCAACCTTATGGTTCCAGATTTAAATTACTAAGATTCCCCACACAGAAAGAATGGGTATGGGCAGATGCTTTTTACTCACATTGGTTCTGTTGCTTTTTGGTGTGTTTCCTCTCTGGTCTCAAAATAGTTTTGTCTCCTTCCTGGTAAACTAATATTACTTACAGAAACTACGACTTTCCCCTTGCCTAAACATTGGTGTTGCTATGATATGCATTCCCTATAAGCTGACAGAAATAAAATTTAAAAGAAAGGAAAGAATGCAGACGCTTACCCTTAGCCTTGGATATCAACTTACAGAGACAAAATCATATTTCGCTACAAAGAACAGAAAATAAACTGAAGTCTATTATTTAAGTGTGAGTAGTTTTCCCCGATAAATAAAAATTTGTCTTCTATCCAGATAGTAAAATGTACTTCATTTGGAAGTCTCACTGTCCTGCAGAACTCTTCCTGTTTGTTTTCTTTTCCTTTCTTTCTTTTGTTTTTTGAGACAGAGTCTCACTCTGGTGCCCAGGCTGGAGTACAGTGGCGCCATTTTGGCTCACTGCAAGCTCCGCCTCCCGGGTTCATGCCATTCTCCTGCCTCAGCCTCTGGAGTAGCTGGGACTACAGGCACCCGCCACCACGCCTGGCTAAATTTTTTTGTATTTTTAGTAGAGACGGGTTTCACGTGTTAGCCAGGATGGTCTCCATCTCCTGACCTCGTGATACGCCCACCTCGGCCTCCCAAAGTGCTGGGATTACAGGCATGAGCCACTATGCCCGGCCTCCTTTCTTTTTTTTTTGTAATATTGAGAGGTGACAGCATGCTGGCAGTCCTCACAGCCCTCGCTCACTCTCGGCACCTCCTCTGCCTGGGCTCCCACTTTGGCAGCACTTGAGGAGCCCTTCAGCCCACCGCTGCACTGTGGGAGCCCCTTTCTGGGCTGGCAAAGGCCAGAGCCCACTCCCTCAGCTTGCAGGGAGCTGTGAAGGGAGAGGCGTCAGCGGGAACCGGGGCCGCTTGTGGCAATTGCGGGCCAGCTGGAGTTCCGGGTGGGTGTGGGTTTGGCAAGCCTGGCACTCGGAGCAGCCGGCCAGCCCTGCCGGCCCCAGGCAATGAGGGGCTTAGCACCCGGGCCAGCGGCTGCGGAGGGTGTACTGGGTCCCCCAGCAGTGCCAGCCCACCGGCGCTGCGCTCGATTTCTTGCTGGGCCTTAGCTGCCTTCCCACGGGGCAGGGCTCGGGACCTGCAGCCCACTATGCTTGAGCCTCCCACCCGCTCCGTGGGCTCCTGTGCCGCCAGAGCCTCCCCGATGAGAGCCGCCCTCTGCTCCACAGTGCCTACTCTGATCGACCACCCAAGGGCTGAGGAGTGCGGTGCACGGCGCGGGACTGGCAGGCAGCTCCACCTGCAGCCCCAATGCGGAATCCACTGGGTGAAGCCAGCTGGGCTCCTGAGTCTGGTGGAGAGGTGGAGAACCTTTATGTCTAGCTCAGGGATTGTAAATACACCAATCAGCACTCTGTATCTAGCTCAAGGTTTGTAAACACACCAATCAGCACCCTGTGTCTAGCTCAGGGTTTGTGAGTGCACCTATCAACACTGTATCTAGCTGCTCTGGTGGGGCCTTAGAGAACCTTATGTCAAGCTCAGGGATTGTAAATACACCAATGGGCACTCTGTATCTAGCTCAAGGTTTGTAAACACACCAATCAGCACCCTGTGTTTAGCTCAAGGTTTGTGAGTGCACCAATCGACACTCTGTATCTAGCTGCTCTGGTGGGGCCTTAGAGAACCTTTATGTCAAGCTCAGGGATTGTGAATACACCAATCAGCACTCTGTATCTAGCTCAAGGTTTGTAAACACGCCAATCAGCACCCTGTGTCTAGCTCAGGGTTTGTGAGTGCGCCAATCCACCCTCTGTATCTAGCTGCTCTGGTGGAGCCTTGGAGAACCTGTGTGTCCATACTCTGTATCTAACTAATCTGATGGGGACATGGAGAACCTTTGTATCTAGCTCAGGGATTGTAAACGCACCAATCAAGCACCCTGTCAAAACAGGCCACTCCGCTCTAACAATCAGCAGGATGTGGGTGGGGCTAGATTAGAGAATAAAAGCAGGCTGCCGGAGCCAGCAGTGGCAACCCGCTCGGGTCCCCTTCCACACTGTGGAAGCCTTGTTCTTTTGCTCTTTGCAATAAATCTTGCTACTGCTCACTCTTTGGGTCCACAGTGCTTTTATGAGCTGTAACACTCACCGTGAACATCTGCAGCTTCACTCCTGAAGCCAGCAAGACCATGAGCCCACTGGGAGGAATGAACAACTCCAGATGCGCTGCCTTAAGAGCTGTAACACTCAACGCGAAGGTCTGCAGCTTCACTTCTGAGCCAGGGAGACCACGAACCCACCAGAAGGAAGAAACTCCGAACACATTTGAACATCCGAAGGAACAAACTACAGACGCGCCACCTTAAGAGCTGTAACAGTCACCGCCAGGGTCCGCGGCTACATTCTTGAAGTCAGTGAGACCAAGAACCCACCAAGTCTGGACACAATATGAGAAAAGAGTTATGATTAAAGTTTTCCAGTGATTTACTAAACCATGTCCTCCACTTTTGGAAATTCTTCTTCCTTTACTAATGTTATTATTTGCTAAGCAGCAGATGTCAGATGCTATAGCTGAATTTGCTTAGCTGCCCAAATCAACCCTTTAAAAATTAACTTTATATTGAGCATAAACCGACAAAATTGGCTTAAGTGAAGCTTTGCTAAATGTCTAAAATTGGCTTGTAAAATAATTGACCACTGTAGCTGCAAGTTCAAAAGCAGGTTAGTATGCATTTGGCATCTTTCCATACCAATTATTACAGACTTAAAAGTTTATTTTCCATAGGACCATTCCCATTCTTCTGCCTCTGTCACTTTTTGACTTATTTCTAGTTATCACTATCCTTTTTCTTGATAATATAAATGAAGGGTTAATTTTAAAGATCTAGTTACCAAAAAAAAATTATTACCTAAAAATGAATATTTAAATGTGGAAATTAAAATGATAGTGAAAAGCAACAGTGGTAAAAGCTGTGGCCATTGACAAAGTTCGTATGCACTTACTTTCTAATTATTTTTTCTTGTTTTTATTTTTCTTTAAATTTTTTTTTACATGCTTGGGGGTAAATTGTAGTTTTGGTGTGTAGATATATTGCATAGCCAGCAATGGAACTTATTTTTTAAAATACTACCAACCATATTTCTGTAAGTAAATAACATATGGAATGGAACAGCCATAATTATCAATTGAGATCAAGTATGCATTACTTTTTATTTATATAAAGATGGAATTGTTAAGTTTTAATATTTTAGAATCTAATTTTACATATACAGTATCATTAGTTTACATAAGTACATCCTTAATCATAAACTGAAATACGTCTATTATATTTATTACAAGGATTAACATGACCTGCCAGTTTCTTCTGTTGTAAATGAACTGTAGAGAAAAAGTACCCAAAATTTGAAAATAAACAAAACAAAATATGTACAGTATAATTTCAATGCCATATGAGCTATTGTTTAACAAGCCTACATTACAATTATTTAATTATCTCAGGGAATGTGTCTGTGTTACCATTATTTCATTTGAGCCCAGACTATGTGACGTACATGTTAGTATGAAGATTTCTGTCCCATAGAGAAGAAAATAATGGGGTTCAAAATTTTATTGCCCCATAAGACATTTACTTGTTTTGTAGTTAACTGGGACACATTATTTTAAAATCCTTTAATATTTTTGTCAAAATGACTTTCAATGCCCAGTTTTTCTAAATGCTCTTTAAGTTAGTTTTATCTTTTTACTGTTTTCCTCATTAGTGAATTAATACATTTTTGACACATTTTCATGTCATATTTCTTTGAGTCATGCTGTTAACTTTTTAAAAATTATATTTTGACAGTATAAAATGTAGTCCATTTCCCCAGATATTTTCTATGTTTTATTACTGAGTTAAATTTTATATATTCAGTGGCCATAATTGAAGCTGTTAAATCAAAAAGCCCATTGCAACTTTAAAAATGTCTAACTTTCTGTGATTGACCAAAAAATAAAAAAAGAACTGTTTTAGCTAAGCTTTGATTCCCATATGATTTCACAGCTGACAAAAATAGTGCAAATTAATGTTGAATTTTCTGAAACTCCTCTTTGATCTCAAAACAGGATAGCTGTAGACTTAACACGCTCAATAATCATTTTAAGAGCCAGATCTGTTCACTCATTCGTGTGTCTTTGTTTCCTTTTGTAAGTGTATAAACCCTTAACTCATTTTATCCCATCCTTCTGGCTTGGTGATTTATGCTCTCTAATTGGAATTACTTTCTTCCAATCTCCTCTGTCCTATGTTAGTTTGCCCACAGAAATCTGTTGTCAAGTGTGTGTGTCCTCTTTCTATTCTTAAAATTCAACTTAGTTTATAAGAAGGATTTAAGCATGAGCTTCTCTTATCAGTCAGGAGCCAAAATATTCCTCATCACATTTCTTATTGAAATTACACACACACATTTAACTCAAAGCCAGTGATAAATGAAAATTTAAGATTTAAATATTTCATCTCATTTACAAAGTACAGTAAGCAGAGTATATTTCCTGAAACTTATTCCATTGAAAAAGTATAAACAAATCAGAGAATAGATATGCAAATTGTACTTGGGTTGAGGAATCAGTGTCAGGAAATGATGTCATTTGCACTGTGAAGCATTCACTGTCTTTAAAGTCAAAAGACACATTTGCAACAATATGGATGTTCCTGAAGTCTGATATGCTAAGTGAAATAAGCCAGGTGCAGAAAGACAAATACTGCATGATTTCACTCCTATGTGGAACTTAAGAAAGTTGATCTCACTGAATTAGAGAGCAGCATGGTTACCAGAGGCTGGGGTGGTTCCACAGGGAGGGGCAATTGTAGAGATACTGATCAAAGCATTCATATTAGAGTTAGATAGAAGGAATAAGTTCAAGAGCTCTGTTGTACAACATGGTGACTCTAGTTAATGATGGTATATTGTATTCTTGAAAACTGCTAAGAGGGTAGATGTTCAAATTTCTCATCACAAAAATGGTAACTATGTGTAAGGTAATACATTTGTTACTTAGCTAGATTTGAGCATTTCACAATGTATATGTACTGAAGAACATCATGTACACAATGAATACATACAATTGTAGTGTTAATTACAAAAATAAATTTAAAAAAGAAGTCACAGAAGTCACAGCTGATATAATAGCAAAATTTATCCTTCTTACTCTATTGAGCATATTACATTTCTACTACAGGAAGGCTGTTTATAAAATTTCACAGCAAATCGTGTTAAAATTTTCAGAGTATTCTGCTTAATGGGTTGATGTATTTCCTCATACATGTACTGGCAGCTCAGAGATTTCTTTGTCAATCAGAAGTGGGGGCATTGTTACCAACGAAAAGCATGGCTGCATCACAACAAATCTGTCTGTCTGCCAGATGCACCATCATTGTAAACCAGAGGACCTTATTTCTCCCTTAAAAAATAACAAAATAACATTCTTAATCAACCAGAATGTCTCTTTCCCTCATGCACATCACCTTACTGAAAGGTTCCCTTTGTTCGCTTAAAATCTAATCCAACCTCCATAAAAACTTCTCTATGTTTTATCTTGCAAAGTAGAATATACTTCCTCAGAGACATTGTGTGGTTGATGGTTTAGAACATTATTTTTAATGTCCTTATTTACTTACCATCCTTTTCCCATGCACAAATTGAGGATATCAGCAAAGATTAGCTCTTTCTACTGTACTCTCTCCCATTCTATGCTTTCTCATGTTTTATTCTGGAAATTAGGATAGAATTTATTGTTATTACATAAATCATTACTAAATTCTTTGTATTGAAGAATAGAACCATTATGAGTGATACAAATGGATTTATTATGGTGATAGGATCTTACACAATTTTGAGACTGGCTTAAGCAAGCTATGTAATTTGTTATCCTGTAACCAAATGTTCTGGTCTTGATGTCAGCTAGTCTGGCTGGCAGGGAGCAAAGACAAACATGAAAAGGGGGTATATGGTTTGGGCACGGAAGCTCAGCCCTGTAATCCCAGCACATTGACAGGCCAAGGTGGGAGGATCATTTGAGGCCTATATTTCAAAAAAGGAGTATCCAGGCAAAGTGGACCCCTCAAGGGTGAAATGGAATTCATTAAATGAACAGGAATCAATGTTTTTTAATGACCCCTTCTATTCGCCAACTTCACTGATGCCAGCAACCTGCAGAAGAACTGGCACACTTTGCCACAGACATACATATGAACCATGCCTAGGAATTGAGGAAAATAAACAAAGGAATGTGGTGGAAGCTGAAAGGATTAAAGCCCAAATGCTGCACAGGGAGATCAGCAGGGTTTAGAGGAGCTGAGTGTTCTGAAGCCACTAGTTGCCAACAGGGTGAACCAGCGAAAGTGTGACAATGAGCTAGAGCTGCAGCAGCACCTGATGTTGTATCAACTTTCTGTGATTCATTCTGATTACTAAATCCTGTGCAAATGACTCTTGAAGCCTAACTTAGAAGAGTGCCATCATTGCTCACTGCCTTTTATATCTAAATGTTCCCATTTGCGATTATTTTTATTCATCTCTCATTTGGCCAGGGTACAGTTTGAAAATATTTTTCAGAAAATTAATATGAGTAGTAAACTTTCTACATATTGGAGCATAGTTTCTCTTTGAAAATCTGAACGATTGTACAACATTTTGGGTTTTATTAATGGTGACCTTGTCATTGTTGCTGCTATTTGCTGTGTTATATTGCTATTGTTATTGTTTACAGGAACGGTCTAAATACACAGATTCATTCCTACTATGCCTTTATCATCTTTCTTTTTTTCCTAAAGATGATTATCAGAGCTTCTAGTGATTTTTGAAATTCATAGTTTTAGTGGTATAGTTAGATATTATTGTATTTCATTATTTTTTGCTGTAGTAAAATAAGCTATTTTTATTTATGGATTCATGTCTAGGTCACATCAAAATATTTTTGTTTTCTTTAGTAAATCTCTGAAGCATTTGTCTATCCTAGTGACTAAGTATTTTAAAAAAACTTTTAAAGAGTCAATTATTTGTGGGATGAAGCGTTATCCATTTTCAGTCCCATGCAGCTGCTCACCTTTCTACAGTTATTTTTTCTTTCCTTTTTAAAAATTTTTATTCTTGTCATCTATGAAGTAGGAAGAACATCCTGCTTTCAAAGGTTCTTTCACCGTATATTAATTAGATTTTCTAATTGAGTTTGTACTTTTCTACTTTTGAGGATAGTTTAAATTTATCACTGTGATTATTTGCATAATTCCTTTTATTTAAAAATCTGATGACAATTTATTTCAATATTCATATAAATACTTTCCAACCTATCTTCCACTTTTCTTGATCCTTTCTTGATCTTTCTCTCCCAACCTCACCAAGCCCAGACTTATTTTATGCATCTTTGTGAGGTGGGGAAGAGAAATAAGAGCAGCTAAAATCTACTCGTGGCAAATTTTCAGTACACAGTACAATATAATACAGTATTATTAACTGTAGTCATCATGCTATGCTTTAGATCTTTAGATTTATTCATTGTAAATAACTGAAAATTTGTATCCACTGATGCATTTCTCCTAATTTCCTGCCCCTCCCCACCCCTGGTTACCAATATTCCACTCTTCATTTCTATGTATTCAACCTTTGTATCGATTCTACATATAAGTGAAACCGTACAGAATTTTTCATTCTGTTTCTGGCTTATTTCACTGAGCATAATAATGGCCTCTAAATTCATCCTGTTTTTTTTTTTTAAATAAAAGACAGTATCTTCTTTTTAAGGCTGAATAGTATTCCATAATGTATACATACTATAGTTGTTAAACCATTTATTCATTGATGGGTACTTAGATTGTTTCTATACCTTGGCTATTGTGAATAATGCTGCAATGAACACAGATATGCAGACGTCTCTACAAGGTGCTGATTTTATTCTCTTTGTGTATTTGTCCAATAGTGAGATTTGTGGATGATGTGATAGTTCTATTTTTAATCTTTTAGGAACCTCTATACTCTTTTCCATAATGGCTGTACCAATTTATCTTCCTACCGACAGCGTACAAGAGTTTTCCTTCTCCACACTCTTAAACAGCACTTGTTATCTCTTGTCTGTTGTATTATATTCATCCTAACAGGTATAGGGTGATATCTCACTGTGGTTTTGATTTGTATTTCCTTGATGATTAACAATATTTAGTACTTTTTCATATACCTGTTGACCCTTTTTATGTCTTCTTTGGAAAAATGTCTGTTCAAGATTTTTGTCCACTTGTAGTTAGGTTTTTTTTTCTTAATTACTATTAAATTGTTTGAGTTCGTTATATATTTGCATATTAACCCCTCATCAGACATATGGTTTTCAAATAGTTTCCCCCAATCCATACACTGCCCTTCCTTCTATTCATTGTTTTCTTTGTTGTGGAGAACCTTTTTAGTTTAATGTTGTTCCACTTAATTATATTTGCTTTTGTTATTTGAGCTTTTGGTGACATATCAAAAAAATTATTACCAAAGCCAATGGCAATGATCTTTTCTTCTGTTTTTCCTTTGAGAGTTTTACAGTTTTAAATCTTTAAATGAAGGTATTTAATCAACTTTAAGTTAATGTTTGTATATGGTATAAGAAACGAGTCCAGTTTCATTCTTTTGCATGTTGCTATCCAGTTCTTCTAAAACCATTTATTGACAAGACAGTCCTTTCCTCATTGTGTCTTTTGGTGGCCTTGTTGAACATTAGTTGACCACACATGCTTGGATTTATTTCTGGGATCTCTATTCTGTTCCACTGGTCTATGCATCTATTTAATTAAAGTACCATAATGTTTTAATTATAACTGCATAATATAATTTGAAATCAGGAAGTGTGATGAGTTTGTTTTTTTCTCAAGATTGCTTTCCCTATTTGGGTTCTATTGAACTTCCATATAAAATTTAAATTTTTTTTCTATTTATGTGAAAAGGCCATTGGAATTTTAATAAAAATTTCATTGACTATGTAAAGTGCTTTGGGTAGAATGAACATTTTAACAATATTAAACCTTCCAATCCATGAACACAAAATATCTTTCTATTTTTTGTGTCTTCCTTAATTTTTTTCATCAACATTTTATAGTTTTCAGTGTACAAGTATTTTACTTCCTTTTATTCCTCAATATTTGTTATGTTTGAAGAATATATTGTTATTGGTGTATAGAAATGCAACTGATTTTTGTATGTTGATTTTATATCTTGCTACTTTACTGAACTTATGAACATATAAGCAAAATTTTACAATATATTAGCAAATATAATGCAAAAATATATAAAATACATAATACACCACGTCCAATTGTAGTTTATTCTGAGGATGTAAGTCTGGTTCAATAATTGAAAATCAATCAGTTTATTTTGTCATATGCTAAATCTAAAGAAGAAAAAAAGATTATATCGATTGATGCAGAAAAGGAATTTATCATATTACAAATAATAATAGCTTTTCATGAGAAAAAATCTGACTAAACAATAATTAAAATGGAATATACTTGACTAGAAAGGGAATTCATGCAAAACCAATTGCTAACATAATGCTTAACAATGAATAACTGTAAATGTTCACCATAAGATCACAAACAAGGCAAAGATGGCGTCTCTTATTACTCCTATTCAGTATTGTACTGAAATATTAGCCAAACAAAAAGGGGGAGAGAGCAGAGTGTGGGGCGGGAGAAGATACTCATTGGAAAGAAATAAAAACTCATATTACTTGTTTTTATTAAGCGTAGCACAGAAGTTTGATAATTTCAACAAAGAAAATAGAAGTTAAAGGCAATTAGTGGCCAATCTGACTTATGTACACAGAATCAAAGGTATATCACTTCCAATTTCAGTTTTTATAAAAATGCAAGTTTGGCTTAAAATACAAAAGTAAATTACTAAAATTTGTCATTTTTCAAATTAAAGGAACACATCATATACTTATTATACTAGATGTAGAAAAATAACTTTTAATAAAAATGAATTCCCTTTACAGAAAAGTTAGCAAATTTAAGATTAGAAGTTAACTTTCTTAAGCTAGCAAAGATATGTACAAAAACACTATGTTACTACTTGGAAAGTTTTCTTGCAGATGTTGAAAACCAAAAAAGATATTCTAGAAACTGACTTTTATTGAACATTGCACTAGATGTCTTAGCCAGCTTATTAATGTGTGAAATAAAACTATGTTAATGGGAAAGTAGAATAAAAAATATTTTACTTTCAAATGATATGTGTATAGCAATAATATTCAAAAGAATTTTCTATATCAAATTATTATAATTTATAGGATAATTCAGCAATTTGTTGGATACAAATTAAAAATGAAAAATCAAGCACAAATTAACAAAACTCAGTAATTCAATTTTTGGGTATATATCCAAAAGGATTGACGGCAGTATCTCAAAGAGATATGTGTACACTCATGGACACAGCAGCATTATTCACAACAGTCAAAAGGTAGAAGCATAAACAAAATGTGGTATAGACATACAATGGAATATTATTCAGCTTTTAAAAAGAAGGAAATTGGCTGGGTGCAGTGGTGCACACCTGTAATCTGAGCACTTTGGGAGGCCAAGGCAGGCAGACCACCTGAGGTCAGGAGTTCAAGACCAGTCTGGTCAACATGGCGAAATCCCATCTCTACTAAAAAATAAAAAAATTAGCCCAGTGGGTGGTGGTGGGTGCCTGTAGTCCCAGCTACTCAGGAGGCTGAGGCAGGAGAATTGCTTGAATCTGGGAGGCAGAGGTTGCAGTGAGCCAAGGTGGCACCACTGCACTCCAGCCTGGGCGACAGAGCAAGACTCCATCTCAAAACAAACAAACAAATAAATAAATAAAATAAAAAGAAGAAAACTGCATACTATGCTAGGGTTAGGATTAGGGTTTACATAGATAAACTTGGTGGACATTATGTTAAGTAAAATAATCCAGTTGTGAAAATACAAATATTTAATAATTTCATTTATATGAAATAACTAAAGCAGTCAAATTTATAGAGACAGACAGTAGACTAGTGGTTGCTAGGTGCTAAGGGAATAGGTTATGAAGTAGAGTTGTTGTTTAATGGGTGTAGAGTTTCAGTATTGCAAGATGAAAATATAATAATTCTGATGATTGGTTTCACAATGTATAGATGTACTTAACACAACTGAACTATACACTTAAAAAAGTTAAGATTTTAAATTATATATTACATATATTTTAGCAACATTATTAAAAATCAAGTGCATTTCTATAAACCAGCAGTAAACATGTGGACACTGCATATTTTTAACAAGATAACATTTTTTTTCAGAGTCATTGTTCTGCAGATCTCCCATGTCCACCTTTCAGAAAGGTATTGGAAAGAGCATCCCTGAAGCTAAGCCATTCATATCATCTGCATAGGGCCCTCATATAGGGTCACTCCATTTATATATTTTTTTCAAAAATATCAAGTCTATGAATAAATCTAACAAAATCTATGAAAGGCCATATATGTGTGTAGGTAAATTATAAATTTTATCACACATCAAAAACAAAATAAATGATAAATGTAGATGTAAATATACATTTTCATATTCGTGGGTTGAAATACTACATAAATTACTTTTCTCCAAGTTGATATACAGATTTAGCACAATTCAGTCAATACCATTTTTTCTGTGACATGTGCTTACATGAACTGACAATTTTTAAAATTTATATAAAATTGCTATATAAAAATTCTTTTTCAAATTTATATAGAACTAAAGGAAAATAATAAACCCATAAAAGATCTGCACATACAGTGGTGTTATTATATGTGAGAATTTGCAGATTAACCTGAAATAAGATTGACTTTTATAAATGAGAAGTATAAGAAGAGCACCATTTTAATATTGTGACAATTTAATATTATACTAAGTTGATATTCCCACCTGGTATTTCAAAGTGCAATAAAAAGGTTACTGGATAACAATTGTGTATGTAGGGGGTTTCTTTCGATTTCTCTAAATTTATAATTTTTAATCTGTGGAAGGCAAAAATGATTTTTTTTATCATCAGTTTTTGATGGTCAGAGGAAATATTAAATAAGACATCATAGACATAATGTAATCATTGGTCAATTTTTTTGTATAAGGAAAATACTGAATATAATAAAAACTTTATACCTGGTGAAAAACAAACAAGCAACCAACACCACTAACCACAAATTTTTAAAGTCTTAATCTTTACAAACTTAACTTTTTGCTTATTTCAAATTGCACTTAGCTGAATTCATAATAACTCTTAAAATAACATACATTTTAATATCATGTAATCATTCTTCTCAGACTTTTTTTCCTTTCCTGACTGCATGTGTTATTGTCTTTACAAAGTTCAAGTATATAAAACTTCTTTAAAAATATTTTTTAAATTAAATCTCTCTTTTATTTTAGCAAAATAAAATAAAATTTTAACATATTCTAATGATGTTAATTTATCCATTTCAAAGAGAGCCAATGCAATAGGGTTCTCTAATATTAATTCACGTTATCTTAAAACTTCATATGAAGTATTAATTTGCTAAGGTTGCTGTAATACTATAGACTGGCTGGCTTAAGCAACAACACTTAGTTTCTAATAGTTTTGAAGGCTGGAAATCCAAGTTCAAGGTGCTGGTGGGTTTGGTGTCTTTTAAGGTTTCTCTCTCTCTCCTTTGCTTGCAGATGGCAAGCAATCACCTTTTCTGTGTCCTCATATGGTCTATCTTATGTGCACTCAAATCCCTGGTGTCTCTTCCTCTTCTTCAAAGGATACCAGCCTTGCTAGATTAAAGCCTTATCCTAATAGCCATACTCTTTAAAGGCCCTGTCTCCAAAACCAGTCACATTCTGAGGTACCAGGAGTTAAGACCTTCAACATAAAAACCTTAGGGGTGATCACAATTAAGTCAATAACATATGGGTATTTAAAGTTTAAACTCGTTGAATTTATTTCAGAGTTTTTAACCTCACTTTCTATTATGTCCCTTTTAATTTTATGCATATGGCTTAAAATTTAACAACAAAGAAACACAAATTAATTTTTATATTTTGCTGATGGATTTACTTAGTTTATTCTGAACTTGCAAGAAAAGTTTCAGTACAGGCTTACCTCATTTTATTGTGCTTTGCTTTATTATGCTTCACATAAAAAATCCAAAGCCAATTTTCAAATTGAAAGTTTCTGGCAACCCCGCCTTGAGCCAGTATATCAGTGCCATTTTTCCAACAATGTATGATCACTTTTTGCTTCTGTGTCAAATTTTTGTAATTCTTTCAATATTTCAAACTTTTTCTTTATTATTATATCTTTATGGTGATCTGTGATCAGTGATCTTTGATGTTACTATTGTGATGATTTTGAAGCACCACAAATCACCCCCATATAAGATGGCAAACTTAATAGGTAAATGTGTGTGTCCTTACTGCTCCACCCACTGGCCATTGTTCCATCTCTCTCCCTCTTCTCGGGCACCTCCTAGTCCCTGAGACACAATAATATTGAAATTAGGCCAATAACTCTACGGTGACTTCTGAATCTTCAAGTGAAAAAAAAAATTCTTGTCTCTCACTTTAAATCAAAAGCTAGACATAATTAAACTTTTTCAAGAAGGCATACTGAAAGATGACACAGGATGATCTGGATAAAATGGCAGATGGGAGACAGCACTAATGTGCAGCTCCCACTTGGATGGACAGAGCAACATCTGGAGACTCACATTGTGAACTTTTGCTCTAAGAACCACTGCAGGAACATACCAGGAAAACTGAAAGAATTCACAAATGCTTTGAAAGAAACAGTTTGCTGCTGCAAGTGCCACAAGACAGCCAAAAAACTGTGAGTTTTCAAAGTGTGAGAGGGGGAAAAGTTAGCCTCTGAAAACACATCCCCACTGGGGAACCTGAAAATCCACATCAAGGGAGAAGGGTTTAAACTTACCTAGAGCTGAAATGGATTTAGGGAGCCAAGTGAAATATAAAAGTAGAACAAGCAGTGGGAAGAACCTTGTGGGCACTCCCAGTCCCCAGCTAGAACCCAGGGAAGCCATTCCTGGCCTTATTTTACAGAGGTCCTCGGGGAATGGAAGGCAGCCAGGAAAACTGGGGAGGGGCCACAGGGTGAAAGAAGCTTCTAGCTGAACTTTGCAATAATGTCAATTGAGCATGAAGTTTCCTGAACAGAATCCAGAAGGGTGAAAAGGAAGTGCAGATAGGAGCATAGAAGCCACAGCTGAAGGTGCAGGGAGGTGGGGAGAGAGATAAAGCTGTAGCCCTGCTTGCTTTCTCAGTAGGGAGGCTTGTAGCTTTGGGCAAGATTTCTACCCTGCTCCCTGGCTGCCTGGATATAAATTCAGTGTGGTTGGGGGTGCACAGCAGGAGTGAGACTGGACTTGCTGGCTGCCTGGGAGCTGGGTGAGGCCTGTCACTGCCAGCTTTCCCCAGTTTCCCAAGTAACTGATATGACTCAGCAGAGGCAACCATAATCCCCCTGGGGACATAACTCCATTGGCCTGACCACCACACCCCCATCCCTCACAGGGCCTGCAGCAAGTCCTGCCCAAGAAGAGTCTGAGCTCAGATCCACCTCACCCTACCTGCACCTAATGGTTTTTCTCTACCGTCTCTGGCAGCCAAAGACAAAAGACATAAATTCTTGGGAGCTCTATGGCCCTGGCCATTGCCTGAGTAACCTGAAAACTTATCCTGGCCAATGTAGGGCAAGATTATATCCCCCTTCTACTACTGCAACTTATGCTGTCTTGAAAGCACAACTTCCTGGCTGGAGACCAACCAACTCAAACCATAACAGCAACTCATAACAGAGCAGCCCTGTTCCAAGAAGAAGAAGACAACAGCTACTTCCACCACCTGCAACACTCTGGCTAACCAGGGGTCCCAAGTCTGTCCATTTGACAAATTCACTGCTAGTATAATCAGTATTTGGGGAAACCAGCCCACTAAACAAAATTATAACCAAGGACTCCCACAGAATTCACTTCACTCCCCTGCCACCTCCACCAGAGTAGGTCCTGGTATCCATAGCTTGGAGACCTGAAGATGGATCACATCCCAGGAATCTTTACTGACATTCCCTAGAACCACCCTGGAGCTCAGTAGTCCTGCTGGGTGGCTAGACTCAGAAGAACAATAACAATCTGATATGGTTTGGCTGTGTCCCTATGCAAATCTCATCTTGAATTGTAACTCCCAGAATTCCCACAAGTTGTGGGAGGAACCCAGTGGGAGGTGATTGAATTATGGGTGTGGGTCTTTCCTGCATTGTTCTTGTGATAGTGAATGAGTCTCAGGAGAGCTTATTCTCAGTAAACTATCGCAAGGACAAAAAACCAAACACCGCATATTCTCACTCATAGGTGGGAACTGAACAATGAGATCACATGGACACAGGAAGGGGAATATCACACTCTGGGGACTGTTGTGGGGTGGTGGGAGGGGGGAGGGATAGCATCGGGAGATATACCTAATGCTAGATGACAAGTTAGTGGGTGCAGCACACCAGCATGGCACATGTATACATATGTAACTAACCTGCACAATGTGCACATGTACCCTAAAACTTAAAAGTATAAAAAACAAAACAAAAAATGGGAGTTTCTCTGCACAAGCTGTATCTTTGCCTGCCACCATCCAGGTAACATGTGACTTGCTCCTCCTTGCCTTCTGCCATGATTGTAAGGCCTCTCCAGCCACTTGGAGCTATGAGTCCAATTAAATCTCATTCTTTTGTAAATTGCCCAGTCTTGGGTTTGTCTTTATCAGCAGTGTGAAAATAGACTAATACACAATTACTGGTGTCTGGCTCTCAGGAAGCCCCATCACTAAGGGAAGGGGGAGAGCACCATATCAAGGGATCACCCTGTGTGACAAAAGAATCTGAACACCAGTCCTTGAGTTCCAGATCTTTCCCCTGAAACAGTCTACCCAAATTAGAAGGAACCAGAAAAGTAATTCTGGTAAAATGACAAAACAAGGACTCCCAAAAGATCACACCAGCTCTCCAGTAATAGATTAAAACCAAGAAGAAATCTCTAAATTGTCAGATAAAGAATTTGGAAGGTTGATTATTAAGCTACTCAAGGAGGCACCAGAAAAAGGTGAAAAACAACTTAAGAAATTTTAAAAACAATACAGGATTTGGATGCAAAACTCTCCAGAAAAATAGATATTATAAAGAAAAGACAGACACAACTTCTGTAAAAGAGAGACATACTTAGAGAAATGCAAAATACACTGGAAAGTTTCAATAGAATAGAACAAGTAGAAGAAAGAACTTCAGGGCTTGAAGACAAGTCTTTCAAATTAACCCAATCCAACAAAGAAAAAGAAAAAAAATTACATGAACAAAGCCTCCAGTAAATTTGGGATTATATTAAACAAGCAAACATAAAAATAATAGATGTTCCCAAGGAATAAGAGAATTCTAAAAGTCTGGAAAACTTATTTGAGGAAATAATTGAGAAAAACTTCTCTGGTCTTGCTAGAGATCTAGACATTGAAATACAAGAAGCTCAAAGAGTTACTACGAAATTCATTGTTAAAACATCATCACCATGGCACGTAGTCATCAGGTTATCTAAAGTCAAGATAAAGGAAGGAATCTTAAGAGCTGTGAGGAAAAAAAAAGCACCAGGTAACCATAAAGAAAAACCTACCATATTAAAAGCAGATTTCTCAGCAGAAACCTTGCAAGCCAGAAGGGATTTGAGTCCTATCTTTAGCCTCCTTAAACAAAATAATCATCAGACAAGAATTTTGTATCCAGTGAAACTAAGCTTTATACATTGAGAGATAAAATTTTTTTCAGACAAAGAAATGATGAGAGAATTCACCACTACCAAACCAGCACTACCAGTAATGCTAAAAGGAGTTCTAACTCTTGAAGCAAAACCTCAAAATACTCCAAAATGAAACCCTGTTAAAACATAAATCTCACAGGACCTATAAAAAAACAGTAACACAATGAAAAAAATATCAAGGTATTCAGGCAACAACTAGCATGATGAATAGAACAGTACCTCATATCCCCACACTAATATTGAATGTAAATGGCTTAAATGCTCCACTTAAAAGATACAGAATGGCAGAATGGATAAAAATCCACCAATCAAGTATCTGCTATCTTCAGGAGACTCACCTAACACAGAAGGACTCACATAAACTTAAGGTAAAGGGGTGAAAAAAGATATTCCATGCAAATGGATACCAAAAGCAAGCAGGAGTAGCTATTCTTACACCAGACAAAGCAGATGTTAAACCAACAACAGTTTAAAAAGACAAAAGGAACATTATATAATGATACAAGGACCAGGCCAACAGAAAAACATCACAATCCTAAGTATCTATGTGCCTAATACTGGAGCTCTTAAATTTATAAAATAATTACTACTAGAGCTAAGAAATAAGGCAGACAGCAACACAAAAATAGTGGGGGACTTCAATACTCTGCTGACAGTATTAGACAGGTCATCAAGACAGAAAGTCAGCAAAGTAACAATGTACTTAAACTATATCCTAGAATAAATGGACTTAACAGATATTTACAGAATATTCTATCCAACTATTGCAGAGTATGCATTCTTTTAATCAGCACATGGAACATTCTCCAAGATAGATCATGTGATAGGCCACAAGAAAAGTCTCAATAAATTTAAGAAAATTGAAATCATATCAAGTACTCTCTCAGACGGCAATGGAATAAAATTGAAAATTAATTCCAAAAGGAACCCTCAAAACTATACAAATATATAGAAAATAAATAATATCCTCCTGAGTGATCTTTGGGTGAATGATGAAATCATAATGGAAATTTTAAAATTATTTGAAGTTAATGATAATAGTGGTGCAATTTTTCAAAACCTCTGGAACACAGCAAAAGCAGTGTTAGAGAAAATCTCACATCAATAAATGCCTACATCAAAAGGTCTGAAGGAGCACAAATAGCCAACCTAAGTTCACATCTCAAAGAACTAGAGAAACAAGAACAAACCAAATCAAAAGCCAGCAGAAGAAAATAAATAACAAAGATCAGAGTAGGATGAAATAAAATTGAAACAACAACAACAAAAATCAAATGATAGATGATATGAAAAGCTGGTTCTTTGAAAACATAAACAAAATCAATAGATCATTAATGAAATTAACCAAGAAAAGAAGACAAAAATCCAAATACACTCAATTAGAAACAAAATTGGAGATATTACAACCAATAGAAATGCAAAAGACCATTCAAGGCTACTATGAACACTTTTACACACAAAAGTAGAAAAGCTAGAGGAGATGGATAAATTCCTAGAAATGCGCAATCCTCCTAGATTAAATCAGGAAGAAACAGAAACTCTGTATAGACCAAATAAAAAGTAGGAAGATTGAAACAGTAATAAAATAAATTGTCAACAAATAAAAATCCAGGACCAGGTAGATTCACAGCTAAATTCTATAAGACATTCAATGAAAAATTTGTACCATCCTACTGAAACTATTCCAAAAGATAGAGAAAGAGGGGAACCTCCCTAAATCATTCTATGAAGTCAGTATCACCCTAATATCAAAACTAGGAAAGGACATAACAAAAAACGAATATTACAAACCAATATCTTTGATGTAAATCCTCAGAAAAATAGCTAACCAAATCCAACAGCATATCAAAAAGATAATACACCATGATCAGGTGGGTTTCATACCAGGAATGCAGGGTTGGTTTAACATACACAAGTCAATAAATGTGATATACCACAGGAACAAAGGTAAAAACAAAAATTATATGATCATCTCAGTAGATGCAGAAAAAAAATTTGATGAAATTCAGCATCCCTTTATGATTAAAATCCTCAGCAAAATCATCATAGAAAGGGCATGCTTTAAGGTAATAAAAGCCATCTATGACAAACAAACAACCAACATTATATTGAATAAGGAAAAGTTGAAACCATTTTCCCTGAGAACTGGAAGAAGACAGGATGCCCATTTTCACCATTTCTATTTAACACAGTACTGGATGCCCTAGCCAGAGCAATCAGAAAAGGGAAAAAAAATGAAGGGCATCCAAATCAGTAAAGAGGAAGTCAAACTGTGGCTGTTCATCAATGATATGATCCTATACTTAGAGAACCCTAAAAGCTCATCCAAAAAGCTTCTAGATCTGATAAATGCATTCAGTTAAGCTTTAGGATATAAAATCAATGTACACAAATTGGTAGCACTGCTATACACTAGGAGTGACAAAGCTGAGAATCAAATCAAGAACTCAAACCCTTTTATAACACCTGCAAAAAAAACCATAAAATATTCAGGAATATATCTAACTCAAGAGGTGAAAGATCTACTAGGAAAGCTATAAAACGTTGCTGAAAGTAATCATAGATGACACAAACAAAAGGAAACACTTCTCATGCTCATGGATGGGTAGAATCAATACTGTGAAAATGACCATACTGCCAAAGCAATCTATAAATTCAACTCCCATCAAAATACCATTATCATTTTTCACAGAACTAGAAATAAACAATCTTACAATTTATATGGAACCAAAAAAGACCCCAGATAGCCAAAGCAAGACTAAGCAAAAAAAACAAATATGAAGGCATCACATTACCCAACTTCGAACTACACTACAAGTCTATAGTTACCAAAACAGCATGGTATTGGTATAAAAATAAGCAGGTAGATCAATGGAACCAGATAGAGAGCCCAGAAATAAAGCCAAATACTTACAGCCAACTGATCTTCAACAAAGAAAACAATAATATAAAGTGCAGAAAAGACACCCTATTCAACAAATGGTGCTGGGATAATTGGTAAGTCACACATAGAATAATGAAACTGGATCCTCATCTTTCACCTTATAGAAGATAGAAGATAACATCTGAAAAACTCTGCTAGACATTGGCTTAGGCAAAGAGGTTATGACCAAGAATCCAAAAGCAAATTTAACAAAAACAAAGATAAATAGTTGGGACTTAATTAAACTGAAAAGCTGATGCACAGCAAAAGAAATAATCAGCAGAGTAAACAGACAACCCACAGAGTGAGATAAAATATTTGCAAATTATGTATTTGCATTAATACATAGATTAATATCCAGAATTTACAAGGAACTCAAACAAATCAGAAAAAAAAATCTCATCAAAAAGTGGGTTAAAGACATGAATAACAATTCTCAAAAGAAGATATACAAATGGTGAACAAACATGAAAAAATGTTCAACATCATTATCAAGAAAAGTGAAAATCAAAACCACAATGTGATACCACCTTACTCCTGCAAGAATGGCTATAATTTAAAAATCAAAGAGTAATAGATGTTGGCATGGATGTGGTGAAATGGAAACATTCTTACACTGTTGGTGGAAATGTAGACTTGTACAACTGCTATGGAAAAGAGTGTGGAGATTCCTTAAAGAATTAAAAGTAGAACTACCAGTTGATCCAGCAATCCCACTAGTGAATATCTACCTAGAGGAAAAGATGTCAGTATATAAAAAAGACACTTGCACACACAGGTTTATAGCAGCACAATTCACAATTGCAAAAATATGGAACCAACCTAAATGTCCATCAACCAATGAGTGGATAAAGAATTTGTGATATATAAATGCCATAAAATACTACTCAACCAAAAAAAGAAATAAAATAATGGCATTCGTGCAACCTGGATGGAGTTGGAGACCATTTTCCTAAGTAAAGTAACTCAGCAATTGAGAACCAAACATTATTTGTTCTCACTTGGAAGTGGGAGCTAAGATATTTGGATGCAAAGGCATAAGAAGGATATATGGACTTTGAGAACTTGGGGGTAAGGTTGGGAGTGTGGTGAGGGATAAAAGACTATGCATTCGGTGCAGTGTACACTGCTTGGGTAATAGATGCACTGAAATCTCAGAAATCACACCTAAAGAACTTATCCATGTAACCAAACTCTGCCTGTTCCCTCAAAACTGTTGAAATAATAATAAAATAAAATAAAATCCCATTAATTTAACCAAGATTTATTGAATACCTATCATATATCATGCACTATGATGAACACTGGGTTGACAAAGATTAAAAACATCATGATCCATGCATTCAAGAACTTGACATCTAAACCTCAGCATCACATAACATACCCATGTAACAAACAAGCACAGGTACCCTCATATCTAAAATAAAAATTGCAATTATTAAAAAAAGAAAGCTGACATAGGCTGAAAACTAGGCCTCTTGCACCAAATAGTTAACCAAATTTTGAATGAGAAGAAAAAGTTTTTGAAGGAAAGTTCTCCTTCAGTGAAGACACACGTGTTAAGAGAGCAAAACAACCTTATTGCTGACATGGAGAAAGGTTTAGTAGTGTGGATAGAATATCAAACCGTCCTTAATATTCCCTTAACCCAAAGCTTGATACAGAGCTTGAACTCTCTTCAATTATTGAAAGGCGGAGAGAGATGAGGAATCTGGAGACCTTTGCAGCTAGCAGAGATTAGTTCTTGAGGTTTAAAGAAAAAAAGTGTTTTCATAAGATAAAAGTGCAAGAAGAAGCAGTAAGTGCTGATGTAGAAGCTGCAACATGTTATCCAGAGATCTAGCTGAGATCATTGAAGAAGGTGGCTACAATAAACAACAGATTTTCAACGGAGATGAAATAGTCTTCTATTGAAAGACGATGCCATCTAGGACTTAAATAGCTAGAGAGGAGAAGTCAATGTCTGGTTTCAAAGCTCAAAGGATAAGCAGGACTGCCCACCCAGTGTGACCTATCCTGGGCAGGCTCAGGCACCTGTACCACTTGCATACTCACTGCACATACATTGCACTGGTGTGATCTACCTTACCCCTGTGCCCCAGCCATGTCAGGTGCAGAGGCACTCTTTATGCATGGGAATGACCCAGAGGGAACATTTACTCACTTTAAATGCAGCTTTTCTTAGAGAAAAAGCCAGCCTGAGTGTCAGTGGCTGGTCAAGGACAACAGTGAGGCCACTGGAGACGCCAAGATAGCTGTCAAAGGGAAAGGACAAAAGGAAAAGGAGAAGCAAGAGCAGAGGCAAGGACCAGAAAAAACTGAAAATCTGAAAAAGCAACTGACTGAAATAAAGGAAAAATCCCAGGAGGAGAAAGGAAAACTGAAACAAAAGTACACTGTGCAAATAAATAAGCTGGAGGAATAGTTCCATTAAAAAATCCGAAGGAATTAGCCTTATTCAGACAGAGCTGAAAACAATAAACAAGAAAGAATAAGATGTTCTAAAGAAGAATTTAAAGAACAATTAATAGAAACATAAGGAGACTGTTAGGACCTGGGAAGGCATGGTTTTTGAAGAAAATCATCGACTAGAACAAAAGGCTGAAAAAAGACAATGCTGGCGATGAGATCCCATCATGAAGTTGTCGTGCAATTGAACAATGATGGAAAAAATGTGTTTAAAGAGAGTAGTTATCTCCAGAATGCTCTTGCATACCACCTGAAAGAAGTTTATGCTCTACAAAAACGCTCCCAGAAGTTGCAATAGAATCAAATCCTTTTACATCAAAAGGAGATTAATGAGCTCTTGGTTAAGGAAAAGATTATGCAGCTTACCCAGTAGAAAACACAAATCCAAACACTTCAGAAGAAGGTAGTAAGGTTGGAGACTGCTCTAAGTTATAGGACCAGAGTTTGAGACTGAAGTGTTAAAACTGTAGCAACAGCAATGATAGAGAACCAATCAGGTTACGTATAAACTGACAAGCAGTAGCAAAGTCAGGTGAACAAAAGAAAAATGAATTGAGTGAAGAAGCTGGCCAAGAACATGCTAGGTGAGAGAACAGCATTGGACAGTTCTTTTTTAAATGCCCTACACCAAGTGAAATAACAGATCCTATTTATCAGGAAGCATTTAAATTGAAAGCACAAGGGGCTTTCAATTACAAATGAGATCAGCACTTACAGGAAGAATGGAATATCCCCAAATCAGAACAATTGATGACAGAGAGCACAGCATCAATAGTGAAACGGGCTCTTACAGAGACAGAAATAGACAAGTATTGAAGGAAATATGAATATTGGAGATTTGATCTGGGAGCAGAATGAGAAAGTAATGAAATTTCTCTTTGCAAAAATAAACAGTTTTGTTTCTAGGAAATTTAGTCAGATTTCTAGACCTCTAGTTCCAGGCTGTGTTGTCTCTGACGGTGGAGAAAAAAAAAAAATTGAGGAATGAAAGTAAGCTTCAAGATCCAACTTTCATCACCTGGCAAATTCCACTATCAGACTCTTTTCGTGAAATGATGTTTCCCAATATTTTGGAAAGAAAAAATTACAAGTGTCTGACACAGGGACCTTCTGAGAACCACAGATGAACAGCATGTAACTGCACAGAAGCTGTGGGCAGGCATTTCCTTGTAGAAGTCTTACTACAGATTATGTTCAAGAAAGTATCTTAAAGGAAAGAAAGTTAACTCAGAAGTTACCTGTTTGCCACAGAAATTAGTGTCTCCCATGAGGGAAGATCAGAAGCTGGCAAAAGGGAACATTTGCAAAGGCACTGGATTAGTGGCATTCATTTTCGCTTACAGCAGAATAAATCCACGTCAAATATTAAGCAAAGGACTCAAAGACAGAAGCACATCATGTGGAACTACAATAGCATCAGAGACCTTTTTTAAATACCCACCTTCTACCCAATTTTCCACCCCTGATCTTTCATTACTGAGTCAGAAATGGAGCATTGTGAAAGATTAGAGGGACAATCTTTAAATAAAATGCAGTGCTGATCATTGTTTACTATCTCCACTGAAGAGATGGTGAATGGCTTTAAGAATCTTCTGAAAGTTTGTCCACAAACTTCTCTGACTTCCACCACACGAGTGGGAATGTTTCCAAGTTGTAGCTCTATTGGTGGTGAGGATGTCGGTTGCATTTCCATATGGGTTGTTATTTATGATCTTGATGACTTTATCCAATGTTTCTGTCTCCAGACCCACAAGAACTGGCCCCAAAATTTTCTCTTTATAACTAGACATATTTGGCTGCCAGGAGTGTTACATCCAGAAAAAAGTCAGCATTTTAGATTCAAGAAGAAAGAGAGTTTTAAACAACAAGCTGACTCTCTTATTAGGGGCAATTACAGTTGGTGACTAAAGCCAACACTCATTTATCATTCTGAACATTCTGAAAATCATAGAGCCTTTCAGAATGATGCTAAGTCTACTCTTCTTGTGCTCCATAAATGGAGGAACAAAGCTTAGATGGCAACCCATCTGTTTACAGCATGGTTTACTGAATATTTTAAGCCCACTTTTGAGACCTGTTGTACAGAAAAATATTTCTTTCAAAATATTACTGCTCATTGACAATGCGCCTATTTTTCCAGAAGCTCTGATGGACATGTGCAATGAGATTAATGCTATTTTTATGCCTGCTCACACAATATCCATTTTGCAGCCCAAGGATCAAGGAGTAATTTTGACTTTCAAGTCTTATTATTAAGAAATATATTTCATAAGGCTATGACTACCATAGACAGGAATTTATCCAATAAATATTGGCAAAGTAAATTAAAAATCTCTTGGAAATAATTCACCATTCTACATTTATTAAGAACATTCAAGGTTCATAGGAATAGGCTAACATATCAATATTAACAGGAATTTGGAAGAAATTTATTTGAATCCTCATGGATGACTTTGAAGGGTTCAACACCTCAGTGGATGAAGTAACTGCAGATGTGGTGGAAATAGCAAGAGAACTAAAATTAAAAGTGAAGCCTGAAGATGTGACTGAATTGCAGCAATCTTATCATAATATTTGAATGGATGAGGAGTTGCTTCTGCTGGATGAGTAAAGGCTTCTTGAGATGGAATCTACTTCTGATGAAGATGCTGTGAATATTGTTGAAATGACAGCAAAAGATTTATAATGTTACATAGACTATAATAGAGCAATAGCAGGGTTTGAGAGGATTGATTCCAACTTTAAAAGAAGTTCTACTGTGGGTAAAATACTATCAACCAGCACTAAGTACTACAGGGCAACCTCTTGTAAAAGGAATTGTCAGTGGTGCAGCAACTTCACTGTCTGATGGTAAAAAATTGCCAAAGCCACCACGGCCTTCAGCAACAAACACACTGATCATTTGCCAGGAATCAACATCGAGGTAAGACCCTGCAACAGCAAAAATATGGCAAGGTGCTAAAGGCTAAGATAATAGTATTTTTTAAGCAATTAATTGTTTTTAAATTAAGATACATACTTTTTAAAGATATAATTCTACCACATGCTTCATAGACAACAATATAGTATAAACATAGTTTTATATGCACTCGAAAATCTAAAAAGTTGTATGACTTACTTATTGTGACAGTCTGAAACCAAACCTACAGTATCTCCAAAGTATGCGTGAACTGTGGAAAAAAGGTAAATTTGACATGCCTGTTTCACAATGTAAACTACTTAGAATTTGTAGTCTTTTGTTTCCTTCTCTTTGCAATGTCTCTCAACTTACCCTGCACATTTTCTTCAGGTGATAACTTCTCTCCATCTTCTAAATATCCGTAGCTATTAACTCATTTATTCATCCAACATCACTAGAATTTTAGCCACTGGTGTAGGCACTGAGGAAATAGTGATTAATAAGAGAGAATGCCTTGCTCTCACAGAAAAAAAAAATTATAAAGATCTATTATACATATAATGTAGTTAATTTCAAATTGTGGCAAATACTGTTTAAAATAACTGCAGAGAGATTAATGATGTTGGGATGCTCATCGGAAACTCTCTAGGAGAACATTTAGAAATAGGTATCCACTGCACGTAGAAGATTGCTTTGTGAAGAACTGGGGAATCTTTCCAAGAACGTTAGATTAAAAATAGATAAAAACCCAGGAGATTATAACACATCTAGGTTTCTCAAGAACCATAAATAAGTGTAGTGTGATTGGGATATTTAATAACAAATGTGAGGGACAGGAGACTTGGTTGTAGTGATAAGACAGGGCTTTGTAAACGATGATAAGGACTTCAGATTTATTTAAATAACAATAGAAGGCATTGGAAGTAAATAAATGAAGAACGTGATACAATAAATGAAGAATGTGATGCATTCTAAATAAATGAAGAATGTGATACAATACTATATTTGTATTTTATAAATAGGATTAATTCCTATGAATAAAGAGAATAATGCGGTAACATTAGAGATAATTTAAGAAGCTAAAGTCCCATAGTAAATGTAATCTCATCCTTCACAGGAAGAGTTCAAATGAGTAGAGATGTTTCTCAAGAGTTACATGAGTAGAGATGCTTCTCCCAAAGTGTTGGGAGTGAATAAAAGCAGAAGAATCTTTATCAGAAAACTAATACAGATTAACCTTCAAGACCACTCTCTTACATGGGCCCATGAGGGGGCATTAATAATGTACTCACGTGAGCATGTATTTTTTATAAATTTTGCAAAATAACCTATTTATCTGCAATTAGCTAACATTACTATTTCTTTCTGTCCACCTTTTTCTCACAATCACATTTCTCTTATATCAGATGGTGCTAGAATAGCCACAAGAATTTATGTATGCATATAAGGGGACTTTGGCTGAAGGACACTTTGAGTTTGGCTTTCATGCTATATGTTTATGTGGTTCACATTCAGTACTGACTTCCAGGAATATTTGCATGCACTGTACTCATCTTATTACAAAAAGGATATTATTCAATAAATACATTATAGAGTAATGGAAATTATTTGTAAGGTTAATTGTAGGCTAGGAATACATAACTGATCTGAAAAAAAAGTAGAAGAAATGTTGAAAGTTGAGCTACTAGAAGGATAAAAGTCTAAATACATATATGAGAACGACTTAAGTTTGCAACAGTGATGTGGAATTGATTATTTTTAAGAGATTAATTTTGATAAAAAATTAGGATTTACTCTTTAAGAATGAAGAAAGAAGGAAACAGAGGGTGGAAATTTACTGAATTATAGATTTCAATAAATAATTTAATAAATTATATAACTTACTTGTTTTAGGACAGTCTCTGCTATGCGTCCCTACCTTTTCAGATAAACCTATGAGAAAAATATAGCTATAGGCAAGTTCTTACCTCTGGATTCCCTAAAAAGAATATTAGTGTCATATGGGCACTTAATTTTGCTCCTTCTAAAACTTCCCCCAAACTCACCTATCATAGTAATATAGTATAATATCAGAAACTACCAAGAGATACAGAATTAAGTGTCCCTTCTCTGCTTCTAATAAACTATAACATTTTGACTTCTTCAGTAATACTCAAGGCAATAAAAGTGAAAAAAAAAAAGTAACCAGTAGCTATTGATCACTCTGTGTGTAATCACATGAAGCTATATGGTTCTTTTTGCTCACTGATGGATAACTACCTGGAGCCCATAAATTACACCAAGTGTCATCTGTATATTTTCTGAAAGACAACAATAACAGAATTATTTTGTTTTTTGGAAAGAGAAGTGGTTCTACATTTTTGGTAAAGCAGAGTGATGTAGCGGGAAGAAAACATAACCCAGATTCACAAGCTCATATTTTCAGTTAGTAACCATTTATGTCACCATGGGCAAAATAGTTAGTCTTTGTGAACCTCAGTTTACCAATCTGTGCAGTAAAATGACTAGATTTATGTCTTCTAGGTTTATACAGCACAAAATTTCACCCTATGACTCAACTCTGCTGGAGATACAAAGAGTTAGTCATTATATTTTATACATAGGATTCAGTAAACTAAATAGACATAATTTTTTGTAGATTTACCTTGAGGATACTAGAAAGAATGAAGATAGTGCCAGAAAGTCAATTATTTGATATTTTGATAAAAGGACTCACTCACTGAAATAGTATTCTTTTCTTCATTTTTCAGAAACTAAACTATCATCATATACTTATCCTTTATATTCATTGGGGGCCATTTACATCCTTTATCCTAGGGGAATAAAAGGTTCTTTAAAATTACAGTTTTCACAAAGTACTAAAGAGGAAAGTTGAAAGAGTCAACACAGGAATATAGGTACCATTATCCAGAGAGTCATACAGTAGACTTCATTCCATCTGGTGCAGAATTGAGAGTACCAGCTGTCCATGTATGGATGCAGAAATAAAAGAAAAGTGGAAAATCTAGTCTTACATTGTGTTTGGAAATCAACAGATGCCCTTACAAGTAAACTATTTCAACACATTTCTATGAGAGCTTTATAACTTCTAGAATGGTGGCATATATATCAATGCAGACACATTCTCTAGTGAAACAGCATAACTAGTGAAAATGGTAAATTTATAAGCTTGCCGTTTATAAATCTCTAGAAATTACCCTAATGGAATACAGAAACTATAAAAAGAGCATTTATTCAAGCAAGTCGATCAAATCTTGCTAAGAATAGTGAATCTATGGCATTTGAGCCATGACCCACTCTTCCTGCTCACAAGCTCAGCATGCAGAATTTTCCACTTTTGCAGGTGTATCCAAGGACACAGGACTTCCTGTTCTCCCAGCAATGAGTCATGAGGTAAAGATCTCCCCCAAGAAACAAACCATCAGCCTTTTTTTATTTACCATCACTTCATTTGGCAGAAGTTCTCATTAAGGCAAGAACAGCTGAAAAGGCTTGGACTCTCTTCTTCCACCTAGCCCCATCTGTAGGGTGGAAGTTTCATCTTAGACATGGCAGGCTGAGTATATGAAGACACAAATAGATCTCCTGTAGCTCATAGTAGGATTGAGGTTACAGGCTTGGAGAGGCAAGCCCTAAAGACCATAAGCTAGGGCCTTTGCTAGGATCCCACTTATAAGAAGTGTCATGCCAAGAGAAGCGGGTCGCTGTATCTATGTCTAGATCTGGAAAAGTGGCAAAGAGTGTTTGCGCAGGGAGAACCCCAAAGAACTGATGTTATTTGGGACAGAGTTGGGGAAAAATAAGCCCAATTACACTCTAGAACACAATGGTGGTAAAAAAAAAATTGAGAATAGACTGATAACTCCATAAGGTAACAAGCTAAACTTGATATAAATTAAAGGTTTACCAGAGAGAACTGAGAACTGGGGAAAGAGATTGCTAATAACAGTTCCTCACTGAGTCAGAACAAACCTCAAAGAGTAGCATAACGGAAGACCCACGAAGACGCACCAAAACTTTGATCAGACTGTGGAACAATTTCTATCTGAGGACATTGTGAAAAACAAGAGAGAAGCCAGTTGGGAAGTAATGAAAACTATAGCTGCATGTGATACTAACAGAGGTAGGTAGATTTACAGAAATATCACAGTGTACTTTCAAAAGCAGACCTGTGAACCCCAACATTATCCCAAAGTGACTGTGTGCAAGTCCAAGGCTATGACCTCTGAAGATGGCATCAGAGTGGGCACCCTGCTTGGGAAATATGCTTAACTAAAATTTTCCACCCAAGTCACTAAACAAATGAAGTAGGCAATAGCAACCACAACAAGCCCTAGATGAGGAGCAAGATGGGAAGTGGTAATAGAATCTGCAATTACTGTAATATGTTATCTAAAATATTAAATCTCTAATGACAAATTATGAGAAATGCAAATAAACAAGAAAGAGCAATGTATACCTATGAAATAAAGTAAAATCTGTCCTTCATGGGGCCCCAATCTCAACTCAGCAGACAAAAGCAAAATAGCTATTGTAAATTTTCAAAGAACTAAATGACACCATGCTTAAAAGAAAAAGAAAGATATGATGACAATACCTTATCAAATACATTATATCAATTAGAAAAATTGAAATTACAAAAAGGAATGAATAAAAATTCTGGAATTAAAAAGCATAGTAGCTAACAATTAGCTAGAGGGGCTCCACTGGCAGATTTGACCATACAATAAAAAAATAAAAGATTGGCTGGGGGCAGGGGCTCATGCCTGTAATCCCAGTACTTTGGGAGGCCACGGCTGGCAGACCACGAGGTCAAGAGATCGAGACCATCCTGGCCAACATGGTGAAACCCTGTCTCTATTGAAAATACAAAAATTAGCTGGGCATGGTGGTGTGTGCCTGTAGTCCCAGCTACTTGGGAGGCTGAGGCAGGAGAATCGTTTGAACCCAGGAGGTAGAGGTTGCAGTGAGCCGAGATAGTGCAAATGCACTCCAGCCTGGGAACAGAGCGAGACTCTGTCTCAAAAAATAAAATAAAATAAAATAAAATAAAATAAAATAAAATAAAATAAAATAAAAGATTAAGCAAAAGGCATAAGTCGATCAATGTAGGTTATGCAATCTAAAGAAGACAGGAGAAAAGAATGAAGATAAGTGAAGGGAGTTCCAGAGAAATACACCAACATACACATCATAGAAGCACAAAGGACAAGAGGGAGATAAGAAGCAGAAAAAAAATTTGAAGAATTATAGGGCAAAACTTACAAAATTATGATGCAAACATTAATTTATATACCAAAGAAGATTTAAAAAATGCTAAGTAGGAAAAGCCGAAGGGTTGTCTCGCCCAGACACAGCATAGTAAAAATATAGGAAGCTAAAGACAATGTCCCGAAAACAACAGAGAAAAATCACTCTTCAGGTATAAGGAAACCCTAATAAAATAACACCTAACTTCTTAGCAGGAAAAACAATGGAGTCTAGAAATCACTGGGAATACATTTATAGCAAAGAAAGTTAAGGCTATCAAGTATCTTATCTGCAGAAAACTATCTTTCAAAAATAAAGACAAAAAGGACATCACTAGAAAAATTTTAACAGACAGAGATTTTGGCAGGCGCGGTGGCTCACACCTATAATCCCAGCACTTTGGGAGGCCGAGCTGGGCGTATCACAAGGTCAGCAGTTCGAGACCAGCCTGGCCAATATGGTGAAACCCCCATCTCTATTAAAAATACAAAAATTAGCGAGGTGTGGTGGCAGCACCTGTAATCCCAGCTACTCAGGAAGCTGAGGCAGGAGAATCACTTGAACCCGGGAGGCAGAGGTTGCAGTGAGCACACCATTGCACTCCAGCCTGGGTGACAGAGTGAGACTCTGTCTCAAACAAAACAAAACAAAACAAAACAGAAAAACACAGAGCTTTTGCTGCTATTAGATTGGCTTTAGAAGAAATAGTAAAGGATATTCTTCAGGTTGAAATCAAGTGACTCAAAACAGTAATTCAAATACATACAGAAAGTAAAGAAAATGGCTAAGGTCATTTGATAATTATAAAAGACAGAGATTAATACACTTGGCAATAAAAACAAGATCCAACTCTGCTTTCTAATGGAAACACTTTAAATAAAAAAAATACAATTAGGTTAAAGGTAAAAGGATGGAGCAAGCTTTATCATGCAACCATAAGGAAGACTGAGTTACTATAATAATTTCAGTCAAAAATAGACTTTAAATTGTTTATAAAAGTTACTAGGAATTTAATATTATCGAGACATGAAAATGAAACACAGACACATGCTACAACAGAGATGAATTTTGAAAACAGTATGCTAAATGAAGGAAGTCAGACCTCCAAAGACCACATATTGTATAATTTTACTTATATAAAATATTCAGGCTGGGCGTGGTGGCTCACGCCCTATAAACACAGCACTTTGGGAGGCCGAGGTAGGTGGATCACCTGAGGTCAGGAGTTTGAGACCAGCCTGGCCAACATGGTGAAACCCCGTTTCTACTAAAAATACAAAAATTGGCCAGGCCTGGTAGCGCACACCTGTAATCTCAGCTACTCGGGAGGCTGAGGTGGGAGAATCGCTTGAACCTGAGAGGCGGAGGTTGCAGTGAGCCAAGATTGTGCCACTACACTCCAGGCTAAGCTACACAGCGAGACTCCCCCTCAAAATAAAAAAATGCAGAAGAGGCAAATCTATAGAAACAGGAAGATTCATGTTTGCTCAAGACTAGGAAGTTTGGGTAATTTTTGAATAACCACTAATGGGTAAGGAGTTTCCTTTGGAGGTTGTTAAAGTGTTCTAAAATTTATTGTGGGTGATGGTTGCTCAATTCTGAGAATATACTAACAACCACTGAACATTTTAATTAGGTAAATTATATATTATGAAAATTATTTCTCATTAAAGTCATTAAAATTTTATAAAATAAAAACATGTATTACCATCCTACAGACTATTTGTGCCATTTTGTTTTTGTTATTCATATATGACAGGGAATTTTTCTTGAGAATATCTCATTATATATATTCGACACTGTGGCAGATATGAAATACTATAGATAAGTATTAAAATAATTACAAAACGATAATGTCTATATGTATTACAATGTCAAGGAAGAAGACCATATAAAACAAAACAGTCAGGTGAGCATGTGTGTATGTATGTGTGTGTGTCCTATTAAGTGACAAGTAGTGTGACCCTGATTTACAGTTTTCTTTTGAGGAATATCCTGGTGAATACAGAACTGAAATTTGAAGTAGAAAAGAAAGCTAAGCAGCCAAGAGAGAATGAAGTGAAGTATTAAAATAAAATTACATTAAATCAGCAATTCTTTGGGAATATAGAAGTACTGGAAATCTGTATTTGCCCTTAGATATAAGCACAAACAAAAAAGGTCATTAACAAACGGAGAAGAAATCTATAAACAAATGTGAACTATTCATATTAAGTGTATGAATAATCAGTGATCCGTTTTATATTACAACAGAGCATGAGGGAACATAAAAGAATTTGGGGAACATTGATAGCATTGTGCAATAGATAGGAAATAGAAGATTCTAGAAGACATTATTGGATTAATTTAGATGTTCTAAGCTAATATATACACAAAATGGAGTGTAAAGTATGTATGGAGTGTTTAAAATAAATACACAAATTATTTGATACTTCTTTTAAGAGTTAGAATCTAATTTCCTTCCTACTAAATATAGGATTGAGTTAGTCACCCAATTATTAGAAACATAATGTGGTTGAAGGGATGCTCCATAACTTCTAAGACCAGGTAAGAAAATGTGATATCCTTGACCTTCAAACCAGGTCATCACACTACAAGAAATTCCTGGTTATAGGTAGAGGTCACATTTATATAATTTAACCAATGGTCTCTACTGAGGACCCAGCTTATTACCATAATTCCTAGTCAGGCGTAACATTAAAGAAATCTTTAAGGTGACTTCTACCCCAACTACCATTTGACTGCAACTGTAGATAGTAACACTCTACTTTCAAAAGTTAGAATCATAAGTTCCAATGTACTATACTAAAATTTAACATGCTGCTATCTGTATGTAGGAGATATATATCCTTTTTGCCTCATCTGAGGTGGGAATGAAGAGAAAGTTACAAGAAGAAGCACTTGTGAAGGTTATAGACAAGAAGCATAAACCCATTGAAAGACAGATTTAACAGGCATGTTCTTTCACCATTCATCATACATTAGCACGACACTAACAAGGCTCTAGTATAATAATAGTGGATTATAGATGAAAGGGCCTCAAGACGCAAACTCTTGAAAGGAAAACTTAGAGAAGTTAAGAGTGGAAACAAAAAGACACTAGAGGAATTTGAAATCTCCGGCTTCATGACAGAAAATTTGCAAGCTAGAAAAAAGAAAACTACAATATTTAATATGTTAAACATTTTTTAAAAGTTAACCTAGAATTATCTAACTACTAAAATTATTATTCAAAAATGAGGTCGAAATAAAAACTTTCTCAGAAAACTGAAATTGGGGGAATTCATCAGCAGCAGACCTGTGCTGCAAGAACTATTAAAGAATTTTCCTCAGCCGGAAAAGTTTTGATATTAGTAAAAGTCTAGTATCTACGTAAAGAAAGAACATCAGAGGAGGAATAAATTTTAAAAATATTTAAAATTATTGTTAACTGACTAAAAGATAAATATTTAAACTAATAATAATAACAATAATATTTTGGATGATTATAGCACAGTAAGTGGATGACAGCAATGTCACAAAGGATGGGAAATAGAAAATGGACATACTCTGTTACATAGATGTAACACTGTGTTATATGTACTATAAGTAAAGCAGTAGAGTGTTATTTAAAGGAATACAGAATAGTTTAAAATACTGAAATTCCTGAAATTATCTTTATAAAGCAATATACTTAATATGCTAAGAGAGAATAAAAATAGAATTATATGTAACCTTACAAATATGGTTGATCTATCTATCTATCTATTCATATCTATCTCTATTTCTGTATACATACCTGGCTATGTATCTCATATTTATTTAAGTACATTAAGTATAAATAAGTTAAAGAAACTAATTAGAAAGATTCCCAGAGTGGATGAAATTTAGACTTAATTATATGTTGTCTGTAAAACCCACTTTAACTATAAGGATTTTTTTAGGAAAGGAGAAAAGGGATAAAAGATATCATAATATGATGACTAATTTAAAAAGGAGTAGTTGCTCCATTAATTTCAGACAAAGTGGACCTCAGTTCAAGAACAGTCATCAGGAATAAAGAAATAGTGACATAATCATATGTGATCAATTTTCCATGAAGACCTAGCAATCTACAATATATGCATCTAACAACAGGGCATCAATGGATAGAAGTGATGGACATAATTTGAAAAAAAAAGTGCAAGAAAAAAATGGACTAATTGACCTGTATAGAGATTTCAACATCTCTTTTTCAGTAATTAATAGAACAAGTGGGCAGAAAATGAGTATTGATTATCAATTAACGTAATTGTATTGGCATTTATAGAATACTTCATTGAACAACAACAGAATACATATTCTTCTCAAGCTAACATAAAACATTCACCAAGACGGATCACATTCTGGGCCATTAAGCACACCTTAACAAATTTAAACTATAAAATTATACAAACAATGTACACAGACCATAATGAATCAAACTAGGAATCAATAATATAAATATAGCAGGAAAATCCACAAATAATTGGAGACTAAGCATCATACTTCTAAGTAATGCAGAAGTCCAGGAAAAAGTCTCACAAGAGATATTTTAAAGTTGGAACTAAGTAAGAATACAAATCTAACTTATTGAACTTTGTGGGATGCAGAGAAAACAGTGCCTAGAGAGAAATCCATTTCATTAAATGCCTATATTAGAAAAAAATTTCTTAACTCAATAATCTAGCAATTTATTTCACTTTCAAAACGCTAGTGAAAACATAACAATTTAAGCTTATAGCAAACAGAAAGAAAGAAATGATATAAATTAGAGCAGAGAACAATAAATTAAAAACAATGACAAAAAAATTAACACAACTAAAGGCAAGTTCTATGAAAAGGTAGACAAAATTGATAAAACTTTAACCAGTCTGACAAAGGATAAAAGAGAGAGAGAGCAGCTACAAATTACCAATATTGTAAAGGAAACAGACTCCTTCAATGTACACCTCACAAATGACATTAAAAGTATAATAAATGAGCACTATGAATAATTCTATGCTCACAAATTTTATATATTAAATATACCAATTATTTGAAAAGCACAAACTCCCAAAACTCCCACAAGGAGAAACAGATAATCTGAATAAATATGTTCAGTCAAGATATTTAATCTACAACTAATAACATTTCAAAAAATAATAAAAGCACCAGGTTCGAATGGCTTCACTGGTGAATTCTATGAACAATTTAAGAAAAAAATTACAACATTTTCTAACAATTTATTCTAGATTATAGAAGAATAAGTCATATTTTCTAAGTCATTTTAGAGGTCACAATGAATCAACTGCCAAAATCAGATAAAGACATTGTAAGTGAAGAAAATTTCAGACTGATAATTCTCAGGAATACAGATCCACAGTTGCTCAACAAAATGTTAGCAAATTGAATTTTAAAAATGTATAGAAATAATTATGCACCACAATCAAGTGGGATTTGTCCCAGGTATGTAAGGCTGATTCCTTATTGAAAAATCCGTTAATATAATTCACCATATCAAGAGCCTAAGAAGAATAAAAATATTATAATATCAATAGATGCAGAAAAAGCCTTTTGCATAACCTAGTACCCATTCATGATAAAAGCCCTCATAAATTAGCAATACAGGGTAGCTTCCTCAACTTTAGAAAGAACCTATAGCTAATATTATACTGAATAGTAGAAATGCTTTTCATCTAGGACTGGGAAAAAGGCAAGGGTGTTTTATTTCACCCTTTCTATTCAATGTTGTGCTAGACAACTGAACTTGTACAATATAATAAGAAAAGGAAATAAATAGTAGACAGATTGTAAAGGAAGCAATAAAGCTGTCTTTGTTCAAAGACAATGTGATAGTCAATATAATAAGTAAAAATGGAAAATAAAACATTTGGAATAAGTAAATCAAGGTAGCAGGATACAAGGTTGATATACTAATGTAAATTATTTTCCTATACACAGGCAATCATATGATAAAAATTAACTTAAAATGGATCTTAGATCTGAAGGTAACACATGACACCTTAAAGCTTCTAGAAGAAAACATAGGAGCAAAATGTAGCAGGATGAGCTGCAGACAAGAACCCCTGAGACACCGAGTTGTAGAAGGAAAGGGCTTTATTCAGCTGGGAGTATCGGCAGACTCACGTCTCCAAAAACCATGCTCCCCGAGTGAGCAATTCCTGTCCCTTTTAAGGCTTACAACTCTAAGGGGGTCCACTTGAAAGGGTCGTGATCAATTGAGCAAGCAGGGGGTACATGACTGGGGGCTGCATGGACCTGTAATTAGATCGGAACAGAACAGGACAGGGATTTTCACGGTGCTTTTCCACAGTGTCTAAAATCTGTAGATAACACAAGCAGTTAGGTCAGGGGTTGATTTTTAACTACCAGGCCCTGGGTGTGGTGCTGGGCTATCTGCCTGTGGATTCCATTTCTGCCTTTTAGTTTTTACTCCTTCTTTCTTTGGAGGCAGAAGTTGGGCATATGACAATATGAGGGGTGGTCTCCTCCCTCAATCTAAGTGAGCTTGGATTTAATGATGAATTTTTAGACACAATAGCAAAAATATCCAGAAAAGAAAAACTGGTAAGTTGATTTTAATAAAAGTAAAAACTTCTACTTTGCAAAAGGAATGTTTAGAGTTGGAAACACAAGCCTCGGGCTGAGAGAAACTCTTTACAAATCAAATAACTGATAAACAGTTTGTATCCAAAACAGACAGAAAACTCCTATACTTAATAATTAGGAAACAAATAACTCAATAAAGTAGACAAAATATCTCGAGACATTGCCAAATAACTTATACAAATGGCAAATAAAAATATAAAAAGATGTTTAATGTCATCTGTCATTAGGCAATTCAAAGTTAAACCACAATTAGATACCATTACAACCTATTAGAATAAATAAGTTTCAAAAAACTGCCAATGCCAATTACTGAAGAACAATATAAATTCTCATTTCTTGCCGGCGAGAATACAAAAATCATACAACCACTTGGAAGACAGTTGGTCAATGTCTTACAAAGCAAAATATAATCTTAGTTACAACAAGTAATTGCACTTGTAGGTATTTATCAAACTGTTTCGAAAACTTAGGTTCACAGAGAAACCTGAGCAGTGATGTTTAGGAAAAGTTTATTAATAACTGTCCCAAATGAGAAACAGCCAAGATGTCCTTCAATATGTGTATGCATAAACAAACTGTGGTACATCCATATCAGGGAATGTAATTCAACCATAAAAAGTAAAGAGCTATAAAGCCACAGAAAGACACAGATGAATCTTAAACATTGCTTAGTGAAGAAGGTAGTCTGAAATGCTCTATGACGTATGGTTCTAATAAAAGACATTAGGCCAGGAGCGGTGGCTCACGCCTGTAATCCCAGCGCTTTGGGAGGCCAAAGCGGGCGGATCACGAGGTCAGGAGATCGAGACCATCCTGGCTAACATGGTGAAACCCCGTCTCTACTGAAAATACAAAAAAATTAGCCAGGCGTGGTGGCGTGTGCCTGTAGTCCCAGCTACTCGGGAAGCTGAGGCAGCAGAATGGTGTGAACCCGGGGGCCGGAGCCTGCAGTGAGCCGAGATTGCGCCACTGCACTCCAGCCTGGGCGACAGAATGAGACTCCATCTCAAAAAAAAAAAAAAAAAAGACTTTATGAAAATGGCAAACAGGCCGGGTGCAGTGGCTCCAGCCTGTGATCCCAGCACATTGGGAGGCCGTGGCGGGGGGATCACAGGTCAGGAGATCAAGATCATCCTGGCCAACATGGTGAAACCCCGTCTCTACTAAAAATACAAAAATTAGCCCAGCGGGTGCCTGTAATCCCAACTATTCTGGAGGCTAAGGCAGGAGAATCATTTGAGGCGGAGGCTGCAGTGAGTCGAGACCAGGCCACTGCACTCCAGCCTGGGCAACAGAGCGAGACTCCTTCTCAAAAAAAAAAAAAAAAAAAAAAGAAAGAAAGAAAATAGCAGACCATGCAGACAGCAAAAGATTAGTGTTTTGCAGTGTTTTGTGAAGAAAAGGGAGGGTTTCATATATAAAGAATAGGGATTTGGGGGGAGATATAAAACTATTCTGCATGATACTTTAATTGTGGATGCATGACACTGTACATTTCTCCAAAGGCATAGAAGAGTGAACCTTCAAATATGTAAATTGTATGGGGTCATTTTGTAGGAGAGTGGAATTCCAGGATGAAATGCACAATATGACAAAACAATTTAACCTAATTAGGAATGTATGAAGCAACTTCACTAAAGAGGCTTAGGGAGGAAAAAAGGCTCACCAAAATGAGTAAAAATGTGATGGATCTATAAAAGTAAAGGTAAAAAATAAAACTGTTCATAATCACTGTACTCTAGTTAATAAAAGGTATTTCCTGCAAGGATCTGGATTACAAATTCTGATACTACAATACGTGTATACTGGAATTCAACAACTTAGTGAATATATCATGAATGTCTGGAACCAGCCAGTTGCAGTGGGAATTTACAGATAAGCAAGAGAAGGAGTCTAGAATTGCCCTTGTGGTCATGAGGTAGGGTTAAAGACATCCATATGAACTCCTACTTAGCTTAACAGAGATGTACATAGCTGCCCACAGACATATTTATAGATATGTGGTTAGCCTAGACACATATGTGTTCCTTCTCTGTCAGCTGAGATATTTCAGAATCAATGACACCTCACTAGTAACTAGCACACCCAGTGCCCATATCTTGGTTTATCATACCATTCTCCAATAAACAGAAGCAAAGCTTCTTAGAGAAATGACTGATTCTAGAATTAGGGTAGGAAATACACAAGATGAGCATGGAAGATCTTGTGGCCAAAGTAAGAAAATGCTGAGGGAAAGAGGAAGTAGAAAGAGGAGGGGGAGGAGGTAAAGAACAAAAAGGAAGAAGGAGGTAATGACAATGGCACATTGATGGGTTATGGACAGCAAAGGGAGACAGGACCTGAAAGGCCTCTCGATAAGCAACGATGGAAAATTTGAACATCAAAATAAATAAAGTAGTATCAGATTAGAACTCAAAGTATAAAATAAATATCTATTGGTCCATCCTGATATAAATAAATGACTGAATAAATAAATGGGGGAGCTTTTGGGGGAGGAGAAAAATATGTACAGAATAATTACAAATATTCACATAGATTTTGGACTCACAAAAAAGGTAGAGAAAGAGGGCAAGTAACTTTTCAGAGGAGAAAGCTGGCAACCATTACTTCAGCTAGGTATCAGGTCAACATCAACAGTTGTAATTCATGTTGACAGTGTATACCCTTGATATTCTATAATGGATATGGCACTTTATTTTTGTTGTCTTTCTCCCTATAATCTATAACTCTGGTTTAATAATGAGAAAAAAAGACAAATTATAATCTAGCTGCAGTTGATAAACTAATTTACCCTTGTTTCTCGGTCAGAATCATCAAAATAATAAAAGTCTGAGAAAATGTCACAGACAAGTGACGCCTAAGGAGACCTCATGCTGAAATGTAACATGATATCCTGAGTAGGATCTTGGAACTGAAAAAGTGTTTTACATACAAATTAAGAAAATTTGAATAAAATATAAACTTTTATTAATACTAATTTACCAACATTGGTTTATTAACAGTAACAAACCTGCCATACTAACAAGCTATGTTAAAAACAAAAGACACTGGGTGCCAGGTGTATGGGACCCTCTTTACTATCTTCTCAGTTTTTCTGTAAATCTTAAATTTTTTCTAAAAATAATAATTTATTAGAAAAAAATGAGTGTATTTTTACATTTACAGGAATGAGTTAATGAGTGTGGAAAGTCTGACAATAGGGAAGGAAAAGCAGAGAATATTCAAGAAAGCAAGCCACTGGAAGAGATGGTAGGGAAGGCAGAGATAAGAAAATGAGGTAAACAATAACTGAATTTGGCAAGGATAAAAGTCTATTCTTCAAAGAAATAAAGGAGTCATGTGGACTCCGAGAGAGAAGTGTAAAAATGCACTGGATATACATAAAATGTTCACTCTACTCATTTCTTTTTATTGATGTGTGTGAGGACTTCTGACTGGGTTGGGGGTAAATCAGAGCTTTTTTTATTATTTTTATTTTTATTTTTAGAGGGAGTCTCACTGTGTCACCCAGGCTGGAGTGCAGTGGTTTGATCTCGGCTCACTGCAACCTCCAATTCCCAGGTTCATGAGATTGTCCTGCCTTAGCCTCCTGAGTAGCTGTGGTTACAGGCATGTGCCACCAAGCCCAGCTAATTTTTGTATTTTTAGTAGAGACAGGGTTTCACCATGCTGGTCAGGCTGACCTCGAACTCCTGACCTCATGATCCACCCGCCTCAGCCTCCCAAAGTGCTGGGATAACAAGCGTAAGCCACCGCACCTGGCCAAAATCAGAGCTTTATAAATAGGTAAAAATCTATGTAGAAAAAGGAAAAAAAGACATTATGTAAACTTACAAAGAAAAAGGAAAAAAAAAGACATTATGTAGTTTTAAATAAGTAGCTAAATTTGGAAGAACAAAAGATTTTGCTGATAAGGTTAGGATATTTGAAGATATCATGACTATGAATTGGCTGCCCAAAATTCTGGCATAAATATTATTTAGAGAAAGTTTTCAAACCTGGAGATCAATATTTAGAGATTTTAAAGACTGTGTTAATTTAACTAAATTGAATTTGCAAGCATATGCCCCAAAGAGTTTTATAATTTAATAAAATAGTTCAATGGATAGTGCTAGGTTGTAGAAAATTAAAGTTGAGTAGCAAAAAAGAAAAAAAAATAAGAACAAAAGGCTAAAAGAGCAAAACGATCTTTGTCTTAAAGGACTTTGTAATGGAAAGTCATGCAATTAAGCACATATATTTAAAATCCCCACACACCCCTTCAATAGAAAACGCAAATATATGAAACAAACAAAAATTGTAACTACAAACCACAAGGGAAGATCATATTGCCATGTGGACTTAAAAAAAAAAAAAAAAAAAACAAAGACAACCAATTCTGTTTGGTTGGATTAAGAAAGCATTTTTGGAGAAGAAAGTATTTTAAATTAATGTTTAAATATGAATAGTCTTTAAAAAGATATGGAATTGGAGGCCGGGTGCAGTGGCTCACACCTGTAATCCCAGCACTTTGGGAGGCCAAGGCAGGCAAATCACCTGAGGTCGGGAGTTCGAGACCAGCCTGAACAACATGGAGAAACCCAGTCTCTACTAAAAATGCAAAATTATCTGGGGGTGGTGGCGCATGTCTGTAATCCCAGCTACTCGGGAGGCTGAGGCAGGAGAATTGCTTGAATCTGGGAGGTGGAGGTTGTGGTGAGCCGAAATCGGGTCATTGCACTCTAGCCTGGGCAACAAGAGCAAAACTCCGTCTCAAAAAAAAAAAAAAAGATGTGGAATTAAGGTACATATTTTTAATCTATTGAAACTAGGGGAGACATATTTGGAAAAAAGTAACCAATTAACAAAATCTAGACTGGCTAGACTGAGTGTAGAATAATCAAGGGTCAGGGAAAAGGAGGGAGATTAATAAGTTGGTTTGTGTGAGAAAGAAATCATTAAATAATGATTTGAATAGCTGCTGGGTACAGAAACAAGGGAAGAGATGAGAGAAATATTGTGGATTGATCTAACATGACTCAGGCCAAATTAGTATACAAGAAAAAAATAAGGAAGACTAAATGATGACTTTGATTTGTAATTTAATTGTGAAATAATTGTCTTTAGGCTATTACATACGCATTTCAGAACAAGAGTGATAAATATAGCCTTGTCTTAGAACACTCACACATCAGTTTAATCAGCACCATGTTAGCTGTGTAAAAATGTCACTCATATAGAAGTATAACTCTGCATCAGATTGTGAATGTTTATAAAATTTTACCATCTAAAAGTTTATTAAAAAATAGCAAATATCAATTTAAAACAAAAAGTCAAGATGATGTTCTTTTGTATCTTTTCTTGGTATTCTGAAATATTTTCAAATTAACTGATATTTAAAAAATTATAACAAATTAAAAATCTTTAAGATACTTATGCAAAATTCTGCTCTACATTAGTTGGTACTGGAAATTGCTCAGAAGCACCGCATGTTGATGAATTGCCAACACCTTTCAATTAATTAAATCACTATATTTGGCTCTGTCTCTGGTGGGTTTACTGCTTATCCCAAGCAGGTGTTGATGGATTAGGACATTCCTCTCTGGCTGATTCCTGATTAAATTTGGACAAAGGACCTGACAGCTGTCATGTCTCTGTTTCCCATAACTCTTCCCTCAAATCAGAAAGCACAGAGTCTGCTACATGAGAAAAGTGTGGAGAGCCATCTTGTGCAGGTAATTCTTAAGTTGGCTAGAAGCATGAAAATGCATTGTTTTAAGGTTTATTTATATAGAACAAGAGCAGAAACTTTAGAAAGCCTTATTTAGTGCAATTAAAAGTAAAGATATGATATTCATTTTTTATTATCCTGATTCTTTCATTCCATTAACAGGACAAAATGTTCTTATAGTCTCAGGATTCTCACCTTCAAGGAAAATATGCTTGAGGGCAAATACATAACTAATATTCACTCATGAATTATGACTCGGCTGCACTGCTTTCTAAGGTTTTTGTCCAGAGAACGTTGAAGAAGATAGGTTAGAACTCAGATCATCATCAAAAGAGAAAATTTTGATTTGTTCTCTCCTTCTAGTCTTCTAATAATTTAGAATAATGTTTCTGTGAAGGAAAATTATTTTAGAATAAAGTTTTTTTTATAATCTTTACATCCCCTCAGATCCATTTCTTATTTTTTAATGAGCAAGCATGAAACAAGTTATCACTAAATTTATAAATAATACCTCCCATATTTGTATCTGCTAATTGCTTTTGTTTTCTGGAAGCTGGTAGCATACTTCCTTTTGCAGCAAAAAGAATATGTCTGTTCATCCGCCCCCTCCCTCCTATTTCCTCTGCCCAGAGAAATACACAGTAGAGGTGCCTATGAAACAAGTGATGCAAATTGCCTTCTGCATATGTTCTTCCTTTCCTTGGTTTCACTGGACCTCATTTATCTCCTGCATTCTCTCTCGCTCTGTCTGTCTGTCTCTTCACTGAAAAAGCAATGAAGGTCACTGTGCAAGTACACCTAATTACATCATCCGAGGCCATAAAGAACTGAGTGTGGACTTTGGTTAAAATACTTAAAATACCTGCACACTTAGTACATGAAATCTGGCTTCTCCACAAGCTGCAAAAGTGACCAGGTAATGCTCTCTGGTATGTTTTGGCATGGTTGGGGTGGTGTTGAACTCCTTCTGGAGAAACTCTACCAACAGGATCAGGAAGGGAAATACCAGATTTTTTTTCTCTGTGTTTCCTACAGAGGACAATTTGGAGACACAGTATTTTTGTATAGCCTCTTGGAAGACAGCTACATGGTAGAGAGAGCACTCTTGTGCAGCAACTAGCTAAAACTCTCCACAAATTACAATGAAGCCCTAGCAAGTGCATTTGACTTCCATCTTCCCCACCTCGGTCTCTGCCTCCCTCATTGTCTATGTTCTGCAAATGCCCTACTGAAGAAATCAGTTACACTTAAGCCTTGCCTTGGCTTAATTTTCAAGGAAACTGGATTTAAGACACAAGGGCAGAGAAGCTTAGTTTCTCATCTAAGACAATTCTTTCACAAAATTGTGCTATGGAACATGTAAGAGAATTACCTACTCTAGTGTGAAAATCAGAGAAAGCTCCTTTGAGGAGGTGACAGATGAAGCAACATCTGAAGCATGATACTCAATATTATTTAATATATATACACCTGAGTAATTATGTGTTATATCTTTAAAACCAGAGAAGATGTGGACACAATTATGATTTGATTTTACTTTGATAACAAGTTATATATTTTATAAGTTTTTTCACCTAAAAGAATAAAGAAAAAATATTAGAGAGCATACCAGATAGATTATATGTATCATCTAGCACAAAGATTATAAAATCAGAGCAACCTTGATTAAAATTTCTGGATTCTCCAGTTTGTTAAATTCTCTGAAACTTTTTTAGGTTTTGTGATTGTGGGAAAATAATATTTAAATAAAATAATTTTATAGGGTCAAATTAAATTAGAAGTAAGTCAGAATATAGCAAATGGATAAATACTACAAATATTATTTTTGTCCATTCTCTTACATGGATGATCATGCTCTTCTTATATGATTATGAAAATTCTCCCCCATTAGTCACTTTTGAGCTTAGAAGACCTCTTATTTTTAAGGATTTGTTTAATCCATTCTGCAAATATTTTTGAATAACTACTATGCATGTGACACAACAGCAAACCAAACAAATAGAAATTCTTTTTCCTTTTGGCTCTTATGTTCTGGAAAACAGATCATTTATTGCTCTGTTAATGTCTTCCAAACCACTAGATTAATTTTCCCCAGCCTAAAATGTGCTCTATTACCATCCATAAACAAAACAAAAACAACCCATGTCTCCATTCTCCTCTAACCATCTAATATAAATTTGTTTTAAAGCCAAGTTTCTAGAGTCTGCAAATGTTAGTCATTTTTCTGATCTTCCATTAACTCCTCAACTTACTATAGTAGAACTTCTACCCTCTACGTTTCTAATAAAACTGTTTTCCCAGTTAACAAATTACCATTTATTTATTTATTTATTTATTTATTTATTTATTTATTCATTTTTTTGAGATGGAGTCTCACTATGTTGCCCAGGCTGGAGTGCAGTAGTGCAATCTCAGCTCACGGCAACCTCTGCCTCCTGGGTTCCAGCAATTCTCCTGCTTCGCCCTCCTGAGTAGCTGGGATTACAGGCACGCACACTACACCCAGCTAATTTTTGTATTTTTAGTAGAGATGAAATTTCACCATATTGACCAGGCTGGTTTCGAACTCCTAACCTTGGGATCCGCCCTCCTCAGCCTCCCAAAGTGCTAGGATTACAGGCGTGAGCCACCATGCCTGGCCATTTCCTCTTATTTTTAAAATATAATAAATTCCTTTCAGTTCCTGTCTCACTTGACCTTGCTGCACTATTAAATCTGTGGTCCATTAATTTATTCTTCAAAATGGCCTTTCTTAGTTTCTGTAACATTATTCCCTACTAGGTTTTTCTCAGTTCCCCTGGCATTCAAGCTAAATATTGAATTTCAATTTCTTTGACTTAGTCTATTTTGTTAAAAAGAGTGTTCCTGCCCCAGGCCCTCTTATCTTATTCAATGTATTAGTCTTGCTTCTGGAACTTGCCTTGTCCCCTGCACACCAACAGCCCTTTGCTGCACTTACATTACTCCATGCATATCTCAATCACTTTATATTCAGTTTTTTGTATTCGCAGTTTCCTCTTTCCAAATTTAGTGCCACTGCACTGTCAGCTTCTATAGTCAAGAACAGGATTTTTATCAAGTTAGCATTTTTAAATCCTAACATAGTTTTAAACATATTCTAAGAACTCAAGAAGTGATTTTAAATATAATCTTATTTAAAATGTGTTTCATGAGTGATTATTACCCATTCCCATGGTTTACACCTCCTACAACTTCTATTCTGATGGTTCTAACATTTATATTTTAGGCTTTTTATTAGAGAAGCCTCTTGGCATTAACTACAAAGGGCTCAGAGTTATCATTACAAAATGAGCTCAAATCTTGGCAATTTTCTTGCCTAAAATTTTTTATCATCTCTTCATCTTTCACAGGATATAACCTGAACTTCTCAGCGGAGAATATATGTTATTTATTTTCTGAAGAAAATTACCTCTGAACACAAATTACATGCAATTCCTGTTGGTTAATGTAATAGTCATTTTGATGCATCAACTTGTCTAGGCTAAAATTCTCAGTTATTCAATCTAATACTAATTTAGGTGTTGCTTTGAAGGTATACTTTGTACATGTGATTACATTCCATAATCAGATAATCATAATCCATTTATTTAAGAAATATTATCCTAGATAGTCTGGATGAACCTGATTCAGTCAGCGAAAAGGTCTTAAAAGGAGAGTTAGGACTTCCCTAGTGAAGAGGAAATTCTGCCTATGGGCAACAGCTTCGACCTATTTCTAGAAGATCAAGCAAGCTCTTCCTCATGGCCAGCTCCCACAATTATGTAATCATTTCTTGCAATAAATACCTTAGTATACTTCTCTTGATAGACCTAGAGAAACTTGACAGACACAGACTTTGGTACTGAGAGTAGTTTTGTGTGAGTGTGTGTGTGTGTGTGTGTGTGTGTGTTGTTTGTTTGTTTGTTTTTTGAGATGGAGTCTCCCTCTGTCGCCAGGCTGGAGTGCAGTGGTGCAGTCTCTGCTCACTGCAACCTCTGCCTTCTGGGTTCAAGTGATTATCCTGCTTCAGCCTCCAGAACAGCTGGGATAACAGGCGCCCGCCACCACGCCGGGCTAATTTTTCTTTTTTTTTTTCTGTATTTTTAGTAGAGACAGGATTTCACCATGTGGGCCAGGATGGTCTCGATCTCCTGACCTCGTGATCTGCCCACCTCGGCCTCCCAAAGTGCTGGGATTACAGGCGTGAGCCACTGCACCCGGCCAAGGGTTGTTCTAAATGAAGAAAATGTTAAGGATGAGGTTTGAATTGGCTCTGTGTGAGAACTGGTTTTTCTGATTAGATTTGAAGGCACTAATGATCCTGATTTTAATGGGAAAGAGAAAGTTTGTATGGTGTTTTGTGGCAACAGCGATACCCAAAATATTCTTAAAAGTATCCATTGGCTACACTTAGCCAAATACTTATGAGGTGATGGGTGGCCCCATATTTGGTGCCTTGAGAAAATTTTTGTCAAACTAGTGAAACTAGTGAGTATAGTAGACTGCCTTTTTTTTTTTTTTTTTTTTTTTTTGACAACGTCTCACTCTGTCACCCAGGCTGGAAGGGTGGAGTGCAGTGGTGCAATCACAACTCACTGCAGCCTCCACCTCCCAGGTTCAAGCGATCCTCTGACCTCAGCCACTTAGGTGGCTGGGACTAGAGGCATGCAACGCCATGACTGGATAATTGTTTATATTTTTGTTGAGACAGAGTTTTACCATGTTGCCCAGGCTGGTCTTGGTCTTGACCTCCTGGGCTTAAGTGATCTGCCTGCCTCAGCCTCCCAAAATGTTAGGATTACAGGCATGAGTCATCACATCCAGCCTGATGGTTGTTCCTAATTCAGCTGGACAAAGTTGAAAAAGAAAACAAGGAGCTGAGGGACTAAAATTCCTAGCTCAACCCCCATATATATGACATAGAAGCTATTTCGGCCCTGACAGAAACTCATATCCTATAACCAGAGGGCTAAGATTTCTGAAAACTAAACCTAGAATCTAATTCTCTAGCGGCTGAATCACAATATAATTTCTATTTTCAACATGGCAGGGTGTCTTCTGTTAAAGCGAGTGTATTGATTGAGAAGGACAGGATATCACAAATTGGAATTGAAACATAGGGGCAGGTCCTAATGAGCCTGGGTTATTGCACCTTCATATTCTGATAAGTCTTTTTTGCCTACAGATGCAACCCCTCCACCCTTGCCAGGGGAAGTTAGTCCTTGATTGCCTGATAAATCTCTAATGGCCTTTTCTGAGGTAGTTGCCTTAGAAGGCACTGCTGATTCTCCTCAGCACCCACCCTGTATCAGTCTGTTTTCAAACTGCTATAAAGAACTACCTGAGACTGGGTGAGTTATAAAGAAAAGAGGTTTAATTGACTCACAGTTCTGCATGGCTAGGGAGGCCTCAGGAAATTTACAATCATGGTGGAAGACAAAGGAAAAGCAAGCCACGTTTTACATGGCGACAGGACAGAGAGAGCAAAGGGGAAAGTGTCACACTTAGAAACCATCAGATCTCATGAGAATTCACTCACTATAAGAAGATGTTGCAGGGGAGGGGAATCCACCCCCATGATCCAGTCACCTCCCACCAGTTCCCTCCCTAGACACATGGGGATTCCAATTCAATATGAGATTTGGATGTGGACACAGAGGCAAACCATATCACACTCCATCATACCTCTTTGCTTTGAGACCTATAACTACACTCAAGTCTAGGCAGTCTCCAAAGAACAAGGTATACTACACACTGACAGGATTACATGATTTTGCCAAATTATACAGACAGAATCTGGAGAATATATCTAGAAATAGATTTTAAGAATGGGGGATTAATGTGGACCGAATTTAAAGTAGATTCAACCTAAATTTATTAATATGGGTTCCCAATAATGGACCCCATATTAATAAATTTTGTAAGTTGAAGAATTAGAAGGGCTCTAACCATTTGGGTTGTTGTCTGTTACATGGGCACAAGGTGAGTGATATTGTTCGGATATTTAATCCCTTCCATATCTGATGTTAAAATTTGATCCCCAATGTTGGAGGTGGGACCTAAAATGAGGAATTTAAGTCATGGAAGCGAATTCCTCATGAATGGCTTGGTGCCATCCTCAAGGTAATGAGTGAATTCTTGCTCTATTAACTCATGCAAGTGTCCCCACCCCCACGAGAGCTGGTTGTTGAATATAGCTTGCCACCTCCCTCCTCTCTCTTTTCCTTCTTTTATCACCATAGGGTCCTGTGATGCCGCCACTCCTCCACCTTCCACCAGGAGGGGGAGCTTCTAGAAACCCTCACCCAAAGCAGATGCTGACACTATGCTTCTTGTACAGCCCACAGAACTTTGTGCCAAATAAGTCTATTTTCTTTATAAATTACCCAGCCTCAGCCACAGGTATCCCTTTCTAGCAACACAAAGAAAATGGTCAACTCTAAGTTAAAAAATTAAAATTGTCTTTGTATTCTGTAAAAGAATGTAACCAAAGGCTTAGGGAAATGAAATGTTACAACGGATATATCAATTAAGACTTGCTTCTCTTTGGAGGAGTCCCCAGGACACTTTTCACCAAGGCAGTCAGTATTAAATTCATGAGAGAAGCTCCCAAATTTTTTGAAGCATTCTGTTTCTAATCTCCTTTGTAAGTGGGAAGTTACAGTGAGAACTGCTGGGTTCCCACTGAGCTAAAATCCCCAGTTGTAACGGGAATAATAGAATCGCAGGGTGTTAGCATCAAATGGTGGCACTTAATCACCAAAGATGCAGTGGGTGCTGTTACCATGATGGACATCAGAACCAAAAGAGTAATCAGGATCGTTTGACCCATAAAGAGACCTGTAGCAATGGTTGTTTGATGTTACTGTTCCTAGAAAATAGACAGATACTATAATGAATTCTTCACTAGTTTGCATAATCCGAATTCTAGGTCTAGTGAACAAAAGACTGATTTGAGTCCTCAAAACAAATTTAGAGTGGTAATCTCTCCCAGCCTCTCCAAACTAACTCACAGCCTTTGAGTGGGGTGACTGTGCATTGGGGAAAGGGAAATGATCAGACTTTTTATTGATTACTGAACACTAGTTCTCAGCTGATAACTAATTCCTGGAGACATTACTATGGTTCAGTATTCAGAATAAAGGTTTATGAAAGTCAGGTGATTAATGGAGTTTTAGATTATGTCCCCAAACCCATCACATGATTATTTTCCCAGTGTCAGAATGCATAATTGAAATAAACATACTCAGCAACTGGCAGAAGCACCACTTTCATTCCCAGACTTGTACAGAGGGCTACTATGGTGGGAAATGTTGTGTGGGAACTCCCAGAATTATCTCTGCCTAAAACAAACAAACAAACAAAAAACAGTAAGTGAAAAGCAACACCACATTCTGAATGGATTATAGAAACTAGTGCATTAAGGACTTGAAAGATGCAGAGGTGGTTATTCCCACAATATTTTCAACTTACCTATTTAACTTGCCTATTTGGCCTGTGCAGAAAAGAAATTGATCCTGGAGAATGACAGTGAATTATTGTGAATTTACTCAGGTGACTCTAAGTGTAGCTTCTGTTCCAGATGTAGAATTTGTTGTTTGGACAACATGTCCCCAGTTACTGACATACAACTATTCATCTTGCAAATGCTTTTCTTTTCTTTCTATCTCTTGGTAAATACCACAAGACGCTGTGTTTTTTGTTTTTTTTTTTTTTTTTTTTGGTTGTTGTTGTTGCTTGTTTGTTTGTTTTTTAAGGTGGCGAGACCAACCCCCCAAGGGGATATAAACTCTACAGCCCTTTGTAATAATTTAGTCTGCAGAGACCTTGATCATTTTTCCCTTCCAGAGGACTTAATATGGATCCTTTTCATTGATGGTATTATACTGATTGGACTTGGTAAGCAGAAAATAGCAACTACCTCTAGACATATTTGTATGAAGCTTGTATGTCAGAAGGTGAGAAATAAATCCTACAAAAATTGAGGGGAATTTTACCTCACCAAAATTTGTTGGGGTTCAGTAGTGGGGACAATGTTGCGATATTCCTTTTAATGCAAATGATAGGTTGTTCCCTCTGGTCCCTCCTAACACACATACACACACACACATACACTCTCTCTCTCACACACACACACACACGAGGGAAAAAATGCCTAGTAATTCCCTTTGAACTCTAGAGACAATATATTCCTCATTTGAATGTTTTACTCTGCTCTGTTTATTGCATAACCCCTAAAAGCAAACTTTGAGTGAGGCTTAGACAAAGAGACGGCTCTGCAAAAGGCTCAGGCTGTCATTAAAAATGCTTTAAAACTTGGGTTGTAAGATCCAGCAGATCCAGTGATACTTGAAATGTTCGTGGAAGACACTAATACTGTTTAGAGCTTCTGGTAGGCCACAATAGTTGAATCACCATGAAGGACCTTAGAATTTGGGGAAAAAAGTCTTGTCATCTTATGCAGAAAACTGCTCTCCATTTGAGAAACGGTTTTTGGCTTGCTGCTGGGCCTCAGTGGAGATGGAAGCCTGAGTCGCTCATCATGAATAGGGTGTGGTCTGGTGAGTCAAGCCATAAATATGAGCATGCACAGCAACACAGCATTATCAAATCAAAGTGATATACATGAGGTAGGGCCCAAGCTGGCCCCGAAGGAAGAAATAGGATGCGTGTACAAGTAGAAAATTCACCCATGTCCCCTTCCTCTCTTGCACTGTTTTCTCTTCCAGCCCATACCTATTGCTTCATTAGGAATTTCCTATGACCAGTTGACAAAGGAAGAGGAGACTTGAGCCTGGTTTATACTTGGTCCTATGTGACATGCTGGCACTCCTGAAAGTGTACAGCTGAAGCACTACAGCCCCTTTCTGGGATATCCCTGAAGGACACTGATGAAGGGAAAGCCTTCCAGTGAGCAGAAACACCTTATATGACTCTGGGGAAATCTGTAATACCATCTATATAAGTAAAATTTATAAAATAAAATCAAAATGTAACATAAAAATATAAACCCATTGCACTTACATTTGGGGAAGATGATTTGAGATGACACCCACAGCATTTAAAACAACATAGGTTACCTTGTAAGCATGTAATATCTTATAATATTTGCTATTATCGTCTCTTATTATTGCTTGAGATAATCTTAATATTAAATCTTAATATTAAGTAAGATTCTTGATTCTTCTTAAATAATACAGTTAAAAATCTGTAGTTTTAGAAGTACTTAAATATTAAGAGAAGAAGCTTGTGAATTGGTAGATGGTACCAACCACTTAAATTTCACACTGAGGGCTGCTAGGCTGGAGCAGTTTTCCAGATGTTAGCCAAACATATATGGTTCATAAAATTGAATACTACATTTGAATGAGCAATTCAGCATTACATAAGTTCATTTAAAAAGCTTTAATATGCAGTCTAATTTTGAAAGATGGAATATCTATACTAAGTGAGTCACCAACTTTTTTTTTCATTTTGGGTGCACCAAACATATCTATAGCACCATAAAGTGTTATACAAAAAGAAGAGAAAAATAAATACAAAATTGAAATGCCTAGCAGTTTGAATTAAATCAACAAAGGATAACTTAAAACTGACATCCTTTTAAAATACCATTATAAAACAAGAATTCATAACAGGAGTTAGAAATGTCAACTGCAAAGAATGAATTTCTTTGCTCTTGTCAATATAACAAAAGGCCTAAAATATTGTTTTGAGTACATTCAATCTTTTGGTATTTAAAAATATCTCAATGGATGGAAAATTACTATTTTCCTAATTTAAAAGCATATTATACATATATTCCTTATGCTCTCAATTTATTGATAACCCACGGGCATTTTGCATATCTCTGTAGATTTTTGACAGGTATTGTTAACAGTTGAAATAATCTGCTGGGGTGTGAGAGACTTAAAAAAGTTTTCTTTTCTCTAAAAAAAAGACATGTGGAAAGAATATGTTCTCTTCTCCTATGGCCTTAGATTTTCCCATATGAAGAATGAATTATTAAGAGCCAACCTGTGAAGAATGGCAGAGGAGAATAATTGATATAATCTATCTGTAGTAGTCCATTCTCACACTGCTATAAAAATACTACCTGAGATGGGTAATTTATAAAGGAAAGAGGTTTAATTGACTCACAGTTCTGCATAACTGGGGAGGCCTCAGAAAACTTTAATCATGGAGGAAGGCAATGGGAAAGCAAGGACCTTTTTAACATGGTGGCAGGAGAGAGGAGTGAAGAGCGAAGGGTGAAGAGCCCCTTATAAAACCATCAGATTTCATGAGAACTCACTCACTATCAGAAGAACAGGATAGGGGAAAATGGCTCCATGGTCCAATCACCTCCCACCAGGTCTCTCCCTAGACACTTGGAAATTATGGGGATTACAATTCAAGATGAGATTTGGGTGGGGACACTGCCAAACCATATCACCCTTCCTTGAGGATGTTGATGATTTCTTGATGATCTTTATGAAGTTTTAGTTAAGTAGCCATAAAATTGCTCCCTTCTTAAATCTTCCTGTTAATTGAAATAATAAATTTACCTTATTTTAAAACACTTCTTGTCATTTTTTATTTCTTGTTACATGATATAAAGCATCCTAAATGACATATACTCCAAGAGACATCCGAGTCTGGATGCTAAAACTCATCTCCAAGCTGCTATTATTCTTGGTTTTTGGAACTTATGGTCATCCATAGCTACAACCTGAAGCCAGAATTGTACCAGCATCTGAGATATGCACAGAAGATATTCTGGGACACTGGCCAGCAAACTTAGGGGGGATTGGGCAAGAAAAATAGGACACAATTTTGTGTGGGTGTCCATAATACCAAACTTTGTGAAGCTTACTATAATTTGGTGGCTGGATTTTCTAGGATTTTGATTTCAGAAACATTCTAATAGAGATCTTTAAGGCCAAGTTGATAATTCTTGCTTATTTTAATATTTTGATGCTCTGGGAAGGAAGTGAATTTATGACTGGGCAAAGCTAACTCTGTTCTTTAGAAAACAATGTTATACTTAGCCTGAGCATACACACATTTTGGTTTTCTAGTTACAGAGAAATATATAACCTATAATAGGTGTATGTTGCAAATGCATTTTAATATAATTTGGTGTAAGATCTTGGCTATTGGCTCTACTGACCTTTTGTCTCAGGTATAATATTCTGGGGCAATGTTTATTGAATCTCAAAACTACTGTCATTTTAAATCCCCTTATCAGATGTTTACATATTTGATTTATTTCCAGGATATAAAAATTCAATTAAATTTTGTACATTAACTTTGTATTATGTAAAGTTTAAATTTACTCGGTTCTAGTAATTGTTTATTTGATTTAGGAAATTTTTTTATCTGCTTTTCTGACACCTAAAACTACTAAAAAAAGACTTTGAGGAAAATTTTATTTTCTTTGCCTGAATGCTACTATTTCTTTATATTTGATATTCAATATAGCTTCACAAGGCTAGGTCTTATGATCAATCTTATAAAGGAGCATTTTTCCCCTGAAAATTGATTGTTCAAGCTACAGATAATGTGTCCCTTTATTTTTTCCTCAGTTCTTTCATTCACTGTACTGATCACTTTTTCCTCATCATTCATGCTTTTTTTGTTTGTTTTTTTCCAAGACCGAGTTTCACTTTTGCCACCCAGGCTGGAGTGCAGTGGCACAATCTCAGCTTCTCAGATCACTGCAACATCCGCCCCCCCGGGTTTAAGCAATTCTCCTGCCTCAGCCTCCCTAGTAGCTGGGATTACAGGCGCCCACTACCACGCCCGGAAAATTTTTGTATTTTTAGTGGAGACGGGTTTTCACCATGTTGGCCAGGCTGTTCTCAAACTCTTAACCCAAGGTGATCTGCCTGCCTCGACTTCCCAAAGTGCTGGGATTACAGGCGTGAGCCACCGCGCCCGGCCTCATGTATTTTATTATATATATTTCTGGTTTCATTGTAAGAAAACCAAATAATAATAGACCAATTTTAGAGGAAAGTATAACTAAATAATTATGTTTTTCTTTATGGTAGAGTTTTCATTAAAAAAGAAATTAAAGGATTCATGTGGAATTAAAATTAATTCACCTAATTAGGTACTGTGTCTTAAATTTGTTCTCTATGCCGATTAAATAAAAGCTATGTAATATGTTTCAGAGAACTAAACAAAAATCCTATTTTTAAAACATTTAGGGTGAAGTAAAATATTCAAGAAAATTATCTACCACCATATCATTTCCTTTATCATGAGTGGTATAAATTTTGTTGCCTTGTGTTATGAAATGTACTATTGTCTGGACCACATCAAATAATTTTTTGACATATACCGTCTTTACCAATATGAAATATTAACGTATATCTTGTGTAGATCTCAACATTTCTTAACATATTTAAGATAATTATGGGAAGTCAAAAAACATGAATAATAATGTTGCACAAATTTTAACTTTTTTGATAATTTCAGATCTGGCTAAATTTATATTTAACTTGTTGAGTTTTTTTTTTATTTCTCCCAACCAAACTTTTTTATTATATACAATAAAAATTCAGTATAAATTTTTACATTTGTGACAACTCAGTGTTTTTCAGCTGCAGTATATTATAAAACTGAGTCAAATTCAAAGTGCTTCTGTCAGTTTCTAAATCTAGAACACAACACGAAGCTTTGTTTCATCCATAATACCTCCAGGAATTGTTTCGGTTTCCTTGAAAGTAATAATGTCTTCTTTCTTTTTTCTTGAATATCTTTTTTCAAAGTATACAATTCTATTGTCTTTAGTATGCCACTTTTCTGACAAATTATATAAAGTTAGCGTGTTTTCTTTTTATAGATTGAATCACTTTCTTGACATATTTTTATGCACAGATAGTCCTACTCCATTTTGTAATTGTGAAATAATAATATAAATAGGTTTTTTAATGCTCTTTTTCTGATTTATGTTGGCAGTATTTTTTTTCCTAAAATTCAAAAAGTGTATAATGTTCTAAATTTCATTGGTCTTTATTATTTTCCCTCTTCTGATTTTGTATCTCATATGACAGTACCAAACAATATGTCCAAATCCTTCCATCTCTGCTGAAATTAATACAACCTTTCCATAATCTTTTTTGAATTCTGCATCATGTTTAACATTAAAGGCAATGTCATTGTCAAGTTCCCGTATCATCTTTCAATTTGTACAAATTATTCTATGGTCTTCTACATTATATGAGTTTGTTGGTACTCCCAATATCCATGTAGTTAAATATTTGTTTTTGGTTTTGGGGGGTGCTTCAGCAAAAATTGTTCAACAAACTTGCATTATTGTCCTGTGGAGAAATAAGTTCTGTTTATGTATTGCACAGCATAGTGACTATAGTTAATAATTTTAGTTAAATTATAGTTAACTATACTATAATACTAAATTATATTTATAGTTACTGAATATATTATAGTGTATTTCAAAATAATTAAAGTGGGTTTTTAATGCCCTGACTACAAACAAATGACAACTATGTGAAGTGATGTACATGTTAGTTAGCCTGATTAGATTATTTCACCATACTTACATGTATCAAATCAATACATTGTGCCCCATAAATATATACAACTATTGTCAATTTAAAATAAAATAAAATAAATAGTAAACATCTAATTTTATTAAAATTCACTGCAGCTTTTTTGACACTTTAAGATGAAACCATATAATTTATTGGTACATGCATATACAAGTAAAATATTTGTGTGTATTTTATATGTGTCTATAGAAAAAGAAAGAGAGACAGAGAGACAGAGGGTTCCTATTAACTTACAGAAATCAGTAAGCTTTTTCTAAAGAAGAAATACATGTAAGAATTAGAATTAGAATTTCTAAATTTCAAATAAAGATGAAAAGATAAAAGATTTCAAGATGAGTCCACATAACTTTATGTGGAGATATATAATATTTTGTCTTATTTGAAAATGACATATTTTGTGCTTATTTAAATTTGTTACTTTTTTATGGAGCTAAGCAATTTTATTCATATTTATGTTTATGTTCATTTTTATTTATGCCACAAGTATAGTAGTTTTGCTTCTTTCTGTGCTAGTCATTTTACTAATCATTCCAAATATGTCACTTAATTTTCTTTTCTAATTTTTTAAATTCATTTTCTCATCTATACACACATATTCCGTCTTCCTTTGCATGACTTTGGACACATTTCTTCAAAAAATCTTGGAATTATTCATGACAAATATCTCAAATTAAATGTTTAATCTATGAACAAACCCTTAAATAGTTAACAGTATGTCTCAAAGCCAAAATCCATAGAATAGCCTACACTTATGCTACATAGATGATGCCACATATTTGCCCTTCCGCCCCTGTTCTTACAACTCTGATCTTGCCTTCTCTCATTTGAGACACCTTTGCTACTGCTCTTCATCTACATTGACTTCCTCATTGTCTCTGGAATACATCAAATAGCTCCTGCCTTAGGGCCTTTACACTTACTATTGTTTCTCATGGAATTGCTTATGTCTAGAAACCAATTGACTGATTGTTAAATACCACATTTTTTAGATGTATTGGATCCCTTTAAAATTATACCTTCTCTGCAAGTTTTTCCTTTTCCTCATTTTCATATTTTTTTTTCTCTTTGGCATTTATACACTCGTATATTATGTATATTTGTGTAATTGTATGGGCTTGATACTTACTTGTATTCTGTGAGACAATAAGTTTTACCATGCTGAAAGTAGTTTGCATATATGATAGAGGAAATGAGGCTAAATTTATTTTAGGTGTTATGTAAAGGCCTAAGGCCATTAAAATTATATTCTAGTTATATGTTAATATCCAATAACCAAAAAAAATACAAAAAATGAACGGTTTCAAAACATGATATTTTTGAGTGAGCACACTTACAAAGTGATTCAAATCAGACTTCTGAATAATGAGGGCAAGCTGAAAATAAGCATCTAATTCATCGTCCTCCCCAAACAATTGACACTAGAATCAGAAATACATTTATCATGAAGCTAGTTAATCTTAAACTTTAGGGCATATAAATTGCATGAACTGCTTTCAAGATTCTGTATGAAATTTCCTATTTTATTTCTATTTTATTTATTTATTTATTTATTTTTATTTAAAGTCAATAAATTTTTATTCGAGGAATTCTATGTTGTGATTCTTCCACTGTCCATTAAGGTCACTTTAGATCCTCTAAAGAGCTGGAGTTAAAATTTATCTTCAAAAGATTTATCTTCAAGTTAGCCCTTTTTAATGAAACTGATACTTATTTTATTCCAGTTGTCCTGTCAGCCCATAATTCTTTTATTTTGGCTTCTGTCATCTCCTTTGAATATGGATATACGGATGAAGACTTAAAAATTCACCAAGAATCTTTGAGATCTAATTTCTTCAACCAATTTACTTTAGGGTCATTTTTAGTGTTGGTAGATACACCTGGTTCTCAATTTGACATCCTCTCTAAACATGAATGAGTTCAAGTCATATTCATTCTTAAGCGAGCTCACTCAAGAATAGTACAGACGTGTGGAATATGCCAATACTTAAGGTAAAAAAGGTCTTTCATACATTTAGCAACTGTCTTTTTCATACTTTTAACAACTGTCTTGTAGTTCTTTCCCACATATTTAACCATAGTCCTGTGGGTAAAATAAAACCACAGAGTTACTCTATGAGGCATTTCCAATCTATTCTTTTTTAAAATGGACCTCCTCCACAAACTGTATAATCTTAACGTATCACAAAACTAGAGTTGCTTTTGAGAGTAAAATAAATGTTGATCTTTAAGACAAATTTCTTATCTTCAAGGAATGATTGTTTAAAAAATAATGAAATGTTGAACAATGAAAAGTAAATAAATTAGTAGTGAAATAAGCTATAAAATGGAAATTCTAAATTGGCAGTGGGGAAGATTAATAATCAAGTGTATATATTTATAATACAGAATACTTACAAGATTCATGAATTAAAAGCGTCTGATACCTCTGAAAGTAGTGATAACCCAGGGGTCACAAAATTAGGATAGTCACTTAAAACCTATTCAAGAATGAGCAGCATCCTGAGTTTCTTCCTCCACTGCATTCAGCCACATGTCTAACAGTCCCTCAAACAGAGAGAAGAATGCCAATTTGTTCTCTGGAGATGATAAAGAATAGGACTTATTAATGAGGGGAATTCAGACACTTTTGTAGGCAGAGGTAACAGGCCAAAAGCAGAAATCTTCATTATGCATGCAAACTGAAAGCCAATGCCCATCTTTATTTTCACCCTGTCCTCTACTATCAAACAAAGACCTTTCGGGAATAGTTCCCAGAGAAACTGACCAGCCCAAAATGAAATACTGAAGAGACTGTCAGTGAGGCCCCTCCTTAATGCACCATTCCTATGAACAGATTACGCATAAACCTATACATTGTTTCCAAAAAGAAAACAGTGTAGAAAACCCTTAATGAGATCATGAAAATAGGTCAGGACTAAAGAACATTTCCTAATTCAGGGTCCACTGAGGCCCTAAACCTGGGCAAGAATATAGACTTTTTCTAGGGCAGGAAGTAAAGAAAGTTTAGCACACTGGAGAGAAAAAGAATAACCTGCAATTTGAGAGAATGAAGGAGGAAAGTACAGACAGAGAGAGAGAGAGAGAAAAAATATGGATCACATAAAAAGATAAATAAAAATAACCTTATATTCTTCATGAGGTTTCTGCCCCTGCAGCTAATTTCTGGCTTGATATCCAGGAATTTCCATAGATCCTCTGAAATCTAGGTGGAGGTTCCCAAACCTCAATTCTTGTCTTCTGTGCACCCACAGGTCTAACCCCACATGTAAGCCACCAAGGCTTGAGGCTTGCATCCTTTGAAGCAACGGCCTGAGCTGTACATTGGCCCCTTTTAGCCATGGCTGGAGCTGAAGCAGCTGGGATGCAGGGCACAATATCTCTAAGCTGCATAGAGCAGGGAGCCCTGGGCCTGGCCCACACAGAGTAGGATAAACAGAAACAGAATCTCTGCTAGGGCAGTGCAGAAGGAAAATGTAGGGTCAGAGTCCCCACACAGACTCCTCACTGGGGCACTGCCTAGCGGAGCTGTGATAAGAGGGTCACCATCCTTCAGACCCCAGCATGGGAGATCCACCGATGGCTTGCACTGTACACCCGGAAAATCAGCACACACTCAATGCCAGTCTGTGAAAGCGGCCAGGAAGGGGGTTGTACCCTGCAAAGCCACAGAGGTGGAGCTGTCCAAGGCCATGGGAGCCCACCTCTTGCATCAATGTGAGCAGGATATGAGACATAGAGTCAAAGGAGGTCATTTTGGAGCTTTAAGATTTGAATGCCTGCTGGATGTCAGATTTGCATGGGGCTTGTAGCCCCTTTGTTTTGACCAATCACTCCCATTTGAAATGGCTGTATTTACCCAATGCCTGTATCCCTATTGTATCTAGGAAATAATTAACTTGCTTTCAATTTTACAGGCTCATTGGCAGAAGGGACTTGCCTTGTCTCAGAATGGACTTTGGACTATGAACTTTTTAGTTAATGCTGAAATGAATTAAGACTTTGGGAGACTCTTGGGAAGGCATGATTGTGTTTTGAAATGTGAGGACATGAGATTTAGGAGGGGCCAGGGGCAGAATGGTATGGTTTCACTGTGTCCTAACTGAAATCTCATCTTGAACTGAGGTTCCCGTAATTCCCACGTGTCCTGGGAGGGACTCAGTGGAAGATAATTGAATCACTGGGGCAGTTACTCCCATGCTGCTGTTATTATGATAGTGAGTGAGTTCTCAGGAGATCTGATGGTTTTATAAGGGACTTTTCCCTCTTTGTTTGGCATTTCTCCTTCCTGCTGCCATGTGAAAAATAACATGTTTGCTTCCCCTTCTGCCATGATTGTAAGTTTCCTGAGGCCTCCCCAGCCCTACAGAACTGTGATTCAATTTAACCTCTTTTCTTTATAAATTACGGAGTCACAGGCAGTTCAATGTTTCATAGCATTGTGAGAATGGACTAATACACTAGGGTAAACCAGTGAATGCAACAAAATTTCCAAAATAATTAAACATAATTGCAAAGAGCTATAAATCAAGATAGTGTCTGTTTTAGTCCATTTTATGCTGCTATAACAGAAAACCTGAGACTGAGCAATTTATAATGAGCAGAAATCCATTTCTCACAGTCCTGGAGACTGGGAATTCCAGAATTGAGGGGCTGGCATCTGGTGAATAATTTATTGCTGCCTCATAACACATTGGAGGTATCAGATCATGAAAGGGCAAAGAGAGGGAAAGAGAGGGGAAGAGGAGACAGAGAGAGAGAGAGAGATTGCAGAACTTCCCGTCTTATAACTAACCTACCCCTGCAATAATGACATTGATTCATTCACTCTGCCCTCACAGTCTAATCACCCTTCATTAGGATCTACCTCCCAACACTGCTGTATTAGGAATTAAGTCTCCAGCACATGCTTTTTGAAGATCATATTCAAACCACAGAAGTGTTCTACTTTTTCTTAGGTGGCTGTCTTTTGTTATAAAAGACATCTTTGCTTGAAACATTTTTCTTCAAGTAAGATAAGCATTATGTGTGGAAAACTTATATTTCTGATCAGTAGACTATGTTTTACAGCAGTGTCAGGAAGTTCTAAATTATGTCTTTAAAATATACAAATAATTTTTAATGCAGAGAAGTGTACTGAAGGTTCACTGTTACTTGTTATTGTTTTGCTTCTGAATTATTTTCTCTAATTTGATGTTAGTTACTTTACTTCCATGAAGACTTCTTTTACTGAACTCAAGCAGTTCAAAATTGTTACAATATGCAGTCATAACTCCCAATAATTAGGCATTAATACTTTTTTCTGATTTCACAGTGAATTACATCTTAGTTGTAAACTAGTTCTTATAAATAATACTTATATCACATAGCTATGAATTCTCAAGAGTGTATTGTTTTATTATTAGTTATTACCAAAATGCTGCTATAACAGAAAACCTGAGACTAATTTTTAATGAGCAGAAATACATTTCTCACAGTCCAGAGGTTTTGTTGCATTTGTGTGTGTGTATGTGTGTGTGTGTGTGTGTGTGTGTGTGTATGTGATTTTTTGAGTTTGGATTTAATAACTCAAGGGGAAGAAATTTTGGCTTCTACCTTTGTAGTTTGCCTCAAATTGGCTGACACGGGCTTTTACCAACTGCCCCTGTGTGCCTCAAGGTCAAGGTAATTGAAACTCAAATTTACCCTATTTGCAAATATTCTTAACGAAAAAGCCAGATATAGAATTTTTATTTTCACTTAGTTTTGGTATTTAAATATTTCTAACTATATCAGTATTTAATCAATTCCATTAAGAACATTTTTTTCAAAATGTTTAATTGTACATTTTTGATATTTTTCTCTTGTTTTCCCAGTAAGATTCTCAATAAAGCTACTTAGTCTGCTTGCTGAGAAGAAACCTCATATGTTTAAAAACTACACTTACACATTTTAAAAATATTATTTTTAGACATACGGCTCTAGCATAATCTTTACTCCATATTAGTAACATTTTAAATGTACTTATTAAATGCTTATTTTGCGTTATAATGGAAGGAAGCACTTTGTTTCTTACTACTCTTGAATGTTCATCCACGAATAAATAATAAATATCTTTTTCTTACACTTTCCCACCAAAATTGTAGAAATATTTTCATATTGATGTTATTTTGATGCTCACCATGATCCATGTCTCCCAGATTTCATGCTTGGGGCAGTCCTGTCACACTTTCACAGTGAGCCTATTCATATGACTGGTTTTGGTCAATGGGACATTAGAGAGCGTCACAGGAGAAAATAAGAGATCTTACTTGAGGTATTGTCCTGTGAAACTGTTTTTTCTTTGGGATTCAACTGCCATATTATAAGAAAAATAGAGCTATCACATCAAGAGATATCACCTGCAGAAAACAGAGACTTGTGGTCAGTTGCCACAGCTGAGCTCCCAACTAACAATTATCATCACTTGCCATTTAAGTGAGTGAACCTTTATGAAAGTATAATTTCCAGCCCAAATCAAGCTATGCTAGGTGAGGCTAAGTAGCACAAATGAACTAGTCTCGCTAAGTTCAGTCCAACCCATAAAACCCTAAGCCATTAAGTTTTAGGATGAGTTTGTTATATTGCAATAAATAGCTAATAATGTTACTGTTAAATGTAGAATATAGCCTGTGAAAATGAATTGATGTGTATTATTAAAGATAAAAAATACCTTAAGCAACTATGAATAGTTTTTAAATAAACGAACATAGATATTTCTATTAAAGGTCATGGGCTCTTCTGAAGTTTGCTTTCTTAAACCATTCACGTAACTTTTTAAGTTTGATTTCCTTTATCTGTAAAATGAAAAATAATACTACTAAAAATTAACTTGCATGGAAATTGTAGCTATTAAGTGGAACAATATATGTGAAAATAAACCAATGTCAATCTTAGATGGATAAAAGTTCATAAATAATTGCTATTAGTATTATTGGTCTGTTATTACCTCCAGAAAATGTAACTTTTGAGTGTTAAATATATTCCCTTCTCTTTATAGGTTTTCTCAGTTCCATACCATAGAAATTCTTTAATGCAGGCAACCCTCAAAGATACTGCAGGTTCAGTTCCAGACCAACACAATAAAACAAATATTGCAATAAAGCAACTTGTTGCAGAGAGTTAGACAGGCCATGAGTAGGGGAGGAGAGGGCTCTCTCCCCAACCCACCAGGACCCTAAGGTGATTATTGGAGGATGATTTGACAGTTATCGCGTTGCCTCTCTAAAAATGATAATTTGGCTGTCACTGCCAGGGAGCGACAATCTCCTGATGGTCCACAGCTGTCACGTTAAAGTGTTAATTGAAGGAAGATACCAGGAAGAAGTAACTCCCGGGGCATCAACATTAAAAGACAAAATGGAGGAGTATGACCTTTCAGGGGCACTCCACTGGAAAAAAAAGGGAAGAAAGCCTCAGATGGACATGCGTAGAACTTCCTAAGCACACTGCGCATGCTCACTTCCCAAGTGTAAGGAGGGCACTGCATTTGTGGGCAGCCCAACTTAAGGGAAGATTCATGGGAAAGGGGCACAAGACGCCAGAGGTGGGCTGCTCTATAAAGTCCTAGGATCAAGGTAAAATGCTGCATTTGACCTTCTCAGTGCCCACTTGGGTCTCCTCCAAGTGTACTTTCCTTTCTTTACTGCTCTAAAGCTTTTTAATATACTTCCACTCCTGCTCTGAAACTTGCCTCGGTCTCTTTTTTCTGCCTTACATCCTTCAGTCAAACTCTTCTGAGGAGGCAAGAACTGAGGTCGCTGCAGATCCATACAGATTCACCACCAGTAACTCGGATCCCTTCTGCCATTCACAAAGTCACACAAACCTTTTTGTTTCCCAGTGAATATACTAGTTATATTAACACTAAACTGTAGCTTATTAGCTTATTAAATATACAGTAGCATTGTGTCTAAAACAACTAAGTGTGTAATATTATTGTGTCTAAAAACAATATACATAATTTGATTAAAAATACTTTATTACTAAAAATTGCTAATATTTATCTTAGCCTTCAGTGAGTTCATAATCTTTTGGCTGGTACAGGTTCTTGCCTCAGTGTTGATGGCCGTTGACTGATGAGGGTGGCGGTTACTGAAGTTTGGGATTGGCTGTGATAATTTCTTAAAATAAGACAACAGTAGGGTTTGCCACAGCAATTGACTCTTTCATGAACTATTTCTCTACAGCATGCCCTGTTTGATAGCATTTTACTCACAGTGGAACTTCTTTCAAAATTGGAATCAATCCTTTCAAACCCTGCTGCTGCTTCCCCAACTATGTCTTCTGTTGTCATTTCAATAATGTTCACCACATCTTCGGCAAGACTAGATTCCATCTCAGGAAGATACTTTCTTTGCTCATCCAAAAGAAGCAACTCCTCATCCATTCAAGTTTTATTATGAGAATGCAGCAATTCTGTCCCATCTTCAGGCTTCACTTCTAATTCAAATTATGTTGCTATTTCCACCACATATGCAGTTACTTCCTCCATTGAAGTCTTAAACCCCTCAAACTTATCCATGATAGTTGGGATCAACTTATTTAAAACTACCATTAATGTTGATATTTTGACCTCCTCCCTTATCACAAATGTTCTTAATGGATCTAGAATGGTGATCTCTTTCCAGAAGATGCTCAATGTACTTTGCCCAGATCTGTTACAGGAATCCCTATGTGTGGCGGCTATAGCCTTATAAAATGTATTTGTTAAATAATAAGACTTGAAATTCAGAATTACTCTTTGATCCATTAGGAATGAATGTTGTGTTAGCAGGCATGTAAACAATGTTAATATCCTTAGATATTGGAGTGATTGGGTGTCAAGTGCATTGTCAGCAAACAGTAATATTTTAAAAAGGGCTTTTTTTTTTTTTTTTCCTGAGCAGTAGATCTTTACAGTGGGCTTAAAATTTTCGGTAAACCATGTTGTAAACAGATGTGCTGTGATCCAGGCCTTATTCTTCCATTTACAGAGTACAGGCAGAATAGGTTTAGCATAATTCTTAAAGCCCTAGGATTTCCTGACAGGTAAATGAGCAGTGGCTTCTGCTTCAAGTCACTAGCTGCATTAGCTTCTAGCAAGATAGTCAGCTTGTTCTTTGAAGCTTTGAAGGCAGGCATTGACTTCTCCTTGCTGGCTCTGAGAAGATGGTCATCTCCTTCCATTAGAAGGCTGTATAATCTAGATTGAAAATCTTTTGTTTAGTATAGCTACCTTTATCAAATATCTAAGTCTTCTGGATAACTTCCTGCAGCTTCTACATCAGCACTTGCTACTTCATCTAAGACTTTTGTCTTATGGAGACTGCTTCTTTCCATGTACTTCATGAACCAATCTTGCTAAATTCAAACTTTTCTTCTGTACGTTCCTCATCTCTCTAAGCCTTCATAGAATTGAAGAGAGTTAGGACCTTGCTGTGGATTAGGTTTTGGCTTAAGGGAATGTTGTGGTGGATTTGATCTTCCAACCAGCCCATTCAAAATTTCTCAGGATCAGCAATGAGACTTTTTTGCTTATCTTAATTTCCTTCAAAATCTTTTTCTTAAATTCCCAACTGGGCTCACTATTTATTGCCAGAGATCTAGTTTTTGGCCTATCTTGGCTTTTTTTTTTTTTTTCCCTTGAGACAGAATCTCTTTCTGTCACCCAGGCTGGAGTGTCACCCTCAGCTCACTGCAATCTCCACCTCCAAGTTTCAAGTGATTCTTGTGCTTCAGCCTCCCGAGTAGCTGGGATTACAGGTGTGAGCCACCACACCCAGTTAATTTTTATATTTGTAGTAGAGAGGGGATTTCACTATATTGGCCAGGCTCGTCTCAAACTCCTGGCTTCAAGTGATCTGCCCATCTCAGCCTTCCAAAGTGCTGGAACTACAGGTGTAAGCCACTGTGCCCGGCCTCTATCTTGGCTTTTGACAGGCATTCTTCACAAAGCTTTGGATTTAAAGTGAGAGATATGTGACTCTTTCTTTCACTTGAACACTTACAGGCTATTGTAGGGTCACTAAATGGCTTGATATCAATAATGTCATGTGTCAGGGAATAGGAAGGCCTGAGGCAAGAGAGACAGAGGAGAGGCTGGTGTGTGGCAAACTGGGAACACAAACGACATTTATAGATTAAATTTCCTGTTTTACATGGGTGTGGTTTGTGATGCCCCAAACAATTACCTTAGTAACATTAAAGATCACTTGTCACAAATCACCATAATAGATAATAATAATGAAAAAGTTTAAAATAGTTTGAGTTATCAAAATGTGACAGAAAGACGCAAACTGAGCACATGCTGTTGGAAAAATGGAGCCGTCAGAGTTGCCACAAACGTTTAATTTGTTAAAAACAAACAAACAAAAAAAAACAACAAAAAACCCTCAGTATCCTTGAAGGACAATAAAGTGAAATCCAATAAAGCAAGGTATTAAGTAGTACTTAATATTATGAAATAGAGCAGATATAATCTTCTTTAGGGATAGACTTTATAAATTAAAATGTTTTCTTTTTATTATCAATCCCTCTTTTTCATATTTTCTCTGAACTTGCATCCAATTTTCTGCACACTTCCTGTGTAAAAATTAATAAATAGTTTGTTACTTTATTGAAAGATAAATTTTGTATTTACTGGTTTTTCAGTTGCACTGGGCACTGTAATTTTACTATTTTTCCTTTTCATCTAATCACATCAACCACACCAGAATTCCCTATCAAACAGAGCATTCAGTGCTTTCAACTATGTACTCTAACATCCTTCACATGCAGTTAAACCATAAATTGGGAGTATTGCCAAAAATAATTATTCTTTTATCCCATATATTTTTATTCCTGAGAATAATGTATTTTCTTTGGTTTTAAACTTGATATCCAGCTGGGTCTAACTTTAATAACTCTGTTGTAGAAGAGATTACTGGGAGCCATTTGAGTTATTTCTATCAGGTGGCAAAAGATGAATTAACAGTGTCAAAACACCCAATTTGTGGTAGTACATTGTTGAAGAACAAACACATCTCCTAATTGGAAATTGACAGCTCTGGCACTAATTTGAACTAATCATTGCTAACATTCACACTAGCCTCCATTTCTGCAAGCTCTATTAAGTCATTAAAATGCCATGACAGTCTTCTCCACAGGTGTGGAAAACCAGATCCTTGCCTGTAGCAGACTTAATTAAGATAACAGCTGGATAGTTAAACTTAAAAAAGAGAAATCCGAGAGATGATAATATTTTTCAGAGTGCCCAAAATGAAAAGACTAGTAGGGGAGTGGCTTGTTTTTATTTTATCCGGAATTTGTTAGCTGAGAATTATATAATTTATAGATGCTTGCTAAATATGTAATGAAATTATGATTAAAATGCTAACATAATTAAATAGTACATATATTAAGATTGAGCTAAATAATTTTAAACTTGGAGTTTGTGGTTTTATTGATAGCTCCTGGATAGTAAGAACATGCATTTGCTGTTGCTCGTGTTTTTCTTCCATTAAACAGTCTTTCTCTCTTAATGACATAATTTGATATAACCATTCCCAGAACAGTTTATTGGACTTTGAATGCAAGAAGAGAGTAAGAACAACAATATAAATTTTGTTGTGATAGAGGAACTATTACTGGCTGATAACAAATTGGGTGGGTCACCATAGCATTTTTCTCTCAGAAAAATATTTGTCTTAACATTTTCGTGAAAAGCAAGATATTATAGAGATTTTAAAACTCTATATGATACAAGAAATCTGGTTCCCCACAAACTATCACCTTTCTTAATTTGAGTCTAGAGTCAGTCTTTAGCATAGATTATTCTTGAATCCTAATCTTATCTTAAATCTGACCTATTAAAACTACTGTCTAAAATATATGCAGTAAGCAACATTTCTATACAGAAAACATAATATTTTAAAAACTATTTTCATCTCATTTAAATTTTCAATATATCTCAATGTGTATTTGGTTATATATATTCAAAACATTAGATATATAAAATTAAATTTCAATTTATATCTGTTTATCTCTTTATATTACTATGTATCTATGTCTATCTATCTGTTATATCTGAGCTTTATCCCACAAAATGTTCATATTGAAGTCATAATCCCCAGTACCTCAGAATGTGTCTGTGTTTGGAGATATGGTCTTTAAAGATGTAATTAAGTTAAAATTAGGTCATTTATGAAACATTTCCCTATGAAAAGAAGACATTTGGACACAGATTTACAGAAGAAATTCAGCCTCAAATCTGTCTTTGGACTCAAATGGAAGCATTTACTCATTCCTGTGTTTCTAGCCTATAGGTCTATCCTGGAAACTTACAGATTCTGGACTTTCTGGCCTCCATCCATAATTAAGTGAGCCAATTCCTTAAATAAGTCTCTGTCTTTACACACACACACACACACACACACACACACACACAGACACACACACACATCCTGTCGGTTCTGTTTCTGGGGAAAACCCTAACTGAATACACTATCTATTTGTCTTTCTGTCTGTCTATCTGTCTAGTAACTGAGAGGGAAAGAGAGATTTTGTTAAGAGAATTAATAAATCGAACACTTCAAAGTATGCAAGGTATTTCAAGTACGAAAATAAAATTCTGTAAGGAAGGTAAAATAAAAAGATAATTTCTATGAAGAAAATGGAAATACGTGTAATGCTCAAAACTTAAAGAATAGCATCTATGGACAGATAGGTGGAGAAATTGATAGTGATAGTGACTATATAACTGCTGTGGTAATTTCAATAGAAAAATTAAAAGAGAAATATATCTATTTTTAAAATCCTTGGGGGGATGCAGTGGCTCACACCTGTAATCCCTGAACTCTGGGTGGCCGAGGTGGGAGGATCACTTAGGGCCAGGAGTTTGAGACCAGCCTGGGTAAGAGAAACCCTGCCTCTACACAAAATAAAAAAGTTATCTGGGTATGGTGGCATGTGCCTGTAGTCCCAGCTATTTGGGAGGCTGATGTGGGAGGACTGCTTGATCCCAAGAGGTTGAATTTTAGTGAGCCAAGGTCATGTGCCACTGCACTCCAGCCCAGGGGGACAGAGTGACACCCTACAAAAACAAAAACAAACAAACAAATGACAACAACAGAAATCCCTCAGAATTATAAAATGCTGACAAATACCTTATTTGAACTGTTTAATCCCATGTAGAAAACACACTAAAATATTTGAAGGGGCATATATGCCCCCACATGAAATGATAAATACATTAGGGATACTGAAACTGAAATGTATGCAGGGCTCTGTTTACTTAATTAAAAAGTGGTTTAAAAACAAATGTTAAATTAAAATAAAAGTGTATCATTAAAATTGTAACAGGTAGGTCTCTGTTGTAACAAAGGCAGCCTACGATGTATATACACAATCTTTTATATATTTATATTATGGTTATTTATGTATATATTCCTTCATTTTAAACTCAGTGTTACTGGAAAAATCATACTTTTAGGCCAAAGTGTAATATTAATCAGTGTGAGGAAAGTGCTACTGAAAGAACTTTTGATTTGTGTTCAAATAATACAGTTTAATTATTTTAAACAAATTTTGCAAGTGTACTAGGAGATTCTGAAGTGCCTTTATAAGTAGTCACAGATAAACCTAAGAGAAAAAAAGTAGTAAATTACCTCCAGCCTCAATGAGCTTACCTATTTAAGTCATAAATTAAAACACAGTGTAATACCTTGTATGCTAGGTGATATAGGTAACACACAGAACCCTAAGTCACAGAGGATATCCAAAAACTTTTTCCAGAGAATGCAAGCCTTGAACTTAAAGAAGAAAAAACAAATGAATAAATAATAGTCAACCAGGTACATGATATTGGCTCAGAGAGTGTTTGGAGGCAAATATAGAATGTTGAACTTACATGACTCGAGTGACTATCAGAGAATTATATTTAGAGATATACTGCAGTGTTATTACATCAGATAATATGAGTACATTTAAGGATAATTTTCCTGATACTATGTAAAGATTTCCAAGAATTAAAAAAAATTATCATATAAAGTTTTAGAAAGATTTTTACTAGCACCATATGAACTTTAAAGTAGTTTTTTCCAATTCTGTGAAGAAAGTCATTGGTAGCTGGATGGGGATGGCATTGAAACTATAAATTACCTTGGGCAGTATGGACATTTTCACAGTATTGATTCTTGCTACCCATGAGCATGGAATGTTCTTCCATTTGTTTGTATCCTCTTTTATTTCATTGAGCAGTGGTTTGTAGTTCTCCTTGAAGAGGTCCTTCACGTCCCTTGTAAGTTGGATTCCTAGGTATTTTATTGTCTTTGAAGCAGTTGTGAATGGGAGTTCACTCATGATTTGGCTCTCTGTTTGTCTGTTATTGGTGTATAAGAATGCTTGTGATTTTTGCACATTGATTTTGTATCCTGAGACTTTGCTGAAGTTGCTTATCACCTTAAGGAGATTTTGGGCTAAGACGATGGGGTTTTCTAGATATACAATCATGTCATCTGCAAACAGAGACAATTTGACTTCCTCTTTTCCTAATTGAATGCCTTTTATTTCCTTCTCCTGCCTGATTACCCTGGCCAGAACTTCCAACACTATGTTGAATAGGAGTGGTGAGAGAGGGCTTCCCTGTCTTGTGCCAGTTTTCAAAGGGAATGCTTCCAGTTTTTGTCCATTCAGTATGATATTGGCTGTGGGTTTGTCATAGGTAGCTCTTATTATTTTGAGATAAGTCCCATCAATACCTAATTTATTGAGAGTTTTTAGCATGAAGGGTTGTTGAATTTTGTCAAAGGCATTTTCTGCATCTATTGAGATAATCATGTGGTTTTTGTCTTTGGTTCTGTTTATATGCTGGATTACGTTTCTTGATTTTTGTATGTTGAACCAGCCTTGCATCCCGGGGATGAAGCCCACTTGATCATGGTGGATAAGCTTTTTGATGTGTTGCTGGATTCGGTTTGCCAGTATTTTATTGAGGATTTTTGCATCAATGTTCATCAAGGATATTGGTCTAAAATTCTCTTTTTTGTTGTGTCTCTGCCAGGCATTGGTATCAGCATGATGCTGGCCTCAGAGCTCACATTGCCAAGTCAATCCTAAGCTAAAAGAACAAAGCTGGAGGCATCACGCTACCTGACCTCAAACTATACTACAAGGCTACAGTAACCAAAACAACATGGTGCTGGTACCAAAACAGAGATAGAGATGAATGGAACAGAACAGAGCCCTCAGAAATAATGCCACATATCTACAACTATCTGATCTTTGACAAACCTGACAAAAAGAAGCAATGGGGAAAGGATTCCATATTTAATAAACGGTGCTGGGAAAACTGGCTAGCCATATGTAGAAAGCTGAAACTGGATCCCTTCCTTACACCTTATACAAAAATTAATTCAAGATGGATTAAAGACTTACATGTTAGACCTAAAACCATAAAAACCCTAGAAGAAAACCTAAGCAACACCATTCAGGACATAGGCATGGGCAAGGACTTCATGTCTAAAACAGAAAAAGCAATGGCAACAAAAGCCAAAATTGACAAATGGGATCTAATTAAACTAAAGAGCTTCTGCACAGCAAAAGAAACCACCATCAGAGTGAACAGGCAACCTACAGAATGGGAGAAAATTTTTGCAATCTACTCATCTGACAAAGGGCTAATATCCAGAATCTACAATGAACTCAAACAAATTTACAAGAAAAAAACAACCCCATCAACAAGTGGGCAAAGGATATGAATGGACACTTCTCAAAAGAAAACATTTATGCAGCCAAAAAACACATGAAAAAATGCTCATCATCACTGGCCATCAGAGAAATGCAAATCAAAACCACAATGAGATACCATATCACACCAGTTAGAATGGCGATCCTTAAAAAGTCAGGAAACAACAGGTGCTGGAGAGGATGTGGAGAAATAGGAACACTTTTACACTGTTGGTGGGACTGTAAACTAGTTCAACCATTGTGGAAGTCGGTGTGGCGATTCCTCAGGGATCTAGAACTAGAAATACCATTTGACCCAGCAATCCCATTACTGGGTATATACCCAAAGGATTATAAATCATGCTGCTCTAAAGACACATGCACACATATGTTTATTGTGGCACTATTCACAATAGCAAAGACTTGGAACCAACCCAAATGTCCAACAATGATAGACTGGATTAAGAAAATGTGGCACATATACACCGTGGAATACTATGCAGCCATAAAAAATGATGAGTTCATGTCCTTTGTAGGGACATGGATGGAGCTGGAAACCATCATTCTCAGCAAACTATCGCAAGGACAAAAAAACAAACACCGCATGTTCTCACTCATATGTGGGAATTGAAAAATGAGAACACATGGACACAGGAAGAGGAACATCACACACCTGGGACTGTTGTGGGGTGGGGGTAGGGGGGAGGGATAGCATTAGGAGATATACCTAATGCTAAATGAAGAGTCAATGGGTGCAGCACACCAACATGGCACATGTATACATATGTAACAAACCTGCACATTGTGCACATGTACCCTAAAACTTAAAGTATAATAATAATAAAAAAAGAAAGTTTTTTACTAGCACCAATTTGGAGTATGTATTAGTGACATTAAAACTACAATAATAACATCACTTTTAAGCAATCGTTATTTAAGGAGTCAAATAAAGTAACCCAGCAGGCATTCTGATTACATTCTCTTAAAGAAATATTTAAAAGAGAAAGCTAGTTGTATTGTTAGAACAAGTAAAATATTTGATCAATTAGATGATGTGTATACAGTCTTTTAAAAAGTTCTAAATCATCCCCTCTTTCATTTGCTGGGCTTAGGGATTATGGGGATTGTATTGCAAACATACTTTCAGTTGTAGCTCTAAAACTTTAAGATGATTTTCATAAAATTTCTACCTATTCTATCAATGCAACACTCAGTTCTGCAAATCGAAATAGCTTCCAGTTAATGTTGGAGTGTAACCTTTTCACAGGTGTAGCACAACACAGTAGGTGGTTAAAAGCATCAATTAGAGATATGTAATTATAAAGTGTGTGGCAATATAATTACACCCATAAACTTATCTTTGTGTTTTCTGTAATATTGAAAATGATTTAAGGCACTATTTTCTGAAAAAATTATAGGAAGTTATTCTTTAAGAATGCCTCCTAATGTTTCTGAAAATTTCAACATTAGCACTAGGTAAAATTTTCAATATACAAGTATACATTTTATCTGTTTTTTAAAAAATGGTTAGCTTTTCCTTTTTAAAAAAATCCTGTGTGATATTACTTCAGAAAGACTGGGAAATATATTACAGAAAAAAAAATTAATAATCTATTGTCAATCTTTCCAAAGAATACTATTAATTATATATTTTATTCAATCATGTAATCATAAATATGTGTGTATATATATTCATAATTAAAGCCCAAAATAAATCTGTATCATATGCAGCTGTATATTAATTGATAAAATAAATAAGAATATTATAAATTTACCAATGCTGACTAATTTTACAATTTATTTTGCCACTATTTGAACCCACATATTTAATATTTAACATGCTTATAATATGGTTTAAAAAATCTATACTTAAATTGACATATTTTAAACTTGTTACATAATGGTAAGTGTATTATAAATTCTCATTTATTCTTGTACAGGGTGAAGATGGATGGTATAAAGAAAAATATTTAAAATTCAGATACACTCATGGGTCTTATTTTTTTTCTTCTTATGTATGGCATTAGTCACTTTCATGTCAGGACTTGACATAGGATAAGAAACAGAGGGCAATGCTGTAGAGCAAGCATTGATATCCAAGAGTATAAATATAGAAGGTAAATGGTCTCAGAATTGATGTCATAGCATGCATAAACTCGATCTGTTCCCTTCTTGTTCTGTACCCTACTTTATAAATAATGATTTTTTTTTGTACCTGGGGAGGAGCTCCTGAAACAAATTACATGAATAAAAGTCAGGTTCTGTTAATAAATGTAAGGAGGGTACAAATGCCAGGAAGGTATTAGCAGTACCTACCATATGTGCAAGGACAAAATAGGAATTCTTTAGTATTACTATCTTCTTGCTGCTTTCTCAGAATTTATCTGGCATTCTTTAGTTTATATTACATTACAGAATGCACCATGCCTTGTCCTCTCGGAAGTCTTTGACCTTGGCATACATGAAGAATGTGTGGAATGTATGGAAACATGCAGTCAGCACATCATTGTTAAGCACTGCTTACTCCTTAAATATTGGATGCATTTCTGTTTTTACAGGTTGCTTAAAGTATATTGGAGTCAGCCTCTTCAGTTTTGGTTCCCTTTCCACCATATTTTCAAAAATTCCATAAACATTTTTTCTCCAAAATAAATTGCCATGATAATGACTACAGTTGTATTTGTCTACAAGTTACTGCTAAGTTACCTTTGTACTCAGGTCATTGATGAGACTTAAGAGTTTAGGTGTGCAGTAGATCATTTAACTAATTCATTATCCTCCTCATTCTATAAAACTTAAAAAACATTATTTTTTCATCATAAGAAAGATGAAATGATAAAAGAATGGGATACATCTATCAGTCAAAATAATTCATAAAGCCAAAGCACATGTTCTAATAACTGGAGGTAAATAGTACTATTTTTGGACGCACATTTGTACAAAAATGCTGTACTCAAGGCAAATCAGGGCAGAGTGAAGATCCATTTCCCCAGAGATTAGCTAAGGGAAATTAAATGTATTATACATGTAGAAGTAAAGAGAATTTCCTTTCCCATCCTTCCGAAGTTTTGATAATTGGTTCTATAAAATTAGTCTTATAAAGGCCTTATTTTTTCTTCCACCAGAGAACTAGTTCCCTGACCAAGAATCAAACACTGGCCACAATAGTAAAGGAATGGAATCTTAACCACTAGACTATGTATAGCATTTTCTTTTATGAGCCCTTCAGGGGATTCAAATCAGGCATTTTGAGCATACAAAATATTTTAATTTTGTTTTAAATTTGATTTACACTTTTTTCCCCTAATCTTGCCAACAGAGTTTCTATTGTATCTTTTACAGGTGTCAATCAGGTAGCTATTTAAGATGAGAGCTCTCTAAAAAGTATTATTTTAAACGTAGCCAATTTATTTTATAAGCAAACTCGGTTCACATACTTTTTTTCTTGCTAATCCAATTTTGGAAAGGGAAAAAGACAAAGACTTGTACTACTCTTGTTAGACCAAGTGTTACAGGGAGAGATCTGGGGAGCTGACTTTTGGAAAGAAATCTTGCGCTTTTTGCCAGCCTGTAGTCAGTTGTCCAAGGATCCCAACTGAGGTCTTCAAATTTTTCATCCTGCCGACTATGCCGAACTGTAGAGGCAAAGGGAATTTTCCCCACTTCTGAAAGTTTGATACTTTGAGCCTATAAAACAAACTGATAATAGATCAATGGGGAAAAAAGGAACACACATTGATTACATGCACTCATGTCCATAGCAGTCATAAAAAATAGGAAAACTCAAAGAAAGGACCAGATGACCTAACTTTTTTTTTTTTTTTTTTTTTTTAATCATCCAGAGTTTACAGAATAAGTATGGACTTGGAGAATGACAAGAGAAGTTACAGGATGGAGAAGTGGAGGAAAGGCATGGAGCAAAGGTGGTCTTGTTATGGACAGAAAAGGTCACATGTAGCAGCTCTCAGAAAGGAAATATGGCAGTCTGTGGTAACAGTTTCTCAGTCAGACCTTTTGTCTTCTTTTTCTATGAGATAATCTTTCCTAGACCAAAGAGGGACTTCAGAGAATGCCTGTATGTTTCTGTTGTTAATTTCTTCTGCAGGCAAATCTCTTCTACGTGGGACAGCTTTTCAGCTATTCCTGTGTTTTTAGCTTCTCTGAATGACCATCTTGAAATATGTCAAGGAAGTACATTTTGAGCATATTTTTGGTTTCCTTCATATATAGCCTGAAATGAAAAACAGTGCATATAAACTCTGTCCCTAATTGAAGTTATTAGAAAGGAGGAAATGTATCTCTTTCTATCTACTCGTCTATAACTTTTTAGCCATTTAGTAGAAAAACTAAACTACAACTTTTTTTTCCCACCATACTATGCTTTTTCCTTCTTAACCCAGTTTAAGGCCTTATTAAGAATAATTGTTTTTCTTATATATTTTAAATGCCTTGGTGCATGTCATATATTTATAATGAGGAACAATTTATTTATTTGCAATTATGAGTATGTGCGAAATATTTTTTAAGAAGGAGATATTAATAAATCTTTACTCATATACCTGTATTAACTATTTATCACAACTAATAACTACTAGTATATAATTACTACACATACCAATGCCTAATTTATCATAATATATGCATATAATGACTTATGGCATACAAAAGAATGACGTTTGCAATTATGCCTGCAATTTTTTACTCCTATGCTACTACTATTGATATTTATTGCCTTAAGACTTATGATATATTTATAGCGATTAATACACAGCATCCCACGTACAATAAAACTTCAACATCTCTGTCTGTGTGGAAGTATCATTAATGTCTAGTAAGGATTCTGATTATCTTGAAACTCTCTTGGCTTTTACATAAAATATAAGCCTGTACTCCACGAGGGTTGAGCTGTGGGATGTTTTCAAAAGTATCTCTAATCTCGACTCATCTTGCATTCTCTCCAACAGAAATCCATGCAGCCTATCCTTTATAAAATTCTGATTGAAGTCATATCTATCTTAGAAGGTTTAATATCTTAAAATATGCTAAGAGTTGGGAAACTTATGATCAAAGTAGCTATCAAAATGCAAAAATATGACTGTCATTGTTCTCGAAAGGTAAATAGCAATCATTCATGGGCTTTGTGCAGTTCCCTCCAGTCACTGTGATCTGATCTGTTCCCGTGAAGCTGGTTTGCCATTGATTAAATGCTCTTATCTCGATTGCCAAGTTAATCTTGTGTGGCATCCAAGCTTTTATTTTATCTTCTTTACACAGTCCCCTTCAGGCTCTACAAATGTGAGTAAACTTTAAAGAAATCACAAACCAGCAGTCATCCTTTTCTTCTCAACAAGTTGCTCTTCATAAAACACTCTGTCAGTTGTTAAGTTCTCTCTAGACACACACTTCGCTTTTTTTAAGAACTGAAAATATTTTATGGTGCTAGAAAATTTTGATGTCTCCCTAAGAATTACTGTTACAAGGAGATGCTTAGCCAAGGTGTTTGTGTGATGGGCTAAGGTCCTCACATAGAAGGAAGGAATTGGGGAGAGGAAGAAGCATGGAGGAATTTAGCTGTGGGCCATGAATTTTGATAATTTGTTTTACGTATTAATACATTTGGTAAGATTGTTCTCCTTATAACATTAGCACATATCAATACTAATACCTGTTCCATTATTTAGCTATTGTTCACTTATCAGAAATATACAACAAATTAAAAATAAAAGAGTTCCTCACAAGATGGCCTTGTACCTTGGCAGAATCTAGTACTCTACCACATAAATCTTGTAGAAATTCTAGTTTACTGTGATAAGCAAAGAGAATATAGCCTCAGCTTTAGATACTAGCATCAGTGAGGAGTAGTTCAGTGAGCCTGACTTCTTGAGTCTACCAAGTTATTAGGTATAGGGGATAAGTTTTGGTGTGTCAATGGGAATCTCTGTTTTTGTTTAGGTCCTACCAATTTGTGGGAAACCTCAAATAGATATTGGTGAGTCACATCCAGCATAATATCCTAATAATATTTTCAACAGTATTTATTAAGACATATCATCAAATTCTAACTTCAAAATACTAGAGGAAAAAATTCCTTTTCATGACCAGTGAACCTACACTAGGCAGCATGTATTCACATTTTCATTGTAGCTAGATACTAATAAACAATAAGAACAATTAATCTTCTGCATTAAAAAGGTAGAACTGAGCAAGGCAAACTTGATAAACTTTTATCTTGAGAGGGATACATTAGCTTAAGATTTACCAGATAAGTACCCATATATTAGAGAGATGATATATATCATACATATACGGACACTTTATTCATACATATAATAGTAGAAAATAATAATTTTAAAATGTGGTTACCTACTTCAGAGAGCACATGTCTCTGAGTTTAGATAAATTAATTTGAATTAATTCTCAAAGACAGTAATGGTAAAGACCACATTCTCTAAATGCAATACAATAAAATAAAGAACACTGTTATAAACAAAACTGATTAACTGGACAGATTTAAAAAATAAATAAAAACATCTATCTAATGAATTCAGAAGTAATTCAAATTACAATTGTAAAATATTCAAAATATGGTGTTAATTACATTACTTAATATATAGTATATGAGAGGTAGGCATAGCTATACAAGAGATTATTTTCCATACATGCTATTATCATATGCACCACCATGACAGAAAAGAATGGGATTAGTTTTATTTTTTAACCTTTAAAAAGATAATTTGTGAAAAATACAAACCAAAACCTTTGTGTTTTTCTTATCTAAAAATGTATTCAAGAAGTAATGAATTGAATATGATCTTATTTTTACATGAAAGTTCAGTTAATCATACTCTTAGTTTAATATTAGTCTCAGTCTTTACTTACTGAAACTGAAACTATCTTTGAAAGAGCCAATAAATTTTCATTGTTAAAAAAGATAGTAGAGATGTCCTCAAGTGCAGCTGCACATTGAATTAGACTGTTGCAGTACTTCAATTTGCCTTATAATTATTGTGTATGACAATCTAATGTTATAGAATAAGGATCACAAAGGAGGTAGAACAGTATATAAGAAATTCAAAAAAAATTATAGCAGTAAGAAATTGGTTTGAGTAAAGCATCTCTGAGCTTGAGGATATGTTTATATATCTATATCTATATAGATATAGATATATGTGGGAGACAGTATTTTAATAAATTATAATAAATAAATTATAATAAATGAATACCTTAAATCTTTCCATGTAACAATATAAGTAAACAAAGTAAATTATTTACATTGTCAAAGAGAGGAGAACAAGGAAGAATTAAGGCAGTGGAGTTTGAATTACACTATCCAAAAGCTATTCCCCTGGCTATATTATTTTGTATATTCAAAAAGTAGAAATGAACAACATTAAAATTCTTATGAAAAAATTGTGCATTGGTGACAGAGTGAATGGCTTTTAGGACTTGTGACACTAGAGGTATGAGAGAAACAGTGTATCTACCTACTAGTCTGGAAGAGTAGTACTGTTGTATGCAATGCCCTAAGATTCTGTATGAAATTATGTTTACATTATACCCAAAGTCTTTCTATAATAAAAATATTTACACAGGACGATGCTTTACAACATATCATGAGATTGGTACATTTTAAATTTGTCCGTAAAAACTAAGATTTTACTAATCATATTTTGATCATATAATATGATAAATAAACTACTTTGATCTATACTTTAAGTATTCACTGAAGTTGAAAATATTACATGACTAGGAATACAATAGAAAAAAGCTGGATAAAACTATTATCTACTTATTATCTCTCATAGTCATACATATTCTGATTTGCCTAATAATATCTCTGTAAAAACTTGTATGATTCATGGCTTATCTTTATGTAAGTGTTCTGTCTTTTCTGAAGTTTTGGTGCCATAACAAACATTTGTGTTTTTTTGTGTGTTGTTTTCATATATCCTGACATAGCATGCCATTTTCCGTTCTTAAAATTATGAGGGCTGAAAATGACTTTAGCTTCATGTGATTATCTCAGCTAATCTCCTTTGTGCTCTATATTTTAATGTATCCAGACAAACAAGCACACAGAGAGTTTCTCTCAATCTGTAGATGTGACAGTAAGAACATCCTCCTTACTAATACTGAAAGACCAGAAGGAATCACGTATCACTCACACTGGGCTTCTGCTTGTGATTCAGCCTGCAATGCCAGCTCTGGAAATTCTAGTCCACAGTAGTAAACAAATCTCGCCTATTTTTTTGGAGTTCAGGAATAATAATTGTCTAGGTCACTTCATTTGAGAGTAATATATGCTATTATATAAAACCTAGTATTATATATAGCGGCTACCTAACAAAGACATATGTGTGATTCCTTTTATCTGCAAAATGGGAAAAGAGAGTAATTGTTATATATTTTAGGCAAATAAATGAACTTTCTGTTGGTATGGTTTAGATTTTAAGTTTGTGTTTTAGCAGAAAAAAATACCAGCAATTTTTAACTGAAAATATACTGGATTTTGAGTTGCTTTTTTGGTAATAAGGTAACTCGAAGTAAGTTACTGGTTCTTGTGATGAATCATGTAAATATACCATTATAGATGAACTTTTGTCCGCCCCAAGGATCTTATGTTGAAGTCCTAACCCCCTACTGTAACTTTATTTAGAGATAGGGCGTTTAAAGAGGTAACCCACATTAAATGATGTCATAAGGGTGGGCCCTAACCCAATAGAACTGATGTACTTATAAGAAGAGGAAGAGACATCAGGGATGTGGATGCACACAGAGAAAATGTCATGTGAGAACACAGCAAGAAGGCAGCCATCTGCAAGCCAATGCACCAGGTCTCAGTAGAAACCAAACTTGTCAACACCTCGATCTTGAACTTTTGGCCTCCAGAACTGTGAGAAAATAGATTTCTGTTGAATAGGTCATCCAGTCTGTAATATTTTGTTATGGTAATCTTAGCGGACTAATATATATAATAAAAGCTAATTGGACTCTGGAAAGGTTGAGGTCAGAGGATAATTGTGTCTGGCCACCAGAACATATCCTCAAACACTAACTGTGGAGTATAACATAAGCCAGTTTACTCAGCTCAAGATCCATGTACAGTGTCGGCCATCCTATCCACCTCCATCGTCAACCTTATTAGGATAAAAACAGATTCCTGAATCATCCAAATTTTAGGCTCTTTGACTGTATGCAATTAATAGGCTGTGGTTTAAAAGCAGGGAAGATGTTGATCCTACAGAACCCTGTTCTGAGCGTTTGAGTGCAGTCAGAAGCCACTCTGACATGGTAAAATCCCTCCACCAAAAGCTGCACCGTGTCTGTGATGCGTCATGGGAGAACAGAATATTTTTGGCTTACCAAGGGTAAAGGTGACAAGGAATTGTGGCACTCCCGGACATCCCCGTATTAATCCATTACCTTCTGTATAACACTAGAAAAAAATTGCATTTGGTAAAAGAGTGGTTGTGGTGTTTGTTTGTTTGTTTGTTTGTTTGTTTGCTTGTTTCCCTCCCTGGAGTGTATCTACTGTCTGCTTCTGGAATGATCCCGAGTTCCTCAAAGCCAAGGACAACTATCTTACATTCCGTTAGTGGAAACTACTTGGGTACATAAATTATAATAATCATCTTGTTATTTGATGTGTAAATAAAACAGATTGTTTCACCTAGATTTTCATCTCCTTTAGATCAAGGGCCATATCTGATATTTCATTTTAATTCCTACAAATTTAAAGCATATATCCCTTCATTGAGAATACTTTAATTATTTGATTTTATCACCAAGGAATATTTCTGCTTCTCTCTTTCTAAGAAGGAAGTTAGGAAGGACACTTGCAGAAAAAGTATATTCTTAGCAAAAGATTTCTGTATTTTTTTTTTTTAATTTTACTTTAAGTTCTGGAATACATGTGCAGAACGTGCAGGTTTGTTACATAGGTATACATGTGCCATGGTGGTTAGCTGCACCTATCAACCATCATCTAGGTTTTAAGCCCAGCATGCATTAGATATTTGTCCTAATGCTCTCCCTCTGCTTGCCCCCAACTCCCCGACAGGCCCTGCTGTGTGATGATGTTCCCTCCCTATATCCATGACTTCTCATTGTTCAAATAAGATTTAAAATACAACCTTGTCCTTGAATATACTCCTTATATGTAAGAGTTATTTTTCATTGGTTAGTGATGATACTACAACCTGGTTAAATAACATGCTTGCTATATCAAGAAAATATTCAATTATAAGATACTCTATATCTCCTTATGCTACACTGAGAAAATAATAAAGATAAGTTGGGGACACAACGATACACCTTAATGTTTCTGACAGAGAGAAAACAAACTTCTAAAGTACTTTTAGTTAGTTTAAACATCAGTAGAAAGTCTGTAACAAAGACATATTTAGCTTCTAGATTTTATTGCCACACATCTTAAAAGTATGTCCTCATATATTTTAATTTTTAAAAAAGGAACAGCCTCCCATATAGCCTAAATTATGTTTAGTATTCACGAAGGCAAACATTTTTTAAAAGTAAGATTTTGAACAAAAATTTTACAAGCACATTCTTAACACCTGTCCTTGAAAAACTAAACAAAAGATATTGGTAAGATGAGTAGTTTTTAAAAAGCAAATAATTTTACCCATCTGTTTAGTAAATACAGCAGCAAAAATATTTGTAAAGAAGAACGGTGAATAAAAGCCTTGTTTCTGTGTCAGGAATACTAGTTAGCAATCTATCTTCTGAAGTAAAAGTGACTTTTAAAAACTGAGGTATAAACTATCTGTGTTTATTCAGTAATTAAACCAATTTATTATTACAGGGAAATGTAGGTAAAGTGATCATTGACATTAATGCTTTTCGTAGATTTTATTGCTTTTTACAATATCAACATTTTCATGATGCACAATTAATTAGATGCTTTCAATGGAGTTAGAATAATTATAGAATTTTTGAAGATGTAAGATGCAAAATATAACTCCAGATGCTCGAGTTGCTATTTTTCTGCTTTCATCTACATACATACACACTTCAAATAACTGATAATAAGCAATTTTTTCTCCATTGCTTTTTGTCTATGTGAAATGTAGATTTTAGGGTAAATATTTGATTTTGGAATGCCAGGTAGATTCTCATTTACCACTGTTTCATACCGTATCTAAGAAATTAAAATTACTTTTAATTCTTGCTGTTTTTAAAAAGACTAATTTTTAAAAATATCCTTACCCTATGAAGCAGTATTTTCAGAGAAAATTGAGGTTTTCTTATAGGAAACCCCTGGAATTCCTGGCCTGATCATATTAATCTTATCTCCATCATATGAAGCCAACTTCAGATCATTGTCTTATATCTCTGAGGAAGAGAATCCCTCTCTTTTTAGAGGTTAATCCCGTTATCTGTGTTCAAACCTCTATTTCCTGTTTTTTCTCCAAACTTCTTCTTTCTGCATCTTTCAGTTTTTCTGCTTACAAATTTTCCTCAAACTAAAGTCAAGTTCAAATCTCTTCCAGTTTAAGATAAATAGAATATGGTGTAAATGCCCAGCACTACAAAATTCACTGAATGTCATTCTTTATTTACTGATTTTATTTCCTTACTTTCAAATATCTTTTCAATATGTTGCAGTTACCTATATTCATATTTTTATCTATTTCAACAAACTTGTATGTCCTGCAATACCTCTCTTATACTATCATCAATGCATTTACATAAAATAGAAATGCGTTATATTACTTTCTTCACCCTGAGTGTTTATAACCAATTATTTATTTATCAAGATATGTTGATTATATTTTGTCATCACCATTTGTCTTAATCTGTTCAGGTTGCTTTACAAAAATGTCATAAACTGGGTACCTTATGAGAAACAAAATTATTTCTCACAGTTCTGGAGACTAGGACGTGCAAGTTCAAGTCATCAACAGATTTGCTGTTTGGTGAGGGTTCTCTTCCTCATAGACAGCACCTTCTGTGGCATCCACATGCAGCAGAGGGAAGAATAAGAGCCCTCTGAGCTTCTTTTGTAAAATAACTAATCCCATTTACGGAGCTCAGCCTTCATGACCTAATCACCTCCCCAAAGCCCCACCCCTTAATACTACCACATTGAGGATTAGGTTTTAAAATATAAACTTTGGGAGGACACAATCTTTCAGACTACAGCAACATCCTCTCTTTTCTGCCTGTCTCTTTTCATGGATATTAATTTTAATCTTTATCAGCTTTCGCCTGCCTATGTAAATTGTTCTCCATCTTGTTTCCCTCATCCAAATTTGTCTCAATTCGGACTTCCACAACAGGGAGCTTAATACTATTTTACTTTTTTCTTTCTGCTTAAAGTGTATTTTACTTTTAAGTAAAGTGTAATTTTCTTTACTGCTTAAAGTGTATTTTACTTTTTTCTTTCTGCTTAAAACACGTTAATGCTTGGGAAATGTGATGGAGGCAAGAGTTGAAGAGGTACTCATTGTAGTTTATTGCAGCACAGGCAAAAGATAATGGTAGGTTTGGCTAGTGTGGGGCATAAAGCTGATGGTATAAAATTTGAAAGTTTTTTTTTTAAGTTTAAGAATTTACCAATGAATAATATATGTTGTGTTAGTAAGAGACAAACTAAGATTAAACAAAGGACCTTCAGAAATAGAGACCAGTAAAGAAAAGAAAAAAATGTAATGTATGTGTGATCCCAAAAATCAAGTCAGAAAAAAATATCAAGGAGAAATAATCAACTATATGTAATATTTACAATAAGTTGAAGAAAAGAAGCTCTAAGATAAACTATTGTATTTGAGTTTGTGGATAGTATTGATGAACTTGTTACAGGCAAATTGAAAAATACAGGGCATTTCTTGACATAGCTCCAAATTTCTTTCTTTTCATTGATATAGTAAGTAGTCATTTTGACAATAATTTATTTAAATGTTAGTTACCATAGAATAAAAATTATAAATTATCCTGTAACAGAACTCTTGTAAAATCTTTTTTTAAGGTTCATTGTGTATTAGCTATCTTATATTTCTCTCAATATCTTATATTTCTCTTCTTCAAATGTTTTGTAACCTTTAATACAGCTAGATGGAAGATGATTTTTCATGGATGTGATTGAACATGACTTTGGAAGTTTTCCTCCATGTGAGTTTCAAGGTAGTGTTAAAGTAAATAAGAAGGAGGCCATTACATACAGAGATTGTCTCTGTAGCACAAGCTCTCATATTAGCAAAACCAGGACTTCACTTAAAAAACATTTCTTGTAACTAAGAAAAGAAAAAGGGGGCCTCAGCGAGTCACCACCAATCAACCAGCCAATTCATTATACAACTAGAAACCTCCCATCAGAACGTGCCCAAGTAAGGTAAATGCCTCATCACATTGTGCAGAAATAAGGCAGCCATCTAGCTGTGTCTAATCAGGTAATTTCTCTGCTTCTCCATTTGCTGCTCATGCTGCTGGGTGTAGCTTTCTGAACCTCTTCCGGTTCTGAGTGCTGCCTGATTCATAAACTGTTATTTGCTCAAATGAACTCTGTTTAATTTAATTGCCTAAAGTTTTTCTTTTAACAATAATATAATTTTAATTATTTTTCTATGAAGTTAATTTTGAGTTATTTTTTAACAAGTTTTCAATTTTCTCTAAATCCCATGTTCTAAATGGAATTAAATAGCTAAATTTTAAAAGTAATTTTGGATCTTGGCTATTTTAGTTAACTTTGTGAATACTAGTATACCAAGTAATTCTGTGCTAACTAAAGTTATGATGCTATATAATTGATCTTATTTAGCTTTATAATATTATTTAAATGTTTATAAATATTTTTGGCTTAAAATTATATAATGTTATTCATTCAGTTGTTCTTATTTACTGTATCTATCTAACATACCCTCTTATTTACATAACATGAAATACATTTTCCTAATTATTTACCTATATAAAACTTTCATTATTAGTTTCTAATTAGATGTATTAAATATAATGATTTATTATTGCATTCTTTCGATAATACCTATAATCTATAAGCAATTCATACATACGATTTCAAAACATGAATCAGTTTTTTACAAACCATACTAAATATAACTAAGATATTCAGAATAAACATTCAATAAAACTGAATACTTAGACCTTATTAAATTGAATGAATTGTCTCTAATTATGTTTATTAGAAGTGATGGTGTTCCAAACAATCAAATGATCATTGATCATGCCACAAATTCAAGGATACTAGAAATAACATTAAAATTGTAACAGGAGGTTATTCAGTTTTCAAAATCCTCACCTGAAAGAAAAAGCTAAATAGTTGACTTCTGATGAATATCTAGGGCAAAGCTAAATTTACTGCTCTGTGTATGTGTGTGTGTGTGTGTGTGTGTGTGTGTGTGTGTGAGATATTAAAACATAACAAAGCAGTACAGCAGATCCTAGATTAATGGCTTTTTGTTTAATGTTGTTTTGTTACAATGTTTATGAGGAAAATAAAATCTATTTCCAGCCAGGGCCAGCGACTGTGTGGAGTTTGCCTATTCTCCTCATGTCTGCATGAATTTTCTCCAAGGACTCCTGTTTCCTCTTACATTCCAAAGATGCGCATATTAGGTTAAATGGCATTTCTGCAACATCCCGGTCTGAATGAGTGTGGGTGAGGCCTGTGATGGGATGGCATCCTGTCCAGGGCTGATTCCCATCTTGTGCCTTTAGTTGCCAGTAGAGGCTTTGGTCACCCATGACCCTGAGCTAGAATAATTGGGTAAACAATTAGCTTTTTTGTCTTAATTTGTCTTAAATGTACGTGTAGCTTATATTTATTTTAATGTTTAATATTAGAGGTATTTTGGTATTTACTTAGATGTGTAGTGATCTTAATATTTTATCACCAAAAATTTGCCATAAATACTTAACTCTTGTTTATATGAATTAGCCTCTTGGACATTGACTTCATTACATGTCTTTTCACTTAAAGTTACAGTTTTAAGAGCCCATTGATGATGTTAAGTGAGGACTTATTGTACTTTATTATATATGATACATTCTCTTATATTCTCATTTTGATCAACTCTATTTGTTTTTATAAAAATATATCTTGTAAACTCATTAAATTGTTTTTATTTCCCCATTTAATATCTTTCAACCTGCAGCTCAAAAACCCTAAAAATTGAAGTGTACATAATTGGTAATAGATACCACCGAGATATCAGCTGGTTTTTTTTTTTTTTTTTTTTTGAGACAGAGTCTCACTCTGTCACCTAGGCTGGAGTGCAGTGGCGTGATCTCGGCTGAGTGCAACCTCCACCTCCCAGGTTCTCCTGCCTCAGCCTCCCTAGCAGCTGAGACTATAGACACGCCACAACGTCCAGGTAATTTTTGTATTTTTAGTAGAAATGGGGTTTCACCATGTAGGCCAGGCTGGTCTTGAACTCCTGAACTCCCACCTCAGCCTCCCAAAGTACTGGGATTGCAGGCAGGAGCCACTGCGACCGGCTGATATCAGCTTTTAATAGCAGAGAGAAGTAAACCTTTTGAGTGCCTCAGTACCCAAAAACAGATACTTTTAAGAAGAGATTGAAACTTTGTATCATGGGGGAATGATATTCGGGTAGACATGAATGACACTGAGAATTCTGAATCTTGAAATTTCTGAAAACATCTTTGGCTGAGAAAACAGACCCACTCCATTAAATCTGAGGGAACCAGTCCTCTATATATTGTATAAAATATTTTCAAAAACTGCATTAGCAAAATCTGAAACTAGATATCCTCCAGGACCTCCTCTCCACTTCCCATGTCATTGCTTACAGGCCCAAATTAAGTTGAATTCCAATATGTCTTGAGCCAGAAGTGTTTACAGCTTAGACCATAAAGGTATAGTCTATACACTGACGGCCAAGCCCTCATTAATTCATACAGTAGAATTCAGAAAGGGTTATGTAGTAGTTAATTTGAAGAACATTGAACAAAGTAAGAACTCGGAACTTCAGGTAGTAGAGAGAATCTTGGCTCAAGTCTGTCTGACAATAAGTCTAGTGGAACTGTGGACCTCTCCTGTTTTTATTTTTATTTTTTTTCTTTTCTCACATATCTCTAACACAGTGGAATAGTATGCCTCATGACAGTTAGAATCTGTGCATAGGTACTATAATATGTAGATTATTACGGTAGGCAGAACTAAGAGTAAATATGATACTACTTGTCCAGGAGAATTACCAATATTTTTACCAACAACAGTTTGAAAGAATGTCATGTTGATGCCTATAACATCCCTATTTAATGTTCCTGTTTGACAGGTGCCAATTCTTTGAGAAAATGATTTATCACAAAATTAACCAGGTGGTATTGATAATTGCTGATATTGCATCATATCCTTATTGAAACAATTCAACACAGGTTCAAATACATTGCATGTAACACGGGATATTTTCAGAAGTAGTTTGCATTCTTATGGCAGAAACAGCATAACCTTTGTTTTCTTGCCCTAGGGCTAGGCCAACTGTGATGATCTTGGTAATGATACAGCACAAATAATGCTAAATGATCTATTTTAATAGCCCAAAGAATGTCACGCTAGTTCATTATATTGATAAAATAATGATAATTATTCCATGGTAAGCCTGGAGTAGTAAGAATTGTAGATGACTAAGTAATTCAGATACATGCCAAAAGATAGTAGGTATACCTCAAGAAAATTGAGACCTAGAACATTGGTAAGCTTTCTAGGAATCTAGTAATCTGGGCATCCATTTTTATTTCTTTTTTATTATTTTTTATTATTTTTTTAAATCATATCTTTTTATTTTTATTTTATTTTATTATTATTATACTTTAGTTTTAGGGTACATGTGCACAACGTGCAGGTTTGTTACATATGTATACATGTGCCATGTTGGTCTGCTGCACCCATTAACTCCATTTTTAAGTAAGAGACAAAGTGTTCTCCTCAAACTACCCACATTGAAGAAAGAAGTAAAAAGTTGGTGGGCCCCTTTGAATCTTGGAGTCAACTGACATACCACCAGCCATGTATGATCTAGGTTTTAGAGGGCTTGAAGTTTATATAATTTTAGAAGCACACTTAAAAAAATACAAACTTAGGAATACTAGATTAGGCACAAATTTCAATACAGTCATGTGCCGCATATATGGTGGCAGTCCCATGAGATTATAATTGAGCTGAAAAATTCCTATTGCCTAGTGCAATGCAGTACTTGTGTTTTTTGTGTAAACAAACGTACTGCCCTGCCAGTTGCATATAAGTATAACATATACAACTATTTATATTACATAATACTTTATAATGATAAAACAACAATGTTACTAGTTTATACATCTTACCACATTTTTTTTTATTATTTTAGAGTATACTCCTTCTACTTAAAAAAAAGGTAACTGTAAGACAACCTCAGGCAAGTCCTTCAGGAGGTATTCCAGGAGAAGGCATTGTTATCAAGGATGAAAACTCCTCGGGTGTTACTACCTCTGAAAACCCTCCACTGGGACAAGACATGGAGATGGAAGATAGTTCTATTGATGATCCTGACCATATAGGTAGGCCTAGGCTAATGTATGTGTTTATGTCTTAGTTTTTAAAAAGAAATTTAAAAAATAAACAAATAAAAATTTTAAAAAACTATAGAATGAGAATAAATGGAAGAAAATGTTTGTACAACTGTACAATGTGTGTTTTAAATTGTGTTGTTACAAAAAGTCAAGAAAGTTAAAAAAGTTAAAGGTTTACAAAGTAAAAAATTACAGTAAGCTAAGGTTAATTTCTTATTGAAGAAATAAAATTTTAAGATAAGAATTTCAAATGAATTTAGTGATGCCTAATTTTCCAGTGTTATAAAGTCTACAGCAGCACACTGTAAGGTCCTAGCCTTTTACATTCAGTTACCACTCACTCACTGACTCATTCAGATCAATTTCCAGTCCTATAAACTCCACTGATGGTAAGTACCCTGTAAAGATGTACCATTTTAAATCCTTTACATTGTACTTTTACTGTAACTTTTCTGTGTTTAGATATAAAAATACTTATCATTGTGTTACAATTGCCTACAGCATTCAGTACAGTAACATATGGTACAGGTCAATAGCCTAGGCACAATAAACTATACCATACAGCGGAGGTGTGTAGCAGGCTCTAGCATCTAGTTTTGGGTAAATATACTCTATGATGTTCCAACAATGACAAAATTACTTAAGAATGCTTTTCTCAAAACATATCCCTGTCATTAAATGATGCATTACTGTATTTATTTTAATTACTGGGTATGACACTATAATATTTTTTATTTTCTGTGTTTTTGCTGTATATTTCAAACCGATAGATCCTGGATTACATTTCATATAAAATTATATTAAACACAATTTTCTATACAGATAGTTTGAATATAATTTAATATTCCTTTTGACACATTTACTGAACAGAAAAAAATTACAACAGCTAGTTTCTAGTTCTGAACATCTGTAAATCTTTTTATTTATATTATTCCTAGAAGTTTTGTGACTTAAGCAAGAAATACATATTGGCAGAGAGATTTGTGGTTACATGCATTTTAGGGGTAGGCGTGAGGTGGTGAAATAGGAAAAATTGATTATTAAATTGTTCACAGTGGACATAGATTTAACTTTTGGTTTTATAGCTAAATGGGGTTATGTGTGCACTCGTGTTTGTTTATATGCAATATAATTGGTTACATTTTAGCTTTAATTTATATTTAATTTTGACATTTCTAAAATTTAACATATCAGAGTCCAGGACTACCACTAGAGTGTGTGGTATACAAAGAGAATATATTTTTGCGTAGCCCTTGTCTATACAAACTATTTGATTAAAAAATGCTTACAAAGTATACAGGCCCGTGTGGGATATAGTGATTTATCAATGAAAATTCAGAAAAATAGGAAGAGAAGAATTTGTTATATATTTCAGAAGATCATTTGTAGTATCAAAGCACGCTGTTTTTCTGTTTAGATCTAGACACCATCTCATCAAGTTTTTCACTGTTAAGTGTGCTGTTACTGGAAAAATTCCTCTCTCTCATCCCAGTGGAATATGTAGCAATTCTGTATGACTCATAACTGTATGGCTCCACAGATTTCTTTGTATTGAAACTATTTAGTACTAATTGTCTCTGAATTTTCTTAATGCTGTGTATTTTATGTTGGTTGCATCCTTGTTCAGGACCGTACATCATCTACCAACCCACTCCTAAATATTGGCTTCCAATTACTCTCTGAAAGATGGGTTAATGATGATGAAAGATGCTAGTCTTACCAAGAGTGTGAAAGAAAATGAAACATTTGAACCATATTCACTTTCTGGTCTTGTTATATTTAGCATTTGAAATTTTATAACAGAAATGTAGAAATTCCAAATGCATTGACTAGGAGAACTCTTAGGCCACAATCATTACACTTCTAGAATGTGATCTCTTTCAATACTGACCACATCATTGCCTTCCACATGTTTCTATCTGCATGCAGAACAAACTAGGAGTGCATGGAGTAGGTGAAAAGAACATTCTAATTTGTGCTAGAATGCTTGCCACATGTCCAGGAAAGCTTAAGACCTGCTTGGGAGATCATGTTGTTACCTTCTCAGTCAGAGGAAGGATAGGCTGTATAACATGCAGGATCCAGTGAAAAACAAAAATGAAGGACTATTGTTAAAACAATTACACTAAACTGTAAGATAGCAATAGCAGAGAATTAAATCAAGAATGAGACCCTCGCAAAGAAGTGCTCTGAGATATTGCACAGGTTGCAAATTCATAAAGATAGCCCTGATTGGAGAAAACCATGAATCAGAATGGTTCTTTGATTCTGTCAAATTGCAGATGTGATTGATGTGACCAACCACAGAAGACCTCCTGATACTAGACGGGATTGAATGACCATACCGGATGTCAGTAGTGGATAGAGAGTGTGTACAAGGTAAATAAAGTATTTCCCTGATCTTGTTGCTTTCAGGAGCTATAGACCAGAGGCAGCACCTCAGTGGGAACATGGACCAGGAAAACCCAGTGAAAGGACCCATACACATGACTTGAGACCACAAGTCGGAGGTGGTCTTTAGGTAATCCAGAATCCTCATCTCTTCTTGTGTCTGACATGAGTAAAAGTCATCTAAATTCATTATTTCGGCACTATTTATGCAGCTAATTTTCTGCAGCTTCATGAAAGACATTCTGTTCTGGCCGTGGAATGCAAACAATCATCTTACCAGGTTTCCCTTCTGGAACTGGGCCTGGTGTTGGGACTTTGACTGGGACCACCCCAAAAACATAATTCTGGGACTGTGTTGGGAAATCTGTTGGATCCTATATATGGAGACACAGTGTCAGAGAGCTCTATTATGGATCCAGGTCTGGGCTTGCACTGCCCCACGTGGATATCCCTGCTGGCTTTGGCTAATCTCAAATGCTGGAGAGGAACTTCAATATTTTTAGAAAGACACTCAAGCTTAGGGGCCCATGAGGCATGGGGCTTGCGCTGGGGTTCCTGCTTACTCAAGAAGGTTTGAAAAGAGAAAATGACCTGGGCCTCTCTTGGACCGAGTTATATCCTTATAGAATAATTTCTGCCCCTTTATAAATGAAATATCTGAGTAATAAGCCATCCAAAACTTCTTTGCCCAAAATAACTTTTGGATAATTATAAGTGATATTAAAGTACAATCTAAATGTGTTTTAATCCCACATATGACTGCTACAATCATGTAGCAGTTAATAAAAAAAATTGATAATCAAATTATAGAAAAACAGCTCATTTAAAATGTCAGTTTTAAAGTAATGATTAATCTTCAATACTAAATAGCAATTATATGCATTTTAAGTAGTTCAGATAAAGATTGCGTGTTTAGGAGAAAGTATTTCCAGCCTTTCACAAATGTTTTCAGAAATGTGAAGTTGGAAATATAAACTGTTATAATGTGCACAATTACATAACTCCTAAAAAGTATTTTAAACTCTTTATATGTATTCATCCTCTTAGAGCTGTTATGTGGTAGAGATGCTATTATGCTGAATAAGTACTTAAACATTTCTATGGAAATATAAACCAAAGCAAAACATTAAATCTTCCGGTGCCTTGTAAGTAAGATAATAAGCACAGAAATTTGTAGCATACTTAATATCATTTTCTCCACCCTGTACTTTATCTTCAATATTCATTTTTTATTAGATCTGGTTGATTTTTACTTCCTTGGTGTTTGGCAAATAGTTTTTTTCTTCTGTGCATCTCACATACGACTTAGTTTAGAATTCAATTCTATTTATTCCATCTTGCTCTTTGCCTGCTCTCATCCTTTGGGACACATTTTCCTCAGTTTTCTAAAAACACAAATAGATCATGCTACTTCTCTTCAAATTCTTCAATAAATCCTAATATCCTTCAAATTCAAAGCCATTCATCAAAGGTAAATCTGGCATATATTGGTGATCTGGCACACACTGAATTTTCTTGTCTCATTCTATTAATGTATCATTCATCTATCCATTCATATTTATGAACTGCTGGTTTTCTGTCATACACTATTATACGCCTGGGGATATAGCATTAGCCAGGACCATGGTTCTTGTTCTTATGTGACTGTTGGGCTAGTAGAAAAAAAATACAATGAAAACAAAATCAGATAGAAAAGATAATTTTGAAAAGTGATACCAATCTTAAAAAATAATTAAATGAGGCAGTTTGAAGGTAATGAAGTCTAAAAAGGAGGGATAGCCTGAAAAAGCTTTCTGGAAAGAGAGACATCTGAGCTAAGACATGAACTGAAATAGCCAACCATGCAAAGATAAAGATCCTCTCAGGCAAAGGGAAGATAAGTTTCAAAGTCTCTGAAGCATGGGTAAACTAGGTTTGTTCAAGAAGCAGAAACAGTAAGTCAGAGGCATAATCAAAAGAAAACTGGTAGGAAAAGAGATTGAAATGGAAGGGAGGGCCTAGGTTTTGCAGAATATTATTTCTATTTTCACAAATTATTCTTTATATAGTCCTGCATTGACAGCTCCTTTGAATATATCACACCAGCCCAACTCTTTCTCTTTGTTGTGTTAGAAGAATCAGGGTGGTTTCGTTTCCTCTCATAATCCATAACCCTTACTTGTACTGAATGTTCCATTTAGGTGTTTCTTCCATTTATCATGAACATAACACTTAATGTGATGCTTCAAAACATAAATTTCCATTTTCACCCCTTTCTTGAGCTCTTTTTAATAACTAAGATGGTGTTTTTGATACCTTTGCATTATTTCAATTATGTAGCCCATTTTAAGTACTCTGAGAATCTTTAATAATGAGGATCTTTAATAATTTTTGATAAGAAAATCAATTAATTAATATACAAAACAAAGAAAAAAGATAATGTGAGCCCACAATAAACCACTTTGTTTAATATAACTGTTTTGATTAAGCAACTCAATATCTTGATATTTAACCCCTTTGTTTGAACCAATTTCTCCCATTTGGAACAGGACCATTTACCCAATGCCTGTACCCCCATTGTATCTTGGAAGTAGCTAACTTTTTTTTTTTCTATTTTACAGGCTTATAGGCATAAGGGACTTGTCTTTTCTCAGATGAGACTTTGGACTGTGGACTTTTGAGTTAATCCATACTTTTAGAACCTTGTTGTCAATACATACCACTAGATGCATCTTTTTTTCTCTTCAGTAGAAATTTTCAGAGCAAAACACACAATGCTCTGACAAGATAAACATTTATATATACAAATAAAGAAATTGAAGTATAATAATGTTTTGAAAAATGATTGCCATATTGATATGGTTTGGCTTCATGTCCCCACCTCATTTTGAATTGTAATTCCCAGTGTTTTGTGGGGGCTGGTGGGAGGTTATTGGATCACAAGAGAGGGTTTCCCCTTGCTGTTCTGCTGAGTGTGTTCTCACAAGTTCTGATGCTTTAAAAGTGTGAGGGACTTTCCCCTTCCCTCTCACTCGCTCCTGCTGTCATGTGAAGATATGTTTGCTTCCTCTTCACCTTCCACCATGATTGTAAGTTTTCTGAGGCCTCCCAGGAATGACTCCTGTACAGTCTATAGAACTGTAAGTCAATTAAATCTATTTTTTCATAAATTACCCAGCCTCAGGTAATTCTTTATAGCAGCGAGAAAACAAACTAATACAGAAAATTGGTACAAGAGAAGGGGAGTTTTGCTATAAATATACCTGAAAATGTGGGAGTGACTTTGGAACTGGTTAATGGGCAGAGGTTGGAATAGTTTGGAGGGCCCTGGAGAACATAGAAAGATAAGGGAAAGTTTGGAACTTCCTAGTGACTTGTTTAATGGTTGTGACCAAAATGCTGATAGTAATATGGACAGTGAAGTACAGGCTGAGATGGTCTCAGATGGAGATGAGGAACTTACTTGGATCTGGACTAAAGGTCACTTTTCTTATGCTTTAGCAAAAAAGATTGGCAGCCTTGTGTCCATGCTTTGGAGATCTGTAAAACTTTGAACTTGAGAGAGATGATTTAGAGTATCTGGCAGAAAAAAATTCTAAGAAGCAAAGTGTGCAAGACATGGCCTGGCCGCTTCTGAAAGCCTATGCTCATTTGCATAAACAGAGAGAAAATTTGAAACTAGAACTTATATTTAAAAGGGATGCAGGGCATAAACATTTGGAAAATTTTGCAGCCCAACCATGCAGTATAAAAGGAAAAGCAATTTTCTGGAGGAAGAATTCAAGGCTGCAGAAATTTGCAGAAGTAAATAAAGAGTTGAATGTTAATAGCCAAGACAATGGGGAATATGACTTCAGGACATTTCAGATAGCTTCATGGCAGCCCCTTATATCACAGGCTTAGAGGCCTAGGAGGAAAAGAATGGTTTTATGAGCCAGACCCAGGGCCCTGATGCTCTGTGCAGCCTCGGGACATGGCACCCTTCATCCTAGCCACTCTACCTCCATTTGTCACTAAAAAGGGCCAAGGTACAGCTTAGGCCATTGCTTCAGGTGGTTCAAGCCTCGGGCTTTTGTGGCTTCTACATGGTGTTGGGCCTGCAGGTGCACAGAAGGCAAGAATTGAGGTTTGGGAGCCTCTACCTAGATTTCAGAGGATGTATGAAAACACCTGGATGTCTAGGCAGAAGTCTGCTGCAGGTGTAGATCCCTCATGGAAAAACTCTACTAGGGCAGTGTGGAGGGAAAATGTGAGATTGGAGCCTTCACAAAGAGTCCTCACTGGGTCACTGTATAGTGGAGTTGTGAGACGAGGTCCGCTGTCTTCCAGATTCCAGAATGGTAAATCCACTGACAGCTTGCACCCTGAGCCTGGAAAAGTCGTAGGCACTCAACACCAGCCCATGAATGCAGCTGCAGGTGCTGTACCCTCCACGGGAATGGAGCTGGGCAAGGCCTTAGGAGCCTACCTCTTGCATCCCCATGTCCTGGATGTAAGACATGGACTCAAAGGAGATTATTTTGAAGCTTTAAGATGTAATGACTGCCCTGCTGGGTTTTGAGCTTGCATGGGGCCCATAATCCCTTTATTCTGACCAATTTCTCCCACTTGGAACAGGACCATTTACCCAATGCCTGTACCCCCACTGTATCTTGGAGGTAAATAACTTTTATTATTATTATTTTTATTTTACAGGCTAATAGGCAGAAGGGACTTGCCTTTTCTCAGATGAGACTTTGGACTGTAGAATTTTGAGTTAATGCTGGAATGAGTTAAGACTTCGGGGACTGTTGGGAAGGCATGATAGTGTTTTGAAATGTAAGAAGAACGTGAGATTCGGGAGGGTCTAGGAGCGGAATGATATGGCTTGATTTTTGCCCCCACTCAAATCTCATATTGAATTGTAATTCCTAATGTTGAGGGAGAGACCTGGTGGGAGGTGATTGAATCATCGAGGTGGATTTCCCCCTTGCTATTCTCGTAATAGTGAGCGAGTTCTCCTGAGATCTGATGGTTTAAAAGTGTGTAGCACCTCCCCCTTTACTCTCTCTCTCTTTCCTGCAGTATAAATATGTGCTTGCATCCCCTCTGCTTTCCACCATGATTGTAAGTTTCCTGAGGCCTCTCAGCCATGCTTCCTGTACAGCCTGTGGAACTGTGATTCCATTAAACCTCTTTTCTCTATAAATTACTCACTCTCAGGTAGTCCTCTATAACCATGTGAAGATGGACTAATGCACATGCCCTGTACACTTTCTAATTTCCATGCATTCATGAATTTATGATAGATTTCATAGAGATTTATCTTTTTATAAATGTTAAGAATGAGTGACTGGATCCATTCTTTTTTAAAGGACTTTTGAAATTAGATAATGTTTACGTTCTTTTTTGTAGTTTTCTCTAGTTAGTATTTATTATATTTTTATAGATTCAGGGGGTATATTGTAAGTTTGTTACATGGGTATGTTGCATAATGGTGAGGTTGACCTTCTAGTGTGCCCATCATCTAAATATTAAACATTGTGCCCCACAAGAATTTCTCAGTCCTCACTCCCTTACACCGCAAACCCACTCTTAAACATAGATTCAAATGATTATGATAAACATTAGCCACAGAAATAAAATATTTTATATGACTGACACATTTTTGGTCCATTTCTTAAGGTAATAGCTTAAAATAATTGTGAAAGTCAATAGAAGAAAGGTGTGGTAGAAGTCTTCAGTACTACATGTTGCCTTGACATCTAGGAAAATCCAGCAAGTCTTCACATTGTTATACTACAAGCTCTTCTTCCCAACTGCTCCCACGGATAAAGTCTCCTCCTTTCCATGCAGAGCAGGTACGATTCCTGCTTACCCCTTAGTAGCAGATTTCATTTCCTTGCCATCCAGTGAAATTACTCAAAAAAGCCAATCACACCCTTCTTTGGGGACCAGGGTTTACCCCACGCTTTTGCTACTACAAAACCTGCCTCCCACAGTTCCTGCTTCTTCAATCTATTCCCAAGTACAATCCCTGTGTGACCTTGAATAGCATGCTATGTTGTCCTCCCCTGGTGTGTGAGTATTTGTGTCTAATAAACTGCTGCCGATTTCATCTGCCCAGGGTCAGATGTCATGGGTTCAGCCATCCCCATAACTCGAGGGTGAGAAGCTCTTTCTCATTGTAAAGCAGCCTGGAAGGGCATTTTTAGTGGGGCTGCTTAGAAGTCAGCTACGCTCAATTCTTGAAATGTATTAGTATTTCAACATGAAAAAGTTGTTTGTGCTCATAATTGTATTCATGGATATTAATCGGATCACAACTTTTATATTATTAAGAATCTAATGATCAGTTTTTATTAATAATTACAAATTATAGTCTGTAATGAACATAACCATATATTAATAATAATTCAATAATAACCAATAATCAGTTTCTATTCCTGAAATTTTAATAGTTTTCATTCAGTAATGAACTCAGTAAACCACCTGCATTACTCTAGCAACCTTTCAGACAACTTCATTGTAAGATACATCAAAGTTTTATTGCAAATTGCCAAAGAAAAGACGGAAGGAATGCCTTAAAAAGTCATTTTATTGTTTATTCTTCATAGAGGCATTTATGTACAAAAAACAACATACAAACAAACAACAACAACATGTGATAGATTAAATAAATAGCTGTTTAAAGATTGTAAGAATGGCCTTTCCACTGAATGTTTATTTCTAATTTTTTTTAGAATGAATTCTTAATCTCTTTAAAGTCAGAAAAATCCCTAGAACACTTTAATAGCAATATTATTGTTCTCCTGAGAAAGTTATAAAGTATATCAGAAAAACATTATCCCAGACAAAATCTGAGATGAGAGATTTTTAATAGATTCTAGGCTGCATTTTATACAAAAACATACTTCACAATTAGATATTATTTTTTCTGAATTTTCTCTGTATATGCCATTTACTTAGTTCAAATCCATTTGCAAAGTTTTCACATTTACAACTGCACCAGATATAAAGCATTGAATATTTTCATTCTCACATTGCCAACCACTAGCAGTGATTCCAGCAAAACTTTTTTTCCTTCCACAGATAATCCACATTTTTTTTCAGCTTTCAAGGTTTATATCCTGACTACTTCATATAAATATTTACAAAGAAAAGAATTATGAGCAGGAAATTTGTGAAAAAATGAAGTCAAAGTTTTACGCTATTTTAAAAGCAAAACATTTGCAAAACTGTTTGATTCTACTGAGAAAAATCTGCAAATATTTATCACTGTTTTGACATAAACAGCTTTGAAATCTTGAGAATATCTGTGCCTTTCCAAATTGAATAAGATTAATAGAAAGTACTTATGTAATTCCGAAGGCTGTATATTACAAAACTCAAGAATCTTGTGCTTAAGATTTATTCAGTTAACGTTTTTAGATTCATTAGTTAAATGTTTTCTTTACTAAAGTATTACATGAGCCAGATGGTATATAAGGTAAAATGCAAGGAAGCGATTTTAGAAAATATGTCATTAGAAAACATTTTAGAACTAGCATCTGAGATGATGTTTCTCAATGAGAATGTTGCTGGTACTGGGGGAGGGAGTCTTTCATTGTCCTGTGAAGGCCCATGCATTGTAGGAGGTATGACACTTCTGGTTTTTGGTCACTAAATTACAGTGTCAACTCCCACTCATGGGACCACTCTGCTTTCTAATTACAATTGCACATGGTTTGTACAAATCCTGGTAAAGACATTGTTTGAATTTCTATATAATATGAATATATTCTGGACTATGTTATCTAGCTTAGAAATCTTTTAATAGTGTTAAGTACCAAAGTGGTTTCTATTTTTTTGCCCTTCATTTATAAAGAGATAACATTTTCAAGAGTTGAGCTTCTCTTTGGTGTTTCTCCCTATTCCTGCTGCTATGGCTTATCCTCTAATGACAACATTCCACAAGGTACCACTTTCTTATGACTTAAAAAAACATTTGGTTACTTGGACTTCAATTGTAACCATGGCCACAGTATCTCTGTAGTGGGTTTGACACTAATTTCTTCTTTACAATTCCCCTCCCCATTCTCTACCTTCAGAATGTTATACTACATTAAATAAAAGGCCATGTGTGGCTCAAAGTTTCTCTGGTTCTCTGGTGCTAATCAAGAATACAGAAAGTATACTAGTTATTCTAACACAGGTAAGATGCCATAAAGAATTATTTGAACTGGTAATGGAGATTGCAAAGAACAAAATAAATGAGATGGACACCAAGATATTAGAGAGTTACAGTCACTCTGTTACATTGGGAGGAGCAATTGATGAAGTTAGGATTATTAGGTTGCATAAATTAGGTGAAAGACCCAGAAGAACTGAGATCCAGAGAGAAGACACTGCCAAACTGATGCTGATAACAGTGTCCAGTAGAGCATTGCAGTGTTCTTTTAAAATTTCCATGAAATCACCAAGTAGGTGCTGAAATATGTTACTGGAGTATATTATTGGACATGATATGGTACACATATTGAACCAATGTTTGTTATATCTTGCTGAGATTCAATGGGTAGAAGACTTGCATCCAGGAATCACTGTGTGGTGGCAGAATTGCTTTTTATTACCATCGCTTTCAATTACCAATTGCAAAATCTGTGCTCCTCAATCTTTTTCATCTATGAGGTTTTATAGCTGATAACACCTATAGGGTGGGGGGAAGGAATCCTTTCCATGAACTAATGCTATGGATGCTATCATGTCACTTTAGACTTTAAATACTGATGCTAGATCATCAGGCAAAGAAAGACATTATTCTACTAGTGGGCAAATTTTCTAGAATGTTATGAAGTACTAGGAATGCTGCAACATGATGAGGAGAGGAAAGAGTAAGTATGGAATTCGATTAATTCAATGAGCTGCCTCTGGGTACTTCCAAACTTGGTGACAGTAGTCACCTGCCAGCTGCGGTGACCATGGCCTGACAAGGCAAGGTAACTAGATGACCAAAAGTTTTGAGAATCTATGTCTACACCACTCTAGTGGACAAGTAAACCAACCAGCTGACATTCTAAGATTGGTTAAGAAAGATGAATATTAACTAAGGTCTTAGGAGTAATTGCTGCAGGAGGAGCTATAGCTTATTCCACTAGACTTCTGGTATCACAACATTTTTAGACATTATGATCAGCTGTTACTTCAAAGCATCCATAACAGAGTAGACTAGTATAGAGCATAGGCAGATTTGCATGGTACAAGGGGTAGCCACAAGTCAAATAGGAGCACTGCCCATTTATTCTTGGTCAGTTGAATCTGGTTGAGCTGCAGTAGTCACTTTTCATGCACACTTTCACTGAAACCACTCTACCTCAAGGTCTTTTGTGACTGCTTGTGATGATGGTCCTTCTATAGTGCTATGCAAACCAGTTAGACCCACTGGTGTTCAGAATTCAAAGCTTGGCATAGAGCCACCTGCCAAATAATTTTGGATGCTTCTAGGGAAGTTCAATGGGACTGTTTATAATACAGTGGAAAGATATCTAACTGAAATACACTGATGAAGAAATTGCTGAAGGGATGTCCACATGATCAAGCAAGAAAACACAAAGAAGCAAGTGGTATGTTACTCCTCCTTCCAGACACCAACTTACCCCTGTGGAGATTCCTAAGGGAAGAGCTAAACTTATATCAAGCTGGCAAAAGAGAAATGTTTTGGCCAAGTCCTTGCAACAGCAGCACAAAGTAAGTAGAGAAGGTTGGGCTTTGAGAGAAAATATCTCAAAATCACTATATTATTTGAATACATTCTTGATATCTTATGACTCCAATTTTATTTTTTGCACTAAAGAATTTGTTAACATATTAAATGATTAGCTGATGAAAATGCCTCTGAGAAATCTTTGTATCTTTCAGGTGTATAGAATAGCATAAAACAAAGAGATAGACATTATAAAATGGTGTCATAAGACTGTGTGCAGTGACTCATGCCTGTAATCCCAGCACCTTGGGAGGCCGAGGTGGGTGGATCACGATGTCAGGAGTTCAAGACCAGCCTGACCACCATGGTGAAAACCTGTCTCTACTAAAAATTCAAAAAATTAGCCGGGTGTGGTGGTGAGCACCTGTAGTCCCAGCTACTCAGGACACTGGGGCAGGAGAATTGCTTGAACCTGGGAGGTGGAGGTTGCAGTGAGCAGAGATAGCGTTACTGCACTCCAGCCTGGACGAAACAGCAAGACTCCATCTTGGAAAAAAGATATGCCACATAGTCATATCTGCCTTGCCTGAAAGTACACTTTCCTGGTTCTAATAGTCATCGCAGGGCTTGCCATGAAATTGACACCGAGTAAAACGTCTCATTTTGAATTCATGGATACTAAGCCATAAGGAAATTGAAAGTGTGTTTTGTTTGCTTGTTTGTATTGTAGTAGTATCTTTTTTTTTTCATTTTTTGTCTTTCCATTTATTTAGGTGTTTTAAAATTTCTCTAAAGAGTATGAGTTTCCGGGAGGCGTATTCTATACAACTGTGATTATATTAATTCCTAAGTGCATGGTGTTTTTAAGATTTTATAAGCATTGAATTTTTTTTAAAAAATGTAATTGGCCAGGCACGGTGGCTCAGGCCTGTAATCCCAGCACTTTGGGAGGCCAAAGCGGGTGGATTGCCTGAGGTCAGGAGTTTGAGAGCAGTCTGGCCAACATGGTGAAACCCCGTCTCTACTAAAAATACAAAAAAATTAGCCAGGCGGGGTGGCATGTGCCTTTAATCCCAGCTACTTTGCTCAGGAGGCAGGAGGCTGAGGCAGGGGAATTGTTTGAACCAGGGTGGTGGAAGTTGCAGTGAGCTGAGATGGCACCACTGCACTCCAGCCTGGGCGACAGAGTGAGACCCCATCTCAAAAAAAAAAAAAAAAAGAAAGAAAGAACAAAAAGGAAAGAAAAAATATAATTGACAATGATTGTGCATATTTATGGGGTACAATGTGATGTTGCCATATATATATAAATTGTATAATGATCAAAATAGGGTAAGAAGCATATCTATTATCTTAAACACATTTACCATTTATTTGTGATGAGAACATTCAAAAACCTCTCTTTTAACTATTTAAAAATATACAATACACTATTGGTAACTAGTCATCTCATTATGCAATAGGCCAGCAGAACTCATTTCTCCTGTCTAACTGTGGCTTTGAATCCATTGACCAATGTCTCACTGTCAGTCCATCCTCTCTGCGTCTCCATCCTCTAGTAACCACTATTCTACGCTCTACTTCCATGAGATGCAGTTTTTACATTCTACATATGAGTGAGGTCATGCAGTTTTTTTATGTTAAGTGAAAAAGGGGTAAGTTTTTTCTAATCAATTTATTTCAAAAGGAATTCTCTCTAGGTTCTGTAGAGAATCACCACTAAGATATATATAATTTTAAAAATAAAATGTTATTAAATATGGTGTTACTAGCAGTTTAAATTACCATTTACTGAAGTCAATGCGGCAGGAGACATCTTGTGGTCAAAGCAGAAATGAAGTGAATTTTTTGAACAGAATAAAGAAATCTCAGAAGATGATAACTTTACATATAGAAGAAAATGGAGGAAAGTTAAATATATGGTATAGAAGACATGAAATTAAAAAAACCAATATAACTATTATGTATAAAAATCTCTGTATGGGCAGGCAGGGTGCGGTGGCTCACGCCTGTAATCCCAGCACTTTGGGAGGCCTGAGGCAGGAGGATCATATGATGTCAGGAGTTTGAGACCAGCCTGGCCAATGTGGTGAAACCCTGTCTCTACTAAAAATATAAAAATTAGCCAGGTGTGGTGGCACATGCCTGTAATCCCAGCTATTCGAGAGTCTGAGGCAGAAGAATGGCTTGAACCTAGGAGGCAGAGGTTGCAGTGAGCCGAGATCGTACCATTACACTCCAACCTGGGCGACAGAGTAAGACTCCATCTCGAAAAAATAAATAAATAAATAAATATAAAAAAAATAAAATCTTCGTCTGAATGGACTTACACAATTTAAGAGTAAGCAAAAAAACCCCAAAGTATAAAAAACAAAGGCTTTTTATTCTAAATATTCAATGTATAGTTTAATATAAAATTATTCAGATCTATTGGTTTTTTATATTATCTGAGTTCTCACTTTCACAAATTAATTGAAATTGGTTACTTTTCCTCTTACACTCCTTCCAATTGTACTATAAATATTAGTAAAGTCAGAAAAGTTAAAAAAGTAGTTAGGTTAGGCTAGGCGTGGTGGCTCACGCCTGTAATCCCAGCACTTTGGGAGGCTGAGGCGGGCGGATCGTCTGAGGTCGAAAGTTCGAGACCAGCCTGACCAACATGGAGAAACTCCGTCTCTACTAAAAATACAAAATTAGCCAGGCGTGGTGGCGCATGCCTGTAATCCCAGCTACTCAGGAAGGCTGAGGCAGGAGAATCACCTGAATCCAGGAGGCGGAGGTTGCAGTGAGCTGAGATCACGCCATTGCACTCCAGCCTGGGCAACAAAAGTGAAACTCCGTCTCAAAAAAAAAAAAAGAAAAGTAGATAGGTTATAAAATTGGTAATTATTGTGTTATATTTGCCTCTATACATCTACATCTATCAGTGTATCATTTATTTATTCATTTATTTAATGACATGGCTGAACCATTTTATATTTTCTGCACGTTGCACGTATTATGAAACTGCAAAGTATATATTTCCTACATATGAGAATATTTTCTACAGAAAATAGTGCTGTTATTACATATTAAAAAACAAAAGTGAGCTTTCACGTACATATTGTTTTGTGTATTTTCTATTGGTCAGCATATTTTTGAGTCATTCATGTTGCTGCGTGTAATAGAGATTTTTGTTGCTGTGTTTCTGTTTTGTTGTAATTTTGTTTTTGCTTAGCAATGACATATATACATATAGGTATATTATATAGTTGTATCAATATGCCACTGTTAGTTTTTGATCATCTATCAAAAATCACCTTAATTGTGCTGACCTTGGGTCCCATCTTTATTAGGATGTCCTAGTTAAAGGATGGAAAGCAGTAATTCTCCATGAGCTCCATCACATGTGATGATGGCAATGTGTAGGTGCCAAGGCTTCCCTTTGCTTTCTGAAAGTTTTTTCAAAAGTCACCTGACAAAAGGCAGATTAAAAGGAAAAAGCTTACAAATGTATTAACATGCACAGGAGTTACAGAAAAAAAATGGGGGCCTTGGAGCAAGACAATACAGGTTACGGCAGCAAAACAGGTTGTGGGACGGAAAACAAGAGGATGCCTGTCTAGCAAATATGGTCTTGTCTTGTAAAGCAGATGAAATCTCTCACAGGTATTAACCCTCAGGGAGAAAATATGGTAAATGTTTCTTTTAGGTCTTCAAAGCTATCAGACCTTCAGTTAATCTTTCCTAGATCTGGACAAGGGAGGGCCTTCAGAGAAAGCCTGGTTGCATAATGCCTATTTTCTCCACAGATGCAAATCTCCCCCACAAAAGACAGTTTTGCAGGGCTACTACTGTTTGCAGGCCCTCAGAACAGCCATCTCAACATAACTCAAAGAAATATATTTTGGGATGAAATATTTGGTTTCCTCCAGATGCCATCTGAACATTACAGTAACTCCATTTGTTATTAACTCAGTTGATCCCAGGGGGCTCCCTAGGTAGCCAAGAGGACTGAGGATGACCTTCTCCAGCAACATAATATCTGTCAAAGAAAGTGGAGGCTACCTCCTATTGCAGGTGAGATGTGAAAGAAGGATCACATTTTGCTCCATCTTTGAGCAAAGAGAGCTTCAATAGCAAGGGAGTTCAATAGCTGTGCTAAGCTTTTGGGCTGCTTCTTCCATGACCTAAGGCAGAGTAGGTAGCTGGGTAGGAAGGGTCAAGGATCTCCGGTCTGGAAGGGCCTCTGTTTTCAAGAGAGTACAGTATGTGACCAGGAATTGCCTCTCTAATGACCTATACTGTGAGGCCAGATAGCACAATTTATTGCATAAGAAACTCATACACAAAATATTGTGATAAACTTATAGAACAAAGCCTCTGGGAACCATGAGAGAAGGTTTATAAAGATGCTATAGTGAAGGAGTCTCTGGGGACACAAATCGAGTGGCTGTTTTATTGTGATTTTTACAGATGTTTAGCACCCTTTGTTGGAGGGGGTTGTTTGCAAGCTAGGCTGATTTGCAAGTAATGATGAATGACAACATAAATAATCTTAAGCAAAATTTGTAAATGATAAATATTTTGCCTCCAGAGCACAAAAAAATGCCTAAAAGATGTTTGGCTTGTTTTAACATTGTGGGTGATAAAAAGGTCAATAGTGTTTTTTTGATAGTGTCAGGGATGGAGTGTCCCTCAGTTTACCAAATAATTTTCAGAACTCTGAACAGGATAGTGGGCTTTGTGCTATGTATGGGGCAATGCCTCATTTTATTTTATTTTTTGAACTCCTTTTTGAGTATCTTTGTGTACTGAATGGGCGTGTCAAATGAATCTCCTCTGGAGGAGGATGTTATCAGTAAGTTTACACCTGTGCTCCTGGAGAAAGTTGGGCATGTTTAAGATCCTGCCAGTAAAGACTGTGTACAACATCGAAGCTGCTGAAGTATCCCATGGGTACACAGGTAAAAGCATATTTCGTTTCTTCATCTGAGAGGATGTTGGTTCATAGCATTAAGTGGTGTTAAGCTTGTGGTAATCAACTGTTTAAGAAGAGCCTAGCTTGGGCTATAAATGTGGAAGTAATGAAACGAATCACCCTTTCTCTGAATAGGCCTATTATGATTGATTTCAATCCTTGATTGACTTTACAATGCACCATGTTAACTATTTTAACGTAGTGGAAGAACAATGGGGTCTCATTTTTTTTCAAGCCAATTTGCAAGTGCCAAAGACTTATTTTAATCTTAATTCATTACTCATTTGATCAAAGTGTCTTTAGCCATACTCAAGAACATTTTAGGGCAATGGGTACCATAACCATGAAGGATTTAGGCAAGGCAATGTAATAGTTAAGGTGAGGAATATCTATTTGCTCCCTATTTTGTGTTCCATAATCCCCTAAGATTAGAGGGATACCTTATTTAAAATTAGTGGAATCCCGAGGCACAAATGTAAATTGAGCCTCAATGTTAATTAAGGCCATGAAACCTTTTCAGTTGTGCATTTCGGCAGATGCTAGTTAAATTAGAACCTATGTCTTAGAAGTACAAAAGCCGATCTGTGCCTTTTTGTCAGTTAGCTACATACATTATTGTAGCAAATCTTAGATTTCTATTTAGGTAGAATTTTCTTATTATTTTCTTTACTTTTTATAATTACTGTTACCCAGCTCATATTTATATTTCTTCCTTCAAATAGGCTGGAATCAATATCACCAGGGTTAAACACCTCCCTAATAAAAATGGCTGAATTAAACTCTTAGCTGCATCACAGGGGTATCATATATGCTTTCTTATAATCCTGAAACTCAAGATCTTTTTCTGATAGAGACATAGGTAGCAGCAGAAACAATAAAATTTATTTCATAGAATTCTAGTTATCCTTCTGCTTTTAAGAAAGTGGAACTCAGAAATCTAAATACTGACTCTTCTGCCTCCTCTCTACACAACCAACCATCTGATGGGACCATATATCACACACAGTGTAAGTCTTTCACCTGAACTCTCTATTAAATGGAGCCGGCTCCAGGTTGAGACACAAAAGCAGTGGTCATAGGGTAAGGGTCATTCGCCTGAGTCTAATGTCAGACAAGGCTTAAGCTGGAATTGAGATGAAAAATTGCATCTAAGATACACAAATAGGTCCAGGCTAAGACATATGACCCAGGGGCACTGTAAGAAGAGATTCAATTCTATCCTTCTGTTCCTAAATAGAAGTTATCAAAATTTATGACTTTGGAGTTTTAAATCTGGAACAGAGGCTGGGTAGAATTCAGCAAAAAATACTTTCAGCGCAAAGTAGCACAGTTCAGAGTGCAAGCTTGCCAGCAAGAAACAGCTCCAACTGCAGGCTCGCCAGCAGGCAGCCAAGCCAGTTGGCAAGCCAAACAAGGGAAGAAGGCTCACCAGTGGCGGTAGTCATCACTAGCTACCCAGATAATTGTGCCGATTGTTGCCACCACTATTAATGTATAGGATATACCACAACTCAAAAATTTGGTTGAGTTGTAGAAGTGGATGATGCCACACACACACACTAAGAGTATGAAAAGGTGTATTACTCACAAAGAGAGGCTTTCTGGAGAGAGCATGGTGGCTCACAAGCAGTTCCAGAAATGGCTTGAGAAAGCAGGGAAAGAGGACTGGTTTGGGGTTTTCTCTCATGGTCAGAAGATAGGGCCAGAGTGGGGATTCCCATATGGGCAGGCACTTACACTGTTTGAACCCCCACTAGTGCCAAAGAAAGGAACATCCAGGCTTTCTTAGCTTTCCCAGATGTGAGGTGGAAGGGAAAGAGAGCAGGATGAAGGTTGAAACATGTTAGCAGTAAAACATCAAAAAATGTATTCAGATCACTTATGACAAATGTGTCTGGGAAGTAGATGCTGCTAAAGGTCTAAGAAGCACCCATAGTTACCAGGTTTTTTCACTTATTAGCTTTTCTAAAGAAATTTAATTTATCCTGAAGCATAACATTACACTAAAGCAAAGGAACCAAATTGATGCATATAAAGTAAATAAATGTACTACTATAATATTCCAAAGATATACATACTCCATACTTTTCTTAAAATTAAACCTTCCTTATACATATACAGATACATAACATATAGGATTATTATTTATACTAAAATTTAATTCATTATCCCCTTTGAAATCTTAGATTAACACAAAATTATCTAATTAATTAACATTTTCCAAGCACTTTTCAGGAATGCTACAGTGATTTACTTAATATTACAAAAATAAGAAATATAAAACTCTCAGTATGCTGTTCTCCTAATACTATATCATGGAGAGTAAAAATAATATTTGCCCACTAAGTGAATTCCTTCATTTCTGTGATGAATATGGTAAGGTGCACCCATGTAATTTGCATATATAATAGGAAATGTTATTTTACAGTGATACCTTAGTGAAATAACTATATAATTAATTACATATTATATATTCAAAAATTGCATATTATATATACTAAAAATTATATCTATACAGGATGTAGATATAGAAAGAAAAACTCTTATGCTGAACATTTTCTAGAGAATTCAATCTGCTCACATAGGTGTAAAACTTACTAGCTCATTTGAAGCAGCAATAATAACCATTTTAAATTGTAATACATGTGTTCTTGTTTTAAAGTATTCAATATTAAATTAAACTATTCTTTCAGTTCCTCTAAGCATACAATGACATATTGCTTAACTTAATATTCGAGTTTTTATTAGTTCAATAAAATAGTTCAATATCTTAATGTGTTCAACTAGAAACACAGTTGCGTTCATTCCCAAAGGTACATTAAGTTTTACTGTGAATTCAAACCCCACTTGCACTTCCAAACCACAAAACATAAAAGTAAAATCCGCAGGCATACAGTGCATATTTAATAGCCATTAAGAAATTCCTTAGTATTCAAATCTGCTGATGAAATACACCAGAAAAATAATGAAACCTGAATTGTGTCAGTTAAATGGACTTTGTATTTTCTGGGCTCAGGATGTTTTCATATTTAATAACAGATCAACCTCTACTTTTCTAACCTCAATTCTCATTGTAATTCAAAGTTATTATTTGCACGTGTTTTTTAGTCACAGAAAAACGTACTGTCCAATATGGTAGCTGCTAGCTACCTATAGTTATTTAAATTTAAAGTTCAATTTATTAAAATATTTAAAATTTAGTGCTCAGTCACACCAGCCACACTTCAAGGGCTCATGATAACTGGCTGGTAACCACTCTACTGAACAGAACAGAAATGAGAATATTTCCATCATTGCAGAAAGTGTTATTGGACACCAATATTATAAGAGATACAAGATGGAAAAAGAGAGCCACATTCAGAGATTAATACAGAATGCATTTTAGTTTCAGAAGAGAAAAATGGTTGCTAGATAGTCAAATACATATTTATAAATTAAATAGTTATTTAATCATGTCTACCCTAAAACTGTTAAAAAACATGTTACATACTCTGAAGTTTATTAAGAAAATTCAGAAAATATAGACATCTACAATGAAATAATCTCCAAAGTCCCAGTAATGAAAATAGTCAATATTAATTTGTTGAAGTATTTATTTCCAGAACTTTGCTTTTCCTAGATAGTTAAAAGATAATTAAAATTGTCTGTCACTTAATACAGTTTCACGTATTTTGTTTACATTTAACTATATATAAATTCCAGGTTACCCTAGGTTTTCTGAAAAAAAAAATTACTCTCATCTGTCTTATGTAGTTATAGTCAGTGTACATATATAGACTCAAAACAGAGTTGTCATTCATAATTTTAATATAATTTTCTATCAAAATTAGATTTCTATAAACTCCCGATTAAGCTATTATCATGTCTCTGATTACAAAATAACATATTATTAGAACATGCTAATATTTACATTGAGAACCGTCATTAATAACCTGATTTTACCCATTCATGCATTCTTAATGGGATGGTTATTGACAGCAATGGACTTTCCTTTAAATTTGTTCGGTTTTTGAGAGATTAGTTCCCGGTCTTAGTACGTGATTTTCGATCCCTTTTTCAAAAATAAACTAAAAGTTAAAAGCAGCAATTTTAACATTATGTCCCCAAAACAAGAGGAATTACTACTTTTATATTAAAAGATGAAATGTTATAATGATATAACTATACCTGTTAGAGACAAATCCTAAATGTGGCTACATGGGATTTTGAATATTTCACTTTGCACAGTATGGGGAGGTCTGACATGAGACATTGAAATTGCAAAGAAGAAAGCAAAAAAACTATGTGCTGAAAAGAAGTTGATGCACCAATATATAGGTATGTAGTTTTAGAACCCGAATTAATATTTAATGTAAGTTTATTGTTATATTTGCAGCACAACTAGAGTCATCTTAGTTTAGTTTTACCCAGAAGTAATTCTGAAACAAAGACTATGCATAGGTATATTTTTGGTAAGTGATCCAGGAAGTAGAAGTGAGAGAGTAGAATAAAGTAACAGAGAGAAGAATTACCAATAAAGGGTAATTTTGTGAGTGGTTTAATGAGATGGGCAACTGAAGCTCAATCTTCCCAGGAATGTCAGAGAAACTGTATACCTCAGCAATGTTCTAAGGAAAGATGAGAAGATTAAAATATCCAGCCTCTGCTTTTTTTTTTGCCTCTCACTAGTTGAATATTGACTCTGGCAACATTAAATTCCAAGCATTCTCGGACTAAAACTAGGGGACCTGGCTAGCTCTCTTGGTGCTGTAGGAAGTGCTGAATCTGATAAGCAGGAGCGGAGAGGCACATGTATTGGAGGTAGAAAGCTCAGAATTCATGGAATATGTGGCTTCAACCGCACTCAGAGGAGGCTGAGACAGTGCTGATTGTCTACCCATTTTAACATTCAAATGTGCTCATGCTACATTGATTGATCCTCTCTGTTATGGAGGCCCTAATGTGATCTCTACCCATAATCTCTAAAAATGATGTGAAAATGAAGGTTAGGTCCACAAGCTAGAATCCCTGTGTTGGAACTACTTCCAAGCCTGTAATTATAATTTATTTCCTTTCTTAATAAACCATAACTCTCACCTTTGACTAGCCCTTTAGCGGGTTGATTTTTGTCACCATATTTGGAAGCACCCAGTGGTACCCCAGTGAATCCTATGTGTCTCAGACTCTGAATGCTTACGATGTCCTATGTAGTGCTGTTGCTACTGGAGATTTTCAGGACGCTTTTGGAATAAATTCTAAATGACAAGACTTTTCATTATTACCTCAACATTCACAGACTCGCATGTAGGCAAATGGTTGGATATACCTAGGTCAACGGCCAAGATCTATTTGTTAGAGTGTGTGTCGAAGTTATAACTAACCTCGCCTACTATCTATACATTTCAAGACACATTGCCCTCCTTCAAGAGAGACAGAGTATTATCCAATTGCTGGGAAAACAATTGGTAAACTGTCCTTTATAACATGTGACATTGTAATTGGCATGAAATTCACTTATTCATTCTAACTTGATAGATATTTGTGTTGTTTCCTTTTTGTTTGTCTGGATATTTATGAATAGGGCTACGATGAACATTCTTTCCCAGATCTTTTAGTATAAATAAGCATTCAGATAAGTGTAGAAATAAATGACAATTAATGAATCGTGCTGCCAAATTACTTATTGACTCAGTCTGCGCCCAAGGGAAAAACAGAAGCCGCACAGTAATTTGAACAGGAAAATTACACAGTTTTTAACATAGAAGATTTAAGTAATGCGGGAATTGCTTCTTAAGAGGTAATGCGAACTGTGAAGAATATAGGAACAGCAGATATGAGAAGCAACCAATATTCCAAGGAAAAGCTATGTCTCTGAGGATAAGATCGAGGATGTGCCTGTGGCTCTTGGATGGCAAAGAAGTTGCTGTGGTACCATGTTAATGGAGCTGGCTGGAAGTCTGCCCTCAAGTATGCCAGGGAAGGCTGTTCATGAGAAACTTCTCTGGAGGTGTTCTGCTACAAAATTGCCCAAATTTGGATGCCAAGGGGAGCTGGTAGCCACTGGGTATTGATGGCCACAATGTGTTGCAGGAGCCGAGTCCCCTGGATAAGCTGTGGGAATAGCAGGAACCGCGTGTGGGAGGAAGCCATATATGCCTCAGGAACTTGCCAAGTGAGTACAGCAGAACCAGGAAGCAGAGTTCTTTTTCTTTTTTTAATAGGCTTTAATATCTCACTAGCACCCTCCACTGACACAGTTTCATTGTCAGCTGGCAAAGAAAAAAAAAAAGGCACTTTTCTTTTTAACAGAGTAGGTAAAAAGAATAAATTTGGAGCTTAGAAGCAACAAATAGAAAACCAGCACGCTTATCCATATGAAGAATGAAATTAGATGCTTTCATCTAATTTTGAACTATTTTACTTTAACATAGAATGGATATGGTTCTTTCTAAAGACCAAAGCTGTTTAATGCATTATAAAAGTCATTACTAATTTCATGCATCTAAAGTGAGGGGGAGAAAAAACTTACAAGAAATGAAATGGAATATCTTTTTCACATAGGACAACGGTGGCGTTTAATTTTAAGAATGTATTAATGAATTGCATCTGAAGATACACTCCTACTGATTTTAAAAATGAACATGTGAAAGCCATTTGTTATATAACTTCAAGAACTACATCACCTTAATTGTTACCTTCTTAGTCTTTGACAGAGTTTTATATTTGAAAAGATTGATATATTTTGACACCCTTCAAACATTTTAAGGCATTTACTAAATATAATGTGTCAAAGGGTACTTGTCACAATTATTCTTAAATTACACCAGGAATGCTGAATCTCCTCCAATCACATTAGATTCCCAAAGCCTACTAAAATAATTGTTGGAAATTCAAAATATTTCTCTAAGCAGGATGACTAACAAATCATCTCTACAAGGGGAGAAGAAACTGACAAACATTTATATAGGTAGGGTGCTTTTTAATTTTTATTTTTTGGGTTTATATAAAATATAAGTTAAAGGTTCATATATAGGAGTGTTGAAGTTTGTGATAATTTTTTAAGCTGGTCTAGGTTTTTAAATCATTTGATGTTTTAAATTAGAATCATATCAAACCCAATATTATCATATTTATTAAACATATGCCAAATTTAGTGTACCCTCAGAAGTTTTATTGCAGACACATCCATTTTTCATTAAAATCTACATCTTTTTGAAATAAACTTTAGCATTCATCATAATTTATTGCATGCCACAAAAGGGTACATAATTATTTTTCAAAAGAAGAAAATTAACATAATAAGTATATTGCCTTATATCTTTGCAGATCATTCACCCTGAATTACAGACTCACCCATGTTGGGGGAGAACTTATATGTAATCTAAAACAACTTTCTTGATAGCTTTGAAAGAAAAATGAATCCAACTTGTGACTTCAGCAATTACCTTAGCCTAAAAATGATATAAATAATACACAATATATATCATGTTTTCTAATATATTAAAATAATACTGTAATATGACTACAGTGACCATAAAACTAACTGTCTTAGTGGGATATATTATACAGTGAACAGGGAAACTGTTGTGAATTTAGTCTTGATACTGTGTAAAATGAAACATCTGGACATACAATCATCCTAGCTCTCAACTCCCTTGATAGGAATCCTCTGTTTGTGTTCATGTTGGCTTATTTTTTAATTGTTGTTTTTGAAATATTGTGTGTTGCATTTTAGATTTAAGGCAATTTGGGGGTAAAAATAAAATTTTTAGATTGTTTTTATGACTGTGGAATACAAAAGGTGTCTATTTTATAAGTTTAAAAATTTCTACTCCCATACCATATAAAAGGAAAACCACTACATTATTTTATGATGCAAACATCATATTTTTAAAAAATCAATTTGTAAATGAATCACATGCTAACTTGTTCAAAATCCTGGGAGGAAAGTGATGGCAAACACCAACTGGTAACTGAATAGCATTTATGGAAAAGATGGTTACTAAAGTGTGGGTAGGGCTAAGGGAAACATCAAAGGGTGCTGAAGCATCCAGCATCTCGCAATACTGGCAAACTTTTAACCCTCCTTAGGACTGAAAAATTACAGGGAAGGAGCATCCAGAATAAATATCCCTATGTATCTTTTTACTTCTTTCTTATCAGCTGTTGATGCTAGCCATTGACCAACATCAGCTAGAAGCAGAGAGCAAGAGAACTCAAATGGAACACTGGGACAACATCAGGCACAGGACACACAGAAAGATAAAGAAATGTGATTAGATTTGGGGGGCAAAACAGAATATTCAACACACATGCTAAGATAGGGCAACTTGCTCTGAAAGAAAACAAAGCTAGATCTACTTTTGAAGATTTATATTTATAGCCTGGAATTATTTCTCAACCTAAAATATTAAGATTATGTATATATTTTTAAATATTTTTAGTTTGGAATGTAAGATTAACTCTTGTGGATATGAACTTAGCTTGTTTTTGTAGCTGGTTTTGTAGCTTTGTTTTCAACAACCCATCACAGGTTAAGTAGTTGCAATAGTAAAGTTTCATCTGGAAAAGTTTGCATATGTAAGTGGGGTAATTGCTAAAAGAAAGTTGGATAAATGGACCATTTCCAAAGTTGTGCGTAAGGAAAGGGAAAACTGACAAAGAGCAGCAAAGTACTTAGCCTTTGCAATACCAGGAAGCAGAGGGAGATAAAGGGAGTGGTCACATAACCTGAAGAGGCTATCTCACAAGCAATACCACCTCCCATAGAGGGACATGGATAACTCATGGCAAAAGGTAGGGAAAAGTCCTAGTATGAATGTCCTGGCTTCACTGTCTTCCCATTTCTGGTCTCCTCTTGGTTCTTGTGGTGGACTGAATTTAGTGAGAATAAGAAAGCAGAAAGCTTAATGACATCTTGTCTCATCTTGAGGCTCAGGTCACAGGCTGGATGAAAAAGGATAAAGAGGAGGTCTGGAAGGGCAAAAAGAAAATATCCAGCACATCAAGAGAATAGGTATTGCAATTCCTAGTTCCTATTTTAGAATTCCTATTATTAGAGAGATATTGAAATCTGGTAATTTTTTTAAATGTCATAATTTTCCAGAGGAAAAAAGATTCTAAGGAGACTAATAATACTCTCACTTTAGACGATGACAAAACTATATGCTCTCAAAAATAGAAGTGAGAGAAACCTGATAGGGAGTGATGCAAAAACACTGGAAGTTGGAGACAAAGAATAAATCTAAAATTAAAGAAGCGATCCAAATTCATTTTGATAAATACCCATTATTATGACAGGTAATTTCAACTCATGTCTCTTGTAAAAATTTGATGGACACTCAAACTTATCCGAGTTAGTTTCAAGTATGTTTGAGAAAATTCCAGACCTTGGCAAAGTTAAATGACCTCGAACTTCTGGCCTAAGAAAATTTCTTTTTATATCTGTGTGGAATTTTGTACTATAAATATTGAGTTCTTCTTTTTTCTGAATAAATGTTTTAAAAAGGTTTACTCAATTAATGCTTTCCTTTGAAGCTTTTTTTTTAATCAATTAGGGACTTAATATTCATCTTATTTTAAGAGGAATACTAGCAGACTCTTCAGGCTTAATTACTACTGAAATGTAAAGAAAACAAAGCAGGAAACCACCTTACATTTAGTATGAATTGAAGATAAATATCACAAAACAATATTTTTATTACATTGTTTTTACACTAAAATACTAGTCTCATAAAGATATTACCAGTACTTAGAAACTATGGTTAAAAGTCTGAAATTAGAATGAGGCAGTGGATACTTTATATTACATTACATTATACGTTACATGGTACAATACATTACATTGTATTCTCGCTATTTTTCTATTGAATTAACATCTGGATTTATACATTTATTACCTATTTTGTGCAGAATTCATGACATATATATTTGTATATCCCATTCAAAAACAAAACCACCACTTGATATTACAATTCTGGGAATAGTTAATTATTTCATTAGCACATTCTAAAATTCAAAATCATTTGACAGCTTATTAAAAAAATCAACAAAAATATAAGAACAATATTTTGTTTTAAAAGTTTTCAAAAGTGTACATACAGATTTTAACTGTGCTGTATAAATAAAAAATCGATTGCAAAAAATCCTGAGACATATTTTCTGATAGGGAGTGATGCGGAAACACTGGAAGTTGGAGACAAAGAATAAATCTAAAATTAAAGAAGATATCCAAAATCCAGTTATCTGTATTAAATTAAAAATAATACTTCTATTTCAGTATGGGGAACTTTTCATGATGGAAGCATTTGGATACAAAATGTTTATATTGCGCTACTGTTGGAATTAAAGATTTCTATTTTAATATGTCAATAATTTTCTCACATAAAAATGCAGGTGGTTTTAAGCCATTTACCTGGCTTTAGCTCCATACATGTGATTTGCAAAGAAACTAGTACCTAGTAACCAGACAAAGCAGTGTCATAATGAAAATATCAACCAAATAATGTCATATGTTTATTTTTTAGTAGAAAAATACAAATTGTTATGTTTTTTAAAAAACCTTCACTTAGACCTCTAATATCCTATTAAATGCAGTGTGAAAACTTATTAAATTGAATGTTCTTGTTCAGTCAAATAAGTTATTTTATGAAAAAGAAAGCCTTGTGTCAAAAACACATAAAACACTACATTGTGGGAAAATAATTAATAATAGATAGTTTAATATAATGTTCAAAAATAGGTAAATTGAAATTGTACATCTTTTAATATTTATCACAATAAATCTCTGAATTAGAATTTCCTTGATACATCTTCTACAGATTTATCTCCTTAAATGTAGCCTGTTCACTTTCCAGATATAAAAATGACCAAACACATAAATAAATACACACACAAACACACTCAGGAAAATTAACATTAAACTACACACACACACTCACACACATACACATTAAGTACACATGTATTTATTTATTACTTAATAAAAATAAGTACATAAGTAAATAAGAACAACAAAGTAAATAAAATCAAGCAACATTAATGCCATTTAGTTTCACATACTACTTTCCAAACCAACCATAGCCTCTACGGTAATTTTATTCCACATTTCATTTTTGAATAATGCTTAAATTACATAAATTTTTATGAATCTCTAAGAGGAAAGACTATTTTAAATAAATCTCAATCCTTGGAAATTAGCATAAGTGATTTAATTCATTTCTGTGTCTTTAAACTTGGAACAAATACTAGCAATTATACTAATATTTCTTCAGTGAAACATAGATTGTCACACTAAGTGGCATAAATTAAGATTCTAAAGCGTCTCATGTTAATTCAGGTCAGGTCTTGCCACCAAATGAATTCAGATTACGTCTCATTTTGCTGCCAAGTGAGTTGTGAAAGGTTCTTGAGTTTGAGGCTTATTTGTTTCAGGTTTGCTTGGAATTGTAGATAAAGGATTTAGTGTTCAGATTTGATTGGATTTTGGAATTGAGATAAAGAATTATAAAATCATCAATAATTTATCTAAAAGCTATTAAATGTATCCTCACTAAATGGGTGAGGAGACTATCCCAGGGAGGTTAAGTAAATTTCCCAAATTAACACAGCAAAACAATGAAGTCAGGGACTAAAACAAGGCAGTAATGTTCAGAGGCCAAGCTTTTAATCAGTTGGTTATGCTTTCATAAGATTATTGTGAAGGCTGTGTGCAGTGACTCACGCCTATAATCCCAGCACTTTGGGAGGCCAAGACGTGCAGATCACTTGAGGTCAGGAGTTCGAGACCAGCCTGGCCAACATGGTGAAACCCCTGTCTCTACTAAAAATTAAAAAAAATTAGCTGGACATGGTTGTGCAGGCCTGTAATCTCAGCTACTGGGGAGGCTGAGGCAGTAGAATCACTTGAACCTGAGAGGCAGAGGCTGCAGTGAACTGAGATTGAGCCGTTCCACTGCACTTCAGCCTGGGCAACAGAGTGAGACGCTTGTCCCAAAAAAAAAAAAAAAAAAAAATTACTGTGAGGATTTTGTTGAATAAACAATTCAAATTTCTTATAGTTACTGCTATATAGGAAGTCGACCTTCTTTTCTTTCTTTTCTCCTTCCTCTGTTCCTTCTCTCTTCCTTCACAGCTGCCCCAATCATCACCTTCTGTATTCAATAAATTAATTCTCTGGAAACATGACTGGAATCCTATCACTTTGTGTGGCCAAACTTAAACATTTTTACAGTCTCCTTCCACAAATTAGGTTATAATGTGCTTTCTGTGACTCCGGAATCACTAAGCTCCATTTATTGACGTTTCAGTCGTTGGATCACTGTCCTAGTGTTCCATCAACTTGAAGGTATACACATAATCAATAACTTCAGTTTAGAAAACAATGCTGGACAATTGGAGAAAATAAACCAAGTGATGGAAAATTTAGGCTTTCTAGATAAGGAGGAAAAAAATAGGAAACAGAGAGATTCTGAGAATAGTGTCCATATTTCATAAAAGTTATTTGGGTCTCCTTTGATCTCCTGACTAAAATGTCTAAAAAATCTCAGAGAATTGAGAGAAACTTGTGAATATTTTGATGCTATGGAACACTAGTTTTAGTTATAACTAGAATTAAAACATGAAGTTTAGAAAAGTTGAAGATGTTAAACCACCCATATTTTATCTAAAAGCTATTAAATTCTATCGTGTTCTTAGTTTTTATTTTCAATAATATATTTTTAATTGTGGTTGCAAATACGTGCATAGGTTCATTTTAAAGTGAAATTTTTGATTTAAAGTAATTTTTTTTCTCTGGACAATGCCTCTTGTTGATTTGAATTTTTGAGAAAACAAATTTCAACTCTAAGCTATAAAATGATTAAATTAACAAATGACTAACTTATGTCTGTTTTCCTGTTATGTAATATTTCATTTATTTCAGTCGGAGACTTGCATGCTATGCAGTTCCACAGTGAGCTTCAGTATCCCCCCAATTTTACATTACACACAATATGAAAATCCTGATCAATAATTTCTACACTGAAAGTACTATATTATCACTCTTTAATGTCAGCTGAACACGTTTTGTACATTGTGAGTGCTATACTAAATCATTTCTGATGTTAGAGTTATTGTAAATCATTTAGCTAGAAATAAAAGACCAGAAAAAAATAAATAATAACAAATAATAAATGAGAAAGATTTGATGAAGAGATAACTTGATTTGGACATGATCTTTTATTAAAGAAAAATTCAGAAGGTACCTGCTGTATGTTTCCATTTATTTGATATTCTTGCAAAACAAAACTACGGTTTCTGAAAAAAAGATCAATAGTTGCCAGTATTTGGATGTAGGGAAGGGGACTAACAAGGAACAATAGGGAATTTTGGAGAGCAAGTCTACTTTTTGATTGTGGTGTTAATTATGTGATTCAACGCATTTGTCAAAATTAGCAGGACTATATGCCAAAAAGAGTGAATTGTATGTGAATTAAACCTTAATTTAAAAATATTAAAGTGCAATAGTTTGCTTAAAAATATAGTTCACCTGTAGCAGTTTTAAGAGTTTTGAAATTATAATTTTTCAACTTTTATAAATAAAATTCATAACATAGTTCAAATTGGAAATAATAGAACATTACCCCGATATCCTAAGCATTAAGACTTAGCAACTGTTACCCTTTTGGTATGTGTCTTAGCCATCTATCTACACACGTTGCATGTTATTATTATGGTATTTATTTTATTCTAATTTAATTAGAGTTTCCATTCGTTTTTTCGTCATCATGATTGGATAGCCAGCCTTTATCAAGTCTCCCACAATTTGTATTATTTATTAAACTGGAAGTCTGGTCTAAATGCTAGATTATATCTAGATTAAACATTTTGTCAAGAATCTTTTGGAGGTGATGCGATGTGGTTCACATCACATCACCTCAGCAGGTTATATAATGTCCCCTTAGCCAGTGTTTAAGTATAAAAAATGTTGAACACTTTGTCAGTTTGGTTTCTCCCAGATCCCTTCATTACGAAGATATGATTTCCTCTTGCAATTGGTAAATAATGTTTGCTAATACTTTGTGATCTTTCAAATATCTTCTTAGCTGACAACGTTTTATTGAGTGTTTTTAGCATATTATTAGTGATTATCACTTGAATCAATTACTTTTTTGTACTTGCAAATTTATTTTCTACATTTTATTATTTTTTACATTTTATTAGCTGATATACTCTATTTTTCTCAACTGTAATTGAATTTGAATTCTTAATAAAACAGTAAGTCCTCCTGATTAATTATTTCATTTACAACTGTCAATTTTCAAAGTGAGGAAATGGGTTCACTTCTGGTGGTGGTATTTAAGTCTCTCTCTCTCTCTCACACACACACAAGCACACACACACATCTCTATGGACTCACCGATTCAATTTAACCAACACTTTACAGTTAATAGTAGGCATTTATTGTATTGCTAGAAGAATTGTCACAAATTGTCAAAATTGTCACAAATGTGGTCAGTGGGAATATTGTCAACCTAGCTTCTGTATTCTTTTTTTTCCACATGCTTCCAATATTCTCTGCCTATTTACATGTGGCAGGCTTAGTTTATATTTTCCCTTTTCCAGTAGTAAAACCAATCTTTTACCAAGTTTCTCAGTTTCTTTTAGTAGAAATAACATTTAGAAATAAGCATATGAGCTCTTGGAGTGCAACCCAACTGGAGTCTCATTGCATCAAGTTGCAGAATTACACTGAATCTTTCAGCCACCAGGGCAAAAAAATACATTTTAAAAATAATGCATCAATTTATACTTCAAATTCAAATGTAATCTTCAGAGGCTGTGTGTAATTTATTTGACTTTTATATTTGCATCTTTTTTCCCTTTTGCTTTAAAAGTGTGATTTCTTAATAACACTAGCATTATATATTTGTTTTATCCTTTAATAATATGAAATATTTTTCTCCAGGCAGTTATAGTACTAATTGTGGGCAGTAATAGTACTAATTTAAATAGAGTTAAATTTATTCATTGTAAATTGTTTGCAGTTTTAAGACTGTTCATTCTTTCTATTTAAATTTATTTTCAGTGTGTAAACATTTACATATGCAGAAGCAAGACTACATTATATTGCTGTACTCAGAAAAGTACCACAACTTTTCCTATTCTCTTAACAATTTTCTCTTCTTATATGAAACCAACTTTTATAGTTTGTGGATACTTTTTTCAATATTCTTTTGGCAATAATAGACAAATCTATGTTTTGAGTGTGCATATTATATAATCATATACACTCTTATGCATCTTGCTTTTTTCACCAGACAATATATTCTAGAGATCATTCCCTATAATTCTAGAGACATCCTCTTCATTTTTAATGACCACTTGCTCCTGGGTTGAGTGCATGAACTGTAATTTATTTAATAAATTTTATCTCTAGAGACTTTTTGTTGTTTAATATTTTGCTAATATCAACAATGACACAATGAGTGTAAAGTTTTATATTTGTGCAGAAGTATGTTGAAGGTACAGTTCCAGTGATGTGAATACTTTGTTGAAGACTAAAGGCATCAATCGTTTGTTTGGCAAATCTTCTGCAGGATTGTATGTTTTTCCACTTCCACGAGCAATAGATAAGAATGCTTGTTACTTTCAGGTTTAGTAACAAAGTGTGATGTCAGATTTTTATATTAGTTTCAATATTATAGATGAGAAATAGGGAGCCAGTGAATTTTGAATTTGTAATTCTAGGAGGAAGACTTCCCATGTGATTTTAAGTGTTTATATAGGAGGAATCACTACCATTTGGTTTGCATTATGGGGAACCATCTCTTCCAGTATTTTCTCCATTTTATTTTGAATTTTACATATATATTTATATACATTATAAACACAATGTATATATACACAGTATAATGTATATACAATATGTAATAAAGAATATATTATTACAATATATAAATATTTTATAATGCATTACAATATGTACATAATACACATTCTATTTCAGAAAGATTAGCCCTTTGAAATAAAAGTAACAATGGTTTCATTAAGTTTTTACTTTTTTATTTGGTTGATATTTTCTACCACACACAACTATTACTGCTGTTTTTATATTGGTAACTTCCAGTTTTTCAGTATGAAATCCATAAACACACACTTCTGGTCTCTTAGTATGAGAAGTCCAAAATAATCAGGTAGCAGATATAACTTCAGGAGGAACTTTATTTTTTCCTCTGTTACAAGTACTCTTATGACCACCATGCTACCAGAAATAGTTTATCCAATCTTTCCAGACCAAAACATTGTGAGAATGGCATGATGTCTCTCCTACTTCTATCCTTTTGTTCCTGAACCTATATTTTCTATCCAAGATACAGTGCCCCAGAAGGCCATGAGTTTACACACTGAAACTAGGAAATCATTCTAATAAGGCCAGAAATTAATCCCTGCCTGCTGTGTTAGTTATGCCTTTAAGTAGCCATCTCAATGTTTCATTAGGTCAGCAGCTTCCTAATGATGTGACGTATGTTAAGACTAGTGGTTCCTGCAGTCATGTGCCCATTGATATGATCCTTCACTATGCAGTAGGTTCTTTGGGCCAAGATAATATAATGGGAGACACTACGTTTGATAAATTAGACACTCTGTGAGTCTTCAGATAGTGGTTCTGGCTGAGATGGTGTGGTCAGAGAAGGTCAGGCCATATAAGGATATGTATCAATCACAGTGAAGGCAAGCTGGTGCCTCCTTCAAGGAGAAAGATGAATGATGCAATCAACTTGTCCTTAAGTAACTGATTGGCATTCATGTAGAAAAAGTTATATTCACAGCTGTTTCCTGTTGTTGATGGGTCAAACATTCAGCAGATTAAATAGCTAGAGAAGCTTTGGGGAAAACAATGGCATGTTACGGGTACATCCATTTCCATTACCATGGTTACTCTGGTAATTGGACGACTGTGCATGTTCTACAGGGGATGACCTCTGGTGGCCATAAACGGTCAGTAAAATCTTCTCACACTGTGCCTACTTCCCAGAGCTCCTTGCATCTTATATTCACTTTTTTTTTCTTTTTTGCCCATGATTATCTAACTAAAACATGGAGTTATTTACATCTTTGCCACAGATAATTTTTCCATCCATAACAAGTGGCTGATAGGGTGTACTTCTAAAATCTCTCACCAATAGGGAAAAATACCATTTCACATAAACAATTTTTCCAGATGGCATTGATAGAGTACCACCATATTTCTAATAATTTGTACGCTGATGGCTTTATTTTCACTTTTTAATTTGTTTTGTTTGACATTGGAAGATGATTAGATTTGTTAAAATGAGAATTTAAATCATAATGTTATCCTATACTGTTTTGGATCCATAATAATCAACATGCAATATATTTAGAGTCAATATTTATCAAAGCAAAAGGACTTCTTAAAAGGTATATTCTAAGCCTCCTTTTAGCCAACGGAATAGTACCTACCTCCCCGACTAAGAAACCAATTACCTAAGAAAAATATTACTCAGAGCAAAGTAATGAGGCAGAATTATGGAAGGGAAAAAAAAAGATAATTTATTCACAAAGGGGAAAGAAATGTGTAAATACAGCACCTACTGCAGTTTTACTCTGCCTTCTTTCTGACTCTCAAGTATATTTACAGAGGAAAACTGATAATATTTGTAATAATCTAAAAAACAGTTAATATCTATATTAGCTATTAGTATTTGGATTAGTATTTTTATTATAGAGTTTACAAACAGAATTTCATTTAAATATGTATACAGACACACATTTTCCAAAAGTTGAACAGAAACCTTATCTCAATTTTTTTCCCACAAGTAAAATGGACATCATGGAAAAGAAGTCACATTTCCTTGGATTACATGTTCCCATCTTTCTACCACAAGCTGGTAGATTCTGGGGGGCAGGGGTGGTGTGGGGTGGGAGATGAGAGAGGAGAGAAGATTCTGATATTCAACACAATTTGATCTTTAGCATTGTCTCACCGTGAAATGACTTAATTATAGAGATTTCCATAAGAGTCAGCACTCTTCAGTTTTGATACTAAAATGGAAACTCCTACTCTAAAATCACAAATAAGTCTCCTGGCTTTCTTTTTAGTGTGAGCTAAACAGTATATTCAATATTAAGGAAAATGATGAAATACACATATGGTATATTAATGGAGACATTCCACGGTAAAATATACTTCGGAATACTCACATATTTTACAAACATGTGTTGGAATTAAAAACTTGTAAAAGCTGCTGTAGTGTATAATAGCTTTTCGTTTGGATGTCTTAGCTGTGCCTTTTTGGTAGTTTATACATTAAATATAATCTTGCCTGCATTTTTTTGTGGCCTGTGATTTTTTTTTTTATTATGTAGAATTAGATGTCCACCAAAATTCTTGTAAGTGAACCAGGACCTGATTTCAAATTCTGAATATGCACACAATATTTGTCTATATATACTGCTTCCCAAAGTCAGCAAAACACTGCCTATTGAGCAGGCTTACCATAACAGAAAAGTATGAGAATGCAGGATGTTATTTTTATAAAGACTATAAATAAAATCAGATTTAGGCTGTCTAGATATCTTATTCTAGAAAATACAGGTTTAAGATTTTTCAGACAGGCCAGGTGCAGTGGCTCACACCTGTAATCCCACCACTTTGGGAGGCTGAGGCAGGTGGATCACCAGGTCAGACATTCTAGACCAACCTGACCAATATGGTGAAAGTCCATCTCTACTTTAAAAATACAAAAATTCGCCAGGTGTGTTGGCGTGTGCCTGTAGAGCCAGCTAGTTAGGAGGCTGAGACAGGAGAATTGTTTGAATTTGGGAGGCAGAGGTTGCAGTGAGCCAAGATCACGTGACTGCACTCCAGCCTGGGCAACAGAGCGAGACTCTGTCTCAAAAAAACAGATTTTTCAGATAGTGGTTCTTGTTCATACTTTTCTCCTTCATTTCCCAATGAGATAATTTCCTTCACAGTGATGAGAGAAATCCATTTTTTTATGGAAAAAAGGGCTTTATTTCTTCAACTGATCAGGACAAAGACATCACTTATTGGCCATGCTGGCCACAGCCTTCTTGGGCTGATATAATGGGGAGTCCACTGTTAGACTATTGTTGAGTATGTTCTGGGCCTCTTGAACATTGGTTCATTCCAGAGCACCTTCAATTCTAATGCCTGGAAGGCTTTGGTGATCCCATTGGCAATGATAGCACAGTGGACGATACTACCAAAAATATTGACAAGGATGGCTTCAACCTTAGGATCAACTGCGAGCAATGTGAATGCTTGATATACTTGAGCTTCCTTTACAACACCTCCACGATTCCAAGATGTTGACTGGCTTCCCACTACTAAGGAAAATGGTATCACAAGTAGCCATGGCTAATCCAGCACCATTCACAAAGCAGGTAATGTTCCCATCCAGTCGTATGTATTTTATATCTTGTCTGGCAACTTCATATTCAATGAGCTCTGTATTTGTGCATTTTCACACTGCTGTATATTACCTCTGTAATTTATAAAGGAAAGATGTTTAATTGACTTATAGTTCTCCATGGCTGGGAAGGCCTCAGGAAACTTACAATCATGTCAGTAGGTGAAGGCGAAGCAAGGCATTTTTTATATGGTGGCAGGAGAGAAAGAAGGGGAAAGTGCCACACTTTTAAACCATCAGATCTCGTGAGAACTCACTCACTATCACAAGAACAGCATGCGGCAACCACCCCCATGATCTAATCACCTCCCACCGAGTCCCTTCCTTGACACGTGGGGATTACAATTTGAGATAAGGTTTGAGTGAAGTCACAGAACCAAACCATATCAGGCTCATTCTCCGATTTGTCATCCATAGCAGATAGGTCCTGTTGTCAGAATTCTTCATTGTCATGAAAGTTTACCTTGGCATTAAAACAGACAACTTGTCTTTCTCAAGTTTCACCAAAAGGATTCACTATCACCTGAGTAGCATCAGTTTTTAGGAAGAGATTATACAGTTTCTTAATTTGATCTGCAACCTGGATTGTCAAAGACCCAAGGAAGCCTAGATTTTCTGACATCTGCTGAACTCTGAACTTGGCTGTCCTTTATCCCTTGAAAAATTTGCTCCTTAAAAATAAATTCTGAATTTGTAGCAGCCACCTCTTCAATGTCAGTGCTCCCTGGGGCCTGCCCACCAGCGTGGGGCCATTGCAGGACCTGTCCATCAGAATCACCAGGTAAGTTTTTCTGGAAATGTCCAAGGTTTCAGTAACCATCAGCTTGTTGACTTTCACATCTTCTTTTAGAGTTTGGTTTTTTGCCCCAAACATACCCAATCATCTGTTTAGCCAGCTGTCCCACAACCTTAAGTTCTTTTGTTAAGTGAACACCTCCTTTCAAACCACAATTGAAGACACCCTTTCCTCTTCCTCCAGCTAAGATCTGGGCTTTTAATTAAAACAATTTATTTTGCTTTTAGTCTCTTAGCAACCTCAAGTTCTTCATTCACAGTGTCTGCTACAAAGAATCTTTGAACTCTCACTCTGTTGTCAGACATCAGTTTCTTGCTCTGGCATTCCTGGAGGGTCTGCCATCTTCTGGAAGTTAATTGAAGTGCCTGGACCTGGCTACCAAGAACCAGAGTGGAGCACTAGGTCTCGCAGAAGTTTCCTGGCTTGTGCTACCAGGAGAATGTCATTTTAAACAGAAAACCCGAAGTGGGGTATTGGGACTCGGATTATTATTTTTAGTTCTTGTAGATGAGTTATTTCTAGATATTAGCTATTATTATTTGGATTATTCTTTATATACTAATTATTCCTTAATTAGAACAATGAGTGCTAACAGAGACTGAAATTGATAAATTCAGTCTCTAAAAAATATATATATATAATATATATTTAAATACATATTTATTTAAAGGGCTTGACTGAAGCAGTGAGTGTTATAGCTATTATTACTAGTAGAATGTATATTCATTTATTTCATATAGTAATAACATAAGTATACTATCACCATCCTCTCCACAAAGATCTGAAAAATTAGGACCCAAGGTCAAAGCTAATAGTGAGTTTGCTGCTGGAAACAAAATTTTGTATATTAAAAATACTTTCTCTTAAAGACTGTACTGAGCTTCCAAGTATTCCCTTCCCAGTAAAATCCAAGAATGTATTTTGCAAATAACAGGAGTCAATGAGGATTGGTTCATCTCTCAGCGTGCAATTCCTCTTTGAAAAACGTGGTACCGCTTTTTTGTCTGAATGTTATTATTGTTATATTGAGTGTGTAGGCAAAAGCACCAGTTAAAATCCAGGCCCCTTATCAAAAATCAGCTTTCATGACACATGCTCTCTTCATGGCCAATACATTACATAATATTTTTCTGATAAACAGAATACATTGTGACTATATATGCTTTGATATTGTTTATTCATTCTGAGCCCTTATTTATAAAAAGTTTGTGTATTATCAGTTGCCGCCAATCTGTGAAACATCAATTCCTATTAACATCCCTCAAACTGGACATATATTTTCCATGTCCAAAAATAGAAGACATTTGTAATGGCATTGAAAGAACTACTAGGTAATGGTATTGACACATCATTATCAATTTAGCATTAATGTGTCTAACTGGAGCACCTATTCTTCAATAACACATATTGAGGTTAAAAGATTCTCTAGGAGATAGTAATTTAACCCCTAGGAATTATTCTAGTGGTAATTATTTCAGGTTCAATGGGATCCTGGTGGAAAAGCCACTTTTGTCCAGGAATTATTTTTCAGTTCCTCTGCTTGTATATCTCATCAAAAATAAAATATTTAAAATTTAATTTAGTTAAACAAGTATTTACAGGAATTAATCTAACAGATTTTCCATGTGGCTAAGGGAGAAATGAGTACTTTAAGTTGAATGGCTCACTGTAGTGCTAAAGACATTATTAAATTATTTTACTATGAATAAAAAAGCAGTTATAATTGGGTTCAAGATATCATATAGAGAAGGTTATCTCTAATAAATCAGAAACTAATTATATATCTTTTAATCTAGGATATAATAGGTAATCACAAGGAAGTGAAAATTAGGGTAGCTATGCCCTGTAATTATTAGATTTTGAGAGAAATAATAATTATGATTTTAAAATTTACAATGGATATTGGAAGACCACAGTCTAGACTGGTGTATAGAAAAGAAATATAAACTTAAAATTAAATATATATATCAAGATTAGCTGTTATACTTGGACTTTAAATTCAGAATTCTCATTTGCATCTTCTTATGTCTCAGTCCTAATTGTGGGTTTACCCTGTTAGATACTAATTTATGCATCAGGAAAATAAATAAGCTCAGAGCTGTTTAGTAACTTGACAGGTTTCCCCAGTAGTAGAGCATAGGACTGATGCTCTTGAGAGAGATTTGCCTTAGCAGCCCTGATTCCAAGTTGGTGGGCTTGATATTACATGTTACTCTTGCTTACTCAGAGCTTCCAAACTGCTTCTCTCCCAAACATATCAATCTTTTGGGAGTCTAAAACTCCTTCTTAAATTGTAGCTTTCTTAGTTTTTCACTCCTTTTCTTTTTTTTTTTTAAGAATGCATATACCTTTGCCTATTTCCACACTTTGCACATATCAGATTTTTCCAGTTCTATGTCCTATTTCATCCCAGCTGACAATTAGAAATTGATGAATTCAGTCTCTAAAATCACCATCTTCATTTTAACTCTTCAGATTAATTATCAACCATCCTCTACCCTGTTATTTACCCCAGGAAGCTGATCTATGTGTATTTGTGTATTACATCAATGGTCTGCTTTCACTTCTGCTTCTAAGAAGTGTTGCCACAAAGGAATCCAACATTGGCAGGAAAGAGGAGAGTGAGATGAAGACGTTTACCCCTTGACTCTCTCCTGGCCGAGTTACTGGGATAGGTTGTGTTCCAGCCGATAGTCACAGGTCCTCTTAAGGGAGACTTTCTATTGACTCTACTTTCCATTCTGAAACTACTTTTTGCCCTATTCCACCCCTATCACCTTTAGGGGCTAAGATACCCAAAACCTGTTACCACTGTATTATCTTTTATTATTTTCCTATATCTACTTCTAATTGTATAAATGATAGTTTTTTTAAAAAAATCCTTAAATTATCCTAAAATCTGTGTGCCATCTGTTTTGCTGGGACCATGACTTAAGTACACAGTCAACAGTTTGCCCAAAGTAATGAAAAAATAATTATAAATTGTGGCGTTATTCTCAATTTAAATCACCAGTAAGTATTTAAAGACTATACTTTGTGAAATGAACAAATGGAAAATTGTTTCTTGAGTGAAAGATAATGTATTAATGGCAGAAGAACATTGAATAAGAAATTGGCTCCCAGGCACATAGAACTCACTTGATAAAAAAAAAGTGGATGGAAAATATTTACTTATCCAAGTAATACATATTAATGTTAATTAGAAATATTCAAATTCATACAGTTTCCCTGGCTTGTATCCTAGCTTTTCTCATAATTAGTTCTTAAGCTGTGATCCCAAGAATGTAGAGCATATAAGAGTGAGAGAAGGTTATCAAAAATCAATTTATGTTCATAATTAGTAAAAAATTGAAATGATAAATGAAAGATCTCTACAAGCACAATGAAAGCCTTACTCTTCTGGAGCCATTTTACGAAGATTTTTAAAAACCATTCTTAACCAACATCTGATGACTTATAATATTTTACTAGTAACTGTAAACATAAAAGAATAGCAAATTAGCCTTTTGCCAAAAAGTAAACTCGTAAATCTAAGTGTGATTTATTGTTTCATTTGTGTTAATTGCATTTACAAGAGCTAAATGTAAATGGGCTACTTTGGGACACTAGATAAACCTGATTTAATCCTCATGTTCTACCTGCAGCACAACTGTGAGCCCGTCTGACTGACATGTTGATTTCCTCTCCGTAAGGGTGATATAATTAATGTGACCTTTTGATAAGGTGGGAGATATAGGGTGAGACAAGTGCTCTCTGCAGAGCTATTAGCAGCTTCTGAGCAATTTGCTAATAGTAGAGCTACCTTTATTAAAATCATCAGTTAAGAAGATAATTGACAACCATAATAATGAGCATGTACAGCGAAGGGAGAGACCATCAAGTGAAGTAAAACTATTAATTACTTAAAAATTGATGAACTTTCTGTGCTAAGTAAACTGATTGGGAACTCTGGCTTTAAAATACAATGAATAATAAGCCTGCAAAAATTGTGAATCCATCCTCTCTGGAAAATTAAGTGGCTTTATTTCTACTGTTAGATAGCATTTTTATGAAATAATTTTTGCCATCAACATCCAACTCCAGATATGGTGATACCTATATGTGGTGGAAGCATAAGCCTCTTACATTCTAAGTCTTAAAAGCCCTCCTTATATTCTAGATCTAAAAGACTCTCCACATGATATATGTGAAAAAGATTCATCATGTGCTGGTTACCAACCTGTCTGAGTCCAGCGAAATAGTTACGTGAAGCAGGTTTATTACTCATGGACAGGCAGCAAGGGACAACAGAAGCCTAGAATTCATTGTGACCCTCTAACCCCATGCTCAAAAAAGCTGCCCATGAGGTACAGGTCTCATCTATGTAACCCTCACTTGCACCATAGCTGAAGTACCCCTTGAAGTTTTATGAACTACTGGGAGAAAGAATTGAAGGATATCGTGTTTCTAGTGGGGGATGGAACAAAACCTGGATTGTTCCAACCAGTTCCTCCCCATTTTCAAAGATTTTTTATCAAATTGCATTACTAGCACATTCCACAGTTATTCTTCAGAACTATAAGCAAAACAGGTGGGAGAGGAACTGGGTCAGGTCAAGGCCACCCAGAGAACTGTTCTGCAATATACTTTGAAGTTAACCTGTCATGATGAGAAAAGACTGATACAACTACAGGTGTAATTTAAAAAGTATTTTTTTCCCCAGAGTAAAAATGATATGACATAGAAATAGTTTAATGATGATTTTTCTAGCTGTCAGAATTCACCAATATATCCACTAGGGTATTAGGAGATAGCTCTATGTTCATCCAGACTCTGGTGACTAATTTTTGTTTTTAATTCCTGCTGATAATCAATAAGCTCAATTTAAGATTATTAATTGCAAGATTGCAATTAAAAGTGGATGTTTTAGAAAAATGGGAAATTAGGGAAGAGCTGAAAAGATTAAATCATTGATACCAGTATGTTTGTTTTTATTCAGAGTAAGCATACTTCTAATCAGTGTTTACATTTTGATAATTCAGGGGAATCAAATATCCACATTTTCTTTTATTATTATTATTATTCTTTAAGTTCTAGGGTACATGTGCACAACATGCAGGTTTGTTACATATGTATACATGTGCCATGTTGGTGTGCTGCACCCATTAACTCTTCATTTACATTAGGTATAACTCCTAATGCTATCCTGCCCACTACCGCCACCCAACAACAGGCCCCAGTGTGTGATATTCCCCTTCCTGTGTCCAGGTGTTCTCATTGTTCAGTTCCCACCTATGAGTGAGAACATGCGGTGTTTGGTTTTCTGTCCTTGAAATAGTTTGCTGAGAACAATGGTTTCCAGCTTCATCCATGTCCCTACAAAGGATATGAACTCATCCTTTTTTATGTCTGCATAGTATTCCATGGTGTATATGTGCCACATTTTCTTAATCCAATCTATCATTGATGGACATTTGGGTTGGTTCCAAGTCTTTGCTATTGTAAATGGTGTCGCAATAAACATATGTGTGCATGTGTCTTTAGAGCAGCATGATTTATAATCCTTTGGGTGTATACCCAGTAATGAGATGGCTGGGTCAAATGGTATTTCTAGTTCTAGATCCCTGAGGAATAGCCACATGGACTTCCACAATGGTTGAACTAGTTTACAGTCCCAGCAACAGTGTAAAAGTGTTCCTATTTCTCCACACCCTCTCCAGCACCTGTTGTTTCCTGACTTTTTAATGATCGCCATTCTAACTGGTGTGAGATGATATCTCGTTGTGGTTTTGATTTGCATTTCTCTGATGGCCAGTGATGATGAGCATTTTTTCATGTGTCTTTTGGCTGCATAAATGTCTTCTTTTGAGAAGTGTCTGTTCATATCTTTCGCCCACTTTTTGATGGGTTTCTTTGTTTTCTTCTTGTAAGCTTGAGTTCTTTGTAGATTCTGGATATTAGCCCTTTGTCAGATGAATAGATTGCAAAAATTTTCTCCCATTCTGTAGGTTGCCTGTTCACTCTGATGGTACTTTCTTTTGCTGTGCAGAAGGTCTTTAGTTTAATTAGATCCCATTTGTCAATTTTGGCTTTTGTTGCCATTGCTTTTGGTGTTTTAGACATGAAGTCCTTGCCCATGCCTATGTCCTGAATTATATTGCCTAGGTTTTCTTCTAGGGTTTTTATGGTTTCAGGTATAATATTTAGGTCTTTAATCCATCTTGAATTAATTTTTATATAAGGTGTAAGGAAGGGATCCAGTTTCAGCTTTCTACATATGGCTAGCCAGTTTTCCCAGCACCATTTATTAGATAGGGAATCCTTTCCCCATTTCTTGTTTTTGCCAGGTTTGTCAAAGATCAGATGGTTGTAGATGTGTGGTATTATTTCTGAGGGCTCTGTTCTGTTCCATTGGTCTATATCTCTGCTTTGGTACCAGTACCATGCTGTTTTGGTTACTGTAGACTTGTAGTATAGCTTGAAGTCAGGTAACATGATGCCTCCAGCTTTTTTCTTTTGGATTAGAATTGTATTGGCAATGCGGGCTCTTTTTTGGTTCCAAATGAACTTTAAAGTAGGTTTTTCCAATTCTGTGAAGAAAGTCATTGGTAGCTTGATGGGGATGACATTGAATCTATAAATTACCTTGAGCAGTATGGCCATTTTCACAATATTGATTCTTCCTATCCATGAGCATGGAATGTTATTCCATTTGTTTGTGTCCTCTTTTATTTGGTTGAGCAGTGGTTTGTAGTTCTCCTTGAAGATGTCCTTCACATCCCTTGTAAGTTTGATTCCTAGGTATTTTATTCTCTGTGAAGCAATAGTGAATGGGAGTTCACTTATGATTTGGCTATCTGTCTGTTATTGGTGTATAAGAATGCTTGTGATTTTTGCACATTGATTTTGTATCCTGAGACTTTGCTGAGTTGCTTATCAGCTTAAGGAGATTTTGGATTGAGACGGGGTTTTCTAGATATACAATCATGTCATCTTCAAACAGGGACAATTTGACTTCCTCTTTTCCTAATTGAATACCCTTTATTTCTTTCTCCTGCCTGATTACCTTGGCCAGAACTTCCAACACCATGTTGAATAGAAGTGGTGAGAGAGCATCCCTGTCTTCTCCCAGTTTTCAAAGGGAATGCTTCCAGTTTTTGCCCATTCAGTATGATATTGGCTGTGGGTTTGTCATAAATAGCTCTTATTATTTTGAGATACGTTCCATCAATACCTAATTTATTGAGAGTTTTTAGCATGAAGTGTTGTTGAATTTTGTCAAAGGCCTTTTCTGCATCTATTGAGATAATCATGTGGTTTTTGTCTTTGGTTCTGTTTATATGCTGGATTATGTTTATTGATTTGCATATGTTGAACCAGCCTTGCATCCCAGGGATGAAGCCCACTTGATCGTGGTGGATAAGCTTTTTGATGTGCTGCTGGATTCGGTTTGCCAGTATTTTATTGAGGATTTTTGCATCAATGTTCATCAGGGATATTGGTCTAAAATTCTCTTTTTTTGTTGTGTCTCTGCCAGGCTTTGGTTTCAGGATGATGCTGGCCTCATAAAATGAGTTAGGGAGGATTCCCTCTTTTTCCATTAATTGGAATAGTTTCAGAAGGAATGGTACCAGCTACTCTTTGTACCTCTGGTAGAATTCGGCTGTGAATCCATCTGGTCCTTGACTTTTTTTGGTTGGTAAGCTATTAATTATTGCCTCAATTTCAGAGCCTGTTATTGGTCTATTCAGAGATTCAACTTCTTCGTTGGGAGGGTGTATGTGTTGAGGAATTTATCCATTTCTGCTAGATTTTCTAGTTTATTTGCATAGAGGTGTTTATAGGATTCTCTGATGGTAGCTTGTATTTCTGTGGTATCGGTGGTGATCTCCCCTTTATCATTTTTTATTGCATCTATTTGATTCTTCTCTCTTTTCTTCTTTTTTAGTCTTGGTAGCGGTCTATCAATTTTGTTGATCTTTTCAAAAAACCAGCTCCCGGATTCATTGATTTTTTTGAAGGGTTTTTTGTGTCTCTATCTCCTTCAGTTCTGCTCTGATCTTAGTTATATCTGGCCTTCTGCTAGCTTTTGAACATGTTTGCTCTTGCTACTACAGTTCCTTTACTTGTGATGTTAGGGTGTCAATTTTAGATCTTTCCTGCTTTCTCTTGTGGGCATTTAGTGCTATAAATTTCCCCATACACACTGGTTTAAATGTGTCCCAGAGATTCTGGTACATTGTGTCTTTGTTCTCGTTGGTTTCAAAGAACATCTTTATTTCTGCCTTCATTTCGTTATGTACCCAGTAGTCATTCAGGAGCAGGTTGTTCAGTTTCCATGTGGTTGAGTGGTTTTGAGTGAGTTTCTTAATCCTGAGTTCTAGTTTGATTGCACTGTGGTCTGAGAGACAGTTTGTTACAATTTCTGTTCTTTTACATTTGCTGAGGAGTGCTTTACTTCCAACTATGTGGTCAATTTGGGAATAAGTGTGGAGTGGTGCTGAGAAGAATTTATATTCTCTTGATTTGGGGTGTAGAGTTCTGTAGATGTCTGTTAGGTCCGCTTGGTGCAGAGCTGAGTTCAATTCCTGGATATCCTTGTTAACTTTCTGTCTCGTTGATCTGTATAATGTTGACAGTGGGGTGTTAAAGTCTCCCATTATTATTGTGTGGGAGTCTAAGTCTCTTTGTAGGTCTCTAAGGACTTGCTTTATGAATCTGGGTCCTCCTGTATTGGGTGCATATATATTTAGGATAGTTAGCTCCTCTTGTTGAATTGATCTCTTTGCCTTTATGTAACGGCCTTCTTTGTCTGTTTTGATCTTTGTTGGTTTAAAGTCTGTTTTATCAGAGACTAGGATTGCAACCCCTGCCTTTTTTTTGTTTTCCATTTGCTTGGTAGATCTTCCTCTATCCCTTTATTTTGAGCCTATGTGTGTCTCTGCACATGAGATGGGTCTCCTGAATACAGCACACTGATGGGTCTTGAATCTTTATCCAATCTGCCAGTCTGTGTCTTTTAATTGGAGCATTTTGCCCATTTACATTTAAGGTTAATATTATTATGTGTGAATTTGATCCTGTCATTATGGTGTTAGCTGGTTATTTTGCTCGTTAGTTGATGCAGTTTCTTCCTAGCATTGATGGTCTTTACAATTTGGTATGTTTTTGCAGTGACTGGTACAGGTTGTTCCTTTCCATGTTTAGAGCTTCCTTGCTCTTGTAAGGCAGGCCTGGTGGTGACAAAATCTCTCAGCTTTTGTTTGTCAGTAAAGGATTTCATTTCTCCTTCACTTAAGAAGCTTAGTTTGGCTGGATATGAAATTCTAGCTTGAAAATTCTTTTCTTTAAGAATGTTGAATGTAGGCCCCCACTTTCTTCTGGCTTGCAGAGTTTCTGCAGAGAGCTCCACTGTTAGTCTGATGGGCTTCCCTTTTTGGGTAACCCAATCTTTCTCTCTGGCTGCCCTTAACATTTTTTCCTTCATTTCATCTTTGGTGAATCTGGCAAGTTTGTGTCTTGGAGTTGCTCTTCTCGAGGAGTATCTTTGAAGCATTCTCTGTATTTCCTGAATTTGAATGTTGGCCTGCCTTGCTAGGTTGGGGAAGTTCTCCTGGATAATATCCTGCAGAGTGTTTTCCAACTTGGTTCCATTCTCCCCGTCACTTTCAGGTACACCAATCAGACGTAGATTTTGTCTTTTCACATAGTCCCATATTTCTTAGAGGCTTTGTTCATTTCTTTTTATTCTTTTTTCTCTATGCTGCTCTTCTCACTTCATTTCATTCATTTGATCATCCATCACTGATACACTTTCTTCCAGTTGATCAAATCGGCTGCTGAAGCTTGTGCATTTGTCATGTAGTTCTCGTGCCATGGTTTTCAGCTCCATTAGGTCATTTAAGGACTTCACTACACTGGTTATTCTAGTTAGCCATTCGTCTAATCTTTTTTCAAGGTTTTTAGCTTCTTTGCATTGGGTTCGAACTTCCTCCTTTAGCTCAGAGAAGTTTGATCATCTGTAGCCTTCTTCTCTCAACTCGTCAAAGTCATTCTCCGTCCAGCTTTGCTCCATTGCTGGTGAAGAGCTGCGTTCCTTTGGAGGTGGAGAGTCACTCTGACTTTTACAGTTTTCAGCTTTCCTCCTCTGTTTTTTCCCCATCTTTGTGGTTTTATCTACTTTTGGTCTTTGATGATGGTAACGTACAGATGGGGTTTTGGTGTGGATGTCCTTTCTGTTTGTTAGTTTTCCTTTTAACAGTCAGGACCCTCAGCAGCAGGTCTGTTGGAGTTTGCTGGAGGTCCACTCCAGACCCTGTTTGCCTGAGTGTCAGCAGCAGAGGCTGCAGAACATTGAATATTGCTGAACAGCAAATGTTGCTGCCTGACCATTCTTCTGGAAGCTTCGTCTCAGAGGGGTACCCAGCCATGTGGGGTGTCAATCTGCCCCTACTGGGGAGTGCCTCCCCTGTTAAGGTACTCAGAGGTCAGGGGCCCACTTGAGGAGGCAGTCTGTCCATTCTCAGATCTCAAACTGTGTGCTGGCAGAACCACTACTCTCTTCAAAGCTGTCAGACAGGGACATTTAAGTCTGCAGAGGTTTCTGCTGCCCTTTGTTTGGCTATGCCCTGCCCCCAGAGGCAGGCAGGCCTCTTTGAGCTGCGGTGGGCTCCACCCAGTCCTAGTTTCCCAGCCGCTTTGTTTACTTACTCAAGCCTCAGCAATGGTAGGCGCCCCTTCCCCAGCTTCACTGCCGCCTTGTAGTTCGATCTCAGACTGCTGTGCTAGTAATGAGCGAGGCTCTTTGGGCATGGGACCCTCCAAGCCAGGCGTGGGATATAATCTCCTGGTGTGCCCTTTGCTAAGACCATTGGAAAAGCACAGTATTAGGGTGGGAGTGATTTTCCAGGTGCCGTCTGTCACAGCTTCCCTTAGCTAGGAAAGGGAATTCTCTGACCCTTTGTGCTTCCCAGGTCTGCTTCAGCACATGCTTGGTGGGGTGCACCTACTGTCCTGCCCCCACTGTCCGACAAGCCCCAGTGAGATGAACCTGGCACCTCAGCTGGAAATGCAGAAATCACCCATCTTCTGTGTCGCTCATGGTGGGAGCTGTAGACTGGAGCTGTTCCTATTCGGCCATCTTGGAACCCAGCATATCCACATTTTCATTGGTCAAGAATGGTGATAGTATTAGTGTAACTTGTGTTACTTGATTGTGTGGCTGAATATTCATTTTAAATGATTATCCTTAGAAATCCAAGATATTTCTAATTCCTATGCACATGCACATTGAAGGTTTGGTTGAGTTTTGATTAAAAGGTGATTCATTTATAGTGGTTGTAATTGTGTTTTTATGCAGTTTTTCAGGTAACTGACCAACTTTACTAGAACTATTGATCTTCTTCATGTAGTATAGTAACAAGGCCGTCTGATAATATTTATCAATAGTACCCTGGATATGAATAAATGACTACATCTGAATTATTGTTTTATATGATCTAGAAAATTATATAAATGACAAATTTATAATTATATGTCACAAGTGAAAAAAATTTAAATTTGAGTGAATAAGTTTAAATTTGAGAATAAGTACAGGGATGGGGCAATAAAATAAGTAGAATAAAGAAGGGCTGAGGAATCTATGATTTCCACATAGTCATGGACTGCCCTAAGTTCCTCAGAAGCACCAGATTATTTCAGTGACACATAACCATAACATAGGAATGTAGCATCTATATCCATCTTCTACTAGAATCTTAAATTACTTAGTGGAGGAAGTTCAGAATCACTTTAAAAACCCTTAAATATCTTATAACTTGGCCGGGCTTAGATATACCAAATAATTCAAAATGTGTATTATAAATTGTTACTTTTGTTATCACATTTCATACTGTTTCTCTTTCTTTTAAGAAATTGTTCTTATTCAATAAGTTTAAAATGACTTTCAGGGTAGGATGCATGTAATATATCATTTTAATATGACATAATAGTATGCAATATTTTGAAGGGGATAAACCAATATGACATGAAAATATAGTGGTACTTCTTTATTTTTCTTATCTTTTATGGATTAGGAGAAAGTTATTATAAATACATTAATACAAGAAATTAAATATAAATATATAGCACTATTTCGTATATTAGTTTAGGGTGTATACAACTGCTCATTTCTACAAATAAATTTCTTGTGCTTTTCAGAGGTTATTTTAGAAATACCATGCAAAACAGATAAATATATTGTAAATTTTCTATAATTATTATTGTTTATTATAGAATTTCAAATTGCCTCAGTTGATCTAATTTATTTTAGTCTTTTGGTTCACTTCTAACTTATCAAAAATATATCTCATTACTATTGCAATATACAAAACTAGGCTACCTAATAATATTCTCTAAAGGTGTCCCGGTCAGAAATGGATGATTGCTACATCTAGAACAGTCGGTTTGCTCTAAATATGTAGATATGTTTTGAATACATATATTATTATGTTAAGTTCTGGGATACATGTGCAGGATGTGCAGGTTTGTTACATAGGTAAATGTGTGCCATTGTGGTTTGATGCACCTGTCAACCCATCACCTAAGTATTAAGCCTAGCATCCATAAGCTATTTTTCATATCAGAAAGAGCAAAAAGGAGAGAAGTAAAAAATCACTTGCCTTCCTCTCAAATTCAAATTTTATTATTGCCATTCAATTTGAATTTCACTTGGGAACTTCAACCTATAATAGGGTATGAAGATTGTGAGGCAATGGTCAAATAAAACTCAGTATTATTATTTAACCTGCATTATTCAATAAACCCTTTACCTGCTATATGCATAAAATGAATAGTGTTTTCTCACATGTAATATTATATTCTATATGGAATTATAGCTTGATGAATTATGACTTTTTAATATTTCATTAAGTTGTTGACTTACGTGAAATTGAATTTATCTTTACCTGATAAATAACATAAGTATATGTTTCCTTAATAACAATAAGAATCACATACTAAAAGGTCAACATGATCTGCCACCTAGTTACCAATTTCTTCATAAATTACTGGCAGACATCAGTGCATAAATAACCCCCAAAGCAAACAAAAACCACGCAAACCAATATCAACTCATAATATCTAAGGCTGGACTTGGCACCTAATAGTATGCACTGTGAGCATGTACATTTCCTAAACACTTTATTCAGACAACTTAATACAGACCTAGAAAATTATTAAAAAGCAGCACCTACCGAATAGCCAGGACACACACATTCTTCATATGTGTAGAGAATAAAAAGTGCTAACAGCATAAAAAATACTTTACATAACATCTGGTACATGTCAATGTTTTAAGTACAAAGGATATAAAGAAGACCGGTTTTTAAATTAAGACAAAGTGATAGTTTGTTGAGATAGAAATATTAATTAAAGACATAAAATGTATTGAAAATAATAATAGATGGAATAAATAAAATACACTTTTATTAATTTTGGAAATTAGAAGACTGAAGAGTTTCATTTTTTAAGGAGAGAGTGTTAGAATTGTAGTTTAGCATTATAACTTTATCATACTGAATTTCTTGTTTGGTGGAAAGAGAAAAAAAATACCCTGCCATAATATTGTCTAGTACAGAACAATATTAATAAGAAGCCAATACAGAATGATGATAGCAATAAAATTAAAGGTTGTTAATTCTGAAAGAATTAAGATGAATATTGAAGTCATTAGGAATGATCTCAAGAAATTACATAAAGTGAGCATATATGATCCGAGGTTGATCTACAATTAGTATGAGCCAGAGCACAAAGAAAGCTCAAAGTGATGGAACTTTAAATGAATAAGCAGAATTAGAGGAGTTATGTTTGCAGAAAAATCTAGTTCCGCTATTTGGCAGAAGATAGATTATATATCTTGCCCTCACTGCCAATGCTGACTTCTCACCTGATGCCACAACTCCCCCAACGTGTATTACATTTGATAGACAAACTTCTACAAGGGAGAAATTAGGTCCCTTGGTGTACTGTGGAATATCTAAGATCTCAATGATGAGAATATGTTATGAATACATAAATGAGAAATAAAACTAGAATAAATCATTTTTAGAGTTTGGAGTGTATCTCATCTGTCATAGAAGGATTTATAATTTAAGAGTAGAGAAAGATCAGCAAAGAGGCAGTAAAATAAGAGCTCCCAATTTCCAGTAATGGTATGTGACCTAATAAAACCAACTTTCTCACTATAAACAAATAACACTAAATCAATTTGCTAAAAATATTTAAAATATTTTAAAGACATTGATGAACTAAATAGATAATGAGGGAATATCATACCATGGCTAGAAGCCATTTTGATCACAGAGGTTTACTGAACTTGTATTTTAATTATTTAAAAAATGAAAAATTGGTCCAAACATCTCCTAGGATGGCTAATTTCATATGTCAACTTGACTAGATTAAGGGATAAACAGACTGCTGGTAAAGCATTATTTCTAGGCATATCTGTGAGGGTCTTTCCCGAAGAGATCGGTGCTTGAATCACTGAACTGAGTAAGGAAGATTGTCCTTAATGTGGACGGGCACCGTTCAAATGGCTAAGGGTGCAGATAGAACAAAATTTAGAGGAAAGGTGAATTTATTTTATTTTTAAAGCTGAGACACTCGTCTTCTCCTGCTCTTGGACATCAGAACTTCAGGACTTTGGAATCGAAGACTTGCACCAGTGGCCTCCTGGGTTGTTAAACCTTTGGCCTTGGACTGAGATTTACACCATTGGCTTCTCTGGTTCTGATAATTTTTAGATGGACTAAGCCATGTTACTAGCATCCCTGGTTCTCTAGCTTGCAGAAAGCCTATCATGGTATTTCTTTGCCTCCATAATTGTGTGTTTAATTTCCCTAATAGATCCCCTCATTCATCTATCTATCTATCTATCTATCTATCTATCTATCTATCTATCTATCTATCGTACTATCATTTGTTGGTTCTGTCTCTGGAGAGCCATGACTAACACAAATTTTGGTATCAGGGTGGATTCTAGAGTAGAAAATATTTAAGGATGAGCTTTCTTAATTGGTTTCTACGTTTCTGGAATTGGCTCTCTAATCCGATTAGACCTAAAAATGTTAAAGCCTCTACTTTCAATGGTAGACAAAGCATTGGTCATTCATGTCTTGATCTGTTTAGAGGGATATGCAAAATATCTGCATTGGATATGATACTTCTAATCAAACACTTGTTCAAGGCAAGGAAGTTAGTGAATCTGTAAACAATATTTTCAAACATTTATGGAAAAGAAAAGAGTATAATGATATTGGTTGGTTGGCTCTAATGTTGCTGGAAAAAATGATGAAAGAAGGATAAGACAATTCTTGTCTCTGGATTAACAAGAATAGTCCAAAATCTTCCATGTCTGCCCTGAGAGGAAATCTTCTCTCCTGTAGCCACAGGGTTGAAATTTCTGAAAATCAAACACAAATTCTCTTAATGATATATGCTAAGTTAAAACAAAAGTTGAACTCTCAGCTTTGCAAGGTATATACTATTGAAGTGAGGGCATTGGTTGGAAAAGGATGGAATCCTATAATTTGAGATGTAGATGTGTGAGAAGACCCTAATTAAACTAGAACATTGAGTTTCTAAATTCTGATGAAACTTTTTTTGCCAGCAGAGGTGGCTTCACCACCCCCAGTGGCAGGGTTTACTCCATTCCCATTGGTAGTGGTCTCTCTACCCACAGTGTTAACAATCTTCATCTCTGTCTGAGGAATTAACCCAGAATTGCCTAAGGAAACAATAATGGTCTCCCCTGAGGCAGGTGCTAAGCAGGACAATACTGATTATCTTTAGGATTCATGCCCACCAACTTTCTTTGCTTCTAGACTCATAACTAGACTCAAGTCCCAGCAGGCCTCTAAAGGTGAGGTATAAAGTGTGACCCATGAGCAACTGCATTGTACTCCAAATGTACTACTTGAGTTTTCTAATTATAAAAACAGAAATCCAGAAAACATGTGGGAATAGATATTATAAATATAGGATTGAATGATGCAAGAAACATAAAATTGGATTAAGCTAAATATATTGATATAAATCCACTAAGTAGAAACTCTCCATTTAATGTTGCAGGTCAGTGAATTAGAAAAGGTGCTAGCAGCTTAGTTGATTGGTTGGGTGAAACACGTATAAACATATTACCCACTGTTGGTAAATTGAAGATGATAGATCTTTACTGGTTTAATGTAAGGAAGAAATTCAAATCTTAGGGAGATTGGAATGCTAGAGTAAATCTGTCACTAGAAATCTACTCCCCCACACTGGTAAGGTCCAGATGACTACCTTTCACCTATACTTTGTAATTCTACAAAATAAAATGTGGAACACACACAAAGGAAATATAAGTGAGAGTGTAAAAGAAATAGAGATTATGGTACCACACCTGGATTATGGTACACATGTGAAGCTTTGAATATCTACATCAATATAAATATGAAGCTTTTGGCAAATGATGAGATGGTTATTGGCTCAAGGCATTAAGGACTATGCCTTTTTGTTATTAGCTGACAACAAAGCTAGATGGACAGAGGCTTCTTGGGTTGCATACAACCCAAGAAGATACAAAAAATACAGACTTAAACTATCAGTCAAAGATAGTCACTATTTTGGTACCAGTACCATGCTGTTTTGTTTACTGTGGCTTTGTAGTATAGTTTGAAGTCAGGTAGTGTGATGCCTCCAGCTTTGTTCTTTTTCCTTAGGATTGTCTTGGCTATATGTGGTCTTCTTTTATTTCATATGAAATTTAAAGTTTTTTTTTAATAATTCTATGAAAAATGTCAATGGTAGTTTGATAGGAATAGCATTGAATCTATAAATTACTTTGGGCTGTATGGCCATTTTCATGATATTTATTCTTCCTATCCAGGAAGATAGAATGTTTTTCCATTTGTTTGTGTCATCTCTTATTTCCTTTAGCAGTGGTTTGTAGTTCTCCTTGAAAAGGTCCTTTACATCCCTCTTTGGCTGCGTTCCTAGGTATTTTATTCTTTTTGCAGCAATTGTGAAAAGGAGTTCGTTACGATTGGGCTCTCTGCTTGGCTATTGTTGCTCGAGAGCAATGCTTTTGACTTTTGCACATTGATTTTGTATCTTAAGACTTTGTTGAAATTGCTTATCAGTTTAAGGAGTTTTGGGGCTGAGAATGATGGGGTTTTCTAAATATAAAATCATGTCATCTGCAAACAGAGACAATTTAACTTCCTCTCTTCCTATTTGAATATGCTTTCTTTCTCTTGCCTGACTGCCATGACCAGAACTTCCAATATTATGTTGAATAGGAGTGGTGTGAGAGGACATCCTTGTCTTGTGCCAGATTTCAAGGGGAATGTTTCCAGCTTTTGCCCAGTCAGCATGATATTGGCTGTGGATTTGTCATAAATGGTTCTTAATATTTTGAGGTATGTTCCATCAACACTTATTTTATTGAGAGTTTTTAACACGAAGGGTTGTTGAATTTTATCAAAGGCCTTTTCTGCATCTATTTAGATAACTATGTGGTTTTTGTCTTTGGTTCTGTTTATGTGATGGATTACATTTATTGATTTGCGTGTGTTGAACCAGCCTTGCATCCCAGGGATGAAGCTGACTTGATTGTGGTGAATGAGCTTTTTGATGTGTTGCTGGATATGGTTTACCAGTATTTTATTAAGGATTTTTGCATCAATGTTCTTCAGGGATATTTGCCTGAAGTTTTCTTTTATTGTTGTATCTCTTACCAGTTTACTCATAAAATGAGTTAGGGTGCATGGTACTGGTACCAAAACAGAAATATAGACCAATGGAACAGAATAGAGACCTCAGAAATAACACCACACATCTACAACCATCTGATCTTTGACAAACTTGACAAAAACAAGCAATGGAGAAAGAATTTTCCTATTTAACAAATGGGGCTGGGAAAACTGAATAGCCACATACAGAAAACTGAAACTGGACCCCTTCCTTACGTGTTATACAAAAATTAACTCAAGATGGATTAGAGACTTAAATGTAAAACCTAGAACCATAAAAACCCTAGAAGAAAACCAAGGCAATACTAGTCAGGACACAGGCGTGGGCAAAGGCTTCATGACTAAAACACCAAAAGCAATTGCAACAAAAACCAAAATTGACAAATGGGATCTAATTAAACTAAAAGGCTTTTGCACAACAAAAGAAACTGTCACCGAAGTGAACAGGCAACCTACAGAATGGGAGAAAATGTTTGCAATCTATCCATCTGACAAAGGTCTAATATGCAGAGCTTAAAAGGAACTTAAAAAGATTTACAAGAAAAATAAACATCAGAAAGTGGGCAAAGGAAATAAACAGACACTTCTCGAAAGAAGACATTTATGCAGCCAACAAACATATGAAAAAAACCTCAATATCACTGATCATTAGACAAATGCAAATCAAAACCACAATAAGATACAGTCTCACTGCAGTCAGAATGGCAATTATTAAAAAGTCAAGAAGCAATGGATGCCGGTAAGGCTGTGGAGAAATAAGACCACTTTTACACTATTGGTGAGTATGAAAATTAGTTCAACCATTGTGGAAGACAGTATGGCAATTCCTCAAAGATCTAGAACTAGAAATACCATTTGACCCAGCAATCCTATTACTGGGTATATACCCAAAGAAATATAAATCATTCTACTCTAAAGACACATGCACACATATGTTTATTGCAGCACTATTTACAATAGCTGAGTCATGGAACCAACCCAATGCCCATCGGTGGTAGACTGCATAAAGAAAATGTGGTACATGTACACCATGGAATACTATGCAGCCATAAAAAGGAATGAGATCAATGTCCTTTGCAGAGACATGGATGAAGCTGGAAGCTATCATCCTCAGCAAACTAACACAGGAACAGAAACACCACATGTTCTCACTGATAAGTGGGAGTTGAACAATGAGAACACATGGACACAGGGAGAGGAACATCACACACTGGGGCCTGTCTGGGAGTGGGGTGGCAGGGGCGAGGGGGAGAAACTTAGAGGACAGGTCAATAGGTGCAGCAAACCACCATGACACATGTATACCTATGTAACAAACCTACACATTCTGCACATGTGTCCCAGAACTTAAGGTAAAGAACAAACAAATGGTAGTAGCAGCAAAAACTACAACAAAAAACACAGAATCAACAAATCTGGGTAATGAGATTGATTTCCAGAGTACCCACATTATATTATTTATAATGTTCAGTTTTGTTTTCCTTTTTCTTTTGTTTATTTATTTGTTTTTGTGAGACAGGGTCTCACTCTGTTACCCAGGTTGAAGTGCAGTGGCATGATCACCTTTCACATACTGTGCTTAAGTGATCTTCCCACCTCAGCCACCAGAGTAGCCAAGACTACAGGTGCACATCACCTAAACCAGCTAATTTTATTAATCTTTGTAGAGATGAGGTCTTTCTATGTTGTCCACGCTGGTCTTGAACTCCTGAGTTCAAGCAATCCTTCTGCCTCAGCCTCCCAAAGTGCTAGGGTTACAGATGTGAGCCACTGCACCTGGCCAATGTTCAGTTTTCAACAAAATAGTATGATATATGTAATGAATCAGGAAAGTATAGCTCATAGCAAAAAAAAAAAAAAAAAAAAAAAAAAAAAGCCAACAGAAAGTAACCCTGAGCAGGCCAGAAGATGAATGTACCAAAATTTCTTTTTTTTTTTTTTTTTTTTCCGAGACAGAGTCTCACTCTGTCACTTAAGCTGGAGTGTGGTGGTGTGATCTCAGCTCACTGTAACATCCAGCTACTGGGTTCAAGTGATTCTCCTGCCTCAGTCTCCTGAGTAGCTGGAACTACAGGCACACACCTCCATGCCTGGCTAATTTTTGTATTTTTAGTAGAGATGGGGTTTCACCACGTTGGCGAGCTGGTATGGAATTCCAGACCTCAAGTGATCCGCCCGCCTCAGCCTCTCAGAGTGCTGGGATTATAGGCGTAAGCCACAGAAACCAGCCCAAAAAAATATTTTAAATCAGCTATTAAAAATATGTTTCAAAAACTACAGGCAACCATGTATAAATAACTAAATGGAAGTCTAGCAATAATATCTCATCAAATAAAGAATTTCAATACAGAGAAAAAAATGCGAGAAATGAGACTCAAATAGTAATTTTAGAGTTGGAAAATAAAATAACTGAATTAAAAATTTACTATAGTATCTCAACAACAGATTTATTCTGGCAGAAGAAGGGATAAGTAAATTTATAGATAGGTAAACGAAGACTATTCAACCTGAGGAACAACAACAACAAAAAAGAATGAAGGAAAAAAAAGAGTCTCAGAGACCTGTAGGACACTATCAAGCATAGCAACAAATAGTTTGATGGGAGAGACAGGACAGGGCAGAAAATCCGTTTAAGGAATAATTACTGAAAACTTTCCAAATTTCATTTTTAAAACCCCATTAATCTGCATATCCAAGAATCTCAGTGATCTGTAAGTAATATAAAGAGATGCACACCTAGATCCATTATAGTCAAACTCTTGAAAACCAAGAACAGAGTGGATCTTGAAAATAGTATGAGAAAAAAGACTCATCAAGCACAAGGTATTCTCAAGGGTTAACAGTCGCTTTTTATAAGAAATCATGGAAGCCAGAAGGCAATAATGTGTCATATTAAATATATAAAACAATAAAAATCATTGACAACCTAAAATTTTATATCCTGTAAAACTGCCCTTCCACAATGAAGAAGAAAGTAGGACAACTTTAAACAAACCAGAAACAAACTATTTATTACTACCCAAACAGCCCTGCAAGAAATACAAAGTGAATTTTTCAAGTTGAATGAAAGACACTAGGTAATAACTCATTGCCATTTCTGTAAATAAAGAACACAGGTAAATGTAATTACATCAGCAAGTAAGAAAACAAAATAAATGTATTTTATTTATAACTCTTTTCTTCTCTTATGTGATCAAAAAAGGCCTTAAAGAAATAATTATAATATCTTAATAGTTTTCAATTGTATAAATATGAAATTTTTACAGCAACAATAGTACAAAGGAAGAGGTAGGGAATAGTGGAGTAAAGTTTGTGTTAAAATTAATCAAAACCAGGTAGTTTTAAATTAAGATGCTAATTGTAATATCCAGGGCAATCATTATGAAATTGACTCATGAAAGATTGCCTGTCTACTCTTTTTCATAGAACACATAAGCTAATAATAGGAGTAGCTCAACCTACTGATTCATCAGTGTTATAACATTTTCCCAAGTAGTAGGTCAATCCTTCCCCTTCACGTCTTTTCTCTAGACAAAGCGGAGAATAATTTTTGTTGTTCTCAAAATTTTTCCACTGTCCAAAACCATTGACAGGTTTTAACCCTCGTGGCAACTAGGTTTATAACTTATTAATATTAGTATTGATGAATGTATAACTGAATAATTTTATTGATTATATTTCCTTTAAAACATTCAATTAATTTCAGTTTTATTTCTGTAAGCTTATTTTTTACGTTTTATGTTTTTTCACTGAATTTCATTTGCTTTTCAGATTAATATTAAAATCTCTTTTTTTTCTTTAAGTCTTGTTCATATGAACATTTGCAATCAATGCTTGTGAATTACTTTTGGAATATATTTGCTGAAATCTTAGGACATAAATTTATTACTTTAAAAATTATCTTTCTTGACTGCTCAGAATTCTGTGTATTCTGAACTATCTTTTAGGTATTTCTTTGTAATCAAATTAAAAACTACATAAAATTATCCTCTTTACTTTTTGCTATTTTTTAAGAAATGTCAATATATCAAAAGAGCAATTCATAAGATGTTCTGATTTTAGCATAATTAAACGTCAAGAAGATAATTGAAATTACTTCATCATGTGTGTAGATTAAATATTGGTTTCTTTTTATATATTTTTAATAAAAGAAAGAGTCACTTCATTTTGATCAGGTAAATCTTGATTTCTTTTTATATATTTTTAATAAAAGAAAGAGTCACTTTATTTTGATCAGGTATATAATGTGGTTTTAGAAAGCACAGTGTTTCTTTTAACTTTTAATGATTTAAATATATGTATACTGACATGGACACTTTAAAGACAGTAATCAATAACTTTTTTTTATATTTTGTACAATGTCTTATAAGATGAAGAATAAATATTTTAGTTTTCTCTTTTTCTATAGTTTCCATACCCACTTATGTGTCATTTAAATGTTGTTTGGGGAATAGGTCACATCAAATATCCGATGATTCCACTTTAAGAAATAATTTTATTTTAAGGAGATACAAATCTTAATGAAGAGAGTCAAATGTCTCAGTCTTCATAAGAGGTCTATTACTGATTCATCAGTTCATTATCTTCTTAATTTTTCCCTTTATAAATCTGAAACATCTGATTAACTCTCTGGTGCTATTTAAAGCATCAACCATGTATGATACATCAAATGCACTAAGGGCATATTAAGATTATTTGACTGCTTTAATAAATTACACTGGTATATTCCTCCCTGCGGAGGAAAATAAAGCAAAACAGTACAGACCAATGACTGAGAACAGATGTCAACAATCCAATAAGAAAACAAATTATGCTTTGTCCTTCTTCTGGTTCCTACGTGGTTATAATTTACTGTAATGACAATTTACCTCACCCAAGGAAACATGAAATGCTATAGATTTTCCAAATTCATCAGATTCAATGAACACTAATACATAACAGGTATTTGATTATATGTCAGTCATTCAATAGGTATTAATGTATGTAACCTTTTTCTAAGCATTGTGGACAGAATTGTATAATTCACTATTTCAGCCTTTGTCAAGGCTGTTACCTAGTTAGACAGAAACATCTACCCATTTACAGTACTTAAATGCCCATACAAGGCCTTACCCAGGACTAAGTGATGACAGACTATAAATACTGCAAAAAGACAAATAAGAAAGACATCAAAGTACATTCTCTCATTGATTTCATTCCCTTCACTGGATCATTTGCTTATTAGTGCACTCATTCATTCAGTGAATATCAATATTTTAGTCATCAAAATAGTCTAGTTTAGCATATACCATGAACATACGCACTCATCCATCCATTCTTCAATCAATGATAAAACATTTAATATTCTTCCCTTAGGCTTCAGTAACTGTGGTAGGTGTTGATAGAACAAGGATGGTTATAATCCAGTCCCAATATTTCAGATCATTAAAGCCCAGACAAGTAAAAAATGTATAGCAAATGCAATAAGTAAGCATCAGAATGCCTTAGTGGTGATTGTATTTGTGTGTGTTTTTGGGTGGGAGTGGTGTTTTGGTCAGGGATCCAAACTGAAAACTGTCCCAAAAGTTACTAGTTATTTGACCTTTCCTTGGGGCCTAATTTCCACTCCAGAGTCATTGCTCGATAAATGTCACCTAAAATTGCTCTAATAGAGACAAATAAGGTGCCTTGGGAGTACAGGAAAAGGACTCTTTTGCTTGAAAGTACAGTGGAAGCTCCCTATGGAGGTTGGCATTTGAACTGACTTTTAAAGGATGAGTATATTTATTAAATCAAGGAGAAGAAAGGGCAAGTCCAGCATGTGCAAATTCGGTCGGGTAGGCTGCAAATATTTCTGTAACCAAGTATGAACGATGAGTGTGGAAAATCATAAGGATTGGGTTGGGAAAGGTGGAAATAATGCAAACCTAGAAGGGGCTTGTGTGATGTAGAAATGTCAGCTTTATTGCCAACTCATAGCAAACCAATAGGAATCAGTCTGGGTAGAGTGAAGGATATGGATGTTTACTTCAGACAAGAGTTGGGATTGAGTGAGAGTGAAAAACTAGGAGGATATTGTAAAAGATGAGAAATGATAACTTCATGAATTTAGGCAGAAGGAATAGATCAGAAAATAGTGGAAGGCTTCTAGATGAAAAGGGGACCCTTCAAATGCATGCAAAAAAGATAATAAAGTCTATGATGTTTAATAGTTTTCTATTTGTACTTATGATGGTCATATTAGGAATACACAGGGGACAAGGATGGCAGGAAAGTTAGTAAATTCAGACTTTGTACGTTATGAGTTAAAAGCAACTTTTAAAAAATCTAAATAGGGAAATATGGTTAGAATTAGAATAAAATTAAGTAGGCAATTAAGATTTTTTTTTTTTTTTTTTTTTTTTTGAGACAGAGTGTCGCCCTTTCGCCCAGGCTGGAGTGCAGTGGCGCGATCTCGGCTCACTGCAAGCTCTGCCTCGCTGGTTCACGCCATTCTCCTGCCTCAGCCTCCCGAGTAGCTGGGACTACAGGCACCCGCCACCACGCCCGGCTAATTTTTTGTATTTTTAGCAGAGACGGGGTTTCACCATGTTAGCCAGGAAGGTCTCTATCTCCTGACCTTGTGATCCACCCGCCTCGGCCTCCCAAAATGCTGGGATTACAGGCCTGAGCCACCGCGCCCAGCCAGGCAATTAGGATTTTAATGAAAGCTGTGTAATTAGCCAGTGAAGTCTGAAGTCTAGAAAAGGTCACTTATCTAGAACGTTTAGAGTGAAACAGTTGGGGTTTTGATGTTATTCTATGTAAGACCATAGATTCTATATGGCGGAAGGAGAATAAAAGTTCTTAAGAATATAATCTAAAGTCATTAAAAAGCAATCAAAAAGAAGACAATAATTAATATCATTTAAACAAAAGGATTTCAAGGAGGAAATCTGCAAAAATGTCAAATGATCAATAAAGTTCCAGTAAAATGAATATTTAAAAGATCTCCTTTGCTGTTGTCTTTTAAACTTAACGATTAGGTTTACTTCTTAGGTACAAAATTAACTACGATAATTTAAAAAATATATGATGCATAAATTAGAGACAGCATATATATTTTTTGACAATATGGCTGCATAAGCACAGAGAGATACAGACCCATGGACAATATGAAGTTTTAGAATTGTTATTGTTATATTGTTTTCCTTATTACTGTTGTTATTTTAAGTATGTCATTGGCTGGATCATATTTATTGTTTAAGAGATATAGTACAAAAGAATAGCAACACTGAGTGTACAAGAGTTATAAGAGAAAAATTGATGGAGCAAGATGTTAAGAAAGATGAGTAAAGATAACATCTAGAGAGTGGAGAGAAGAATCAAATTGTTGCGAGATGTTAGGCACATTCATAACCTAATTAGCTGCAGGAAAAGGGCTGTATTCAGGAATTCTTGATGCTTTAGGATAGCATTTTGATTATAATGAAAATGTAGGTCGAGGTTCTAGATAGATGAATACTACACACACACACACACACACACACACACACACACACACACACACACAGAGGGATAAACATGTCGGAGTTTTTACAATGGAGAAAATAAGTAGAGTTGTGGAAGTGAGACTGAACTGCACTTAGTACAATGAAACTTGCAGAATACTAGAGCACTTATGAGGAAGAATAACAATGATTTGAATGGTATATTTCTTTTTGGAGACGGAGTTTTGCTCTTGTTGTCCAGGCTGGAGTGCAATGGTGCAATCTCAGCTCACTGCAATCTCAGCCTCCCAGGTTCAAGCGATTTTCCTGACTCAGCCTCTGGAGTAGCTGGGATTACAGGCGCCCACCACATCGCCCGTATTTTTAGTACAGAAGGGGTTTCACCATGTTGGTCAGGTTGGTCTCGAACTCCTGATCTCAAGTGATCCACTCACCTCGGCCTCTCAAAGTGCTGGGATTACAGGCATGAACCACAGTCCACGGCCCGAATGGCATATTTCTGACACCTGGAATGCCATGTCAAGGCCTTGAACTTTTTCTTGTAAACAAAGTATAAGCCTATTTAATTTGCAGGCATGGAAAGCAAATGACTAGTTACATATCTATTGCAATAATGCAGTTACATTCCGATTAAAAGTTTTTCAGCCATCATGTTGGCAATATCAATAAAAATTGACATAGGTAAAAAAATTGCTATTAATGATTTTTCAAGATTTACTAATTGTTATAATAAAGAGTTAGAAATGATTTAAAGTAATTTTGCAAGCATGAAAGTGTTTTTATTTTTCAAATAGATTACATCCTTAAACAAGAGAACAAGGGAAAGACACAAGTCACAGAATATTAATGAGAATGTTTTTAAAAATAATAAAAGAAAGAATATCCCATAGACATTTTTCAAGAAATTTATATGCCATGCCCACTACTTCTGGACAACAAAGGGTCTAATTTTACTCATTCACTTCATTAGGAGCATGCTGTGTTATTTTGCCAATGTTGTCATTTCATCAGTATGAATAATTTATATTTTAAATGACATGTTTATTTATGATGTATATTTAAAAATTTATAAATAATAGGCCTACATGAATTGAGATACAACTACTTTAAAAATTATTTTCCTAAATGTTATATAATGCATTCGTAATGTATTGCTAGTCAATACTTTTAAGTAAATAGCTTTATAATTTTACTGCGCAATGAAAGTTCATGTTTCAGTTTTATATCAAATTTATATTTACTAATATAAAGCAATGAATTATTCAGGAAAAATGATGTGATGTCTCAAATATTTATATAAAATGACTCACAACAAAAATTCTTCCCAAGCATAGTTTCAACTGGATTTTGATTAAAGATAGTCTAAAACAGAAATTAAATTAAAGCACAGTTACATTAAGATTCAATTAGGCACCTTCAAGTTGAAATGCTGTGGCTTTCTTGAGTAAAATGAACTCTGCTTTTGCTTGCTATAAATTTCAGTATAGTTTATATGTCAGATATATTATTCCACAAAGTTGAGTTGAAATAATGCATACATTACTGAGATCCAAAAGAATTAAGATGAAAGATAATTTATTATGAAAAAGCTGAAAAAGGAACACAGTCTCATTTCAACTCTATACCTGAAAATGCTTTGATATATTTAATGAATCATATTTTTTACGGATAACAACAAATAGAAATGTCAAGCAGGTGAAATAATAAGAGAAATACAAAGGAAAATGAACCAAATTCAATAAAAAAAGAGCCAATGAAGTGTAAATAAACTGTCATACAACAGGTTTTAATCTCCTTTGCAGAATAAAGTTGTCAATTGCTACTTTTCACATCATTTTTCCACAAACTTAACATCTATGATGTTAATACTGAGTGTCAGCTTGATAGGATTGAAGGATACAAATTATTGATCCTGGGTGTGTCTGTGAGGGTGTTGCCAAAGGAGATTAACATTTGAGTCAGTGGGATGGGAAAGGCAGACCTACCCTTAATCTGGGTGAGCACAATCTAATCAGCTGCTAGCTTGGCTAGAATAAAACGCAGGCAGAAAAATGTGAAAAGAGAGACTGGCCTACATCTTTCTCCCATGCTAGAAGGCTCCTGCCCTCGAACGTCATACTCCAGGTTCTTCAGTTTTGGAACTCAGACAGGCATTTCTTGCTCCTCAGCCTGCAGACCACATGTTGTGGGACCTTGTGATCATGTGAGTTAATACTTAATAAACTCCCATATATATATATGTGTGTGTGTGTGTGTGTGTGTGTGTGTGTGTGTGTATACATATTCCATTAGTTCTGTCCCTCTAGAGAACCCTGACTAATACAGAGTTTGGTATCAGGAGTGGTTCTAGAGGAATAGAATATTAAGGATGGAGTTCATCATTGGTTTTGGAGTTTCTGGAGTTGCCACATAATATGATAAGACTTAAAAATGCTAAGGACTCTACTGCCAATAGTACAGAGAACACTGATAGTCTTTGGCATGAACTATTTAGAAAGTTATACAAAATAAATGCATTTGACACTCCTGATTGATTGCCCATGAGAGGCAAGAAGTTTAGTGACTCTATACTTAATACCTTTGACCATATGTGGAGAACCAAGGAACATAATGAAGCTGGTTGGTTTCTCCCAATTTCAGTGGACAAAGTGATGAAAGACAATGATGAATTCAGGGATTCTATCTCCTGGCTTCAGAAGCAGATACTGAGCCTCAAATCTGCTAAGTTTGCCCTGAGTGAGAGTCTTATCTCCTACAGAGAAAGAGCTGAAATTCTGGAAAAAACAGACACAAACTCTTATTATAAGAGTGGCTGACTTGCAACGAAAGGTGCCTGCACAGCCTTGCCATGTGTCTACTGTTAAAGTGAGAGTATTCATGGGAAAAGAATGGGACCCTGCTACTTGGAATGGCGACGTAGAGGAGGACCTGGATGAAGCTGAGGACAGAGTTTGTAAACTCTGATGAACCTTTTTTGCCAGAAGAAACAGCTTCCCCATCCCCATTAGTTGCAACAACCCGCTCCCCAACCCATGGTGCCATCAGCCTTTCTACCTTTGTCTGAGGAGATAAACCCTGAGCTGCCTGAGGCAACACTGATGGCTTCCCTTGAGGCAGTTCAGGCAAGATAATGGTGATTCTCCTCAGGAGATTCTCCTCTGGTAGCAAACAGGAGCTACTGCCAACATCCCTGTTTGCTACTAGACCTATAACTAAAGTCCCGGCCGGCCCCTAGAGGTGAGATTGAGAGCACGACCCATGAGGAGGTGCACTACACTCGAAAAGAACTGCTTGAGTTTTCTGATTTATACAGAAATCTGGAGAACAGGCCTGGGAATGGATATTAAGGGTGCAGAATCATGGTAAAAGGAACATAGAGTTAGATCAGACTGAATTTATTGATTTGGGCCCACTAAGTAGGGACTCTGCACTTAATGTGCAGTTCAGAGAGTTAAAAAAAAGGTTCTAATAGTTTATTTGCTTGGTGAGTTGAAACATGGATTAAAACATGGTCCACTGTGAGTGAGCTGAAAATGCCTGATCTCCCTTGATTTAATGTAGAGGAAGGAATCCAAAGGCTTAGGAATATTGGGATGGTGGAGTGGATTGGTCACTTTAGACCTACTGGGAGGGTCCAGAAAATATACCGTTGACCAATGCCTTGTGAAACAGATTTGTGAGGGCAGCACCTGCATCTTTGAAGAGTCCTGTAATTACTTTTCTCTGTGTGTCAGATCTAACAGTGGGAACTGCAGTCACTCAACTATAAAATTTAAATACAATGGGAATAATTGGATCCCAGCGTGGCAGGGGCCAAGTGGCAGCACTCAACCATGAAAGGCAAGGTGAGCATAGCTACCATAATGGACAGCAGAGTCAAAGCAGCAATCAGAATAGTCTGACTCTTGTAGAGCTCTGGAATTGGCTAATTAATCATGGGGTTCCTAGAAGTGAAATTGATAGAAAGTCTACTGCATTCCTACTTAATTTATATAAACAGAAAACTTTTAGGTTGAATGGAAAAAAAAGCTAATTTGAATTATAAAAACAGAGAATCACGGCCCCTCAATCAATTTCCAGACTTGAGCTAGTGTACAGACCTAGAACCCCTTGAATGAAGGGGAGGCTGTGTCCCCTTGAGCAAGGACTCCACTACATTCCTGATAATTTATTCAGTGAATCTTTCTCCCATCCTTTCCCAAGGAGACCTCTGGCCTTTTACCAGGGTAACTGTGCATTGGGGAAAGGGCAATGATCAGATATTTCAGGGACTGCTAGACACTGGCTCTGAGCTGACATTGATTCCAGGGAACCCAAAACGTAATTGTGGTCCCCCAGTTAAATTAGCGGCTTATGGAGGTCAGGTAATTAATGGAGTTTTAGCTCAGGTTTGACTTACAGTGGTGCCAGTGGGTCCCCGGACTCATCCTATGCTGATTTCCCCACTGCCAGAAATAGACATACCCAACAGCTGGCAGAATCCCCACATTGGCTCCCTGACTGGTAGGGCAAGGGTTATTATGGTGGGAAAGGCAAATGGAAGCCATTAGAGCTGCCTTTACCTAGAAAAATAGTAAGTCAAACAGAATATCACATCCCTAGAGGGATTGCAGAAATTAATGCCACAATCAAAGACTTGAAAGACACATGGGTCGTGATTCCCACCACATCCCCATTTAACTCTCTCATTTGGCCCCTGCAGAAGACAGATGGATCTTGGAGAATGGCAATACTTTTGCCAAGACTACCATCCGTGGACTCATAGAATGCCTTATCCACTGTCATGGTATTCCCCACCGCATTGCCTCTGACCAAGGCACTTACTTTATGGCTAAAGAAGTGTGGCAGTGGGCTCATGCTCATGGAATTCAATAGTCTACCATGTTCCCCATAATCCTGAACCAGCTGGATTGACAGAAAGATGGAATGGCCTTTGGAAGTCACAATTACAATGTCATCTAGGTGACAACATTTTGCAGGTCTGGGGCAAGATTCTCCAGAAGGCCATGTATGTTCTGAATCAGAATCCAATATATGCTACTGTTTCTCTCATAGCCAGGATTCAGGGGTCCGGGAATCAAGGGGTGGAAGTCAAAGTGACACCACTCACCAACACCTCTAATGCTCCACTAGAAAGATTTTTGCTTCCTCTTCCTACAACATTACATACTGCTGGCTTAGAGGTCTTAGTTCCAGAGGGAGGAAGGTTGCCACCAGGAAACACAACAACAATTCCATTAAACTAGAAGTTAGAATTGCCACCAGGAAACACAACAACAATTCCATTAAACTAGAAGTTAGAATTGCCACCTGTACACTTTGGGCTTTTCTTACCTTTAAATCAACACATTGAAAAGGGAGTTACAGTGTTGGCTAGGGTGATTGACCCTGACTATCAAGATGAAATCAGTCTACTACTCCACAATGGAGGTAAGGAAGAGTATACTTGGAATATAGGAGATCCCTTAGGGCATCTCTTACCAGTACCATAAATGAAGGTTTGAGTCACTCCACCAAGAAAAAAACCATGACCTGCTGAGGTGCTTGCTGAAAGCAAAGGGAATACAGAATGAGTAGTAGAAGAAGGTAGTCACCAATACCAGCTACGACCATGTGACCAGCTGCAGAAACGAGGATTGTAACTGTCATGAGTATTTCCACCTTTTGTTATAAACATGTTAGTGCATATATACACTTATACTAAGAAAAAGCTTCATTTTATGTCCTTTCTCCTTTATCATGTGACATAAGATTTATTGATTTTATTGAATATTTATGAATATTGATCATATTATGATCAATATATTATATATATTATATATGTAACATATATGTTCCATTAGTTCTGTCCCTCAAGAGAACCATGACTAATACAACATTCTACCTTGAATCTAAGTTATCATCTCACGTTTAAACACAATGAATTTCTTATTCAAAATAGCTGCTACCCAATATGCTGTTATCAATCAGCTAATAACATGAAAACATTCATACAAAAGTAAATATTCCTGGGCAAGAAACAACGAAATTCCACCGCTTTACAATAAATATTTTAGGATATCTACCATGAAATGTCTAATCTATATATACACAGTATGTATGTACTATATATGTACACATACCTGTATATTAATGCATTCTCAGATTATACTTATTTATGGTCACCTTTTATATTATTATTAGTTTTTTTATTATTCGCTATAGATAAAAGAAAAAGCTCGCAATACATGTATCTTCTTGCAATATAGGCATTTATCTTCTTTAAAGATGAAATACAGAACAAAAACTATCTGTGTATCTAGAATTGAAAACACTACAACAAATTTATGTATCATTTTGCAAAAAAAAAAAAAACCTCCACAAGTTTTACATATATTTGCTTTTACTTAGAAAAGATATGCAATAAAGAACTGTGCTTTTGTATGTTATTAATTTTGTTATGTTATTAATCTCTCTACTTGAGAGTCTGGAAAATAAGGGAGAAAATTAATTGTGTACGGTGAATGAGAATATTTCTACATGACCTATAAATGGCCTATTCATAGCTAGTGCTTTATGTTAGAATCATGAACCCAACATTAAAAAGTACATTATAGACATAAAGGACAAATTTGAACATTTTTATTTTTCTACAGTTTAATTCATATTGAATGTTTCAGGTAGTTAATTCAAATCAATTTTTCACAGCAATTTGTTATGAAATAGGCAATTATATTGGTATTGCTTAAGACTTCAAATTACTGTTTATTTTTTTCTTTTGGATCTCTTAAAACTATTTTTAATTCATAAGTCCTCACCAAAATTGAAAGCATGCATTAAAATCCAATGTATAAGACAACCCGTTTTTAAAACAGGTTCTTTCCTATGGTCTCACTCAAAGCAAATAAATGAATTTTGATTTATAAGGACATGAGTGTAAACAGCTGTTATTTTGCTTTTAACAGTTTTTATTTTCTAGGAAATTATGACTGTTATCAAATGCTCAGAATTCTGGATATGTTTTTATCTTGCCTTGTGGATAATGATGGCTTGATATTATAGTAATGTGGCAATATACGTATATGTTTATCATACATGAATGATTTATACCACAGAGTAGCCAAATTATTTTTTAGTCTAAATGTCTAAAACTTCTAATAATGATTTACACATTTTATGAAGAAAATCCTTCTGTATACCTGAGTGAACACTAGATTAATGTTAAATGTATCTGTCAGATTGACTGATACATAAAGTAGCTTTGTATTCTAGTAACTACCTCATGGACCACTTATTAAGAGATTAAATACAATTTTCTGAGCATTTTACAGGATCTTATTTTTAAAAAACACGTGTGAGTTATTTGTTTATTTGTAGTTAAAATTGAATTTTTTACTCTTTTCTATGCTCTTAAAGGAAAAGAAATTGTTAAATCTACTATTATAAAGCTCCAGGCAGAAGAGTTATCAATTGAACTGAATGTTACTGCCCTTCAATATAATTGATACTGATATGCAAAATATTTTATTTGTATTTAATATATAGGCAATTTGTGTGTAATTTTTCTTTAAAATAGAATAGCATTGCTGGCAAATTTCCAGAAAGTCACATGGCTTAAGGTAGTTGCTTATCGCCTATAAAATGGCAGGCTGAGTAGATATTACAGTTATTTTGACAAGAAAGTGCAATAAAGAATGACTTGAAATTCTTAGACTAGAACTCAGGATATAGTTTCCTTTATTTGTTTCTACTAGTTTGTTTTTTTTTTTAACCTGGTTGATCTTGTTTATTTTCTGAACACAACTTAGTGATAATCACCCCTAAGAGTCCTTCCCTGAAATTTTTTAAAATTTAGATTCTTTTCCTTAGTGTTCTCCTAGTACCTAAGGTAATATAAGAGTAAAAGTTTATGAGAATGCAGGTATCTTATTATACAGTGAGCTGAGAACATCAAGGGGTGTATAGATCATGGAGTCCAAATGTTCTTTATGACTATCAACTATAATCATAATTAAAATAGTTGCCTTTTGAAGGAAAAAAAGAAAAGCTTTAGCAATATCAGGAATCCACTCGTGATTTCAGGGAAAGGAGGAAGGACAGAGATAAGTTAGGTCTCATTTCTATCATTTAATGTGGCAAAGAGTCATGATGCTATTTTTGTGCCTTGTGTGAACATCACTTAGATTCATACATGAAAAGTCATCTTGGCAACTTTTGCCCAGAGAATGACTGCTCTGGTGAAGAAAGAGAAAAGAAAAGCTGGAGGCCAGGCACGGTGGCTCATGCTTGTAATCCCAGCACTTTGGGAGGCGGGGGAGGGCAGATCATGAGGTCAGGAGATCAAGACCATCCTGGCTAACACGGTGAAACTCCGCCTTTACTAAAAATGCAAAAAGTTAGCCAGGTATGGTGGCACGTGCCCATATTCCCAGCTACTCGGGAGGCTGAGGCAGGAGAATCGCTTGAACTCGGGAGGCAGAGGTTGCAGTGAGCTGGGATCGCACCACTGCACTCCAGCCTGGGCAACAAAGTGAGACTCTGTCAAAAAAAGAAAAAAAAAAAAATAAGAAGCTGGAGGGAATAAACAGAAATGGTAGTAAAGTTCAATTTTATGAAGGGGTGCGACAGAAAAAGAGACAACGCTTCCCTGCCTACCCTAAAAAAAATACATAAAATAAAATGGAATAGTACATATGTTCAGACCACAGCAGCACCAGTGATTTCAGAATTTGCATGATTTTCTCTAATTCCATTTCCTCCAATCCATTGTCCTGGAGGAGACAGCTACAGGAAGAGTGGAGGAATGAAATAAACAGGGACAAAGTGCAAGCTAAAGCCACACATAGCACTGCTTGACTTAAGGTCTCCAACCAAAGAGTAAACAGGAACCAAGTGAAACAGGAAAAGTTCCCTTATCCCCCTCACAGGACACATGCAATGGGGAAGTGGCTCTCTTCTTCAGTGCCCGCCTGCTCAAACCCCTAGGGGGAGCGTGCAGATGGGCAGGTTGTGGGGCTCTGACCCCATGGCAGTGTCTAGGGGTAAATGTTTACAGCTCCTGAAGCCCCAGTGGGAGTGTGTTTCAGGGTGATCTTTTAGTTTAGTCTTCCATAGATGGCTTGTGTTAGTCAGCTCAATTAGACCCCCTGCCTTATCGCAAGGACAGAGGGCTTTCTGTATCCCGCAGTTTCTTGTCTTCTTGTACTGGAAGAATCGGGTCACACGTGGGCTTGGATAATGAGTGCAAGATTTTATTGAGTGGAAGTAGCTCTCAGCAGATTGGGGAGCCAGAGGGGAGATGGAGTGGGCAGGTGGTTTTCCCCTGGAGTCGGGCTGCTCAACAGCCGGGCTCTCCTCTGACTGCCCTGGCCAAACTCTGAGTCATTCCACCGGTCCATGACCTCCTGGCACAGGATGGTGGCATGGCAGGCTAGGGTGGTCTTGGGAAATGCAACATTTGGGCAGGAACACAGAAATGCCTGTCCTTACCTAGGTTGGTAGGCATAGGCCCAGGGATGGAGCCCTAGCCAGAGACTATGCCCTTACCTTCCCAGCTCCCATATCACAAGGGCTTAAAAAACTTGAAATTGAATGTGAGGTTGTTGAATTAAACTGGAGTAGGGTTTTGCTGTTTCTCTCTCTCTCTCTCTCTATATATATATATATTTAATATTATTTAATTTATATTTATTTAATATATATTTAAGAGTATATATTAAATATAATATAAAGAGTATATACTCATATATATATACTTTTTTATATATTACTTTAATATATATTAATACTCTTAAATATATATTAAATAAATAAAAATTAAATAAATATTAAATAAATATATATATAACAAAACAGCAAAACCCTACTCCAGTTTAATTCAACTATATATATATATACTTAATTTAACATAATAAATATATGTAATTTATATTTATTTAATATATATTTAAGAGTATATATACATATATACATACACACACACACAGACACACACACACATATATATATATACACTCTTAAAAAAAGATACTTAAAGTAACCAAATATCTATAGGACACAATATACTGTGTTTGAAGGTGTTGGCAACTGAGAAAATAGTTTTTTGATTACACTGCAATGAACTCTGCCAATTTGATGAAATGGGTTTACTTTCTTTTTTTGTTGTTGTTTGGTTGTTGTTGTTGTTTTTGAGACAGGGTCTCATTCTTTCACCGAGGCTGGAGTGCCTAGGCACCATCTCCATTCAGTGAAACCTTCACCCCCTGGGCTCAAGCAATCCTCCTGCCTCAACCTCCTCAGTAGTTGGGACTACAGGTGTGCACCATCATGCTTGGTTAATTTTTTAATTTTAATTTTATTTTAGAGACAAAATCTCTGTTGCCCAGGCTGGTCTTAAACTCTTGAGCTCAAGTGATCCTCCCGCCTTGGCCTCCCCAAATGTTGGGATTACAGGCGTGGGCCCCTGCACTCAGCCAAGGTTTACTTTCTTTTTATATGGTTGTATTGACCTCTGCTTTAATGCATATCTCTTAGTAGTTTCTGAATGTCTTTTTTTTTCGTATATGAAATTATCTTAACAGGCATACAATAATCTGATGACTTGAAATTATTACAATTCTTCTGTAAATAGCTAGTTTCCCTCCTTGGGATAAAATAAGTTACAGTGAAAATGGAGAAAGTATGCATATCATTTCCATTGTGAAACAGTTTCTTAACAAGACATTGGGGGCTTTGGTATGCATCACATTCTTGGAATTATAAAATAGTAAGATAACTCATATACATGGCATAATGTCCAAAATATACAGTATAAACAGACCGATATCACAGTACTGTCATTTTCATGTGCAAACTAAATCATGGTAATTATAAAAAAAAGTAATCGTTATCAATAACATCATTCATGTACACAGAAAATTATACAAGTAATGGAAATATTTGGAATTAATCATGTCTAAGGCCACTTTCTGGGAAGCTTCTTACACATACTTCACTATGCTTTTAAAAGTTGATTCCCTGTGATTAGGCCAGCATGAGCTGGAATACAGCAATGAGAAGAAGAATTATTCACACTGGCCAGCGCCATGGCTAGGTTCTTAATGGGATGCTCTATAATCAATGACCAGTTCATCCCACCACAAAGCAGAGGACAAAAACACAAAACTATGTAAGAAGATGTTCAGTCAACATGTAAGCAAAGGTCCTGAGTGAGCAAAAAAGGGCCAGTAGTAAGAGCAAGAAAACAGTCTTTTAGTTGGTAACAGATGAGGGGAGAAAAAGGGATGTAGATTTCAGAGTATCATGACAGCTGCTCTCAAACTATTTTCTACATTAATAACCAGAATAAGTATGCATGATATCTCACTTTTTTTCCATGGGTAAAAGAGAAACAAATAGTGAGACCCGTTAGAAAACATTATTTTGACATAGTTGAACCAATTATATAAATGGAATAAACTACTGGGAAGAAAATGCAATATTTGAAATGCAGCCATACAGAAAATTGTCCCTAGATTGAATTAAGTGTAAGCTATTTGTTGGGACTTATCCTAAATTTATTTTCTCATGTTTCATGCTAGAAAGGAAATAGTATCCAAGTTAGACTAATCTCAATTTTACACTTCCCTTGTTTTCCTTCTACTTCTTTTGCAAGCACATTTCTCCTAAAATTGTACTGCCTTCCAGGGATATTATTTACTTGGGAGCTAACTCCAACACAAAGGATGTCCTTAGTACATTTTATTTACTCACAGCAAATGAAGGAGGTGATGATCAGGTGAATGACAGAAATGTGTCTTTTTCAATAAAAATGAATATGTGGAATAGACAGTAAATAGATGGAAAGTGTTTTCAAAGAGACATTTTTAAGTTTTCCATTTTATAAAACATACATTTTAATTGTTACTAAATGCTGCAGTTATAGCAGCCAAAACTTGAGTAGAAAAAGACATCACTTTTGATTTGAGGTGATGACCATGACATAACAATGGAATCATTATGGCTTTAGATTTATTACATCAAACCACAAGAAATTGATTTTTATACATGTTAAAAACATTAAAAATCAGTCATTTCATATGGTTCAACTTAAAGGAGATGTTAATTTAAAGATCCAGATGCAGGTGTATGTGATAGGAGTGGACAGGAGTGGATCTTTTTACTATATACAATACATGCACATATATGCATATATATTCTACCTTTAAATCTAATGGTCTGTTAAGAACTGTGCTAATGATTAACATTTTTAACATTGAATTTCAGGTTTAACCAATTATTCTTGCCCTACAACTAATACTAGGTACATTATCAGCCAATTGTTTTTTCTCAGGCAAAAAATACAAACATGAAAGAAGGGAATATATTCAATAGAGAAATAGTTACTAAGAAACAAAAGCCGTATATACCTGTCCTGATCAACTCATAGGTCAGAGCTGATATTCTAAGCTGAGGCTCATAGCTAAGTTAATAAACATACACATCTACAATTACAACAGAAAACAATTTTTGCTTTTTAAGGTGAATTGCTTTGTTCCGTTAGCAAAATATCACTACATATGAACAAGTTAATTACTCTAAGAATTCAAGGACTAGATACTGCAGTACACATTAAATTGGTAAGAAGAGGAATAAATAGCAACCAAGAGTTAGTCAAACATGGCTTATTTTTTATTTTAGGTTTCTATTTCCAACAAGCCCATTACAGAAAGAGCATTTTTTGAGAAGAAAATAATGTACTCATTCTGAATAGTCCACTCTCTTCAACTCCAATTATTTTATATGATAATTGTGTCTGCTATTAAAATTGATTAAAGCTAAAAGTTTTTGATCAATAACACACATTTTAGCTGGTCATTATGTTTAAAGAAAGAAAAATGTGTACATACACATATATATATTTGTGAATATAAGTACAGAATTAACTGTAAGTTAAGCAGGTTTGCCTTGGATTTACATAAAAGCTTCTTAATTAGTATTTAAACCATATGGATGTAAATACAACCTGATACAGAAATTAGAAATATGGCACTTATTTCTAATAAATGTGAAACCAAAGTGACTCTGTAACATAGAAAGAGAGTCGGTGCCTTTTGCATTTCAATATGTTCACTGATGTTTTAAAGAAGAACAACAATCACTATGTAAAAATTACTGAACCAGATCATGTCAAATTCTTTAAGGAACAGATGTGGAGTTTTTATGATTCACCCAAGAGTAGCAAACACGCTATTGTTTCTAGAGTAAATACACTAAAACAATTATAAAGATGTCAAAATTCTGTTTTATTGCTCCATTCTTTTTACAAAAGGCGTGGGAAAAATTTGTCATGCCTTTAGTTACACAGCAAGTTTTGAACACTTCTTATTTATGTTTGAAAAAATTCTCATGTTATGACATTTTTCACCGAAGCAGAAGTCAGAAATTTGCTTTCGTGGCCTTTTTCTTTAATAGCTAAAATATTTTGCAGTGATCTTGTCTTTCGAATTCTAAATATGGGACTCTCATCCAGAAAATAACAATATAGGAGTCAAATTCCATACATATCCATCTTTTCTCATAAGAGTGATGGCAGAATGACCTGGACTTCAAGGCCAGACATGAAAAACGTTTTGACCTCCAGTGCTAGCATCATGAGGGTGAGCTGTGGTGATTCCAATTGTAGCCTTGCCAGTTGTAGGATCCTCACTAGAACATTCCCATGTTGGGATTTGTGGCCATTTGTGACTGACTTCACGGCCCACCCAAAGATCCAAATGTCTTTTAGTAGACTCCATTTTTACTTCAGTTAGTTTCCTCTTTTTTCATTACTTTTTAAAATTTTGTTAAAGAAATTTTGTGGTAGTCTGGGTGTGGTGGCTCATGCCTATAATCCTAGCACTTTGGGATGCCCAGGAGCGCGGATGACTTTGAGGTCAGGAGTTGGAGACCAGCCTGGGCAACATGGCAAAATCCCATCTTTACAAAAATACAAAAATTAGCTGGGTGTGGTGGTGCACACGTGTAATCCCAGCTACTCAGGAGGCTGAGGCAGGATAATCACTTGAACTGGGGAGGCAGAGGTTGCAGTGAGCCCAGATCTTGCCACTGCACTCCAGCCTGGGCAACAGAGTGAGACCCTGTTTTGTTTTGTTTTTGTTTTTTAAAGAATCCTCATCATGTTAAAAATTGGTGCCAAACATAATTACAGGCAATGGAGCCTCAAGGAAATGAAAAGCCAGGTCTAGTTATCTGGTCTGATTATATTGCCAGGGCGAAAGAATTCATCTTGTATTGAAAGGATGTGATTCTTGCTGTCCCTGGCAGACAGTAATGAAAGGATTATTTAAATTTTCAACTATGGTCACTGATGTAATACATCTATACTTACAATTTCTAGAGTTATGACATTGGCATAAGGAATACAAGCTCTGTGGGATATGCTGATTTCTTCTAATTGTACTCAGCATTAGAGAAAGATAATGACTGCCTTCCTTAATTTCTCAACTCTTGGGATGATCAGATAAGTAGGAGTTGTCCATAGCTGTGCTGTAAGTAGCCCCAAATCAGGTCCAAAGATGGCTGAATTATAATGCTATTTGAATTGTCAGCTTCACCAACCCTTTTATTTGAAACTCAGGGAATTATTGTAAAAGTGTGTGACCTGGAGAATAGGAATGGAGTGATATAGGAGGTAGACCATACACAGTAGAGCCCACCCCCAAACTCACTGAATTTCTGTTGCCACCAATAGTTATTCCTCTCCCACTCTCCTATGTGTCTGCTTCTATGTTGCTTAAATGCTCTACAATAACCCACCTTGGGAAGGGACTTGTTGGGCATGTCCTTATTCTTCAGCCCTCACCATGGCCTCATTTAATGGCCCCCAGTTTTAGACTCAAATTAGCTTCTGTTTGCTTGGAAGTGGTTGAAGTGGAGCAGACATATGAATTATTATGTCTCATGGCAAAAGAATTGCAAGATTTTGCTAGATGATATTACTAAAAATGTCAAGAATGTCTATGGGAAGAAATCCTGGGGATTTTAGAGTCTTAAGGACACCACATAGCATGAGAAGAGATAAGCATATTTATACTGGACATTCTGAATTTGATGCACTATTTAAGGGGTGGATAAATCTTCTCTGCAAAAGGCCAGATAGTAAATATTTAAGCTTTAGAGACCAAATGATTCCTGTCATAACTATTCAGCATTGCCATTGGAGCCAGAAAAGAGTTATAGATAATACATAAATGGCTAGCCCTATGGTCCAATAAAACTTTATTTATAAAAACAGGTAGTGGGCTGAGTTTGACCTTCAGGTTGTAGTTTGCTGACCCCTATGGTTGCTCATACATCACTAGTAATTATATTTACTGTGTGGTTAATTGAAAGCTCTATCCCAGAGCAAACAAAAGCTAAATAAGTTTGAAATAACAAGTATTCCTTGAGAAGACATTCAAAGACTTTGGGAAGAATAGATTACAGATTTTCAAAAACTACCAGGCTAACTTCAAAGGCCCTACTACGCATCAAATGTATAATTGAGGAAGGGGCTTTATATACAGTTGCATTGTGAAGATATTCCAGACTTGAACTATCACCATGGTGCCTCACCCAGTTCTTAGACTTCAACTATTATGTAGTCCTAAAGCTTCCTGAATGAAACTTAAGGATATTATCATTAAGAAGAACCATGTGAGAACATGAGAGGTCTGCTGTAAATACTCCTTCTGGCCTTTAAAGGTATCTAAGGTCGATTGTCGTAGTAATTACACAAGCGAGATTGAGAACTACTTAGAAAAATCAATTATTACTGGAAACTCTCCCTAGCTAACATAAATATGTGAGAAGCTGGTGTATCACGGTCAATCAGACCATAGAGATGTTTAACAGGGTTCTGGCAATTAATGTAACTTTTAATCAAGTCCAATTCAAGGTGCATCCACTTGATCCTGAACATTGTGCTTATGTACTCAGTTACTGAATATAGAGCTAGAATTATTTTGCTTAGCAACTTACAGAAGCTACACATTCCCTTTCTAATTCATGGTTAGAGAGAGTCAAGTGGAAGCTCTGGAATCTCTCTTTTCCTACTAAAATAGTAAATGAAAACTCCTCCTAAATGTCTGAGAAAACTGTAGCCAATAGTGCCACTATCAAACATGTGCAAAGTGTGTATCACTTATTGTTATTTTTCTTTTGCCCTTACAAAAGACAGAATTACATAATTTTATTTGATCCTCTTAAACATATTTAGCTCCTCCTCCATATGTGTTTGCCTATGTTTCAGTGTGTTTGAGTAAATATATCTGGCATTTGGTATGCAGATATTTATCTAGGAATTTATTTTTCTACAGTCAAAGTATTTTAAAAAGTTTTTAAATGACAAGACCTTGTTTTTTTGCCATATAATCACAGAAATTGTAAATTATAAGGTAACATGTCAGTTTTGCCTGTAAGGATTTATATATACATATATATATATACACACACACACACACACACACACATATATATAACAGTAATAGGTGATCATGGTATACCATAGAAACACACACACACACACACACACACATATATATATATTTATTTATTTATTTATTTATTTATGGAGTACCATGATCACCTATTACTGTGATTGTATCATGCTAATTATAAAATGAGGTTAACAAGTAGTGGGTGCCCTATGTATTTTGGTGAAATCTACAGAAGACAGAGACTGACAGATACATTACATTTTTGAATTTCTGGGTGTTCAGTCGTTGGAATGTTTTAGGAATTCCACTCCAGATAAAAGATAATTTATTGGTTCTTACATCCTGTAGCACTAATTTTTAAAAGTGGGGAGCAATGTTTGGCCTTTGGAAACAACAAATATCACACTGGAATGTGCTGCTCAGATTCATTTCCTTAGTGACCCCAAACTCTTTCATTTTTGAGTGAACTCCAAAGAAAAAGAAGTCAGTCAAATTAAAATACATAACACAAATAGTTCTATGATCTTGCCCCAGTGATCCAATAGGTCCAAGAAAACTTCAAGTATTTCTTATAAATTGCAATGCCATATAGAAATTGTTTTCCTTTCCAACACATCATGAATTTTTAAATATTATTTTTGGTTCTTGTTTTCTCTCTAGAGATTAGAATATATTCTTTGTGAAGGTAGAGTTTGCATCTTTTTTCTTTTATTTTCATTTGTTCATTGCTATACCTCCACGGCCTAGCCCACTGTAATAGCTCACAATGTAGTTATTCAAATAATAGTATTATAATGCTATATAGAAAATTTAAAAGGGTCATGGACTAAGAGGAAAGGAAGGCCATGTGGTCAGGGACAAGGGCATCATTTTCGTGCTTGTTTCGGGAAGAATTCTGTCAGACATAAATCTTTAGCAGACCCCTGGATAAAGTGAGAAAGAGAATCATGGAAAAGTTGGGAAGAAATTACTCCAGGCAGAGCAATATGAGTTTGAAAGTTCCTGAGGTAAGGTGAGCTTTGTGTATCTGAGACCAAGTGGAAAAGACAACTTATTTGATAAGGTAAAGGAAGGTGAGGATGGCCAGATATAATATGGAGAAGTGGGCAAAAGCTAGATCGTATAGGGTTTTGTAGAGCATGGTGGGGAATTTGAATTTATTGTTAAATAGTATAGGAAGTCACTAGATTTTTAAATAAGACATTTATATGATCAGTTTTACATTTTAGAAGATTTCTTTGGTTTCTATGTAGAAAATAACTTGAAAGAGTGTTAATAGCAGGTGGAGGACCAATTAGGGCAAAGCTGTTGTACCCAAAGAAGAGTTGATGATGGCTTAAGTCATACTGGTGTTGGTGTTGGAGTGGGCTAGGGTGGAAGTGCTAGTCATCATGGCAGTAGTATTGAGCAGTGTAGTTGTGGATGTGGTCATAGTAGTAATGATAGTGGATAGGGTAGTGGGAGGCCAGGGTGATAGTGGTGGTAGTACTGGAGGTAAGGTTATAGTGGAGACAATAATAGCACTGGTGTTGGTTTTCTCTACTACCTCTTTTGTGAAATAGGGTTATGTGCCTCCTAGGATGCTTAGAAGAATTAAATTAGCTAAAACATTGAAAGAATTAGAAATGTGCCATACCCAAGTGAGCACACAATAAATGATGGCCGACCATACTATTTTGTCTCCACAACGACCAACTTAAATTACTTGTTCCACCTTTGAATTCTATGGAATAGGCCCACTCATACCAAGCAAAATTCTTTGCTATGGTAACAATGAATCATGCACCTTCTGTTGAATATGATTTATTCTTTTCTGAACAACACACTTTAAATGAGTAATTCACCTTGCTGAGACATTATAGTTCCTCATTTTCAACTATCTGATTAATGTATGTTTTTCAAAGTGCATTTAATATTTCTTATGACTTTTGAAGCTTACTCCATCTGTCAATAAAAAAGAGTATCTTCTTATTAATAAACCCCTTCCCCATCAGTCTTCTTCAATCATATAGCATTTGATTATTCTTTAACTTATGAGAATAAATTGTTTTGAAAAATGCAGTAATAGATGTATGTCCAGTATAATACAGGACACATGTCTGTATTCATATGGGTCAATCTAATAGTTTTGTGATCAGGGAAAAGTATGTACAGTTGTATTATCCCAAGTTAGAAATGAAAAGAAGTCCAACAAGTGTCACCATACCATCTTCAACACTTCACTTACCATACCATCTTCAAAAACAAACAAATAAAACAATACCTCAGGGGTACTTCAATTTTTCCCCTTAGGAATCTTCAAAACACTTATATAACATTTAAGACACAGTGGTGCTTCCTCCTTATAGTTTTTCTGTTTGGATCAAAACTATAAAAAGAAAAATAGAAAAAGGGTACAAAACACCTTGGTAAAATTTAAAGTATTTCCATTATTTTAGTCATGGGGAACTAATTACATGCATAATTGTTACATGTGTAATTTGTCTTTGTTAGGATGAATAAGCCCATTGTGCATATATGTTGTTTTTATCAAGGGCAACTGTGCCAGTCAGTATACCTATTCTCTTTTTTGAAAGAAAATCATCGGATTCCTTCATTTTGACAGGTAGAACATTCTGGACTAAACAGACAAAGTAGACATATAAGTCAGCTTCATCCCAAGTACATTTAAAGTTGGAGCAATTAATCAATAATGAGGTAATGGAATTTTAGATGAGTTTTGGGGCTGATGTGAATTTTGTCATGTTAATGTCACCATGTATAACTGGGAACAGCTGCTGTCTGCCTTACTCTGTATAGTAATGTGGAACTTCATATATCTATATAATAACACAGTAAGTCTTGTTACTTAGAAGATCTTATCTACAGTCAAGTGAATGCTCTACAACATTGAATGATTGGTGAGCCTTAGTTAATCTCTGTATATGATTTACAATCCTGTCTAGCATTGTTACACATAATATCCTTAGGAAGTAACATGGAAGGAATGTAGTAATATTTTATTTTCATTTTTTGGTACAGTTCCTGATTTAATGTAGAGATTTTTAAAATACCATTTTCCTATTTTAACATATGCTTTCAGGTATATTGTAGCCCTCCAGTAATGACACAGTTTCACATAGCAAATGCCATTATACATGTGAATGAATTATAGCATCATTTTAAGGACAAGATGTTGCAGTTATACAGACCTGAATTCAAACTCTGTTTCAGCAACCTATCATCTCTTGACCTAGGATAAATTATGTAATCTGAGACTCAGAGTCTTCAATCAAAAGAGGTGTGTTAAGGTTTATTGAGGAAACATACATAATGTGCTTAGTTTGGAAAACAACATGTAGTAAATAATGTAGTAATAATTCAATGAATTGTTGTCACTATCATTTAAACATCACAAAATAAACGTTTACTTTATAGCTGTATGAAATTATATTTAGTTATAAAATAGTATAATATAAATATTCTTTAGAAAGGTCTGATCACTATTAATTTGTATTGGAAATATGAAAGGGAGACGGGTAAAACTGTAACGTTTATTTACACATATTGAGAAAACATTCATTGGTTATATCACTATCTGGGAAAACCACATTATATATTGTATTAAAATGTATTTTTCAATAAGCTTAATTCAATTACTCTCATCTCTTCAATACATAAACTGTATGCCACTTGTTGCTTATACAGTGCATAGATAATACTTATTTCTATGTGAGAAAATTCTCTTTCTAGGTCTCTTTCTTTAAAAATTGTAATGTACTTGGGGGCAAAAGCATACTTCATGCTTTGTCTCTCTTCAACACCTACTCAAGGCAGAGCTTGTGCTAATGGCCTGTGAAGAACACCAAAATATTTTACTCATATTGTTTTATAGTAATGAAATGTCTCTTCAGAGGTTTTGAGAATTAAAAATCTCTAATTTATTTTCTCAAACTGTTTTTACATTCTTTTGTCTGATTCTGACCTGAAACTATCTGCAAGTGTGGAGTTTGCTGTCGTTAGTGAAATAATTGGGAACAGGGTCAGATTATGACTGTTTTTCAGTTGTGCTGACAGTTTGACATAAAGAGTCCTGTACTAAGCCTGAGAACCCCAACTAGACAAGCGCAGGTACAGGTCTGCCGTGTTTAGGAACTGAAAGAATAGGAACTTGCGCTAATGGGAAAGGAACCACCACAGTGCCATAAAATTCACTGACTCAACCAATTCAGAGGTTTAATCCAGAGCACAAGCAGGTTACACTAACTAAAAAATAACAGCTCTTTACCCCTGGAAATGCCCTTCAGCAGAGTAAGCTTAGTAAAAAGGGTCAGAGACCCAGAATCTCCAGGTTAACTATGTTTTAGGTTTGCTTGAACAAGTCTCTTAACTGCAATGCACTTTTCTTTTTCTAAATGTAAGACTGGAATTATGGACTAGGAATTTCTTTTGTCAGCTCTTATTCTCAAATTCACAAAATAATCACATATATAATTTTATTTATATTTCAAATATAAAACATAATTTGGGGGTTATGATTTATTCATAAACATATTAATGGGTAATAGAGAACTACTAACTATATTTTCTTAATTCTAGTCACACTTAATTTAAATAAATGAATATTTGAATATTATAGTTATTTCTAACAATTATGTATTATGCTTTATTGGAAGTTAAATAGCCAATAATAGCAAGAGCTTTATTTAAAGATGTTATGTATTGTTTCTCACTACATTGCAAGATTATTCATTCACTCTTTGTTCTATATTGTGAAATATCAAGGAGGCCAGTTAAAATCCACACACACACATGCTGGGAGAGAGAGAAAAAGAATGAGAAACAGAGAGAGAGATAAAAGGAAAGGAGGAGAGAAAAACAGATAGGGAGACAAGCTGGGTATGTCTGTCAATTTATCAATATATCAATGTATTTAGAGAATGTTTTTACTCTGTATGTAACACTTTAACATGATTCCACAACACAAGGTTTAATATTTTAAAAATCAAATTATTCATAATTTCAGCCTCATTAATTTGAATCTAAATATGATTAATTTAGCTTCCTAGAGATAAGTCAAAACAAAAGTTCCTGACTATTAATTTATCAGAATAGGGTTTAAGATGTAGGGGGAAAAGATGAATTGAACAAGCCCAAACTGGATTAATTTTTGGTACTGTTTATTAAAGGTATGAGTAAAGACAGAAAAAAGATTAAATACCTCAAACTGAAATCTGTTAGTGGCATAATTTAATTCTATGCAAAGCCCACAAAAGTTCCCCTGAATCAAAAGGATATTTAGTAATTAAATATGCTATAGAAGTCACAGAGTAAGATCATAGAAAACATATAACGTCTGAATGCCCAAATTAATCATTGTATAACCCCATTATTGAATATAGTACAACCATTATGTAAAATTTTATATATAGCTTAATATATGAGAAAGCTTAATAATAGTTTATGAATTAGAAAGAAGATAAAAGCACGTTGCCAATCTATACCATTCCAATTTTCCTTAAAAATATGAGTATGTGCATGTGTATGTGAGTAAGTGGATATATATACACACACATATACCTTAATAGATATGCATATATGCATACATACTTATGCATACATATATACATACATATACCATGTATATATAATATGTATAATATATGCTCACTCCGCATATACTCTACACAGATATATGAGAGACAGCAAATATACACTGAATATTAAGAGTTATTAACTTTAACTTGTCAATCTGTAGGAAAATAATTTTACTTCATATAATGTTATATTATCACTAAGGTCCAGTGAATATTCACTTTATTTTAAAGTAAAAATATGTTGCCTGGCTAAAGGAATGAAAGTTATTTAGAATATCAATTTCTATTGTTATTTTCTATAATTTACATACTTAGTCTACTTTTCATTTATTTACCCATTTATTCACTAATTGTGCACTCACTTATGTATTTATTCAGCACAAAAATTCAATTAGACTGTCATAGCCATGGTTTAAGAGTACGCATGATTAATCAGAGGAGTATGTGTTAGAAACACAACAAAATTTATCAATTCTATGACTTAAAATATGCAAAATGGTGGTAAATATTTACACTTTTTTATCTTGAAAATGAGTAGGCAAAAAAGATACAATGGACAGTTTCTTAAAAGAAATGTTCAATAAGTACCTCAAAGGAGGTGGTGGTGTAACAGCAATGGAATTTAATAAAATCATTCTGTTCAAGGCATAACATTACCTCAGAGCTTCCTTGATAATGCAATGCAGCCATAAAGTTTTAAAAAGACAAAAGTTCAATTGTCAGTTGATTTCCTGATTAAACAAGACATTCTTCATACCAGGAATTCCTTAAGAATTTGCTTGCAGAGGGGGCAGTTCAAAGATGGCCGAATAGGAACACCTCCAGTCTAAGGCTCCTAGCATAAGCGATGCAGAAGACGGATGATTTCTGCATTTCCAACTGAGATACTGGGTTCATCTCACGGGGGATTGTTGGACAGAGGGTGCAGGACAGTGGGTGCAGCACACTGAGTGTGAGCCAAAGCAGGGCGAGGCATTGCCTCACCCAGGAAAAGCAAAGGGTCAGGGAATTCTCTTTCCTAGCCAAGGAAAGGGGTGACAGATGGCACCTGGAAAATCGGGTCACTCCCACCCTAATACCGCACTTTTCCAACAGTCTTAGCAAACGGCACACCGGGAGATTCCCGCGCCTGGCTCAGAGGGTCCTACGCCCACAGAGCCTCACTCATTGCTAGCACAGCAGTCTGAGATTGAACTGCAAGGCAGCAGGGAGGCTGGGGGAGGGGCGCCCACCATTGCTGAGGCTTGAGTAGGTAAACAAAGCCTCAGGGAAGCTCGAACTGGGTGGAGCCCAGCACAGCTCAAGGAGGCCTGCCTGTCTCTGTAGACTCCCCCTCTGGGGGCAGGGCATAGCCAAACAAAAGGCAGCAGAAACCTCTGCAGACTTAAATGTCCCTGTCGGACAGCTTTGAAGAGAGTAGTGGTTCTCCCAGCAGCAGTTTGAGATCTGAGAATGGACAGACTGCCTCCTCAAGTGGGTCCCTGACCCTTGAGTAGCCTAAGTGGGAGGCACCCCCAGTAGGAGCAGACTGACACCTCACATGGCCAGGTACTCCTCTGAGACAAAACTTCCAGAGGAGCAATCAGGCAGCAACATTTGCTGTTCACCAATATTCGCTGCTCTGCAGCTTCTGCTGCTGATACCCAGGCAAACAGGGTCTGGAGTGGACCTCTGGCAAACTCCAACAGACCTGCAGCTGAGGGTCCAGGCTGTCAGAAGGAAAACTAACAAGTAGAAAGGACATCCACACCAAAAGCCCATCTGTACATCACCATCATCAAAGACCAAAAGTAGATAAAACCACAAAGATGGGGAAAAAACAGAGCAGAAAAGCTGGAAACTCTAAAAATCAGAGTGCCTCTCCTCTTCCAAAGGAACACAGCTCCTCACCAGCAATGGAACAAAGCTGGACGGAGAATGACTTTGACGAGTTGAGAGAAGAAGTCTTCAGACAATCAAACTTCTCTGAGCTAAAGAAGGAAGTTCAAACCCATGGCAAAGAAGTTAAAAACCTTGAAAGAAGATTAGACGAATGGCTAACTAGAATAACCAATGCAGAGAAGTCCTTAAAGGACCTGACGGAGCTGAAAATCATGGCATGAGAACTACGTGATGAATGCACTAGCTTCAGTAGCCAATTCGATCAACTGGAAGAAAGGGTATCAGCGATGGAAGATCAAATGAATGAAATGAAGCGAGAAGAGAAGTTTAGAGAAAAAAGAATAAAAAGAAACAAACAAAGACTCCAAGAAATATGGGACTATGTGAAAAGACCAAATCTACATCTGATTGGTGTACCTGAAAGTGATGGGGAGAATGGAACCAAGTTGGAAAACACTCTGCAGGATATTATCCAGGAGAATTTCCCCAATCTAGCAAGGCAGGCCAACATTCAAATTCAGGAAAAACAGAGAACGCCACAAAGATACTCCTCGAGAAGAGCAACTCCAAGACACGTAATTGTCAGATTCACCAAAGATGAAATGAATGAAAAACTGTTAAAGACAGCCAGAGAGAAAGGTCGGGTTACCCACAAAGGGAAGCCCATCAGTCGTTAGACTGATCTCTCAGCAGAAACTACAAGCCAGAAGAGAGTGGGGGCCAATATTCAACATTCTTAAAGAAAAGAATTTTCAAACCAGAATCTCATATCCAGTCAAACTAAGCTTCATAAGTGAAGGAGAAATAAAATACTTTACAGACAAGCAAATGCTGAGAGATTTTGTCACTACTGGGCCTGCTCTACAAGAGCTCCTGAAGGAAGCACTAAACATGGAAAGGAACAACTGGTACCAGCCACTGCAAAACATGCCAAATTGTAAAGACCATCAAGGCTAGGAAGAAACTGCATCAACCAACGAGCAAAATAACCAGCTAACATCATAATGACAGGATCAAATTCACACATAACAATATTAACCTTAAATGTAAATGGGCTAAATGCTCCAATTAAAAGACACAGACTGGCAAATTGGATAAAGATTCAAGACCCGTCAGTGTGCTGTATTCAGGAAACCCATCTCACGTGCAGAGACACACATAGGCTCAAAATAAAGGGATGGAGGAAGATCTACCAAGCAAATGGAAAACAAAAAAAGGCAGGGGATGCAATCCTAGTCTCTGATAAAACAGACTTTAAACCAACAAAAATCAAAAGAGACAAAGAAGGCCGTTACATAATGGTAAAGGGATCAATTCAACAAGAAGCTGAATTGCAAGAACTAAACTATTGCAAGAACAAAAAACCAAACACCACATATTCTCACTCATAGGTGGGAACTGAACAATGAGAACACTTGGACACAGGAAGGGGAACATCACATACCGGGGCCTGTTGTGGGGTGGGGGGAGTGGGGAGGGATAGCATTAGGAGATATATCTAATGTAAATGAAGAGTCAATGGGTGCAGCACACCAACATGGCACATGTATACATATGTAACAAACCTGCACATTGTGCACATGTACCATAAAACTTAAAGTAATATTAAAAAAAAAAAAAACAGTTCTATGAGGAGAGTAAGAATTTGCTCACCACTGATTGTGTCCCTAGCACCAGGACAGTGGTGACACGTAGCATGCCCTCAGTAAACATCTGCAGAATAAATGGAAAAGGGAGTATAGCCAAAAATGCATTTAGGACCTGTGATTGTAGTCACAAAGTCATATGTTCTAGATCAGATCAGATCAGTCACTAGTTATGGCAGGAGAGTGTTTAGTGTAATGGTTTATAGCCACAGTGGAAGCCTGGGTTCAAATTCCTTCTCAGTAATTCTCTGGTTGCACGCCCTTTGGCAAACTGCACAACTGCCCTGTGCCTCAGTTTCCCCAGTTGAAAATGGGAACCGTAGTGCCTGACTCAGGCTTAGTTTGCATTAGATACCCACATCAGATGCTAAGCCCAGTGCTCATCTGTGTGTGGTGCTGGTGCTGTTGTTGTGTGTCTCAGGTGTGGTGTGCTGAGCTCCAAGGACTCACCAAGTTTTGAATGAAATAGATCAACTTTGTTATTAGAGAGCAAAGAGGTGTGGGGAATTGTTTTTGCCCAGAGCGTATGTCTAGACCCTTGAGATGAATAAAGTGTCACTGAACATTCTGACATTGCTGGTCTTAGTAAGGTGATAAGTAGGGCTGCACCATCACCCCACAGTCTACGGGGTGGCTCCTCCAGGATGCCTGACACTGCCAGTGCCTCCTTCTCCAAAGGAAGAACACCTGACGCGGTGATCTTAAGCCGTCATTCTCTGTGGTCCGACTCAAGCCACACACCCTTTGGTTTAGTTCAGTTTGGAGAGCAATTTGATGTGCTGGTTTGATTTTTGGCTCACTGACTTTTGCCAATGTGTAATTCCTACTCAGTTCATACTGACTTATAAAGAAAACCTATCATTCTGTCAAAAAAAAAAAAAAAACAAGAATTTGCTTGCAGAAAGTATTTAAACCACACAAACAAAAGGATCTCCTCTTGAGTATGAATAATCTTAAGAGTCACTCATTCTGTCTCAATCATATCTAAAGCACTGAACTTTATCGAATGACCACATCGGTCCCTGTATCATTAAATAATTGGCCTCTGTCATCATCCAAGAGAATACACTGCAGAGCTGTGGCTCCTTCAGGGACCCTTCTGCGTGACCATGGGCACCTTGCCTTGGCTTTCTAATGATTTCCAGCCACTGGAAGCACTCTGTCTAAATACCTACCCTTCAGAAAGATTGCCAAATTGATTTTCAATCCTTTTATGTGGCTCTTGAAAACACCTTAGATTGTTGTGTTTTGTGCTTACTGTTTTCAAATCTTATGTGTTTATAACATTTTCTTCAAATGAAAATATAAAATATTTTATAAAATTCTGTCTATCAAGGCTTAGGCCTGATATATAAACAATACCAGCAGGTTACATTGTTTCTATATTTTTTACATATATTGAGTTACTGAGTGAATGCATGAATTGTGCAAATGCATGTGAAAGCGTCATGTCATCTTTTTAAAAAATTTTGACTATCTTATTTTTGATATTTTATTTTAAAGTCATCTTCATACTACTGTATAATACGTTGAACATAGTTTGTTAATTCGTCTAATTTTTAAGTAAAATTTAAAACCTGTGCACTGAAGAATCCTACGTAAACACATGACTCTCATCTATTTCACTGAAAAAGATATGCCACTATAATAAGAGTAATTAGTTTTTCCTATTATAGTTTTTATAACTAAAGCTTCCAAGGCTGCTTATAGATTCTCTTATATTAACTACTCTAGGTTGAATTCATTCCTGGGATACAAAATTACGTGTTTGGTAAAGGCACAGCAGAAGTTTATTGAGAAACAAAAATATTTATTTAATACAAAAGCAAATTTTTAAATTAGCAAAAAAATCAACACAATTTAAGTTTGGGAATATAACGTTTTCTAAATAGAATAAACTATGGAAATATAACATTTTTGTAAATTTAAATATATAATAATTTATAGAACCTGTTCAAAATATCTCTTCAATTTTTTCTTAATACCAAAAACCTACTTAATTATTTTGTAATACACTTGTAGTGTGTTGTTGAATCCTATATGTGCTTTGTGCTTAGGATTTCATACACTCAAAAATGAGGTTGACCAATTTATGTGGATGTGGGTATTTGTTAATATTTTCTGGCTTTCCTTTCAACATTTTAATCCCTCCCACTTCTCCCTGTCTGTCTCTTTCTTGTTATTCCCTGCTATTTTTATATGCCTTATTTCTTTACTTTTTACATTTATATTGTTTTATTTTAGATGTATCACTTTCAAACATCATATAGCCTGAATATTTTATTAATTTTAACAACCTGAGCCTCCCCCTCAACTTCTTTATTTTTAGAAAGTATTAAAAACCCACATAAGTGTGATCGCATATATTCACAAAATTTTTCATGCCACCTTATTTTATTTTTAATATTTAACTTTTTTAAAAAAGTAGTATTTAAGGTACATGCAGAAAAATTGACTTGTTGTGATCTATTTTATAAATTTTAGTATGTTCTCCAACTCTGTATGGTTTAATGTTCTGGAATGTCTCATAAATGCAACTATGCAGCATGTAGCCCATACGACTGGCTACTTGCAGCATAATAATTTTAAGATTCATTCAAGTTGTTGTATGTAGCAATAATTCATTACTTTTTCACTGTTGAGTAGCATTCCATTGTGTGTCTATGCCACATTTTGTAGAATCAATTCATTTAAGGACAATAGATTCATTGAAGGACGTTTGGGTAGTTTTCATTCTTAGACAATTTTGAATAGAAGTGCTCTCAACACGTATACACATTGTGTAGTGAAAATAAATGTTTATCTGTTTATCTGCCTAAAACCTAGAAATAGAATGCTGGGTTATGTGGTAAGCGTATACTGAAGTTTACAAGAACCTGTCCAACTGTTTTCCACAGTGGCTTTACCATATTGCATTGCTGTTGGTAATACACAAGAGCTCCAGTTACTCTACATCTTTGTGTAGTGATGTCTCATTGTAGATTTAATTTGCCTTTCTCTGTGGTAATGATATTGAGCATTTATTCATGTTCTCATTACTTAGCTGTGTATCCTTTTTCATGAAGTGTATATGCAAGGGTTTTTCTCATTTTAAAAATTAGCTCTATGTTTTCTTAGTTTTGATTTTAGGAGGTGTTTACACATATGGAAACACATCTTTTGTCATATATGCAATTTACTCTGAAAATATAGCTTGTCCTTTCAGTCTCTCAGCCATGTCTTTCACAGAGCAAAAAATTTTTAAGTTTTGATTAAATCTAATTTTTTTCTCTTTATCAGTATACTTTTAGAGTTATGTCTAAGAATTTGTTGCCTAACCCAAGGTATGAAGATATTTTTTCTGTTTTCTTCTTAAAATATCGTAATTTTACATTTTTGCTGACATCTATATTTCACTTTCAGTTAATTTTTATAAGATGTGAAGTTTAGGTCAAGGTTCTTTTATTGTATATTAATTTCCAGTTTCTCCAGCACCATTTATTGAAAAGATCATACTTTTGCCATTGAATATCTTTGTAACTTTGTCAAAAAGAAGCCACAATTTAATAGGTTTATTTTTAGACCCCATTTTTGTTCCGTTGATGTGGTTTTTGATCTCCTGTGTATTTTTACAACAAATTCTGCTAGAATTTTGATTAAAATTTTGTTGTCTATAGATCAATTTGGAAAGAATTGATATCTTAACAACATTGAACTTTCCAATCTATGTTTGTACTACATCTCACCATTTATTTAGGATCATTTTTATCAGTGTTTTCATTTTTAGTATACATATCCTGTATATGTTTTATTTGATTTATACTTAAGAATTTCACTTGTTATACATATGCTTTTATTATATATGTTTATTTCATTTTCCAATTATTGATAGCTAACATATAGGCAATGCCGTATTTATTAATTAAGTTCTAGGAATTTCTTTTGATAATTACATACAATTTTACAGGTGATTTCAGGATATGTTACACTAAGATGGTTTAAGATAGAGGTTTTGCAATACTTATTAAAGTTGAAATTTATTAACCTTGTACACAATAATTCAACTTATGAGTATATATTCTAGAGAAAATTTTGTACAAATACCCCCAGAAAATACAAACTGGATTATTTTTCACAGTAATGTATACAATAGCATGAGATTAGAAACAACCAAGATTTCAGAATTGCACTATATTTATACAACAAATTATTATACAACATTGAACAGGAGCTATGAACAACAATATTAATAAAGTTCATAAACACATTATTTGAGCAAATAAAGAATTATTAGACATATTTACATAAACTAAAACTATGACACCTGGAAATAAACATTAAATTCCACATGATCGGTTACATATATTGGGAGATGGTGGAAGCAACCTAAAAGTATGATACAAAACTAATAGTGGTTTACAGTTTAGATAACGCATTATTTTTTAGGCCATATAGAAGGTAATAGTTGAACCTCATTTTATGTCTTGAATGTTAATGTTGTAAACAAAAGCCCTAAAAAGTAGCCTGTAATTCTGAATTCTATAAAGCATTTATTCGAACTAAGCTAAAGCTATTCAACTCTACAGATGTCAGACATGACTTTTATCAGATATTTTCCATTTCTCCTTCAGTATTGTCATTGCTTCATTGGTGAACAATAGAAAAGAATTCTCATCTATAAAGAAGTACGGAGCACAGCCATTTCTCCAACACAGAAACCCCAAATGCCTCTGTTTAGTTCTTCCAGATTGGCCATATTTTAGGGCAGAGAACAGCAGTACTGGACAAATGTATCTAAAAGGTTCGTTTAAGTAGTTCTTCTGCAAAGGACACAAGAAGAAAGGGTTTAAGAATTGATAGATGCAACAATAAAAACCCATCAGTGACAGACTGTATAACTGCCACTTGTCAGTGATTAACAAATTGATTGAGAAACGTCTCCCTAGATAAGAGGATGAGGACAGGAAGACCTGAGCCCACCAACAAAAAGAAACATGGGCACTTACGAGGAAACAGAGATGTGTCATTGATCTTTTGGAGGGACTTTGGACCATTGTAACTTCTTTTTAAGAAACAACACTGTTTTCAATCAATCAGTGAACAAGTTACATGTATCAATTTGAAACCTATTTTCATTACTAGGGCTGAGGAAATAGATGTTTTGTGTCATGTTATTCAGGGAATTTAGAAAACAGAATCTAGGTATTTGTAAAGATAACAAAATGCTTATAAGCATAATTACTAAAAATGTATATTCAATATGCTTTGGGGACTCAGATAATTTAGAGAGGCTTTATAGCTGTGGTGATATTTAACTTTAGCAATGGGTATAAATTTCCCAAGTGGTGAAAGAGAAAGGCAATGAATCCAATAGAAGACATGAGATGTGTGTGACAATGTGGGAAAAACTAAATGTAGAAATGTTATGTCAGTTGATGTGGCATTGAAGGCATCAAAATGGTAAATGCTTCTTCTGAAAATGTGACTTTAGTTCTTGTCAGAGGGCCTTTGATGCTGTGTAAAGAAATCACCTCTCCTGTAGACAAGTAGAGGGATTAAAATGTATTAGCAACTGGAAGAAATGATTAAATATGATTAAATATACACTTAAAAGTTAACCTTGTAAATCTTACATGTTCTCACAACAAAAGTCGATAAGTGTATGAGATGATGGATATGTTAATTTGTTGACTTAGTCATTTCACAATGCATACATATATAGAAAACCACATTGTATGCTGTAAATATATATAATTTTTATTTTTCAATTGTAAACCTTAGTAGAGCTAGGAAAAATAGTCTTGTAGGTAAGAGTCAGAAGGTTAGTCATTAGATAGAGAGACACAATACAGAATCTGATAATATAATTCAAACAAAAGGGGAACTTTTTATATTTATTTTTATAGCAATATAAAAAAACTGATAGTGGTCTAAGCAAAACAAAGAAAATCAGAATAGAAGCAAGAGTTATGGGCTGAAGAAAAAGGTGTAAACTTGGAATATACATCTATGATACAGCAGCTAATTATCTTGCTAACTGATATTTTTTTACTTAAGGAAAAAATCTTGAATAAAGTAAGTAATCATTCAGCAAATCCGAGCACACTGAATAGTGGCAGGACTTTTATTATTGGCCACAAGGGATACCAACTCAGACAATGCCCATACTGATTTAAAGCAGTAAATCTGCATTTCTAAAATTTTGTCACAGAACAAATTAGTTCTAATCCATAAATTGTTTTTAGCTTATTTTACTTGACAAGGATTACTTGATAGGGAGGTGCCAGCAAGCTACCTATCTCCCCTCCTCTACAACAACTTCTACCCACCATGTTGTCTCAAATATCAACATCAGAGTAATGAAGTTCTAGCAATATTTTACAATCATCTATTAAACTGTAAATATTCTATGAAAATGTAAATACTATAGTGAATAAAAATCTAAGCTATATTTTATATTTGGCAGAAATTAGTTTACCATGTATTTTTGAATGATGATATTGAAGTAAAGGAAACAGTTGGGGAATGCAGCATAAACTGATTAAAGATATTTGAGATACACTCTCTATTTAAAATTTTACTATATCTTAACCCTGATCCTTGTATCTGTTGTCAATACAGTCTATGTTTATATATCTATTTGGTTGGTTTAATGATATTCTCCCTGCAGAAGACTGGAGAAAACTTATGCAATTTCCCCAATGCCTTATTAAATAATCCAACTTGCATCCATTTAATGAACTAGCTAAGAAATATCAGATCTGTGGCTATCTCTGAAGTTATCTAGATGCTTCTGAATAAGTATGTATACTAAATCTAAGTTACAATAGCCATAAGCTCATCAATTTTTTAAAAAGACATTTAGATAGATTATTGACATAAATATAATAGAAATAAAAATAGATGGCTATAGATATGAAAGATGTATATGTGTATATACACATATACTATATGTACACATGCAAATACATTCATGCATACATACAGATAGGTATTAGATAGATAGATAGATAGATAGATAGATAGATAGATAGATGACAGATGGATGAATGGATAGATCTAGATAGCAGCACATATTACTATGTTTCAGATAAATAAGAAATACTCTCTTTTCTTATTATTTCTATCTATTGTTGCCTCTGCTTATGCCCATTTTGCAGATGAAGAAACTGTAGCTTGGAGAGATTAAGTAACTTTCCCTGGATTACAAGGCTCTAAAAAATGAGTACAAAATTGATTTCTCTCTAGCAGCCTGACTGGAGAGGCTATGGCCCCAATAGCTGTAATATATAGAGAGGAAACATTTCTTGGGAAGTAAACTGATCTTTAGTTTATTATAAGAACATTTTTAAAGCCAGCATGTGTGGTGAAAAGGATTCTTTCAACCTTTTATTGAACTTTCATATTAAAAGAAAACAAATAGGCAAATAATAAGTCAATATAAAATTAGAATGAGATATTATGGAATGGTTATTCCCTGAGAGGACTCACCCACAGATAGTGACATGTAAGGAAAAAATAAAATCAATTCAAAGTTCTCCCTTCTTTTGTCTTTATTTTTGTTTTGGTAAACTGTGACACTGAGACAAAGTAAGCAGCTGTGGGAAAGCATGCTGATAGGCCTTTCTCAGGCTCAGTGAGTACATTTCGGAATAGAAAACAAGTTTTAGTAAAACTATAAATATATGTATATTTTTACCCTTCTGCTGCAACTCAGGCATTTTGACATTTTTAAAAGTGAGCTGCACATCACATCTCTTGGTAGCATTTACCCCAGGTAGACCTCAGGCCACAACAGGTACTTCCTGGTTGTCTTAAAAAAGTATACATTATGATAATCCTGTTTTGTCAACTCAGTATATCTTTTAAAAGGACCAATAAAGCTCTCTTAGGGCAAGAAATAAAGGTCATTATATTTCTCCTCAACATTCAGCATAGTTAAAATGTATTGAAATTAAGTGAGTCAGATCTGATATATTTTGGGATCATCTAGCTCACAAAATAAAGTCTTTACAGGATAAAATCAAAGCCAGTAACTGTGTAAAGTAAAATTAAGACAACAGCATAATTATTCACTTTATTCATTAAAACTTTAAGATTTTATTTTAAAAAAGATCTTATCATGGTTTGCATGATCATATTAAAAAAGTATAAAGAGAAGATAAAGATAGAGAAAAGAGAGAGAAACATGGAATGACTCTAATTGCTAATTATGAGATGTCATAATTGCTAATTATATGCCAGAGATACCGTCATTGAAATTCCTACATTCCGTTAGAATTAAACACAGAGCCCCTGAATTTCCATACAACTTTACAATTCAAAGAGCATTCTATATTGAATTTGCTGTCATTTATTGCTGTTGATTTCACCTTATTCGCATTAAGATTATACTCACTTATATTGTTTTATTAAAGTTATGCACTCTCTCCTACCTTCCAAATTTGTAAGCCTTCCGAGAGAGGCTCTCTCGGACACCACGGGTTTATCCCTAATTAACTAAAATATAAGTTTGGGAGGGAGATGAAACAAGATGGCTGACTAGGGCCCTCTAGGATTTATGCTTCATCCAGAAACACCAAATAGAACAACTATACACACAAGCCAACACCTACATAAGAACCAAAATCACATGAGCAATCACAGTACCTGGTTTTAACATCATATGAAGTAAAGAGGCACTGAAAGGGTAGAAGAGTCAGTCTTGAATTGCTGAGGACACTTCTCTGCAATCCCTTTGCAGTGGCCATGTGGCATGGAGAGAAAATCTGTGTCCTTGGGGGTGGGAGAGCACAGTTATTGTGGGTCTTTATATTGGAACCCAGCACTGCTAGTCACAGTAGAAAGCAACACAGGGGAGAATTTAGCTGGTGCCCATGCAGGAGCGTTTAGATCAGCCCCAGCCAGAGGGGAATCTTTCAATCCAGTGGTCAGAACCTGAGCTCTGGTTAGACACACCACAGTGGGCTACGGAGATATGGGGTTCTAAATAAACTTGAAAGGCAGTCCTGCCCAGTGAGATGACAATTTCTGGGCAAATCCTAGTGCTCCGCTGGACTCAGAGTCAGCGGGCTTGGGCTACACACGACCTAGTGAGACACGAGCTTGGGCAGCCAAGGGAGTTCTTATGCAATCCCTCCCCCAACCCCAGGTAGTGCAGCTCACAACTCTGGGGGAGACGTTTTCCTTTTGCTTGAGAGAAGAGAGGAAAGACTGAAAAAGGAATTTGTCGTGGAGCTTGGGTTTTAGCTCAGCCACAGTAGAATAGGGCACCAGGCAGAGTCACGAGGCCCGTATTTCAGGCCCTAGCTCCCAGATGACATTTCTAAACACAACCTGGGTCAGAAGAGAACCTACTGTCTTGAAAGGAAGAACCCAGTTCTGGAAAGATTTATCAGCTGCTGACTGAAGTGCCCACTGGGCCTTGAATAAACACCAGCAGTAGCCAGGCAGGACTCACCATGGGCCTACAGTGAGATCCAGTGTCATGCTGGCTTCAGATGTGAGTGAGCACATTCTGAGCTATGATGGCTATAGAGAGAGACCTCTTCTGCTTGAGGGAAGGAGACAAAAGATTAAAGAGACTTTGTCTTGCAGCTTGGGTACCAACACGACCACAGTGAGATAGAGCACCAAGCAGGCTTCTAGGGTCCCCAATTCCAAGGCTTGCCTCTTGGACAGCATTCCTGGACTTTCTCTGTGCCAGAGGGGCTCCCAGTTCTCTGGAGGGAAAGATCCAGGCCTGGTAACAGTCATCACAAGCTGACTGAATAACCCGTGGGCATTGAGTGAACATTGGCAGCAGCCGAGCAGTAGTCACCATGGGTCTGAGGTGGTTGTCATCATGAGGAGAGACTTTTTGCTTGAGAAAAGGAGAGGAAATTAGAGAAGGACTTTGTCTTGTGGCTTGGGTGTCAGCTCAGCAGCAGTAGAATAGAGCACCTAGTATATTCCTGAGCTTTCCAACTCTAGGCCCCGGCTCCTGGAAGGCATTTCTGGACCTGCCCAGGGCTGAGAGGAACTCACTGCCCTGAACAGAAACACACAATCCTAGCTGGATTCACCACCTACAAACTGAAGAACTCTAGAACCTTAATCGAACATAGGTGGTGGCTAGGTGGTGGTCACTGCTGACCTTGAGTGAGACCCAGGGCTGTGCTGGCTTTGGGTCTGACCCAACACAGTCCCAGTGGTGGTGGACACAGGGGTGCTTTATTCACCTTCCCCCTAACTCTTTGCAGCTCAGCAAGGAGACAGAGGCATCCTTTGTTTGGGGGAAAGTAAGAGAAGAGAACAAAAGTCTCTGCCTAGTAATCTAGAGACGTCTCTTGTATCTTAGCCAAGACCATCAAGGCAGCTTCTCTATAAGCCTGCAAGAGCCACAGAATTACTGGGCTTGGAGTATCTCCTAATGCAGATATGGTTGTAGTTACCAAAGTCTTAGATTACAACAGTCAGTTCACTTTGAATACTTGGAAAACCTTCCCAAGAAAGAGGATACACAGAAGCCCATACTTCAAAGGCTGCAATGAATAACTAATTTTTCAATGAACAGACATTGACAAACATTCAAAAGCATCAAGACCATCCAGGAAAACATAAATTCACCAAACAAACTAAATAAAGCACCAGTGATCAATCCCAGATTGACAAAGATATTTAATCTTTAAGACAGAGAATTACACGTAACTGTTTTGAAAAAGCTCAATAAAATAGAAGATACTTCAGAGAAGAAATTCAAAATCCTATCAGATAAATTTAAAAAGAAATTAAAATAATTTTTAAAAATCAAAAAAATTCTGGGACTTAAAAATTTAATTAACATGCTGAAGAATGCATCACAATTTCTCAGTAGAAGAATTCGTCAAACAGAAAAAAGAATTAGTAAGCTTGTTGGAGGAGACAAAATAATAAGAAAGAATGAAGCACAACTTCAATATCTAGAAAATTGCCTCAAAAAGACAAATCTAAGATTTATTTACCTTAAATAGGTAGATAAAGATAAGGGTAGAAACTTTATTCAAGCTTTTATCAGAGAACATTCCAAAACTAGAAAAAGATGCTGATACTCAAGTACTATAAGGTGGTGGAACAAACAGCAGATTTAACCCAAATAAGAAGACCTTAAGACACTTAATAATCAAACTGCCATGTGAAGGATAACAAAATGATCCTAGAAGCAGCAAGAGAAAGAAAAAAATAACATGCAAAGGAGCTCCAGTATTTCTGGCAGCAGGCTTCTCAGTGGAAAACTAACAGGCCAGGAGAGAGTGGCATGACATATTTATACTTCCAAAGGAAAAATCTAGAATAGCATATCCAGTGAAAATATTCTTCAAACATGAAGGAGAAATAAAGAATTTGCCAAACAAACAAACCAAAAAAAAAAAAAAAAGGCTGAGAGATTTCATCAACACCAGACCTGTCTTACAGGAAATGCTAAAGGGAGTTGTTTAAACTGAAAGAAAAGGTTGATACTGAGAAAAAAAAGAATCATCTGAAAGTACTAAACTCACTGTTAATACTAAGTACACAGACAAACACAGATTATTATAAAACCATAATTATGTTGTGCTAACTACTCATATCTTGCGTAGAAAGATTAAAGATTAATCTATGAAAAATAGTAACTACAACAACCTTTGAAGACATAGACAATAACATATAAATAGAAACAATAAAATGTTAAAAAGTGAGGAATGTTATTTAAAATGTAGAAATTGTACAAGTTTTCTCTTTGCCTGTTTGTTAGTTTATTTGTGTTTTGCAATCAGTGTTTTCAACAGTTTAAAACAATGGGTTATAAGATGTTCTTTGTAAGCCTCATGGCAACTTCAAATCAAAAATAAAAATTACAATAGATACACAAAAAAATAAAAAGCAGGAAATTAAAGCACACCACCATAGAAAATCACCTTCACAGAAAAGACAGGAAGCAAGGAAGGAATAAAAGACCACAAAACAACTGGGAAACAATTAACAACATTAAATATAAGTGTGCTAAAGTCTTAAATCAAAAGACATAGAGTGACTACATTGGGGAAAATAAAACAAGTCCCAACTATCTGTTGCTTGCAAAGAACACAATTCACCTATAAAGATACACATATACTAAAAATAAAGACAGGAAAAAAGACATTCCATATAAATAAAAAAACAAAAAAAGTTCAGGAGTAGCTATGCTTACATTAGTTAAAATTGATGTCAAGACAGAAACAATAAAGAGACAAAGAAGGTCATTTTAATAATGAAGGGGTCAATTCAGCAAAAAGGATATAACAATTGTAACTATATGCCCCCAGTACTAGTGCACCTAGATTTATAACTAGTATTATTAGAGCTAAAGAGAGACAGATAGACCTTAAAACAATAATAGCTGGAGCCTTCAAGACCCCACTTTCAGCATTGGACAGATCATTAAGACAGAAAATCACCAAAATGCAATTTAATCTGCACTATAGACCAAATGAACCTAACAGATATTTACAGAACATTTTTTTCAATGGCTGCAGAATGCACATTCTTCCCCTCAGCACATGGATCATCAGGCTAGACCATATGTTAGATCACAAAACAAATGTTAAAAAATTCAAAAAACATTGAAACAATATCAAACATTTATTTAACCCCAATAAAACAAAATTAGGAATCAACGACAGGAAGAATGTTGGATACTATAGAAACACATAGAATTTAAACAATATGCTCCTGAATGACCAGTGGGTAAATGAAGAAATTAACAAGAAAATTTAAAAAAATTCTTGAAACAAATTAAAATGGAAACAAAACATACCAAAACCTATCGGATATAGCAAAAGCATTATTAAGAGGAAAGTTTTAGCAATAAGCACCTACATCACAAAAGTAGATCCCAAGAACATACAACATAAAGTGGGGGAAAGGACAGTCTCTTCAAAAAATGATGCGGGTAAAATTGGATATTCATATGCAGGCAAATGAAACTAGACCCCTATCTTTCACCATATACAAAAACCAAACAAAATGGATTAAAAACATAAATATAATACCTGAAACTGTGAATCTACTGAAAGACAACATTGGAGAAACTCTCAAGGACATTTATCTGGGCAAAGATTTCTTGAGTATTGCCACAATAGCACAGACAACCAAAGCAAAAATAGACAAACGGAAATACATCAAGCTTAAAACCTTCTGCAAAACAAAATAAACAATCAACAAAGTGAAGAGACAACTCACAGAATGAGATAAAATATTTGAAAACTATTACTTGCAAACAAGAGAATAATAACCAGAATATATATGGAGCACAAACAACTCTATCTAAAGAACTAGTAATCTGATTAAAAGTAATCAAAAGATCTAAATAGACATTTCTCAAAAGAAGACATTTAAATGGCAAGCAGCTACATAAAAAGGTGTTCAAAATCCTCAATCATCAGAGAAATGCAAATCAAAACTACAGTGAGGTATTTTCTTACACCAGTTAAAATGGCTTTTATAAAAAAAAATAAAAAAACAAGCAATAACAAATGTTGGTGAAGATGTGGAGAAAAGGAAACCCTCATACACTGTTGGTGGGAATGCAAATTGGTACTGTCACTATGGAGAAGAGTATGGAGATGCCTAAGTAACTAAAAATAAAACGACCAAATGTTCCAGCAATCCCACTGCTAGGTTTATACCCCAAAATAAGGAAATCAGTATATCAAAGAAGTATCTGCACTCCCATGTTCATTGCAGCACCATTCACAATTGCCAAGATTTGGAAGCAACCTGTGTCCATCAAGAGAGGAATGGATAAAGAAAATGTGGTACGTATAAACAAAATGGAGTACTATTCAACCATAAAAAGAATTAGATTCTGTCATTTGCAACAACATGGATTAAACTGAAGGTTATTATGTTAAGTGAAACAAGTCAGGCACAGAAAAACAAACTTCACTGAATGTTCTTATTCATTTGTGGGAGATAAAAATTAAAACAATTGAACTAATAGAGATAGAGATTAGAATGATGGTCACCAGAGACTGTGAAGGGTTGGGCGGATGGGGAGGGATGGTTAATGGGTTCAAAACTATAGTTAGATCAAATGAATAATATATAGTATTTGATAGCAAAATAAGGTTATAACAGTCAACAACAGTTTATTTTACATTTTAAAATAACTAAAAAATTATGATTGGAATGTTTGTAACACAAAGAAATGATAAATGCTTGAGGTGATGGATATCCCACTTATACTGATGGGATTATTACACATCGTATGCCTGAATCAAAATATCTCCTGTACTCTACAAATATATATATACCTACTATATACCCATAAAAATTAAAAGTTAAAAAAATCAAGAAAAACAAAATAAATGTTTGATAATGGTAATAATATGGGTTTAATTTTTCCTTTTATATTTCTACGTGGGAAAAATTTGGAATTTTCTCATTAATATTAATCTGAAAAGACAATTATCTTTTTTTCATAGCAATAATGTGTGTCGTTATGAGATGATTTCATCTGGAAAAAATATTTTTTCCTAATAAGAAAAAAAACACAATAAATTACTTGTAGAGTTTTCTTTTTTTAATTTCTCCAGAGACTTTAATAAATCATAGAAATTAAATATAAAAATACTTTATTAAAACAACTTTTTTTATTATTATACTTTAGCTCCTGGGGTACATGTGCAGAATATGCAGTTTTGTTACATGGGTATACACATGCCATGGTGGTTTGCTGTACCCATTGACCGGTCACCTACATTAGATATTTCTCTTAATGCTATCCCTCCTCTAACCCTCACCCCTCGAAAGACCCATGTGTGATGTTTCCCTCCCTGTGTCCATGTGTTCTCATTGTTCAACTCCCACTTATGAGTGAGAACACATAGTGTTTGGTTTTCTGTTCTTGTGATGGTTTCCTAAGAATGACGGTTTACAGCTTCTTCCATGTCCCTGCAAAGGACATGAACTCATCCTTTTTTATGGCTGTATAGTGTTCCATGGTGTATATGTGGCACATTTTCTTTATTCAGTCTATCATTGATGGACATTTGGGTTGGTTCCAAGTCTTTGCTATTGTGAATACTGCCGCAATAAACATACATGTGCATGTGTCTTTATAGCAGCATGATTTATAATCCTTTGTGTATATACCCAGTAATAGGATTTCTGGGTCAAATGGTATTTCTAGTTCTAGATCCTTGAGGAATCGCCACACTGTCTTCCACAATGGTTGAACAAATTTGCATTCCCACCAATAATGTAAAAGTGTTCCTATTTCTCCACATCCTCTCCAGCATCTGTTGTTTCCTGACTTTTTTAATGATTGCCATTCTAACTGGAGTGAGATGGTATCTCATTGTGGTTTTGATTTGCATTTCTCTAATGACCAGTGACAGCTTGTTAAAAAAATGTCCCTTTGGAAAATGTGTTCTAGTAGTATAAAGTACCATTGATAAGCATAATCAATAATTTTTAATCTCAAAAATTGCTAGGACTATCTTTAATAAACTCATGAAAGCCTTTTAAAAATATTATATTAAGCACGTACAATAAATAAAATATTTAACAATTGCTTGTTTTATAATGTTATTTTAGTTTAAGGGTATAGTTAGTATTTTGAGTTTATTAAACAATCTGAGGTTTTAATCAATCTACATTGTCACATGCATATTATCACTCATAAGAAATCTATGTTAATACACATTGTAGTTAAACTCTATATTAATACACGTGGTATTTTATGCCAGGGTGTATAACTATTAATCTTTAAATGTTAGTGTTATAAATAGGCTTATTAACACAGTTTCTCAGTATAAACATTTGCCTTCTGCAATGTTAAATATTTTAACAGTTTTTATTATTATGGGTTCTTCCAGAATTTTGTATAAGTATTTATATATATCTTATTTATAAAGGTATCCTATTACGAAAATGACCCTCAGAGACATCAGATTCTAATCCCCAGACCCTATAAATATTACTTTCTTTGGAAAAAGTGTCTTTGCAGAAGTAATTAAATGAAGAGTCTTGAGGTGGCATGATTCTACTGAATTATCCATCTGGGCCTTAAATGCAATCACAGGTATCCTTATAAAATGGAGGCACAGAGAAATTTGACACACAGAGAGGAGAAGGCAATCGGAAGATGAGTAGACAGAGATTTGAAGATGCTGGCTTCAAGGTTGTGGTGATATAGCCACGAGCTTAGAAATGCTGAATATTAGCCTTCTGGAAGCTTGGAGAACCAAGATATTGATTCTCTCCTTTGAACCTCTGCAGGGAGTATGTACCTACTGACATCTTGATTTTGATCTAGTGATACTTACTTTGGACTTGTGGCCTGTAGAAACTGTGAGAAAATAAATATCTGTTGTCTTAAGCAAGTAAGCTTGTGGTCAGGTGCTAAAGCAGCCACATGACACTACAATACATTATTGACAAGATCTACAATTTGTTTTACAGACATATTACAATAATTACATTTTGTGGCATATTTTATTTATGCTATAGAATTCTTAGTCATTGAGAACCATAAAATATAAAAAGTACTTTTATGGTCACATTTCTAAATATTTTTATTAAATATGTAATAGTTTCATTAATACTTTAACATAAAATTTTTTAAAGTATGTCTTTGTAGTTTGACAGAAACTGTACAATTTCTATCTAAAACTATGATGTGAATTTACATTTCCAACATAAATATTTCTTCACATACTCAACAAAAATAAATATTATTGGTTTTAATAATTTTTATTAATCTACCTCAGGTTACTATAATATTCATTTTGAAATGAATATGAGCTTCCTTATAATGTGTCAGAAATCTATATAAATATTACCAAAATAAATATTATCAATGATAAGCAGAGATATTAGAACATTCATCTTGTTAGTGAAATTACTATTCTTAGTCGTATTTATTGAAGCATAATTTAAATACAAATGTTTACAAATTTATTCTACAATTTGATGAGTGCTAACTAAAATATGCAGTTCTGTATGATCACCATCACAATTACAATAGAGATTATTTCTATCACTTCCCAAAATTCCATGTTGTCCTTTTCTAAAGAATAACTTTCTGTTGCCCCAAATACAAATTAACTTTTATCTTAATTATTAAGATTTTAAAATGCAAGCTGACATATGTATGTGTGTGTGTGTCTGTGTGTGTGTAGAATCAGATATTTAAATAAAAAAAATCTGGCTGTTGTACTTTAAGATAATTTAAGATAAAATGACATTATAAATTATCATGGTGCTTATAAAGCAACCCCTCTCCTCCGGGGCGGGGGGGCAAGAAAAAAAAACTTAGATTTTTGTCCTGTGGCTGGGAGCAAAAAAAAAAAAAATGACAAGAAAGACAATTTACCATTTTATTTTTATAATTCATGATGTATATAGAGTATAAAAATTTTTTTTATCTAATATTAAAACTTTGTGCTTTACATCAGGGTAGAGTGGTTTTCAAAGCTTTATCATATGATGTTGATGGCACATATGCAAGTATGACTATAAATAGGAACAAGCTTTGAGGAGATTTGCAATAAAATATTGATAGCAATAGAGAAAATGTTCAAGTAATGCCCAAAGCTAAACTCTAAGAGGATCAACATGTAATTGACATAGTTTGCCCATCCCATGGGTCTTAATTTCCAACTCATCCTTGAGGAAATTGTGTTTCCTTAATGATTCTTCTGCTATTGTTGGAAAAAAATGTTAACTTTCATCTTTAGTGTTCCCCAAATTAAGTAATTGAATTATTTCCCATTATACTTTTACAAAGGGTAGACTTTATTGAAGCTCTTGCCAAATTAAAACAAACACATACTAAATGTTAACAAGAAAGACAGTGAAAGAAAAATATGGTCCACATACATTATGTAAATTTATCTTTATTGTGTGTATACACACACACACACCACATACACATAACAGAAATATACTATGTATTTGTATAAAGTTGTGTAGGAGATATATATATATATGCATTCCATAATTTTATATAAGTGAATACATATTATATATTTATATAAATTGTATATGAGGATATATATATTCCATAATTATATATAAGTAATTATAGTACATAGTATACAATTACGTAGGATATATATATATATAACACCTATATATGCATTTCTGTTAAAAGAATATTAAATATTGGCCTGAATATCTAAATGCATTTTAACCATGGATAAATTTTTCTAATTATATTTTTTTGATTTTCATGTATTTTCCCATTAATCTTGTAAAATTTAATGACAAAATCCTTAAATCCATTACTCAAGTATCTAATCATATTTAAAACATTTTCTACATGATTCTCAGTAGATTCATTACTGTCTTCAGAATGGTTTGTGTTTTTCAACAATGTCCCCCCTTGTTATATCATTCTACAAACACTTATTTTCCAGAGTATCATTAAGCATTAAATTTATACATAAATCAAATACAGAAATCCATCATCATATTGCCATCTGAGGGAAGATGAGCTTTCTTCCTAATGAAGCCTTCTAATTTTGATGTATTAGGAAACCTTTGCCTTTAAATCTGTATATTTTTACATAAGACCTTGATTTTAGAAAGCACATTTAAGCATTGAATGGGTAATGTATTAACTCAGAAAAATCTGGTAATCTCATTACAGTAATTAGTTTTAAGCGATATTCTATAATTCATTCTAAACAAATGAAATGGTTAAGAAATGAGATATGAATAAGTAGAGAGCCTGAGTATTTCTCTGGGCATAGACCTCAGTCAGACCCAGAAGGAAAACTTCTGGCAAGTTAGACATCACTACTGGGGGTAGGGAAGAGGTCAGAAAGAAGAAAGAAGAGAATGAAATTCATTGGAAGCAATTTGCAACAGATTCAGTACTTATTACCTGAATTTGATTTGAAATCTGGATTGACTGATTCCAAAGTTTCTATTCAGACTATGATGTGAAATGGGTATTATGGAATATCTGGTGAAAAAACTTTATATTCTAGTCTGGTAACAGTGTGAAAGTATATCAGCAAATTCTTTCCATTGTGCCTGTACCTTTTTTAAATGATATTCCCTGACCTTCAAATCTCAGATCTTCTCACCTCTCATAGACTAATTTGTATTTTTTAAATCAATACTTTCTCTACAGCAGATAATTCCTCCAGTACATGTTTTAGTATCTCTGGTTTCAGCACCCACACTCAAATAGATGCACAATTTTATTTTTTCCTTGACCTATGTCACTTGTAGTTTCTAAATATTTGGCATTCTGTACACACACTCATACAAAAATGTATATCCAAGAGTTTCCCATACCTACTTTCTCTCTTGCCATATACTTCATCACGGGCCAACCCACGACAATCTGAATTTCATGCTTTCCAGACCACTGACTGAAGCAACCCTTATTGATGTCTCCAATGGGTAGTTACAATCAAATTATCAAATCAATCAAATTATCTCAATCTACTTTTTCTAACTAGCCTACTTGGTCCTAGAATAAAATTTAAGCTCCTCATCAGAACACAAAAGGAGTTCAGCTTCTAGCTGTATCTCATCTCATTTGATACCATTCCTCCCTTTGCTCACTCAGAGCCACCACACTGACATCCTCCGTTTGCCTCAAAATTCAAAAAACAGAAAGTTGAGAAATAATGTTCACATGTTTGCAAAAGGTGGAATGGCTTTAATTTCATTCTATGTTTCCATTCAGTTTTCTAAGCTTAAAACATTTGGACTAATTTTTACCTTCCAATTCCTCATGAGAATTTTAACCTTAGAGGGATGCTAATGGCATTTTATAGGAATTTGACTCATACTTGTAAAAGAGACAGGGCCATGCTAACCCCAAGAAAAATAATTGTGTTAGTGTGCTTTTGACTAAAACTGAGCTACTTCAAAATTCAATGGTAAATATTACTTGAAAGGAAGAAAATTAAGCAGTGTTTTCTCTATAAATAATGTTTAAAGAAATAAAGCCTGATAATGCTGATAATGATGATGATACTCATATTCAGACTTTTAATTTTGAGTAACAATTTTTGAGTAATGAAATATATCCATGACCTGTGTTCAAGGTAGTGAAGTCCCTGACATTTTTTAAGTTCAAAGTTTTTATGAATGATTGGGTTGTGAGGTGAGCTGATGCAGCCTTTAGCAGCCTACAGTGAATGTAACCCCTGGATAAGAGTGTCTGTAAGACAGAGAGAGTTTCTTGTCCTAATAAGGTCAAGTTATGCAATGCTGCATAACTATTTTAACTATTTTATTCTCCTAGGTGGCGGGGGCCTATATAGAGGAAAGTTTGATGATTGATGTACTTGAAATCTGAAAATATCTATTTGAGCCTGACTCCGCTAGTTTGCAGCTAGGCTTTGTAACTTTGGGTCACCTCTGACCTTCAGGTGCTTTATCTTAAAAACTAGGAAAATAGTACACTCCTTAAGTCTCTTCTTTGCTTAATAGGAAGATCCTACAAAGCATTGGCAAACTTGCCTAGCAGTAGAACATGATGTAAAAATGTTATTATTATTATTTTTTTTACTAATAATGTATGCATGGACACTGATCTTTGTTCTTGCAGTTTGAACTGTTTTGGGCTATATGGTAGGCACTACGCTTGGCTCATAGAGATGATGATAACATCAGATACATTCTGGACTTTTGGTGTGGGGGCTGCTAAGAAAGTGGGGACTGAGATATCTTCCTTTTGTTTTACCAGCTAATCTAAGACAAGGGATGCAAAGATCCACATGCATCCATGTGATGAAGAACCCACATGGTTTGGATAGATATGGCTTTCAGTTATCTCTCTTGCTCCCCCAGAGCTACAACCAACATTTTAAATTTTCCCCAACCTACTCAGCAGAGTCCCGAATTCTCATTTTCAGCTGCTGGGAAATTCTCCTATGCATTTGGATTTTACCTTACACCTATGATTAAAATATTTTCTGTGTCATAGATATACAACCAACTTTCTTTCCATTTTAATTTTGATCCAGCCAGCCAGGACATGGTATAATATGCAGAAGAGAAAATAGAAAACACACAACATAGACTCTTTGAATTTAAAATAATGAATGCTATGATACCCCTTACTTTCCTTTCCCAGTTCTGCCAACTGAGTAGAAAGCACAGTAATGGAATTAATTCATCAAGTTAAAGACCTATCACATCATTATCTATTCATTTCATTATTCTGTGCAATCCATTCTCAAGTGCAGTTGAATATATCACTATCATATGATATGACTTAGGTAATTTTCTCCATCTTCACTTTCATCATTTTTGCTCAAAGCACCATATCTCTCACTTAGTCTATCTCACTGTTATCCTAACCAGTCTATCTACAGGTTTTCTTGTCTCTGTACAATCTTTTATTCATGAATAGCTGGTTTCATATTTTCTTTTTTTTTTCCTTTTTCTTTTTTTTTTTTTTTTTTTTGAGCAACAAGGCTGTTTATTTCACCTGGGTGCAGGCGGGCTGAGTACCAAAAGAGAGTCAGCAAAGGGTGATGGGATTATCATTAGTTCTTATAGGTTTTGGGATAGGCGGTGGAGTTAGAAGCAATGTTCTGCGGGCAGGAGGTGGATCTCACAAAGTACATTCTCAAGGGTGGGGAGAATTACAAATTACAAAGAACCTTCTCAAGGGTGAGGGAGATTACAAAGAACTTTCTTAAGGGTGGGGGAGGTTACAAAGTACATCAGTTAGGGTGGGGCAGAAACAAATCACAATGGTGGAATGTCATCAGTTAAGGCTATTTTCACTTCTTTTGTGGATCTGGGATGTGAGGAGCGCCTCTGCCCGGCCGCCCCGTCTGGGATGTGAGGAGCGCCTGTGCCCGGCCGCCCATCCTCTGGGATGTGAGGAGCACCTCTGCCCGGCTGCCCCATCCGGGAAGTGAGGAGCGCCTCTGCCCGGCCGCCCCGTCTGGGAAGTGAGGAGCGCCTCTGCCCGGCCACCCCGTCTGGGATGTGGGGAGCGCCTCTGCCCGGCCGCCCCGTCTGGGAGGTCTACCACAGAGGCCAGACGCAGTGTGGGGGCTGGACGTGGTGGCTCACGCCTGTAATCCCAGCACTCCAGGAGGCCAAGGTGGGTTGATCACTTGATGCTAGGGGTTCGAGACCAGCCTGGCCAACATGGTGAAACATATGAAAAATACAACAAACCAACCAACCAACCAACCAACCCAGCAACAACAAAACAGGTCTACCCTGGAGTCATACTCTATTTTTTTCTATTTTCCTCCCTTTCTGATCCTTTATCCCACTTTCTTTTTCTTCCTCTTCCTTCTCCTTCTTGTCAAAGACATAGAGGATTGAGTTATTATCACTGATCCATACAAAGTCCCTCTCTCATTTATTTTCTTTCATTCCCACCCCCCATTTCTATTCCTCGTCTTCGCATGTGCAACCTTCCTAATATGTTTGATATGCATCTTTTTGTTTGTATGTATTTTTAGAAAATGTTAAATAAAAAAAGATTTAAAACAAGCCCTGCAAAGGCAGGAAAGCTGAACTGGCTGCTGAGCCCCTTCTGCTTGGCCACGCAGTACCCACGCCTGTAGCCCCTGGAATCCTAGTGTGGGCTAAGGTGGAGTGGACCCTCTGGCTTGGTCACGGCGCAATGGGCCACCTGGAAACCATCCAAAAGAGACCTACCAGCCCGTGCCCTAGGTGCAGCTGCCACCTGCACGTCAGGCACCAGCAGCAATGGCCAGACCATCCCTGATTCTCCATGCCCTCCCCATCCCCGCCCCAACAGCAAGGACTCCCTGACAGGACGCTGTGGTAGTGGCTGTCAGGAAGTCGGCTGGGCGGGTGCATAAGGATAAAGATAGACTCTCAGCCCCATCCCGATGGCCACGACGTGCTCATCCCCTGGCAGCTCCTCAGCCCTATCCTAGTGGCCACAGAGTGGCATGCAGGCAGCAGCCTTGGGAACCCCGATTGCCCCTCCTCACACGTGCCCATCACACGACTTGGGCGACGGGGAGGTGAAGTCAGGTTGTGGCCCCAGCGGCGCCATGAGGAACGAGAACCTGCGCTCAGCCTCATCCCTGTGGCTGCAGAGTGCCAAGCGCCAGGTCCTGCACTCTGGGCGCGGGTCAGGAGCAGCTGGCAAGGGCAGCGCAGCCTGTGGGGCCCTTGGGCGTGGCCGGCCGCAGCTCCGGGAAGCCAGGTCAGCCCATGGGCGCTAGCCGCCACCAGCACATGGAGCAGGGGTCGCCGAGGATTGGGAATCTCCGACCAGGCGGGCGCCTCCAGCCGCGCGGACCCCGGGGCCAGCCCGGCCGCGGCAAGTCAGGCAGTCTGCGGCAGGAGCGCCGGGCATGGGCTTTGGCCCGGGGTGTAGGAGGCGCGCACCCTCTGGCCGGATGGGCGGCGCACTCAGGGCCCAGGAGGCCATCCCAGGGGAGCCCCGCCAGCCCCCGCCGGAGCCCGAGCTGCAGCTGCCACCTGCAAGTGGTGCGCTGGCTGCAGCAGTGGCAACCCCGGATCCCGTCCTCCCGCCTCACACCCATCAGCACGGACCCCGGGGGCGACGCAGTGGCGAAGTCGGGCTGTGGGCCCACGGGCGGCACCAGGCGGAGAAGCACCACTCAACCCCATCCCTGGGCTGCAGAGGGCCCAGCGCGGGGGCCCGGAGCATCGGGAGCCGGTGGAAGAGGAGAAGAGCGCGCAGGCCACAGTCAAACAGGCCCTGGGGCAGGGCGCGCCTTGCGCTCCAGGGAGCCCCGCCAGCCGGCGGCACCTGAGCAGCAACCGCGGCCTGCACTGGGCGCCGCGAGAGAGCTGCTAGGGCGGTTTCTCCGCCTAGGGCCTGTTGGGCGGGGCCGGCTAAGGTGCACGTGCTCGCTGGTCCTAACCGTTCTGTTGGGCGTTTCTGCTGAGAGGCGGGAGGCGCTGAGAGTATGTGCAAAGGTCCGTGGACGGACCGCATTGCTTGTTGTTGCGCTTCGGAGGCGGAGATCCCCGAAGGCGAGCTGAAATACGGCTGGAGAGTTCCCAGGATACAATTTGCAGCAGACGAGTATGGAAGACTACCAGCCGGAGTGGTGGCCCACCCTCAGGGAGCGCTTGTGCTCCGACGGCTTCTCATTTCCCCAATACCACATTAAATCATCTCATCTGAGGAGGATCCACAGAGCTGTCTTCTGTGGTAATCTGGAGAAACTGAACTACCTTCTGTTCACGTTATCATGACGCTGCCTGAGTAGTTGTCGACCTTGTTTTCACATTAACTGGCTGTTTTGTTGTGGCTGCACTTCTGTTTCATTACCTTCATCAGAATCATAGCTTGGAGGCTTCATAGCTCCCTGATTCAATTCTGTCCCATATTTCAACTTGTGGTATTTGGCTCTTTTCTGTTTAAGAGCATACTCCAACATTCTGATCATCCTCACGAGATCCTTCTTCAAATTTTCTTGGCCCTTCCTTTCTCCCTGTAGGAAGGCAATCTGGGCCGTAATTGTTGATGAGGTCTTGGAGCCTCCCTTCTGCTCCCAGAAGCTTTTGTTGCTCATGTCTCCAGCCACAATATCCTTGCAGGACAGAGTCTTGGCTGCAGACTGAGCCTGTACCTCACCCGTCTCCCACCGACTCTTGGTACTGGCCACGGCCATGCTGGGCAGCTCTATGGAGGCCTGGCGGGCTAGCTTGGGTGTCCTGCCAGTGGTACTTTCACAGCTGGGGAGTGGAGCCTGGGCCTGAGGTCTCCTGTGCGACTCTCCGCACCTGCGCCGGTGCCATGCGCCTCTCCGCGCCTTTTCTCACCATGGGGCAGCATTTCGGGGCCTCTTGAGGGACCCCTAGATGCTTCTACTCAAAGCCCCCAAAGCCAAGGAGCCTCCACTCCTCCGTCTGCAGCCCCCCCTCCCGGTTCTCGCTACGCAGGGTTCAGTGGCCTTGGGGCTGACGGAGGAGGTTGCGTCTGCCAAGGCCCCTACCAGCGCCTCCCTGGCTCATCCAGCCCACCTCCCTCCCACGCTGGCTCAAGCAAAGTGCTCTGGTCACCAGGAGCCCTTCCTGACCAGCCCCGGCCCCTTCTTGGCCTTCACCCCACCTGGCCTCCCCTGGAGGCCTAGCCTGGGTGCCGGGCCTGCTGGGTCCAGAGCCCACCCCGCCCTGAACAACCCCGAGCCCATATTTTCAAATATAATCAGATCATATACCTTCCTTGCTTAAAAAGGGCGAAACTCCATCTTAAAAAAAAAAAGCCTCAACATCTCTCTATTAAATATAGGATCTAAAGTCAATCCCATGGAACAAATAATCTTGAAAGGTTTCTAGACTGTCTTTTCGACTCACTTTGCTCTGTTTCAAAAAGGTTCACCAAGTCCCAAGAAAACAGAACAGCTTTCTGCTCATTGAACCCAGAGAACCCAGTTTTACACTGAAGATTTTATTTATTCTTCTCTCTGATTGGAAGAAAGCTACTTTCTTTTACTCTTCAAATAACAAGATAGTTTTTCATCCTTCACGTTAGGGCGTCTTTAACCAACTCCAAATTTCTTTCTGTCTTTCAAACCTTACAGCTTTCATAACACTTGAAACCATTTTACTAACCTGCTCTTTAAAATAGAGACAATCACTGTTTTCTTTATTTCTGGGTCTTTAATATCTAAAAGAGATATAGTAGATATGATAATATGGTAGGGGACAATGTATATGTAATGAGTATATGAGTGAAAGATATTGTGCTTTATTATGATATAAGGAATGGATAGATTTTACTATATTTTAAGCACAAAAATGGGTCAGATTTGGAATTGTATTCAACACTGAGGCAACAATGTAGAAGATGGCTTTTTAATACCTAATATTCTGATTTAATTCACTGTCCGAATGAAAAATACCCTTAGAAGGTTTGACTAAATACGTAATTTCTTGACCAAGTCTTGTTTTAGTCTTTCATATCCAAAAAAATATTTCGGGGATGCCACACTAGTGCAAATACCCTACTAGATGCAATTATATACAGAAGAATATTTTGCATTTTATTGATAAAAATAATTAGTTTTTAAAAACACTAACATTAATGTATTAATGAAAAGCCCCTACATGTATTATAATTAGAAATGAGTAAAAATCAATATTCTATAGGAATATTCCTATGACTTTAAAAAATCAAATTCCTCTGTTTCTTATACAGTTGTCTTCAGGAAAATCAACTGGTTTAAATAAATAAAAACATTCATTATTTTTATAATGGAAAATAGTAAATATGATAATCTTATAGAAAATGAAAAAAATAGATTGATGCTGTATGTGCAGGAGCGATACTGCAGATATATGGATAGATATGAGTAATTTTGGAAGCAACCTAGATATTAAGTGAAAGAGATGTAATGAGATTTTGGAATGATTAAAAGTAAAAGAAGAAAAAGTGTAGCGGGAGGTTTCAGGGTAGAACATGACTTGATTAATTATTTTGAGTGACGAAATAATTTCGTATGACTGAAAGTGAAAATAGAAGCTAAATGCCTTAATTAATTTATAGATAAATCAACCAAAAGTAATATCCTTCTGATAAAGTATATTAAGCAAAATTAAGTAGAATTTTCAATAAAAATGAAGACACCATCTATAGAGATTATTTATATTTTAATTCTGCCTGCCTTTAAGATGGTTTGGATATAACTCTATCCTAATGTGAGGTGTGCAGGAAATCATGTTTGATTCCTTCTAGCTTTTCCTGTGTGTAAAACTACATTTCCCTCTTCAGGCTATATGAACAATCATGCTTTGACTGTTCTTTATAATGATCAACTATTGGTTTCACATGCTCATGGTGAAGTGACAAAGTCAGCATAAAAGAGATTTCAAGAAAAAACACATATGCAAATAAATCTGGTGAAAATTTCAACTATTTGATGGAAGGTGAAACTTCTCCCAGTTACCAAAAATGTGTCCCTTATTAATATAAACTGGTCACACCTATTAGATTTTTCTTCAATAAAATCACATATCTGATTTAATAGTTGAGTAGCTTTTGTGGAACAGCATGCTATTGTTTCAAAATGATAGAGATCGCTTTTGCATCCCTTCTCAATTTATAATATTTGTTGAAATTTTCATATTTACCTTTACATAATAAGCATTTTATTTTGAGTTCAGTGAAATATACCTCTTCTCAGAAAATTTGTACATTGGTACTTTCAAAGTATACTAACATTTATATTAATACCCTAACTTACTCTTAGATACTAAATTGTCTAAATTTTTTTAATTTTACAAATGTAATTTTTAAAGGTCACATGCACTTTGTGTAAGAGTTTCTAAACAGCAGCATTATTGCTCTTTTAGGCTGGATAATTATTTGTTACATGGGACCTGTTTTAGGAGTTTTAGAATGTCCAGCAGCATCCATGGATTTTACTCATCAAGCCATTATCACCTCCACACTGGTGTTAAAAACAAGAATGATTTCACACCGTGCTAAAAATTCCTTGAGGGTAGGACAAAATAACCTCTGACTGAGAACCAGTACATTAAATAAGCTAAAATATACAGATCTTGATTACATTGTTTAGTTTTGATAAATTCATTTTCTCATGTAACCCATCTCCTATTAACACTAAGAACATTTTGTTCACCATAACATATTCTATAGTGTTGCTTTATTCCATTTATAATGGAATAAAAAATAAAATCCTTCAAAATATAGCTAATGAAATTTTAAAAACCTGTATAAGGAAAGTTAAGAAACATTACAAAAGAAAAATCATATAAATAAATCAGGAAGGTATTTAATGCTCATTGATTCAAAGAGTTAATTTAGTTAGGCAGTCAATTCTTCCTAAGTTTATATAAAAGTTCAGTTTCAATTTCATCAAATTAAATCAAATCAACACCTGAGCAGAACAGAAGTACTTTAGGGATAACAATATGAGGAGTCCTGTGGACTTTCTCCACAGAGAATCAAGTATAACTGGTTGAAATTTAAAAATAAATTAAACAAAAAACATTTAAGAATAATCACTATAAAATTTATAAAGAAAATATTATTGATATCCTAAGAGAAGATAAAATGAAATCACATAAAGTATTCAATTCATACCACAGAAGGCAAGTAAAGAGAGGAAGATAAGAAAAGAACCAAACAAGTGCAACTTTAGTAAGGAGTAAAATATGGTAGATATTAATCTAACTATATCAACAATCACTTGATACATGGTCTAAATAAAACAAATTAAAAGCAGAGAAAGATAGATGTAAACATTGTCAAGTAATTATTATTACAGCAAATCTAAGAAGTTATATAAAGAATTATATATAATGTATACCACAACTACACAAGACGTATTTCAGTTTTTCTAGGCTGTGTCAATACTTGAAAATATTATAAAATAATGTAATTTACCACATCAACAGGCTAACAAAAAAAAACCATGCGATGATATCCATCTATGCAGAAAAAGTGTTTGACAAGATCCAACACTTTTTTTCAAGAAAAAGGATTCTTAGCATATTAGAAATAGTGGAGGATTAATTCAAATCAATAAAGAATATATTTTTAAAAAGCAGAGCTAACATGATATCTAGTAGAGAGAAGCTAGATTCTATCATCCTATGATTGGGAACAAGGCTAGGATGTCACCTCTCATGTCTCCTATTCAACATTTTGCTAAAATCCTGACTAATGCAACAAGACAAAAAAGAAAATGAAAGTTACACAGTTTGAGATGGAAGAAATAAAACTATCTATGTTCATAGATAACATCATTGTCTATGTAAAAAAATCCCCAAAAATTGACCAAAAGAAAATTCAGCCACGAATAAGCTATTGCGGCAACGTTGTAACATACTAGTTTGATGTACAAAAGGTTGTTGCTGTTCTATATACCTTTGATAGACAACTGGAATTTGAAACAAAAAATACAATACCGTTTATAACAGCACTAAATAACATGAAGTACTTTGGTAAAAATCTAACAAAATATGTATACCATTTATATACCCACTCTTTCTTTGTCTAGCTAAGACAAAAATGATGACATGAAATTTCCCCTGGATCAGAGCATATATCGTATTTTTTTGCGACATTACTGAAACTCAGGTTAACGTTATAAAAGGTACGTTAATAGATATCACAATGTTCTATAGGGACAACAACTTCTGAATCATAGACACACGGTGAGTTCAGTTAATTCCATAAACATCTGCCGGAACAACTGCAATAAATCATGTTCTATGTAACAATGAACAAATTGGAACATTATTAGATGGACAGTGAGGTACAGTATAGCTCAAGAAACAATAGTAAAGAAAGTGTAGGGGGAGGGAGAGAGAAAGGTAAAGCACATCTATATCCAGATTATGTGTCTATTCCAGGACAAATAACAACTTCATGTATTATCAGAAGGGCCCAGTTTTTTTTCCCCACCACTGGTTGGCTGGTTACTTTCCCCAGGGAATTGTGATTTATCAGTAACTTTTTTGGTATTTGTTATTGAACGGTTGGATACTTATTCCACATACAGCTTATTGAGAGATAAAATACATATACAACCTTCATCTCACTACCATATAAATGTGATTGTTCATTAGTCCATTGAGCAAACTTTGAGGTGGTCGCTTAGGAAAATTGATAGGCATCTATCTTTTCTACTGAGTGACTCAGGGATCTTCTAGAGTGCATGTACTTTGGTGAGCATGGGACACAAACGTGCTCACAGCCTGTGCATATTCTGTGAGGTACATTTAACATACTGCTTTCCCAGAATTACTTGCTACCCCTTCTCAGTCTCACCTCTTCCAAGTACCCAATCATCCAGCTAAACAATTAACAATAGCCCAATAATTATTATAAATTAATTGTTCTCAATGTGAGAGGGAACAACATTGGAGACTTTTTTGTTGTTTTCACTATGCTACTGGCATTTTAGTGGGTAGAGCCAAAGGATGCTATGAAGTATCCAGCAATGCACATGGACAGCCCTCCACGACAAGGATTTTTCTGGCACAAATGTTAATAATGTTGACATTGTGAAACCCTTGTATAAATCTGTAACTCTGGAATCTCTTCTATTCGGGAAAAGTGGACAATCGAATGTACTGATGAAAGATCTGCCACATGGAAACGTACTTTTCCCCTGTGTTTTACAGCTATACCTAAGAAACACTGCATTGCTACCTCAGTTTATTTTAGAAGGTCCATTTAAGCAGAGTATCTATATGTAAATCAAGCCTACCTCTTTCCTTTTACTTTTAACTTTTTAATGGAAATCCACATAAGTTTATAGGAGAGTAGAGAGAGGAAGCAATGCTGCTATCATAGAAAAACAAGAAACTACCATGTGTAACCTACTTGGTCTTTTGGATTTGAATAGGTCTTACCGCATATTTGTCCTTTTCACTTCATTATGGAGTGTAGCTTCGTATACTGAGATTTAAGCCTTGATGGATCCAATACTAACTGATCATGGAGAATATTTAAGGGTTCAAGATTGAACGTTTTCATGAATCTTCTGAATTGGGTTGTACTAAATACATGGTAACTAATTGCATCAAATTTTGGCTCCAGAATCCAGTGATGCTATCAAACATTTTTCCTGTTTCCTGGAATTGTGTTTGGAGGAAATGTCTTTATATCACAAAGACTATTGTACTCCATCACAGAAATGTCAATATCTAGAATATCTATGGAGATTAGTTCTGTATTCTAGTATTTATGCCTCTTACTAAAGGTAAGGTACTAAAAGTAAAGGTAAGGTATCTTTAGGTAGTCCTACTTTTTGTCTACCAGGTGTATTAGTCCATTCTCATGCTGCCATAAAGAGCTGCTCAAAACTGGAAAATTTATAAAGGAAAAAGTTTTAATTGACTCACCATTCCACAAGGCTGGGGAGCCCTCAGAAAACTTACAATCATGGTGTAAGGGGAAGCAAACATGTCCTTCTTCACATGGCAACAGGAGAGAGAGAAATGCAAAGTGAAGGGATAAAAAGCCCCTATAAAATCATCAGATCTCAAGAAAACTCACTCACTATCATGAGGACAGCATGGGAGAACTGCCACCCTGGTTTAATTAGCTCCCACTGTGCTCCTCCCAGGACACATGGGGATTTCGAAATTACAATTCAAGATGAGACTTGGTGGGGACACAAAGCCAAACCATATCACCAGGTTTGATAAATTTTGCATTATCAATTTAGTAAAAAATGTGCTGTTCATGGGATGAAAAATTAAGCAAAATTAATTTAAAAATAGAATAAAATTTATTACCATAAAAGTGATAAGCAAGTTAGAAATTATATGACAGTTTTCTGAACATTTCCAATCCAATTAATATTCTGCATGCAATTTATCTAATGAACTGCCATTTCTTCTTTCTGTCATCAACCTCACCAAGACATGTTGCAAACCACTGACTTACTAAATTTTCTAAAAACTACCTCTGACTATATGGCCATCTTCTCAGAAAACTTCCTTGCTACCATATTGCTTGTAAAATAAATTCAGAGTCTTCACTAATTCCAAAATATTCATGATTTAGTCTTGCCCTGTACTTGTAGCCTACCTCTCACAATTCCCATATAAATATGCCACACAGACATCATACTGGTCTTTTCATTAGATTCTTAAGAATATTTATGTTTTCTATTGTGTATACTTTTTAAAAAGAGTTGTATCAAAATGGATAATTGATATTTTGAATATTCACGCTGAAGAATCTTCAACCAAATTAGATAATATGTAATTCCTAGATATAATTTCTGTAGTAAGTTTTGGTAAAAGACCTTACCTCTTATGCACAAAGTCACTGTGCTCATTACTAAGAGTACAGCAGGAAATATGACCAACAGATTCTTGCTCCTGTTATCTTCTTTCCAGCAGGTAACACCTAAATTACATATTCAATTGCACAGCTTGCGACACTTACAATATGTTTAATAAATGAATGGTCATGCATAAATTGTTACCAGTCTGTGCTGAAATAAGTACAGAAGTTGAGAAGAGAATCTTAGAGCAATGTGATATTGTCTCTGTAGTCAAGTATGTGATGAGTGGACTGATTTCATTAAAAGCTGGGGTGCTGTTAAATTTGCATGATACTCCACGTGTGGGGTAAACTGTGTGTTATTATCAAACTGTGGGGACTGGGGAGGCTGATTTTTGCCACAGATAATTTAAAAAGTAATAATAGAACAAAATATTTATTTAAAATTCTGTTAAGTGCAGTAAATATGAAGCACAAGATATATGGAAGCATATAGCTATCTGATATTTTTGCATAATTGTGAGCTGAAGTTTCATGAAGAAATATCACCTAAAATACTAAGGAGAAATATAAATGAACTAAATTATTGAGTTTGGGAATCATGGAATGAGGAAGTTTCTGAACAGAAAAGGAGTGTATGTCAAAGCATCTCCCTAAATATTATACCTCTAAAGGAGTTTTGATGGAAACATTGACAGCTGCTTATTATTATTTTTCTCTCTGGATTCTGAATTTAACATTGATCAGGCTTACAGCCCATTATCTTTTTTTCCTTAGTTATTGTAAGCCTTATTTTTGGAGTCACAAATAAGCATATTTTACGCTATGCCTTAAAGGACAACTTGGAAGATAATAACAAGGAGAGGTGTGTTTTACAGAGTATAAGAAAAAAGCATTTGTCTCTGGAATATGGAAACATAAATCATTCTCTGCTGAAGAAAGACTTTGCTAGAATAGTCTCTCAAGAGGTTATGGGTGTGGGAGTAAAATTAAAAATCATGCTTGATTAAACTCTGCACTGGTTTTCTTTGAATTATACTAGAAAATTCATCTAGTCCTTGGGGGAAGGATAGTGCATTTAGAAAGGTGTATATTGAAGAAGATTGACTTCATTCATTTAACATAATCCTCATCCTTGTTCCAGTAGTAACACCTATATTTAGAGATGAGTAAATGAGGAAGTATTTTACACCTTGTATTCTTTATACCTGCTCTTTTTTTTTTAAATAATTTTTTTTTTGAAATTGCTTATTTTTCATGCTGGGTTTGGGTAGCATATTTTGGCCAACATTATTTTTTATCTTAATTTATAATTTGATAATGTGCATATCTTATAGTAAACTTTAAACCAACTATGTATAGCTTTTTAAATAACATGTTTATTTTAAGAAAAATGATAATGGCAATTCATGTGAAGATTGTAAAAATCATAGAAAATCTATATATCAAACAAAAATCAATAAATATTAATTATATTTCCTAATAATTTTTTTATTTTTAATGGCAGAGCTAAAGTGTGAAAACAAAATTTGTATTGATGTTGATCAACACAAGTCTTTTGATTATTTAAAAAATTCATTATGACAAAAGAATGCACTTTTGCATTCTTAATCCCTGATTGTTAATTGTCTTAAAAAGAACTTTATTATTTAAAATTGTGGATGAACAATGGAATCAAATTAAACTTAATGGAAAATATTGCAACATTGTTTTTCTAAAAAATACAATTAGTTTTTCAGCAAAGTTAATTTTAAGGAGTATCAATGGAAAAGAACTTCTCTTCTTAAGTGGCAGGCCCAGCTGAGTTCTTGGGTGTAGATTTTCATTACTGCAACTAGGGACAAAGGGAAAAAATAATGAATCCTACGCATGTGCATTCTGATGTTCCCTAAGAGATGGGGAATTTAATTATGCTGATCTAATTATATACAAATCTAGTTTGTCTGATTTTATTACAAGAGAATCTAGGTTTTGTGTAAGGTTACTGCTGAATTGGGACTACTTTAATTTCTGCCAAATCTAGTTTGCTTGCTCTTTTCATGACCAAAATCGTGTAGCTCATAGCTACAACAAAATTAACATTTTGTTACACAGGGTATTTATCTGCATAATTCCTCTATCCAAAAAGCCATAAAATATAATTTAAAAATGTAAAGAAATGACTGGAATGAGCAGAAATAGTACTAAATTTATAGAGGGCAAAATAAGAACTTGTAGGTTTTACAGATATGAAAAATGTATTAGCTATTTCAAATGTAAATAACTTCCTAGTAACTCTATGTATATTTACTTCATTTATAGACCCAGTGAGCCGTTTATAACTTAGAGAAAAGTTATATTGTTATCAGAAATAAGTGATGGTAGATTGGAAAAGATAAACACAATGGCTTGCAAAGAAGGAATAATATCTCCAGATCCTTAGAATTTATTTTCAGCCTGGGGATACAGAGGCATATTTAGTTGGTCTCAACTCATGGTTTCTTGAGTTGTTGTCTACTTTCTCTTGTGAGAAAGTGAAACCAGGGAAAACATCTTCAGACTGTAAAACTTTCTCAAGGAAACAATTGCTGAGGTTGATTTAAGAAGGCTCTGGATAAGTCCCTAGCATATGTGCTACTTTAGCTTTCAAGAAGGGGGCAAAATGGATGGACTCAGCACGTTCTTTCTATAGCGCCACGTGAAGTATAATTGATTGCCTCAAATAGCTGTGATACCTTTTCTGAGAAGGCTAAGTAGCCTTGTAGAAATCGTGACTTATCAACATCATGTAAGAAGGGCTTAGAAAAATAAGTTGATTTTTCTTTTTTTTTTTTTACTAAAAGTTATTTTTTTTCCACCTTTAGCTGATAGATTTTATATTTGCTTCTCTAATATATTGGGAAATTATCCTCAAAACAAGCAAATGCAAACCAACAAACAAAAACTGGCATAGAACGTGATATTATGGACACTTGGTATTACAGGAAGTAATTAATGCTTCAAATGACTGGCATTAATTCTCTAAGAAGCAGTATAGTATCATTAATACAAAAAAAGTAAATAAAATGACAGCAAAATGGAAGGAAGGATGTAAGGAATGAAAGAAAGAAGAGAAAGAAAGAAAGAAAGAAAGAAAGAAAGAAAGAAAGAAAGAAAGAAAGAAAGAAAGAAAGAGAAAAGAGAGAAAGAAAAGAGAGAAAGAGAAAGAATCTCTACAATCCAGAAAAAAGTCACGCATAAACATAAATATCATAAATATACACGAACATTATTAAAGAAAATTACAAACTTCACAGTTAACTCTCCACAATAAGCAGTTCACCAGTGCACAAGTGTAGAAGTATGCGTGTAATTAGGCATTTCATCTGACAAGCAGGAAAGCAAAGACTGCACAGAACATGTTAGAGAACTAGAAATACAAAAGAAATTGTATAAAATGTCTTCCCAACTGAAAAAAGCTTCTCTCTCTCTCTGTGTGCATGTAAGTCATAAACATTGGAACAATTAAAATGATACTAGTTAAGTATACTAATTAGTTAATAAATTGATAATTATTGAATCATATGGCTAGAACTAACAAAATTAGAAAATTTCAGAAAACAACAACCTATAGCAATTCTATTATAGGTAATACATTTTTTCTTATTTAATTTTTAAAGAAGGTTTTTTTTCAAAGGAACATTCTTTTAAAATTAATAGCCTCTGAAAAGAACCCACCAAGAGAATATAACTTTGTTTTAAATAGATGTATCTAAGGCTATTCATCAAATATCAGGTAAAGCAAATAAACTCTGAGGACATTCCAAACTCTGAGTTTCAATGATTGTAGGAAAGTGTTAGATAACTTCACATTAATAAACTTACATATTTTACATTTACATATATAACATAGTTATGTCTGCTATGTAACTGAGTAATTTCAACTAAAAAGTTATAATAATTTTGAATAGTATATCAATAAAGTTGGGCAGTATATCAGACTAGACTCATATGACCTTGTTAATAAATAGAAAAATATAATATGTAATAAATAATGAATAGTTCTTAAACTTAATACTGTTGCATTTATGACATTCATGCATACCACACACTTCTATTAGTAATTCATAAGAACTAAGGACTTATCCATCACCTTCAGGAAAACATAGCTAAAGTGAGAAGGAACAAATCATTGTGAATAAGTGATTCAGTCCATCATAGAGCCCATCTTGTGCTAAAATAACGTAAAAAAGAAAGAAAGAAAGAAAAAAAAAACACTCAACATCTCTCTGCCCTTGAAACATTGGATTTATTTGGCTACAAAAAAAAAATTACATTCAAGCATTCATTTCAAGTTTGGAGCTATATAAACTAAAGTAGTTTAACGATATCCTTTTTCAAATCATTTAAAATGAAAACTCATTAAGGAGCATTCAAAATAAATGTAGAGTGTTGCAATCTGTTACACAAAAAAAGTTATTTTCATGCTATGAGTTTAAATTTGTCTGAAGTTGAGCTTTATTGTTCAAGTGATATATTTAGACTTGACATAAGTAGAAAGCCAAAGGTGGTTTGGAGCCATTTCTCTTACATAAAATTTATGAGCTATTGCTATTTATAGTAAGTGATAATAATACTCAAATTTTGTAAAGCACTCTGCTAAGTGCTTTGCTTTCGCTGTGTAATTTACCCCTCACAGTAATTCTACAAGGTAGGACTATCTCCTGAGTGTCTAAAACAGGAAAAATTTGGTCTTAGAGAGGCTCTGTAACTGGACCAAAAGAATTTGATTCTGAATTCCTACCTTTTAAATATTACATTATATTATAATGTTATTATATGTCAAGTTTTTTTGAAAATGTCAAGCACACTGCTTTCAAGGATGAATCCAGTTTTAATAAAAAGCTCATGGATGAAGTAAAATTTTTAAAAGAAAACTTGCAAGATCCAGAAAACACTTGGAAGATTCCAAACTGAGGTAATTTTTATTTTATCTAGTCCAAAGTAGCAATATAGAAACCATAAAGGCAAAATTAATTATCCAATACAAACACACATACTACTCATTTTCTAATAAAACCTGCTAAATCACAAAGTTATCTAACACTTTCCTACAATCATTGAAACTCAGAGTTTGGAATGTCTTCAGAGTTTGTTTGCTTTACCTAATATTTAATGAATAGCCTTAGATACATCTATTTAAAACAAAGTTAAATTCTCTGTGTTTTCCATGGTGAATAGCATGAGATGATGCAATTTAGAGGCTATTTCACTATTTGAGTGCTTCTGGAAGAGCAGACACAATGGAGAAGGCAACGGTCAATGACATGTTGTTAGTATATGAGCATTAAGAAGACAAAGTAACTCTGACAGCTGTTACATTATTCTCTGGCTCAATAGAACCCTACTTCGGAAGAATACAGATGGCATTGAAATGCATGAGAAAAGTATTTATCTCATTCATACTCTAAAAAATCATTTTTATGTTAACATTTCAGCTAAATTGTGATAAGAATTTTTTCAACTTCTTAATATAATCTCTAAATTTTTGTGGAAATATTAGTGGATAAGACAAAGACTGCTCAAAGTAAATATTGATTCTCATGCTTTGTTTGCCAATATTGAATTTCAAGCACATATGTAAATGTGACATTCAAAAGTTCTTTTTCCAGATCGAGACTGTTTCTCTATAAAACTACACTGAATACTATTCAAATTCCTATATCAGCAATCTTGCATTATATGGATTTTTAAAAAAATACATTGAAATACTCAAGGCAGCATCAGTTGCAACAATAAATGAAATAAGTTGTGAACTTTTCAATGATCAAATCTCTCTCTTCAGCAATAGTTATATTCTATATACAGTTAATAACAGTAATTATATTTTAGAACTGAAGATTTATAAAAATGGGAAATTTAGAAGTCTTAGGAAAAGTTTCACACTGAACAGGCTTTTGGGAACATGTCATTTTATTTTCATTCACTAAATCTTTGCTTTTACTTAAAAAGCAATTTTTTGAGAACATGTAATGAACAAAAGCAAAGTGCTGTTTTGAAATTCATGAATAAGGTAACAATGCTTCCTCTCTTGAGGTAATACTTTCCTTTGTTATTTCTATTGTTTGGTTACATTCTGCTAGTAGGAATTTGAGTAATAATTTGTTGGTAATTCCTCAAGATGAGAAGATTTATTTCACTGCTCACACAGGAAAAGGATCTGTTAACACAATAGGTATCTGGAGCACTCTCATTGAAGCAATTCTTCACATGTTTCTAGTTTATCTACATACAGAGTCAGATTATATTAGACAACATTGGATAGTTTTTAAGTGACATGAGGAGATTTTCTTTTTCTTTCTGCAGTTTTCAGGTGAGCATTTGAAATACTTTCCTCTTGAGAAAACCCAGGAATTAAAAACCACAATTGGTATAAAAGAATAAGAAGAAAATTCTGATGAATTATCTATAACTTATATGATTATTATATTTCCCTTTGATTATTCTTCTCATAAAAGATCAATTCTATAACTAATTGAATGTGCTATAAAATTTTTAGCAAAAATGATAGAATAATATACATAAGCCTCACTTCTCCCTAACTCCCCTTTGATCACTGTGTTAGCCTGTTTGCATTACTGTTGAGATATACCTGAAGCTGGGTAATATGTAAAGGAATGAGATTTATTTGACTCATGGTTCTACAGGCTATACAAGCATGACACCTGCATCTGTTCAACTTCTGTTGAGTGCCTTAGAAAGCTTTACAATCATCGTAGAAGATGAAGGGGCAGCCAGTGCATCACATGGCAAGAGAAAGAGGGAGGAGATACCAGAATCTTCTAAACAACTAGATCTAACCTTAGTAGAGTCTCTCTGTGGGGACTCTGCTCCTGCAGTGGGTTTCTGCCTTGGCACCCAGGCTTTCTGGTATCTCCTCTGAAATTTAGGTGAAAGTTGACAAGCTCCCTTAACTCTTGCATTCTGCACACCGGCAGGCTTAACATCACACAGAAGCCACCAAGACTTATGGCTTGCACCCCCTGAAACAGTGGCCTGAGCTGTAGGTCGTTTGAGCCACAACTGGAACTGGAGTAGCAGGGATGCAGGGAGCAGGGTCCTGAGGTCACACAGGGCAGTAGAGCCCTAGGCCTGTCCCTAAAACCTATTCTTTTCTTCTAGGCTTCGGGGCCTATGGTGAAAGGGACTGCCTCACTGATTTCTAAAATGTCTTTGAGGCTTTTTTCCCATTATCTCAGCTATTAGCATTTGGCTCTACAGAGTTACGCTAATCTCTATAGAAAGTGGTTGCACCATATGCCACTTGAATTTCTATCCTGAAAATGATTTTTCCTTCCCTATCACATGGTCAAGTTGTGACTTTTCCAAAGTTCTATACTCTGCTTCCCTGAAAATTTTGCTGCTTAGATATTTCTTCTGCTAGATACGTTAGGTCATCACTGTTTAAGTTCAAACTTCCACAGAGTCCTGGGGCATGGGCACAATTCAGCCAAGTTCTTTGCTAAAGTGTAACAAATGTGACCTTTGCCCTAATTCCCAATAACTTTCTCATTTCCATCTGAGACCTCATCAGCCTGGTCTTCACTGGCAGTATTTTCATTAGTATTTTGGTCACAACCATTTAACAAGTCTCATGAAGTTCTGTACTTTTTCTCATTCCCTGTTGTCTTCTCTGAGACCTCCAAACTCTGCCTGTTCCCCACTACCAAAGATACTTCCACGTCTTCCGATATTTTTATAGAAATTCCCTACTCCTTGGTACCAATTTTCTATATTAGCTTGCTTGTATTGCTATAAAAAAATACCTGAGGCTGGGTAATTTATAAAGAAAAGAGGTTTATTTGGCTCATGCTTCTCCAGGCTGTAAAAGCATGGCACCCACATCTGTTGAGCTTCTGCTGAGGCCCTGGGGAAGCTTAGAATTATGGTGGAAGGTGAATGGAGAGATAGTGCATCAAGTAGCAAGAGTAGGAACAAGAGAGAGAGGTAGGAGATGACAGGCTGCTTTAAACAACCAGATCTCACTTGAACACAAACAGTGAGAGAGCTCATTTATTACCACAAGGACAGCACCAAGCTATTCATGAGGGATCCACCCCCATGACCCAACACCTTTCACTAGACCCACCTCCAACACTGAAGGTCACCTTTCAACATGAGATTTGGAGGGGAGAAAACATATAAACCATATGAAACACTTTTGAGAAAACAATTTCTATATATCAGAACAAGTAAAAGTAAAAAAAAAAAAGCAGAAAAAGGAATAAAGAATGTATCTTATCTAACTTGTTAAGAACATTTCAATCAGTGTTTAAAATTAAAAATTCCCACAGTCGCTGAAAACCTAGCATATTCAAGACTGCTAAATTCTCAAATTAGCAATTTAACTATGGGCCTTAAAATGGATCTTGCCATTTTTTATCCATAAAGTGTATGTAGGTTGTTAGAATCTTATCTACAGGACTTAGACCTGAATCAATATTCATATAAAACAGAATTTCTTTTGATTGGGAAAGTAAAGTCATACTAAATGGCTTAGCAATACCATGAGAGTTTTCTGAATTCTAAAATCACTATTTTAAGAATTCAGAAAATATTTTTGAGACCCAATAAGAGTAGTAATTTTAAAGATAAACATAAATTTTAGATTTGCGATCTATGCGTGAGAGCATTTTCTCTTTAATCACCTTTCTGACAGTTCATTAAACTAAATCTGATAGTTATATGCAACATTAGGAAAATAATTTATAGAATGGTGAGATTCTGTTTTTGAAACATTAACCAATTCTTCTTCACACTCGATTTTCTATTACTCTTGATTTTTCTCACTTTTCTACATTGGAACTGGCTTTATTCATTCCTCAGAAAAGGAGTAATTCAATTGATAATATAGAAAATATAAACTTTTATAGTTGGAACTTAGAAAGTGTAAGCCCTGTGAAAAGGGAGTAAGTTCTGATGAAGATATCAGAGCTAGAAGAAAACATGGTGTTATTTAAATTATCAAACCCTCAGGTTACCTGATGGGCTTTTCTGTGTTGTAGGTTAGTAATGAGTAGGACGAGGGGCAAATAATACTGATGAGTCCTTGAGAAAAAACTCTAGGGGAGATAAATGGATAGGTAGAGAGATAGAGAGATAGATAGACAGATAGACAGGTAGATGATAGATAGATAGAGAGATAGATAGATGTAGGAAGTTTGAATATGAGGGAAATATTACTCCTAAATAGAGTATGAAGTGGCGGCAAGGCCCTAGAGTGTAAAGGGCATATCATATCTTGTATCTGTGATGAAATCAGACTCCCCTGAGCATGCCCTGGAGAATTAACATGTTGCCAGGGCATCTTAAATAGTAGGACACAAATCCTAAAGTATCTTAAACAATGCCACAGAATATGATGTGCTTTTTCAAAAATAGAAAGATAAAACTTGGGAACCATAGAGAACACTGAAAGCAGTTAATTTTTAGCCAGATTAGAAAAAAGGTAAGAACGTGGGAAAATACGACAGTGACTTGCATACACCTAGGGTAAGATATTAGAACAACTCAAAATGTCTCCAGAGATGCTATCATAGGTTGGAAGAGACATCGAAGATCATATAACTAGTCCTTAAGTTCTTTACATTACATATCCCCAAGAACTTAGACTCAACCTCAGCAGCGTGATGGAGGAGATCCAAATGTATTAGCATTAACTTTTTACTATTAAGAAGAAGGGGGACATAAATAGATCTTGTTTTGCATAAAGTATTATGTATTCAGACTTATTTCCACTGCACATATTATCTGAGAAACAATAATGTTCACCTTTAATCTCAAACAAATTATTAATGAATCATCTCTTTCTTTCTTTTTTTTTTTTTTTTTTTTTTTTGAGATGAAGTCTCGCTCTGTTGCCCAGTCAGGCATGAAGTGACACAATCTTGGCTCACTGCAACCTCCACCACCCCAGGTTCAAGGAATTCTCCTGCCTCAGCCTCCAGAGTAGGTGGGATTACAGGCGCCAGCCACCACACTCAGCTAATTTTTTTATTTTTAGTAGAGATGGGGTTTCTCCATGTTGGCCAGGCTGGTCTCAAACTCCTGACCTCAGATGATCCAGCCACCTCGGCCTCCCAAAGAGCTGGGATTACAGGCGTGAGACACCATGCCCAACCATGAATCATCTTTTATAAATGACATGTATTGTGTGAGTTCTGAATGTTTATAAGGAGTTCATATTCAGTATTGTTTAAAAATAATAATAATGCCATGATACTTTAAAATTCTAAATTGGTTATAAATGATATATCTACTTGTTGATAATTTTTGTATTGGAATGAACAAAAAGTTATTTAATTTAGGTAAACTGACAACATTCAACCTAACAAAGGTAGTTATTTTTTACTGCATAATCTAGTATACTCCCTATAAAAGTAAGAAATGTTATCATATATATCATATATGTGTGTATATATACATATATACATATAAATATGTGTGTATTTTATATATATGTGTATATATATGTATATATAATACACACATATGTATCTGTTCTAATTCCTTGATTAAAAGGGACTTCCATTCTATACTTACTAAGGAGAAGAAAATAGAAAAATGTGATTTGGATGACTATCCCATATTTAATACTAAAAGTGACAATCCTGGTACAAAAGAATGTACCATTTTATTTGTTCTGTTGGTAAAAATGATTTTATGTTAACTTAATTTGAAGAATTGTAAAAGTAAAGAAAAGGAATAAGTTAAATTTAAATAGACGTTTTTGTCTTTGCCAATAGTTTGAACGGCGAAGATGTCCAAGTCCATGCTAACAGAAAGGAGCAGATCTCAGGAACCTGAAGAAACTGGCACACAATAGAATCTATAAAAGTTCAGAAATGGAGGTCATATATGTCTGTGAGTATGTGTGTGTATATATATATATATAATTATTCATATATATATGAAAAGCTGGTAGAATTTGGAAGTTATAGCGATTCAATAAATATTTATTTTTCTTTTCTTTTTTCGAAACAGTCTCACTCACTCTGTCTCCCAGGCTGGAGTGCGGTGGCACCATCCCAGCTCACTGCAAACTCTGCCTCCTGGGTTCAAGTGATTCTCCTGCCTCAGCCTCCCAAGTAGCTGGGATTACAGGCATGCATCACCATGCCCAGATAATTTTTGTATATTTAGTAGAGACAGGGTTTCACCATGTTGGTCAGGCTGGTCTCAAACTCCTGATCTCAAGTGATCCACCCACCTCAGCCTCCCAAAGTGTTGGGATTACAGGCATGAGGAACAGTGCATGGTCATCAATAAATATTTCTTGAGTAAGTTTATTACTTAAGAAAAATTTGATAATAAAAAATTAAATTCGTTGTGGAGGTTTGTTTGCATACAGTAATCTACACATGCCACATTTCCATTTGGGGTTTCATAATATTCAATTTACATAAAATTTTTAAATATGATGGCTTTTATATCTCACTGTCTTTTATTTAATTTGATTGCAATCTGTGGCTGATGTAGGATTCGACATTGTTTAGATGGGTAATTTACCTTACATAGCCAGATGAAAAATAATTCATTTAAGAGCAAAGTAGGAAAAGCCACATTCAGTTACCAAGTCCAAAGTACTGGCTTGTTTAACAAGACACTGTGACAAGTCAGTAGCGTCAAAAATCTAGACACCTGAATAACACATAAGGTTGGGGAAAAGACACTACAAAAGTGGAAACTGCTGGTCTCAGTGGCTTATGACTGTCACCCCAACTACTCAGGAGGTTGAGGCAGGTGGAACCCTAGAGTTACAGACCAGCCTGACCAGCATAATGAGGCCCCATCTCTAAGAAATTTTTAAAAATAGCCAGAGAGGGTGGCAGGCACCTAAATTCTCAGGTACTCAGGAGGCCGAGACAGGAGGATTCCTTGAGCCCAGGAGTTCAAGGCTGCAGTGAGTCATAATCATGACGCTGCACTCCAGCTGGGGCAACAGGTGAGACACCATCTCAAAAAAGAAAACAGAAAAAGTGGAAACAAAATGAGAGTGTCCAAGGAATTGCCATAAACAAAACCAGGATGCACAAATATGCTTTTGTGTTCATGTATCTGAAATTATGAGTATATTAGACACATCATGTGAGATGGGGCTACCATGAAGATAGCCTCTATAAAGTATATGCTGTAGTAATATGGTAATGAACAGTCTTCACTTAGAAAGCAGCTTTCGTACAGACCAATTGGCAATTGATTAGAACATTCCTACTGCAACAGAAAGTGCTCTTTATTTGAAGAGCCTCATTAAAACAAAGTCTCAGTGTTATAACATTACAGTGTAACTGTAGTACTAAAGTTTTCTTACAATAATGGCATTTGAAGGCCACACTAGGAAGAATTAATCTTCATTAGGAGTAATGTTCATAAAGAGGGATCTAGACTATATTATGTGTTATGTATATGTTTATACTCCACATATTTATACATATTGTACAGATCTATACATTTTTATATATATATCTCACACAAAAATACATGTATATATGAATACATGTATGTGTGTATATATGTGTGTGTGTATATATGTATATGTGTGTATCTATATCTATATATCTATATCTATATCTATATCTATATCTATATCTATATCTATATCTATGAGAGAGGAGAGAGAGAAAGAGAAAAGGAAAGAAAAGGAAAGATTTTAAGGAACCCGGGACTAGCAAGTCTAAATTCCATAGGGAAGACCAGCAGACTAGAAATTCAGGTTGGAGTTGATATTGCAGTCTCGAGAGAAAAATTCACAAAGCAGGCCAGGCAGTCTAGAAACTCAGGAAGAGTTTGTATGTTACAGTCCTGCATCAGGAAACTTCTGTCTTTATTCCGAAAGCTTTCAAGGGATTTCATGAGACTTACCAAATCAACTGGACACCAAAGTTTGGCCAAGATAACACATAAAATTAGCCATCACAAAGACTAAATGAAGGTAAGAACAGTTATACTCAGCGCGACCCCGAAAAATCCTCCTAAAAATACAGTTCCGATCTTTTTGGGTATTTAGGGGCTGGATTGTCTTGGGCTGATGGAAATATTGCTAATCAAATGAGATTCTAGTGCAGATGAAATAGATAGTAATTTCTTTTTGCCATACTACAATAGCATTTTGTGCTTCTTACACTGGATTTGCATATCTCTTTATGTGGAATTGTTCCAATATATGTCGTTGTCCACTCATGACGTCTGACCTTCATAAAATCCCAGAATGCAGCATATTGACCTAATGTTACAAAGTGCCCAGACTTTGTTACACTTAGATTATTCAATTTTTTCAACATATAAATTATTTCCATTATTTATTTATTTAATGCTACAAATTATCTGTAATGTGTCAAGTGTCATGTTCTATGTTTAAAGTTAATATGCAAATGTAATACTGCAAAGTTGGTAGGTGAACTACAATACCAAAGATCTGTATTTTAAAACCCTGAGGGGCTGTACTGAAAGCAATTATATAATATAAATCTAAAATTTAAAAATTACACAAAAATTATAATTATCACAGTTCCATCCTTAAATATAAGAAAGGTGACTTCTGTAAACTACTGTGATCTACAAAAAACTCATAGATTGAGATATAATTAAAATTATATTAGCACATATTTCAGCCAAACAAAATTACATGAAACTTAGTAAACCTACAGATAGGTTGATCAATTATACTTCCTTAGGTTTATAAACTCACTTTAAATGAATCTAAAAATCATATAAAACATTGACATATGAATGTGCATTTTAAGGAAAAAAGTGGTCATAATATATTTCTAATGCCTCTGAGGAAGGTACTGGCACTTAAAGTTGGTTTTAAATATTTTATAGTGGCCAGGCGCGGTGGCTCATGCCTGTAATCCCAGCACTTTGGGAGGCCAAGGCAGGCGGCTCACAAGGTCAGGAGATTGAGACTATACTGGCTAACACGGCGAAACCCTGGCTCTACTAAAAAAAAAATACAAAAAATTAGCCAGTCGTGGTGGCAGGCGCCTGTAGTCCCAGCTACTCGGGAGGCTGAGATGGGAGAATGCCGTGAACCCGGGAGGCAGAGCTTGCAGTGAGCCGAGATCTTGCCACTGCACTCCAGGCCGGGCGACAGAGCGAGACTCTGTCTCAAAAAAAAAAAAAAAATTATAGTGACCCACTACAGCTATTGGAATAATCTTTGTCAATCTATATGTGATTGATTGAGGTTGAGTTTGAAAAATTTCAGGTAGTTCATGGCACATGTATTTCAACACCATTTTTCCAAGTCATTGGATACCTACCGTGCATTTTCTGTATTTTCAGCAGTAATATTGGCTCAGCCTTGAGAGTTAAGAATGTAAGTTGATATAATAGAATAACAATTTTAATTATTTAATATTTTTAAATACAACCCATAATACATTTATCGAAGCAAAATTTTAATAAATATTTTTGAACATTTTTGGCTCTTAAAAATGTCTTTTAAGTGATCTTTTTTTAAATTTTAAATTATTTGTCATTTGTATTATAGTTTTGTTAAATCTTTAAATTGTTTTTAGCATGAGGTATTACAGAGTCATTCACTCGGTTATTAGAATAAAGTATTTGTTATCAGAGTTAATATTTAAAAACAAAAATAAGGAACAACTCAATGTGATGTTCCAGTATGTGCTAATAAAAATATACACATCACAATAGTACCCACTTTCTTCCCTAAAAATATTTGCATTACTATGTGAGAATTTATAAAGACAACAATTCCCATTCACTTAAAATAATGGATGTTGAACTAAATCACAGAGGCAGTGACAAGGATGTGTTGCTGTCGCTCAAGTGAAATTCCTGATATGACACTCTCAGGTGGTATGGGCAAGCAGACCCTCTAACACCTGCCTAAAATGTAAATAAGATATGTACACAATAAAGCCCATGCTAAGCAGTGTAAATATCACGTCTAACTAATTCAACTCCTAAAAATTAATGTCTTAGAATTGACCTTTAAGCCCAGTGGTCCGATGGGAAGAAAATGCTAATTAATAATTTGATTCTTCTATGCAGTGTTATAACACTGGCAACTATTCACTTATTTTGAACACCCAGCCTAGATTAAAGTGGTAATCTCTATGTGTAAGGTAAAAAATAAATACTAAAATTAATAAAACTACAGTAGAACCATGTGTGGTTTGGCATCCAGTGATAGAATATAAGTGAATATTAATACAGCTGGGCAGTGGAATAATCTCTTAGTGTAAATGTGTTATACAACTGTGAAAAAGAATACTTCCGATGCTCTGGGCATTGCTAGGTAATTCTACTCACTCTGTCTTTAGATTCTTGTCACATATATTTAAACCACTTCCCATTTGGGTACAATTTCTCCAGAGATGTAGACTAAGATTCTTGTTCCTCGTATATTCTGAAACTGCATGTCAGATACTGTGACTAGATTCAGGCAACGACTTATCTTCCTGAATAAGATGAAAGGGCTTTTCAAAACCCCTTCAACCAATTTTAACCACCACTGTAAGCTTCTGCATAATGGCAGGTATTCTGGAGTTGTTGCAAACATAGTCTGATCCAACTATTAATTCTAATTTGTTAATGCCCTGTTTTTCCTTTTACCTGATCCCCTAAAACTACCTTATTTTCTGACCATTTCTGAGGCCTGCTGGCCTGCTTGTCTAGTTTCCATCTAATTTGTAAATCCCTAAGATCATTAATTAAGTTATTCATTCACTCAACACGTATTTCTTAAGGACCCACCATGTGGAAGTGTATATGTAAATATCAATTCTTGCAATTATCTATTGTTCCATCTATCCTCCTTCCATCCATCATTTATCTGGCATCTATCTATTTATCTACCCTTCTAAATACCTATCATCTTCTAATACTTTCAAGTTATGAAACATATAGTTCTTTTTCATTTTGTATCAAAAGATGGCATCTACTGGTGATATTTAAAATTACTACCAAAGTAAATGAAATTCAAAGAAGTTTCTATTTTATGACAACTGAAAGTAAGTGTGGAAACAAGAAGTCCTCCAAAAAAATCAGAGATAATTATGACATAAGGAGACTTTGGTCAGAATGAAAGTAAGTGTCTTTTGTGCTTTACATTTAATTTACAACTATACCCTCTTTGTTAATACAAGGCATTATAACAATCATAATATTTTGCTCCCTAGAAACACTGACTTTTCTTTTCCCATAGTTCTCTGTACATTTTTGTCTTTTAAAGACCTGATTATGTCTAGATAAGTCTTATAAAAATAATACAGAAAAACACACGGAAAAACATAGAATATTTTACCTACTTTTATATAGTGTCTGGCCTTTACTAGCATTTGCTTCCTGAATCAAATGGGTGATATTCATGCAAGAAAACAAAAAGAGCAATGACAAAAATCCCAACTAACAGGACTAATGACACAATAACATAATTGGAAAATAAAAGTAAAATATAGTTTTTGAGAAATTTCAGGGAGAACTACAAAGAGAATTTTAAATTTATAAAAGGGGTTTAGCATGAATTAAACTGTAATAAAAATTGGAGAGGCTGAATTATTAGAGGGCCACAAAACAAGAAGAGCAAAAGAATATATGAGAATATTTAGCAAGAGTATGTGAAGTTTGGTGTGGTTGGAAATATGTGTTGTTCAAGATTGAATGGGAATTAAAGGTAAAGTGAGAGTCTTATTCAGTCAATGGAGAAAAACTTATAGTTAGAAAAATTCTGTTTGTACATAGGCCAATATAGCAAAAAGAGGTGGAAAATTAGCAGTACTTGGGATAATATGTAAGTTATATTATTTGTTCCACTATTAGCTGACTAACCGAAGAGTGTCATCAGAAAATTTAAAAGTAAAGAACAGAGATGACAATTTAGAAATTTTCATAAAAATACAAGGTTAAATTCTGTACCAATCAACTGGAAACTTACATCTGGAATCTAGAAGAATGATCAAAGTCAGAGGTAAATATTGGGGAGTTATTAGTAGATACACAACAAATTATCTTCAATATTAAAAAGGAAGAATAAGTAGTGGCTAGAAAAGTATAAGGACTCAATTTGGGGTCATGACTGTCATTATTTTTACTTTGAGGGAAATTGGACAGTGAATAAAACTATGAAGTGAGGGAGCAAAAAAACTGAAAGAAAAGAGTGACAGAAATCAATGGCAAGGTTTTCCTACCTTTCTTCTCAATGTTAATAATCATTAAATCAGTCATAAAAGCAGACATTTTCTTTTTTAAACTATATTTTTATTGTGGTAAAATACATATAGCATAACATTTGTTATTTTAATATTTTTTATTTGTACAATTTACTGCCACGAATTACATTCATAATGTTGTACAACCATCACCACTATCTAGTTCCAAAATTTGTTATCAACCCAAACCCTCTACTGTACTCATTAGGCAACAACTTCCCAATTCGCTTTAACCCCAGCCCTTGATAACTTCTAGTCTATATTATGTCTCTATGAATTTTCCTATTCTAGATATCTCATATACATGTTCACTCTTCTAAAATATATGTTTCTTTATGTCTGGTTGATTTCACTTAATATATTGTTTTCAAGGTTCAATCATGTTGTAGCATATATCAATGCTTCATTCCTTCTGATGATTGAATAATATTCCATTGTGATATATACCCCTTTTATTTATTCTTCTGTTCATAGATGCTTGTGTTATTGCTACCTTTGTGAATAATACTGCTAAAATATTGATATGCATATATTTGTTTGAGTCCCTAATTTTATTTTTTTCAGATATACACTAGGAGGGAAATTGCTGGTCATATAGTAATTCTATGTCTAATTTTTGGAGAAATCACCAAACATTTCTACAGCAGCTACATCATTTCACATTTCCACCTACAACGTACAAGAGTTCCAATTTCTCTGCATCCTTGCTAACGCTTGTTATTTTTCATCTTCCTGATTATAGCTATCACAGAATTTTTGAAGTGGTGTGATTTTGGTTTACATGTTTTCCATTTTCTATTTCTTGAGCATTTTTTTTTCATGTGCCCATTGACCATTAATCAATCTTTTTTTTTTTCTTTTTTTTTTTTTTGAGATGGAGTCTTACTCTGTTGCCCAGGCTGGAGTGCTGTGGTGCCGTCTCGGCTCACTGCAACTTCTGCCTCCCAGGTTCAAGTGATTCTCCTGCCTCAGCCTCCCAAGTAGCTGGGATTACAGGCACCTGCCACCATGCCTGGCTAATTTTTTTATTTTTAGTAGAGATAGGGTTTCACCATGTTGGCCAGGCTGGTCTCGAACTCCTGACCTCGTGATTTGTCCACTTCAGCCTCCCAAAGCGCTGGGATTACAGGTATGAGCCACCTCACCCAGCCCATTAATCAATCTTATATGGAGAAATGTCTATAGAAGTCTTTTGTCCGTTTTGTTGATTAGGTTCTTTGTCTTGTTGAGTTGTAGAAATTATTCACAAATTCTGAATATTAACCTCTTGTCACATATTTAGTTTACAAATATTCTCTCCCAATCTGTGGGTTGTTTTTACTTTCTTTATAGTGTCCTTGGTGCACAAGTTTTTTTTTTTTAATTTAATGAAGTCAAATATGCCAATTTTATCTTTTGTTGCTTATATTTTTAGTATACTTAAAAATTATTGCCAAATCCACCACCATGCAGATTTGTCCTAATTTTTTAAAGAAGTTTGTAATAGTGACACTTAAATTTAGATGTTTTATCTGTTTTGACTTAACTTTTTAAATGTGGAATAAGGTAAGGGATTGACTTCAATCATTTGCATGAAAATATCCCATTTTACCAGCACCATTTTGCGGAACAGACTGTACTTTCCACATTGAATGGTAAAGTCATGTATTGAAGTCTCCAACTACTATTGTAGAATTACATATTTTCCTTTTTAATTCTTTCAATTTTTGCTTTATATATTTTGCCTCTATTGTTTGGTATGTATACCTTTAAAATTATTTTATAGTGAAACTTTCAACAATATATAATGTAGTTTTTTCTTTTGGAAACATTTTTTATTGGAAATCTATTTTATCTGATATGAATATAGTCATTCCAAGTCTTTTGTGATAATTGTTAATATAGAATATATTTTTTCATTATTTTACTTTAAATTTCGTTGTGTCTTTGCATCTAAAGTGATTCTTTCATACACAGCATATAAATGAATAATGTTTTCTTTTTCATACATTCTGCCACTCTCTTAACAATCTTATAAAAATTACCTCTTTTTGAATTGTATGTGTATTATATATATTTACAGTTATCATTTTATGCATGTGTCTTTTAAATCATATAGGAAAACTATGAAGAGTTACAAACAAAAATACAATGAGGTTGGCTTTTTTACTTACCTACATAGTTACCTACACCAATGTTCTTAATTTCCTCATACAGCTTCAAACCACTGTCTAGGGCTCTTTTATTTCAACTGGATGAATTTCCTTTAGCATTTCTTGTAAGATAAGTCTATTAGTAACAAGTTCCCTTAGCTATTTTTTTTTAATACTTGAAGGACAATTTTGCTGTATGTAGAATTCTGGGTTGACAGTTTTGTGACCCAAACCCTGGACTATTTACAGTACTTTATATCAACCCACTGCCTCTGTCCTCCATTGTTTCCAATAATAAATCAGCTGCTAATTATATAAAAAATATTTTGTATCTTACTTTTCTCATGTTGTTTTTAAGTTTTTTCTGTGTTTAGCTTTTAATGATTTGACTATATTTTGCCTGAAATTTGCCGAACATTTTTAATGTGCAGTTTTATGCCCTTCATTAAATTTGGGAAATTGTCAGCCATTATTTCTTAAAATAGTCTTTCCAACTTATTTTCTCATAGTCTTCCTTCTGGGACTCCCATAATGAATACATTGGCCTTCTGTGTAATGTTCCACAGGTCTCTTATGATCAGTTCATTTTTTAAAAAAATCGTTTTTCTTTCTGTTTCTCACACTGCATAAATACTATTGTCTATCTTTAAGTTCACTGATTATTTCTCCTGATTGCTCATTCTACTGTTGAAACACTCTTGCGAAGTTTGTGTTTCACTTATTATACATCTCTAAAGAGAAGTATATTATACTTTTCTTGTCTGCACTAGAAATTCTATTTGGTTCCTTTATATATTTTATATCTTTATTTTGATGTTGTTATCACATATATTATTTTGCTGGTTTCCTTTAGTTCTTGTCTATAATTTCCTTTAGCACTTTGAGCAGTTTTAAAACATTTGATTTAAAGTCTTTGTATAGAAAGTCCAATGTTTGTGCGTCTTCAGGGCCTACTTCTGTGAATTATTTTTTCCTTTGAGTGTCCAATACTTTCTGATTTCTTTGTATGGCTTTATGATTTTTGGCTGAAAATTGGACATTTCTAAATTTTAATGGACTAACTCTGGCAATGAGGTATTCTCTTTCCCCAGGATTTGCTATTTTGATTATTCTAGGCTTACTTTGTTTTGGCTAAGATTTCCTTGCATTACAGGGGAATTTTTACCTGACTTTTATTGACTCAGCATTCAATTATTGCTCTAAGACTTTGACTGTTTTACAAACTTAAGACAGAGTTCTCAATGTTTCTGATATGTTTATTATATTTCTGATGAAACACAGGAATTCAGAGCTTCCCACTCCACTATTTCCCTGGTGCCACTCCCCAAAGTGGGCATTTAAAAAATATTCAATCAGTCCTTCTTCCTAGAAATGACGTATGGATCTTTATTTGCTCATATGATTATATTATTCCTAACATATTTCAGCAGAACTTTAAAATTATAAAAGAGCTGTTTATGTTCACTCTGTAATTGCATTCTTAGCTAATGTTTATAATAAGAGATTAACAAATAAAGGTAAAATAAATGAGTAAATTTGTTTTTTTGCAATAATTACTTAAAGGCTAAACTTTTTGATCACAGTGAAATGTTGATTTACTTCAGATTTCTATATTTTAGATTATTGAGGGCATGATTTGAAGCCAAAATACATTTATTCCCATATAAAATATGAAACAGTTGTTTTTTTTCTGTTGGGGCTTATTGAAGTAACAATTAGTATGTCTTAGTGGTAAAAATGTGCATTTACAATTTTAAAGAAAACATAAAAACATACTTTAACTCCTGGCCATGTGATATTAACTCTTATTTCCCAGAATGCTTTTAATGTGATTTTTCCATCTAAGAATTATTTTGTATTTACTTTTATATTTAACTCCCAAATACCAATCAAAGAGCAACTGGGCCAACAGCATTGTAACAAACATCATTATCAAGACAAAGGAATCTACATGATGGTCTTTAAAAAAATTCACCCCCAAAGAAGTTATGTTTAAAAAAAATCAGTTTGATTCTTTCACCAACATTTGTTACACTTTGGGTTTTCAAGTTATTTCTGGGCTATACAGTTCTTTCCAGACTACCCTGTAGCAATTTGAGGGTCTAGTATCACTTTGTGTTGGGATCCAAAGATCCAGAAGAAGCTTAGCGCTGTGAGTAGACCACCTATGAAACCATCACAAAAGCTTAACCCACCCTTGATCCCAGAATTTTTATGAATGCTTACTGAAGAAAATTCTCAGGATGATTCAGAGGCCTCTCATAACTTCTGCTCCAAGATGTCGATAAAGAACCTTAGTAACTTGACTGTCAATTCTGGTACCAAATTCCCAACTTGTCTTCATCTGTTAGAAGGTTTACCTCAACAACACGGTAGAATAGAAATGATTTTCCAGGGTATCAGAGATGGCTGGCCTTACAGGGGGAAAGGAGTAAGAACACAGTTATCTGTGCAGAAAGAAAGGGTGGTAACATTGAGATACCTGTTAGTAAACAGATTTTCTCAGCTTCAAAGAGAGCTAACAGACACGGGGCTTAAAAGAGTTCAGATTGAATTGAGAAGGGAACCATTCAGATCTGGCTGCACTTTCTGCATGCACTAGGAGGGATCCTTCTGAGAATGCTAGAATAGGGAATTATGACACTGAGCAGATTCAGCCATCAATTTTATTCTTGTACTTTTTATTCTTGCTGGTAATATTATTCAGCAGTTGAGAAAGCTACTCTATACTATTACAGACTGTATAACAATAATTTTGATAATGAGTTCTGTTACGTATTTTTCTTCATATATCTTTTCCTTTCTACCATGATACCAGTAATTTATAAGGGATCTGTATAGTTTGAATGTATTTGAATAACTTCAATATACTTTAGCTCTACTGTTTGATTTGACCAAAGAAGCATCAATAGGTCCTAAGTGTTCCCATGTGTCTTAGAAGCCTGAAGTCAGTGAGATGTAACCCAAGGTCAAGAATCTGTAACAAAGTAACTTGGGGAAAGAAAACATTGGGTAGTTTGGCAAGAGCATAATAATTTGATTTTCTGGCTTTCAAAAATTTGAATTGCAGTAAAAGAAGACTTCCGTGTGTTATTTTTTTTCCATCTTCAGTAGCAAGTAAATGTGTGCATAGAGAAACAATAAAATTGATATATTCAAGTATTTTTAAAAATCAAATGTAGAAAAATAAAGCCAACCTTTACACTTACTCTATATATTCAAGAAAATACTTTGAAATGCCCAGAGAATATGTGTAAAATGTGAGATGAAGCTATTATACCACAAGATGGCAGATTAAGGCCACTAAACTGATATTTTTTGCAATAGTAAGGTTCTATTTTCTCTTTCATATACATGCTGACTTTTTATAGAACTTTTAATAAAAAGAATACAAACTATGCATAATTTGGATGTAAATTGATCATTAGAACTCCAGTCTATGGCAATCATTATTTTTCAATTGAAAATCTCTCTCCAATTTTGCTTAAGATATAATAAATATTTTGTTACTTAATTAAAAGTTATTTTATGTGATTTAAATATCCCTGTAAGGATTTCTATGAAAACTTTAAACTATTATGTATTCAATAAATATCAAGGTATATAAAACAAACTTTGGCTTTATTTCTGGATAAAATTGATTTTTTGACTATCCTTATGAACCATGAGACATTCAGAGCTACTAAAAACAAATAAAAATAAAAACAAGAATTTTAAAAACATCATTACTTTGGTATCAGCTTATTTTAAAATTATGTTGCCATTGTTTAAACTTTCTAATTTCTGCATTTATGATCCTTTCTAATCTTGAATACTAAGGCCTCTGATACCCTCTTATGGCCTTAAGTTTTGCTTAAATGTATGATGCAACTGTACTCTTAATTAGTATCTGCATTGTATTTGACATACCATCACAGAATCAAGGAAATTACATTATAGATATAAGAAAATCTATAGCAAGAAGATAATGGTGCTTCCAGATATAAATCGCAACTGGTGGGAAAGTTCCTAAGCATAAATAAAACCATATATTCAGGATAGCAAGACGTCCAATGGGGCTTTGTCATAGAATATTCATGTGATTATCATAGCTGGAGAATGAGGCTGAGAATATGTTTTGAAGGACAATCTATTCCCCCCAAAAAAATACCTGGATGATCTCATTGATGTTAGAAAACTTAAAAAAATGTTAAAATAGAAGATTATTATAATTTGATTTAATATTTATAAAAATCAAACTTCCAACCCTATGGAAGATGATGTGGACTGCAAAAATTGCATTAAGCAGCAGAATTTGGCTCACGGATATACAAATTAGGAGCCTTTTCTATTATTCCTCATAAAACATAAGGAAGAATTAAAAGGTGCCTGAGATACTGAAGTAATTGAATGGGGAATTCTTAATTAATCAGCTAATTATTTAAAAGATCATTTATTCATTTAAGAAATTAATTGAGCACCTACATTATACCATGTGTATTTTATTTTATTTTAAAATTCTATTTATTTATTTGAGACAGAGTCTTGCTTTGTCGCCTAGGCTTGAATGCAGTGCCATGATCTCAGCTTACTGCAGCCTCCTGAGTTCAAACAATTCTCCTGCCTCAGCCTTCTGAGTTCAAGCAATTCTGCTGCCTCAGACTCCAGAGTAGCTGGGATTATAGGCGCCTGCCACCAGGCCTGGCTAATTTTTGTATTTTTAGTAGAGGCGGGGTTTCGCCATGTGCCAGGCTGGTCTGGAACTCCTGACCTCAGGTGATCCGCCTGCCCCGGCCTCCCAAAGTGCTGCGATTACAGGCATGAGACCCTTGCCCGGCTGCATTTTTAAAACTTGGAGTTACAGTGTTGAAAAATAAACGAAGTCCCAAGCATTACAGAGCTTACTTACTACCTGGAATATATCCACACCAGCACCTCACACCCCATTCTCAGGAACATATTTTAAAATGTCACATTGTGGAGGAAACAAGAAATAAGTGAGGGAGCTGTTTGAATATTTTTCCTGTGATGAAACGTTCTAGGCAGAGGGAACCAAAAATTGCAAAAGCACCAAAGCAAAAATAAACTTATGTGTTTTGGATACGTTAGAGAGACCAAGTTAGTAGACAGAAAATAAAAAAAAAAATAAGATAACTTTTAAAATGAACTAATAATTTATGAGTCAGCATTGTGTCGCATTGGCTATATAGGTATGAACAAACATAACCTTTTGTTTAGAGAGAATTTACAGTCTAGGGAGGAACTTGCTATATTGAAAGAGGAGTATAAACCAATGTAGGTAAAAAGAAATGTCCAGGAATGTGAGGAAGCAGGAGAGTCAAGAACCGCGTCTTCAGTGGTTTCTTGCTAGAGTCAGCTGTTTTTTAATAATCCCATTAACCTAGATAAAAATGCCAGGAGAGAAATGCTTATTGATGAGGCATGATGGAAGACTGGCAGTAATGACTGCTGCTTTTAAAACAGAAATTGCCAGCCAGGCGCAGTGGCTCAGGCCTGTAATCCCAGGTCTTTGGGAGGCTGAGGCGGGTGGATCACGAGGTCAAGAGATCAAGACAATCCTGGACAACATAGTGAAACCCCGTCTCTACTAAAAAGACAAAAATTATCTGGGCGTGGTGGTGCACGCCTGTAGTCCCAGCTACTCGGGAGACTGAGGCAAGAGAATGGCGTGAACCCAGGAGGTGGAGCTTGCAGTGAGCCAAGATTGCGCCACTGCACTCCAGCCTGGGCAACAGAGTGAGAATCCGTCTCAAAACACACACACACACACACACACACACACACACACACACACACACACAGAAATTGCCAATACTATGGAACTACTTGAGAAAGATATTAGTGAAAAATTAATCTTAGAAGAAATAATATATATGAAATTTTTAAAATACAGCATATAATTAGAATAAGGGAACCACACTGTCCTATAAGGTTAAAGGTTAAGAAAAAAGAGAAAGTTGCTTGGAATATATACCCACTGATACAGGACCTCAAGATGAGTAGGATTTTGGCAGAAGTGAAGTATGCTAGGGAGAGAGAGTTCCTCAAGCAGGAAGAATAGCATCGAAACAGGCATTTTTTTAAAGTGCAGGAGACTGGCTGTTTTAACAACAAATGATTTGCTTTTGCCTGATCATAGGTTATAGATTAGATTAATATTTTATTACAAATTATTTATTTAACTAGGGCAGTCTCTCATTAACTCACTTAGCAATCTTACATTTTCATCAGGCCTGCCTGGTGTCAATATATTTTCAACTTAATTTTTAATTGAGGTGTAGTTACATAAAGTAAAGTGTACAGATCTTAAGTGTTCAATCTGATGAGTTTTGACAAATGTGTAGCCATTATACAAAATAGATACTGTAAATTTTCATCTCCTCCAAAAAAATCCCTTGCTCCCCTTTCCAATTAGTCATCCATCATGTCGCTCTGCTGTCCCGCCTAAAAAGCCAACAGTTTCTTCTTTCCGAAGATCCAGTTTGTTAGTTCGTCCGTTGTAGAATATCATGTGAGTAGAATCATGGAGTGTTTTACTATTGTGTTTGCTCAGCATGTCTTGACATTCGTCCACGTCATTGCATGAAGTTGGATTTTTCTGGGATTTTTTACAATTACATCTTAAAACATAGATGAGCTTTTTAATCTGTGACTTTGCATTATGTTTTTAATGGTCACTCTAGAATTATACATCCTTATATTTCCACAGTTGACGTAGTGTACTTTGTTAACTTTGTACTATTTCACATAAAATGTAAGATCCTAGCACTTTGGGAGGCTGAGGCGGTTGGATCACGAGGTCAGGAGATCAAGACCATCCTGGCTAACAAGGTGAAATCCCGTCTCTACTAAAAATAAAAAAAAAATTATAAAATAAAATAAAATTAGCTGGGTGTGGTGGCGGGCGCCTGTAGTCCCAGCTACTCGGGAGGCAGAGCTTGCAGTATGTGGAGATCACGCCACTGCACTCCAGCCTGGGCAACAGAGCGAGACTCCGTCTCAAGAAAAAAAAAAAAAAGTAAGAATAAGTACATTAACTACCTCCTTCATCCTTTTGCTGTAGAATCAAATGTATTTTATCTGTATATACTATAAACCACACAATACAATGTAATGATCTTTGCTTTAAATAATTATATGCATTCCAAAGAAATTATTAGAAAAATAGTATTTTATGTTTATCCACACTATGTATTATTTCCAGTGTTTTTTATTCTTTCCTGAAGATCTGTGTTTCCATGCTGAAGAACAACTTCCTTTAGCATTCTTTGTAGCACAGATCTGCTGGCAGTGAATTCCCTTAGGGTTTTTCTTTTCTTTTTTTTTAAATCTAAAAATGCCTTTAGTTTGTCTTCATCATTGAAGGATATATTCACTGAACATAGCATTCTGGATTGACTGGCTTTTATCAAGCACTTTAAAGATATTATTCCAGGGACTTCTGGCCTTCATAGTTTCTGATGAGAAGTCAGTGATGCTTCAAATCATTCTTCCCTTGCTTGTAGCATGCAATTTTTCTCTGGCTGCTTTCCAGAGTTTTTCTTCATATTTGGTTTCTAAGAGTTTAACTATGATGTACCCTAGTATGATTTTCATTGTATTTTTTTCTCTGCTTGGAATTCACTGAACTTCTAAGATCTGGAAACTTATGTCTTTTACAAAAATTTGAAACATTTTCAGCCATCATTATATTTTTATGCACCATTCTCTCTTTTTAAATATTTTTTTCAGTAGCTTTTGGGGTACAAGTGGTTTTTGGTTACATGGATGAATTGTATAGTGGTGAAGTCTGAGATTTTAGAGCACCTGTCACCAAGTAGTGTAATTTGCACCCAATATATATATTTTTGTCCCTTTCTCTCCCTTCTACCCTTTCCCGTCTGTGTCTCCATAGTCCCTTTTGCCTTTGTGTACACTTAACTTAGCTCCCATTTATGAGTGAGATCATACAGCATTTGATTTTCATTCCTGAGTTACTTTACTTAGAATAATGGCCTCCAGCTCTGCCCAAGTTGCTGAAAAAGACATAATTTCATTCTTTTTTATGGCTGAGTAGTATTCCATGGTGTATGTATACCACATTTTCTTTATTTATTCATTGGTCAATGGGCACTTAGGTTGGTTCCATAGTTTTTGCAGTTGTGAATTGTGCTGCAATAATCCTACACGTTCAGGCATCTTTTTGATATAATGGCATCTTATTTTGCTTTGGATAAGTACCCAATAATGGGATTGCTGGATCAAATGGTAGATTTACCTGTAGTTCTTTAAGAAATTTCTGTACTTTTTTTCCATACAAGTTGTACTAATTCTTATTCCAACCAGCAGTATATAAGCATTTCTTTTTTACCATATCCATATTAACATTTATTATTTTTTGACTTTTTAATAATGATCATTCTTTCAGGGTAAGGTAGATTGTGGTTTTAGTTCGCAGTTCCTTGATGATTACTGATGTTGGGCATTTTTTCATGTTTATTGGTCATTTGTATATATTCTTTTGGGAAATGTCTATTCATGTCATTTTCTCACTTTTGATGGGATTTTTTGTTGTTTTTTATTTTTTGTTTCTTGCTGATTTTAGTTCCTGGTAGATTCTCGATGTTAGTCCTTTGTCACCTGCAAAGTTGGCAAATATTTTCTCCCATTCTGTGCATTGTCTGCTTACTCTGATGATTACTTCTTTTGTTGTACAGAGGAGTTTCAGTTTAATTAAGTCCCTTTTATTCATTTTTGTTTTTGTTGCATTTGCTTCTTGGGGGTTTAGTCATGAATTATTTGCCTAGGCTAATGTCCAGAAGAGTTTTTCCTAGGTTATCTTCTAGGGATTTTACAGTTTCAGATCTTAGATTTAAGATTTTGATGCATCTTGAGTTGATTTTCTTATAAGGTGAGAGATAGAAATCCAGTTTTATTTTTCTACATGTGGCTAGACAGATTTCCAAGCACAATTTATTAAATAGGGTTTCCTTCGCCCAGTTTATGTTTTTGTATGTTTGGTCAAAGATCAGTTGGTTGTAGGTATTTTGGTTGGTTTATAAGTATATTCCTAAGTGTTGTATTTATTTATTTGCTGCTACTGGAAAATGAATAGAGTTTTTAATTTATTTCTCAGCTAGGTTGTTTTTGGTGTATAGCAGTGTTACTGATTTGTGTGCATTGATTTTATAACCTGAGGCATTACTGAATTTGTTTTTTAAATCTAGGAGTCTTTCGGGGGTATCTCTAGGGTTTTCTACAATTTATTTGTTATACAGTTGAGATGGTTAATATTGAGTATCAACTTAATTGGATTGAAAGATGCAAAGTATTGTTCCTGGACATGTCTGTGAAGGTGTTGCCAAAGGAGATTCACATTTGAATCAGTGGACTGGGAAAAGTGACTCAATCTCAATCTGGGTGGGCACAACTAATCAGCTGCCAGCTTGACTGGCCAGCTTGGCCAGAATAAAAGCAGGCAGAACAACGTGGAAAAACTAAACTGGCTTAGTCTTTTGGCCTACATCTTTATTCTGTGCTGGATGCTTCCTGCCTTCTAACATTGGGCTCCATGTTCTTCAGCTTTGGGACTCTTGGACCTTTGACCTTGGACCTTTGACCACAGACTGAAGGCTGTACTGTTGCTTTCCCTACTTTTGAGATTTTGGGACTCTGACTAGCTTCCTTGCTCCTCAGCTTGCAGACAGCCTATTGTGGGATTTCATCTTGTGAGCGTATGAGTCAATACTCCTTAATAAACTACTATATGTATATATATATATATATATATATACTCATATACATACAGTAAAGTGTACAGATCTTAAGTGTTCAGTTTGATGAGTTTTGACAAATGTGTAGCCATTATACAAAATAGATACTAGAAATTTTCGTCATCTCTGAAAAAATCCCTTGCTCCCCTTTCCAATCAGTCATCCATCATATATAAACTCCTATATACATATACATACATAAATATGAGTTTATATATAATATAATATAAAATATATGTAATATATAAACTCATATATTTTTAGGAGTTCATTAAGGAGTATTGACACACACGATCACAAGGTGAAGTCCCACAGCAGGCTGTCTGCAAGCTGAGGAGCAAGAAAGCTAGTCAGAGTTCCAAAACCTCAACCTCAAAAGTAGGGAAGCCAACAGTGTTGGCATATTCATATATATATGTGTGTGTGTACATATATATATATATAAAATTAGTTCTGTCCCTCTAGAGAATCCTGACTAATATAACAATTATATTATCAATGAAAAGCAATGGTTTAATTTTATTTTTTCTAATTTTATGCCCTTTATTTCTTTATCTTGCCTGATTGTTCTGGCTAGGATTTCCAGTACTATGTTGAATACAAGTGGTGACAGTTTCATCTTGTCTTATTTCAATTCTCAGAGGGAATGCTTTCAATGTTTCTCCATTCAGTATGATGTTGGCTATGAGTTTGTCATATACAGCCTTTATTATTTTGAGGGAAGTCCCTTCTATTCCTAGTTTATTGAATTCTCATGATAAAGGGACGCTGCCTTTCTCAAATGCTATTTCTGTATCTATCAAAATGATCACATGGTTTTTGCTTTTAATTTTGTTTATGTGATGTATCACGTATCTTGACTTGCATATGTTAAACCAACCCTGCATTCCTGGGATGAAACCCACTTGATCCTTTTGTATTGTTTTTTTGATGTGCTGTTGGATTGGTTAGCTAATATTTTGTTGAGAATTTTGCATCTACAGTCATCGGGAATATTGGTTTGTAGTTTTCCTTTATTGTTACATGTTCTTTCCTGATTTTTGTATCAGGGTGATACAAGTTCATAAAATAACATGGAGGGAATTCCCTCTTTTTTAATTTTTGAAAATAGTTTCAGTAAGATTGGCACCAATTCTTCTTTGAATGTCTGGTAGAGTTCAGCTGTGAATCCATCTGGCCCTTGGCTTTTTTGTTGTTGTTATTGGCAATTTTCTAATTACTGATTCAGTCTCAATCCTTGTAATTGGTCAGTTCAGTGTTTCTATTTCTTCCTGATTTAATCAATGAAGGTTATGTTTCCAGGAATTTATTCATTTCCTCTAGATTTTCTACTTTATGTGCATAGAGGTGTTCATAGTAGTTTCAAATGATATTTTGTCTTTCTGTGGTGTCAGTTATAATGTTTCCAGTTTCATTTCTAACTGAATTTATTTGAATTGTGTCTCTTCTATTCTTGGCTAATCTAGCTAATGGTCTATCAATTTTGATTCTTTTCAAGGAAGCCATTTTTTGTTTCATTGTTTTATTAGTCTGTTCTCACACTACTACGAAAAAAATACTTGAGACTGGGTAATTTATAAAGAAAAGAGGTTTAATTTACTCACAGTTCCACATGGCTGGGGAGGCCTCAGGAAACTTACAGTCATGGCAGAAGACACCTCTTCACAGGATAGCAGGAGAAAGAAGTAAGCGCAAGCAGGGAAAATGCTAGATGTTTATAAAATCACAGAAGTTGTGAGACTCACTCATTATTATGAGAACAGCATGGGTGAAACTATCCCCAGGATTCAATTATCTCCACCTGGTCCTGCACTTGACACATGGGTATTATTAAAATTCAAGGTGAGATTTGGGTGGGGACACAAAGCCAAACCATATCAATTGCTCTTTTGTTTTTTTGGTGTTTTTTTTTTTTTTTTGGTTTGTTTCTTTCAATTTCATTTTTTTTGTGCTCTGATTTTTGCTATTTATTTTCTGCTGTTAACTTTGGGTTTAGTTTCTTATTGTTTCTCTAGTTCCTTGAGGTGTGACATTCAGTTGTCAATTTGTTGTTTTCCAGACTTTTTGAGGTTGGCATTTAGTGCTACAAACTTTTCTCTTTGCACTGCTTTTGCTGTATCCCAGAGTTTGATTACTTGTGTTATTATTATCATTTATTTCCAATAGTTTATTAAATTTTCATCTTGATTTCATAGTTAACACAAAAATTATTGAGGAGGATTGTTTACCTTCCATTTATTTGTACAGTTTTGAAGGTTCCTTTTGTAGAAGATTTCTAGTTTTATTCCACTGTGGTCTGCAAAGAAACTTTATATAATTTTGATATTTTTAAACTTATTGAGACTTTTTTTGACTGATCATATGGTCTGCCTTGGAGAAACTTTCATGAGTTGATGAGAAAAATGTATATTCTGCAGTTTTGGGGTAGAATGTTCTGTAAATATCTGTTTTGTTCATTATTACAGAGTGTAGTTCAAGTCCATTATTTCTTTGTTGACTTTCTGTCTCGATGATCTGTCTAGAGCTGTCAGTAGAGTGGTGAAGTCCACCACTATTATTGTGTTGCTGCCTGTCTCATTTCTTAGATTCAGTAGTAAATGTTTTATGAATCTTGGCACTCCTGTGTTAGGTGCACATAAATTTATGTTTGTAACATCTTCTTGTTAGATTGATCCTTTTATCATACATACTGATTTTTTGTTTTCTGTTGTTGCTTTAAATTCTGTTTTATCTGATGTAAGAATAGCTATTTATATTAGTTTTTTTTTCTCACACTGCTGTAAAACCTACTTAAGACTGGGTAATTTATGAAGAAAAGAGGAGTAATTGAAATACAGTTTCACAGGCTTAACAGGAAGCATGACTGGGAGGTCTTGGGAAACTTACAATCATGTTGGAAGGCAAAGGGGAAGCAAGCACATCTTACTCTGGTGAGAGAAGAGGGTGAGAAAACGAAGAGAGAAGTGCTACACAGTTTTAAACCATCAGGTCTCATGAGAACTCATTCACTATCATGAGAAGAGCATGGGGAATATCTGCTCCCATGATCCAATCACCTCCCACCAGTTTCCTCCTCCAACATTGAGAGTTATAATTCAACATAAGATTTGGGTGAAGACACAGAGCCAAACCATATCATTCTGCACCTGGCCCCATCAAAATATTATGTTTTCCTCACACTTCAAAGCACAATCATGCCTTCTCAACAGCACTCCAAGGTCTTAACTCATTCTGGCATTAACCAGAAAACCCAAGTCCAAAACTCATCTGAGACAAGGAAAGTCCCTTCCACCTAAGAGCCTGTAAAATAAAAAACAAGTTAGTTACTTTCAAGATACAATGGGGTTACATGCATTGGGTAAATACTCCCATTCCAAATGGGAGAAATCAGCTGAAACAAAGGGGCTACAGGCCTCATGCAAGTCTGACACTCAGCAGGGCAGTTTTTAAATCTTACCACTCCAAAATAATCCCTTTTTACTCCATATCTCATATCCAGCACATGCTGATTCAAAAGATAGGCTCCCAAGGCCTTTGGAAGCTCTAACCCTTCTGTTCTGCAGGGTAGAGCCCCTATGGCTGTGTTCACAGGCTGACATTGAGTGCCTACAGCATTTTCAGGTGCACAGAACAAGCTGTCAGTGGATTTACCATTTTGGGGTCTGGAGGATGGTGGCCCTTTTCTCACAGCTCCACTAGGCAGTGCCCCAGTGGGGACTCTGCTTGTGCACTCCAATGCCACATTTCCCCTTCAGACTACCATAGTAGAGGATTTTCACGAGGGCTCTGCACTTGCAGCAGGCTTCTGCCTGGACATCCAGGCATCTCCATACATCCTTTGAAGTCAGGTGGAGGTTCCCAAACCTCAGCTCTTGCCTCCTGTGCACCCAAAGGCTCAATATCACACTGAAGCTGCCAAGGCTTGAAGCTTGCACCCTCTGAAGCCATGACCAGAGCTGCACCTTGGCCCCTTTTAGCCAGGACTGGAGCTGAAGTGACTGGGATGCAGGGTGCCATGTTCTTACGGTGTACAGAGCAGGAATGCCTTGGGCCTGGTCCACAAAACCATTTTTCCCTCTTCCCTCCTAAACTTCCAGCCTATGATGGGAGGGGCTTCTGTGAAGTTCTCTAAAATGCCCTGGAGACATTTTCCTTATTGTCTTGGCTATTAACATTCAACTCCTCTTTGCTTATGCAATTTTCTGCAGCAGGCTTAAATTTATTTCCAGAATTTTTTTTTTTCTACCACATGGCTGGGCTACAAATTTCCCAAACTTTTATTCTTTTCTCTGCTTCCCTTTTAAATATAAGTTCCAATTTAAGAGCATCTCTTTGTTCATACATATGACTGAATGCTTTCAGAAAAAGCCAGGTCAGCTCTTGAACTCTGCTGCTTAGAATATTTTTCTGCCAGAGAATCTTTATTATCTCTCTTGTTCAAAGTTCCCCAGATCTCTAGCACATGGGAAAAATGCCACCAGTCTCTTTGCTAAAGCAGAGGTCACTAACAAAAATGACCTTTTACTCCAGGTCCCAATACGTTCCTCATCTCCATCTGAGACCTCCTCAGCTTGGACATCACTGTCCATATCACTGTTAGCATTTTGGTCACAATCATTCAACAAGTCCTAGGAAGTTCCAAACTTTCTCTCACAGCTCTATCTTCTTCTGAGCCCTTCAAACTCTTCCAGCCTCTGCCCACTACCCAGTTCCAAATTCACTTTCACATTTTCAGGTACCTTTATAGCAGTGCTGCCCAGTATCAGTTTTCTGTTTTAGTCCATTCTCACACTCCTATAAAGAACTATTTGAGAATGGGTAATTTATGAAGAAAAAGAGGCTTAATTGACTCACAGTTCTGCAGGCTTAACAGGAAACATAACTGGGAGGCCTCAGGAACCTTACAGTCATGTCAGAAGGCAAAGGGGGAGCAAGTGCGTCTTACCATGGAGGCAGGAGAGAGAGTGAGAGCAAGGTGGAAAGTGCTGCACACTTTTAAACCATCAGATCTCATGTGAATTCACTCACTATTATGAGAACATCATGGGAAAAATCTGCCCTCGAGATTCAATCACCTCCCACAGGTTCACTCTTCCAACATTAGGAATTACAATTTAACATGAGATTTAGGAGGAGACAAACATCCAAACCATATCACTACTCCTGCTCAATTTTGGTTTCTATTTGCATGGAATATCTTTTTCACCCCTTTAACTTGAGTTTACACAAATTATTATGCTTAGGAGTGGAGATTTGGTTTGTGATTCTTTATTCATTCTGCCAATATGTATGTCTTAAGTGGGGCATTTAGGCCATTTACTTTCAAATGTAATATTGAGCTATGAGGTTTAGTTACATTAATTGTTACTTAGATACTTTGTTTTCTACATTGTGTTATTGTTTTATGCTTTCAAGAGATTCTATTCTAGTGTATATCAACCTTTTGTTTAGAATTAATTTAGAATTTATTTTAGCATAATTTAAATTTTAAATAATTTTAAAATTTAGCATAATTTAAATTTAGGATTTCTTTTAGCATTTCTTGTAGAGTTGGTCTGGTAGGAACAAATTCCCTCAGCATTTGTTTGTCTGAAAATGACTATTTCTCCTTCATTTATATAACTTGCTTTTGCTGGACACAAAATTCTTGGTTGGCAGTTATCCTGTTTAAGGAAGCTGAAGACAGGACCCCAACCTTTTCTAGTTTACAAGGTTACTAATAAGAAGTCTACTATTAGTCTGATAGGTTTTCCTATAAGACTGATACTTTTGTCTCATTGCTTTCAGAATTATTTCCTTAATGTTGACTTTAGATAGCCAAATGGCTATATGCCTTGGTGGAAATTTTTTTGGTGTGTGTGATGAATTTACCAGGAGTTCTTTGGGCCTCTCATATTTCAGTATCTAAATATCTAGCAAGACCCAAGAAATTTTACTCAGTTATTCCCTCAAATAAGTTTTTTTTTTTTTTTTTTAACTTTTTGGCTTTCTCTTCTCCCTTGAGAAAACCAAATAGTCTTAGGTTTGGCTAACACGATCTCACATTGCTTGGAATCTTTGTTAATTTCTTTTTGTTTTTATTGGGTTAATTTGAAAACCTTGCCTTTGAGCTTTGAAATTTTTTCTTCTACATTTTCTAGCCTATTTTTAAACCTTTCCACTGCATTTTGTAATTTCCTAAATGTGCCTTTTATTTTCAGAACTTCTGATTTTTTTAATCTGTCTTTTTAGAAAACATATTCATATCCTGAATTGTTTATTTATGCTGGTTTTCATCTTTCTCTGGTATCTCCTTGAGTAGCTTAATAACAAACCTTTTGAAATCTTCATGTGGTATTTCAAAGATTTCATTTTGGTTTGGATTTATTGCCATAGAGCTAATGTGATCTTTTGGGGATACGGTAGAAGCCTATTTTGTTATATAACAAGAATTATTTTTTTTCCTCTCATTTGGGCAGGCCATTTCTTTCAATTATTATTAAATTTGTTTTTTTGACTATGTTTTTTTAATTTTTTTTTCCTCTTTAAGAATGTGACTTTAATGTTTACAGTTTACTGCAGCCTAATTCAGGTCTTGGTGCTTTAGTGATAAAGATTGTGTGAGTTCCTTTGTTACAGTTTTTTTTTAATGGCTTTCTTAGATAATGATTGTAGCAGCAATGTGTGTTGAGTGTGCCAGCAAGTCTGCTGTCTCCTATGGGGTTGGAAAGGCAGAGGTCTCTTGAAGCTTACCTCACCACCCCATGGTATGCTCTTTTTAATTTATTTTTCCCCAATATTTTATCTACTAGGTTAAATAGTTCAGGCTTCAGGCCAGTAGGGGAGGTGTCCCTGAGTGGAAACTACTTGTGACTAAAGTAGTTGGGTGAATTCAATACGCAATGGGGGGCTAAAGTCCCAGCCTTGACAGAGGCAGTCAGGGATGCTCTCAGTGAAATTCACTAAGGCCTTATCAGAAGGAAGGGTAGGAGCTACCTCAGCTCCCCTGCCAGGCCAGTAGGAAATCTATCCACTTCCCAGACATACTCCTGACCCAGTGTTCTGCCTACTAAGACCAGGCAGGCACCTTTTTATATCTGCAGGAAAGTTGATGTTCAAGTAGGGAGGAACTGTGACTCTACCCCTCATGCAAGCCAGTATCTGGAGGGCGTTCCTTTTTTTGGGGATTCAATCACCCTGAAGTGTTTCAGAAAGGCCGTCTATATGTGCTGCCATGCTAAGCTCCCATGGGAGATGCCCCAGTTGTTTCTGCAGTGATGGACAAAAGTGAAAACAAGTCTTCTTGAAGAACCTTCATGAGCACCAGAGCTGCTTGCCTGTTGGTAGAGCTACACATTTTCTCTGTTGAACTCAGCACTGCAGTTGTGCCTTGCTTAAAGAAACTTCCCACCAGTGGAAAAATCTGGGACTTAGGCCTGCAGTCCAGATTCTTTTGTCCCATGAGGTGTTCCCTTAATGTGGTGTACTTCCCCTTCTCTTGGGAGTAGGAGTCCCTGTAAGCCAGACAACCGCAAATATTGCTGCTCCTCTGGGTCAGGCTGCCCAGTGGGATCCAGTAATGTGACCGGTCCTCAAGTCTCCCAGTAGCACATACCAGCACATGCTCTGATAGATGTGGCAAGGGAGTAATGTAGACTCTGTGAGATTTCTTGGTTTTAATAGCCTTAGTGTGTTGGCTTTCTCAAATACCAGTTGTAGCAGTAGTGAACTGGTCATGTGTACAGACGCAGAACCTCCTGGTTAGCCAGGGTGTTGCAGGCAATGATGATGACTGAGCTCACACACAAGTTTTGTACTTCATGGGTGCATTGTTATTCTACTTCTTGAGATGCTGTAATTGTCTGTCAGGTGGCCTCTAGCCAGGAGGTGGCACTTATAAAAGAGCACCAGCTGAGGTGGAAGCAGGTGGATTTGTACTTGCATTATGTTACCCAGGGGAGGTATTCTGGTTTATTAGGTGATGAGCAGAGCCATAGGGTTCCTCAAGGTTTCTGTCTTTTGTGTTAAGCTACCAGGACACATGGAAGGGCAAAAACAGGTGGGGGCTAAATGAGACAAGTTTATGTTCTGGCTTTTTACGTACAGGGCAATCAGAGGGCTCTGGGGGCATTGGGAGGCAGTTATCTGGCCATTGGGTAATGTTCCAAAAATGATCATAGCTGCCTCCTCCGCAATAGAGTTTTGCAGGGAGTGGGAAATATAAAGTGACAGTAGGCCTCACCCAGCTCCCACACGCTTGGCAAGGCATTTCTCTCACCCACAGTGTTTGCTAGCAGTAGCTAGTTAAATTGCATGTCTAAACACAGAAGTCAAAACTGCCCCAGACCATAAGCCTTCCTTTTGGAGACAAGAAGCACAGCTTTCAGGCCATGCTCCTCCCTGTCCATCCCCAAAGCCAGGGTGCCCAGCTCCTGCACTCATGGCTGCAGCACACTTCCCACTTACCTCCCTGTTCTGGCCAAAGGAGTTTGTCATCCCCCAAGCTTATATTGTGAATTTCAGTTGGGAGCTTTTTCAACATGCAACTGCTGGCTGAGTTAGCTGGCAGAATTCAGTGAGGTCCCCTATGACAAAGAATCAGGAATGGCTTCCTCAGTCTGTGCTGGAGACTGGAAATGCATGCTGGGCTCTTCCCACTGCTGCTACTTTTATATTACCCATTTTTCCCTGTTTCAGTTCCAGTGCTGGGTAGGGTTAAGGCCTTCCCCTGTGGGCTAAATTGCCAAGTTCTCCAAATGGGGTGCATATTCTGGAGGTAGTCTCTCTCCCTCTCACATTCTGAGGACTTACAGGTTTTCACCAGGCTGTGATGTAGGCTGCAGGTTGATGCTTCTTTCAAATGGTTTGTGGTATCTTTCCTTTTTTGTGTTAAGTTCCTACATTGCTTCTTGGAAAAAAGTTTACAGTGTGAATCTCTATTTACTATTTTGTTTTTCCAAGTGTGGGTGGCATGCTAACACTGCCTCCAATTCACCATCTTATATGACAATCACTGGTGTCAATATTAATGCAAAGGTATTTTGGTGCAGGAGAAAAGCAAATCAGAAATGAAAATCATAGAATTGAGAACTTAGAGATTATGTTCATGTGTAAGAAAAGGAAAAAATTCTGATTAAAACTCAAAAGTCCGCCGGCCATGGTGGCTCATGCCTGTAATCTCAGCACTTTGGGAGGCCAAGCTGGATGGATCACCTGAGATCAGGAGTTCGAGTCCAGCCTGGCAAACATGGCAAAATCCTATCTCTGATAAATATACAAAAATTAGCTGGGTGTGGTGGTGTGCCTGTAGCCTCAGCTACCTGGGAGACTGAAGCAGGAAAATCACTTAAACCTGGGAGGCAGAGGTTGCATTGAGTCAAGATCACACCACTGCACTCCAGCCTGGGGGACAGAATGAGACTCTATCACAAAAAAAAAAAAAAAAAAAAAAAAAAAAAAAATCAAAAGTCTGTTTGAGCAATGAAGTCAATGAAGTATTAGTTTAAACAATATCTAACACAATGTACCTTGTAATTCTTCAGGATGAATCTAGATCTAGCTGCTTTACAGTAGCTCAGAAGGACTAAGTATGCCAATAAAAGACGCATGTTGACTTAAGAGTTGCAATGCCACAAAAGGGTCAGGCTCAGGCTAGAATACAGTCCTGCCATAAAAATAGTAATATAGAGACTTCATAAATTACTAATGTAATGCAATTTGTTTGGGTGAGGTTCAAGGAGTGGACTTTTTGATTAAATGTGATTTGCTCTAATAAATATAGTGGATACCTTCTTATGCTAACAGACTGGGAGAAGAATATAGACCATCAGAGGAAAAAAAAGAGTCCAATGAATATGCAGAGGAGTAAGCATCAAAAACTATACATGTATGAGTTTCTTGCTAGTTTCAAGTGTATGGTAATGCCATTAATCTAGATAAAGATCTGGGAAAAAAGGTAACGGTAATGCAGGGTGAGGAAAAGGGGGAACAATAAGTAATCATACACATATAGAATTTATCATATGTAGGAGGGTTTCATTGCAGTGTCTAAGTGACAACTTATGACTCAGAGAAATGATCTTATGGTAAACATTGACACTGATGTATCTGGAAGACATAAATTTCATTTCTGCCTTCTGAGACAAAGGGCAGAAAATGCCCTCAAATTTGAATTTGCCTCTGACTGAACATTGTATTGCAGTCAACATTTATAGACCTCTGTCCTCATTTCATTCTTATCTCTATTTATATGTTATTTTCACAAAGAGGTTTTCAATTTTAAACCTATCCAAAATAAGCGCCAGTCACCATGACTTTTGTCCTGCCCTAATTTTCTTCATAATACACTTATCACTTCTTGCATTATATTACGTATGCTATTTGCCTGAGGCTATTCATCTGAAATAATTTAATAATAATTTTGGAAGTAGGGCAGATGGACTAGATAACAAATACGATCGCACCATAGCCAGTGCTACCCTTGAAAAAATTAATTGCTATTAATTTCACACAATAAAATTGTTAAGATCATAATATTTTTGCCTATTTCAATAATCAGAAAGACAAAAACATCTTAGTTTTATACAAATAATAAAATCATAGTATAAAATTGTACTCCTGTCTTTGTGCTTTCTATATCTGTGACTTTAAATTTATTTTGGTGACTGTCAACACAAAGGCAGAATTTATCTTTCCTTTTACATTTGGATGGCAAACACATAGAATTTACAAAATATCTGAAGACTGTAGCTTATGTAGGTGGTGAGCAGAGGCACAAATATTTAGACCAAGTGACACACTGTGTGGTTCACTTCAGGTTACACCTTTGGTTGGATAAATCCAACTCTTTGTCATTAGCCAAGACTAGAGGAAGGGAGATAACTTTTTAAAATTTGATCTTCTACTCATCATAAAGAATATTTCATGCCTGTATTTCTTCCATCGTAATTATATTTGTTACATTCAGTACTTAGAGATGTTTATAAGAAAACATATTTTCTTTTTCAGCTGATTATTGCCTAACTCAGAGTTTTCAATGAGGCTTGATATTAGGTTAACAAGCTTTTACAGTAGGAAGCATTACAAGAGACATTTACCTAGTTTCTCAGATTTCCAGGGATAACATCCAGCAGCTGAACCATTAAGGTAATTACAGGGAAAGAAAAGTTAACTGAGATAGTTTGTCAGAAGAAGAAATCATAGATGTAATTTTAACTCTCTGCTCTGAATCATAATTACAAAATGCATCAGCTAAGACACAGAGAGCAATTTTAAGCAAAGTCAGGAGCCACTGATGAAATGTCTTTAAAATAGAAGTAGAATAATTTAAAAGTGTTGTATTTACCATATATGATGATACATATAAATGAGTTTTAAAACATCTTTATTGTAGTCTTGAGATATTTAAATGCAAATAGAAATATTAAGTTTTACTCTATTTTTGCCATTTTTTAAAGCATAATTAGAGAAAATTTATTTTTCCACCAATAAATAAGGTGATGCTCAAGAATTATTTATTTGGTCTCGAAGTATATCAATTATTCAGGAAAATGAAATGTAGTAATTTAAAGGAAACTTTAATATTTCACATATACTAGAGAGAACAGACAGTTCTCATGCTTATTTTTTTTTTTACTTGAGACTTATATTATCTAAATAATTGTTTAATACTCCATTTCTTGTACATCAAATGCAATTTAGGATATTATGCCGGCATTCAACTTTAAATATTTTCTAAAATAAAATATATTATAAGTATATAATGTTTAGACAAATTATTTACAAAAATTGCCTGTCTCAACTTTCAAATGAGCTTGGATTTTTTAACAGATAATGTAGAAAATTTACTATTTAGTCATGTGATTTCTTTAATAAATAATTCCTCTCTCTCCCTAACATATTTGGCAAATCAAAGGCCATTAAGTGTTTCCAAGTATTTGAATCTTTTTAGTTTTATGTATTTTTAGCAATTGGAGGAATGTGGAAATATAATTTAGTGTTTGTGTAATGTGAGATATATACTGTAGGTTATTTCATTTTTACAGACAAGTAATCAAAGAAGGGCAACACATAAGATTCCTATCATAACATTAATTCATTCCATTAGATGCACATCTAGTATCTTTGACCTCCAAGGCATTGATTGTCACATTTATTGCAGTGTTCAAGAACCTGTCAGCCAAAGTAAGAGAATCTGATGGACTCCTAAATACACAAAGAAATGATTACTGGAAATGCAATCTCTAATATTTCAAAATGTATTGATTTGAATTTACTTTCAATAAATATTTTCTGCAAAAACTAAACACATGGATTTATTAACATCTTAAATTTGGACTAGAACTTGAAGGCCTACTAGCAATTATGGGCAGTATGTTCAACTGGAAGAAATGCCATTCATCCAATTTACCTCCTAGTAAAATCACCTAAGTCTGCACATCTCAGAACAGGAAGCCCCAGAGAATGAATAATGATCACTCAGTAGGTAGGAAGAGCATACTTTATATTACTTTGCATGCAACGGATGATTGAAAATAACAAAATTATGTTTATCAAGCCCTTACATAAATAATTTGCTTTTTTCCCTTTACTTCCTCAATTCAGGATTGATTGTAAATTCTGTAGGTACAATTGAATATGTACTCATTTTCTACCATATCATTCATAATAAAATTTGTAGGGCCACTATTTACAGCACATAAAATTGAGTGTGTTCTGTTATGTCATATGTAGATTCGAATTTTAAGGGATTTTGGATGTCACCTTTTTGGGTTTACACATATGAAATCACTCTGGATGTGTGTGGAGAGGTTAAAAAAAAAAAAGACTTAGGGTTTTATGGCATGTAAAAGTTCCAGAGATCAGTTGAAACAAGCAAATTTTATCTATTTTTATTGCTAAATAGAAATAAAATGCTATTGAGTGTATAAGCTATACATGGAATTACAAATATAATATACATTCATATTAATATGGTATGTCATATTATATTAATTGTAATAATAATTACAAATATAATATGACATATCATATTATTTTTTCTAATCCACTTATGGCATAACAGATCACACTCAATTTTATGTGCTGTAAATAGTGGCCCTACAAATTTTATTATAAATGATATGGTAGAAAATGAGTACATTTACCTATGTTGGTTAATTGAAAGGTGCTGTTCTTTTAGTTTATTCCATTGGAATTGCCAGTAGTTTAAAGAGTTGTAAGGCTTCTAGATTAAGATGTAGAACTGAGCATACCAGTGAGCCTGATGTTATTCAAGCAGTAGCAAAGATCTTATTTAAATGAGATTAAAGGATTTACATCTATAACATGCTAGAGAGAAAAAAGAGCATACCAGTATATGACATGTAGAGAAGTTATAAAATAGATGGACAATTTTTAAAATGGAAATAATGACAGCAAGATTGAATGTACAATAAAGGAGCTGTTAAAAAGGTAGAAATCTACATGTCAGCACAATTATGTATAGACTGCAGACTTGCTACAACAGGTAACTGGATTAAAAATTGGGCAAAAAATCCAAGAATTAATTTAAAGTCTGTACAGGAAAAAGTGTACACATTTACTTCCCTCCCTGTTCTCCAACAAATATAATGAGAAACAGAAAGAAATGTCCTAGGTTAAAAAAAAAAATCAGTGGGACCTTTCCTTTATTATTTAAATGAATGTCTTGGAAGCAATACAGCATGTAATGTGGGCTTGGTTACTTATGTATAATGACTAGTAATATGAACTCTGCAAATATATTGATCCACACAGATTCATAGAGCACCTAGTCAGCTATCATATCGTCATCTCTTTAAATCTTGAGAATAAGACCTTTAGACAAAAAGGCAAAATAAACAAACAAAAAAAGTGTGAGTGGAAACACGTAACATAGAGAATACATAGCAAAACTACAGAAATAATCATTCTATTTTTTAAACAGAATATAGAATGGAGGACATAATGCTAGGAAACTGACAAATAGTAAATTAAAAGAACGTATTTTTAGTAATAGGGTGCTACTTAAAATAGTAATAGAATGTTTCAAAGATAACGTAATGCAGAACAAGAGAGACTGACAATATGAGAGAAAAGATATGCGAGCAAAGATAAAAAAAAGTTGCCCCCCTTTGAAAACTGGCACAAGACAGGGATGAGGTCATCACCACTCCTATTCAATATAGTGTTGGAAGTTCTGGCCAGGGCAATTAGGCAGGAGAAGGAAATCAAGGGTATTCAATTAGGAAAAGAGGAAGTCAAATTGTCCCTGTTTGCAGACAACATGATTGTAAATCTAGAAAACCCCATTGTCTCAGCCCAAAATGTCCTTAAGCTGATAAGCAACTTCAGCAAAGTCTCAGGATACAAAATCAATGTACAAAAATCACAAGCATTCTTATACACCAACAACAGACAAACAGAGAGCCAAATCATGAATGAACTCCCATTCACAATTGCTTCAAAGAGAATAAAATACCTAGGAATCCAACTTACAAGGGATGTGAAGGACCTCTTCAAGGAGAACTACAAACCACTGCTCAAGGAAATAAAAGAGGAAACAAACAAATGGAAGAACATTCCATGCTCATGGATAGGAAGAATCAATATTGTGAAAATGGCCATACTGCCCAAGGTAATTTACAGATTCAATGCCATCCCCATCAAGCTACCAATGACTTTCTTCACAGAATTGGAAAAAACTACTTTAAAGTTCATATGGAACCAAAAAAGAGCCTGCATTGCCAAGTCAATCCTAAGCCAAAAGAACAAAGCTGGAGGCATCACACTACCTGACTTCAAACTATACTACAAGTCTACAGTAACCAAAACAGCATGGTACTGGTACCAAAACAGAGATATACATCAATGGAACAGAACAGAGCCCTCAGAAATAACGCTGCATATCTACAACTATCTGATCTCTGACAAACCTGAGAAAAACAAGCAATGGGGAAAGGATTCCCTATTTAATAAAAGGTGCTGGGAAAACTGGCTAGCCATATGTAGAAAGCTGAAACTGGATCCCTTCCTTACACCTTATACAAAAATCAATTCAAGATGGATTAAAGACTTAAACGTTAGACCTAAAACCATAAAAACCCTAGAAGAAACCTAGGCATTACCATTCAGGACATAGGCATGGGCAAGGACTTCATGTCTAAAACACCAAAAGCAATGGCAACAAAAGACAAAATTGACAAATGGGATCTAATTAAACTAAAGAGCTTCTGCACAGCAAAAGAAACTACAACTGGAGTGAACAGGCAACCTACAAAATGGGAGAAAATTTTCACAACCTACTCATCTGACAAAGGGCTAATATCCAGAATCTACAATGAACTCAAACAAATTTACAAGAAAAAAACAAACAACCCCATCAAAAAGTGGGCAAAGGACATGAAGAGACACTTCTCAAAAGAAGACATTTATGCAGCCAAAAAACACATGAAAAAATGCTCACCATCACTGGCCATCAGAGAAATGCAAATCAAAACCACAATGAGATACCATCTCACACCAGTTAGAATGGCAATCATTCAAAAGTCAGGAAACAACAGGTGCTGGAGAGGATGTGGAGAAATAGGAACACTTCTACACTGTTGGCGGGACTGTAAACTAGTTCAACCATTGTGGAAGTCAGTGTGGCGATTCCTCAGGGATCTAGAACTAGAAATACCATTTGACCCAGCCATCCCATTACTGGGTATATACCCAAAGGACTATAAATCATGCTGCTATAAAGACACATGCACATGTATGTTTATTGCGGCATTATTCACAATAGCAAAGACTTGGAACCAACCCAAATGTCCAACAATGATAGACTGGATTAAGAAAATGTGGCACATATACACCATGGAATACTATGCAGCCATAAAAAATGATGAGTTCATGTCCTTTGTAGGGACATGGATGAAATTGGGAAGCATCATTCTCAGTAAACTATCGCAAGAACAAAAAACCAAACACTGCATGTTCTCACTCATAGGTGGGAATTGAACAATGAGAACACATGGACACAGGATGGGGAACATCACACTCTGGGGACTGTTGTGGGGTGGGGGGAGGGGGGAGGGATAGCATTAGGAGATATACCTAATGCTAGATGACGAGTTAGTGGGTTCAGCGCACCAGCATGGCACATGTATACATATGTAACTAACCTACACATTATGCACATGTACCCTAAAACTTAAAGTATAATAATAATAAATAAAATAAAAAAAAGAAAATGCTAAAAAGTTCCTCCCAATTCAGTTAATACTAGCAACAAATAAATTAATAGATAATTTAAATATTTAAATAGCAATAAAATAATAAGATAATATAGACATATCTAATTTTATTGTACTTTGTTTTGTACTTTGCAAATGGTGCATTTTTAAAATAAATTGAACGTTTATGGCAACCCTGTACCAGGCAAGTCTGTCAGTACCATTTTTCTAAGAGCATATGCTCACATTGTGTCTCTCTGTCACATTTTGGTAATTCTCACAATATTTAAAAACTTTTCATTATTAATATGTAATCTGTAATCAGTGATCCTTGATGTTGCTTTTGAAATTATTTTTTGGCTCCACAAACCAGGCCCATAAAAGGTTATGAGCTCAACAGATAGATGTTGTGTGTCTTTCTGACTTCTCACTGACTGGCTTTTCCCTCATTTTTCTCTCTCCCTCCCTAAGCCTCCCTATAACAAAGCTGGAGAAGGAATGTTTGAATCTAGCAGAACCTGGTTCATAAAGTTTAAGGAAAGAAGCAATCTTCATAACATAAAAATTCAAGATAAAGCAGCAAGTGCTAACGTAGAAGCTGCAGCAACTTATTCAGAACATCTAGCTGAGATCATTGATGAAGGTGGCTACACTACACAACAGATTTTCAATGTAGATCAAATAGCCTTCTATTAGAAGAACATGCCATTTAGAATTTTCATAGCTAAAGAAGAGAAGTCAATGCCTGGCTACAAAGCCTCAAAGGACAGCATGGCTGTCTTGGTAGAGGCTAATATAGCTGGTGACTTTAAATTGAAGTCAATGCAAATTTATTATGATGAAAATTTTAGGACCTTTAAGAGTTATGTTGGCCAGGCGCAGTGGCTCATGCCTGTAATCCCAGCACTTTGGGAGGCCAAGGCAAGCGGATTGCCTGAGCTCAGGAGTTTGAAACCACTGTGGGAAACATGGTAAAACCCCATCTCTACTAAAATACAAGCTGGGCATGGTGGCACGCGCCTGTAATCCCAGTTACTCGGGATGCCAAGGCGGGAGAATTGCTTGAGCACAGGAGGCGGAGGTTGTAGTGAGCCAAGATCACACCACTGCACTCCAGCTTGGACAACAGAGTAAGGCTCCATCTCAAAAAAGAAAAAAAAATAAGTTAAATCTACTCTGCCTGTGCTCTAGAAAAGGAACAAAATTTGAATGATAGCATATTTGTTTACAGTATGGTTTACTGAACATTTTAAGCCTACTGTTGAAACCCACTGTTCAGAAGACAAGATTTATTTGAATATATTCCTGTTGATTGACAATACACCTGACACCCAAGAAGATTAATGTTGTTTTCATACCTGCTAACACAACATCCATGCTGCAGCCCATAGATCAATAAATAATTTCATCTTTCAGTCTTATTATGTAAGAAACACACTTTATAAGGCTACAGTTGTCATAGATTGTGATTCCTCTTATGGATATGGACAAAGTAAATTGAAAACCTTCTGGAAAAAAAGTCATCATTCTAGATGACATTAAGAACATTTGTGATTAGTGGAAGGAGATCAAAATGTCAACATTAATAGTAGCTTGAAAGAAGTTGAGTCCAACCCTCATGGATGGCTGTGAGGGCCTCAAGACTTCAGTGGAGGAAGTCACTGTAGATGTGGTAGAAATTGCAAAAGAAATACAATTAGAAGTAGAGCCTAAAGATGTGACTGAATTGCTGCAATTTCATGATAAAACGTGAAAGAATGAGGAGTTGCTTCTTGTAGATGAACAAAGAAAGCGGCTCCTCAAAATGAAGTCTCTTCCCGATGAAGATGCTGTGAACATTGCTGAAATAACCTCACTTGAGGTCTCTTTATGATAAAACCCTCAACAAACTCGCCAATGAAGGAACATAAGTTAAAATAATAAGAGCCATCTATGACAGATCCACGGCCAACATTATACTGAATGGACAAAAGCTGGAAGCATTCCGCTTGAGAACTAGAACAAGATAAGGATGCCCGATTCCACCACTCCTCCCATTCAACGTGGGTACTGGAAGTCCTAGCAAAGCAATCAGGCAAGAGGAAAAAATAAAAATAAAAAGCTTCTAAACAGAAAATAAATCAAACTATCTTTCTTTACTGATGATGTTTTCATACCTAGAAAATCCCAGTGACTCTGCCAGAAAGCTCCTGGAACTGTTAAATGGCCAGTAAAGTTTCAAGATACAAAAGCAATCTATAAAATTCCATAGCATTTCTATACACCAGTCACATTCAAGTTGAGAGCAAAATGAGAAATGCAATCCCATTTACAATAGCCACACACACAAAAATAAAATACCTAGGGATTCATCTAATAATGGAGGTGAAAGATCTCTACAAGGAGAACTACAAAACACTGCTGACAGAAAATTTAATCTGCCACATCTATATTGAGAAAAAAATATTGAGACAGTATAGACAAATATATAATACATGATATAATTTATATTATATATATTCTTAAAAACATCAGCTCTAAAGGACAATAATCATACTGGTATTCAGCATTAATAAGTAACAGAGGATAATAGAAATCAAGAGAGGGTACAATGCCTTTAAAGTTTTGATAAAAAAGTGACTTCTAACTTGACCAGTCTAGTATTCCATATGCCAAGTATATGAGGACAAAATGTAGTCAGTCATTTTTGTGCATGCATGAACTAATATTTCCCCACTCAATCTTCCTGAGAAAGTTATTTAAAAATATATTCCAACAACAAAAGGATAATAACAAAAAAATTTATACAATTTAAGAAAGGGTAAAATATTAAAGGGACATGTATCTTCTTAGAAAACAATGTCAGTGGCCTCAATTGGGAATATCTGTATGAAATCAGACGTAAACAATAGAAGAATTGATAAGAAGCTGACTGATATCAGTAACATTTTGCAGGACTGATAAGTCTGTTGTCCCAAGTAGGAAATAAGAGAAATAGAAATGCTAAAAAACAAATCAAAACTATAGATGCAGCAATCATGGTTTTAGCGTTTTACTCAAAATAATTTAAAATATATGTTCACACAAAAACCAACATACAGATGTTTATAGTAGCTTTATTCACGATTGTCAAAATGTGGAAATGACCAATATGTCTTTCAAGAGGTGAATGGATAAACTGGAATATTTTGAGACAACAGAATATTATTTCCTCCTGAAAAGAAATGACCTATCAAGCAATGAAAACAAATGGAGAAAACTTAAATGATATTGCTAAGTGAAAGAAGCCAATCTGAAAAGGCTACAGAGTTTATGTTTCCAACTATCTCGCATTTTGAAATGGCAGAAGTATGGATGCAGTAAAAAGATTAGTGGTTCTCAGTGGTTAGAGTGGAGAATGCATGAATAGGCAGAGCACAGAAGATTTTTAGGGCAGTAAAAATAGTCTGTTTGATGTATAATGGTGGAATCATATCATAATACATTTGTCCAAACCTATAGAATGTACAACAACAAGAGTGAACCATAAACTATGATAGGTAATTAGGATGTGACCATGGAAGCTTATTCATTGTAACAAATATACCCACTTTGGGAGGCCGAGGTGGGCGGATCACGAGGTCAAGAGTTCGAGACCAGTCTGGCCAACATAGTGAAACCCCGTCTCTACTGAAAAAAAAAAAAAAAATTATCCTGGTGTGGTGGCACACACCTGTAGTCCCAGCTACTCAGGAGGCTGAGGCAGGAGAATCGCTTGAACCTGGGAGGTGGAGGTTGCAGTGAGCTGACACTGCACCATTGCACTCCAGCCTGAGTGACAGAGCCGAGACTCCGTCTCAAAAAAAAAAAAAAAAAGAAAAAGAAACAAATATACTTACCATTTTAGTGGGGTATGCTGATAGTGGCGGAAACTGTTTATGCATGGTAGCAGGAGGTATGTGAGACAGAGTAAAGTATACAGTTTTCTCTACACTTTCCTCCAAATTTTGGTGAGAACCTAAAATTTTTCTAAAAATAATCTTAACACTTTTTAAAATTAAAAATAGACACGTTAACAAAAAGTGGATTAAAGTTAAAGGTGACACAAAATGCATTTACCTAAGGTGTTTTACTTAATAAGAAATATTTTTTCATGGCTCATGTTGGGAAATCATGACTGCCCTGAAAGATAAATTTTCCATTTCAAATGAGAATCTTAAGCTATTATATAAAGTTGACCAGATAAAAAGCAAACATGCTTTTGGAAATAAGTTTACTCTATGTAACTTGAAAACAAATTCTTAGCAAATGAACACTCCTTTGGTTTATGTATTTAAAAAATGTATTAGCATACTTATAGAATAATCACCTTGTACATAGAAACAATTAGATTAAAAATTAAGGTTTCTGAATGATAATAAAGAAAAACAAATACAAAAATACTGCATAAAAATTTTATCAGCAATAACTTCTGGATATATATAGATCTGCTTTTTTTGTCTGCCTAAAATAATTCAGTTCAAATCTTGAAAAAAGTCAGACAACAATTAATTCTTGAAATAATCATTGCAGGAAAAAAAAAAACAAAGCATTGATTCCTTCATTCACATCATTTTGGAGTAAAACCCTCAAAGCTGTCATCTGTGAATATGAAAGACAATCATATTTTTGAATACGAAACAAAGATTAATGTTATTCCTGGTTGAAATGACACACACAAATGTTTGCATTAGTAGGTGCAGGGCATAAGAACAGAAGGGGATGAGAGTATGCTCTGAGATAAAACAATATTTACTGCTCTAACAGTATAGATGATGTCTAACTAGCTCTGTTCATTGCTGACAATATGCCATCAGCCATAGTTGTATGAATTACTGATGTCTGCCAGCACTTCCCTTGAGCATCAGTACAATCAATATATCTGATGTTAATTCCCGGAAATCATTGTTCTTGAAGATTCTAAGAAACTATACTACATTTAGTATTATGTGTCAATCATATGCTTTAGTGACTCAATTAGGAAAAGTGGAAATTTAAATCTAATATGATTTATTTTTAGTTTATATAAAATAATTTTATAATAACCTTTCTCAAAAGCCTACAAATCAAAACATAATATAATCTAATTGGCCTGAAAAACTTTAGCTGGCATGCAATACCAAAAGTTATCATAAAGTAAAATAATGCAAAAATTCATCAAATGTCATAATTTTGAAGTTTTATTTTGTAGTTTGAGCAAGTCATGAAAAATTGCATGGCTTCTATATGTATTTGATATTGGTTTTCCATTTAGATTAGAAGAAAGAAATCTGTTACGTATTTATTTAACTAAAATTATTCTACAAGAAGTATCTATTTAGGGTCTACTTAAATTTAAGAAGCATTTATTTACCACTTCGAGCCGCTTTGCTTCCTTAAACATCTGGAAAAACCAAATAGCCTAAAGGTACTAAAACCAAATTAAGGAAAAAAAAGAGAGTTGTAAAACCTATTGAGATTTTTAAAATATTCTGCCTAAATAGTAGCTAATTTGCCTAAAATTATCATGTATTTTTATAAATAAAAATATCCATGTCATAGTTTATTACAGATGTTGGATTATTGTGTTTGTTTTAGTCTCATAAATATTAAATATTTGATTTTTTTACTCAGAAAAAACAAGAATAAATGCTAAAGTTTATATATTGCATTCGTTCAATTACCATTGCTTTGGTCAGGGAATTAGCTTAGAACTGAAATGGTGCTCAAAATATCAATAATATCTATTATCTCATATTTTAGGAAAATGAGACCCAGACTAAACTCTCTTGTATATGGACAGCTACAATGGGAATTAAGTAACTTCTGTACACCATTCTCATATCTATTAATTTGTCCATATATTCCATATATGTATGTGTGTATATATATATATATATTCATTCATCTATTCCTTTATGCATTATTCATTTTAAAATAAAATTTACATTCTATTGCACCAATTAAGTATTGCTTTATAGCTAGAAGTCTAGAGAGATGGTCTCTGGATCCTTCTGTTACACTGGTGCCTGTCCTCTCTGAGGACACGGTTGTTAGCATTTTGTTTATTTGAGCTAATTTTATATTTATAAATGTTTGTCATCATTTGCCTTGACAAAATAAAGTTACTCAAAATAGTTCTATATATCTGCCCAAGAAGACACTAGCAGGAAGTCAGGTTCTTGATACTGGGAGGTTAGATATGATGTTAATAAGGAGAAAGTGAAAAAATACAAAATACAAAATAGGAGAGTTTATTTAAATATAAAGATGAGAGTACTGGCAGAGTTGATGATTGATTTGATTTGCTTTGAGTTGAGTGGGGACGTAGGGAGTCAAGAAAGTTGTCCATGCTTTTCCCTTGTGCCAGTTTATGCAGATACACATTATCCACTGAACAATATATCATAAGCGGAAAACTACCACCAAAAGGTGAAAAAAATCAGTATTTGTATATGTACAATCTACTTTCCTTTATTTTTTTAGATAAGAAAACATTAAACCATAGGGATACTATTTTTCCTCCACTTCTACCTTCATTTTTTCTCTAGATAGGAAAGCATGGAACCACAGGGATTTGAATTATCTTCCACTTCTTGGTTTACCTGTGAACATTTCCTGAACTTGGCTCCATGCTTTTTTGGCCTTGGCTGTCTTTAATCTGTATCCATTCAATTGTAATAAACTGTAACCATGAGTAAACAGTTCCTCTAGGTTCTGACACACCTGAAGTGGCTTTGGGGACACCATTCAGCAGCTCATAATATATAGGGCTGAGCTCCTGCAATGATCACTGCTTAGAATGTAGAATGTGTTATGACACTCAGACTCATACCATGCATATCATCTCACTTAAAATAATGCAAAAATCATGAGAAAGATAAAGTGAAGTGAAATATTGATATGATGACATTAAGTAAAATGAAAATTATGATAGCACATCATAGTATAAGTAATGTACTTATTATTATATAATAATGAGTACTATAGAGTAATGTTTCATTGTTACCCTTAGAAGCTTGAAACTATGGTCCAGAAAACAGTTTTTGAGACAAAATGAAAAGTAGTTTTCCATATAATGATGATACAAATACATTATATTAAAATCTATTGTGTAATTACATTTCCAACTTAGGTGTTTTATTTTTTACACAGCTTTCTTGAGATATAACTCACTTACTATGAAGTTTACCCATTTAATGTGTGCAATTTAACATTTGTTAGTATGTTCAAAAAGTCATGGAGCCATCACTATAATCACTTTTAAAACATTCCCATTATAATTAAAAGATTACGTATATTAATTGTTCCAATTTCCCTGTAACCCGCATAGCCCCAGGCAACTATGAATTTATTATTATTTTGTCTCTATAGATGTTTCAATTCTGGACATATAATATAAATAGATAAGTATAATTTATGGGCTTCTGTGACTGGCTTCTTTCACATTTCTCTTGGTATTATGTAGTTAAGGGCCATCGTGTTTGGACATGTATTAGTACTTCACCTCCTTTTATTTCTGATTATATTCCATTTTATAAATACACTGAGTATTAATTATCCAATTTTCAGATGAGGGTCATTTGCACAGCTTCCATTTTTGATTATTATGAATACTGTGGCTATAAACATTCATGTACACATTTTTCTGTGGACATATGTTTTCATTTCTCTTGATATATAACTAGGTGTGGAACTTCTAGGTTATATAATAATTCCATGTTTAACTTTTTTGTTTGTTTGCTTGTGAGACAAGGTCTGGCTCTATCGCCCAGGCTGGAGTGCAATGATGTGATCTCGGCTCATTGCAACCTCCACCTCCTTGGGCTCACGCCATCCTCCCACCTCAGCCTCCTGAGTAGCTGAGACTACAGGTACACACTGCCACACCCAGCTATTTTTTGTAGAGACAAGGTTTCACCATGTTGCAAAGGCTGACTCAAACTCCTGGGCTCAAGCAATCCTCCAGCCTCCACTTTCCAAACTGCTGGGATTATAGACATGAGCCACTGCACCCAGTCTGTATAACTTTTTTAAGGACCTGCAAAGCTATTTTCAATAACAGCTGTATCATTTGACATTTCTACCAACAGCATAACAGGGTTCTAATGTTTTACATCATTATCAATGTAATTATTATCTGTCTTTTTGATTACAGCCATCCAGTTCACAGAAGGTGTGAAATGGTATCTCGCCGTGGTTTTGTTTTGCATTTTTTTTTTAATGATTAATGTTGGGTATTTTCTTAAGTGCTTTCTGCTCATTTTTATATTATTTTGGGAAAATATTCAAATTTTCTGACCATTTTAAATGTGCCTACTTACATATTTACTATTGAATTGTAAGTGTAGTTTACATATTCTAGATAAAAGGTCCTTATCAAATATATAATTTAAAAATATTTTCTCTCTTTTTTTGGTTGTCCTTTAATTTTCTTGATACTGGGCTTTGAAGTTCAAATATTTGTTTAACTTTAATGAAGTAGAATTAACTATTACTTGGTCATTTTATAATTTTGGTGTCATATTCAGGAATAATTTTTCTAACCCAAGGACACAAAGATTTAGTCACATTTTCTTCTAAGTTTCTAATAGTAGTTTCTCTTTCATTTAGGTCTCTGATCCATATTAAGTGAATTTTGCATATTATTTTTGGCACAATTTCATCTTTATTTTGCACATGGCTATCCGATAATCTCAGAAATATTTCTTATCAACTGACTTCCTAATTGAATTGAATTAACCTTTCTTTGAAAATCAATTGACCACACATTTAAGAGTTTATTTTTAGATTTTAAATTATATTTCATTGATATATGTGACTATCCTCAAGCCAGTACTATACTGTTTCAATTATTTTAGCTGTGTGAAAATTTTGAATTTGAGAAGTCCAAGTCCCCCAAATTTGTTCTTCTTTTTAAAAAGTGTCTTGACTATTCTTGATCCTTTCTATTTTTATATAAATTTTGGGATCACTTTGCCATTTTCTCCAAGCAAGACACCCAGTAATTTGATGAGGATTGTATAAAATCTGTAGATCAACTTGTGGAATATTTGATGTGGATTTGTGTTGAAGGACATATCCCAAGCTCCAGTAAGTGTTAGCAATAATTCTTGGAAAGAAATAGAAACACTTTTGGAAATGTTATGTGAATAAAATAAGCAATTAAATTAGCACTACTCTTGTAAAGGTATGACATAATATCAGTTCCCAAATAGCACATATACAGTGGGTATTTTTTAGTTCTTAAACAGTAAGAGTAAAGCAGGCATTTTCTGCAGAGGAAGGACTGTTTTTTTTTCACTTTAGGGAAGAATCCTGTTTCCATCTACCTGCTGCCATTTGGATGACACTGAATTTTATATCTATAAATAAGAAAAGTCAGAAAATTCTTTGACTGCTTTCACTGTGACCTATATGTTACTAAGAACAGTCTGGCTTCCTGGATGCTTTCTTAAGAAATACAAGTTTTCCAACAATATGTTTTTAAGCTCATTTTATGTATTTTATGGTGTCACTCTAATGTAGCCTTTGGAAATACTTCTGCAGTTTTACACAATACACAGCTACATAGTGTTTAGTGCTATCAAACTCAGTATTTTTTATTATTATATATTTTTCTTTCTGAAATACAGCCTTGGCTTTTGGACATTCTTTACTCTCCACCTTTAGAAGGTGGGAAGGCTTTTAAGACTCATTGTTCAGCATTTCCTCCTCAAGCATCAAATTGACAATGATCTCCTGCTGAGAAAATTTTTAGCATGGGATTGAAATCAATGTTTTTCGCAACATATATTAAAGTTAATGAGTCATTATAGTTTTAAACATTATCTTTTTGATACCTATTATTATAATTGTCATTCTGATAGGTATTGAGCCAGTTATAGTAAACTGAATTTCTCATATTACATAATACACATATTAAAAACAGTAATATCCTTCATTTTGTTGTTATTCTGTTGATCAATTATTATTCATGTACACGAACACACACACAGTTTTCTTTCCATAACTACTAACCAGAGTCCATGGTACAGGAGATTTAGACTTTCTTTTTTCCACAGAGAGATTTCTGATAAGAAAGCTATAATATGATAAACATTTTTTTTCTTGCTCCTGTCCTTGGAAAAATGAGAGTCTTTATTCTACATAGAATGGTAATGATGTACTAGGTTAAAGGGTACTACTTGTGTGTTTTCTATTTAACAGAATAGCTAAAATAGATTCACTATGTCAATAGCTGCCCACGGAAAGCCAGGAATGTATTGATTTCACCATTAAGGAGTCCACGACAGCAAATGGAATCTTAACTTCATTAAGCTTAAGTAAGCACATTGCCATTACCTCAGAACCATCTGTCTTTTTTTCCATTGGCTGACCAAGAATATCAAATGAGATGTAGTAGAAATCACTTTTAGTACAGTATAAGAGAAAAGCTTTTGGAGTCTAAGTACTCAGGTAGAAATTTAGTTTCCTATAGATTAGCTTTGGAACTTAGGTATATTATTTAGTGTATCTGGGCTTTAGCTTCCACTTCTGTAAAATGATAATAATCATGCATCTGCTTCCTATGGTTGTAGTTTAGAAGTAATGAGACATTACATGGAATATCATCTGGTATCAAAAAACTATTAACACAAAAGTTACCATTATTCATATTATTATTTACAATGGCTTCTTATGTAAGTTTTGGATATGTTTGCAAAGGAAAGGTTGGACTTTTTAATTTAGAGTATTATTTACAGTACTTCATTAAACTTCCAATAGAGGACGTTTATTGTAGGTAAGGATACAAGTATGGCCATTTTCATGGGAGAGGAGGCCTGTGAGTGTCATAGTGCCATGATTCTATGGCAAAATACACAGATACGGTAACAAATTAAAAGACAGCAAAGAGAAATAATAATTGATGTAAGGCATGTTGAAGCTAAAATTTTGACTGATAACAATTTTAGCCAATTTACCTTAATTAGCAGTTGGAAATGGGTAAGATTTACTTGAAAAGTAAATTAATTTTTAGATAGGCTACAGTTCATTGAGTTCATACTATTCAAAAAAAAAAAAACCATGAGAGATAACCTGAATGAAGATTTTAGATAAGCTATTTTTTCTCTAAAAGCAAAGGAAGATAGGAAGGGTTTGGATCTATCGGACAGTGAACAGAGAATAAAATTTGCACCTAATTCATGACAAATGAATTATTATTAGACACTACACAGGCCTATTTGAAATAAATGAATAAACAACAAAAATAGAAAGTATGAGAGACTTATCAATAGCCTATAAATATAAAAAATAAAGCAGAAAATAATATTTACACCACCATTGAAATTGAATGAATTACTTGACACTGAAATAATACAAATTCAAAAATTAAGGGAAAGATTTTCCTGATATTTAAATATTTCTACCTAGTTCTCTAAAGGTACAGCTATGAGAGGTAAATGGCAACCTAAGTGCAAATATTTGCTGAGAATGATTACACAGTTGAGATGAATGTAGAAATAATGAAACAAACGCTTTCCAAACAACAGGAAGAATTTGTTTTCTCAGCCTCTCTCCAAACAAAGGAAAGAATTTGTTTTCTCAACCACCTCTCTCCAAGAATAAGAGATAGCAGAAACAACAAATATAAAGGTTAGAAGGAGAAAAGAAAAGAGGAGGAAAACTCTTATCATCTTACCAGGTATAAAGTAAATAGAAAGGAAAAAAAAGCCATAAGGACAACTGAGGAGAATCCCTGATGAAAAAGATCCTATTTGGCCCGGCGCGGTGGCTCACGCCTGTAATCCCAGCACCGTGGGAGGCCGAGGCGGGCTGATTGCTTGAGATAACGAGGTCAATACCAGCCTGGCCAACATGGTGAAACCCCATCTCTACTAAAAATAGAAAAAGATTAGCTGGGTATGTTGGCGCACGCCTGTAGTCCTAGCTACTCAGGATGCTGAGGCAGGAGAATCGCTTGAACCCAGGAGGCAGAGGTTGCAGTGAGCCGAGATTGCACCACTGTACTCCAGCCTGGGCCAGGAGAGCAACTCAAAAAGGTCCTAAAGAGTTGCCTTGTATAGAGGATACCCTGATCCTGAGAAGTGGGAACTGTTTTACAGGGCAGTGTCTACATTTATTCAGCACTACAGTGAGAGCTACAATGTTTATAAAGCCCTCCATGAGCTTGACACAAAGCTCCTTACTAGAGGAGGGTGTTTACATTTCAATTACATATTGACAAAAGTGATTTCACATGGCACCAGTGTCTATGGTTCATTCTGAAAGCTGATGAAACTAATTTCTGAAATTTCAGAATAAGATCTTTACAGGGCCTTCTGGGATCTCAGTGCCTCAGTGGCAGTAAAGCCAATCTTGTCATTAAACTTTGACTAGGAACAAAACATTATTTTTCCCTGTTATGAAAACTTTGATTAGTAATAATTATTCTCGGACTTAAAGAGAGGTTTACTTGGATGTGGAATGTCATGAAAGTGAAATCTGTAGCAAGGCACACCAGAGGAACTGAAGAAAAGAATAGGCACTGAGGACTTAAGCAGGAAGTATAAACTGGGTATTTTCAAACATACTTTTCAAATTCTCACTAAAATATATGGGGATATATGTTGCATCTGCTAGACTATGGAAGGGCAATGCTGCCCTGCAATAGCTAGAACCAGTCAGTTAAATCACAAAAAAAAAAAAAAAAAAAAATTCTAAGGACAACAAAGAGGTGTGAAACAGTAAAAATGTGATAAAATAAAATTGCACAGAGTGTATGTATGTTCATGGTGAATTGAGGATTACTGGCTGCTTTGTTTGCAATGTGTAATTGCCAGTTCTAAGGATCATTTTCAGATCAGGCTGTGGGACTCTGATGTGAAAAAGAGGAAAATGTGGGCATTTTTAGAATATGAGATATTTGCTAAATACACTGGAGGTGCTGGGAACTGTGACACAAGGTTTTAAATGGTGATGTGAAAACATCTGCAGCCTCAAAGTTAATGGTACATAAAGTCCTAGTGGAGAGAGTGAGTCTGCATTAAAGACGTGATAGTCCTCAAGAAATGTGCAATCTTTGAAGCTCTTTGGTTTGAGAACCCTATACATAAACCTCAAAATCTTTTCAATACAGAACTAACGCTCCTGCAGTCTGTCCTGTGTGAAGAGTCACAGGTCTAGCAGGAGCTAATCCGAAGTCTGGGGGGACTATTGCAAGGTAGACAAGATAGAATGAGTCATCATCTCTAGACAGACCAGGCTCATTTATTCTTTTTAATAGAGTAAAAGTGGAATTGTATCTTTTGGGAGTGTCATCTAGATCCTCTATGGTTCTCCTATACAAAATTTCCAGCATACACTGTGTGCAAAGAGGTAGAAAAGTATGAATGGTAATGAAGGAAAATGCAAATATAGAATCAGATGTATAGATGATGATTCAGATATTGAAGTTTACATAAAGTACCTTAAAGTAACCTTGACAAAATGAAGAAAAGTATAAATAAAATGGAAATTTTCAATAGTTTTAACAGAGATTTCTAATCTATTCAGACTCATGATTATGTGACAACTGAATATAAACTATCTGGACTTGTGTTTACAGTACACTGGACAAAAGAGAAAGAGAATTACTAAACTCAGTGACAGAATCATGGAACATATCTGAACTGGGAAAAAAAAAAAGAAAACAAAACCCACCAGATGCATTTAAGGGCCACATCAATAGGACCAACATGTATAATTAGAATCAGAGAGCAAGGAGGAAACCCTCCAAAGTTCTAATAATGTAAAATATGTAAATCCTTCTCACAACAGGTAAGGAGAAATAAATAGTAGAAACAGAATTTAACAAAATGTTGAACAAAAATTTTCCTACTAATGAAAGACATCAAATCACAGAAGCAAGGTCTCAACTAACCCTACAAAGAAAACCAAACACATAATCAGGCACATATAAACATACTTCCCAAAGCACTTGTCAAACTATTTTAATTCCAAAGGCACAGAGAACATTTTTTAAAAGCTGTTAGGGATGAACATTAAATGCAAAGGTGAATTAATAAGATAGCTGACTTTTCAACAGGAACCATAGAAATAAAAGAGTAAACTTGTGAAAGAAAAAAAATCTAGCTTAGATTATTTAGATTTCTAGAGATAGAAAAAATAAGAGAATAAAAAAGGAACTTCAATAAAGAAAGACATTTTGAATGCATACAAACTAAGAAAATCATCAAAAGCCCTGAAAGAAGTGCTTCTTTCAGAAGTAAGGAAGTAAAAAGTTCTTCAGAATAAACAAAATTATTCAAGAGAGAAACATAGAAACCTCCCATTCTCCAATAAACTCCAAAGGTTCTAAAGTCTCTGAGGAAAAGAATATCATTTTATTGAAGTCAAAGGTGGAGTTTTTTTTTTATTTAATCCCATTAAATGAAATTCACTTTACCTTTATAAAACACGTGGGTCTGAGATTATAGAATATGGTATAAATTTTTGAAACAAAGGTCTTTTAAATATTTATTCCAAAATGTCTGTTACATACACTGATATGCAGGTGCACGATGATACCAAATTGTGAGTTTACAGTATATACAGCAGGCACGTGCACATATATGATGTGCTGCACAGTTGCATTGCATGTTATTAACACCTTTCCACTTAAACCTGGGAGTAGAATTAGGAAGCTAGGTAATTTTCTTTATGCCTGTTTTCAATTTTAAAAGGAAATAAGAATGAATTGTTTGATTTTATATAAATTAAATGTTGAAGATTAGAAAATAAACTTAAAAGTATTTGTGAAGAGACAGACAAACACAGATATGTAAAATATCATGAATTATAGAAGCATTATTAGACAGTCAGATAAACATATCTAATTGTAAATCCAATTAATTTGGATTATGAAATGCAATAGGAAGCCAACCTGTGCTACATCAATAGAAATAGAATGTTCAAAAATCTGCAAAATTTTCAGATTTTTAAAGCCATTATTTACTGCATAAATATGAGTAGAAGGCCATCAATCTATCTATGTGAATGATCCAGAAAAACAGGAAAAAGAAAATGCACCCTTTAGGAGCATAGACTGGTAAGGTAGAAACAAATTTGAAAAATGTATTATGAATTGTAGGGAGCTCAATTGAGCTGGCAAAAGAGATGTGTTGTCAGGTGTCTGAGTAGCCAATTAAAGCTGCAAGCCAAAAATGAAAGTGTGAAGCCTCTAATCATTTCCTTGATGATATAAGCAAGAAGCTACAACCAGAGAATGCACTGATGCCCTATATTCCATTTTCCCATGTGGAAGGATGCACCGATTGAGAGTAAAGTAGATCAACACAGATGTGGGGGGAGGGGGCATCATTTCACTGTTGAGGGAGCCTGAACAAAAGTCTTTAACAGTTTTACGGTCCCCATAGACCTGAGGGAGAAAAACCAGAAAGAGTCAGAACTGGAAAAGTACAAAGTAGTAAGTCAGAGCAGAGCAAAGTATTTTCAAGCTTTTTCCCTCCTCCCTTAAGGTATCTGAACTTCTTCAGATACCTTTATCTGCCCAAGGCCTCAGATAAAGAATGAAGGCACCTAGGCTTGGAATGCAAACATGTTAGGAGCATCACCAGCCAGAGGAGCCTGAGTCCTTCACTGGCACTTCTTCCAAGGACCGACGCATAAGCTGTGCACTGACTCTGGTGTTGGGAGGGCAGCTTGAGGCCTGCAGGTTAAGCCTTTGTAATTACCCATGGTCAGGCCTGAAAAATCACACAAAGGTTTTTAATCAGCAGCCAAATATCTCACAAATAGTCTTATTAAGAAGTATGAGAAGCGTGGCAGCTCACTTCTGTAATCCTAGTACTTTGAGAGGCTGAGGTGGGAGGATCACCTGAGGTCAGGATTCAAGACCAGCCTGGCCAACATGGTGAAACATTATGTCTACTAAAATTACAAAAAAATTAGCAAAACCCAGTGGCACGTGCATGCAGTCCCAACTGAGGCTGGAGAATTGCTTGAACCTGACAGGAGGAGGTTGCAGTAAGCCGAGATCATGCCCTTGCCCTCCAGCCTGGATGATAGAGCAAGATTCTGTCTCCAAAAAAAAAAAAAAAAGCAGTACGAGAAGCTATTTAAATCTGGATGCATGTAAAAGAATAGCCAGAGGGAGAAAATGGGTTTTTGTAAGGTAATTATATGGTAACTGAAATAATATACAGTTAAGGTTAAAGAAGTTATACATAAAAGCACAAAAAGATAAAAAAATTAAAAGAAAATAAACTTATAGGACCAGCCCTGCTGATATAAAAGCCCAATGATAGAAATTCCAGAAAATAATCCACATATTTCTAGATTAAAAGAAGATATCAAGCGTACAACTGGTAGGATACAAATAATCCTACACTAATACAAGTCAATCATGACATTTCAGGTCAGTTAATATCAAAGTAAGATCCTAGAAATGTAAAGAAAATAACACAATGGGCTTAATCAAACATAAGGATCAGAATACACAAAAACATTTTTCCAAACAACAATAACAATTAGTATATGGAAATATGTTTTAAAAACACAAAGGAAAGGAATATCTGCAGTAATTACACTTGGTGGGATAATTGATAAGACTCAAGACTCTAACAAGTTACATTCATAAGTTTTATCTCAGGCAAAAGATTTATATCATTAGGAGACACTATGATCTACTGGGAGTCTTAAAACACCCAAACACAGCTTCTAGTGTTCTGTCTCAGAGTTGCACAGAATCCAAATCACATCATCGAAATATGTGTGAGATAGCTAAGTCTCAGAAAAGCTTAGGCTACATGACTTCATATAATAAATAAACTAGAAACTCAAACAAATCAGTGAGAAAAAAACAATCTCATTAAAGAGTGGGCAAACGACATCAACAGACATTTCTCAAAAGAAGATACACAATAGATGTTGGTGTGGATGTGATGAAAAGAGAACATTTATATGCTGTTGGTGGCAATGTAAATTAGTACAACCTCTAGAGAAAACAGAACAGAGATTTCTCAAAGAATTAAAGGTAGATCTACTATTTTCTTCAGTAATCCTACTACTGGGTAACAACTCAAAGGAAGAGAAGTGATTATATCCAAAAGACATCTGCACATGTGTGTGATCATCACAGCACAATTTACAATTGCAAAGATATGAAATCAACCTAAGTGCCCATTAATCAATGAATGGATAAATAAAATGCTATTATAAATATGTATAGAAATATTTGTACATATATACACACATATGTATTTGTATGTATGCATATATACACACACACACCATGGAATATTACTGAGCCATAAAAGATATTAAAAATTTTCTTTTTTAGCAACTTGTCTGGAACTGCAGGCTATTTTCCTAAGTGAAGTAACTTAGGAACAAAAAATCAAATACAGCACATTCTAATTTATAAGTGGGAGCTAAGCTATGGGTACACAAAAGCCTACATAGGTGTACAATGGCCACAGAAGCCTCTGAAGAGGGGAAGGTGAGAGAGGGGTTAGGAATAAAATGTTACCTATTTGGTACAATGAACACTATTCAAGTAATGGGTAAACTAAAACCCCGGAATTCACCAGTGTACAATGTGCCCGTGTAACCAAAAATCGCTTGTACCCTTAAAGCTATTGAAATAATAATCAAACAAACAAACTCAGGCACACAAGTCAAACAATTTTGATTTTCAAGAAATAATGTAGATGAGCTGGTAATGTATACCTCTGAGGTAGATTTGGGATATAAATAGTTATGCTGCCACATCCACTAGTGTATATTATTTCTATTTTGAGCAAAGCTCAGTACCACGAATCAAGTGGTAAACAGGCTACTACAAACAAGATGAAAGTTCACCTACTACTTAACACATCAAAAAATCTACACATTCACGTTTTGCAGCATTTATAGTTAAAGGTAAATTTGGAATTAAGATATTTATAGACATGCAAAGTCTCATTTTTTCTTTTTCAAAGAACTATTGAGAAGACAGACATACAAAAATGAAGGATATAAACAAAGAAAGAGTAAGACACTGGATTAAGAAAACAGGGACTCAGCAACAAAAGACACAGATGGAAGAAATTCTCCAGATGACTCTGAAAGGGGTTCCTAAAATAAGAGCCAGGTATCTGGCGAAGAGAACCACTGTCTAAGTTGGAGCAGGTCTGGAGGCTTTAGAAAAGATTTGCTTAAAATTTAAGATAAAATAGTGAATGTTCTTATACACATTTGATACTGTGATACTGTAGTGGCTTGAATTGTATCCCTCAAAAAGATGTGTCCAAGACTTCACCCCAATACTTGTGAACATGACCTTATTTGAAAATTAGGCCATTGCAGATTTAATTAACAATCTCGAGATAAGATTATCTTGCATTTAGAGAGGACCTTAAATCAAATATGTGGGCATCTTTATAAGAGAAATGGGAGGGATATTTGAGCCAAAGACACAGAAATGATGGAGGCAGAGATTGGAGTTATGCTGCCACAAGGCACAATCACCAAGAATCAACAGAAGCTGAAAGATGGAAAAAAAAATAATTCTTTCCTAAAGGCTTCAGAAGAAGCATGGCCCTGTGGCAGCCGGATTTCAGACTCCTGACCTCTAGAAATTTGAGGGAATAAATTTCTATTATTTTAAACTATAAAGTTTATGGTAATTTGTTTTAGCAACCATAGGAAACAAGTACAGACATGTTCAGAAACTAAAGCAAACAAAATTATGACTAAGTCTGAAGAAATTGTGAATTCCTACCAAGACATAAAATGACATGATCAAATACCCTGTAACTGACATGTAAGTAAAATTTACATTATCAGAATAATATAAATCTGAATACTAATCTATAGTGTATCCAAAATCACAATCTAACTATATTTGTGATGTGGAAAAAGGAAACTAGGATTGAGTAAAATGAGGATGGATTGAAAGAGATCAAAATTCTCATTAATAGACAATGTTCCAAAATAAGAAATCAAGAAGTAGTTATATAAGTAATATTTAACCAGAAGAAGGCATATGTCAACAGAGTTAAGATTCTAAAATAATTATCTCTGTGGAGTTACAACTAGGAATGCAAGTGTAGAATCAGTTAATATTTCATAATATGTGTACTTATAACTTTGATAAAAATTAATACAGTAATTAAAAAATGAATGGGGAGTAAATAAGTGGAGAAAAATGATGTAGCCTCTATCTGAAAAATTCTAGCTGGGAAAGTTTAAGGTGTGTAATGATCTTATAGAAAACCTGAAAACACCAAAAAACAGCAACAATATAATAAGTTCGCTACAGATTCTCACATTACCAGATATTCTGTAGTTCTTTATTTCTGAAATTCCTTAATTGGAAAACAAAACAATAGTAATAGCCAAAATAAAAGTTACATGGATATAGTTTCATGAAAATGTGTTATATTCAAAATAATTACATTAAGAAAGCCAATATGATTTGTTATTTAAATAACTTGCCATATTATTAGCAACTCCCTTAGGTAAAGATTACAATATTATTCTGTAAATAATTGTTTATTGTGAATAAAATTTAAAACATCATTATTATTAATCTTAGATATAAAGAGATGTTCAAATCATATTGTTGTGCAATTGCATTTCTCTACTGCTTTAACAAGTGTTATTAAGTATAAAACATATTTGACATCAATTATTAGAAATTTTAGAATAAATGAAGTAGTCTTAATTATTACATGATATATGTTCAAGTAAAACAGAAGTATACTAAATTCGAGCCTCAGTCTCCTTTGAATTCTTAAAGTTTAAGACTGTAATTAAATGGATATCCTAACAAATAGAACAATGATTCTAATTAAATAAAGTATAATGCAATCCCATAAATGTTTAAAGTTGGTATATCCTGACTACACATATTTTTTAAATTATACATATGTCCATTTTTCTATCGTCTGCTATCCATGTATATACATATTGGAACAAGTTTAATACAATTGCTAATATTGAGGCATATATGTTGTGATTTCTTACATATATACAAATAGATATGCAGACAAATACCAGTATTGGAGTAGAGTTGTTATTTAAATTTATTATATTTTCAGTCAATTCTGAAGATGCCACAGTCTATATAACTTTTTTTATTAATGGTAGATTTATTTTGTGTCTTTTAAAAAAATATTTTGTAGATACACAGTAGATGTATACCTGTGGCACATAAGAAGTTTTGATAGAGTTATACAATGTATAATAATCACATCATGGAGAACAGGGTATCCATCCCTGTAATAATGTAATTATTCTGCATTTATCCTTTGTGTAACAAGCAATCCATTTACTCTCTTTTAGTAATTCCAAAATGTAAAATTAAGTTGTTAAGTTATTATTAACTATAGTCACCCTGTGGTGCTATCAAATAGTAGGTTTTATTAATTCTTTTTAACCGTGTTTTATAACCATTAATCCACCCTCATTCCCCCACTACACTTCCCAGCCTCTGATAACCATCCTTCTACTCTCTACATCCATGGGTTCAATTGTTTTGATTTTTAGATCCTACTGATAAGTGAGAACATGCAATATTTGTCTTTCTGTTCCTGGTTTATTTCACCTAACCTAAAAATCTCCACTTCCATCGTTGTTGTTGAAAATGACAGGATCTCATTCTTTTTTTATGGCTGAATAGTACTCCATTGTGAATATGTGCCACATTTTCTTTATCCATGCATCTGTTGATGGACACTTCGGTGGCTTCCAAATCTTAGCTATTGTGAACAGTGCTGTAACAAACACAAAAAAGTAGGTATTTCTTCGACATACTGATTTCCTTTCTTTTGGGTATATACCCAGTACTGTAAGTGCTGGATGATATGGAAGCTCTATTTTCAGTTTTTGGAGGAACCTCCAAATTGTTCTCCATAATGGTTGTACTAATTTACATTCCCACTAACAGTATACAAGACTTCTTTTTTCTCTACATCCTCACCAGCATTTCCTATTGCCTGTATTTTGTATTTGTTTGTTTTTGGCTATAAGCCGTTTTAACTGGAATAGATATCTCCTTGTAGTTTTAATTTTCCTTTCTCTGATGATCAGTGATGTTGAGTACCTTTTCTTATGCCTATTTGCCATTTGTATGTCATCTTTATTTTGTGGCTTTAAAATACCAATTGAGAAAACTGTCCTTGTTTGCAAATTCTCAGAATATGACCAGTAATAAACATAAGGTTTAAAAAATAACAAATATTTTATTTTCATATTCCTCTTCAGTTTGGTTTCTGTTACTTACTCTAATATTCAAACTGTGTGATATTAGTTTCCTTCTTAGTAAAGTCATAATTCAGCAAAAATTATTTCTAAAGATTTTTAGTCATAACGTAATATGTATTCTTATTTATAAAGTAGCTGCTAATTATATTAGAGAGTTAAATTTTCTGAACACATATAAATCAATAATAATAACATATAAACAATTAATTAAACAAAAAAACAAGTAGAAATTTCAACAGTATTAACTAAAACATGTATCTAGTCTAGAATTGTTCCACGGATTTAAACTGTAAAAAGAAGGAGTATAGAAAAAAATGCGTTGGTGTTTGGATTTTTAGATTCAGATTATCTGAGTTAAAATGCCTGGTTTTTCCTTTTCATTTCATTTGCATGTCGTCTTTGAGAAATTTACTTAACTTCTTCATGTTCCTTTTCTCAGCCTGTAAGACGGAATTGACCATCATATTGGATACCTCATGGGGTTGTAAGGATTAAATGAGTCACATTTGAATAGTAGTGTCAGGTATATTTTAAGCCTTCTATTAATGTTATAGTATTCCCATTATTCAGGACTCTTAGAGAACTCCTAGAATTAAGACTTGACTCATTATGTCCCCAGTTAATTATTGTTATTGTATTTTTAATTTGAGATTCTTCCTCCATTGAAAAAAATGTAGCACATTTCTTATTTTCTTTAAAATTAGAAGCTCAGCAGTGTATCTTAGAGTCCAAATTCTAAAGCTTACTTCTTTGCACCCTCTTGAACTCAGACCTATAGCACACCTCAGACCTCACATCTTTCCACTAGACTAGACCATCCTGTATGCTATTTCTGCTCACTATGTGTATTAGTTTGCTAGGGCTGCCATGACAAAGTACCACAGATTGCCTGGCTTGAACAAGAGCAACTTACTTTCTCATAGTTTTGGAGGTTAGAATTTGAGATCAAAGTGTCTACAGGGTTGGTTTCTTCTGAGACCTTTTTCCTTGGCTTGTAGATGGCTGTCTCCTCACTGTATCTTCACATGATCTTCCCTATATTTTTGTCTGTGCCCAACTTCTCCTTCTTATAAAGATGCCAGTAACATAATTGGGCCCACATTAATAACTTCATTTTAACTTAATCACTATTTAAAGACCTTATATTCAAATGCAGTAATATTTTGTGTTACTGGGAGTTAAATCTTCAGTATAAATTTGGGGAAAACACAATTAAGCCTGCAACAGAGCAATTACAGTCTACATCAGGTAGTGAGCTGTTTACTTTCTATATAAGTCATGGTTCTCCAGAGAGGCAGAACCAATGAGGAGGGGTAGAAAGAGAAAGAGAGAGATGTGAGAGGAAATTTATTAGATAAATTGGCTAATTGATTATAGAGGCTGAGAAGTTTCACAACAGGACATCTGCAAGCTGGAGACCTTTGAATGCTTGTAGCATAACTTAGTCCAACTCTCTAAGCCTCAAAGCCAAGGAAGCTGTTGGTGTAAACTCTCAGTTCAAGGCCAAAGACCTGAGAATCCGAGGGTCTGGTAGGAAGTCAGTGGTCCTGACTTCCAGTCCTGAAGTCCAAAGCCTGGAGAGCATGGAATTGTCCAACGACTGGAGAGGAAGAATATATCTTAGTTCCAGCAGATAGATTAATGTATTTTTCCTTTTCTCTGTTTTTATTCTCTCTGGGCCTGCTAGGAGATTGGATGCTGCCTACCCACATTGAAGATGGACCTTTCCCAATTAATCCATCAGACTGGGAAATACAGAAAGGAGAATAAAAAGAAAAAGAAACGAAAATCCACCCAGTCTCCCACACTAATCTCTTCTGGAAACATTCTCACAGACACACCCAAACATAGTGCTTTACCAGGTTTTTAGGTACTCCTTCCAGTCAAATCAACACCTAAAATTAATCTTTACAAGCCCAACCCTTGTCAACTGGCATCCATACACATCTTCCTAAGCCATACTCTTCAAATAAAAACAATAATAAAGTATTAGTTTTGCTTAACATGAAGCTCTGTAAAACCAAAAACTCATTAGTCCTGTCTTCAGAAGAGGAGGTACTCTTTGAGTGATGTTTACTCTTCTCCTGATATCCCCTTTCTTAAATACAATGACATAAAATTAACAATACTTAAATACTTATATAAATGCAATTAATATTATGTTATGATAAAGCAATGAGAGAAGCAAAACTAAAGATATTTGCTTAATATATGTACACATATGCACAGATGTATTCCTAACAAAACCAGGAGAAAATACTTAGAACAAATTACAGTCCTCATTTCTGCAACTGGTCATCTGATTGTAGCTGGTATTTATAACTATCTTCTTCTACTATTCATTCTGTATTCCCTTTGTCTCCAGCAAGCACCTTAGCCAGTCATGGTTCTTTACCTGGTGGGGTGACCCAAGGCTGCATTCCTGAAGAGTCTGAGCTATTCATAGTCTTGCCTGAATTGGATTATTACAGTTTCCCATTGACCTTAATCACACAGCATAATTGTAAGATTCTCCCTGGGGCCTGAAAGCTTAAGGGGATGAGTAACTCCTGCCTTCTCAGGCCCGGTCTTCAAAGTGTAAGGCCACTTGCATCAGCAGCATGTGTCAGTAAGATAGCAAAAGCAGGAAGAGAGCCAGTCAGAAGACAGCTACCCTGGCTGGAAGACACGTACCCCTGAAGATCGAGAAAGGCCATCCGCGTACCACACAGCAGTTACGTCAGACTAGGACACTTCCTGTTTACAAGAGACTATAAAATCTTTGCCCCGTCTTCACTTGGGGCTGACGCCATTTTAGACCTCAGCCCGCGTGCACCCAGGCACTCATTAAAACAGCGTGTTACTCCACACTGCCTTGTGTTGTCTGTTGGCACGCTCTCAGGGTTTGAACGGATAGAAGAACCTTACAATAATAGTACAAGACAAGCCCTAAGGGATCTTCTGTATTTCAGACATGCTATTTCTTACCTACATTGTGGAATAATAGTCCAATATTTCCTTTGTAGTCCAGGTAAATCACCCCAGCCACCACCATAATTCCTTTCTTAGCCTGTTGTCTCAGAGGAGCCCAAAGTGGCAAAGTGGCAGCCTTACATTCCAGTTAAATGGAATCATTGTTGTTTCTCCTGATGGAAGCATCCCTCTCTTTCGAAGTAAGACCCCTAGGCCAGCAGTATATAAAGCTGTGGGAACAGGGAATAAAAAATTTGCTAATACATCACTAGGGTCAATTGTGAGTGGTTTCATTTTTATTGCACCCCTTGATTCCTGGACCCCTGAATCCTGGTTATGGGAGAAAGAGTACTATGTATCGGGAGCCGATTTAGAGCACATGAAGCCTTCTAAAGAACTTTGTCCCAGCCCTGCAGTGCTAGCTATTGTCACCTAGCTGGCACTGTAGCTGGGATTTCAAAAGCTGTTCTACCTTTTCATCAAACCAACTGCTTCAGGACGATGGGGAACATGGTAAGATCAGTGAATTCTGTGAGCACGAGTTCATTGCTGCACTCCTTTGGCCAAGTAGTGAGTTCCTTGATTACGAGCAACACTGTGTAGAATATCCTGATGGTATTCACTGTGTAGAATATCACAAGGCATTTTGTGAGTTTACAAATGTTAATTTTGGCAGAAACATTGCATGCAGAGAAAGCAAATCCATATCCAGAGTTAGTATCTATTCCAGGAAGGAAAAAAATTGCCCTATTCCATGATGGAAGTGATCCTATGGGATAAATCCACCACCAGGTAGCTGGTTGATCACCCCAGGAAGATTGTGCCATACTGGGGGGTTCAGTGTTGGTTTCTGCTGCTGGCAGATTGGGAACTCAGTGGTGGTCATGGCCTGGTCAACCTTGGTGAGTGGAAGTCCATGTTGGTGAGCCCATTCATAACACTCATCCCTGCCACTGTGGCCACATTGTTCATGAGCTAATTTGGTGATGACAGAATTAGCTAGGGAAAGAGGCTGACTAGTATCCACAGAAGCACGGGATAGATCATCCTATCTACCTGATTATTAAAGTCTTTCTTTGCTGAGGTCAATCTTTAGTGAGCATTCACATGGGACATGAATAATATTTACATCCTTTGCCCACTCAGAGAGATCTATCTGCATACTTCTTCCTCCAATTTTTTGTCACCAATTTTCAAATCATGCCTTTCCAAGTCCCTAAGCATCCAACCAAACCATTGGCCACAGCCCATCAGTAGATAATGTAATCATACACCTAGTCATTTCTCCTCCCAGGTGCACAACCAGGTGCCCCCCTACCAAGTTCTTCCCATTGAGAAGATTTTACCTTACTACTGTCCAGGGACATCTATGAAAGGGGCTGTAGCGCTATAGCTGTCCACTTTTGAGTGGTGCCTGCATATAGTTTAGAACCATCTCTAAACCAGGCCCCAGTCTTTTCTTCCTTTGTGAACTGATCAGAGGGTATGCTTCATACTGCCATAGGTGTAGGCTGAGAGAGAAGGCAGCATAGCAGGAGTAGAAACCATGGGCATTTGGGCCACTTCTTCATTTAAGTTACTCATACCTTTAGGATCTGCTCAGGTTGGATCACTTGTATACCCCTTCCATTTGATGATGGAGTGCTGATGTGTGCACCCAACTTTACAACTTAGTGGGTCAGGTAACATCCAGTTCATGATGGGAAGTACAAGAATCACAGTAAATTCGTGGCCCATGGTCAAGCCTTCAGCTTCTACTAAGATCTAGTAGCAGAATAAAATCTATTTCTTAAAAGGTGAGCAGTTACGTGCAGATAATGACAGGGCCTTTCTCCAAAATCTCAAAGGAAGATCTCTACTGTGATTTACATATATGGACCTGCCAAAGGCTCCAAACAGCATCCAAGTACCATTAGGGCAACTGGATCATAATGCCCAGGTTGCAAAGCAGCTTTCACAACAGCCTAAGACCTGTTGCAATTCTTCTCCTGGTCTAGGCCTCACTCAAAACTAGCAGCTTTTTGGTTCACTTGGTAGATGTGCCAGAGCAACACATCCAAATGAAGAGTCTGCTCCTTTCAAAATCCAAACAGGTCCCTAGGTGTTGTGCCTTTTTCTTGGTTGTAGGAGGGGTCAGATGCAACAACTTATCCTTCAGTTTAGAAAGAATATTTCAACATGCCCTACACCAGTAGCGTCCTAGAAACTTCACTGAGGTAGAAGGACCCTGAATTTTAGTCAAGTTCATTTCCCATCCTCCAACATGCAAATATCTTACCAATAAGTTTAAAGTAGTTGCAACTTCATACTCATTAGTTCTAATCAGCATAATGTCATCAGTGTAATGGACCAATATGATATCTTGTGGAATGAAAAGATACTCAAGATCCCTGTGAACTAAATTGTTAGAGGGCTGAAGAACTGATATACCACTGAGATAGGGCTCTAAAGATGTATTGCTGGTTTTTCCAGATGAAGGCAGACTGCTTCTGGTGAGCCTTTTAGACAGGATTGTTGAAAAAAGCACTTGATTACATTTATTGATTTGCGTATATTGAACCAGCCTTGAATCCCAGGGATGAAGCCCACTTGATCATGGTGGATAAGCTTTTTGATGTGCTGCTGGATTCATTTTGCCAGTATTTTATTGAGGATTTTTGCATCAATGTTCCCCAAGGATATTGGTTTAAAATTCTCTTTTTTGGTTGTGTCTCTGCCCGGCTTTGTTATCAGGATGATGCTGGCCTCATAAAATGAGTTAGGGAGGATTCCCTCTTTTTCTATTGATTGGAATAGTTTCAGAAGGAATGGTACCAGTTCCTCCTTCTACCTCTGGTAGATTTCGGCTGTGAATCCATCTGGTCCTGGACTCTTTTTGGTTGGTAAACTATTGATTATTGCCACAATTTCAGATCCTGTTATTGGTCTATTCAGAGATTCAACTTCTTCCTGGTTTAGTCTTGGGAGAGTGTATGTGTCAAGGAATTTATCCATTTCTTCTAGATTTTCTAGTTTATTTGTGTAGAGGTGTTTGTAGTGTTCTCTGATGGTAGTTTGTATTTCTGTGGGATTGGTGGTGATATCCCCTTTATCATTTTTTATTGTGTCTATTTGATTCTTCTATCTTTTTTTCTTTATTAGTCTTGCTAGCAGTCTATCAATTTTGTTGATCCTTTCAAAAAACCAGCTCCTGGATTCATTAATTTTTTGAAAGGTTTTTGTGTCTCTATCTCCTTCAGTTCTGCTCTGATCTTAGTTATTTCTGGCCTTCTGCTAGCTTTTGAATGTGTTTGCTCTTGCTTTTCTAGTTCTTTTAATTGTGATGTTAGGGTGTCAATTTTGGATCTTTCCTGCTTTCTCTTGTGGGCATTTAGTGCTATAAATTTCCCTCTACACACTGCTTTGAATGCATCCCAGAGATTCTGGTATGTTGTGTCTTTGTTCTCGTTGGTTTCAAAGAACATCTTTATTTCTGCCTTCATTTCGTTATGTACCCAGTAGTCATTCAGGAGCAGGTTGTTCAGTTTCCATGTAGTTGAGTGGTATTGAGTGAGATTCTTAATCCTGAGTTCTAGTTTGATTGCACTGTGGTCTGAGAGATAGTTTGTTATAATCTCTGTTCTTTTACATTTGCTGAGGAGAGCTTTACTTCCAAGTATGTGGTCAATTTTGCAATAGGTGTGGTGTGGTGCTGAAAAAAATGTATATTCTGTTGATTTGGGGTGGAGAGTTCTGTAGATGTCTATTAGGTCTGCTTGGTGCAGAGCTGAGTTCAATTGCTGGGTATCCTTGTTGACTTTCTGTCTCGTTGATCTGTCTAATGTTGACAGTGGGGTGTTAAAGTCTCCCATTATTAATGTGTGGGAGTCTAAGTCTCTTTGTAGGTCACTCAGGACTTGCTTTATGAATCTGGGTGCTCCTGTATTGGGTGCATGTATATTTAGGATAGTTAGCTCTTGTTGTTGAATTGATCCCTTTATCATTATGTAATGGCCTTCTTTGTCTCTTTTGATCTTTGTTGGTTTAAAGTCTGTTTTATCAGAGACTAGGATTGCAACCCCTGCCTTTTTTTGTTTTCCATTTGCTTGGTAGATCTTCCTCCATCCTTTTATTTTGAGCCTATGTGTGTCTCTGCACGTGAGATGGGTTTCCTGAATACAGCACACTGATGGGTCTTGACTCTTTATCCAATTTGCCAGTCTGTGTCTTTTAATTGGAGCATTTAGTCCATTTACATTTAAAGTTAATATTGTTATGTGTGAATCTGATCTTGTCATTATTATGTTAGCTGGTGATTTTGCTCGTTAGTTGATGCAGTTTCTTCCTAGTCTCGATGGTCTTTACATTTTGGCATGATTTTGCAGCGGCTGCTACTGTTTGTTCCTTTCCATGTTTAGTGCTTCCTTCAGGAGCTCTTTTAGGGCAGGCCTGGTGGTGACAAAATCTCTCAGCATTTGCTTGTCTGTAAAGTATTTTATTTCTCCTTCACTTATGAAGCTTAGTTTGGCTGGATATGAAATTCTGGGTTGAAAATTCTTTTCTTTAAGAATGTTGAATATTGGCCCCCACTCTCTTCTGGCTTGTAGAGTTTCTGCCGAGACATCCGCTGTTAGTCTGATGGGTTTCCCTTTGATGGTAAACCGACCTTTCTCTCTGGCTGCCCTTAACATTTTTTCCTTCATTTCTACTTTGGTGAATCTGACAATTATGTGTCTTGGAGTTGCTCTTCTCGAGGAGTATCTTTGTGGCACTCTCTGTATTTCCTGAATCTGAACGTTGGCCTGCCTTGCTAGATTGGGGAAGTTCTCCTGGATAATATCCTGCAGACTGTTTTCCAACTTGGTTCCATTCTCCCCGTCACTTTCAGGTACACCAATCAGACGTAGATTTGGTCTTTTCACATAGTCCCATATTTCTTGGAGGCTTTGCTCATTTCTTTTTATTCATTTTTCTCTAAACTTCCCTTCTCGCTTCATTTCATTCATTTCCGAGGGCTCTGTTCTGTTCCATTGATCTATATCTCTGTTTTGGTACCAGTACCATGCTGTTTTGGTTACTGTAGACTTGTAGTATAGTTTGAAGTCAGGTAGTGTGATGCCTCCAGCTTTGTTCTTTTGGCTTAGGATTGACTTGGCAATGCAGGCTCTTTTTTGGTTCCATATGAACTTTAAAGTAGTTTTTTCCAATTCTGTGAAGAAAGGCACTGGTAGCTTGATGGGGATGGCATTGAATCTGTAAATTACCTTGGGCAGTATGGCCATTTTCATGATATTGATTCTTCCTACCCATGAGCATGGAATGTTCTTCCATTTGTTTGTATCCTCTTTTATTTCATTGAGCAGTGGCTTATAGTTCTCCTTGAAGAGGTCCTTCACATCCCTTGTAAGTTGGATTCCTAGGTATTTTATTCTCTTTGAAGCAATTGTGAAGGGGAGTTCACTTATGATTTGGCTCTCTGTTTGTCTGTTGTTGGTGTATAAGAATGCTTGTGATTTTTGTATATTGATTTTGTATCCTGAGACTTTGCTGAAGTTGCTTATCAGCTTAAGGACATTTTGGGCTGAGACAATGGGGTTTTCTAGATATACAATCATGTTGTCTGCAAACAGGGACAATTTGACTAACTCTTTTCCTAATTGAATACCCTTGATTTCCTTCTCCTGTCTAATTGCCCTGGCCAGAACTTCCAACACTATGTTGAATAGGAGCGGTGAGAGAGGGCATCCCTGTCTTGTGCCAGTTTTCAAAGGGAATGCTTCCAGTTTTTGCCCATTCAGTATGATATTGGCTGTGGGTTTGTCATAGATAGCTCTTTTTACTTTGAAATACATCCCATCAATACCTAACTTATTGAGAGTTTTTAGCATGAAGTGTTGTTGAATTTTGTCAAAGGCTTTTTCTGCATCTATTGAGATAATCATGTGGTTTTTGTCTTTGGCTCTGTTTATATGTTACTGGTACCAAAACAGAGATATAGATCAATGGAACAGAACAGAACCCTCAGAAATAACACCACATATCTACAACTATCTGATCTTTGACAAACCTGAGAAAAACAAGCAATGGGGAAAGGATTCCCTATTTAATAAATGGTGCTGGGAAAACTGGCTAGCCATATGTAGAAAGCTGAAACTGGATGCCTTCCTTACACCTTATACAAAAATCAATTCAAGATGGATTAAAGACTTAAACGTTAGACCTAAAACCATAAAAACTCTAGAAGAAAACCTAGGCATTACCATTCAGGACATAGGCATAGGCAAGGACTTCATGTCTAAAACACCAAAAGCAATGGCAACAAAAGACAAAATTGACAAATGGGATCTAATTAAACTAAAGAGCTTCTGCACAGCAAAAGAAACTACCATCAGAGTGAACAGGCAACCTACAAAATGGGAGAAAATTTTCACAACCTACTCTTCTGACAAAGGGCTAATATCCAGAATCTACAATGAACGCAAAGAGATTTACAAGAAAAAAACAAACAACCCCATCAAAAAGTGGGCGAAGGACATGAACAGACACTTCTCAAAAGAAGACATTTATGCAGCCAAAAAACACATGAAAAAATGCTCATCATCACTGGCCATTAGAGAAATGCAAACCAAAACCACAATGAGAAACCATCTCACACCAGTTAGAATGGCAATCATTCAAAAGTCAGGAAACAACAGGTGCTGGAGAGGATGTGGAGAAATAGGAACACTTTTACACTGTTGGTGGGACTGTAAACTAGTTCAACCATTGTGGAAGTCAGTGTGGTGATTCCTCAGGGATCTAGAACTAGAAATACCATTTGACCCAGCCATCCCATTACTGAGTATATACCCAAAGGACTATAAATCATGCTGCTATAAAGACAGATGCACATGTATGTTTATTGCGGCATTATTCACAATAGCAAAGACTTGGAACCAACCCAAATGCCCAAAAATGATATACTGGATTAAGAAAATGTGGCATATATACACCATGGAATACTATGCAGCCATAAAAAATGATGAGTTCATGTCCTTTGTAGGGACATGGATGAAATTGGAAATCATCATTCTCAGTAAACTATCGCAAGAACAAAAAACCAAACACCGCATATTCTCACTCATAGGTGGGAATTGAACAATGAGATCACATGGACACATGAAGGGGAATATCACACTCTGGGGACTGTGGTGGGGTGGGGGCAGGGGGGAGGGATAGCATTGGGAGATATACCTAATGCTAGATGACGAGTTAGTGGGTTCAGCGCACCAGCATGGCACATGTATACATATGTAACTAACCTGCACAATGTGCACATGTACCCTAAAACTTAAAGTATAATAAAAAAAGAAAAGAAAAGAAAAGAAAAAAGCACTTGAATGATCAATAGTTGCATACCAGGTACCAGGAGATGTGTTAATTTTCTCAAGCAATTAAACCACATCTGGTATAGCAGCTGCAATTGGAGTCACCACTTGGTTAAGCTTATGATAATCCACTGTCATTCTCCAGGATCCATCTGTCTTCTATTCATTAACCATCACATTTTTCAAGCACTATTTCAATTAATTTCTAGGCTACTCCTGCCCCGATTAATGGCTTATAACTGTAGGAAATCCATGCCTCATATCTCCATGATTTTGATTTGTTACATGATGTTATAAATTTACCCCAAAGATATAAAAGCCCTTAGCATTTTTCTGTATTGGAGTCAAAGCTGTAATATAAAAATAAATCTATTTTGTTTGTTCACTGGCATCCCCAATATTTCAATGTCAGAAAAGACATTAGACATTTTCTGGTTTAACTTCTTCATGTTATAATTGTAGGTATTCAGGCCCAATTGAATTCTTAACCAAAAGTAACCTGTGGTCATCACAGCAATAGCCAGAGAACATTTATTTAGGGTGATGACAAAAAAAATGAAATATGATAGATGGTTTATTTCACACTGGGAAAACTTGCTAAGAGAAATCATGACAATCTCCATTGTGGGTGGTAGGGAGGCATTCACTACTCTAAAGGTATAACTACTGCCAAAACAGGAAGCCCATCATTAGTCATGGTGTTAAAAAGCAAGGGAACATACTTTTGCTGATTGACATTTTTTTTAAAAATTACTTTCTTAGTTATGGTACCTGCACATGAAATGGAGAGGAGTTCAAATTTAGAAGACTCTGATCTTATATGAAGCTACTGAAGAGCTGTCTATCTTTCCCTATGGAGAGTAAGAGATAGATCTAACTTTATTTTCAAAAGGAAGCAAAAGTCCTACTGGGAAAGATGTGACTATTTTCATAAAAATGGAACTCTACTTTGGTATTATATTTAAGTATTTATATAATGCTCAGTTCAGTTATATAATTACATACAAATAAAACAACTTTCAATTAAGAATATTAAACACAAGTGGAATAAACTTTTTTTAGAAAAAAGCAAGTTAATCAGTAGAAATATAAAAACTAAAAAATTGTTCACTATTCTATGACTATGTATCATTATACTTTCCCCAGGAACTGGAAAACCTCAGTCAATTGACTTACCTATTGATTGAACATAAGCAATAAAAATTTCTGCTGCATACATGCTTATAAACTTTGAATTTATTTTTGTGTGTGTGTGTTATGTCTGTTTATTTGTGGATATGTGAATAATTTATTATGTAAATATAACATAATTTTGTGATTAAAAATAAAATTAGTGATATTTAGTATTTCTTATTGATGAATTTTCAATTAGAAAATCAATAAAAATACTTGTGTCAAAGAAATATTTGTATACTGTTTCACACTTACTAGATTGGAGATACGAATTTAAAGTTGTAGAAAATTCCTTAACTCAATTTGCTATTTATTTATATTTTTAATAAAAATTATTTTTTTCTAAAATAGTCAAGTTGGTAGTAAATATGTATTTATTATGTTTTACTATTTTTACTTTTAAAGAACTAAGCTACCAGTTTTTACACAATAAGAAAATGAAAGCATTATCAATTTCACCTAAGTTATCTGCCACAAAAGTTGCTAAACTCATGGCTTAAACTCCTAACATATCATTCACTTTTATGTAAATGAGTTGCAGAGTAGTAGGCTTTTCACATATCACATTTGAAAATATTTTCAGTACTAAAATTGTATCCTGTCTTTATTAGTTGTTGAATTTAAATTGGGCTTCTATCAACTTATTTTCTATTCTCCACATTAGTGCAGCAGGATTCAGACCGCTTAATATATAACAGTATTAGTGAAGACCTGTGTAGCTCCATCATAACTGACTTGTGGCTGTTATAATGGAGCTCCAATTTTAACAGAACTCACACTAGAGTTCTATACTGCTAGACATATATCTGCAGTTAAAACCTTGCACATTATAGATCATTATTACATAACAGTCTCCTTGAAATAATTTTCAAATAAGAGCAGAATCATATTAAGTGTTCTGAAAATAGTCAATTTACATAAAAAAGCATTATCATACAAATATAAAAAAGGAATGGTGTAAGAGAAAAGTGTCTTTATTAATAGAAAATTGAACGAGGAAATTTTACATGCAAGATTTGGAAAACATCCCAGAGTCAACTCATATGTAAAGAACACTGAACCATTTTAAAGCAGGAAGGTTTATCTCGTAACCTTCAATAACTAAGGATTCTATTGCGAGTCCTTCTAATGACTCACTGAAAAAGGTTATAGAAGGTGAATGTAGGCCGGGCGCGGTGGCTCACGCCTGTAATCCCAGTACTTTGGGAGGCCGAGGCGGGCAGATCACGAGTTCAGGAGATCGAGACCATCCTGGCTAACACGGTGAAACCCCGTCTGTACTAAAAATACAAAAAAATTAGCTGGGTGTGGTGGCGGGCGCCTGTAGTCCCAGCTACTCGGGAGGCTGAGGCAGGAAAATGGCTGAACCCTGGAAGCAGAGCTTGCAGTGAACCGAGATCCTGCCTGGGTGACAGAGCGAGACTCCGTCTCAAAAAAAAAAAAAAAAAAAAAAGGTGAATGTAGAGGTTACATAAAGAAGTGTCCTGTATTATCTATTTTAAACAGGAAGAAAAAAAAAATATAAGACAAGTTTATGCCGTTAGTTAAAAGGCCCAACAAAAATAGATATTTTCTAAAATCAAGTGTGCCCATATTTGTACTGTAGTCATCTTTTGAATAATTGGGCTTTTTGGCCTTCATCTGCTAGCATATTTGTGATAGGAATAGCCGAAAAATCTCACCTTACTTTGAAAAAGTATGATTTTCCCAAATTCCTTTATCAATCTTGTGTATATACATGTGTGTTTATACAAATGTATGTATATCTATGCACAGATATATCCAGATTTACACTTTTTCTATAGGAAGACAATTTAGTTTAAAATAGGAAAATGTCACTAATTTTCTTTTGGTCTAGAAGTTCTGTACAAAAAATAAGTAATTAGCACGTGAATTCCTACTATGTGGATTTCTTACTGTTCTTCAAAGTATTCAGGGAGTGTTTGTGTTCTATCAGGGAAAGTGTTGTGTGTACTCTTTCCCTGGTTAAAAATGAAAAGAAGTGACAGGTCCTGATGGGATCAGTTTCTTCCCACAGCAGGTGTGTGGAATGAAAGCAAGAGCCCCAAAGCTCTCTCCTGAGAGTAGCGAGTTTTAAAAACACTACAGTCTGGTTCAGTAAAATGCCAAGGCCATGACAAATGGGCAAGATATCCATATTTGAATCTCTATTACTATCTGCTAATTACCTTATGCTTCAAAATATATATTTTTACAGACTGTAATAAGTTTGTTTAGTCATGCACATAGCAGTGAAATGAAGTGGTAGAAAATAAAAGGAAGAATAAAGTGGTTGGGCAATAAAAGATGGGGAATAAATGCTACGAATAGAACAGTCTTGAGGAAGCTGTTTGAGTTACTCTAATAATCACCACCAATGGGTAGATGCCATTATTACTGGTCAATATAAATGATTTCAAATATTGAGAAAAATCAGACCCAACAGTATGTGAGAGAGAAATGAAAGAAACATTGATCTCATCCGCTGGGTCTTCACCTAAATTTTGCTTCTAAAATTTTTCTTTTCTCACCTGATAAAGCTTAACTGTAAAGGCATTTAGTCCAGGTGAATTGCTGTAACCCTTTTGTAGGTAGACAGACAAATGTGAGTTATAATATTCTTAAATACTTCTTATTTATTTTTTCTATTTATTGTACTGGGGTGTGTATGTGTGTGAAAGAGAAGGATTGTTATGTCCTAGAAAGAGTATTTTGTAAACATCATTTCATTTATTTTCATAGAATCTACATTTTCTAAGTTTCAGTTGAGAAAATCAGTTTCAAATGGGTTAAATAACTTCTTCAAAAATACTTTGCCTGTACTTGTTAAATCAATTCGAGTATCTTGGCCTTTCTGTCTTGTAAATTACACTTCACTAGAGCTGGGTGTGCTAGAGTATCTAAGCCTGCAGTAAGTTCTTTGTGGAACCCTGCACTCAAGATTAAAAGGGTTTAAACATAGATTTATTTCTGTAAATATATGCTTTGTATTGAAGTATAGTCATACAAAAATATCATCATGAGAGTTTTTTTATTTAGATATAGGATTTTTAAAATGTTAAGTATACTGTTTACTAAGTTACTCTGATGTGGTGTGAAAATCTTCTCATTATTAACTACTGATTATGCTGTTACCATCATCAGGCTCATCACAAATCCATCATTTTCTTGTTTACAAGTAATCCTCTCCCCATGATTATCAGACCTGGGACCTCAAATTTTTTTTTTTTTTGTCTTTCCTTTCTCTAGATTTATGTCTAAGTAAAATTTCCCCAATTTCTTCAATAAGTTTTGGAAGCTAGGTTTCATTCTCATATGTGAAAATGTAAATTGCAGTCATATGCTGCATGTCAGTTTCTTCAAATGAATTGTAATGGGTTTCTGATGAAAGTTCATAAGAAAGTCTTTTGATATTACTCAGAAATTCATTTTATTATGCATTGTCACTAAATGATGATAAGATAATTCATTGTCTCAACTAAAGACTTGACTTTTCATTAAAAAAGACTAATTTTCAATCAAAAATTAGATTATTAAGGCTAAGTTCAGAAATAAAGGACTGTATAAAGAAAGGAATCATAACCTTTGAATCCAGTTTGTAATTATTGCTACACTTAGAAATAAAGGACCATAAAGATGAAAATAAACTTTTGAATTGAAATTGTATTTATTTCTATGTCTATTCAATATTATTATTTAAAATAATCTCCAAGCTAGTGAGCATACCAGAGATGATTATTAAAATTTTACATACACTACAATATAGCTAAATTAACATATAATTTCAAACTATATATATTTATACATAATTGTATTTGAATTGGAATGCATATTTAAGCAATCTAAAACATACGTATGCAATTTAAAGTAATTATATTCCTTCCTATATATGTTATTTCAATATTCTTATAATAAAGTATGTGTGTACACATATATGTAAAATACATACAGATTTGACCTTTCACATCTGTGTGTTCTGCATTCATGGATTTAACCAATGATGGATAAAAAACATTTAGGAGAAAAAATTCCACAAAGATCCAAAAAGTAAAACTGGAATTATGTATGCACCTAGCATTATGTGGAATCAATGCAAATGAAGTAATGTGTAGGCATTGCATTATATATCATAAATAATGTTGATATAACTTAGAGTTATTATGGGAGAATGTGCATAGATTACATACAAGTACTGAGTCATTTTAGATAAGGGACTGGGGCATCTTAGGCTTTTGGTATCCACTGGAGAACCCAATACCCTGTGGATACTGAGGAATGACTATATTTAGATACACGTATATAAACTACATTCACCTAAAGATAATGTAATACAACTTTCATTGTTTTCCTCATTTATAAGGATATTACTTATTTTTTAAGTACATGACTTAAGAAGACATAAAAATAATACATGATTCAGAACTAATATATGTACATGGAAAATCACATGTGAGGTATTCAAAGCAGGGTGAATTTCCAAGAGAGTGTCTATTTTTTAAGTGTGGATATGGGTAACTTTTGGATGTATACTTTCCTCTGATTGTATAATCCCAATGCACTACCAGCAGATCCACCTATTTTATAAATAGGATCTATGGTGGATTTCTAGCAATGGCAGAATGTCCCTAAAGGGATTTCTAAGATCTCTGAGGCTTTCAGTTCTCGAGTTTATGACACAGTGTTTAGGTGTCATTTTCTCGAGTTTTAGAACAGAGTCTAAGGAACAGAAGTCTGGAAGTGGCTAAGTTCTCTGGAAGATCAAAGGGAAACACATGAATCTGAGGCTGTGTGAAGTGGTCAGACTGGCCCTGCTGAATGGATACTACCAGGAACTAGAAAAGAACTGACTTACTCACCTGCTTTGCACTGGCCTCCTGAAAGTCCATGGTCTTAATTATACCAGTTTCATTATTGCTCTGAATTTTCATCCTTGCATGCTTTTAAGGCTATCTGTATTCAAACAACATACAGTAGCCTCAGAAATAAGAGGCCCCTTACCATTCTCAATAGAGAGGTCTATAATGGCCACGTGCAATGATTTGAAGGCTATCTCCAAAACTTATCTTGAAATTTAATTGCCATCTTGCTGGTGTTAAGATGTAGGACTGTTAAGAGGTGATTAGGCCATGAGGGCTCCACCTTCATTAATGGATTAATGTTGTTATCAATTGAGTGAATTTGTTATCATGAGAATGGGTTAGTATGAAAGTGAGTTTGGCCCTCTCTCTCTTGCTTGCTCTTGTGTTTTCCTGTCCTTCTGCCTTCTGCCATGGGGTGATGCGGCACTAAGTCCTTCATGAGATGTGAGTGCCACACTCTTAGACTTCCAAGTCTCCAGAACCATAAAATAAACAAGTTTATACTGTTTATAAATTACCCAATCTCATGTATTCTCTTATAGTAAAACATAATGAACTAAGACAAAAAACTGGTACACAGAAGTAAGGCTGTTGCTATAACAAATACCTGAAAATGTGAAAGTAGCTTTGGAACTAGGTCATCGTTAGAAGCTGGAAGACTTTGAAGGAGTATGCTAGAAAAAGTCCAGAGTGCCATGAATGGAGTGTCAAGGGTGATTCTGATGCGGGATCAGAAGTAAATAAAAAAGGTAGAGAAAGTCTATAACTTCTTGAAGAAGAAGTTCTCTAACGTGATAGAATATTGGTAGAAGTATAGACCATAAAGGCGATTCTGATAAGGTTTCAGATGCAAAAAGGGAATGTCTCATTGAAAAATAGAGAAATGCCCATTCTTGTTATGAAGTAGCAAAGAACTTGGATGAATTGTGCACACGCTATACAGCTTTATGGAAAGTGAAATTTCAGAGCAATGAACTGGGATATCTAGTGAAATAAGTTTCTAAGTAAAATGTTGTAGAAATTGCCTAGCTACCTTTAACCACATATAAAAAGTGAGATAAAATAAATGACTCAAAGGTAGAATTTATAATTAAGAGAGAAACAGCATAGAAAGATTTTGAATATTTTCAACCCGGTCATGTAAAGAATGAAAAAGCATACTCAGGAGCACAAACCAAGGATGTGGCCAAGCAACCATTTGCTAAAAAGATTAGTACAGAAAGAAGGGATCATAAAAACAATGGCAGAATGTCACTAAAGGGGTTTCTGAGATTTTTGAGGCTGCACTTTTTATAATAGTCCCAGAACTCGAGGAAGGCAGAATAGTTTCCAGAGACAGGCCCAGGGCACTCTCTAGGACAAGCTGCCCATAATCACCCCATGTCAATGCTCCACAAATTTTAGCACAGCTCCTTGGTTGCTCCAGTCACAGCTCAAGTGGGTCCAAGTGCAGCTCCATCCACCATTCTTGATGATACAAGCTATAAGCCTTGGTAGTGTCCATGTGGTACTAATTTTGTAGGTGTGCAGAATGCATAGCCATGGGGGCATGGCTTCCTTCACCTCAATTTTCAATGTTGTCACAAACAGCCTAGGGGCCCAGTCAGAGACTTGTTGCAAGAGAAGAGCCACCACAGAGAGCCCCCACTAGGGTGATGCCTAGCTTAGCTGTAGTAGTGAGGTCAATATCATGACCTCATAACTGTAGAGCTACCACATTGCAGCATCAGTGTGGGAGAGCTGCAGGCCCAGGATACCAACAAATGAGAGCTGTTGGATGAACTAAACCTAGCAAAGTTATAGGGGTGGGGCTGCCTAAGGTTTTGGGAGTCCAACTCCTGTTCCACTGTGCTCAGGATGTTAGACATGGAGCCAAAGGAACTTATTCAGGATCTTTAAGACTTAATGTTGTTTTCATTGTTGAGTTTTGGACTTTTGGGTACCAGTTACCCCTTTCTTCTTGTTATTTCTCCCTTTTGGACTGAGAACACCTACCCCATGTCTGTCCTATAGTTCTACTTTGGATGCATGCATGTTAATTTCACAAGCACACAAATAAATAAAAATTTCCCTCAGGCTGAATTGTGCCTTGAATCACAGCCTTATCTAATTCAGATGAGAGTCTGGACTTTGGACTTTTGAGTTGGTGCTGGAACAAGTTAAGAATTTGGGACTCTTGGGATGTAATAAATACATTTTGTCTGTGAGAAAGACATGAGTTTTGAAGGGCCAAGATTAAAATGCTGTGGTTTAACTGGCCTCTCCAAAAGTTATGTTGAAATTTAATTGTCGTGGTGACTGTATTAAGACTTCAGATTGTTAAGGGTGGTGAGTAGATGATGAGGCCTCCACCCTCATTAATGGATTAATGTCATTATTGTGACGGTGGGTTGTTATAAAAGTGAGTTCTGCGCTGTCTTACTCTCTTGCTTTCACATTTTCTTCTCTTCAGCCTTCTGCTATATAATGATGCAACATAAAGTCTTTCACAAAATGCCTGAACCATGCTCTTATAGATTTCAGTCTCCAGAAACATGAGCTAAATAAATTTCTATTGTTTATAAACTACTCAGTCTCAGTTATTCTGTAATCACAACACAAAACAGACTAAGACATAGGCTATAATTTTCACTACACTCTTTTAAAAAGAATATCATGCTAAAGAGTCATAGTTTGCCAATTCTGCAAGATATGTATGAAAAACTCCAATAGTATGACTGATGAAGTATCCTACACTTTCTGATATAGGCAAGTCAAGAAAAATTATAACTAATATAATAAAACTCTGAAGAAAAATCCAAGCAGTGAACTCCTTTTGAGGTCATTAAAAATCAAATAATAAGACTTCTTAGGCAGATATAAAAATATGATGTATAGGTAGAACAGATAAAAACAACAAGCAATTATGTAACTAATTTTCACCCTAAAAATTTCAAGGAAAGAAAAAATGCTAATCACCCTTAATAATAACATTAAGAATGTTGAAATTTAGCTGTTGAAATTATGTGACAGCATAGAGCAATTTTTTTTTAAAAAAATTATGATTGTAAAGGGATATAGGAAACATATGTAGGATGCTAATATATTAAAAATGAGGCCGAGCGCGGTGGCTCATGCCTGTAATCCCAGCACTTTGGGAGTCTGAGGTGGGCAGATCACGAGGTCAGGAGATTGAGACCATTCTGGCTAACACGGTGAAACCTCGTCTCTACTGAAAACACAAAAAGTTAACCTGGCGTGTTGGCACGCGCTGGCAGTCTCAGCTACTCAGGAGGCTGAGGTAGGAGAATCGCTTGAACCCAGGAGGCAGAGGTTGCAGTGAGCCAAGATCACGTCACTACACTCCAGCCTGGGTGACAGAGTGAGACTCCGTCTCAAAAAAAAAAAAACTTCCAGAGGAGAAAAGAATCAATTAAATGAGAAAAAAAAAGTAAAGAAAAATAAACCTACGGTAAGAAAGATGTGAATATTCATATTATTAAGGCTCAAAAAGTACCATATGAGATTAGCAAACTTTTAAAACAGCATATATATGAATATCCTAGGTATTTTTGCACTTGCAGTTCCACACTAAATTGCTATCTTAACCTTTGTTAAACAGTGGGAAAGCACAAATTGTGAACTAGCATTAAATCATAGTGGTTTCATAGCTATCTCATAATGCTAAATTTCTTTATATTTAAATATAATTGTATTTTCCTGTATTAAACCTAAAGTCTGTGCTATAGGATTTTAAATGTATAATATACAAGAAAAATAACTGAAATTACTTCATTTTAGTGTATCTGTCATTATCTGCTGTCCTACCCTCAAATACATTCACTAAAATATCATCACTTTTATAGAAAATATATATTTAAAATATAATTATTATTTTCTGAGAAGATGTTAATTACTCATGAACCAGATTTAATTGATTCCTTGTGGTCTGACAAAGAATAAATATTCCTTTTTATATTTCTAATATTTCCTCCTATATAATTATAAGTATTTATACGTAGGGTTTAAATCAAATTTTTCATGTATGACATCAATTTATTTTACTAATGTTCAAAAGTTGGAACTGTATTATGTATGTGTTTGTACACGTATAATTTTAAAAAATTATGAGATTAAGATTTTTACTCAGGTTTATTTTAACATCTACTTAATATAAATGAACCTCAGAAGATAATTTGTCATTACTTGTGTTATTGTTTAAACACAAGATTTTGAATTGTAAAATTTCAAACTTTTCTGTGAGCCCCCAGTACTATCTTAAACATAGACAGAAAAATCATGTAAAATAAAGTGGGAAACTTTTCATACTGAATGAGTATTTTTCCATTTATTAGAAGATCTAATGTGTTAGACTATTCTTTTTTTTAAAGAGGATAATTTGACAGAATAATTTACAGAAACCCCAGTCTACTAAAATTAAAGAGAAGGAAAAAAAAAATCCCCAAACACCTTCATAAAGATTGTCAAAGGCCTTCATAAAAATATTTTAACCAAAGTGCTTTTGTCTCGGTTATGAGGTCTATTATTTTAATTAAATTTCTGCTTTTAGGTGTTCTGCTTTCTTTCTGTTAAATTTATATTTCTTCTTTTGTACTCCACTATTAGAATTATTCTTGCTATGTTTCTTTTTTCTGATGACTCGAAATGTATAAATATATTTTTATTCCATTGTTTTTATATTTATTAAATAAACGTGTAATTGTATACATGAAAAGGGACTAAGTTATTGCAGAGCGGTATTAATACAGTATATACAGTATATATACAGTATATATACATATATATGTTGATAGGAAGCATGCAATTTATACCAACAATTTTGTTTTACATTTAAATTAAATGACATTAAATGTTGTCTCGGGCTTTCTGTGGAGGAGAAAAATATATTTATGCTCCAGACACCCAACACTTACCTTGAATTGTAATAATCCCCAGATATCAAGGGTGGAACCAGGTGGAGATAATTGAATCATGGGGGCAATTTCCCCCATGTTGTTCTCATGATAATGAGTTCTCCTGAGATCTGATGGTTTTATAAGGGGCTTTTCCCCACTTTGCTCTGCACTTCTCTCTCCTGCTGCCCTGTGAAGAGGTATCTTCCTCTATGATTGTAAGTTTCCTGAGGACTCCCTAGCCATGCAAACTGTGAGCAATCAAACCTCTTTTCTTTATAAATTACCTAGTCTTGAGTATTGCTTTATAGCAGCATGAGAATGATCTAATACAGTAAATTGGTACTGGGAGTAGTGGGGTGCTGCTGTAAAGATATCCAAAAATGTGAAAGCGACCTTGGAACTGGGTAACAAGCAGAGGTTGGAACAGTTTGGAGAGCTCAGAAGACAGAAACATGTGGAAAGTTTGTAATTTCCTAGAGACACGGAGGGCCCAAAATACAGGAAGATGAGGGAAAGTTTGAAACTTCCTAAAGACTTGTTGAATGGCTTTGACCAAAATGCTGATAGTGATATGGACAATGAAGTCCTGGCTGAAGTGGTCTCAGATGGAAATGAGAAACTTGTTGGGAAGTTGAATAAAGATGACTCTTGATATGCTTTAGCAAAAAGACTGGAAGTATTCTGCCACTGCCCTAAAGATCTGTGAAACTTTGAACTTGAGAGAGATGATTTACGATATCTAGTGGAAGAAATTTCTAAGTAACAAAGCATTCAAGAGGAAGCAGAGCATACAAGTTTGGAAAATGTACACATTGATGATGCAATAGAAAAGGAAAACCCATTTTCTTGGAAGAAATTCAAGCCCTTGGCAGAAATTTGCATAAGTAATGAGGAGCCAACTGTTAATCACCAAGACAATGGAGAAAATGTCTTTGGGGCATGTCAGAGACCTTCATGGCAGGCCTCCCGTCGCAGGCTTGGAGTCCTAGGAGGAAAACATGGTTTCGTGGGCTGGACCTAGGGCCAGCCTGCAGCCTTGGGACATGGTGCCCTGTGTCCGAGCTGCTTCAGATCGAGCTGTGATTAAAAGGGGCCAAGGTACAGCTCAGGCCATTGCTTCAGGGGGTGCAAGCCGTAAGCCGTGGTGGCTTCCATATGGTGTTGGGCCTGCAGGTGCACAGAAGTCAAGAATTGAAGTTGGGGAACCTCTGCCTACATTACAGAGGATGTTTGGAAACACCTGGATGTCCAGGCAAAAGTTTGCTGGTGGGCAGAGAGCTCATGGAACACTTCTTCTAGGGCAGTGCAGAAGGGAAATGTGGGGTTGAAGCCCCTACACAGTGTCCCCATTGGGACACTGCCTAATGGAGCTGTGAGAAGAGGGCCACTGTCCTCTAGGCCCCAGAATGGTAGATCCACTGACAGCTTGCACTGTGCAAGTGAAAAAGCTGCAGAGACTAGATATGCCATTGTATCTAGGAAGTAAGTAACTTGCTTTTGATTTTACAGGCTCATAGGTGAAAGGGACTTGCCTTGTCTTAGATAAGACTTTGGACTTGGACTTTTGGGTTAATACTAGAATGAATTGAGACTTTGGGGGACTTTTGTAAGGGCATGATTGTCTTTTGAAATGTGAGGACATGAGGTTTGGGAGGAGCTAGGTGCAGGATAATATGGTTTTGCTCTGTGTCCCCACCCAAATCTCACCTTGAATTGTAATAATCCTCACATGTCAAGGGCAGGAGCAGGTGGAGATAACTGTATCATGAGGGTGGTTTCCCCAATGTTGTTCCTGTGATAATGAGTTCTCAGGAGATCTGATGGTTTTATAAGGTGCTTTCCCCTTTGCTCTGCACTCATTCTCTCTCCTGCCACCCTGTGAAGTGAAGTCTTCTGCCATGATTGTTAAGTTTCCTGAGGCTTTTCCAGCTATGTGGAACTGTGAGTCAATTTAACGTCTCTTCTTTATAAATTACCCTGCCTTGGGTATTTCTTCATAGCAGCAGGAGAACGAAGTAATACACAAATGCACATCTTTTCAAAGGAAGAGAGAGAAGGAAAATAAGAGGATTGACAATAAATTTTATATAAAGCAAATCATTAAGGAACCACATTTTCTCAGGATCTAGCCCATTGGTCTGGTGTTTGGTCAGAAGACCAATGACTTTCAGATTTCTATGTTGATTTAGAAGCTTTAGACCTGCTGAATTCAGATATATTTCCTAAATTCCATGCAATATACCTTCTATTTCATTGTGGTAGGAAATATGTATAAATTTGTGTTGCATTTATAATGCTGAATTTTTTTTAATTCAAAATTAGAAATAGGTAGTGATGGTGAGGAAAATATATGATATATGCATGCAAATGTTTTATAAAAATATAAATTATTAAGGAAAAAATTGTAATTCATGTAAAGAAAACAGCTTAAATTTCTGATTTAACTTAATGTAATTTTCTCTTACTTGAAGGTAAGCTGCATGAGTACAAAGACTTTCGGATATTATCCACAGCACATATAATGGAGAGAGGTACATATTAGGCCCTCAATGCAAATATGCAGTGAATGAATATACAGAGAATGAATGATAGAATCAACTAGTTATGATGTAATGAAATGACCGAATACTATTGGAGAGAAGCCAGTTGGAGGGGCAGGAAAAAAGAGAGAAAACAAGGAAAAGAGTATGATCATGGAAAGGAGGGAAGAAAAAAGAAAAAAAGGAGGGAAAAGTAGTATTATGAATTTTTTGTCTTCTTTAAAAAAGCTATTACATTGTATATAAAAATTCATAAGCACCAAGCTGAATTCCTTTTCCCAGTTGGAACAAAAAAGATTCTTATGTCAATTTCAAATTGAAAATCTCATTCAATTCTTCAAACAGTTGGTAACCTGAATGTTTATAATATGAATAAAAAGTATGATGATTTTGAAGGAGGAATTGAGTTTTTAAAATTCAGGTGTCTCAAATGGGAATAGAAGAGCAGTTCTCTGTGCAATGCATTGCCTGCTGTTTTCATTAAACAGTAACTGTGCTTTCTTTGAAACTTTGCCCCATAAAAATAGAAAAAAAAATAATCAAATGAATTCAAGTCAAACAGTTGTAGTTTTTGGTATAGCTGTTGTATTTCACCAAAATGTCAAGTACTTAAATGCAGATGGTTTTTGTGTTTCCTGCTATTTTCAGAATGACATTCCTTGGATTGAAGCTGGTATTGATGAAACTGATGCACATTACCACCTCCCCAGGAGCTGGAAGAACTCACCCATAGGAGAAGTATAAAAGCAATGAAAGCACCTGCTCTGAGCCAGAGAGGAAGCTGCCTGAAAATAGAAGCTCTGTTTGTTTCCTTAGCTATGTCATCCTAACGACTTAATAAAAAGCTTCTAAGCAAACAAATCATGTTTGATCACAACATACAACAAAAGCAGATATTCAACAAGCACCCACATTTAAAATGTGCTTAATTATTAATTTATTTGCAGTGAAATTCACAAAACTTCCTTATAATCACATACTTACTATTTATTTTTCAACTAATTTAAATGTTCTGTTTAATTTTTATAAAATTAAATTAAATTGTCCCAGTTCCTCTAAGAACTGGGACAAGACAAAGGTGCCCACTTTCTCCTTTCCTATTTAACATTGCACTGGAAGTCCTAGCCAGAGCAATCAGGCAAGAAAAGAAAACAAAAGACATCCAAATTGGAAAAGATGTAGTCACATTATTTCTGTTTACTGATGACATCTCATACCTAGAAAACCCTAAAGATTCTTCCAAAGACTCTAAGACTTAATAAAAATCCTCAGCGAAGTTTCAGAATACAAAACTAACATACAATAATAAGTTGCATTTTTATCTGTTTGCCACTCAAGCTGGCAACAAGTAAAAAATTCAATCCCATTTAAAATAGTCAAACACAAAAACAAACAAAAAAATCTAGGCATACATATAACCAAGGAGGTAAAAGACCTCTACAAGAAGAACCATAAAACACTGATGAAAGAAATCACAGATGACACAAACAAATAGAAAGATATCCCATGCTCACAGACTGGAAAATAAATCTCATTAAAGCAACCATACTGCCTAAAGTAATCTAGAGATTCAACAGAATTCCTGTCAAATTGCCACCATCATTTTTCAAAGAATTAGAAAAAAAAATTTTCTAAAGTTCATATGGAACCAAAAAAGAACTCAAATAGCCAAAAGAATCCTAAGCAAAATAGAACAAAGCTGGAGGCATCACTGTTACCTGAGTTCAAACTATACCACAAGGTTATAGTAACCAAAACAGAATGATACCAGTACAAAAATAGACACAAAAGTCAATAGAACAGAATAGAGAGCCTAGAAATAAAGCCACATACCTACAACCAACTGATATTTGACAAAGTTTACACAAATAAACAATGAGAAAAGGACACCCTATTCAATAAACAACGCTGGGATAATTGGCTAGCTGTATGCAGGAGAAGAAAGTGGACCCTATGTCTCACCATAGATAAAAATTCACTCAAGACATATTAAAGACTTATATGTAAGACCTAAAACTGTAATAGAAGAAAATCTAGGAACAGTTGCTCTGGATATTGGCCAAGGCAAATAATTTATGACTAGGACCTCAAAAGCAAATGTTTAACAAAAAACAAAAATGGACAAATGGGACTTAAACTAAAGAGTTTCTGCAAAACAAAATAAATAAATAAATAAAGTAAATAAGCAATTTACAGAATGAGAGAATTTGCACATTATGAATCTGACCAAGATCGAATAGCCAGAATCTATAAGGAACTCAAACAATTCAACAAAAACAACAAATAACCTCATTAAAAATTGAGCAAAGGACATGAACAGAGATTCTCAAAGGAAGACATACAAGTGGCCAACAAACACACAAAAAATGATCAACACAACTAATCATCAGAGAAATGTAGATTGAAGCCACAGTGAGATACCATCTTATGCCAGTCATATTAGCTATTATTTAAGTGTCAAAAAATTACAAGTGTTGGTGAGGATACAAAGAAAAGGGAACAGTCATACACTGTTGGTCATAACATAAATTAGTACAATCTCTTTGGAGAACTGTGTGGACATTTCTCAAAGAACTAAAAATAGAATTATCATTCAACATAGCAATTTGAATCCTGTGTATCTATGAAAGGAAAAAAAATCATCTTATCAAAAAGAAACGTGCACTTGTACATTTATGGCAGCACTATTTATAACAGTAAAGTCATAGAATCAACTTAAGTGCCCTTCAACAGTGGATTGAATAAAGAAAGTAGACAAGCAGAGATCAAGTTGTGACTATGTAATGAAATATCTTACTGTTTTAAAATATCCATCTGTCTGTGAATGTACATGAATACATGTGTGTCTGTGTGTGGAGGTTTGCTGTATAAGATATAATTCATAAGGAGTCAAATAATATTGTGCAGAACTTATGAACTTTAAAAAGCCACCTTAAAGGACTTATAAGAAAAACCAAGAGCATAATTCAAATGAAAAATACTAAAAGTATTTTTAAGGAAATAATGGAAAACATGGCAAAATTAGGAAAGTAGCCTTTCCATAAAAGGGTAGGAATGTTCACAGAAGAAACCCCAAGAAGCTAGAAATAAAATATTTCACATGAAATTAGGTAAAACTATCAATTGTAGTACATTCTCTAATGCCTTAAAGAATCACAATATTACTGGACAGATCATAAGTACTTGGAGATCTCTAAAAAGTGTATAATAGTGGAAAATGTTATCAAATATGTTGCTTTAAGTGAGTGAATAACCAGTTATTACTATATGTTGCTTATTTGCTTTTTTAAACACACACACACTAATACACACTAATTAACACATTATGTGAGCTCTTGTGTCCTTTTTATAGATTTTGTTGTTATTCCTTATAAATGAAGGATGGGAAGTCTCAGATTATGACACAGGAAAGAGGTCCATAATTTGGAAAGCCCTTTTGGTGATGTGTGCAACCTGAAAAAATAATTTAGAAGAGAGAAACTACAGTGCTTGCTTAAAGAGAAAGAAAAATAATCAAATGAAAGAAGCAATTGCCTTTACCATAAAAGTAAACAAACATCAGAAAAGGGCTTCAAACAGAAGAAGCCCCATTTAAAAGTATATTTTGTTGTGTTTATTTTTGAAAATCTTTGAATATTATTATTTCTTCCTTTTTTATAACTTTATAAATATGTTTGTTTTCAATTGTGGTATTAGGGTATATGCATCCTGTGAAAAATAAAATTATTGTTCTCAGTTTTCCACTTGTCAACTCTGAGAAACAGTAATACACATATACACTGTTTCTGGGAAACAGTGACACACATATGTGTGTGTGTATGTGTGTGCTATATATATCGTACATATAATCTTTACCATGTAACATAATACAGCCCCAGTAGATGTAAAATATACATCACTGACAGACTCAGGTTGACACATTGAGCTAGGCCATGTGACATGATTTGACAAATCAAATAGTAGTGAATAAATGAGAACAAAGCCTTTAAATTTGCTTGGAGATTTTGTCTGCACACTTGTGCTTCTATTATTTGCTATTAAAAAACCACACCTTGGGTCATTTTTGGACCACAGAGAATGGGAAGACACCTGAAGTTTAACAATAGCTTGAAATTAAGCTGCTCTACCTCACCTGCAAAACCACAGGCCAAATGATTGTTTACTTTTGTAAGCCATTGAGATTTTATAAATTGTTAGTCACATATTATTATTGCACCAATATTTGACTAAGAGCCATGGATGGACTTTAAGGGGACAAATTGTGTTTAATCTGCACTGGTCTATGCAAGACACTTCTGTTGTTTTAGTCATTTATTTATATTCCTTTATTTATTGTTTATTGTCTTTTTATTTTAGTTTGTTTATTTTTACTCCCAATTCCCTACAACCTAAAGACCACTATTCCTAGAGGTTTGATGTATGTTCATTTATTTTATATATTTTAACAATAAATTTAATACTCTTTTGTATGTTTACAAATTAATTTTCATGTAAACTATTTTATATATCTTATTCCATTATTTGCTTTTTCCTCAGTACCACATATAAATATACACACACACATACATATATACATATATTTATTCATATCGTTCTGTATATATCTGATATATTGCTTCAAACTGCTTTATAGTATCCTATACTGTGCCCCCAGGATATTTTACATATTCTCCATCATCCATATGATAAATAGGACATTTACATGCAAATCATCACCTAAATTTTACCAGATCAAATGTTTTATATGTAAAAGATTTTTCTTACTACAGGTAAGATAGTATGATTTTCTTGGTAGTATATTTTAATATTGTTTTTATGCTAAAAATTCCACATGCCTAACTTATTTTTCAGGAAAAGTGATATCTAAAGAAATAAAGACAATGAACAATGTCCTGTCTGTTACATATCTTGATAAATAATAGACCCTATCAGAGTAGAGTAGAGTTAATTATCTTCATTCAAGAGAAAGAACAGCAAGAAATAATCTGAAATTATTCATTGGTTAAAATGTTTAGTCTATTATTTTAAGTAGTCCTTGATACACATAAATAAAATGACATTTATAAAACAATCCTTATATTTAAAAAGTACACTGTATTAGTCTGTTCTCACATTGCTGTAAAGAGCTAATTGAGACTGAGTAATTTATTAAAAAAATGAGGGGTCAGTTAATTGGCACCCAGTTCCAGGCAGTACAGAAAGCATGGCTGGGGAGGACTCAGAAAACTTAAAATCATTGTGGAAGATGAAGGGGAAGCAGGTGCATCCCACATGGCTGGGGCAGGAGGAATAAGCACACATTTAAACAACAGTATCTCATGAGAACTCACTCACTGCCACAAGAAAGTGACAGGGGATTCACCCATGATCTAATGTTAAACATTGGGGTTTACAATTTGACATGAGATTTGTATGGGGACACAAATTCAAACCATATTGTTCTGCCCTGGCCCCTCCCAGATCTCATGTGTTTCTCACATTGCAAAATACAATCTTCCCTTCTAAACAGTCCCCCAAATTTTAACTCATTTCAGCATTTACTCAAAATCCCACAGTCCAAAGTCTTATCTGAGACATGGCAAGTCCCTTCTGCCTAGGAGCCTGTAACATCAAAAACAAGTTAGTTACTTCCAAGACACAATGGGGATACAGGCATTGGGTAAATACACCCATTTCCAAAGGGAGAAATCTGCCAAAACAAAGAGGCTACAGGCCCCATGCAAGTCTGAAACCCAGCAGGGCAGTCATTAAACCTTGAAGCTCCAAAGTAATCTCCTTTGAATCCATGTCTTACATTCAGGCCTCAGTGATGTAAACAGTGGGCTCTCAAGGCTTTGGGTATCTCTATCCCTGTGGCTCTTCAGGGTACAGCCCCTTCAGCTATTTTCATGGGCTTGCATTCAGTGTATGTGGCTTTTCCAGGTGCACAATGCAAGCTTTCAATGGATCTACCATTCCGGGATCAGGAGGATGGTGGCTCTCTTCTCACAGCTCCAATAGATGATGCCCCAGTGGGGGCTCTGTGTGGGGACTCACACCCCACATATCCCCTCTGCACTGTCCCAGTTGAGGTTCTCCATGGGGCTCCACTCCTTCAGCAGACTTCTGCCTGGACATCTAGGCATTCCCATACATCCTCTGAAATCTAGGTGGAGGCTTTCAAGGTTCAACTCTTGCCCTCTGTGCACACACAGGCTTAATATCAAATGGAAGTTGCCAAGGCTTAGGGCTTTCACACTCTGGAGCAGCAGTCTGAAATATATCTGGGGCTCTTTTAGCCAAGGCTGAAGCTGGAGTGGCTGACATGCAGGGAGTAGTGTCCCTAGGTTGCACAGGGCAGCAGGACCCTGGGCCCGGCCCTTGAAACCATTCTTCCCTCCTAGGCCTCCAGGCTTGTGATGGGAGGGGCTACGCTGAACGTCTCTGAAATGCCTTCAAGGCATTTCCCCATTGTCTTGGCTATTAACATATGGGGCTCCTCTTTACTTTTGCAAATTTCTGCAACCAGCTAGAATTCCTCTCCAGAAAGTAGGTTTTTATTTTCTAACATATGGTCAGGCTGCAAATTTTCCAAACTTTTATCCTCTGTTTCCCTTTTAAATATATATTATAGTTTCAGATCATCTCTTTGCTCAGGCATATGAGCATACACTGTAAGAAGCAGCCAGGACATATCTTGAACTCTTTGCTGCTTAACAATTTCTTCTGCCAGATACTCTAAATCATCTCTTTCAAAATCAAAGTTCCAAAGATCCCTAGGGCAGGGCCACAATGCCTTCAACTTCTTTGCTAAGGCATAACAAAAGTTACCTTTTCTCTCATTCCCAGTAAGTTCCTCATTTCCAACTGAGGCTGCCTCAAGCCTGGACTTCATTACTCATATTACTATCAGCATATTGGTTACAACAGTTTAACAAATCTCTAGGACGTTCCAAAGTTCCAAACTTTCCCTTATATTCCTGTCTTCTTCTGATCCCTCCAAACTATTCCAACCTCTGCCCATCATCTAATACCAAAGTTGCTTCCACATTTTCAGGTATCTTTATATAGCATGCTCCACTCCTCTATACCAATTTTCTATATTAGTCCATTTTCAAACTGCTATAAAAAACTACCTGAGACTGGGTAATTTATAAAGAAAATAGGTTTAATTGGATTATGGTTATGCAGGCTTTACTGCAAGCATGGTTGGGGAGGACTCAGGAAACTTACAATCGTGGTAGAAGGCAAAGGGGAAGCAGGCACATCCTATGTGGCTGGAGCAGAAGGAAGAGGTGAAGGGGGAGGTGCTACACAGTTTTAAACAAACAGCTCTCATGAGAACTCACTCACTATCATGAGAACTCACTCACTATCATGAGAACAGCAAGGTGAAAATCTGCCCCCATGATACAATCACCTCCCACCAGGCCCCTCCTCAAACGTTAGGGGTAACAATTCTACATGAGATTTGGGCAGGGACACAAATCCTAACCATATCACATAACAACATTATTTGCCTTTGTGCTTTCAGATGTTGCTTTATGTAAAACATAGTTTTGAGTTGTAATGCCAAAGAAGGAAATCTTTGATTTTCTTTCCTACCACCAAATAGATAAATCTTTTTTAGCTTGCTCAGTTCAAGTTTTGGCATAACTCTTACTAACACATCACAAACAATTTAGTTCAGTTTTGTCTTAGGTTAATCACACTGTAATATTGATAACTATTAGTCTGACAAGAATGAGAGAAACCAAAGCTACCAAAATCCAGTATTATTGTCTAATAAAGTAGTACGAAGCATATAATGCTTATATGAAAGGGACTTAGTGAAATTTCATGTTTTATTCCTAAATGCCTCAGAGGTTTTACATGAAGGAAAAGTTATCAAAAGTTATAAAAAATAAATCTCCTTAACTCCAGAAGTTATTGGTTGCACAACCTTATGTTTTATAATCAATACTGGAAGAGCAAAGGTAAATTTAAAGGACACATTTCTAGGAGTTTTATTTAAATGATAATAGCACTTTTGAAGGATACTGCAACTAAGCAACTTTTTTTTTTTCTGTGAATGGGGTTTTCTTTTAAGTTGGAGTTAAGAAAATGTCACATTAAATATTTTAAATTTCTTATTTTGATCTTTATATTACATTGTTAGAATTTTTACCATCCATCATTTTTATTTTGAATATTAACATGGTTAAAATTGTCATTTCCAGAAAAATAACTGAGAATGTTTAAGGTGAAGGCCAGTGATGAATGTTACCATTAAAAATAAATTCCTATATGGGGCTTCTTTCAATTTCTAAGTGTATAGAAAGATACCATAACCCAAAACAGCAGCAGTATTATGTACCATAAACATAGATACTTAGAAATATCTACACCACAGGCTGCTCTTCTAAAAGCTCAATTCTATAATGCGATATTGTTAGTAGACAGAATTCTAATCCTGCACTTATGTTCACTTATGAATCTCTGAAACCTGGGAACATGTTCCATTACAGGGCTAAAGAGACATTGTGAATGTAATTAAATTAAGACCTTTGGATGTGAAGTTTATCCTGGATTATCTGGGTGCCCCAGTGTAATCACAAAGTTCTTAAAAGAGGTAGTCAGGTGGTTCAGAGTCAGAGAAAGAGATGTGATGATATAAATAGAGGTCAGAGATGAAAGGCCATAAGCCAAGGAATGTAGGTGGCCTCTTCTGGAAAAGCCAAAGCAGAATGTTCCCTAAAGCATCCAGAAGGGACACAACACTGCCAATACCTAGATTTTAGGAGTTATGACCTACAGAAGTGTAAGATGAATAAATTTTTGTTGTTTTTAAACCATTACTTTGGTGTTAATTTGTTAAAGTATATTTAGTATTTAAAAATGCCATCAAATGCCACTTTGGTGATATTGTTAAATTCAAAAATGATACTGTATTTAAGAACAAGAATTTTGTATAAATATTAGGGCCATATGTAAAAAAGACTTTAAATAAATATGATTTTTTATTCTAAAAGGTCTTAGTTCAGGAAATTCTATTAGCTAGGTTGGAAGTCCTAATTTCTCCCCATTTATTTTTGTCTCAAGAGAGGTCTATATTTGTTCCTAGTTAGATTCTGTGGTAAGTTTTTACAATGCAGCTTTCTAGTTTTTTCCTATCAAGTGGTGATGTCTACTTCCCTATACAGTGAGTATTGTTTGGCTAACAGAAACGTGGTGGAACTCTGTCTTTGGCATAAAAAAAAAACTTAGGTAAACATCATAGAGCCTTATGGAGCAGAGATGAAGAATTGCAGCTAACACCAGCCTACATAAGTTGGTCTCAAGTCAACCCATCCAACAGACTGTCGACGCAAGAGGACACTTACCTGAAATCAGCCAACACTAGAACAATGATCTCCAACTAATCCTCGATTAAACTACTGACCTACAGAATCCTGAGTAAGACCATTGCTATTTTAACACATAGAAATCAGTGGGTTTCTTACAGAGCAGTAACTAAATGCACATGTATTGCCATAAAAAACACAGGCCTTTTTAGTATTTGAGATTTAGACACCCAAGATTCCAAGTTGACTGAGAAAAGAGTGCAGCTCCCAAGGACAGCATAGTCCCAATACATACCACAGATGTGACCTTACAGTGCTGGTTGACATGAAACAGACATTTTTTTGTGAGAAAGCAGCTTTAGTATGATAAGCCTCTGAGATGTCAAGTATGTTTGTTGCACAATTTATCCCATCTTTAATTTTAAATGTGTAGACATAGATATAGGTATAACTTATAAATATACTATGGCAAGAATGGCCAACATTTATCAAAATCTTACTATTTGTCAGGCATTATCCTAAGGCTTCCTTTACATGTTTTAAGTTTTTTTGTTGTTACTTATTTTATTTATTTTTTTGAGATGGAGTCTCGCTCTGTTGCCCAGGCTGGACTGCAGTGGTGCGATCTTGGCTCACTGCAAAATCCACCTCCCAGGTTCAAGCAATTCTCCTGCCTCAGCCCCCCGAGTAGCTGGGATTACAGGCACCTGCACCAGGCCCAGTCAATTTTTGTATTTTTAGTAGAGATGGGGTTTCACAATTTTGACCAGGCTGGTCTTGAACTCCTGACCTGAGGTGATCCGTCCACCTTGGCCTCCCAAAGTGCTGGGATTACAGGCATAAGCCATTGCGCCTAGCCACATCTTTAGATTTTTTAGTGCTCTGAAAGTTGAAATGTGTATCATTACTGTTTACCCTTTAAAAGCAGGAACACTGAAGGACAAAATAATTAAGTATAGTAAGATTTCATAGCTTATATTTTCCAGGGAAATACTGATGGGTAAAAGATATTTCCATTCAACATACAACAACATTTGTCTCAAAAAATAAAACAAAATGAATAAAGAAAACGGGGTTGGCTTCTAATTTGTTTGCTTCTCATCGGCCCCATGAACAATAACAACACTCAAACTCTTTATATGACATTATTTACCAGCTTAATTTACTTATCTTTCTAACCCATGTTCCTTTTTCTCAACTTATGGCAGTTACTTGGAGCCTGCTCGGCTTCAATTAGATGACTAGACCTGTCATAGGTTGAAACATGTACTCCAAAAAGGGATGTTTATTTCCCAATCTCAGGTATGTGACCCTATTTGGGAATAGGGACATTGCAAATAAAAATAAGATGTAAGTTAAGAAGTTGTTTTAAGATTTAAGACTGACCCCAAATTTAGTCTCTGGTGTTTCTATAAGAGACAAAGACATGCAGCGACAAACAATAATGCTATGTGAAAATGGAGGTAGAAATTGGCAATGTATCTACTTGCCAAGGATTTCTGTCAATCACTAGAGCTAGGAGAGAGTTATGCAACAGATTCTCCCTTCAGAGACTCCAGCAGAAACCAACGTTCTTAGCACCTTCTAGCCTCTAGAACAGTGAAGGAATACATTTTTGTTGTAAGTTTGTAGTACTTTGTTATAGCAGTCCTAGGAAACTAATACAATACCTGTGACCCAAACTTTCCCATGAGCACTTTCATTCATCAAGCAATTTTCTTCTTCTCCTTCTCCTTCTCCTCCTCCTCCGCCTCCTCCTTCTTCCTTTCCTCTTCCTCCCCCTCCTCCGCCTCCTCCTTCTTCCTCTTCCTCTTCCTCCCCCTCCTTCTCCTCCTCCTCCTTCTTCTTCTTTTTTTTTTGAAATGGAGTTTCGCTCTTGTTGCCTTGTTGCCCAGGCTGGAGTGCATGGCACGACCTCGACTCACTGCAACGTCCGCCTCCCAGGTTCAAGTGATTCTCCTGCCTCAGCCTCCTGAGTAGCTGGGGTTACAGGCACCTGTCACCATTCCTGGCTAGCTTTTTTGTATTTTTAGTAGAGATGGGATTTCACCATTTTGGCCAGGCTAGTCTCGAACTCCTGACCTCAGGTGATCCATCTGCCTCAGTCTCCCAAAGTGCTGAGATTATAGGTGTGAGCCACCGTGCCTGGCCAAGCAATTTTAATGGCTCCAGCCCTTGGATTAATTCTCGCATTCGAGCACTACATTATACTAAAGATTTTTTATTCAAATGTTACTTAAGTTCTTATACTTCATTTTTTACCTTCTGGGGATTAAAACCAGTCAGGTATTCTAATGCAACAAGTCTCTACATGTTTAGCCTATCTTTACTCTCTCATTTCTGTGTGAAAATTGGCCTTCCTCTTAGCCCCCAAGCTTATCTCTTGCTTATCATATTTTGTCGAATGCAGCCAATAGTAACCAACATGGCCTATAAAATGTGTTTTCCAACATTTATCCCAAAAGCTTTAGGTTCAGTAGACATATATGATACTTGCAAATTTATCCGAAAATAAAAATACTATATATTTTTGATACAGGAGCTAAAAAGAAATTATTTAGGCAGTTAGTGAGGGTAAGAGAGTCTTCAGCAAGGTTTCCCTTTTAATAAAAAGCAGCTCCCAAATCATTTCTTTTCTAACAAAAACCAGCCTAAAAAATCAAGCTGCAGACATAAATAAGCAATCTGGAAGCTTGCACAGGTGAATGCTGAGAGCTGTGCCAATAGAAAAGGGCTACCTAGCAGCCAGGCATATCCAATATGGAAGCTCCATCTTCCCTTTTCTTTGTCTCCACATGTGCAATAAGGGAACAGACAACATGGCATCTGCCAGGTAAAAAACACATCTATGTAGTAAAAGATTATGGTAGGATGGCCAGCTTCTTGAGCACTATGTAAATGACACACCTGGTCCAACCAATCTTTTGTATCTTATGTAAATCAGACACCACCTCCTCAAACTCATCTATAAAACCTTTGGTATCTCGCCACAAACCCAGGAACCAGTTCCCTTCTTCTGCACAAGGGAGCTTTCCTCTTTCTTTCGCCTATTAAACTTCTGGAAATTCACCTATTATACTTTGGCTCATTCCTTGCATGTCTGTGTCCACAATTTCCTTGGACAAACTTCAGGTATTCACCTCAGACAACGCGGCCACTTCATTTTGTCACAGTATTGCACTAAAACAAACATTTTTACAAAACTCTTTTGTCGATAGAATATCAGTATTGCTAGTTATGGCCCTGCTAACTAAAATAGTGCTGAGAAGTATAGACATTTATATACTCAGGCTGAAAAGAGAAATATCAGTGATCACAAGTAATGTCTACCAAAATATCTCTACATTAAGGTATATTTGGTTAATGTTTCTGATTGATAGACAAAGCTTTGCAAAACTCAAAGAAAAATCATTAAAAATTCAGACCTGTAAAAAATCTGTTTTTTTAGTGAATGAATTATGAGGTTTATTGATTTTTCAACATAGTCCAAACATTTGCTAGTATATATCATATATTGGATTTCTGCAATAAGTATTTTTTATGAATACCTTTGTAGCAGGAAATAAAAAGAATTAGTGTCATACTCAAATATACAAATATGTGCAATTATTTCATTTCATGTATATATATATAACTATATGAGATATGTCTTATTTTAGCTGTTTGTGTGTATTTGTGCTTTTCTGAATTTCTTGGAATAATGGGCAATTTTAAGCTGGTATTCAGGAGAAAGATTAGTCAAACACAATGGCATATAGTTCCAGATGTCTTGTCCCAAGGGGTGTTGGATCTGACTGCAGCACATAAGGAGCACAGCTAGGAGCTCTATGCATCATTTATGCTGGATTATATTTACGAAGACCAGACTGAACTCCTGAATGATCATATTGAATAGAATTTCACGAATTTTCTAACATCTGCTCGAGGAAATTTGCATAGGTACCACATGAGATAACTAGCTGACAATGCTTCAGACTCTTCAGATTTTTTAAACTAGATTTTGCAAAATGTTCCCTAACCAAACTACCAGTCCTGCTTCAGCACTCTTTCACTCCAAAGGTAAATTCTTCCTTTTCTATTATTTCCAAGAACAGTAGAATTAGCTAGGAAGAAAAAAGTACTAAAAAGTTACTTGAAGCTAAGAGAAAAATTTTAAAACAGAAACCAAAGGTATATATATTTTAAAGAGGTTAGATATTATAAGTTTTAGTAAGACTTAGCAGAAAAAATATTTTGTGTGTTTTAATGACTAAGAAATATTTTATGACTTACTAAATTAAATGTACTCATTTAGATGGATTAGAACCATGTTGCTTAAAATATTAAAATAAAAATATGATTGGTGCAGATTGAATTTGGTGCCACTGTTTTCATAACAACGACATGAAATGTCACATTTTGTGAAAACATGACCTGCAACATTTTCAGTTTAGGTCTAATTATCTTACTTTGGAATATTTGGCAAAAAATAAAAAATAGAAATAAAAAATAAAAAATAAAACCTACTTCAGATTAGAGAAACAAGTTTCTTATTTTATTGATTTTCTTACCACTTTGATATGGTTAGGTGTAAAGTAGAAATAAACCTCCAAAGCTTGAATTATATTTATGTAGATTATCTAAAATAGTCACACACCACATGCATGAAATTACAAATGTGAATAATTTGCTTTACCAGGAGGACTCTTTATTTTTATGATTCTTTCATAGTCAGAATTATTTATTAAATTTATAAATATGTTGATATTTTATTTTGTGTTATTTTTATAAGCTTTCTGAGAGCATATATAGTTTCATAAAGTGAAAAATAATGGACCAGCAGCAACGGAAACATTTCATGTTCCAATGCAAAAAATTATCTGTACTCAAAATCCTAATCAGTAACAATTTTTTTCTAACATCTAAATAGTTTTTTTCTAACATCTAAGTAGATTATCTCAATGGTATATAATAGAAAACAATATAAATGTATTTGTATTTACTATCTGTTAGATTTTTAAAAGATAAAGGTATGGTAACAGCTAATGTTCATATAAAACTCAGCATTTTAATGGAACACTTTCCCATATAAAGGACAAATCTACACATTATATGAACATTTTCAAAATTTGAGCCTTGGAATGTAAAATTACAATGTTATACATTATAGTAATATTTTGTAAAAGTCATAAAAAGAATCCACACAATATTGTGTATATACAAAATTTCACATGGAAATTTGTGCTTATAAATGACTATAATTTACTTTAAAAAAATGCCAACCTTTCAGGAATACACTGTGTATACAGGGAGCAGAGTATTAATACCCAAAATGTCCTGAGATATACTTCACATCCCATCCAGGATTTTAAACGCTAAGATCAACAGAATTGGTTTTATTCAACATGCTCAGCTTCCCAGGAACTTGTTTCTTTTTAAAAAAAAATGTGGTAAAAGACACTTAACATAAAATGTACCTTCTTAGTCATTTTAAAGTGTAGAGTTCAGTAGTGTTTAGTATATTCACATTGTTGTTGCAAGTAATCTCAAGAACTACTGCAGATGCCTCATATGTGTGGACTCACAAGCTATTTTTCTTTCTGCAACTGGCTTACCTCACTTAGAATAGTGTCCTCAAGTTTCATCTATGTTGTCAAATGTGTTAGAATGTCGTCTTTTAAGGCTGAATAATATTCCATTGTATGTGTATATCACATTTTATGCATTCATACATCGATAGATCTCGGGTGGATTTTATATCTTGGTTACTGTGAATATTGCTGCTGTGAACACTGGTGTGTAAATATCACTTTGAGATCTTATTTTCAATTATGTTTCATGTATAACCAGAAGTAGAATTGCTGCATCATTTTGGTCTTCAATTTTTAATGTTTTGAAGAACTGTTTTTATAGTACCTGTACCAGTTTATATTACGGGCAAAAGTGCACAAAGTTTCCAATTCCTTCACATCTTATCAGCACTTTTTTTTTTCTTTTTTTGAGAGACAGTCTCCCTCTATTGCCCAGACTGGAGTGCAGTGGTGCAATCTTGGCTCATTGCAACCTCCACCTCCTGGGTTCAAGCGATCCTCCTGCCTCAGCCTCCTGAATAGCTGGGACAACAGGTGTGCACCACCACGCCTGGCTAGTTTTTTTGTATTTTTAGTAGAGACAGGGTTTCACCATATTGGCCAGGCTGGTCTTGAACTCCTGACCTTGTGATCTGCCCGCCTCAGCCGCCCAAAGTGCTGGGATTACAGGCGTGAGCCACTGTGCCTGGCCCACTTTTTTTTTTTTTTTTAAGAGTAGCTGTCCTAATAGGTGTGAGGTGGTAGTTCAGTGTGCTTTTGATCTGTGGTTCCCTAGTGTTGAATTATGTCCAGCAGTTTTCTGTATGCTTGCATCTGGCCCCCATGCATTTATCGAATTTGGAAAATTTCTCATTCTTGCTTTTAATCTCAGATATGTAATTGAAATTTTTTTTCTCTCTTTCACTCCTATATGGAGAACAGTTTTCAGCCTCCAACATACTTACTTTTTTCATCCCACCAATATTTCTATTTAGATGAGCTTGAATTTTCTCCGTATTAAAAACAGCTCATTTGAATGCATCATTTTATTTTCTTCAGTTGTATGTTTATTATATAAAAAATTTAAAATCAGAAGTATTTGCATAATTATTTTCTTCCTCAATAGAATTGTGTAGTTATGGCTTCAGATTTAGTGTTTATTTAATAATGTGATAATTGTTAATTTCCTCACCAAAAGCCAGTTCCCTCATGCATCATAGAAAGCTATGTCTACTCATCACCTACCATTTCTCCCAGAGATAATGTGACATAATTTTAGTTCTTTTTGGATTGAGCTTGGGCCTTTTGCCAAGTTTCTTCTTCTTCATTAATATTATCACAATCCCTCTCCTCAGAAAAGAACAATGTGCAATTTCTACTGGAAATTTGAATTATGCCATTCCTAATCACTTGTCTGTCTCCATCTCTCCTGGGGTTAATCAATAGAATATATATATATATACACACACACATATGTGTGTGTGTGTATATCTTATAACTTTAGCTTTTCTTTTTATCTCTTGAAAATATTTTTGAAAAACTTAGACTTGAAAAAAATGTTTTACTGTTATGAGTTACCATAAAAAACTAAATTTCCAAATTTCTGAGTACACTTTTCCCCTTTCATCAATGTAGATTTTAAAAATGTTACTTTTTGTGTACCACATATGTCATTTTGTAACGTCATATTTGGAGACTATTTACTATTGCCTCATACAAAATTATATCAATGTAATGATTTTTAGTCTTTTACATTTTATTTTATCATCATGAAAACATCTGCATTGGCAGAACATGTATTACTAATTTAGAAAAGCAAATTTTGTAGACCTACATGATTCCTTCAAGATTTTGTGTGTGTGTGTGTGTACATATATATAGAGAAACTTGCCAGTCAATAAAAGAGACCATGGCAAAACAAATATTTCAAATCAATCTTGTGCATATGTGTGAGTGTGTGTGTGTGTGTGTGTGTGTACGTTAGTTTTTCCTAGATTGCACTGACATCATCATGCTGGTAATGAAATATACTTCCCTATATATATATAAATCATAAAGAAAAAATAAACATAGGTAGAATTTGTACAACTGGATATCTCAGTTTAAAAAACATTACTGGTTTCTGTTGTAGGGGTTTTATATCTGTTTCTGTATATATGTATAAAAGTATATATTGATATAATCCAAAATGACTTCCTTCACAATAGTAAGCTTTAGAACTACTGTATAGAAATTTTATTTATTTAATTAGCTTATATATACTGAATATGATTAACGAAGCAAACAAAACAGAAAAAAACAACTACTGTGGATTAGAAATTTCTTATTAAAGTTAGAGTCACTAATAGACTCCCATGAGTACAATTAAATGTAAAAGAAGTCAGTTGTACATATATATATATAGCCAAAGTGGTAGCTGATAGGCGAAGACTGGTTAGGAAAATAATGAAAGCTGGTTCTTTCAGAAATGCCACAGTAAGTAGCATGCATATTTCCCTACCAATCTCCTACAGAGTTAGCAGATTATGTGGGACGAAATATATCTTCTGTATTCCTAGCTGAAAATTAATGGAAAAATAAATCTGTAATCATCACATATTAACTTTAAAAAGCAAATAGTCTTAGTGCTATGCTAAATGAATGTTAGTATACAGAATTCAAATTTAATGTATTTTCAAAATTAGCCTGTCTGTAGTTTTCTACATAAAAAATATTAACAGAAATGACATAAATCATCAAATGATCTTGGTTTTAATTAATTTCAATGATTCTCTATAAACATATGATTATAAATGCACTGAACCATCATTATAAAATAATTTCTATACCATGAAGTACCATGAGGGTTAAGGATTAAATAATAGCCCCATTAACTGTATTAAGATTTAATATCTGTAATTCTCACTTTTGGTCTATCTATCATCTATCTTCTTGTTATTTTCTCAGTTCTTTCAAATAAGACTTTTGTTATGAATCAACTAAAATTCAACTGAATAATCACATCACATGCAATTATGTTTTATATATAACATAATAACATTTTAATATTAATTTGTTTGTAGCTAAATAAAACACTTATTTATTGTCTGTATCAATAAGTATGTTACAAGCTAGGGTTCAAGAAAAAACTTAAGCATTTCTTTTTAAAAAAATGTGTGAATATGAAGTTAGGTTTTCTCAATCCCAGAGAAAACAATGGGAGGATTCCTTAAGAAAAATTGTACTTATATTATTAATCTGACTCAAACAATGTAAGCATGAATATGTAATCTATAAAAGGGTAGCACTGAGTAGTTTTCATGAATTTGAACTCCTAACAAAATCACCCCTAAAATTCATAACGCAAAAAAAAAAAAAAAGATCAATTCTAAGTCCTCAGCATAACCTGCTGCCAGTATTTGAAACAGCTGATCACTTTATCCTTCTAGAAAAACTGCTTTTTCCTTGATTTTGGGGACGATTTTGGGGACATTTCCTTTTCAGATTTTTAACTTACTACCCTGGTAGATACTTGTCAGAATTCTTTGATGGATCCTGTTAATTTTCCCAACTGTTAAATATCGTTGATTCCGTGGACACAGTACTTGCTCCCCTATTCCCTACCAAAGTTCTCACTGACTTCCTTTTAAAGTACCCTGGAAACTGACAGATTGGTAGCTTCAACCAGAAAATTCAGGCACATATTTACCACATTCTTATGATTTCTTTTTTTCCTGGATCCACAAAGATTGAAACTCGCCACATGGGGGCACATTCGTTCACCATAACTGTGACTAAAATTGGTGACATTTTAATTTGCAGGCAATTACCTCTACAAACACCTCCCTTCATTAGAAATAAAAATTGAGATGTTCAAAGCATCTTACAGGTCAAAGAGCTAAGCCAGATCCTCACTCAAGCACTCAAGAGTTTTTTTTTTTTTTTTTTCCCGAGAAAAACTCTGGAGGAACAAACAACTTTGAACATTTTCCCACTGAAGTCCTGGCGTTTTGGCGCTGACAGCGTTAACTTCTACACGGAAGCTGCCCCTCCGCCCTCCAGAAGGAAAGAGGACCCGTATGGGAGCCGCAGAGAAGCACCTAGAACCCTGGGGCCTGAGGGCCGGCTGGAGGCAACACAGGGCTGGTAAGAACGAATATGACCTCGTGTTAAACTGGAAACGAGAAGGAGGGCAGAATATGGGTAGACAAGTCAGAACAGCTGCTCCCATAGCCGCCAGAAGCCGTAGACTCTTCTGAACTGTGGGACCCAAGACTGCCGGGTACGCAGCGGGCACAGGACGGCAGGGGCACCTGCGCTGCCGCCTACCGCCCTGGAGGGCGCTTCAGGCCCAGATCCCAGGGCAGCAGAGGGTGCGACAAGGCGTCCCAGCAGCCGCGGCCCTGCAGATCCTTGGGGCACCTAGCCGGCATCCCCTCCCCTGACCCGACGCCTTCTCTTTGTCCTGAAGGATGGACTGCAAAGCTATGTCCGGCGGTGTGGACGAAACTCAGTAAAAGGGGTTTCGGCAAGGGGAGACTCACCCGCCATCTCCGTAGGAAGGTGGCTGGGGCTGTGTCCGCGCAGCCCAGTCCCGGCCTCCTCCTCCTCCCAGAGGGCTTCCAGGTCTGACCGAGGGTCGCTGGGACTCGAGAACTGGAGGCTCTGACTGGAACACTCCTGGGCGCACTCTGGCTCAGCCTGGACCCGGGCAGGCCCGTTTTCACCGGGGTGTCTACACTAGGGTCTCCCAAGGCAGCGAGGCGTCCGGGCGGGCGCCAGGGTGGCAGGGCCGAGTCTCCGGAGGTGGCCGCTCTGAAGGCCGAATCTGGCCAGAAAATCTGGCCAGAAAAAGGGACCACTGCGTCCTTGCGGCCTCCTTTCCACGTTAACCGGGGGCAGAGAACACCCAGGCCCTGCTGTGGGTGCCTAACGCGCTGGGGCGCATAGGCCAAGCCAGTCCAACCAGGGTGTCCAGTCAGGGGCGCGCTGAGGCAGAAGGCTTTAGAGATCGAGGGACATGGGGGACCCCTGACGCCAGGTCTCCTTCTCGCTTCCGGGTCCGCACTCTGGGTCCGCAGTCCCTCAACCCACCAGGAGGCCAGAGATGCGGCTGCGGTGGATCCAGGGAGCTGGGGCCCAGATCCACCAAGATCAGGGAAGGTTCCTGAGGGCCCGCTGTCCCTCAGGGCCTGAAGAAAATCCATTCTCCGCGTGCTTGCGTTGGAGAACACAGTGGCCCCCACCGCCCGCCCTGAGACCTCCACAGGGTCCTGATCCAGAACTTGACGACCGGACGCCATCTCATCTCTCCCCACAGAACCCCTGTCAGCCTGCCGGGGGACGCGGTGCCCGCCCTCCGGCATCCGGGAAACACAGCGTCCCAGCCGGCGCCTGCGCAGGTGCCACACTTCCTGGTCCTCTCTGGCTGCGTCTGAGGGCCTTAGCTCTGGCCAGGGGCGCTGCAACGGGCTCAGCCTTCTAGGGGTGGCGGGTGAAGGCCTACACCTGCCCCAGGACGGCCAGGTCCACCAGCACCTGCAACAGACGGAGAACTGAAGGAGCATCTTGAAGCTGTGGCTGTCTTGAAGGTGTCGCCGCTTGTCCTCACGAGCACCATTTTGATTCTCGTGCCCTGTGTGCATGGGTGGCCAGCGTTGCTGGTAGGGCTCCTGCACGCTCAGAGTGGCCTTGGCCAGGAAGTCCAGGGTTTCCGCAGGCAGAGTGTATGAACAAGGTAAGTGAAGCTGCTTGTCACCTTCGTGAGGACCAGGACACAGTGCACATAGCTCATGAAACTGCCCCAGTGCCAGAAGTGCTGAGAATGGGAGTCTACAAAGGCTGGAGTTTTATATTTGGTTCCTTTGCCAGGCCGACATAGTACAGAGTTCCAACATCAGCAAAAACGTCAAGATCATGAGTATGCTCTGCCATGGGAGAGGCAGCACAAAATGCCTTCTAAACCAGCAGTGTATTGGCCACCAGTAGCACCAGACATGCATAGGTAGAGAAGCCATTAGCATTCTGGGTCCTCCCAACATTCTTGTACTGTGGCATGTATGGGACCACCCCTCCAAAGATTGTGGTCACAGCAGCCCCCCAGGAAACCAGATGGTGCGGCAGGACAGAAACCAATCCAAGCCTTCTGCTTCCATGCCCAACATCTGTGCCACCCAGTAGGCAGGGTGATGTCCACCTTGCCTAAGCCTCTCACTCTCATGGGCTCCTGCACCTGCACATTGAGGGTTATCTCCACATTGCTACAGCTATTCTGTGCAGTCCTCTACCAATGACTGTCCTGATCTGCCAGGGCACTCTTCTCTGTCCCTCTGTTTGATGGAGAACCCCTTATGATTTTCTTAATAACTTTTTCTTCCCTCTAGTGTACTGTGTTGTAAGAATGCAGTATATAAGGCTAGGCTCAGTGGCTCATGCCTCTAACCCCAGCACTTTAAGGGGCCAACGTAGGAGGTTCACTTGAGCCCAGGAGTTCAAGACCAGCCTGGACAACATAGGGAGACCCCTTCTCTACAAAAACAAACAAACAAAAAATACAAAAATACAAAATTTAGTCAGGCGTGGTGGCACAGGTTTGTAGTCCCAGCTACTTGGGAGGCTGAGGCAGGAGGATTGCTTGAGCCTGGGATGTGGAAGCTTCAGTGAGCTGTGATCACTCCATTTGCACTCCAGCCTGGGCAATAGAGGAAGACCCTGTCTCAAAAAAAAAAATACAGTATATAATACATATAATATACAAAATATGTGCTAATCAACTATTAACTGTTTATGTTATCATCAGTAAGGCTCTGGTCAGCAGTATGCTATTTGTAGTTGAAAGTTTGGGTCATCAAAAGTTATACATGGATTTAAAAATAATAAGGTCTCAGCCCCTAACTCCAGGGTTGTTCAGGAGTCAACTGTATATCCATCACTAAATGCTTTAATATTCCCAACTCCTTATTATCCATGAACAAATCTGACCACTGTTTACTACATCCCTGGCAGACACTCTGGTTCAAGCAGCTATCTATCATCTCTTTCTTAGAATATTGACATAATCATCACCTAATTCCCTTGCTTCCACATTTGTTCTGCCTCACAAATCTAGTTTCTATTTCCCAGAGGGGTCATTTTTAAATATGTCAGATGTGGTCACCCCTCAGATCAGATTCATCCAATGGCTTCTGTCATATTCAGAGTAAGTCAAGAATCATTCCTAAAAAGCCATGTGTAATCTTGACGTTTTCCTTTCTGTCATCAACTCTGACACTACTATTTTTCACTGTGAGTCATTTACTATGGAATTCCATTGGTTTCCAGCCTCAGATAACTTTTCCTCGTTCTTTATAATGACTGGGTGGGGAGAATTCAGACTTCAAATACACAGTTGATGTGGGGAAATATTTTAAATACATACTAAGCTGCATGGTAGGGAAAGGATGAGGAGATATGCTCACTCCCTAGAATAGCTTCAATCTTCATAATTTAGCACAACAAAATGAAAAGTGAAACAAAGAGAAATAAATTTCTATAGAAGAACCTGTTGAATGTTAACATCCTCTTATATACTCATGAGAATATACACATGCACACACACAATTAAAAAAGCATTCATAAGTTTCTGTTTTCCAAGTGTATATCTGTGTGTATGTGCATAATTAATTTTGCAAAATAAGGTTTTTCAGTAGTAGAATGTATCTCTTGTGAACCCTTCTAGATCTTATTTTTACCATGTTCTGTGAGCTGAACAGAACTGCCCTGTATGAACTATGACAAAGAGCAATTTGGTTGTAGAGTGGACATTCAATTGACCTTAAACAATCAAAAGAGAGATAGCTCCCTCCATATTATCTCTGTCTCTGGATTCTGACAATTGCTCCATCTTCTCATCCATCATGGTTAGCATTAGATATGGTCCATGGCTGTTAATATCCCCCCCGTTATTAAAACAGGTATTTTGTTCTCTTATGGGAAAAAGTTTTCATAAGATTTTATTTATCTCTTCCTTGAAGATTTCAAAGAGTATACCTGTAAAATCATCAGGTTTACTTTTTGTATGTGTTTCATTTGTATTTTTTTTCTCTTTTCTTGGATGGGAGAAAGCTTTTAACAACTGATTCAATGTCGCTAATTAAATGTATAGAAATAGATTATTTCTTCTTGAGTCAGTTTTAATACCTTCTATTTTTAGATGTGTGGATTTTAAAATTTATTAGCAAATTTATTGACATGTGTTTGTGTTTTATTAATACTATATCTATAATTATGTAGCTCTCTGAAAAATATGTTGTATTTCTTAAAAAGGAAATACATTTCCAGAATATTTTAAGTTATTAACCCTTTTCATGACTAAGCAGCAATAAAGAGACATTTTTGAAACTTTTACGTTTGTCTTTTAAGAATAAGTATTTATTACTCTATTATGGGAATCAGTTAAACTGCTTCACCGAACACATATAACTTATTTATACGGTATGCAGTAAAAAGCTGAAAAATTATATTTTACTAAGCAATACACAAATTATTTAGGGAAAAAAATAACTGCCTGTGCATGTTGAGACATGTTTAGTGTTCTTTTATACTTTCAATAATGCATGTTGTTATGATAAAAGATTTTTATAGGTATTTTAAACATATATATTTATATCATATTACATAGCTATACAACTCTGTGTGTGTGTGTGTTTGTATACATGCATATATTTTGAGGTTATCTGAAAGGAATTTTAGAACATTTAAATGGCAGACCTTATCAACAGATTCTCATCTGGAGTGTCTTCCTAGTGAATCACAAGTTTAGACAAAATATTCTTAGTTGAGACTGAAACCATATTATAAGGTCACATGATTAGTTCCACAGATTTTATATCCTCTCAATTTCTTATATTATTTCTTAATTTCAATTTTTCAAAATTATTTCTTAATTTTTTGTATGCTGTTAGTTTTGGGTCAAAATGTTGTGGTCTTTAAGAACGTTGAGAATGTTACATTATTAAAATGTTATTTTGCTAAGATTTATTTCTTATAATATTTCTAATGTTCACTAAGATTTTAATAATTTTTCACACTGTTAAAATGCTGCGTTAAAATTTCTTTATTTTTACAAAATTTTATTAATCAATTACAAATGCATTTTTAATTTATGTATCTAATGCTTTGTTGTTGCCCTTTACACACAAGTCCCGAAGACTCTTCATTACTTTTCTTCATTATTCACAACTTTTACATTTGTCCACTAAAATTATGATTATTAATTACTTACCAAAAAAAGAGTCTCCCTTTTTGTAATAAAAGCATTAGTATTGCTTTAAATATAAAAAAAACACATCAGTGGTGACTTATTATTTACAAGGATGTTTTTCATCATTATTTATTATTATACATACCATGTCAACTAATTCAAGTTCAATGTAATAATAAAGTACCATCATATTTTTCTTTAAAGACATCTTATCTTTTTTTAATTATGATTATACTTTAAGTTCTGAGGTACATGTGCAGAATGTGCAGGTTTGTTACATAGGTATACACGTGCCATGGTGGTTTGCTGCACCCATTAACCCGTCATCTACATTAGGTATTTCTCCTAATGCTATCCCTCCCCTAGCCCCCCACCCCCTGACAGGCCCCTGTGTGTGTGGTTCCCCTCCCTGTGTCCATGTGTTCTCATTATTCAACTCCCACTTATGAGTGAGAACATGCAGTGTTTGGTTTTCTGCTCTTTTTTTTTTTTTCTGGTTTAAGTATTTATTGATTTCATTTCAACAAATAATGATTACTTTGATATTACGTCCACTTATTTGATACATGCATGAGGTAAAAGCGGGGCAGTTTTTCTTAATAGCTTGCTTGGTTTTCTCATGGGCTGCCATTTCTTCTTTTTTTTTTTTATTATACTTTAAGTTTTAGGGTACATGTGCACATTGTGCAGGTTAGTTACATATGTATACATGTGCCATGCTGGTGCGCTGAACCCACTAACTCGTCATCTAGCATTAGGTATATCTCCCAATGCTATCCGTCCCCCCTGCCCCCACCCCACCACAGTCCCCAGAGTGTGATATTCCCCTTCCTGTGTCCATGTGATCTCATTGTTCAATTCCCACCTATGAGTGAGAATATGCGGTGTTTGGTTTTTTGTTCTTGCGATAGTTTACTGAGAATGATGATTTCCAGTTTCATCCATGTCCCTACAAAGGACATGAACTCATCATTTTTTATGGCTGCATAGTATTCCATGATGTATATGTGCCACATTTTCTTAATCCAGTCTATCATTGTTGGACATTTGGGTTGGTTCCAAGTCTTTGCTATGGTGAATAATGCTGCAATAAACATACGTGTGCATGTGTCTTTATAGCAGCATGATTTATAGTCCTTTGGGTATATACCCAGTAATGGGATGGCTGGGTCAAATGGTATTTCTAGTTCTAGATCCCTGAGGAATCGCCACACTGACTTCCACAAGGGTTGAACTAGTTTACAGTCCCACCAACAGTGTAAAAGTGTTCCTATTTCTCCACATCCTCTCCAGCACCTGTTGTTTCCTGACTTTTGAATGATTGCCATTCTAACTGGTGTGAGATGGTATCTCATTGTGGTTTTGATTTGCATTTCTCTGATGGCCAGTGATGGTGAGCATTTTTTCATGTGTTTTTTGGCTGCTTAAATGTCTTCTTTTGAGAAGTGTCTGTTCATGTCCTTTGCCCACTTTTTGATGCGGTTGTTTGTTTTTTTCTTGTACATTTATTTGAGTTCATTGTAGATTCTGGATATTAGCCCTTTGTCAGATGAGTAGGTTGTGAAAATTTTCTCCCATTTTGTAGGTTGCCTGTTCACTCCAGTGGTAGTTTCTTTTGCTGTGCAGAAGCTCTTTAGTTTAATTAGATCCCATTTGTCAATTTTCTTTTGTTGCCATTGCTTTTGGTGTTTTGGACATGAAGTCCTTGCCCATGCCTATGTCCTGAATGGTAATGCCTAGGTTTTCTTCTAGAGTTTTTATGGTTTTAGGTCTAACGTTTAAGTCTTTAATCCATCTTGAATTGATTTTTGTATAAGGTGTAAGGAAGGGATCCAGTTTCAGCTTTCTACATATGGCTAACCGGTTTTCCCAGCACCATTTATTAAATAGGGAATCCTTTCCCCATTGCTTGTTTTTCTCAGGTTTGTCAAAGATGAGATAGTTGTAGATATGCGGCGTTATTTCTGAGGGCTCTGTTCTGTTCCATTGATCTATATCTCTGTTTTGGTACCAGTACCATGCTGTTTTGGTTACTGTAGCCTTGTAGTATAGTTTGAAGTCAGGTAGTGTGATGCCTCCAGCTTTGTTCTTTTGGCTTAGGATTGCCTTGGCGATATGGGCTCTTTTTTGGTTCCATATGAACTTTAAAGTAGTTTTTTCCAATTCTGTGAAGAAAGTCATTGGTAGCTTTATGGGTATGGCATTGAATCTGTAAATTACCTTGGGCAGTATGGCCATTTTCACGATATTGATTCTTCCTACCCATGAGCATGGAATGTTCTTCCATTTGTTTGTATCCTCTTTGATTTCCTTGAGCAGTGGTTTGTAGTTCTCCTTGAAGAGGTCCTTCACATCCCTTGTAACTTGGATTCCCAGGTATTTTATTCTCTTTGAAGCAATTGTGAATGGGAGTTCACTCATGATTTGGCTCTCTGTTTGTCTGTTGTTGGTGTATAAGAATGCTTGTGACTTTTGTACATTGATTTTGTATCCTGAGACTTTGCTGAAGTTGCTTATCAGCTTAAGGAGATTTTGGGCTGAGACAGTGGGGTTTTCTAGATATACAATCATGTCGTCTGCAAACAGGGACAATTTGACTTCCTCTTTTCCTAATTGAATACCCTTGATTTCCTTCTCCTGCCTAATTGCCCTGGCCAGACCTTCCAACACTATGTTGAATAGGAGTGGTGAGAGAGGGCATCCCTGTCTTGTGCCAGTTTTCAAAGGGAATGCTTCCAGTTTTTGCCCATTCAGTAAGATATTGGCTGTGGGTTTGTCATAGATAGCTCTTATTATTTTGAAATACATTCCATCAATACCTAATTTATTGAGAGTTTTTAGCATGAAGGGTTGTTGAATTTTGTCAAAGGCTTTTTCTGCATCTATTGAGATAATCATGTGGTTTTTGTCTTTGGCTCTGTTTATATGCTGGATTACATTTATTGATTTGCGTATATTGAACCAGCCTTGCATCCCAGGGATGAAGCCCACTTGATCATGGTGGATAAGCTTTTTGATGTGCTGCTGGATTCGTTTTGCCAGTATTTTATTGAGGATTTTTGCGTCAATGTTCATCAAGGATATTGGTCTAAAATTCTCTTTTTTGGTTGTGTCTCTGCCAGGCTTTGGTATCAGAATGATGCTGGCCTCATAAAATGAGTTAGGGAGGATTCCCTCTTTTTCTATTGATTGGAATAGTTTCAGAAGGAATGGTACCAGTTCCTCCTTGTACCTCTGGTAGAATTCGGCTGTGAATCCATCTGGTCCTGGACTCTTTTTGGTCGGTAAACTATTGATTATTGCCACAATTTCAGCTCCTGTTATTGGTCTATTCAGAGATTCAACTTCTTCCTGGTTTAGTCTTGGGAGAGTGTATGTGTCGAGGAATTTATCCATTTCTTCTAGATTTTCTAGTTTATTTGCGTAGAGGTGTTTGTAGTATTCTCTGATGGTAGTTTGTATTTCTGTGGGATCGGTGGTGATATCCCCTTTATCATTTTTTATTGTGTCTATTTGATTCTTCTCTCTTTTTTTCTTTATTAGTCTTGCTAGCGGTCTATCAATTTGGTTGATCCTTTCAAAAAACCAGCTCCTGGATTCATTAATTTTTTGAAGGGTTTTTTGTGTCTCTATTTCCTTCAGTTCTGCTCTGATTTTAGTTATTTCTTGCCTTCTGCTAGCTTTTGAATGTGTTTGCTCTTGCCTTTCTAGTTCTTTTAATTGTGATGTTAGGGTGTCAATTTTGGATCTTTCCTGCTTTCTCTTGTGGGCATTTAGTGCTATAAATTTCCCTCTACACACTGCTTTGAATGCGTCCCAGAGATTCTGGTATGTTGTGTCTTTGTTCTCGTTGGTTTCAAAGAACATCTTTATTTCTGCCTTCATTTCATTATGTATCCAGTAGTCATTCAGGAGCAGGTTGTTCAGTTTCCATGTAGTTGAGCGGTTTTGAGTGAGATTCTTAATCCTGAGTTCTAGTTTGATTGCACTGTGGTCTGAGAGATAGTTTGTTGTAATCTCTGTTCTTTTACATTTGCTGAGAAGAGCTTTACTTCCAAGTATGTGGTCAATTTTGGAATAGGTGTGGTGTGGTGCTGAAAAAAATGTATATTCTGTTGATTTGGGGTGGAGAGTTCTGTAGATGTCTATTAGGTCCGCTTGATGCAGAGCTGAGTTCAATTCCTGGGTATCCTTGTTGACTTTCTGTCTCGTTGATCTGTCTAATGTTGACAGTGGGGTGTTAAAGTCTCCCATTATTAATGTGTGGGAGTCTAAGTCTCTTTGTAGGTCACTCAGGACTTGCTTTATGAATCTGGGTGCTCCTGTATTGGGTGCATATATATTTAGGATAGTTAGCTCTTCTTGTTGAATTGATCCCTTTACCATTATGTAATGGCCTTCTTTGTCTCTTTTGATCTTTGTTGGTTTAAAGTCTGTGTTATCAGAGACTAGGATTGCAACCCCTGCCTTTTTTTGTTTTCCATTTCCTTGGTAGATCTTCCTCCATCCTTTTATTTTGAGCCTATGTGTGTCTCTGCACGTGAGATGGGTTTCCTGAATACAGCACACTGATGGGTCTTGACTCTTTATCCAATTTGCCAGTCTGTGTCTTTTAATTGGAGCATTTAGTCCATTTACATTTAAAGTTAATATTGTTATGTGTGAATGTGATCCTGTCATTATGATGTTAGCTGGTGATTTTCCCCCTTAGTTGATTCAGTTTCTTCCTAGTCTCGATGGTCTTTATATTTTGGCATGATTTTGCAGCGGCTGGTACCGTTGTTCCTTTCCATGTTTAGCGCTTCCTTCAGGAGCTCTTTTAGGGCAGGCCTGGTGGTGACAGAATCTCTCAGCATTTGCTTGTCTGTAAAGTATTTTATTTCTCCTTCACTTATGAAGCTTAGTTTGGCTGGATATGAAATTCTGGGTTGAAAATTCTTTTCTTTAAGAATGTTGAATATTGGCCCCCACTCTCTTCTGGCTTGTAGAGTTTCTGCTGAGAGATCCACTGTTAGTCTGATGGGCTTCCCTTTGAGGGTAACCCGACCTTTCTCTCTTGCTGCCCTTAACATTTTTTCCTTCATTTCTACTTTGGTGAATCTGACAATTATGTGTCTTGGAGTTGCTCTTCTCGAGGAGTATCTCTGTGGCGTTCTCTGTATTTCCTGAATCTGAACGTTGGCCTGCCTTGCTAGATTGGGGAAGTTCTCGTGGATAATATCCTGCAGAGTGTTTTCCAACTTGGTTCCATTCTCCCCATCAGTTTCAGGTACACCAATCAGACGTAGATTTGGTCTTTTCACATAGTCCCATATTTCTTGGAGGCTTTGCTCATTTCTTTTTGTTCTTTTTTCTCTAAACTTCCCTTCTCGCTTCATTTCATTTATTTCATCTTCCATTGCTGATACCCTTTCTTCCAGTTGATCGCATCGGCTCCTGAGGCTTCTGCATTCTTCACGTAGTTCTCGAGCCTTGGTTTTCAGCTCCATCAGCTCCTTTAAGCACTTCTCTGTATTGGTTATTCTAGTTATACATTCTTCTAAATTTTTTTCAAAGTTTTCAACTTCTTTGCCTTTGGTTTGAATGTCCTCCCATAGCTCAGAGTAATTTGATCGTCTGAAGCCTTCTTCTCTCAGCTCGTCAAAGTCATTCTCCATCCAGCTTTGTTCCGTTGCTGGTGAGGAACTACGTTCCTTTGGAGGAGGAGAGGCGCTCTGCGTTTTAGAGTCTCCAGTTTTTCTTTTCTGTTTTTTCCCCATCTTTGTGGTTTTATCTACTTTTGGTCTTTGATGATGGTGATGTTCGGATGGGTTTTTGGTGTGGATGTCCTTTCTGTTTGTTAGTTTTCCTTCTAACAGACAGGACCCTCAGCTGCAGTTCTGTTGGAATACCCTGCCGTGTGAGGTGTCAGTGTGCCCCTGCTGGGGGGTGCCTCCCAGTTAGGCTGCTCGGGGGTCAGGGGTCAGGGACCCACTTGAGGAGGCAGTCTGCCCGTTCTCAGATCTCCAGCTGCGTGCTGGGAGAACCACTGCTCTCTTCAAAGCTGTCAGACAGGGACATTTAAGTCTGCAGAGGTTACTGCTGTCTTTTTGTTTGTCTGTGCCCTGCCCCCAGAGGTGGAGCCTACAGAGGCAGGCAGGCCTCCTTGAGCTGTGGTGGGCTCCACCCAGTTCGAGCTTCCCTGCTGCTTTACCTAAGCCAGCCTGGGCAATGGCGGGCGCCCCTCCCCCAGCCTCACTGCCGCCTTGCAGTTTGATCTCAGACTCCTGTGCTAGCAATCAGCCAGACTCCTTGGGCGTAGGACCCTCCGAGCCAGGTGCGGGATATAATCTCGTGGTGCGCAGTTTTTTAAGCCGGTCCGAAAAGCGCAATATTCGGGTGGGAGTGACCCGATTTTCCAGGTGCGTCCGTCACCCCTTTCTTTGACTCGGAAAGGGAACTCCCTGACCCCTTGTGCTTCCCAAGTGAGGCAATGCCTCACCCTGCTTTGTCTTGTGCATGGTGCGCGCACCTACTGACCCGCGCCCACTGTCTGGCACTCCCTAGTGAGATGAACCCGGTACCTCAGATGGAAATGCAGAAATCACCCGTCTTCTGCGTCGCTCACGCTGGGAGCTGTAGACTGGAGCTGTTCCTATTCGGCCATCTTGGCTCCTCCCTCCTGGTTTTCGGTTCTTGTGTTAGTTTGCTGAGAATGATGGTTTCCAGCTTCATCCATGTCCCTGCAAAGGACATGAACTGATCTTTTTTATGACTGCATAGTATTCCATAGTGTATATGTGCCAGATTATCTTTATCCAGTCGATCAGTGATGGACATTTGGGTTGGTTCTAAGTCTTTGCTATTGTGAACAGTACCACAATAAACATACATGTGCATGTATCTTTATAGTAGCATGATTTATAATCCTTTGTGTATATACCCAGTAATGGGATTGCTGGGTCAAATGGTATTTCTAGTTCTAGGTCCTTGAGGAGTCACCACATGGTCTTCCACAATGGCTGAAGTAATTTACACTCCCACCAACAGTGTAAAAGTATTTCTAGTTCTAGGTCCTTGAGGAATCACCACACTGTCTTCCACAATGGCTGAAGTAATTTACACTCCCACCAACAGTGTAAAAGTGTTCCTATTTCTCCATGTCTTCTCCAGCATCTGTTGTTTCCTGACTTTTTAATGACTGCCATTCTAACTGGCGTTAGATAATATCTCACTGTGGTTTTGATTTGCATTTCTCTAATGACCAGTGATGATGAGCTTTTTTCCATATGTTTGTTGGCTGCATAAATGTCTTATTCTTTAACATTTAGAATGTTGTACATGTTCTGGACTCATTCACAGTCTCCCTCCTTATATCCTGCTATTCTTTCCTTGAACTTAGTACATGAATCTTTCTATTTCTCTTGAATATAATTTACCCTTTGGTCTGTATACACCTTCACACTTTATGCTGCCTCTACCCACCATGTTCTCCCTAGGCATAACATACTTGGCCCCTACTATTTATCTGCTCTGATTGTCTACATGTTTTGTTTTGTTTTGTTTTGTTTTGTTTTGTTTGTTTGGTTTTGTTTTGTTTCAACATCTAAAGTAAGTGTATTGGACCAGAGGTTAGACCAGAACAGAATGTGATGTAGGTTTCTGTTCTGAGCACCTAAATGCTCTGAACTGGATAGAAACTAAGGCTAGATATATATCTATATATACATATCTATATCTATATCCATGTATCTATATATACATATCTATATCTATATCTATATATCTATATATATATCTATATCTATATATCTATATATATCTGTATATATATCTATATATATCTGTATATATCTCTATATATATCTATATATATCTATATATATATCTATATATATCTATATATATCTATATATATCTATATATATCTATATATATATCTATATATATCTATATATATCTATATATCTATATATATCTATATATATCTATATATCTATATCTATATATCTATATATCTATATCTATATCTATATCTATATATCTATATATCTATATCTATATCTATATCTATCTATATCTATATATATCTATATCTATCTATATCTATATATATCTATATCTATATATCTATATATCTATATCTATATCTATATATCTATATCTATATCTATATCTATATATCTATATCAATATCTATATATATCTCTATATATATCTATGTCTATATCTATATATATCTAGATATATATCTATCTATATATATCTATGTCTATATATATCTATATTTATCTATATATATCTATATCTATATATATCTATATCTCTATATCTATATGTCTATATATCTATATAGATATATATAGATATATATAGATCTATAGATAGAGATAGAGATATAGATAGAGATATAGATATATATAGATATATATAGATAGATAGATATATAGATATAGATATATATAGATATATATAGATATAGATATAGATATAGATATATATAGATATAGATATAGATATATATAGATATATATAGATATAGATATAGATATAGCTATCAGAGACCTCGAGGCTGTGGGATGAAATCATCCTTTAGGTGTCTATTTATTTAGAAATTAGAAGTATACGGAAAAGAACTCTGAAATGGTTGCTCTAAAGCACTCTAGCGTTGAGCAGTTAGTTAAATTAGGAAGAGGCAAATTAAATTTGCTTCTCCTGATGACTGAAAATGTACAGCCAGCAATACAGAAGGGGTCTGGAGAGTACTGTTGTCATGCAACTAACGAAAAATATTAAGAAATATAAAATGTGGTCAGCTGGGGTGAATAGTGAGAAGATTTCTCATAAGGCAAAAACAGACAGCAGACTTAAGAATTTGGCAAAATAGAGTTATTAAAAAGAATTAAAATAATTTTAGTGAAGTATTGGCTATAGTATTCCCAGATATAGCAGGATGAAATAGAAATGATTATAGAATAAGTGGAGGTTGTTTTCTAACAACCGGAACATGAGTCAGTAGTTGCATAGTAATGGAAATAGTGAAAAATAGGCCAGACGTGGTGGCTCATGCCTGTAATCCCAGCACTTTGGGAGGCCAAGGTGGGCAAATCACAAGGTCAGAAGTTCGAGACCAACCTGGCCAACATGGTGAAACCCCATCTCTACTAAAAATATAAAAAATTAGCTGAGCATAGTGGCGGACGCCTGTAATCCCAGCTACTCAGGAGGCTGAGGCAGGAGAATTGCTTGAACCCCACAGGTGGTGGTTGCAGTGAGCCGAGATTGCACCACTGCACTCCAGCATGGGTAACAGAGTGAGTCTCCATCTCAAATAATAATAGTAGTAATAATAATAATAATAATAATAATAATAATAATAATAATAATAATAAAAGAAAGAAAAAAGAAAAGAAGAAAAGTGAAAATAGAAAAATAATACACTGAGAAAAAACAGGGAACTGTTCTGTTTTAGGGGTCTAGTTCTCCTGTAAGTGGAAGGCAATGGGATAAATATTGACCCCGAATATCAGTCCTGGTTACAGTAAACTGGCAGTGGCTAGTTACATGAGTTGTCATCTCCTTTCTTAAAATGTACATTTTAGATAATTAAAGAAAATGTAAAATAACCCTCTAAGAAGGTGGACTTTCATTTCTAAGGAATAGGAAGAATTTTGGATAGTAAGAGGTATTATTGATTTGTTGTCATGATTTCTAAGTGGCAAGTTCACATATGTTATTTTCTGCAGATATATTATGAAATCCAATTTGAAAAATCCAATAGAAATTTTGTGAGTCTAACAAGGATTGGAGCTTGTCAAAGTACTGTGTGAATAATATCCCCTCAAAATTTATGTCCACCCAGAACCTCAGAATGTGACTTCATTTTGAAGTAGAATCCTTGCATAGGTTGTAAATTAAGATAAATGTATGTGGATTAGGGTGGGCTCTAAATATAATGACTAGTATTCTTATAAGGAGAGGGAGATTTGGATAGAAAGACCCACCTCGAGGGAATAAGGTCTTGTGAAGATAAGTACAGAAATTGTAGTGAGGCAGAATTGTAGTGAATTCAAGAAATGCTAAGGATTGCCATCAATCAAAAGAAACGAGGAAGAGGCAAGGGAAGATTCTTCCCTAGAGCCCTCAGAGAGAACATGACTCTGCCAACACCTTGATTTCAGACTTGAATTATCCAGAAATGTGAGAGGATATATCTTTGTTGCTTTAAGCCTCCTAGTTTGTAGTAAGTTTTATGGCAGCCCTAGGAAATTAATATAAATTAGTCAAGCACATAGGCAAGAGGCCAAAGAGCATGAAGCTGGGTTTGCTAGAGAATGATAATACCATTCCATAGATTTTCTAGCCTGAGCAAAGAAGAAACAGAGGATGAAGGAAAATGTGAATCTTGAAAGGTGATAGGGCTGATGAATTCTGTGTTGAAATTAGGTAAAATTATTATTAAAGAGGGATATTAAAATAAAGGTAGAACAACAACCGAGGATGATTGTTCCACATTTTTGAAATGTTATCATATTATTGTGACAAGTTCTGAGGTATAAGCATGTGTTTTTGCCTGAGGAAGAATGCAGTAAAAATCTATATAGGGCTTTGGAAAGTCAGGGTAATGGGATGTTAAGGTGATTGAACCAGGCACAGTGGTGAAGTACAGGCCCTAAATATTTCAAGTATTGGTTGCTGTAAAAGTGAGGTCACATAAGACAGAGAGAAGAAAGGATGATAGGTGGGATATTTTAATTGCAGGCAAATCAAATAAAAGTGATAGTGTATCAAAATATCAGCAAGGAATAACAGACGTATTCCCTACTTTCTAGTTCTAAGATCAAAATGCCTGACACTAGCATTTACACATAGATAAACATAACTTTGTACTTTAATAAAAGAAACAAATCTATTTTTTAACCTATGGAAAATATCAAGTTGTCAGGCAACTGATGATAAAGTACCGTCTTTTGAAATTTTAAGTGCTAACTATATTTTTGTTGGGGTCATACTTAGTATGCTACTATTAAACATTTTAAAAATTAATGATTGGGGTGATGAACCAGAGTGTATCTTTAGTAAATTTGCTGATGACACCAATTTGGTAGGACAATTAGCACATTTAAAAGCTGTATTAAAATTCAAAATGACCTTGATGAGTTGGAGAGGAGCCTGGATATAAACAAGATGAAGTTGATTAAGTTCATGTGCTATAATTCATTTAGCTTATTTCATATTCAGAGTGGCCAAACCATTATGCAACTGTGATCAGAACTTTTAATCAAAATAGTTTGAACTATCTGTCTTCATTGCAGTGCAGTCACAGCAAATGGAAGTCAAGACTTTTGTGCATCCAACTGGCATGAAACTTAAGTTATTAGTTTAATCAAAATGCTGCTGCTGCCAGGGTTCTTCAAGACATGGACACTAAGATTTAGATAGAAATATATCGTATCCCAAAAATCACATGGGACAGGTCATTCTTTCTGAACTCTGAAAAATAACAACAAAAATCTGTGTACTGGAGAAGCCAAAAGTGCCATGTAAACTGACAATTGTGTTTAAAAAGAAAGCAACAAAGCTAAATGAATGAGCACATACAATTTTGGATAAAAGTTTTTAATATATTGGTTACTTAATGTTTTAGGAAATTTTCCGTAACTAAATTACAGTGTCAAGACTTGGAAAAAAGAATTATCTGTGAAAAATGTTTTACCTGAGTTAAGTTGCTTAAGAAATATTTATTAAGATTTAAGAAAATAGCAGTAGACTTCAGGATTAACATTAACACTTCAATGTGGGTTTTAAAGCTTTCAGATCAACGTCTATAACAAGAATTTCATACAAACTGTAAATTACAAGGATAGAAAGTTTTCACACAGATTGAGGAGTTTCTCCATACCCTAAAACCTTTCCATGGTACGCCTCTCTGGTCAATAGATCCAAGATAAAGCAACATGATGGGAAGTGTGTCCTCAATATAGGTAGTCTCAGGACTTCTTTTTTTCATGTAATTAATATACTTTATTTCTTAGAGCAGTTTTAGATTTATGGAGAAATTGAACTCAAGAGATCTCACATATGCGACTCCCACTATGTTTAATTTATTATTAATATTTTGAATTAGCATAGTACATTTATTGCAGTTGATATTGGCACACTATTCATAACTGAAGCTCATAGTTTACATTAAAGTTCATTCTCTGTGTTAAAAAATTATATTGGTTTTGTCAATTGCCTCATGTCATGTATCCACCATTACATTTTCATACAGAGTGGTTTCACTGCCCTAAAAATCCTCTGTGCTCCATCTTCTTAGCCTTCCTTCCCTCCCATCAACCCCTGGCAAAAACTAATCTTTCCACTGCCTTTAGTTTTGCCTTTTCCGGAATGTCATATAATTGGAATCATACAGTGTAGTCTTTAAGATTGCTTGATTTAACTTAGTAACATACATTTAAGATGTCTCCATGTCTTTTCATAGCTTGATAGCCATTTCTTTGTATTGCTGAAAAGTATTCCATTGTATGAATATAACACATTTCATTTGTTAATATATTTATTGAGGAATATCTTGGTTGTTTCCAGTTTGGAGAATTATGAATAAAACTGCTATAAACATTTATGTGCATGCTTTGGTGATATGTTTTCAACTACTTTTGGTAAATTGGATTTCAGTTGTCATATTATAAGGTAAGACTGTATGTAGCTTTGTAAGAAACTTCCAAACCATCTTTCAAAGTGGCTATACTATTTTAAATTTCCATCAGCAATGAATTAAAGTACTTTTGCTTTAACTCCTCACAATCTGATATTGTTATGGTTTTGGATTTTAGCCACTCTAACAGATATGTAATGGTATTTTGTTGTCTTAATCTACAATTCCCTAATGGCTTATGATGAGCATATTTGCATATGCTTATTTGGCATCCATGTATCTTTGCTGAAGTATCTGTTCAGATCTTTTGTCTATTTTCTAATTGGATTATTTGTTTTCTTATTGTGGAGTCTTAAGACTTATTTGTATATTCCAGATACAACTCCTTTATCAGGTTTGTCTTATATAAATATGTGCTTCCAGTCAGTGGTCTGTGTTTTCATTTTCTTAATAGTGTCTTTCATAGAGCAGAAATTTTTGCTTTTAATATAGTTTAATATAAAATTTGTTTTTCTCATGAATCATGTTTTTGATGTTGTATGTAACACTTTACTGGGAAACTCATAATCACCTGTATTTAATCCCTTGTTTTATTCTAGAAGTTTTATTGTTTTGAGTTTTGTGTATGTTTCTGATCTGACATGTAAAGACATTGGAGATTCTCACTCTAATCTTCACAACAAGAACAAAGCTGGACTAACTGAATATCAACAACATTTAGATTCAACAAATAAATGAGTAATAGAAAAAAAACTTTTGCCCTGAAAATGGTGAGAGATGGACAGAGAGATACAGAGACTCACAGTTTGTGGGTAAAGAAGTCCAGGTAAAAAAGTCCAGGAGCAGAAGCCTGCAGCTGGAAACACTGTTGGTAGAAGCACTTTAATCTGTAATTGATGGATTGCTAGAGGGTCAGTATGGAGTAGTTTGTGAGTTAAAATTTTAAGGGGGCATAAGGGGGAATACGAACAAAACAAATGAAGAAAAAAAATCCCACAGAAGAACATGGATATGAATTACACCACACTGTTCCTCTGAAACTGTGCAAGCAAGACGAGAGTGAAGTAAAATATATAAAATGTTGAAAGAAAACAAAAATCACCAACCTAGACTTCATTAAGCAGTGAAATTATCCTTCAAAAGTGAAGAAGTAGACTCTTTCAGAAAACTAAAAATTGAGAGGGAATTTATCACCAAGAGACCTGCCTTGCAAGAAATGTCAAAATAAGGTCTTCAGAGAGAAGGAAAAAGATACAGGTCAGAAACTCTGATGTATATAAACAAAGGAAGTGTTAGAGAAAGAACAAATGAAGTAAAAAATAAAATATTTTATTTTTCTTATTCATTAGGGCTTGCAGAATTGTGATATTCTAATTATGTCATTTATTTTAATTTATTGATTGGAATAATTTTATAAAGACATGCTTTCCCTTATCTACTATTTGGTTATGCAGTACTATCATTTGTAAGGTGATAAGGGCATTATTCCTTGCCTGTAACCAATTTTTTAATATTACTACAATCTCATGAATTTAATGAAACTCTACAATGATTTATGATAAACATCTCAGCAAACTAGGAGTAGAAAGCAAACTTCTCATCCTGATAAAGGGATACTACAAAGTAACTATAGCTAGCATTATACTAAATAGTGAAAAACTGAAAGAAGATATGAAAAATCATATATCTGATAAAGGATTTGTATCCAGAATATATAAAGACTTCTTACAATTTATTAATAAAAATAATTTGATAAAAGTTGCCAAAATATTTGAAGATGCACTTCATCAAACAAAATATTTGGATGATAATTAAGCACAAAGCAAGGTTCTCAGGGTTATTAGTTATTAGGAAATGCAAATTAAAACCATAATAAGATGACTTTACACCCCTACCAAAATGATTGAATTTAAAAAGAATGGCCATTACCAAACACTGGTGAGGAACTTCCCTGCATTGCAATGACAAACGGGCTAGCCACTAGAAAGTTAAACCTATGATTATTATGGAATCAACAATTTCACTTCAATGTAACTACCAAAATAAGTTAAAACATGTGCACCCCCAAGGCAAGACCTCAGACATTTATAGCAACTTTCTTTGTTCTATCTAAAAATTTGATAAATTGTATATGCATATAATGGAATGTAAATCAGTATTAAAAATGAACTTACTTCTGATATATACATTAGCATAGATAATTCTCAGAGATATATAAAGCCAGTCCCCAAAGATTACAAATTATACAATTTTATTTAATGTAGTGTTAGGAAGCAGTTTATTGATTGCTAATAGCCAGAGGATATGGGGAAGAGACTGACTGCAAAGGAGCATGAGGAAACTATTTGAGTGATGAAAATGTTCTATATCATAATTGTGGTAGTGATTAAATAATAGCAAACATTTAAAAAATGTACCAAACTATTTGTTTAAAACTGATTAATAAGATTACATTAAAATCATGCTTCAATAAAACCTAAGTAAAAATAAATAAATAAATAAATAAATAAAAGGGCAAATCATCTGAGTAAAGTCATCTAAGGATAAAATGTTTGACAGTGTTCTACACTTCCTTCCTTGGCAAACGCTATGACATATAATCATTAAGTTTTCTGCAAGAAGCATCTAATTTTTTTAAGGAACTTATTGGTGATATAATCCTTTCCATTAGTGAAACTCTGTTTTTTCCAGACAACAATTTTTTCAAGAGATTCATTTAGTCTGGTGTCACATATAGATTGCCTTATTTCAATATATTCTGTGTATAATTCCAGATTCCAATATTAATTTTATTTTGAGCCATGTATTGCAGCCTTGATTTGTCACATCTTTAAGCTCTACACAGCTCTGTATTTTGTTTTACAATCCCATGAAACATGGCTTCAGTCACTGTCCCAACCCCCACATATCTTGGATTTAGAAAAACCTGTGACTTACCTTTGAAATTCAATTTTTCCATAAGACGTTCAACCACAAAATCTTATCTTACTCTCCAGCATACTGAAAGCAGACAAACAAGGAACTCATAAAATAATCAGCACCTAATAAAGTGTGTGTGTGTATCAGTGGCTGTGTATTTAAAAAATTTTTCATTTCAGAAATTACATTTAGTTTTGATATTTGATAATATGCTATTCAAAATAAGTATTATTTTATTTATACATTTTATAGCCTAAGAATAAATAAAAAATGCTAGATGTTACTTTTTTTCTAATTGATAAATATCCTATACATATAAATGGTTTTGCCATTATTTGAAGTGATTATGAATGATCTCTCTCCCTCTCTCTCTCTCTCTCCCTTCCTTTTTCTGTTCTTCTCTCAACCATGGAAAAAAGCCAGATAATAATAACTAAATAGCACAACTGAAAAAGTTAAACTGTTTAATATGGGACAATATTGTCCAAATTGAATGCCTTTAAAATTCTAGAGTTAAAGACATTGCACTAAATATTGTGCAAAAATAGAGTCATGTTTCCTTATCTCCTAATAATAAATTGCCTTGACTTTCTAAATGTGACAAAACTCTTTCACTTTTGGGATGATAACTTGGTAGTACTGTCAGAAAGATCAAATTTCCCTCAAAGTATTAGACTTTGTCATAAAATTTGGAAGTACCAGCTCCCCTGAGGCAAATGTAAATACACTGTCAGTTTTTTTGTGTGTTTGTTTGCTCTAACACTGTGTGATCCACTGTCTCTAGGGAAATAAATCTGCTTCACTTACTTCTCAAAGGATTCACTGTGGACTAATAAATATTACTTTAAAAAATTCAAGGTAAAATGATTCTTAATATTTTAAAATTGATATTTTTAGACTTCAGAATTGTTAACCTTTTCAGATATAAACTAAGATTACTTAATGGATTAAAATTGTAATATTATAAATTTTTGTCAGTAAACTAATTTTATTCAGCTTAAAACTATTACTGGCATCAAATAATTAACCTTAAATTGTTATTTATTTGAGAGGGATGTATACATTTTTATCCTCAACTAAATTGTGATGATAAAATAAATCAACCCATGATTACTTAATAAAGTATAAAATGATGATTAAATTGTCTTTCTTAATTTTAATTGAAATATAAAATTATCTCAATAAATGACCAAAAGGTAAGAAGCCAAAGACAATCAAAATATATAAATATTGTCTTTAATATCTAAACTTTAAGATTTAAATAGAATTCAGAATCATATCTAAATTTGTAGTAAAATTTTAAGCAGCAGATATCAAAAGTATTAAGAGTTACAAAATATAAACTACAGAAAAAATAGGTACTTTATACACACATTTAAATACATCTATGCATAACTATATTCAAATGTACAAAGTCAGAACTTCATTCAAATGCCAAGGACCTGGCATGGGGATATTTACTAAGCACTTGCCATTTAATTTTATCCTCACAATACTTCAATGTATGTGCATTTTTACCTATTTAACAAATTGAAGGCACCAGGAATCATTGATGGCATAGCTTGTACAATCTTGTAAGGAGCTAAAATGTTGAATAATGTTATCAATTATTTTAAAAAACACAATTTTCATTGTTGATATTCTCTGTCATTTTTCTATTCTCCGTTTTATTTATTTTTTTCTCTAATCTTTAAAATGTCTTTTCTTTTGGGTTTTGTTTGTTCTTAACGTTCTTTCTAATTTCTTGAGGTGGAAGATTTGGTCATTATTTGAGACCTTTCTATTTTTAATATAAGCATATTGCAGCTATAAATTTTCCTCTGAGCACTGATTTAGCTGTATTCTATTCAATTTATTATGTTTTGTTTTCATTTTCCACTAAATCAAATTATTTATCATTGCTGTCATGATTTCTTCTTTGACCCATTAATTATCTAGTGGTACATTTTTAATTCCCACATATTTCTGATTTTTTATTTTTTCTGCCATGTTTGATTTCTAATTTTATTGTGTTTTACTCCAGTAACATACTTTGTGTGACTAAACTTAAAAAAAAAAAAACTTTACAGTGTGATAAGACAGAAATAAGATAGCACTCACGTTCCAAAAGGGAGAAATTGGAAACATAAAATGGGTCTTGGGTCCCAAGCAACCCCAAAACCTAGCCAGGCAAATTCGATTAGGCTTTAAGGCCACATACTAATTCTCTGTGACCTGATGCTTCATTCCCTGGGTCCTACAAGGCAGTGACCCCATCTCTTAGCTCTGGAGTCCCCATTGAGCTGCCCAGACTCTGGGCCCACTGCTCTGTCCTTTCTGGCCTCTGCAACTATGGCTCTTCCCTCAGTATCATTTTTCCCTTATTTCTTTTTATCTCCAATCCTATCAGTCCCAGCTTATGGTGTCTGCTGGTATAAAATTATCATAACCCTTATCAGTCTTCCATGAAATTCATGGGATTCTAAGCCACCAGACATAAAAGTTCTCCACAGATCCTTCCCGAATAGCCCAACTTTTATTCTTGGTTTCTCGTTAGATGTTTGATTAAATCCATAAATCACATGTCTAATCTCTTTACTAATCTTAAATAATGGTTGTCCAGCCATAGCTTTAATGTTCTCTTCAGAGCATCTATTTTTCTCATCTTTTGCTGCTGCCTGGATAAGCAGAGAATTTTCCAAATCCTCAAGTGTTGGTTTCTTTTTGCTTAATGATTTATTCCTCATTTTATCTATTTTCTCTCATATTAAGCTAGTATAAGCAAGAAGGAGAAACCAGAGAGTTTGTTCCACACTGTGCTTGGAAATATCGGTTCTTTGCTAACAAATTCTACTTTCCTCCCAACGGCAGAATGTAATTCAGTCAAGTTCTCGGCACTTTATGACCAGGGTCATCTTTCCTCCATTGACCAGTAACATGTTCTTCATCTCTTTCTGAGACCTCACCAGAAGCACCTTTAGGATTAATATCTCTACCAACCAAATTGAGTGGAAAGTGTGGAGTTCTCATATGCCCTTTCAGTTGCAAACCCATTTACCAGTTACTTCTATATTAGAAGAAATGAATGTGGTACCTTTGTTATAATTTATGAGTCAATATTGAAATACTATCAATAGAAGTTCACATTAGTGTTCACTCTTTGCTTTGTACAGGCTATGGGTATTGTCAAATGTATAATGACATGCTTACACCGTTACAAAATAATGCAGATTCACTGATTCAAATTTTTCATTTTCTAATTCATAATTTGTTGTTGATGTGTTATTTTCTAATGGTTCCTTTCCATGGGTGGGATCACTGATTCTGCATTTCTTAAACTCTTTAATGCTGAATACTTTCTATCTAAATGGACTTTATACTTGAAGGGAGCCTGACTGTATTAGTTTGTTCTGACACTGCTATAAAGAACTTTCCTGAGACTGGGTAATTTATAAAGGAAAGAGATTTAATTGACTCACAGTTCCATATGGCTGGGGAGGCCTCAGGAAACTTACAATCATGGCAGAAGGGGAAGCAGGCATATCTTACATGGTAACAGGCAAGGGAGAGCAAGTGGGAAGGAGGAACTGTCAAACACTTATAAAAACATTAGATCTCATGAGAAGTCACTCACTATCACAAGAACAGCAGGAGGGAAACTGTCCCGGTGATCCAGTCACCTCCCACCAGGTCTCTACCTTGACATGTGGGGATTGTGGCGATTACAATTTAAGATGAGTTTGGGTGGGGACACACAGCCAAACCATATCAGTGATTCTATATTTTTGTCTGTTTCTGTGACTCAAAACTTTCTAGACAGCTGCTCAACTTTATGCTTTTTCTCTTGATTCACTTACACCTTTGATTGCCTATGAGATATGAATTACCTTTATGATGTTACGAATCACTTGGCTTTCCTAATAGGTATTTCATTCAAGTTCTTCTCTGAGCAATTCTTTCTGAGAACTCTGTGTAAATCAGGTTTATAGAAAGCCAGTTGGAAGGCAGAAGACATAATGCCAAACTTAAAACAAAATTTTCCCCCAGCTATCAGCTTCCTCTAAAGAAGTCTTCGCTTTCACCTAAATTCCTAGTTTATTTTACTTAGTGGGAATGCATTTTTTTTTGTAATGGAACACCCCTTTTATCTGTGCTCTAAGAGGGAAGAAACAAGAATGTGGGGCTGATTAGCACAACTATTTTTCTATATATAGATTTCTAAATAATGCCCCTGTTTACATAAATGTTTCTCACTCTGTCTTCTCTGTGGTCTGTTTATTATGAGCCTGACATCTCTTAAAACAAATGGGCATATTGGTTATTACTCACCAAACAACTGTATAGTCTTAAATTGTGGCAGTATCTAATATCTTTATTTGTAGACCATTTCTACATTAGCTTCTGTCTAACAAATAATTTAACTAAATTTCCCCAACTAAAAATCTATAGAAAAGTTACAAAAACAGTGCAATTAATAAATTTCTACTCTTCACCTAGATTCATCAATTATTAACGTTTGTCTCACTGGGTTTATATCTCATGGAATACATTTTCATACTATTTTGTGTGTTGCTTTGCTTAGTCTTACTTGCCTTTGGGTGTTTGTTTTGCTTTGTTTCTTAACAGATTGTTCAATTAAAATCATTAAGTTTTAGGGCAATTCCAAAGCCTTCGTAACACATTTTTTAAATTGGAATGGACTTCCTTTATTTCCAGTCTGCCTCTTGGGTTTATTTTTGCATCTTACTTCCATTTTTAAGGAAATATGCTTATGTCTCGCAATTACCCAGATCCAAGCCCCCTTCTATCCTCTACTGACTCTGCTGCTATAGACACTATATCTTCTCTTACTGACAGCATATCTTCTTTAACCAGATGTGTTATCATCTTGGAGTCCTCAAATACTGCCTAGTATTTTTGCTGAGATCTAATATGTGTGTTGATTTAAAAAAACACAAACTCATGAATTCTGCCAATTCATGCACTAAAAATATCAGAACTTATAGGAGGAAAAATGATATGGCACAGTAATTAAATCTTTGACAGCCTCATAATCAGGGCTTCAACTGAGCTTGTAACTATCCTAGTAATTATACAGCATATTAAAGATTCACTGGCATTTCCACCCAGAATCAGCCAGTCCATCATTTGTAGAAAATCCAAAATTTTATGCATTTTCTTTGGAGACTGTCCCTTAGGGTAGCTACTCAAAAGAAGCATGAATTCCATCACAATTAAAAATCTTGTAGAGTCTACCTTTCTATCATCAGGTTTTATTTAAGCATTTTTTAGCACAGGGAAAATATCCTTTCATCTATTTTATTTGTGTATGCAGTATCATAGTATCACCAAACAGTTTGATGTCATAAAAAGTGGTGCAGAGTTTTTGGCCACTAAAATGGTTACTATGACTCAGAAAAGAACCTTGACAGGTCTTTTCAACTTTTTTTCTTTTTCTTTTTTTTTTTTTTGGTCTTTATGTATGGTGTTGTTTAGGCTTTCTCTTTAATTATGAGAAAGGGTATCCTTGATGACTTCTTAATTTGGGTAAAATTATTTAAATCTGGGAAAATTATGTTTGAGACTTTGTAACTTCTTTTTATACCCTTATCATTTCTTTATAGGCAGTGTCATCAGAACTAATTTGCATGCACCATAGCAAATGAAGGGTATTTGATCATTCCACATTGATGCATTCTAGTTGACATCAGTATTTGGCCCCATTCCTATATGAGCAGATGATTCCTCTTACATAGATCATCATCTTGCCACTGCAGCTCCCCTTTCTGCTCAGTAATGAAAAGAAATAATAATTCTTCCAAAACAAGACTTTCATTAATTTCTGCCGCTTCCAATATAGTTAAATCAATTGGCCTTATGGCTGCTGTGCTTCCTTCTAGGACACTTTGAAAAAAATACATATGGATATTTACTTCAGTAGCAATGTGTACTATATGAAGTGCAGGTGGTTGGTTTCTAATCTGAAGTTTCTGCCTTCCTTCTCTAATAGAGTTACATTTATTACGCTTTAATTCATTTAACTACATATTTATTTATTTGTTTTAATATTGTAATAATAGTAGGAGCATTAAAATCACCGTCTTAGAAAGATTGCTTTTTTGTTTTTGAGTTCTCGCTAAATTTGTTCAATGTCATGGCAAACATATATGAAACTATTAATAACTTATGGTATATTCATAACTTTATGGATAACAATGTGTAGACTACAAAAGTATTTGGTATAACCAAGGATGAAAATAACATATGTTGTAAAATTGAGGAGGAACAGAATTGTATTGGACACTGTCATTCACTCTTTTTTTGCCTTAGGAACCCAGCTTTTTTTTTAATTATGAGAAAGCATAAACTTATACCTTGAATAGTTAATTTGGGGCCAAGCATCTGAATTCTGCCTATTGAAATATGGGAGAAAGGAGTGCACATCACTTTCCAGGTTCAGCTTTTACATTTTGTAATGCAGTATTCTCTATTATTTCTTCCCTTTGCATGGCAAAAGTGAGAACAACGTGGTTGAGATTGGGCATACCAACAACAGAAGGACCTATGGCAGAAATGGCTAATTCTAACAGCTTGCGTTGAACTCCGTGTTGTGGAAATGAATGTTTAGTGTGCCCATACAAATTAGCTTTAGCATGACTAATGCGAAGACAAATTGCAAGAGCCAGAAGGCAGAAGTATAAAGATGGAAATAGCTGATCTGGAGACACCTGGAGGAAAGAGTTGACTATATAATATTAACATCCTTTACTTCTGCCCTATTCAGTGTGGTTGGCTACTAACCCACACCATTTTATAACATCATAAATTACTTCAAATGTGTTTTTTCCACATGAGCATGCTTAATGGCTACCCACAGTTTCTGTGGATCACTATAATAGCCATGTAAAAGTGCCATCTGTATGCTTGTCAGCAACTGCTGTCCTCAAGAAGGTTTTATTTTCCCTTGTTAGTAAACTGAACTTTAATAAGAAGATATAATTAGCAACAATAAGAATCAAATTTCCAATTCTTATAATATTTTAGAAGTAAACAAACACTGATAAATAATTCTTTATTTCAGATGCCACAGACATGTGAGAAATGGAACTTTTGACAAGATCTGTGAAAAGAATGGTATTTTATTGTATTAGGATTCTCCAGAGGGACAGAACTGATCGGATATATGTGTATATGAAAAGGAGTTTATTAGGGAGAATTGGCTCACATGATCATAAGGCAAAGTCCCACAATAGGCCATCTGCAAGCTGAGGAAGGAAGAAACCAGTGGTGGCTCAGTCCCAGTCCAAAAGCCTCAAAAGTAGGGAAGCCGACAATGCAGCCTTCAGTCTGGCCAAAGGCCCAAAAGCCACTGGCAAACCGCTGGTATAAATCCATGTGTTCAAAGGCAGAAGAACCTGGAGTCTGATGTCCAAGGGTAGAAGGAATGGAAAGAAGCATCCAGCATGTGAAAAAGGAGAAAGCCAGAAGACTCAGCGAGTGAGATTATCCCACCTTCTTCCATCTGCTGTGTTCTGGCCACACTGGCAGACCACTGGATGGTGTCCACCCACATGAGGATGGGTCTTCCTCTTCCAGTCCACTGACTCAAATGTCAGTCTCCTCTGGCAACACCCTCACAGACCCACCCAGAAACAATACTTTACCAGCTGTATAAGCATCCTTCAATCCAATCAAGTTGACACCTGTTATTAACCATCACATTTATATAATGTGTATATAACACATTTATATAACATAAACTGATTTCCATTTATGAAGCATATTACGTGCTTACTACAAAAACATAAAAAAGAAGAGAATGTATAATTGAATTCCTATAAAGGGCATAGAGGTACCGAAAGAAATATCTCCAATACTTTTAGGATTCCTTACTAAATTTTATCTCTGTTTTTTCTATGTGAATTAACTCTTAGAAACTCCTAATCATACACGTTGACATAGCCACTGACAAATATCAGGTTTTTTAACCATAATACATCCAACCCCCAATCTTCTAGTTTTCAAAACAAGTCCTAGAAATGGCTTTAATTGGTTTATTTTATAACCATAAATATGGTGTACCATTGATTACTGTATCCAGTAAATTAACACCCCTGAGTTTAGGGGAAGAGCCATTCCCAAAACACAGATGGTGTGGCTCCCAGGTGGAGGAAAGCATCTGGGCAGACAAACCATCAGCAGGAGCAGGGATGAATCTTCTCAGTTTTTGGATGCAAGTTGTGCTTTCTGAGAGCTTTGTGTGTTGAGATCATCACTTAATGTGCCTCCCAGCATCTAATTTTTGTTGTTTTACTAAAAGTACATTGATTTCTCTGTGATGAACTGTTTCTGCCCACGCTAGCTCTACGCACATCAGATTAGGCATCCCTTCACCCTGGATAGGCATAATCCAAATTGAGGCTCCTTCTAAAAATGACTGATTCAAGATGAGTCAATTTCCAAGCAGCTATATTAGATGCAGTCTTGAAATTTGTAATGAAAATATAAAGAAAAATGGTATATCATTCTACTGGCCATGATAGAACAAAAACCTGAACCTACCAGTTGCAACTTTCTCTCCACTTGGAAAGAAAATGCCTGAAAATAAAGCAAACTCAGAACAAGTAGATACTAAGAGTTGAAGAAAAAAATCTGCAGGCCCAGCTAGCTACTCAGGTGGCTGAGGAGGAAGGCCTTGAGCCTAGTTTGAATTCAGCTTGGGAAACATAGCAAGAATATCTCTAAAATAAAATAAAATAATTGAAGATAAAGAGATTACTGATGATGGTTTTCAAGCATTTTGACCCAATCTTTTTAAAGTTTGACTTTTCTGTTGACTTCTTTTTTTTTCTGTTAACCAGTATGTTTATATTTCTGCTTAAGCTAGTTTGAATTTAATATCATGTTACTTGGAATTGAGTCCTCACTAATAAGTGAGGATGAGGGGAGGTTATGGTCCAATTCTCAGATGAAAATTTGAGTCTTTATTGACTGCCTGGATTTTCTTTTCATAAGCAAGTAAAGTAGGCAACACGTGATCCACAAAGACTCACCACTATGGACTATATCAACAACCCTATCCAACAGATGAAGGAAATTGGATGTAATAATAGAGTTGCTTTGGAACTAAGAATCAGAGATGATACTTAGAATGAAGAGACAGAAGTAACATGAGGTTGGTACAGCTTCCTTTTTCTTTGTCCATGACACTCCTAATTATTAAGCCATTTATTAAGAGTTTGAAAGTACCTCCACATGATATATACTTGCAGGTATTCCTGTTTTATTTTCATTTCTCTGGTCAAAATTCCTCTAGTACTATCTGAAATAACAGTATAGGTTATCCTAGATATTTGTGATAAAATATTTAGCTTATATTTTTTCATTTCTTCTACCCGGAATAGTTTACTTTCTACCTAAACCAGGTTATAAGGAAGGAAGGAGAAAGAAAGGAAGGAAGAAAGAAAGAAAGAAAGAAAGAAAGAAAGAAGGAAAGAGAAAGAAAAAGAAAAGAAAGAAAGAAGGAAAGAGAAAGAAAGAAAAGACAAGAAAGAAAGAAAAAGAAAGGAAGGAAGGGAAGGGAAGGAAGGAAAGAAAGAAAAGAAAGAAAGAGAAAGAAAGAAAAAGAGAGAAAAGAGAAAAGGAAGGAAGGAAGAAAAGAAAAAAGAAAGGAAAGAAGGAAGGAAGGTAGGAAGGAAGGAAAAGAAGAAGGAAGGAAGGAAGAAAAGAAAAAAAGAGAAAGGAAAGAAGGAAGGAAGGTAGGAAGAAAGGAAAAGAAAGAGAAGAAGGAAGGAAGGAAGGAAAAGACAGAGAAGAAGGAAGGAAGGAGGGAAGGGGAGGGGAGGGAGGGGGAGAGAAAGAATGGCCTGAAATTTAAGTCTAATTCACGGACTGTCTGAAATTACAAAAGTCACAGGTGTATTGAAGGGCCAAAATAAAGATTTTGTTAATGTTGAGAACATGTTGTATAAATATGATTATTACCACCACATATATCTTTTACAAAACTATAGTGTATCATAGTGATTCTGCAGTTTCAAGATAAAACTGTGAAATTTCCACTTTAAGCTTTTGTCTGATTTTTTTTCTTTAAAGAAAGTATGAATATGACTCAAAAGTGATTATACTGATAAATATATACTACATTCCACTATGAGCAATGCTTGTGTGCTATCCTTTCTTATAGGTTTGTTAACTGCTCAGGGAACTGATCTCTCAATAACTTATATTTTACAATAATATATGTAAAATATTGTTTAATTGTACCACTGAGAATTGAGGACTTTACCAATTCCTAATATAAGCTTAATATATAATTAGAATTTGTTTTCATTTTTTCTCCTGTACTATGAGCTGGCTAAAACTATTGTTCTCACTACTTTTTATGTTGGAACATATTAGTTTGAAACAATCCCTGATTTTGTTTTTCAAAAAAGCAAAAGCAAAAGCAACTGAGATGCTTGGAGTGTGTAAGAATGCAGTAAAATGTTCAGTTAGTTGCTAATCCACTGGAGTTAAGTGCAATCTCTGGAGGTGCTGAGCATGATCTAATACTGCAGCCTTCTGCCCAAAGAGCATCATTACAGTAACAGCCCTGCCAAATATTCTCTGCTTTTCACTTACACCTAATAATGCTTCTAAAGATACCCCTTATAATGTTACTTAGACATGCACACAGGTGCTCATTGAAGACTTTGACTTTAAAATGAATGCCATTTACAATGGCAACACATTTGGCAAACAAGTGAAAACTGAAAAATGCCAATGAACAGATTGAATAAAGTATTCTGAATATGCATTTATTTTTTTTTTCTTTTTTGATGTCATATATTTTGAAATGGACAGGCTCATTCATATATATACATCCTGCACATTTTACTTTTCATAATCAGAGACAGAATATCATAACTATCAGTCATAGGATCTTTGTGAATTTATGCAGATGGGCTGACTTCTTTGATAATTTCTGGTATCAAAAAGAAGTGTTAGGTTGCTTATGATTCCTGAAAAAGTTATTGCAGCAGCACAAATTATAACTCAGTATTTAAAAATCAAACATTTCTTTTTGTCTTTTCTTCTCATCTCTCTGTTTTCAGGCCCACGTGTTCTTCACATGGCTCTGAAAACACGGAAATGAAAAGGAAAGACAAAAAGGAAACTAGTCGGGATGTCTTCACAATTACTTATCACTGCGCACACTGAATCAACTGTATGTCCCTACTTATAAATAAACAACTGCCTGTGAACAGTAAAGCTCTTCTTTTACTTTCTTCTTCAAATTATGATGCTTTGAATAGTAATTGAACTTGGCTTCTAGAGATTATAATGTAAGAAGAAACTGTATTCCTCATTTAGTGGGAAGAATTCTCAAAATGATTCCGATAACTCACCTTTGATTCTCAACCCCTTTGATTGCAGATGGACCCTCTAAATATGAATGTCATTCCTGTGAGTGTGGCACATTATGTGGCAAAGAGAGCTTATCTAGGCGGGGTTAACTTAATCAGAGGAGCCCTGCATGAGCAGAGTTTTCTCCAGATGGTGGCAGAGAGATTCAAAGCATGAAAATGATTCAAAGCACCACTGCTGGCTTTGAAAATGGAGGGGGCAACATAGACCTTAAAAATGTTCCCAGCTCTTAATGTTCCCATACTTGACTCTATATAAGGTTTCTTTCTGACTATAGGCCCCTTACTTCCATTTTCTTAAAGCATTTATTTCAGAAAATTTCCAACTGTAAACTCTTTATCTGCTCTATTCAAATGTGAATCTACTATAATACAAGAATAGCTTTATCAATAATCTGGGAGTTATTCCTTTGACATTTAATCATATAAGGAGAAAGAGATAGCATCCTTTCCTCCAAGTCCTTGTGGGAGGGTAGGAGCCCAAGTTCAATAAGTGACAATAGGCAAACACAGGTGGCCTAATCACATTGACCAACCTCTCCACTAACATCTTCCAGTAGTTTTCCATTAACTCACTCCAACATTTAAAAATCTTCCTGTCTTTTGCTTCAGCAGAGTTAAATTCAATCCTTCTCGCATAGTTTAATAATCTCTTTCCATTATTCCAATAGTCTTGAATAAATTCACCTTTGTATATTTCACTAGTCATGTGTAATTTTTCTTTTATGGTATATAAAAACTTGAGAATGACATCTAGAAGCTGAGAGAGATGTCTGCAGACAGGCAACTAGCAAACAGGGACTGAAGTTTTCCAGCTGCAAGAAATAGATTATACAGACAATCTAAATGAGCTGGAAATGAGTTCTTCCCCCAGAGTCTCAACATGAGTTCAGCTGAGCCAACACCTTGATTTTGCTCTTGTGAGACTCTCACAGAGAACCTAGTTGAGCCTACGAGGACTTCTGACCTACAAAACTTATTTAAGCCACTAAATTTGTAGCAATTTGTTACAGAACAATAGAAAGTGAATGTGCCTTAGTGGAACCCAAGAGAATTTTAAATTCCCTGGTTTGAATATAGGGAGTATAACAGAGATTGAAGACTTTGGGGATACAGTTTTGGCCATGCCCTAAATGGCACAGAATGTTTTCTAACTACCTTAAATGGCACAGCAGATTTTGTTTTAGTTTTGTTTTTACCTAAATCAGGTACTCCAATATAAAAAAAATTTTTTTCACTGTTTTGGATTTTGATAATTTTCTGAGCCAACTTATGTATTCAAATATAATTATTATCCATTATACATAATAAACCACACTTTAATAAAAAAATTCTATTGGAAATAAGTAATTTAAATAATCATATGTATTTTAACGTGTCTGATATTGGTATATACGTAAGTTGGAAAGATTTGTTATTACTATGGCATAAAATAGGCAAATATTTGGTGTTAACTTACTTTCAGATAAAGAATACTTTTTAGAGTCTTTAAAGTATGTCCTTTCAGATAATCTGACACAGATTATCTAAGGAAACAGGAAAACTAAGAAGGCCAATTTTGAGAATTCTTCAAAATGCTTCCAAGTTTGTGTAGTATGGAATGATGTATTTTAAATCTGACAGCCTTTATAATCCTAGCACTTTGGGAGACCAAGGCAGGCAAATACCTTTAGCTCAGGAGTTAGAGAACAGCCTAGACAACATGGAGAAGCCCTGTCTGTACAAAAAATGCAAAAACTAGCTACACATGGTGGCGTGCACCCGTAGTCCCAGCTACTTTGGAGGCTGAGGTGGAAGGATGACTCAAGCCCAGGAGGCGGAGGTTGTAGTGAGTCAAGATCACGCTACTGCACTCCAGCCTGGGCTACAGAGCCAGACCCTCTCCCAAATATATATATGTATATGTACACATACATTTTATATATTTAATATAGGTGTATATATATTATTTTACATATATTTATATATATATATAAATAAAGCCTTTCAATTGCTCACGTCTGAAATCTTTTTGTTAAAATGTCATTCTTTCAGCTAGAAGACATTCCTATGCTTAGCATGGATTTTGGTCTACAATGAATGTAATTCATTAGGTAATCAACTAGAGTATATTAACAAAATAATTGTTATCATAATTACATTTAAAGTTGAGATTTTATGGCTTCATTCATGCAACAGAGAGCACAATCATCAAAACTATTTATTGAGTCATAACCTAGCTCATATTTCCAAGAATGTTACATGTTTCTTTGCTCCAAGTATTACTGTGCAATTAATTCTAGGAACAATGCATTTCAAATTGCATTGTATATTTTATTAGACCAAAGGGAACTGAAGTGCTGAACCTCTTCACACTTTACACACTAGTGTTCCTTTGTTAAAACCATTCTATAATCATGCCAAATGTTCACTTGCCACACAATCAGATTATGATCATTGAGTTTGTCATAGAGAGCCTGAGACATGGAGCCAAGAAATGATTTTCAAGCCTTCTTTGTAGCTTTCTATTGTTCCATCAGAGAACCTTCTTAGAAGATCCAGTTTTCAGACTATGCATTGTTATTTTCTTAAGCCTTTCCAAAAGGCCCCTTCATTCTTATTTTTAGATTTGGTTAAAGCTTTCCCATAGCCTTGAAATAGAAGCCCTACCGACATCATACATTTTAAATATACCAAGATGTTTTACTGTAACAATATGAGCCACATCTTTTTCTCAGTAGCCATTTTCCTTTATTCCTAATATCAAATGTAAACTACTCAAAAATGAATAATGTCTTGGCTAAAATAAGTTTTTGTTTTTGTAATCATAGTTACACTCTTAAACTTCCAGAAACAAATTGTTAGGGATATTAAACAATGCTGATTGAATTCTAGTTATTTTAATGAGGAATACCCCCTCATTCTTTTCACCAGCCTGCTATTTACTGAGCATCCACTGTATTCACAGCACTATTACAAGCACTTATGGATTTTAACTAAAAGAAATATCCATCGCACTGTTTCATGTGACAAAGAAAATGGAGCTCTAACACATTGTGTTTATCTACTTGTGTTAGATGACACTTACTGAGAAAATTAACTAAGTCATGCCTTACAGAGGTAAAAGGAAAATGAAAATGTAGTTAGAGAAATAAGGGTGAAAAATATGGTGAATTTTGGAGAACTGAGCTATAAAGTTGCCAATAAATTGAGTGATTTAAAATATGTCATGTTATTAGAAGATTACCTGACTCTTAATGACTGTATAATGAATGTAAGTTAACTTTAAAATTATTAATATTTTTCTTAGCATGAAAACTAAATGTTAAACATTCGAAACATACTTCACTATTTGCCTTATATTTGTGATTTTTTTCTACTATTCATAAGTTCATTCGCTTAATGAAATATGAGTTTTAAGTCAACTATCTGCAAAGTGTGGTGTTAGTGTGGCGAAAAAGCAAGAAATGATCCTTGCTTTTATGACTTCTCAGTATAATCAGGAAGATTGACAGCAACATAAAATTATTTAGATAAATTAGGGTATAATTCTGACATTTTCTCTAAAAAAAAATGAAAGAAATATGGAAATAGGCCCAGGATATCTTGGTTGAAGTAGAATATTTAAACTGGACTCAGAATCAAAAAGTGTCCCTGGCTAAGGAAAGAGCAATCATGAAAGACCTGAAGCAGAAAGAAAGGAGCCTTGTACATTTGAGGGGATAGAAATATACCATTGTGACAGCAGCCTCTTTCAGAATTCTGAGAATGAAACAGAAAAAGCTGAGAAGTTGACATGAGGCAGTTAGCACCTTATAGAACAGGTTAATGATTTTAGACTTGAGGCTTAAAACAGAAAATTGCTGCAGGGTTTTAAGTTTAGAAGTGACATGATCTGAGTCTTTTTATGAACACTTTGGGTATGCATAGAAATTCAATTGGTCTGGAGGTGGAGTAATTGTGGGAAGCCTATCTAGAATAGTATAGTTATAGGGGCTCAAGCTGAGTTAAGTAAGTGGCTGTTTAGATAAAGAAAAGACTTCAGGAATATTTAATATGTAGTAAAAACAGGAATATTGAATTATTAGATATGCTACTGGAGGGAAATGCAATGGTTATAAGGGCAAACTAATGGTATAAAATCAAATTAACCAGGGAGACAGTATACAGTAGGATAAAGGAAGAAAAAGTCTGTGGTATTCATTATGAAAAAACTGGATAATGGAAAGTTTTCCATAGTGGATTCAGGCCCACAGCTCTGAATTTCTATGAAAACAGCGTAGAAAATAGGTAGGAAAATGGAGAGAAGTTTGTGGAGAGGAAAGAAATGGTAACGAGTGAATGTTAAGAGTATAGAGTGAGGCAGGAAAGTGTCCAATAATTTTAGCCTCAGATGTTATTAATGAGTTGATTTAAAAATTTAGTAAAATGCTGCCAGATTGAAGTAGGCCATGAGGGAATTAGGCAAAGAGGAAGTTCGGGGTACATGGGGACAATTGTTTGTAGAAGTTTGCATGTGAAGGATGATAAATCAGTGGGAATGGTAAGCAAAAGAGGAGTTTGCCTAAGATGTTACAAATCTGTCAGGGTATTAGTGTTTGAAAATAGGTCACCCATTACATAAAGTGTTTCCAAATTTCCTAGCATTCAGAAGACACTGAGTAATGTCCCACATCAATAGCTTGACTTTTATTTATGTGTATAGTTTACCAATATTTCTGACAAATCCCAAATAATTTTTTAAGTTTCTGCAAATACCTCTTGGCCATTTATTAACTAGCTTCTCCCTCTTCTATGGTAAACTACGCCATTTTGAATCAAATGTGGATTTGGGTAACTTAAAGTACACAAAAATTAAAGTTATGGTGTTTAACAAAACTTAATAAAGGTCTCTGGTCAACATAGGCAAAGCACAATTCAAACACTGAAATTTTTATATTGCATACTAGATAATACTGGAAATTCTTAATTGATACTCCACTAGAGATCTTCTAATGTGGCCAATTTTGCTTACTTCCTTACCTGCTACCTTTTTAGAACCGCTAACCTGTTTTCTCCCAGAGATAGTCGTATTGATTATTCCCCTGAATTTGTAATCCTGTCTTTCCAATGACAGGCATTGGACCAAAGAGAAGAGAACAAAATTAACATTTTATTTTTTTCATCTCTGCTTGTAGGCTCAACTTCTATCCAACTTAAGAGAATCTGTAAAAATTCAACTAACATCAAAAACAGACAAATTCTCACATTATTAATCTGAGCAGTTTTGCCTCTCGTGGAAGTTCTCCATTCGTATTCTAGTCTATGATTTCCATATTATGTTTGCATAAACACAGAAATCATTTACTAGTTTTTGATCTTAATAGGTTTTACTCTCTATTAAAAAGAGAATGTGGCCAGGCAAGGTGGCTCCCGCCTGTAATCCCAGCACTTTGGGAGGCCGAGACGGGCGGATCACGAGGTCAGGAGATCGAGATCATCCTGGCTAACACGGTGAAACCCTGTCTCTACTAAAAATACAAAAAATTAGCCGGGCGTGGTGGCAGGTGCCTGTAGTCCCAGCTACTTGTGAGGCTGAAGCGGGAGAATGGCATGAACCTGGGAGGCGGAGCTTGCAGTGAGCTGAGATGGCGCCACTGCACTCCAGCCTGGGCTACAGAGCGAGACTTTGTCTCAAAAAAAAAAAAAAAAATGAGATTCATCCTTACAAGTAAATTTTAATTTGTCCGCTGGAAAAAAATTCAACTATTTGGAATTTCAAAACAGAAATTTTCATTTTCTTTCTATACATTATTTCATTTGCATTACAGTCCAATGTTCTACACGTGTTATTATGTTATACTTGAATCAGTTAGGGAAGTCAAAATTATTCCAAAGAGTATAATGAAAAGATGATATACTTTAAAAACATAATGGAATCTTTGGAAATAATGATAGGAAAAAGTGACTCAGAGTTGATCCTGAGAATATAAGCAAGATAAACTTGAAAAATTTCAAAGATACATTAGTACTTCTAGAGGAAAAAAAAATTGGTAGAAAACTATTAATACACTAATCTTCACCCTCAACCAGTAAAAAAATAAATTCTTTGGAAAATGAAAAAACTTTGGAGTTCATTTGCATCCTAAATGTATATCTTTATAAGTACCTATTTAAATCTGTGACTGTGATTTAACTACTGGCTACACATTTCACTCAATCATTGAATTGTACTTCCTTCAGTAACAATAAAACACAGCAGAAGTAAAAAGTTCATTTGTAACCGTCAGCGGTTGGGTTGTAAATATCAAATAGTAAGATGAACTACAGTGCAACTGACTTTACTGGAGAAAAATTTAGTGGCAATTTTGTTTACTTCCTCATAATATGTGGTAATAATTGGCCCCGTAGAACTTCTTTAAGGCCATTTATGATCATAATTAAAAGAAGTATTACTTTAAATCATTAATCTACAATCAGCCAGCTTTTATTCATAAATCAAAATGTCCTTCTCAACCTGATTGGTCTAACCTTCAGAATGCATTTTGCAAGTCCCCGCTTGATTCAAAGTGGTCTTACATCCCTAGTGAAAGTAATAAGTAAAAATTATTCTCTAACCCAGTTTCCCTGAAACTGTATTTATCTTTCTCTAAACCAACTTTTAGAAAAAATAAGTAAACTAATAAATTGTTGGTTTGTAGGAGGTAAGACAAAATGTTTTGACACATTTTTTCTTTTCTTTAATGATAGAATCAAATAGTTATTTTTGATGCTCAATGGAAGCAACCTGAATATATCACAAAACTTAATCCAGGCTCAATTTCACTTTATGTAAAGAAGGTCTAGTCTAAGCCACACCTACCACCTACAAATCAAAACTCAGTATTCAATATTTGGGCAGGAGGAAAGAAATTTCCGATAAAAATTCTGAGGTAGATTAAACAATAAAAAAACAATAAAAGTGGGACATATGGATAATGGTTAATAAGCCTTGACTATTAAAATCAGTATATTTAAAATAGAGGAATTTAAAATACAGAATCAATAACATGGTATTTTGAAGGAAAGATGGTAACAGAGTCCAAGTGTTTAGATATCCTTTTATTCAGAAGATATCAGGTAGGGTAGCACAGTTATTACAGAAACGAATGAAGACACATGTTGTTATTCTGACAGTCACAGTGGGGTCAGTAATTCCGCAGTATAAAGTAACTTCAAAATTTTGCTTGCTTGACAAATGGAAAGTTTGCATTTCGTGTACATGTCCTACGTAGATCATTAGATCAATCTGCCCTTGGAGTGACTCAGGGATGTGAGATAATGGAGGCTTGTTGACATGAGCATCTGTGATCACCAGAGCTGTGGGAAGTGCAAGCAGTAAATTATTAATTGGCTTTTAAAGATTCGGTTCCAAAGTGAGCCATATCACTCCTGATTATACCACAATGATTATACCACAATGGCCAAAGCAAGTCATATGGCCACAGAAAACGTCAAAAAACTTTTTTAATAAAGAAAACTTCGAAAATGTCTACCATGTTTCTTTCTGCAAAGAATAAAGCTGGAAAAATTGTTTGAACAACTTGGATCCTTATCACAGTTGGTCTGTCTGTTCACTAGATATTCTGGTTAGGATTCCTCATCCAGGCAAAATATACTCTAAATGTTTTATCCAGCCCTAGATCCAAAGACCTGGAAGTGAATGGGGAAAGAAATTGTCCCCACATATACCAAATGGAATTGGAGGAATCAGGACAATGAAACTGAAATACTGTCTTTCAAAAAGAGGAATAATGAGAGAACAAAAGATTTTATGGTTAATAGCAATTCTGTAATTCTGGTCGGAATTAAAGGTGACCTATTTTATGGCGGTGTTTCGGACATATTCTTTGTTAGAGGTCCAGATCTTCTCTCTGGGAGAAATTCCTAAATCTACTGTTCCCTACAGTCCTTATTTCTATATAAGAGAAGAGGAGGGGAGAGGAGGGGAGGGGAGGGGAGGGGAGGGGAAGGGACTAGAGGGGAGAAGAGGAGAGGAAGGAAGGGAAGGGTCTTCTTTTTCCACTACTTTCTTTGTCATATCTGAAGTGAACAATGTGCCCTCCTTAAGAGCTGAGATGTTTGTCGTTTACTTCCTATTTGTAGACCATTAACTCAAACAATGTTATAGATATCGAGATAAAGAGATATTTTATATCCAGAGTTCTGGTTATAATGGTAGCTTCCCTCTCTATATACATGGTAGGCTTTTTATTCCATTCTACTTAGGTTTATGTGCCAATAAAAATTCATTTCAGCTTTTTAAAAAACAAATGTCTTGCAATATTCCTCTGCTATTTTGTGCTCCAAAACTTCTTTTTCTTTCTCAAATTAAGTTGCAGAAACCATGAGACTATCAGACTTCGAGGTCAAGGTGCACCTTTAGTATCATTTCCTGAATCATTTTTATTCCAATTGAAAGAATCTATTGAGCTCTCCCATAAGCCATTCAAAAGTATTAACAATAGAAAGATGGGTAATACCCTTGATTTGATCCTTATAGAAAAGTTGACTCTGATCCTCCCTTGTTATCAAAGTACATCTTAATAATATTTCATATTATATTGTGGTCGAAAATTTTTTAGGTCTCTGAGCTTTTTGACAATATTCTATTTCATTTCTGATTATTCATTTGTACATTTGTCTCTGAGTTCGTCTACTGTAGTGATATTTCGTTAAGTACAGTAAACATCAAGGTATTACTATATCAAACAAGATATTTCAAGAAGATATAACTCAGATATGAATATGGAATTGGGCAATCAGAAATGAAATAGAACGTAATCTGTTCCCAGACTCTTCCTACATTGCTACCTGTTGTTCCTTATGAACCTGGCATTATACTTGCATGCACACACACATACACACATGTATATTTTATGGTGAGGGTTTTACTAAATATTTTGTTATTGCCATAGTAATCATCTTACAGTGAATTGCCATCTTTCTGCTACCCATTCCCTTGCCCCTTAGCTTCTTGCATTTTTATTTATTTATTTATTCATCCATTCATTCATTCATTTATTTATTTTTGAGATGGAATTTCACTCATGTTGCCCAGGCTGCAGTGCAATGGCTCAATCTCAGCTCACTGCAACCTCCACCTCCCGGGTTGAAGCGATTCTCCTGCCTTAGCCTCCCGAGTAGCTGGGATTACAGGCGTGCACCACCACCCCAGGCTAATTTTTTATATTTTTAGTAAAGACAGGGTTTCACCATGTTAACCAGACTGGTCTCGAACTCCTGACCTCAGGAGATCCACCTGCCTCGGCCTCCCAAAATGCTGGAATTACAGGCGTGAGCCACTGTGCCCGGCCTATATTTGTTTTTATTTTCCCCAGAACATACTTTACTCTTTACTTTGCCTGGAAACAATCTGCATTCCAAATATGTTTAGAATTGCTATAAATGAGTAAGAGAAATACATAGCGTAATATTTTTAAATGAGCACAAAAATGAATTATGTATTCTATAATTCTATGAAAAGGTGTGTTCAATCTTGTAAGCATCAAAGCAAAACAAAACAACCATCAGAGTGGCAAAAGAAACAAAAAATTTCACTGTGCAGTGTGGATAAGAGAATAAGTTGATACAATCATTTTGGTAATTAGGATATATATACAAATTTGGAAGATGTACATAACTTATCACACAGAAATCCCACTGGATTTTATCGTAATAGATTTGAACTAGAAGAAAATCCTATGTCTATCAATTACAAAATAAATAATTATTTCATATTGATACAATGAATTACCATAGAGCAATAAAAATAAACGGTATCTCTAATATATAAAATTATCTAAGATAATTTTCACAAACCTTGACTGAAACAAGATATCAAATAAAAAACATATATTACCATTAATAAGCATAACAGACAAAACAAAATTAACTTTTAGGATGAATACAAAGGTGTATACCTTTTTTAAAAAAAGCAATATTTGGAGGCCAAGGCGGGCCAATCACGAGGTCAGGAGTTCATGACCAGCATAGTGAAACCCTGTCTCTGCAAAAAATACAAAAAATTAGCCGGGCATAGTGTCAGGTGCCTGTAATTCCAGCTACTCAGGAGGCTGAGGGAGGAGAATTGCTTGAACCTGGGAGGCAGAGGGTGCAGTGAGCCGAAATCACACCATTGCCCTCCAGCCTGGGCAACAGAGCGAAACTCTGTCTTAAAAAAAACAGGAGACAATTATTATAAATTGTAGTGTAAAGTTTACACCCAAGTCAGTTGCAGAAAGCTTTCATATTTATAGATGCATTGCTGGAGGCTTCTTGAATACTGGTTATAGTTATAGCCATGGCTCTTTGTTGTACCTTATTTTTTCCAGGCACATAAATTTTTATGTATATTCTTTATGTATGTTAAATCCTAACAAAACAAATACAGATTAATTTTAAAATACTAATTGGTTCTGTAATAAAGTAAACCTATTATGATTCACCTGCATAGAAAACTAAAATCCTAAATAGGATTCACAGAATATTATTTTTCAATGAGCAAGCCGAATCCCAGTAGTCTGCCTGAATGTTCCATCTGTGGCATATACTAGTTGTTTGCACTTGGCAAAGTTATTTTGTATCTCTGAGCCTGTTTTGTGATTTCTACAAAACTAATAGTAAAGGAACGCTTATCATCTCATTGTTGTGAGGATTCAATAATATGTGATATGAAAACTGCTTTACAATGTGGCTTATGATTATGATTATTATTTTTATTTAAACCATACTGTTAATTAAGAATGGAACTGGAACTGCTCTTGAGCCTTCCTGCTTCACAATGTATCCCTCACTTCTCTAACACATTCTGCTTTTAGGTTCCTCAAGGGCTCTGTGCAATTTAGTTTTATTTTCAGAATCATAAATCATCTCTGTCAAGCCTAGCATGTCTAGGCAAACATCCCATTATGGTGAGATTAAATTTTAATTTTTTGGAAATAAAAAATATCCAACAAGAATAACAACCTCATTAGATAAAAATGCACCTCCTGTGAGTTTGTGTCAATAATAAGACTAAGGATGTGATCTGCACTCTAGAATATTAACATATCAACTCTACCAACCAACAGTTATCTTCAATAATTTCATTTAAAAATTTTCGGTATAATCAGTTTTGAAATGTTTGTATGTGAGTCTTTCTAAAACAATATTTGACAATATTCTATTTCATATCTGAGTACTCTATTTTACATTTGTTTCTGAGTTTATCTACTCTAGTTTGTATTTCATTAAGTATGGTAAACAGCAAGGTATTGCTGCACCAAACAAGGTATTTCAAGAAGAAATAACTGAGAAATGAATGTGCAATTGGGTAATCAGAAAAGAAATAGAATGTAATTTCTTCCCAGTGTATTTTTTCATGACTACTTATGGTTTCTTTTGAAGCTTATGTAGAGGTTTTGTAATTGTATGACAGTAAAAGCAAATCTTGGTTTATAACTTAGGGTTAAAAAATCCTGATTGTGTTCACACAGTAACCAATTGTCTGTTTGTCTATTTGTTGAGTTTTTATGGCCTTCTTTATATTCACAGTATTAAATTTATTGTGGTACAAATGGATGGTTAAGGCAAGCAGAAACGCATACTTGTCTAATTTAAATATGTATTTGCTTTTATTTTCTATTACATTTCAGCTCATTAATTTAATTTAGTACATTTTCTCCTGTGCAACTAGAATGTTTATTAACGTGCTTATAACACATAAATGAGCAAGCCACACCAAAATATAGATTTTTTAGTTAAGACTTAAAATTTCCACCAGATGGCAGCCCAACCCCTAAAATGCTAGAGCTTACTAGAAACAGTAGAATGAATATGAAAATTTAATACTTGAGTGTCTGATAAAATAAAATGTTTTTTAATCTCTTAAAAATTAGTTATAATATATTGAATTATATTTAAGTTATTAAATGGGTAGGTATATAGGTATGTTAATATTTTGTTTTTTAGTCTTGATCTTATTTCACATTAAAGTTAAGAAACAGTAAATAAAATTTTTTACTAGAGACTGCATATTGTTTTCAAAAGTAAATAATAACATTAAACAGTATGTTTTCCTGAATGATGCACAAATTTCAAAATATTAGTTATGTACGTAAGGATCAGTGAAGGCAAGTCATATTAATTATGTCGACGTACAGATTTTTTTTAAAATAATACACAATTGATAAGCGCTATCTCTCTACTAGGAAAAAATAAAATAATAAAAACATTGATAATTTTAATAAGACATGCTTTTTGAATATAGAGGCAGAAATTAATTTTAGTGCAAAAACTATATTTAGTTTGGGGAGGAAAGAGATATTTTTATAGAGGGGATAATGCTTTATCTGGGCCTCAAGGAAGGTAAAATCAGTATTTATACATATGGGAAAAGGGAGAAAGCTATTCAGGAAATGGAGACCAGTGTATGTAGAGCCAAGGGTGTGAGAAGTGTCCTGGGTTGTTTGGAAAATGTGTAAGTTTGGGAGTAATCAGAAAATAAAATGAGTGCATCAAAATCAAGAGACAGAAGAGAGAAAAATATGGTAGATGATGATTATGAAGGCCTTGGAAACATACTAAAAAGTTTTAAAGCATAAACTATTTTAAATAAATCCCATTGCATATTTTAAGCAATGAAAGATTAATTGGGAAGCTGGAAAATCAGAGGCAAATTGTGTGCCCTGGGAAACAGTTTATAGAGTCTGATTCAAACAATAGGATGGAAAATGAAATGAAAAGAAGGTGACAGATGAACAAATGCACATTTCATTGGCGACTTCTTGTTATACTCCTTCAGTCACTAATAAGGAACCAATGCTTGCTCTTGGTTCCCAGGAAAGTGCCAAAGACTGTCCTGGGTTATTGTTTATCCCTTTTGCCTGTTTTAATGAACAATAGCAGTATTATTTTGGTAAGGGAGAAAAAAAGTATTTCTGAGATTTTTAATTTGAGAGACAGGACCATGATTGCTTTAACCAAGGTAGAGAATGCGTAAGTAACAAGCTGAAATGATGTTAAAATGAAGGAAGGGAAGACAGTGGTAGTTATCTTAGATTTGATATATTGATCTTTGGAAAGACAACCTAGTTGTTATAGCTAATAAGTAGTTGGGAACACAGATGAGACTGAAACTTTATAGAGATCTGGGCTGTAACAAAGATTTGACAGTCAAATCTGAAAAGCAACCTTTTGGGAGTGAATGAGGTTGTCAACGATAGTAGTAGGGAAGTGAGTAAGGAAGGACCCCAGAGAAGGTTGACACTGAAGTAGAAAGAAAATACATACATGCACACATTAAATAATATAACATTAATACTATTTAATGTGTATTGAGGATTTATCATCGCTCAGATACTCAATAAAATGCTTTAAATTTTAAAGAATATTGTGTCCTCTAAACAATTCTCTGAGGCAATATTGCTATTCCAATTTCACAGATGAGGAAATAGGTACAGAGAAGTTAGAAAATGTGGACTAGATGACACAGCAAGGATGTGGTAAAGTCAAGTTCTAAACTTCTATTATCTGATTCTATACTTTGAGCTTTTCTTCTCCAGGTTGTACTGTCTTTTAGGATAAAGTTCTAACTTCTCACATATTTTCCTTCCTTAATAAAATGATGAATTACATTGACAAATGATAAAGCATGCTTTCATTTTTGCTATACACTCTAGTTGAGAATATTATATTAAGCTTTTGGTATTATAGTTCCCTCCTTCCCTCCCTTCCTTCCTCCTCTCTCTTTCTTTTCTTTCTTCTTTCTTTTCTCTCTCTCTCTCCCCCCTCTCTCTCTCTCTTTTGTGTTTCTTAGGATTTTTACCTCTATATCTGTAAGTAAGACTTGGTTAATTTTTTTTTTTGCTTGTTTGCTTTTTCTAGAAGATGTTTGATAAAAGATTCTGGGAATGTAGACTGTCCTTAAGTCTTATATGTATTTATAATTCTTACATGCATTTATATGTATTTCAACACATGAAAATCGGAGCAACTTCCTTAACCACGAGAGTGTCTGTTGTTTTTTTAGTTGTTGTTATTGCTGCCACTGTTGGTTTCTGTCATTCCTGGCTGGGAAAAACGTCAGTTTGACTTTAGACTTGGGTTGGAAGTAGGAGTCAGTGGAAAGAGCAGTTGACATTACAGGTTGGAGAGGAATTGATGGCAAATCCTGGTCCTGGCAACACAGCTATGAAAGGAGATGCTAACAGTGGGACACAGGTTGACCTTGGGATTCGGGTATATATCTCTCCTAAACAAAAGGAAGAGAAAAGAAAGAATGAGGATGCAGAGTAATTTCTTCTGGAAATTTCTATCTCCTGCAACAAAACTGGATTAAGCAATGGGTGAATAATTGTGGGCCTGGACATTTACCCATATCATTAATTCAGAAAAAAAAGGTGTGATAAACAATAGATAGACACCTTTTTTATAGAAAAGTTGGTTTTGAAATATAGTGCTGTGTAACTCCAGCACTGAATGTGGAATGATGTTGTAACCAAAGCAGAAATGCAAAATATGGAAGTTTATTTACTTTTCTCTCTCATGGAATTTCCTCATGCACTGGTACCCTTTGGGTGTGTGGAAAATGAATATTTGAAAACAAATATTTGCAAATTAATAAGTCAGGGTGTGTTTAGTGACTCTTGATTATTCATCATAAATGAAATCACATGACAACAAACAAATAACTAATAAAGAGTAGCAACACAAATTACTACCTAAGCTATCCTAAATGTAAAGGCAGGTGCTTTATATATCAATTATGTTTCATTTTTAACTAAAGATTTTACTTTTGTTCAAGATAATAACTATTGATTATGTATCCATGTATATGTATTGCCCAATACTGTAGCCATTAGCTACTTATTGCTAATTAATTTAAATTTACCTCAACTACATTTAAATACAAGGAAATATTCAATGACTTCAGCCATAATACCCACATTTCACGACCTCAAAATCCACAAGTGGTTAGTCACTACCACATTGTCTACTGAAGAAATAGAATATTTTTATTAATCAAGGCAGCCTTAATGTTCCTCTCTGCTTGACTAAACTTTATACAGGCTTTTTCCTATTTCTAATCTCTGAGTTCCCTTTTCTTAGAACATTTTTTTAGAAAACTTGTAATTATAAACTCATTATCTGTTCCTTTGAGATGTATGTAAATCTATTTAAAATCCTCTCGCTACTATTTAAACCCAGGAATTTCTTTCCCCAGGATCTGGGAACCATCTTCTTGAAATGTAAATATCAAGAATGATAGCACTCCTATCTCCCAGTCTTTGTAGGAGTGTAGGAGCCTAACTTCAGTGGGCATATCATTCCTGTGATAAAGATATGGGAAAGTTTATTTTTCCTTTGGGAACACCTACTAGCAAAAATAGCTTATGATCTCCCCCACTCCCCCAACTCCTTGACCAACTTTTAAAATCCTCCAGCCTTTTATTCCATTGTAGTTGAGTTCAAATTGAGTTCTTATCTGTCCTCTTGAATAAAATGTTCCTTGCCTATGTAATATTGATGCAATTTTTTCTTTGACATCATCAAAGTAGATAGTTGTATTACAAAGGGATCATCTATATTATGAAAAATGATAAAATGTTTTGTTAAAACTTGGCTGATACTAGAACATAGTCTTTCCTGGATTATCAAGAAAAAAAAAGTTAACCTTGTTTATATATGCTTCTATGTTCTTTGTGGTAAAACACTTATGCAGAGTAAAAAAAAATCCTATTTTCCTCAAAATGTGCAAGATTTAATGTGATAGACTTAAGAGCATTAGGAGCTATTGTTTCCTAAGCTACAATTTTAACTTCATTTTTAAATATAATGTTAGTGATAAAAGATACAAAACCAAGATAACCCAATTCACCTCTCTGTCTTTAAAAACAACCAGTAAAACTGTGGCATCAGTCTAAAAACTTCAAATTTACCATTCTAAAAAAGTAATTGGTGAGTGTTTTTTTTAATGTGTCTACAAAGACTAAGTAAATTAGAAGTAAATATTTGAATCAATTAGAATAAACCCCTATTTTTGTTTTTTTGGTTCCTTGAAATAGTGAGTTCAAAAGTGCATAGTAAACATATGCAGCATTGCACATATATGTATGGGATATGTGTGTTTATGATTGTACATAGGTACATGCATACACCTACAGATAGGTGTTGATATAATGTATTATACAATAATACATACATTTTTATGAAGAGAATACATTTTTGCAGACAGGTTGGCCTAATGACAATTGATATTATAATCATTACATAAGACATACTCATGATACATCATTTATTGCTTTTGGGTTTAATCCATTCACTCTGTAGAGAGGATATGAAAATACTATGTGGCAATCTCAGTGGAGAAGCATTTATATTTTTACATCCCCAATCTTTCATAGTTATCTGGTCCACAATTATTATCCCATATATTATGTTTATTGCCTTACAAAACAATGTAAAATAATGAATATCTTCTATTTTGAATGTATCTCAATTTATTTTCATAACATTTAAGTGACATTGCTGTAATTGTAAGCATATATGGTATAACAAGCTTTGAAAGAAAGACACCTCAGTTTTTCTAAGTAAAATTCAAGTGGTGGAAGCTGAAGTTAATGGCCATCCAGGGAGGGAACTGACCTGCCATGGGCAAGTGATATGCCCTAGGCATCAATCAGTTTGATTTACAGAGGCAACGGGGCTCATCGACTGGTCCAGCAAGTGGTTAAGTGTAGAAGGCTGGCCGATAAAGTTTGTAATGTTTAAAGCAAACTCTGCTGAGGAAGATCGTTCTTATTGAATTATCTAGAATGGTTAAATCTATTAAGTAAATATCCCAGGTTGTATGGTAATATTATAATTTACCTTACACTGGTACAGCATGGCATCGTTATCAGCATCTTTCTTGTAGTAATAATTAGTCTATCTATTAGGATAAAATAATATTGATTTAGTTTTTGGAAGAGCAACAGGAAACCCAATTCTTATTCAAAAATAGGGAATATATTGCAGAAACTAAATTATAGATATTAACGTATAACAGACATGTAGAAAAAGTCAGTATGTAACTCACATTCATATTATGTAGTAATGTAAACATCTAAGTGTATGGCCATCCTTATAAAAATCATAGTTTGATATTGGGCAGTTAATGAAGATCACTGCAGAATATAACACGAAGAAAGATAGCATGCTAGAGAGTAGTAAGAAGAAAAAATATTTGAAGTCAATGAAAGATCCAAGGCATGAGTGAGCCAGCGAAAAGCTTCTGGCAGGTTAGGTATAGATGAGTTCTATGTGCTTAAAAAGTACCTTTCCCCAAGTCAATATTGTATTTTTTTCTAGAGAAAAAAACTGAGTTTAAAAGTTTCTTTTATTATTATTGTTATTATTATACTTTAAGTTTTAGGGTACACGTGCACAACGTGCAGGTTTGTTACATATGTATACATGTGCCCTGCTGGTGTACTGCACCCATTAACTCATTATTTAGCATTAGGTATATCTCCTAAAGCTATCCTTCCCCCATCCCCCGACCCCACAACAGTCCCCAGAGTGTGATGTTCCCCTTCCTGTGTCCATGTATTCTCACTGTTCAATTCCCACCTATGAGTGAGAATATGCGGTGTTTGGTTTTTTGTTCTTGCGATAGTTTACTGAGAATGATGATTTCCAGTTTCATCCATGTCCCTACAAAGGACATGAACTCATCATTTTTTATGGCTGCATAGTATTCCATGGTGTATATGTGCCACATTTTCTTAATCCAGTCTATCATTGTTGGACATTTAGGTTGGTTCCAAGTCTTTGCTATTGCGAATAGTGCCGCAATAAACATACGTGTGCATGTGTCTTTATAGCAGCATGATTTATAGTCCTTTGGGTATATACCCAGTAATGGGATGGCTGGGTCAAATGGTATTTCTAGTTCTAGATCCCTGAGGAATCGCCACACTGACTTCCACAATGGTTGAACTAGTTTACAGTCCCACCAACAGTGTAAAAGTGTTCCTATTTCTCCACATCCTCTCCAGCACCTGTTGTTTCCTGACTTTTTAATGTTTGCCATTCTAACTGGTGTGAGATGGTATCTCATTGTGGTTTTGATTTGCATTTCTCTGATGGCCAGTGATGGTGAGCATTTTTTCATGTGTTTTTTGGCTGCTTAAATGTCTTCTTTTGAGAAGTGTCTGTTCATGTCCTTTGCCCACTTTTTGATGCGGTTGTTTGTTTTTTTCTTGTACATTTATTTGAGTTCATTGTAGATTCTGGATATTAGCCCTTTGTCAGTTGAGTAGGTTGTGAAAATTTTCTCCCATTTTGTAGGTTGCCTGTTCACTCCAGTGGTAGTTTCTTTTGCTGTGCAGAAGCTCTTTAGTTTAATTAGATCCCATTTGTCAATTTTGTCTTTTGTTGCCATTGCATTTGGTGTTTTAGACATGAAGTCCTTGCCCATGCCTATGTCCTGAATGGTAATGCCTAGGTTTTCTTCTAGGGTTTTTATGGTTTTAGGTCTAACATTTAAGTCTTTAATCCATCTTGAATTAATTTTTGTATAAGGTGTAAGGAAGGGATCCAGTTTCAGCTTTCTACATATGGCTAGCCAGTTTTCCCAGCACCATTTGTTAAATAGGGAATCCTTTCCCCATTGCTTGTTTTTCTCAGGTTTGTCAAAGATCAGATAGTTGTAGATATGCAGCGATATTTCTGAGGGCTCTGTTCTGTTCCATTGGTCTATATCTCTGTTTTGGTACCAGTACCATGCTGTTTTAGTTACTGTAGCCTTGTAGTATAGTTTGAAGTCAGGTAGCATGATGCCTCCAGCTTTGTTCTTTTGGCTTAGGATTGACTTGGTGATGTGGGCTCTTTTTTGGTTCCATATGAATTTTAAAGTAGTTTTTTCCAATTATATGAAGAAAGTCATTGGTAGCTTGATGAGGATGGCATTGAATCTATAAATTACCTTGGGCAGTATGGCCATTTTCACGATATTGATTCTTCCTACCCATGAGCATGGAATGTTCTTCCATTTGTTTGTATCCTCTTTTATTTCATTGAGCAGTGGCTTATAGTTCTCCTTGAAGAGGTCCTTCACATCCCTTCTAAGTTGGATTCCTAAGTATTTTATTCTCTTTGAAGCAATTGTGAATGGGAGTTCACTCATGATTTGGCTCTCTGTTTGTCTGTTATTGGTTTATAAGAATGCTTGGCACTCCTCGAGAAGAGCAACTCCAAGACACATAATTGTCAGATTCACCAAAGTTGAAATGAAGGAAAAAATGTTAAGGGGAGCCAGAGAGAAAGGTCGGGTTACCCACAAAGGGAAGCCCATCAGACTAACAGCGGATCTCTCAGCAGAAACTCTACAAGCCAGAAGAGAGTGGGGGCCAATATTCAACATTCTTAAAGAAAATAATTTTCAACCCAGAATTTCATATCCAGCCAAACTAAGCTTCATAAGTGAAGGAGAAATAAAATACTTTACAGACAAGCAAATGCTGAGAGATTCTGTCACCACCAGGCCTGCCCTAAAAGAGCTCCTGAAGGAAGCACTAAACATGGAAAGGCACAACCAGTACCAGCCACTGCAAAATCATGCCAAAATGTAAAGACCATCGAGACTAGGAAGAAACTGCATCAACTAACCAGCAAAATCACCAGCTAACATCATAATGACAGGATCAAATTCACACATAACAATATTAACTTTAAGTGTAAATGGACTAAATGCTCCAATTAAAAGACACAGACTGGTAAATTGGATAAAGAGTCAAGACCCATCAGCGTGCTGTATTCAGGAAACCCATCTCATGTGCAGAGACACACATAGGCTCAAAATAAAAGGATGGAGGAAGATCTACCAAGCAAATGGAAAACAAAAAAAGGCAGGGGTTGCAATCCTAGTCTCTGATAAAACAGACTTTAAACCAACAAAGATCAAAAGAGACAAAGAAGGCCATTACATAATGGTAAAGGGATCAATTCAACAGGAAGAGCTAACTATCCTAACTATATATGCACCCAATACAGGAGCACCCAGATTCATAAAGCAAGTCCTGAGTGACCTACAAGGAGACTTAGACTCCCACACAATAATAATGGGAGACTTTAACACCCCACTGTCAACATTAGACAGATCAACGAGACAAAGTTAACAAGGATACCCAGGAACTGAACTCAGCTCTGCACCAAGCAGACCTAATAGACATCTACAGAACTCTCCACCCCAAATCAACAGAATATACATTTTTTTCAGCACCACACCACACCTATTCCAAAATTGACCACGTACTTGGAAGTAAAGCTCTCCTCAGCAAATGTAAAAGAACAGAAATTATAACAAACTGTCTCTCTGACCACAGTGCAATAAAATTGGAACTCAGGATTAAGAAACTCACTCAAAACCGCTCAACTACATGGAAACTGAGCAACCTGCTCCTGAATGACTACTGGGTACATAACGAAATGAAGGCAGAAATAAAGATGTTCCTTGAAACCAACGAGAACAAAGACACAACATACCAGAATCTCTGGGACACATTCAAAGCAGTGTGTAGAGGGAAATTTATAGCACTAAATGCCCACAAGAGAAAGCAGGAAAGATTCAAAATTGACACCTTAACATCACAATTAAAAGAACTAGAAAAGCAAGAGCAAACACATTCAAAAGCTAGCAGAAGGCAAGAAATAACTAAAATCAGAGCAGAACTGAAGGAAATAGAGACACAAAAAACCCTTCAAAAAATTAATGAATCCAGGAGCTGGTTTTTTGAAAGGATCAACAAAATTGATAGACTGCTAGCAAGACTAATAAAGAAAAAAAGAGAGAAGAATCAAATAGACGCAATAAAAAATGATAAAGGGGATATCACCACCGATCCCACAGAAATACAAACTACCATCAGAGAATACTACAAACACCTCTATGCAAACAAACTAGAAAATCTAGAAGAAATGGATAAATTCCTCGACACATACACTCTCCCAAGACTAAACCAGGAAGAAGTTGAATCTCTAAATAGACCAATAACAGGATAAGCAATAATCAATAGCTTACCAACCAAAAAGAATCCAGGACCAGATGGATTCACAGCCAAATTCTACCAGAGGTAGAAGGAGGAACTGGTACCATTCCTTCTGAAACTATTCCAATCAATAGAAAAAGAGGGAATCCTCCCTAACTCATTTTATGAGGCCAGCATCATCCTGATACCAAAGCCGGGCAGAGACACAACCAAAAAAGAGAATTTTAGACCAATATCCTTGATGAATATTGATGCAAAAATCCTCAATAAAATACTGGCAAACCGAATCCAGCAGCACATCAAAAAGCTTATCCACCATGATCAAGTGGGCTTCATCCCTGGGATGCAAGACTGGTTCAATATACACAAATCAATAAATGTAATCCAGCATATAAACAGAACCAAAGACAAAAACCACATGATTATCTCAATAGATGCAGAAAAGGCCTTTGACAAAATTCAACAACCCTTCATGCTAAAAACTCTCAATAAATTGGGTATTGATGGGACGTATTTCAAAGTAAAAAGAGCTATCTATGACAAACCCACAGCCAATATCTTACTGAATGGGCAAAAACTGGAAGCATTCCCTTTGAAAACTGGCACAAGGCAGGGATGCCCTCTCTCACCACTCCTATTCAACATAGTGTTGGAAGTTCTGGCTAGGGCAATTAGGCAGGAGAAGGAAATCAAGGGTATTCAATTAGGGAAAGAGGAAGTCAAATTGTCCCTGTTTGCAGACGACATGATTGTCTATCTAGAAAACCCCATTGTCTCAGCCCAAAATCTCCTTAAGCTGATAAGCAACTTCAGCAATGTCTCAGGATACAAAATCAATGTACAAAAATCACAAGCATTCTTATACACCAATAACAGACAAACAGAGAGCCAAATCATGAGTGAACTCCCATTCACAATTGCTTCAAAGAGAATATTTCTTTTCTTGTTCACCAATCCTCATCTATTTTCTTCATCCATTCACTCTAGCAATTTCTCAAATGACTAATTCAAAAACCTCTTTCTTTCTCTCCACAGCTATTGATTTTGCTGCTTTTTCTTTTTCCCATAGCAAATATCAAAACAATCAAGAATATTGTCACAATTTCCTGTCTCTACATCTGAACACCTATTTGTATCTGAGAACATATTCTTTCTTTTTGCAACTGCAGATAAACTCTGTGACCTACCTATGGCGGCCTGTTGCATTTATGTGTCTACTGAATCCCATCTTCTCTCACTTATTCATGGGTTTTGTTCCAGTGATTTTCTTTGATTTCTTTTGTTTCACAGTGTTGACCTCCCCTTGACTAAACAAACACGCTATTATTTCTCGTATTAAAAAAACTTGCTAAACCTTCCTCATTAATTCTCTTTTTCTGCTCCTTTCCCCAGAAAGAAAATTGTCAAAAGTGGTGATAGTGTGTCTTTACTCATTTTCTCCTTTTATTCTTTGCAAATGAATACTCCAATTAGGTGATTTCCCACCAATCTGCTAATTTTTTATCATTGATCAATATCAATTCTCTATTCAGCAATATTTATTAGAGGAGTATTTATTCTTTTTCATAAAGTACTTTCTTCATTGAACTTTATTCACACTATTCTCCTAATTTAATTTTTACTTCACTTGCTGCTTCATCTTAGTCTATATTTTTCTCATCATCTTCCAGATTCTCTTAATAAAACATGGAGTTTTCTGCAGCTCATGGCTTGGAGTCCACCCTTACACCTAACTTTCTCTTTTATCTACTTTCCAAATGTCCTTTAAATGCTAATAAATTACAATATAATTTTTTCATTCTGGAATTCTCTGCAGCACCCAGATGGATACAGCCAACTGCAATGGACTGAATGCCTATGTCCCCCTAAAATTCATATGCTGAAATCCAAAACATGTGATGGTATTAGGAGAAGGGGCCTTTGGGAAGTGATTAGGTCATGAAGGCGTTCTTTCTGCATGGGATAGTTCCCTTATAAAAGAGACAACAGAAAAATCCCTTACCTTTTTATCCATGTGAGGTTACAGTGAAAAAAATGGCTATCTGTGAGGGAGCAGGCCCTCTACAGAACCAAATCTGTTGGTGCCTTGATCTTGAACTTCCCAGCCTCCAGAAGAGTGAGCAATATATTTATGTTGTTTATAAGTACCCACTCTGTGGTATTCTGTTATAGCAGCCTGAGTAGACTAAGACCTCAACTTTCTTTAAAACATTGTTATTTTGTTCTGTTCTGTTCTGTTCAACCATTGTGGAAGTCAGTGTGGCGATTCCTCAAGGATCTAGAACTAGAAATACCATTTGACCCAGCCATCCCATTACTGGGTATATACCCAAAGGATTACAAATCATGCTGCTATAAAGACACATGCACACGTATGTTTATTGCGGCACTATTCACAATAGCAAAGACTTGGAACCAACCCAAATGTCCAACAATGATAGACTGGATGAAGAAAATGTGGCACATATACACCATGGAATACTATGCAGCCATAAAAAGTGTTGAGTTCATGTCCTTTGTAGGGACATGGTTGAAGCTGGAAACCATCATTCTCAGCAAACTATCGCAAGGACAAAAAACAAACACCGCATGTTCTCACTCATAGGTGGGAACTGAACAATGAGAACACATGGACACAGGAAGGGGAACATCACACACCAGGGCCTGTTGTGGGGTGTGGGGAGGGGGGAGGGATAGCATTAGGAGATACACCTAATGTTAAATGACAAGTTAATGGGTGCAGCACACCAACATGGCCCATGTATACATATGTAACAAACCTGCATGTTGTGCCCATGTACCCTATAACTTAAAGTATAATTAAAAATAAAAAAGACATTGTTAGTTGACCATGAACAATACTAGATGATACCACGACAACATAGAAAAATGTATTTGGAAGCCAAACTTTAATTTCATGTGACATATGCTATAAAGAGCTAAGAAAATTTAAGGAGTACTTGTTTTCTTTCTTTTTTTTTAAACAAAATAGAATCCACTATGTTGGAGACTTGATATTATGTGCTTGTCAAACTATTCTCTTTTATAAATGAGGATACAATCTAGTGTGCTCATGGACATCAAATGGATTTGCATGAAAAGTTACATTTTATTTGTGATTTTTAAAACATCACAGTAACCATAAACTGAGCTGGTTTACTCAACTTTTCATTGTTTTGTTGTTGTTGTTCTTGGTTATAATACTTGCAAACTATGGAAAATCACATTGACTAACAGGATAAACTCTATATGCATTTTATTTCCCAAGGAATTGTGTTCACTTTATTTTTGCTGAAGGTTGTATGTTAAATCAATGTCATGTTTTTATACTACTTCTTGAGTAGGAAATTCAGATTTTAAATTCTATTATTTCCTCCAAAATGAAGAGCAGTGCTTAGTTAAATAAAAGATTGATGATATGTTTCAAAACTTATTATTTGAATATAAATAGCTACATCACTGAGAGCATGCCAGATTGAACTTCTGACATTTTTCCTTCAATCTTCAAATTTCCGTTTTAATCCTCAGTATATGGTAATTTGATTATTACAGTGGCTCAGGTCATGAACTTGTGAAGTTATTTCTGATTCCTCTTTTTCTGTCTCACCTCAAATTTACTTTCAAAAATATCCAAATTCTGACAACATCTTACTACATACACCAACGCAACCCTAATCCAAGCCACCTTGATCTCCTCGATTATTGAAACAGAAATGTAATCGATCATCTTGTCCCAAAGAGTATTCTCAACACTACAGCCAGAGTGAACACTTTAATTCTTAAGTCAGATCCTCTCATCTTATGTTTAATTTTTTCCAACGAATTTCCATCACACTCTCATAGTTATGATGATAAAAGCCAACAAAAATTCAAAGTCTTCAGGGCCCTAGAAGACACAATCTGGCAAGACATTAACTCTTTTAACAAATTAATGCTCTTTTCTGGTCGATTATTTTCCTGTTCCATTCTTCTGGCATTCTGCAAAGGCTCCAGGCATTGTTAAGCCTAAGGTCCTTTGCCTTTACTGTTTTGTGTGCATGAAAACTTGAGTCTCAGGTATTTCATGGCATCTTCTGATATCTTTTTTCAGATTAGATTACTCAAATGTAACCCTTACAGGGTTAATATAGAAAAATATAGTGATGCTTTTCCCAATATTTATCTCTATGTTACTTTACTCAATAAATCTTACCACCCTTGGCAGAACATACAGATATATATATATCTATTCTGTGTGTGTGTGTGTGTGTGTATGTGTATATATATAGTATATATATATACACTATATATATACTATATATATAATATATATAGTATATATATACACTATATATATACTATATATATAATATATATAGTATATATATATAAATACATATATCCTATATACATATTACCTGTAGATATCCTGTGTGTATATGCATTTAATAAATATGTGCTGTTAAATAATGAATAAATGGATGGATATTGACAATTAATTTCTAAAAGAATGGTGTTAATCAGTAAAGCAAAAAGAAGTATTATGTTTGAAACGTGAATAGGACTTTATTATTTCATATAAACTGCATTTTTATTTAAATGAAATATACAATAATATTGTTTTTGTCTTTTTTTTTCTTTTCTTTCCTTTTTTTTTTTTCGTTGTGTTTTTGAGGCAGGGTCTCACTCTGTCACTCAGGCTGGAATGCAGTGGTGCTATCCTGGCTCACTGCAACCTCTGACCACTGGGCTCAAGCCATCCTGCCACCTCAGCCTTCCAAGTAGCTGGGAACATAAGCACACACCACCATTCCTGGCTAAGTTTTTTTGTATTTTTATTAGAGACGGAGTCTCACCATGTTGCCCAGGCTAGTCTCAGACTCCTGAGCTCAAGCAATCTGCCTACATCAGCCTCCCAAAGTGCTGGGATTATAGGCGTGAGCAACTGCACCGGGCTCCAATAATATTGCATGTATTAATTTTAGTACATTCTCTATAGATGCTTTTCCTCTCAGTTTTTGTATTCAAATGTGTGTGATAAATATAATAATTCATGATACCTAAATTGAATTATTGGATTAAATTCAATTGCAAATATAACTACACTTAATACACATGTAATTCCATATCAATATCTAAGAGCTGACTTATGTATTATAAAAATTCTTAAGTTTCCTTCCATAGCAAAACATACAAAGAAAAAGAGAATCAGTACTGAAGCAATTTTTCTTGGTGAATTCTAAGAAAATTTCAAAAAGATACTGCTTTACAGATAATATGGTGCTCAGAACGGGATTTAGCATGGAATGCATAAGCCAAAATAAATACCACACACAGACACACACATACACATGCTGACTAAAAAAAAGTGGAGACATATCTGCAAGTATAGCTCAGCAGCATAAAAAATATGTTAATGTTGGTAAATATGTTGCTAAGCTATAATTCTGTTTTTATTTGACATATGTAATATAATATGGCTTTAAAAATTTATACTAATCAGCATCTAGCACTATGCTAACTATGACTAAATCTATATTCATATACGTTCCCATATCATGAAGAATTAGTATATACAAATGTCCAGCTTTCATAGTTTTAACACATTGTTTTTCAGAATGTACACCAGCAGGTTTTCTCCTAATTTCTAGCATATATTTAATTAGTTAATATTTGCTTTTAGTATTTGCAGTGTACTGAAAGAACTACCTTGGTACTGGAAACATTTGGGTCATGTATGTGAATGCCATTCTTCAATTTGTGATTATCAGAAAGATCCGAGGACTATGCTTGTGTGTGTGACAGCTTCTTCAATGTCTTTTGCTTGCAATTCTGAATCGAGCCAACTTCTGTTTCAAGTAGTTGCACACTGGGATTGTCTGCTTTCAGTACCACACAGTGCTCTCACATCGTTTGATGTGTACTACAGTGATTTATTTTAGTGACTCTCCCCTGTGTATACAGTTACATTATTGCACATTCCCCTTAGAATAAGTGCCAGAATAGGCTGCTAGAATCCGTCTCTTCTCAGCTCCTGCTCATTTCATTGTTAGTCCCAGTACCAACTTTTTTGCTATAGTATGTGTCATAGTTCATTTGCATTACCATAAAGAAACACCTGAAGCTGGGTAATTTATAAAAAGAGGTTTATTGGCTGGGCATGGTGGCTCATGCCTGTAATCACAGAACTGTGGGAGGCTGAGGTGGGTGGATCACGAGGTCAGGAAATCGAAACCATCCTGGCTAACATGGTGAAACCCGGTCTCTACTAAAAATACAAAAAAAATTTAGTCAGGCGTGGTGGCACGTGACTGTAGTCCCAGCTACATGGGAGGCTGAGGCAGGAGAATCACTTGAACCCCAGAGGCGGAGGTTGCAGTGAGCCAGGATCACGCCACTGCACTCCAACTTGAGCAACAGAGCGAGACTCCATCGGTTTTTAGAATAAGTGCCAGAATAGGCCATTTTGTTCATGGTTCTGCAGGGTTTCAGGAAACTTCCACCAATGAAAAAAAGTGTAGGGGAGCAGGCATCACATAGGGAGAGGAAGGAAGCAAGAATGAGAGAGGAACGGAAGTTGCCAGGCTCTTTTTAACAATCAGTCCTTGTAGCAATTAACACAGTGCAAACTCACTCATTCCTGTGAGAATGGCATTCATAAGAGATCTGCTCTCATGAACCAAAGGATCTACCTCAACCAGGCCCTACCTCCAACACTGGAGATCAAATTTCACCATAAGATTTGGAGGAGACAAATATCCAAACCATATCAGCATGCTATAGGAGTTCTTTAAAAATTACCATGCTATGTATAATTGCATAATAAAACCACAGACTTACGAGAAGAAAGGGAGGTTGGGAGCACCACCCTCAAAACTTCCTTGGTAACATATAAAATAAAAATGTAGAACATAATAACACTTTTTTTAACCTAATAAATTGTATATATATATATGTGTGTATGTGTGTGTGTGTGTGTGTATAAAATAAATGTGGCTTGACCTTGAAAAAGGTCTGAAGTTGACTCACAGAACTCTGCATAAGAAAGATTACAATTTGTGAGTTATTGGAAGTCATGGAAGGAGAGTCATCTGATTTGGACTGAATAGATGATACCAGATGTGAGTGGGTGAGCTCATAAGATGCAGGGAACTTAAGTCACTGGTATTTGTTTGGGATATGTGCATATGTGTGTTTGATGTATTCTTATGTGGCTCTGTCCAGGTGAGTGTAGTTTTCTGGGCTCACCTGATGTTTCTTGCAGGCAAAATTGCACATAAGCAAACTTGCAATTCACATGGTGTTTGCATTGTTTCCTGGTATATTGTTTTGCAACACAGTCACATTTACAAAGCAAATATTATAACAAAACTGACTGCACTTATTTTTTGTAGATAAGCTTGCATTACCTTCAAAATGCTGAATTTTAACCACGTCTTGTTTCCAAAATTTTGACTTTTCAATTATTGCTCACTCAATTAATTTATGTTAAAATAAAAGAAAAAGAACAGGAAAAATAAGTAAAAAAAAGTTAAATCCAATCACACAATTTACTTGATGGATGAACTGCTCATAAAAACAAATGTTGTTTTGTATCATAATAAATGTTTAAATTGCTTACTATTTACATAAACCCAGAGTAGAATCAAAATGTGGAGAAAACACATGACTGTAATCATTGTTAAAAAAAATTTAGGCAATAAGGAATATGGCAACTGAAAGGATGTTTGTAGGTAACGAATCTTATCAAAAATGTTGTAGTTGGGATATTTGAATGATATTCTAAAGGAGTCTGGTAAAGAATAAAGAGCAGATTATTAGGCCAAATAAAAATGGCAGTAATACAAGTTAAGCACCTAGGCTGCACCCAGAAAATTCATCAATAGTTATCAGTTTCTAAGCAAACAACCCAATTCTTATGATCATCTCCAAACTCAAGGGTGATGGATATGAGAAAGAAGAATAAAAAAGCACGAAGGGACGTCAGTCTAACATGTCAGAAATATTATGTAGGTTTTCTGGTATAGGGAATAAGGAAAAACGGAGTTATTTGGCTACCATATAGTTTTAAGGGAAGGTATTAAGCTAGAGTAGACTGTGTTGGAATATTAGAATAATAAACTCACTTTAAAATACCTGTGGCTAAGCCAGAAAAGATTGTGTGTGTGTGTGTGTGTGTGTGTTACATACTCATTGTGCATGTGTTCATGAGTGAGACATCTTGTGTTCAAAGTCACCAGGAGCACTGGTTTACTGAAACTGTGATCATCTTGGGGACTGGGTCCACTCTCTGTATTATGTGAATTTCTAATCACTGAGGCAGTGGGAAGAGGGCAGTGAAGGATTAGGCACCAGCAATTCAGTGCTCTGGCCTGAATTTGAAGCACATTATTTCTACTCAAAATTCATTGGCCCAAAGTAATCATATGACACTCCTTCCTTCAATTGATGGGAGAAAGAAAATATAATATTACTAGGAAACCAGTAGGAAAGAAAAATCAGATATGGCTGAGTTCTTGAAGTCTGTATGTTTACCACAGATAGAGACTGTGTTTCAGGAGAATGCAAAATCTCATTTATCAACATGTTGGTAAAAGCTGAGAGTTGGGAGAAGCTGAGTCAGGGCCTGCATGTCTGACATAATGTAAAGGAGTCTTGGAACACGTCTGGGGACCAGGGTCTAAAACCCCTTGTGGCCTTTGGAACACTAAGCTCTGTGCTAAATGGTGGAAGGCTACCCTGACGCACCATCATCTAAGCCCAGGGCATAAAATCCCTCGTGGCTTGGATAGAATCCAGGGCTCGTGGCTCTGGAATGTGTCTAGACTTGCTCCTTGCTCTCCCAGGATCCATTTTATCTTCGAGTTAAAAGAACCTGCTCTCCATTATCAAGTAGCAGAGCAAATGCTAAACCACCACAGCTGTAAATCATGTGCTTAATGCAACGCTCCCTTTCGACCTCCACATTCTCACCACCTGTTTCTTTGTTGGATTACCAATAAATAGCATGAGCTCTCAGAGCTCAGGGCCTTTGCAGCCTCCACAATCACGATGGCACCCTGGTCCCACTTTACTTCTCAAACTGTCTTTTTCTCAATCCTTTGACTCCACTGGACTTCATCGCCCCCAAGACCTAGTGTTGGGTCTGATCACCCCAACATCAACATAAGCAAAATCAGGCTTAAGGGTAAAACAAACACTTCCAGCCATAAGCATAAGACACACACTGCCAGAACATAAGATAATTGATTCAGTTATTCATTAATTCTCTAAGGAGAAACCACCTTTGTTGACTAGCAGAGGCCTGAAAATGCAGACTTGGGCAAGAGCCTCAGAAATCATCAGAATCATCCCATGTTATCTTTATGACGTGTTAACATTGTGGTTGCACGTGCATTGGACAACATGATTTTTGTGGAATGTTAGCTTTTAATGGAAGGTGGAGGTTCATTACAATTATGGTTTTCAGCCTTCTTTTGTAACCCTTGATGAATAATTATTTAATATTTTATAATAAATTTCATAAAGATATTTCTTCTATTTCAGGCATTGTTATGTTAAAGTGAGTGCTACTGGATTAATATCCAGAAGATAACTCCAAAAAAACTTTTGAGAGTCCATTTGAAGCTAAATATTAATATTTAGGTTAAAATAATCAATCGACAAAACTTTGTATTTATATATTTCTTTTCATTTTATTCTTCTATTCTTCTGACAAGTATCAGCCAAGGGCTCATAAAATATCATTCCACATTTTTTTCTTTTTATATTACTCTTCTCATTTATATATTGCACTATTTTTTTGAGTAAATTAAAGTAATAAACTATTTCCTGTCAAAAACTACTTCATTTCTTTTACAATATGTTTCACTAGCTTATTCAAGTAAAGTTTATGACTAAATAGAAAACCCACATGCATTTGAAATTAATTTTGTCTGTTTGTGTTAGTGTATATTTAAATATCTGGTCAGGTTATGTGGTTAATATCGCAAGGCATCTAGTTGAAGTAAAGCATATGTTTTAATCTCTGAACTATGAAATAGGTAAATGAGGTATTCTAGAATTAAATCATTGTGCAAAATATTTACATTATTTACAATGATTTTGTTAATATAGTAAAGTATTACGTTTTAAAAGTGCATTGGATAATACCTCAATCATATAAGATGGTGGTGCCATAAAATTAGAGAATGATCGTATGTAACAAATAGCTATGCAAAGAAGAATATTTGCATGGACTTTAAAAGCTGATGTAATAACATTCTAAGTGAGTGTCATATTATGTGAACAGTCCTATTTATTTATCGGAAGATCGAATAGGTCATAGATCCTATAAAGCTGCAGAAGGTTTCTGAAAAATTGAACTCCACATTTATATCAATCAAAATTTTGGCTATCAATTGCCTACTTGTGCTAAAAATAGTGTAAAGCACTATATATACAAAATAAAGTCATGCCAGCTTAGTACACATTCTGAAAGGTTTGAAATCCAGATGGAGATGACAAGTCAGTATTAAATAAAAAGTAGAACAGTGGGTAGCTGACATTTTGACCGGCAAGTGAGGCATTAAGAAAATATTTATTTATCTATTTAATTAATTAATTTTTTTGAGACAGAATCTCGTTCTGTTGCCCAGGCTGGAGTGCAATGGTGTGATCTCACCTCATTGCAACCTCTGCCTCCCAGGTTCATGCGATTCTCACGCCTCAGCTTCCCGGGTAGCTGGGATTACAGGCACCCGCCATCATGACCGGCTAATTTTTCTATTTTTGTAGAGATAGGGTTTCACCATGTTGGCCAGGCTGGTCTTGAACTCCTGACCTCAGGTGATCCTCTCACCTCGGCCTCCCAAAGTGCTGGGATTATAGGCGTGAGCCACTGTGCTCAGCCCAGCATTAAGAAAATATAAGCTAAAGGCAAGAGAGAGGACTGTGAAGATATACATAGCTTCATAGATGCATATGTGTGTGTGTGTATATATATATGCAGCTATATATATGTATATGTGTATATGTATAGCTATATATATGTATATATATGTATATATGTATAGCTTCATATATGGACACGTGTATATACATATACATACACACACACACACATATATATATATAAAAATTAGAGGATGGGTGGTAATTTGAGCGGACACTTAGAAAGCCACATTTAAAAAATTAACCACCAAAAATACAAAAATTTTTAAAAAAACTACTGTATTTGGTCAAATCATTATCAATTCTATAATGATTCTTGACTATCATAAATCCCATGCCATGGTACAACTCAGTAGTTACACAGAGATTATTTAACATTTCTAATCCAGTGTTTTAATTGCAATATTAGAACACTCAGTCTTGGTATGAGCAATTTTCTCACAACTAATGTGAAACACTTCTATTGTTATATGTAAATTATGGGGGAATTTTGCTTGATGTTTTCAGGGGACATACAAGATATCTTAAAAATGAAAAGGTTTTGGTTTTCTAGAAAACCTTCAAGCATCTGGAACTTGAGCTTCCTACTGCAGTATTGAAATAGTTTCAAGGGGTGTGCAAGTGAACCCAGCTTGTGCAATAAAACTTGTCTCTCCTCCCAATTTCTGTCTTTAGTTCTTCCCTGGCTGAAATTAGAGACTGACAATAAAGACAGTTATGTAAGTTCTTGACCGTTCCAGCCATGCCCACTTGCAATAATAACTTATATTTACATTAACATGTATTCAAACTGTACCCATTGCTTGAGATTTGCTTGGGATCCTTTTCCCCATTAACAGGAAGATCTGCCGGGCACGGTGAGTCATGCCTGAAATCACAGCACTTTAGGAGGCCGAGGCAGGTGGATCACCTGAGGTCAGGAGTTTGAGACCAGCCTGACCAACATGGAGAAACCCCATCTCTACTAAAAATACAAAATTAGCCAGGCGTGGTGGTGCATGCCTGTAATCCCAGCTACTCGGGAGACCGAGGCAGGAGAATTGCTTGAACCCGGGAGGCAGAGGTTGCGGTGAACCGAGATCCTGCCATTGCACTCCAGCCTGGTCAACAAGAGCGAAACTCCATCTCAGAAACAAAAACAAAAACAAAAAAAAAAAAAAAAAAAAAAGAAAAGAGGAAGGTCTGCATTAACTTGCAAATAAATCTCAAATTCCCTTCCACTATTAACCTTCTAGTTACTAGTTGCTATCTATTGAAGATAATTTATGCGATTCCAGACAATTAGCCTGCTTCATGAGCCCTCTTTATCTGTAGTATTCACTTGGTCCCCCTTAGTGAGTTCTTTCTTGGTCCAATTACCAGGCTGTATTTAATATACTTACTGAGGCTGTAGCTCAATGAACTCAGGTTTTAATTGTTTCATTTAAATCTGTGTCATCTGGGGTTTTTTTAATGGCTAACCCTTGATTTGAGCTTCTCATAATCCGACTCACTCAGTCAAGCATTTGTGATCTGTGGCTCAACAGGCTATGCATAGGTTTCTAAGGATGAGTGACATCAAGAATCTGGCTACCAAACAACACTCTGTGTTTTTGAATCTGTAAGTGAGATTCATTTCACATAGCTTCAGTCTGTTTTTAATGGGTTCAATATCCCTTCATCCAGACATAGATTAGATATTCAATAATTGTTTAATGGACTTAGTGGCTGCCTATGGTGTGTCACATTTTAAGTATTCCCATGAGCCTTTTCAATACTTAACTATGTACATCAGTTATGATAATTTGAATTAGTAAATAAAAATGCTGAGAACTAAGGATTGTGATCCCGCCAAAAACAGCAGACCAGAAAATTCAAACTTTGTACTATATGACACTCCTATGGAGATTTTGACAGCCTGGAGTGAGTGAGTAGCAAGCCCAAAATCTTGACTGGTATAAGTGAAGTAAAGGATCTTTTTGTAAAGTTCTCTTTTCTTTTTGTTCCCATAGCATTTTCTCCTCCATGACTTTAGCATGCATACTTTGATCTCTGCATCCTCTGTTCTTCATGCAGTTTGGTACCAAAATTCGCAAGGACAGATATTACACTTTATTAACTATTTTTACTATCAATGTGCCACAATATTGGCCCCATGTAGAAGTTTAATAAATGTTGGTTAAAGGCACATTCCAGCTATGAAAGAAATCCAACTCTTAAATATTTATGTTTAAAGAATTTTTTTGATGAGAGTATATTTTGAATATGGACCCGTTTGTATATGAGTAACACTTTTATTCATTTATACATACATATTTTGACATAATTTACATCACATTAGCTTATTCCTGAATGGAGTGTACTTTATTTTTCTAATTTTTTTATCATCTAATAATCCTATAGAATTTGGAAACCTCACTAATCTTAAAATTCTTACCTACCTATTGGTTTTTGATATGAAGTTTCTTTGGATGCAAAGTACCTCATCAGTATGTGAAGCAAACCTTCTATTTTCTGTCAGTTCCATAGATCTGTTAAAGGTAAAAAAAAACTATCATCAATACATATAATATATTCATACAAAGTTTTTTCTAGGTGGAAAGTATAAAAGATGAACAACCCCTGCCCTGTGGTTTTGAAAAAGTATCTGGTGCTCTTAGGCATCTTTATGAACAATCCAAGTACAACTGCATTGCAAAATTAATGAGCCAAGAAAATGAGTCTTGTTAGTTTTCCACTCTTTGACTTCTAACATTACACTTGTTCCTACAGTTAACATTAAAAGCACTACATTAAATTTACATGAAACATAGCTTTGTCTTCTGATCTATTGGAAGTTGACTAAACTCTTATAATAATAATCTTACCTGGCTCTATGTCATTATTTATAGGAAAATAATAAAGATTAAAAAATAAATGAATCTGGAAACTACAAGCCACAAGGATGGCTGTGGAAATGAGTGAGAGTATAATCTTGAGTTTCAAAAACATGGGCTCTATGATTTGTAAAGTTATTTCAATCTTGTAGATATTTTTGGAACTAAGCAATATGACTCACCCTTCCTAATACCAGTAGAAATATAAAGCATAAAGTTGGAACTCTGGCTACTTCATGAAAATATTTATCTTGGAATTGACACTTAGATGCTCTGACCTGTTGGATTTTGAACAGAAAAATATACTACAGACAAATGGGCTATACATTTCTGTCACTGCATCTTGTTATATTGCTGGCACACAGATGAAGTCAGAGGCAGCAGAAACCACTGATGGGGAGAGCACAAATGAAGCAGTGCTGAGGAAAACTACCTCTTGCCAGGAAAGAGAAGCTTGAAGATGACATTGATTGTGAACACAGATTTCAATTTCGGTTCACAAGGCAGAGATTGCACAATATGGCAGCTTAAAAATATATACAATTTTGCATTGAAAAAACAATAAAATATATGTTTACAGGCAAACACACACATATATCATAATGTGTGTGTGTGTTGTATGTGTGTCACCTATAGAAAGAGCACTGAAACTCTTAATATCCTTATTTGAATAATGGCAAATAAAAGGAAACCATTTCAGCTACTTTGTACCTGAATCATATACTACTTTGGGATGCCATATGCATCAGACAAACTGGAGCATAAGATGATTTTGAAAAATGACACTAGACATGTCTAGAACCTTCCTTTTTATCATCTGACAACATACGAATCTCATTACTGTGTTAGTTTGTTCAGGATTCTTCTAGGCAAAAAAATAATTACTCAAATTATTTTGAGAAAAGTTTTAATGTCTAAAATTCTTGTAAAGTATCATATTCTCCAGATACTATTTCAATTACAGGAATTACCATGACTTCGTATTAAGAGATTAAATTGGAACTTTTATTTAGCATTTAGGGCTGCAGAGGGAGATTATTTAGAAGTTAAGGGAATAAGTTTGGCTCTCTCAACCTCTATGAATACCTGAGTTTTGTACAGGCACTCAAAGAACTGTCTTATTATTGGATATCCCACAGCACTCTCTAATTATCCATCCTTGATTTTCCATAATGAATTAGACTTCCCCTGATCATTTTACTAATTAATACTTAATAGCTAATAACTGCAGATATGATACTGTAAAACATGCTTGATCAAATATTATTATTATTGTCATTTTGAGACAGAGTTCCGCTCTGTCACCCAGGCTGGAGTGCAGTGGCATGATCTTGGCTCACAGCAACCTTCACCTCCCGGGTTCAAGTGATTCTCCTACCTTAGCCTCTCGAGTAGCTGCGATTACAGGTGCCTGCTATCACGCCCAGCTAAAGTTTGTATTTTTAGTAGAGACGGGGTTTCACCATATTGGCCAGGCTGGTCTCAAACTCCTGACCTCAGGTGATCCACCCACCTCGGCCTTCCAAAGTGCTGGGATTACAGGCGTGAGCCACCATGCCTGGCCAATCAAATATTATTTTTAAGTGCATCTTTTCCATTTGTTAAAATTTTATTTACGAACAACTATATTCATTATGTAGAATAGTGGTTAAATGCACAAAGTTTTATTTCAAACAGTAAGGATTTCATAGCAAATGAAACTGGTAACCACAGGCCCCACTGAAATGTTCCTTTCCACCTGTAAAACAATGAATATTCGATAAGGTGAAATATGAAAAGAACACATAGTTACTGGTATGTAGTAAATGATCAACATACCTTAGATATGGTAAATGTGAAGAAGAATAGCACAGTGATGATAGGATTATATATTAAATTAAACTTTTTCGAACTCAGTTTTCTCATATTTAAAATAATACTACATTGCCTCAAATCTTTTTAAGGTGAAAATGAGGAAATTTTTGTAAATTTTAGCTTTTAACTTCTATAAGGCTTGAGTATCTTAGTTATTATAAATGTTGTAAGTAATAAAATTAGAAAATTTTTTTCACTGAATTTTTTTATCTGTTCCTTTGTTGATGGACACTTAGGTTGCTTCCAAATCTTAGCTAGTATGAATAGTGCTTCAACAAACATAGGAGTGCAGATATCTCTTTGATAGACTGGATTTCCTTTCTTTTGGGTATATACCCAGCAGTGAGATTGCTGGATCATATGGTAGCTCAATTTTTCGTTTTCTGAGGAAGCTCCAAACTGTTCTCCACAGTAGTTGGACTAATTTACATTCCCACCAACAGTGTACGAGGGTTCCCTTTTCTCCACATCCTTGTCAGCATTTGTTATTGCCTGTCTTTTGAATGTAAGCCATTTTAACTGGGGTAAGATGATATCCCATTGTAGTTTTAATTTGCATTTCTGATGATTAATGATGTTGAGCATCTTTTTATATCCCTGTTTGCCGTTCGTATATCTTCTCTTGAGAAATATCTATTCAAATATTTTGCCCATTTTTTATTGGATTATTAGATTTTTTTTCCTATGGAGTTGTTGAGCTCCTTATATATTCTGGTTATTAATCTTTTGTCAAGAGATTTTGTACGTATACACAATGGACTACTATTTATCCATAAAAAAGAATGAAATCCTGTCATTGGCAACCACATGGGTGGAGCTGGAGATCATTATGTGAAGTGAAATAAGCCAGGCACAGATGGACAAACATTGCGTGTTCTCACTTATTTGTGCAATCTAAGAATCGAAACAATTGAACTCATGGACATAGAGAGCAGAAGGATGGTTACTAGAGGCTGGAAAGGATAGTGAGGGATTGTGGAGAGATGGGGATCATTAATGGGTCCAAAAATAGAGAGAATGAATAAACTTACTATTTGATAGCACAATACGGTGATTATAGTCAATAATAATTGCATATTTTAAAATAACTCAATGTAATTGGATTCATTTTAACTCAAAGGATAAATGCTGGAGGTGATGGATACCCCATTCTCCATGATGTGTTTATTTCACATTACATGCCTGTATCAAAGTATCTCATGTATACTTTGATAAATACACATAAATATATACACCCACTAGGCATCCACAAAATTTTTAAAAATAATAAAAATAAAAATATTCACTGGGTATGGCATAACCATGTTTAATTTTTATTTTTACACATAAAGATTACCTCCTATTTTGAAATATAAAGTGTCTGATGAGTTATCAATTTTTGATTTAATATTGATTATTATTTTTCATTCTCGGACAGCCTAGGTTTAGCTTATCATGAAACCAACAGCACAAGTAAATAATAAGGATTAAATATAAGATATGACTGCAATTACATTGTCTTTCAGCACACTGTCTTAATCTTAGTTCAGATAACGGGAACTTTATTTGGCTTGTGCCCATGCCCAAACTGTTTTGCTGAACATCTGAGCTTCATTTATTCTCGTCAAAGGCATAGAAGTTAAGTGCTTGTTTGTGAAAAGCTAACTCAACATGCTTGCCATAGTTGTCTTCAATTTCTAAGTGGATAATAATTAGGCAGTATCTTCTGCACATATTTAAACTGACCTCAGAGCATTTCCTATGCATGTGTTGGGATAGCAAGAGAAACTGAAAATGTCTTAACCAATTTGAAGTATATTTCATTCATATTCACAGTCTGCAAATCAGCAGTTTGTGATTGGCCCCTCCATGTTGTTGAGGACCAAGACTGTCTAGGCGTTTGCTTTTTATCATCAAATTGTGGCTTAGATCTTGTGTTTCAAATTGCCTCTTTGCCTCCCACTTGGAAGTGCACATTCTATTCGGTGTGACCTGGAAAGTAAATATATCATTTCTGCTCTTATTCCGTTTATAAGGTCGTGCACATCTGTGTGGGAACCTGGGAACTTTTGTTTTGCCTAGATGGTCACACACTCTACTAAAATGTATGTTATTATAGAAGACGTGGCCAGAAGGAGACAACTAGCTGGCTGTCTCAGTGGGTCTCTCTTCTTATTTTTCAGGTAAAGATGCAACTAGATTTGTCTTCAGTTGTGTCAGAGTGCAGTTCATAAGACCCTGCAACAATTGCGAGTTCCTGTCTTTATAGTATTAAGGTTATACGATTTAACCAGCATCATTCAAACAACAGTGGAAATCGATTCTACCCTAAACTCCTAACTGAACATCCTAAATTTCTACGAGCCTGCTTAACTTTGAAAATACTTAAAATGCTTGAAATTTGGGGCTATTCAAGGACTGGATGGAGATTTAAATCTTTAACTATGTGACAATTCCTTATTTCAATATATCTTAAGCCAATCTCTATATTATAGTCCATCTTATCCCATAAGGTCATCTGCTGCCTGTATTTCTACATTTGTGCTTTTTCACAGCAGCCACCCAGTTACACAAGTCTGAAATTGGAGTGTGCACATACATTTCTCTGTTCTTTTTCTGTCACATGAGATGAATCACAAAGGAAAACCACTTTTCCACTGTACGCATTTATGACTGAGTCCTCTCATCTCCGTGCTTCTCGAGAGATGTTTTCCTCTCCGTGATTTGGCTTCCCTGTCTCTGCTTTTAGCCGCACTGGTGTCAGAAAAATCTCTCTAGGAGACTGCTTTGAAATTACACTTAAATATTAAAATGGCTTCCACTATACAGTGAAAAAAAATCTCTAACTTCGTAGTATGTTACAGAAGGAGTTCATGTTTTTTATTCACCTGTCATTCCTGCTATCTCCATCTTTAGGCAAGCCTTTTTTCACTACCTGTACTTTCCTCATCATGCTACATTCTCTCTCACCTACGTTTCTTTGCATATGTCCCCTGGCAAAGCCCTGACAAAATATCTAGTAAGTCAAAAGTATTTCCTCCACAGAAGTCTTTCGCACATATGCCCATACCTAAATCCTCCCCTGTTCAGCTATCTTCAGACACTGCATTTATTTCTACAGCAACTGTTACTTATGAACATTGCAGAACTTATCAAACTTCCTTGTAGTATTCCCTTCCAAAATTCCCTTCCAAAAGGGGAAAAAGTGTTTTCTTTTTTTTTTTTATGTTACTTATTGCAGCAGCCCTGTCTGGTTCATGACATGTAGTCTGTGTACCACATACGTTTGTTAGATAGTATTATTCTGACTGAAAGCTTTTCAGTTTGATTGTGATAAAGGGTTGGTTTTCATTGTCTTCCTACATCTACAAAATATTTCCTTCTGTATTTTAAATATGGTATTCCAAATATTACCTTCAATAGTGGGTATAATTTTAGTGCAAGTACTTTGAAGTAAGGATTTATGATGCAATTTTAGATTCTTGTTTTTATGAACAATTGAAAAATAGGAATTAAAACATAATGGTAATTTTGGTTGGTTTCAAAAATAAAATATATTTTATAGTATTTAATCTTGAAAATTTAAAATTCCAGGTGATTCTAAAAATTATTCAATGGATCTCAGCGAGCTTTTGTGCTTTTAGTATGACCCTGGAGGCACTTACGCGTAAGTATTAATAAGTACTTTGCCTTCAGTCAAGGAAATCTGAAGAATCTCATGGGACAGCAGGAACATATTATGTTTCTCTAAACCAGGAAAATCAAATCAATTTGCATTTTGAAATCCACAGAGAATGAAAACCTCTAGTTAGAGTGTTGTGAATCCCTCTAGGAGCAGTGAGTTGAAGTATTCCCTGCAATATCATATGGTGACATTTTTATTATCAGGAACTATTTTTACATGTACAAATAAAAATATGTTCTATGCTTTGCTTTCTCATTGTGTGCATATACTTTGAAATCTGATTCATAATGTTATCCTTGAATCTTTATTGCTTACCAAGGCTGCTTGTCATGGCGGGGTGTCCTAAGGGCTATTGCAGCTTTTATTGCTACACACATACTGGTCGTATCATATGAATGTATAAGGCCAATTAAGAGAGTCCTTTAACTCATAACTTTGGGTACATTCATGGGAAATTTGCTTTAGGGTTGGCAAGAGTGCATCCATAGGTATAATTTAAATTAAATATCTCAACTGATAATTATTTTAATGGGATATTATAGAGTATGCTATCAGTAAACTGGGCAAGTAATAATGAAAAAGCAGTAAGTTTTCTATGCAAATTTAACCTATTAAGTAACCTAGGCACAGTAAATCATTACATAGTAAAAATGATGGAATACTTTTGCTGCTAGCCTTATTTTCTGTTTCCAAAGTCCTGTTTCAGGGAAATAATAACATTGATCATCTCTATAATATTTTTCAACTGATGGAGAACCATTTTTTAAAATATTTTTACACAGTGCTCTGTAGATGAGTCATGTGTGTTTATTACCCACATCTCACAGATAAGGAAATAGATCCCAAGACATTAAATAATTTGCCAAAGGTTACAAAGCTAATGCAATTTTCAATAAAGCACAGCTCTAGGGATGTTGCCAGTCTAGTTAATTTGTACTCTTCTCTTCTTTCCAGTACCAAATTACTATATTTAGTAATTACCACTTTAGCATTTGATCACATATGTTCCTGCCTATCACTTTCTCTTGTATCTTCAATTTTTCATTTTCCACTTGTTTATTTCACTCGCCATCATGTTTAGTCATTCTTTTGGTAAAAGTCTTCTCCTCTCCGATTTTTAGTCAATAATGGCCTCAACCTCCCTAGCAAACTTACAAAAAATAAAAGAAAAACGAACTTCAAAACTTCTGCTGCTGCTTCTTCACTCCCCATTTCATTTCATAATTCACTACTTTTTTTTTTCTTATGGCCAAACGAAACATTTTCTGTAGCCTCTACATCTAATTTAAGAGTGGTACATTTTGCTCTCTGGTCAACCTTAAAATTCTGTCTGCCTATGTTTCTGTGATGCTGCAAAGTATTGCAGATTCTTTGATTTTTTTACTGCTATGATGTTGATTGTTCTCTCTATATGGACTTTATGTGTCACATTCCTATTTGTGATTTCCAAAACTCTTGCTAGGTTATTTTCTATTCTTTTGCTCAGTCTATGTGTTCTAGAAACACTCACCATTATGCCAATGACAATAAAATCCAGGATTTATATCATTCCTGAACAGATACAAATTTATAATTGCCTAATTGCATTGCAGAAGGATATTCACTGCCATTTCCACACATTTATTTAAATAGGTCTAAAACTGATTAATTGAAGTTTCTGCAGGTTTTCTGCTCTGTGTTGTCCTTGCCTATTTCCCTTTTTGAGCAGCATAGATACTATGAGTAGCTATCTATGAGTAGCATAGATAGCTCCCCAGTCACTCACATAATATTCTAAATAATTCTTACAACTTCTACTATCTTCCAATAGTCAATTGCTTATAAATATACCCATTTTTCTGTTGGTTTTTTAAATACCCATTTTCACCTCCAGCATCTGTCCTCACCTTACTATTGACCACCATAATGGATTTGTTGATCATCACCTAAATATATCTTATGACTTGAATGCCTTTTACCTAGATGATACTTGAGGGACCTTAGATGAACTTAAACTTGATATTAATGAGTACAGTTACCTATACTACACATTTTCATATATATGCACATTATGCTTCTGCATAAAATGTTTTTCATTTTACTACATTTTGGTGCCATGTATGTTGATTCTTTTGTTATTGATAAATGTTTAAATGCCTTGGATTAGTAGCTTCATTTTACATTTATCAAACATAAAATATGTTTTGTCAAATAAAAATTCCACAGTTGTTACTGGATAATTTATTTGGAAACACATTTTTTTGGAACCTTGTTTTTCTATTGAAAAAAATTGGGATTTTGGTTGTAGTAGATTCTTTTTATGAGTCTGTGTTTTTTTGCATACTCACATAAGTTTGGCCACTGAAATATTCAACCTGAGATATAATCTGATTTCTATCATCTATGGTTTTATTCACTTTCCATTTTGACATATGAGAAATCTGCTTACCCCTTATTTAGAGAAAAACCATGTTTTTTTTGTTCATAACAAAAAAAGCATCCAGGCCTATTTTATGCTAGGTAATGTAATAATCACTAAATATACAAGGTCAAAAAATGAATAAAGTCTTTTTTAATGAATTCTCCGAAGGTAGGGAAGAAAACTCCTTTATTTTAAGAAGTGCTGTGTGGTAAATAAGAGCTAATAAAACAGTATTAAAGAAATGCATGTGACTTCTTAATTAACCAACTTTAATGTCTCTGTGGTATTTCAGATAATTGTATAGACATCTTCTCTGGATAGTGAGGGTAGAAACTACTCACAGTACTATAGAAAAAATCTATAATAATTATAAGCTGAATTTCTTAATTATGTAATCACTTTCATGAATGGGACTGGTTTTATTCTTTTGAAAATTGTATTAGGTGGACATATTTTGGAAATATCTTCTTTATTATTCATATGAGAAAAATAAGGCTGAGATATTTTTAGTAAGCTCTCAAATGTAAAAATTGTAGTAAATGAATGTACCAGGACTAGGGCTCTTCGCTAGAACCAAGAATAGAAAGAAAAAGAAATCCTCTCTTTCCCAACAATCAACTATTTCCCTTTTCTCATTTTTTAACACTAGGGTGTCTCCTTCCTTCACACTCCATTGCAATTGGCTTGTCTGTTGTCAATGTGGTATCCTTTAAATTATTAGGAATTTTTAGTCTTCTTAAGGTAGTTTGAAAGAAGCCAAAATAATACTAAAGTTTCAACTCCATCTTCATGGGAAAATGAAGCAGGGCATCGGGGTGAAAGAAAATTGAATTAACAATCTAGTAAAGCTATAGCTCTTGTTTTTAAGAGCAAGTATTAGGCCGTTTTTGCATTTATAGGATTGCATTTTGCATTTATTTATTTCTATAAAGGAATACCCGAGACTGGGTAATTTATAAAAGAAGTTTACTTGGCTTGCAGTTCTGCAGGCTTTACAGGAAGCATGGTGCCAACATCTGCTCAGCTTCCAGGGAGGCCTCAGGAAGCTGATGATCATAGTGGAAGATGAAGGGGGAGCAAGCACGTCCTGTGGTAGAATCAGAAGCAACAGAGAGAAAAAAAAGAGTAAAAGAGCACATTTATTAGTAACTACCACTCTTATTTGATGAATGTAAAGGAAATTGAGTCATTGTTTGAGTCATTGCAGGACAGCAGGAGGTGCTACACACTTTTAAGCAACCAGATTTCCTAAGAATTCACTCACTACCTGGAGGGCAGCACTAAGGTTATGGTAGTGTATCATTCATAAGAAATTCTTTCCCATGATCCAATCGGCTTCCACCAGGCTCCACCGCCCTCAACATTGGGGATTACATTTCAACATGAGATTTGCACAGGGATACACATCCAAGCTATGTCAAGCAATGATTCAAGTTTTTATTTAGAGAAACCAAAACATGAATTTGAATAACCCAAATGAAAAATGACATTATGTCTTACCAACCCTCTTGCTGTGCATGGCTCTCTAACTTTTAGGTGTACTATAAGGAAGCAAATTTTAGCTTCCTTTAAGTTCATCAAATAACAGCTGTAGTTACTTATAAATATACTCCTTTATTTTTATGCAAATAAATGTTTCAAGTAAGCTTTTTAAGTTAAAAAATACAGATATTTCAAAGAACAATAGTTGTTTTTCCAGGTATTCAAATGTGACTAAGGACAAAAAGTCATTTAATTTTAAAGGGTATTTTTGATAACTACTCACAGTCAAGGCAGCACTTTCTACCAAGTTGAAAAACACGTTCAGTAAAATTTATTTTCCAAGTGAGTCACCGTTTCTCAAATTTGAAAAATATTTAACAGGAAACACTTCATTTGGTGAATATAGAAAAAAAAGTTTAAAATCAGTGAAATGGTAACTGTAAGTAATTGTAAAAAATGAAAGAAATAGCCTCATATCTTGAACAGAAAAAGAGGCTGGGACTTAAGCAGCACAATTATAAAGACAAAGATCGGATACTTTAAAAGATCAGGTAAATAAAAGTGTTTTACATAAAGCTTTGAACAAAGTGTGGCTTTGGAAGTACAAATACAGCAGTACTTTCTTTTTATCAAAAATAAAGATATGTGTTCCATAGCTAACAATACTTGTGTGTTCTCCACCAACTAAATTTTTATTATGGGATCTTTTAGGGACAAAGACAGAGGAAGAGAAAACATAGATGAGTGAAAGCATATGAAAAAATTAGCACACAGTACCTAAGGAAAGCTCTTTGGAAAAATGTCTGTTCAGGTCCTTTGCCCATGTTTTAGTCGGGTCATTTGGATTTTGCTATTGAGTTGTATGAGTTTCTTGTATATTTTGGATTTAACACCTTATCAGATATATGGTTTGCAAATATTTTCTCCCATTCTCTAAATTACCTTTTTCATTTTGTTGATTATTTTATTTCCTGTGCAAAAGCTTTTCAGTTTGATGTAGTCCTATAAGTTTATTTTTGTCCTATAAGCTTCTTTCTGCCTTTGTTTCTGGTGCTTTTGAGATCATATTAAAGAAAAAAAATCATTGCTAAAACCAATGCCAAGGAACTTTTCCCTTATGTTTTATTATAAGAGATTTAAAGTTTCTGATCTTATATTTAAGTCTTTATTTTGTGATATATGTGTATGGATATTGTGTTTATACATATACATATACATATAATAAAATGTATTTTTATTTGGCCATATAAAATTCCTGCCATTTGTGACAACAGGGATGAACCAAGAGGACATTATGTTAAGTGAAATAAGCCAGGTACAAAAAGACAAATATCATGTGATCTCACTCATATGTGAAATCTAAAAAAGTTGAACTCATAGTACCAGAGGTTAGAAAGGTGGTTGCAAGGGTATTGGGGAGTGGGGATGGGGAGATGTTGGTCAAAGCACACAAACTTTCATTTAAAAGATGGATACGCTCTGGGAATGTAATGTACATCATGGTGACTATAGCTAATAATACCATATTGTTTACTTCAAATTTACTTAGAGAGTAGATCTTAAGTGTTCTCATCACATGCACAAATACACAAACATGCAGGTTACTGCTAGGTTATGAATATATTAATTAGCTTGATTGTGATAATCATTTTACAATGTATCTATATATCAAATAATCAAGTTGTATACCTTCAATACACATAATTTTCATTTTTTAATTTATATCCGAATAAAGCTGGGAAAAAATAAAACCCCAAAACACCCAGAACCTAAAATTAGACTTTTGCAGGGATGTTTAAGTGTCAATTGAATATTTGTGATATAAATAATTATTTAATATAACTCAACAGTTTTACAATTGTTTTGCCATGTAATTCTTCAAACTGCAGTTTCTTGCCAGCAAAATAATACCATTAAAATACTTTATTGATATAAATGTATATACAGATATTTATCATCTTTATCAAAACAGTTTTGCAGCTTATGAAAAACACAATGCCCTATCTGCCTCAACGCTGCACAGAATTTTTATACGCTTTTAAAATATTAACATTAGGGTCATGACATGGAGATTACTGGAATGTGAGCAATTAACACCAATCTCAGATTTTATATCTTGTGAGAACTTGCTACTGTGCAAGTATCTTAAGAAGCCTTGGTGTTAAATGGTTTCTGATAGTGTCACACAAAATTCACACATATTTTGTTCACTGAGAAAGACTGAAAAAATTGTATGGCTAACAAAATGGATGAAAACATTAATTCAAATCTTTAAAAGGAGCATTCACTGAACTTTCCACTTATGCTGATATAATGTGTAACTTTTAAGCCACTACTCAGAAATATACTTGAGAAATACTAAAGATACTTGGAAAAACTGAAGCTAAAATACAGCTTAACTTTTCCTTTAAGCCAATTCTTCTAACCATACAAGAATAACCAACCCCATTTTAGCCTAAAACACAAAGTGAATATAAAATTCATTTTAGACTCAAAGATAAATACATTTATATAAATATAAATATATATGCATGCAAATACATTGTAGAAGACACCAACAGCTTGTAAGGATTTTCATTAGATGTTGTTCTTATGATTGATGTAATTATTTTTCCTTATTGTTATATTATTTTTGTGACTTATTTGTTGCTTTTGAACAGAAAAATAAGTATGATAAATATAATGTAAAATTCTATTTTTTGTTGAAACAGAGATTAACTCTCAATGATAATATTTACCAACTATTTTTAAATTATTTTATATTTAAACAAATGGAACAACCATCCTATCACCTAGTTGGGAAGGGAAACCATGAACCATTTTTTAATTAACAATTAAAAAAAAAACAAAAAACAAAGATGCTATTCACTCTGGAACATATTATCAAGTGCTGACAATACAAGAGGTAGCTCAGTTACAAGTTAATACACGCATTCAGAACACCTACTTTTATACGATTTAAATTGCAGGTCATATCTAAAACTTTATTTCAGGTGTTTTATTTTATGTTTTTAATTTCAATAGGTTTGGGGGAAGAGGTGGTGTTTGGTTACATGAATAAGTTATTTAGTGGTGATTTCTGAGATTTTAGTGTATCCATCACCCAAGCAGTGTACACTATACTCAATACGCAGTCTTTTATGCCTTATCCCCTTCCCATGTATTCCCCTGAGACCCCAAAAGTCCATTGTATCATTTTTACTCCTTTGCATCCTCATAGCTTAGTTCTCACTTATAAGTGAGAGCGTATGATGTTCGGTTTTCCATTCCTGAGTTACTTCACTTAGAATAATGGTCTTCAATTTCATCCAGGTTGCTGCGAATGTCATTATTGTATTCCATTTTGTGGATAAGAGTATTCCATGGTATATACCTATACCACCATTTCTTTACCCACTCATTGATTAATGGGTATTTGGACTGGTTCCATATTTGTGCAATTGTGAATTGTGCTGCTATAAACATGCATGTGCAAGTATCTTTTTTGCATAATGACTACTTTTCCTCTGGGTAGATACCCAGTAGTGGGATTGCTGGGTCAAATGGTAGTTCTATTTTTAGTTCTTTAAGGAATCTCCACACTGTTTTCCATAGTGGTTGTACTAGTTTACATTCAAACTGTACTATAAGGCCATAGTCACCAAAACAGCATGGTACTGAGGAACAGAATACAGAACCCAGAAATACACCCAAATACTTACTGATCTTTGACAAAGCAAACAAAAACAAAAAGTGGGGAAAGGACACCCTATTCAACAAATGGTGCTGGGATAATTGTCAACCCACATGTAGAAGAATGAAATTGGATCTCTTACCTTATGCAAAAATCAACTCAAGATTGATCGAGGACTTAAATATAAGATCTGAAACCATAAAAATTCTAGAAGATAAACATCTAGACATTGGCTTAAGCAAAGACTTCATGACCAATAACCCAAAAGCAAATGCAACAAAAACAAAGATAAATAGATGGGACTTACTTAAACTCAAGAGCTTCTGCACAGCAAAATAAATAATCAACAGAGTTAACCAACAACCCACAGAGTGGGAGAAAATCTTTTCAATCTATATATCTGACGAGGAACTAATAACCAGAATCTGCAAGAAATTCAAACAAATCAGCAAGTAAAAAACAAACAATTCCATCAGAATTGGGCTAAGGACATAAATAGACAATTGTCAAAAAAAAGATATACAAATGGTCAGGTGTTTTATTTTTAACAGAATGTTAGGATTTCTGGAATAACACTTGCATTACTTCTATTATTGTTGGCTCTCGGTTTCTTTGGCTACAGTATCAGTAGTCTCTGGGAATAATATCCTATGTCTTTGTAGTATTCTCCTAAGGCCTCGGAAAGCCTGTTTTTAAAAGTTTATTGATACAAAATAATTGTACGCATTTATGGGGTACATGTGATATTTTAATACATGCATACAATGTATAATAATCAAATCAGGCTAACTAGACTATACACCACCTCAAACATTTATCATTTCTTTGTGTTGGGAACATTTCAAATCTTCTTTTCTAACTATTTTGAAATATACAATAAGTTTAAAATTTTGATACCACAGTGGGTGACTAAAAAGTATATTTTATATATGCTATGAATATTAAAGTTTCACTCATCCAAATCTTACTATTTTCAGCAAAAGTTGATTCTGTCATGTTGTGAAATGCAGAAATATTTATTTACAGAGATGAAATAAATATTAAATTATTAATTTTATAATGTTTTGGTTCACTGATGCATATTTTCCATTATCCCAAAAATGAATCTCCCTGGAATATTCTCCCCCTTATGCCTATCTTAATCCTATAGAATGGGGAAAAAAATCGAGTATAGTGATAGTGGTGACAGACCGGCACCTGTCTTAGAACTCAGGTCTCTCATGTTGCAGTATTATAAATGTAGATAGTTTACTTAATTTCTTTAAGCCTATTTTATCTATAAGTGAGGGCAATTATGATAATGACTACATAAGAGTGTAGTGAGAAGAGAATGAGCTGATAATTTAGAGAGCACTTCACTTAGAACTTGGCATACTGTAAGCATTAAATCAATATTGGTTAATTATTTGTAGTAGTAATTTTAAAGTCCACATTATTGAGTTCTGTTCTCATGTTTCTGGGCACTTAAAATTTTAACTTCCTTTGCAAGTACTTAAAGTCACATGGAATTATGAGAAATGTATCATAAAATGTATATAAAAATTAGTAAATACGTCATTTGTAGAACCTATTGAAAGAAACCTTAGAGTCACAGTTGTACCTTCCTGAAAAAAAATTTGATATTGTTTCTAATACAAAAGATCAATAACTTGTTCTATACAAAAGTGTATCGATGTTACATTATTACCTTTAAAGCTATTTGGGTAAACTAGTAAACTAACTTTAATTGTGAACAGATGTCATCTCATGTTGTCTTAACTTTTGAAATTCTGATAAATTCAGTGCAATCACTATGTTCTCCATTCCTGTAAGAATCACTTGAATTCCCTGATCTACCTCCTGGTATTTACTAATCCCTCTATGTCTGTGTTTGAATTTTTATCTCCTTCACATCTCATTTTCTGTGGCTGCTCTCTCAGCTGTAGCGTCCCATGAGGTATGGTGTTGTCATCACTTCGGTCTTGTGTTCAGTCTTAGCTTTGATTACCATAGGCAATAACTGTTCTACAAGTGGCTTAAGAACAAGGTGGTGTCTTGTTCACTGATTCATTCCCCAGGACCTGAAATATCATTTGGTAAATTGTAGAAACTAAAACAATATGTGTTGAATGAAAGATGAGTAGAGAAGACTTCATGTCATGTTTTTTCTTCTCGAAACACTCTTCGCAAAACACATTTGACACCTATTACCCAAACTTAACTGTCCACTACTCTAAAATTTGACTGGACTTAAAATAAACTTTACGTTTAATACATTAATATTGATGCCTTACACTTTATGGATACATGTTTATATATGAAAGTAAATATACCTGTTTATTATTTTCTTGACTATCTGAACTTATTACACCATTTTTAGGATCACAAATGAGACAGTAGTACTAAATTTAGATTGATTTTTCATGCTCATAATAGCAACAAATGCATAGAATATTGTGTTTCTTGTTATCTACAGGAAGTTATATATTCAATAATCAAAAAGTAAGTTTTGTCATTCAAATACTAATTGGAAAGTAAATTTTTTTCTGCTTTTTGTGTATTAATTTTCAATGCTCTTTTTTCTATTCAAGTAATTTATGTTTTTTCCATCTGGTATAGAATTTGATGTTTTCACTCACACTGTTATCTGGATTGTTTATGTGAAGACACAGTAGGGGAGTACCCTTGTTTGATCATTGAGAGTTTTGTTAAAATAACACAAATGAATGTTTGCAGTAGCTCATCATGGTGACAATTATGCTGTCTTCTCAGACTAGAAGTTGAGGAATAAGGAATCAAAATAAAAGTAAGGAAACGATGATGTCTGCATATAAAGATAAAATGAGCAAATCAGGAGTATGCTAACCATGGAATTTAAGTGTAATAAATGAATATTTGAAATGTTATGATGTTCATTTGTTTTTTATAGTAATTTCTCCATCCTTATCAAAAAGTGCTAAAGTAAGATTTAGAATACAAACATAAAGACCATTCTCTGGGAAACAGAAAATTGTCTACCTTATTTTCTTAAGTTCTTCTACACAAATGATGTAATTCCACATGTGATGAGCTAAAATAAACGTAAAAACAAAAAGAAAAACTGGTAAATATTCTTAATCCTCTAAAATATTCATTTGTATCAACTCTTTACCTTATAACAGATATATTAGTTAGGGTTCTCTAGAGGGACAGGACTAATAGGATAGATGTATATATGAAGGGGAATTTACTAAGGATTATTGACTCACGCGATCACAAGGTGAAGTCCTACAATATGCCGCCTGCACCCTGAGGAGCAAGGAAGCCAGTTAGAGTCCAGAACCTCAAAAGTAGGGAAACTGACAATGCAGCCTTCAGTCTGTGGCTGAAGGCCTGAGAACCCATGGTAAGCCACTGGCGTAAGATCAAGAGTCCAAAGAAGAAGTTGCAGTCTAATATTTGAGGGCAGGAAGGATCCAGTACAGGAGAAAGATGAAGGCTGGAAGACTCAGCCAATCTAGTCCTTCCAGGTTCTTCTGCCTGCTTTATCTTAGCCACACTGACAGCTGATTTGATAGTGTACACCTAGATTAAGGGTGGGTCTGCCTCTCCCAGTCCACTGACTCAGATGTTAATCTCCTTTGGCAACACCCTCACAGACACACCCTGGAACTATACTTTGCCTCCTTCAACGCAATCAAGTTGACATTCAATATTAGTCATCGTAACAGATACCTGTCACTTATTCATTTATATGATTTTAGAAATGTCTACATCAATTGGAATGAATAATATGAAACTTTAGTTCTTACCTGAAATAATTCCCAAGTTTGGCAATCCAGGGCAGGTAGGATGGCTCCACAAAGTCATTAAGAATATTTGTTTCAACTGTTATTCTACCCTGCCTACCTCAGCAAATGGCTTTTAGTTTCAAAGTTGTTCCAAGGCCTTACATAACTGTTGGAACATGTATCATTACCACTACATTTGAAGAAGCAGGAAGGAAGAACCATGAAAAGTGGGGGTAAACAGCATGTTTCCTTAAAGAGTATTTCTAGAAGTCCCATTGCTATGGTTTGAATGTGTCGCCTCTAAAACTCAGGTGTAGTCAATGTGATGGTATTAGGAGTGATGCCTTTTAAGAGGTGATTTGATCATGATAGCTGTTCCCCCATTAATGGGATTAAAACTTCCATTGAAAAGGGTTCAAACAGCTGTTCGCTAGCTTTTCTTCTTTTCTATCATGTAAGGACTTGGTGTTCCTCCCCTTTGGAGGATACAACAAGGACACAATAAGAACAAAGACATCACTTTGTCTTGTTACATAGATCAGTAATGCATCATCCTTGATATCTCTCGCTTTAATCCAAGTATCTATATTATAACACATCCACTGTCAATCATCTATATTCAAATAAAAGCCATTCCTTTCATGTGCACAATAAGCCTCATTCATTCAGCTTGCACATGGCAAATATATTGGGTTTTGTTGTTGTTTTTTGTTGTTGTTGTTTTGTCCCTTTCACAGTTGTTATTAGCATGGCAGGTAATTTTATTTTTCTACTTTTAAACAATCAAACAAACCTCAATGCCATTTCTAGATACTGCTTATTACACAAAACCTCTCATGGTAAAATTCCTTGAAAGAGTTGTCTATTTGTGAAGGGCTCAATTTCCTTTCTCCCTTTCTCTCCTGAACCTATTTCAGTGAAGGGATTTTGTCTCTCTCTCCGTTTCTCTGCAACTGCTCTGTCAATGACCTTATGGCCCTCCACATTGCTAAGTCCGGTGGCCATTTCCCAGGCTTCATTTCAGTCATCATCAGGAACATTTGAAAGAGATGATCACACATTCTTCCTCGCGAAACCCTCACCTTACTTGGTTTTCATGCCAGACACCTCTTTTGTTTTTCTCTTCTTTCACCACTAATTTTCAGTGTTCTTCACTGAATTGTCCTTTTGGCCTGACTGTTAATGTTGCACTGGGTTCAACTCTTTTTTATTTATTTATTTTTAAAAGTCTGTATACAAACTTCGTAGGTGATTCTATCTAGTTTCATGGTTTTTAATATCATCAATATGCTGATGACCTCCAAAGTTGTATCTCTAAACTAGCTGTCTCCTCTGAACTCCAGATTCAAGCATGCAATAGTTACTATGTTATCTTTATGTGGATAGCTTATAGACACATCAACCTAGCTCAGAAACGTCCTCCCAACTAGACTGAACATGATCGTTCTCTTAATTATATGCTTTCATGTAATCATGTTCTTTGTCCTATATGTATATATATTTTTTTCTATTTTTACTTATTAGACTGTAATCTATCATGTAAGGACACGGTGTTCCTCCCCTCTGGAGCATACAACAAGAAGGCCCTCACAAGATACTGGCTCCTCAATGTTGACCTTCCCAATACCGTGAGAATTAAATTTCTGTTCTTTGTAAATTACCCAGTCTCAGGTATCTTGTTGTAGCAGTACAAACATACCAGGAAACTTACTGAACAATTTTTGCTTATATCAGATTAGTAAGAATTAGTCACAATTTCACATCTACCGACAAGAGAGACAGGGATGTATATTCTATTAACTTGGAGCATTACTACATTCTGAAGTACAGGGTTATTGTTACTAAGATGGAAGGGGTGAAAGGACATTAGTGTAGGGAGACAAAGATCTCTGCCAAGATCTTTAGTGCAGATACATCACATTTAAATTTCTAAGTATTTTTCAAATTACTATTGTTTGTTTTTATTGTTGCTATCTTTTTTTAATAAACATTTTACTGTGGGATTATTTTCCAAAACCATTAGGCTTCACTTCTTAATAAATGATTCATTTTAGAAAGAAATCATCTAGGTTCTAGTCTCTGCTCTGTCATAAATGCTTTGTATAATCTTGGCAAATTGTTTTATAGCACTGGATTTCAATTTCTTTAATATGAAATATAAATGTTTTTAAAATTTAACCATAACATAATTTTACCATCTATTTTTCACTTATCTATGTATGATGCATGTAAAATAATTATATATTAGTAAACACGTTTCTAATGCTTACCACAGACCCAATTCTGGAAAATATATCAATACAAAATTAAGGAACCCATTATTCAACTCTGCATTTAATTGTAACTTATCCTCAAAATAGTAAATAATTGTTCTAAATTTTTATTTTTTAGCATATTTTATTCTGAAACACAAAGGGAATCTTATTTTTTTTAAAATAAGTTATTAAATTCATTTACTACATTATTTTACAAATAATTATTTAGCACATCCTATGTGATGGCTATTGTTGTACGAATTTATATTATATATTAAAAGAATAATCAGATAGATCCATACTCTTTAGTAGATTAGAGTCTAATAGGTAAGAATAGAAAAATTACATACTTATAAGACAAAGGACATGATTGTATGAAAGCATATAATTAAGAGAATGATCATCTCAGTCGAGCTGGGAGGACTTTTCTGAGCAATATTGCTGTGTTTATAAGCTATTCACATAAAGATAACATAATAACAATTGCATGCTTGAATCCGGAGTTCAGAGGAGACAGCTAGTTTAGAGATACAACCTTGGAGGTCATCAGCATATTGATGGTATTAAAAACCATGGAACTGGATAGAATCACCTATGAAGTTTGTATACAGACTTTTAAAAATATGTTAAAAAAAGAGTTGAGCCCAGTGCAACATTAACAGTCATGCCAAAAGGAGAATTCAGTGAAGAACACTGAAAATTAGTGGTGAAAGAGGAGAAAAACAAAAGAGGTGTGTGGTGTGAAAACCAAGTGAGGAGAGTGTTTCGAGCGGAAGAATGTGTGATCATCTCTTTCAAACGCTGATGATGACTGAAATGAAGCCTGGGAAATGGCCACTGGACTTAGCAATGTGGAGGGCCATAAGGTCATTGACAGAGCAGTTGCAGGGAAATGGAGAGAGACAAAATCCCTTCACTGAAATTGGTTCAGGAGGGAAAGGGAGAAAAGAAATTGAGCCCTTCACAAATAGACAACTCTTTCAAGGAATTTTACTGTAAGAGGATTTGTGTAATAAGCAGTACCTAGAAATGACATTGAGGTTTGTTTGATTATTTAAAAGTAGAAAAATAAAATTACCTGCCATGCTAATAACAATTGTGAAAGGAACAAAACAACAACAACAAAAAACAACAAAACCCAATATATTTGCCATGTGCAAGCTAGAGTGAATGAAGCTTATTGTGCACATGAAAGGAATGGCTTTTATTTGAATATAGATGATTGACAGTGGATGTGTTATAATATAGATACTTGGATTAATGCTAGAGATATCAAGGATGATGCATTACTGATCTATGTAACAAGACAAAGTAGTATCTTAATACAAAGGTGTGAAACAGAAATGGTCCAGTTTTATGATGAATGGATTGAGTTTGATATGACTTTCAGATATTGAAGTAGTGATCTTTAATAGTCACTTGACTATATAGGAGTAGATTTTGAGAAGTACATGAAATCTGGAGGTATAAATTTGTTATTTATCTGTAAATTGTCATTAATGATTGGACATCAACTGACTAGTCTTTGGAAAGACTATGAAGCAAGTATAAGAAAGCTTAAGTATAAGCCTTGCCATATTAAGGCACTACACATATCCCTTTCTGGAAATTTCTAAAAATGTCAAAAGGGCATTACATTATTTTATTTTAATCAGATAACTTAATATTTAGGTTTATTTTATGTTTACTATTATTATAGTAACCTCTTTAACCTTGTTAATAATCTCCTTAGACTGACTTCAAACAATTTTGTTTTTTTGTTTGTTTGTTTGTTTTGAGACAGAGCTTCACTCTTATTGCCCAGGCTGGAGTGCAATGGTGCAATCTCACCTAACTGCAACCTCTGCCTCCCAGGTTCAAGCAATTCTCCTGCCTCAGCCTCCTAGGTAGCTGAGATTACAGGCATATGCCACCACATGCAGCTAATTTTTTGTATTTTTAGTAGAGACAGGGTTTCACCATGTTGGGCAGGCTGGTTTCAAGCTCCTGACCTCAGGTGATCTACCTGCCTCAGCCTCCCAAAATGCTGGGATTACAGGTGTGACCCACTGCGACCAACCTGAACAGTTTTTTAAGAAAAAAAATATTTTCTTAAAATGTTATGTTAGTAAATGTTTCTGTTTTTCTACTATCTCTACTGTGTCTGAAATAAGTTGTTTGAACTATTGTTAAAATAAAGTACTGTCAATATAGTTCCAATCTCTAACACATTCTACAGTTTTTGTTTCTTTTGCTGTCTTTATTCAGGGTCTCTTTATATTTTTGACAAATATGTTTTTATAAAATAAGTCCTTCGTTTGCCCCCACAGAATGTAATATTTATTTTTGGCCACTTTTCTCTCAATTGTCATTGTACAGCTATACCACATCACTCCAGTTGTTGCTGTTGAAAAAGTTTAACCTTTTTATATTAGCTTTAAAAGATGGAATTTTTCAATACAAAGGGTGAATGCTGCTTTAATTCAGAGAAGCAAAACATTATCTAAAATAGAGAAGGAAAACTTTTTTGTAATAACATATCTTTTAACATTCTCCCATGTGTAATTTACCCCAAATTTTCACTGCCTTTGAAACTTATAAAATAATTTTCCCTGAATAAAAAAAGTACGGAGGAATTTCTAAAAGACTTATCCTTTGACTGTAATATACAGTAATGCATTAGACTTTAGCTATAAGTCTTTTAAGAACATATTAGTTTGAAATTCTATTCCCTCTTTGAGAAATGCAAGATATTGAAAATGTATTCTGAAATTGTTCTTTGATACGAGGCCTTCTATCCAGAGGAAACAATACTTGCAGAAAGTTTCCAACTCATGTTGAGATGTATTGAATAAAAGCATTTTTGAAAAATGTTACAAGGTGAATGGAGAAAACTCTGTATACACTGCTAACCAGGAATATGTTCAGATCAATGATGTACACTGGCCCAAGTGGGCTGTTGTATATATAACACTTTGTTCTCAATATAAAATATGTAGGTTAAGGCAAATTAAAATTATTAGAAATACTGAAATATAACTTTTAGGAATATATTTGCATATGTAGGGTAAATTAGTTTTATTTGGTATTACTTTTAACAAATATGTATTATTTCTTAGTTCATAAACATGTGTGTGCATGTATATATGTGCATATATAGACAATGTGTAAGCAAAACTGCTGGCACTGAAATATCTCAGCATAATTTTCATAACTATCTTTAAGACACAGTCTGATTATGAAAGATTTAGAGACTAGAATAACTACTACCCAGGATTCAATATTTTAGAGGCTCTTTTCCTGAGTTGTGATAATACATAATATGTCAAAATCTTAGTTCACTCTGAATAAATTCTTACAGAGAAATATTAACCTCAAAGCTATTTTTTAAAAAAGAGAGAAAAGGTTGGCTTTGTGAAGCTGATCATTTAAATAATTCGTAACTGCTTCTGTAAGACTCACAGATTTTGGACTGTATCTCTTCAGGAAGAAAAAATTTATAGTACTAAAATTAGATGTGGGAGCCCAAAGGATTACCGTAATGCTGGAAAAACTGGCGACATAATCTAGATCTGTAAGAACATTGTAGTAAGCTAGTTCCCACCTTCTTCTCTTGGAAGCAGAGACAGGCAAACTAGTAATGGTTGATATAGTATTGCCTCTGACTTTTTATTTCTTCCCTATAATATAATTAGACACCGATATTTCTTTCCATGTAACTTTGCAGTGCTTCCAGCTAGAGAGAATTGGGGCTCGGCCATGTGAGTTGCCTTGACTAACGTAATATAGTTATACAGTTCTAGCTGAAGCTTTAAAACGTATGGTGAATTTTTATCAGGTATGTTGAGCTAGCATGAGAAGAGCATGCCCCGTGGAGCCATGCTCTTTCAGTCTGAGAACCGGAATAAAGATACGTGGAGTGGACCTGTAGCGATTCAGCCTAGAGTCCTTCAAGCCTGGTTGAACCCCTCAATGATCCGCTGAAATAGAGCTACCTGGCCTCATTAGTATAAATAAATATAGTTTTAAGCCACTGAGAGTTTGGGAGTGTTTGTCATGCAGTACTATTCAGGAAACACACACTTGCACATTGTCCACCTAACCTTGAAACTTTTCTCCTAGTTTTCAATCAGATCTTTAGAAATTTGGTGACAAAGGAGGGAATAAAGACAACATTGGGGAGCTACAAAAAGCAACTGCCTAAAGACAGTTGTTCTTGGGCAATCATATATATGACCATAGGAATAAGCTTTGCCTGAAAACCACACTGTCTGAACTCTGATCATGAATAAGAACTATTAACCGTTACTGACAATTAAGTATTATTTTAGTAAATGAAATTTATTTTATAAATTCACTACTACAGAAGTATTCAGCAGCAGTTTTTTGTCATTTTACACATAAATATTTGTGGAATGACTTTATTTTATTTCACTATTTTTTAGAAATAACCATTGCTCAGGGCTTTTCTGGCTTTTATTGTCTTTAGCTTGGTGTGCAGTATTTGTTTATGAGTAAGGATCCAACAATTATCTAGTTATTAATGTATATTAAAATGTAGATACTGAAACTGCTTTGAAAATCACCATTGGAAGTAAACTCTTCTTAATGGGACAGAAAATTATTTCCACTGTGTGGAACTAGAAATGCTAGATCTCTACAATTTAGAATGTACATTCATAACTAGTACCACTTCTGGATGAATTAGGTGCTTGTTTTCCCCACTACTTGCCACACACTATTAAATTCAGAAAGAGCAGTTTTCTGTTTTCTGGAAACATTTTATTTACAAATATAAAAAATGTACTCAAAAAACCGTAAATTTTTCTAATTGCATGACATAAATTAAGAATCACACACCGGGGACTGTTGTGGGGTGGGGGGAGCGGGGAGGATAGCATTAGGTGATATACCTAATGCTAAATGACTAGTTAATAGGTGCAGCAGACCACCATGGCACATGTATACATATGTAACAATCCTGCACATTGTGCACATGTACCCTAAAACTTAAAGTATAATAATAATAATAATCAAAAGAATTTAAAACATACTTTGTGTAGATAATTTTTAATATTTAATTGGAATATAGTATAAAAACACTCTGTAGTCAATTAATTCAAGCATCAAAAGGTCTATCCTGTTTATCCATATTTGTTTACTAAAAATGTAATGAATATTTTAGGTAACATTTTATTTAATAAATACTAGAGCCATTGCAATGAGTCTCCACAACATAAACATTTGTACCCTCAGACACAAGTATCTTGGAAAACACTCACAACTTTTTGCTAAGAAAACTCTGGATTCCAATCTTGAGCAACTTCTTAGACAAGTTTTCTCAACTTTCAAAGTAGTGTGATTATATTTGTACAAGTTAGTACCTGCTTATTACTTTCCTAATAGTTTATGGACCTGTTCAATATTGTTATTTTATTTCAGCATTTTTAATAATTTTTATTTTATTATATTTTAAGTTTCAGGTTACATGTGCAAGATGTGCAGGTTTGTTACACATGTAAACATGTGCCATGGTGGTTTGCTTCACCTATCAACCCATCACCTAGGTATTAAGCCCCACATGCATTAGCTGTTTATCCTGATGCTGTCCCTCCCTCCACCCCTGACAGGCCCCACTGTGTGTTGTATCCCTCCCTGTGTCAATGTATTCTCATTGTTTAGTTCCCACTTATACATGAGAACATGTGGTGTTTGGTTTTCTGTTCCTGTGTTAGTTTCCTGAGGCTTCTAGCTCCATCCAATTCCCTGCAAAGTGTATGATCTCATTCCTTTTTATGGCTGCATTGTATTCCATGGTGTGTATGTACCATTACTTCAACCATTGTGGAAGACAATGTGGAGATTCCTCAAAGACCTAGAACCAGAAATACCATTTGACACAGCAATCCTACTGGATATTTAAGCTTTCTTAATCAGCAAGTTGGAATACTCAACAATATTGATTTTATCTTAAGAGACAAACTACATGATGAATTTTATAATCAATGGTTCTATTTTTTTTTTTTTTTTAGCAGGATGGACTTTGGCATAAATAGAAAAAAAAAGCCTAGGTAACATAGGGAGACCCTTGTCTTAACAAATAATAAAATATAGTAAAGTTAAAAAATTAGCTAGGCATGGTGGCACATGCCTGTGGTCCCAGATACTCAGTAGGGCTGAGGTGAGAGAATTGCTTGAGTTAAGATTGAGGCTGCAGTGTTCTATGATTGTGTTACTGTATTACAGCCTGGGCAACAGAGTGATTCTCTCTCTCTCTTTCTCACCGCACACACACACACACACACACACACACACACACACGCACTCGTGTTTTTAGTTTAGATTGATAATATTTACAAACGAAAGGACTTTGAGTATTTTTCCTATATACAGAAATTCAATTTTATGCTCTCAAAATATTTCTGTATGATCTTACTCTCCTGTGCCAGAGCCGGATTCCTTTCATTCTAGCTAAGCTCCCCAGAACTATACGATAATACTAACAGTCAAATTAGAAAGTTATTTCAAAATTATCTTAAACCTACAAAAATATTATCTGCAATTTGAATTTGCAGTTTTTATTTTGATAGAAGACATCTGTAATCTACTTGAAATTAATGAATATGTCTATGCTTATAAAAATTATAAAAGTGTGTTACTTTTACAATTATAGTCAGAGTAGGCAAGCATTTAGACAACTGATTTTACATATTTTAGACAACTGATTTTACATATTCATATACCTTTAAATGTTGTCTCTCTCAATATTTAATAATATGCACTTATATTTTTGCATTGTATATGTATGCAAATATTACATTTTGTTCCATGAATACATACAATCATGATTGACACATAATAATTGTACATATTCATGGAGTAAAATGTAATATTTACATGTGTTTGTATACATTGTGTTATGATCAAATAAGGCTTTTTAGCATATTAATTCCCTTAATCTTTTCTTTGGATGAGAATATTCAAAACCTCTCTTCGATATATTTTGAAATATACAATTCATTATTGTTAACTCTAATCATACTATTATCCAATAATAAGTCCGATAAACTTATTATTTCTACCCTACTGTAGCTTTGGACTCACTGAAAAATCTTTCACCATTTCTCCATTCTCCTACCTTCCCCATGCTCTGGTAACTACTATTCTTCTTTCTACTTCTATGAGACCAACTTTTTAAAGTCCACCTGAGTGGAGTAGACGTCCATTTAAATCACAGTGGCCTATGACTGGATTAGACTATTTCTATTTACCTTTGGAGCTGGTAGAGGAACCCAGATTTCTTAAGAACATTGCCACAACTTTATTCCAGAAATTTGATAGGTATCACTAAAGAAGAAAAAAAAAAAGAAAATGGAATATGTCCTTGATTTTTAAGCAATGAGCGGTGTCTGAAACATAAGATTACTCTGTAAACCTAAACTTAAATTTCTTTAAAATTTCTTAAACTTAAATTTCTTTAAATTTTACTCCTGTTGTGAGAACTACTCTTGTTCTGGAAGAACAAACTGCTAAGGTTGATGTAGCAATAGAAGTGAGGCTTTTATTTTTTTAACTTATAAACTATATTACACTTCTACATACTGTCTTTTACTAATGTCAGACTCTATTGTGTTTATAAACTTTGCATTTTTAACATTAAAGTAAACTTATACTTTTGAAAATCATCCTCAGGGTCTTGTAAGTTTGAGAGACTAGAATAGAATTTGATTATAAACATTGAGTTTAATTGAATGGCTGACTGAAAATAGGAAGACTTTTGAAATTATTACTAATTATATAGAAAATGATGATTTAATTTCAGAGAGAAAAACATATTTTGTATGACCCAATGAAAATATACTTATAGACATTGTTTTAAAATTGTAATTTTACCATCCACCTTATCTTTTAGAAACTAACCAAGAAACAATTTCTACACCTGTAACTGAAGAATACAGTTAATATTTTAAAGTTAACCCTCAATAAATGTTAAAAGAACATGCTATCTTTTCTTAACTTCTCATCATTGAGTTCAGTAAATCATTTTTATATTTTAAGCAATAGAAATTATACAAATACATTCTCTAGGAAATTTATTGGAGAAAATGCTATTTTAAAAATGGTTGGTCCATAGTTGGTAAATAGTTGAACCAAGGGAATCAGTGAACACTGTACAATTACATGCAAAATTGTGTATACTTATGGTTCACATCAGTTTACACATATGGTGCATCCAAAACTATTATTATTAAATCAAATATAAAATATTAAATTTATAAATGCAGTAAACCATATTTTGGTGTTCAAATCTCTTTCCAACTTAAATATTACATGATATTTTATAACTCCATGCATGTTATTGAAATTCACATTACATTTCATTTGCATTAATTTAAAAATACCTCTCTGGAGCCAATAATTAGTTAAAAGTTTTACAAAAGCTAGTTTTTATAAGAAGCTTTTTTAAAAACATCATATTTTATATGTAAAGAAAATAATTAAAATTTAAACACAATCCACTTTGGAAAGTTCAGTCATATATAATCAAGTTAATAATTAAGGAATGTAACCAAATATAAATTAGTTTGGGTATATAGTATGGTAAAATCAAGGTGTCATATTATATTTAAAACTGTTTGATGATATTTGATAATTCTAGTATCAAGAAGTACCTTGATTGTAAAAGTAAGCAAGAGATCTAGATTATTGAAAGAGGCATGCATACCACCTTAGAGAAATATATTTAATTATAAAAGACTTACAAACACTATAACATTAGACAACAAACTATAGAGTCCAGCCTTCTTTTACAAGGACTTCTAGCTTTAGAAAATTAATCCATGGCAGAAAGTACATTGATTTCTATAAAAGAAAATATACAACCAAATAGGTATAATAAATATGCATACTTTATGCCTGTTTTTAATATCTCTTATTTAAGGAGCAGTGTAATTTGCACTCTGTTATAGTACTTTTATGTTTAACTATCCAAAGATTTTTTTATTATAAACAACACTATTTTTTTCTATCCCTCCAGAGGCTTACTAAAAATAGAAAAATGAAACACAAGTAAGGCAGAAGCAACTCAATTCAGCTATTTTAGCATAGACAGCCGAAAGTGTGGAAAGTAGTACTGAAGGGAGGGAAGAAACAATGATTGATGTCTTCGTTGGAAAGATAGATGATATCAGTCTGACAGTTTCTGTCTAAAATTCAATTTCCTGCTGCTCAAGCAACTTAATTTCATTTATTGTTTTTTAAACACTATGGCTTTATAGAAAATATTTCAAAAGGTAATTTGATCTTTATAAGTTTGTAATTATAACATGAATGTTCAAAGATATTTTTCATTTGTTAATTTTGTGTTTTCTTTGTGCGTCTAGTTGGAAGGAGGTATACTTTATGCTCTTGTCTTAGTGTCAATATATCTAGTATATGTCTTGGGTTGAAAACACAACAAACATGCATTTATCTGTGGAGTTGTCATTTGTCTTTCTTGCCTATATTTTCAAGACAGTTATCTCCTGAGAAGACTAAGTGACATAATAGCAGATCAGCAGGAAATTTAAGCTCCATGTTCTGTGTGTTAATGTATCAAACACACCAACATTAAGATGAAGAATGGCATCCTGGGATGAGGATTGGAATGTGGTTTCAAAGAAAAAAGTATCCCCGTGTGAATCATGTTTCTTGCTTAGAGACCAGATGCAAAGATTAAATTGTATTGTTAATGTACTTTTCATAGAGACATGAAAATATGTTTTCTATTATTAAAGCTTAATATTACGATAATTAATGAATTCTCTGCTTATCTCTTCCAGTCCTGTGGGAGGGCTTAAGTTGAAAACTACACCCTGATTAATGAAGAAAGCTGAGTTAGAATTAAAGAATGCTTTCAGAACCTATATAATTGAATGATCACAGCATTAAACATTAGAGAAAATATTGCACTCTTTTTTGTGATGATACAAAACCTGGTATAAAGAAGGTAAAGGAAATATGAAGCAACACTTCATTTTTGCAGCTATTCACTTAAGATTGATCATATAAATAGAGGCTTTTGAGCATCACTATAAAATACAATAAAATATAGATATTAATCTTTGAGGTTTCTGGAACTGTATTTGTTAATTAAACAAAGGTTAATTGAGTGGCAAACATATTTACCTTTGATTATAGTGAGATAAACAAATAGGCAAGATTATTACCCTCAAACATATTAGATACCGTGGTGGAAGGGAGCATTAGAAACAGTAAAAACATAACAAAAACATGAACACAGTTAAGCAAGGTTTAGCTGATAGATTGAATATGGGGATCAAGGGGTGAAAAGTATGATTTCTAGGTGTTTTCATGTGCATCTCCCAAGAGAATATGTAATTTACTGAGATGAGAAAGAGTTGGGGAAAAAAAGCAAATTTACAGGATTGGAATCAAAATTATCTTTGGGACATGTTAATTTCATAAATCTACTAGACATCAAAGGTGAACCCCTGACCCAAAGGAGATTGGCCATGGCCAATGATATAGCCTATCAAGGAAACACTTCCTAAACTAGCTAGCTTTTCTGGAATAGGGACTTTGGAAGCTAATTGGATCAATTTCCCCAGGATATTGCACCCATTCCCCAGCTGCCATAAATGTTGGCTGTCTGGCCCCACACTGGATCCTTCTTTGGAAAATCACCTTCTCTAGCCTCCTTAGAGGAAAATGACACTGTGTTGCAGAGGTAGGAGGCCTGTAACTGACAGGGAAGTGGAGTACAAGAGTCTAACTCCTGGCTTTAAGGCTGGATAATCTTTGTGTGTAGACTGTACTCCATGGTAACATGTGGCACAAGCCTGAAGCTAGTTTCTAGTATAGATCGCATCTTTCCTTAGCCATTTTCCTGCCCTGTCCTGCTTCTTTCAGTCCTGCTTCTGAGAACACTTTAAAATATTTATGTCTGTATTTATTTATTTTTAATTGATACATGATGTTTATACATAGTAATGGAGAACAGTGTGATGTTTCAATACATGCATGCATTGTGTAATAATCAAATCACAGTATTTGGCATATCCATCAACTTATACACTCATCATTTATCTGTGGTGAGACCATTTGAAATCCTCTTTTCAAACTAAAAATACACAATACGATATTATTAACCATAATACCCCTACTGTGCTATAGAACACCAGAACTTATCTCTCTCATCTAACTGTAACTTTACACCTGTTGACCAATCTGTTCCTAACACACACCTTTATTCTCCCCAGCCTCCGGTAACCACTATTCTCTATTTTAATGAGATCAAGTTCTTTAAATTTCACATATGAATAAATCATGCAGTATTTGTCTCTCTGTATCCAGCTTATTTCACTTAATGTTCTCTAGGTTCAAATGTGCTGCTGCAAATGACAGGATTTCATACTTTCTATGGCTGAATAGTATTCCATTGTGTATTTATACCACATTTTCTTTATCCATTTGTCAGATTATGAACACTTAGGTTGATTCCATATTGTGGCTCTTGTAAATAGAGGTGAAATAAACATGGGAATGCAGATAACTCTTCAACATATTAATTTTCCTTCCTTTGAATATATATCCAATAGTTGGTTGCTGAATCGTATGGAGTTCTGTTTTAATAAACTATCATATAATTTTTTTAGAATGCTCCACCCTGTTTTGTATAATGGCTATACTAATTTACCTTTCTCACAAACTGTGTATAATTCCCTTCCTTCCACATTCTTACCAGCATGTATTTTTCTCATTTTAATAATTGCTATTCTAGCATGAATGAGATAATATCTCATTGTGTTTGATTTGTATGTCTCTAATAATTAGTGATGTTGAACATGTTTTAATATACATGTTGGCCATTTGTCCTTTTTTGAGAGATATCTATTTAGCTTATTTGCCCATCTTTAATTAAATTATTTCCTTTTTTTTACTGTTGAGATGTTTGAATTCCTTGCATATTCTGGTTATTAAATTTTTTGTAGAGTGAATAGTTTGCAAATTTTGCTTCTTAGCCACATTGTCTCTGTATTTTCCACTTAAAAGGACCCTTGTTTCTATATGGCAGAATTGCTTTTATAATTGAACTGTATTCCATTTTGTATATATACCACATTTTCTTTATCCATTAGGCTGTTGATGCACATTTAGGTTGATTCCATATCTTGGTTACCGTTAATAGTATTTCAATAAACATGTGAGTGCAGACATCTCATTGACATACTGATTTGATTTCCTTGGATATACACACAATAGTGGGATTGCTGAGTAATAGGGTAGCTCTATTTTTAACACTTTGAGGTACTTCTATATTATTTTTCAGTATCATTGTACTAATTTACATTCTTAAAGTATGTAAGCATTTCTCTTTCTCCACATTTACACCAGCATTAGATTTTTTGTGTGTGTTTTTGATAGTAGCCATTCAAATTAGAGTGAGAGATCACATTTTCATTTTGATTTGCATTTCTTGGATGATTAGTAATTTTAAGCATTTTTTATATACCTCTTGGACATTTGTATATCTTCTCATGAGAAATGTTGTTTAAGATGTTACTTTTGTCTATTTTTAATTAGATTATTTGTTCTTTTGCTATTGAGTTATTTGAGTTCCCTATAAATTCTGGATGTTTACTCCTTGTCAGATAAATAGGCTGCAAATATTTTTCTCACTCTGTAGGTTGTCTCTTCACTTTGTTGTTTACTTTGCTGTGCAGAAGCTTTTTAGTTTAATGTAATCCCATTTGTCTATTTTTGTTTTTATTTGCCTGTGCTTTTGAGGTCTTATTAAAAAAATTTCATGGCTGGGCGTGGTGGCTCACACTTGTAATCTCAGCACTTTAGAAGGCCAAGGTGGGCGGATCATTTGAGATCAGGAGTTCAAGACCAGCCTGGCCAATATGGTGAAATCCCATCTCTACTAAAAATACAAAAATTACCTGGGCAGTGGTGACGCATGCCTGTAATCCCAACTACTTGGGAGGCTGAGGCAGGAAAATTGCTTGACTCTAGGAGGTGAAGGTTGCAGTGAGCCTAGATTGCACCACTGCACTCCAGCCTGGGTGACAGAGCAAGACTCCTTCTGAAAAAAAAAAAAAAAAAAAAAAAAAAAAAAGTCTTGTTTATCTTGTTTAGACAAATTTTGTAAAGCATTTTCTCTGTATTGTCTTTCTAGTAGTTTTATCATTTTATTATTTCAGGTCTTACCTGTAAGTCTTTAATCCACTTTAAGTTTATTTTTACATATTGTGAAAGATAGGGCTCTAGCAATGGAACATAATAGAGAACACAGAAATAAAGCTATTCACTTACAGATGACTGACTTTTGACAAAGGCACCAAGATCACACATTAGAGAAATGACAGTCTTTTCAATAAATGGTATTGGAAAAGCTGAATATCTACATGCAGATGAGAACACCTCTTTAAGACTTTCACAGAAAGCATTAACTAAGAAACTTCTAACAAAATTGATTTAAGATACTAGTGTAACACTCAACTCCTGCTAAAGAACTGACAAAATAATAGGCTCCTAAAGCTGAGCTGTATCTTGAACTATGACTCAATTGATAAATACTGTGCTAATTTCCAGGAAACCTGCTTGAGGAACAATTCTTATTCTTCCTTAAGACTTGACTGTATATATAATATTGTTCTCTTCTTCAACTTCTTGCACTTCAAAAATTTTTTATTATCTAAAATACTCTGAATATATCAATGTTTCTTGCACCATAAAAGAGAAAAAGGGACAGAATATATGATTCAAAAAGGCATGCTCAGAAATAGTATCATTTCTTGTTTATGTAAGTATTCTATAATTAAATGAGTAAAACTTTTTTTGAATTTTTAGAATATAATTTAATTGAATGATTTTCTATAAGTTGCACTTGGAGAGATGACTCACGAAACTCAAAATAGAAAAACATTATTCATGCCAATAATTTTACACCTTTTCTAGCCCTTCATTTATTCTAATTAGTGGGTCCTCATGATTTGGAATATCATAGGATTTTAGAAAACAAAGTGGTAGCAGATTGACATCTCTGATTTTCCATATTCCCTTTCCCAGCTTATGTAATACCTCCTGCCATCACTGGGGGGACATTATGGAATATGACCACCTCAAGCTGTAATTGAGGTGACATGGAATATGGCCACATTCACAACCACATCTTCAATTGGGAGACTGTGCTTTGTTAGCTTTTATTTTTTAAAAAACTTCCACAATTAAACTGAGAAATTACAAAGCAGCAAAATGATGCAGTTAATCCACTGGGAAAAATTATGTGCTTATAAAGTAAAATACACTGCCTCTTTCATGAACGATGTGTGAGCTATTTGAAAATTTTATGCCATTAGCACTTTCAATATGTCATTAACCTAGAAAATAAGAGGGAGTAATGAAAGTCATTAAAAGCAGTTGAGTGTCCTGCTGTAGCCTGGCCAATAAGGGTATAAAGAATGAGAGACAGAGCAAGGCATTCTGCTATATTACAACTCAGCAGGGCTGTGTCTTCAAGATACACACACACACACACACGCAAACACTCACATGCAAATGTGCGTGTATTTTTCTTCCTCTAAGGTATGCTTCATGTAAAGCAAAAAGGTATTAAATTTTTGATAATAGTACCAAGTGCCATTCATAAAAATGTTGACTAATCTAATATAAATATAATTATTCTTAATTTTTAAGGTACTGAGAAGATCACATACTGCATGTCCTCCTAAAACCTGGTCCTGGCATAACCTTCTAAGCTGTTTTATTCAGGTAAAGTTTGATGATAGAAGATACAGTTTATTGTATTATAAATAACAAGATAATATGTTTTTTCTTTAACTACTACCCACTACTGCCAAAATTGTTTTTCCTATAGACTGCCTATAGATACACCTCAACCTACCCCAGGAAACTCTGAATTGGCTGATTTAAAACTCACTCTGATACTATCCAGTGATTATTTTGTGCAATGCCCAAGAAGTTATCAGCTTTATTATCAATATTAGACTGAAGGGAGATCCAAAATCACCACAACTTGATACATAACCCAGGATAAATTCATGGAAATTAATGCTCTTTTAGGCAATACAGATGGCTGAATATATGCTATAGTTTTTCTTTTTCTAAAAGAAATTATACTAAATTATGCTAAGAAATGCTAAAAGAAATTATGCTAAGAAATGCTAAAAGAAATATACTAAATTATGCTAAGAATAGAAGAAAAAAGTTAAAATATCAAAATATTAGTGGTTGTTCTGAATAATAGGATAAGAAAACATTGGATACAATCAATTCATATGTGAAGCAGTATGAGATAGACATATCAGTACTAAAAATCATGTGTTGAAGGAAGTCATACACTTGAGGAACTAACTCAAAGTGCAGAAAATTAAAGAATTTAATATAATTTACAGTATATTTCACAAAAGGTGAAATATATAGATAGAAGTATAGATAGAAATGTATATACTATATAATAGAATGAACATATGTATGTATATATGATATGTGGTATATGAGATATACTGTATAGTAGAAGAAATTTTATATACATGACACAATACTTGAGATTGGATATAGTGGAAACTGTCACATGGTACAATAAAGAATGATGATAATATGGGGGAAAAATAATATAATGCTTAGAACAAATGAATGCATTTTACAAGTTTTAAAAATTCTAAAACCTAGTAGTTTCAATTTACCCTGAAAAACAATAAATCTCACAGAATAGTGAAGACTTTAGAATATCAAATAACTTGGATAAAAAAATGAACTTTGAGACCCTCCTGGGCAATGCGATGAAACCTCATCTCTACAAGAAAATACAAAAATTAGCAAGGAGTGGTGGCACACACCTGTAGTCCCAGCTACTCAGGTGAGCTAAGGTAAGGTTAGATAATCACCAAAAGCGCTGAAGGTGGAGACTGAAGTGAGCTGTGATTGCGCCACTGCATTCCAGCCTGGGTGATGGAGTCAGACCCTGTCTCCGAAAAAAAAAAGAGCAAAATAAAAAATTTGATGCTTTGTCAAGTCATCATTTTTTTGGAGGAAAAATGGTTTTGTACATGGGATTAAACAATGTAAATTCAAAACTTACAGATAAGGGGTTAACTCTATCACTCAACTGTTTAAAAAGTTTATATGAATATGCAGTCAAAATCAATGTGGTATTGCCCTTGAAATGTTATCTATACGGATTTCCAAGGAGACCGCAGGACTGTGTACTGTCTTGGAATGTCCTCAGAAGGCTCTGTCATTGATCAGGTAACAGTAAAAACCCCAGAGTCCTTTCTTACAAATGGAAAAGGGAAAGCAGAGGGACAGAAGCTATTCAAACTTCGTCTTCTTTCCTTGTGGCTAGTGGTCATTGTTTAAAGTGATAAAGTTCTTTCAAAATATCCAAGAATTTAAAAATTTTCCATTCAGGCATCATTTAAAATAATAAATTTCCATTTATATACTTTCAGTTCAGAATGTGGCTAACACTTAAATTGATTAGGTCAAGCTATGTTGACACTGTGACTGCATTTAGGGAATATTCCTGTATACATATGTGTGTAATCAACAAATCATATGGCAAAAGTTGTATTTATTTAGAACCTAAGCATTCTCTCACAAGATGATGCCATAACTGAATGGAACTCTAAAAGTGAGAAAGTTTGTTTTTTTTTTTTTTCTACCAGCATATATGGGTTTCTGTACTGCACAAGTGACCACAAGTACAGCCCCAGAACACAAGAATTCCTTTCTTGCCATAAAGGAATCATGACTCTAGTACATCCAGATTATCAGTGGCCATATGACTCAGAATAACAGAAAACAAAGCAACCATGTGGTGTAAAGAAAAGGTTTCCTATTATGTGTTAAACATTTCTGGGGCTCATGAAGCCATCAAAAAAGAAGAGACATTAAAGAAAGAAAGAAGACATGCTTCAGATATGCTGAAACATGTATTACCTCATTACATATTCCAAGACAGTGAAATGAAAAATCGTTATTAGGTACATCAGAAATATTTGCATACATGTGTTCACACAGACATACACAAACACACAGACACTATTTTACATGTATAAATTAATATATTTATTTATAATTTATTAATTTTATACAAACATACATTGACATATATTTATTGATATAAGTCATTTATAATACAATATAGAATATTGTGAAAGAAAATAGAATCTTGGGACCACAAACTCGCTGTGCCAAAGAGAAAGTTGAGCTTGGGAACTGAATCATGAAAAAAAATGGTCTTCCTCTCACTCCCAAACAGATAACTGCAATTTCATAACCTTGTGTCATAGCCTCAAACATAAGCCAGGTTTCAAAAATGATAAAAGGCAACACATTTCCCAGATGGCCTCTCTCACAAATTGCTCACAAAGAAATTCCCTGTGGGCCCCAAATCTTTCAGGATGCATATCCCCCCTGTAAACTAACCCTAAAACAGAGTTCTGTTGACTCTCACCCCGACAGTGTAAATTACCAGCTTATCTTCACAGGTAGAGGGCAAGGTCAAGTCTAGAAATCTTTCCTCTACCAACGTCAAGGTGAACACACAAGGGACTTCTTCCTCTACTCCATCTTTTCACAAGTTTAGTTTCTTGCATGTAAAATACAGATTTCCTGGGCACTAGATGAAGGCATAATTGACTTTTCCTCTACCCACCTGTTTACACGTAAAACGTAGATTCCCTGAGTGCTAATCAAAGCCTCACAAGACTGTAACCCACTTGTCTCCATTGCCTATCCTCCCGCTTTTATTTACTTTCCTCCTTCCCCTCCTGCTTACTCTTTCCCCTTTAAATATTGAAGTCCTCAAAATTGTCTTTGGGAAAAGCACAGATTACAGATGCTCCTGTGATTGTTTTTTTCCCCCTTCCCCAGGTGCATCCTCAACCTTGGCAAAATAACCCTCTAAAATGATTGAGACATGCCTCAGTCAATTTTTGGTTTATAATCTGTGTGATGTATATATGTGTGGGTGCAGTTGTGGGTGTGTGTAAATTCAAAATCTGGAAAGGAACGAATACAAATTTGTAACAAATTCTGCAGGCAGTTACTGAGCCTCTCGTTGCACCTTCCACAATAACGTTATGGAGATATTCCAAAGAGAGGGGGTAAATTTGTAAAGACTATTTTTTTTAAGTTACATACAAACTACACATTAAGTAAAGTTTGGAGAAGGATGATGGATGTTTGGCAGGGATTCTGCATCTTCTTGGTGCAACAAGCAGCTTCATACAATAATGCAACAAGATACTCTCTATTTAGCTATGGCACATCTCCCTGACAGTGGGACTCCACTGATATACTGCAGCTTTTAGGAACAGTGATGATTAATTTTATATGTTAACTAGGGTAGACCTGGTACCCAGTTTTTTGGTCAAACACTAGTTTAGATGTTGCTATGAAGGCATTTTTTTCAGATATGATTAACATTTCAATAAGATATTGGGTAAAGAAAATTACCTCCCATAATGTGAGTGGGTCTTATCCAATCTGTTAAAGGTTTTATAAGAAAAGACCTGAATATGAACTAATTCTGCCTCCAGACTGCCTTTGTATTCAAGACTAAAATATCAACTCTTGCCAGAGTTTTCAGCCTGCTGGTCCCCCCAGCACATTTCAGACTTGCCAGCACCCATAATAATGTAAGCCAATTCCTTAAAATCTCTTTCTCACTCACTTTCTGCATATATATGTATATGTTTTACATGCACAGAGGTATATATATGTGTATATATACATACGTTTATGGTACATGCTTTATATATTATTAAAATATACATATATAAAATTATATGTGTTTCTCTAGAATATATCTATTATATCTATTTTCAGAGAAATAGATATAATTACATCTATTTCTATGGAGAACCTTAATGTGAGGGTTAAATCCTATTTATGGAGAAAATTATAAGGCAAAGGAAACAAAAGTGAACAAGGACAAGACTTAAGTGCAAATGATTCAAAAACAGATATGGGATTAATTTGAGAGGAATACAGCACATACAGTAAGTAATAGCAATCAGGTAACAAAAGGTCATGAGGAAATATCATTATAGTTGAGACATAGGGCAATCTGCAAAAAATTTCCTTGCTTAACACAGTAGCTCGTTTGACAATTTCCTGAAATAAAATTTGACACTATCCTAGATATCCTCTGTACTGTTTTTTTTCTTGATGAGAAATCTTAGGAAATTAAATGTATACATACATATAGATTTACCACACATACAAATTGTTTATTCAGTAACTTTTTGAAATAATGGTATTTGAAAGCTTTTTGGAGAAAACCTTTAAGAAAAGTTTTATCATTTTTGCGTAAATAATTTTTTCCTTGATAAGCAAACTGAACAATTGCTTTAAGAATTGCTATAATATCATTACAATTTCAGCCAAACCATTCTCAAATTTACTCAATACCACAGATTCTAGTCAGACAATATCAGAAAAATTTTCAATTGTCTACCAGGTTTTGAAAAAATCTAAAAAAAAGTGTGTGTGTGCATATGTGTGTATTTGTGTGTGTATACACTGAGTGATAATGATGTAACATCCATTATCAATCTGTGATGTGTGTGAGCTTCTTGAATGTGTTTTGAAATGACTTTTTAAGCCTAGGCTAAAAAAAAATTTTTAGCATTTGCTAAATCCTTCTACATCAGTGGGTTACATTCATCAAAGTCTCTCACAGAAAAAAAATTATCATCAAGAATCCCTGATTTAATCACCTGACACTATCACTTTCCAAATGACGATCATTTCATACCCTTTCTTCACCACCTGCTACTCATCACCAATCATCAAGCTGTTTCTTCTTTCTTTGACAAGTTAAAACACATTTGTTAAATTTTATATACTAATTATATTTACTTTCAATTTTATGTTTATTACTGATATAAACTTTTTAAATTATTTCGTTGATATATTTTATTATCTTTGAAAATTAATTGAAAAACTTCTAGAATGGAGGACATGCTTAATTTTTTACCTCATTAAATTGTCGGCCTTTCACTCAGTGGCAGAGTTTACATGAACTAATTTAAGACTTTAAGAAAAAAACAGAAGTCATGAAAAACAGCTTTTTACAGTGTTTCTTTTCTCTTATGAAAATGGAATAAATATTTTTACCGTGTGTATTAGACTTGTGCAGAGAAACAGAAGCTGTGGGATATGGGGTGTGTCTATTTAAGGCATGCGTGCCAACCTGTTTTATTGTAGGGAGAGATTTACTATTTTTAAAAAGTGGTTCATGGGATTATGAAGGCTGACAAGTCCCAAAATCTGCAGGTCAATTGGCAAGCTGGAGAGCCAGGAGTGCCGACGGTTTAATTCCAGTCTGAGCCCAAAGGTCTGAGCGAAAGGAGAAATGATGTCGTCGTTTCAGTTCATTAACAAGCAGGCTTCAGACCCTAGAAGAGCCAGTGATTCCCTCTGAGTCTGCAGGCGGGAAAAAAGTCAATGTCCCAGTCTAAAGGCTGTCATAGAGAAAGAATTCTATCTTTACTTTTCACAGGGGAGAATCAGTGATTTGTTCTATTCAGGCCTTCAATGGATTTTACAGGACTACCCATATTAAGCAGAGCCACTTGCCTTACCCATTCTATAGATTTAAATGCTAATCTCATCTTTTAGTATTCTTATGTTTTATTGTAATATTTACTTTAGAAAACTTGTAAATTCTTTCTGTTCTTCTTTGAGATGTAAATCTTTTTAAAAAGTTCTTGTCAGTGTTACAATCCAGAAAAGTCTTTTTCAAGAAACTGTGAGCTATCCCTATGAAATGTAAACATCAAGAAAGATAACACCTCTAGCTCCTAGCTTATGTGGCAACATAGCAGTCTAACTTCAGCCTAACTTCAGGCTCCCAGTTCTAAGTGGTAAAACTGTCTTGTCATGAAGATGAGAGAAAGTTTATTTTCCTGAAGGTCAAGCCAATTAGCAAAGGTAGATGGCCTAAATCCCTCACTTCAGTTTTTGAAATCTTTCCAGCTCTTTTTTTTAGTAGCGTTGACCTCAGACTAAAATTCTGGCTTCTCTACCTACTACAGTAGCCTTGAATACAGTCTTTCTTGCCTGGATAACATTGTCTTTTACAATTTTTGCTTTGATAACACTGAAGGAACAATCACAATCAGGTCTCTACAGCAGAAAGAAATGTGTTTTTAAGTAACAGAAAAGTGTTATTCATGGTTCTGTATAATAAGCAAAATATTTGTGAATATGCTTGTAGATATAATCAAAGCCAAATAATGTAAAGTCTTCACGGGTTTCCTTTTGCAGCTAGAAACTATGTGAATATTGATTACTAGAATATGGCATCTTTTGGATTGTTTGTAATCATGCACTTTGGCTGTCATATGGGATATAAACTTTATGATTCAAATTTTAGAAGAAAAAAATTTAGTCATAATTTTCACAGTTCATATGAATCTTATGATGGCTTATGACATGGTAGTGACAAATATAGAAAGGATTTTTTTTTTTTTGAGACGGAGTCTGGCTCTGTCGCCCAGGCTGGAATGCAGTGGCACAATCTCAGCTCACTGCAGGCTCCGCCTCCCGGGTTCACGCCATTCTCCTGCCTCAGCCTCCCGAGTAGCTGGGACTACAGGCGCCCGCCACCACGCCTGGCTGATTTTTTTGTATTTTTGGTAGAGACGGGGTTTCACCGTGTTAGCCAGGATGGTCTCGATCTCCTGACCTCGTGATCCACCCGCCTCGGCCTCCCAAAGTGCCTGGATTACAGGCGTGAGCCACCGCACCCGGCCTAGAAAGGATTTTTTTTTAAATGATACATATTTAAGGTATAATTGGCAAATCTGATTTGCAGATTGGAGAAAGATAAAGAAAAAGGAAGATTTTGTGTTTCAAAAACTACGTAACTATCAACTAAATTATATTCAACAGCAAGAGAATGAGAGTCAAAGTAACAGTAGCTTTCAAGACATAAGCTTATTTACCTTTCATGCAAACTTCAGAAATGAACTCAAGTCTAAGTTTTTCAAAGTTCTCATGGGCCATGGCTCACTATTCTTTCATCTTTAAGATGTTTTCTTCATCTTCCTAGTCTAAGATGACAAAATCTTCATTACAGAAAGCAATCTGGATGTATGTAAGAGAAAAAGGAGAGAAGCTAGAGTATACACCGAATGATTGTTTTTTTAAAGTTCCTGGAAACTGCCACATAAAACTATAGCTTATATCTTAATGAATGGCTTATGTCGTAATAGAAACATGACTGGCCACATCTAGCTAATATTTATTTTTGGTTTTAATAATAAATTATTTTATAATTTTTAACATAATATTTTAGAATATTTTCTTCTATTTGATTGGAAGTTATGGAGAATGAATATTGTAAGACCAAAAGGAGATTTGAGAAAACACCTAATTATGGTTCTAAGTTCACCCAGCTGAGGGTACTGGCACACAGATGGCCAGATGATTCAAACCTACATAATTAGCATACTAACCTGGGGCTATGTAATAAAGTGGTAGCAAAGAACAATCTCTCAATCTCATGTATTTAGTATTATTACACTGGGATGATATAAACTGACTATATCTATGCCGACAAGATAGTGACAAGGTAACAGACATGAAATTATGATAAAAGTTGTACAGAGGAGAAAGAGGGAGAGAGACCAGAAGAAAGGAAGTACCTTAGTGACATTGAAGAATGGCTTTAGTTCCCCCTTTCCCTGCGTATTCTCTCTCTTTCTCTTCTCTCTCTCTCCCCATGATTCTCCCCTCTAATCTTAAGCTTTGTTTCTTTTATATGCAATAAAATTACTTCTGAATTATACTTCCGAATATGATTGCAAGAACATAAGGTAAATATGTATTCCAAAAGTCAGAGATCTTTGTTTTTATACATGGATATATCGCAAGAGAGCATGTGACAAGACCTGGAAGATGCATATGCATGTGCAGGCTCATTGTGTGTGTGTGTGTGTGTGTGTGTGTGTGTGTGTGCGCGCGCGCGTGCGTGCGCACATATTGCAAATTAAGAGACAAACGAATGGTAGAAAAATAGTTATCACAAGTAAGTGAATCTAGCATGTAGAATTGGCCAAGCTATTTTTGGGATGGAAGCAATGCAGATTGTTTCTAGGTAGCAGTCATTGTTATCTGTTGTTGAAGCAACTGAATGTACTATTACCTTTTCTTTTTCTTTTTCAACATATTTTAAGTTCAAGGGTACATGTTCAGGTGTGTTACATAGGTAAACTTGTGTCATGGGGGCTTATTGTATAGATTGTTTCAACTCTTGGGTATTAAGCCTAGTACCCATTAGTTATTTTTCTTGATCCTCTCCCTCCTCCTACTCTCAACTCCTTGATAGCCCCCAGAGTATGTTGGTCCCCTCTGTGTCCATGTGTTCTCATTATTTAACTCCCACTTACAAGGTAGAACATCTCTTATCTGGGTTTCTGTTCCTGCATTAGCTTTCTAATGATAAATGCCTACATGTCCATCTATATTCTTGCAAAGGACATGATCTTGTTCATTTTTATGGCTGCATAGTATTCCATGGTGAATATGTGTACTATTGGTTTTTCTATCAGAACTCAAGAAAAGTACTTGGCAAGGCTGAACTCTAGGAATATTTTCAGAAATATTGAAGGTGACTGTGAATTGTCTATTTCCCAAGAGTTTCATATGCTGATACAGAAGAGCTTATTCAAAGAAAACCTGTGTGAGGGTTTTTTTTTATAGGAAGTGTTTTATACCTTTAGAAAAATATCTGAGAACATTGAGAGAAAATCAAGCATCTTGGGAAAATCTCAAATTTTATTTTCATTTCCTTAACTAAATTTTGTAAATCAAAGGCAACGTCATAAAATGCATGATTGCTGGGTATTAAGATTAGGAAAACCAAGGGAAATAAGTAAAATCATATATCTCATCACACAATTTTCCTGCTATATTATGCTTATGGAAATAACAGTCCCCCATTATTCTATTCTAAGTGGAATGACATGCTTTCCATCTGGGAAATAAGAGTGGGTTAACATTTCTCACTACTCCAAACTGTTGTTTTATAATTCTGAGTGTTTACATCAAGATCCAAGCTACAAAAAATGAGGCCTTGCAATGTAAAAAAAAGTCCAAGATTATTGCTAATATACATAAATTATTAGAGAAAAAAGCAGCTTCTCAGATTACAGTATCATAAATTGACAAGAAAGCTAATATTGTATAATTAGAATAGAATTCTAAGGTGGAGGAATGCCTACTTTTCAACTCATTCTATAAGGCCAGAAGCCAATTATAGTATTTAAAAAAATCCAAATCACATAGATATAAAAACTTTTCTAATTTTAGGATGTCAAACCCATTATCCCTTTTCATAAATCTCTTACAAATTGAAAAAAGAAGGAAACTTTTTCTGCCTGATTAGGATTCTCTCCAAAGCTTTTTTAGCTTTTAAAAAGCTATTTGATAAGGAAACACCAAAAGTTTTTTCCCAGTCCAGAAAAACACACAGACGTTTGCTTTCACCTCTTGTATTTAATATTATACTAGCTATTTTATCCACTGCAATATGATAAGAAAAGCAAATAAATTACATACGGATTGGAAAGGAAGAAGTAAAACTTTTTACCATCTATGTAAAAAGTTTGACAGAATCTACAAAAGAACTAATGAGTAAGTTTAGAAAGACTGCAGAGTTCAAGGTCAATGTATACAAATAAACACATGGTATTTTTCTACAGTAGCAGTGAAAACCCCAGTAGACATATTTGTATTAACTGGTACTCTGACCCAAAAATTTATCCTAATATAAAAAGAAATATTCAGGCACTATCATATAACAATACACAATTTAAATGAAAATATATCATAGACTTAAATATTTATTATAAAATTTACAACTGTCTCAAAACATATGAAAGTAAAATCTTGTATTTATGTGAAGCAAAGGTTTTTTTTAATGTATGACACCAACACACCTCAATAAACAATTATAAAATAACTTCTGCTCTTTAAAGGCATGTTCAGAGAATGAAAATACATGTTATACAATGGAAGAAAATAGTTTAATGGTATATGAAGCAAATATTTTTATCTAGAATATAAAAATAATTTTGAAACTTCAGTTAAAGAAACAAAAACAAATGAGGAAAAGATGTAAACAGATACACTACAAAATAAGATACACTGAACAAGATTAAACATGAAAATAAAAGATTCTAAAAATCACTAGACACTAGGGGAATCCAAGTTAAAATTGCATGAGATACTGCTCCAAACCTATCAAAGGATCTAAAATTAAAGAATTATCACACCAAGTGTTGGCAAGGATATAGAGAAAATTATGACTGTCATTAATTGTTGATGAAAACACAAATGATACAACTACTTTGGAAAACTGTTTGACAGTTTATTACAATGTTGAACATATGCCCACTATATGACCAAACCATTCTATTTCTAGGTGTTTACCCAAGATAAATGAAACTATATAACCATGGAAATACTTATAATTTCATTTTCATAGCAGCTTTATTTGTACTAGCACTAAGCAGGGTCTCACTCTGTTGCCCAGGGTTGAGTGCAGTGACATGATCACAGCTCACTGCAGCCTCAACTTCTCTGGCTCAAGCTATACTCCCACATCAGCCTCCCAAGTACCTGGGACTACAGACACATGCCACTATGCCAAGTTAATTTTTTCTATTTTTTTTCTAGAGACAAACTCTCACTATGTTGCCCAGGCTGGTCTCAAACTTCTGAGCTCCAGAGATCCTGCTGCCTCAACTTCCCAAAATGCTGGGATTACAGGCATGAGCCAACAAGCCTGGCCATGAATGAACTTTATGAAATAAGAAAAGCAATATCAAAACAACATCCACCAAAAATAGTTAATATAATAAAGAAATAGAAGCATCTTTTGAATACATATCAGGATATTAAAGTAATATTAATAAATCAAAAGTTTGTTAAGTTTTAAAAATTCAAATATTGGAACTAAAAATAAATAAAATTATGAGTTGTTCAGTGATTTAAAAATAATACAATAAAAATATGAATACTTAATGATCAAATAAATTCATATAAGATGGTTATATTTCTAGATACATATTCTTTTTTTAAATTTTTTTATTTTTTATTATACTTTAAATTTTAGGGTACGTGTGCACAATGTGCAGGTTTGTTACATATGTATACATGTGCCATGTTGGTGTGCTGCACCCATTAACTCATATTCTTAAACATCTATGCAAATGTAATTTAAAAAGAATTTGATAATTTGAATAATTTTTTATCATATAAGAATCCGAATCACTTTACAGAGATCAAATATTGCTTTAAAATATTTACCAAATACTCAAGAAAGACAAAATTCCAATCTTACACAAATTTGTTGAGGCTGTAATATAAAAGAAACCTACCCTTAGATTTTATGCTGATATAATATTGTTTTGGTTGGGTCCTTTTCAAAGCAGATGCCAAGATAATAAATCCTGTAAAGAAAAAAAAAAAGAAATTTTTCTAAAAAGTTCAGATTTGTAGGTAACATATACCAAATTTCTAATAACAGAAAATCCCTAACTTATAAATGCTTTTATGGAAAACAGGAGAATAGAAAAAATTTACAGCATTTTTTCATAAAGGCATTATTAATCATTATATTCAAACTGCATATAGAAGAATATAACATTTTAGATAAATTTCCCTAAATCCTTGGATAAAAATATGGTATTTAAAATATTGAAATTTCTACTAACATGATCTCTAAGTTCACTAGTATTTCCATCAAAATTTAAGCAACATTTTAAGAAACTGAATAAACATATTCTAAAATGTATGGAAAAGTGTATAGAAAAATTTGGCAAAGCAGTATAATAAAAAGAAGGTGTTCCTAACAGATATTACATATTTCACCACGAAAGTAATTTTAAACTTGTAATAATGGCAATGAAAGAGAAAAACAAAAAATGAAATAGAACAGAGTTAAAGACCCATACACACACACACACCACACACACACACACACACACACACACACACACACACACACACGGGTTCCATATATATATATATGGAAACCTGGTATACAAAGAGCTTTTTTGATTACTCAGTGAGAGTAATCAAATTGGGAAATTTGGCTAATTCTATGAGAGAAAATTAAACCAGTTCTGTAATATACAGCATGATAGAAAAACAAACTCAAGCTATATTAAGAGCATAATGGGAATAACTAAAATCAATGTGAAATGAGAAAGAATTTCATAAACAAGACACAGAAAGTGAAAATCATGATAGGGCTTTTTTGTTTACTAAGTACTAGAATTCTTAATCTGAATGAGATGGAGACCACTGAATAGTTTTGAGCAGAGAGAGACATGATACGATTTGGGTTTTAGAAGGACCACTATTTGTGTAGTATTGAGAATAGACCCTAGTGAGTTGGAGTGCAAGAAAGGAGGTCAGTTATGAGGACATCATAGAAATTCAGCAATGAGATCAACTAGCTTGACTAGGTGGTGGCAAAGAAAGTTAGGTTATGTAGTTGTTTATGGCATGTTTTGAAACTATAGTCAATGAGATTTCTTGAAATATCTAATATGGGCATATGAAGAAAACAAGAGAGGGTGAATAACAAGCTTTTTGTGAAAGAGGCTGGGAGACTAAGGAGGCCAAAGGCAGGAAGGCTGCAAGTTGAAGTAGATCTGATAAGAAATTAGAAATTCAGTTTGGTCCTGCTGATTTTACAATGTCTTTTCAAGCGGAGATCTTTGAATTTGAAGTGGAAAATCTGGTGATACAAATTTATGAATCATCAGGGTAAAGACAGTATTTAAAGATCTGGATGAGAGTGGGTGAGATAAATATTGGTAAGAATGAAGATAAAGAAAGAAGAAAGAGAGCAAGTCCCAAGAACCATAGCTTTCTCAATTTAAATTGGGACTGTTTCTTCATAAATGGCTTTAGCTTAGATATTTTAGTCTGCATTATACACAGTATCAAGTACAATATGTGCCACTAAAATTTATAAGTATATATTAATGAATAAATAGAAAATATTTGATTATAAATGGGGTAAAATTGCCAAATAGCATCAACATGTGTGTGGTCAGGAACCCAAAAAGAGAAAGCCACAGAAATTGTCCTAGATGTGCCCAAGAATCAGAGCTGAGAAAGCGCTCAACAATCATCTTTCTCAATTCCTAAGGTCTAGAAAACAAAAATTCACATGTCACAAATTAATCAGCTAATTAGTGAAATATTAGGATATTAGCTCAGATCTTCTATATCCTACTCTACTATTCCCTCTACTCCAGCAAGATACAGTAGATATATCTGAACATGAAAACTAATTTAAGAAACTGAAAAACCATCTGGATTAAGCGAAAAACAATTAATAATTTATTTAAAGTTTAAAAGTCAAATTTAGATTTCATTTTATGAATACGTATTTTCATATATTTTTTTCTGCTATGTTTTCTTCAAGGAAAAGACTTTTGATACTTTAATAGTGAAACAGACTTGAAGATTTTTCCAAAGTATTTTAATAATTAAAGAAAGCTCTGTATGTTTTGTCATCTATATGGTCAAAAAGTTAATCTCTTTAATATTTTTCTCTATTTTAAATCTAATATTAAAATAATTTCATACCTCAGTTTCACAATTTTACTTTCATATGCTACAAAAATGTAAAAATCAGTATCTTGAAAAGCATTGCAATATGAATATGAATGAAAATATAAATGGAATTTTTAAACGTGAAAGTTAATACACCAATTGCTATATATGGAAAATAAAGTCTACAGAAGCTTAGAAGAAATGAAATCTATTGGTTTTTTGGCTAAATAACAAGATGAAGTGACACCACCACATGCAAATTGTTACCAACACATTTAACATTCCAGATTTTCACCACTGAATATATAATTAATACTTAAATAAGCAGGCAGCTTCAAACTTCTTAATTCCAACATCTGCACAACGTTACAAATTCTTTAGATTTGAAGTTTTTGAAGGTAATGTGTAGCCATACTGAAATTAATATCCTATAATATATAGTGTTACATTACTTGGTTTTTTACTTTGCTTATAGTACTTATTTGCTTTCCTTTGGAGTCATGACATAGGAAGATAATCTGTTACTCTAAGCAGGGTTACCATATTATATTACACACACACACACACACACACACACACACACACACACACACACACACACAAGTTTTATTTTATTTTCCTGGCTTCATCTTTCATTGGCTTGCTATCAGTCAAATACAGAATTGGAAAAAAAAGTTATAGGGGCAAAAGACTTAAGAAATACCAAATCAGGCCAGGCACAGTGGCTCGCGCCTGTAATCTCAGCACTTTGGGAAGCCAAGGCAGGTGGATAGATTGAACTCAGGAGTTCAAGACCAGCCTGGGTTACATGGTGAGACCCCCGTCTCTTAAAAAAATATGAAAATTAGCTTGGTGCGGTGGCACGCACCTGCAGTCCCAGCTACTTGGGAGGCTGAGGTGGGAGAATCACCTGAGCCCAGGATGCAGAGGTTGTCGTGAGCCAAGATCGCTCTATTGCACTCCAGCCTGGGGGATGAAAGGAGTCTCTCTCTCTCTCACTCTGTCTCTCACTCTCTTTCTCACACACACACACACATACAAAATCATATTTTGGTCTTGATATTCTCTTTGAAGAATTTATACAGTACATAATATCATATTGCTAATATAGACACTATGTTGCATGGCAGGTTTCTAGAACTTAAATGTATTCAGAGGGTAGATATCATGTCAAATGTTCTTACCACAAAAAAAGACAAACAAAAAAGAAAAAAGAATAAAAACAAAGGTACATGAGGACATTTTGGGAGGTGCTAGATACGTCTATTACCTTGGTTATGGTGAGGTTATTACTGGTGTTTGTATGTCTAAACACATGAAGTTGTATACGATAAATATGTGCAGTTTTTGTATATCAATGATACCTCATCAAAGCTGTAAAAATTCTTATCTAGGCTTCCTCTTGATATATTCACCTCACAAAAAAGATAATACTAACCCAAAGCTGTGGATAGAGATTTCCACTTATTATAGATGTTATTTGATCGCTGCATTTTCAATACGTAAAATTAAACTTAGAAAGGTTAATTCTTGTATGTTATATAGTGAACACTTAGTGGAATCTGTATAGGGAAGATATGAATTTTATATTATTCAATTTCCTAACATTTTTCTATGAAATTTTCTCTTTATAACAGATTTAGCTGTTTTTCAAATTTTGTTTTGGGTATTTTTTTTCTTTGCTGATTTGTTTAGCCAGTAATACTGCTGAGACTCTAAAACAACATATAAGAAAACTACAAATTACTTGCTCTAGGAAACTAGTAAATAATATATTTATAAAAACTCATTGTCTTTCTTCAAATACTAATTTTCAGTTCAGTTACAATACTGCCATATTCTTTCAGCTACTTCTTATATGCCCTAGTAGCAGGGAGTAAAAATAAAATAAAACCTGTCATTAAAATTTTATCTCTCATTATTTTAGAAAATTAGCTAAGTAGAATAAATGCGTCAACTAGGAAGCAGAGAAGATAAAAGTAATAGTTTTGCAAGTGAAATTGCGCATGTTTTCAAAAGTACTGGACGTTGTTACATTCTAAATAGCAACTCTCTACAATTATACATATTAATATATGTGTACTCTGTTTCATTTTATGGAGTATTTCTATTATTGTTTGATGTAATGTACATTCTCTTTAGATTTTTATACAGCCTATTGACCCTCAGAAGATAAGACATTTAACATCTTTAATCCTGTCGGCTTTAAGAAGTCATTTTCATGAATTCCGTGTAGAAATTATATTTAAGATTTCTATTTGCCTAATTTGACTGTGAAGTAAATATCTTGATGAACACAGAAATATAAAATACAAACAATAATAGAGTAGCACTTCAGAACTGTAAGCATTAGAATGAACATTATTCCTAATGCTAATTGCTGTGTTAAAATTTGCTGATAAAATCATACAAACAAGAATCATTTGAATAATTTTGGCATGCACAACATACAATTTGAAAATACAAGAACACAAAACAAATGGCAGTCTGGAACCCGAGTTTTAGAAGTAACAGCAGTTCCTTATTTTAAAAAGTTCTGCAATCAATAGAAGTTTATAGCAGCAAAGTCAAACCATCTCACTTAATTTAAATTACCCTGTTAAATAATATGTTAAAATTTATTTTAAAACCACACACTATGCTATTTTTGTCAAAATGATTTGATTGACTAAGTGATATAAACACTAAAAACTCTCACATTTCCCATTTGTAACATAATATTTTAATTGTAGAGAAGGAGCATCAAACATTTTGAGAGTCTATAAATCCTCTTCAAAGGTGAGGTTTTGCATATTTAGAGAACATCGTATCCCACATTTTTATTTTCACTGTGTCTCAGGTCTAATTCAGTGAGACTATATTTTAGTTTTGCTCAAATATTTTCTCAAAACTCCCATATATCTGCAGCATCAGTCCGCTAACAAAGTTACCTTGTTAAAATTTAATCCAAATATTTTCCCCACTACAGGTCTAGATGGATGATTTTAAAAGTTGCTCATTTTATTACATCTTTAGTGACTCTTTTTACAAAGATATAAACACCAAGTATTTGGGCCACCTAGACCTCAATAGTTTATTCATGCACTATACGTCTTCCCATACAGGGACTTTTGCTTAGTGCTAAATCCCCGTCTGAGAGTGACAACTCACCCTAATTTCACTTCAGACACTAGTTACTATAGCCAGGTTAATGAATGAGCCTTTGGAGTTCAAGTATTTTCCTGACAGTTTGCCAAACCTTGTCTAAGAATGTAGCTTTGCCTTCCTATGACCTAAAATCTTCCTTCTAGGCCTATGTCTGTGATTGAATAAATGCAACCTGATACCAATGCTCATTTATGCTACTTTCCTATCACTGTTTTTGCTGTTTTTCCTGATATTTCTAATGCCAAATCACTGTATAATCTTGATATTTCAGATATAGTCCATCCACCTCTACTTTTTTCCTAATAATTCATGTCGTATGGCACTTATTTCATGACCACTTGCTACCTCATATTTCTTTCCCATGTGTATCTTACATCCTATCTTATATGACTTGTCCATGTACCCTTTTTCAACAAATATCTTAAGTAGGTATTTCTGGTTTCCAAATCACATATCATCTAATTTTGACTTAGTGCACTAAATAAACCTATTCTTAGAGAATCATCTTAGGGCAACTTTGACCAATGTGGAATACTCACTAGAAGAACTGGTCACATTTAATAAGCCAAGCAGTAAGTCATCAGAATTGAAGAATATAATAACCAAACACTAGAATACATTAGTCTACCCGTGTGCAACTCCCTGTGGGATTAGGGCCTCAACAGCTGATGTTATTTTGTACTCACTTTCCTATAGGTGAGATTATGATAAAATATTCCTAAATTATCAGAAAAGTTTGTCTTTTATTATTAGTTTTGTACACACGAATTTGTGTGTCTCCCAAAATTTCACTCAGTCATTTCTCTGTATAATATTAAAAACAAAAACTCTGTGTGATATTTTTAACGTTGCTTTCTTACTAAGAATAAAACTTTTCATTTAGAAATCATTGTTATATAATCTGAAACATATTTGATATCTTGCTCTTCAATGTGATCCATAATTATTAAAAATGTGGCCTTCTAATTTTGTATTTTTGTCATCATAAAATATCAAGGAGCATATACATTATTCATTTTTAATTCAAACATTTCTGCAGCAGAAGGTGCTGAGCAAAGTCAGTACTTGGTAAGTTTTCTCACTTAACTTCCACTCTGTTTGTCAGAACTCTTTATTTCAGTGACCAGCTTGAGGTTTCCATCTGGAATACAGCTTGCTTTTAAGACTTCTTCCAGAATGTAGTGCTGCTATTTATTTGAGATTTGCTAATGTCCTCAGAGTCAATGCAAAAAAAAAAAAAAATGCTGTGTTTGTGGTTTTTGAATCAGAAAGCTGCTGGCACTGAAAAATGAAGAACAAATCATTGCATCCTGGCAAGCTCCTAACAGCACTGGACCATTAACACTCAATCATTTTGAGCCAAACTTACTTTCCTAAGATTTGATCTCTTTCCTGGGATGATGTGGGTTTTCAGAAAATATACAGGTGCCTTTTCAAAGAATGAAAGATGTGGATTTATTTTTTTTCTAAATGACTATAACCTGTTTAAGAAGACTCAATATATAAAACTAGCAAATGGCTTTGCTTCACAGAGTTACCTTCACTATTGTAACTTTTTGATTTCTGCACTGAAATTCTGATACTACTAAAATTAGTCTCTATCATGATTTTTTTTTTTTTTGCATCTAGGATGTTCTATAACATATGCTTAAACAGAAAGCAAGATGAAGTTAAGTACTTAGTATAAACAGACACATCCCAATTCTATCAGAAAAAAATGTTGACATTCAAATTAATCTAAAGAAACTTCATTGTGTGTGTGTGTAAGGTTCCTTTAAACACCATTTTATCACGGCTCTGATACCATTTAAGCACCTTATATTCTGACTAGTCACAGAACAGCTGTCAAGTGGAAATAACAGTGACTGACAATTACAGAAGAAATAAAATGGCTTCCAGAAGTGCGCAGAGACCTGTGGACCTCAATCAGCTAAACTACAAATCCATTAAATGACTTAATTTTGTGTATCCAACTGTGAGATATATTTACCATTACACTGACAAGAACTATAGATAATAAATGCAGCCTGTAATACAACTCACCAAGTGGTGTGATCCCTGTGCTGAATTATCTGATGTGGTTCCAAATACTGCTTACAGGTAAAAACTGATAAATTATCACAGAGCTTAAAAGAAAAAAAGGCTAAGGTAAATGACTAATGTCACCACTTGCTTAAGGAGGCAAACTTCAGATTTTAAAAATGTTAATTATCAAATCCAAATATTCTCATAAGTCTACTACTGGAAAGAGAAGATGTGTTGAATCATTTTAAATTAATGTTTACTTTTTAAATCAGCAATGTCGCAAAATAAGTGATCACCATTGGTTTTAAAACAGGTTTGTCCAAATTCCATGTGTTTTGGAATTTTGAACATGATAGAAATGGTGCATTTGCCAAAGGATACTTCCTTTAAAAAGGTGATAACATATCATTTGTACTAAAAACTGCTGATTACTTCTTTTCTTTTCTTTTTAAAAAACATTATATAAAAAATGAATTTACTAACCATTCAAAAGATTGTGACAAAGAAAAACTATTCAGTCACTTATCGATTTAGTGGAAAATATTTATTAAGACATCAGTGTGTGCCTTGGATTGGTAGGAGAGTCATGGTTGAAAGAATACAGATGGTATGTAATATGATTTTAAGAAAGTATTATTTAAATGACAGTGAAATGTCATTCATTCAATAGAATAAAAAGTCAGGCAAAAAAAATTAAACTTTAAGCGTGTATTTTTTCCACAGGTATACTCAAGTGGAAATAAAGTAGATAGATGAAAATTTTACTTAGTTTTTATCAGTAATTTTTCATCAATAATTTTCTATGATAAATGAATCTTATTCTTGGGTTAATTTATTTGGCAATTTTCCCAATATGCTCATTCTAGAACTTCAGCAGTTATCATCAATTTTTACCTCAAAACCTGTAAAAATATAATTTACTTTAATTTACTTTGGCATTGTAATTGCTGACTGGGAAGCAAAATAAACAGACTGCAGATAATGCATGCATTTTCTACGGAGGGAAGAAATACATGATGATTAATTATTATAAAACTGTATAATAAAATGAGCCATAACTACAGAGATGAGGAAAAATTGATCGCATAAAGATTTAGGAAAAATCTAAAATAAGCATTCATTATAATCCTTAACTGCAAGACAAATGAGAAGATATAGATGCTATAGTACAAATATGAAATTAATCACACACAGTGATTTATTTAGTACTCACAGAAGAAAAAAATAGAACCACCACTCAATAAGTGTATATTTGGTACAGGACTTCAAATAATTTGTTAAGCAACTTGATATTTTTGTGTATTTATCTATGTACGCATATACTGTATATGCTGTGTGTGAGTGTGTGTGCATGTTTGATATGTTACACTGTGGCACTTTTACCTGCTTTACAATGTAAAACTTTTACCTTTTTTACAATGTACTTTTCCCACCTGTCTTACACATCTTCCTAGAAGATGACTGATTACAGTAAATTGATATTTATATATTATTTATATATTATATATATTCATATATCATATATTCATATTTACAAAATATTCTTTGAGCATGATGCTAGGAAGATATCAGTGTATATTTTTTGTTCCTCTATAACTCTTGATCTTAGCCAAAAGGCCGAGAAGTGATTTTGTTCCTTTATAAGAGCTATTAGGCATGTGAGGCTAAAAGTATTAAGATGTTTATATAAAACAGTGTTTGGTCTGTAATTAAAGTTTAAATCAAAACATGCATGCAACTATTGCTTTAGGGGTAAAAACATGAAAGAAAGAAAGAATCTTAGAAAGAAGAAGAAGCTATGGCCGGGCGCTGTGGCTCAAGCCTGTAATAACCCAGCACTTTGTGAGGCCGAGGCGGGCGGATTCCCTGAGATCAGGAGTTAGGGACCAGCCTGGCCAACATGGTGAAATACCATCTCTACTAAAATACAAAAATTAGCCGGGCGTGGTGGCATACATACACCTGTAATCCCAGCTACTTGGGAGGCTGAGGCAGGAGAATCGCTTGAACCTGGGAGGTGGAAGTTGCAGTGAGCGGAGATTGTGCCACTGCACTCCAGTCTGGGTGACAGCAAGACTCTGTAAAAAAGAAAAAGAGAGAGAGAGAAAGAGAGAGAAAGAAGAAGAAGGAGGAGGAGGAGGAAGGGAGGAAGGGAGGGAAGGAGGAAGAAGGGAAGGAAAGAAGGAAGGAAGGAAGCTAAGAAAGTAGAAGCTATGTTTATTAATGTCAGCTATGGTTTTTAGATACTGTATAGGCAATTTTCAGAAGCATTATTTAGAAACAATATTTTTTCATTATATAAAGAGTAAATTGAGTTGTAGAAAAGTTAAATGACTTATTTTATATGATGTAGTTAGTGACTAATATAACAACAAATTGAAATGCAGTCCAAGAAATCTATGTTTTTAGCAGAATTGTTGTCCTGACTTTATAATCTCTATCAAAATTCTTTTTCTCCACTTTATTTCTCCACCCACTGTTCACTGGAATGCATTGAGAAGCAAGACAAATGAGAAACAAATATGCCAACATCTATAGAGCCATGAACTCTGTCAGCATCCATGTTCTGATTCTTCTTGAAGAAGTAAGCTTTTTGATAGCAGCAGTACATCTATGTGTTCTTTTCCTATGTCCTACCGTGGAAATGTGATACAGAAAATATCCAAGGAATAATCCTCTCTACCAAAAGCCCGCCTGAGGCCAGGCACAGTAACTTACACCTGTAACCCTTGCACTTTGAGAGAATGAGGCGGGAGAATGGTTGGAGCTCAGGAGTTTGAGACCAGACTGGGCAATGTACAGAGACCAGTCACTGTAAAAAAAAATAAAAATAAAAATAAAAATAAAAAAGTAGCCAGGAGTGGTGGCGCAACCTATAGTCCTGGCTACTCAGGAGGCTGAAGTGGCAGAATCGCTTGAGCCAGGGAGGTCGAGGCTGCAGAGGCTGGAGTGAACTTTGATCATACCTCTGCACTCTAGCCTAGGTGATAGAGCAACACCCTGTCTTAAAAAATAAATAAATAAAAAATAAGAGGAAAATCCGGCTCGCTGTATTCTTTCTTAATCTAAATTAAGATTACCTAGCCAGTGATGTTATTTTTTACTCTGGAGTCAAGGATATGCCATGTTCACTAAACCTAATGACGAAAGACCTGGCTAACTTATATTACAATGAATGCTAATTTTATTTTATTTTATTTTATTTTATTTTATTTTATTTTATTTTATTTTATTTTATTTTATTTTATTTTTTATTTTTTGAGATGGAGTCTCGCTCTGTCACCCAGGCTGGAGTGCAGTGGCACGATCTCCGCTCACGGAGCTCCGCCTCCCGGGTTCACGCCAGTCTCCTGCCTCAGTCTCCCGAGTAGCTGGGACTACAGGCGCCCGCCACCGCGCCCGGCTGATTTTTGTATTCTTTAGTAGAGACGGGGTTTCGCCGTGTTAGCCAGGATGGTCTCCATCTCCTCACCTCATGATCCACCCGCCTTGGCCTCCCAAAGTGCTGGGATTACAGGCGTGAGCCACCGCGCCCGGCCGAATGCTAATTTTTAAATTTTATTATTGAAAAGTAGAATTTCTTCTCCCTGATATTTTAATACTCATTTTCAGAATTTTTGCTTTTTTTGTTCATACATAAGGTATTATCTTTGGAATTGAAAATTTTTCTGCATTATCTTATGTACACTTTTTATACATATAATTAAAAACTTATGTAACTCAGCCTAATTTTAGGATTTAATATATTCTCTACATAATAAATAACCTATTCTGCTTTATTGATTGATTAATTCATTCAATTAATATACATAGTCATATCATTTGTACTGAATGTTTAACAAACACATGTAAATAAGACTGTCTAGTAGAAACTTTGATATTAACTAGGAATGCTTATTTTAGTTGAGACTAACCACCTCTGTTTCTTTCTCAGTATTGAGTTATCTGGGAAAACAAATGGTTAATTAAAATATAGCTTTTCCGAAGGATATCAGGAAGTTACTGCATCCCAGAATTGTAGATCCTAAAAAATAATCCCAGTTATCTCATATATGTTGACATTTATATGCAACAGCACATCACCCATCTAATTAGATAATGCAATGTAAATACTGCGAAATTAATACATTCAACTAATATTTCATACGTTTTTCAGTCCAAAGGGAACATCTCTATGGATGTTATTGAAAAAAAAAGTCTCACCATTTTATTAGATTTTTATATTTTTCTCCATTCTTCACTGCTTGGCTGGAATATATTTTAGGTTTACTGCTTTCATAATGATACAGGTGAGTCTTATCAAATTTCAAAGCCACATAGACGGCATCTGTGAAGGTACCTTATAGATAAATAGTCCTATTCAACATGCTTTCATGTTTTTGTTTTAAGGCAGACCAATACTTTCTTGTACTTATCTCTAAGAGTTGTCTTAGTTTAGAGACTGTCTTCAAGTATTTGATCTCTGCAATACTTTATGTGCCCAAAATTCATTTCAACGATTGCAATTTTCATATGGGAGATTTTTAAGTTATGTTTATGCTTTTTCAACATGTATGAAAAAATAACAGGAGAACAGCTTATTATGTGAATAGAATATTTGAAGAATATGATTCATGGATTTTACTTTTATACCTCAGAAAGGCAGACATAAATGTAATGTGGGATTAACTTTTTTTTAAGTTTTGAGGATATTTTCTTTCTTATGTGTAACATAGAACATTTTTTTCCTGGCCAACAAGAACTAAGCGGAGTATTCATTCCCACAAATTATTAAATTGTTTCTAATTGCGAAAGAGCCTAAGGGTCAAAAGGGATACGTCCTACGGTTCTACGAATTGGTCATAATGGAAAATAAATTGATAATAGACTGCTTTCTTCTGCTGTGGCAACTTTGGCACAAGGCCAAGCAGGAATTCTCAGCCTCTAGTTCAAGGTGAGAATGCATTTGCCCCTAAGAAAGTACAAATCTCCAGTCGTAGTTCATCTCTCTGAGGTTTCTTCTTGCTGGAATGTTAGTCCTTATTGCTTCTATACATCTTTAATGGATGGTTTTAAAAATAGATTAGACATAAAGACAGGTTTAGTGAAATGAAAAGCAAGAAAATAGAAAATATACAAACTGAAGCGAAGAAATCAAACTAATAAAAAATAGTAAAGACTAAATGACATGGAAAAAAACAAAAAGCTTGACTACATGCAACTTAAATTCAGTTGATGATGAGTGAGAAAGTAAGGTAAAAAAAGATTTCAATAGACAATAGCTGATGAAAAAAATCAATCAAAGGATTCAAGAAATTCTGGAAGCATCAAACAAGATAAACATCCAGCAAAGCACACCTGGATACATAATAATAAAACAACTGAAAACCAAAATCAGCAAAACATCAAAAAAATAGTGAGAGGAGAAAAAGATAAAGACACGTTATATTGCTATCTTCAAAGAAACAATAGTTAGCCTGAAGGCTGGCTTTGAACAGAAATGATGAAAAGCAGAAGGCAAGAGAAGGACATTTTTAAAGAGCTAAAAATAATGTTAACAAAAAATTTTACTCCCAATTCCCACTGAAAAATATTTCAAATATAAAAGATAAAATAAGACTTTTTCAAATGAATATAAAATGAACAGTGTTTATTACTGTACTCAAAGTGATGTTAAGCATCTACCTAGCAGAAAAAAAAATCTAAGAGAGGAATAGAAAAATAATACAGCATAAAATCAAAAGCATCACTGGATAGAAATATATAAATACATTAAAAATGAATGTTGACTCTATAAAAATGTAAAATAATGCAGAAATGCATGAGAACAATAATACCAAATATAATGGTAGCATAAATAAAACTCAACTGGTTAGTTGAGTTTTAGCATTATGCAAAATAAGATAAAATATAACTATTTCTTTTTTAAATCATTTATGTTGTAGTCTCCAGATATTCCACCACAAAATTTTTTTTTCTTTTTTTTTTTGAGGCAGAGTCTTGCTCAGTTGCCCAGGCTGGCGTGCAGTGGCGTGATCTTGGCTCACTGCAAGCTCCACCTCCCGGGTTCACGCTATTCTGCCTCAGCCTCCTGAGTAGCTGGGACTACAGGGGCCTGCCACCACGCCCGGCTAATTTTTTTTGTATTTTTAGTAGAGACGGGGTTTCCCCGTGTTAGCCAGGATGGTCTTGATCTCCTGACCTTGTGATCCACCCGCCTCAGCCTCCCAAAGTGCTGGGATTACAGGCGTGAGCCACCGTGCCCGGCCCCAAAATTTTTTAAGTAAGTAATTACCAGTGAGTAGAAAATAAAATAATAATTAGTTGATGAATTCAAAGGAGAAAAAAATAGAGATAATATTTGATGTAAAATGACCGGTGGATTATAGAATAAATAGTGTCAGATATAAAATTAAGTATGTAAATAATTATACAAAATACAAGTATTCAAATTAAAGATTGAAATGATCAGAGTGAACAAAATACCAAAGCCATAGTTTTTGCTGTACATGAGAAACTCATGAAAGGATAGTTGGATATGAAAGGTTAGAAAAAGTTGTTCTACATAAAGTCTAACCAAAAGCAAGCTAGTATAGATATACTAATATTTGATATAGCAGATTTTAATGCTGAAGTCCTCACATCACTCAAACAGTTGCTTTATACGATTCCTTTTGGCAGAAATATTTCAAAATTTAAATATGCAGACATACAATAACATGACTTCAAATAAGTTTAATTGACAAAGTTGAGGTAGATATAGAGATGTCCATAATCATTAAGGAATATTCTTTGAAGAAACACCTGGGACACAGAATAAATCACAATGACAACTAGAAAAATATTTTACATAAAGGCCAATAAAGATATATCAACACTTGTCAGGTATACTTAAAGCAGTGTTTACAGGATACATCTATCAATTTGAGGGTATATATTTGTATTAGTCAGCTCAAGCTGCCATCACAAAATATCATAGACCAGGTGTCAAGCAACAGAAATTTATTTCTTACAGTTCTGGAGGATGAGAACTCCAAGATCAAGGTGTTAGATGATTCAATTGCCCCATGAGGACTGTTTCTCTGGCTTTCAGACAGCTGTCTTTTCACTATGTCTTCACAAGACTGAGGGAGAGAGAGAAAGCAAGTTCTCTGATGTATCTTCTTATAAGGGCACTATTCACATTATAAGGGGCCCACCTTCATAACCTTATTTAAACCTCATTAACACCCAAAGGTCCCACCCCATTTCCAAGTACATTGGTATTAGGACTTTATGAATTTGGGCAGGGGGATACAATTCAGTTCCTATAAAATTATGGATTTTTTCCAATATTGGAAAAGAGAAAATGCTAAAAATTAATGATATAGGCTTATATTCCATGAAGCTAGAAAAAGTGCAGAAGAATCAAAGTAAAAATTTAAAAGAAATTGAATCATCAACATACAACTAATAGCAAAAATTATTGCAATAGGAAAAACCTACAATAGAAAATATTTTTAAAAGGTAAAATTAGTTTATTTTAAAAGATAATGCAAAACAGACTAGTCAAGAAGAAAAGAAAAAATTAGAATTACTTTTCTAAGTATACAAAATGAGGCATTGCTAATAATCATAGTGCTAATAAGAGATTATTATATATGTTAATATTTTCTTTCTTGTTCTACATAATGCTTATATGAGTGTTTTCAATTTGTGAATATTAATCAAGTTATATACTTGATTCATATCAAGTATTTGGGCAAGTCTGTTTTCCTTGTGTATGTTATACCTCATCAATGACCCTAAAATAAATAAAAATATATTATTGAAGAGAAGAAATTATGAGATGAATAGATTCTCTGACCTGACATGAAACGCATGTGCAGAAATAAAGTAACCATTACAAAAGACGCAATAACTGTGGACATTTCAGATTGGCCTAAAAGTTTGTTTCCAAATAAAAATGGCATTCATTGCATTTCTGATAACCTTATATAAGGGATATTTTAAAAAAGCATAACACGGCCGGGCGCGGTGGCTAACGCCTGTAATCCCAGCACTTTGGGAGGCCGAGGCAGGTGGATCACGAGGTCAAGAGATTGAGACCATCCTGGCTAACACGGTGAAACCCCGTCTCTACTAAAAATACAAAAAATTAGCCGAGCGTGGTGGCGGGCGCCTGTAGTCCCAGCTACTCTGGAGGCTGAGGCAGGAGAATGGCGTGAACCCGGGAGGCGGAGCTTGCAGTGAGCTGAGATGGCGCCACTGCACTCCAGCCTGGGCGACAGAGCGAGACCCCGTCTCAAAAAAACGAACAAACAAACAAACAAAAAAAAAACACACTTTAGGTATATTACAATGCTAGGCATCTAAAAGAGAAAATATTGTTATTTATCATTTCCTTCCAATGAAAATAACCATATTCAGAGATAATACATGTTATAGAATATAAATGCATTTTTGTAACTATCTCTCATTCTGGATTTTCTTTTATTTAAACCACACAAATGTAAGTTAACAAGGTCCTGGGAATAAAGATGAATAATTAAGTATGTTGGAAAAATAATAAAGTAAAAGAATATTTAATAAAGTAATGATGAGCATTGTACATATTACAGATACATTAGATGAGCTTAATTAGGAAATCCTAATTATTCAAGGGTACAAGTGATTTCTGGTCAATAAATAAAATAATTTTATGTATGAGAGAAAATATACTCATCAAGGAAAATGAGCTATTTCTCCTAATTAAAAAAAAAAAAAAAAACGCCAGGGGTCATGTATGGGTTCAAGGTTAACAGATTCGTCTAATACATTTTTTAGCCTGTTTCTCAGGAACCCATTCATTCCTGATAAATCCCAGATTGTTCCCTTACATAACTGCAGAGTCTGTGATGTTAACTGATTTTTAACTGTGTCAGTTCTGTAGCTAGCAAAGACAAAGGCATTTTTAGGCCCATCCGTAATTCTTTACCGGTTATTTGAGCTGAGACTTTACATGTCAGAGTTTACTTTTAGAACTACAAAAAGGTGTTAGAAAGCAATGAGTGCAGTCGCTGTAGTTCTCCCTTCAGCTACAGTAACAAGAGACATACTAACAGGCACTTAATCTCCTAAATTCTATCCGTCTCTTTGTCCACTTTAATAGTTAAAAATATGGCACAACATATAGCTATATACTGATTATGAGCAGTGCCGGTTACTTTGCCCAGATCATAAAAGCTTTCAGGAATTCATACAGAGCAAGACCTATATATAAATGAATATCAGTGAACACAAATTGCCAGAGTGAGCAAAAACATAACCTGAAAATTGACATATGGCAACAATAATACATTCTGAAATGTGATTTTGAAAGGCAAGAGCAACTAATTATGTAGACATAGTCTCTAATCATCCAATATTTTCTAAAATAATTGTATTGATATTTAAGGGGAAACAAGTTATAAGGTTTTTTGAGGTAAAATTGGAATTTTGAATGTAAACCCATTGAGTAGGAGAAACATGAGTGATGTAATTGCGTTCTGGTCGTGGATCAAAAAGAAAAGAAGTTTGGGTTAAAATATAGAAATGACCCAATTCAAAAACCTGGAACATTATTATTAATTTTCTCTCCTTCTCCACTGTGATTTAATGATCTCTGGATACACATCCATTAACAAAAAACATTAGAAATGTAATTTTATACAGTGAACACACTTGATAGAAAATAATCCCCTCCATTTACTACTTTATAAATCCCAATGTTTTCTTTAAGACCAGGTATTAACGCCTCTTTCTTCTTAAAATGAACACATTTTCCTACTTCAATGGCTCCAAAAACACTTTATAGATACATTTACTTTGTTTTAATTTTTTTCATCTCACACTATTGTATATTTATGAATTTTCTTTATATATCTTTTCCCTTAGTATGGTACCTAGAACGTGGATCATAATAAATCAAAATGAACATAAGAAAAATGTTGTAGGCTCACTTTTTAAAAATAAAAATGACTTTTAGAGAATATGCAAAATGAAAATAATTAAATCAACTGAGATAATTTTGCATATGTGTGTATAAAGATATTTAGCAATATAATTGAAGAAACAATTAAGTACTAGATATTTTAAGAAATGTTCCAATATTAATCTAATTAAACAATTTTTTTTCACAGAAAATAGGAAACTGTGAAACAGAATTAGGAGACAATTAAACCAAAGTCAAATACTTATCCATCTATACTTGTCTATGGCCTGCCTATACATTTCCATATAGTCATCACTTATTATGTGTGTATAACCAATACATATATTAATTATATATATACACACACAAACATATATGTATGTGTATATATGTGTGTCTCTGAAAATATATTCTATGTATATGTCTGTGTGTGTGAGACAAAGTCACAAATATTGCACTTACATAAATAGTTAGGGTGTCAGGCTTCTGATCAAATTACCTTATTTTTTCTTTAAGGGATAATCTCTCCAATTGATGAATACTCAGTGTATAATAATTATCAAACTGCCACAGTAAGGTAATTCTTTTTCCTAAATTAATGGCTATGTTGGGAAGTATAAGTATTCCTCTTTTCTTCTGAGAATTCCAAAAGTTGTTAAGCCAAATGAGCTATTATGTGAGTCTTAGCCATTCTTATCATCTATGAATTTTTCATTTTATTACTCTTTCAAATTTTGATTTTGTATAAATGAGCCTAAAAAATAGGCTTACCTAGATATATTTGAAATGAGCAAATGGAAATTTTTGACAGCTTGCATAAACCACTGAAACTGCATTTAAATGACATTGAAGTCCTGAGTCTTTAATAGGTGGTTAGTCATTCTTGCAAATAAGATTTTTCATTTTGATTCAATACAGCAGTCTTGCCCCCAAAAGCCTACATTTCAGAACTTCTAATGAAGTTGATAGATCTTACAGAATTTTATTATGTGAATTAAGGTATGCAGTAAATATGTATTATATTCTGTTTATTAGTTTGTATAAGTAATTTTAAATATGTATCTTTTATAGAAAATCATAATTATAAATATTTTTACTGAAAATCATAATTCCTTATGAATGATTCAATATAAAACTTGTTTGTATATTTTTCGAACAGCCAAAAAGAATTTCCTTATAGTTACTTAAATCAAAAATGACTAAATAAATTTCCTTCAAACTTCCTGAATTATTTCATTCTAGGTTAAGAACCAGAATGATGAAGTTTAGCCCCAAAGGTATTCAGTGGAAAAGCTATAAGCCACGGAAAATGGGGCTTAAATTCAAAGTGCCATCTCAGAAGGCATAATAAAAATAGATTTTCAGTCTGCCCCAAACACAAATAGTAATGCCATAATGCCATAAAATATGAAATATTGCAAGTGTGCTATTGCCATCTTTAATTTTTGTAGTAGAATTTTCCTCAGATCTTTCTCTATGCTAGAAATAACCTTATATCCCATGAAAGTCATCCACTTCTTTTACCAGACCTAGAAACTGGAATGAAGTATCAAAATATGTGAATTAAAATATGTGCTGATTTTGAAGATTAAAAAAAGTATTGCAAATCATATTGCCACATAAAAATTTTTTAAATTACATAAGTAATTGGAAATCACCCTTTGAAATGACACTTTAATAGGATAATTTAGTCTAAATAATTTAATAGAATGTAATTGAATTGATCTGCTAGAATAGAATTGGAAGGACCTAGACTGATAGACTTTAGTATGGCTTTAGGAATCCATTGCCTACTGTTGGATTATAGTCAATTAGGGAGTGCTGTCAAATGTGGGGCTCAGTGACTCAATCCTGCACTGTATTGCTCTATTGTTTATCTGCAGTGATTCAACAAGTGTGGGATTAAGGGAGTAGGATTGGATTTACCTACAGTAGGTACATTTGGATGTGTAGCACCTACTAGAATGATGGTTTGCTGCCAGAGGCTATTACAGTACCTGCAAAATCTTGGATTTCTATATGTACAGCCTGTGTGATTGTGCATGTGTGTGTGTGTATGCATGTTTGCACTATTTTTGGACATGATCTCATTATTCCTTTTCTGCTACTATAAATTTCACTCCATATGACACCTATCTGCCTGCCACACTTTTCCCCCGTGAAACCAAACTAAATCGGCCTGTTAATCAGTTCTTTATGGAAGTCATCCACCTTGTCTCATGGTTTTCATGACACTTATTTTTACAACATAAATCACAATGTTCTGTAATTTTTACATTAATAAGTATCAGTAAACATCTATTTGCAAGGATCAAACAAAGCAACATTGGAGAGTTTCCAAGGGTTCAGTGTATTGTAATCACAAATGTCAACAGTAACAGCAGTTTGCACATTAAGTTTATTATAAAACTTACACTTATGTTTAATTATATAAAATGGGTACATTTAAGAGTGAGAGTCATTATTTCACTAGAACACCATTTTTAATATTTCTGACATGAGTCCTAGTTACTATATTCCAAATATCAACCCTTATTAAATGTATAATTTAGTGAGCTCCAACAAAAACGATTCTAGTGAATTCCAATAAAAATCATTCCTACTTAACATGTCTGATTATGGGGTTTCCTCAATCTCTTTATTAATTTCATTTAAGTCTTTAGTTTGCAATCAGAACAATTTTTCAAATGAAGTGGGGCTGAATATCTTGTGTTTTGTATTCATACATTGCAGAAACATCTGCTTTTTATGAAATTGTTTCCTTTGGTCAAAGTTTTGTTGCAAAGCGCAGAGTAATAAGAGGTCAAGTAGTAAACATTATACCACATAGCCACATAGAACAAAGCCTCCAGCTGCCAGAAACAAATGTGTCCATCTGTTTTTGCTTGGGGCTACTATCCCCTAGGCCTTGTTTTATGTGGCTCTTGGGTAGGCATGGTTTCCACATAAAGCACATCCTGTAGGATAAAAATCACAGGACCAATTTGGCACCTAAAGGGACTAGTTATTGATTCTCCACTCAACATTAGGTTCCACATAACCCAACTGACCCTATATTTTGAACATAGTAATTAATCTTGTTGAAAATATTGAAAATGCTTATCAACGAACTACAGTCTTGTGCCTTAAGATGAAAGTTTATGCCTAAAGTGGGTTGTGACCTAACTCAATCAGTAACTTTAGACATTGTATTTTTTATGATTTTGTTCTCTCCATCCTGACCTAAGAATAAAGATGTTGCCAATGTTACCAGTACATTTCCAGCATTGCCAATGTCCTGTAAATTATATAAGTTGAGTGTAAATCCTTGGCCAGATTCCATCATCCCTGAGGCCCCAGTAACAAAATGTTTTGAAGTGATATTTTAGATATATAGAGAATTTTTTGTTGTTGTTAAAGTGGCTTCATTATTTTTTAATTTATTAAAAAACGTTTATTGAATACCTACTATATGCCTGGCAATCTGCTCATACTGGAGTTGTATCTATAAGCAAAACTATGGAAACCCCTGTTTTCAGAGCTTATGTTCTTCAGAAAAAGAGAGGTAACAAATGGGGTAAATAAGTGAAATCTATAGCATTTTAATATAGGTATTTTCAAAGGAAGAAAATAAAGCTGTAAACAACTATAGGAAGTTGAAGGGGTATAATTTTACGTAGAATGAATGTGAATATATTTTATATTTAAGTAAAGATGAAAAGTAAATGATCAAGAAAGCCATGCAGTCAAAGAAATGCAAAAACAGTAGAAATGAGATGTCATTACATACACATCATATTGGTATATTTTTACAAAGCTGGTAGCAATTTTACAAAGCCATAATGGTTAGTCTTAGAGATTCAGGTAAAAGCATATACATAAACTTTGCATCAATGTAATTTGTTCCAGCTTTCTCAGGTAATCCTGCAATGTAAATTATAGTTAAAATACACATACTCTTCAAATTAACAATCTCATTTGTTTGTTTCTTCCATAAAATTAGATAGATATAAATATAGATATATACATAAGAAACAATGTATGTTAAATGTGATTGTTGTTCCAAGAAAAAATAAAAAAAAATCACTATGATGGATGACTATCAATGAAGGATTGACTGAGTAAATATATTACACACTGTACATGAAACATCATTTCATGAATAATATTGAATTAGAGTAATAGCAGTGGCCTTTGAAACATCTCCAGGTTGTGTTTTGAGGTTTTTTTTTTTTTTTTTTGAGACAGAGTCTTGCTCTGTTGCCCAGGCTGGAGTGCAGTGGCGCAATCTTGGCTCACTGCAAGCTCCGCCTCCTGGGTTCACGTCATTCTCCGGCCTCAGCCTCCTGAGTAGCTGGGACTACAGGTGCCCCCCACCAGGCCTGGCTAATTTTTTGTGTTTTTAGTAGAGACGGGTTTTCACCGTGTTAGCCAGGATGGTCTCGATCTCCTGACCTCGTGATCCACCCGCCTCGGCCTCCCAAAGTGCTGGCATTACAGGCGTGAGCCACTGCACCCGGCCTTGAGTTATTTTTTTAAATTGAACAAGATTGCATCTTTTATTACCTATGATTTGGGGACATTGATGCTTAGACAGTAGCTTGCAGTTACACCCTATAGAATTTTTAAGTCTTCATGACCCTTATTCAGAGATTAAGTACTTAAATCAAAATATGGAAAAATAAGACGGGTAATCCAAAATGGCAAGCTTATATGAGTTGCCATATTGTGCAACATAAATAAAGGGGTAGAAAATTGAGGCTTAAGGAATGTAATGGTTGGGTAGGTACATATGTCTAAACACATGAAAATGTACATATTAAATGTACATAATACTTTTAATAACAATTATACCTCAATAATGCTAAAATAATCAGGTACTCTTAAAAATATTAGATATGAGCAATTTCAAAATACTGATTAGATTTATTAATAAGTAATGTAATGTTATTTTGAATGATCAAGTGTTGCGGGAAGTCAGGGACTCTGAACGGAAGGACTGGCTGAAGCCATGGCAGAACATAAATTGTGAAGATTTCATGGACATTTATCAGTTCCCCAAATTAATACTTTTATAATTACTTATGCCTGTCTTTACTGTAATCTCTGAACATAAACTGTGAAGATTTCATGGACATTTATCACTTTCCCAATCAATAATCTTGTGATTTCCTATGCCTGTCTTTACTTTAATCTCTTAATCCTGTCATCTTTGTAAGCTGAGGATGTAAGTCACCTCAGGACCCTGTGATGATTGTGTTAACTGCACAGATTGTTTGTAGATCATGTGTGTTTGAACAATATGAAATCTGGGCACCTTAAGAACAGGATAACAGTGATTTTACGGGAACAAGGGAGATAACCTTAAAGTCTGGCTGCCTGTGGGCCAGGCAGGACACAGCCATATTTCTCTTATTACAAAAATGGGTAAGAGAAATATCACTGAATTCTTTTTCTCAGCAAGGAACAGCCCTGAGAAAGAGAATGCATTCCTAGTGGGAGGCCTCTGAAATGGCCGCTCTGGGAACGTCTGTCTTTTACAGTTGCAGATAAGGGAAGAAATAAGCCCCGGTCTCCTGTAGTGCTCCCAGGCCTATTAGGATGAGGAAATTCCCACCTAATAAATTTTGTTCAGACCAGTTGTCTGCTCTCAAACCCTGTCTCCTGATAAGATGTTATCAATGACAATGCATGCCCGAAACTTCATTAGCAATTTTAATTTTATCCAGGTCCTGTGATCTCACCCTGCCTCCATTTGCCTTGTAATATCTTATTGCCTTGTGACGCATGTGGTCTCTGTGACCCCCACCCTATTCATACAATCCCTCCCCTTTGAAAATTGCTAATAAAAACTTGCTGGTTTTACGGCTCAGGGGGCATCACAAACCTGCCAACATGTGATGTCTCCCCTGGACACCCAGCTTTAAAATTTCTCTCTTTTGTGCTCTTTCCCTTTATTTCTTAAACCAGCAGACACTTAGGGAAATAGAAAAGAACCTACGTGAAATAACATTGAATTGTCAGGGGCAGGTTCCCCCGATAATTAAGCTAATTTTTTAATAGGTTCTCAAATCACTTTTAATGTCCTGATATAAATTCTGTACGACATATAGCCCTACATACACTTTAGCAAGCCCACCAAACAAGATTTGTAATGATGATTCAACCAACTTCAGGGCACCTAGGAGGAAAAAAATTCAGGCTTATGTCTAATTAATGCTGATAGTAAAACGTTTAGGGGTAGGAAGATTGCTCTTTATAGCTAGCTTTTAAAATGTTCTTTTTCTTCTCTGATATTATTTTATTTCAGATTTAGTTATATTTATTTCATAATTTTACTCAAAAATGAGAAAAGAAAGATGAAATAACAGCTTCAGAGTCTATTTGTTGTGTCAGTATTTGAGTATGTCAATGAGTAGTGAGTTTCATTTTATTTATTTTATTTTATTTTTTTATTTATTTTTTTGAGACGGAGTCTTGCTTTGTCGCCCAGGCTGGAGTGCAGTGGTGTGATCTTGGCTCACTGCAAGCTCTGCCTCCCGAGTTCACGACATTCTCCTGCCTCAGCCTCCCGAGTAGCTGGGACTACAGGTGCCCACCACCGCACCCGGCTAATTTTTTTTGTATTTTTAGTACAGACGGGGTTTCACCGTGGTCTCAATCTCCTGACCTCATGATCCACCCGCCTTGGCCTCCCAAAGTGCTGGGATTACAGGCGTGAGCCACAGTGCCCGGCCTCATTTAATATTTAAGACTTTGAACTCAAAGTTTTACCAAAATAAAATGTTTCTCTTTATGATAATAAAAATGTGATGCTTTATTACTAATATAAATTCAACGTGAGAGAGATTATGCACAATCTTAGAGTTTAGCAGGGAATACTCATGTTTTCCTTCATAGAGTTTAAATCTATCAGGGATTACAAATGTTACAAGTGAGAAATATATATTGTTATTGGATAATTGTGATTAGAGGGCCTACCCTAGTCATAGATGGCAATAAATCAGGGGCCCCTAATTTAGCAATTAATTCTAAAGAATGAGTTGGAATTAGACTGAAAAATAAAATACAGTGACAAGCTAATTATGAGAAGAAAGTGAGAAAAGTTGCATGGGAGAGAGAAGTAGGATGTTGCAGAAACTGAAAAAGGCCCATAAGACAGGCTTGAGAGGAAAGTAAATGGTATTATGAAGTAATCTGTAGGGATGGGTAGGACATGGTTGGCAAAGATAAGAATTTTTAACTTAATTATCAGCAATGTAAAGTAAGTTATAAGCATTTATGACAATGTGAGTGGTTAGGTCATATAAACATTTTGGAAAGATCACTTTGATCTCAACCTGTAGCAAATAGGTTTGAATACAGCTAAAGTAACGTGGAAAAAGGGAAACACTGCCATGAGGTAAGAAGCAATTATACATTTAACAACCAAGGTGGCAATGGAGATGCAGATACAGGTTACACTTATGAATTAAACTAGTCAAGACTAAGTCATGACTTAAATATGAATGAATAAAAATACTGTTTTCAGGGAGAATCTCAGATTTCTGAGAAAGGACTGGCTGGAGATAGAATTTAGGACTGATTTATATTCAGTTGAACTTCAAAGTGGGATAGTGACTATAATAGCATAGGGAGAAAATAAATTGTGAGGAGAGGAAGCACAACACAGCATGTTAAGTAACTGCAATGGCATGTAGAATAGTGTGAACATACAGACTGGCACAGCAGCAGAGGAGAATGCGGATGAAGGAAAGTAAGTAAATTAGGCCAAATTTTCAGCTGTGCTGTATGTACCTGACCTATCAAGAAAAATGAGACCCCATTACAGACAAGTATTCTTGGACTGGAATATAAAACAAAACTCAAGTATAATGTTTATAGAAATATATATAAGCCTAATAGAAAAGAACATAAATAATCAGAAAAACAAAGATAATTCTAACATGAAAGTGGAAGAGTAGCAGTTAGTATATAAGGTCAATAATATGAAAAGGGGTAAATATGCATACTAAAATTGAGTAAATATACATATTATCCCATATTAACCCTATCTATTTACTTGGAAAATAACAACATCAATTATATGAAACCCCTCTAAAAAAATCAACTCAAAAGACCAAAGGCATGGTAAAATAGTAAATCATGGTATATACAAATAATTTCCATAAAGTAAATAAAAATTGACTGTTTAAAAGTAGTGACTGGAATAAAATAACTAACTAGCTTAATTGTACAAAGAAGAACTATGTATCAATGTAAAAATGGAAGCCATAAGCAATGAGGTTCGTAGATTATGCAAGCTATGCAATCAAAACTTTACTGACTCTTTATGGGCATTCTTTACTATTCTTTTATCTTTGCCGGCATGATAGACAGACATAGCCAAAGTTTTAATTTTCCTTTCCTTGGTTACTTACGAAGAGAGTAGGTTTTCACATGTTATTTAGCAAGTTAATTTCTTATTAGATGAATTATTCTATTTAAATTTTGTTCACTTTGATCTGTAATTAGTCTGAAAAAAATAATTGTGGTAATGCTATAAAACTCCTATCCATAGTTGGTTTAAAACTATGTGTCCTATTTTGAAATTTTGATAATATTTATAAAAGAGAAGCTAAAAAATGTATTACTTTATATAATCTTCAAATAATACACATACAGCTTAAATAACTTCTCTTATTACAATAATGTTTTCACCCATATTACCTTATTTTCTTTCTTGCCCTTAGAATTTAGTATTTCAAGTTTAAGATGTCATAAAGTTTACAAAGCATCTAATTACTTCTGAAACACACTACTACACCTTAAGCCTGTTTGAGTTAGCAGTGCTACTGATTTAATAGTTGAAGTGCCTGCCTACCTCCTCACCTTGTTTTTTGGAAAAGGCTAATATAACTATAGTGGTAAACAGGTAGCTCAATGAAATAATGTAACAATACCCACAGCCCCAAATCTCAGAGCATTAACTTCTAGTCATATATTTCAGTTGAGAACTTTCTCCTAGAAATGTCCTCTCGTCATTTTGTGCATTTAGCTTTTATCCTTAATGGTATAAGCCTATTTAAAGTAATTGTTGTATATTTTGTAAGGGATTAATTATTTCTTTTAATTTGGCTAAACATCTTTTTTATTTATTCATTGTTGAAAATAATATCTGTTCACAATTGTATTGCCATGAAAATGTAGGCATACACAAAACTGGAATCTCAATTTTTAATTTTTATATTAACACCAACACCAACCATACTGTTCCTATGATTGTAGTTTTAGAGTATTGAGATCAGATTGATTTCAATACTTGACTTTGATTTTTGTAAAAATCATTCCACCACTAACTACATTTTTATAGAATTAGAAATGTATAACAATAGTATAATTATGTGTAACTGTCTATTGATATACATATATATCTCTCACAAAATTAACAGTAAAATATTTTAAATCATTATTTGGTAAAAGAAAAATTATAAATGAAAATTAATGAAAAAATTACACATTAAAATTTATAAATGCACTCAAAACATACTTGGAGGGATATTCTAATGTAACATATACATGTCTAAAATGAAAAGTAACTAAAAACTAATATGCAAGGACTTGTTTATCATGCATCTCACCATGCAAAATGGGACTTTTAGGAGATTGCATTGTAAATAAGCATCTTAGCTATAAAGTGCATCTTAACACTTATTTTCTCTAAACTCAAAATATAGCCTTCAGATGTACTATATTTTTTTTCTCCCTTTCCTATCAGACATTCCCTTGTACCTTGCATGCTTACCCAATAACATGCTTGTTCAGAAGCTCCTGAGGCCCATCTTAAAGCAAAGCAGACATGGAGACCAAACTGTGGAACCCTCCCCTACCTAGATATTATCTCAAAGTAAATAATTTACAACTGTCCACAATCCAGATGATTCCAGCTAGGATTACAGGTGGATAATAATTCAAGATAGCCATCAGGACAAAACGTGCAGAGCTGCACCATGCACCACTCCCGTATGTTTCCCAAACCAGGTTTCCTTTTATAAACCTCCTTAGCCAACCCTAAAATTTTAAATGATCTTTTTGAAGCACAAGTCTGGCCATTTCCCAACTGCTAGCATTTGAACAAAGTTGATTTCCTTTCACCTCACTTTGCTTCTATTATTTTTGCTGTCAAGCAGCAAGTGGCCAGACTTATGTTTGCTTACACATTTGGTGCCCTATGTGAGGAACTGTGATTCAAGTAGCTTAGCCTGCCTGTCTCTGCCTGGTTTCCAATAAGTGGAGCAATTGGCTGCAGCAGTGTGCTATGACTTATCTGTTCACATTACCACGTGGAGTAATTGCTGTTCATAAATGTCATTTGCTTGTGGATAGTCGACCCTGTAGCTGGGGACTCCAGAGACCTCTCAGCAGCTGCTGAGGATGCTTTTGTCCCAGGGATTTCCTTTATGTCTCTCTTGTAGCATAAGTGGCCTGCAACCCTTTGCTAACACAAGAAAGTGGCCTTGAGGAAGCTGACAGGCTTCAGAGCTGGGTAAGTTGACTATAGTGCTCTAGGGACTCCTCCGTCTCTGCTCTCTGAGTTAGCGCCATCTGGGTTTAGCACAGGTAATTTTGTGGTGCTGTCTGTATTTGAGACAAGATTTTAGTACTTTTTCTTCAGTCTCTCCTTTTGGGGACCAGTTTGGAGTGCTCTTCTGTATTAGAGCCATTTGTGTTTGTGTCTATGATTATTGATATTCTTTGCTTTGTAAATGTTTCACATGGTCTCTATTCCATCTGTAAAGTGGGGTTCCACCAGACAATACCAAGTCCACATGGTTGTCAGAAAGCACCAACATAGGCTGCACCTCTCTGCATTAGGGAAGTAACAGTTCCAGCTTCCTGGCCCCTGATGTTGCCATTCTCTTTGGGACTCTAGAATATCTCATATATCTTGTCAAGCTTTGTGGGTGAAGAAAGCATGTGAACTCTTTTCTAGACTGAGACTTGAGATGGTTATATGTTATAGTCTGTTTTTGTGCACATTTTAAACTAATGGGCAAATTACAATAGGAAAAACTGAGAGCTCAAAATGGTTAACCTGAAACTATAGAGTTAACTAGAGGTTTCTAAACTCTGTATATATTTCCCACTTTTCTTCCTTCTTTGAATCTGCTATTATTCAGCTATTGGTGTTGAGATAGAATTCACCTATTTAGGGTTCCATGGAGATTTTGTTTTTCTTATACATTTTAGCCAGATCTAGCTAAAATGTAAAATTGGAAACTCATTTGAAACTCAAGAAAATAAAAGAGGCTTTTAAAAAAATCAAATTGTCATAGAGCCTGCTTTACCCAAAATTTTGGTCCACAGCTTTCCCTGGATTAGCTATCAGGGAAAATAAAGTTTAGCCTAGTGAATTTTTCAATTTGTTCAGAAAAATAATTTAGATCCAGCTGTATTTTTAAAAATGGTGAGTTTATATTGCTATATTTGGAAAAAATTCTGAGGTAAAAGTTATTAGATCTTTATTTGTGTGTATATATATTTAGATATGTTTATACGTTATGTCCTTTTTTTATTATTATACTTTAAGTTCTAGGGTACATGTGCACAACGTGCAGGTTTGTTACATATGTATACATGTGCCATGTTGGTGTGCTGCACCCATTAACTCGTCATTTACACTAGGTATATCTCCTAATGCTATCTCTCCCCTTTCCCCCTACCCCACGACAGGCCCTGGTGTGTGATGTTCCCCATCCTGTGTCCAAGTGTTCTCATTGTTCAATTCCCACCTATGAGTGAGAACATGCAGTGTTTGTTTTTCTGTCTTTGCGATAGTTTGCTCAGAATGATGGTTTTCAGCTTCATCTATGTCCCTACAAAGGACATGAACTCATCCCTTTTTATGGCTGCATAGTATTCTATGGTGTATATGTGCCACATTTTCTTAATCCGGTCTATCATTGATAGACATTTAGGGGGTGATGTCTAAAATAATATCACATTGACTTAGAAGTAAATAGACACTCATAAATTAAGTCCAAATGCTTTTCAAGTTCACATAAATTTAGCAATTTTAGATAAATAAAAGTGATTTCAAAACTATTAACAAAATAAAAATAGAAGTGTCTTCCGAATTGTCACTGCATTTTTGTTGGTTAAATCAGTCTTATATTTATCTGTGGTAGATATTACAAGGTTTAAGGTGTGGCACCAAATTTATAGGACAATAAGTCCAGCTAAAAGAAGAATAAACTTTGTGTAATTTTTTGACAAATAAAACTAATTTAATATTGTTAATTTTAATAAAAACAGTTAAATTTTATGTTATTGGTAAAATGCCTAGGTGTTTCATTCTTACTTAGATGAACACCTCGTCTTCACAGACTTTAAAAACTATTAACAGCCAGCACTTTGGGAGGCCAAGGTGGGCGGATCACAAGGTCAAGAGATCGAGACCATCCTGGACAATATGGTGAAACCCCATCTCTACTAAAAATACAAAAATTAACTGGGCATGGTAGCGCACACCTGTAGTCCCAGCTATTCGAGAGGCTGAGGCAGGATAATCACTTGAACCCAGGAGATGGAGGTTGCAGTGAGGTGAGATCGCACCACTGCACTCCAGCCTGGTGACAGAGCAAGATTCCGTCTCAAAATAAAAAGACATTATTAACATAAAAAATTCTAGGTACTGTATAATTCTGCATATAACGTTTGCTAAAGTAAGATGTGTTTTAGATAAAGAAAAAAATTATTTTAAAATAACATAACATATTCTTAATAAAAATAATTTTGTCTAATTCAAAAATTATTTATATAACAAAATAAAAGAAACCAGTAAGAAAGAGAGACGCAAAAAATGTTATAGAGGTATTTTTTGCTAAAAACTTAAAAAAGTAATTTTGTATGAGAAAGAATCTTATGTGATAAAGCAAAATGAAATGATTTAAGAAAATAAAATTCAGGACAAAACAAAGTCAGAGCATGTCATAGATAGTCTATGTAAGCTGTAAAAATGTTTATAAAGAAAATTCATAAAAGAAATTTGTTTTTATCAAATGTTTTGAATCTTTTAACATCTTTGACACTGAATTATATGTTATCTATGGCTTATTGCTGCCATTTATCAAACTATAAAAATTTATCACTGCAAGGTTATGAAATCATTTTACAGCTTCCAGTCAGGTCATGGACTCCAGTATCACTACCTTTAGCCCCTTAAAAACGTCCTTATGAGGTTCTATTATCTAATCCTTATACTATGAAGTTTCAGAGCATTGACTCCTGGTTGCATGTATCTCATCTAAATAAGACAATGACTTCTATGAATATCTGACACCAAATTCCAGTTAATCAAATCCTCATCCTTAGATCTGGGAGAAGATGACTATCAAGATAAACTACCTGCAGTTGACACTGGACCAGGCCTGTATACAACGGCATACATACTCATTTAATGATTTTGCCTCTATTTAACTTACTATAATTTATTATATGCCTTGATGCTAAGTGATTTAACTGTTTAGCTACCTGTGAGCTTCTTTTCCTGCCATTCTCAGAACAAGGCAGCACTTCTAACTTTTTTCTTTAAAACATTGCTTGTTCTTTATGCTTTGTTTTACTTCTAGGATTTAAGACCATTTACTTAAGTCTCCAGGCCCTGAGACTATCATGGAAAAAGTGAGTGCATGATATTGTAAGAGCTGATTTGGAGGAATAAAATTAGGTCATACCCTCCAAATCAAGGATAAATACACATATGCCTAAACAGCTGATAACATATAAAACTTACAGACAAGTTAATTTTATAACCTAACTTTTTGGCTTTTGGTTTTTGGCTGTTATATTGCTTAAAAGGGGTTTCAAGGGTCAATAAGTGCCTGCCCACATGATGGACCCAGAGCACGTAGCACACCACCCCAGCATCAATATGGAAAAAAATAAATAAAAGTTTGACTGTCAATACTGCCTCTGGCATATCTTGACCAAAAAGGGGGAATATAAACTAACAAAATAAAATAGAACTGTAAGCCCCTCAATAGACTGAATGGTCCTTCTCTTAGCCAAAGGGGATCCCCAGAGAAACAAAACTGAGTTCAAGAAATGACAGAAAGTTGTGGGTTGGGGTGTGGGTCAGACATACCTCATAATACCCTCCCTCCTCAGGAATTTAATCACAACTGACCAGCATTAACAGTAAAATAGAGGTTGCAGGACTGACAGGATCTTTACAATAAGAATGTACTGCATTATAAACACTTTCTAAGACCATGCTAGGCAAGCGTTAAGTCACACCCTTCTAAACTTAAAAAGTAAACTATGTTCCAACTGCCACAAGGTTTTTCTTTTTCTCTAGCAGCCACACAAGAACCAGCCTTGAAATAGGCTGACTACCAGCCCCTGTTCTAACAGCCATAACTACAGCTTTAATTAGACAAAAGACTGATTTCAGTAACTTTCTCCTGAAAAAAAGACCACCAAACATCAACTAGTTCTGCAAAAATTGCACACTTATGTGCCTTTGTGTCCTGAAGAGATATTTTAATGTATAGGGTAAAATTATAATACACTTAAATATTAAGTCTCCACCTCAAAATCAACATGGGACATATATTACATGCATATTTGCTCAAGAAACATGTGCTAGCACCACCTTTATAAATATTCATAGCTTGAAATCAGAGAACCAGAGAGACCAAGTGGGTTTCAGGAGGGTTTATTTTAGGTGTACACTGGCTCAGCAGACATGCATCCTGAAAGTCTGAGCAGCAAACAAAGAAAACAAATGTCTTTTATGTATCTTGAGGTGGTAATTACGTGATGCAGGAAGAAGGCTTATGGAAGCAAGAATAAAAGTAGTTAATTATCAGGTGACATTTTTAAGATTTAGTTTATATCTTGGGAAAACATGTTTTGTAACTCATGCTTATTAATTTTGTGACTTTGCAGTACAGTAAGAAAAACAGGAACTTATAGAACTTATATGTAGGGGAGAGATGTGGTTAATGCTTTACAAATTTTACAGAAAGGCAGTTAATTTTTTTTAACTTTCATTTCGAGGGGGGCATTTTATGCTTATTTTAGTCTAACTTAAATTTTTTAAAATTTTCCCACTTTATTACTATAACCTAAATATGTTTGTTTAGCCAATCTGTCATCAGATCCCCACAGAAACTCCTGGTATAATTGACAGTGGGGAATGTGTACAATAATTAAAACTAAATGCTGTCTGTACATTCCATATAACTCTGGAAACATATCCTCAGTCCTACAAGATACACATAAGCAAAATAGTAATATATCTGATTCCACAATTTCTTTAAGTCAATGGCTCTCCACATAATGTGGATTAGGCCCCTTGTGATGACAGAAAGAAAATTACTTGGAGTTTTAGCCGTGATTATGAGAATAGGTTTATTCTTCTGCTGTGAACTGTATTTCTGTTATGTACTTTCTGTGATGCTCAGCAATCTCTTCTATAAGACCAGGGACTCAAGAATATGATCAACTCTAAGTAGACAGGTTCTGTTCAATTTCTCCCTAACTATGTCCCTTTCCACCAGAAAATAGCCAGATTAAATATGTTGCCCACTTTCCACGGAAATGGAATAAAATATGACAATGGGGGAATTGTAGTCAAGCATTTTAGGTATAAAATTAATCTTAAAGCTTTTTTTTTCTAAACTCAGAATATAGCCTTGGAATGTACTTTCATCCTCTTTGTTTCTCTTATTTTCCCTTGAGACATTCCCTTGCACCATGCACGTTTATCTAATGGCATGCTTAGTTAGAACCTTCAGGGGCTCATCTTAAAGCAAACCAAACATGGTGACCCAGCTATGGAACTCTTACCCACCTAGAGTTTACCTCAAAGTAGATAATCTACAATCCAGCCACAGTCCAGATGATGCCAGCTGGGACAACAGGTGGAAAACCACTCAATATAGCCATCAGAAAAATACATGTAGACCTACACCCTGCATCACTCCGTCATGTTTCCCATTCCAAGTTTCCTTTTTTAAACCCCCTCAGTCAGTCCCAAAATTTGAGATAGTCTTTTGGAGCCATGAGTTTGACCATTTCCAATCTGCTAGCATTTGCATAAAGTTGCTTTCCTTTCATCACACTTTGGTTTTTGTATTTTGGCTTTGAAGCTGCAAGCAGCTAGGGTTGCACTCACTGACTGACAGCATCTAGAGTTTCAAGGCTTCTCAGAGACTGATGTTTGGTTGTTCTCTTATTTAAAAATTTTTTACCATTTCTAGATGGTTGCTACTTTTAATGCTTTGACTTACAATTTTCAACTTTATGATGGCTTATCAAGGTATTTATTGCATTTTCAACATATACTATTTATTTTTTGACTTTGTTGGATGTATCAGGATATAACCATATTGTAAGTCACGTAGCATCTGTATAGCCATTTATTAAAATCTTGCAACAATGCTTTATCTTTTTTGTTTGTTCATTGTATAAGACATTAGTTTTTAGAGCAGTTTTAGGTTCACAAAAAATTAAGCAGAAGGTAGAGGGATTTCCAATATAACTCCTTCTCTCACACAAGCATAGCCTCCCACAATATCAACTGCTCATACCAGAGTGGTACATTTGTTGTTACAATTGATGAACTTACACTGACACATTATTGTCACTCTGTCTATAGTTTACATTAGGGTTCACTCTTGGTATTACACATTTTATAGGTTTAGACGTATTTCCAATAACATATATTCACCATTATAGTATCAGACAGAATAGTTTCACTGCTTAAAACTCCTTTATGTTCTTCCTATTCATCCTTCCCTTCTTCATAATGACTTTAAACCACTGATATTTTTAGTGTCTCCATAGTTTTACCTTTTCCATCATGCCTTATAGTTGGAGTCGTACAGAATATGGACTTTCTTCTTTTACTGAGTAGTGTCCATTTAAGGTTCCTCCGTGTCTTTTCATGGCCTTATAGCTCAGTGTTTTTTCAGTCCTAAATAATATTTTACTAAATAGATACATTTAATTCTATTCTCTGATTGAGAAAGGCTTATTGGTTGCTTCCAAGCTTGGGGAATTATGAGTAAAGCTGCTATAAACATCTGTGTGCAGGTTTTTGTGTGTATGTAAGTTTTCGACTCATTTGGATAAATACTATGGAGCATGATTGCTGGACTGAGTAGTAAGAGTGTGCTTAATTTTGTAAGTGATAAATTGTCTTCCCAAGTACCTACACCATTTTACATTTACACTGGCAATGAGAGTTCCTATGCTCCACATCTTTGTCAGCATTTGGTGTTCTCAGTGTTCTCGCTCTTATAATAGGCAGGTAATGGTATTTTATTTTTGTTTTAATTTGCATTTCCCTAATGACATATGACACAGAGCACCTTTTTGTGTTCTCATTTGTCATTGTCATGTGTTCTTTAGTGAAATATCTATTGAGGTCTTTCACCTATTCTTTAATTAGGTTCTGTGTTTTCTTATTATTGGACTTTGAGTGGTTTTTTTTTTTTTTGTATATTTCAGATGATAACCTTTATCAGGCATTTTTTTTTGCAAATATTTTCTCCCAGTCCATGGCTTCCCTTCTCCAGATTATCAGTTACTTTCTCGAGGATATCATGCCTTTGGTCTTGTATTTAAAAATCATCCCCATACCCAAGGTCAACTAGATTTTCTCTAATGCTCTCTTCCAGGAGTTTATAGTTTTTCATTTTACATTTAGGCTTGTAAACCATTTTGGGACAATTTTTGTGAAGGGTATAAGGTCTGTGTTTAAACCTACTTTCTTGCATGTAGATATCCAGGAGTTCCAGCACCATTTGTTGTTTCTGTTTTCATTTGTTTATTTTAGATGAATTTTCTGCTTATCTAATGTTTCAGCAACACTTGTTGAAAAGACTGGTTTTTTTTTCTCTATTGTATTGCCTTCGGTTTTTTTTTTTTTTTTTTTTTTTGGTCAAAGATCAGTTGACTATATTTATGTGAAGCTATTTCTAGGCTATCTATTGTGTTTCATTTATTTATTTGTCTATTATTTTGCCAACGTCATACTTTTTTGATTACTGTGGCTTTATATTAAGTCTGGCAGTAGGAAATCAGTCCTGAAATTTTGTTCTTATTTTTCAATATTGTGGTAGCTGTTCTGGGTCTTTTACCTGTCCAGATAAACTTTAGAATGACAGTTCTCCCTTGATTCTTTTTGGTTTAATTGGTTACAAATTGTTGTAAGTAGAATAATGGCCCCTCAACAATGTTCACGTTTGAATGCCCAAAGCCAGTACAGATGGCTTTAAAGATGTGCTTGATTTAAGATATTACCATTACTTTGAATGGTAAGAACAGCAATTACTTTTGCACCACCCTGATGTCTTGAGATGGGAAGATTATTCTGAAATATCCAGGTGGACTCAATGGAATCACAAGGTCTTTATAAGAAAGTGCCAGGAGGGTTCAGAGTTGGAGAAAGATACATCATGATAGAAAAAGAGGTCAGAATGATGCAACCACAAGTTGAAGAATACAGGAGAAAAGGAAAAAATAAAAAGAGTTCTCCTAGAGCCTCAAGGAGGAATGCAGCTCTGCTGACACCTTGATTTCATCCCTGTTAAACCCATTTCGGATTTCTCACAGCAAGAGTGTAACACATTTGTTCTTTTTGATGCTCCTGAGTCTGTGGTAGTTTACTACTGAAGCAGCAGGAAAGTAATACACAAATCATTTGTATATTTCAGAGTTAGGTGAGATCAGTGATTGGTGTAAGTCCATTTAACAATATAATCCCTTGTTTATCAACCACTATATTTGCACTAGATGATATAGATTACTTAAGAGAAAAAAATGGTATGTTAGGTATTCTTAAAATTATATGACTTTTTAATATACTCTCTAATATGCAGAATCAATTATATTCCACATACACCTTGCCAATGGTGTGTATGTGTAGAATCTACATCTTTAGAGATAATCAGTGCTCATCTATGGCAGATGATATTTAAGTAATTTTATCACCATTTCTTTTCTCCAGTGTGATCTATTCTATTTTCATGAATATTTTTCTCTGCATTGCTAACAAATTTTTTGGTTTATCGCTTTGCAAACAGATACTATTCCCTGTTCTGAAACTAATATATGCTGCTAAAAGCTTTCAAGTAAGAAGTCACCAAAAATCTAATGTCTGTTAAATAAATTAAATTAATAACTTTGGATTTGTACACAAAATGTAAATTAACTAATAATTTATTCATTACATTTTAACATAAAAGAAGGTATAAAACTACCTTTTGGAGACAAACTTTTTTCTTTCTTTTTTCGTTTCTTTTTCCTTCCTTTCCTTCCTTTCCTTCTGTCCTTTCCTTTCCTTTCCTTTCCTTTGCTTTCCTTTCCTTTCCTTTCCCTTCCCTTCCCTTCGCCTGCCTGCCTTTCTTTCTTTCCCTCCCTCCCTTCCTTCCTTCCTTCCTTCCTTTCTTTCTTCCTTTCTTTCTTTCTTTCTTTCTTTCTTTCTTTCTTTCTTTCTTTCTTTCTTTCTTTCTATTTCTTTCTTTTCTTTCTTTCTTTCCACAGAGTCTTGCTCTGTTGCCCAAGCTGGAGTGCAGTGGCACAATCTTGGCTCACTGAAACCTCTACTTCCTAGGTTTAAGCAATTCTCCTGCCTCAGCCTCCTGAGTAGCTGGGATTACAGGTGTGGCCACCATGCCTGGCTGGTTTTTGCATTTTTAGTACAGAGGGGGTTGAAACATGGTGAACTATGTTGGCCAGAATAATCTCAAACTTCTGGCCTCAAGAAATCCGCTGCTCTCGGCTTCCCAAAGTTCTGGAATTACAGGCGTGAGCCACCATGCCCTGCCTGGAGACAAACTTTTCAGTTTGACACTGTTTTGACTCAGGGCTCTCCTAATCATACATTTTTCCATTTACAATATTTCATAATATGTGAATTTGTGCTTAAAAATATATTTATTCCAGTGAAAATATTTACTGGATATTTTTAGTCTAAATGAGTATTTTGGATGCCATTATCCAATATTTTGAGAGAATGTGGGAAAGTTATAGCTTATGTAATTTAGAATTTATCCCATAGTAAATATTATTGGACCACAATGTAGCAACTTTACATTTATATACAAATTGTAATTCATGCTTGATTATAAATGCTAGCTTCATGGTCACACCATTCTTACTTTAAATTGAGCAAGTAAAATTGTTTTGAAAATTCTAATTGCTGAAATATTTGCATTTGTTGGAAGAAATATGCATTCTCCTCAGTCCTTGAGGGAAATTGTAAAACCTATTTTTACTTTATTCCATACCTTCATGTCTGGTTGAGGTAATTTTGCTTCAATGCCACTTTGAAAGTGAGAGGTCCTTGTATTCCCCTTTCTCAGCTGAAAGTAATGAAGCATTACAATTCTCTCCCTATTCTATTAATAGACTTGCTACTGAAGCAGAAGAAATCCAAGGTCTTTTTTTAGATCTTGGAGAATTTTACAACAGTATCATGAGCAGGAGACCATAGAAAAAGCAAACAAAGCAAAACCTACTTTTTGATGTGATAGGAGATTTAGTTTGCTTATCAAATACTTTATACTGATCTAGCATTTTTTTCTTTTTCAAGCTAAGAACACAATAAATAAATTATTTTGGCCTATATTTTTCAATTGGGAGAGAAAATTTTTTAAGTGTCAATATCCGGAGACAATACATCAACATTTTAATAATTTCAGAATATATAAATTGAAGTGAATATAGATTTCTGCTTAATTCGCTATTTATCAAAATGAAATCTGATTTTAGGGGAAATGATTACAGTAAGCCATATCAATTAGTTATTTTGTACTATAATTTCTTAAATTTTCATGCAAACAAAATAATTGAGCTGTGAAAAAGCTTTAACTTAGTGTAATTGTGGAAAATATCTAAATATTGCATCTTGAATTATCTCTGCTATGATGTTTACACTAAGCAAAACTATCCACTATATACTACTTGCTGGAGATGGTAAGAAAATAAGGGATTACATTATGTTGTCTCACTTGGAAATAGGATATTTATAAATTAAATTGGTGGGAGTTTGCTTTTTCCCTCCTGCATTTGCTGTACTTTCTCACTAGCAAAACTTTTGGGTACACTTGGGATGGGACTAAACCTCATCCACACCTCAATAAGTGGCCTCTAAGGGGACTAAACCTGTGGTTATTTATCCAGGGTGTATATTAGAATAAATCAGAAAGTTGTCTTGCTTATTGTTTTTAATATTCATATTTTTAATATTGTTAACAACAATACCTAACCAAGTAATAATACACTTTCATTGATTAATTGATTAGGTCTAGGAGGACATAACTAAGATCAGTATATTTTTTAATGTCCATACACGAGTCTAATATGCAGGCAACATTGGAAGTCACTGGATTAAACTATTCAAGACAGTCCTAACGATCTCATTCAGTATGCATCTTCCTAAACTACTCAATGGGATGTGATGTATTATTATCTAGTCTGCAAGACCTGACACAAAAGTAAAAATCAGTGTGGAAATCCGAACATTATCTGGTAATTCTAGGGTACAAATTATCTTTCTTACACTTCAAAGATTGGTGTATATATATGATGTGTAATACTGCTTCAGTCATTCAGAGGATGAAGCCAGCACAAAGACTGATGAAGTCCCAGGAGAATCACAGAAATTTTGATATAGTTTTGATTATATATCACATGCAGTATGGAACCTTGACCATTTTCAGTACAGTCAACAAGAAAAAAACTCTTTCCTTCTTTGATTAGAGTTGATATTACCTTACTTAAAACTTAAATTATTTTTACATAGACGTCCTTTAGCCTTGCACTTGCCACTTAAATTTACTTTAAATTCTTTTATTTTATTTTAAGCATTTTGCTCATTCTTAATTATAAAATGTATTTTATTCCTTCAGTTGACTGCCATATTTAATCTAGACAGAAAAACAAGAAACTAGGTAAACATGGTGATGAATTCTAAGTAGTCAGGCAATATCTCAATAACAAAAGAGAAGAATTTCCATGGACAAGATTGGATGCTATTTCCACTATTATACACCAGGATATTGGACATTTGGTCTACATCATTGAGAAAAAAATGTATGGAAGTATTGGAAACTAAATCAGATACATATAAATAATTTCTCACATTAAATTAAATAATATCTGAATTAAAATATTTTTCATGAAAATCTCAAAGTACAACATAATTACCAAAAATAGTTGCCTTCGCATGGGAGCAGCAATGTAATATAACCCAGTATAAAGTAAAACAAATTTAAAAATATAAAATGTTTATCATATATATGAGAATTAAAAAGTACATAAAAACATCTACTAGGAGGCATACGATAAAATTATTTAACTTTTAAGAGAAAGTTTTTGTTTTTAAATGTATTTAAAAGATATTACTTGATATTGGAAAATGATATATAACAAAATATATTCTTCAATTTTTATATACTATCAAACCATCTAGAAGAAATTAAGTAAAATTAAACTGAGTAAAATGTTTATAATAGACCCAATAGGCTCACTATTGCTAAGCCTTTTAAATTGGGATATAGTCAACAGATTTAAAGAAATAGTTCATTTAAAAATTTTACAGCAGATAGAATATACATTATTTGTTTTTATTTGTTATAAAATACAAATTTGCCAAATGAAGTATCAATTTTTACCTATGAAAATTATACTTTTTACGAATTAATAATAAGGTTTTCTAGAGATAGATACTCTCTTCTTAACACTACTGGTAAAGTCTATATAACTAAAATAAAATATAATGAAACAATTGGTAATATATATTCAACAACCCAAGTTAGGTGTATACTTTGATCTTTTACTTTATTCACTGCATTGTGTTTTATCATGGACAACCCCCAATACAAACCCACAAACACAAATGCATTGAATTTTCCTTTGAGTTTATATTATACAAAATTGACTTTTTCGTGGCTTACACATATTTTTGAAAGTATCGACAACATCATATCCTTGATTTTTATTCAAAATAAGCTATAAAAATGAATTATTTTATTCCTTTGATCTCCAAATCTAATATGGTGGTATATCCATAGATTCTACCTCTGAATTATATTTGATTGCATTTTATATTGTCATGGTCTCTCTCTTAACCCACGCTGTTATTATTTTTTAATTTAGACGGCAGCTAATTTACTCACCTCCTTTTTTTGTCTCTTCTACCTCTTCAATTCTTTTAATCCAATTTAGCCCTCTTGGTTCAAATAATACACAGGCAAATGGGTTGAAAATATGGAAAAAATAAACAAATATATAAATACTCATTCAGCAATGTACTCTGGATTGGACAAAAAGATCCTGAAATGGAGATAAAAAAGTTCATGTCAGATAAAAAGAAACTCAGTTAAGACTTAATCTAAGCCTTGAGGGATATAGTGGCAGAAAACATTTGCAGATATAGGAGTAATGAATTTTAAGTAGATGGAACAATGTACTGATAATCTAAATCTTGAAAGTACTAATGTGCTTGGAAGTTAGTGTGTCTAGAAATTAGTGGGTAAAAAAGTGAGTGAGTGATCTTTGATGCATTTAGAAAAGTAAGTGAGAGCAGAGTATTCAGAGTTTGGTAGGGCATTGTGAGGAGATTTAATTTTTTTTCTAAAAACAATGGAAAATCTTTACGTATATTAAGAGGGAATCAGATAGAAACTATTCTGATCTCTTTGAGCAGATCACCCCCAGCTCTAATCAACATTGAAAATATGTTTGCAATTCTATTAATTTCTATGTTGGACAACATTTGATTCAAGTGTATATTATTCATTTACTTTTTGTGCTTTAATTTTTATCTCATTCTTGGAAATCATTAATTTTAACAGAATATATTTTCAGATTTTTAAAAATTTTGCTTTGGTTTCCATAAATCAATGAGAACACATTAGAGCTTCTATCAGACAAAATTATCATGTATTTTCTGTAGTTTCTGCATTTCACTAGAGATTATTTTCTTTGAAAGCAAAACTGCAGAATGTCTAAGATAAAATGAGACTGAATCATCATGTGTCATGAATTATAATATGTGTTTAAATCAGTGGCCTTAAATATTTATAAGACTAACATGAAAAGGTTGGAATTTAAGACATAAATATCTATGTCATGTGTGTAACGAAATAAAACAAAGAAAAGCACAAACATTATTCCTAAGAGGAAGATAAAAATTAAAGAAATTGAATATATGAAAACAGCATAAGTAGTTTAGTAAATGTAAACTTAAAAATTATAAATATGCACTATATATGTCATAACACATGTACTGTTTATAAATAATATATAGTTGATACTGTAGATTATACTTTTATACAGCATAAAATAAATTGGTAGAGTCATTACAGAAAAAAATCATGGTAGTTCCTCAGAAAATTAAAAAATAGAACTACTCTATGATCCAGCACTCTCACTTCTGGGTATATATCCAAAGGAAGAAATCATTATCCGTGAAAAGATATCTGCACTCCCATTTTCACTGCAGAGCTATTCACAATAGCCAATATATGGATACAACCTAAGTGTTCATCACTGGCTGAATTAATAAATAAAATATGATACTGCAGATAGACATAACCTTATTCCGTCTTTAAAAAGAAGGAAATCCTGCCATTTGCTGCAACATGGATGAATCTATAGAACATTATGGTAAGCAAAGTAAGTCAGGCATATGATCTCTTTTTTTTTTTTTTTTTGAGACGGAGTCTTGCTCTGTCACCCAGGCTGGAGTGCAGTGGCGCGATCTCAGCTTACTGCAACCTTTGCCTCCTGTGTTCAAGCAATTCTCTGTCTCAGCCTCCTGAGTAGCTGGGATTACAGGTGCCCACCACCACACCTGGCTAATTTTTGTATTTTTAGTAGAGACGGGGTTTCACCATCTTGGCCAGGCTGGTTTTGAACTCCTGACCTCGTGATCTACCCGCCTCGGCCTCCCAAAGCGCTGGAATTACAGGTATGAGCCACTGCACCCGGCCCATCTCTCTTATATGTGCAACCTAAAACATTTTAACTCGTAGAAAACAGAGTAGAATGGGGGTTACCAGGGATTAGAGGGTGGAGAGAATGGGGTGGATGCTGGTCAAAGGATACAAATATTCGGTTTAACAGAATGAACGAGTGAACAAGTTCTAGAACTTTAAAGTCATCATGGTGACTATAGTAAGTTATACTATATTGTATACTTGACATTTGCTAGGAGGATTGATCTTAAATGTTCTCACAATAACAAAAAGAAACCTATGGGAATGGTGCACACCATCACATGGCACACAGTAAATAAATGCATTTTTAATTTCTCAACTATACAATAAATCTAGGGGAAAAAGAACAAAAAAACACGTAATGTGAGCAAAAATAAGGACTTAAACATGTTTTTGGTCATGTTTAGGAAACTGTACTTAAAAATTGTCCTATAGTATTCCCCCAAGCGATAAAAGGAAATACGTATTTTGGACAAGAACTTTGGTATTTTTGTGCCGAGTAATTATGTGATGTAAAATATTTGGATTTTTCTATAGATAGTTAAGTGTAACCTAGCAGTAGCAATTAGAATACTATAAATAATTTCAACCTGAAATGTTTTCAGAGTAGGGCAATAATAAGTATGATTTCTTGCCTTACAACCGCATATCCAAGGCCTGTATTATTGAATAACTTTGCTTTGCAGGTTTGCATATACCCATTATTTTTCTTTACAAACTTTTCTGGATAAATGATTTCATTAATGACAAAAACGTGAACATCAACTTTTACTTCATTTTGCAGAAATGATGCTCCACAAAAGTGCCAATGTATGTTTTAACATTTTCTGAGAATATGAATAACATTTTGTCAATATTTTTATTTTAGTAAATGTATTATGTCTATGAAAAGGAAATGGAATAAAATATTTTGAGATAAAATGTAAATAGTTTTATCACGCTTGTCATTTCAATTCATCTAAAATAAGACACATGTCGACCAGAATGTACCCTGCATCACTGTATTGATTTATTTTAATTGCATACAAATTCACATACACACACAATACTATGGAAGAAAGTTAAAATGTTTAATGGTTATAAGTCTACCCTCATGGTACATAACACTATGCCAAGGGAAAAAAAATAGTAAGTTAATTAACATGGAATATATTTTATACATATGTGAGAATTAACTGTCACTCAAACTGTAACTTCTTTGTACAGTACTTTCTATAATAAAGTATTACAACCACAGGAAGTAAATTCTTTTGAAATTAGCTATGGCTATTTCAAGCCTCATGAAAATAAACTGTGTTATTTGTAAGGGTTATAACAGAAGATAAAATATCTAAAGGAGCTATCACTCCCAAGATACCACAGCAGTATAGATTACCCATAAATCCTATGAACCATAGCTATTCCTATTGAAAGAGTAACAGCCACTCTATAAGGTATCGTGAGGTTATAAAGGAATTTGACAGTCTTACGAACCATATTCATTTATTTTATAGAGAACATGTACCAGTACTTGTTTTATAGGATTTATAAGTGTTTCAATAAAAAGACATTATAGAAATGCAAAATAATTGCAGTAGTAGTGATATCTTTACTTTTATATTTTTGCAAAAATCTCCACTAATCCACTTATGGAAAATAATAAACCTACCCCTTAACTATTAAGAATATCAGCTAAAAATATTTCTTTCTGACTTTTATACATATTCTCATATTCCACAATAATCTAATCTCTCATTATCATCCACTGAGGTTATATACTGTAAACTCAGCAATTAATAGTTTTAACTTTATTTCCCAAAATATGCTATTAGAATTTATAATACTTAAGGCACTATTATGTATTTTCTTAAATTTTACACATAACACTCAGATTTTAAAATCAACAAACACTTATAATCATTGATATTCACTGAATATATTGATGATTTTAGATAATCTGACATTTAATTTTACTTATTTTCAGCTGTATGATTGATATAATTTAATTCATATTTATTATTGTTTTGAAAAATTACTCTTATCTGCAGAAATCCCTTTCTTTCACATATTAAATAACAAAGATGTGAAAATTACTGATTTCATTTTATGATTAAAATACATTAAGCAATTGAGTGTGGTGGCTCACACCTGTCATCTCAACATTTTTGGAGGCTAAGGTGGGAGCATTGCTTGAGGCCAGGAGTTCAAGACCAGCCTGGGCAACACACTGAGAAGCCATCCCTGCAAAAACAAAAACAAAAACAAAAATTAGCTGTGTGTAGTAGCATGCACCTGTAGTCCTAGCTACTCAGGAGGCTGAAGTGGGAGAATTACTTGAGCCCAGGAGTTAGAGGCTGCAGAAGCCAAAATATGGACTCAATCTAATTGTCCATTAACAGAAGAATGAATAAAGAAAATGTGGTATACATACAAAATGGCACACTTTTCAGCTATAAAAAAGAAAGAAATCTTGTCATTCGTAGCTTCATAGATGAGCTTGAAGGACATTATGTTAAGTCAAATGAGCCAGGAACAGAAGAAAAATATATCTCATGTTCTCACTTATGTAAGGAAGCTAAAAAAGTTGATGTCATAGAAGCAGAGAGTAGAATAATGGTTACTAGAAGATGGGAAGGATAGGACGAGAAGGGAATAGCCAGAATTTGGTTAACATATACAAAATTACAGCTAAATAGGAAGAATAAGTTCTAGTGTTCTATAGCACTTTGCGATTAATATAATTAACAACAATTTGTTGCATATTTTCAAATAGCTAGAAGAGCAGATTTTGAATATTCCCAACACAAAGAAATGACAAATGTTTGAGGTGATGAGTATGCTAATAACTTTGATTTTGATCTTTACAAGTTGCATGCACTCATAAAAATAGCATACTATACCTCATAAATATATACAATTACTATGTGGCAATTAAAATTGATAATAAAATAAAAAATAAAGATGTTATGATGCTAGAAGCACAGAAAGAGTTTAAGATGCTACAATAATGCTGCCTTTTAAGGTATAGGAAAGGACCACAAGTCAAGACATAAAGACAGCCTCTAGAAGCTGAAAAGTTGCAGGAAAGGAATTCTCTCTCCCCTGAAGCCTCTGGAAGGAACTAGCTCTGGTCACACCTTGACTTTGGACCAATGAGACTAATTTTGTACTTCTGACCTCCAAAGCTGTATTATAATAAATATGTGTTGTTTTTGTAGCTGGATGTAGTGGTGCACAGCTGTAGACCAGCTATTTGTGAAGCTGTGTCAGGAAAATCACTTGATCCCAGTAGTTCAAGTTTGCAGTGACCTATGATTGTGCCACTGCATTCCAGCCTGGGTGAAGGAGTGAGAACCTACCTGTAAACAAATAAATAAATAAATAAGTTTTGTTTTATTATACTTTTGGTTATTTGTTACATCTGTGACAGGAAATTAATGCATCTGGGAATTGAAACTTACATCTTTCTCAAGGCCACAGGAAAACATGAAAAGTCCACCTCATATTGAGGGATATGAAGGAGGTATGAAAGAGGGTCTTTTATTTCCAGTACATCATAAAAACTTCTGAATCCTTTCTCCAAATATGAAACCCAATGGTTTTTTCTCCTTCCTTGTCTTATTTTGAAAAATAAGTATTTGAGTTGGTAATATATCAGTGCCTATGATCTAGCCACCTAGAGAAACTGTAGACTATTTTCTCAGAGATTACGCTACTGACCCAGAGCCTGGATACAAAACCAGATCTGTGTGTCTTCTTTAGATAAAGAATAGAATAGAGAAAGAATAGAAGGAATCTGTTCAGGTGTCTTGCCCATTTCTTAATTGGATTATTTGTTTTCTTTCTGTAGAGTTGAGCTCCTTATATATGTTGGGTATTAGCCCCTTATTAGATGTACGGCTTGCAAATATTTTCTCCCAATTCATAAGTTGTCTTTTCACTCAACGAATTGTTCGCTTTGATAAGCAGAAGCTTTTTATTTTGATGTAATTCCACTTATCTATCTTTGTTTTTGTTGCCTGGGCTTTGGGGGTCAAGTATTAAACAAAAATTGTCCAGACCAATGTATGATACTTTTTTCTTTAGGTTTTCTTCAAATAGTTCTCAAGTTTCAGGTCTTATGTTTAAGTCTTTAATCAATTTTGAGTTAATTTTATTATGTTGTGTGAGATAAGAGTCCAATTTTATTCTTTTGAATATGGATATCCAGTTTTCCCAACACCAGTTCTTGAGAAGACTATTCTTTTCCCATTTGTATATTCTTGGCACCTTTGTGGGAGATCAGCTGACTGAAGATGTGTGACTGTAGATGTTTGGGTTTATTTCTGAGTTCCCTATTTTGTCGCATTAGTTTATGTGTCAGTTTTTAGGCCAGTAGTAGCATGTTGTTTCAACTACTATCACTTTGTAGTATAGTTTGAAATATGGTAGTGTAATGCCTTCAGCTTTGTTCTTTTTGCTCATGATTGCTTTGGCTATTTGCATTCTTTATGGTTCCATATGAATTTTAGAATTTTTTTCTTAATTTATAAAAAAGATATTGGAATTATGATAGGGATTATACTGAATATGTAGTTCACTTTGGGTAGTATGGAAATTTTAACAATATTTATTTTTCCAGTCTATGAACAGATACATCTTTCTATTTATTTGTGTCTTCTTCCATTTCTTTAATTAATGGCTAACAGATATTAAAAATTATTGACATCATTAATCATTAGGGAAATGAAAAATTAAAATCACAGTGAGATAGTGCCTCATACCTATTAGAATGACTTTCATCAGAAAGAGGAAAGAAGACGAATGTTGACAGGGAAGTGGATCAAAGGGAATCCTTGTACAATGTTGCTGGAAATGTAAATTAGTACAACCATTATGGAAAATAGTGTGGCGATCCCTGAAAAAATCAAAAATAGAATTACCTATGATCCCTCAATCCCACTTCTGTCTGGGAATTTACCCCCAAAATTTGAAATCAGTATGTGGAAGACATGTCTTCAATCCCATGTTTATTGCAGCAGTATTTACAATAGCCATATTATGGACTCAGGCATCTATCAAAGGATAAATGTTTAAAGATGTGGTATATATACAAAATGTCATACTCTTAAATCTCAAAGACCTAAAGACAGAAATACCATTTGACCCAGAAATCCCATTACTGGGTATATACCCAAAAGAATATAGATCAACTTTAAAATAAGGAAGAAATTCTGCCGTTTGCAACAACATGGATGGAGTTGGAGAAGATTTTGCTAAGTGAAATGTGACAAACACAGCAAGAAAAATACCACATGTTCTCCCTCATATGTGGAGTCAAGAAAAGTTGAACTCATACAAGCAAAGACTAGGAGGTGGTTATCAAAGGCTAGGAGGTGGGGAGAATAGGGAGATGATAGTCAAAGAGTACAAAGCCTCAGTTAGGAAGAATTGTATTTAATTTTTTAGATCAATATCACAGCATGTTAAATATAGCTGTACATTTCAATATTACTAAATTACAACTTGTCTATATACAACAACAACAACAAAAAACAGATCTGCGTTTGAGCTTGAATCTTGCCAAATAGTTTCTGGATATTTCATCCCCCGCCCCCACCTTTACTTTTTTTTCCATCCACAACATAGTTCCTGACTCTTCCTCCCCTAGGACACATAGTTTAACCCTTTGAATTGGTAAATAGAAACAAACACAGTGTAACCTCTTACTGGTCTGGGCAAGAACATTAAATCAGGGAAAAAATCATTTAGGCTAGACTAATAACAACTAAGACATATACTTAATCCCTGGAATATTGAATCTGTTACCATCCTAGGGACACTAGAGATAGTTTCTTCCTTCCCCTCCTGCTAAGGCACATGCAATAATTTCATAACATGGTTTAAGTTCATTTATATTAATTATTATGAGTATGAAAAATAATGTAAACTTTGTTCTACCACATTTATTGTCAAGCAATGGAGGATAACTTTGCTTGAGTAGCTTTTGTCTATTTTTTTCTTAATTGATTGAAGTAAAAACAAACAAACTTGTTTTTAGACTTCACACTACTCGGAGTGTTCAATGGAAAAATAGTCCACAGGACAAAACCAAGAGTCAAATGTCACCTAATTCTGAATTTTTTACTCTTCATGCTTCTATGTTGAAGAGTCATGGCTTGGACAATGTCTGATACCCCTAGCATCAGGGATACTGGAAGTAAAATAAATTGTTATGAGACGCTGACTGCTAAGATTCTCTGCTGTTGTGACTTTATATAGATTATTTCCCAGGCTAGGTATCATAGCAGAGTTGGGTTTGCGGGGTCAGTACTGAGTACTTGAGGGTTAATCTGGTAGCTACCCATGATTTCTAGGTATAAAATTCTTCTATCTTAAATCATGTAACCAAGGACTGTATAATTATTTCACTATAATGATATTTAAGACGTAAGTTTATTGTACTATAGTTATTGTTCAGCTGGTAAAACAATTCCAACATCTTCTCTAAATAATAATTTGAAAATGTCTTTCTAATAAATCAAACTAAACCATAGCAACATTTTGTGAAAATTTATATTTATACGTATTTCATCAAAGTAGCATCCCTAATTAGATGAATGATGGACTGAATAACCAATTATATTGTTAATTTTTCATTCTGACATCCCATTCCATTTATTTCAATTATGATATTTTATGTGTATTGTGAATTATTTGTATGATATATTACCTCATGCATTTTTAACAAGACAAATTGTGCTGAAAAGAGCACAGTATTTGATAAAAATTTCCTAAAATAAGGGCAGAAATTCTGACATAAATATGTATATTTTTGAAGAAAATCAACACTTTTTAATTTTGGTTTGTAATTCTTAAGACAATATTTGTACTAATTGTTAAGAGATCAAAACAAAATTTAAGAATTACCCAATGTAATTAAAGTAGTCAGATATTTATAGAATATATTAATTTTTATTGATGACATGAAATTTGCCAACTGGGAAAAGTCAAACACAAGCACTTTGTTAAAATTATAAATATTTAAATAAGACAGTAAAGTGTGAAAGAAAAGAAAGAAATGATTGTATTTCTCATATGATTGTCTTTTTTGGTTTGTAAAATTATATTTCTTTTTTTCACTAATTTTACCTTTTCATACAATGAAAATATGAATAAAAAATAAATCTTTTTTTTGAAATGAAAATATTCTCAGTAAGTGGCTTGGTCATTTCAAATATGATATTTGTGTGTATATGTATATGTATTATTAACAAAGTAATTAATTTTTGCTATTATCACTATTAATATTGTCTTGTTAAGAACAATGCATTAAAAGAATAAAAGTAAATATGAGCTCTACCAACAGAACAAAGTGTGTATAAATATTAGTCTTTATATAGGCAGTTATTACCAGAATTTTTAAAAAGAGAGCCTATCGTAAATTTATTTAAATTACTGAGGAAGCAATCTATCACAAATCTATCCAAATTGCAAGGCAAATTTGAAATTGTGATAGATCTTTAAAAAGACACAATTTTTGCCATCCCTGTCTGAATATCGTTTGCAACTTGATTTTGCAGCTTCTCTCTTGAATAGGTGGGGTCTGTTTTCTTACCCTTTCTGTCAGGGCTTTGTTAGATGACTAGATTTAACCAATGATTCATGAGCAAATGTGACACATGCAAGAGACTTGAAAAGCATTTCACATTGTATCAGTTCTCTCTTGATGCTTTTATGCTAGCCTGCTGGATGGTGGGAGGTACTACGCAAAGTTAGCTCTGTTGACCATCTGGTGTTTGTTACCAGGGATATAAGTTAGGGCATCCTCAAAAACTCAGCCTCATCAGCTGGCCTATACCAAAATTTAGTATTGCCAGTGTTTTGAATTTTGGAGATTCTCATAGGCTTGTAGTGTAGATTCTCATAGGTTTGTTTTAAATTACATTTTCCTGATGACATATAATGTGAAGCACTTTTTTCATATGCTTATTTTTCATTAGTAAATCTTTGGTGATGTGTCTGTTGTGATCTTTCGTTCCTTTTTAAAGTCAGGTTTTTTGTTTTCTTACTATTTAGTTTTAATAATTCTTTATATATTTTGAATAATAGTCCCTTATCAGGGTCTTTTGCTTCTCTGTATAAACTTTGGAATCAGTCTCTCAATATCCAAAAACTAACTTGATGGAATTTTAAATGGTGTTACATTGAATCTGTAGATCATGTTGGAGGGAACTGACATCTTGACAATATTGAGTCTTTCCATAAACACGGAATATATCTCCCTGTATTTAGTTTCTTTTAATTTCATTTGTCATAGTTTCGTAGTTTTTCTCACACAAATCTTATACAAATTTTGTTAGATTTAATTTTTAGGGATGCTAAAGTAAATGGTAGTATGTTTTTAATTTCAAATTTAATTTGTTTTTGGCTGGCATAAAGGAAAGCCATTGACAATTATATATTAACCTTGTATCCTGAAAACTTGTTATAACCCTTATTAGTTTCAGGACTTCGGATTTTTTTGTGAGTTCTTTCAGATTTTCTACATAGGTGACCACGTTATCTGAAACTGGTAAAAGTTTTATTTCTTCCCAATTTATATACATTTTATTTCTTTTACTTTTCTTATTGCATTAGCTAGGACATCCAGCATCGTGTTGAAAGGAGTAGTGAGAGGGGACATCCTTGCTTTGTTCCTGATCTTAGCAGGAAAGTTTCTAGTTTCTCATCAAGTGTGATGTATTCTTTTTTATTTGTTTGTTTGTTTTTGTAAATGTTCTTTATCAGTTGAAAAAGTTCTCCTCTATTCTTAGTTTGTGAACAATTTATCATGAATAGGTATTAGATTTTGTCACATGCTTTTTCTGCAACTATTGATATGATTGTGAGCTTTGCTTTAATTTATTTAGCCTGTTGATCTGATGTATTACATGGATTGATAATTGAATGTTGAACCTGCCTTTCACACTTGGGATAAATCCCAGTTGGTTGTGATGTATACATTGTTGGATTGAATGTGTTAATATTTTTCAGCGGTTTTGCTTCTTGATTATGAGAAATATTGGTGTATATTTTTCATTTCTTGTATTTCTCTGGTTTGGGTATTAGGATTATGTTGGCCTTATAGAATGAGTTAGGAAGTATTGCCTCTGCTTCTATCTTCTGAAAGAGATGGTAGAGAATTGGTATTAATTCTTACTTAAATGTTGATTAGAATTCACCAGTGAAATGGCCTCATGCTCTCTTGGGTGGTTATCAATTACGAATTCAACTGCTACAACAGATATAGTCCTATTCAGGTTTTTTATTTCTTGTTATGTATGTTTCGGCAGATTGTCTCTCAAAGAATTGGTCCACTTGATCTAAATTATTAAATGTATGGGCATAAAGTTGTTTAAAGTATTATTTTATTACTCTTCTGATGTCCATGAGATCTTAATGATGCCCCCTTTTTTATTACTGATATTAGTATCAGTATATGTATATGTGTGATCTCATTTTTTTTTCTCAGAATGGCTAGAGGATAATTGAGATTAGTGACCTTTGTAAATTGCCATTGTTCGGTTTTGTTGGTATTGTCTATTGATTTACTTTTACAGTTATTGTTTTTTAGTTGATATATTTAGATCATTGGTGTTTAACATGATTATGGATATGGTAGGATACTATTATATTTGTTATTTTTCTATTCATTGCTTTTGTTATTTGCTTATATTTTTGTTTTCCACTCTTTTTTGCCATTGGTAGTTTATTAAACATTTTAAAATGAAATTCACTTTTTCCTTTTTTAGCATATCATTTATTCTACCTTATTTATGTATTTATTTATTTTGGATAAATGTAAAAGGTACAAGTGCAATTTTGTTACATGCATATATTGCGTAGTAATGAAGTCTGAGATTTTAGTGTATCCATCACCTTAATAATGTACATCATATTCATTAAGTAATTTCTGATTATCTACCTACCTTTGAACTCCCCACCCTTTCAAGTTTCCAATGTCTATCACTCCACACTCTATGTCCATATATACACATTATTTTGCTTCCACTTATAAGTGAGAACATGTAGTGTTCCCCTTTCAGTTTCTGTGTTATTTCTAGAGTAAAATATGTGCAATTAATCTAACTCTTCTTTTAAATAACACTACAGTGTTTCGTGGGTAGTGTGAGTATCCTATAATAGCAAAATATTCCTAATTTCTCCCTCCCTCCTCTTTTACTATTGCTGTTATTCATTTGACTTACACTAAAATATCCATAAATATTATTTTATAGATATATGTAGGCATTTTTATGCATAAGCATACAAAATCAAAAATGGTACTGCTATCATTATTTTGAACAAACCGTTAACAGCTTTATTAATTAAGAATAATAAAAATAAAAGTGTTTATTTCCATCTATTTCTTTTCCAGATTATTTTTCTTTCTTCATGTAGATATATGTTTTGACCTATATCAATTTCCTCCTCTCTCAAGAACTTCTTTAATATTTCTTTCTGGGCATGTTTACTGGCAACAAATTCTTTCATTTTGGGGGGTCTGAGGAAGTCTTTATTTCTCCTTCACTTTTGAAAGATAATTTCATAGGACACAGAATTCTGGGTTGATTTTTTTTCCTCTTAACATTAAATGCTTTGTTTCATTTTGTGTTGTTCACATGTGTTTTAAGGAAAAGTCAGAGCTAATTCTCATCTTTGCTCCTTATAGGTAACATTAATTCTCCCCTTTGGCTTCTTTAAATATATATTTTTTTTACCTTTGAGTCTCTGCACTTTGAACAGTAATATGTTTTCAAATGGCTTTCTTGTTGTTTGTTTTTGTTTGTTTATTTTTACATTTATTCTGCTTGATGTTTCCTGAGATGCCTGTATATGTGGTTTGGTGTCTTGCATTAATTGGGGAATTCTCAGTCAGTATTGGTTCACATATTTCTTCTATTCCTTTCTCTTTCTTCTTCTTCTGGTATTTTATTACATATGTTATACATTGTGTTGTTATTCCACCATTCTTGGATATGTATTTGCTCACTTTTTTCTCTTTGCTTTTCAGTTTTGAATGTTTCTATTCTTTTCTTTATTTTTATTCATTTATTTTTATTTATTTTTTTTACTTTAAGTTCCAGGATACAAGTGCAGAATGTGTAGGTTTGTTTCTATTCTTATAACCTAAACCTCAGAGATTCTTCAGCTATGTATGGTCTATTAATGAGTCCATCATAGGTACTCTTCCTTTTGTTACAATGTTTTTGATCTCTATAAATTTTTTATTCTTTCTTCTATTTTTATTTTCTTCACTTACCTTGCTAATTTGTTATTATATACTGTCTACATCATTCTTTAGCACCTTTAACAGATAAATTATAGCTGTTTTCAATTTCCAGTCTGATAATTTCAATAACTCTGTCATATTCAAGTCTAAATCTGATGCTTGCTGTGTCTCTTCAAACTGTGTTTTTTTTTCCTTTTCCTATGCCTTGTAATTTTTTCTTAATATGGACATGATAAGGAACTGTGATAAGTAGGCCTTTTATAATGTGGTATAATATGGGAGGACAGGAAGCATTCTATAGTCATATGATTAGGTCTAAGTCTTTTAGTGTACCTTGACTGTGAACCTCACAAGTGTCTCTGTGTTTTTCTCCCACCTTAGATGGGACGGATAGACTGCTGTGGGCTGATATTATGTATTTCCTTCCCTTATGTGGCAAGCTAGCAAGATCTAGGGTTGAGTATTTCTTTTCCCATGTATCTGTTAGGCTGAAAAAACCCCAATAAATTAGACTCTGGTAATAACATTTCTCTTGAGGGCAGATCTGGTTACAAACAAACCAGAATGTTCCAGCATATTTCTAAATGATTGCTTTCCCTGTCCGTTTGTGGAAAGAACGAGGAGATTTTTCTTCTCATTTTCACTGTGAAAATCTAGTACAGCCTTAAGAGATAAACTTTACAAAAATGGAGAAAACTTTTTTTTTTTTCCTAACGTGCAGACTTGTCCACAGAGAACATCCCACAGTTCATCAATGAGAGTTGAGCTTTTTCTACTGCAGTACTGAGCTTCCATGGAGGTTTCTGCTTGGGATTTTCTGCTTTTGTAAAGTGTGATTTATTCTGTGTCTGCCTGTCTGCCTCTCAACTCGGGAGAGGACAGTGGTTTGCCCTATAACTTCACTTCTCTGAAGGACTTAAGAAGAGTCATTTATTTTTTAATTTGTTCAGCATTTTACTTGTGGTTAGAAGAGAATGGTGACTTCCAATCTGATTACATGCTGGGCTAGAAACTGGAAAACCCGCATACCAATTTTTTACCAGTTCAGAATCTATACCTTTAAACAAAGTTTTAAAACAGTTTTAATACTTAGATAAATTTGCCTTGATACCATTTCAATTCAGTGAATGTAGTAACCATGTAAATAATGAAATCAATCATTTTCAAATTTATACAGACACATTTAGGTAAAAGAGACATGATCAACTTTGACAAGTCACTTTCATAAATTCATTCTAAAACACAAGTTAAATAAATAAATTGCTCTATATGTGTTTCCATTAATGAAAGCTTTTGATAAAACATAATAAATACTTCAATATCCTTGGGTGACTCCTATTTTGTGGCAAATGTAAAATATATTTGAGAAATGTTCCTTTGTGTACCACTATAATTTCTGTTGGTTAAAGTTTTTTAAAAAATCGTTGAGTTTACATAAATCAACATTTCAAGGTCACGATTCTCTTTTCAATCTTATCTGTGTGATTAATTACCACATGTTAAAACAGAGCTATTCGCAGTTAAAAGTGATACAATGCTTTTATATTTTTAAATAGCAGTCCCTGTGTTTAGCCTGTATGAGGAAGACTGAGTTAGTGAGATTTAAATACATGCTCACCTTACTCCCCTTCTTTGAAAATTGGTCATTGTCTGCATAGAAATTTGATAATTGTTAATCACTGAGGAATCTGGACAGCCTTGAGTCACTCTCCCACTCCCAAAATTAGCTTCCAAAGTGATTCTGTCCTAGGTAGCAGAATCCACACTTTCATTATATTTATTTTAAGAATATGACATCTATTCCAGTTGTTTTTTATTGGAAATCCTTAGGAAGGTCTTCTGTTCTTGTGAGTGCTGCAACTAAACATGGGACAATACTAAACTATATTTAACATACAGCTGGCCCATTGTATTGGTGGGTTCTGCTTCCATGAATTCAACCAACTGTAGATCACACATATTCAGAAAGAGAAAAGAAAAAATAACAATATGACAATAAAAAATATGAACTAAATTTCAGTATAAGAACTATTTACAAAACATTTTACATTATATTAGGTATTACATACAATCTAGAAATGATTTAAAGTATACAGGAGGATATATGTAGGTTATACGCAAATACTATGCCATTTTATATAAGGGACTTGAGCATCTATGAATTGCTGTATCCATGGGTGATTCTGAAACCATTTATCTGCATATACCAAGGGAAGACTGTATCATGAAATTTTATAAAGATGTTAACTAGAGAAACAAACAAAAAGAACTTAAGCTCTTTGTGTGATTTCTTTAAGAGTCTTCCTCCAAGATAAAATGCATACAAATATTGTGTACTAAACTTTCGATATTGCAGACAAATATTGCCATGTAAGTTATTTTTATATATATATATGCAAAATATGTGAATTCATAAAATATGATTTTTATATAATATGTAAATGTAGCTCAATGGTTGTATGTATTTAACCATTTCAAAAGACAAATAGTAATTTTAAAACATCTGCTTTAAATAATTCATTGTATATTTCAATACAACGTCACATTTCATACCCTGACCACTGTTATGAACCTACAGGCATTATGAAATCCCTTTTTTCTCTTAAATTAAAATAATATCTGACACAGTAGAGAATATTATAATAAAATAAATGTTTACCTTAAATACTAATTTTTTGTAATGCTCTCCATTCACTATATTTCACTTTTATGCATAGCATAAAATTTAAAAGGAAACCTTGAAATGCATAATTTAATGTTAATTCTATAAAATATTTATACTAATACAATTGTTGTAGATATTTATGTATTTCTTTTACTTTTGCAGATTTTTTTTTCAATTTTTGAATATGTTTTTAAATAGTATAATTTATCTCATTGTCCTGAAAAACATAATCACAAGCTATTTATATTTTTAGAAACATACAAAATATCTTTGTTCATAAAAACGTACTTAGTATTTGCCGGGCACGGTGGCTCACCCCTGTAATCCCAGCACTCTGGGAGGCCAAGGCGGGCAGATCACGAGGTCAGGAAATCAAGACCATCCTGGCTAATACGGTGAAACCCCGTCTCTACTAAAAATACAAAAAAAATTAGCCAGGCGTGGTGGCGGGTGCCTGTAGACCCAGTTACTTGGGAGGCTGAGGCAGGAGAATGGCGTGAACCCGGGAGGAGGAGCTTGCAGTGAGCCGAGATCGCGCCACTGCACTGCAGCCTGGGCGACAGAGCGAGACTCCGTCTCATTAAAAAAAAAAAAAAAATTTACTTAGTATTTGTTTTGTATAAAATTTCACTGATACAGAGCTGTGCTTTAACAGGACATTATTTCACACATTTTAATATTTCAGGCAACTCTTAAGTCTAAGAACAGTGTATACACATGTTTATTTCTTGCAGTCACATGTGAGTCCTTAAAAATACATTGAGATATATAATTATCATGAGTAATACCTAGTTTATCTTGAAGCAAATCAGTTTATTAAAAATATAAATTTCTATTTACATCATATTTCTAACATGCTGGAAATAACAAACTATTCTTAAAGTAATTTTCAACCACAAACCTATCATTTATTTTATTAAATTCTTAATTACTAAATAATTATTATTACATAAATCTCAATGAATATTACTGATACATGATTAATGAATTTACCAACATTGAAAGGAATTCTGTAATTTGATCATATCATGATATTAGAGAAATAAAGTAGGACTTTTTCCTAGAGAGAGAGAACAAGAGAAAGAACAAAAGAGAGAGAAACCTCCTTACCTTAATTACCCTCAGCCCAGCTGTTTCCAAACACATTTATAAGTCTATATATACCAAACCATTATTTTTGGCACACTTAGAAAAATATAAATTTCCATTTTGCTCTTACTTCATTTATAAAAGAAAACAAAAATACGGTTTTATGCTTCTATTATATTATTAACATTTAGTAGTTTAACTTATTGTAAGAGAAATTACAAATGGCGCATCTACACCATCTTTATAAATTTTTTCAGCCATGTCTATCCTTCAACAGACAATCAACTAGCAGCTTTAAACTGACTGTGGATTTGTCATCCACCAATAGCCACCATTCATTTTAAATAAGAGAAGCTTCTCTTTGGTCTGAATTGTATTTCTTCTTCCACAGAGATGACATTTTTCCACATACTAGATAGATTGCTCAGGTTGTATCAAAGAGAAGCAATTCATCTGTGACAAGCCAAGATCCACAATAGAGTTAAGAATCCCACTACCTGCCTCCAATCCATTAAGAAATGTTGGGTTTATCCTTCATGGATGAGAACAAAGAAAGTAACTGACCCATGAAATAAGAAACATAGCTGAATAACTTCGGATGCCAAAGGACAAAAGTTGTTGACTTGGTATCACACAACTTTGAAGCACATAATAGTACAACGCAGTGAGGGAGGTGGGACATCCAAGATGCATGAATCAGTCCGAAAAGTGTGGTCTAATTTTTACATAAGGACAACATAATTAAAATGAAAATGGTTGTCACTAAGATTCTTATAAAATAACAATGTATTTTTATAAACTTACTTTAAATTTTTACACACACTTTCATCTGAACCAGAACAAATGTACATTTACCTGTGTAGCATTATGAATATGAAAATAATTATTCCTGAAAGTTTTAAATATGTGACCCTGTCTATGTATTTAATCACTTGCCTAAACAAAATAAATAACATTAATACTATTTACAGTGTTAACATATCTGATGCTTTTGAAGTAACCAGGAAGACTTCAATGGTTTTATTTATAAAATGTTTAATTTTTAGAAAAACATTATGCAGTAGTTACCATTTTAGCCATATTTGACAGTTGAGGAAACTGAGGGATAGAATGTTGGATTGAATTTGCCAGGTCACTAGGCCAGTACACTATGAAGAGAGAGATTTCAAATTCTGAGAGTCTGAAATCACAGCACATACATTTAACACTGTAATATGTTACATTTTAGTTTGACTATTCACAAAAATTCATTTATTGGCCAAATTTTAGACTTCTGAGATGTCTTCTAGACCCATCTGTGAACTTCCTTATAAAATCTAGTTTTAACAAAGAACCTCCCTAAGTCAATTTAACAAGAACTCCCCACCTTTAATATCTGATCATGTGAATATCTGATCAGGTTCATCATCCTCCGCTGTCCTCCAGGCGATGTCTAATCACCTGGCTGGTTTCCAACAAGAATTCTGTAAGTCAGTTTAGCCAGAAACCCCTTGCCCTTGATATTTCCTCTTAGCAATTTTCCGTCTACTGAATCCCAATCCGCTCCTTAGCTATCAATTCCCACCTGCCCAAGTTGTATTCAGAGTTAAGCCCAATCTCTATCCTCTGCAGGACCCCTTTGGAGTGGTATTTGGTCGTCCTAAAGAAAATCTGCCTTCCTTTACTAGTATAATGGAACATATAATTATATTTAATATATAAATACTCAAGTATAATTGAATATTTTTTCTTAACACAACCATCTATTCTTGAGTTAAAACAAATAATAAAAAATATTATTTAGTCTACATTTGTGCCAATAAAAAAAAATCTAGTACACAAGATACTCTTAGAAAAATATGTAGCACCAATGAATTCTCAGTAAGAAATTGTTGCAGGGAAATAAAATAAAACAAAAGAAAATAAATGACTGGCTAAAAACTCAGAAAAATGAAAATTAACTATTTTTAATAAGTTTGATGATTTTGGTGGCTCACATATCAAAGTGATATTTTATTCAATTTCTGGACAGCTCTGGTAGCTAGAATTGCTTATTTTGAAATAAATCTGGCTTCTGTAATTTACCTCAATAATCATAGTTCTGTCCTCTATTTTCATACAAGCCTTTCCTGAAATTTGAAGAAGGACGTTATTTTTATTTCCAATATGAATTTGTTTAGGGTACCTCATTCCACTCTTACTTGTATTTTCTACATTTTGACCTTGTACATTTACTTCCACTTGTCAAAAGATATTAACTTTCTGATGTGTATTCGTGCATTTAAGCAGATATGAACTTTGATTACATTTTATATGCAATCAAATTATATATTGAAGTCTTCCATATTAAGAAATAAATATTACCAGCTTTCCAGAAAGCCCTCTTGTGCACCATTTTAATCATCAGCCTATTCCAAAAGTAAACACTATTAAAAAAATAAAATAGAGACAGGATCCCATTCTATTGCCCAAGCTATACGGTAGTGTGGTGCAAGCAAAGCTCACCCCTGGGCTCAAGGGATCCTCCCACCTCAGCCTCCTGAGTAGCTAGGGCTACAGATGTGTGCCACCATGCCCAGCTAATTTTTACTTATTTTTTTTTAATTTGAGAGTTGCAGTATCCCTATATTACCCAGGTTGGTCTTGAACTCCTGGTTTCAAGTGAGCATCTCCCACTTAGGGCTCCCAAAGCACTGGGATTATAGGTGTGAGCCACCGTGCATGGTCATAAACACTTTAAATTCTAACACCGTAAATTTATCTTTTGCCTGTTTTTGAAGTTATGTTTGTGTGTGTGTGTGTGTGTGTGTGTGTGGTGTCACTATTTTGTGTCTGGTTTCTTTAGCTACAGTTTTTAAGATTAACTCATTGTTAAATTGTTTTAGTTAGTAATAATTCATTTATTTTCATTGCTATGTAACATTATTTCAATAAATTTATCGTCATTAATTTAACCATTCTGCTGGTTGTGGGCATTGAGTTTTTTTCTTAATGGTGAGTATGAAGAATGGTTCCATGAATTTTTGACTCGTCTTTTGCTGAATATGTGAATACATTCTTTTGGATACTTTTCTTTTTTCTTTTTCTTTTTTTTTTTTTTTTTTTTTTTTGAGGCGGAGTCTCGCTCTGTCGCCCAGGCTGGAGGCCAGTAGCGCGATCTCGGCTCACTGCAAGCTCCGCCTCCTGGGTTCACGCCATTCTCCTTTCTCAGCCTCAGGAGTAGCTGGGACTGCAGGCACCCGCCAACACGCCTGGGGAATTTTTTTGTTTTGTTTTGTATTTTTAGTGGAGAAGGGGTTTCACCGCGTTAGCCAGGATGGTCTCCATCTCCTGACCTCGTTATCCGCCCGCCTCGGCCTCTCAAAGTGCTGGGATTAGAAGCGTGAGCCACTGCGCCTGGTCAGATATTTTTCTTGATGTAAACTAAAGAGTTAAATTTCTGACTCATAGTGTTTGTATAAGTTCACCGAACAGTAGGTACTGACAAAAATTTCCACACTGATTACTTCATTCTACATTTCCAACAGCAGAATATAACAGTTACGTTTTGTTAGACATTCTCTTAAGCACTTAGTTCTATTGTCGTATTTTTCATTATAGATGTTTTGCATCGTGAGTTATGATAGGTACCACATATAAGGTTTAATTTATTTTTTCCTGGTGGCTAATGGAGTTGAGTAACTTTTCATGTTTCTAGTGAGCCTTTTGAAGCCCTGTTCTATAAAGTGTCATTTCAAATTTTTTACCAATTTTTATATGATTTTTTTTCCTCTTCTGCTAGATTGGTAAAACTTTTTTGTGTATATGTTGTATGTGAATGCTTTATCAAATATATATGTTACAAATATCTCCTCTCTTTGAATGGTGTCTTTAAGGCAAACCAATTCTTAATCTGAATATAGTTCACTATTCATGTTTTTCCTGTAGAAATAACAGTTATTTGTGTTCTATTAAAAATATTTGCCTATTTTACTTTAACTCATCAAAGGCAATATTCATGGATCCATATAGTTAAAAAAATTATTATGCTTTATATGACTTTAAAGCAGAAATTGCAGTTTGGTGGTGATATCAAGCTTCTTTATAAAACAACATTCATTAGTTCCCTATCACTTACTAATTTCAAATTTTGAGCTAAGCATAGCAACACAACGCTTTATCTTTAAAAAGTTCGAGAAAGTATTTCTTCCCTTTGATATAGTATTATAGTATATATTTCAAATTAGCCAACCAATGATTTTATTGATTTTTTTTTTTTTTTTTTTTTTTTTTTGAGATGGAGTCTGGCTCTGTCGCCCAGGCTGGAGTGCAGTGGCGCGATCTCAGCTCACTGCAAGCTCTGCCGCCACGCCATTCTCCTGCCTCAGCCTCCTGAGTAGCTGGGATTACAGGCACCCACCACCACGCCCGGCTAATTTTTTGTATTTTTAGAAGAGACGGGGTTTCACCATGTTAGCCAGGATGGTCTCCATCTCCTGACCTCGTGATCCACCTGCCTCGGCCTCCCAAAGTGCTAGGATTACAGGCGTGAGCCACCATGCCCAGCCCCAATGATTTTTTAATGTGTAACATTAGAATGAAAAGTGAAGAAAGCGTTCAGAGAAATTAGAAGTGAGATGTTTACTTTCTATTCTATTTTACACCAGAATTTTTGTGTTGCCTTCTTAAAATGTCTCAGTGTTTTTGCCTTTCGGTTTCCCATCAACAACCAAAGGAGCTAAGCTAGTTAACTTCACCTCCACACAAGTTTGATCAGATTGACTAGTTAGTAGACACAAAGCTCCCCACGTCCTCTATAGTATGTGATGTTTTACTGAATTTTGAGAAATGCAATTAGGAGCCAGTGTGGTTAATTTAAAAATATCCCACAGTAGCTCTAATGTGAAACTAAAGAGGTAATCTTAAAATCATGTGCTTGTAAAGTCACATATGTAGTCCAATAATGCAATATAGCCCCTTAAGCTTGTGCTTTTAGCAAGCTTGACCTTAGAAAGTAAGTCATTGTTGTGAAAACTTGTGTATTTAAATGAATATGTATGTGAGTGTATTTATTTTTCAAAAAAGTCCATAAACATCCACTTTTGAGAGTATATGATTCATGCCATATACGTTACAAGCAACTGTCCTTGAAGAATTGTTCTTATAAAAATAATGTAAAAAATTGCACTGAGTAAATATGACATGCTCTTAGTTGTTGGAGGCTGTTTATGATCACTGTCCTGCTGATACGATTCTTTTTCCATTTATACTCTCAGACTGAACCATTTTTGTAGAGTGATAAATATTGAGATACCAAATAGCACTTCTTAATTGAATCTCCAGTATTTTAATATTTCAGCTTTGTGAGTTTCTGGTAACTAAAAGCAGTGTATTAAACCCTTTGTTATATATTAAGTTTAAAGCAAATTATTAAATTGGAAAATGTGGAGTATCCACTAATGCTGCTCAGATAATTCCCTTTCTCTGTACTTCATTTATCAGTCTATGAGGATTAACACTGAAATATATGGAGAGACAACAAAGGTAAGGAGGGAAAGTAGTGACTCAGCCTGTTCCTAGCTTTGTTTATCCTAGGCCTATGTATTTGGTTTTAAAATATTAATAATAAACACATGTATAATAGTAAAGTAAGACTTTAAAGTTGAGGACTCTGGGAGTAGGATTCATGGACATTCTGCAACTTTTATGTAAGTCCAAAAGTATGCTTAAATTTAGAAAGATATATTACAAAAATTAAAAGTATCATCAAAGACCATCTCTTGTAAAAAGTCATTGTGTAAAATTAAGATTCCATGGCTGAAGTTGTGCAATGATATGGGGAATGGAAGGGCTGGGGATGTTATCAGAAAACATGATGAAAATTATCTGAAAACAACTTATGTGGACCTTTTCAATTCTCAAGTTAGAATATTCTATAGGTGAAATAAATGCTAAGAGAAAAAAAACAGAATGATTTCCCTCATGCATGTGGTTCATTTGCTGCTGATAGGATTTATTGTATTCATCTTTTTTTCATAAATGTATAAAATGTATGTTGAACTCTTACTGAGCATTTTGTGCAAGCAAGCCAATGGTTAGATAAACCAAGCCCATACCTGCTTTAAGGAACGTAAAACTAATGGGAACCTAGGAAACCATAAAATAAGCATGTAACCACAGGCAAATTTGCATCATGGTGTGTATGAGAAAAATGTATTCAGGGAAATAAAAATGTATAGGTGGTGTAGAAGAGATGGAGTTTTTCCTATTCTAGTAAATCATAAAATTTCCTTTGAGGAAGGTTAATAAGGATCTTTTGTGTTACAGACAGCTTTGCTCAATGGTGTGGAAAGAGCTGAAAGTGGACTTCCAAGGTGCCTCAATCCATAAAGGGCTGGCCCCAAAAAGAGTAAAGAAAAAAATATCCTCTCAGTCAGCAGAACATTGAGCAGTTCATTTCACTGCCTCTCTCTCTCACCCCCCTTTTTTTTAAGACAGTCTGAATATATGCTATAAAATAGTAATATCTTGGTAATAATTTAGAAAATAGTCTGGAACTAAATATGGTAGATTTTGAAAAAAGATATGTGGGTGGCCCTCTTGAAATTGATCCACAGTCTTAAAAATGTATGCCAGTGTAAACTAGTGATACCTCATATCACTTTCAGGGGAGGAGTCCTGCTCCTCCAGGAGCCACAGTCCCAAGGATGTCAGTCTACTCTATGGTTCAAAGTAACCAAGGAAGACACCACTCACACAGGCATTCGATGGAAAGGGATTGGTTGGAACAACATTTTACTTAAAGATGATCAGATCAAGATTAGCTACAATGGTATCTGTTGGTTTCCCATGGCCAGTGGGTCTCATTCCACAGCTCACATAGAATGATAGTCTCCATGCACTGCCTCATTCTGCAGTTGAAGGACACTATCCCCTCTGGTCCAGAATGGTTGTAGTAGTGGGGTTGGCCAGGAGCCATATGGCACACATGCTTAAGCAGAACAAAAGATACACATTTAGTCTGAAACAGGAAGAGATATTCCCACACATATACTCAACACAAGATATGAGAGCTCTTTTTTACTATGTAAGAATGTTCCAGGTTCAAGGCCCATTCTCATGTGTCCCAGCAGGGGTCGACTATCACTGCCTAAGTGACTGCCTGACATTCATGTAAATGCTTTCCAAAGTACTTACTGCAGAAGAGGTTCTTTATAATTTGTCTTATGTATATCAGTCAGCTTCTTTCTTTCACAATCTAAGGGGTTACTCAAAGGGCTGATGAACTGTGTGGACAGGTTTGCTGAAGGACTGTACATGGGCTCAATGTTTTGTACTTTCCTCTATAAAATTTGGCCTGTGAATTTCCTACTCTAGGTGCCTATTATGGAATGCACTGTAAGATAACAGGGGTTAGTCACCTTCTTGAAAGCAGCGGGTAGATGACATTGGGTAAATTACATTATAGAAGTAGGGAATGAGGGGGTGAAAAAATGATCTGTATCACTGGTTAATACATATATTGTAGATTTAATTTTCTTAGTTTCATGTGTTGCTACTTGCAGTCCCACCATCTGAGGCATTCCACACATAAACAAAGAGTAGAATTCATAATTAAAAATGTAAAGCAATATGCTGATTCTCATGGGTTAAATGACCTTACTATTTTATGTCACAAACCAAAAGCAGCTGGATGTACAGAATGATAAGTGGTCTTCTGAAAACTTGGATGTAGTGGCATCTAAAGGAAATAATATCTTTCAAGGTGAAAAGTATTAAGAGTGGTGACTGTCTGAGTTATTGGCAACAAATCTGTACGGGTCTGCAGCAACCTCAATTCTTGCCTCCTCAGAAGACAGAAATTGACTGAGAGGCATAAGGCAGAAAAAGAGTCCAAAGCAAGTTTCTGAGCAGGCATGGACGTTTATTAAAAAGCTTTAGGGCAGGAATGAAAGAAAAGAAAGTACCTACTTAGAAGCGACCGAAATGTGCAACTTGGAGGTCAAGTGCCCCATTTATCCTTGAACCTAGGACTTTATATGCTGGCCTACTTCCGGCATCTCAAGCCCTTTTCCCTTAATTCTGCCCTTAGGGCGAGCCGCTGGCATGTGTGGTGCCCTCCTTGCGCTCGGGAGGTGAGCATGCACAGTGTGTTTAAGAAGTTATACCCATGCTCACTGGAGGCTTTCTTCCTTTATCTGGTGGAATGCCCCTGGAAGTTCATGCTCTGCCATTTTGTCTCTTAATGCGCATGCTCAGGCTCACTTGCCCTGAGATCTTATTGGAAGCTGCTGATTACCAATTTCAAGTGTTTTTATCTTTTGGGAAACTGCCTCTTCGTGGCACTGGCTGCCACCAATGATCATTTTAGTGTGACAACTGCCAGACCATCAAGAAACGGTCTCTCCCTGGTGCCAGCTGCGACCAACTATCATTTTAAAGAGGCAAAACAACAACTGCTGAACCATCACCTGCTGGTCACCTGACATTCCTGGAGGTCGGGGCGAGAGGGGCCCCCTCCTGCCCGGCTCCTGTCTGACTAGCTCCTAACATAACACAAGTACTGCCCTGCAGGAAGTTTCTTATACTCTTAAGTCAATATATTGTTCAATTACTTGCATCACCAGAATGCAAGGAGACCGGAAGGAAGAGGATGGCACTACTCATAATTATACTTCGTGACCTACTAGCACATTTGGGCATATTTCTCATTCTCATGAGGCCTGCTTATTTAGATTTTTTAAAATATCAAAACCAGAATTGGGTATATGGATAACAGCAGATATTGCTGCATGTTTTTGCTGCCTTTTGTTGTTGTTTGTTGTAGTTGTTGTTGGTTGGTTGTTTTATTTTTATTTTTACTGGAGAAGCCTTCATGCCAACAGAAAACCATTCAAAAATAGGTCATAGGCTGGGCATGGTGGCTCATGCCTGTAATCCCAGCACTTTGGGAGACCAAGGCAGGCGGATCACCTGAGGTTGGGAGTTCGAGACCAGCCTGGCCAACATGGAGAAACCCCTTCTCTCCTAAAAATACAAAATTAGCTGGGCGTGGTAGCACATACCCATAATCCCACCTATTCGGGAGGCTAAGGCAGGAGAATCACTTGAACACCGGAGGTGCAGATTGCAGTGAGCCGAGAGTGCACCATTGTACTCCAGCCTGGGTGACAAGAGCGAAACATTACCCTCTGCTTCATAAATCTATAAACTTTACCAAATATGCTCTATCAGAATTCAATTAGAATCCATGGTAGGAAGTCTATTTTTGCATGTAAAAGGTGTGGTCATAATGTTCGTAAAATTTAAATTATCAGTAAGCGAAATTAATCTCAGCTCAGAAAAGCTAGGTTGAATTGGAGTCATTTCACGAACTGAAAAATTATGAATCCATAAGCCACACGGTATGTATGAGTTAACAACATGTTTAAGTGAAGTCTTTTTCAGTAATAATATACACCCTCAAGTAGGGCCATTGGTACTCAATGGGCCTCAATCGTTCCTTAATTAAGGCATTTTCAAACTTAATTTGGACTCATGTAGATGAATTTGGCATTGTAGGAAATCTTTCTGAGAGTGGCATGAGAAATTGAATCTCCAGCCAAGAAAGGAAAAACCTCTGTGATGGGTAATTAAAGAGTGAACCCGACAATGAGTTGAAGGATAAGAGACGGTGGATCAGATAGCCTTTCTGTGCCAAGTCCTGCATGAACATATGCATGTCAACACACTGTTCTGTCTATTAAGCACTAAAGCCCAACATGCCTCTGACAGCAAGAATGGAAGCCAGGCTTTTCTCTATAAATAAAGTCCACAGAGCATAATGGAGAGCGAGACTCATGCCTAATAGCATAAAAAGTTCAGGCAATTTCAGAATAGTTACAAACTGAAATGTCTGGATCGTCTAGCAACTTGGATAGTGTGAATTTGGGCTGATGACACTGAATGGGTAGACATGTCAGGGGAAGAATGCAGAGTCCTTCATTTAAAATTATGTAGATCTAATTATGGTTTATCCAGAGATATATAAAGAGTGAAGATTCCATAGTGCTTGGTAATAAGTAGTGTTCTGTTGAGCTCGTGTTTTATTGTCTTTTCTAGCTTTTTTCTGTCTCACGTCTATTTTCATGACATAAAGAAAGCTATGATTAAGATATTTTTAAATTTTATTATTTTAATTTATTATTCCCACACTTATGTATACACCCAATACTCTCGCTCTCTGTGCGTGTGTTTGTATGTGTGTGTGTTTGTGTGTGTGTGTGTGTGTGTGTGTGTGTGTACCCAATTGATACTGGTAAGTTCACTTCTGAATGGAATGCTTACTGTTTAGGGAAAGCTGTTTGAAAATACATAGTAACAGCCTGAAAAGAATAACCAAAATATTTTGATTTAACAATATATACTTCAAAAACTTTGCATGAGTTAGCGAGTTTCCTCCTTGTAACGAGCCTGTGAAATAGGAACTATTTTATTCCCATTTTATAGTAAAGATAAAGAAAAGTTGAGCTGTTTGTCCAAGCTCACACACTTAGCTGGTGGAGACAGAGTAAGGAATGACACCCTCCAGCTGATTCCTTAGTGTGAATTTAACCTCCATGCTATACAGCTTTATGAATTTTGCAATAAACATTCACTTTTAGAAATCTTTCTTACATTGAAATTCATTATAATATTAATTACATGGGATATATTTATGATGTGATATATACTATTACCTCAAATACTAAAACAAACAGAAACAAATCCTGGAGATATATAAACTATGGCTGTTGCTGGGTGAGAGTATTATGGTGAATTTATTCTTTGTACTTTTGTGCACTTTCTGTGTCTTCTCTGATACACATATATTATTTCATAAGGAACAAAACACAAAAATGCTTTTACCTATTGCTTTATGGCTTAGTTCAGTCTAGCTAAAATATTAATTACCTTTGATGGTTGTACAGAGGATGGTGGGAACTTTTGACATCTTCTGTTGTTTTTAAGTAGCTTTATGATACCAAGAACAAAATGACTTATGTAACTAGCTTCTTAATAAATGCTAGTGAAAGGGATAATTTTGCTGTAATAGATAACTGTGGCCAGCTGTACACTGTTTATTTTCAAGGTGAACCACATTGTGTAAGCCCAACTTGCCTAGTTGGTGAAAACATTATAAGGATAGAGATATTCTGTTTGGGAGTGACTGTCATCAACCAGTTAAGAGACAGTCCTGAGGTTGTATTTGTAAGTATGATAATAACTTGAGTTTTTATCAAATAACAAATGCAGTGTTTTCGCTTCCATGATTTATTTTCCTGATAACCTTATTAACATTTTTCATTCAGAAACAGAATTTGCAAGCACACTATATTTTGTAAGTTTTCCAGATTCTTATATTCTATTAATTATTGTGAACTAATACTTTGCTATGTGATTCCATGAATAAAACATGCTTTAGGATAACTTAAAAGGATAAATTATGAGGGAATTTAAGTTGACTTGTTCAAAATTAGGTGCATAACACTCATCATGTTTCAGTCCCTATATCTACTCAGCATATGTGTAAATAATAATCTAAAGACAGTTCTAATCCTTTCTAGGAAACATTGCACTAGAAGTTTTATCGAAAAGCATATACTATATGTGTTAATAAACGTGTTTTAGTTTTAATTGAATTCTAACGAAGTAAATATTGTTAAAATATACAGATAATTATAATGAAATAGAATTTGTAGCTTTCAAATTATAATTACAAAAACATCAAAAAATGTTATTAAATTGAACTAAGCTTAATTTTTCTTTCACCTAGAAAGTAACTAGTGACAAATGCATTCCATAAAAGTACACTCTGCCTTGAGAAATTTCAAGAGTTCTACTAAATGTCTGTCATACATAAAAAATATTTATTGAGGCCAGGCGCAGTGGCTCACACCTGTAATCCCAGCACTTTGGGAGGCCAAGGCGGGCAGATCACGAGATCAGGAGATGGAGACCATCCTGGCTAACACGGTGAAAACCCGTCTCTACTAAAAATACAAAAACAAAATTAGCCGAGCATGGTGGCGGGCGCCTGTAGTCCCAGCTACTCTGGAGGCTGAGGTGGGAGAATGGCATGAATCCAGGAGGTGGAGCTTGCAGTGAGCCGAAATAGCGCCACTGAACTCCAGCCTGGGCGACAGAGCGAGACTCTGTCTCAAAAAAAGAAAAAAAAAATTATTGAATGAGTAGAGTATTCTTTATGTATTTTATATATACATATTTTTACTCTGTTTTATTTTATATCATCCTAATATCTTACAAAGAATCTTTATGCATCAAGCATGATTATGCATATTGCCATACTCTTGGGAAGATATTTTATTGTTTGAATTCCCCTTATCATGTGAGTTAGGAAGGTCCTGGTTCATAGCTCCCTACATTTCCCCAAAAAGCAAATTTTGAAATTTGGCAAAAATAAAAAAGATACTTAAAAATGGAGTTTAAAAATGATTGTTTCTTGCTGCCATATTCCTGAAAATATTAGGTATAATTAAACATCAATCTTCAGCCATGTCCTAGAAAAGAGAAAAAAAAAAAATACCCAGTATTTCATGGCTTTTTTTTTTCATTATTTATAATTGATTTATTTATTCAACTAAAAAAGAATTAAGTACTTACTGTGTAGTAGGCCAAATACTACATGTAGAAGACAAATCAGGATCCAAAATATGCAAACCTCTTATGTTGGTTCTTTGGCTTGGAGATGTGCTATTTTTAAATTGTTTCTTCTTTTATATATAGATTTATTTTAAAAATAATATAGTCATGGTTTATATGTGATTAAAAAAATAGTTTCTAAATTTTATTTCTTTGTAAAGTCTTTACTTTCACTTAAATATTTAAAATGCCTAGAAAAACTCTTGGTAGAAATATTTCAGCATGTTAAATATATCATTATGTTAAAAATTATATATCTATTGCTACTTTATAAAAAAATTTTATCTTAATTTGGGTTTGTGTTTTATCAAAATGTCTTTTAACATTTAAGCATCTGGGCAAATATTTATTTTATAAGGTATGACTATTAAACCATACTTTTATTTTCTTCTCTAAGCCCCTCTCAAGACTGCTATGTTGGCCAATGTATTCACCAATTAATTTTTTTTTTGAGATGGAGTCTCTATCGGTTGCCTGGCTGGAGTGCAGTGGCGCGATCTCGGCTCACTGCCACCTCTGTCTCCCAGGTTCAAATGATTCTTCTGCCTCAGCCTCCAGACTAGCTGGGACTACAGGCATGCACCACCACTCCCAGCTAATTTTTGTATTTTTTTTAGTACAGACTGGGGTTTCACCATGTTGGTCAGGATGGTCTTGATCTCTTGACCTCATGATCTGCCTGCCTCAGCCTCCCAAAATGCTGGGATTACAGGTGTGAGCCACCGCGCCTGGTCCCCCATTTAAATGTTTATTACAGGCCTATTTTGTTTTTGTTATTGTTGCTGATGCTGTTGTTTTATTATGCTTTAGCCTCTAATTTTAGGAACTTTTATTAAAGAAGAAAAATTCTTTCAAAATATTTCAATTTCAATAATGAATTAGTTAGCCATTGATGTAAAACAAAGTCTCCTAAATATCAGTAACTTAAAACAATTCCTAACAATTACATGTAAGTCAAAAGATCACATGCACAGCTTCTGAAAATTTCTGCTCAGTTCTCTTAGAAGCTGGCAATTAGCTGTGGGTCATGTAAGTGGTCCTGTTGATTTTGTCTGGACTCTGTTAAATTTTGTGTTGGCAAGCTGGCTGATCTAGAAGAATCCCAACTGAGACTGCTGGATTCTTCACATAATGCCGGACAGAATACTTTCCAGTTCATCTGTATATTCGTATGAACAAAACAGTTACAGTTTTTCTTTCTTTGGGCACTGAGTTTCAGAAGATTTGCTATGCAGCAACCACTGCACCAGAAATTGGTCTAGTGTGGGATGCTGCCATAACAAAAATCTAAAATATTTGGCATTCACTTCATAACTTTTAGTGGACAGAAGCTGAGAAAATGCAGCAAAGTCTGTCAGTAGTGAAGACTGTAAAACGGCAAGGGAATGTTATTGGAGGATGATAAAATGGTAACCTCTGGTATGCAGTAGCAGAGCAACTCGCACAACTACAACCAGAAAAGTTGAAAAATGGAAACTATATGTAATGAACATTTGAGTTTAACTATGGGGATGCCCATGTAAAATATTTAAACTGTCAGCTAATTGCTCCTAGCTGTGTCTGATAATTGCAAGAAAGAGATGAGCCTGAAGATGATGGGCAGTTTGTACTTACAATGTAAAAAAAATATAAAGAGGTCAGGTCTTATTAGGTTAGAAGATAGCTTCTCATTTGCAGCTTCTCAATCCCCCCTCAAGGGCAGAAAATATTTCTTAACATTTAATTTGAAAATCACTTAACATAGTGCCTTGTGTATATAGTAATAGAACCTCAGTTAGTAATTTTTAAAGAAATTAATGTAATGAGGCAGACTTCAGTTTTTTAACTCCAAAAGGTGACAATGGAAGCATGACTGGATGAGAATTTTTTTAAGTCTCTTCAAATATGTGAGACATAATTCTAGCTTGTGAATGCAAAGATGTCTTGGCTTTTCATTTTGGCTTTGTCTCTTCTGGAGCTTCATTCATTCACTCATTCATACATTTTTTTCAATAGACATTTATTAGGACATTCTAGTATAAAGTGGTCAGGATAGAAAAACATGTAAAATTCAACAGCTTGGTATTATGCCTAGTGCATTCTAAAAGAGAGAGAGACAATCATGCTGTAAGAGCTGAGACAGAAAATTGAATGTCTAGCTGTGCTTCTGAGTGTCAGAGCAGAGCTAAATCATACATTCAGTGCAATCACTGAATACCCGAAAGAAGGCCATGTCAAGCTAGAATACTGTGTGAGTTTTTATCTTAAACTTTTATTCAACTTTGCCTTAGAATCCATAAATGTACAAGTTGACTTTGCTATAAATATAATTTTTAAAATTAAAAAAATAATTGTGACCTTTTTTAAGGCATAGCAGTGTGAAAAAAACATGCAGAAAAAAATTTTACTTTGGGAATAAATAAATATGTCAGACACGAAGTAATATCTGTATTTAATTTTGTAGCATGTAGTAACATGCAGAAAGTAGAGCATAAATATATGTTAGTTACTATAATTACCATTTTATACGTTAGAAAGCTGAAGGAGAGAGAAGATAAGCATACAGTAGAAGAAAGTAGAATACAAGATAGAGTCTGGATTTAAACTGGCAGTAAGATTCAGGAATCTTCTCAGATGGTATAAAGCTAAACTATTTTTTTATTGATCAACATAGTATATTCATCTTGTATGTAATAAAAACCTATTCAAGATTTTGAGCTGGGATAGAACACAATTGCATTTGCATTTAGAGCAGCTGAAAGATAAGAAAATCAATGAGACTAATTATGCAAAGTTAAAGAACGCAAACATGAGAATTTGTACTGTCAAAGACAGATTTCACATACTTTTCTTCCTTTTTTTTTTTTTAAGAGCGTTGACAATTTGGGCAGTAAACAAAGATTTCTAGTCACAGGCTTCTATAAGACAGGTACAGACTAGCACCACTCCCCAAATAGTGAAGCACAAGAGGACAAAGAGTTATGAAGAAAAGAAGGGCTCAGTTTTGGAGATGTTGCATTTGAAGACTGCAAGTACCAGACCGCGATTGAAGGAAAGACAAAAATGCAGAGACATCAGCCTGGCATGCAACCACTTTGGCTCTAGTAGCATTTCATGCTACGTAAGAGGTAAAATGAGAGGCCAACTGAAACCACATATGTCTACACTTTAAAATATAGGGTGAATGAGAAGTAAAATATATCTCCTTTCAAAATCTCAAGCCATGTGTTTAGATTAAAATGATGATCTATTGTTAGTGACACAAAGTAAATGACAATAAAATAATTCTCTTAGGAGAGATAAAAAAAAAAACCTATACATCAAACGTTGTTTTTCTAAAAATAAATTTAAACCATAATGTCCAGCATCCAACCAAAATAATGAGGACCATTAGACTACATGTCAACATAAATAAGAAACAAAAGACAGGATAAACAATAGAAGAATTCAACAGGAGAATTTTTACATTTATCAGACACATACTACAAAACAATCATGCTTTTATTTAGAGTGAGGTAGAAGCCAAACTGTAAAATTTTGGCAGAAACCTGGAAACTATGAAAATTAACAAAGACTTTGAAAAAAATAGAAAATATGCATCATTGGGAAATTACCTAAAATTTAAGGAAAATAAAAAGAACCATCTTCATAAATTTGTGTGTCATCTTCGTGCAGCGGGTCAGTTAATCTTCCCTGTACATTGCAAATTTTATTGTATGTGCTGTCAAAGCAAGTACAAGAGAACAATCTTAACATTAATAGAGAGAAAAAAAGCAAACAGATTAACTTCACAGGAACAAGTCACTGAAAGCTGATTTTTCAACAGCAACAACGGAAGCCGAGGAAGAGTTAAACATCTTCCATTTGTTGACGTAACATAATAGCCAATTAAATATTCTGTGCTCACTAAATTTATTCAAGACTAACATGAAATAAAGGCATTTTTCTGACTTGTGAAATAGAGTTCTGTCGTTGTACTTACACAATCCTGGAATTTTCTTTGAGTAAAGTGTTTAATAAAAATGTCAATTTCTGTTACATATAAAGTAATTTTTAGATTATTTTTTCTTGTACCTATTTTGGTAAATTTTAACTTTCCACTAATTTGTAAATTTCATCTGAATTTTCAAATTTATTGGCAAAAGATTATTTATAATATCCTTCAATGTTCTTTCATTAACTGTAAAATCTATATGGATATCTCCTATTTTGTTCAGGATATTGATAATTTGTTTTCCCGTTTCTAGATCAGTTTTGAGAGGTTTTGTCATATCATTTTACAGCTGCAAAATTTTACTTTACTGATATTCTGTACAGTATATCTGTTTTCTAGCTCAATGCTTTCTCATTTTAAAATTTTTTCCTGCTTTCTGTTTTTCTTCAAATTTAAACTTCTCATCTTATTTCTGGCTTTTAAGCTGACATTATTGATATTCAAGCTTCACTTTTTTCTAACATAGGCACTTAAAGCCATAAATTTATATCATTTATTTCTTTACCTAAAATAAAGGTATATTAGGTACATACAAAATTTGATTATATCTTCTTGTTGAAATGACCATTTTAAAATTACGAAATAGTTATCTTTAAAGTTTATCACATTTATTTTTCTGAAGGACCACTTTGTCTTTTTTGTAATAAAGCCATGTCACTTGGTTTGTATATGTTTGCTTTGAACCTAGAGCATTGCCTTATTTAACATGCATTCTTCAAGCAGTATGTAGTTGCATTTATTTATAATTCAATCTCATAATCTACTATGTTTTGCTTGAAGTAGTACTGAATCTATTTACATTTAATTCAATTATTTGTATATTTTTGTTTAGGTCTGCTATTTTATTACTTGTTTTCTCCATGTTCTGTTTTCTTCCTCTGTCGTTGATGCTCTTGTTTTTAGGTGTTGTTTTGTTGTATTTCTCCTTTCCTACCATTTTTTATTTCACTTTCTGCATTAATCAGGTTTTGGTTATTCAATTTTCTCCTTTACTAATACTTGTCATAATTTTTAGTATCACTATATTTAGCAAATACCTTGTAAATTACCAAATGCATCTGTATCTAATTTATGTATCTTAAATGTATTCTCTTATTATATTAAAAAATACAACAATTTCCTTTTATTTCTCAATGTCGCTATTTTTGTCATTTTACTTCTAAACATATTATCAACTCCACAAGATATTGCTATTGTTTTGCTTATTTGTTTTTTTGAGATGGAGTCTTAGATCTAGCTTTGTCACTCAGGATGGAGAGCAGTGGCATGATCTGGGCCCACTGCAACCTCTGCCTCCTGGGTTCAAACTAATTTTCTGCCTTGCCTCCCGAGTAGCTGGGATTACAGGCGTGAACCACCTCACCCAATTAATTTTTGTATTTTTAATAGAGATGGGGTTTCACCATGTTGGCCATGCTGGTCTTGAACTCCTGACATTAAGTAATGCACCCACCTTGGCATCCCAAAGTGCTGGGATTAAAGGTGTGAGCCATTGCACCCAGCCTTGCTGTTGTTTAAAATGTAAACAGCTTATGTATTTTGATATTTACTCAATTATTTTGTCCTTTCCAGAGTGGTGTATTTCTTTTTGCCTCTCCATTCTTATATTAAATCATTCTTTTTTAACTTGACAAACATGTTTAATATTTCTTATAAAGGAAGAATGCTGTTTAATAATTTTCTCAGCTTTGTTAGAAAGTATTCTTACTTTAATTTTTGGAGATAATTCAAAATAATTTGTGAAGATATAATTCTATTTTTTTAGTGTCTTTCATAGTTTCCGTTAAAAGTTAATGATTCTTGCTGTTTTCTCCAGCTGCTTTTAGAGATTTTCTCATTGTCTTTGATGTTTGTTAGTATTATAATATTCATTTTGTTTGTAATTGTGATTGATATGGTTTGGCTCTGTGTCTCATCACCCAAATCTTACCTGGAATTGTAATCCCCACGTTTAGAGGGAGGGAAGTGATTGGATTATGGGTGCAGTTTCACTTATGCTGTTCTCTTAATAGTGAGTGAATTCTCAGAACTGATGGTTTTAGAAATGGTAGCTTTTCCTGTGCTCTCACAGGCTCTCTTTCTCTCCTGCACCTGTTAAGACATACCTGCTTCCCCTTTCCCCATTATTGTAAGTTTCCTGAGGCCTCCCCAGCCTTGTGGAATTGTGAGTCAATTAAACCTCTCTCCTTTATAAATTACCTAGTCTTTGGAAGATCTTTGTAACACTGTGATAACAAACTAATACAACGATTTTATTTGTTTTGAAATATGCTGAATTCTTGAATCCGTTGATTTTAAAAAATCAAATATAGAACTCTCTTGACTATTATTTCTCAAAATAATGCTCTGTCTCATTTTCTTTGCTTCTCCTCTGGAAACCCAATTACAAGTAGATTAGATTTACTTCTTTTCTTTCTTTTTTACTGTTTCATATTTTTCAGTTTTTATTTTTGTATTTCCCATTCTTTTTTTATGTATTTTGCCCATTTTTGCGACTCACCAGTTTCTTTTAACATATCTTTTACTATTTCAATTTACTATTTTTATTTTCTTTACCAAGTTTGTTTTTATATGAACCAACAATTTATTAACTTTTGTTTTTTAAATATATTTTGTACTTTTTTAGTATATATTCCATCTTATTTATTTTGTTCATCTTTCCTTTAATTTTTTTTTTTTTTTTTTTTTTTTTTTTTTTTTTTTTTTTTTTTTTTTTTTTAGCTAACTGTGGTGTCTGGATCATCTCTGGGTTGCTTTATGCTTATAATTTTGTATTTTCATTATCAATCACTTTATTCTGATTTTCTGTATATGTTAGAAATTATTAATCAAGATTGTTGAAAATGTATTTTAGAGGCCTTTCTGTAAAGAATTTTTGGCTTATTTTTTCCTGGCAGATAGTTAAATTACTGGCAATTCTCATTAATTCTACCAATGCTTTGTTATAGTTATTTTTTTAAGGAAATATGAAAGGGTTTTTTATGTGATTGATTTGTGGTTTATTTGCTTTTTTAACCCCTAATAGAAAATAGCTTTTACTTCTATGGTATGACTCTAATGCACCCTCAAATGAGTGTCTGGGGTGCTTGAGGAATCTCTGCTCTGGCTAAGACCAAAGCCCTGCTATATTCCACTCTCTGTGCAATTGCTAAAATCTACTCAGGTGCATTCCAACCAGCAGCTGCTCTCTACCAGTCTCTTCAAGTGTCGCTATGTGCACAAGTAGTTCAAAAGACAAAAAAAAAAAAAAAGAGAGAGGGAGAAAGAAAAAAATTCTGAAAATAAAAGGAAAATTTTCTTAGTTTTCTGGATTTCTTTCTCCTTGGCTTCCCCCATCTGGTACCTGAATCCCAATCTGAAGCCACCTCAGCTGTCTGAAATTTGATTTTTTCCTTCTTTGCATGGGAAGATTATTTATATTTGCTCATATCTCCCTGCTTTCAAGCCAAGAAATATTCCTTGGAGAAGCTGAGACAAATATTTGACTGACCCAAATTGCCTCTATTATTTCAAGGATACAACCTGGCATTTCTTACTCCCCAAAGCTAACAAAAGGAATTTTCCCTTTTTTTTTGTTTTTTGAGATGGAGTCTCGCTCTGTCACCAGGCTGGAGTGCAGTGGCACGATCTCAGCTCACTGCAATCTCCGCCTCCCAGGTTCAAGCAATTCCCCTGCCTCAGCCTCCTGAGTAGCAGGGACTACAGGGGCTCAACAGCACGCCTAGCTAACTTTTTGTATTTTGGTAGAGACAGGGTTTCACCATATTGGCCAGGATGGTCTCGATAATCTGACCTTGTGATCAGACCGCCTCGGCCTCCCAAAGTGCTGGGATTACAGGCATGAGCCATGGCATCCAGCCAGAGTTTTCCTTTTACTACATACTCAATTTAAGTTTCATATTTGTCTAAAGCAGAAAGGTAAGTTTAATATAGCTAGTCTATCATGGCTAGAACAAAAATCTGTGAGGCTTTCTTTGGATTAATCAATCTCTAGTTTGGAAGTAATGCAAGTATTTTTAATGGTCTCACAAATACACGGCTATATTGTTTTAAATACCCTTATTAATGTTGTTTTTTTTTAATTTTTCTTTCTCTTATTTTGTTTCCAGTAGATTTCTAGCACTTTTAACCTTAATAAAATAGATCAGTTGAACACAAATAAGTGTTTCAGACTCTCGAAAAACAGGCTTGTGTAGATTCTAGGCAGCGTCTGCAAAACTAAATGTTTACCTTTCCTCTACAACCTCCCCTTTCTTCCATATCTAGACTTAAATTTCTACATGTAAGAATATTTTTTAAAAAGTAATTAACTTACTTTTTGAACCCTAATGGAACTTGTTCCTTAGCTATGCACTCATTGTAAATATAGTATCAGAGGTTGGATCTCTCATGACACTTTGATTTATTTCATTTATTTTTTAACCAGAATCAAAACTTACTTGGTATTTTCATGTTCCTGTTTTGTTTGAATCCAAATAGGTTCATATATGTTTTTTGATATAGACTTCACAATAGTTACCATAAAATTTAGTTAAGTTTTAAAAAGAAGTATGCCGGGCACAGTGGCTCATGCCTGTAATCCCAGCACTTTGGGAGACAGAGGCAGGTGGATCATGAAGTCAGGATTTTGAGACCAGCCTGACTAAAATGGTGAAACCCTGTCTCTACTAAAAATAGAAAAATTAACCCGGCATGGTGGCAGGCGCCTATAATACCAGCTACTCAAAAGGCTGAGGCAGAATTGCTTGAACCCTGGAGGTGGAGGTTGCAGTGAGCCCAGATTGCACCACTGCACTCCAGCCTGGGCCACAGAGCAAGACACCACCTAATATATATATTATGTATTATATAATATATAATATATAATATATATTATATAATATATATTATATATAATATATTATATATTATGTATTATATAATGTAATATATAATATATAATATGTATTATATAATGTAATATATAATATATAACATAATGTAATATATAATATATATTCTATAATGTAATATATAATATATAATATATTCTATAATGTAATATATAATATATAATATATTCTATAATATATAATATATTCTATAATGTAATATATAATATATAATATATTCTATAATGTAATATATAATATATAATATATTATAGAATATATTATATAATACATTATATAATATATTATATAATACATTATATGATATATTATATAATGTATTATATGATATATTATATAATGTATTATATAATATATTATATAATGTATTATATAATATATCATATAATGTATTATATAATATATCATATAATGTATTATATATTATATATTATATAATGTATTATATATTATATATTACATAATGTAAAATATAATATATTATATATATTACATATATATGTATTATATAATATATATTATATATTATATTATGTAATATATAATATATAATATATATTACATATAAAATATATAAAAATATATATTATATATAAAATATAAAAATATATATATTATATATATAATATATAATATATAAAATATATAAAATATATATGAAATATATAAAATATATAAAATATATATTATATATATAAAATATATAAAATATATTTTATATATAATATATAAAATATATATTATATATATAAAATATATAAAATATATATTATATATAATATATATAATATATAATAAATAAAATATATAAAATATATAAATATATATTATATATTTATATATATTATATATATTATATATATTTTATATATAATATATATTATATATCTTATATATTTTATATATTATATATAAAATATATATTATATATATAATATATAAGATATATTATATATATAATATATAAGATATATAATATATATAATATATAATATATAATATATATAATATATAATATATATTTATAAAATACCTTTTCCTATTTAAAAAAAGTTATTTTTGACTTCCAAAAATAAGACTTTATAAGACATCATACAGTATAAGACTTGTCCTATTAAAAAAAAACTACACAGTTAAAAATATTTTATATATGTGTTACCAACTAAACTATAGTTTTTACGTTTCTGAATTAAGTACTTTTTTAAAATTTTGCTAGATCACTTGACATTTCTTTGATATTTTGTTTTTTTAAATCAATCTTAGATGGCATAACAAACATTTTGCAATAATCTTCTTTATTTGCTTTTTGGCTTTCAACTTATAACAATTTATTGTTACTATTTAGAGAATAAGTAGTAAAATAATTAACATTATTAAAAATGTTCTTCTTATAAAACATTATTATACACATCCAATACATTTTTATATGCAATGGTCTCACTCCCAGAGAGAAGATTTTCTAGTCCAATATCCAGGTCTAAGAAGGTTTTACTTATGCTCTACTTACTGCCTAATTATCTGGAACTATTAAAGAATGGAGCATACAATATATTCTAAATTTCAAACTGCATCATCATCATGTTTGTTTTACTTAAACCGTAATAAGTTTTGCCTTTGACACCTGAAATTATGAAAATGGGCTTCCGTCATGCCAATCTCAACCTCCCAATATTTCTGGCATTTGCAGTATTTTTCTGAGATTTTTAAGAAGAATCATCTGAATAAATTTTGTTTATCAGAGCCTCAATGAATATATACATAAATATTTGGTTAATACAGGCCCTTAATCTCTGAATACAAGTACTAAATAAAACATGTTGTTGCTGTTTTTTTCTTTCTTTTTTTTTTTTTTTTTTGGCTCAACTTTTTAAAGTTCAGATAGCCCAGGATTTGAAAGACTTGTTTATGTTTATTACTGATTTATTCTTTTTTTCTTGTTTACTTGTTTTTTTTTCAAACTGAACCTATGTTCTAAAATTCAGAAATGAATTTTTCTCATGCATAGTATGAAGAGGGTTTAATTTGAACTTTTTCTTGCATCTGATCAGGATATGTAAAAACACACTTTAGAGTTTGTACATATAATCTCCAGCTAAAAACAAATATTAATAAACAGTTTTAGTATTATTGTGTCAAATTTTCTGAAAGTATATATATCATTGATGTCTTCTATAAATCCATATTTTTTATTTCCTCTTGTTTTTATTTCTATTTATCAGCCACAATATATATTAATCAATAAGGCTATATCTTTAACTCATTATCATATTGTTTTCCTTTCCCCCAATTAATCATTAGTAAGTATGTTTTCACTTACTATTAAAAATGTTGGCCAAGCGCGGTGGCTCACGCCTGTAATCCCAGCACTTTGGGAGGCCAAGGCAGGTGGATCACGAGGTCAGGAGTTTGAGACCAGCCTGACCAACATGGAGAAACCCCGTCTCTACTAAAAATACAAAAATTAGCCAGGCGTGGTGGCACCTGCCTGTAATCCCAGCTACTCAGGAGGCTGAGGCAGGAGAGAATCACTTGAACCCGGGAGGCAGAGGTTGCAGTAAGCGAGATTGCACCACTGCACTCCAGCCTGGGTGACAGAACAAGAATTCATCTCAAAAAAGAAAAAAGTCAATAGTTTATCAGTTGTCCATTTTTACAGTATTTCCCACTCGATATGTTATTACTATAAGACATGTTTACAAGGTTTTCAGAGAATTTTTTAATTTTAATTGTCAATTTATTATTTATTGGCTTTTTTTTCAGGTGTTTATGGATTTTGTATTTGCCCATGTTTAATGAGCTTTACAACACTTCCATCAGAGAACGTGAGTTATTTAATTTTTCTTTTTATTTTTTACATTGACACCTAAAACATGTTTTTCTCATTTATAACATTAAGTTATCAATATATATTCTTTTCATTTATTTTATTAATTTTATTACTGATAACTTTACTTCTTATATTATTTATATATATTTTATAATATATATAAACAACCTTTTCAGTTTTCCCAAAGTAAATATATATTGAATGCATAATAACTATTACACCATTTTCTATTATTAAATAAATCTTTTGGAAACAACTGAACAGTAAACACATTTTCATTCTAAATTATATATCTCAGTGTTACAAACAAACTAAATCAGGGCATTCTTAGATAGACATAAAGAATAGTACAATGTTTACTACTATAACAAACGAGATACTTAAAAATAAAAAATATTTAAATTAATTGTAATATCAAAATATTTAAAAGAAGTATTCACTTTAAGCAACAATAGTTGAAGATAAAACAAAATTTGTTACATATGTTATCAGGATGTTGTTGGAACATCGAATAATTGCTGCATTAATTTAAGAGTAGTCATTTTAGTTTTTAACCTTATAAATTGTATTCTTATTGCAAAATTTAGGTAAATATGTTTTCATGGGAATTACCTAGACATTTTATAACAGATTTTTTCAAAATAGGATGGAGTTGTTCTTCATTAAATGTATAAACTTTACATGTATAATTAAAATTAGACCAGAGTTCAGTAAAAATCAGTGTCAAATTATTAAAACATCAAGGATATTATTTTTAAAATTTCACTTTAAGATGAAATTAAAATAATGCCATAATTTTTAGAAATAAGTTTCTTATTTATTGTTTCCATAAGCATAGATTTATTGGACATCAATTTGTAACATGAATACATTAAATGTTTCCTTCCACCTCTACAAATTAAAGAGAAAATAATGTAGATAAATTATGCCAATAAAGTTAAATTAATATGCTAGTTGAATTTTAAAGAATATAACAAGGTGATTAAAATGTAACATGAGATAAATTATGTTAACATAAAAAATATAAGTGCAATGCGTGAATTCTATAGAATATTGATATACCAAAAGAAACACTAAGAAAGAAAGCTAAATTATTTATAACACTATAAAGTTATATTAGGCTCAAATATATAATGGAAAAATAATACTGTAATCAGTTATTGTGGAATTAAATGTCAGTGAAAACCATTAGATTGTTGCTTAATTTTTCTAGGTCATAATTCAAAACACAACCATTTTGCATGTTAAGCCTACATAAATAACACTGTACTTATTGGTCTGAAAATTATATGTTGTTACTAAATAGGTTTGATATTAAATCACCTACATAGTATGACTGCACAAAATTAATCTTCTACCACAAAATATACTCAACTTGCTATGATTCATAGAAATTGAAAGGCAAAAGGTACTTTTAAAGTCATTTTTGACTCATTTTACAAATAAAGGAATACAAAATCCAAAAAAAATTTACTTAACATATATTGTTACTTGTTTATAAAGATAACCTGATTTCTGCTTTTGTCCCTGTTCTGAAAAAAAAAAGAAAGAATTTACTCGTTATGCTGGTGCTCTCCACTGAGGCTACTTTTGTAAAAGTTTTACAACTTTTGGTCCTGATGTCTTCCCCCCAAAAAAGAAAGCAGTGGAGCTAAACCTCCATTGCATGGAAATCCACACGAGAATGGCTAATCTAGTGAAAGTACCAGCCTATGGCTCAGTATCTACCCTCTTATAATATTATTTAATTATTACTCCTATGTGAACAGGGCTAGACCTTAATTTTTCTTCTATAAGAAAGCCTCAATGGAGAACATTAGCATTGTATGCAGCCATTCACATAAAGCAGACCATACAGTCTCTACAGATACAGAGAGATTACAAAGGTGTCCTGTTTGTGCTGCTATAACAGAATACCTGAAACCGGATAATTTATAAAAAGCAGAAATTTGTTTTCTCACAGTTCTGGAGGCTGCAAAGTTCAAAGTCAAGGCACTGGCGTGTTTGGTTATCTGGTCAGGGCTGCTCTCTGATTCCAAGATACTTGGTTGCTGCATTCTTTGTAGGAGAAGGATACGGTGTCCTCACAAAGCAGAGATAGAAGGACAAGAAAGCTGAGTGCAGAGTGAAGCCTCTTTCATAAGAACCTTCCCATTCACAAGGGTGGAGCTCCCATGACAGGATCATCTTTTAAAGAGCCAACTTCTTAATACTATTACATTAGCAATTAAGTTTCTGCAATTGATTTTTTGAGAGGACATTTTCAAAGCATAAAACAAGGCTATTCACACATAAATCAGTCATAAATTGTTTCTAGCAATAAAACAAACTAAATGAAACATGTAAGACCTTGTGCTAAAATTTGCCTAGAGATTCTTACTAAAATATTGCCTGTATCCATTTAAATGCATGACTGAATTAAAAAAATAAGGAATACATTGAAGTTCAATTTAAAAATTATTTAAAAACATACTGTTAAGTGTGAGTGAACATGCCTATTCCTGTACCAATAATAGAAGGACCTAAGATTACATGCCTACAGAAATTCATCAGATGAGGCCATGATTCTAGATAAGAAAGGTGAAGCTTAAAAATAAATGCCACCAAAAGGCCAAACATACGTTTACAACTACCACAGAGAGATTACAAAGGTTTTGTTTGTTTGTTTGTTTGTGAGTGTGTGTGTGTTTTCTTCCTGTCTAGTTCCTTGCTTTAAAAGTTTGGGTAGGAATAAGAGGAAAAAAAAAACACTAAAGTAAAATTTTGTGGCAAAACCCTATGTTTAAGCAAATTTAGCAGTTTACACTCATACTATATCTTTGATTCAGCAGCTTCAACCTAGAATATAATATGTATGAACTGATAATATCTCTGGTTCACCCAGTAGAATTGAAACAAAAATAAACATAGCATATAGAGACAATGTCTCATATCATTTGAAAAATTCATTTTTTTAGGATTCATTGCTAGAGAATTACTGTGTTCCCTTTGAAGATGTCATAACATTTTGCTTTTTCTTTTTTTTTTAATTTTTTTTTATTATTATACTTTAAGTTTTAGGGTACATGTGCACATTGTGCAGGTTAGTTACATACGTATACATGTGCCATACTGGTGCGCTGCACCCACTAACTTGTCATCTAGCATTAGGTATATCTCCCAATGCTATCCCTCCCCACTCCCCCCACCCCACAACAGTCCCCAGAGTGTGATGTTCCCCTTCCTGTGTCCATGTGTTCTCATTGTTCACTTCCCACCTATGAGTGAGAATATGCGGTGTTTGGTTTTTTGTTCTTGCGATAGTTTACTGAGAATGATGATTTCCAATTTCATCCATGTCCCTACAAAGGACATGAACTCATCATTTTTTATGGCTGCATAGTATTCCATGGTGTATATGTGCCACATTTTCTTAATCCAGTCTATCATTGTTGGACATTTGGGTTGGTTCCAAGTCTTTGCTATTGTGAATAATGCCGCAATAAACATACGTGTGCATGTGTCTTTATAGAAGCATGATTTATAGTCCTTTGGGTATATACCCAGTAATGGCATTTTGCTTTTTCATAGTTCCAGTATTATTACACTGATTTCTTCACACCTGAAGAAACAGTCACTTCTTCTTTTTCAATTTACATTCATTGGGGCAGGACTTTTTTTCAGGATGTGACTAGGATATATGTTGATGGAGGTCATTTGGCTTTGCTTCTGGAGTGCTTCAGTGGAGAATACTCAGTGTGGTTTCCTTGATTATAAATAGCCTTAGGGTGGCGGCATTCTCAAATGCCAGTTGTAGTAGTCGTGTACTGGGCAGGTGAGTGAGCTCACAGCCTTCTGGGTAGCTGGGATGATGTGGGTGATGGCAGTAGCAGAGAGCAGAGGTAGTGAGAAGCTTGTCTTTTTCCCAAGCGCTGTGCACTTCTGTCAGCAGATGTGATGGACTGTGCAGGTTGACTTTCACGCCCGTAGGTAGCACTTGCATGTGACAGCCAACTGCAGCAGTGATAGTGGGTTTATGCTCGATCTTTGTTAACCAGGTGGGGTACGTGGGTGTCCCAGGTGATAGGTTGGCCAATGGAACATTCAGTGGTTCAGAGGTCCCTAGTTCGGCCTCTGAGGTGTAGGGTAAGGGTGGGAGTCAATGAAGCTAGCAGGGCTGGGCCAGGCAAGCCTATACTTGGAACCTGCAATAGCAGAAGCAAGTGCCAACCCAGAGGGGTGTGAGGCTCCACAGGCAAGCGAGCAAGAGTGGGACCCATTTTACTCTCAGACTCTGGACCAAGTGGGGCTCCTTTCCACAGCCCAACCACAAAGTTCATATCAAACCTCACTCAATTAGCACTGATAATAGCGATCTAAAGATAAATAAATAATCCCAAGTCAGAACTCATGAAGAGCTTATCCTCGGTAAATAAGACTGCCAACACAATCAACAGCCAAATTATTTACACCAATAAATTTCAAATTAAAGTAGCTTAGACAGATTTAAAAATAAATAAATTTATATGCATACATATATGAGTATTTAAGACATAAAGAATCCGTTATGGGGGCTGCATTATGAAAAAAGCATTGAAATATTTAGAAATAAGTAAAATAGAACTTATAGAACATAATTTTATATCTGTATATATTTATGTTGAGTAGATTAGGCACTGAGATTAAAATGAAATGGCTATATAAAGTAGAAAGTTAGATTAATCTATAGATAATTAGTAAAAAGAAAGATATGAAGAAGTAATTCATAATAAAGCACCAAGTGATTAAACAGTTGCAATATATAAAACAGAGGTAAATCGAAATAGAATCCCAAATGACAGAGGTCAACATATTTAAGATTTCCCAGAAAATGATATTGCTTTGGGGACACAATATTCAAATGAACAAAGTTAGACAATTTCTGGAATTGCAAATGGGCAGAAATGCTCAAATTCAGGGAGCATAAGAAAGAGAATTCACTCAGAGATTTTACAGTGCCCTGGCAAATGCAAATTAGTACATCTGTAGGTAAAACATATCTAAAATGTAGATTTCCCAGCCTCTGTTTCAGCCATTGGTGTTTATGTGATTAGATTTCAGTTTAATTAGACGTAAGCATATCTGATGTGGTCAATTTTCAGAATATCTGCAAATTAAAGAAAAGCTGCTTGCTCAGGAGTTCGTCTTTGCTCCCTTTCCATGGTCTGCAATGTGATTGCGGCAGTGAGCACCTTTCACCTTGAATGCAGAAATTAGAGTGAAAATGAGATCAATGTCCCAGGAGATAACACAGCAACAAGAAAATAGGGACCAAGGTTCCTGCATAACCAAATAGAACAGAGCTGTCCTATTAGCTTGGGTCAGCATGGAAATAAATTACCACACATAAACCAAAACCGTGAGATATTTTTGTAATAGCATCTTGGTATTTGCTGTCATACAGATTTTAGGTACTCTAAGACATTCATATTGTTTCATCATTTGAGGAGAAAACAATAGAGAAAGGGAGAGAAAGAGGGAGAGGGTAATGAGGGGGCAAAGCCGTAGGAGAGGGGAGAGACAGAAGTTTAGACTTTGTCAAATTGTCTTTTGAAAATTTTTTATTTATAATAAAAAATAAAGTGAGAGAATATCAGCTTAGGGAATCCAAATATATTGCAACTGTGTGAAATTTATATGTTACTCCCAGAAAACCAAAGACTAAAAACATTAAAATTAAAGGTTGGAAAAATACATAACCAACAAGCAAAATTACTACTAGCCAAAAAAAATTGTGGAAGTGATATGAACAAAAAATTGGCTGAAACAAACAAACAACTTAAATGGCTAGCAACAAAAAAAGTGTCAATTTTGCTAGTAGTTATTGGGAAATAAAATTGACATATATGTATGTGTGTGTATTATATATATATGCATAAATGTATATATTCATAGATGTATATATCAACCTTTAATAATTAAACTAGTAGAAATCTTCAGAATAGAAAGCCTTGGCAAATAAACATTTATAGTACATATTGTTATAAACATTATAGAAAGAAATCTGCCAGTGCTTATTTAAATAAAAGTCTATATGCATACTAACCCAACAATTCCACCATTGAAGCTCATCTGTATAGAAATATCCATAAAGCCAAATAATAAATGTGTCTCTTTAAAAAATAGGATTCAGGTACATAAGTTGCTAGGGCTGCCATAACAAAGTACCACAGACTGAGTGGCTTAAAGAATGGCCTTTTGGCTGAGAGCAGTGTCTCATACCTGTAATCCCAGCACTTTGGGAGGCCAAGGAGGGGGAATCATGAGGTCAGGAGATCAAGACCATCCTGGCCAACATGGTGAAACCCCATCTCTACTAAAAATACAGAAAAATTAGCTGGGCGTGGTGGCGCATGCCTGTAGTCCCAGCTACTCGGGAGGCTGAGGCAGGAGAATTGCCTGAACCTGGGAGGCGGAGGCTGCAGCGAGCTGAGATCGTGCCACTGCACTCCAGCCTGGTGAAAGAGCAAGACTCCGTCTCAAAAAAAATAAACAAGAAAAAAAATAAATAAATAATAAAAAGAATAGCCTTTTATTTTCTCACAGTTCAGGAGGCTACAAGTCCAAGATCAAGATGTCAGCACAGCTGGTTTCTTTCTGAGACTTCTGTCCTTGGCTTGTAGATGGCTCTCATTTTGCATGATCTTCCCTGTGTACATATCTGTGTCCTAATCTTCTGTTTATAAAAGGACACCAGTCATTAGATTAGAACCCACTCTAATGACCTCATTTAACTTAATTACTCTTAGAAAAGCTCTTTCTCCAACTACGGTCACATCTTGAAGTAATGAGGGTAAGAACTCCAACACATAAACTTTGGGGGAATATAATTTAACCCATAACAATATGGATGGCTATTCTATTGTATTTTTAGTAATACAAATGCAGAAAAATTCTGAATTACCATTAATAGAGAAATCATTGTGTAAAATTATAAGTCATGTATACTGCAATAATTATACAACTTTAAAATATGATTTTATTAATTTATATTAATGTGTATGGATATTCATAATATATTATGCTATGATTTGGATATTTTAGCCCTCCAAATCTTATGTTGAAATGGAATAATCAGCTTTGGAGGTGGGGCCTGATAGGAGGTGGTTGGATCGTGGGGCAGTTTCTCATGGTTTAACACCATCCCCCTTGGTTCTGTCAGGGAGAAAGTGAGTTCTTGTGAGATCTGGTTGTTTGAAATTGTGTGGCACCTCCTCCCCCTCTCCCTTGTTCCGACTCTCACCATATGACATGCTGGCTATCCCATTTCCCTCTCCCATCATTAGAGGCCTTCTCCAGAAGCAGATGCTGACACTGTGCTTCCTGTTTAGCCTGCAGAGCTTTGAGCCAATTAAGCCTCTTTTTTTTTCTCTTTTTTAATAAATTGGCCAGTCTCAAGTTTTTCTTTACAGCAATTCAAAATTGGCCTAATATATCTTGTCAGGAGGAAAATGTAATGATGCTATTTTCCTAGAAGGGGACATTTTTCCATTTTGCTTGCTAGAACTTAATTTGATTATTTCTTTTCTTGCTATTGAATTGAGTTCCTTATATATTTTGGGTATTACCTCCTTCTTAGATGTATATTTTGCAAATGTTTTTCTAGAAGGGGAATCTGTGGATTGTCTATTATGTTAATTGATCTTTTTGATGTACAGAAGCTTTTCAGTTTGATGCAATCTCCTTTGTCTATTTTTGATTTGGTTGCCTGTGCTTTTGGAGTCATATTGAAAGAAAAAAGTAATTACCTGGTCCAGTGTCATAAAGCTTTTTTCCTTGTGTTTTCATCTAGCAGTTTTACTGTTTCAGGTTCTACATTTAAGTTTTTAATCCTGTTTCACTTAATTTTTGTGTATAGAGTAAGATAAGGGTACACTTTTAATCCTCTGCATGCAGACATTCGGTTTTTCCAACACCATTAATTGAAGAGACTATCTTTGTCCCATTGTGTGCACTTGCCTTTTTTGCTGAAAATTAATTGACCTTAAATGCATGGATTTATTTCTGGGCTCTCTATCCTGTTCCATTGGTTGATATGTCGGTTTTTATGCCAGTATCATGCTGTTTTGATTACTATAGTTTTGTAACATATTTTAAAATCATGTAGTGTAATGCCTCTAGCTTTGCTTTTTAAAGAGTTAAAATTATCACAGGATTTAGTTATTGAAGATCAAAGTACTGTGATGAAATTGACAATGGTATATAGTTATACTGTGGTATAAATGTATAAAACTTAAGGCATGAAGAAACAAAGCATAATGCATGTCTCCTTGGAAATAAGGATCTGTAGTGGGAGGAAAGAAAAAAATGAAAACAACATCAAGGCAAGATTGGACTACTCATGGTCAGTATCTTATTCAAAATTCACCAATTAGGTAAATGTTTACATGTCAACAGTTACATCATGTGTGAGGACAAAGTAGAAGCCAGGATTCTCAGGCAGTGGAGATTCTGCCAAACAGTAAGGTAACATCAAGAGTAGAAAAGAGGTAATCACTTCTATCAACATTTACTTATGAAAGATCATGAATCAAGAGTCATTTATGAGATTTATGTACATGTGAACATATCTGCATTATTGAACAATAGCACATTTTAAAATATAGTAATATCAAATATTTGAATATTCAATTGAATGCATTCTTGTTGTGGATTTTACATATAGATTCTATATTTTGGATCAATATTTTCTGTTACCTTAGGTGGCTTTATAGAAAGCTACACTATTTAGAAATATAGAGCAATCAATATCATTCTATGCTAACAAAACAGATATGAAAAAAGCTTAGGGACGTTTTGAAATGATAATAAATCAACTATAAAGTAATGCTGCAAGAAAATAAAAGCATCACCTATTGGGCAAAATCACTGGCTTTCACTAGTCTATTTCAGATTCATTTATCTACTATAATTCAAGGTAGTATAATTTGAATGCTTAACAAATCATCTACATTAATGTCAAGAAAATAAAGTTAAGCAACCATGTTAAAATTTTTCTGCAATTTTTTTATTTGTAAGATTTTATTTTTCAGTACATCAATCATTTTCTGTTGATTCCAGTAGTGATAACTTGAGGCATATTATTATATTAGCAGACTGACAAATAATTATATTGAAGTTCCAAGATACATGCTTTTTTTCCCTAATCTGTTATTAGCTAAATCTATGAACTTTTAAAATGTACAGAATATCCTTGTTTAGATGCTGTTGGATGAATTATTAATTTATCTTCCTTCTTCTTTTTGTATGTACATATCAGCTTGAAAATGCCAATTCTCAATATCTCAGGATTCCTGTAAATTAGAACTCATCATGTGAGAAGTAAAAAAAGGTCTCTTGGAAAGCTTTGAGAACATTGTGTTTTCCTAGATAAAAGTGGTTGGCAAAGCTTCTTTCCTGATATTGCCAAGACTTTAAAGACTGAAGTGATGATAGCCATGTTTGTTTTTTTTTTTTTTTTTTTTTTTGAGACGGAGTCTCGCTCTGTCGCCCAGGCTGGAGTGCAGTGGCGCGATCTAGGCTCACTGCAAGCTCCGCCTCCCGGGTTCACGCCATTCTCCTGCCTCAGCCTCCCGAGTAGCTGGGACTACAGGCGCCCGCTACCACGCCCGGCTAATTTTTTGTATTTTTAGTAGAGACGGGGTTTCACCATGTTAGCCAGGATGGTCTCGATCTCCTGACCTCGTGATCCACCCGCCTCGGCCTCCCAAAGTGCTGGGATTACAGGCGTGAGCCACCGCGCCCGGCCGCCATGTTTGTTACAATGAGAAAAAAGGCTAAGAATATTTCAGAGACAATGGCTTCATTCTAGTCATTTTGTTATGTGACACAAAGGAATTTCCTTTAAATTTGCTTTTTGGCCATCTGTTGGGATTTTCCGTTACCTATAATCAAAGCCATTTCTGATTTACATATAAAGCTTCATTTTTCATTTTAAGTACATATAGGAAGTACAATAAAAGAGAAGAAAGATTTTTAAGATTTAGTTTAATATAAATTATGGTATATGGGTTTTATTTTCTCAGTTATTCTTATTAAACTGATTTTCATGAATTTCTAAAAAAAGTGTTTATAACAAAACAAACCATTGCATATTTCCTACAGCTACTACTAAGTAAATGCTCAAGAAAAGATAAATCCTGGAATCTAAATATTCTAGGCATGGAACAAAAAATTTTGAAAGATACATTTTTCAGCATGTATCTACAATTCCTTTAATTTTCTCGTTATAGAATAGCATTGTGTGCCCAAAATGTGTTCTTCGTCTTGAAGGATCTTTTTTGAAACAAAAACAGAAACTGAACAATACTAAGCCAAGCAAGTTACAACTTATTGATCACTCTTCATACTCCCTATCAATCAATTCAAAAATATACATTTTTCTCTATCATTTATTTTCTTCTATTTAAAATTTTTGAAATGTAGGAGATAGAATATAGATACATATGCTGATGACGGTTAGAAAATTAGGAATATAGCTACCTATATATTATAAATTATCACTTAACACTACCAGTTCTTATTATAGTTCAAACAGGGTTTCATATTCATATTTTGTCTATGTTCTTTTATAATATCAATATATTATTAATATTGAGTTGGTCATTTTTTAAAAAATACCTATTAGGTAGATACATTTTCTAGCTATTTGAATGGCTACGATGTAATTATCATATTAAGAAACATTTATAGGGTGTTCAATGTATGTCTTGAGCTGTACAAATGAGCATCTTATTTCACAAAACCTATATGTAAGAACATTTACTATACTAATTTTTTCAATGGGTAATTGAGGCACAAATAGCATAATAATTTATCTAAGTTCACACAACTAATTATTGGCACAGATAAGATTTGAACTCAGGCAATCTCGCTTCAAAAACTGACTATCCTATAAAGTTTTATTGTTTCTTTTTTTTTTTTTTTGAATGTTAAAGTCTAAAGCAAGTGCCCTTTTTAATGCTGACATTCTTGCTTAGAAATAAAAAATTATTTGAAGTTTTGCTGGTCAACAAAATAAAGTATTTCTATACCTCTGCTTTTACTTTTTTGCAGGGCATTTTTAGAGTTTTCTGTCATTATAACACATGGATAATATGTTGTAAATAAGATGTCATTTTAATATAACACATAAATGGTTTAACATTTTAATAACAATTTTGTTACACAGATCAGTAAAGGAAAACATACTTTTTTTTTTTGAGACAAAGTCGCTCTATTGCTTAGACTGGAGTGCGGTGATGTTACTATGGTTGACTGCAGCCTAGACCTTCTGGGCTCAAGCGATCCTCTTATCTCAGCCTCCTGAGTAGCTCGGACTACAGGCCTGTGCCACCGCATCTGGCTAATTTTTTGTTACTTTCTTTTAATTTTCGTAAAGACAGAGTCTTCTTATGTTGCCCAAGTTGGTCTTCAACTACTGGGCTCAAGGGATCCTCCCAACTTGGCCACCCTAAGTACTGCAATTACAAGCATGAGCCACTGTGCCTGGCCCTAAAAAATACTTTAAAAGTTTTTATGAAACTTAATTTCAGGCTACAACTGAAATCTCAAAATTAGTTTGTAAAGTTTCTTATATTTTCTGAAAATTATTTTGGTTTATATTGGTTTTATAAGCAAATATACAAGTTATTTCGTCTAATATTCTTTATAAAAAATCCACTAATGCAATGAGATTAAAATATAATAAACATCAAATAATAAATTAGTACATAAAAAAGAGTCAAATTACAGTGTATAAAACTTAGTTATGCCAAAGAGAAGCTGTAAAAACTGAAATTAATGTCTATTTTTAATTAGAAATTTTAAAAATAATTGGAAGTTACTTAATTTTAAAATTATTTTTGGAATGCAAATACATATAATTCATAATCCATATAGTTAAATTAATTATTTATTTCAATATCTTAAAAATGAAGCCTTCTATACCAATGGAAAAGAAAAAAAACAGGTATTTTAAGTATATCTTTTCATAGTTGTCTCCAACATGATTGATTAGCTGTAATTTTTCAATGACTAAAATTAGAAGATTTATCTGTCTGTATGAATGCTCCATTTCCTTTCCATAGCCTGTTGGAACATGAGTGTTCAAATGTTAACATAGTATTTTACACTTTGTATACCCTTAATGATAATGTCAACCAAAGTTTTATAAACTGAATACCTGTGATTTGAACTGTGGAGACCTTTATATAGTAGAAGGACCTTCAGGAATAAGTTGATTATTTTTGGCTGTCCCAGTAACCAACTAAAAACATTATACTTTTGACTGCCATTCTCAGTTTTCCTAAGGTGTTCTACCAAAGCAAAAACAGAAGCAGAATAAATTTATAATACAATTACTTCTGAAATAAAATGAGTTGAAAATGCACAGAAAAACAATAGTACAGTAGTCCTCCTTATCCCAGTTTTACTTTTCATAGTTTTCAATTACCAGTGGTCAACTGCAGTTTGAAAATATTCAATGGAAAATTCCAAGAATAAACAATTTCTAAGTTTTGAATTGCGCACAGTTCTGAGTAGCATGATGAGATTTTTGCCCCATCCCAGGTGGAACTGAATGTGAATCATCCCTTTGTCCCACAAATCCATGCTGTGTACGCTTCCCGTGGGTGAATCACTAAGGAGCTAGCTGGGTTATCAGATCAACTGTTGGTATCACAGTGCTTGTGTTCAAGTCACCCTTATTCTACTTCATAAGTGCAAGAGCAGTGATGTGCAGCAATTTGGATATGTCAAAGAGAAGCTGTAAAGTGCTTCCTTAAAGTGAAAATGTCAAAATTCTCAACAGGGAAAGAAAAAATATATACACTGAGGTTGCTAAGATCTATAGTACAATAGGAAATGTTAAGAGAGGCCGGGCATGGTGACTCAAACCTGTAATCCCAGCACTTTGGGAGGCCAAGGCAGGTGGATCATGAGGTCAGGAGATTGAGACCATCTTGGCTAACATGAGTGAAACCCCATCTCTACTAAAAGTGCAAAAGATTAGCCGTGTATGCTGGTACCCACCTGTAGTCCCAGCAACTCAGGAGGCTGAGGCAGGAGAATCGCCTGAACCTGGGAGGTGAAGGTTGCAGTGAGCTGAGATCGCACAACTGCACTCCAGCCTGGGTGACAGAGGGAGACTCTGTCTCAAAAAAGAAAGAAAGAAAAAAAAGAAATGTTAAGAGAGAGGGACCATATTCACTTAACTTTTATTGGAGTATATTGTTATAATTGGTAAATTTTATATTAAATAATGTTGTTAATCTCTTTCTGTGCCTAATCTATAACCTTTATCACGGGTATGTATAAGAAAAATCATAGTACAGGAATATATAGCTTTCAGTACTATCCATGGTTTCACGCATCCACAGAGGGTCTTGGAACATATTCTCCATGGATAAGGGGGACTACTACTGTTCTGAAATCTTAGAACACATAACCTATTAATAAAACAAAAACAAAAACTGGTTACTGGTGACATAGGGTATATTTTTGGAAAGCAGATATTTATTACATGATAAAAAGTATGGAATTTCTTCATATAAAGATACTGTATTTCCCTCTTCTTCACATATAGGAGGCGGTTTAGGAACTATAATAAATCACATTATATATCATACTTTCTATGTATTTGGAAAGTAAGAAAAGACGTATCTAAATAGTGGATCACTTTGGATATATTTGTAATACTTATCATTTAAAATGCTTAAATTCTTTAATGTTTATAAAACTACAATGTGAAACTTTCAGCCAAGCCCAATATTGTTAATATAAAGACAGAAAAAATATATACACAGACAGACTACACATTCCTTGTAAAGTATAAATCTAAATTTGTGTCTTAATCATGGCCCTGAGTGTAACATAATTTTTGTGGTTGAAAAAAATGTATTCCTACCATATCCTTGCTACATAAACGATTAATCTAGGAAGAAATAAAGAAATAGGATTTTTACTAACACAATTTCTCTTGACCTACCTGTGACAAAGACTGTTTCCTTTGAGTAAACCTTTAGTCAGGTACTTGAGTCCTTCTTGACTTGTCCTGACCTCAGACATTTCTCTGTCCTTGTAGAACCCTGTTTGAACAACAATCTTGCTGAGTCAGTGAAGGAGTAAAAAAGATTCCACCCCAAAATATGCTGCTCTAGCCTATCGCCTATTTTCAATAAAAACAATGCCCCCAACAAAAAAATAAAGCCAAACAAGCAAACAAAAAAACCCAAGGCAGGTTCAAGATCACTCTTACTTTAACTCTGTTTTTTTAAAAACAATAGATGAAATTACCGTGTGAAATACATATTCTCTATACCAAAAGTAGTAGCGTTCTTGCCATTAATAATTAGAAGGTGAAGATAAGAAAAATCTGTACAAATAAATCTTGTTAAACTAACCTTTTTCTTCTTAGTCACTTCTCTAACCAATAAATGACTGTAACCGAAGCCCCTTTGCCTCACCACATTTCACAACCACTCTTGTTTAATTCAGTAAATACGAGTTGGACTCTTAACTGCCTCTTTGGGTCTTCATTTCCTTATAAAGGCTCTTATGCTGAGTAAAATATATGCAGTTGACCCTTGAATAATGCAGATATTAGGGGCGTTGACCCTCCACATAGTTCAAAATACATGCATAACTTTTGTTTCCCCCCAAAATTAACTACTAATAGCCTACTGCTGACTGGAAGCCTTACTGATAACAGAAATAGTCAATTAACCCATACTTTGTACATTGTATGCATTATATACTGTATTTTTTTTTTTTTTTTTTTGACATGGAATCTCTCTCTCTTGCCAGGCTGGAGTGCAGTGGTGCGATCTCGGCTCACTGCAACCTCGGACTCCCTGGTTCAAGTGTTTCTCCTCCTCAGCCTCCCGAGTAGCTGGGATTACAGGCACGTGCCACCACACCGAGCTAATTTATTGTATTTGTAGTAGGGACAGAGTTTCACCATGTTAGCCAGGATGGTCTCAATCTCCTGACCTCATGATCCGCCCGCCTCTGCCTCCCAAAGTGCTGGGATTACAGGCTTGAGCCACCGCGCCCGGCCTATATACTGTATTCTTACAATAAAGTAAGACAGAGAAAAGAAAATGTTATTAAGAAAGTCATAAAGAAGAGAAAACATATTTACTAATCATTAAGTGGAAGTAGATCATCACAAAAGTCTTCATCCTCATTGTCCTCACATTCAGTAGACTGAGGAGGAGGAGAAGCAGAAGAGATTGGTCGCTGTCTCATGGTGGCAAAGACAGAAAAGGTGGAGGCTGTGAAAAGGGAGGTAAGAGGCAGACACACCGGTGTAAATTTTATTGAAAAACGTCCACATATGAAAACCGCGCAGTTTAAAATCTTGTTGTTCAAGACTCTAGTATATTAAATAAATCAGTGTGTTTTCCTCCTACTTATGTATATTATCTTAATTTAATTCTCAGGTCTAGCATGGGACCTTAAGAGGGAAGGGATAAAGTTTTGTTTTCCCTACATTGGTTTAGTAAAAATTCCCCAACAATGGTATAATACCTTATCACCCTGGCCTGCCTTCAGCAATAATTCTATCAAGTCAGATTAGCCAGAAATACCTTGTTTTCAATGTTTCCTCATAGTGAGTTTTCATCCACTTATATTCACCCTGCTTCTTAATTATAAATCCCTACTTGCTCTTGTTAGAGTCAGATTTGAGTCGAATCTCTCTTCCCCACTGCCAGACACCATTGCAGCAGTGCCTATACCGATCACAATGGCCCCCTTGAATAAAGTCTGCCTTACCGTCTTTAACAAGTGTCATAAATATTTTTTTCTTTAACATCAGTAATAATTTTGCTACGCAAAGGTATATTTCAGACATATTAAATGACAGAGCAAATGAGAAATAGAATTACAAAAGCAGAAGAAAATATAAGAGAATTAAAGCTGATTAAGGTTTGGATCTCATAAGGTCATTATAAAATTGTTGGAAAAAAAACCCAGAAACATCCAGTTGTATAGATAAATGGAAAGTCTATTTAGAGAGCAGTTAAAACCCCATAACTCCAGCCCTTTCAGAATACTGAAAGTTGATTTTCAGGAGATGATAAAGCCATTAGACACTTGTTCAATTCAAGCATGAAAATATATGAAAATCTACATACAGAAGCTTGTGTCTTTTAGCAGCCTCCCTGAATGCAACAATAAAATCACTGCATTTCTTCAATAAAATGTTATATTTCCCCATCCTTTATAATTTCCACCAGTCAATAGGCATTTCTATGCAATTGTAAATTACATTTCTATGCAATTTCTATGCAATTGTAAATTACAGTGGGTCTCAGTGGGTGTACAATAATCTCCAGATGGCTGAGGAAATCCTCTATTATTAAAAAAAAAAAAGAAAAGAAAAACAACAACAAAAGAGGATCAAAGAAAAACGCTGTAAATGCCTGGAGAAAAATCAATCCAAGACAAAACAAAAAGAAGAAAAAAAATGAACAAGTCTTGGAATCCTCTAAGATAAAGAAGTTGTCTACTAGGAGCAACATAATTAATTGCCAATTAAAAAGTTAAAACAGGCCGGGTGCAATGGCTCATGCCTGTCATCCTAGCACTTTGGGAGGCCAAGGTGGGTGGCTTGCCTGAACTCAGGAGTTTGAGAATAGCCTGGGCAACACGGTAAAACATCGTTATCAGGGGAACCAGCCCCAATATTTCACATTGGTTCTTTTCTATTTCCCTAAGTGTCAGCCGGTCTGAGAAATAAAGGGAAAGAGTACAAAAGAGAGAAATTTTAAAGCTGGGTGTCCAGGGGAGACATCACATGTCGGCAGGTTCCCTGATGCCCCCTGAGCTGCAAAACCAGCAAGTTTTTATTAGTGGTTTTCAAAGGGGAGGGAGTGTGTGAATAGGGTGTGGATCACAGAGATCACATGCTTCACAAGGCAATAAAATATCACAAGGCAAATTGGGGCAGAGCACCAGGGCAAAATTAAAATGGCTAATGAAGTTTCGGGCACGCATTGTCATTGATAACATCTTATCAGGAGATAGGTTTTGAGAGCAGACAACCTGTCTGACTAAAATTTACTAGGTGGGAATTTCCTCATCCTAATAGGCCTGGGAGGGCTATGGGAGACTGGGGCTTATTTCATCCCTTACAACAACCATGTAAGACAGACATTCCCAGAGTGGCCATTTCAGAGACCTCCCTATAAGAATGCATTCTCTTTCTCAGGGCTGTTCCTTGCTGAGAAAAAGAATTCAGTGATATTTCTCCTATTTGCTTTTGTAAGAAGAGAAATATGGCTCTGTTCCACCTGGCTCTCAGGCAGTCAGACCTAATGGTTATCTCCCTTGTTCCCTGAACATTACTGTTATCCTGTTCTTTTTTCAAGGTGCCCAGATTTCATATTGTTTAAACACACATGCTTAATGAACAATTTGTGCAGTTAACAAAATCATCACAGGGTCCTGAGGCAACATACATCCTCAGCTTATGAAGATGATGGGATTAAGAGATTAAAGTAAAGACAGGCATAGGAAATCACAAGAGTATTGACTGGGGAAGTGATAAATGTTCATGAAATCTTCACAATTTATTTCAGAGATTGCAGTAAAGACAGGTTTAAGAAATTATAAAAGTATTAATTTGGAGAACTAACAAATGTCCATGAAATCTTCACAATTTATGTTCTTCTGCCATGGCTTCAGCCAGTCCCTCCATTCAGGGTCCCTGACTTCCCGCAACACTCCGTCTCTACTAAAATAAAAAAAACTAGCTGGGCGTGGTAGCAGGTGCCTGTAGTCTCAGCTACATGGGAGGCTGAGGCAGGAGAATTGCTTGAACTGGGGAAGCGGAGGTTGCAGTGAGCTGAGAGTGTGGCACTGCACTCCACCCTGGGTGACAGAGAGAGACTCTGTGTCCAAAAATAAAAATAAAAATAAAATAAATGCATGATAACTTGGAAATTAAAAACTGAAAGCAGAATTTTTTAAAGAATTAAAAAGAACAGTTGAGGAAATTTTTTGAAGTGTAGACAAAAACATGACAAATAATAGAAATTATATGGAATTGGTAATGTTAGTAAATGAGCAGTACAACGTAACACTAAGAAACAGAACTGAATGGGAGGCCGAGGCAGGCGGATCACAAGGTCAGGAGATTGAGACAATCCTGGCTAACACGGTGAAACCCTATCTCTGCTAAAAATACAAAAAATTAGCCAGGTGTGGTGGTGGGTGCCCATAGTCCCAGCTACTCAGGAGGCTGAGGCAGGAGAATGGTGTGAACCTAGGAAGCGGAGCTTGCAGTGAGCCGAGATCATGCCACTGCACTCCAGCCTGGGGGACAGAGTGAGACTCCTTCTCAAAAAAAAAAAAAAAAAGAAAAAAGAAATAGAACTGAACATATAAACATTTAACATGATATAATAACATGGGGGGCATTTCACAAAAGTGATTAAAGTTTAGACAATACATGGAGAATTTGCCATTCATATTGATCAATATAACTAGAAACCTATCATATACCATATATCACATGATTAAAGTTATACATGTAAAATTCAAAATTTTATTTTTGGGTAAAATATAAGAATTATATAAGGATTCATAATAGCAAAGACTTGGAACCAACCCAAATGTCCAACAATGATAGATTGGATTGAGAATATGTGGCACATATACACCATGGAATACTATGCAGCCATAAAAAAGGATGAGTTTATGTCCTTTGTAGGGACATGGATGAAGCTGGAAACCATCATTCTCAGCAAACTATCACAAGGACCAAAAACCAAACACTGCATGTTCTCACTCATAGGTGGGACCTGAACAATGAGAACACTTGGACACAGGAAGGGGAACATCACACACCAGGGCTTGTTGTCGGGTGGGGGACTAGGGGAGGGATAGCATTAGGAGATATACCTAATGTAAATGACGAGTTAATGGGTGCAGCACACCAACATGGCACATGTATACATATGTAACAAACCTGCACATTGTGCACATGTACCCTAGAACTTAAAGTATAATAAAAATATATATATATAAAATAATTATATAAGGAGATATTTTTATGATATTAGGTCTGATAAATTTCATTATAAGAAACAAACTTCAAAATCTTGAATACAATTATGAAAGTATTTTATAAACTTGTTCTGAAGAATTTCTTTGAAAAGATTAAAAATGCATACTTATATCACACAATTAAGGAAATATCAAATCATCAATTTTTTTAAATCTGTGAATAAAAAAAGTTATATCTAGTGATATTTCAAATAAGAAGAAAATACCTTTTAATGTGTATAATACTTGAAAACTTTAAAGAATTTTGTAACATAAAGTCTTGACAAAGATGCTAACTGTAGAAATTTTTTATTTTATATTCTCAGGAATATGAATTGTACCTATGACCATTTAGCAAAGCAATTTAGCAATATCTAGTTAAGCTGAATATGTGACTATTCTACAACACAGCAATTCCAGTCATTTGTTGTAGCATTCTAATAACATGTTTCACATATATTTATATACAAAACGATTGATCAAAATGTTAAAATTATCATTATTTTTGTAAGGCCAAATATTTGGAAATGACATGTAAGAACATCAACAAAATTCCGCCCCGTCTGGGAGGGAGGTGGGGGGGTCAGCCCCCCGCCCGGCCAGCCGCCCTGTCCAGGAGGGAGGTGGGGGGGTCAGCCCCCCGCCCAGCCAGCCGCCCTGTCCGGGAGGGAGGTGGGGGGGTCAGCCCCCCGCTCGGCCAGCCGCCCCGTCCGGGAGGTGAGGGGCGCCTCTGCCCGGCCGCCCCTACTAGGAAGTGAGGCGCCCCTCTGCCCGGCCAGCCGCTCCATCCAGGAGGTGAGGGGCGCCTCTGCCCGGCCACCCCTACTGGGAAGTGAGGAGCCCCTCTGCCCGGCCACCACCCCGTCTGAGAGGTGTACCCAACAGCTCATTGAGAACGGGCCGGGATGACAATGGCGGTTTTGTGGAATAGAAAGGGGGGAAAGGTGGGGAAAAGATTGAGAAATCGGATGGTTGCCGTGTCTGTGTAGAAAGAAGTAGACATGGGAGACTTTTCATTTTGTTCTGTACTAAGATAAATTCTTCTGCCTTGGGATCCTGTTGATCGGTAACCTTACCCCCAACCCCGTGCTCTCTGAAACATGTGCTGTGTCCACTCAGGGTTAAATGGATTAAGGGCGGTGCAAGATGTGCTTTGTTAAACAGATGCTTGAAGGCAGCATGCTCGTTAAGAATCATCACCACTCCCTAATCTCAAGTACCCAGGGACACAAACACTGCGGAAGGCCGCAGGGTCCTCTGCCTAGGAAAACCAGAGACCTTTGTTCACTTGTTTATCTGCCGACCTTCCCTCCACTATTGTCCTATGACCCTGCCAAATCCCCCTCTGCAAGAAACACCCAAGAATGATCAATAAAAAAAATAAAAATTAAAAAATAAATAAATAAATAAATAAATAAAGAGAGAAAAAAGAGAAAAGAAAAAAAGAAAGAAAGAGCCCCTCTTACAACTAAAAAAGTCTGGGCATAGCAGAACAAACAAACATGAAGACTTTCAAAGATGATGCTGTGGTCTGAAGGTTTATGTCCTACTCAAATTCAAATGTTGAAATCCTAAACCCCCAAAATGATGACATTAAAAGGTGGGGCCTTTAGGAGGTGAATAGTTCATAAGGGTGGAGCCCTCATGAATAGAATTAGTGCCCTTACTAAAGTGGCCTGAAGAAATGTGTTCCCTCATTCTACCATGTGAGGACACAGTGAGAAGACACTGTCTATGAGCCAGAAAATGGGCCCTCATCAGACTCTAAATCTTCTGGCACCTAGATCTTGGACTTCCTAACCTCCAGAACTGGGAAAAATAAATTTCTATTGTTTATTTAAAAAAAAAAAAAAAAAAAGAACATTAACAAAATAACGGATAAATAGTCATGTAGCTATATAAGATTTTACATCAGAAAATAATCAGAACCTTACATATGTCAACATGATTAAATATTGCAAACATAGTATTTATCAAGGAAAGAATGTTATAAAAAGAAACAGATATTCAAATCACTTATATTTTGATATATGCAAACCACTAGGTATAATTACAGATTTAATTATATCTAATTATAATGTTAGATCTAATTCTATCTAATTATGATTATGATTAGAAATAATTCATAGGTGGATAAAAATGGATGGATAGATAGATAGATAGATAAGAAAAGTCACATATGGTAAGGATAAATACAAGCCATTCAGAATAATTGCTTGTAGTATTGAATTGTATTCCTGAATGACATTCACAAGTTAGAAAGAAGTTCTAATAATTACAACATTATTGGGAAGTTACAGAAAAGACTTTAAATCAACTTTTAACATTTGATTTATTCAGTTGATGCATGATCATTATTATATTACTAATAAGCATTACAAATAAAATATTTTCTTATAGAAATCATAATTTTAAACTTAATATTGAGAAGGTAAATGAAGAAATAACTAGAATTTTTGCCGTATAAAGTATATTAAAAACAAAACCCCAAATCCCAAAAAACAGATGCCAAAATAAGAGGCCCTTCTCTCCTACTGCTAACTGAGATCCATAAGCTGTGAACAATAAATGATAAACATAGCACTTTTGCTAAATTATATATATATAAATATACACATTCTCTCCTAACATCCATGAAGTATTACATATTCACATAATATTTTTAAATAACATGAAATATCAAAGTTATGAGGCAGGTGATATACACAGATGATGATAATCCGGGAAAATTTTAATAAAGGTATTATTTTTAAAGGTATGGGTAGCTGTAGGTAAAGCAAAGCGATTGGCTAGTCAACTGAGCCTAGTTGCAACAGAGTTAATACCTCTTTTAAACTGGGAAGAACAGGGATGGTAGCAGGGGAAGACGTATTTACCAGAAACTAGAACAACATCACATAGAGAAGAGAGCCTTGAGAGAGCCAATGATCTTTGACTAAAAAGCAAAGGTAGCAGGGGTTTAAAATGGTGAAAAAATAAATAAATATTCAGTTTAAAGCACATTTTACATGATCCCATATTCATGAGCTTTAGGTTACTAGTAATGACCCAGTTCCCATTGCATTTGCACTCCATTAACAACTGAAAATGTGTTTTATTTGGTTCCCGAGAAGTGATTCAGCATTCATTATCATATAATATGATTGTTCAGTGGTCTTATTTTTATTGTTTTTCAACAATTTTCCATTGACTAGAATTATTAGGCAAAAATTCCTCAACCAATCCCCTGAATTCCAAACTTAAATATCCTTACTCAAATTATGTAGCAGAAACTCTGTTTCCTCCTAATAATCTAAATCAATAACATCAATCAATAAAATAAACTCCTCTGCCTGTTAATTCAGGGGTACTGGTATTCTAAAATTGCCAGGGACTGACTTAGCTTCTAATTCATCAAAACTGTGACAATCTTTCCTATGGAAGCAATTCTCTCCTGGAAAGTAAAATCTCCAAAGCAATGGAGCCACAGGTTTTGGGGATCAGCAAAAATTGCATCACGTAGGGTTTATAATTGCACCTCACTATATTGGTTTCTGAAGTTGTGTATCTAGACTGTGAGAAAGTCTGCAAAATATATTGCACTACAATTTAAAAGCATTTGCCACAGAGTATAGGAGTGTACCTCAGCTTTACAGCATGTTATTTTCCAGGCAGTACCATAAATAACTTCTTGGTGAGCTTTCCAACCATCAACCCAATGGCTCTGGGTGATGGCTAGTGAATTCCATGGCTGTGAACCCATTGCTATATTTTCTTTGCTGAGGAATATGCCCAATGATCAGAGGCAATCCTGTGTAGGGTACCATCGAAAAAGAGAAGGCATTCAGGAAACTCATCAATGGTGATGCTGGGCAGACAAACTGCATATATGTCCATCAAAATTCAGAAAATGAACTATCCTCCTCCATCATGGGAGGATTCCAACAAAATCAACCTGGAAACACTAGTTGACTGATAATCCCAGACAATTATGTTATATTGGGAGCTTAGCTTTGGCCCAAGAATGTTGGGATTTTGGTGAGTCAGCAGAGGCTTTCACCAGATCAGCTTTTGAGACTGTGGGCAGACTCTTTTCTTGTCATCATGGCTACGTTGTTTATGGAACCTCCAAGGCATATTTAGAATGACCAGAGAAAGAGACTGTCTGCTATCCATAGGATAAGGCACCTTAGCCATCTAATTACTGAGAACATCTACCACCTTGAATGCTCACTGTTTGCATTCATTTGTAATCAAAATGTCTTCCCACTCAGTGACTATCAACGCCTGTTCTAAGAAGTCTATCTACATTCATTTCACTCAGATATCCTTGTTACCAACTTTTCCAATGCTATTTATTTTTTAATATCAGTTTCCAGCAGTTTTCTTGCGTACAATGGATATGTTTTGTGTTACCCTTGTGTATAGTCTTGCTTCCTCATGTGTTAACTGGGGAGCTTAGGAAGCAGAGAAAAAGTCAGTAAATTAATAGCTAATTGACTTATAAGCCACTTGCTGATGAAGTTTACTTTAAGCTTCTGGACCTTCTATATCCAAGTCTCCTATATGCAAGCTTAAATTTATAACTAGATTCTGCTCTGCATGATGAATTTGATGATTCATTGAATCAAAAAACACCCAGGACATGACGATCAGCACACCTCTTGTTCAAGGTCCTACTCAAAACTGTCAGCTTCAGGGGATTACCCAATAAATGCACTGAAAAAGCATGACTGGAGATGATGTTTCCTAATCTAAATGTAACCAGCAAAAGCTTTTTCATTGGTCAAACAGAATGGATCATCGTATCTTTCTCATTTTAGAAGAAATATCTTTACATGCTTTGACCACTTATTCCCTAGAAATTTAATAATTCCCTGGAATTGATCCAAGTTTATGTCTCACCCTTCATTGCACAGTTACATTACTAAGACATATAGGGTGTTTACAAGCTCATATTTATTATATCTAATTAGCATAATGCCATCAACATAATATCCAATGGAATCTTCTGTAGAATTTGATCATTATAATTTTTTTCCAGATTGTATTATGCAGCAGCAACATATTGACTTAGTAATGGAGCAAGAGAAAGTCTTTTTCCTGTTCAAATTGTATTGTTTTGTAAATGCAAACTGCTTGATATTTTTCTTACTGATGGGAAAGGCAAGGAAGAATTTGTAGCAATTCTTGCACCAAGTGCTGTGTTGATTTGCTCAAGTAAAGACACTATATCTGAAAAGAAAGCTCTGATGGACATCACAACCTGATTTAGCCTGTAACCCTCTATAATTATTATGCATTATTCAATTGGTTTCTGTGCCAGGTAATCAAACAAGTTAAATGGGAGATGTAGGAATCAATACCCCTGCATCTCTGAGGTTCTTGATGATAAAAATAATCTCTTCAGATCCTGAGGAATGAAATAATTCTTTGATTTACTTTTTTTTCCAGGAGTATGTAGTTCCAGGGACTTCTGTGTAGCTCTTTCTGCCGTAATACACTTTACTCCATAGATATTGAAACCAGTGTGGAAATCCTTCTAATTTATTTATGATTTTGAAAATAACACACAATTTATCATCAGTCACACTGGACTTTTGTTAAATTTACCTGGACTGGTATCCTTTGTATTACCTAACGTCTGTAAATCTCTTGTTTCACTAGTGAGCCAGAGTGGAATTGGGTCTCTGGGAAGCAGTGCAAGTTCAGAGCCAACATATGATATTCTCTGAAAATTATAGGTAATTCTCATTTCCTAGCACTTGAGCCGCAGGTCTTTCTTGGGACCTATGGCCATGTTGTAAGATTCCCTTTATATATTTTCCTCCCTCCCAGTTAAAGGGCTCCTCTTGTATAAATCAACATCTGGAAACTGTATAAGAGGTTTAGCATCTCATGGCTTTCACTTGAGTGAAGGTTCTGGCTTTCTGTACTAGACTTTTTCCTTCTGTACGTATCAAGTAGCACCTTAGAAGGCTGCTCATCTCTGACATTTCTAGAGACTCATAATTTGTTTGATGACCACTATAGATAGCATTCCATTGCCCCTTGTCTTTGATAAAGCATTGCCATCTGACCTCTAAGATCTTCTTTTTTCATTGAGCTAGAGAAATTCAATTCTACTCAGAGCTTGCTACCATCATTTCCAGCCCATAGGTGCCATTTATAAGCTTTTCTTTTTCTCCTTCTTTCTTTCTTTTTTTTTTTGAGACACCATCTTGCTCTGTCACCCAGGCTAGAGTGCAGTGGCTCAATCTTGGCTCACTGCAGCCTATGCCTTCTGGGTTCCTCCGAAGTAGCTGGGATTACAGGCATGTACCACCATGTCCAGCTATTATGTTTGTATTTTAGTAGAGATGGGGTTTTGACATGTTGGCCAGGCTGGTCTTGAACTAGACTCAAGTCATTCATCAACCTTGGCCTCCCAAATAAAAGCTTTTCAATAATATCCTTTCCCCTCTTCTCCCAAATTTTAAATGTCTTGGTGAAAGTACCATCTTCTGGTTCCTCTGTGTGGTATCGGTGGATAATATTTCTACTATTCCCAGGTAAGTGAGGATAAAGTGAAGGTCAACATAAGAGTGTGGGACTTAGCTGAAATATTAATAGTTTTACTTCTCATATTGGAATTTATGGAAAGTAAAGAGAAAAACTGTTTATTTTTTAGTATTCTCAATTGAAATGTAAATATCCCTGAAATATGCTACACAGTGTTCCTGAAATGTGATCCAGGCACCACTTGTATCAAAATTATCTGGAGGCAGATATTAGAACTGAAGCGTCCTGGGCCTCATACAGGTACAGTTCAATCAAATGCCCTAGAGGAAATATCTGATAATGTGCATTTTAACAAAACTTGAGATGGCAGTTATGCATACCAAAATCTGAGATGCCATAATATGGAGGTAGTTAGAATAATCATAGTATAGAATTATACTATCATTAAACAAATTATATGGAAGGCCTGTTTTTTTGGACTGAGCTCCAGAACCAGGCCCCAACAGACCTGACCAAACCAAAATGTAGTCACTCAAGCTAAATGCCAAATAAGCAAAGTGAAATTTTACGAAAGCAGATAAATCCCATAACAGATCAGTTTTTTTTTATTATTTTCTGAAAACAGGAGATTCAGGTCTACCTGATTCAGCATGAAAAGGAAGTTCTCTCTGCTTTAACCCTTACAAAAACCAAGTAACCTGAAGTAACTTGATGTTAATCAATCAACTACTTTTCTATTGTTCTATTTCCTTATCTCGCCTTACAAAAGCCACGTTTCAGCTATTGTTCTTTGAAAGATCTCATTCTGTTCTTTAGAATGGAGGCTGCCCCAACTCATGAATCAAGAATAAAAGCCAATTAGATTTATGACAGTTTGTTTTAATTTTGTTTTGAAATATTCAAAACAGATTCTCATAGTGTATCAGGAAAAAAGAGACAGAAGAAAGAAAGAAGAGGTGCCATGTTGTCTTTATAATAACTCCCTTTTCCTTTGGGTCATAAAATAATGTCTAAATGCTTGCATTAAGTAGCACCCACAGTACGCTACTTAACACTCACCACATACTTTCCTATTTGCTTTGGTTTGCTTTCACCTCCAAACTCATCTTGAAATTTAATTGCCCTTGTAAGAGTATTAGGAAGTAAGGCCTTTAAGAGGCACTTAGGCCATGAAGGCTCTACTCTTATGATTAGATTAATACCTTTATTGGGAGAATGGGGTATTTAGAAGTGGGTTCCTCTGATAAAAGGATGGAGTTTGTCTTGCTTTCTCTCTCTGGCTTCTGTGCTCACTTGCACTTCCACCATGGGCTAACACAGAAAGAAGGCCCTCACTAGATACCAACACCATGCTCTTGGACTTCCCAGCCTCCAGAACTCTGAGCCAAATAAACTTTTTTTTAATTTATAAATTACCCAGTCTGTGGTATTCTGTTATAGCAACAGAAAACTAAGACACTACTTTTAACCTCAACTATCATAGTGGTTGGAGAACATTTGCTAAGCTCTTTATTAACATAGGACTAGGACCTCTTAAAATGGTAATTGACAGCTATCTTGAAGTGAGACTAGACCTAAATAACTCCCAGTAGGGATGGGTTTGATAATTGTTAGATACAGCTCAGTAACCCCCCATTTAAACATGCTTCCTGAAATCCAAATCCCTTCAAAATGAACTTCTTCCACTCAAATCTTTGTCTCACAGACTATTTCTAGGTTAGCACAATTTAAGACAAGAAAATATTAACTATATGAGCTTGGTTATTTTTAGTGTTTGGACAGGATGTGGGAAGGTTAAGTTGACTATTAGAATTTAAAATAGTTTAGTCTTTTCTCCCTACATTAAGATTACAAACATCCAGCTCAAGGAAGAAAAAATTAGAATTCATTTAAAATAAGTAAAAGATTTGAAAATCCTTTGTTTATTAGAGTAAGCACTATGTAAGAATCAGTGATGAGGCTGGAAATAGGGGAAAATTATTTACTGCAATGAAGAGGTTGATTTGAGGGATTACTTTAGAATTAGGGTTAAGGTTAGGCCAGGCATGGTGGCTCACACCTGTAACCCCAGCACTTTGGGAGGCTGAGGAGAGCAGATCACAAGGTCAAGAGTTCGAGACCAGCCTAGCCAACACAGTGAAACTCCATCTCTACTAAAAATAAAAAAATTAGCTGGTCATGGTGGTGCACGCCTGTAATCGCAGCTACTCAGGAGGCTGAGTCAGGAGAATGGTTTGAACCCAGGAAGCGGAGGTTGCAGTGAGCCAAGATGGTGCCATCACTCTCCAGCCCAGGCAACAGTGTGAGATTCCTCAAAAAAAAAAAAAAAAAGGAAAAGAAAAGAAAAGAAAGAAAGAAATAGGGCTAAGTTTAAATTTAATTCCAAGTTTTTCTAAGGTAATAACAGTGCTCATATAATCTTTGAGAACTTATGCCACTAAGGTTTTATATATGAAAAATTTGACCTTCCAGTTCTAAATTAGCAAACATTTTAAAGTAAACCGAACTCAGGGAATATGGCAACCATGAATTATTCATGGAAACAAATGACAACATTGAATCTTGAATATTGAAGTCTTGTTAACATAATACTCTGTTACTGCTACCACGTTAACAAAAAATCTAGAATTAGGATCTCTTGAAAATTGACCACTGGTGAACATTAAAGTAAGGTACATATAGAAAAAACAAAAAAGACTAAAATGATTAAACATTGATCATGTGACAAAATGGGAAATGGATGAGGTGAACAGAATGTACATGTGTTTACTTTGTTTTTTATTTTTTTTGTTTTAATCTGGAAATCAATGGATAATGTAAGATACAATTGTAATTATTTTAGAAATTAAGAAAAGAAGACACTGCTTGCCATTTTTTTCTCATTATTACAGAAGATTATTCTAGGACTAATAACTATCATTGAGAAATATTTACTTTAAGTTCTTAATTTTACATCAATTTCTGCCAAATTCAATAAAATTTAACATATTTTGTTTATCATAGTTTAAAAGCAGGCACTCAGTTTTAACTCCTGTCATCTTATTTTTACAAATAGAGAGATATGGAATTTTGTACCACAATAATGACAATTATTTCTCAGTGGGAGTATTCCTGGGCTTTTTTTTTTCCCCGTTCTTTACTTATATATTTCTTAACATATTCAAAATAAGCATGCATATCTTTTAAAAAGCCACAGCATTATTATTACCTTGAGTATTTAAAAAAGAATAAGAAGCTTTAATATTTAACTCTATAGTTTTTACAATAGAGTAAGATAATATGTTAGAATAACAATTGTGTCCCTGTTTTTCACCATCATAAAATAATCTGGAACACATACTAATTTATAGGGCCAATGGCACATAAATTTCTTTTTCTAAACTCCATATTTATTTTAAATCATATGTCATATTTTAGTTTCAGTGTTTTATCAATATGCTTCTATCCGTATTCAATCATACAGGCATTCATGGCAAATCTGTGACCTTCTCATATTCATTCTTCTGCTCTAAGCTTTCCCATGTGTTTCAGATTGTAGATAGACATAGCTACTGTCGATGTCTTTGGACTTTATGTGGAGTGGATCACCATCTTGAACTAGAAATACAGCATTCTGCTTTTTTGTTATAATTTAGATAATCTTCAGTCCCTGGAGTTTACAAAGCTGTGTCTGTTATTCTTGAAAGCCTTGTGTCCTTTCCAGAATAAATGAAAGGATTGCTGCCATTGTAGAAACACCACTACAGTTCACTTCAGCCACTAGCCACCTAACTTTCCTACTGCTTACAGCACCGGCACCCATTCCAGGCACTACCCACCTCCCACTACAAAAAAACACTCATTCCATTCAAACAGCGATTTTCCCTGTAAGTTTATAATCAAACACAATCACCATCATTCACACTGCCCTCCTTAACTTCTGCTATTCACTATCCATTCTCCCAACAGCCACTCTTAAAAATCTACCATCTGTCTTTAGTTTCTATCTGTCCTTTATTTTGCTATCCTCTTGCAGTATATTGCCTTTTTCATCGGTGAGTTCATAAATAACACCTCTCTGATATTTATCAAGAAGGCTTTTACAAAGAGACAGTAATTTATACACCTTCAATAATTTTGTATGAGTGTGGCATTCACTTGCATTTCCATCATCATGTTCATTAAATACATTTGTGACCCTCAGTTATACAGACACATCCAAATTAATCTTCCCAACACGTTCTTAAGTACAGTTTTAGCGATGATGATCTGAACTAAGGGGTTAATACTTTCCTTTTGTTGTTTTTTATGTTACTATATTGCTTTGGAACACTGTTTATAAAAACAGAATTTTTGTCCATCTTATAGCAAGTATCGTTTTGTGGAATGGAAAACCAATTAACACTGAATTGAAGAGTTTTATAAAATTTTACATGCTCTGTTTCCACGTACATGAAGGTTTAATATAACATTGATAATATATTTTTTTCAAATACAAAATCTATTTCCTATCTTTATTACTCAGATCCAAGGGCATATTAATCACATCTTTGGGTTTTATAATTTTACTTGCACTTTGACCTGAGAATTGTTTGGGTTGTTTAACTAAACACTACTTTTGTTAAATTCCATCACATGGAAATTCATTTAATGCATTTATAAATGCTCAATTAATGTGGGAAACTTATTTCCCTTAAGTATTATATTAGTAGTTTCCACCTTATGGGAACATTATTGCTTACTTCTGCCACTATTAATTTTACAGAAAATTAATATTAAGCTATTATTTGATTCTAAAATAAAGTAACTTTTTAATAATTTGTGAACCATCATAATAAATTGCGTGGAAATTAGAGTGTATAACATCTACTCCAATGAAAATTTCTTGTTGATGAATGGATATTTCAAGTATGTGTCTGATAATATTTTACATGATCACTTTAAACTAATTTCTGTAATTTCTTTACAGATCACTTGCGCCAAGCAAACAATCACTGGAACATTTATTACAGTGTTTTACATTGCAATTAACCTCACAAAATTGTAAAATGTGAATAAAAAAGGAAAGTTAGTGTTCCTTGATTAGCTTTTAAATCACATATAATAATACTTTTTGAATGTTCCCTATTCAGAGAAACAATAAGCAGAAAAATGTATAAAAAAATTATTTAGGTTCTTGTTTGAAAAATAATAAAATAAATTATTACAATGAAACCTTTTTATTATTTTTTCACTTAACTGATTTTATGCTTCTAAAACAAAATATTGAGTAGTACACAAGTGTTAAATCTTAAGTTGTGGATATAGAATAAGTTATGAATTAGCTATCCATTGCTGCAAAATGAAAGACCCCAAAATTTGACTTAAAATAGCAAATATTTATTATGCACAGATTATGGGTGTTAGGAATCCAGGTGTACCTCGGCTGGATGTTTCTGACTCAGGGTCATGGTAAGGTTGCAGACATGGCTTCAGCTGGGACTGCATCTGAAGACACATTTACTCACTGGCCTGGTGGTTGATGCCTCAGTTTGCTGCCTTGAGCTGTCTCCATAGGGATGCCTTGAGTGTTCTGAAGACACGGTGGTTGCTTTCCCCAAAGTGAATAATGAGAGAGAGAACAAAACAGAGAGAGAGAGAGACAGGGAGACAGAGAAACAAGATGGGAACTTCAGGCTTCAAAATCTAATCTGAGAGGTGACATAGACCACCTCTCAGTTTTATTAGAGTATGTTTAGAATAGACACTTAACTATGATTGAGCAAAGATGTGGTCATAACACCTGGCAATATATCACTTTGCCTCCATTTGCTTTGTCTATTTGTATCACGCAATCCATTTATTTACCTTGAACTAAAAATAATAACAGAATATAGACTCAGTTTAAATGTGACATTTATCAGGAATGGATTAATTTACTAAATCTTCTTGGCTAGTGAAGTGAGCTTGCTTTCTTCAATAGTGTGTTTTAAAGTAGTTTTTATTTTAGTGAAATATATGTGGCATAAAATTGCCATTTAACTATTTTTAAGCACAGTTCAGTGGTATTAATTATATTCACAATGTTGTGCAACCATCACCACTATCTATGTACAAAATGTTTATATTACTCCAAACAGAAACACTATAACATTAAGCAATAACTCCCCATTCCCTGTTCCTTCAGACCCTAGTAAGCTCTAAACTTCTATGAACTGGCCATTTAAAATATTTCCTATACATAGAATTATATTTGTCCTATTGTGTCTAGCTTCACTTAGCATAATGTTTTTAAAGATCATCCATGTTGCAACATGTATCAGAATCTAATTTTTTTTATTGTTGAATGCTATTCCATTGTGCATACATACTACACTTTATTTATCCATTCATCTGTTGTTTCCAGTTTTTGGCTTTTGTGAATAGTACTATAATAAACATACAAGTGTCTGTTTGAGTCTCTATTTTCAATTATTTCTAGTGTATATACCTATGAGTGGAATTACTGTGTTATATGGTAATTCTGTTTACTATTTTTTAACACTGCCAAACTTTTCCACAGAGGTTACACTGTTTTACACTCCCATCAGCAATGAAGGAAGTTTCCAACTTCTCCATAGCTTAATACTTGTTATTCCCCATTTTCAAAAATTATTTTCAACCTTGTAAGTATGGCATGATACATCAGCAAGGTTTTGATACGCATTTCCATAACGACTAATGATGTTGAGCATTTTAATGTGCTTATAAGCTATTTACATAGCTTCTTTAAATAAATGTCTATTCAAATACTTTGCCTATTTTATAATTAGATTGTTATTGGTGTTGAGTTGAAGGGATTCTTTGTACAATCTGGATGGATCATTATCTCTTATCAAATGTATAATTTGCAAATATTTTCTTTATTTTGTAAGTTTTTTTTACTTTCTTCCTAATGTTCTTTAATTTGCAAATATTTTTGTTCATTTGTTGTCATTTATAAAGCCCTATTTATTTGTTTTTTTCTTTTGTTGCTCATGCTTTTGTCATATCTAAAAATCTATTGTCAAATTCAAAGTAATTAATATTTACCTCTATATTTTCTCCTAACAGTTTAGGGTTAGCTTTTATATTTAGGAGATTGATGCATCTTAAGTGAATTTTCATATATGTTTGAGATAGGAGTCTAGTTTTATTATTTTGCATGTGAATATCCAGTGGTCCTAACATCATTTGTTGAAGAGGCTGTTAATTTGCCATTGAATAAATTTGATAACCTTTGTCAAAAGTAAATATGCCGTAGATGTATGAGTTTGTTTTCTGTATGTCTTACAGATTTTCCATCCTTCATTTCCTCCATTACTGACATATTTTATATTTAGTTGTTTTATTTTCAGTAAACCATAGTTTCCCTTTCAATCATTTTCTCTATACCTTTTAGATTTTCTCTTAATGGTTACCACACGTGTTACATTTAATACCCTAAATTTATGACAATCTAGTTCAAATTGATACCAACTTAATTTCAGTAACATAAAACATTCTGTACATATAAAGTCTCATACATCCCACACATACGTTGTTATAATCTGTCTTTATTCATTTTTCACACAACATTAATTTTATATAATTTGTTATGTATCTCTCTTTTAAAATCTGTATGAAAGAAAAGTAGAGTTATAAGCCAAAAATACAATAATACTGGTTTTGTATTGGTCCATATATTTGTCTCTACCAGAGGTTCTTATTTCTTCATATGGCATTGAATTACTGTTCAGTGCCCTTTCATGTTAACCTGAAGGACTCCCTTTGGCATTCCTTGTGGGGCGGTTCCAGTGATAATGAATTCTCTCAGCTTTTGTTTACTTTGAAATGTCTTAATTTTACCCTAATTTTTAAAGGACAATTTTGCCAAATTAAAATTTTTGGTAGATAATTTTTTTCAGTACCTTACATATATCACCACACTGTCTTCTTGCCTTCTTGGTTTTTGCTGATAAATTGCTGTTAATCTTATTGAGAATCTTTTGTATGTGATGAGTTGCTCCTCTCTTGCTCCTTTCAAGTTTGGTTGTAAATTTGGTGAGTCTCTTGAATTCATCCTATTTATGTTTGTATGTCTTCTTGGTTGTAGATTCATGTCTTTATTAAATTTGGGAGTTTTCAGCCATTATTACATCATATTTCTTCCCCCATCCTTTGTCTTCTGGGCCTCCCATAATGCATTTGTTGGTGTCCTTGGTGGTGCTCTATAATCCCCTTATGCTCTGTTCATTTTTTCACCCTTGTTTTCTTTCTGCCTCTCAGAATTAATCATTTCGTTTGTATTATCTTCAAGTACACTGATTTTTTTTTGCTTAGTTATTGTGCTTTTTAGCTCCAGAATTTCTGATTGTTTCTTTGTTAAAATTTATATTTCTTAATATTCTTATTTTGTATATATACTATTTCCCTGATTTCCCACAGTTATTTGTTAATGTTTTCTTTTAATGTTTAGAGTTTAGCATACTTAACACAGTTGTTTTTTGTTTTAAAAATTTTATTTACATATTGAATTATTTATAACTGACTAATAAGGTTGTATACATTTATGCTGTGCAACATGATGTTTTCATATATGTATACATTGTAGAATGGCTAAATCAGGCTTATTAACAGATCCATTGCAAGACGGTTATTTTAAAGTTATTGTCTTGTAAGTCCAAAGTTTTGGCTCCATTAGAGAGAATCCACATATTTCACTACTTTGAATCAGCATATTTTTCTGTTACTTTGTACACCTTGTGATACTTTTGTTAAAGGTGGACATTTGAATATTGTAATGAAGTAATTTTAGAAATTAGATTTTCTCCCTTCCCCAGAGTTTGTTGTTATTTTGTTGTTGCCTGTGGTTGTTTCAATGGAAAGCTATAGTAGTCAATTTGCTTAGTGTCTTTTTCAAACTATTTTTGTAAAGGCTGTATCCGTTGTATGTAGTCAAAAACGTCTCTGTACCTTAGTTAGTGTTTACCCAGTGTTTTAACAGAGATTTCCTTTGAAGGATAATGCCAACAGCTAAAACCAGCCAACCAACCAAACAAAAAAACACTTTTCCGAGTCTGAAGGGGATGCTCCTTCAGCACTTTACCAGGCTTGTACTGAGACTAAGAATCAACTAAAAATGATAGGTTTGTGTCTTCCTAGATTTTTCTAAGCATTTTGTCTTGCTCTGGACCTGAGCACAGCCTCCTAAATTTCTCCTCATATGAACGTGCTTTTGAATGTCTTAGCTTCCCAAAGGAACTCTTTCTAGCTTTTACTCCCAAGCTACAGGTAGTCTATTGCATGTTTCAGCGTGTTCTTTGCCACAGGAGTCTGCAGGTTATTGGGTTGGCTTGCAGTGTTTTTGAGCAATGTCCAGTGCTTGCTTCCTGGCCTGGATTCTAAATTAATTGAAACAGATATGAATGCCTTACGTCACTCCCTCAAGTGGCCTTCATACAGGTGAGAATACACACACAAAATAATTTGCAAATAGAGTCTGTTCTGGTTCCTCCACAACCAGAGACCAGAGTATTACTCTGGGAATGTGGACATCTCTCTTCAAAAGTGCCGCCATGCCCAAGGGGGTTGAAACAAGGAGAGTAAAAACTTCACAAATATTTTTTAGATTTGTTGTTTGTTTTTGTTTTTATTTTTTGTGTGATTTTTTTGCTGTTTTTCTTAATATTTATTTTAGATACAGGGTACACATGCAGACTTGTTACATGGGAATACTGCATGATGTTGACGCTTGGAGTACAGATACTGACACTCCAAACGTGAGCATAGTCCCCAGTAGGTAGTTTCTTTTAATTCACACACTCCCCATCCTCCATAGTAGTCCTCAATAACTACTGTTCCCATATTTTTGTCCATTTGTATTCAATGTTTGGCTACCACTTATAAGTGAGAACATGTGGTATTTGGTTTTCTGTTTCTGCATTAATTTGCATAGAATTATGACCTCCAGCCCCATTCATGTTGCTGCAAAGGACTTGATTTCATTCTTTCATGACTGTGTAGAATTCCATGGTATATATGTACCACATTGTCTTTATCTGATCTATCATTGGTGGGCACCTGGGTTGATTACATGTCTTTGCTATTGTGAATAGCACAGGAATGAACATACAAGCGCATGTATCTTTTTGGGAAAATGGTTTATTTTCTTTGGGTATATATCTAATATGAGATTGCTGGGTCAAATGGTAGCTCTATTGTAAGTTACACGAGAAATGTTCACACTGCTTTTCACCGTGGCTGTACTAATTTTCATTTCCATCAGGAGTGTATAGTGTTACATTTTCTCCCAAGCCTCACCAGCATCTGTTGTTCTTTTAATAATAGCCATTCTGACTGGTCTGAGACGGTATCTGACTGTGGTTTTGATTTGCATTTTTCTAATGATTAGTCATGCGAAGCATATTTTCATATGTTCATTGGCCCCTTATATGTCTTTTTTTTGTTTTGAGAAGGGTTTGTTAGTATCCTTTGTCCATTTTTTAATGGGATTATTTGGTTTTCACTTGTTAATTTGTTTAAGTAACCTACAAAATCAGGATATTATACCTTTGTCAGATGCATGGTTTGCAAATATCTTCTCCCATTCTGTGGGTTGTCTGTTTGCTCTGTTGATAGTTTATTTCTCTGTTCAGGAGATTTTTAGTTTAATTAGGTCCCACTTTATTTTTGGTTTTGTTGTGATTTCTTTCAGAGACTTAGTTAAAAATTTCTTGCCAAGACTGATGTCGAGAAGAGTATTTCTTAGGTTGTCTTCCAGGATTTTTATACTTTGAGGTTTTACATTTAAATCTTTAATCCATTTTGAATTAATTTTTTATATGGCAAAAGGAAGGGGTGTGGCTTCAGTCTTCTGCATATGACTAGCCAGTTATCTCAGCACCATTTATTGAATAGGGAGTCCTTTCCCCAGTGCTTGTTTTCATCAGCCTTGTCATAGATCAGATGATTGTAGGTGTGTGACTTTATTTCTGAGTCTTCTATTCTGTTCCATTTTTCTCCATGCCTGTTTTTGTACCAGTACAAAATGTTTTGATTACTCTGGCTTTATACTACAGTTTGAAGTAAGGTAGTGCAATGCCTCTGGCTTTGTTCTGTTTACTTAGGATAGCTTTCACAATTCAGGCTCTTTTTTGGTTCCATGTGAATTTTAGCATACTTTTTTCCCCAATTCTGTGAAGAATGACATTGATAGTTTGATAGTAATATCATTGAATCTGTAAATTGCTTTGGGCAGCATGGCCATTTTTATGACATTGATTCTTCCAATTCATGAGCATGAAATGTTTTTCCATTTATTTGTGTCATCTCTGATTTCTCTCTGCAGTGTTTGGTAGTTCTCCTTATGGAGATCTTTCACCTCCTTGGTTAGCTGTATTCCTAGGTGTTTTATTTTCTTTGTGGTTATTGTAAGTGGGATTGTGTTCCTGATTTCACTCTCAGTTGTTGTTGAGTAAAAATGCTACTGATTATTGTTCCTTAATTTTGTATCCAGAAACTTTACTGAATACAAATCCTTTATCAATACTAGTAACCTTATGTCAGAGTCTCTAGGATTTTCTAGGTCCAGAATCATATCGTCAATGAAGAGACACAGTTTGACTTCTTTTCTTATTTAGATGCCTTTTATAACTTTTTTTTTTTTTTGCCTGACTGCTCTGTCTAGTAATTCCAGTACTGTGTTGAGTAAGAGTGGTGTGAGTGGACATCTTTATCTTGCTCCAGTTCTCAAGGGGAGTGCTTCCAGCTTTTGTCCATTCAGTAGGATGTTTACTGTGGGTTTGTCGAAGATGGCTCTTATTATTTTGAGGTATGTTTCTTTGATGCCTAGGTTTTTGAGGATTTTGTCATGAGGGGATGTTGGATTTTATCAAATGCCTTTTCCGCATCTATTGAGATGATCATACGGTTTTCGCTTTTGGTTCTGTTTATGCGGTAAATCACATTTATTAATGTGTGCATGTTGAATCAGCTTTGCATTCTAGGAATAATGCCTACTTGATTGTGGTGTGTTAACTTTTTGATGTGCTGCTGGATTAAATTTGCTAGTATTTTGTTGAGGACTTTTGCATATATAATCATGAGAGATATTGGTCTGATGTTTTCTTTTTTTGTTGTGTCTCTGCCAAATTTTGGCATAAAGCTGATGTTGGATTCATAGAATGAGTTAGCAAGGGGTCCTTGTTCCTCAATTTTTGGAATAGCTGCAGTAGAATTGGTATTAGCTTTTCTTGGTATGTCTGGTAGAATTTGGCTATGAATCTATCTGGCCCGCAGTTTCTTTTCGTTGGTAGGTTCTTCAGAAGTTGGTATTTGTCTATTCAGGGTTTCAAACTCTTCCTGATCCAATCTTGGGAGATTTTGTGCTCCCAGGAATTTATCCATTTCCTCTAGATTTTTAAATTTTTGAGCATAGAGTTGTTCATAGTGGTATCTGAGGATCTTCTGTGTTTCTGAGTGATCAGTTGTAGTATCATCTTTGTCATTACTGATCGTGCTTACTTGGATCTTCTCTTTGTATTTGTTAACCAAGCCAGGGGATCTCTATCAATCTTATTTGTCTTTTCAAATCACCAACTCTTGTTTTCATTGAAGTTTTATGCGGATTTTTGCATCTCAATTTCAGTAAGTTCTCTAATTTTAGTTATTTCTTTTCTCTTGCTAGCTTCAGAGTTGGTTTGGTATTTTCTTTTTCTGCCTAGATTCTTCAGGTGCAAACTTACATTGTTAATTTGAGACATTTCTAACTTCTTGATAAAAGCATTTAGGACTATAAACTTTCCCCTTGGTACTGCTTTAGCTACATCTCAGATATTTTTGTAAGTTGTGTCTCTAGTTTTATTAATTTCAAAGAATTTTTATTTCTGCCTTAATTTTGATGTTCACCCAGGAGTTATTCAGGCATAAGTTTTTAAATTTCTGTGTATTTGTGTTGTTTTGAGAAATCTTCTTGCTGTTAACTTCTATTTTGATTGCACTGTGTTCAAGAGTGTACATGGTATGATTTCAAGCTTTTTAATTTATGGAGGTTTGCCCTATGACTAAGAATATAGCTGATCTTAAAACATGTTTCATGTGCAAGTTTGAAGAATGTCTATTCTGTGGTTGTTGGATGGAGTTTTCTATAGATGTCTATTATGTCCAATTGGTCAAGAGTTGAATTTAAGTCCAGAGGTTCTTTGTTTTTGTTGTTTTGTTTTGTTTTGACTTGATAGTCTGTCGAATGCTGTCAGCAGGGTGTTGAAGTCTCACAATATTATTGTGTGGTTGTCTAAGTCTTTTTTTATGCCAAGAAAAAGTTGTTTTATAAATCTGGGTGCTCCAATGTTGGGTGCATATATATAGGGGGTAAAGTTTCTTGTTGGATTGCATTCTTTATCATCATGTAATGCTCTTCAATGTGCTTCTTAATTTTTATTGACTTAAGTTGCATTTTATCTGACATAAAAATAGTGCTTTGTGTTTTATTTTGTTTTACATTTGCATGGAAGGTCTCACTCTTCCCTTTTACTTTTTGGCTGTGGGTGTTGTTACATGTGAGATGGGTCTCTGCAAGACAAAAGATGGTTGGGTCTTGTCTTTTTATCCAGCCTGCCACTCTGTGCCTTTTAAATGGGGGATTTAGCACATTTCTATTCAAGTTTAGTGTTGATATGTGTGATATTAATCCTGTAGTGTTGTTAGCTGGTATTTATGTAGGCTTGATTGTGTAGTTCTTCTATAGTGCCTGTGAGCTATGTGCTTAAGTGTGCTCTTGTGGTAGCAGGTGTGGTTCTTTTGGCTTCATTCTTATCAATCTCTTAAAGTCCTTCTGTATGGCTGGTCTAATTGAAATGTATTTCTTCAACATTTGCTTGCCAGAGAAGGATTTTATTTCTTCTTCACTTATGAAGATAAATTTGGCAGGATATGAAATTATTGACTGGAATTTTCTTTCCTTAAGAACACTGAAAACAGGCCCCCAATCTCTTCCGGCTTGTAAGGTTCTTGCTGAGAAGTACACTGCTAGCCTGATGAGGTTCCCTCTGTAGGTGATGTGCCTGTTCTCTCTAGCTACTTTTAAGATTTTTTGATTGACCTTGGTGACTATGATGACTATGTGCCTTGGGGATGACCGTGTTGTATATTATCTGGTCAAGACTGTCTGTATTTCTTGGATTTGTGTATGAACATCTCAAGTTTAATTAGAGAAGTTTTCATGGACTATAGTGTCAGATGTGTTATGTCTTCCAAGTTGTTTTTTTCTCTCCTTCTCTCTCAGGAATGCCAATGAGTCACAGATTTTGTCTCTTTATATAATCCCACATTTCTCGGAGGTTTTGTTCATGTTTCTTCATTCTTTTTTCTTTATTTTTGTATGACTGAGTTGACTTGAAGAACTGGTATTCAAGCTCTGGGATTTTTTCCTTAGCTTCGTCTATTCTGCTGTTATTACTTCCAGTTGTATTACAAAATTCTTATAATGTATTTTTCAGCTCAAGAATTTCAGTTTGGCTCTTTCGTAAAATGGGAATTTCATCTTTCAGCTTTGAATCATTTTACTGGATTGCTTGGTTTCCTTGGATTAAATTTTAGCTTTCTCTTCAATCTCAATGAGCTTCCTTGCCATCCAGTTCCGAATTCTGTCTGTCCTTTCAGATAATTCAGACTGGTTAAGAACCATTGTTGGGGAGCTAGTGGGCTTGTTTGGATTTAAGGTGACACTCTGGCTTTTTGAATTGCCAGAGTTCTTGTGCTGATTCTTTCTCATCTGAGAAGACTGATATGCTTTTAATCGTGGTGTAAATTGATTATAGTCTGCTGGCATCATTTCTGGAAGTTTTCAGAGGACCAAGGCACTATATAGGACTTTGTTGTAGAATTCTTGCTATTGGTTTTGCAGGGGGGAAATTCTAAAGTGATCTCTGGTGTAGCTTCAGCTGCGATCCAGTAGATGGCTCTTGAGAGTAATGGGCAGTAGATAGGCTTTTACTCAGCCATGTGGTTCCTTCATGTATCTTTGAGTTTACAGCTGTGTTCTATGGTGTGAGGGCAAGAGAGGTGATTCCATTACCTGGTCTGCTTGTGGGCTTTGGGGGAGCCATCTCTCATCACTGTCACTGTGTCCACTATTTTGTTGTTGTTGTTGTTGTTGTTGTTGTTAGGTCTTTTGGGCCACAGGGCTCCCTTGGGGGAGATATCTGGTAGAGAAATACCCTTACCAGACCTACCCTGTGGAGAAAGGGAGGGCTAGGTCCCATGCCAGCCCACAAACCTGTGCAACTCAGCACTCTCAGTTTTCTGAGCGTGTGGGCTCCTGCTCTACTCAAGTGCCAATCACAGATTATAGCTTGACACTCCTGAGCCACAGGCCACTGCCCTGGGACACAGGATCTGCTTGTAGCTCCCTCCTATGGATGCCTGGGGTTGGGTTCTGGGTGTGATATGGGGTCCAAGGTGTTCCCAGGCTGCCAGAACACAGGCGAGTGGAGCAAAACACCCAGCCTGGGCAGCAGAGGCTGCATTGTGTACACACTTCTATAGAGTGGCCAGGCAGGGGTCCCGGGAGGGGCTGGTGGGCAAGCCGTCCTGCAGGACAGATATGCCCCAGTCCCACATGGAAGCAGACCCTGCCTTCTCCCTAGCAGTTACCTAGCTCCTCTCAGGGAGAGCCAGGTAGCCCTGGGAAGTGCGTGCTTATAGCCGGCTCCACCGGAGCTTCCCCATGCTCAGTTCCCAGCTCTGTGCCTGCTCGGCTCTGTTTCTGTCTAATATCCAGAGAGTTCTCTCTACCAGCTCCCACATTTGTGGGGGTATGGGGTCCTCTGCAGCTAGGATCCCAGAGATATGTGGCAAGTGTGAGCAGTTTCCCAGCCCTGTCAGTCACCTCTTTCCCAGGAGCCATTCAGGGGCAGAAACCAGTGGTAACATGCAGGCACCCCACAAAGAGTTCTTATCTGCCTCCCTCTTCAGCCTCAGTGACTGCATCTTTTCTCCATCCACATTCAGCATTTTCTCCCTAAAGATCTGTTCAAATTATGTTGGTGTAGTTGAAATTGTCTCTCTGTGGGAGCAGCATTTTCTGGCTGCATCTAGTTGACCATCTTGGAAAAAGACATTTTCAACAGTTTTGAAGTTGCCTTTTTCTCAACTCAATATTTACTTGGTTACCATAAACCTTCCTAGAGTTCTGCCAGAATTGGTTCTAACTGTTTCTGCATGTTTTTCAGTATTTCTTTAGGAGGGATATGAGCTTGGAGCTGTCTACTGCAATGTTACGCTTGAATCACTCACACCATTACTTTTTCCACATGCTTCTGGTCACACATACCAACCCTAGGACATGATTAAAAGGGACTATGTAAGAATGTTAACATCAGGAGTCAGGGACAAGAGCAGTCACCCCCTCTTAGTGGCCTGCAGGCTCCACCAAGCATGGACATAAAAGAAAATATTGAGTTCCTTCAAGGGAAATTCCAGGAAGCTGACTAGCCTTGAAAAGTAAAGAAGCAACTTGATAAATAAGAAGATAATAGTAACTTAAAACAATAGTGAAAAGACTTAGAGTCATATGACTATATGGTTCCCTATAGAAACTAAAGGTAACTTACTAACATATGTCTCTGGGTTGTTATTCAGAAATGCAGACTTCCACCAAATAAGTCTACTGGCATGTAAACCTCAAAGGGGAACTGAGGACTGAACTCTGATCACCATTCTTTTTTTAAAATGTCTTCCTGAGGGACCTGGAGGAGGTCACATCCCCAGGCCAGAACTAACATTCTGTTAATCCCAAATTTTTAGGCAAAGCTTTGCCTCCTGAACCGAATTCAAATCATAAAATATTTGAATTGACCTAGGAATTGTGGGATCCCGCTTCAAAACCTCTCTCCGTTTTAGGCCCAAACCAGGGTGTAACCTCTATGTGTTGATTTACAATTTTGCCTGTAACTTCTGTTTTCCTGAAATTTACCCCTTTCTTTATAAACTCTTGCATACCCACCATTGGAGAGGTCAGGAGTTAGGTGTTAGCTGCCTGGTCCTCCTTGCTTGATGCCCTGCAAATAATCACCTTTCTTTCTATGGCTGCAAACGTTGGTGTAGATATCTGGTCTTACTGCACTGGGCAAGTGGACCCCAGTTCAGTTCTATAGCACCATCACAAGTTAATTTTAATTTGTTTAAGTGACATTGAGAGAAATAAGACTAGATAAACAAAGCTATTAGGAGAAAAATTTGTTAATTTTTTTTTCCATTCTGTGCTTCAGAATCTTGGCTCATAAAAATAAAAATAATTCACTTAGTTCACATTTGTGACTCTGTACGTGTACACTCATGTGTGGATGCACACAATAAAATAGGAAGTGTCTTTAATCAAACAATTATTAAGATGCCTTGATCAGAAAATATCTCAACAGGAAACAAGATACATGGCAAGAGTTAACAGAAGACAGATAGAAGAGTGACTTTTATAAAATTTTGAATAGGTTTAAGCAAACAAAAATGGCTAAACACCAGGCTGAGAGCAATAGTAGGAAGCCAATGTCATATCCAGGCTTGAGATGAAAAAGGAAGAAATTTTGTAACCAAAAACTGAAGACTTCTATGGTCACCGGTGGGAATAACATGATAAGAGTTATGGCTGCTGTCAAATCACAGCACAAAAAGTAAAACAAACAAACAAAAAACCCTGGAGACATTGATAGCTCAAACTCATTCACCATCTTCCAGTCCCCCTGATCTCTAGGCTACACCTCCCATTAGCCAAAGATATGCTGAAGCCTGAGGAAAAATGAGCTGGGTTGCTGTCATTCACAAAGTTCAGCTTCCAAAGACACAGTTCAAAGTGGAGGAGGATGGATGCTGCATCAGAATGGGTAAATGGAAAATAGTCAGCATAGTTTAAGTTGACTTTCATATATTCAATAGAAGAAAATGTAATGAAACAATAAAAAACAAATAAAAATAGAGTAGCATAGGTAAAAAAAAAAAGCCAGGTGAGGTTAAATATGAAATATATGACTTAAATTCCTCTATGATAAAGTTGGACCATTTACTTGCCTCTTCCAGGCAATGCAAAGATCAAATTTTGATCAGCTAAATATATGGTAATGTTATAAAGGAACAGAAAATTTACTGAGGTACAGCGTTACTATTCCCAGTTCAGTGGCCAAGAAGACATTCCTAGTGTCAGTCCTCATATAGAAAACTGAAATTTATCGAACACTTCAATTTTACAAAAAATAGAGGACAAGTTTAATAAAACTACATCTTATAGCATCCCATAATGGCTGTTGCCAAACGTATTTCAATAAAACCATTCTAAGGAGGCTGAAATAAAGTACTTTATATTTGCAGCCTCAGCTGTTCTGATGTGATCTAGGGATAGATTACGTAGAATGGATAAACTGCATGCCCCAAAGGTTACATCAAAAAGGTTGTATTTTCTGCAAAGCACCAAGGAATTGGCACTTATACTTCCTGATAGGTACTTGGGGTGCAGATAAACTACATTGCAGGTCACATTAAGGGCCAGGTGATATTTCTTGCAACTCTCCAGCCACCTATGTTCCCTTCCATTCTTCTTCATGAACTCTCTTTCTTTCTGGCTCTTAAAATTAGTGTTTTCCTGGGATTTCTTTCTGCCCCATTTACCTTTACAATGCATGCATGCCATACATGAACAATGTAATCAATTTTTATATTTTCAATTTTTTATGTAATGATGACTCCCAAATGCTTGCAACCTATCCTGATTTTCTTCTTGTGCTCCAGACCTCAAAATTCCATTTATGTGCTGGACACCTGCATTTGGGTGTTTTATCTTTGATGTGGTTCTACCATTGTGGATAAGTCTCTTTTTTTTTTTTTTTTGGATTGCCCACAAATGATCAACTCTACAACTGTATTGTTCTTTTATTATTTTACAGTCACTAAGATCATAGTTTCATACTTACCAGAATTCTCTTAATATACTTCCTCTGCTTTTCTGTAAGCACAATTAAGATCATTATTGTTGACTGTGAGACAACATGGAAAAAAAAGTCTTCTTCAGTTTCTCAGAGACACGTTGGCCACCAGTCTAAACAGAGACACATTGGCTACCAGTCTAAATAGGTTTTGTTTCTGTGTTGTTTTGTTTTGCTTTGTTTTTGGTCTGGGCATTTGTCGAAGTTCTGAGGATCCTGTTACAAATAACCTCGTGCAGCTTTCTTTGTATCTTTTTGAAATATGATCTTTCTATAGTTTTCTTCTAACCTCTAGCCAAAAAGAAATGTTTCTATATCACTGAAGGCAACGGTCTTGACTTAAAGCTGCCTCATGAGAGTCTACTTTTGCCAAGTACTGAGAAGTGGTTCCACTGGCCTATCCACCTCCCACCTCGTTTCAGAGGCCTAAACTTTGGAATGGATAGACTAAGCACATCAGTTTGTTTGGGGAAGACTAGAAAGGTGAGTATTCCTTCCTTCAATGTCAATAACCAGGTGAATGTGTCTGTGTCCTTTCTCCTTATCTCTATAATCTACGCCAATTTTTCACAACCCTAAACACACTATTGAATTGTCTGGTGAGTTTTTGTTACTAATATGCAGAGGTGAGATTAGCTGATCTAGACTGTGTACTTTTACTTGGACAGCTGCTCTCAGAAATATACTTGCCTTTTCTATTCCTTCTAAAATTTGCTCAAAAATCATCTTCTGATTGAATCCTATCCATATCACCATGCAAAAAAATTGTCATCCTTAGCACCTTCCTGGTACCCTCTCTATCCTCTCTCTGAACAGTCATGTATCTGCCTCAGTGCATCACACAGCCAGTATTTCTAGGACTCTGCTGGGCCTCATTGGGACTACAAGGATGCTTGACACTGGATAGACTCAGGGCACTGAGTACCTGTAATTTCTGTCTCATTATCCAGCTTAAGGATTATTTTGTTAGTCTTAAGGGGGACTTTTCTCTTCATCTTTTTAAAACTACCACCACCTTTACCCAATAGTGTTCTTTCCCATAAGTTTTCTTAAGGCTTGACTATTTGAGAATTGATAGCCTGAAGGTGTTATTGACCATGTCTCTTTTTTTGATGCTCTATGTACCGACAATGAGAAATTAAATACAAAGCTATCTTTTTCAATGGAAGAAAAAGTCAGAGACACACTGATAAACACATACCCATACTATTTCAAAATATTATTCATCCACATATATGTGTAATACTGAATATAAACAGATTGATTCATTCATTGATACAGAATGTTAAAACATGTTCAATATCAGATTGTGTTGCCTAAATCCTGTGACCCATATGGGTCTTTAAATAGGAAATTTTACATTGTAATATATAAAGAGGTAACTGTATACATTTAAAAATTATTTAGAAATATTCCTTATGAAAGAGAAGATAATGTAGAGGTGAGAAGCATTGCTTTATACAGTGTGTTAGGCTAATGTATGCAGAAGGGACCATGACTGTAGGCAAACAAATTGCTAGGGATCACAGAATGCCCTTAAGATTAGTCCAGCAATAAATCATCCTGTTACTGTGTGGTAAAAATTCCAAGGCCCAGACAGAAAGTAATCTGTACTATTGAAAGTTTGTACCTGTTGGGCACTTGTTGGAAAGCTGGGAAAATTGTGTTCTCCAGTGCCATACAGAACTACCATTCCACAAATTTACTAAGGTAATCATCCTCTAGAATCTGCCTTTATTACTAGATCTATCTAAATTACATCTATCCTATGTAGATTCACAGATTTGTGCTATCTGGGGTGGGGGGGCGGTGGTTATAAGTGATTACAAGAATGAAAGGCAAATGGGAAGGTGTAATTATGTCAGTATTAAATTTATGAACTCCTAGATATCCACTTTCAATATTTAAATATTAGTTTTATATGTCGTGGTAATCTTATTATAAGCTCATATGTTACCTACTTATTTATTCATTTAATGCTTTTATGTAGTCCATGTCAAACCATGCCCAAAGGATTTCTAAATTATTAAATTGCACCTAGATTTTCAAGGGGCCGTGTCAGCTAGTAGAAAGAAATTCCTCTCTCAAGAATTAGGACATTTCACTACATTTTAAATAAGATAGACTGAAAGAAGCATGGTCAGCAGATGCTTAGTTCTATAGTTTGATCTCTTACAGCTAGAAAAATAAATGATATACAATCATGAATATAAAAGATACATAATCAAAACATTTAATAACTGAACATTATAAATAACAGTATATATGCTACAGAAAATAATAAATATTTTAAAATATAATATTTACATTCAAGGAGAAGAGAACTATTACTAAGATGAACAGAATAAGGTCTATTTCATCCTAAATGTGTTGTACAACATGAATCTAGAAAGCCAAGTCTATTAGATTTAGGGTAAAATTTGTCTCGTCAGATTCTGTAAATAAGATTAACTCAAGGAGTGGGGAAATTGGAAGGAACCACCTGCACAACTATTTCAAACTCAGTTACCAAGCTTACCACAATCATTCTGGTGTCATTCTGTGGTCTGTTCCAACGGTTTTAAATGGTACTGTGCACCAAAATCTCTCGTTATATTTTGTAGAGACAGATTTTCATGCCTCAAATCCAGATGTGCTAATGTAGTAAGCCAAGGAATCTCTATCATTTAGAATGAGTAATGAATAAGGATGTTTGATATATAAAAACATACCTAGCAAGGTAAAAAAGTAAAGCAAATATAATGTTAAAACACAAGAAGCTACCAAAATATCAAAAACCCTCTAAAAATCTTCCCATGCATACATGTATAACATGTCTGAATTTCTATAAATGGATGTATAGATATAAAGATTAATACATTTGTAAAGAATACAGGGTGCAACAATTCCATCAATACCCATGTATTTAAATATTAAATTTAAAATTAGACAAAGTCAAGAGTAATTCTGAATTTCAGACATATATATATATATATAACACAGTCCTAAAATTATTTATATGTCAAATTACAATAAAAAATTACTATATATTTAAAGGTAGTATGGTTGGAATCTGACTTTTTAACAAACATCTTCTGTAATTTTGGTATGCATAATTCTTGGACTATACATTGGAAAAGAGATCTAATGTGTGTGTACCCCAACTAAAAGTCAAGAACTTATGTTAACATCCTCATGAAATAACCCTATACTCCAAATTAATAATATATTGTAATTAGACATTTCCACTACTTCGGGTATTAAGTCAGACAAAATCTTTGCAGAATTTTAACCAGTATAAACATATGTTACTCACACAGAATTAGAACTGAAATTAATAGCATAATAAACTTTTGCACTTTCTGAAAACAATTATTTAAGCAATTTAGCTTAACCAAACAAGCTCAATTAATATGTCATTGCAAATAAACCACACCTACAATTTTAAGTGGATTTGCTAAGACTTCTTCTTTATAAATATAAATACAAACAAAAATAACAAAAATAAATATAATACTGACTTTTCTACAATAAAATATGATAATTTTGTCATAGCTTAACACTATTTTTCCTCCAAACTATGTTACTAAATATACTAAATATGTTACTAAATATATCACGCAGTGGCGTGATCTTGGCTCACTGTAACCTCCACCTTTTGGGTTTGAGAGATTCTCCTGCCTCAGCCACCTGAGTAGCTGGGACTATAGGCATGCGCCACCACGCCTGGCTAATTTTTGTATTTTTAGTAGAGACAGGGTTTCATCATGTTGGCTAGGCTGGTCGCGAACTCCTGACCTCAGGTGGTCCACCCACCTCGCATTCCCAAAGTGATGGGATTACAGGTGTGAGCCACTGCACCTGGCTAGTTGATGTTTTTTAAATGTCCAAAATATATCATCTTTTAAAGCACATACATTTTTCTGGATTTTTCTTTTTATTAAAATATAATATATAGTTGTGTCTTTTCTGTCAATATATTTCCATGCTGCTTTGGTTCATTTATTGTTTGTAGTCATGAATGCCTATACTATAAATTAACAATATTTTTTTCCTTCATAAATGACTTTCTGATTTATTGCATAGAAATTAAATTTACAGATGCGAATGTTATTTCAAGAAAACCTGTTGATTTTTTTCTTCTCATACTCACAAAAAGAATAGAAGTTACAACAATTTCACACTAACCAATTAGAAGGACTTGAAGTTTTAGAAATTTATTTTTGCTTAAAGTAATTCTGTTGTTTGTTGTAACTTCTATTCTTTTTGTGAGTATGAGAAGAAAAAAATCAACAGGTTCTCTGGAAATAACATTCACATCTGTAAATATAATTTCTATGCAGTAAATCAGACCATGTTTAGGGCAATCAATCAGCAAAACATATAATTATGGTGAAGTAATGTTGAAAATAAAGGAAGTATTTTATTTACACATAATGTGTTTTCTAATGAGATTTTATTAAGGAGCACAATTTTGCCATAGATACGAATAGGCAAAGTAAGTTATGTAGCCATGCTTCGTAAAAGTACAAATGATCTCAAAGCATATTTGATTTCTGAAATGATTAAAATAATTTTTACATTCCTCAAAGTAATGGATATTAATGTGTTTATATATAAACACGCTTTATCACGTTATTTTTGGGTAGATTTTTCATCATCATACATTCTCAAAACATGTTGGTTCTATAAATAATTAGAACATAAAATATGTTATTTACCCATCCTAAAGGAAGATAATAGTACTATAAGTGTAAATCACCTGGGTTATTATGCTATTTATTTCAGTGTGCTAAATGCAGACACCAAAAGAAAATGTCTACCCTCAACCATAGCGTTCGATTACTTTCACATCAGTTTTTTTTTGTTGTTTCTTCATTTCTTAAATAAAAAACCATCAAACTTCTATACTTCTCTCCCACTGTCACACGCTTACCCCATATTTTCAGAAACCTAAGTAATGCAGAAAATATTCATTGGAAGTATTTTGCTTTGCTAAGCTAAATTTTGTTCTTAAATTGAGCATTAGGTTTGTGATCAAAAAATTTATGATTTATGTGTTAGATCATTGCATCAAGTCACTTTCTTCACATCCATCGTTACCTAGTGAAAAAATAATAGAAATATAACGTGCTTCCTAACTTTCGCCAAGATTATTTTAAAATAGAATAGTGTAAAAAGTGAAAGGAAATGAAGCAAACAGATTTGCATTTAGCTTTAATAAGTTTGAGTAATTACTTCTGACCATAGCTCAACTCCTAACATTCTAGAGAGACTAAGGAATGGTGGTCATAGCCTTTGTAATACAAATTATATTATCAGACACTACAGAAAAGTCAATTTTGACCTGTTTCAATTTCTGAATGTTATCAGGAGCTACCATTGATTAACATATACATTTTGTATATTTATTTATTTATTTTTGTTGATACATATTTTACATACTTCTGGGGTACAAGTGGTATTTTATTACATGCATAGAGTGTGAAATGATCAACTCAGGTTATTTGAGGTATCCAGCACCTTCATTATTTATCATTTCAATGAGAAGGGAACAATCAAGTCCTCTCTTCTAGCTACTTTGAAATATATAACACCTTGTTGTAAACCATAGCCACCTTATTCTGCTGTCAAACATTAGCATTTATACTTTCTGAATGTAGCTTTGTACACATTAACAAATCTCTCTTTATCCCCCTTCTTCCACACTCACACCAGTTCCAGCCTCTGGTATCTGTCATTCTACTCCCTACCTCCAGGAAGGAAAACAACGTTTTTAGTTCCCACAGACAAGTGAGAATCTGCAAAATTTGTCTTTCTGTGTCTGGTTTATTTTACTTAACATAATGACATCTAGTTCCATCTTCTTTGCTGCAAATGGCATGATTTCACTCTTTATATGGCCAAGTGGTATTCCGTTTTGCAAATACACCACGTTTTCTCTATGTGTTTATCTGTTGATGGGCACTTAGGTTGATTTCATATTTTTGCTGTTGTGAATAGTGCTGTAATAAACATGCTAGTGCAAGTATCCCCTTGATACACTGATTTAGTTTCCTATGGATAAATACCCAGCAGCACAATTGATAGATTGTATTGTAGTTCTACCTTCAGTTTTTTGGGAAATCTGCATACTGTTTTCCACAGTGACTGTACTAATTTACATCCCCAACAACAGTCCATAAGAATGTCCTCTTGTCTGCACCCTTGCAGCATCTGTAATTTTTCATCTTTGTGATAATAACTATTCTAACTAGTGTAAGATGATGTCTCATTTGGGTTTTGATTTTCATTTCCCTGATTAGTGATGTTGAACATTTTTTCACATATGTTTGGCCACTTGTATATCTTCTTTTGAGAAATGTCTATTCAGGTGCTTTGCCCACTTTTTAATGGGATTATTTGCTTTTGTTACTGTTGAGTTGTCTGAGTTTCTTGTATATTCTGGATATTATCCCCTTGTTGGATGAATAGTTTTCAAATATTTTCTTCCATTCAATCAGTTGTCTCTTTATTCTGTTGTTTCCTCTACTGTGCAGAAGCTTTTTAGTTTGATATAGTCAGTCCTTTTTGACTGTTATTGTTTTTGTTGCCTGTGCTTTTGAGGTGTTAGCCATAAAACCTCTATTTAGACCAATGTCCTGGAGTATTTTTCTTATATTTTGTTTTGATAGTTTTGTAGTTTCTAGTCTTATGCTTCAGTATTTAATCCATCTTCAGTTGATTTTTGTATATGATGAGAGATAGGAGTCCAGTGCCATTCTTCTACATATGATCTCCTATTTCCCTGGCAACATTTATTTAACAGGGTGTCATTTTCTCAGTATGTGTTCTTGGCACCTTTGTTGAAATCAATTGGCTTTAAGTATGTGAATATATTTCTTAGTTCTCTTTTCTGTTGCATTGGTCTATGTATGTGTTTCTTATATGAAGACCATGACAATTTGGTTACTATTGCCTTGTAATATATTTCAAAGTCAGTTAGTGCGATGCCTCCAGCTTTGTTATATTTCATTTTTTTATGCTTAAGATTGCTTTTGCTTTGGCTATTCAGCCTTGGTTTTGTTCAATACTAATTTTAGGGTTTTCTTCTATTTCTGTGAAAAAATGATGTTGGTATTTGGATAGGGATTGCATTGAATATGCAGATTGCTTTGGGCTGTATGGTCATTTTAACAATATTAATTTTTTCAACCAATGACAATGGAATGTTTTCCAATTTTTTTGTGTCATCTTCAATTTCTTTTATCACTGTTTTGTAGTTGTCCTTATTCGGGTTATATTAGCCTGTTTTCACACTGTTATAAAGAGACTGGGTAACTTATAAAGACAAGAGGTTTAATTAACTCACAGTTCCACGTAGCTAGGGAGGCCCCAGGAAACTTACAGTCATGGCAGAAGGCAGACAGGTAGGCATGTCTTACATGGTGGCCCGAGAGAGAAGTGGGAAGACTCATACACTTATGAAACAACCAGATCTTGTGAGAACTGTATCAGGAGAACAGCATGAGGGAAACTGCCTACATGATCGAATCACCTCCCATCAGCTCCCTCCCCTGGGAATTACAATTTGAGATGAGATTTGGGTAGGGCCACAGAGCCAAACCATATCCATACCAGAGGTCTTCTACCTTCTTGGTTAAATTTATTTCTCAGTATTTTTGTAGCTATTATAAATTGAATTGATTTCTTGATTTCTTTCTCAGCTATCTAGTTTTTGGTGTATAGAAATGCTCTTGATTTTTGTATGCTGATTTGTGTCCCAAAATTATGCAATTTATTTACCAGATCTAAGAGGATTTTTTGGTGGATTCTTTAGGTTTTTCAAAATATAAGATTATATCATCTGTAATGAGGGACGATTTTACTTTTTCTTTTCCACTTTGATTCCTTTTATACCTTTCTCTTGCCTGATTCCTCTGGCTAAAACTTCCAGTCCTATTTTGATTAGGAGTGGTGAAAGTGGGCATAATTGGTCTTGTTCCAGCTATTAGAGGCTTTCAGCATTTCTCCATTCAGCATGATGCTGGCAATGGGTTTCTCATGTATTACCTTTATTATTTTGAGATTTGTTCCTTCTATGCGCAGTTTTTGAGAGTTTTTATCATAAATTGATGTTAACTTTAATGCTTTTGCTGGGTATTTTGAGATGATCATATGGTTTTTGTCTTCTATTGATGTCATGCTTATTGATTTGCATATGTTGAACCATTCTTGAATCCCTGAGATAAATCCCACTTGATAATGGTGTATTATCTTTTTAATGTGCTGTTGGATTTGGTTTGCTAGTATTTTACTGAGAATTTTTGTGTCTATGTTCATCAGGAATATGTGTTTGTAGTTTTCTTTTTGTGTTGCATCCTTGTCTGGTTTTGGTATTAGGATAATGCTGGCCTCATAGAATTAGTTGAGTAGAATTCTCTCCTCTTCCATTTTTTTTTAAGTTCCAGGATATATCTGCAGAATTTTCAGGTTTGTTAGATAGGTATACATGTGCCATGGTGGTTTGCTGAACCTATCAACCCATCATCTAGGTTTTAAGCCCTGCATGTGTTAGATAGTTGTCCTAATGATCTCCCTCCCCTTGTCCCTCATCGCTCAACAGGCTCCAGCGTGTGTTGTTCCCTTCCCTGTGTCCATGTGTTCTCATTGTTCAACTCCCACTTATGAGTAGAACATACTGTGTTTGGCTTTCTGTTCCTATGTTAGTTTGCTGAGAATGATGGCTTCTAGCTTCATCCATGTTCCTGCAAAGGACATGGTACAATTTGACCCAGCAAAGCCGTTACTGGTATATATCCAAAAAATTATAAATCATTCTACTATAAAGACACATGCACATGTATGTTTACTGCAGCACTATTTACAATAACAAAGACTTGGAACCAACCCAAATGCCCATCAATGATAGAATGGATAAAGAAAATGTGACACATATACACCATGGAATACTCTTCATTTCTGTGAAATAGCTGGATAAGAATTGGTGTTAGTTCTTCTTTGAAAGTTCAATAAAATTCAGCACTAATGCTATCTTATCCTGAGCCTTTTTATTACTGATCCAATCTCATTCCTTGTTATTGGACTGTTCAAGTTTTCTATTTCTTCTTAATTCAATATGGATAGGTCATATGTATCTAGAAATTTATTCATTTCCTCTTGGTCTTCCAGTTTCTTTCTTAGTATCCAGTTTTCATAGTATTCTCTGATGAATTTTTTGGATTTCTGTGGTATCAGTGGTAAATTAATCTATTTAAACTTCTCGCCTATATGTGTGTTTACATGTCATATCTGACTTTCTTTTAGGGAGTACCTAGTGGAATTATTTTTTAAGTCCATTTAACAAGTCTGTATCTTTTAAGTGGAAAGCTTTATTTGTTTACATTCAAGGTTATTATTGATATAAGTGAGCTTATTCCTTTTATGTCATTAATTGATTTGTTTGTTTTGTATATCATTTGTTCCTTTCCCTTTTCTTACCATTGTGGTTTGTTAGTTTTCTGTAACAGTATAATTTAAATATTTTTCACTCCTTGTTTGCTTTACCAGCAAGTTGGGTTTTATATTTTAATGTTTTTCATGATGGTAAACATCATTCTTTCACTTTTGGATGTGGGACTCCCTTAAGCATTTATCAGAGGGCTGATCTGGTGGTGATAAATTCCCTCAACTTTTGTTTATCTGAGAAAGAATGAGTAGAACATCATCCTTCATCTATGAATGATAACTTTATGAGTATTGTATCCTTGGCTGGAAGTTTTTATTTTTCTTTCAGCACTTTGAATATATCATCTCATTCTCTCCTGATCAGTGAGGTTTCTGCTGAGAAAACTGCACTAGTCTGATAGGAGTTTGTTTACAAATGACTATGTGCTTTTCTCATACTTTGTTTAGACTTCTCTCTTTGTCTTTGATTTTGTCATTTTGATTATAATGTGCTGTAGAAAAGACCTTTTTGATTTGTATCTACTTCAGAATTTCTGGGCTTCCTGTATCTGGATGTAGTGCATGTTGGCTTTGATTGTGCTTGCATACAATAGCATGTCTTCCATTTGATTTTTTTTGGCAGTAACAGGATCAGTGGTGACTGATTTCCTCAGTGGCTTAGGATGCAGTTGCTACCGGAGCCTGTAGTGACTGGGATACCAGTTGGGCCCCTTTGGTGGCAGTGACGGATCAAGTATAACTGTTCTTTGGTCCAAGGGTGGTGTCAATGTTAGCAGGTGCAGGCAGGCCAGTTCTTGAACCTTGCAGCAGCTTTGTCAGATGCAAGAAATGGTAGCAGTGGGCTGGAAAGGTGGGAAGGTTCTCATGCCCCTGGGTAACAGGTGTGGCAGGTGTGATGACAGTAGCAAAGTTGGGACAACTTTAAAGGCCCCAAGTGGTTCACAATGGTGTTGGTGTTGGTTGTAATGGGTGGGGTGGGCCAGTTTCCAGGTTCAAGTGTGGCATGTGTAGATGGGTATCAGATATGTTGGCAGAGGCCTGCTGAGTGGGTCCAAGCTCAGGCAACTGAGAGATGTTCTCAGGTGCCAATGTGGTGGACTGGGCTGGGCAATCTCCAGGCTCTGGACAGTGTGCCCAGGTACTGGGGGGAGTGAAATTGGGCCAAGAAGACCTGCCCTCAGGTCCCCTGATAGCACATACAGGCACTTTCTGTGTTAGGCAGGTGCAGGGCAATCTTGAGGCCACCAGCAGAATGCTTGGTGGAGGCAGCTGCTGTGCCTGTAGCCCTTCTATTGGGGAAGGTGGAGTTGCTTTCAGTGGAAACAACTGTAGGCAGCCATTTGGGGGGTACACTTCACTTGAGCTTTGACCCTTAAAGTGGCAGCTGCTTAGGACTTGAGGGTTTGGGGGATACCCTGTGGGCCCCCTCTCCAGAGCGATCCTATTGCATTTTCTCCAGGCAGCTCCCCATGTTGATTTCAGCATCCAACTGGGTCAAGGGGCTCTCCCATCAATAGGATAGCATGGTGAAAATATAGAACACTGAGAATCTCCCTTTCCCCCTATTTGGAGTCTCTCCAAGTTCCCAACCAATCCCAGCCAAGCAACTGCTTTGCTTTCCTATGTTTCCTTGCTTTAGATGTTCCCTGTCACTTCTTTGTTGAATTCCAGTGTCCTCTCTTAGGTGATCTATTTTAAGTGTGTAGTTATCTACTCACTATTTTGGTTCTCTTTGTGGAAGAGCAAATACCAGATGTATCTAGTCAACAATCTTGAAGCTACTTTCCCACATTATATATATTTAGAGTTAAATATTCATACCTTTAGTCCACATTATGTTCACCATGAATGGTTAAAAAGATGCAATAAAATTCAAGAGTACATAATAAAGTCAAAGTCGTATGCTTTATGGAGAATAGTGTGCCATAGACAAATTATCCTGAAAACATATCCTCTTCTACCTCTTACAGGACCAGCTCAAAAACCCCATACACCTCACTTCTAGACATCCTTTTAGATAGAATTCATAAGATCAGTGCAATTCCATGAGCACATTATATAATCTCCACAGATTTCTATGATATATATGTATTGTGTATGATATACAGGTATATCATATATATATATATGATTTCTTAATCAGAAAAAAATAATTTCTCAATTTTTATTAACATGTATGAGGGCTGGGCACCGTGGCTCACACCTGTAATCCCAGAACTTTGGGAAGATGAGGTGGGTGGATCACTTGAGGTCAGGAGTTTGAGACCAGCCAGACCAACATGGCAAAACCCTAACTCTACTAAACACACAAAAATTAGCCAGGCATCATGGTGCATGCCTGTAGTCCCAGCTACTTGAGAGGCTGAGGCAGGAGAATTGCTTGAACCCGGGCGGTGGAGGTTGCAGTGAGCTGAGATTGTGCCACTGCACTCCAGCCTGGGTGACAGAGTGAGGCTCTGTCTGAAAAAAAAAAAAAAGAAAAGAAAATATATATATATATATATATATATGAGAGATACTCACTAATTCATTTAATAATGTCCTTATGATACAGAACAGATGATGACAAACATCTTTTCTGTTCTGCCCTCATGGCTCTCGCAATCTAATTGGGAAAAGAAACACTAAACAAACACTTACTAAAAAACACCAATTCCAACTATATTAACTGTCACAAAGGAGAGTACAAGATGATCAATAAAATGCCATGTCTAAGGAATCAAGCAAGGCATTCCTAGTAGGCTGACACTTAGAGTGACCTACAGAGGTCAAATAAAAGGTGCCATAAGGAAAAGAGAAGAGAATGGACCTTAAAGAAAAAAAATCCTCTGAATTCATATAAAAACATATCCTGTGTTTATAATATTAAAAACAATATATTCTGGATAATAGCATTTCTCTTCTTATTTTTTAATTTGATCATATGTCATTACAGACTTGCATGATTGCTTCTCACAAGTCCCATTCAAAGATATTCTTTATGTTCCAGACTCACCCCAAAAAGGGGTATGTCAAACAGGTCTGCAATGCATGGAGACAACCACACAAAGATGCAAATTTTTGATTAAGAAACCTCCGTAATTTTGAACTCAGTATAATATAGATTATTGAAGACTAAGTCAAGCAGGTCGACTGAGAAAAACAAAAGTCTTTTGTGACCCTTGAAGGAAAATAATGTGTGCAAATAACAACTCAACCTAGTCAACTATACCTATATATTAGGAATGTATGCCTAATATACCAAGAATGATAAGGGACAAAAGCAAAAGAGGGAGAAAGAGAAAGATGGGGGGAGGGTGGAGAGAGAGAGAGAGAGAGAGAGAGAGAGAGATTATTTGTAACAATCCAGTTTAAACATTTAATGTATACACAGAGAATGTATTTGAGTATTTTTTGGCTCAATAAAATTACAACATCACTAAATAGTCAGTATGCTTCAAGGGTTAAGAGCATGGATTTTTCTAATTGGACATATTTCTACTCTTTGCTTCATTACACATGAGCAGTGTGACCCTAAGCAAGTTACTTTAATCAAAATGATCTTCGTCAGTAAATTGAGAAAAATATTAGATCTCACAAGAAATAAGCCTTATAAGAACTAAATGTAAATCGATTAGGATAGTTCCCTTCACAAATGTACTCAATATGTGCTACATAAAAAATGCATTTGGTATAATTAAGTATCACCTAAAGTGCCGAATACAATTTCTCTGGTGCATTAACATAGTTAAATGTATTATTCCTTTATTCTTGGATATTTTGGGTGTTTACTTTGATGGTAGATATATAAAAAATGAATGTCATAGTGATCCTCAGGAATTAATCCTATATTTATGGCTATTTAAAAAGGGTAGTTTATGAACTATAGTATTATGACATTTTTAGGCTTCTAATATATATTGAAAAATTATTTAAAAAAAAAACAGCAAGATTGCTGCTCATCCTGCCATTAATGATGTCAAGTAGTATTCATTTCAACATTCCTTTCCTAACCTTGAATTTTCATGTTCCTGCTGTGTCTAATTTAAGTTTTCTAGTTTTATAGATGAGAATGATACCCCATAGTTTTAATTTAAAATTTTTGGAACAGTAATAAAGTTGAACATTTTCCCAAAAGTACTATTTGAAATTTGATGAGACATTTAAAAAATAGCATGTTGTTATTATGCTCTATGTAGATGGAGTTCAATAGATGTAGTTCTTATGTTGTACTACTTGATTGCCACCTTAAAAATTAATTACTTTTTGTTTATACTTCTTCTTAGATTACAATAAATCATGCCATTCACACAAGTTCTTACAGGGATTTAATTGCATCTTTGAAAGGTTTGGCAGATACATCAAGCCAGTTCATTAATGCACAGATGATTCCTTCACATTAAGAAAGACACGTTGGAGCACCATAAATGTCAAGGCAGTTATTACACACAAAAAGCATAAAATGGCAACCATCAAAAGGTGAGCCCTTATTCAGTTGAGATCAAAAATAAAACTGCAATAACTCCTTTGTGTAATAATGGAGAAATATTAGATTATTTTAAGGTCATGCAAGGAGAATCTTTCATTTGTCAACTCTGTCCCTTTGAGGAAGGATTGTGTGTGTGTGTGTGTGTGTGTGTGTGTGTGTCTCATGATTCTGTTCACACATCAGTCTGCAAGGAACAGCAGATTTTACCACTATAATGCATTTGTTTGGATTCTTTTGCCCAGATATTTACTGAGTTCACATTATTTCCAATGAACATTTATATGAGTCTCTTTCTCTTTAATAATTAAGAGTTTACTAGAAAGAATAAAAATTCAAATATTGTTATATATTTAAAAAACATTTAAAAATGCACTAATAGCAATTAAAAAAGGGTTAAACATGGGAGTTTGGAAATTCATAATTACTACTAGCTCTGAATTCTAACACAGTGGAGTCAATATATAACAATATTTCATTTGATATTAGAAAACTTTCTAATTCTCAAGTGTTTAAGCAATCACTTAAACATTCATATATTTATTTAGCTGTGTGATCTGACTTTAACTGAACAAGAAATGAAATTAAATTAAATGCAAATGGCTAATTACTATGTACCTACTATTACTTTACCTTGTATCGTGGATACCAGCTCAGCCACAGCAGGATAGGGCAACAGTCAGAGTTGCAAGGTCCCCTATCTGGGCCCTAGCTCCTAGATATTTCTAGACACACCCTGGGCCATAAAGGAACCCACTGCTTTATAGGGAAGAGCCCAGTCCTGGCAGGATCCATCACCTGCTGACTAAAAAGGCTTTGGGGCCTGAATAACCAGCAGTGATAAAGGTAGTACACTGTGGGCCTTGGGTGAGACTCTTGAGACTAGCTGGCTTCAGGTACCAGGTCAGCCACAGTGGAGTAGAGCATGAAGCAGGCTCTTGGGGTCCCCAGTTCCAAGCCTTTTCTGTTGGAAGATATTTCTGGACCTGCCATGGGCCACAGGATAGCTCACTGACCTGAAGGGTGAGTCCCAGGCCAGGCAGCATTCACCACAAGCTGACTAAAGAGCTCTTGGGCCTTAAGGGAACATTGGCAGTAGCCTGGCAGTGCTCCCTGTGGGCCTGTGATGGTGGTGGCCATGGGGTGAAATTCCTCTGCCTGTAAATAGTGGAAAGAAGAATGAAAATGCATCTCATGTTTTGAGTGACAGCTTGGCTACAGTACAATAGAACACCAGGAAGACTTGTAAGATTTTTGGCTCCAGTCCGTGGCTCCCTGATGTCACATCTGGACCTGCCTGGCATCTGGGGGAACTTATAACCCTGAAGGGGAGGACACGAATGCTGGCTTCAACACCTGATGATTGTAGAAACACAGGGCATTGAACAAATATAGGTAGTATCCAGGTATTGGTTACAGCAGGCCTTAGGCAAGACTCAGTGCTGTGCTTCCTTCAGGTCTAACCCAGCACGATCCCAGCAGAGGTGGCCACAGGGGTGCTTGTGTCACCCTACTCTCAACTCCAGGTGGCAGGGAGAGAGAGAGAGAGAGAGAGAGAGAGAAACTCCACTTGCTTGAGAGAAAGTAAGAGAAAAAAACAAGGGTCTCTTCCTGGTAATTCAGAGAATTCTTCCAGATCTTACCCAAGACCAACGAGGTCGTACATCTATGAGTCTGCAAGAACTGCAGCATTACTGAGCTTGGGGTGCCCTCTAATGCAGATATGGCTTAGATCGCAACACCCAGGTCCTTTCAAATACCTGGAAAACCTTATCAAGAGAGACAAGTGCAAACAAGTTCAGACTGTGAAGACTGCAACAAACACCTAACCCTTCAATGCACAGACACAAACAAATATGTACAAGCATGAAGACCATCCAGGAAAACATGCCCTCATTAAATGAACTAAATAAGGAAACAGGGACCAATCCTGGAGAAAGAGAGATATGTGACCTTTCAAACAGAGAATTCACATAGCTTTTTTGAGGAAACTCAAAGAAATTCATGATAATACAGAGAAGAAATTAAGAATCTTATCAGATAAGTTTAACAGGGAGATTGAAATATTTTTTTAAAATCAGGCAGAAATTCTGGAGTTAAAACATGCAATTGACATGATCAAGAATGCATTAGTCTTTTCATAACAGAATTGTTCAATCAGAAAAATGAATCAGTGAGGTTGAAGACAGACTATCTGAGAGTACACAGTCAGAGGACACAAAAGAAAAAAGAATATAAAGCAATGAAGCATGCCTATGGGGTCTAAAAAATAGCCCCAAAAGGGTATACCTAAGAGTCATTGACCTTAAAGAGGAGGTAATGAAAGAGATAAGGGTAAAAGGTTTTCAAAGGGATAATTACAGAGAACTTCCCAAACCTAGAGAAAGATATCAGTATCCAAGTATAAGAAGGTTATAGAACATGAAGCAGATTAACCCACAAAAGTCAACCTCAAGGCATTTAATAATTAAACTCTGAAAGGTCAATGATACAGAAAGAATCTTAAAAGCAACAAGAGAAAAAGCATAAATAACACACAGTGGAACTCCAATATGTCTGGTGAAAACTTTCCAGTGGAAACCTTATAGATCAGGAGAGAGTGGCATGAAATATTTAAAGTGCTGATGGAAAAAAAAAATAATAAAAATAACTTTTACTCTAGAATAATGTAATCAGTGAAAATACTGTGCAAACATGAAGGAGAAATAAAGAACAGACAAATGAAAACTGAGTTATTTCATCAACCCCAGACCTGTTACAAGAAATGCTAATGGGAGTACCTCAATGAGAAATAAAAGGACATTAATGAGTAATAAGAACTCACCTGAAGGTACAAAACTTACTGCTAATAGTAAATACACAGAAAAACACAGAACATTATAGCATTGTAAACTGATGTGTAGACTATCTTTAACCAATCAAAAGTAGTACCTACAACAACTGTTAAAGACATAGACAGTAAAATAAGATATACATAGAAACAACAAAGCATTAAAACATAGGGGGACAAAGTTAAAATAGAGTTTTATTAGGCTTTTTTTGCTTGTTTGTATATGTAGACAGTGTTAAGTTGTTATAAGATTTAAATAATGGGTTCTAAGATAGTATTTGTTAACCTCGTGGTAACTTCAAATCACAAATCATAAAACAGATACACAAAAGCTGAAAAGAAATTAAATTATACCACCAGAGAAAATCATCTTCACTAAAAGAAAGACAGGAGAAAGAAAAGAAGAAAGAGAAAACCACAAAACAATCAGAAAACAAAATAACAAAATGGTAGGAGTATGCCCTTACTTATCAATAATAAATTGCATGTAAGTGGACTAAATTGCCAATCAAAAGGTGTAAAGTGGCTGAATGAATAAACAAACAAGGTCCATTGATCTGTTTTCTGCAAGAAACACACCTCACCTATAGAGACAAACAGACTGAAAATAAAGGAATGGAAAAAATTACTCCATGTCAATGGAAACCAAAAGCGAGCTGGAGTCGCTATTCTTAGACAAAATAGATTTTAAGACAAAAACTTTAAGAAAAGACAAAGAAGGTCACTATAGAAAGATAAAGGGGTCAATTCAGCGAGAGGATATAACAATTGTAAATATATTTGCACCCAACAGTGGAACACCAAGATATATAAAGCAAATATTATCACAGTTAAAGAGGGAGACAGACCCCAATTCAGTACTAGCTGGAGACTTCAACACCCCAGTTTCAGCATTGGAAAGATATTTCAGACAGAAAAGCAATAGAGAAAAAACAGACTTAACCTGCAACAGACCAAGTGGATATAATAGATATTTACAGAACATTTCCTCAAATGGCTGCAGGATACACACTCTTTTCCTCAGCATATAGATCATTCTCAAGGAAAGATCATATGTTAGTTATGTATTAAGATAAGTATTAAAACATTCAAAAAAATTGAAATAATGCGTCTTCTCTGATCACAATGAAATAAAACTAGCAATCAACAACCAGAGGAATTTTGGAAACTGTACAAACACATGGAAATTAAACAATATGCTCCTGAATGACCAATGAGTGAATGAAGAATTTAAAAAGGAAACGAAAAATTTCTTGAAACAATTGATGTAAAATACAACATACCAAAACCTATGGGATACAGTAAAAACAGTACTAGAAGGGAAGTTTATAGCTATAAGTTCCTACATCAAAAGAAGAAAAAAAAACCCATCAAATTAAAAACCTAACAATGCACCTTAAAGAACTAGTAAAGCAAGAGCAAGAGCAAACCAAACCCAAATTTAGCAGAGGAAAAATAAATAAAGATCAGAGCAGAAACAAGTAAATTTTAAGTGACAAAAACAACACAAACATAAATGAAACAAGGTGGTTTTTTGAAAAGATAAGTAAAATTGACAGACCTTTAGCCAGACTAACTGAAAAGAGACAGAGAGAGAGCCCAAATAAATAAAATCAGAGATGAAAAAAGGATATTATGACTGATAACACAGAAACTCAAAGGATAATTTGTGACCACTATGAGCAATTATTTGCCAATGATCTGGAAAATATAGAAGAAATGAATAAATTCCTTGACATATACATTCTACCAAGGCTGAACCATGAGGAAATCCAAAATCTGAACAGACCAAAAATAGGTAACAACATTGACGTTATAATAAAAGTCTCCCGGCAAACAAGAGTCTAGGATCCAATGGCTTCACTGCTGAAATCTGCCAAACATATAAAGAAGAACTAATACCAATTCTACTTCAGCTATTCTGAAAAATAGAGGAGACGTGAATACTTCCAAACTCATTATATGAAGCCGGTATATACCCTGATACTGAAACCAGACAAAGACATATCAGAAAGAGAAAACTATAATCCAATATCACTGATAAATAGTGTTGTAAAACGTTATCAACAAGATACTAGCAAATCAAATTCAATAATACATAAAAAAGATCATTCATTATGACCAAATGAGATTTATCTCAGGGATGCAAGGATGGTTCAACATAAGCAAACCAATCAATGTGATACATCATATCAGCAGAATGAAGGACCAAGTCATATGATCATTACAATTGAGGCTGAAAAAGCATTTGATAAAATTCAACATTTCTTCTGGATAAATACCCTAAAGAAACATATGTCAACATAACAGCAGTCATATATGACAGACCTATAACTGGTTATATGCTGAATGAGGAAAAACTGAAAGCCCTATGATCATTGCAACTGAGGCTGAAAAAGCATTTGATAAAATTCAACATTTCTTCTGGATAAATACTCTAAAAATGTTAGATATATGTCAACATAATAGAATCCATATGTGACAGACCCATAGCTATTTTCATAATGAATGAGGAAAAACTGAAAGCTTCTCTTCTAAGATCGGGAACATGACAAGGATGCCCATTTTCAACACTATTACTCACCATAATACTGGAAATGCTAGCTAGAGCAATCAGACGTGAGGAAGAAATAAAAGGCACTCAAATTGGAAAGGAAGAAGTCAAATTATCCTTGTTTGCAGATAATATGATCTTATATTTGGAAAAATCTGAAGATTCCATTCAAAAATCTATTAGAACTGAAGAACGAATTCAGTAAAGTTGCAAGATACAAAATCAACATACAAAAATCAGTAGCATTTCTATATGCCAACAGTGAACAATCTGAAAAAGGAATCAATAAATTAATGCCATTTACAGTAGCCACAAATAAAGTATCTAAGAATTAAGCAAAGAAATGAAAGGTATCTACAATGAAAACTATAAAACACTGATGCAAGTAATTGAAGAAGACAAAGAAATGGAAAGATAATTTGTGTTCACGGATTAGAGGACTCAATATAGTCAAAATGTCCATACTACCCAAAACAATCTACAAATTTAATGCAATCCCAATCAAATTACCAATAAGATTCTTCATAGAAATAAAAAAAAAAATCTAAATTTTACAGGAAACCACAAAAGACCCGGAATAGCCAGAGCTATTCTTAACAAAAAGAACAAGACTGGAGGAATCACATTACCTCACTTTAAATTATACTACAGAGCTATAGTAACCAAAATGGCATGGTACTCGCATTAAAACAGACACACAGATAAGTGGAACACAACAGAGGACCTAGAGATGAATCCATAAATCTACAGTGAACTCATTTTTGACAAAAATGCCAAGAACGTATGTTAGGGACACAACAGTCTCTTCAATAAATGGTGCTGGGAAAACTAAATATCTATATACAAAAAAATGAAACTACATTTATATATTTTGCTGTATACAAAAGTCAAATTAAATTGGATTAAAGACTTAAATTTAAGGCTTCAAACTATGAAACTACTACAACAAAACATTGAGGAAACTCTCTAGGACATTAGAGTGGGCGAAGGCTTCTTTAGTAATACCAATAAGCACAGACAAGCAAAGCAAAACTGAACAAATCAATTACATCAAGTTAAAAGTCTTCTGAACAGCAAAGGAAAAAATTGACAAAATATAGACACAGCCCACAGAATGGGAGAAAATATTTGCAAACTACCTATTGGATAAGGGATTAATAACCAGAATATATAAGGAGCTCAAACAACTCTATAGGAAAAAAATCTAATAATCTAATTAAGAAATTGAAAAAAATACCTGAATAGACATTTCTCAAAAGAAGACATGCAAATGAAAACAGGTATATGAAAAGTGCCTCAACATCACTGATTATCAGAAAAATGCAAATCAAAACTGCAATGAGATATGATCTCATCCCAGTTAAAATGTCTTTTATCCAAAAGTTAACAATATCAAATGCTGGTGAAAATGTGGAGAAAATGGAACCCTGGTACACTGTTGGTGGAAATATAAGTTAGTACAACCACTGTAGGAAACAGTTTGGAGGTTCCACAAAAATCTAGAGCTACCATATGATCCAGCAATTTCACTGCTAGTTATATATTGAAAATAAAGAATTCATTATATTGAAGAGGTCTTCATGGCAGTCCCTCCCATCCCAGACCTGGAGATGTAGGAGGAAAAAATAGTTTCCTGGGCCAGGCCCAGGGACCCACAGCTCTATGCATCCTCCAGACATGGTGCTCTGCATCCCAGCTGCTTCAGCTCCAGCTGTGGCTAAAAGGGACCAATGTACAGCTTAGTCCATGGCTTCACAGGGTGCAAGCCCCAAGCCTTGGCAGCTTACATGTGGTGTTAGGCCTGCGGGTGCACAGAAGTCAAGAATTGAGGTTTGGGAACCTCTGCCTAGATTTCTGAGGATGTATGGAAATGCCTGTGTGTCCAGGCAGAAGTTTGGTCCAGGGACAGAACCCTCATGGAGAACCTCTGCTAATGCAGTGCAGAAGGGAAATGTGGGATTGAAACTTCCACAAAGAGTCTCCACTGGGGCACTGCCTAGTGGGTCTGTGAGAAGACAATCACCATCCTCCAGACCCTGGAATGGTAGATAACCGATAGTTCGCACCATGCACCTGGAAAAGCTGCAGACACTCAATGCCAGCCCATGAAAGCAGCCAGGAGGGGGGCTGGACCCTGCAAAACCACAGGAGTGGAGCTGCCCAAGGCTGTGGGAAGCCCCCTCTTGAATCATCGTGACCTGGATGTGAGACATGGAGTCAAAGGAGATAGTTTCAGAGCTTTAAGATTTGACTGCCCCACTGGATTTTGGGCTTGCATGGGGCCTATAGCCCCTTCATTTTGGCCAATTTCTCCTATTTGAAATGCATGTATTTACCAAAAGCCTGTACCCCCATTGTATGTAGGAAGTAACTAACTTCCTTTTGATTTGACAGATTCATAGCCAAAAGGGACTTGCCTTATCTCAGTTGAGGCTTTGGACTTGGAACTTTGAGGTAAGGCTGGAATGACTTAAAATCTTGGGGGTCTCTTGGAAGGCCAAGATTGTGCTTTGAACTGTGAGGGCATGAGATTTGGGAGTGGCCAGGGTTGGAATTATATAGTTTGGCTGTGTACCTACCCAAATCTCATCGTGAATTGTAGTTCCTATAATCCCCACATGTCATGAGTGGGACCAAGTGGAGTTAACTGAATCATAGAGGTGGTTTCCCCCATGCTGTTCTCCACGATAGTGAGTTAGTTCTCACAAGGTCTGATGGCTTTATAAGGGGCTTCCACTTTCACTGGGCACTTACTTTTCCTCTCTGTCACCATGTGAAGAAGGACATGTTTGCTTCCCCTTCCACCATGATTGTACGTTTCCTAAGGTCTTCCCAACCTTGTGGAACGCTGAGTCAACTACACCATTTTCTGTTTTTAAATTACCCAGTCTCAGACAGTTCTTTATAGCAGCATGAGAATGGACTAATCCACATACAATATGGTACTGAGTATTTAAAATAATTTCTTAGAATTTTTCTTATAGTGATGAATAACTGACTTTTATAACAAAGAAGTGGTTCATGCTCAATTGTACAAAAGCATAAACTAAGCAATACATACATTCTTCATATTACTTTGCCCTTGTCCCTCAATACACTATTTAAGTACTTTTGACTTTGTCCTAAGTATACTGCCGTGTAATGACTTAAGATGACTTAATTTTCAGAATATTTGTTCCTATTTAAACCACTAAGTAAATGTTCTTTGTACAGCCACTCTTGACCTCACTTGATCTTTACTTTGTTCAGAAGTAATCATAAAGTCAAAAGCAAACTTGCCTGTGGACACTGAATTTATTCATTTACCTTTCTAATGCAATGGTCGTTTGTGTGATTCAAAATGTATTATATTAAATTTTATTAGGTTAGGATTAAAAAATCAAATATAACACTATCTCTTAAAGAATTCACAAATGCAAAAGAATAGGTCACTTGCAGAATGCCACAGATACTTCAGAAGTGGTGATTCTTTATTTGAAAAACACTTGATCTATCATGTTATGTGTGGAGTTGAATGTGATGTCCTTCCTACAGACTTACAATAAATGGTACTGGGCTGGAAAGTCTTACACAACCAAGCACATTTCAGTCGAATCATCAAATTAATTGCCTTTTGCCTTTAATATACCTTCGCTGATAATAGCAAAGAAAGAATGAAGCTTATTTTGTAAGACTTACCTTCTAGGAGATGAGATCAAAAGAAAAATTGAATGAAGGGTTAAGCTAATGGCACATAAAATAAAGCAATTAGCTTTTGAACTCCTTAGTCTAGCACATTTTTTCAGACAGTAATCTGTAAAGTTTGAAGGTGCTAACAGGATCACCGTGGTGACTAAGTTAAAATCCATATTAGACTCCTCAAAGTACTTTCATTGAATGGCTAAAGCAGTGTCATAAGTACAGTGGAAGCTGACACATCATTAGACAGAAGTTAGCTAAACTTCCTACCACATGGGTAGACTAGAACAGTCACAGAAGTTTCACTGAACTTCTTAGAAAAGTGAAATCATTACATTTTTCTAGCATGATGCAAAATACAACTCAAAGTGAATTTATCAATACCTGAATAAAACATGACCTAAAATGAAACAATTCAAATATTATATAACATCTGAAAAATGTGTCAGAGAACTCAATAAACATAAAGCTAAAACATTAAAGCTAATAAAAAATGTCCTGGATTATACAGCTGCTGGTAATGTTTTCTGTATGTTCTAAAGCCATTCTACGTTTTATCACAATAATATTGAACCAGTGTGGATGTCAGACTTTGCATTAAATCTCTCTGATCTCTTTCTGAGAACCTGGTAGGGCTGGGCTATTCTAGCCTCAGGTGATTGGTGTTAGTCAAGTGATTTGCATAGGTCATCAGCAAGCAAAAGGGTTGTGGATCAAGATAAAACATCTAAGAACCAAAACATGGTATGCCATCTTCTTTCTGTCTGTCAGAATAACCAGCAATGTTCCAGAAATTATCTGCTCTCTCGCCCTGGTCTCAACTTGCAGAAGATGGGAAGCAGAGCTCCCAGCCTGCCCAAGATGAACATGTGGTATAGACAAGAAATACACCTCTGTTCTTTTAAGCTTCTGAGATTTTGTATATGTTTGTTTCTTACCAAACCACATATCCAAAGTTACTAATTGATGTAATTTGTATTTGGAAAGAAACTCATTTACAACTATTTTTATTCTAAATGATTTCTAAAATGTCCACTTTATTAATTTTGATATATCCAACATATAATCTAGATACCAAGTTTGAATCATTTTTATTTTGTCAAATAACACATATATTTTATAAATTGCATACAAAAACTGTAGCAATCTTATTTTGTTGGGATGATCAGACCCAACACCAGGCTGTGGGGGCTACAAAGTATGGCGGAGTCAAAGGAATGAGAAAAGAGAAGTTTAAGAGTGCATGAAGTGGAACCAGGGGGCCAACGCTAGTATGGAGGCTGCGAAGGCCCTGAGCTCTGGAAGCCCGCACTATTTATTGGTGATCAAACAAAGAAGCAGGTGGTGAGGAAGTGGGGGTTGAAAGAAACTGGTGTGTCAAGTGCATGATCTACAGCTGTGACGGTTTAGCATTTTCTTTGCAGCATATGGAACATGTTCTGCTACTTGAGATAATGGGAAACATGTTCTTCTAGTTTAAGATACAATCAATCTATGAGACTGTGAGTGCTAGAAGCAAAGAGCCAGCAAGTCTAGACATATTCCAAAGGCCACGAGAGGTTTTAGACCCCAGACCCCTGACATGTTCCAAGACTCTTTTACATTAAGTCAGACATACAAGCCCTGCCTCAGCATTTTTCCCAACACTCAGCTTTTCCCCAGGATGCCCCTTTTTCTTTTTTGTAAAACCGCCACAGCTGTCATTGCTTGTTCTCAACGGTGGCTTTCTCTCCAGAGGTGGCTTCCACATCTGCAGACTAAAAGGAGACAGTACAAGCACATAATTATTAGAACAAAATTTGCAAGTGTAGAGCTTCCAATGGCCTTAATCCATTTCAGAGGATTGATTGCAGACAACCCATTGGTTTCCTTGTTCAAAAGACCAGTTCCAAGGGGCAGGGCTTTTCTCCCAACTCTCAGCTTTTCCCCCAACATACTTTTTTTTTTGTTATTTACCTCAAAAATATATTTTTCTGATTCTCCCTTAGAAAATCAGATCATATTAAGAATATAAAAACATTATTTTTATAGTCATTTTAAGTTTTATAATTATTTGAACATTTATAAATAAGAAATAAGTCAAAATTAACAAGAAGCTAACCACTAGTTTTAGAAAATGTTGAATTTGATATTTGTTTATAGTTTGAGGCAGAGAGAGGTCTATTGTTATTAATACTATTTATTTTCTCTGGAACAAATAATTTTGAATCAAGACTTTAAATCGTGTCTGAATAAGAAAATACTAAATACTGAGATTTTATTATTAATGAAATATTCAAAAATAGTTGGAGTAAGTGTTAACTACAGTATAAACAGTATTGAAGGATTATAAATATAAAATTAAAGTTACATTTAAAGTCAACCTCTGAAAGCAATTACAACCAAAGTATTTATACTTATGTCTATAAATCACATAATTTATTTGCTGACAAAGAGAATCATGATTATAAAACAAGTAAAAAGAATGCTATTTTTCATTTACTTCTGTGGAAACCACACACACAAACACATTATACTTGGAAGTAATATGTAACAAACCTGCACGTTGTGCACATGTACCGTAAAACTTAAAGTATAATAATAATAATAATAAAAAAGAAGAGTAACAAAACACTGAACAAAATCTGGGTTATATCTTCATTTACTTAAGTATAAATAAACTGAAAACTGTGCTGCGGAGCTCACACAGAACATCATTATTGCCTGGGAAAAAGGGATAAAGAGTCTTTTAACATCCCTATTTTTCTCTAGTTTAGAAATACAGAATTCAAGCCAACAGAAAAGGAAGCAATTACAGGTTACATGTTCTCAGGTTGGGGATATTTACCCAACCTCTTCGTTCATTCAGCTGAATGAAACAAAGCAAGTATAAATGAAAGTGAGAAGCAGCATACACAGTCCAGAGAAACAGAGGACCTGTATTCACAGCCTCAGAAGCATTTCATAGTGAAAATTATAATTCCAAAATATTGATTCTTATTAGCATAAAACAAAACTACACAGACTTTAAATTCACTCAAAGAATGGTATATATCATAAACACCTTGGAAACAAAACATAGATTTATTGCCCCAGTCCAAACCTAAAATATAATGTTTCTGTGAAATTCAATTTTAATAAGTTTATCAAGTGATTCTTACATATCTAGAAGATTGTCTCTTCACTTGGATAGAACCTATCATACTTTACAGAACTCCCATGAAGCTAGAAAAGGAGCTTTCTGCTTTGTGCAATAAACAAACCTAAAGATTTATACATATAAGAGGAGAAAAATGTGAAAATGATACATGCGGATGTACATGTGGAAATACACAACCTAGAAACTGCAGACGTTTTACAATGAAATAATCAAATTAAACACAAACACTCATAGAAAAGAAGTACTTTCTGGTTAAAAAATGTGTCAGGCTTATTTGTAATAATGCAACTGTATAAGAAATAAAAGGTTTCAATTAAAGCTTAAAATACATCAATCATGGTATTTCAAGTTATGAAATTTTATGATTCTATGTAGTTCTCAAAAGTCCTTCTTGAGAGACAGCAATAGCTCAGTTGAAAGTTTGGGAATGGTGAACATGTATTCTTGGTAATTTTTTTAACTTTTATTTTTTAAGTTCAGGAATATGTGTACAGGTCTATGACATAGGTAAACTTGTGTCATAGAGGATTGTTGTACAGATTATTTTATTACCCAGATATTTGGCTTGGTACTCATTAGTTATTTTTCCTGATCGTCTCTCTCCTCCCACCCTATACCCTCTGATAAGCCCCAGTGTATGTTGTGCCCCTCTATGTGTCCATGTGTTCTCTCACTTATAAGTGAGAACGTAAGTATTTGATTTTCTGTTCCTGTGTCAGTTTCCTAAGGATAATGGCCTTCAGCTCCATCCATGTCTGTGCAAAGGACATAATCTCATTCTTTTTTATGGCTGCATAGTATTCCATAGTATGTGTGTGTGTATGTGTGTGTGTGTATATATATACACAAGTACATATATAACATATATATATAACATATATATAACATACATATAACATTTTCTTTATCCAGTCTATCATTGATTGGCATTTAGCATTTAGGTTGATTCCATGTCTTTGCTATTGTGAATAGTGTTACAATGAGCATAGGTGTCCATGTGTCTTTTTAAGATAATGATTTAAATTCCTTTGGATGCATACCTAGTAATGGGATTGCTGGGTCAAATGGTATTTCTGTCTTTAGGCCTTTCAGGAATCGCCACATTGTCTTCCATAATGGTTAAACTAAAGGCTTATACACAGCAAAGGAAACCATCAACAGAGTAAACACAACCTACAGAAGAGGAGAATTTTTTTTTGCAAACTACGCATCAGGCAAAGGTCTAATATCCAGCATCTATAAAGAACTTAAACAAATTTACAAAAAAAAAAACATAAAAATGGGGGCAAAGGACATGAACAGTCACTTTTCAAAAGACATACACTTAGTCAACAATTACATGAAAAAAAGTTCAACATCACTGATCACTAGAGAAATGCAAATTAAAACCACAGTGAGATACTAGCCCACACCAGTCATAATGGCTACTATCAAAAAGTCAAAAAATAACAGATGCTGTAGAGGTTGTGGAGAAAAAGAAACACATGCTGTTAATGGGAGTGTCAATCTATTATGGGTGTTTTTATTTAGAATAGGACTGAGCTATAACCTGTTGTAGGAATATTCATGTTGTAGGGAAAGTACTTTGTAAAATTTCTCTCACCTAGTTTTCAAGTATATTTGCATTTAACAAAATGCAGTTATATTCATTATTATTATTGTTAAAATCATTTGTGTATAGCAAGTTTATAATAAGGTCTTATATACAAACAAGGAGTCTTTTATGAAATATATATAATGGCAATCAGGAAATTTGGTCAATGAAGACAATCTGGTCTCTTTTGTCATAAGGTCTTTGGATGTTTCTATTTTAATTTTGTCTAGGTAACTGACTGTGAACTCACACAATCCATAGGAAGGTAATAATTTACTCCTTAATACTATTGAATAAGTCTGGAATAAATGACCAGATAAAGAATAACCGCTATGATTTTATTGAGAGAGTATTGTGAGGAATAAGCTTCTTACCTGAACTTAAGAGCGTGAAGGTAAAACATAAGGGCAATGGCTTCTGGCCTCAAGGTGGTGTTCATTCATATTTCAATATAATTTATTGTTTTAGGATGTTGTATTTTATAGGATAAAGGTAAAGTTTTGTGAACATTTATAGTCATTAAGAACAGTATTCATGGTACTTTTGTTGAGCTTGTTTGATCTTTGTCCTCTCATTAACCTCTTTTCATATTTACTCACTTGTGTAGCAAATGATGGTTTCATAATTTATTTTTCACTCCCTTTTATCTGGCCACTTGAGAAAAAATTAGGTCAGAGAAGACAGTTAAGCTTTTGAAGTTGTTATAATAGCATAGAGTCTGACAGGTGAAAAAACCAAGGGAGGCCTAATTCAAATTCACAGAGAATCTGACTAAAGCAAAATAATAGGTCTAGCAGAGAAGAATCCAAACTAGTAAGTGAATATCTTGGCAATGCATATGTTAGGCTATGATTTAAAATGCAGATGCCCTGAAGGAATTAGATCATCAGTATGTACTTGTTTGCATACTGGTCATTCCATTTGATTCAAATAGTACAGTCAATTTTGATAATATAATGTTAAAATTATACAGGGGACCAAAAATACACCTGAGTTAAAAAGGTATTTAAAAAGTACAAAATTCTTAAAGTCATCTGTCAGTCATTCATAGGAGTAATGACTTTTATACATCTGAACAATGTCTTTCATTTCTATTTTTTTGGCATCTTTAACATGAGTTTGTACAGTCATATCTACATGAGTATGTACAGTCATAACTATTTTTGTTGTAAAAAAATGATGCTAAAACCTAGTGGCTTAATGTTAGAACAGTATTTTTCCCCGACCAATCTGTTGTTCATTTGAGCACTGTAAGCAATTGGTCAGGTCTAAGTGATCTCATTTTGGCTTACTCACACGTATGTGGTTAGCTGATGGGTTACTTGAGACTGGATTGTCTCCAGCAGATTCATTTGCATATCTAGTATTTCCTTAAGTATTAGCTAGTAAGGTCAAGTGCCTGGATGTGGATGTCTTATCATAAGATTCTATCAGCCTAGCCTAGACAGCAAGGTTCCAAGAAGGCTAGGCAAAATGTGTAAGGTCTTCTGACACACGGGTTCAGAATTGGCAAACTGCCATTTTGGCTGCAATATGTTGGCCAAAGCAAACCACAAGATCAGTGCATTTTTAACCTTCTCTTAATGTGATGAATTTCAAAGTTAAATTATAAGAAACTGTGGATACAGAGAGTATTCACATTGTGTAATTGTACGTGTAGGCATGTTTTGTCCATATATGTATATGTGTGTGTATCTTTATTTATGAGCACATGGAGTCGTGTTTCTTATGAACAAGTTGATAATGATATAGGATGCAAAGAAGAAAAAAAACAGCCTTCTCCTCCCTCTTTTGTTGATATACAGCTGTAAGTGTTGACCTAGAACACAACTATGCCAGTTAACGTCATATTACCCGGTAGTTTTGGGCAGATGCTAAAGGTCACACTGTCAGAAATTCACAAATACAAAATAGTAATAGACATCTCTCAGGATAAAGATTTCTGATCACAGAAATGATCAATATTTGGTCATTTGTGTCTCTCTAAATACCTTTGCTATCCAACACAAGTATTTTCAATATAGTGGCTATTTGGGGGAGCAGAGGATAAGTTAAGAGACACGACATGTTGTGAGTTACTGTAATTTGGAAGTCAGGCTTTGGCAGTAGGGTAGACTGAGTAAAAAAATGGTGCCATTTCTCCAATGCTACTTGTGTCCACATGTTTTACAATGTAACTGTTCAGCTCCTATGTTCACTGTGGCGAAGTCTATTTTCATACCCTCTGTGCCTTGTGACCTCTTTTGTCCAGTGGAATGGGACAGAAATTACACTGTGCCAATTCTGAGTCTAGTGCTCAGTAGGCTATGTATCTTTCCCTTCTCTTAGGACCCTTGCCTCCTCTGTGTGAACAATCTAACCTGCCCTGCTGGAGGATGAGAAATCAGAGATGAGTGTCAGGTCAGTTCAGCTTCCCCAGGTGAGGCCCAAGACCTGTGAAAGAGTCAGGCTAAGATTAGCACAACTGACTACAGATGCATACAGAATCCTAGTCCATCCATAGAATTGTGAGTTAAGAAAGTCGTGTTTTAAGGAACTAGGTGTTGGATGTACTTTATGAGCAGCAATGGCTAACTGACACTGTTAGGAACGTTGATCTACTGCAAAGTATCTTCAACAGTTGTATTAATCGAATTACCTTGTATATAATTCCTATGTCTACAGTTAGAAGATGATAAAACATGACAAAATTAATAAAAATATAATCTCAACTATATATATATATGGGAAATTAAAAAAAAACTAGTGCCTAAAGAAATATTCTTATCAAATGATTGCTAATGAACTAATGTATATTAATTAAATATAAAATGGTCAACCTGTCTCATGACTCTGTGAGGAAGACAATAAAAATAAACTTTATTATCCTATTTTCTAATGTATACTTAAGAGATATTTAAAATATTATCATCAAATTAAGTTTACATAAGGCAGGATGTCTTCTGTTTCTTGCTAATATTAATTAAAAATAAAAAACTCTATCATTAATTTACTTTGATTTAAATAACTTGTCATCATTTTATTATTGTTACAGGATAATTCTCATAAAATGTGTCTGTTTATATAGTGCATGATTCTCTATTTTTAAAATAATCTATATTATTGAATTATTTTTACAAATGATAAAACCTATAATATGACACAAATTTAAATTAATACTTTTGGTAGTTTTAAAACAGAGCGGGAACATATTCTATTAATAGCTATAGACAGTTTACATAAGAAATCAGGATATACGCAGGGAGCGGTGGCTCACGCTTGTAATCCCAGCCCTTTGGGAGGCTGAGGTGGGTGGATCACTTGAGGTCAGGAGTTCAAGACTAGCCTGGCTAACATGGTGAAACCCTGTCTCTACTAAAAATACAAAAAAATTAGCTGGTCATGGTGGCACATGCTGGTTATCCCAGCTACTGGGAAGGCTGAGGCAGGAGAATCACTGGAACCCAGGAGGTAGAGGTTGCAGTGAGCCAAGTTCATGCCACTGCACTCCAGCCTGGGTGACAGAGTGAGACTTTGACTTAAAAAAAAAAAAGAAATAAATAAGGATATAAAGTTTGAATGATAATTTTTGATTTTATATATATATATATATGTTTGATGGATATTTACTCTTAGGGATTTACATTTCAAGGAGGCTATTTTGAACCATTTACTATTTGTACTGTGTTCTTTGCAAATGAGTGTGTCTATCTAGCAATCAGAAGACAAAGTAAAGAAAAGAGTAACTACCTACTCCTATGTAGGAAAATTCTAGGGTGTTTTTGTTTTTGTTTTTGAGATAGAGTCTTGGTCTGTCGCCCAGGCTAGAGTGCAGTGGCACAATCTCGGCTCACTGCAATCTCCACCTCCTGAGTTCAAGCAATTCTCCTGCCTCAGCCTCCCCAGTAGCTGGGATTACAGGTATGCACCAACTCACCCGGCCAATCTTTGCATTTTCAGTGGAGACAGGGTTTCACCATGTTGGCCAGGCTGGTCTCGAACTCCTGACCTCAAGTGATCCATCTGCCTCAGCCTCCCAAAGTGTTGGGATTACAGGCGTGAGCCACCATGCCCTGCCTGGATAATTTTGGTTTTAAGTACTAACTTAAGTGTATTAGGTATAGTGCAATTTTTCTTTATGTTTAAAATCTAATTATTCAATTAATCTATTTCTCACCAGGATTCTTTTTAATACATAGAAGTTTAACATTAAATTTTTCCAGTTTTGGTACAGAGAATTTAGATAATCAGAAAATGTGTCAAATATTATAAGCACTTTTTAACATTCACCAAATACTTTCAATTTGTGGCCCAAAACAACACCAAATAGTGTGGGCTTAGGTAAAAGCCAAATACATACTCTTCAAACTTCTTCCGTTGCCACTTCCCCCTTGATCTTCTAAGTGACAGCCCCCTCTTTTATTCTATCATGGGAAATTTAATAAAAGCAGTCACTTTTCGTCTTAGAGAATTTGTCAGCAATATTGGACAAGATTGTGTTTATAAAAGACCATGGAAAGAAAATACTGAGTTGAACAGAAGTCATGTTTAAATGGCTTATACAGTGTGGGAAAAATAATAAAATTTATTGAATTAATGTTTCCATATGTCAAATTTGGTTTATTATTTTACATATAGAGCAACACATAATGCTCCTTTAAGTAACAGTTACACACTGACATATGATTCATATTCAGTACAGATTTCATTAAATTCATCTTTCATTTTTCATTATTTAGTACTTCACTAAGACACAGGTATATCTCTGTCCTGAGTTGTGTGCCTCAACAGCCTTGCTCTTTGGAGAACCTTTGAAATGTCTAAGTTCTCCTTAGTGCCTGAGATCTTCTAGCATTATCAGGGGTGGTCTACATTTCTCTCTTAGTGCTTTCTCTGTCTCATTCCTGACCACTTCCACTGATCATGAGTTGAAACAGATACCCTGGGATCTGCAGGACTTTCATCATGATGACCATTCTATGGCTCCATGGTCAGTTTCCAACCTTCAGAGGATGACTTGGCAAGGAATACATTCTGGGTCCATGGCAGAATTTTTAAAATGGGATCATGGTGTCTTTCATACAATGACTTTGAGTGAAGCAAAATTATTAAAGACAGAGAACATTCACAGGAAAAATTTGCCACCAACCCAAAGCACACTCTAGAGGAGACCGTGCTGTTAATTTTACATGTTTTCAATCAAGACTTTTTTTTTTCAACCATAACTTTTACTGCAAAATGATTACAGAAACATAAAACAAGAGTATGATAACAAAGTAAAATAGCTAAAGAGTTAATAATTTTAAATCGGTTTTAGAGATTTGGGACTAAAACAATCGTGAAATAAAACTCAAATATAACTGAGTTTACGGACCCCAACACCGTCAGAAGCCATTTACATGTTAGTTCACTTCTTGTATGTATTTTTCAGTGAAGACACAACTATGTGTGTATCAAGTCTCACATACTCAAAGCTTCTTGTTAGAATAAGAAAGAGACCCTCTTCTTGTTATGTGCTGTATCTTTGCTTGTGTATATACCCATTTCGGTTCAATCATTATGCAAAAGCTCAGGCATCCGGAATGTGTAATACTGAATCTGGCATCCTTTAATGACATGATTGGAATGGAAAAATGGTCAATTCCTCTAAAAGAAGAAGCACTTGCCAAAGTAATAAACTTACTCTAGAAATATTTATATAATAAGAGTGAAAACAATAGTATAAATTATGAATACATATTCAAAAATAAATTCAGAAGCAGTTCACACTTTTTGTATAGATATGATTTCTAGTTGAACAATACTGTAGTGTGTAAAACAGCTAAACATCCTTCAATCATCAGACTGAAGTACAAATTCACTGAATACAAAATCATGAAATCTTGATTCTTATTTCAACTCTTCATTAATTTGCTTGGCTAGTTAGATAAGGTCTTTAGGTTTGTTGGAGTTGAGCTTCTTCACTTCTAAAGCAGAGCCTTTGATTAGGTCTTCAAATATTCTGAATGAAATGGGAACAGGGGACTATACGGCATCCCCCTTTAACGCTTTTTATTGCTCTTTTATGAGACACCCACTCCTTTATTGCTTTTCACACCTGCCTAGTTCATAAGAAGCCTTCAGAAAATGTCATGACAAAACCCTCTCTAGTATTGCTTTAAACCATATTGTAATGATAGAAATAGAGAACCACTTAGGATATAATAAAAATGGCATATAACTTTAAAATAGAAACTATTGAATGCATTTTTATTATGCAATAGCTTATTATGCATTTTTATTATGCAATAGTTTCCTTCTGAAACTATTCCAATCAATAGAAAAAGAGAGAATCCTCCCTAATTCATTTCATGCAGCCAGCATCATCCTGATACCAAAGCCTGGCAGAGACACAACAAAAAAAGAGAATTTTAGATCAATATCCCTGATGAACATCAATGTGAAAATCCTCAATAAAATACTGGCAAACCGAATCCAGCAGCACCTCAAAAAGCTTATCCACCAAGATCAAGTTGGCTTCATCCCTGGGATGCACGGCTGGCTCAACATATGCAAATCAATAAATGTAATCCAGCAAATAAACAGAACCAAAGACAAAAACCACATGATTATCTCAATAGACGCAGAAAAGGCCTTTGAGAAAATTCAACAGCCCTTCATGCTAAAACCTCTCAATAAACTAGGTATTGATGGGACATACTTCAAAATAATAAGAGCTATTTATGACAAACCCACAGCCAATATCATACTGAATGGGCAAAAACTGAAAGCATCCCTTTGAAAACTGGCACAAGACAGGGATGCCCTCTCTCACCACTCCTATTCAACATAGTGTTGGAAGTTCTGGCCAGGGCAATCAGGCAAGAGAAAGAAATAAAGGGTATTCAATTAGGAAAAGAGGAAGTCAAATTGTCCCTGTTTGCAGATGACATGATTGTATATTTAGAAAACCCCATTGTCTCAGCCAAAAATCTCCTTAGGCTGAAAAGCAACTTCAGCAAAGCCTCAGGATACAAAACCAATGTGCAAAAATCACAAGCATTCCTGTACACCAATAACAGACAAACAGAGAACCAAATCATGAGTGAAATCCGATTCACAATTGTTTCAAAAAGAATAAAATACCTAGGAATCCAACTTACAAGGGATGTGAAGGATCTCTTCAAGGAGAACTACAAACCATGCTCAAAGAAATAAAAGAGGACACAAACAAATGGAAGAACATTCCATGCTCATGGATAGGAAGCACCAATTTTGTGAAAATGGCCATACTGCCCAAGGTAATTTATAGATTCAATGCCATCCCCATCAAGCTACCAATGACTTTCTTCACAGAATTGGAAAAAAACTACTTTAAAGTTCATATGGTAACAAAAAAGAGCCCACATAGTCAAGACAACCCTAAGCCAAAAGAAAAATGCTGGAGGCATCACGCTACCTGACTTCAAACTATACTACAAGGCTACAGTAACCAAAACAGCATGGTACTGGTACCAAAACAGAGATATAGACCAATGGAACAGAACAGAGCCCTCAGAAATAACGCTGCATATCTACAACTATCTGATCTTTGACAAACCTGAGAAAAACAAGCAATGGGGAAAGGATTCCCTATTTAATAAATGGTGCTGGGAAAACTGGCTAGCCATATGGAGAAAGCTGAAACTGGATCCCTTCCTTACATCTTATATAAAAATTAATTCAAGATGGATTAAAGACTTAAATGTTAGACCTAAAGCCATAAAAACCCTAGAAGAAAACCTAGGCAATACCATTCAGGACATAGGCATGGGCAAGGAATTCATAACTATAACACCAAAAGCAATGGCAACAAAAGCCAAAATTGACAAATGGGATCTAATTAAACTAAAGAGCTTCTGCACAGCAAAAGAAACTACCATCAGAGTGAACACGCAACCTACAGAATGGGAGAAAATGTTTACAATCTACCCATCTGACAAAGGACAAATATCCAAAATCTACAAAGAACTTAAACAAATTTACAAGAAAAAATCAAACAACCCCATCAAAAAGGGACAAAGGATATGAACAGATTCTTTTCAAAAGAAGACATTTATGCAGCCAACGGACACATGAAAAATGCTCATCATCCCTGGTCATCAGAGAAATACAAATAAAACCACAATGAGATACCATCTCACACCAGTTAGAATGGCGATCATTAAAAAGTCAGGAAACCACAGGTGCTGGAGAGGATGTGGAGTAATAGGAACACTTACACTGTTGGTGAGACTGTAAACTAGTTCAACCATTGTGGAAGTCAGTGTGGTGATTCCTCAAGGATCTAGAACTAGAAATACCATTTGACCCAGCCATCCCATTACTGGGTGTATACCCAATAGATTATAAATCATGCTGCTATAAAGACACATGCACATGTATGTTTATTGCGGCACTATTCACAATAGCAAAGACTTGGAACCAACCCAAATGTCCATCAATGATAGACTGGATTAAGAAAATGTGGCACATATACACCATGGAATACTATGCAGCCATAAAAAAAGATGAGTTCATGTCCTTTGTAGGGACATGGATGAAGCTAGAAACCATCATTCTGAGCAAACTATGGCAAGGACAGAAAACCAAACACCGCATGTTCTCACTCATAGTTGGGAATTGAACAATGAGAACACTTGGACACAGGGTGGGGAACGTCACACACTGGGGCCTGTCGTGGGGTTGGGGTGGGGGGAGGGATAGCATTAGGAGATATACCTAATGTAAATGACGAGTTAACGGGCGCAGCACACAACATGGCACGTGTATACATATGTAACAAACCTGCACATTGTGCACGTGTACCCTAGAACTTAAAGTATCATAATAAAACAATAAAAATATATAAAAAATATTGAAGATAATTCCGTTTATATCTTATTTTTATTTATATTATTTTCAATTGACTAATCATAATTGCATTACATTTAATTGTAATATGATGCTTTGATATGTGTATGCAATGTGGAGTCATTAAGTCAGACTAATTAACATATCCATCATCTCACTTGATATTTTTGTGGTGACACATTTAAAATATATTATGTCAGTTATTTTGAAATATACACTGCATTATTAGTTACTGTAGTCACCCTGTTGCACAGTAGATGTCAAAACTTATTCCCCATTCCCTTTCTACCTTCCTCCTCCAGCTTCTAGTAATTATTATTTTACCCTCTACCTCTGGAAATTCAACATGTTTTAAGTTCTACATATAAGTGAGAACATGTGGTAGTTGCTTAGCATAATGTCCTCTAGATTCAGCCATGTTGTCTCAAATGACAGAATGTCATTATTTGTTAAGGTTGGATAGTATTCTATTTTGTATATATACCATATTTTCAATTTCCATTTATCTACTCATAGAAACTTTGGTGGTTTTCTTATCTTGACTCCTGTAAATAATGCTTCACAGAACAAGAGAGTGGATATATCCTTTCAACATATTGATTTCAATTCCTTTGGATATTTTCCCAGAAGTGGGATTGCTGAATCATAAGGTAGTTCTATTGTTAGATTTTTGAGGAACCTCCATATTATTTTCTATAAGGTCTATACTAATTTATATTCCCATCAACAGAGTGCAAGTGTTTTTTTTTTCTCTGCATCCTCTCCAACACTTTTCTTACATTTTTTTTATAAAAGCCATTCTAACAAGTATGAGATATCTCATTTATTCAAATTTGCATTTTCCTAATGATTAGTGATGCTGAACATATTTTCATGAACCTATTGGCCATTTGTATGACTTCTTTGGAGAAGTGTGTTTCACATTAATAAACTGAAAAGGATGCAGAAAACAATATTTACAGAAAAAGCATTTGACATCCTTTTATGATAAAAGCTCAAAACAAAATAGGTTAAAAAAGAATATGCCCCAACACAATAAAAGCCATATATCACAGACCCACAACAAACATTATACTAAACAGTAAAAAGCTGAAAACATTTTCTCTAAAATCAGAAACAAAACAAGCATGTCCGCTCGCACCATTTCTTTTCAACATAGTTCTGAAGGACCTAGCCAGAGCAATTTGGTAAAAGGAAGAAATAAGGGAGTATTAATAAGAAAGAGAGAAGTGAAAATGTCTCTTTTTGATAACATGATCTTATATAGAAATTCTTAACGGCTCCAACAAATAACTATTAGAACTGATAAACAAGTTCAGTAATGTTGCAGGGTATATTACTAAAATCAATATGCACAAATCAGTAGTATTTCTACACACTAATAATGAGATATCCAAAACAAAATTAGGAAAATAATTCAATTTACAATGGCAATAAAAATAAAAATACTTATTCATAAATTTAACTCACGAAGTGAAAGATTTATATACTGAAAACTATAAATCACTGATGAAAGAAATTTAAAAAACACAAATAAATGGAAAGATACCCTGTGCTCATGAATTGAAAGAATTACGTTGTTAAGATAGCTATACTACTTAAAGTAATCTATAGATTCAATGCAATCCTTATCAAAATTCCAATGTCATTTTTCACAGAAATAGAAAAAAAAATCCTTAACTTTGTGTAAAACCACAAAACAGGACGAATAGCCAAAGCAATCTTGAGCAAGAAGAAGAAAGTTGGAGGGATCAAGCTACCTAACTTCAAAACGTATTATAAAGCAATTGTAACCCAAGCAGTATAATATTGGCATAAAAACAGATTCATCAACCAATAAAAAAAGGGATCAGGATAGAAAGCCCAGAAATAAACCCATACATTTACGAACAGTTGATTTTTGACAAATGTGCCAGGAACCCACAATGAGGAAAGGACAGCCTATTCAATAAATGGTGCTGGGAAAACTGAATAGCAACATGCAGAAAAATGAAATTAGACCCTTCTCTTACTTCTTACCAAAAAAAAAAAAAACTAAAAAAGTATTAAATATTTAAATGTAAGACCTAAAACTGTAAAACTGCTGAAAGAAAACATAAAGGAAAAGTTCTACAACGTTGGTCTGGCTACAGATTTTTTTGGATATGACTCCTAAAGGCTCAAGCACCAAAGGCAAAAATAGACAAATGGAATTACATCAAACTAAAAAGTTTATTCACTGCAACAGGAGCAAACAACAAATGAAGAAACAACCCACAGACTGGGAAAAATATTTGCAAACTACACATATCATGAGATGTTAATATCCAAAATATATAAGGAACTCAAACAACTCAACAGCAAGAAAACAAATAGCCTAATTAAAAAATGGGCAAAATATGAACATACACTTCTCAAAAAATACCCACAAATATATTTATAATATTGTTTAGTATGTCCATTAAGGAACCATTTATACAACTTTGTTGTATATAACATATTTATTGAGTCATTGACATGCCATACAACCATCAACTTAAAGTATACAGTCCAATAGATTTTATTATATTTAGTAAACATCACCGCAATCAATTTTAGATCATTTAATCATCTTAAAAATAACCCATGTACCCATTACCTATCACTTCTCATTATTCTCTAATCCCATGTCTCTGGAAAAATACTAATTTATTTTTTATCTCTGAAGATTTGTCTTTTCTGGACATTATAAATTGATTCACGCACAATGTATGTGTGACTCACTTTTTTCATTTTTTAAAATAAATTCACTGTTTAGTGACTGACTTTACTTGTATTTTCAACATTCATCCATGTTTGAGCATGTATTTATACTTCATTCCTTTTTATTGCCAAATAATACTCTACTTTATTGAATGAAGATGCAACAGTCTACTGAGCCATTTATAAGTTTATGGACTTTTGATTCATTTACACTATTGAGAAACTATAAATAACGTTGCTATAAACATTTGTGTGAAAGATTGTGTGCAGACAAGTGTTTCTATTTCTCTTGAATGAATACCTTGGAGTAAAATTTTGCTGGGCCATATAGTAATTCTACTTAATATTTGGAGTACTGCCAGAATTTTTTTAAGTAGCTGCACTATCTTATATTCTAACTGTTAATATATGTATTGAATTTATCCTCATCTTCACCAACACGTGTTAAGATCCGCTTGTTAATTATGGTCATCTTATTGAGCATGAAGCAGTATTTCATTGTGCCTTTCATAATAAATGATGTTGAACACATTTTCATGTACTTTTTGTTCATTTATGTTTCTTCTTTGGTGAAATACATACTCAGAATTTTTAATGTTGTTGAAATCTAATTTAGCTATAATTTTCTTTTGTTACTTGCACTTTTGATGTTTTATCTAAAGAAGCCTTCACCTAACTCAAGTTCACAAAGATTACTCTTATATTTTCTTCCAAGAATATTATAACCTTAGCTCTGGCTTAACAATATTGTCTTCTGACCCGTAACATGAGATGTGATTACAAACATAGGTTTGTAATTTGTTTCACAACTGTTTTGTATTTTTATGCAATAGATTTTCTGACTTTCGTTAAATGTATCTCTAACTTTATTATTTCCCAATGCAGAAAATGAAACTGGACCCCCTACCTATCATCATCATATACAAAAATTAACTCAAGGTGAATTAAAGACTTAAATGTAAGATCCAAAATTATAAAAATTTTTGAAGAAAAACCTAAGAAACACCCTTTTCAATATCTATGTTGGGAAGAATGTAGGGCTAACTCCCCACAGGCAATTGCAACAAAAACAAAAATTGACAGGTGGGAACTAAGTAAACTAAAGAGCTTCTGCATAGAAAAAAGAAACTATCAACAGAGTAAGTAGACCACCTACAGAATGGAAAAAAATTCATAAATTATGATCCAACAAAGGACTAATATCCAGAATCTATAAGAAACTTAAATCATTAAGCAAAAAACAACCCCATTAAAAATGGGCAAAGGACAAGAACAGACACTTCTCAAAAGAAGATATATAAGCAGCCAACAAACATGAAAAAATATTCAACATAATTAATCATCAAGGAAATGCAAATCAAAACCACAATGAGATACACTGTTGGTAGAAATGTAAATTAGTTCAGCCACTATGGAGAACTAAGATTGAACTACCACTTGACCCAACAATCCTATTACTGACTATATACTCAAAGGGAGCTGAATCATTCTACCAAAAAGACACATGTCCCCATATATTCATGGCAGCACTATTCACAATAGAAAAAAATATGGAATCAACACATCAACAGTGTATTGGATAAAGAAAATGTGGTACATATACACTATGGAATATTACACAGCCATAAAAAATGAAATTATGTCCTTTGCAGCTACATAGATGCAGCTGGAGGCCATTATGCTAAGCAAACTAATGCAAAAACAGAAAGTCAAATACTGCATGCCCTGACTTATAAGTGAGAACTAAACCTTGAGTACATACAGACCTACAGATAAAAATAATAGAAATAATAGACACAAGAAGAGTGGAGGGATGGGAAGAGGGTTGAAAAACTACCTACTGGATCCTATGCTCAGTACTTGGGTGACCGATTCAATAATACTCAAAATCTCAGCATCACTGAAATATACCTTTGTAACAAATCTGCATATGTATGGCCTGATTCTAAAATAAAAGTTGAAAAACAACCTGAAATTGACCAAATAATTGTAGCTTAATGTAATTTACTGATAGCTTAGGCATACAATTGATTTCTTTATGTTAAAATTATACTCCATAAGCTTACTTAACTCATTTATTAGTTCTAATAGTTGCTTTTATATTAGTGGATTCCTAGGGATTTTTCTATGTATAAGACTATTGTCTGCAAATAGATATGGTTTTATTTCTTCTTTTCTAATCTGAAACTGTTTCCTTTAATTTTCTTGCATATATACCCAAGCTAGAACCTCCAATAAAATGTTAAGCAAAATAAGTGAGAGTAGACATTCTATTCTTGTTTCTGACCTTAGGAAGAAAGCATTCAGTCTTTCACCATTAAATTTGATGTGAACTGTGGCTTTTTTGTATATGACAGCCTAAGATACTTTCCTGTACTGCTGGTATGTAGAACACTTATATTTTAATCAGAGGGGTTTTGTATTTTGTCTAGTATTTTTTCTGCAGCTACTGAGATGATCACATGGTTTCACTTATTATATTTGTATAATGTATTACATTAATTAATTTTCAGATATTAAACCTGGGATAAATGCCATATAGTCTTGGTGTACAACCCTTTTTTATACTGCTAAATTCTGTTTGCTAATATTTTGCTGAGGATTTTTTTGCTCAATTCATGAGAATCTGCCTGGTTTTCTTTTTTCTTGTGATTTCTTTCTGTAGTTTTGATAAGGTAATACTGACCTTATGTAATAAAGTAGGAATTATTCCCTCCTTGTCTATTTTTTGGAGAGTTTGTGGGTATTTGGAATAAATTTCTCTAGATATATTTTGTAGAACTTACCACTGAAGGCATCTGGGTCTGGGGCTTTCTACCTGAGAAATTATTGAAAGACTAATTTAATCACTTGATTAGTTATTAGGGCTATTTAAAAGTTCTGTTTCTTCTTGAGGAAATTTTGGTAGTATGTATATTTGTATTGCTATTCTATTCAACTCACTTTATTTAATTTGTTGGCAAATATTGTTAATAGTATACTTTTACCCTCTGTTATTTCTGGGAACTCAGTAGAAATTACTTTCTTTTATTACTAATTTTGGTAATTTGAATCTTCACTCTTTTCCTCTTGGACAGTCTAACCAAGTGTGTAAATATTGTCACTCTGTTCATAAAAACCACTTTTGTTGTTATTAATTTTCTCTACTGTTTTTCTATGCTTTCTTTGATTTTTATTCACTCTAACTATTATTATTACCTTTTTTTCTGTTTGCTTTAGGTTTAATTTGCTTTGTTTTCAAGTGTCTTCGGATGAAAGAAAAGGTTACTGATTTAAGATAATTCTTTTTTATTAGTATAGAAAATTAATACTATAAATTTTCCTCTCAGCATTGTTTTAGTGGCATTCCATATGTTTTGGCATAATGTGCCTTAATTATAATTCATCTCAAAGTATTTTTGAAATTTACAGTGATTTCTTTCTAGCTCTATTGATTATTTAGAAGTGTGAGACTTAATTTGTACACATTTTTAAAACTTCGAAATTTTTTATTATTTATTTTAATTTTATACCCTTTACTGTGTATGGAGAATTTACTCTGCATGATACCAATATTAAAGTTTGTTATATGGCCCAGCAGATGTTCTAGTATAAAGAATCCTCCAAATTCACTTGAGATGAATATTTATTCTGTTGTTTTTGGGTGGCAGGTTCTTGTTCTATAGACGTCTGTTGGGTCAAGCTGCATTAGCTGTAGTCATTATTTTCCAAACATATAATAGCTGAGTCTCCAAGCTCTTTTAAATAAATGACACTGGCTTACTGTTTCAGTCAGTTCTCACACTGCTGTAAGGAATACCTTAGGGGCTTCCATGAAGGTCTCTGACTTGCACTAGAGACATTTTCCTTATTGTCTTGACTACTAACATTGGACTCCTCATTACTTATGCAAATTTCTGCAGCCAGCTTGAATTCCTCCCCAGAAAATGGGTTTTTCTTTTCTATCACATGGTCAGGCTGCAACTTTTCCAAACCTTAATGAACTGATTCCCTTTGAAACATAAGTTTCAATTTCAAGTAATCTCTGTGGATGAATATAACTGAACACATTTACAATAATCCAGGTCACCTCTTGAATGCTTTTTTGCTTAGAGCTTTCTTCTGTCCGATACCCTAACTCATCTCTCTCAAGTTCAAAGTTACACAGATCTCTAGTGTAGGGGAAAAATGCCACCAGTTTCTGCTAAACCATAACGTGAAGACCTTTACTCCACTTCCCAGTAAGTTCTTCATCTATATGTGAGACCACCTCAGCCTGGACTTAATTGTCCATATCACTGTCAGTATTTTGGTCAAAACCATTCAACAAGTCTCTTAAGAAGGTCCAAACTTTCCTACATCTTTCTGTTTTTTTCTGAGCCCTCCAAATTGTTACAATGTCTGCCCATTATCTAGATCCAAAGTCACTTCCACATTTTCAGGTCATCCTTACAGCAGTGCCCCACTCTCTCAGTACCAATTTTCTGTATTAGTCCAATTTCACACTGCTATAAAGAATACCTGAGGGCAGGGTGCAGTGGCTCATGCCTGTAATTCCAGCACTTTGGGAGGCCGAGGCGGGTGGATCACGAGGTCAGGAGATCGAGGCCATCCTAGCCAACATGGTGAAACCCTGTCTCTACTAAAAATACAAAAATTAGCAAGGCGTGGTGGCAGGCGCCTGTAGTCCCAGCTACTCAGGAGGCTGAGGCAGGAGAATTGCTTGAACCCAGGAGGCAGAAGTTGCAGTGAACCGAGATCGTGCCACTGTACTCTAGCCTGGGCAACAGAGCAAGATTCTGCCTCAAAAAAAAAAAAAAAAAGGAAGAAAGAGTATCTGAGACTGGGTAATTTTTAAAGGAAGAAGTTTAACTGACTCACAGATTCACCTGTCTTAGGATGCCTCAGGAAGCTTACAATCATTGTGGAAGGCAAAAGGGGAAGCAAGCATCTTCTTCACAAGGCAGCAGGAGAGAGAGAGTGCACAGGGGAAACTGCCACTTACAAAACCATCAGATCTCATGAAATCTCAGTCACTATCATGAGAACAGCATGGGGGAAACTGCCCCCATGATCCATCACCTCCCACAAGGCCCCTCTCTCAACATCTTGGGATTACAATTTGAGATGAGATTTGGGTAGGGACACAGATCTAAACTATACCACTTGCAAATTACAAATGATTATGAATGACTAGGAACAAAATCTTTCAAATGTAATAATGAGTATGTGTGTGTGTGTGTGTGTGTGTAAATAATATAGTTTCAACTAATAATTTGCTTAGTTTAATTTCATTTATGACTTGATTCGTTGGACCAATTTTCTATTCTTTAGTAACCTAGATTTTGAAGGTGCCCTGGAAAAACTCTGTGATACATACGTTCCCTGTTTTTCCTCGATTTTATACGCTGCCCACCTTAACACTCAACAGTGAGAACACCTGATTTGAATGTGTTTTTGATGGCAGGTTTAATAGTTACAGATAAATATAAAAGAGAAATAGTTTCCAAATAGATGAGAAAAGGCTAATATTTACATTAGTGCCCCATTTTGTTAGATGTGATTACTGATAAGAGAAACATGATTTGTCCAAGTTATCATAGCTACTAAGTGACATAGAACAGACTTGAACACTCAATTCTACAAGTATACATCAAATTTTAATAAAATTACCATACTGCACATTTAACAGACATTCACAGATGATATTGTCTTATTTATATACTTTTTATAACTTAAAATAACCTCAGCAAAGAAACAGAAGTTCCATATATTTTTGAACACCATCGATTTTCATACACACTACCAACTTAATAGTAGCTTTTCAGAGTACAAAAACAGTGCAAATCTGGATATAAATATGAATTCAATACTATAAGATATTGGGGAAAATGTCAATTGAAATTAAACAAATATTGTCTTATTTGGAAATTAGATGAGAATTCCAAGTACTAAAAAGTTACATAGACACAAAGATTTTAAGAGGCAGATTTTATATGATACAAATCCTTTCTTTTTTATTAAATAAATCAAAACCCAAATAAAGCATATCACTTGTCTATCATTTAATATATAACACCCCTGATTAGAGGATAATTTTCTTTAGCTCTAATTCAGGAGCTCTTATTCCCTAGTAGTGCAGGAGACATAGGGGAAATTCAGGCTTAACAAAAATTATAAAATTTAAATCTCTTAGGTCCTCTGCTATACAAAGCTACCACCACACTTTTCCTTTTAAAATAGACTTATTTTATGATTACTGCATTAATTAAGAGAACTTTCCAGTAAGTTACACCTTAACAAAACATATCTGTCTTTTAGAATGTTTACCTTTCTTAGTAGAAAATAGACCATTATACTAAAGTCTATTGCCATCTAAAGCATTGTATATTGAAAGATAGGTAGATAACAGTGTGTTCTCCTAGTGAAGGGAAACAAAAATAATCTCTTATTCTAAAAATAAGTTTTATAAGATCTTTAAATATTGATTTTATTTTCTCCAAAAGAGTAAATTTCTTTTTTTTTGAGACTGAGACTTGCTCTGTTGCCAGGCTGGAGCGCAGTGGCGTGATCTCAGCTTACTGCAACCTCTGCCTCCAGGGTTCAAGCGATTTTCCTGCCTCAGCCTCCCAAGTAGCTGGGACTACAGGAGCCTGCCACCATGCCCAGCTAATTTTTGTATTTTTAGTAGAGACAGGGTTTCACCATGTTGGCCAGGATGGTCTCGATCTCTTGACCTCGTGATCTGCCCGCCTTGGCCTCCCAAAATGCTGGGATTACAGGCGTGAGCCACTGCACCTGGTTAAATAGTAAATTTCAATAGGGTATCTGTGAATTCATTCCAATTTTAAGGTTATATAACTTGAATAAGATGAAAGAGTCAAAATAAAATCTCAGAAATGATGCCTAATGAATATTGTTTCCTGAACTGCTGGCAGAAATTTCAAAAATGTTACATGCCTAAAGCTACTTATCCTTTCTTACTTATGCTAATCCATAAAATGTTTTCTGCTTATTTTTTCTTCACACAACTCTAGAAAACAAGAATTAAAAAAAAAACAAAAAAACAAGACATACAAAACCCTCCAGGTAGTAAGAATGAAATTACTGGAGTGGTTACTCAGTTTGGAATATATGTTTTTTCAATAATTTTGACTACTTTAAATTGATAAAATTCAATAAAGATAGCAGAAAAATGTATTATTACTATTCCATTTATGATTCTAAACTTATTGGATCAGATCATAAATAGTATCAATTGAGCATGTTCTATATAATTGAATTTACATAAAATAATTATGCATTTTTCTTATTGTGATCCAGAAAATACATTAACAAATGACATTCTTGGAATGAAATTTATTTTATAAAGTGACACTTTCATTTCAAATGAAGATCTGATCTTGATGTTTAGATATAATTGGGAAGATACATTAATTAATTTATGACATACCTAAAGGCAGTTTAAGACTGTAACTTTTACTTTTTCTCTGAGCACCGACAACTTTTTCAGGCCCAATATTCGAAAATTTTGTGGACCCAGTCAATTGTTATAATCTTAATCCTAGAAAATGACAATTAATCAAATACATCTTAAACTAAACAGGCTATAAATATGTTTAATGATTTAGAATATTTTTATGTTTCAGTGTCTAGCATGATAAATTGTCTTCAGTTGATAAATATCATCTGAGCTATTCAAAATTATCTGTTAAAAGCAATTTATCATATTGTAAAATTGCACATATTTTGTATTATTATTTTCACTTTTTTCAGTGAAATTTTGCTTCATATATGTTTTCTGGTAGGGATGAAAGCTACAATATACCTGGGAAATTGCATAGTAAATATTACACAAAAGATTAGCTTTGAGGAATATTTTATTTGTACTCTTGATTCTCCAAAGCTTTCATTGATCCATCCTACAATACATCATTTCAATGCAATGTTATTATAGAAGATATTTTTGATTTTTCTTCAATATGTAGAAATTCCTCAGATCTTTAGTTATCATAGCATAACATATTCAAAATCTTACATTAACTTAGGCTCACAGAAAGTTTTGAACAGATAATTACAAATATTTGATAATGACTATGATTCCGGGGAACAAACACAATGTCTAAGAGGTATTCTAAAATTAGAACAATCGAGCTTTGACCAAGTCGTTTCCTTTTCCTAACTCTAGGATCTTCAGGAAATTAATAACCTTAGTTTCCATATTTATAAACTAGGGATATCAATATCCTTACTATTGGAATTTTGTGAGATTTAAAATATGATTTTTGTAAAGGGCTGAGCTTGGGGCCTGACACACCTAGTATCACATAAAAGTTGCTTATTTTTATCAATCCTACAACATATTTAAATAAATTATTGAAACCATAAGACTTTTGTTCCCCTCATACAATGCCATATTGTACTACAGAAAGTTAAAATATCATTTCAAATGCTTACCTCTGATTCAGAAACTCAGTCAAAACTAACCAAATCCATCGCAGTTTCTGCCAGGAGCAGATTACCATGACGTTGTGACTCCATTCAAGCAACCTACTCCTCCCGCATACATAGTGTGCACAATCAGCTAATGTTTTCCCTAGAATAAATGAATAAAAATCTTCTACTACTTAGATGGCACAGAATTCCTTGAGTATTTTAAACAATATATTAAAATGATCCCTTAGTAAGGTATGACCAAGAGGCCTTAACATTGCTCTCAGCTTGGCTAAAATTTACATAGGATTTTTCTGGCCTGTAGGCCTGACCTCCCTCTCACCCTATTACTGACGGAATCCAGATGAACTAACCACAGAGGTCACTCCCCTCCCTTTACTTAGAACATTTATTTTGGAAGACACATAATGGCAAGTTCTTTTTCTGCCTCTTAAATATGCAAATATTTTTAAAGGCCACTTGCCAATTTTACAACCCAAGAATGTCTTTCTCAAAAACATGTGAGCCATTCCTTTGAAATGTAATCATGAAAGAAGACAGCATTTCCCATGCTTCCTGGGAGGGTAGGAGGCATCTTGCTCAAAGTTGTAATACTAGCTCCTGTTATGACAATAAAAGAAAGTTTACTTTTATTTTTGGTGAGGCCAGTTAGAAAACACAAATGGCCTATGATTCCCTCACCACAGCTCTTAAAACTCTCCCGTAATTTGACTTTTAATAAACTCCCTTTATGTCCATGCAGTTGAGACTGAGTTCTGTTCTCTCTTCTCTATTGCAATAGTTTTCCATAAAGTCTTCCTTACCTGTATAACTTTGGTGCAATTTTGTGCTTTGACAGCTGTATAATAAATAATTCACTCTCTCTCACTGGCAGGGAACTAGGGTAACATTTTGGGTAATAATTTACAAGCCGCATTTTTTTCACCTTCACCAATTAGGAAAGCAAACAGCTTCTATATCACTTTGTTTACTCATACAGAAAGTAAGATTATGTATGAAATATGCACTAATATGAGGACATAATCTTCCATATGTATATGTTCTTATGTGCTTTGTCTATTTGTGTTTCTTGCATTGTGAAATGAATATTGATCTTCCATTTTTCTATGGTGCTGTTCATCCTAGACTAATTACAATGTTTTTTACACAGTATGTATCTCAATTTTTATCACGATTTGTAGATTTCCTTAATTTTTCATTTGACATTTAATTATATTTGTAGTCCCTATTAAAGCACAAAAGTCGATGTAAGTTATTTTTTCTTTTTAAAACTAAAATATGCACTTACTGCTCATCTATTTAGCTATGTTTATAACTTGATCTTGACACTGTAGTTTTATTTTATTATATTTATACTAATCACACCAGTTTATTTTTTGAGTGTATTTGTACCATATTGTTTATTGTCATGCATCTGTATTTTTTCATAGATTTTACAAATATTTATTTTGCAATCATTTTATTTATTCCCTCATTCATTTTCCAACCTGCTTACTCAAGTTCAGGATCACATCCCGAGCCTATCCTCAGGGCACAAGGTGGTAAATCAGCCCTGGACAGGATTCCATCCCATTGCAGAGTGTGCTCATACACACCTCACACTCACTCAGATTGGGAATAGGCAGACATTCCACTGAATCTAATGTATGCAGCTTTGGTATATGGAAGGAAAGTAGAAAACCTGGAAAACAAAAAAACACCTGAACATGGAGAGAGTATGCAAACACTCACAGACACTGGCCTTGCCAGGAATCAATTATTTTTTTTCTTATCAAAACCATTCTAAAGTTATTCTAAAACACATATGGAGCCAAAAACACATTAAGTCTTCAATCCATTTTGAGTTAATTTTTGTATATGGCAATAGGTAGGAGTTCAGTTTCATTCTTCTGCACATGTTTAGCCAGTTTTCCTGGCACTATATATTGACTAGGGAGTCCTTTTTCCCTTTGCTTATTTTTGTTGACTTCTCCAAAGATCAGTTGGTGCTAGGTGTGCAGTTTTATTTCTGGGTTCTCTATTCTGTTCCCATTGGTTTATGTGTCTATTTTTGTAGCAGTACCATGCTATTTTAGTTCCTATAGACGTGTAGTATAGCTTGAAGTCAGGTAATGTTATGTCTGGCTTTGTTTTTTTGCTTAGAATTTCTTTGGCTTTCAAAGTTCTTTTTAGCTCCATATGAATTGAACATTTTTTTTTCTAATTCTGTGAAAAATGACAGTGGTAATTTGACAAGAAAAACATTGAATCTGTAGATTGCTTTGGGTAGTATGGACATTTTATAATGTTGATTTTTCAGTCCATGAGCATAAATTTTCATTTTTAATGTATAATATATGATTTCCTTCAGCAGCATTTTGTAGTTGTCCTTGCATAGTTCTCCTCCATGAATAGATGTATTCCTAAGGTTTTTAAAATTCATTTTTTTGTGACCATTGTAAAAAGAATTGTGTTTTTGATTTGGCTCTCAGTTTGACCATTTTTGTTGTATAGAAATGCTACTGACTTTTGTATGTTGATTTTGTATCCTGAAACATTACTACAGTCATTTATCAGATCTAGAAGCCTTTTGGATAAGTCTTCATGTTTTTCTAGGAAAAGAATCATATTTTCAGTGAAGAGTGATAATTTTACATTTTATTTTTTTATATGGATGCCATTTTTAGGGGGAATGCTTCCAGCTTTTGCCCATTCAGTATGATATTGTCTGTTAGTTTGTCATAGATGGCTCTTATTACTTTGAAGTATGTTCCTTCAATGCCTAGTATGTTGAGGGTTGTTGAGGGATTTTTTTTTTCTTTATCATGAAGGGATATTGGATTTTATCAAAGGCTTTTTCTACATCTATTGAAAGGTTCACATGGTTTATGTTTTTAATTATTTTTATGTGATGAATCACATTTTTGATCTGTGTGTGTTGAACTAGACTTGCATCTGCAAAATAAAGTCTACTTAATGGTGCTGAATTAACTTTTTAATGTGCTGCTAGATTTGGTTTACTAGAATTTTATGTTGGGGAACTGCATCTTTGTTCATTTGTGGGGGTTCAATCAGGCTGGTGGGAAAAATATTAAAGATAGTTATAGTAATACCCACAAACTCTCTTGGAAAGGCTGACAATTTGCATAGCTTCAGATTGTCTGGCTGAAGGCAGCCAGAATCTCTTTGCAGGAGGCAGAGAGCTTAAGGTGCAAATACAAAAGAATGTACAGTAGTTTATCTAACTAACTTGTTTTCCTAGGACTAACCTTTGATTTACCGCTGGTGCTTAATTGCTTTCTACTCGGGAAGTCCACAATGTCAATTACCCTTTAGTGGTGTTGACTCGAGCCTTTGTCAATTAATCTTTACTGAATAAATGCGAGTCTTGCTGACTGGTAGGGGCCTTGGTCACAACGGTTTACAGCACTCTGTGTGGAGTCTGTAAGCGGCTGGGATGCTCAGTCGAACTGGCAAAGCAGAATATCGGTGTGTCAGTGTACTTTATTCATCGATCGTTGAGTCTGTGGGACAGATCCTTGCATTCATCAGGGATATTGGGCTATAACTTTATTTTTTTTTAATGTAACTTTGTCATATTGTGATATCAGGATGATACTGGTTTTATAGAATGTGTAAGGGAGGAATGCCTCTTTCTTGATTTTCTGGGAACATTTTCAGTAGGATTGGCCCAAGATCTTTTTTGTACAATTGATAGAATTAGGCTATGAATCCATCTGGTCTAGAGCTTTTGTTGGCTCAGTTTTTATTATTCTTATTACCGATTCAATTTCAGTACTTGTTATTTGTGATGGTTAATATTGAGTGTCACTTGATTGAAGGATGCAAAGTATTGTTCCTGGGTGTGTCTGTGAGGGTGTTGCCAGTGGCAATTAACATTTGAGTCAGTGAATGGGGAGATACAGATCTACCCTTAATCTCAGTGGACACCATCTAATCAGCTGGCAGGATGGCTAGGGTAAAAGCAAACAGAGGAATGTGGAAGGACTAGACTGGCTAAGTCTTCTGGCCTCCATCTTTCTCCTGTGCTGAATGCTTCCTGTCCTCTAACATCAGACTCCAAGTTTTTCAGTTTTTGGACTCTTGGACCTACACCAGTGATTTGCCAGGGGCTCTCAGGCCTTCTGCCACAGACTGAAGGCTGCACTGTTGGTTTCCCTACTTTTGAGGTTTGGGAACTCCGACTGGCTTCCTTGCTCCTCAGCTTGTAGACAACCTATTGTGAGACTTCACCTTGTGATTGTGTGATTCAATATTCCTTAATAAACTTGCTTTTATATATACATCTCTCCTACTAGTCCCATCCCTCTAGAGAATGCTGACTAATACACTATTGCTGTCTTCCGGGTTTCAAATTATTCCTAATTCCATCAAAGTGGGTTGTGTCTTTCTAGGAATTTATCCATTTCTTCTAGTTTTTCTAGTTTCTGCACATAGAGGTGTTCGTAATAGTCTCTGAGGACTTTTTGTATTTCTATAGGATTGGTTGTATGTCTCTTTTGTCATTTCTAATTGTGGTTATTTAGAACTTATCACTTTTTAGTTGTTGTTAATCTAGCTAAAGGTCTATCAATCTTGCTCATCTGTACAAAGAACCAAATTTTTATTTCATCAATTCAGTGTATGGTTTTTTAAGTCCCAGTTTCATTTATTTCTATTTTTATTTTAGTACTTCTTTCTTCTGCTAGCTTTGTGATTATTCTTTTTTTATGTGTACCTTTAGGTGCAGTGTTAGATTGTAATTTGATGTATCTTCTGGATGTAAGCATTTAATACTATATACACTTTTCTCTTAACACTGTTTTCGCTGCATCCCGGAGGTTTGGGAATACTGTCTCTATTTTCATTTGTTTAAAATAATGTTTTGATTGCAAGTTTTATTTCATTGTTTACGCAAAAGTTATTCAGGAGCAAGTATTTTAGTTTTCATGTAATGATGTGGTTTTGAAAGTTCCTCTTGGTATCAAATTGTATATTTATTCTACTGTGATCTGAGAATATGCTTAGTATGATTTTTTTAATTTAGAGAGATTTATGTCCAAGCATATTCAGGTCAATTTAAAGTGGATTTTTATATTGGCCAACTTCATTCAAATGGCTGGCCATTTTACCAAGTGGCTTCCTCTTCACTGATAGCTAAATAATTATTCATTGTGATTTATTTTGTTTTCAGCAAAGAAAAATAAATGAACCTTAACTTTCAATAAGGTTTATATTTTGTTTTAGTCATATTTCAGTTTTTGTATTTTCATATTTAGTACATGTACCACTTTACTAACTAGAATGTATGTGTGTGTAATGGAAAATCATTTTAAAAGCCAAGTTTCTGTTAAAAACAAATTTTGATTAATGTAATTTATCCAATGTACTGAGAAATAAGTTGTTATAGTGAGCTTATCTTTATGGCCTATGGAATGAAAGAATAAATCCAAATAAATAGCTATCCTAATATTTGTTTTTAAATTTTTTAACAGGTTTTAATGGTAGAATTATGTGTCTATAATTTCAGAGTGCTATAACACAGTCTGTGTGTAGGTGTTCAAATAATTTAATGTTGAATAATTTTAGTTTTAATAAATGTATTAACTTGACCTTATTTTTAACCCTTTTAACCCATGCTTAAAACTTATAGTATATAATAAAGCAATTCTAACAAAATTATAACAAAATAAATATACTACTTTAATGTGGTCTTAAGTAATTTCTAAACATTTTAAATTGTTCTTATTATTTGCATTTATTATTCATTTTATGAAAAAATATTGTTTCAGAATATCATGCTTTTAATAACTTTTCTTCCAACTTAAATAATATGTTTTGTTTTCATGATGATATTTCTCTAATAAATCTTTAGTTCTTGAAGATTATGGTGATTATCGGGTTTAATGTTACTCAGACAACATTTTGCTATGTTGATAACTCCAGTTGAAGAATTGGAAATATTTTTATTTTGCACATTATAATGATCATATTTCATTAATTTTTTATACCATCTTCCTTCATGTTTAATGGATATTTCTAAGGCTAATTATCACTTTTCTATATTTAGTGGAAAGAATACATATGAAGATAAAAGCACAATGTGATATTTATGAGATGTCAGTGCAGTATAAATATAGAAATTCTCTAATTATTCCAGAAATATTCATGAAAATTTCATTGCTTTCCTAAGAATTTGACTTAATTGAACAAAAATGATTATCCTTGCCATAAATTAATATTTGAGAGAGTTGAATTTGCCTCATTAGCAATGTACTATCTACTTGAGGTTAATGTCCTGTGAGAGGCATTTTAATATTTAGTTATTATATGATTGACTCTCTGGAAGTTACTTACAGGAGTGTGAAAGTTATATCTTTGGGTGTATAATGCTTCCATTACATTGTTTTAATATTGTTATGGTTAACCATAGCATCAACATTTTGACAAATTAAATTTGTATACCAAAAAAATTGTTTTGAGGCAAATAGAGCTATAGGTTGGGAGTGGATTCTTTTTTAAGTCATTAGCACAATGTCAGATATCTTGTATATAGTCCATTCTAAGAAGACAGTATTTTTCACAGAAACACACAAGTATACTGTACATGGGAAATTCCACATTTTTAAAATAGTTCCAAAGTTAAGAAGACTGGCTTCCTGAGCACGAGTCATTATCCTGTAAATGCCAGGACAACTGAAGTTTTCAACATTAGCAAGAGTTATTTGGGATGAGGCTTCTCTTATAAAAGTTCACAGCTTCTTTGTTGGCTTGTAAATGTATCATTTTTCTTGGAAGTAAATTATTGTATGGCATTGATATTGTCCTATACGTACAGAACCAATGCCTATTGTCCCTTGAATACTGCTAACTACATTTTTTGACATGCATTAATAATTTCAGAAAGCAGACAAATAGAAAACAAGCACTTTTTTTTGGTCCCATTTCTCTCCAATAGGCCTACTTAGGCTCCTTAATAGGAGCCTCTCCACCTATCTAAAATGCCAACAGGGATAAATCATCTAGGGCCAGCCTTGAAGTAATTTGAGAAGTAATGTTCGAAAGCCAGGTAGTATTATTACCATCAGGTTTTTCTGAACCAAGCCTGATTTAGAAGATAAAGAATGAAGTAAGGATAAAATAGTAGATAATTGAATAATAAAGCTGATAAAATGCGATACCAAGTTTGGAATACAATGGAAGCACAGTCAATGTCTGAATGAAAAGATGGGCAAGGAAAAATTGTAAAGACTAGATAAGACATAGACGAATAGAGAAGGAAGGTACCAACCCCAAAACACTATCTTAGCTTGCATGTGATATCTGTCCCAACAGATTGATAAGGTCTGAACTGAGGCAGTTCCTTTTTAGCAACTCAAAGTTTGTCATGCCTTTCTATAACCACCACATTCACGAAGCTTCTGTGTTCTGAGTCAGGTACCAAAGCAATGTAGCTACAGTCTATTGTCCCCCAGTTGTTATTAACTATTTCCAGTCCTCTTTTGCCTTCACATTTTACATTACTTCATTTCTTAGATGTTGACTTTTCCCAAGTTTCTTAGCTTTACTCTCAAAGATATTGTCCTGGAGACATCATCAGTCAATAAGAGTGTTCTTTTACTTTCCGCTTAATGAACCAATGAATCACTGCATGCCAGGCTTTGTTTCCTCCAGTTTGGATTGTTTATGTTGTGTCGAGATCTACTTCTTCACCAAAGTGCTCCTGCTGTGTGATCTCTCCCGTTTGTTAAATCCTAGACCCTAGTTTCATCCTGAGTACACTGGCTGCTCCCTTGGCAGCTCGGATTATTTGATAGTGTGGTTATTTGGAACCATTTTAATACTATATTGTCTATACAACATGCACATGTTATGCAGTAAGTCTTACTCATTACTATGAAGAAGAGATGGCTTTTAAATAAAAATGGATTGCACTAAATTGCAACATAAGTGCAGCTCAGGAAAGAAAAAAAAGGGAGATCAGAGATACCACTGAGAGCTCATTGGAGTATAAATAATGATAGTGTAAAATTCACTCTAAAAGCTAGGAAATAGCCCTAGAACATTCATAATCATATGAGCGTTCATAATCATATGAATCATAATCATTGATGAGGATGTGGTATAATTTGAAAAGAATGTATACACTATAAGTTTAAGTTATGGGGCTTCAAGGCAATTTTAAATGTTGGTTTACTTAAATATATTTAGGTGAAGGCATGTGTCATTTCACTTAGCTCTCAATTATATGATATAATTTATCATAGTAGTTATGAGAATGAACGTGGAGTCAGATAGACCTAGATTTGGATCTGCTTCCTATTTGCTCCAAAAATTTGAATGATACACTAACTTCTAATTTTAAATTCCTCGTCCAGAAAATAGAATTTTAATACCTCACTATATGAGTCAAGGTTTATTGTTGAAAGGAACAGAAACAAAGTTTGGAAGATTTTTACAAAAATGAGTTTAGCACAAGGATTTAGAGTTGTTCGAGTTGAGCATTTCTGAGCCAGGAACATCACTCTAAAGCACGAGGCCGAATAAGTTTGATCAGAATTTGAAGGCTGCTGCTGCAGAGCAGGAAAGATTGGCGCAAGTACAGCTGACACTGCTGGAACTAAAAACTGGATTGGCCTCTGGCACTGTTTCCACTGCTACCTACAATCCCATCTTTCTCTTATACCTTCAATAAAACTAAAACTTGATAGTGCTTAAAACAACAATTCAAAGGAAGATAACATGTCGTAGCAAAAGCAAAGAGCTCTCACGAAGTCTTTCTTCTGGCTTATTAAATTACCTATACCATTTATCTCTCCACCTATCTAAATTGTATTTCTCAGTATTTCTCTAGATGTGCCAATATCTCTAGAAATATCCTTAAGTGATTCAGAAACACAACAACAATAAAAAATTTTTTGTGGGGTCTCAGAAGCTGAAAATCTATCTTAGTGGATTCAGGATTCTCTTTGGGCATAGCATTTTCTATATTTGTGTTACATTCTCTAATTTGAAAGAAAAAAGATTACCATTTTCAATTTCAGATTGAGAGTTTTCTGCTTGACTTCTTTTTATTCACTTTAATACAACTATAACAAGATATTATTTATGGGCAAACAAGAAGTGATACATTTACAACATGGTTAGATAGTGGTTAAGAATCATAATGTTGCAAAAATCTAATGTTTGAAGTTATAAATGTTTTAGTTTGATTTTCAACTTACACTTTTGAATCAGTACATAATGAAGTATGATAAGTATTGTTATGATTACTAAGTTTCGTGGGACCATCTTTTATTATAGAAAGAGCATAAAGTATTAGGTTGGTGCAAAAGTAATTTATATGTGTAAAATACCTAGCACTAATGTTTAGTTATTAAAAGTAATGAATAAAATACATAGGTATAACTAATGTCCATCATTTAATGGATATTTTGATATCTAAGTTTTTGTTTTCTATATGAGCCAGTATGTCTAATGATTAAGGGTGTGGGCTTTATGTTGAAATGGATGCTCAGTCACTTGAACTGTGTAACATTGGGAAGTTGTCCTATCTCAGAGGCTGTTTATTTTCCTATTTAATAAAATAATAATACAGAACTCATAGAGCAATGATTCAAGCAATGTGGCCACAGGAAATATCCTGGTGATTTTGTTGAAATGATTCCTGAACCCAATTCTAAAGATTTTAATTTTGTTGATAAGGAATATTTCCCTGAATTTGTATTTTCCACAAGCATTTTAGGTGATTTTAATGCACTTGGTCTGCAGATCACACTTAAAAAAATGTCAGAGCTTTTTAAAATGATATTTCACTTATAGGCAGTTAGAAGAAAATTATGTGAAAACATGCAGAAAAGTGCTTTTATTATAACAACCTACAGAGTGAATATATCTATGGGTATTGGCAGTATTTGATTGCTACTTTTAACTACTACTGTTTATTTTTTGTGAAATTTCATATGGTAGATGAAAGGCTTAGCCTTCTGCTCTTTCATTAGTCAAAAATATTTCTAGTAATTTTGATTTATTACCACATTTTTAAGAATTGCCAAAGATAATGGTAGATATTTATGGCTAACTCACCTTTAATAATTTTAGGTCTTGTAAAAAGCAGATTTTAATGTTATGATTATAAAATGATAGAAAACTTTTAACATCAATACAATGAGTAATCTTGTATAGAATAAGCAACTCTAAAGTTTGAGTCCAAGTTTTAAACCAAAAATCCTAATTTAGTTTAAAATGAAATGCAGATTCATTTTCACTGGATAAAACCATTGTACTCCAAATAAAAGAAAATATGAAAGCCTTATAACATTGATGTTAATAATGGACATGAATTTACATTTTTAGAAGGTGAATGAGTATGAATATAATTACGGAACAAAATTTTAATTTTTGCTCCATAGTCCTTCATATGGAAATTTTTATTTTTCACATTTCAAATTAACCTTGACAACAAAAACTTCCCACACTATTATAAGTTCATCTTTAACATTTATAAGTGAAATTGGCTTATAATTTTTTTGGAACAATGTTGATTCTGTTTTTCAAATAGCTTTGATGTTGACTCCTTTTAAAATATTTAGGAACTTGATTGTTACAGTTCTTGGATCAGCTTTCTTTTCTTTAATGGTACATCTGTAATACTATTTCCTGTATCTTATGGGATAATACAGCTTTGAAAAAGAGATAAGCTTTGACAAGTGGAAAGAGTTTTCTGGTCACCTGAAGAATACATTTCCCACTTCTAATTAATCACACGTCAGCTGCTAGGCATGTGTAATTAATGGCACATACCCCCAAGGGTGTAATGTGTAAACACCTTGCTTATCTAGTTAGAGAAATATTAGCATGCTGTTGATCACTGCAAATGAGAGTACTTTGCTAAGTCTGCCTTTTACTATTAAAGGCAGTCTATTACCTCATATCAATAAGAAAACAGCAAAGGTATTAGATGGAAATTTAAAAACATAGAATGATGCAGCATAAATGTGCTTGCATATATATTCATATTATATTAAGATGAAATAAACTTTATTTCAGTGTTTTGTTTTACTATCAGCATGGCATAAACAAACACAAGGGAAATGGGAAAAATCAATTTAACCTATTTATGATTAAAAAGGCAATAAAGATGTAAAAAATAGCTACCATAAGTACTGTTAACTACAAAGTTTAAGAAAACTAGTTAATTTATCTGAATCTTCACTTTTTCACAAATGTAAAAGAGAGAATTATAATTTCAATGGTAAAGATATTTACAAATATGTTTGACAAGTTGTTCATCAGTTTAACCTGAAGAAACAGATAATATTGACGTGTTATACCACTGTTTCTTGCCAAAACAAAATGCAAGCTTAAAAGCAACAGGCTGCAAAATAGGTACATCGTTCTTAAAACTATAACTTACATTTATGATTATTGGAAGTCATGAAAAACAATTTATCTATAGACAGTTGTTGGTTTGCTACAAACTGTCCCCTCTATTTTTGGAGGGTGGAGAATTTGCCCCCGGACTCAGGACTAAAGGGAGAAGCTTAAGATGCCTCGCTCAGAAAACAGGATACAAGACTGCTGCAGCTGCGCTTGGGGCATCCAGTTTAACACCTGACAGATGATTTTAAAGTTTGAGAAAGCATATTTATCGGCTTAAGAAAAGCCAAGGGGATGTGGCAACAGTAGGAGAGGAAATATCTTTACCCTGTGATTTAATCCCACTACTCTGGTTGTGCAATAGACTCACTGCATTTAAATTGAGTTTTGTTTCCAAAATAGAGTTTTTGTCCTTTCATTTTGAGCTACCCAATTGGGCCCTGAAAATTTTGCTCCCCAAGATATTTTAAATACTGTTGTTTTAGTTTGCTCCAGTGTGAAAAATTGTAGCTACCCTGCTGATAAATGATACAATTGCAATTGTGCATTTGAACAATACATCTGGTTATCCCTCAAGGAATTTTCTCACATTTTTCTCATAGATTAACTTAAAGCGAAATCATATTGAAAATAATTATTACTAATATAAATTAAACAAAATTAAAATTTAGTTACTAAAATTGTAGCTATTTATTAAATGCTATGTATTAAAAATTGGTGAAAATATAAATTTTCATTTTAAAATGTAGGTTAGAAAAGTTGATCCAGGGAAATTGATTTGGGAGGCAATTTAGAAAAATCATATTGCAATATGATTGTCTTATTTTGGGAAAAACAATGGTAATGTGTATGCGGAAAATAATTATTTAAAACGAATGCTAATGTATGTTAAATTAGATTACTGCATGTAGGAAGTTTGTTTAGTGTACTATGCAGAAAATCAGCATACTAAAAGCTACTAAATCAATGGGTAATAAACGATTAATAATAAATGCTTTACAATAAAAAATTAATCAACAATGTGGATTTTTTGCATATTTATTTTGTTTTTAATGATAAATATAAAAATATTTTGATCAAAATATTGTGTTCATAACACTGGGTTCCAATCAGCAATATATCAAAACAGTGCAGACAAAACTACATGGTCAAAACATTTGCTGTCCTCTATACCAATAATCTAAAAGTTATTTAGACATTAGTAAATACTCCACTGTGTTGCTTTGGTTAACTTATTCCTTCCATTCCATTCTTGTTAGAATCCTAAAGATGCATTTGCAAAAAAAGTGATTCTGACTTTCTAACTTTATTTCAATCCCCTCCTTTAAAAAAATCATTTTTCCTGTATGTAAACATTTTAAGTGTCTTTCTGTATTCATATGATCCCCATGAGCCTGGTATTTTTCACTTTAGAGTTCAGATAGTATAAAGCAGAGTTTCTATCTTTTTATGCTTAGTGAAGCTCAAAGTCCAAAATTTAAAATGCAACAATTACCTGACTTTCTGAACTCTATGCTTAGAAATTCTGTTATTTCTGATTTGAAACAAGATATGAAACTGATGGCTCACTGGAAAAACAAATTCCTTCTCCATATGCCAATTATAAAATTCTGTTTCTTCCAGTTAAATGTTTGAAACATTGCCTTTTGTGTTTTTTGTTTGTTTGCAACAATCGTTTTGGGTATTTTATGGTTCAAAATATCATCTTCACTTAATGTAAGATGGAGAAAAGTTTTTCTTCAATATTGTGTGACTTCCTCAAAGAATATACACTGCTATAAAAAAGTTCTTTTTATTATTTGCTAATGGCTCAGTACAATGATGAAAATTATGATGACGAAAATATACCAATAAGCAAAATCATTTTCTATGTAAAGCAATTAGCATTTCTCCACTTGTAGCAAAATGCACTCTCAATTTGCTTATTTTATTTACCAGTTGTGAATGGTTTATCCCATGTTCAGAAAACAGTTCATCAGGAGTCTTGTTTTATTACCATTTTGCCTCAAAGTTCAGAAGTACAGTCTGGATTTCTACAAAGTGTGCTTGGGCAATGGAATAAATTATGAGATGAAGTATTGATATGTGGCCCTTCCTACACTTCCTGGTAACATCAGTATCATAGACAATGGTTTGGAACTAAGTAAGGTCTGTCTAAGTTGAACAGAATCTGACATAACAAATGTAATTAGTTCCTAAAAAAGAATATAACTTTCTTACTCTGCTTGATAATCAGTAGACATTATCAAGCAAGGGGATAAATGCAAAAAGAAATGAAAGGTAGATCTAAGTCTGCATTAAGATATAGGTCACATAAACATTCAAGTAATTAGCACTGACTAAGAAGCAAACACAATTTCATTTTTGTTCGCTGTGATGGTTGATACTGAATGTCAACTTGATTGGATTGAGGTTACAAAGCATTGATCCTGGGTGGGTTTGTGAGGGTGTTGACAAAGGAGATTAACATCTGAGTCAGTGGGCTAGGAAAGGTAGGCCCACTCTTAATCTGGGTGGGCACTATCTAATCAGCTGCCAGCTCAGCCAGAATATAAAACAAGCAGAAGAAGGTGAAAAGACTAGACTGGCTTAGCCTCCCAGCCTACATCTTTCACTCATGCTGGATGCTTCCTGCCCTCAAACATCAGACTCCAAGTTCTTAAGCTTTGGGACTCAGACTAGCTTCCTTGCTCTGAGGCTTGTAGACAGCCTATTGTGGGAACTTGTGATCATGTGAGTATATATATATATATATATTCCATTAGTTATGTCCCTCTAGAAAACCCTGAATAATACAGATTTTGTTACAAAAAGTGGTTTTAGAGGAACAGAATATTAAGGATGGAGTTCTTTCATAGGTTTTGGGGTTTCTGGAGTTGGCTGCTTAATATGATAAGACCCCAAACTGCTAATGACTCTACTTCTAATAGTATGCAGAATACTGATAGTACTTGAGATGAATTGTTTAGAGAGTTATGCAAAATAAATCCATTCAACACATCTGGTTCACTGCTTGTGAGAGGCAAGGAGTTCAGTGACTCTATACATAATACTTTTGACTACATGTGGAGAATGAAGGAACATAATGAAGTTGGTTTGTTGCTCCCAAGTTCACTGTACAAAGTGATGAAAGAAAATGATGAACTCAGGGATTCTAACTCCTGCCTTCTAAAGCAGATACTGAGTCTCAAATCTCCTAAAATTGCCCTTAATGAGAGTCTTTTCTCCTGTAGAGAAAAAGCTGATTTTATGAAAAAGCAGACACAAGCTCCTATCATTCGAGTTGCTGACCTGCAATAAAAGGTGCATGCACAGCCTTGACAGGTATCTACTGTTAAAGTGAGGTCATTGATTGGAAAAGAATGAGACCCTACAACTTGGAATGGGGATATGTGGTAGGACTCTGATGAAGCAGGGGACACTAAGTTTGTAAACTCTGATGAGACTTTTTCGCCAAAAGAAACAGATTCCCCATCCCCAGAAGTGGCAACATCACCTCCCCAACCCATACTGCCATCAGCTTTTCCACCTTTGTGTGAGAAGATAAACCATGTGCTGCCTGAGGCAACAGTGATGGCCTCCTGTGAGGCACTTGCCAGGCAAGTTAATGTTGATTCTCCTCAAGACCCACCCCCAACACTGCTGTTTACTTCTAGGCCTATAACTAGACTAAAGTCCTGACAGGCCCCTAGAGGTGAGGTTGAGAGTGTGACCCATGAGAAGGTGGACTACACTCTAAAAGAACTACTAGAGTTCTCTAATTTATATAAACAGAAATCTGGAGAACAGGCAGGGGAATGGATATTAAGAGTGTGGAATAGTGGTGAAAGGAACATAGAGTTGGATCAGGCTGAATTTATTGATTTGGGCCAACTAAGTAGAGAATCTGCAACTAATGTTGCAGCTTGAGTAGTTAAAAGAGCTTCTAATAGTTTATTTTCTTGGTTAGCTGAAATACGGATTAAAAGATGGCCTACTGTGAGCTAGTTGAAAATGCCTGATCTACCCTAGGTTAATGTAGAGGAAGGAATCTAAAGGCTTAGGCTTATTGGGATGGTGGAGTGAATTAGTCACTTTAGACATACTCATCCAAGCTGGAATGGTCCGGAAGATATACTCTTGACCAATGCTTTGTAATATAGATTTGTCAGGGCAGCACCTGCATCTTTGAAGGCCCTGTAATTGCTCTTCTCTGTATGCTAGATGGAACAGTGAAAACCACAGTCATGCAACTACAAAATTGAAATACAATGGGAATAATTGGATCTTGAGGTGGCAGGGGCCAAGTGCTGGCACTCAACCATCAAAGGCAAGGTGGGTGTATCTACCATAATGCACAGCAGAGGCAAAGCAGCAATCAGAACAGCCTGACTCGTGTGGAGCTTTGGCATTGGCTAATTAATCAGAGTGTTCCTAGAAGTGAAATTGATAGGAAGCCTACTGCATTCCCAGTTAATTTATATAAGAAGAAAACTTCCAGGCCAAGTGGACAAAAGACTAACTTGAATTATAAAAGCAGAGAATCACAGCCCCCCCAATCAATTTTCAGACTTGAGCCAGTTTACAGATGCCAAACCCCTTGAATGAAGGGGAGGCCGGGTCCCCATGAAGAAGGAACCCACTACCCTACAGACAATTTATGCTGCATATCTTTCTCCCATCCTTCCCCAAAAGCATCTCCAGCCTTATACAGGGTAACTGTGCACTGGGGAAAGGGAAATGATCAGACATTTCAGGGACTACTGGAGAGTGGCTCTGAGCTGACGTTGATTCCAGGGGACCCAAAATGTCATTGTGGTTCTCCAGTTAAAGTAGGAGCTTATGAAGGTCTGGTAATTAATGGAGTTTTAGCTCAGATTTGACTTACAGTAGGTTCAGTGGGTCCCTGGACTCACTCTGTGGCCATTTCCCCAGTGCCAGAATACATAATTGGCATAAACACACTTAGCAGCTGGCAGAACCCCTATATTGGCACCCTGACTAGTAGGGTGATGGCTATTATGTGATAAAGGCCAAATGGAAACCATTAGAGCTGCCTCTTCTTAGAAAAATAGTGAATCAAAAACAGCATCTCATCATTGGAGGGATTCCAGAGATTAGTGCCACCATCGAAAACTTGAAGCACACTGGGGGGTGATTCCTACCACATCCATGTTCAACTGTCCTGTTTAGCCTGTGGAGAAGACAGATGGATCTTGGAGAATGACAGGGGATTATTGTGAACTTAACCAAGTGGTGACTGCAAATGCTGTACCAACGTGGTTTCATTGTTTGAGAAAGTTATCACATCTCCTGGTACCTGACATGCATCTCTTGATCTGGCAAATGCCTTTTTCTGTTTCTGTCTATAAAGTCTACCATAAGCAATTTGCCTTCAGTTGGCAAGAACAGCAATATACCTTTACTGTCTTACCTCAGGAGTATATTAAATATCTGGCTTTGTGCCATAATGTTATTGGTAGAGACCTTGATTTCTTTTTGCTTCCACAAGATATCATACTGGTCCATTACATTGATGACATTATGCTGATTGGAGCCAGTGAGGTAGCAAACACACTAGACTTATTGGTGAGACATTTGTGTGTCAGAGGATGGGAAATAAACCAAACTAAAATCCAGGAAACATCTACCTCAGTAAAATTTCTAGGGGTCCAGTAGTGTGGGGCCTGTTGAGATATTCCTTCTAAGGCGAGGCATAAGTTGATGGACTTGGCTCCTGCAAAACCAAAAGGGAGGCACAACACCTAGTGAACCTATTGGGATTTTGGAGGTAACACATTCCTCATTTGGGTGTGTTACTTTGGCCCATTTATTGAGTGACCTGAAAGGCTGCCAGTTTTAAGTGGGGTCCAGAACAGGAGAAGGCTCTGCAACAGGTCCAGACTACTATGCAAACTGCTCTGCCTCTTGGGCTAATGACCCAGCAGATTCAATGGTTCTTGAGGTGTCGGTGGCATATAGGGATGCTGTCTGGAGCCTTTGGCAGGCCCCCATAGGTGAATCACAGTAGAGACCTCTAGGATTTTGGAGCAAGGCCCTGCCATCTTCCACGATAATTACTCTCATTTTGAGAGGCAGCTCATGACTTGTTACTGGGCTTTGGTGGAAACTGAACGTTTGACTACAGGTCATCAAGTCACCATGCGACCTGAACTGCCTATCACGAACTGGGTATTTTCTGACCCATCTAGCCATAAAGTGGGTCATGAATAGCAGCATTCCATCATCAAATGGAAGTGGTATATATGTGATTATGCTCGAGCAAGTCCTTAAGGCTCAAATAAGTTACATGAGGAAATGATTCAAATGCCCATGGCCTTCACTTCTGCCACCCTGCCTTCTCTCCCCCAGCCTGCACTGATGGCTTTATGGGGAGTTCCCTATGATCAGTTGACAGAGGAAGAGAAGACTAGGGCCCGATTCATAGATGTTCAGTATGATATGCAGGCACCACTTAAAAGTGAACAGCTGCAGCACTACGGCCCCTTTCTAGGATATCCCTGAAGGACAGCGGTGAAGGGAAATCTTTCCAGTGGGCAGAATTTCAACCAGTGCACCTGCTTGTGCACTTTGAATGGAAGGAGAAATGGCCAGATGTGTGATTATATACTGATTCATGCGCTGTAGCCAATGGTTTGGCCTGATGGTCAGGGACTTGGACGAAGCATGATTGGAAAATTGGTGACAAAGAAATTTGGGGAAGAGGTATGTGAACGAACTTCTCTGAGTGGTAAAAAACTGAAGATATTTATATCCCACGTGAGTGCTCACTAACAGATGACATCAGAAGAGGATAATTTTAATAATCAAGTGGATAGAATGACTCATTCTGTGGACACCACTCAACCTCTTTTCCCAAGCCAACTCTGTCATCACCCAATGGGCCCATGAAAAAAGTGGCCACGGTGGCAAGGATGGATGTTACACATGGGTTCAGCAACATGACCTTCCATTCACCAAGGCTGACTCTGGCTATAGCCACTTCTACGTGCCCAATTTGGCAGCAGCAGAGACCCACACTGACCCTCGATATGGCAACATTCCTCTAGGTGATCAGCCAGATGTGTGGTGGCAGCTTGATTATTTTGGACCACTTCAATCATGGAAAAAGCAGAGGTTTGTCTTCACTGGAATAGACATTTACTCTGGTATGGGTTTGCCTATCCTGCATGCAATGCTTCTGCCAAGACACCATCCCTGGACTAATGGAATGCCTTATCCCCACCATCATGGTATTCCATACAGCATTGCCTCTGACCAAGGCACTCACTTTATGGCTAAAGAAGTGTGGCAGTGGACTCATGCTCATGGAATTCACTGGTCTTACCATGTTTCCCATCATCCTAAAGCAGCTGGGTTGATGGAACAGTGGAATGGCCTTTAGAAGTAACAAGTACAACAACAACTAGGTGACAATACTTTGCAGGACTGGGTCAGAGTTCTCCAGAAGGTCGCATATACTCTGAATCCACGTCTATAATATGGCATTGCTTCTCCCATAGCTAGGATTCATGGGTCTAGGAATAAAGGAGTGGAAATGGAAGCACCACCACTCATCATCACCCTGAATGATCCACTAGCAAAATTTTTGCTTCCTGTTTGTGTGACATTATGTTCTGCTGGCCTACACGTCTTAGTTCCAGAGGGAGGAATGCTGCCAACAAGAGACACAACGATTGCATTAAACTGGAAGTTAAGATTGCCACCTGGACACTTTGGACTCCTCCTACCTTTATGTCAACAGGCTAAGAAGAGGTTTACAGTGTTGGCTGGGGTAACTGACCCAGACTACCAAGATGATATCAGTCTGCTACTCCACAATGGAGGTAAGGAACAGTATGCATGGAATGCAGGAGATCCCTTGGGGCATCTCTTAGTATTACTGTGCCCTGTGATTAAGGTCAATGAGAAACTACAACAGCCCAATCCAGGCATGACCACAATGACCCAGACCTTTCAGGAATGAAGGTTTGGGTCACTCCACCAGGAAAAAACAAACAAACAAACAAACAAACAAACTGAATCCCAGGATCTGCTGAGGTGCTTGCTGAAGGCAAAGGTAATAGAAAATGTGTAATAGAAGAAAGTAGTAATCAATGCCACCTATGACCACATGACAAGTTGCAGAAAGGAAGACTGTAATTGTCATGAGTATTTCCTTTCTCTTTTGTTAAAAACACATTTGTGCATGTATAAACTGGTAGTAAGAAAATATCTTCATTTTGTGATTTTTGTACATGGATTTTGTATCCTGAGACTTTGCTGAAGTTGCTTATCAACTTAAGGAGATTTTGGGCTGAGACAACGGGGTTTTCTAGATATACAATCATGTCGTCTGCAAACAGGGACAATTTGACTTCCTCTTTTCCTAATTGAATACCCTTGATTTCCCTCTCCTGCCTAATTGCCCTGGCCAGAACTTCCAACACTATGTTGAATAGGAGTGGTGAGAGAGGGCATCCCTGTCTCATGCCAGTTTTCAAAGGGAATGCTTCCAGTTTTTGCCCATTCAGTATGATATTGGCTGTGGGTTTGTCATAGATAGCTCTTATTATTTTGAAATACGTCCCATCAATACCTAATTTATTGAGAGTTTTTAGCATGAATGGTTGTTGAATTTTGTCAAAGGCTTTTTCTGCATCTATTGAGATAATCATGTGGTTTTTGTCTTTGGCTCTGTTTATATGCTGGATTACATTTATTGATTTGCGTATATTGAACCAGCCTTGCATCCCAGGGATGAAGCCCACTTGATCATGGTGGATAAGCTTTTTGATGTGCTGCTGGACTCCTTTTGCCAGTATTTTATTGAGGATTTTTGCATCAATGTTCATCAAGGATATTGGTCTAAAATTCTCTTTTTTGGTTGTGTCTGTGCCCGGCTTTGGTATCAGAATGATGCTGGCCTCATAAAATGAGTTAGGGAGGATTCCCTCTTTTTCTATTGATTGGAATAGTTTCAGAAGGAATGGTACCAGTTCCTCCTTGTACCTCTGATAGAATTCGGCTGTGAATCCATCTGGTCCTGGACTCTTTTTGGTTGGTAAACTATTGATTATTGCCACAATTTCAGCTCCTGTTATTGGTCTATTCAGAGATTCAACTTCTTCCTGGTTTAGTCTTGGGAGAGTGTATGTGTCGAGGAATTTGTCCATTTCTTCTAGATTTTCTAGTTTATTTGCGTAGAGGTGTTTGTAGTATTCTCTGATGGTAGTTTGTATTTCTGTGGGATCGGTGGTGATATCCCCTTTATCATTTTTTACTGTGTCTATTTGATTCTTCTCTCTTTTTAATTTTATTCTTATACACCAATAACAGACAAACAGAGAACCAAATCATGAGTGAACTCCCATTCACAATTGCTTCAAAGAGAATAAAATACCTAGGAATCCAACTTACAAGGGATATGAAGGAACTCTTCAAGGAGAACTACAAACCACTGCTCAAGGAAATAAAAGAGGATACAAACAAATGGAAGAACATTCCATGCTCATGGGTAGGAAGAATCAATATCATGAAAATGGCCATACTGCCCAAGGTAATTTACAGATTCAATGCCATCCCCATCAAGCTACCAATGACTTTCTTCATAGAATTGGAAAAAACTACTTTAAAGTTCATATGGAACCAAAAAAGAGCCCGCATCGCCAAGGCAATCCTAAGCCAAAAGAACAAAGCTGGAGGCATCACACTACCTGACTTCAAACTATACTACAAGGCTACAGTAACCAAGACAGCATGGTACTGGTACCAAAACAGAGATATAGATCAATGGAACAGAACAGAGCCCTCAGAAATAACGCCGCATATCTACAACTATCTGATCTTTGACAAACCTGAGAAAAACAAGCAATGGGGAAAGGATTCCCTATTTAATAAATGATGCTGGGAAAACTGGCTAGCCATATGTAGAAAGCTGAAACTGGATCCCTTCCTTACACCTTATACAAAAATCAATTCAAGATGGATTAAAGACTTAAACATTAGACCTAAAACCATAAAAACCCTAGAAGAAAACCTAGGCATCACCATTCAGGACATAGGCATGGGTAAGGACTTCATGTCCAAAACACCAACAGCAATGGCAATGAAAGACAAAATTGACAAATGGGATCTAATTAAACTAAAGAGCTTCTGCACAGCAAAAGAAACTACCATCAGAGTGAACAGGCAACCTACAAAATGGGAGAAAATTTTTGCAACCTACTCATCTGACAAAGGGCTAATATCCAGAATCTACAATGAACTCAAACAAATTTACAAGAAAAAAACAAACAACCCCATCAAAAAGTGGGCAAAGGACATGAACAGACACTTCTCAAAAGAAGACATTTATGCAGCCAAAAAGCACATGAAAAAATGCTCATTATCACTGGCCATCAGAGAAATGCAAATCAAAACCACAATGAGATACCATCTCACACCAGTTAGAATGGCAATCATTAAAAAGTCAGGAAACAACAGGTGCTGGAGAGGATGTGGAGAAATAGGAACACTTTTACACTGTTGGTGGGACTGTAAACTAGTTCAACCATTGTGGAAGTCAGTGTGGCAATTCCTCAGGGATCTAGAACTAGAAATACCATTTGACCCAGCCATCCCATTACTGGGTATATACCCAAAGAACTATAAATCTTGCTGCTATAAAGACACATGCACACGTATGTTTATTGCGGCATTATTCACAATAGCAAAGACTTGGAACCAATCCAAATGTCCAACAATGATAGACTGGATTAAGAAAATGTGGCACATATACACCATGGAATACTATGCAGCCATAAAAAATGATGAGTTCATGTCCTTTGTAGGGACATGGATGAAATTGGAAATCATCATTCTCAGTAAAATATCGGAAGAACAAAAAACCAAACACCGCATATTCTCACTCATAGGTGGGAATTGAACAATGAGATCACATGGACACAGGAAGGGGAATATCACACTCTGGGGACTGTGGTGGGGTGGGGGGAGCAGGGAGGGATAGCATTGGGAGATATACCTAATGCTAGATGACGAGTTAGTGGGTTCAGCGCACCAGCATGGCACATGTATACATATGTAACTAACCTGCACAATGTGCACATGTACCCTAAAACTTAAAGTATAATAAAAAAAAAGAAAATATCTTCATTTTATTACCTTTTTTCTTTATCATGTAAAGTAAGATTTATTGACTTTATATAAGCATTTAAGTGTTGTTAAGTTTATGTAATAGCATGTGGTTTGGGGATTGGTGGATTTCCACTTGTAGGAAAGATAGTTGTATTATATTAGGTGTAATTTTGACCTTATTATTGTCCTTATTTAAAGATTACATATGATCTCAGGAGATGTGTATGGGTTCAGGTTGACAAGGGGTGGACTTGTGATGGTTAATACTGAGTGTCAACTTGATTGAAGGATGGAAAGTTTTGATCGTGGGTGTTTCTGTGAGGGTGTCTTCAAAGGAGATTTACATTTGAGTCAGTGGGCTGGGAAAGGCAGACCCAACCTTAATCTGGGTAGGCACAATTTAATCAGCTGCCAGCACAACCAGAATAAAAAGCAGGCAGAAGAATATGAAAGGCTAGCCTGGCTTAGCCTTCCAGCCTACATCTTTCTCCCATGCTGGATGCTTCCTTCCCTGGAACATCAGACTCCAAGTTCTTCAGCTTTGGGACTCAGACTGGCTTCCTTGCTCCTCAGCTTGCAGACAACGTATTGTAGGACCTTGTGATTGTGTGAGTTAATACTCCTTAACAAACACATCTCTCTCTATATATAAATATATATATATATATATATATATATATATATATATATATATATATATATATATATATATGTATCCTATTAGTTCTGCCCCCTAGAGAGACCTAATACATCTACATTTATTAAAGTTAAAAATTATACTTTTAAATAAAATCCCTGTTAATGATTTTTCTAAAAAGTAATTCAAATGCATTTGAAGTAAATGAAAATTAAATCTTTTGCCCAAGACACTAAGGCAAACCTTCAAGACATAAGTAAATAAATAGAAAGCTCTTAAGACTTTTAGTGGATTCACCAGAAGGAAAGAAAGATAAACGATAAATGATACATAGATGGATGGATGGATAGATAGATAGATAGATAGATAGATAGATAGATAGATAGATAGATATGACAGACTGTAAGAGCAAATACAAATTAAAAATAGGAGGCTTAATTTTTCTTGTTGGAAATAAAGGGAGAGACCTCCCTCCTCCCATTTGCTAGAGAATTTACTTTAGAAACTTAATAATTCTAAGTTCTTTCTCTGTCTCTTTCTTAAGGACTTGAAAACCATCTCTGAAATGTCACCATCAAGATGATAGTGCCCCTATCTCCCAGTTCCTGTGACAGGCAGGGGCCTAAGTTCTGCAGGCACTCTCCTCAAGTTGCAACACTTCTCCTGTCATAAATATATGAGAAATTTATTTTTCCTGTGCGTAAATCCAGTTAGCAAGTGCAGATGGCCTCCTGAATGACCAGGTGCATCTAAGACAAACTATATGTGACAAATGGTGCTGTCAAGTACTGTTAACTTAAGCACTAGTTAAGTTTATGCTGAGAACATGTATGTAACGGGCTGTATCTGCCTGCCTGTATAAAAGGGAGAGATGTATTTCTATCTTGGCAATCTCTTAGCTTCACATTCTGGTTTACTGTTTATTCAATAATAAAACTATTTCCTTTCTTTTTTTATTTTTGTGAAGAGGTTTCCTTAGTTGGCAGGAGACTTAGTTTTTATTTGTATTTCCCCAGCAGTGTGTATATATGTATATGTGTATGTTTATGTGAGATGATATTGCACACATGGATCTAATCATCAAAAAACATGCATGTATCATACAGTACTTGGCTCTGAGGATGTAACGGTAACAAAAAAGACAAAATCCTTGTTAAACTACATATGCTCTAGAGAAAACAGACCCAAAATAATATATGTAATATTGCATGGATAGCAATAAGTACATGGAGAAAAAAATAAAACAGGGAATAAAGAGAGACAGGGATTGCCTCATTAGACTGTTAGAAATTATAAATGGTGTGGTCAGAATCTGACTCACTGAGAAATGTGGTATTTGAGGAAAGACAAATGAAGACAGACACATACAGAAGTACATAGTAGAAGTAAACATCAAGCAGAGAGAAGATTGTCAAGAACCTGAGGTAGGCAAATGCCTAGCATCCTTGACAAATAGCAAGGTCAGCAGAGATTTCAAGGGAAAGACAGAGATACTGGGAGGGAATAGAGGCAAATTCAATGTGGCATTGTTAATATGGCTGAAATGCCTATACCAATTTAAGTTCTTAAAGCAGTATTTAGGAGATTCTTAAAATTCCTATTTCCTATCATTAACATAAGGATAGTGTTGAATGATAGTCCCTAAATAGAAATTGTATCATTTTTGTTTCTTTGTTTCGCCAGTCTATTTGAGGAAAATCACATTTTTATGGCTTTCATAAAATCAAGTTAGAGCACATTTTATAGATATTTTGGGTTTGTATAATTCTTGTATATGTTTGTTTGAAGAATTTGTTCATTAATCTATTGAGATCCTGACTTCTTCCTAATTATTCACGAAGAAAAATATTAAGAGGTGGGAATTATCAGACACTGACCAAAACATTAGGTTTTTTCTGATATTTGAAATATCAAAAAGGAACTGTGCAAATTCTATTATATTATTCATTTGCATTTTCAATCTATATATTCTCTGTATATTTTCTGTAAATAAAGTTAGTGTTGAAATTTTTATTTAAAATAGGCTAATTAGCATGTGTTAAAAGTTTAGTTTGATAATTGTCCTTGGATTTCTGGACAAATTGCTAATATTGAGATTAATTTTAATAGTGATTAATTGAAATTATCTTTTTGGTTGAAAATAGCTGTTCACACAGAGAAAGCTCTGATGGTTAATCACCGGCCACAAACACTTGTGAGCTTTTATTCACTCTTAAGAGCAGCAAAAGCACTAGAGCTCGCATGTCCACACTAGGAAAGAATTAAAATGAGGACAATCAGCCTGTTTCTTTGGATGAAGAGAAAACCACCATTTTTCAAACCAGTTAACAAAACAATATTTCTGTCTAACTTTTTACTTTCACCTCAACTTTGGGGCTTCCTCTTCCATAAAGAAAAATGCACACACACATACACATACAAATATATATATATACTTTTTTCTGCTTCTCAGGAAATAGGCATGACAGTTTTTACTCTGCTATTTTGAAGAAACTCCCCATGCATTAGGTTTTGCAACATTACACCTAGGTACTCACTGTATGTAATTAATGCACAGTGTTTTTGAAACTCTTGTTAACACATCTTCTTTCACTTGCTGGCCTACCCTGTACTACTCACCATTGCGTAGCTCAGAAGGATGGCAGGTAGATGTAAAAATTCCAGAAAGGAGTTTTCTCAAAAGAACATTTTATTTGTAAGAGGTACCATTTGAGTTACAATAAAGCATTCTTGATTTTGATGATCTGGTATTTACTGCTCTTTCACAAAATCAAAGAAGTCTGTGTCAATGTCCTTATCAAATATCATTGCATCATATATACATGGCATGCATGCTGCCATGGCATATTTGTGGCATATATGTTAGAGGCTTGATTTTTACAGACAATTAGGTTTTTGATATGAAATCAAGGATAGACCAAACCTGCCCTAATTTAAACATGGAGAAACAAAGTACAATGAACAGAGTTCTCAGCATCCTAAGATGTATGAAAAAAAGTATAGCAGTGATGAGGTCCAGGACAACAAGTGAAGTAAGGAGCTATCTCAATGTAATGGTAGAAATATTCAGTGTATTCCACTGGAAGAGTTCAAGTTCTCCTGCATGGTTGAGTTTAATTTGTGCAAACCATCAATATTGAGTCCTTTCTCTTGGAGACCACAGCACAAACAATAGAAACTTGAGTTTGATTTAGCATTAGTGAAACAGATTGTGTCATATGTATGCATTTATAATAAGAAACATGGGATATTTAGATAAATATTTCACTTGTATTTCCTACACTAAAATAACCTGTTAATTGTAAAAGATAGGGTAGGACAAATAATTTTTCTCTATAGCCCCTAACTGACTTTGTCCCTTACAGCTCTTTCTCCCGCCACCTCCTGGACATACGTGTAGCCCTTAACTGTTCCTCTAACCTTCTTGACAATATCTAAATTGCCCAAACAATGACGCTAATCCATAAGGTCAGATTCTCCCTCTTCCAAGAACCATCCTTGCCTAACTTTTCTCCAAAACTAGCAAAACTTTGACTTACTTAATCCTGCTAATACCCTATAAATCTTTCCTACATCTGTGCCCAAATTAGAACTATCTTGTAGAATCTTCAAATAAAAGCTTTGACTGTCTTCCACATAAAAATAAAAACAATGTATAGTTTTTATTTAGAAAAGTAATATTTAAATAATCAAAACATAGAAATAATAATACAAAATGTAAAACTTAACATGTAAAGAGTGTATGGAAGTCCCCTACCTGAGTGCAGGGAAACATTATTTTGAAATAGACAAAGACAATTTGTAATTCCAGGGTATTAACTATTAAGCTCATTTGTGTTTCATTTTCAGAATAGAAATTACCTGGAGCTATTATTCCGGACTATTCTGAAGCTGATTGCTACATGAAATAAAGGGTTGTTGATATGTTAAACAAAAAACAACAAAAACAATGCAAAAAAACCCACATGCCTACCACATGATCCACATGATCTTCTTATATCCAGGGTCACATTAAGGAAATATTTTTATGGTGTTAAATCTTTCTTTTTCGTATTTCCCAGCAGAAACCTGTTTGAGCTTTTCTTGTCAAAAAGCATTGTTGATGATCTCTGGTTTCAGCCAATTGCTTTCAAGCTACTCAGAAACCGCCAAATATATCATTTGAAATTTGTCTAAAAATTTAATATGCATATAATTCACATTATATGTGATTGTTATTAAATTGAAGATTTAATTTTGCTAGTCTAGGTGTATCTCAATTTTCTGCATTTCTAACAAACTTCCAAATGATGCCAATGCTTCTAGAGCACCAGCCTTATTTTTAAGGCTTTACTTGGACAGAACTATTCAGCTCAATTTCACACATACGCTCCTAATAGTCATGTCCCAGTATTCTAGTAGGCATCTGGAAACCTGCTTCCTCACCATATTCTCTTTTGCCCAGCTTCCTCTGCCTTCCTGATAGTTTACATTTTCCTATGGGTTTTCATGCTTTCTTCCTTTTACACCTACTATTGATGCCTGTGTAATATGACACCTCCACTTAACAAACTGGAAATTTCTTAATTATTTCGCACTGAGACCGTTAGTTATATTTGCATCTGTATATGCACAGAATACTATACCTCACTTTTATCATCATGCATTGTACTAGTCAGTTTCTTGACCAGGAATGTTTGAATTAATTGTAGTATTCTTCAAATTTAGGAAAACATTTGGTATAAGCCAGGATAACATGAACATTTATGTTTAAATTTTTACTAATTTATGTGTTTACTAAATGAAAAATAAAGGGAAGAGAGAAAATGGAAATGGGATTTTAGAGATGAAAACAATGGAGCTTGTTATTTTTAAAGTATACCCTATAAATGCTCATTTTCAATTTTACCTAAAGTGTCTAAAGTTATTTTTACCCTGAGTTGTCTAGGTAATATGTGATATTCGTCTCCATAGTTAGATTTTACCCTGACTCCACATTTCAACTCTTTCTCTATTAGCTCAGGGAATGTTCAAGCTATCTTATGAAATAGGGACAGATGAATTAAAGGGACCCACGGACTTTGATAATAAAGAAGAATAACAAGCTTCCACAAGAATAGTAATAGGCTTGCTCAAAATCAAATCTGCATTTTAATAAGATCCAGATACAATGTGAATGGAAGTTGATGGTGACAGCCAATCATTTTATGGTGGGCATTCATCTTCCACAATTTCAGTGCTCTTCCTGCTTCACAAAATGAAGGGAAATGCTTCTTGGGAAGATGAAGAGATTCACCAAATGAAATAAGTTGAATTGAAGAAAATAGAATGGAATGCAGAATTTCCACATGCCTGTAAAAATGATCACTTCACATACCATTGCCAGGCTAAACCGCATAGTTACCACCTATGCATCTAAATAATTTCAGTCCGTTTCTCAATCATAACATTGATCTTTATTTATCCGAAAATATTTTGTTGGCTAGTGTCTTATATTATTAAAGTGACAGTTTGAAAATCAGGTTAACTACAGAATTGAGGACATTATAGTCAACTTACACTCCTCCTTCGAGGACTGTTTTACTCTTGCCCTTGTGTTTCAAACACCTTGCCAAACCCCATTCTTTGTGAATAAGAAAGTATATTGAGAGGAATCACCTGTGAAGTATAATAATAAAACGATCTTTAAATACATGCAAACACCCAATAGTCTTTGTTTCTCATGTCTGCTCCAGGGAAGCTATTAACTGGAAATGAAGTAGATTTAGACAATTTTTTTTTAAAAATAGCACTAAAGATCAAGTGTTTAGATTCTTGAACTAGACGTCAGTTTATTGCTCTTTCAAAGTTCTCTGCTATTGACAACAACAAAACATACAGATTTGAAAAACATTTATTTAGATATTAACTGCATTCTTACAAAGCCAATGACACAAGAATCTATACAATAACAAAAGAATTTCTGCCTTGGCAAAAATAAAATATGCTTTTTTTCAATGCAAATAATGTAAATGTTTGCTACAAGAAACTATTGAATTGCTTCTCTCTAAGCAGCAGGGGAGTACTGAAACATGATTTTAGCTTCTAATATTGCATTGTGCATTTTTGTCATGTATATTAGAATGTTAAATTCATACAATGAAATCATAAAATATATCAATTAATGTTCAATGTATCGTTAATTAATTTTAAAATTCTAAAATTGTTTTACTGAGTTTTTATCTTCTCTTGTCATTTCTGTTAAATACAGGGACAAACAATGGAATTTGGCGAGGGACATATTTAAATCTTGGCATTGCTCACTTATTCTTGGGCAACCTAGTTTTAATCTTCAATTCTCATTTTACCCATCTGTGAAATGAACACATGATTACATACAGAATATTTGTTTGGATTAAACAAGCTAATGAATGTAAAACACCTATTAAATGTTTATTTTATGGGCATTCTAAAATAGCACTTGCTGTTATTCCTATTACTTTTACTACTAAACTAATGTATTTTCATAATTATTAAAAATTCACAAGCACTCTTCAAGGTCTTTCAAGTATTTTGATAAACTTGATCAATAAGCTTACCCTTCAAAGTCATAATAGAACAGTAGTTTACTATTCAAAGTCATAATAGAACAGTGGTTTAATGAATGGATGCTGATATCAAGCATGTATTCAAGTTTCAAGTACTCTATATGTTAGTTCAAATTTTTAGTCTATGTTTTCTCAACTGTGTGCATTTATACATATATGATTACATCATAACACTTTTTGGCATGGAGTTAATTTGAAATTAACAAGGAAAAATTTAGCAGAGAACATAAAATACTATTTCTCTTGCCTCTCTCTCCCATTATGAGAGATATATAGTCCTTATTCAAAAGCTGGGAATAATGACTTCATTTCTCCTCAGTGTTTTTTATATACTACACTGTTCTTCCAGGTAGGTCGCAAAAAAGGATTAGGCTTTGCTCTCCCTCTAGTAAAGTGATCTCCATCTTCTAGATGAAGATACACAACATTTTCACAAATGTGTCAAGGTGATGGCTTGATTATAGCAATGGGAAGTTTTTATTCAAATAGTGTCTGAATGTTTGTCTGCCGAGGTCACTGGGCACACAGATGATATATGAAAGCAACTTCTCATGTGGATACTGGGCTCCCCACTGGCAATTCTAGGTAGGCACCTTCTACATCGCTAACACACCTCCTGGGCACTTGTAAAATGTTCCATAAAAATGCCACCCTCTTGATTCACTAGAACTATTTGCCCAGCATCTCATTCTTGGACCCCTCTTCAGGGTTAAGGATCTTTCCTGCTTTCCCTTTCTTTCTGGACATTTTCAGCTTATTAGCTACAATCCATTTACCCCTCTCTACCAAAGCCTACACTGATCTTCTGTCTATCATCTGCCTGATATCCAATCAGGAGAAAATTTAACATATAAAATTAGAGTCCAACCACAGCAAATATGCAACCTGTAAGCTGATGGTACTAGACATTTAAATATCTAGTGTTGGCATTACTAAATGTTAAAATGTTGACATTATCAGATATTAAGATATCAAAACTCTTCCATACTTGCTGTGTGGCCACTACACCTTAAATACTGCTTGTCTCTTCTGCTGCTATAGAATTTCACCTGGAACCCCCTCTCCCCAAATATCCCCGTGATCCAGAAACTAAATGATCAGTGCTTGGCACAGTAGAAGCTTTCTAGGATTTCATACCAATGCCATGGCCAGTATCTGTGATTGACAATTTCATGTGCTCTAAGTGGTATCATTGTTCACTTCTAACAGGGGAGGGAAAAGAGATGTCAGAGGTTATGGACATTGCAGAGCTTTGCTTCAAACCTGGTCAGGCCTGAATGTCTTACTCCCAACCAACATCCTATCTGGCCAGAAAAATCTGTTTCAGTCTAACTAAATATAACATTCTTATTAACAACTTTGTGACTTAATTCACAATAAAGATATGGAATATATACTAATCTTAGGCCTTGTTTTAAGCATTATAGCAATGTTATGCAATTTTTAGCTTAGCAGCCAGTAGAAGCTTTCACATAATAATGAAAATCATTGATGTTAAAAGTAATTCTCTACATATCAAAAGTAAAAGACTTGTTTCTATCAATAAATAAGAAGTCATTGGAAGAGCTTGATGTTATTTTCTAGGAAACACTGTGGTCTAGATAGGGGCACTGCTCAGAAAAAGACAACTGCATTAATAATTTAAAAGCAAAACAAAAACAAAATAAATACCTCAGCAAACATTTCTAAGATACATAAAATTTTTAGAACTATTTTTGAAAGATTTAGTAAACTGTATGCACTAAACACAACTTTGATAAGCAGCTATATATATATTTAAATATTGATCTATATTAGAAATTAAATGGTATGTGAGTACATATTATATGGTGTTTTAAAATACTTTGCTAAATATCACTCTGGAGGTATTATAAAAAACAAATCCCCCATCCATGCAAGGAGGGCTCTATTTAGAACAAGAATGGTCTTGATGCTTCTCAAGAAGAAGTCAGTAATGTAATTTTTTCCCAGAATAGGCTGTGCTGTTTTTATACTATATACAAAAGGCACTTCTTATAATATCTCTATGAAAATATTGTTTCTCTATCAAAATAACTTAAATATGCTTTTCCTGCTGAATTTGTTTCATTTGTTCTTCTTTAGTCATGTTATTATTTAATGTTTCTGTCTTCTCCCAAAATTCATATGCTGAAGCTTAATCCCCAATGGGAATGAGGTCTTCAGGAGGTGATTAGATCCTCATGAATGGGATTTGCTCCTTATAAAAGAGGTCCAATGAGGATGCTCTAAGAGTGCGTTATCTGTGAGGGAAGGACTCTTACCAGACATGAAATCTGACAGTACTTTGATCTTGGAACTCCCAGCCTCCAGAACTGTGAGAAATAAATGTCTGTTGTTGATAAGCCACCCAGCCTCTGGTATCTTTGTTATATCAGCCCCAAAAGACTAAGCCAACTCAGTGAATGAATGGATGTGGTAACACAGTTCTTCCACATCTGTCCATCTTTTTCAAGTTGCTTCAAACCATGCTCCTCCTCACTGTGTGTTCCACATCCAAGTGCTCAACACTCTGATTTTCCAACCTTCCTGACTCCCACCCATTCTATATTCCCCTCACTCTGATTCCTTTAGGAATTCTAATGACTTGAACTTTTGGGTGTTATTAATTGATTTCTGATGGTAGTGTACCAATACTTTGAACATTTTTTTAATTAGAAATTTTGGGTTCAGGAATACATGTACAGGATTGTTATATAGGTAAACTGCATGTCACAAGGGTTTGGTGTACAGATTATTTTGTCACCAGGTAATAAACATGGGGACCAATAAGTATTTTTTCCTGATCCTCTCCCTCCTCCTACCTTTTGCCCTGGTATCTCTTTTTCCCCTCTTTGTGTTCATCTATTCTCACTGTTTAGCTCCCAGTTATAGGTGAGAACATGCAGTATTTGGTTTTCTGTTCCTACATTAGTTTGCTTAGGATAATGGTGTACACCTCCCTCCATGTTGCTACAAAGGACATGATCTCTTTCTTTTTTATGGCTGCATAGTATTCCGTGGTGTATATATACCACAGTTTCTTTATCTAGTCTACTGGTGATTCCATGTCTTTGCTATTGTGAATAGTGCTGCAATAAATACACACATGCATGTGTCTTTATGATAGTTTTTAGCAGCTGTAAATAAAATGCCCTCCTTGCTAACTCTCTCAGCTTATATATTTATTTATTTATTTATCTATTTATTTATTTATTTGAGACAAAATCTTGTTCTGTCACCCAGGCTGGAGTGCAGTGGCACAATCTCAGCTCACTGCAACCTCCGCTTCCCAGGTTCAAGTGATTCTCCTGCATCAGCCTCCCAAGAAGCTGGGATTACAGACACATGCCATCACGTCCAACTAATTTCTACATTTTTAGTAGAGATAGGGTTTCACCACGTTGTCCAGGCTGGTCTCGAACGCCTGACCTCAAGTGATCCACCCACCTTGGCCTCCCAAAGTGCTGGGATTACAGGCACGAGCCACCGCACCCGGACCCTCAGTTCATTTATTTATGATTTCCACATTCACATTGCCACAAAGATCAGTTTGATATATATATCTTAAAAACACTAGAAAAAAAAAGCTTTCAGATTAGTAAAACTTGTTTGAAACTGAAACAACAAAGTATAACTATGACATAAGAGTAAGATGTTCTCTCCTCCAGAGAAAAACTAAGAATGGAGTCTGAGAGCCCTCAACTCTCAAATCTTTGACTGGGTCTTTGGTTAATGCTAGGGACTAAATTGTGTGTACCCAAAATTCATATGCTGGAGTCCTAACTCCCAGTAGTTGTGACTATATTCAAAGATAGAGTCTTTAATAAAATAATAATGTTTAACAAGGTAATATGGTTGGGCCCTGATCCTTCATGACTGGTGTTTTTACAAAAGGAAGTTAGGACACAGACATATTCTTATGAAGATGATGTGTATTATTCACATGCTGCTATGATAGAGTAACACAGACCAGGAAGCTTAAACAACTGAAATTTACTTTCTCATAGTTCTGGAGACTAGACGTTCAAGATCAAGATTCCATTAGACTTGGTTTCTGGTGAGGCCCCTCTTTCTGGCTTATAGATAACTGCCTTCTTACTATGTCCTCACATGGCTTCTTCTCTGTATGTGTGGAGAGAGATCTCTGGTACTACTTCTTTGTCTTATAAGAATTCCTATCGCATCAAGTTAGGACCCCATCTTTATGACCTCATATAACCTTAATTAGTTTTCTAAATGTCCTATCACCAAATATAGTCACATTGGAGATTGAAGCTTCATCATATAAATTTTGAAGATACAATTTAGTCCAAACACTATGTGAAGATACAAAGAAGGCATCTACGAGGCATGGAGGGAAGCCTCAGAAGAAATCAACCTTACTGACACCTTAATCTCATATTTCTGCCCTACCCAATTGTGAACAAATGAGTTGCTATTTTTTTTAAAGTTGTGTTAATGTGTTTTTTTTTTTCCTATAGAGTATGATATTTTGTCATCTTCAAAATATTACTTCCTGGTAAGTGACTGTCTCTCTCAGTCTTAACCAGTTGATGGAGATGGCAAAGATCTTGGACATCACCTGCCTTCTTATGCCAGCAAAGCAATCCCAAGTGTATCTCTACAACTACACTCTTTATCTAAATCTCACACACTAAGATAATATTTTCCCTGCCTTAAATTATTCCAAAGCCGGCTCTCAGGCAACTAGAGATCACCTCTATAATCGAAAGACCCCATTTGGAGGCCCCTTTATCAAGGTTACTCATTTGAGTCCCTCCCTAGGCACCAGTGCCAAGCCCTTCTTATGGAGCCCATGTGACTCTCCAATGTGTCTCAGTCCTCAGAAATTTCCAGTTCCAAGCCCTTTCCCTTCTCCCTTTCTATGGCTCCTACGGTCAACAAATTGGAAGTAGCTTTTTGTTCAGAGAACTCTTGAGAGTGAGACAATTGTCTCTGTCTGCACTGATACATATGACTTTTGCTTAGTGCAGAACTGTGGTGAAAATGGGACATTTGGGAATTCAATACTTTTTCCCGTTTAGTCTCTTGCTTTTATACTACGGCAAAAAGCAATTAAAGGCTTGACTATTACTTCGACTTGGGCTTATTGTCTTAATGGATTGACAACTTGTCACAATTTGACAATTGTGGCTGCACAATTTGCCTGAAACCTGACCTTTCATTCTCTCTGGCTCACCTCAGCTCTTGACAATAAAAAGGAAGATACAAGAGATACCTGACTCAAACTTCAGCCAAATTTTCATCCCTGGTGCAAATAAAAAGTCACAATTTGGAAGAATAAATTAGAGGGAAATGTCTAAGCCTTCTACTTGTGAATTTGCTCTCTTTATTCTGAGGCAGTTGCCTTGAAAATCATGAGTACAGTTCAGTTAGTATTTCTGGTTGAAAGTAATAAATGCAGCTCTGGCTAATGATCCAGTTAATTAAACATTTTACTAAATTAAAAAAATAAAAGGAAGCTTACAAAATCTTTAGTAGACTTAATTTAATAGCAAGTGTTCAGAGACAACACTGGTTGCTGATGATCTGATGAGTACACTGGTCTGATCAGGAAATGTACTTGCTGCCACCAAGGACTAGATGCTAAAAGTTTGCACCACTGTCTCTCTTGCTCTACGATTCCTACTTGTAATTATTATAACTACCGCAAACCTTAAGCAGAGAGAGAGAGAAAAACAGCAAGAGAGATGAGCTGTCAGTACCTTCCTGCTTCTGATACCAGATTCTTGGTCAAAGTCAAGAGAAAATGTGTCTAATGTATGGAGTCTAGGAGTTTATGTAACAGGTAGCTACGCATGAGTAGTCCAGGAGATGGCTTTCCCCACTCACCAGGAATGTCAGGTGATGGTTGGGCAAAGATCACATTGCCCCTCTAAAAGTGGTAAGTTGGCAGCTGGTGTCAGGGAGAGGCCATTTCTTGATGGTCCACACCTGTTGCATTAAAGTGTTAATTGAATGCAGATGTCAGGGAGAAGCAACTTCCTGAGTATGTGCATTAAGAGATAAAATGGCAGAGCATGATCTTCCAGGGGCACTCCACGGGAAAAGGGAAGAAAGCCTCAGATGGGCATGCATACAACTTCCTAAACACACTGAATGTGCTCACCTCTCAAGTGTAAAGAGGGCACTACACATGTGGTCAGCCCATCCTAAGGGAAGAATCAATGGAAAGGGGCCAGCCTATAAGTCCTAGGATCCAAGTTAAACATTGCACTTGACCCTCACATGCGCACTTGGGTCTCTTCCAAGCATAATTTCCCTCCTGTCTGAAGCCTTTTTAAATAAATGTACACTCCTTCTCTGAAAATTACCTTGGTCTCTTGTTTTGCCTTATTCCCTTAGTCAAATCATTTCTTCTGAAGAGGCAAGAATTGAGGTTGCTGCAGACTTGTATGACTTTGCCACCGGTAACTTGGATACCTTCCACCAGTAACATTTAAGGCACATAACTGGGTATTCATAGTACTCGGGGGCCTTGCCATTGTGTGATTAAGACCACAGACTGTGATGCTGCACTGCCCATCTACCACACTGAAAAGCTGTCTGGACTTCTGCAAGTTTCTTAACCTCTCTGTACCTCAGACTCCTCATCTGTACAAAAAAAGAAATTATATATGTATATATATACAGTGGTCACCTCACAGGATTTTTTTGAAGAATAAAAAATTTTAAATAAATAAAACACTTAATACATGAAACACGACTGCATTATTTTTACTCATTAATTTTAAATTGCAAGAGAGAAAAGGAGAAATGATTATCAAGCATTATTTGTTCCTATGAGGATAAGTGGGATTTTGATATAAGCAAAACAAAAACAACAAGGAATTCTCCAAGTACAAAATTACATGCAGCCTCTGGGTAACTGAAATAAAATCTTTACCATAAAAGGCTAGGAAATAATACACTTAGTGTGAGAATTAACGTGATAAAAAAAATTTGGCGATTATTTATGCCGTTCTCATGTAATCACTGGAGGGAGAATTGCTTGTGACTTGTGCTCTGTGGATATTAAAGATGAAATACATGAGTGGAAGTCTCTTAAAAGGTCACACTCCAAGTCTGATTTCTGCAATCTGCTGTGTCAACAGTCAAAAATCCATCCCAGATTCATGAGATAAATGGATTGAGACCAGATGATTCTGGCATAGAGGAATAGGTTGTAGGAAAAAGTATGAAACCTGGGGAAAGTTGAGGAGGACAAATCAACACATAAAAGAGTAAGGGAATTTGAAATGACAGAGCAGGCAAAGCCCACCTGCAGCAATGCTTTGGTGCTTCCAGTTTGTTTCTGTCTCATGATTAATGCACCCAATTCTTCACTTCACTTAGGGCTTTGTGAGGGGAATAGAGAAAAATGTGCTGCTCTTTGGTTCTTGGGGTGACATTATTTCACACTAGTATATGCAGCTTTATACCGTTTAAATTTCTGTATTATATTTATTTTATTTAAATTTGAGAACAAAACATAGAGGTAGAGAATGTCTTTCATTCCTTAGTGTATGTCTTAGTCCTGTTGGGCAGCTTTAACAAAATTCCATATATTGAGTGACTTACAAACAACAGAAATTTATCCCTCATAATTCTCCAGGCTGGGAAGTCCAACTTTGGGGCACCAGCAAATCCATTGCCTTGTGGGGGCCCAACTTCTGGATTATAGATGGTTCTTTCTGGCTGCCTCCTCACATGGGGAAAAGAATGAGGAGTTTCTCTTAAGCATTTTTTATAGGAGCACTAATCTCATTTATAAGTGCTCCATGCTCATGATCTAAATGCCCCTAAAGGCCCCACTTCCTAATATCATCCCCTTAACAGTAAGGATTTTAACATATGAAGTCAGTCGGCAGGGTGGGCATCAACATTTTAAATATAGCAGTGTGTGTAGTAAAAGTTGAGAAAAACATTAACCAAAATAAAGGGAAATAAAATATTATTTTGGAAAATATGAAGTAAAATGCATTAGTATTGTTATTTTATTCAACAAATATCATGCTAATTATGTATACATGATTGGGTCTATTTATACTCTTAATAATAACACGAACAATTGTCCTTAAACTTGACCCAGAAGTCGCTCACAATAAGCAATAATTTCTTAAGCATATGCTTACCCAATAAATCTGAACAAGATAATATAAACACTTACATATTAATATTGGCATATTTCCTCTCTATTGTCTCAGGGAACTCTAAAATCAGACGAAAAGAGAGACATTTAACAAAATTTGAGCATGAAAAATGCATGGTGAAACTTTAAGGGCACAAACATTTGTATATTGTATTCAAAATGTCACTTAATGCAAATTATAATGACAATATCAACAGAAAATAGCAGTGAAATGCCTTCAAAAGAGCCAAGGGCCTTCAGACTGCAGTTAACTCTATTATGTCTTTGAAAAGTATTGTAATATTCTTGAAAAGTCACTGCAAAAAAATACCACTGAAGAATTCATTCAGAATAAATCTAAAATCAAATGACGTGATATGAAGCCATCAAACATACATAAATGTATGTCACCCTAAGAATTATAGATACAAAAGAAAATGTATTTATATATTTCTTAAAGGAGAAATATCTAAAAATGAGTAAAAATAAAGATCTAAACTCAAAAGTAAAATAAAAAAGACCTTATTAGTGGATATAAGAGGACATTGAAAATGAGAAATATTGTAAGGTATATTGAGTTCCACAAAAATTGCATAGTTTGCTTTTTGTCCTTTATTGGCAATTTTGTACAACTGAATTGCAATACTCATTTAAACTCATTACTAAGCTCCTTAGTAAATTGTGAAAATAGAGAAGAAGATCTGACAACAGAAACACAATATTTGTCTTTTTAAAAAAATTTATTTCCTTTTTATGAATGTAAGCTTCTTTCTATATAATTGAACTTATAAATAATGCTTTATCTGGATTTTTCTCCAAATAGTCTGTTAAACATTTCCATGTTTTAGCTGGATTAAAAACACAGAATTTTACATTACATACAAAATGTTATTGAGTTATATGATAATATACTTAATCACAATCATATTGCTAAGTATCTGAGTTAATCTTTGTTTATAGGTATGATTACATTTGACCCAGTCTTAAAAGTCATTTAATATTTATATAAATGTAAATTATATGATAAATACATTAGTTTGTAATTCTTTTTATTTTAAGATAAAGCAGTTTAGGACTACTGCAATGAAAGATGTACCTTTCTTTTTTGCTTTTTTTTTTTTTTATTGTACTTTAAGTTCTGGGGTACATGTGCAGAACATGCAGTTTTATTACATAGGTATACACATGCCATGGTGGTTTGCTGCACCCATCAACCTGTCACCTACATTAGGTATTTCTCCTATTGTTATCCCTTCCCTAGTCCCCCATCCCCCAACAGGCCCCAGTGTGTGATGTTCCCCTCCCTACATCCATGTATTCTCATTGTTCAACTCCTATTTATGAGTGAGAACATGCAGTGTTTGGTTTTCTGTTCTTGTAATAGTTTGCTGAGAATGATGGTTTCTAGCTTCATCCATGTCCCTGTAAAGGACATGAACTCATCTTTTTTTATGGCTGCATAGTATTCCATGATGTGTATGTGCCACATTTTCTTTATCCAGTCTATTATTGATGGACATTTGGGTTGGTTCCAAGTCTTTGCTATTGTCAATATTGCTGCAATAAGCATAAGTGTGCATGTGTCTTTATAGTAGCATGATTTATAATCCTTTGGGTATATACCCAGTAATGGGATTGCTGGTATTTCTAGTTCTAGATCCTTGAGGAATCACCACACTGTCTTCCATATTGTTGAAGTAATTTACACTCCCACCAACAGTGTAAAAGTGTTCCTATTTCTCCACATCCTTTCCAGCATCTGTTGTTTCCTGACTTTTTAATGACCGCCATTCTAAATGGCATGAGATAGTATCTCATTATGGTTTTGATTTGCATTTTTCTAATGACCAGAGATGATGAGCATTTTTTCATATGTTTGTTGGCTGCATAAGTGTCTTCTTTTGAGAAGTGTTTGTTCAATTCCTTTGTCCACTTTTTGATGGGGTGTTTTGTTTTTTCTTGTAAATTTGTTTAAGTTCTTTGTAGATTCTGGATATTAGCCCTTTGTCAGATGGATAGATTGCAAAAATTTCTCTCATTCTGCAGGTTGCCTGTTCACTCTGATGATAGTTTCTTTTGCTGTGTAGAAGTTCTTTAGTTTAATTAGGTCCCATTTGTCAATTTTGGCTTTTGTTGCCATTGCTTTTGGTGTTTTAGACATGAAGTCTTTGTCCATGCCTACGTCCTGAACGGTATTGCCTAGGTTTTCTTCTAGGCTTTTTATGGTTCTGTGTCTTACATTTAAGTCTTGATCCATCTTGAGTTGATTTTCTTATAAGGTATAAGGAAGGGGTCCAGTTTCAGTTTTCTGCATATGGCTTTTTAACTCTAGTTGAAAAATGGAATTAATTCCCACGTTAACTAAAACGTATGGCAAGATCCCAGTGACAGTAAATAAAACTGGCAAGATCCCAGTGACAGTAAATAAAACTGGCAAGATCCCAGTGACAGTAAATACTGCACTTTCTGAGAAGTGTGGATTGAAGAATTCATTCTAGGGAGTTCTAGGACCTGACTTTTTACTCTTCTGCTGATAGGGACAGGAGGCAGGAAAATTCTGGGCAGAAGAGAGTGGGTTCCCAGCAAGGGCCCCACCCTCAAGCCTGGAACTGAGGCCCAAAGTGAGGACATTACATTCCTATTTTCCTGCTTGAATGTTGCCTTTTCCAAAACCACCTATGGCCCGCCCCGGCCCCTATCGTGTGCTCATAAAAACCCCAGGCTTAGACAGTAGAAAGGAGAAGCAGCTGAACGTCGATAGGCGAAGCAGCTGGGCATTGGAGACTGCGGTTGGACGTCGGAGAGAAGTGGCTTGACTTCAGAGGGACGGCTTGATGGCATGACTTCAGGGGAAGAACACCTTTCCGCTCCATCACCTTTCCAGCTCTCCTTCCTGCTGAGAGCTATTTTCATTGGCAATAACATTCTCCACATTCATCACCCTTCAATTCATTCGTGTGACCTGATTCTTCCTGGACACTGAATAAGAGCTTGGGTACTATGACTGCGGATGCAAAAGACTGTCACGCTAAGCTGTTAACACTGAAGCCATCCACGGACAGCAGAGTTTAAAGAGTACCATAACACACACCCTCTGGGGCTTCAGGGGTCGCAGGCACCCCCGCTAGATGCTGCCGTGGGGTTGGTAAGGAGTTCGTTCCTGCTGGCACACAAAAGCACTTGGCCCAGCTTCTGCACCCACTCACCAGCATGCTCCCTCCCACGAGTGGCTGCGCATAGCAGGTTTGAGGGAACAAAGTTTGCCCCTGCCAGCGCTGAAGAGGCCAGCTAGCTCCAGCACCTGCACTCCAGTTCCTACCCGCAAAGGGATTAGGGAAAATTTTCTGTTTCACTACTACCTCCAAATCTCAACGGACTCATCCTGCTATAAGGGAAAGGATGGAAAAGAGAGAAGATCCTGCTTTAGTCTGAACCAAAAACACAGATCCTGATGAGTTTAGTTCAACAGATAGGAATGAGAAGGAAAATAGAGAAGATACACCCAAAATTATTAACTTAAGTTGCAAAACCCCAATCACTAGTGAAATATAGCCTAATAAAACTTTTCAAGTGCTGACCAATCAGATTGACAACAATTCCTTCGTCACAGATAAGTAGCCAAGTGATGTACTCAAAAGGGATGAAATAGTTGTCTTAGGTATTTGTCTTTAATGAACAAATCTGGTGCATAAGAAAAGTGGAAAAGACCTCTTTACCACAGTGATTCATGATATATTTAACAAAATAAGATTATATATGTTTCTACCATCTTAGATCACATATTTTTCAATGTCTCCTAAGCGTAACAGGTAATTTATTATTATTTTGTGTTTAAAAATTATTGGTGAATATCAATCATTTTTGTTGATATTGTAATAGTTATTTACATTTAGTGAATTAGCATTTCAGTATTTGGCCTATGTAACTATTTGAGCTTAATGAGATTTTTGTTTTTTTCCCTATTTGTAAGTACTCTTTGAAAAGTAAATCCTTTTTAAATAATATTTTCTATTAACAAGTTGGCCTCGAAAATTTTTGCTAACATTTGCTGCTTTATGTGAAGGTTTCACTAATTTATGTTACAAAGGAATGCTTCCTTCAGAAAGTAAAATTAAAGGTCATCAGATTCTCAGAGAAAAAGTGTCTTACTTTGATTTCCTTTCTGGAATAATAAATCTTCAAATTGGGGTGTTTTTAACCCTTGAGATGTATGAAGACCTTACAAGGAATATACGAAGACCAATAAATTTTAAGAAATCAATTAATGTTTTGCAATTGATTTGGTTCAGAATGTAATGATCACCAAAGTATTATTTAGATTCTGTATGCTAATCTTTTTTTTCACAATCAACTTTTTCTCATTTTACAAAAAATAAAGCATTATCTTCACTCATCCTAAAATAAAAGAAACAGTTTTCCAGTGGGAAACTTTTGTGGTGACCAAAAGCAGAGACAATTCAAAAGACATCTTCATACAAAGAAGTTTACTTTAATAAGGCAGTATCCTATCTCACTGAAAAACAAACAAAAAAACCTTTTTGATCAAATTTTACATTACAGTTTTAATGTGTTTTGGAAAATTAAGATAAGTCTTTTTTTTGGTTCATTTTTTTTATTTTTTTTTTTTTGTTTTTTGTTTTGAGACGGAGTCTCGCTCTATCTCCCAAGCTAGAGTGCAATGGCATGATCTTGGCTAACTGCGACCTCCACGTCCTGGGTTAAAGCAGTTCTCCTGCCTCAGCCCTCAGCCTCCCAAGTAGCTGGGATTATAGGCACATGCCACCATGCCCAGCTAATTTTTGTACTTTTAGTAGAGATGGGGTTTCACCATGTTGGCCAGGCTGGTCTCGAACTCCTGACCTTAGGTCATCCACCCACCTTGGCCTCGCAAAGTGCTGGGATTATAGGCATGAGCCACTGCATTCAACCAAGATATGTTTTGATTAATTCTTTACTACTATATAAACAAAAATATTAACTCCAAAATGAATATATATTAATATTAAGCAAAATAAATTGCTTTTAAGTAATAAATTTATGTTCACAATTTTTTGAGGCTAGAGTAAATAGAAAAACATTTCTTAAAAAACATATTGGCTGGATGTGGTGGCTCATGCCTGTAATCCCAGCACTTTGGGAGGCCAAGGTGGGTGGATCACCTCAGGTCAGGAGTTTGAAATCAGCCTGGCCAACATGGTGAAACCTCGTCTCTACTAAAAATACAAATATTAGCCAGGTATAGTGACACGCACCTGTAATCCCAGCTACTCGGGAAGCTGAGGCAGGAGAATTGCTTGAACTCGGGAGGCTGAGGTTGCGGTGAGCGGAGATCGCACCACTGCATGCACTCCAGCCTGGGCGACAGAGCAAGACTCCATGTCAAAAAAACAAAAACAAAAACAAAAACAAAACATATTGCATTAGGGTGAAATATTTTAGGAAAGACAATTCAAATACAAGTAAATGAGAAAAGAAAATGCAAACTGCAAAAATGTAATCCTGTTAAAAATAATACATTCATGTAACTTTAAGACATGTTACACAGGATACATTTATGATAGCAATGAGACATTTTTAAATAAACTTTTAAAAAATTTGCCAGAAACTACATCTATTGCAAGTATTTGTACTTCAATTGAAAATATCTAGAAGCCATTCTAAATAATGTGTGGAGCACACATTTATATTTCTAAAATCATTTTAGAGAAATGGGAGTCTTAAAAGGTGATTAGACTACTATCCTTGAGTAAGGAATTTCTAGTATAATTAATAATATCATTTTGTTAATATTCATGACCAACCTGTGAAACTAGGATTTGGGTGTTTTTTACTTTTAATTTGCCAATGTAAATATTTCAGTGGTAGTGCAGAGCAAGTATACCTTATATTTGAGTCCTCCATGTTAAAGATAAAGTGATAATAAGGCTGTAATAAGTTTATCTAATGTATTCAGATAAAACATTATTATAATGATGTATATATACAAACATGCAAAGGACCAGAAAAAAGTACTACATTGTCAAGTTAAAAGGGATAACTTGTATTTCAATATCTCAAGATGGCTGTTCTTTTATATGGAAATAAAGTAATTTAGTTCTATATAAATTATGTGTTTACATGGAAAATCACAGGTCAATTTAATAAAAACATATAGATAGTTTGATTTAGGATTTTGAATATTGTATACACTTAGTTGATAAAGCTGCAGCAATGTTTGACAGAATTCACTCTAATTTTGAAAGATGTCCCACTTTGGATAAAAGGCTGTCAAACAGCATTGCACACCACAGAGAAATCTTCCATGAAAATAAGTGTCAATGGATGCTGCAGATTTTATTATTTTATTATTTTAAGAATGTTCCCTGCAACTTCAACCTTCAGCAACCACCACCCTTGTCAGTCAGCAGCCATCAACAACTGGGCAAGAAGATTACAACTCACAGAGGGCTCAGATGATCATTAGAATTTTTAGCAATAAAATCTTAATTAAGGTATGTACATTATTATTTTTAGACATAATGTTATTGCACACTCAATAAACTACAGCATAGTGTAAACATAACTTTTATATGTTCTAGAAAACCAGAAAATTTGTGTGACTTGCTTTATTGAGATATTCACTTTATTGTAGGGGCCAGGAACCCAACCTACAATATTTCAGAGGTATGCCTGTTTCCTTGTTTTATCCTCAGGCAAAAAGGTAGCTCAGGATATTTGAAGAAAATGCTTGACAACTTGAAAATTTCGAAGAGATAATAAATCATTCAAAGATAATTATGAAATTGTTACCAAAATAAAATTATATTACTATGTAATGATTATTGTTCAAATAATTTTAATAAAAAAGGAAAGTAGGAAGGCTAGAAAGGAAGAGAGAGCAAGAAAAGGAATGAAAGAGGGAAGAAGAAAAATAATGGAAAGAAGTAAGGAAAAAAGAAAAGAAAGAGGAAAGGAAGGAAGGAAAAAAGAGAGAAGGGGACCGGGCGTGGTGGCTCACACCTGTAATCCCAGCACTTTGGGAGGCCTAGGCAGGCAGATCATGAGGTCAGGAGATAGAAACCATCCTGCCTAACACGGTGAAACCCCATCTCTACTAAAACTACAAAAAATTAGCTGGGCGTGGTGGCACGCACCTGTGGTCCCAGCTACTTGGGGGACTGAGGCAGAACAATCGCTTGAACCTGGGAGGCGGAGGTTGCAGTGAGCCGAGATCCTGCCACTGCACTCTAGCCTTGGTGACAGAGCAAGACTCCATCTCAAAAAACAACAACAAAAAAAAAAAAAGCAGAGAAGGAAAAGGGAATTTAGTCTTTGTTATTAACTGAATTGTCTTGCTCCAACATCAAATGTTGAACCCTTAACCTCCGAATGTAATGATTCAGAGATGGGGGCTTTGGGAGGTAACTAGGTTTAGATGAGATTAGTATTCTTTGTAATAAAAGACAGCAGAGAGCTTGTGTGTTTTCTCTCTCTCTCTCTCTCTCTCTCTCTCTCTCTCTCCTTCTCTCTCTCTCTCTCCCCCCTTCTCTCTCTCTCTCTTTCTGCCTTGATCCATGTGAAAAAAAAGAGTGATAAAGTGGTCGTCTGTAAGCCAGAAAGAGGGCCTTCACCAGAACTGCCCCATGCTGGCACTCTGATCTCAGACTTAGAAGCCTCCAGAACTGTGAGAAGAAAATTTCTATTGTTTTAGTCACTTAGTCTGTGGCATTTTGCTAGGCATCCTAAACTGACTAAGATCCTTCTTAAATAGTGGTTTCAGTATCTAAAATATTAATTGACTCTTGAGGCATTGGATTTCCAAAAATGACTTTCTTCATTTTATTTCTTAAATAATGCATATAATAATATTAACATGCAATAAAAATAGCCTTCAAAGCATCCCTCCAAAACTCATTTCGCAGTGCTTAATATAGAAAAATAATAATGAATTCCAATGATAATGGAGTAATTACAGTTAGTAGGCATAAGGGAAATGCATAATATCTGCAGATAAAATTGAAATGGAAATTTGATTTAAAGAAAGCAAAAATGCATTTTTACAGCGCTTGAATGGCAAATAAATTTATTTCATGTAAAAATATTTACTTGTTCTCACCACTCTCAATCATAGTGGAGCCAAAAAATATTTGCCTGAATATTTAAAAAGAAAAAAAATAAAACTAAGACGATTGAAATAAGAGAAAGAGGAAAATTTTTATTATGCACAGATAATTATAAACATAGAAAATAAAACAAATCTACAGATAAGTTTAGCAAAATAGTTAAGTGACAGAATGCAGAATGATAAATCCATATTCTCATCAAGTGACTATGAAACACTTACTACAATTAACCAAATGCTGCTGAAGTTTATTATCTTTTTTATCTTTAAATGGGAATGCATTCTCTATGACTCAGAAATAATTCTCCTTCAGATTATATATCTCTTTGGGGTATGCATATACATGTGTTTATGTGCACTGAAACCTGCAAAGCATATGTACAGTGTATATGTGTTTATGTTTAGAGCAATATTATATATAGTACATTGTAATAAATCTAAAATAGTAACAAATGTTCAGCAGCCAAAGAATTAACAAAGAAAATGTGGTTTATTTTTAAGAATACAGCCATACAATCAATGAAATGTAGCTCTATGTAGCACCCTGAGTGACTGAAACATATACCGTTGTGCAAAAGAAGCCAGATAGAAAATAACATGCATTATATCATATTTCTATGAAATTTAAAAACAGGAAAAAAAATCATTGAGTGGGGTTCTCAAGAGAATCAAGAAAGTGTTTCCTTAACTTTCAGAATAAAAGATACCCATTGTGTGAAACAAGAATATGTGACCCAAAAGGGATGTTTAGGGGGATTCTGGGATGCTGGCAAAATTCTTCTTCTGCTGCTGATTTTTGGTCACCTTGCTACTCATTTGCAATCATTTATTCACTTTGATAGTTACACTTTATGTACTTTTTGTTAACGAGTATTACAAAAAATACTTTAAAAAAGCTGAAATCAGAATATGTATTACATAATTAGCCATGTGCAGATTTTTTTTTTTTTTTTTGAGATGAAGCCGAGCTCTATCACCCAGGCTAGAGTGCAGTGGCACAATCTCAGCTCAGCCTCCCTAGTAGCTGGGATTACAGTGCATGCCACCATGCTCAGCTAACTTTTTTGTATTTTTAGCAGAGACAGGGTTTCACCATGTTGGCCAGGCTGGTCTCAAACTCCTGACCTCAGGTGATCCACCCTCCTTGGCCTCCCAAAGTGCTGGGATTACAGGCATCAGCCACCATGCCCGGCCGCAGATTTTATATTTGGCACTAATAAATTACACTGAGTGTGTTAGATTACTACGTTAATGGACCATAATTAAACACACCTCCCAAAATTCATGCCTCTGTGTATTTCCTTTCTATGCTGATACTGGGGTTAGCCTTGAGATGTGCTTTGATCAATGGTATATCCATAAGTATTACAGAAAATGAGGCTTAATAAACACTTCTATAATTGGTCTTGGCAACCTGGAATTTTGTCACTTCTGTGTAAGAAACCTAAGCTGATCTGCTGGAAAGGTTAGAGAGGCTACAGGAAAAAGTGCCAAAGAGTCCCAGCCAACAGAACTAGCTCACTGCCAGACATGAAAATGAGGCCCTCATGGCCCCTAGAGCCACTGTTGACTTGCCAAGTGACTGCAGTCATATGAGTGGTGAGCCCAGCAGAAGAAGCACGAATAAGCCCAGCCTATCTTGTAGAGTTGTGAGCAAGATGAATTGATGTACAATACACTAAGTTTTAGAATGGTAGGTTATAGAGCAATAGATAATTAATTCACCATGCAAGTACTTTTTAATAACTTATTATCTTTTGAGTAGAAATTTATTTTTAATGAATGTGTAATTCAAAGTATTTTAGAAAATAAATTTTATGTAAATTAGAAAAATGTTTAAGTATCTCAAAACTATTACTTATATTAGTTGTCTTCAAACTTTGTTGCCAATTTGAATTATCTAGGAAAATTTTTAAGTTATGAATAGCTCTTCCCATCTTAAAGATTCTAATTTATCTAGGAGGTGAGTGTAGTTACATATTCCTTTGTCTATCTTTCTTGTATTTATCTATCTATCATCTATCATCTATCACCTATTAGATTATGAGGCAATTCTAATGTAAAATTGAACATTGAGATATTGATGATTAACAGGAAGAATCTATTTGAATTCTAGTGTATCCAAAAAGTAGAACACTATTACAATGAAATATGCATATAACCACAAGCAATGAAACAACATGAAGAGAGATTATACTAGGTAAAATATAACATCTAATGATCTTGATATTCTAAAACTCTACTTGTAATTTTTATCTGCCTAGATTTGTTGTGTGACGTGTCTTTCCTCAAAGGTAGCGTGTTTGAAACAGGATTTTATGGCGGCTTCTAAATAACATTATTTTAACACTAACTAGCAAAACTACTTTTATATCTTCTAAACATTGGAGGGGTAGCAAGTATTCTATTTAGAAAGTTGGTCATACAAGGGATTGTTGTGGAGTCAGGCAAGTTGGAGTCAGTCATGAAAGTGTCAACATGCAAGAGCAGAACAGGTGAATTCAAAGGGAAAAAAATGAGAAAGTACTGAAGGTCAAGTTGAGGGCTGAAGTAGAAAAATCATTTTAAATATCATCACTGGTTACCCAATCAGTAAAGGATCCAAAACTGACTATCATGTGAATAAAAATTTAAGTAGAAAAAGGACAACAACAAACAAAACAGGGTAACTTAAGCAAAATTAGGAGGCTTACAACTCACTTTTTTTTGTCATGAGATCATGGGTGTGTCAAATTGACGTAAGGTTACAGAGCTGTAGCACATGCTTTTAATTCTTGCTAACCAAAGTATGAGCCATGGACAAGCAGCCTTGGTATAACCTAGGACCTTATTAGATATACAGAATCCTGGGCACTACCTACCAGGTACTAAGCCAGGATCTACATTTTTCAAGATCTGCAGGCAATTTATATTCTAAGTTTGACAAGCAATATTTTAGGTAATATATTAACTGTCTGTTGCAGTTGTAAAGCTTTACCACAAACTTACTGGCTTAAAAACAATACAAATTTATTTACTTACAGTTCTGTAAGGAACTGTAAAAAGATTTATTTTCTGTAGAACTGTAAGAAAATAAGTCAGGCATGGGTCTCACTGGGCTACAATAAAGATATCAGCAAAGGTGTTTTTATTTGCAGAGACTCTAGGGGATAATTAGTTTCTTTGCCTGTTTGGCTTCTAGAGGTCATCTACATTGCTTGGCTCATGGCCCTGTCCCTCAATCTTCAAAGCTAAAACTATTGCCACTTCTCTAACCCTTTATCTGTTGTCATATCGCTCTTTCATCACAGCTGGCAAAGGTTCTCCGATTTGAAGAACTCACTCATGTGATTAGATTGAGCTAATGTAGATAATCTAGGATAATTTCTTCGAGATCTCTAAGCATAATCAGATCTGCAAAGTTCGTTTTTCTATGTAAGAAAACTTATTAACAGGTTTCATGAGTTGCAATGTAGACATTTGGAGGCCCATTATTCTGTTACAATAAACTGTTACAAAAAAGGGATTGTTTCAAAGTACATAGAAAGCTATTTCGTATTCTGTTTGTTAATAATCCAGGTGAAACCGCGTCCCTTTTAGAAAAGGCCATTCAATTTAGGGTAACAGAAAGGTTTGAAAGTTAGGAATTAATGGTATTTAGAAATTAATAAATATAAAAATAATTATATTTAATAACATTTAAGGGTTTTCTACTTCCAAATAAGCAACTAATTATATAACTCATTAAATGTAACTTGGCTGGAATCTATTCTATGTAGCTCTCAAAATTAAAGTACTTGACTGTCCTCATATGGGTTATTGTACATAATGAATAATTTCTTGGAATACTTAGATGCAGAATATCTGTGTAGGTTGATCTGTGGTGTCATCAGCATTATCAGTGGCATTCAAATGTTAAGGACTTATGAAGACACGTATTTAAAATTCACACAAATTATCCTGGCTATCAGATGGAGCAAAAGCCTTGAAATAAGACATGCAAAAATTTTCTGAACATCCGTAAATAAATGATCACCAAATTCTTAATGGTGTCAGTTAACTATTCTATCGCCCTTCTGTTTTTCTCCCAGCAAACAGTTCTAACATGGCCTTCTATTATCCTTTCCTTCTTCACTGTATCTAGCTTGACTTTCTCCAGTCCCCTGGATACACCATTACTTTTCCCCCTCTGTAGTGGTGTTTTATTCTTTTTATGGTAAATCAATTTAGTTTAGCTCAGATTCACATAATTTTCCAATGAATCCTTTATCTCATTCAATTCAGCAATTCCCTGGAGCAAAAGGGCAAACACAAAATCATTTTAAATAAATGAGAAGTTGTACAAAAGGCTGGGAATGCTAACACATTGATATTTTCCTTTCTCTCACATATGTAATTGCTAGCTTACTAACCATAACTCTATCTCTTTCCCTTCTTTAAGATACCATAAAGAAAGTTACAATGACATAAATGTATTCTATTTAGTTTTAACATTGTAAATCTGTCACATTTTAGCACATTGCTAGTAAATTATTCTCAATATACATTAATTCTGGGCTTAGCTGCATTGAGGAGTTATTATTGTTTTACAGCAGATAATAATTTCAAAATAATTAATCAATAATTAAAACTAATAAATAGCCACACATACTAAAGGGTGACATTTGCCCTAAGTATTCCCTGAAGGTTGATGTTTATTTATTCCCATAGTTATGTTAATGTGGTTGACATAGCTTTCCAATTGCGTGAAAATCCAAACACGTATGAGCTCATTTAAAATACCACACATCAATAAACAGTAGGATGAACAACAATTACTAAAGCCTATAGTATTCCCTGAGTCAAGGGAACTATTGATATGTCTGTTCAGCAATACCTCTCTTAGAAACACCTTACACATAAGGTTGTTCTCTCTCACTACAATATTCTTCTGCCCTCTGGCGGTATCTGATAAGAAAGGAAGGCTGATTGCTCCAAACTGGGCTAATCAGATTATCTTTGCCTGGAATTTAGAAATGGGATCCAAAGAAAATATCTGCATAAGGTAGAAACTATGGGAGGTATAGGATGACCCGAGTCTATCAAAGATAAGAAGAGTGCTGCAAATCCTCATGCAGGGTCTCTGCTTGAAACCAAGCAGCATCCCCAGTCTTGGAATTGGACAAAAATAAATTACTTAGCTTGAGTTAGTTTTTGTTGCTTACATTTATGTCTTAACTAATTTAGTAGGTCACATTAGCAATCTCTTTTTTTTAATAATTATAAGTGCTGACATTTTAGTAAGTACTTTGAGTTTTAATGACTCCTTGCCATAAGGTAGTATCTAAATATTCATAGGAAGCTTAGCATTTGATTTATTGGCCAGAACATTCAACTGGGAGTCCGATCTTGTCTCTACGTGCAGTCTTACGAACTATTGCAAATATGAATGTGGGAGCAACATTACTGTTTTCTCCCTCAAAAGGACCTCCTGTATTTGACAGAGTAGATGGTAACTTCTCATAGTACTAGAACAGTGCATACAATGTCATAGTCTCAATAAATAGTATAAGTAAATATTGTTGTTTAAGTGAAAAATTGAATAAATAAGTGCACAAAAGAATAACTTATGGAACATACAAGTTGGCCTATTCAAGAAAACTGCCTGTATATATTTTTCTCTTCTCAGTTTCTGAACAAATTGAGAAGAAAAACAAAGCTATGTTCAGGCCAAAATATCATGTTTATGACGCATAAAGGCCAAGATGAAGAGCATGGACTTGGATTTGTTTGTTAAGTAGGTTTAGCGAGGCATACTTAGCCACTCAGTTTCAGACAGTGTAGAAACAGATAAAGTAAATTCTATGCCATGGAGTAACACAGGAAAGCTTTTGCTAGCCACGACAAGGTGTGATTCCAAGGAGAAGAGGGCTGAGCTGAGTTGAGTAAGCACAAAGAAAAAGTAAGATTTATTTTCACCATCTTTCTCTCACCAAGAATCCATTTATGTGCCCGTGGGAAAATGATCACTTCTGTTGAGAATGCACAGAGCAGAAGACAAACAAGGGAAACAGGATACTAGGATTAGAGCAAGAACAGGAGAAACTGACGGATAAGATCATTGAAGGAGCATGGAGCCATGTCTGGCCTTGTACACTATTGTAACAACATTGGCTTTTACATTGATGGTGTCACATATATTTACTTTAAAAGGACGTGAAACAGCAACTTGAATACAAAGATGTGTCACCAAAAATGACACATCTTCTGTCTGCCCTGTATTTTAATCTCAAATGACAATGACCATTTCAATAGTGCCACCTTGTTGATCTCCCCATAAATTCTAAGACATAAGTATGGAAAGAAGTTGCATGTGAGCCACATCAAGTTAATTTTATATATGAAAACTAGTATGATTTGGGAGTTTAGGATCATCATCAGCATTTGATAATTTCCAATGGAGGTTGAGGTGAGTACCTTTTTTTTTGTGGCTACTGCTTGCATTTGAGAATTAAAGTTTAAATATAACCCCTTAAGTCCTAAACACTTAAAATCCCATCCTTAATCAAGGGGCGAGGAAGCATATTTTTTTCCACAGATTTGAGAACAGATTATTTTAGGACAACTATTTATTCTACTACAGAGACATATAAAATATTTTTTTCCTTTAGAAAATCATCATTACTAAATTCCCAGTATAGAGGGGATTTTTATTACTACATAAACCACTCATAAGAAGGGTTCAGTAGAATTCCAGGTCACTGTTTCTAAACTGTAACTTTTACCATCACAGTTATTGGGGTAATTTAAATAATAAGATCCCCTCTTCCACACTGAACCTATGATAAGAGCCTTTCAGGTGTGTCTAGGGAACCTTTCACAAGCTCACTGGATAATTATGTTATGCACCTAAGTGTTAATATCAGTGTTCCAAGTGAGGAAATAGGAGAATATGAACTAGTACTGTCTGGGAAGAAAAATAGAGAAAAAACCAATTAGATATTTTAGATGGCTGAGTCAGCATACACAGGGTTTGAATGAATCTGTAAATTAATGAAAAGTATGGAATACAGGATAATTATTACGTCTGGACTGATTAAATAGATAAGTGATAGTAGTAATCACAAATAAAAATAAAAAAGGATGGTGAAGCAAAATGAAGGAAGGTAATTGATGTTGTCTTACTTAAGCTAGGTATTTTTTCAAGAACACTATTATAGCAAATAAGTTCCAAATAAATGTGTCTAAATACAATAGAATGGTTATTACTTGTTCAATTCCAGTCCGTTTCAATTTTCAGTGGGTAGCATTCTTCCTAGGTTGACCAAATTTCTGATGTTTCAGATGCAAAGGGTTTCCCAGGATGCAGGACTCTTCAGTTCTCAAATTGGGAAAGTCCTAGGAAAACAGGAACAACTTGTCAACATCACTGTACTGAGAATTCTGAAACTAGAGCTTTTCTTTAACTCCACTATTTTCCAATATTTGAAAACCCTTCTTCTGGAGTCTCTGCAGTTAACCAGTTGGTAAACAAATAGAGAAAGCTTGTAGTACTATGAAAGAAGTTTTGTAAGGCAGGCCTGAAAGTGACATATGTCACATGCTTCCACATTCTATTGGCCAGAACTCAAACATGGTATCATGCATGACTTGTACCAAGGATGCTGGGAAACATAGTCTACGACTGTGAAGTAGGATAAGAGACGGCTATGTATATTATTGAGTCAAAAGGATGAAAAATTGAAGAATATTTTTGAAAAATAATTAGGAGGTTAAGAAATAGAAGGAGCAAGGGTAGGCTATTGTTTTTCTATCATTGTTATGGAAGTAAAGAGATATAAGATCTAGAAAGGAGCAGGGCCAGAGTGAATGCTGCTTTTTAAGCTTGAGTTTTATGAGCTCCTATGAGGGAGCCAATGGAAACAAGACAGATAAAGATCCATGAAACAAATGGGGTAATGGATTGAGCAAGTTCCCAGAAGGTACTGAAAATGACAGAATTTTGAGTACATATCGACAAATTCATCTTGGAGAAGAAAAAAGAAACATCCATCTAGACGATGGAAGCAAGCAAGAATATTTGTAGACTGAATTTGTAGTGAAAGCATCACATATCACTTCAATTTTCAACAGAAAAGAAGAGGTTACTCAGGATACTCCATTTTCCCTATGGCAAATACATGGACACCAAATAAAACTTTTAGAAAGATGTACAGAACTTAGATGTGAGAAAGATTACCATGAAACTATGAAAATTATTTTTGATCTTAATTCCTTAGTAATTACGTGACTGCGAACAGCAGTAGGATGTAGTAGATTTCTTGAACTCAAAGGAAGAAAATTTGTTATGGTGGAAAATATAAATTCGGAAAGATATAAGATTAGTTTATAAGGCAAATAAAAACAAATGTACATGTAATTTTATCTTATGGAAGAGAAATATTAAAAAAGTGTTTCAACTAAGGAAGAAACATTCTAATAATGAATCAGCACTTAAAATTTTAGTAGGACAAATATCTAAACATGTACTTAACATGGAATTTTTCATGTCCACACTCAGAGCAATGAAGTATTAACTATACTCCATCAACACTGAAGAAGTCATTAGGAAGCAGTAGAAGGATAAATGCAAACACATCAACTTGAAATATTAGGTTTCCTAAACAAGCATTCTCAAGACACTTGGATCTTTATTAGCTGTCAAATTTGATCTAATTGTAAATTTTTGAAATGAGTATGATATTGTATGCTGATATAGTGATGTTTCTGAACTTCAGTTGTGGATAAATAAATGACATTTACGTATGTAATAGAGGAAAGAGAATTACTAAATATGATCTCAATTTAATTAATAGAGGCATAAGGGAGGAAAAGTACAACAGTGGATGCATGCTAAAATATTTTTTACATTATTGATAGTGCCTAATAAATCAGTGTTTCAGATTGCGTCTCCAAATCACATTTTCTTACAACACTCTCTGGTCTCACACTACTCAAACAGGGATACTAAAAACATCACCCTAGCGATCTTTTCAAAATCATTTCCAAGTCCACAGAAATACTTCTGAAAGTGCCACAACGAACACCTCAGAGGGCTAAGCCCCCTTTTTTTAGTTACTAGCTCTGCTGAGAAGCTAGTGCCAAAAGTGATAGATAGAAAGCCAGTTGCTACTCTGAAATTATATTTGTATAAGGGAAGACAGATGGTGATTGTTTTCTGTTTATATAAATTGAGTAAATTATAAAAGGAATGACATTTTAGTAATAATAATGTCAGGAATAAAAAATATGTATAATATACAGGTTTTAAACAACAATTCTGGAATTATTTCAATGACACACACTTGAAAATATGTATACATATACATGTATCTCAAACCTCAGGGAATTTGTATTTAACCATAGAGTCTTTAGGATATATTTGCCAATTTATTTACATCTAAAATATAGAAAGGCAAGTCTCTCAAGTATCTATGTAGATAACAGATTTCAGCTTTTAATGAAATAAAGTCAGGTATTCAAAGAACCATCTAAGATTATGTTGATAGAATCAATGCATGTACAAGAAACCAGAAATGACAGTAGTGAACTTGTAGAAATTGGATTGACTCCTTCAGTAAATTGGTGCAATTGCTTTACAATGCTGTTATGCTATCTCTCAAATAAAAAAAACTACGAAGTCTGAAAAGTCACCCTGACTGAACTGAAAACTGCCCCAAATGAAAATTAAATTAAATGATAAAATCTGCTCAGCACTATTTTTTCCTATGGTTACCAGCGAGTGAATAAAAATAGAATCACTGAATGCATATAGTAATACTCACCAGTATAAAGAGTGTTCAAAGTTTCAAGGAAATCTATTTTATTATGTAATTTTCTACTCAACATATTAAAAAATTATCACTAATTTCTAAAAACAAAACAAAGGGACACAAGGAAACTTTGAGAGATATCGGGTATATCTATTACCTTGATTGTGGTGACAGTATCACGGGTGTTTGAATATGTCCAAGGTCATCAAATTGTGCACATTAAATATGAACAGTTCTTTGTAATCAATTACATCTCAATAAAGTTGTTTAAAAGAATAACCAATAATTTATCTACATTTACTGTATTAATCAGAGTTCTTCAGATAAACAGAAGCAACAAGGTATATGTATTTTACACACACACACAGGCACACACAGAGAGAAAGAGAGAGAGAGATTTATTTCAAGGAAATAAATTGATTTTGTCATTTTGAAGCCTGCAAGTCTAAACGTCACACTGCAGACCAAGAGGCTAAAGACCAAAGAAGGAGCAGATGTTATAGCTGCAGTCTGAAGAAATCTCTAGAGGCAGAACTTCCTCTTCCTCGGAGGACCTCATTTTCGTTTTGATTAAGGGCTTGTAACTGATCAGATGAGGGTCAGCCACATTATGGAGCTTAATGTGTTTTACTCAAAGCCTGCTGATTTAAATTTTAATCTCATCTAAAATATCTTCTTAGCAACATCTAGACTGGTATTTCCAAATATCTAGTACTGTGGCCTATGCATGTTTACACATAACATTAACCACCCCAATCACTAAGTCAAACTAGGATTATTTATGTTTAGTTAAAATGGTGTCACCTTTTTTGGTGATTACTCAACAGGGAGGCAAATAAAAGTAAAATGTTAACTGCTTAAGGAATTTTTAATGGTACTTTAACCAGCAATGTCAGATAGGTAATATTGGTTTTATGGATAATTTATAACTTTGTTTTTAGGTTTTTTTTTTTTACTTTAATTTATCCTACTTTCCATTGTCAGCCAAGCATAGAATTATCATCACCATCAGTAAAGATTTGTTGATATTTAGTGGAATATGTAGAAACAGGCATATAATTAAATAATATTTACTGTAACTTTAATATTTGCTTGCATCTTTTCACATTGTTATTTCTAAGATATTTTTTGTTCACAAAATTATATGTGATAATGGTGCATTAAAACACTTTCATGTCTTATACAGATTTGAATGGATAATTTATAAATAAAAAGAGAATGATACATTAGGCCTTTGATATTATTTACAAATGTTATTAAATCATAACATATGTCAGAACTCTCTTCAGAATATTTTGTGATAATAATGGCTTTTTCACTTTTTCTATGAACACCAACTTTAAAAAGACAGCAATAGTAAGTTTAGAGATGTAATTTAGAGTTTGTTATTTTTGTAACATGAGAATTGTTTCTGGTTAAATGTATACATATACACATACAGAAATTACACCAGTATTTAGAAAATTATATTCCTTAATATACTTTTTAATAAATAGTTGATTAAGGGACTTAGAGTGAAATTATTTTACGGTAATTATGAATATTAGTTGCCAAAAGAATATCCCTATTCCAACTAGCATCTCTACAATGTTATACTCAATAATGAAATGTTTAGTATAATTCTGAATAGGCAGTAAGTACGTTAAACTTCTGTGTAACTGAGTCTGCACATTAAGCATTTCTGCTAAAAATGAGTTCATAATTGAACTTTAAATAACAGATGACTAAATTCAAGTTAGTTTTCAACATTATTAATAAATCTATATAGCCAGAATTAAAAAATACAAATAAATATTTTAAGTTTTAGTTTTTAACTGACACATGATTAATTTTTATATATATATATTTATGGAAACAGTGTGAGGTTTCAATACATGTGTATGTTGTATAATGATCAAATCAGGGTAATTAGGGTATCCATCATCAGAAAATCATTGTCATTTCTTTGTAGTGAGAAAACTCAAAATCCTCTCTTCTATCCATTTTAAAATACACACTATATTATTGCTAACTACAGTCACCCTACTGTGCTATAGAACACCAGAACCTAGCTGTATGTTTTAAAATATAAAATGCCTGTCATGTGCATATCCCGAATATTCAGCACAGTGTTAGATACTTAATGAATGATTGTTAGACTGATTCATCTACTATCAACTGATGATGGATGGATACAAGGATAAAAGGATGGGTGGATGGATGGATGGATGGATGGACGGATGGATGGATAGGATAGGATTGTTCTTTGTACCAATCCTACTTTATTAAATGGGAATTCATAACCTGTATAAGTCCATTTTCATACTGCTATAAAGAACTGCCAGAGACTGGGTGATTTTAAAGGAAAGAGGTTTAATTGACTCACAGTTCAGCATGGCTAGGGAGACCTCAGGCAGCTTACAATCATGGTAGAAGGCAAAGAGGAAGCAAGGCACCTTCTTCACAAGGTGGCAGGAAGGAGATGTGCCTCGTGAAGGGGGAAGAGTGCCTTATAAAAACATCAGCTCTAATGAGAACTCATTATAACAAGAAGAGCATAGGGAAAGTAGCTCCCATGATTCAATTACCTCCACCTGCTCTCTCCCTTGACACGTGGGGATTATGGGAATTATGGGGATTACAATTCAAGATGAGACTTGGGTGGGGACACAAAGCCTAACCATATCATAAACTAGTACTGAACTAACACCTGTCATCTTGTTAAGTAACATCTTCTGTTGATTTCACAGATTCCAGTGGCTAATTTATAGGAATGGCTTCATTTGTTCATTTACATCTCCATGTTGATACTAACTGTCCTCTTTAGTAAATTGATACCTACTTTATCAGTGTTATTACTAGAGTTTTTAATGTTTCTCCGTCATTCTGTGAATAGTCGTAGTTTCCTGTCCCTTCTTGGTAATTTCCCCTTCTATGTTAGTGCTCTTGAGGTCTTGCTTTAAGTTCTTTCCATCGCTCTTGCTTTTCCCTGCTGTCTGCACACCCTGTGATCTTTCCGGGCTATACTGCTGCAGATCTTGGTTTAGTAGCTTATCTTCCCTGTTCTCTGCTTCTCTGACCCTCTCCTGCAGTTACGGGCCTCTGCAATAAAACTCTTCCTTCCCTGTGCTCTCTGCTATACAGAACTTCCTGACTATGTTTCTTGAAAAAGTCAGGAAACAACAGGTGCTGGAGAAGATGTGGAGAAATAGGAACACTTTTACACTGTTGGTGAGACTGTAAACTAGTTCAACCATTGTGGAAGACAGTGTGGCAATTCCTCAGGGATCCAGAGCTAGAAATACCATTTGACCCAGCCATCCCATTACTGGGTATATACCCAAAGGAATATAAATCACGCTGTTATAAAGACACATGCACACGTATGTTTATTGCGGCACTACTCACAATAGCAAAGACTTGGAACCAACCCAAATGTCCGACAATGATAGACTGGATTAAGAAAATGTGGCACATACACACCATGGAACACTATGCAGCTATAAAAATAGATGAGTTCATGTCCTTTGTAGGGACATGGATGAAGCTGGAAATCATCATTCTCAGCAAACTATCGCAAGGACAAAAAACCAAACACCGTATGTTCTCACTCATAGGTGGGAAATGAACAATGAGAACACTTGGACACAGGAAGGGGAACATCACACAGCGGTGCCTGTTGTGGGGTGGGGAAAGGGGCGAGGGATAGCATTAGGAGATATACCTAATGTAAATGAGGAGTTAATGGGTGCAGCACACCAACATGGCACATGTATACATATGTAACAAACCTGCATGTTGTGCACAGGTGCCCTGGAACTTAAAGTATAATAAAAAATATATATATTAAAACAAAAAAAGAGCTAACAAGTAAAACTGTAATTTGGATAGGAAATAGCTTATTTTGCAGAGTAGACGTCTACCCTACACAAGAGAATAACACCTCTGTTTTGTTTTATCTATTTATTTACTTCAATGGCCACATCAAAGCGAACTTCTGCCATCTCAGCCATTTGACATCTGCAGTAGTTCATTTAGTGAAAGAAACCCAGGATTCACTTATGTATATCTGTGTTAGCAGTTTCCATAACTTTTCATTGCCTGGATTTTACTAACAACATTTATTTGCATTTAACACGAGCTTTGCTTTGGGTTGAGTTCTTTAAAAAATGAAGCGAAAATATGTTTATGGTTTCATCGTATCTGTGTTGGGAGAGAAAAAATCATGCAGTATGTAATACTCTTTTTCATCATTTCATGTTTCTATTGCAATCAAATTAAATATTGTAATTTCTCACCTTGAAAATTATCAATTATAGGAAATAATATTACAATCAACATGTATTCCTGATATTAATGAAAGAATATTTACCTTTTAATTGATGAATTATAAATTCTACTTATTAATAACTAAATTTATATATTTCTTATAAATATCTATGTGATACATACAGTCCAGGTCAATTTATAATAATTGCATTACTTAATCACTCTATCAACCCTACAACACTAAAAATCTTTCCTAGCCTCATCATATGTATAAGGAAACTGTGCCTTAGAGAAAAAAATTATTGCCCAAATTCATATAACTATTAAAGGTAGAGAACAGAATGAGGACTCTGAGAATCTACCTTTAGACACTAGGTCTTAAGCCTTCACGAAACAGAAGCTCTCTTTTTTAGAGAAATCAAAAAAAATTAAGAATTATACTTGCTTGGTAATCTTTGATGAAAATCTAATGCAGAGAGATCAGTCAGATAACTGAAAAAGGTTTAGATTGCATGACTTGAATGACAGCCTAGTTGATAATTAGTAGGTGAATGACTTAGAATTATCAACCTGGTAACTCACTTAAAAAATGTTTTATGCTTTATGAATTGAATCGTCAACTTGCCGGGAATATAGTACATTTATTATGCTACTGCAAAGACTGAGGAAAGTACATAAATTATTCAGGGTAGGGAGAGACGTTAATTTTTTTTACAATGCAAAAGAGATGATTCACAGAATAGAAGTGATCACAATTTATTAATATATTCCTTCATTTAAGGTGGATAATTTATTTCATTTTCCCTGTACAATAAAGCACAGGCAGTAGAATAAAATTCACAGTTAACAAATCTAGCTTTATTTCCTAAAATGAGCGTGTAAAAAATAAAAACTTTCATGATCTATGTAATAATGAATAATTTGCTTATTGAATAAATTACTATTTAGGGCTTATTTTTTTTTTAAATTTTCTGCTAATAATGAATAAACTGGTGAACTGGCATGTTAAGATGCATATTACCTCATTTTGGATGCTTTTACATATGCTCATAAATATGATAAAATTAGCTTTGTTTTATTTATCCCGCCTTCTGCCTTTTCAATCCTGGATGTGAAACAGTTCACTTGCTGGAGTTCAACAACATATGAACCCTCCCAGAGCCATTGAACTTGCTGGGGTTAAAACAATGGACAAAACCCTTAATAGGAGAAACCCTTAAAAGGAAAAAGTTCTCCTCTGGGAAGATAGATAATAAGCATAAACAAAACATAGAAGTAATCATTCAAGCTTCTCACAGTTACACATGCTGATCAGAGAATTCAACAAAATGACAGGATAGTAAGTGTGGAGTGGTCCTTTCTACGAAAATACTATTTAGAGCTGAGGAGTTTTTAAATCAGAGCTAGCCTTGTGACTTTCTTTGGCCAACAGAGTGTAGTGGAACTGATGATAGGCTTGTTCTGTGCCTAGGTTCCAGACCTTTTTGTTTTTCTCGTCTCTATTGCAATTCTGCTCACATAAAAATGAGTGGTACGGGATTGCCTGCAAGATGAAACACCACATGGAGAAACGCTAGTAGACCAAGCGGACCTAGGCATGATTGTCCTGAATTAACTGAAATCCAGAGGAACCTCAAATAACAGACAGTACAATGTAGATCAGTAGACCTGCATATCTGACCCAGGATTGACTGCAAACATGTGAGTGAGCCCAGCTAACCCACAGCCTTGTGAGCAACAATTAATACTAAAAGTTAAGCTTCCCCTCGCCAATATATGCATGCATGTGTATACATATACAAACTATATGTCTACTTATTTACATGACATACAATCCTAACTTATTTTCAGGCTCTGTTTCTCAGAGATATACTATCTGATAATGGACACTGATTTTCTCATAGCCAAACCATCAGAAGCTGCAATTTTTGTGAATGCAGCAGTGACCTCTATTCTAAATACAAATAATAACATGAAAAATTCAGTCTAGCACTGCGCATAGTGTCTTTATAAGCCATAAATCCAGGTACTGTGTAACTAAGGAAGTCATCTTAAAGATGAAACATTACCTTTAGAGAGATAGACGATTTTAGCCAGAATGTACGTCAGGTTCCTGGGCATAATGGTGAGTTTAGACCTTGTACTTTTTTTGTGAACTCCTCTGTTGCTACTGGGATACATATTGTGCATGTCGTGGTAGTTTATTTCTCTTAAGCATTTCCAAAATGAATAAACTCTACCCAATTCACACTCTCTTGTGAAACTTGAAGATCACACAATTAACACGAACACCCTGAATCTTAGAAGTATATTTGCATATGCCATGCATGCTACAATCTGTCAGGTATATTCTGAAGTGCTTATTTGTATTAGGAATGTTCTCATTCACCTTCTCAGCCCCATTCAATTAGATTTTAACTGCAACACAACACTGTCCTACGGGATAGAAAATACCAGAATGTTCTTTCTATTCAGTAGCATATTTTCTAACAAATCAAACTACAACCTGGAATTTTTTCATCACTGAATTGGCAGAATTTTTATTTCAAATAAAATAGCATCTGTTGTGATCTGTTTCTTGTTAGTATTACTTTTTAAAAATATTTTTAAGTTAATATACATTTTTACATTTCTATAATGTATAATGTGATGTTTTAATATGTGTATACCTTATGGAATGGCTAAATTGAGCTAATTACTATATGCATCACCTCACATACTTACCTTTTTTGTGGTAATAACACTTAAAATCTACTTCCTTAGCAATTTTAAAGTATACAATACACTGTTAATTACTATAGTCACCATGTTGTATGATAGATCTCTTGAATTTATTCCTTTGCCTAATGATATTTTGTATCTTTTGATCAACATCTCCCCAATCTCCATAGATTACCTCTAGAGGTCCCATTTTTATGTTGTAATTCAAGTTGACTAGCTCATATATCAATGGCATGCTTACCAGAAATTTACATCTCATTTTGTCTATTGCATATCAGAAATACACAATGAGGAAAAAGACTGTTTAGTGTAAGGTGTTGGGAAAAGTGGATACCCACTTGAAAAAATAAAATAAAAAGTAAAATCCTTGTTTTACAACATACACAAAAATACATTCTAAATATATTAAATAATTAAATGTAAGATGTGCAATTTTAAAACTCCTAGAAGAAAACAGCAGAAAACTTGACATTGGTCTAGTCAATGATTTTCTGGATTTGACACCAAAAGCACACACAACAAAAGCAAAACTAAACAAGTGAGTCAATATCAACATTTCTAAATGAATTACTGAATCCATGTCTTTGTGATGTAGTAACCTCACTGAGGGAATAAACAGTACTTGTTTTGTTTACTAAAATCCCCTATGCACTTAACAGTTGGTAAGTCAAAGTTATCCAAATCAATGACTAATATAATGCAATTGTTCTTCCAAGAGGGCATGAAATCTGCTAATTTGTTACTCAGAGGTTTAATACTTATGCTCACATACAAATGTATATTTTGTCTAAAAATGCTCTCTTCTAATTTCATTCCTATTTTGACATCATAACAAGGTTTCTGGCTTTCTGATTTGAGCCTGTGTTTTGCACACTTGAAAAGCAAAAATAAATTAAAGAATATTTGTCGAATTTCATTTCTGCTTATCAGCAGCACCTCAGGTGCATTAAGTGAAGGAGAGAAGAAATATCCATGAGAATAAACCAGTGAATTCTTCCATTTACTACTTCTAGCAGGAGTGAAATCATTTGTTTCTAAGAGGTAAAATAGTATGCTAATAAAACCTTTCCGGATCATAAAGCCTTTAATTCAGAATTATTTTATTCAGCATTATGATCCTTGTATTCAGGATTCACAGCTAAGTGGACATTTTTCACTTTCTGTAGCATTATATTAACCTATTCCAGATACGACTCATTAAAATACAATAGACAAAATGATCACTGCTATTACTCATATAAAGTTTATTCTAGGTAATGGTAGAAACAATATTCATAGATTATTTTATTCTAAATATCAAATGAAACCAAGGTGGAGATCTTAAATCAAAGAAGTCTTTATTGAGCACCTATTATAATGAGGCAGTGTTCAAGGAGATGGGTCAATAGGAAAGAACAAACTGAATATAAAAATCCATGCTATCTTGAAGCTTGCATTTTATCATGGGAAATTGGAAAAAGATGAATAAATTAATGAACACTGCATTAAACGATGATAAGCATTGTAGAGAAATGTGAAGTTGGCAGTGTGTTTGGGGGACTGGAAACTTTAAACGGAGAATGACTCTCAGAAGGATGCAGGTCTTTGAGTAAACACTTGAAAGATGTAAGGAAACATATCTGATGCATGTTCGGGAGTAGTGTTTCCTTACATAAGGAGCAGCAAATGGAGAGGGCCTGATGTGAGAGCCAGTCTGGCATATTCAGGGATCACTAAGTACGTCAGTGAACGATTCCTCATTTGAGAGTAACTTGCATAGAGCATGGCTCTTTATCTTTACTCCTAAATGCTTCAGTGTGCTTTTTTTTTTCCTAGAAGAGGGTTATTCTCATATTATTACAGTAAAAGTTTGGAAGTCATTAATTAAATACAATATAATATTTATCTGATCTAATATCAATAGTCTTGTTTTGTCAATTGACCAAGCACAGGATCAGCTTTAGAGTCAGGTATTGCCTTTTGTATCATGTCATTTTCCTTTGTTTATTTTGCAGTAATTACAATGGCCTTTCTGTACCTCTTATGAAATTGATATTTTTGAAAAATTCACCATTCCCCTGCCACTATTTTCATAGAATATTCTTCACTTTTGGTTTGCCTGAGATTCCTCCATGATTACACTCAGATTATGCATTTCCAGCTGGAGTAATAAGTGATGTCATTTCCTCCTCAGTATATGATTTCTGGAGGCACGTATCCATCTATCTCTTTTCCTGGCATATTAACTTTGATAATCCATTCAAGTTGTTTTCCTATTTCACCATTTTATTGGCACCATTTCAGTCCTATACAACTAATAAGCAATCTCACAGTAGCTCTTTTAGGACCATGGAAATATCCTACTCCACATCAAAATTTCCCCTGGGGTTTAGCATGCATTGTCAATTTTTTCCTGGTCCTATCTTTAAAATGGAGGTTGCAAAATGATGGATTTCTGACTCCAGCACTTATTCCACATTTACCATTCACACTGCACCTTCCACTGTAAGTAAAGGCCCTCTCTTTTTACATCTATCTCTCTATCTATCATCTGTTATCTATCATCTGCCTATTATCTATCTATCTATCTATCTATCTATCTATCTATCTAGTATTCATCTCTCTATATTTGGCATTCTCAACTTTTCAATCATTTATAAATTATTACTGTACTTACAGTGATTTGGGCATTCAAATTATACTATGTTTGATCAGCATAAACCTCTCTGCCTGGTTCCTATGTCATTGTAACATGTGCCTATTCTTTTTATAAGAACTTCCCTACAATTAGCATAACAAAATATTTCAGGTTCATCTTGTTCCTATCTTGCCCCAGCCTACTTTAGTGGGAAATAGTATTACAGCCCTAGATTTGTTCATTAATAATTTTTTATCTTTTTCTGGGTCCCTTCAGCAGATAAAGGTAAGGGCAAAAGAAATGTATGTATTTCATACATATATGTATACAAACACACACACACACACACACACACACATATATATATATATATATATATATACATCTTTCTCTCTCTCTTTTTTTGTGTGTGTATTTTTTGTCAAAGTGAAAAACTTGGCTCTAAATGATACTACCACTTTTCCTTTTTTATTCACTTCTGTAGTATAACTATAACTGATGCCTCTGTTACAAAAGTAAAAATACAAGGAGTTGAGATTCTGTAGTTTCCTCAATACCAACCCAACTACATTCAAGATGAAGTGTATATCATGAAATATTCTAACGATAAATTACTTGGATTAATCCTTTATTATTATTTTTTTTTCTGAATGGTTATTTTCTCAAAATAGAACTGCTATAACTTATTATAATTTACTTTCAGTTTTAGGTGTTCTTTTCCTCTTCTTCTCATTTTTGTTAATTTGATTTGATTTTCTGAATATGAAAAAATACTTACATTCTCTCAAAGGCCAAAACTACACAAAGTGGAATTTTCAGAGTGCTGTTATTTTTTCCCCGATTGCTTTCTCCTGTCACTTTCCCTGACCCATTTTATCTGTTTATGGTTTATTCATTTTTCTAATATTTTTGTAAATATAAGCAGATGCAAATGTTCCTTTGCACGTTGCTCTTATTCAGTTAATGTTTCTCAGGAATCAGTCCATATATATTTATAGAGCTATTCCTCTTTCTTTATTTTACAGCTTAATAGTACTTTATTTTGTGTAGGCACCATCATTAATTTACCTAATCTTCTATGCTTGGACAGTTAGTTTATTTAGAATACTTTGCAAGCACTATTAATGTTGCAATGAATACATTCATGCATATAATACTGTCATATTTTCAGATGTTTATGTTTACAGTAAGTTTACAAAGTGAACTTCTGGATTAACGAGTTAATACATATGTAGTATTCTAGATATTGTCAAGGTATCAAGTAAAATGAACACTGAGAATTGACCATTAGATTTAGGAATCTGGAGGTCACTGGTAACTTAGACAAAGGCAGTTTTGATAGAATGCTCAGGCTAAAAGCCTGATTAAAGTATGTTTAAAAGGAATTGCTGACAAAGACTTACAGATAGTTGCTTTAAATAGTTTCGCTATGAAGAGGAACAGAATAAAGGAACAATTGCAAGAGCAGAAATAGGGTTAAGGGAAAGTTTATTTTTTTTTTTTAAGTTAAGAGAAAGAATAGCACACATTATGTGATAGGCATTTTCTCTAATACTATGATAGAATTCTAGAGTCATCCATTTTTATTCAGTTGTTGAATTATTATATTCAGGTTATTTTATAATAAAAATACATGAGCCGGGCATGGTGGCTCACTCCTGTAATCCCAGAACTTTGGGAGGCTGAGGCGGGTGGATCACCTGAGGTCAGGAGTTGGAGACCACCCTGACCGACATGGTGAAATCCCATCTCTACTAAAAACACAAAATTAGCTGGCCATGGTGGCACGAGCCTGTAATCCCAGTTACTTGGGAGGCTGAGGCAGGAGATATCGCTTGAACCCGGGAGGCAGAGGTTGCAGTGAGCCGAGATCGCACGATTGCACTCCAGCCTGGGCAACAAGAGGAAAACTCCATCTAAAACAAAACAAAAAAAAAAGAAAGAAAGAAAGAAAGAAAAAGACAATACATGTTTAAGTTTTAGTTCTGTGTATGAACCTGAAAGTTCACAAGGACCTTGCACCACGGCAGCTTCTGAATTGTAATTGCCCCATCCCATGCAGATTTTTTCAGGCTCTTAGCCACAACTTTAAAAACTGACAATCAGATCAAAGGGAAAATTCGCTCTAAATGCCAGTCTCTTGATTCTCTACCTCCTCCCCAAGATTCTCCACCACAATATCTCACTGACTTAGGGGATATCTGATGACTTCCAAATGATAGGTTTTTTTATTTTTATTTTTTGTGTCTGCAGGTTTCTAGTTTTCCTCAGGAGGATTGAGTAAAATAAAATGTTCAGTCTTTCATTGCTAATATTTAACTTTCTTGTAAAAGTATCTTATAAAATATTTTTCACAGAAATAAAACAGTAAAATATATATGTAAAAAACTATCTCTCAACCATTTATATAGTATCTTAAAACTTTCTTATATTTGCCTCAAGGAATTTTAGGGAATATTATACCACATAATACTGAAGTCATCTTTATAATCCCAATGCTAATTTTGTTTCTTGTTTTCTAGATTTAACTACTCTTCTCACTTTTTCTTATATCGTATACATGATTATTACTGTATATGTTTATATTCATTGCAATATAGAACATTGTACTTTATGTTTCTGTATTTTATATAAATGATGCCTTATTATAAGTATTGTGTAAGTAATAAAATGCAATGGAGATTTCCAGTTTAAAACCTAATATCTGGAATACCAAGATTTATTCAGTATCCACTCTTCCACATGCTTGCCATGTGTGATCCTGGGGAAGACTCTTAGCCTTCTGGTGTCTCATTTTTCGCATCTGTATAATGGAGATGATAATACTTATTTCAACAAGTTGTTGTGTGTGGTGAGTTAGCAGTTAGAATATACTCAACACAGAGTAAAAACTGAAATAAATATTTACTTTTTATTATCACATATCCTTCTGTTCTATTTAGTAAATGTTATATACAGTTTTTATTTAAAAATGGTAGATAAGGCTGTAATTTACTCATTTGCAATACACCATTGTATGAACATCCAATTATCCATCATGGGCATTTTAGTTGGTTCGATTATTCACTATTACTGTGAGCTGTGAGAGACATTACTACCTGTGTCTTCTCAAGCACGTACATGTAGTGGGTTATTAGCAACATATGCCTAGATGTTAAAGGTTACGTTCCTATTCAAATGCACTTCACATTGCCAATTGAATTGCCCTCCAAAATTCTGCTTATTTACTTCCATCATTACCTCCCATTTCATCACATTCTCATGCACTCTTGCATCCGTTTAAATGTTTGTATTCTGGTGGTTGTAAAATAAAATCTCTTTTTATTATGTTGGAGGGAAGGGCCACATATCCTTGATTACTAATGTAATCAGGCATCTTTACAACCTCCATCCCTTTTTGTCCATCGCTATCCATAAAAATGATTATATTCTTGATATATTAATCTTTCCTGGTGTGGAGTATAAAAAGGTGATAATTACTCTATAGTTAAAATTTTCTAAATTCAAAACCTATGAAGAAACATATATACAAATCAAACCAAGATAGATAGATAGGTTAGATAGACAGATCAGATGGGATAGATAGATAGATAGATAGATAGATAGATAGATAGATATAAAGATATAAAATGCAAAACATTGTGTTGGAAAATGTAGCTAGATAAGTGGGCAGATGGACTTTCACACTTTTCCCACACAACTAATTGTATCCACAGAACTACAGAACCATGGGCACTGCTGAACAACTTCAACTTCTCTATTGAATAGCCCCTGAGTCTCTTCCAGAAATCCTGCCAGTAAGAATAACTCAAATTTCTATGTGTGAAGGCAAGGCAGCAATATGAGACAGACGGAGATGAAGCTAATCAGCCAACTATACTGTTTATGTCTTCAAGCTTAGCAACTAGTGAAGAGGGGAAATGGAGAGCACCCAAGAGGGGTCGCCTCACAGTTTTTACTACTAGAAAATGTAGTGGAGACATCTTTCTACTTACTACCAGCCCTAAATTTCTGCCCCATGCCACATTTGTCTTAACTATTAAGACTACGGTGACAAGGGTATGATGTGTCAGGGTTAAAAGGACTGAAAGATAGTAACTATAACAGCTTCAAGCTCAGGAAATTAGTGAACAAAATCAAACCCCCTATTTCTAGTGCTATTGTCCCCAATCACAGAGTGTTTATTAAATTTTATAAATGAAATCACATCAAATGTATTATTTTGTAGCTGGATGTTTTGCTCAGTATAATTTTGTGATATCTATGAGTGCTTTTGCATGTAGATCTTTTTGATTCATTCTAACTGATCCTAAGCATTTTAATGCATGACTAGTCCAGAATATATTTATGTTTGCATTTAGATGAATTTTTGCCCATTTTTAGCTACAGAAAACAATGATGCTACAATAATTTTGTGTAGGCCATCTGAAGCACATGTATATGCACTTCTATTTTATGTATCAGCAAAAATGGAAATATTTATTAAAATATTAAGAAATCAATTCAGCAATACTTACAAAAATAACATAAAACACAATTGGATTTATTCTAGAAATACAAAGTTGGTTTGAAAATTTAGCAATTCAGTAATATTATTGACCACCTTAATTGAGTACCTAAGAGGTATATATTCTCAAACACTACAGAAGAAAAGCATTTGTAACAAGTCAAATCATCTCAGATGATACACTCTTCTCAAACTAAGAAATAAAGAACACTTCCTTAATATAATATAGGTATCAGTGTGCTAAACCTAGTAGTAAAACTAAAAATTACTCTCTGAGGGAGTAAGACAAGGATGATTAAGATCACCAATTGATCATGGAACTTGAATTTCTAGCCAGTGATAAAGTATGAAAAAGTAATAGATGTTATAAAGATAAAAAAGGAATCAATAAAATAACCACTATTTTTTAGTTATGAATGCACATAAGAAAATAAAAAGTTTCCACAAAGATATCATTAGAATTAAAAAGTGCAAGCAATTAAAAAGTGTAGCAAATTTTCTGATAAATGAACCATCTTTAAAGTTAAAAATATCATAGCTTAGAGGTCTGACTACAAAACATAATAAAAGCAACAGATTTTTCTCTCACTTATAAAGGCTTAAAAGGCAATATACGCAAGAATCATGAATTTTAAAAATAAAGCACTAATCTGTGTTCTCACTCCCCCTTTTACCTATAATCCAATCTCTATAAGGTAAGATGTTTAAATTGGGATATAATTAAGTTTAACCATACCGGGTTAAAAAAAATCTGTACTTATCAAGGACTGTGCTGGTAATACCAGGTAGATATCAGATCCACAATTATAACTCCTACAAATCATTGTGATCAAGGACCCTGTGACTCACATTGACTAAAGTCAAAGCCTAAAAGCCAACCCACCAGACAAGGCAAAACTTTGATCTAATTTTTAGCCCACAAGGAGGTCCTCTTAATTATTTCCTTAATTTTCCACATATTTATCATTATGCTAGACTCTAGGATAGTAAATTATTTCCTTCCCTTAAATCTTGTCTAAGTTCAGAATTCATTAAGGAGAAAATATACAAATCAGATAACTAGGGAGTAAAATATAAATTTAATTACTAATAGAATTGAATTGGAAACTGCAGTTGCATAGTGGCCAAAGAGGCTTCTAGTGTCATTTTCACTGAATTGAACTTTCCCCTCCAGATGACAGCCCAGGCATTCTGCATTGCCACGAAATGCATAACCTATCCTAGAAAGTGTACCACATGGAGCTGCTAAGAATGACTACTTCTTAATGGGTGGTTTTATTAAACAAGAATAAAGTGGCTATGTACACAATGTTAATTTTTTTCTCCCAAATTCGCTAATCAGGAAATCAACTCTTCATTCCTTAAATAGGAATGACAGAAGTGGTGGAATGAGGCCAGAAATATCCCAACAAACTATTACCCTTTTGAGAGAATGGTGGAAAATTCCCATACCTTATGCAAATATAGAAAATAAAGAATAAAGATTGCACTGTTGATCACGTATACGTATTGAATATATTTTTGTATGCTTTTAAAACTTTCATTTATGTCTTTATGAATCATTTTTATGAATTATTTTCATGAATAATTCTTAAAATAATTGTATGCATATCAATATTACAGTATTGTCCACTACAAGTTTTTAGAAAATATTTCGTTTAAGAAATCTTTCACAATCTTGAGTCATAAGGTATTCTGCTATAATTATACCTAAAGTGTAAGGTGTTTATTATTATGTTTATGTCTGTAACACACACAAATTTTATTTTTGGTGTGAGTACAGAGCTACTTTAATTTTACTTTCTCTTATGTGTAACTGTGTATCTGCTCTGCTCACTCCCTCTGTTTTATCCTGTATTTCATCGCTACACTTCCGGACACATTTCCCAGCTCCTATGTTTCTGGGACAGATCATGCAATTAGTTTGTACTCATACATTTTTTTTTAAAGGGCTGTGTGTCAACTCTAGGGCTAAAGAGCTAAGAGCAGATGTATCCCCTTCATTTTCCTTTATTCTCTGTCTATAGCCAGAAATAGAGACGAGAATACAGAACTCGGGCCCAGGGAAATGGCAGAACCACAGGAGTGGACCAGAGCCTATGCCTATAACCCAAAGCCTGTCAACAAATAATCACATCGTGGCATGGGTGAGAAATAAGCCTTTATTACTTTAAGCCTTTGAGATTTGGGAATTGTTTATTAGTATGTGTTTCCTTTGTTAATATATAATAGAAGTTAGTATGTTGAAGTGGAATTCTGTAAAAACAAAACCTTAAAATACTTAAAACGGCTTTGCTCTTGTGATAATATAGCATGTGGTGATGCAAGTTATGGCATATTTTGGCAAGATAGGGTTTCATATGCACTAGCAAAAATATTGCTTAAGCTGTTTTTTGTATTAGTTTGAAAGTAAGTCTATCTGCTTTTGATGGCTTTGGGAAAATTGATTGAAATTATCAGTAGCAGTGTTGGCTATCATTGGATACTTTCGGCAAGATAAAAAAGTGAGCTGGGAGGCCGAGGTGGGCAGATCACGAGGTCAAGAGATCGAGACCATCATGGCCAACATGGTGAAACCCCATCTCTACTAAAAATACAAAAATTAGCCAGGCATGGTGGAATGCACCTGTATTCCCAGCTACTCATTAGGCTGAGGCATGAGAATTGCTTGAAACCAGGAGGAAAGAGGCTGCAGTGAGTCAAGATCATGCCACTGCACTCCAGCCTGGGTGACAGAGCGAGACTCTCTCAAAAAAACCAAACCAAACAAAACAACAACAACAAAAAAAACAAGCTAACTAAGAAAATAATGGGTTAGTTTGAAAGCAGAAATTAAATGTTAAAGAATGAATTCAGAAATTACTTACATGAAATGATGGAATATGTAGCTTATTTTGTAACAAAATCAATAAGATATATAAATTTTAAAAAGCTTTGAGCATTGAAGGATCAGTAAAGCTCTTAGCAAACTAAGCAACACAAATCTTGGGAAAAACACATTTTAATTCAGTGTGTTTTCATGTCAAGCATGATATACTCAAGGTGTTTGCCAGTAAGTTGCCAAGGAAGAAGGCCTGGGGACAAGAATGCAAACACATCAAGTAGATTTGAGAACTCTGTGTCTAAAAGAATGTTGGGTATTTTCTCTGACCCAGGGAGCTAACTGAAAAATATAGATCTGAAATGTACTATATTTCTTGAGGATTGTATACTAAAAAGGCAAAAACAATCCAGAAGACTGGCCAGAAAAGTGCTTATACTGTTTGTCAGTCTTAATATTTTGGAGTACAGAGTAGGTTCCAAAATGTCTTCAGCTCAAGAGACATATATTTTTCCAACATCCACTTCAGTTGTGGAAAGAAAAATCTTGGTTAATGAAGAACCTCCAAGAGGTTGGAGGCAAGAGACACAGAGAACATGGATAATTTCAGCCCATAAACTAAGTCAGCCCACAAACTAAGAGCCTATTAATAAAACACTGCCCATGTCCAGGATGATAGGCTATCTCAGTATCTGTCTAACAATGTTTACAAGATGCCACTGCCCAGAATTACCACTTCTCTCTGTGAACTGCATTCTTTCCATTTCATACTAGAAGTGGTTTATACCGTGCTCTTTGGTTATTTAAGAGAATAATTTGTTTTGGTCGGCGGGGGTCACTAGACAACAAGGAACTATATTTGGGCTGGCAGGTAGATTATTTAGAGATGCTAGAATTGAGAAGAATACAATTGTAGGAGGAGTTTTAGAGTTTTTTTCCCCTGGAGTAGAATGTGGTTGTTTGGGGAGAAGGGAGAGAAGGGAGAAAAAAGCATACTAACATTTGGTAAAAGGAAATGTATTAATCATGGTCCTCTAGAGAAACAGAACTAATAGGATAAATATATATATAGAGAGAGGAATTTATTGAGAAGTATTAACTCACACGATCCCAGGGTCCCATAATAGGCTGCTTGCAAGCTAAGGAGCAAGGAAGCCAGTCTGACTCCCAAAGCTGAATAACATGGAGTCTGATGTTCGAGGGCAGGAAACATCCTGCACGAGAGAAAGATGTAGGCTGGGAGGCTAAGCCAGAAAGGTCTTTTCACATTTTTCTGTCAGTGTTATATTCTGGCCGTGCTGCCGGCTGAATAAATGGTGCCCACCCAGATTAAGGGTGGGTCTGCCTTTCCCAGCCCACTGACTCAAATGTTAATCTCCTTTGACAACACCCTCACAGACACACCCAGGATCAATACTGTCCATCCTTCAATCCAATCAAGTTGACACTCAGTATTAACTATCACAAGTCTGCCCCTTGTCAACTTGAACCCATACACATCTCCTGAGATCATACACAATCTTCAAATACAGAAAATAATAAGGTCATACTTACACCCAACATAATACAACTATCCTTCCTACAACCAGAAATGCACCAATCCCCAACCCAAATGCTATTACATAAAGTTAACAATACTTAAACGCTAATATGAGGTGAATAAATCTTAAGTCACATAATAAAGGAAGAAATAAAATGAAGATATTTTATTAGTACAAGTGTATACATGCACAAACATGTTTTTAACAAAAGAAGAAGGAAATACTCATGACAATTACAGTCCTCTTTTCTGCAGCTAGTCATGTGATCATAGCTGGTATTGATGACTACCTTCTTCTACTACCCATTCTGTAGTCCCTCTGCCTTCAACAAGCATCTCAGTAGGTCGTATTTTTTTTTCCTCGTGGAGTGACCCAAACCTTCATTCCTGAAGGGTCTGGGGCATTTGTAGTCCCGCCTGCACTGGGCAGTTGCAGTTTCCCATTGGCCTTAATCACAGGGCGTGGCAATACTAAGAGACACCCTAATGGATCTCCTGTATTCCATGCATACTCTTCCTTACCTCCATTGTGGAGCAGTAGACTGATTTCATCTTGATAGTCTAGGTCAATCATCCCAGCCAACACTGTAACTCCCTTCTTAGCCTGTTGACTTAAAGGTAGGAAGAGCCCAAAGTGTCCAGGTGGCAATCTTAATTTCCAGTTTAATGGAATCGTTGTTGTGTCTCCTGATGGCAGTGTTCCTCCCTCTGGAACTAAGACCTCTAGGCTGGGAGAAAGTAATGTCGCAGAAAGAGGAAGCAAAAATTTTGCTAGTGGATCATGAGGGGTGACAGTTAGTGGTGCCACTTCCACCTCTTGATTCCTGGACCTGTGAATCCTGGTATAGGAGAAACAGTGCCACTTGTTGGAAGCTGATTCAGAGCATACATGGCATTCTGGAAAACTTTGCCCCAGGCCTGTGAAGTATTGTCACCTAGTTGGCATTGTAATTGTGGCTTCAAAGGCTATCCCACCATTCTATCAATCTAGTGCCTTCAGGATGATGGGGAACATGGTAAGACCAGTGAATTCCATGAGTATGAACACACTGCCACACTTATTTAGCCAAATAGTGAGTGCCTTGGTCACAGGCAATGCTGTGTGGAATGCTATAATGGTGGATAAGGTATTCTGTGAGTACATGAATGGCAGTCTTGGCAAAGCATTGTGTGCAGGATAGGCAAACCCATATCCAGAGTAAGTGTCTATTCCAGTGAGTACAAACCTTTGCCCTTTCCATAACGGAAGAGGTCTGATATAATCAACCTGCCACCAGGTAGCTAGCTGATCACCCTGAGGAATGGTGCTATATTGAGGGCTCAGTGTTGGTCTCCGCTGCTGGCTAACTGGGCACTCAGCAGTGGCCGTAGCCAGGTCAGCCTTGGTGAGCAGAAGTCCAGGTTTCTGAGTCCGTGCACAACCTCCATTCCTGCCACCATGGCCACTTTGTTCATGGGCCCTTTGGGTGATGGCAGCAGTGGCTGGGGAAAGAGGCTAAGTGGTGTCCACAGAATGGGTCATCCTATCCACTAGATTATTAAAATCCTCCTCTGCTGAGGTCACCCATTGTTGAATACTCACATGTGATACAAATATCTTCACAGTTTTTTACCACTCAGAGAGGTCCATTCACATACTCTTCCCCAAATTTCTTTGTCATCAATTTTCCAATCATGCTTCTTCCAAGTCCCTTATCATCCAGCCAAACCATTGGCTACAGCTCATGAATCAGTATATAATCTCACATCTGGCCATTTCTCCTTCCATGCAAAGTGCACAAGCAAATGCACTGCTCAAACTTCTGCCCACTTGGAAGATTTACCTTCACCACTGTCCTTCATGGATGTCCTAGAACAGGGCTGTAGTGCTGCAGCTGTCCACTTTTGGGTGGTGCCTGCAAATTGTGCAGACCCATCTGTGAACCAGTCCCTAGTCTTCTCTTCCTCTGTCAACTGATCATAGGAAGCTTTCTGCGAGGCCATCTTTGCAGGCTGAGGAAGAGAAGGCAGGGTGGCAAGAGTGATACCATGGGCATTTGAGACACTTCCTCATGTAACTTACTTGTGCCTTCAGGACCTGCTCAAGCCTAATCACATAAATACCACTTCTATTTGATGATGGAATGCTGCTGTGCATGATCCATTTTATGTCTGGTTGGGTCAGAAAGCACCAGTTCATGATAGGCAGATTAGGTCACATGGCAACTTGATGACCCATAGTCAAACCTTCAGTTTGCACCAAAGCCCAGTAACAGGCCATGAGCTGTCTCTTGAAATGAAAGTATTTATCTGCAGAAGATGGTAGGGCCTTGCTCCCAAATCCTAGAGGCCTCCACTGTGATTCACCTGTGGGCGCCTGCCAGAGGCTCCACATAGAATTCCTATATGCCAATGACGCCTCAAGCACCATTGGATCTGCTGGGTCATACGACCCAAGTGCAACTTGCACAGCACCCTGGAACTATTGCAGAGCCTTCTCCTGTTCTGGACCCCGCTCAAACTGGCAGCCTTTCAGGTCATTTGACAAATAAGCCAGAGTAACACAAACAAATAAGGAATGTGTTACCTCCAATATCAAAATAGACCCAAAAGGCATTTCTTGGTTGTAGGAGGGGCCAAAGGCAGCAACTTATCCTTCATCTCAGAAGAAATATCTCGACAGGCCCCACAACACTGGACCGCTAGAAATTTTACTGAGGTGGAAGTTCCCTGAATTTTAGTTGGGTTTATTTCCCATCGTCTGGCATGCAAATGTCTCACCAATGAGTCCAGTATGTTTGCCACTTCGTATTCACTGGTTCCAACCAGCATAATGTTGTCAATGTAATCAACCAGTGTGATATCCTGTGGAAGTGAAAAGCAATCAAGTACTCCCTAAATTAGATTATGACACAAAGGTGGAAAGTTGATATACCCCTGATTAACACAGTAAAAGTATATTGCTGGCCTTGACAATGAAGGCAAATTGTTTTTGGTGGGTCTTATGAACAAGAATGGAGAAAAAGGCATTTGCCAAATCAACAGATGCATACTAGGTACCAGGAGATGTGTTAATTTGCGCCAAGCAATGAAACCACATCTGGTACAGCAGCTACAATTGGAGTCACCACTTGGTTAAGCTTATGATAATCCACTGTCATTCTCCAAATCCATATGTTTTCTGCACAAGCCAAATAGGAGAGTTGAATGGGGATGTGGTGGGAATCACTATCCCTGCGACTTTCAAGTCCTTGATGGTGGCACTAATCCCTGCAACCCTTCCAGGGATGCAATATTGTTTTTTTCTAGGTAAAGGCAGCTTGGATGGCTATTTGGCCTTTCCCACAATAATAGCCCTCACCGAACCAGTCAGGGAGCAAACGTGGGTGTTCTGCCAACTGTTAAGTATGTCTATACCAATTATGCATTCTGGCACTGGGGAAGTGACCACAGGATGAGTACAGGAACCCACTGGACCCACTGTAAGAGTAATCTGAGCTAAAACTGTATTAATTACCTGACCTCCATAAGCCCGTACTTTAACTTGAGGACCACAATAATGTTTTGTGTCCCCTAAAATCAATGTCACCTCAGAGCCAGTGTCCAGTAGTCCCTGAAATATTTGATCATTTCCCTTTCCCCAGTGCACAGTGACCCTGGCAAAAGGCCAGAGGTCTCCTCGGAGAAGGATGGAAGAAAGATATACAGCATAAACTGCTGGTAGTGTAGGGAGGTCCTTCCTCAAGAGGACCCGGCCTGCCCTTTATTCAAGCAGTTCTTGATCTGTAAAGAGGCTAAAGTCTGGAAATTGATTGAGGGGCTATGATCCTCTGTGTTTATCGTTAAAATTAGTCTTTTGTCCATTTGACTTGGAAGTTTTATGCTTATATAAATTAGGTAAGAATTCAGTAGATTTCTTCTCAATTTCACTTCTAGGAACACTGTGATTAATTAGCCAATGCCAGAGCTCTACAGGAGTCAGACTATTCTTATTGCTGCTTTGCCTCTGCTGTTCATTACAGTAGCTATGTACACCTTGCCTTTGATGGGTGAGTGCTGCAACTTGGTCCCTGAAGCCTCAGGATCCAATTATTCCCACTGTATTTAAATTTTGTGGTTGAGTGACTGTGGTTCCCACTGTTAGATCTGACATACAGAGAATAGCAATTACAGGGCTCTTCAAAGATGCAAGTCCTACCCTTCTAAATCTATTTCACAAAGCATTGATCAAGGGTATATCTTCTGGACCCCTCCAGCTGGAATTAGTGGATCTAAAGTGACTAATTCACTCCACCATCTCATTCTCTCTAAGCCTTTGGGTTCCTTCCACTACATTAAACCAAGGGAGATCAGGCATTTCTAGCTTGCTCACAGTGGGCAATCTTTTAATTCATATTTCAGCTAACCAAAAAAATAAAGTATCAGAACCTTTTTTAACTCCCTGAGCTGCAATGTTAAATGCAGAGTCCCTACTTAGTGGGCCCAAATCAATAAATTCAGCCTGATCCAACTTTATGTTTCTTCCACCATAATCCCACACCTTTTATATCCATTCTTGTGCCTGTTCTCCAGATACCTGCTTATATAAATTCGAACACTCAAGCAGTTCTTTTTGACTGTATTGCACCTCCTCATGGGTCACACTCTGAACCTCACCTCTAGGGGTGAAAAACTGAAAGCTTTCCTTCTAAAATTAGGAACAAGGCAATCCCATTCTTGTTACTTCTAGTCAACACAGTACTGGAAAGAATAGCCAGAGCAATTAGCCAAGAAAACAATGTATCAGAATCAGAGAAGAAAAACTAAAATTGTCCCAGATTGCAGATAACATCATCTTATATGTAGAAAATCCTAATGACTCTATATAAGAACTGTTGGAACAAATGTACAAATTCAATAAAGTTGCAGAATACAAAATCAATAGACAGATATTAGTAAAGTTTCTATATATTAACTGTAAACTATGAAAAGTAAATTAAGGAAATAGTCTCTTTTACAATAGCAACAAAAATAATAAAATACTTAGGAATAAACTTAACTGAAGATATGAAAGATTCATACACTGTAAACTACACAACCTTTATGAAATAAATTAAGAAAGCCACAAACAAATGGAAAGACATTCTGTGGTCATAAATTGGAAGACTTAATATTGTTAAAAATTTCCACACTACCCAAAGAGATCTGCATATTCAAAACAACCCTATCGAAATTCCAGCAGTGTTTTTTTTTTTACAGAAATAGAGAAAGCAGTTCTTTCAATCATATGGAATCACATAAGACCACAAATAGCCCAAATTAATCTTGTGGAAAATCAAAGCTGGAGGTTCACCCTTCTGATTTTAAATTATATTAGAAAGCTACAGTAATCAAAACAGTATGGTGCTGGCATAAAGACAATCACATAGGCCAAGGGAACAGAATAAGAAGTCCAGAAATAAATCAATGCATTTACAGTCAATTGTTCTTCAACAAAAATACCAAGGATATACAATGGAAAAAAATAGTCTTTTCAACAAATATTGTTGGGAAACAGCAAACTAAAACTATACCTAACAAGACACTATTTATAATGGCTCAGAGATATTAGTGCCTTTACTTTCTACTTTTTCCTATCTACATATGAACTGACAAAGGCAAAAAGAAATTAAGTTATTAGTTCCTGGTCATATAGCTAATGACTGGAAAGTTCTGGCAGTATAGACTGAGATATAAAAATATTAACCATTATGCTCTACTACCTCCCTATATCTCTTAGTATCCTATAGAGCATATGTTTTAATCTTGATCTTCTGTCAAATTGTTTTAAAAATCCGTGACCCTTTATTCTTCTTTACAAATGCTTGACTCACCTTACAAAGTCCAAGAAATAAAAATAAGAATTTTGTTTGAAAGTATATGACATATTTACATTAGGGAAAATTAGCATCATTTGGTAAAGAGGTTATCCATCATGGATGAGGTATTCCTTCCAATTATCCAGGTCTATTTTTATATCTTAAATTATTTTATAGTTTTATCTATAGTGACCTTACACATAATCTGTTGTTTGTTCATAAGAAACATATATTTATTTTTTGCTGTAATGTTTTATGAGATTCATTTCTTCATTACTAATTGACTGTAATTAGTACAGAGAAAAAGATTATTAATATTTAAATGTTTGTTATATGTTCAGCCATTTTTAAAAACTTTTTTTACTATTCTTTTAATGGTTCCCTTTGATTTATGAACATAAGCACATAATATCAGTCACTATCTTTCAGTAATACTTTAGTTCTCATTATTTAATTGAGTCTTATTGGATCCAGACTTGGAGCTCAGAAAGTTTGTGCGTTCAGTATCTGCTTATTTTGTTTTTTAATATTTCTTTTTTGAGCTCTTGTCAGAACCTGCTGATCTCTTCCATTTTTTTCTGTCTTCGTAATTCCAAGTTGTTCACTATCATCTTATCATCACTTGTTTTTACTATTATGAAAGATTTTTCTAATCCCCCTAAAACAAATCTTTATTAAGTAAGCATTTATCAATAAGTGTTTTTGAAGATCTCGAGTGCTAATTTTTTCCAGTTTTCCCTGTCGTTTCTTCATATAACAAGAGCAAACAGACAAGCAGCATACTTACCAAGCTTGCTGGAGTTGTATCTGTTGGGGAATCCTTAAGGACATAAGTGTTGTAGGAGGTACACATGTTCCTCAGAACTGCTTGCATACAGGGCAATACAGAGACATGGACAAGACATCACACTCAAGGAGATGTTCTCCAACCTGGGTGTTATGGAGTTGTATAACAAGGGAGACACTGGCCACAACCTTTATAGGATCAGGAAACATAGTGTAATAGTGACAAGTGGCTCATGTCTATAATCCCAGCATTTTGGGAGGCCGAGGCGGGTGGATCACCTGAGGTCATGAGTTCAAGACCAGCCTGGGCAACATGATGAAACCCTGTCTGTACTAAAAATACAAAAATCAGGTGGGCGCGGCAGTGCACGCCTGTAATCCCAGCTACTTGGGAGGCTGAGGCAGGAGAATTGTTTGAACCTGGGAGGTGGAGGTTGCAGTGAGCTGAGATGGCCCCATTGCACTCCAGCCTGGGAAACAGAGTGAGACTCCCTCTCAAACAAAAAAAAAAAAAAAAAAAAAGGCTGTCTTCCAACTCTTATGGTTGCAGCTGTATGATATGTGTACTGGTGGCAGGATTCCCAACATCAGCACTGGGGGAAGAGGTATGTGAATGGACCTCTCTGAGTGGTTAAAAAACTGAAGATCAGCATTTATCAGTGAGATTGCTACTTGTATGAGTCAACTTAACTGAGCCACAGCATGTGCCGATATTTGGTTAAAGTTTATTTTTGAGTGTGTCTGTGAGGATATTTCTGGATATTAACATTTGAATAGCTAAACTGAGTAAGGCAGATTGCCTTCCTACTGGGGAGAGTCTTATACAATTCACTGAAGGTCTGAATTCTCTCTCTGACTGAGTCTTTGAGCTGAGATATTGGTCTTCTCATGCCTTTGAATGCTGACTCAGGCCTACACTAACCACTCTCCCGCTTCTCAGGCCTTTGGACTCAGATTGACACTACATCATCAGCTCTCTGGAGTCTGGACTTCTCAGACTCTATAAATAGGATGAACCTTTTTCATACACCTCTCTCCATCCCTCTATCTATCTCGCTCTCTCCATCTCTTTCTCTTTCTCTCTCCCTCTCTTCATCTCTCTCTCTCTCTCTCTCTCTCTCTCTATATATATATATATATATACACACACATACATAGCCGAATGTCTCTAGGAGGTTATACACCAGTCAAACCCTGCCATCTTGCCTCTTTTTTTTTTTTTTTTTGTATTATTCTGAGACAGAGTCTCACTCTGTGCCACAGGCTGGAGTGCAGTGGTGTGATCTTGGCTCGCTAAAATCTTTGTCTCCCAAGCTCAAGTGATTCTCCTCCCTCGGCCTCCCTAGTAGCTGGAATTACAGGTGTGTGCCACCATGCCCAGCTAATTTTTGCATTTTTAGTAGAGATGGAATTTCACCATGTTGCCCAGGCTGGTCTGGAACTCCTAAGCTCAGGCAGTCCACCTACCTTGGTCTCCCACAATGTTAGGTTTACAGGCATGAACCACTGTGTATGGCCCCATCTTGCTTCTTAATGCACATGTCTGGACCCACTTCCCAAACTCCTGAGATCTTATCGGGAAACTGCTGATCAACAGTTTCAGGTGTTTTTATCTATTGGGAGACTACCCTTCTCTGTAACTGGCTGCAACCAATTAATACTATTTTATGAAGAGACAGTGTAACAACCACCTGACCATCACCTGATGGTTGCGTGACATTTCTTGAGGGGTTGGGGGAGCCCTCTGCTGCCCTGCTTATGCCTGACTAGCTACCTACTGTAACAATGAGGACAGATCCTTCATGAATAGCTTATCACTCTCTGTGTGGTTATGAGTGAGTTCTGTCTCTGAGTTCAAGCAAACTCTGTTTGAAAGTGAATGGCACTTTCTCTGTCGCACCTGCTATTGCCATGTGATGCCATCTGCTTCCCCTTTGCCTTCTGCCATAATTGGGAGCTTCCTTAGGGCCCCATCAGAAGCAGATGCCAGCACCATACTTCTTGTACAGTCTGTGGCACCGTAAGCCACAATAAACCACTTTTCTTTATCAATTACGGAGCCTGAGGTTTTTTTATAGCAATGCAAATGGACTAACACACTTGTTCACCTACCAAAATGATCCTGAGCCCTCTAGATGGGGACATATCTTCTGGGTATTCAGGTAAGAACCATACCAACTACATTGCTCAGAGAACAAGGCTTACTTTGATTTTTTCATAGCGTTTTAAGGTATAAGTTTAAAGTTATCTTTTGTGTATTAGATAAAAGAAATGTAGAAATGTTAATACAATTAAGCTGTACTATTATACATGTTTTCTTCCTAACAAATATATCACAAATTAAAATTGTACTCAAATAAACAAAGAAAGTGGAACATAAAGATCAATCTAGAAAATAATGTGAACTATTTGATTTTTGGCAAAATTAAACAGCTTTCTAAAATCATTTAGTATCTCATTCTTTAAATGTCACTTATCTGAAAATATTCACAGAAATTATTCACTCACCCAATTCAACATCAGTTCATACATTAAAATTATTTTTGGATTCCTTGAGCTTAATTACTTACATATGTGAAATTAGGCTAGAATTTGCCTGGACTGTTGAGGCCTTATCACTTGGTAGTCAAGCTAATGTTCGTCACCTTTCATCCCACTCTGAATTAATTTGATATGGAAGTAAAAAGAAAAAAAATGACAGTGGATCATGAAAAAGTAACATGATGAAAATGAAGAGGTGATGGAATATAATTTCGGGGGTTAGTAAGAGGAAAACAAAAACTGAAAAGAGGTTTCAGAGGTATCAAGGCCAACACTGACCAATGACTGCATAATTCCTGGGCTGCCAGCAAGTCAGTGATCCCAGGTTTTAATTCCATGAATGAAAATGTCACTACTCAGGAGGCTAAGGCACGAGCATTGTTTGAACCCAGGAGGCAGAGGTTGCAGTGAGCTGAGATTGCACCACTGCACTCCAGCCTGGGTGACAGAATGAGACTGTCTCAAAAAAAAAAAAAGTCAGTTACAGTCATAAAATTGTTTTCAAATGACATTTGTCTATAAAACCTTATATATTTCTTCTTTCCAAAAATGTAAGCATTTTAGAATTACATAATAATCATTGATTATAAACAGTTCAAATAAGAGAGACTTCAAAGTACCTAGGGATTAGTTTTCCTTTATAATCCTTGGGGAAATTATTCTAAAACTAAATTGCTTCCAATCATTCTGAACCTTTTTCTTTAATAACTAGATATTTACTGTAAAATCATTCCAAACCACTTCTGAAACAAAGCAGCAGCCCAAACACTTTTGGCTCTGGTTTAGTATCTCATCATGATATAATATTTCTATTACCAAATAATAAGCCTTCATTATCCAGAGGATTACCTGCCTACAACATGATTTATTGACTTAACGTGTATTTATAGTCCATACAAATATGTGTGTTAAAAACCCATCTTTCAGAAGACAGAACTTCTTTGGGGAAATCTTCACTTTCTCCCAGAGGCCAATGCTCATATATTTTTGAAGTGAACAAGAATTTGCTAGAGAAGTTTTATTGTCTCATAAACAAATAATCCATGAAATTAGAAAATATATACAATTTTAAAAAAAGGAAAAATCTTTATGTAATACTTATTGAATTCAACCAGAATTTTTACTGGAGCAAAAATTATAATGCTAACAACATACGTTAGAAAATTATCTAGCATAAAACAAATTTGCTAACATAGTCAAATTACTAAGTTCAGAAATGAAGTATAAACTCAAAGAAAAATACAATAAGAAAAGTAAAATGAATAATGAACAAATAATATAATTAAATAGAAACAATCAAATAAAAATATGACTCTCTAACATGGCTAAGAGAAAATAGGCTTCTAGGAAAAGTAATCAAGAGAGAAAAGGAATGAAAAAGTCATATATTAATAGCCAAAACTGAAACATAGGGCAAGACCACTAATGGATTAAAATATAATTAAAATATAAAAGTAATTAGAAAATATTATGATCAACTTTGTGATAAAGAGAAAATCAACCATGACTTGTAGACAGCCCTCAACCAAAACTGACACACGCAGCTTTGAAAATTTGTATTGATCTTTAACTCACAAATTTCAACAAGTCAACAAAATAAAGCAATTAAATATAAAACCAAGCTCACTTGTTTATATAAATTTTTAACAAAAAATTTAAAAAAAACTTCTTATTTCCTATAACACAATCCATAACATTTTTAAAAATTGAAAAAAATCCTTAATGTGTGTGGCTTATACACAATTACATTATGTGACTACATAAATACATAGTTCTTAATGCTAAAACCAGTTAAGTGTTTTCTGGGAAAAGAAAAAGAAAAACATAGGCTAACCTTACGTATGTATGCAGTTCCAAATTTTAAGTAAAATATTAGCAGAATAAATCTAGAAAAAAAAATACAGTAAAAATGTAATGTAAAAGAAAAGGAAATGGCCTAACAACCTCTCTGTTACCAGAATGAAGAAAGAATGTCATTAAAAATATAATGTAACAGTTAAATAAATGAATTACTTCTATATATGTTGGCACAAAGAAATCATAGAAAAAAATATTAAATTATTGAATCCTGGCATAAAATATTGCACACTATATCTTGCCAAAAATGTAATTTTTGAACATAAAACACACCTGTATGTTAGTATGGATGCATACAATTTTAGTAAAAGGCAAACAAAACTTTGCATGATAAAAACATATGCCCAAATTAACCTTGTCTTTATCTACAGAGAAAGGTGGAAGACATGGAAGGAAATTCTTAACTGTATCTTAACATTACATTCATTTTACTCTCTGAGTATATGTAAAGCTCAACTGGCTAAATGTTACCATCATTCATACTTGATGACAGCATAAAGTGAAATGTATCATTAAATTCTGATAATTTAAAATTCTCATCATTAATGAAATGAGATTATAATTATAAAAATAATACAATGTTTGTGATTTTCATAGAAGTAATGAGTTTTGAAGTATAAATGACTTTATAAAAACCATATATTAGCAGTAAAATTATTTCCATCAACAATATATACTATACAATTTTTTAAGTGGTATAAACAACCCACTGAAATAAGTTTTTGGATTAATTTACTTGTACTTATTATCTCTTCAGGAAAACTCAATTGTAATTCACATTGATAAAAAATTATATTTTTTGTGGTATTCATGAAGATGTTAATTTTTCTAAAGTGAAAGCTCCACATACATCTCCATGCATTGCCATTATCGTTACTTTTTAAAGACTGACGTAATAATGATACATATTTGTGGTGTGCAATGCCATGTTTTCATACATTATGTAATAATCAAATCAGTGTAATTAGCGTATCCGTCACCTCAAACATTTATCATTTCTTTGTGGTGAGATCATTCAAACTTCTGTTTTCTAGCTATTTTGAGACATGCAATATTTTATTATTGACTATAATCACCCTCCTGTGCAATAAGACAGAATAATTTTTTCTTCCTTTTTAATTGTAGCTTTGTATCCATTGACCGTTCTCTCCTCATCATGTCCCCCTCAACTTCCCCTTTCTGTGGTAACCATTATTCTGTTCACTAATTCTATGAGATCAACTGTTCTTGATTTCTAATAAGAGTGAGAAATACAGTACTTGTCTTTCTGTGTCTGGCTTATTTCACTTAACTTAATTTCCTCCAAGTTCATCTGTGCTGTCACAAAAAATATGTTTTTAAAAACTTTCTGGATTAGTACTGACAGAAAGTGTTAGTATTGGGAATTATTTGCTATGCCACCACTTTATTTGTTTTCCATCATCCCCACCTTATGGAAAGAAAGACTGGAATGAAAGTGCCAAAAAAACCACTTCGGATATTTTTAAAACTTTCCTCAGTAAGTCTATTTACTTACTCTTTAATCTGACTGTATAGGTTATAGGCTATTTGGGGTCTCCCAATATTTATATGTTGAAGTTCTAACCCACAATGTGTCTGTATTTGGAGATGAGTAACTTAAGAAGGTAATTAAGGTTAAATTGGGCCATAGAGTGGGGCCCTAAGTCAACAGAACTTGTGTTCTTACAGGAAGAGGAAGAGACACCAGAGATTTTTCTGTCTTCATGGGCATATTAAAAAGGTCATGTCCATTTGAGGACACAGCAAGAAGGTGACTACATGCAAACCAGAAAGAGAGGTTTCACCAAAAGCCAATGCTGTTGACATCTTAATCTTGGACTTTCAGCCTACAGAAGTTAGAAAATAAATGTCTGTTGTTTAAGCCTGTGGTATTTTGAAGTCTGTGATATTTTGTTATGGCAGCTCAAGCATACTAATACAATAGGTTTGCCTAAAAGTCAGTGCACTCTACTAATCTATTGAAGACATGCTAAATGAATATTTTCCAGAAACTCTGGAGTAACACACACCTTAGATTTCTAAGACATAACTTTTCATTGTAAATTATATATCAAACAACGGAAGATCATCTTATAAGAGTAAAATATTTGTGTTTATTTTTCAAGTGAAAATATATAGCAATTTGTTAATCATACATATAAATCATATGTACAGGTTTTACCTATTATTCTCCAGTGAGTCCAATTCAATTCTGCTCTATTTATATAAGCATAACCTTTAAAAAACTTAGAACTATATTTTTATTCAAAGGTACTTAATAATTTACATTATTTTGGTAATTCTGATTCTATAATAATTTTTAAATATCTGTTACATTCCCCTATAATTTGGAGGTGATTTACTTATTTCCATTTGATTGTCAGTAGTTGTTGAGGTTTAAATAACAAACCATGCGCTATTATTTTAACTCACGACCGTATTTCCCCAAATATTTCAAAAGTTATTTCCTAATTATGTTCCACAACTTCTTCATGATAATGCATTTTACTGGCAGCTTATTCGTGTAGATTATAATTTTAATAACACACATTAAATAAGAAAAAAACTATACATTTTATGGTACTTTGGAGCAAACATGTTTTTCACATCCACATATTTAATATGTGTGATCATTTCTATTTGTATTCCATATATTCCTATTATATATTTTATCAACATACTTATAACAATATTTATAATTCACTAGGTTTATTTCTATTTCCTGGCCTTTACTTCAGCCATTTACAAAGCCATAATTCTCTTCTCCCTCTTCGCAATCTATGGAACTAGAAAGTCACCTCTCACATGAAGCCAACTTTTAAAATTCGACCTCATTTGGATATTATTTTTTCTGTTCTTTAATAATGTTTAGAATCTATAACACGTTTAAATTCCTAACCGTATTTAGGTACATAATCATATATATATACACATACACACACACACACACACAAACACACACACATACACACACACGGAAGTTTGGTTCCAAACTAAGAGAAATACTTTATTTATACTTTATGTATTTGATATACACCTAAAAATATTACAGGCAGAGTGTTCATTTCCAGCTCTTTACACATGATATTGTATACCAAATACTATTTGAGGATGTAAACACAAAAATTATATTTAGTCATAAAATAAACATATAAGACTGGAAAAGTCATAAACTATTCCAATATCAAGTGTAAAACTGTTGATTTTTTTGCATTTTCTCATATCTGCTTTTTATTACTGAAGAAAATTGAAAATTTCTATATTTTGACATATTTGTTTGAATCGCTTAGTAAGGAGAACTGTACCAAGTATCTATCTATTTTTAAGGTATATTTTTCATATTCTTGTATTTATTATAACCTTTCTTCATCATGATATTTATACCTTTAGCTACTTTACCCTGCCTAATCTCTTATATGTCATTTTACTATTTGTTTAAACCCCAAAATTAGGGCTAGGATTAATCAATTCATAATCCCTAAAAGGGAAGTTATTTTAGGCAAATACAGTACGAAATCTGGCAAATAGTTCGTACATTCTTTACATAACCAAAGTAAGATGATTTCAACAAATGGAAGGCAATAGAGAAATTTGAGGGGACATAGTGCTTAAAATCAAAACCAGCAGTTGTAGGAAAGATAGCAAGACTCATTGTGCAGAAACTCCAGTATAAATTTCTCCCCAAAATTCCATCTTATTTCCTATTCCAAATCTCACTTAAATATTTTTTTAAAAAACTTCTCAAAATTCACTAATTTTACCAAGCCTGTTTCTTCCACAACTTTCTGTCACTTAATGGATAGCAACATTCTCATTCTGATTGCTCAGGTCAGGATACTTGGAGACATAATTAGCTTCAATCTTTTTTTGTAACAGCTTATATGCAATTCATCTGGACATTTCATTTTCATTCCATTCGAATGGAATGGAATATGGATACATATATATCCATATATATATCCATATATATTTATGCCCCAAATAATTTGTAATAAATGAAATGAATGCTTTGCAATAGCAAAATATTATGCTACTTCCATTATTTCTCACAATCTTCACCATTGATCTGCATAAACACACCATCAAAGCAATCTTTGTAAAACATAAGTCAATTTCATGCAATTCCAATAAACATAGCATACCCCTACCTCACCTATATACCAGTTGATTGTAAGATTCACACACACACACACACACACATATGTTTCCTAGACAGTTTGAGCTGCTAAACAAAGTACCATAGACTGGGTGCCTTATAAGCAACAGAAATTTATTTCTGATAACTCTGGAGGTTGGAAGTCTGAGATCAGGAAGCTGGCATGATTGGGTTCTGGTGAAGACCTTCTTCCAGGTTTTAGACTGCCAACTTCTTGTATCCTTACATAGCAGAAATAGGACTATTTAGTTATCTAGCCTTGTTCTGTAAGGACACAAATCCCATTCAAGAGGGTTCTGTTCTCATGACATAATTATCTCCCAAAGACACTGTCTCTAAATATCTTTACATTGATATTAAGTTTTCAGAGTATGAATTTTAGAAATACACAGACATTTAGTCCATTGCAATGAAATAATAGAATAAGCTGAAAAGTAGGTCAATGAGGGGACTCTAGATTTGTCAGATGCAAAAACGTAAACACTAAGCTATCCCAATTCATGTAGACCAGAGGAAAAGCACAGAATGTTCAGAAATACACCCAAGTACACGGGCAATTTTCATATACAATTAAATGACATCACAAATAGCAGAGGAAAAGGTAGACATTTTATTACATGGTGTTGGCTGAACTGGATAGCCATTTTGCAAAACAAAAATTGATAAAATTGAATACCTAAAAAACACATATACCTGAATAAACACTAAATAAATGTTACCTAAATATAAAAAAACCTAAATTATACAAGCAGTAAAAACAAGCTCCATGTGGATTCACTTTTAATCTGAGTGTGAGAGAACAAAGTTAAATTGTAACTAAAAAATTCAGATGCAATAAAATATTAATATATTCAACTTTATAAAATAATTGCATTAAAAAATTAGAAACATGAAATGTTAAAGTGGAGAACAAAGTTGTAATAAATATAATAAAAAGGGCCAATTTTCTTATTATATAAGTAATTCCTTAAATATTGAGTAAAAAATGACTAAACAACTGATCAAAAAATGTGCCGAAGTCATAAACTCACACACATAAAATGAATAGTACATCAACACACACCCCCATACATTTTGAAGTGGCTTTTGAAAATTATAAAAAGCGCTCAACACCAGAGAAGTGAAAATTAAAACTATACTCTGATGCTATTTCTCATCTTTCAATGACAAAAATTCAAAACCCTGAAAATGCACTTTATTGGCAAGCTATAGGCTGAGTCACCCTTATACATAGCTAGAGGGGCTGCAAAATTTGTATAACTCCTATGTACAGAATATGACATCTAAAAAACTAAACTTGCAATTATACTTATAACCTAGCAATTCTTTTTTTTTGAGATGGAGTCTCGATCTTGTCGCCCAGCCTGGAGTGCAGTGGTGCGATCTTGGCTCACTGCAACCTCTGCTTCCTGATTTCAAGTGATTCTCCTGCCTCAGCCTCTTGAGTAGCTGGGATTACAGGCACAAGCCACCATGCCCGGCTAATTTTTGTATTTTTAGTAGAGATGGGGTTTCACCATGTTGGCCAGGCTGGTGTTGAGCCCTGACCTCAGGTGATCCGCCTGCCTCGGTCTCCCAAAGTACTGGGATTACAGGTGTGAGCCACCACGCCTGGCCAGGATTTCTACTTTTAAAAATTACTTTAAATTATACTTCCAACATACAAACACATGCAAAGATATTTATTGTGGCATTATTTTAAACTGTGAAATACTAGAAACAGTCTAAAAATTTACCTCAGAAGACCGGTTGAAAACTACAATATAGGGAGCAATGAATACTATGAAACTGTAAAACAGGATGAAAAGACTTTTATGAGCTGATATGAAGTGATTTCCAGGACAAAATCTCTTTTTAAAGAAGCAATGTGTAAAATAAAGTATGTATATATTGTACTGCTATTTGTAAGAAAACAAAAAATGTGACATATTATTATGTATGTGCAATCTTTTATTGGAGAAACAAAACCATAAACCATAAAAACAAAACGAATTAAATTTGTAACCAATAAGCAAAGCAATGGTATAGTAGAGATAGAAAAAGATTGAGTCTTTAATTTTTGAACCATATGATTCCCAAATTCAAACAATATAATTAAATCTCAATTATATTAAGAGAAGGGGAAATTAAAATGAACTATCAACAAAACAATAAGTATATGAAATTGATAACATATAGAACATGCACACGCACACACATACAGAGTCATTTCAAGTGTCTTTGACTACAATACTTGGATTATACTCTCTCTGTGAGATATAGTCTAAGGATAACAATAAAAACCTTGAACTTAGGATGTTGGTTATTGGTAGTGGTATTGGTGATTCAACTCCAATACAATGTTGTACATAATGTAAGAGGAAATTTTTTAACAAATCTGGTTATAGTTGAGAAATTGGATACTCTGTATGGGAAAAGGGAGCTATAGATACAAACATGGCAAGATGAAAAGGCATATTCCCTTCTGGCAGTGGGAGGGCTGGAATCAAAAGTGTCCTAAAACTCCTAGATGGAATCATGGATGTAGAGATGGCACAGGCTGCTGACAAGACCTAGAAGTAATGACACCACCGTAATAATGAGCATGACTAGACATCAGTCATGCTTTTGTAAATTGTTTGCAAGGCTTCTTTGAGAAATATGTAATTTCAGGTGTAGAGAATAATAAAATACAAACTAACCCTCCAATATGTTTTCTGTGTGTCAGAAACTAAGAATGTGCTCAAAAACTAAAAGGGTCATGTCAAAAAACCTTATTAGATTTATAAATTGACCAAATTTTGTTTGTGGGAACCTCTTTAAGATGGCTTCTGTTTTCTTTCTGAAACTTTTGCCTCAGGATTTTTTCATCAGTTGTTCATTCTGCTTTGAGAGCACATCCTCACGTAGCCAACTGGCTCACTTTTAGTCTGCGTTCCAATGTTATCTTGCCAATGAGGCTCCTACTATTTACCCTATTAAAATTTTTACTACCTCCCAGCACTTCTGAGCCTCCTCACCAAGCTCTGCTTTTCCATAGCATTTGTAATATTTTTGAAAATAATGTTATTCTGATTGGTCTTTCCTCCCTTCCTCTAATATTATAGAATAAATGACAATAGGGACAGTTATATTTTGCTTGTTTTATACACTGTTATTCACCACACGCTAGCCTTAGCCTAATATTTAGTGCCTAGCCTAAAATACACTCCCAATTAATATCTGTTGAATAAGTTTATTGATTCCTAAATCTGCACTTTTTAGTACATTACAGCCACTTCTTTATATATGATCATTTGCTTTATGAAAAATAAGAGTTTCAGGAAGAAAATTATTTGTGCACAGCTTGATATTCTTAGAGTTATTTTTAATACATTTTCTTCTTTCGTCAGTTATTTATCTAATAGGCAATCAAATCTTGTCAATCCCTCCCTCCAAATGTCTTTAAATGTGTCATTTTATTTACTTGCTAACACCCACCACCTTGGCTCTGTAGCTCATCATCTTACACCTGGATTACTGAAATAGCCTCTCTTCTGGCAACCATACACAAATCATTTTATGCATCATTCCTTCTTAAATGAGTGTTTAATTTCTCTAAATCACAGCTTTCAAAATGTGACTTCCAATCTCAGAAATTATCAATGACTCTCTAGTCACTTTGGAAAATCTTCACTTTAGCTTTAAAAGCAGTCAAGAATCTGTTTCTACTTATATTTATCTCTCACCCTTGACCCATTCTACACCATTCACTCTGAATGACTCTAGATACTCTGTTTGATTTTACTTAATTTTATTAAGTATTTTGTTTTCCAAATAATGAGGGTGGGGGTGGGAGCGAGAAGGAAATACTCTACCCTCTACTAGCAGAGTTCAGTTATTATAATGGTCTTAAATTACTTTTACAGAGTAAGGAGAATCTAAAATTTCACCCCAAAAATTTTCAAATTGTATAAGTGTACACATACACACACGCACCACACAGCACACTGGATTCTCCAGAAATCATATCCTCAAATAATGTTCTGAATCCACTTTACTGGAAAACGTGTCCCAAAATTATTAGGAATTAGGAAAATCTTATCAAAGAAAAAGAGAAAAACAATGCAAAAATGCAGTTTGAGTCAGCCACATTTATGGCTGGTTGCCTCTTTTATCTCATGATACCACTTGAGAAGATATATTTAATGTTCCCACGACCAACCATCTGGGGAAAAAAATTGGAGGCACTTATTCATAGGCTTTCATTCCTAGTTGGTAAGAAGTTCTCCTCGTGAATGATTAACTGCCTTGCACTCCTGGATTGCATAGTCCTGATAAAGGGAACAGTCATTTCGCGCTAGCTTGAAGCTGATTTTGACCTATGCAAAGTTGGACGTTGCCATATGAATGAAAAACACATGTAGATGAGACTGAGAATCATAGTGGAGCACAAGAGCTGTCAGACACAATCCATACCTGCACCATTCAGACCTGTTCTATTCCTCCATTAAATCTTTTTATTTTATTTTATTTTATTTTATTTTATTTTATTTTATTTTATTTTATTTTATTTTATTTTATTTTATTTTATTTTGTTTGAGAGAGGGTCTTACTCTGTCACCCAGGCTGGAGTGCAGTGGTGTGATCTCAGCTCACTACAGCCTTCACTTTCTGGGTTCAAGCAATCCTCCTGCTTCAGCCTCCTGAGTAGCTGGGATTACAGTAGCCTGGCTAGTTTTTGCATTTTTAGTAGAGATGACGTTTCACCATGTTGACCAGACTGGTCTCGAACTCCTGACCTCAGGTGATCCACCTGCCTCAGCCTCCCAAAGTGCTGAGATTTCAGGTGTGAGCCACTGCACCTGGCCTAAGTCTTATCTATATCTGCCTGCCTCAGCCTCCCAAAGTGCTAGGATTTCAGGTGTGAGCCATTGTGCCTGGCCTAAATCTTATCTATATCTGTGGCACTTTAAAACTAGACCTCTAATCTCTTCAAAGATTCAATGTAAGAAAGTTAGTGGATTAAATATTTACTTCTGTAGTTTATGTTGAATATGTAATTAATATCTACCTCTCTCCTTTGTCGCTAATTCTATATTTCCCTCATAGCCAGACAACACTGTGTCTGGCTGAATATCTTACCTTTTGGTATAACCTTGAACTTAATAACAGAGAGATATGAGACAAGAGTCACTTTCTCTTTTGAGGATGAAGTTTCTGTAATTTCACATTCTCTGTTACTTTTATGAGCATGAAAGCTTCAAGAAATGCCGCAATTAATTTTATGGGTTGAGATTCCTTCTACTCTGTGAAAGTAGTTATAGGTCCTTATGATTATTGGAATCTGCCAGTGAAGTATATTCCTTTCCCTCAATCCTTCCCCTCCAACACTGGTCATTCTTCATACGGAGAAAACTAAAAGTGATCAAGTGGGCCAAGTGCGGTGGCTCGTTCCTGTAATCCCAGCACTTTGGAAGGCCGAGGCAGGTGGATTGCCTGAGGTCAGGAGTACGAGACTAGTCTGGCCAACATGGTAAAACCCCATCTCTACTAAAAATACAAAAAAATTAGCCTGACATGGTGTCATGCCCCTGTCATCCCAGGTACTCAGGAGGCTGAGGCAGGAGAATTGCTTGAACCAGGGAGGTGGGTGTTGCAGTGAGCCGAGATCACACCACTGCACTCCAGTCAGGGCGATAGAACAAGACTCCATCTCAAAAAAACAAACAAAAAAAAAAGAGATCAAGTGGTAGCTTTAGACTCAAATTCAGCAGAAACCTTACAGTGCTCCTTGGCAGAAAACACGCAATCTAACAGGACCTCAAATCTTGCAGACTACCAGTTGCATTGATAATAAACCCAAATATTTCCACTTGATTGTTAAAAGTGTTCTCCATTCTTGTCTGCTTTAATAGCTACAAGAGTGAAAACACCATATACTGCCTGTTGGCTCAGCATCCTGGAGGAGAGCTAGAACCCCTGCAAAGACCTGTGGTGATGTTCTGTCTTAGATGAGCTCTTTAAATGCTGTTTGAGCTCACAGATTGGAGATTTCTACTGACAGCATATGTAGTAAGATAGGTGATTATTTGACCATGCAACCATTGAAGCACTTCCTTTGATACTGAAAGGGTTAATAACTTACACACAATGTTGTGCACATATCACAGATATAGGGAATTCTTCAAAACATATGTAGTGATGTTTAAAATGTCAGTACAGGCACAGAAAGCAAACTCATTCAAAATTGGTGTCAAGTTGCTGTTTCTTTCAGAAGGGAAGAGGTCTGATAAAATTTACTGTCTACCTTTAGAAATGGTAGTATATTGAAGACATAGTGTTGGTTTCTACTGATGGCTGGTTAGAATACTCACAATGGCAGTAGGCAAATTAGTCTTTATGAGAATCCATGTTGGTGGGCGCCTGCACTTCCTTTATCTCGGTTATTATGGCAAAATGTTTGTGGTCATAGGATTACTGTTCTTTTTAGTTGTTGAAAACTTTTTGGTGTGGATAGCTCTGGATAAGCATTACACAAGACACAAAAATTCTCACATTTTGTGTTCTCTCCACATATCCATCCATATCACTCTTTTTTAGGCTCATCCTTTATCTTTCAATCTTGCTCCTATCAGCCAAATCATTGATGCCCAGATCATTATATTCCATCAAACAACAACACTAACAACAACACTGCCGGTTGGTGTCTAAAATTAGCCATGCACACCCCTGAATTCATTGCTTACTGAGATCCTGGAAAATGACATTGTAAAAGCACAATCTTTCTGAGCAGAGCAAACTGCTGTCTTACATAGATTTTCTTGGAAAGTATGGACTTCAATGATTAGTGGCCTTTTAGATATGGAAGCAAGTTGATGTTAATTGTAAATGTGTGGTTAGTAGGGTGAGACTATAAGTGATTGATTGACCTCTAGAGGCATGTTCATTGGTGTGATGCCATTCCCAACTTGATGACTTTCAAGAAAAAAGGGTTTGGTCATCTTTCAGAAGCATGTTTCCTGTCATAAACAGTTATTTTATTTTGTTTTGTTTAGTTGCTTTTTGTTTAGGTGGTGGTACAACAGATAAAATGAATGTGGATATGCTGGACACAAACACATTACATTTTTTAAAATTTTTGCTGGTGCTTCTAAACCCTTACTCCACCTCCGTCTCTTTACTGTGGTTTTGATTTTGATTTTCTCTTTTGAATATGGGGGTTAGGTCAGTTTTAGAAGCTTTTATTTGATATTTTTTACAAAACTGTTAATGAAGTTATGTTAAAAATTTATTTTTATCCCTCAATCAACATAACAATATTATAGGTCTTTAAGTAAAGGAAATCTATGATTACATTTTAGAACTCTTACTCTGACTACAAAGCAGAGAATATCTTTCCACACAGCAAATCTTGAAACAATAAAGAAAGATAGAATACGTTTTTGATATTTCAAAAAGGGAAGTTGGTGGATGGAATAGCATAGCAAATAAAAAAAAGTCAGTGACTTCAAAAAATATTTCAGGTTTGATACAGATGAGATTTCATAGTTGATTAAAGAAGCTAATGAACCAAATGAAAATAGCTTATTTCTGTCTCCAAAAACTGGGTGAATGAGACTGGAAAAGCAAAAGGAAGAGAAAATTGGAGAAAGAGTGAAGGGAGCAGGAAGAAAATAAGTTTTGTTTTTGGACATTGCATTCGTTTTCTATTGCTGCTTTACTATGTTAGTCTGCTCTCACACTACTATAAAGGTACTACCTGAGACTGAGCAATTTATGAAGGAAAGAGGTTTAATTGACTTGTACTTCTGCACAACCTCAGAAAAGTTACAATCATGGTGGAAGAAAAGGGGGAGAAAGTACCTACTTCACCAGGAGACAGAGAGAGAGCACAAGGGAAACTGCCACTTTTAAACCATTAGATCTCATGAGGAAGCCCTCATGTCACAAGAACAGCATATGGGAAACTGCCTCCATCTCCCACTAGGTATCCCCTGAACAGGTAGAAATTACAATTTGAGATGAGATTTGGGAGGGAACACAGAGCCAAACCATATTATTCTGCCCCTGGACCCTCCCAAATCCCATGTCTTTTTCACATTTCAAAACCAATCATGCTTTCTCAACAGTACCCCAAAGTCTTAACTCCTTCCAGCATTAACTCAAAAGTCCAAGACTAAAGTCTCATCTGAAACAAAGCAAGTCCCTTCCACTTATGAACCTGTAAAATAAAAAGCAAGTTAGTTACTTCCAAGATCCAATGGGTGAACAGCCATTGGGCAAATGTTTCCATTCCAAATGGGAGGAACTGTCCAAAACAAAGGGGCCACAGGCCTCATGAAAGTTCAAAGTTTAACAGGTCACTCATTAAATCTTAAAGCTCCAAAATAATCTTCTTTAACTCCATGTCTCACATCCAGAACATGCTGATGCAAGGGATAGACTCCCAAGGCCTTGGGCAGCTCTGTCCCTGTGGCTTTGCTCAGTAGCTCCCCCATGGCTGCTTTCACAGGCTTGTGTCAAGTGCCTGCAGCTCTTCCAAGCACACGGTATAAGCTGTTGGTAGATCTACCATTCTGGGGTCTGGAGGATGATGGCACACTTTTCACAGATCCACTAGGCTGTGCCTAAGTAGAGACTGTGTTTGGGGGCTACCACCCCACATTTTCCCTCTGCATTGTCCTAGTTGAAGTTCTCCACGAGGGCTCCACCCCTTTAGCAGACTTCTGCCTGTACATTCAGGTATTCCAATGCATCCTCTGAAATCTAGGCACAGGCTCCCAAAGCTCAGCTACTGTCTTCTGCATACTCGTAGGCCCAACACCACATGGAAGCTACTAAGGTTTGAGGCTTGCACCCTCTGGAGCAATGGCCCAAGCTATACATTGGTCCCTTTTAACCGTGGCTGGAGATGGAGTGGCTAGAATGCAGGGCACCAAGTCCTGAAGCTGCACAGAGCTGTGGGACCTTTGGCTTCGCCCAGGAAAGCATTTTTCTTTCCTAGGCCTTGGAGCCTGTGATGGGAGGGGGTGCTGTGAAGATCTCTGACATGACCTGGAGACATTTTCCCCATTGTCTTGGCTCCTCATTACTTATGCAAATTCCTGCAGCCGGCTTGAATTCCTCCCCAGAAAATGGGATTTTCATTTCTACCACATGGTCAGGCTGCAAATTTTCTGAACCTTTATGTTCTGCTTCCTTTTTAAACATAAGTTCCAATTTTCAACCATCTATTTGTGAATATACATGACTAAATGCTTTCAGAATAAACCAGGTCACATTTTGAACACTTTGCTGCTTAGAAATTTCTTCTGCCAGATACCCTATATCATCTCTCAAGTTCGAAGTTCCACAGATCTTTAGGGCAAGGGCAAAATACTGCCAGTCTCTTTCCTAAAGCATAGCAAGGGTGACCTTGCTTCAGTTCTCAATAAGTTCCTCAACTCCATCTAAGACCACCTCAGCCTGGACTTTATTGTCCATATCACTATCAGCATTTTGGTCAAAACCATTTAACAAGTCACTGGGAAGTTCACATTTTTCCACATCTTCCTGTCTTCTTCTGAGCCCTCCAAACTGTTCCAACCTCTGCCTGTTACCCAGTTCCAAAGTTGCTTCCACATTTTCAGGTTATCTTTATAGCAGTACTCCACTCTGCCAGTAGCATTCTCTGTATTAGTTCATTCTCACACTGCTATAATAATACTTCCTGAGACTGAGTGATTTATAAAGGAAATGTTTAATTGACTTACAGTTCCACACTGCCCCAGGAAACTTACAATCATGGCCAAATGCAAAGGAGAATCTAATACCTTCTTCACAAGGCAGCAGGAGAGAGGGAGAGAGAGACGTAGAGAGAGAGACAGAGGGAGAGAGAGAGAGCACGCACTCAGGGGAAACTAGCACTTTAACTACCACTTTTAAACCATCAGATCTTGTGAGAACTCCCTCACTATCACAAGAACAGCGTGGGGGAAACTGCCCGATGATTCAATCACCTCCCACCAGGCCCCACCCTTGACAAGTGGGGATTATAATTCAAGAAGATTTGGGTGAGGACACAAAGCCAAACCACATCACTTATCAAATTACTATAACTTAAAACAACACAAATTTATTATGTCACAGTTCTATAGGTCAAAAGTCCTGATTGTCTTGAATAGCTATTTTCTTCTACATTTCACAAAACCTTAACCAACCTGTTAGGCAGCTGGGCTGTTACCAGGAGGTGCTGGGAAGAGCCTGCTTCCAACATAATTTAGGTTGTTAACCCAATTCATGTTCTTGTGATTATAAAACAAATATCCCCATTTTCTCAGTTGCTTTCATCAAGGAGTTAGTCTTTGCTCCTGAGCCTTCTTGCAGTTTTTTCTCATGCTTTCCATATGGCAGTCTTACTACAAAAAAAGTTGAGTCTCTCTTTTTCTTCAAGTATCTTCAGCCACCTCTCCTGACACATCTCTCTGACCTTTCTGTCTTCCTCTTCTACTTTTAGAGGATCATGTGGATTACCTTGTGCCCACCAAGGCAATCCAAGATAATTATATTTTAAGGCCAAATACAGGCTTTTAACTAATTTTTTAAGATCTGTCAGTCCTTCTGGAAAGAGGAATAACCTCCATCTAATTTTCTTCTGAGCATGCTAAATGTCAGGATTCCTAGAAAAGATACTAGTCTTATTTAGCATCAGAGAGATAATGGAGTCCTTAATTATAAAACGTTTTTAGCAGTATATTTCTTGTCTACCTAGGTTATCTATTGTTAAAGAAAAAAGTCATTTTTGAATTTATAGAAATATGGTTGCTGAAATGGTTCCTTAGTACAGTCACTACCTCTTCATACATTGCCTAGAGGGTCCCTCATCTTTTAAATCTGAAACCAAGCATGCCCAAATATAGAAGATGGGAGGCAATTTTGGGGGTCTGTATCTATGTTCTCCAACCTCTCGATAAAAGGGTGGTTCATTTGTGCCTGGAGTTTTTATTCTATCAATAATTCATAAACACTTGTGCTGAGTGAAAACTGTGATTAATTTTTTTCTCATTTAACTATTTGAATCTTTTTTTATTACAACTTACATGCCTGAGATCACCCAAAAAGGTTTAGCATAAAATCCTGAAAAATAAAACTCATAAATAAGATTTAGGAAGAGTAGTCAATCAAAAAGAATTGGCCAGAAACACAGTATCATATGATATTGTGATAGTTAATTTTAACTTGACTGAGCCACAGGTGCTCACACATTATTCTGGATGTGTCTGTTTGAGTGTCTTTGGATGAGATTAACCTTCGCATTGGTAGAGTACATAAAGCAGATTCCTCGCACAAATGTGAGTGGCTCTTCTCCAATCATTTGAAAGATGAATAAAACAAAAGGCTGACCCTGCCATGAATAAGAGAAGATTTCTCTTGCCTGACTGTCTTTGAGCTGGAACATTGGTCTTCCTGCCTTAGACTAAAATGAAAACAATGGTTCTTTCTGAATCCTGAGCTCCCCAGTCTCCAGCCTAGAACTACACTATTGGATCTCCTGGGTCTCCAACTTGCTAGCTGCACATCACGGAATTTGTTAGTCTCCAAAATTATATGAGCCAATTCTTTTCTAATAATCACAGTCTCTCTCTCTCTCATATATATGTATATGACATTAAAAATTGTCAGAATCAGGCTGGGCACAGTGGCTCACGCATGTAATCCCAGCACTTTGGGAGGCCAAGGCGGGCAGATCATGAGGTCAGAAGTTTGAGACAAGCCAATGTAGTGAAACCCCATCTCTACTAAAAAAATAAAAATAAAAAAAAATAACCATGCATGGTGGTGGGAACCTGTAATTCCAGCTACTCCAGAGGCTGAGGCAGGATAATTGTTTGAACCCGGGAGGCAGAGGTTGCTGTGAGCTGAAATTGCTCCATTGCACTCCAGCCTGGGCGACAAGAGTGAAATTCTGTCTAAAAAAAAAAAAAAGAATCATTATTGTTAAGAAAACTCTAATAAATAGAGCCAGGAAATGCCAAAAGCAAAGGGTTCTCACATTTGTTTTCCTGATTAGGAAAAATATTCTACTAAAACCACCACCTTGCACAAAAACCATCACTAACTTACATGAAAGGAAATCTACCCAGCAACTACCTGTCTAACTTCAGACTGGCATCACTCTTGTTATTGATCTTTGTTGTCAAGGATACTTATTTCAAAGCAGTCATGCAATCTTTAAAAACATTTGTCTTCCTTTACCTCCCTGAATGTGTACATAGTTTACGGTCACACATGTATTATCATTGCAATGCTCTAACCCCAAAAAAGCACGTTTTTTTTTTTTTTTGGTTGTTGTTTTATGGAGCCTCTCTCTGTTTGTTATTTAAGTTGATACATATGGTGCCAGAAATGAAATCTGAAAGACATCACTATCAGAAAGAATTAGGGATCTTGCTACAGGCATGCATTACTCGTTTGACCCCTTTGAGTTCTCTGCTTTATGGCTCACATTTTTCTGTCTGAATGGGTCTTCTCTTGGGTTGAGTTTATGTCCTTGTTGTAGAGATCCTCAACTTCATTTCAGATCTGGTTGAATAAGGCTGGCTTAATAAACTTGCATCCCACTTGGACTATGAAAGACTATTTTTTCGTGTTTCCTGGTAAGTTATTTGTGGTATAAAGAAAAGTGTCTTTCTGAATTGAGTAATCTTAGTTTCCACAGAATTTACATTTTATTTGTGAGGCATAACTTCTGTTTTGTGCACGTAATTCAATATTTTGTTAGATCTACATGACTAGGTTAAAATTTTTGTGAACACTCATCTTGATTTTTTTTTAATTTAGTTTGACTTTTTTTTTTCCTTGTTTCTGAAAATATTCTAAGAGCAAAAATAAACATTCTGGATGGTGGGCTCAAGAAGCTAATTAAAAACCAGGGTGGTTGCCACCATCTAAAACTCTGGTTTTAACTCCTAACATTCCCTAACAGGATTTATATGATATTCTTTGCTCTCAGGAGATTAATAAGAAACATTAAGCCATGCCAGGTTTTCTGGGACTCCAGCTGGCTACCTACCATGGCCCATTCTTGCGTGCATTTTAAAATGATGGACAAATTACACCAAGGAAACTTCAGAGCTCAAATGGTAATAACTTGAAAATCCAGCAATTATAGAATTAACAGGTAGAGTCCTCTAAGTTCTCTATCTCTCTGGTTTTTGTTTGTTTGTTTTTTTCTGACTACTTTGAATCTGCTTACTTTCCCGCTGATATTAAGATAAAACTCACTGTTTATGGCATTCTAGTTAAGATTTTTTTTTTAAGGTTTAAAGGGCTTTCAAAGTAATGGTTTTACAAATTACAACAGCTCTATGGTAAGCAACAAACTGAATATCTTTTAGAAATAAAAATTTAGGTTTCCCTAACTAGTAATTTTGTATGCTGATGGGAGACTTCATTGAAAAATTAATAATCTGAAAAACTAGATAAGTATTTATGAAAGTTATAAGTTAGGCTCTCAGACCAAGATCAAACAAGTCAAAATCTTGAGCAAAGAGGTGTAATATATATCTGTCCAGGAGAATTTTTTTTTTTGCCACACAGAAAAAATAAAAAATAAAGAGCTAGAGGAAATTAAAAAACAAGTAACATTCCTTTTTTCCTGCATTTGCTAACTAAGCAAAGGAGACAAGTGAACAAAAAGTAGATTTGTCACTAATTCCAGACTACTTGGACATTTTGTTTTTCTTCACCTAACTAAAAGGTTAGCATTAAAAATTTCACCCTATCGTCATTTGAAACTATAAGAGAAAAAGAAAAAATGTTAGAATTGTTTTTGTTTTTGTTGTTGTTTCTTTTTTTTGTTTGTTTTGCTGTCATAAAAACTGCTTTTCCAAAATTTCAAGTCCACAGGCTATTCTCCTGCTCAAGGTACTATCTTGTTTACATTTCTCTATAATAATGGTGTACAGTCATAACGCTGGACACACCCTTCCTGTTTTGGATCAAATTTGAATACCATTTTTATCAGGTTTGATTTCTGGATTATCTAAATAGGCTTTTCATGAGGAGAAGCGATCACAGTATATGAGGTTTTCCTTCATCTTTTTGGTTGCTGGCCTAAGAAACAAAGATTTTACATTTTATAGAGGTAATTTTCTGTCTTGTCTTTATTAGGTTTTTTATTATTTAGGAAAACTGACCTTTAAAAGAGCTAAAAATTTTATATTCATGTAAATTCCTATATTGCTTTTGAAGTATTTTGAATATCACTCTGGTTGAAAGAATGACTATTATTTCACAGTTACCTGTTTTGACCAAGTGTTTTGAATGTTTTAACATCTCTGGGGCTTTCCAGGATCAAAACTTATGTCTTTTGGCCCAAAATTAACTTTGGGATTTTTCGGTTGGGCTCCTGGGAAGCCTCAAAGAACAGATATCTCATCTTTTAGAGATATTAAATGATTAGACTTCTTTGGTAAATTGTGTGGAAGGCATTGCCAAATGATAAATGATACTAGATCTTTCAGTTATAGTATGGGTATGTTATTAATATGTGTTCTAGGAACTGTATACATTTATGAAAATCTAATATACTATCAATCATAATTTTGATTTTTATGTTAACTCTTTTCTAAAGTTGTTTGTATGTATATGTTATTAGTGTAAATATTCTAAAGTTTATATGAGATGCATAAAAGTCTGATGGTCCTGATATGACACTGTCAGTCATGTTTCTTGTTGCTATCCTTTAATTCTGCACATGAGAGAAATAATTACTTTTTTTTTGTCAATTGAGAACTTTCATCAGATTTTAACCATGGCTATTGCTAATTTTTTGCCATCCGCAGTTATTGTTTTGAATTCTTTTCTAAAGACATTTGCAATTACCTATAATTTTTTATGAAAAAAACAGATTTTTAATAACTTAAAGACAATATAAAAATTTCCAGAAGTCTGATAAAGATATTGTTGAGTTCATAAAACTTCTAATCAAGATTAAGCAAAACAAAAAAATTACAGGAAATTAAGTAATTAATAATGATAGATTCTAAGACTTTCATTTAAAATATTGTTGGTTACTTATTTTGTTTTTCAGATTTAAGAAAATTTTCTCTTATAAACTGTCTATATTTTATAACAATTTTTAAAAGTATGCTTTTGTGAACAAAGGTGAAAGTATACACTTTTCCTCCCTGCTTAATTTCTCCAAAATTCAGAAATGATTTGTGAGTATTCTTATTTTTTATTTACCTAAGTTTAATAAAAATATGCTCTTTCTTTATAAGCAATATACATTTGGAAACATTTATTATATTACCAAGGCTTTAAATACAATGCCATATTTAAGAATGTGAATAAAATTCCTGGCTACAAAAATTATCAGCCTTACAATTAATGAATACAAATTGTCACTTCCTGACAGGCCCAAGAACTTTAAGACTATAAGTAAAATCTAAAGTCTACCTTGGTTTGACTTCCTAGACTGAAGAGATTAAATATGAGATTTCTAAATTTAATGTAAGGGAAAAAAAGTTGTTTCTAAAAAGAAAAACTATAAACCATTTGTTATTGGAGTGTACCCTGGTGCATTGTTTTCAGGTTCTGGTCATCTACCTGTAGACTGGACTAGATCCTCAATTCTCCTAATTTCTTCCAATATTTTGCTACAACTACAACTCAAAACAAGAGCTGCTCTATTCCCAAAGCCCCGTAAGTTAAAACTCATCAAATTTTAAGAAACAAGCCTCATGCTTGATGTACGAACCACATAAAAAGTTTACCAAACTTCCCTATGTCATAATTAAGGACATTCAAACTATAAGCCCAGAGAAATAAATGTTTTTACACTGTAGACAGATTTTTTCCAAAATGTCAGAATGAGACTTCATGTTTTACTGAGATTTTTACCCCTTTTAATGCTATCTTTTCCACTTGACAAGATAATGGTATAATTGAAATATCACAATTAATAGCTTCTGCTGCTAACTTAACAAAACCTAAGCTTAAAAAATTCTGTACTATATATTTATTAAATAAGAGCATTTATTTGCTGTCACTAATACCACATGTTGTACCTGGATAAATTCCTCTGGGAAAGTTAAGATCTATATACACAAAATAAGAAAACAGGTCACATGGTTACAACAGTGACCTAATTTCCTATGGTCATTTGATTTATTCAATGATTTGTTTTAAGACTAAATTTATGGCTCAAAATTATTTTGCAAACTGGAGTTGTTATATTACTATTAATTTTATTTGTATTTCCCCTTTAAATTAATTTAAATTAGATTATTTCACCCTTCAATTTTTGATGAAGTACAGCTCCTAACAAAATAGGACTAGCTCAGCACATTGAGATGAAACAGATAAAATTGAACTAATCATGAACTCCCGGTAGACTTAGCCTAAGAGTCACACCCTTCAAACCTCCCTTGTTGCTCAAATGTGGATAAAAGAATTTTGACATCGACACTTAGTCACCGGTAACTTTCCCCAATGTGGGATGAGACCAGCATCCTGGATAGGTCCATCCCAGCATTGAGGGACATGAAAATCTAACTGCAAAATAATTGGTCAGTGATGCTTCCAGAGAAAGATCTTGATCAAATGGAGAAATGTGAAGTTTGTCAGAATAAAAGTGGAGTCACTAATGCTAAGAAAACCCTGACAAACAGAGCCAGAGAAGGTCATGAAGAGACAGTTCTCACACTTATATACATGATAATAATAAATATCCCACAAAAATCATAACCTTACACAAAGGCCATTACAACCTTACACAAAAACTTTTGCAAAGGCATCTGACTAGCAACTACCTGTTTAACTTTAGACTGGTGTCCCATTTGTTATTAATATTTGTAGCCAAGGACAATTATTTCAAAACACTTATGCTATCTTCCTCATTAAAACAACAACAACAACAAAAACAACAAAAACCTTTGTCTTCCTTTATCTCCCTGAATGTGCATATTCCCATTGCAATGCTATCTTTCCAAATAAACAACCTTTTATTAAGAGAAATTTTTTCCTTTTTGTTATTTAGGTTGACAATATATACACACAATTTTCACTGGTACTCTTTCTCTGGAAAACCCTGACTAATCCCAGTAGAAAGGAAAAAAAGAATATTGAAAGAAGTAGAAAGTAGCCAATAACATCTAATGCTGCAATAAATGTGGTTACAAAAGCAATAATTGCCAAAGGGGTTAGAACAGAGTGAGGGAACTAATAAGGAGCCAATGAGAGAAGACAGGGTAAGAGGTAAAGACAGCAAGTGTAAACAATTCTGTTAACAAGTTTATCTTGTCATCCTCAAAGAATACAACCTTCATCACAATAAAAAGTCTCCATCATCTCCACTGTCTGTTGTATTTGTCACTTTATTCTCAGCACCAAGGAAACATTTAACATACACTAAAAAGTATATTTTATAACACCGTAATTTTTACATCATTCTGTTCACACAATCTCATTTGCTTTTCAATAACAATGTCAACAGTCTTATTCTCACCATTCATAGAAGAAAATTGAATCTCAGGGAAGTTTAGGCACAAAACTAGTTAATTGTGGAGTGTGGGCTGAGTTCATTTTCATAAATCTATTTAAATGTTTTTCCCATGTAAACATACAAACATTTCAAGTGAAAGATCTTTAAAAGTCTATTTTCCTAAAGGCCACGTACAATAACATTTAAAAATTTCAAGTGTAGTAAGACAATGATGCAAATAATATACTATTTTGCTATACTCATGTGCTACATAACATTTTAGTCAGCAATGAACCACATATAAAATGGTGATCACATAGATTATAATACAGCTGAAAATTTTCTATTGCCTAGTGATGTTGTAGCTGTCATAACTTCATGGCCCAGCACCTTCCTGAGATGTTTTTGGTGATTCTGGGTGTCTTAGTTCATTTTATGTTACTCTAAGAGAATACCTAAAGCTGAGTAATTTATAAAGAAAAGAGGTTTATTTGGCTCAGGATTCTGGTGGCTGATAAGTCCAAGACTGGGCAGCTGCATTTGGTGAGGGCCTCATGCTTCTTCCACTACATGCCAGAACACAGAAGGGGAGTGAGTGTGTGCAAAAATAATTACACCAGGAGAGAAGAAGCAAGAGAGAAAACCAAGATGGTCAGACTCTTTTAAACTACTCACTGTTGTAGAAGTTAATGCATTCCTGCTAAAGTGAGAACTCATTCACCCCCACAGGGGGACATTAATATATTCATGAGGCATCCATCCCCATGATCCAAACTCTTCTCATTAGGCTCCATCTCCCAACACTTCCACATTGGAGATCAAATTTTAACATGAGTTTTGGTGGTAACAAACTACATCCAAACCATAATACTGGTATAAACAAACCTACAGCACTGCCAGTTATACACAAGCACAGCACATACAATTATGAAAGGCATGCTATATTTGATGATGGTAAATAACTATGTTATTGGTATAGGTGTTTACTGTACTATATTTCTTATTTTTATTTTGGAGTGTAGTCTTTCTACAAAAAAAAAAAAATATTTAACTGTAAAACAGCCTCAGACAGGTCCTTCAGGAGGTATTCCAGAAGAAGGTATTGTTAGTATAGGAGATATGAAAATTCCATGCATGTTATTGCCCCTGAAGACCTTCCAGTGGACCAGATGTGGAGGTAGAAAACAATAATATTAATAATCCTGATCTTGTGTAGGCCCTGGGCTAATGTGTGAGTTTGAGTCTTAGTTTTTTTACAAAAAGTTTAAAGAGTGAAAATAATGAACTTACAAATTAGAAATGGGAACAAGCTTATAGCATAAGGATGTAAAGAAAGATAATAATTTTGTACAGCTCTATAATATGGTTGTGTTTTAAGCTGTTATTACAAAAGAGTTAAAAAGTTAAAAAATTTATAAGGTAAAAATGTCGCATAAGCTAAGATTAATTTTCTATTGAATACAGAAAAATAAATATTTTAATAAATTTAGTGTAGCCTAAGTGAACACTGTTTATAAAGTCTAGAGTAGCATGCAGTAATGTTCTGGCCCTTCACATTCACTTACTGACTCACTCACTCACACCACTCACTCACTAACAGTCCTGCAAGTCCCATTTATGCTGAGTCTCCTATACAGAAGTACCATTTAAAAAATATTTTGTACCATATTTTTACTGTGCTTTTTCTATGTTTATATATGTTCAGATATACAAACACTTACCATTGTGTTATAATTGCCTACAGTATTCAGTAGAGTAACATGACATCCAGGTATTTAGCCTAGGAGCAATAGATGACATATAGCCTAGGTGTGTTGCAAGCTCTATGGTTGCTCTATGGTTTGCATAATGACGAAATCACTTAATGATACCTCTCTCAGATCATATCCTGTTCCTGAAGTGATGCAAAACTCTGTTTTAATATCTGAAGTAAATTGTCTACATATGCATTTATGTATTTACATGGGTTTACCTGTATTCTAACTAAATGAATTAAAACATTAGTTTGTCCTACTAAGGAGATGAAAAACCATAAAAATTACTTATAGCATATAACAGAATGTTTTGAAATATGTATATATTATGGAATGGCTAAAACATGCTGAATACCTCCTGAAAGACCTGCCTGAGACTGTTTACAGTTAACTAATTTTTTGTAGAAAAAGTACACTCTAAAATAAAAATAATAAATACAGTACAGTAAATACCTAGACCAATATTATAGTCATTTATCCTCATCACATTTCATGTGTTGTACATAATTATATGTGCTATACTTGTGCATGACTGGCAGTGCTATAGGTTTGTTTACACCAGTGTTATGGTTTGGATGTAGTTTGTTACCACCAAGGCAACAAATAACTTGAGTCAGAAAAAAAAATGTTGCTTGTCATACAACACAGAATTAGTACACAATATACAACGTTATCAAATATTTGCTTAACCTATTTTAAGACTTTTTAATAATTGCTTAGGAAATACAGTATAAAATTAAGTAACATGAAGAAAAGACTTTTTTTCTTTCTTTTAATTGATAAATACAAATTATTTATTGTATATCGCAGAATGTCTTGAAATATGTATACATTGTGGAATGGCTAAAACATGCTGATTGGTATATGTATTATCTCACATAGTATTTTTTGCAGTAGTAAAACTTAAAATCTACTCTTTTAGCAATTGTCAAATATGCAATAAATTTTATTAACTGTAGTAACCAGGCAATACAATAAGTCTTTGGGACTTATTCCTCCTTACTGAAATTTTGTCTCATTGACAAACATCACCCCAATGTCCCTTCCTCCCCCCCAACCCTTAGTCGCCACCATTCTACTCTCTGCTTCTTTAAGTTCAGTTTTTTAAGATTCTCCATATGAGTGAGATTGCAGAATGTTTGTCTTTCTGTGTCTGGGTTAGTTCACTTAACATAATGTCTTCTAGGCTTATTCATGTGATAAATGACAGAATTTCCTTTTTATGGCTGAATAGTATGACATATACATATCATATTTTCCTTACTGATTCATCCTTTTATGGACACTCAGGTTGATTCCATACCTTGGCTATTGTGAATAATGGGGCAATGAACATGTGAGTGCAGCTATCTCTTCAATACAGTGATTCAGTTTTTTTAGTGTATATTCAGGAGTGAGATTGCTGGATCATATAGCATTTATAGTTTTAATTTTTAGTGGAACCCCCAACAGTTTTCCATAATGGCTTTCCTAATTTACACATCCGCAGACAGTGTACAAGGATAATTTTCTGAATATTATCAGCTCTTATTTCATAATCACACAGTGCATGTGTAAACTTAAATCATACATTTGAAATGAGACAAAAATGAACTAGAACACTTCATAAGTCAGAGAAAGTGAATTTATAGATCAATGTGTTTAATGAGTCTTATATTAAAAATGTATGCTGTATAATATCAATTCACCATTTGAAACATTTAGATAAAATAAAATGATAATAACAACAATAACAAAAATACACTTTCTGTACTATAAAATCTGGCCTACATTAGAGAGCTCTAAGAAAAGTAATAAAATATCCTTCATCCTCAGATGCTTCCAAACTCATAATGAGGCCAATTAATCTCGCAAAGTTTTGTTCAGTTTCAACTGAAGGCAATGAATTGAGTGATGTAAAAAGAATGATAGACTTTTCTGCCCTCCAGGAGATCTCAACTTACTGACAGGGGTGTGGGAGGATAATAATGCAACTAAAAACTCTAATGAGCAACGTAGTGGCACAAAGAAATTTCAAGATGAGAACAAGGAGGGTGAATTTAACTCTTATATGAGTGGTTCAATATGGAAAGGTCTTATAAAGTGACTATTTTTATAGAGGATTTTGAAAAATAAGTTGATGTTTACTAAGCAGACATTGCTACAGTGACGTGAACAGAAGATGGATGCATCGTCTTCTGACAGAAAAGAATAGAATGAAAAAAATCAAGTGGCAAAATAACCTCTAAAAACCAGGATTGTCTACTGCAGCTTTTGGGGAATGTGTGTTGTGTGTCTGTGTGTGTGTCTGTGCACGTGTGTGTACACGCACAGAATTCTGCTGGGTTTAACAACTGTTGTCTGTGTTTAAAACTATAAAAATAAAAAACAATAAGATTTACTATGTTTGCTAAGTTCTTTGGTATCATTGCCCACCATCTCTGATGTTACTGAATGCATATTTGGGATGAGATGCACAAAACTGGCTTTTATATATGAATTGATTTCAGTTTACCAGAATGTTTTCCTTTATGTGTGTGTCTGTGTTTACATGTACCAGGGGCAGAGAAGAAGTAAAGGAAGGAGTGGGAAGACATAACATTTAGCATTGGGGTCAGGTACATATAACAGAAAACTGTTGAAAAAATACAAATTAATTTTTCAATCACATAAAAAATATTCTGAAGTTAGCAGTCCAGGGCTCATATGGTGGTTTCTAGAGAGATCCAGCATTCTTCTATCTGCTTTATTGTATTTATAAATCAGCTTCAAAAATATATTTCCTAAAAAAACCTCTTGATCCAAAAAGTTTCCTGAAGCTCAATCATCATGCGTATTTGACAGGCTGGAAAAAAAAAGTTTAAAAAAATAGAAAGAAAGAAAAAAAGCACAGAGGTGCAAATTTGTATAAGAGAATTTTTAGAATACCTATCTGAGGTATGAGGTAGAGCTTAACTCCAGAGGCAGGTCTCTGACACTGGACCAAATTGAGAACTAGGTCTAAAACAGGTCTGGGACAGGAGCACCTCCTCAGAAGACAGGCCCACCAGTATGTCATGTCAGTTTGTCATTACCATGGCAACACCAGGAACTTACTGCCCTTTTCCATGGCAATGATTTGACAACCCAAAAGTTACCACCCTTGTATCAGTCAGGGTTCTCTAGAGGGACAGAACTAATGGAGTAGGTATATATATATATAAAGGGGAGTTTATTAAATATTAACTCACACAATCACAAGGGCCCACAATAGGCCATCGGAAAGCTGAGGATCAAGAAGAGCCAGTCAAAGCCCTAAAACTGAAGAACTTGGAGTCAGATGTTTGGGGGCAGAAGCATCCAGCACGGGAGAAAGATGTAGGCTGGGAGGCTAGGCTAGTCTAGTCCTTTCATATTTTTCTGTCTGTTTTATATTTGAGCCACGCTGGCAGCTGATTGGATGATGCTCACCCAGATTAGGGGTAGGTCTCCTTTCCCAGCCCACTGACTCAAATGTTAATCACCTTTGGCAACACCCTCACAGACACACCCAGGATCAACAGTTTGCATCCTTCAATCTAATCAACTCGACACTCAGTATTAACCATCATGACCCTCATCCTAATAAGTTCAGCATAAACTTCCCATTAATTTGCATATGATTGGAAGTTGGTATAAATGTGACGGCAGAACTGCCTCTGAGCTGCTTCTCTGGGCACACTGCCTATGGGGTAGCCCTGCTCCATAGGAGCAGTACCTCTGCTGCTGCTATACATTGCCGCTTCAGTAAAACTTGCTGTTTAACACCACTGGCTCACCCTTAAATTCTTTCCTGAGTGAAGCCCTAATTTGGGGGCATGCCCATCCTCCACCTTCTAGCAACCATGAAGTGATGAAGACAGTGGGAGTTAGGAGTTCCCAGACTCTTGGCCTGAGGAACAGCCCCCTATAGTTGTAGACCTGTTGCCATCCGAATTTTTTTTGGTGTCTCCACTACTTGGTAGCTTTGCTGGCAAGTCAGAGCCTCTGAGATGTCCCCTTGGGCAATGCTGTTTGCCACTTTCTTTCCACCCTTCCACAGTCAACATTTATTTAGCCCCTCTCTGCCCAATCCTTGCTCTCTAAGGAATTTAGGCTCAACATCCAACTCTTCATTTGTAGCTCACAATGCACTTTTGTAACACATTGCCCTCTATATGTTATAGAAGGTGGAAGATTAAAAGGAAAAAATAGCAAAGGCCCAGTTGCTTTCCTTCTTGCTAGACTTAGGAAAATTCTGCCCCTAATAAAAATTGTTAGTCATGGAGACAATGAGAAGCACCCCAGAGGACTAGTCACTAGTGTATCCTTTAGGCTTTTGGAGCAAATTCAAATTCAGTTTAAAGAAAAATAAACTCATTTGTCTATTGCAACACCATTTGGATTCAATAAAAATTAAAAAATCAATAGATTAGTCCTAAATATGGTTCTATATGATATGATGGCATGTTACTATTTGACTTACTTTGTAAATAAGAAGGAAAATGGGAAGAGGTCCCTTACGTACAGGCTTTTATGGCCCTTTACTGGCTCACATTACTTCTGGGCACCAGAAATCCATGCCTAAGGGATGCCTTCCTAGCTGCTCCCTTTGAAACGCCTACACCCTCTGCAGGGTCTCCTCATTCCTCCAATTCTGAGGGGGGTCCAAGCAGTTCTTTAATGAAGGATTCCATCCCAAGGTCATCAGAACAACCTACCCCTTAATCAACTAGCCCCAACCTGTACCTCCTGCTTTCCAAGAAAGTAAGACCAACCAGTATCACCAGAAGTGGGCCCCATATCAGTCCCTAAAGTCAAACCTGTGTCCATTGTGGAAGGTAGCTAAAGGAAGTGAGGAAACACTTGAATACTTATGCCATTTTCTATGTCTAATTTAGCTGTATACAAGGAAAAATCTGGACAGTTTTGAGAGAATCCAGAAAAATTTATAGAGGAGTTTGTTAAGTTTACCATATTCTTTGATTTAACTTGTCATGACTTACAAATATTGTCATCTGCTTCCTGTGCTGTGGGAAATAAGTAAAGAAAAAAATTGTGTGATTAAGCCAGTCAGTTATGACAGGTTAGATAAATAATTCAGGGAAAATGTGAAAATTCCTCTTTGTTTCAGGATCATTTGATTGAGGCATTCAGGGAATATACTAATGCAGACCCAGACTACCCAGAAGGGCAAGCTCTCCTTGGGGATACATTTATTTACTCAATCTCCGCCTGACATTAGGAAGAAGCTACAAAAACAGCAATAAGGCCTCAAACACCTGTGAGCCAACTCTTAAATGTAGCCTTTAAAGTTTATAACAATAGAAATAGGGCAAGAGAGGAAAAAAAAATAGCCAAAAAGGACAATAGTAAACAGTTAATTTAAGTCACCTACCCTCTCAGGGTTACCCATCTCAAGAAAATATAGCAAAATCAGCATCTGGAATGCCCAGGCGAATGTCCCTGACTCTCTGGCCCCTAAGCCAGAATCACTGTACCTACTATAAGCAGAGTGATTGGCAATAGGAATGTCCTAACTCTCCCTGGTGAGAGAGAGAGAAAAAATAGAGCTCCCCATCAATATTAGAGCTGACCTTCTTGCACTAGTCCCAAAGAGCTGCCTTGCTCAAGTAAGTGTACTGGGAGTCTTGGACCCTTGCCCCACAGACAGCTTCCCACAGTGGCAGACAAGCAGCTGGACAAACATGTTTCTTTGGTGTCTCCACTGCTGGCTGAGATCTCTAGTGGCTTGGTGACTCCAGAGTTTTCCCTTGAGCAATGCTGTTTGCCCCTTCCTTTCCTTATTTAACGCTATGAGATCTTTTTCCTGTCTCTTCCTGTTTTCCATAACCACTGGGACAAATAAAATTTGTCCAGGTAGATGGGTCCCAATTTTTTAATTACTTGAATTCCGTTTTCTTGTATAGGTCATTTTATTTAATGTGCTTGTTTAGGTGTATATACAGGTATTGCAAAATGTATTGTGTCTAGCTAACGTATTATCAAGTTGGCTTATAAATAAAAGAGCATGCATAAATTCAATAAAACTAGTCAAAGCTTATTAGCTTGAAGAGAATGTTGTGTTCTGAAATTTAACATTGAGATAGTTTACCTAGGTATTACCGATGTTCATAGGCTTCCAAATGGTTAAAATGGCTTTACATGGTGACTAGTTTTGCATAGTATCTTGGTTCTTGGAGGTGGTCTAGTTATACCTGTCAAAAGTGAAAGTGGAATAGATACTTTGTGAGCTTGCTGTGTGGTTTAAATTCTTAAAAACAACAGAAAGGCTTGGTGCAGTGGCTGACGCCTGTAATCCCAGCACTTTCAGAGGCCAAGGCGAGCGAAAAAACTGAGGTCAGGAGTACAAGACCAGCCTGGACAACATGATAAACCCCATCTCTACTAAAAATACAAAAATTAGCTGGACATGGTGGCATGCGCCTGTAATCCAAACTACTTGGGAGGCTGAGGCAGGAGAATTGCTTGAACCTGGGAGGTGAAAGTTGCAGTGAGCTGAGATCTCACCACTACACTCCAGCTTAGGTGACAGAAAGAGTGAGACCCTGTCTCAAAAATAAATAAATAAATAAATAAAAATAAATAAATACATAAAAATAAAAAGACAAAATAATTCTCATCTATAGAATGCCAATGTCTGGTGGGCAATTCAAAATTCTTACTTCCTAGGTTTATATAAAATGTACCAAAGAATTGTATTCTTTATGAGGAAAAAAATAATTTTTGTCTAATATAGAAATTATTGAAAGGAAGTTTCAAAATATGAAAAAACTGGTGAATAGAAAAGGGAGATGTAAAGAATGTTATGTATAGAAAATGTATTTTTAACAAGGAATTGTATAAAGAAAGAGTAATTTTAATTTATGTCCTAGAGTAAAATGGCTGATTATTTAAGAAAGAGGTAGTATAGGACAAGCCAGAAAGTTCAAGCATGTTGTAGATGGTCCATGTCCATAATGATAAGATTTATAAAGGGGAATTTATGAAAAGATTCAAAGGAAATTATCTATTACAGACTTCTTAAAAAATGGTCTATATTATCACAACCAAGTTTTCTTAAGGTATTAATTTGCTAAATTACCAGAAATTTTTATTTTCAATCCTGTAATCTATTTTTTTAAAGCTACTCAGATTCATGTAACCTCCTTCACATTTTGTCATCAGCTCTTGTGAATTTTTCTTCTCTCATTTATGACTGCTCTTGTAGCCTGAAGCTAAAGTGTTTTTTGTCTTAAAAGTCAGTGGGAGCAGTGTTTTCTCCCAGTATAGCTTAATTCTCATGTTCTTGGTTTTCCTTGATGTGTAACCTTATTTTGGCTTTTGGTTTTTGACTTTTATTTCACTTAGAAATGTTTTGGAGGCTGGGGGGAGCTTGCCCAACTCCATTACCTTTGTCTAGGAGGGGGACATCTGTTTGGTCTGTTGGGGGTTATAGGTTTTGATTTTTGTTTTGTATTCTCCCTTTTTTTCAAGGTGTAACAAAGGCAATGTCAATGGCTAACCTTTTATATAAAAACTTGGAACAGAGGTAAATATACGTTGGCAACTCTTGCCTCTCCAGGGGTCACTGTCTATAACCCTGTAAGATCCCAGAATACGAGAAGTAAGTGAGCAATAGGAACAATTCCAGCCTGAATCAGAGCAGCTATAAGACTAGCAGTGCCCTGAGGTGGCTTTGTCTACCATGAGTCAACCCTAAGGAACTTGACTAAAACCTTGGAAACCTCAGCCACCAACACAAATCTGGCACTAAAGGGAATTCAAGAGTCACTAGACTCTGGCGAATGTAGTTCTTGATAACAGACTAGTGTTGGATTATTTACTAGCTAAGCAAGGTGGAGACTGTGCAGTTATTTCTAAAACCTATGCACATATATTAACAACTGTGGACAAGTTGAGATTAACATTCAAAGACCTATGAGCAAGCTAGCTGGTTACATAGATATAACTAGGGCACTGACCCCAACTCTGTCTGGTTGACAATTAAATGTACCTTCCAAGGTCTCTCCTAGGACCTTTAATAGCTGCCTTGTTATTACTAATCTTTAGCCCTTGCTTATTTAACTTCGTAATAAAGTTCGTGTCTTCTAGATTACAACAGTTCTAGGTAAAGACAACGCTGACACAGGCCTCCCAACCCATCCCACCTGCAGACCTGGAGAATAAAATCATACTGCCTCTGGGACCCTTAGATTAGGTATCCAGAAATTTTTACTCCTTCGATGCTAGGCAGGGCTTTTGCCCATAAACTCAGTAGGAAGCAGTTACACCATATGGACTTCCGCCCTTCTGCAGCACTCTTAAATTTAAGGAGGAGTTTCTAATCTCTGAAGAGGGTGTGAGGTAGGAGGTAGAACTCGACTCCAGAGGTGGGGTTCAGACAATGGACCAAGTTGACAACTGGCTAAAGCAGGCTGAAGGGCCATCTCCCCATGAGACACGCATACCAGTGGGCCATGTCAGTTTGCCATTGGCATGGCAACATCTGAAAGTTACCACTCTTTCCCATAGCAATGACCCATTGACCTGGATGTTATCACCCTCATCCTAGAAATTTCTGCATAAACCATTCCTTAATTTGCATATATTTGAAAGTGGATATAAATATGACTATAGAACTGGCTCTGAGCTGCTACTCTGAAAACACTGTCTATGAGGTATAGCCCTACTTGGCGTGGAGCAGTACCCCTGCTGCTGCCATACACTGCTGCTTCAATAAAAGTTGCTGTTTAACACCACCAGCTCGCCCTTGAATTCTTTCTTGGGTGAAGCCAAGAATCTTCCTGGGCTAAGCCCTAATTTGGGGGCTTGCTTGTCCTGTATCACATTCGTACTTCTATTTCTATCTCTTAGTCATATTGACTATCTAATGCAAAAGACACTCTAAAATGGATCTTTTAGGTTTGAAAATGTTTGCCTTAGAGAAAAATGTTTAAAGAAGATCTATAAAGGAAGGAAATATAGTATGGTAACATTTAGTATCTGCCACAAATGTATTATAGTAAAAGAATAAATTAGAAAATAAGCAAGTGTGAGAATTAAACATCAGTAAAGGAAATTTAATATTATTCCATCTATCTATCTATGAAATTTTCATCTTCATTCCCTTTTATGTTGCTGCTTACCACTGGTGAGAATATTTGATTAAAGAGGCATAGAGTTTGTTAATTGAAATAAATGTTGAATTGTCTTCTGGGACAATTTGTTAGTCTGTTTGGGCTACTATAATAAAATACCATAAACTGGATTACTTATAAACAACAGGAATTTCTTCCCATAGTTCTCAAGTTTGGAAAGTCCAAGATCAAGGCACTGGCAGATTTTGTTTCTGCTGAGAGCCCGCTCCCCTGTTCAGAAAAGGCATTTTCTCTTTATGGCCTCACATGGTGAAAAGACAAAGGGGCTCTCTCAAGTCCCTTTTAGAAGGGCATTAATCCCAACCATATGAATCAGCTCTTTGCAGGCAAGAAAATAATGTGATTGTTTTAGATTTTGAAAACTATGACAAATATAACACTGGCTCTATCTATATACAAAATATCTTACTTTGTGTCATCAGAATTAAATGAGTTGTGATGGCCAAGGCATAATATGCATTGCCTCACTACTTTAGCATGGAACTTAGATTTTAGAAAAATTACTGTGCAGTAGGAAGGACTAAGAAGATCTTGGAAAACAAGAGATGGAGGACTAGAAGGAGTGACAATTAGAAGGAAAGAGGGAAATTTCAAACTATGTGAAGATGGCAAGAAATGGCATGTGTATTAGTGATGATATAACAGCAAAAATTATTTTTTCCTGTTGTTAACTTTACTCAAAGCACTTATGACATTTCTGTCATAAGTGAGATCTCATATGTTTACCCTGAAGTCACTGGAAGTGTTTGAGGGCAATAGAAAAATAGTCAAATTTAGATTTCCATTTTAGAAGACTTATTCTGGTGGCAGAGTTTATAATTCATGTATTTTGAATGAGTAGACACTGGAGGCAGGAAGATGGTAAGGAATCAAATTCAGCAATTCAGGAAGAAAATAATGAGCTCCAAATTAGGGCACCAGTATTGCAAAGGGAAGAATGGAAGTTAAAAACTCTTGTCAAGTTGTATCACTAGGATTAGCAAGTAATTGGCTGTGGAAATTTGAAGACAATATATCTAAAAATTTATCTAAGGGTCACAGGGTAGAAGACAGCATTGCTCTTCAAGATAGAGCACACACTGGAAAGAAACATTTGTCAGTGAAAGAGGTACAATCAAACTGAGTCACATTTATTTTTAATTGTTTGCTAAATATCCAAATAGAGGCATTCTGTAATTACTGGAGAAAGAAATGTAACTGTCGAACTCAGGTTAGAAATATAGATATTTTAAATGTCTCTGCTAGAAGAACAGATTGTTCCTGGAGGTCAATGTCAGAGAAGAATATGTGGCAGAGAAGAAAAAAAACTTAACAGGAGCAAAGCCTAGAATCTGGGGAAATCTTTATTAGAAAGACAGAGAAAAGAGAGCTGCAAAGAAATTGAAAAAAGGCAATGAAGCAGTCATAGGAACAACATGGCATAACATTTTAAATTGGCATAACATTTTAAATTTTGAACATTCTGCCAATTCGTACTTTTTTTCTCATTAAAAGAAAAGACAGATATAAGTAAAACAATAATCATGATTGAATCTTTGAGGATGCCTGATTGTATGCCTCAAAAAATGACGACTCTGGATATTTGAAAAGATAAGGAAAATCAGAGGACAAGTTGTTATGGGATCTCTGGGTTGTCGCTTTTCTGGCCGGAAACCTCTGTGGCCGGTGGCGCTTTTGCCCTTCTTTTGCTTGGGCGCACTTGGCTCGTTCTGCCCATTCAGCCTGGCAGGCTGTGCTCAGCTCATGATACTGGCCTGGATCCCACACCTGCCAAGGATGAGCCAGGCATAGAGCGGCAAGGCGTGTGTTAGCGAGCGAGCGTAGGGTCTGGCCACTGTGCACAGTCAGGCATCCTAGCTGCTGCAATGGGGCAGGCAGCTCCAGGTGCGCCTGCAGCAAGTGCCAAGCAATGGTGCAGGCAGCAAGGGGCACCTGCGGGCCAGTGCCAAGCCATCCTCATCCCCGCCTCGGCTTCCTCTCTTGCAGTCGTCCATGCCCAAAGTTTGGAGGTGGCCTAGGCGGCAGGGGGCTGTCGTGTCAGCGCTGCCCCAAGTTTGTGCACACCCTGCCAGGCTGTGACAGTGCCCAGGCACAGCTTCGACCCCGCTCCAAGATCAGAGCGGGTGTCGGGAGTGGGGAGAGGCCAGGCAGTGGAAGCAGACACCCCCAAGCCTGCAGCGAAGGGGGACCCTTCCCAGGACCTCGACGGTGCAGACTGAAGAGACAACTAGGTCCGCGTCTGGGAGGGTAGCTGCAGCTGTACCCGGGAGGCTCCCACTCCACCAGCTCAGAAAGGTCGGGGCACCTGCTTGTCCCCGGCTACTGCTGGCTCTATAGAGCACGCCGCCCTAGCCGAGCTTCTGAAATCCAAGCCGGCGCCAACCTCGGGGTGAAGCCAGGCAGCGGGATTAGGCCCTTCTGAGCCTGCGGGGGTAGAGGGGTCTTCCCGGGCCCCCAAGAGCACAGGTCTGGAGCCCGAGTCTGGAGCCGTGGCAGGGTGGCTGCAGTGGCACCTGGGAAGGGCGAGGGTCCTGCCTGCTCCATGGAGCGTCGTAGCCCTGGCCGTGCTTCCCCATTGCCGCTGGTGTCTTGGCAGCGGCCACTTTAAATGGGCCGCTGCTGCCATCAAAGTGACTACAGGTCAGGGGCCACAAGTATGACTTGGTGTTCAACAATAGGAACAAAGGCAAGTCCCCATTCCGTGGTCTACCCTGCCTTTGCAATGACTTTTCTTCTAACCCTTTCACATTTCATTGTCAAATTTCAAAGTCCCAGAAAAGGAACTGGTTGCCCATCTGTACAATACATGTCTGCTCTATGACTGTGCTCAGGCAGGGAGCTGGAAAAACTGGCTCCCTGTGGTTCTGAAGGCAGCACCGCTTCCTTTGTTACTGCACACAATGGGGAATTCCACATGAGGGAGATAATAATGTGTGAGGGGTGTAGACAGAGAAACTAGGAATGTTAATGATATGCTGAGTGTTTATCATGCGCCACACACAGAGCTGCAGGATTAACACGCATGCTCTGAGATAATTATCATAATTTGTGTGGCTTTATTATTCTTAATGCACGCAAAAGGAAACTGTACTTTAGAGGATTAAATACTCTTTCTAAGGTCACACGACTTATAGATGGTGCAAGAATGAGAACTCAGCAAGTTTAGCTCTGTATACAAATTAGACCCTATTCAGGGCACTTAAACTTTAACAGTTCTCTATATGATTAACTTGCTTCTGATAATTCAACTAATTAGTGACTGAATTGTAACTAAAAACTTGTTAATTAATATCAGTATCGGGGGTATATAATAAAATGTTCTATACCAACTAATTGAAAATAGGGGAGTAAGAACTAGTGCTCAAAGTAAAGTCATGAATTAAATATTTAACGGTTCTGGGCATAAATAGGTCTCAGGATATTAAGTGAGATTTGTCTTTAGCTTTATAATTTTGGTCAATATCAAAATAAAGAAGTCAGGAGAACGTAAGTTCCTCACCTAAGTTGAGGGCATATAAAAGGAAGTAAGAAAATTGATTAAAAGAAGATTAAATACTGGGCATTTACTTTGAATGCTTGGTTGAATGTTAAGCACTTTTATTTTCTTCCTTTTATTGAAAGTGCAGGTGTGTACTTCCTTCCTGTCTGTCTCCAATCAAGTAAAGGACTGATTTAAAGAGAAATGTTTCTAAAACATGACCTGTGTCCAGTGGAGATTGTGGAATAAAGAGATGAGTGCCAGACCCACCTCCCTGGAGCATTCTATACATAAAGGACTTGAAGTGGTTACCAGTGATAAGAGGATGCAGAGAGCAGCTTGGCCTTCCAGATTCTGGCAGTTCTTCTCAAGACTCAGGTGGACCCCATGGAAGTTAGCTGAATTCGAATTACCTAGAAAATACACCAGCCCAAGTAAATCAGCTACCAATCAGAGTCATCATATCAGTAAGACTACCGGGGAGTGTGTGAGAAAGGTCATCCAGAAGAAAATGAATCTCTTGTATTAGAAAGAAATACAGTGGAAGTTTTCCAAGACAGCCTCAAAAATTCACAAAAGAGCTTTATAAAGCAGAACACTGAAGAGGTTTCACACCTCTTTAGTGGAACCACAGGGTCCTTGCTCCTCCTTCCCTGTGCTTTCTTTTGTCATTTTGGGACCAGGAGATTAAAAGCAAATAAGGAGAAAAAGTAAAGGTGAAAATGAGCTAAACATGATAATCCTATCATGCCCACTCCCTCCCCACTGCAGTCTCATAAAACCCAAGTCAGGAACAACTGAGGTTTGAACATTAGACTTGACTATGCCTCTTTAACATCTGTGACTGCTGCAGCGTGTTAGTAAATGAGGGTATGCAGAAAACTCAGAGATATTCCTGAGATTCTGAGGAATCTCAGGGTGATTTGACAGAAGGTGATTTGACAAAACACACTTAAAAGACACGTGAGTAAAACAAAAATTAAACATGACTTCTGCTAGCTTACTTCACCTCGTTCAATAAGTCGGCTTTAAATATGAAAGAACAACTGAAAAAGACAAACTGGCTCTCATTCTGTGAAGTATGACCGTAAATAAACTGAATTTGTAAACATATTTAAAGAAAGAATAGGCCAACAATGAGAAATGAAGATGGACATGCATGAGATAAAATATTTGCAAATGATATTAGAAGACAATATTTCCAAGAAGATAAGAGAGAGAAAAGATGGGGCAGGGGTATGTAATTAAATAAATAATTACATAGAAAACTGATTATATCTACATTTTATCAAGTGCTTACTATATGTGAGGCACTCTGCTATGCATTATGATGGATTTAAAGCTATGAAAAATAACACAAAGTAATTATTCTTATTCCCATTGTACAAAATAGGAAACCGAGTCACAGAGAGATAAGCCAGAGTGAAGGCTGGTAAATGTCAGCAGAGACGCATACAAAGAAATAATAATTAAAAACTTATTTTTTGAAACAAACTACATGAGTGCCAGGTCTTAAGAGAACAGAACAGAGACATTGAATTCTCCTTAAAAAGGATTTAGTTTGGCCTTTTGGCCAATGCGTTTAATCAAGCTAACCTCATTTTTCATTTCACTGAGTCTGTTGGAAATTAAGCTTGATCTCATTAATGTTGTTTAAGCTGAATACTTTTGGTGAAAAAATAACTCCATTAAGCCATAAAGACACAATTAGTGAAATGTATTAAATGTGATTACAATGTGACAGATTATTTCTATAAGCATACCAAGCTTATAGACTCCAATGAATATTGAACTTTACAATATTAACTTTGGAGGAATAGACCATATTGCAATGAAGCTCTTCTGGTTGAAAACTTTTTTGCCTTCTCTTCATTTTGAATTCAGTTCAGAGTGGTTTTCAAGGCATATTAAAAATATCTTTCTAGAAAAATAATATTTAACCCAGAATTGTCCTGAAATGCTTTTTGTGTGTTTCTTGAAATTGAATCCATTTTTTACTTAGAAAACTATGTAAATATTGAAGGCATTTATAAGACTGATATGTGCTTTCTAAAGAGATATTTAAGAGAAATATTCCACAAATAGTTTGAACAATGGTAGCATCACCAATAGAAGCTTATAGCCTACCAGCTAATTACTCTGAAAAGAAAGCACTCAGAACATATTTGAAAAATATCAGCCATGGAATTTTATATTTAAAATTTAGCAATAATTTACTTATTGAGTAATATTAAAGGCAAGTTTATGCATCTAATAATAATGGATTGATTCCAATCAAGAGCTTCGCTACATTAAGATTATAACATTAGACCAGAAATGTACTTTGAGTTCACATATCACATGTATAAACAAAGAAAATCTTGACTTTAGAAAGGAAAATGTTATGCACTATTGTGGTGTCTGCAGAATTACATGCAATTGCACACAATTGGCAACAATTTGGTGAAATGTGAAACTACTGTAGCTTTATTTATGACCACTTTGTGAATATCATATGGTCATTTTTAAGAAGAAAAAATGACACATGGGAAGTTGAATGGCAGAAAATGCATAAAACATTTAAAGGGTGATTGGTTTGCGAGACAGATTTATGGATAATTTTCCTTTTCATTTTTTTTATTTTCTTTCCATATTTTTCCTCATGTTTTCAAATCTTTCAATGTGGTCCAGGATCATGTACTACCAAAATGAAAAAATATTAATATTCAATACCGAAATAAAAATAAAAGGGATGTAATTACACAGGCTGTGACTACTAGGAAGTGAAAAAGTTGAGGGCCACTTAAAGGTCACCTATCACAGTCTGTCCTTTGGCACCCATGAGTCATGTCATTCCAATATCCAAAATATATTCAGACCCTTCCAAGGTTTTCAAAAAATCTGCTCTAATTATAGTATCTGCTTAAAACTGAGAATCTCATTTTCTATATTAGGTCTAGATGTGAATGAGACTTCCTGGTTCCTTAACTACTTCTTCTTGAGTGAAGTTTCACTTGTTCCCTCCCTTTGAAATTAAAGAATATTATGTAACTTTAAAGCCACTCAATAGAAAGGGTGGAATAGACAGAAGATAACTATTCCAGACAGTCTTGGAATAGAAACAGATGGAAACACAAAGGAATCACTTTACAGATGGGAACAGCTGAAAGCACAAAGGAATCACTGACTCATGTCAATCCTGGTATCCAGTTAGGCAAATGCTGGAAGTTTTTGAATAGGACGTAAGTCCCTGGAATAATTTTCCATTGCTTTTGTGTTACCCTTTGAATTCATGATTATGCCGTCTGAGTTATCCAACCTTCTCCATGCTTCCTTTTGCATGTGTTTGCTGCTGAGCAGGTCTTTCTGCCTGATTTCTGCCAGTGTTATTCAGAAGGTCCAAAGGACTCTTTCAGTCTGTGCTGTTTCTGTCTTCCTCAGTAAATGCTAGTGATATTTCTGAATATCTAATTCTTCCAACAATGTGTGTGTCTTCTGTGAGCCTTCTTGGGAAATACTCCATTAGACAAAAACCTCAACTACAGGTCTTTTCTTCCTACCTTTGCCTTCTTCTGAGATAGAATGCCCTTATCATAAAAGCCCTCATGTTGAATTGACAGGGTCTATGATATATACCTTATACCTTTAAAATCTTAGGAAGATTTCTGGTTTTGGCTTTATTTTTAGACCATGTTTTTCTTGCAGGGCTCTGGATTTTATCTTTGCTTGGAAATCATGTCTTGACTTTATTACCAGACAGCTTCTGAAGAGGCTATATGATAATATATTGATAAAGGAAAAACTTCAGCTGAATTAAATTTAAATGAGTTTAATTGAGCGATGAATGATTCATGAATCAGGCAGTCCCCAGAATCACAGCAGATTCAGAGAGACTCCAGTGGTACCTTGTGGCCAGAACAAATTTATAGACAAAAAAGGGAAAGGACATACAGAAATTGGAAGTAAGGTACTGAAACAGCTGGATTGGTTACAGGTTGGCCTTTGCCTTATTTGAACACAGTTTGAACACTCAGCATTGTATAAGTGGTTGAAGTATGGCAACTGAGATTGGCCAAGACTCAGCTATTGTTACAGGTGCATACTCCTAAGTTAGGTTTTCAGTCTTGTCTACTTATATTAAGTTATATTACAGTTTGACCACAAAGATTCAAATATAGAAGTATAGAGTCCTTCTCAGGCTATTTTTAGTTTGCTTTAACAATATGAATGCTATAATATAGTATATGAAGAAGATTTTCAAAACTTTCAAGTTTAACTCTCTTTTATTTAGTAGCTTTTCCTCTGATTTATCTGTCTTTTCTCACATTTTATTCTACAAAGTGAAAAGTCAGGTAACATCTTCAAGAAATTTTTCTCTTTTTTTTTTTTGAGACAGAGTCTCACTCTGTCACCCAGGTTGGAGTGCAGTAGCATTAGCTCACTGCAGCCTCCACCTCCCGGGTTCAAGCAATTCTCCTGCCTCAGCCTCCCCAGTAGCTGGGATTACAGGCATCTGCTGCCTAGCCCAGCTAATTTTTGTATTTTAGCAGAGATGGGGTTTCCCCATGTTGGCCAGGATGGTCTTGATCTCTTGACCTTCTGATCGGCCCACCTCGGCCTCCCAAAGTGCTGGGATTACAGGTGTGAGCCACCGTGCCTGGCCAATAATTTGTTTTAAAATATTAGATGACCCAATTCATTAGGCACATTCCTAGTTTACTATACTTCATGTAAAATTTATACCACCGCATTACAAGGATCCCCTTTGCTATCATTTCAATAAGGTAGTTGTCACTGTCCATTAAGCCCTCATCAGCATGTTCTTTGAGACTAAAATCTACAGCATGTCCTAGCTACTTCAACTTTTTGCAAACAATTTCTTCAAAGCTCATTGTTCAGTTCCAAAGCCACTTCCATATGTTAGGGGTTTGTTACTGCTACTTACTGGAAGCGAAACCTACATTAGTTATTTATTACTACATAATGCATTATCAGCCAACTTTTAGTATCTCACAATTTCTGTGAGCTAGGGCCAGAAATCCAGGTGTACGTTATGAAACTGAAGAACTCAGCACATAAAAAGTCTGTCCAAACTTCTGCTCTAAGAGATGAGCAAACTTTAGCATGGTTTCTTGCAGCATAAGGCTGTGTCCCTAGGATGACCCTGGTCTCCCTCCTCCCAAGTTAAATCTCTGCCTGAGAAAGCTCAATGATACCAAGAGAATTTGCTGTTTGTTCTAGCCAACACCTGACGATAGGCCCCTGATATCCTTTTCTTAGAGCATTTACTAAAAAGGACTTAGAATCATAAATTCTTTATCTACCACTTTGAGGTTTACGTGCATCTCCTATAACTCAGAAGTGTCTTTCTGAAGAACCTGAAAGCCATTCCTTTGAAATGTATTCATAAGAAAGGGTAGGGCTCTTGTCTTCCAGCCTTTGTGGGAGAATTTGATTCTTGACTTCAATAATTGCCAGCTAGCAAGCAGACACAGCTGGCCTAATCCATTAACACTGACCAAACCTTTGTAACTTTCAACTTCTCTGACTCTACTTGATCCCTACTTGCCCACCTCCCACGTTCTCCCTTTAAAACACCCAGTCACCTCCGCACAAATTGGAACCGAGCTGAGCTTTCCCCTCCTGTCAGTAGTTACTGAATAAAATGTTTTCAATGCTTCAGCTAATGTCTGGCTGTGTTTATGTTTAACACTTAGCTGGGTGCCTCACATAGTTCTCTCATGAGGTTATTGTTGCCTGGAGCTGTCGTTTCATTAGAGATTCAACTGAATGTGTGTGGGAGGAGGGATGGTCTGAGTTGAAATTCATTCATGTATTTTTGGCTCTTCCTTGCCTTTTGTTTCTTGACATGAAATATGGCATCCCCTGGGGTGAGAATTCTGAGAAAGTACAGGTTAAAGAGTGTCTAAGGGCTCCATTGTATGCCCAAAATGGAAGCCAGTCTAATTTTACAAGTGACATCCCATACCTTCTGCCTTCTTCTGTTAGCAGTGAGTAGAAAGTATGTATCATACTCAAGAAGGGAGCATGAAAAACTAGAGGGTGGGTGTCACTGAGAGCTTTCTTAGAGGCTGGTTACCACTATAACCACTCCATCTAATACATTCACTTCTTGTACTTCGTGTATGGAAGACATAACATAACTCACCTTAACGCAGTTGAGAGTCACTGGCGCTTGTTTCTAGAAACAACTGAGTAGCAACTCCAAGTTATACCACATATTTACACCATAAATAACTCACCAATTTGCTTAATTAAAATGATACAAACAAGTAGAAAATTGAAAACAAACATGAAAAGTTTTTGGTAGCAAATATAGTTCTTATAATTACAAAATCTTAATGCCAACTATCTTTGTTTTTTTTTGAGAAATCAGCTAGCTCAAATAAATAATATAATATAATGCCTACATATGGCAGTGCTTAGTAAATACTAATCATTTCTGCTTCTACTATGATTATTAGTATTATCAAATAAATATGTATTATTTTTTAAAAGAAAATCGTTTTAAAATAGTTGTTGAATGATTAGCTTTGGATCCTTTAGTGGATTTTTCTTTTTTTTTTTCCCCTGCAACACAAGACTACTAAATACCTGGTTAATAAATTACACTTAAAGAGATATTACTGGCCAGGCATGGCGGCTCACGCCTGTAATCCCAGCACTTTGGTAGGCCGAGGCAGGCAGATCACAAGGTCAAAAGATCAAGACCAGCCTGACCAACGTGGTGAAACCCTGTCTCTACTAAAAATACAAAAAAAAGTCAGCCGGGTGTGGTGATGGGCAATACAGGAGAATCGCTTGTACCCTGGAGGCAGAAGTTGCAGTGAGCCAACATCATGCCACTGCACTCCAGCTTGGCGACAGAGCTAGACTCCGTCTCAAAAAAAAAAAAAAGTTATTACTATTAGACAAGTATGTTGGCTCACACCTGTAATCCCAGCATTTTGGGAGGCCTAGGCGGGTGGATCATCTGAAGTCAGGAGTTCGAGACCAGCTTGACCAACATTGTAAAACCCTGTCTCTACTGAAAATACAAAAAATTGTCTGGGCATGGTGCCGCGCACCTGTAACCCCAGCTACTCGGGAGGCAGAGACAGAAGAATCACTTGAACCCGGGAGGTAGAGGTTGCAGTGAGCCAAGATCGCACTCTAGCCTGGGTAACAGAACGAGACTGTCTCAAAAAAAAAAAAAGGGTTAGTACTATCTACAATTTATGACAAATAAATATCTATGGCTTGAGTCTGAGTTCTTGGAAGACAGGAAAATAATACTTTGTTACTATCTGAAGATACTATAATTCAAGTTTTTAAAAATTATTAAAGCAAAGCATGCATAGTATAAATATAAAAAGTAACATATATCATGAGTGTACCATTTGCTGAATTTTCACAAAACAGTGATGTAAACAGCATACCAATGTGGAAACATTATCAGTAATCCGGAAGTCCGTTGAGATTGCTTCTGGTCTCCATATCCCACAAGGGTAACAACTAATCTGATTTCTTAAACTATAGACTTTATTTGGCTGGTTTTGAACTTTTGTACATTGCACACACTTTGTAAAAATGTGGGGCTATTATAAATAATGTTGTAATGAACATTCTTATATATACTTTTTTGTAAACATAATTTGCATTACTTTTGGGGTATATAGTAGATGTGGAATTGTTGTATGTGTACATTATGTTTAGTAGATGGAGGCAAAGAATGCAGGATAACGTCTGAGAGTTTCCACCAGCAGTACATAATCATTCTGTTTGCTCTCTATCCTTGAAAATATTTAGTGTGATCTGCCTTTTTTGTTGTATTGCCTTCCTTGTATTAGTATATTGATATCTCATTATGGATTTAATTTGTATAGGACATAGACCCATTCTCTTGATAGCAGAAATGTCAAAAAATGTGTAGGTATCTTTAACTAGTCAGAAAGGACTTAAAAATAAGGACTAAAGAATAACATATAATCTTATAATTGGCAGGAAAATATTTACTTAATAAAATTTACGTTAGTTAAGAAAGAATATATGTGTAACAGACTTTATATAATGAATTTTTTAATTTGCGTTCAACATGATATATACATAGACAATTTTGTCTGTAATCCACCAAAATTTTTTTTTGTAAGGTTTGCCGTGGTGATTTTTAACGTTTCTGTCTTCCTTGATTTTAAAACACGTTTAAAAAAATACACAAATATGTTCAGGTGTTATTTTATATACACATATATCTGAAATATTGACAGTTAAACCTAACCCCAAAAAGCTTTTTCCAGGAGCTTAAGCAAAATTAACGGCTCAAGAGGAAAAATAAAAGTAATTCTACAAGGGAAAATAGTCATAAAATCTTGTTTACAAATAATTAAATTCATAGTCACAGTCTTCCGTATCTCACTCATTATTTCTAAAATACGCTCCTAATTTGAAATATTTAATTATCTAACGTACTTACAAATGACAAATGCCAGAGTGTAAATTTAGCACTAAATATGTTTATAAAGAGTGAAACGGGGCAAAATTTCACAGGGAGTGTGTCTGTAGACTTATTACTTAGAGATTTTCTAAATACTTGAACTTAAAATGTACCTAAATGAGAAATGCAAGCAGTCCTGAGACAGAATCCAAGCTTATCTACAGCATTCCAATGCTAGAAAAACTTTGAATCACACAATTGGGAATTAGAATAATTACCCAATATATTAGCACCTAATAATGAATAATGTGCAGAAATATGCATTAATATTAATTTCAGATTCCACTTCAAAAATTTTATCTTAGATTCTGAAAGCTCTTTAAGCAAAAAATGTAAATTGCCTATGATCAGAAGAGGTATAAACATTAAAATGCAGCTATAAAGAGATTATTATGCTAATTAACTTTGAAAAAAATATTGAAAAGATTCATATGTAGCCCGTAAGTTGATTTCATGAAAATGTATATAACCATAAAGTATTCTGACAAATTGTCTATGCTAATAATTATCTGAAATAGAAATTAAAATACAAGAAAAGCAAACACGACAACATAAAACTGAAATATGTACTTGAAACTTAAAACTGTTTTTATTCATATATATAATTGTGTTTGACACAGAATCCAATCAAGATATTTAGCCAGATTTTAAAGTAGAGTTTCAAGCATATTTGACACTATAAATAAGGGCAGGCGTGGAGCCCGGGATTACAATCTTTGCCAGTAATTTTTGTAATAGCCTTCAGAGCATTCAGATTTAGTGTTAAAGAAAAAGTAGCTTTACTACTTTCCTTCTAGCAACATCAAAGTATAATGATGTATATTTTAATGTAAATTAATTTTTATTGAGTAGCACTGTGCTAATCAATAGCTATTTGCTAACACAACTCATTTACTTTATGTCAAATTTGTCCTTCACTTAACTATAGCTTTGAAATGTAGGCTACCGGGAGGACTCTTTCAGAACATTTAACTGCTATTATTAGAAACAGTATTATTGACTTTGTTTTTTGGATTTTTTCCCCCATATTTACAGCATCTTTTAGCCTGTCAGCTGCCTCATCATTTTTTTCTTCATCTTTTGTTTCTGAAAATTCACAAAGAAAGTTAAGTTTAAACTTAGTCACTTGAAGCCATGCAAATGGGTGACATTGATTTGAATGGTTAAGCTCTTCCAAGGAACCACTCTTTTTTCCTTAGGTGAACTAGTAACATTTTAAATTTATAAAGTCAGTTTATTTAATTGAAGAGTATCATATTATTCCCCTTAACATATTAATAGACTTTTAATTGCATATTTTAAAATTCAACTAGTAATAACTTTGATAGTTAAGAAGTTTAATTTGCTTTAATTATGTCTTAAGTTTGTAAAAGTATTTTTCTTGGTTTTAAAGGAAAAACAAAAACGGTATAAAATGTGGTCCTTTTTCTCATGACATTTTCAATTTGTTTGGGAGATTAAGACACAAAAATTAAAGAATTAAATAATATTTATAAGAATATTAAAATATTTAAATTGTTTCTAAATGCGAAAGCTTAATATAAGCTAATACATAATTCATTGTTGGTTATAATAATTAATGGATTATTAGAACTGAGACATGAGCTGACCTTAAAACATTAATAAGTGTTAACAATATGAATAAGAGAAAATGAATCATTTTAATTACAGGGAGCAATATGAAGAACTTCATTAAAAATATGAAGAACTGAAAGTAAGGAAAGCATATTTTAACAAAATGTAAATTCACATATAGCTTATTTATATTTATTTTATATTTATATACATTTTGTAAATAATGTGTGTGTGTGTGAACATATAGTGTTTAAGAAACAAAGTAGGAATATTCTTGACACTGAAAATAATGAATGTAAGCATCTTTATTCTCTAGATTTTAAAGAAGTGTTGGATCCACTAAAATTTTTTTGAGCATGGAGTGTAAATGTTATTATCTCTGTCCGTTTGTGCTACTATAACACAATACTTAACACTAGGTAATTTATAAAAAGAGAACATTGTGTCTCACAGTTCTGGGTGCTGGGAAGTCCAAGATCAAGGCACCAGCAAGTGGGGTGTCTGGTGAGGGTCCATTCCTCATTGATGGTTTCTTTTTGCTGTCATCATGTGTCATAAGGGCAAAATCTTTATCTTCATATGGCAAAAGAGAGGAAGGGTAAAATGCACTAAGTCTCTCTCTTCAGCTTCTTTTATAAGAGTACTAATCGGCAGGGCGCAGTGGTGATTTATGCCTGTAATCCCAGAACTTTGGGAGGCTGAGGCAAGTGGATAACTTGAGGTCAGGAGTTTGAGACCAGCCCAGCCAACATGCCAAAGCCCCATCTCTACTAAAAACACAAAAAATTATCCAGGCGTGGTGGTAGGCACCTGTAATCCCAGTTACTTGGGAGGCTGAGGCAGGAGAATCACTTGAACCTGGGAGGCAGAGGCTGCAGTGAGCCGAGATCTTACCATTGCACTTCAGCTTGGGTAAAAAGAGTGAAACTCTGTCTCAAAAAAAAAAAAAAAAAAAAAAAGTACTAATCCATTTATGAGGGAAACTCTCTTATGACTTAAGACTTAATTACTCCCCCAAAGCCCCACCTGTTAATATTTTCACCTTGGGGTTTAAGTTCCAACATATGAATTGTGGAGAGGTACGTGCAATTTAAATCATAGCCCAAGTCAAAGGATATTTTAGAGTGCAGAAATGAAGATAGCAGAAAAGATTCCCAATGCTTATTTGCTAAAGTATGTGTAGTAAAATAAAATAAAGACATAATCCTTCACTTTCATAACTAACCAAATTCATAAATGAATTACATACTTTTAAACACCTATAATGTATTTTAGATCAAAACACACATAAAAAGATAAAAATGCAAAGAGATCCAAAGACTGACAAAAATTCTTTAAAATGTACATCTTGTCCTTTACATTCCAAATACATTCCTGGAAAGTGTGGAAAGAAAGTTGTAAAGAAAGTGGATATGGAAAGAAAGTTGTCAGTAGTTTCAAGTACATTGCTAGAAGAAGAAATTCGCTTCAAAGCAAAACTTACTTCTGCAAATTAGAACTTAAGTTACCTCTTGTGTGTCAACCTAAATAACAGAGAGATTATTTCATAGAAGAAAATTACATTTATTTGGGAATAGGAATTTCAATGGGAATACATGTGCTGTAGTAAACCATGTGGGTATTCAGGGAAGTAAAGACTTTTTTTTTTTTTTTAATGAAGAGGTTTACATAATAGTTTTAGATCAATTGTCTTAGGCTGCAAGAATCGATAACAAGGGTGGCACGAATACAAAGTTGGGCAGGGAGTTGTTGGGCAAATGCCTGCACAGTATTTTCACGTGTGTGTGTAAGGTTGCAATGGCCTTTGTGCAAGTTTGTGTTTTTGCAGTCTTCTGTGGTAGTTCTTGTTATCAGGCATCCATGCATAAGAATGCTCCCCCATAGCCTTCTCAGTTCTGTTTGTCAGGATTTTTAACACAAGTGACTCCATTTTGATTCTGTCTGTTTTCTCACATAGTCATGTAAATGCAAGTAAATAAAGGTATTGTTGCCATGGAGGTGGGGTGGGGAAAACACATGTTTTTGTGATTTTTCTAGATGAGAGACCTACCAACCCAACACTCTACACACAGAGCCAATTGATAGTGAGAAGACAAGGGCATTTAAGGGATCTAGATATTGAAACATAGCTTTTTTGTCTCTTGAGTTTTAATCTGGTGCCAATTGGGGCCTTTCTTAGATGTGTTCATTAAGTAAGCTATTCAAGATAACACAGTGAGAAAATTGCTGAGCAATATTTCTACCTTAATAGCCTGATTCTGGAACCCTAGCATTAGCCTGATGTTTATACTCTACAAAATCCTCAGTAGAATTATCTATGAGGAAGTCTCTCAGGGCAGATGCATTACACTTCCTAGCCAGTAAGTACATAGCCTTTATTTATACAGGCAATAATCTCTGGTAGCAGTAATGATATTCCCTATTCAAAAGGCATATGTCTGAGTTCAGGTTTAAGTACAATCAGAAAGAAGATTCAGCACTGTTTTTTGGAGAGCCAAATAAACTTTAGCGTTTCTTAAAATTTTCAGGAAAGGAAAAGAGGTTGAATTTGGATATCTAAAGTCATTCTGCTTTTATTAATAAATATAAGATCAACTCACCATTAACAAAGCAGTCTTTCTTTTGAATAGAGGGGTAGTGGGTTGAATAATGGGCCCCTCAAAAGATACGTGCAAGTGCTAAACCCCCAGGAACTGTGTATTGTGATGTGACTTGGAAGAAGGGCTTTGTGGATGTAATTAAGTTAAGGATCTTGAGATGAGATTATCCTGGATTTAGGGCAGGACTTAAACCCAACAACAAGGGTCCTTCTGAGAAACAGAAGACACACAGAGGAGAAAGCCATGTGTAGACAGAGCAGATTGGAATTAGGCAGGAACAAAAGGAATAACTGGAACCACCATGCTGGAGGAGGTGAGGAGCTGATTATCTCCCAGAGCTCTCATAAGGCACTTTGTGCTGCTGATACCTTGATTTAGGACTCTGGCTTAACAATCAGTGAAGGAAAAAATTTCTTTTCTTTCAAGCCACCCAGTTTACCCTAATGTGTGGTGGCAGCCCTAATATATGACTACAACAAGATTAAATAAAAATCAACCATTTTTGGCTTTTATAATATTAGTTAAAATATTAAAACAGGAAAATTTCTGATACTTTTTAATCTCTCACATGAATATGTAAGCAAAACATTTTAGAGTCTTGGCAATATAAGTTGATAGTTAAACTACATCAAAAACTTGAATGTTATTTGTTTTATAAGAGATATCAAATATTTGAAAGAAACACTTTTTAAAGAAAAATAAAATAAAAATAGAACAATACATGCCACATTTTCTTAATCCAGTCTATCATTGATGGACATTTGGGTTGGTTCCAAGTCTTTGCTATTGTGAATAGTGTCGCAATAAACATATGTGTGCATATGTCTTTATAGCAGCATGATTTATAATCCTTTGGGTATACACCCAGTAATTGGATGACTGGGTCAAATGGTATTTCTTGTTCTAGATCCTTGAGGAATCATCCTTTGTAGGGATCATGGATGAAGCTGGAAACCATCATTCTGAGCAAACTATTGCAAGGACAGAAAACCAAACACCGCATGTTCTCACTCATGGTGGGAATTGAACAATGAGAACACTGGGACACAGCGTGGGGAACATCACACACCAAGGACGTAGTGGAGTCGGGGGAGGAGGACGGATAGCATTAGGAGATATACCTAATGTAAATGATGAGTTGATGGTTGCAGCACACCAACATGGCACATGTATACATACGTAACAAACCTGCATGTTGTGCACATGTACTCTAGAACTTAAAGTATAATAAAAAAATAGAATAATACATATTTGACTTCCTGACTGGTAAAAATACTCTAGAGGTCTTGTTTATTTGTTTTAGGCAGGTATTACTAATATTTCATTTCTCATAGGCAATATAAAGGTATGGCTATGTGTATTAATTTCAGACAATAAGGGGGGGATATTGGGGCCCTGCCACTGTAAACTGTGTGTCCTCAGGCAACTGGCCTACTTCTCAGGATAAATTTACTTGTCTCTACAAGGGCAAAATAAGACTGCCTACTGTAATGAAGTTCTGACAACTAAATAATATAATGTATGCAATCGTGTTCTATTTATATTGATATTAGAATAATAGTTCCTCAAAGGGGTAGAGAAATGATTGCAAATGTCATACATAAAAAATATTTAGCAGAATGCCAGAAATAATTATTAAAATATTGTTTTTCTATTATTACTATTATAATTATATTATTATGGTGTTTTTAATTTAATTTTAACTATTTTTAAATTGAAGTCAAATGAGATAAAAGCTTTACAGGAATGTAATGTATCCTTTGAGATGGAAAAACCTACATAAAGCTTATTATAACAAATTGTAAAATTTCAGAAATAATAATTTATTTCAATACACAAAATGTAGTAGCCTTCCATTAAGTAATTATTATTTACTAAAGAATAAATCAACACTTTGTTAATAGCTTTGATAATTATAATTACCTCTGAACATCTGCGTAGTTTATATATGGCAGGTTACCTGATCAGTTTGCTAATAGGAAGCAGAAAGTTTTAAAATATTTTTATCGTTATGTCCTTTGTTAGGTTTCTTGAAAAAGTCCAGATAATTCATATACATGTTAGTCTAAAGTTCTTTTTCTTTTTCAGATAATTAAAGAAACCATTTCTTTAGGCAGGACCTAAATGCCAGTGGAATAATTAAGTAGTAAATATTCTTTAAACATTGCTTACACTGCAATTTTTCTCACATAACAAGTTTGCAAAGCACTTTATAGAAAACTTCAAATATACTTCAACGTAGTTAAGAGAAGAGCTACAGTTTGCTAGCTAACTTACCTACTTTATTTATAATATATCTATCACAATTTGCAATTGCTGGCATATTGGGAGAAGTAGAAATTGTATTTATTTTAAATAAAATTTGTACTACTTGAGTGATGGATTTATATTACTTTCTCCTCAGTAAAATTTTATTTTATCATACACTGTCTAAAATGGAACATTTAGTACTAAAATTTTGGAATTTTGAAGATACTTTCCACAAAATATATTAATTTGTTTTGACACGTTCACCTTTAATTTTCTGGACTAAGTATTGGCCATAAGTATTAAAACATTATGATGTTTTGCTACTTCACATTTGGTAAGACACCACATTTTTTAGCCCTAAGAACTTCATCAGATGAATAATTTTGAATACGATGAAAAACTAATATAATCCTATTTCAAAAGCTAGCAAATGCTACCAACTTGAAGTTGAAGCTGTCTTATATATTTAAGGCTCTGTGTAAGCCCATACCGTCATACATGCACAAGCACACACAGAAACATTCACTTACAGTATGTTCTAAAGGACAAAATATAATTTTCTCTAGCTTTAGCATGTAAAAATGTCTACGCTCATATTAATGATTTATTAATGAAGGGGATAGCCTATTGTTTTGGGCAGGAATGTTTAGCTCTCCATGCTCAAACCTTGCACTATACAGGATACATGGAAGGTATTTTTTTTATTTTTTTTCAATGAATATTATCTTTTCAGTGCTTCACTTCATAACTCTACAGCCATCATCTAAACAGTTTGGAAACCAATTTACACTAGCGATCACAAAAAAAGTGAGACAAAAAAACAGTTTATTGCTTTGCTCTTCAGTAGGCTTGGATGATATACATACAACATATACTCCTGTCCATAAGCTCTGAGCAGCCTAGGACATTATCACTCTGCTAGCACGAAAATAGAATTTTCAGATAAGACTCACATGAATCAGAGACTTTATTAATAATTGTAAGAATATAAGGCATCGAGGGGCACAGCCAAAATGAGCAGAGGTTTGGGAAATTCAGTCAGCTCCTCAAACCCTTTTATTCACATCAGACACAGTCTGAGATTAATTCTCTACATGAGGCTTGTGGATAACCTTCTGTATTTAAGTTTTGAGACATCTCTTTTTTATAGAGTGGTGTGCCTTATAACTCTATGGATTTCAGGTTTGTTTACTATATGCTAAACTGGGATCATTCTGCTAAGAGCAATCCATAGATAGTACTCTCCTTCTGGCAAACATCATTAATCTGTTTGCTGAAAGATCTGCTATCATTACATTTACAAAGAGATTAGAGGACATCTATTGCTTGCTTTTTTCCTGCAGAAATATTCTCCTATAATCTGGAGAGAAATCAATCACAGTTTAATTCCTTTCTCCCAGTCACAATAAATAAAAGTGTGATTTATGAGTTAGGGTACAGCCTAGGCTTAGCTCTTATCCTATTGACTAGCCTACTTTCTGTCTCGAAATTGTATGGAAGGACCACATTCAATAACACATTCTCTTTAAACCAGATATGTCCCAGGAAAAATTCATAAACTTGAAAATTTTGGCCTCATGGACTTGTGTTTTGTCACATTACTATGTTGGTGGCATCAACTAGGTAACATAATGCCACTTAAACAGAATAATAGTGCTGAGGTATCTCTTCCTGGAGGATGTGACTCACTTGGACTTCAGAAATGTTTAGAAATTGATGGGAATTAAATGATTCTGAGTATTATTAATTTAAGACTTCTTACTAACCGTTTAAAATGATGTGCATTTGGGAATCAACTTGGTATTTTTAATAAAACTATATTTCAAAATAAATGTAAAATGTCAGTATGTTCTAAAAGATATTATGGGCAAACATACAAAATTAATAACAACATTTTAGAAATATGTTTTCTATTAAGTGAAGAATATCTAAATCATATTATTGTCATGTATTACATTTAATACTGCCACATGGAACATAAGCAAGTAAATCCCAAATCTGACTGCTGATATATATTGAGTTATTTAGTTACGTGTCTACATACACCTGTATAGCATTGTATTTAATTACACCTATAGAAAGAAATTATGAACAATGCTGCAACTTTTACTATAGGGTTGGACATCTATTGAGTTTAAAAGAAAATAACATGGGAAGCAAAATAGAAATTAAAATAAACTGATTTTTTGTTTTTTGTATGACATAGTCTACATATGTATAAAAACATTTTTTTTCAGTGTCACTCTTTAAGGTCTTATTGCCCTTATGCTTATACTATAGTTTCTCCTCATAGTATCCAAAATTGCTGAACAATATTCTACCCTTCTGTAAGCCCCAGCGTCTACTTTTTCTGCCCCTTTCCTGCTGTGTGCTTTCCAAAAAGACTTCAGGTTTAGAATAACTGTGCTTTGAAGATGGTGGAGAAAAACTCCTAAGTAAAACCAGTATCTCCTTCAAAATAGTGGAAATGGGAAGTCAGGAACTCAGGCATTAATAACACTGCTCTCATCATATTTTCTACAATCAGCATTTCTAGATCCCTAATTATATCACTTATCAATGCTTCTAACTTACAAATTAAATTATGTCATCTAATCAATGCTCTCAAATCACAAATATGAATGCAAAATGTATTTTAGGACCAGGAACTCTTATTTCTGTGGATCTTACCCCACATTATGTCACACATATTAAAATGAAATGAATTAGCTATATAATAATGAAAAGTTATTTATAATTTTACCTGTAAGGTCAGTTTCTTAATTTACAACTGGATATAATTGATCTGCAAAGATTCCCTATACCAGAGAATTCTTGAGAACTGAGTTTAATAAATAAAAAAAGTTTTCAATTGCAATAACATTGTATACATTTTACATTTTTATATAAATGAGATTGAAAGTGTAAAATCATGTAAATTATCTCCAGATATGCTATTACATCCATTGAGGCTGTCATCTTTCCTTCTCATAAAACTTTTGTTTGATTAAGAACTGATTTTTATAGGACCAAATATCATTAGCATCTAATTTTCTTCTCTTTAAAGGCAAATTTCTTTCTTTTTTTTCTTTTTTTCTCTTGAGACTGAGTTTTGCTTTTGTCACCCAGGCTGGAGTGCAATGGTGTGATCTCCGCTCACTGCAGCCTCTGCCTTCTGAGTTCAAGTGATTCTAATGCCTCCGCCTCCGAGTAGCCGGGACTACAGGCATATGCCACCACACCTGGCTAATTTTTGTATTTTTAGTACAGACGGGGTTTCACTATGTGGGCCAGGCTAGTCTTGAACTCCTGACCTCAGGTGATCCACCTGCCTCAGCCTCCCAAAGTGCTGGTATTACAGACATGAGCCACAGTGCCTACCAAGGCAAATGTTTTACTAGTTCTAGATATTCTACTAAATAACTGAAGCAACCCTGAACATTCAACCATTTCTACCTTCAAGTGTTTAATTTATTCTCCTTATAGGTTCTCAAAAATGGCAGACAGCATGTGGTGGAACCTCTAGAGTGGTCCCAATTTGGACCACTCTAGTTGCATTGCAAAAAAAGTATGCCAGCCACTCTCCAACACAGTACCTCAAGTGGCTTTAGAGAGTCAGCTGATCCAACAAGGAGAATGGGTTTATTGCTATTTACAAGACTTTTCCCATGTGTGGGATGGTTCTGTAAGGAGTAAAATGTGTATTGATTTCAGCTTTTCAAGTGTGCCCAAATACCTCAGGAAAAAATGCATTAGTGTACTTGTTTCCTATAAATGGGGCAGTTCAAATCCTTCTTTTCCTTTGTCCTAAGTAGATTACCAAGAGTTATAATTTGAATGACCCCTTAGGTCATAGAAGATCCATAAGTGTTCATTGTTTCCTGACTGTACTCATCTCCCATAGTAGTGCCTTTTACACCTACAAAATTCATTCCTGGTCCCTACTGGACAGATCTGCTTGGCCTCTCATTTCTGAAACTGGTTTCAACTGTGACTCAGTGATTTCTTTCCAAGACACCAAATTCCAAAAAATTCTGGTAACAAGTAGTATATTCCAGTTGTTTTCAAATCTCTCTAATTTTAAGACTGAGTTGTGGCCAAATCTTTTTATCTTTATCACTGTGTCTGGATAATATTTTGAGACTGGACTGAAAAAGTCAGGATTAGATCACCTTTGGATATTCAACAGGAACTATGATTGCTGAGGGAATTATTGTAACCATGGATTTTAGACTAAAACTAATTTATTTGTTATGAATCAAGAGCTTGTTGAGGCCTAAAAAGTTAGTTGCCTTGAAAAAAGAAAAAAATTTTCTTACAATTATGGGCTGAAAATTAGCATAAAAATTTACAGTATTCCAGATTCATAAATCTGAATTTATGGCTGAATATAGAAATAGGAATATTACCTTCTTTTGTATTCACCAATTTCTATTTCTATTCTATTTCTTTTTTTTTTTTTTTTTTTTTTTTGAGACAGAGTCCGGCTCTGGAGTGCAATGGTGTGATCTGAGCTCATTGCAAACTCTGCCTCCCAGGTTCAAGCAATTCTCCTGCTCCAGCCTCCTGAGTAGCTGGAACTACAGGCGCACGCCCCTACAGGCTACTAATTTTTTGTATTTCAGTAGAGAGCAAGCTTCACCGTGTCGCCCAGGCTGGTCTTGAACTTCTGAGCTCAGGCAATCCACCTGCCTCGGCCTCCCAAAGTGCTAGGACTACAGATGTGAGCTACCATGCCCCGCCTTTCTATTCTATTTCTAATGCACTTTTATAATTATGTTTCAGTAATTATCTTAGCTCTATTGAAAAACAAATATGTTATATATATATGTGTCTATTTTTAAATTTTCTAAAAAGGGATAATCAGAAACATATTATGTTCAAACTACAGAATGTCTTTATTAGTATTCAATTAAATAAGAACTATATTTTCATATAGGTGAATAGAAAATATACTTTAAAATTATACCACATTTTATTATATTTTTACTAATAGCATTCCTAGTAATCTACTGTTATTTTCAGCACATAGTGCACAGGTTTTTTCATAAAAATAGTTTCCTATGCTTACATCATCTGGCTATTCCAGATGTTCTTTATCCAATCATTATTTCGTGCTGTAAGTGCCTATGGAGCATCTTAGCGCAGATTGTCTTATTGCTTTAAACTTAAATGTGATACTTCAGTCCCCCAGAATAAGTCATATTTTTCCAACTAGATAAAGGCAATATAGGGAGTTATGTACCATGAGAATAGCTTGAGAAAAGTCAAAAAGTATGAAAATTAAGGTGAAATTAATAAACTACAAGTGATTTTGTGCATCTCCGACATGTTTTTGGACACCAAATCTCTGAGTAAAAGATTAACCCAGGGCCCTATGTATCAAAGTAAATCTTGATATGCCCAGTCAAATGAGAGCAGCCAGTCAAGATAGTGCTGTGGCCATGCATTCATACGGACAATCTTAATGCAACGTAAGAGAAACATTTTAAGGAGGTGTTTTGGAGAAAGACTTATTGGAGGCAAATGCAATAGTTCAGTTGGAAGGTGGCAAGGGTTCAAACTGAAGCAATAGAGATGGAAATGGAAAGGTGGATTTGAGAGATAAAACTCAACAATACTTAGCAATTTATTGAACTGGGGCAGAATAAGTGATAAAAGGTGTTTGATGAAAACATTCAGACAATAATACCCCTTGTGACTATTTCAAGCATGACACACACTATATGATCATTATATATTTCTGATTCTTGATTTTGATATTATACTAACTACCATGAAAGTTAGTTTGAGATGAAACTATGAAAGTGTGTTTTCCTTTAATGTACAACCAGTTTACTTTATCTTTGAATCACACCCAACTTGACCCTAGGAAGTGATTAATATTTTTTTGGAGAAGAAATCTATGTAGTTTTCTAAGTCAGAAAATATAGGAGATAGAAAGGGTTTGAAAGGAGATAGAATGAATTCATTTTCCTGTATTGACTTTAATTGTCTACGAGACACATTTAAGTGTTGTTCAGTAAGCTGAGATAGTGTGACGGGCTAAGTTGTGTCCCCCTAAAATTCAAATGTTGAAGTTCTAACCACAGCAAAAACCCCACTGTGACTGCATTTGAAGATCAAATCTTTCAAGAAGTAATTACGATTAAGTGAGGTCATATGAGTGGGTTCAAAATCCAATATGGCTACCATTTTTACAAGAGAAAGAAACACCAGAGATGCACACATAGGGAAGAAAGGCCACGTGAGGACTCACAGACAAGTTAGAATCCTCAACTAAGGAGAGAGACCTCTGAAAAAAACAAATTTTCTGGCAACTGATCTCAGATCTCCAGCTTTCAGAACTGTGAGAAAATAAATTTCTGTCATTAAAACCAAGCTGTGGTATTTTTATTATAGCAGCCCTAACACACAAACACAAACAAGTTTATATTTTTAGTATACATCTTCACTTATAAGTGTGTCTCAAATTAGTAAACCTGAGTCTGAAATAGAGTTGGCAAGGTTTTGCTGTTTTTATCTTCATTTTCTCTAAGACCAGTCAGGTTTCTATATGTATTTGGAATCATATTATAATAATGTTCCTTCATTTCCATGATATTTATTAGATCGACAAAAGAGAGAAACAATTTGTTGATTAGTAAGAGCTATTCAAATGACTCCACTTATATAAAAATAGACAGTTTATTCTGTTCTCTTCTCCATTGCCAGACCTACTGAATAGGATTCCTTCCAACTAGTCAATGAAATAAAATAATCTATAAGCCATCTGAAATCTAACTAGTACTTTCCATTAGAGATTTCTGTGATAATAGTCTACAGATGCACTCTTCAGTATTATAGTCACTAGTCAAATTTAGCTATTTAGCACTTGAAATATGGCTAATGTGACTGTGAAAATGAATTTGTATACATTTACTTACTTTTAAATAATTTAATTTTGAATCTCAAGAGTCATATATGGCTAATAATTAGTATACCAGGCAGTATATCCCAAAACCATCTTTCCCCAGGTTTTAAAAAATATCTTGTATTTTATTTTGCTGATAGGTGATAGTGCAAAGGATATGGTCTCTCCTTGTACAGTCATGAAATCCTCCAAGGTATTCTAATTCATAATAAAACTAAATCAGCAGCTATAAATAAAATATAAATTCACAGTATTCCCCTAAATTGCATGTAGTTCTCTCCCTTTCGCTGTCAAAGCAGCAAATGCACCCCACACTTTAAAAAATATGTTAGTTAACTATGTCAATATTGATTTCTAATTTTTATGAAAATTACGAAAACTTGCTGCAGAACATTTGTCTTAAGAATTATGTTTTACTCTAATTATTTTTAAGATGAAGTTGTTATCTTTTTAACTTTCTTAAAATGAAAGCTCAAAAAATGTGAGAATAATTTTCATAGGTGATTAATCAGGTGAGAAAGGAAGCAAGGGAAAAAAAAGGACAAGAAATAAAAACCGAGAAAAATAAGAATTTTTAATTTACCGAATGTTGGGGAGTTGTATTTTACTTTTTGTTGTCTAGAATGAAATTCTGAATGGTGATTGCATAAGTAATCATAATTTTGCCAGAAGGACACAAATGAAGAATTTCATGTGTAATTTCTGTTAACTACCTTAACTGGGACCAATGAAAGAAAATTCCTGGATTTTCTCATGGTAGACTTTGATCTAATTATTGAGATTTCTGTAATAATTTGGAACCAAATAAAAAGCCTAGTAAAAACAACAAAGGTAAGTATAATTCTGACTGTGCGTAATTAAAAAATAACTGATTTAAAAGTAACATCTTTTTGACTGTTAATCTTGATGGAAATAACTTAATAAATAATATCTAAAATTCTAAATCAGGAGGAAGCAATGTATAAACACTTTTCGAATAGGATGAGAGAGGAAGTCAAACTATCCCTGTTTGTAGATGACATGATCCTGTATCTAGAAAACCCCATCGTCTCATCCCAAAAGCTTCGGAAGCTGATTAGTAACTTCAGCAAAGCCTCAGGTAACAAAATCGATGTGCAAAAACTGCTAGAATTCCTATATGCCAACAACAGTCAAGCCGAGAGCCAAATCACAAACCAACTCCCATTTACAATAGCCACAGAAAGAACAAAATACCTTGGAATACAGCTAACAAGGGAGGTGAAAGATCTCTAGATATCTACTAAGAGAACTACAGACCATTGCTCAAAGGAATTAGAGATGACACAACAAATGGAAAAACATTCCATGCTCATGAGTAGGAAGAATCAATATTAAAATGACCATACTGCCCAAAGCAATTTAAAGATTCAATGCTGTTCCCATAAATTATCACTGACATTCTTAACTATTCAAATTAGAAGTGGTAAGCTTTGGGGATGTGGAGAATATCAGTTCTACAGTGGTGTTTGACTTGGCAGAAGACTTTTAATTAACTAATTTTAAAATCAAATTAGTTGCTGCCATATAAAACAAAATTATATAATGTTCTTTAAAAAAAGTGATATATCTACTAACAGTAGGTATGAATTCCTACTGAAAGGCAAAAATCAATATGACCTGAGAAATGACTACGTTCTTTAGACATAGCACATGCTATTTTATTTCTCCATTTTCATCAATCTTTGCTGTACTTCTCTATTTGTTAGAATATCAAGCAGTTCATATTACCACAATTACATCATTTTTAAGCACTAAAGTTAAAAATATTTACTTAATTCCTATTTTTCTAAAATTTCAAAATTTGACAATGTGCAAAAATCACAAGCATTCCTGTATACCAATAATGGACAGATTGCCAAATCATGAGTGAACTCCCATTCACAATTGCTACAAAGAGAATAAAATACCTAGGAATACCACTTACAACAGATGTGAAGGATCTCTTCAAGGAGAAATACAAACCACTGCTCAGGCAAATAAGAGAATACACAAACAAATGGAAAAACATTCTATGCTCATGGATAGGAAGAATCAATACTGTGAAAATGGCCATACTGCCCAAAATAATTTATAGATTCAATGCTCTTCCCATCAAGCTACTATTGACTTTCTTCACAGAATTAGAATAAACTACTTTAAATTTCATATGAAACAAAAAAAGACCCCATATAGCCAAGACAATCCTAAGCAAAAAGAACAAAGCTGGAGGCATCACACTTCCTGATTTCAAACTATATTACAAGGCTACAGTAACCAAAACAGCATGGTACTAGTACCAAAACAGATACATAGACAAATGGAATAGAATACATGCCTCAGAAACAACACCACACATCTACAACCATGTGATCTTTGACAAACCTGACAAAAACAAGCAATGGGGAAGGGATTTCCTATTTAATAAGTGGTGTTGGGAAAACTGGTTAGCCACTTGCAGAAAACTGAAACTGGACCCCTCCCTTACAACTTATACAAAAATTAACTCAAAATGGATTAAAGACTTAAAAGTAAAACCTAAAACCATAAAATCCCTAGAGAAAACCTAGGAAATACCATTCAGGACATAGGCATGAGCAAAGACTTCATGACTAAAAGATCAAAAGCAATTGCAACAAAAGCCAAAATTGACAAATGGGATCTAATAAAACTAAAGAGCTTCTGCACAGCCAAAGAAACTATCATCAGAGTGAACAGGCAACATACAGAATGGGAGAAAATTTTTGCAATCCATCCATCTGACAAAGGGCTAATATCAAGAATCTACAATGAACTTAAACAAATTTACAAGAAAGAAAAACAAGCAACCCCATCAAAAAGTGGGTGAAGGATACGAACAGACACTTTTCAAAAGAAGACATTTATGTGGCCAACAAACATAAGAAAAGAGCTCATCATCACTGGTCATTAGAGAAATGCAGATCAAAACCACGATGAGATACCATCTCACGCAAGTTAGAATGGCGATCATTAAAAAGTCAGGAAACAACAGATGCTGGAGAGGATGTGGAGAAATAGGATTGCTTTTACACTGTTGGTGGGAATGTAAATTGGTTCAATCATTGTGGAAGACAGTGTGGGAATTCCTCAAGAATCTGGAACCAGAAATACCATTTGACCCAGCAATTCCATTACTGGGTATATACCTAAAGGATTATAAATCATTCTACTATAAAGACATATCCACACATACGTTTATTGCAGCACTATTTACAATAGTACAGATTTGGAACCAACCCAAATGCCCATCAGTGATAGATTAGATAAAGAAAATGTGGCACGTATACACCATGGAACACTATTCAGACATAAAAAAAAGAATGAGTTCATATTATTTGCAGGGACATGGATGAAGTTGGAAACCATCATCCTCAGCAAACCAACACAGGGACAGAAAACCAAACACTGCATGTTCTCACTCATAAGTGGGAATTGAACAGTGAGAACACATGGACACAGGGAGGGGAACATCACACACTGTGGCCTGTCGGGGGTTGGCGGGGAAGGATAGGGAGCGCATTAGGAAAAATAGCTAATCCATATGGGGCTTAAAACCTAGATGACAGGTTGATATGGGCAGCAAAACCACCATGACACATGTTTACCTATGTGACAAACCCACGCATTCTGCACATGTATCCCAGAATTTAAAGTAAAATTTAAAAAAAATAGAAATCAAGCAGTGCATATTATCACAATTACATCATTTTTAAACACTAAAGTAAAAATTGCTTCTTCTATTTTTTAAAATTGAGGATTTTATATATGTTTATATAAATACACAATGCTTTTCAGAGAAATTCAAATTAAATGTCTTCATTAAACAGGCAAGAGTAAGTACTATGAAGGATATATAAAAAGAGTAATGAACTGAGAAAAGAACTAACAGTTCAAAATAATTGTTTTTCAGTGAACATAATGTATGCTTCTGTGAACAGAAATGGTATATTCCATTAAAAACTTTTATCAAAGTACGTTCAGGTTGCAAGTCTATGAAAGATCACACATTTAATACGCTATTAATAATATATACTTAAGAGATACAAGCAAGTTGAAATGCAAAACTATCCAGAAAAATTGAAAATATGGCCAAGCACTTACAACATGAGTTTCTTGAAAAATAATAAGAAAGTAAGTCTTTTGTCATTTTTTACTAGTTTTGAGAGCATAGATATAAATATTACTATCCAATTAGGCAAATGCATTAATGTTGTCCATTACTTGTGGTGCCTCCGATAAACCACAGTATTAGGAAATGATGGATTTTTTTTAAAACGTTTCTAGGAAAAGTCTTAAACATGTATTTCAATATGGCCAATCTTTACCGTTTGACAGTTTTACTATGAGCAAATGAAAGCACATAGCAGTCTAGCAAAAGCAAGCGAAGTTTTAATACAAAAAGCAATAATATGAGGCAGGAGAAAACTTAAAAATACACACACACACACACACACACACACACACACACACACACAGAGAAAGACGCATACAGAGAGCTTTTATGCATAAAACCCTGAGAGGCAGGAGGGCAGTAGAGCCGGACTAGTAGTCAGTCACAACCAGCAAGACACATCTGTGTCTCCTTTCAATAGAATTAGATTAAAATGCCAAAGGAGCTATCATAACACATGTCTTCTAATATCTGAAATAGTCTATAGATAGTAATTTATATGTATACATGTGTATTTAAATATATGGTATATGGAATATGTATGTAAATATATGCATATTTATACACACATTTATAGAGAGAGCTATTTTCAGTCCCAATTATAGTTGTTATCTGTAGCTGATTATATTTATGACTTTGTAGTCTACACTGGATCTTACCCATTTTTTAACCCTTAAAAACATAGCATCACAGTATTGGGTAAATAACTGTGGAATTCTTGCTGAATCTTGCTAGCTTTTCCAAGTACCATAATTAACTACATTTTATTTTTGCTACAAATAAACCCTATGCACTTCCTGTTCCTTTTAGGGCTTAGAGCTTCCATTCCCTACAACTCGAAATTGTGCAATTGATTTTGTGTTAGATCATCTCTCAATGAGTAGTCTTTTAGTGCACATTTGTAGAGTGTAACAGCAAAAAGAACAAGTAAATAGAGTAAGATTATTGAAAGAATAATTCAAGTATCCTATTAAATTGAGGGTTAAATATAAAACAGCAAGAAAAAATAATACATCATAATACAAAAATTCAATATATAGAATATCAAAAGGAGTACCAAAACAACCCAAGGAAAACAATCAAAATAAAATTTTGCTCATAACTCTGATTCAGTTGTATTTAATTAATTCTCATCTGATGGTTCTGCGGTAGCAGGCTACCACTCAAAATCATCTGCTTGTTTTGTTGCTTCTATGTTATTAGCCAAGAACTCGTCTGCTTTCGTACTTAGAGAGTGCTGGAAATTCTTAGTCTCAGAATCCTTAGTATAGTCCTCTGTTTTAGAGTTCTAAGGCTGTAATTGTTAGATGTTTGTTTCAGAGGTATTAAAAATAAGCTTCTAGTGCATTGCAGGGCCCAGGTAAAATGAAGGGCAAGCCAAAACACCTACCGATGAAATAATACGTGGATTGTGTTATTTTGTTACAGTAACTGACAGTATCAGGGTGACACAGAGAAGAATCCTTATTTGGAGTACATATATGAATGTACCTATGATTAATGTTAAAGATGAGGATTTTAATGTAAGACTATTGCAATAGTTTGAATGAGTCTCTCAAAATGCATGTGTTGGAAACTTAATGCCCAGTGCAACACTGTTTGAAGATGGGGCCTAATGGGAAGTGTTTAGGTAATGAGGACTGCCCCCCACCCCATGAATGTATTCATGATGATTATAAAAGGGCTTGAGGCTTCAAGTTTTATCTCTTACTTTATCTAGCCCTCTCTGCCCTTCCAGCATGGGATTACACTGCCAGAAAGCCCTTGCCAAATGCTTGTCCCATTGTCTGCACTTCCCAGCCTCTAGAACTGTGAGCCAATAAATTTATGTACATTATAAACTACCCAGTCTGTGAAATTCTGTTATAACAGCACAAAACAGACAAAGACAGAAAATTGGTACTAAGAGGTGGGGTGGTTGCTATGACAAACACTGAAAAATGTGGAAATAGTTTTGAACTGGCTAATGGACAGTGGTAGAAAAAATTTGGAGGAACAGGCTAGAAAAATGCTAGATTGCCATAAATGGAGCATTAAGAGAATTTCTGGGGGAAAGCTCAGAAGAGAAGACCCATATGGAAAGTCTGAAACTTCCTAGAGATTATTTAGGTGGTCATGATCAGAATATTGGTAAGGGCCATTCTAATGAGGTCTCAGACAAAAAGTATTGGAAACTGGAGAAAAACAATCATCCTTGTTACAAATGGCAAAAACCTTGGCTGAATTGTGTCCATGTCCTAGGACTTCATGGAAGGTAGAACTTCAGAGGGATTAACTAGGATATCTGGGAGAAGAATATCTACATAGCAAAATATTCAAATTTTGGCATGGCTTCTTTTAACTGCATACAGTAAAATTCAAGAAGAAAGAAATGATTTGAAGGTAGGGATTTTCTAACTAAAAAGGAAACAGAATTTAAGAGTTCGAAAGAATCTCACCCCGGAGGTGTGGCAGAGGATGAAAGAGCATTTTCAGGAGAGAAAACCAAGTTTGACAGAAAGATTAGTATGTATAGAACAAAGCCAGGGGCCATTTATCAGGGCAATGGAAGAATGATCTCATCTTGAAGGCAGTTTGGAGATTACTGGTACCACCCCTCCCATCACAGACACAGAGTGCCAAGGCTTACAGCAAGAAAATATGTCAAGAGAGGCCTCAAGTACCCTTGATATGTTGGCTCACTGCCCAGGGCTGCTTCAAGTCTCTGCTCCTTGAATTCCTGGCAGAACTCCTTGATCACCTCAGGTGTGGCTCAAAGAGCCCAGACGCAGCTTGGGCCACAACTTTGGAAGTTGCAAGTCAAATTTTGGCAACATTCATGCAGTGTTAAGTTTAAAAGTTCAAAAGTGCAGGAGCTATAGGGGCATGTCTTCCTCCATCTAGATTTCAAAGGATTTCACAATAGCCTGAGGCCATGCAGAGAATTGTCAGACGTATTAGGAACTGGAGAAAGTGCGGTCACCCACACAGTCCCCACTAGACTTAATGGATCTGTGGGTGAATTACTATCTTTGAAATTCCAGAGGTATAGGGCCACTAGAATGCAACTCCAATGCTGAGAAATTTCATCACAATCTATAGGGTTTGAGCAAGAATTTCTATTCATGGTCAGATAGACAATAAATTAAATCTTTTTATAAGCAATTTTATTACAATGATTGTATCAATTTTCCACTTACATAAATATTTGCATGTCACTTCACATCCCCCCCAAAAAGAGAACTAAAACTATTGAAAAATAGTCCAACTGGTAACACTTTCCTATGCAATATTAATCTAGTTAATATCGACCTTGTCTCTGGTTTGAGAGACTTTCACTTTGGATATCAAATAATGGGATAGGCTTACAAGACTTTTGAGTTCATGGAAACCATATACAGCATACCAAAAATACCTAATTATTTATGTCACCTTTCCTTTTATGAAGTGAAGGTGTAAATTTTGTATGCCAATTATTAGCAATAGGAGTAGCATCTAATAATGTTTGAATATAGAACAAACTTTGAGAATTTATTCTTTCAAATTTATAGTCTGTAGTTGACTAGGATTCACATAATTTGGATCATCACTTAAAATTTAAACAGCAATATTTAGTTTTATTAAGACATTGAAATTTCACTTGTCTTAGAGAAAAATAACTTGAAAAACAGAAATCAGTAGAGACAAAGTTACTCCGTTGAGGGAAAATTATTGATTCAAAGAATATAGAATTATTATTATTATTTTAGCTTTAAAACACAACTAATCTTATCAGCTAATACAATAAGTTATCATAATCATGTTATTGCTTTTATCAGAACTATATGAAAATCAAACATGTTTATATGTAATGAAGGAATAAGTAAAACCTAATGCATGTAACACAGTATATTTGTTTGTATTTTTTGTGAATCTAGTACTCCTTAGGAATATTCTACATAACTAACATTTATTCTATAATACTATCAAAGATGAGTGAAGTGTTTCTATAAATCACATGAATTGCAGCATAACTTGAAATTTAAAAGAATTTTTCTATAATGATATATTTCACTTTTTCAAAACACATATTAAAATAAAATAGATAACTCTTTAAATCTGAAAGACTTTGTAATTTTTCTCTGTTGGCTGTGACTGTCTTACTCATATATTGAATCCTCTTGATTTTCTTTTGCTCCTAAGGATTAAATGTTCCTTATATTTGTAACCCAGCCTTCACCCATGTGATAGATTCATGTTTTCATTGTGCATTCCCATCAATGAAACTTCTCTATATGTCAGTCATGATAGTATTTTCAATCCCTTATATCCCAGAGTGAATCCTTTTAAGTTACACAACGTTCTCTTGTTTTGTGTGTTGCTAGTAGTTAAGGGGTTGACCATGCTATTACTACAATTTCTATATTTTCAGTTTATCTGGTATAACCTAAAAATCCTCCTTAATCCCAAACATTAACTTTGTTTCAGATTATATTTTGAGAATGCTAAACAAGTGGAGCCTCCAATAACTCATGAAGAGGCCATTCTGGAAGCCTCTATCATCCTCTGCATTGTGGCTTCTTTACACCTGCTTTCTTTTGGTTATTATTTGCATGGAAATTATTTTCCATTCTTTCACTTTTAAACCATGCATGTCCTTGGATCTAAAGTGAGTGTTGTAGGCATCAAATAGTTGATTCTTGTGTTTTTAACTAATTCTTTTTTAACATTTTTTAATTTGTAATTTTAATTCATTTATCATTTACACTTGAAATAATTAACTTACTATTGCCATTTTGTTACTTGTTTATGCATTTTACAGCTTTTTGTTATCCCTCAGTTCCTTCGGTACTGCCTTCTTATTTTTTGTCATAAGTTTTAATTTCCTTTTTATTTCCTTTTGTGTACATTCTATAAATGTTTTCTTAGTGGTTATCATTGGTGATTATACATATTATCCTCAAGTTACAGCAATCTGTTTTAGTTGATACCAAGTTAACTGCAACATCATACAAAATCATACAAAATTCTATTTCTTTATATCTCCCCCTTATGGTACTGATATCATAAATTACATTTCTGTATATTGAATGCCGTTAAAATAGATTTATAATTTTATTTTTATGATTTTGCCTTTCAAATCCTATAGTATAATAAAAAATGGTTACAAACCAAAATTACAATAATTTTTTTTATTTGTCCACGTATTTATCTTCCCTGGAGAACTTTATGCTTTCATATGGCTTCAAATTAGTATCCAGTTTCCTTTCAGTTTAACTGGAAGAACTCCCTTTAGTATTTCTTGTATGGAAGGTATAGTGGTAATAAACTTCTTTGCTTTTTGTTTATCTGGAAATGGCTCATGTTCTTCCTCATTTGTAAAGCATAGTTTTACCAGATACAGAGTTCTGAATTGACTTTTTTCTCTTGGAATTTTACATCTTATTTCATTTTTTAAATCCTGACATTTACCAGGTACATAGAGTAGATATGTTTTTATTTTAATAAATGTGCATTAAATTATTTATTTAGACAAGTTTCAGGAGGTACTAAGTGTTATTTTTAAATATGTTTGATGTTCAGAAAGTGATTTTCACAACTCTTAAATGACAATTGGAAAGTTTGTCTTTTCTCTCCTCATCTAAGAAAGCATACAAATCATTAAAATTCAGAATAAAATATGTAATCTATGAAAAAGCACACAAACGATATAGCTGTATTTTTTATGACAACTATTACAAATTATCATTAACTTGATGATCTAGATAACAAAATTGGATTTTCTCTAACTGGAAACCAGGAGTTTGAAATGAGTCCTAGTGAGCTAAAATTAAAATGTCAGGAGTCCTGATTTCTTCTGGAGGCTCCAGGAGTGAATCTGTTGATTGCCTTTTAACATTTTTTGAGACTTCTGGTATGTTTTGGCGTTCCTTAGTTCATGGTTCCATCACTACAATCTCTTGCTTCTATTATGACATTTTCTACATCTGACATCAAGGAGTTAGATTCCTTTAGATTGTCCGGTGAGCCTAACTCAATCAAGCAAAAGGTCTTTAACACAGAACTGAGGCTTCCTTAAAGAAGAAGAAATCTGTGGGGTGCGGTGGTTCACACCTGTAATCCCAACACTTTGAGAGGCCGGGGGTTGGGGGGCCAGATCACCTGAGGTCAGGAGTTTGAGACCAGCCTGACCGCCATGAAGAAATCTTGTCTCTACTAGAAATACAAAATTAGCCAGGCCCAGGCCTGGTGGTGCATGCCTGTAATACCAGCTACTCAGGAGGCTGATGCAGGAAAATCGCTTGAACCTTGAACCCAGGAAGCAGAGGGTGCAGTAAGCCAAGATCGGCCATTGCACTCAAGCCTGGGCAAAAAGAGTGAAACTCCGTCTCAAAAATAAATAAATAAATAAATAAATAAATAAATAAATAAATAAATAAAAAAAATAAAAAATAAATGAAGAAGAAGAAGAAAGAAAAGAGAAGACAAAGAAGAAGAAGAAGGAGAAGGAGGGGATGAGGGGGAGGAGGAGGAAGAAAGAAGAAGAAGGAGGAGGAGGGGAGGAGGGGGAAGAGGAGGAAGAAAGAAGAAGAAAACAAGAAGGAGGAGGAGGAGAAGAAGAAGAAGAAGGAGGCAGAGAAGAAATAACTCTTCCTTTGGACTGAAGCTCCAGCTCATGCCTCAGACTTCCAGTGTTCACATCTTGATGACCTGCCCCATAGATTTTGAACTTGCCTAGCCAGCCTCCACAATTATTTTCAAACAGCCTATCTATCTATCTATCTATCTATCCATCCATCCATCTAGTCCTACACGTTCTGTTTCTCTAATGAAACTCTGATACAGGCAGAGAATTTTTCTCTTATGAAAGTACAGTTTTATATTCAACCTTTGATGAGTTAATTATTAAAGTTTTCTAAATATTAGTAAATAAATATCACTTTGGCATAGTCTCTCCTGTGCATTCCATGTTATGGAGGCATCCATTTAAAAGGTCAGTAGTCAGTAATTTACTATTTCACATGTGTGTCATAACATGGTGAAGCAAAGAAATATTTATTTTCAGTTAATTGGCCAAACAATTGTAAAAATACTCTACATATTTACTTTACCATGAAAATAGATTACAGTAAAATTGGTTTTCCTTTTACTATGAAATCTATTTCATTTTCTTTATTTACCACTATTGCATTGCACTAGTACATTCAAACATCAATATTTAAAAACATTTCATCAAGAAGGTATGACACCAAAAAATACATCAGATGATTCTGATCTTCAGGGCCTTTGCCAAATGCCCTACTTATCTAGTTTTTGTGTTGGCCAAAAGTTTTTTTGGTTGGGATTAAGAAAAATAAAATTTAGCCAGCTTGAGAAAAACACAATAGTGGAAACTAGAAAACTGCCAAGAGAATAAGTAGTTCAAACTCTGGAGACCTCAATCTGTGTTAATCTCCAGCATGACATCTTCCTTTTTTTTTGTTCATTTATTTATTTATTTTTGGCAGACTGACTTATCTCTGGTTTTCAGTGAGCATGGTCAGGATTCTGAGCACACAAGTGTCCAAGCAAGGCCTCCAATGTTGACCCTTCTCATGAAATTTAAAATACGCATAATAGTAATGTTACTTATAAATTTACTTCTTTATTAACACAAGGTTGCAATATTATTGAAAATTGAGAACAGTTTTCATCTTTTCTGCAATGCTTAGTCATGAGCAGATGCTGGGTTTTATGTTTAAATTATAGGGAATCTCACATTTCCTTTCAGTAGTTCTGAAGATCTAAAAATGTGAATCACTACTTTCTAGTATCTATTTTTCTTTCATATCTCCACCAACCTTGAATTCCATGTTCTATGAAGTGTAAATTACTAATGCTGGAATAACTAGGGTTGTTTTTACAGGATTTGAAACTGTAACAGAGGAAATGAGAGATGAATAATTTCTATTTGACTCACCATGTCAATATGAGATCTAGGACAAATCAAAATCCACCATATGAATCGAAGGGCAAAAAATTCCTGACCCCTGGGGAAGAAAATAAGTAACTTGAAGGATAGAGACGAAAGTATGGATTTTATGTAAATACAGTACAGACTGGTATCCTGACTGTTGCGGGAAGTCAGGGACCCCAAACAGAGGGAAAGGCTGAAGCCATGGCAGAAGAACGTGGATTGTGAAGATTTTATGGACATTTATTAGTTCCCCAAATTAATACTTTTGTAATTTCTTATGCCTGTCTTTACTGCAATCTCTAAACATAAATTGTGAAGATTTCATGGACACTTATCATTTCCCCAATCAATACCCTTGTGCTTTCCTGTGCCTGTCTTTACTTTAATCTCTCAATCCTGTCAGCTGAGGAGGATGCATGTTGCTTCAGGACCATGTGATAATTGCGTTAACTGCACAAATTGTACAGCATGTGTGTTTGAGCAATATGAAATCTGAGCACTTTGAAAAAAGAACAGGATAACAGCAATTGTTCAGGGAATAAGAGAGATAACCTTAAACTCTGACCGCTGGTGAGCCGGGTGAAACAGAGCCACATTTCTCTTCTTTCAAAAGCAAATGGGAGAAATATCGCTGAATTCTTTTTCTCAGCATGGAACATCCCTGAGAAAGAGAATGTGAACCTGGGGATGAGTTTCTGAACTGGCCCCCCTGGGGCGTGGTCGTCTCTTATGGCCGAGACTGCAGAGATGAAATAGACTCCAGTCTTCCATAGCACTCCCAGGCTTATTAGGAAGAGGACATTCCTGCCTAATAAATTTTGGTCAGACCGGTTGATCTCAAAACCCTGTCTGCTGATAAAATGTTATCAATGACAATGGTGCCTGAAACTTCACTAGCAATCTAATTTCGCCTCAGTGCTGTGGTCCTGTGATCTCACCCTGCCTCCACTTGCCTTGTGATGTTCTATTACCCTGTTAAGTACTTGATGTCTGTCACCCACACCTATTCGCACACTCCCTCCCCTTTTGAAAATCTCTAATAAAAACTTGCTGGGTTTTGTGGCTTGTGGGGCATCACGGAACCTACCGACATATGATGTCTCCCCCAGACACCCGGCTTTAAAATTTCTCTCTTTGGTACTCTGTCCCTTTATTTCTCAAGCTAGCTGATGCTTAAGGAAAATAGAAAAGAACCTACATGAATATCGGGACAGGTTCCCCGATACCTCACACCATTTAATTTTTTTGGCTTTGGTTTTTTTCTAAGTAAGGACTAGATTCCTTCTAGACTTTTGTTATGATAGATGAGCTTGTAGAATCATTTTGCATAAGTATTTTTAGTGTTTATTATTTGAAACAAAAGAACCACAATGAATAAAATCTATGTTTGGTCTTAGTAACAGTGGCAGAGTAGTAGAAACAGAAGTTTTAGAAAAATCATAGGTGTGTCTCAATTTAAAACAGGAACTAAAATGTAAAAGAAAGGAAGAAAGAGAAAGAAGAAAAAGTGAAGAAGGGAGGAAGGAAGAAAGAGAGGAAGGGAAGGATGAAGAAAGAAGGGAAGAAAGGAAGACAGAAGCAAGAAAGGGAAGAAGAAAGAAAATGAAGAAAAAAGAGAAAGAAGGAAAGATAAAGAAAAATATAATGGTGTTGTAATGAAATTGTAAATGTGGTGCCAGCTAACTCAGCTTTTCTCACAGGCTTCTTATATAATTAGCAAGGAAACTTTTAACCTAATTTTACTAAGTAAACAGTGTTTTTGAATGGAATCATATGTTTAATTATCACTCAAATCTTGTTTATTTTTTGGTGCATCATAAACCCAAGGAAGTTTCCCTCACATCGGATATAGTAATACAATTATCTAAGTTATTTTACAATTTATCTGTTCAGTCTATCAGTATTTACCATTTATGACTAACTGAGATTATTTTTAAGATAATATTTTTTTCTATGGCAATAACTTAGGATGTTTTATCACCCTTGATCAGCAAAGAACAATAAAAGAGACAGTCTTGAATCATTTTTCAAATTTAGATATTAGAAACAATGCCATAAGATTGAAAAATTTTTTAAAATTATGCTTTTTCTGTGTAATCATTTTCTCATTTTAATTATCATTTTCTCATTTTGATTCCCAGCCTCTGAGTGTAAGTATATGTATGTGTAAATCCACTTACAATGAAAAAATTTCATTTCATGAGGAAACATGTTGCACATTTTCTCCTTTATAAGCTTCTTGAATAGCATAATCTTTAGCACCAACCTATCTTATGGTCTTTTATTTCCTGCCACCTATCTCCCACTCCTTTTTGGGGGCCATTATGAATTACTAAGCAAAATCGAAGGATTGCATATGGTCTCTATAGTCTCTACAGATAAGGTGAAATCATTTAAGAAGACAGAATGGAGAGCTATTACTGGAATTTCTGCTTACTAGGGGAAGGTGCAGTCACAAGAGTTGTGTTATTGTTTAATGCAGCCTGGCATGTGGTTATAACGTACCTGGGTATGAAATAGACACATCTCCAGATTCTTGATACTCCAAAAATTCCAAGGAAATAACTCTAACAAATTCTATTAGGATATCCAAAATCATGTCACACTCAGAAAGAAGAGATACATTCAGAATGAAATAATATTATCATGCTGAAAGTAACAAGATTCAGAAGTATAATTGTTTCACAGTTCGGGTTTAAGTTAGGACCCTTAGTAATTTTTTAAATAGAGTTCTAGCTGGCAATTTTCTTCCCAAATCATATTGAAAAACTCATTTTTGCTGATTCTGTTTTGCAGATTTGTTTCTGAGAAATTGCATAGAATTATAGGAAAATAATAACTACCAATTTATTTCTATTTATTCTTATTTTTCTCATGCAGCATTTTCAATGAGTGTATATCAATGTATGACTCAGCTACCATCTGTGTATAACAATTAGGTCTTATATAAATAAGTCAATGCCCTTTTGTCAAATTGCCCACATGCCATTGTTTCCCTGTTCATGAAATTTTGCAAAACCCCTTCCTTGATATTAAAAATTTATGTAAAAACAAAGAAAAAATGAATTGTGAGATGCAGGAATCATCTGAAAATTTGGGAACACTAATACTGATTTTTAAAAACAAATTTAAAAATTAGATTTAACAATTTAAAAAAATGTATACTACTTTGATTTTTCCCATCAATCTATTTTTGTTTGGGTATCTATTTATATCCTGACAAAAATTCTTTGCATAGCTAAATATTAGTCAGGTTCTTGAGCCTCTTCTAGACCCAACTGGCAAATTTTTTGTAAAAACAAATTTAGCTAAGAACCCAGCTAAAGAATCCAGCTAATCCAATCAATATCTGATCACCAGCAGATCACCATACCTCATTAGATTTCTCATCCTTTATCCTCCAGGTGATGGCTGATCACCCTGGCCTGTCTTCAGTTACAATCTTATTAGGTCAGCTTATCCAGAATTCCTGTTACCTTTGATATTTCCTCTTAGTGATTTTCCATACTTTGACCTTTACCGTGCTTCTTGGCTATAAATTCCCATTTGGCCATGCTATCTACATTAGGAGTTGAGCCCAATCTCTCTCCTGTGCAATGGTCTTTATACCTATCACAATGGTCCTGAATAAAATCTGCCTTCCAGTGCTTTAAGAATTCTCATTGAAGAATTTTTTTTTTAACAATCCCCTATTCTGTTCTATGCAGTTTGGATGGATTTCTATCTTAGATGTCATTAAAAATGCCAAATAGAGAAAGATAAATACTAGGTATTGAGTTTAAAGATCAGTGGAAAACTTTAGCTTAAGATCAAATCATGCATTTATTCATATAATTATTCAAAAATATTTACTATGTACCCAATGAATGTTTTTTTGTGCTGTCCACATTTTAGAGCAATGAAAATAAAGTTAGAGCCATGAAATTAAATAAGATTGGCTTGCACTTGACAGATATTTAACAGATTTCTAATACGTATAGTTTTATGGATTTTAAAAATTAATTTGAAATACACAGAATAACAAAGGATCATATTTGAAATAAAAACTTTTTAAATTATTTCTACTTTTAAGACGTTTTCTCTCAAAGTGGGGTCCTATTATTAACTATCAGAATCTCCTGTGATATTTTTAAAAAGCATATTTCTGCAATTCTTTGGACTTACTGAACCTGTGTCTATGCAAATGAATTTTGTAAGTTATTTTTTCATAATAATCGCAGTAGAATCTAAAGTACTGGGACACACTTGGTACATTTCTATGTAAGAGATGAATAGAGGAACGTTGACTAAGCAGAGATAAATGAAATAGGCAGAGAAGTAATAGGAATTTTATGAGAAAGCAGATGAGAGAGGAAAAAGTGAAACAAAGAGATAAAGCTTGATGACAGAAAGTCATTGAGTTTGACAATGATAAGTCCATTGTTGGTGATGGTTTCAAATCTGTTATTGAAGTGATATATAGGGATATATATTTTTAAAAAGAAAATATTATGTAAATGTAACAACGGGAGAAAGACTTTCACTCGTCAAGTTTTTCATCTGTTTTGTTCATGTGTGATTTTCTCTGTTTAGGAGAAATTGTATAAAGACTACTCAGTGAAATGAAGGAGTGAGTGAATAATAAAATCAGATCAAACAATCTTATTTTATTATTACATAGCTGATCTGTTTCTACTTTGGTAAGTACTTGGAAACACAAAAATGGACAAGTAGATTTCAATATGCCCTTAGGGCTTTGAATTTCAATGTACAGTTTTATACTAATAGATTACATCTCTATAAATAGGGAACCTATTAAACAATTTGCAGAATGGTGTCTGGTCCATTTACATAGGAAGAAGAATAACTCTTCCTAAACTGGGTATTTAAATAAATAGTTCATCTCTATGTTATTATGTGTTCATTAAATAGAATTTTCTTATGATGATAAAAGGTTAAGCTTTTACGAGTTCTTTTAAGGTAAAAATATGTAATTGGGAGACATTTATGCTTTAATTTTCTTTAAGAAATGTGAACAAATTAATTGATTAGAAAACTATTCTATGGGAGGAGATGAGAACCCAACATGCTGAAGTTCAAGCCTGATAATATCTGATCGAGTTTGAAAAGGGAAGAACCTAACTGGTCAATTTTATTGGTTCTTATAGAATACAAAATCTTTTTAAAAAAATTTATATAACTTTATAGAGTAGAAGTATAATTTTGTTATATGGATACATTTTGTAGCGGTGAAGTCAAGGCTTTTAGTGTACTCATTAAGTAATTTCTCATCATTCACCTGTCTCCCACCCACCCCTACCCTTCTGAGTCTCCATCGTCTATCATTTCACACTCTGTGTTCATATGTACACATTATTTAGCTCACACTCATAGATGAGAACATGTGGTATTAGTCTCAATGTTTCTGAGATACAGATTTAAGAGTCATTAGACCATTACACACTTCCACAGCAACAAGTTTTATCTATAGATATTTTTTTCTTTTGTTGTCGTTGTTTTTCTTTTGTTGTTGTTGTTGAGGCGGAGTCTCACTGTGTCGCCCAGGCTGGAGTGCAGTGGTGCGATCTAGACTCAGTGCAAGCCCCGCCTCCCAGGTTCACGCCATTCTCCTGCCTCAGCCTCCCAAGTAGCTGGGATTACAGGCGCCCGCCACCACGCCCGGCTAATTTTGTTTTGTATTTTTAGTAGAGACGGGGTTTCACCATGTTAGCCAGGATGGTCTTGATCTCCTGACCTCGTGATCTGCCTGCCTCGGCCTCCCAAAGTGCTGGGATTACAGGTGTGAGCCACCGCGCCCAACCTATAGAATTTTTAAAGCTGTATTTTTCATTTCTCTGCTTATTTTTTCTCCACCTGTGGATAAAATCCAGATATTTTTACACTAATGACAGAGAAAAAGAAATACTTTTATCTTCTATTCAACTCGTTAAAAATTAAGTAACAGGAGGAAATGTGCTTATGTGAAGAGCACATATAGAAGTTACTTTACCTTTTCACTAAGTTTATGGAGTGGTTCAATGCCTAGTGTATGATTTGGTAATGCAGTCTTATCATTCAGTACTGTTTAGTATTAATAAGACATCTAACTGATCAAAATCATTTAAAAAGTTGAAATTGAAGTGAAAGTTAAATATTCTTGGCAGATAATATGAAGTTTATGACAGATTCTTCACTCTGACAGTGGCTTTTTCTTCAGAATCTAAATCACTTTGACCTCTTTTTTACTATTTTAAATTGCAAAACACCATAATTTTTTTCATCAATCCAGAAACTTCTATCAGCAAAATGCATTGCTATCTTCAACTGTCAAGTAATTCATGATCTAATATTAGAGCGAAAGACATTTAAAAATAAATAGGTATCTTTTCCAACCAAGTGCACAGGACATCTTCTCATCTGACAAATTTAAAATTGATATTTATCAACATGAGGAAAATATGGCAAAATACCAAAGTTTAAATTCAGTCTATTCTATGAACCTATAGCATATTGACCTGTCATGCATGTCAAAATCAATCAGTGCCTGAATTTCTAACAGCTTTGAACCTGGAGAAAAATCGTTTTTACTGTTTTCATTTTCAATTCTCACTCACCATCAAATTTTGTTGAGGTTTTAGATATAAGTTTTAACAACATACAGTACAGAGGAAAAAACACCTTCAGAATATTTCCTATAGTTTGCTGGTCAAAAACACCCCTCTCCCCCATAAAGTATTCAGCCTTCTGAGCCTTATTTTCTACACTTTCATAATACACATGCTACTATCAATTGTTCTTTAGATACAGTGCATATCACTATTCATATTGCTATAAATGAGGTCTGAAAACCTCACTCCTAAAATTATTTAACTTTTGTATAAATTAATTTTAATTTAATAACTATGTGTAGAACAGCATATTATTTTCTAGGCAAATAGACTTCAGTAGAATATATTAGTAACTATACAGGTAAATACAACTTAAGAGAAATACTTAACAACATAGAATTGTCTTTTTATTTAAATGTTTTTTCATAAAAACAGTTTTGTTTTCATATTATTTCAAATCATGTGAGAGTTATAAAATGGCATTTGACCAAATGAATACGACGCTGCATATAATTTCTCAGGTTAATGAAAATCAAAATAAAAAAATGTTCCAGAGTCTATTAAGTTTATGGAATCATGACATGATTTTGTTTACATAGTATTTTATTTCATTCTAAAACACATTTTACAGTATTTTAGAATCACAGTCTGCCAAGTGTGGTGGCTCATGCTTATGATCTTAGTACTTTGTGAGGCCAAATCAGGAGTATTGCTTGAAGCCAGGAGTTTGAGACCAGCCTGGGCAAAAAAGTGAGACCCCTGTCTCTGCAAAAAATTAAAAAATTTAGCCAGGCCAAGTGGGGCCTGCCTTTAGTCCCAGGGAGCGTGAGCTATGATTGCACCACTGCGCTCCAGGCTGGGTTACAGAGATACCCTGTCTTAATAAAACAAAACAAAAACCATGAACATGATAAAGATATAGCAAGCATTTGTTTATCCACCATGGAATTTGAGTAATAATACAAATAATTTTAAAATTTTCTTTATAACACTCTGTGATCACTATCTTAACTCCTTTCCCCACCCTTCACTCATCAAACACACAGAAACACTCTAGAATGTGTAATTTGTCATTCACCTAATTTCATTTCTACAGGTTTTTACTATATAAGTATATATATGTTTGTAAATACCTAGATAGTATAGCATTATTATATTTTAAATGTTAAATTATTGGTGCCTGTTGTATCTATTATCTGTGGCATTCTGTTTTTAGGTAGGAATACAGTGTATTCCATGTTAAATTGATACTAGGTTATATTTAAAATTGTTTTGTTGATGAACCTTTAAGTTGTTGCCACTGCTATTTCGATACAAGTTACACTGATAAGAGCATTTCTATGACTCTCTCCTTGGGCACAGATGTGAAAATTTCTTCAAATTTACACTTAGGAATACAACTGCTGTTTTATAGAATAAGTATATGCATTTTTAAATATATGAGATATTGTCAAATCTCTCTCCAAAAGCTGAAACAATTTGCAACAAAAACATCAGTTTTATGTTTTCCTACATATTTGAAAGTACTTGATATTGTCATACTTCAGTGATTCTTAAGGGAGGATAATGCCCCCTGAGGTATTTGGCATTATTAAGGGAATTTTTGGTTTTGTTTTTGTTTCCTCTGGGGTATTTGCTAGAAGTTTTATTTTTTATTGTGCTAAAATGTACAAAACATAAAATTTACCTTTTTAAACACTTTTGAGTATACAGCTCAGTGGTATTAAGAACACCCATTCTGTAGGCATTCTCCTATTTTAAAAGAAATAAAAAAAGAGCATTCATAGTGTTGTACAGCCATCGCCACTCCCCATCTCCAGAACTTTTCATCTTCCTAAACTGAAACTCTGAATCCAATAAACACTAAATCCTTACCCTTCCCTCCCCTATCCCCTGGCAATCACTATACTACTTTTTGTCTCTATGAATGGGAGGAACTATTCTACATACTCCATATAAGTAGAATCCTCCAGTAATTGTCCTTTTGTTACTGTCTTGTTTTACTTAGCATAATGTCCACAAAATTCATTCATGTTGTAGCATGTGTCAGAAATCTCCTTCCTTTTTAAAGCTAAATGATGTTCCTTTGTATGTATGTACCACATTTGTTTATTCATTCATGCATCAATAAACACTTGACTTGTTTCTGTCTTTGGCTATTGTAAATAATGCTGTTAGAAACATGGCTGTTCAAATGTCTGTTCAAGACTGATTTCAATTCTTTTGAATGTATATTCAAATGTGTCATTGCTGGATCATATGGTAATTCTATATCTAATTTTTTGAGGAATAGCTATATTGTTTTCGATATAGTTTGTGCCACTTTACATCCCACCAGCAATGCACAAGGGTACCAGTTTCTCCACATCCTCACTAACACTTATCTTCTGTTTTTTTACTTCATAATAGCCATCCCAGTCTGCAAAGGTTTGATTGCCACCACCTGAGGTGTACTACTTTCATGTACTAGGTAGGGTTTAGGGATGTTGCTAACATCCTACAATTCACAGGACAGTTTTCTGCAATGAAAAATTAGCCAGCCCAAGATATTAATGGTGCCAAGGTTGAGAAATTTGATCATACTTATTAGTACTTTTTTTTTTAACAAATGGAAGAGTACAAAATGACATTGAATTATATATTAAGATGTATACATATACCTATTGTTATATTTACTATAAAATAAAATCCTATTGAGAATTCCTGAGTTATATCAATTAACAAAATGTTTCAAATCAGTCTTTATGATTTAGACTGTTTAAACCACAAATATAGTAAATACCTACATTAATTTAGGCCTTTCTGTGTTTAATTTTAATTCATATCTTTATCTTCTTTTCAGTAAAGTTAATTTTAAGAAGCTGAAACTTTCTCTGTGTCCTCACATCTTGCATAGTATTGTTTCTGATATTTAATCCACATTTGTTTTAAAAATATATAAATAATTGTATTTTCTATTGATAATTATGAAAGTTTATGCAAATTTTATCAATGCCTTTTTTGTCAGTTTTTCTCACATCCCACTTCCACTTTCTTATATTATTTTCCTTAGTATTAAATTATATCTTTAAATTTCTCTCATGGGTTAATAAAGAAAAAATTCTTGAAAGACACAAAAGAGAATAGACAGGTTTCATACAATTGAAAAGTAGTCATGCTGACGATAACTTTTACACACAATAATAGAAACTAAAATACAGTGGAATAATCTATTTAAAGTGCTAAGAAAAATAATTGTCAAACTATAATTCCATACCCAAATCACTGTCATTTATTGTAAAAATAGTATGAATACTCCTCAAATGTAATGAGAGTTATTATTAACAATTTTCCCTCTAGATATTTATCATGAAAATAAATAATACTTGGATGAAGCAGCAGAGTCCAAAAAGCGATAATGAAAAAGGATACAATAGTTTTGTTTTAAAAATTTGCTCTGCTAGTGACTCAGTGTGTTTTTCAGTATGAAAAAAATACCTTTTCTGAATTCTGAAAAAAACCTAAGCCATCACATATGCATTTTATTTCTCTAGTATTTTAATAACAACGTTAAGCCCTCCATCTCTTATCTCTTCTTGTATTTTAATTGAAGATATTTCTAAGCACCTTATTTTTGCCCCATTGCTAACTTCCTTGTGTTATGTTTCAATATCTCTGAAGAATTTTAAAAAACTGTTTTAGTTATGTCTTTCAATGTATTAATTTCCTTTTGCAGCTTCGTTATTTCAGTGTAACCTATTATTTAAGTTTTATGTTTCTTCTCAGTGTAATTTTGTTGTGTGTACTTTTCATCAACATAATAATTGTTCGTTATTTTTCAAATTCACCTATTTTAATTTTACAATGTTGAAGTCATTTTCAAGAGTTCTTATTTCATCTTCTATAATTCAGAACAGTTTATAAAGACTGTAACTTTCTTTTATGATTTATAAATTCTTAGATTGTTTCTCCACTTACTGGACATGTGCACTGTCTTTAACTCTATATCCTGTTATTTTTGTAGGCATGAGCCACTGCACCCAGCCCAATCTTCTTATTTCTACAGGGTAATTCAGACTCTTGTGTTTCCTTTTTGTTTTGGGAACACAGAAATATTTTTTTCTCACTTTTACATGAGCCAAAAGTATATTAGCCAAAAGTATAAATGCTTTATGAAATGTTTTATGTTTAGAACGTCTACTTTCACTAATGAGTCTGCCATGTTCCCTGGAGACACACTATTTCTATATTATTTACTGATTATTTAAATTTGCATAACTGTCCAGGGAAACTATCTGATCCAAGTTTACACATTTACTAAGTGATAGCTTTAAAATTATAATCTAAATTTCTTAGCTTTTTGTTAAGTGACTTTTATTTTCTATCCAATAATAAACTATGTACTTTTTACAACCTACCTTCATTATTTTCAAGAAAAAGAATAAATAATATATGTAATGCCCCATAGAATTGCAAGTTTAATTCATATACATAATATCTTTTAAACAAATGGGATATGCTTGTATAAATGCTTGTCAGAAATCTTATCATTTACCTTAACGTACTAACCCCTTGATTATTTTTCAAAACAACAAGGTCATTTAGTATACACTCTCTTTTTTTATAGTAAATGAGAAACCGATTTTGTTTATTCAAAGTATACTTGAGGAACAAATGCAAAGTGAAAATTCTCACTTTTACCAAATTAATTTGGTAATATTATATAATATTTTATATAATAATTATATAATTATATAATTATTATATTATTATATTATATAATTATATAATTATATAATATAATTATATAATATTTAATATTTATATACTTTTAAAGTCATATAATATCTAATAATATATGCTATTAGACAGAGTTTAGACAAAAATGAAACAATTTACATAACATCAACAATTCAGTACAGATGTCAAAATGACAACACTTTTGTTTCAACAGAAACCAATGACATTTGTGTGTGGTTGAGAAATGTGTGCCTGATTGTCTAAAGGAAATATTATATCATATTTTTGTCATTTCATTGAAAGCGTTCCCACAAAACTTCTGCTGGATTTTGTGCAGAAGGCAAAATTTGTTATAAAACCTCAGTCAGCCACACTGTTGAATTTTTAAGATTACCTTGGGACTTGAAGTTAGTAACAATAGGACTTCAAGACAGACCATCTTGCCATGACCAGGTCAGTGACTTGGAAATAAAGTCAGAGAAAAGCAATGTGAAAATAAGTCTAAATGAAGATAAAAACAGGGATTAGAAAATTGGTTGTTGAGTCTTTCAGAAATAGAAAAAGAAAAGAGATTCTAATCAGTGAAGAAACTAACATTTTAAAAGAGAGTAATGGAAGTAAAGAAGTTTTTACATAGTAGTCTGAATTGGATTATTTTTTAAAAATTTTTATTTGGAGTCTCTTTTTATATCAGTTATTCAATTAACATTTGCTTGCCTGTTTAGTTTCACACATGCTTGAATGTGTGTACATGTTTAGTGTATTTATTTATAAAAGTACTGTTTGGTGAGGGTATGTGCGTGATGTGAGGGTATATTGGTGAATATACAAAGGCCTGACTTGTTCACCAGTGTGTCCTCAGAGCCTGGTCATATTACCCTTCAATGAATATATATTGAGTGCAGGGTTAAAACCCATCACACATCCAAGAAGAACCATAGTCAATTTGTTTGCAAAATGCAGTCATTTATTTTGCTCATAAATTTTCAGCCTGGGCAAGTGACAGGGGAACAACTTTCTCTGGTCAAGTTAGCATCAGCTAGGGTACAACTGTCCAGGGTAACTATCTAATCCAAGTTTACACTTTACCAAGAACAAAAAATGGCTGGATGAAAGAATCTGAGGACCTGTAATCCCAGCACTTTGGGAGGCCGAGGCGGGCGGATCACGAGGTCAGGAGATCGAGACCATCCTGGCTAACACGGTGAAACCCCGTCTCTACTAAAAATACAAAAAATTAGCCGGGCGTGGTGGTGGGCGCCTGTAATCCCAGCTACTCGGGAGGCTGAGGCAGGAGAATGGCATGAACCCAAGAGGCGGAGCTTGCAGTGAGCCGGGATAGCACCACTGCAGTCCAGCTTGGGCGAAAGAGTGAGACTCCGTCTCAAAAAAAAAAAAAAAAAGAATCTGAGGAAGCCTCCCACACTCATTTGCCTGGCAGTTAACACTGCCTACCAGCTGGGAATCAACTAAACCAAACTCTATACTGCAAAACCTACATGCGACCTAAGTGCCTAGTCAGAAACTGTATTTTCTATTGTGACAATTATGCAAATTAACCCAAATACAAGAGTTTAAAAATTGTATTTATTTCTTAATTAAGCTTTTAAAATACTTTAAAAGAGATTTTTACATAGCAGTATACTACCTGAGCCATTAAAAAAATGCTTTCCAATTTATTATTGAAAAGCACTTCTTTATGGCTTAGGTAATATATTGTCATGTAAAAGGTACTTTGCAAATTCTTCTTTAATAGAATATGCACTATAACATTAAAATGCATTTTATAGAATTCTAGGATTTTACCTTTGTAAAGTGGTTAGGTTATCTATAGTCAGTTTCCTCATTTTATCAGTAGGACTTGGACTAGCCATGTGACCTGACCTTGGACAAAATATTACTTGGATATTGAGAAGTTTTTGATTCAGGAGCTTTAATGATTAAAGCTAAATAAATTGCATTAACTTACGCAAAATTTTTACATTAGACATTGTAACTATAACATCTGACTACTTCTTCTCCTTAACAATTAAAATAAGACTTTATCTGCTTTATTAATTAATAAATCCTGAATAAATTCAGCACAAGAGGTAACAGAGTAGTGTTGTAACCATTTGCAGAGAGAGGATAGCCCCTACCTGAAGTTTGGCTTAGCTATTGAGACTGATGATCTCAGTCTCAGCTATTGAGACTGATGATCTCAGTCTCAGCTATTGAGACTGATGATCTCAGTCTCAGCTATTGAGACTGATGTATTGAGACCGTACAAATCCATTAAGAAGGAATGAAAAGTATACTGCTGACATGAGGATTCTTTCTGAGAACGTTGTGTGGCTCCCAACCAGGTTTCAAAACAGCTTGAGAGGACAGGGAAAGATTAACTTGGCTCTGGGGTGAAGCAGAGTTGAAGCTTCCCATGAGCAGAAAATTGTGTGTGTGATTTTGTTTGTTTCACTGTATATTAACATATTATAATTGTGTATACTTATGACATGCACAATGATGTTATAATATGTGTATATAATGTGGGATGATTAAACCAATCAATCAGTATATCCATTATTTTAAATACTTCCTTTTTGCCCCTCTTGTGTAACCAAAATTGTGTGCTGTTTGAGCAACATCTCTCCATCCTCCCCACACCCTAACCACCACTTTACTTTCTGTTTCTGTAAGTTTGATTATTTTAGATTCCACATATAAATCAGAACATGCAGTACTTGTCTTTCTGGGACTCACTTATCTCATTTAGTGTAATATCTACCAGGTTCATTCATGTTGTAAGTGACAGATTTTTTTTTTCTTAAGGCTGAATAATATTCCACTGTATATGTTCCGTATTTTTTTAATCCATTCATTCACTGATGAATACTTAGGTTGATTCCATATCTTGATGATGTGAATGATGTTGCAATGGAAATGGAAGTTCAGATATTTTGTTAACATGATTTTATTTCCTCTGGATATGTACCCAGTAGTGGGATCCCTGTACATATAGTAGTTCTACTTTTAACCTTTTGAGAAACCTTCATAATGTTTTCTTTTTTTATTGTTATTATACTTTAAGTTCTAGGGTACATGTGCACAACATGCAGGTTTGTTACATATGTATACATGTGCCATGTTGGTGTGCTGCACCCATTAACTAGTCATTTACATTAGGTATATCTCCTAATGCTATCCCTCCCCCCTCTCCCCACCCGACAACAGTCCCCGGTGTGTGATGTTCCCCTTCCTGTGTCCATGTGTTCTCATTGTTCAATTCCCACCTATGAGTGATAACATGCGGTGTTTGGTTTTTTGTCCTTGCAATAGTTTGCTGAGAATGATGGTTTCCAGCTTCATCCATGTCCCTACAAAGGATATGAACTCATCATTTTTTATGGCTGCATAGTATTCCATGGTGTATATGTCCACATTTTCTTAATCCAGTCTATCATTGATGGAAATTTGGGTTGGTTCCAAGTCTTTGCTATTGTGAATAGCGCCACAATAAACTTACATGTACATGTGTCTTTATAGCAGCATGATTTATAATCATTTATATATACCCAGTAATGGGATGGCTGGGTCAAATGGTATTTCTAGTTCTAGATCGTTGAGGAATCGCCACACTGACTTCCACAATGGTTGAACTAGTTTACAGTCCCACCAACAGTGTAAAAGTGTTCCTATTTCTCCACATCCTCTCCAGCACCTGTTGTTTCCTGACTTTTTAATGATCGCCATTCTAACTGGTATGAGACGGTATCTCATTGTGGTTTTGATTTGCATTTCTCTGATGGCCAGTGATGATGAGCATTTTTTCATGTGTCTGTTGGCTGCATAAATGTCTTCTTTTGAGAAGCGTCTCTTCATATCCTTCACCGACTTTTTGATGGGGCTTTTTTTTTTTTAATTGTAAATTTGTTTGAGTTCATTGTAGATTCTGGATATTAGCCCTTTGTCAGATGAGTAGATTGCAAAAATTTTCTCCCATTTTTTAGGTTGCCTGTTCACTCTGATGGTAGTTTCTTTTGCTGTGCAGAAGCTCTTTAGTTTAATTAGATCCCATTTGTCAATTTTGGCTTTTGTTGCCATTGCTTTTGATGTTTTAGACATGAAGTCCTTGCCCATGCCTATGTCCTGAATGGTATTGCCTAGGTTTTCTTCTAGGGTTTTTATGATTTTAGGTCTAATATTTAAGTCTTTAATCCATCTTGAATTAATTTTTGTATAGGGTGTAAGGAAGGGATTAGTTTCAGCTTTCTACATATGGCCAGCCAGTTTTCCCAGCACTACTTATTAAATAGGGAATCCTTTCCCCATTTCTTGTTTCTGTCAGGTTTGTCAAAGATCAGATGGTTGTAGATGTGTGGTATTATTTCTGAGGGCTCTGTTCTGTTCCATTGGTCTATATCTCTGTTTTAGTACCAGTATCATGCTGTTTGGTACCAGTATCATGCTGTTTTGGTTACTGTAGCCTTGTAGTATAGTTTGAAGTCAGGTAGTGTAATGCCTCCAGCTTTGTTCTTTTGGCTTTGGATTGTCTTGGCAATGCAGACTCTTTTTTGGTTCCACATGAACTTTAAACTAGTTTTTTTCCAATTCTGTGAAGAAAGTCATTGGTAGCTTGATGGGGATGGCATTGAATCTATAAATTACCTTGGGCAGTATGGCCATTTTCACTATATTGATTCTTCCTATCCATGCACATGGAATGTTCTTCCATTTGTTTCCTCTTTTATTTCGTTGAGCAGTGGTTTGTAGTTCTTGAAGAGGTCCTTCACATCCCTTGTAAGTTGGATTCCTAGGTATTTTATTCTCTTTGAAGCAATTGTGAATGGGAGTTCATTCATGATTTGGCTCTCTGTTTGTCTGTTATTGGTGTGTAAGAATGCTTGTGAGTTTTGCACATTGATTTTGTATCCTGAGACATTGCTGAAGTTGCTTAACAGCTTAAGGAGTTTTTGGGCTGAGACAATGGGGTTTTCTAAATATACAATCATGTCATCTGCAAACAGGGACAATTTGGCTTCCTCTTTTCCTAATTGAATACCCTTTATTTCTTTCTCCTGCCTGATTATCTTGGCCAGAACTTCCAACACTGTATTGAATATGAGTAGTGAGAGAGGGCATCCCTGTCTTGTACCAGTTTTCAAACGGAATGCTTCCAGTTTTTGCCCATTCAGTATGATATTGGCTGTGGGTTTGTCATAAATAGCTCTTATTATTTTGAGATACATCCCATCAATACCTAATTTATTGAGAGTTTTTAGCATGAAGGGCTGTTGAATTTTCTCGAAGGCCTTTTCTACATCTATTGAGATAATCATGTGGTTTTTGTCTTTGGTTCTGTTTATATGCTGGATTACATTTATTGATTTGCGTATGTTGAACCAGCCTTGCATCCCAGGGATGAAGCCCACTTGATCATGGTGGATAAGCTTTTTGATGTGCTGCTGGATTCAGTTTGCAAGTATTTTATTGAGGATTTTTGCATCGATGTTCATCGGGATATTGGTCTAAAATTCTCTTTTTTTGTTGTGTCTCTGCCAGGCTTTGGTATCAGGATGATGCTGGTGTCATAAAATGAGTTAGGGAGGATTCCCTCTTTTTCTATTGATTGGAATAGTTTCAGAAGGAATGGTATCAGCCCCTCCTTGTACCTCTGGTAGAATTCAGTTGTGAATCTGTCTGGTCCTGGACTTTTTTTGGTTGGTAGGCTATTAATTATTGCCTCAATTTGAGAGCCCGTTATCAGTCTATTCACTAATAGCTGTACTAATTCACATTCCCACCAACAATGTACAAGGGGTCTCTTTTGTCCAAATCCTCAGAGACACTTTTTATCTTTCATCTTTTTGATAATAGCCACTCTAACAGAGGTGAGGTGAGAGCTCATTGTTTTTTGAATTTGCATTTCTCTGATGATCAGTTTTGTATTTTTTCATATATCTGTCAGCCCTTTGTATGTCTTCTTTTAAGAGATGTCTATTCAGATTCTTTGCCCCATTTTAACTGAATTACTTGTTTTCTTGCTATTGAGTGTTTGAGTTCATTATATTTTTGGATATTAACTCCTTATGACATTTATGGCTTGCAAATATTTTCTCCCATTCAATAGGTTGTCTTTTTACTCTGTTGATTACCTTTTTATTTGTTTTTCTTTTATTTATTTATTTATTTATTTATTTTTGCTCTGCAGAGCATTTTAGTTTGTTGAAATCCCACTTGTCAATTTGTGCCTTTATTGCCTGAGCTTCTGGAATCAAATCCAAAAAAATCATTGCTCAGAACACCTTCATTTAGATTTTTTTCTATCTTTCCTCTAGTGGTTTTACAGTGTCATGTCTTATGTTTAAGTAACTAATCTATTTTGACTTAATTTTCATTTATGCTGTGAGATAATAGTCCAATTTTATTCTTCATGTGCAAGTCCAGTTTTCCTAACATCCTTTGTCGAACAGACTGTCCTTTTCATATTGTGTGGTCTTGACACCTTTGTTGCAAATCAATAGGTGGATTTATATGTGGGCTTTCTGTCATGTTCTATTGGTGGATTTATCTGTTTCTGTGTAAGTGCCATGCTGTTTTGACTATTGTAGCTTGGTAATATATTTTGAAATCAGGAAGTGTTATGCCCTCAACTATTTTCTTTTTCCTCAAGATTACTTTGGCTATTTAAGGTCTTTTGTAGTTCTATATGTGTGGGTTTATTTCCAGACACCCTATTCTCTTTCATAGGTCAGTGTGTCTGTTTTTATGCCAGTACCATGTCATTTTAATTACAGTAACTTTGTAATATCACTTGAAATCAGGAAGTGTGAAAACTTCAGCTTTTTTCTTTTTGCTAAACATTGCCTTGGCTATCCAGAGTTTTTGGTTGTTTCATACAAATTTTTAAATTTTTTTTCTATTTGTGTAAAAAATGACATTGTAATTTTTATATGGATTACCTTGAATCTGTGGATTGACTTGGGCAGTATAGAAATTTTAGCAGTAACAGTTCTTCCAATTCATCAACATAGGATATTTTTCCATTTATTTTTGCATTTTCAGTTCCTTTTATTGGTATTTTAGAGTTCTGTCTTTGGTTAAATTTATTTCTTAGTATTTTTTATTTTTTAGCAACTGTAAATATAATTATATTCTTGATTTCTTTTTTAGATAGTTCATTGTTAATGTATAGAAACACTACTGATTTGTGTGTGTTAATTTTGTATCCTGCAAGTATACTTTATTTGGTCATTTGTTCTAAGGGTTTTTAATGGTGTCTTTAGGAATTTCTGTATATATGATCAAGTAATCATCAAACATCTACATTTTTACCCCTTCCTCTTCAATTAGGATTCCATTTACTTATTTATTTATTTTTGTAGGTCTGATTGCTCTGGTTAGAACTTTCAGTACTATGTTTAACAGAAGTGATAAGAGTGAGCATCCTTGTCTTGTTCCTGATTGTAGAGAAAAAACTCAACTTTTCACCATTGAGTACAATGTTAACTATGAGCTAATATATGGTCTATGTGGCCTTTATTATGATAAAGTAGATTGCTTATGAATCTAATTTGTTGAGAGATTTTGTTATGAAAAGATGTTTAATTTTGTCAATTTTCTGTATTTAATAAAAAGATCATATGGGTTTTATCCTTCATTTTGTTAACATGCTGTATCATATTTATAAATTTACACATTCTGAACTATCCTTGCAACTCAGAGATAAATCCCACTTCATCAGGATGAATGATTTTTTTAATGTGCTGTTGACTTCAGATTGTTAGTATTTTGTTGATAATTTTTGTTATCTATGTTTACCAGGGATTGTATTTTATATGGTTTGGCTGTGTCCCCATCCAAATCTCATCTTGAATCCCCACATGATGTGAGGAGGTACCTGGTGGGAGGTAAGGGGAGCATGGGGTTGGGTCTTTCCTGTGCTGTACTCATGATAGTGAATAAGTCTCACAAGATGGCTTTGAAAATGGGAGTTTTCCTGCACAAACGCTCTCTTGCCTGCTGCCGTTTACATAAGATGTGACTTGTTCCTCCTTGCCTTCCACCATGATTGTGCGGCCTCCCCAGCCAGGTGAAACCGTAAGTCCATTAAACCTCTTTCTTTTGAAAATTGCCCAGTCTTGAGTATGTCTTTATCAGCAGTGTGAAAATGGACTAATATAGTAAATTGGTACCAGTAATGTTGGGCATTGCTGAATATATACCTGAAAATGTAGAAGCAACATTGGAACTGGGTAACAGGCAGGGGTTGGAACAGTTCGGAGGGCCCAGAAGAAGAGAGGAAAATGTGGGCAAGTTTTGAACTTCCTACAAACTTGTTGAATGCCTTTTCCCAAAATGCTGATAGTGATTTAGACAATAAAGTCCAGGCTGAGGTGCTCTCAGCTGGAAATGAGAAACTTATTGGGAACTGGAGGAAAGGTGACTCTTGTTATGTTTTACCAAAGAGACTGGCAGCATTTTGCCCTTCCCTGGAGATTTGTAGAACTTTGACTTTGAGAGAGATGACTTAGGGTATCTGGTGGAAGAAATTTGTAAGCAGCAAAACATTCAAGGTGTGATTCGGGTGCTGTTAAAGACATTCAGTTTTATAAGGGAAACAGAGCATAAAAGTTTGGAAAATTTGCAGCCTGGCAATGTGATAGAAAAGAAAATCCCATTTTTTCAGGAGAAATTAAAGCCAGCTGTAGAAATGTGCATAAGTAGCAAGGAGCAGAATGTGAATCCCCAAAACAATGGGGAAAATGTCTTCAGGGCATTTCAGGGGTCTTCATGGCCACCCCTCCCATTACAGACCCTGAGGCCTAGGAGGAAAAAGTGGTTCCATGGGCCAGACCCAGGATCCCTGTGCTGTGTGCAGCCTAGGGACTTGGTGCCCTGTGTCCCAGCCACTCCAGCCATGGATGAAAGGGGTCAATGTAGAGCTCGGGCCATAGCTTCAGAGGATGCAAGCCTCAAGCCTTGGCAGCTTCCACATGGTGTTGAGCCTGCCACTGTACAGAAGTCAAGAATTGGGGTTTGGGAATCTCTGCCTAGATTTCAGCAGATATATGGGAATGCCTGGATGTCCAGGCAGAAATTTGCTGCAGAGGTGGGGGTCTCATGGAGAACCTCTACTAGGCCAGTGCAGAAGGGAAATGTGGAGTTGGAGCCCCCACACAGAGTCCCTACTGGAACACCATCTAGTGGAGCTTGAGAAGAGGTCCACCATCCTCCAGACCTCAGAATGGTAGATCCACTGACAACTTACCATGCACCTGGAAAAGCCACAGACACTCAATGCCAGCCTGTGAAAGCAGCCAGGAGGAGGGCTATACTATGCAAATCAACAGGGCCAGAGCTGCCAGAGACCATGATAACCCACCTCTTGCATCAGCATGACCTGGATGTGAGACATGGAGTCAAAGAAGATCATTTCAGAGCTTTACGGTTTGATTGCTCTGCTGGATTTTGGACTTGCATGAGGTCTGTAGACCCTTTGTTTTGGCCAATTTCTCCCATTTGGAATGGCTGTATTTACCCAATGCCTGTACCCTCATGTATCTAGGGAGTAACTAACTTGCTTTTGATTTCACAGGCTCACAGGCAGAAGGGACTTGCCATGTCTCCAGTGAGATTTTGGACTGTGGACTTTTGAGGTAATGCTGAAATTAGTTAAGACTTTGGGGGACTGCAGGGAAATCATGATTGGTTTTGAAATGTGAGGACATGAGATTTGGAAAAGGCTAGGGGTGGAATGATAAGGTGTTCCCATCCAAATCTTATCTTGAACTCCCACATGTTGTGGGAGGGACCTGGTGGGAGGTAGGCAAATCATGGGGGCAGGTCTTTCTCGTGCTGTTCTCGTGATAGTGAATAAGTCTCATGAGATCTGATGATTTTAAAAATGGGAGTTTTCCTGTGCAAGCTCTCTCTCTTGCCTGCTGCCATCTACGTAAGATGTGACTTGCTCCCTCTTACCTTCTGTCATGATTGTGAGACCTCCCCAGGCATGTGGAACTATAAGTCCAATAAACCTTTTTATTTTGTAAATTGCCCAGTCTTGCACATATCTTTATCAACAGTGTGAAAACAGATGCTGTATTAGTTTGTTTTCACACTGCTATAAAGATACTACCTGAGACTGGGTCATTTATAAAGAAAAGAGATGTATTTTCCTCACAGTTCTTCATGGCTGGGAATGCCTCAGGAAACTTACAGTCATGGCAGAAGGGGAAGCAGGCATGTCTTACATGGTGGCAGGCAAAAGAGAGGAAGCAAAGGGGGAAGAGCTACTTATAAAACCATCAGATCTCATGAGAACTTATTCACTATAATGAGAACAGCATGGGGGAAATCACCCTCATGAACCAATTACCTCCCAACAAGATCCTCCTGGGGATTACAATTTGAGAGGAGATTTGGGTGGGATCACAAAGCCAAGCCATATCAGGTATATTGTCCTGTAATTTAGTTTTCTTGTAATGTCCTGCCTTTTGGTATCAGGGTAGTGGTTTGAACCTACTACAGAAGTTAAAGGAAGGAGCACCTAGGATTTGCTATCACTTACTCAAATGTGAGGAAGGATCGGAGAGAAAAAAGTGGGAAGCAAATGATATTTAAAAGTTGTCAGAAGTCAAACACCTACAAAATCAAATCAGATTTTTTAATACAAGTAGACATAATTTTTATGTATCATATGTAAGCTTTTGTACATGACATAATATGGAGGGCTCTCAAAAATCCTTAACTTCAGGCTGGGCATGGTGGCTTATGCCTGTAATCCCAGCACTTTGGAAGGCTGAAATGTGTGGATCACTGAAAGTCAGGAGTTCGAGGTCAGCCTGGCTAACCTGGGGAAACCCTATCTCTACTAAAAATACCAAAATTAGCCAGATGTGGTGGCAGGTGCCTGTAATCTCAGCTACTCAGGAGGCTGAGGCAGGAGAATTTCTTGAACCTGGGAGGCAGACATTATAGTGAGCCAAGATCAGGCTACTGCACTCTAGCCTGGGAGACAGAGCGAGACTCCATCTCAAAAATAAAAATAAAGATGGGCCTAGTGGCTCATGTCTGTAATCCCAACATTTTGGGAGGCCAAGGCGAGCAGATCAGGAGGTCAAGAGTTCAAGACCAGCCTGGTCAATATAGTGAAACCTCGTCTCTACTAAAAAACACAAAAATTAGCTGGGCATGGTGGCGCCTGCCTGTAGTCCCAGCTACTCAGGAGTCTGAGGCAGGAGAATCGCTTGAACCCAGAAGGCGGAGGTAGCAGTGAGTTGAGATCGCACTACTGCACTCCAACCTGGCCGACAGAGTGAAATTCTGTCTCAAAATCAATAAATAAAAATAAAAAATAAATAAATAAATAAAAATAAAAATAAATAAATAAAAATAAAATCCTTAAGTTCAGAGTAAAAGTGAAATCATATTTGCTGAGGCTTATGTGGAATAATTGGAATAATTGAGTTATTGAATAAGCTTCTTCTAGCAACAGCATTATGGTGCTACTTACTAAATTTGATATATAATCTCATTTAATTTTATGAGGGGACTTGAAATTTGAGAAGTATTTATTCCATTTAATAAATAAAATTTATTCATCTCAGATTTTCAGCCTCAATAACTATGAGTATTACTAAAAGTTTAAAGCATTAGTAGTTCTTGATAATTTGAAAACCTGCAAATGTTGCAGTTTATAGTTAAGGCAAATATTAACAGTCAACTACATGAAAATATAGATGATAAACTTGAAGAAAATTAATATAGATGACAGATAAAAACTATAGTGAAAGTTAAAATTATTATTTTAAAAGCTAAAAAAGTCAGGTCAGAATACTTTTCCATTGTTGACTTTGCTTTATTTAGCAGGTTGTGCTTTGTTCAGATGGTATTTGAATTGAGGTGGTATTTTCTAGATTATCAACATCTGTTGTTATCATGCTATTTGAAAGGTAATGATTGACAGAGATAGAAAGCAGATTGCCAGAAAACCATTATTTATAATATTTTAAAATAAAAAATAATCAGAAAATTATTTCGCTTACTAAATTTAAATAACATTAACTTTTAGAGATTTAGAAAAAATTACTATGTTTTTGTATTTTGAATAAGCACAATACATGACCTATTACTTTAAAAATACATGCAATTATATACAAGATGTTTTACCTAACATGTAAGAAAAATTTTATTCTTGGTACTTTGCCAAAACTATACCAGAAAAGAAAAATAATGAGAAAATAACTTACGTTTTATTGCATAAATTTTCTTATTAGGGCATGCATTATATATACCACTTTCTTTCATGTAACTCTTAATGTTCGGTAATTATAATCACTTAAATATTCCAAGTAAAGCTAATCACTTCAAAATGTTTTTTTGTATCTGTTTTCTTGATTAAATAATAATTAATAAGAAAATTATGTACCTCAAAATGTTTAAGATCATTTCATTTAAATTAGGTCGGGCACAGTGGCTCACCCCTATAATCCCAGCACTTTGGGAGGCTGAGGAGAGTGGGTCAGTTGCGACTAGGGGTTTGAGACCAGTCTAGGCAACATAGTGAGACCTCGTTTCTATGAAAAACACAAAAATTAGCCTGGTTTGGTGGTGTATGCCTGTGTTCCAGCTACTCAGGAGGCTGGGGTGGGACAATCACCTGAGCCTGGGGAGTTCAAGGCTGCAGTGAATTTTCATCACACCATTACACTCCAGCCTAGATGACAGAGTGAGACCTTGTCTCAAAGATAAATAAATAAATAAAATAAAGGAAAAGATATCTAATTACTTTTAACAATGTTGTATATTTTATTACTACTTAATTTCTGTTATGGGTTGAATGTGTATGTCCCCCTTTAGAAGTGTTATAGGCTCAACCGTCAATATGTTGGTATTAGGAGGTGGGGCCTTTGAAAGGTACTTACGTTTAGATGAGGTCATGAAAGTGGAGCCCTCATGGTGAGATTAGTGCCTTTATAAAAAAAAAAAAAAAAAGGAAGAGACACCAGCTTTCTCTCTCCACTATGTGCTGACAGAGCAAGAAGGCTGCCATCTGTAAGACAGGAAGAGAGTCTTTACCAAACCAAATCATCTTGGACTTTCAGCCTCCAGAACTATGAGAAATAAATTTCTGTTATTTAGGTCACCCCGTCTATGGTATTTTTTTATAGCAGCCTGAGCTAACTAAGACAGTAATTTTCTCCCACCATCCGGAAACAGCTGGCTTGATAGAATACTGAAATGTTCGCTTGAAGACTGAGTTACAGCACCATCTAGTGGACAATACCTTGCAAGATTGGTGTAGGGTTTTTCAAGAAGCACTATATGCTCTGAATTAGTATCCAGAATTAGTATCCAAAATTACTATTGTGTCTGTAAGGCTGTTTCTGCACAAAATTAGCATTTCAACTGATAAATTAAATAAAGCAAATTTTGCCTTCCCCAATGTGGGTGGGCCTCATCCAATCCACTGAAGGCCTGAATAGAGCAATACGCTGAGAAAGAGAGAATTCATTTTTCTGCCTGATGGCCTTCAAGATGGGACCTCAGTCTTCTTCCATGGACTCAAGCTGGAACTTCTCCATCATTAGCTCTCTTGATTCGCGAGCCCTAGGAGTGTGAATCTTGAAATGTCTCAGGCTTAATAATAACATGAGACAATTTCAAGTGTGTATATATAAGTATACAAAAATGTAGACATATACATATATATATATTTCTCTGTGTGTGTATATATGTGTGTGTGGGTATATATATGTATGTGTGTGTGTGTGTATATATATATGTATGTGTGTTTGTGTATATATATATATCTAGCTATATGTCTATATCTATATCTGTATAGATATATATAGATATACAATTAACCCTTGAACAATGTGGGGCTTAGGGGTGCTGACACTCTGTGAAGTCAAAAATTCATGTATAACTTTTTACTTTCCCAAAACTTACTATTAATACCTTACTGTTGACCAGAAGTCTTACCAATAAAATAATCAACATATTTTGTATGTTATATGTACTGTATACTGTATTCTTACAATAAAGTAAGCTACAGAAAAATATCATTAAGAAACTCATAAGGAAAGGCAAATATAATTTCTATTTATCAAATGAAAGTGGATCATCATAAAGGACTTCATCCTCATCATCTTCATGTTAAGTAGGCTAAGTTGGTCTTTCTGTCCCAGGGGTGGCAGAGAATAAAGACGTAGAAGGAAAGGCAGGAGAGGTAGGTACACTTGGCATAACTTTATGGAAATACATCATAATTTTATCTAATTTTTTGCTTTTTAATTTCTCTGAAAATGTCTCCATTCTGTACCAATCCTTCACTGTTTGCTTTACTTTCAATGCCCATGTCATAGAATGGTCCACATCATAAAAAAAAGTTAAAACCAGTCTTGAATAATTGGGACGCTTCTACCAGATTGACTAGTGTGAATGCGTTTCCTGGTACTGCTTCTTCTATGTCTTCTTTCACATCATCTGGCATTGGTTAAGAAGCATTCATTTCCATTATGACTTCTATTGTTAATTCCTTTGGTGCAGTGTCTGTTAGCTCTTTCAAAAATTATCAAATCAGGCCAGGCACAGTGGCTCACGCCTGTAATCCCAGAACTTTGGGAGGCCAAGGTGGGCGGATCACCTGTGGTTGGGAGTTCAAAACCAGCTGGACCAAGATGGAGAAACCCCGTTTCTACTAAAACTACAAAATTAGCCTGGTGTGGTGGCACACGCCTGTAATCCAAGCTACTAGAGAGGCTGAGGCAGGAGAATGGCTTGAATCCATGAGGCGGAGGTTGCAGTTAGCCGAGATGGCGCCATTGCACTCCAGCCTGGGTGACAAGAGCAAAACTCCGTCTCAAAAAAGAAAGAAAGAAAGAAAGAAAATTATCAAATCTTCTTTTTGTTTGCAAAAGATTCTTCACCTTTAGATCTTTCACCTTCTTTTTGCTTTAAGTTGTCATACAATGACTTTGCCTTTTCTCAATTCATCGTAGAGTCTATAGGTATGCCTTTTTAATAGCAATCTTGCACCCCCATAAAAAACTGCATTTTCAATACAAGATAAAAAGTTATTTCACAAAAATTACGAGTTTTTTACACCTGCTAGTGTAGCTACAGCAATAGCATCACTAATTTTCAGTTTTCTTTTTTCTTTTTTTTTTTTTTTACAATGGTCCTTGCACTGGAAATATTTATCTTGAAATGGCAGCAACCACAGCTGAAGACCTCAATCTATGGTTACATATCAAGCAATTACACTTTTTCTTCTAATGTCATGACCTTTTTTTGCTTCTTGGGAGCCCTTCCAGCATCAGTAGTGGCAGCTTCAATGGGTCCCAAGGTGTTATTCAAGGTTTATGACATTTCACTGAACATGATATATATGTATATAAAAAAAGCCTTGAGAACTGCAAGAAATCACTTTTTATTGTGTTACACGATTTACTGGAGAGACGAACTGCTCAGCTGGGAAGGATGATCATCACAGGGTGTTTTAAGTGGATATTTGCAACACCTGAGCTCACCGCAATACCACCTGGAGGTGACTATAAAATTATTACAATAGTACAGTATGTACTATAGTTAGTTTTATGCAGTTATGATGTAATACTGCATCTTTATTTTTTCCTGTTTTTTTTTTTAAATATTTGCAGGCTATGTTGTTCATCTGTGAGTTTTTCCAAATTCTTGCAAATCTCCAAAACATTTTTCAATATAATTATTTTTTAAATATACATGGACCCACATAGTTTAAACCCGTGTTGTTCAAGGGTCAAGTATATATATAGTTGAGCCAATTTGTGTGTTTGTGTGTGTGTGTGTGTGTGTGTGTGTGTGTAGTTGACCCTAGAACAACATGGTTGCCATATATATATATATATATATATATGAAACCTGCGTTGGTAAACTTGTGTGTATAGATATACATAGTTGCTTTTAACTTTCTTGGTAGAAAATTGAAAATGTCTAATAAATATTGTTTTTTTGTCAAGGACCAATGTTCTTTATTTAAGAAAGAAGCACTGAACAATTAAAATGTATTTCATTTTGTAAGCTTTTAAGAGAGAAACATTTTGAGCATGATTTAGTTACCAAACGGTAGTTACTAAACTTCAGTTATAAATTAGTTTGTTCATTTAGCTCTTATTTGTCACTTAAACTGAATTTCTCCACTTCTATAAAATCTAAAAGACAGGAAAACAAACATATTACTAAACAGCTTTCAGAAAAGAGGAAGAGAGAACCTTCCCTAAATTGTTTTATGAGACCTACATATGCCTAGTACCAATATCTGACCACCACAATATAATAAAAATCAATTAGGATGTAATGTCTCTCATAACCCTAGGTAGAGTTTTAACACAGTATTAGCTAAGTGAATCCAAAAATATATAAAAATAATAACGCATGTCTGAACCAGAACGATTCATCTCAGGAATGCAAAGTTAGTTCAACATTCCAAATGAATTGATACAACTTTCTACGTTAAGAATATAACAAAGACATAATGTGAGATTACATCAAAAGGTGCAGGCAACAATGCATTTTGCAAAATTTCAATAGCCATTCATGAGCACATTTTTTTCTCTAAAAATTAAAATGCACCTATTACACTCTGATAAAGACACCTAAGTAAACCTTACCACTTCAGATTAATTCATTGTTCAAATATACTTTCTATAAATCTATTTCTTTCTATATTTCATTTAATGTGTGCCCCCCCCCCCCAATGAATTAACATATGTAAAGTTTTTGGGCTGTGTCCCACATATTGTATATGCTATACAATTATGTGCTTTTAGTACCAAGGTACATGTCTCCTTTATCTTGAAGTGTTTCATGCAATCTTACTATGTACTGAAATATCCTTTTCAGTATAGTCACCTCTCCTAGTGATACAAGTGTTGAAATAAGTCCCAACAAAGACATTCTATGCCTTCATTAATCAATTTCATTTCTGGATCTTATTATTATGGTGAAATTAATGTTGTGTTTTAGTGTTCTATTGCTCCATTGTTTTCCTTGTCTTAAGTATCTTTTAAAGAACTCATCTGGTAAAGTAAACCCCACAGAATAATTTTCCTTCTGATTAATCAAAATCAAGAGATTACAACTTCATCTACATTTGCAAAATTCCCTTCATTTTTACTATATAACATAATCCAATCATGAGAGTTACATCCATAATATTCACATACTCCACCCAGATTCAAGGAGATTATAAAAGGCATACGCACGGGAATGGGTGGTGATCCTGGACAGCCCATATTACCATTCTGTCTATTGTCTTCTAGAAACTTTGCTTAAGCTGTGACCTCAAGTTCAGGCTACTCTTTATTCTACTCCAAGTCACAAGTGTCATACCTCAGGAACATATTATTCTCCTTTAATCCAGCAATCTTTACTATGTGGCCAATAAATGTTATGGATTGTGGCTGGGGTAGGAATTTCTGTTGTTTTTGTTAGTGTGAAAATGAAAGTTTTCTTTTCTCAGTAGAGTAGCAGTGACTGACAAAAATTATAGTTCATAAATATAGTTCAAAATAAATTTATTATTTATAAAATACTAATAAATTGTGTCTTCATACTACATAATAGTAATATTATTTCCAATTTTTAAAACTGATTTTGTCCTCTAACTCTCCAAATCCATGATAAGCTCCTGAGCTTATCATTTTGCTATACTTAGATGGCAAGATATATTCGTGTTCAACTATCTTCGTTACCCTATCTGTGGTATCAGTTAATGCAAAACATTATACATATTTCCTGGTTAAACTTGACATGTCTATGTGAGTTGCTTTATTTAATGTGATGAGAGTGGAACTGACATATGTTATTTTCATACTAAAGATTTAAAAAGTAGAGAGTGTTTTATCACATTCTCTTTTCTTTGCATCTTAAAATATAGAAGAATACATTGAAATGAAACACCATTTGTTATTGCAATATGTACATGTAAGAATAGTAACAAATAAATTTTCTTGAAAACCACTGAGATTTGGGGACCTATTTGTTGTATTAGCATAGTATAGCTCTTTTCAGCTGTTCTTCCTAGTTATTGGGCAATTTTATGTATCATTTTTATTATATTTGTGTTTAAGTATGTGATGTATGCAAACACTCTTAAATTACCCTCCTCTCTTAATAAGTTGCTGATGAGGGAGCAGAGTGTGGAGATATGTTTTAAATGGCCATGAGGTTTAGTTGTGTATAATTGTTTACTCCATGAGAGTCCTTAAATTATATAGTAATTTCCCTAAATAAAACAGTTCTCCCCAAAATTTGCCTTGCTCTAAATCTCCTCCTCTTTAATAGGTTTTGATGTATATTGTGTATGTGTGTGTGAGAGAGAGAGAGAGAGAAAGAAGGGAGCATGTCAACAGAGAGATTTGGTTGTGAAATCCACATGAACTCCTCGATCATTCCTTGGTCTCCTGTAGGGCATACTTCATTTGCTCTGACCTCAGACCTTCCGTCTCAACTACAATTCATTTTGATCATGTCAAGAAATTACTTCTGGTTTGTCTAGCTCCTGAGGATAGACTAGCTTTAACACATACACATCAATCTGCATCTTTACCAGGTTCAGCCGTGATACTTAACAGATCCATAAACAAGCTTGCACTGCACAGTAAATTCTTCTCATGTCCTTTGTGGTGAGACAGAATCCAGTCATTGTGAAGGACAGCAGCTTCATGCTCTTTCTGTCTATTGCTCTCTCATAACCGTTCAGCTTTATCAAGGGTAAGTCAATTAATTTATTCTTAAACATTAAAAATAGGATAGTATGCAGCACTTACCCTATGATACTTTATGAAGTCATAGTAACATTTTGCTCTTTTTGTTTTCACATTTAGATTATGTAGGAAATGAATAGAATTGGCATGGAGGGGAATGTTTAACTAGCCTATACGTTTTTCAATGTTTGTAAAATATACAACAAAACCCAGATGATTTTGTCATTTTGAAATAGAGTACCTGGCAAGCTTTGGTGGACAAATATTTCAGATTTTCCATGGCATTCTTCTGAAATGAAACATCAACTTTATGTCAACTTAAGATTGCTCCTATTCACTAATAATCAATCTTTCATTACATACCCCATCAGTATAACAGAAAGTTAACTAAAACATGTGCCTGTGCTTATAGAGCCTAAAAAAATGATTTAAAAAGTCTTAAGTTTGACCCCAGAGTAAATCTTGAGTATGAGTTGTCAAAGAAAATTTGTTTAAAAATTGTTTTAAAAGACACAGAGCATTCTTATTGTTCTATCTGTAGTATTTTGACAGTGATTTTAAGTGGCTGATAGTTTTCAATTTACAAAAAGTTTTCAATTTACAAAATGAAATAGATTCTACATTTATTTCAAATGCAGTGCTGTACATACACCGTAATAACGAATAGATTTTAATTTGCATATAATCCTGCCTTTAAAAGAGTATTTGTTACTCAAACTATTTCATAAGAATTTATTGACAGCCAAATTATCACGTTTAACCTATTTTAAATGTGATAAGAATCATGACTTCTCTTCAAGAAGATAATCGAGATTTGACTCTATGTTTGGAGGCAGGGGAACTGAGCCATAGACATGTTAGTGCCCAATAATAATACTCTCAAGTAAAATAATAAAATATTGTACATAAATAAAACAGAGAAACAAGATTGACACTTGTTAGATGCTTGGGCTGCTGTAAGAAAATACCACATACTGGGTGACTTAAAAAACAGAAATTTATTTTCTTACGGTTCAGGATGATGGAAATCTAAGATCAAGGAGCCAGCAGAGTTGATTTCTCCCGAGGTCCCTCTCTTGGACTTGCAGATGGCCGCCTGCTCAGTGCACCTTCATGTGGCCTTTTCTCGGCATGTATAGCCCTGATATATCTTCCTCTTCTTATAGGAGCACCAGTATTATTGCATTATGCTCTTATGACATCTCTTAACCTTAATTCTCTCTTTAACAGCCTTATCTACAAATTAGTCATATTGGGGTTAGGGATTCAACATACGAATTTTGGGGGAACATAATTTAGTCCACAATAACATATTTTAAAGATATGGACCAGAAAAAGATAGTCATAAACTGGGAAAGTTAGGCAGTGTTAAAGTATGTAGAATGAGGAAGATGAATAGGAATGTAGGAATAGTATTATTTTACACACTTGAGTTATCATTTTTTTGTTAGAGCAAGGCATGTGTATGTGCACATTTGTGTGCTTTGCATCCTTTTTTAATCAGAAGCGGAAGTTGGATTTTTATCCATAGATTCTTCTCAGTTCATGTAGCATCAAGTCTGCTTTTAGGTTGCTATTTTCTTATTAGTGGTGGGTACAAATTTAACCACCTATTATCTAGGCATTAAATTCACCTATTATTTCACTTAAGATGATAGAATCAGTATTTATTGATATTTTCATTTTAGAATTCTTAATTTTATAGTTATGATAAATGTTACCTCATTTAATTTCCTAAATCACTTTCCATGTGCTCTTATCAGAAACATTTTATATAAAATATATATTGCTTGCTTTATTTATTTGTTCACTTGATTTGTATAAAAGATGTCAATGGAATTAAACTACGTAAATGATGTTGAAGCAAGCAGTCAGTAAGAGATATTGAATCAAGCAGTTTGATATCCATAATGAATAAAAAGGAAACCTGACACCTATTTTACAACATTCAATGAAACTGACACAACTGTGAAAAGAAAAAACAGTCTAAAGCCTTGAAAGGAAAACACAGAAAGTTATCTACATGATGTCACAATAGGCAAAGATCTTTAATATAGGAGTCAAAAACACTAAAGCATTCCAAAAAAGAAAACTAACAAATTGGCTTTTATTCTAACTAGGATTTCCTGTCCATCCAGAAGCATCATATAGAAAGTGAAAACACCAAGAAATAGAAAAATTATTTGCTGTATATAAATTTTTTGAAGGGCTCTTATCCAAACATACAAAGGACATCCACAAATAAAAAAGAAAAATAATAATAATAACAGTGGGAAAGAACTTTAGCAAAGAGCTCTCAGGAAAAAGGGTATTTTATTAGTTAATAAATATAATAAAAGGAAGTCAACTTCACTATTTGTGGGGAAATTATACATTAAAAATACAAAAAATGTATTATTATACAGCCACCAGAGTAACTATAATTAAGGCTGCAAATACCAAATATGGGTTATATAGGAGCAACTCAAACCCTCATACACTGCTGGTAGAGGTAGAAAACCATTTTGGACAACTGGCCATTTCTCAGTGTATACGTAAGAGAAGTGAGTCCACACAAAACCAAGAATATTGACAACAGATTTATTTATAATAGTCAAAATCTTGAAAAAACCAATTGCCTAACAAATAGAGGATGAATAAACTGGAATAAATATTATAACGGAATACTATGGAACAGTACAAAAGAATAAACTCCCTGATATTTACATGAATGAAACTCACAGACGTAATTACTGAATAAGACAAGCCCATGACAGAAAAAAAAGTATGTTCTATATCATTCCAGGTATAGGAAATTCTAGAATAATCAAGGCTGATAGATGATGAGATAATTCAGGATAGTAGTTAGCTCTAGGGGCAAGAAAGTGTCTTATTGGATGCTGGGATTGTTCTACCTCATGATTTGGGTATACATGGGGCATACAACATGCAAACATTATTATGCTATACATGTATATTTAGTTACATTTTCAGTCACTTTACTACATGTATCTCTACCCTTGATTCTAAAAAGGAAGTAAATACTCACATATGTGGCAAGTATATCTCAGGCAACTGCTTTTAATTGACACTCATTTCTTTCTAAAAAATGCAATATTCACAAGAGAACATAGCTCACAATCACCAATATCAGAAAAAAGTAATTATTCTTGTCCCTAAACACTAGACATAAAAAAGACAGATTTGGTGTGTTGTTAATTATTTATTTAAAGGTAATCATATACAATAGAAAAAGGTACTATTTGTAGTCTCCTAAAGAATGTTACTATGTAAATGCTGGCCAAAAGGTAGACAAGTATGTCAACAATAATTACCAAGTAAACAAAATAATATGTCTACAAACACATTTAAACACTAACAAGCAGCCAGATGATCTAGAACCTTAAGTAATTATGCAATTTGAAAGCTATGTTCAAAGAAAAATACAGAGTTTAAGCAAGTCTAGTTCATTATCAGAAAATAACCTACTGAGGAGACAGTAGTAGTTTTGAACATTTCTGTTTCAGGTTTTGAGATAATCAATCTTTAAGATAGGGGCTTCTCAGAGAGTTTTTGTTCCATATAAGATTCCTATTTCTTATACAGTGAGTACTGTATTAAAATTGAAAACAAATAAACTTTAATATGGAAATTAAAATAGCACATGATGGACCTGGTTGCAAAATAAGTCTTTTACTTAGTCATTGGGTATGTTTTGACTAATACTTCTCAATTAAAGGATCCAAATTTCTCCGAGTTTGCAAGTTTCATCAAATAAACTCTTCCCCATCATGCAAAACTTCCAGGGTGTTACTGGTAACTATTCTATTGTTCTAAAATTCCAAAATCAACATATATTAGTCTCCACATTTCTTTTTTTTTATGATCTCATCCAATCTCAAAGGAACCCAAAGTATAATTATTTACTTATAAACTTTTTAAAATAAGGAAACTGAAGCTCGCAGAAATGAAAGTTATGTTCAGGATTATTCAGTTAATAGGAAGTAGAGGCAAGACTTTTAAGATACATTTAAGGGGTACAAGTACAATTTTGTCACATGGATATGTTGGGTAGTGGTGAAGTCTGGGCTTTTAGTGTAACTATCACCTGAATAATGTACAGTATATCTATGAAGTAATTTTTTATCTCCCTGCCCCCTCCCACTTTCCCATCCTTCTGAGCCTCCAGTGTCTATTATTCCACACTCTTATGTCAATGTGTACACATTATTTAGTTTCCACTTATAAGTGAGAACATGCCTGTATTTGATTTTCTGTTTCTGAGTTGTTTCACTTAAGATAATGACCTCCAGTTCCGTCCATGTTGCTGGCAAGACATTAAGAGGTTTAGATTATATATTCAGAAACTACATTTTATGAGAATTAGAAAATATTATTGTTAAATTGTCTACACAATCCTTATACAATTTTAAAATGTGACCTTAAATATAAATTTTTAACATCAATCTGTGTATTGGCTTTCACCCTTTAGAGTAAAAGAATTGATTTAGGGTCAAAAGTCACAGATGTTACCGAGAATTTTCACTTGAATTTTTAAGTTACTGTCTCATTTATTGTGATCATCTACCATGAAAGATATTCAATTTGTTCTTGAAGTACTAACGATAACCCCTGAAAGATGCTGTTATAATTTAAGCCAGTGTTTTAATATTCATAAATGGAATAAGTGATACTTTATATGTGGCAAGAGAGGAAAGGCACCTTCACTGTGAAGGACCTTACATATTGTCTCAAACTGCATTATTCAAGAGACAAGACTATAAATCATAAAGAGAAAGGCTAATGAAACTTACCAATCCATATTCTTTTTGTGCACTTGACTTAACCACATTAAGAGTGATTTCGAGATTCAGAGAATTTAATATCTAGTGCATCAATTAAAAATCATAGTCTAATGATGACAATTAAGAAAGGAATATAAAAAGGAGAAATACGGTGTTATTTAGAGTACAGTGATATAGTTAAGAAAAAAATAGCACAAATGAAAAGAATTATAGATCTTTTACCATTCCATAATCATGAAATTGTGGTAAGTACTTAAGTGTGACTTTACAAAATCTTATTTTACAAAGTTATTGATACCCGCAAAATAATAAATAAAAATAATGTTTAGCATTATATCTATATCAAATAAAACACTATATTCCTCATTTAAAATTATAGTTAATTATTAACACATGTAGTATTTTCCATGTTTTTATGTTTTATTATCTCACAGTGAAATAAACATTTAACATATAATGAAAAACAACATATGTTTTTGAGACTTAAGAAAAATATCTAAGACAGATGGACATTGAAAGCACCAAGGCCTTAGTGAGAAAACATTTGTTAATTTTACTTTATTGTTATAATTTTTTTCACAGAAAGCTAAAACATTAAATTAAGAAGAACATATTTTTAATTTAACTTAGCAGCCAGAGCACCCATGCACCTGGATCAGCAGCCTAAGCTGTACAACCCTTCCTGTGAAGAAATTACAGTGAAGCAGTGCCCTCTTCACTTCACACTCAGGCAGATAACTAGGTATTCTGAGCACCCACTTGTCTGAATCAGCATCCTGAGCTGCTCCACTGTTACTGTGCAGAGACAGAGGTACAGCAGGGCTGTCTGCAGTCCATGCCCAGGCATATTTCCATGCACCTGAAATACCTGCTGTCCTGGATTTGAAGCCTGGACCACTCCACTCTGCCCAGACAGAGAACTTGAGGCCCTGGAAGTTTCCCAGCTCCATGCCTGCACACACTTTTCGGCCCTCAGTGACCACCCACTGGATTGTCCCTTAGCACCAGTGCTTGTGCCTGCCCTCAGCAGAACTGTAGGTGGGCTTTTCCAGGCTGGCCCCTCTCTTTTGGTCCCCCACCCATGCTAGGCTGAGCAGGGAGCTCAGACCACTCCATGGATCAGCCTATTGCCCGAGGAAACAGAGATCTTCTCCCAATAAACAAGCTTCTCCTAGCCATGTTAGTTTCAGCTGGCTCTTACCCATAAAAGTCATCTACTGGCTTATAGATCCAACTGCACAGCCCAATATAAAATGTGCTGAAAGTGCATAGGAGTATAGAAGCAAAACCAAAAGCCCTTACTCAACATTCCCTAGAGTCCCAACCCCTAGGGGGAGAGGGAAAGGAAAGGAGAAAAAAAAAATAATAATATTACAAGGAAAGAAAGAAAAAGGAAAAAATCCTACCAACACGAAAATAATTACAAAAATTAAGAATGCCATTACCTCCATATGAAATGGAACCAGTGCAAAAATTCTGGCACCATAAAAAATTTGAAGGTAGTGGTACTACCAAAGGATTACACTAGTTCTCCAGCAATGGTCCTTAATGAAAATGAAAACTCAGAAATGACAGATAAATAATTCAAAGCATGGATTGCAAGGAAACTCAATGAGATCCAAGATAAAGTTGAAAATCAACACAAATTTCTAAATCGATTCAGGAAATGAAAAGAAGAGATGAATATCTTTAAAAATATTAGTCAGAGCTTCTGGAATTGAAAAGCTCACTTAAGGAATTTCAAAATACAATTGAAAGCTTTATCAATAGACTAGCCCATGATGAAGAAAGAATTTCAGAGCCTGAAGATCTGTCTTTCAAACAAACCCAGTCAGCCAAAAAAAAAAAAAAGTTAATAAAAATGTACAAAGTCTTTAAGAAGTATGGGATTCTGTAAACAAATCTTTGAATTACTGGCATTCTTGAAAGAAAAAGAGAAAAAGTAATTAACATGGAAACATATTTGAATAAATGATTCAAGAAAATTCCCCTTATCTTGCTAGAGAGGTAGACATCAGGTACAATAAATCCAGAGTACATCTACATGATACTATGCAAAACTATCATCACAAAGGCATATATACTCACCAAATTGTCCAAGGTTAACACCAAATAAAAAATTTTACAGGCAGCTAGAGAAAATGGTCAGATCATGTACAAAGGAAATCCTATCTGGCTAATGTGGACTTCTCAGCAGAAAACTTAAAAACAGTAGAGATTAGGGACTTTTTTTTAGTATTCATAAAGAAAAGACATTCCAACCAAGAATTTCATATGACTCCAAACTAAGCTTCTTAAGCAAAGTGGAAATAAAAACTCTTCCAGACAATCAAGCAGTAAGGAAATTCATTACCAGTAGGTGAGTCTTCAAGAGATTTTTAAGGGAGTTCTAAACATGAAAATGAAAGGAAAATGAAGGAAAAATACTATCAAAAAAACCCACACATAAATACATAGCTCACAGACTCTATAATGCAACCACATAACAGAAACTACAAGACAACTAGCAAACAACTTCATGATAGGATCAAAGCCTCATATGTCAATATTAAACTTAAATGTACACAGCCAAAATACTCCAGTTTTAAAAGCACAGACTTGCAAATTGGATTAAAAAAACAAGAGCCTTCCATCGGCTGTCTTCAAGAGACCCACCTCACACTAAATAACACTCATAAGCTGAAAGTAAAAAGTTGGACAAAGATCTAGCACACAAATGAAGAAGAAAAAAGAGTATGGGTAGCTATTCTTATATCAGATAAAACCAACTTTAAGCCGACAACAGTTAAAAAGGACAAAGAAAGGCATTACATACTGATAATTCAATTCAACAAGAAATCTTAACTATCCTGAATATATATGTGCCCAACATTGGAGCACCCATATTCATGAAACAACTATCTCTAGACATACAAAAAGGCTACAGCCACACATTAATAGTAGCGGATGCCAACAACACACTTGCAATGTTAGATCATCAAGGTGGAAAACTAACAAAGAAATTCTAGATTTAAATTTGACACTTGACCAATTAGACCTAATAGACATCTACAGAACATTCCACTCATCAACCACAGAATATACATACTTCTCATTTGCACACAGAACATACTTCAGGATCGACCACATGCTTAGCCATAAAGCAAATCTCAATAAATTCAGAAAAACTGAAGTTATACCAACCATACTCTCAGACCACAGTGGAATAAAAGTAGAAATTAATACCTGGAAGATGTCTCAAAACCACAAAATTACATGGAAATTAAACAACTTGTTCCTGAATGACATTTGAGTAAACAACAAAATTAAGGCATATGTTTTAAAATATTTAAAATAAATGAAAACAGAGAAACACTACACCAAAATCTCTGGACTGCATATAGCAAATGTAGTGCTAAGTGGAAAGTTTATATCACTAAACAGCTACCTCAACGAGTTATAAATATCTCAAATTAACTATCTAACATCACATCCAGAGGAACTAGAAAAACAGGAACAAACCCCAAAGCTAGCAGAATAAAATAAATAACTAAAATGGGAGAAGAACTGAATGAAACTGAGACCCAAAAGCCATACCAAAAAAAAAGTTGTTTCATTGAAAAGATAAACAAGATTAATAGATCACTAGCTAGATAAAAAAAGAAAAAGAGAGAAAAGATCTAAATAAGCAAAATCAGAAATGACAAAGGTCACATTATAACCAATTCCATAGAAATACAAAAGATCCTCAGAAACTATTATGAACACCTTTATGTACACAAACTAGAAAATCCAGAGGAAGTAGACAAATTCCTGAAAACACACATCTTCCCAAGATTGAATCAGGAAATTAAAACAAGGAACAGACCAATAATGAGTTCTGCTATTGATTCAGTAATAGAAGAAAACCAACCAAACTACCAATCCAAAAGAAAAAAAAAAAACAAAGAAGGAATTGGACCACATGAATTCACAGCCAAATTCTACCAGATGTACAAATAAGAGCTGGTACCAATTCTGCTGAAATTATTCCAAAACATTGAGAAGGAGACACTGCTCCTTAACTCATTCTACAATACCAGTATCATCCTGACACCGAAATCTGAAAAATCAAAAAGAAAAAATAATAATTACAGACAAATATTCCTGATGAAGACAGATGCAAAACTCAAAAAAAAAAATACTAGCAAATACTAGCAAACAGAATCTAGCAGCACATCAAAAAGTTAATTCACTACAGTCAAGTAGGTTTCGTTCCTGGGATTCAAGTTGGTTCATCATATGCAAATTAATAAATGTGATTCACCACTTAAGCAGAATTGAAAACAAAAACTACATGATAATCTCAACAAATGCAATAAAAGCATTATGTAAAATCCAACACACCTAGAAGGAATACACCTCAAAATAATAACAGCCATCTATGAGAAACCCAAAGCCAACATAATAGTGAATGGGCATAAGCTGGAATCATTTCCTTTGAGAAATGGAACAAGACAGAGAGGCCAACTCTCACCCCTCTTACTCAACATAGTAGTGGGAGTCTTAGCCAGAGTAATCAGCCTGGGAAAAAATAAAAGGCATTCAAATAGTAAAACAGAAATTCAAATTATTTCTTATTACTGATAATATTATTATTTACCTAGGAAACCTTAAAAACTCCATGAAAAGGCTTCCATACCTGTAAAACAACATCGGTTAAGTTTCAGTATACAAAATAAATTTTAAAAAATCAGTAGCATTTCTGTACACTGATAATGTTTAAACTGAGAGTCAAATTAAGAACACAATTCTATTTTTAATAGTCACAAAAAGAATTAAATAACTAGAAATATATCTATCCAAGGAGGTGAAAAATCTCTACAAGGAAAAGTATAAAACACTTGTGGAAAGAATAACATGACACAAATGAATAGAAAAATATCCGTGCTAATGCATCAGAAGAATCAATATCATTAAAATGTCCATACTTCCCAAAGCAATCTACAAATTCAATGTTACTGCTATCAAATTACCAAAGTCATTCTTCACAGAATTAGAAAAAACTACTCAAAAATTCATATGAAAGCAAAAGAGCTCAAATAGCCAAAACAATTCTAAGCAAAAATAACAAAGCCAGAGGCATCAAATTAAGTGACTTCAAACTATACTATAAAGCTACAGTAACCAAAACACCATGGTAATAGTATGAAAGTACATGTACTCCAATGGAACAGAATAGAGAACCCAGAAACAAAACCACAAACCTACAGCCATCTGATCTTCTATAAAGTTGACAAAAATAAGCATTGAGGAAAGGACTCTCTATTCAATAAATGTTGCTGTGATTACTGGCTGGCTACATGCCAAAGAATGAAACTGGGTTCCTACATTTTACCATATATAAAGTTAACTCCAGATGTCTAAACATTCAAATGTAAGACTTCAAACTGTAAGAATCCTAGAAGAAGACCTAGGAAACACCATTCTGGACATCAGCCTTGGGAAACAATTAATGACAAAGTTTTCAACAGCAATTGCAACAAAATGAAAAATTGACAAATGAGACCTAATTAAACAAAAGGGTTTCTACACAGCAAAATAAATTATGAATAGAGTAAAAAGACAACCTGCAGAATGGGAGAAAATTTTTGCAACCTATGCATCCAACAAAGATCTAATATCCAAAATCCATAAGTAACTTAAACAATTCTACAAGCCAAAAAAATAAAATAAAATAATAAAAAACCCATTAAAAGTGGGTAAAAGGAGATGAACAACCACTTTTCAAAAGAAGACATAAAAGTGACCAAAAATATGAAAAAATGCTCAACATCACTAGTCATCAGTAAAATGTAAATCAGAACCACAAGGAGAAACTATCTCACATGAGTCAGAATGGCTATCACTAAAAGCCAAAAAGTAACAGATGCTGGTGAAGCTGCAGAGAGAAGGGAATATTTATACACTGTTGATGGGAATGTTAATTATTTCAGGCCCTGTGGAAAGCAGTTTGAAGATTTCTCTAATAACTAAAAGCAGAACTGCCATTTGACTCAGTAATCCCATTACTGGTTATATATCCATAAGAAAATAAATTATTCTACTAAAAGATACATGCACTCATATGTTCATTGCAGCACTATTCACAATACCAAAGACATGGAATCCACATAGGTGCCCATCAACAATAAATTGGATCTTAAAACTGTGGTATATATACACCACAGAATACTAAGCAGCCATAAAAAGAAAGAAATGATGTGCTTCGCAGCACATGAATGCAGCTGGAGTCCATTCTCCTAAGCGAATTAATGCAGGACCAAAAATCAAATCCTGCATGTTCTCACTTAACAGTGGAAACTAAAGATTTTGTACTCATGGACATAAAGAAGGGAACAATAGACACTGAGGAGTACTAGATGGGATAGGGAAGGAGGGAGGGGAGCATGGGTTGAAAAACTAACTCTTGCATACTATACTCACTATTTGGGTGACTGGTTTATTCTTGTTCCCAATCTCATCATCACACAATATACCCAAGTAACAAACCCGTACATGTACACTTCGAATCTAAGATAAAAGTTGAAACTATTAAAAAAGAAAATAAATTTGAATTTAACCATATACGTTAAACATAAGACAACTGAATAAATACATATAATATGGATATGTATTGAATGTATTAATATATTTAATCATTTACATTCAATTGCAAGTCAGAAATATGATTAATCAATTAAATATGTATTCTTGTTAGCAGTCTGAATGAACATTTGAAAACTACTTCCTGGATTTAGTAGAATTATTTTCTTAAAAAGAGTTAAGTTTTCAAATCTTATTTTTTCATATTGTTTGTAGTTTGCCTCCAATTATTTTACATCTATCTTATCTATTTTGACAAATACTAGGAACAATTCAAGACTGAAAATACTGTACTTCTATTGCACACTTGCATTTACCTTATCCATTATTAATTAATTCTATGTGATCAAGTCTATTGAAGTGACCTGGCCAGGTCCAAACATGCACCAACTTACTTGGGGATAGATATCATTCCAGTACTACTGATGGGAGCTTTTATATCCAAGCTCTTCTAGAGCTCTCTTTCTTTCTCTCTTTCCTTTGCACACAGATATTACATTAACTCTTAGATTTCCCTTCCACAAATATAACTAAAACACATATAAACAAAATTTTGACCAATAAACCTAGCTGTGACTTCTTACATTAAAAAAATCTGAATATGAGCATTTTATTGCCATCCCATTGCTCTTTCATAGGTTTAATTTTCATTAATTTTCATTTTTATAAAGCAAATCTTAAAACATAAAAAGAATTAAGACATCAAAAATTTTTTAAATGTGTTAGAATTATCCCAAATGAATTTGTTGAGTTTGTTGCTACCTAGCTCTTATTTATACTATTAGCTGTAGATGTGTGAGCTTAATAAGAGCAGGAATCCTGTCTGACATTTTATTTTTAATTTTTTTTGAGACAGAGTCTTACACTGTCACCCAAACTGCAGTGCAGTGGCACAATCTCAGCTCACTGCAACTTCCATCTTTCAGGCTCAAGTGATTCTTCTGCCTCAGCCTCCTGAGCAGCTGGGATTACAGACACCCACCACTGTGCCTGGCTAATTTTTGTATTTTTAGTAGAGAAGGGGTTTTGCCATGTTGGCCAGGCTGGCCTTGAACTCCTAACCTCAGGTGATCCAACTGTCTTGGCCTCCCAAAATGCTGGGATTACAAGCTTGAGCCACCATGACCGGCCCTGTCTGAAATTTTTAACCACCTTAACTCCATTATGTATAATGGTAACTCACAAATTGTAGGCATTTAGTAAATCATTGACCAGATAATAAGGTATAGTTAATAATTATTTTTGGAATGAAGAAATAGGTAAATAAACAAATGAATTTAAAAATTAGTAGTGGAACTTTAATTCAAACATAACCTTTAGAATCTATGGCATCCTCTTTGACAATTATGATTAGCTTTCACAACTTGTGTATTGAAAAGCCTGTATTGTATGTTCTTCCATTGCAAATCTGAATTCAGATGATGTGAAAATCCATATTATTTAAATATTCTTAAACTTGACAAAATTTAACAGTTCAGCGTGTTTTACTCTAATTTAAAACATGACTGTTGTTATTGGAAATTACCAATGATCTTTATTAAAATAAATTTAGTTAAAAAGTCTCTGTTGTGTCACTGCTTATGATGGTTAACAGTAATTGTAAGTAAAAGCTTGAAAATTAACTGAATTGAATTTAAAAATAAGGATTAAAATTGGATTTCTGCACTTTAAATTATTTAGGCACTTTTTAATGTCAATAAAAAGTTATTGGATTGTAAATGCTATTGATTGGAATATCTTAATTCCAGTCATAAAATTTTATAATTTATTCAGAAATTTGTAACAAAGTAGATTTCAAATGGTCTTTGCAAATAAAAGAAATAATAGACAAATGTAATAATTACTATAAATATACATACTCTTAAAATATATTTTATTAATATCCTAGCACAAACTATTTGACATCAATATGCCATATTTATAGTAAGATACTGTTTGTTTTACATTCTAAATATATATACATAGCATCATTTCTTCACTTATTTAGTCTTTAAGCATCAGAAAGTAATTAAATTAGCTCCTAGAGTAAAATTTCAGAAAAGCTAACACTTTAAAAAAAGATAATCTTGTTATAGTTGCAAAACTATGCTCTTTAATGAATCATTTTAGGTTTTGGCATTTCAACCTGTTACAAGAATCCTTTGTTAATTGGGTTCATCTCTTTAAATTCAATTTGTCTCCACCTAAGAGCTACTTTTCTTGAAACATGACATAATTTACCTGGATACTAGACATAAAGCCTGGTAATATTTCATCTCCCACTTAAATATTTGCTACATGAAATTAAATTTTCTTTTATTACTTTGGAAAAAAGCATTATAAATAAATTTTATGTTGATTTCGTAAGAAAAAGATACATAATAAACTGCCTAATATATTATTTTTGTTTCCCTTCATATTTTAAAAATTTAGTTAACCTCTCCATTAAGACGCTCAAAATCACATGGTTCACTTTGGTTCTAGTTTTCACCTTTCAAGATGCAGAGTAATAACTAAGTACCCACAAGAAGAACCAAAAATAGAACTATCAAAAGCATTTGCTGCTAGAAAATTGTGCAGTTTGTGGGGAATAATGAAGTGGAAAATTATTGTTTTAATTATAAATTAATTTCTGCCATATGATTTTAAAAAGCAGGTGCATATTTTATGTCAAATAAAAATCACGTGAGATACCCATCCTCAAATATCTGTCGTTCAAAAGACTATGGCTTATAGATATAAGCTACGATAAACATGTTTAAAATAAAATCAACAGAATAATATTTGATTGGCATAAATGTTCAGCAAAAATAAACTGAAAAATATTCCAGAGAATTCTATGCTTAAAAAAGATCTTTGAAAAGGTGTAATTGAGCAGATATGTGAAAAAAAAAAAAAAAATGAGTCAGCCTCAGGGAGACCTGGTTGCAGAATATTGTATCAGAAGGAAGGGGAAAACACAGGTTGAAAGTAGAAAAATAAAACCATGGACAAGCCTGACCAACATGGAGAAACCCCGTCTCTACTAAAAAAAAAATACAAAAATTAGCCGGGTGTGGTAGCGCATGCCTGTAATCCTAGCTACTCGGGAGGCTGAGGCAGGAGAATCGCTTGAATCTGGGAGGCAGAGGTTGCGGGGAGCAAAGATTGCGCCATTGCGCTCCAGCCTGGGCAACAGGTGTGAAACTCCATCTTAAAAAAAAAAAAAAAAAAAAAAAAAGAATGGCCATAGCAAAAGGCAAAATGAAAGTGAAGACACAGAAGTAAAACAGATTGAATTATGTCTTGTAGGCAATGTTAAAAATTATTCTGTATAGAGATTCTAATGGGATTCTAATTTTAATGGGAATTTATTGCAGTATGTAAGCAGAATGATATGCAATACATATATTTAAAATACAAAGGTATCCTCAGTAAAAAATTTAAAAACTGTTAGAGGAATAAAAGTTGCACATGGATATGTGGTAGATTATTTTATGGTCATTATAGACTATAGCAGCTTGAAGAACACTGAAAGTGTAGATGTTCTTTCTTCATGGATCCTCTACATATGGGGTTTAATTAATTATGATTTTTATGTCTTGGATGGTGTTCTTAGAAGGTCGTCCAATTTCTGGATGGTGACTGATATGGTTTGGGTCTGTGTCCCAATCCAAATCTCAGGTTGAACTGTAATCTCCATTGTTGGGGTAAGAGGTGAGGGATCATGGAGGGGGATTTCTCCCTTGTTCTTCTTGTGATAGCTAGTGAGTTCTCACAAGATCTGGTTGTTTCAAAGTATGTAGCACTTCCCCTTTTACTCCCTTTCCCCTGCTCTGGCCAAGTAAAGACAGTGCCTGCTTCCCATTCACCTTCTGCCATGATTCTAAGTTTCCTGAGGCCTCCCGAGGTGTGCTTCCTGTACAGCCTATGCAACTGTGAGTCAATTAAACCTCTTTACTTCATAAGTTACTCAGTCTCTCAGGTATGTCTTTACAGCAGTGTGGGAATATCATAATATAGTGACCTTGAATCGCCACACAAAATCTCATTCTAGTAAGGGCATTTAATTATTATACTCATAATAGTTGTGAAAAAACTCACACATCTAACTCCATACCCCACTAACATCTCTAGATAAAACAAAAATGTCTAAGTTCAGAACTGCTTTCCAGACAATTAAAAAGCTACCATGAAGTATAATAATTTTTTATCTGGGATTTCCTCAGAGAGAGATGACATATAGTAAATAGTTCCAAATGACATAAACCTAACTAGAGAAATAGAAGGAAGAATTTGAAAACCCATATCAGATGAGCTGAGGGACAAACAGTGAAATAAAGAAGGAAGAATTTGAAAACACATGTCAGATGAGACAAGGGACAAACAGTGAAATAACACTACAGAAAGTAATCCCAGAGCTGGAGATAGGTAATAATGAAAAGTAGCCTCAATGCCAAGCTTAAAGAGATTGAAAATGGCTTCCAAGATAGAGACTACATGCTTTATGCCATGTTTTGTATTTATAGTTGATTGCGCTAAAATTTAAAAATAGAAGAAGAAGAAAAAATGCAAGTACAAATGAGAAAGACTTTTTTTTTCAGGAATTAGTCTTTCCTGATTAAATTAAATATTTAAGTCTGTAGTCATTTACGATATGTAGCCTAAGAATGGTACAACTATTTGAAGGTATAAAGTTTTGGAGGAAATATATGAAATATTTAGTCTTCCATAGGCCCTTGAAAGATTTTTACCTCAATTCTATTTATACATTAGTGACTTAACAATTCACACTAATTGAAAATAAAAACAGTTAATATATGCAATTATATATTATAAATTATATTAATAAATATTAATTTATAATATATAGAAAAGTGAGTTTCATCATAATTTTTAAAATTTAAATTATGTGAGTATATAAATGAGAATATAAATGTCTATCTATGCTATCACAACCTGAACAGTTTTATTTTTGCATATTTGCACTTTTAACTGATTTTAAGTCCTGACTAAAAAAGACCTGGAACCTTGGCTTGGTGAAATCAGTAACAGAGAGCATACTTTGATGCTTTCATAATTTTTTATTGTCTGCTTTGTCACTCTTGCCTGTTTATCCTGCCTGTATCCAGCTATGAAACAATTTTCAAGGCCCCATTTAAAAGTCACGTCCCCTGTGAATTATTTAAAAATTATCCAGTTTGTAGTAATCAGTTATTTCCATTGCTTTTACAGTAGATGCATTTAAGTAAATGTATCTTCTTTATAAAAGTACATTTATGCCATTTTATCATATATTATAATTGTCTTTTAGCATGATTCTCCAGGTCCCACTTTTCTTTCTGCTGCACACTGACCTGAGCCAGGTCAAATCACAAGGTACCTTGTGGTAGATGAGAGTTATAGGTTTCCTCTTTTGTAAACTCATTACTGGGTGTATGATAAAAAATTAAAGCAAGTAATGAAAAAAAAATTCCACCACACATACATGTATTTATCAATAAGGAAATACAAAATCTCATACTATCTGTTCTTTAAACTTCAATAAATTTCTAGCTTTCTATCTTTTAATCACCTTCACACAATCATGTAGAATTAAGTTTCTGACAGAAACAATATTATTTTAAGGCATAAATTAAATTTTATTGATAACTTTCTGGAGAGAGTCAAGTGACAAAAATCTTCTGAATCTAAACCCCAGGTCAATAATATCACTTAGAAGTTTGTCTTGTATTGGATCCATCTATATATTCAAAATTATACCTATAAGATTACCAAAAAATCAACATATCTTGACCAACACTTATTTAAACAAATACAGATTATTTCTAGGGTAATTTTATTCTGATTAATAAAATTCTAACATTAATCCAGGAAACCTAGAACTTTTAGTATACGGATCCAATATTAATAAAGTTTATAATACTAACTGGCTCCCTTCTTCCCTCCCTGACAAAACATTCAACATTACTTCATGAATATGTGAATATGGCACTTAAAATGAATGTACTCTAGGATGTCTGTTAAAATTAACTAACACATCTATCTACAATTTTAGTTGTGTCTTTGCTAAAATATTTAAAAACACATTTTAGACAGTATTTTTCTCCAACATCATGTTTAAAATTTCTGCAAGCCAGTGTTGTAGATTTTAAGATTGTACTAATTTTTCAAAATATGTATTGCATCTCACTGTAAGGGAGGTACATTCATATTCCATGAACTCCAGGCTTTGCCGTGGGGCTCACATTCAGTTTGACTAACAAAATATAAATAGAAGTGGGATGGGCACTTCCAAGGGAAATCTTTAAAAGTCTTTTCATGGTTTTCCCTCTTCCATGAAGGCAGAAGTTCCTTTGATTGGGACTATTTTTATGGCTTAGGTCCTTAAATTAATATGGGAAAGAAATCCACGTTCAACCCACTATGAACTTGTCTCAATAGTAGGAAATAGAACTTGTTGTACGTGTGTCCCACTGAAACTCTGTGGTCTGTAACCAAAACATCACTTAGCAAAAGCCAACAAATGCATGTTGTAATTTAGTTGTTGTTTTCTGCACCTATGTTGTCCTAAAAGAAGTCTTCTTCAAATTTTAGATGCTTAATAGATATTTCTTCTTATGACTGAATTTCCTTGTCATGTATTGAGTACAAACCTATCATAGTATGTTTATATATACTAATTTTCTCTCTTTTGGTATTTAAGTTAAAATATAATTTTTCTTATGTTTCAAGACTTCCGAGATTTCCAAGGTGTGTATAGATAGATAGGAGAGAGAGCAGTCCCATTTTGAAATTTAGTCAAAATCTTTAAATGAGGAATCAGAAATTTGCATTTTTATCAGCCTTACCCAAACAAGCATAATGTACGCCAAAGTTCTAGCTCTATTGTTATATAAAGTAACACCTAAATCTTTTTCAATTCATTAAAATAAAAATGCAGTAGTGTCAGAAATAATTTTCATTTTTTTTGTATAACAAAGAAAAATAAAATTTATATACAATAATAATTATATTTTAGTATAATTTATATGTAATATGTATAAATTTAGTGTAGTTATAAAAATATAAATTACGTATTTTAAATTTATATTCTAAACTTTAAAATGCATAAAATTTATATATATGTAAAATTTTAAAATATATAAGAAAATCCTAGTATCCTTCAGATTAATATATCTATCCTTTGAATTTCATAGAGCTGGTAGACAGAAGTTTCTGTTCCAAATCCCATTTTTAACTTGAGGTCATTTTCTTTTTTTTTTTTTTTTTTGTTACTAACAGATACAGAGTATTTAACAAGACTCCTCATTGCAGAGAGAAAAATAAATGATTAATTGTAAATTCCTCCTAAAAATGTAAGAAAAATTTGATTTTATACGAAGAAATTAACATTTCTCCTTTTTACTTTCAAGTGTCCACTGCTATTATCCAAATAAGAAGGATATTGTCATTATGCAAAATCAAGATGTTACCTATGAATCTCATATATTGAAAGGATTTCTGCTCTCTTGATGATATTGGCCTTCAGGTTCTCATCAATTCATCTTTTGCCTCCTCTCCCATTCACAGATGACATATTATGAAGATACTATCTATTAAACAAAGAGATGAAAAAAATCCAATAATATGTCTGGATGCATTTCAGATGGACTCTGTTGTGAACAACAAAAATGGTATACATATTTGAAAAGTTGTCAAAAGAATAAGAATTTATCAGATCAGAATTTAAGGGAAATGAGAAAGCTACCTATGTAAAATACAAAGAGGGAACATGAACTATGCAGTAGATTTTTAAAATTATATGAAAAGTTATCATAAACACTTTAAACCAAGGTTTCACAAACTTTGCACTATTAACATTTCAGGTCAGATGCGCTTTTCGTTGGTAAGACAAGCTGTCCTCTACATTCTAGCATGTTATCAGCATCTCTTGTTTCTATCTACTAAATGCCACTAGAAAACCACTGTTGTGATAAACAAAAATGTTCCGGAAATTGCCAATCCTCCTCTTGGGAGGGAGTAAAGTAGATCCCATGAAGAACTCTATGTCAATAAATAAAATTTGAATGAGATGAAAATAAAAAGCTTTTTAGAAATATGTAGCCTACAAAAACGAACCTAAGAAGAAACTAAAAGCTTAAAAAAAACATTTACCCATAGTAACAAATCAAATAGTCCTGTGACTACGACTCTCTTATAAAAAAAAGTCTTACCAAGAAGACACTATTTCTAGATAGGCCATCATGTAGTGGAATTCTTCTTTGCCAACTCAGCTAGGCCAGAACGATTTTCCCCAAAATTCTCTTTCCTATATAATTGTAGGTTAGCATGGTCCAAATAAAGCATTCTGCAAGACTCAGAAGGCAGAATTATGCAGCAGAAAAATTATTTTTATACTTTGAATTTTTTTATTGTTTCTAAGTGGACTAGAAAAAAAATAAAGCAAAAAAAAATAGTGAACTCAAGACATTTATTTTTCAGCCTAAATTTCCTCTAAGAAAGTTTTTATTACTAACACTAAAGACAACCTCATCTCCCGTTTGAGATAACAAATTAGCATCTCCTTCGCAGCTGACATTTTTGAAAACCAGACCCAAGTTGTAAAGTTGCAGGTGGCTGACTCAATGCAAACTGAATTTTCAAACTTATAAGGCCTTTCATCATAAACCCAGGGAATTGGTTGGGAAGAATTGAGGCCCTAAAATTTAGGACGGATAAAAACAGAAAGATTCCGGAAAAAGATAATTGCCTTGAAAGGAACTTCCCATCATCCTCATGTCCTATCCCCAATGACTCTTAGTCTTCCTATATCTGTAACCAGACTTAACTTCCAACAGTCTATGAATCTCTTGATTTGGCTTAATGATAATGTCATTCTTATTTGAACATTAATGATGACCGGTTGAAAATAAGAAGGTGAGAAAGGTAAGGAGAACTGTAAAGTGTAATTTTCCTACATATTTTCTAGTAGGAGTTTATAATTAATAACTCCTTTTTTCTCTTTGTTGAGAAGAGAAATTTTGTTAAATACTTTGTAATTACTTGTAACAAGAAAAGAAAACAAACGGTAATACATAAAGTGTGGTGCAAAAACTATTGCACAAAACAGGTTATACATACCATAAAATTACATAGGATTTTGATGTTCTAAATTTATAGAAACCTAACTAACAAGTGTGAGATAATCCTAAATGTGTCTAGTCAAGGTAGAAAAAATATTGATTTGATGCCAGAATAATAGACGAATATGGACTCACTAAGCAGAGAAACTGGGTTCAGTATGTGAAATCAAGGAGATTGGAATAGATTTAACATTTTGCTTTGTTGTTGACTGGAACCTGGGCTCAGAAATGGCTTACATTAAGTGAAATTAAAACACCAGAACTTCCCTGTCATATTTTAGAGGAATGTACCCAAAGTCAGAGAGATTGAAAGTTCAGTGGATTTATCATATCGTGCCTGTTCAGTTATCTCCTGAAATACCTCTCAGGTAGGTCCAGGATACTTTGCCTTCACTAGGTGTAGAAGAAAAAGAGTTATGTGGAACCCCCAACATCTTATCAAGCCTCTTGGTAATTACTTTCTATAGGCTAGAAATATTGTACAAGTAACAACTACTGTCGTGGCAGATTACAAAGAGTGGCACTCAATCCTTAAGAAAAAACAGTAATGCAATTTTATTGCAGATCAGGGCCCAAGCAGCAGACTAGTCTATGCTTCAAAGATCTTTAGTGTTGAGTAGTTGATCACCATATCCGCAGAACTAAAATAGATGGACAGTCTAGTAAATTTGTATAAGTAGAAACCTCCAAGTCTGTTAAGTAGAATCTGCCTTAGATTATAATAGAGTTACAGCCACCCTTCAATCAATTTATGGTACCGGAGTCATTTTAATGAAGAGAAGTCTGAGTCCCCTTGAGGAAAGACCTAGCTACATAGCCAAACATGGATATTGTAAATGTCCCTCATACCTTTCCCTAAAAGATCTGCAAATATTTACCAGGCTTACAGTTCATTAACAAATGGAAGTTAATCAGACTTCTCAAGGACACTAGATCTTGGCTCTGACTCCTCACAAATTTCTGTAGAATGAAATAATACCATGGGGCACTAGTCAGAATAGAGATTTAGAAAGCTCAGATGATCAACAGAGTGCCCAACACATCATGGGCCCAGTGGATACCTAAACCCAATATATTGTAATATTCTGAGTTTTAAAGTGTAGGTTTGTATTACACATAATCAGCGACTGACTTGAATTCCCACATGGTTTTCTGGTTCCGTGGAAAGGAAGCTATTATGACAGGGAAAGTCAAGTGGAAACCACTAGCCCTTTCTTTACATACAAAATACTAAAACAAAACAAACACTGCATCCCTAGAGAGATTACACAGATTAATGCCACCATTAACGATTTAAAATATGCTGAAGTGGTAATTCCTATCACAGCTCATTCAATTCTCCTGTTTTTCATGTTTAGCGGATGGATAGAAATGACAATTATGAAATTGGATTAGTAAAAATAATACCATGTGTCTTTATATGTCTTTATAGTAGAATGATTTATAATCCTTTAGGTATATACCCAGCAATGGGACATGCACAGGTATGTTTATTGCAGCACTATTCACAATAGCAAAGACTTGGAACCAACCCAAGTGCCCATCAATGATAGACTGGATAAAGAAAATGTGGCACATATACACCATGAAATACTATAGAGCCATAAAAAAGGAAGGGTTTATGTCCTTTGCAGGGACATGGATGAAGTTGGAAACCATCACTCTCAGCAAACTAACACAGGAACAGAAAACCAAGTGCCATATGTTCTCACTCATAAGTGGGAGTCGAACAATGAGAACACATGGACACAAGGAGGGGAACATCACACATCAGGGCCTGTCAGGGGATGGGTGGGGGGGCTAGGGGAGGGATAACTTTAGGAGAAATACCTAATGTAGATGACGGTTTGATGGGTGCAGCAAACCACCATGGCACGTGTATACCTGTGTAACAAACCTGCACATTCTGCACATGTAACCCAGAACTTAAAGTATAATAAAATAAATACCTAAATAAATAAAATAATAATAATAATATCATGTCCTGACTTCAGATGTAGCTGCTAATCCTGATGTTGTTTCATTGCTAGGGCAAATCATCACATCCCCTGGCAACTGATAGGCAACAATATATCTGGAAAACAATCTTTTTCTCTATATATCTCAGTAAAGAATATTAGAAATAGTCTGCTTGCAGACATGACCAGAAATACTTCTGTATAGTTCTAGAACAGGGTTATATCAATTGTTAAACTTTCTATCATAATCCAGTCCATAATGACATGAAACACCTCTTAGTTAACAAAGATGTCATGTTGCTTCTATATGTTTATTATGTAATGATTTTGAATCTAGTGAACAAGATGTACCAGGTACTCCAGAGACTTTGGGAAGACATATGCATGTCAGAGGTTGGGGAATGCATCCCATAGAAACTCAGGGGCCTGCCACCTTAGTGGAATCTTTAGGGGTCTACCTCATGGAACATGTTGAAATATTCCTTCCAAGTTGAAGAGCAAGTTGCTATGTCTGGCCCCTCCCACTATTAAGAAACGTTGTAACAATCTGTGGGCCTCTCTAGATTTGGGATGCCGTGTATATCTCTGTTAGGTTGTATTATTCTTGCTTATTTACTGGTTATCCTGGAAAACTGCCGGTTTTGAGTGAGACCTAGAATAACTCTCTACGAAAAGTCCGTCTGCTATTTCTGAAAGCTCCTGTGTTTCCTGGAACATATGACCCAACAGAACTAATTTTGCTTCAACTGTGTGTGGTGGAAAGAAATGCCATACGGAGCAGTTAGCAGGATGGTAAAAATGATTCAAAGACTGGAGCTTAGGAATTTTAGAGCAAGGCTAAGACAGTTTCTACAGATACTAATAATTCCCCTTATGACAAATCACATATCTTTTGCTACTGAGCCTTGGTAGAGATTAAGTGCTTTAACATGGCACAACCAGTTATCAGGAGACCTGTGATGCCCTCCATGAACTGGCTTTTGTCTGAAGGAAATCAATTATATCTAATAAAGTAAATAAAGACAAAAATTCAACTATTCAAAATTCTATACGCAATGAAGTTTGAATTAAGCAAAGAATACTTTAAATTTATTTGATAAAAAATAAGTTTTTACATTAAAATGCATACAAAATAACCATTTCAGTGTCTTGGTGACTTATAGAATTTTTCATAGGCATAAAAATGTGCTTTGTTTTGTTTTTTAGTAAACCAATAGATGGTGGGAATTGGAATAATACATATTATATTGATTTTCCTCTAAAAGGATTTTTGTTTTTCTTCTAGACTGTGAGAAGCCTAAAACTTCAGGTAACATGGAAGAGAAAAAAAGATGTGAGAGAAAAAAGACTTTGAAGGCTATGATGCACTACTTATGCTACTTATACTTACTACTATGACTTATACTACTGTACATATAGAACTGTGCTCTATGGAGGCCAGAGAGCCCCTGGTGAAGTCATTTGCCAAGATGTTTTTGGTTATCATTTACTCCTTTATGCCTGCAATGAACAACATGTTTGTGTCCTAAACTAAATGTTTGTGCTCTAACTAAATTCATATGTCGAAATTCTAAAGTGCTGATGCCAAACATGAGGCCTTTGGGAGACAATTAGGTCATGAGGGTGGAACCTTCATGAATGGGTTTAGTGAAGCCCTTATAAGAAGAGACTAGAGACCACTCTCAGCCTCATTTTACCATGTAAGGACACAATGAGAAATCTGCTCTCCACAACCCAGAAGAGGCCCTCACCATGTAACGGAGCTCAGGCTCGGCTGCTCACCGCTTGCAGAGCCAATGACAAAGTTGAAGTGCAGTGAAAGAAACGTGATTTTATTTTCTAAAGCTAGCAGTCGGGAACTGGCTGGCTTGCGCCTTTAGAAATGGCTTCCAACTTTAGGCTGAGAAAATGGGTTAAATAGGGGGACCTGGAATGGAGGATGCGGGAGTGGTGCTGAGTACAAGGTCTGCGTTTCTTGTTCCGGTGGCTGTCAGAAGGGGCTGGTATCATCCTAAAAATGGCCGGGTTGTAGACTAAAAGCCTTGAGGTAATGTCTGAAATTTTGCATCCTGGTCTCCCTGAATGATCAGTCCCAAGATTAGCCCCTGGAACCACATAATTAGATATAAGCATACAGTTAGATAGAAGTGTACAGTGTAAGGGGGTATACAGTGCAAAAGGGAGGGACATCTCCCTTTCAAATGAAAGTACATCTCAAAGCTATATTCTAAGACTAAGTACATCTCAAATAAAGTACATCTCAAAGCTATATTCTAAGACTAAGGGGAAAAAAAAGGGAATTTCTGCAGTAAGCTTCAAGGTTACATCTTGATCTTGATTCTAGGGAGAAAAGAGGAAAAGGGGTAAAATAAAGTTTTAAAGTACAAGTTTCAGGCTGTAGCCAGTTAGTTATAACCAGAACCCAACTGGCTGGCACCCTGAACTCTGACTTCCAGTGCCTACAGCACTGTGAGAAATCAATTTGTGTTGTTTTTAAGACACTCAGTGTATAGTATTCTGTTCCAGCAGCCCAAACTGCCTAAAACAGTGCCCTAATCTTAAATAATTATTTACTACATGTAATCGAAGTTGGTATTGACAATTTGGGGAGTAATACAAAAGACCTTTTCCACGTTTGTGGTATGATGTCAGCAGTTGCAAACAATAAGTCTCAACGTTGGTGATTTCAGATGGAGCTGGAAATACAATTTCTGGGCAAGAATCGATCTGCCTTGAATTTTTTTCTAAAAAGTATATATATAATAATAAAAACAGCCATTAACAGTAGTTGTAATAATATTTTATCTACATTATTATTTTATTGCTACTAGATAATATGAGGCAAGAACACTTATTTCCTCTGTTTTTCACTGAAGAACTTGAGTCATTAAAAGATTAAGTAACTTGACAAAGGTCAAACTTCTTACAAAAAAAGCTGCAGGATATCAGAGAGGTTATCAGTGGAGAATATCACTAGACATTTGCTCATACCCGCTCTCCATTCATAGAATGTGGAGATGAAATTTCTTATTTGATTTATATATTAGTTGGCAGGGTAATTCTAGAACACTGAGTTTCTTTGGGTTATGAATGTTACAGTTGCATTTATTTTATATTTTTTTACCTTTTATTAAGTAGAATTATTTTCCATTTTATTTGTGTGAAACATAATTGTGTTATGAAATAAACATCACTAGAAATATACTTTTCACATTGATTCATTGCAAAGTTATGCACTTAAGACTGATTAAAATTGAACAAGGACTGTTGTGCAAACAGACAAGTTTTATCTGCCATAAGACTGGTGATTTAGGAAATACTTTTCATAATAAGTCAAGAAGGCTGTAGAACTATCACTTCACTATAAATGAAACAAGAGAATCAATTCTTTACACAGAAAATGGCTAATGTGGAAATTGGATTCTGTGACAACTCATTGAACAAACAATCATGAGCAACCACAATAAAATGTAATTTCCTTTATCTTAAATTCTTTAAAGTTAGCAGTTAAAGCTGGATTCTCATATATGCCATTTCACATAGTTTATCTTTCAAGCAGATGATTTTATGTGTCAAATAACTATAGCAAGGATAATTCATGAGCTGAGATTTTTAGGGTGAAGAAATCAATGGAACATTGCGCTGCTGTTTCTTTGCTTCGAACTCATAATGGCACAATGCTAATTTTTTTTTTTTCAGTTTTTTTGTGAGCTCATGTAGCAGCAGGAAAGCAAAATATAATCAAGGCAGCAGGGAGCTTCTCTCTACAACTAGAATCAATTTACATTTGTCCATTATGTAAATGATTCTTCACTATTTTTCTATTTGCCTATTTGAAATTGTGGCAGGGTGAATTTCCACTTGCACGTATGAGAATTTTTCAAAATCTTTATATAATTATATAATAATACTCAATTTTTCATTAATATTGAGCTAGGTTACTGGTATGTTTCCTTCAAAAACAACAAATTGATCACATTTGTCTAATTTTTTTTGTCCTGTGCAGGATTTAATCTCAAAAAGAGAGTCTGTTTATATATTTATTATGTAACTTGAATTATTTATGATTATAGTTTTAATAGTTGGACTAATTTTTTAAAATTAAAAAGAAAGACACCAATATTATTTATTAAACCAACCAAAAAGAAAATTTAACCATTTCTGTATTCTGATAGATGTCCTTAATCAAGTTCTAGGAATTTACCAAATATTATAGAAAGTTTCCAGACTCTGCTAGTTTGAATTATGTCTGTCTAGTTCTGTTCTCTTGTGTTATAAATATAGTTGAATGGATTTTGCTGCAAGTATAAAAAATATTTTCAACCCCAGAAGAAGTTAAAGTGCAATTTAAAACTGATGCCTTTCTATGTATTTCATTTAATCATCAACCTTACTTTTGACTCAATGAATGTCATATATTTTTTATTTCTGAAATTTAGTTCACTTTATAGCAGCTGCACAAATAGTCACTCACTCAGTCAATGCAATTAATAACAAATGCCAGGCAAGTAGTAAAAGTGTTCAAACCATTTATTTTCTTTAGTGCAGACTCTTGGGGCAGTTTGCCGTGGCACTGTTTTCTCACCACTAAGCAAGTTTCTGTTGAGTAGCGTGTGACTTTTTTCTCTGAGAGTGTTGCCCACAGAATAAGCTCAAGGCTCCATTCTTTTCATTGAATAGTTCTTCTCCCAAATTGCTCATTTACATTTGTGACTTCAAACATCAGCTTTGTGGTGACAACTCTCACATTGACAAGCAGAGATCTAACTTTTTGCTTTTCTAGTTATGTATTCAAAGCTACCCTCAAAATACTTGCACTTTATTTTTCTCTCAACCACACATATTTAATAGTCATGAAAGAAAAGCCAGTTTTCTATTGCTCTTGCACCTCCTCTTTTCCTAAACTTTTCTCTTTCAACTTTTTTTGTTGTTGTTTTGTTTTGTTTTTGAGATGCAGTTTTGCTCTTGTTGCTCAGACTGGAGTGCAATGAATGGTGTGCTCTTGGCTTACTGCAAACTCCGCCTCCCGGGTTCAAGCAATTCTCCTCAGCCTCCCAAGTAGCTGGGATTAAAAGCATGAACCTCCACACCCAGCTAATTTTGTATTTTTAGTAGAGACAGGGTTTCACCGTGTTTGTCAGGCTGGTCTCGAACCCCTGACCTTAAGTGATCCACCCAACTCTGCCTCCCAAAGTGCTGGGATTACAGGCGTGAGCCACCTTGCCAGGCCCTCTTTCATCTTTATGTCATGTCCAGGATACTCTCTCCCCAGATACGAAGGCTTCAGTTCCTTATCTTAAGGTCCAGTTACCCCAAGTATCTTTGATTGGCTCTATTTTGAGCTTGTGTTCCTATTTTAATTGATTGTATAAAATACTATCATTTTATAGAGCCCTCTGTGATCAATTAAACCCCTTTGTATGGCGTCTAAGAATTTTCTTTAACCAGCGGAATGAGTTCTTTTCAGAATCATGTTTATTTCTTAACCATGCAAGCCAACAAACCATTCTAGTTAAGTCATTTTTACTATTTCTGTCTTTTGTGCCTCCCTCTAGAGACACACACACAGACACACACACACACAAACACACACACACACACACACACACACAAAACTCATATTGGCAACTGGGCCTTCCATTTTATGCCTTATGGACTGGCAACCCTTTCTTATATGCTCAGCTAATTCAGATTCCATATTTTTCTTTAAAGATTATCTCAGAATCTTCTTACAATTTTTACAATTTTTGTGCTTAATTATATCAACACTTTGATAGTCCCTTTGTACAACCTTTACCACTCTGTGATATGTGTGGTGACCTTAAGTTTCAGAGAAATTTCTAGAAGGAACATCCTTGGTATAGTAAATTATCTCTATTGTACTAGTCTTTATTAAATATATTGATATTATTTTCATCTAATGATATTTAAAAATAGTTTTCATATTTATAAATCAGTTATATATAAGGTCGTGACATCGCCTGAGCTCTGACTTTGCTCCACACAGCAGTGGGTGCTGGGAGCAGGGATAGGCCAGGGAGTGGGCACTTCTGAGCTTGTGGTGGCGGAGGGCATTCCAGGTCCCTGAGAATGCAGGGATGCCCAGGTCCAGAGCTGTGGCTGGACAGCTGCAGCTGTGCCTGAGAGTGTGGTCTCCCCCTGACATAACTTGTTACTGGCCTCTGCCAGTCCACGGAGCGTGCAGCCCCAGACATGCCTCCCCCGCTGCAGCTTACATCCCCACAGCAGTGGCTGCAGATGGGCTGAGGCCACCATCACAGACTTGTCCAGTCCATGGCCGCGGGCCACAGATGGTCTAGGGCAGCTTTGAATGTGGTTCAACACAAATTCATAAACTTTCTTAAAAAATTATGAGTTTTTTTTTTTTTTTGCAATTTTTGTTCTTTAGCCCATCAGCTAACATTCGTGTTAATGTATTACATATGTGGCCCAAGACAAAATATGAAAGTATAAAATTAAGGCAAATCATGTTAAGTGATACGTAGATGGAAACTGAAAAACAAATAACGTATATAACAATGAATTTATCATCAAATTTGCTGAGGTAAGGGATGGTAATAGAGAAGATAGTAACATTTTGACTGGTAAATAAAATTGCTTTACTTCTAATTCTAAGAATCAATCTGCTGTTCTCAGGAATACATATTTTGAGGAGTCAATTTTGGAACAATTTAAAAGAAGGAAAGATGATGCAAAAATAAAATTAGAAAAGATTAATTCTAGAACTTGCAAATCACCTGAGAAAAATAATCTGTGTTGTCAGAAATGAGGAGAGTGATTTCTCTAGTGGTTACTACTAGAAGAGAGGGTGAATGGGGCTTCTGGGCTGAAAGGTTTAACAAAATTGGTATACAACTAAAACAATAGCACATTTCTTTTAGTTCAAGCATACTTGAAATATTTTCTAAAAAATTAGTGTATGCTCTGGAAATAAGATACAAAATAGCTACAAAAACTAATTATGCTAAGTAAAATCTATGTTTGATCGCCCTGGAAGGGAAGATTCTAAGGTATTCCCCAAATTTCTGCCTCCAGTCATAACTGACCTGCATAATCTTCTCTTGAGTGTGCGCAGAATATGTGCATGTAGTGGGAAGGACATGCTGTGATTAAATTATTAATAAAATGACTGTGAGTTAATCAGAACTTATATTATCCTAAGGGGGGATTAACCTAAATAGGCAAGTTTTCAAAAGAAGGTGAAACATCAAAGAATGAAATCACACGAACAGCCATATTGGAAATTCCTTGAATTGTCAGTTTATTAAAATTACCAATTTAGTGACATCTATTTTGAGTTTCTGGATATTTTTCCTCTGTTTTTACTGAATTTTCTAAATTTTATTTAATGTAATTATTATGATTAAAATACATTTATCATCTAATTTTATTAGTTCTTATGCTTACTCTTATTTTCTTCCATTTTCTTTGGATTTAATTTATAGTTTTTGCTAGCATTCACATAGGTATCTGTATATTATAATTATGAGAAGTACATAATACATTTATAATATATATGTGTATATACATATTGTATAAGAAAAATACATATATTACACACATATTTGTACACATAATGTACATATACATAAGTGTATAACATGTATATAGTATATACATATGTGTATAATATATGTATATATAGTATATACATAAAAGAAAAGCAAAAGTTAAAATTATATGTGTGTATATAATATATACACGTATCTATTATATGTAATTGTAAAATAGTTACATATAATAATTACATGTAAATAATGTAATACATTCTTATTTTACATATAATAAAATAATATAATTTTACAAGTATATTAGATATAATACGAATATTATATATACACACATATAATTATTTACATAATAATGTGCTATTACTTAAATATATAATAATGTGTACTGTGTACACATATGTAATATGTGTCTAATATATGATATATAGTATATTTTTATACATTGTACATGACATGTATAATATATAGTACATATAATGTTTATATATACACTTATAATTATATAATTATTGGAAAATTATATAAATACAACTATAGTTATAGGTATTATGTATGTGCATATATTATATATAATTATATGATTATTAATTACATAATTATCTAAGTAATTATATAATTGTATAATTTAATTGTAATTCTGTGTGTATATATTGTATACACATAATTATAAATAAAATGTAATTATTATAAATATATGTGTGTATATAATAATATTTTATAATATCAAATTATATGAATTATATGTATATATTATATATGCACACATAATTTATATACTTATAATTATATTTATATAATTATACCATTATAATTACTTGTGTATATTTATATGCATATATAATATATGATATAATAATTATATTTATTTACAGTTACATAATATAATTATATATAGTTCATATATTACACTTTATATATTATATAATATTTTATATATATTTAGTACATATACTTTATATATAGTACACATAATATGTATATTTAGTTCATATATTTATATATAGTATATATAATATTACATTTCATATATATTTTGTGAAAATATGTAACATACATATGTCACATATGTATGTGCATATTACACATTATTTCACATGTATTCAATATATAGATATAATAGATATATATCTATTACACACATGCATTACACACATATATATGTGTGTGATATATGTATGATTATATATATTTGTCATATATGGAATATGTATAATATATGAAATATAACATTATATATAAATAATACTATACACAATAATATGTAGCATACAGAGTAGATATATCACATATAACATTATATGTAGAGTATATATATTATATATTTTAATTATCATATTTATATATGATATAACATATACCTTTGCAGGCTTCTTACATGAATATATTATGTCATGCTGAAGTTCGGCATATGAGGTACGCTATCACTCAGATAGTGAGCACAGTACCCACTAGTAATTTTTTCAACCCTTGCCTCCATCCTACTTCGTCTGCTCTATTACTCCACATTACCTATTTTTCTTATCTTTACATCTTTAAATACCCAAAATTTAGCTCCCACTTATGCAAACATGCAGTATTTGGTTTTCTGTTTCTACATTAATTTACTTAGTATGATGGTCGCCAGTATCATCCATGTTGCTTCAAATAACATGATTTTATTCTTTTTTATGGCTGTGTAATGTTCCATGGAGTATATGTACCACATGTTTTTAATTGAATTCACTGTTGATGAGCAACTAGCTTGATTCCATGTCTTTGCTATTGCGAATAGTGCTGCAATGAATATATGAGTGCATGTGTCCTATAAAAAGACATATTTATTTTCTTTTGAGTATATAGCCAGTACCAGTAATATTATTGCTTAGTTGAAAGATAGTTCTAAGTTCTTTGGCAAATCTCCAAACTGCTACCCAGAGTGTCTGAACTAATTTACATTCCCATCGACAGTTTATAAGCATTCCCTTTTCTCTGCAGTCTCACCAGCATCTATTATTATTCTTTTTCTTTTTAATAGTAGCCATTCTGACTGCTGTGAGAGAGCTTCTAATTGTGGTTTTAATTTTACACTTTTCAGATGATTAGTGATGTTGAGCATTTTCTCATGTTTTTTGCCTCCTTGTATGTTTTTTCCTTTTTTTGTTTTTTGAGAGGTGTCTGTTCATGTCCTTTTCCTACTTTTTACTGGCAAAAGTAATGTGGTGCCTCCAGCTTTGTTCTGTTTGCTTATGATTGCATTGCCTATTTGGGCTTTTTTTTTGGGGGGGTGTATAAATTTTAAAATAGTTTTTTTTTTTTTCTAATTCTGTAAAAAATGACATTGGTTGTTTGATGGGAATAGTGTTGAATCTGTAGATTGCTTCGGGCAGTATGGCTGTTTTAATCATATTGATTCTTCCAACCCATGAGCATGGGATGTTTTTTCTTTTTTTTTCTTTTTCATTTTTCTTTTTATTTTTTCAGATAAACACATGGATTTATTTAAAAGCCTACAAGCACTACAGAGGAGGGTAGAGTGCTATTACCCAGAGATACTGACCCAGATGGGAATCAGAAAAGCCTTCCTTGAGGAAGCAGTATTTTCATCTTTGAACCATTTTTTAATTTAATTTAATTTTAAGTTCCAGGATACATGTGCAGGATGCGCAGGTTTGTTACATAGGTAAACGTGGGCCATGGTGGTTTGCTGCACCTATCAACCCATCACCTAGGTATTGAGCCCAGCATGCATTAGCTTGCCTGGGCAAGATCAAGATGCTAGCAGATTTGGTATCTGGTGAGGGCCTCCTTCATCATAGACAGCCATCTTTTCACTCTAACCTCATATGCTGGGGCAATAGTCTCTTTGGGGCCTCTTTAATAAGGGCACTAACCCTTTTCATGAGGGTTGCACCCCATGAACCAATAACCTCCCCAAAACTTCATCTCTATTACCATCACCTTGGGGATGAGCATTTCAACACAGGAATTTGGAAGGAATATAAACATTCACACCATAGCATAGGGTAATTCCACATCTAATATTTTAAGAAAAACTCAAAATGTTTTCATAAGATCTGTGCCATTTTACATTCCCATCACCAATTTACTACAACCTCACCACTCACCACTAAGACCTGTTTTTTATTTTCATTATAGTCATTTTAGTGGGTATGTAGTTGTATATCACTGTGATTTTGATTTGTGTTTCCATGATGGCTAATGACATTGAGCATATTTGCTTGTGTTTATTGGCCCTTCATCTATCTTCATTGGAGAAATGCCTAAGATCCTTTACATATTTTTTAATTGGGTAAAGTTTTATTAAGTTCTAAGAGTTCTTTTTATATCCTACTATATATATTTTATCAGACATAAGATTTGCAAACATTGTACATTGCATATTCAATTTCTCGATGGTGTCCTTTGAAGCAAAATGTTGAAATTTTGAAGTACAATTTATGTATTATTTCTGTGGTTACTAGTGCTTTTGGCATCATCTTTAAGAAAACATTGCCTAATCCAAAGCCATAAAAATGCATTCCTATGATATTTCTAAAACTGTTATATTTTTTCTTTCCATTTAGCACAATGATCAATTTCAGTTACTTTTAGTCATTATGTGAGAAAAGGGTCCACTCTATCTATTGCATATGGCTATCCAACAGTCTCAGTAACTTATTGAAAAGGCTACTATCTCCCAAATCTGTCTTGGCAATCTCGTCAGAAATAAATTGACCATAAGTGTAAAGATTTATTTCTGGGATGTCAGTTCTACTCCATTGTTCTATATGAATACCCTTATGCCAGTACCACATAGTCTAGGTTATTACAGTTTGGGATTAAGTTTAGAAAGTATGAGTCCTTCAGTATTGATTTTCTTCTTAAAGATTGTTTGGCTGTTCTGTGTCCTTTGCATTTCATATAAATTTTAGGATCACCTTGTCAATACTTGAAAAAAAAAGCTGAGATTTTATAGTAACTACATTGCCTATGTAGGTCTATTTGAGTATTGCCACCTAATAATAAACATGGGATATTCATGAATATGGGACGTATTTATGTACTTTATCTTCTTTAGTTTCTTTAAACAATATTTTGCAGTTCTCTGTTTTATCTTCTTTAGTTTCTTTTGAATAATTTTATTCTTTTTATTCTATTGTAAAAGTATTTGTGCTTCTGTGGTATAAAGCATTCAGTCATCATTAACTTTGATATTAGCTGTGAGTTTTTTACAGGTATCATCGTAAAAACTGAAGAATTTTCCTTCTATTTCTAGTTTATTGAGTGTTGTTATTACTACTGAGTGTTAAAGTTTTGCAAATGCTTTTTCTGTGTCTATTGAGATGATCACATGCTTTGGGTAATTTGATCTGTTAATATAGTGTGTTATATTAATAGTTTTCATAAATTAAATCAAAGATACATTCTTTGGATAAAACCCACCTAGTCACGTAAAAATATTTTTATATGTTATTGGATTCACTATGCAAAATTTTTTCAGGATTCTATGTCTATATTCAGAAAGAATATTGATCTATATATTGGGCTTGTAATATTACATTGAAAAAAAAAGCCAGCTATCTTAAAAAGGAAACACTTTTTTCACACTAACTTATAAGCTTATTTTGTTTTTATCATGATACAGAGACTATGAAAACTTTCATTGATATAGGAAAATTAATAATCATAATTACAAGGTTCTTTAATGTGGAAAATGCATGCAATTTCTATAGAAAGATGCACATTTTTAAAAAAAGTTACTAAGTCTACATTATAGTGCTTTAAAGAAAGATCTCCCTTCTTCAGTGCTGCTATTTTAAATACAGTAAATTTAAAATATATATGTACAGTGGTGTTTGTCTTATATTTGGCTGGCCCATAAACATTATTTAAAATATGTAACATTTTCCATTAGGGTATTATTTTCTAACCTCTCAACTAAAGTTTATAAACAACTGATTCTGGCATTGTGTACATTATAATATAAATGAGCATAGGGTACAATATCAAGCCCTTACCATAACTGGTCATTAATGCTGAAGAATGTTTTATGTTAGAATAAAAAATTTGACTATCATTGAATGGAAAACAGAAACATGATTACACCCAGAAAATAAAGGCAGTAAATGGTTCATTTGCGTCTCTTTCCATTTGCGGAATTGTAATAAAAATGCCAAATAGATTGATATTTAGGCAAAAAGCACATTGCAATACAGTTAAGATTACTAGAGGAGATGCATTAATATAGAATATTCCTCTTAGAGTCTGCTTTTCTACTTCAATTTCAAGAGTAGCTGGGTATTTTAATTTCAGTTATAGATACTCATTTAGCTTCTGATTCAAAGAACTCTCTTTTCCGTAAAATAAATGTGAACACTTCTAAGTTATTTTATTTTACCATGCTTTCTTAGATTTTAATCTTAATATTTAAAACAATCACAACATTTGAAAGAAGTTACAGTCTTGTATATCATGCAAAGTACTGAATGCCTTCCAGTTTACATGGTTTTAAGCTGCTGTAGCAGCAGCTGCATAGGATTTAGCACAACATAGGTGTTGATTCTTTCTCTTTTTTAATGAAAATCTGAATTATAAATCTCTTGCAACAAACTGATGATGAGATGTTTAGCAAAGTTATAACACATATTACTTGATATTACAAAATGCCACATTTTTTCCCTGTGAGCAAAAGGGTGACAGAATTATGAAGCAGTGTTAAAAGAGAAGAGGAAATAAAATAGAAAGAAAGAATGAGAAAACAAAATGAATAGCGAATGTACCTTAAATTGCATCTCATTAAATGATCAATTTATTTTTATAGGTGAAGTAATTAAGTAGTAATTTTTAGATTTTTCTAAAAATGTAAAAGCAATAAAAATAAAAGTAAGTATGTGTGTGTGTTTTATTAATGAAGGGTAGAGAGCACAGCAGCTAAACAGAAACTATAATATTTTAGGAGTTGTAAGAATACTATGTAAAACATGTTTCACATAAAAATGTTAATATGAATTACATAAATTTTTAAATATAGAAAGATTGGCCAAGCGCAATGGCTCACGCCTGTAATTCCAGCACTTTGAGAGGCCGAGGCAGGTGGATCACGGTCAGGAGATCGAGACCATCCTGGCTAACACTGTGAAACCCTGTGTCTACCAAAAATACAAAAAATTAGCTGGGCGTGGTAGCGGGTGCCTGTAGTCCCAGCTACTCGGGAGGCTGAGGCAGGAGAATGGCATGAACCCGGGAGGTGGTGCTTGCAGTGAGCCGAGATCACGCCATTGAACTCCAGCCTGGGTGACAGAGCGAGACTCTGTCTCAAATCAATCAATCAATCAATCACGATTATATTCTCAGGTAAAATAAAATAAAAGCTTCATAGACTCTTAGTATACATATTCCAGGAAAAGACCTTGGTGAAGCTTGCCTTTGCCTTTCTTACTCATCAACTCTTATTGAGATGTTCCAGTGACATCCAATCTACAAGTCACCCAATGACTTGATGTGGTTTATAATCTTTTTCTCTCATGGAAGAAATAATTCTGACTAAAATATTTCCCGTAGATTTTTGAAGAGTCTCTATTATTGTACCTGGGATCTTTCCACTTAAAAACAGAAGCAACTTGAGGTATTCCAGTGAAAAATGTATTACTCATAGACAATCTAACAAGAAGAAAACATCCTCTACCTCTACAGTGCTATATTATAGGTGCTTTCAAGAATAATAGGTTTTCCTCATGGGTACATATATGCAGAGAGGCTTGATTCACAAACTAAGTTTTAAGCCTCCCTCACCAACACAAAATCGATATTGTTGTTACCAAAGATATTATCATAACTTATACAGCGGCCCTTCTCATTGGCAATACTTCAGCATTGTCAATGGTAATGTCTTACTTTGTCAAAGTCACTTGTAGACTATATATCAGAGATGAGATTTCTTCACATACATTTTCTTAGAGCCAAGCTCTAAGAAATATATTCTTTCAGTCTGAGCTGGAGAAGATTGGGAATAAAAATGTATGTTTTCAGACTAATATTTTCTCTCTACTGTGCCAATAAACCCTTCTAGGCTCCACTTTCTCTATATTCAGAGTAATCCTCCCTCACCAATTTTCCACTGAAGAAGGGATTTTATGGCCTGGCAGAATTTTCTTCACTCTTATTTAGATGTGTCAAAGTATATCTGACTACTAGAGTTGGCATGATTTGGTCATTCCACTACATATAAGACTAAGAAAGTCTATTTAAGAATCATAGGAAATAAAATATTTGGAGCTAGTAAAGAAGAGTTTTTAAAAAACTCACAAATTAATCTCTTACTGAGTAATGTATTTTTATTCATCTATTTTATTTGTAATAAACAGGACAGATCTCATTACGTGAGGTAATACATTTTGTAGAATACTTATTATTAACAGAATTCACAGCACATAGAAATGGCCAGTCACTACCATTATTGTAATTTCCTGATGTGTTCTTTTTGCCTGCTGCACGGATAAACCCTGTTCTCTGAGACAGCATTATTGCAGTAGAGAAGGAGTTTAATTATTGCAAGGCAGCCAAGTGGAAGAATGCCCAAATTTGTCTCCCTAGGAACTCAGAGGCTAGGGTTTTAATGGATAATTTGGCAGGCAGGGGCTAGGGAATGGGTGCTGCTGATTGGTTGAGGATAACATCATGAGAGTGTGGGAAAAAAAACCTTGTGAGCTGAGTCAGTCTCTGGGTGGGGGCCAAAGGACTGGTTGAGTTATGAGTCACAGGTCAAGATGGAATCAGTCTGTCATCAGAATGCAAAAGTCTGAAAGCCATTTCAAAAGACCAATCTTAGGTTCTACAGTCGTCATGGTATCTCTCCAAGCAATTGGGGAAGTCACAAATTTTGTGACCTCTGCCTGCACGATTTGGAGCAGGAAGAGATTATAGAGAAGCAAGCTAAGGAAAAATGGCTGGTTATCCTTTAACTACCTACATTTAGCAGAATTCAGGCCTTTCCCATAATCCTAATCTCATACCTTTCATTAGTTTTACAAAGGTGACTTCAGTCCCTGAGCAAGGAGTGGATTAGTTTTAAGGAGGGGCTATTATCATTCTTGCTTCAAAATTAAACTATAAACTAAATTCCTCCCATTGTTAGTTTGGTCTATGTCCTGGATGAGAGAAGCCAGCCAGCCTGTGAGGCTAGAAGCAAGATGGAATCAGCCATGCTAGACATTTCTCACTGTCGTAATCTCTGCAAAGGCTGTTTCATTGCTCTGATTACCACTAGCATTATGCTTATCATCAATGAACATAAAAAATGTACAGTTTTATGATGACCTATCTGGAAAAGGGAATGGTATCATGGAAAGCAACAGATCAACAGAGGGAAAATTAATTAAATATTAACTTAAATCTTGACAATAGGCTTTCAGTAACAACAAAGAAGGAATGTGTTTATAATACAAAGCACACATACTTAACATCATCTTCTCTCATTTGTAATATCTATCAGATCTATCACATGGGATGCTTGCTCCAAAGTTCCTATCCCCAATTCCTGAAAATGAGCTCCACAACCCAATCTGGTAGGTATATTTGTGTACATTCCTACTTTTTGTTCTTTCTTACAATGTTTTAGGAACTTTGTAGTTTAGTTATCTGTAACTCCATTATAATTTGAGTTAGTTATCTTATGTATTCTAAATTTGATTTAAACGCCCTACTCTATTTCTTCATTGCCTAAGGCTGATGTTGATCAGACTCAGAATCTATATGTGAAATTAGACTGGGTAAAAGTCTGTGAATGCTTTTGTATGAGTATTTTTGCTGTTGGCCTAGTTGCTGTCTATATTACCTTTTTTCCATTCCCATACCTTTGTGCTGAATTTGACCTGTTACACTGATAAACACAATTAGTAATTTTAGGCTGCAGAGACTCTATTCCCTTAATGTGCATGCTTGGGGTATGAAATATTAGAACTGTTCTCAAATTTATCCTGCTAAAGTGAAATTCTTTTTGAAAATTTAATGCTATTTATTGTCTACAGTACTTAATTAAAAAATAATGAAAAACAATCACTATATTCCAATATCTCCAAGTGGATATGTCCTAATTTAAAAGTTTACTTTTTGGCCGGGCTCAGTGGCTCACGCCTGTAATCCCAGCACTTTGAGGGGCCCAGGCGGGTGGATCACGAGTTCAAGAGTTCGAGACCATCCTGGCTAACGCGGTGAAACCCCGTCTCTACTAAAAACACAAAAAATTAACTGGGCGTGGTGGCAGGCGCCTGTAGTCACATCTACTCCAGAGGCTAAGGCAGGAGAATGGCATGAACCCGGGAGGTAGAGCTTGCAGTGAGCCGAGATTGTGCCACTGCACTCCAGGCTGGGCGACAGACTGAGATTCCGTCTTAAAAAAAAAAAAAAAAAATTCTTTTTCTCATAGTATATATGGTGGCATTTTTTATATTCTTGACACAATTAGTATAGCATGTACCTCCCAAATTTTACCATTCTATTTCTCTTGCAATATCAGAAAATGGTGCTGCCTTTTGTGTTCTCTGCTTCTCAGCACCCAAAACATATTGACAAAACACAGGCAAGGTGGTCACAATTTTATACTCTAAATAATGTTTTATTCTTAATGAAACCTCTTTTAAAGATCTGCTTTTTTTGGTTTTACATGGATTATAATGAACCCTGTAAAGAACTAAACTATAATTATTTTTACATGGTTGCACAATTGTTTGCTTTAGTGAGCAATGACTAATTGTAGTTTTTCTGTTTTCATTTGTGTTTCTTAAATTGTTTTCTAAATTATAAGCCAGGAATCAATCATCTTTGTGTGTGTTAACAAGAATAATTACTTCTCTTCTTTCTATCTCATGACATAAATTGCGCATATCTTTCAAGTTACTGAATTTGTGGGAAATATATCTATCTCCTTTTAAGTGCTTTTAGTGTGTTTGTATGTGTAAAAAAAAACCTTAATATTTTGCCAGTGTACATAGGACTATATTATGACTGGACTCAAATAGCTCACAGACTAGGTTGTACAAATATTGAGTACATTAATGATTCTTCATTAAAAACAATCCTGGAGAAATATAGGAATAGCAACAGGAAATCAGTATTAAGTCTATCATAAGTAAAAAGTAAGGGCATATAAGGTATCAAAAGATATCAGGAACATAATTTAAAAGATTAAAGTGCTTGCAATAACTAAGGATAAAATGCCACATTTGCAATTTAGAAATTGTTACAATTAATATCAAAATTATGATTATTTTGTAGGGCCAGCCTGGAAATACTCTAGGAAGTACAATCCAAAGTTCCTAAATGATAAATGTCACCAGACAAGATAGTTAAATATATTGATTACCAAACTTGTGTCCCAAGAGGTTCTCATTCTGTAGGTTGTCTGGATATCTAGCTATTTATGATTTACTTTTGACTTCTAGCAAGCTTGCAAATCACTGAGCTGATCCATGTCCCCGGCATATCTTGAGTCTTCTACTCTTCCTCATTTGTACTTAAAGTTTGTGGAACAGAAAATTTGTTACATACAAAATGTTATCCACACTTGATCACCGGGTCCTATTTGTGACTGAGAGCTATGTAAACTAATTGACAGAATCTTTAACTTAATGTGCATAAAGGTCTAGGACAGGACAAGTCGTTAACATGCAAATTCATGCTCTACTAAATAGATTGTGATTCAGTTGCTCTCTGGTGGTATCCAGGAATCCATATTTGAAATAAGCACTCTTCCTGATTCTAATGAAAGTGCTGTAAGAATACATACTACAAAGTCCTGCAAAAAATAGATATATTGAAATCACAGCAACTTCTGGGAACCACATCATACTAGAATATCCACCTAAATCTAGGCAAACTATGGAAATAATCTTTATATTTGGGCTTCCTATCTGTTGCCAATGTGTTATCTAAATTTTAGTTTAAATTAAGGACTTTAATGTCACAGGGCACTATCATTATTAATTAGAATAATTTTGAAATTCATCCTATTTAAAAAAAAACCTCAAAGACAGAACTTCCAGATTATTTAGTCAGAACACAGTTATTTAAGAATAATGGAACGAAAAACAGACTTTTTTTTAACTTAGGTAAACTGTTTTTAAGGTGCAAGCAAAAGATGATAAAGTTTGCAATTGTGCTTATGTTGTTAACCTATGTATTAGAAACCCCATAAAGAAACTCAGATTATGCTTTCCTACAAAAGTCTTAAAATTTTACAATTCACATTTTGTTGGGTAAAATACAGTATTCATTACCATGCATAACAAGATAGAGAATTTAGATTTGTATGAGAGCTTTAATGTTGCCGATCTTCTTTGAAGTAAAATGTTATGCACAAGTTTTAAGACAGTTGAATTACTATGCTTCTCACTAATGATTTTTGTAAAATTTTGCATGAATGCATTGTTTCTGAATCTCATTAAATATTTCATTTGCAAGATTTTATTTTAGAATCATAGCTGTCATCTATCTTAATTTTCATGATCCTGAAATACACTTAATGTAGTTCACTTGGTCAAATTTGTATTCTGGCTTATTTTAAATGTTTAATCTTAAACATCAGATTTATTATCATGGTTATTTTAAAATTTGAAAGTGATACATGGAACAATGAAATTACCAGTCTTATACTGATTAAAACAAAGGATAAGCAAATTAGTAAACATATAAACAAGATTTTTTTCTATATTGGTGTGTCAGTGTTATAAATTACGTAAAATTTGTCAATATGATCAGTTCATTTTTTACTTCAGAAAAAACAGTCCAATTTAATGAAGAATAACATTACTAGCTTTCTCATAGTGTTATTACTACAATGCAATCAGCGAGTATATTAGAAATTTGGTTAAATGGTGCTCATGTGTATGTGTGAGCATGTGTGTGTGTATGCATGCACACGCTCACATTCAGGGGTGCAGTATATCTATACAAGTTTTAATTAGAAAATTATAAGTTTACATGTAGTTAAATTTGTATAAACAAGTTTCGATTTCTATTTTGGTCTGAGTGCTCTTAATTAAACTATGATCATCTATTGCTGATTAACCAAGTAAAAATGTTAAATAGAAGTCATATTCCTCTTTTTCCAGGTTGGTTTTGCTTACCAACAGTGTGTGTAGAAAAAATAATATTTTGATGAAAGAAAAGAGAAATACTGCACAGTCTAACATTAGTTTTAGAGGGAAGCCTTTATATCTACATCCTCCACATACTTGACAGAAAAAAAGCAGCCATCTTAACATTTTAAAGCCTGGGCTTTTTATTTGATTGAGATTAGTAAGGAATTCTGAATTTTATGTTTGTTTACCTGAACACATCAAATTTGATATAATTTTTAAGGAAGTATTTTATCCCATTTCATTTTTAACACTGTCATAGACTATGACATAGTTCATAGTTCATAGACTGTGAGCATTGCCGTAGTAAAATGTTGTCTTTTTTGTCAAGAAAACAATTTTTCTTTTGTGAATATTATTTTTATTTCATATTATAAATAATTATTTATGTAAAAATTCATAAATATATAACAATAATGTTTCTAAAACAAGGTAAATCACAGTTTGTGAAAATTTAAAGACAGATAATGCTATTCACTTATAAAATAGAAAACTGAAAAGTGATGATTATGGCAGTTATTAAAGCTTGGTAGGAATAGGGTTTAACATGATTCATAGAATTGTGCTCCATCTAATGTCACAGGACATAACTGATGGCTGTGATGACCAGTCTAGAAAATCATCCTAGATGCTTGTCTTGGAGATCAGTTAAACAAATGTCCCTTAGCTATTTAAATTTGCTATTTCAGTTGAAGACAGGTCTTAGAAAAGTGAATTGGTGGACTCTGAAATACGTGAACACACTTTGTGTCTATCCTATTATTGAAGCTAAAAGATAATTACGAATCACAGAAATGGCAGAGGCTTGAAGGGGTCAGGTTAGAAAGACAAGGAGAAAAGTGATGGTCTAATTTTTTTTAAACAATAGAATGTGTGTTTAAACCCAATTGAGTTATTTAATGAGTAGATTTATCGAAAGGATGGTACACTGTCAGACCACTTCAGCATATTGAATAGCTCAAGGGGAAAACGTTGCAAGGAAGCTTTAATTAATTTCCTTCATCTAATCCTCTCTTAACACTGAACAAGCTTTTGTCACATGCGTCATATTAATTCCAAGGACATAGTAAAAGCCATTTAAAAGCAGTCATAGCCCAATAAGGCTGTTAAGAGATCATTACTAAGTTCTTCATTAAAGTTAATGCATTTAACACTAATACCAGTCAGAAACCACATTCCAGTCCAGCAGTTTTATAAAATATTGATTGCTTTGGTGTGTCCTAATATACTAACATTATATTTTTAAGTAACTCAGTGAGACACATGTCCAGCTTATTTAATTCTAGTTTGTGAGACATTGCAACTCCTATGACAGCTTGAAATAGCACTATCTCAAGCCTTTGGGGGTATCAGTTTCTATATCTAAAATTGAGTGCCAGCCTTAAAGCTTCTGTATTTCATCTAGCTTTTCTCTCTCAGGTCACAAGTAGTGATAGGAGATTAATGAAGTGACATATTTAAAGAGTTTTATGAATAATAAATATTATTCTTATTCTTCTGTAGAAAAAAATGGAGTCATATGTAGGTTAAGTAACCATTAAAACTGTAATCCTTTAAAAGGATCCATTTACACTGCATTTAACTGCATTCCAAGCACTTACTCTCCTCTACTATTCTTATCTTGTCACTTTGAGTGCCAAAGGTGGGGTGAGAGTAGGTTTCATGTATAAAAATATGCAAATTTTGAGTCACTTAAACTATCTTTTCAAATGCATGTCAATATATCAAGTTTAATGCTCAAAGAACAAGTTTTTGTTTACTCTTTGCCAGAAAGCCCTTATTATTGGGATGACCTTTAATATAAAGTGGAAATGAAAAAAACAGGATTGCAGATATTTATTTCCCCAAATGTCTACTGATACACTCTGGCCTGTAAAGGTAGTGTAGAAAGAGCTTCAAAGTGTATGTTGAAGAGTACTTGCAGAATGGTCCCCTCTCCAGGGTAGCTGCAGAGACCGGTTTGAAGAGGATGTCATAGCAACATTTTACAATGGCTTACTCTTGTGACGTTCTTCTCTCCACATACCGATAAAAGTTCTCACAAAATATAGCCAGCTGTAGCTTCCTAACATGAATTTTACAGTATTTCAGATACCTCAATTGATTACTTTTTTCCTGTCTGTATAGAGTGTTTTTCGCCTATCCTTCAAAAAAGACTCCTTCTTATCAGCATTTGGTCATATTCGAGCCCCATCAAATCAATCAAAATTCTGAGTAATAGAAAACTTTGTATCAATTATTGAACTATTTTTTCTTTTTTATCAACAAAAAGCTTGTGAAGTTTATGATTATTAAATTGTACTAACCTTTCTTTTTTACCTTTGTGAGTTTTTCTCTTTCCACCTGCTTTGTAAATATGGACATTCCTATAGATTTTTTTCTAGCTTATGTTCTATCCTCATTTTACATGTTCTGTGCAACAATTTTATCTTCATGTATGTTTTAAGTTGGAATGGTGATATGCAGGCCCTTTCAGCTCAGACTCAACTCTAACTATTGAAACTTAGTTCTAAACCAGGAAGGAGGGGAGTGGTCGTGAAAATGAACATAAAGCCTGACAGGTAAACGACTGGTAAACCCATGAATGTCCTGAAGGCATGTGATGGTAAATTAATCCCAGTTACCACGGTTGGAATTGTCCTATCAGCAATAGGAGACAATCTATTGTACCAGCACAAGGTGGTCCATTGCAATGTATTCAATGAATCTGGGACACTAAAAAGATTACACTTGCATGGAAAAAGTTAGCAAGAAAAAAATTAGTAAGTACGTGCTTTTAACACAAGAAAAATCTTCTGAAGTGGTCTGAGCCCTGGATAGAGAAGGGGAGAAAACTTCTTAAGAAAATTTATGACATCAATCCTGCCTCTTTTTGGGGGGTAGGATTTGGATTTTAAATTTTTACTATCCATTATTATTTATTTGTGGGATATAAAAATCAAAACACTTGAACTTACGGATACAGAGAGTAGAAGAACGATGATTACCAGAGGCTGGGAAGGGTAGTGGAGTGTTGACGGGGAAGGTGGAGATGCTTAACAGGTACAAAAAAATAACTAGAAAGAGTTAATAAGACCTACTATTTAATAGTCCAACCAGCACTTTGGGAGACTGAGGTGGGCGAATCAGGAGGTCAGGAGATCGAGACTATCCTGGCTAACATGGTGAAACCCCATCTCTACTAAAAATACAAAAATTAGCTGGGCGTGGCAGCGCGTGCCTGTAATCCCAGCTACTCAGGAGGCTGAGGCAGGAGAATCGCTTGAACCCGGGAAGTGAAGGTGGCAGTGAGCCGAGATCGTGCCACTGCACTCTAGCCTGGCGAGAGTTAGACTCTGTCAAAAAAACAAAACAAAACAAAACAAACGGTGGCGCGGTGGCTCTTACCTGTAATCCCAGCACTTTCGGAGGCCGAGAGGGGCGGATCATGAGGTCAGGATATCGATACCATCCTGGCTATCACGGTGAAACTCTGCCTCTACTAAAAATACAAAAAATTAGCCGGGCGTGGTGGCGGGCGCCTGTAGTCCCAGCTACTCTGGAGGCTGAGGCAGGAGAATGGCGTGAACCCGGGAGGCGGAGCTTGCAGTGAGCCGAGATCGCGCCACTGAACTCCAGCCTGGGCGACAGAGCGAGACTCCGTCTAAAAAAAAAAAAAAGTACAACAGGGTGGCTATATACAATAAAAACTTAATTGTACAGCTTAAAATAACTAAAAGAATGTAACTGGATTGCTTGTAATATAAAGGATAAATGCTTGAGGTCATGGGTACCCCATTCTCCATTATGTGATGATTACGCACTGCATGCCTGTATCAAAACTTTTCATGTACCCCATAAATATATACACCTACTATGTACCCACAAAATTTTTAAAAAATAAATAAAATTACACTATCTATAGAGTCAAAAGAATAAAAAGTCAAAAGTTAAAGATAAGTCTGGCTGGTATGACTCCAGGATCTAAGCAGAAACAAAGAAAATCTGTTTCATGTTAACTATTCTGATGGATATAAGTAGTAATGTGCCTTTTCCTCAAATCAATGGTAAATATTCATATATTTATTGGTTATTAGACATCTTTGTTTGTACAAAACCTGTTCAAGTCACTTGTTCATTTTGTCCAGGACCTCTTTTCCTAACAAATTTATTGAAATACTTAAATATGTTTTTACATGTACCTTGTAAATGTGTGAGTGGTAATATATTTTCCCATGCTAAACTTTGTCTTTTTAAACTCTTAATAGTGTCTTTTGATAAGCAAAAAGCCCTTCCTTTATGTAAACTTGTACTTTACTTCTCTAGATTAGTGTTTTCTAATTTAAAATCTTTCACACTCATCAGAATTGCTTAAATAAAAAGCCAAGCAGTACTGATTGTTGGCAAGTGTGTGGAGAAACTGAACATCTAGTGTAAATGGGCCCAACTATGTTGGGAAAATGTCTGTATTGAACTAAAACTGAACACTTGTATTCCATGTGACCCAGCAAGTCAACTTTCACAGAAGCACTGCCTATATGTAAAAATAGCTATATGTATTTACCTAAAGATATACACACAATGGTTGGTACCAACCCTGAATATAATAGCCCAAAACTAGAAACAACTTAAATGTACATCAACAATAGAATGGATACATGAATTGTGCTGTATTTATACAATGGAATGATGCAATGGAATAAACTGTGTCTACATACGAAAGTTCAAGGTCTGAAGATTTTTTTTCCTTTTGACCAGTAAATTGATTTTTATTATTATTGTTGCCTTTATAGCTCTAAGACTCTTCCTTTATCCTACAAGTACAATAATTTCCCTTCAGATATGTCTTGACATTGATTATTCATTAATGCATCACTGCAGATTCAGGTCTTTCTTTATTTCAATAAATGGATCTTATATTTTGAAGTGTTTCTGCTTTTTTCTTTATTATCTCCTCTTCCTCAACAACAAACATCATTAATAAGTTCAATTTTTTTTGTTCCATATATAGCTATTATTTCCTCCCAAATAATACATAAATCTTTATTTTCCCTATTGTTATTTTCTCAAATCATTCCTCTGTTTAACTATGGTTTTAGTCTTTCCTTTTTTTTACTTTTCAGCTTGTAGCATTCTATAGATTTGTTTTTCTTTTCCTTTCATATTCCTTTCATTCCTGAGTTCTGAAAGGACACTTTTTAATGGCTTTTGTTATCTCATTATTTTTATATGAGTCCTTGAACCTCCTATTTGAGCACCTTTTTCAAAGAAAACTATTTTCTTTAATCTCTGCCATAGCATAGAAAACAAATAAGTATCAGATTATTCTCATTTCTTTCTTTTCTCCTGTTTCTTTTTCTTTTCTTTTTTTTTTTTTTTTTGAATTTTTTTAGGCAGAGTCTCACTTTGACACCTCGGCTGGAGTGCAGTGGCACCATTTTGGCTCTGCAACCTCTGCCTCATGGGTTCAAGTGACTCCCCTGCTTCAGCCTCCAGAGTAGCTGGGATTACAGATGTGTGCCACCACGCCCGCTAATTTTGCATTTTCAGTAGAGATGGGGTTGCACCATGTTGGCCAGGCTGGTCTCGAACTCCTGACCTCAAGTGATCCGCCCGCCTCAGCCTCCCAAAGTGTTGGGATTACAGGCACGAGCCACTGTGCCCAGCTATTCTAATTTCTGATTCAATAATTGTGATGTACACGTTTTATGTCTTTTTTTATCTATTCATTATTTTTAGCTTTTTAAAAATTGTATTATAAAATATCCATAAACATGTTTCAATTATTGTCAGAGTGATATTCTTCCTAAGCTAGTTATTTGCTAATAACTTTTATATGCGAGGGTTAAGAAAGTCAGCTGGGGAAGCGGGGCTTAGGGACGTTTTCACAGTTTTTTCCTCACACCTCAGGCATGAAAAAACACCTCTGTTCTGTATTTCTTTTCCCTTTTTCTGTTTTACACCAGAGTGATATATTTTAGAATGGTTTGTTTTCATCTGCTTGCTTTCTTGCTAGGTCATTGATACTGTTTTTTAAAATTTTTCTTCATATTTATTTGGGGGGGGTACCAGTGATTGATGAGACTATTAATTTAGTAGAGACAAATATTAAAAACTTATCTTCATTGATGCAATGAACTTCATTTCAACCAAGGGGGAATTCATAGAATCTGAAGTAAGAGAGAACATAAGATTTGCATTTTAAGATCTGTTGTGTCAGAGTGAACGGATTTTTAATAGGAGATAGAATATTTAATGTGAATATGTTGAAGCTAGTGGGATATAGATGAGGATTGATAAAGTAAGTGACCAATAAATGGCTATATGAATGTGTCAAGAATCCACAACATCAGATACAAATGAAAAATGCTTTGAAATTAGAAAAATAACACACTGAGCTGGAGAGTCCTCGGGAGAATATTATAATAGTTTCTTTATGGCAGCTAAAGTCATATTGTGAAGGTCGTTTTACACTGATTTATTAATTAATTAATGTATTTACTTTATTTAATTATTATATTTTGAATGCCTACTATGTGCCAGGCTAGGAGCTAGGTACACAGCAAAGACCAAAACAGAAAAAAGGTTCCAACCCTCATAGGTATCCATATACGTAGAGTGAAGAGAGACCTATAAAAAATGAATGGGAGAACATGTAATGTGGAGTCTGTAATTGAGATAAAAAGCAGACAAAACAAATAAGATAAAAATAAGGAAAGAATGATGTAAGCCTAGGGAAGAGATGACGAAGAAAGTAATCATATATTCCTTGGACAACAAGCATTTATTGGATACCTATTATATGTTAGGAATAACACAATTGATAACAGCTAAGAGCTTTCTGTTTAATTCAGTGCTTAAGTTTGAACGGAACTTTAGAACCCATAAAATACATAGAGAGGAATGTTTTCTAGTGATATAAGGTGAACCATGACAAAATTTCAGTAGAGGAAAGAGTTTAGAGAAGGTGAAAATGCTTAATAATACTTGATACAACAAACATCAAATAAAGTCAGAAATATGAAGTTTCCATTACATTTGGCTATTGGCACCATTGGTTAAAGCTGCCCAAGAGAGAAAGATACCTGTTTGCATGTGATTGAAGAGCCTGGGTGAGGAAAATTTGAATAAAAGGAGGCAGAATACAGAGATAAACATGAATAAATACATAGTGCGATAGTTGCAGGAGTGCACAGATTTGGGAATTTTGTTGTTGTTACATTTTACTTACTGTGGAAAGTACTTTATTTTTATATGTAGAGACAGAAGAGTGACTGGAAAGAGAAGTAAAATTGTAGAAGAGGGAATGTCCTAAACCTACAGAAACATTTCAGTACTAAGACAGGAGAGGATAGAACCCAAAGCAGAGGCCATGAATATAAGTTTCCAAAAAAAAAAAAAAGTGCACCTGTCCCTTGAAACTGAGGACAAGGAAGCAAATAGTTGAGTTTTTAAGTAGAAAATTACAATGCGATTGGCAAATCAAATGCCTATGAATCTTAATGTCTTTTTGGTCTAGATGATTCTAGTGATGTGTAAGGCAAGGTTGATGGCTAAGCAAGGAAGAGGGCAGTGACATAGAGGGTACTTCACGGTCATGATGTCTTGGAAGTGCTAATTCATGGGATGCTCATGGGATGAGGAATTTAAATGGGAAGGTAGTTGAAATGATCAGTGAAGATTTAATAGAGAGCTGTGGTCCAAAAAACAGATACTGAGTCAGAAAAAATGGTTTTGAAACACACTTCTCCTACTTACACATTTCATGACTTTGAGTTTCAGATTGAATGATAGTAAAAATAATTTATTTGCCATTAGATTGCTATGAGAATACAATGAAATATTACAGGTAAAATAGACACTATGTCTCAATAAATGCTAATTATTATTTTTTGATTAGTCAGAAGATTCACAATGACAGGGTAGGAGACTGAAGAGTTTGTTAAAATAGAAAAATAGCAATGGGTTAATGTGCATTTGATATATGTAGATCAAAAATTGGCAAGAAAAGACTGGAAGGATAAATTATTCTGGTAAAGCAATACTGAAGATTAGTATTTATTATTTAACATATGACAAAATTATGCCTGATGTCAAGATGTAAAATGTAATACATATTTTTCATAACATTTAAAATTATTTTGGGGATTCTTAGCAGATTTAGAATGTTTTCACCTTCACATTTCTTATTCACTCTTCAGTTAATCTTCATCTACATTTTGCCCTCACAACTCCAATGCATTGCTTTGATATTAGCAATATCTTGTAACAACTTCACATTATGAAATTCCAAAAAAGCTTTTTCTGATTCCTAATTTTGTTTGACCTAGCAACAACATTCAATACAATTGAAATTTCCCCTTCCTTTCGCACATGTTCCCATCTCTTGACTAGCTTTTGAGCTTGTACTCTTTCCTCTCAGTCTTTCTATATCCTTGGCTGCTCCATCTTTATCTTGCAAGCAGACTTGCCTCCTCTCCAGTGATCTAAATATTGAATATAGGTGTCTTCAGTATATAGATGGCATTTAAGTTGTGGATGTGGGTGGCTGCCTTCGAAAAAAGAAGTGTAGATGCAGAACAGAGAAATTCCCAAATCAATATTCTAAAAAAAATAGATATTTAGAATTGCCGAGAATTTTCTTAGAAAATTATTTCTCAACTGTGACACTGGCTGCCTAAAACAGTAAAAAGAGCCACCTACCTCTATGGCTTCCTTTTTTCCATGGGAATTAGAATAAATATTATTTCTTTCTGCAAATAAAGCACTTTGATACTCTTTCCATAGTCTCCAATTCAGCCATTATTAAAGAGTCTGCATAAGCCATATTCATTTTTCATGGAACTCCCTAGCCCTGATCTTTTAAATTATTTATTTCAGGACCCCGACCTTATGATCGAATCTTCAACCACACTGCAGAAAATAATTAGATTATTTCCATACTTTGAGCCACCTTTCTTTCCACACATATTGGATGGTTGAGTGCATCATTTACAGCTCTGCCTACTGGATGTGTATCCTATCAACAATGCCCTTTAGGGTCAGTTTAAGAGGAGAGGGGAGTCACTGTTAAGAGACAGCAGTCTATTTTCCATAGCAACAACAGAGCACACCAAACTGTTAACCAGGCCTGAGTTTTTTTTAACTTCTACCAGCCGGTTGTAGGGAACCTTTCATGATTTCACCAAGCGTTATTATCTGCCTGAGGTACACCTAGCACCATCAGACCTGCAAGATTATATGCCCAATTCGTAGGCTGCTGTTCAAATGCAGAGCCCTCTCTTGCTCTCTGCTCCACTTAAAACCAGCAACCTTCTAAAACACTGTGTAAAGCGTCAGAGTAGTATCCATAACCCCTCCAAAATCCAAGAGGCCCACTAAATGTTACATCTTTTTATTTTAGTGGCTGGAGGCTCAAAGTACAAAACAAATTTCATAAATTAGAAAAATTACCTGGGGATGGACCACTAGACTCACTTAAACATCACAAGTGTGGCAGATCAACTAATATTTGAAAGGTTTATATCTTACCCTCTGGTTTGCCTGTATCTTTCTCACCAGGTAAGAGTACATAGAATACATGTAACTTACTACTTCCCTGGTTGAATTAGCAGATCTATCCTTAACATAGTGGGTCAACATGACGTTTGTAGAATATCAAGATGGTCAAGGTTCTTTTGAACATTATAACAGAGAGCAGGAGAGTTAACAGACCTGTGACAAAAACAATTAAAAGTTTAAGAACTGAGTGGTGGAAGTAGGATAGTCCTTATCAACATCTTTCTCCCTGACCTACAGATAAATATATGTTCCTGTCACCACACACTTAGTAAGTAGGATCCAAAACTCTGTTCATAGAGAAAACAAATTGCACAAGGGGCACTTACCAAAAATCTTGGTCGATCACCTTGCCAATTTAAGTTCCTCCGGCCACTGGGCCAGTAGGAAAAGAAGGGAGATAACCTTAAATGTGTCGTATTGTAACGTCTAAGGTTCTTGCCTAGCCACGCCAAAGAATTGGCGTGGCGGCTGCCCGTGACAAATGATAGAGACATGGACCGATAGAGAGAAAAAGCTGTAGGCTTTATTCGGCAGAGTGAAAGTACAAAGCCTCCGGTCCCGAACGGGTAGCCACTGTTGGTTTTGGGTGATTGCCTTTTAAACTCTTTAAGGCGGGAAATACCTGCGGCAGGAAGATGTTACCAGAGGAAGAAATAAAGGCAGTAAATTATTTTGTGACATGTCCTAGATTTTGAGGAAAACCGGAATTGCAAGTTAGGTTTTATCTGCTTTATGACCTTGCAGCGGCATGGCAAAGGAGACAGGATCTTTTAGGACTTTACAAAGTATGTTTACAAGGAATTGGAATTGGAAGCATAGATAAGGTCCCCTGGTCACAGAAAAACGGGCAGTTAACATTCCTTTTAGTTTTAGGGGAGGGGGAAGGGAGAGAGGGAGAGAGGGCGCAGGAAAGCTTACAGCAAAATTTTCGCTCTTTATAGTTTTCTTGGGGAAGAAAACACATGCGCAAGTCCTGGAGTTAGGAATATTTTAAGCATATATCTTCAATATTATCCATGCAGGACCGAAGTAAGTCCTGAAGCAGGAAATCAGTGAGTTTCACAGCTTTCTGAGCCACTACGCAACCCAGGAAGCCCAGATGGCCCCTCCTTTCAGTATCATCAATCAGAGCTTAAGGAGGGCAAGATACTTGAAGTCTAACTCACCAAGAGGATGAAGTTCTCATCATTCCATCTGACGAACAAGCGAGAACTAGCCAAGTGCTGGCCAAAGGTGAGTCAAATCTAGAATGACTGATAAAGGAAGAAGATGATAAATATCAGTTTTGCTTCTGGGACCACCTGCAGTAACAAGGACTCCATCTTGTTTGCTAACATTTTTTATGTCTCTGGAGGAGACTGAAATTGACAACTACTTTGAAGAACTGAACTTGTTCCTTCTTTTCTGAGAAAGAAGCAAGGGTCTCTTTTTCTAATAACAGCTTTGGGTACCATATAAAGGCATAAGTGCTATTTAATTGGTATGAAGGGTAAACTAATAAAGATTCAGTTCACGTACCACCCAGAATAACTTGGATCTCATTCATTTTCCTGCCTTAGCTGCAGTGACTGACTCTCATCTCTGAACACGAGGAGCGGTCTCGGAGTAGTCATGGACCCAGAAATGGGTCTCAGGCAAGGCCACTGTTGTGCCCTCCTAAGCATGAGCTGTAGCAACGTCAGCATCCAGTCCAACTGGGCTAAACTCGGGTCCAGCTGGGAACTTCTGTGCCCCTAGGGGCCCAGATCTGGTGAATTATTTTTCTACAAAGATTTTTATTAATAAGAGACTGGAGATACTACATAGATGCGTCTTTCTCTTCTTCCCTCAAGGAACTGATCTGCTATCTGTGGTTCTGAGTAAACTCATAGACATATCACACGACAGAGAAATCCTATTTGTTTTCTTTGAAACTATGCTCAGTTTAATAAAACCCTACCTTTTATTTTCTGTCCTTTTTTCATATTCTTGCTTTTGTCTGATTTTCATGCCACCAATAAAAATTAGCATGTAAGAATTACCTCGTGCTCTACTTTCTAGGAAACAAAGGCTAAAATGTAATGTTTATGGGACAAACAGATAAGATAAAATTGATAGCAGGATAAAAGACAATTTAAGCATTTTATAATCCTACTATTAGGCACAACATTTATACCTTTTAGTTACTAACACTTATGTTCTAGCTCTCATAATATTATTGAAACTATAGGCAGTACTCCAAAAAGCAGAACTATGAGTCTTCCCTTTAAAAAAGTCTTTCACAGCTATGTTTCCCAAAGACAGTTTTTTTTTCCAGTGTGAACAGATGCAACAAATTAATTTTTCCCCCATGCAGAACTATAAAAATACTGCAAATAACCTGTCAGTTTTGACCTTTAAAATGATATTGGCCTTTTAATCTCATAATGGTAGAAATGCAATAAAGTGTAGCTGCACATAAACTGTATTTTAAAACTCCTCCACAATGATGGATAAAGCAAGAATCAGGAACAGAAAAACTGAGTGTTTCAGTGCAGTCACATATAGGGAGCACAAGAGTGTTTATGGACAATTAATTTTTCTTCGCATCTATAAAAAAAATGTGTATATGAGAAAATCTTACTATTCAGGGATGTGTAACTAGGTTTTTACACCATGTTCAGCAACAACAAACTCAATTTTTACCTAGTATTAAAATGAGTTTGAAGAGAAGGATAATGTGACAATGAGAAACATATGAAACAGTGAAAAGTTCATGCCTATTTAAAGGCAGCCTTACATTACATAAAAGCTTATGTAGCAATACCAATGAAAGGGCAATAAAAGAGACTCTTTTATGCTAAATTAGAGATGTATATTATAGATTCCTTTTTCTTAATGCTTTGTCAGAGGATCACCCACAATTATCTCTCCTTCAAGAGAAGGCTCCTATTATGCGTTATCAGCAATTCCAATTTGACACCTCTGTAATTATGACGAGGCTACATACTTTTCCCTCACATCTTTTGATAGGGACAGAGACTCCAAAGCCACCTGTTTAAGCTACTGAGCCTCCTTTATGTGGCACCAGGTCCAGGACTCTCAGTTCTTGATCAAGTAGCCAGTTACTTCTGGAAGTTAGAGGAATTGTACAGCAATGTGAAAGGTGCTTATAACCTCTTGCTCCCAGTTCCTTAAACTTCAGAATGAAAGTCATGTTCCTACCCACAAATACCTGCTTCTAGCTTCTTTGACGTTTTTAATAAACCTTTTTACCAAACAGTCAGGGTCATTTTAAGAAGATGCCTTTGAAACTTGGGATAAAAGACATGGAGTCAATGAGATATATGGTGTTGAGCCCTGTCTAAATGGAAAGACAGGCAGAGACAACTGAATTTTAACTCTAGGCAATGTTAGAGTCAGCCAGATAAGGAAAAAGGTGAGCCAGACAACTTTCAGGGGTTACCATCTATTAAGGATCCCTATCATATAATTAGAATAATTGAATGTGTTGCCAATTACCTTTTTTATTCTTTTGAAATATGACAAAATGTAATATACACCAAATCTCACCTAAACAGAATATGACATTAAAACAATTAACCCTCTGTGCTAGCTCCTATCTCTTATCTTGTCATACACATTTCCTAGTTTCAAGTTGCGAGGTCAAATTGAACTTGATTCTTATACCAATTCCTGGTAAACAAGAGGAGCCAATGAGCACAACCATCTTTAATTTCCGAACGTGCCTAACAAGAATGAAGGGTGTATTTAAATGTTTACATTTAAACTCTTACTATGTTTTCTTAGAAAAATACATCAAATAAACTGCACAGAAAACTTAACGGTCAAGTTGAAAACATTTTCTTAATGTGGACCTAATTAAAAAAACAATAGAAACAACATTTCAAACCTAGCCTGGGACAAGACTTGGAACTATGTCTATGTATGTTATCTCTAAACTTGATGAGTATGAGTACCTTCTGACACATGTTTTCCATTTATCAATAATGGATAAATGAAAAATGACAGGCAGTATAAAATAAGCAAAAATGTGACAATATATTTAAATCTTTTGTAATATTCATAAAGTGCCATAGTAATTGTATTTATTGAAAATCAATTTATCCATGTTCCCACTAAATAAATGTTGAACAGTATTTAAACACCATAAGTTTGAGTCAGAATTTTTAGACTACTGGGCTAAGACAAGGTGTAATGGAAAGTATGTGGCCCAGAAAGCCCATTGCTTATATGAAATATTTCTTGCCAACCTCTATTTCTTCTATGATAGGGTACAACAAAGTTTTTCCATTTTTAATTTGTTAAAATTACAACTTTAGGCAAATTAAAATTAACAGAGTTGAATTGAGCCAGAAGAAATATTTTGCAAGTTTTGGGTAGCCCTCAGAATCAGAGCAGATTCAGAGAGATTCCAGGGTGTTGCTGCCTCATGGTTGAAGATTTATAGAAAGAAAAGAAGAATGAGGTACAGAAATGCAGGACTGGCTACAGCTGGAATTTGCCTTATTTGAACACAGTTGGAACAGTTGACTACCTGTGAGTGGTTGGAATATTGCGCTGTGATTGGCTAAGACTCAGCTACTGTTGCAGAAGCAAACTCCTAAGCTAGGTTTTCAGTTTGCTCACCTACTGGGTTAGGTTGCAGTGCACACCAATAACTCAAATATGCAAGTAAGTAATATTTATCAGACCAGATTTTAGTTTGATTTCTCAACTATATCTATTCAAAAATGAACTCAAAGTACCAATTGGTAGAATTAAGCAAGGGAAAAAATAAAAGTCATATATATTAGATTGGAATAAATAAATCTGTCTTCATTCACAGTTGATGTTTATACACATATAAAATATTGAGGAATCTATTTAAAAAGCTTCTAGAATTACCAAGTGAGTTTAGCAAGGAGACAGGTTACAATGTCAATACACAAAACTCTGTATACTAGCAATAAAAACTTGAAAATTGAATAATTTAAAATATTGTGGTAGCATCAACAAACAGAAAATACTTTATGACAAAGTTGACCAAATAAAGGTAAGTTGTAGGGACTAGATATTGCAAAACATTACTGAGAGAAATTAGAGAAAACTTAAGTAAGTGGAAAAATATACCATTGTCAATCTAAAAATAAAAGGCTGAGGCACAAAATATAAAGAGTTAACTTGAGCCAAAGTGAAGACAGCTGATGGGAATGCTCAAACCCAGATAATCTTGCATGTGAGCTTCCTTTGGCCTTTTTTACAAGCAGTTTTTAAAAGAAAAAAAAACAGGGTGGGGTGGGGGGACATGGAATGGCCTGATCCAAAGTTGTTTGTGAGCAATTCTCATTGTTTTGCAGAAATAACATTGATTAGTGATTTGCTATATATTGTTAAGCTATAGGGTATAGGTTATAGTGTCAGGTGTACCATTATTAGGTAAATTTATAGCTACTTGTGGCAATAGTAAGCAGTTTTAAGAGATGGAAACATAGCTTAAAGTGAGGAGTAGGACATGATTGCTTTATCATTTTACTTTCTCTCTGGGCCTTATAGTTTAAAAGAACTTGTATTCCTCAGATAAAAGTTCTTTTCTTTTCTGACCATGATCATTGATTGAGAGACCCCACACTTGATCTTAGCCAAAAGGCTGAGAAGCAATAGACAAACTCAATATTATGAAATTATCCCTAAATTCTTCTATAGGTTTAACAGCCTTCTTTTTGGAGAAATAAACAAGCTGATTCACCTACAACAATTTTGGAGGAGAAAAATAAAGATAGAGAACATACTTTACATAAGGATGTTTATCCTTATGGTTAAGAATTATAAAGCATAATGATAAGCAAACAGATCAATAAAACAAAATAAGGGCCAGAATGATATTCACTCATATGTGGTCAAAGGTGCCAAAATTGATCAGTATGGTAAAAAGTAGTGTTTTAAAACATGTGATCATGGAAATATGATTTCCTTTTATTTAAAAAGTTAGAATAGCAAAAATGCAAAAGACAAGTTATTTGAACTATTCATATGAATTGCTAATTCTTTCTGGCAAATGGTAAATATAGTCAATTTTATTTCTTTCTGTGTTCACTTAAAAAAAACAAAATATTTCTCTTCATTTATTCATGTGTAGTCAATCAAAAATTATTTAGCACAAATTATGGGCCAATGACATAACAAAGAACTGATTGTAAAATCAGATGAATATGAACCAAAATCTCAACCAATATCAAACTTTACTAATGATCTTCTAGATATACAGATAACACAAAGTGTGGTCTGGGTCTTACAGTGCTATTCTCAGGCTTTTCTTGTTGCATCAGGATGCAGACTGTTTCGTGGTAACATGAATTTTTCCAGCAATGTGTGTGTCCACATATTACTCACACAGAAAGGAATCCTTTAAATCACGAAAAGCCCACTTGGTGAGTAAAATAGAGCAATTTCCCTTACTTTTTAATGCCTTGCATTGAGAGACTAAATGTTTCACAAGAATTCACACATTTAGTCCTATTCCTATATTACAGATGAAGAAATCGAGGGCCAGGGTATTTAAGTAAATTACTCAAGGCCACTTAACTGGGAAGTGGCAAAGTCAGGATTTGTATCAGTATCTTGGCCTTTAACTGCTAAACTATAATGCCACTTTCAGGCTGGCGAAGGAGATGGAGGTATATGTCAAATGTTCAAATTATATTGTATATAGATTAGGTAAGTTAGAGTTCTATCTTAGTTTATCCATAGTTTTTGAGAGTTCATATTAACTTTACTCGGTTATATTAATTATAATGACTCCTGCAAAATTTGATGGAGTTTGAAAAAAGGTCTTCAAGTCACAAATTCATTTTAGTTTTATTATCCATTAAATATAAAACTCTGTATAACATTCTAAATGTATTTTATAATTTCAAAAATTAAATAAAGTATCATGTGAAGAATTGACTCTTCTCTAGAAACACAAATGAAAACCAAAATCCAGTAAATCATGTGGATAGATTTTCAATAGAGTTCTGAGGGAAAAAATTGATTAGGATCTGTAGTCATCTTGGATGTGACAGGAAAGTGTTAAAGATTATGCTATAGTACCTTACTTTCCAGTAGTAAGTTCCTTGTATTCTTGACAGACATGGCTTCTGCGTTTCAGAAACTGATTCTTTTTGAGTGTATGAAATTTCCTCGAGGGATGTAAAAGAGCATTGTGTTAAAAATTAACTTCATATGGTTAAAAATTAACTTCAAACTATTGGTAACCTTTACTATAAATTATGTGCTTATATTAAAGAAGCAAAATATATGGACCTTTTTCAAAGAGAGTTGCTTTAATTTATTAAACATTATAATTTAGAACAACTCTTTATATGCAACAATAATTAAGATACAATTCACAAAAGATTATACATAATTATATATTTTGATATTTTAAAACAAAATATAGCTAAAGTAAATTGAATAAAACAAAGAAATTGAACACAAGGACAAGAAAGCAAGCAAATATTATCTCACATTTTCCAAGGGGATAATAAAAATCAAATCACACTTTAAAAATAACTTCCCAGACCAGGAACGGTGGCTCAAACATGTAACCTCAGCACTTTTGGAGGGCGAGGCAGGAGGATTGCTTGAGCTCAGGACTTCAAGACCAGCCGTTTAAAAAAATTAATAAAAAAAAAAATAACTAGGCGTGGTGGTGCATGCCTGTAGTCTCCAGCAACTTAAGAAGCTGAGGTGGGAGGATTGCTTGAGCCTCAGAGATAGAGGTTGCAATGAGCTTGGTCATGTCACTTCACTCCAGCCTGGACAACACAGCAAGACTCTACCTTTAAAAAAGGAAAAATAAATAACTTCCCTAAAACATAAAGAATTGATTAAAACATTCAACAGTTTTGTACAGGTAAAAGGAAATACCTTTTTAGCTATTATAAAAACAGTAATACATATACTTTAAATACCAAATGTTATCCTGATAATTTAATACAGTGTATTTTTGAAAATAACATTGACTCCAGAAAAAAAGACATAGTTCCAGTTGTCATTTTTTATGTGTGTTTTGCACTCCAGCAGAAAAGAAAATTTAAAACCTTGATTAGGTTTTCATTTTCAGAAAAAAAATGCTATGTGTATACCATCGTAGTCTTCAAATCTATGACTGAATTACTTACAAATAATTTTATAATGAAGTTATTAATAAATTAAAAGTTAAAGTGCTTTGATCCAACTTTGATAAGCAACTTTGTAAATATTACACAAATCCACATTTTACTGACCACATGCTGTGTTTGTGATAGAGAGAGGAGAGAGAAAAAGAGGGAGCAATATCTTTCTCGGATATTCCCTTCTATCCTAATTAGGAAATTTCTTAGCTCTTTGTGTCATCTCTTAGGAATATACATACTGCGGCATTGACAGGTAGAGACTAATGTTAAGATGAGACAGGTCTGAAAGGCGAAGATTTCTCCTGAGAGCTAACATTTTCAGAACAAATTGGGCAGCTGACAAATATTTAGTCTCTAGACCTCAGAAGATAGTTAAAATCAGTGATCTCCGTGTGGCTGGAGAAAACAATTAGTAAAGATTGTCTCAGAACCCAAACGTTTGTTGTGAGTCTCTTCAAATGCCTCTTGGGTGATTTTTTTTTTTTTTTTGTCAATGTTTGCAGATTTGGGCAAGTTTTCTGAATTTGGCTGCCAAATACACTCAAGCAATTTTTCATAAGGGATTTGAATATAAATGAACAAAAAATTCCAATCCAAGATGAAAAAAGAAGGGATAAAGCATGATTTGGAGAAAACTTCATTGTGAGATTTGTCTCTACACTAAGTTCAACTTGAGGCCTCATTCTTTGGAAGAATTTTCATTAACTCTTAATTAAATCTCAATGCAAGAATTAAGGTCATTGATGTTTGTTATACTTTAAGAGTATATTTTTGAGGTTTATTTTTGTATAACTGAGACATTGGGTTAATTATGATACCAGCATTGACTTGACTGGGTAACAGATACATTCAGATACCATAAGCAATAAAATTAATATTTTAGATATGTTCATAATAAAATAATCTTTCTAATGAGTAATTAGGTTCCTTGGGAAATATTTTATTGTATAGGTTGTTAATACGCAAAATAAAATGCATATGATTGCTTTTATTAAATAAATAGCTGATAGCTCAAAGTGTTGCCAGCATTATAGTCTTGGAAGAATTATCCTTCATCAAATAAATGTTTGACCTGGCATATTTCCTGAAGCTATCTATATTTTTTATCCATGTTAGGTTTTAGCATATGAACTTGAACTTTTTTTTTTTTTGAAACAGTCTCTCTTTGTTACCAGGCTGGAGTGCAGTGGTGCGATCTTGGCTAACTGCAACCTCCGCCTCCTGAGTTCAAGCAATTCTCCTGCCTCAGCCTCCCAAGTAGCTCAGACTACAGGAGTGCACCACCACGCCCAGCTAATTTTTGTATTTTTAGTAGAGACAGGGTTTCACCATGTTGGCCAGGATGGTCTCCATCTCTTGACCTTGTGATCCACCCGACTCGGCTTCCCAAAGTGTTGGGATTACAGGCATGAGCCACTGCACCTGGCCCAATCATTGTTATATAGTGAACTACTCTCGGATTTTAACTAATGACAGTATATTAACAAGCACATTATTTATTGACAAATAGTATACCACCTAGAAAGGCATTAATGTGTTTGCAGAATGTACATTATTTAATACTCAGTGGGCCCAGATAGAACTGAGATTTTAATGAAATGATAGATTTGTATTAATTTGCATGTCATATGTTCAGCCCAAACTAAATATGACTTACTTTTTATTCATTCAAAAATATTTATTTACCAGTTACTTGGGCACAAGTTTGCTTCTAGAGTGTGGAATTTCTATAAATTTACCAAAGACATGAGTGCTAAATTCATGGAGCTCAGCATTTATAAATTACCATCATCTCAAAAAGCCATTTGTAAAGACTGGCTGTTCGTGTTGTTTCTAAAACAGAATCACCTCCGAAGAATTAAAAATACATTACTTACATAAAATTACAAGATAATTTAAGCAAAAAAAAAAGAAAAGGAAGGACAAAAGGGAGAAGAAAGAAAGAAAAAGAAAGAAAGAAAGAAAAAGAAAGAAAGAGAAAAGAGAGAGAGGGAGGGAGGAAGAGAAAGAGAGAGAGGAAGGAAGAAAAAAAGAGAAAGAAAGAAGAAAGAAAGAAAGAGAGAAAGAAAGAGGGAGGGAGGAAGGAAGAAAGGAAGAGGAAGGAGGGAGGGAGGGAAGGAAGGAAGGAGAAAGAAAGAAAAAGAGAGTGTCCTTTAATTCTGAGAAACCAGATTATCAGTTACTTGCAAAATATTTTATTTCATTAAAAAAAAGATGCTTAGGCCTTCTTTTTCATTTCTGTAGAAAGGTATATTTAGAGTTTTAAGAAAAGTTCCTGGCATTTTCCTCTTTACAAAAAGGAAACTATTCTTATATTTTTTACCTGATTTTCACAGCAACAGGACCTCGTCCCAGAGTAATCAAAGTCATTCACCAGAATGCCCGTGCACTGTAACAAGGCCATCTACAGTGCAACCTGTCAAAGACGGAATCAGTTTTTAATGCAGAAAAGCCAGGAAGAAATAAAATGAAATGTCTGCCCTTAAGCAGTTCAGAACAGGGAAGCTGATTCACTGTGCCCCATTCTAGTTAAATGTAATAGATGTATTTCTGTATGTGTTCAAGCTACAGAGCTGCTGATAGACATTCTTTTTTACAAAAACTGCCTATAAACAATATTTTCTTCCTCTCAGTTTATTTTATTTGGAATGTGAGCTGCCTCAAGTTAATGAGATTGAGACTATTTCTCAGTGGATCAGGTGCTAGTTCAATAAGATGAATGAACAGCATTAAAGTTTACTTTGAAAAAATGATAACAATCCTTTCATTTATTTATCTATTGACACTGTCCATTGAATTCTCTTACATATTCTGTGAATTCCAGTTCCCCATATTTGCTTCAGGGTAACTTGTAAACTTTTAAAATATATAAGATAATATTTTTTCTAGTTTTCCCAATATGTATGTGTAATAATACTGGATTTTGCTCATATTAATAACTAATTCTGAGAAATAAAAGATTATTATTCTTTATTTGTTATAATTACACAATAATTTTCCTCCTATTCTGTTGATTTATGATAATTTCTTAATAATGATACATTCTGACATTCTTGAAGCTCTATTAGAATTAGATTTTTCACAATATCTATTATTTATGCACTGATTTATAAAGAGTTCATTCATTTGCATTTCCTGTCTTCACAGTGCACACATGTAAAATGATGGCTGTGCTTTCAAAAAATACACTTTCTCAATAGAAGGAAACTTTCTTATAATCCTTTTCTGTCTTAATTAGAAATGTTTTGAAAGTAAATATTAGATATTTACATCAAATTACTTCTCAATACCAGTTAAAATAAAACAATTATTACTGTAGGTATCTACTAATATTGTAATCGCATTGTAATAGGAAGAAAATGGGCTCCCTAAAAGATATCCAGGGCCTTATTCTAATCTCTGGGAACTGTGAATGTTTACTTTACGTTTCAAAAAAACTATAAGGGTCTTTGTGGATGTGATTAAATTTCGTATTTTCAGATGGTGGATTATAAAGCATTATCCTCCTGTGGCTTAAATGCCATCATATGCATCCCTTATAAAAGGGGCCGAGAGGAAAGTTTTGAACACATAGGGAAGGCAGAGAGGGATTTAAGCGTGCTGGCCTTGAAGACAAGTGATGGAGCCCCATGTGAGGGAATGCCTGCAGCCACCAGAAACTGGAAGAGTCAAGAACTGGTTCTTCAGGGCCTCAGGAATGTGTGTGGCTGGGATTTCAGTCCAGCGACAGTGACTTTGGAATTCTGGCATCCAGAACTCTGAAAAAATTAATGGAATAAATTTTGGTTGTTTTAGGCAACCAAGTTCATGCTGATTTCTTACAGCAGCTCCTAGAAACTAAGAAATCTACCACACATATAAAATCGGAATCAAAAATTAATGAAAGGTAAATGATGCCTTAGTTTAGTTAATAGGAATGTACTAATGTTAATTTCTAATTTTCTTTGACAAAAGTATCAAGATTATGTAACATGGGGAAATTGAGCAAAGGGCATATATGAAAATTCTGTGGACTATCCTTTAACATTTCCTTAAGTATACAGTTATTTCAAAATAAAAAGTTTATTTAAGAAATGAAAAATAAATAAAATCTGTATCAGTTGGGGTTTCATTAAAGAAACAGTACCGTGTGTGAGTGTTTGTGTGAGTGTATGTGTGTGTTTGTGTGCCAGTGTGTGTGTGTTTGTGTGTGCATGTGTGAGTGTGAAGAGAGAGAGAGAGAGAGAGAAGGACAGAGAGAAAGAGAGAGAGACTCATTGTCTGATCTACAGAGTAGGCTGTCAGGAAGGACAGTCCGGAGCTCTGGGACATGAGCTAAAGCTGCAGTCTACAGGCAGAATTTCTTCTCCTTCCAAGAAAGCATCAGTTTGTCTCTGAAGACGTGTCTAGTTGAAAATGATGTCCAACCCAGAATGTCTGAGATAATGCCCACTATTTAGAATAAACTGAAAAGAACATTAATCACATTCATAAAATGCCTTTACAGACTAGTAATTGAACAAGTGAGGACTATCGCCTATCCACGTTAACACCCAAAACTGACTCTCGCAGGTGTTACAGTTTGCTAGGGCTGCCACAGCAAAACACCACAGACTGTATAGCTTCAAGTTTTCAGATGACATGATTTTATATTTAGAAAACTTCATCATCTCAGCCCCAAAACTTCTTGAACTGATAAGCACTTCAGCAAAGTCTCAGGATACGAAAACAATGTGCAAAAATCACAAACATTCCTTTACACCAACAACAGACAAGCAGAGAACCAAATCATGAGTGAACTCCCATTCACAATCACTACAAAGAGAATAAATACCTAAGAATACAGCTAACAAGGGATGTGAAGAATCAATATCTCGAAAATAGCCATGCTGACCAAAGTAATTTATAGATTCAATGCTATTTCCATCAAACTACCATTGACATTCTTCACAGAGGTAGAAAACACTATTTTAAATTTCATGTGGAATCAAAGAAGACCTCATATAGCCAAGATAATCCTAAGTAAAAAGAACAAAGCTGAAGGCATCACACTACCTGACTTCAAACTATACTACAAGGCTACAGTAACCAAAAGAGCATGGTATGGGTACCAAAACAGATACATAGACCAATGGAGCAGAACAGAGACCTAAGAAATAACATCACACATCTACAACCATCTGATCTTTGACAAACCTGAAAAAGCAAGCAATGGGAAAAGGATCTCCTATTCAGTAAATGCTGCTGGGAAACTGGCTAGCCATATGCAGAAAACTGAAACTGGACCCCTTCCTTACACCTTATACAAAAATTAACCAAGATGGATTAAAGACTTAAATGTAAAACCTAAAGCCATAAAAATCCCAGAAGAAAACCTAGGCAATACTATTCAGGACATAGGCATGGGCAAAGACATCATGACAAAAATGCCAAAAGCAATTACAACAAAAGCCAAAATTGACAAATGGGATCTAATTAAACTAAAGAGCTTCTGCACACCAAAAGAAACTATCATCAGAGTGAACAGGCAACCTGTTCTCCTACAGACTAGGAGGAAATATTTGCAACCTACACATCTGACAAAGGTCTAGCATCCAGAATTTACAAGGAACTTAAACATATTTACAAGAAAAAAACAACTCTATCAAAAAGTGAGCAAAAGATATGAACAGACACTTGTCAAAAGAAGACATTTATGGGGCCAACAAACTATGAAAAAAAGCTCAACATCACTGATCATCAGATAAAGGCAAATAATAAGCACAATGAGATACCATCTCATGCCAGTCAGAATTGTGATTATTAAAAAGTCAGGAAACAGGCTGAGCATGGTGGCTCACGCCTGGTAATTCCAGCACTTTGGGAGGTCGAGGAAGGTGGATCATGAGGTCAGGAGTTCAAGACCAGCATGGCCAAGATGGTGAAACCCCGTCTCTACTAATAATACAAAAAATAGCCGGGCATGGTGGCGAGCAACTGTAATCCCAGCTACTTAGGAGGCTGAGGTAGAGAATTGCTTGAACATGGGAAGTGGAGGTTGCAGGGAGCCGAGATCATGCCACTGCACTCCAGCCTGGGCAACAGAGTGAGACTCCATCTCAAAAAGAAAAAAAAAAAAGTCAGGAAACAATAGGTGCTGGTGAGGCTGTGGAGAAATAGGAACGCTTTTACAGTGTTGGTGAGAATGTAAATTAGTTCAACCATTGTGGAAGACAGTATGGTGATTCCTCAAAGAGCTGGAACCAGAAATACCATTTGACCCAGCCATCCTACTACAGGGTATATATCCAAAGGAATATAAATCATCTGCTATAAAGACACATACACACGTATATTTATTGCAGCACTATTTAAAATAGCAAAGACATGGAACCAACCCAAATGCCCCTCTACGATAGACTGGAGAAAGAAAATGTGGTACATATACATCATGGAATACTATGTAGCCACAAAATTTTTTAAATTGTAAATATGTCTTTTTTCTACAGTACATATAATTTTATAATTATTTAGGGTGTTTACTATTTTCACCTGTTTCAAATGAAAGTGCCGTCAATTTTTAAAGATTTTTAATTCAGTGAAACATCCTACTAATTATTTATCTGAATTCTTTGTTTATTTTATATTCTCCCTATATTTTTCACCAGGGTCTATGTTGTTGAGATTGCATTTGCATTTATTTTAAATTCTGAAACTGATCACTAGGTTTCATATAAGGGTATTCTTCGTAGGAATGCCATCTTCTCAAACACTAATAAATATGTTGATTAAGTTAATTGCATTTTTTGCATTAATTCTTCTATATAACAGATAATTATTTCATATGTTCCAGCTGGTATTTCTCTTCTATACTCTTCTCAAATATTTGGCAAGTATAAGTTTTCTGTATAAATTTATAACAGTGGTTAACATTTACCAATGTTAATAGTTGTTTAGGTAGCTTCTTTTTAATCCCTAAGTCCAATATTAAATATTTTTCTTTTCCAAACAATAGATACAGTTTCAGTTTACGTGAGTTATGATTTTGATTGTAACTGCACATTGGAGTCTGGTCCAGCTTTCCTGTTGAATAGGAAGGAAGATATTTTCCTACAGGAACAAGAAATAGTCCTAAACACCTCCCAGCTCTAAACACTCTCTCTAGCTCCAATACCTTCTCTGAGAATCTGACTGAATCTCTTTTATTCTGGAATAAATGCTCTAGATACAGAAGATTATAACAGGTGTAACTGGAACAACACTAATAAAAGTTACACTTGACTATAAGACCATTCTCTTCCAGTTTCCAGGTCTGATGCATCTGAGGAATCAGGCTTCGAAATCTCAGTATTTTGAGGTTTCTTAATTTTGCCTATATTGTATTGCGGATATTTTTGCTAAGATTTGTCTTCTGATTTTGTTGGCTTTGTATTGTATAGAAGTATCTCAATAATTTATTCTTACAAGGGAATACTCTTAGTTTCTTGGATGGCTTATTTATTTTAGTTTGTGGATGTTTTGTAATTTCAATGTGATTTTAAAAAGAACTTAACACATATTCTTAGTCAGCCATCTTGAACCCCCAAATTTCACATTCCTTTTTTATAAATATTACCAGGAGGGAACAGAATAAACAGTTAACAGCAGTTAGTGTTTAACTTCATATATATTACTAGAGTACTTTGAATTATATTTGGAATTATTTAAATATAAGTTGAAATCAAATCCCTATTAGAAGAGATTGCACATCCTTAAATGTGATTATTTTAACTTTATTATGATTAATTTTACTGTAATTACATACCCATTTTCTGGAATTTAGTTCTCCATTAACTAAAATTAAGGGTATGATTAATGAATTCATCTTAAAAATGCTTTTAAAAAATTAAGCAAGAAATAATACACCAATAAAATAAATTTGAATTTGATTAGTAGAAAAGAAAAGTCATTTGGCTTTAAAGAAATTAAAATTAGATACTTCCTAGAATTTAAATTGCATGTAGATTAGAATTCCCATCAAGAATCTAACTTTAATTCACAAGCTAACACTGTCATATTTACCATTTATAACTTGAGTGTGAATGAAAAATCACTTTAAAAAAATTGGATTTCCAGATCCCCGTTCCCAAATATGATAATGTGGTACACACACACAAGACTAAATTCTTAAAAAGAATTCCAGGTGATTTTGATGAGAGACGCTGCTCAAAAATGGTATGTCCTCATTTTACCATGCAATTAAAAGGCACAACAGGAATTATCCATTTCATAATGCTGTAGCAGCACTAATTATACCAATAACAGTAACAATAATAACACTAACAATAGCAAATATAAATTAATTGCCTTGCAATTGTCAGGTGATCTGCTATGAACTTACATTAATGATTTTTCATAATCCTTATAAAAAATCTTAAAGGAGTTTCTACTAAATTAAATTCCTATCTGTAATAAAGAATTTAGTCTAAGAAAAAGGAAGCTATTTGTCTGATGTTAGGTAGGTAGCAATGAAAGTACCCTCTGACATTACAGACCTCTCCCACAGATAACGCTTCTTACCTAACAGTTCCATTCAGAGTCATCATTAATTTTAATAGCGAAAATTAAAAACATATACATATTTCATGTAATTTATAAATATAATATCATATTAGTATATTATATGGCTAACAGAAACATATTTGTAACATACAGTCTTCCCATGCACAAACAAGATAACTATATTTATTTCTATTTATTGAACTGTTCTTTTAAGACTTTCAATAATCTTCAATAATATTGAAGTTCTACAAATTTCTTGATAAGATTATAAGGGTTTTTTTGGTTCTACTTCAAAAGATTTTTTTTTCCATTATATTTCCTATCTGACTATGAGTTTTCATTAGGAAAAGTAATAGTTTGGGCATGTAGTTGGATCTCCAGACAATTTAACAAATGCCTTCTTTTTAATTTTGTTGTTGTGTTACTAGAATTTTCCAGGTAACGTACCTGTAAATTGTCATAGTTTTATACCACCTATCTAATGGATATGCCTCTCATGAAATCATAAGTTGTTGAATAAATACATACCAATAAAAAACTCTGTTAGGACCTAGTCAAATGCTAGAATGAAAAAAAAAATTACCGTGTCTTCATGAAGGTTACGATTTAATGGGCACTTCAGGAATTTGTCAAATAATCATTAAAAAGTATAATTCTGAACTATGATAGTTTACATTAAAAACGCATAAAACATCATGACAATATATTGCAAGGGCATGTATTTGCCAGTTTACATTTTAGGCAGCAGCTGCGGTTATTTAGACGTATTAAGAGTGAGCATTTTATCTGGGTGGCACTGTTAGGAAGCTTCAGACATCAGGGAAAATACGGTGCATTGGAGAACCTAAGGCTTTGTGCCTGGGGCACAGCTCGCAGAGACGGATACGAGAGGAGAGTGTATTATTTATTTCTGTGTAAGAAATTACTGCAAATGTAACGACTTAAAACAATAATTATGCATTTTCTAACAGTTTCTCAGTGTCAGGAATCTCACTGTCTCTTAGTTGAGAGCCTGTGTCTCTAGGTCTATTCTCAGATTATATTCAAGCTGTTGGCCTGCTGAGTCTGTGGTCACATCTAAAAACGCACGGTTTGGGTGCAGGGCTTGTAAAGCCACTTCTAAGCTCATTGATACAGATGTTGGTGTGCCTCCGTTCTTTGACATGAGAGCCTCTCTGTAGAGCTACTCCATAGCATGGCAGCTGGCTTTCCCAAGGGTGAGAACATTCAAGCGAGAGTGAGAGAGACCATTCAGGATAGAAGCTGAAGTCCTTTTACAGTCATGTTGGATATGAAAAGGCATGTTTTCTGCTATATTCTATATGTTAGGAGGGACTCCACAAGTCCAACCTCCACTGTTTCCATTCCTACACATGCATACTTGATAATTCAGATCTTCTCTTCCTCACTGTCTCCTGTTTCTGTTTCCTAGGTGTCCACAAGCTCTATTTGAACCACAAAAACTTTCATGTTGGCACATCAGTGCTTTGAAAAATACCTCCGGTGCCCCTCCTACCTTCATTGAGGACTTATCAGTTAAAGCTGGTGTAAGGTCTCAATTGTGCTTTCTCTTGCATCACCTAAATGTGTGTGGGAGCTAATGCCCCAGGGGTAAACCTGGAACAATAAAATTCAGAATTTGTGGACAAGTTGATTCCCATTTCTCCTCTCCAAAAGAAGATCCTCAAATGAAGTTAATAAACATGAAGAGTAATCATAGTATTCCACAATTTTTCCCACTTAGTAGTAAGCAATTCAATATCCATTCTTGTATTGGTTCTCTTTTCTTCCCCTGCTTTTCCCAACTTTGCCTCTCACTTTGCTCCCTGAAGTCGAACATAACTCCTTTGCCCCAGCCTCAACTTTCTGGAAAGATCGAGCCACCAGTGGATAGTTACAACGCTAATCTTCAAGGTACAATTTTGGAACTGGATTTTACCCTCAACTGAAACCAATAAGAATGCCAAGTAGTAGCTAAATTACAAACTTTCACCTGTAATTTGGATGAGGTACAGGTGGAAAGCGAGGAGCTGAAATATATAACGGCTTAGGAAATTGAACACTGTAGCGAAAAAAAAATAAGGATCATGAGGTTGTTGTCTCTTTTAAAAACTGCTGAAAATAAGAATGCTTTATACAGTTATTATTTTTACCACAAATTTTACTTTTTTAAAAAAAAGAAAGTTTCAGAAAATTAAAAGCTTACTTTTACCTATCTTTACCTGGATTCTCCAGATTTCAGTATTTGCTATATATCCTTTACTTCTCTCCCTCTCTATTTAAACATAAATGCACACACAATATAGATTTTGATTACGCATTTATTATTTGAAACTAGTTTTTAGTTATGTCACTCTTTAAGTATTTTAACATGTATCTCCTTTTAAAAAATATTCTACCTAATCACTTCTTGAGTATAATTGTTACACTCAATAATTTAACACTGAAACACAAAAAATGGTTTTTAATATACATGCCATGTAGCCAATATACCAATTTTCCTTAAATAGCCCACTGAATATGTTTCATAGATGTTTGTATTTCCTGTTTGCTTTTGATACAAGATTTAAAAAAAAGATCACATATTGGATTTCTTGGCCATAACTTTTTTCGTCTCTTCTAATCCATAATGGCCCTACGCCCCCTTTATTTGCATAACACGTAGGTTTTTGAAGTAGTGGTGGCCATGAGAATTTTCTTTAAAGACCATAAAATCCAGGGAATGAACTTGACTATGGGTTCACAGAAAAATCACTCTTAATTTATCACTGTGTTTACAGTGAGGTCACAAGCTGACCCTAATGCAGATTCCTGGAAGACAAGGGACTCCTCTGAGAGCTGAGGTTGTCAGTAGTGACAGCCCTCTATTTCCCATTCTTACTATGGGCAATTCTTTTTTCTCTCTCTTTTTTTTCTTGGTCACTGTGTTAGTCCATTCTCACACCACTATAAAGGAATACCTGAGACTGGGTAATCTATATAGAAAAGAGGTTTAATTGGCTCACAGTTGTGCAGGCTATACAGGAAGCATAGTGGTTTCTGCTTCTGGGAAGGCCTCAGGAGATTAACAATCATGGCGGAAGGTGAAGGGGAAGCAGGCGCATCTTGCGTGGCCCAAGCAGGAGGAAGGGGTGAGGGAAGGTGCTACACACTTTTTAAACAACCAGATCTCATGAGAACTCGATCATGAGAACAGCAGTAGGGGGATGGTGCTAAAACATTCATAAAGGATCTACTCCCATGATCCAATAACCTTCCCCCACCGGCCTTTCCTCCAACATCGGGGACTAGATGAGGTTTGGGTGGGGACATAGATCCAAACCATATCAGTCACTATAAGTAGAGGTTTATCAATTTTACCGAAATTTTTAAAAAATAATCTTTCACTTACATTGATTTTGTCTATTTTTTTCCATTTTTGACTTTATTAGTTCCTTCTCTAATGTTTATTATTTTGTTCTTTCTGCTTTCTTTGGGCTTATTTTACTTTCTTTAAATTTATTAAACTGACAGATTAGATTATTAATCTGAGATATTTCTAATATAAATATTTAATGATATAAATTACCCTGAAAACATTGCTTTAACAATATTCCACATACTTTGATACGTTGAATTTTTACCCTTATTCAGTTTCAACTTTTTTTTTTCTTTTTTTTTTTTTTGAGACAGAGTCTCACTCTATCGCCGAGGCTGGAGTGCAGTGTCCCAATCTCGGCTCACTGCAACCTCTGCCTTTTGGGTTCAAGCAATTATCCTGCCTCAGCCTCCCGAGTAGCTGGGATTAGAGGTGCACACCACCATGCCCAGCTATTTTGTATTTTTATTAGAGACAGGGTTTCACCATGTTGGCCTGGCTGGTCTTGAACTCCTGATGTCAGGAGATCCACCCGCCTCGGCCTCCCAAAGTGCTGGGATTACAGGCGTGAGCCACTGCATCCAGCCAGTTTCAACTATTTTTAATGAGTTTTGAGATGTGTTCTTTAACCCTGTTATTTAGAAATGGGTTATTTAATTTCTAAGAATTTGAGGTTTTAAAATATATGTCTGTTATTAATTTCTAGCTAATTTTCATTATGTTATTAGAATATAATTGGTATGATTTATACTATTTTAAGTTGGTTGGGTGTTTTTGGTTGCTGTTGTTTTTGTTGTTGTTTTTGATGGCTTAGATTATGGTTTACCTTGGAGAATGTTCAGTATGCCCTTGAAAAGAATGTGTATACCGCTGTTGCTGGGAAGCATGTTTTATAAGTGTTAATCAGCATATTTGCTTGCTAGCAAGTCTTCTATATTATTACTGATTTTCTGTCAAATTGTTCTATCAATTACTGAGAGAATATTATTGAAATCTGCAATTATAATTTTAGATTTGCCTACTTGTTTTCTAACATCAATTTTTGTCTTATTTATTTTGAAACTGTTATTAGGAATACATACACTTAGACCCATTATCTCTCCTTACAGAATTGACCCTTAATCATGGCTCCTTCTATTCCTGACATTATTCCTTGTGCTAGTCTACTTTTTTGATATTAATATAACTATTTTAATTTTGGAGGGATGTTTGTGTAGTATGTCTTTATTCATCTTATTATTTTTAACTTATCTCTGTCTTTATAAATTAACTGCACTTTTATAGACAATATAAAATTATAGTTTGCTATTTGATCCAATCTGAAAATTGCTGTCTTTAGAAAGTTATATTTAGGCCATTCATGTTTAATTTGATTATGGATATTGTTGGATTAAAAATTTAGCAACTTCCAGATGTTTTCTACTCATTTCATCTTTTCTATTTTTACCCACGCTCTACATACCTTGACATCAATAAACAATGATAAACTAGATTATGTCATTTTACCTCCTCCATTGATTTATTACTGATACATATTTTATATTTTTTAGTGATTTATCTGGGATTTAAAATATACATCTTTACATCTTTAATGACTATATCTTTAATTAAGCAGGTTCTGCCTTCAAATTATATGCTGCTTCACCTGTGGTATAAGGATCTTAAAACTAGCCAGTGCCATAAGGCCAGTAGTGTTACTTGTCTTCTTACAGATTAAGGCTTTTGTTTTGTCATGGAGATAGAGGCGGATGATAGGGGTAGTGGTACTTGTTCCTCTTACGTGGCTGTTGTTTTCTCCCTCTGTTCTCCATGACACTGGGCACTTCTTAGTGATTATTTTAGGCCTTTTCTGTGAGAGGCCAGAGAGGTTCATGGAGAAAGAACCTGCCAGAGCATGAGGACTCCCTCACATTCCACACTCTCCAGGTGTTTCACATGGTCCTGCCAGCCTGCAATTCTCCTCCCAGTTTGTCAGTTTTTTAGCTAAACTGTTGTTACCAGTGTCTGGGTATGTCTACCAAAATTATTTTTGTTTGAAAAAGTATCTTATCTGTTTATAACTATACTATAGCATGTTTGGAACTTAATCTGTCTCCTAGATGTCACCATCTTGGAAACACAACTTCTCACCTGACTAATTTTAAATTATTAATGTGTATTAACTGCTAGAACGTTTAAATGCTAGCAAAAGATACAAAGAAAATGTATTATAGGAGAATCCCTTGAAATATCATGCCCTTGGAACAGCTTAAACAAAATTTTTGCATATAAAATAGGGCAGCTTCTAAATAAAAGTAGTAAATTTCTCACAATTTGATGTAGCATTAAATAGATAACTCGCTAAAAATGATTACTTCTATCATAAAATGGTACTTTGTTGAGATCTATTCCATTACTGAAATAGCTGAAAATCAATGTGTTGTTGGGAAATACAAAGCCAGATGTGTATTTATATTGTGTAGTATACTTTAAAATAAACACTCAAGAATGTTAAATTATAATAGCTAAGTAATTTACCCTTCAATTTCAGGATTACTCTTATAAATTTTGACACTCATATTCTACATAATAATAGAGTCCTTTGGTTCAGGGTCCAAAATGTTTCCAAATGACTATAGTTGTTACAATGCCAAGCTGTTTAAGAGGTCATTGTTTTGTATCTCTTGCTTTTTCCTCAGCTCTTGCACCTCTTGCTTTTTTCCCATCATTTGCCCTATGCCATTTGGACAAAACAGAATTGAAGTAAAAAGCTTTTTTTAAAATTTTCCTGGTCCAAACAAATTCTTTGTATTAACTTTAATTGATCTGGGGTTACATATTTTTAAGTTCAAGGACTAAGACAACTGAAAGTATAAAATAGCATGCTTTTAATCGTTGTTGTTAAATGGTCTCTGCTATAGAAAATGTTAACGGTCACATAATATTACAAAAGTTAGATGTTTTAATATAGTATGAATTAACATATATCAACTTACATTAACTTAACCTAATTATAGAAATAATATGAAACAAAAATAACAGAAACATAGCAGAAAGTCAAGCTAAAGCTATTTACAAGATTTAATTTGATATAAAACAAAAAAATATACATTCATATCAGTCATTCTTTGGCAATTACTTTTCTACATTTCTTATCTGAAGCCTCTTGACTATTCAATCCTCTTTATTCCTTCAATCCAAATGACATAATAATTTCAGGACAACATAGAATAGTTCATCAAATGGGTCCAATCTCCCTTATTTTCTCTATTAAATATAAGACAAAAAAATTGAAATATAGACTCAATTGCCTTCACTTGTTGATAATGTGTCAAATACAATGGTGTTCACCAACTCAACCTATTTGGCCCCACTATTTGTCTAGTCATCTTTTATCTAAAGAATGCAATATGCCATGGTCCCAACAAGGAGATGAAAATAAGTCACTAAGTAGAGTTTTGGTGAATACCTTAAAGGATGGCCAGATTCCAGGGACCTGTACATTGTTTTTTCATCCATTCCCCTTCTTTATGCCTGGAAAAGGGCAGAGTGTCAGAAATTCAGCTGCATTCTATGACTGGGAGACTAGAACCCCCACGCTAAAGAGGGCAGAGCAGGAAGACAGAACTATATGTACTAGCCTTGAACTTCCTCTGAAATATTTGTTGCCTTATTGATTTGTCAATCTGTCATTTAAATTGCTTTTGATTTTCATTTTGTTTTGTATGTGAATATATATTCTAGCTGACATAAATGGGGTCCCTCAACTTCTGAATGATGGTAGGTGAATATGGCTCTTTTTGCTGATTGAGTTTACATAATAGCCATATACTCACACACTTTATACTTGAGTCTCTGAAGTTCCCAAGGGTTAAAATTGCATTGCAAATGGAAAAAGCATTATGCACTCTTAATACTTATCCTCAAGGATACTTTTTGGCTTGTTTTAAGAGACTGATTGAAAATCATTTACACCATTTAGCAAAGAAATGGGCAATATAGGGCAAAGCAAGATTTAACCTATATTTAATAGAAACTTACAACAGCAAAATACCTAAGACAGAGCGGGAGGATGAGACTTGTAATGAGGAATGCATGGTCTTTCTTGTTTTCCCAAGCTTGTTTGGACTCTTGTTTTCGAGACAGAGCATCATTGTAGAATAATGTGCTAAAAAGTGCTCAATATTTGTAGTCCATTTATTTAATATACTTTCTATGAGGAAAAAAAAAAGTCATTGCATTGTGTTCACATTCTGTGAACAGAATTGTAAAATATCTTCCCAAGGTTCCTGTTCGCTGGCTATTCAACACTAAGATAGGCTCTGCTGTAAAGGGACTTTGCCGATGGATTATGTTTGCTATCCTTAGATTTCAAATAGGAAGATTATCTTGCATTGTCTGAATGGAGCTAATGGAATCATATAAGCCCTTAAATATTAAAGAGGAAAACAGAATAGTCAGTTGGAAATGTAAGGCCTGAATGATTTGAAGCACAAGGAACAGGGCCAGGAGCCAAAAAACGTTAGCAGCCTCAAGAAGCTATGAACAATCCCAGATTTCACAGAAATAGTCTACAAGAAAACAGAGGCCTTAGCCCTACAACTATGAGCAAGTGAATCCTACTAACATTCTGCATAAGCCCAGAAGTGGATGGTCTCCAAGATCTTCTAGAAAGGAATACAACCTTGACTTTGGCCTTGTGAGAGCCAGGCAAACAGAAACATGAGACAATGTTTTTGTCGTATTAAGCTTATAAATTTGTGTTGATTTGTTATGGAACATAACATTAGGCAACTAACACACATGGTAATATAAAAGAGCCTGTTTAAGGGATTTGCAAAAATATTAGCCATTCAGAAATTATTTTAATCAATGTATAATGCAGAGATCAGATCAGAACTCTGAAAAATTGTTAATAAAAAGAGATACAGTTTAATGGAGGAAGGGAAAGTAGGATCATAGAACTAACTAGAATGGACCATGTGTGGCACTGTGGATGGTTCTTAGTGAGTGGGCTTCCCATCTGATGTGTGAAAAGTAAATGCTACAAGCCTATCCTCATTCAGATATTTCACTAGTATTAATTTCTTAAAGAAATCTTATATATTAAAAAACATTGACTTTAGGCCAAGTGCAATGGCTCATGCTTATAATCCCAGTACTTTGGGAGGCTGAGGCAGATGTATCAGTTAAGGTCAGGAGTTCGAGACCAGCCTTGCCAACATGGTGAAACTCCATGTCTACTAAAAATACAAAATATAGCCAGGTGTGGTGGTGGGTACCTGTAATGCGAGCTACTCGGGAGGCTGAGGCAGGAAAATCGCTTAAACCTGGGAGGTGAGGGTCATAGTGAACCGAGATCTTGCCACTGCTCTCCAGCCTGGGTGACAGACTGAGACTCCATCTTAAAAAAAATTAAAAATAAAAAAAACACTGATTTTATTAATATTTATATTGTTGTAACTTGCAGACAAACTATAATAATATAGCTTACTGGGAAGTATAAGGAATTTATATTAAGTATTTTTATATGTTGCATGCAAAAAGTAGGTTGATAAACCCTAAGTAATTCCACCTATTCATTCTTTTTTGTTGTTATATTGAAGTACCATGCTCTATTTACAAAAATGTAGTATAGATTAAATGTTTGCATCCTTCCAAAATCCATGTGCCGAAATCCTAACCCCCACTGTGCTAGTATTTGGAGGTGGTGCCTTTGGAAAGTAATTAGGACATCAAAGTGGAGCCCTCATAAATGGGCTTAGTGCCTTTATAAGAAAAGGTCAGAGAGCTAGCTCTTTCTGCCATCTATCTACCATCTATTGGAGGTAAATACAAAAATTAAAAATACAAAAATTAACCGGGCATCGTGGCACGCACCTGTAGTCCCAGCTACTGAGGAGACTGAGGCAGGAAAATTATTTGAACCTGGGAGGCAGAGGTTGCAGTGAGCAGAGATCACACCATTGCACTCTAGCGTGGGTGACATGGTGAGACTCCATCTTAAAAAAAAGAAAAAAAATTCAGAATAAAACTGGATAATCAAAATTGTTTAGTTCCTAATTATTTGACTTCTCTCATTCTCTGTACAAATATTACATGGACAAGTACCATGTGACAAGTACCATGTAGCAAGAAGTGTTTAGCTCTTTCTGCCATCTATCTGGAAGAGAGCCCCCACCAGAACCTGAGCATACTGGCACCCTGATAGACTTGCAGCCTCCAGAAATGAGAAATAAATTTCTGTTGTTTATGAGCTACCAAACCTAAGGTAATTTGTTATAGCCATCTGAACTGACTAAGACATATAGAGTGTACACTGTAATCCCCTTATTCATTCATATTAATGATCTGTTCAATCAATCCACAGGTATTAACTGAGTAACCATTTTGTTCAATCAATTTTATACATAAATTTCCTCATATTCCTGCAACATTATGCATATTTTGAATATATTCAAAAGATTTTAAAAAAAAGACTAAGCCATGGATTATTGGATTTTACCTCCAAATATCTTATTAGGTAATTAAATTGTAGGTAGCAAAAAATATAGTTAACAGTTTCAACCATTATATAATTAACCCCTCATAATATCAAAGCATGTTTAATAAAAGGTCAGTGTTTTATTTATGCTATTCCAAGTAACTAACAATGCACCTGAGACACAGACACATGATAACGTTGTTGAAGTGAACTGTATGTTAATACTTATAAGATTTACACAAGAATATAATCAAGGATAATTGTATGAACAATTACGTTCTATCATTTTGATTAAAATTTTCAAAATAGGGCTGATTGTGGTGGCTTATGCCTGTAATCCCAGCACTCTGGGAGGCTGAGGCAGGAGAATCACCTGAGGTCAGAAGTTCGAGACCAGCCTGGCCAACATGGTGAAACCCTGTCTACTAAAAATACAAAAATTAGCCAGGCGTGGTGGCACATGGTGAAACCCTGTCTACTAAAAATACAAAAAATTAACTGGGCATGGTGGCACGCACCTGTAGTCCCAGCTACTCAGGAGACTGAGGCAGGAAAATTATTTGAACCTGGGAGGCAGAGGTTGCAGTGAGCAGAGATCACACCATTGCACTCTAGCGTGGGTGACATGGTGAGACTCCATCTAAAAAAAAAGAAAAAAATTTCAGAATAAAACTGGATAATCAAAATTGTTTAGTTCCTAATTATTTGACTTCTCTCATTCTCTGTACAAATATTACATGGACACGTACCATGTAGCAAGTAACATTTATGATGTTTAGGATATGAAAAGGAACAGGATCTCTGACTTTAGGAATCTCCTGGACACATTATAGTGTTTGCCAAATACAATACAGGGATATTCCTGATAGAGATTTGTTCAACATCTAGCAAATGGTGGAGAAGGAAGTGTTTAACTCAGGATAAATTGTCTGTTCTTTTATCTGCTTGCTTGCTGGGAGGAAATCTGTGAACCCATGTGAGAGTAGATGTCATCTGAAATTATTTCGTATTCTTAAATGGGGAATAAAAGAGCATTTAGTATATAAATGGGGAACAAATTTAATATATCTATTGAAGTATTTAAAAGGAAATAAATCATGTGTTTTTGCATTGAGGTATTTTTAAAATAATAATGCATCCACATGTTAATTATAAGCTTTAGAAAACAATACATATGGAAAAAGGGAAGGAGTTGTAATTTTTGAAACTGAGTAGGAAAGGAATATGTTCCAGGTGGTGGCAACAGAAAATGTAACTTGCAGGGTTGTGCAAACTCATGGAACCTTTGAACAATGACAAGTAGTTCAGCAGAGTTAGAGCAGAAAGTTTTTATAGAGAGAACTGACAGGGGTGGGGTTAAGAAGCAAGCAGGAGCAAAATCACCAAAGGTCTTGGATATATTGCCAAAGAAGAATTTTATTTTGAATTAGACTATGAAGTCAATGACATATGTAAATTGCAGCGGTATTACCATATTTCCATCTTAGAACAATCACACTGCAGCTATTTCCATCTCAGAAAAATCACACTGGCAGCAACTTGGAGGATGGTCACAGGAGAGGCCACAATTTGAGCATCTGATCCAAGAGATAATGAGCACTAGCACTAGCCCAGTGCCAGTGGAAATAGGGTAGGGATGAGAGCTTCCAGAAAGATTTAAAACACAGAGTTGGCAAGATTATCTGACTGATTCGAAATGAAGAAGCGAAACAGCCAAAGGAGGATTTAATAATGAGCCTCAATATACTTGCTATAGAAACTTAACTAACTACATATGTTTGTAATAATTACGAATCGAGATTAAAGAAATCTTACTTACATTTAGTTTTTTTGATTATCCTAAATATTTTCTAATAAAGTTTGCCTCTAAATTATGTTTTCTTCTATTTTCTTTCCCAGCACTCAAAAATAATATTTTCATGAAATAGTATGTCAAGAGAAATATGAAGTGCAGAATATTTCATTCAATAAGATTTTTGCTTATATGCTCATATGTCTGAATATTTTGTTTTGTTTTATTTTATTTATTTTATTTTGAGACAGGGTCTCACTCTTTCACCCAGGCTGGAGTAAAGTGGTGTGATCGTCACTCTCTGAAGCCTTGGACTTCTGTGTTCAAGTGAGTCTCCTGCCTCAGTCTCCTTAAGTAGCTTGGACTATAGGTCTGCAGCATCATGCCTGGCTAAGTTTTTTTTATTATTTTTATTTTTTGTAGAGACAGAGTCTCATCATGTTACCCAGGCTGGTCTCTAACCTCTATCCTCAAGTGATCCTCCCACTTTGGCCTTCCAAAGTGATGAGATTGCACACATGAGCCACATTGCCTGGCCAGTTTGAGTATTTTAAAGTATGATTTATAAGGTTAAATCAGAAATGAAAAAGTTGTAGCTAATTCTAAAAGGTACTAACTATGAAATGTGAACGTGCAATCAATACAATCTAACTAAATGAAGAGCACATACAAATAATATAATCTTTGTCCACATACATTGCCTACTGATTTAGAGCTGCAGCAGTTCCTGGAAAAGCTATCACGAAACATGGAATAAACCTGAGATTGTTTTTTTACAATCCTGCAGAAAGGATGCTGGAAGTTTTTGTTTTACACCTAAACTGGAATCATTTTCCTGATGATAGAGTACAAATAAAGCTAAGAGCTTTACATTTTATATACAGTAAGTGCCAGTGGGTCAATGTATTCATCTCTACTTTAAAAGTCACAAAGTATGTTCATCTTGATGATTCCCAATAATATTAAATTTTAAGTCATTAAAATAGCACATATATTTGTAGAAAAAATATATATATATACATAAGCAAAGCAGCGTGAAAGAAACAAAAGTCACTCATGACACCAGCAGGAATTTAATCTATTTACATATAAAAAGAAACAGTTGATGGGGAGTTCCTGAGCAGTCTACCATTACAGGAGTTAAAGCAATCTGGCAGTGGGGAGAATTTTCTGATTCTGCCAAATTACACTAAATTGCTTAGTCACTGGGGCACATAATCTTGTGTGAACTTCTTTGAAGATCATGGAGGAGTTGGAGGCTGCTAATCAGTTACTCCTTCTGTGGAAGTTTCTCTTGAATGTGGCTATTAGCAAAACAACACACATGGATCTCTTGTTCTATGTAGATCCTCTTCTCCATGACTGTTTCCAAAGCAGCTCCACTTCCATGGTTCTTGTGGGGTCATCTTTCTGGAAGGAGACTCACAGGAGAGTCTAGTGGGAAGAATTATAGCCTCCAATACTGCAGATGGTTTCAGAGTAAACTTGGTACTCATTATCTTCCCCCTACACCATCCATGCTGTACCTCCCCACACTCAACTATCACCACAGGACTTAGTAGCTTACTAACATTGTGAAACAGAACCAGATACATAATTTGAAGTGCCCAGTGCAAGATGAAATGCAAAGCTCCTTGTTTAAAAATTATTAAGAATTTCAAGACAATTACAGCACAATCGTTAACCATGCATGAAAGCCTTCTAAATATGAGGCCCAGTGTGATTGCCCAGGTCAAATGCCCATGAAGCTGTTGTGGCCCACATCTAAATTTCTAAAGGAACTGAGACCTCTGTAATCATATACTTCTCTGGCTGAGGTTGCTGCATGTGTCCATTCACAGTTACAATTCTGAAAATACCAAATTTTATAATAAAAATGTATAATAAATTAATGAATGGAGTAGGAAGAATTGGATTAACTTCAAGGTTTTAGCTATGAATGTGGAAAACGAGGTTAGAATGTACTAAATTATTCAAAATGAGAAATGCTATTTAAAAAGTTTCAATGTCTAAGCCATTTAATTGTATTCTTTTAATTAGAAGTTACTTTGTTTTGATGTGTGAGTAAATCTTTGTATTTTCTGACAAAGACCTGTAATTTTAAAAAAACGCAATATCCTTGAAGTTTTATGGTTACACAAATACATCATAAACTTATTGAGCTAAAAATTAGTGTTTAAAGGTCTCGTGTTCGAAGAAAGATTTGACACCTCATGAAAAAAATGAGCTTAGAGAAAAAGGTAATGAAAAATGTACAATTTATGTGGTAAAGTATAAACATCTTCTGTGAAAGAAAAGAGTGTGTCCTGTACAGTAATTATTAATTATAGTAAATATTTATAAAGCATTTTTTAGGCAAAAGTAAAAATTTTAATGGCTTTGCATATACTTTCTCATCCTGTGATGGTTGTCTTCATTGTATGGATAAAGAAACAGATTGAACAAATCCTTTGAAAAATTTAGAAATTATAACCCTAATTATTTTTAAGATTAATTACAGATTTGTAAGGTTTATGCATTAGTATAAATTAAATAGTGCTTTGAATTACTTTTTTGTCCAATTAAGTGTATTCAAAAAGAAAGTATACTACTAAACTTGATTAGAGAGGAAAGTAATAACATTTCAGGACTTGAAACCCAGGGCTAACCTGATGACACTTGCCAAACTCAACTTGCCTTATTTATTTTTAGTCACTTGTAGTTGATTTTAAAACGCGTATAGGTAAAAATTATGTATCTGAGTAATATACAATTAAACTTCCACTAGCTCCCTTATAGATAACATCTCTGATGTATAGGTCCCCATGGTAACAGTTGCTTAAGTTGCTTTAAAGGATCTTAGAATCAGGTTTTGTCCAGTGCAAGCCAGCTGAGACCACTGACCCTTCAACTGGACCTGTGTGAGTGTCCGATGAGTGACCTTTCAATGTTAGAAGGCCAAAAACTCAACTCTCAGATTATTCTAGGGACAGCATTTCATGAGCATTCATTCTATGAAGAGCCATGAAGCTTGGCCACACTTGTGCAGATCACAGATTGCCCCACTTTTTTTGTACCTCCAATGACCTTTTCCCATACCTTGGACTTCCTTGCTTCTCTATCCCATAAATATCCCTAAAACCTAGTCTTTAGAGAGGCAGATTTGAGATCTGTTTTCCCGTCCCCTTGCTTGGTTACCTTGTGAATAAACCCTTTCTCTGCTGCAAAACTCATTGTCTAAGTGATTGGTATACTGTGTGCTGGGCAGACAGACCTGATTTGATATCAGAACTAGATAATATGTAATGTTTATATGTAATGCCAGCACCCAGGATGAGGCCAGTTGCCATGTTTTATCGAATTGAAAAAAGTGACTTTGAATCCTAGCCTTAGGTCTCTTTTTTGTTTGTTTCTTTGTTTGGCTGTGAAAACTTTAGTTTAAGACATTTATGACCATTCTTTTATTTATTTATTTATTTATTTATTGAGATGGAGTCTCGCTCTGTAACCCAGGCTGAAGTGCAGTGGCGTGATCTCGGCTCACTGCAACCTTCGCCTCCCAAGTTCAAGCGATTCTCCCGCCTCAGCCTCCCGGGTAGCTGGGACTACAGGTTTGTGCCACCACGCCCGGCTAATTTTTTGTATTTTTAGTAGAGACAGGGTTTCACCGTGTTAGCCAGGATGGTCTTGATCTTCTGACCCTGTGATCCGCCCGCCTTGGCCTCCCAAAGTGCTGGGATTACAGGCGTGAGCCACTGTGCTTGGCCTTGACCATTCTTCTTTTAAGAAATGTACAGTGTCAAATATTGAGAGTTTGATATTGATGCTAATTTAAATGTGGTACACTATATGCTATAATAAAATTCAGGATTTTCTTCATTTAACCACATTATACATGAGTTACTTATAAATTTTAATCTCTTAAAATGATTCTGCATTTAATCTCTACAGTAGTTGTGCATTTCTGAGGAAACATAGAAATTCATAACTTTTTATTTTTGATAAATAAAACTGTTCAGCATCTGTGCTTTCTCATTTCTTCTACTGTTGCCCCTTCAGAACTCACAGGAATGCCCTTTGTTTATTATCAATGCTATTTCTACTTCACAAATCAATACGAAAACTACCATAACAACGTTATAAGAACAATTTAGGAGTACTCATGAGAAAGAAAATTGTCTTAGGTGACAATAGAAAAGAAAAAAAGATGTTACAAGATAGAAAGTCAGTTCAAAGCAATTTTATACGATCAGCAGATGTATTACTTCAGAGCCCTTTTCTCAGGATATTTTAATATCCTGAGATATTAAATGATGAATGTTGGCTTACGACACATCATATTTCCATGTATATTGCTATTTTTGTATGTTTAGAAGATGATACATTTCATAATGTACTCAATGACAACTGAAATTAAAGGTGAATGTAGGACCTATCTCTCAAGTTGAGGGTGAGTTCTAGTAAAATTTGAATCTTGATTCCTCACTCTATCTACAGCTTTGAACAACTAGGTGTATTTGCATTGTGAGGCTGGTTTAAACTTTTGCTGAGAAAAAGCAAATCTGTTTTTTTTTTCTTGAGTCATAATCAAAACCACTTCTCCAATGCAAGCCAGCTGAGACCACCAGTAAGTTGGGGTAGTTACTTGAGGTAGAGTTACTTAAAACCCCTGACTCAATGGTGACTAAGAGGGGAAGCAGTAATTGTGTGGAGAGAACATAAATCTTTAAATGCTGCTAAAAACATATGTTTCTTTTTCTCAACTGCAACTGTTAGACTCATTTCAAGCTAGTGTCTTTTGTATTAAAGTGTTCATTTATCACATAATATTAGATGTTATTTAGAACCTTCCTATAGTCATTCAACTTAATCTTCTGACTACTAAGTTCCTCTTAAGTGACAGGCAAAGTGCTACATCAGGAATACAACAAGAAATCTTCTATATTTTCAAGAAAATTAGAGTTAAGTGATGAATATTTATATATAAATAAATGGCTCTTGTGTAATGAAGATAACTGCTAAGATATAAATTTGTAACAAGCTGTGCTTTGAGAGTTTAAAATGAATGCATTTGTCTTCCTATTGAGTTTTAGGAAGTTTACACTTAAACTATATAGTGAATGCGTATGAAAATTAGTGAGATAAATAAACATATAACACATTAGCCCAGAGATATGTAAGACCAAGATGTAGATGGCAATAATTCCATACAGTTAGGTTAACATGTGAGGAAAATAAGGACAAGGTGAGATTTGGAGCTGTAGGGTAGGGGATAATTCCATCTGTTCACATGAAAGGAAAGTTCGAGACTGTGTGCAGACTCTAGAGTTGACATGCCTCTTTGGAAACTTGACTTCACTTAATTACGTGGGTGGTCTTGGCTGAATTGCTTGCTTCGCTCTACCTAAAATGTACCTGAGAGGTGATACAATGTTAAAGGAGATAAGCTATGTAAGCACTGGTCCTCCTTAGGCCCCAAAATATATAATATACTATTATTACATCAAAACAATTATTTATAGGTGTTTTGTTACTCAATAAATGTTTACTCAATCATGTGCTTCAATTAACATTGGAAATTACTCTTTCTGGCACTCAAGCGATCATTTTTGTTCCTTGTTATTGTTAATTTTTCCTTCCTTATATTATAATAAATTAGACATCCTCTCATGAATTTCCAACTCAGAATACTTGGGCCTGGTGAACTTGGTTTCAACATCTTAGATTTGCTACATTATAATATTTTATTTCCAATTTTAAATTTTTAGCCAAGATAAAACTTGTTAAGAAGCTAGGTTTAACATTTATTATTTCAAAAATTTAGGTGATACTAACACATGTTAGCCTTCAACGTGAAAAAGTCTCTAGGATACAACATTTTTGTTTTTCTTGCCTAGGAATAAAGGAGGGGACAGGCGGGCAGGCTGTTTCTTATCTCAAGAGCTTCTCTAAGATGAAAGGACATTTGAGGGATAAAGGCATGCATTATGAGAGTAATGACGCCCTCTTCTTCTGGGATTGATTAACAAGATTTACCATAGTCTCGCTATGCCTGTCATTCAGTCATGCAGGAGTGTGGGCGGGGGAGTGCAAATTCGATTGCTTGCTGTGGTGAGGGAGAGCAGGAGAGGTTGACCAAGCAACCAGAAGGAACTCTCACAGAGGCATGAGCTTTAGGCCTCCATGCATCCACCGTCCAGGAGATTTGACAAAACACAAAATAAACCTGACCACAATGCTGGGATAATTATCAGTGTCATAAAAGATGGACTGCCTAGCTTCTTCAAGTAAACCTTCAGAATGAATGAGAAACAATACAAATAGCAAGTTCCCACTAAAATGGAAAGGAAGTCAAGGCAAATATATATATAATCATATATATATATAATTCATATATATTTATTTTATTTTATTTTATTTTATTTTATTTTACTTTATTTTTTGAAACAGAGTCTCATTCTGTCGCCCAGCCTGGAGTGCAGTGGCATGATCTGGGCTCACTGCAACCTCCGCCCACTGGGCTCAAGCGATTCCCCTGCCTCAGCCTCCCCAGAAGCTGTAACTACAGGCACTCACCACCACCCCAGGCTAAGTCTTGTATTTTTAGCAGAGACGGGGTTGCACCATGTTGGCCAGGCTGGTCTCAAACCCCTGACATCAAGTGATCCGCCTGTCTTGGCCTCCCAAAGTGCTGGGATTACAGGAGTGAGCCCCGGCGCCGGGTGTGGCCAAGAGAATAATAAATGGATCATGTGGAGACAGCCCTCAACAAGCAAAGCTGAGGTGAAAAGAAATTGACTGATAGTTACAGAAAAAAATACTTTTTTAGCCAAAAAATTGTTTTTGAGAAAACTAGCATTAAAAAGATATAAAAGAATCAGATTTTAGAGATAACCTAATTCAACGTACAGAAGAAATTTTCCCATAGTGATTTAACAAGAAAATAAATTTAATAAACAGGAACTCAAACTTGAAAATGAAAATTATGGAAACTCATGGAGAATGAAGCAAACCTCACACAGAACAAATAGATAATTAGACAGGGCAGGGAAGAGAATAGATGTAGTCAAAAATGGAATCACTGATGAAAAGCACAGTAAAAACTTATGAAATGATATAGTTTGAAGAAATTAGGAAGAGGACATCAGATAATGAGGATATCAAATAACATCCAATTTAAAGATGAATGCTGTTTCTGGAGACCTTAACAGTGAGAAGAAAAATAATTTAAAATAACATATTTTTCTGAAAATAAATTCATAAAAGAAGGAATAACTGAATTTGAAGCTTACATTGGAAAATGATACAGGTAATTGACATTGAGACATATCCATTTTAAATTGCAGAACTTTAAGAATAACAAAAAAATTTAACCAACCAGGCAAAAAGGAGCAATTCGTTTTCATGGGGGAAAAGGGGAAAATTCCAGCTAAGCCCCCATCTCTCGTCAGTGCCAATCAGTGCCAGAAGATAAAATAATTACCAAAAAATTTTTCAGATAAATAAAATATGACCCTATCTTATATCAAACCAAGGTATTATTCAATTGCAAAAACAAAGCATATGCATTGCTTAACCTGAAAATTTAAGAAAATATAACACCCATTTGTACTTCTTGAAGACAAAATCCAACCAAACCAATGACTCAGAGAAGCAAGCAAAGAAGGAATGTGATATTTCAGCACAGAAAACAGTGGGAACAGTAGGGTCGTGTCAAAAAAATTTCTGGAAGAAAGTATAAAACAGAAAGAAACAAGCCTTTTTCTTTCTTTCTTTCTCTTTCTTTCTTTCTTTCTTTCTTTCTTTCTTTCTTTCTTTTTTTCTTTCTTTTTCTTCTTTCTCTCTTTCTTTTCTTTTTCTTTCTTTCTCTTTCTTTCTTTCGCTCTTTTCTTTTTTTAATTAACTGAATCGAGGTGATAGTCAAGCATTCATAAACATAAAAACAAAACAAAACAAAAAAACCTCCTGACCTCAAGTGATCCACCCGCCTCAGCAGCCTCCAATAGTACTGGGATTACTATGAGCCACCACACCCGGCCAACATGGTGAAACCACGTCTCTATCAAAAATATAAAAAATTAGCAGGGCATGGTGGTGCTCACCTGTAATCCCAGCTATTCAGGAGGCTGAGGGAGGAGAATCAATTGAACCTGGGAAGCAGAAGTTGCAGTGAGCCAAGATTGCACCACTGCACTCCAGCCTGGGTGAGTTAATTCTCTGATCTTTCCAAGAAGGGTATAAATTGACTCAATCCCAACTCAAATTAGGTAGCTTTTTACATTAAAAGGTATAATGCTCCCAACTCTTAAAGCTTTTGTCATAATTTACTCCTTTAAGAAAACACTCTTGTGATGAATACATATGTATCTGAAAGTCATCACACCTTTCAGTACTATTTCAGCTTCCTTTAGTACTTCAACTCAAGTAAATATATTTTATTAATATCGAATACATCCTGCAACACTTCCCAAGACAGCATGACCTAAATAAAGGCATACGTAAATACATTACTGGGGAGGTGATCTCAGGAAACAACGGTGAGGAATAGTGGGAGGGAAACCAAACAACGGGTGGAACAAAACAGATATTGTTTCACCCACCACTATCAGCTGCCGATTGCTTGAGTCTAAGAGACTATCTGAGAAGCATGACGTGTATGTCAAGACCAAGGTATTAAAGAAGAAAACATTGATCTATCAGTTTCCATTTCATATTCTTCAAAGATTTACCCCACATGGCACTAACTCTCCCTCACTTTGGCATTGCATATGCGAAACAGCAGGTTGTATTTACAGTGATAAGGGCCCTGGTTTTCCTGTGACTGGGGTTGGGGAGTGGGGAGTAGTAGTGGTTCTTGGGTTCTTGATTGACTTTGGGGCTAATACCAGGAAAGTCCTAGTGGAAATGGAATGAGTTGATCTGGTAACGTTAGCTGAATCAGAGTATATGCCTTAATGTCAACAGAGATGTGACACGATGTAGGCAAGAGGCATAACATATAAACTTGAGGGGACATTCTTTTATATTGCAGAATAGATCCTCTCAGTGGTAGCTGGGATAAGAGATAATAAAACAGAATATCTAAAACGGTGCTTTTCCTCTTTTTGAAACTGTTCTTATCTCTGCAATATTTTTAGCTCTCGGGTTACAAAATCGGTCTCCCATTGCTGAGAGAAAAACTTGCCATCATTTTTTCTCTAAGAAAAGGGAGGTATAGGTACCATTTGTCATAAAGAGCCCTGATAGGCAGTATCTAGCTACAATACCTAAATGGATTCAAGCAAGAGAGTTAGTGAAAAAGCAACCATTCACGTTGTTGTAAGTGACCAGGAAATCTGGGTGACTAATACATGAATTTGCAAGGGCCTTCCTCAATTGTTTGGGCCTATTCCTGAATGTATCATTTTCAATTATGTAACTGGCTTCTGCTGTGCCCACTTGACTTTCTGGCTCAATGTATCTCATACTGCACAGTTCATGATGGGCAGATCTGTTTAGATGATCACTCGGCATCAAGCCCAGTCCAAACCCAGTGGCATGTGAAGAATTGTAATAATTAAGAGTATTTTACTGCCATATAACCCAAGATGTTCTTCTCTAACCACAGTATTCTTCACTGAGACTCTCATATTGCAACTTGATACATTTCCTCAGTGTCCTCATTCACCCTGGATTTTCCAGCACTCTTGAATCTACCGTATTATATGACCCTTTGAAAGTACAGTTTGCAGTGTAGCGTTGAAAAGGTACATAGCCTTCTCTTGAGCTGGTCCCTTCTGAGTTACTCATTAAACAGGCCAGACCAGTATCCTCCGTGGTGTGAAAGGACACTAAGCTATGGCACTTTCTAAATCAAACAGGCATAAGCTTAAAGTGTCATTTTCCTTTTTGGACATGTCCAGAATACAATGTGCTACTAAATCACACATACTTGACACATAGCATTTATCTCTATCATGTAGGATCCATGTGACTCTCTATGGATTTTATAGCATTTGCCAGTTCCTGCTTACCGCATTCACTTAGCCTTATGCTATCAATATAGGTACCAAAATACTGTTCTACAGAATTCTAAAATAATAAAGGTGGCTGCAACAGAAGGCAATATACGATATCATCTTTCTCACATGAATTATAAATGGTTTTGTTCATGCCTATGGGTTACATGAAGAAAGCATAGACCAAATTAGTAGAGGCATATGTAATGTCAGAGGCTATGTTGATATGATTCTATGAAGAAACCATACTCTGCATGGCAGATGGAGACTTACATTAATGTTTTTGGAGGTTCACTGCCATCCATCATAATTTATCAGTTTTTGGTTTTAATTTAAGACTTTGAATATCGCACTTACCTCTGTTATTCCTAGCAGAACAAAAGAGTATTGCTGTGATTTACTGACTTTTAGAATAGGGTGAGATTTCAGTGGCTTCCTTCAGTCCCTTCTTAACATAATGGCAATATTTCACAGTTCAAAGAGCTTGAAAAATAGTTGAAAGGATCTTTTAGGTTAGAAGTTCACCTATCCCAAGTCTTCACTCAGGAACTACATAAATAACCACAGGGTATGTCCTAAAACACATTTGACAACCTTTGTGACAGAGCTGGGCCAAAATTACAGTGATTATTGGATCTTCATAAGCCCTAATGTGTTCAGATGACAATTATGCCTTTTCAGGCACCCTGATATCTGTAAAAACTTAGACCCCATATCCAACTATTACCTTAGTTTTGACGCTACCTTTTTCCCTAAAATGGAATCATACTGTCAAAATGACACATCTTTTTGAAGAATGATCGTTGAACATTTACTAACTCTTGAGAAGAGCAAGTATCATCTTTCAAGGTTCCTGTCCCAGATTAGTCTGTTACACAGACTATGAAAATGGAAAGTACCATATGAACTTTAAAGTAGTTTTTTCCAATTCTGTGAAGAAAGTCATTGGTAGCTTGATGGGGATGGCATTGAATCTATAAATTACCTTGGGCAGTATGACCATTTTCATGATAATGATTCTTCCTATCTATGAGCATGGAATGTTCTTCCATTTGTTGGCGTCCTCTTTTATTTTGATAAGCAGTAGTTTGTAGTTCTCTTTGAAGAGGTCTAAGCAAAAAGAACAAGGCTGGAGGCATCACGCTACCTGACTTCAAACTATACTACCAGGCTACAGTAATCAAAAGAGCATGGTACTGATACAAAAGCAGAGATATAGACTAATGGAACAGAACAGAGCCCTCAGAAATAATACCACACATCTACAACCATCTGATCTTTGACAAACCTGACAAAAAGAAGAAATGGGGAAAGGATTCCCTATTTAATAAATGGTGCTGGGAAAACTGGCTAGCCATATGTAGAAAGCTGAAATTGGATCACTTCCTTACACCTTATACAAAAATTAATTCAAGATGGATTAAAGACTTAAATGTTAGACCTAAAACCATAAAAACCCTAGAAGAAAACCTGGCAGTACCATTCAGGATCTAGGCATGGGCAAGGACTTCATGACTCAAATACCAAAAGCAATGGCAACAAAAGCCAAAATAGATAAATGGGATCTAATTAAACTAAAGAGCTTCTACACGGCAAAAGAAACTACCATCAGAGTGAACAGGCAACCTACAGAATGGGAGAAAATTTTTGTAATCTACCCATCTGACAGAGGGCTAATATCCAGAATCTACAAAGAACTTAAACAAATTTACAAGAAAAAAATCAAACAAACTCATCAAAAAGTGGGTGAAGGATATGAACAGACACTTCTCAAAAGAAGACATTTATGCAGCCAACAGAAACATGAAGAAATGCTCATCATCACTGGCCATCAGAGAAATGCAAATCAAAACCATAGTGAAATATCATCTCACACCACTTAGAATGGTGATCATTAGAAAGTCAGGAAACCACAGGTGCTGGAGAGGATGTGGAGAAATAGGAACACTTTGACACTGTTGGTGGGACTGTAAACTAGTTCAATCATTGTGGAAGACAGTGTGGCGATTCCTCAGGGATCTAGAACTAGAAATACCATTTGACCCAGCCATCCCATTACTGGGTATATACCCAAAGGATTATAAATCATGCTGCTATAAAGACACATGCACACGTATGTTCATTGCAGCACTATTCACAATAGCAAAGAGTTGGAACCAACCCAAATGTCCAACAATGATAGACTGGATTAAGAAAATGTGGCACATATACACCATGGAATACTATGCAGCCATAAAAAATGATGAGTTCAGGTGTTTTGTAGGGACATGGATGAAGCTGAAAACCATCATTCTGAGCAAGCTATTGCAAGGACAGAAAACCAAACACCGCATGTTCTCACTCATAGGTGGGAACTGAACAATGACAATGCTTGGACACAGGGTGGGGAACATCACACACCAGGGTCTGACATGGGGTGGCGGGGGTGGGAGGGGAAGAATTAGGATAAATACGTAATGTAAATGATGAGTAAATGAGTAATGGATGAGTCCATGAGTTAATAACACCAACATGGCACATGCATACATATGTAACAAACCTGCATGTTGTGAACATGTACCCTAGAACTGAAAGTATAAGTATAATAATAATAAAAAAAATCTCAATCTTCCACTCAAAAAAAAAAGAAAATGGAAAGTATTACATTTCCATAATGGTTATGCTAATTTACTTTCCTGTCAACAGCATGCAAAAGTTCTCTTTTCTCCTCATTCTTTTCAATGCTTATTATATTTCATCTTTTTGATAACAGCCATTGTAACAGGTGTGAATACTGTCTCATTGAGGTTTTAATTTGCATTTCCCTGATGATTAGTGATGTTGAACTTCCTTTCATATATACCTGTTGGCCATTTGTATGTCTTCTCTTGAGAAATGTCAACTCCAATTATTTGTTTTTTAATTGGGTTACTTTTGCTGTTGAATTGTTTGAATTTCTTATAAATTTTGGAAATTAAGCCTTTCTCAGATACATGGTTGGCAAATATTTCCTCCCATTCCATAGGTTGTTTCTTTATTCTTTTGAATGTTTATTTTGCTGTGCAGAAGCTTCTTAGTTTGATGTTGGTGTTTTATGATGACTTCCTTCACTTAGAGGAATGTTTTTAAGGTTCATCCATGTTGTTGTATATATTAGTACTTTATTATTTTCATGAAAAAATAAAATTTCCTTGTACAGATATTCTACATTTTGTTTATCCATCATTTGATGGTCATTTGTGTTGTTCTCATATTTTGTTTTTAAGAATAATGCTGTTATAAATATTGGCATACACTTTTTTGTGTGGACATATGTTTTCATTTCTATTGGATGTATAACTTGGAGTGTTATTATTATTGGGCCATATGGTAATGGGTAGAGCTGAGGGTGACTCTTTACCAGATGATCCAACAATAATAACACTCTAAATTATATACCCAATAGAAATGAAAACAGTAACTCAGGGGTAATAGCTAACGGGTACTGGGTTTCTCTGTGAAATAATGAATGTTATAAAATCAACTGTAGTGATGGTTTCACATATCTATGAATGTATTAAAAAGCTTATCAAATTGTACACTTTAGAGGAGTAAATTGTAGGATATGCAAATTATCTCTCAATAGAGCTATTTTAAAATGTAAAAATAAACAGGAAAAAATAATTTAGGCCCAGATTTTGTAGGGCATATTTTCTCCACTGTGCTCTACATTGGAGCATAGGCAGTATAAGATAAGTATTAGAAAGGAAGGAAGTACTCAAAGAGTGAAGGGGATTTATCAAAACCACATAGGAGCCAGCTTGAATGAACTCCCACTGGTATGCTGGCAGAATTTGATTACCAGAATAAATAATGTAAGTGATGAATTATAATTCATTTAGTTAACAGGAAAGCATCATGCACCTGTGTATACATAAATGAATGAATATAATGTACATTTGAAGAGGAGCAAAATTTTTACATGATTTCAAAAAAGTTTTCCACAAAATTTATTAATTTTAAAGTGGTAAAGATTGACAGTGGTAGAGAAGCTGGTCATATACTATTTTGATCAAACGATCAAATAATCACCACTGAATAAGGTGCAATAAAGTGACTGAAACATATTTTCTGTGAAATTCTCACCAAAGATGCACAAACTTATTCATGAGGAAACAACAGATAATCTTAAAAGTAAACAGATAAACTGAAAACTATTCTGAAAAGTAACTTGGCTGAAATTTTCTGGAACGTTTCCAAAATAACCATAAAAGCAGAGATAAAATAAAGAAATTGTTTCAGACTGAATGATACTGAAGAGACATTCCACCAAAGCAATATCTGCTTCAAAATTTGACCCTTTTGCAACGAAGGACATTATAAAGACAATTGAAAAAAACCTGGGGTCCGAGGATTAGATCGTGGCTATGTATCAGTGTTAAATACCTGATTTTGATAACTTCAGTGGTAGTACTGAGGTTATGTTGTGTAATGTTCATGTTCATAAGAAACGCTTCCAGTGTATACAGAGGTAATAGGGCATTAGATGATCAACTTACTCTCCAATAAATCAGGGGAAATATTCTTCATAGTATATGCCCAACTTTTCCACAAATTGGTATATCAGTTGTGGTTCCACCAGACAAACAGAACCAGGAAACATAGAGATAGATAGAGACAAAAAGATAGGGACAGAGATAGAGAGATAGAAATATATATTACTAGAAATTGGCTTCCTCAATAATGGGGACTGGCTGGCAAACGTGAAACCAGGAATCAGTAGGGCAGATAGTCAGAAAGAACAGGTTGGAAACTCTTGGATATGAGCTGAAACTGTGGTCCACAAGCAGAATTTTATCTTTTTTTGGGAAGTTTCAGTTCTAGTCTAAATTCCTTTAACAAGATGAATCAGGCCCACTCAGATTATTGGGGTTAATTTCTTTTACATAAAGCCAAAGAATCATAGATGTTAATCACATCTATAAAATACCTGCAAAGCAAAACCTGGATTAGCATTTGATAAATAACTAGTGACTGTAACATAGTCAAGTTGACATATAAAACTGACAATCAAAATTGGTTATTATTAAATCAAAAAAGTACACCACTAGAAAAAATTAATTGCTTGAATTAAGTGAGTTATTAAAATTGATGCATGTGTTAGTTTTCCAGTTCAGCATCATACCCTGGTTTCCTGTAGTCTAAGCTCCAGATTGAGTTTGTACCATAGTAAATTAAGAAGGAATGTTTAAAAAAAACCCTGCATATAAGATTCATGTAAATACATATGGTATATACACATGTACACACACAGAAATACACACACATCAACCTTTAAACGTTTATTTTAAATAGAAAATGGAATAAGCAGATAAGGAGTTTCAAAATTGAGAATTTCTTATTTTTGGAAAATTTGCTTGAGGTAATTTTAATCTATTTGATGTGAAAATCTTTATACCAAATATCAGTTGTCACTGGCCTAAAAATCTACCACATCTGGTAGCTCCATAGTGCCAATAATATTAAATACTATTGTGGGCTGAGTGTGCCCCTCATAAAAGATATATTGAAGGTCTAAATCCTGGTATCTCTCTGAATTTGACCTTGTATGAAAATAGGGTCTCTACAGATTTAAACAAGTTAAGATGAGGTCATATAGGATTACAGTGAGCCCTAAATTCCATGTCTGGTGTTCCTATAAGGACAAAGAAAAACACAGACAAACATAGACATACAGTGAGGGAGGCCATGTAAGGGTGGAGATGGAGATTTGAGTGATACAACTGCAGGTCAAGGAGTGGCAAGGACTGTTGGCAACTATCTGAAGCCAGGAATAGGCAAGAAAGGATTCTTCCCTAGAGTCTCCAGGGGGGTGATGGCCCTGCTGACACCTTGATTTGGACTTTAGCCATCAGATCCATAAGAAAATAAGTTTCTATTGTTTTAAGCTACCCAGTATGTGGTACTTTCTTACAAGACCCCTAGGAAACTAATACAAGTATCATATGCAGACATTTGCAAGTAATATTTCAGTAGGTCAAACATTTCTTTGACATGTCCTTATATGTATGACCAGTTACCATACCTGTATGGTCTGTGATTTATGGTTTTGCCTCTGTGGCCAGACACATGAAATGAGCTTTATAACAACAACAAAACTATTGGATGAACACACAGTGTTGTTTCTCATGAGACACAATTAGGAACTGCCTTCAGACAGGGCTAGATGTGGAGAAAACACAATGTCCATAAAGAAAAATAGTTAACTAAGAGCATTTTACTTCAGCTAATTTTTCACAACCCAAGGAAAAATCTCCAAAAGAATACAGTAGTAGAAAAATTGAACTTTAATACAATAAATAGTCACAATTTCAAACAAAAACTGAATTATGCTAGTCATAAGTGTGAAAAGTGAACCAGAAAAGTGTATACAAGGTTTATTTTCACAAACTTCCTCAGTTACCAGATTTATATACTTTTCCATAAAGTTAAGGATCTTATCTTTTGTATTCTCTCCAAGTTGGAGGAAGAAGTCAAGAATTATAGGAAGGTTTTGGTAAAGTGGAACGCATTCTGTTGGAACCCAGATGTTTGCAACAGAGGAGCAGGAAGCTGGAAAAAAAAAAAAAAACTAAGCAAACATTTCTACCTTTTCTATCATGGCTTGGTAGTTGCTCCAATGAAAGCTGCATTAATTAAAGAAAGATAGTTATAGAGACAGACAATCCATGATTTTAATGCTGGATATTGTCTACAGGCTCTCAGCAGTTTGCTTTCCTTTCTGCACTTTCTTTATACCTCTGGGCTGAAAACCTGCAAACCACATTTTTTAGGTGTTATTGCTAGTTGGATTCCTCTTGGTTTCTGTGAGTGAGAGGTACTGAGCAGAATTTGGAGGAAGAAAGGATAAATAATATGATTTTTCTGCTTCTCTCGGCGTCTCTGGTTTTGACAGTGACAATACCAGAAGGGCAAAATAAGGTGTCACATTCATGGTTTTCTTGGCAAGGAACCTCCACCTTAAGAGACGCTTATTCAGGGGTACAGGGATTGAAAAGCAGATCAGTTCTGTAAATATATTAAATTAATTTTTTTTTTCTTAAAATAGGTCAATTTTATAGTATGCAACCTATATTTTATAAAGCTATGTTTTTTAAATGGTGATTTCGGGCAGCAATGGATGTCATCAGCGTTGAGTATTTAAGCAGTGAGAGAGTGGCCTTTTCCATCTTTAGCTACAGAAGATTTTCTGTCAACCAACTAATTTGTTGAGAAAGAGTTTGGAAACAACATCGTTGAATCCAAGCCCTGGGTGGCCTCAGTTATCACAATTGCCAAAATCTCTGACAAGAAACAAAATAATTAAATAATTCAAAGATTAGTTATAATTATAAAGAAATGATATTAGTTCTATGCACAGAAGTTATTTCCTTTATTTAATAAAAGGAAATTTCTAACGAAAAGATAGTCAAAGTAAAATAAAGGAAAAATGAACAAAAGTTTCCTTTTTCATAGTATAGATAATATCATCTCTATAAATTATAAGCACAATTTGAACATGAGAAAAAAGTGTTCAAAGAAGACTTTAAATAATGTCCAAAATATATAGAAATGAGCTGGAAATGCTACAACATGAGAAAAAATAAAAACAGGGCAGACAATACATGCCCATTATAAGTGAAAGAGTTAGATGCTCGTAAGCAGTTATGAGGCTACTACATACAGAGAGAGAGAAAGAAAGAGAGAGAGAGGTCAATATTAGCATAGAAGGAATGACAGGCTACAAACAATATATAACTAACATGCATTATTGGTATTCTTAAGAATAAGCAAATAAAATATTTAAATATAGAAATAATCAAAAGTACAGTTTAAAAAAACTTTTCTGTAACAAAGACAAATTGAAAGTGCAGAATCAAGGTGTTCATAGGGTACCAAGAAATAATGATACCTAACATTCAAAATCAAAGTATATTCTAGCAAAGTTGTTAAAATTCAAGCACAAAGAAAGAATCCTAGGATCAGCCAGGAGAAAAAAAATCATGCTTCCTACTAGTGTAAAATATCAAGTTAGATTTGACTTCCTACAGTAACAGTCAATGCAAAAAGACTGTTTGATCAGTATCTAAAATACACTGACAGAAAGAAAATGCGATGCAAGAATTTTATAATCAGCCAATTTATACTTTGATTATAAAGAAAACTTTTGAGTGTAAAGTATGCACAAAGTTATGCCATTTGTGAATAACAAGTTTGAATCTGCTAGGGAAGAAGGGTGGATGGTGATAAAGTAAGAAAAATAAAAGAATGGAACTGAAAGCAACTGATCAGATTATGAGAACTAAGGAGTGGTCAGGAATAGATACCCATTCTCACCAGCCCTCACTCCCACCCAAAGGTAATAAAATTGCTTTTTATTTAAAGACAGTAACAGAGACAAAATACGGTGGTCACAAAGATTAGGAGAAAAAAAAAAGAAGCATACTCAGTGATATGGTTAGTCTTTGTGTCCCCACCCAAATCTCATCTTGAATTGTAATCCACATAATCTCCAGGTGTCTAGGGAGAGACTTGATGGGAAGCGATTGGATCATGGGGGTGGTTTCCCCCATGGTGTTCTTGTGACAGTGAGTGAGTTCTTGTAAGATGTGATGGCTTTATAAGAGTCTCTTCCCCTTTCGCTCCTCACTCTTCTCTCTCCTGCCGCCATGTGAGAAGGTCCAAGCTTGCTTCCCCTTTGCTTCACACCATAATTCTAATTTTCCTGAGGCCCCCTCAGCCATTTGGAACTGTGAGTCAATTAAACCTCTTTTCTTCATAAATTACCCATTCTCAGGTATTTCTTTATAGCAGCGTGAAAACAGACTAATAAACTCAGCAAGCTTTCTTTGATTTTTTGAGTTGCTAACATTCACTCTGTCGCCCTATATAAGGGAGTCTGGTCAAAGCTCAATTCCTCAACACCATTCAGAAAGAACTTAAAGCCCCTCTATGTTCTTCATAAGAACTATTTATAGACAACTTGTACTCTAGTGTTTTAGTCAAATCCACCAAAATCCAGTCCACGTTATTTTCAAAAAATAGGATGCTGGAAATAGAAATCTTATTTTTCCACAGTGTACACCCACTCCTCTCTATGACTATGTCTATGTCTATGTCTATGTCTATGTCTATGTCCAGGTCTATGTCTACATCTATATCAGTCTGTGTCTGTGTCTATGTCTATATCAGGGTCTACATCTATGTCTGTGTCCATCTTCAGGTCTATGTCTACATCTATATCAGTCTGTGTCTGTGTCTGTCTATTTCCATCTATTTCCATGTCAATGTTTATCTTCAGGCCTACGTCTATGTGTGCGTCTGTATCAATATCTATGTCTATGTCTAGGTCTATGTCTATGTCTATGTCTATATCAGTGTCTATGTCTATGTCTATGTCCAGGTCTATGTCTACATCTATATCAGTCTGTGTCTGTGTCTATATTGGTGTCTACATCGATGTCTATGTCCATGTCCAGGTCTATGTCTACATCTATATCAGTCTATGTCAGTCTATGTCCATGTCAATATCTATCTTCAGGCCTATGTCTATGTGTATGTCTGTATCAATATCTATGTCTACATCTAGGTCTAGGTCTATGTCTATGTCTATGTCTATGTCTATATTAGTGTCTATGTCTATGTCTATATCAGTTTCTATGTCTATGTCTATGTCTGTGTCTATATCAGTGTCTATGTCTATGTCTATGTCTAAGTCCAGGTCTATGTCTACATCTATATCAGTCTGTGTCTATGTCTATATCAGTGTCTACATCTATGTCTATGTCCATGTCCAAGTCTATGTCTACATCTATATCAGTCTGTGTCTGTCTATGTCCATGTCGATGTCTATCTTTAGGCCTATGTCTATATGTATGTCTGTATTAATATCTATGTCTATGTCTAGATCTAGGTCTAGGTTTAGGTCTATGTCTGTGTCTATATTACTGTCTACATCTATGTCTATGTCTATGTCTTTGTCCAGGTCTTGGTCTACATCTATATCAGTCTGTGTCTGTGTCTATGTCTATGTCTATGTGTATGTCTGTATCAATGTCTATTTCTATGTCTATGTCTGTTTATCTTTATCTCTATTTCTAACTATATAGGTAGATATAGAGTTGTTTTGACACCAGGCTTGCTAACAGTTCTGGTTTCTTGCAAAATGTGCTACTCATACTATTTCATTTGATATCCTTGAAACTATTAAGAGTTGCCATCATGATTCCCATTTTACAGATGGAGAAACTTTAACTCTACATGGCTAAATAAATTTCTTCTAAGTTACACAGAGCTTCAGTTATTTAAGTGATATTAGAATCAAGTCTCTTTGTACTTTCTTGCCACCTCTTACAGTGCTTGCAAAATGTGCTTACTGGAAATTACACATGATAAATAATCATATAATTCCAGAGAATGAACTCCAAGTGGTAAAGTTAAAAATATGGCTTCTCCAGATCTCTACCCCCACATTTGTATTGACAGAAATCATGGAATTTGTTCATCAAGATCACAATTTTGAAGTAATCTACTATTCTTTGTGAGATGTCTGATTACCACTTCTGTGGTTATATGCTGGCCTAAATAAAATAGCTCTTACAAATATCAGTGCTTCCCACCCCAATATTATATAAAGTGTGATAACTTGAAAATACTACTTTTCAAAGATTATGCCTCAATGACCAAGAGAATGGTAAAGTACTATCTCAATAGACCCCAATAATTGTCTGATTATCTAGTCCAAGGGCTCACAGATGTAGATGGTTGATGCTATTCACCAATGTGTGCATCCACTGAGTCCACCTACTTCACGCATTTAAAATTGCCAATGGAAAAATAGTAGTAGGACAAGAGTAAATTATTGAAACATAAGTAGTAGTGTTTTCTGGGAGGTGTGATTTATTCTTCTGCTTCTACTATTAAATATTGATTATCCATATTTAATTATTGATTAAATATTTATTTGTATAAATATTACCCTTTTATACAGTAATATATAAAAGGTATCATGTTGCCCTTTTTATACTTCTTATAGAAAAATTATAGTCAAAATATTATATTTCATAATGACATGCCACTAGGCTAATCAAATATGTATAAGAAATGAGATAAGCAAGAATAATTTCTAAATTAATAGCAAATATAGCATTAATTTGATTAATATAATCTAGTTAATATATCACTGTCAGTGACATGGAAAGGAGAAAATTTCCGTTGTCACAGGAAATATACATATACATATAAGTATATGTAATATATGACCACTCACATACATGCACATATATATGCAGTGGAAGGAAATTTGTGGAGAAGTCAAAAATTTATGCTGCTATTTTCAAAACTTCTAGAACTGAAACGAATACAATTATTAGGTTCCTAACAAGAAAACTGTGGTGTGTGCAAAAATCAGAGTTTACCAGATTGTACACAACTTCATTGTAAAACTCTATGAAAGAACATTTACTTCCAGAAATCTTCACAGCACAATATACATCACTGTTCACCCTTTGACATGCCTAACATAAGAAAGAAAGAAAGAAAGAAAGAAAGAAAGAAAGAAAGAAAAGAGAGAGAAAGAAAAGAGAGAGAGAGAAAGAGGAAAGAAAGAAAGAAAGAAAGAAAGAAAGAAAGAAAGAAAGAAAGAAAGAAAGGAGGGAGGGAGGGAGGGAGGGAGGGAAGGAAGGAAGGAAGGAAAGGAAGGAAGGAAGGAAGGAAGGAAGGAAGGAAGGAAAGAAAGAAAGAAAGAAAGAAAGAAAGAAAGAAAGAAAGAAAAAAGGAAAGAGAGAGAAAGAAAAAAGGAAAGAGAGAGAAAGAGGAAAGAAAGAAAGAAAGAGAGGGAGAAAGAAAGAAGAAAGAAAGAAAGAAAAAAGAAAAGAAGGAAGGAAGAAAAGAGAAAGAGGAAAGAAAGAGAGAGAGAAAGAAAGAAAGAAGAAAGAAAACAGAAAGAAAGAAAGAAAGGAAGGAAGGAAAGAGAGAGAAAGAAGAAAGAAAGAGAGAGAGAAAGGAAGGAAGGAAGGAAGGAAAGAAAGAAGAAAGAAGAAAGAGGGGGGACATCATGTTTTCCTTTGTTGTTGAATTATTAGGATATATTAGCTAGTCACCGAAGACATTAGGTGTTTTCAAAAGTAATCACTTCTTAGAGAATCCCTACATGATAGACATGCACTATCCTAAAAATAAAATCCAAACATAGCACTCAAAAATGTTTATTAAATGAAGAAATGAATCCTCCATAACTGAAATTATCTGTGATTAAGTTCTGAATGTATTATTTCAAACATAAATGATTGTAGCAATTTAGTTAGATAACTCATAACATTCAAAATTATTCTAAAATTTCTATAATATACACTGCTATGTTATTTAAACTCAGATAATAATTGAACTGATGTAGATTAATATCAATGGCTTTTAATTTATAATATTTTAATGAAACAACTCAAATATTATCCCTATTTATTACTTCTTCCAAGGTAGTATAATCTCATTGCTAGGAAAGGTGAAGGGTATGAAGAATAAAATAATCAAGAAAAGTGTGGAGGAAACTGAAAAATATATTCCTGGTGTTGTTCAGAATTGTAATTTTTATTCATAAATCTAAACCTGGCATTTAATATATCCATGGAAACTGTTCTTGTAGTAGACACATATTTTCCATATTTCATCTATACTTTACATCTCTGATAATTTCATTTTGTCATAATTTAATTTTTCATGCCAACGCTAAACAGGTTTCACTTTTCTTTATTCTACTTTTGCTTTCATAAATGGAGCTCATTACTCTAAGGCACATTATTAATACAAAAACATAATATATTAGATCATGCTAGAAATAGTATTTTTCTGAGTAGATGTGTTGCTGCAAATCACTCATTTCATTTTAACTCTAATAAGTATTATATGTTACAACAAATAGAAGTAAAAATTTATGGAAAATACATATCCAATAGTGCATTTCTGTTTTGCAGGAATTTAAAATGTTTCATCCTTTACTTTTTTAACAGAATATAAAACATTAAGTTTTCATAAAATAAGCAAAAATGTGCAATGCATATGTATATTGAGGAGCATAAAAATATAAGAGGGTGAATTCATTGCCCTGTTTAAGAAATAGAATCCACTGCCTAGCTTAACAAATAGAATGTGCAATTATAGTTAACCTCTCAGGCACACACTACCTTGGCAGCAGTAATAAAGTAGTAATGACAATCCTTCCATCTCAGCCTCCTGAGTAGCTCGGTCTACAGGCATGCACCACCACATTCAGATAATAATTATTATTTTCTTTTATAGAGGTGGGTCTCAATGGGTTGCCCAGGCTGGTTTCAGACTCCTGGCCTCACACTCTTGGACTCCTCTTCTACGACAACTACTTTCTTGATTAAAAAAAAAAGTTTTTCTTAATAACTAAACTGCATAAGCACTGTTTCAGATGGCGTATTTTGGAAATTTATAAAGTTGACATTTGAGACTTGCTTTTTCATTCAGTATTACATTTCTAAGATCCAAATATCATATTAACTATAGCTATTTTCACCACTCTATAGAATTCTATTTAAGGAATATATTAGGAGTAGTTTACTCATATTTGTGTAGATGGACATTTGGGCTTGCCTTTGTAAACTTTTTTTTTTTAAGGGTCAGTGTCTTGCTCTGCTGCCCAGCCTGGAGTGCAGTGGCTCAATCATAACTCACTGCAATTCGGTACTCCTGGGCTCAAGTGATCCTCTTGCCTCAGCTTCCTGAGTAGCTGGGACTACAGGCATGCACCATCGTGCTCAGCTAACCAAATTTTTATAAAGATATGGGATCTCAGTGTGTTGCCTAGGCTAATCCGGAATTCCTGGCCTCAAGCTATCCTCCTGACAGCCTCCCAAAGTGTTGGGATTATACATAGGAGCCACTGCACCCAGCCTGAACATTCTTGTACATATCTACAAGTGAAAACATATAAGTGTTTCTTTAGTATAGGTATACAGCTATGTGTGTGCATGCATACACATGAGTGGAATTGCAAAGTCTTTGATTTTTTAGTTCACGGATTGAAAACTAGACATGATTCAATGAGTAGTATACATAGAACAGAAAAATGATGGTATCCTGGGAGATTGTTATCTATTTTTTTTTTTTTGCCCTCAGGAATTATGCTTTTTTAAGTTTTACTGATCTTTAAACTTTGATAATTATAGTGAAGGTTTTTGAAACTTATTCATACTTATTTAATAATTGTTAGGTTTTATTTACCAGATTTTATTATTGACAAAATATTTGCATTTTTTAATTGTACAAATTACATTAATATTAAATAGGACACCTAGCATTACATAAAGATTTCAAATTCATTAAATCAGAGTAAAAAGTAAAAATGAGAGTGAGCCAGAGAGATATCTTTTTCTGAGAAAAATGTTTTCATAAATAAACTATTGTGATGGTACCATGTGAAAAAAATCAAAGGGATAAAATATGAAAATTCATACTAGACATGTTAATTGAGTCATGCTTAAAGAATATGTACTTTTATCTTGAACATCACAACTTATTACCAGGAGCTAAATTTCTTTTCTGGTTCAGGTTTGCCTGCTTACTGTGGAAGTCTCACCACAAATGAGCATATTTTCTCCTTAAACCAAGTTGTTAATAGCAATAATTGAAACTACTAATTTTCGAAAAATTTCCAAGGAGTTTTTTTAATGATAAACATTGAGATTAAGGAGGAATATTTTCCCCTTCATTTTATCTCTCATAAAAAACTTTATTGTAAGTAAGACACAGTAGAAACACAACTATACAAATGTATTCACATTTATATTTAGTCATACATAATATACACTAGAAACTGCTCAAGTCTGGGGGAACAAAACGCACAACAGAGAAAACTCTTCTCCTTTTACAAGGTTTGATTCATAAGAGAGGAAGAGAGATTGAAATGATGTCAGATGGTGGTAAGTGCCATTATTTTCTAAGGGGATAAACTCAAGAGTAGCATGAGTAATTTGGAATTGAAAGTTATGAATTTCTCTCTAGAGATGACATTGGAAGTGAAATATAAAAGATGGTGAAGAATTAGCCATTTAAAGACTTACATGCAAAAGGAAAAGAAAATGCTATGAATGCCAGATGACTCAGGATAGACATGGCTCCCAGAAATACTCCTACTTCTCAGTCACCTGGTGTTAGGTCATGAATGTGAAGCAGATGAAGTCCTATTGTTCTTTGAACTTGTCTTAAACACCTGGTACCACAGACATGTGAATGATTAAGGAAAAATGCTATAAATGCATGAAAACAGAAGTTAGCCAATGGAAAATTGTTTCAATCATCAGATTTAGAAAACACCAAGCAGAAGTTAGTTCATTTTGATGTCCTATTTAAAATTAAAGTCCTCTCCTTAACAGAGAGTATGCAAAGCTTGACGAAACCTCTGAAAATTTAGAAGATTTTGCCAATACTACATTGTACAGTTTTTCTGAATTATTAAGTTAAAAAAATCAACCACAGTAATAAAAAGATTTACCTATTCTCTCTGTAGAAAATTATATTACAAAATTGCCATCAAGTGTAAGCGTGATCAAATAAGTATTCCTTTAAAAATATGAACAATAGAGATATATGAGGTATGCTGGCATTAACCAATAAAAATGTCATGCTATTTTCTGCCTTTTTTGAAGTTTATAGTATATTATGTTGTGGAGGATTTTCCATTATAAAAGTATTTACTTCAGCGCTTACTTTCCCATTTGTAATTTGCATTTATATACTTTAAATATAACTCCCAATTTTGTTTAAGTTTTAGGATCCACATGTATACACATGAAGAGAGAGAGACAGAGAGAGAGAGGTATAGATGTAAGATATAGATCGACAGGGAGATAGATGTGTATATACAAATGTGTCTCTATCGGAATAGCTTAACGCATACAGTATTTGGTGAAGAATAGATTGAAAAGGGCAAGAACAAAAGTGGGGAGATAATTTAATATTACTTTTTTTTTTTTTACCAATTCTGATGCTTTAAACTATAGTGCTGGCAGCAGAAATGAGTAGAAGTAAATTCAAGATATATATTTGTGGTGGAATTAACATAAATGATGATGGAAATTATGAAACTGATGATTCAAAATTAAGTGAAAAGTCAAAAAATTTATTTCAGATAAGTGGTCATTAGCTGTGCCATTTACTAAAATGGTGAAGACTGAAGAAAATTGAATTTGGGGGTAGAGATTAAATTCAGTTTCAGAAATGTCATGTTTGTGATCATTGTAAGTTTTCCAATGAAATCAGCAAATGGGAAGTACAATACATATCAGAAGTGAGATCTGAATGAGAGACACACATTTAGAATTTCTCACAAGAAAACAATTCAGAACCATTTGAATGGGTTATATATACAGCTGTATTTTATGTATCCTAAGTTTGCTAGTGCAAATCCTGGCTGGAGTAAATTTTTAATAATATTTTGTTATTCCAATTTTAAACATTAAAATTATTTTCCCCATGTGTTTTTAGCTTACAAAATACCAACTTTTCAGAACATGATAACTATATTGCTGATTTAGTAGTAATTACATATATATTTCAATTTTCTTCATTGTAAATAATCTTGCAGAAGACATAAAATCATTCAAAATAGAAATAAAACTGTGGTGTATCTCATTAAAGATGTCATACCAAAATCATGTTTTTCTCTACTTTGCCCCAATGAAAATGAAAGTTAAATTTTTTACCAAACAGAAATGAAATGATAAAAGAAAGTTTGAAACATCAGAAGAAAGTACATTGAGCAAAAATATGGGTATGTACAAGAGAACTACTTTATTCTCTTGAGTCTTCTAAATTGTGATTAATAATTGAAGCAATAATTTTAAAATTATTTAGTTTGACTGCAAATATATATCAAGAAAATATTTAAGATAATTATCTTAAAAATTTAAGAGTGGAAAATAACTTAATAGTAGGTAAAGTTCTATATCTCATCCAAACTGGTAAACGAATGACACTACTAAACTGTGCCAAGTTTATATATAATATTTATATTTTATATATTATACATTTTTATATTTTATGTATTATATAAAATTTATATGTAATACATAATAGATACTATATGCCTAGTATATATTATATACCTTTATATATACTATATACTATACTAAAATTTAGATACACTATACAACATATATTTTCCTGGTATATACATATTATACAATTGTATATATTGTATAAATCATATATAATTAATACATCATATTAATATAATGTATTATATTCATGTAATACTAATACACTATATTAATATATTATTTTATTATAGATATCATATTATATCACACATATCATATTAATATAATATAATGTATTAATATTAATATATTACTACAGCATGTAAATAGTAATATATTAATATAATATATAAATATAATTATATATCATATAATATATTAATATGTTACATAATATACTATATTAATATATTATATGATATATTATATATATGAAATTAATATTGTAATGTACATTATAGATATTGTATATAGTATTATATATCATATATATATTATTATATATTGCATAGATGTTATATAATATATTAATAGAATATTCTATTAATATATTAATTCTATTAATTATTATTACTTCTAGTAGAATTAATCTAATAGAATATTTTAATTATATTAGAATTAACCTAATAGAATATATTAATTCTATTAGAATTTAATTCTATTAGAATTAATCTAATAGAATATATTAATTCTATTAATATATTAACACATTAATATTATATTACTAATATTATATAAATAATATATTAATTAATTAATATAATACTAATGTAATAATATATCATATTAATGTAACAATATACATCATATTATACATACAACAATAATATATCATATTAATGTAACTATATAAATATAATATGATATATAATTATATATAAATACTATGTATATACAATATATAGTTATATATAAATACTATGTATATACAATATACTAAAATTTATATATTAAATATACATTCCTATTATATATAAAATATATATACATATATAATATATATATTCACAATTTTTAGTAGAACCACTAAAACTATACAGTAATTGACACACTGAAAAATACCAGCCAAAGCAAAATGGAATTCTAAAGGAAAATGTTTAAATAATCACAAGAAGCCAGAGCAAGAAGGAAAAATGAAGAAAATACAGAAAACAAGAAAAATAGCTTAAAAACAGCGATAATTACATAAAATACAAATGGTATAGATGTGTTATTTAAAAGAAAGATTGATATAGTGGGTTAAAAACATTGCTCAATTACATGCTCTCTACAAGAAAGTTCAAATATAATGATGTAGACCTATTGAAAAGCAGGATTAAAAAGTCATTTTATAAAGAGAAAGTGGGAATCACTGTGTTGGTATCAGAATATTTAAATAGACTTCAGAGCAAACAAAATTACAAGGGCAGAGAAGAAATTTTATTATGAGAAATGGACCAATCCACCCATGACACATGGTACTTCAAAATATGCATGTAGCAAATAGTAGAGCAGCAAAATACATAAAGCCAAAACTTGTAACTGACAGAAGAAATAAAGAGGACCACAAATACAGTTGGTGACTTCAACTCCCCTCCCTCAACAACTGATCAATAACTAGACAGAAAATCAGCAAGGATATAGAAGAATTCAAAACTTAATGAACCAAGAGGAAAATGTTGAGATTTATAGACTATTCCACCAATAACTTCAGAGCACATGTTCTTTTCAAGCACCCCTTGGATTCCATACCCTGATGGAGCATAACTGGGCCATAAAACAAGTTTTTCATTGTATCACTTACCTCAACAAATTTGAGTTAAAATTATGCACAAGTTATCCAGCCACAATACAATGACGGTAGAATACAATAACAGAAAAATAATAGTAAATTCTCCAAACACTTGAGAAAGAAACAGCACACTTTAAATAATCCATGTGTTAAAAAGGAAATTTTAAGGAAAACTTAAAAATTAATTGAATCGCATAAAAATGAAAATACAAAGTATCAAGCTTTTTGGGACACAGCAAAAGCAATGCTGAAATGAAAGTGAGCAGCAATAACAGTATACATTTGAAAAGAGCAAACAGAAGAGCAAAATAAGCCCAAAGCCATAAAACTATAGTTAATAATATTAAGTAATTTATTCCATAGTTTAAAATAAGAGCGAAATTCGAATGTTTCTAAGACAAAGAAATGATAAATCCTTGAGTTAATGGATATCCCAATTACCCTCATTTGATTATTACGCATTGTGTGCTTGTTTCAAAATATCATGTGCATCATAAATATGTACAACTATTATGTATCCATATAAATTAAACATAGAAAATTTTAATCATCACAAAGATAATAACAGTAATATTAAAATTAAAAACTCAAAGAAACAAAGAACTGATTATTTAAAACAATCAAGTTGACACACCTCTAGCAAATCTGACAAAGTGAAAAAGATAAAAATTATGAATATCAAAACTGAAATGGGGATATCACTATAGACTTTGCAGACTTGAAAATTATACTAAGAATACTATAAACAATCCTACACGTATAAATATATCTTAAATAAAATGAACCAAATCCTTAAAAACACACAATTTGACACACCCACTGTAAAATAAATCATTTGCATAGTATTATAACGTGTGAGAGGACTGATTTTGTAATTTAAAAGGCAAATCTCCAGTTGCATGTAGTTTCACTGGAGACTTCTATCGAATGTTTACAGAAAAATTAACATAAATTATTCAAAATCTCTTTTAGACAATAGAAGAGGAAGAAACATTTTCTTTTTTTTCTTTCTTGAGAGGGATTTTCGCTCTTGTTGCCCAGGCTGGAGTGCAATGGCATGATCTTGCTCAGGCTGGAGTGCAGTGGCGCGATCTTGACCAACTGCAACCTCCACCTCCTGCCTTCAAGTGATTCTCCTGCCTCAGCCTCCCGGGTAGCTGGGATTACAAGCATGAGCCACCATGCCTGGCTAATTTTGTATTTTTAGTAGAGACGGGGTTTCTCCATATTGGTCAGGCTGGTCTCAAACTCCTGACCTCAGGTGATCCACCTGCCTGGGCCTCCCAAAGTGCTGGGATTACAGGCGTGAGCTACACCACCTGTCCTGGAAGAAACATTTTCTAATTCATTTTAGAAAGCTACAGTGATACCAAAATTTTAAAAAGACAATACACACACAAAAAAACTAGAGACCAATATACTTCATGAAATAAATGCAAAAATTTTTAACAAAAAATATGAATAAATACAATATAGCAATATATAAAAATAATTATATACTATGACATTTAATCTCAGAATTCAAGGCTGGTTCAGTGATTGGAAAATATTAATGTAATTCACAAAATATACAACCTAACATATTGCATGATCAAATAATTCAATGCAGAAAAAGAATTTGACAAATTTTATAGCCCATTACTGATTGTAAGTAAAACTCTGAGAAAGATAGGAATAGAGAAGAACTTCTTCAACTTGATAAAGAGCATCTACCAAAAAAAGAATGAAAATTAAACCAAACAAAAACAAAAAACCTACAGCTAACATTGTACTTAATAGTGAAAGGCAGAATTACTTTCCCCCGACATCAGAAACAAGGGAAGGATATTCACTTTCACTACTCTTTTTTTTTTAAATTATACTTTAAGTTCTAGGGTACATGTGCACAACGTGCAGGTTTGTTACATACGTATACATGTGCCATGTTCATAGTATGAGAAGTTCTGACAAGGACTTCTCATACTATGAACAAAAAAAAGTAATTAAAGTAATTTAAGGGAAAAAAAGTAATTAAAAGATATATGGATATAAAAAAAGGAAATAAAATTGTCTTTATTTGCAGATGAAATGATTTTCTATCTAGAAAATGTAGTCATACACGTACACGTGCAAAATAATCCCCCTGAGATTAATAAATTCAGTAAGGTGAACAACACAAGATAACAAATAAAATTATTTGTGTTTCTATATACACAAAATTAAGACATGGACACTGAAATTAAAAGTTTAATGACATTTATAACTGCTCAAAAAAATGAAATACGTGTAAAATGACAAAACATGAACAAGACTTGCAGTCTAAAAATGATGACATTAATCAAAGAAGATGAAACAAATGGAAAGACATACAGTGTTCATAGTTTGGAAGATTCGTTGGTGTTTTAGTTTGTTACTGCTGCCATAACAAATTACCACAGACTAAATGGCTTAAACCACAGAAATTTATTTTCTCACAATATTGAAGACTAAAAGTCAGGAATCAAGGTGTCAGCAGGGTTGGCTTCTTCTGAAGTCTCTCTCCTATTGTCTTTTATATGGTCATTCTTTCCTTCTGTGCCCCCATATGGTTTTCCTCTGTGTGTGTCTCTGTCCTTACTCTTTTTAGAACGCCAGTTATATTGGACTTGGGCTCATCTGAATTACTGCATTTTAACTGAATTACCTCTTTAAAGACGCTATCCACAAATGCAGTCACATTCTGAGCTTTGGTGGTGTTTTAGTCCATTTTCACGCTGCTGATAAAGATATACCTGAGACTGGGCAATTTACAAAAGAAAGAGGTTTATTGGACTTACAGTTCCACATGGCTGGGGAGGCCTCACAATCATGGCAGAAGGCGAGGAGGTGCAAGTCACATCTTCAATGGATGGCAGCAGGCAAAGAGAGCTTGTGCAGAGAAACTCCAGTTTTTAAAACCATCAGATCTCGTGAAACCCATTCACTATCATGAGAACAGCATGGGAAAGACCTGCCCCCGTGATTCAATCATCTCCCATCAGGTCTCTCCCACAACACATGGGAATTATGGGAGCTACAAGATGAGATTTGGGTGGAGACACAAGCCAAACCATATCAGGTGGTCATACATGAATTACGTGACAGGATGGGGCACAATTTAGCCAGTAATAATAGCAAGAATGTCAATTCTACCAAGATTAATAAAATTTATGAATTTAAGGCAATTCCCATCAAAACACCAGTAAGAGTTTTTGTAGTTATAGACAATATTATTCTAAAATATATATGGAATTCAACAAAGGAATTAAAAGATCTTAAATAATTTTCAAAATGAAGAATACAGTGGGAGAAAATAGTCTATCCAATTCTAAGATTTCTTTTATTAGCTATAGTAATTAAGACTATGTGGTATTGATGGAGGAATAGACTCATAGCTAAACGACAAAGAGAAGACAATTCAGGAATAGACCCAAAATATGCCCAGTTGATTTTTAACAAAAGTGCCAAAAGAATTCAATGGAGAAAAGATAGCCTTTTTTCACCGATGGTGCTAGAGCAAAACGCACACAAAAAAGTGAGCGTTTACATAAGTATTATACAGTATATGAAAATTAACTCAAAACTGATTATGGAATTAAATATAAAATGGAAAACTATAAAATTTCAAGAAAAAACTTGGGAGAAGATTTTGGAATCTTGAGTGTTCTTCGATTTTGACACCGGGATACAATGCATAGAAATAGTTGATAAATTGGCCTTTATTGAAATTAAAACTTTTTGCTCTGTGAAAGCCTCTGTTAATGGCACAATACAAGCTTTAAAATGGGAGACATGTTTGTTAATCATATATCTGACAAAGGGCTATGATGTACAATATGTAAAGAACTCTAAAAACTTAATAAAATAATTATTAACTATAATCAGGTGGATAATTAGAAACCAGACAAAAGACATGGAGAGATATTTTACCAACACCATTAACCATTAGATAAATGCAAATTAAAACCACAATGAGCTTTTATTACACACTTATAATTGCCAAAATAATATCCCTATAGTGAGTGACACCACCAGATGCTGGGAAGGATATAGAGATTCTGAATCCCTCATATATTGCTGACGGAAATTCAAAATAGTGCAGCCACTATAGAAATCAGTTTAGCAGTCTCTTAAGAAAAATATGTGCAATTATGTATGATCCAGCAATTGTACCCCAGAGGATTTATCCTAGAGAAATGAAAAGTTATGTTCACATAAAACCGGTACATGACTGTTTAGTTATTTGTGATAGCCCCAGACAAACAATGACTCATATGTTCTTCAGTGGGTGAAAGGTTAAACAGACTACAGTACCTCAATCCATACCACCAAATACTACACAAGAGTAAGAAGGAATGGACTACTGATAGACACTAAAACCTGGAATGAATTTCAGAGAAGTAAGTTGATTTTTTAAAAGTGAAAAAAATTGGCCAGGCGCAGTGGCCCATACCTGTAATCCCAGCACTTTGGGAGGCTGAGGTGGGCAGATCACGAGATCAAGAGATCCAGACCATCCTGGCCAACGTGGTGAAACCTTGTCTCTACTAAAAATACAAAAATTAGCTCGGTGTGGTAGTGCGCGCCTGTAGTCCCAGCTGCTCGGGAGGCTGAGGTAGAAGAATCGCTTGAACCCGGGAGGCGGAGGTTGCAGGCAGCCGACATCACACCACTGCACTCCAGCCTGGGTGACAGAGTGAGACTCTATCTCAAAAAAAAAAAAAAAAAAAAAAGTGAAAAAATTGAGGAAAAAAACATGTAAAAGTTTACATACTGTAGTATTCATACTGTAGTATTTTATTCATATAACATTCCTGAAATGACAAAATTATAGAAATGAAGAACAGAATATTATTTGTCAAGGGTTATAAAGTGGAGGGTGTATCATAATGGGGCCACATAAGCAACCATTGTGATGACAGAATTATTCTCCTTTTTAACGATGCCAATATATGAATGTCCTGGTTGTGATCTTGTACCATCATCTTGCAAGATAAGACATCACCATATCCAGAAACTGGGTATAGGATACATGATATCCCACTGTATTATTTTTTATGACTGCACTGCATGTGAATCTATAATTACCTCAAAAATAACATTTTATTTAAAAAATCAAATAGCAACATATAAATGCTAAATAAGAATTGTAGTCTTATCGTTGATATCATAGAACAAGAATTTTGCCAGTTTGATGTTTGTATTGTTATGACTTAGACTGACTCCTATGACCAAGTCCAAAGAAAATATTACTCTGTGCCTCCTCTTGTTCCACTACGCCCCATATGAGTACAGACCCAACCAGAAGACAGATCTATTTAGCAATCAACTGAGGGAAGCCTACTAAGTGTGCTTTTAGAGATATATTGACTAAGATTGCCTTAACGTGTCCCTCAGCTTGACTCAACTTTAGACAGATTTCTTCCTGACTTCACACTCCCTTTTCTTAGAATCTTTATGTAGAAAACTTGCAATTGTAAATTCCTTCTCTGTACCTTTAGAGATTTACATGTTTTAAAACTGCCTCTTGGCAGTTTACAACCCAGAAAAGTCTTTTCAAATACCTGGGAGCTATCTCGTTGAAATTAATCATCCAGGAAGCTAGCACTCATAGCTCCTGTTTTTTTGGGAGAGTAGGATCCTAACTTTTTGAGGGATCTTGTTTTATGTTGTCAAACTGCTTCCTGTTATGAAGATAGAAAGTTGACCCTTACTTTGGGTATGTCAGTTAGCAAACACACATAGCATGTAATTCCTTCATCTCAACTCTTAAAAGCTCCCGAGATTTTTGGTTCAATGGAGTTGCGCTCAGACTGTGTTCTGGCTTCTCTCCACTATTGCGATAGTCCTAATACAGTTACCTTTGTCCAGTGCAATCTTTGCTTGAGAAATATGAATAGACGTCTGTGGTCATAAAAGATTTTATGATAATCATTAGAAACAGAGAAAAAAAAGGTAGAGATTAAAAAAAAAAAGTAAATGTATTTTGGCAAAATAGAAGTTCTACAAAAGCCTGACAATAAAGTTGATGTTATTTTTTAATGGAGAGGAAGTAGAGGGGACAAGAAAGACAAGGATGTTTAAAATATAAAAATAAACTAAATAGGAGACTCAAACATCTTACTATATATATGGGGATACACCAAGCTAAAATCGAGAACTAATTTTTTGCACTGACAACATTCATGTTAAAAAAAAATCCTAAAAACCTCAAGGGAAAGGTTCATGAAAAAATAAAGCAACCTAAAAAAATACAATTCATACCGTATTTAATTCTTATCCACTTATAAAATATCAATGATGTGTAAAAACAAACTAAAAAATATATTTTTTTAACATCCAAGGCTCAGAAATGTCACATTTTAGTGTCATACCTTAGGAAGATCTTTGATTATGAGCTTAAGGGAAGAAAAAAAAAAAACTGGTACATAAATTCACTAAAAGAAAGTTTTTCTTTCTTTTTTTAATTAAAAAACACACACACACACACAAAAAGGCAAAAACAAAAACAAAAAAAACAGTCTCATCACACTGTAGCCCAGGATGGAGTGCAGTGGCACGATCTCAGCTCACTGCAACCTCCGCCTCCCAAGTTCAAGCGATTCTCCTGCCTCAGTCTCCCTAGTAGCTAGGATTACAGGCATATACCACCAAGCCCAGCTAATATTTTTTGTATTTTTGGTGGACACAGGGTTTCACTATATTGGCCAGGTTGTTCTCGACCTCTTGACCTCAAATGATCCACCCACCTCAGCCTTCCAAAGTGCTGGCATTACAGGCATGAGCCACTGCACCTGGCCAATAAGAAATTTTTGAAAATATACATTAAAAGGAAAAAAAGAGAGAGAAAATCAATACAGCAAGTAATGAAATTCCAGTACAGATCATTAGTAGGACTTATCAAAGAAAAAAAAGACATTGAACAGAATGAGAAGCGTGGCTTAAGGTTGACAGATGTTGAGGATGAAAGCCGTTAATATGATTGTTTAGATGGTCAATATGAACTCTAGAAATGAAAGAAACTGAGGATGAAAATTATTTTCCAAACATCACAATTTTTACCAATGGAAGAAATCCTATTAATGTAACATTGTCTCACAAGTGGTATTTGAATTGTGACTTTGAACACATATAGATGGAAAGGTAATTGGTATTCATTCTCGAATATGTTCACAACAATAATACTGCAAATGTTGTTTATTGGCTTTCAATTGTGAGTCATTGTTCAGGTCAAGGAAAGGCAATGTTATGCTTAAAGGATGGAATGAAAGAAAGAACTACAAAAATATAAAAGTATAACTGATACAAAATAAAATATGGAGAAAATTTGGTAGAGAGAGAAGAGGATTTATATTACATAAGGTTAAAAGTGAATCAAAAGATGATAAAATGATTATAGTTTAATCATGTTGTTTATCTTACAATAATTGATAGAAAAAACTAAAACAATTGTCAAACACAGAGATAGAGGAGAGGATTTGAGTAAGGGCAAAATATATATTAATATCAAGGAGTTCATAACTGTTATCTTGGGAGGCTGAGGCAGGCAGATCACCTGGGGTCAGGAGTTCAAGACCAGCCTGGCCAACCTGGTGAAACCCCATCTTTACTAAAAATCCAAAAAAATTAGCCAGGCATGGTGGCACATGCCTGTAATCACAGCTTCTTGGGAGGCTGAGGCAGGAGAATAGCTTGAACCTGGGAGATGGGGTTTATGGTAAGCCAAGATCATGCCACTGCACTCCAGCCTAGGTGACAAGAGTGAAATGCTGTCTCAAAAAATAAAATAAAAATAAATAAATAAATAAACAAACAAACATCTAATTTTGCTAAGTTAAGAAAATAACATACAACAGTATCTATTGTTATAGAGGATAAATAACTGAAATATAAGCAATTTTTAAAGAATTCCTCTGGAGGCTAAACTTGGAAGTGAGAAGGTTTTACAAGAGTGCTAATTTTCTTTATAAGATCTTCATCACCATGTGATTATTTTATGGCACATGCATATATTACTTGATAAAAACAAATATTTGAACAGTAAAACTCTACTTATTTATAATTGATAGTGATTTATGGTATAAAGATACTTACTGTTGAATTAATATAAAAAGTTTAGAATGGAAGCAATTTACCAATCAGGAACCAGAAATATAAATATTTCTTCAAACATTTTTTAACGTATGAAAATGTTCTTTTTCCTTGCTTTATACCACTGAATTTGCAAATATCACCGACCCAAGACTCTTCGTTCCCTCCTAGATACTTGGTTAGAAGCTGCATCTATTAACAAGTGCATCATGTGAATTACAAGTAAATAAAATAATTGGCTTTCAATTAGACTAAATTCCCACGAAGTGGATCATGCCCTAATTATGCCTTCCTAGTTTCAATAGCCACACTCCAACTCAAATGTGCTCTTAATTTAATTAATTATATTTTTTACTTAGGAAATTTTGTTTTGTATAAAAATATGCTTTCATGAAAATAGCTACAATAAAAATAAAGATTACACTTCACTGGGAATATACAATAAAGAGTAAGACTTACATAACTTTAGCGTGAAAGTATGATAACACTCATGTCTAACATTTGAAGTTATGAATTTTAAATATTGCTTCACTTCTGAAAAAAAGTTATCATCAATGTTTATATATTTGTGCTTCTGAAATAAATCATCCACTTATTCTATGTTTAAATCCCCCAGCTCTTCTAGTAAAAGATAAGTCACTATAGCTTTGTTACAAATAGGGAGGGGCTAGATCTGTAATCCTATCTCAGAAACCCTTAGTTATATCTTCTGAAATAAATGTTCCGGTTTTTTTTCATTTTATTTCCATAATTTTTATATATACCTATAAAATCATTTAGTCGCACATCTTGGCACCACATCACACACCTTTATCAATAAATGTATTACAAGTAAAAGGATGTAATTTTCCTTCTCTAGGTTTGATTAGTTTTCCATAATTTATGTCTCCCAATAAGGAGTATCATTAAAAATAATCACTGAACATTTATTTTGATTTAAGTCAATAAAGACTATTATTACTAGATAAAACATATTTCTTTATTTTAATTTTAATTTTTTAAAAAGTTCAAAATAAAATGATCAAGATAATAAAAGTCTGAAAATATTTTATTTCTAAATTTAGAAATGCAAGCTATGACAGGTTATAACTTTATCTTTGAAAAAAGTGCATGCAAAAAGCATAGTATTTTTTTAAATAGTGATTTAACTTCGGTATCCCAAAAGGGTTTTGAAAATTAAATAATTGGATGAGAAACTAGGTAGTCAGATTTCCAATATGATAATCACTCCTATCAACATTCCATGCATCTTAGCTATTGATTTATAATACAAATATATATAATAAAGTTTACAATTTATTTTTACATTATATACTCATTCAGTGCATTAAAATCATGGTCAATTTCATTACAGTATTTACAAATTGAAAATCTTGTTAGTTTTGATTAAATTTATCCATAGCAAGATAGTAAAAATTGAGAGACATATTTTCATTAATTAATTTTCAATTGTTTATGGTAAATCAGCTGACTCTGTTCCTTAAATGCATATAACTATAATTGTAAATATAAGATTTCAAAAAAATAAGAAAACAGAGAGTAGAAGACATATTTTATAAATATTTGCTTTGAAATTTTATATTTAACATTATTGTCAATTTGAACTAATGTTTCTTCTGAATTTCATTTGCTATCTTGTATCTTATAATTATTTTAGGGTTTTCACAAATATAATACATGTGAAGCTAACATTTCGTAATGTGTGTTCTAATTTTACTAATTAAAACAAATATCAAAATTTCTCTAATATTTAAAAGACAACATTGATGATGAGGTTTGAACTTACTGAATACTAAAATATTGTGAGAAACAGAGGTGTAGTTAGACATCACACTGGGCTCTATGAAAATGATAATATTTGACCACTATTTACGTACACAAATAGCAATTCGTATGGTTCAACATATTGGATAGATTTTTGTTATATTTGTGAAAAAATGCTGTAAGCATCAATATCTTGAATTTAATGAAAACAGGTTATTGCTTCAATAACCTTTTTCAATATCTATTAATGTAGTCCTGCATGTCTTTGTAGAAAGATGAAGTAGAAATAAAATAATACTGAGTATCAATATTTTTTCATTGTAGCTGAATACTTGGGAAAGACTAAACATATGTACCATAAGTATCAATATCTTGAAAACAAGTTAGTGAAAAAATAACCTGTTTTCATTAAATTCAAGGTATTGATACTTATAGCTTGTATGTGCTTGTCTTGTCCAAGTTTTCAGCTACAATGAAAAAATATTTATTGATACCTAGTATTATTTTATTTCTACTATGCCTTTACATAAAAAATGCAGAAATACATAAACAGATATTGAAAACAAACATAATTCAGAAGAGGAGGAAAAGAATTTAAAGCAGAAGCAAGTCACAAAACACAGTAATATTTCAAACATATTAGGGTTGATAAATGACTCAGGTAGATGACCTAACAATGCAAAATCACTAAATATTTTATGTTTGAGTGAAAGCTGTGCCTGAATAAATCAAATGCAGTTGAAGTTTTGAAACTTTAATATTCTATTCAAATAATTCAAAATTTGGGGGGCACCTATTAGTATGCAAGGCAATGTGTTAAGCCATGGGAATGTGAATATTAACAATGAAGAATGCCTGTGCTTACGAGGGGATTGGTACAGCTGCTATAGTGAGCTATTGAGATAATTACTAAAAAGAAGAAGAAAAACATGGTATCAAGAGAGGTATTCATTCTGAGAAAGGGATAAGAGCTGTCATTTTACTTAGATCTTAAGGATAATGCACAGTGTTCAAATAGAAAAGAGAAAGAACGGGCAGAATCCAGGCAAAGAATTTGAATGTTCTAAGGTGTGGATACTTGGAAGAACTTGGTGTGTTTAGAAAACTGGAAACTGATGATAAGATGGGGCCTGGTTTGACCATCAGATGAGGAAGCTGTGATTTAACTGACACTTAAGGTCCACTTAAAAGGCCAAGATTAGGGTAGTAGACTTGGTAAGATGTAGCCCAGTATAGGTTTTATGAAACTCATGTCTGCATGCAATTTTGAAACATAGATGCTGAGTAAGTGTTTTCTGAGGTGAAGTAAATGGAAGTGAATCAAATTATACAACTGTAAATGTCTAATCATGGAACATACATAATAATATCTACATTTTACAAATCTAACTGTTAAGTCAATCTGAAGAACAAGAGTAACAGATTGGATGTGGCAAAACAAATTGAACCCTACTCATTTGGCCCAGAGAGACTAGAGAGGACAAGAAACAAACTGAGAAGGTGGGAATCAAGTGAATATATATTTGAGAAATAAATATTGAACTTTTCTAATATAAATTTTATCAGTACTTAGTACTTAGTAGTAGGACTAAGCATAAATAAAAATGATAAGAATGAATACAATATGTATATAAAATGATACCAAATTATTCTGTTGTTTTAACTTTTTATCAAAAGTTGAAAGATAAATACAGAAAGTGCACAAAACTCTATTTACACTGTGTAATATGAAATTGTATATCATCTAGTTTCAACAGTAATGCTTTCTAAATGTAACATTTCATTTTTCTGAATTTTATACAGTAATCCAGGCATAATGCCACAATGCCATTTTTGTACTCATATAAAAACTCCAATAATTCTTTCAAAGCACATTTCTAATCAAATTTCTCCAGTTGTCTAAAATTATATTTTTACAATATTAAAATTTGAATCAGGATTATAAAAGTTCTACTCACTGTATTTTTTTTTTGTTGTTGTTATTCTCTTAGGTTTTATTTAAGTTTCTTTTAACATACTTTGGACCCATGCATTTTGCTTGTTGAAGAAATTAGTTGCTTTTTTCTACAGATTACTTATTTTCTGGGTTTACCTGGCCGGTTTCTCTTGTTGCATGTTTAACTTCTCTTCTCACCCTCCCCCATATTTACTGTAAATTTAACATTTCAGGTAAATTCAGCTTTAATTTTATTCTGACAGCTATATGTCATTGGAATGCTGAAACATTTTGTATTGCATCATGCTAGGAGTCACATGATATTTTTACACTACCAATGCTAAGACTGATTAGTGATTGGTGAGTTTGGGTTGTATACAACTAATTCTTTTTATTGTAATCTTTCTTATTGATTCTATATTTTATGTTCTTTCCATCCATTGGTGACCATTTCCTAGGTAACTTTTTCTTTGGAATTACAAATTTATATTTTCATTTTTTTCTGATTTATTTAATGAATTTCTTATCTGGAATTCTTATATAAAGAAGAACATTACCTGTTACACTATGGCTATTTGATTTCTGTAAGAAAGAGTTTAAATCAGGAACATATACTAAATGCTAAATTCTTTCACTTTATTTGTCAACATCAATCTTATCAACATTTTCAATAATGTTTTGCTCTCTTTCTTTTCATAATTTTTAAATATCTTATAAATGCAATACTTTTCAGATATTCAAATATTTTATAATAAATTTTAGCCATTCTTTTTTTTTTTTTCCCCGAGATGGAGTCACGATCTGTCACCTAGGCTGGAGTGCAGTGACATGATCTTGGCTCACTGCAACCTCTGCCTCCCTAGTTCAAGCGATTCTCCTGCCTCAGCCTCCCAAGTAGATGGGATTACAGATGTGCGCCACCATGCCCAGCTAATTTTTATTTTATTTTTTTTAGTAGAGATGGGGTTTCAACATGTTGGCTAGGCTGGTCTCAAACTCTTGACCTCGTGATCCACCTGCCTCAGTCTCCCAAAGTGCTGAGATTACAGGCATGAGCAACCGCGCTCAGCCCTAATCATTCTTTTTGAAGCTCAAAAAATCTCATCTTAGACCTAAAATCCTTCAGGCTGGCACCTGTGTCTATCTGATCAGCCCCCATCATGTTTATAGCTTTTTATCTCTGGCACTACAAAGCAGCCTAGGTAATTTCCTGCTTCTACATAGAATCACTTCCAGGCACCCTAGATTTCTTTTCTTGATGGTACTTAGACACCAATATCTTGTTTATAAGGAGTGTTCATTGCTATTATGTTGTTACTGCTTCCAGACTTTTTCAATGGAGAGAGCTAGGATATACTAACTTTAAAGAGGAAAATAATAAACCCACTTAATATGTATATTATACCTACTTTAAATTGAAAATATATCTACTTTAAACTGAAAAGTGCAGTTTTGTTATTTTTTTTAATTTTCATAATTGTACCTTTTAAAAATATTGAAACATTTTAGATATTAAAAACAGTGATGGACTGGACTATTTCAATTACCTTGCAATATATTTATAATCACTTCAAATTAGTAACAACAATATTATTATGATCAAAGAATAACTGAATGTAGTGTAAGATTATTTGTAGTTCTGTGTTTCTAATGTTAGGTACTTAAATAGATATTAGCAGCTGGGAGGGAATGAAAGGAGGAGAGCAGAAAGACTGTCACTAAGACAGCCCCTGGCCCACCAACATTCAGCCCTAAGACCTCCCTAACTTCACCCTAATGGATGGAGTTTGTGGTAAAGTCTGTGGCCAGCACATCCTGTAGAAAGAGAAACTAGGGCACAGGTGGAAATTCCCTAAAGTGGCACATGCCCAGTAATATGGAACTGTGTCCTCAAGTTAACCCCAAGCTCATCATACCATCATTATTATAAAATTTATATGTGATTTTACCCCCTCTCCAAGTGGGCTTTTCTGTATGAATTATGGGTAAGAACATGTGCAATTTAACTTTAGTTATATAACCACAAACTGCCGATCAAATGACATCATCCTGTCACTCCTCCCCACAAACCCAATACAAGCACCTTTAGCTCTGTAAAGAGGGGCTGACTTCACTTCGTAGAAGTCAGCTTGCTCTCCATCTGAGAGTGTATTACTGTGCTTCTATGCTTAAATAAACTTTGCTTTAAGCTTGCTTTTTTTTCTTTTTTTGGAGACAGAGTTTCACTCTTGTCCCCAAGGATGGGATGCAATGGTGCGATCTTGGCCTTGGCTTACTGCAACCTCTGCCTCTCGGGGTCAAGCAATTCTCCCGCCTCAGCCTTCCAAGTGTCTGGGATTACAGGCACCTGCCACCACGCCCAGCTAATTTTTGTATTTTTAGTGGAGATGGGGTTTTGCCTTGTTGGCCAGGCTAGTCACGAACTGCTGACCTCAGATGATCCGCCTGCCTCGGCCTCCCAAAGTGCTAGGATTACAGGCATGAGCCACCACATCCAGCCTGCAATTTCCTTTTATTACTTAACAATTTATACTCCAGAATATACAATATATAATCAACTACACAAAGATTCTCCCAATGCCTTTAACAGATACATAATGCAGTAGTACATAGTGCAAAGATTCTACAATTTACCCAACAAGAATTCTACTGTTGAATTTTTTTGGTTGATTCCAATTTTACACTAGTAAAAATATTGTTGCATTGAAAAATGTTTGCCTTATATTATTCCAAAGTAATGTCAGTTTACCTTTGGTCCCGGGAAAGACTCCATTAAGTGAGAATGTTGAGCCAAAGATAAAAGCATATGTAATAAACTCCATAGGAATAGTACCATTTAAATACAATAATGTCTTTTTCCCTTTAGTCTATTTTCCCTCTTAGTCTGGGGTGTGTTATCAAATTTTTCATATATTTCTAATCTTATGGGGGAAAAATGACTGCAGTTTTATTTGCATTTTTCTCATTATGATGCTTATAATATAATGGATATAATTTACAACAAACATTGATCCATCTAATATATGAAATCTGCATTCTTTAGCTCTGAGTGACCCAGGAAAGCATCTTGTGTTAATGGCATATGTAGTTATTTAATTATAATCAATTTAGTTAATCTTAAACAATCTATTTAACCCACTACTGCATTTTAAAGAGATCAACTAGGAAAAAGAAAAGGGAAAAAGAGGGGTAGAGTAATAAGAAGGAGGAGAAGAAGGAGGTGGGGGAGGGAAAACAGTAGGGAGGGAAGCAGGGAGGAAAAAAGGACAACAAAGTCCAAAGACAAGGAAGTGTGAGAATTAATGGGAAGGAACCGCTTAAATCAACGTAATTACTTTTGTTTGCTTGAAGCTTGTGCCACAGCTACTCTGTTATAAACCACTGCACTTACATGTTTTGCTCTTAATCATATTTCTCTTAGATGCTACTTGCAGATTAAACGTTTAAAAGTTCTGCCAGATTTCAGCAATAAACCATGCATTCATAGGCTCTGAATTAGATTGGTGTTTCTTGTTAATATATATTTGTCCATTTTATACTCCATAGGAGCTGCAGATTAATACTTTTATATTTTAACTTTGTTATCACATTTAACAAAGCACCAGAAGGGACATTACACAACTATTTACTAAGAAGTGAAGCCTGTGTTAGCTATTTGATCAAACATGTTTCATGCAAACTGCCTAGCTACATCAAAACAATTAGCAGGACCTGAAATTCAATCTGAGCTAGCATTCATATTCAAAGATTTGAATTCAGATAAGTTTAGAGACCAAATATTGTATTTTGATTTGTTTTGAAGTGGCCATCTGCCCATATTAAAAGCTACTACACCAGTTTGGCAGGAGGCTTAAAGAACTGAAATAACTACTTTGTGCAGGTCAGGTTCACAGACATACCCAGTGTTGCTTGGAAAACACAAAAAGTCATGTTCACAGCATATGGTACTTTACTAAGTTACCATCCAAAAGTGTCTATAACTTCTAAATTGTCAAAAATTGCAGCTCTCATAGGAAACCTTTAAAGAAGCCTTCCAAATATATATCAAACTTGAATTATCTGTGGCCAAGACACTTAAAAACAGTATAAAAATCTAACAAAATATTATAGAAAATTACAAGATATAATAATCCTGATGTATGTATAACTTATGTTCTGAGGCATTTGAAGTGCTTCTTTTGATTAAAAAAGGTCTTCCAAGAAATTAATGGCTGTATTTATAATTTTTATAAATATTTATGTGCTGGTCAATTGCCTAATTTGTAATTTTTCAAAACAAATGCCGTGCCACAAAGGACTTTAGTGGTGCCTTGCAGGCATTCGGGTGGAATAACCTTTACTGTCACTCCTCTGTCCTTACCCCCTCCCTACAAATCTCCACATTTATTCGCATCTCAGGTCTATTTCTGGGTCCTGTGGGCCTTTGAAATTCCTTGTCTTGGAAGAGTGGCCATTGAAAGGAGTTGATAGTAGTTCTTGGGTAGCGAATTGGAGTTATAGGGGACTGTGGTGACAGGTAGTCAAGAAGAGGAGCTCCCTTTGTGCACGGGGCTTAGAAAGAGCCTGCAGTACCTGGTGAACAACTGGCTGAGCTCTGTGGAGAGCAAGTTGCAGGCCAACAGTGAGGAGGGTAGCCCCAAGCATTGGCCCAGGAGCTACATGTGTTTGCACTTCCAGATGATGTCACCAAGAAGGACAGAAGAGTTTTTCCAGAGCTGAAGCTGAATCTGTCTGGCCTGGACAATAACACCATATATTCTTTCCTCCTGCACTTTGTGATCTAGCTGGCCACCGCTGGAAGTGTGTGGGCAGAGAGTGGGTGTCCTGGGGTAATCCCAAACTGCCAGCCCTAGCTCTATCTACATCCACTCTGACTCTCCAGACATCAAAGGGCACTTGTTTCCTTCATCAAAGTCAAACTCACGAATTAGCTCAACAGAGGGTGCCAGATCATGTTGAACTCCTTGCATAAATATGAACCTCAAATTCCCAAAGGAACATTTCCAGAGGGGATGATCACCAGCTACTTCATTCCCCAAATCCAGTGTACATCTGTGATGGCTTAACATAACGAGGAGGTTCCAGCTCCTACAGTTAGATACAATCAATTTGCAAAGACTTTTCTTTCTGCAGAGAAAAGCAGTATTCACAATGATATGATGGAAAAACCTGGAGACAAACAGCAATCTGAGTATTCTTAATGAAAATGGCTTATTCCTAAAACCAGTACCTTCTGTTCAACCTCCATCCTTGATTTGGAAGTCCTCTTTTACTTTCCTTCCCACATGGCTGTAAAAGACACTCTGTTCTGAGGAAACACTATTCCCCTTCCTACCCCAACTCTCCAACCTGTTCTGACAAGTCATTTGCATGTTATTCATGCTCCAATCCCATGACAATTGGTCCAGCCTTGGGATGTCTGCACAGATCAGGATGCTACTCATGAGTCAAAACAGGAGTTCATCAGTTCCTCAACCGCTGGTCTGCAAGTAGGGTACCAGCACACCAGGGTTTCAGAGAGCTGGGCTATCTAACTGGATGGGATTCCATTTTTTTTCCAAGGTCCACTGAACACTGGGCCCCTTTTATCCAGTCTCAGGTCCTTCCTTCCCAGAATCCCCACTATCTGAAGATCCTGTCATGACCACAGATAGTCTTGACAGCTAATATCATGCATTGGCACAAGCCCACCTTATAAACTCATGGATATCCCTGTCATCATCTTCTCTGAAAGTAAAGCCTTTTTTCAAAAGATACACTGACTTTTTTTGTGTGGGGCAACCAGTGTTGATTTGATCTACTAAGTAAAAAATGAGTCTTACAGGTCAAGGGGAAAAAACATATTAACATCATTTTAAAGTATGAAGAATATGTGTTCTGCTTTTACGAAAAAAAAATAACCCACTCCTTTCCCATTGTCAACAATAGCTGTGTTTATATACTACAGATGAATTTGAGTTTGCAAGGAAAATTCAGTTGGCCTAATTTGTTATTATTAATTCATTATAAACATATATTTGCTAGGGTCCAGAAATTTATTTTTTATTTCTAATAATAGCATACAGATGACTTGGACATATTAACATTTATAAACTCCACTGATCTTACTTTAGTGACATGAAATCACACTTAATTCTATTTCTTATAGCTTTAGAGTACTTTTCAGATAGTAATTGAGCTGTTAAGGATATAATCAATCCATTGTGTAGAACAACAGATTTTAGTTGAAATGGAAATTTCACCATTCAGTCCATTAGAATGAGTTTATTTTGAGCACATGTAATTGTATCTTGTATTGTTAAACTTATAACAGTTATATTTTTCTTCTGACAAAATAGCCAAAGACAATCAGCAAAACATTTTCTGCAAAATAAAAGCAATATGCAAAAAAAGACAAAAAACAAAAACAAAAAACAAACACAGTGTTAAAAGGTCTAGTGAGATAATTTAGTATTAGCAATTAGTGATTCGAATATAATCCACCCAAATTTGCCAAAGTTATATAGCTCTGCCATCATTCTAAAGCAAAAGGATATATTTTAGGATATAAATTTCTATTACATATATATTTTTTAAAAAGCCAATAAATGATTAAAATGACATTTTCTTATTAAGTATCCATTCATGTTGTTAAAGGCAACCCACAGCAGATTAAAATACAGTACATTTTCAAAAGTAATATATTATTTGTTAGAGCAGTTTATGTTAACAGAAAATTTGAGCAGAAAGAACAGAGCTCCCAATTACTTCCCTGTATTAGATATTTAGCACTTTTTGCCTGGATCACAAACATTTCAGATTCAGTAAACCTTTTTATTTGTTTATTTATTTATTTAGAGACAGAGTCTCACTTTGTTGCCTAGGCTGGAGTGCAGTGGTGCAATCTCGGCTCACGGCAACCTCCACCTCCTGGGTTCAAGCGATTCTCCTTCCTCAGCCTCTCAAGTATCTGGGATTACAGGTGACCACCATGCCCAGCTAATTTTTATATTTTTTTAGCAGAGACGGGGTCTCACCATATTGGCCAGGCTGGTCTCAAGCTCTTGACCTAAAGTGATCCGCCTGCCTCAGCCTCCCAAAGTACTGGGATTACAGGCATAAGCCACCGTGCCCAGCCCAGATTCCGTAAACTTTCAATTTAGGCAGGGTGCAGTGGCTCACGCCTCTAATGCCAGCACTTTGAGAGGCTGAGGCGGGCGGATCACAAGGTCAGGAGATCGAGACCATCCTGGCTAACACGGTGAAACCCCATCTCTACTAAAAAAAACACAAAAAAATTAGCCGAGCGTGGTGGCGTGCTCCTGAGTCCCAGCTACTCCGGAGTCTGAGGCAGCAGAATGGTGTGAACTCTGGAGATGGGAACTTGCAGTGAGCCAAGATCACGCCACTGCACTCCAGCCTGGGCTCTCAATTTAATCCATCCCTAGTTAACACTATCTGAGTCATCTTAAAATGAACATCATATTTCTTCTCATATCTGTATTAAATCATAGCCGAAATCTTAGGTAATATATCAGTCCATTAGTAAACATCCCCGGCTCTAGCAGGTAGATAAGGACCTCATTGTCTTGAAGCAGTGGTTCTCAAACATAAACACACATGAGAATCACAGGGAGAGTCTGTTAAAACATAGATTGCTGCTTTTGGGAGGCCGAGGTAGGAGGATCACTTGAGTCCAGGAGTTCAAGACCAGCTTAGGCAACTCAGCAAGACCTCGTCTCTACAAAAATAATAATTAAAAAATTACAAATTAAAAAAATTATTAAAAAAACCAGATTACTGATATAGTTTCCAAATCAGTGGATCTGGGTAGGTCTTGAGAGTTTGAATTTCTAATCATGTTCAAAGTGATGCCAATATTGCTGGTTCTAGAACTATACTGTGAAAACTATTTGCCTTATAACTTTCATATTTCTGATGAGAAGTTGGCTGTTCTATCTTTAAGTGTTCTAGTTTTTCCATCACTGTATTTTAAAATCTCAATATTATTATATATAACTTAATAAAATTGCTATATTTAGTTCTCAGATATAAAGTCTTCAAGGCCTCTTCTAAGAGGAAACATTTTCTGCGCCTTTTGCTCTACTTATTCAGACTGCATTTTTATCAGTTTTGGGCCAGTTTTTTTTTTTTGTTTGTTTGTTTTTGAGACGGAGTCTCGCTCTGTCACTAGGCTGGAGTGCAGTGGCACGATCTTGGCTCACTGCAACCTCCACCTCCCGGCTTCAAGCAATTCTCCTGCTTCAGCCTCCAGAGCAGCTGGGACACAAGCGCGCGGCACCACACCCAGCTAATTTTTGTATTTTTGGTAGAGACGAGGTTCACCCTGTTGGCCAGGATGGTCTCAATCTCCTGACCTCATGATCTGCTTACCTCAGCCTCCCAAAGTGCTGGGATTACAGGCGTGAGCCACCGCACCCAGCCTATTTTTTTTTTCTTGTTCATACTTCTTCCTGTCCTGTGCCCTTCCTTTTGTAGGTTTGTATCATTTTGTTATTGAATATTATTTGATCGGTATTTCTGGAGAAAGAGAAAATAAGCTTATTAAATCATCATTGCAAATAAACGTATCTTTATAATTTTTAAAATACCTACATCCATTAATATAATTGTATCATATATAAGAGAAAAATATGAGGATAGATGACTGCAAAATATTTTTTAGGGCCTGGTCAGAAGACAGAATTGACTAGCAGGAACAATCATAAAGACAAAAGGAAATTTAAAGTCTTCATTGTCATAGAAATCAAGAAAAAACAGAAGCAATGGTAAAATAGGAATGGGAAGAGGATTGAGTTGATTAGTGTCTTCATTTGGGCAAAATGTCATAATTTTAAAATGAAATTTTGTTAGCCCACATAACATGTTTTCCTATGGAAAAATTCCCTGTTGTTATGAAGGACAACGGGCAGGACTGTTATGCAGTACAAGAGGCAGAAGAAACTCAGGAGCTCACCCCGGGAGAACCAGACAAAGAGTTCACTGAGACCAAGGGCCTCCCCCTCATCTATCAAGAGGAACTTTCTTAGCTTTCCCCATGAGAAATGTGGCTTTACTTCCTGACAAAAGCAACTACAAAATCCTATGGGTCTCAAGCTATCTCTGGATGCTGGGAATCTGGTTTGCCCACATAATGCATACAGGCAAGTGGCATCCTAAATTGATACTTCTTGGCATCAAGCACTCTGCATATTCCAAATTGACAAGCTTTGAAGTTTGAACCTATAAAAGAAAAGAAAGACCAGGGGTGAGTCTTTCCAAGAAAAATCAGACTAACCATAGGAGCCCAGCAGCACGTTGGCTTTGTCATCCATCTCCGTGTGTGGCAAAGATGGAAGGAAAACCCATGCCTTCCTTTCTTTTGTTATCATGGTAAAATATACATAAAACGTAACAAATCAATTTAACCATTTTAAGTGCAAACAGTTCAGTGGCATTAAGTATATTCATATTGTTGTGCAATCATCACTATCATCCATCGATGGAACTTTTTCATCTTCCCAAATTGAAACTCCATACCCATTAAATAACGCACCAGTCCCCTTCACCCCAGCTTCTGTCTACTGTCTGTCTCTTTCTACTTTCTGTCTCTATGAATTTGACTACTGTTGTTACTGATGCAGGATTTTTGCTCCTTAACTCAGCTAAAACCCTGGGTCTTGTTCCACGACCAGGAAAAAATTAGGCACACAGACATGTTGAAAGGTGAGGAGAGCAGAATTTATTAAGAGAAATCTTTCAGCAAAGAAAAGGCATCCTGTCAACAGACTCCCACCTCACAGATTGAATACCAGGCCACCACATATGAGCTGAAGAGTCCAGGCTCCTCCTCACTGCACAAGGCACCAACTTCCCATGGCCCCACACCATTCTCCCAGTGTGCAAGCCGGCCCCAGTCTGTTGCCAGCATGTGCAGATAAGACCCTGGACAGGTTTCCTCCCGTGCACAAAAGCATCTGAAGAAAACACTTGTGGGGTGGGTCAGACATTTTCCGGGGACCCTCGCTCATCTGCCTCCTGCATCTAGCGGTACTTCATGTAAGTGGAATTAGACAATAGTTGCCCTTTTGTGACTGGCTGATTTCACATAGCCTAATGTCTTCAAGATTTATCCGTGCTGTGGCATTTTGCAGAATAATCTGCCTGTTAAGGCTGAATAATACATCATTGTATGTTTATGTCACATTTTGCCTATTTATTCCTGTGTCGATGGGCATTTGGGTTGCTTCCACCTTTTAGATATTTTGGATAATGCTTCTTTGAAGATGGATGTACAGATATCTGTTCAAACCTGTGCTTTCAATTCTAATTCTATAGGGTATATTCTCTAAAGTGGAATGGTTGGATTGTATGGTAATTCTTTGTTTAATATTTTGAAGAACTGCCATTCTCTTTTTCTTAGCAGCTACATCATTTTACATTGCCGCTGGCAATGCACAATGGCTTCAATTTCTGCACATCCTTACCAGTACTTGTTGGGATTGCTGGATTGAAAGGCAGTTCTATTTTTAGCTCTTTTAGAAATTGTTTTGGGTTGATTTATAATAGCCATTCTAATGGGCATGAAATGGAGTCTCATTGTGGTTTTGATTTGGCCTCATTTACTTTTATGCAGGCTGGTTTTCTATGTAAGTTTTCATTTCCCTGGGAAAGCCTGTTTCTTAAACCAGCTATGTAATATTGAGCCATTTGTCTTAAAGCTGGTGCATAACATCTAGCAACACAATAGGGAGCTGCTTTATATAACAGGTGGAGTCCTCGCAAAATCCACTTTTCATAGAGTGGTTGCCACATCAGAGTTTTTCTAGCCAGAAAAATGACAGATTTTTTAAACAGTTTGAAACCAATTTTTGTACAAATGAACTGATAAATTCATAAGTGATAAACAAGATATATATATATAATTTTTATAAGAGAGGATGAAAAGATGTCTTGTATTTTATTTCTAAGTAGCAACTGAACCTTACATTTGATCTTTCTGTCAATAAAATTTCTCATTAAATATTTAGCTGGATTAATTAATTGTCTGATACGTTTTGTCATAATGTCACTATATTAATTAGCTTATAACACCAAAATTTTGAGTAGACATGACATAGACCAAATAAGATCATTGAATTTTAAAATTTTAAAGCAATAGTTATTCTCTTTAAGAATATTAAAGATTAGAAGTATAAAGGATATATATATATGTATATATGTGTATATATGTGTATATGTGTATATATGTGTATATATATATGTGGTTCCATTGTTACTAAATCATCTTTTTTTACCTCTATAGTATTCATGTAAAATGCTTCAGTGTATCCCTTAATGTGGAAGAGAAAAATACAGCAAGCATTTTGTCCTAGTAAAAATAGTAAAACAGGGACAGTAAGGAAACAGCGATTGAACCACTAGAATCCAAACTTGTCTCATACACAAGTATCTATCAAAGAGAGTGGATAAAATCAGGCAGACATTACATGTCTTGAGTCATGCACCTTTGTTTTTAGAAACATCCAAGTGATGATTTACTTTTTAAATCTTTAAAACACAGTTGTCATAACATGAACAGTTTCACACTCCTGCAGAACGCTAAATTATGTTTGAAAGCGCAGGTAAAGAATGTGAGCATTCTTTTGTTTGTGTGTATAGGCAGTTGGTTTTATGAACAGAAAATTATCTGCTAAAAATTGTTCCACTTTAAACAGATATATCTCAGCTATTGGCTACTATTAAACCAGGTTGTTTATGTCAACACTGTTTATATTTTACGTCTTCAAGAATCTTCTTTCCAGTTTGAAATAGATTTTGCAATACTCTGTGTGTCATTTTTCCCATAGCACTTGAAATCAATAATCCTCTACTTTTTAAATATAGATTCCATTTGAGAGCTTGAGTCAGTATATGAGAAAAATTAACATGAATTTTTAAAATTTTTGTCTTTTCTAATTTTGTTTTGTTCTTAAAAAGGGCTAAAAAATTGTTCTAAATTGCCCTATAGCAATTTCCTTCGAAGTTGTTGATTGTTGGCAAAATATGAGCTTACCCAAATATATAAATTGAAGGATGATAAAGATTTGTCCTGCCTTAAAAGTATATGATATTCTTTTTATCGTCAGTGTTACAAAATAGCTATTTACATATGATTTATTTGGGAAATTATTGTAAGTAATTAAGAACCATTTTATTTTTCAGTCAAATAGACACATTTTATGATACTGGGAAAACTTGTTTTGCCAAAAATATTATAAGCCAATGTAGAACTGAATGTAGATTTTTTAGGCTTGAGGTTGGATTACCAAAAGGAATAAAAAGCTTTTTGTTTTCAAAAGAGAAATGAACTCAAATATTAGGGTAAGTCAGCCAATACTTTCAAATGTTAAATCATTTTTCAATGAGATCAACTTTCTCTCTAAGTTTTTCTAACATTCCCATTGTTTCTCTAGTGGAGAAACATAAAAGTGAAAATCTTGTCTGTCGAACACTGTGAGGAGAGGCATTACATCAAAGGATTGAGGGGCTTTTTAGGCGGTAACTTTAGCCCATTCCCTTTGATACTTTAGCATGAATTTGAAAAATAAATTTACAAGTTTTTATTGTGAATATGTTGGAGAAATAGTGGTAAATTCAGAAAAGGCATATTTAAAATACAGAAGAAAATAGTAAATAACATGTTGGGGCTGGGAAAAAATAATAAAATGTTGAATAAAAAATGTGTTGGATTCTAAAATGAAATGAGAACCTTGATGGGAAACCCCGTTTATTTACTTATTAGTGCAATGAATTGGGGGATCTTCCACTGCTAGAAAGGTGGTAAAATCAGATTAAAGTGTATGAAAGATAAACAGAGGTGCTGTTTGCAAGGCATTAAATTTATAATTGATTTTCACCCACTAAAGACTCAAGTGTACAATAAACAAAGTTTCCTATTTAGGGTAGCTTAGTAAAAATACTTTTCTGAGATAATACTTAAGGCATTTACAATCAGTTTTTCTTCTTGCCCTTTTGTAAGCGACAAATGTGGGCATTTGTATTACATGTTCTAAGGGTAATATTTCCACAGAAATTCATCATTGAAAGTTTGAATCAGGCTTTTTTATACCAATTAATTATGTCAATGATTACACAAACACATACATTCGTAGAATTTTAAGTTGTGAACATTTACTTAAAGTTGCTAATATTTATTTAACTTAAAGAACTTTATATGCATTTTGATACTGCTTTAATATTGTTAGATCTGTCCTTTGAACATCAAAGCTCTAATCATTCTTACAGAAAATTAAATGCTATAGCAAATTTTTAATTTTCTGTGAAATATGGTCAAACTCTAGTCTACTGTCAAATTACTGTGTATCTAGATATATTTATTTTGCGAAGAAAATTGAACAAACTTCCTTTGAACACAATGCAAAACTTTAGGGTTTAAGTTGGATTACACAAAGGAACACATTCTTTTCTTTTCAAAGGAGAGTGATTTAAAAAGCTTATGATGACTTAGCAAAGCATTTATTTCTGAAGATCAAATGCTACTTAAATGCTCCTTCCTTTGAGTGGCAACTTCTAAATTAATTGGAAGCATACAAAGTGGTTCTAAGTTAATAATTAAAAAATCAACTTCTAATTATTTTAACCAGCTCTTTATGTTTTATTTTAACAAACAGCAGGTCATCATATACCTTAAAAATCCCTGATGAGTTACTCAGATTAAGTTCATCCAAAGGAGGAAAAATGAATTTCTCCCCTCATTTGTGATAATTGGAGCAAGGACTGTATTAGACTTAAAAATGATGCTTTGACAATATTAAGATGCAAACGTATGTGGAAATAACATTTTGCCACAGGTAAGGATATGTGTTTTTATACAAGCCCTGATTCAGAGCTTTTGAACAAGATAATTATTTTGTCTGGATATGACTTCACCCACAGAATTGGCTTACTCCTTCAGTTTTACTTTCTAACAGAGGCCCTTCCTGACTACTGTGGGACATCAGCTGCCCCAGTGCACTCTGAAAATTTCTTGATCTGTTTGATTTTGTTCAAACATCAATTTCTTAATCTACTATGTTAGTTCTCTTTTATTTTCTACATTGTTTATTGATTGCCCCCTCCCCCTCACCCCAGCTGTCCCTGCCATGATTTATACTTCTCAAGTGCTGGGATATTTTCTAGTCTCAATAGTTGGTCTATTCTCAAGAACAAGAACAGTTTTTAGAACATAGTGAGAGCTTAGTGCATATGTGTCAGACAAAAGAATCAATAATCTAGAAGAAATTTTTAAGAAATCTTTTGCTGTTCATCATCATATAAAAATATGTAATATCTATGAAATAGGAAAAAAAGATCACATGGAAAAAACAGGCTACAATGAACACATAAAAGCCAAAAATAGATTTGAATGAGATTAAAAAAACTGTTAAGAAAGTAAAATAAAATATAAAAATACAGCCACAATAGAGGCCATAAGACAAAAGGGAACATTAACATAGTTATAAGTGTTACAGCAATAAACATTTTTCATTAAATTCCTGAAACACAAAGTCTAATATTTTAAATTAAAAGACAAAAGATCTTCCAATATAGAGACAATTGAAACCAAATTACCCAAATTTTTGACAAAGAAATAAAGAGTTATATACAAGGTAGAATTTTTTTTAAAAGTAATAAAGAATAGAAGAAATGTCAATTAATATTGACAAATATTCCAGTCTAAAATAGAGATATAATTAACCTGAAACCATTGAATACTATATGACATGCATGAAAATGAAAGAAATATTAAAAGTACAAAGAGAAGTTGGCCGGGCACAGTGCAGTGGCTCACGCCTGTAATCCCAGCGTTTTGGGAGGCTGAGGTGGGAGGATCACGAGGTCAGGAGATCAAGACCATCCTGGCTAACACAGTGAAGCCCTGTCTGTACTAAAAATACAAAAAAATTAGCTGGGCATGGTGGCGGGCGCCTGTAGTCCCAGCTACTAGGGAGGCTGAGGCAGCAGAATAGCATGAACTCGGGAGGCAGAGTTTGCAGTGAGCCAAGATCTCGCCACTGCACTCCAGCCAGGGCGACAGAGCGTGACTCCCTCAAAAAAAAAAAAAAAAAAAAAAAGTTCAAAGAGAAGTTAACAGGGAACACAGTAATAGTGAAGAGAAAACAAAAAACTGGAAAACAATAAAAAGGCAATAGAAAAAAATGGTGTCAGGGATTTATGTAACTGTAGACTGATTTTTCTCTGTACTTATCACTTCATGTAGCTAACTAACTGTTTCTTATGTTTCTAACATATTTTGGACATTTTAAAATAGGTTACAACCAACTTTGAAAATGTATAAATAGAGTTTTAAGTCACATTTTCTTACCACAATATTATAAAGTTTTAATTAATAATGTAATTTAAATAATATAAATAAAAATATTATAAAAGTAAAATACATATCTGTGAATGTTTAAGAAAATAAAAACTGAGCTTTTAAGTTTCTTATAAATATTAAATAAAATTATGTACCTCAAAACTTAAGCAGAAGGCTGATTCAGAAAACTCTCTACAGTATCTGCAAAAGGCGAACATACTTATTTTCAAAAAGCAATTCCGTGCCTATGTACATACCTAAACCGAACAGCAGTGCATCAGTATTTTCAATAAAAGACATTCAGGAGAATATTCAGAGCAGCATTATTTGTGAGCTAAAACTAAAAACTACCCAAATGCCCAGCTACAGGAGAAGACATAAGTTAATTGAGGAATAGTCACACAATGAGATTAATTATACACTATGTACACAATGAATAATTTCATTTATATTAAATACAAAAAAAGTGTAACACTAACCTTTGGTTTTAGATGTCAAGTGAGTAGTTAACTAGTGACTGAAATGAGAATGTTCTGGGATGATGGCATTATACTGTTTTTGATCTGACTGATTAAACAAGTGTCTTCTGATTATAGAATCCACTGAAGTTTACGATATGGGCACAATTTTCTACAGACGTTATACTTCATTAAGAACTTAAAAGGACATAGAAATTTTAAAATGTGACTACCATGTATTGACTTTTATAAATAAAGGAAGGAAAAAGCTTTTAATGATTACATGCTTTGCAAAACAAAAAAAAAATCAAAATTTCTTACTTTTTGAATCACTTAGGAAAAAAAATTTACAGACTATTGTAATTTTAAATCTCTATATTTTCCTGTTGTCTCAACATTCACACAAACAGGCTGTGAACACCCCACCAAGGTAACCAGGCATACCAGCATGATAAGACTAGCCCCTGCTACAAGCTCCCTTTCTTGCCCTCACATGGCTGTGGCCTCGTGACATTCAAATGTATCAAGGAAATTGTCTTGCACCTTTTGCTTGTGTTCACCACCCTGAACCCCAGTAAAGCCACTTGCCGCTGGGTCTTTATGCTCTTTCAACTCCACACCTGTGAAACCAGCTCAATTGTCCCATAGAACTGATGTTTATAGTTTCTTTTGAATGAACATAGAAATTGATCCTCCCAGTCTTAAAACTTGAGAATGTTACTTTTGTCTTACCCAAGTCCCTTTCCCAGGAAACCAACCAATAGGGCTCCCAGATAGTATCAAGGCACTGAAACTCATCAGATGACAGCATCTGGACATTGAAATGCCAGACCCTTTCACCCATCGTGATTGCCTAACTGTCCACCTACTTCCTGTTGACTAACTCCTCTTCTTTACCCCTCTCTAATTTCCATTTTACCTCACATGGTTACACTTCTTCCCTGCTAAATAAACTCCTAATTTTAGTCAGTTGAGGAGACGGATTTGAAACTGATCTCCCATCTCCTCAGCTGCAACACCATACTAATGCCTTCTTTCCTGGAAATATTGGTTGACTCACTGATTGGCTTTCTGTATGGCAAGCAACAGGACCTAGACCAAACCTCTGTTGTTTCAGTAACACTACTTAGTAGAGCCTGTGCCATTGGTGCTCCTCTCACATGGTCCCCTGCGTTGCATGCTGTCACTCTATCTCTCCCGAACATGTGAATATAATACGTTTTGTTTTCCGGTCACTCTTCTGTGTCCCCTCTTGTGGTTGCACCTGACTGACGACTTCATAAAAAAAAAACAAAAACAAGGAAGCATCAGGAAAATCAGTATAGCAAAGTATATAAGTAAAAAAACAAAAGTAAGTGATTTAAACAACAGAAAAATAGTGTTATTTGATATGTATTAGAATATTTGTTTAAAAATTGTATAAAGTCTTGCCAGATCTCTTCAGAAAACATCTCTAATGGGAAAAGCTTCCCGTCTACTGCCATAGAAATTGCAAAATGATAACGGATTGTTGTTGATGATTCCATGTGAATATATTTAATTGTATACAATCATTTTTATTAGAATACATTAATCTATTGAGTAATATATTAGCAAATTTTTGACTAATAGATGAGAAGAAATACTGAACAGTACAATAATAATGAATAATTTTTTTTAAAAGCTACCATGTTAAAAAGATACAGAATGGCTTATATAATGTGGCTTAGTGAGGAATTAGCTGTATATCTAAAATCAACTAATTATCATATAGCATTTAAACGACTCTCAGATATAGGTTGAAATGGACATTGCATTTTTCAAAGCATAGATTGAATATCAATTTTTTGAATAAGCAAATGTTGTCTCACTAAATATCAATTAAACCTTCAGAAAAATATTTTTATATTTGATAAAGTTTAAATCAATGTTTAATACTATTCAAAGAAAAGTATAAATAATAATACACATACCTAAACATGGTTAAGAATGTATATCTCTGTATTTCCTGAATCTGAACGTTGGCCTGCCTTGCTAGATTGGGGAAGTTCTCCTGGATAATATCCTGCAGAGTGTTTTCCAACTTGGTTCCATTCTCCCCATCACTTTCAGGTACACCAATCAGACGTAGATTTGGTCTTTTCACATAGTCCCATATTTCTTGGAGGCTTTGCTCATTTCTTTTTATTCTTTTTTCTCTAAACTTCCCTTCTCGCTTCATTTCATTCATTTCATCTTCCATCGCTGATACCCTTTCTTCCAGTTGATCGCATCGGCTCCTGAGGCTTCTGCATTCTTCACGTAGTTCTCGAGCCTTGGTTTTCAGCTCCATCAGCTCCTTTAAGCACTTCTCTGTATTGGTTATTCTAGTTATACATTCTTCTAAATTTTTTTCAAAGTTTTCAACTTCTTTGCCTTTGGTTTGAATGTCCTCCCGTAGCTCAGAGTAATTTGATCGTCTGAAGCCTTCTTCTCTCAGCTCATCAAAGTCATTCTCCATCCAGCTTTGTTCCGTTGCTGATGAGGAACTGTGTTCCTTTGCAGGAGGAGAGGCGCTCTGCTTTTCAGAGTTTCCAGTTTTTCTGTTCTGTTTTTTCCCCATCTTTGTGGTTTTATCTACTTTTGGTCTTTGAGGATGGTGATGTACAGATGGGTTTTTGGTGTGGATGTCCTTTCTGTTCATTAGTTTTCCTTCTAACAGACAGGACCCTCAGCTGCAGGTCTGTTGGAATACCCTGCTGTGTGAGGTGTCAGTGTGCCCCTGCTGGGGGGTGGCTCCCAGTTAGGCTGCTCAGGGGTCAGGGGTCAGGGACCCACTTGAGGAGGCAGTCTGCCCTTCTCAGATCTCCAGCTGCGTGCTGGGAGAACCACTGCTCTCTTCAAAGCTGTCAGACAGGGACATTTAAGTCTGCAGAGGTTACTGCTGTCTTTTTGTTTGTCTGTGCCCTGCCCCCAGAGGTGGAGCCTACAGAGGCAGGCCTCCTTGAGCTGTGGTGGGCTCCATCCAGTTGGAGCTTCCCGGCTGCTTTGTTTACCTAATCAAGCCTGGGCAATGGCAGGCGCCCCTCCCCCAGCCTCACTGCCACCTTGCAGTTTGATCTCAGACTGCTGTGCTAGCAATCAGCGAGACTCCGTGGGCATAGGACCCTCCAAGCCAGGTGCGGGATATAATCTCATGGTGCACCGTTTTTTTAAGCCCGTCGGATAAAGAGTCAAGACCCATCAGTGTGCTGTATTCAGGAAACCCATCTCACGTGCAGAGACACACATAGGCTCAAAATAAAAGGATGGAGGAATATCTACCAAGCAAATGGAAAACAAAAAAAGGCAGGGGTTGCAATACTAGTCTCTGATAAAACAGACTTTAAACTAACAAAGATCAAAACAGACAAAGAAGGCCATTACATAATGGTAAAGGGATCAATTCAACAAGAAGAGCTAACTATCCTGAATATATATGCACCCAATACAGGAGCATCAAGATTCATAAAGCAAGTCCTGAGTGACCTACAAAGAGACTTAGACTCCCACACATTAATAATGGGAGACTTTAACACCCCACTTTCAACATTAGACAGATCAACGAGACAGAAAGTCAACAAGGATACCCAGGAATTGAACTCAGCTCTGCACCAAGTGGACCTAATAGACATCTACAGAACTCTCCATCCCAAATCAACAGAATATACATTTTTTTCAGCACTGCACCACACCTATTCCAAAATTGACCACATACTTGGAAGTAAAGCTCTCCTCAGCAAATGTAAAAGAACAGAAATTGTAACAAACTATCTCTCAGACCACAGTGCAATCAAACTAGAACTCAGAATTAAGAATCTCACTCAAAACCGCTCAACTACATGGAAACTGGACAACCTGCTCCTGAATGACTACTGGGTACATAATGAAATGAAGGCAGAAATAAAGATGTTCTTTGAAAGCAATGAGAACAAAGACACAACATACCAGAATCTCTGGGATGCATTCAAAGCAGTGTGTAGAGGGAAATTTATAGCACTAAATGCCCACAAGAGAAAGCAGGAAAGATCCAAAATTGACATCCTAACATCACAATTAAAAGAACTAGAAAAGCAAGAGCAAACACATTCAAAAGCTAGCAGAAGGCAAGAAATAACTAAAATCAGAGCAGAACTGAAGGAAATAGAGACACAAAAAACCCTTCAAAAAATCAATGAATCCAGGAGCTGGTTTTTTGAAAGGATCAACAAAATTGATAGACCGCTAGCAAGACTAATAAAGAAAAAAAGAGAGAAGAATCTACTAGACGCAATAAAAAATGATAAAGGGGATATCACCACCGATCCCACAGAAATACAAACTGCCATCATAGAATACTACAAACACCTCTACTCAAATAAACTAGAAAATCTAGAAGAAATGGATAAATTCCTCAACACATACACTCTCCCAAGACTAAACCAGGAAGAAGTTGAATCTCTGAATAGACCAATAACAGGAGCTGAAATTGTGGCAATAATCAATAGCTTACCAACCAAAAAGAGTCCAGGACCAGATGGATTCACAGCTGAATTCTACCAGAGGTACAAGGAGGAACTGGTACCATTCCTTCTGAAATTATTCCAATCAATAGAAAAAGAGGGAATCCTCCCTAACTCATTTTATGAGGCCAGCATCATTCTGATACCAAAGCCGGGCAGAGACACAACCAAAAAGAGAATTTTAGACCAACATCCTTGATGAACCTTGATGCAAAAATCCTCAATAAAATACTGGCAAAACGAATCCAGCAGCACATCAAAAAGCTTATCCACCATGATCAAGTGGGCTTCATCCCTGGGATGCAAGGCTGGTTCAATATATGCAAATCAATAAATGTAATCCAGCATATAAACAGAGCCAAAGAAAAAAACCACATGATTATCTCAATAGATGCAGAAAAAGCCTTTGACAAAATTCAACAACCCTTCATGCTAAAAACTCTCAATAAATTAGGTATTGATGGGACATATTTCAAAATAATAAGAGCTATCTATGACAAACCCACAGCCAATATCATACTGAATGGGCAAAAACTGGAAGCATTCCCTTTGAAAACTGGTACAAGACAGGGATGCCCTCTCTCACTACTCATATTCAACATAGTGTTGGAAGTTCTGGCCCGGGCAATTAGGCAGGAGAAGGAAATCAAGGGTATTCAATTAGGAAAAGAGGAAGTCAAATTGTCCCTGTTTGCAGACCACATGATTGTCTATCTAGAAAACCCCATTGTCTCAGCCCAAAATCTCCTTAAGCTGATAAGCAACTTCAGCAAAGTCTCAGGATACAAAATCAATATACGAAAATCACAAGCATTCTTATACACCAACAACAGACAAACAGAGAGCCAAATCATGAGTGAACTCCCATTCACAATTGCTTCAAAGAGAATAAAATACCTAGGAATCCAACTTACAAGGGATGTGAAGGACCTCTTCAAGAAGAACTACAAACCACTGCTCAAGGAAATAAAAGAGGATACAAACAAATGGAAGAACATTCCATGCTCATGGATAGGAAGAATCAATATCGTGAAAATGGCCATACTGCCCAAGGTAATTTACAGATCCAATGCCATCCCCATAAAGCTACCAATGACTTTCCTCACAGAATTGGAAAAAACTACTTTAAAGTTCTTATGGAACCAAAAAAGAGCCCACATCGCCAAGTCAATCCTAAGCCAAAAGAACAAAGCTGGAGGCATCACACTACCTGACTTGAAACTATACTACAAGGCTACAGTAACCAAAACAGCATGGTACTGCTACCAAAACAGAGATATAGATCAATGGAACAGAACAGAGCCCTCAGAAATAACGCTGCATATCTACAACTATCTGATCTTTGACAAACCTGAGAAAAACAAGCAATGGGGAAAGGATTCCCTATGTAATAAATGGTGCTGGGAAAACTGGCTAGCCATATGTAGAAAGCTGAAACTGGATCCCTTCCTTACACCTTATACAAAAATCAATTCAAGATGGATTAAAGACTTAAATGTTAGACCTAAAACCATAAAAACCCTAGAAGAAAACCTAGGCATTACCATTCAGGACATAGGCATGGGCAAGGACTTCATGTCTAAAACACCAAAAGCAATGGCAACAAAAGACAAAATTGACAAATGGGATCTAATTAAACTAAAGAGCTTCTGCACAGCAAAAGAAACTACCATCAGAGTGAACAGGCAACCTACAAAATGGGAGAAAATTTTCTCAACCTACTCATCTGACAAAGGGCTAATATCCAGAATCTACAATGAACTCAAACAAATTTACAAGAAAAAAACAAAAAACCCCATCAAAAAGTGGGCAAAGGACATGAACAGACACTTCTCAAAAGAAGACATTTATGTAGCCAAAAAACACATGAAAAAATGCTCATCATCACTGGCCATCAGAGAAATGCAAATCAGAACCACAATGAGATACTATCTCACACCAGTTAGAATGGCAATCATTAAAAAGTCAGGAAACAACAGGTGCTGGAGAGGATGTGGAGAAACAGGAACACTTTTACACTGTTGGTGGGACTGTAAACTAGTTCAACCATTGTGGAAGTCAGTGTGGCGATTCCTCAGGGATCTAGAACTGGAAATACCATTTGACCCAGCCATCCCATTACTGGGTATATACCCAAAGGACTATAAATCATGCTGCTATAAAGACACATGCACACGTATGTTTATTACGGCATTATTCACAATAGCAAAGACTTGGAACCAACCCAAATGTCCAACAATGATAGACTGGATTAAGAAAATGTAGCACATATACACCATGGAATACTATGCAGCCATAGAAAATGATGAGTTCATGTCCTTTATAGGGACATGGATGAAATTGGAAAACATCATTCTCAGTAAACTATCGCAAGAACAAAAAACCAAACACCACATATTCTCACTCATAGGTGGGAATTGGACAATGAGATCACATGGACACAGGAAGGGGAATATCACACTCTGGGGACTGTTGTGGGGTAGGGGAAGCGGGGAGGGATAGCATTGGGAGATATACCTAATGCTAGATGACGAGTTAGTGGGTGCAGCGCACCAGCATGGCACATGTATACATATGTAACTAACCTGCACAATGTGCACATGTACCCTAAAACTTAAAGTATAATAAAAAAAAAAGAATGTATATCTCAATCCATCTATACTCTAAAATATCCTGGAATATAAAAGGATTAAAATAATATTTTAAATGTGAAAAGAAGCTTAGTGTATTTGACCTAGAAACTACCATAATGTACTATAAAACCATATCTTTTGGCTTACAGTAAAATGTCATGTTTAAAAATAATGAATACAGATCAATCAATTAAAAATCCCAGTATAGAGAAAATTTATGACTATCAATGGGGAGAGACTGATGCATTGAATATTGGATAATTATGTCAAATTAAGTAGATAAGACAGCCTATCTCTTAGTTGTGCCCAATTGGAGATTATACTTAGCCATCAAAATCTGGTTAGGCCAGTTCAATTACCATTGAATTTACCATACCCCCACAGGAGTGATAAGTATAGACACTGAACTCTCCGTATTCTTCAGAGTATTTTAAGAGATATTGTTTGGTAAGCACTGTATGTTTTTCCAGTTGTTCTCTATTTTAAGTGTAAATTTTGGTTCATTACATTTTTCTATACTATCTACACTTGAGATGCTTGGAGATATCTTGTAGATACTATATTAGAAATCACTGTTAGCCATATCAGGGTTAGATCTCATAAAACATTTATGTAATCTACAATGAGAACTTAGAAACAAGGTACATGTATAGGGAGTCGCAGTTTATTATGTAATTTAAGGAGTACATGAGATGGCAAAATAATAACACTAAAATCCTAACAAGGCCTTTTTCAAACAAGCATGATACTTGCTGAAAACATTTGAGCCTTGAGGCTCATCTCTCCTTGAGGGGCAAGGAGAGAGATGAGTAAAAACAAAGAGAAGAAAGTCATGATATTTTGGTAAGCCATATACATGTGAAAACTAAACGTTTTCAGGATCAAATAATTTGATGTAGTCTGGATGTAACTGTAATTAAAGTGCAGGTCGTAAGTCATAAAGATGTTTTAGTAAGACACATTTGAAGAAAAAAATGACAAATGTGATTTTGAGAATGCATTGGTTTGTGAAAGTATTAGTTTAATCATTACATTTTGTTGTAAAGATACAGGACAAAGTTGGAGATTATAGATATATCACTTAGCCTAATGACACCCAGAATAAAGAGCTTTAGCTATAGCTCATTATTCTGAAATTTAATATCTCTCCCATTTGTTTCCTGGAGAAAGCAAGAAAGTGAACCTGTGATGATGAAATGTTATACAGCTATATCTATGGGTGGTTATACCTAGCATGGTCTTTGTAAAAGGAAGTTACTGTTATTCAAATGGGTGTTGCAACATTTTTTTGGTTCTAAAATTTATAATCTAGGTTAAACACAGGAAATTTAACTTACCAACTTTCTGTAATTATCCATAGACATAGAGTAGTGATCAGTTTTAATTAACCTAAACATTACATAAATGTATGTAAATAATCTTAAATTATGAATAGCATTGTAACATTTTAGGGGTAGATTATAAATTTAAAATTACATGTAGAGTAGGTTTATTTAAAAAGCAAAACAGGCCGGGCACTGTGGCTCAGGCCTGTAATCCTAGCACTTTGGGAGGCCGAAGCAGGTGGATTACCTGAGGTTGAGAGTTCAAGACCAGCCTGGGCAACATGGTGAAATTCTGTCTCTACTAAAAATACAAAAATCAGCTGGGCGCGACACCACGTGACTGTAATTCTAGCTACTTGGGAGATGGAGGCGGGAGAATCACTTGAACCCGGGAGGCAGAGGTTGCAGTGAGCCGAGATTGCACTACTGCATTGCAGCCTAAGCAACAGAGTGAGGTGCCATCTCAGGAAATAAATTAAATCAATCAATAAATATAAAAATATAAAGCAAAACAAAATGTGTTTTTTTCCACGTAAAGTTTTATGTGAAAAAAAAATTTACTTTACCTCCATGCCTAGAGGAACTGGTTGAGTCTCTTAGTATCAAATAATATATCCCCATAATCACTAATAATTATTTCCTAATCATATGGGTTATGAATCATACTATCTTGCTTCAAACCATAATTACGATACTTTCTAGTTTATAATCCTAGGAAAGATAACTAATCTGTCTAATAAATTAGACTAAATTTATTCATACACTTAGTCTAATACATTAGGAGAATATACAGCTTCTCCTCATAGGTTAAAGAAATTAAACAAGCTATATAATGTAGACCACACATAGAATAAATTATCAATGTGTTGACTATCATTAACATTAATTCTAATGTGAGTAAATTTATTTGATAATTCTACCCTGCTAATCTGTTTTCAGTGCTCCTAGCCCCTGAGTTATTATGACAGCCATTTCCACTAAAGGTAGGAAATAATTCCATTTCAATACAAGGCACTTCATTCAAATATGTCTTTGATATTGTTTCTAATAAGTGTTCTGTAATGTACCTAGAATTCTCCAAAGGGAGTGAACCCTTTTTCGCTACACTTTGTAAACAGATTTTAATCTTAATCTCTGACAACACAGCAGAGTTTACCTCTTCAGCACATCGTGTGTTTGTTTTTACTCACAACATTGCTCAGTGTGTCCTATTTTCTGTGTACTATAAATCAGTTCCTGTATCACCATTTCTAGGGATATTTATTTCTCTACCTTTGTATCACCAAATCATTGTAAGTGTAAATTGATTAAGACCTTGGTTATTTTATATCTCAAAGACACGTCTTATTGATTGCAGCTCCAGAAGTCTAGATTTTTGCCCTTATTCCCCATACCTACTAAATACCAGCTAGACAAGAGGCCTATATGCCATTGGTCCCAAAAGGAAAACAGTTTCAGATGATTTTTTTTTCTACTATTTTCTGAAGCCTTCTCTTAAGGAGGCATATTGGAGTTGAATTCAGTTCTTTTGATTTTTTCTGACTCCATCTGTCAGAGGCCTGTGAACCAGAGCAACTCTATCTTAAATAGGAGTTGGGTAAAATGAGGCTGAAACCTACTGGGCTGCATTGCCAGATGGTTAAGGCATTCTAAGTCACAGAACGAGATGGGAGGTCAGCACAAGATACAGGTCACAAAGACCTTGCTGATAAAACACGTTGTGGTGAAGGAGCCGGTCAAAATCCAGCAAAACCAAAACAGCCACAGAAATGACCTCTGGTCGTCCTCACTGCTACACTCCCACCAGCACCATGACAGTTTACGAACGCTGTGGCAAAGTCAGGAAGTGGTCTAAAAAGGGGAGGCATGAATAATTTAGGTGGTCTAAAAAGGGGAGGCATGAATAATTCATCCCACATTCAGCATATAATCAAGAAATAACCATAAAAATGGGCAACCAGCAGCCTTCAGTGCTGCTCAGTCTATAGAGTAGCCATTATTTTATTCCTTTACTGTCTTAATGAACTTGCTTTCACTTTGCACTGCGGCCTCTCCCTGAATTCTTGCACGGGATCCAAGAACCCTCTCTTGGGGCCTGGATAGGGACCCCTTTCCTGTAACACATCCGTAACAGAATGGCACACATATATATCCATACTTATAAAACTAGCTCAAATATTAAGACTTTAACTCTCCCTATATGTCTTGGCCTACAATTATGGTTGTTCCCATGGGATCTCAAGCTGGGAGTTAAGGTCTTCTGCTTTGTTTGTTAGGAAGTGAAGTCATATCATTGGCTGTAGTTTGTTAAATTTCTCTTCTTAAATTGGCTCATGGTAATTGTAGAAAGGCTATTTTGATTATCCTACAATTCCGACTTTCAATTGTGAGCATGTCTACCTTATCCTGGGCAAAACAGTTAGGCATCCAAAGATGAATCATCACCCTTCTGTTCTTAAAAGGACAAATTGTGCCACTACCCAAAGGAAGATTGCTTTTAGTAAATCTATTCAAGCTTTCTGAAAAGATACAATTAAAATGTAGACCACAAACAAACAGTATGCATATTATAATACATTGTGTAAAGAAACAAACACAGGTAAATAAAAGTAGAACTTCCTTCAGAATTTCACAGTTCACTAAATAGATCAATAAAACGTCTTTGTAAAAGAAGCTAATAGGTCTGTTGCTGGTTTCAAAACAGTTCGCAGAGGGCAAGTGTTGTGAACTGTCACCAAATGTGGCATCCATCTTATCTATTAACAGTCTAGGGGAGCCCGTTTTCAGAATGCAAAGTTTAAAAATGAAATTCTCTTCTTGGGGTTAGAGCTTTTAATGGACTGACTGTCGCTGATAAGGAAATGATGGAGAGCACAATGTTTCTGCAATCTCATTAGTTGGATGTATTGTGCGAAGTTGAAGTTCCCAATCTTCAGAATACTAAGATACACTAGAAGCTGAGGAGAGAGAAAAGCAATTCAAGGTTCTATATATAACTTTTATTCTTTTGAGTACAGTGTAAAATGACAATTTCCATAACATTGTCTTTTTCTCATTTTTCTTATTAAGAAATAAAGAACAATCCCATATTATTTTAGCATAATATCATCCTTCAAAATAAAATCTATCTCAAATGGTCAGAGAGCTTCCCTTAATTCAAATGAAGTTGACCACTGCATTGCTTTCTTCATTAGAAAAAGACAAGATAATATATTAAAATCATCAATGTCACAAGGCCACTCTTTACAAGTGTTTTGTTTAAAACTTCTAATGCTATGAAAATGTGGCATTTATAAAATATTTATTTAGAGGAAGCCAAAATAAATTTGTTGACCTTTAATCATATTCCCCATTATGTTAGTCTTTTTTGTGTGTGTGCTGATACAATACGTGAGACTGTGTAAGTTATAATGAATACAAATTTACTGGCACACAACTGTGGAGGTTGGGAAGTCCAAGACCAAGGCACTGGCACCTGGCATGGGCCTTCTAGCTGCATCATTATACAGCAGAAGTCAGAAGAAAGAGGATGAGCACACTTCCACAAGCCCTTTTTACAGCGGCATTAATTCATTCACAAGGGTTCTTCCCTCCCATTAGGCCGTGCCTTCCAACACTGTTACGTGGGAGATTAATTTCGGATATGAGTTTTGGAGAGGACAAACATTCAAACTGTAACACCCATGAAATGTGATCTTCTATGGATCATTTTTGTTAACTGTGGATGTGTGAATCTAGATCTCAAAATGCTGAAATATCTGGATGTAAATGCAAACTATGCCAATCATCTAGAATTGGTTAACAGGTAGACAGCTGTTTGTCACACTATAGCTTAACTGACAAAATTTGTTTCTCTATAAAAATATTGGCTTTCTCTTGTTCATTTGTTCCTTTCTTTTTAGTTTAAAATTCAGAAATTTTTAGTTCATAAAATTCAACATTTTATGAATTAAGGCATTATTTTATTATCTATATTTTCAACTGAAGTGATTGAAATATAGTCAGATAGAGATATACAATAAAAAAAACAAAACCTTGCATTTTTGTTCTAGTTTTGCCATATTAAAAAAAATGGTCCTAGATAGATCATGCAATTTTTCTGAGTTCTAGTGTATCCATTTTTGTCTAATAACCAGATAATTGTCAATACCACATATAATATAATCTTAGAATAATGTAAAAAGTATTGGAGATGGGATAGGATAATCTTAAAGAATACATTACATATGTGTAGCAGTGACTAAAAATACTATTTTTCCCCAGGAAGGTAATTGCTATAGGTATGTAAAGTTTCAGTTGAGAGAAAATTGTGTCTTTTGACACCCACAACGGTATTTCTACATTAACTAGAAAAAGAAAGTGACTTCAAACAACATAATAAAAACTAAAATGCATGGAACACTTTTTATTTCCCAGTTGTTATGCTGATGGCTTTAAAGGTTTCCTTATAAAATTCTCATAACAAGCCTAGGAGGTAAGTAGCATAATGACCATTACTTTAAAAAATGAGGAACCTGAGATTCCAAGGGAGTTTGGTAATATACACAAAGTGAAATAGTTAGTAAACACCAGAACGTGGATTCAGGATCTGAGAGCCTGGCTATAAAGCTGATATGATTTAACTATGCCTACAGCAATGATTTTGCAAACACTGTAATTCCTTTAGAGAGGTTAGAAAAGATACGGAAAGAGATCATATTTTAGGCAAACAATGCTTTGAAAGGCAGTCTCTCTGTGTTTCAGAAAATAACTGTACTACAGTGACTTCTTAAATAATCTCTCAAGTATCCCTCCTCCTCTTCAAATGAGAAACAATTATCTGATTATTGAGAAATAGATAAGGAAGCTTACATTCACAACATGATTAAAGTTCCTTTGTCCTTCAACAATGGTTTTGGTAGGCAATATAATTTTCTTTTGATGTTACCTCCCCAAAAAACTGACATAAAAAATTATCCCTTAAATATTTTTAAAAAATGCTTTTAAGGACTTTGATTAAAATAGCTGCGGTCAAGTGGTGTTTTTTTTTCAGTGTCACATTCTGTTCACTTAACAAGGAGAAGCTTTCCAACTTATTTTGTTTGGCTCACAAGGAATCCTTTTGTTAACACCAGCATTCAAAAATTGAGAGAGATCATATTAAAATATAAGTTTCTGTCATTTCTAGAAACATTGGAATATCTGCCAAACCTGGTTCTGAATTCCAATGTGGCAAAGATCCACGGTTGCTGGGTAGCAGCTGCCACCTTTCCAGAGGCAGTGCACTTTGCAGTCTTTCCAAGACACCTGGGGCCTCCTTCACTCATTTGCATTCCCAATCTAGTCTAAAAAAAGCATTTCACTAGTTTTGCAATCTCCTAATACCACCATTTAATACTTTTTTTTCTCTTCTCAGTACTCATTAGGGTCTTGTGAAATGCCCTGAATCCAAAGCAGCAAAAAAAAAAAAAAAAAAAAAAAAAAAAAAAAAAAAATGTTGCCAATAGAAAAGAGGATGGATTAATTTGATTAATTTCCTTTGGATGCTTTGAAGTAAAGCATCAAAGAATCACTGTTTACCTCTTGAAATGTTCAGATTTGATGCTGGAATGAAGAAAATCTGATTCAAGTTTTATTCAAAGGACAATTGTAAAACGTTGGAACTTTGCACTTAAATGTCACAGTTCATTTGAATCTTTTCTTGAAAAATACGTATTTAGCATTAATATTATTTACACTCTGGCTTAAGTTAGTAAAAATAGTCTATTTTAATGTGATTTTTAAATGTAAATTTCTAATTAAAATATATTTGCACTATAAAAGAAGCTTTCATCCAAAGAAAAGAAAATTTTAAATTATTTTTAATCTACTCAAATTTGGACTTTCAGAAAAACTTCTCAAATTATTTCATTATGGTAGTTGCTATAAAATAAGGTAGCTCATGAAGTTCTAAAAATAACCTTGTATGTTAGCCCTAAAATTATATGTGCATTATCTGAGTCAACTGAAAACAAAAAGAATCAATTTATGAAATTATAACATGCATTATTTAAAATACCACTTAAACTTTTTATAACATTATTAGTATTTTGATTCTTTACAAAGCTAAAAAAATAAAAAAGGTCCGGGCGCGATGGATCATGCCTGTAACCCCAGCACTTTGGAAGGCGGAGGCGGGAGGATCACGAGATCAGGAGATCCAGACCATCCTGGCTAACACGGTGAAACCCCGTCTCTACCAAAAATACAAAAAATTAGCTGGGCGTGGTGGGGGCGCTGTAGTCCCAGCTACTCGGGAGGCTGAAGCAGGAGAATGGCGTGAACCCGGGAGGTGGAGCTTGCAGTGAGCCGAGATCGCGCCACTGCACTCCAGCTTGGGCGACAGGGAGCAACTCCATCTAAATAATAATAATAATAATAATAATAATAATAATAATAAAATAAATAAATAATAAATATATATATAAATAAAAATACCAAAATAAAAAAGGAGATATAGCTGTACTGTCTTTTCAATCCTTAGTTTATCTCTCTCCTTCTCTCTACCCGTTCCTCTATCTGCCTTGCTTTCTCCTCGACACACACACACCACACACACACACACACAGAGAAAGAGAGAGAGAGAACTGCAAGAGCTTTTCCCCTTAAAGTCTGAAAGATAATACTTAAATGATGTTTTGGAATAAAGAAAAATTGATGCTATGACATTCTCTTCTTGGAATAGTCTGTGGTATACTCACCTGTGTTCATGGTTAGAATAGACAGTTTTAAAATTATGTATAAGAAAACAATTTACCACTAATTTTAATAATACGTATCCTCTGCTGTGGTTTGAATGTGTCACCTCTAAATTCTAGGTGTTTCCCATGTAATAGTATCAAGAGGTGAGGCCTTTAACAGCTGTTACTCTCTTCGTTAGTGGGATTAAGGCCCTTGTAAAAGGGGGCTCAGGGAGGGCGTAGGGGCTCACGCCTGTAATCCCAGCACTTTGGGGGGCCGAGGTGGGCGAATCAGGAAGTCAGGAGTTAGAGACCAGCCTGACCAACACCGTGAAACCCCGTCTCTACTAAAATACTAAAATTAGCTGGGCGTGGTGGCGGGCACCTGTAGTCCCAGCTACTCGGAGGCTGAGGCAGGAGAATTACTTGAACCCAGGAGGCGGAGGTTGCAGTGAGCCGAGATCACGCCACTGCACTCCAGCCTGGGCGACAAGAGTGAAACTCTGTTTAAAAAAAAAAAAAAAAATGCTGAGGAAGCATTTGGCTAGCTTGCCCCTCTCCCTCCCCCAGCCAGCCCTGTGAAGAAACAACATTCCTCCCCTCAGATGATGCAGCAATAAGGTGCCATTTTGAAAGCAGAGCGGCCTTCACTTGACAACCAATCAGGCTGGAGCCTTGATCTTCCCAGTCTCCAGAACTGTGAGAAAATAAATATCTGTTCTTTATAAACTATCGTGTCTCAGCTGTTTCCTTAAATAAAGGCAAAAATGAACTAAGACACACGTTAACAGTTCACTTTATAGACACTATATTAAAAATTCTAAATATAATTTAGATTACCTTTATGCATAGAACTGTTCATTACGGTTCCTAATACTGAAAGCCTGGAAACAGAACTTTTTAATTAGTGGATAATAATTTTTCTTATACTACAATGTGTATTATTCTGATGCATTTAAAATGATTATACATATATCGTATATGTATATGACTATATATATCATATCATATATGTAAACTAGATTATCCTATATATAGCATTGATATATATGATATATATGTAATATATATGTAGTATTATACATAGAATAATATGTATTACATATATCCCTCTGCAACTTGTTACATATATATAACAATGATATATATAGCATCATATATATTACATATATATAGACAGAGAATTCGTAAAAACAAAAGACATTAAATATATTTCATCTAATGTTAAAAGACCAAAAACTGCCAGAAATTTCAAAACATAGTTTATGTGTATGTGTGTATGTTTTTGTGTATATTTGTGTGAAGATTAACAAGATGAATCTAAAATGTATATGAAAACTCAAAGAGCAAAACATGGCCAAGACAATCTTATTTTAAAAAAAAGTGAAAAGACTTAAAGTATGATAATATAATATGTGTTAATTTTACATTACTGAAAATCAACACATACTCTATTATCATACTTTAAAATACAATATTTGTTATAATCTATAGAATCTAGACTACAGTATTCTATATATGCATCCTAAAAGTTAGCTTTTAAATGTTTTTAAAAGCTTTGGTTTTTCTGATTTTATCCTATTTTGTTTTCATTTTCTTTTTCAGTAATAACCTCAAATAACACTTGTGATCAAAAATAAAATTTTTTGAAATCATTAAGTAGTCCATACAGATGACATGATTGTATATTTAGAAAAGCCCATTGTCTCAGCCCAAAAACTCCTTAAGCTGATAAGCAACTTCAGCAAAGTCTCAGGATACAAAATCAATGTGCAAAAATCATAAGCGTTCTTATACACCAATAACAGACAGAGAGCCAAATCATGAGTGAAGTCCCATTCATAATTGCTTCAAAGAGAATAAAATACCTAGGAATCCAACTTACAAGAGATGTGAAGGACCTCTTCAAGGAGAACTACAAACCACTGCTCAACGAAATAAAACAGGACACAAACAAATGGAAGAACACTCCATGCTCTTGGATAGGAAGAATCAATACTGTGAAAATGGCCATACTGCCCAAGGTAATTTATAGATTCAATGCCATCCCCATCAAGCCACCAATGACTTTCTTCACAGAATTGGAAAAAACTACTTTAAAGTTCATATGGAACTAAAAAAGAGCCAACATTACCAAGACAACCCTAAGCAAAAAGAACAAAGCTGGAGGCATCATGCTACCTGACTTCAAACTATACTACAAGGCTACAGTAACCAAAACAGCATGGTACTGGTACCAAAACAGAGATACAGACCAATGGAACAGAACAGAGCCCTCAGAAATAATACCACAGATCTACAACCATCTAATCTTTGACAAACCTGACAAAAACAAGAAATGGGTAAAGGATTCCCTATTTAATAAATGGTGCTGGGAAAACTGGCTAGTCATATGTAGAAAGCTGAAACTGGATCCCTTCCTTACACCTTATACAAAAATTAATTCAAGATGGATAAAGACTTAAATGTTAGACCTAAAACCATAAAAAACCTAGAAGAAAACTTAGTCAATACCATTCAGGACATAAGCATGGGCAAGGACTTCATGTCTAAAGCACCAAAAACAATGGCAACAAAAGCCAAAATTGACAAATGGGATCTAATTAAACTAAAGAGCTTCTGCACAGCAAAAGAAACTACCATCAGTGTGAACAGGCAACCTACAGAATGGGAGAAAATTTTTGCAATCTACCCGTCTGACAAAGGGCTAATATCCAGAATCTACAATGAACTCAAACAAATTTACAAGAAAAAAAAAAAACAACCCCATCAAAAAGTGGGCGAAGGATATGAACAGACACTTCTCAAAAGAAGACATTGATGCAGCCAAAAGACACATGAAAAAATGCTCATCATCACTGGCCATCAGAGAAATGCAAATCAAAACCACAGTGAGATACCATCTCACACCAGTTAGAATGGCAATCATTAAAAAGTCAGGAAACAACAGGTGCTGGAGAGGATGTGGAGAAATAGGAACACTTTCACACTGTTGGTGGGACTGTAAACTAGTTCAACCATTGTGGAAGACAGTGTGGCAATTCCTCAAGGATCTGGAACTAGAAATACCATTTGACCCAGCCATCCCATTACTGGGTATATACCCAAAGGACTATAAATCATGCTGCTATAAAGACACATGCACACGTATGTTTATTGCGGCACTATTCACAATAGCAGAGACTTGGAACCAACCCAAATGTCCATCAATGATGACTGAATTAAGAAAATGTGGCACATATATACCATGGAATACTATGCAGCCATAAAAAAAGATGAGTTCATGTCCTTTGTAGGGACATGGATGAAGCTGGAAACCATCATTCTCAGCAAACTATCTCAAGGACAAAAAAACAAACACTACATGTTCTCACTCATAGGTGGGAATTGAACAATGAGAACACTTGGACACAGGTAGTGGAACATCACACATCGGGGCCTGTGGTGGGATGGGGGGAAGGGGGAGGGATAGCATTAGGAGATATACCTAATGCTAAATCACGAGTTAATGGGTGCAGCACACCAACATGGCACATGTATACATATGTAACAAACCTGCACGTTGTGCACATGTACCCTAGAACTTAAAGTATAATTTAAAAAAAGAAATAATTAAGTCATCCATACAAACAAATTCACCACTCAACTTGGAACCAAGGTGGTGCTCATGCTCCCTCTAGAGTCCCTACCACCATGACAGTCAGTAATTCTAGAATTAATGTTTTTTGCGATTGCTGAATTCTGTGTTTGCCCTTCCCCTACATTATTTCAATATTCACTTCCCCTCTGCAACTTATTGCAATTGCTCTTCCCATGGCCAGTTATCTTAGTTTTGGCTGTTGTGACAGAATACCACAGACTGGGTCGTTTAAACAACAAACATTTATCCAAGATGAATGTGCTGACGGTAGATCTGGTATCTTATGAGGGCACTCTTCATGATTTGCCAATGGCTGTCTTCCGGTTATGCCTTCACATGGCAGAGATAGAGAAACAGAGAGGAAAAAAAAATAAGCTCTCTCTAGTCTCTTATTATAAGGACACTAACCCCATCATGAGCTCTCCACTGTCACGACCTGATTACCTCCCAAAGGCCTCAGCTCTTAATACCAAATCCATTGGGAATCAGGATTTCAACACTCAAATGTTGAAATGTTTCACCACCCCCATTTTGGGGGGATGAAAACATTCAGTTCATAACATCAGACATATTGGTTATCTTGACATCTAAAGAAATAGTTCTGGATATAGCAGTGCTTCAAGAATTATAGACAATAGATATGAAATATTTTTCATATGTGGTCCAAGAAATTCAAGTATAGGTGCCACTCACTTTACTTTTATTTTCTTCCTGATCTCTGAAAATTAAAAAAAAATCATTTTAGTTGGAGTATCATTGTGATGGTTAATTTTAAGTGTCAAATTGATTGGATTGAAGGATGCCTAGATAGCTGTAAAGTGTTGTTTCTGGGTATGTCTGTGAGTGTGTTACCAGAGGAGATTGACATTTGAGTCAGTGGACTGGAAGAGGAAGACCCACCCTCAATGTGAGTGGATACCGTTCAATCTGCTGCCAGCATGTCTAGAACAAAGCAGGCAGAAGAAGGTGGGATAAGCCGACTTGCTGAGTCTTCTGGCTTTCATCTTTCTCCCATTCTGAATGCTTCCTTTGGTTCCTCCTGCCCTTGGACATCAGACTCCAGGTTCTTTGACCTTTAAACTCTTGGGCTTACAACAGTGGTTTGCTGGGTGCTCTCAGGCCTTCAGCCACAGACTGAAGGTTGTACTGTCAGCTTCCCTGCTTTTGAAGCCTTGGACTTGGATTGAGCCACTACTGGCTTCTTTCTTCCCTAGCTTGCAGATGTCCTAAGTGGGACTTTGCCTTGTTATCATGTAAGTCAACTCTTCATAATAAACTCCCTTTCATATATACATATATCCTATTAATTCTGTCCCTCTGGAGAACCCTAATAGAATCAAATATGTGCAAAAACATACACAAAATGAAGACAAAATATATACCATATACAAGACAGACTATTATTCACACCCTAGAATCATCCTTTTCTCCATTCAGGCATACCAACTCTCTATTCTAAAATTAACCATTATCTTCCCTTCTAGCACCCTAAACTATTTTACCCTGGTTTTTAGCTTATATTAATGGAATTGTACAGTATGAGTTAATTTCTCTTTATTTTGTTCAATATTGTCTTTTTGACGTTGACTATGTAACTCTGTAGATATTTGTGCCTTTTTATTACTATACGTTATTTTACTGTGCAAATATATCATAATATTTATCAATTCTAATTTAGATGAGGATTTGGGGTAATTCCATGTTTTGTCAGTCAAGAACATGCTTAGACTTGTGTCTAAGGTGTATATGTACATATAATTGATGGATATATACTTAGCAATGCAATGGGTGCATCATACAAAATACATCAGCTTGGCAGTCAAATAATTTTTCAACATGTTGTCTAAGAGATCTGGTTGCTCCACATTCTATCCAATATTTAATATAAACAATCAGGTGTGTGTTTAAAGGTATCCCATTATGGGTTTATTTTGCATTTTTTGAAGACAGATGATATTTAAATTATGTGCATATTTGTATTGTCCTTTTGAATACTCTCTTTGAGAAATCTCTGAGCAAGTATTCTTTTTATCTTATATGTACATACACTCATGTGCATGCACATATATATGAATGTGTGCATGTAAACACATAAAAATGCTCTGCATTAAAGAACATTATAAGTTATATGTACTGTAAATATCTAAAGATCTACTTCCATGCTGCAGTTTGCCTGTTAGCTTCCTTAGCAGCATATTTTCAATATATAAAGTCCTTTATTTGAATCTATTGTAATTTCTCAATATTTTAATTTTTCCCTATGCTTTAAATATCCTCTTCAATAAAGCATCGCCTTACCTTGTGTCAGGTAGGTATTCAACAATATTATCTTCAGGAAGCTTTATGTTTCCATATGCTGTTTTCTCTAGAATAGAACTGAGTGTATAATGTGAGCTTGGGGGAAAGTCTTACATGTATATAAACATATAATTTGAAATTATATTCATTTTAAATATCTTTCTTTCCTCTTTTCTGTGCAGTGTTACATTAACAATTGTAAAGGTCATGTATGAGAAACCCATAGCAAACATCATATTTAACAGGAAAACTGAAGCTTTTTCTCTAAGAACTCAAACAAGACAAGGATGCCCACTATCACTATGCTTATTCAACATAGTACTGAAAATTCGATCCAAAGAAATTAGGGAAGAGAAAAAAATAAAGGGCATCCAAATGGGAAAAGAGGAAGGCAAATATCCCTCTTTGTAGATGACATGATCTTATACATAGCAAAACCTAAAGGCTCCAGAAAAAAAAAAGAAAAAAGAAAAAAAAAACTGCAAATAAATGAAAATTGAACTGATAAATGAATTCAGTAAAATTGCAGGATATATAATCAATGTATAAAAATCAGTAGTGTTTTCATACACCCATAATGAACTTTCTGGATAGGAAATTAAGAAATCATGCCCATTTAGAGTAGCTACAAAAACTAATTAAATATCTAGACATAAATGTAACTAAGAATGTGAAACATCTCTACAATAAAAACAACAAAAGACTGATAAAAAAGTTGAATAAGATACAAACAAATGAGAAGACATCCCATACTCATGAGTTGGAAGAATTAATATTGCTAAATGACCATACTACCCAAAATGATCTACAGATGCAATGCAATCACTAACAAAATACCAAGTCATTATTCACAGAAATAAAAAAAAAATACTAAAACTCATATGAAACAACAAAAGGCCCTGAGTAGCCAAAACAATCCTGAACAAAAGGAACAAAAGTGGGGCATCACACTACCTTACTTCAAAAATACTACAAAGCAAGAACAACCAAAACAGCCTAGTAATGATATTAAAACCGACAGACCAATGAACAAAATAGAAAATCAAGAAATAAATACACATATTTACAGCCAACTGATGTTCAAATGACATGCCAAAAACATCGATTGAGGAAAGGGACACTCTTCAATAAATCATGTTTGGAAAATGGGAGACCTATATCCAGAAGAATGGAACCAGACCCCTGTCTCTCACAACATACAAAAAACAACTAGAAGAGGCTAAAAACTTAAATGTGAGACCCAAAACTGTTAAACTACTAGAAAAAAATGTTTCAGGACATTCATCCAGGCAAAGATTTTTATGGGTAAGATAAAAAGGGAAAAAAGCAAAAAAGAGACAACTGAAACTATGTCTAACTAAAAAGGTTCTGCACAGCAAAGGAAACAATCAGCAGAGTGAAGAAATAGCCTGCAGGAATGGAGGAAATATTTGAAAACCATTTATCTGGTAAGGGATTAATACCCAGAATATATAAGAAACTCAAAAAATTCAACAATAAAACCCAAAATAATCCAAATTTTAAAATTGGCAAAGAATCTGAATATAGATTTATCAAAAGAAGATATACAGAGGGCCAAGTATATGAAAAAAATGCTCAACATCACTAATCATCAGGGAAATGTAAATCAAAACTATAATAAGATATCATCCCAGTTAGAATAACTACTATCAAAAAAGTGACAAATGTCAAGAATGCAGAGAAAAGGGAACTCCTATATACTGCTGGTGGGAATACAAATCAGGACAGACATTTTGAAAAACAATGTGGAAGTTTATCATAAAATGAAAAATAGAACTACCATGTGATCCAACAATCCCACTACTGGGTATTTATCCAAAAGAAAGGAAATCAGTATATTGAAGAGATAGTTGCACCCTCTTGTTTATTGCAGCACTACTCACAATAGCCAAGATATAGAATCAATGTAAATAACCATCAACAAATGAATGGATAAAGAAAATGTGACTAGATAGATATATACATATATACATACATGTATCTATCCATACATATATGTATCTATATATATACACACACATAGATCTATCCATATATATACATACATGTATCTATCCATATATACACACATGCACACACACACATAAATGAAATCTTATCTTTTGTGACTATATATATATAAACCTGGAGGACATTATCTTAAGTGAAATAAGTCAGGGACATAAATACTGCATGTTCTCACTCCTGTGTGGGAGCTAAAAAAACAGAGCTCACAGAAGTGGAGAGTGGAGTTTCGGTTATTATAGGCTGCAAAGGGCAGTGGGGAAGGAAAGATAGGAAGAGGCTTTTTAATGGACACAAAATAACAGCTATTTGGAGGAATAAGTTCTACTGTTCTATGGCACTGTAGTGTAAATATGGTTAATAGCAGTCTATTATATATGTTAAAATGTTAGAAAAGAGGATTTTGTATGTTCTCAATGCAAAGGAATTGTAAATATTTGAGGTGATGGATGTCCTAATTACACTGATTTGATCATTACACATTGTATAGAGGTATGAAAATATCACTCTCTCCCCCATAAATATGTACAATTATTGTGTCAACTAAAAATAAAATAAAACCTATAGATACATAATACAATGCTTTGTAATCTTATGTGGGCTGCTGACTTCTTTGGTAGCTTCGGGTAGAAGCTATAGATACTTATAAACTACATCAATAAAAAGATGTGGCATACCAAATAAAAATGAGCTTATTGATTTTTCTCAACAGTATATTTGGATTTCACTCTATTAATTTTGGTTCCTCTTTTCATTGGTGTTTTTCTATTACTTTCTTTGATGTTAATCTATGGATATTTTCATAACTTTCTGAAACCGACATCTTGACCTGAAAAAATAGATATTTTTCAGCCTATTTGCTTAAGATAATGAGTTTCTCTACATTGCCTTTGTGATAATACACAAATTTCAACCTGCTTAGGATAAGATACTAAGCCTTTTAAAAAAACTTTTAAGTTCAGGGGTGCATGTGCGGGATTATTATGTAGGTAAATTTGTGTCATGGGGGTTTGTTGTATAGATTATTTCTTCTCCCACGTATTAAGCCTAGTACTCGTTAGTTATTTTTGCTGATCCTGTCCCTCCTCCCACCATCCACCCTCAGATAGGCCCCAGTGTGTTTGTTCCCCTCTATGTGTCCATGTGCTCTCATAATTTAGCTCCCACTTGTGAGTACATGCGGTATTTGGTTTTCTTTTCCTGTGTTAGTTTGCTAAGGATAACGGCCTGCAGCTCCATCCATATTCCTGACAAAGGACATGATCTCATTTTTTATGGCTGCATAGTATTCCATGGTGTATATGTACCACATTTTCTTTGTCAGTCTATCATTGATGAGTATGTAGGTTTATTCCACGTCTTTGCTATTGTGAATGTGAGTGCTGCAATGAACATACACATGTATGTGTCTTTATAACAGAACAATTTATATTCCTTCTGATATTATACCCAGTAACGAGTTTGCTGAGTCGAATGGTATTCCTGTTTAGGGCTTTGAAGAATTGCCACAGTGTCTTCCACAATGTTTGAACCAGTTTATAATCCAAACAACAATGTATAAGCCAATTTATAAGCATTTTTTTTTCCATGAACTTACCATCATCTGTTGTTTTGACTTTTTAGTAACAGCCATTCTAACTGGTTTGGGATGATATCTCCTTACAGTTTTTAATTTGCATTCCTCTAATGATCAGCGATGTTGAGCTTTGTTTCATATGATTGTTGGCCACGTATGTCTTCTTTTGAAAAGTGTCTGTTATGTCCTTTGCCCACTTTTTTATGTGTTATTTTATTCTTATAAATTTGTTTAAGTTCCTTATAGATGGTAGATACTAGACCTTTGTCAGATGCATAGTTTGCAAACATTTTCTTCCATTCTGTATGCTGTCTGTTCACTCTGTTGATAATTTCCTTTGCTGTGCAGAAGCTCTTTAGTTTAATTGGGTCCAATTTATCAATTTTTGCTTTTGTTGCAATTGCTTTGGCATCTTTCTCATGAAATCTTTGTCCGTTCCTATGTCCTGAATGATATTGCCTTGGTTGAAGATAAAATACTAAGTCTTGAATGATTTTTCAGTATTAAATCCTTAATAATTATTTTTTTGTAAGCATTCCTTCTTTACGAGCTCGAAAGATGTTAAGTTTTGACAGTAAAGGACACTAGAAGGATATTGCATGGGGAAGGGGCTTCTTGTCCGCGTGTGTCTTCTTTTCTTTTTGTCACAGAGGTGCTCGCCTGTTGTTCAGAACACTGAAGCTAGAGCAAGCCTCAGCAAATAGCTGAAGTCAACTTGAGAGCTAGTTCTCTGGGTCTGAAGTTGATTTGACATCAAGTTCAATAGCATCCTTAAGTGTATGCTAGCCAGCTTCCCAGCAAGTTCAACTGCACTCCACCTAACCCAAATGCAGCTTTTCCTGTTTCCTTTACACCAGAGGAGGCAATTTCCGTCTTGCCAGCCTCACCCTGTGGAATGTTAGTGAACTCCTCCACTATCTGCTGGGCTACAGCCACACCTGCTCCAGGAGGCCTGACCTAGTGGGAGAGGCATGAGGAGGAGGGTGGAGTATGGGAGAAGAGGAACTCTCCTAAATGTATTCCTTCCTTTTGTACTATACATTAGCTCTAAGACCACTGGTTGCTTTCTATATTGGTTTTCTTGCATTCTTTAGAGCTCTATTTCTCTTGATAGCTAATTCCCATTTGCTCCATTCACCTGTTACTAATAATTTTTTGATAAACTGCCCCCATTCCAATAACTACATACTTTATCTTATGATTAAAGCAGCGTGATTAAGAGAAAGAGACAGATTCAATGAATCCAGCTGACAAAATATAATTGTTAAATATTTGGGTCAAATAGAAGGCACACGGAAACATGAAAATACTGTCTGTAGATAAAAACTTTCTTGCTGGAGAGGAACAAAAGAGGGGAAAAACAAAAACAGAAAACAAAACAACAACAACAACAAAAAAAAAACAACTATGGACCTAACGACTAATCTCCAGAAATAAGAAAAAAAATCTCTTCCTTAACTAATCACAAGAATTATTGCAACGGTAAACATAAAGGCAGTTTTGAAAACTGTATGGCATATTTGACAGGTTCATTCCATGTAAAAAGAAAAAATCAGAAATCTATAAGAATAGCACTAACAGAAGTAAAAAAAAATAAATCAAAATGTGATTGAAATAAAATGGTTTAAGTGTTATTCAAGTTCCAGGTGTTATGGACCACCGTGTGACTGATGCTTTAGTGATGCAACCACGTCTGTATTTTTACAGCAACTGACAGTTTTCTGAGTCTTCCCAGACTTAACATTTCATCCCATTGGTTCTGGTCAGGCAATGCCCTTAAGTTCACCACAGCCAATCCTTAATCTTACAGATCAACCAACTTCACTGCCCTGGATGGGACTGAAACCTGCCTTTCCATGTGGGATATTTGTAATATCCAAATTAATGATTATAATCTAAATGCCATCTTAAGAAATCTAACAAAAAGTGGAATTTATGGTTGAAAATATGTCTGCAAGTTTATCACATCTCTAAAGTAATCAAAATAAAGAGGACAGGGAGTCACTTCTCAAAGAAACAATTTTACTTGTACAGTTGACTCTTGAACAATACAAATTTAAACTGCACAGGCACAATTATATGAAGTTTTTCAGTAAAGTTACAATGACTGTTCTTGCCTCTCCTGTCTCCCCTTCTACCTTCTGCACCTGTTCCATTTCTGCCACCCTGAGACAGCAAACTCCCTGCTTGCTCTCCTCTTCAACCTACTCAATGTGAAGATGATGAAGATGAAGACTTTTATGATGCTCTTTTTTCACTCAGTAAAGAGTAAATATATTTTCTCTTCCTTATGATGCCTTAGTAACATTTGCTTTTCTCTAACTTCATTGTTAAAATAGAGTATATAACACATATACAAAATATATGTTAATCAACTGTTTATGTTATCGGTAAGGTTTCCAGTCAACAGTAGGTTAATGGTGATTAAGATTTTGGAGAGTCAAAAGTTATGTGCGGATTGTCAACTGTATAAGATCAGTGACTCTAACCACAGCATTGTACAGGGGCCAACTGTATTTTAAATTTTCAAAATTCATGTGTGTCCCTCTAAGTCAGTAAAATAAACTGAATTCTGATTCTGTTTGGCCTGTGAAATCTCTTCTTCACAATGTTGAAATAATGAATGAACGAATTAAATTTATTCCCGACAATTTTAAAGTTTCATTTGTAAATTGATTAAAGCAGAACTTACATATAAAATTTCATGGATCTCTATTATAGAAGGAATTTTTCTGAGTCAAACTTTACTTATTTATTTATTTTTTTGAGATGGAGTCTCGCTCTGTCGCCCGGGCTGGAGTGCAGTGGCGCTATCTCGGCTTGCTGCAAGCTCCGCCTCCCGGGTTCATGACTTTCTCCTGCCTCAGTCTCCCGAGTAGCTGGGGCCACAGGCACCCTCCACCATACGCGGCTAAATGTTTGTATTTTTAGTAAAGACAGGGTTTCACCGTGTTGGCCAGGATGGTCTCGATCTCCTGACTTCGTGATCCGCCCGCCTCCGCCTCCCAAAGTGCTGGGATTACAGACTTGAGCCACCGCGCTCGGCGAGTCAAACATTTTTAATGCTATATATTAGTATATTGAAACACACATTATTTATTTGCTTACACTTTCCTATATGGCATCATATAATGAATGAATAATTGTGACTTTTCATATCTCCTTTGTGTTATTTTATCTTACCAGTTTCATTTTTTTCTTTAACTTACTGTGGAATTCTGAATGTTATGTAAATTTTATTGAAAAGTTACTTAATAGTAATTCACAAAGAATCTGTCAATGCATCTCTCACTCCAAATTGTTCAAAGGCCATTTTTTTCTCTCTTCATTTGATCCAAGTAAAAGAATAATCATGTTTAAACTCTTCATTTCAAATCCATTCCTTGTGCAAATTCAAGCCCAAATCTAAAATGAACCAAAATATGAGCTAACTTCACATTTTCAAAATAGATATTCTTTACTGCATGACTTTTTCTCTGTATGGATTTAGAGTTTGTACCCATGAACATTTAAAAATATATGTATAAAATTCAACATTCTTATTTTTTAAAAGAATGTTCATACAAGAACCTGCCTCTCAACTAGATGGCAATTTTATAAGTCACTTCTTTCTTCTTTTGACAGCCTATTTGTCCTACTATATAAAACTCATGAAGAAAGGCTTGTGGTAAATGACAGTGTATTTCACAGGTCATGTAATTTGCAATTTGTCATTCTTCATATTGCAGGAAATGATACATGGTGTCAACAACACATAAACAATATACTAACATTTTTGCTGCCTTTCAGTATGAATATAGTTTTCTCTTGAATTCTGATGATAGACAAGGCAAACTAATTTTTTTTCAACTATGAATTGTATAAGATATGAATTATGCTGTGTATGATGCTATTACCCTGATATATCTAATAGATGTGTCTTGTTTGGTGGAAGCATTGTATAAATTTCTAGAAAGAAAGGTACTTTTTATCATTCATTCATTCAAGTATTAATCCAGTCTCTAAGGAATTAAAAAATTACTTAGGTTTGGGAGGCCGAGGCAGGCAGATCACGAGGACAAGAGATTGAGTACACCCTGGCCAACATGGTGAAACCCCATCTCTACTAAAAATACAAAAATTACCTGGGTGTGGTGGTGCACACCTGTAGTCCCACCTGCTGAGACAAGAGAATTGCTTGGACTCGGGAGGTGGAGGTTGCAGTGAGCCGAGATGGGGCGACTGCACTTCAGCCTAGTGACAGAGTGAGACTCCAGCTCAATATATATATAATATTATATATTATAATATGTATTACATATATTTATAATATATATTATAATATATATATTTAGGTAACAAAGATAACTGTAAAATATTTTCTGCCCTTGTAAATCTCATGGAAACACAAGAGATGCTAACAACCATGTATTATTAAATGTGAGCATTTGTTGTTTGGGCACATGGGTGTTGCCTGGCAAGGCTGCTTGCCAAATACCCCTCTTTTATTATGTATGTACTAACAGAGGAGGATTTTTATGCCAATTATATATTTCTCACTTAATACCTCTTGCAGAAGTAGAGGTAGCAGCTACTTCATTGGGTGCTATGGCCAGACTTGTACCCAGTCTTAACCAACAGGACATTCACCCTTTCATGTGGCCTCTCAATGGGGACTGAAGAGTGTGGGAGAGGTTTGTTTATTGGGCCATCACAGTGAATGCAGCAGTAATAGCTATGGTAGGTTTAGCTGTGGCAGCTCTCATAGCTGTCTTGGCAGAGGTACTACTGGTGATATCTTTAATAGACTAAACCTATTGTATTTCCTTAGACTTGATTTTTTGCTTCCCAGCATCTGCTGATGTGGGCTTTATTTCAGTTCCAAGATTTCTGTTTCCTGTTGTTTCCACGAGGGTTTCATTTACATCTAAATCCAATGAACCCTCCACCAACAATAAAAAGTAAAGAGGGTGAGAAAGATTACCTAAAATAACCTGCCTATCCATAAAATAAAAATTACTGGACAATAGTTTATGTCCCCAAAGAGTACAATTGTAATTGAAGCAATAGGAACACTGTCCATGTGGAGCATAACAGTCCTAACATGTTGTAGTTTTATGTTTTCATTTGTTCTCTTTTCATTTATTCTTTTATTTCATGCATTAAAATGTCTAGACCACTTAGAATAAGGGCCATTGAGTGGAAAACATGTAGTCAGTGTGGGCTATTTTACTATTTATTGAGGGTGGAGTCTATAGGGTAACAGCCCAGGTTACAGACCTACCCTGACTGCATTCATAAACTAGCTCTTCCATTGTCACAGCTATGTGACTTTGGGAAAGGTACTTAACCTCTCTGTCCTTGAGTTTGCTCAAAGGTGAATAAACAATAGTATCATTCAGCACTGAAATAGATAATTTATGTAATTTTTTAGAAGAGCTGTGATGGTTAATTTCATGTGTTTACTTGTCTGGGCCATGGATACTCAGATATTGTTAAAGATTATTTCTGGATGTGTCTGCAAGAGTGTTTCCAGGAGAGATTAATTTTTGAATCACTACACTGAGTAAAGCAAATTGCCCTCCCCAATGTGACTAGGCATTATCTAATTCATTGAGGGCTTAAATAGAAAAAAAAGCAGATGCAATGAGAATTCACTCTCTCCACTTGACTACTTGAGCTAGGGCATTGGTCTTCTTTTGCCCTAAGACCAGGACTCACACCATTAGTGTTCCTCCTGCTTCCCAGTCCCTCAGCCTACTCAAGCTTTCAGAACTGGACTAGAAATTACAATATTGGTTATCCTGATTCTTTGGCCTTTGGACTCAGACTGGAACCATATCACCCACTTTCCTGGGTCTCCAGCTTACAGATGGCAGAACATGAGACTTCTCAGTCTCCGTAATCATAGGAGCTAATGTCTCATAAAAATTTATCTCCCCCTATCTATGTACAGTTGTCCCTCAGTATCTGTGGATGATTGGTTCCATGGATATTAAAATTCTTAAATACTTAAGATCCTAATATAAAATGTGAGAGTATTTGCATACAGTTATGTACATCCTCCTGTATACTTTTAATCATCTCTAAATTTCTTATAATACCAAGTACAATGTAAATGTGCTGCAAGAGTTGTTATACTGTATTCTTTAAGGGATAATGACAAGAAAAAATGTCTGTACATGTTCAGTACAAATGCATTTTTTTTAGTATCTTTGATCCACAGTTGGTTAAACTTATGGATACGGAGGAACAATTGTATGTGTGTGTGTCTGTGTGTGTGTGTGTGTGTGTCTTTATAGGTGTATATCTTATTGGTCCTGTTTCTTTGGAGATCCTTTGCCCCTACAGGGCAAGAGTGGTTCTATAGGAACACAATTTTAAGAATGAGTTTTCTAATTTTATTCTGGATTTCCTGGATTTGGCACTCTAATATGATTAGATTTTAAAATGATAATGACTTATATCAGAGTTCTCTAGAGGGACAGAAGCAAGAGAACACACACATTTGTATATATATGAATACATACACACACATACATACATACAGATAGATGCACACACATAATTTATACATATGGGGGAATTTAGATCACATGATTGTGGACGCTGAGAAGTCCCTGAGAAGTCCCACAGTAGGTCATCTGGAAGCTGGAGAACAAAAGAACCTGGTAGTTTGGCTTAGCTTAAGTCCAAAGGCTTGAGAACCAGGGCAACCAGTAGTGTAACTTTTAGTCTGAGGCCAAAGCCTGAGAACCTGGAGAACTGCTGATGCGAGTTCTAAAACCCAAAGGCCAAGGAACCTGGATGTTCAATGTCAGGAGAAGAAAGTTGTCCCTGCTTCAGAAGAGGGAACATATTCACCTTTCCTCTTCCATTTTTTTCTATTCATGTCCTCTGCCAACTGAATGATACCCACCCACACTGGATGAGGGTGAATCTTCCTTACTCAATCCACTAATTCAAATGCCAGTCTTTTCCAGAAACACCCGAACAGGCTGATATGGATGGGCTCTGTGTCCCCATCCAAATCTCATCTTGAATTGTAATCCCAACATGTGGAGGGAGGGACCTGATGGCAGGTGATCAGATCTTGGCGGTGGTTTCCTCTATGCTGTTCTCAAAATGGTGAGTGAGTTCTTCAAGATCTGATTATTTAAAAAGTGTGGCACTTTCTCCTACGTTCTTTCTGTCTCCCCTCACCACGTAAGACATGTCTTGCTTCCCCTTCACCTTCCGCCATGATTGTAAGTTTCCTGATAGTCAATTAAACCTCTTTTTTTAAATAAATTATGCATTCTCAGGTATTCTTTATAGCAGTATGAGAACGGACTAATACACAGACATCCTCAGAAATAATGCTTTACCATCTATCTGGGTATCCTTTAATCCAAAGTTGACACATAAAAGTAACCATCACACAATTCTGTTTCTTGTAGCAATGATAGCACCAATGATCTGTGGCATGATTTGGTAGCAGAGATATCCAAAATATCTCCTTTGAGTACTCCTAATCAACCACTTATAAGAAGCAAGGAGCTGGGACATTGTGTATATAAACAGTTTAAAAAACTGTTTTCAAACATGTTTGGAAAACTAATGAATATCATGAGGCTAACTGGTTGCTCCTAACATCACTGGACAAATTGGTGAAGGAAAATAATGAACTCGGAGGTTTGAATTCCTAGCTCGAGTGGCACATAAGTGAACTAAAATCTTCTATGTGTGCTTGGAAAGAGACTCTTATCTCCAGTAGCCACAGGACTTGGATTGTTGAAAATCAAATACAGAATCTCATTATGTGACTGGCTGAATAACAATGCAAGTTGAACTCCAAGCCTCGTGGGATTTGTCAGGGCATTAATTGGAAAATAATGGGATCCTGTCAGTTGTGATGGAGATATATGGGAAGACCCTGACAAAGCAGAAGAAATTGAGCTCATGGATTCTAACAAGTCTTTTCTGCCAGTGGAAGAGGCTTCCCCATTCTCAGTGGTATCAACCTCTGCACCCCATCTAAGGGGATTAATCCTTCCTTGCCTGAGAAAACTGTAGTGGCTTTTCCTAGGAAAGTTGTCAGGCAAGACAATGCTTTCACCTCAGAACCAATCTCCACCACCTCTCTCTGCTTCTACACATATAACTAGATTTAATTCCCAGCAGACCCCTAAAGGTAAGATACAACATGTAACCCATGAGGTGGTATGCTATACTTCAAAAGAATTACCATCCTTGGACTTATAGAATACCTTCTTCACCATTATGGTAATTTTACACAGAACTGATTATGATTCTTTAATGCTTCATTTCACAGCTTGAAAAAAAAAAGTGTGGCAACTGGCCCATGTTAATGGGACTACTCTTATCATGTCTCCCAACATCTTGTAGCTGGCCTGATGTAGAATGGTGGAATGGCTTTTTGAAGAATCAGTTATAGTTCCTTTTATCTGGCACTACCACTGCATGAGTTGAGAAATAGGTCTCCTTTCCTTGGAGTGAAACTTACACCATCAGCACCTCTTGTTCTCAGGTGTTGGGGCTGGAACTAGAAATTATATCACTGGCTTTCCTGTGTCTTCAGCAGATTGTATGTGGTAGATTACGGAACTTCTCAACCACCATAATCATGTGAGTCAATTCCTCATAATAAGTCTCTTTATATATAAATATAAATATATACATTTCCTGTTGGCTGGTTGGTTCTGTTTCTCCAGAAGACCCTGACTAGTTCAAAAATGTTGACATATATTAATAATATGCAAACATTGAATGTTATCTAGTTCTTGTTTAATTAAATTTTTTTCCAGTATTTTCCAATAAATAAATTTAAATTTAATGACATGACACATATTTAATCTCTCTTGTTAATAATAAAAACATTTATATTTTTTCATGTTTTCTTTGACTAGATCTTTATATATATATTACATATTTGTTATGTTTTGTTCTGCAAGTCCTTAATTATAAATAGTTATTTTGATTTTGATTTCCTCTCAGAGCAAATAGAGTTATATAGATGAGATTTATATTATAATTTTCAGAGGTTATTGTGTGTGGTATTAAGCTTATTAATTTCTCGAGTTACTGCACTGAAGCCAGAGACTATAGTCTCTTTCTAATTTTAGTAATTGATTATAGTTTATTTATAGCCTTGAGAACATCAATTTTGAATGCTTACTGAACATGTGAGAAATCTTTACATGTCTATTTGATCTAATTTATAAATTTCCACATAAACTTATTAACTCAGGATTATTAATTATGTTCTTCAAAATCTGTATCATTTCTGATATTATATTATTTTGAGAGATGAATTAAAGATTTACACTTACATTGTAAGACTCCGTATTAATCATGTTCCCATGATACTAAAATAGTTTGCATTCATATTATATTGTGCATTTACCATTATAGAACAATCCTTTTTGTAGTGAATTTAATTTTTCCCTTGAATTTTCCTGAAATATTGATATTAGCACGCCTTCTATTTTTTGTTTGTCATGAATGGGCTCTTTACTAGTGTGCCAGTGGGAATATTCTCAGCAGAGCCAGACTTCATAGAAAGGAATAAAATGGAGGTTATGGACTTATTCAGAGCTTTAGACAACAGTCATGTTCTCATCAAGTATTCCTGAAGTGAATGGTTCATTTATTCTACATGGCCAGCAGTGATGCCCAATCACTGTTTCTCTTACACAGAAATGACAAATTTCCACATTAATGTCACCTACACAGTTTAACACTATCTACGGCTGTCTATGTATACAGGACTGCTTATCAAATTTGGTGGGCATAGTGCAAAATGAAAATGCAGGGTCCCTTGTGCAAAGATTCTTAAAAATTTCAAGATGGCAACAGTGGAACATTGAACCAAGTGTGGAGTCCCTTTAAGTGTGTGGCTGCAATGAATGCATGCCTATTGTAGCTGCCTCTGATTGTACCTTCTGTTTTTCAGTAGTAACATACTAACATTGCCATCTTCTCCCTGAGTCACTTCAGAAGAAACAATGGGGAGCAGGAGGAAACCCAGTAATTTGTTTTCTTCCCAGTCATTTATTTTCAGTTTTAACGTGTGGTATATTAAATTCAATGGAGCCAAAGACACAATTGAAGTACTACAGTCATAATAACCCATGAGACTACTACATTTTTTATTTATTTCATAGCATACAGAGAATTACTTTCTGTAACATACCTTCAAGTTAAAAATTGAAGGAAGTTAATAATTATAAAAGTATCTGGAATTTAGATGAGATATGACTTATGAGTGCATAAAATATCTTTTATTACCTGTAATGTTACTTCACTTTTACTATCAATATTGCCATACGAGGCATTTTCTTATTTGTATAATTATGGGTATTTTTGTTTTTGTCATTGTTATGATGTGGTAATATTTATCAATGTTATTTATTTGAACCATATTTCAAAAACTTTTATTTGATGATGAGGATGATTGATGATTTGATAACTAAATGTACATTATCCATGAATTATTTATACTAAGATTATATACATGTAAGAATCAATGGACTCTGAGACTCAGTTATAAAGTTCATTAATTATGTTTTCATTTACTCCTTCTGTGATATTTGTTGATATCATTTTATTTTAAATAACCTGTTGACAAATGAATCTTTTGCAATTTCAAGACTAGAAAAAAATTTATTTCCACTTCTTGATTTAATTATATTACTTAGTTTTAAAGTGTAAATGCATAAGTCAAAGTTAATTGCAGAGACTTTTTGTTAAATTATTTCAACGTATTCTGCTCTTTGTATTTATAAGCTCTTTAACCTTGCCTCTATTTAAGATATCAAAGTAGCTTTAAAAGCTTATTACAAATGATAGCTTTTTCACTTAGATTAATCTGCTACTATGATACAAAGGGTGTTTTATTAAAATTTCATTTTCCTCTATCAGCACTTATATTAGTAATTTAAATTTGGTCACAGAGTAATCAATTAAAGTAAAGCATGCTGTGTGAACACTAAACCTAACACATTAATTTAATCTATTTTGGCTACTCCTGCTGTCTCACAAATCATTTCTATGGTTACAAGGCATTTGTCAAAGTTTCTAATGGAAAAACATCCCATGATGGCAAGGCCTTTACTAAATAAAGGTAAGATTTATGGATGATAACAATATTTGAATTAAATTTCAATAAATTGAGTGGCATTTTTCTAATACCACAGAACACATACAATAAAAATAAGCTAACTACATTAAAGTCTAATTTTAAATTACTACAAAAAATGGCTGTGGAAGATTAATCATAGGAGCTGTACAAATGATTCTATAAGAAAAGCATATAATTTAATTAACTCTCTGATATGCCAAAGATAGTGAAGTGGCCAAAGCAAATCTTAGGGCTGGCATGTAAGTGGGACTGTGTCCAAATACCACCTTCTCCTTTGGGACTGGATCTTTTTCCATGTTCCTAGTGAGGATTTGTTAATATTTCAGCAGAATAATAGAACAAATGACTTTACAAACAATTCTGTCTACAATCACAGAAATCTGATGTAAATTCTTAAAATTATAAACTAAACATAAACTTTGGTAAATGTACTCATAAGGAATTTACCTTCGCACAAAAAGAGATCTGGTCTTTGCCCTTGCCTTTTGGAACAGAATCTCCCTGGAATGTAATGCCAGCCAGGTGTGTCTTTGTGTGGGGTGGTTGCTGGCCACACTGGATTAGGCTGGGGTGTGATCAGGATAGAAATGACCAACAGTGTAATAAACGGCGGGGCTTTGATCCATACAGCATCATTTGAATTAGGTCAACCAGGTGAGCAATTAGAGACTTGGGAACAACTAATTACTGAAGTTGAGGTGAGCTTCTCTGTTTGGCAGTACTCTGTGGGTATTACTACACATTGATAGAGTAACACCTCCTGACTCCACAGGGAGAAGACAATGAAAGCTCTGCATTTGGCTCTCCCCAGACTCTGCCCTCTTAGCTTCATTCTTTGACTGATTTTAATCTGTATCTGTTTCCTATAATAAATCATAACCATGAATATGATAACCTATAGTGGGTTCTTGGAGTCCCTGTAGTAAGTCTCTTGGATTTGCAATTGATGTGAGAAGGGAAGGCAGTCAGGTGTTGTTGAAGACTGTGTTTCTTCTAACTTTATAGTTGGCCTAATCTCTGGCAATACTACACATTGCATTGGAGAAAAAAAAAAAAGGAAAAATATTCTTTTATCTGGGTCTTGAAAAATAAAGAAGCTGAAATAAATTGATAGAAAAAATCATGAAAAAATGGACAGATAATTACATGCATAAAATAAGTGTATATTAAAGAAAATGAAACAGGTATTTCCAGTGATTTTAATCATGTCATCTGAAGAATTTAAACCTGCATATTTACCTTTAGGAACCTAGAAGGCTGGAACTTTAAAACTCCTGTTATCTTATTGGAATTTTTTTGTTTTGTTTTGTTTTTGTTTTTGAGATGGAGTCTTACTCTGTCGCCCAGGCTGGAGTGTAGTGGTATGATCTCGGCTCACTATAACCTCTGCCCCCTGGGTTCAAGCAATTCTGCCTCAGCCTCATGAGTAGCTGGGATTAGAGGCGCCCGCCACCATACCTGGCTAATTTTTGCATTTTTGGCAGAGACGGGGCTTTACCATCTAGGCCAGGCTGGTCTTGAACTCCTGACCTCGTGATCCACCCGCCTCCTCAGCCTCCCAAAGTGCTGGGATTACAAGTGTCTTATGGAAATTTTAATGTGATAAATATGCTGCTCCTGAAGCATAGTTTTTTATTTCCTTTGCCTCTATTTTGTTAAACTGCTATAAACTTCAGCTGAACTCTCCATGGCCAACTCATGAACTTACTCCAGAATTGCCATTAATATCTCACTTTTGACTACAGTCAGAAGTCTTTCAATTGCACTGTATTCTCGCTTGTTTTTGAGCCAGTTGAAATTTACACTCATTGAGGAGCTCACAGCAAATTTTGCTTTTTTCCATAATTACTTTAGGAATATGGTGAATAATTTAATTGGCTTTTTTATTAGCATTCTTCGTTCTCTCCTTCATCCTTTGCCTCAGCATAAAGGTCCCCAAATATTGTATAAATGTTCCCAGCAAAGTCCTTCTTTCTTAATTCAAGCCTATTATTGTTCTCTAAGCAGAAAGGCATAATTGTTCACATGCTCTGTTTTGTGTGCTGTGCTAGGCGCCGGGGATACAATGCTGACCACGATGGAAACCATCACTGCCCTTAGCATAAGCGATCTGGCAAAGAAAAGGAAAAAAATACAAAGCCCCGTAATAAACTCTGAAATGGGTTAAGTAGAGAAAAAACATCAGAGTGATCTAGCCAAGTCAAGGACAACAGAAATGTCAATGACTACTTCCCAAAGAATGTGCAGTCTAAGCAAGATTCACTGGCAGCCTTTAACATCAAATTTTAAAACACAGTTCTAGTCAATTAGCCAAGCTCTGAGGAACATTTGCCTTTACTCTTATTCCTATGTATTCTTTGTTTTCTATTTCCATTCTGAGAATACCGATAATAATCTTCATCTACTTTTTTCTTCAGCTTTATTGATGTATAATTGACACATAAAAAGTATATATATTTAAGTGTAGAACTTGATATTTTGGTAAACATAACATCATGAAATAATCATCACAATCAAGCTAACATATGTATCACCTCACATAGTGACTTTATCTGTGTATGTGATGGGAGGTTTATTATCAGCAGATTTTAAGTAAACAATACAATATTTTTAGTAGCCACTGTTCTGTACATCAGATCTCCAGAACGTATTCATCTCACATAAATGAGACTCTATAGCCTTTGACCAACATCTCCCCGCTTTCCCCATTCTCTAACTCTGCAGTCACTCTTCAAATAATTGCACTCTTACTTCCCCTTTTCAGTGTTCCACTGAAACTATTTTGACAAAGACAATGGTATATCTTCAAGCCTCTGACTGTATTAGATCTTGGAGGTATTTTAGATAGGCATTTAGAAATGCATTTAGATATGCATTTAGATATGCATTTATTCATTCACAGATTGTATATCTAGAGACACATATGTAATCTTTTAACAAAAAAAGTAGTTGAAATTGACTCTTTGGTTCTACTTTTCCTGAAAAAAAAGGAATAAAGGAATATTGATTTCTTAAAATATAATGTTAATTTCCACAATATTACTTTCCCAATTCTTCTTTTAATTCACTTATTTTCCCTATTTTATTTCCTTAGCTTCCTTGTGTTGTCTTTGTCCCGGTACCTTTTACCTTAGTCTTCCTCGAAACAACCAGTGCTTTTAACTATGTATTTTAAAATATTGCCTCATTAATCAATATCTCTAATGTTATTTTATCCAGCCCTTCCTTCCTTCCTTTTCACTATGTATTTTAAAATATTGACTCATTAATCAATATCTCTAATGTTATTTTATCCAGCTCTCTCTCTCTCTCTCTCTCTCTCTCTCTCTCTCTCTCTCTCCCTCCTGTGTTCAGGCCATTCTCCTGCCTCAGCCTCCCAAGTAGCTGGGACTACAAGCGCCCGCCACCTTGCCCGGCTAATTTTTTTTTGTATTTTTAGTAGAGACGAGGTTTCGCCGTGTTAGCCAGGACGGTCTCGATCTCCTGACCTCGTGATCTGCCCGCCTCGGCCTCCCAAAGTGCTGGGATTACAGGAGTGAACCACCGTTCCCAGCCCCAGCACTTTATTTCAAACTGCTTGCTAGGTCTCCCCACCTTGATGTCTACTAAAAATCACATATTTAGCATGACAAAAACAAAATATATGTGTGTGCATTATATAACAGATAGTTTTGTATATGTGTGTTTTTATTTATTTATCTATAGCACATTTGTTTATTATCTGTGTTCCCTATAGCTGCAATAAGGAAGTTTTATAGTTTTATTGATATCTCCCTTGGCCCCTTAGTGAATACTTGGTAAGTTACATTCATGAGTAATAATCAAGGTTTTTGTTTCTAAAGATATAAAATTTGGAGAGAATAAAGTAAGAAATGACTCAAATTAATTATTTAAGTGTGTAATGCCTTACATGTAGAAATATCAGGAGGGGAACTGAGAAAACAATAAAAAAAGTATTATTGTTTTAATTTCATCATTTTTACTTTATATTCAGGGGATACATGGGCAGTTTTGTTAAATGGCTATATTGTGTAATGCTGAGGTTTGGGGTACGATTGATCCTATCACCTAGGTACGAAACACAGTACCCAAAAGTTAGTTTTTCAACTCTTTCCCCGCTTTCTCGCTCCCCTCTCTAGTGGTCCTCAGTGTCCATTGTTTCCATCTTTACGTCAGTGAGTACCCAATATTTAGGCCCCACTTATAAGTGAGAACATGCAGTATTTGGTTTTCCATTCTGCATTAATTTGCATAGCATAATGGCCTCCATCTGGATCCGTATTTCTACAAAAGACATAATTTTATTGTGTGTGTGTGTGTGGCTGGATAGTATTTCATGGTGTATATGCACCATATTTTCTTTGTCCAAACCACCATTGTGGGCACCTAGGTCGATTCCATGTCTTTGGTATTGTGAATAGGGCTGCCATGAACATGTGAGTGCATGTGTCTTTCTGGTAGAATAATTTGGTTTCTTTTGGCTATATACCCAGTAATAGGATTGCTGGGCTGAATGGTAGTTCTGTTTTTAATTCTTTGAGAAATCTCCAAACTGCTTTCCACAGTGACCAAATGAATTTACATTCCCACCAACCGTGTATAAATGTTCCCTTTTCGCCACAGCCTCACCAACATCTGTTGTTTTTTGACTTTTTAATAATAGCCATTCTGATTGGTGTGAAATGGTATCTCATCATGGTTTTGATTTGCATTTTTCTGATGATTAGCGATGCTGAGCAATTCTTCATGTATTTGTAGGCTGCTTACATGTCCCCTTTGAGAAGTATCTGCTCATGTTTTTTGCTCACTTTATAATGGGGTTATTTTATTATTATTATTATTATTATTTGCTTATTGAATTGTTTAAGTTTCTTACAGATTCTGTATATTAGACCTTTGTTGGGTATATAGATTGTAAATAAAAAATATTATTTTTAAAAATCCTAATAAGGAATTTTTCAGAGTTGCAACATATCCATCTTCATAACGAAAAACTAACTTTCCCTAGGTCCAGGAATGATATGTTCTTTCCTAAATGAAGCATCATGAATTCTCATAGCACTGTGGGTAATTTGAAACATGTCGAGGACATCCGGGGATGGGAGTAAGACAGTGAGAGGAGGTCTCTAGATGCTGTCCAGTGTCTCCTGTGGAGGGATGGGCTGAGTATCATTCTCAGTGGAGACCAATAATGTAAAAATAAATATGTGAACTAGAGAATATAAGAGTACATACACCTATGGCAGTATATCAACATAAGGAACACTTGATATTCTAGTTATCTTTATTAATGGAATATTAAAAACAATTCTTAACAAGTTTCCCTTTTGACTTGTTTTTATTTTTTCAATATGTAAGTTTTGTTAATCTTCTGTGTCTTTCTCCTACTCCCACCCTTCCTTCAGGAGCTGTGCTTGGTGGATTTCTGATATTAGGCTTTTATGACTATATGGAGAAAGTAGCTTCTTGATGTGATGGCTTACATTCAAGTTCTTATCCCATGATCAGTAAAAAAAAATTGTTTTCTATAAAATCTATTTCTCATCAATTTTAATTTAACAATGAGAAAACAAGGGATAAATATATGCTTTAAATTTGTATTACAGGTTATTTAATGTTTATTCAGTCTGCACTAAGAGGCAACTGCACAGTCTTGTGATTACACATGATCTTTTGATAGCTCAGTTTCAGTATAAATATTGAAACAAAAATCAAATGTAGAGCTCCTTTTACATTCACATTTATATCACTTTTTAAACAGCTATCGAATGGAATTGTTGAATGAATTATTTCTCACTCATGTAAAATGGGAATGTAAGACTCTAGTGAAATCACACATTTTCACAGCAAAATGTATTTTTTGACAACTGAATATCTAAGGAAATATACATACATATAGGCACTTTAATTCAGTGACATAAAGATAAGAGTTTTTTTGTGTTGTTGTTGTTTGTTTTTTTTTGAAACACAGTCTCACTGTGTCACCCAGGCTGGAGTGCAATGACGTGATCTCAGCTCACTGCAAACTCTGCCTCCCCGGTTCAAGCAATTCTTCCACCTCAGCCTCCTGAGCTGAGTAGCTGGGATTACAGGCATGTGCCACCACACCAGGCTAATTTTGGTATTTTTAGTAGAGATGGGGTTTCACCATGTTGGTCAGGCTGGCTTTGAACTCCTGACCTCAGGTGATCCATCCTTCTCAGCCTCCCAAAGTGCTGCAATTCCAGGCATGAGCCACTACTCACATCCCAAGTTAAGAGTTTTAAGTACTCAGAATGAAATTCAATACACTTAATTTGTATTTAGCAAATTCCAAAGTTTACCTGTCTCTAAGAATTTAAATAAAGACACTTTCGTTAGTTTTCTATTACTCTGTATTCTTATAGTCATAGATGTTTCAGAATCATTTGAAAAATTACAAAAACAAATGCTTACTGAAATTTTACTCAGAAAAAGGTGAAGCCATAGATCAAGTTGGGAAGAACTGATGTCTTACAAAATTGAGTCTTTAACTACATGAACATGGTACATCCTACCATTGGTTTAGTTTGTCCTAAATTCATCCAATAACATTTTCTTGTTTTCTCTTAAAGATTTAAAGATATCTTTTATTCTGGATATTCCCCCAAGATATCTGACATGCTTGGATGTTATTTTAAATTTTATAATTTCCTAAAGTTTAACTTTCCAACTGTGATTGGCCTATAGAAATACAATTGATTTATCTATGCAATGGCCTTCCTAAATTGACAGCCCCAGTTCCTACTGGATCAGCTTTGTCTAAGAACACAACAACGCTGTCCAAATCCCGACACCAAGAGACTTGATCAAACCCTAGCATGGCTTCTAGCAGCATAAGGCCATGTTCCTCGATGGCCCTAGCATTCCATTAAAATATCCGCCTAAGAAAGATCTACACTGCCAGGGAACTTACTATTTATTTGTTGTAGGTGATACCTGACAAATGGCCTCCCTTTCTTGGAGCATTTACTTAAAACATCTTGCCATTGTAAATGTGTATTTTTTACAACTCAGAAGTATGTCTCTCAAAGGTCCAAGAGTCATTTTTTTTTTAAATATAATCATTGGGAAGACAGGGCCTCTATCTTCCAGTCTCTGTGGGAAGCTAGAATTCTCACTTGATAACTGTCAGCTAGTAGACACAGCTGGCCCCACCACATTCACATTGACCAATCCTTTGTAATTTTTCACTTCTTTGAATCTACTGGACCTCTGCTATCTCCCTTCTATCAGTTTTATTTTAAAATGTCCAGTCCCCTCTGCAAAATTGAGATGCAGCTCAGCTCTTTCCCTACTGTCAGTAGTTACTGAATAAAATCTGTTCTCACCGCTTTAGCTAATGTCTAGCTGTGTTAATTTCTGACATATTAAACTTGAAATTTATTGTAATCCTGTGGCTTTGTTTGGATTACAATTGGCTGAAAAACTAATTTTTTTGTGATATGTAGAAGGTAGAGTTAAAGCAGCAGTCATTATTTCCTGAAGATCACTATTATTTGATGCAGTGACATACAGGAAGTTTTCAGGTTGCCCTGCTGTCCTGTTGACAGCCAGATATTCCTCCTAACTGCCATCCCTGCTGAGCATAGAGGCCCCAAGCTCACCATTGAACACCTGACTATGGCCATAGAAATGTATAGACGCAACATTATTTCCATAGGCTATTCTACAACATCTTCTTCATAGCCCCACTCCAGTTGCAGGTGTCCTAGATTCTCCATTACTTACTAACTTACCTACCTATGCCCATATTCCTCGAGTCTTGTTACCAAATTTTCGTCTAATTTTTCAACTTTGGATTCTTCTACTTTCCTAGCTTCTGATATAGTTTGTGAGATTTTATATTATGAATTCCTTATTCCATAATATTCATACTGGCTCTACTTCCTTGGACGAATCCTATCAAATACAGTTAATAGTGCTAGAGTTAGGGTGTTACTGTATAAAAATCTAAGATATTTTACCTTGCATTGACTGTAAAAAAAAAAAAACTGGCATCGAATGTTGGAAAGACAATAAGAATATTGTTATTGGGGTTGAAAATAAGGTGGGCCATATTATATATGGAAGAATGTTTTGCAACACTATTTGATATGGAAGGTGATAACATATCTAAATGAGTACTTTTGTGGGATTGGAAAGCAAAACTATTTCTCATTATCAGCTTCTTTAGCAGAGGAAGAAAAAGAATTCTCAGTGTAAGGAAAGGCCTGGGCGTCAGAAGATGTCTAATCAAAGGCACTGACTGACCCTAAAACATCAAGGTAAACTCAACAGTATAGACTGAAGACCCTTTAATAAGCATTTTAATTTAAAAAATCAACAACAAAGGAATTGAATTATAAATTTACTTAACTATTCAAAAGGACTCCAAGTATCTAAATGGCATGTAATTCTGTACCCTGACACATAGCCCAAAGTAGACAGTGGCCTATCGCAAAAAGGGTTATTGTTATGGCTTTTGTTAAAGGACATAATGCCGATAAGTTTCATAGATTAAAAAACGTATAGCATTTTCAGGAGAATTACATAAACAGAAGAACTGCTAGTTTAGATTCAAAGGGACAGTGACACTTTAAAATATAAAGATGTCATTGGGCCAGTGAAACATAGGAAATAAACTGAGAAAACTTCTCAGTTGAAGTGTAAGCCTTTTCTTTGTTGAAAAAAAAATAGACAATAACACATAGCTAAGTCCCCAGCCATTGGAGCAAAATACCTAAAAGAGGAATTCCTGAGGATGAGAACTTGGCCCAAACGTTACCTTCCCTCAGAGAAAGGAGAATTGGCAACATGTGCCTGACTCAGTTTCAAAATTGCTGTGAAACAATGCCTGCTCTATGCTTTCTGATTCATTTTCTTAAAGAAAAAAAAAAAAGGAAGAATGTCTGCTACAGATGTTGTTTTCTATCTCTACTGGCCTTAATGGTGGCTTCCGAAAAGATATATCCCCATCTTAATTTCCAAATACTGTGAATATTATTTCTCATAACAAAAAGGTAGTATTTGTTATTTACAGCAAATGACATGATTAAGTTAAGACTTTTGAAAGGAGAAACTTCCGTTATATTGTCTAGGTGTGTTGTAAATGCCATCACATATGTCCTACAAACAGGAGGCAGATTAAGATGAGAGACAGACACATGCAGGGAAAAGAAATGCAAAGTAAGAAACAGGAGATGCAAGCCAAGCCAAGGAATGTTGAAAGCCACCAAAAGCTTGAAGATACAAGAAACAAATTCTCCCCTAGAACCTTCAGAGGGAGCATAGCCTTGCCTTAATTCAGGCTTCTAGTTTCCACAGCTATTGATGAAGGAATTTATGTTGTGTTAAGCCACCAAGCTTGTGGAATTTGTAACAGCAGCTACAGAAAACTCATACACTCTCTCACATTGTATATTGGGTGTGTGATTATTTCACATGACTTTTTTTAAGTCACAGATTTCTGCCCCTGAGGTTCTGTATCCAAAGTTTCACACACAGACTTAGTTTAGATGAGATTTTGCACTGAGAGCCTGAGCTTGTGCCAAAGTTTCACACACAAAGGCTTAGTTTAGATAATGAGATTTTGCACTGAGAGCCTGAGGTTGTGCCATGGTTGGATAAAAGTTTGAAGGTCCAGGGCATATTTTGCAAATGGAAATTACCTAATTAATTTTTAACCAGAGAGCATTCTGTAGCAAATTAAAGAATTAAAGATGGCCCCCAATTATTTGCCACTCCTCCAAACCAGAGTTGGAGTCTATTTCTTTTTCTCTTTTTTTTTTTTTTGAGAGGGAGTCTCGCTCTGTCACCAGGCTGGAGGGCAGTGGCACCATCTCGGCTCACTGCAACCTCTGCCTCCAAGTTTCAAGCGATTCTCCTGTCTCAGTCTCCTGAGTAGCTGGGATTACAGGGGTGTGCCACTACACCCAGGTAATTTTTGTATTTTTAGTAGAGATGGGGTTTCACCATGCTGGCCAGGATGGTCTCCATCTCTTGACCTCGTGATCTGCCCACCTTAGCCTCCCAAAGTTCTGGGATTACAGGCGTGAGGCACCGCTCCTGGCACCTTTTTCTCTTGAACTATGACACTGTCATTAGAATCGTCGGTTTCCTGTGAAATGTTTTCTATTCTGTATTACCCAATTTTATGATGTTTACAAATGCTTTCTACGTTACTGTTCTTATTCAACTTCTCTGTTGGATAATCAAAGTTAATGAAAATCAGATTAGGATGCTTTTCTTATGAATTTGCCATTGAGTCATGGAGAAAGTAGGTACATAATCTCACACTGGCATGCGCGTGTGCTATGGAATGACAATGGAATATAAGAAAGGAAGTACCTCATGTTCTAAAAACATGCAGTACGGAGATTGAATTTGGTTATGGTGATCAGGATGTTTTTTACTGAGAATGTGACTCTGACACTTAATGATTCAAATTTGTCTGGGTAGAGATAAGGCAAAGGAACTACCTAAAGAGGGAGCAACATATGGAAAGGCAAATGGATCCACAAATCTGAAACAGGACCTCTACAGCTAAAACTAAGAAAGCAAGGCATAACTAAAAGTGAAGAATGAGGTTTGTTTTATGAATATTGTTTTTATTTCAGTGAATATTGTGTTTAAAGTTTTGTCAATTTAATTAGGTGAAAGCTGATGGCAGTTTAGTCAAATGTTTTGGATAAAAAGTGGAGTTCAGATGCTGGAACTATTTAAATGTTAAAAGAGAACACTCTTGGTCGGATAATTTCAATAAGGTTTGAAGAAGATTAAGATCACAAGAATATTCCCTACAGTTAGTATCCTGATAAAATCAATTCTCTTTCATTGATAAAGCCAAAATATACTGCCACAGCTTATGACTTAATTTTTTCTTTTAATGTATGTAACTTCTAAATATATATTCCCTAAATATATCTATATAACACCAAATAAAATATAATATTATAAAAATAGAAATCATTTATTGATTAAAATATACATTAAAAAGTTAACATTCTGGGATTAAGTAGAAAAATATAAATTATTAAACTAAAAATATTCTTGAATTTGACTGATATAATTCATTTCACCAGTGATCAGAATAAATTTTAAATAACTAAAATTTTGGAAAATTTTACTGCCTAACATAAGTGTTGAAAAAAATGAATACATTCATGATTACACTATAAATTCTAGTGATATTTTAAGCATATTTATGATAATAAGTGATTCAGTCTCAATTTTCTCTTACTTTAGAGAGGATATAAATTTAGTTTTTGAGGTCTTCTAAGGACAAAATTATTAAAAACAAAGACACTGATTATATGCTAGTGTTCACAAATTTTAACCTTTGTAAATTTTGTATATAAATGACCTTTTTCCCTAGTTGTTGGGACACTGAGCTTAAATGCCACATATTAAAAAAAAGTTGGACTCTATCAAGATTACTAAGTAGAGTGTTATCTATATGGAATTGTCATGTAAAATATATGTTTCTGCCAGTTAAGTTCTGCCACCAAATTGTTGTTTAAACCATCTTCCTGGAAAAGAACACAATCAATTACTGAAGAAAATGGTTGTGTGAGTGAACTTTTTAATTATTAAAATTGAAAAGCTTTATAAAAACTAGTAGTTCCAAATCTTTTTTAGAATTTCAATCTCTGAGCCACATAACTGTTAAACTTTAAATAGGAGTTTCCCTCAACTTATTTCTCAGGCACACTGTGTGTAAATCTCAAAAACGATGAACGAATAATGCAGGTTTTTACCACATGAAGAATGAGGCAAAGGTTTAGTCAATGTTTATTGACTGCATTATTCATATTAAACAATCAATATATGTTTGTATTAAAAACTGATTATTTTACTTTTTTACACAGGCAAAGTCACCACAACACATATACATAAACATACATCAAGCCTACTCATAGGTAAAAAAATTTGTTTTCTACGTAACAAATCATAATTAGTTGACCTGCTTATCTATAGGAAAAGATGTTTATGAATGGATTCACAGAACTAATTAAATGTATTATGTCTTAAAGGATCCTGTATATATATATGTGTGTGTGTGTATATATATATATATATATATATATATATATATATATGTAACTTCATTTGATTGATCAAAGTTGTTTTAATTTAAAAATCTTGGCATGGAATGGTGGGATTAATTCGACAGTGAAAGTAATTCAAATATTATTTTCTCTACAATTATTTTGTATAATAAAGATGAGATGTGTTTTGATTGCTAGATTACGTTAATCTACCACAAAAAGTTTTAGAAGTTCTTATGTCCTTTTAGATAGGCAATGTTAAAAATTGGAATTAACGATCTGATATCATTTTTAAATGTGAGACTTCTCTCAAATAGCATGTACTATCATCATGTTAGAATTTTATCTAATCTAGTGATAGTTAGTCAAGATGAGGAGGTAGAGAAAAATCTACTGTTCCATGTAACCATTGTCATAGTAACAAACTCAAATATACTGCCACGCTGTGCCTAAAAAATAAGAAATTTAAATTTAATGTTAAATAAATGCAACATATATTCAATGGCTATGTATCTGTAGCACATTTATGATTAAACAGTAATTATTAAAATATTTATACACAAATATATGTATTAGTTTATAATTGTAGAACACTTAACTTTTATTTTATAATATATTTAACTTTTTTTTAGTAAGGAAAATGCAACTCCTTGACTGTCTCTTATTTGTATGTATTAGTGTGAACGTAAGTCAGAATTACTGCAGTCAACCCAATTTACTCACAGGAGCAGGTTTCCCGGTGGTAATTGTGTCTCCACTGGAAATGCAGCGAGGCATATAGTTTGAGTGACCCATGCTTGCTTCCGATATGTCTTCCTACTTTTTTATTAGACTATTAGAAATTTGGGAGAAAAAAATTAATTCTAGATGTTTTCTTCACTTTCCTAGGAAGAAAATATTTTATTTATTCTCACTTAATGCGCTTGCCCTCTCTTCTTGAAATTATAAGTTAATTCCAATTCAGAACAAAAAGAAAGTAGTCTCTGGAAGAATTTTAATTATTTCCAAACGCCTCTCCAGCATATAAATGCTAAACTGTGTGACTTTTCCATTTATGGGCTGTGAGAAATAAACAGCTGGGATAAACAGCAGGCATTTCAAGATATTTTATTTATTTCTCAGCAGAAGTTTAAGCATATGTCATAATGATGGCATTTACATCATAATATATGTTGCTTCTTACAGCTCTGCAAACCCATCAGAATCTGCACAAATGACTGTGGAATGTTAGAATAAGAAGAGTCTATCAAACAGACTTCCATCTGCTTCGATTCCAAAAGTTCAACCTTTATTATAAACTAAGCAACTGAAAATCAAAGTTCTGAAAACTTAATTGCTTTCCTTAAATCTTAGTTTCAGTTTAACTTTTAGAATGATCCAATATGCCATGATATAGGAATTCACATTTTGTGTTGTAATTTTCCTTTCCTTAATATCCTGTTGCCTGTTGTCTTCCTGATATTTAATCAATGACATTTATTACAAAGGAAAAAATATATACTGGTGAATATGAAATGGTCTATATCATGCTAACCCCATAATAAAACCATTCTTTTGATAATTTGATTTGATATAAAAAGAAAGAGGAGAGAGTTTTGAATAATTGTAGGTTGTGTGAGCATATTCAGGACAGTTCTTGGAGGGTCGACCATATCATAATATTTTATTAGACCATAGACTAGAGAGAACTTAGTGTAGAATGTAACTATCATCATATTATGTCAAAAAAAGGGGAAGGGTAAATTTTTTTTCCAGTTCAGAGGATTATAGGAAGGGAGACACCGATAGTTTTTCAGACGTTTTGGGTTTGCCACGTTCCATTTAGACTCCTAGAAGACTGCTTCACAGATTGGTCCTGAGGTTTCATGCAGTAAAGAAGATGTAACAAAATGAGACAGTGATTCTGAGCAGCACTTCTCCTGACTCTCCATGACCTGCTCACAGTGCGAAAGAAACCCAGCCTCTGAGGCTGCGAAACAGAAAAACAAGCTAAATGGTTGGGAGTTTTCTATATGCATTTACTGTAGTGGGTAATTCACTCTGATGTCAGATAAAGAAATTTTGGGCAGTTTGCCTGGATGGTAACTAAAGGAGAGTCACAGCAAGAAATATGGTTTAGATGCTTAACTCTAGAGAAAGCTAAAGTGGGGTCAAGTCACTAAGGACAATATAAAGAGCCTGAAATTGTCAAAGTGTAGATTATGACTTCCCCTGTCATTGCATTCATCAGTAGATGACAAGAGAGAGCCAAACCCACCCCATGGGCAAGAAACTAGCAGCAGTTTCCAACCAGCCCCAGACCTGCTGCTCTCGATCAAAGATGGCTAGTGAAACCACCCTAACACCTTCACTTGCCATGTTCTTAGGATAGTAAATATGAAATGTTGCCTTCTAAAAAATCATTATTGGAATGAGAACTAAAACATGTCAAACAAGATCCCCTTACAAAGGGGATCTTCAGTTGAGGATGTTAGGAGATTTCTAATTTCGAATGTGAAAAAAAAAGTGTTTTCAATCATCTGTAAATGAAATTTAACATTTCTATTAATTTGTAATGTAAGCAATAAAACACAGTAGTATAGTTATATTTGCAATTTAGTCACCAATGGAAATCATAGAAATTTTTATATTGTATTACATTGTTGCAGATATAAATTATATTTTACTATGATTACTACTTCAAACTTAGAGAAATTATTAGAGCTTCCGATAGCTTCTGCTATTTACTTCATTGATGAGAAATCACATTTATTACTATACTACATTTTAAGATTTTGAGAACTATATTTCAGAATGATAATTTTACTTTTAATACTTTCTACTTGTGTTGTATTTTTATGAAAAGCACTGTTATGAGAGTGCATCAATAGGAGTTACTCCTCTGCCAAAGTGGTCTGTGGCATTAAAGGACAAAATAAAACAAGCAAAACCGGATAACATGTACTTTCCAGTGACTTTGCAATGATGGGTTATTATATCATGGATGCTTACAGATTGAAAGAGTTTAAACCTGAGATGACTGAGGTATTATTTAAAATAGTTTAAAAAGTTAAATTCATAGAAATGGAGAGTAGAGGGTTGTTACTAGGGATTGGGGTGTGGGGGAGATGGGGAGATCTTGGGCAAAGGCTGCAAACTGGCAGTTATAAGATGAATAAATTCTGGAGACAACATACAGCATGATGACTACAGTTAATAATAATGTACTGCATCCTTGAAAATTGCTAAAAGATTAGATCTCAAGTATTCTCATACACCCAAGACAAAGTAGCTATTAATACATGAGGTGATGGGCACACTAATTAGCTTAACTGTGAAAATCTTCACATTGTATAGGTATATATAAACATCACTTTGTATACCTTGAGCATACGCAATTTTTACTTGTTATTTATGCCTCAGTAAAGCTGAAAAAATTTGTTTTTGTTTGTCCATATGAATGTTTACTTACTTTCTCTGCTGTCAGCAGAATTGGGGCCTTGAATAAAATGAGATTAAGTCAGTTATAAAGAAATAAATTACCTATATTTTCCTTATATATCTAAGTTGTGTTGTGAACAAACTCACAACTACAGAGAGTAAATATGATTTTCCTCATGCAAAAATATAAGTCACTAATCTGAACAATGCATATTTATTGAAAGGATAGAATATATTCCCTTTTTATTAATGAGTGCAGCAATACTTTATACCTGTGCTGAATTCCTAGTATTGATCTAAATAGATAGAACTAACTATAATAAGATTACACAGTATCTCTAAAAAATAGAACAGGTAAAGTAAGAATTTTAAACTTTTAAATAATGACTTGTAAATAAACATACTCAATAATAGCTGAGTTCAGATTCATAAATCTAAAAGCTATAATGAGTGGAAGATAACCCATTAAAGTGCCACTTATTAGGCTGATCTTCAAATTATATTTGTAATATTCCGAATAGAGGATTCTCTGATATGCTGAATAGAGAATAATTTTATTAAGCATTATAAACTTTTTTCTAAGATAATTTATGTCTAAAACTGGAAAATGTATGCAATTTGTAAGCTAATTTTACTGATTAGAAATGTGCATTATGAGAAATTTGCCTTCTGTAAGCAACATCTGAGTATATTTAGATAGGATAATTATATTCAAAAATAATCCACTCATTGGTCTTAGGTGTTAATGATCATGTGATATGTAACTAATATGAAGTATAACCATATATGTGCATTAGACTAGTCTCAAACATTTGAACTCTTGCCATTGTTGAGGATCCTTTACTGATTTTTTGTCATTGAATATTAACTGAGTAATATTTACCTTGGGAACATAATTTATAAATACAAAGATACTAAAATTTGTTCTTTTTTAAAATGCTTACATTTTTAGAAAATAATACACCAGTTCCACCATCTGTTGTTCATGGCCATTTAGTCTGTCTGTTCGTCTATCTCCTCTAGGTTGTGACTTCTAAATATAATATTCAATAACAGTGCCTCTTTTCTCTGGCTACAAGAACCATACTTACTAAAAATTGTCTTTATATATATATTGGTTTATCTTTACTGAAAACTGTTGTCATCAATCAGAGTCAATTGAGAGAGTAATCATTTGATTATTTTTGAAATAACAAATCTGTGACATGCATATCTTGGGAATACCAGCAAAATTTGAAGTTTGAGGAAGAAGGCATTAATCAAGCCTTATAGGTAGTGTATTTGGGAATAAAGGCATAGTTGTTAAAAATTCTACAACCTTGACTGGATGAGTTGAGAACCCTAATTTTCCCATGCCTAACTGTTCCATCTTGAATGTTACTACAGCCCTCTGTCTTTTTATCTTCTCTGTAATGTGGACATTATAAGTGTATCTTATAAGAAAATGAAGTTGTAAGAAAAACAACGTGGCATATTGTAGGGGTTAGCTAAGTTTAGACACAAAAATATGAGCTCAATGATGGCTGGAATTTTGTCTTTTATTTTCACTATGCCCCCAAAGCCTAGAATATGACTAGCATATACAGTATGCTAGGTATCCACCTATTTATGTTATAATAATATGCTATATCCACCTATTTACAGTTTTGCTTTCCACACTTTCAGTTACTTATGTTCAACTGTGGTCCAAAAATATTAAATGGAAAGTTCAGGAAATAACTCATTAGTTTTAAATTGCACACCATTCTGAGTAGTGTGATGAAATCTCCAGACAAGCCCTCCTGCTCTCACAGGTGGATGCAAATCACCCATTTGTCCCAGGTATCCACTCTGTATACACCATCCACCCATTAGTGACTTAGTAGCATCTAGCTTATCTGATCGAAAACCATAGTACAGTACTGTACATATAGGGTTCAATACTATCTGCAGTTTCAGGCATCCACTTTAAGTCTTGGAACATATCCCTAATGGATAATGGGGTGCTACTACAATAGATACTAAATATGTGCTCAGTAATTATATGTTTATACAAATAAAATACATAAAATTTCATTTTAGCTAAATAATATTTTTTCTGAAATGTTTGTTTTATTTTATAAATTTGTTGCTAAGACCTAAAAAAAAATTAATGTGCATGTGATTTCACAAGCAGAGACTCTTGGAAAAAAAGAACAATGTAAGCTAATATAAGAAAAATGTATTTGAATGTATTTGTCACAACCATTTAGCATGCTTTATTTTAGTCCATGAGCTCAATATCCACATGAGGTCTATGGGCAGCATCTTCTACTTGGAGAACTATGGAAACATTCAATTGCCTAACACAAAACAAATTATTTGATCATCTGCCTAACATCCTCATTAGATTAATTTGCTGAATATAATCTATTACATAATATCATCATTTCACAATACCTATAAATAACTTGAGGATATTTATAGCTATGGAAACTTTGCAGAGGTACTGGGGAGAGAGTGGCTAGGAAAAATAAATAATTTAATTGGAGGGGGTGCAGAGGGGACTAGAGAATTTCATGAAAAGGCCATTATTCCCTCTATGTCTCACTAAATATGTGTAGTAAATTATTCAATTTTCATCAAGTACTTATGAATACAATAGTAATATGTCTTATATTTATTCAAAGATAGTCTAAGTGCAGACCTTAAAGCCTTTATAATTTGAATGAAATTTGCTAATTTTGATTATTAGTAAGATATTTTCTAAAAACAAATTAAACTTTCACTGTCTAGAGTAAGAGTAGCTCTCATGATCCTCAAGATTACGTTTTGCAAAATGTATCCAGATGACATTACAAGAAATCAACGACATAGTAATGCAGAAGTTTCTCTCAAAATTTTTAATTATCTAAATTATTTAGAATACATGGTAACATTCTTTTCCTGAATTCCCATGACAATATTTATATAGACTAAACATTTTCCTTCATCCACAAAATGGTTGCAAGGAATGAATATCAGCTCCAGGTATGTGTGATCACCTGGTATGTGTGATACTTGAGTATCTTTATAGTGCATTAGGCTACCATATTTTTTTAAGTAAACATATCTGCCCAGAAATTAAGGACATTACTATAGTAGGACATATTTTTAATGATTTATTATTAACATGAAAATGTTCATTGTATGTTAAAACAGACCTTCTCAATCTATAATGTGCATAAGAATTCCTCATTAAAATGCAGATTCTAATTAAGTTTGTCTGCATTTCTAATAAGATGCCAGGTGATACTGAGACTACCCTGAGGACCACACTTTAAGTGGCAAGACATAAAACATCATATTAAATACTGAAATGCCACCAGATTTGATAAAACCTGTTTTCTAATTTCAGAAAGTTCATAAGCTAGAAGGAAATTAAAAATAATTAGTCATGCTAATTTCTCTAAAATGAAATAGTTACCAACATCTTAAATTCAAAACAATCTTGATGAAGAATATAATACAAAGTCTACTGGAATTAATTAAATTTTTTTACAGCTAAAGAATATGCTATGCTTTTTTAAATTTTAAAATATCTGCATCAGTAATTTGTCTGTATCTGTTTAAATAAAATGCCTATTTAAACATTTAACAAAAACAGAACAACAATTAAAAAAAAAAACACCTCTCTATGGTAGGCAATGTGGAGTGGTAGTGGTTTCCACTCAAATAGAAGAGAGGTCTGCAATGTATGGCCTGTGGGTCAGATCCATACTACTACCTGCTTTCATACAGACCACAAGCTAGGAATTTTGTTTTTTTTATGTTTTCTAACAGTTGAAAAACAATTTACAAAAGAGTATTTCTTAAAATATTAAAATGATACAAAATTTAAAATTCAGTGTTTATAAAACTGCTGCTGTCACACAGCAATGCCCATTCATTTATGTACAGTCTATGGAGTCTGCTATGGCCTGAATATTTGTTTCTTCCCAAAACTAATACGTTGAAACCAAATCCACAATGCGATGGTTTTAAGAGGTAAGGCATCTGGAGATGATTAGGTGATGAGGATGAAGTCTTTATGAATGGCATTAGTGCCCTTATAGAAGAGGCCCAGGGGAGTTTGTTTGCTCCTTCCAATATGTGAAGAAACTGCCAGAAGGTGCTATCTATGAACCTGGAAATGGACCCTCATGAGATACCAAATCTGCCGGCACCTTGATTTTGGACTTCCCAGCCTCCAAAACTATGAGAAATAAATCTCTGTGTATGAGCCACTAGTTTAGGGTATTTGTTATTGCAGCACAAACTGACAAAGACAACTGCTCTCATGTTACAGCAGGCAGAGCTGAATGGTGGCCACAGGACCACATGGTCCATAAGCATGGAATTTGTATTTTCTGTTAATTTTGTAAAAGTATAAAAACCAACCAGGAAAGTAATGTGTGTGTGCATTAGATATTTTTTCTAGTATTGTAGTCATGTAAATATACATTTTCTATTCCTTAGAAGAGGTATTTTTTAGTTTTAAAAAGGCCACAGGACTTGAAGTCAGGAGTCATGTCTTTAAGGATCTGGAGCAGAAACTCCAATGCTGTTAAATGAGAGGGTCATATCACAAGGCTTCTATAACCCTTTTCTGATCCAGCCTTTACATAGGTATATATTAAGCTTATTTTTATTTCTTTGCTTTAAATTTTTCAACTCTGTGATGTTGTACTAAAAGGAAAAATTGATATTATTTAAACTGTTTAACACATGACTTTCCTTTCTATGAACCTTGAATTTGTTCTTGTTTAAAGTGTTTTATTGTCTTGGCTCTATAAGCTTGTTTCTTTTGCATACTGTGGGAGTTTAAAATAGGTTATTTGTGTAGTCATCTGATCAAAGTTAGTGAAGTTTTATTGCTACAATAAAATAACGTTTAGCACAAACTCCAAATTTTAATAAAAATTCCATCTATATCCAAACATAAAACACACTGTGTAGCTGAGTTGTAATTTTTGCCTAAACTATACGCTGAAGATTCATGAAGGAAACCTAAATATATGAAGTATTTAAATAGCCAGCTTAGAGACAGAATTACTTATGCTAAAGGACACAAACTTTCTACAGGAAAAGTAAAATAAATGGAAATGTTAAGCAGTTTCGCAAACTGCATTTGGCATTTGATATAAAGAAAGCAAAACAATATAAATTTTATGAATAGTAAGAAGGATCCATGGGCTTTTGGAAAATTTCTTATATAGGAAATATTTCATAGCAGATTAAATAAATAATTCAATGTAACAAAGGAATTCTCCAACAATTACTAACCTTTAGGAAGGTTCTGTATATACTGTTTCCTAGGCTGTAATTCCTTGCACTTACTAGCTGGATGATGTAGTCCAGTGAAATTATCTCTTTAAGCCTGTGTGTGTGTAAAACTGATAATTAACTATTATATATATCTTGTATATTATATGCTATCCCACAATATTTTTGTTTGTATTCAATAAAATAATGTATTAAATTTAGTCTTATCAACAATAAATCCTTGATAAATATTTGCTATTATTATAAATTTTATGGGCACACACTTTTAGGTAAGAAAGGATCAGACTGACAATATTTTCAAATGTATAATTTTAATATAATTAGTGATATTTTAGCAATTGAACGACTGATATTCTTTGATATTTTATTCAAGCATACAGAAATAAGACATCCTAAAAAGAGGAAAAATGGCAAATGGTATTTCCTATCTATATCTTTAAAAATAGCCTTAGTGACGTACAATTGTACACACAAAAACTGAATGTTCTCATATACGATTTGATGAGTTTTGATATATGCATACATCTGTAACATCACTATCACAATCAAGGTAGTAAATATATTTATCACCTCTCAGAATTTCTTTGTGTCCCTCTGTGTTTTTGTGTTGTTTATGTGATGAGGACTTTTAACATGAGATCTATCTTAAGCACATTTTTAAGTGCACAATACCATACTATTGCCTGTAGACATTGTGTGGTACAGTACATCTCCAGACCTTATGCATCTTGCATAACTGAGACATTATACCAATTAAGCAACAATTCTGATCTATACTAGATCTTCACTCAAATAGTCATGTAAGTATTCCAACTTCATTGGCTAAAGTGCATACGTTCCACAAGTAGGTACTTTTCCAGGCAACAAAAGATTTATCAGGGGTTATTCATGCCTTTATTGTTTCAACACAAATTTATAGCATTACTGATATGAGACAGTCACTTTTTCAGAAACTGTAACACAGCAGTGAACAAAGCAAAAACGCCCTTCCTTTTACGGAACTTATGTTCTAGTGCTGAGAATTAAGTAAATAAGATGGAAATGAATAAATGAGATATTTTCACAGCTATATATACCATAAAATAGAGGAAGAAGAGAGAAACTAGAGAAGAAGTGATTTACGAGTTGTCTCTGAAAAATTTCTCCAGATGTAGGATAAGCAGCATGTAGGAGTTTGTGGGACAGGGGAAATACGTAGCCCCAAGATACTAACAAGAGTATCATTAATGCATAAATGATAGATAAAACCACTGGACTAGATAAGACAGTAGAAAGAGAAGAGCCAGTGCAAAGAAGCGATCTTATCAACTTTGTGAATGCAGAAGAGCAAGGACCAGAAAAGGGGACATGAGAGGGCATGGTCTGTGAGGTAGAGAAAAACTATTAGTGAGAGTTCTCAACGGAGTGGTCACTGAGTCCCTGTTTCTGAGAAGTGGAGAAAGACCATGACAGGTCATTTGTTTTTGAAATTGACATTGTGAACATTTGGGGGATTTTGTTAGCGTCAGTTTGAATAGAGAGGTAGCATCAGTCAGACTATGAGTGTTTTGAAAAAATAAATGAGGACACAAGAGTAAATCTAAACAACCATCAAGGAGTTTTACTGTGAAAGGGGCAAAGAAAAAGGCATTGGCTGTGAAGAACTGTAGTTTAAAGGAAGATATTTTATAAGAAGGAAACACCACATAACTATGCTAATGATTATTGATTAGACACACAGAAATTGATGATCCAGGAAAAAGAGATATTTTCAGCAGAGTCTTTGAGCAACACTGAAGTATAAGATTCTGACTACGAGTAGAGAAATTGGCCTGAGTTACAATGAAACCAAACTGAAAAATGAAGATGGATGGATATACAGGTAAATGGATGTATTTGTTCATGGAAACAATCCCTGTCTGAGTGCTTCTATTTATATTTATTTATTTATTCATTTTTTATTTTTTATTTTTAAATAATTTAAGACCTATGAGAGAAGAATAAGGGGAGAGCAAATGCTGTGATAAACTGAAGTGTATAAAAAGTATCATATTATATGCTACATACCAGGAAAATGAGAAAGCATTTTTAGGACAGTTGTCAGTATCCCATTTGAGATTTTTCATTATAAATTTAAAGTTAACCCAGACTGCTCAGTTTCATGCTTCTTCAGTAGGATTTAGCTACTTGAAATAGATGGCTATGTATGTTGAATGAGGCTCTTAAGTTTTCCCAAGGAAGTAGAAAAAGGGAAGAGAGATGCAAAGAAATTAGGTATTTTATCAGAAAGAGAGACTTTAAGAAAATAGAAACTGTGAGAAGTATTTCAAACAAAGGTGACACTGAAGTTAAATGGCTAAATGGCAAAAAAAAAAAAAAAAAAGGAAACTTTAATGTAATCCAGAGTGTAATAACTACATAAACCAGTTGCCCTAAGACTGGTAGGAGACAAAAGAAAAATGATGTTTTAAGAATTGACTGGAATGGAGTTCTCTAAAGCTTGGTGCTTGGAGTAATGGGGGTGCTCATTGTGTAAGTGGAGTCAGCCTGGGGCTCAGTCTCAGTGTGAGGAACTGGCAAGGACTTGGCCCCCCACTCCCGCCCCCACCTTCTCCTACTTTCCCATTTCCATCACAGCTACTGATTGGTAGAACCTAACTAACAGGAAGTTAGCAAAGGCATTTGGGAAATGAAGTTAGCAAACTCCCAGCCCCAGTATCACAGAGCAAAAAAAAAAAAAAACATACGTAAAGGTTTTAATTGACACTTTCTGGTATTTGTCTTGTGTTTCAACAGGAGATAACTCCTGAGTATAACTATGTCCTATGTCAAAGCTTTTCATAATTTGTACTTAATTGCTTCATTTAAGACAATGGAAGGAGTAAAAAAACACAATACCAGATATAATTCTTGACCTCCCCGGAGGAAGCTGAACTGTCATTCTAGAACCTTTTTCACCTTCAAATGAATTTTTCAGGGATGTTTATAGCAGAGATGAGGCTGCCAGCATTAAAACTGTGTTGATTCAATAGGAACTTAAGTCAATGCAAGCACTTTTATTGTCATGACAAAGAAGGGTATTTATCCTTGTAACAATTTAAACTATTTCTCCTTCATTGTCATATTACTTGTCCTTGAAAAGTCTTCATGTTGATTCAGTGGTGATTTTAATTTTATGGCAAACACAGGGTTGTAGAAAAATTCCAAATGAAACAAAAATACTTATAGGAATAGATTATTCCATACATATGCTTAAAGAAATTAAGTAAAGTTTAGCTGAGCTATAATATATTCTTTATTGGAAGTTAAAATGACTTATTTATTATGTAAACATGTAGTCATACATTTGGTTTAAAGAAAGCATATTGACGCAGGCACTTATGATAGATGAGTTATATAAAAAATTATATTTTCCCAATAAGATGGAAAAATAAGCAATTACCAGAGAACAAATATGCATTAATCAAAATTATAAAACAATTGGACATGGATTCAAAATATCTGAACAGAAAAGTTTTAAAGATAAAAATATTTAATTTTCTGTTATTTTTCTCTAACCATATAATGATGTTAGAATGATAAACCCACTTGTTCCCTCAGATGACTAGATACTAAACTCGAATAAGTCCTTTTAAAAGAGCTGAAAATTATGATAAAATTTATTTTCAATATTTTAACAACCTCACTTCATTCTCTTGTCTTCCAATTTTTCAACATCATTTGCTTGGACCCCCTGAAACTTTACAAACTAATCCAAACCCAAGTTAAGCAGTATTTTTAAAAGTTCTGGCCAGGCACGGTGGCTCAAGCCTGTAATCCCAGCACTTTGGGAGGCGGAGGCGGGTCGATCACGAAGTCAGGAGATCGAGACCATCTTGGCTAACACAGTGAAACCCCGTCTCTACTAAAAATACAAAAAAAATTAGCCGGGCGTGGTGGCGGGAGCCTGTAGTCCCAGCTACTCGGGAGGCTGAGGCAGGAGAATGGCGTGAACCTGGGAGGCGGAGCTTGCAGTGAGCCGAGATCGTGCCACTGCATTCCCGGCTGGGCGACAGAGCAACACTCCGTCTCAAAAAAAAAAAAAAAAAAAAAAAAATTCTGAGTAGGGCCCTGGTCAAAACTGTCTCGTCCTATTTTTCGAACCAAATACTTGTGGAATACATAATCTTAATAATTAAACCCTGACTTGTAGCTCTTAATGTAAGAATGGAGTTCCATCATTGCTTTGTGCATATTGTGCCTGATACTCCATTCCAAAGAATGAGATGGTTCCTTTTAATTTCCATTTGGAGGCTAGAGACCAACAAAACTTCTTTGGGCAGTTCTACAAGTTGCTTTTCCACTTACTGGATCATCAAACAAGACAATTTTTTGCTATCTGCTTCCCTGTTCTACATATCTGCTAAGAGAATCCTCTCCTGTTTTGGGGCCTACCATGTATTGCATATCTTGCCAAGTAAGTACTATGGCTCACTTGCCAGGTGAAACTTTCTTCTCCTCTGTGATGAGTTACAGATGTCAGGTTATAAGCCCGTTCCCCCTACTCCCAATCTCACTTTTACCTCTTAGGTCTTAAAAATGTTTAAATAAATAAATACATAAAAATAAATACAGTGCTTGAGACATGTTATGGCTTGAGAACTACATGCATCTTAGAAATAAATTAATGGTTTTCTAGACTGAAAACAATGATTAACTTATTTTAATATTATTCTAGAATTCAGAGTAGATTGTTAAAGAATGATAGATTTCTCTTGAGCAATAATTGGGGGCCTATATTACATGTTGCAGTTATTGGATGCTGTGTTATACCTCTAAGGTTTGTCATCTTGTCATAATGGCAGCATTGATAAATGTGAAATCAGAATATTGAAAGTTCCTTCGAACACATGTGTGATGGCATCAACTGGTTATGGCCTACATTATCTAGCATAAAAGAAGGAACACACCTTCCAGGTGGAACAGCACTGTGCTGTCTACTGTGGGTGGTTCTGGAGTAGGTCTTGCCAGTAGCTGTCTGCTCTCACCCTGTGACCTTTCTTTATATGCATAGTCTGGTATCAACCCTCTCTTCTGGCTACTCACCACCATCCCTCATAAACATCTTTATAGTTATTACACTTCTTTTTTCCTCTGACAAAGGCTTTTTTCTGTCCTGCTTCAACTTCTTTTTTGGTGTTTCATACTCACACTTCTGGTTACTCCAAGGGAATTATCAACATTGGTTTTATTAAAGCAATGTTTGAATTAGCCACTGATCTGCTCCTGTGACAACTTGTGCATAGAACCATGACTGAATCAATCATGTGACTTCAAGCTAACTTTTAGTATTTCTCATGTTCCAAAGCATGGCAACTTTTAGAAACAATGACTAGTATTTATTGTATTTAAAGGGCATTTACATTGATCTTGCCCTCTCAATTTCAATGTGTTGCTTTTATTTTCAAATGGCACTTTTTTTTTCTTCTTTTAAAGTTGTTATGATCTGTATGTGGGCTACTTACAAAGTAAAACTTTAATTATTCTAAACTCTACATCTAAGAATTTTCTACCTCTAAATGCTAATGATTATTAATGTTCTACTAACAGTTCAATTTTTATATTCATCTAATAATCTGATTTCAATTTGGAGACCTAATACTTTATTCACATATATTATTAACCTTTTGTTTGAATTTTGCTTTATTGTTAACTGTAAGAAAATAGCACTTATACATTTGTAAACTTCTATATCATAGCTATTTTACATATTCAACCCAATTATTTGCCATATGAAACCTCCAATAATTTTCAATTCAAAAGGCAGAGTTTTAGCAAAGTTTATCTTGGGTTTTTAAAATTATTTTCAATCCTTTTCTTTTTTAATGTTTAAATTCCCAGGGGATTAAATTCGTTAAAATGAAGCTCATCTTCAATTAGCAAGAAGAACATATGTATGCTCTTCATTAAAATCCCCAGGTATCATGAGTAGCAGTTCATTTTGGGTTTTCAGATAATTAAAACCTCATACACATTTTCTGATACTCCACCTGGCATTAGAGTGTATTCAACTACAGACCACTTGAGTTAGTAGACTTCTGAAAAGCTTGATATCAGACATTAATATTGGGAACAACTTTCCTTTGCTGTTGTATAGACAAGTGCATTATTTAACCTCAAATACCCTCACAACAAGAAAAATATAAAAGATGATGAATATTATCTATTCTGTTAAACTTGCTAAACTAATAATTAGAAGTCTCTTGAAATTTTCAATTTAAACAGTGCTTAAATACCTGCTAAAGTGAAAACAGAGGTGCAGAACAATGTTTTAATATTTATCTCAAGAAGTAATATTTCTATTTCACTCCCCAGCTACAATGCTCTCCTCATTTACATAGCCATTGAAATATATATGTTATAAAAACAGTGATTATGTGATATTTGATGGCTGAGAAAAGTTTCATACATCATTAGTGCCCTATAAATATTTATTGAAATATTACATACCTATTCTTAAAAATTTTAAAGACTAAGGTAGTATGATTTGTTATTTAACCCATTGATTTATCATTGCAAGCTAGCCCCAATCAAAAAATAGGATTTTTTGATTCCTAAGCAGAGTCAGAATTTTTCATGATAAACAGATTAGTTTGTTATACTACATATTTTTAATCTAATCATGTTTATCTAATCATGAACATCTCTGAAATAATGGAGTAATCTTCCATACAATGTTAAGTACCAATATCTGATGAATCATTGTAAATTAATGGCTAAAGTCTCCTCTTTATGTAGAAGATGAAGGACTTGATAGTAATAGATATCTAGATATAGCTTCAAAGAAAAAATGGGAACTTTTATTATAATGTGTGCTGGTCTTAAGACAACAGTCATTATGCTGGATGTTTCCATCAGTTAACTTTATTTACCTAATAGATTCAGAGTTTGATTCTATTTCATGCTTATACATTGTGGCCTTCAGATTTCTCTAGCCCACACCCTATTATTTAGCATAGATATGGGTGCTAAAGGCAGCCTACTGATACTCTTCCTCCTGCATTACTTTAGTTGGTAAACAAGTGAATAAATTCAGTTGATTCAATAGTGTCTTAGATCATTTTGTGCTGCTGTTACGGAATACCACAGACTGGATAATTTACTGTGAACAGAAATATTGACTCATGATTCTAGAGGCTGGAAAGTCCAAGGTAAATGTGCTGACCTTGGCAACGGCCTTCTTGCTATATCATCTCATGATAGAAGGTGGAAAGGTAAGAAAGGGTGAGAAAGAGAAAAGGGGCTGAACTTACCCTTTTGTAACAAAACCACTCCAGCAATGACTGTATTAATTCATTCACTCTGTGCTCCAGGCCTAATCACCTCTCATTAAGCACCACTTCCCTACCTTGTTGTATTGGCAATTAAGTTTCCAACACATGCTTTTTCCAACACATGGTTTTTGCTTCAAACCATAGCAAATAGTGAAAAGAGATCTAATATGTCAAAATAATTGCACAAGCTGAGGGTTTTTTTCTTGATTAAAGTCAATATAATTATTGTAGTTACTAAAAATGTCTATTGTATTATTGTTGGTTTGAAAGTTAATTTTTTGAAATATGGAGAAAAAAGTATAGATGTTGCTTCCAAGTAAAGTTAGAGTTGGCATTGATTGCTGTAATAAAGACAATTTGTACTTTTTGATTCATAATAATAGTTCCCACAAATTTCATGAGTGCTTTTCTGAATGCAAATGACTTTATTAAAATGTTATTTAAAAGTTATTAGATGCTATATAAATTCAGGGATATATAAGGAGGTAAGGTAGAATGCAAATAATACAAAAATACTATAATGAAATAGATAAATAACTGGCCTTTTCATCAGAATGAACTGGCTAATTGGAAAGATAGTCAAATACTGGATAATACAGGTGGAGCTAACACACAATTGTTTCATGAAATTGTCAGGTAAATAAAGGCAATCTAGTCAATGGCCTTACTGAGAAAGAGTAGAACCTAGCATGAAGACTGGAAGGGTAAAATTATCCTGAGGTCCTGTTGCAGATTCAAAGAAATTTTACAAAAGAAGGGGAGCTTTTGTCCTTAAGAATGTATGTTAGAGACTTACAGTGTTATACATACATATATGTATGTGTATATATATAATGTGTGTATATATATATGTGTATATATATATGTGTGTGTGTGCATATATATATATATATATGCACACACACATAACATTTTATATAAGAAAAAATATATATATATAATTTTACTTAAAGTAAAAAATGAAATACTAATCATCAGAAGGGTTTGAACCAGAGCTACTCCATTCTGAATGAGGGCTAGGAAAATGAGGCGGAGACTGGGCTGCATTCCCAGAAAGTTAGACATTCCTAGCCTCTAGGTGTTTATCGTTAAGGGAACAAATTAATAATATTTACTAAACAGACCCAGACTTGGGAGTGTCCAGATATCCCAATATCTGATGAACAAAGGCTTTCCTAATTTTGTTTTAAAGATAATAATATTGATTCTTGCAAAATATAGTAATTTAGAAAATTAATTCTTTATCAGAAACCCTTGTAGCAGAGTACATCTACCCATATATACAAGCATTGTACCTAGGGTGGATGCGTTCCTCCTCTTACTTTCAGGAACTACCTGCTCTGCCTATGGAGTAGCTGTCCTTTCACCAGTTTATTTTCTTAATAAATGTGCTTTTGCTTTGCACTGCAAACTCACCCTGAATTATTTCTTGCATGAGATCCAAGAACCCTCTTTTGGGGTCTGGATTGGGGCCCCTTTCCTGTAACACTTCTGCTGACATTAAGACATTCTTAGTTCACAGAGATAATTATACATAAATATTTTTCCTTACTATTGATAATGTATTTTGAAAGTAAAATTACTTTAGAAAAGTTGAGAGTACTTATGTTTTTGAGGATATTACAGATGAATGTTGAATTTAAACTATAATCAAATATAAGTACCTGCATACAGAGAAGTTTATATTTTAATATAGAGTAAAATTTGTTTATAATTTTATGAGCAAAAGATAACTATAGAGAAAGATGAGTTCTGTATTTTGAGTTTAGAAAGGATACTTTAAAATTCCAAATAATGACATACAAAAACAAATTGATAACAAGCAGGAGATCATAAAACCATTTAAAATAATTGTATTTTCTAATAAAATAGAGATACATATTTAAAATATCTACAAAATATATGTTTCAATTAGGAATATTAAATTGAAGTAAACATGAAATATATACATTTTTATAAATTTACTTCTGTGTAAATACAGTAATAATACTTACCATTATTGAATACTTTCAATGAACAAAGAACTAACTTTTAAAAAACTGTTAGATATAAGTTCTAAATTTTTCTTCAAAGAATCAATGTCAGTGTGTTCAATTCTTTGTCTTCTACTTTTAAATTTAACTTCCTCATAAAGCAACCTTTTTCGATTACCTGCTCCACTCTGACTCATTCTGATTACCTGCTCCACCCTGACTCATTCGGATTACCTGCTCATTTTCCACCCTGACTCATTCCAATTTCCTGCTCTGCCATAACCATTTTTCCCACCAAACCACTCACCCCATCACTCTCTTTAAATCAGCCAATCGGAATTAGTTTAGCCTGTGCCGTCTAACCCTAGCCAATAAGGGAATGAACAGCAGCAGGGGCCACGTGCGTCAGGGATAAGAACCCCTTCCCCTCCCTTGTCCAGGAGTGCGCTCACCATTGCTCCATCTGTAAGGGCGCACCCTTCTATAGAAGTACATTGCCCTGCTGAGAATTAAAAAGGAAATTTTATATTCGAGTGCTATTTCTTTTGAGGCACTGAAACTTTATTTATAACAAAACCATATATATTCCTTATTTTAATTATAATTTTACAAGTCTGGCAAGAAATGTGCCATTGTCCTCAATTTTCAGATGAAGGCATAAAGGCTCAGAGCCTTTAAGCTAGCAATGTACTGAATAAAAAATCAAACAAAGTTCTTTCTGACATTAAGGACTACATTTAACCACCATTTATACAAAAAAGTGTAGAACAAATGTAATGTGTTTGTGTGTATGTGTCTGTGTCTGTGTCTGTGTTTGTATTTTTTTCTTCTGTGCTCCTGGGTTTTCTGATTAGTATGCATATTACTTAAGAAGTTTTGCTCCTTGGAATGGATCTGGCCATGCCTGGCACACTATAATCCATTTTATCAGCTTCATGTAGATAGGTTTAGTGTGTAATTCTTCTTATTGCTTCTTTCTCATGTGTCTTTTGAACAACAAGGACCGAGTAGTGATTTACCTTTATCTTCTGCTGCAAATCTTTAGAGTTGGTGAAAAATTGGTTCTTTTCCTGTTGCCCAATTGAAAGGGGTATGAATTCAAATCGCTTCCTAGTTTAAATTGGCTTTTCATTTATGGAGTCCTTCCTCACATATTTGTCCTGGTTGATGGCTGAGATTTTTCATCGCTAAGTGCTTTGGCTTTCTTCAGAGGAAAAGCGCTAAGTGCCAAGTGTTACAATTAATATTAAAATGAGGTTCATTGGGTTTTAAAAGACGATTTAAAAGAAGCACAAGGGATTGCATAAGAAAAGCAACATATGGCTCTTTGTATTTTATAGATATGTTTTTCCATAAGGTGGACATTTTTCAATATATGTAGTTTTTATAAGGGAAACATAAAACTACATATAAAAACATGTAAAGAATTCTGAAATATTAGAAAAAACACAAGTTACTTTTCGTATTACACACATTTTAATTTTAATCCAACAGAAGTTTCACTTTGCTCTATTTTCTAGCTTTAATAACTGATCAAACATATAATTGACTATAGCTGTAGCATTAATAGTTTTGGACAGTAAGAAGTGTCTCATTGTTCTTTAAATGCAGCAGTGATGCAGAATGAGGCAGTGAGAAAAACACCAATATAACAGCAACTGTTTTATAATGCTCTAGAAGTAGTAAAAATAGTGCTTATTTAATTCTGAGTTGCTTTTGTTCAAGATGGAAATAACTTCCTACTATACGAATACAAAAGAAATGCATGTTGTTTTGAATTATTCACAGTTTATATAATGACATGATATTTTATTCAATCTTATGTTTGTAGTTTTTCAATTTTGTCAACTTGTACAATAATAATATGGTTCTTTAGAAGAAGACATGAATAAATCATGGTCACTCCATATTTTTCTAAAGAAATTATAGTTCATGATTTTATGATAAAAATAATATAAAATGTACTTTACTTTAAAGTATAAGATAAATACAGTTTCAGTATGCATCTCTTTTTCCTTATCTGCTTACATATCCATCAACCTGTGTGTAAATAATTATTGCTATTATTTCTAGCTGCTTCTTCAAACAAAATAGATCTCTAACCATTGAATCACATGATTCATGACATCTGAGAAGCAATTATAACTTTCCAGAGAGAAAATGTCAAATAAAATTACAGGTACTATAACAAACATTTTAATGTGATATTTTAAATTTTTAATCTAATCAAGTCATTGTAGGGGCCAAGGGAAAACTTCACCCTCTGAAGTTTTGCTGAAAGACCAATTCACAAAAGGCAGATTCGTAGGAGAAACGGCATACAAATTTATTAGCATGTATGGAGGAGAATCATGGAATGATTGCCCAATATCCCAATGGGGTACATACACCTATATATCCTACTTCTAAGGGGGTAGGGGATTCAGGAAGTGTGGATAATTTTAGAGAGGTAGTAAATGATTTTTAGGGGAATTAAATGGGCTTGAAGAACTTACAATGGCATGGGACAAAGTTTGTTGGGCGCACTGAGCAGATAATGGTTTGTGACAAAAGTCTGTCCAGGTTTGTTGACAGATTTCAATCTTTCTTTTTGTGATCTGAGTCAATTGATGAAAATTCAGGGAAGGGACCAGAGGTAATTGTTTTCTTCTTTGGCAGATCTGAACTTTAGACAGATAAGGAAACTTTAGAGAACAATTTTATCCTGTGCTTTAGGAGAGACAGCATTGAGAGACCAGAGGAAGGAGTGAAGGTCAGAGAGACCTTGAGAAGACTTCTTCAGTTCAGCATGTCAAAGTGCCATGGTTTGGGATATGTGTTTTTGAGCTCCAATACCATATTCCTAGTACTGTCTTAAAAATGTTTAAATAGGATGCTTTTCATAAAATTCCATCTGTTGGACAGATAAATATTTCAGAAATAGATTTTATGTATTCAAAGGTATTTTATTATTTTGATGTAATGCAAATCTCAATTAAAAAAAACTCCAAAAACACAGTAGATTTTGAGTGTATTTCATAAGCAAAAAAGCAATCATATGAATTTGTGTAGAAAGTAAATGTAAGATAATGATTTTGTAGTGGATCTTTTTTTCTTTTCCTGGATTGAATATTTATGACGCATATTGAAACAGATCTCCATAACGTATTTTTAAGGGGAAAATTCAACTTAAAATAATTTTAAAAACATTTGACAGATGATGAAATCAATCAGCAGATAACATACCCACATAGGCCACGATACTTCTATCAAATATTGCTAAGAGAAATTAATACTGCTAATGGAAATAAGAAAAGATTTTGATAATTGTAAGTGGTAAGCATCATTATAAAGCAAAATCTTCAATATTTTGGTTTAGCTTATTTTTAACAAGCAAGCGTAATTGTTTTACTTAATTGATCTCTTCAGCTTTCAGTGTTGCATGACTAGCTGTTCATCTGAGTAGCTCTGTTGTTCATTCCTGCATATTTCCAAGAGTGTGTGTATGTCACTACCCAATACGATGCTCTGGTTGTTCACTAGTGGGGGAGAATAAAACATACCACCCCTAAATATCAGGGACTATAGAGGTGAAGGCAATTACAAAGAAGCAGGTAGAGAAAAACTCTGTCATCCTTCTATATGCCTAAAAGCAAGACATGGATATACAAAGACAGAAGATATTCTTCCCTGTGACCAAATGCTTCCAACAGGCAGAACAAAGGTTAGCCACTGAAGAAAACTTTAGACTCTTACAGGATGATACCAGAGGAATCTACATTAACAAGCTTTACTAACTAGCCATTATGTGCCATTTATTTGCCTTCCCTTGATTTGCTACCCCTAAAGATTCCTTTTCCTTTGTCTTGTTACTTCCTTAAAAATTTATTGTTGTTGAAGATGACATATAACCTGGATTGCAAACCCACCTCTTTGAGAACTACTCATTCTCTGGGTGTGTCCCATATTCAGAATTTCCTTGATGTATGATAATTCAACTTATATATATATATTTTTTTACTTATGATAGTGTGAAAACAATAGGTCTTCAGTGGGCTTCTTGATGAAACAAATAACATCTGGATAAACCCATTATAAGTTGAAAAGTTTTGACTTACGATATTGAAAACTTACAAAAGGTTTATTGGGACATAAGAGCATTGTAAATTGAGGAACATCTGTACATACAAAATATGCATGCTAATAAATTTAGGCTTGTTTATCTCTTGTTAATCTGTCTTTTGTTACAGGAGTCCAGTCCAACAAATAATTTATGAGACCAAAAGAAAAAAATATATTTCCTCCTCTACACTGTTTAATCTGTTTAATGTTCAGTTGCAGAAACATATTTCTAAAAGTACATATTCCCAATGGTAATGTGTCATTTACAATTATTAATGAAGTCATCTATTGGTTTAAAAAGCAAAGATTCAGATATATATGTTATATTAAATCAAAGTAAAATCATTTTCTATATTCTTCTTCCTGTCAGTATTTCCAGAAATAAATTATAACACTTTAAAGACAAATGACTATTTAGTAAATCAGATAATTTTTAAAATATTCTTCTTTTGAGAATGCTGCATATGTGTCCACATGCAAATTCATTCAAGAAAATTTACCAGATATTATTTTTATGGTGCTGTGTTTTTGTAGTTTCTGCTTTATGAGACATATATGTACATGTATATACATACACACATATATGTCTTTCAAATATGTAATGAGTATTTAAAATTTATTTATGAAAAATTGAACAACCCTCTCCCCTTTATATATTCACTGTTTTTTATCCATGTTTAATGTTTAATACCCCAAATTTATCTTAAGCTTATTCTTTATTATTCAAATCAAGTCAACACATTGGTTGCTTAAACAATATACAAAAAACTTATTTGACAGCTGTACAAACTGTAAAAAATGTTATTTTATTTATGTGTGTATTTGTTTACATGTGTTTACTTCCTAATTGAGCCACAAAACTTTTCATTCCCGTAATATTATCCATGGGGAAGGCAGGGGCATAGAGAACCAGAACAGGTTTCCATACTGCAGCTCATAAACATTAGTTACAGTGAATGAATAAAGACTACTTGTCATAAAAACTCTAATGTTTTTCTCTTGTAAATTTGCCAGATGTTGAGTCACTTAATGTGGGAGGTTTAAAATTAATTATTCAAATCATTTGTCTGTCATTACATTCTCTGGTGTCATACAAAGTTGTGGTTGATAAATGCAAATGGCTAAACATCTCTTTATGAATGTAAACTTAAGGGCCTTTTTTAAATACATGGAAGGAAAATGAAAAAAAAAAACAATGTGTACTCTAGAGAGGTCATTTAGACAGTATTCTTGAAGCATGTACAATATTTCTCAACTTAGTAACTAATAACCTTTTATAATAGAAAACATAATCTCTTAAACTCACCTTTATGTGTCACAGTGAAATTAACTGTGATATGAGGCCAGGAAAATAGCAGAACCATTTGTGTCACATTTAAATATCTTTCCTAACTTAAATGAGAAATCACTACAAATATTATAGCCTAATCAGTTATTGCCATTAATTTCAGATTACATTTCATATTAATTATAGAAAAATTAAAATTACAAAATATTAATTGGAAAATATCTTAATACATTCTTTAAAAATGTTTTCTTCATTTGTGTAAATGCATATAAAGGTACCCAGATGAGGATCTTTAAATAACTCCTATATGTATTTTTTCCTTTACTTTAAATTTTGATCACTTTTTTGGGGGAATGTAATTCAGATAATAACATGAAAATGTACCTTTTCCTTTCTCTTGTAAGACAAAATGCTAGAGATGCTTCCAGGGAGGCTTACCCCTTTCTTTTAACTATGACTTTACGTGAAATTGAAATCATTAAATATGAAGCCTTTATAACTTTCATAGATACAAGGGCCACATTGTCAATAATAAACTCAACTACATTTTCTGTTCTTCCTTGGAAAACAAAATGCAAATAGTTGGGGTTTCAAATCAACTGATGACAATTTACTTATTATTCTCTTTTTACAGACTTTCAAGTCACAGAACTACAGGTTTCTCACCAGTTGCTCTTAGTCCCTTAGCTTCCATTAAATTAAGTACCTGAGATTTTTTGAAACTCATAGAGCTCACTTTCTTTTTCTCTCAAAAACGGAAAATGACATTAGCATTGGAAAATAAAAAACAAAAACTGCTTAAGAGGCAATCCTCTAGGAACCCACTGAACACTTTGTCCCTATATTTCTATTTCTGGAACACAAAGAGGAAATTTCTCCTAATAAAACATTTTAGGACTTACTCAACTCTATCCCTGAAAACATATGGTCCCAGCGCACCACTGCCGTTGATCACATTCATCAGTATCAACAATTAAAATACAGATAGATGAAACAAAAAGACTTCCAAATACTAAACAATACCTTCATGCCAGAAAGCCATTCAGGAAATCAAGGCAATTATTGAGGATTACCCCAAGCAAGGGTAATCATTTTATACACTAGGCAATTTAATACACCAATCCTACCAGTACAAAATTCAAATAACTGATTTGGAAATTTGTCCAAGACTTTACAGACATCAATAAAATTATAATACCCCACCATCCTGTTATAAGTAACCCACACACATTTCTACCAGCCATACCACCAGATAGTTAGGCTTTCTTTGTGACTGACCTCTGCAGTGCTTTTCCTAGCATCCCAGTTGATCCAGATAGCCAGTTTTGTTTTGTTCTTTTTCCTTAACCTGGGAAAGAAAGCAATATATCTGAACTGTAATGCCTTAGGGGTATATTGAAAGACCCATGTACTTTTCCCAAGTCTTAAAAGAAAACATAGCAGATTTGGAATTTCCTCTGCATTCTCTTCGTATTGCATATGTGAAGGACATGACTTTGTTCTCCACCCTAAAGGCCTCCATAGAGAAAAGCCTCTAACTATTAAAGAAGTTAACCACCAAAGTCCATAAAGTCTTTTAAAAAAGAAGCTAGAACTCTCTGTCTTCCATAAGTAAAATATTTAGAACATTACAATTCAGGACAGAGTCTTCTGATTGATCTTCAAAGAATAAAATAAATCTTGGCTATTCCTACCTGTGTTACCAAAAGACAACTCCAGTGAGTCTTGGGATTACCAAGATAGTATTGGGGGTCAACAACCAATACTCCAAAATATGGCCCTTTGACATGCTGAACTGAAGAAGAAAACTTTCAATGTCTCTCTGACCTCCGCTTCCCACTTCTGCCTCTCAATCCTCTGTGTCTCCCAAAGCACAAGATGAAGTTGTTCTCTGAAGTTCCCTTATATGCCTAAAGCTCGGACATGCCAAAGAAGAAAACAATTGCCTCTGATTCCTTCCGTGAGTTTTCATTAGCTGAACTATTATCACAGGAACAAAGATTGAAGTCTAACTGTGCACCTGGAAAGATATGTTACAAACCATTGTCTGCTCTGTGGGCCCAACAAACTTTGTCCTAGATCATTGTGTGTTCTGCATGCCTATTGAATTCTCCTAAAGATGATTTACTACCACACTAGAAGCATTAACGCTTCTCCATCTCCCTTTCTCCTAATAAGAAAGATATATAACCATCTTGTATTCCATGGTGTGGTAATCACTCGTGATTTTTCCTCTGTGCACATTAATAAACCTGTGTGCCTTTTTTCCCTATTAATCTCCCTTTTGTCAGTCTATTTGCAGCAACTTAGAGGTTGAAGAGGAAGTTTTCCTTTGACCCCTACAATAAATGTAAACAATGGACCCCAGATGTATCTGTCATGGCTCAGCCTCTATATTCTCTCTAAAAGCTGACCATCCCAAACTTCTACAATGTCCTAAAGAAGTCTCCTCCTCTTTTGAGCATTTTAAGGAGAGTCCTATTGAGAACCCTGCATTAGAACATCCTGCTTTTAACCTTTTCTGTTCCCTTTCTGTTTATGAACCAACTGGAAACACCTTAGTGATTCTTCCCCAAAGTAAGGACACCAAGAGCAACCCCTCAAATATTACAACCAACAGTTCAAATCTGTGGAGAAAATACTCCTATGCTGTATGCAAGCCATTGCAGTCACTGCATATTTATTAAAGTCAATTGAACAGTTAAGGATAGAATCTGTTAATTATTTATGTCTCACTCTATTGAGGCCCTCCTCAACTCTCATCATACCCAACTTGTCTCTTGCGAGGAAACTCGTTTCTTATGAAATCCTATTATTATCACCCTGTACTGCAAATGTTACGGACTACAATTCTTTGAATCTTGCCACTTTTACTTCTTCCTTCTGACAAGATGCCACATGACTGTGTACCCCTAACTGATAACTTAGAAACCCCCAGACAGGACCTATAGGAAATCCCTGATTTAAACGCTGAACTTATCTGGTTTACTGATGGATCCTACCTTCAAAATAACTCAGGGAAACATCTAGCTGTCTATGTTGTAGCCTCACTGTTTGAAAACATTGAAAATGATCCCCTACCCAACACCTTGTACTGCTTAACAGTCTGGTCTTTTCCCTCCTCTTAGTTGACAATTTTAACATACAAAATAAATTGTCAGGCAATTTAAGATGAGTCTATAGCTATCCCTCTTCACATATAAATTCACTTAAAATACGTATATCTCACTGCTTCTCTTCTCTTACATATAAGTTAAAGAGAGAGAAAATTAACCTGACTTTACCTAATCCATTTATGTTTTTAAGTCAATAAAGTATTGAACAATTATTCAATGAATGAGAAATAAGCAGATGTGAAACTTAGTATACCGAAGATATAATATTATATCAAAATATGGGTGATTGAAAGTAAATGCAAAAGTTATTTATGCTCCATAAAATGTTAGCAGAGTAATCACTGCCTTGGTCCACATAAGCATAACTACAGACTTGTGCCACACAAAATATTTAAAATTCACTCCAAGGTAGGATCATAACTATAATGAACATTCAAAAAATTTTCTGTTGAAAACAATATTTTCACCTTGTCTGCAGGCAATTATTTGTAGGTACAAAAAGGTGCTGGCAAATATTAAACTTTGCAGTGCATTTTGAGGCTGCAGTTGTGAATAAGGAAGATTGGAATATTATATTTTAATACTCAATAGATTAACACCATTTCCTTTAAAGATTTGTTTATCTGCAGACAAAATGTTACTAAGATAATCATCTGTTACTATAAATATATTATAACAATATGTCTCCATTAGCCTAAAGCAAAAAGTTTACTTTAATTAAAACCTGGGTCTTATAATTAAAACATCAAACACTACATATGCTAAGTTATCACACCACGTACAGTACTAACACATGGACTGTTTGAAATTTTTAACCAGAGATGCTGCTCTGGTCTTCAGGGTTTATTGAAAATCCCTTGAAAAAGAACTGTTTCATCTCTTTTGTGCAAATGTACAGCTGGCATTTATATTTGATAGTTTTTAAATAAAACATATTACAAGAAAAATATATTAAATTTTGGATTTAACCTTAACGTAATTTGAAATTTTATAATGACAAATGGTTATTTTTAAAGAGTGACTTCTGCAGAAGATATAATTAGTCAGTTTTAAAATTATTTAAAATATTTTATTTGCTACTATTGGAAGTCTGGATAAGTTGGCTTTTCCAAAGCTCTACAATTTGGGCTCTCTTGATTCCCTTTTCTTATTGCCTGCAATCCCCCTACTTATGTCTTGCTAAGCTCAGCCTAGAATAGCTAACACATACTTTAGCATTATCTCCCCTTAGAACAGCAGACTTAATATATAGTCCAACTTGGTGTGACTTCCATGTCATTATAAGTGACAGAATTATGAAGCATTAATTTCCCCATTAATAGCGTAAGTCACCATTTCCCAGACTCAGATAGGTTTCCTTACTGCTGCTACCTAAGAGCAATGAAAAGCCTGCATATTTTAGGTTACTGTAACAGCAGCACACCCCTTTAAGTAACTACATATTAATTACAGTAGCTGTAAGCAAATCAATTTTTTTAAACAAAGGAACAAATATGTGAATTTCACTCAACTAAGGTAACTTTCCTTTTGCCTCCTGAAAACCTACATTACTTGTGTTTTATTTCTATACTGAATTATTAAATTTTCTCATAATTGAATAATAATGTAGAAAACATACTACATAATGAAAAATAAATATAAAACAATCAGGTGCCCATCATATGCAATTAATAACATTGAATTTTATAAAATCTCACTAATAAATAAAATTTATTAGAAATAACACTTGATTTTCTTACGGTGATGGTGATATACTTCCCTTTTCTCTCTTCTTTTTTTTTTTTTTTTGTTTTTTTGAGATAGAGACTCACTCTATCACCTACACTGGAGTGCAGTGGCATAATCTTGGCTCACTGCAACTTCTGCCTCCCAAGTTCAAGTGATTCTTGTACCTCAGCCTCCCAGGTAGCTGGGATTACAAGCATGTGCCACCACACCTGGCTAATTTTTGTGTTTTTATTGAAGAGTTTCACAGTGTTGGCCAGGCTGGTCTTGAACTACTGACCTTAAGTGATCCTCCCACCTCAGCCTCCCAAAGTGCTGGGATTACAGGCGTGAGCCACCATGTCCGGCCTGTACTTCCCTTTTCATAAATCATTGAGAAGCAGAAAATGTCCCCCTGTCGTTTCTTCAGTATCTCCCTGCTCAAACCTCTAGGGTGAGCATGAAGACTGAAGACGGGCAGGTTGTGGGGCTCCGACCCCATGGTGGTGTCTAGGGGTGAATGCTTACAGCTCCTGAAGCCCCAGTGGGCTGTTTTGATGTCTGCAGGTTGCTTGTGTTCATCAGCTCAGTTACACCCTCTGCCTTATTGCAAGGACAGAGGGCTTTCTGTATTCCCGGGTTCTTTCCTTAGTGTACCGGAAAAATTGGATCACACATGGGCTGGGAGAATGAGTGCAAAGTTTTATTGAATGGAGGAAGCTCTCAGCAGATAGATGGAGAGCCAGAAGGGGGATGGAGTGGGAAGGTGGCATTCCCCTGGAGTAGGGCCACTCAATGTCCAGACTCTCCTCTGACCGCCCCAGCCAGATTCCCTTCTACGTTTTTCCACCATAGATGGCCTTCCAGCATCTGCTGATGTCTGCCGGTGTGTTCTTCTGCCAGCATGCTTCTCTCAAGTTCCAGCCACTTGTGTGTTCTTCCATCCATGTGTTTCTTTTGACATCCAGCTGTTTCTGTCTCTAACTGTTAGGGTCTCCGGGTTTTTATAGGCACAGGATGGGGGCATGATGGGCCAGGGTGGTATGGAAAATGCAACATTTGGGCAGGAAAACAGAAATATCTGTCCACACCTAGGTCTGTGGACACAGGCCTGGGGGTGGAGCCCTAGCCAGGAACCCGTTCTTCTCTACCCAGCATTTCCCTGCCTCCCTCCTGTATCCATTAGAATATATTTTAATTCTTTCATACATTTAAATGCATACCATCTCGAGAATGACTATTTCTCTAACCCTTTAACAACCAACCAAAACCTGAAAGCAATGTTTCGCTGTCATTTTAACTTGTGATTTCCTTTATAAGAATAGAAGCATCTTTTAAAATATGTATAAGCCAACTATAATTTTTTTTCTACAAATTGCCAGTTCACATCCATTGCTCATTGGATCACCAATAATATTTTAATTTATTTACAGCAACTTTTATTTAGAAGAATCAGTCATTTTCTTATTACATCTACTGCAAATGTTTCTATCAATTTTGCCACATAATATTTAATGATTTTTCTTCTGCAGACATCTTTGATTTTTTTTGTAGTCAAAATTATTTGTCTCAAATTATATAACTATTTGGTTTTCTGTCATACTAAAATTAAATTTATAAATCTATTGTTCTAATGTTTTAATTGATTCACTTTTGTATTTAATCTTTAACATAGTAAAGGGTAAAGAGTGACAAAGAAATAATTGTACCTGATAGATGACAGCTTGTAACTGGCCTAATTTCTCCAATGTAGGTCATGTGGTTCTCCTACCCATATTAACAATTCACAGAAAATAAACATCTGACTAGAACTCTCTGTGACATAGATAGAACAGAACAAAGAAACCCAAATAACTCATGATCTTTTTAAATTAGAGACTAGAAACAAAGGTATTAGACACTACAAAAATGACTAAATATTCTTATGGTTTCTCAAATGCTTCAACAAGTAAGAAATCCAGCTTTGTTTGGTTACATATTTGTTTCTTGGGTCTTTGGCTTGTATACATCAACTGAGTCGAAATATGAATTCAAAGCGTTTTGTTTTTTTTGAACTGTCTACCTATTTTATGAACATCTTACTGTAGATGTTTTGCCAACTCTAGAATACAGACCGATATGTATATGATCAGTAGTATATTTAAATATAGAATTAGGGAGTTAACACTAATATCATATTTAAATGTAAAAACTGAGTGATACTCTGTGAATACTTGGGCACATTGGAAAGAGGAAAACAAACTTTAGTAATCATACGTTATTTTAATGTACCTGTAATTTTTAGCATTATAAAATAACTACAGTGAATAAATAATTTTCAAATGTCTTTGAAAATGTTATTGTATACCTATATATTTTGCCACATGAAATTTTGTAAGGATAAAATGAAATGTGTGCTCACGGGAAAATATAATAAAGTTTCAGGTTTTCTTTTTTCTAGTTTTCACTGGTGAAAACAATAATAGTATATCTGACAAAATGTGCTTTTTTTGAGAAAGAAAAGAGCTTGGTAACTTGCAGAGAATCTGAGATTATTTGTCTGTAGCTAAGTGAAAATGAGTGGTCAAAAACTGAGAAGATATTTGTATCCTATGTGAGCACTCACCAATGGTTGACCTTAGGAGAGAAGTATTTTAATAATCAAGTGGATGCAACGACCGCTTCTGTGGACCCCACTCAGCCTCTTTCTCTAGTGACCTTTGTCATTGCCCAATGAACCCATGAACAAAGTGGCAATGGTGCCAGGGATGGAGGTTACTCATGGGCTCAACAACATGGACTTCCACTCACCAAGGCTGAAGTGGCTACAGACACTGCTGAGTGCCCAATTTGCCAGCAGCAGAGACCAACACTGAGCCCTTAATATGGCAGCATTCCTCGGGGTGATCAGCCAGCTACCTGGTGGCAGATTGATTATGTTGGACCTCTTCCATCATGGAAAGGGCAGAGGTTTGTCCTCACTGGAATACACACCTACTCTGGATATAGGTTTGCCTACCTTGCACGCAGTGCTTCTGCCAAGACGATCATCCATGGTCTCATGGAATGCCTTACCCATGATCATGGTATTCCACACAGCATTGCCTCTGATGAAGGCACTCACTTTATGGCTAAAGAAGTGCAACAGTGGGCTCATGGTAAGACAATTCAGTGGTCTTACCATGTTTCCCATCATCCCGACTCAGTTGGATTCTTAGAATGGTGAAATGGCCTTTTGAAATCACAATTACAATGCCAACTAGGTGACAACACTTTGCAGAGCTGGGGCAAAGTTTTCCAGAAGGCCGTGTATGCTCTGAATCAGCATCCAGTAGATGGTACTATTTCTTCCATAGCCGGGATTCACAAGTCCAGGAATTAAGGGATGGAAGTAAAAGTGGCACCATTCACCACCACCCCTAGTGATCCACTAGCAAAATTTTTGCTTCCTATTCCTGTGACATTACATTCTGCTGGCCTAGAGGTCTTAGTTCCAGAGGGAGGAATGCTGCCACCAGGAGACACAATAAAGATTCCATTAAACTGGAAGTTAAGATTGCCACCTGGACACTTTGGCTCCTCCTACCTTTAAGTCAACAGGCTAAAAAGGGAGTTACAGTATTGGCTGGGGTGATTGATCTGGACTATCAAGATGAAATCAGTCTACTACTCCATAATGGAGGCAAGAAAGAGTATGCATGAAATACAGGTGATCCATTAGAGTGTTGCTCAGTATTACCATGCCCTGTGATTATGGTCAATGGGAAACTACAACAGCCCAATCCAAGCAGGACTGCAAATAGTCCAGAACCCTCGGGCATGAAGGTCTGGATTACTTCACCAGGAAAAAAAGACCAAAACTAAAAACAAACAAACAAAAAACTATGGCTTCCTGAGGTGCTTGCTGAAGGCAAAAAGAATACAGAACGGGTAGTATAAGAAGGCAGCCATCAATACCAGCTACAACCACATGACCAGCTGCTGAAACGAGGACTGTAACTGTCATGAGTATTTCCTCCTTCTTTTATTAAAAATGTGTTTGTGCATGTATACACCTGTACTAAGATAATATCTTCATTTTATTTCCTTTTCCTTCATCATGAGACATAAGAAATATTGACTTCATATTAGCATTTAAGTATTGTTAACTTTAGGTAATAGTATTTGGGTTGGGGATTGGTGCTTTTCCGGTTGTACGAAGGATAGTTGTACTATGTTACGTGTAATTTTGACCTTATTATTGTCTTTATTTGAAGATTATATATCATCTCAGGAGATGTGTATAGGTTCAAGCTGACAAAAGGTGGACTTGTATTGGTTAATATTGAGTGTCAACTTAATTGGATTGAAGCATACAAAGTATTGATCCTGGGTGTGTCTGTGAGGGTATTGCCAAAGGAGATTAACATTAGGGTCAGTGGGCTGGGGAAGACAGACCCACCTTTAATCTGGTGGGCACAACCTAATCAGCTGTTAGTGAATATAAGGCAGGCAGAAAAACATGAAGAGGCGAGACTGGCCTAGCCTCCCAGCCTACATCTTTCTCCCATGCTGGATGCTTCTGCCCTCAAGCATCAGACTCCAGGTTCTTCAGTTTTGAAATTCAGACTGACTCTCCTTGCTCCTCAAGCTTGCAGACAGCCTATTGTGGGAACTTGTGATCATGTACAGTAATACTTAAAAAACTCCATATATAATATATAATAATTTTATATTGTATATAATATATCCTATTTTATATATGTACATATGTATATATACATACTTATATAAAATAGGGTATATTATATATATATCTTGTTTTATTACATATCTTATTTTATATATGGGTATATATTAGGATGTATAATACATATATCCTATTAGTTCTATCCCTCTAGGGAACCTTGACTAATATATAAGGTATTAAGGGAGATTGAATAAGCAGTTACAGAACAAATTAGGCAGAAATGTCCATATCCTGTTCAGGATTTTTACTTTTGTGCAAAATCAAATAAAAGCCATTTCATTCTGTTAAAATGTATTTATACATGGATTTTCCTTAAAAGTATAAGAAGTTTGGAATGTGTACTCTATATGATAAATATATATTTTTTTCTTAAAGAGATTGTTATTGTCTGTTAAGATCATAATTTATTAATTATATTTTAGACTAAAGTTAGAAGCTTTTTAAAAAATTCAATTTTTATTTATGAGGGGTACATGTGCAGGTTTGTTACATGGGAATATTGTATGATGCTGAGGCTTTGTGTATGGATCCCATCACCCATGTAATGATCATAGTACCCAATAGGTAGTTTTTCAACCCATTCCTCTTTTCCTCCCTTTCTTTTCTAGTAGACCACAATGTCTACTGTACAATGTTTATATCCACTTGTACTCAATGTTTAGCTCCCTCCTATAAGTGAGAACACGCAGTATTTGGTTTTCTGTTTTTGCACTAATTCCCTTAGAATTATGGCCTCCAGCTGCATCCATGTTGCTGCAAAGGACATAATTTCATTCTATTTTTATGGAATTAAATAAATGATGGATGAATAGTATTCCATGGTGTATATGCCATAAATTTTCTTTATCCAATCTACCATTGATAGGCACCTGGGTTGATTCTATGTCTTTGCTATAGTGAATAACACAGCAATTAATATACAAGTGCATGTGTCTTTTTGGTAGGATGATTTATTTTTCCTTGGGTATATACCCCATTATGGGATTGCTGGCTTGAATGGTAGCTCTGTTTTAAGTTCTTTGAGAAATCTCCAGACTGCTTTGCACAGTGGCTGGACTAATTTGCATTCCCTCCAACAGTGTATAAACATTCCCTTTTTTCCACAGCCTCCCAGCATCTTTTTTTATTTTTTTTTTTGACTTTTTAGTAATAGCCATTCTGAATGGTGAGTTTCTCATTGTGGTTTTGATTTGCATTTATCTGATGATTAGTGATCCTGAGCATTTTGTCAAATGTTTGTTGGCTGCTTTTATGTCTTCCTTTGAGAAGTTTCTGGTCATGTCCTTTGCTCATTTTTTAATGGGAAAATTTATTTTTGCTTGTTGATTTAAGTTCCCGGTAGATTCTGGATATTAGACCTTTGTCAGATACATAGTTTGTGAATATCTTCTTTCATTCTATAGGTTATCTGTTTGCTCTGTTGATGTTTCTTTTCCTGTGCAGACGTTCTTTAGTTTAATTAGGTGCCAGTTGTCAATTTTTGTTTTTGTTGCAATTACTTTTGGGGACTTAGCCAAAAATTGTTTGCCAAGGCCAACAATTGAGAAAAGTGTTTCCTAGGTTTTCTTCTAGGATTTTTATAGTTTAAGGTCTTACATTTAAATCTTTGATATATTTTGAGTTAATTTTTGTATATAGTGAAAGGTACAGGTCCAGCTTTAATCTTCTGTATATGGATAGCCAGTTATCCCAGCACCATTTATTGAATACAAAGTCCATTGAATATATACACCATTGTTTGTTTTTGTCATCCTTGTTGAAGATCAGATGGTTGTAGGTGAGTGGCTTTATTTCAGTTTTCTCTTCTGTTCCATTGGTCTACATATTTGTTTTTGTACCAGTACCAACATGTTTTGATTAATGTAGCTTTATAGTATAGTTTGAAGTTGAGTAGTGTGAAGCCTCTGGCTTTTTTCTTTTTGCTTAGAATTCCTTTGGCTATATAGGCTCTTTTTTGGTTCCATATGAATTTTAAAATCGTATTTTTTCTAATTCCTTGAAGAATGGTGTTGGTATTTTGACAAGAATAGCATGGAATCTGTAAACTGCATTGGACAGTATGGCCATTATTACAAGAATGCTTCTTCGAATCCGTAAGCACGGAATGTTTTTCCATTTATTTGTGTAATCTCTCTTTCAGCAGTGTTTTGTAGTTCTCCTTGTAGAAATCTTTCACCTTCTCAGCTAGCTGTAGACCTAAGTATTTCATTGTCTTTGTGGCTATTGTAAGTGGCATTGTGTTCTTAATTTGGCTCTTAGCCTGGATGTTGTTGTTGTACAGAAATGCTACTGAATTTGTACATTGATTTTGTATCCTGAAACTTTACTTACATCGTTTATCAGTTCTAGGAGCTTTCTGATAAAGTCTTTAGGATTTTCCTAGGTGTAGAATCTTATTATCAGCAAAGAGAGATAGTTTCACATTTTTTTTTAAATGTAGAAGTCTTTTATTTGTTACTCTTGCCTGATTGCTCTGACTAGGACTTCTATTAGATGTTGAACAGGAGTGGAGAGAGTGGGCCTCCTTGTCTTGTGCCAGTTCTCAATGGGAATGCGTCCAGATTTTGCCCATTCAGTGTGATATCAGCTGTGGGTCTGTTATAGATGACTTCCATTATTTTGAGGTATATTCCTTCAATGTCTATTCTTTTGTGGGTTTTTATGACGAAGTGTTGTTGGATTCTATCGAAAGCTTTCTCTGTATCTATTGAGATGATCATACAGTTTTTGTTTTTAATTGTATTTATGTTGTGAATCACATTATTGATTTGTGCGTGTTTAACCAGCCTTGCATCCCAGGAACAAAGCCCACTTAATTGTGTTGGATTAGCTTTTTGACGTGCTGCTGGATTTGACTTGCTAATATTTTGCTGAGGATTTCTGCATCCATGTTCATTAGGGGTTTCGGCCTGAGGTTTTCTCTTTTTGTTGTGCCTCTGCCAGATTTTGGTATTGGGCTGATGCCAGCTTCATTGAATGAGTTAGCAAGAAGTCCCTCCTCCTCAATATTTCAGAATAGATTCAGTAGCATTGGTATGGGTTTTTCTTTGTATGTCAGTTAGAAACTTTAAGTTCATTACCTACTGACTTATTTTAGCAAAATGATTCCTAATGATTAGTAGTATTTGTGACTGTGGTTGTAAATATTATTGATAACTACTTTTTACCTTTACAAAATGTAATGCTTCTCTCCTGAAAAGTCTTGCGTTTTCCTTTCAAGCTTCAAATTCAGAATATAGAAATTTTAAGATGTATTTTATGTTTAAAATATCTTTGGCTTTCCTGTATTGGCTCACAGGTAATAAAGATTTGGTCCTTTATTTTATAAAGGTAAAAATAATGGAAATAATTTAAGTTTGTCTTGACATTCTCCAAAGAGCATTTAACTTAAAACTATTTTGAGAGCTCTGTCGTTTATCAAATTTACCACAAAAAGATAAAGACATTCTTCCTATGTTAATTCTGTGAAATTAAATTAAAACATATGTTCCATAGTTTTCAGTATTCAATATAAACCTACTCAAGATCAACCACAAATACTGGTACAATAATTTGTCTATGTATCCCTCTCTCTCCATCCTCCCCCAACCCTTTCTATCTTAGTTAAACACCCTCCTAAGCCAGAGAAAATATGGTGATGTTTCTTGACAGTTTTGTGAAGGTATGTGTTATGTTGAAAAGCAGTGTACCCTCACTGGTTAAAATATATTATTGATCCAAAAAAGATATTTAAGTACACACTTACCTATTGTATGTTAAACCTCAAGAGATAATTTTGTGCTCTTTTTTTTTTTGCTAGCATTCCTAAATGTAATAATATTAGTCAGAACCATTTAGTATTTTACCACAATAAATACAAATTATCCACTGTTCTCAAGCAATAATTTTTTTTTTTTGGAAACTTGACTAAAAGTTTTGACAGTGTCTCTGGTGCATGTTTTATATGTTGCAATTGTAAACCCAGTTAAATTGCAAAGGTGAGATATTGACAGGTTCCTATACATTGGATTGAGGATTTTTTTAACATCTCCTAATAGAATTTATACTACTTACCTGCAATATGTATTAAATAAGTTTTTATCATTTTGTGTTTATTCTCGAAGCTAATTGAAGCTTTTCCTTGCCAGAGAGGTATTGTCCTAACAATAACAAATAATTACTTGATTTCATAATTAAACCTAGGAGATTCCAAAATAACTAATGACAAAAGCACCCATTTTACCGGAACTTAAAATCTGGACAATTAATAAGAAATTTAACTGTGCCGATCCCTCTTGATCTTTGGAAAAGACAGTGAGTAAGTACAAATGAAATTCTGAAAGTAAAATTGGCAATGCTTTCAGAGACGCTTAAACTTCCATTGCCCATGGTATTGCTATTACTTTTAATTCCAGTGAGATCAGCACTTTCGGGGTTTATTATTACCTTTAAAAATTATATAAAGCCTTTAGACGCCACCCTGTGTTTCTGAGAATGTCATTGCCAACTCAAATTTTCACTCTCTGGCAATACACTTAGTATTCTCACTGAATCTTGGCATCCATTTCACAACATCATACTAAACTATCTCTCCATAAACAAATTCTGGACAACTGGTTCCTTGGGAATGTATCAGAACAAGACATAATTTGAAACCTACTAGAAAGAACCTTATCAAATATGGTTTACAATTATCACATCAGTGAAAATGCCAAGGGCTTTGTCCTTGAGTCATTGTTTGTCATGTAGAGACATGAGCCATTCTCAAATCACTTGAAGACTATCAAGATAAAAACCTTCAGGCTGAAGATGCTTAGAAATCTTTGAGAAGCAAATAGACATCAGGAGGTAGATAGTTTCCACTCAAGATCCAGAGAACAAGACCCAGATAGCTAGAGGGGCATGTTGTCACATTGTAACACGTATGCATATTTTTTTCCTAGCTACTTTGTTTTCTTTTGGCTGGCTTAAAGTTTTGAACTATTTTAATACACATTTGCTACCTATAAGTCCCACATTCTTAAAATTTGTTTTTTGCATCTTTATTCACTTACTGGCATGAGTCAGTAACAAGTTGCAATTTACTCATGATTTAGCTACTGAATAATCAAACTCATTTGATGAGTCTGCACATTTTCTTATGGGGGCCACCAAGCTTCCCTTGATACCAGTTTCTATTAACAATCAGTTGATTTCCTGTGTAATTTGGCTCAACCTCTATGTGCCTTTTTTACGTGGCAAACACTATAATAATCTAGACATCTAGGAACCTGCAACTCTAAACTATTCAAGAGAAATTCTAGTTGCCTTCTATTGTCCTTAAGCCTCTTCAATTTATTCTTTAAAACAGGCCTTCAAAGTTGGGAGGATACTACATGCCATAGTCTGAGGACAGCAAGAGAACTAGGTCAAGTTGTCAAGGTTACAGAACTCTTAGACCAAAGGATTCACTAAATTAGAAATTAGTTTGCTTGGAATAGGTCTCCAAAACATAATATCACCTTCTCAAGAAAGAGCATGTGTTGTTTAAGGAGAAGAATATTATACTCAATCCCTACAAATCTTTTGGATTTTAATCTTCTAAAAGGATCTAAAAAAAATAAAAAGCCATAAATGTAGATACTTTGGGTAATAATGCCACATATTTCTGTGGGTTCTTTAGATTGGAATTAATATATGTTTTCAGAGCAATTTAGGAAGTGGGCCTTAGCTTACTTTAGGAATTAAGATTTTTCTTAAAAACTGAATCACAGGATCTGTTAATATAACTTTTTTTGATTATTATTTTCCACTTTGTTGTGTTCAAGTGTATAATCTCCAAAGTTTAAATTCTCATGTATTGCTGCTGTCCTGTCAAATGATCTAAAAAGTGACCCTTCAAGTAAAAGAACTGGAAAATTTGACACTCATGGAGTTGAAACAAATACACTCAAATACTTAATATGGTGTCATATGGTTTGGCTGTGTCCTCACCCAAATCTCAACTTGAATTGTATCTCCCAGAATTCCCATCTGTTGTGGGAGGGAACCAGGGGGAGGTAATTGAATCTTGGGGGCTGGTCTTTCCTATGCTATTCTCATAATAGTGAATAAGTTTCATGAAATCTGATGGGCTTATCAGAGGTTTCCACATTCGCTTCTTTCTCATTTTCTCTTGTTGTTACCATGTAAGAAGTGGCTTTCACCCTCTGCCATGATTCTGAGGCCTCCCCAACCATGTGGAGCTGTAAGTCCAATTAAACCTCTTTTCCTTTCCAGTCTTGGGTATGTCTTTTTCAGCAGCATAAAAATGGACTAATACAGTAAATTGTACCAGTAGAGTGGGACATTGCTGTAGATACCTGAAAATTTGGAAGTGACTTTGGATCTGTGTAACAGGCAGAGGTTGAAACAGTTTGGAGGGTTCAGAAGAAGACAGAAAGGTGTGGGAAAGTTTGGAACCTCCTAGAGACTTGTTGAATGGGTTTGACAAAAATGCTGATAGTAATATGAACAATAAGGTCCAGGTGGAGGGGGCCTCAGATGGAGATGAGGAACTTGTTGGGAACTGGAACAAAGGCAATTCTTTTTATGTTTTGACAAAGAGACTGGAGGCATTTTGCCCCTGCCCTAAAGATTTGTGGAACTTCGAACTTGAGAGAGATGATTTAGGGTATCTGGAGGAAGAAATTTCTAAGCAGCAAAGCATTCCAAAGGTGATTTGGGTGCTGACAAAAGCATTCCATTTTAAAAGGGAACCAGAACATAAAAGTTCAGAAAATTTGCAGCCTGACAATGCAGTAGAAAAAAAAAACAAAAACCATTTTTTTGAGGAGAAATTCAAGCTGGCTGCAGAAATTTGTGTTAAGTAGCAAGGAGCCTAATGTTAATCCCCAAGACCATGGGAGGCAGGGCGGGGTGGGTGAGGGGGAGGAGTGGAATGTCTCCAGCTATGTCAGAGACCTTCATGGGAGCCCCTTCCATCACAGGCTAGGAGACCCAGAAGGAAAAAGTGGTTTTGTGGGTCAGGCCCAAGGTCTCCGAGCTGTTTGCAGCCTAGAGACTTGGTGCCCTGTGTCCCAGCTGCTCCAGTCATGACTGAAAGGGGCCAATGAAGAGCTAGGGCTGTGGCTTCAGGGGTGGAAGCCCCAAGTTTTGGCGGCTTCCACGTGGTGTTGAGCCTGCTGGTGCACAGAAGTCAAGAACTGAGATTTGAGAACCTCTGCCTAGATTTCAGAAGATGTATCGAAAAACCTGGATGCCCAGGAGAAAGTTTGCTGAAGGAGTAGGGCCCTCATGGAGAACCTCTGCTAGGGCAGTGTGGAAGGGAAATATGGGGCCAGAGCTTCCACACAGAGTTCCTACTGGGGCACTGTCTAGTGGAGCTATGAGAAGAGGACCATCATCCTCCAGACCCCATAATGATAGATCCGCCAACAGCTTGCACAATGCGTCTGGTAAAGCTGCAGACACTCAACGCCAGCCCTTGCAAGCAGCTAGGAGGGAGGCTTTACCCTACAAAGCCACAGGGGTGGAGCTGCCCATGACCTTGGGAATCCACCTTTTGCATCAGCATGACCTGGATGTGAGACTTGTAGTCAAAGGAGATCATTCTGGAGCTTTGCAATTTGACTGACCCGCTGGATTTCAGACTTGCATGGGCCCTGTAACCCCTTTGTCTTGGCCAATTTTTCCCATTTGAAATGGCTGTGTTTACCCAATGCCTGTACCCCCATTGTATCTAGGAAGTAACTAGCTTGCTTTTGATTATACAGGGTCATAGGTGGAAGGGAATTTCCTTGTCTCAAATGAAACTGGACTGTGGACTTTCGAGTTAATGCTGAAATGAGTTAAGACTTTGTGAGACTGTGGGAAGGCATGATTGGTTTTCAAATGTGAGGACATGAGATTTGAATAATATGGTTTGGCTGTGTCCCCAACCAAATCTCAACCTGAATTGTATCTCCCAGAATTCCCACATGTTGTGGAAAGGACCCGGGGGAGGTAACTGAATCATGGGGGCTAGTCTTTCCAGTGCTATTCTCATGATAGTGAATAAGTCTCACAAGATCTGATGAGTTTATCAGGGTTTTCTGCTTTTGCTTCTCCCTCATTTTCTCTTGTCACTGCCATGTAAGAAGTGCTTTTCACCTGCCACCATGATTCTGAGGCCTCCCCAGCCACGTGGAACTGTGTGTCCAAGTAAACCTCTTTTTCTTCCCAGTCTCAGATATGTCTTTATCAGCAGCATGAACATGGACTAATACAATGTGATTATAATACCTCGTAGGAAATGAAAAATGGACTGACCACTTCTCCAGATGTTGATGTTCTATCCTTCAGCTTAAACTGAAGAATGACAACAAAAGGTGATTGATACTAACCTGGATACTAACAATCAAATCATCTGCACCCTCATAGCTTAATGACTTCACTAGCACAATCAGTATTACTGTTGTATTTCTCACATTAATATGATCATGTAATGCTGGAAAACATCTGTTCAAGAATGCATATTTCTGCGTAACTTTTACTACTTGATTCAGAAACTTCCTGAAAGTATTCAATTACTAAAAATAGATAGTTCAACTAGGCTCAGTGACTCCGCAAGACTTTTCTCTAAGGCCTAGCCTTGTGATATGGTTTGTCTATGTCCCCACCCAAAATCTCATCTTGAATTGTAATTCCCATAATCCATATGATCCTCATGTGTCAAGGGAGAGACCAGGTGGAGGCGATTGGATCATGGAGGCGGTTTCCCCCATGCTGTTCTGATGATAATGAGTTCTCAATAGATCTGATGGTTTCATAAGAGGTTCTCCTCCTTTGCTTACTCACATATCTCCTTCCTGCCACCTTGTGAAGAAGATACTTTGCTTCTCCTTCACCTTCCGCCATGACTGTAAGTTTCCCAGAGCCTCACCAGTCATGCAGAACTGTGAGTCAATTAAATCTCCTTTCTTTATAAATTACCCAGTCTTGGGCAGTTATTTATAGCAGTCTGAAAATGAATTAATACACCTCGAAACTCTTGACTCTCTCAAGATTTATACTCAAAGACAAGCAAGACTCCCCACCCAACTTAAAAAATATTGCACTTATACCCTTCTGAGATGCTAGTAAGAGTCTGTCAACACTTCATCTTATTGTGATAAGCAATAAATTCCACTTTGTTTTAATCAACAGATTGTTTTGGTGGTATTGTCAGAGAGCCAAGATTTGGCATTTTGAGTGCTTTGATGGGAAAAAAAAAAATCAAAGCTAGAAGTCCAATCAGGACTTTGATAGCACAAGGTTACTGGAACAAATGTAGGCAAGGCTGAGTACATTGAGAAAATAAACATTTCTTTTGTGAGTGAAACTTCTACCTGCCCCAAATTGCATATGTATTAGAAAAGAAATGCATTTCAAATACAGTAATATAGAAAATATTGTGTGTACATACAAATGCATGCACATATATACATGCATTTATTTTTATATTCACAATATATTTTCATAAGATTCAAAGTGCTCAACTGAATGAATTGTGGTGGGAGGAATGAGTTGATTGAACTGCCTATGCAAATTGTTACATTACCTCTACTCACTTCCATGTCTTTAAAAGCAAAAAAATGATCTAGTACTCCCTCAATGCATTAATAAAAGTTTGAAAGTATGCATATATTCTTTATAGTTCTTCACTTTCATTCCCAGAGCAATAAAATCTACAAGGATAAATGGTTCATTCAAATCAAATGACGTATCATTTACAAAGTTTTTTTTTTTGCATTATATCTTTAAAAATAGAGCACTTGTGAAGATGGGCATACCTTTGATTAAACTTTAAGGAAATTTGAAATGAAGTATAATATATCTCATAGAATTTTCAGCAGGAAAGTATAAGTAAATTCAGTGTCTGAAATTTTAGAAGACAAACATTTTACTGTGCCTTATGGGCTTGCAACCATGTGTTGACTGTACAGTCTTTTTTTCCCTAGTTTTTTTTGAACAGATTATTAAATTTGAAACATTTGTAAAAGTTCATCATGATGTGCTCTTATGATTTTGGGATTTCTTTGGGTATGATACTGCAATGTCAATAATAAAAGGAAAAATAAGAGGCAGATTGTCCATGAATATAAAAAGTATAAGTTTTTTCCCTATTTGCAAATTAACTAGATTTTTTGAGTTCTGCATGTAACAATGAAAGATACTTTATAGTAGGAACTTTTACCTGATTTATTATGCATCTCTTTAGATGTCCCAGCAAGGTTAAAGAGGAAGAAAAGCAGATGGAAAGCAGCAGGAACACACTTTTTGATGTGAGAAACTCATTCATGATGATGACACTATTACTGTTCAAGATGGAAACAATAAAATGTAATTTAAGGTGAATAAAAAATAGAAACACAATAAATCAAAGTAAATGAATAGTAACTCTGTCTGTAGAATATAAATAGTGGCAGTGTATTTTATTCAGCTATAACTGCTCTCTTAAAAGTAAAATGGAACCTTATTTCTCCTTAGTAATAATTACCTACGTTTCCTTATTAACAAGCACTTCTCCGTTACAATCTTAAAGATGCAAGCTGGTATAAAAATAATTCCACTTGAAAACCAACATCACGCTTCAAAAGTTTTAGTATCATTACTGTGAAAGAGCTATTGAACTATATTATTCTTCGCCTAAAAGCAGTACCACAACTGAGATATCAGAAAGAAAAAGAAAAATTCTTTTCTTACTGTCCTCCTAACCAATATATTTATCATATTTTCACTATATTCAATATTCAATTTGGATATGTAAATAGTATTTATAGCACCCTAACCTCAGTTTTTATGACCACAGATCACTATTATTTATTTTTATCTTTTTTAGAAGAAATGAAGAGCACTTGTTTAGTATCTTTACATCATGTTCCCTAATGCATTTTATGACCCCAAAGGGTATTACTTCATTTCATTTCATTTCATCTTGCTTCTTCCATTGAGATTTTCAGTCTTTTAATTACACTTATTTCTATCTTAAGCCCATTTCTCTCCAATTGCAGAGTGTGGAATTATATAGTACTGTAGCCAGGGTTTACTCTTTTTTGAATGTAAGCTAAGAATAGTCTTATTGATTCTTCTGAATGGCCCATTGCATTTATTTATTTTTGACAAATATTACATATTCAGCTCATTATATATTTTGACACTTAATTCATTAATTCTTAACCAGATGTGGCAAATTCTATCGAGTATATTGAGATTTTGCGTGAAGGCAAAATGTCAGTGACAAGTAAAAACAAATCTGAATTTAGGTAAAGAGAGATATTGTTAGAAAAGATGACTACAATTGGGAAAATGTATTAAAAATAGAGACAGGTAAGCATAGCTAGCAGGATGTTTTGGGGATCTAGGGAGGTGGAGGGTGAGCAGTGGAGTTGAGCACATATGAGAAAGATGGTTTAACAGAAAAATATTTATTTCTTCAGTCAGAATGACGCATTAAGGGAAAATATTGTCCTGATTAAGCTTATCTATGAGCCAAAGTTCAGGGGCCTTTGGAAAAAAAGAAGTCTGACTAAAGCTTGATCAAGTCAAGTAATAAATAATTGTGAACACTTGGTTAGCATAAATACAGTGCTTAAATTTAAGCCCAGTAGGGCGAGGAGCCAACATGGCCAAATCGAAACAGCTCCAGTCTGCAGCTCCCAGCAAGCCCAACGGAGAAGGTGGTTTATTTCTGCATTTCCAACTGAGGTACTCGGCTCATCTCATTGGGACTGATTCAGGCAGTGGGTGCAACCCATAGAGAGTGAGCAGAAGCAGGGTGGGGCATCACGACTCCCAGGAAGTGCAAGGAGCTGGGGGACTTGCACAGGAAGCACTAAACATGGAAAGGAAAAACTGGTACCAGCCACTGCAAAAACACACCAAAACATAAAGACCAATGACATTATGACGAAACTGAATCAACTAATGTGCAAAATGAGTTAAAAACAGCTAGCATCATGATGTTAGGACCAAATTCACACATAACAATATTAACCTTGAATGTAAATGGGCTAAATGTTCCAATTAGAAGACACAGACTGGCAAATTGGATAAAGAATCAAGACCCATTGGTCTCCTGTATTCAGGAGACCCATCTAACATGCAAAGACACACATAGACTCAAAATAAAGGGATGGAAGAATATTTACCAAGCAAATGGAAAGACAAAAAAAAGCAGGGATTGCAATCCTAGTCTCGGATAAGACAGACTTTAAACCAACAAAGATCAAAAAACACAAAGAATGTACACTTTGAAAGGGTAGCTGCATTTTAAATTAAAATATAGAAGATGACTATATAAAAATATATCTTATTGAAAAAAATGATGATTTTTACCTTAACGATTTCATAAGCATGCATTTTGAGTAATAGACGTTTCACTTTTGTATAGAATAATTTATGAAAATCTAAAGATAATATGTTCTGCCTTTATAAAATTAATTAGAGACATTATCAGTTTATTTATTCTATAATAATTGACATTCCTATTGACTTTAGACTGGCAAGTTATAGTCTAAAACTTTTAGGTGCTAAATACTTTTCAGTCCATATGAATAACTATCATGTGAGTAGTTGCTGGAAATTTTTAAAATCTAGAGGCTTAAGGAGATTCTTATTAGAATATCATATCCTTGAAAGTAAGATAAAAATATCTTTTTATGAAATATAGTTTCAGTTCATCATGAAAATTTAAATAATATTACTAAAGGTGGCACACATTTAAAGAAGTATGTGCTTGCTCAGTTAATTTAAGCTTGAAGGTTAATTGATGATCATGTCTCTCCAATTTAGGTAAAAAAGTAAAGCAAGAATTGCATTTTCTTAACATTTAACCTTTTTTTCAATGGCATATGAAATATTCAAATATTACAGAAAAAAGGAATGGAGAATTGTTGCAACATTCTAATTGAAAACATGGACATTCAGGTATTTTTCTGTTTTCCCTATTGTAATCACATCTTGCTGGAAGGGAAAAATAAAAAGGCAATAAAACTTATCTCAGAATTATTCAGTGCTTGATTAATTCATTCATTGTTAAAATGATTTTTTAAAAATATGTTTTGATCATACTCTTCATATTGTTACTTTCTCAAAAATAGAAGGGTTAATTGAAAATGAACACCAATGTGCTGCCTTTTACTTACATTTGAATAACTTTTTCTCTTTTTAACATTTTATCCAAAATAGGCTCAGTGGGGGCACTGAGGCATTATGTCTAACTAACCTACCAGACACAGCAAGCCTATAGACCTCTTGAATCTTAAAAGACTCACTGTAGGAAAATACAAGTATAACAGGCTCCAGTGGAGCCCAACAATGTAATTAGAAGGGCATTTTATACTTAATGCCATACATCACAAGACATTAGGGGATACAAATTAGTCTACTTGTATATGATTTGCCTGTTAGGGAAATGGGTGATGAAGGAAAATGTGCAATGTTTATGTTTTACTTTGTTGCAAATCATTTAACTGGTTTCAAAAGGCAGAATGAATCAAAGAAAAATCAGCCATTTTATTTTATTGCCTTTAGGTCAATATTTTACAAATTTAAGATGTCAAATAAGTAGAAATGTATGGCTCCAAAAAAATGGTTGTATACAAAAATAAGCCTAAATTTTAAGTGTCAGATTTTTTTTGGATAGTGTCAATTTAATTGAATAATTTTGATATTTACCCTTTTGATGGAGAGTTCTGTCGGAAATCTTCTTATTTTGTCAATACTTGAATAGTATTGTATGACACATATGTTTAAATTGACATAGTTATTTTGATTTAAATAATGGTTATATATTAAATCAAACAGTTTGCCTAGATTAGCTAGATTGGCAATAGTTAAAGAATGTAATGTTTGAAATATTATATAGTCTATAAATCAGATTAATGCCAACTCATTAGAAAATGTAATGTTCATAATTAAAAGTTTATATAATAATATATATTTTCCTTAATTTTTAAAGACCTACTTCTCATGATAGTGATATATCATAATGCTATTTTTTGATATACATGTAACATAATTGTACTGTTTAAAAAGCTGGAAAACAGAAAAGTATATATAGGTAATAACTGCCTCAAATATATCAACATGGAAATCACTACTTTTAAAGACAAATTTTACTTATTTTTAAGTGTTCTTTCCATTTCTATCTCACTTTCTAATTATACATACAGATACGCACAATTCATAGTATCATTATCATACCATATTATGTTAGTACATGATTATTACATACCAATATTTTATATTTTTATTATCTTCTCTTAGCTTGGTGGCAATGTTAACACAGTAATATATTTTTAATTTTTACTGACTTCATTAACAACTCTGGCTCTTTTTGATTTCTTTTATTGCAGCTTCTCATCACTTGAATATTTCAGGAATCCTTTCTGCTTATTCAATCTTAAGTTGTTCTGTTTTCAATAATGAGAAAGAGAATTTTCAAGTTTGTCTATCCTCTTAAAAACATTTCTCTAATGCCTCTTCATGATTCTGCAATGCAGAATGAAGTTTTACAAATAGCTTCAAATTCTTGCCAACAATACAATGTCATGCCATTCTTTACTCATATGGTAAAATTTTGTTTCTATCATGTTTCAATGCATAGCTATTATTTCCCCAAGTCTGTAGATACCATGGCAGAGTAATTAAGTATTAACGCCTTCACATGAATCAGATTTTGTTGTTAAGCCTAAGTAATCAGTGTGAGGGTGCTGAACCTCTGTCAGGGACCTGATGTAACTTTCAAGAGTATTTAAGATCTTATTTCATCATGGTAAGTTTCCTTTTGAAGTCTTAGTTTTGTCTCATTTGGGGCTATATATATATATATATATATATATATATATATATATATATATATATATAAAATATAATATATTATAGAAGATTTATATTATATATAAACATTCTCTTTCAATATGACAAATAACCAAAGAATTCACCAAAACAAGAGCTCTTGAGAGATATATTTTTGAGTCACTCTGAAAAATATTTGTATACATCTTTTATTCCATTAACTAACAGGCATTGGCTAGCAACGTGTTTACAATATTTTAGATACTCAAGAGATGCTATAGAAGCAATTATAATTAATAAAATTGTATGCAATAATAATAATAAAATGTTATTTACAAAGTCTTTTTTTTCACATAGGGTGAAGAACCAGTTTCTCCTTTAAAATATATTTGTCTTTTAAATATATAAAAAGGCATTTTCAAAATTTATATTATAGTTATGACTGTATTCTGATAGCAACTTTAAAGTAATCCTTTTCTCTTGGAGTTTTATTTCCCTTTACTTATACTTTAATCATTGGAAAATTCTGTACCATCAAAGAATACTGACTTAGAGAAAAATGAAACAGGCCAGAAGATACCCTGTGATAATCATATAATGACTCATCATTGAGCAATAATTAAGGATTGAAATTCACTGTTTAAAATGCATACATAGAATCACATTCCAAAATATTCCTATTTCTTATTTAATATAAAAATTTCTGGAGGAAGTAATTCATGTTGATATATAATAATTTGGCACAATTATTTTATATATGAGTTATATGAGTATCAGTGTCATTTCATGGTCTTTATAATCCCATCTATTCAGACAATCATTATATATTATTTTGAATAGCTATAAAAATTACAATTATTAATGTGCTGGTTCTTACAAATGCAAAATGTTAGGAAATATACACTTTCAATTACATTATCATAGATTCTTTTGAATATGTTCTGGAAGAGCTTAAATTACTCAATTAGCTGGAAAATCTGTTGAAGTTTGTATCCTAAAAATGTTCTGAATTTCTTTAATTATCTAAATTATAATTCTTGATCGCTTAACAAAATCATTTACTTGATATTTTTATTGACTTTTTTCTGTTGTAAATAGGGGTGTTAGTATCTTTATCTTATTGAATATTTTGCTGTAATTTTTATTTAAAAAATTATTTTTTCATAGATTCCTATTTTGTATTCTTCCTTTTGAAAGATTTCTTATCTACTCTCATCAGTTTATTTTCCAAGGTACTTGTGTTTTTTTGGTTTGCATTTAATTATACTCTTGCCTACCTCCCTGCCTTCATATTTTGGCATAACATTTAATATACAAGAAATAATTAAGAACTGTGTTTAAATTGTGTTGCTTTGTAGGAAATGCCACATTTGTGTTCCAGTTCTTTTATATCTTTAGGTTAGAAGTTGTGTTTTATCCATTAAGATCATCACTTTATATATTTTGTAACTTTTATTAATTTTGATATGTATCTTCAATTTAATGTCTGGTATATTCGAAAGTTGATTTTGAAAAATACTTTTGTGCCTAACTCTTTCTATGTTGTTATTAGACACTGAAGTTTTAATGTTTCTTAATTAATTTTATGTAAATGTTGTAATATTTGATCTTCAAAAATAATTTTGATGCAATAATTGTTTTTCTTATTTTAGTTTTATTGATGTATTGCATAATCTAGACTAATATTAAAATGTTATTAATAACTGGCAAGCATGACTATTTGTAATTCTAAAAGTATTGTCTCTGGTGAGCATTTACATTATACATTTTTTAACATGTTAAGTATCCATACATTCATACTTCTTGAATAATATCCTTTTGGAGAAAGAAAATAAAATTGTATGGACTGTCTTTACAGTACGTGTAGGTAAATATTATGCATTTATATTATTTCAATATTTATATGATGTGTTAGATAATTGTTCTCCCAGAATTAAATTATGCCAGGATTCCTCTGACCAATTTTAGAACAAGGAGTCCAGAAGTTATTTCATATCTCTGGTGGTTCTTATCCCAAATGGCCCCTTATAGATGCTGGTCTGATTGGGCTATTATTATTTGACAGCCGCTTTCTTTGCACTGCACATATTATCACTTCTTTGGTTTAACTATCAAATCTTTCCTATGACAATATTTAGTGAATTAACAGATGAAATACTTCTTCTCTCTATCCTTCCTTCCACCTTATTTTTAAAGGATGGATCACACCATAGTTTCATGGTGTAAATGGATCACATCACAGTTTTATGGTAGCCCTGCACAGAGTTCTCTCTTTAAAATACTCTGAAGTTACCCTTACTCACTTTCTCCCAAAATAGCTGGTTAATGATTGATTCATGTAAGAGTATTATTATGTTCGCTTTAATTTACCCTTGTCATTGCCTTTTACAAATATAGGTCTGTCTTTCTTTTTTTTTTGACGGAGTCTCCCACTGTCGCCCAGGCTGGAGTGCAGTGGTGCAATCTCCGCTCACTGCAAGCTCCGCCTCCTGGGTTCACACCATTCTCCTGCCTCAGCCTCCTGAGTAGATGAGACTACAGGCACCCGCCACCACGCCCGGCTAATTTTGTTTTTGTGTTTTTAGTAGAGACGGGGTTTCACCATGTTAGCCAGGATGGTCTCGATCTCCTGACCTCATGATCCGCCCACCTCAGCCTCCCAAAGTGCTGGGATTACAGGCGTGAGCCACCACACCCGACCAGGTCTTTCTAATATTTCATAAAATGCTATTTTTGAGCTCTTCAACTCTTACCTTTATCTAAAATATCTGTGTATAATTTAAATCACAATGGCACATAAGCTTCACCTTATTTTTTTCTTTCAATAGGCAAACCAGAAATTGTGAAAACTGATACATGGAGAACTTTGGTCATTTTAATCTAGCTTTTTAAAATATGTGCAGTGAAAAAAAAGAAAAATTACAGATACATGAGAGGCATTTAACATATTATTTTTTTTGGCTAGATCAAGACGCCCAACATGTTCAGTTTCAAATAACATTTATATTTTTATAACACATAGCTGAAGTCTATTTAAGAATTTTGTTAAGTGAACATATTATAAAAATTTTATTACATCTACAATTATTTCAACTGAGACCCTCTGAACCAGAAAGAGCTAAATAAAAGGTTCAATAAATTATTTTAAAAAATTGAATTCATGTAAATATTTGGAATGTTTGTCTATATACTGATGCAAAAATATAAAACAGAATTGTGCAAATTAGTCAACCACAACTAGAACCCAATAAAAATCTTCCTATTAAAAAAATTCTTAGAAAGTAACATTTAAAACTACTAAATAAAATAGGATTTTATTTATTTTGACAGAAAAAAAGTAGTACTATAATAAATATATGTCAAACACTGATAAAAATCTCTTCCATTTTTTTACAAGCATATTTAAGCTACCATTTAAATATATTTCCTTTCTCTATGACAAAGATCAAATACTATGTGCTTTCAGCAGCAACTTTCCCATCCCTTTGTTCTTATGTCAAGCTGTTACTTAGTGTATTATGCAGAGAATAAAAAGAGAGGCATGAGTTACCTCTATCTATAAAATTTTGTCATAGCTTCCCTTTATTAGTTAATTTATAGTGGCTTGGCAAGGTTCTTTACTGGTCAGGAAGGAGAAAAATAAAACAGGTAGGAGATGAGTGTGCTTTTTTACATGTTCATGAATATACTTCTGTCAATCAGACATATAGACATAGAGAATAATGTCTAACCTTCAGAAACAAATGATAGTTTTAGGTGAATAAAAATATAATTCATCACCTGAAGTGAGCCACTGTCACTCTCCCTATTATTCCTTTTCATAACATCTATAATAATAGAAGAGGCAAGCAAGGAGATATTGTACCAACTGAAATTCTAGTAAAATTTCAATTATGTCAAAGCCAAAAACTTTTTAAAGAGTCTTACTGAGGGAATAAAATAAATGCAGTTTTTGCCTAGCACAAGTATCCTGGCCTAAGAGCTTTTCAATCGGGGATAATGTAAAAACTTGTCAAATTATCTCAAAAATCTTACACATTGATAAAGGAGGGGGATAAGAAATAGATTATGACAATCCTGAGATTTTAATCACATGCAGTTTTATAAAAACAAACTTTTGAGTAAGGTATTTTTGTTAAATAGACGATTCATTAATTCTTCTAAACTTTTTAAAAGGATATTTATTGACTGGCTTATGCCTTAAAAATAAGATAGAATAAATTAATACAAAGGAGTTATTCATTGACTGGAATTTAGCAATAATGAATGATAGAATGGTCTCTATCACTAGCAAATTGAGGAAACTTAATGAATAGACGTTCTCATGTCAAAAAGATTAGCATACATAAATCCAGATGGTTGTACATTCTTGATAGTTGGCAAATGAAGCCTAGACAAACCAATCAAGAAAAATGGCATCTCTCATGCAGTGTTGGAAGTAGTTTCCCTGTATTACAGTGTTCAAAGAATAGGGTAATCCTGAACTTTCACATCTGGAGTATGATTCCCGAAAACTGAGTCTGGACTCTGAGCTCTCTCCTGGAAAGTTTGAACAAGAAAAAATTGAACCAAAAATTTGAAATATAACTTTATGTTCTCATTATTCAATAAGATGTGGTCTCAAGGTTACATTTGTCACCTTATTATTGTTTCAGGATCAAACAACTTTGGAATAAATCAAACATTGTGTGAGACAGTACAACGTGTACAATTACAAAGTAAACATTTGAAAAAATTTCGGTCATTGAGTTTAATCTCAAAACCTATTTGATATTAACTTTCTGATTATCTCATTTCATTCACTTTATGATCTCATTCTAAATTACTGTCTTTCAAAAATGAATATTGTGTATTTCTATAAAAGTAAAATGATGATTTCCGTAATTTAAGTGATGTAATGAGTAAATGTGTCATGACTTTTTTTAGCCAACACAATTTGAAATCTTTTCTAAATAAATGATTTTATTTATATTGCCAAAAATGTTGACTTAATATATAAATATAACAATTCATAAATGCTGGTAGTCATAATTTACATTAATTCTAAATTTAGATAACCATAAGATGTTTAGAGTAGACTTTAAGATCTAGCAAAAAATAGCATGTAGAAGTTTCTTTGTCTTTCACTTATTTACTAAATTTCTTTGTAGTAATATATTTATCTTAAGATTTATATTATATTTGCATTATAACAGATTTCAGTATTTTACCTAGATCTCCTAGAATTGTATTGAATAAAAATAGATTTTCTCTTTAAAAAGTGCCTATATATTTGCAGAACTACTAATGTATTTGAAGAATATAATTTCAGATAACAATTAGCATTGTCTGTATCACATGTGTAATCATATCTAGATAAATGTGAAAACCAATAAAAAATAATTTGCGAGGATCTCTAATTCTAAGATATTTTAACAGATGGATAAGTTTTAAAACATGATTTAAACAAGGCAAACTTCTGGTGATTGACACTCAGAAGACTGTGATATTCCCCGGTAATTGATGAAAATATCCATGAGGGCAGGATCTGTGTTTGAATTATTAATACATACAGCACCTGACACATATACCTGCTCATACAGTTGAAATAATTAGTTAAATTGAGTGAAACCTTTGCTTCCATTTATTTATTTTTAAAAGTCTCTTAAAGAAAAATAGTCTAAGATATTGAATAGTAAATCTTACAGATGACTCTTTTCTGTATACAGCCGACTTCTCATTGGGGGCGAAGTCAAGAAGTGAAGCAATTCACCAGGAATTTTTACATTTTCATATATGAAATTACCAAATAAGCAGGGAAAACCAAAGTATATGACATGGTAAAGGTTACGGAGTGAAGCAGAAGAATATATAACTTGAAACATAAAACTTCTTTTCAAATAAAGTACGATGGTGTTGAATATCATCTCTAACCAGAATTTCAGCCTATCTTTCCAATTTTATTGTGTATTTTGACTCAGGTAAACACTGTAGAGCTATATTCTATGCTATGGCTTAAATAGAGTTAAATTATATTTGGTAATTTTAATTCAGAGTACTATATAATATTTTTTCTATTTCAGAAAAAAAATGGGTTTTTTTAAATTTCTCTATATGTGCCCTAGAAGAAAAAAGTAACATGTAGAAGGTATCCTAGAAGGAAAATAATATTGTCCAAGAATAACTACTGAATCTATATGAGAGGTACACAAAACAACTAAATAAACAAAATAAACCAAATGGCTTACTTCAGTATAAATAAATTCTATTATATTGTCTTTATTATAATGTCAGTATCATTCATATTCTGACTAGGAGAACATATGTTTTATATAAATAGTTTAGTCTACCAAATAACAGGAAGGCAATAATGAAAATTTCTGTGCTTGTATTTTTAATTTTTACAATTTTTATTTTAATGCCTAGGATAACAATGTCTATATTCAGTAAGTCTTTGCACCTAATTTTTTTTACTATTATATAAGAAGGGTAGGAAATCTTTGATTCTAATGAGAAGTTATTTAAGTAAGCTTGTTATGGCACTGACAATATTTTAATAGATCAATAAAATGAGAAAATAGGCTGAAAGTAAGTCAATAAGTTTTACAAGACCAATTCGTTCGCAAACAAAACTCCAAATCAGTGAAAAGGGCATCCAAATGACTCTATTAAGCTTAATCTAGATTGAAAAGAGAGTACTCTTAAGGACTTAATGAAAATTGAAGCACTTCTTTAATTACCTGCATAAATTACTTAGCCATCAGTATAAAAAAGTAATGCTTTTTGGTTTACAATTAAGTATATAAGCAAGACAAAATGACTAGATTTGTACTAAAATTCTAAGCCAAAAATATCACTATATGATAATTTGATCAGGCAATTATATAGATCAATTGCAATGGTATTAACTCTTGGTGACTAGTAGAAGATGATCAAATATCGAATACCTGTATAAGTTTAATGTTACTATTATGTATGTTATTTTAAGTATTCGGAACATTATTTAAAAATTAATGTGAATACAATTTTTAATGTTGTTCTGAAAATTTACTTGTAATTGAGTAATTTACAATATTATATGTCTCTTAGGTCAAAGTTAATACAAGTCTATCCTTGTGTTAGGCCTTCCAAAATTGTAGAAACTCAAGAGCTACTAGACTAATTTCATTATAGAAAGAAAGAAAACCCAATAATATCAGTGCAAACACTTTGTTCTCTCAAATTTTAGTTAATAAAAATTATTGTAACTTATACTTTCACAAGTATGATGTTAGTGGGTTGACACAAAATTAAATAGTTTTATAATATGTTTAATTGGTGTTCTTCAGGCAATTGAATTGAGGGGGGAGGAAAGGTAACTAACCTCAAAGGAGGTTTGGAATGTTTGAAATAACTACTTTTTAAAAAGGTGAACAATAGTTTGAATATTATTTGCAGATGAAATAGGAAGAGGTTGTATCAAGGAAAATAATTTTATTCTGCTTTACCAGCTTATATGTCACTTTAATTCAATTAATTTAATCTACTTAAAATATTATAAAGTATTTATAATAAAGTGAAACTGTTGAAAGAAAGAATGCTGACTTTCAAGAACATTCAAATAATTTCTCTATGAGGGGCTAGGCACCTGTTATCCCTAAGTTAATTCAAATCTGAAGTCTTTTCCATATTACACTCCAAAGAGCCTGGAGACCAAAATGGCCTCAAAGGGTTACGACTCCTGTCCCTTGACAATCTTCATTTACACATTTTATATAAACATAGATTTTAAAAACATGGAAACTTCTGCTCTGAGAAAAACATGCTTCCTTTCAAAATTATCTGTAAAATATATGTGTCATACAATAGTAAACATTTCTTAGTAACCAACAAGTGTCAGATAATTTGTAATCTAATCTACTTTTTGATCTTGCATATGATGAAACCAATTCCCCAAGTAGGTAACTAGGGTGCTCTGGAAAATAAGCACAACCTTCTCACAACAGCATTTCTATGCTTTAAGTAAAGCTCTCCTAAAGCCATATCTGCATTGTATTGCATGCTTCCGTTTCTTCAGTTAATCTCATAAGTTTAAATCACATGTCATGCTCCCTTTATGCTGCTGCAACAAAATACCTAGGGCTGGATAATTTATACATAATAGAAATTTATTTTTCAAAGCTGTCAAGCTAGGTAGATCAAGGCACCAGTACATTGGGTGTCTAGTGAGGACTGCTGTCTCCTCCCAAGATGGAGCCTTGTTGCTGCTTTCTTACAAGGGGAAGATCACTGTTTCATCACATCATAGAAGGGACAGAAGAGGCAAAAAAGAAGCAAACTCCCTCTGTCAAGCCATTTTGTAAGGGCATCTAATGCCATTCATGAAGGCAGGGCCCTCATGACTCAATTACCTTCTAGAGGACATACCTCTTAATAGTGTTGCATTGGGAATCAAGGTTCAACATCAACTATAGAGGAGCCATCATCATTCAAACCATAGTAACATATAAACTGTAGCACAGTTCTAATTAATACCAATGATTAATAGATGACAGTATTATTTTTATTTGGAAATTCCTCCCATGTGTAGCCAGAATTGTTTCCCCAAAACAATATGGCAGGCTAGAGTCTCTGAACTTCCCCTCTTTTGTCTCCCGTGGTAATGACACAAAAGACTAGAGGCCCACAGATATAAAAAATGATAAGGGAATAGGTTCAGAAATGAATGGAGTACTCAACGACGACCAGGAGTGGAGTGGAGGAAAGATGAGGAGCATATGCCCCATGTTGCAGGTAGAAATTCTTCTGAAGTCTGCCATATTTACCATCTTACATCTTACTTGAGACAATACAAAGTACGCATATTAGTCTGTTTTCTGTTGCAGACTGGGCACAGACTGGGCAATTTGCAAAAAATAAAAATTGTTTAGCCTCATGGTTTAGGAGACTAGGAAGCCTACAAGTATGATGCTGACATTTGGGCAGGGACTTCTTGCTGTGTGGAGGGCATGCATGGTGAGAGGGCAATGGCATGCCAGCTCAGGTCTCTCTTTCCCTTCTTGTAAACCACCTGTCTCATCATGAGGATCCACCCTGGTGACCTGATCCTAATTACCTCCCAAAGGCCTACCGCCAATCAAAATAGGAGCTTGAGGATTAAGTTTCCAACACAAGAAATCTGAGAGACACATTCAAACCATAGCAATATGGCACGGTAAGTTTACCTCGCCACAGCAGTGGAGACACCCAAAGAGAAAAAAAGAGAGAAAATCACAAGCAAAACAGTGAGACAACCTTGGAGGAAAAAGACCTGTGGGGGAGAATCAACAAATAGAAAAATCTAGCATAGAGGAAGAGAATTAATGGGGAAAAAAGTAAACTTTTAAAGAACATAAACAATATATTCAGACTGACAAGAAGTCATTAGAAATATGAAAAACATGAGTGTTAAACTAAAGAAATCAGTGTTACAAGTGAATGGCAGAATAATACAGTAGCAAACAAGTGGTACACTGGAAATCAGTGAAAAATTCATCAGAGATATATGTAAAAATGCATCAGATGATAGAAAAATGAGAAAACCAGATTAGAAGATCAACAACTAGAAAGAGGCCTAGTATAAATAGCAAAGAGGCAATATTTGTAGAAGTAATAAACTAAACACAGATTGAAAATATTCATAAAGTTTTGAACAGAATAGACAAGACAAAGACAGTAACAATAAACGAAAAATAGAAAAGCCATATCAAGACTGCTGGACACACATTGTGAAGTTTAGAGGATTAAAAAAAGAGGAAATTCTAAAATTTCTTGGAGAAATGAGGATATCATTCATAAAACAATCTGTCAATTTAAATCTATCAAATATACAACTGGTGAATAAAGACAAAGTAATGAAATCTGTAAACAACAACATAAGGTGAAGACAGAATTTGATTTAAATCCAATCCAAGTGTCAGCAAACTATGGCCTGCAGAGCAAATCCATCCTGCTTCCTATTTTGTATATAAAATTTTATTGGAACATATTCATTCATGCTAAGATATTAATATGCTGTCTGTGGATGCTTTTCTGTTATAACAGCAGTGTTAAGTAATTGAGGGAGAAGCCAAATGGCCTGAAAGGCCTAAAATATTTACTCTCTTGCCCTTTACGGAAAATTTAAAAAAAATTCACCTCTCATCTAAACTCTCAGTTAAATAAGAGAATGAATTACATATGTCTTCAGGCATTGAGAAACTCAGGAAAATTGCTACAAAAAGATCGACCTTGAAATTACTTTGGGGATTTCCCAGCAAGAAGATTAATTAATCCAAGTTAGAAGCAACAAGACATAGAAAATAAACCACCAGTCCCACCATGGAAGTGCAATTCTAATAAAAATACAATTGTAATAAAATATCTATTGATGGCTGGATTTTTTGAATGGCCAAACAATAAAAGTATAAACATAGAAATTAACATACAGTATTTCAGATGAAACTAATATTGGACCAATGGAAGGAGGACAGAAAGAACAATAGATTAGAGGGGTAGAAAATGTTCTTTTTCTACAGAAAATACAGTCATTGGTAAATGTTTGACACTGATAAGAAAATTGAGTTATCAGCTAATGGTGTTCATCAGAGAAATGAAAATGAAATGGTGGCTGGGGATGGTGGCTCATGCCTGTAATCCCACCATTTCGGGAGACTGAGACAAGATGATTGCTTGAGGCTGAGAGTTCAAGACTGGCCTGCGCAACCTAGTCAGACCTCGTCTATACAAATTTTTTTTTTTTTTTTGAGACAGTCTTTGCTGTGTCACCCAGGCTAGAGTGCAGTGGCACAATCTCGGCTCACTGCAAGCCGAGTTCACGGGTTCATGTCATTCTCCTGCCTCAGCCTCCTGAGTAGCTGGGACTACAGGCGCCCACCACCACGCCCACCTAATTTTTTTTTTTTTGTATTTTTTAGTAGAAATGGGGTTTCACCATGTTAGCCAGGATGGTGTTGATCTGCTGACCTTGTGATCCGCCCACCTTGGCCTTTAAGATGGGAATCAAGAGAATGTTTATACATGTAAATGAATTAACATCTCAATAAAACATAATAGATAATTGCAATTGATAAAATTACAGGGAGCTATAGATACAGCAATAACTATAATTTAATATCTTATAATAACCTCATGGTATATTAATGTACAAAAAGATAAGAAAACTATAAAAGATTAGAATAATATAACTTTAAAAAACTGTTAATGTACAGAGAATAAATGCATTTTAAGCAGATGTGGGCTTTTAATAAAATTGACACCTAGTGGCTGACAAAACTTCAGTACATTTACACAAATGAATATTATTTAAAATATTTAATTAATTTAGGAAAGTATGCCAGAAATATCACTAAACAACATCCAAAAAAGTAAACAGGAAGAATTGTTTTTTTCAAATTATAAGAAGTTATATAATTTGAAAGTCATTAAAATTTTTTCACATATGATAAAATTAGTAAGATGCAGGTGTACTATTTAGAGGATAAAGTGTAGCTTTAAATAAATCTATCAAACAACAAGAAATAAACTGTTCAACTAAAGAAAATATTTAAACAATACAGATATGATTTTACAATAGCTATAAGGTCATTTTTTCACCAGAAATAGCCAATGACTTTTAAGTATGCTTGAAAATTTCCGCTGGGAAAATGCAGTTTCCCTAGATTTTTTTTTTGGAAGGCATACATTATCAAATAAAAATAAGTCAACAAAAATATGACATTTGAGAACAAATAAAAAAAAACTTAAAAATTGGGTCCTGGTCTGCATTAGTCCGTTTTCATGCTGCTGATAAAGATATAACAGAGACTGGTAATTTACAAAGAAAAAGAGGTTTAATGGATTCACAGTTCCACGTGGCTGGGGAGGACTTAACAATCATGGTGGAAGGCAAAGAAGAAAAGAAGTTACATCTTACATGGCAGCAGGCAAGAGAGAATGAGAGCCAAGCGAAAAGGGAAACCCGTTATAAAACCATCAGATCTCTTGAGACTTATTCACTACCACGAGAACAGTGTGGGAGAAATTGTCCCCATGATTTAATTATCTCCCACCAGGTCCCTCCCACAACATGGAGGAATTATGGGAGCTACAACTCAAGATGAGTTTGGGTGGGGACACAGTCAAATCATATGATGGTCTAAATTTTTGGGGGGGGGGTAAGTTTCATCAATCATCCAATACATATATATTTTCTAAACTAGTTAATAAGATTCGAACATAGAAAACCTAAAATTTCAAACTTGTTAATATATCTAAAACATCTCTGATACTGAAACTTAATTGGAAAGACTAAAGAAAAAGAGAAAAACAAACTCAATTGTAATTACTACAATTACAAAGTTATAAATAGTGACAATCATCATTATTATATGTTTAAAGTTAATAGTTCATAGACAATAGGCATTGCCTAAGGAGTAAAAACATGAATGAATATTCAAAATATAATACCAAAATATCAAATACATGAGTTAAAATATAAATTCAACAAACATCACAAACATGTTCACCCTGATGGTTGCCAAACTTTATTTCATAAATTCAATATGCACTCTTAATAACATAAGATAATTTTAAATATATATTTCTCCCCTCATCTATATCTGGTGGGAGCTAATGAAGAACCAGAAGGCTTTAAATGGAGTCAGAAAATACACTTTTCTCTCACAGGTTAATACAGTGTGAATAAATTTGTGGCTCTGCCAGAAATGTTAAAATAAATAATTTCTGATTTACTCATTTTCCATTAATGTGTTGGCAAAATACAATTATACTAATTTATGTCTTAATCTACATAAAATAAAAATAAATTACTTTTATTCAGAATTACTTATTTTTATAATAATACCTACTTGAGCAACTGAGAGCACTCAAGAAATTATGCATTGTCCTATAGAAATTTTTAATTAGATGTGTGTAAAAACATTAATGCAGAGTAAATGGAAATGAAATATATTAAATATTTGAATATATATTTTGTCAAAATTTAATAGTTATGTCCTCATACTATGTCAGCTTTGTTAAGATTCTATTAATATGACACATATTCAGACAGTATCCTGAAGACCAGGGAACACAGAATACCTTTGCTTACAGGAATAATTCATGTTTTTTTAATGTAATTTCTTCTCTAAAGGAATTAGTAAATAATAAGTCAATTTCAATTTATCCTTACTCCTTAAGGAATATTTTGGGATGTGTAAATTAAGATATCAAATGTGAATTAACAACTGCTTTTGCATAAATAGTAATTTGTATAACTTTATAAACCAAAAAGTTTTTATATAATCTCTTAACTGTTTATCATAATAATCCTGGGAAGGAACATTGTAACATTTCTTCATTTAAAATTAGGAAGCTCATGTTCAGACATAAAGTCATACAACTGAGTTGAGTACCAAGAAATATGTTTAAGTATACAGATACAAATTGCTTAAACACTTACTTAACAAATCATTTAACAAAACGACAAACTTACTTTCCTTCATCTTAGCTGTAATACTGGTATGTATGTGTTACCATGGAGTCCAACTGATTTGCTAAATTGTTTCAAATAGTAATCTAAGGACACAACAATCATAAATTAATGACTATCTGACTGTAACAATGTATTGTTTAAACCTCATGTGATCTGAATTTTGGCTGCAAAGAAAGAACATTTGAGCCACTACTAAAAACAGTACATAGGATAAAATGGCAAAACACCTGAATAATATGGAGTTCAGTAGGATGATTGTCACTTAAATAACTGAACGATGACTGATGACAGTCAGGTACCAGTGACATTTTCTTCTTTTTAGTCCTGGGGTCTAGTAAAGTGCTTTGACCTATAACAGCTTCTTAGTAGATTTTGTCAGATGAATGAATGAATAACATTTAAGACACTATAAAATATTGATATATTAGTAATTGCTTTATGGAATATATTGACATGTAAGTAATATATTACTACTTGCAAATATTATTAAGTTTTTTAGCCCTATCTATTAACTAAGGGTTAGATGGGATAGTACTAACTGAGATGGACAATATTTATATTTGATTTTAAGTTTCTTAAATTCAGGAGTTCTAAGAATGTTAGAGAAGAACAGGCCGGGTGCGGTGGCTCATGCCTGTAATCCCAGAACTTTGGGAGGCCAAGGCAGGTGGATCACCTGAGGTCAGGAGTTCGAGACCAGCCTGACCAACATGGAGAAACCCCATCTCTCCTAAAAATACAAAATTAGCTGGGCATTGTAGCACATGCCTGTAATCCTAGCTACTCAGGAGGCTGAAGCAGGAGAATTGCTTGAACCCAGGAGGCGGAAATTGCAGTGAGCTGAGATTGAGCCACTGCACTCCAGCCTGGGTGACAGAGTAAGATGCTGTCTCAAAAAAAAAACAAAAACAAAAACAAAAAAAAAACAGAATGTTAGAGAAGAAGAATGGTATACTATCATAGAAGGAGTTTAATTTCTGAAATTAAAAGACTGAAATTCCAACAACTCTGTTGATGTAATCTATTTCCAGCCTGGTAAAAAACTTAGTTACTTTGCTCTTACTTAGATACATCCAGGATAAACTGATGTCTGAAAATCATTTTGTCCCAAGGATTAGCTACTACCATTACCTAAAATATCTGGCTGTTGACTCAAAATTCTGATGCCGAGCTTTACTTTTCATATCATTGGAGGTTTTAATCTTAAACCAGAATTCCCCTGCTTCTGTGAGCCCCACACCAGCCTGACATCCCATGTGGGGACACACACAGGCTTACATATACACACAAATGCATACACACATATAAACATGGATAGATAGTATGGAGACTAAGATGCATATAATATTTACATATTTTATACATAATATTTCTAGAAATAAAATATACCTTCTCAACTATTTGTTTAAATATCTGTGGTAGTTAAAATTAGATCTCTGCTATTTAAACCATGGTGAACATATAAAACAATTTCATGTTGAAAGATAGCTTTATGCTGAGTGATCAATTGTGTATAACTGCATGATTAATGACTACATTTCCTTTCAGGTTTATGTTATTGCTTTTTTTTGCAGAGGGGAGAACATATTAAGCATATTATTCCACTAAGAATATTCACTGTGATTCTTCTTCTAGTTAGAGTCATCTCTTACAGTGCATCATTGTTCAAAAGGCAAATCAGAACTTCTAACTCTTAAATTTCTCTATAGAAAAATAAATTTTGGGCAATACTTAGACATATTATATGTATAAAAATACATGAGTACTTATTGAGGTTATAAAAATATTCTTCATTAACACTTACAAATCAGAGTGATTTCACGGTGGTACATTTTACAATCAGTTTCCCATTTAATAGCATTCACTATTATAGCATTCCATATAATGAATTTGCCATTCTAGTGAATTTTCCAGCAATATTAGCAAATGTATCACCTGTAGAGTTCCTTCTTTATTCAAGAAAGTGCATACACATATTTTAGTTTTATAAGTTTATTTTATTTCTAAGAATGATAAAGATTACAATCAAAGTATATTGCCATTTATTTTGCTTAGTTTATGGTAAGTTACAAATACTTTTATATTTTCTCATTAGTCATGTTAGCATGCCCAAAGTAATTATAATATTATATAAGTATAATACCATGTAGGCAGAATTGGTTTTAAGATGTAAAAGTTAAAACCGAGTGATACAGATTATCTTACAAGCATTACAACTATTTAATAGACTGCATATCTATTATGACATTGTTTAAATGTACCCTAAAACTTAAAGTATAATAATAAAAAAAAGAAAAAAAATCATAAAATGTGTATGGAGTACAATGACAAGAACATCTTAAAAATAACTATGTTATAAATGCAAATAAATTTTAAAATTCAAGAGATCAAAAAGCATTCACTTGCAACTCACCTTTAAAACAATATTCATGTTTTATATTCCTCATATAGAAGAAAAATATAAAAGATATTGCATTTCACTTGTATGTAGAACATTTAGTTTGGTAGTCATTAATAGACTTTGTCATCTCTTAAAATGTAAAGCTTATTATGAAAGGAAGTTATATAAGAAATGATCTTTGAGTAAACAAGTTTTGGCTTCTAGTATTTTTTAAAGACTTGTGAACCTCTTCTTTGCCCAAGCAGCCCAGGGACAGATTTTATATAGAATGAAGTTTGCACATTACCATTGAAAGACACATTATGATAAAAGGGAAAATGAGGTTTAACATGGAAAAATGATGTGCTCATCAACATACTGGACATTTTAAAAATAAATATTCTTGAGATACTAATTTTAATCTTTGTAAGATAGTCACTGACAACCTGATCTGAGACTTTATTTCACCTTGCTTTCCTCTAGTATGCTTAATTTACGTAATGTATTATATTGATTTTTTTTCTTGATTGTGCATTATTGAATATTTTAACTTCCTTCTTCTTAATGTAATCCTAATCACTTCATCATTGGGCTACTTTAATAGAAAACCTCCTCCATTCAATAAAATTAGAGAACAGAGCTTTTCTATCCTTTATTTCTATTTTAATTATAATATTTTATTTTAACATCTGTTTACAGATCCATCTGGCTCACCACAAAATACATTTCTAAGTATAAAATATTGAGTTATATTTGGAAGAGAGCACATGGAGTAAATCCATTTATAGTCAACATTATCTTGGAAAACCCCTTAAAACACTCAAAAGAACAAAATGAAATATAGTTACTAAATTTGACATCATGAGTTTTTACTCGTATTTGATGAAATATAGCCTTTTACTAGGATGGTAATCAGCTCAAGTAGTTGTCTCACATTTAGGAGCAATAATGTAAAATATACATATATCTTAATAACTGCTCACTTAATGTTGGGTTGGTACAGTTGATTTTGCTTAAAGTAAACGTATATCTGATTCGACCACACTGTACTTCACTAATCTTTTCTACTCATTAAAATATTTTGATTGAACTCCAACTCTTGCAGGGTAATAAATCTTGATGCCTTGTACACCCTGAAAGAATTCTCACATGTGGAACTTCAACATATTGGATGTAATTTCTTCTAAAATTTCTCTGTATGTGTATGATGGTTAATTGTATGTGTCAACTTGACTCTCTAAGGGATGCCCAGGTAGCTAGTAAACTATTTCTGAGTGTACTTGAGATTTTATTCTTGAAGAGAATAGCATTTTAATCAGTAGACTGAGAAAGAAATTGTCTAATCAGTGTGAGTGGACATCACCCAATTCATTGAGGGCCACAATAGGACAAAAACGCAAGGAAGGTTGAATTATTTCTCTCTCTCTCTCTCTCTGACCTGGAATACCAATATTTTCTTGCCCTCAGACATCAGGACTCCTGGTTCTAGAGCCTTTGGACACGCACTGAATTATACCACCAAGTTTCTTAGTTCTCGATCTTGCATATGGCAGATGGTGGAAATTCCTGACTCCATAATATCATAAGCCAATTCCTATAAGAAATCTATCTATCTATCTATCTATCTATCTATCTATCTATCTATACACACACGCATCCACACACACATACACACACAACATAACCTAAAATATGGATATCTATCTATATATGTATACATGTACACACACATAGATATCTATATATCAGGTTTTGTTGGTTCTGTTTCTCCTATTTGTTCTATTTCTCTGGATAACACTGAATAACACAATGCTCTATAATATAAAATATTTATTGAATGCTTATCATGTGTGGAACAGGTTTCTAGTTGCACTGTTAATCTAATTTAATTCCTGCTGTAAATCCATAGATGAGCACTGCAAGAACCCCATTTTATAGATACAGGAATTGAGAATTTCAAAGTTTATGTAACTAGCCAGAGGCCACTTCATTTCTGGAGGATAAATTTAAAACTCATGTATTCTGATTCCAGAACCATCACTGAACCACTGTGTTGTAATCATTTATGTATCCCAAAACAAACTCACAATCAATGCACAAACATGCACTTTTTCACTTGTGTGTAGAATTTATTTTGGTTCCACAGCTGTGTCTTTTGAGATCTTATCAACAATCTTGAATGCAATCTTTAGAATCTTGAAATTTTAAAACTCATACATTTCAGTAAATATACTTTATACAACAACTGTGACTTTAACGTATCTGTCCAAATTTCACATATATTGGTAGAACTGAAAAGGGATCCAAATCCTCTGATGTAAAATCACTGTTTAATCTATCATATGCATTATTCTTTATTGTATCATTGAATAATGCACAGTTCACATTAAATTTATTTTTTGTTTGACAATATCAATAATAAAAGGATAGCAAAATCAATGATCATTCAATCACATACCCTTTCGTACCTTTTGAGAGGAGTGTATATTGAATATATACAACGTATTAGGCAAAGTGAAAACAGGAATAAGACCTGTCCATATTGAGTTTACTTTAAGGGCATGAAAAAAATAAGGAAGACCATTTTAAAATTGAAATAATAAAAGAGTGATGATATTTTATGCTAGAGTAAGTAATATAGGGGGAAAAAGCAGTGCAGTAAAATAAGGGGAAGTTGAGGGCTCTGTGTGACTAAAATAAAAAGGTAATGTTTAAATAAATATTTGAAGAAAATGATTATATTAACTATAGAAATAACAGAGAGAAGACTATTCTAGTAATCAGCGGGACTGAGCAAAAGAAGTAAGAAGCTAGCATAACCAGCATAATCAAGGAATAATAAGAACACCAATGTCGTTAGACATTTTCAGCAGAGGAAACGAAAGGAGAAACAATAAGAAATACAGTCAGAAAGGCAATGAAGTGACATAATCAGGTGGAGTCTTATTGAACAATTTAAGATATTTAGCTTTTATGCTGAGTGAAATTGAAGCCACTGATAAATTTTCAGTGATAAAATGATGTCTTTTTTATAGTAACTTTATTTTTAATTGTCAAAACTTGGAAGCAACTGAAATATCCTTCAACAGGTGAATGGATAAACAAATTGTGGTACATCCAGACAATATAATGAGCTAACAAGCTATGCAAAGACATGAAAGACTCTTAAAGGTACATTGCTACATGAAAGAAGCCAATCTAAAAGAACTAAGTATGATATAATTCCAACTACAGCAGGTCCTCTAATAACATGATTTCATTCAACGACTTTGGTTACAATGTTGATGAGAAAAAAAATTGATCCCTGGCCTACGGCACTGTCCATGTGGAGTCTGCAAGGCCTCCCCGTATCTGAGTGGCTTTTCTCCAGGTACTCTGGTTTCCTCTCACATTCCAGAGATGTGCACATTAGGTGAACTGGTGTGTCTAAATGTTCCCAATCTGAGTGAGTGTGAGTGTCAGTGTGAGTGCGCCCTGTGCTGGGACAGAGTCCTGTCCAGCATGGGTTCCTGTCTTGTGCTCTGAGCTGCTGGGATAGCTTCTGGCTACCTGCAACCCTGAACTGGAAGGACCACTGTAGTTTCCTTTAGTTGAAAATAATCTATAGGAGTTAAGGATAGAAGTAAAGAATATATTAGGAAGCTACTGCAGTAATTCAGGAGAGAAATAGTTGTGACTTGAACAAAGATGGAAGCTATTAATATGAAAGTATGGGAAGTGGTCCATGTATGTCTCTGAATATATTTTGAAGCCACCAGTATTTCCTGGTGGTTGAATGTAACATGAGAGAAAAAGCGGAGTCAAGATGAATAAAAGCTCTTAGACCAGAACACTGAAAGGATCATGTTTTCATGAATAGATATAAGGAAAAGTGTGGGTAAAGCAAGTTTTGGGGAGAGAATCAGCAGTCTACTTTTGTTCATGTTTAATTTGAGGTGTCTACCAGACATCCAAGTAGCTGTAATGAGTATGCAGTTGAAATCATGTGTGGAATTCGTGAGAGAGTTTTCAGCTAGAGATGTGAATTTCAAAGTCCTTGGCATAAAGATAGTATTTAAAGTCATTACATCGGATGAGATCATTAAAGGAGACAGGAAAGAGAACAAAGAAGATCAAAGTTTGATCCTGAGGTATTTTAAATTACAGAGTTAGGGAAATAAGTAAAAGTCCAGCAAAGAAGTCAGGAATAGTACAAAGTAGGGTAAAAATAAAGGAGGGTGTGATCACATAGAGAAGCCAAAGAAAACTGCCTCCATGAAGGAATAATGAACAATGGTAAATGCTACCAAGAAATGAACTAAGAATATTAGGTCTAGCTAGTGAAGGTAGTAATACAGAGGCATTAGAGACATTTGTGGGGATCAGGTAATAGAGTGAAAGGCTTTGGAAATAGTTTATATGGGCTAATGCTTTATAGCAAAATTGCCAAAAATGTTAACACAAAAATAGAGTCGTAATTCAAAGAGGAAATGGAGTTAGGAATGTAACTTTCAAATACTGGAGACTGATCAGAAAATGGGATGTTTACTCATAGGCAAAATGTGAGAATCTACACTTGTAAATCCCCAAGTGTGCTCTGTAAATAAATGTAATTAATTTAGTAGTGTTTAATAATAAAGCTTTTTGGTTAAAAAAAAAGTCTATTTACTTTTATGTTAATAGGCCATGAAATAAGCTTTTACTTCTGCTTAAATTTTCACATGCAGTTTCAATATACTTAATAAAGAACTGCTGAAAAGTTTTAAAATGGGCAAAAGCAGTAGTGTTGAGATGAAAAACACAAAAATGCCATTATAACAAAGACAGATACGAATCATGGAAGAAAAGATTGAAATGTTTTGATCAGGGTTCTGAGGGTACAAAAATGAAAGATATCAATGTTATAAAATAAAATTTTATCAGAAAATTGGAAATAAAGATAAGCCATATTGGGTGTACTTTTTCTTTTAATCAGATTGAAGGAAAAAATGCTTTCCTGTTACTGCTAACCTGCAGTTAACAAGAAGAAATAACTCTTTAAATAGCACTTAAGAATGGAATAAAAACGACTCCCTCATGAGGAAGCAATGTGACAGGAAGAGTGTTCACAGCATCATTTTAATTAGAAGAGTAAAAAGTATTTCACATTTGAGATAGTTTGTTTCTTATTTTTCTGGTGTTCTGAGTTTATTCTCATTTAAACATACATGTTAAAGAAAGTAACTTATTCACACATTATTTGGGTATTTTTTTTCAAAGAGCAAATGTGTAAACATAACAGTGTCTAACATATCTAGAAAAAACGTCCCCCACCCCCCGCCCTGCTGTAGCTCATTCTCAGCCCTACTCCCTCCTCAGTTCTTCTCTTCTTGCAAGGTAAAACAAACCTAGGCCATTAGATTATCCAACTTCCCGTCACGCAGAGATAGAGTTAAAAAGAGGCATTGGCAGGCATGGTGGCGGCCGCCTGTAGTCCCAGCTACTCAGAAGGCTGAGGCAGGAGAATGGCTTGAACTCGGGAGGCGGAGCTTGCAGTGAGCCGAGATCGCACCACTGCACTCCAGCCCTGGCGACAGAGCGAGACTCCGTCTCAAAAAAAAAAAAAAAAAAAAAAAAAAAAAAAAAAAGCATTGGAACGAATAAAGTAGAACATAGTGATCTCCAGAAATACTGGGAGCTATTAGCAAAGACCAATCCTCTCTTTCCTTTCTCTCTCTTCTTCTGAATCAGTTCATCACTTCTGCTAGCAATCTGCATTGTTGTTAAAGAAAAAAGACTATAGAGAGCTCACATGAAAATAAAGTAAAATCAATTAAAAAAAACAGAATCACAAAATAGGCAACAGAAACCAATTCCTACTAAAATATTTTGACAACCCCATGAAAAAGGAAGGGCTATAGAATACCCATCTATTAACCAATAAATGGTTACGAAGCTTCACCTAATATACATAATTCTTCCAGAAGTACATATATAATAATTTCAAAAAATTAAAAAAGTATTATGCAAATCTCAAAAATTAATTCTTTATAATTTTGTACCATAATTAAAATAAGGTAGAAATTAATAATAAAATATAGATTAAATGCTTTCATGTGAAAATACACACATACAAACACTTATCAGATATTCTACCTCTATCAATGTCAAAAATTTTTTTTTGAGGCCAGCATCATCCTGATATCAATGTCAAATTAACTTGTTTTAGATGAACCATCCTGCCAATAATAAAAAGAAAATTTGGGATATGTATTATAAAATATCTCCGTGAAGGCATTGGAGAGTTACATGGATAGAGAGAACTTGAAGGGTAAAATATTGAAGAGAAGAAAATCTCAAAGGAATAACTCTGATATTTGACATTACTTCTAACAGTGTATCTCACAGCCAAAAACACTGGGCACATATTCAGCAGTTTTATGAAAACTGCATTTTAAGACTAATCAAAGGGGAAGGAACTTTATTGGGACTACCAGGCACAGTTTTATCACAAATTAAGGCACTGGCACAGAAATGTTTACAGTGCTTTCTACTACCTGCCCAGACCTTATAATCTCATTTATATACAAATTCTTCCAGAATAGAAATAAAGGCAATTATCTACAATTCATTCTGGGATATGTGTAGCATTGAAACTAAAACCAGATAAAGACATTAGAAGAAAGAAAAATCACAGGACCACTTAATCCACAAATATATAGAAAAAAATCCTAAAATTAAAAAAAAATTATCAGTATAAAAAAACCCCCCAAAGTGTTTAAACATAAAACACCATACATTTTTATTTATCTCAAAATTAAAAGGATGGTTTACTATTATTGAATCTATAAATGTATTATATACCTCATTATCTGATCAAAGGAAAAAATGCTTATTTTTATGTTGTTTGATTATCTGATCCAAAAAATGCTTATTTATATTTATGTTTATTTATATATAATATAAATCAGTATATATTCATGATTGTAAAATAATTAAGAATTTTAAAAATCCATAAGCATAACAAATAATTAGAATATTAGGCACAATTGCATACAAATAAATTAGACAATTTAGATGAAATTGGCAAAGTCCTAGATAAACACAAACTACAATAACTGGTTCAAGAAAAAAAGATCTAAATATACTTAAATATACTAAATATACTTATAGCAAATTAAGAAACTGAATTAGTAATAATAATAATAATAAATACCTAGGCCTAGATCACTTCACAGGTAAATTTTTATCAGACAATTAAGGAAGAATTAATACCAATCCTTTACAAAATCTTATGAAAATTATGAGTAGGGAACACTGTCCTACTCATTCTATGAGGCCAATATAACCTCTTACAAAAAACAAGTATACCAAAAAAAACTTCAGACCAATATCTTTCATGAATATCAATCTAAAATCTTCAGCAGAATACTAGCAAACTGAATTCAGCAACACACAGAAATAACTATACTCTATGATCAAATGAGATATTTCCCAGGAATGTAAGTTGGTGTAACATGAAAAAAACAAAACGCTACAGGATCCTGACGGTGTCTCTTCACCAGGTGGAAACCTCTGTGGCTGGTGGTGCCGCTGCTTGCCCGCTGGGCTTGTTCCACCCACATGGTAGGGCAGGCTGTGCTTGGCTCATGCCACCGGCCTGGATCCCACGCCTGCCAAGGGTGAGCCAGGCGCAGAGCAGTGAGGGGTGTGTGCTCAAGCAAGTGTGGGGTCCATCCACTGTACACCACCAGGCATGCTAGCTACAGCAGGGTGGGAAGCTCCATGTCAGGCTGCAGCTGAACCAGGCGAATTGTAAATGGATTCCTCTGTGGGCACTGGGGAACGTGGTGGCTTCCAAAAGCTTGGAGATGACGAAACCACAGAGCCCCAACGAGGGTGTTATAATGTGTCACAGCCCTGCATGGAGCCCCAAGGTCTGGGCCCCCAGAAAGGCTTCAGCTCTTCTCTCCTTGCCACTTGCAGCATGGTGAGTAGAGGATGGGGGTGTGTTTCAGTCCATTTATGTTAAAGCTGTCTCAGTCCTACTGCCCTGCTTCACTCTGGCCCATGGCTCCTGGGCTATCCCAGCCCTGCTGCTGTTATGTGGGGTGGCCGCCTGGTGCCAGTGGGAGGCAGGAGGGCTCTTACAGCAGCTCTGGCTCAGGGCATCCCAAAGTCTGAGCCCCCAGAAGGGTTGCCACTCTTCACTCCCACAATCAAGGAACATGTCACCACCCATAGCTTGGTGAGCCGCCCAGGAAAGTGTTATTGCTCCTTTCACTCTGGCTGTTTGGTGGTTCTCAAGTTCTTGTCCTGCATCCAGGAAGAATGAGGTTAGGTGGACAACTGGTGGACGAGCAAGGTGGAGAGGAGCTTTACTGAGCAACTGAATAGCTCTCAGCAGACAGGAGACCCAAAGTGGGTAGCTCCTATCCACAGACAGGTTTTCTTCAAAAGTCTCTGAGATTGTTTGAGTCTTGGGGTTTTTATGGGCTCAGAAGGGAAGAAGTGAATGCTCACAGGTCCATGGGTAGCCATGGGTGGGCCGGAAAAAGCACCATACGACTGGCCGAAAGACATCAATGAAGTTCTTACTCCAGGCCCTGGACTCCACCTGCAACTGGCAGCCCAGCCTCCAGGCTTCAGGTCTTTCCTGGCTTGAAGGCGGGTTTTCACCAGGGAGCACCCCTTCCCACCTAGAAACCTGTCTGTTTCCCACCCCCATCAACGTCCTACCTGGGGTGCCCCAGCTGTCTGTGCTGAGGGACACCCACAGGACTGAGCCCAGCTGTCCTCAGCCCCATGACCTCCCTACTGTGCTCATTGGTCCCCAAAGTTTTAGCCTCAGCGGCAGTTTCTGAAGGGAGCTGAGGTGGCATGGGACAAGAATGTGCACACCAGGGACGTGGTGACAGGGCCTGGGCTCAGCTATTGGGACAGGTCGACAACTTTGCTCCATCACAGAGTGGGCACTGGAGGTAGAGAAGAGGCCAAGGAGTGGGAGCAGGCACTTTAAAACCTACAGTAGTATGGGGCTTCCTGGACCTCTAGAGTGCTGGGGTGCCTAGGTCAGGAGCCACAGCTGGGCAGCTGCAGCTGCACCTGGGAGTGTGGGCTCCTGCCCCACCAACTCAGTGGTATGCGGGGCTCCCGCTGGGATCACCTGCTCCCGGCCCCTGTCAGCCCCTGCTGGTTCTGCAGAACATGTAGCCCCAGCCATGCCTCCCCTGCTGCAGCTGGTGACCTCTCAGTGGCCACTCCAGATGGGCCACCATTGCCATCAATACTATGTCAATAAAATACACACACACAGCACATACCATCTCAGTAAACTCAGAAAATGTATTTCAGAAAATCCAACTCTCTTTCATGATAAAAACATTCAATAACTAAGAATAGAAGAGCACTTCCTCAACCTGATCGTTGCCATTTATAAAAAATTCACAGCTAAAATCATACTAATGGTCAAAGATGGGATATATTCTCTCTAAGATGACAATAAAAACAAGGATGTTCACTCCCACCACTTCTATTCAATATTGTACATGTGGTTTTAGCCACAGAAATTAGGAAGGAAAAAAGAAATACAAAACTTCTGTCTTGTAAAAGAAGTAAAACTATATCTATATGAAGATGACATTATGTTGTACATAGAAAATTCTAAGGAATCTGTTAAAAATAATTAGAACTAATAAATATCTGTAACAACGTTGCAAAATATAACATCACTATACAAAAGTCAATTGTATTTCTACACACTTGGAATGAATAATTCAAATGAAATCAGGAAAATTGTTTTATTTAAAATAGCATCAAAAGAGCATAATAATTAGAAATAAGTTTCATAAAAAGTGAAAAACTTATATTCCAAATATGACAAAACATTGTCGAAATAAATTTTAAAAGCTCTAAATAGGTTAAAAAAAAATCCTGATTTTATGGATCAAAAGACTTAATATTCTTATAATAGCAATAATCTAAAAATTGGTCTATAGATTCAATAAAATCCTGAGCAGAATCATAGCCAGCCATAGAAATTGACAAGTAATTTTAAAATTCATATGAAATAGCAAGGGACCCTAAATAGTCAACAAAATTCTGAAAAAGAGAAACAAATGGGAAGAACTCTCTCTCGCTGATTTCCAAACTTACTACAAGGTAACTGTAATCGATGGATGGTATTGTACTCAGGTAACGGTAGACGTAAAGATAAATGCAATAGAATTGAGAATCCAGAAATAAACCAACATGTCTATGGTTGACTTAGACAAGGGTGTAAAACCATTCTGTTCGGGAAGAAACTTTTTAACAAATTTTAGCAAATGGTTCTTGGATGACTGGATATCCACATGCTAAAGAGTGAAGTTGGACTCTTAACTCACACTACATACAAAAAACGACTCAAAATGGATCAAACACCAAAATATAATAAAAACTATAAAATGTTTAAAAGAAAACTTATGCTTTAATTTTTGTGACCTCAGATTTGGCAAAACAATTCTTAGATGTGACACCAAAAGCATGAGCATAAAAAGAAAACTTAGATAAATTTGACTTGATCAAAATTTAAAACTTTTGTTTCAAAAGACATTGTCACATAAGTAAAAAGACAACCTATGGAATGGAAAAAAAATTTCCAAAACATATTTCTCATATGGGACTTACATTTAAGATATAAAAATAATTCTTAGAACTCAATAATAAAAAGGCAACCAATTTTAAAAAATGAGATTAAAATCTGAACAGAAATTTCTTCATAAAAGATATATAAATGGTCAATAATCACATGAAAAGGTGTTCCATAGTATAGTCAGTCACCAAGGGAATGGAAATTAAAACTAAAATGTAGTAGCAACTTAACAACCACTATAAAGAAAAAATAAAATGATGATAAAAAATATTGGGAAGGATGTGGCAAAATCAGAACCCTCAAACTTCCTGGTAGAAATAGAAAATGGTATACCTACCTTGTAAAACAGTCTGAGAATTCCTCAAATGGATTAAATATAATAGTAGCATGATCCAACAATACACACATATTCATAGTATCATTACTTAAACTAAAAGAAAAAACTCAAACGTTCCTTAACAATGAATGGATAAATAAATATGATATATTAGTTCAACAGAATACTATTTATTCATTGAAAGGAATGAAGTACTGATACACAGTAGAATACATAAGAACCTTTGAAACATTACGCTAAGTAAAACAGTCATGAGACCACATATCACAAGATTAATTTAATATGAAATGTGCAGAAGAGGCAAATCTATTGCAACTTAAAAACTAGATTAGGGGTTACTTCAGTCTGCAGGACTGGGGGCAAAAATAAGTGATAGCTAAATAATGTGAGGATTCTTTTGGGGATGATGAATGTTTTCTAACAGTGACTGTGGTAATGGTCGTATATGTCTTAATACACTAAACTATTGAAATTAAAGCACTTTAATTTGATCACTTGTTATATAGGTGAACAATATCTCAAAAACTGTAAAAAGTCAAACTTTAAAAGAATAACTGTGTAAATCATAAATTTTGATATTTTATTACAAGCGTTATTTGGGAATAGTGTTTCTTGACTTTAATTCTTCCCACATTTTTCTCACTCTATGAGTCAAAAATCTATCTACTTTTTGTCAGACTTTTTTACTAAGAACTTAGACAATGAAAATAAAAGCAATACATGATATAACCTTGCACAAAGTATGCCAAACTAATTTTTGTTAACTACTTTTAAAAGATATATAGAAATGAGAAAATATTTACATGTAAATTAAAATCATGGTTAATATTCCAAGGAGTAAAAACTTGTATTTTCTCAGATACTCACAGAGAGTTCTGCCTGAAGACAGATATGTCTAATTCTCTGATAAATTCAGCTGATACTAACAATTTTAGTTGTTATATGCAGGAGTACACATGTTTCCATTTAATATTATCAGCCACATAATTATTAGTAATGCCAGAAAGTGATTTATTAATTTGGTGGTTTGCTATCTCTCTAACTTTGAACAAAAAGAAAAGTAGATAGTTAACCATCTTACTCTTGATGGAACATTAAACCAAAACCAGGAAAGATGTTAGAATAATGGATTATTGATATATGAACATTTCCAATTTGGGGTGAAGTTAAATTTTTAGTTTAGTTAAAGCATTACTGATAACAAAATTTGGGTAGCTCATGAATCACACTTTATTCAAGATTTACAAAACTAAATCATATATTTGGACAAATTATTTTTCAGAAAGGCTATTTTTGTTCTATACATATTAACTGTTTGGCCCTACTATTTCTATGGGTTGACAATTCTTTATGCTACTCCTTAACTATGCCAAGATTGAGCATATTCCCTGCTTTTAGGGAAGGTAATTGAGAACTCCAGGGCATATTTTTGTTTTAGCAACATTTATATATTTTTCTATCTGTACATAAATATGTTTATTTTTCATTAGAGTTAGAGCATCTTCAATGTTTTAACATATTTTATGTCAAGCAGATGCATAGTATTGTTGAAAGAAATAGAATAGATGCTTATTAAACACACATACACACACAAGTTTAGCTTCAAAACAAGCATTTCACTTGATAGTGTCTAAATTTCCTAATGCTGAACACTTCTGTGTAACAATAATCATTGTAATATTTATAATAAATAATAATAGTAAACCAACCCCAAAAAATTATTGAAAAATAATCATGTTTCCTATATTAAAGTTGTTAGAAGCCATTCTATAAACCTGACTTTAGGGATAAAAAAGCAATAGAAATTTTCAAAGGTAAATTGCTAAAATGCCAGCGCTGGTACGCTTTCCGCATTATTGACACTTTTGGTTTGCATTTCTAGAGAGACTTGAGGACATAAAGCGCAATGGCCCACACATGCCTATAAAAATTCTGAAATTTCTACTTTTCAGATCGTTTATCTTTTAGAAGTCTTTATAGAACAGATGGATCTTCTCACGACTTAAGGGAAACAGATCATACCCACCTACGAGAGTAGGCACATTGGGTTGAAACACCCGTTTAAAGATGGTCCTGTGTTCCGAGATCATGCCTCACAGATGTTTACATAGCCTATAGTATGAAATCTAATCCATTTTGGTAATTTTAACAAAATAACCCACTAGATTTTTGAGTTCTCTCTCTGTGCCAAACTTCTAACATCATCACAAAAATGCTTTTGTCAAATTCCAATGGATAGATGAAGCAGAGAAAAGAGGCCTGCCTCAGAACCAGAAACTATGTTATTAGCAAAATTTTTTAGAGCTGTATTTGTCTCTTCCTTCCAGTAGTATCTTCTTCTTTTCCTGAAGAAAAAATTAAGGGTAGGGAAATATCCGATGGCATTTGTCAGATAACTTCCTCTTCCTTTGGAATGAAAACTTCAACGTTCACTATCAGAGTGTATTGTATTTTTTGTCACAAGAAATTCCTTTACAAAGACATAGGATCAATCTATACAACCATCAATGGTAAACTGGATAAAGAAAATATGGTGCATATATACCCTGAAATACGAAACAGCCATAAAAAAATGAGATCATGTCCTTGGCAGCAACATGGATGAAGCTGGAGGCTATTATCCTAAGCGAACTAACATAGGAACAGAAAACCAAATACCACATGTTCTCATTTATAAATGGGAGCTAAACACTGAGTACAGAAGAACACAAAGAAGGGAACAACAGACACTGGGGCCTACTTGAGGGCAGAGGATGGGAGGGTGAAGATTGAAAAACTACCTGTGCGGTACTGAGAGGTGACAGCTTGCTGGCGGCCCTCACAGCCCTCGCTCGCTCTCGGTGCCTCTTCGGCCTCCGCGCCCACTCTGGCGGCACTTGGGGAGCCCTTCAGCCGGCGGCTGCACTGGGGGAGCCCCTTCCTGGGCTGGCCAAGGCCGGAGCCGGCTCCCTCAGCTTGCCCGGATGTGAGGAGGGAGAGGCGTAGGCGGGAACCGGGGCTGTGCGTGCCGCTTGTGAGCCAGCGTGAGCTCTGGATGGGCGTGGGCTCGGCGGGCCCCCACACTCGGAGCAGCCAGCCGGCCCCGCCAGCCGGGCAGTAAGGGGCTTAGCCCCTGGGCCAGCAGCTGCTGTGCTCGACTTCTCACCGGGCCTTAGCTGCCTCCTTTTCTCGCAGGGCCTTAGCTCCTCCTTGCGGGGCAGGGCTTGGGACCTGCAGCCCGCCATGCCTGAGCCTCACCGCCACCTGCCGTGGGCTGCTGTGCCCCTGGAGCCTCCCGGACGAGCCCCGCCCCCTGCTCCATGGCACCCAGTCCCATGGACCACCCAAAGGCTGAGGAGTGCGGGCTCAGGGCTTGGGACTGGCAGGCAGCTCCACCTGTGGCCACCGTGTGGGATCCACTGGGTGAAGCCAGCTGGGCGTCTGAGTCTGGCGGGGACTTGGAGAACCTTTATGTCTACCTAAGGTATTGTAAATACACCAATGGGCACTCTGTATCTAGCTCAAGGTTCGTAAACACACCAATCAGCACCCTTTGTCTAGCTCAGGGTTTATGAATGTACCAATCCACACTCTGTATCTAGCTACTCTGGTGGGGACTTGGAGAACCTTTATGTCTAGCTAATGGATTGTAAATACACCAATCGGCACTCTGTATCTAACTCAACGTTTGTAAACACACCAATCAGCACCCTGTGTCTAGCTCAGGGTTTGTGAATGCAGCAATTGACACTCAGTATCTAGCTACTCTGGTGGGGACTTGGAGAACCTTTGTGTGGACACTCTATCTAGCTAATCTAGTGGGGACTTGGAGAACTTTTGTGTCTAGCTCAGGGATTGTAAATGCACCAGTCAGCACCCTGTCAAAACGGACCAATCGTCTCTTGTAAAATGGGCCAATCAGCAGGATGTGGGTGGGGCCAGATAAGAGAATAAAAGCAGGCTGCCCCAGAGAGCAATGGCAACCTGCTGGGTCTCCTTCCACACTGTGGTAGCTTTGTTCTTTCGCTCTTTGCAATGAATCTTGCTGTTGCTCACTCTTTGGGTCCACACTGCCTTTATGCGCTGTAAACTCACCGTGAAGGTCTGCAGCTTCACTCCTGAAGCCAGCGAGACCACGAACCCACCGGAAGAAACGAACAACTCCAGAGGCATCGCCTTAACAGCTGTAACACTCACTGCGAAGGTCAGCAGCTTCACTCCTGAGCCAGCGAGACCACGAACCTACCAGAAGGAAGAAACTCTGAACACATCCGAACATCAGAAGGAACAAACTCTGGACACGCCGCCTTTAAGAACTGCTAACACTCACCGCGAGGGTCCACGGCTTCATTCTTGAAGTCAGTGAGACCAAGAACCCACCAATTCCAGACACGGTACTATGCTTATTATATGGGTGAGAAATAATTTGTTTACCAAACCCCTGTGACACGTAATTTACCTATGTAACAAACATGCATATGTACACCTGAACCTAAAAGTTAAAAAAAAAGATTTAAAAATCAGAGTAGAAAAATATATATTGTATATATTTTCAATTTGGAAGAAATATCTATTTACATATGCAAAGAAGAAACACTAGGAGGATATACCCTGAAATATTAGCATGTATCTCTGGAGATCAGGTTATGCATCGCTTTATTTTCTTGTTTCTATTTTATTATTTCAGATGCTTACTACCCGAAATAAGAAAAAAATAACAACAAATTGTTCTGAGACAGTGTCTTACTCTATTTCCCAGGATGGAGTGCAGTGGCATCATGTGGGCTCATTGCAACCTCTGACTCTCAAGTTCAAGCAATTCTTGTGCCTCAGCCTCCCGAGTAGCTGGGATTACAGGTGTATGCCGCCACACTCAGCTAATTTTTGTATTTTTCAGTAGAGACAGGGTTTCACCATGTTGGCCAGGCTGGTCACGAACTCCTGACCTCAGATGATCTACCCACCTCGACCTCCCAGAGTGCTGGGATTACAGGCGTGAGCCACAGCGCCCGAAGACTTACTACTTTTTTTTATTATTTATTTTTATTTTTATTTTTTTGGACGGAGTCTTGCTCCATCAGAAGGCTGGAGTGCAGTGGCACCATCTCAGCTCACTACAACCTCCACCTTCTAGGTTCAAGCAGTTCTCCTTCCTCAGTCTCCTAAGTAGCTGAGACTGCAGGCACGCACCACCACGCCCAGCTAATTTTTTGTATTTTAGCAGAGAAGGGGTTTCACCATGTTTGCCAGGGTGATCTCAATCTCCTGACGTCGTGATCCACCTGTGTCGGCCTCCCAAAGTGCTGGGATTACAGGCGTGAGCCACTACCTCTGGCTGACTTACTACTTTTAAAGTAGCGATTAACAAGTGATTTACTTTCCAGGGACAGTTATCAATTTAAATTGATTGCTTAAATCACAAGGAATAATTTGTTTCAGGATGATCAACTATTTCTTTCTTACTCAAAGCTACAAAGTCACCCTTAGGACTTTTTAATGGAAAGCCAGGTACAGCAGTTGATCTTGGCCACATCTCTAAAAGTTCCTTCCCCAATAAAGGAAAAGTCTTAGAAAATAATAAAAAAGAAAAAGTCTAGGAAAGCGATGGAATCAATTCAAATGTTCTACTTCAGTTTTTCATTAGGTTCACTGACAGAGCTTCTGCGAGACATGTATGATTTATTTCAGCCTCTCTATAAGGATTAAGAGAGATTTGGTTCATGTCATATATTGCTCAGTAAATAAAGAAGGCAACCGATTGAGGCTCATAAATCAAAAGTCTAGGTTGAACAAACACTTTAATTGAATTGTCCTATATTATAATAGTAGTGCAATTATAGATGTAGTAGCATTACACACAGCAAAACATGCAAAAATATTCAGAAATATATCATTGAAGAGGCCAGTTGATGCAGGAAATGATACCTGGCAATATTTGACCTTTTTAAGAGGAGACATTGAAAGTGTCAGTTACTGTTTCTTAAAAACTGGCTATTTTCACTGGTAATACATTTAGAGGACGATAAAAGTACCTTACATTTTTACTCAGTAAGTCATAAATGCAATTACTTAAACCATTAAAATTTATGCACAGGATCCCTTTTGTAGCAATCTTTTCTTCCGCTCTTTATTCCAAGCACTAGGGCTTTGTACGTCTCCCAGTCTGACTTTTTTTTAGGCAGTATCTCAAGCCTCTGATACACACTTTTTTTTTTTTTTTGAGACAGAGTCTCTCTCTGCCTCACCAGTTCAAGTGAGTCTCCTGCCTCAGCCCCCCGAGTAGCTGGGATTACAGGCCCATGCCACCACACCTGGCTAATTTTTGTATTTTTAGTAGAGATGGGGTTTCCCCATGTTGACCACGCTGGTCCTGGACTCCTGACCTCAGGTGATTCACCTGCCTGGGCCTCCCAAAGTGCTTGGATTACAGGCGTGAGCCACGGCACCCGGCCCTCTGCTACACATTTTCAAATTTATTTTCTTCTATTAAATTCTGCCTGTAGTTGCCTCAGGGAACTGTGGCCCTACGGCTGTGAAAGAAGGCAAGTCTAAATGCTGATCACTTTGTATTCTTTTTGTTTCTCAAATATATCAAATCTATTTGTTTTAAGTTAATTGGAATCGTAGATATGAGCCCACAGAGTGAATCTGGAACTGTGAAAGAGATGGTGGAATTAGAAGTTTTAAGGAAATTTAGCAGGTCAAGATCATTTAAATCCCATTAGCCATCTAATCCAGTTACGTGTATAAGCCATACAAATGGACTCCTCCCAACCTGTTCCTAAGTAAAAGCTTCCTCATGTTAGCTCACCTCAGATCCTTACATTGAAAATTGGAACTTAATACCCGTTATTACTTACTAGTTTTGAGACAATATGTCATCATCATAATTAAATTACTGCAAAAGAAAACAAAATATAGTCATAATAAGAATTAAGTAAGGAAGGTTTGTACCTGCAGTTTAAGAAAACATTGAGATTTGTGACTTGTACTCCATTTTTTATCAACAAATGAATATTTATTATAATTATTTTCAGTCGTCTCTCTCTCTCTCTCTCTCTAAATATTAGCTATGATGAGAAGAAAGGTGATAATGAGTCTTGATGATAATAACAATATAATAATTTCTATGAAATTTTCAGATACATTGATAACTTTATATGAAGGATTACTTCAATCAAAGAATTTTAGTTCAAAACTTAAAACACTATAATAGTTTATAAATGCAACATAGTATCAATAAATGAATACTGTGAATTTTCTTAATGAAATTAAGAAATTTATGAATTTTCTTAATGAAATTAAGAAATTTATGAATTTTCTTAATGAAATTATTGGTAGCATCATTATATTTGGTTTTGTCACCTGCATCTTTTTCACAAGTAACTAAGATAATGCTTAAGAATCCTTTGATTTTATCTCTTTTGTTCATTTTGTTTTCCTATGTCTCATTTCAGAATTATGTAATCACACTGATTATTACATATGAATAATTTCTGAACATAGTTCAAGCCCCAGTGTCATCCCATATAATTTTATCAAAGTGTGGACATATAGCATTTGATATTTTGGGTCACCTTGGATTGCCAAACCAAAGGTTGCCTAGATTTCTTCTATGTTTCTTTCAGATGTTTTATATTTTTGTATTTTACATTTAGGTCTATGATCTATTTTGAGATTATTTTTGGGAAAGGTGTAAGAACTTTATTTAGATTTATATTTTGCATGCGAATGTCCAGTTGTTTCAGTACTGATTGTTGAAAAGACTGCCCTTTCTCTATTAAATTGAATTTGCTCCTTTGTCCAAGACCAGTTAACTAAACTTTTATGTATCTGTTACTGGGATCTCTATTCTGTTGCACTGATCTGTTTGCCTGTCCTTTTGCCAATACCACACTGTCTTGATTATTGTAACTGCAGAGTGAGTCTTGACATCAGGTAGTGTTCATCCTCTAGCTTTTTTTTTTTTTCACTATTGTGTTGGCTATTGTGGGTCTTTTGACTCTCCGTATAAACTTTAGAATAAATTTTTCAATAACCCCCTGGCATTTTTATTAAGATTGTATTGAATCTATATTTCAAATTGGGAAAAACTGACATGACAATATTGAGTCTTTGTATTCACACACATGGAATATCTCTGTGCGTGTGTATATATATATATATATTTATCTTTTATATATATTAGAGTTTTATAGTTTTTCCTAATATAGATATTACACATTTTATTAGATTTGTACAAAAGTATTTCATTTTTGTGTCAATACAAATAGTATTGTGTTCTTAATTTCAAATTCCAATTTTTTATTGTTAGTATATAAGAAAATTAATTTTGTATATTAACCTTATATCCTGTAGTCTTGCTAAAATCATTTATTAGTTTCAGATTTTTTTATTCTCTACATAAGCAACCATAATTTGTAAACATAAACAATTTAATTTTTCTTCCCAATTTGCACATAGTATAGAAACAATAGGATAGACAGGGATGTATCAGAGGGAATTTATTAGGAAAATTGAATCCTGAAATTATGGATTCTGAGAAGTCCCATGATAATCTGTATGCAAGCTAGAGAGCCAAGGAAGGTGGTTATGTAGTTCAGTCCAAGTCTGAAGGCCTCAGAACAGGAGAAGCTGATGGCATAACTCTTAGTCTGCAGCCAAAGGCCTGAGTAACTTGGAGGCTGCTGGTGCACCGCTGGAGTACAAAGGTTGCAGAACCCAAAGTTCTGATGTCCAAGGGCAAGAAAAGTAGCATGTCCTAGCTTGAGGAAAGAGAGAGGTAATTCACGTTCCCTTGACTTTTTATTCTACCTGGGCCCTCAGCTGATTGAACAGTGCCTGCCCACATTAGGTGATGGTGGCTCTTCCTTATTCAGTCCATTGATTCAAATGTTGATCTCTTCTGGTAATACCCTCACCAACATACCCAGAAATAATGCTTTATCAGCTATCTGGTGAAGTTAACATCTAACTTGCATCAGCTAGGTCTTCTAGTATAATGTTAAATAGGCCTGGTGAGCGTCAACATCCTTGCCTTATTCTTGATCTTACTAAGAAAGCATCAAATTTCTTATTGTATATGCTATAGGTTTTGTACATGCTCTTTATCAAGTTGAGGTAATCCCTCTCTATTCTTAGTTTGCTAAGAGCTTTTGTCATAAATGGGCATTGGATTTTAACAAGTGATTATTCTGAATCTACCTATATGATCATATGATTTTTCTCCATTAGACTATTGATGTGAGGATCTTTGAATGTTGAACCAGCCTCATATACTTTCAAATAAATCATATTTGGTCATGGTGTATAATTGTTTGTAAACAGTTTCGTATTCAATTAGCTAATATCTTGTTGAAGATTTTTGCATGTATGTTCATGAGAGATATTGGTTTGTAGTTTTTCTTTTCTGTCAGGTCTACTTTGGTATCACGGTGATATTGGCCTCGTAGAATGAGTTATGAATGAGGTATATTTTTAAAAGGAAAAATATATTCTAATCTGTAAATTCTAATAATATGCTAAGCTAGATAGTCTCATAAAGTTACAATATAGTGAAATGTCTTTAAACTTAGATAATAAACCAAATATTTTAATGTATTTAATCATTAATTTTTATGCTTTATAAACTTGGTTTTTCTATTATTCTTTTTAAAAGATACATTGAATTAAAATTATATCTCTGTAGAAAAGTTTCAAACAAACACTAAAATGCTCAACTATTACTAATTTTTTTTTACTTAATCAAGTTACAACAACATATTCCTTCATTTTCTATGAGAAAATTCTTTGTAATCATTAACACCTTACTATATTAATCAGGTTTATTTATTTTAAAAGATCGCTAATTTTTTATAAACTTAACTAAATGCTGTGTTTTTCATTTCTCTACCCTTCCCAGAATACATCCATCTTATTACCAAAATCTCTTCTCCATTTTTTAACAAATACCCAGATTTTTCAAATATGTTTTAAATAGTTCAATCTAAAAATTGTAAAGCTTTTCAATAGACTTTGAAAGCTAAAACTAGCAGAATTGATAGCAAAGATATGACCTTGTTGCCATTTTATTATATGGCATAATATAGATGTCACACTTTGAATTGAGCTTATTTCACTTCAAGGCTCAGATCACTTTCCAATTTTATGACTGTGGGGAATGGCGGATAAGGATAGAAGTCACTTTGAAACTGGAAGCTAAATAGAAATTATTATGCCCTGTGAGGGCAATAATTTCACAAGTTTTAATGTTTTCAGTAGTAGAAATTAACAGTTTACTAAAGTATATGATTGAGTAGGAAATTATACCCTTCAAATATCTGATTCAGTTACTTAAGTTTATTTTTTAACACATCATTTTCACTTAACTGGATCTAATTTTCCCATACAAACATGTACCGAAAACAAAATAAAAGCCAATAAAGGTATCTTGTGTCAAAATATGGAAATGGCCAAGTCCTTCAATTTATAAATTCTAACCCATTCTTTCCATTGCTGCTAGCCAGTAGAATCTAGCAAAGGTGTTGAGACATCATTTCTGTGATTAGGATACAAAACACTGTGACTTCTGCCTTACTATGAGACTGTCTGTATGGCCTTCTTGGGAGCTGCCATGTACGAAACGTACATGTAGCGAGGAATAAAGTGCAGGCTCCAGTCAATAGACTGTGACCTGAGGCCCCAGGCCACAAAACCCAAGAGGAACTGACTGCTGTCAACATTCAGAAACTATGAAATCAATGTGCATTGTTTAAGCCAATAAGTTTTAGAATAATGCAACAATAGATACATAATATATTTCCTTTGGCCATCAAACTCAGCAAATTATATAATACTTATCTTAGATATCCCATTTATATGTTTTGCATAAACTTTTTGAGTAGACATTGAAAATGATAGGTTGCATTTCTGTTGGGTACTAAGAATTGTTGGCATATTACTACACATTTCCATTTTAAAGGAGTGGCTTAGATGTATTTTTTCCTAATATAAAAATGCCTAAAATTATTTACTCATTATAAAGTGTGCAGTCTAATTGTAAAAAGTCTAATGTAATTAGACTTTTAAAAAAATAGCTACTTGGCAGCTAATAAAGATTTGTTTTCTTCCTATTAATCTATCTTTGTATGGAAGTGTAGTTGTAGTTTCTATCTTAGTTTTATTTTTAATTTTAAAGATAATTGGGTCAAAATGGGATTTTTAAAATATACTATTCTTCCATTAATATAGTGTTTAGAAAGTCTTGCCCTAAACCCAACATTATCCAAATAGCATCATATATGTATTTTTGCAATTAAAGTCCACAAACACACACACATATTTACTCATATATAGATATTAGCATTATATAATTGAATGACATATCAGCTATATAATAAAATATCATTAAATTAGAAGAAGCAAAGGTATCTATAATACAGAAAAATTCTCTCCAAGCATTTTTATTGATCCTTTTCCAGTGGTGGTTTTAACGGTTGGCTTAGTACATGCCAGAAACAAAAGCTTTAGAGAAACATTGATTATTCAAATTTTAATAAGAAAAGAATAAACTCTCCTCACAATTTTAAGTATGTGTCACGAAAATTACTAAAAAACTCAATCATAAGTGAGATTAAACATACTTGCCTCAGGAAATCAAACTTTGCATCTCCTTCCTCCTTGGGGATACCAGTTACAAGTAGTTCTTCAACTTGTGGTGAAATATCAAAATGAGATAAAATTGTAAAGTTAACAGACAAGCTGGAATTGCAAATTTTAATTTGATTTTTAATGCACCTCAATTAAAATATCTTTATTAAAATATCATATATGTTCTAAGAATCATTATAATTTATTAACTGTTTCAAATGTTATATACATATGTATCTGTTGCCACTGGAAATTCATTCAGTAATCTTAAAAAGATGTGAGAATGACTTAGCTGTATTTTTTTAAATATTGGTTCAAGATTTTATTTTCAAAATCAAATATCACTTTGGTGAAGTGCCAATTTCCAAATACTGTGTACTACATTATTATGAACAAGGACAGAAATGAACAAAGAGAACAAATTATCCAGAGGAAACAATATCTAGGCTAAGAAGCTAGTTAGTATTTTTTTATATATTTGAGAGTATTAAAAACAGTACATAGATCTTATTAATTTGAATCCTTTACCATTGTGGAATACTCTTCTTTTTCTTTTTTGATCTTTGTTGGTTTAAAGTCAGTTTTGTCTAAAATTATAAATGCAACCCCTGCTTTTTTCTATTTTCCATTTGCTTGGTAGATTTTTCTTAATCCCTTTACTTTGAGCCTATCTATGTCATTGCATGTGAGATGGGTCTCTTGAAGAGAGCATACCAATGGATCTTGGTGCCTTACCTAGCTTGCCACTCTGTGTCTTTTAATTGGGGCTTTTAGCCAATTTACATTCAAGATAAATATTGATATGTGTGGATTTTATCCTGTCATCACAATGTTAGTTAATTATTTGGCAGACTCGTTTATGCAGTTGCTTTATAGTGTCAATGGTCTGTGTACTTCAGTGTGCTTTGTGGTGACTGGTAATAGTCTTTCCTTTCCATATTTAGTTCTTCTGTTAGAGATCTTGTAAGGCAGTTGTAGTGGTAATGAATTCCCTCAGTATTTGCTCCTTTGAAAAGGATCTTATTTGTCTTTTGCTTATGAAGCTTAGTTTGGCTGGATATGAAATTATGGGTTGAAATTTCTTTTCTTTAGGAATGTTGAATATTGGTCCCCAATGTCTTCTGCCTTATAGAATTTCTGCTGAGAGGCCTCCTGTTAGTCTCATGGGCTTCCCTTTGTAGGTGATCAGACCTTTCTCTCTAGCTGCCTTTAACATTTTTTCTTTCATTTCCCCCTTGGAGAATCTGATGATTATGTGTCTTGGGAACCATCTTCTCGTGAAGTATCTTACTGGGGTTCTCTGCATTTCCTGAATTTAAATGTTGGGCTTTCTAGGTAGGTTGGGGAATTTCTAATGGACGATATCCTGAAATATATTTTCCAAGTTGTTTCCATTCTCCTCATATCTTTCAGGGACACCAGTGAGTCATAGATTCAATCACTTTATATAGTCCCACGTGTCTCAGAGGTTTTGTTAATTCATTATTTTTTCTCTGTTCTTGTCTGACTATCTTATTTCAGAAAGTCAGTATTCAAGCTCTCTGCTTCTTTTCTTCATTTGGTCTATTCTGCTATTAAAACTTATGATTGCATTGTGAAATTCTTACAGTGTGTCTTTCAGCTCCTTCAGGTTGGTTACATTATTTTCTATATGGGCTATTTGTCTGTCAGCTCCTGTATTGTTTTATTATGATATTTAGCTTCTTTGGATTGGGTTTTAATGTACTCCTGTAGTTCAGTCTTTATTCTTAGCCATGTTCTTAATTATATTTCTGTCATTTCAGCCATTTTAGCCTGTTTCAGAGCTCTTGCTGGAGAGGCGTTATCCGAAGGAAAGATGGTACTCTGGCTTTTTCAGTTGTCAGAATTTTTGCACTGATTCTTTTTCATCTTTATGGGCTTATCTGCCTTCAATCTTTGAAGTTGCTGACCTTTGGATGCTTTCTTTTTTTCTTTTATCCCATTTGATTACCTTGAAGTTTTGATTATGGTATAAGGTGGATTCTGCTTAATGCCTTCATTTCTAGAAGATTTTAGGGGGTCGACACTCAGATCCCAACTCTTGGACTGCATGTTCTAACTCTGGGGAACTTATATTAGGACACGAATTTGTTCTCTGGCTCCTCAATGTTAAGAATTCACTGCACTGGGTGAGGGCAGGGTGCTCCCAGACCACGGATCACTTTACTTCAATGGGTGGTCTCAGACAAAGCATTTCATAGTGCCATGACAGCAGGATTTGACCTTGTAGCGGCAGCTGTGGTAGAGTGCTAGTGCATGCCAGGGTGCTTGCCTCCCTGCAGACTGTCACCACAGTGGTGGAGGCAATGCAGTTGGCGGGAGCAGGGCACCCCTGCTGGTGACTGTGTGCACAGTTGTGCTAGAGGTGGTGTTGGCTTAATGGCAGGTTACTGGTAGATATGGGTCTGAGTCCCTTTTCTGTGCCTCACAAGCAGGAGTGGTCACTCAGGGCAGGGGGAGGATTCACAGTTGTCTCTGTAGTGTTAGTGAAGGGCAGGGCCCTGGCAGAAACAGGACTGGCTGGCTCTGTGTCCATCAAAACTCTGTCTACAATGGTGGTTGGTGGGGTGAGGTGGAGTGGACTGCCCTCCTGCATGCTGGCAGGGCAAGAAATGCAAAACCTGCCAGTGCAGACACATGCCAGCAAAGCTATGTGGGAGGTTGTCGTGGGTTCAGGGGAAACTGCAGTTTGGGGAGAGAGCTTGTGGGCTGGTGCATGTCTGTAGAGGCCACCTCGTTGGAGCTCTCTACCAGTTAGGCTTGGTTCACCGGCACAGATGCTATGGATTGGGCCCAGACAGAACTTGAGACTGCCCTGCAAGCAAGTGTAGCCAGGCTGGGGCCCCAGAAAAGGCCAGCAGACCAAGGGGTGCTCAGGTTGGACCAGTGCCATCTTATGGGCAAGATTGCCTTGCAGAGTTCAGGACCCACAGATCTTTTAGGGCTGAAGTCTCCTGTGGGAACAAATTGAGCCTAAGAAGATGGCTGTCTCTGGCCGTGCTGTGCTACAGGCATTCCTGCACCAGGCCCTCTGGGCTATACATCAGCTTGCTTGTTGCCCCTAGCACTTCTCTAAGCAGCTATCCCGGTCAACTCGAGTTTCTGTGGCGGCCAAGGGGTCTCCTCCTACTGAGGTTCCAGAGGCCTGTGGCAAGAGAAAATTGCTCCTTGCCAGTTCAACTCACCCATTCCCCTTGAGCCACTGGGGAGGAAAACAAGTCCTGGTGTGTGGTAACCCCATGTACAGCTCCCAGCTTTCTCCCCCTTTAGCTCACCTTCTGTGTCTTCCCTCCATTCATTCTTGGTGCATTCCCTCTGAAGATCTGTTAGCTGCACACCAGTTGTCTTGGTCCCTTCATGGGAGCTGTTTCACCTGGCTGTGTCTAGTTGGCCATATTGCCTTTCCCCCACATATGTTTTTCATTAGTAGCAGAGGCAGCTGGAAGACTGTTGGGATGCTGTCAAATATCTTTGTAAGATTATTTTGAAATTGAAGATAATCAGCAAAAGTGTAAAGTAAGCATAAATCTTAAAACTAGGAAAGCATACATGAGCAAAAAAGGAAAGATCTCTTGAAACAAAAAGTATTTACTACTTGAAATTATCTGTTTTAAATAAAATGCTCCAAAATAACACTTTTCAATCAGATAAAATGATTGTTAATCTACTTTTCATTTAGCAAATTGGCTATTTGATAAGGGTTAGTGATGAAAAAAGAAAATGAGAGAGGAAAATTGGATAAATCCCATATCTAATTTGAATAGCAATACAGATGACAGCAACATCAATAGATGTTGAAACTACAACAGTAACAGGTTTGTAGGAGAAGTGAAAGAACAACATGGTAAATTATATTTCAAATATTATGGCTTTGAGGAGCCTGAAGGATAAACAGTTTATAATTACATCAGGCAGTTGACTATAAGATCTAGTGTCATGGGAGATATCAAAGTGAGAAACAGATTACAGAAGTCCTCAGCTTTCCTTTGAAAAAACCTATTGAGAATTGTTTGTATGGTTCAAATCTAGCTCATTCATTTGAAATACTACTAGATTTAGATGTCAGAAATTTTAACCATTCTTTTTGTTTGTTTGTTTGTTTGTTTTTTATTATACTTTAAGTTTTAGGGTACATGTGCACATTGTGCAGGTTAGTTACATATGTATACATGTGCCATGCTGGTGCACTGCACCCACTAACTCGTCATCTAGCATTAGGTATATCTCCCAGTGCTATCCCTCCCCCCTCCCCCAACCCCACCACAGTCCCCAGAGTGTGATCTTCCCCTTCCTGTGTCCATGTGATCTCATTGTTCAATTCCCACCTATGAGTGAGAATATGCAGTGTTTGGTTTTTTGTTCTTGCGATAGTTTACTGAGAATGATGATTTCCAATTTCATCCATGTCCCTACAAAGGACATGAACTCATCATTTTTTATGGCTGCATAGTATTCCATGGTGTATATGTGCCACATTTTCTTAATCCAGTCTATCATTGTTGGACATTTGGGTTGGTTCCAAGTCTTTGCTATTGTGAATAATGCCGCAATAAACATACGTGTGCATGTGTCTTTATAGCAGCATGATTTATAGTCATTTGGGTATATACCCAGTAATGGGATGGCTGGGTCAAATGGTATTTCTAGTTCTAGATCCCTGAGGAATCGCCACACTGACTTCCACAATGGTTGAACTAGTTTACAGTCCAATTGCTAAACAAAATAGGTAATAGACCTACGTATAAACCTAAAACTATAACACTACTAAAATAAACATATAGAAAATCTTTGTAATCTTGGGCTTGGAAAATATTTTTTAGATATGGCGTGAGAAGCACAATCCAGTAAAGAACATTAAAAAAAGGACTTTATTAAAATTATAACTTCTGTTATCTGGAAAAAATATATGTAAGTAAATACAAAGACAAGCCACAAAATAGGGAAAGCAAGTGGCATATATAACAAGAGACAAGTAATTAGAATATATTAAAATCTAATTAAACTCAATAGTAGGTAAACAACCCAATAAAGAAATGGGCAAAGTATTTGAAAATATGGTTTAACAAAGAAGATAATGCAAATGAGCATATGCTCAAAATCATTGGTCATTAGAGAAATAAGATACCTCTATAAATCTATCAGAATATCTAAAATTAAAAGAACTACATCAAGTGTTGATGAAGATGTGGAGAAATTGAAACTCTCACATACTATTGTCTGGAACATAAAATTGTAAACCATTTTTAAAAACTATTTTAATGTTTCTTAAAAAGTTAAACATATACCTTCCTTTTGATTTAACGATTTCACTCTTAGGTGTTTACTCAAGAGAAAGAAAAATATATGTCCCTATAAAAACCGTATGTGAAAGATTATAGAAGATTTATTTTTAATGACCCCAATTTGTAAATAACCCAAAATGTCCACTAACATTTGAATACATAAACAAACTAAATAGTACTTAAAACAATACAAATTAATGACAACTTGGATGAATCACAAAAAAAATATGTTTCATAAAAGAAGTCAACAAAGAGTATATATTGCATTATTTCATAAACACAAACTTTTAAACATGAAAACTCATCTACAGTTTCAGGGAACAGGTCAGTAATTACCTGTGGCAAGAAGGAAATGGGTTGGGAAGGGGGTAGAGCCAGAGAGATTTCAAGGGGATCTTGAGCATTGTTTTGGGCTGAATTATACCCCTCAAAATTCCTAAGTTGAAGTTCTCTCTCTTTTATTAAATTTTTTTTAATTTTTTAATTTTTGTGATGGAGTCTCACTCTTGTTGCCCAAGCTGGAGTGCAATGGCACAATCTCAGTTCCCTGTAACCTGCGCCTCCCTGGTTCAAGCCATTCTCCTGCCTCAGTCTCCTGAGTAGCTGGGATTACAGGAGCGCACTACCATGCCTGGCTAAGTTTTTGTTTTTTAAGTAGAGATGGGGTTTCAGCAAGTTGGCTAGGCTGATCTCGAACTCCTGATCTCAGGTGATCCACCTGCCTCACATCCCAACGTGCTGGGATTACAGGTGTGAGCCACCGCGCCCAGCCCCCATGTTGAATTTCGAACCCCCAGTGACTAAAAATGTGTCTGTGTAGAGGTACTATCTTTAAAGAAGTGATCCGCCTTGCCTTGGCCTCCCAAAGTGCTGGGATTACAGAGGAATTCCAGACTAGCCTGGCCAACATGACAAAATCCCGTATCTACTAAAAATACAAAAATTAGCCGGGCGTGGTGGCACACACCTGTAATCCCAACTACTTGGGAGGCTGAGGCAGGAGAATTGCTTGAACCCAGGAGGTGGAGATTGCAGTGAGCCAAGATCACACCACTGCACTCCAGCCTGGGAAATAGAGCAAGGCCCCATCTCAAAAAAAAAAAAAAAAAAAAAACAAAAAAAAAAAAAACAAGGTGATGAAGTTGATGAAGTTAAAATTAGGTTATAAGGTCAGATCCTAATACAATATGACAGTATTCTTATAAAAAGTTGAGATTAGGTGTGATGGTTAATACTGAGTGTCAACTTGATTAAATTGAAGGATGCAGAGTATTGATCCTGGGTGTGTCTGCATGTTGCCAAAGGAGATTCACATTTGAGTCCGTGGGCTGGGAAAGGCAGCATCTAATCAATTGCCAGCATGACCAGGATATAAAGCAGGAAGAAAAACGTGACAAGGCTAGACTGGCTTATCCTCCCAGTCTACATTCTTCTTCCATGCTGGATGCTTCCTGCCTTTCAACATCAGACTCCAAGTTCTTCAGCTTTGGGACTCGGACTGGCTGTCTTGCTCTTCAGCTTGTAGACAGCCTATTGTGGGATCTTGTGATCATGTCAGTTAATACTCCTTAATCAACTCCCCTTTGGAATATATCTATCCTATTAGTTCTGTTTCTCTAGAGAAGCCTGACTAATACATTAGGACACAGATTTACACACAAAGAAAGAATAATTGAACAATCCGGAGAAGGCTGTCATCTACAAGCCAAGGAGAGAGGCCTCAGAAGAAACTAACCCTGCTGAGACTTTGATCTTGGACTTCTATCCTCCAGAATCATGAGATATTTCTGATATTTAAACCACCTAGTCTTAGGAACTTTATTACGACAGCCCTAGCAAACTAATACAAGGCTGAGAGGTACTCTCAGCATCTTGATTGTGTTGATGGCTTCGTGGGTGTGTACAACTTTTGAAACATCTCAAATTGTATGATTTAATTATGTGTCATTTAATTTTTCCAATTATTCCTCCATAAAGCTGTGGAAAAATACCAACATTGTAAATAAAATCTTTTGAGCAAATACCCATTTCTCAATTTTCACTCAACATATTTAAATTATCTTTCAAATTTTTCTATAAATACAATGATTATTTTAATGAAGTCATATGTACTCTGCACTAAAAGTGAAAATCTAATCATGCCCCTTTGCAAATAACAGCTAAATGCTATTGTTTTGTCTAAAATGTTATCAAATTGTCAATTGTTAGGGTTTTTTTGTACAGTGAGGAAAGCATATATCCTGGAGCCATATAGGTGCAGTTTAAACACTTGGCCTTAGGCATCCTTTACAATATCCTGAACAAATGACTTTTTCAGAATTTTAATTTCAAAAAATTGTAGAAGTCAAAATAGCTATCAAAAACCGTTTAATTTTTTAAATTAGTTTTATTTTTGTCTTTCTATTGCTTCTCTTTTCAGTATCCTTGTTTTTCCAAAAAATTCTTTATCAAGTGCCTAATGTTTATGAGTACTGATCTAATTTAATTTCCTCAGAAGACTCTCATTATATCTGCCTCTCTTCTGTTTTCTAAGCAAGGTACATGCACACCTTTGGAAAACATTATATAAAAGGATTGATTAATAAGGCCCTTAGACTTTAAAATGTCATTTAAAAAAGATAAGTGATGAGAGTGATCCATTTTTAGTTTGCAATGTATGGAAAGCATTTTGGTTTATTCAATAGTAATCAACAGCTTCTGCACTGTTATTTACTGATTGCTATTACATCTTCCTAAGGGGCCTGAGTAGAGATTAAGTGCTTCATAGAAAAGTTACACAGCCTGAGCCTGAAGGCATTGCATAATGAAGGTAAAATTAGAGAGACAGTACTTTGACATCTGTAGGAATCACATTTTGAAAATACAGCTTAACATTCTGGGATTTTTTTTTTCCTTCAAATTCAGATATGCTGCAAACCTCTGTAGAGACTGTAGAAGTAAAGCTGCCAGCCTGCTTAGTTTTCTCAGAATAAATCCCAGGCTCCTTCCTGAGTTCCTGACAGACATGTTTTTCATTTACCGGTAGACTGAAATAGGTAAAAACCACAACACCTCTTCCCATTAATATAAATGTTTTTAGATGACTCTTAGGTTCACATTCTGCTTTAGCAAAGAGGGAGAAGATCAGGAATACTCTCAGGATCAAATTCAAACTGAATACAAATAAATTCTTTATCTCTCTCTCTCTTTTTTTTTTTTTTTTTTTTTGCCATGCAAACTTTTTTAGAACAAAGCAAATGAATATCATTTCAAAATCCAGTATAAAACCAGGGCAGAAAATATACAACATGAGCCTGGAGCATCTGGTAGTTCCAGAACTTGAAGATATGCTCAAAACAAAGAGCAAACATACAGATAAGCTTAAGGGAGGTATGTTAAAGAGGATGGATTTCAGTTGAGAACAATGTATCAGTGCTGCTTCACTGATTGAGATAAATGAAACATAGTGATGTGAGGTTTTAATAATAGGGGAAACTGAGTAACTGAGTAAGAGGTATTCAGGAAGGAATTGTATTACTTTTCCAATTTTTCCATATATCTAAACTATTCTAAAGTTGTAAACTTTATTACAAAAATGTACTTAATCACAAGGATTTAAAAAAATAATATAAATTTGGATCATATTCATCATGAAGTAAACTGTTAATCCGTATGTACATAGATATCCTCTGAAGAATTTTTAAAAATATGTTAGTATTTTTGCAGTGTTCATTTTAAGTTACATTCATTATTATTATTATTTTGTAAGGAAGTATTTTAAGACTGAGTTTGTGTATATTATTTTTCATTTTAGTTTTCTGTGTACAAATAGGACTATGACAATAGACATTATTGTGTGAATAGCTCTGGGGAGTATTAAATTAACAAAATCCATTTAACACTGTTTAATCTAATATTTATCAAACTGATTTAACTACGGAATGATTTTATTCCAATAATTATTAACCCTATGCAAATATTACATTACGTGAAACATGATTTGAGAAATGCTGACCTATTAGAAACTCAAGGCCTCTAAACACTGATCATCAGGTGGAAATGCCACAGAAAAGCTATTTAGGTGGACAAAATCAATCACACTTTTTAAAATTTAGCTTATTCAAGTATAAAACAGGCATAATAATACCCATCACAAAGGACTGTGGAAATAAATACATGCAAATATATGAATACAAATTTATGTGTCTGTGTGCATTTGTGTACTTAGATCTTGCTTATCTTATGACTAATGATATCTTTAAAATCTTATGTATTAAAAACTACACACATGTATAACCATTTTGAGTTTGGAAGTGGAACAGGAATTCCAGAAGTTACACTATATAATTTTCACTGAGATGCAGTATCAACATTTTGTAAGTGGTATAGATCTTCCATCTATTTAATTATCCCAAAGTCAATTCATGCATTCAGAACATTTTGCTTCTATTGTGTACTCCTATGTTTATTAGTTAATTTTCCTAGGTTTCAGTTTTGCTTTTGAAACTGTTTGTAATATCAAAAGACTTCTACCAATTGCATGATGATTTTTGCCTTCTGTTCTCTTGAACACTTCTTTGCTTGGAACGTTGAGTAAAACATGTTTTCTGTGTTTCATTGTGGTAATAATTTCATTTTGATAATCTTCTTATTAATTGCCACCTTGTATCAGCCACTGAGTAAAAACCATTAGGTAAAATGAAAACAAATAACAAAAAGTCAGAAATTGTAAACAAAATGTCTTATTAGTCATTCTAAACTCGTGGAAGTGCTGAGAGCATTTTGAACATAATGCGTTACAATCACTGATTGAAAAATAATATAATTTTTCTAGTAGTTCTCATTGGCTAAAAGAGTCCATGAGAAAACAATACCAAAAATATAAGAAGATATTTATCTGTCCATTCATTCATCCATGTATGTATGCATGTGTATAAGTATATTTGTGTGCTTCATATTTGCTTATATTTAAATGGATATATCTATATATAGATACATAAATAGATGCTTAATGTTTTCCTTCTCTCTGTACTAATATTCCAGGAATTAGAGTATTAAAATTAATTAGGGTGATAGACTCATCTGAGATTGCATTAGATGGAATCTATGAATACTGGTTTTTATGATAGTTTTTGTCATTTTAAAATTATTTAATAAATAACACATACTCAAGCTCTCAATACGCACAGATCTAGAATAGCTGATTTGCTAATATTGATAATCTTAGACAGATAAAATTTCCTGGAGAAGCCTAGAATAGTAGTGCTAGATGAGAATGAAAATAACCAAAGGGGAGACTCGTGAGTTCTGTTCAATTTTATACAAATAAAGATAACTTGACTTTTTTAAATTGTGAAAGTGTAGTGCTCTTTATCACACTGAATTATATCCTAAGGTGTATAGAAATAATCGATATTGAATTTAGAAAAAATAGAAAAAAATCTTTATAATGAAGAGAGACTTACATAACTAACAAGAGAAGTGGCATACTATAAAATAGAGATTACAATCAAATCTGGATGTCACAGATTGTCTGATTGTTACAGTTAAATACTGCCTCCTGCTTACTGGCTACATGTCATTCTTTAAGTAACTTAGTCCATTAAAGAGCATAATAAGAGATACAACCTATTGACGTATGGCTGTGAGTGTGAAAATAGGTATTAAGTAGTGCTTAGTTTAGCACAAAGTCTAGTGCAAAATCCATTCTAAACATATAATTTTAAAAAAAAATATTGTGAAAGAATGTTGAGTTAAATTTCCATTTTAGTTAATTTTCTATAAAATTATTAAAGAAAAAACAATGGTTTACATATCATTTTGCACATTCACTCACTGTGAATTAAAAAAATTACCTCTGCTGGGTAATTTTAAGTGTCAATTTGTGTGGGTCAGAGAGATTGAGGGCAGATATTTGGCCAAACATTATTTCTGGCTGTGTTTGTGATGGCGTTTCTGGATGACATTTTCATTTTAATTGGTGAACTCAGAAAAGCCGACTTCTCTCACTAGTGTGGATTGGCATCATCCAATTGAAGGCCTGAATAGAACAAAAGGCATTAGAAGAGAGAATTTGCCCCTTCTGTCTCACTGCTTGAGCCAGGACATTGGTATTCTCCTGCCCGCACACTGGGAGTTACACCATCAACCCCCTGGTTCTCAGGCCTTCAGACTCGGTCTAAACTACGCCAGTGGCAGTTTGCAGACAGCAGGTCATGGGACTTCTCCACCTCTATAATTGCATGAGACATTTCTTCATAATAAATCTCTCTCTCTCTCTCTCTATATATATATATAAACACACACACATACACATATATACATATATAACACATGTATATATACATATATATATATATCTCCTTTTACTGACTTTGTTTCTGTGACTTGTACACTACCCAAGGTGCATGCTAAAATGATATTCTAGGAACCTTCTTGGAGCTTTGATTCACACACTGTAATATTTAGTCCAGGAGTATATATTTTAATTACCATAGGTAATTTTTATAATCACTGTTTAAAGCAGTTCATAATCGAAATAAAAACTACCAATTTTAGTTGTCAGAAAATTCTGGGCAACATTCTACTTTGTAGATATTTGAATATGAACATGGCACTACATCTGTTTATATGTAACACACAAAGCATTATAACTACTTCATAGGATTATTATACTAATTGAATGAGAAAAAAGTTAATGTTGAAGATACAGTACAAAATATTTCCAATATTGGTTTTGTGTAACATAAAAACCTCTCTATATATGTATTTTTATATCTGTTATCCAACAATCTACCTATCTATGTATATTATAATTTTCTAACCATAAATGTACCAGTGTTAATATAACTGAATAAAGTTAAAAAGTCAGAATTCCATATAATTAGGTGTGATTCATAGCTTGATCACAAAATTAATGAATTATACTTGTTTATTTTCTTGATAAAAATAAACACTTAATGAAGAAATCTTCAAAAAATACTAATTAGCCTTAATTTCAGAACTCAGATATAAAAACGTTAACATTTTGGAATCATACTAGTTTATTGGCATGAGAAGGTGTGTGTTTATACACACTAAATTTTTCTTATTGCCATAGCATTAGGTAATTTTCACAGTGTCACTGAGCAAATGTTTCTTTCCTTCCCATTAGCTGTATCACTTCTGTATAATATATATTAAGTACATAAACATTCTAAAGCCTATTTATGCATGTATATATATAAATGAATATATATATTTACACATTAATTATAATTGAATTCAAATCATCAATATATAAGCCATATCTGCTAAAACATAATAGATCAAATTCTTGATTTACCTGAAAGGAATGTTGAATATCGTAAAAGCTAAGTCTACTAGGAAACACTAAATATATTGGCTATATTAACAATGATCAAAAAGGCAAGTCTTCATAAATTGAAATTATTCTTTTGGGAAAAAATATTTTAACTGTCATGTAACTGAAAGCATTATCGTTCAATTTCTTATTCTAAGATATAAGTATTTCCAGAAAAAAAATCTTTCTTTAGTAAATTGCAGTGCCAAGTACAATTTAAAATTATATAAAATTAATGGTATTATGCTGATATTCCTTTACTTCCCATACCTCTTTTCAAATTCTGAAGAAATTTTACCCTTAAGGGATTTAAAAATCAAATAAAAAGCCTTCATTTTTACACTATTATTTAAAATTTTATCTCCGATTCTTTGTCTCTTTAGTGATAAACTATATTTCTGTTGAATCTACAATGAATAATAATTGTTCAGTATCTCAATACATTTCATTTTGAAGTAGGGATCTACTGATTATTGCAGAGGAGGGATAGATTGTAGGTCATAGCCAACTACTCAAAATTGCCCATTAGTTATCTATTGGCTTGCCTTGAACAAAATTTAGTCAGGCATTTCTTCTCTCCACATGTACCTAGACTTTGGTTTGCCCCTTAGCTTGAGTGAAAACTAAGTTGCAGAACATCCACTCTTTCCAGCTCATCCTGAGAAACGGGTTAAATACAATAGTGGAAGATTCTGTTAGACATCCCTGATAATGCTATCTGTTCACCTGTACCAACTACAAAGTTTCCTACAAAGTTCTTGATAGCCCTGCTTGTACAAAAAAAGTATTTATTTGGTATGATTTTGAGACTTTGTAGATCTCGTGGTCAGAGAATTCTCTGTATTACAATAGTGACATGGTTTAGCTGTGTCCCCACCCAAATCTCATCTTGAATTCCTACATGTTGGGGGAGGGACCCAGTGGGAGGTAATAGAATCATGGGGGCAGGTCTTTCCCCTGCTGTTCTCATGATAGTGAATAAGTCTCATGAGATTTGATGGCTTTATAAGGTGGGATTTCCCTACATAAGCTCTCTTTTTGCCTGCCACCATCCATATAAGACGCAACTTGCTCCTACTTGCCTTCCACCATGATTGTGAGGCTTCCTCAACCATGTGGAACTGTAAGTTCATTAAACTTATTTCTTTTGTAAATTGCCCAGTCTCGGGTAGATTAACATCAGCAGCATAAAAATGGACTAATAATGTAAATTAGTACCAGTACAGTGAGGCACTGCTGTAGTTATCTGAAAATTTGGAAGTGACTTTAGAACTGGGTAACAGGCAAGGGTTGGAAAAGTTTGGAGGGCTCAGAAGACAGGAAAATGTCGGGAACTTTGGAACTTCCTAGAGACTTGTTGAATGGCTTTGCCCAAAATGCTGATAGGGATATGGATGATAAATTCCAGGCTGAGGTGATCTCAGATGGAAATAAGAAGTTTGTTGAGAACTGGAGCAATGGTGACTCTTACTATGTTTTAGTAAAGAGACTGGCAGCATTTTGCCCCTGCCCTAGAGGTGTGTGGAACTTTGAGCTTGAGAGAGATGATTTAGAGTATCTGGTGGAAGAAATTTCTACCCAGCAAAGCATTTAAGAGGTGATTTAGATGCTGTTAAAGGCATTCCATTTTATAAGGGAAGCAGAGCATAAAAGTTCAAAAAATTTGCAGCCTGACAATGCAATAGAAAAGAAAATCCCATTTTCTGAGGAGAAATCCAAGCTGGCTGCAGAAATTAGCATAAGTAACGAGGAGCTGAATGTTAATCCCCAAGACCATGGAGGAAATATCTCAAGGGCATGTCAGAGATCTCCATGGCAGCCCCTCCCATTGCAGGCCCAGAGGCCTAGGAGGAAAAAGTGGTTTTGTGGGCCAGGCCCAGGATCCCCCTGCTGTGTGTAACCTATGGACTTGGTGCCTTGCATCCCAGCCACTCAAGCCTTGGCTTAAAGGGGCCAACATAGAGCTCGGGCTGTGGCTTTAAGGGTGCAAGCCTCAAGCTTGGCAGCTTCCACATAGTCTTGAGCCTACCAGTGCACAGAAATTAATAATTGGGATTTGGGAACCTCTGCCTAGAGTTCAGAAGATACATGGAAATGCCTGGATCTCCAGGAAGAAGTTTGCTGCAGAGGAAGAGCCCTCATGGAGAACCTCTGCTATGGTAGTGCAGGAGGGAAATGTGGGATCAGAGCCCCCACACAGAGTTCCTACAGGGACACCACCTAGTGGAGCTGTGAGAAGAGCGCCACCATCCTCCAAACCCCAGAATGGCAGATCCACTGACAGCTTGCACTGTGCACCTTGAAAAGCTACAGATACTCAGTGCCAGCCAGCCCCTGAAAGGAGCCAGGAGTGGGCTATATCCTGCAAAGCCACAGGATTGGAGCTTCCCAAGGCCATGGGAACCCACTTCTTGTATCAGCGTGGCCTGAATGTGAGACCCGGAGTCAAAGCAGATCATTTTGGAGCTTTAAGATTTGACTGCCCTACTGGATTTTGGACTTGCCTGTAGTTCCTTTGTTTTGGCCAATTTCTCCCATTTGGAAGGGCTGTGTTTACCCAATGCCTGTACTCCCATTATATCTAAGAAATAACTAACTTGCTTTTGATTTTACAGGCTCCTAGGCAGAAGGGACTTGCCTTGTCTCCAATGAGGCTATGTATGGACTGTGAACTTTTGAGTTAATGCTGAAATTAGCTAAGACTTTTGGGGACTGTTGGGAAGGTATGGTTGGTTTTGAAATGTGAGTACATGGGATTTGGGAGGGGCCAGGGGTGGAATGATTTTGTTCTACTGTTTCCCCACCCAAATCTCATCTCAAATTTCCCTGTGTTATGAGAAGGACCTGGTGGTAGGTAACTGAACCATGGGTGCAGGTCTTTCCTGTGCTGTTCTCATGATAGTGAATAAGTTTCATGAGATCTGATGGCTTTATAAGATGTAGTTTCCCTACACAATCTCGCTCTTTGCCTTCTACCGTCTATGTGAAACGTGACTTGCTCCTCCTTGCCTTCTGCCATGATTGTGAGGCTTCCTCAGCCATGCAGAACTGTGAGACCATTAAACCTCTTTCTTTTGTAAATTGCCCAGTCTTGAGTATGTCTTTATCAGCAGCATGAAAAAGAACTAATACAAATAGCCTTTTTGAATAAAGTCTCTCCCTAATCCAGACTTTCTAATTTTTTTTGATAACTATGAACTCTAATTTGGGGGGAAAAAAGGAAGCTAAAAATATTTATGTATATGAAAGGGATGAAAAGAAACTCTACAAAAAAAAAACTGTGTGTGTACACATAAAAAGATACATATAAAATATATGCATATATAATATATGAAAAGATATTATATAATATCTGTGTGCATATATACGCATACACACAGAGATATATGCACAGAGAGAACAGGAGAGCAAGGGAGAGAATAAAATCTCAAAAGACTAAATTTTAGTTGAAGACTTTAGGGAAATGTCAATATGAATGTTTCATAAGTAAAAATGTTGCTTTCTCTATGCTTTACATGTATTAATTAATTAAATGCTCAAAAAAGCTCTATGCAATATGGATTATTATCTCATTTTTATAACAAATTGAGTGAAATGAGGAACAGAGAGGTTAAGTAACTTGCCCAAAGTTATGTTTTTGAAATAGATTTGGATTTGAACCTTAGCCTCCAGGCTTGGGATCTTTCCTCCTAAAAATCACATTTTCCACAGTATTCTATTGGGGATTTGAAAATGTACATTTTAATCATCAGAACTTGGCAAATGATTATTTCTAAAATAGTACACATAAAAATGGAAGCTAATTATCAATCGAGTGCTTCAGAAACACTGTAAACTTTGTCTCAAGGAAAGTAAGGGAATTTTGTAGTTGCATGCAACTTTCATTTTAAAAGGGAAACACAATTATCTAGCATGATTATATCTACTTTTTTGCCAATTCTTTTAGGAACAGAGTTACTTTCTTACCACTATTCTAGATTTCTATATTGTCCTATGATTATCTATTGCCACATGTACAATACGTATGTAATTTATTAACAAATATATCTTTAATTTGCTTGGGCACTAATTCTTTTGAAATAACAACAAAAACTGCTCTATTTAAAATCGGGGCTCAGGAAAAATAACAATGTTCACAGGAGCAGATGTTTCCATCTCATTCTTAATCCCTTTATAAGTGAATTCAAATGCTCCTGACTCCCTGAAATTCCAAAAATAATTAGTAAAAAAAAAGTGCTTGGAAAGACATCCAACTTTGATAAAATGGTAATCTTTTTCTTCAAATAAATCTGACTAAGGCTGGATCTGAACAACAACTGGCAATCAGTGACACATTCTGTATTTTCATAACTTAAAATGATGTCAACCCTTTTTGTAACTAAATTTTAAAAATAGTATTTGAAAATAGCAGGCATTTATCTGGTACTATTTGTTTTGTAGGTTTTAGTTTAGAAAGTCAGACTGAAGTACTAAAAGTTGTCTCATGCGTCCGTGTGAAGAGACCATCAAACAGGCTTTGTGTGAGCAACAAGGCTGTTTATTTCACCTGGGTGCAGGCGGGCTGAGTCCAAAAAGAGAGTCAACAAGTGTGGTGGGATAATCATTAGCTACCATAGGTTTTGGGAGAGGTGGTGGAGTTAGGAGCTATGTTTTGCGGACAGGGGTGGATCTCACAAAGTACATTCTCGAGGGTGGGAAGAATTACAAAGAACCTTCTTTAGGGTGGGGGAGATTACAAAGAATCTTCTTAAGGGTGGGAGAAATTACAAAGTACATTGATCAGTTAGAGTGGGGCAGAAACAAATCACAATGCTGGAATGTCATCAGTTAAGGCTATTTTCACTTCTTTTGTGGATCTTCAGTTGCTTCAGGCCATCTGGATGTATACATGCAGGTCACAGGGGATATGATGGCTTAGCTTGGGCTTAGAGGCCTGACAATCCTGTCTTCTTATATTAATAAGAAAAGCAAAACAAAATAGTGAAGTGTTGGAGCAGCGAAAAGTTTTGTGGGTGGTAAGAAGAGATAATGGGCGATGTTTCTCAGGGCTGCTTCAAGTGGCATTAGGGGTGGCGTGGGAACCTACAGTGGGAGAGATTCAACTGAAGAATGATTTTGGGGTAAGGGGTGATATTGTGGGGTTGTTAGAAGGAACATGTGTTGTATAGAATTATTGGTGATGGCCTGGATGTGGTTTTGTATGAGTTGAGAAACTAAACGAAAGACACAGGGTCCAAATAAGAGAAGGAGAAAAACAGGTATTAAAGGACTAAGAATTGGGAGTACCCAGGATATCCAATTACAGAGTGTCCAAGGAGGTTCAGCATAATTATTTGCTTGGTTGGCAAGTTTTTGGGCTCTATCCTTGATTTTTTTTTATGTTGTCATATACCAGGCCAGATTGATTTAGATAAAATCAACACTCTTCATTTAAAAATATACAGAGTCCCGTTTTTTTGTTGTTGTTGTTGTTTTTTTTTTTTTTTTTTTTTTTTAGCAGTGAGTAAGTCAGGGCCTCAGTGATTTTGGAGGAAAGAGAAATACAAAGCCAGCAATTGTTTGTTAAAGAAGGATTAGAAACGGCCAGGAGAGAGTGAGTTTGATAGCGTGGTGGAGATAGCTGGGGAGAGGTAGAGGGTGGCATAAGAACGGGAACCAGAATAAGAGTGAGTATAAAAGGGAAGAATAGGATTTCATCAGGGTGAAAGTTCTGGAGGGTACCTTGCCACTGAAGATCTATCCACTTCAAGAGAGACTTAAAAATGGCGATTTGAGGTAAAACCAGGAGCCACTAAATACCAAGAGCCTGAGAAATGGCTTGGGTGATTTGACTAATAAAGGCCAGTCTGTTATTGGACTGTATAGAGGTGGGAGGATGGTAAGGGGTATGAAGCTTTCACTGAATACCAAGAGCCTGAGAAACTGCTTGGGTGATTTGACTAGTAAAGGCCAGTCCGTTATCAGACTGTATAAAGGTGGGAAGGCCAAACAGAGGAATTATGTCTGACAGAAGGGAAGAAATGACCATGGTGGCCTTCTCAGACCCTGTGGGAAAGGCCTTTCTTTACCCATCCAGTGGAAGTGTCTATCCAGACCAAGAGGTATTTTAGTTTCCTGACTCAAGCTGTGTGAGTAAAGTCAATTTGCCAGTCCTGGGTGGGGGCAAATCCCTGAGCTTGATGTGTAGGGAAGGGAAGGGGCCTGAACACTCCCTGAGGAGTAGCAGAATAGCAGATGGAACACTGAGAAGTGATTTCCTTCAGGATAGATTTCCATGATGGAAAGGAAATAAGAGGTTCTAAGAGACGGGCTAGCAGCTTATAACCTACATGGAAGAGGTTATGAAATGATGACAGAATAGAATGGGCCTGTAAGGCTGGAAGGAGATATTTTTCTTAGTCCAGTAACCTTTTGCCTTGTGTGGGAAGAGATTGATAGGTGGAAGTTTCAGTGGGGGAGTAAGTGGGAGTGACCAGATGAGAAGGAGAAAAACTGGCCGTGAGGGGCAGAAGTTGGAATGCTAGCTGCTTCTTTAGCTACCTTATCAGCATAAGCATTGCCTTGACTGATGGGATCTGATACCTTTTGATGGCCCTTGCAGTGAATGACTCCAGTTTCCTTTGGAGGTAAAGCGGCCTTGAGAAGAGTTTTTATTAAAGAGGCGTTAATGATGGAGGACCCTTGCATAGTGAGGAAACCTCTTTCAGCCCATGTAACAGCATGGTGGTGCAGGATATGGAAGGCATATTTAGAGTCAGTATAAATATTGACACGTAATTCCTTTGCAAGAGTGAGGGCTTGAGTTAAGGCAATGATTTTGGCTTGCTGAGAAGTAGTGGAGTGGGGCAGAGTGGTAGCCTCAATGATAGATGTGGAAGATACTATAGCATAGCCTGCCTTTGCTGGTGTGTGGTGATTAGGCCTGGTGGAACTGCCATCAATAAACCAGGTATGATCAGTGTGAGGAACAGGAAAGAAGGAAATATGGGGAAATGGACAGAATGCCAAGTGTATCAGAGAGATACAGTCATGGGGTTCAGGTGTGGTATCAGGAATAATGTGGGAGGCTGGATTGAAGTCCGGGCCAGGAACAATGGTAACTGTGGAAGACTCAACAAAGAGTGGGTACAGCTGAAGGAGCTGGGGGGCAGAAAATATATGTGTCAAGTGTGAGGAGGAAAATAGATTTTGGAAGTTATGAGAACTGTAGAGAGTAAGTGGAGCATAGCTTGTGATTTTGAGGGCCTCTAAAAGTATTAAAGCAGCTGCAGCTGCTGCAAGCAGACATGAAGGGTAGGCTAAAACAGTAAGGTCAAGTTGTTCAGATAAAAAGGCTACAGGGTGCAGTCCCGGCTCTTGTGTAAGAATTCTGACCTCACAGCCCTGCACTTTGGCTGTGTGTAATGAAAAAGGGTTGGGATGAGTTAGGGAGAGCTAGTGTGGGGGCAGCTTCTAGGGCTGTTTTTAAGGAACGGGAAGGAGTGGCAAAATGATTTAGGATCTGTGGGGTCAGCTAGGTTTGCTTTTGTGAGTTTATATAATGGTTTAGTCAGGATGGTAAAACTAGGTATCCAAAGGCTGAAATACCTAACTATGCCTAAGAAAGAAAGGAGTTGTTGTTTTGTAGAAGGGATTGGGGCTTGGGAAATTAGCCAGACACAATCAGCAGGGAGAGCATGTGTGTTTTCATGAGAATTATGCTGAGATAGGTAACAGATGAGGAAGAAATTTGGGCTTGACTGAAGTAATGGGGGCTGTCTGTGAAGCCCTGCGGCAGTACAGCCCAGGTAATCTGCTGAGCCTGATGGGCGTCAGGGTCAGTCCAAGTGAAAGCAAAGAGAGGCTGGGATGAAGGGTGCAAAGGAATAGTAAAGAAAGCATGTTTGAGACCCAGAACAGAATAATAGGTTGTAGAAAGAGATATTGAGGACAGGAGAGTATATGGGTTTGGCACCATGGGGTGGAAAGGCAAGACAATTTGGTTGATAAGGTGCAGATCCTGAACTAACCTGTAAGACTTGTCCGGATTTTGGACAGGTAAAATGGGGAAATTGCAAGGAGAGTTTATACCCTTTAAAAGGCCATGCTGTAACAGGCAAGTGATAACAGACTTTAATCCTTTTAAAGCCTGCTGTGGGTTGGGATATTGGCATTGAGTGGGGTAAGGGTGATAAGGTTTTAATGGGATAGTAATGAGCATGTGATTGATTACCAGGGAGGGAGTAGAGGTGTCCCATACCTGTGGATTAAGGTGGGGAGATACAAGGAGAGGATGTGAAGGAGGCTATGAACTGGGTTTGAAAAGGATGCAATGAGGTGTGGCTGTAGCCCAGGAATAGTCAGGGAAGCAGATAATTTAGTTAAAATGTCTCAACCTAATAAGGGAACTGGGCAAGTGGGGATAACTAAAAAGGAGTGTATAAAAGAATATTGTCCAAACTGGCACCAGAGTTGGGGAGTTTTAAGAGGTTTAGAAGCCTGGCCATCAATACCCACAACAGTTACGCAGGCAAGGGAAACAGGCCCTTTAAAAGAAGGTAATGTGGAACGGGTAGCCTCCATATTGATTAAGAAGGGGACGGGCTTACCCTCCACTGTGAGAGTTACCCGAAGCTTGGCGGCCGTGATGGTCTAGGGGGCTTCCGAGGCAATCAGGCAGCGTCAGTCTTCAGCTGCTAAGCTGAGAAGATCTGGGAAGGAGTCAGTCAGAGAGCCTTGGACCAGAGTTCCAGGGGCTCTGGGAGTGCCTTCCAGGTGAGTTGAACAGTCCGATTTCCAGTGGGGTCCCGCACAGATGGGACATGGCTTAGGAGGAATCCCAGGCTGCAGGCATTCCTTGGTCCAGTGGCCAGATTTCCGTCACTTGGAGCAAGATCCTGGGGCAGGCGGTCCTAGAGGAATGCCTGGCCACTGCGGTTCAGGCATTTGGAGTTCTTGTGTGCTGGAGATGTGGCTGGGGTTTGTCTCACAGTGGAGGCAAGGAATTGCAAATCAGAAATACATTGCTACTTGGCTGCCTCTACTCTGCTATTGTACACCTTGAAGGTGAGGTTAATTAAGTCCTGTTGTGGGGTTTGAGGGCCAGAATCTAACTTTTGGAGCTTTTTCTAATGTCGGGAGTGGATCGGGTTATAAAATGCATATTGAAAATAAGACGGCCTTCTGGCCCCTCTGGGTCTAGGGTGGTAAAGCGTCTAAGGGTTGTTGCCAAACGGGCCGTGAACTGGGCTAACTTTTTATATTTGATGAAAAAGAGCCTAAATGCTAACTGATTTGGGAGAGATCGGATAAAGAAAAAAGGAGCATTAACCTTGACTATGCCTTTAGCTCCAGCCACCTCTTTAAGAAGAAATTGTTGGGCAGGTGGGGGAGGGCTAGTTGTAGAACTTAACTGTAAGCCAGACGGGGTGTGAGGAGGGAAGGTGATAGAAAGATTATAGGGTGGGGGAGCAGAGGCTGAGGAAGAATTGGGACCTGGCTCAGCCTGGCAAGGAGCAGCCTGGCGAGAAGGGGAGAGGTCAGATGAGTCCGTAGAAAAGGAGGATTGAAAGGACTCAGAGCTTAGGGTGGAGACTGAAGGAACAGACAGGAGAGAAAGAAGAAAGAATTGGGACCTGACACATTGGGAGAAGAGACTAGGGAGGGACCAATGTTGTTGAAATATGATTCCTGAGACTTTCTCTCAAAATGTTCCTTTGCTCGAACCACGGTCCAAGAATTGCAATTTTAGAAAGCATAAAAAAAGAGTCAAATATTTTAGTATTGTTTGAAAGCAACTGCCCTAATATACTCAATAAAGGTAGGCTTTTGTTCCCAGTCATTGTACAGTAATTTAGTAGTTACTACTCTATTTCCCATACACCTCAACCATTGTTAGCTACATCCTGGGTTACTAATCTCTTTGTCACTGGCCATGAGATAAAACTCTATAATGAAATCTTGTTCCTGCTGCATAGTTGTCAAGATAAAAGTTAATGAATGAGGAGTACTTCCCTTTAAGTTCCTTTTTTTTTTTTTTTACCCACATAGCACAACCTTAAAAAACTGCGTGGCTATATAAGACATTACTGCATCACTTGATAGTTAGCTAATGGGAATTGTACTGTTTGCATGCAGCCTTAAATTGTTTGTTCCCATATGACAAGCATAAAGAAAAACTAAAAACATAAAACAATCAAAACAAACAACAAATTTTTTTTTTTTTTGAGACAGGATCTTGCTCTGTCACCCAGACTGAAGTGCAGTGGCATGATCTAAGCTTACTGCAGTCTCAAACCCTGGGCTCAAGTGATCCTCCTACCTCAGTCTTCTGAGTAGCTGGGACTATAGATGAGTACCATGCCCAGTTAAATTCTTATCTTTTAACAGGAAGTCATGACACAAACTTATTTTAATGTTAATCCTTGATTCCCTGAAATGAGTACCACCATCTCAGAGGAAAACAACTCTTTCAAGATCCAAAATACAATGTCACCTCTTTTACTCAAGTCCCTAACCCAATAATTAGATTTACTTTATGCAACAGACTGAATGTTTTTGTTCCATAAAACTTCAGGGGGTCAAATACTAACTCATAATATGATAGTGTTAGGAAGTGGGACATTTGGGGAGTAAACTTGTAAAGAAGGCCCAGAAACTCCTCTCAACCCTTCTAATATGTGGGAACCCAGTGAAAAAAAAAATTGTTTCTCTATGAATGTAGAAGCTGCCCCTCACCAAACACCAGATCTAGCAGTGCTTTGGTTTTGGACTTCTTGACCTCCAGAACTGTGAGAAATAAATTTATCTTTGGCTATCAACAGTATTCTATTACAGTAGCCTGAATGAATGAAGCACTTTGATCCCTATTTTTATGTCTTATTAATAATTCCAGGAGACGGGCAAACACAGAAGGTGGAATGGGGCAAAAGATGCTGAGTAAAGGACCTTGACCAAAGCTAAAGAGCAAAATAAAAGTAGAGCTGGATTCTGACCCCAAGCAGTTTAGTTCCACGTGTGCCTCCCACCAAGAAATAGGTATATTTCCTTTAAGTGAACCTTCAATACTACCAACATGGTAATAATACGTCATCTTTTAATCTCACTGGCAAGCATATGTTTTTATATTTTCATTTCTCTGTATATACACCAGAACTCCTTCTCTATAGTCCTAATTATGCATCATTTAATATAAAAAATAATTTTCTGTTATCTTTGAACACAAAATGGCTATTGTTGTGTAAATTTTATTTACTGATGGACGTGTTTAAACTGGTAATTTCAGAGACTTTAGATTAAAATAGACAGTCTCTATATAATTGAATTTGTGCTATAAATCTTCCCTTATCTTGACACGTTTAAGAAACTATTGGTTTTCTTTTAGCTGTCTTTTTTGAACTTCTTTGGAAAAAAATATTGCTCATCATATTATAGCTCCTGGTGATTTTTCTTGAGAACATGTAGTTTATAATAAGATAACACAAAACTCTTAGGAGGATTTATGAATTTTGTTTCCCATGATTGCTTAGCCATATACATTTATGAGGTACCAATAACCAGGAGCAGTTTTCAGAACTTAAGAAGTAAACAATTGTTTTAGAATTTAGGTTTAATGATACAATTAATTTTTCCTTTTTAATTTTTAGTTGACATGTAATTATGGTACATATTTATAAAATATAGAGTAATATTTTCATACATGTATACAATGTGAAATAATAAAATTATAATAATTAGCATTTCTATTACCTCAAATATATATTATTTATTTGTGTTATGAACATTCAATATACTCTATTCTAGCTTTTTGAAGATATAAAATAAATTATATGTAACCATGTGTACCCTGCAGTGCTGCAGATCACTAGAGCTCATTTCTCCTATCTAGCTATAATTTCTGTCTGTTAATCAACTTCTCCATATCCTCCCTTCTCCTGATTATCCCCCTTCCATAACTTTCCTCAGGCTTTTTTAGCTCATACATATGAGTGAGAACATGTAGCTTTTATTTTTCTGTGCCTAACCTATTGTAAATAAAAATACCCTCCAGGTTTATCTATGTTGTCATGAATAATGGTATTTCATTATTTTTTATGGCTGAATAATATTCCCTTGACCACATATACCACATTTTCTTTTTTTATTATTATACTTTAAGTTCTAGGGTACATGTGCACAACGTGCAGGTTTGTTACATATGTATACATGTGCCATGTTGGTGTGCTGCACCCTTTAACTCATCATTTACATTAGGTATATCTCCTAATACTATCCCTGCCCCCTCTCCCCATCCCACGACAGGCCCTGGTGTGTGATGTTCCCCACCCTGTGTCCAAGTGTTCTCATTGTTCAGTTCCCACCTATGAAGCTGGAAACCATCATTCTGAGCAAACTATCACAAGGACCGAAAACCAGACACCACATTTTCTTACTTCATTTATTCATTGATAGACATTTAGGTTAAATCCATATCTTAGCTATTGTTAATAGTGCTGTGATAAACATGGGGGTGCACATATCCTTTGATACACTGATTTCCCTTCCTTTGGATAAATACCTAGCAGTGGGATTGCTGGATTGTATAATAGTTCTATTTTTAATTTTTTTAAAAGAAATCTCCATATTGTTTTCCGTAATTGTTATTCTAATTTACATTTCTATCAGCAGTGAATAGGAATTCCCTTTGTTCTTCATCCTTGCCAGCATTCATTAGCTTTTGTCTTTTTGACAATAGCCATTCCAAACAGAGTAAGATGATATCTCATTTGGATCTGATTTGCATTCATGTCTTTCACCACTCTTATTCAATATAATACTAGAAATTGTAGCCAGATAAATTAGGCAAGAGAAAGAAATAAAGGGCATCCAAACTGGAAAAGAGGTAGGCAAATCTTTCCTCTTTACAGATGACATGCTCTTATATATAGAAAAACTTAGACTGTGCCAGGAATCTCTCAAAACTGATAAACAAATTCAGTAAAGTTGCAGGATACAAAATTAATTAATAAAATAATCAGTGGCACTTCTATACACTAATTTCAAACTAGCTGAATAAGAAATCAAGCTGAATAAGAAATCAATCTTATTGAAAATAGCCACACAAAAAGTAAATAAAATACTGAGGAATAAATTGAACTAAGGAGGTGAAAGATCTCTATAAAGGGAAACTATAAAACACAGATAAAAGAAACTGAAGAGGACAAAAACAAATAGAAAGCCATCTCATGCTCATAGATGGAAAGAATTAATACAGTCTTAAAGTTTAGGACAGTTAGTTGGATCAATAAATTTATTTTTCTCAAAAATAGAGGAAGCATGGCCTTTTCAATTTAACTTTAGAATTACAGTAGGTTGAGGACTCAGTTTCTCAAAATGTATTCCATAGATAGATTACACTAGAATTATCTGTGATGTTGTAAAAGTTGCAAATTCCAGGCACCAAACCCAGATTTCCTGAATCTGAGTCTCTGGAGTTTGATCCAGCTATTTGTATTTTAAGGAAGCACCTCAGATGTTTGGTCAGTACTAAAGTTTAGGGACCACATACATATGGAAAGCATAAACAAATGATTCTGGATTCAGAAGATTCATTCAGAAATAATTATCATATGTGCTTATTCAGTCAGAGAAAAATCATTGTAATGCAATAATTTTAGTAGTTACAAAAGTAGCTTTTGCAATTCTGCAGATGTAAAGAATTTGTACTACGTGTTCAGGGCAAACACAAGAAATAATTTAAGAAAAACATAGATTTCCTGTGATTAGCAGGAGATAGGTACAGAGTTTTGAAAATTAGAGAAGTTACAAGCTATTGTTTCCACTGGCTCAACAATGTCTGAGAGTTCACTTTGCAGAGCTGGTATAGCATCAGGCTATCTGGTTTCCCTAACCCACAGATTTCCTCAAAATCCAGGAAAAAGAGAAGAAGAATATCTCTAAGAAACAAATACTATTTATACAGTATTTCTAATCCTCACAGTAACCTGTATCCCATACTCATAATATATGCAAGAACTGAGATTGTAATCAAGGTGAGTAGTATGTCAAATCCCTTATTCTTTCTACTACTTTAAGCTGTCTTCTGGAGTATGGGAAAAAATAGCTACGGATCACATGATTCTGTTCTGTTTTGCTTGTATATCCTATACACAGATCTACCATGACTCTCGCCAATGGAACTTTGCACTGGGTCAGAGCTATCTTTCCTCCAAGTGACCTTTAGGACTAAGAGTTTCTCTTATAATCACCTTCCTTTCATCAGCCAAAACCTTAATGTGCCAGCATAGTCCCACTATTGATCTCATCATATCTCTTCAGCTCTCAGACTTTACTATGTGAACATCGTGTAAGCAATCTTCCTTATGATCTCAATTGATCTAAGCACACTCTGTAGCTCCTCTTCTTTTACCTATAAACCAATCTGCAAACCTGATGGCACTTTTCATTGAGGGCTTTCATATGATGGCTGTTTGTTTCCTATATCCCTATGACTCTCAGTGCAGGAGGGAGGCTTGATAAACTATGTGATCCTCATTTATTCAAATAGACTTTTGGCATCTATTTTTTCCTAACAATAGATGTTTTGAGATTTCTGCAGTTTATCAATGAAGGCAAGCATGTTATCATTCTCTACCAACATATGGGGAACTTCTTCTTATTTATTAAATAACAGTAATAGACAAGTAAAGAACAGAAATGAAAGAAAGAAAGAAAGAGGGACAGAGCAAGAGAAAGCTTTGCCACTTGATTTAAAGCATTGCTCTCTTTTGCATGTTTTATCCTGGTGATTTCAGTACACATGGGATAACCTGTAAAACTCAGGACTTTTTGATATTCAAATTTTTCATGCATAAAGATTTTTCTCCTTGATTCAAATAAGAAAACATACCAAAATCATAACTTGAATTTTACCAGTTGTCTTGCTTCCATCTTCAAGACTGCTCATGCAAACATTCCACTCTACATATAAACATTTAGCTTTCAATCTGTTTCCACTCAGTTTTTCCACTTCAACTGTTCTACAACCTTGTTCAGACTACTCCACTTTCACTACATCCATTCATTTTCCTCATGTCTCTCATCATTAATCTCAGATTTCTTGGTCTATCATTTCAGAAATATCTTTCCATTAATCCAAACTCTCTAACCACTCTTTCATTTTGTTTCACAACTTGAATAAATTCCAATTCCTGAATGAATTCAACTTTCTGTTTTGTCCATTCTTAAAGCAGAGTAACCTGGTACTGCTAGAGAAAGTCAAACAACTACCAATGTGGACATATGAGTAGATTTATTATAACTAGATTATGGCAACTCCAAATAATCTATTAATTTTCTCTGAATATCCACGAATATTTCCAATTCCCTTTTTCACTGTTACATACCTAGAAAATAGTAATGATCTGATTGAAATTTACTCATTTTACAAATTATACAGTTATTTCCAATTCACTTAGTAAAAAAGATAGCCCTATTTCTGTTCAAATACCTACCCCAGTGTTTTAGATTTCATTACTAAAAACTATTTTTTAATTTCTCTTAAAATATAATATATTGAAACTCTCCCACTCTACTGGATCTTTCTCACATTTTTAAAAATTAAAAGCAAGGGACCACAAAGAAACTAACTGAGGTTTTGAGGTGTACATTAGATTTCAACAACATAGACCTTACAAGGATAATTATGGGGCTCTTTTTAGTCTATGTCTCCGTGTATTTGATAATCTAGAAATACATTGTTGAACCTAATTCATTTCACAAAATTTTCTGATTGAAGTTAGCTAGAGAATCTTATAATGTTATTAAAGTATAGATTGAAGTCCAGCACAGAGAACTATTATTCCAATAGAAGGCAAAAAGGAAAATTCAACATAATATTAGCAACATTTTATATAATGCCTACGATATGCTAATATTAAATCAATTGTTTTGAATGGATTATCTCATTTCATCTTAATGAGAAATGATTTTTACCACATTCTCAAATTCAAGTTATTTTAAGTAAAAAATGGAGGAGGAAACATGGAGAACACATGAGGACAGGAGAATATCCAAAAATAATGAGAAGTCAAACCAATGTGGAGTTGGTAGGAGTAGTATACTGGGTAAAAACTGATAAGACTTCAACTAAATTATTAGTGATTATTATTACTGATTAAAGTCCACTTGTATATTGTGTATACTACTTTCTCAAGAAAAATAAAATAAGAAATAATCTAAGATTTTCACTTTTTAAGGCAAACAAATTGATTTTGAACTGACTTAATGGAACTGGAAGTTTGTGCCAATAACATCACAGATATCAATATACTTAACTATTATTTCTGTGATTTTAATAATAATTTTTCAAGAAAGCCAAAATTTTACATAATAAATTGTATTTTTTAAACTTTGTTCTTATTGTGACCACAGTGCAAATCTATTCTGTACAACTGAGGACTACTTAATTTTTGTCGTTTTAAGAAAACAAACTATCCTTATCCATAAAAATTTTTTAAAGAAGGACTAATGCAGAAAAAGAGAACATTTGCAAAAATGCATTTTCCTTTATCTTAATGATTAACACAGGCTCACATATATCATCAGAGTTTTAAGTACCTAAACTTTCTAAAACCAATTTAGTCTCTTTTAGTTATATGCATACTGAGTAAGAACAATGCACACTGAATTTTCTATGAATTAGAAATCAGTGCTGCAAACACTGTGCTTAAAAAAATAAGCAGTCATAGAAACAGCTGGAAAAAAATTATGCTTATCCAGCCTTATGAAATGTAGTTGAAAATGAAAGAAATGAGGAAAACACTATTCATAATTTCTTTTAGACACAAAAGAATCATAAAAAGCCCTCCCAAAGGACCAGTACACTCAATTCTCCCTGATACTAAAGAATAGATTCCAGAAAGAGTCTATAAGAATATAATAACATGACTTGTCAAAACTGGACTGTTTTTAGTTCTTATAATTTAGAAAAAAAAGAAGTCCTTGTTCTGAAATGCAGAGCAAAATTAAAGTTATAATTATACAAAGGAGTACACAGTGGCAGCTGCAAAATCCCTTATATTACTCCCAAACTTTAATTCCCAGAATTAATCTTGATCTTATTGACTGCCTTATTAACTGCTGTAAATAGCAAAGCAAAGTATTTTTGTGGGAGGAAGTTGGAGGCATCTGAGTATAGGATGAAAAACAGCATTGTGATAATGCATACTCTCCACTGTGAATAGTATACGCAACTCCTAAGTATACAAAAAAGCATGTCAAAAATATTTATAATAATATCAAAAGTTTATTTCTTTCATAATTAAAATTGAAATATTTAATATTTTTAAGTGTGCATTGGCTAAGAGCATCATTCTCATGATTGATTGAAGAACACAACAAAATATAATGTAATTAATGTTGTTTTTCTTCCTAATAATTCTATTCTAATTTTTCTAATGTTAAATTAGTTTGTTTTGTTGTTGTTGCTGTTCACTTACACAATGTTAATTGCTCATAACCATTAATTGGTTACATCGTCATTCAACTTTTGTTCACCTAATATTCTAAATTATACCTCAGCAGCGAATAATTTAAAAAATCCGATCTACCCAAGTCAATATGGGCATTATATCCCTTTTCAAAAGTAGTCATTGGTGGGCCAGGCACAGTGGCTCACGCCTGTAATCCTAGCACTTTGGGAGGCCTAGGTGGATGGATCACCTGCGATCAGGAGTTTGAAGCCAGCCTGACAAGACGTATACCAAGGGTTTGTTAGCTCTTATTTTGATATATCAAATTTGATTCTGCAGGCTCCAATAATTGTAATTCTTCGGATTCTGATAGTTTGCTAAAATAAATACCAAGAATTGATCAAACAATATTTAGAAATAAAGGAATTTTCAAATTATTGAGAAATTGATGAAGAAATATTTAACATAAATAGCTGTAAATAAATGCATTTAGAAACCAGTGAAAAAGTATTTTTTCATCAGACAGTATTCCACCTACCCAAGAATGACTTATTTCTCTATCATGCTACTAAACTCATTCTTAGAAAAGTCGTCCATTAGCTCAGTGTTGCCAAAAAATAAATACTCCCTTGACCTCATTGTATATTATCTATCAGTGACATTTAATGTAGAAGATACTTTCTTTGCTTGGATTTTCTGACATACTGACCCCTGCTTCTTATTTTGTTACACAGGCCTGTTATTGATGATGAAAGCCTGGTCTAACTCCCTATTCTCTATTTAAGTTTTTTCTCAATATTATCAAATCCCATTTTTTTTCAATTCTCAGATTTATAACTATATCCTCTATCCTGCACTTTAATTTTTTTAACCAGTTTCATTCATAATCCCTCCACTTGCATTTCTAATTTAGTATTTGAAACCTAGCACATTAAAACAGTAATCTCGTCCTTTCTTCTAGATCGAACTCATGCATAGTTCTCTTCCATATCAGTAAGTAGTATCATCAGCCATTCAATGCATCATCCAAAATGCAAAATTTACCCATGATTTCCCACTTTTGCCTACATTCTAAATCCAATTCATCAGTAAATACCTTTGTTTTATCATTAAAAGAATTCTTAATCTTTTTCTTTTCAATTCTATTACCATAGCAATAGACAGTTCACCATCTCTTCCAATAGCTTAGTTCTGATCTCCTCACTCTCATTGTTGCTGCCCTGATATCCATTCTTCATCAAATCTTAGAATTGAAATTTTAACATAAATTAGAACCTATATTTGTCTTCATTTAAAATCCTCAAAGCCATCTCCCTGATAAAAATGTAACTTCAACTCTTTATAATGATTGCTAAACCTGACATGTTCTACGTCTGCTTAGCCTGTGTGACCTCAGATTCATCCCAGGATGTATTATGACACATACCCTTTGGCTGCCTTATTATTCCTATGTTCAAAGCATTTGCATTTTCCTTCTCCCTTAGTTTGCCAAAAGTCTAGTATTTTTCTCAAATTATGGGAGAAACCACCAAGATCCAGGATGGAACATAACTTTTGTATGCTGTAACAAGAGATAACGAATCCCACAAAAGTGCTGAAAAGTAACATTTTCCTGAGGGTTCCCAGGTCAGTTTTTCAGCATATAATGTGGATATTGAATCTCTGCGGCAAGAAAAAAAAAGTATTATCTTTTTCTACATTGGTGTATTTATTAAAAATTTTAGGAGACCAAATTTAAACATTAAATAAAAATGAAATAGATTGGCTCCTACCGCTGGAAAGAATATCAGGCTAGTAACCACATGAGAAATTAAGTAGAAAGAGAAAGTTGGGTATTGAAGCAACTTGCCTTTTCCCCATTTATACCCTTTCTCAAGGTAAAGCAAGAAAAAAGGAAAAAAATGCATACAGATTGGAAATGAAGAAGTAATACCAACTTAATTCAGAGTATTTATATAAACTAAATAGAAACTTTGGTCAAATATACAAAAATGCCAATAAATATAATGTTGTTTATCATGTTTATAGGGCACAAGATCAAGATAAAACTAAAATTTATTGCAAAGAACATTCAAAAATGGAAATAAAATACATAATTAGAAATACTAGTAAAATTATGTTCTATTTAGCTTGGATGGTGCTCTGCACGTTTGTAGTCTCAGCTACTTTGGAGGTTGACGTGGGAGGATTGCTTGAGCCCAGGAATTTGAGGTCAGCCTAGACAATAGAACAAGACTCTCTCTCTCTCTCTCTCTCTCTCTCTCTCTCTCTCTCTATATATATATATATATATGTACTTTATATATATATACTTTATATATAATATGTATATACTTAAGGATAAGTCTGTCTAAAAATAAGCATAATTAGTGTATACTCAAAAGGCAAACAAAAAAAGAGGAAATGTTGCTGAGTAAAATTAAGGCAGATCTAAAATAGAAGATTGCTGTATTGTGTTCGTACATCAAAAGACCCATCATAGTTGAAATGTCAATTCTCTCCAAAGCAATCTGTCAATTCAATGCTGTCCTCATCATGATCCTAGCAAGCAGGCTATTTTTTTTTTTTTTTTTTTTTTTTTTTGGTGGGGGGAAGGAGTCTCTCGCTCTGTCGCGCAGGCTGGAGTGCAGAGACGCAATCTCTGATCACTGCAAGCTCCGCCTCCCGGGTTTACGCCATTCTCCTGCCTCAGCCTCCTGAGTAGCTGGGACTATAGGCGCCGGCTAAATTTTGTATTTTTAGTAGAGACGGGGTTTCACAGTGTTAGCCAGGATGGTCTCGATCTCTTGACCTCGTGATCCGCCCGCCTCGGCCTCCCAAAGTGCTGGGATTACAGGCTGAGCCACTGCGCCTGGCTGCAAGCAGGCTATTTTTTATTTATTATAAATTGAGAAGTTATTTCTGAAATCATATGGAAGTGCTAAGAACATATAATAAATGAAACAGCTCAAAGAATAACAAAGTTGGAGCATGTATATTGTTTGACTTCATGTTAATTATTAAGTTATATGCCTCGAGACAGTATGTTATTAGCATCAAGGTAGACAAATATATGCATGGAAAAAATAAAATGCGGACAAATAGACTAACAGATATAAGATCAACTGATTCTCACCGAATTGCAAGTTCAGTCTACTTAAAGGACAATCATTTCAACACATGGTTCTAGCACAACTGGATATTTATTTGATCAAAATTAAACTTTAATTCGTAACATACCTCATATAATTAACTCATTTTTCATAGACTTAAGTGAAAACATTTGGAGGTGTTTAACTTCTAGAGAAAAATATAAGAGAAAATAATTGTGACCTTGTATTAGGCAAACATTTCTTAGATATAATACAAAAAAAAAGAAAAAAAGAAAAATAAAAAAACCCTAAAAATATCCTGATTAAAAAGTTGAAAAATGGATTTCGTCAAAATGAAAATTACCCTTTGAAATATACTACTAAAAGAATAAAGAATTCAATCATCAATTTAAAAAAATTAGCAAAGTTCATGTCTGATTAAGGTTTGTATCATGAATATATAAATAACTCATGAAATTCAATAATAAGAAAACCATTAATTTAAACACAGGACAGATAATTCAAAGAGTTACTAATGAAGGTATGTGAATGTCGAATACACACATAAAATGCTATTAGCAATATTAGTAGTAAAAAGCATTCAAATTAAGTCAACAGTGAGATACAAATGTTCACATCTATTAGAATGGCTAAAATTAAATAGGCTGATCATAGCCAAGTGTTGTACAGGATGTAGAGCAACTGCAATTCTCATACACTGCTAATGGGATGTAAATCATTTGCATAAAATATAACAGCTTTCCATGCAATGTGAACATATACCTATCATTTGATTTAGTGTTCCAGTACATTGTAGTTACCCAAGTAAAATGAAGATTAACAACTTTAGTTTCTAAGAAAATACAAATTAAGTTGACACTATTTATGCCTACTAATAGTTGACTTTTCTAATGGAATTGGTTAGAAACTGGAGAAACATGACAGTTGATGGAAGTCTTTCTCCCCTGTGGATTGAGGTAAAAATTAAGAAAATATGATTGATTTAGGGAAAAACTAAAGTACTATTTGGATGCAAAATCAGTTACACAGTTTGGATTTCAATATATAAACGTTTTTTGGTAAATGAGTGAATATGGATTTTTAAATTTTTTAAGGATTGCTGTATTAATGGCAATCTTCAGTTCCAAGTAATATTTAGTTTTCTGAGTACTCAAGGGGATTTAAAGATCTCATTGGTAATGTTATATATGATATACAGGGTTTTTCTCATGAGGAAAAAATACCATTTTAGTTAGAATATTGAACACTATAATTGTAGTTCTGTATCCATGCTAAATCTTGTAGGTTAGGAAAAATATTCAAAGTTGTTGGAACTGCAAAGTGAAGTTCAACAGTTCCCTGTACCCCCAGATCTTGTCCAGGTACAAAGTGTATTAATACAAATTTTAACCTTATGGGCCATATGAAGCATTTAAAAAAATGCTTCATTTTCATTTAAAATGCCTACCCATTTGAAGGGAATTTCATGTTATGTTAAAATTATTCCAACCAATACCATTGAGATGGTATTCTAGTTAAGTTGAAGATTTGAAATTGTCCTCATAACTAGTAATTTTCATTTGCTAGTGAAATTAGGTAATCTTGGAGGAAAGTTTCTATGAGAAATAGGTGCAGAGGTAAAAGGTTCCTGAAAGTGGAGTGTGTTCTACACAAACCTATTATAATATATAGGACTGATTTGGGGTTAATTGGGAGTGATTTATGTAAATACAGTCCTTCACAGATAGAAGAGTTATCAGTATTTGAGGACCTGAAATTTATGGGAATATAGTCTTCCACAGATAGAAGAGTTATCAGTATTTGAGGACCAGGTAATCCCATTTTACTTCTTGAAAGAGATGACTTAGGAGCTGCAAAGAGATAAAGAAGGACTGAATAATCAGTGTGGTGAAAGATGACAAATATCGGAAAATGAATTCCCTGATTCCTTAATTAATTAACCATTCATTCATTTATTTAAAATATATCTTGAATTACTTATTTGTGACTAGTGCTGTTTTACATAATGGAAATACCACAAGTAATCATTTTTAAAATTCTTTTGCTTTCACAGACTTAAATCAAATAAATATTCTAGTCCAAAAACAACATACAGGTTGCATGCCATTATGCAGATTCTTTTAGTGAACAAAGTATGCACTGCTCACCCTAATTTGGAAGCACTTTTGTTTCAGAGTTCTATAAGAAAAGCAATGCTGCAAAAAAAAAAATGACCAATACCTCCTAAAATAAATAACATCTGAGATATAAAGTTATGTTTTATATCAAGATGTAGACTGTATCAACAAGGGATGCCATTCCAAGAGTTATTCTAAAATGCTGTTTATCGTGATTTGGAAAATTTTCAAATCATTACAGAAACAAAATTATATCACATAAGTGCATGCTGACAAAATCATGCAATTTCATAAAATCTGCACTCTCGATATTATGCCATACAATCTGTGCTGTCAGTATTATGCATAGGTGATTGAAAGCTGTGAAGTTCTGTTGAGGAGTGGCCGGTAATCATTGATGGGATACCACCGTTTTCTACGTGGTAGGGCTTCTCATTTTCTGCACAATGCCTTTGGACAGCTCTTTTGCGTGAATCTGTCATCTGCGAATAAACTATTAAAATCATGGACCGAGTTAGTATATTGTATGTATATGGGGTTTATCCTCTGGCAAAACAGCAGAACTGATAAGTATGTGAAGCATTAGCAAAAGTTAATGTGTAAGCCACAAGAATAGATAATTTCCCTGAAGAATGGCAGTGTCGATGAAAAGCAACCAAAAGTAAATTTATAGGAGACAGAGAACAAAAAGTTGATTTGAGAGAAAATAGAACAAGAGGACATAGAAAAGAGGCAGAGTAAAGTTCAGCATAGCATATTTGATAAATCAAGAGGACATATTTGAGAAGAGAGGGTTAGGATGCCTGCTAATAGACAGTGGGTATTAGTGGACAGAAACATCGGTCACTGTTCTTAAACACAGCTCGCATTAGAGATAAGACAACAAAGATCAGCAGCATCCAACTCCTAAACTGTGTGTACTTTTTTACCTCCCAACATGTTTTATTGGCTTCAATATTTAATCAGATATAAAGGGCTCCAGGAAAACTAGCTTTAAAGAGAAAACTTTTAGGAATTATTTTGTCTAGTTCCTGAAAAAAGAAAAATGTGGTTTCTTTTAAAACTTGTATTGGAAATTTGGGACCTGGGGAAGTTTTGTTTCTAAACATAAAATTAAATTATAACATTTGTCTACATTATAAAGTCTCTAGTTAGCTTTCATGAAAGCCTTAATTATTTAAGGGAGAAACAAAGACAGTCAGCAAACACATTTAGAGATGAGAAAAGTAATATTCCTAAAATAATTAGATTAAAACCAATTCTAGGTTAAGACTATATTTTGCCTCATACCAAAATTGTCTATCTCTACTGGATTACTCATTTTTCTAGAAGGGCAATAAATATTAATTTAAAGCTATAGACACAAAGGTACTGAAGTGTGAGATTTTCACTGAGACCATGAAACTTTAAACCACAGATATTGGATAATTTGCCTGAATGAAATAGATATTATTGTTCACTAAGATACGCTTTTGTGCTGCTGAAATTATTTTCCACAATTTTGTACTCAACATAAGATTATCGATAGCATTTGCTATGCTAACCAGCATAGCAAATCCAGATTTATTCGCCATCCTTAAATAGTTAATAGTGTAATGTAGTTGATTATTGCAATAACAATGTTTGCTATAGGTACCTCAGAAAATTACAGTAACAAGTATCAAAAACAATTTATAAAGTACTATTAAATTATAAATTACTTTTGTTTAAAAGTTTTATATTTTCGCATTATCAGTTAAATTCACTAATTACTTAAAATTAAGGTAATCCTGATTTTTTGCAATGAATCTGAAATTATCTTATAATTACATTAAATAAGAAATACCTCACATTTATCCTAAGCAAAGTTTCTTACAATTGATAGACAGTATTTGTGCACTGATGAAATGTGTCAAGTTTTTCAAGGATAAATACTGTTTAACATTACTATTATTTAACTTTCTTAAAGAGATTAGAAGGACCTACTGACTTAGTGATAGTTTTTGCATTAATTAACTACCTCATTTATTCAATAAATGAACTTGAGAATACAGAAGTGTTGCATTAGGAACAAAAATCGTGAGCAAAGATTTGTCCATAAGAATCCTATATTTTTTAATTAGAGATGAGCAAGCCATAAAGAAGAATAGACACAATGAGAAACTTATGATATGTGCTTTCAACATGACAAAATAAAAAAGGATGTTAACTGTGTGTTGTATATCGCCTATATTATATTGAGGTATGTTCCTTCTCTACTCAATTTGTCAAGAGTTTATACCACAAAGGGACGTTAGATTTTATCAGATATTTTTTCAGCCTCTATTGAGGTAATCATATGAATTTTTTCTTTGATTCTGTTAATGTCATGTATCATGTTTATTGACTTTGGTAAATTGAACCATTCTTCCCTCTCTAGGAAAAAAATCCGACTTTATCATGATGAATGATCTTTTTAATTGAATTTGGTTTGCTAGTATTTTGTTGAGAATTTTTGCATCTGTATTTATCAGGGATATTGGCTTATTATTTTGTGAGTATGTGATTTTGTCTGGTTTTGATATCAGAGTAATACTGGCCTCCTAGATTAAATTTGGACATTTTCTGTCCTCTTCAATTTGTTGGAATAGTTTAAGTAAACAGAATTGGTATTAGTTCTCTAACTGTTTGGTATAATTTAGAAGTGAAGCGCTCAGATCCTGGGCTTTTCTTTTACAGGAGATATTTTATTGACTTCTTATGGGTCTGATTAGGTTTTCTATTTACTGAAGATTCAATCTTGGTAAATTTTATGTGTCCAGGAATTTATTCATTTCTTCTAGGTTTTACAATTTGTTGGCATATACTTGTTTGTAATATTCTCCTATAATTCTTGTATTTTTGTGGTATTAGTTGTAATGTCTCCTTTTTCTTATTTTATTTGAGAGTCTTCACTCTTGTTGAGTTAATCTAGCTAAGTTTGATGATTTTTTTTATCTTTTAGAAAAACAAACTTTGTTTTGTTGATCTTTCTAATTATTTCCTATAGGCTCCATATATTTCTACTTGGATATTTATTATTTCTTTCCTTCTGCTAGTTTTGGGGTTAGATTGTTCTTGTTTTTCTGATTCCTTGATAACATGTTGTTTATTTCAGATTTCTCTGCTCTTTTCCTGACATAGGCATTTATTACTATAACCTTCTCTTAGAACTGCATTTGTTGCATTCTTTAAGTTTTGCTATGTTGTGTTTAAATTGTCATTTGTATCAAAGAATTTTTATATTTTCTTTTGAATTCCTTCATTGACCCATTGGTTTCTCCTAAGAATGTTATTTGATTTTCATGTATTTGTATAGTTTCCAAAGGTCATCCTGCTATGGATTTCTAGTTGTATTCCAGAGTAGTCAGAAAAAAAATACTTTATATGGTTTTACTTTTAAAAAATATGTTATGACTTGTTTTGTGGACTAACGTATCATCTATGCTGAAGAATTTTCCATTTGCTGTTGAGAAGAATGTGTAATCTGCAGCTGTTGGATAGAATGTTGTATAAATGTCTGTTAGGTCTATTTGGCCTAGAGTGCAGCTCAAGTTTCATTTTTTATTGTTGTTAATTTTCAGGCTGGCTGACTTGTCCATTGCTGAAAGTAGGGTTTTAAAGTCTCCTACTATTATTGTATTGAAGTCAACTTTATTTATATCTATTAAGATTTGTTTTACACATTTAGGTGCTCCAGTGTTAGGTGCATATATATTTACAATTATTATATTTACCCAATATATTTAATTCTGTATCACTGTCTAATAGCTTTCTTTGTCTTTTATTGTCATTTTTTGCTTAAAGTATATTTTTACATAAGTATAGCTATTCCTGGTCTTTTTTGGTTTTCATTTGTAGAAAATATCTTTTTCATGTCTTCAATTTCAGTATGTGTGTCTTTATAGGTGAAGTAAGTTTCTTGCAGGCAGCATGTAGTTGGGAATTTTAAAAAATATATGGAACAACTTGATGTATTTTAATTAGAAATTTAGTCTTTATAGGTGAAGTAAGTTTCTTGCAGGCAGCACGTAGTTGGGTGCTTTAAAAAATGTATGGAGCAACTTCATGTATTTTAATAAGGTATTATTGATTGGTAAGAACTTATGACTATCACTTTTAATTTGTTTTCTGGTTATTTTGTAAATGCTTTGTTCCTTTCTTCCTTTGTGGTTAAGTGATTTTCTCTAGTAGAATATTTTGATTTCTTGTTTTTTATTTTTAGCGTATCTATTATGTGTTTTGTGGTTACCATATGGTTTACACAATCATCTTACAGCTGTAACAAGTTATTTTAAACTGATGACAACTTAACTTTAATCACAAATAAAATAAAGTCTAAGAAACTCTATACTTTTATATTTTCCCCATATTTTGACTTTTTGATGTCTCACTTTACATCTTTTTATATTGCCAATCCCTTGACAAATTGTTGTAGTTACTATTACTTTTAATAGTTTTGTCTTTCAGTCTTCGTACTAATTTGAGTCATCCACACACCACAATTACAGTATTTGAGTGTTCTAAACATCTATGTAATTACTTTTACCAGTGAGTTTTATCCCTTCAGATATTTTCTGGTTAGATTTTGCACTCTTTTCTTTCAGACTGAATAAATCTCCCTAGCGTATCTTTAGTACAGGTATAGTGGTGATTAATTTTCTCAACTGTTTGAGAAAATCTTGTCTCCAATTTATGCCTGAAGAACAGCTTTGATGCGTATAATATTCTTGATTGGCAGTTTTGTGTGTGTGTGTGTGTGTTTTTTTCTTTCAGCATGTTAAAAATGTCATGTCACTCCCTCCTGGCCTTTATAGTTTCCGTGAAGAAATCTACTGCCAGGTGTATTGTAGCTCCTTTATAAGGTATTTGCTTCTTCTTTGTTTTTGTTTTTTTTTTCCATTGCTGCTTTTAGGATCCCTTCTTTGTTCTTGACATTTGAATTCCATCATTATATGCCTGAGGGTAGTTTCATTTGAGTTGAATCTGCTTAGTGACCTTTGACTTTTCTGTACTTGTATATTTATTTGTAACTTTTGATATTGTTGGATGTATCCCCACCTAAATGTCGTCTTGAATTGTGGCTTCCATAATCCCCACGTGTTGTTGAAGGAAACTGGTGGGAGGTAATTGAATCATGGGGGTGGTTTTTTCCCATGCTGTTCTTGTGGTAGTGAATAAGTCTAACAAGATCTGATGGTTTTATAAAGGGCATTTCCTCTGCACACTCTCTCTTGCCTGCTGCCATGTTAAGACATGCCTTTGCTCCTCCTTTGCTTTCTGTCATGATTGTGAGGTCTCCCCAGCCATGTGGAACTGTGAGTACATTAAACCTCTTTTTCTTTATAAACTACTCATTGTCAGTTATGTTTTTATTAGCAGCATGAGAACAGACTAATATACTTTTCTTTATGGTTGGAAAGTTTTCTATTATTATTCCTTCATGTAAACTTTCTCCCTCTTTCTAGTTCTCTACTCCTTCTTGAATGCTAATAACACACCTGTTCTTTGATAAATTTCATAGATCCTGTCAGTTGTTTTTTCTTTTTTTCTATTCTGATTGTGTATTTTCAAATAGCCTGTCTTTGAGCTCACTGATGCTTTCTTCCATTTGATCAATCTGCTGTTGTGACCCTCTAATGCATTCTTCAGTCTTTTAACTTTATTTTTAGCTCCAGAATTTTTGTTTTAATTTAAAAATATTTTAATCTATTTGTTAAATTGCTATGATAAATTTCTGAATTGTTCTCTGTGGTTTTTATTTTTATTTTTTAAGCTTTGTTGATCTTCCTTAAACAGCTATTTTGATTACTCTGTCTGAGAGACTACACATCTATATCCCTCCAGGGTCAGTCACCGGTACCTTATTTAGCGCATTTGGTGAGGTCGTATTTTCTTGATTATTTTTGATGGTTGTGGATGCCTGTTGATGTCTGGACATTAAGGAATTGGGTATTTATTCCAGTCTTCACTGTCCGGCCTGCTTGTACCCATCCTTCTTCAGAGGGCTTTCCAAGAATCAATGGATTCTGACTGTTAGAGTTTCTAATCCTGTGATTACTACAGCCCTAATAGCAACAGAGGGCACCCTAAGGCCAAGTTTGCTAAAACTGTCTCACAGACTCTGTGGTCCTGACTCAGATGTACCTGTAAAAGATCATACCCAGGGGTGTTCCCTGTGTTCCAAGGCAGAGTCCCTTACTCAATTTTCTCTTATTCTCCTAGGCAGGAAAACTTTCTCATCTCTGTGCTGCCTGGGGTTAAAGCTGTGATGCAGGCATACTTGTGGCTGCCACAGTTGATGCTGTGCTGAGTTATATCTAAAGCTCATAGCCTCCCAGATCACCACAGTGCAAGAGCTTACCCAAAGCCTATGGCCACCATGACCTTCCTAGCTGCTAGAATGTTTTGGGGGTCTGAGACTACTTTAGTCACATGGTGGTGAAGCAGGCTGGGACACAGGTTCAAATTGCTGGGATGGTGGATTCCCTGCTAGTGTCAGGGAAGGTCTAGAACTTTCATCCACAGGCACAAACATGGAATCAGGGGCCACGGGGATTTGTCTGGTGTTGTGTTTTTCTGTGGTGGGACTGCTGCTGGGTTTCAAAGCAAAGTCGATGCACACTTTCTTCTCCTTCCCTTAAGCAGATGGCATCTCTCTCCACGCTTCACAGCTTGGGGATGGGGGAGAGATGGTAAAGGCAATGAGATACTGCTCTTCCTACCCTCTCCAATGCATCTTTTCTTATTATTTTGCTAAAATCAGGTATTGTGATCTCTCAACTGGTTTTCTTATGTCACATGAAGGTATTTTCTCATGTGAATAGTTGTTCAAATTGATGTTTCTACAGGGGCACAATCACTGGAGAGTCCTGTTCTGCCATCCTCCAGTGAGAAGAGTCTCTAGTAAATTATGTCAGTGTGTTTCAGTCTATATCTGCACTATAATAGGTGTACATTCAATCCATACCTGCACCTATAATAAGTGTACATTTACTGTTCATTTAAGTCATTAATTACTAATAGAAATAGTGCAAACATCAGTATCCTGATGATTACTTTGCACTTTAGAGTTCTACAATATGCCAGTGACAATCTCTAAAGCAGAAAGTGATTATTTTACCATTTATATGTGTTTGAGGTAAACAGAAGGGTCAATACATTATAAAATGTGTAAATGCTTGAAGAAATATTTTGGCATAAAAAGAGAAACTGTATCTAATAAAAATGTTCAAAATTATGGAATTATTTGATATAACATAAAGTTAAACATAAACTCTGGAAGTATTAGTTATAGGGACATCAAGTCATATGTTATATAATTGGCATTAAAGGCAAAGTACTAACAGTGTAATCTGGCAAAATAAAGTGTTTTTTTCCTAAGGCTTTACAGGAATATAAAAGTCTCTAACACTATCAATGAGATTTTATATGTCACCAATAAAAAACAAATATTTTCCAAGCATTGTGAAACATTGTATTTATGAGTTAGGCTTTGAATTCTTGACAGATTTTTGACTATATGAGACAGGAAATCATTGGGTCATTTTCTCATCTTTAAAAAAACAAGTAACTATTGCAACTACTAACCAAGTTTAGTGAATGTTATAGCTGGAACACTAATAATTTAAATGACTAAAATGATTGCAAATTTTGGCTAAATCACATTTTAATTGCCTACATAGGAAATATATAAAACCAACCAGAAGCATCATCATTCATAAAGAAATTTTAAAATATACATATAAGTTTCTTTCTTTGTCCAGAAAATCTTCAATTTGGCCATAATATTTTTATTTAATGTCATATAACAAACGGATGTATGATCCTACCCTTTCTTTCTGTCAATGTTCTTATGATTATCTTTTTTGATCAGCTGTTATCACTTTGCTTTATCATCTTCTTGGCTATAGTTAATTTGTAGTTATTACAGTTGATGTCATTGTTATTACTACTACTGTTGTTATGGAATGGGCTCTTATCATATGCTAGAAAACTCACTATGTGTTTCTTCAGAATGTACACAGCCTAGAACCAAACTATGTGTTTTTCTGATGCAGACTTTAATTGTATAACCATTAATCTGTGTTACTTCTGCTTAAAGTATGTATGTGTTCAAAGAGCAATTTACCTAATGTGTCCAGGAAAATATTACGTAGGAAGTAATATATAATATCTTTAAAGATGAGAAAAGTACTACTCTTATAGCTCCCTCCTCACTCTCCCCTGCCATCTTCACCCACACACACAAAAATAGCTTTTATGTTATAGGACAATGCTCAGGGTAGAATGGTAACTCCAACGATAAGTCCAAGCAACTCATGGGGTTCACAAAACAAGCAAAACAAATGCAAAGTTAACATTACTCATTTGAAAAAGGATATACCTGGAATAAACTTTGAACTTTGAACATTCATAGGTTGCAACTAATAAAGGACCACCACTGAGGAAGTGAACATTTTAGCAAGGCAGAGCCTGAGAAAAATACACTGAGAAACACAGAAGTAGATTAAAAGACATAGGCACAGTCAGTAATTTGTGTTATCCCTAAAATTTCTCCTGAATTTCAGACTCATATACAAGTGTGCTTTTGACTTTCATTTGTATGTTTAATAGTCATTTCACATTTGATATGTTTTAAACAAAACTGTTGATTTTCCAGTACAACCTTATTTCTTTCCATGTTTTTCACATCAGGAAATTGCAACATCATTCTTCCAAATTGTATAGCTCCTCTCAGAAAGTCTTCCCTCCTTCATCCTGAATTTATATACTGATTCTGGTTTCTTTCACTATCTTGTACAGGCAATGATGCAGGTCCAAGACGCCGGTGATATTTCACCTAAGCAATTGCAATATCTCCTGGCCTTTCCCCTGGCTGCCAGTCTTCACTTCTTTGGAGTCAATTCTCTAAACCAAGGCAGAGTAATCCTGCTAAAAATTAAGTAATATATTACTATTCTAAGTCCTTGCCGTGGCTTTTGATCTTATGTAGAGTAATGCCCATAGATTTGTCAAAGCCTTGGAAGGCCAGCTTACAGATTTCCTCTCTAACCTCTTTTTTTTTTTTTTTTCCTGTGGAGACGGAGTCTTGCTCTGTCGCCCAGGCTGGAGTGCAGTGGTGCGGTCTTAGTAACCTCCGCTTCCCGGGTTTAAGCAATTCTCCTGCCTCGGCTTCCCGAGTAGCTGGGATTACAGGCGCACACCGCCACGCCCGGCTAATTTCTTCTGTATTTTAGTAGAGATGGGTTTCCTGTGTTGCCCAGGCTCTGCTCGAACTCCTGAGCTCAGGCAATCGCCCGCCTTGGCCTCCCTGAGTGGTAGGATTAGAGGCATGAGCCACTGCGCCCAGCTTCTAACCTCATTTTTTTAAAGCACTCTTGGTTTCACTCATTTTGGCCCAGCTACCATGGCTTCATTGTGGCTAATGGAATTCATCAAGTATGTTTATTCCCACACCAGGCCCTTGATGTTTGCTCATTCCATTGAGTGTATTTTTCCTCCCGATAGTCATGTATTGCTACCTCACTCCCTTTAGATCTCTACTCAAATTTAACTTTATCAATGTGGATCTCCCTTGTGAATTACATAAAACCTTACCCCTTACAGACCTCATTATTCTCTCTACCCTGCATTATCCCCATTTCACATATACCCATACACAACACAAGATAGTAAAATAAATAGACTGATCAATTGATTGATCAATAGATGTCTTGTTTCCCCAAGCAAACCTTTCTCTCAACCACATTTATGAGACTTTGTTTTTGTTAAAAGATATGCAAAATATCAGATTTTTCAAAATAAATATATTTAATGGTTAAAAATGTTTAATTTCTTATTTTTTTTCCAACACTTCTCTTTTTCTGGCTGCCTCATTGTTTTTTACAATGACTGTGAGTCTATAACTATGTCCTCTGACTCCCCAGTATATACACACACTCTCTTCATCATCTCACTCTCATGTTTGCAACATCCAATTTCTCTTTTCATTCTCACTGCCACCCCCTTAAGAGAACTATCTCTTGTTATCATTCTTCTAGATTTCATGGACTCCATGTATTTTCCTTTCATGAACAGGTGTCACAATTTTCCTAACCACTTTGTAAAACCTAGTCAAATGTGTGACATGCAGCACTTTTCACCTTGCTTTTGCATCCACTTGCTCTTTAAATACCCTAACTGTATCTTCCACTTTCCAATTCTATTATTTTTCCAAGAACTCAATTAAAATGTCAAGGTTATTATATTTTCCGCCTGGAATATTAGCTAAGATTGACCTGTTTTTTTAACTCACAGTATTTTAAACTTTTATCTTATTCAGCATGAGAAAATAAATATTTGCATATATCACAAAGCAGGTACATTTTTGAAAATATAAGCTATCGTATATCTTTATATTTCTAAAAGACTCATAAGCTCAGTAAAAAGGAAAAGTCTATCTGTAGAGAGTGAAAAACCCTATGACAAAATTTAAGGTTAAATGGCAAATTGAGTGAAATACTGTCACAGTACGAAGAATGTTGGATAATTTTACCTACTGAAGAACAGGAAATAGATAACAGTGCATTTAAAACTATAAAGAAAAGAATGATGAGAATGCTGAAAATATACTGTTCATAGCTGATTAATATTATAGCTTCATTTCATCTATTTTTCTCTAGATAGATCCTAAAAGTATCTATAACTTAAAAGGCATTATAGCACTAATGATTTGGTTGGTTTATGAGGCTATTTTTAAATTATCTGTTTGTAAACAATCTGGCTGGTGACTAGAAGGTCAGAGTTTCCAACAGTGAAGGTGCTTCATCAAAGTTATCATCCCCATCTGTGAGGGATGCTTTTATCTAGGGCCAATGCGAATGACTTCGCTCTGCTGAGACCACTGATTGTGTGTGTATGCGTGTGCTGCACACGAACATTCTGCACATGGCACTCTTAGTAGCATCCTGCCTTCTGCTGGGGAAGTTTGTAAAGATTTAGACAAAGTTTGTAAAGATTTACATAAGTTTTCTTTATATCTTTCCTTTTTTATTTGTATTATGTACTTTGAGGCCTTCACTCAAGAGAAGTCAGATATTATTATGATAATCTCACAAAAGGACATCACACTTCTACTAGAAACTACATACCAAGATGTATATAGGAAAAATAAACTCAGAAATGCAAATAAATTCATTAAAAAACTTCAGCTTTCACAAACGCAACCTGACAGGTATTTCATGGAACAGCCTATCCTATGAACTTATCATCCTATTTTGGTAAAATGTTGCGTGGTGGATATGTAGGAATTTGTGGCCCTTCTAATATTTGGTGTACTTTCCTCTGCAATTGGAAGTAACTTTGGCTTAATTAAACTTCTTTGCTCTCCCAGTGATTCAAATATACACACATATGACCCCACAGAATCTGCTCAAATATTTTCTTCTTTATTTCTCCTTTGAGATTACATGTATCTTAGTCCATTTTGTGCTGCTATAACAAAATATCTGAGACTGGGTAATTTATAAAGAACAGATGTTTATTTCTCACAGTTCTGAAGGCTGAGAAGTCCAAGATTAAAACCCCCACAAGTTTCAGTTGTCTAGTGAGGTTGCATCCTTTGAAAGAGCAGAACACTCTGGCCCCACAGACAAAAGAGCTGAAGAGCAAGCTAGCCAAACTCTGCATGCAGCATCTTTTATATAGCTTTTGGTCTCATTAACAAGAAACCCTCATGGCATAATCAGTTCTTAAATGTCCCACCTCTTAATACTATCACACTGGCAACGCTTGAATTTTGGAGGGGACACATTTAAACTATAGTCACATGTATATTTTAAACTGTTTAGATAAATCAGTTTATAATTCAAAGTAAATATCTCCATCTGTTTTCTCACATAACACAGGTGATAGCTACAAAGAATATAATTTATTATTTAGCAATTGAGATACTCAAGGGAAAAATGGTATGAAAAGAAATACCCAATTGTATGTACTAGAGACTGAATGAAATGCAAAAAAAGAGAAGAAAAAATAAGAAAAGTAAAGTAGTTTTACTCAAGAATACTATACTTACTCAAATAGACGTTCACTTGTAAAGGTACTAGAATCATATATATTCAAGGATCGATTAATATCTATGTAATAGGCTTTAGAAAAAATTTAAAACCTCAAGCAACAGAGACTTAAATCAAAATACTAACTCAAAAGCTAGATAAAGTGTGATCTATAAAGCTGATGACACACTGGGAAAAAAAAAACAAAGTATTAGTGAATCATGAAATATAAGGTTATAAAACAGAAGGCAAGAATCCTTTATGAAAGAAAAGAAAAACTATCAGACTTATAAACAGTTTTTAAAAAGCATATTGACCTGGTTCACAGAATGTACCAAGACAACACGGAGGGAGGAGTAGATTTAGAAAGTTATAATTATTAGCAATTCTCTAAATTAAAGAATTAATGTATGCTGTTTCATTACTGCATACAAATCATTCAAATACCAACAGAGAAAATCCACAAAAAAAGAAAACGATAGTAACCAAATATAAAGAAAAAATATGGTATAAAAATAACAAATATAAATAACAAAAGTAAAATCAAAGAATTCATACATATGATCCATATATATATATATATATATATATATATATATATATATATCACAAAACATACAAAATTTTTACCACTTTCTCTTCCATTGCTAATACTTGGTCCATACTCCATCAACTCTCATCAAGATTACTTGAAATAATTCCATAATTTCTACATAATTGAATATTTTAAATAACAGTGCTAGTTTGTATTTATTGAGTAGTTAATACATACCTGCTATTTTCCAAATATTATCTCATCAAATCATCACAACCTCCCATAAACTAAGATAATTTCCTATTTAACAAAAAAGGATATAGAGAGGTTGAACCAATGATCAATACTGACTCAGTGCAGTAAATGCCAAGGACTGTCTTTCAGCAGCATCCATGTTTATTAGCACAACTTATATTGCCATACAGAAAAAATATGGAAAGAACAAAGCTTCATTTTTTTTATCCAATAGTAAAATATTAATATTTGTAATCAATCTAAAAATAATAAATGGAAAATAAAACTTGATGCCTATCTTATTTGTAAGTAAAGAAATAAATATACTGGTGAGTCTTCTGGGCCCCTTCTTGCATTTGCTAAGGAGTTTCTCAATGAGTGTGCCAGTGGTGCCTTCTACAGTGTGGCAAGTTCCTCCCAATCCTCTTTGGTGTCTTTCTGATACACATACTAATTCTCTAAGACTGATTATTGCCTCTGGTGTCACTCTCTCCCTCTTCCTTACAGTCTATTCTCAACAGAGAAGGTCAGAATATTATGAAAAAGTGTGAGTTATTTTGCTGCTTAGAACTGTTTAACATATTATTAATTCACTCAGAATAAAAGCATCTTAGCAGAATCTTGAAAAAAAAATCCTATAGGATTTGCCTTACATTCTCTAGTCTCATCTTCCAATGCTTTTCATTCATTCTCCCCACTCCATCACAGAGACTCCTTGCTCTTCATCCTTCACCCTGGCACCCTGCCACTTAATGGTTTTTGCACTTTCTCAACTAATCCCCAAATAACTTATTCTAATATTCAGATTTTATCCTTTTCCCTCACTGCATCTTATCTCCTTTATATCTCTGTTTAAATGTTGATTTTCTGTGACGTATCCCTAGGAATTCCTATCTCTTATTCATGCACTTGGCCTCTCATATATATGTATATTGTACTATTTGCCCACAGCTAAGATTAGTATCTTAAAGAGTGCCTACTACATAAATGGAGCTCAATAAGTATTTGCTAAATAAATAGATGATTTTGTGCCTGTTAATCAAAGATTTTTAGATACTTTGGTTATCTTCATCCTTATTAGCTCTTTCCAGCTATGACAGTCTCACTTTGACTTGGCCCTAATTCTATCCTATCTGGTCCTCACTTATCTTCTCTACTGTGGAGACCTAAATTTTGCAAGAGGAGCACCTGAGCATTGGAGGTACCAAGAAGGAAAATAATCTTGGATTAATTACTGCTTCTTAGAATAAAAATTTTAGATTTTTCTAGCATCTGTGTGATTCCTTCAACCAGTTAAAGTGACTCTTCATTACTGCGTCATGTTTTCCAACAGTATAAGATGAAGATTCAAGTAATGAACACTCCACGAAATATAAAGTGCATTATGGATTTCATTTAGACAACCTTAATTTAAATTATTTTGGCTGCTGCCCACCAAATATAATTGAGTTACTTAAGCGGTCCCTTTACTGACAAAATGAAATCTTACATGAAGAATTTTGTGAACCATGTAGAAGATTTATGGATATTAGCCCCTTTCTTAATTTAGAAAATTAAACTGTGAATTAATTTTGCTTAATCTAATTTTCCTTGAGAAAGAGGGTACACTATTTTTTTTACTATTCATTTGTTGATGCCTTCATTAAATGAGCAAATAATTACTGGCACACTATTTGTGCCAAGCAGTGGAATTTCATAAGGTTGAAATTTCCCATGGGATTTCAGTGATAAAGATACAAATAGCCAATTAATTCTAACTAAATACCAGACACTGTAGGGAAAACTTGATATACAACTAAGGAGATAGAATATTAACTAATTTAACCCTAATCACATCCCTAAAATTCCAGTCCCTTACTGTTCCCTTTTACAAATCAGAAATGGAGAAAGAAAGAAGATAGTTAATTTGCTCAATGGCATATTGCTTCTATCTTGAAAGCTCAACTCAAGGGCATCTGAGACCATCTGGCTCCAAAATCCCTGTTATAATAGACTAACGTCTACCCTCTTAAACATGAATAAACTTAATTCCTACCATCAAAGACCTTATAGTATAACAGAAAAAATGAGCAGCTAAAATATTTAATACTATGGTATAAGTTGATATACCTTCTGTAATAAAGGTTTGTATGGAAATTTAAAGAAACTCAGATTAAGAAGTAACTTTACAAATGGGTAACAAGTGTTAGCAGAGACAGCTGAAGAGTAACAGTGACCTAGCTGTATGGGAGATATTATTTAATAAGCAGCTCTAGCCCATTCTAGGAAATGAGAAAAAACAATTGTGATGAATTATTAGATAACTTTGTGAGCTCAATTCCAATTATCTGGGAGTTGCATCTGTCTCTTCCTCCATGAAATTGCAACCTTATTACTCTGACGTTTGAATGCCTATTTTTGGAACATATAACTTTATAAACATGTGAAGACAGGAAGAGAAAGTATTCACATTCACAAAACAAATCCTATATTCACTGTTAATGTGTCTCATTTCCCTCCTTCTAAATACAAGTAGTACCTTTCAATTCCATATACAGTAAAAGATAATTGGGTACTTGGAAATAACATAACCAAAGATGAGAGCCATGAACATCCCATTGTCAGTCTGTGGCATTAATAAAAGTGCAATCATCTTGCTTTATTTTAAATATGCCATGTGAGAAAATTTTTAAAAAGCAATCCAGCACCCCTGGTATGCACCATTGTTCTTTTTATTGCCAGGTTATTCTCTAATGCAAAAATCACAGATGTTGACCAAAATTAAAGTAATAGTTCACTCTCATAAAAGCAGTGGTTTACAGATTGCTGAGATAATGTCATAGCTATGAACATGACCATCTGCTTTATGTCCAGCCATTAGTAATGTGACCGTTTTTATTTGATTAAAAAGCTTACACAATCAGTCACTCAAAAAGTTTTTGTTAAAACATTTTTACATTAAATAAGATTGCACCTTATGTTTTCAACCTTGGATATTACCCTATATGGTTTCCATTAATCTCATGATAGCTAGGATTATGAGAAATTATTCTGTGTTCCTCTCTCTTCCTGCTAGTCATGGTCTTAAAACACATGTGTAGTTTGGTGGAGATAAAAAACAATAAAAAATATTCTCAACTTTTAATTTTTGTGATTGATGCAAACTAAGAGAAATAAATTACCATAATGAATCTACTTCCTCTTTTTCCCAAATTCTAGACATATAGTTGTATCAGACTATACAAATACAAATTCTACAAATATGTTGAGTTCTTACTTTATGTCAGTGACTCTCTTTGTATTAGAAATGCAGGTGTAAAAGAAAGACAAATCTCTGTTCTCATGGAGTTTCATAGGTAACAAAAATATACAGAGTCAAACTACTCATGTAGTTATGAGTGCCATGCAGACAAAAAAAAAAGTGATATGAGAGAAAGTGACAGCTGGGTTGATTTGGAGAGATGGGTATGTTGCATTTTAGTTTTGAGGAAGCCATTCAAAGAAGGTAACATTTTAGCTAAGTTTCCTGACTATAAGAACAACTTATTTTTTTCTATTAGAATACATTCTAAATTTGTGCCATGAAACATGAGAGTCAATAAAACCAGACAAAACCAATGTCTGTTAATCTTTATAATACCGTTTTGTTCTTACTATACTCAGCCACACTGGCCTTTTTTTCTGATGTTTTGAAAGTAGAGATATTGTGGATTGCATATGAAAGGAGAACAATTGTACATGCCTACATGTGAAAGATAAAGGAAAGAGAAGAAACACTGCTGACCTCTTAGGATTTGGGCTTGAGTAACTGGGATAACTTTAGAACCATTTACTGAGTTATGAAGGAAATATGTTCCTGTCCTTTCCTTTTCTCTCCTCCCCTCTCCATTCCTTTCCCTTTTTCCTCTTTCCCCTTTCCATTTTCCTCTGTCTTCTTTTGCATTTTTCTGTTTCTTTCCTCCTCTCTCTCCTTTTTTCTCTCATTCTCTCCTTTTTTCCTTCCTTCCTCCCTGCTGCTTGCTTGCTTGCTCTTTCTTTCTTCTTTCTTTCTTTCTTTCTTCTTTCTTTCTTTCTTCTTTCTTTCTTTCTTCTTTCTTTCTCTCTTTCTTTCTTTATTCTTTCTGTCTCACTCTCCCTTTCTCTTTATTTCTTTATTTCTCCTTTCGTTATCTTCAGGAGATATTTTGATATATTTGTGTTTTAAATAATTTTAAATATTGGGGTGACACTTGAACCTTCTCTCCTATTTTCCTTCACCACTGTGAGCTGTAAATCGGTGAAAAATCACTTTCAACAAACATGGCTTTTCTGTTATTTACATCAATATTTCTCAACATTGTACTTATGCAGATGTATTTAAATTATGAGACAAAATAGAGAAATTACAGAGGGAAGAAGATGTTTGTGACCCACGTAACTAATAAATATTAGAAAGTTAACACAAAAGTAATAAGATTGGCAAAATAAATGAATAGGCATGTCACAGTAGAGACTACCTAATGGCCAAGTGGTCATATGAAAAGGTGTTTAATTTCATTTATTAAGTAGATGCAAATTAAAGCTACAAGGAGAAATCAATAAACAACAGAATGTCTAAAATTAAATCATTGAAAATTAAAGTATTGGAAGGAAGGAAGAATAACAGAAACCTTTAATAACCCTCAGCCTGCTAGCAGGATTTTATATTATTGTATATATTTTGGGGAAATAGTTTGGCTGTATTTATGACATTGAAAATACTTGCTCTCTGTGACTCAGCAATTCCACATGTAAGGTATGTATCTGTATTATTTTATTTTCACACTGCTGAGAAAGACATATCTGAGATTGGAAAATGTACAAAATAAAGAGGTTTATTGGACTTATAGTTCCACATGGCTGGGGAGGCCTCACAATTTTGGCAGAAGGCAAGGAGGAGCAAGTCACATCTTACATGGATGGCAGCAGGCAAAAAAAAGAGCTTGTGCAGAAAAACTCTGTTTTTAAAACCATCATATCTTGTGAGACCTATTCACTATCATGAGAACATCATGGCAAAGATCCATCTCCATGATTTAGTCGTCTCCCACCAGGTCCTTCTCACAATATGTGGGAATTATGGGAGCTACAAGATGAAACTTGGTTGAGGACACAGAACCATACCATATCATTCCACCCACGGCCCCTCCCAAATCTCGTATCTTCACATTTCAAAACCAAGCATGCCTTCTCAACAGTCCCCCAAAATCTCAACTTACTTCAGCATTAACTCAAAAGTCCAAAGACCAAAATCTCATTCAAGACAAATCCCTTCCACCTATGAGCCTGTAAAATAAAGAGCAAGTTAGTTATTTCTTAGATACAATGGGGGTACAGGCATTGGGTAAATACAGCCATTTCAAATGGTAGAAATTGGAGAAAACAAAGGGGCTACAGACTGCATCCAAGTCCAAAATTCAGTGGGGCAGTCAAATTGTAAAGCTCCAGAATGATCTCCTGTGACTTCATGGTTCGCATCCAGATCATGCTGATGCAAAAGGTAGGTTCCCATAGTCTTGGACAGTTCTGCATCTGTGACTTTTCAGGGTACACCCTCCCTCCCTGCTGCCTCCATGGGCCGGCATTGAGTGTCTGCAGCTTTTCCAGGTGCAAGATGCAAGCTGTCAGTGGATATACCATACTGGGGTCTGTAGGACAGTGACCCTCTTCTCCCAGCTCCACTAGGCAGTGCCCCAGTAGGGACTCTGTGTGAGGGACCCACCTCACATTTCCCTTCTCCACTGTCCTAGCAGTGGTTCTCCATGAGGACCCCACCCCTACAGCAAACTTTTGCCTGGACATCCAGGCATTTTCACATATCTTCTGAAATCTAGGCAGAGGTTTCTAAATCTCAATTCCTGACTTCTGTGGACTCACAAGCTCAACGCCACATGAAAGCTGCCAAGGCTTGAGGCTTCCACCCTCTGAAGCTGAAATGGCTCCATTGTCTGGGGTATATAACTGGTTCTTTGTCTTGGTCGAGAAAGAATTCAGGACATGGACACACACAAGGAGTGTTTTTAGGCGTGAGAAGTTTAATAGACAAAGAAGAGAGAGAAAAAAAGCTTCCTCATGCTAAGAAAGTGGGTTGCTCAAGAGAGGGTCTCTAGTTTGTGGTGGCATGCCATTGATTTTTTACAGAGGCTTGAGGAGACCCTATGATATACATAGGGTCCAGAGGATTTGTTTGACCAGGTGTGCCATTTATGTAGCCCACAAAAAGACTGGCCCTCCCACCCTAGTCTTTTATTATGCAAATGTGGCCTCTACCTGTTGGTTTCCATAGTGATTACACACGTGGTTTTACTTGCATGATACCTGTTACACCAATGGATTGTAATACTGGCTGGCCTCCACTAGATGTCGCTGTACATGACCAGACTTGTTAATATAAAAGTAGCATACTCTTTTCCACTTTGATTTGCCAGTAGGGAATAATCTTAGGTTTAGGCCATTTTCATAACTTGCGATATGATTGGGAAAAATATACTATTGAGTGGCTAAAATAACTTTAGTGTTAATCTTGGGGATTTCTTTCCTTTAATTATTAAATTCTTTTATGACTTCCTAAGCCCTCTTACAACATACTCAAACTTTCTGAATTATCCTAAACATTCTCCATTTAAACAACCAGTCATTTCCTTTTAGGACAAGAATTTAACATACAAGATCCTTTCTTATCCTTTCTTATATAAAATCTCTTTCTTTATAACCTTCTTTATATAGTTTAGGTTCTGACCCTGGTGACCTCCACCTCTGGGGGCAGTGTGATCTCCAGTGGTCTCCACCACAGGCTGGACAGGGTCAAAGTGGCTTCTTCTTGCTGTTTTGTCACACTTTCTAAAATGCCCTGGCTTGGCACACTGATAGTGACTAGTGGATACACTTCAGGGATCCTGGACTTTGCAAGCCTGAAAAGCAGCTACTAGAGCCTTTGTCCTTCTCCTGAGCTTCCTCTCTTTCTTTTGGGCCTCCTCCTGGTCCCTATTATAAAAGACCAAAATGTCCACATACAGGAGGTTCTGTAAGGTACTATCTGGTCCTGTAACTTGCTTCTGTAGTTTCCTTCTAATATCAGGAGCTACCTGTGTAATAAACTTATCCTTTAAAATGAGCTGTCCCTTATCGGGATAAGGAGGTGTGCTCTATTAGTGCCACTCTCAGTCTTTCCCTAAAGGCTGCAGGATTCTCATCTGGCTTTCTGTCTATCATAGACTGTTTAGAGGCATTAAGAGGTCTGGCCTTAGTTCTTCATATATCCTCTAGAATGTGTATTATAAAGTGCTTCCTTTTCCATTCATCTGCAGAGCTAGTGGGGTCCCAATCAGGCTTGTCAATAGGAAGTACTTCCCTTCCTATTGGGAATGGTGTTTTCGCTATTCTCCTTTATTCCCTTTTGATGTATTATAGGTGATATTGCTCATCTCTGAAATTATCTGCTGCCTGCAGAATTGCCTGCTTTTCAGATGCGGTTGGGATTTGGTTTAGCAGCAGCATAACGTCCTTTCATGTGAGGTGAAACACCTGAGTTAAATTCTGGAAAGCTTCTATATACCTATTGGGGTTGCCAATCTTCGTTTATTTGCCTAAAGTCCTGTAATGAGAAGGGAACTTTAGGTGGCCCCAAATAAGAGGAATTCTCAAATGTTTCCCCTGGAAATTGCTTTTCTAATTCTGGGAAATCATTCTCTATAGCCTTGCCTGATATGCCTGTTAAAAAAGCTGGGTTGATTTTACAACTCCTGTAAAGGTTTAGTAAAAATACCATGCCCTTATGCAAAAAATAAATAAATAAATAAATAAATAAATAAATAAATAAATTTGGTTGCTTTTATCTTCAAAGTCCTAAGGTTAAAAAAGTTCCAGTGTTTCAGAGTGCACTCCAGAGGGGTACAAGCTGAAAACGGTCTGTTACCCATCTAGAAAAAGAAGTAGGAATAAAAGTATCCTTTTAGTCTCCCCAGTCTCTCCTTTCATTGTGACCCAGGGTGGAGGGGAAGAGAGTGGGAGCGTCCCCTCTTTCTCTTTGGTTCCTGGGTCCTGCCACCATGTTAAATGTGCCGCCCATGGTTGTAGGCATGGTCCTCTAAGCCATGGAGCCAGCTGAACTAAGTGATAGGATTAGCCACGTTTTACCCACTCAGCCTTAGCATATCTGCCTGTGTGATCTGCCTGGCTCCCTGAAAAATGGATCTCCAGAAAAACTGTCATCTTTAGGCAAGCTTTCTTTAATGGAGACAATGTGCTAGATCGTCTGCTATTATGGCCTGTGGTAAAACATTTACCCTTACAAAAATGGTTCTGGTTAACTTCTGAACTTATAACCTCCTTCCTAATTAAGTACTGTCCTAATTGGAGACAGAATAGGTACCTTAGATGAACGTAGGGACCCATTGGTGATTTTTCCTGCTTTTGGGACAGTATTGGTACTAAAATTTGGCTACAGAGGACATTTTACTCCTAATTGTTGAAGGCAGAGCTTTCATGTTCATAGATGGGGCTTTTCTAGCAGTGCAAAAAGAGGGGAATTGGGAAGCTGCAGTGTTAGGGTAAAGGACCCACAATGCACCACATGAAGAGGATTTCTCTTTCCACTAGGTCGTGCTGTTGGGTTAGAAATGCCATGTGCTCACCAGGGACATGGTAGAGCGACGCTTACTGAATTAGAACATTTGCTGATCTTTCCTAACAGAACTGTTTCCCTGAACTGTAAAATTTCCCGCACATTGTACACACAGAGACACAACAACCGCAGATGCAAAAGAAAGAAAAATTTTGCAACAGGATAGCTGGAGACCAATTATCAACCCCTAGATGGGCTGTCAGAGGCTGGGTTCAGTCCAGAAGCCTTTGAATAACGCCAGGGTGAGCCCTGCCCAGAAGTCTCCAGTTGTCCCAGGACTTCTACCAGCCTTGCACGATGGCTAGGAACTCCATGAAAGGAAAACTGATTTGAAGAGGGTCTTGAGATTAAAGGACAGATTTGAGGTTCGCTTCATACGTACCACTCTGAAGTTTCTATCTTCTCTTCTGTTTCCTATCTCAGATGAGCACCCCAGTGAAATGGCTCTGTTGTCTGGGGTATATACTCTGGTTCTTTGTCTTGGTTGAGAAAGAATCCAGGACATGGACACACACAAAGAGTGAGTTTAAGAGCAGAAAGTTTAATAGACAAAGAACAAGAGAGAGAGAAAATGCGTCCTCATGCTGAGAAAGCCGGTTGCCCGAGAGGGTTTCCAGTTTGCAGTGGGAGGCAATCAATTTTGTACAGAGGCTTGAGGTGGTGGATGATTTACATAGGGTCCAGGGGTTGGTTTGACCAGGTGTGCCATTTACATAGCCCATGAAATGACTGGCCCTCCCATCTTGGTCTTTTATTATGCAAATGTGGCCTCTTTCTGGCAGTCACCATGATGCCTGCACACGTGGTTTTACCTGGCGGCTGCCATGATACCAGTACACGTGGTGACAAAGTAAAGAGAGCAAGAACTACCATATTGAATATACCTGGTTTACAGGTACAGCTGCCAGCATTTACATATATAAGCATCTAGTTTGCATTTCTATGCCTTACTCTTCCGGCTGCTTTCTGTTAGAGAAGTAATGGTTTGAGGCTGCTTTTTATTAGGGGAAAATTCCACCGAGAACTCTTACCCTTTCTAGCTGTCCGAAAATAATTTCTTAATAACTTCTGTATTAAAGCCATAGCCTAAGCTTTATGTTGGCCCCTTTCAGCCACGACTGGAGCAGCCGGAATGCAGGGCACCAAGTCTCTTGGCTGCACACAGCACAGGGACCTCGGCCTGGCCCACAAAACCACTTTTCCTTCTGGGACTCCAGGCCTGTGATGGAAGGGGCTACCCTGAAGGTCTCTAACATGGCCTGGAGACATTTTCTCCATGATCTTGGGGATTAACATTAGGCACCTTGATACTTATGCAAATTCCTGCAGCCAGCTTGAATTTTTCCTCATAAAAAGGGTTTTTCTTGTCCACTGCATAGGTAGGCTGCAAATTTTCTCGACTTTTATGCTGTTTCCCTTTCAAAACAGAATGCTTTTAACAGCACCCAGGTCACCTCTTGAATGCTTTTCTGCTTAGAATTTTTTTTCCACCAGGTACCCTAAATCATCTCTCTCAAGTTCAAAGTTCCACAAATCTCTAGAGCAAGGGAAAAATTCTACCAGTCTATTTGCTAAAACATAACAAGAGTCACCTTTACACCAGTTCCCAACAAGTTCCTCATCTGCATTTGAGACCACCTCAGCCTGGACCTTATTGTTTATATTACTATCAGCACTTTTGTCAAAGCCATTAAATAAGTCTCTAGGAAGTTTCAAACTGTCCCACATTTTCCTGTTTTCTTCTGAGCCCTCTAAATTGCTCCAAACTTTGTCTGTTATCCAGTTCCAAAATTGCTTCTAGATTTTTGGGTATCTTTTCAGAAATGCCACACTCTACCAATTTACTGAATTATTCTGTTTTCACGCTGATGATAAAAGACATACCTGAGACTGGGAAACTTACAAAAGAAGCAGGTTTATTGTACTTACAGTTCCACATGGCTTGGGAGGCCTCACAATCATGGCGGAAGGCAAAAAGGAGCAAGTCACATCTTATGTGTATGGTAGCAGGCAAAAGAAAAGCAGAGACACTCCTGTTTTTAATACCATCAGATATCATGAGAACTATTCACTATCATGAGAACAGCATGGGAAACACCAATCCCATGATTTGATTACCTCCCACCAGGTCCCTCCACAACACATGGGAATTATGGGAGCTACAAGATGAGATTTTGGGGCAGACACAGTGCCAAACCATATTAGTATCTAATGTGAATGCATGCACAAGTGAAACAGAAAACATGTAGAAGTATGTACTTAATAACATTATTACCAGTCCCCTAAAATTGCAAACCACCTATATGTGTATTTATTATTAAAGAAATGATAATTTACTAACATAATGATGTGTTATATAGCAATATAAATAAACTACAGGTATGCACAACAGCATGGAAAAAAACCCACAAACTTAAAAACAGAATCCAAATAACAAAATAATATTTATTGTGAAATACAGGGGCCAGCTACTCTATTTGAAAAAGAGTTTGGCTTGAACCTGCATTTTAATTGAGCTTAATAACCTAACCATAACTATAGTTGCACCAAGATAATATTTGACCTGAACAATCTATCTTGAACTGGAGGTTAATTGTTTCCTTGATCCATAAAATACAATGTGAACTGAAAGATTCCATTTTAAAATGAACATATTAAATGGAAGACCAGTACGTGTAGTTTCAGATGACATGTACTGCTTCGGAATTCTCTGATACCTTTTTCTACTTAGATTAGCTTTCTAGTGCTGCCTAAAAAAACACCACAGACTGGGTGTCTTGTATCAGGTACATTAATTTTGTTATAGAACTGGAGGCTGAGAAGTCTGAGATCATCATGTCCACAAATTTGATTTCTTCTGAGGTTTCTTTCCTTGGCTTGCAGATGGCCACATTCTCACTGTGTCCTCGCATGGTCCTGTGCCTGTGCATCCCTGGTATTTCTTTGTGTTTCCTACGTTCCTTTTCTTATAAAGACACCAGTCAGACTGGATTCCACTCTAATGACTTCATTTTAACTTAATTTCCTCTTTAAAGGCTGAATTTAAATACAGTCACATTCTGAGGTTTGGGGGTTTAGAGCTTCAACCTATGAATTGTAGAGGACACAATTCAGTCCATAACACTGCTGCTTTTTCATCTCACCCTAAAAAAATTATTGTATGCCCCCATGGAATATTATCTATGGTTATAGAAATGAAAGACAAATCCACATAGCCTGATTTCCTGATTACTCTGCATGATGTGTTATTTATATTCAGTCATTCCTGTGTAAAGACCAATAGTTTGGCTTGTGGTTTACAGACTTGGAGTAATAAAATTGAAAAGTTGGTAACAAAGTATGAAGATTTTTTTTTCTTTGATGTCCACATGAATGTATATATCTGTGGAAGGGGATCTAAGTAACAAGGAGGATGTGAAGACCCATCTTGTAAATGCCAGTTAGACCCTTTCCTCTGTTCAAAGGGCCTCTGTACCAAGTACTCATGATGGCAATGATCAAGATCAAAACTGGCCTCAGCAATATGAACTTTCACTCACCCACTCTGGTCCTATTGACATCACAGCTGAATGTCTGCTACTGCTGAGGTTGACACATAACTCCAGATGTGGCACCATTCCGTGGATGTGGTGGGGTGAATGGCAATCAGACAGTTCTCAATAGCTGAGTAATGGCACTAAACACCTTTCATCATGGACAGTCAATGCTTTCTCAACATTGGAACAGACATACTGAGGTAATAGATGTGCATTATTTGGCTATAGTGCTGTGGCCAGCACCAACATTCATAGACATGCATAATATTTCACCTGTACCGGTTTTGTTCCACAAATAATCTCTTCTTTCTAGACAACCAATTTTGCACTATAGTCATGGATTCATGCCTAAAGAAATAATTAATCCTGGGGTCAGCTGGTTTGATAGAGCAGTGAAATGCCTGACTGAAGAATCAATTACCACATCAACTGGGAAATAACACCCTGAAAACTTGGCCAGTTGTCTCAGAAAACGACTTCAGTCATTATTTTAAACCAGAAGCCAGCTTATGGTACCAACTTTGTCACAATATGACAACAATGAATGCAACTAGCAATATTTTGATCACACCATGAGCAAAATAGCCCCTTGGAGACATTTCTTTTCTTTTTGTACCATGATTTGGGGCTCACTTGATTGAGAGTCACCAGTGGCCAAATAAATGATTCCAACAGGGAACATAGTAACGGCTTCATTAAATCTGAAATTGAGACTGGACTGTGTATATTTGGCCTCCTATTGCTGGTTGAATGAGCAGAGATGATGAATGACACTGGCCAGGGAATTCTAATTACCAGTGGTAAAGTAGATTGCTGCTGGACATTACAGAAACAGAGAATATCATTTGAAACCTTGAGAATTAATTGGGGTGCCTACTTTTCTTGCTCAATAATCCTGACCAATGGATAACTGTGGCAATAAAGACCAGACCGTCAGAGACGAAACTCCTGCAGAAATAAAGGTATGAATCACTCTACAAGCTAAAAAGTCATGTTAGGTAAAATGCTAGTTGAACATAAAGGGAATATGAAAATAATATCAGTTGAAGGAAGCAACAATAATTGCCAATTTAAGCTAATAAGCAATTGCAGAATTGAGGACAGTAGAAGTGCTATGATATTAATTGCACTGACCTATATCTGTCTGCTATATTAAGAGTACAGTGGTAGGTAACATTTTAATTTGCATGTGGATATATGACTGTATTACCATTATACCAGAAAAATTTGGTAACCAACAGGCCTTTTTATGTCCTCTGTTACACAATTTTTTAACTGAAGAGAGGACAATGGTAGATGTTATGGTGCAAAACAGGTGTAGGCAACTTCCATTAATCTACCTTCACTTTTGTTCCCAAGACTGACATATCTTTACTAAATCAAAAGACTCCTTTTCTTTTTTCCCTAGTGACTGATGGTCAAAGTGGAGTACCAGCAGGACAAGGAAGGGAGGAAGGTGAATGAAATTGGTACGTTTGTCTCAGCTCCCTCTTTGAAGGCTTATTGCACTCTGGTGCTGTGCTTTGATAAAAACTCACAGCTTATATGGAGGCTCTCTTTGTGCAGTTCTCTCTTTGTGTTATGGTAACATTCTTGCCCTCCTCCCTCTTACCCCTTCAGATCCCTGGTGGTTAAAGCTCTGCATTGTTAATAGTTCCAGAAACTGCCCAGTCCACACTCTCATAAATAAGCCATGTGTTAAGCATTTCTAAAATGAACAAATTTTATTGTTTCACATGACTGATTTGGATATTAAGAATAAGATACAATATCAATAAACATGTCAAAAATAACCGGTTATATGTTAATATAACCACATAGGCACCCAGTGCCTCAAACCTCAAAAATCTTTCAATTTTCTCCCATTGCATAAGTTACTTTTACTTGGCACCTAAAATTAGTTCTATATATTGATGGACAGAATGAGTAACCGAAAGACTATCGGTGTACAAAAGAACCAGGCAAAGAAAATTGTGTCATTTTGGAGGAGAGAAACTTAGCAACTAATGGCACTTTGCCAACCAAGAAGCAGATGTTTAACTATAACTGTCAACAAAATATGAATAGAAAAAAATAGCATCATGTTATGATCATTTTAGTTTAGAAAGTACAAAATCAGACCCTAGCATAAGCACCAAAATGGAAAACAAAGGTGTAGTGAAATCAGTCACTGTTTTTGTGATTTGTTGATGATCCCATTTTAAACTCAAAGACTATTATGATAAGGGCAACTCGAAAGTCAATGAATTGATGGTTCCTAAGATTTTTGGAAAGTTTAGAATAAAAGTTCTGGAAAGAAATTAGAGCAAAGTTCACTCAGGTAGCTAGACTATATTAACGCTGGGAACAAACATTGACTTGTAGTGAAAGCAATCTAAGAGTCAGGTTGCCAATTTATATATCTAAGCAAAAAACACTGATTTAGAAAGACGTGCTTATGAAGAGGGTCTTTCACCAAAAAATGAGTATCTTTCACAAGTGAATTTACTTAATAATATGGAAAAACTCGATCTTCTTTCACATGAAAAGTGTCAGTCCACAGGCTCTCTATTCTTTATTTACAGATTATTTGGTGGGTAAATATATAAACCTCTTTCTCCTTGTTTAAATAGCATGCTTCTCTTATGCTTCCATGAATATTGAACAGTAACTACAAAATGATTATTCCTCAAAAGGCTAAATGTTATATTTGGCTATGTACCCATGCCAAATTCACAACGGAAGTCTTATAAGTATAGTTCAGTTAGTTTTGTATTGGTATGTAATGGCCCTTCATTTGTTAGTATATATATATATATATATATATATATGTATTTTACTTTGGGGGGCATTTCCAAAAAGAAATAAAAATAAAATGAATTTAGGTGTGGAAATTTTTATCCAACAGCAAAACTAGCATTTTATGTGATAACTTGAGAAAAGAAAATCAAAGAATCAGTATACTTTAATGTTTATTACACATTACAAATTCACAGGTATGATTGCATGCTGTTCTTTCCAACAATAAACAGTGTTATACTTACAGTATAGTCCCCAACAGACAGTGAAACAGGTAATGTTATCCTCCTAAGGCTAAAAATTAGATTTTAAAATGTATACAAGTAAATTTTTAAAAGAAATAAAAACTGGCAAGTCTGTCTTTATACATAAACATTTATTTGAGTTTAAATTATCCAGTGTAAATGGTAGTGCAAGTTTATTGTAAAACACTGTTAGTGATTTTAATGTTTATGTAGGTGTGTACTTGAAGTCTTAAGGAAATTTGTTTCCATTCTGTTTAAAAAGTAAGAAAACTAACAAAGAAATTATGCACTTAAATTTGACATGTGAGCAATTGGACCTAATAGATGTCTAAGGAATGATCCACCCATTAGCCACAGAATATACATTCTTCTAATCTGCATACGGAATGTATTCCATATGTTTGGCCATAAAAGATCTCAATAAATTTTAAAAAATTAAAATCGCAGTTTGCCAGTATTTTATTGAGGGTTTTCACATCGGTGTTAATCAGGAATATTGGCCTGAAATTTTATTTTTGTGTTGTATCTTTGCCAGGTTTTGGTATCAGGATGATGCTGGCCTCATGAAATGAGTTAGGGAGGAGTTCCTCTTTTCTATTGTTTGGAGTAGTTTCTGACAGAATGGTAGCAGCTTCTGTTTGTACCTCTGGTAGAATTCAGCTGTGAGTCCTTCTGGTCCTGGGCTTTTTTTGGTTGGTAGGGTATTAATTACTGCCTCAATTTCAGAACTTGTTATTGGTCTATTCAGGGATTTGGCTTCTTCCTGGTTTAGTCTTGGGAGGGTGTATGTGTCCAGGGATTTATCCATTTCTTCTAATTTTCTAGTTTATTTGCATAGAGATGTTTATAGTATTCTTTGATGGTAGTTAGTATTTCTGTGGGATCAGTGGTGATCTCCCCTTTTTCATTTTTTATTGTGTCTATTTGATTTTTCTCTGTTTTCTTCTTCATTAATCTGGCTAGCAGTCTATTTTTGCTCCTGGATTCATTGATTTTTTTGAAGGGTTTTTCATGTCTCTATCTGGTTCAGTTCTGCTCTGATCTTAGTTATTTCTTGTCTTCTGCTAGCTTTTGAATTTGTTTGCTCTTGCTTCTCTAGTTCTTTTAATTGTGATGTTTGGGTGTCAATTTTAGATCTTTCCTGCTTTCTCCTGTGGGCATTTAGTGTTACAAATTTCCCTCTAAACACTGCTTTAGCTGTGTCCCAGAGATTCTGATACATTGTGTCTTTGTTCTCATTGGTTTCAAAGAACTTATTTATTTCTGCCTTAATTTTCTTATTTACCCAGTAGTCATTCAGGAGCAGATTGTTCAGTTTCCATGTAGTTGTGTGGTCTTGAGTGAGTTTCTTAATCCTGAGCTCTAATTGGATTGCACTGTGGTCTGAGAAATGGCTTGTTATGATTTCCATTCTTTTGCGTTTGATGAGGAGTGTTTTACTTCAAATTATGTGGTCAATTTTAAAATAAGTGCAAGGTGGTGCTGAGAAGAATGTATATTCTGTTGATTTAGGGTGGAGAGTTGTGTAGATGTCTATTAGGTCCTCTTGGTGAAGAGCTGAGTTCAAGTCCTGAGTATCCTTGTAAATTTTCTGTCTCAATCTGTCTAATATTGACAGTGGGGTGATAAGGTCTCCCACTATTATTTTGTGGGAGTCTAAATCTTGTTGTAAGTCTCTAAGAACTTGCTTTATGAATCTAGGTGCTCCTGTATTGGGTGCATATATATTTAGGATAGTTAGCTCTTCTTGTTGCATTGATCCCTTTACCATTAGGTAATGCCCTTCTTTGCCTTTTTTGATCTTTGTTGGTTTCAAGTCTGTTTTATTAGAGACAAGTATTGCAACCCCTGCAATTTTTTGCTTTCCATTTGCTTGGTAAGTATTCTTCATCCTTTTATTTTGAGCCTATGTGTGTCTTTCCATGTGACATGGGGTCTCCTGAATACAGCACACTGAGGGGTCTTGACTCGTTATCCAATTTGCCCGTTTGTGTCTTTTAATTGGGGCATTTAGCCCATTTACATTTAAGATTAATATTGTTATGTGTGAATTTGATCCTGTCATTATGGTGATAGCTGGTTATTTTGCCTGTTAGTTGATATAGTTTCTTCATAGTGTCGATGGACTTTACAATTGTTATGTTTTTTCAGTGGCTGGTACCAGTTTTTCCTTTCCATATTTAGTGCTTCCTTCAGGAGCTCTTGTAAGGCAGGCTGTGGTTGTGACAATCTCTCTCAGCATTGGTTGTCTGTAAAGGATCCAGCAGCACATCAAAAAGCTTATCCATCATGATCAAGTTGGCTTCATCCCTGGGATGCAAGGGTGTTTCAATATATGCAAATCAATAAAGTAATCCATCATATAAACAGAAACAATGATGAAAACCACACGATTATCTCAATAGATGCAGAAAAGGCCTTTGATAAAATTCAACACCCTTTCATGCTAAAAACTCTCAATAAACTAGGTATGGATGGAACATATCTCAAAATAATAAGAGTTATTTATGACAAACCCACAGTCAATATCATACTTAATGGGCAAAAGCTGGAAGCATTCCCTTTGAAAACTGGCACAAGACAGAGATGCCCTCTCTCACCTCTCCTTTTCATTTAACATAGTATTGGAAGTTCGATCAAGGGCAATCAGGCAAGAGAAAGAAATAAAGGGTATTCAGATAGGAAGAGAGGAAGTCAAATTGTGTCTTTTTGCAGATTACATGATTGTATACTTAGAAAACCCCATCATCTCAGCCCCAAATCTCCTTAACCTGATAAGCAACTTCAGCAAATTCTCAGGATACAAAATCAATGTCCAAAAATCACAAGCATTTCTATACACCAATAATAGACAAACAGAGAGCCAAATCATAAGTGAACTCCCATTCATAATTGCTACAAAAAGAATAAAATACCTGGGAATACAAATTACAAGAAATGTGAAGGACCTCTTCAAGGAGAACTACAAACCACTGCTCAAGGATATAAGAGAAGACATAAACAAATGGAAAAACATTCCATGGTCATGGATAGGAAGAAACAATATTGTAAAAATGGCGAAACTGCCCAAAGTAATTTATAGATTCAATGCTATCTCCATCAAGCTACCATTGACTTTCTTCACAGAATTGGAAAAAACTAGTTTAAATTTTACATGGAACCAAAAAAGAACAACAGATGTGAATGACCTCTTCAAGGAGAACTACAAACCACTGCTCAAGGAAATGAGAGAAGACACAAACAAATGGAAAAATATTCCATGGTCATGGATAGGAGGAAACAATATTGTGAAAAAGGCCAAACTGCCCAAAGTAACTTATAGATTCAATGCTATCTCCATCAAGCTACCATTGACTTTCTTCACAGAATTAGAAAAAAACTAGTTTAAATTTTATATGGAACCAAAAAAGAGCCCATATAGCCAAGACAAACCTGCGCAAAAAGAACAAAGCTGGAGTCGTCATGCTACCTGACTTCAAACTATACTACATGGCTACAGTAACCAAAACAGCATGGTATTGGTACCAAACAGATAGATAGACCCATGGAACACAACAGAGGCCTCAGAAAAAAACCCACACATCTACAATCATCTGATCTTTGACAAACCTGAGAAATACAAGCAATGGGGAAAGGATTCCCTATTTAATAAATGGTGTTGGGAAAACTGGCTAGCCATATGCAGAAAACTGAAACTGAACCCCTTCCTTACACCTTATATGAAAATTAACTCAAGATGTATTATAGACTTAAAAGTAAGACCTAAAACCATAAAAACCCTAGAAGAAAACCTAGGCAAAAGCATTCAGGACATAAATGTGGGCAAAGAATTCATGACTAAAACACCAAAAGCATTTTCAACAAAAGTCAAAATTGACAAATTGGATCTAATTAAACTAAAGCTCTTCTGCACAGCAAAATAAAGTATCATCAGAGTGAACAGGCAACTTACAGAATGGGAGCAAATTTTTGCAATCTATCCATCTGACAAAGGGCTAATATCCAGAATCTATAAAGAACTTAAACAAATTTACAAGAAAGAAAACAAACAACCCCATCAAAAAGTGGGCAAAGGATATGAACAGACACTTCTCAAAAGAAGACATTTATGCAGCCAACAAACATATGAAAAAAAGCTCATCATCACTGGTCATTAGAGAAATGCAAATCAAAACCACAATGTGTTACCATCTCACACCAGTTAGAATGGCAATCATTAAAAAGTCAGGAGACAACAGATGCTGGAGTGGATGTGGGGAAATAGGAATGCTTTTACACTGTTGGTGGGAGTGTAAATTAGTTCAACCATTGTGAAAGACAGTGTGGCAATTCCTCAAGGATCTAGAACTAGAAATACCATTTGACCTAGCAATTCCATTACTGGGTATACACCCAAAGGATTATAAATTTATACATTATAAATTTATAAATTATTAATTATTCACATACGTTTATTGCAGCACTCTTCATAATAGCAAAGACTTGGAACCAACTCAAGTGCCCAACTGGATAAAGAAATTGTGGCACACATACATATACACCATGGAATACTATGCAGCCATAAAAAATGATAAGTTCATGTCCTTTGCAGGGACATGGATGAAGCTGGAACCATCATACTCAGCAAACTAACACAGGAACAGAAAACCAGACACCGCCTGTTCTCACTCATAAGTGGAAGTTGAACAATGAGAACATGTGGACACAGGGAAGGGAACATCACACACTGGGGCCTGTTGAGGGATGGGGCCTACAGGAGGATAGCATTAGGAGAAATACCTAATGTAGATGACAGGTTGATGGGTCCTGCACACCACCATGGCATGTATATACCTATATAACACACCTGCACGTTCCTCACATGTATCCCAGAACTTAAAATATAATAATAAGTAGGTAAATAAATTAAATTAAATTAAAACCACACCAACTATACTCTTGGACAACAGTGGAATAAAAAATAAAAATAATACCAAGAATGTCTCTCAAAATGACAAAATTACATGGAAATTAAACAACTTGATCCTGAATGACTGTTGGGTAAACAATAAAATTAAGGCAGAAATAAAAAAAAAAAATTGAAATAAATGAAAACAGACACACAACATACCCCAATCTCTGAGACGCACCAAATTCAGTGTTAAGAGGAAAGTTTATAGTGCTAAGCAGCTACCTCAAAAAGTAAGAAATATCTCAAATTAATGATCTAACATCACACCTAGAAGGACCGGGAAAACAAGAACAAAATAACCCAAAAGCTAGCAGAAGAAATGAAATAAATGAAAGCAAAACTGAATGAAATCAAGACTCAAATATCCATACGAAGAATCAATGAAAGCAAATGTTGATTCCTTGAAAGCTTAAACAAGACCAAAAGACTGCTAGCTAGATGAACAAAGAGAAAAAGAGAAGATCCAAATAAGCACTATCAGAAATAACAATGGTGACATTACAACTGATACCTTATAAATACAAAAAATCCTCAGAGACTATTATGAACACCTCTATGCCCACAAACTAGAAAATCTAGATAATATGGATACATTTTTGGAAACACACAATCTCCCAAATTTAAATCAAGAAGAAATTGAAACTGAACAGACTAATATTGAGTTCTGAACTTGAGTCAGTAAAAAACAAAAAAACAAAAAACATACCAATGAAAAAAACCCCAGACAAGGTGGACTAACAGTTAATTTTTCTAGATCTACAATTAAGAGCTGGTACCAGTCCTACTGAAACTATTCCCAAAAATCAAGGGAGAAAGACTCCTCCCTAACTCATTCTATGAAGCCAGAATCAGCCTTATTGAAATATCTGGCAGACCCAATGAAAAAAAAAAAAAGATGACAGGCCAATATTCCTGTGTATTCCACAAAAATTCTTAACAAAAATACTAGCACATTCAATGAAGCGGTATATCAAAAAGTTAATATACCACAATCAAGTAGGCCTTATTGCTGGGTTGCAATACTAGTCCAATGTACACAAATCAATAAGATTCACCACATAAACAGAATTAGAAAATAAAACCATGTGATCATCTTAATAAACATGAAAAAAGCTTTCAATAAAATCCAGCATCCCTTACTGATAAAAAGCCTCAACAAACTACACATCAAAGGAACATACCTCAACACGATAAGAATTATCTATGTCAAGCCCACATCTAGCATTATAACAAATGGGTGAAAACTGGAAGCATTCCTCTTGAACACTGGAAAAAGTCAAGGATGCCCACTTTCATCACTGCTATTCAACATAGTACTGGAAGCACTAGCCAGAGAAATCATCAAAAGAAAGAAATAAAAGGTGTCCAAATACGAAAAGAAGAAATCGATCTATTTCTCTTCACTGATGTTATGATTCTATACCTAGAAAACCTTAAAGACTCTGCCAAAAGACTCTTGGAACTAATAAACTGCTTCAGTAAAGTTTCAGGATACAAAATTAATATACAAAAATCAGTAGCATATCTTATACACCAACAACAGATGCAGCTAGAGGCCATTATTCTAAGCAAACTAATGCAGGATCAGAAAACCAAATAACACATGTTCTCACCTATAAGTGGGATCTAAACAATGGATGCTTATGGACACAAAGATGGCAAAAATAGACCTTGGGAACTACTTGGCAGAGAGAGTGGGAAGAGAAAGTGTTGAAAAACTCACACTTGGGTACCATGCTCAGTGCCTGGGTAATGAGATTATTCATACTCCAAATCTCAACATCATGCAATATGCTCAGCTAATGAATCTACACATGTACTCCTTGATTAAAATAAAGTGAATCTACTATAAAAGTTGAAGTTATAAAAAATTAGTAGAATGCATAAGTGACATCATCTGGATCTGGAATGTTCTTTGCATGATGATTTTTAATTAAATTTTATAGGTCTAGTAATATATGCTACATCACTTTTAGTCTGTTTTAATAATTTTGTCTATGAATTTGCTTATAATTTGTAGTTTTCATGTTTCTAAATTGTCATAGCAATGGATGTATAAAATAATGTGAAAGAAAAATAAATAAATAAAATGTAGTTAATTGTAAGAGGTTAAAAAAAAACCCTGGTATTATTACAATCAATATATCAAGTGTTTATTTAGGCTGCTTACAGTTGGCATAGAATATTTTTAAAAGACATTTAAGGCAACCCAGTCCATCACTTTTGTTTTATAACTGTGAAAACTGAGGTTCAGAGAGCTTAGGTAATATTCACAAGGACATACAAAGAATTAATGACAGAACATCACTATAGTACAACTTTGTGAATCATGGTTCAAGATTCCTTCTATGGTATCCCACTGCTAATCATTTACATGACAACTTACAATATGTATTTGCCCTTAAAATGTACATTTCATGCATCACATATATTCTGCTTTAGGAACTAAACACCTAAAACATTCTAAATTTACACGAATTTACATAAACATAAAATATTGTTTCCAAAAGTGTTATTTAAAAGAAAGATTCCATTAATTACATCATTATTCTGAAAACCACTTAATAAACACAGAATATCCTTAGGGTGCATATTATTATATAAGGAATAAAAGGTAAAATACATATTGCTTAATATAGGAGATATTAGTCCCCAAAATATAAATATATTATTGATAAAACATTATTATCTTCTACTGAGTTAGTTGACACTGCAGTTCTACAAACAGGAACAAATCTGTAAGCCTAACATTGTGAAGAAAATCACTAGTCAACTGTAGAGAAATTGTCTACATAATGCACATAGCAGAGAGATTTACTGATTACAGAGTATCTACACCCCTAACTTCCCTCCCACACACAGCATCACATTTCCCATTTTAATGCAATTGAGTGAAGTCATAAAAATCATGCCTATTCTACTACTAAAAACATATCAGCTTGTGTTTGTCATAATGCTTCTCACAATCAGCCCTTTCGGAAATCTAGTATGGCGACAACACATTATCACCACCAGATTAAGTATCCTCATTCTCATCATAGCCCTTTCAATGCTTTTTATTGAGATTCATTCACATTTACTTTTGGTGCATTCAAAGGAGTAAAGAAGACCTGGCATACAGTATAGCAGATACTTCTAATATCAAGTATACCATATGTATTATTCAGGGTTCTCTAGAGGGACATAACTAATAGGATAGATGTACATATAAAGGGGAATCTGTTAAAGAGCATTGACTTACATGATCACAAAGTAAGATCCTGCAATAGGCCCTCTGCAAGCCGAGAAGCAAAGAACCCAGTCTGAGTCCCAAAACTTCAGAAGTAGGAAAGCCAACAGTGCAGCCTTCAGTCTGTGGTCAAAGATCCATGAGTCCCAAAGTTGAAAAACCTGGAGTACGATATTTGAAAGCAGGAAGCATCCAGCATGGGAGAAAGAGGTAGGCCGGAAGGCTAAGCCAGTCTAGTCCTTCCAGGTTCCTCTGCCTGTTTTTATAGTATCTGAGCTGGCTGATTAGATGGTGCCCACCCAGATTCAGGGTCGGTCTGCCTCTCCCAGTCCACTCACTCAAATGTTAATCTCCTTTGGGAACACCGTCACAGACACACCCAGGAACAATACTGTGCATCCTTCAATCCACCCGAGTTGACACTCAATAGTAACCATTACAGCATATATGGACCAATTTCCCTGTGCTGTTAGCAAGCTTTTGTCAGTCCTACAATTCCTTATGCTCCTCAAGTCTCTATTTAGATCATTTTTTTCTGGTCACCTTAAGCAAGGGTACATTTCAAACAGAATGTATGCCCTTCGGGACACAAATAAGCCTATTACATTCTGTGCGTCACTTTATTTGTGGGATTCTTCAAACACAATGATTTGTTTTTCAATGCTTGAGGGGATATGTCTAGTGGTATAATTTAGTGATTTCCTAAAATTTCATGGTGGTTACTGGTCTCTGAATTAACTGTTTGAAGGATGTAACAATCAACCCCTATATGTTATGTGAATAACTATTCTTAGCAAACCTCGTATTTAAGGGTGGCTAAATAGATGGTGGAGCACAGTTACAAGGAACAGTTGGGGCCTCTTTCAAAAAACAGGAAAACATTTTACTTATTTTTAACCACTGTCACTTGATCCATCATGACATTCTATATTTGCTATTTAATGTCATACTCCTTTGGGCACAGGGATACTCAAGTGTTGAGTGCAGACCTTCACAGACCCTCAGCTCCCCATACCATGACTTAGTGTGTGGGACACCACATGCCTAATGCCGACTTTCCTGTGCTTGTACCCAGGCCCCCTCCAGGGGCTGGATGTGGTAACAGTGACTGAGCTGAGGTGGAGGCAGAAGGCAACTGAGAGCCTGACCCAAGAAGACAGCAAGAGACTGAAACATGCCAAACACATGCTTTCCCCAGTGACAGCACTGCTCTCAGTGCTACTTCTTATTTTTCCTCAATCACAATATCATCAGTGTAATAAGCCAGTTTACTCTTAACCAAAGTAGCAAATCTCTTCTATGAATCCTCCTGAATTTATGTTTCACATCTTTCCACATAAAGCAATTGAACTAAACTCCTCTCTGTTTGGGGGATGAAAGATAAGGCCTTAGTTAAATCAACCATAATTTACTTGTATGTTTTGGCCTGTGAAAACTCTTTGATTTAGAATCAATGTCTGGTTCTGTTAATTTTATCTGAACACTAGTTGATTCAATCTTCTGTTTTCATGATATCCTCTGGCCAACTTGGAACTTAGTCAATTGCTATAAAACACCTCGTTTTTTTGTTTTGTTTTGTTTTTGGTTTTGGTTTTGTTTTGTTTTATCATTTCTTTACTAAAGGTTGAACTTCTCTGGTGCTTTCTGGGAATACATATAGCTTAATAGTCACCACCCAAAATGTCTGAGAAAGTCCCAGTGGTTCCAGTTTCATGTATCTAATTAGTTCTTAAAGAATGTCTTCTGATTAATTTACATTCAAGCAACGACAGCAATATTTCCAACTGCTACATCACACGAACCTATTCCAATTATGATTTGGGGCTTAGGTATCACGAGCAATGTTACTGTTGACTTGTCATGTTCTGGTTGTAGTTTCATTGTTACTGGCCACTTTTGATCACAGCATCTGTGTAACTTCCCAATCTCATTGTCAGTTCTGAATGTGTCCCTTCATGGTCATGATGCGTATAACTCTGTTGAGAATCTGTATTCAACAACCCACAGAATAATTGTTGCCACTCAAGTCTGAGAGTGGCATACAGCCAGTCATCTTCTGCTGAGGCCGTAGGTAGATAATCCTAGTTTTTGAGACACTGATTTTTTCTCTGTCACATTTATGTCCAAGGTGAATTTGTCACCACGTTTCAGCACAATTTATTTTAATTCTTCCTCTACATCAGTATTGTAAATTTATCTTCATTGGGATAAACTGACCACATGTTTTTTTGTTTGTGTGTTTTTTGTTTTTAGAAACTTGACTTATAAATAGGGGTTTTCATTCCTCCTCAGACTTAGTAAAAAAGTGATCTGGGGCCAAGATTGGTCTGCCAGTAATGCAAAATTTAAGGGTAGAAGGACAATAAATTCAGCAATATTAATATATTAATGAAAAATTTCACAATAAAACAAATATCAACATTTTAAATAATGGCAATATCTACATCCTTAGTTTCCTTGACAAAACTTCATTTGTTTTATTTATATTGATCCATTCTTTTAAGGACCTGCAGAAAATTCTACTCAATTCAGCCATCTTTGTTTACAACTACACAGAGGCTGGGGATTTCTTTATTTTCTTACCTTGTTCTTTTTTGAGACATTTTCAAAATGTTTTTTCACCTGCATATCCAATGTGAGGTAATTAAGAAATTATATCTACCACTTTGACTTGTATGCTTTCTTGCTCCCTCTCCCATGAATAAAAGCCACATAAGAAGCATCAATCTGAAAAGACCTTTATCTAAAACATTCACTGTTTTCAGTAGAGAAGACAAGATTTGAGAAGTGTCTGTACTGACTATTGTGTAACAAATCCAATGCAGATGATGTTTAAAGCAACCCAAACCAGATTAGCAAATATGTTCTGTCGTGGTAGAGAAAGGAGTACAAATTATCTTTCATATGTTGACTTGTTTAACTATGGCTTTTACTCATTCAAAGAGAGGCAAAGCTACCACATTTCAGTTATCACTTGGAAAGGCAGCTTCTAAGATGTCCCCTAATTATTCTCATTTTCTTCGCATCCTTTTTAATCTCTTCCCCTGGCAGTGAGCTATGATCATGATTAAAAGTAATTCCCTAATGATGTAATTACAACCAAGAGAATATGGTAAAAGTAAGGGAATATCTCTAATGTGATGAAGTTGTAGGTAATTGAGACTACTGTCTTGCTAGTAGACTATCTCTATTGCCTTTCTTTTTATAGACTTTGATGAAGCTTCGTGTGTTGGAAAGGTGCACATGGCAAGAAACTGAGGGCAGCCTCCGTTGATAACAAACAAGTACTGAGGGATTGAGTCCCATATTCCTTGAGGACTGAATTTGTTAATATCCACATGAGATTGGAAGTCAATCCTTCCCCACTTGAGCATTTGGATGAGACTGTCCATAGCTCACATCTTGATCACAGCTTTGCAAGAGACCCTAGAAAACCCAATTAAGCAATGGCCAGATTCATTGTCTTCAGAAACTGCAAGATAATAAACATGATAAACGTGTTATTCTAAGCACTACGTTTGTGCTAATTTGTTAAGCATAATTCATACATTAATAAATGTTGGATATCACATCTAATTACTGATCAGCTAGTACTTACCATAATAGGCCATTGACAATAGAATATGACAAATAAAGTTATTAGATCCATAATCATTAAATCTTATGATTTATAAGAGTAAATTTGAATACAAAATAGATTTTTCTGTAAAAATAGAAATGATAGGTTTGAATAAAAGCAGATGTTTCAAGTGTCTTCTGCTATTTCTCTAGAAATATTTTAATTATTTTACACCATAGTCCTCAATTACAGTAGAGTTCTTTACCCCTCTACCCAGCCTGGGAAGCTGTAATTTTTGTTACTAAATGCTTCATGGGGTAAACACTATGATTATGATGTTTTCCAAGTCTTCACAGAAACATTAGGATGGTGATGTGAGCCAGATCTTGTTTCCAAAACTGATCCTAAGGTAATGTGATTAGAGCCTCCATCCTCCCTGGCTTCATTTTGCCAATGCTTCCTATAACAGAAATATAATGGGACCATTTGTCATTTCTCTTTCACTTTGGCTTTCTTTTTCTACTAGTTTAGCCATTTGAATAAGGATCATATTAATCATCAAAATACCACTGATACAATCTGTCACATGCCACAAAACTTTCACTTGTTCCAAATTTGAATGCAGTGGCAACCATGCCAACATAAACATTGCCAGTGCATACATACTCAACACATTTTTATTTTTTTAAGAGACTGGGTCTTGCTCTGACACCCAGGTTGAGTGTAGTGGTGTGATGGTTAATATTAAGTGTTAACTTGATTGGATTGAAGGGTGCAAAGTATTGTTCCTGGGTGTGTCTGTGAGGGTGTTGCCAAAGGAGATTAACATTTGCGTCAGTGGACTGGGAGAGGCAGACAGACCCTGAATCAGGGTGGGCACAAAGTAATTAGCTGCCAGTGTGGCTAGAATAAAAGCAGGCAGAAGAACGTGGAAGGACTGGGCTGGCTGAGTTTTCCAGCCTTCATCTTTCTCACATGCTGGATGCTTCCTGCCCTTGAACATTGGACTCCAAATTCTTTAGCTTTTGGACTCTTGAACCTACACCAGTGGTTTTCCAGGGGCTGTCAGGCCTTCAGCCACAGACTGAAAGCTGCACTATTGGCTTCCCTACTTTTGAGGTCTTGGGACTCATACTGATTTCCTTGCTCCTCAGCTTGCAGAGGGCCTACTGTGGGACTTCACTTTCTGATCATGTGAGTCAATACTTTTAATAAACTCCCATATATACATCTATCCTATTAGTGCTGTTCCTCTGGAGAATACTGACTATTACAAGTGGCATGATCATAGCTTACTGTAGCCTTGAACTCCTGGACTCAAGCTTTTCTCTTGCCTCAGCCTTCCAGGTAGCTAGGACGCCAGGGCTACAGGCGTGTGCTACCATACATGGCTAATTATTTTTGCTTTTTCTGGCATTGGGGTCTTGCTATGTTGCCCAGGCTGCTCTTGAACTCCTGGTCTCAAGTGATCCTCCTGCCTTGGCCTCCTAAAGTACTAGGATTTTAGGTGTGCACAATGTGCCTGGCCCTTATCATACTTTTAATCCAAAATACCTTTTAAAAAAGTACCTGTAGGATGGGGGAGTCTTTGCCTCAATATTCTCACTGTCATCAATTTCGCTACACAATCCCTGATGATATCAGTTGATCCCATGTTCAGAATTCACAGAAGTATCCAAAAGACATCTAACCTGAAAGTATAAACAGCAGATAAGGAAGTTGTTATAACATTTCAAGTACGGCTTCTTGACCCAAAAGACATCTAGCCTGAAAGTATACACAGTAGATAAGGGAGGTGTTATAACATTTTAAGTATAGCTTCTTGACCCCTCGTCAACATGATGAACATTTGACTGCAAAAGATGAACTAAAGAAGACAGAAACAATTTCAACTTATATAAGCTATATCACTGATTTACCACACATCTTTTCACTGTGCTTGTTATCTAGGTCCTGTGCACTCTTTCTTCAGCTGCTTCACATCTTCAATCAGGAGGCTCAGAGTATTTAATGCTAACAGTTAAGTATAGGAGGCTTAGAGTACTTAATTCTGAGAGCTAAGTACAATCTGAATGCTCTATCTTTAGTTTAATTTACATATTTTGCAGATCAATATTGCAAAAAGCTGGATCCACGATCACAATGTCAAGTCTCTCTCATAGTATTCTGAACATGGAATAAAGACAAAGTTAAATGTAATTGTTATGAAATGTTTAAAAAAATTGCTCCTTTGAAAATGGCTCTGGAGTAGGAGAAGGAATTAGGAGAAATAACAGTTTATTTCAAAATGATCAATATATATTTTATGGTCTTTTATGAGGCTATCATGCTGCTACATGAAATGGGAAAATATAAAAATGCATAATTAAAATATAGTATTTTATACTGATAAAATCATAAAGTTTATAGTTATGTTTATTCATATAGGTCTTGTTTGTAAGAGTTCAATTTTTTTTTCAGAGCACTTTATAAGTAAGTAATACAGGTTTTCCATAAAAGTTTTGGCATAATTGAAGCCCATCAAATATAAATCATAAAACATAAGAAATGGAAGAAACAATAAAGTGATAGTCATGTATTTTAAACGAATGGCTTTGTCAGATAATACTTCATCTTCACAAGAGGATGTAGCTAAAATACCATTAGGATTGCCATTTGATTCAGCCAGTTTGGCCACCATGCTAAAAGTATAGCTTTGGATAAGGGGATAATGTGATTATTTTCCCATAATGTGTATTGTTGTCTCTCTTTATTTCAGCCCTAGCCTGACACAGATAGTAACTGCAAACAGTACTGATCAAGAGGAACTCCTATTTTTGAAAGGCAAGTAAAGACTGGCAAGAAGGATAGCAGAAATATGATATTAAGTTGGTAATCAGCCTTTATCAGTATTTTCAGACTATATAATAAAATATCATGGACTAGGTGGCTTATAAACAACAGAAATCTATTTCTCACTATTCTGGAGTGTGGAAGTCCAGGATTAGGGTGCCAGCAGATTCAGCGTCTGGTGAGGGCCCACTTCCTTATAGATGGCTGTCTTCTAATTGTAACGTCACATGGTAGAAGGGGCAAGAAAGCTATCTTGGGCCTCTTTTATAAGGACACTAATCCCATTTATGATGCCTTCACCCACACGGCCTAATTATCAATTAAAGAATTCACATTCTAATACCATCACATTGGGGGTTAGAAGTTCAAAACATGAATTTTGAGGAGACACATTTATTCATACTATAGCATAAACCATGCTAAGATCTAGACTGCTAGCTAAAAAATAATTCTGAAAGTTAATATGATGATTATCTACCCATAAAAGCAAACTAGATAAGATATTTACTCATACATGAGTTTATGTATTTTAAATAATAATGAGTTATTGAAACATTATAAAATAATATTTATTGCACACTTAACATGTTCAAAGTAATTTACTACACTAAATTTATCATTGCAACAACTCTGTAAAGTATGTAGATCCATGTTACTCCTTTCCTGATGAAATAACGAAAGTATAGACAGGATAAGTCACATGAACAAAGTCACTAAGCTAAAATTTGATCCTACTCTAAGTCCTGAGTATGGCACTGTGCTGCCTTCTCTAAAATGTTGTAGGTGAGACAAAAATTATTGATTATTAATTAGATATCAAAGACAGTGACAAATTTGTATAACATATAAAATATTAACAATATACTAAATTTTCATGATGAGTCTCACACCATATTCAACTTATAGATTTGTTCACACACATTTTAACATAGATATATATACACATAGAAAAAAATTATAATTTTTAATTATAGAAATTTAATTTTAATTTAACTTTAAATTTATTAAAACTTTTTATAAATTTTGTATAAGTTTTTATCAGAAACACTTTTAATTGATTAAGAAAACACTATTTTTAAAAGAGCATTGTAAAAAGATAACTACCATTGTAGTTACTGTTAGTACTACCATTGTTGTTAAACTTTGTAAAAAGGTTACTCGATAAAAACAAAGGGGTAGGTATGGGTAAGGCAAGGCTGATGAACATAGAGGTCATTTTATTGAAAATAAACAAGTTTCTTATGTAAATGAATTCTAAAAATCTATTTCTACAGTGGAATGATATTAGGAGGACATTTTGTATGTGGTTTATACTACTTAAATTTTTAATGATTTCCTACTTTCAACCTGTTTAATAAGCAATAAGTTGTATTTCAGGTTTTTAAGATCTGAGTTACCATGAAAAGGATACTGTAAAATTAAATCTAATTTTTCATATAATCTAACAAAGATATTTTCAGTTAACATGTATTCATTACAGCTACCAAAAAGGAAACTAATTAATAGTAAAGCTGTTGAAATACGAATTTGTTTTATTTTTAATAATGAAAAATAGTGAAAATAGTGTTTTTTTAACTCTCTCTACCAAGTAGGTTACAATTCTAACTGTGACTCTCATCAGATTTTGATTTATCTCTTTATCCATTCTTGTACCTAATGGGGAACAAATTACTTATTACTCATGAAAGACACTAACTACCTAGTGTTGCAGAAAAAGAGAATATTACAATTTACATTTAAATGAGATTTGAAATGTTAATGAACAGATCCAGTATTCTAATTATCTCTACAAATACATTAAATTAAGGTGAACTTTCATAGATAGATCATTCATTGCTCCTTACTCTAGAGTGCCCTACAGGGTTGTGTGATAGCATATAAAGCATACGGTACCTACATTAGATGCACTTATTGTTATAATGTAAAAAATATACAGTCAAATAGCTATGATTATTGTTAAGGAACATATAATTTTACTGTAATGAATACTCATAAATCACATAAAACATTTTTAAATTAAAAAACTATCCTATGAAAGCATTATTGAATTGAAATTTTACTCATTTATTTATTTTTCTGGGGTTAAAATAAGATGCATGATTGACTGGACATATAGACAGTTTTGATAAACACATTTTCCATGCAACAAAATAACACCATCCTTCTTACCTTAAAAGCACCCTTTCTGTAATGAATAAATGTTTTTGTAAGCAGTAAATAATGAAATGAACAATAAGATTATATGTGATTTTTTTATTGGTTGACTATGCTTGGGGCTACCAAGGAACACGAGTTCAACATGAAACCTTCCATCCAACTAAATGCAGTGACTCATAAAGAAAAACACAGAATACAAACTCCTTGTCTTTTTCTGTACTCCTATTTAATTATTTGCATTGCCCTAGAAGACACCATTCTGATTTTTTCTCACATGTATGCAATATGATGAAGCATCTCAAATATAAGAGCAACTCCAGGACATAAGAACCCAACTAGTGACTGAAAAAGAGAGGCCATAAGTTCAGGAGAGAAGTTAATAAAACATTTGAAAAAAAAAATGAACAGCTAGAGCAATAGTTTTACAGGAATCCACACAACACATGGGAAATAACACATAGTTGGTAAGGGTGTCAGAAAGGAGAGCTTCATACATCAAGTTATTACAGTTATTGCCTGCTTTAAATGGGACTGAAAAACAATTACAGTGAATTGAAGCTAATGACAATGCCAGCACTGCACAACACCACTTCATAGTATGTGTGAAAAGAGAAAGCAGCAACAATGAGCACTGGATTTGTGTTTTAAATCAGTCCAAAGAAGGAATAGAAAAACTAATAACAGTCACCATTCTGCCCTTGATGTTACAAAATTCCATCTGAAGCATGATGATGTCCTTCTGTCATAGTCAGCTTAAGCTTCTATAGCAAAATGCCATAGACTGAAATGTTACTTTTCACAGTTCTAGGGGCTAGAAGTCTGAGATAAGGCTGCCAGCATGGTTGAGTTCTTGGTTAAGATCCTCTTCCTGGCTTGCAGATTATCTTTTTTGGTGTGTTCTTACATGAGAGGGGGGAAAAGAGAGACAGTGAGAGTGAGAGAGTTTTGATTTCTCTTTATAAGGGCACTGATCCCATCCTGAAGACTCCATCTTCAAGACCACACGCAAACCTAATTACCTCCCAAAGACCTCCCCACGCACTTCCAAATACCATTATATTGAGTATTAAAACTTAACTTGTAAATTTTGGGAAAGACACAAATATTAAGTCTATCCCTTCTTTTTTCCACCTCTTCTTCATAATTTAAGAAACACATATCTTAACCATACACACCTCAATCAGAAGAACTTAAGGTCTTTCATCTATGTTTGGTATTTTTTTCTACTATAGCATTACTCTATTTATTAAGAAGCTAAGATATTTAAGACTAGTGGACAGTTTTTATTAGGTTTGTTGTAATAAAAACAATGAACAGGAGAGAAATGTTCTGTCCCAACTCTATCATGAGTATGACCCTAATAAAGAAAAACTATAATGCAGACATTTTAGGAACACATGTATAGTGTTTAGAAAAGAAAGAAAGAAAAACAAAACAAAACAATATAAAAACACAAACAACAGAATGTGACATTTCAATATTTAGATTAAAAATTAATACTCAATTTACTATTATAGTATAATTAAGATATAGATAGAAATATCACCTATGAATTTGTACAGAAGAAAAAATAGAGAAATATTACCATTTGATAACATGATGTAAAAGAAACATAGACATTAACTAACTCTGAAATTTGCATCTTAAGAATTTTAAAATTTAAAAGTAATCAAATATAAAATAAAATGAAGTAAAGGTAGACCAAAGTGAAATTGAAGTGACTTCCTAAATTTAAATACAGTGAAAAAAATACTAAAAAGTTTTGTTTCACAACAAACAAATGAGAAATTTTGGAAATAAATTTCTACAATATGCAAACATATTTTAGGACCACATATTTAGTTAATATTACAGCCACTAGTTTCATGTAACTTTATATTTTAACTGAGAAAATGTTCCAATGAAAAGAAATTCAAGATAGGCTTAGAACATATGAAAAACTAAAAAAATATGAATTATAAGTGAAAAGCATAAGAAAATTTGTATTACTCATGTCATTAAAACAATATAGCATAAATACTTGGGTTTATTTAATTTCCCCCATTCCTTTACATTTAATCTGTTGCCGATGTTCCAGTGAAAGAAATTTCATTCTGATGTTGGACAGAGTTGCTTATTTATGATCACTTGATCCCAGTTAGGCCAATGACAATTTCATTTCCTATTCCTTTCACACTTGGACACAGTGTTATAAAAAATATTTTGGTGCAGTATAAACAGTGTTTTGTTGAGAAGTGATGTGTGTTTAGGAAGAGTTAATGGACATGAATAAGAGTTTGTCCCAGGGAAATTTATGAACAAGTTAAGATAGTTTGTTTTTTTTTTCTTACCAAGGTGTTTAAAGAGTCAGAAAATGACAAAATTTAAAGAAATATGATAAATGACATGCATAATTACAAAGAAAGAATAGAGAAAAGTAGGAATTTATTACGGTCATCACACTCTTAGTTCGATTTTCTCCTGGGTCCCAGTTATGCGAATGTCTGAGTTCTGCATGAGACTAAATTTATTGTAACAAATCCTTCCTTAGGTATTCCAATGCATTTTTGTCACAGGGTCCTATGATTGAATAACAAGACTCAACAGAGCGTACTCACATAAAGCATATTATATAGAGCTTTCATAAAGGCAAAGGATATGGGAAGTATAAAAAAGCTCAGATAAGCAGTTGAGACTAAGAGACTCCCAAGCACAGCTCCCCAGGATGCACTTATCCAGATTATAACCAGCAAGATATATGCAAGAAATCTTAGTTTCACAAGAGCTTAAGCAAAACGCTCAGCAGTGCCTTTTTATATCTCACTTGTTACAAAGCCAAGCCAGGTTGTATAACCCTTTAAAACAGACAGAAGCCACCACATACATAAATAATGTAAAATAACTGGCTCTGGGTGTTATGAGGGGAATTTGAAACTTTAAATAAGCATAGAGATGGCCTAACAGACGTAAGACAGCTCCATCTTATATACAATCTAACATAAATAATTATATCAAACATGTTTAATATGTATATGCTAGTTTACCATTACCTGGTTTTCCAAGCATTTCAAAGACTAAACAAATATTTTGATGCAGTATAATTTTTAAAATACACATATTTAGGGGTGTGGATTAACAATTATGAAACCACTATACATGTTTATATTAGGTTGGTGCAAAAGTAATTGCGGTTTTTGCCATTACACTCTAATGGCAAAAACATTACACTCTCGTGGCAAAAACCACGATTACTTTTGCACCAACCTAATACTAGAATTAAACAATTAAGTAAACAGCTGTCAAGTTATGGGAGTCTGATTTCTCATTTTTGGAGGGAGAGGTTACAGAAAACAAGGGCATAAAGCTAAAATAACATATTTGGTCATGAAATCGAGTTGAAGGTGTTAATGCAAACTCACATTTGGCATAATATAGATACAGATGTTACACATACAAATATCTATAGATATGTATAAATACCCATATAGATATATAGTTATGTGTCCATACAAGGGTTACTATAAACATATATATACCCTTTTCTGCCAGTTGAGTGAGCATATAACCAGAGACATCCTAGTAGCAATGAGGACATCTAGCACCAGATCTTGATTCTAATACTATTCTTCAGTATTAGAGGAAACCAGTAAAGCTGAAGAAACGGCAGCTTTTAGCATTCAGACAGTGACTATTTAAGATGAGCCTGAAGCATCATACAGTTATAGAAAGTAAGAAAGTGTTTGAAACATAAACATACGCACACACACACACACACAATGGGGTTATGTGAAAGAGAAAAAGGACCCAGTTGAATGAGTTTTCTAAGGCTAAAGCTGGAAAAATTTGAGCAGCAAAATAAATAAATTAGCATTAGATTATGACCCAAAGAATAAAATATTCACGTGTCCATACTGACACAAATAAATAAGTGAATAAATGTAAGAGCATAGACAATATCCTTTGAAAAATATTACAAATAATTTATATAGATACGCTGTTTTCAAGGAGGTAGAGGACAACTCTCCATTTCTTAAGCATGGTTAGTACATAATAATTTTCTTGCAAAGAGTACAGTATGGAAAGAAGACAAAGAAGATATGTACAGTCAAGGGACCCAGCAAATACCACCTCAGTCAGATGATCAAGATTAACAACAGTGATAAATCATGTTGATGGCATATATCCTTGATATAAGATAATAAAAATGATATTTTATTTCTGGGATTTTTCTCTCAAAAACACATAACTCTTTTGTAATAATGAGAAAGACATAAGGGCATATCCCAATTAAGAGGCGTTGTATAAAATACCTGACAAATATTCCTCATAGCTTTCAAGATCATTAAAACTAGGAACACCTGAGAAACTACCACAGCCACAAGAATCCTGAGGAAACAAGATAACTAAGTATAATATTGTTTCCTGTATGATACCATCAGGGCAAAAAAGAAGTATATTAGGTAAAAACTAAGGAAAACTGAATATATTAGGAATCACCTTGATATGGTTTGGATTTATGTCTTCACACACATCTCATGTCTAATGGTAATCCCCAATGTTGGAAGAGGAAGGTGATTGGATCTTTGGGGTGGATTTCCCCCTTACTGTTCTCCAGATACTGAATAAGTTCTCAGAAGATCTGGTTGTTTAAAAGTGAGTGGCACCTCCTGCTTCACTCTCCTCCTCCTGCTTCTGCCATGTAAGATAAGATGTGCCTGCATCCCCTTTGCCTTCAGCCATAATTGTAAGCTTCTTGAGGCCTCCCCAACCATGCTTCCTATACATCCTACAGAACCTTGAGCCAATTAAACCTCTTTTATTTATAAATCACCCAGCCTCAGGAATTTCTTTATAGCAGTGCAAGAATGGACTAATACAGATCTTTAGTTAATAATAATGTATCAACATTTTTTCATTAATTATGACAAACATACCATACTAATATATGTTATTAATAGAATAAAATTGGGGTAGTTATATGGAACCTCTTTGTATTAATTTTGCAAATTTTCTGTGAATTTAAAAGTATTATAAAATTAAAGGTTTATTTTAAAATAAACATTAAAGAACAAACAGATTAAACAGAGAAATTCAATAATCAATGAACTTGGGATATTATGTAGCCAATTGTTATTTTCATTCTTAAAGCTTTTTTGCAATACTGATAGTATTTACATATAACACCATATAAAAGATATTAAATAATGCATTTCACTATAACCAATTTGGTTTTGTGTATAGGTATAACATCATATCTTCATATACATTAATGCTACTGTCAAATGTGACTGGGAAGTCAGTTTTATTATTAGTAGGATGCAAAGTTTTTAAACTTTGAATACTCCCCCTCAATGCAATTGTATTATTTGTATGTGAAATAAATCCAAATTTTTATCATAGGAAATTTGGTCTTAACTTTTAGTTTTTGGAGCACAGTAACTTATTTTTTAAAATATGTTCAGTTGGATATCTGCATTTTTTTAATTGACACAATTTTGTATGCCAATATACTTGTGGGGTGAAATGCAATGTTTTCATATATGTACACATTGTGGAGATAAAGCTAATTAATCAATCACCTCACAAACATCATTTTTTGGTGATGAAAACATTTAAATTTTAATCTATTAGCAATGTTTAAATACACCATACATTGTTATTAACTATACTCACTATGCTGTATAATAGATCTCTAAAACTTATTCCTCTTGTCCAACTGAAACTTTGTACATTTTGACAAATATCCCCTCAATTTGTCCCACCCCCTGAAGGCCCTGCTAACAATCATTCTACTCTCTACTTCAATGAGTTTGAGTTTTTTAGATTCTCTATATAAGTGAGATCATGCAGTATTTGTCTTTATGTGCCTAGCTTATTTCACTTAGCACAATATCCTCCAGATTTTATCTATGTTGTCACAAATGACAGAATTTTCTTCTTTTTAAAGTCTGAGTAGTATTCTATTGTACGTATACTGTCATACTGTTGATGAACACTTAGATTGTTTTCATATCTTTATATGTCTTTACTATTTTGAATAATGCTGCAATGAACATAGGAGTCAAGATGTCTCTTTGAAATACTGACTGTATTTTCTTTGAATATATACTCAGAAGTGAGATTGCTAGATTGTATGGTAGTCCTATTTCTAATTTTTTGAATGACTTTCATACTGTTTTCCATAATGGCTGTACTGGCATACATTTTACCTGAAATGGAAGATGAATATACTTAAAATTCTTTTTAGCGCAGGCATTCCGCACACATAGCTGTCCTTAGGACATCTGACAATTAGAATTGAGGAAACTTAATCCTTCTGGGTCACTGTAGTAACTTCTGTCATCTTTGAGAGCTTATCATTAATTATAAGGCTTTTCAAATAGTATAGAACTCAGTAACCCTGTGAGGAGTGCTTAACTGTTTTTAAAAACAGAATCTCAACCCACAAAAAGGTTTGAATAGATAATACCTTTCTCATATTTTCATCACTTCCTCTGCCTTGAAATTTTGTCTAGCTTTATAACATTCACCTTTTGCCAGAGTAGGTAAAAAAATCACCCAAATCCAATGTATTCTAAATCCAATAAAAGAACATGACCACAGCCCAGAGGTTGACAAGACACATTATCTTCTTTCTTCTGTAGTTCCATTAATTTATATTTCTTAGTGAGTCATTCTCTCTCTCTCCATGTTTCTCTGTCTCTTTCTCTTTCTCTCTGTCTCTCTCTCTCTCTCTCTCTCAACCTACACTGGGGACACAAAACTCTCTGAACGTTGATTTGAAATAAGAAAAGCTAGTAAGGCTATGGCTATGGCTGTTTCTTTGTTTGCTTTTTTCACACTACATGTACAGCTTTTTTTAATGGAACTTTCATTTCATAGTGCATAATAGAACAAAAAATGTGAATGAATTGGGTCATGTCTCAGTTACATACTGCTCTTGCAATACAAGACACAGTTCCAGGGATTATTGCAATATTAAAATTTAGAGGGGTAATAAAAAAGATCTATTGGACATACACAAGCAACTATTATCATTAATTTTAAAGTTATTTTTCATGACAAGACATAGTTTGGCTATAATGCTCTAGAGTATGCATGAAAAAGACAATGAGAAAAGGTATTGGGTGATACTTCTGTCAAGATAAAAGTGGTGCATTGTATATATATTTGATTACACAGCTACATTTTCAAAAGTATTTTCTACATAAAATCTCATTGACTTCAATTAGAATTTGCAATCTAAGTACACCATATGGCTTTGCTTAAAAGCAATGAGACTATCAAATTTAATTACTTTTATAGGCGTCTCGCATGGTAAAGGTGCTTGTTAAAGGAGCAGCACTATATGAGAATTATTTCCACTAAAAATTGAAAACTAAGAAGATGGCTACCGTCTGGTGGTTACTAATTGACAGTCAATTCCACAAGAAAAGTAATTTTCAGTAATACTTAAAGAAAGCATGCAGAGAACAATGTCACTTTGCTAATTTTATTGCTGTTCTATATAGCAATATTTGAATATAATGTGAATTAACACTATTACACTAAAAGCAAAGCATTTCTTCTGCTTATCGGTCTTGTCTTATTTTTGCCCTTTCCTCATGAAGAAGAAATGCAAAGATGTATTCTTATATATATGTACACACACATGCATAAATAGATATATTCTTCTATATAAACAATACAGGAGAATGTATTGGTAGCAGTACAATAATTTCCTTCATCTTGCTTTACTAAGGAAATGTTTTAAATTCAAAGTCCTGATAAAGTCAGATACAATACAATGGGTAGAAATGAGTTACATTTTACTGTGAAAATATAGTTTTGTCTTTAATTGAGAGTCCTAAAGTTTCAGGCAAACTGGAAAACAGATGTCATTTTCGAAGAATAACCTTTTGTTAGCTCCAGCTATCTTTCTCATATGACAATTGTACTTTATCCACTATTGCCAGATGAGTTGAATTTATTTTTAAAAGAAGCTAGAAATTCACATATGAAATAAAATCTTCAACTTTTAAAATATGAAAAGAATTTAAAAATTTACGTCCAAAACATATCTATAGGATAAAAGCCATCATGGGCCGTTTGCTTTCTTATTTTCTAGAGTTCTGGCTTTATATCACCAAACAAATACAAATTAAACCAAGAATCATTATTTCTCTGCCTGTTTAGACAAGTACATAAAATAACAAGTACTACAAATCTTAAGTAATGAAAAGTAAACTTTACCTATTAAAAAAAAACATTAGCAATTGAGAAAACAGTCCAGTAAAACTGAAAATAATTTTGTATTACAAAAACTTATTAAAAGCTGGTAAGGTTTGTTCAGACAATTTCTATGAAGTAATGTAATTTCCCTTATCATTATGGTAAACGGTTTTTTTTTTCTGATTTTGACTTCCCTTAAAAATCAGTGGTTATTCATAATCAAAATGGTTGATTGAACATAGGTGATTATTATTCCTAGTACCAGAATCTCATTAAAAAACTGAATAAGTAATTCTAAAAATTACCATGAATTTCACTGTTGAAAAATCACAAAGGCCATATCACCTACATATGTAAGTGTTTCTTGAAATAAAATGCATATGATAATGATTGTAGAGATAGTTAAATTCAGTGGAACAGAAATCTGCTCTTTTGTATAAGCAAAGGAGCCCCTCCCTTCCCCCCGCCAGCCTTAAAAAGGAAGTGGGCCTTCTACCTTCAGGTCATTATTGGATTAGCTCCACGATGAGAAGTAGGGAGACGGTATAATTTTGTGTTGTTTCCATTTCTTGTTTTATTGTTATTTGTCTTATGGAAGTGGTCCTGAAACTCTTAGGATAGATGTTTTAAGGGCTGTGAAACAGCTGTATCTCTGTACCTGTTTTACCTAGCAGCTTGTTTCTGTATTTTTCTCCTTTGAAAAATTCTGTGCGCCCCCATCTAGATACTGAAGAAAATCGCCTTTGGAGACACCCAGAGTAGAACCCGGGACCTAAGCAAAAACCCTGGATACCTTGCCCACAGAAATGGCTATCTCCACTCCAAGAAGGCACTGTCCTCATACAACCTTAGAAACAACCTATACTTATACACCCGTCATTCATTATTAATAGAGCTCCTTTAATCATTGTCAGAGAAGCAAAAAGTTTTACTTAGATTAAGGAAATATATGCAAGCAAACAACATATCTCAGTAGATGCCCCTATTTGTAAAGATTAGAAGATAATTTCAGATATAATTTTTTATTATTTGAGATAAGCCAATAGTACGAAGGAAAAAACAATAACAAACCCTCAATTAGAAAGAAATAATGCTGGGAAAGGAGCATACATTTTCAGTAAATAAAATGAATACCCTCAAAATGACTAATAATATCCCATCCAAAACTAAGATTAATTAGGCTGTTAAAAAAAAAAAAAAAAAAGCAAAGGTCAGACTTCTTTGAAACCAAAATTTGGCTGTCGGAAAAAAAAAGCAAAAGATAAATTAAAATAAAAATTGGACATTGTAAAGAATACTTTTTTGGTGCCCAAAATATCTAACAGTGGTAGGTTTCAAATGTTAGTGTAGGAAGTCATTTGTTTTTCCTCTAGGTCATATGCTTATTTGAGCTCTCTCATTTTTCCTCAACTTTCATTTTAGGTACAGGAAGTATATGTGGCAGGTTTGTTCCATGAATATATTGCACTACAGTATTGAGCATAGTGCTCAATAGGTAGTTTTTCAACCCATGCTCTCCCTTCCTCCCCACTCTAGTAGCTTGCAGTATGTATTAGTTCCATATTTATGTCTGCAGTTGCTCAATGTTTAGCTCCTACTTAAAGTGCAAATGTTCAGACTTTGCTTATCTGTTACTGAGTTTGCTTAGGATTATGGCCTCCAGCGCTATCCATGTTGTTAGAAAGTACATTATTTCATTTTTTTATGTCTGTGTAATATTTCATAGTATATATGTACCTACTACATTTTCTTTATTTAATCCACTGTTGATGTGCACCTAGGTTGATTACATTTTTTTGCTATTTGTGAATAGTGCAGTTTTAAATGAATGAGTGCATGTGTCTATTCCTTTGGGTATATACATAGTAAATGGATTGCTAAATCAAATGGCAGTTCTAAGTTCTTTGAAAAATCTCTAAACTACTTTCCACAGTGATCGAACTAATGCACATTCCCACCAACAGTGTATAGACATTTCTTTTTCTCCACAGACTTGCCAGCATCAAAGACCAGTTCTTCAAATCAACCCAGTCAAAGAAAATAAAAAAAATGAATTCAGAAAGTGAAAACAAAATCTGGAATAAATATGAGAATAAGATACCAAATCCACAATTTATTGCCATTCCTGAGAGATAAGAAGAGAGAATAAACAACTTGAAAAAATATATTTGAGGATGTAGTCCACAAAATATTTCCTAATTTAGGTAGATAAGTTGACACGCAAATCCAAGAAATACAGAGAACTGCAGTGAGATACTATACAAGATGACCATCCCCAAGGCACATAGCCATCAGATTTTAAAAAGTCAATGGAAGAGAAAGAATCGAAAGACAGCTAGAGAGAAGTGTCACCTACAGAGGGAACCTAATCAGGCTGGCAGTAGACCTCTCAGCAGAACCCCTACAAGGAAGAAGAGAATGGGGACCTATTTTCATTGTCCTATAAAAATAAAATACAACCAAGAATTTTATATCCTTCCAAACTAAGTTTCATAAGTGAAGGAGAAACACCGTTCTTCTCAGACAGAAAAATGCTGAGGGAATACAATCCAAACAGACAAGCCTTACAAGAGATCCTAAAAGAAGTTCTAAACATAGAATTGAAAGAACAACATCTGCTACAAAACACAACAACAAAACAAAATCACACATAAGTACATAGGCCACAGGCACTAGAAAGCAATTACACAATCAAGCCAATATAAAACAAGCTAACAACAAAATGACATCATCAAAATGTCACATATCAATACTAACCCTGAATTTAAATGGGTTAAATGCCCCACTTAAAAGACATAGAGTGGCAAGGTGGATAAAAATATAAGATGCAACTATCTTTAATCTTCAAGAAAATTTATATATTAACACCCTCATGCCCAAAATAAAGGTATGCAGTAAGATCTGCCATGTAAATGGAAAACAAAAAGAGCAAGAGTCACTATTCTTAAATAATATGAAACATATTTTAGAAGAATAAAAATTAAAGATGGACAAAAAAAGAAACGTTACATAATGTAAAGGGTAAAATCCAACAAGAACACTTTTATTTAACTAGCCTAAATACCTAAATTTCTATGCACCCAACACTGGAACATCAAGATTCATAAAACAAGTATTCTTGGACTATAAAAAGACTTAGATAATCACAAATATCTGTGACTGGGAGACTTCAACAACCCACTGGCAGTGCCAGGTACATCATTGAGGCAGAAAACTGACAAAGAAATTCTGGACTTAGATTTGACATCTGAGCAAATAGACCTAGTAGACATCTACAGAACACTCCTCTCAACATCCACAGAATGGACATTCTTCTCATCTCCACATAGAATGTATTCTAAGATTGACCACTTTCTTGTTCATAAACAGTCTCAACAAATTCAAAACAATTTGAATCATAGCAAGCACACTCTCAAACCATCGTGCATTAAAAATATAAATGAATTTCAAGAAGATCTCTCAAAAGTACAAAAATTCACGAAAATTAAAACATTTCCCCCTAAATAACTCATGGATGAACCTTGAAATTAGAGCGGAAATCAAAAAATTATTTGCATTAATAGAGACATAACCTACCAGAACCTCTGAGATGCAGCTAAAGCAGTGTTAAGAGGAAAGTTTATAGCCCTAAAATGCCTTGATTGAGTGTTAGAAATATCTCAAATTAGTAATTTAATTTTGTACCTATAGGAACTAGGAAAAAAAAGAAGGAAACAACCTAAGAGCTATCAGAAGAAAACAAATAACTAAAATTAGGGAAGAACTGAATGAAACTGAGATGCAAAAATCCATACAAAAGATCAATAAAACCAAGAGTTGTTTTTTCAAAAAATAAACAAGATTAAAAGACCCCTACATAGACTCACAAAAAAAGAGAAGATCCAAATAAGTACAATCATACCTGATAAACATGACATAACTGATGCCACAGAAATACAAAAGATCCTCAGAATACTATGAATAACTCTAAGCATACCTATTAGAAAACCTAGAGAAAATGGGTAATTTCCAGAAAGAATTGCCGAAGATTTAATCAGAAAGGGATTCAAACACTGAGTAGACCAATATTGAGCTCTGAAATTGAATCAGTAATAAAAATTCTACCAACCAAAAAAAGTCCTGAACCAGATGAATTCACAGCTGAATTCTGCCAGGTGTACAAAGAACTGCTACCAATCCTACTGAAAATATTCCAAAAAACTGTGGAGGAGTGGCTTTTCTGTTATTCTTTCTACGAAGCCAGCATTAGTCTAACACCAAAATCTGGCAGACACAATTAAAAAAAAAGAAAACTTCAGGCCAATATTCCTGAAGAACACAGGCACAATAATTCTTAGCAAAACACTAGCACACTGAATGTAGTATATTAAAGACTAAATATACTACAATCAAGCAGGATTTATTCCTAGGATGCAAGGCTGGTAAAACATATACAAATCAATAAATATTCACCATCTAAACAGAATTAAAAACAAAAACTCTATGATCATCTCAATAGATGCAAAGAAAGCTTTCAATGATATCCAAGATCCATTCATAATAATAAAAAAAACCTTGAGTGACTAGAAACGTAAGATCATATCTCAAAATAATAATATCCATTTATGACAAACCCACAAGCAACATCATACTGAATGGATAAACACTGGAATTATTTTCTTTGAGAACTGGAACAAGACAAGGATGCCTCTTTCACCACTCTTATTCAACATACTTCTGGAAGTGCTAACCAGAGCAATCAGATAAGAGAAAGAAATAGAAGGCACCCAAAAAGGAAAGGAAGAAGTCAAACTATCTTCACCAGTTATATGATTCTATACCTAGAAAATCCTGAAGACCTTGCCAAAAGGCTACTAGAACTGATAAATAATTTAGTGAGGTTTCAGGATACAAAAATCAATGTATAAAAGCCAGTAGCATTTCCATACACCAACAACATCCAAGCTGAGGATCAAATCAAGAACACAATCCTACTTACAATAACCACAAAGACAATGAAATACCTAGAAATACTGATAAACAAGGAAGTGAAAGATCTGTACAAGGTGAACTACAAAACACTGCTGAAAGAAATCAGAGATGGCACCAATAAATGGGAAAACATCCCATGCTCATGGATTTGAAGAATCAGTATCTTTAAAATTGCTGTATTAGTGTGTTTGTATTCTTCTGATAAAGATATACCCAAGACTGGGTAATTTATAAAGAAAAACATGTTTGTTTAATGGACTCACAGTTCCATGTGGCTGAGGTGGCCTCATGGCACAAGGCAAAAGACACTTCTTACATGGTGACAGGATGAAACTAGAGAAGATAAAGTAAGGAACAGATTCTCTCCCATAGATTCTGGAGGGAGCATGTTGATTTTGAACACCTGTCTAATTGAACTATGGAAAATAAATTTCTGTGTTTTGAAACCACCCAAGTTGTGATAATTTGCTGTAAAAACTGCTGAGAACTAATCCATACCTTGTCATGTTCTGTAGATGTTGTATTTGAGCATAGAGAAGTTGGCAACTTTCCATAGCATAAAATGTAGTAAGGGTGGAAGAAGCAGGCATTGCAGAATGATATTGTTATGAAGTGAAAGGAATTATGTTAATGTAGCGATTTCTGTGTTTGCAAATGCAGGCAAATTTTTAACTATTCAATAAAGCATGAATTTCCTAATACACTGGTTTAATATATTTGGTTGGTTTAGTCTGTGCATAAGAGTAGATAGGTCCTGATATAATGCCCTCAAAGCACATGTTGGAAAATAAAATTGGTCATCATAGCAGGCTAAATGGTGCTCTCCTCCAAGAAAAAAAAAGTCTATATTAGAGTCTCAGACAATATCACATACTGTGACAGAAGGGTGACTACTACCTTATATAACAAAAGATGTGATTGAATTATGTCTTTTGACAGTAAGGGCTTTTTCGGGATTCTTGGGGTGGGGTGTAAATGCAATCACAGATATCCTTATGAGAGAGAGGCAAAGGAAGTTTAGAGAAGACACACAGAAGAGAAGGCAATGTGCAGACGGAGGCAGAGATTGGAGTGATATACCTACGAGTTATATTCTGGCAGCTACCAAAAATGGGAAGAGGTAAGGAATGGAGTCTCTTCCAGGTCACCTAAAGGAACGCAATCCTGCCAGATTTTGGACTGTGAACATCTAGACTCTGTGAGAGGATATATTTATATTGATTTAATCCACCTAGTATGGGATAAATTATTATAGCAACCATAGGAAACTGATACATTCATAAACAAGAAAAGACAGCAGTTTAACCAGAAAAGCTGGATATTATTTGGTGTATAAAAGAACAAAGAGGGGCTAGTGCAAATAAATTTCTAATGCAGGCTATTACAAAAATTATGAATACTCATCACTTTGATGAGTAATTTCACCACAAAAGCACATGATATTTTGGAGTGTATTCACACTATGCCAAATTGTATATTTTACATCCTATAGTAGAAACATTTACTCAGCCAAGAAATATAAAATAAAACTCTGTAATATTTATAAAAACTGTTCTAACTCAGAGCAAGCATATTAAACTAAATTACCCATGTGAAAATGCAAAACTACAGTTAAACAGTCCCTAAGGTTAAAGCCTGTGTCCTGAAGAAAGAGAAGACCTTTTTAGTCTAATAAGTAAGGCAATCTAAGAACATCCTGTTTGCTTTATTTTTTTATTATATACATTTTCATTTTCCTAAACAAACTTTATAGTTTTTATTTTAACAAACATGGAATAGCAAGTAAAGAAAATTTAACTTATTCATGGCTTCTGCCATTGAATAATTAGATTTTTAATATCAATATTACCTCAAATAAATATGATAAGCTCAAGTGATAAACCTATGCTTCTACTTGTTTTATATTAGCTCCAAAGGGCAAATAAGCTTATGATTTCAAATATGTTCTATTGTATTTTCTACAAAACAGCATCTTAGAGACATATGGAGTATACTGTAAACTATTTTACATTAAGATTATTGCTACAATTTGGTTAATTTAATAGGTATAAAATGCTGGCCTTTTTTATTAATATGTATGGAATTACAATTCAGTTATAGCCTAAGAAATTTAAGTAGCAAAGTCAATCACAAAATATTTTGCATGGAAAGAAATTAACTACAAGTTATAAATACAAATATTTATAGCTTATAAAGAGTTTACAATGTTTTCTATGGTTTCTGAATATATTATATAGGCAGCATAGTCTTTCATTTACTCAAGAATAATTTAAATTGAAGAGATCCTTATCACAAAGCTGGCGTGATCAAAATAAACCAATAATAATCTCAGTTTCAACAAAAGAAAAAGCGTGCTTTGGATGAAAAGCTCTGGGAATACGGCTGATGATTTATTCTCTCTAGTTTATGTTTCTTACATTAGAACCATTTTTTTGGTTTATGCTCTTCCATCTCTAGCTGGAATATTCTATTACATTATCAGAATATAAGTATATCTTAGTATATGATGTTTACTCATAACTGTAGTAAATTCTAGGTAAAAGTTTCAATAATAGCAGTTTCACCAAAGATTTCAATTCTTATTAAGCTAGACTTTATGTTAGATATCCATTTCTATTCATAAAAAAACTAACACCGATGCAGCAAGACTTTCTTTAAAGCCTTGCTGTATTATATAACACGATGAAATTACTTCATCTGAAGAATATTCTTTATTATGAATAATACATGCTGAAGAAAAAAACATGCTTAACTAAATTGAAGTCTTTCTTTTTCATGATCAGCTGCTATAAAACAAGTCTATAATGATAAAAGAAGTAAACTAACTTGTGCAAACATTTGCAAGTCATATTTTCAAAACCTACCTAGAAAACATTTTGATATCTAAACTTACATGCTTTGGAATCTTTACTTTCACAAACATAGCTGTTAGCAATATAGCAAATTCCCCCACACATAGCATTCTATGAATTTATTATATTCGTGCATGCGTGTAGATACAAATTTAAGATTTAAAAAAACATTTTACTCATTCAAGAACAGAAACAGCACTTTTGATAGCACTATGCCAATTTCTCATAAAACTGTGGTCTTTTGATATATAACACAGATATATTCAACCTGCTGAATCATGTGGCATCTGAAAATACAAAGCATTATTTATTTTGGTTACTAATTCAGAATCACCTTGTGTATGAGCAGATGTTTGCTACTTTTGGCCAAGCAATTAAAAGATATTGGTACAACTGAGTTTTGCATTTGATTGAAAAGATGAATAAAATGGTTGTCAAGACTTCACACTTGAAAATTATTTATTGGTACCGACAATCTTCATAAAACAAAGTTATTCAAACACATCCACCAACATCAAGCACAAACAGATTATTAAAAATTCCTAAATATTTTATATTGCTAAATAATCAGAAGCATGATCTATACAAATGAATGTCCTAGTTGGGGTCAACTACTACAAGCATTACAGTATGAGAGAGATTCCAAGAGCATCGTGTCAGTTGATATTAGTATCAGTTTCCTAATTGAAATATGTCTTCACTAGTCACATGTGCATTTATACATAGCTTGCTTTTTTAAGACATTTAATCAATTTCAACATTTGTTCTTCTTAAAGGAATAGTAAGCAGTAATAATATTAAAAGTCAAGAGAACAAAGAGATTTATGTTGAAAAAATCTTTATATTCTATATATTCTATATAACTACAATACAATGTAAATGTATACATGAATTAGTTTTTTGCAATTAGACAAATTGCAGACTAAAAAAACTAAACTTAGGTTTGAGTAATATTTTCATTTGTCCCAGGACACTTTAATTCAGCACAGAAATTCAGTACATATTCGAATTATTTCAAGATACACAAACACATACACATAAACACACATGTGTGTATGTATTGTATGCATGCATATATAGTATATATAAATTAAATGTTTTGGCCAGGTGCGGTGGCTCGTGCCTGTAATTTGATATAATATTTGATATAATATCAGGTAATGGAAATGTAAAGGAAATTAAAGCATCATAAGAAAGGCTAGAGTAGTGGCAAGATGCGGAGCATTTTTTTGTTTTGATAGAATGGTCAAAGAAGACTCATTTGCTGAAGGGAAGTTTAAGTGGAAATATAACAGCTAAAAGAAGGTTAGCTATGGTATTACACAAGGGAAGTGTCTTCAGGATAAAATCAACAATTGTAAATACCTGAATCTGCACATTTCTGCAGATTTTTTATTTGCATGACATTGACATTGCAGATTTTTACTGCATGACATTTTATTTAGTTATCACATAGTATATAGTTCCCCTTAAAATGTACAATTCAATATTATGCAGTATATTCACAGAGATGTGTAATCACCACATTCACTTTTAGAAAAGTTTTACTACATAAAAAAGAAAAAAAGTCCAGGTCAATTAGCAGTCATTCCCCATTTTACCCCAACTCTCCAACACTAGACAGACACTAATCTAATTTGTTTCTATAGATTTGTCTATACATTTCATAAATTTCATATAAATGAAATTGAACATTATGTGGTCTTTCATACCTTGCCTCTTTCACTTAACATGAAGTTTTCTAGGTTCATTTATGTTATATCATTAACAACACTCACATTTTTTTATGGCTGAATGGTATTTTCTTGTATGGATATACCATATTTTGTTTATTAATTTATCAGTTTCTAGAAATTGGATTGTTGACACTAACTGGCCATTATAAGCAATGCTACTCTGAGCATTGTACACAAGTTTTTTTATGGATATATGTTTTACTTATATTTGCTATATGTATTAGTCCATTTTCACACTGCTGTAAAGAAGTACGTGAAACCAGGTAAGTTATAAAGAAAAGTGGTTTAATTGAGTCACAGTTCCACATGGTTGGAGAGGCCTCAGGAAACCTAACAGCGGAAGGTGAAGGGGAAGGAAGGTATGTCTTACATGGTGGCAGGAGAGAGACAGAGAGCCATGTTGGGAGTGCCACACTTTAAAACCATCAGCTCTCATGAGAACTCACTATCGTGAGAACAGCATAGGAGAAATCCATCCTCATGATCCAATCAATCACCTCCCACCAGGTACCTCACCTTACACATGGGGATTACAATTCGTGATGAGATTTGGGTGGGGACACAGAATGAAATCATATCAGTATATATCTAAGTGAAATTGCTAGATGGTATATCATCTCTGTGTTTAACCTTTGGAGGACCTACCAACACTTTTCCAAAGTGAATAAAGTCTTTTTCATTCTTACCAACAATGTAGGAGAGCTCCATTTTCTCCACATCCACACCAACACTTTTTATTATTTTTTATTATAGCCATCCAAATAAGTATTAAATAGCATTTCATTGTGGCTTTGATTTGCATTTCCCTGCTTAATGATGCTGTGACTGTTTTAATATGTTTATTGGTAACTTGTTTATCCTTTTTGGAAAAAAAGGTCCGTTACAACTTTTGTGCTATGGCATGTCTCATGATTTAAATTTAAAAATTATTTTTTATATTCTGAATTCAAATTCCTTATCAGATATGTAATTTGCAAACATTGTTACCTACTCTTTGGTTGTCTTTCATGTTCTTGATGGTAACTTTTGAAGCACAAGAAAATGTAATGCAGACCACCCTAATTTATTTACTTATTTATCTTTTCTTGCTTGTGCTTTAAATGTCATGTTTAAGAAAACTTTGCCTAGCTCAAGGACACAAAAAGTTTATCTCTAAATTTTCTCCTAAGACTTTTATAGTTTTAACTCTTACTTTTATATCTATGATACATTTTGAGTATCATGAGAAAGAAGTCCAACTTTTTTTAAAAATTATTATTATTATATTTTTTTGAGATAAAGTCTCCCTCTTGTCGCTGGAGTGCAGTGGTGTGATCTCGGCTCACTGCAACCTCCGCCTCCTGGGTTCAAGAGATTCTCCTGCCTCAGCCTCCTGAGTAGCTGGGACTACAGGCACACGCCACCACGCCCAGCTAATTTTTGTATTTTTAGTAGAGACAGGGTTTCACCATGTTGGCCCGGCTGGTCTTGAACCCTTGACCTCAGGCGATCCACTCGCTTACACCTCCCAAATTGCTGGGATGACAGGCGTGAGCCACCGTGTACTGCCAGAGGTCCAACTTTATTATTTTGCATGAGGACATCCTGTTTTCCCAGTAACAGTTGTTAAAAAGATTATCCTTTTACTCATTTAATAGTCTTGGCACTCTTACTCAAAAATCAATTGAATTATGAAATAAGCAAAGATTGTAGAGTAAGGACCTCCAAATATTGCTCTTCCATGAAAGCAATAAAAAAGAACAAAACTATCAAAAGTCAACTTTTTCAGAACTCTGGAAATTATCCAAAATTAACATTCCAGAGAATGTTAATTTTAAAAATTGCTAACTCTCAGTAATGATAGAAAACTTTGTGATGTTTTAACTCACCCGAGGCCTATCCTTTGCTCTCTTGCTCAGCAGTATCCATGAAAATAACAGTGTACATTCTTTGTAATATAATGCATATAGTAAACAAAATACTTCATTCATAAAGAATTTTAATTTATACATTTTGACCCATCTGGTGGTTCCTGGAAGATTGGCTTAAAGGGCCTGTCTTTATTTTGTCTAACTGGAAACTAGCTCTAGTGGCAAAACTGTTTCCAGGGCCAGATGAACATTTGTCAAAAATACTTACCAGCTGATTACATTGCTGAAGCCTTAGGCAAAGCTTGGGAGAAAAGACTGTGAAATAAGATGTCTGTAAAGGTTTTAAAATGCTCAATTATATTCCTAGGAATCTATAAGGCCACATGTATGGTCAGGGCTGTGTGCATGTCAAGAAATATAAGAGGAGGCCCTAAGCTCTCAGGTCTAGGTGACCTTGAGACTTCACAGAAGCCAAAAGTGAAAGCTAGGACATAGTCAGCTATTCCCTGCCACAGAGAGGATATAAGCAAAGACTGAAAGAATTTTTGGTTCTAGACACTTAAGAAATTCTCTGTCCAAACATTAGCTAACTACTAAACTGAGGGAACAGAGGCTTGAAGGGTCATACATGGTAAAAAAAAAAAAAAAAAAAAAAAAAATATATATATATATATATTAAATTCACTGAGGAAGTCACTAAACAAATGAACAATAAAGCTACAAAATGCAGCTACAGTGAGAAAATCATGGGGTGGGGAGAGAATCATATTTACGGTTACCACAGTATATTATTTAAAAGGTTTGATTCTTAACAAAACATTTACAAGACATGCAAAGAAATAATAAAATATGGCCCAGACACAGAAAAAAAAAAGACAAATTAATAGAGTCAGTGAAACAAAATCGTGGTTGATTGAGATTATTCAGGTTAAGGAACAGAAAGAAAAGGATAAAGAAAAATAAATAGAACCTCAGAGACCTGTGGAACATCTTCAATCATGCTAATATATGCTTAATGGGAAGGGAAGGAAAGGGAAGGAAGAAACATTGAAGAAACGATGGTTTAAACTGCTCAAATATGATATAAAATTAATTAATACAAGTCTTATAGACACCAAGTAGAATAAACTCAGAGAGATCTACGCTGAGACACACATCACAATCACACAATCAGAAGTCAAAGACACAGATCTTGAAAACAACACAACAGAAGTGACTCAACCTGCTGAAAGAATCTCAGTAAGATTAGAAACTGGCGGGGCGCGGTGGCTCATGCCTGTAATCCCAGCACTTTGGGAGGCCAAGGCGGGCGGATTGCCTGAGCTCAGGAGTTCCAGACCAGCCTGGGCAACACGGTGAAACCCCGTCTCTACTAAATACAAAAAAATTAGCTGGGCGTGGTGGCACGCGCCTGTAATCCCAGCTACTCAGGAGGCTGAGGCAGGAGAATTGCTTGAACCCAGGAGGCAGAGTTTGCAGTGAGCTGAGATGGCACCACTGCACTCTGTCACCAGCCTGGGTGACAGAGTGAGACTCCGTCTCCAGCCTGGGTGACAGAGTGAGACTCCGTCTCAAAAATAAAATAAAATAAAAAAGGTTAGAAGCTGATTTCTCATCAGAAACCATGAAGACCAGAGAGCAGTGGTGTGGTATATTTAAAGTGCTGGATCAAAAACAAAATAAACAAAACAAACAAAAATCTTGTCAAATAAAAATTCTGTATCTGGTAAAACTATCTTCAAAAATGAAAGAGAAATGAGGATATTCTCAGATAAACAAAAATAGAGAAAGACCACTGGTGGCAGAACTTCCTACCAAGTGGAAACGAAGGTCCTTCAGGCTGAAATGAAGAACAATAGACACTAACTCAACTCCATATGAAGAAATAAAAAACAGCAAGTAAAGAAACTGCATGGGTAAAAATGAGGGACAGTTTAAGTGTATTTTTTGTTTTTACTTTCTTTTTGTCTCCTTTCTGATTTTAAGGACAAATGCAAATAATTATAAATGTGGTTTAATGGAAGCACAATGTATAAAGATGTAATTTGTGATAACAGCTTAAATGGGGGACATAGAGAAAGCTAAATAGATAAGCAAAATATAATGTCTCCAAACAATGAAATATCATTTAGACTTTAAACTATGAAATATCACTGAGATAAATAACATTTATCATTCATATAAAATGTAGTACTGTTATTGCTACAACATAGTAAAATATAGTAAACATGCTAAGCAAAAGACGCCAGCCATATTAGGTCATATATTGCATAATTCCAATTATACAAAATAATCATTTTAAATTTATTGAGATTTTTGTATGGCCTAGCATATGTTCTATCCTGAAGAATATTCCATGTATACCTGATATAATGTGTATTCTGCTCCTGTTGAGTGGAATGTTTTAGAGAAGTCTATTAGGTCCAGTTAGTTAATAACATTCAAGTCTTATTTATCCTTGTTGGTCTTCTGAAACTCCAGTATTTCATTTAGTTAAATAAATTATTTTTAATATTTTATTGATATTCTCCACATGAAAAATAAAAGACATATTTGATGAGGCATTGTTATCCTATCTCTCTTTACTTCTTCAAGAATAGTATCCTCAGTTATGGAAAAATATTTTTAGTAGTTGCTTTAAAATGTTCTTTAAGTCCATCATCTGCATCCTCTCCTGGACAGTTTTTGTTATTTCACCGCCCACCTACCCAGATATGTGGCATATTTTATTATTTTTTACATGTATTATAATTATTTATTAAAAGCTGGACATTTTATATAATATACACAACAACTAGAAGCTGAATCCCCCGTCTTTCTGGGGCTTCCTGTTGTTTGCTTGTTTATTTGTTCAGTGATTTGGCTCTATTGAAAATAGTAAAATCTATTTATCAATCATTGCGAAGCCTTTGATGTTTACTCTTCAGAGGGCACAGCCTTGGACATGAACACAGTCACCATGGAATGACAACAAAGACAATGGTTTCAGCAGGGTTTTCTGTGAATATCTCTTTTCCTAATCTCTCTCTCTCTCTCTCTCAAGCTATCTGCCACTGCCTTCTAAAAAAGCTGTTAGCCTCTACTAATTGCCAAATAATTGCTCTATTGTTTCTGACAATGATCTGAAACCTCCACTGTCTGATCCAATTAAATTTAGATTCCTTCTCTGTGGTAGGTTTTTTTTTTTTAAGCATTTTATTTTATTTTTTATTTATTTATTTTTTATTATACTTTAAGTTTTAGGGTACATGTGCACAATGTGCAGGTTTGTTACATACGTGATAGGTTTTTAAGCAAGTCTTAAAGATTGATCTGGTCTCAAGAGTTTTCTTCATAGTTTTTTCTTCCCTGGTCCTCTTAGATAAACTGTCTGGCCATGGCTTAGCGTTTTGCTCTCATGGGGCACACATATTCCTTTTAATTGCTTACCACCAAAATTCCATTGTTTTTGAGAACTCCTGAAGCTTGAATTTTCTATATTCTGTGCAAAATAAACTATATTCTTTAGATGAGAGCTTCAGATCGCTTTATTAATATGTCCTACCTGTCCCTTTGGACAAAATCTTCAAGCCACTTTTCAGGAGCTGGGAGAGAACTCAGTAGCACACTGCTCCAAAAATTACATCTACCTTTATCATCAGGGTTCTGGGTAAGGGCAGTAGCCTCTTTTTTTATTTGCTTACATCTCCTGGCATGGCACCTTCTCCCTACCAGAATTCTGGGGAGAGAATGATCAGGGCCCCATTATTCTCAGTTATTTCAAGAGTAAAGCTTCAGTCCTCTTCCTAAGTGAAGAAAGGAAACCACTGACCTCTTGGTCACTCACCTGGAACTTAGCCTGTTCAGCACAGAGTTGAGGAAATTAGGAATGCTAGTGGCCTTTCTTACATGAGGAGATACTGTAGCAATTTTACTGAGAGATGGTGGGGAGGGGAAGCTCTTTCTTTTGGTCATACTTACTCAGAGTGGAGTTATCATGCTAAGATGTAAGTAGGGGTAGAGAGTGAGTCAGTTATAGCTCAAGTGCCAAAGCCTCTTACAGTCTTTAAATTGATTTTACAGACTTTCTTGATTAAATGTTTTCTCACCTGTTGAATGTATTTAGAACAATGTCCAGAGATTTTAACCTTATGATTTTAACTAGTTATTGTTTCTCTAGATAACAGCTCTGCAGAGATCATTAAGACATCTTTATAGAATTACCACAGTTAGTTGTCTTTGTTTTAATGACTCGCTTTGATAATAATGTAGGTAACATGATGGGAAAGGCAATAATAGAAGCAAAACTACCAGATTTGGTGATACTGCATTAGTTCTAGGTAATGCAGAGATGTATAGGTAAATATCTGCATGCAGCTCCTAAGAACATATGAAAAACAGAGCAAAATCAGTCTAAGTTGCATATTAATAATTGAAAAATAATCCTTCTCTGTTATGGATGTTAAAAAGATGAGAAGTAGTTTCATCTGACATTAAATAATGGTTATTAATAATAATACCATTATAGTACAACATTGCTTTAGCATTCCCATCTATTATTTGTTTAACAAAACTGGTCAAATACAACTCATCTCATAATTAATACCTATACTTTGGCAACACAATCTAAAATAAAATGCACACATTAACATTGGCTAATAACACTTTCAATGTATGAATACCATACAAGAAAAAGATGTGGATTTGAGGGCAAGGTGGCAGACTAGTTGCAGCCAGGTAGAACTGCTACCACTGAGGGACTGAGACATGTTGGGGTGGCCAGACACAACACCAGGCCTTGGGGGTTACGAAGTCTGGCAGAGTCAAAGGAATGAGTTAAGAGTGCATAAAGTGGGACCAGGGGGCTAACACTAGTATGGAGGCCGTGAAGGCCCTGAGCTCTGGAAGCCCACACTATTTATTGGTGATCAAACAAAGAAGCAGGTAGTGAGGATGTGGGGATTGAAAGGCAGTGGTGCATCAACCTTATGATCTATAGCTGTGATGGTTTAGCATTTCCTTTGAAGCATATGGAACATGTTCTGCTACTTGAAATAATGGGGAACATATTCTTCTAGTTTAAGATACAATTGATCTATGAGCCTGGGAGTGCTAGAAGCAAGAAGCCAGCAAGTCTGGACACATTCCGGAGGCCACGAGGGGTTTTATGCCCTGTGCCCTGGATTCCATCCAAGCCATGAGGGGTTTTATGCCCTGGGCTTAGATTACGGTGAGGCAGGGCAAACTTCCACCCTTTCGCACAGAGCTTGGTGTTCCAAAGGCCATGAAGGGTTTTAGACCCTGGACCCCGGACATGTTCCAAGACTCTTTTACATTATGTCAGACATGCAAGCCCTGCCTCAGCTTCTCCCAAAAAGACAACTGGCACATTCCTAACCAATCTTCAGAGGACAGGTGTTAAGAGTGGACAAAGGGAAGGCACAGAAGCTAAGCTGAAGAGGGAGAAAGTTAGAAACTCTACATAAAGTTACTGTGCACCAGGACTCATTACTGGCCCCCAACAATTCTGGGGAAACAAGTGAGTTGAACTGTCTGGGAGCAACCCATTCCTGCCACAGATCTCTCAACTCCCCTTGACAACCACAGATAATTGAGGTGGTGGAGAGCACTGCTTACAGAAGTGGTAGGGGCAACATGCCAGCTGAAGCAAAGTCCAGAAGGTTTGGTATGGGAATATCTATAGCAGAGCATGGTCATGGAAGCCCATCTCCCTAGGCTCAGCTTGTACCCATAAGAGACTTTAGCCTGAGGTGAAGTGTGGGACCTAAACTCTACAGGGCGGTCTTGCTTATTAGATGGTGCTGGTATGACCTGAGCACCCTTTGGCCTACTGGCCTCTCCAGGGGCCATAACCTGATCAGATCTGCTTGCAGGGCAACCTTGATTGCACTGGGGGCCCACATCATAGATCCTGTGCTGGTGGACCATGCCTAATCAGAGAAGAACTCCAGTGGGGCAGCTCCTACAGCCATGCACCAGCCTGCCCACTTCCTACCCACACTGCAGCTTGCTCCCAGCCAACCACAACCCTCCACATCACATTGCTGGTGCATGTGTGCATGGGTGGTTTTAGTCTTACTTGCCCTGCCAGTGTGTGTGTGGTGTGTATGTATGTGTGTGTGTGTGTGTGTGTGTGCATCCTACTCTCTCACTGCTGTGGCAGGAGTGCACTTTGTGCCTCCTTAACCTGCTGGACTGCAATTGCAGTCAGAGCCTTCGCAAGCACAAAGCCAGCCAACTTCACCCCTGCCAGCACAAGTCCCTCGGGGCAATACTGCTGCTGGACTGAAACTAGGAACAGAGAACAGCAGACCCTGCCTTGCCCAGAGTTCCCACTTCTGCCTGTAGCACATAAAGAATGCACACAGATCTGTGCCCACCAGTACCCTACCCCTTTGTTGACACCACAAACAGCAAGAGTGTGCACACAGTTGCCAGCAGGATTCCCTATCCCCACAAAATGTACTGCCTCTGCTACTGGGGTAAATGTCCGCAAAGAGGCGGGCCCTCCCGCACCTGCTAGCACCCAGATGCAGCTGACGAGTGTGCACCCTAACATGCTGCCCTTGCCACTGATGCTGGCACATGCAATTGAGTACAAATTCCACTGCTACCATATTGCGAAACACTTTAGCTGACACAACCCATCAAAGTGTAGTGACCAGCAGTTGGAGAGCACCTTGCCCCCATCTCAGTGCAGTGGATTCCTAACTTTGAGAAGCCAGAGTACAGAGACTGTCCTGATATAAGTCCCCAAGAGTTAGAGCACAAAGTCCAGGAGTTGGGAGCTGAGCACTGCCCCTCTAAAATCTTCAAGAAGTAAAGCCAGTTGGCTGAATTCACTTTATATCACAATCAAACCCTCCATCTCATAAAATAGGATAAAAGAACAATTTTAAAAAACCCAACCAAAGGTCAGCAAATACAAAGATTGAAGAAAGGTGAGCCCACAAAATGAAGCAGAACCCGTGCAAGAACTCTGACAACTCAAAAAGTCAGATTGCCTGTTTTACTCCAAACAACCACAACACCTCTCCAGCAAGGGTTCTGAACCAGGCTGAGATCATTGAGATTACAGAAATAGAATTCAGAATATGCATAGGAATGAAGATCATTGAGAAGCAAGAATACGTTGAAACTTAAATCAAGGAAGCAAAGAACCATAATAAAATGAAACAGGAACTGACAGAAAAATAGCCAGTATACAAAAGAATGTAACTGACCTGATGGAGCTAAAAAAGACACTAAAATAATTTCACAATGTAATCACAAGTATTAATAAGAGAACAGACCAAGTGGAGGAAAGAATCTAAGAGTTTGAGGAGTGGCTTTCTTAAAGAAGACTGATAAGAATAGAGAAAAAAACAATGAAAAGAAATGAACAAAACCTCTGGGAAATGTGAAATTACGTAATGAGACCAAATCTATGACTCATTGGTATTTCTGAAAGAGATGGGGAGAGGGAAAGCAACTTGGAAAACACATTTTGATATCATTCATGAGAACTTCCTCAACCTAGCTAGAGAGGCCAAATTTCATATTCAGGAAATAGGGACAGCCTCAGTAACATAATTCACAAGAAGTTCATTCCACAGACACGTAATTATCAGATTCTCCAAGGTAGAAATACAAGAAAAAAAGTTAAAGGTAGTAACAGAGAAAGGTCTGCTTACCTACAAAGGTAACCTCATCAGACTAACAGCAGACCTCTTAGCAGAAACTCTACAAGCCAGAAGAGATTCAGGGCTACTATTCAACATTCTTAAAGAAAAGAAATTCCAACCCAGAATTTCATATCAGGCCAAACTAAGCTTCATAAGTGAAGGAGAAATAAGATTCTTTTCAGACAAGCAAATGCTGAGGAAATTGGGTTACCAGTAGACCTGCCTTAAAAGACCTCCTCAAGGAAACACTAATATGGAAAGAAAAGACCATTACCAGTCACTACGAAAACACAATGAAGTACACAGATCAGTAAAGCAACCAGACAAACAAGTTTTCATAATAACCAGCTAATATCATGATGACAGGATCAAATGGACACATATCAACACTAACCTTGAATGTAATTGGGCTAAATGCCCAATTCAGAGGCACAGAGTGGCAAGCCTGATAAAGACTCAAGATCCAGTGGCATGTTGTTTTCAAGAGACTCATCTCACGTGCAATTTCACGCATGGGCTCAAAATAAAGGAATGAAGAAAAATCTACCAAGCAAATGGAAAAAAAGAGCAGGGCTTGCAATTCTAATTTCAGACAAAACAGACTTTAAACCAACAAAGATAAAAAAAGTCAAAGAAAGGCATTCCATAAAGATAAAGCATTCAATTCAGTAAGAGGACCTAACTATCCAAACTATTTATGCACCCAACACAGGAACACCCAGATTTATAAAGCAAATCCTTAATGACCTTCAATGAGCCTCAGATTCTCACACAATAATAGTGGGAGACTTTGACACACTACTGACATTATTAGATTATCAAGCCAGAAAACTAAAAAAAAAAAAAAAATTCAGGATCTGAATTCAGCACTGGATCAAAAGGGCTTAATAGACATCACAAAACTCTCTACCAAAAAGGAATAGAATATATATTTTTTTCACTTCTACATGACATATACTGTAAATTCAATCACATAATCAGACACAAAACACTCCTCACCAAATGCAAAAAAATCCTGAAATCATAACGACCATACTCTTGGACCACAGTGCAATCAAATTAGAAATCAAAACTAAGAAATTTGCTCAAAATCATACAGTTACATGACAACTGAATCACCCGCTCCTGCATAACTTTGGGGTAAATGTAGAAATTAAGGCAGAAATGAAAAATCTTTTTAAAACTAATGAGAACAAAGATACGACATACAAGAATCTCTGGAACACAGCTAGGGCAGTGTTAAGAGACAAATTTATAGAAGTAAATACCCATATCATAAAGCTAAAATTTAAATTTAAAAACCTAACATCGCAACTAATATAACTAGAGAACCAAGAAGATACCAACCCCAAAGCAAGGACAAGACAAAAAGTAACTCAAATGAGAGCTGAATTGAAAGAGACTGAGACTTGAAAACACATTCAAAAGATTAACAAATCCAAGAATTGGATTTTTGAAAAAAATAAAATAAAATAATTAGACTGCTACCTAGACTAATAAAAAAGAAAAGAGAGAAGATCCAAAATAAACACAATTAGAAGTGACTACGGGGATAACACCACTGACCCCACAGAAATACAAGTAAACGTCAGAGAATTTTATGAACACATCTATGCACATAAACTAGATAATCTAGAAGGAATGGATGCATTTCTGAAAGCATACATCTTCCCAAGACCGAGCCAGAAAAAAATATAAATCCCTTAACAGACAAATAATGAGGTCCAAACCTGAATCAGTGATAAATAGACTACCAACCAATGAAAACCCAGGACCAGACAGATTCAAAGCCAAATTTTACCATATGTACAAAGAATAGCTCGTAGGAGGAGAGACTCCTCTCTAAGTCATTCTATGAGCCAACATCATCCTGATACCAAAACTTGGCAGAAACACAACAGAAAAGAAAACTTCAGGCCAAGATCCCTGATGAACATTGATAGAAATATCCTCAACAAAATATGTGCAAACCAACTACAGCAGCATATCAAAAAGCTTTTCCACCATGACCAAACAGGCTTTATTCCTGGGATACAAGGTTGGTTCAACATATGCAAATCAATAAATGTGATTCATCACATAAATAGAACTAAAGACAAAAACCACATTATTATCTCACTAGATGCAGAAAAGGCATTTGATAAAATTCAACACCTCCTTATGTTAAACACAAAACTCTCAAAATACTAGGTATTGAAGGAATTTACCTAAAAATAACGATCCATATATGACAGATCCATAGCTATCATACTGAATGGACAAAATCTAGAAGTATCCCCCTTGAAAACCGGCACAAGACGAGAATGCCCTCTCTTTCCATTCCTATTCAACATAGTATTGGAAGTCCTGGGCAGAGAAATTAGGCCAGAAAAAGAAATAAAGGACATTCAAATTAGAAAAAAGGAATTCAAAATATTTTTCTTTGCAGACGACATGATTCTACATCAAGAAACCTTATAATCTTGGCTCCAAAGCTCCTTAAGTTGATGAACAAATTCAGTAAAGTCTCAGGATACAAAATCAATGTATAAAAGTCACTAGCATACTTACTCACCAACAGCAGGCAAGCTGAGAGCCAAATGAGGAACACAGTGCCATTCACAGTTGCTGCAGAAAGAACAAAATACCTAGGAATACAGTTAACCAGAATGGTAAAAGATCTCTACAAGGAGAACTACAAAACACTGCTCAAAGAAATCAGATACGACACAAATAGAAAAAATATTCCATGCTCATGGATAGGCAGAATCAATATTTTTAAAATGACCATACTGCCCAAAGCAATTTACAGATTCAATGCTACTCGTATCAAATTACCAATGACATTTTCATAGAACTAGAGAACAATATTTTCATACTCATATGGAACCAAAAGAGAACCTGAATAGCCAAGGCAATCCTAAGCAAGAAGAACAAATCAGGAGGCATGACACAACCCAACTTGAAATCATACTACAGTGCTACAGTAACCAAAACAGCCTGCAAATGATACAAAAACAGACATATAGACCAATGGAACAGAACAGAGAGGCCAGAGATAAAGCCACACACCTACAACTATCTGATTTTCTACAAAGTAAAGAAAAATAAGCAAAGGCGAAAGGATGTTCTATTCAATGAATGATGCTGGCATAACTGGCTAGCCATATACAGGAAACTGAAACTGAACTTCTTTACATCTTATACAAAAGTTAACTCACAATGGTTTAAAGACTTAAATGTAAAACTGAAAACTATAAAAATTCAGAAAGACAACCAAGGCAATACTATTCCGGACATAGGAATGTGCAAAGATTTTATGATGAAGACACAAAAACCAATTGCAAAAAAAGTAAAAACTGACAAATGGAATGTAATTAGACTAAAGAGTTTCTGCACAGCAAAGGAAATTATCAACAGAGTAAACAGACAACCTAGAGAAAGGGAAAAAATTTGCAAGCTACGTATTTGACAAACATCTAATATCCAGAATCTATAAAGAACTTAAACAAATTTCCACTTAAAAAATCCCCATTAAAAAGTGGGCAAAGGACATGAACAGACACATTTCAAAAAAAAGACATACACGTAGCCAACAAGCATATGAAAAAAACTCAATGTCATGATCATTAGAGAAATGCACATCAAAATCACAATGAGATACCATCTCACACTAGTGAAAATGGCTATTACTAAAAGCAAAAAATGACAGAAGCTGGTGAGGTTGTGGAAAAAAAGAACAAACAACCACATAAAAAAAGTAGGCAAAGGACATGAACAGACACTTCTCAAAAGAAGACATTTATGCAGCCAACAAACATACGGAAAAAAGCTCATCATCACTGGTCATTAGAGAAATGCAAATCAAAACCACAATGAGATACCATCTCAAGCCAGTTAGAATGGCTATCATTAAAAAGCCAGGAAACAACAGACACTGGAGAGAACATGAAGAAATAAGAACACTTACACTGTTGGTGGGAGTGTAAATTAGTTTAACCATGTGAAAGGCAGCATGGTGATTCCTCAAACACCTAAAGAGAGAAATGCCATTTGACCCAGCAATCCCATTGCTGGATATATACCCAAAGGAATATAAATCATTCTATTATAAAGACACATGCATGTGTATGTTCAATTGCAGCACTATTCACAATAGCAAAGACATGGAATCAACCTAAATACCCATCAGTGATAGGCTGGATAAAGAAAATATGGTACATACACACTGTGGCATACTATGCAGCCATAAAAAAGAATGAGATCATGTCCTTTGCAGGAACATGAATGGAGCAGGAGGCAATTATCCTTAGCAAACTAATGCAGAAACATAAAACAAAATACCATCTGTTCTCACTTATAAGTGGGAGATAAACGATGAGAACACATGGACACATAAAGGAGACCAGTACACACTGGGGCCCACCTGAGGGTGGAGTATGGGGGGAGGGAGATGATTCGGAAAAATAACTAATGGGTACTAGGCTTAATGCCTGAGTGATGAGACAGTTTATACAACAAACCCCCATTACATGAATTTACCTATATAACAAACCTGCTCATATACCCCTATAATTAAAATAAAGTTAACGAGAAAGCAAACTTGCAATCTACTATTCTTACAAAACCTATTTATTCCTCCACTGTCCTTATCAACTATTAAAATTTCTCTATCTCATCAAAATTCTGCATCTTATCTACATCCTCTTTTCACAATCTTCTTTTTATTCATTGACAAAACAGAAGCAAACTGAAGAGACCCTGCCCCCACTGCCACCTCCACAATTATCAATCTGTTTTCCTGTACACTGCCCTACTTTCTACCCTATCATGAGAGACAGCCTATTTACACTCCCACTCTCCTCTTGTGCACTAGATTCTATTCTCTATTACTGAAATTATCCTCTTTCCAACCAGCATCAAATGTTCACCCTCTTTATTCTTTGGGTTATAGATACAAAAACATGTAATAATAAACATGATTAAAAGGAAGATAAACATTTTTTAAAGTACATATAACCTTCTGATGATCCTTTCTGCTGTTTTTGTTTACAACAAAAAGTCTTTTAATGTGTTTTCTGCATTTAACGCATTTGTTCTTTTCCCCTGAAGAAACTCCACTGCAACGCAGTTATAGGTCATTTTAATGTATATTAGTGTAGTATTATTAATTTTGGGAGGGAATGAGGCATAACATTTTTAAATATGTGGGTGTATACTTGTTATTAAATTTGGAAGATTTTTATTTAAAAATTATTTATGATGGGATGATAAATCTAGATCTGTGATTCTATCTTGGTCAGAATCAGTTCAACAACATTTAAAACACTCATGGCAACCTATTATAAAATAAAAATTTAAAACTCTTGATTATAATAACATTTAAAACAATTAGAAAAACATTTAACAAAATATATGCAAGATATTTATACTTGCAAACTATAAAATATTATTGATAAAAAAATGACCAAATAAATTGAGAGAGAACGTGTTCTCATCATTTATCTTATTTTTGTGTTGGAAAGTTAAGTATTATGTTATTGTTTCCCAATTAGATGTATAGATGTTATAATCTGGTAATATTCTAAGCATATTTTTTGGTAGATATTGATTGGTTGCTTCTGAAATACATATGGAAATGTAAAGAATATAGAAAATAGAAAGCAGCCTTGTTTTAAAAAAAAACAAACAAATTTGGTTAAGTCACATTACCTAATTTCCATACTTAATATAAAGCTAAAGTAAATTTTTTTCATTTCATTTTATTTTATTATTATTATACTTTAAGTTTTAGGGTACATGTGCACAATGTAAAGGTTAGTTACATATGTATACATGTGCCACGCTGGTGTGCTGCACTGATTAACTCGTCATTTAGCATTAGCTATATCTCCTAATGCTATCCGTCTCCCCTCCCCACATGCCACAACAGTCCCCAGAGTGTGATGTTCCCCTTCCTGTGTCCATGTGTTCTCATTGTTCAATTCCCACCTATGAGTGAGAACATGTGGTGTTTGGTTTTTTGTCCTTGCGATAGTTTACTGAGAATGATGATTTCCAATTTCATCCATGTCCCTACAAAGGACATGAACTCATCATTTTTTATGGCTGCATAGTATTCCATGGTGTATATGTGCCACATTTTCTTAATCCAGTCTATCATTGTTGGACATTTGGGTTGGTTCCAAGTCTTTGCTATTGTGAATAGTGCTGCAGTAAATATACATGTGCATGTGTCTTTATAGCAGCATGATTTATAGTCCTTTGGGTATGTACCCAGTAATGGGATGGCTGGGTCAAATGGTATTTCTAGTTCTAGATCCCTGAGGAATCGCCACACTCACTTCCACAAGGTTTGAACTAGTTTACAGTCCCACCAACAGTGTAAAAGTGTTCCTATTTCTCCACATCCTCTCCAGCACCTGTTGTTTCCTGACTTTCTAATGATTGCCATTCTAACTGGTGTGAGATAGTATCTCATTGTGGTTTTGATTTGCATTTCTCTGATGGCCAGTGATGGTGAGCATTTTTTCATGTGTTTTTTGGCTGCACAAATGTCTTCTTTTGAGAAGTGTCTGTTCATGTCCTTCACCCACTTTTTGATGGGGTTGTTTGTTTTTCTCTTGTAAATTTGTTTGTGTTCATTGTAGATTCTGGATATTAGCCCTTTGTCAGATGAGTAGGTTGCAAAAGTTTTCTCCCATTTTGTAGGTTGCCTGTTCACTCTGATGGTAGTTTCTTTTGCTGTGCAGAAGCTCTTTAGTTTAATTAGATCCCATTTGTCAATTTTGGCTTTTGTTGCCATTGCTTTTGGTGTTTTCGACATGAAGTCCTTGCCCATGCCTATGTCCTGAATGGTAATGCTTAGGTTTTCTTCTAGGGTTTTTATGGTTTTAGGTCTAACGTTTAAGTCTTTAATCCATCTTGAATTAATTTTTGTATAAGGTGTAAGGAAGGGATCCAGTTTCAGCTTTCTACATATGGCTAGCCAGTTTTCCCAGCACCATTTATTAAATAGGGAATCCTTTCCCCATTGCTTGTTTTTCTCAGGCTTGTCAAAGATCAGATATTTGTAGATATGTGGCGTTATTTCTGAAGGCTCTGTCCTGTTCCATTGATCTATATCTCTGTTTTGGTAGCAGTACCATGCTGTTTTGGTTACTGTAGCCTTGTAGTATAGTTTGAAGTCAGGTAGCATGATGCCTCCAGCTGGCCATACTGCCCAAGGTAATTTATAGATTCAATGCCATCCCCATCAAGCTACCAATGACTTTCTTCACAGAATTGGAAAAAACTACTTTAAAGTTCATATGGAACCAAAAAAGAGCCCGCATCGCCAAGTCAATCCTAAGCCAAAAGCTAAAGTAAATTAAAGAGAGTAATATTGACATTAAGTTTGACAAATGGAAAAATATAGTAGATTAAAAAGGCCATAAATACACCCACAGTTCAACCGTCATTATATTTGTGGTATGCATTTTTAATTTTGTCCAAGCTAACCAATGGCAAAAAAGTCTTCAAGAAATGATGCTAGAACAGTTGGATAGCCATATGTAACCAAAGTAAACTTGGAATCCTAACTTACAATATATGTAAACATTAATGTGATATATATCATAAATTGGATTATGTCAGCTAAAATTGTAATTTAAAACATTATAAATGATCTTTGCAATTTAGAGATATGCAAAAGATTTTTTTTACTCTGTAAATTAAAAAGCTATAAATAAGATCATTTCAAAATATAAAAAATTATCCAAAATAATGTTATCTCAATTAAAAGGACAGCCACAGACTATAAAATATATTTTCAAAACATATATCTTACAGAGGATTGCTATTTTAGCTATGAATAACAATAAAACTCCACCACCATAATAGCAATGAGAAACTTTAATAGACAGTTCACAGAAAAAGATATATAAATACAAAATAAAATACACATATACCAAAGTATTCAAAACAATTTTTCACCCTGGAGTTACAAATTAAGCAATAATGCGGCCTCAGTGTACTCCCACCTCAGTAACAAAAATTATAAAGTCTGAGAACCCAAAATGTTGGTGAGAATCTGGAGCAACACAATATTGACTATTATAACAACAGTCATAAAAATTTCTGAGAGTTTCATATTTTAAAAAGTAAACACTATTACATGACTCCTGAATTTCACATTTAATGTTTATTCTAGATTAATGGAAACACATACTCTAAAAATTGTTCAAGAATTTTAATAGCAGCTTTATTAATATAAGGCAAAACTGAGTATATGGAATGGATGAGAAAAATCTAACACATTTATACAATGGAACAGATATGGCTATATAATGGAATATGAACATGCACATTCTTGTGTGTGTGTGTGCGTGTGTGTGTGTGTTTCTTCTAAGGTATGTCAGATGAATGACAACCCCTAGTAAACTAAGTTACAACACTTAAAAAAAAATGCATGTACTTAAAATGGCTTCTAATTTGTAAAAAAAAAAAAAAAGAGAATATAACTGGTTGGCAGTTGTTAATTATCTCCTCTTTCTACAAAACAAAAACAAAATATTGGTAAGGTAACTATGTGAGATGATAGATATATTAATTTGCTTCCTTATAGTAGCCATTTTACTGCTTATATGTGTCACATAGCATCACTTTCTATACATTAAATGTCCACAATACAATTTGTTTTTCAAAAATTAGAAAAATAAAAAATAACAAAAAGAAAGTTCTAATTCACAACATGAATAAATCTCCAAAAATATGTTAAAATGAACAAAGCTATACACAAAGAAGATATAATTCATGAACCCATTTATATGAAATTCTAAAACAGGAAAAACTAATGTATGGTGGAAAAAGAGCAGTGACAACGTCTGTGTTTAGGGGTCAACAAAGAAACTAACAGGATTTTATGGGGTATTGCCAATGTTTCATGTCTTGGTAAGCTTTAGGATTACACCAATGTGTGTATTTGTCAGAACTTAATGTGATACTTACATTTTACATTTCATTGTCTTTACATTTCTGCTTAAAAAATTGTCTATAAATAAAAATGAACTTTGGTTAATCACATGTACACTGAATTATTTTGGAGTAAGTGTTCTGATGTCAACAATTAATTTTTAAATGGGTAGCATAGTAAGACAAATGATGGCTGTATAGTGGGGTAGATAGATGAATATGTATGTAATAAATTAAGTTTAATAATGTATTTACTGTAGATCTAGTAATGTGTATGTGGCTATTTATTGTAAAATCATTTCAACTTTACTGTATGCAGGAAATTTTTATAATAAATTTCTTAGGAAATAAAGAAGCATAACAAATGGCAATCACAATTTAAGATTATATTAACCATAGAAAATGAGATTTTCTTCCTCTATTGATTTTTTTTCAACACTGTCCCTAGGAAGCATGCAGTATACGTTTCTTTTTTTCTTTCAATCAATTCATCAGAATACAACAAATATATGTGCTGTGTGCATGTGAACATTCGTGTGTACGTGTGTGTGTGAGTGTGTGTTTATTTCTTCTAAAGCATGTCAGATGAGTGGCAGTCTTTGGTTAATTAACTCACAATCCTTTTTTAAAAAATGCCTGTAACTAAAATTGCTTTAAATTTGTAGAAATAAAATATAACTGGCTGGCATTTCTTTCATTTTTAAGACTTTTTTTTCAAACTTTTCAAAAGATGTAGAGCTGCTTTACTACTTTGAAATTTTGTATAGATAGGGTTAAATTTAGGAATATTTTCAAGACTTTGAATTACATAGAGTATTATCCAAATAGTATTTGTGATGTCTTCTGCTATCTTTCAGACCGTCTTAAACACCAAACACTGTTAGATATTGTTTATAATTGGTTGTAAAAGCATAACACATGATTTACAAAATTACCAATTATCTATTCCAATGGCTCTTCTCGGCCTGTTAAGTAATTTGCTTGAGGTCGCTGTGTATCCCCAGACACAATGTATTCTCATCTTTAAACAAACTTCCCTTGAATAATGGAAGTTAGATCTTCCAAGGGCATATGCAATGATTAGGCTGATTAAGTGTTATCATAACTGGGGACTGAATGAGGAAGAAAGTTGAGCATTTCACCAAGTCAAAATTCATTTTTTATAATGTCATGACAGATGGTCCTCATTGTCTCAATTAATTGATCCCTCAGGTCTTCCATTTAAGAAAGAATGTAGGGTGAATAAAATTTTCTCCTGATCCTTTTATAACCATCTATGCATTCGTCCAATAAACAGTACAGCATGCACATTCCAGAAAAATATCAATGGCAGTGATGCTGCAATCATGAAAAATTGTCCCCATGTCCCTGAGATTTTGGTAAATGACTAGCTCTCATTTTTAGTTTCCATATTTTAGTAACATGTTTCTTTCTTTTAACTTCTTGTATGAAATTAAGCAATGATTGCTAATTGCTATCAGATGATATACAATCTTTAACTTTTGGGTTCTTTGAATAAGTTATTCAATTAAATAACAATTTCATCAGAAATGCCAAATTAGCACAAATTCAATGTCAGCTCTGACGTATCATCAGTTTGTTTTGAGAAAAAAATATGTTCTCTGTTTATGAAGTAATTTGTCATATGTTCTTGCTTTGGTCAAGATAAACATTACCCATTTTTACAGACAAACCTATGTAGAAAGTTAATGTAAAGTTTTCTGATTACTTGAGGTAGCAGAATTTTTCAAACTTAAATAAGAATATTTTAAGTTATTATATATTCTATTTTGTAACATTTTAGAAGAATATATTCAAAGGAGAAAGCAGCTTCATTATGATTTCTCCTTCATTTCTTTGGAGGTGTATTTCCATAATTTTGAATACTTGGTTTTAGACAATCAGACTCGACTTTCAGAATTTCTTTTGATTTGCAAGTTCAGACTGACAGTCCAAAGAAATGAAATGTGAATATTTCTTTAAATTCCTTATAAAAAGAAAGCTGTTTCAACTAAATTATATTCTAAAAAATGCAAAACTTTCACAATTAGGTTGCTGAACTTGGTAGTCAGCTTATCTTTCCAATCCTTGACACTCTAATTTACATATGATAAGGTAGTTTTTTCATATCTCACCATAATAATTTGAGTTTATATTAACCACCAAAAAAGCCCATTTTGTTTTTTTCCAGAAAACACAGAGTATCACACAGATTGTATTTATATTCAAATTTTGCTTCTTAAGTTTAGAGAATGTCAGTGTCTCCTCCAATTTACCAAAAAAGAAATGGAGCTGTAGAGAGAGAAAGTAATACTCCCACACAATAAGTTAATCTTTATAACAGCATTTGACTTCAGTTTTAGGGTTCCATCATTTTTGGAATTTAATGTTTAATGATAATTCCCTTGTAGCACAAACAGTCCCCCGAACAAAGGTTTTTATCATAATTGAGTTATGTAGCCCATATCTGTAAAATGCTTTAGTTGTGCAAATTTCCCCAAAATTACTTGGAGGCCTAAATATGTATTATTTTCTAAGCGTGATTAATTGCTGGTTCCGAATATTAAGTCAACCACACCAAGTTTTCAAAAACGTCCTCTTTAGAGCTTTCTTAAATGACTGAAACAGTACCTTAATAACAATACATCATTAGCAATGCTAGTTAACTAAAAAAAGAGCAGCAAAAAAAACTAGATGAAAAATATGTGTTTTAAAATTTAAATTGAATAAGTTGGCTCTTATAAATCTGCAAGACTATTTAATTAAATATGTAGCTTTTGAAAATGTGATTTTCCCAGTAGAATTCCTAATTTTAAAAAATGGAAAAGTACAATATCCAAGAGCAGGAAAAACAAAAGAGGAAATATATTGATAATAGTCATTAAATTGGAACAAGTTGATGCTGTAGTGATATTTTTAAGTGTGGCATCTATGAATGAGATTTTTACCTTGGAAATTCACAGGGGAAAATAATACAACATGTAAAGAAAGGGACATGTATTCAAATTAATGGTAAGCATAAAGAATATTTTAAGCATATGTAACAAATATGAGATGCATACACACACAAACTGCTTCTTCCTTTATATATGTTTCTTTCTAAAATTCTTTTTATTTTTAATTTTTTTTTTTTTTTGAGACAGAGTCTCACTCTGTCGCTCAGGCTTAAGTACAATGGCGCGATCTCGGCTCACTGAAACCTCCTCCTCCCAGGTTCAAGTGATTCTCAGGCGTGCACCACCACACCCAGATAATTTTTGTATTTTTAGTACAGACGGGTTTTCACCATGTTGGTCTCATACTCCTGACCTCGTGATCCGCCCACCTCAGCCTCCCAAAGTGCTGGGATTACAGGAGTGAGCCACGGCGCCTGGCCCCTTTATATAATATTTCTGTTTAGTGATCGACATTATCTGATGCATTTTTTTCCTGTAATATGTGAAAACAATAGGCTCCTAGAATCTTAGAAGCTGACAAAACCAGAAAGATAATATCAGCATGTAAGAACCAGATAGAAGGCCAGGTGCAATGGCTCACGACTGTAATCCCAGCACTTTGGGAGACCAAAGCAGAGGGATCATTTGAGGCCAGGAGTTCGAGACCACTCTGACCAACATGGTGAAACTGTGTCTCTACTAAAAATACAAAAATTAACTGGACATGGTGGCACCTGCCTGTAATCCCAGCTACTTGGGAGTCTGAGGTAGGAGTATCGTTTCAACCTGGGAGGTGGATGTTGCAGTGAGCTGAGATCATGCCACTGCACTTCAGCCTGGGCAACAGAGTGAGACTATGTCTCAAAAAAAAAAAAAAAAAAAAAAAAAGACCAGATAGAAAAGGAGTTAAACAGTTAATCATCTCTGATAGCCACCTATTATCACTAGATATTTGTGTTTTACCAATTGATAAGCACTGGTAGCTCTTTTCATGCTCCCACCCACAACTTTTTCAAAAAATTTAAAAAATAAAAGGAACCATAAGGTATTCCAATAAAATAATATTGCCAACTGTCCTGGATTGATTATCCTAAATGTACAGATTAATTCCTTCTTTAAGACAACCTATAGATGGTATTACTAGTTACAACAGAATTTTAATAATGCCTAGATATCAAATAATACCAATGTATTTTCATATAATGTGAATATACAGAATGACAGAATAATGAGTAATAATGCAGAATAATTCTGCAAAATGTATTAAATGTCAAAAAATCATCTATGCAATAATTAAATTCACAAGAATTATGAAACATAACATATGATAAAGTTAATGACAAAAAGCTTCTCACCATTATGCATGTAGTTTATATATATTGGATTTTGAAACTACTTACCATACTTGACAATAATCAGTCATTCACCACCTGAATCCTGCACAGCCCATGACTGAAGATTTTGTCTTTTTCTGTTTTAGTTTTGGATATGTCAAGATGGCAGAATTTTTAGGAAGGTAAGAAATAGAAAACTCTTGGAGGCTTAAAAATAAAATTAGGATAGAGAATATGAAATAAAATTAAACCCATAGTACTTTTTTTGTTTTAAACTTATTTTAGTCATAAGAATAATTCCATCTTGGTAATCATTTTGATAATGTATGTGGACTTTGTTCTGTGGGATTATTAGCACCAACCACCAGTTGACTGATTCTCCAGACGTCAACTGGTATTCAACACTTAAATCATTTCTAATACTAGCTACCCAGAGTTAGCACAGACCTCACAGCTAAATAATTAAATCTCACAGGACTACCCCCTCTCCACTTTCCCACATTTAGAAGCCAGTTGCAAGACTGTGCCTATGGTACTTCTGACTGACCAGCTATAAGTTGAGGGTTTCCACAACCTCCTCCTCAAATTCAATAATAATTTACTACAATGGCTCAGAATTCGGAGACTGCAACACACTTAACGCACACAAATGAACAGCCAGGTGAAGATTCCTCAGCATAAGAACTTCCTTCTCATGGAGGTGGGGTGCACCACCTTCCCAGCAATGGATGCCTTTACCAATCTAGGAGCTGTGATTTAGGGGATTTTAAAGTGAATAAGATTCACAAGAGGTATAAGAGGGGAAGAAAAAACAAGAAATGGATGAAGATTATTTGATGATTGAATAACATTTGAGTTGGAAAAAATAATTAACATAAATAAAATTGTAAAATATGTAAACATCTTCAGTGAATGATGAGTGACAATGCACGTGTGGGTCCATAAAAAAAGAGTATGGTGTGTTGTGTAACCAAATGACACATGGTAACTTATAACTGGAAATTGAAGTATTATAATTTCAAGAATGTGCCCAAGAGTCAGGTAGAACCTGACCAGATGGTACCATTATTATGTTATCAGGCATTGACTCACACTTTATGCTATCTGAACTGCAAAAAAGATGGAGGCAGGTCCCAGATCTGGCCCGGGTATTGGAATAATCAAAATGTTAAAATATTCTTTAAGTGACTGTAATATTCTTTTGACCAAATGCTTATCCTTTGGTGATTTTTCCACTGTATAGTTTTTTCTCCTTCAGGCTGTTCTACTACTTGATGATTTTTAGTTATTTTTTCTCCTTTGATATTCTAAATGCATAGCCTAAACCATAACTTTAACTAAAAGCTATATTATGATTAGTTGCTTTGTAGTAATTCTCCAGCTATTCACTTAGGAGTTTGGGCTAGTTATTTGCTGAAGACTATCTTCAATCACTGTGGGTTGATGTTGAGGGAAGGGACCATTACAGGTATATATCTGAAAGAAATCTGAATGTGCTACTAAACAGGGAGAATTGTACTTGTAGAAAACAATTTCCCTAAGTCTAAGGAGTTAAGGAATTTAATGGCTTTTAGAATCTAGGAAGGTTCAGGATTTTGACAGACTTTTAAGATCAAGTTAAGGAACTGGCTGACTTTCAGCATGGGTACTGGAGCAGAACAAATGCTGATCTGGCTGGATTTCAAAAGTCTGAGCATGAAGCCAAGCTTTAGCTGACTGTTGGGCATGAAATCTCTTCCGTGGTAACTTGTTTACTTCTTTGGTTTATGACCAGGAAGATTAGGATGGTTCTTTTTTTTTTTAATAGTATTTCTTTTTTTTTTTTAAATTTTCCCCCAACATCAGAGTTCAACTACTTGAATATTTTTCTGTTACTTCAAGGAAAAGTTACTATAGCTTCACAATACTCAGTTCCATGAACACACAAGAAAGACTGGAGGGAAGGATGTTTTTAAAATAGATTCTTTATATAAGCAGACGAGGAGCTGGAAAACATACATTTTCCCATTCATTGTTATGAAGCTTGTAAAGAGAATCCTTCACTTGAGAAGTATCGTCAGAATAAATTGCCCTTAACAATTTACAGAGTAGGCTTTTTTCATTTTAAATGAAATAGAAATTTCAAGGGTTACCCACCCTAAAGAGCGAAACAGGTAGAAAAATAGCTGATCAAAGTTTGGTAAAAAATTGGTCCAGAATAATTTAAGGATGAGAATATTAGAGAGTTTTGATAACTAAAAAACATGAGTATTTGTCATGTATAAATATTTGTTTGACTCTACTCAGGCTTGTGGACAGGCCCAATAAGAAATTCCATATAAAAATAGATTCTTGATAATATTGCAGTATTATAGTCTCCTTGAATAATTCACACAAAATATTACTGGCCCTTAGGTGAGTGCAGCTTTAACATTTATAGTTTTTTTTGTTTTTAATTCACTGGAAACAAGCTGTTCCCCCATTAATTATGACCTAGAGGATTTATTTGGTTTAGAAATTGAGAACAGTTTTTCAGCAATTTTTCCATCTTTATTATTTATTTTAATTGAGAAATAATTCATGCATTTTGAAATTAATATTAGCATACAATTATATGCATTTTGAAGAAAACCTATATTAATATAATTAAAACCAATATAAACATTTAGAAAAATTCTATTACTCCAAAATATCTTAACAATTTACACAGGAGTGCTGTCTACACGTTGTAGACAACAATGCCCCTAACCACAGCCATTTGCGACCGACCTGTTTTTTGTTCCTCCAGTTTGGCATTTTCTGGAATGTCATATATAGTTGATCACAGAGTAAATGATATTTTTTCTAGTGTTTTTCACTTAGTATAATGCATTTGTGCTTGACTCGCCCTTTTGCATATACCAGTAGTTACTTCATTTCCATTGTTGAGCAATGCTCCACTGTATAACTGGCTATTCTTTCATTCACCAGTTAATAGAATTTGGGTTCTTTCCAGTTTGTGTCAATTATGAAGAAAGCACTTAATTATACCATTTTTTTAAACATAGCCATTTTAATACACGTGTGCTGATATATCACCTTGTTTATGATTTATGAATCAAATATATGATTAAGAATAATGATATCCAACAGCTTTTCACATGTTTACTTAAAATTCATACTATTTCTATCTCTCTCTTTTTTTTTTTTTTGAGATGGCGTCTCACTGTGCCACCCAGGCTGGAGTGCAATGGCGCCATCTCAGCTCACTGCAACCTCCACCTCCCCGGCTCAAGCGATTCTCGTGCCTCCCGAGTAGCTGGGATTACAGGCACCCACCATCATGCCTGGCTAATTTTTGTATTTTTGTAGAAACAGGGTTTCACCAATGTGGCCAGGCAGGTCTTGAACTCCTGACCTCAGGTGATCCACCCACTGCTTGTTTTTTAAAATGTTTAGTTATTGAGGTTTTTGTATATTGAAGATACAAATATTTTAATAAAACTTGTAGTTGGCAAATATTTTCTCTTCACTGAAGGCTTTCAAGATATTTTAACATTGGTAGTCAATTTATCAAATTTTTACTTTATAGATCATGCGTTTGGTGCCAGTTTTTTTTTTTTAATTTTGCCTAATCAAGATTTCAAATACTTTGTATATCCTTTCTTCTAAAAATGTATGCTTTTAGGTTTATTATTTTGATCTGTGATACACACAAACACACGTGTGTGTATAAAGCATATTATATTCTGTATATATGCATAGAGTATATGACATATGGTGTAGAGGGTGTGACTACCGTGTATCTTCTGTTTTTCTCTTTTTGAAGAGTTATCTGTGTGTGTTATGCTAGGTCTGTCCACCATTGCATGTGGGTTATATGAAGTGAAAAAAAATATGTATCTTGAATTCACTAATCTTTAGATCAAGAGGAAGTGCAATCAAGATGTACTTAAGAAACAACACCTGATGAGCTCCATCCACACATGGAACTGAATTAGATGGCAATATCCTGAAGTTCCAGCTGATTGTATAATAGGATAAAATCCGTGGGGCCTTTGTGAGGGGGTGAATATATTTTGCATATGGGATAAATATAAATAGTCTGTGGCTAGAGGGTGAACTGGGTTGGGTTTTACATGACCACACATGGTTTGATACTTCAAATATCAAGAGGTAAAACCTAACACCCCCCTCCTCGAGCGTGGGCTTAACATAGTTACTTGCTTCTAATGAATAGTATAAGGCAGAAGTGATGATCTGTAACTTAGGCATCCACATCATAAACATCACTGTGGCTTTCTTTTTGCTCTCTGTTTCACAGCAGTTATTGTCAAGGAAGATAGCTATTATGACATGAAGACATTTTAGCAGCCTATGGAGAAACCCGCATGACAAAGAATTGAGGCTGCCAAAGGCCAATAGACCAAAGCTGTGGCCTTCTGCCCAGAGCCACCTGAGTGAGCCACTTTGGCAGAGCATCTTTCAAAGCTTTAGACCTTCAGACCTACAGTAGCTTTTGCCAGTATGTTAACTGCAACCACATTAAATACTTGAGCAAGATCGACTCAACTAATGTGCATTCCATATTTCTAATCTACTGAAACTATGAGATAATAGTTTGATAAACTAAGAGATACTCCACTAAGTTTGGAGTAATTTGCTATGCAGCAATAGGTAACTAACACATTAATTCAGATATGAGCCTCAATTTGTTCTTATAAACACCACTACAAGAACAATGAACAGGCTGCTCTAGTCTGTGTTCTGGAAAATACTATTATCAAATATTTATTATATTTGAATTGCGTTTTTTACATAATCTCTTCCTTACTTCAAATCATTTATCTTGCACATCTTGAGAAATAGTCATAATTATTACTGACACTCATTTTCTGAGAGATAAAAATTCCCTGTAAAATACTAGTCTGTATATTTTTCAGAGATAAACATAAAAATATATAGTTATTAATATAAATGTACAGGAATTAACTTCCTTTCATGGAGTTAACTACACAAAAAATCAGGAAGAAGCACAGTTTGAGGTGGGGTCAAATAACTAATTTCTTAATTTTCACATCAAATATATAAATTGATTTGGGTGTTTTGATTTCTTTAATCTTCATGTATTCTAATATCAATAGTCCCTGAATGTTTTTGTACTCTTAGTACCTATCAGGATCAAGATGTGTAACAAAACTCCAAAAATATCTGTATCTTTTGTCAAACCCTAACTCTGAAAAGCAAACAAATAAATAAATTCAGCCCGGCCAACATGGTGAAACCCAGTCTCTATTAAAATAGAAAAATTAGACGGACATGATGGCGAGTGCCTGTAATTCCAGCTACGTGGGAGGCTGAGACGGCAGAATCGCTTGAACCTGGGAGACGGTGGTTGCAGTAAGCCGAGATCGCGCCACTGCACTCCAGCCTGGGTGGCTGAGCGAGACTCCGTCTCAAATAAATAAATAAATAAATACATTGTTTAAAACTTTTCATTTTGAACAAACTTGGCCTAGACATTTTTATGTCTTCAATGTGAAGAAGTTAATTTTAGTTTTATAATGTTTATTTCTGTGGTGCCTAGATACAAACATTTTATTTATTTTAAAAGCAATTATTTGAATAAAGAATCAGTCTTTCCTGACTGAAAAGCTAATTTGCAAGTTCTATTATGCAACATTGATGCATTTAGAATTGTTGCACTCTTGCCTTAAAGATACATGTGTAATCTAAAGTTTAAGACCTCACTGGAATTGGTATTTTCCATATAGATTTATGGCTGCTGAGCAGCAGCTGGAAAACCAAAGATCTTTTTACCATCACTTCAAATAAATTCAACCAAGGACAATGACTAGTCAATCACGAAATTGTGCACTTAAGTGGACTTCACACTGACATCAGAAATGAAGGGAATTTTTATGTACTTGCTAGGATCTTGTCAGCTGAGTGTTATTCTGCAAAATCTCTTCTATGATCCATTTGTAGTGAAAACAACAGTATACCCATTTGCTGTTTCAGTATCTATTCTCAAGGTTTATATTGATCAAAGACAGTTACTTCAGGTTTAAAAAGGCACTAACCCATATTTTCACTTCAAATTTCTCTGAGAAGGGTTCTTTTGAATCAACAAGAGTAGTCATATTGTGAGAAATAACATATACAATAAAAATTAGTATATTCATTCCATAAATATCTATATATAAAATATTAACAGTATGCATATTTTTATATACTTAAAGTATACCTTGGCTACTTCAAGGTAATTGTGAGAACCAAATACTGTAAATATAATTACTATGCCAGTTTTATATGGATCAAGAAACCAAGGCCAACAGATTATATAAATTGTTCATGGTTGTAAGTTTGAACCCATTTAATCATTCAGGTTCATATTCTTAACCACTGAGCAATTGATACTACTTTGAAATATGAGTATAATATATATCTAGTAAATTATAGTATTATCTATATATCAAAATCCATATTTAGGTATTTTTAAAGTAGCAGTAGTGTTTACTATTTCACGCACAATGTATGGAATAATTACAGAAATCTGTTACTTGCAAAATATTTATAATTATTTTTAAAATATATATTAGAAACTATAAAAATAAAAGGTCTTCACATAAATATGCAATGAGACTTTCCCAACAGTGCTCTTCCTTAGTTTACAAATAAAAAAAATTAAAGCAAGTTGTGTGATTTCTCTGAATCTTATTGCTGATGTTGTACATTCAGCATTGAAGCACAGATTCATTTAGAAGACATTAACAAAAGTTAACCTTTTATTTTACGAATTTCTTGTTACATTATCAATAATGGTTTTAAGCCAAATTAATTTTCATAGGTTTTCTATTTATAACTAATCGATTATCTAATATTAAGTACTATGCACCAAGTAGGAAATTAAATCCTATTTTATGTGCCTGAAAGGTCAGTAAACAATGGAATAAATGAAAACATGAGAAAATAACAATAATTATTGGCTATTTTAACATAGATCTTATTGTTCTTATCAAACATTTTAAAACTTACATACTCTATGACCTATTCTAAAATATTTTTTAGATGGATTTCAATCTAATCCAGAGGTAGCTTGTGCAACAGAATACAAATTGTACATAATAATTTAAAGAATAGAAATAATCTGTTGTTGATTATTTTGTATGCATAGTTCAAGTCTTTTATGATTATATTTAATATCCTAAGGTATAGTACCAAAATTAAGGTATGTAAATTTAACTTTTGACCTACAGCTTTGAATGTTATATCAAGTCATTATTGAATAAGCATGTTATTATAAGCACTATATAACATTAACTTAGTTTTTTTTCTTTCTTTCTCTTTTTTTGAGACGGAGTCTCGCTCTATCGCCCAGGCTGGAGTGCAGTGGCGCCATCTTGGCTCACTGCAAACTCTGCCTCCCGGTTTCACACCATTCTCCTGCCTCAGCTTCCCGAGTAGCTGGGACTACAGGCGCCCCGCCACCACGCCCGCTAATTTTTTTTGTATTTTTAGTAGAGACAGGGTTTCACCGTGTTAGCCAGGATGGTCTCGATCTCCTGACCTCGTGATCCACCCGCCTCAGCCTCCTAAAGTTCTGGGATTACAGGCTTGATAATTTAGTTTTTATATTTAATTTTTACCATATGAAAATTAAACTTTAGAGTTGAGGAAACTTCAATAAATTGAATATAGATATTTTAAAGCCAATATGATACTTAAGTCATATGTTAAACTTTTTATATAAAAATTAATGAAATTTTACATTTATAATTGAAAGTCACCCTGTAATCTTAAGCCCATCAGGTCATCAAAATATTCATTTAAAAATATATTTTTTATTAATCCACCAACTAAACTTAAGATTAATTAGGCTGAAAAATTAAAAGGGTCAGGGAAAGTTGAACGTATGAAGAAAGAATAGAAATAATTGTTACTGTACGCTCAATGCACTTTTCCAGAGTTTGAGTGCAAAGAGATGGTAAAAAGTGATAAATTATAGTTTAAGTACAGGAAGCATTGAAAATGACAGGCATGAAAAGACACGTCTGGGTTTCTACTTTGCTTTCTACAAACAGACATACTCCACCAAAATGATATATTTCAAAAGTTGCTTTCCTTGCAATTTTCAAATCTCCATTCCTATAACTTTCCATACCTTAGGTCGATATTATATATTGCATTAAAATAATAGAATTAATTTTATTTTTATGAAAAAACTATAACAACAACTAAAATCTTTATGATTGCTGGAGGTTTATCCAATCATGACAAGTATTCAATTAAATACAACAATATCAGTTATTTAGAAGTTATAATACTCCTCATCTATATAATCCCAAAATAGTGGTACTTCCCAACATATTTATAACTTTAGGGTACAACAGCTGTTTATTTCCTTTGAGCAAGATAACCATATGCTTGTCTGTCATGGATAAATATATTTACAACTTTAACTACTTTTGAGAAAAACGTGTTTAACAACAAAGCAACATTTGGTGGCAAATATTGTTTACTACTTCTAAACACAGAAAATGGCTTTTCATTCACCCTTTTAAAAATGCTGTGCCTTTATTGACACAATTTACTTGAACATCACAGAAATAATATAAGTGAAATAGAAAAATATGGTAACCTCAAATACTAATTTTGACAAGAGGAAATTTATTCCATGACTGTCATCAGAATAAGTGATTGTTTTCATCAATAACAGAAATTTCAAGCACCAAAAGTGCCAAAAGTGACTGTCGCAGAAAGCAGGGGATACCTTTAGACTGCCTAGGTTTCTGTATCTACACTGGACTTTCAACATGGCCGGAGGTAGCATAATATTCTGTCATTTATGGTAGCAGTGGTTTCTGTATCTACACTGGACTTTCAACATGGCCAGAGGTAGCATTATATATTCTGTCACTTATAGCAGCAGTAGAGGGATTGGAAGTCCCAAAGGGATCACACTTGGGTTCCCTCTCCAGCAACCAGGAGGAAACAAAGAGGACCAGTCCTTTGGAACTAGAAAATCACCTTGTGTAAATATCGCACATATGGTAGGGGGAGTTGTAGAGATTCATGATAGAAAAGCTTGTCTTCCTGATTTTCTTGAAGGGTAAAGCTTACCTTTTATTTTGGCACAGTAATGATTAGTTTAAAGAAAATTGAAAAAGAATACTTTATGTATGTGTACACATGGATAGATCAAATCTGTAGTATATGTGACCATGTATAATGCATATTAACTTACACACACGTGCATGTCTTTTTATAATGTGAATTTCAGTTTAATATACCAATTGTTAAGAATGTTTATTATTTTAATGTGATACAACTATTTTATCAAATTTATATTTTGATCACCTTAATTATTGAAACTGACTCAAATGTACTGTAATACAGAGGACCAAGATGATGACTCATTTGTTTTTAAGGGTGAAGATACTTTAAGTACAAAGGCATTTTCATGATCTGTAAATGTGTGTATGTGTGCAGTCATATAAAAATTTCAGAGGTTTTACAATGCCAAATCTCAAAGAGTATATGCATCCATGATAAAGAAAATAAATCTATACTTTTCAGCAGATGGCCCCATAATCTACATATCAATCCTCTAATTTCCTTGCAGTTTGATGACTCATTTTACATCATAAGAAACCCTTTAGTAATCTCTAATTATAACACTGTTTTTACTGTAATTCTCACTTGTCTCAATCAGTCAGTTTTCTTCATCATTGCAAGTTTGACAGAGATGGAAATTTCTACTGGGACTAGGACTAATGTAATCAGATGTTGATGAAATGGCCATAAGACTCTTTTATACAGGCAGCGTCATACATCTTTCCTCTTTCACCACATGTAATCCCCATAATGAAATGAAACTTCCATAACCGACTTATGTCTCAAACTCTTCTCTGATGTCTGGCCCTCTTTGCATTAAAACAATTCCTTCATTTCATCACTGAGCATTGTCAATTATTATTATTTTTTTTGCTGTCCTTTTGCTCTCTTAGCATAATATGAATTTCTTTGAAGCATCCATGAGTGAAGGATATTCCTTAATCTATAATTTCTCTTACCAGAAAATAAGACCAAGAAAGTGGTTAGTATGCTTCTAGTTGACCTGTGGGTGTCGAAAACCATTTTTTTCAACTACATTTAATTATCTTCAAGCAATAATGCTTCAGCCAGGTCCACATCCTTTCCAGCCTCCCCATTCATTATTCTTGCCTTTAATCCCTGGCAACAAGTGCTCTCTTTTCTGTTTCTGTAATTATGCCATTTCAAGACAGTCATATAAATGGAACTATACAGTACTTAATTTTATGTTAGTAACATTTTTTACTCAGTATAATTTTGTAGAGATTCATCCAGGTTGTTGCATATATCAGAAATATTTTACTTTTTATAGCTGAGTAGTATTTCCTGGTATTCATATATGCATAGTTTAATGTCAACTTTTAAGGAAACAATCATTTTCCTCTTTAATTCATTTATTCAATTACCCTTAACACACAGATCTGTTCCTACTTTTAACAACTCTGAAATCTTGAGTTCTATTATCCTTCTATCTCATCATTATTCCCTATTCATCAACCTCATCCCACCTGTTCTTTTATAACAACTTCAACTGTACATCAGATTCTTGTTCCATAGAACATTATTTTGTTCAATGTCAATTTTTTATTTTCCTGGAGTCACGAATTTACCTATTCAGGTAGTTTTTCACTTTTTAGATTACGTATTCCAGGCATACTTATTTCCCTTGCCCTGTCCTACATCCAAAACTTGCTCAATCATGTTTCCAGGCACACTCCTGAGTTAAGTTCTTAAGTTTACTCAGTGTATTATCTGTGTACATTTTTTTAGTCTATTGTTTCCATTTCTCACAAAACAATTCCAACCCTGAATTAATTTCTGCTACACTCATCAAATGACAGTGCCTTTAAATTTCATAGTAAAAATGCTATTAATCATTTCTGTGAAATAATTTACAAATGTAAATAGGTGGTGAGATATTGGATTTTGTGTTTTTCTCCAATTTTTGCAACTAGAAACTTATTAATATCAATTATTTTTCACTTTGCTAGTGTTTTCCTTTACAAGTCTCTTCTTGAAATTATTGCCATGAAAATTAAACTTCAAAAACCAACATTAGTGAGTGGAAACACAGTTATTCAAAGTCATCTGAAAGAGCTGAATGTCACCTGCTGGGTTAAACTTAAGTGAAACCTAATTGAATGTATTAATAAATGTCAGTAAGGAGTGACACCCCGAAGTTTGGGAAGGGTTGGTTACTCATGGAAGAAGAACAAAAGGCAAATCTCAGCCATAATCATTAGCAACAGCCAACTAAATACTTCAAGTATTATAAGCCCATCTGCAAAACCATCTGACCACGTTAAGCCCTTCTGACTATAACTTGGCCTCCTCAAAATATATGGAAGCAAGAGAAAATTTCAATAGACATTATGACAAAAAGATGTGTTATCCATGTAGTAGTTATATTTTTACTGAAAATTAACAGATTAGAACTCTAGACATATATGAATTTTTATTTTAGTTGCATTCAGTAAGCTATCCCTCTGTAGGGGATCAAGCCTTATTGTGTTGATAAAGTCTTATATCGGAATTGTCTATTGCAAGCTGTGGATTTTACAATTTTAGTAAATTTCTCTCTCTCTCTCTCTCTCTGTGTGTGTGTGTGTGTATGTATGTATGTATGTATTAGGAGCTATTCTTCTTATATATTTTACTATCGTTTGAGCCTTTCCTCTGATCTTCTTAAAATATTTAAACCTCCTTTGCTATAGCAGATGAAGTCACAACCTACCTCCATGAGAAAACAGAAGCCATCTGAAACTAACTGCGTTAAGTTCTTGCATTCCTAAAAAACTTAATATGTTGAACTCTATTTTTGTCTTCTGTATCAAAGGAAAAAAAAACAAACCACTTCTATCCAAAGCTGTAGCTGTTACTGTCAGTTTTATGCATAGAAGATCCTCTCAGATTCCCTTTCCCTTTCTGCACTTTTGTCTCACAGAAGCTTTGCTCTTAACGTGGGCCTCTGAAACCACGGACTACTGAAAGTGCTCTCCCCTGGGATTTTATGCCCTCCCAGGATAGTCTCTAGCCAATGACTCAGTGACACAGGAGTGTGAAAGTCCAGCCACCTTTCCAGAAGTAAGAGATATTCTGATGTGTAATTTTCATTTTTGAATTTTTTGCAGAATAAGGATGGGGCTGCAACTTCACTTTAAATCACAGTCTTATTGGACTTTTCTTCTATCATGCTTTTTTTTTACTCTCTTTATTGTTTCTCTAAGAACATTTCCTTAATGAATCACTTGTGCATAAATCCTTATCCTAGGTTCTTGCTTCCAGAGAATCTGACCTCAGATAAAAGCTAATTACAACTACCACCTGCATTTGGTGTCATATTCCCTGCTGTATTACACAGGAAATTAATCAATTTCCTAGTATGCTTATTTCATTAACATTTCTCTTTCTCTGAACTTGTTCTTTGATCCACCGAATATCCTTCCCTAATTATCACATAACTTTCTTCTTTTCTTTATATTTATGTCTCTAGAAGGAGTAGTCTATGCTCATTTTTCCAGCGTATCACCTTTTCTTTACTATTTAAATTTAGGTTATGTTTTCCTTACTTCATTAAAATTATCTCACTAAGGTTAGCTAAAGCCTCCTAATTAACAAAACCTACAAGATTTTTTTTTGCAACATATAACACTTTTATCCACTCTTTTCACTTTTTCAACTACTCCTTCCTTGACATTAAGATAACAGTATATTCATTTACTCCTTCATATTATACATATTTACTGATGTGTTTTATTGAATGTCAGATACCAAATTAATAAGGGATAAATGAGAGAGTAATAATACACACAGTGTGATATGAAAGCAAATGATAAACATAACCTACTCTGTTGGAATGAGAGAATTTTTTTTGAAAAATACGATGTTCGGGCTGACTCCTGTGTGATTTGTGTGACTTAACTTGTGACATATTTCCCTACACCTACAATCCCGGGTCTTGAGACTATTAACTACCTAAACAGGAAAAGTAAAATTTGGAGTAGACATAATCATCTTCACCTAAGTCCAAGCTAGCATTAGTGTTTTGGGAGGGTTTCAGTCTCATTTTGTAATATGCTAAACTTTTACCTCAATGTTGAGAAATGACTCCTTCCACCTGGTGTGCATGCAGCTTCTGATCTTATTATATTTGTATTTTTTCTCTGCCCTGGAAGCCACTAGTTCTGTGACCTATTCCTTGCAACCCAGATGCGCAGATGATCTAGATGCTTTAAATACCTACATAGCAGCTCTATACTGGTCCTAGTTTCTTAGCAAGGCTTCCAGTTCCTTCTTATCTGTCATAACAACTGAGTAGAAACGAATTCTATGAAAGCTGAGCTAAGATCCTGTGTCCGTCTAAGACTTACAGATACTGACTTTTAAAGCATCTTGACCGAGGCTAAATCTCTTCTCTGAAATGCTAGAACTGGGAAATGCAAAAGGGAGCAGAGAGAAACATTTGATTAAAAATCCCCACAAATGCAGGTTAAAATTGTAGCCCAGGGAGATGGAAAAATCTATTCCTGAATTAATAAGTAACTGGTAGAAGCCATTACACAGAAAGCACTGGAGAAAAACAATTTTATTTCAATTGTTGAATCTCTGTAATGTGAAGTAACAACTTTGAAAAACAGAATACTATTCATTTAATCATAACGGCACTGCTAGAAGAGAGGGACCACCCTAACTCAGCTTTGTGAACAAGAATAATTCAGGGCAGCAGAAATTGCAGGATGAAAAAGAGACATCTGTACTATATGAGAAACGAATAGAGAAACTGTGTTTAACCTTATCTAAGCATGTCCCAACAGGAGGTTTCTATATCCCACCTTAGTCTGTATGTCAATTGAACCTTTATTGCCTCTGCACCGCAGATCCTTTTTCTCAAATCTAGATAAACAAAGTCCCCAGGGCGGAGGCAATGGCTTCTGGCATCACACGGTGTGGGCCTAGAGGTCCATTTTCTGGGCCAGTGATTCAATAAGTGAATTGTTCAAAACTCGAGATTCAAGCAAATCTGGCTTCCAATATCACCAATGTTTTTAGAACTTCCAAGAAGTTAAATTTATATCATCTATTTTTGTATTTAACAAATGCATATTCAAACTAACCATTTTCAAGAAAATATAACTACTATAAAATACTATAAAAATTATTGGTACATAATATAAGTGTCTGTTATAACAATTATTAATATTGGAGATATTTAACCACTGTATGTTCCACTGAAGTAGCTTTGAAAGGTCCCAGAATCATAACATCTGCTCAGCTTATAAATCACTAGCATACTTTATGAAATTATTATTAACTTTATATATGTTAGAAAATCTAGGAAAGGCATTTCTAAAAAAGGCATTTCTAACAAGTATCTATAATTCATAATGCATGAACATTTTATAACCTGAAAAACACTTTTAACATTTTTGCCTAAGATCAGAGTTTTAAAAAAGGCAAAGACATATTTTAAAACACATTAAATTATTTTATTGCATATCTTCTTGTTGAAGAAAAAAATCCTTAAGAATATCTGAATTCATACAAAGTTTTTATCAAATCTTTATGAAGTTTGACATATTAATAATATCAACTTTGATCATGGCACATTTGAAATATCTATATATATGATACGGCAATTATATGTTTTTTGGTCTGGTTTATTTAAAGCCTGAATGAAGGTACAACAATATACTTTTTTTGTTATATTAATCTAGATAAATCATATAAAATTAACACCTATCTACAAGATAATGTACAAAATTACTACTATAGCTCAGCATTGTGTGATTTTATTTTTATTATTTCAAACAGATAATTCAGTTTAAAAGGCAACATACAAATTTTGGACCATGAAAAGGAAATACGAAAACCTTTAGACCAGCTGTTAGCTAGCATTTGAAAAGCAAATTAAGCAGGTTTCTAATATAATGCAGCAGATGGAGAAAATGTGATCACCCAGGGAATAAATTTTCTTTATCTATCATTTTAACTTAGGTCTGTCAGTGTGCCTCTCAGAAAGTCAGTTTTTTTTTCCCTCATAACATTCTTTACATTACTGCAAAATAATGTTCTTTCAGGTATTTTCTGATCATATCTGCTGTAAGTTAAGGGTGAGGGAATGTTAATATAGGAAAATGACAAGATCATGTTTCATTTTAAAGAGTATATGGTTATGCAATATTGTTTATTGCAAATAAGTATAGAATATGTAAGCAAAAATGGCACTTATCTAGAAAAATTTTGCATTATTTATACTGGTCTAGACTTTGGCCCCAGATATATGTGTTTCTGACTTTTAAAAAAGGCAGAATTTTGGTAGCAGGTGTTAATAATATTACTTTAAGAAGTTAAATCAAGTGGCAGCTTTTAAGGAGATCAGAGACGACAGAAATGTGAGACAGACCAGTGAAGACACTAATTCTACAAACTCCATGGGAAGCCAGGGCCATGAAATTACAAATAATCTGAAGGAGATTGATAACTAGATGAAGGACAAACCTAGGAGCTATTTTTAAATTGTGATGAGAAATTGCTTTGTTATATGGCACTATATATATGATTAATAAAAAAAGATAGGCTCACACCTGTAATTTCAGCACTCTGGGAGGCTGAGGCATGTGGATCATGAAGTCAGGAGTTCCAGACCAGCCTGACCAACACGGTGAAACCCCGTCTCTACTAAAAATACAAAAATTAGTTGGGCGTGGTGGTGCGCGCCTGTAATCCCAGCTATTCAAGAGACTGGGTCAGGAAAATCGTTTGAATGCGGGAGATGGAGGTTGCAGTGAGCTGAGATTGTGCCACTGCACTCCAGCCAGGGCGACAGAGCAATACTCCGTCTGAAAAAAAAAAAAAAGCTATTAAAGATTTGAGTTTTAGTAAAGATAGTAACACTATTAGCTGAAATAAAGCACAAAGCAAGAAAATAGAGTAAAAATAATGTATATTGTTTGGAATGTGTTTGTTCTTTAGTGTCTATTGTGCATAGAAGTAGATGCTCAGTAACCAGTTGCAATGTAAAATCGCTTTACCAGAGAAGGGATAGGACTGGAGATCAGTTATGATTCATCTGAGAAGGGTTGATAGTTGAAGCCATCACAATAGGTAAAGTGTTTAACAGAAGCATGTAATAAGAGATACTTAGAGGTTTACATACAGAATCTTATTTAAAGTGGCCATAAATTGGAAGGAAGCTTTTGAAGATGACATCAGTTCGTATAATACATGCAAAAAACTGATAGCAAGCATGAACTATTTGATGAGTGCTTCAGGGCCATTGACAAAGAGACTGTAGCAATATCCTAGAGAAATTTTCAATTTCCTTTTACCAACAATGAGAAATCTCTTCAACTCCTGTAGTAGCTGATATGAATTGGCTTTCTTGGTGTTCTATTTGAAAGACCTGATATTTACCCAAATTTATGCTCATGGGAATGTTTCTCACAGCTTTTCTTCTGACCCTGTTCCTAATCTTGTAGATAGTTTGGAACTGACCATGTGGTAGTTTGGAACTGACCATGCGGTTAGTATAAATAGGTAATGTTTTCACTGTTATTTTTAGGAGTGCAGTAGTTGTGGGCATTTGCATAGATGATTGGAGAAGAGAGTTATACTGATATTAAATGTGGGCTAAAATCCTTGCATTACTAGTATGTGGTCTCATTTGTTTGGTTGCATATGTGGATGTGGCTTTCCTACAATGTGATGTAGAAAGAGTAGCATTTTATGTTTCAACAGATTAACTTTTATTCCTTGTTAATTCCAGAAGAAAAAGCAATGCTGACCTCTATAGGCTATTTAAAATTTCAGAAACTTTAAAATATATCTTACTATCTAAATTTTCTAATTTTCTCATTTACAAATCTTCCTCAGCCCATTGCTATTACCATCATTTTAATACCATTCCACCAATATCACAATATGAAAATATTCCTTCCAAATATCTTCACGTCTCTACAATATTCCTGGAGTGATTTAAATGTTTGGTATGAAAGAAAAGGAATCAAAGAATGTTGAAAAACACTTCATCATAAAATATTATTATGATTTGCTGTTTATATAATGTTCATTTGTGACTATTTCTGCACATTCTCTGACAATGTTTTTGTGTCTGAATTTTTTTCAAATAAATATTGCATCACATGTTGCTATAAATTGGAAAAATATATATTAAATGTATTTTTCTGCTATAAATATACGCATCTAATAAGTATTTTCTGGGTTATTTAATAAATAAATACTATATTTTTATTAAAAAGTAAAATATACATATCAAAATAATGCAGGCAAATATGAAAACATTATACCTGCCTCTTACGATGAAATAAAACCTGCAAAGGAAATCTAAATAATGCAAAAAAAATTCTCATTCAACTTGTTTCCCAAGCCTATCTGTACCCATCTGCAGATTGTTTGGAGCACTACAAAGAAGTAAAAAAATAAATAAATAAAATTGGAGGATACTGTAAACTATTGGTATTTTTTTAAATAGAGGTATCATATATATAACCAAATCCTTGCTTTTTGACTGTACAGGAATTTTTATCAGTGAAAAAATTTTAAATGCATTTCACTTTTCATACCTTACCATTAAGTTTTATCAGTTAAAAATATCTCATTCTCACTTTTGAAGCTAAGCTGAGAATGGACTATGCATTTTTAAATGCATTTTACTTTTAGTACCTTACCACTAATTTTTAACTGATATTTATTTATTTACTATTTCCAAGTTTGTTTGCTATTTCCAAGTTTTAACACAACCTTCCATACTTTATAAAATGTAAAATTTGTAAGTAAACATTTAACTACATTTTATCAAAACTTCCATGATTAAATTTTAAATGTATGCCAACAAAAAATATTGAAACTCTTCTCAACTCAAAATACTTTTATCCTCAAAGTTAAAACAAAACAAAAAAATTGGCCAGGGTAAGCAATCCACTTTCACGTAAAGTGTTCTGCTAGGTCCTCTGATTATTGTAAAATTAAGTAGAATATACACCTTAAGTTCTGTAAAACTATATCTTGCAGAACAGATATATTTACATGAAAACACTCTGAAAGAAGGCATTATCTGGTCTTTGCTAGAAGATACAAAGAACACAAAAGGTAGAATGGCCGTGTGAGGGAGGTAGTAACTGATGGGAATTGCAGTGGGAACTGAAAACAAACAAGCTGAATAATGTCTTCAAAATATCAGTATATTGTAATGTTCAATCTGTTTTTGTGAAGAATACAAAACTGTTGAACCAGAAAATATGTCCAAAGACATCTAGAGTATTGTCTGGAGAAAAAAAATAGGATATGTAAAATAAGGTCAGAGACATAGGATAAAGAGAGAAGGTCTAATAATTGTTTAATTGGTGTCCAGAAAACTGGAGACAGAAAATAGGACCTGAACAATCTTTGAAGAGAATATTGATCAGGATTTTTCAGAAGTGGTGAAGAACTCAATTTATAAATATAGGAATCTCAATGTAATCGGGAAGAATATAAATTTTACCGAATCTAAGTAACAGGGACCACATTCAAAATGAAAATCTTATGACTAACTAAAGTGAAAGAAATATTACATTCAGAGAGCAGTAATAAAAGTCATCTATGGGCCGGGCGTGATGGCTCACGCCTGTAATCCCAGCACTTTGGGAGGCCGAGGCAGGTGGATCACGAGGTCAGGAGATCGAGACCATCCTGGCTAACACGGTGAAACCCCGTCTCTACTAAAAATATAAAAAATTAGCCGGGCGTGGTGGCGGGCGCCTGTAGTCCCAGCTGCTTGGGAGGCTGAGGCAGGAGAATGGCATGAACCCAGGAGGCGGAGCTTGCAGTGAGCCAAGGTCTCACCACTGCACTCCAGCCTGGGCGACAGAGCGAGACTCCGTCTCCAAAAAAAAAAAAAGTCATCTATGAGTTTTCTACTGCCACAACGATGACAGCAGAATGAACTATTTGATATATCAAAAGAATACACCTATGGACATCATCATCTACATCTATTAAAAATACCCTTCAAGAATAAGGAAAAAGAAAATTATTGTATGCCAAGAAAATAGTGCTCACTACCAAGAATCTGTAATGAAGGAAATCCAAAGAAATACTCTACTGACTACATCCCTAGCACTGTGCTTATTTCTTTCAATTCATAGTCATAATTAATCTTCCCCAAACCAAATCATCTTACATTTATAAATAAATGTGTAACACTTTAAAAAGAAACGATATCTCTGGTTTATTTTAGCTCCAAAGTCTGTGATCTTTTGAATTAAGCATGTGTGCCTGCTGTCTACAGAATAGTCCACACAACATCTTAGTTTTAAATTTGTTTCTTACTCTATTACCTTCCAAATTTCAAGTATGATTATCAGGATTACCCAAACTATTTATATCTTCATCCTTTAGAAAGATATATATGTTGATTTTATTTAATGTTAATGTGAGTAATCCAGCATCATTTGGTTTATTTTCACTTGAGCTATTTGCGTATCTCTCTCTCTTTTTCTCTCTCCTCTCTATTTATCTATCTAATCTACTATCTGTCTTTCATCTAATTATCTTCGCACCCCATAAATCTTCAGAAGGGTGAGTTTCACCTCTGTTAAATTTAAGTATAACCCATCGCATTCATTTGGAACTAAATTAAGTATAGCGACTGAACACAGAGAATGGATAGGGTAGTACATAATTAGACAAATGGGCTTCAGTCACAGACTGTTTTGTGACTGAGCCTTGGCTCTATTTTTCACTGGCTACACAGGAATAAGCAAGTTAGTTTTGCCACATGTAAGGGTAACAGTAGGGAAATAGAGAACCTTAGTAATATACTGCATTTAAAATAGGTGTCAGAGTGCCTAGGACATGGAAGCATAGCAGTCAAAAGCAAGATGACCTAGTGATTAAGAAAAAACTGTAGCCAGACCGTCTGGTTTTGTGTCTGAACTCTGCCATTTTCTAATTCCTTGACCTTGGGCAAGTTACTTAGTCTCTCATCCATAAAAGAAGGATAAGATTAGTACCTAATTCAGAGTCAAGATTCATATAGATTAGGTCCATGCCTTCTATATACTGTTACTTAATTAAAACATGTTAAGATTGCTGTTATGATTATAATCAACTGATTAACAATTTTATAGTTAATAAATTTACTTGATAATACTAGCATGATAGTTATTTAGTGGGCCTGAATTGGAAGGTATAAAGATATATCAGGCATTGAGAATCACTCTAACTGCTGCATGACAACACAATCATTTGCATCCAGGAAAATACTTTATTGCATTCCATATAAGTTATCCTCTTTTATTTTCGTCATAATACTATATAAATTAATAAATGAATACATAGTAGAAATAAAGCATCATAATATATAAACACATGCATACACATACTGTGTAATTGAAATTATGGCACGAATCCACACATTGAAAAATTTAAGTCGATATTGCAGTTCCAAAATCTTTCAATATAGGTTCCTGCATGTTCTCTTTTTTCTTTATCATGTAAACTGGTGTATTATAACATAAATTGGAAGGCTTAACCTAAACTCATTTATGAGGCAAGATAAAATAGGTAGTAACAATACAATCTATATTCTCATTATTCATCAATTTTATTCTTTCAATTATTAAAGAACGTTAATTGAGTCCTTCTAGAGTGGGCACTGTGCCAAGTGATAAATAAGTGTTTAGAGGTATTCAAAAGACCATTCTTTGCTACAAATATTATTGCTTAGTAAAAACTGGCATTTCTTCTGCAAATAAATCTTTGAAACGAGTATTTTTTAATCAGTAGAAATTAAGTTGGACATAGATAAAAATAGAAATCTATGTAAAATTATAGCTTCTCTGAAAGAAACTATTAATAATGAGGAATGTATTTTCAGAAATTATTGAGTAAATTTAGGCTGACTGCCTTTCTAATATGGTTGTGGTTTCACTAAAATAAATCTGCACATGATATCTATAATATTTTAAAAATTACTTTTAATTATGAGGAAAGCAGTACTCTTTATACTGACAAACCAAATTATGAGAATAAATAAATAAATAAGCTATCCTCCTAAATAGTGTATGCTATAACTCATCCTAAAATAAAATACTGTTTCTAAAGTAATACTTATTTGGAATGTATACTGTGGACAAACTCCTCACTGAATAAATCTAAAATGTATGAGTGAAGACATTCACTGAAGTGAAACTGAAAACAATAATTGTCATAAAACTAGACAGAGTACTTAAACAATTAAAGTTTACATCAGAGGAGAACAAAAGTTAAATTAACATGGGGGAGAACAAAATGTTCATTTATGGACTCATTAATCGACTGTAAAATAAGGATGAAAAGTGGAAACACGGAAATTCAAATTTGTAAGTCTTCTTTCTCTCAATTTTTCTTTTTGCATTTAGCCGAAAGACATGGCAGAAGAGAGAGAAATAGAGGACTCTGTAGAATAGATGGCATTGATCAATCTGCTGTAATTGGTGGAGGTGGCTGGAAATACCATACCATCTACAGACAGTAAAATAACTGTATCTATAGACACAATTACTTAGATCGCCTTTGGATTCTAAGTTCATTTTCTTTAGAGACATACACAGATTATATAGACACATCTGTTATGAAGGATATAAACTTACCAGGACTAGCCATTGAGGGATTCTTTCCTGAGTACAACTGATATTCAAACTTCTCTGTGTCCAGGCAGCTTCAGCGTCACCTGAGAGCTTGCAGGAAAAGTGGAATCACAGGTCCCCACCCTAGACCTACAAATAATGCCCTTTAACAAGATCCCTGGGCGATTTGTATGCAAATCACCATTTAAAAAGTACTCATCTAGTACATATAGGTTGTTTGACAGATGAAGATGTTCTGAATGCCTTTTAGTTTCATTTGCAGTGACAGAAGGAAAAAGTTATCTAATGAGGAATAAATGCAAACAAAAACTATCTTAGCATTTTATCCTCAAAATGCATGCCATTTTACCTGGAAAAAGTAAGATTCTTATTACAATGTGAATCACAAAAATTATGTTATTTATCTGGAACTTGAAACTCAATATGAAATCATTTGAGGTTCCATTCAAAGTTCTAAAATCTATCAAACATAGGACGTGTTGCATTATCAAAGCAGTTTCATTAGAATTTGCATGGGCCTAAGTAAATAAGAGGTTATGCTCTTATGATACATCTAATATACAATTTTCCTATAAAATATATATTTAATAGCTCCTGAAAAAGCAACCGGATCAAGATAGGACACTGAATTAATTACTTCCTTATAGTGAATACTAAGAAATCTCCTGTTCTTTCTTCTCTACATTAAGGTATTGTGCATTTGCCATTGATGAAGAAATAGTGGAGTAGGTCAGAGTTCACGTACGTGCCAAATTTTGTATCTTTATCTATATAGCAAGTATCTAAGAATTCATGTGTATGCAATTTAGCAAGAAATCATATAAAAATAGGGGATAGTATTGAAAGTCTCAGAATTTTATTCTTACTAAAATATTTTGCATCAAATTATGTTAGAAAGGCACTATAAAAAAAACAAATACATCTTGAAATAAAAGTCTGGAAATTAAGTAAAACCATTAAGAGATCAGTATCAAAATATCTGATGATTATGGAATACATCCCTTTTTGTGAGGGGGCAAATTGTATTAACATTGCATTTTGATATAAATTAACAGAATAAACATACACAAAGAAAATAAAGCATTAAAGAAAATAAGGAGAAAATTAGTAGTGGTTATTTGGGAAAGAGATTACTACTATTATTTTATTTATACTTCTCTACTTTTGATAGTCTTTTCAATAAATAAAATACATACAGTACTTGTTAATAAGAAAAATACTTTTAAAATAATAATAGCTGCATTGGTTCTTGATGAAATCTTATCATCTTAAAGCTATATTAATATTGGAAACCTCAATTAATAAATATGAGATAAAATATAAGTATATGCTAATTTTGTGATGTATTATGTCTTTCCTTCTATTAAAAAATAATTAACATTGACAAATAGAATTAAGAAGATATTCTGCAAAATGGTTCAAACATCCATAAGGAACACATTTTACATGAGCTCTGTTATGAAAATAGATGTATTATTTAAGGTGAAACATTTAGATAATGTTCCAGTAAGTATGTTTATATAAAATTATTTTATCTTTTTTTATGTAGTTTTTTTCTACTTGTATTAGACATTTTTAGTGGAAATTTGAATACATTGCTATTTAACTGATAATACGAAATAACATATCATAAATTACTTATATTTATAGGAGCATATTTGATTAAACAAAAAGATATCTATTTGTTCTTTATAGTTTTAAAAATCAATGAAATAATTGGATTTGGGAAGATTAATAGGATACTTCAACTTACACTAAATTATATCAAAATGCTCTCTCCCATTTTTAAGTGGTTTAAAACCTCTCAAACCTACAATTTGGGCACTATTTCTTTCTAGTATTGATATAGGGACGTTATTTTCTAATATGCCTATAAAAAACTGCAAGCTTATTTACCTAAAAATTAATATAATGCTTCACAAAATGTCTGCACTATTACACCACTTGTACTTTTAAAATATTTTGTCAAATCTAGTCATTGACAATGTAATGCATTAATTACAACTGAATTTAGCTATCATAAATGGCAATTACATACATTGTGAATCATGATTTTCTTCTAATACATTTTTATTTATGAATTTTATTTCTTGAATATAACTGATAATATTGTTTATTTAAAACAGAGTATTTATTGATTTAATATCCTAAAAATTACTCTACATTAATTATTTTTAAATGCATAAAATTTTATAACACTCATCACTAAATTGTATTTTAAGATAAAGAATGGGAAATGGACCACAATAAAGAGCTTTAAATAATTTTATTTAAGCAGTATTTTTTTGTCGTTGCTATGTTAAAATGTCACTTAAAAATGAAAACAGAGCAGTGTTAAAATAATATGTCAGAATGTTGATTTTAAATGGCCTTACAAGTTTGCAAAGTGAGGAGTTTTATGTAGAACTACTCTGACCAGGAGGCAAAAGTTTAACTGAAATTTATACATAGGTATAATCAGATATAGTCATTTCTAAATGACATATAAATTTCGACATATACAATATGTATTCTACACATTTTATTGACATATGCAATATGTAATCTACAAAGGAACTATTAGCAATACGTATACTGATCATTTGCAACAAAAAGCCGTAAAAGCACCAAATTAGAGGATAATTTAAGGGGAAAAAAGGATTCTTTCTCCACCTAAATAGGAATTATTAATTAATGAAAGATTTCATGTATTGTTTCATAAGTTATATTCTTTTATTTAAATAATTTAAAATTATACCTATGACAAAGCATTTATGCTTATTATAGTAATAATTTACACAAATGATTATACATAATAACATCTTCAACCATTATTCAAAAATGGTAATTGTGACATTGTTAATTTTTTCCACAATTTTGCTTTCATTCATTTCAGGCAAGAATTTTCTCAGTCAGTGACTAATGTTAAAATAGTAAAAGTGAACTTTATTACAAGCAGATGTTTATTTTATAACATAAATATTTAAATTAGTAAATCGCAAGAGTTCTTTAATTAAAAGTGTTAACTTTATTGAGAAAAATTTAATTGCAGAATGGTTATTACTGTGAATAAGTTTTGCATATGTGTCTATCTACCTGTCTTTTATTTTTATTGCATCATTAGTTTTAATTGCTTTAATCATATCAAGTTAAATCCATTTGCATATTATCATTGTGTAAAGGTATATATTTTAGCAAGCAAGTACTTTGAATCACAGACATCTATAATATACAGTCTGTGGATGATTCTGAAATAGATTTACATATTTATTTAGGGAGCCGTATTGGGATCACTGGGATAGTTTCCTGAAATAGAAGAACTAATTTCTGTGAGGATATTAAGAAGACAGCTGTCATGTAATGCTTCCCAAGTAGTTTTTAAAGTACATAAACAATATTCTGTAATGAACACTCAGATTAGCATATCAGATGAAAGAGTGGAAATTCATCCTGAATAACTTTTAAAGGAAACACATTTTGAAAAAATTGAAGAAACAAAGTTTCTTTCTCCCTTGTCCCGTACTACTATGTTTTTTCAACCTAAAATTTGAGGGTAATTGGCCAGTATAAGTACCTTCTTAAATGTTATTGAATCCAATTAAAGTTTTCCAGTGAATTTAGAATAAATGTGAGACCACATTTTGATAGTAGATGAATAAGAGAAGAATGAGTAAAAAAAGAATGGCACTAATCTTTTAGTAAAAGTGATCCACCAGGCAAAAAATAAATAAATGAAAGAAATCTAAAGGTTTAGGTAGCTGGCTGTGAGTTTGCTTCATTTACCCTTCTTTTTAAATGCGGTACAATTCCAGATATAATTAGTAAAGTGTGTATAATAGCATATATATGTTATGGCTTGTATAATAGCAAGCCGTAAGAAGAACTTTGGGATCATTGGCCATTGAGAAGTGTGATGGAAATTCACTATCAGTGATAAAGGATATCCAGGAGCAAACATCAGATATGAAGGCAATCAGACAGCAAGACTGGATGCAGAACAACAGCCTACAGCTGGGCAGTTTGTACACCATACATACAACCTCAGCAAAGGGAGAAAGGAAGGCTAAAATTCAGCTTTCCCTCCTCTTATCAATCATTATGCCTAAACTACAATTGTTTCAAAGTAGAAGAGTGACGATTCATTAATTTATTTACTCAAAAGGGATATATGAATGCATGCAATGGATGCTACAGAGACAAAGCACAGAAGAAGCATTATTATCCCAGTTTCACAATAAGTTAAATCACTGCCTAAAAGTTCTTCCTAGAAGTAGAAATGCCTATGAGTGCTGTAAATCCCCCAACTTAAAATATGGCAGAATTATTCTAACAGAAATTAAACATGTACTGAGAGAAATCAATGAGAGTCTGTGTCATTGTGCATGGTCACATATTTTGCATGTGTTGACCTCTCTAACTACAATGGTGAGAAAACCAAACATATCACACTAGAACTTTGAATTATAAAAAGACACAGAAAAACTCACTACAAAAATATTTCTCCACGATTGAAATACTATAATGTGAGGCAAACAAGAGAGAGCCAGATGAAACTTAAATACTTAGTTTTTCTTTATACATAATCACTCAGAATATATCTAAACAACCAAGTGCATTTACCTATTTTTTTAACTACAATAAAAATGGAACCTAATGCTAAAAACTTTTTTATTGTTTGTAAATTACTGATTTGGCATTGTACAATAATCGCTTCAAAATCTACCTTATTAGCGCTTTAAAAAAGTTCACTATAAAAAAATAAGTTCACTATCTTGTAATGAAATTCTGTGTATAAAAATGACAGCTGATCATCATTAAAATTACAGCCACCAAGGCCCAAGAAGTTTTAAGGAACTCATTCGGCTGCTGAAAGTTTCAGTTCCCAGGATTATCCAAGCAAAGCAGATGCCAGATGCTCCCACAGCAACAAAACTGAATACCCTTTGTGGTTAGAAATTTTTAAGGAAAGTTATTTTTTTCTTTCTTTTTCTACAATAAATAGAACCAGAAACAGTCACAGAAATAGGAGCCGACTTAACTATTTGCATTATTTAAATATTGCCAATATTAAATTCCTAAAATCACAGACAGTTTAAAGAAGATAAGAGCATATTTTAAAGCAAATTTTCACATTGTAATACAATTTAATTTGGTATATGGATATATATATAGTGCAAGGCTTTTTTTTTTTTTTTTTTTTTTTTTTTTTTTGAGATGGAGTCTTGCTCTGTCACCCAGGCTGGAGTACAGTGGCACAATCTCGGCTCACTGCAACCTCCGCCTCCCGGATTCGAGCGATTCTTCTGCCTCAGCCTCCTGAGTAGCTGGGATTACAGGCAGACACCACGACGCCTGGCTAATTTTTGTATTTTTAGTAGAGACGGGGGTTTCACCATATTGGCCAGGCTGGTCTCGAACTCCCGACCTCGTGACCTGCCCGCCTTGGCCTCCCAAAGTGCTGGGATTACAGGTGCTACCACGTCAGGCCAGGCAAATCATTTTTTTAACTTACTGAGATATAAGTAATAAGAATTTAGAAGAAGAAATCTTAGGGAGCATAGATTTCAAATACAAGACCTAGATGAGAATACTGTCTGTGAAATTGATCAAGTCAATCCGGGAAGTGACAAGATTAGCCATTAATGTTGCTTTCATTGATAAAAATAATTATCCAGTATTCATTGGTGCTCGCCAGGGACTGGCATGAGGGGAATTTGGTGAGATGCTATTTAAAGGGGTTAACATTCCAGTTATGCAAGATGAATAAATCCTAGAAATCTACCGTACAACATGGTGCCTATAGATAATAATACTGTATTGTGCTCTTAAAAATTTAAGAGGGGCGATCTCATGTTAAGTGTTCTTACCACACTAAAAAAATGCAATTATAGTTTTTGGATATATATAAATTGTATCTCACTCCATTTTAAAGGTATCTTCACACCAAGCATAATGCCCTTCCTTGAAGAATATAAAACATTAAATATTAATTTAATTTATATAATACTCATGTATAAAAGTATATTATGAATATATGAAACTATTTTAAAGGCCAGCTAAACTTCAGAACATATCGTTGGTCAGAGGCAATATTCTTAATATATTATATATCATATTCTTCAAATAGCTTGTTCTGGTTTTGCTAAACAGCATCACTTTATATCTGTGCCTATAGATTTTCATTAATATGCACCCATCTACATGAGAGTAGTTTATAAGTAAGTAATCAATTTGTGCATAATTTAAAGCCTTATTTAAGTTGAACCAGTGAAAATATATAATCTAATAATCTTTTCAAATACAAAATGACTCTTAAAAGAAGAACAATAAAAGTTGTGCACAACATTTTATACCAGACTAGGAAAGAAAAGACCAGTCGTAGAATACCGTTTTCCAAAGGTTGTTTCCCTGAAATAAGTACTACTTGTTAACAGTAGAAGAGCAGAATAAAACGCTTCAAGGTCAATAGTTATCTTTACTTCCTACATAAAATCCACAAGAATTGTAGTGCACATTAGAATTTTAATAGTTCTGTTCAGCCGTACCGTAAAAAGGCTGTTTGACTTTGCTAAATTCAGATATTTTAATTGGCTTGCTTAATTACTAATATCCTTAAGAACTGTGTTCTGTGGAATAAAGTATAAACTGAAACATGTTCATTTTAAATTTTAAAAACATCTTGATTGAGATATAATCCACATGCCATACCACCATCCATTATTTAATCAATAATTTTTAGTATATTCAGAGTTGTACAACCATCGCCATGGTTTTAGAACATTTTCATCACCCTAAGACAATCTGCATCCATGAACATTTTCCATTGTCCTTTCCCCCAGCTCTACACAACCACTACTCTACTTTTATTCTCTAAGGATTTGCCTATTTAAGTCAATATAAATGGAATAATGTTTGCCTATTCAAGAACATAAAAATGGAATTATCCAATATGTGGTTATTTATGTGTAGCTTCTTTCATTTAGCATAGTTTTCAAGGTTTATCCATGATTGTAGCATGTATCAATTATTTGTTTCTTCTTAAGGTAGAATACTTTTCCATTCTATGGGAGTACCATATTTTATCTGTGCGTTCATCAGTTGATAGCATTTAGGCTGTTTTGACCTTTTGTTAAGAATAATACTGCTATGAACATTCATGTATATGCTTTACGTTTTATCATTTCCCTTAGTTGCATACCTACTAGTGAGAGTGCTGTATTACATGGCAACTTTATGGTCATCTTTTCTAAGAACTGTCAGACCGTTTTCCGAATGGCTGCATCATTTTATATTTCTAACAATATATAAAGGTTTTGATTTCTCTACATCCTAATGCATATTATATATACTTTAAATTATTTCCATGCTAGTGACTGTGCAGTGGATTTTTCTTGTTCTTTTTTTTTTTTATACTTTAAGTTTTAGGGTACATGTGCACATTGTGCAGGTTAGTTACATATGTATACATGTGCCATGCTGGTGCGCTGCACCCACTAACTCGTCATCTAGCATTAGGTATATCTCCCAATGCTATCCCTCCCCCCTCCCCCCACCCCACCACAGTCCCCAGAGTGTGATATTCCCCTTCCTGTGTCCATGTGATCTCATTGTTCAATTCCCACCTATGAGTGAGAATATGTGGTGTTTGGTTTTTTGTTCTTGCGATAGTTTACTGAGAATGATGGTTTCCAATTTCATCCATGTCCCTACAAAGGACGTGAACTCATCATTTTTTATGGCTGCATAGTATTCCATGGTGTATATGTGCCACATTTTCTTAATCCAGTCTATCATTGTTGGACATTTGGGTTGGTTCCAAGTCTTTGCTATTGTGAATAGTGCCGCAATAAACATACGTGTGCATGTGTCTTTATAGCAGCATGATTTATAGTCATTTGGGTATATACCTAGTAATGGGATGGCTGGGTCAAATGGTATTTCTAGTTCTACATCCCTGAGGAATCGCCACACTGACTTCCACAATGGTTGAACTAGTTTACAGTCCCACCAACAGTGTAAAAGTGTTCCTATTTTCTTGTTCTTTTGAAGTTCCATAATGATATTATTTGGTAATGATATTATTACTTCCATTATTTTAAGTATAATGATATTGAGAGGTTTTTAAATATTTTTTGGCCAATTGTATAACTTTTTAAAAGAAACCTCTTAACATCCTGCCCCATTTTGTAATTGGGTAATTATTAATATTTCCAACATTTTTATTGTGGTAAAATGTACATAACATAAAATTTACCCCTTAACTATTTTTAAATGTCCAGTCCACTGTCATTAAATACATTCATAGTGTTAGGTGACCATTATTGATCACCTTCCAACTCCAAACTTTTTTCATCTTATAAAATTGAAACTCTATACTCCTAAAAGTTATACCACTCTGCCTTAAAGGTACATCAGATTAACTTCAGTAACACGAAAATTCTTATCCTTCAACAACTCCATTCCTACCTCTCTTGGTTTTTGATGACACAAAATTACTTCTTTATACATTGTATTCCCCAAAACATAAACTGGTAGTTCTCTTAAATGAATTGTCTTTAAAATTATATAGAAAACAAAATCTAGAGTAACTAACCAGAGTTAAACATTACAATAGCTTTTAAGGCCAAGCGTGTTGGCTCAGACCTATAATCCCAGAACTTTGGGAGGCTAACGTAGGAGAACCACTTGAGTCCAGGAGTTCAAGACCAACCTGGGTAACATAGCGAGACCCCGTCTCTATAAAATGAAAATAAAAAAAAACACTACCTTTTAGACTAATAATTGTTTTCTTAAAATGTATTAGTTTCTTAAATCATGTAGAAAACAAAAATGTACAGTTACAAGCCCTTGCTAGAATATTGCTAACATTTATAATTGCCCCTATATGTACTTTCACTGAGATTTGTATTTCTTCATACGGATTTGAGTTACCGTCCAGTTTCTTTTCATTTTGCCCTGCAGAATTCCCCAGGGTATATTTTTCAGGTCAGCTATAGTGGTAACAAATTCCTTCTTTAATTAACTGAAAATGTCGTAATTTCTCTCTCACTTTTGTAAGACATTTTTTGGATATCAAAGTTTGGCTGACAGTTTGTTTTTTTTTTGTTTGTTTTTGTTTTTTTTTTTTTTTTTAGTATTTTTTGAATATGTTGGCCCACTGCCTTCTATCCTTCAAAGTTTTTGGTGAGAAATCTACTGATAATCTTATTGACGATCTCTTGTATGTGACAAGTTTTTTCTCTCTTACTGCTTTCAAGATTCTCTCATTGTCTTTGTCTTTGAAATGCTGTATTATAACGTGTTATAGTGTGGGTCTCTTTGAGTTCATCTTACTTAAAGTTTGTTGAGTATCTGGGATGTTTATATTCATTTTTCATAAAATTTGAAAAGTTTTCAGCCATTATTTCTTCCAGATAGTCTGTCTGCCCCGTTCTTTCTCTCTTCCCATTCTGAGACTACCTCAATGGGTATTTATTCCTCTTGATGATGTCCCACATGTCCCTTAGGCTTTCTTCATTTCTTCAATATTCTCTTTTTTGTTGTTCTTCTACCTCAATAATTTTTATTGTAATATATTTGATTTTGCTGATTCTTTCCTCTGCCTGCTTGAATCTGTCTTTAGATCCCTGTTGTCAATTTTTTTTAAATTTCATTTTCAGAAACTGTTATGTTAATTGATTGCCTTTATTTCAATGGTCATAATTTTCTGTCTTTTTTATATTTTTAATCATTTTATTTTTAATTTTTAATCTATTTATTTATTTACTTAGAGACTGGGTTATGAGATTGGCTAATTTTTATATTTTTGGTAGAGATGGGGATTTGCCATGTTTGCCCAGGCTGGTTTTGAACTCAAGTGACCTACCCACCTCAGCCTCCCGAAGTGCTAGGATTACAGGCATGAGCCAGCATGCCTGGCTCTCTCTTGTAATTTTTAATGTCTTGTAATTTTTTTTGTTGAAAACTGACATCTGAATCTAATAATGTGGTAACTCTGAAATTTGCCTTTCTCTTTCCCCAGAGGTTGTTGTTTTCTGTTATTATCTTTATCGTTTCTGTTTCTTGATTGTTGTAGGGTCTATATGTCAAATATCAGCCTGTGGTGTAAATTTATGCTTCTCAGTTTTTTGTGGGTTCATACCTTTCCCTGAGCATATATAGTCACATTCTAATTTCCTTTGTACATTCCATTGCTTTTGAATGTCCTAGTCTTTAATGTCTGTCTCCTCCCCAAGCCTCCAAAAGAGAGAGAGAAATGAAGGAAAGAAAAATGATGCTGGTTCTTTAAATCCTCGGGAAGTCACTTCAGGCTGTAGGGGGACAAACAGTAATAGTGATAAAAGGTGCAATAACGATGGCTGTGTATCTCTCTGTACTTCTGTGATTAAAAAAATAATAATAATAATAAAAAGCACCAGTCAAAGATCAGTGCCCAGTACCTCAATATTGGAGGAGGAAACCAGAATTATTTTTGTCCATCCTGGCTCCTGTAAGTTGTGTGCAGGTTTCTCCAGGAACAAGTGCACAGCTGCCTGTCACAGAGCTAGGGAACTAATACTGTGCGAAGAGCTTAAATTGTCCAAAATTACCACAGTTCCTTCTTTGGAAGTTGCAAGGCTTTAATAGATTCCAGAATTCCAAAATAGTTATATCAGACAGACTGATTTTGTCCACGCTATGTAGGTGGAAAGACCGATTCCTCATACTTCCTACTCTGCTATTTTCCCAGATTCCCCGAGACATTTTATAACAGAAAATTTCAGAACACATGAGGATGATGAATATTGCAAAGGAATAGAGACTATCTTTGGTAGCAGAAGACTATGAAGATGCTTTATTAATTTGCAAATGCAATATTATTCAATTTATTCATATAAAATATTCAATGGAAAAATTTAAGGTATGTAATGTTTGAAGACCCATTTAGTTATTAAACCATTAAGATATAAAATAATAATATAACATCTAGAAAAAGTAAGAAAATAAGAAAATTACAATTAATAAGAGTTTGGTAAAGAAAGAGTTAGCTATAATCTAAATATATGATAGCAACTTATATATCCAAGAATAACTAAATATCAGAAAATATTGAATTAATGATAGAAAAAATAAAGTCTTGAAATACGCTTTACAATGAAATTCTATAACCTAAGTGTCATAAAACTATACAACTGTAATGTTAAAAATGAGCTTTGACTAACCAAAAGCTACACAATGATAGTGGTGTGGGGAAAAAGATCTAAACCTTCTCCAAATTTTGCTGTCGTGAAACAATGGAAAGCAAAATTTAAAGATGATTTTTAAGTTGGTAATGCAATTATAAATGTTATATACAAGACAAAAAACAATACTTTTCAAACAGAGAAAAGAGGGAAATACATATTTAACCAGATATGAAAATATATTTAAGACAAAAATATATTTAAGACAAAAAGATATGAAATAGTAAAATGAAAATCATTCATGTGAAAAATGGAAAGATGTAAGAATCAAATAGTAAAGAAAACTATTAAAAATCATATCTATTAGGATAATTGTAACAGCCTATGGCAAAATGAATTCAGATCCAGTATGAAGTAAAATGTAAAAACAAACAAAACAACCAACAAATATCAACCTAGAAATCTTATAAAATATTCGATTATATTAAATTGCTTAATGGAATTTTACTTTGAATCATAACAACTGTAGAAATAAGAAAATTAAATATTGAAAAAAGTGAGTTACGACAATTTTCTATTCATCAAAAGATGAAGGGATAAAGTATCGTATATTCATAAAATGTAATATCATTCAGTCACACAAAGAAATGAAGGGCTGCTACATGCTACAACTTGGATCATCCTTTTAAGACATTATGCTAAACAAAAAACACTAGTCACAAAAGTTCAAAAATTATATGAGTCCACTGATATGAAAGTCCAGAATAGGGTAACCTATATAGAAATAAAACGTATTAGTGGGTGCTTAAGCATGGGAACAAAAGAGTGAATGGGGTAGTAACAGGGAGGTAGAGGGTTTATTCTGAGATAATGAAAATATTCCAATAATAACTATCATGACAATTGTACATATCTGTGAGTATATAAAAGACAATTTAATTGTAGCTATTTATTTCCAGAAAATTCAGTTTTATCTTTTTATACATAATTCTTCTTTTAAATACATTTAAAATTGATAAATAAAAGTTGCATGTATTTACTGTGTACGAATGTAGTTTGGAATGTATTTACATTGAGGAATGGTTACATTGAAGTTGCCTGTGTTTTGTGTGTGTGTGTGTGTGTGTGTTTGTGTGTATATGTAGTGAGAGAACTTAAAATCTACTCTCAGAAATGTTTGAGAATGCAATATATTGTTATTAACTACAGTCACCATCTTGTACAATAGCTTGTTTAAATTTATTACTCCCACCTAACTGAAATTTTGCATATTTTGACCAACCTCTCCTCTAACTTTTCACCCCGTATCCCCAAACTCAGGCTCCTGGTAATCACCATTCTACTCTCTGCTTCTATGGGTTCAACATTTTAAAATTATGCATATAAGTGATACTATGTGATATTTGTCTTTCTATGCCTGCCTTATTTCACTTAACATGATGCCCTCCCATCCACTGATGGACACTTAATTTGCATTCATATCTTCGCTATTGTGAATAGTGTTGCAATAAACATTGGAGTGCAGATATCTCTTCTACATACTGCCCCATTTCATTTGTATGTGTACCCAGTAGTGAGATGTTTGGATCATATGGTAGTTCTACTTTTAATTTTTTGAGGAACTTCCCTGGCTGTACTAATTTGCATTTCTACCAACAGTGTGCAAAGGTTCCCTTTTATCCATATGCTCACTGACGCTTTTTATCCTCTGTCTTTTTGATAATAGCTATTCTAACCAGTGTGAGATAATATCTCATTTTGGTTTCAATTTGCATTTCTCTGATGATTAGTGATATTGAGCATTTTTTTAATATACTTCATTGTGTGTGTATATACATGTGCAATATTTGTACATATATATTAATATATGTACTATTCGAAGACCATTTAATATATGTAAATATTTCAATGTTTAGTTATTGGTCATGTTAACTTCTTCAAATAAACCTCTGCGTGAAAGAAAACTCTGACCTTTTGATCCTATCAAGACACTAAACAAAGGTCCAGCCCCAACCTGGGCTTTCTCTCCAAAGCACACTTTCCTGACAATGAACCTCCTAATTTTATCATCTTTTGAATTCTGCACAAGCTGACAATTTTCAAAATTATGAAGTTCTATTTCTATTTTGTTTGTCATCTCAATGTTTCTCCTTCCTTCATATTTACTATAATCAGCAAAGAGAAACAAAGCCACTCCTTCAAAACTTTGCCTGGAAATGTCCTCAGTTGTATATCCAACCTTATCCTTTCCCCTCTATAAAGATAATGGCTATATTAGGAATGGTCATATAAGTTGTTGAAGTATTTAAGAAAATATTAGATCACATTGCTCTCAGAGGACTCGGGAGGTCTCCCTGAAATTAGGCTACATTTAGTTTCTTAACAGAGTTTCCAAAAGACATATTTCACTATTTATATTTACCATGTGGAACGTTATCCCTATGAAAGAAATTATCCAATTAGGAAAGGCAGTACAAAAGATATCCCATGTTAGCTGAAATAATCAGTTGACACTACCTCAGCTCTGGAAGGCATTCTGGTTAGGCTCAATACACTGGGAAGAATACATTCTACTAGATAGTACTTTCCACATAAGGGTTTTTATCAGTCTTCAATGTAGTTGCTTTTTTTTTTTTTCCTAAATACTCTGTTAGCACACATACATTTTTCCATATCAGATTGACTTTGCTATGTGTATTATTAGATTATGTTCCATTTAAAATAAGATATTGTATAGTTTATCTGTGTAATCTCAAATGTTTGACATAATGCATCATAAAATGTGCTGTCAGTAAATCATTTTTAATAAATGTCGGCAGGCCGGGCGCGGTGGCTCACGCCTGTAATCCCAGCACTTTGGGAGGCCGAGGCGGGCGGATCACGAGGTCAGGAGATCGAGACCATCCCGGCTAAAACGGTGAAACCCCGTCTCTACTAAAAATACAAAAAATTAGCCGGGCGTAGTGGCGGGCGCCTGTAGTCCCAGCTACTTGGGAGGCTGAGGCAGGAGACTGGCGTGAACCCGGGAGGCGGAGCTTGCAGTGAGCGGAGATCGTGCCACTGCACTCCAGCCTGGGCGACAGAGCGAGACTCCGTCTCAAAAAAAAAAAAAAAATAAATAAAAAAATAAATGTCGGCAAATGTAATTTTATGTCATATTTGAATTGAAGTTTCAAAAGCTCATTCAGAGATTTTATTGAAGAAAAAGGCAATTGGGAGTCCACTGAAGACTTTTTGAGCAGAACAGTTATGTAGTCAGATATAAAATTTAGTAAGATTAATTTGAAAGACGTTTTTATATTGCATTGGAGCATTACATGCATGATATAATTAATTCTGTTAAAAGACTGCTTCAATAATCCAAGTGGTAGATGCGATAGAGTTAATCCTCGGGGGCTGATAGTCATTATAGAAAAAAAGTAAGACATCACTTGGAAATGCTCCATGGAAACTAAAAAGAAAAAGAAGGTTAAAAATTCCATGATCATATGTTGAGAAAAAAATAAGGGCTTATTTATTTTTAAAAACTAGAACTGTTCATTGTGCCTTTTATTTCTTAAAACTAATGGTTAGTAATCATAGCATACAAACTAAATATATGAATTAAAACTGGTTAACAATTAGCCACTGTATCAACAGAAAAGTTGTTTAAATCATTTATTTTTTTTAATTTTGTGTGCATAGACATACAAATAAAATCTGCATTGTAGTATTCATTGAATTTCTTAAAACTAATAAAATAGTTAACAAGAAATATTCTTAATACGCAAATGATTTAGTTCTATGGAGTTTTAAAGAAATAACTATCATTGTACTCTCGATATAAATGTATAAACCAATTGATAATTTGTGTAGCACATGGCTATTTAAGCAGCATGTAAATTTTCTTTACATCCTGCTAATCTCTTATAAGGATAACATTTAGCTTTTTTTTTTTTTTTTTGAGATGGAGTCTCGCTCTGTCGCTCAGGCTGGAGTGCGGTGGCATGATCTTAGCTCACTGCAACCTCTGCCTCCCAAGCTTAAGCGATTCTCCTGCCTCTGCCTCCCGAGTAGTTGAGATTACAGGTGCTAACCATCACACCTGGATGATTTTTGTATTTTTAGTAGAGACTAGATTTCACCATGTTGGCCAACCTGGTTAATCTGTAAGTGTAATTATCCAAGGAAAATGTTATTGGAAAGACAATTCTTTTTTATATGTGTTACATTCAATGTTTTAAAAGGTGTTCATGACTGTCACCTTGAAATTGGCTATGAATTATCTATAAATTCATTCAAATTATATGTATAAGTTTGAGTATGTATGAATGTGTTAATACTTATGCAGGTAATTTTTTAACATTCTTATACTTTTAAACACCTATGAGAGTTAAGAATCATCATATTTTAGTATATAAAAAATTAATATTAGAATTTTAAAAAGTTTTTGTCATGTATCTTGTCTATTCTAGTCTATGTTATATTAACAAATACAAATTTCACTGAGTATAAATGAGCTCAGTAGTTGCAAATGGAAAAGCATTTGATTCAAATGAAGAATAACTTTAAAATTACCGTCAATACACTGGCAAGCTATTCATAAAAATATACATACATAATACAAATGTTTTAGTGTTTATTACATAAGTAATCTGAAAGAAGGTAGAAATTAAGTGGGCATAAAAGCCTAGAATTTATGTTGACATTAAACAGTGAGTGATTGTGTGTACTTTTACCGGAAATGACTCATCTGTATTCTTAAGTACAATGTCCTATATACAAGGGCATTGACTTAAAAAAACATAAGTTAAAAATTACCACCAATAGACAAGCAAACTATTAATAAAAATCTGTATGCATAAGTTTTTTTTAGTGTTTAGTAAAGAGGTGATCTGAGAGAAGACAGGAATTAAGTGGGCATAAAAGCTTAGAATTTAACTTCACATTAAACAATTGAAAAATTGCACATACTTTTCTTGGGAATGACTGATCTTGGCTCTCAACAGCTTATTTTTAAATTTCTAAGAATTTTATAAGTTGATTGTTAAACACAGGCATTATTAAAAATTAATGTATGTATAAAGAAATAAATGTATCAAAAACCAAGGTAATAAATACAACCTATTGTTTTCTAATTATTTTACTAAATTTAACTCTTATCTATGTTCTTGATTTTTTTTTTGTCTACTGTATCAAAATGGTGGAGAGACTAACAATTACCTATTACTATTAATCTTTTCCCAATTCAATGTTCAGATACATTGCATAGACAGTGTTATGGGTTGACTTGTGTTCCCCCCAAATGTACACATTAAGTCCTAACACCAGTACCTCAGAATGTGACCTTATTAGTGGTAGGGTCTTTAAAGAATAATTCAAGTTACAATGAAGTTATTAGGGTGAACCCTAATCCAATAGGAGTGGTGTCCTTATAAAAATGAAACATCTGGACACAGAGACGTGTATAGAGAGAAGATGATGTGAAGAGAACTAAAGGAGAAGATGACCATCTACAAGCCCGAAGAGAAAGAACAGAAACAGATCTTTCCATCAGGGTCCTCACAAGGAATCAGCTCTGGCTACACCTCAATTTTAGACATTTAAGACTCAAGAAGTGTAAGACAATACATTTCTGTTCTTCAAGCCACCCAGTTTGTGGTACTTTGTTATGGTAGCTTATATTAGTTCATTCTTGCACTACTATAATGTCATATCTGAGACTGAGTAACTTATAAAGAAAAGAGATTTAATTGGCTCACAGTTCTGCAGGCTGTAAAGGAAACGCAGTAGCTTCTGCTCCCAGGGAGGCCTCAGGAAGCTTCCAATCATGGGAGAAGGCAAAAGGGGAGAAAGCTTCTCACGTGGCAGGAGCAAGAGCATGAGAGAATAAGCGGGGAGGTGCTGCACACTTTGAAACAACCAGATCTCATAAGAACTTACTCACTATGACAAAAACAGCACTAAGAGAATGGTGCTAAAACCATTCCTGAGAAATCCACCCCTGTAATCCAACCGCCTCCCAGCAGGCCCCACCTTCAACACTGGGGTTAACAACTCAATATGAGATATTGAAACCATATCACACTTCTAAGAAACTAACAGAAGAAACTTGTAAATTGCAGTGGTAGAAATTTTCCTATCACAGAAATTGGCAAAGGCTACATATCTTATCTTTTGTTCCTGTGTAGTCTGCTGGTAAACATTTACCAGCATACCACTGTGGGTATGTGTATGTGTTTGTGTTTCTTTGTATGTAATTTACAAGAATTATGAAACATTTTACTACTATGGATGACTACTCTCCCCTTCATGAAGGCCTGCCATATAAAGCAGCTTTTAATTTTTAAGTAATTTGTCTCTGGTTTAATATTTACATGCTATTTGAGTAATTTTCAATTTAATAAACCTTCATGATGTATTTTCCTTAAAAATTTTAGTAGTAAATAATTGTACATACTTATGGGGTATATGAGATATTTTGATACAAGTATGTGATATATAATAATCAAATTTGGGTAAGCGGGATATTTGTCACCTCAAATATTTATCATTTGTTTGTGTTGGAAGCATTCCAAAGTTTCTAGCTATTGTAAAACATACAGTAATTATTAACTGTAATTGCCCTATTTTGCAGAACACTAGTACTTATTCCTTACATATAATTGCATTTTCATATTCATTAACTACACCTGTTAATGCCCCCTTCCCATTAACTTTCCTAGCCTCTGGTTACAATGATTGTATTCACTACCTCCATGACATCAATTATTTTTTTAGCTCCCGAGGGTGAAAAGAAAGGGAAGTATTTATATACTGTTGATGGAAATGCAAATGAGTATAACAGCGACAAAAGTTTCTAAAAATATATATATATATAATTGTTATATGATCCAGCAATGCTACTAATGAGTATATATCCAAAAGAAAGGAAATCAGTGTATCAAAGAGATATTTGCACCCCCATGTTTATTGTAGCACTACTCACAATGACCAAGATATGGAATCAGCCTAAGTGTCCATCAACCAATAAATGGATAATATATCTTTTTCTATTTTTTTTTTTTTTTGAACGGAGTCTCTGTCTGTCACCCAGGCTGGAGTGCAGTGGCACGATCTCCGCTCACTGCAAGCTCCGCCTCCCGGGTTCACGCCATTCTCCTGCCTCAGCCTCCCGAGTAGCTGGGACTACAGGCGCCCGCCACCACGCCCGGCTAATTTTTTGTATTTTTAGTAGAGATGGGGTTTCACCGTGTTAGCCAGGATGGTCTCGATCTCCTGACCTCGTGATCCACCCGCCTCGGCCTCCCAAAGTGCTGGGATTACAGGCGTGAGCCACCGCGCCCAGCCAATACATATTTTTTCAAAAGTAGAAAACTACTCTTCCATGAGTAGGTGATTACAGAGGCAGATAAAATGTTGGACTTGAACTTGGCCAGATTATATGACGGTATGAGATAAAAGTGGGGCTGCAAAACTGATAAATTAGGTTGAACGAGGGAAAATTATTCAGATGCATGTAAATCAGGGAAACATGACAACCTCTGGCAATCCTAATGTCGAGCATGTCTACCCATAGAAAGTTATGAGTCATCCTCTGCCTAAAGGGCATTCCTATATAATTGAGAAAAGGTTTCCAACACTGTAAGTTAGTGTGGTGCTGCTGCAAAGGATGCTGGGTGATTCTTGTTATCTACAGAGTAAAGCTTACTTGGATCACTCTCCTTAACAGCATGGTCAGCCTATGAAGACAAACGCCTGTTTATGTTATATGGGGAAACCTTGCTATGTACCTCAGTGACATCAGAGATATCACGAAATAAAATTATTTACTAATGAATTTAGTCCTCATAAAATTAGCCTATATTTATCTTTTGCCTTTATCCTAGTCCACCATCTCAATTTATTAGCCTCACCTTCTCTCTAAGTATCCACAGCAAAAAATACAATGCAATGAAATCATGCAATTACTTCTGAAATGAGATTGTAAGATTTGCAAGAGATGAAAGTTTTCTTAGAAATCATGATAAGTTTCCCAAATCTCACACAAAGGTATTGACATGTGAGGATCTGGTAGTGTTTGACTAGGAAACTATAAAAGAAGTAGACAATGGAAATGCATGTGCATTTATCTCTTCACTAGAGAATGGATTAAATACCAACAGAAATTCACGAAGTGCTAACTTTTAAATAAATAATACACTTCAAATATAATGAAAAAGACAAATATGAGGTCAATGCTTTTATGTCATTACTTCTTTTAAAATCAATACTTGCATATGTTTTTTCAGGAAACATGAAATATAATTTTACTGAACATAAATGAAATAAAATGTATCGAGGTTTATTTTTCAGGGTAAGAAGATACAGTCTCCACAAAAATAAATTTTCTCTTTTTAATGGATTAACTTAAAGTGGTGCTTACCAATTATAAATCTGATAGGGCATTTCAAATTAAATTTGTGCAAAACTAAATTTTTTATTTCTATATGAAGAAAAGTGGTATCTTTCCCCAAACTTATCCCTTTCTCTGAATAGTAACTCAATTATGCCAGTTGCACAGATTAAAATTTAATTGTATTCATTGGTCTTTTTTTTTTTTTTTACATCTCTCCATGATCAATCTGCTAGCAATTTCTCTTGGCTTAGTATTTGAAATAAATACAACTAAGTTCTGAAATGTTTATTCTGTCATTCTATTTCAAGTCAGCATTACTCATCACTCAGAAAATAGTACCAACTTCCAAGTTGGTCTCACTGCTTCTACTTTTGCCTGTTTAAATTATAGTCTTTACTCATCAGCCAGAGTGATACTTTGAAAACTGAAGTAAGACTGTTGGACTTTTCTACTCATATTCTCCCAATGGTTTACATTTCACTCAACAAAACATTATAAGTCTTCATTATGCTGTATATGGCTCTACAGTATATAGTTACCGAACACTCTTGTGTTTGGATCTCTGACCTCATCACTTTACAATCTCATTCATTCACACACCTTTTCCAACTCGGCCTTCTTTGTACTTCTTGGACTTTTCAAACACACCCATTGTGCATTTTAGGTCTTGCTATTTCTTGTCCTGGAATGTTCTCCCCTTCTCTTTATGGGAGTAATTGTTGTCTCACTTTATTTAGCTCTTTGTTCAACTGTCTTCTTATCTAAGATGACTTTATTGATTGTTATGACTCAAATAACCCCTCCCCATAAACTGCCTCTTTTATGATAACACTTCGTTTTTATTCTTCATGTTTACCATTATCAACGAGGTATTTATTAACTTGTTTGTTGTCTCTTTTCCGACTATAAATACCTTTTTTTTGTTCAACACCATTTAATTCACACCTAGTATTTAGTACACACTCAGTAAATATTTGTCTTCCAAAAAGAATATGTTAAAGGCAATGAATGAGATGGCATGGGCAGGGAGTTTAAAGTTACCAGGTGCTAGCAACCAGAAAGTAGTGTGGGCTATTCAATTTATTGTCCTTAACATGCATGCCAACGGTGAGGAATGCTCAGGATTGCTCATAGATCTAGAAATCTGTGAGGCTCTTCAAAACATGCCTAAACCACATAAAACATATCACTGTAGACTTTATAATGAATACAGTAACTATATCCTTAAGTCAGAACTATGAGATAATCTTGGTAGTAGAAATGATAAAAGTAGTGTTAGCAATACAACAATTATAGATGCCATTTATTATTTGCCATAAAATCTATACTGATCTTAGCTTGTTACATATATTATCTTGTCATGCAATACCATCTTTAAAATTACTGTAAAATCATACATTTTAAAGATGAGCAAATTGATTTAAACGAGTCCAGAAATATGTTCAAAGTTATGTTCTAATGTGATTAAAAGCCCAGATGTAATCCCTAGACCACTTGACTTTAAAACCTTTACAATGCCGTATCTGCTAGCATGACATGAAAGCATCTATTCCATATTTGCCATTTGCATCAACTTTAAGGTGTATCATTTCTTTAAAAGTTATTTCAGAGCTTCATTGATTTTTCTTGGTATTTAATTCACTCTCTACTGAGTAACTCATATGCATTTGCAAGGTCTGTGAAAATAACCTGCTGTAAATGAGTAGGGGAGATTTTCCCTGAGGGAATAAAAAAAATCATAGAGAAAATGTGTTAAAAATGTTTCTTTATGTAGATAGATAATAGATACTGAGATAGATAGATAGATAAGTATACAGTAAACTCTATGACAAAATATCTACTATGTTCTAGGGATCAAAAGATAAAACTTAGTTTATGTCCTTAAAAATTTTACAAGCGAGTGAAGGAAAGAAGACAAATCAACCTGTAATTTTAATAAAATGTGGTATATTAATTAACAACTGCTATATACTACATTATGAAAATAGAGAGATAGGGAAATTTCATGTCAGACTTTTGGTGTTAGCATATTTTTTAAACGCATAATCCCCTGGAGACAAAATATTTAATGACAAGGGGAAACAACTGATATGTAGTTGAAAGTGCCTACGTGTTTAAAGAGACTCAGATAAAGTGTAATTTGAGGAAACTAAAATTTCAGAAGCAGAAAAATATTCTTCAAGGATTGGTATTACAAAAACAATTCTGAGAATATGCCAAAATTCAGGGAAGCTGGGAAAAGCATGGTAACAATTAAAATAAAACCTTCCAAATGAAGATAGTAGAGAGTACAGATTAAACCTGCTAAAGCTTAGTGAAGATAAAGGGTATTTGGTGGAAATATAATAAAAAAAGCTATATTCAGAAAAAAGTCAATAGTGTAAAAATATGAAAGATAAATCAACATAGCATTTATACCAAGAAAGTAAAAAATAAAACAAAATAAAAAGTAAACTAAAAATAGATAATATATTCAGCGTTTGAATATATTAACTAAAAATAAGTTAACATTAATAAAAAGAGTAAAGAATTATCTAAAAATAGAATTCCTAGAAATTCATAGTATTAAAGAAAATACATTTGAAAAGCATATCATCTAATAAACAAATGGTCAAAACCTTGGACAGACAGTTGACAAATGAATGCATCCAAATATTTAATAAATATATAAAATTCAACAAAGTCATTTGTTATGAGAGAAAATAATTAAGAGCTCAAAAAGAAAACCATAGAGACATGGTCAATTTACTTTTGATTAAGATGCAAAAGCAATTCAATAGAGAATTGACAGACTCTTCAACAAATTGTGCTGGAATAAAAAGATGTCTGAATGCAAAAAAAAAAAAAAAAAAAAAAAGATCTTTGATCTTTGTCACATACGTTACAACTTATCCAAAAACTGACTCAGATTAGACCATAGACCTCCATGTAAAACAAACTGTAAGATTTCTAAAAAGAAAAAAATAAACACACACACACAAGAAAACTTGCATGAACTTGGGCTTAGCAATAAATTTACATGATTCATAATTTTTTAAATGAAAAATTAGACTTTATCAATTTTGTCTGTGGAAGATGTTTAAAACAACAGAAATGTGAGCCAAGTTCTAGAGTGAACAATTGTAACACATATCTGACAAAGGACTTATATCCAGAAGATATACAAAGAACCCTTAAAATTTAATAATTAAAAAAAATTAACAATGGACAAAAGATCAGACAAGATGCTTCATCATATAATATATAGATAGCAAATAATCACAGAGATAGATACTCAGCATCATTATTTATCAGCAAAACACAATTTAAAAAAGCAACAAGGTAACCTAGATACCACTGCATCCGTATATGTGGTTTCATGCAAAACAAAATGGTCAGAGAAATGCAAATAGAGACCACAATGATAGTCTACCACATTCACAATGGAATGGCTAAAATGAAATAAACAAACAAGCAAATAAATAAATAAGTAAATGACTGTGACAAACAATATTAAGTATTTGAAGATGTGTGTGGAACACCTTTTATTCATTGACTGTGGAAGAGTAAATGGGTACAATCACTTGCAAAAGCTTGTGAAAATGTCCTTTAATGTACATCATATATAAACAATCTCACATATATATGTGTTTATGTCTGCATTTTTGTCTACCTATCTGTCCTTTGATTTTTCTCTAATATGCATGTGCAATAATGTCCAAAGAAGCATTATTTATAATTTTTCCAAAACTGCAAACACCATGTATTAGTCAGGGCTCTCTAGAGGGACAGAATTAATGGCATAGATGTATATATAAAGGGGAGTTTATGAAGTATTAACTCACACGATCACAAGGTCCCACAACAGGCCATCTGCAAGCTGAGGAGCAAGGAGAGGGAAGAACTTGGGGTCGGATGTTCAAGTGTAGGAAGCATCTAACATAGGAGAAAGATGTAGGCTGGGAGACTAGGCCAGTCTCTCTCTTTCACATCTTTCTGCCTGCTTATATTCTAGCCACGCTGGCAGCTGATTAGATTGTGCCCACCCCGATTAAGGGAGGGTCTGCCTTTCCCAGCCTACTGACTCAAATGTTAACCTCCTTTGGCAACACCTTCACAGACACACCCAGAATCAATACTTTGTATCCTTCAATCCAATCAAGTTGACACTCAGTAAACCATCACAAGTCCACCCCTTGTCAACTTGAACCCATACACATCTCCTGAAATCACACATAATCTTCAAATGAAGACAATAGTAAAGTCAGAATTATGCCTAACATAATACAACTACCCTTTGTACAACTGAAAAGCACCAATCCCCAAACCAAATAATATTACAGAAAGTTAACAATACTTAAATGCTGATGTAAAGTCAATAAATATTATGTCATGTGATAAAGGAAAAGGAGATAAAATGAATATATTTTCTTAGTACAAGAGTATACATGCACAAACCTGTTTTTAACAAAAGAAGGAAGAAATACTCATGAGAATTACAGTCCTCATTTCTGTAGCTAGTCACGTGGTCGTAGCTGGTATTGATGACTACCTTCTTCTACTACCCATTCTGTGTTCCTGTTGCCTTCAGCAAGTACCTCAGCAGGTTGTGCTTTTTTTCCTGATGCAGTGACCCAAACCTTCGTTCCTGAAGGGTCTGGGTCATTTGTAGTCCTGCCTGGATTGGACTGTTGTAGTGTCCCATTGATATTAGTCATGGGGCATGATAATACTAAGAGACATCCTAATGGATCTCCCGCATTCCATGCGTACTCTTCCTTACCTCCATTGTAGAGTAGTAGATTGATTTCATCTTGATAGGCTGGGTCAAAAACCACAGCTAACACTGTAACTCCCTTCTTAGCCTGTTGACTTAAAGGTAGGAGGAGCCTAAAGTGTCCAGATAGCACTCTTAATTTCCAGTTTAATGGAATCTTTGTTGTGTCTCCTGATGTCAGCATTTCTCCCTCTGGAACTAAGACCTCTAGGCCGGCAGAACATAATGTCTTGGGAACAGGAAGCACAAATTTTGCTAGTGGATCACTATGGGAGATGGTGAGTGGTGCCAGTTCCACTTCCACCCCTTGATTTCCAGACCCATGAATCCTCGCTATGGGAGAAAGAGTACCATAAGTTGGACACTGATTCAGATCACACACTTCCTTCTTGACAACTGTGTCCCAGCCCTGCAAAGTATTGTCATCTAGCTGGCATTGTAATTGTGACTTCAAAAGGCCATTCCATTTTATCAATCCAGCTGCTTCAGGATGATGGGGAGCATAGTAAAACCAGTGAATTCCATGAGCATGGGCCCACTGATGCACTTCTTTAGCCATAACATGAGTACTTTGGTCAGATGCAATGCTTTATGGAATATCATGATGGTGGATAAGGCATTTCCGTGAGTCCATGGATGGTAGTCTTGGCAAAAGCATTGCATGCAAAATACACAAACCCATATCTGGAGTGTCTATTCCAGTGAGGACAAACCTCTGCCCTTTCCATGATGGAAGAAGTCCAATATAATCAACCTGCCACCAGGTAGCAGGCAGTTCACCCTGAGGAATGGTGACATATTGAGGGCTCAATATTGATATCTGCTGCTGGCAAATTGGGCATTCAGCAGTGGCCATAGCCAGGTCAGCGTTGGTAAGTGGAAGTCCATTTTGCTGAGCCCATGTGTAACCTCTTTTCCTGCCACCATGGCCACTTTGTTCATTGGCCCCTTGGGCAATGACAAGGGTGGCTGGGGAAAGAGGCTGAGTGGAGTCCACATAATAGGTCATCCTATCCACTTGATTATTAAAATTCTCCTCTGCTGAGGTCACTCCTTGGTGAGCATTCACATGGGATACAAATATCTTCATGGTTTTTGACCACTCAGTGAAGTCCATCCACATACCTCTTCCCCAAATTCCTTTGTCACCAATTTTCCAATCATGCTTCTTCCAAGTCCCTGACCATTCGCCCAAACTATGGCTACAACCCATCAAACAGTATATAATTCCATTTGTGACCATTTCTCCTTCCATGCAAAGTGCACAATCAGGTGTGCTGCTCAAAGTTCTGCCCGCTGGGAAGGTTTCCCTTCACCGCTGTCCTTCATGGATGTCCTAGAAAGGGGCTGTACTCCTGCCACTGTCCACTTTCAGGTGGTGCTTGCATACCATTCTGCATTTAGAACCATCTGTGAACCAGGCCCTAGTCTTCTCTTCCTCTATCAACTGATAATAGGGACCTTTCCAAGAGGCCATCAGTGCAGGCTGGGGAAGAGAAGGCAGGGTGGCAGGAGTGGAGACCATGGGCATTTGAGCCACTTCCTCATGTAACTTACTTGTGCCTTCAGGACCTGCTCAAACCGGGTCACTAACGTATCACTTGATTTGATGATGGAATGTTGCTGTGCACGACCCACTTAATGGCTAGATGGGTCAGGAAGCACCCAGTTTATGATAGGCAGTTCAGGTCACATGTGACTTGATGACCCATAGTCATATGTTCCATTTCCATCGAAGCCCAGTAACAGGCCAAGAGCTGTCTCTTAAAAGGAGAGTGGTTATCTGCAGAAGATGGCAGGGCTTTGCTCCAAAATCCTAGAAGTCTCTGCTGTGATTCACCTATAGGGGCCAGCCAAAAGCTCTAAACAGCATCCTTATCTACCACTGACACATCAAGCACTATTGGATCTGCTGGGTCATCTGGCCCAAGTGACAGAGCAGCTTGCACAGCACCTTAGACCTGTTGTAGAACCTTCTCCTGCTCTGGACTCCACTCAAAACTGGTAGCCTTTCGGGTTACTCAATAAATGAGCCAGAGTAACACACCTAAAAGAGGAATGTGTTGCCTCCAAAATCCAAACATGCCCACTAGGAATTGTTCTTCTTGCTTGCTTGTAGGAGGAGCCAAATGCAGCAAGTTATCCTTCACCTTAAAAGGAATATCTCCACAGGCCCTACACCACTGGATCCCTAGAAATTTTGCTGAGGTAGACGCTCTCTGAATTTCAGTCGGATTTATTTCCCAACCTCTAGCATGCAAATGTCTCATCAATAAGCCCAGTGTGTTTGCTACTTTTTGGTCTCTGGATCCAATCAGCATAGTGTCTTCAATGTAATGGACCAGAGTGATATCTTGTAAAAGCAAAAAATGATCAAGGTCTGTCCAAATAAGATTATAACACTAAGCTGGAGAGTTAATACACCCCCAAGGCGGGACAGTAAAGGTATATTGTTGGCCTTGCCAGCTGAAGGCAAATTGCTTCTGGTGGGCCTTATGGACAGGAGTGGAGAAAAAGGCATTTGCCAAGTCAGTGGCTGCAAACCAGGTACCACGAGATGTGTTAATTTGCTCAAGCAATGAAACCACATCTGGTACCACAGCTGCAATTGAAGTCAACAGTTAGTTAGGCTTATAATAATCCACTGTCTTTCTCCAAGATCCATCTGTCTTCTGCACAGGCTGAATGGAAGAGTTGAATGTAGATGTGGTGGGAATCACAACCCTTGTGTCTTTCAAGTCCCTCATGGTGGCATTAATTTATGCAGTCCCTCCATGGATGTGGTATTATTTTTTGATTTACTATTTTTCTAGGTCAAGGCAGCTCTAATGGCTTCCATTTGGCCTTCTCCACCATAATAGTCCACACCCTACCAGTCGGGGAGCCAATGTGGGGGTTCTGCCAGCTGCTTAATATGTCTATGCCAACTATGCATTCTGGCACTGGGGAAATGACCACAGGGTGAGTCCAGGGAACCACTGGACCCACTGTAAGTTAGACTTGAGCCAAAACTCCATTAATCACCTTACCTCCATAAGCCCCTACTTTGGGTCCCCCGAATCAATGTCAGCCCAGAGCCAGCATCCAGTAGTCCATGAGTTGTCTGATTATTTCCCTTTCCCCAGTGCACAGTTACACTGGTAAAAGGCCAGAAATCTCCACGGGGAAGAATGGAAGAAACATTCACTGCATAAATTGTCAGTAATGTAGTGGGGTCCTACATCAAAAGGATGGGGCATCCCCTTCACTCAAGGGGTTCTGGGTCTTTGAACTGGCTCAAGTCTGGAAATTGATTGAGAGGCAGTGATTCTCTCTTTTTTTAAAAAATTCAAATTAGTCTTTTATTCATTTGACCTAGAAGTTTTCTGCTTGTATAAATTAAGTAGGAATGCAGTAGGCTTCCTATCAATTTCACTTCTAGGAACACCATGATTAATTAGCCAATGCCAGAGCTCCACAAGAGTTAGACTGTTCTGATTGCTGCTTTGCCTCTGCCATCCATTACAGTAGCTATGCCCACCTTGCCTTTGGTGGTTGAATGCTGCCACTTGGCCCCTGCCACCTCAGGATCCAATTATTCCCATTGTATTTACATTTTGTAGTTGAGTGACAGCAGTTCCTACCATTAGATCTGACTTACAAAGAACAATTACAGGGCCCTTCAAAGATGCAAGTGCTGCCTTCACAAATCTATTTTGTGAGGCATTGGTTAAGGGTATATCTTCTGGACCCTCCCAGCTGGAATGAGTAGGTCTAAAGTGACTAATCTACTCCACCATCCCAATCTCCCCAAGCCTTTGGATTCCTTCCTCTACATTAAACCAAGGGAGATCAGGCATTTGCCGCTCACTCACTGTGGGCCACCTTTTAATCCATATTTTAGCTAACCAAGCAAATAAACTTTTAGAACCTTTTTTAACTCCCCAAACTACAACATTAAATGCAGAGTCCCTATTTGGTGGGCCCAAATCAATAAATTCAGCCTGATTCAACTCTATGTTCTGTCTGCCATTATTTCACATCCTTAATAATATTCATTCCCATGCCTTTTCTTCAGATTTCTGTCTATATAAATTAGAAAACTCAAGCAGTTCTTTTTGAGTGTAGTGCACCTCCTCATGGGTCACACTCTCAACCTCACCTCTAGGAGCCCACCAGAACTTTAGTTGAATTATAGGTCTAGAAGCAAACAGGGGTATTGCTGGTGGCACCTGAGGGGAATCAACATTATTTTGCCTGGAAACTGCCTCAGGGGAGGCCATCAGTGTTGCCTCAGGCAACACAGGGTTTATCTCCTCAGACAAAGGTGGAAAGGCTGATGGTAGCCTGGACCAGGGAGATGTTGCCACTACTGGGGATGGGGAAACTGTTTCTTCTGGCAAAAATTGTTTGTCAGTATTTAAAAACTCAGTGTCCTCAGCTTCATCAAGGTCCTCCCATCTGTTCCCATTCCAAGTTGCAGGGTCCCATTCTTTTCAATGAATGCCCTCTCTTTAACAGTAGACACCTGGCGAGGCTGTGCCTGCTCCTTTTGTTGCAGGTCAACCACTAGCAGGATTAGAGCTTGTGTCTATTTTTCCACAATTTCAGCTCTTTCTCTACAGGAGATAAGACTCTCACTCAGAGCAATCTTAGCAGATTTGAGGCTCAGCATCTGCTTCTGAAGCTAGGAGATAGAATCCCTGAGTTGACCATTTTCTTTCACTTAGGAGCAACCAACCAGCTTCACTGTGTTCCTTATTTCTCCCTGTATGGTCAGAGGTATTATGTATGGAGTCACTAAACTCCTTGCCTCTCACTAGCAGTGAATCAGGAGTGTCAATTGCATTTATTTTACATAACTCTCTAAACAGTTTCTGCCAAGACTATTAGTGTTCTCCATACTATTAGAAGCAGAGTCCTTAGCATTTTGGGGTCTAATCATATTAAGCAGCCAACTCCAGAAACTCTAAAACCAACGAAATAACTTCATCCTTAATAGTCTGTTCCTCTGGAAACACTCCTGATACCAAAATCTGTATTAGTCAAGGTTCTCTAGAGAAACAGAATTAATGGAATATATATATATATATAATATAATTAATATTAATATATAATTATATATAAAGTAATATATAGATGGAATATGAGGAATATATAGATGGGGAATATATAGATGGAATACGAGGTTATTAAGTATTAACTCACATGATCACAAGGTCCCAGAATAGGCTGTCTGCAGACTGAGGAGTAAGGAGAATCAGTCCGATTTCCAAAACTGAAGAACTTGGAATCTGATGTTTGAGGGCAGAAAGAATCCAGCATAAGAGAAAGATGTCTGCTGGGAGGCTAGGCCAGTCTCTCTTTTCACATTTTCCTGCCTGCTTGTAGTCTAGCCGCACTGGCAGTTGATTAGATTGTGCCCACCCAGATTAAGGGTGGGTCTGCCTTTCCTAGCCCACTGTATCAAATGTTAATCTCCTTTGGCAATGCACTCACAGACACACCCAGGGTCAACACTTTGTTTCCCTGACACTCAGTATTAACCATCACACTCCACAAAGGTCAACAATACTAGAAGAGACACAAATTTTCCAGTATATTCTGGTGTTTTATTATAATGGAATACTAAACAGTAGTGAATTGAATGAAGTAGCCCTATACATCACTATCAGTATTATAATGCTATGTGATGGAAATTGGACACAAAAAGTACAGATTGTATTCTCAATTTATATAAAATTCAAAAAGAAGTAATCTAAGTGTGTATTAGTTTCCTATTGCTGCTGTAACCAATCGCCATAAATTTACTTGCTTAAACAACACAAAAATATTCTCTTACAGTTCTGGACTCTGGGAGTTTGAAAGGAGTGTCACTGAGGAAAAATTAATGTGTCAGTAGGCTGCATTCTTTCTGGAGACTCCAAGGGGATTCCATTTCTTTGCCTTTCTTGGTTTGTAGAGGATGCTTTCATTCCTGGGTTTGTGCCTCCACTCCTCCATCTCAAAAGCCAATGATTGTTCAGATTTTTGCTTCTGTTGCCACAACTCTTTCTCTTTCTCTGACTCTTTTACATCCCTCTTCCATTTGTAACCACCCTTGTGATTACACAGGGACAAACTGCATAATCCAGGATATTCTACTTATTTTAAGGTGAGCTGAAGAGCAAACCTGAATGAATTCTTCATGATTAATCCTCATTTGCCATGGAACAACATATTCATAAGCACCAGGGAAGAAGACATCAACGTCTTTGGGAATCATTACTCCCCTACTGCAAAGTGATACAAGTGAGAATATTGGTTAAATTTTCAGGGGAGTAGTGAACTGTTAGTAAGTACTAGTGAGGTTTATGGGTGCCAGTAACATGCTGTATCTTGATCTGGGTTGTCATTACACATGTATGTTTCCTTTGGGTTGCAGTGAGGAGGCGGCTTCAAGTACTGCAGTTATATTTTTCAGACTTTTATTGCAGTATTAAGCTTCAATATAATATATAAAAACACATGAAAGGAAAAATATAAAGTGATTTGTATGTAAAATAGTATAAAACTTTCTGTATAATTAAGGAGGTATTACTTTTTTTAAAAAAAAAGGGGGACTTTATATCTGCCTAAAATGGTTTTATGACCAACTTTTTTGGTAGAGGCTTTAACATTTCAGAGAAAGATATTTTCTATGATACTTTTACTGTAAGTAATGCACTTTCCAAGAACATTTAATGAGGTAAAGGTATTTCAATATATTTGAATCATATATATTTGTATTCGTTATAAACCTAACATTAAGAGCTGACAGAAATGTCACAGGATTTGCATAAGGTGTAAATATAAAAATAATGGTATGTTAAATGTTTTGGGGATAGTAGGGTGACAAACTCAAAGTTGATTAAAAACATTATGGACCTTAGAGAAGATAATGTATCATCAAGCCATTGAAAATGTATTATTGTAAATACTGTATCTGTATGATCTCTTATACTGTACTCCTTATACTCTTATACTGTTCACACAAAATGAAAATGCTGTTTGTATTGGGTGGGATTATGAAGATTTGTACATTTACATTTTGTTTATATTTTCTGTATGTTTATAAAATATAAATGTCAATTTGGAAATCAATCAGCTTTTTATAGGTGTATACATGCATATACATATATAGCTTTATATATATGGACATACAGATACAAGAGTATGTATATTTATAAAGGTATATATCTTTTAGCTTACCTTTTTCATTTTTTTTGCAGTATTTACCAGAACCTTACCTAGGATTTATTAATTATTTATAAACTAAGCTACTTTGTGGTGGTCATGCCACTGTTTTATTTAATGCATAGTGTCTTTATATACTAGCATTTGCATTTTATTTAAACCAAACATTCTTTCTATATATTTAATGTTTGAATGCCATTTTAATGGCCTTAGGATTTTTTAAGTTTACACATATTTTAAAACACTTCAACTTTTATTAGATAAAACGTGATACTATTTATAATTGCCATCATTTGTGTGTGTAAACAATTTTTAAAGTGTATTATCACTACTTTTATTTGATTTTTATAGAGCTTTTCCACTTTATGATATTTTCCCTGAGTTTTGACAGCTGGAGCTCTATAAACACAGGCATGCACTAGAATTTTACATAAACTTTAAGAATATGTTATACAGTTTAATTATTTTACCACATTGAATTGGAGAAACACTTATTTTGGTCTGTATTGCACAAAAAACTCTATAAGTTCTTGTTTACAGCCCTATATATAAAATAGATATTAGGCATATAATTAAAAAAATTAACTAATTGCAAATGACCAAATACCATTAATTCTGCAAGCTTACACAAACCATAAACATTGCTACTTTTTTTGAAGTTGCTTTAACTGAAACACACATAACTGATTCAAAACCTTTTATATCAAAGTGCAGAAACAAATACCTCAGTTCGAATTCATCAAAAAATATTTTTGTGACATTTTCCTGAAATTTTCCTCAGTGATTCACCCATAATGTCTCTGACTGCTGTATTATCACAGGTTTCTTTTTCACCTCTCCTAAATCATCAGCTGATGTGCACAATTCTTATTAACTCCACTGACTAGAAATCTTTAGGAGGTGATTGATGTGACTATTCTGAAATGAAGAAGCTACTAGCATTCAAAACTACAAAGGTGATTACTGAAGATGATGGAATACTAAATTCTGTAGGAGAGAGAATTTTTCTATTAAGGTATGATAAATGACAGCAACTTCTCTGTTAATTTACTTTTAATTTTGCTTTAACTTCTTTATTTTTTTAACTTAAGTTTTCTAATCCATCTTCAACTCAGAAGTGGCTTATCAAGTATTTGTTAAAAAAAACTTACAAATCTTTCCAGACACCAAAACTACCTATTTAAATAGAATGACAAATGATGTATAGTTTGATTTTTTAATCAAATTTTATTCAGTAATTTCTTTATAAACTTAATGATAGCCTCCGTAAATTTAGTAGATTTTTCCTGCAGCCACTGATTCGGTTAGTCCTATTGCATACAGTAGTCCTAAACATTCTAAAATCAGTTCCTTGTGCGTCTTTGTCAGTGTAATATTATCACTACCTATAACTACGACAATTGGTTTTAGGATTTTGAAGTAGAATTTGATCTAATATTCATGCACTTAGAATAAATTATATAGGCATGTAATCATGTGAACACATAATTTCCCTTTTGTTTTTTAGTCTTGTGCAAGAAACCATTCCTTTTCTCAATATATGCTTTAAAAATAGATTACAGCACATTCACAAATACATATTTCTATGCTTGATATATTTATGTAAGCATAAAAGTGAATAACTGAATATTACTAACCTAAATGTATAGATCTGCCAACACTTTTAGAACCTGTCTTGTTGATAATAATGAGAGTAGCATATTTTATTGGATGTAGAGTTGTGTGCTTTTTTAAAATATCATTCATTTCACCAATATTTATGTAAATGGATTGTAAAATATTCAGTGAGTGATGCATTTCTGCCCCTTTCCTTTCCAGTTACTGATCAGAAAGTTAGAATGAATTATTATTGCCAGCTTAGTCAAACATTTGAATAATTTAAATATTATTTGCTTTCCTTCCCATGCAATAATTTAGCATTGAACTATGTTAACTACAAACAGTGTTAGCAAACCAGAAGTAAGGAAATTCAAAATTGACTCATATTTTTGCTGGTATATAAAACACTCTTTGTAAAGTAATCTACCTATTTTAGGATTTTAATGTCCTTTTCAGTGACTGCAGATTTGAATGGCTATAACTTTAAGGACAGCAAAATAACAAAAACATAAATAATGCTAGCATTTATTAAGCTTATACTAGGCAGCAGGCAATACATTGTAAATTTTACTAAGATTGTATCATTTAATTTTTATAAAATTCTGTAATGTTACTAGTATGTTATCTCTTACACATATAAGGGAATTTAATTTTTATAGAGATTAAATGGCTTTTCCAAAGTAAGACACTTAGTCAATGGAGGGTTTTAAGAGATTTTACATTCAGTCTCTTTAACACTACCATGTATGGCTGCATATTGCAGCTATCTCAGCACAACACATTTTTTAAAGGAAAACAGTTCTATTTATTAGTTCTTGTTTGGAGACATTCAGTGAGTCTATTTTTATTATATTATTTGAACTGAAGAAAACTACTCACCCCAGCGGCCCTAACACATTACTCAGACTTATACTCCCCCAATTCACTGGCCCTCTTATCCCAAATATTAGGACATGCTTCTAATTTTCCAGCTACCACAGGTTATTATATTTAAAACAGGAATTTATCTTCCGTTGCCTGTTTTCCTACAATGATACCCTCAGTTAAGCTGGTACATTTAATTTGTATATGTATTTTATTGCATTTAGGATGAAAAAAAGAGAAATGTTTAGTGGCAAAATTATCTATATACTCTAAATATATTCTACCAATTTAGTCACAGCCACTAATCCAAGATAATATATAAAATATTTAAATATAAGCAGAAACAAACATGCATATCAAATAACATTTAAGCATCCAATATGTTACAAATAAAGTACAAATCCTGTACCCATGAAGAAGTGAACAACACGTCAATCTATTGTTGTATAATTTCAAGAGGAGCAGGAAGTGTAATAATGTTCACAAAAATAAGCACTCTTAAGATTACTTTGTAATCCTCTTTTTAGTATTGCCCTTATTATATTCACTATTATTTTGTTTAAAAATATTATTTCCTGGAAATATTATTCTTTTCTTGATAAATTCAATATCATATACAATCATTACAATAGCTGTATTTACATTCAAGATAATAAATTGTTTATGCTTGTGTGCCATCACCACTTGTGGTAACATTGATATGAATTTTCTAGCCAAAATAATAACACATGTACACACACACATGCACAGTCACGAATACTGTAAAGGATGAGAAAACAATATCACCATTGCAAACGGCAGCACAGCCTTCCTGAAAATTCCCTCGTTAGGGTGCTCAATAATGTGACTGCATAAAATAAATAATAAAATAATATCTATATTTCTTATAGGTCATCAATAGGTCAAACTAAGAGAAAAATCTCACCAACAAGAGCAAGGTGCAAGGATAACAAATAAATAAACTGGGCAGAAGAGTGAGTGCCAAGAAAAAAATAAAACATTCAAACATATCTGGACTCTTGATAGGAAAAAGAGTTGAAACTTCTCAGTAAATTCTTCTAAGTCAACTGCCTGGTCTTATGAAAAATAATTTAACTTCTACTTTATTATATTCTTAAAAATTAATCCCAATCAAATTGCATATCTGAAAGTGGAAGATCAAACTATAAATCTTCTAGAATAAAACATAAAAGAGCAGTTACAAGGCTTTAAATTTCAAAATTTTTTTCATATGCATTTGGCCCCCTTGTACATGGGGCTTTTGCATCTATGAATTCAACTAATCATGAATCAGACATATTCAAACGTTTAAAAGAAATAAGAGTACAACAATAACAAATAATACAAAAGACAAGAATATAGTATAATGATTTACATAATATTTGTATTGTATCGGGTATTATAAGTAATCTAGAGGGGATTTAAAGTATACGGAGGATATGTGCAGGTAATATGCAAATGCTATGCTATTTTCTATTACTGACTTGAGCACTCATGGATTTTGGTAAACTTAAGAGTTCCTGGAGCCAATACCCTGCAGAGACCAAGAGATGACTGTGTAACACCAAAGGTACTAATCTTAAGGAAAAACATTTAAAAATCAAACTGTATTAAAATAAAATAAATTGGGTCACGCTATGACCTTTTGTAAAAGTACAAAGAAAACAACAGAATAGTAGCAGATATATGCCAGACATAAACCCAACAAAGGGTCTGAGCCAGAATGTATCTAACTTCTACAAGTTAATAACATACTGAAAAAATTGGAAATGTAATTTAAAAAGCATTTCACAGAATTAGATATCCAGATGGTCAATAAGAATATAATGGTTTTTCAACCTCAATAATAATCAAGAAAATGTAAAATAAATCATGATATGATGCCACTGCATCTCCTCTAGATAAGTGAAACTGAGAAAAACAAAATAAAACAAAACAATAATGCTGAGGGTTGAAATGCTCAATGAGCAATAAGAATTCTCATGGTTCCCAGTGTAACTAAATGAGTACAAATAGTTTGAAAACAATCTCTATTACTATCTATTTAATTGGAACATACACATTCTCTAAGGTAGATATAGGTATAACAAAATGAGTACATATGTGCACCATTAGATGTGGACAAATGTATTATAGCACCACTGTTTATAATAGCCCCATTTAAAAAAACCCTAATGTTCTACAACAGTGGATCGAAAAAAATATTTCAATAATGTTATTCACTATAGCGGTGCTGCCCGACACATCAGTTGCCTGACATAGAACATATCCATTATTACAGTAAGTTCCACTGTTCAAAGGTGAATAGGAAAGAAACTGAATTGACATGTGCTATGTATTAGTCCATTCTCACACTGCTAAAAATAACTTCCTAAAACTGGGTAATTTATGAAGAAAAGAGGTTTAATTGACTCACACTTCCACAGGCTGTACAGGAAGCATGGCTGGGAGGCCTCAGGAAACTCACAATCATGGCGGAAGGTAAAGGGAAAGCAAGCATGTCTTCACATATCAGAGCAGGAGAGAGAGAAGGAGGGGGGAAGTGCCACATGCCTTTAAACAACCAGAGCGGGAGAGAACTCAAAATCACAAGAATGGCGAAAGGGAAGTCTGCCCCCATGGTCTAATCACCTCCCACCAGGCCCATCCCCCAGTACTGGGGATGACAATTCAACATGAAATTTGGGTGAGGCACAGAGTCAAACCATATCAGCTATATACAGCACAGACGAATTTCACAAACAAAGTTGACAGAGAGAAGCCAGACACAAAAAAGTGAATACTGTATTTTTCCATTTATATAAATTTCAGGCAACCTCATTTATGGTGTTAGAAATAATGGCTTTTCTTTTTGTGGAATAAGGAGATATTGATGATTGAGAAAGGGCATAAAAAGAAGTTTTTTAAATATGGTTAAAATGTATTCCTTAATCTGGGTACTGGTTAAATTGGTAGAATCATTTTCTCATAATTCACAAACTGTTCATGTTCAATAATAAGAATTATTTTTTAAAAATTAGAAAAATTAAAGAAATTTGGCAAAAATAAAATAATAAAAAATTTGCCTAATTCAATTTTTCTTTTAGCAGTATCGATTTCTACAATTATTACAAAATTTAAGAAATATTTTTCTTGTTTTCAATATATAGCTATATAAATGAAAATCAACAAGTTTAACTCTATATAAAATGTATTCTATTTCAAAGAGGACATAAACCATTTGTTAAGTCAATGTTATGATGTGAATTACTACAGGTTAAATTGTGGGTGTAATTCTGGATTTTCATATATGTTACATTGAAAAACACATAGTTTTGGAACTCAAGTTCCGTTCCAAGATGGCAGAATAGGAACAGCTCCAGTCTGCAGCTCCCAACGTGATCAATGCAGAAGATGGATGATTTCTGCATTTCCAACTGAGGTGCATGGTTCATCTCACTGGGACTGGTTGGAAAGTGGGTGCAGCCGACGGAGGGCGAGCCAAAGCAGGGTGGTGCATCGCCTCACCCGGGAAGTGCAAGCTGTCAGGGGATTTCCCTTGCCTAGCCAAGGGAAGTTGTGACAGATTGTACCAGGAAAATTGGGACACTGCCACCTAAACACTGCACTTTTCCAATGGTCTTAGCAAACGGCACACCAGGAGATTATATCCCATGCCTAGCTCAGTGGGTCCCACGTCCACGGACCCTTGCTCACTGCTAGTCTGAGATCAAACTGCGAGGCAGCAAGCCTGGCTGGGGGAGGAGTGTCCATCTTTGCTGAGGCTTGAGTAGGTAAACAAAGCAGCCAGGAAGCTCGAACTGGGTAGAGGCTACTGCAGCTCAAGGAGGCCCAACTGCCTCTGTAGACTCCACCTCTGGGAGCAGGGCATAGCTGAATAAAAGGCAGCAGAAACTTCTGCAGACTTAAACGTCCCTGTCTGACAGCTCTGAAGAGAGTAGTGGTTCTCCCAACCTGGTGTTTGAGCTCTGAGATTGGACAGACCACCTCAAGTGGGTCCCTGACTCCCATGTAGCCTAACTTGGAGACACCTCCCAGTAGGGACCGACTGACACCTCATACAGCTGGGTGCCCCTCTTATATGAAGCTTTGAGAAGAAGGATCAGGCAACAATATTTGCTGTTTTGCAATATTTGCTGTTCTGCAGCCTCCGCTGGTGATACCCAGGCAAACAGGGTCTGGAGTGGACCTCCAGCAAACTCCAACAGATCTGCAGCTGAGGGACCTGACTGTTAGAAGGAAAACTAACAAACAGAAAGGAATAGCATCAACATCAACAAAAACGACATCCACAAAAAACCCCATCTGTAGGTCACCATCATCAAAGACCAAAGGCAGATAAAACCACAAAGATTGGGAGAAACCAGAGCAGAAAAGCTGAAAATTCTAAAAACCAGAGTGTCCCTTCTCCTCCAAAGGATCACATCTCCTCGCAAGTAACAGAACAAAGCAGGATGGAGAATGACTTTGATGGGTTGACAGAAGGAGGCTTCAGAAAGTCGGTAATAACAAATGTCTCCAAGCTAAAGGATGATGTTCGAACCCATCGCAAGGAAGCTAAAAACCTTGAAAAAAGATTAGACGAATGGCTAACTAGAATAAACAGTGTAGAGAAGACCTTAAATGGCCTGATGGAGCTGAAAGCCATGGCATGAGAACTACGTGACACATGCACAAACTTCAGTAGCCAATTCGATCAAGTGGAAGAAAGGGTATCAGTGATTGAAGATCAAATGAATGAAATGAAGAGAGAGGAGAAGTTGAGAGAAAAAAGAAAAAAAAGAAACAAACCAAGCCTACAAGAAATATGGGACTATGTGAAAAGACCAAATTTTCGTTGATTGGTGAACCTGAAAATGATGGGGAGAATGGAACCAAGCTGGAAAACACTCTTCAGGGTATTATCCAGGAGAACTTCCCCAGCCTAGCAAGGCAGGTCAACATTCAAATTCAAGAACTACAGAGAACACCACAAAGATACTCCTCGAGAAGAGCAACCCAAGACACATAATTGTCAGATTCACCCGGGTTGAAATAAAGGAAAAAATGTTAAGGGCAGCCAGAGAGAAAGGTCAGGTTACCCACAAAAGGAAGCCCATCAGACTAACAGCAGATCTCCCAGCAGAAACCCTACAAACCAGAAGAGAGTGGGGGCCAATATTCAACAGTCTTAAAGAAAAGAATTTTCAACCCAGAATTTCATATCCAGTTAAACTAAGCTTCATAAGTGAAGGAGAAATAAAATCCTTTACAGACAAGCAAATGCTGAGAGATTTTGTCACCACCAGGCCTGCCTTACAAGAGCTCCTGAAGGAAGCACTAAACATGGAAAGGAACAACCAGTACCAGCCACAGCAAAAACATAACAAATTGTAAAGGCCATCAATGCTAGGAAGAAACTGCAACAACTAGCAGGCAAAATAATCAGCTAATATCATAATGACAGGATCAAATTCACACATAACAATATTAACCTTAAATGTAAATGGGCTAAATACCCCAATTAAAAGACACAGACAGGCAAATTGGATAAAGAGTGAAGACCCATCAGTGTCTGTATTCAGGAGACCCATCTCACATGCAGAGACACACATAGGCTCAAAATAATGAGATGGAGGAAGATCTAACAAGCAAATGGAAAGCAAAAAAAAAGCACGGATTGCAATCCTAGTCTCGGATAAAACAGACTTTAAACCAACAAAGATCAAAAGAGACAAGGTCATTACATAATGGTAAATGGATCAATTCAACAAGAAGAGCTAACTATCCTAAATTTATATGCACCAAATACAGGAGCACCCAGATTCATAAAGCAAGTCCTGAGAGACCTAAAAAGAGACTTAGACTCCCACACAATAATAATGGGAGACTTTAACACCCCACTGTCAGTGTTAGACAGATCAACAAGACAGAAGGTTAACAAGGATATCCGGGACTTGAACTCAGGTCTGCACCAAGCAGACCTAATAGACATCTACAGAACTCTCTACCCCAAATCAACAGAATATACATTCTCCTCAACACCACATCGCACTTATTCCAAAATTGACCACATAGTTGGAAGTAAAGCACTCCTCATCAAATGTAAAAGAATAAAAATCACAACAAACTGTCTCTCCAACCACAGTGCAATCAAATTAGAACTCAGGATTAAGAAACTCACTCAAAATCACACAACTACATGGAAACTGAACAACCTGCTCCTGAATGACTACTGGGTAAATAATGAAATGAAGGCAGAAATAAAGATGTGCTTTGAAACCAATGAGAACAAAAGCACAATGTACCACAATCTCTGGGACACATTTAAAGCAGTGTGTAGAGGGAAACTTATAGCACTAAATGCCCACAAGGGAAAGTAGGAAAGATCTAAAATTGACATCCTAACATCACAATTAAAAGAACTAGAGAAGCAAGAGCAAATAAATCTAAAAACTAGCAGAAGGCAAGAAATAATTAAGATGAGAGCAGAACTGAAGGAGATAGAGACACAAAAAAATCCCTTCAAAAAATCAATGAATCCAGGAGCTGTTTTTTGAAAAGATCAGCAAAATTGATAGACTGCTAGCAAGACTAATAAAGAAGAAAAGAGAGAAGAATCAAATAGATGAATTAAAAATGATAAAGGGGATATCACCACAGATCTCACAGAAATACAAACTACCATCAGAGAATACTATAAACACCTCTACACAAATAAACGAGAAAATCTAGAAGAAATGGATAAATTCCTGGACTAAATCAGGAAGAAGTCAAATCTCTGAATAGACCAATAACAGGCTCTGAAATTGAGGCAATAATTAATAGCCTACCAACCAAAAAAAGTCCAGGACCAGACGGATTCACAGCCAAATTCTACCAGAGCTACAAAGAGGAGCTGGTACCGTTCCTTCTGAAACTATTCCAATCAATAGAAAAAGAGGGAATCCTCCCTAACTCATTTATGTAGCCAGCATGATTCTGATAGCAAAGTCTGGCAGAGACACAACAAAAAAAGAGAATTTTAGGTCAATATCCCTCATGAATACCAATGTGAAAATCCTCAATAAAATACTGGCAAACTGAATCCAGCAGCACATCAAAAAGCTTATCCACCAAGATCAAGTTGGCTTCATCCCTGGGATGCAAGGCTGGTTCAACACATGCAAATCGATAAACATAACCCATCACATAAACAGTACCAAAGACAAAAACCACATGATTATCTCAATAGATGCAGAAAAGGCCTTTGACAAAATTCAACAGCCCTTAATGCCAAAACTCTCAATAAGCTAAGTATTGATGGAACATATCTCAAAATAATAAGAGCTATTTATGACAAACCCACAGCGAGTATCACACTGAATGGGCAAAAACTGGAAGCATTCCCTTTGAAAACTGGCACAAGACAGAGATGCCCTCTCTCACCACTCCTATTCAACATAGTGTTGGAAATTCTGGCCAGGGGAATCAGGCAAGAGAAAGAAATAAAGGGTATTCAATTAGGAAAAGAGGAAGTCAAATTGTCCTTGTTTGCAGATGACATGATTGTATATTTAGAAAACCCTATCATATCAGCCCAAAATCTCCTTAAGCTGATAAGCAACTTCAGCATAGTCTCAGGATACAAAATCAATGTGCAAAAATCACAAGCATTCCTATACACCAATAAAAGACAAACAGAGAGCCAAATAATGAGTGAACTCCCATTCAGAATTGCTACAAAGAGAATAAAATACCTAGGAATCTGACTTACAAGGGATGTGAAGGACCTCTTCAAGGAGAACTGTAAACCACTGCTCAATGAAATAAAAAAGGACACAAACAAATGGAAGAACATTCCATGTTCATGGATAGGAAAAATCAATATCGTGAAAATGGCCATACTGCCCAAGGTAATTTACAGATTCAATGCCACCCCCATCAAGCTACCAATGACTTTCTTCACAGAATTCAAAAAAACTACTTAAAGTTCACATGGAACCAAAAAAGAGCCCGCATTGCCAAGACAATCCTAAGCAAAAAGAACAAAGCTGGAGGCATCATGCTACCTGACTTCAAACTATACTACAAGGCTACAGTAACCAAAAGAGCATGGTACTGGTAACAAAATAGAGATATAGACCAATGGAACAGAACACAGCCCTCAGAAATAACACCACACATCTACAACCATTTGATCTTTGACAAACCTGACAAAAACAAGCAATGGGGAAAAGATTCCCTATTTCATAAATGGTGCTGGGAAAACTGGCTAGCCATATGTAGAAAGCTGAAACTGGATCCCTTCCTTACACCTTATAAAAATTAATTCAAGATGGATTAAAGACTTAATGTTAGACCTAAAACCATAAAAACTCTAGAAGAAAATCTAGGCAATACCATGCAGGACATAGGCATGGGCAAGGACTTCATGACTAAAACACCAAAAGCAGTGGCAACAAAAGTCAAAATAGACAAACGGGATCTAATTAAACTAAAGAGCTTCTGCACAGCAAAAGAAACTACCATCAGAGTAAACAGGCAACCTATAGAATGGGAGAAAATTTTTGCAATCTACCCATCTGATAAAGGGCTAATATCCAGAATCTACGAAGAACTTAAACAAATTTACAGTAAAAAATCAAACAACCCCATCAAAAAGTGGGCCAAGGATATGAACAGACACTTTTCGAAAGAAGACATTTATGCAGCCAACAGACACATGAAAAAAAGACTCATCATCACTGGTCATCAGAGAAATACAAATCAAAACCAAAATGAGATACCATCTCACATCAGTTAGAATGGCGATCTTTAAAAAGTCAGGAAACAACAGGTGTTGGAGAGGATGTGGGGAAGTAGGAAAGCTTTTACACTGTTGGTGGGAGTGTAAACTAGTTCAACCATTGTGGAAGACAGTGTGGCAATTCCTCAAGGATCTAGAACTAGAAATACCATTTGACCAAGTGATCCCATTACTGGGTATATACCCAAAGGATTATAAATCATGCTGCTATAAAGACACATGCACATATGTGTTTACTGCAGCACTATTCACAGTAGCAAAGACATGGAACCAACCCAAATGTCCATCAATGATAGACTGGATTAAGAAAATGTGGCACATATACACCATGGAATACTATGCAACCATAAAAAAGGATGAGGTCATGTCCTTTGTAGCGACGTAGATGAAGCTGGAAACCATCATTCTGAGCAAACTATCAGAAGGACATAAAACCAAACACTGCATATTCTCACCCATAGCTGGGAATTGAACAATGAGAACACATGGACACAGGGCGGGCGGGGAACATCACACACTGGGGCCTGTCATGGGGTGGGGGGATGGGGGAGAGAGAGCATTAGGAGAAATACCTAATGTAAATGATGAGTTAAAGGGGTGCAGCAAACCAACACAGCAAATGTACACATTTGTAAGAAACCTGCACATTGTGCACATGTACCCTGGAACTTAAAGTACAATTTAAAAAAAAATGAAAGAAAAACTCATATTTGTGCTCTGGAGTCATTTTTAATTAATTAATGGAATTGTATTCTTTGCATTGCAGAGATATTTTTCTAGTTGAAGAAAAATATAGTTGTTGCAAGAAGCTTTGTGTTATTTGCATGACTTTAGTGTCTTATTGGTGTGAAAACAAAATGTTTTTAGCAGAAGTGAATAAATTTCTACATTTATACATATGTATGTATAATGATCTTTTACCCAATTTTACATATATTTAAATATATAAATGCAAATATATATGCATATATTTGTATACCTACAAGTATTTATATATAAATTTACCTGTATATTTATATTTATGTATATATGTATATACATTTATATACATATAAATATAGATATTATATTTATGCATATATGTACTATATTATATATAAATATATATGTACATAAATATATGTATATATATTTATATTAATATTTATACTTATACTTTTACGTGTATATTTATTTCTATATATTTACATATAAATATATGTATATATAATATATGTATAATTTATAATTTATATACATATATTTATATGTGAATATATATAAGTATATGCATAAACATATATTTATATGTAAGTATAAATATACATGTGAATTTATGTGTATTAATTTAAATACTAATATACATAAAATATTGTGTAAATTTCATAAATATTAATCAATTTATGCCTTTAAATTTATATGTATATTAACTTAAATATTGACACCATGTAAATATTAACTTTACATATATAGACATTTATATATTTGTATATAAATTTAAATTTAAAAATAAAAATATAATATTTAATTTAAATATATACAATTCTTAAGACATCAAATTATTTATTTCCAAATATCACTAAGAGTTATACTAATAGTTTATTAAAATATCTGTTTAGAAAGTATTTTAAACATGTAGAAAATAAGCATTAGCTTCTTATCAAGAAAATCACTGAATTTTAGAGAATGGTCAGTCCAACATTTTCTGAACCATTTGTCGTTAAAGACTGGAAAACTTCATGAAAGTGACATCTAACACAAAATCGCAATATATTAAAAAGCAATTCAAAGTTCAAAAAGTGCTGTTATAGCTGAAAAATTGTGGAAGGTGAAGCCTAAAGTAAATTTGTTTATTCTGTAATTTCCCAGTGGCCGTCAGAGCCCTTAGAATACCTCCAAGAAACCAATATGAATGGTCAGAGATAGCTTTAGAATTAAATAACAAATTTGTTCAGTCCTTCGAATTATTTAATTAAAATCCATAAGCCAAAAAGTTGAAGTTTTTCATTCAATATCATGCATGTGGCCAGTTGTATAATAAGGAAATAATTTTTACCACCTTTAGAAAATACTTATTTGAAATTCCCAGATGCACTCTTTGTGCTTGATACTTTATCGCAGTATTCTAGAATTTAATTTAGAGAATAAAGAAGTATGTTTACTTGTTAAGATTCATTTTTCTGCTCATTTTTATTTCTGCTCAGTTATTTTAATTATTAGAGTCCTCCTTGTGTTTAGAAATGATTTAAAGTGTTTTCAAGAGTTTCTCAGTAGTTCTTTAAGCTTCTTTGCAAAACATTTTATGGTTTTAACAAAATGAAAAAAAAAACTGACAAGCATGGTGTCCAGAGAGAAATATCATTTTTTAAATTAAAATCTGACAAGCAGGGTGTCCAGAGAGAAATATCATTTTTTAAATTATTTTAAACTATTGTGAGTACAGAATAGGTGTACATATTTATGGGATACATGTGATATTTTGATACCAGCATATAATGTATAACTAAAAAATTAGGGTAATTAGGATAGCTAACACCTCAAGAATTTATCATTTCTTTGTGTTAGTGCCAACTGTACTCTTATAGTTATTTTAAAATAGACAATAAATTATTATTGATTATAGTCACCCTGTTGTGTTATCAAATACTACATTCATTCCATGTAATCAGATTTTTTAAATGGTCAAAAGATCTGAATAGAAATTTTTCAAAAGAAGATGTGCAGATGGACAATAGCTCTATGAAAAGAAAATGTTGAACATCATTAATCATCAAAGAAATGCAAATCAAAACTACAAAGAGTTGTCATCTCATCGTGTTAAAATGGTCATACAGTCACTAAGGAGAACATTATGGAGGTTGCTCAAAAAACTAAAAATAGAACTACCATATAATCTAGCAATCTCACTGCTAGGTATATATCCTAAATAAAGAAATCAGAATGTCAAAGAGCTATCTGCACTATTCATAACAGTGCAGCTCTCTTATTGCAGCACTACTCATAATAGCTAAGACTTGGAATTCACCTAAGTGCTCATCGCTGGATGGAAGGATGAAGAAAATGTGGTACATTATATGATGAAGTATTAGTCAACTGTAAAATTAATGAAATCCTGTCATTTGCAACAACATGAAAGAAACAGAAAGGAATTATATTAAGTGAAATACAAGTCAAGCATACAAAAAAAAAAACACTCTCATGTTCTCACTCATCTGTGGGAGATAAAAGTGAAAAAAATCGAACTCATGGAGATTCTATTAGGCGTTCTTGCATTGTTATAAAGAAATATCTGTGACTGGGTAATTAATAATAAAATAAATTAAATTGGCTCACATTTCTGTAGGTTTCACAGGAAGCACAGTGGCAGCCTCTGCCTATGGGAAGATCTCAGGAAGTTTTTATTTATGGTGGGAGGTGAAGGAGGAGCAAGCACTTCACCTGGCAAAAGCAAGAAAGAGAGGAGGAGTAAGTGGGGGGAGATGCCACATACTTAAACAATCAGATCTCTTGAGAACTCACTAACTATCATGAAGACAGTACCGAGCTATAAGTGATCGGCTCCCATGACCCAAACACCTCCCACCAGGTCCCACCTCCAACACTGGAGATTACAATTAAGCATGAGATTTGAATGGAGACAAATATCCAAACTATATCAGAGATAGTACAATGTTGGAATGATGGTTACCAGTGGCTAGGAAAGGTAGCAAGGGAGGAGACAAAGTGGTGATGGTTAATGAGAGTACTATTATTTACATAAACTAAAACTAAATTGTATTTTCTAACTTAAAATTTTTTCAAAATTCTCACTCTTCCTTCCTTCTAGTTGTTCTGATTGAATATAAACAGTTGTAAGCTGCCTTTCACTCAGCACCACACTTAAAAAGTGAACTAAATAACAACAAAACATGACAACAAAATTAGAGGAATGCAGTAAAAGCAGTGCTTAGAGGGAAATATATAGCATTGAATTCACATGTTACAAAAGAAAAAAAAGTATAAAATCAATTGCCTATGCCTCCACTTTAGGAAATCAGAAAAAGAAGAGCAAGTTAAACTCAAAGTGAGTAGAAGATAACAAATGATAAGAATTAAAGCAGAAGTCAACTGAACTGAAAACAGAAAATCATACAGAAAACCAAGAAAACCAAAAGCTGGTTCTTAGGAAAGATCCATAAAATCACTGAGCCTGTAGAGTCAAGTTCACTAAGAAGAAAGGAGAGAAAAACAAATTCCTAATATCAAAAATGAAAAAGGGCCATTTTGAATTGTATAGTCATTAAAATGATGATATGTGGGAGAAATTATTTTCCAATAATGCATTTGATAAAGAACTCAATAACTCAACAAGAAATAAAACAAATAACCTTATTAAGAAGGCAAAGAATGTGAAGACATTTCTCAAAAGAAGACATAGAGCAGTCAACAAACGTGAATAAATGCCCAACATCACTAAGCATCAGAGAAATGCAAATTAAAACCACAATGAGAAATCATCTTACACTACTCAGAATAGCCATTATTAAGAAGTCAAGAAAAAATAGATGTTTGTGAAAAAACAGAGAAAAGGAAACACTTATACATATTTGTGGGAATGTAAATTAGTATAACCTCTATGAAAAACAGTATGGATATTTCTCAAATAAGTAAAATAGAACTACCATTTGATTCAGCAATTCCACTACTGGGTATCTACCTTCAGGAAAATAAACCATTATGTCAAACAACTTCTGCACTTACATTTTTATCTCATCACTATTCACAATAGCAAAATCATGGAATCAACCTAAGTGTCTATCAACAGATGATTGGACAAGAAAAAATGTGATAGATACATACACATACACACACACACAAACAATATAATACTATTTACCCATAACAAAGAATAACATTATGTCTTTTGCAGCAACATGGATGGCACTGGAGACCATCTTCCTAAGTGAAATGTCTCAGAAGCAGAAAATCAATAACTTCTCTTTCTCACCTGAAAGTAAGAGCTAAACGATAGGTACACATGGATATACAGTATGGACTAATAGACACTGGAGACTCTAAAGTGTGGATGGGTGGAGGGAAAGGAAGAAATGAAATACTAACTAATGGGTAGAATGTATACTCTTTGAATAATGGCTGTATTAAAAGCCTAGACTTCACCACTATGCAATATATTCATGTAACACAACTGAATTTGTACCTCTGCACCTCTAAATCTATAAAAATTAAAAAGTTACAAAGAAATGCTATGAACAATTACATACATACAAAGCTGATAAACTATTTGAAACAGACCAATTTTTTGTTTTTGTTTTTGTTTTTGTTTTTGTTTTTTTGAGACGGAGTTTCACTCTTGTCGCCCAGGCTGGAGTGCAATGGCACAATCTCCGCTCACTGCAATCTCAGCTTCCAGGGTTCAAGTGATTCTCCTACCTCAGCCTCCCAAGTAGCTGGGATTACAGGCGCTCGCCACCACGCCCAGCTAATTTTTGTAATTTTAGTAGAGACAGGTTTTCACCATGTTGGCCAGGATGCTCTCTGCCCGTCTCGGCCTCCAAAAGTGCTGAGATTACAGGCATGAGCCACCAAGCCCAGCCAAAACAGACCAATTTCTTAAAAGGCATGCTCTGTCAAAACACATAAAAATAAATAGATAATCCAAATAGGCCTCTGTCTATTAAATAAATTAAATCAATATTTAATAACCTGAAAAAGAACATCAGAACAAGATGAGTTCACTGGTGAATTCTACCAAACATTTAAGAAAGAAACAATACTAATTCTCTTGAATCTCTCTCAGAAGAGAAAATAAGGAATACTTTCTAATTCATTCAGTGAAGGCAGCATTACACTGATACCAAATCCAGAAAAGCCATTAAAAGAAAAAGAAAAAAAACTATTGACCAATATCTCTCATGAACATAGATGCAAAAAGCCTTAAAGAAAAGATAGTGGACATAACAACTTACTTATAAAACTTGTAAAGAGTGCTGTGTCAACCATTGTTAAAATCATATATAAGATAATCTCAACTATATAAAGTAAAAATCTGCAGAGGACTAAAAAACTATTCTATTTTTAAAAAGGAAATATTAGCAAATGAAACACAAAAATATATAAAAAGATCTATCCACCACAACCAGGTAGGATTTATCTCGGTATGCATGGTTGGTTCCACACTCAAAAATCAGTTAATGTAATCCATCACATCAGTAGGCAAAATAAGAAAAATCACATGATCATATCAATAGATAAAAAAAAGCATCTGACAAAATCCAATTCCCATTTATGTAAAAACTCTCAAAAACTAGGAAATACAAGGAAACATCCTCAACTTGATGAAAAATAAAAACTACAAGAAACCTACAGCTAACATTATATTTAATAGTAAGGAACTTGAGTCTTTCTTGCTAAGATCAAGAATATGGCAAGGATGTCCTCTCTCACCACTGATTTTCAACATCATACTGGAAGTCTTAGTAATGCAATAAGGAAAAATAAATAAATAAAATATATAGAGTTTGGGATAAAAGAATAAAGCTATCTTTGTTCACAGATGACATTATCATCTATTAGCATTCCTCAAAATAAAAATACTTAAACATGTTACAAAATATGTATAAGACATAATAAAGAAAAATTCCAAAACTCTCATAAAAGTCGTCAAAAAAATAAATAAGTGGAAAGATATTCTATGTTCATGGAAAGCAAGACTCAATATTATCAACATGTCAGTTCTTCCCAACTTGATCTATAGATTCATTGCAATACCAATCACAATCCCAGAAAGTTATTTTGCAGTTAAGACCAACTTATTCTAAAGTTTATACAGAGATGCAAAAGATCCAGAATAGACAACACAATATTGAAGAAGAAGAACAAAGCTGAAGGACTGACACTACTCAACTTCAAGATGTATTTAAAACTACAGCAATGAAGACAGTGTGGTATTGGTTAAAAAAGAAGCAAATGAACTGATGGAATGGACTATAGAGAAATAAATCCACATACATATAGTCCAGTGATTTTGACTAACAATGCAATGGGGAAAAGATACTTTTTCAAAAAATGATATTGAAAAAACTGGACATTCACATGAAAGAAAAAGAACATAGACCTTATACCCTTCATGAACCTTAACTCAAAGTGTATCACAGACCTAACTGTAAAATATGAAACTATAAAACTCTTCCATGATAATATAGGAGAAAATCTACATGCTCTTGGGTTGGGTGATGACTTTTTAGATGCAATGCCAAAAGTGCAATCTGTGAATGAGATAATTGATAAACTAAACTTCATTAAAATTAGAAATTTCTGCTTTGCAAAATACATTGTCAAGAGAATGAAAATATAATCCACTGACTTGGAGGGAATATTTGCAAAAACATACATATCTTTTAAAGGACTGACACCCAAAATGTACAAATAGCTCTTAAAACTCTTCAATGAGAACAGAATAAGATTTTTTAAATGGGCCAAAGGCGTAACAGATACCCTCACCTAAGAAGATAGGCACATGGTAAATAAGCATATAAAAAGATGCTCACAATCATAGATCATTAGGAAAATGCAAAGTAAAACAATGAGATAACACTGATTGCTACAATCCAGAACACTGACAATACCTAATGCTCACGAGGATGTAGAACAACAAAACTCTCAAAAATTTGTGGTGAGAATGTAAAATGATAGAAGACTGTTTGGTGTTTATTTACAAAATGAAATAGCCTCTTACTGTATAACCTAGCAATCATTCTTCCTGGCATTTACGCAAATGAGTTGAAAACTGATTTCCACACAAAAACCTGCACATGGATGTTTATAGCAATTTTATTAATAATTTATAAAACTTGGAAGCATTGAGATAGCTTTCAGTAAAAGGCGGTACATCCAAACAATAGCATATTGTATAGCACCAAAAAAGAAATTAACCATCAAACCATAGAAAGAGATAAAGGAAAAACAAGCATAATGGTGATTGAAAGAAGCCAATTTAAAATGGCACACAGTGTGTGATTCAATTCTATGACATCCTTTAAAAGGCAAAACTAAGGAGATCGAAATAAATTATTGGTTCCCAGGGGTGATAGGGAAGGATAGATGACTAAGTGGAGCACAGACGATTCTTAGGACAGTAAAACTACTCTGTATGATACTATAATGGTGGATACATGTCATTATGCATCTGTGCAAACACATAGCACGTACAGCACCAAAAGTGAACCCTAATGTAAATGGTGAACTTTGAGTAACAATGATGTGTTAGTTAGGTTCATTAGTTGTAACAAATGTACATGCTGGTAGGGGATGCTGATAATGCTAAAGACTATGCATGTGTGGGCAAGGATATGAGCAATCTCTGTACCTTCTTAATTTTGCTGTGAACTTAAAACTGCACTTAAGAAAAGAAGAAACCACATCCTGTAATTCTTTCTTTATTCTGTCATGTTTTTGATAATAATGTTGCCAGTGGTCTTTACTGCTAAGTGGGACACTTAACCTAAAATATTTTCTAACATGTAATCTATTTTAAAAGATTCATAAGTAATTCCTATTGTGTCATACATATTTATAATATAAACAAATATAAAAATATAGTTTCATGTATTATTTTATTGCTTGAAATATTTAAAATAGTAGCATATTATCATAAATCAAATGTCAGTAATACACAAATTATTATACTTGCTTTGATATTTGACAGTTTTTTTGAAAACCAACATGAGAAGAATAATCTGTGCTTCAGTCTAGACTCAAAAATTAGATGAATGTCCTGTAAATAAATGATTGGCTTCAAATAACAATTTCCATTTATATTATTTATGTATCCCCGGGCTCTCCAATATATAAATCTTTTATAAGAATCTGTAAATATGTGAGCTATAATTTTCTAACTCTCAAGGTACTTATATTAGAGATAGAATGATTCTGTGACTGGACAATTTACAAAGAATAATTGAATATTGAGTAGGAAACAAGGATGTGTTTAATGGGTGAAGATCTGAATTTGTTACTCAGTATTTTTGCAACTCTATAAAACTGCAATTATGCCAAACATATGGACTATACTTAATTATATTTACATAATATATATTTGGCTAAAATATGGGAAAGAAACAATGTGTCTAAAATAAGAATAAAATATTTTGAAATTATATAGACTGTCATGCATTACTTAATTACAGTATACATTCTGAGAAATGTGTCATGAGGCAAGTTTATCATTGTATAAACATTGTAGAGAGTACTTACACAAATCTAGATGACATAGCCTACTACCCACCTATGCTATCTGGGATAGCCTATTGCTTCTAGGCTACAAACCATACAGCATGTTACTTACTAAATACTTTGGCAATTGTAACACAATAGTAAGTATTTGTGTAACTAAACATATTCAAACATAGACAAGGTACAGTCAAAACACTATGTAAAAGATAAAATGTGGTGCACCTGTATGGGACACTTACAATAAATGGAGCTTGGAGGACTGGAAGTTGCTGTAGGTGAGTCAATGAGTGAGAGAGGCGAGTGAACGAGAAGGTCTAGGACATTATTGTACACTACTGTAGACTTTCTAAACACTGTACACAGGCTGCACTAAATGTATGTATTTTTTATTTAAATTTTATTGCATTTTAATTTCTAGGATACATGTGCAGAACATGCAGGTTTGTTACATAGGTATACATGTGCCTTGGTGGTTTGCTGCACCTATAAACCCATCACCTAGGTATTAAGTCCTGCATGCATTAGCTATTTATCCTGATGCTCTCCCTCACCATGACGCCCCCAACAGGCCTTGGTGTGTGTTGTTCCCCTCTCTATATTAATGTGTTCTCATTGTTCAGCTTCCAATTTTGAGTGAGAACATGTGGTGTTTGGGTTTCTGTTCCTGTGTTAGTTTGCTGAGGATGATGGCTTCCAGCTTCATCCATGTTCCTAAAAAAGACATAATCTTATTCCTTTTAATGGCTGCATAATATTCCATGGTGTATATGTACCACATTTTCTTTATCCAGTCTATCATTGATAAGCGCTTGGGTTGATTCTATGTCTTTGCTATTGTGAATAGTGCTGCAATGAACATATGTGTGCATGTATCCTTATAATAGAATGATTAGTATTCCTTTGGGGTAGATACCCAGTAATGGGATAACTGGGTCAAATGGTATTTCCAGTTTTAGATTTTTGAAGAATCACCACATTGTCTTCCACAATGGTTGAACTAATTTACATTCCCACCAACAGTGTAAAAGTGTTCCTATTTCTCAACAGCTTCATCAGCATTTGCTGTTTCTTGACTTTTTAAAAATCACCATTCTGACTGGTGTGAAATGGTATTTCATTGTGGTTTTGATTTGCATTTCTCTAATAATCAGCGATGCTTAGCTTTTCTTAATATGTTTACTGGCTGGATAAATGTCTTCTTTTGAGAAGTGTCTGTTCATGTCCTTTGCCCACTTTTCAATGGTTTTCATTTTTTTTTTTGTAAAATTGTTTAAGTTCCTTGTAAATTCTGGATATTGACCTTTGTAGGATGGGTAGATTGCAAAATATTTCTGCCATTGTGTAGGTTACTTGTTCGCTCTAATGATACTTTCTTTTTTTAAACAGAAGCTCTTTAGTTTAATTAGATCCAATTTGTCAATTTTTGACTTCGTTGTAATTGCTTTTGGCGATTTCATTATAAAATTTTTGCCTATCCCTATGTCCTGAATGCTATTGCCTAGATTTTCTTCTAGGGTTTATATGGTTTTGGGTTTTACATGTAAGTCTTTAATCTATCTTGAGTTAATTTTTGTATAAGGTGGAAGGAAGGGGCCCAGTTTCAGTTTCTGCATATGGCTAGGCAGTTTTCCTGGTACCATTTATTAAATAAGGAATTATTTCCCTATTGCTTATTTTTATTTTTTTATTTTTTTTGAGATGAAGTCTCGCTCTGTCACCCAGGCTGGAGTGCAGTGGCGTGATCTTGGCTCACTGCAAGCTCCGCCTCCTGGGTTCATGCCATTCTCCTGCCTCAGCCTCCTGAGTGGCTGGGACTACAGGCGCCTGCCACCACACCCAGCTAATTTTTTGTATTTTTAGTAGAGATGGGGTTTCACCATGTTAGCCAGGATGATCTCGATTTCCTGACCTCGTGATCCACCCACCTCTGCCTCCCAAAGTGCTGGGATTACTGGCGTGAACCATTGCACCCGGCCTGCTTATTTTTTTTCAGGTTTGTCAAAGATCAGATGGTTGTAGATGTGCAGTGTTATTTCTGATGTCTCTATTCTGTTACACTGGTCTATTTGTCTATTTTTGTACCAGTACCATGCTGTTTTGGTTACAGTAGCCTTGTAGTATGGTTTCAAGTCAGGTAGCAAGGTGCCTTCAGCTTTGTTCTTTTTTCTTAGGATTGCCTTGACTGCACAAGCTCTTTTTTGTTTTTTATATAAATTTTATAGTAGTTTCTTCTAATTCTGTGAAGAATGCCAGTGGTATTTTGGTGGGTATAGCATTGAATCTATAAATTACTTTTGGCCATGTGACCATTTTTACAATATTAAATCATCCTATTCATGAGGATGGAATGTGTTTCCATTCATTTGTGTCTATTCTTATTTTCTTGAGCAGTGGTTTGTAGTTCTCCTTGAAGAGGTTATTCACTTCCCTTGTTAGCTGTATTCCTAGGTATTTTGTTCTTTAAAAATTTTGAATGGGAGTTCATTTATGATTTGGTCTCTGCTTGTCTATTGTTAATGTATGGGAATGCTTGTTATTTTCACACATTGATTTTGTATCCTGAGACTTTGCTGAAGTTGATTATCAGCTTAAGGAGCTTTGGGGCTGAGATGATGGGCTTTTCTAGATATAAAATCATGTCATCTGCAAACAGAAGCAATTTACTTCCTCTCTTCCTATTTGAATATTTTATATTTCTTTCTCTTGCCTGATTGCCCTAGACAGAACTTCCAATACTATGTTGAATAGAAGTAGTGAGAGAGGGCATACTTGTGCCAGTTTTCAAAGGGAATGCTGCCAGCATTTGCCCATTCAGTATGATATTGGCTGTGGGTTTGTCATAAATGATTATTAATTTGAGATATGTTCCATCAATACCTAATTTATTGAGAGTTTTTAACATGAAGGGATGTTGAATTTTACCAAAGATCTTTTCTGCATCTATTGAGATAATCATATGGGTTTTGTCATTAGTTCTGTTTATGCGATGAATTACATTTACTGATTTGCATATGTTGAACCAGCCTTGCATCCCAGGGATGAAGCCAACTTGTTCATAAGGGATGTGCTTCTGGATTCAGTTTACCAGCATTTTATTGAGGATTTTCACATTGATGTTCTTCAAGGAAATTGGCCTGATGTTTTCTTTTTTTTGTTGTATCTCTGCAAGGTTTTGCTATCAGAATAATGCTGGCCCCACAAAATAAGTTAGGGAGAAGTCCTTCCTTTTCCATTTTTTGGAACAGTTTCAGAAGGAATGGTGCCAGCTCCTCTTGGTACCTCTGGAAAAATGTGGCTGTAAATCCATCTTGTCCTGTGCTTATTTTTTTTTTTTTTGGTTGGTAGGCTATTTATTACTGTCTCGATTTTAGAATTTATTATTGGACTATTCAAAGATTCAAATTCTTTCTAGTTTATTCCTGGGAGGGTGTTTGTGTTCAGGAATTTATCTATTTTCTAGTTTACTTGCATAGAAGTGTTTCTAGATTTTCTATTTTACTTGCATAGAGGTGTTTATAGTATTCTCTGATGGTTGCTTGTATTTCTTTGAGGTAAGTAGTGATATCCCCTTTATCATTTTTTATTGTGTCTAGTTGATTCTTCTCTCTTTTCTTCCTTATTAGTCTAGCTAGTGGTCTATTTTATTAATGTTTTCAAAAAAACAGCTCCTGGATTTATTGATTTTTTGAAGGATTTTTTGTGTCTCTATCTCCTTCAGTTCCACGATCTTAGTTATTTCTGGTCTTCTGCTAGCTTTTTTATTTGTTTGCTCATATATCTGTGATTCTTTTAGTTGTGATGTTCCAGTATTGATTTGAGATCTTTCTAACTATCTGATGTGGGCATTTAGAGCTATAAATCTCCCTCTTAACACTGCTTTAGCTGTGTCCCAGAGATTCTGGTATACTGTCTCTTTGCTCTCATTGGTTTCAAATAACTTCTTGATTTCTGCTTTAATTTCATTATGTACCCAGGAGTCATTCAGGAGCAGGTTGGTCAATTTCCACATACTTGTGTGGTTTTTAGTGAGTTTCTTAATCTTGAGTTCTAATTTGATTGTGCCATGGTCTGAGAGACTGTTATAATTTCAGTTATTTTGCATTTGCTGAGGAGTGTCTTACTTCCAATTATGTGGTCGATTTTAGGGTAATTGAGAAGAATGTATATTCTATTTTTTGGGTATGGAGAGTTCTGTAGATGCCTATTAGGTCGACTTGATCCAGAGCTGAATTCAAGTCCTGGATATCCTTGTTAATTTTCTGTCACAATGATCTGTCACAAGTGGGATCTTCTGATCTGTGGGTTGCACAGATCCATGGAAAAAGCACAGATTCCCAGGCTTGGTAGCATGTTCACTCACTGCCTCTCTTGGCTGGGGGTGGAGGCTCCCCTTGCACCATAAGGCTCTCAGGTGGGCTGACACACCATCCTGCTTTTCCTTACTCTCCATGGGTCACGCAAACCACCTGATGATAGAACCTGCATACCTTGGTTGCAGGTGTAGGATTTGCATGCTGTTTGATTCTTCTCAGTGGGAGTCTCTGACCGCCACTCCTTTTAGTCAGCCATCTTGGCTGTATTTCTTATTCTTTAATAATAAATTAACCTAGGCTTACTGTAGCTTATTTACTTTATAAACTTTTTAGTTTTTTTATCTCTTGACTCTTTTGTAATAATACTTAGCTTAAAACTCAAACACATTGTAAGCTGTACAAAATTATCATCTTTCTTTTTAACCTTGTTCTATAAGTTTTTTTTTATTATACTTTAAATTTTAGGGTACATATGCACAACATGCAGGTTAGTTACATATGTATACATGTCCCATGTTGGTGTGCTGCACCCATTAACTCATCATTTAACATTAGGTATATCTGCTTTTTACTTTTTAAATATTTTTGTTAAAACCTAAGACACAAACACAAAATTAACCTATACCTACACAGAATCAGGATCATCAATATCATTGTATTTCACCTCCACATCTTGTCCCACTGAAACATCTTCAGGGGCATTAACACACTGGGAGCTTTCATTTCTTATGGTAACAATGTTTTCTTTTGGAACACCTCCTGAAAGACATACCTGAGGCTATTTTACAGTAAACTTCTTTTATACATAGAAGTACATTCTAAAATAATAATTACAAATATAGTCATTAATAGACAATAGGAATTTTGCAGCTACACCATAATCTTATGGGTCCACCCTCATATATGTGGTCTCTTGTTGACTGAAAGCTCATTTTGCAGCACATGACTGTACATAGATAGGCAGATAGTTACATAAATAAATATTTATAAAGTTGATGTCACGGGTCTCTGGAAAAAGTAGAATGTATTGATTGAGTCTGAAAAAGCACACAAATATTGATTCATACAGAATGAAATGACTAAAATATACTTTATTGACCATTTTTTCACTATGCAACTTTAATGTGATGTAAAATTATAGACACCAAATTATTTTACTCTAAAATATGTTAAATGACAGCAGTGAGAAATATAAGATAAAATTGATAAAAATAAAGACTATTATAAGATTACTGTTAAAGCTTGTGACAAATAGTCTTGCTGGAATATTTGATTTTTAAGTTCAGCACAGAAATGTTTTTTAATATATACATCATCAATCTATCTGCTTTGTTTTCATCTTTATATATGTTTTGATTATCTTTCATTATTCTTATTTTATTTTATGTAGAAAATATTTTGAGCACCTTTTTTGTGCCATGTACTCTTCTAGACACTGAGAATACAGTAGTAAACAAAATAAGAAAAAAGTATTCTCTCAATAGCTAGATTTTTGAAAAAATGAACAAGTCCGTGATTAGATACAGGTGAGACAGTTTGCTATTCTATCTATATATATATATATATACTTTCACTCATTAGTAGTCCCCAAATATTTATGAGGTAGGTATGCTATTATCTCCATTTCAAAATGAGGAAACCAAGATATTGAATAAACTGTTAAATACATCAAAACAAAATGTATTGTACATGGGTTCACATTTAGGAATTATGACTCCAGGGTTCCTTGCTCATAACAATGTATTATTAACAAAGATAGATACATATTTAAATTTGTTTTCTGTTTCTAATAATAAAATATCTAAAACTGGGTAATTTTAGGTAAATGAATTCATTTCTTTTAGCTTTGGAAGTTGAGAAGTACAACTTTGAAGGACCACATCTGGTGAGGGCCTTCTTGCTGGTGGAAACACTCTGAAGAGTGCCCAGATGTGGCTCAAGGCATCACATTGCCAGGGGACCATGCTAAATCGGGTCTCTCTCTTCTCATAAATGAACCAGTCTCTTTCTCATAATAACTCATTAATCCTTTAACCCTTTCATCCATTAAGCCTTGAATAGATTAATCTATTCATAAGGGCAGATCCTTCCTTACTCAATAACCTCTTAAAGGCTTCACATCTAATTAAAGTTCAACGTGAGCTTTGGAAGGGTCCAACATTAAAACATAGCATTCAAACAGCAATATATGATAGATATAGTTAGATTAGATGATAGATAGATAGATAGATAGATAGATAGATAGATAGATAGATGATAGAATAGATATAGAGAGTAGAGAGATAGATGAGAGGTACATAGAATTCCTTTCATTTATTTACCTACAACTTTACCTACAACTTATCCTTTATAAAGAATGAATTTACCTACAACTTATCCTTTATAAATGAATGAATTCACTCAGGAATATGAACAAAATGTTTTCCTTTTAAATAAATAATTAAAAAAACAGAATTATTAACTGATAAGAGAAATAATTAAAAGAGATAAAAATAAATGGATCCTTTAATTATAAACACTGTCCGATACATACTTTGTTTTATTGTGGTTTGCCTTGTGTGTTTTGCAGATGCAGCATATTTTTACAAGCTTAATGTTTGTGATAACCCTGTGTTGAGGATGTCTATCAATGCCATTTTCCAACAGCATGTGTTCTCTTCATGTCTCTGTCACATTTTGATAATAAACTTTTTCATTATAATTATATCTGTTACGGTGATCTGTGAAACTAAGGATTATGCTAAATCTACTCAGCCTGGGCTGTATAAATGGCATAACAAAGCCTTAATGAGAGTACCTCTGCCTACAGCATAGTTTCCTGACTATTATAAGACCACTGTTCACTGACGATTCACCTGGTCACCCAAGAGTTTTGATGGAAATGGACAGGAGATCAATGTTTTTATGCCTGCTAACACTGAATTTATTCTTCAGCCTATTCATGAAGGAGTCACTTTGTTTTTTTGTGTGTTTTTAAAAATTTTTTAATTAAATTATTTTTTAATTTTATAATTTTAACGTTTATTTTAGATTCAGGGGGTACATGTGCAGATTTGTAACATGGGTATATTGCACAACACAGGTTTGGAGTATGATTGATCCCATCACCCAGGAGGTGAGCATGGTACCCAATTGTTAGTTTTTCAGCCATTACCCACTTCCCTCCTTCCCTTTCTAGTATTCTCCAGTGTCTATTCTTTTCATCTCTATGTCCATGTGTACACAATGTTTAACACCCACTTATAAATTAGAACATGTGTTATTTGTTTTCCTGTTGCTGCATTAATGTGCTTAGGATAATGTCCTCTAGCTGCCTCCATGTTACTGAAAAGGACGTAATTGTATTTTTTATGGCTATATAGTTTTTCATGGTTATATATGCAATACTTTTTATATCCAATACACCATTGATGGGCACCTAGATTGATTCCATGTCTTTGGTACTGTCAATAGTGCTGTGATGAACATAAGATTGCATGTATTGTTTTGGTAAAATAATTTCTTTTCTGTTGGATACATACCCAATAATGGGGTTGCTGAGCATATATCAAATAAATTTCTGCTTTAGAGTACTTTGAGAAATTTTCAAACCACATTCCAAAGTGACTGAACTAATTTACATTCCCACAAACTGTGTACAAGCATTTCCTTTTTTCTTCAGCCTCACAGTATCTGTTGTTTTTGACTTTTTAATAATAAACATTGTGTCTGGTGTGAGAAGGCATCTCATTGTGGTTTGATTCACATTTATTTGATAATTTGTGATGTGGAACATATTTTCATATGTTTGTTGGCCACTTGTATGTTTTCTTTTGAGAAACGTCTGTTCATGTCCTTTGCTCACTTTTTAATGAGACGCTTTATTTTTTTGTTGTTGAATTATTTAAGTTTCTTAAAGATTCTGGATATTAGAATTTGTCAGATGCATAGCTTGTGAATATTTTCTTTTATTCTGTAGGTTGCCTTTCTTCACTGATAGTTTTTTTTTTCTTGCTGTACAGAAGCTCTTAAGTTTAGCCAGTTTTCACTTGTCAATTTTTGTTTTTGTGGCAATTGCTTTTGAAGACTTAGTCATAAATTATCTCCCAAAGATGATGTGTAGAATGGTGCTTCCTAGGTTTTCTTCTAGAATTTTTATAGATTAAGGTTTTTCATTTAAGTATTGAATCCATCTTGAGTTAATATTTCTATGTGTTGAAAGAAACAAGTCTAGTTTTATTCTTCCATATATGGCCTTCTAGCTATCACAGAATCATTTATTGAATAAGGAGTTCTTTCCATATTCCTTTTCTTTTTTTTTTTTTTTTTGGTCAACTTTGTTGAAAATCAGATGGCTATGGGTTTGGAGCTTTATTTCTGGATTCTCTGATCTGTTCCATTGATCTATTTCTGCAACAATACCGGGCTGTTTTTGTTACTGTAACCTTGTGGTATGGTTTGAAGTCGGGTAGTGTGGTGCCCCCAGCTTTGTTCCTTTTGCATAGGATTGCTTTCATTATTCAGGCTCTTTTTTGGGTTCCATATAAATTTTAGAATTTTTTTCTAATTATAATGGTAGTTTGGTAGGAATAGCATTGAATCTGTAGATTGGTTTGGGCAATATGTGCATTTTAATCATATTGATTCTTTAATTCACGAGCATGGAATATTTTTCCATTTGTTTGTGTCATTTATGATTTCTTTTAGAGTGTTTCGTAATTCTCCTTGTGGAGACCTTTTATCTCCTTGCTTAAATGTATTCCTAAGTATTTTGTCTTTTTGTGGCTATAGTAAATAGGATTGCATTATTGATTTGGGTTTCAGCTTGAACGTTATTGTTCTATAGAGATGCTACTGATTTTAGTACATTGATTTTGTATTTTAAAACATTACTGAAGTTATCGGTCCCAGTAGTTTTTTCACAGACTCTTTAGGGTTCTCTGGGTACAGAATCATATCATCAGTGAAGAGAGACAGTTTTTCCTTTGTTTTCCAACTTAGATGTCTTTTCTTTTGTCTGATTGCCCTGGCTAGGGCTTCTAGTGCTATGTTGAATAGGAGGTGAGAAAGGTTATCCTAGTCTTGTTCCACTTCTCAGGGTAAAGGCTTTCAGCTTTTATCCATTCAGTATGATGTTGCCTGTGTGTTTGCCATACATGGATCTTATTATTTTGAGGTATGTTCCTTTGATGCCTAGTTTGCTGAGGGTTTTTATCATAAAGGAATGCTGGGTTTTATGAAAAGCTTTTTTTTATATCAATTGAGATGATTTTTTTTCTTTTAATTATATTTACATAATCACATTTATTGATTTGTGTTAATACATTTATGTAGCTAATCACATTTATTGATACCTTGCATCATAGATATGAAGACTACTTGGTCATGATGAATTAACTTTTTAATATGCTGCAGGACTTGGCTTGCTAGTATTTTGTTGAGGATTTTTGTTTATGTTAATCAGAGATATTGGCTTATTGTGGTATTTTTTCATTGCATATTTGAATGTTTTGGTATTAGAATGAGATTGTATTCATCGAGTGAGTTAGTGAGAAGTCTTTCCTTCTCAATATTTTGAAATCGTTTCAGTAGACTTGGTACCAGCTCTTCTTTGCATGTCTGTAGAATTCAATTCTTAATCCATGTGGTCTGTATATTTTTTTAGTTTTTTTTTCTTATTGCTGATTCAATTTTGGAACTCAACATTGTTCTTTCCAGGGTTTTAATTTCCTCCTGATTCATTCTGGACAAGTTATGTGTTTCCAAGAATTTCCTCTAGATTTTCTAGTTTGTATGCATAGAGATGTTTATTATGGGCTCTGTGGATCTTTTGTATTTCTGTGGAATCAGTTGTAATGTTACCTTTGTTGTCTCTGATTGTGCTTATTTGAATTTCTCTCTCTCTCTCTTTTTTTTTTTTGTTAACCTAGCTAGCAGTCTATTATTGATCTTGTTGATTTTTTAAATAACAAACTTTTGGTTTTGTTGATTTCTTGAATTTTGAAGTCTCATTTTTTTTTGTCAGTTGTTCTCTGATTTCATTTATTTATTTTCGTCTGCTAGCCTTGGAGTTAGTTTGTTCTTATTTTTCTAGTTCCTCTAGCTGTGATGTTAGATAATTAAAGATCTTTCTTTTTTTTTCAGGCAGGCTTTGAGCACTATAAATTTTCCTCTTAACACTACTCTTTCTGCCTCCCAGAGACTTGGGTATGTTGTATTTCTGCTTTTATTTATTTCAAAGAATTTTTTTATTTCCACCTTAATTTTATTGCTTACCCAAAAGTTATTCAAAACTATGCTGTTTATTTTCCATGAAATTGTGTGGTCTTGAGAGATCTTCTTAGTATTGATTTCTATTTTCATGTCACTGTGGTCTGAGAGTATGGTTGGTATAATTTTGATTGTTTTTAGAATTTATTGAGTCTTGCTTTATGGCTGAGCATGTGATTTAGCTCGGAATATGTTCCATGTGCAGATGAGAAGAATGTATACTATGTGGTTCATGCGTGGAATGTTCTGCAGATATCTATTACGTCCTTTTGCCCAAGTGTTGAATTTATGTCCAGAGTTTTGTCTAGTTTTCTGCCAAAAAGTCATTTTGACTTAAAAGTCTTATTATTTAAGAAATACCTTTTGTAATTCTATCACTGCTATTAATTACAATTTCTCTGATGGATCTGGGCCAAATAATTGATTATCTTCTAGAAAATATTTACCATTCCAAGTGCCATTAGGAACACTTATGATTCTTGGGTGGAGGTAAAAATATCAACACTAACAAATGTTTGGAAAAAGTTGAGGGCACCTTTCATAAATTACTTTGAAGGATTAAAGATTCCACAGGAGGAAGTTACTGCAGATGTGGTGAAAATGTCAAGAAAACTAGAATTAGACCTGGGTCCTGAAATAGTGACTTATTGCTGTAATCTCATGATAACACTTAACAGGTGAGAACTTGCTTCTCATGAATGAGCAAAGACAGTGGTTTCTTGACGTGAAAACTACTCCTGGTGAAAATACTGTGAACATTGTTGAAATGACAACAAAATACTTATAATATTATATAAACTCAGTTAATAAAGCAGTGGCAGAGTTTGAGAGAATTGACTCTAATTTTGAAAGAAATTCTGCTGAGTCAAATGTTATCAAACAGCACAGTATGTTGCAGAAACATCTTTTGTGAAAGGGAAAGTCAGTTATGGCAAACTTCTGTGTTGTCTTATTTTAAGAAATTGCCACAGCCAGCCCACCTTTCGCCATTCACCACCTGATTAGCGAGTAGCCATCAACTTCCAGGCAAGACTTCTCTACCAGCAAGAAAGATTACTACTCCCTGAAGGTTCAGTTGATTCTTAACATTTTATCGATAAAGTATTTTTAAATTATAGTATGTGTGTCTTTTTAGATATAATCTTATTGCACATTTAATAAACCAGAGTATTTTTAGATATAATCTTATTGCACATTTAATAAACCAGAGTATAATATAAAGATAGTTTTATATGATGAAACAAAAAATGTATGACTTGCTATACTGTAGTATTCACTTTATTGGACATTCACTTTATTGTGGTGGTCTGTATTGAAATCAGCAATATCTGAGATATATCTTCACCTTCATGCAGACAAGTTTTGCTGTATTGCAGGCACTGCTGCTTCTAAGAGATGTTGACCAGAGGCTGGGGGAGTTACCTGCTCTTCAAGGTTGGTGACTGTAGCTGTGGCTCTGCAGTGCCATTTAGTAGCTGGTAGCTGAAGACATGCTGCATGCAATCCAGGGCAGGAGGCTGGTGCCTGCCTTACTAAATGAGAAGTTCCTTGAGCGAATGAAGACCTTAGGCATATTCCTAGTGAACTGAAGTACAAGGACACCAGAGTACAAAGTGACATACAGTCCAGCATATATTTACAAATTATTTTCTTGATAGAAGCCTGGGGAGAAAAGCTAGAGGTTCTGAGTGCCTGAGACTTCCCTGTCCATTCACTTTGTTCTATTCAGAGTCACTCTGTGGTAGAAGTGGAGGGAGGATATCATAAGAAACTTAGTGAATAGTATTGTTTCCGCCTCTATTGCACAGGCAGGCCATCAGCTGTCTTGGTCCAACAGGGAAGACTTCTTATTATGAGTATCAAGTCCCACCCTTTGCAATGCAACCATTCAAGGAACTCTTCTTTGTTTGATCTGCTGGGGTCTAGATGGCAAGAAAGATATACTATGTGGTGGATATAGCTACCATTGCTCTTTTCTTTTTATCTTATTTTTATTTTTGTTCTGTTTTCTTTTTTTTTTTTTTGGTGGGGTGCGTTTGTGTGGTCTCTTGAAGTTATTTCATACTGATGTAAATTTTTTTCATGTTAAAATGGCTACTAATCTCGTCACTCTCTTCCTTGTTTATTTGCAAAATTTGTCCATTATGTCCATCTGCAATTAAGCACATCCTCATCTCTTATTGATTCTTCTTATCCTGTTTCTTTTCATCTCGGTGACTGTATTTTTGGCTTTGACTTAGCTTCTGATTTTTAATATTCCAAATAAATACCTTTAATTTGTAAATAAAAACTGAATACCCTTTTAAAAATGTTTATATTTATTGTCTATGTCCTAAATACACTAGTTATTCTCAAAGTGCTTTATAGAAATTCTCTCCATGGTGATGTGAGGATTAGGAAAAAAATGTTTTTTATAATCATACTAGGAAAGACCACACATGGGGAGGCAACATAGGCTACTCAGTAGCTTACCAGATGAGTTATAATGGAGGACCCTGCCCAGCTTTGGCCTTGTAAATAAACGTTAGTGCCATTAACTATCTCCATCTGCTAGTCTAATAAGTAGTATTGGTCTCTTTATGGAAAAAAATTCTAGTAATTTTGAGGGAAAGACCACCTATGCCATAAGAGAAATATGAAGAAGTTAGTTCATAACCTGCCACAGACACTAAGATTTTGTCCTACAATTCTAGATCATAACATAATTGAAGTGTACATATGTATTAAATTGACTTAGGCAAGTTTCTTTTCTTTTTCTCTCACTCCCCAACAAATACATGACTAATGGTAAGAATATAGTTTTTCATGTTCATGGGGGAATAATTCCAGAAACACTGAAGATACCAAAATCCATGGATGCTCAAACTTTTTTTATAAAATGATTTTATATAAAATCATCTCTAGATTATTTATCCTACCTAATACAATATCTATACATCACTTCATTAATGTGGATTCAACCTTGCCTTGTACTCACCACAAGACAAATTCAAGTTTTGCTTTTTGGAATTTTGTGAAATTATTATATTTTTAATATTTTTATTTGAAGTTGGTTGGTGAACCCACTGATGTAGAACCCAAGGATACGGAAGGTCTAATGTAATTGGAACTAGGAGTGGGCTTGTAGACAAAACCTCTCACGGTGAATGTCAAATTGGTTGTAGCATTTTGTCAGTGTGTGTGCATGAAGGGAAGGGGGAAGAAGTAACTGGGAATAATTTTTTTCCAATGGAAAGTGATAAAATAATCAATTTAATTGGCAAAATTGTTCAGCAAATAGACCTAGACCTATGTTTAAATATATATTATTTTTCAGCATTTTTGTAAACTTTGCCACCATGTTATGAGGTAATTTTGAGAATTAGATTGTTACCAAAATATTGGATAAAAAATAGAAGCTGTGAAAAATAGAAGAAATTAGATATTTGGTTGTAACACATAAGGCAGCCATGTAATTACAATGTAATTACATGACCCAGCTGCAGGAAACAAAATGTCCTTATTACCAGTACTCTACATAATAAATTATTCTCCAAATACTTAATACATGAAGTTACATTATTCTTTAAATTTGCTAATCTACAAAATGGCAATGAAGGAAGTGAATGTCCTCTTCGGGAAAATATGAGGCAAAATGTGATTATAGCAATTGCATAGGCATATCTGATACATGTGAATTGACTAACATTAAACCTATTACAAAATAACTTCCCCAAGAATTTAACAGCATGTAAATATTTGTATCTACCTTACTATGGAGATAAATATAGAGGCAATATTAAAGTTAAAGATAACATAAAGAGTATTTGAACAGATTTAAAAAAGTAGGATATGTATAGAAATTATAGTAAAATCTTGAAAAAATATGTAGAAATGGCATTTGTACATATTTGATTAATCAAGACATAATGTAGAGTTTACAAAATAAAATAATAACACTCATCCTAGCATTTTACTTTAGCTCTCATAGAGAGCTAAAATGTTCATGAGTATCAAGCAGAACAGGAATTGACTGCATCAACTGAACTAATAGAAGAATAAGGTAATCTTTTTGACTTTTTGCTTAAAACATTGCTGATCCTTTGTTTTGTTATTTTCAGAGGCAAGACAACTTTTCTTTCGAGCTATTAACAGCTTTTAATAATTTACTATACTCCTCTGAACAAAATTTGGAACATATTTGTTTCTCTCTACCTAATTTCCCCAGAATTTGGAAGCTATTTGTGAGTATTCTTAACTTATGGCAATATAGTTATTTGCATGAGTGCAATAAGAATCTGTTTGCATATGTAACAGGCACATTTGAAACTGGTCATTTTACCAAGGTTTTGACTGGAATGGTGTTCTTTCCTTATGATGCCAATAAAGCCCTTGTAACAACTGGCCTCATATTCTGTGTACACAGTCTCTGTACCAGATTTCTGACCTGTGTTAAGCAAAGTATGTCACTTTCTGAAAGGCTCAGAAGCCCCAGGTTTATCTCGGGACCTCAAGAGTAGAGGAAATTCACCGAATACATAGCTATTTGATGGCACAAATCCATGGCTTAGCTCAGCTTTAAAAAAGCCTTATCTGGGCCAGGCACAGTGGCTCAAGCCTGTAATCCCAGTACTTTGGGAGGCTGAGAAGGGCAGATCATGAGGTCAGAAGATCAAGAACATCCTGGCTAACATGGTGAAACCCCTTCTCTAGTAAAAAAAAAAAAAAAAAAAAAAAAAAAAAATTAGCCGGGCGTGGTGGCAGGTGCCTGTAGTCCCAGCTACTCAGGAGGCTGAGGCAGGAAAACGGCGTGAATCCGGGAGGCAGAGCTTGCAGTCAGCCAAGATCACGCCACTGTCCTCCAGCCTGGGGGACAGAGCGAGATTCTATCTCAAAAGAAATTAAAAAAAAAAAAGCCTTATGTGAGATTCCTAGTATGGAACAAAGTTCCATCAAAGCCAATTTGAAAGCTTATGTAAAAATAATTATTCTTGCCACACTGTATACAAATAATTAGTCCAAGTATTACAAAGAAAATCAGCCCTACCATGATTTATCTTTAGTAAAAATGGGAAACTGAAGAGGAAAAAATAATGTTTCAAAAACTGTAGTATATCTGTTGTTAGATTCTAGTCTTGCCTAATGTTTCTCCATTTGTATTATTTTCTACAGTTTGGACAAAATTCTAATTTTTCTAAGCTACAAGTCTGCAAAATGATGTATCGATGTTTTTTTCATTTTTTCTAATTTGGAGTCACCAAAAACTAAGGTATGTTTTCATAAAGCCCTGTGAACTGAAGCTAAACAATTTAAATTTCAGAAGAAAATAACAGCAACCTATTTATATACATAAGCCACTTTCATACCTGCCTACTAATGTATGAACTTCAGAGTTATGTGGTCTATATGCATTTTCCAGGATTGTTCTTTTGTTTGTTGTTGTTTTTCTCCCTTCCTCCTTCTATTTTCTCTTCATAGGACATGAGAATTCACAACCTGCTAAAAATGAGCTTTGTTAATAATAGGGGACCTACTCATCTAGGAATAAACCATCCTAAACATGAAAGATCAGACAAAACCTGAGACCAGAGACTCGTTTTCTTCTAAAATGCTTTCTCCAAAATATTTTTTAAAACGAAAAGCGGGGAAATGTGAAAGAAAAATAAATATCATGACCCCCAAATCACTAAGCTAAAGGGAACAGTCAAGCCGGTAACTGTTTAGGGCCAACCTGCATCCCATTCTATTCAAAATCACCCCTCTGCCCACTGAGATAAATGCATATCTGATTGCCTCTTTTGGAGAAACTAATCAGAAATTCAAGAGAATGTAACCACTTGTCTCCTATCTACCTATGTCCTGGAAGACCCCTTTCCCTTTGAGTCTTCTTACCTCTGCTTTGAGTTGTCCCACCTTTCCAGACCCAAACAATGTTCATCTTACATATGTTGATTGATGTCTCATGTCTCTCTAAAATGCATAAAATCAAACTGTGCTCTGAAAACTTTGGGCACATGTCTTCAGAAACTCCTGAGGCTGTTTCACAGGCATGTATCCTCATCCTTGGAAAAATAAACTTTCTGAATTAACTGAGACCTGTCTCAGATTTTTGGAGTTCACAAGTGTTTTCAGCTCCTTATTCCATTTCCTTCAAAAGAGATGCAATATTATCTTAAAAATCCTCAAATAGTTTACCATTCTCAAATACCAACATGAAATTTCACTTTACTACAAAGCCCTCCAATCGCCAGCAGCTCTCCATCATGCTTAAGTTCACTTCTTTCTATACAACTTTGCCCTATTTCTTCTTCTCTCAATAGAAAGCAAGTCCTCATTTATCTAATCTGGGCAATTGCTCCATCGGTCTCCCTTCATATTTCTCATATCTTAACAGCCTTTATTGTACTATTTTTCTATTGAGTTTACTAAAATGTTCATATCTGTACCCCATGCAAAAATTCTCCCTTTCTAGCACAACACACACTAAAATACTTCTTTGTCCCTTGGGTTTTCATTTTTAGAAGACTTTTTATACTTCACATGTCTCCATTTTCTTATCTGCAATTTAGTTTTTAACAGGCTGTAACTTAATTTTGCCCCAGCATCAATTCAATGAATGTTGTTTTGGCAAACCATAGGAATATTCCCTGTACGCTTTCTATTCTAATGTGTTCCACCTTACTATTCAAGACTAGTGTTCCTCTTCTTCTCCCAAGACTATATAGTAAAATTTTTAATCATGTTTCTGCTGTAGAAACTCTCAATTCTACAACATGTGCCTAGATGAAATTCTAATCGGCTACATCCAACTCCTTCCTGATAACTCTACTTAAGCTAACATAATCACCTCAAACCTAGAAAGTCTGATAGGGATATTCCTGCATCCCCCATTACATTTTATTTGTTAATACATTTGTCAATGTCAACTTAGGAGCCCACCTTACAGAATTGTCTAAGTCAGAGTTATATGAAAATTTTTCCTGTCCTTCCATAGATAGTTGCCAAGTCTTACCACTTCTACATTTTAGTATTTAGTCTGCCTCAGCTCTTTGCCTTTTATTTCTATTATCACTCAAAATAATACCATTCTTACTAGTCTACCGTTGCTCTAGGCCAGGCCCTCTCAAACTTCTTCCCAATTGAATGCTAACGTGATTAAAAAGAGTTTCATTTTTCTCTCCTGCCTTTTAATTTATCCCCATTTCATACAAACTAAAGTCTATAGACTCTAATACAACATGCGAGGTTTTTTTTATTGCATCCCATATTCTTCTCTATTCTCAGTTATATCCATAGATTGACTCACACTTTTTCACAAATGTCACAGGACTTCTGGGCTTTCTTGGATATACCATGTGATTTTGAAATTCTTACTGTTTCATATTCTCTTCTTTGCCTATAATAATTTTATTCTTATTAATAACCCCCCCCAATCATGACCTCTACTTTCTTTGAAAACTCATCTTCATCTTTGAAGCCTAGATAAGGCGCTAACTTCTTAGAAATATGTTTTCTACTTAATTCATGTCACAATAGAGAGTTCATTATTCTCTACTGCTATACTTTGTAAATGTATCTTTCTATCTATGCCACATAATAAACTACTGTTAATAATTTTGATTTTATCACAGTTACAACCTTATTCAAAGTTACAACCTTATTTAAGATCAAGATAATTTGGTTTTATATCTGCCCCATATGACTAAGCTGGTGTCGAGAATAGAGTCAGGATAAATTTATATTTAACAATTGAATTGATAAATACCTCTTTTTTTTCTCTTCTATCAACTTCGATTTTAAATATTCACAACAAGTAGGGGGAAAAAGTAAAATACATATATGAAAATGGTTTTAATGCCTTAGTCCAGGCCAGTTTACTTGGTTTAATGAGAAAGTGTTATAAGTAGGTATTGGAATTATATAGTTAAATATATATATGTATATATGTGTGTGTAAATGTAATGTTATTTTAATTGAAATAAGTATTATTTATATTTTGAGATCTAAAAGCCATTACAACTCTAATATACCAATTTTTCTAATAATGACAATATATGTAAAATATTTTCTTGCTTTTTGCAAATTTATCATGCACTATAATTATCAGTGATTGGTGTGAAACTATCTAACATAATCATAGCTTTGATTTTATGGTTGAAGAATAATGTATACATTTACAATATATATGTTTTGTAGAAAATTGGAATTAAAAATTATTCTGAACACATTCCCAGCCTAAACTACAGCATTTTAAATTAACCCTCAACTGATATCACATATTTTTCTCAAAATGAAGAGCATTTATTTAATATACTAAAGGAAATTTTTACTCATTACTTTACTGTCAATTATAACACAAACTTAGGCTCTATTTTACTTAATATACTAAAGGTAATATTTACTCTTTACTTTACTGTCAATTACAACACAAACTTAGGCTCTATTCAGAATTTTTCTCTTTCATAAGAAGTTTACTTGGGAAATATAACAGTCTAAACATAACTGCAACAACAACAAAAAGTCAACCTGAACAATTCCTGTGTCCTTTTCTTTAGGCATAGGTTCTGTTTTATTCATTATCACAATTTTCAAGGCAATTCATTTATCTAAATTTATTTTGTTTGTATGATATAAGTTAAAAAGAAATATCTTTATATAAGATTTGCAGCCTTTCCTTGAACATCACACTGAGATATTTTTTATTAAAGAAAATAGATGAGAAAAACATTATGAATTCATGCTTGTCATATATAATTTGGAAAAAGCAAATTCTTCAGGGACTCTCACTTTTGAGTATAAAAGAAAGCATGCTTGCTACCAAATTTTTTTCCTCTTATTTGAAAGAAAAAACAAGCAGAAAGATTTTATAACATAGTTGGTAGAACAAATTGAGGATAGTATTAATATAAATATATTATGTCTAGATTAATTTTGAGCTTGCTAATTTTTTTCCTCAGCTTTTACTTGCCCTTTCATTTCATAAAACATTCTTTTTCAAAGATCAAGGGCAACTCCCTTTTTCTTGTATGGTCTCAGACTAATTAACGGATTTTATGGGAGAGTTCCAGATTTCTGAGTCAGAACAACAAAGTTACTTATAAACTGCTTCTTATGTCTGGACAATGGTTTCTATCATCCAATGTTTCTCTCTCTGTTTTTAGGAGGGTTGAAAAGAAAGGGTTTCCACATCCTAACCCCAGAACTAGTTAATATATTACTTTACACAGAAAAGGACTTTGCCTATGTGATTAAATTGAGGATCTTGGGATGGTGAATATCCTGGATAATCTGAGTTGAGTGATGAGAGGAAGAGGTCTCTAGCCCAGGAATGCAAGCAGCTTCCAGAAGGTGTAAAAGGCAAGGAAACAGATTCTCTTGCAGAGATTCCAGAAAGAACCAACCCTGCACACACCTTGATTATAGCCCAACAAGACTAATGTTGTACATCATTACTTACCTCAAGAACAGTAAGGTAATAAATATGTGAATTTTTTTTCCTTGAGATAGAGTCTCACTCTGCTGTCCAGGCTGGAGCATAGTAGCACAATCACAGCTCACTGCAGCCTCAAACGCCTGCATTCAAATGATACCCTGACATCAACTGCCTGCTGCAGCTGGCTTATTTTTAGTATTTACTAGAGTCGGGGTCTCACTATGTTTCCTAAGGCTGGTCTAAAACTCACAGAATCAAGTGATTCTCCTGCCTTAGCTTCCCAAAGTGCTGGGATTTCAAGCATGAACCACTATGTCTAGCCAGTTTTTTTAGCCACTAAGTAGGTGGTAATTTGTTACAGCAGCAATAAGAAACGAATACATAGGGTGTATTCATGGTCAATTTTCAGGATTATACTAGGTCACTGTTCTCCCAGCAACCCGGATTATGAGTTTTATTTTCTTTACAGAAAATTATTGCCAGTGATGATGTCCCCAAACTTGGGATTTCCTAAGCTATACTTTTCTATTTTCTATTAGAAATATAAAAACATATTGTATTAGTCAGGGTTCTCTAGAGGGACAGGCCTAATAGGACAGAAATATCTATGAAAGAGAGTTTATTAAGGAGTATTGACTCATACAATCACAATTTGAAGTCTCACAACAGAGTGTCTGTAAGCTCAGGAGGAAGGAAGCCAGTCTGAGTCCCAAAACCTCAAAAGTAGGGAAGCCAGTAGTACAGCTTGCAGTCTATGGACAAAGGCAAACCACTGGTGCAAATCCAGGAGTCCAAAAGCTGAAGAAATTGGAGTCTGATGTTCAAGGGCAGGAAGCATCCACCATGTGAGAAAGATGAAGGCCGGAAGACTCAGCAAGTCTGGTTCTTCCAGCTTCTTCTGCCTGCTTTATTCTAGCTGCTCTTGCAGCTGATTAGATGGTGACCACATGGATAGAGGGTGGGTCTGTCTCTCCCAGTCCACTGACTCAAATGTTAATCTCCTTTGGCAACACCCACACAGACACATCCAGGAACAATACTTTGCATTCTTCAATCCAATCAAGTTGACACTCAGTGTTAACCACCACACATATCAAGCGTCTAAACGTTTCTGTGGTTTAAGCAAGTTAAAAAGATTACATAAAAAAATCTCAGGCTTTTGATCTCTTGCCATGTTTTAAGTTTGTTGAATTAAATATTAGAATTGAAAACGCCAAACTTTCTGGTAATATCTTACCTGTTAATGGCTAATCAAGTCCATCTCTCCTTAAATAGGAAAAACATTGTCCCACAATGGGTTACTTCAGATCCTGCAGGAAGCAACTGCTGAGGAAGAATTTCAAAAATCTGCAAAAATTTATTAGAAGAAACACCTATGAGAACAAATGAAAAGGTTGGATGAAAGGGTTGGGTGAGTCTTCAGAGCATGATACAATTCTAACCCAGTGAAGGAGAGGGAGAAAGAAGTTTGGATGAAAGCATTAGGGCTCTCTAAGTTTGTCAAGGATACTGGGGACTTCTTGGGCAAAAGACTTGTGGCTTCTAAGAAGCTCACTGCACTTATCTTGGCTTTCACACAAAGACAATGATGGATTTCCATATTCAGTAGCCAGGCTCTTGTTTTATTATGTTCACTCTATTTGGATGTTTGCAAGCCATCTTCATGTGGCAAGGCTAGAAAACAAACCAGATCTCTTGAGGCAGGTTTTCAAATGTGTCAATTGGAACTGCATAAATGATTCATGCCACATATGTTTAATTTAACCCATCTTTCTGTGGAATAAACATTAGAGAAAGTGGCAAGGTTTAATAAAATTGTATTGGACTTGAAGTAGGAAATTCTAAATTTTATAACACATCTATTAATCTCCTTAAACTATAGAAACCCCTATGAAATAATTTTCATTCTCAGTTAACTTGCATTATTTTCACTAATAAGTACTACTTTACTTATGTATATAAAATGTTAAACCAACATATTTATGCTGAGTACATAGAGATATATACACACACATGCAAACACATATAGATACACACTGCATTAGCCTGCTCTTACACTGACATTAAAGACATACCTGAGACTGGGTAATTTATAAAGAAAAAGAGGTTTGATGAACTCACAGTTCCACGTGGCTGAGGGGTCCTCACAATCAAGGCAGAAGGCAAAGGAGGAACAAAGTCACATCTTACATGGCAGCAGGCAAGAGGAAGCTTGTGCAGGGAAATGCCCCTTTACAAAACCATCAGATCTGGTGAGACTTATTCACTACCATGAGGACAGTATGGGGGAAACTGCCCCCATGATTCAGTTATCTTCCGCTGGGTCCCTCCCATGACACATGGGAATTGTGGGAGCTACAATTCGAGATGAGATTTGGGTGGGGACACAGGCAAACAATTCACACACATACTTATTTCTATTCTGACTAATATTCAGTGGCATTTACTGGAAAATCTAGTGTTCCAGTGCTACATCTGCTTATACACATATCCTTTTCTTATCAGTTATTCTTCAAGTTAGTCACCGTTACAGTCTTTTTCTGAAAACTGCAGATAGAGGGAAACTATCAGTCTGCTGGACAACTAAAACAGTCCTCAATGTCCCTTACTCTTAAAATTCAGTGATGGGAATATTGCTTATATTACATCTAATTTAAAACAATATGGTGCTAGTCATTAAGGGAAGTAAAGAAAGTAATAAAAATCACCACTTTTTTTTCAAAATTTGGTAAACTACCAAGAAGAAAAACTCTGACAGTTTATTTTACAAAGAAAATTTAGGACAGACATTCTTTACATACGGATGCTATAAATTAGCACTAACAATCCTGGTAAAGTTTAGATAATGTGTTCAAAATATTTTCCATGAGACACATTCACTTTGTCTTTCATTCTTCCACCTGTTCAAATAAGATCAGCACTTGCCGACAAAAAGAAAAGCAAACAGTTCTGAAAGAATCAGGCACCACTAAATTTATTAAGGCAGAGTTGTTTCAGCTGAGTAATATCATCTTTTCCAAAGGCTCTATTTATCCAGTATAAACGTATTTCTTTAAAGGGTCTAGAAAACTGCCTGCTTCACAAAACTTGGATATGAAATATTGTAGCATAAATAAATAATGTGGTAATTTCACTTGCAATATAGCTGTTTATTAAATGATGCAATTAAATATTAAATTTAATTGCTTGCTTTTATAGAATTCTGAATAGAGAAAATAAACATACTATTTGGTATATTAGCCATTAACATATAATGGTCAGTGTTTGTGTTGTATCATGTTAACTTTTCCTAACTCAATTATTTCAGCGTACTCTTATATAAGTTAGTCTACCCACATGAAAAACTACAGTGGGGAAATCTAGGTTCATCACTGATTATTTGTTCCTACAAATTATTTAGTTTATATTTTGTGTATGAATCTGCACTAATCTCTGGGGATATAGCGATAAACACAAGACAAATTTTCTACCACCAATAACAAAAACTTGTAAAATGCATGCTACATTAAAATTATAGTAGCACATATAGGGAGAGTATATTTGAAAGAGAAGACAGAAAAAGCCTCAACAAAGTGATAATGTAAAAACTGAGTTGCCTTCCTCGAGAATAAGTAATCATAGAGTAAGAGTGAGACAGCAGTACTGTGTTTCCGCTATTTATCCTCCATGCCTGTGGGTCATATGCTGTCATATGCTAAGGGATATTGCTTTATTCTTGCATGGTTTTCTTAAACTCTGCCTATACTTACATGACTTGCTTTTATTTAATGAAATTCTCTTCATATTTCCTGTTTAGAGTGCAACATCTTTCTGTAGGGCTTAATATCTTTGTGACATAAGAAACCTAGTTAAGCTTCAGTGCCTCAATTTCATCATCTTTAGTATCTCTTAAGAGCTTATTATGTGTCAGACATCATTCAGGCACTGAAAGAGTTAGAAATCAATTCATGTGACCCTAAGTACAATCACATGAGATTTATATATTACTGCTTATATTTGATAGTTGCCAATGACTTAATTAACTCACCTGAATTTACACAGGCAGAAGGACATTAAGGAACATTTGAATTAAAATCTCTGGATTCAAAACAGATGCTCTTGTCTACTGCACAGTGTTCTAGTGCCTGTTTCAAAGTCTTGATGTGAGAAGTCAATACATTTACAAAAGGAAAGTTCTAAGACTTGCCGGGACCACTTCTCAAGAAAGATGAGTTCCTCTAATAATTATTTATAATTTTCTCTCCTATCAACATGATTAAACAAGAAAGTAATATGGGTGCACTTAATAAGAAAGTGTTTTTGGTTTTTTTTATTTTATTTTACTAGAGATAAAATTTATTGTTTGTGAAAAGGGGTTCTAAAAATATTTTGATTTAAAATTAGTTCCACTGAATCATCACCAAAAACTCTCAATAAATTTTAATTGTCTTAAGCATAAAACTGTAAGATGACTTACAAGGAGGCTTAAGAGAGCCATATACAGTACATAGCTGTCCCTAATATTATAAAAGCACTAGAGTTAGCATAAGAAACTGTTTTTATTTTATTTCTTTATTTTTTTGAGACAGGATCTCACTCTGTTACCCAGGCTGGAGTGCAGTAGCAAGATCATGGCTCACTACCCTCGATCTCTTCGGCCCAGATGATTTTCCCACCTTACCCTTTGGAGTAGCTGGGGCTACAGGAAAGTGCCACCATATCTGGTAATTTTTGTATTTTTTTCTAGAGATGTGGTCTCACATGTTGCCCAGGCTGATCTTGAACTCCTGGACTCAAGAGATTGACATGCCTGGGCCTCTCAAAGTGCTAGAATTATGGGTGTTAGCAACTGTGCTCTGTCCTATTTTTATTTCTACAGGTAATATTTATAAAATTTATACTATACCTGTAATTTGATGTTAGCTCTGTGTAAACACTAGGTAGAGTGTAAATAAAATGAGGTAAATAAGTCATTGATTTTTTTCAAATGTTTGTTTTCCATATATGCACACATAGACATATAATTTTAGTACATAGAGTATTTCAAAGTAATGTTTTACATTTTGTTAAAAAATCAGAGTTTTTCCAAAATGTTGTAATTTTAATAGCTTAGTTTTTTCTTAATGTAATTACATTAAAGTGTTGACTTTATGTTTATAACATTTATTAGGAATCTGGATCAGCTCTCTTAATGAAGACAAAAAGGCTGGAAGATATTTTGAAAAATATTCTTTAATGTCTTAAAGAACTGACGATATAGTAAGAACCTATAAATAAAAAAAAAAATGTTAGATCGAGAGTTTCTTCACCTATCTTCATCAGAAATATTGGCCTGCAGTGTAAAAATGGTTCAACATACAAAAATCAATAGATGCATTCACCACATAAGCAAAAGTAAAAACAAAAACCATATAATCATTTCAATACATGCAGAAAAATTATTCAAAAACATCCAACATCCATTCATGATTTAAAACCTTGAACAAACTAGGCATCAAAGAAACACACCTCAAAATAATAGAGCTATTTGTAACAAACCCACAGCCAATATCATACTGAAAGGGAAAGAGCTGGTAGCATTCCCTCTAACAACTAAAACCAGATAAGGATGTCCACTCTCACCACTCCTACTCAACCTAGTACTGGAAGGCCTAGCCAGATAAATCAGGCAAGAGAAAGAAATAAAATGTATCCAAATCGGATAAGAGAAAGTCAATTTATCTTTTTCCACTGACAATATGATTCTATCTATATCTAGAAAACCCTAAGGATTCATCCCAAAGACTCCTAGAAATAATAAATGTCTTCAGCAAAGCTGCAGGATATAAAATCAGTCTACAAAAATCAATAGCATTTCTACACATCAACAGCATTCAGACTGAGAGGCAATCAAGACTGCAATCCCATTTACAATAGCAAAAAAAAAAAGAAAAAAGAAAAAAAAAGCTAGGAATATGCTTAACCCAGGAGGTGAAAGATTTCTACAAGGATAACTACAAAACACTGCTGAAAGAAATTATAAACCGCACAAACAAATGCAAAAACATTCCATGCTCATGGATTAGAAAAATCAATATTGTTACAATGACCATATTGCCTAAAGCAACCTAGAGATTCAATGTAATTCCTATCAAATTACCAAATTGTTTTTCACATAATTAGAAAAACCAATTCTACAATTCATAAAGAGCCAAAAAAAAAAAAAAAGAAGAGTCCAAGTAGCCAAAGCAATACTAGGCAAAAAAAAGAGAAAAAAATCTGTTGGTATCATATTACCTAACTTTATACTACAAAGTTATAGTAACCAAAACACCATGGTACGGGTACAAATACAGACACATAGATCAATGGGACAGAATAGAGAACCCAGAAATAAAGGCACACACCTACAACCAACTGATCTTTGACAAAGTGAACAAAAATAAACAATGGGGAAAGAAAACTATTCAATAAATGATGTTGGGAAAACTGGCTAGTCGTATGTAGAAGAATAAAACTGGAACCTCAATGTCTCATCACATTTAAAAATTAACTCAAGATGGATTAAAGATTGAAATGGAAGACTTTAAGTTATAAAAATTCTAAAAGAAAACCTAGGAAAAACTTTTTTGGATATTGGCCTACGCAAAAATGTATGATTAAGACCTCAGAGATAAATGCAACAGAAACAAAAATCAACAAATGGGAATTAATAAAACTAAAAACTAAAGAACTTCTGCAAAGCATAGACACAATCAACCGAGCAAACAGACAACCTACAGAATGAAAGAAAATAGCTGCATACTATGTACCCAACAAAGAAATAATATCCAGAATCTATAAGGAACTTAAACAAATCAACAAGAAAAAAACAAAGCCATTAAAAAGTGAGCCAAGGATATGAACAGGTATTTCTCAAAAGAAGACATACAAGTGGCCAACAAACATGAAAAAAAAAAATGCTTAATATCACTAATCATCAGAAAAATGCAAATTAAAACCACAATGGGATACCATCTCACACCAGTCAGTATGGGCACTATTCAGTCAAAAAATAACATGTTGGCAAGGATTGGGAGAAAGGGGAATGCTTATACATTATTGATGGGAATGTAAATTAGTTCAACCCCTGTGGAAAACACCATGGAGATTTCTCAAGAAATAAAAGCTGAACTATCATTTGATCCAACAATCCTACTATTGAGTATCTACCTTCCCAAAATAAATTTTCTCAAAAGGCACCTACATTATGTATGTTTATCACAGCACTATTCACAATAGAAAAGTCGTGAGATCAACCTGAGTTTCCAGCAATGAAGGAGACATGTGTATATATATATGTATATATATATACACACACACATATACACACACACACACACACACACACTTATGTATACACCATGGAATACTACTCAGACACAAAAGGATTAAAAAATCACGTGATTTTCAGCAACATGAATGGGACTTAAGGCCACTATCCTAAGTGAAGTGCCTCCAAAACAGAAAGTCAAAAACTGCATGTTCTCATTAACAAGTGGGAGTTAAACAATGGGAGCATAAGGACATAAAGATGCAAACTATAGACACCAGGGACTCCAAAATGGGGGCAGAGGGGAAAAGGGAAAAGTGGAAAAAAGACCCAATGTGTACTATGCTTACTGTTCTGGTAATTGGTTCCACAGAAGCCCAAACCCTAGCATTAAGCAATATACCTATGTAACAAAGCTACGCATGTACCCATTGATTCTAAAATAATAACTTTTAAAAAGTCAAATTGAGAAAAAAGAAGAGCGTTCCCCTGAGAGCATTTGCTGTTCTATGGAATGTGTGCTGAGATTTCAAGACTTTCTGTGGTGTGAGAGAAAGAGCTAAGGATCCTAAACCTGCCTAAAATTAGGAGACTAAGACGAGAGCACCCCCACCCCTGCCATTAAGCTGAGACACTCATAGTGTTGCAACCTGAAGTTAAGGATGAACCAAAAATAAACTACGCGCACACACACACACTACATGGGTGTGTAATAATAAAAGGACTGCATGAAAATGTAACTACAGCCTGACCTTTTGCAGCCTTGTAGTTCTAGTCCTCATTATCTGCATAGCTCAAAATAACTCAAATAAGTTCATTTAAAGTGGTCCTAGACTGGTAGTGGCTACCAGGTACTTGGTAGAAATGAAGATAAATCTCCTAATTCCCCTCTGTCTTGCTTTATTAGAGGTTTCTGCTTCCTGGAGAAATCTTGTATAATAGCCTATCAACTAGAAGGCCTCTGCTGAGTTGTTCCACCTGATATGGCCTTGGAGATTCTATGAGTCTCTCCTCAGGACCAAGGCATTTATTCCTCCAGCTTCGGAGGATGGTGCATGCTGAAGGTTGAACAATGAACCCCGTGTTAATCCGTTTTCATGGCGCTGATAAAGACATACCGGAGAAGGGGCAAATTACAAAGGAAAGAGGTTTAATGGAGAACTCACAGTTTCAGGCGGCTGGGCAAGCCTCACAATCATGGTGGAAGGTGAAAGGCATGTCTGACATGGTGGCCGACCAGAGAAGAAAGCTCGTGCAGGAAAACTCCCCCTTATAATTACCATCAGACATGGTGAGATTTATTCACTATCACAAGAACAGCACAGGAAAAACCTGCCCCCATGATTCATTTACTTCCAACGGGCTCCCTGGCACAACATGTGGGAATTCAAGATGAGATTTGGGTGGGGAAAAGTCCAAACCATATCAAACCCTAATATCGGTATTTCCCTGGGTGGAAAAAAGCTGCCACCTATCAAGTCATGAAGCAGCCTGCATACGAAGACTGATTGATTCTGGTTCAGTGAGTGCATTTCTGAAGGACTGCCTGAGTTTCAGCACTCAGCTCAGTGTCTCTTTATGCCCAGTGCTGCTGTCCTCATTGATGACGCTCCTCAGAGTATTCCTTAATGAACCTCTGACATGGAACTCTGAATCTCAGCAACAGTTTTCCAGGAAACCCAACTTCTGGCGTGGCTCTGCATATCTACTGCTATCCAGGCAGAAACTGGCCCTAACTGGCCTTTGGTCTTGTTCTGACAACTACTGGTGATAACCGCAGTCCTTGATAAGTTCCCTCATTGAAGTTCCACACACTCTGTACCCTACTCATTTTGACCCCAGGACTCTTCCCTTCTAGCACCTTTTAACACTTAGGCAATTATACAGTTGAAATGCATGGGGATATCTGCATTTTCATTTTATCACTTGCAGGCAGAGATAGGAGTTATATCTTGGGGACTTTCATGGCTTAACCATGTCATGCCACCATTTATACGTAAGTATAGCCACCCAAGCTCCCAAGGTATGCTTTGATGTAGAATCCAGACAGAATTCTAAATAGGATAGTTGACATGTTTTGATTTATTATTCTTCCTGAACCCATCTGGTATTTTGGATATCTCACCTCTATCTTCCATGTGGTTAGCTGAGGGTTTGGGGAGAATTACATCTCCTTTTAGGGTTCTAGGTAGGATATTTACCATAATTACAAATTTTCTCTATTCTCTGCTTATTTCTCCAGGTTTCTCTCCATTCCAAGGTTTAGAATGACATTTTCATTGCTCATGTGACAGACTCCATTTATGTCTTACCCTATTATTCCACCACGTACAGTAAAAATTGCTGTGAGTTATCTAAACCCTTTCCTTTTTTATCTAAAAAACAAACAAAACCAAAACAAAGCAAAAAGTATCTCCCACTTTGTTCAATGAAAATTTTAGCTTTCGCATTATTTTTCTTTAAAACTAATCTTAAGCTTTCTCCAGAAATTGAATAGTGAATATTCTCCCTATGTTCTGTTCTAACCTCTCGAAAAATGGCTATATCCACTTTATTGGGTATACTTTGTCTCAGGAGCGTATGAATCACCAGTAATAAAATATTCAAATCCACAAGGAAAACTAAGTAAACTTTCATTTTGAGAAAGATCTTGGCCTTTCTGAGGCCTTATTTTCCAGAGAGAGTCTAACACTTACTGAGTCATCCCACTTAGGATAGGAAAGCTCTCTGGACTTACAGGGTGACCAAGACAGCCTTAAAATGCTCCCCTGCTTGACTAAACTTTAGACAGGCTTCCTCCTGCATGAAGTCCCCTGACCTGCCTTTTCTTAGAGCATTTACTTTAGAAATTTGTCATCGCAAAGTTTATCTGCCCCTTTGAGATTCAGATTTTTTAAAAGGCTTTTTAACAGTTTTATACCACAGTAATATCTTTCTCAACCACTTAGGGGGCATCCCTTTGAAATGTCATTGTCAAGGAAGACAGCACTGTCCTTATCTCTCAGTCTTTGTGGGAGGGTAGGAGTTGAACTTCTGGGGGCATATTGCTCCAAGTTGTAAAACTGGCTCTGTCATAAAGAGAGAAGAAAGGTTACTTTCCACTTTCCATTGGCTAAAGTGAACCAGCAAAGAAAGAGGCCTATGATCTCTTCCTGCTCCCCTCCCAGCTCTTAACAACTCTCCAGCCTTTGGTCTCCACGAAGCAGGGGTACCCATACTTCGTCTGTGCCCTCTTCCCTATTGGTGGCAACAAAAACAACTCGTGTGGATTTATGGTCCAGTGTGATATTTTTCTTTAACAAGAATCAGATCATAGGGGTATATGTGAAAGCTAGTCGCTTGGTTGGAAAGACTTCTATCAAACCATTGAAAGGTGAGGTTTTCTCTTTCTGCTGAGTAGCATCTATGTGTTCACATTCTGGCTGAGTCAAACCACATGCTCAAATATTTTCACTGAAGCCTGAATATATTTTGTAGAACCTCTGCCACAGAAGGAAATAGCTGGGTTCTCAAAGAAACATGCCTGGTATCTCAACTATAGCAGTGTCTTCAGTTGCTCTGTAGGTTAGTTAGGAAATTTAGTTTTGTTTGCTTACAATGCAAGTCATCAGATGAGGATCTGTACTCATCAAGAAGTATTCGTTGGTGTTTAAATATATCATTAGGATTGTAAAAATAATTATTGCTAAGATATGATGAAATCATAAGTAAAAGAGTCATAAAATGTCAAAATTAGAAGGAATACTTAAGTGGTATTTTAAAAACAAAATTCTTATTTTGAGACCCTAAACTATGTGATGTCTCCTGGCCAGGGCAACGTCTTCATATGTACACTCAGGCCCTGGAAGAATAGCTGTGTTGTATAAGGCATCACAGGTGTTAAGCAAACAAATATGTGCCCAATAGGTTCCTTGGTCATTTTCACCCACTGGTTCTCGTTCAAACAATTCAAACTCTGAATATCAAATGCATTTTCTTTTCTAAATGATTTTTTTTAAAGTTTGGTAAACATCATCTCCCTACCTTAAGCTGCCTGTCTAATTAACACATTCATGCTTTCCGTTCTCTTCTCAAAGAAAATTATTCCTCCTTAAAGGTTATATCCTTCGAGAATATAACAGTCCTTTAAATGTTCTTTGTAAGATATTTCAATTATTTAGTGAAGACTGTCCTAAATAGAATACCCCAGAATTTCTTATTATCATGTTGAAAATGTAGTAGTCAGAATTAACAATACTCACATATTATCTGAACAGAAATATCTGAACAGAAATAATACACACTCAGTTGAGTTCCGCTTTCTTTTATTCTGAGCTTGCCTGATTAGTGTTCTTGAAAGCCACATCACAGGCTAGCTCACATTGAATTTACTGTCCTGTAAATCACTTAAATATTTTTGTCACATGCTGATGCTAATTCAGTGCTTATATCATTTGCAATTTGGATCCAAGTATGGTATCTTCCATGTGTGCCTCTCTACTACATTTAATTTGTTCAATTCAGCCCATCCTTACAGTATTGTAAGATCATTTCTGTATTATAATTATTCTGCAATGCATTCACTAATCCTTCAAGATTCCAGTGACCCACAAATCTAATGAACATAGGAGCTTGTTCTCTATATGCTCATCCAAGTTACCGATTAAAATGTTTACTAGAACACAATTGAAGACACAGTTCTGAGACCTCTGTTCAAAACGATACCAAGCTTATAATCTTGTTTCGCATTTTTACTTTTTAATGCGTTGTTAATATATTTAATTAATGGTCTTTGCATATAGACTATATAATAAAAATGCATGTAATGACATTGGCAATAAACAATGAGAACATAATTTTTATTAAAAAGATGAAAAAACAATTATCTGCTACTTATTTCTTATATGGCTTACATAAGGGATCTAAAAAGCAAAAGTAATTTTTCTAAAAAAAAAAGTAATTTTAAAAAAAATTGCATGCCATGGCTCCCTGTAAGCTGTTGTTCCTAAAAATCATATATATATATATGATTCGATACGTATTTTATATATATATGATTCAACATTTCATTGTGTCTATTTATATACACATATATATAGGATTCAAGAATTTGTGATAAATTTGTGATATTGATATATATATATACACACACATACACACTGAAATATAGGATTCTCTCTGTCTCTCTCTCTCTATATATATATATACTATATATATTTTCAAGGTTTTATGCATATAGAAATATATGTGTTTTAGGGAAGAATTCTGTTTACATATTTTATAAGTTTCTTATAATTTTCACAAGGCAATTTTTGACCCTTTCTAAAATGTTTATGAAGTATTTCTTAAAGCTTAAAAATAAATATAATCCCTAATGTCACTATATCCAGGATGGAGAAATTCTGATATTTATCAAAAGCACCAAGTGAACTAAAGTGATAGGGTACAGCTTTCAAAAAGAGCAAAGTATAACTATTAGATAATAATTTATTATGTAGTTTTCTTTGAGTATAGGTAAAATGGATATTGTGTTCTATTTTCCCTATTACAGTGTGTTTTGAACTTCAACAAGTTTGTGTTTAATTCTTTGTCATTTACTCTAAGTGTGATTTTGGACTGTACTTGAGCTTTGTAAACTTGGGTTTTCTCATCTTTAAAAGTGAGATAATAAGAAGGCTGTTTATATAGAGTTGTGAGCATAAAATGATAAGATGTATGTAAAAAATATAACATGACAGGCATATAATAAGTATTTTCAATGTGTTTATGTTCTCAGGGATTTGTGTTGTTTCTAGCACTGTTACTGGAAAGAGGTCTTGATCCAGACCCGAAGAGAGGGTCCTTGGATGTTGAGCAAGGGAGAATTTGGGGTTAATTCATAGAGTAAAGTGAAAACAAGTTTATAAGAGAGTAGAAGTCTAAAAAAATGGCTACTTCATGGACAGAGCAGTGGCTTGAGCTGCTGGCTACATGATACTTATAGCTATTTCTTGATTATATGCTAAACAAGGGGTGGATTATTCATGTTTTCTGGGAAAGAGGTAGGCAATTCCCCGAATGAGGATTCTTTCCCAGTTTAGACCATATAGGGTAACTTCCGGACATTGCAATGGGATCTGTAACCTGTCATGGTGCTTGTGGGAGTGTCTTTTAATGTGGACACATTGTAATTAGTGCATAATGAGCAGTGAGGACGACCCACTCTTGGGGTCAGTGAGGAGGATACTCTTGTCGCCATCTTGGTTTTGGTGGGTTTTCACCGGCTTCTTTATTGCAATTTGTTTTATCATCAAGGTCTCTACGACCTGTACAGACCTCCTGTCTCATCCTGTCACTAAGAATGCCTAACCTGGGAATGCAGCCCAGTAGGTCTCAGCCTTATTTCACCCAGCCCTCATCAAGATGGAATTGCTCTGGTTCAAATGCCTCTGACAGTACTATGCTGTTTTCAGACTGTTTTGTGATACCCTTCTTTCATTCATTTTACAAGAGGGTAGGGCCTGGAGACATCCTCCTCATTTTGTTAGTTATACGGCATTGAGAAAACAATAGAAGAATGGCTGGGTACAAGAGCATGGCGCAGGCGTCGTAGGCTTTCCAGGATTAAGAAAGATAAATCTAAGCATTATTGGAATAGCTTTGACTAATTCGCCATATCCACAGCTCAGATGAAGATCTAGAACCACACAATGATTTCCCTGGCATATGCATGCATTACTTGGAGATTGATTCCAGGAATGATCTGGAACCCTGTATTTGTTAAGGTTAATTCAGTAAAGTGTATCATAGAGAACTGTTCTCACGGTCAGGTCTTTATCTTCAGAGAAGGTATCCTAACACTGAATCATCTGAGTTACTTACTACTGTGCCGAAATCGCCATATTTCAGTATGTACAGAGCCAAAAAGAACAAAATGATTAAGATTTTGTAAGTACTTACCTTTGAAGTCAAGAAGACTTTTGCGGCTCAGAGGTCCATGTCTAACATTTTACATTATAGTAAATCTCCAAATCTACAGAACTCTACTCATTTGTAATTCAGTGAATCCTGTTCCTAATTTACTCCCCTGCTCTACAGAGACAATACATTTGAGAACTAAATGTAATGTGAAAACCTCTTTTACAAATTCTGAAATCGAATAAAAGTATAAATAAAATTAACAGCATTTCTAAACATGGCAGTCTAAATATAAACCTGTCTGTATAGTTTATATGTTGCAGCTTGAATATTCTCTACTTTTCCATTTTCAAATGAACAATGATCTGATTCAAATTAGTTTATTTTTGTCTGGTTAATTTTCTATGTGTGTATTGCCTTATTTTTTAAATCTTGAATACAAATAAAATGTTAAATATCGTCATTTAAACAGTACCTTTTAATATATCACTAGCAAAGCCATCTGCTAAATTCAATGACATTTTAAGTTTATTAAGTCTTGTCTTCTGCAAGATATTATCATCCCCTCCAGAAGTAATAATTAATAATACTCAAACATTAAGCCCCTCTTTTAAGCATCTTATAAGATAATTGACAGGAAGGCTATAACTATATGCACAGCTAAAATAAGAAATTATTCCTGCAGATAGGTTGTGCTATCTATGTTGTAATCTTCCCATCATTTACTGGGATATCGTGGAGATTTTTGGATATTATGTATATAGCATGCTTTGAATTATAGAATGTCAATTTAAAATGGTGAAAATTAAAATTTTAGCTTATATGTTTACCCATGCATTCAGCAAAATATGTTAGGCTCCTAGAACACAGAAAATTGTTTGTATGTTTGCCTCTCACCAAAGATTGTTTTACTTTTCAATCTACTGTTCTTTTAAATAAGAGGGGTGCCTCATTCATGCTCTTTTTTCCAGAGCATAAAATGGGGCGTGGTACATACAAGATGCTCAGTAAATGTTAGGAGAACTAATTAAATGAGTATGCAAGTGAATTTAAAAACATCTGACTTTTGTATACTACAGGATTGCTATAAGTTTCATAGTCAACTAAAGGTCCATATTTTCACATGTTATATATTTAGAAGCACTGTACAATATAAAATATCATTATTGTCATGAATATTAGTTCATTATTTCCTAAAATATATGCAGGTAGGTGCCATATGCCTTCATGAAGGTCAAGAACAAATCCTTGCAGCATTATTTTCTGCTCACTCATCTAACCACTACAAGCTGGATTCTAAAACTTTCCTGCCTACACCTTATATTATACCTAGACAAATCTAGTTTTCATTCATTTCACATATTGTGCCTTCTCCCACCTCTGTTCCTTTACTTAAATCGTCCTTGACATTTGGAAGAAAATAATCCGTGCATCTTTTCCATTCCAGATTCCTGTCTTCTGTAAGCACTCAGCCGAAATTTTACTTATTCAGAGAACATCCCTCATTAACTCAGGCCCACAAGCCTTCCACTCACTTATCGGAAAGAATAATCAATTCTAATTTACATGCATAAGAATCTCTGGCCAGCAGTGCTTTGGGCAACCATAGTTTTTCCTATTATGGTTTTGAGAAAACAGTGAATTACATTTGTGTACCCCAAGTTTCAAATCTGCAGTTTTTGTATGTTTCATTTATTTTGTCCTGTCGAAAATTCAGCACGTTTAATATTTTTCTTCTACTCCAGTTACTGCGTGAGTAGACTCATGTTGGATTCCGCAGGGAAAAACTTTCTAAGATCTGTTAGTTTTCTTTACCACACTCACTATGTGATTAGGTCTAGGCCATGAATTCTTTCCCTTAAAATATTAATAGTTCCTTTGAATTTAACGTAAATTTCTCATAATTTATCTCATAGCAAGGGGAAGGATAAGTGTGGGAAGCACAGTATACCGAGCTAAAAAGACTAAGATCACCCCCTCAATGCCTAACAAAGCATTTGTGGGGAATTCAACTTAAAAATCATGATACTGAAGTTCTGAGGAGGTAATTAGGGTTAATTTTGAAACAGATATATTCCAAGAATTGCATTTACTGTGACACTATTTTATGTGTATATGTGTACACAAAGGTATATTATGGATATTAAATATATGTGATTATATATAAATATGCATACTTTATTAGTAATATATACAAAGTTGTTGGCATTTTTTAAAGGTTTCTTTTCCCTGCATAATAATTTTTATCAAAATTGCTTGTTTCTATTTTTTTTGTTGTTATTGTTCTGTGGACATTTCTTAGATTGAGATGTCTGGCAATTCTTAGTTATGTGTTCATATTCAAAATAGGGTATTAAAAATTGGTTGGCCATATGATATGCGGTTGAGAATTGTCAATAGTGATCCTAACTGCAGAATTATCTGGCTTGGTTGTTTTCCCTAAGGAATTCTCAAGAAATAATACTTTCGGGATAATTACCAGAATTCCTAGAGCAACCTTGCTTGAAAGTCAAGCTGGAGAAGAAATATGGGGCAAAAGAAAATCCCTCAACAGTCACTGCTCTCTGTTTCTGCATTCTGAGCAACGCAATTCTTCAGTTCTTCTCCCTAAAGACATAGAATCTGCTTCTCTATGTCTTGAATCACGGCTGGATTTGTGACCCATTTTGGCAAATAGAACGGAGCAGACATGATGGAAGTTCATAGCTCTTTAGCATCACAGTTGGTCAGAGCCAGTTGTAGTAAAATGCATAATTCCGTTTTGATATCGTTCAAGCAAATAGTGCTATAGGTAGAAAATCATTCTTTTAAACCTTAAAAATTTTTATTTCATTCATGCTCCTCCATCAGTTTCTATGTTTTCTGCTTATTTTCTCTAGAACCCTGGTTCCAATTATATACATATGTATGTGTTAAATATATATATATGTGTATATTTAACACATATATATGTATATAATTGAACATCTCTTCTAGGGTTTTGGGTTGGCAAACATTTTCTATAAATGACTAGACTTATCCATGAGGCCCAGTAAGCAGAGGCTCTCAGAAACATAGATAGGTAGATAGATAGACGGATGATAGATAGATAGATATTATAAATACATAAATATAAATAATATATTTTACTGAGACAGAGAGCTATTCCATGGAAGCAGAGAGCAGAGAGAGCTAAAAATCATCTATCTATATAGACCAATAGATATCTATCTCTATATATACCTGTAGATATATAGCTATATCTGTATATCTATAAATCATTACAGAGAGAGAGAGAAGGGCTAAGAAATTTAAAAGTACTGGGGTTCACAAAAATCATAATGTGGGACCTGGGTCCAGGTAGCAAACATTTCAGTCTCTTTGGGTAATGTGGCCTTTGCCATTGTAGAGTAAGAATAATTACACACAGTGCTTAAACAAAAGAGCATGACTGTGTCAATTATGCATTATTTACTAATTCGGTTGATAGGCTGAATGCATCTGCAAGCCATAGCTTGCTGACCTTTGCTGTTCTTCATCCTTCCTACCTCCTTCCTGCATCCCCAGCCTCACTGATATCCTCATTCCTCTTCTTTCCCAGATTAAATGCCATTGTCAGTCAGTATAATTACTGTCCTCACTGCACACTTGTTTACTCAGCCCCTGTTTACTTCCTTATTTCTGCTGTGCAAAACTTCAACCCTAGTTAAATACAATTATCTGCCTACTCCATGCCCATATCTATGCAGCAGGTAAGGCTGAATGCAGACACATTCTACTTTGCATGTATGGCTGGTCCCACAATAAACAGAGGACCACAAACCTCAAGTGGGCCCTTAAGGCTACCAGTCAATCCTATGGACTTTCTTCAACACAAAGACTCCCCGATGCTCCCGGATGTCTATTTCACAACTTCTCGCTTATCAATCCCCTGAACCTCCTCTTCCTTTTCTTAACGAATGGCATTTGCAACTTCACCTACGAAACTGCCTGAGTTAGAACAAAAATTCAGTTGCCAAATATACCCACAGATTAACTATCAATATTTTGCTCTGTACGAAATCAAGCTTGTTAGCATAAAAACATGGTTTTATTTGTCCCATATTTTTATATATATATATAAATTTTTGTTTTGTTTAGTTTTGTTTTTGTTTTGAGACGGAGTCTTGCTCTGTCACCCAGTCTGGAGTGTAAATTTTTGTTTTGTTTTGTTTTGTTTTTCTTTTGAGACGGAGTCTTGCTCTGTCACCCAGTCTGGAGTGTAGTGGCGCGATCTCGGCTCACTGCAAGCTCCGCCTGCCGGGTTCACGCCATTCTCCTGCCTCAGACTCCGCAGCGGCGCTGGGACTGCAGGCGGCCACCGCCATGTCCGGCTAATTTTTTTTGTATTTTTAGTAGAGATGGGGTTTCACCATGTTGGCCAGGTTGATCTCGATCTCTTGACCTCGTGATCCGCCCGCCTCGGCCTCCCGAAGTGCTGGGATTACAAGTGTGAGCCACCGCGCCTGGCCTATGTATATATAATCTTGATCAACTTTTCTTTCTAGCTTCTCTCCTATTTCTTTGTACCAAACGGCCAAAAAGGAAAGGTCATATTTGTTCAGTCTACTTCTTTCTTTTATATCCAACAGATGTTTTTCCCTCACTGCATCACTAATAACCTCCAACTGCTGAATTCACTGATTTCTCAGTCTCGTCTTAGGTAACCTATTTGCTGATTTGAGCACAGGTGATCACTCCCTCCTTCCTAAAACACTTTCATTGGCTTTTAGGACAGCAACATATTTTGGCTTTCCTCTTATGTCACTGCCTTGTCCTTTTTTGTGTCCTTTGCGGGTGTCTTTGCTTCTCTTTAATGTTTTTAATGTTGGAAAGATCCAAAGTGAAGCGTTGATCTACTTTTCTCTTCTACAGTCACTCCTGTGTCATCTCATGTCCTCAGGGCTGTGGTCTCATGATCTCAATTACCATCTATTTATTCCCCATTAAATTTCTGCCAAATCCGTCTTCCCAGTTGCTCAGGACAAAAATTTGAAATAATTCTTTACTCTTCTTTTTCTCTGCCACTTCACACTTCAATCCCCAGAAATATTTTCTTCAAAATTTATCCAGATACTGAAGAATTCTCATTCTCCCCAATGCTACACCTCATCACATTTCCCCTAGATTAGTGCAGCATTCTGTTAATGGTATTCTCTGCTTAGTACCTTGCGAAGACTTCCCATTTAATTTCATAAAACCTAAAGTTCTTACACTTATCTGTAAAGACCCCATATTCTGTGCTCTGTTTACCAGTTAACCTCATTTTCTTCTTCTTTTTTTTTTTTTTTTTTTTTTTTTTTGAGACGGAGTTGCCCAGGCTGGAGTACAATGGGGCGATCTTGGCTCACCACAACCTCCGCCTCCCAGGTTCAAGCAATCCTCCTGCCTCAGGCTCCCAGGTAGCTGGGATTACAGGTATGTGCTACCACACCCGGCTAATTTTGTATTTTTAGTAGAGGTGAGGTTTCACAGTGTTGGTCAGGCTGGTCTTGAACTCCTGACCTCAGGGGATCCTCCCAAAGTGCCGGGATTACAGGCGTGAGCCATCTTCATTTTGTCCACCTTCAACAACGACCTTGGCCCACTTCCTGTTCTGTGAATTGGCCAGGTATGTTTCTCTCAGTGATTTTGCACAAGATATTCCATCTGCCTGGAATGTTTTTTGAAACATCTCCTTAATTAATACCTTCATCTTCTTGAATCTTTGTCAACTTCTTAATGCTATCCTGAACAACCCAGCTAACACAGCAAACCAATCCCTCCCCTCCCAATTTCCTGCAGCCCTCTTCTTTTGCTTTTTTAAAAATGTTTGTTGTTTTATAATGTATACATAACTTAATTACTTACCATATTTGCTTGTCTTTATTTTTCCCACATCCTTTTTTTTTTTTTTTTTTTTTTTTTTTTGAGGCAGAGTCTCACTCAGTTGCCCAGGCTGGAGTGCAGTGGCGCCATCGCGGCTCACTGCAACCTCTGCCTCCCCGGTTCAAGCGATTCTCCTGCCTCAGCCTCCGGAGTAACTGGAACTACAGGCATGCGCCACTAGGCGCAGCTAATTTTTGTATTTTTAGTAGAGACGGGGTTTCATCATGTTGGCCAGGCTGGTCTCAAACTCCTGACCTCAAGTGAACTGCCCGCCTCAGCCTGCCAAAGTGCTGAGATTACAGGCGTGAGCCACTGTGCCTGGCCCCACATACTATTATATAATAAAATCTCTCTGCAGACATGGATCTCGTCTGTTTTGTTCACTGATGTATCTCTCCCAAGTGCTGGGCTAGCACTTGCCACTTAAAAAATGTTGTTAAATGAATAATTTTAAACAGACCTAGAGCAAGAAAAGAATAACATGATTAAAGTTAGAATAAACATGAACAATTTCCTTTGCTCTGTTAATTTAAATTTAGAAATTAAAATGTAAATATCCATTTATAACGTATTTCTTTGCAAACACAGATGCACACTTCCTCGTACATTTATTTGAAATAAATAGAAAAAGAAACCACTTAAGGCAATTAAGCACCTGGCCTTTCCATTTTACGTATTAGTTTGTTTTTCTGCTTGCTTACTTGTCCCATATGCAATACCACGTGACCTTTCGGATTTATTTTCTGACTCAATGGAACAGATAATGATAATTATTTACACAAAATAGAAGAGAAGAAAAAATTGAATGGCTCAAATTTCATTATGAAGGCCTTGTAGATACATATGTTTGCAAAATATGGATTGGTATCAGCCATTAGAAATATTGAAAAGAAATAAAATACCATTGGTAACAATTAATATTTCTTAGTATGCAAAGCAACATAGAAAATGGCTACTCTAACTTTGAATCTGCTGCCAAATTACTCCAATCAAATGGAAGATTGTCTTGATTTTAATTGACTTTATATTAAATCAAAAATTGCTATGTGATCCATAGTCCAGCTTACAAAAAAAAATGTTAGATATACTAAGTAGTCAAGGTAATCCAGTCTTTCTATTCCTAATTAGGCCTAAACTCTGATTTTTTTTTTATCTCACCCAAATTCCCATCTAAGAGGTCTTGGGAGTCATGCCCTACAAACAATAAATTTTCATCAGATAGGTTTTATTTAACCCTATATATCATGACTTCTTTCCCAACCTGACTCTGGCATAACATTACAAGATGAGGAATAAAATGAAAATATTTCACCCCCAAAACATGTGTTTTTTTGGTCATATTTTGAAATGGTCCTGCAAGCCATCCTTTGCGGGGGAAAATTCACATCTGTAAAGAATCCCTACTAAGGTAGCCAGATCTTTTCCTTCCAGGCCCCTCCAGTTCTGAATAGATTAACTGAGAGTCTAGCACCTTTGACAGGGTCTGAATAGGAAACATTTGTCATCTCTTGTTTCTAAGGGCAGTCATTATGAGACTTCAAAAGATCCTTGGTCTCCACAATTTTTATCTTAACCTGAACATTTTCTTTCTATTGATCTCAGGTTCTCAGACAAAAACTCAACCAGTTTTCAACCACAAACTGTATAAATTTACCCATAGCCTGGGAGCCTACCCACTTTCAAGTTGTCCCGCCTTTCTGAAACAAACCATTGTATTCCTTAAATGTATTTGATTGATGTTTCATTGTCTCATGCCTCCTTAAAAATCTATAAAACCAAGCTGCACCCCGACCACTTTGGGCACATGTTCTCAGGACCTCCTGAGAGCTGTGTCGTGAGCCATGGTCACTCATATTTGGCTTAGAATAAATCTCTTAAAATATTTTACAGCGTTTGACTCTTTGTCGACACTAATTTCAAATAATAAAATCAATACTAATATGCTCTGATGATCCTCTGTGCAGCTATTTCAATGTGGTAGCATTGAAAGCATTATATATGTTAAGTCAAAAGATATGATAAATTAGGCAAAAAGGATAACACAAAAAAAATTCTATTTGTCATCCCATTAATGTAATTTCCACTGAACTTCCATTCACTAAGTTTTGAAGTGAGTTTTGAATTGAGATTGATGTTGAAAATATTTTTACACATTTCCCTCTATCTAGGCTGTTGGATTTGTCTTAAAGAATATCCATTATGACACTATCTGCCCTGCTCTGAGAATAATCTCTCTGAGTATACATTTGCCAGATTGGAGTGTTTAATAGCATCTATAAGCCAAGTAGCAAATCTGTGTTGTCAGATCTTACATTACAGAATTCAAACAAATATGTTCCTTAGAGAGCTAGCTTTCTTTATGTATAATAGTGAGATGTGAATATATGCAACTGTCTAAGATTTGTCACTGTTAACATTTTGAGTTCAAGGTTTTCTGAAATATTGAAGAAATACAGGTACACTGATTGCGTATCTGTTTTGCATGACTCTTTGCAAGGAAAGGAAGACTGCAAAACCTCAGTAAGTGCATGCTATGTGATAATCTAGCTCCATTCAATTCATACTGAATGGGTATGAGAGTACATGCAACAAGAGCAGAAGAGAGGGAAAATAAAACTAAATAATTGTTTTTTTTAGCTTTATACATTTTGTTCTAAACAACATTAAAATTTTTAAAAATAGTTTCATTAAATGTCAGCAATATGCTTGTAACAGTTGTTTTACAAAATTCAGAATTTATCATATCCATATGTTCTGGTACACAAAAGTATAATGCATACATCTATCTCATGCACAAGTATGCAAACTTCTCAAATAAATATAAGTAACTTGAATTAAGAAACAGGTGCAAAATAATAAACAATAACTATTATTTTTTTCATCAAGACTTGAAGTATAAAAATTATATATGTTACTCACTACACTGAAAGTTTAAGAAAGAAAATCACAAAATATTATTTTGTGAACTAATATAGGTAATAATTTAACTAAAATTAACAAAACTTAAGGATATATATATATATATATATATATATATATTTACAAACTAAGAATTTAAGGAAGAATCTTTAACCACATAAGGATCTTCCAATGAGTGCTTGTACTGTTAATACACACTAGTTAGTGGTCTCATTTTTATTTCATCAGGAATTCTAGAGAGTCTTTTTTGTCTATACAGAGTCTGAAATTTAAAAAACAAAATATTGTAAGTAGGTGAGGAAATATTGGTCTAGACAAAGTGTCTTTCATAGTTTATTCACTGTTAGAACCATTATGGAAGCTCAGCAATGTGTCTGAATAAAAAATAATGTTCATTTAAATGCAATAGTCTGTATATCGATCACCAATAGCAAGTTAGGAGTAGTAACAAAATATTAAATTATCTGAGAATAGGTTGGGCGCAGTGGCTCACGCCTGTAGTCCCAGAACTTTGGGAGGCCGAGGTGGGTGGATCACCTAAGGTAGGGAGTTTGAGACCAGCCTGACCAACATGGAGAAACCCTGACCCTACTAAAAATACAAAATTAGCCAGGCATGGTTGTGCATGCCTACAATTGCAGCTACTTGGGAGGCTGAGGCAGGAGAATCGCTTGAACCCAGGAGGCGGAGGTTGCGGTGAGCTGAGATTGGGCCATTGCATTCCAGCCTGGGCAACAAGAGCGAAACTCTGTCTCAAAAAAAAAAAAAAATTATCTGAGAATAAATATTTTCAAAAGATGAGCTAAACTCTTTTTGTAGAAAAAAAAAGTACTGCTGCCAGAAATATAAAATATATGAATAACCATATAAATTATCCATTTTTCAAAAATGGAGTCATAAAAATATTAAATCTTCTTCATTGCTTCTGTAATTGATTACCACAAACTTCGTGGCTTTAACAATACAAATTTATTATCTTACAATTCTATAGGTTATAAAAACGGCAACAGTATCTTTGGCCAAAAAGGAAAGTGTCAAAATCACTGTGTTTCTTTCTGGATCTCTATGGGAAAATCCATTTTCTTATTCTTTTCTGTTTCTTGAACATTTTCTCCCACATACCTTGACCCATTGCCCGCTCCCTCCATCTTCAAAACCAGCAACATTTAAATGTAGCCTTTTCTATGACAGTTCTTCTGGATTCACATCTTTATCTCAATACCATCAAGAAAATATTCACATTTTTTTACATGTGGTTGTCTTCCCTCAACTCTGAGCCCCACAACTTGGGGCTGTTCTCCAGAGGTAACTAGAAAGATTTCATAGTTCAAGAAGCCTTGCCCAAGTCAAGGTCTAAAGGTTAATATTATATATGTAATATTATATATATATATATAATTACATATTATATATATATAATTACATATTATATATATTTATATATACTATAGATATAATTATATATATATACTTACATATTATATATATACAAATATATAATGTATAAAGATATACAACATCCGTATATATCAGAAGTGGAAACATGGCATTTATGTTGAATTTTCGGCTTTAAACAACCCTCTTCTCACTTCTATTGTCCTCCTTCTGAACTGCAGAAAAGAGAAAAAGCTGATACCATATTTCCTAGAAGTATTTCCTAGAATTCCCTTCCTTCTGCTATTCTGGGATGAGATTCAGATTCCATACCAAGCAGATGAGGCTAGAGATATCTGGAATGTGCAGACTTGTGATTCATAGTAGCTTCTTGACAGTGATTTGCAAATAACTTTTAAGCTGTAGCTTGAGATTGTTGATGGAAACAAAGAATCCTAAGAATTGCTTGCAGGTTCCTACTGACATTAGGAGAACTACAACTGAGAATCTTTTAATAAAAGTGTCTAGTATCTGTTTCCTTAACTGGCCCGATGTAGCTTCCCTGACTTCTTTGAGTCTCCCCAAACTTCACTCCCCAAGTCTTCTAACACTCACGTAAACCCTAATAGTTATATAAAATCATTATTTTTTAAATCAAATGCAAATTAATATAGTATTTGTTAGATAAATTTTAAAAAATAAAACTGAGAAGGAAAGAACTAATAAATGGTGATTAAACAACATGTTATCCATATTTTAAAAGATAGATTTTTCCTTCATATCCATCATGAACAAAAACCCCAAGTAGAGTAAATTTCTGAATCAGAAGAATAAATGTTACTTTTAAATTAAAAAATGCAATGCATTTATAAAAATGTTAGAGCAAGTATCTTAAAATAGGATAGAAGAAAGCAGTTTTTTTTAATGAGCTAAAACATAAATTTGGAGGCAACTCTCCATATATCTGCATCTACTTTTAAAACTTATAGACAACTTAAATTTATAAAAATGGGTGAAGATAGAGACCACTACTATTCGTCCAATCTCCCCCTTATCCTTTTCTCACTGTAATATGGCTTAGTTTTTATTTGGGGGAGAAAAATACAAGTTAAATGTCAATTTCCCACTTTGAATCAAGTGTAGCCATATGACTAAGTTCAGAACAATGAGTGACAATTAAACTGAGATTTTAAAAATGTTTTCACAAAATTCTAACAGGCAATCGAGAGCAATGAGATCTACAAAGGCAATAAAATGCCAAAATAACCCCACCCTGCTAATCTAATAGTCATGGCAATTAAAAACAAACTGGGGATGAAACTTTATATTTTATATGTATGTTATTATTTTTTGGCAGTACCTTATGATTACAAGGATAGGTACAACTTGAGCTCCTTTACATTGTTGGTAGTGATTTCAGTTTTGATAGTATTTAAGAAAAAATCAGAGAGCAATTTGGCAAAATCTCCAAAAAGCTGTATTATTACCAACTTTTAAAAATTATTTATCCATATTATTAGTTTTGGGATATATTGTTGGTTATAGTGTGGTTGTTTCAGAATTTGCAAAGTTGTTCTATATGTATGTATATATATACCCAAACTATTTCATACATGTCTATCTCTCTTTTTTTGTGTGTATGTATATTTCCAAACTACAGTTACTATGTATCTATATATCATATATGTGTGTTTGTGTGTATATCTTCCCAAAACTACTACTAAAATGGATAAATATATTACATCATAGTTTATTATTACAATGATGTCTTGCTAGTAATTGAAATAAGTAATTAAATGTTTATATAGCCTCATCAAGTATCAAATACAGTGTTGTATGGAAAGAAAATCTCAAAAATTTAGTTAGAATTAGATATTGTGCTTTTCAAGTCATGCTGACTAGGGAACTGCCTTTGAGAAGGTAGGAGAAAGAGTAACAAGGATTAAACAATGTGAAATGTCAGCAACTTATCTTATAATTTTGGTCATGTCACAGCTGACTGTTACATGTGAGCAGTAAAAAAAAGAGTAAGGGCTGTGTTCCATACAGTCATTCAGGTATCAAGCCCCCTTTGATCATGGGGTTCTCCAGCTTTTAGGATCTCCTACTCCTCTGTATTCAGTCAGTAAATGTTGGACAGAGAGTGTAGAGGATTTTCTGTGATCTTTTCAATAGGCTTCATCTTAGGTGGTGTAGGTTGCTTTTACTCACATCATATTGGTCATACTCAGTCTCATGAAAGCAACTAAAGACAAGACTAGTGAATATAATCAGGCAGTGTGATTTGTAGGTAAAGGAAATAGATAAACTGTAAAATCTAATTATATAAAAATACAATTAATGGTTTTTGAAAACATACCTTTATAGTGGATGTGTATTAGTTTTAGCTTCCTAGTGGTGCTGCTATAAAACATTAGCACAAACTTAGTGGATTAAAACAACACAAATATACTACAATAGTTCTATAGGTTAGAAATCTCATTGTCCTTAAATCAGTGTTGGCAAAGCTGCATTCCTTGCTGGAACCCCTAAGAGAGAATTCAATTCCTTGCCTTTTCAAGCTTCTAAAGGCTGCCAATATTCTTGGCTTATGGTCTTTTCCTCCATCTTTAAAGCCTGCAGCACAGCATCTTCAAAAAAACCTCTATCTAACTCCTCTTCTGCCTCACTCTTGCTTTAAAGGACACGTGTGATTGCAGTGGGCCCACTAGGACGCTAGGATAACCCGAAGATAATCTTCCTATTTTAAGCTAATCATCTAATTAGAAAACTTATTTCCATCTACATCTTTAATTCACCTTTACCATGTAACAGGATCTATCCATAGATTCTATGGGTTTGGGTCTGACATTTTGGGGTGGGAACATTATTCTACTTATCACAATATGTAGAAAATTATTGCCTAATGTAAACAACTTGTAATATTTATTGTCTCTCTCTGGATAGATTTCTAGAGCACTTCATCTGTATTTGCAATCCTATGTTTATTTTTAAAATATAGCTGTAATAAACATCACAAAATTATTGGTCAATTCCAGTGGTGCATTCATGCTTTGATATTAATCTTTGTAATTTCCTGCATTTTAATTAGTGGAAATAAAAATATATCACATGTAAATAAATATGAATGAAGTGAAATAATTATAGAGAACTAGTTCAATGAAAAGGAAGAAATAACTTATCTTTCTTTTAAGCATAACTCCTGTAAATTTAAGTGCAGTTTTAAAAGGGGAAAAAATGAGTAGGAGAAAAATAAAAGAATTATGAAATGTACACTAATTATTAAGAAAAAAGCCCATTTGTCAGAAAAGAATAAATTATATGCCATTAAAGAAATTATAAATTATCATTCAAATAAAAAAAAGAACTACAGGAACGTAACTTGACAAAATAGCAAGAATTTCAGATATATTCAGCATAGCCATGTACACACAGAAAATTCTCCCTTAACTTTGAAATTTAAAGTTCCTCCTGAGCTTGGTTGTTGGGGGCGGGTTGTACAGTTCCTGGGAAGAAGGAAGTTCAATTACAATCAGCAAAGTTTTCCACTACCAGCAGTAGGTTTTTGATCTGAGATTGCCACACATGGTTTATGTTCGGTGAAGGGCAGATGTACAAATAGAAAAGCTCTGTGTTAAGCCTTGGCAAATGCCATCAAGAAGGTAGGAGGGCAGAGTAACAAGCAAAGTTGTTACCGTAAAGAGAATATAAATATCTGTCTCTTTGTCCCAACGAAAATGACCATATTGAAAAAGACGTAGAAATGCAAGGTGAAATGGAGAGGGGAACAGGAGGAGAGTCAATTACAAATTAACTTACAATTTTGTAAATTTTGAGATAACTGTAGACTTTAAAATATTTGAGTAAATATTTCTATCTCTAAATGAAATATTATACAAAAATTTTTTTCACACATGTGTCATGGCATTTAGATAATTTATAGTTAGTATTGCACGTCCAGAATAATTATAATTTTAACCACCTCATAGAACAATTATAAAAAGTAGTATTGATTTTTCAGCTAAGAATTTTTAAATGTCTTAAAAACTCTTCATTGAAAAGCTACTTTCTTTGGTAAATTGATTAAGGTTACTCTGGTGACCTGTGAGATGTTTATCATGCTATACTATTCCAGTGCTTTTTGAGGGTATATGTAATGACACTCTTTAAATAACCATGACCGTGGCAGTGAGATCTAGATTATGCTTGCAGGATGTTTTCCTGAAAACCGTGTATGCCAGTTTTTTCAGGCTCCTCCTATTTCTCTTTAATTTTGGACATTTTCAATATCTTCATTGCCTTGAACAGTCTAAATGACTGAGTAATAACGTCAATTGAGAAAACTATTGTTTTCATAAAAAATATATGTCACAGTGCAGCTCTTTTACCTTTTGTTTTTGGATTGTTTAAAGGAAATATAAGTTTAAAAAGCAAGATGGTTTATTTTTCTATGTACAGGCAAAATATCTGAGCTATAGTGATGAATATGAGTATTAAATCTTTAAAGGCAAAAGGAAATTCAAGGAGGTCATCGAATTTCCTTAGACTCATCTATAGTTTCATTTCCCTTTTGTTTTGAATTTTGTTTTATACTCAGCAACATTGCGGTTTACAGACAGAACGTATTTTAAATTCTATTTAATGGCAGAAATGTTATTACTGGAATAAAATTGGACACATTATTCTGCTTTTGAGAAAATAAGAAAAGACTTGTATGACACAACAATATGATTAATTATTAACCTAAAGACAAAAAAGTCAGAGAATATAAAAATGAAATAAATCAACATAAACATGAAACTCTATAAAGGGAGGGTGAAAAATGAAGATAGTTGTGATCTGTGTTGAAGCCTAAAAACAGATGAATAAAAATGAGAGGAATTAATTAAAGGGTATGGATTTCCCTTATGTTAGTTGTTATTTCTATTAATAATGAATAATCTTGTAATGAGTACTGTCACTTTAAACTGTGAGGTAAGTTACACTTGACATGGTTCACATTATTATTTTAATTCTTTATGTCCAAATACGTCATTGTGGTTATCTCTCTTTTCCCATACTTTCATTATTGCTTTCACTTTCAGCACCACCAATACATTCTGGACATAGCTGCAGGAGTGATCTTTTCAAAAATGTAATTTGGATTAAGTATTCTCTAACATAAAATGATTTCAATTCATATTATATTATATTTGTGACTATGGGCATACTCAAAAACCAGATAAACTTTTCAAGTTACTGTTAGGAAACAAAAGCTAAAACTATGAGTCTGCTTAATTTCACTTCTAGGAATAGGTGTTGAGTTTTATTTCTGGTGGACGAGTGGCCATGCACTGCAGGAAATCAAAACGAGGCTCACAGCGCTAAACTACTCACTGAATTGGCCCTTCTGCACCCAGAAACAAAGACTATAAACCATCAGAAACTGAGCCCTATGGCTGTGACTTTTATAGCTACTGCTCCCCTGTGATAGTGAGAGGAAAAATGATAACCATTCAACTTTGTATCGGGCTAGGCTACTTGAGGGATGATCTCTCCCTAGTTTCCTCTGAACAACAGCCCAAAGTTGAGGGGCCCAGGACTGGGGAAAGCAACTATAAAATAATGGGTTGGGAAGAAGTGATCACAGATCTTAAAAAGTAACACCCCCCCACCCCCACCCACCCAATGTGGAAACCAAAACCTATTATAGTGAATAATAAGCTGACAAAGGTTTCAAAGAAAGTGAGAGAAAATAATGGTTTTTACTTATTAAATAAAGTAACTGACAGATCATTACAACAATAAAATGTACATATATATATATGGCTTTTTTGTTTTCAAGAGATGAGGTCTCACTATGTTGCACAGGCTGGAGTACAGTGGATATCCACAGATATCATCATCATAGCTCGTGTACGTCAAACCCCTGGCTTCAAGACATCTCCCAGCCTCAGCTTCCTGAGTACCTAGGACTATAGGCATGCCACCACACCCTGGATGAAAATTTTTCTTTTTCTTTTTTTCTTTCTTTCTTTTTTTTTTTTTTTTTTTTTTTGAGACTGAGTCTCGCTCTGTAGCCCAGGCTGGAGTGCAGCGGCGCGATCTGGGCTCACTGCAAGCTCCGCCTCCCAGGTTCAAGCGATTCTCCTGCCTCAGCCTCCTTAGTAGCTGGGACTACAAGAGCATGCCATCATGCACAGCTAATTTTTGTATTTTTAGTAGAGATGGGGTTTCACCACTTTGGCCAGGATTGTCTCAATCTCTTGACCTCGTGATCCACCTGACTCAGCCTCCCAAAGTGCTGGGATTACAGGCGTGATATACTAAAAACTGTAAATGAACCAAATTAAATTCCTTGTAAAGGAAGATACTATGATTGCCACAGGAAAAAACAAAAGTGAAAACTCAGACTTCCTAAATTAGATATGCTCTGATCTAGTAATAGTCAAAGAAAATTGATCAATTAGTTATACTCAAGAATTCACTCTAAGTTAGCAAAGAGAAACAGTAAAAGAATAGAATAGAAGCCAAGTATAAATCCCTGGATGGGCGATTGAGAAACTCCGTCAAACAATCAATAGGTGTTTTTGAGAAAGAGCATAGACACAATGGCAGAGAAGCTATTATTGAGGGCAATTGCTGAGAATTGTGCTGGCTTTAAGATTAGCATCTCTCTTTCATTTTAAAAGTCCAGTGAGAGCCAAAGGCAATTAACTCAAATAAATCCACACATCTAGACACACTGTAGTAAAACTGTAAGACACTATGTCTTTTAAAAAATCTTTAAATATATTACAAACAAAAAAAATAATTAACTAACCACATGGCCTGAAAGGCCCGTATGACTGAATCTTAGAACCTACCAGGTCTCTAGCTTCTGACAGGGCTTTATTCCTTGGGGTCTAGGTAACTACCATGTTGGCCTTGATCATTTCTTAGAGTAGATCAGGTCATTTCTTAACCCAACCTCTTCCTTTATTCTGTTAGGCAGAAGAATCATGCTTCTACTATACTTCTCATAATTAAGCTCTACTTATTGCTCAAATTTCTGCTTAAATGTTTCTATCTTAGAGAGAACTTTCTTGAGCTATCAACCTAGAACATTTTGTCATGCACACTTACATTCTTTTATTTCATGCACTGTGACCTTCCCCTTCTTTGCAATGAATGGAAGTTGTAATTACTCAATTGTGTTTATATTTTTACATTTTTGAAAAATAATTGTTTAGTACCCAGGCATTATCTGGGAAATATAAAATTTATCTTATGGTCAAGCATTTTTCCTAAGTATTTTCAAAGTGTGATTGTTTTTTGGATGGATCTTCTTGCAGCCTTGCAGTGAAATTCATGAGTGAATTGTTTAAGCAGATAGAACATATGAATGTTTTTTTTCCCTGTAGATTATGCATTAAAAACTGAGTGCTCTATGAAGCCCCTTGACCAGGAATTGCATTTAAAATATTTCTCTTCTTTGTGTGTCTATTCCCTGTTACATATCAACCTGAAAATTTTGAAAGTAACTTCTCTCACATACTCAGTTCCACAGGCTCCTAATTTTAACCAGCAGAGTGGCCAGCTAACTCCATGATGTTCAAACAAAAAACTGTGATGAACACATATTATTTGAGGATTTCTTTCAGGAAGGAAATTTGTCTGATTGGCTCTCTTGAGACCCACTTTGTGTAACAAAATGAGTATCTGCCTTTCATTCTTTGGAATTAATCCGGTTCTTCTGCAAATTCTCTTTGTTTAAACTTTGTTCATGCCTTAGAATTCTTTGCTTATTTATTTACCTTTGCAGAATTGGGCTGTTCTCTCACTGATACCCTAAACTGGATGCAATAGGGTCCATGTGCTCTCTTCTGTTTGATCGTTCCCTGACTTGGTAAGGAGTCAGAAGTTCCAGCTCAAGTTTCAGAGAAAGAGGGCTTTAGCTGGAAATCTTCTTGCCCCTATCCTCTATATATTTCATTACCTCTCAGCAGTTGCTGTCGTCCCTTGCTGATTTTCTGCTTCCTTACAGGATATGTCTCATTTACAGGGACATGAAGCTCTCTAAGCCATATTCTCAGATGAATATGTTATTATCTCTGATTCAGCTCTTTTCAGGATTTTGCAAAGAAAAACTCTGTTCTTCCAAGCAGCTTATGAACAATGTATTTGATTTCTTGTTATCTGTGAGCATATTTTTCTATTGTGCCTCCCACATATTTGCAAGTCTATAAATCTACTTCCCTTTGTAAGATCTGAAAGACACTTATGCATGGAGATGATACTCTGCTCTATTACCAATTTATCAAGAATCTCCTTCTTGATTTGTATGTCTGGACTTAGCCAGGAATACCAAAGCTTAGATATTCCTCTCAGAGATGGAATCTGAGAGGTAAGTATGTAAATTCTTTAATGCTAGTGTGATAGATCTAAGCCTTGAAATATTGCTTATGATTATCAGGTCCTTGGGAACATAGGCACATGCTGTTCTGATTGAAGACTCTCATAAGGTCTTTCATGCTCCCATGAAAACCTCAGATCTGCAGCCAACTTTAGCAGAAAATGTATCACTGTAACTCAAAAACTGGGTTATTAAGAATCCAGTTTCTTACTTAGATTTTTCTATAATAAGTTTTTATTTTATTTTGTTTTTAAATAAATCCCACTGTAATAAGATTACAGTGTTCATAGTTTTATTTCCTACACTTCTGATTGTCACTTACGATGTATCATAAATTCTTGTTTACTTATAAATATCTTACTATCATTTCAATATCTGTCTCTAAAATATACTCAATGTAATAGAGACTGTAATTACTTCACAACTTTTATCTACTACCTGGAACACAATGGATGTTCAATTTTATCATAAAAAGAAGGACATTTTCTGATTATTTCTCTCTACCTGACCTGCAGTTACTCTTGTTTTCAATTCACACATCTTTACGTAGTACCATCTGAACATATTTTGGTCCTTAACTTGCGGAAAAGTCCACTGTCCCCTTACTTTGAAATGAGTTACTCCTCCAACAACAAATGAACCTTTAAATGTTTGACTCAGGCAGGCAGCCAATGTGGTACTAAAGCAGCCATGGTGTGATGGAGTAGCTTCATCACAGCATTTTCCATCTATATCATGTTGATTCTCACTCATGACCATTAACTTCTGTTACTCAAGTGTACTTTCCAGAAAGCATTCAGAACGCACAGGAGCATCCCAGATGACTCAGGCAATTAAAATAGAAACGTGGTGAACTCCTGCAGTTTCTCTTTCCATTCCCATCCTGATGGTGAAAGAAAAAGTCTAAAGGAAGGTTAACTGATAAGTGATTGATTACATAGCTTATCATCTAAACAGAGACACTTTTGAGAGTGAAAGGGAAAACAAATTAAATAAAATGATCTAATGTTGAAACATTTCATTTTCACCACTATTATTACTTCAGAGGGTGTAGAATTTATATTACTATATTTTCAAAAATAAAATTGTTTCTAAAACAAATATAAACTTATCAGTATAGTAAAACAAGATTTTTTTAAATTTTTATTTTTATTTTGTGAGCAACAAATTACAAATAAAATGAACAGAGAAAGTACTGTACATATTATTACATGGATTAGTTTCTTAACTTCTAATTGTTTCTAATAATTACATTTTTATACATTTATTTTCAATATGATCATATTAGTTTATTTTTTATAAAAGTGCCAGTAACCTCTTCAAAATTGTATTTTATTATCGCAAAATTTGAAACTGAGATGGTCTTTTATTTAAACCATGTTTTTTATTGAAAAAGTAATTTATCTTAAAATGTTGAACTGAAAACAAATTCTACTAATGAAGTATTTTCTTAAAGCTTTCTTTTTGCATTTTAATGTGTAAATACTTAAGCTCTAGCATTTTCACAGATGGTGCATTTTTTCTTTCATTTACAGTATCTTTTTTGATAAACATTTTATGAAACGCAACTTGTTTTATAAGCTCCCTTTACTTACGATTATTAACAATACTTTTTCCAGAGTTTGTAGACTTAAAAGTGAAAGACCTTTTCAGATTTACTCCATTTAGGTTCAAGAATATTCATTGACCCAATTTAAAAATGTGTGTTCTATAAAAGTATGCTTCCAACAAGTTAAGATATTCAAACATCAGGCCAGGCACGGTGGCTTATGCCTGTAATCCCAACACTTTGAGAGGCCGAGGTGAGTGGATCACCTGAGGTCAGGAGTTCAAGACCAGCCTGGCCAACATGGCGAAACTCTTGTCTCTACTAAAATATACAAAAATTAGCCAGGCATGGTGGCAGGTGCCTGTAATCCCAGCTACTCGGGAGGCTGAGGCAGGAGAGTTGCTTGAACCCGTGCAGCAGAGGTTGCACTGAGCAGAGACGATGCCACTGCATTGCATCCTGGGTGACAAAAAAAAAAAGTAAAATAAAATACAAAAATTAAAAAAAAAGATATTCAAACTTCAAAATTAAACCATGTGCAATATTTCAGTTTGCTTTATTTAATGTTTTCAGGTTCTTTTTTGCTTCTGGAAGAAAAATTGTAAGTAGCTTCCTTTTGAAATATTTGTTTTCAATAACTGCAATTTACAAAAAGCTTCAAAAGCTGTTGTTGCTGTTTTAATCATAGAATATTTTACTAAATATTTTCAATTGGCATTGAACCAAATACAACCAAAATCCAGCAAACACTTCTAAATCTGATCAATAACTGGCAGTAGAAGGAGAAAGAACAATTACAGTTGAAACCAAGATTTAAAAACAAATCTAAATTTTAGCTTATGGAGATAACACGCTGACACCCATTTTTCCACTCTGCATATGTACAAAAGAAAACTTCAGATATGAGTAAAATCACTTTAAGATAGTAGTAATTTCATCTAAAAGGGAAGACAGACTTCAAAAAGTGATATGCAAAGAATTCTTTGACAAGCACTGTGATAATTTCTCTTCCTTGGAGATAATCTTCTTAAAATAACTATTACCATTTCCTCAACAGATTTATGTCTTTTGGTTTTCCTGTGGTCGAGACCATTCCTACAGTTTCCATCATGGTTGTGAATGTAGACAAGCATTTTATTCATGTTATCTATTCATCTTATGTCTTGAGAAATTTAAATATAATACTTAAGTTTTCATTAAATGCACAATTTGCTCATGGAAAGGAAGTGTACATTATTTTGCATATGGAAAGGGTTAAGGAAGAAAAGAAAGAGTATCTCGTTATTAAAAAAAAAACCTGAAAAAATCGGAATGGGAATTTAAGACAACAGGTATAATCTAAGTTTGTTGCCAACAGAATAGATGGTCACCTTTAAGTATATAACACAACTCCTGTCACCTCCTATCCTTTAGTATGGCAGTTTCTAATCATTGATCAAAAGCCTCTTTCCTTCCTGTCCCACATTCTGCCCCATAATCCTTCTCAACATCCACTCATTTCTAATAAATACACAAAAACAGAATTTGGTGACCAAAAGAGCTCAAATTTAATTCATCAAAATAAGTGATTTGGTGGAAGCTGTCTATACTTTTCTTGACAGTGTTTGTTTTTAATATCCAGCTTAACATTTGTGTTCTTGAATATTGGGTTTAGAAATCTATGTAACATGTTACCTACTAAATAAATTATTGTGATTTTCAAGGTATGGCACCTAACAAATGTTTGCTGGCAATAATCCCTATGTAACTCGTATCTGGAAACAAAACATCTTACAGAGCCATTTGAAAATGTTGTTAATAACTTTCCTTTTTGTGACTCAGCATCTATTTTTTAAGATACATAGAATTTAAATTTGAATTGTAACATTATATTTCAACTTTTTTCCCTATTCTTTTTCTTTCACTTGAAGGACTATCATACCAAATGCAGAATAAAGAATAGAACTTCATGTAATGATTTGATTATAGCTTGTTAAGAATAGACTTGTTTTCCACTCATCATTCTCTCTTCAATTTTTCACTGAGCTGTGCTCTTTTAGAAATTTTGTTGAGTGGGAAGATGTGAGATTATGTAAACACGCATTGAACAGCTGAACTGAAATGTTTATAGCCCCAAACAGGAGATTACTCATTGGCACTAGTACAATGCACAGACATTTTCATGCATGGCCTGTAATTGCAATATTGTATTTGAGGAAAAATGTGTTTGATAAAGAGTGAAAACAACTCTACAGTTGCTTAGGGAGATAACATTGGTTAAGTTAACTAAATCAATGTTTCATCTACTGGTTTATGTTTCATCAGATCTAAGGAAGATTATGTTATAAAGCATGCTGAAATGCTAAATTATAATTAAATAAGACATGGTATAATTAATTCTAATTCATCCAATTGAATGATCCTGTTCAATTTTGTATGTATATAATAACACTATTATTCATATAGAAATTACCCAGTTACCTTAATGTGCATTTTACTTTTTTCAACTTATGAAAAAAGTACTACCAATTTCTATCCTACTGTTTTGATCAATCTGTCAAAAAAATGCTTGCTCTAGGTGGAAAATAAATGAATCCAATGCGCTATTATTCTGCTTAAACCAATTTAATAGAATTTTCCATAAAATTTTCTTCAAGTTGGTCATTTAAATTTTAGAATTTTATGTAAAACAAAAAAGAATAACTCTTCTGATTATTTTATTTAACTTGCAAAGTATTAAGGAGATGTCTTTGGGAAGAGATAGCAGACAGATTACATGTTTTTATATTTTTGCTTTATAATCCTTTGTATAGTTCCTATAGCTTTTTAAAAATCTTTTTCTAAGGATAAGAACATCCCTCATTATAGCCTTTTAAAATGCTGATCTGAAAGTGGAACTGTTACCAGAAAGGGGTCCCTATCCAGACCGCAAGAGAGGGTTCTTGGATTTCTCCCAAGAAAGAATTCAGGGCAAGTCTGCAGTGCAAAGTGAAAGCAAGCTTATTTAGAAAGTAAAGGAAAAAAAGAATGGCTACTCCGTAGACTGAGCAGCCCTGAGGGCCGCTGGTTGCCCATGTTTATGGTTATTTTTTGATGATATGTTAAACAAGGGGTGGATTATTCATGCCTCCCCTTTTTAGACCATCTAGAGTAACTTCCTGGCATTGCCATGGCATTTGTAAACTGTCATGGTGCTGGTGGGAGTGTAGCAATAAGGACGGCCAGAGGTCACTCTCATGGCCATTTTGGTTTTGGTGGGTTTTGACAGGCTCCTTTACTGCAATCTGTTTTATCAGCAAGGTCTTTGTGACCTATATTTTGTGCTGACCTCCTATCTCATCCTGTGACTTAGAATGCCTTAACCGTCCGGGAATGCAGCCCAGTAGGTTTCAGCCTCATTTTACCCAGTTCCTGTTTAAGATGGAGTTGCTCTGGTTTAAATGCCTCTAACAGAACCACTTTTCAGCTTTCCAATCAGATTTGGAAAGAACTGGAGTGTTGCTCCCACCCTTAGAGCAAGATAAAAAAAGCTATACAACTACAAATTAATGACTTTTCTTGAAACCATCAGAGAACTGAAGGTCAAGCAACTTAACCTAAAATCTGAGAAAATGTATGTCCTTGAGGAGGGAGATAGAATCTAGACCTTTGCTTATCTTGGATAGACACCTTTCAATGTCATAACATCTAGTTAGTAGATTCAACTGGAAAGTATAAATGAGTTGCAATATGCTAAGTATGAGCTAGCATGAGAGTGTTAAACTCCAGCTGACCAGAGACAAAAAGGAATTTCTTAGTCTTGCACTTTCAGGCTGTTCCTCCTGGAACCCCGCCAGGTGCTCACATGGAAGATCAGGGAGAATCCTTAGAAACCATTCCCATGTGGTGTAGACTCAGGTAGGAGGCACCAGCACTGCAGAAATCCTTCCAGATCTATCTCCCATCTTTCCCATATGGAACGAAAGTCTTAATATACTGGAATAACAACAAAACAAGTGTATTCTTCAGGCACTGGTGGAAACTCACTGCAGAGAAAGTAGATGGAAAGAAATAGAAAAAAAAGAAAAAAATCTACCCTGAGGGTAGATATAGAGGTGGCAGAAACATCACTGTATAGGATAAATGGGTAAGATAGAAGAATGAATCTGTAAATATGGAGATAGAATTTTAGAAATCAACCAATCTAAACAACAAAGAGAAAATAGAATAAAAACAGTCTACAAAGCTTCAGGGGCCTGTGGGAATATAGCAAAAAATAAAACATTTGTGTCACTGAAATCCTAGAAGAAAAGGAGGAGAATGAGGCTGAAAAAGTATATAAATAAATAATGGCTGAAAATATCTAAAAACTTACAAAAATACACAAACCTGCATAATAAAAAAATCAAGTTGAGTAAACCTCAAACTGGGTAAGTCCAAAGAAGTATAGGACAAGAGACATTATAATCAAACGGACAGACAGGACTAGGGGGATTTCCTAGGCCTGCTAAGAAAATCTAAGCCTAGTTGGGAAAGGTGAACACACCCACCTTTAAACACAGGGCTGGTAACTCAGCTCACACCAGACCAATCAGGTAGTAAAGAGGGCTCACTAAAATACAAATTAGGCTAAAATCAGGAGGTAAAGAAATAGTTAAATCATATATCACCTGAGAGCATGGGGGTTCAGGGGGGGAAGGGGGCGGGTGCCGAAAATGATCGGGATATAAACCCAGGCATTTGAGCAGGGAGGGGAAACCCTTATGTGGGAGCTCTGGTTTCACTCTATTAAATCTTGCAACTCCACACTCTTCTGGTCCGTGTTTGTTATGGCTCGAGCTGAGCTTTCACTCGCTGTCCACCACTGCTGTTTGCCACCATCCCAGACCAGCCATTGACTTCCACCCCTCTGGATCCCGCAGGGTGTCCACTGCATTTCTGATCCAGCGAGGTGGCGCCCATTGCCACTCCCAATCAGGCTAAAAGCTTCCCATTGTTCCTGCGCAGCTGAGTGCCCGAGTTCATCTTAATCGAGCTGAACACTAGTTGCTGGGTTCCAAGATTCTCTTCCGTGACCCACGCTTCTAATAGAGCTATAACACTCACCGCGTGGCCCAAGGTTCCATTCCTCAGAATCTGTGAGGCCAAGAACCCCAGGTCATAGAACAAAAGGCTTGCTGCCATCTTAGGAGTGGCCCGCCCGCATCTTGGGAGCGGCCTGCCACCATCTTGGGAGCTCTAAGAACAAAGATCCACCCCGTAACAAAACTGCTGAAAAATAAAAACACAGAAAAAAATCTCGAAACCAGAGAGAAAAGGCACAATACCTACAAGAGAGAAACGATAGAAATGATCGTAGATATATTATTAAAAACCGGGAGATAAGAATTAAAGGACACAGTACTATTCAAATCCTAGAGGAATAAAACTGCCAATTCAGAATTTTACATCAGGTAAAAAAAAAAAAAAAAAAAAAAACGAAAAAAGAAAACAAAAAAAACACACCTTTAAGAATAAAGGAGAATTCAAGACAACCTCAAAAGAATGTCAACTAAGATAATTTGTGGCCATCTGAGTTACACAAAAATAAACATCAAAGAATTCAAACCAATATAATAAAGAATTTCATAAATAAATTGAAGAGAAGGTAAAAACCTTCCTTATAAGAGAATTCTGATTCATAAATATAAAAAAAATGTTAAAAAGAAAATCATCATGAGAGCACTACAGTATTGCAGGCTGATCATTGTTAAAATTCTTATTCAAAAACTTTAAAGAATATCAGAAGTTTCAGAGCTCTAAAGTATTTACCTAAAAATATTGTATTGCTGTGGTGTTTTTAACACATGTTCAGAAATGAGGCATGATTTTTTTCCCCTCTGGAGTGTAGCTGAACTTAATGATTTTCACATGATATCTAGTACCTCCTGATATAATGGGATAAGAAGGCATTCCACTTTGTGGTATTCACACATATTTAAGTAGAAGAATGTTCTGTAAATTACCTGTCCAGTACTCTTCAAAAGGTCATGGAGAAAAAACAATAAACAAACTGTCATAGAGTAAAGGAAGCTAAGGAAGCATGTGATCTAAATGCAATGCGATATCCTGGATTGTACCCTGGAGAGAAGAAAGGACATTAGTGGGAAAATAGGGAAAATCTAAATAGAGTTTGTAATTGCACAAAACATAATTACTAAGTTTTGATAATTGGCAAAACATATAAACCTACAAAATTAAGAAGCTAAGTAAACCTCGAATAGAACAAATCCAAAGAAATATATTCCAAAGCATAGATTTCGACAGTAATGAAAGCTAGGCAAAGGATATAAGAAAACCCTATATTACCTTTGTTATTCTTTTAAATTGAAACATTATTTCTAAGTAAGAGGAGGTTATACAAATCTTAAGATAAATATCTGTGATATTTCCAGCTCCAACAATTCTCTCTAAGGATGTTCTTATATCCAATCCTTATTTTTACTAATTTCTTGTTTTAGACGAATTATTTCGTGTCATCTGCAAGAAATACAATGCCCAAATGTGCAAGTAAACACACTTTCTGAAATATTTAAACTTAAATGAGAAGCACATTTATGAATTCACATCCTTTAATGCAGTCTTTCATTTGAATTTCACATGGATGAGTCAATAATGCAAATATGCTGCATGATCATAGAAAAATTGTTTCTGACAGCACCATTCTCTCACCTAGAGGAACATTTCCATGTACATATAATTGCTCCTTGAGTGACAACTATGAATTTCTATTAATAGGGACAATGTTTTCTCCTGCCCTTAGCCTGCCTCTGGGAAGATATCTTCCCACATGTGACTGTGCCTCAGCAGTCCTGCTTTCCCCTTTGCAAAATCATTGGCTTGTATAACACTTTATATTTTAGCCCCTACATTATTTCTAATTCCTTCAAATAATCTAAGGACTTGACATAGAATTATGTTACACATCCTTGTGAACTTTGATGAAGAAAATGTCATCTACTTATTTAAATGTTCATGAAAGTGTTTTAACTTTATTTATCCACACTGTCTTCTAGGTAATGGTTTTGTATTGCACCTTTTGTATGGAGACACAAATTTATAAATTCAAAATAAATAATTTGAATTCCATGTAGAAACTACAAATCACTACAAGCTAGAAAGGCAGCTTCATTTTTTACTGGAAGTTTAAATCTGATTTGGAAAAACACTATGCGATCCTTTGTATCTCCCTATGTCTATTTATTATGCCACAAAATCATTGATGAATTAATCCATTCTCCTTTAATGTCCATTATGCTTTTTTTGTCATTCTGCTTAATTAAATTATACTTATTCCCATCTTCACTCACATTGATAACCATGCTCAACAGATGCCTAAGTTATCCACAGTCTATAACCTTTAAAAAGTCTCGATCCAGTGTCACTTCCTAAAAAACAGTATACTGGAAGAACCCAGCTTCCATTCAACTTACTTTTACATGAATCACTAAAATATAAACAGGAAAAATATAAAGAAACAATGTTATTTACTCTATATAAATGCTGTGCTGTTTTAACTATCTTATTCATTCAAATGTTCACTCTGTAATATGGGTTAAATTAGAAATCCCCTTTGAAGATAAATTTCAAATACCAAATACTCTAGTGTTCATGCTTCATTCCATGCACTTTTGTTATTTGTAAGTGTTTGTAAGTGATAATAATCTTTTAACTTTATACTTCTCTGACTACTAAAGAAGTATTGAGATTTATTCACATAGTGAAGTGCCTAGAATATAGTAGAATCTCAAAATAATTTGGATTATGATTTAAGGATATCAAAAGAGAAAGAGTATAAGACATTGACATAGCATAATTAAAGATGTTAGATAAATTATTAGACTTGTAAATATTGATAGAGCCTGCTAAATTTATATTACCATTGCCTTGGTGTTCTAATACAAGTCTAACTTGTGCCAGAGCTCTGCAAAGAAGTAGTGTATATCAAGAGTCCCCCTCACCCTCAAAATCCTTATTCACCTATAACAAATAAAAATTCAGCTAAGGTTCCATAATAAATTATTAATTTCTTCCTGACTTGGCATATATTCTTCATTAGATATTCTTAATCTTGATTAGGTCAGTTGTAATTACTTATAACCCACAAACACATGGGTCAGTTCTTATTATCACAGTAGATTTACTGGATAGATGAAGGGAAAATTAGTTCACGTTGTTTTTGTCTGGTTTATCTTCATGGGGAATTTTTTATATTGATTAAGCCCTCATGGGAAAAGCATCCTGAAACTCTTTGCAGTAGAACAAGGCACTCTGGATCACACCCATGGTGAAACTAAAGATAATGGAGAAAGCTTGCTTAGTAGAGAAACAAAAACTATAGTTACTTTGACAATCAGAAGTAGCTTATGCCTACTCACTATGTGACCTTTTTGGTTGTATAAAGTTCTATTCTGAGATAAATAACTTTTTTCTTCATCAAGTTGATTTCTAAGAAGTCTACTCCTTGAAGATGCTGAAGACATTAACCTTATTTACCATGTGAATTGTTGTTAAGTATCTGTTTTGTTCTTTATCCACATTTCCTATTACCATTTCCTATTTTAGACATTATTTTAGTACTTACCTTTGAACCAGTGGACGGATATGTACCTTTACAAAAAAGAAAAGCATTATCTCTGTTCTAAACGTGATTTGTCTTACATGGCGCACAGGCACTCCGTATCAGAACCTTTTCATGCCACACAAAGCCTACATGCTATGCCAAACTAAGGGAAGCATTATGGAAGCCCTTATATTTTTTAAAATTCTAGCTGTAACCAATGCATTCATGGGAAATCTGCATCCAGAGATTCATAACACAAGTTAAATTATTACTGGATTTCTCTTGAGTTTCCTTATGGAGTTTACCAACTTGCATAGTGTGTAATTCTGTAGAATTGCTCTACAGGAGTAAGAGTGATGTCTGTTTTCTAATCTATGCTGTCCTTTTTGGCTATTATTGCTACGGGGTATGTTTTTCTTATTAAAAAAATACATATGCTCACAAAAAAATTTACTATAGCTATTTCAAAGGCACAAAAATCAGTGAGCTTATTATAAAGAATAGTGATGAATAGTTTATTCTCCTAAAATAATGGTTTCACATTTATTCTAGTATCTCCTTTTTTTGGCATTTTGTGTGTATGGTTAGAATTCTTGAATACACTATTCAATTTGCGTCTTAGAATATAGATTGTTAGGAATGATAATCTTATGTGATCCTTTAGTTTATAATTCTATCAAAGAGAACAAAGAAAACTCATATTGAGCTAACTTCAAAGTGCTTATCTCAATGGGAATCAGCTCTCACAGACACATCCATTGTACATAGGCTTGTTATCCATGCTGATAGTATCATACTAGATTTATGTGCATTAGTGGGAAAAAAGATTCACCCTGGTGAATCATTTCCAATCATCACTGGCAGAGATTAACAGAAGCAAAATCAGAGCACTCAATACGAAAATTATGTTTTTAGATACCTACATTTTGTATGTCCAATGCTTTCTAACAGTTTTTCAGTACCTGTGTTGAAAATGGCATTGCTACTTTATTTATTTATTTATTTATTTATTTATTTATTTATTTATTGAGATGGATTCTCACTTTGTCACTCATGCTGGAGTGCAGTGGCACGATCTAGGCTCACTGCCACATCTGCCTCACGGTTCAAGTGATTCTCCTATCTCAGCCTCCTGAATAACTGGGATTACAGGTGCACGCCACATGCTTGGCTAATTTTTGTATTTTTAGTAGAGACAAGATTTCGCCATCTTAGCCAGGCTAGCCTTGAACTCCTGACCTAAGGTGATCAGCCCACCTCATCCTCCCAAAGTGCTGGGATTACAGGCATGAACCACTGTGCCTGGCTCTATTTACTTTTACTGTCTGCAAGAGTGAGAAAAACAAATCACTTACTTGTTTCTAATAGTTTCTGCAGTGACTAAGGTAGCCCTAATTCTGGAATGTCCTTCACATTCTGTACAGTGTTCAAGAGAATATATTGTATACTTTGTTCCATTTTGAATGAGAATGTGTATGCCCTGCCTTAGGTAAAATGCAGTTCTGTAATATGTAAAATGTGTTACGTAATAAATAAGTAATTTGGAGAATGTTGCATATTATACTAGAGTACAGTAGAATCATATGGTATTATTCTTATTCAAATTTTTCTTATTATATTTACTATGAGAAAAAGGGAGAAAACCATGTAAATTAAGCAGGTCATGCTGCCATTTGACTCAATGAGCACATTGTATGGTTATGAGATGGGAATGTTAATGTAGACTTTTTATTCAATTATCAATTTCCTTTATAGAAGACGCATATTTCCAAGCTAAGTATAAACCTGGAAATGATAACATACTGCAGTTTTTCTTAGTAAAACACAGCCAATGTACTTTCGCTATTTGGCAAAATAAATAGCCTTCCATTTCTTATTCTATGTTGGTTTAATAATACTGTTGGGTAAGAGGGAAACAGCTTTTGGAAAGGAAGTTCTGACTCAGATATGACCTCAGTGCTTTCTCCTCTTGGTGCTTCCAAATGCACATTAAAATATTAAAGACTAAAAATTTCTGCAGCGTGGAAATCTGGGGAAGAAGATATCTTGGCTGACATGGAGCTGATTTGTATTTCATCTGACTTTCTCGGGAATCTTATTTCATTGATTATTTGTGCTTTCTCGGTCTTCTGTTTCTTAGTTCTTATCACTGTTAATATGCCCCATATTGTAAAGCAAACAAACGTGAAGCATACACACACACACAAACACAAGCGCATGCGTGAGTTAATGAAATATCACACTCCAGCTGCTTTTAAGTCTCATTTAAAAATAAGTATCTTTATTCACTCACATTACATCATTTCCCATTCATTTCTTTGCACATTAAGAACTGAAATTTAACCCAGCACTCCAATAAATCTTTCCACGGCAAGGTCTCAAAAGTCCCTAAATAAAATATAGCATTTTTAATCCTTACCTTGCATATATTTTAAGAATCATTTAACACTGTTAACTTCTCCTTTATTTTAGAGCACACACTTTATTTAGGTTTTATGTTACCATGCTCTACTTATTTTAAAACTCTGTCTCTCAATTAACTGTGCAGATTCTTCTTGCTATACCTTATCCCTAAGTTTTCATAGTTGTTGTTTGTCTGTTTTTCCCAAATTCTTATTCAACACACTTTCCCTCAGTAAACTCATGCACTCCAATGGTTTCAGGTTAAATTTCTAACTCCGTCCTTTCTTCCTACTCTAGAATTACCTATAAAACAATCAAACATATAGGTGTATATATTTACACACAAGACATTCCAACTTTTGTCATGAAGGCACAAAATGCTCAAAAATAAATACATCTCTCAACAACATACTAATCTACTTATGCCCTCCATGTCACTTATCCCCCCACTCATTTATTGTGTGGCTTATGTTAAATTTTTTTGAATACTCTTTGATATCTCCTCTTTCTCTCACTCTGTGAAGCACACCTAATCAATCAGTAAGTCCTGTCATTTCACTCTTTAATATACAAATTAAAGACCTCTATAATTATTTTTACCTCCAGATCCACTTTTCTAGGCAAGCCACTGTAATATCTTACATGGAATTCCATAAAATTCTTGGACAGATTCTTGTACTTTCATTTCTGCCAATCTCCCATGTTTTCCAACATTCACTCGTACAAACAAAAAACACCAAATCCCTACTTAATCAAATTCTATCTATATCTACTTATTCATCCATCTATTCTATTGAAAACTTGACCCACAGAGGTTACTATTCATTTGGATTCTACAGTTATGTTTTAAATTGTCTTCATTTTCTTTATCATCATGAACTATATCCTTACATTATGAAACAAAAAAGAAATATATTTAAAGAAAATATTTTTGGGGAACATAAATGTTTCCAGAGTCAAATTTTAATGTAGTAAAAATAATGAGTTGTTTTTCTTTTTCCAGCATTGAAAGACTATGAAAAGCAGAATTAATTCTAAATGGATAAAGTATTATTTACATTGACAACGGTATGAAATAAGATGTTAACGTGAAGGCATTATATGCTGCAAACTTTGGCATTACAAAATCTTATTCCAACCTTGACTATAATGATAACTTTGAACAAGTCACAGCTCATTCTCATAAACAAAATAGACATACTGCTAAATAGACTGAGCATTTTTAGTAAGAACAAAATAAATGAGAAATATTTGAAAGAAAACTTATTTCTCTATCATCGTTGAAAATAGAATAGAAAATTCTATCAGTACACAAAAGAGTTATAGAAAGCATTTGGAGCTCTTCTCTCCCCTGTCAGTAAAATATAAATTAAAACCTAAAAAAAAAATTCTAATGGTCACTGTTCTTGTACAATGCAAGCTCTTGCTTGTAGGACTCATGTGTACATGTGTAATTCTTTAAAAAAGGAAAAAAAAATGACCCACTCTAGTTTTTTATTATACTGGTTGTTTCCAAGAAGTGAACCAACAGAAGAGAACTTTCATTCTCTTTCTGTCTGCCACTTCCATACAGGAAACTGTGTAATTATTCTTTCTGCCACAAACTTCTAATAGCCTTACATTTGCAGATGAAAAAGGAAAGTTAGTCGGTGCTTGTCTGACTGCCAATAAAATAATGTACCAATCCTTCTTCGTCAGTGATGTCTGCATCTCATTGATCTGTTTGTAAGAATCCATGAAATTATTGAAATTATTTTGTTTATGTTCAAACCATATGATTTCTAATGTTATGATTAATAAGGCTGCTATTAATATAATTTCATTGTTAACAAAATAAAAATAACAATAATAAAGTTAAAATTTGAAGACCACATATCTCAGATCACCAAGGTATGTAGGAAGTGGTAATGTGTGTGCATGTGTTTGAATTTATATTAGCACTTTACAGTTTACTATTCTTTATCAATGTCGTATTTACAAAAACTTTAGGTAAAAGAAGCACATTTATATTTATGTTTTATATTAAAGAATATGTAGGTTATTTTGCAGGGAATAAATCATATTCCTCTTAATTCTTAACTAGAATGTTGCTTTAAAGTGAAAAATATGCAAAGCGTATTGCAAATATCCGTAGAAGCTTATTTGTGAGCTTACCAATGCTAGTTCCTTTTATTCTCACATCCCATAGATGACAGAGAAAAAAAATTGGAAGATTTTATATCTATAGAAAAATATAAATTCAGCATGTTAAAAGAAATATATAATAGATATGTGCCAACTGAGAGTCATAATTGCTCTTTCTGACACTACAGTGTTAGCATGTAAAGTGCATATTTAAAAATATTTTTTTTAAAAAACACATACCCTTAACTATAGAATAAAATTCATACTCAACAGGGTAGATTCTTTGACAACCTAGATTAATCCTCTATCTTTGGTTTCAACTTCAGCCATTCGTCTCAGTATGTCTTAGACTAGTGATTTCAGATTTTTAGATCTTCTTGGAATTTGCTAATAACATTTCATTATTTAATAATGTATTTCATTACCAAATTTAGGTTACATGCCTTTTAGCATGTGTCGTGTAACACTGAAGTGATTCCAAACAGTTACGGTGTTTGCTAAATGAGAGACCACATGACTTGGTGTGATAAAAAAGCATAGTTGTAATCTCTCTCCCCACGAAAATGTTACACCACACCTTATCAGAGCACGTGTGTGAGCCATTGGCTTCAACTACTGAACTTTCAAACACATGTAAAACCAATATTTTGACATACAATTTGACAATGTAGACTGGGGCAAGGACTACTCTCTGCCTGCCTGTAAGGTTTTCTCCAAAGCCTTGCCCATGTCCCATGGAACTGCTCCCCAGCATTAGGGACCTTGGGCTTTGTTGTGAATCTCCACTGTGATGGTTAACCCATCACATAGAAAGGTGTGCCTTGGCTGGGTGTGGTGACTCACACCTGTAAGTCCAGCACTTTGAAAGACCGAGGTGGGAGAATCACTTGAGCCCAGGAGTTTGAGACCAGCCTGGGAAATATGGTGAAACCCTGTCTCTACAAAACATACAAAGAAATAGCTGAGTGTGGTGGCACGTGCCTGTGGTCCCAGCTACTAAGTAAGCTGAGATGGGAAGATCACTTGAGCCCAGGAGGTCGAGGCTGCAGCGAGCTGTGATTGCACCACTGCACTCCAGCCTGAGCAACAGAACGACACCCTGGTATGCCTCAAACTTCTATTACACTATACATGCACAGAGGTCTGCTTCCATTTGTAATTTAGCAACTAGTCTTTAATACTGGACTCTAAGCAAAATTGGAACTTATTCACTATGTGTTTAATGTACCCTGTCTGTCAAGTATGTTCCCTGAGATTTGTTACCGTTTTCTCCTTGTCTTTAAGTATTGTGAAAAATAATTCTAGAAATATCTTTGTATGGAAATAAAACATTTGATTGGTGAAATCATACTTTGATCACCTTCTTATTTTAACTACACAAAAGAAAATGCCTTACAGTCTTCTGATGAAGGTTGAATATGATGTATTGGGTGAAAGGCAGTGAGGTATGTTGGCCTTTAATTTTATATTTATGTGGCTAAGAGTTCAGCTTTGTTTGCATTCTGCTGTAGCTTTAGCGTCGAGGCTAAAATTTCCTCTAGTATGCTTGTTGTTGTCTCCCCTGTTGTTTTTGGGTTTTCCTAGAGACTCGTTAAATAGATTCTGAGGCTTGTAGATGTTTTAACCGTAATAGCTCGTAATTATAAGGAACACTATGGATGTGATGGGAAGGTGTTGGCAGAGAGAAGCCTTCTCTAATTCTATGATTGGGTCTTAGTCTTTTAGTGAGGCTGAGTTGGCTATTTCTCTTGCCCCATGTGGAAGGACAGAGGGAACTAGAGATGAATATTTCTTTTTCTCCACATTGGTGAGGCTTTGGTAAAGCCTGGTAGTGCTAGGCTCCAGTGAAATAGTTTCACTTGAGGACAGGCCCTGTGAAGGATAACAGAGAGCTCTGAGCATATCTAAAAATATATTTCCCCTCTCTGCACTGAAATCAGGATGGTGTTTATCTTCCATCTTTATGGTGAGAAGGAGTAGGGCTCCTTAGTGGCAAAACTCTGGGAAGTGTAGAAGTTCCCCTGAGTCTGGGCCCCCTTGGAGTATTTTACTCTCAAACTATTCTACATTGAGCCTCCATCAATTTGTCAAGTACAGCTTAAGTCTCCCTAAGTTATTATCTATCTGTGGGCTTCTGTTCCTAGGCTTCTACTGAGGTAAAGTACTATTTTTCTTATCTGCCTGTCTGTTTCTTCAATTTTAGGATAAGCAGTTTGCCCTGTGACTTCAATTATCTGACGGATGTAAGAAAAGAAGTTGATTTTTAGTTTGTTTGTTATTTTTTCTTGTGAGGATAGAAGTGGCAAATTCCAAGCTCTTTACAAGTCAAATTGGAAACATGATAGAAACTTAAATATTTGTCTTTTACTTTCTCACGCTCTCCACGTAGATGAGTGAAATTTCTTCTGATTCTGAAGAGCAATATCCATTAAGTTTAACTCAGATAATGAAGGTATCATTCTAGGGCATTAGCAATAAGGAAAGCAAGAACTCAGACGAAAGCCAGAAATAATTGAAAGAAAAGGATCAACTAGGCTTGACAGTATCTCAGGTAAAATATGATTACTTGCAGGATACAACGGAGATCTACTAATAACTCTTACCAGTGCCACATCCACAATTTCCATCACAGCTCACGCCTTTCTGTGAACTAAGTTGAATTGACTAACCACAGTCTATTGGCATTAGTATGGCTCATTGTTCTCTATTTCCGCTTCTCTAGTTTATGAACACCACATTCCTTATAATCATTTTTCTCTCTATAAATCTTTCTTCATCGTCAATCACTTATTGGATTATTTTTGTGTTTTTCAACTTGTACTCTGCTCTCTGCTAGTGACTAATAGATCTCTCCCTCTCTCCTCCCCATCTCTCTCAATATATTTATACATATACACCCACTGACAGACATTACACACACACATACACACACAACACACACATACATCTCTCTGTCTCTGTCTCTCTGTCTGTATGGCTATGCCCAACATATTCACTTTTTAGAACTCACTTGATAATGTATGTAATCCAGCAAATATTAAAGTACAAAAATTTTAAAAAAGAAGACACAGAATATAGAATACAGTGACTGATCCACAAGAGAAGAGACATGAGTTTCAGGTAGACGGAAGAGGAGACGAAATGGAAAACAACCACAATAAAAAAAGAAGAGGCGGTCCAGGGTCTTTGAAAGAGGTAAAAAGAAAAGAAAAGGCAGATTATAGATTTTTTTGGTAGAATCCACACTTTAGGTGAAATTAATGATATAAGAAAGAGAGAGCATGTAATCAATCAATACAATGGCAGCAATCATTACTCTAGCAAAAAAGACAACAAAAATTATACATGAAAGTAATGTTAAAAATAGGAAGTCAACCAAACCATGGTCTAATTTGGAAGAAGAGGTGAGTGGATAAGAAGGTAAGTGTGTGTGTGTGTGTGTGTGTGCACGCATGTGTGTGAAAGAGAGGGAAAAAAAGAGAGGCAGAGAAAGAGAGAGAGAATAACAGAAAAACATAGGACTTTTTATCATGAGTATATATTTTTTACTGGCTTCTGGGTTATGGAATTGGGATCTCAGAGAAGGAATTGTATTCTACCATATCATCAGCACATACAATATTTAATTCTAATATTCATGTAGCCATTATCATTTAGTATTAAACTTTTATTGTCATATATGATTATAAACTAAAAATTAAACATTATTTTTCTTTTTGAATTTAAAAGTATAGTGAACAGAGTTTGGAGGTAAAAAGAGGAGAGTTGAAATGAACAAAATAATGAAAACATAAATGTTGAAAATAAATATTAAAAACTGAATGGTCAGAAGAGTCAGCCTATTCTTAAAGGAAGTTGTTTTGAAGATTAAATTTGTATGTCCACTAAAGAAAATGAAAGTGGTGATGAACTAGCAATGAAAGCAATTAGGGAATGAAGATTGAAGGGATATGAGTTCATGAGAAAATCCTCACTCACTCCAGCAGAAAGTGGTCAATATCTAACGTTGACGCATGAAATAATAGCTACAGCATACATAGAATTTAGAGACCTGGAACCAAAAATTGGAAGAACTAAGAGTACTAAGAGTTCTGATTTCTGGGGAAAGGAATGAGGAGTAGGAGGTGTTAGACAATTAACTTAGTTTTCTACAATCTACCATTTTTTACTATGTAATTTTATAAAAACATTTTTTAAAATAATGTGATACACTTTATGGTTTTATTTACGTGGTATTTATTAAGAATCTCTTATGTTTCAGCCCTATGTTTTGGATTCGAGTGTAAAACAGGCAAGTGTATTTTATTACCAAATTTAAATTATACATGATTGATAATAAAGAAAGTAGAAAAGAAAAAATAATAATACATGTGATAAGAGCTAAGAAGGAAATAACTAGTAATGGGTAAAGATTAATGGGGCAAGGGGTTCAGGAAAGACCTTCTAAATGACAGCATCAAAGACATCAAAGATGGGAAGGAGCCAGAATAAAAGAACTACATAATTTTTTTTCAAGTCCGAAGGGGCAGACATGCCTAGTATAAAACAGCATAAAATTTTCTAGGGCCATTTAGAAGGTCACTGTATCTAAAATGATCTTCATAAGAGGGGGCGCCTCACCAGATGCTGCCCCAGAGGTAAATGTGTCATAGGCTTGTATAACATTGCAAAACATTTGAGAATGGTCAAAGGTTGAAGAGAGAGAGAAGTATATAAACATGTGTTTGAAAAAAGGATCAACAGAACATTTTGAGCCATTAAATATATTGGTTTTAAAAAAAAATTTCAAATGGAATGCTCCTAGTTTCTGGCTTTGGTAAGTATGCAGACAGGGATGTAATTATTCACAATGCTGGGAGAGTGAACAGGTAGAGGAGGTATAGGTGAGCAAGCTTCAAACATGTTGTAATGTTTCTCTGACTGTGAACTATCAAATAATGATAAATAGGCAGTGTGACATACAAGCATGAACTTATGAAAAACAATTGGGCTTGAATATGTAAATATGATGGTTTAAAGAATATAGAACCTATAATGTAGATGGTATAGTAATGATGTTACCCAGGGAAAAAATGTAGATTGTCAATAGGTCTTAGAACCAAACCTTGAGGGACTTTTAAAAGATTACTTCATGTCAGGAGAGGTGTCAGTTAACTTCAAGTCATAACAGAAATCTACACACTTCAATGAGAGGTGTTTTCAAAAGATTATTGTAAGTGAGAAAAGTGTGGGTGATAAGTTTTTTATCTTCAATATTGTATAATATGGTGGCACCTGTCTAGCAATTTTCTGACAATGAGGTCAGTGAGCTAAATTTGACAATACTTTGTGGCATTAGGGCCATCCTGGCAACTGCGGGTTACGTCTCAGTGAAGTCATGGTGTGAGAAAACTGTGAACAGTGGAGGTGAAGGTGAATTGGTGGCTTTCCACTTACCTCAAATAAGGGCAGCAACAAAATTATAATAATTAAAAGCCTGCATTGCAAATGCCCTCTGCTGTATTACTGCCTTGAGGAAACAGTGTTGATTTTCAAACTTTTAGTGACCACCTATCATTAAAGTTCCCAGAAAAGGACCCAGAAAAGGATGGCAGTGTCTGAGATGATTTTGGATAAATATGTACATGAATTATCATAAAATAATTTTATAAGTTATTCTAAACATCTGCCAATTATATTCTTCAATTAATGATAACTAAACTGAATGAATAAGTATTCAATTGGCATTGAATAGCGATGCTCAGGTTCACATAAATCTGAATCCATCAATCATAAACTTCCTGAACATCCCTATTGAAGTGATGATTGACTTTGTACTAAAAAACTTCTATAAATGTCATTGTATAAGATAAATTTATCCTATGCTCAAATTTACCCTTCATCTCCAATTTCATCCTGTTTAGATTAGCAAGCATTCTTATTTAGAAAGTTTTTTTTGGTTTGTTTATTTTTGCTATTTGTATAACTCATGGGAAAAAGTTACTAATTCTCCCAATTCAACAAAAAAGTCATTTCAAAGGAGTTGACTTTACAAAGCTAAATTAATCCTCTGAAAGATTCTGTTTTAGCTGGTAATTCCCTTCATTCTGATTATGTAAAATTGAAAGTTTTGTTGAGATGAAAAAGAAAATGCATGAAATTAAAATTTAAGTAAAATAAACATATCATTAAAACTCATGAAACTAGGAATAATACATAAAAATTTACAAAGTAAGCAGAAAAATATCAGAGGAAATGAAACAGTTAAATAGTAATTTCTATATTTACTTTACAGTTTGATTTTTTAATTTGTATGAAAAACAGAAATAAAAATTATATACTTTTTTCTTGGCATTAAACACTTGCCAGGATTCATCATTTATTGATTTTTTCTAAATTCAAAAAAGTAACAAACAATAAGATAACACTTATAAATAAGATCAAGTTTTAGGTAACTGTAGCAATCATACCTATAGAAAACAACAGAAATCTATTAAGCTAAAAGGCAGTTGAAATTTTCCCCTTATACTTCCCAGCCAGGAACCATATATATAAAAAAAATGCTAAGGCCTTTCCTTTCCACTCACTTTTTTTAACTTTTAAGTTCAAGGGTACGTGTGCATGCTTGTTATCTAGGTAAAATTGTGTCATGGAGGTTTGTTGTGGAGATTATTCTGTCACCCAGAGAATAAGTCTAGTACTCATTTGTTATTTTTCCTGATCCTCTTATTCCTCCCATCCTTCACCCTCCTATATGCCCCAGTGTGTGTTGTTACTCTCTGTGTGTCCATGTGTTCTCATCACTTAGTTCCCAGTTATACATGAGAACATGCAGTATTTGGTTTTCTGTTTCTGCATTAGTTTGCTAAGGATAATGGCCTTCACTTCCATCCATGTCCCTTCAAAGGACATAATCTCATTCTTTTTTATGGCTGCATAATATTCCCTAATGCATAGATACCACGTTTTCTTTATCCAGTCTATCACTCATGGCCATTAGGTTGATTCTATGACTTTGCTATTGTGAATAGTGCTGCAAAGAACATTCGCATGCATGAATCTTTATAATAGAATGATTTATATTCTTTTGCGTATATACCCAGTAATGAGATTGCTGGGTTGAATTCCACCTGTTCTTTCTTTTGTTTTTTTCTTTCTAAATTCCAAAATAAATATATATACACTTAAATGGTAGATTTTACTCTCACTCTTTGGTCTATAGCATAACTTCCAAAGTACACATTTATATGCAAGATGGATCAACTTAGGAAACAGAACTAACCCATATAAGGTTACCTTTGAGAAAGAAACGTACTGGCCAAATAGAAGCTACCTCGCTGGTTTGGCCAATTATCTGAAGACTAAGCAATTTCTTTCATAAATAAATCATTTCTCAAGCATCAATTGGAAAAGGTCACATGGACTTTTGAGGCTATGTTATATTTGATTTTTCTAGACTCTCTAAAACTAATCCATGTTATATTCTTATAGGATGCTTTTATTGTCCACGATTCATAAGCTGAATTCCGGTTATACATGTATGCATAACTTGTACCACATTCAATTTACCTTTCAGCAGGACTTAAAATAACAATCACTCAAGTAAAATGCTATAAGATAAATAAATTTCAAGCATAACAAGCAAAGAATTAATCATCAAGTTTTAGACAAAATGATTCCAGTAATGGCTGCCATCTTAGTCCAGTTTAGGCTGCTGTAACAGAATACCTGAGACTGGATTACAAAGAACAGAGATTTATTTCTGGAAGCTGGGGTTGAGGGGCCAGCATTTGGAAGGACATTCCTGCTACATCATGTAATGGCAGGAGGCAGAACTGCAAGAGAATGTGTACACATGCGCATGCCTGGGAGAAGGTGGGGAAAGGGGCTGATCTGATCATTTTGTCATGAATAGATTTGCAAAATAACTAATACATTCCCACAATAATGACAAGAGGGCAGAGCTCTGATAACCTAATTACCTCTAAAGTTTCCACGTCTCAACACTGTTGCACTGGGGACAGTTTTCAACACATGAATTTTGGGAATACCTTTGGGGTCGTTTAAACTATAACAGTGGTATCATTCATCATGAAGTTTGAAATATATCTCTATGCCTAAAACAAACTTTTTTTGTTTACTTTGTGCAGCAATCTGTGAAACTATGATTTTCAAATATCTGTTGTGGGAGTTCAGGTTTCTCTTACAAAGGAAAGGATTTTATTTAATATCTTAAAAAGTTTAAATGCAAAAAAATTCAATCTACTACAAATAATTTATTATTATGTGGCATGGTCATAGACACTCCATAGTCATACACAAGGCTCCAAGAAGAATTACGTTTATCATTGTCAATATGCTTCCATGCTAACATTAATTTATGTATTTATGAAAGCCAATTACTCATCAAATTAATTACTTGTTAATTATGTTGTTATTAATTTTAGCTGGTTGAATACTAATTTGTTTTAGATTTTAAGTTCATTAAAACTTTTAAGCCCCCTATTAATATTGATCTTCAGTGCTATCTATATTTGCTCAAAAAATTTTAAATAACAAACAAATATATCTAAAGGGTATAAGGTAACAACATATAATTAAAACCTTATTTTATTGAAATTTCTAAAGTCTATATTTTCTCACATACGTATATAATTATATTTATATATGACATATAATTAAAGCAAAGATTATAAATATGTAAAAGCAAAGATTATATATAATATATAATTAAAGCAAATACTATATATATTACAATACACATATTATACAATGTATTTGCTATAAATATAATTTATAGTTATATATATTATATACCTATATATACTTATATAATTTATATATTTATATATTTATAAGTTATTGCCATTTTACTATTGCCATTTTACTACTTGTTTTATAGTTGTTTTATAACATCCTTCTCTCCCTCCCTCCCTCTCTTTCTTTCTTTTTCTTTCTCTCTCTCCTTCCTTCCTTCCTTCCTTCCTGCCTGCCTTCCTTCCTTTCTTTCTCTTTCTGTCTTTCTTTCCTCCCCTTCCTCCCCTTCCTTCTTTCCTTCTTCCCTTACTTCCTCCGCTCCTTCCCTCATTCCTTCCTTCCTTTTCTGTTTTCATTCTTTCTTGCTTTCTTGCTGTATTTATTGTTGTCTTCCTTTATCTCTGGTGGTATATTTTATTTTTTTTAAAAAATAGTGTATTATAAGTTTGCTTTGTGATTAGCAAAGGATTTACAAAAATATCCAACTGTTATAACAAGTTATTTAAAACTTAAAGCAACTTAATATTAGTCACAATATGAAAAAATGAAACATATTAACAACAAAACCCATACACATTACTTTCCTTCTTTCCCCACATTTAAAATTTTTGATGTCACAATTTGCATTTTATATTGCCTACCTTGACAAATTGTTGTTAAGTATTATTATTTTTAATTATTTTTATCTTTTAGTCTTCCTAGTAAAGATATAGGTGATTATACTTCATATTTACAATATTAGTGAACAATCACACTAGCATCTTGTTTTTTTCTCTTTTTTTTTGGTTTAAGAATTCCCTTTAGCAATACTTGTAGAACATATCTGGTAGTGAAACTTTCTCTCAGCTTTGAGAAAGCCTTATCTCTCAATTCTGAAAGAAATCTTTTCCAGTTATGATATTCTTAGTTGGCAAAAATTTTCCTTAAGCATTCTATATATAATGTCCCGCTCCTTCCTAGCCTGCAAGGTTTCCGCTGAGAAGTCTGTTGCCAGGTGTACTGGGTATTTCTTATACTTTACTTGCTTATTTTCTTTTGCTTCTTTCAGAATCCTCTCATTGTCTTTGACCTTTGAGATTCTGATTATATGTACTGAGGTATTCATATTTAGTTGCATCTGATTGGTGACCTTTGACCTTCCTGTACATAGATAGTTGTATCTTTCTCCAGGTTTGGAAAGTTTTCTTTTAATGTTGTTTTTTTTTTCTTCTTTTTAAAAAAGCTTTTTAATGCTTTGTTTTTCAGATCCCTCTTTAACAGCACATTTTCGCTCTTTTGATGTTGTACGACAAATTCTGTAAGCTTTTTTCAGTCCTTTTGATTTTTTTTCTTTTTTTCTCCCTTGACTATGCATTTTTAAATAGTCTGCCTTCAAGCTCACTGATTCTTTCTTCCATGTGATCAATTTGTTTGTATTTTATATTTCATTCATTATAATGTTTAGCTCTAGAGTATCTTTTTGATTTTTAAAATTACTTCAATCTCTCTGTTAAATTTATCTGAGAAAATTCTGAATTGATTCATTGTGTTTTCTTAAAGTTCATTGAGCTTCCTTAAAACAGGTAGTTTTAATTCTTTGTCTGAAAGATCACACATCCCCATCACTTTAGCGCCAGTCTCTGGCACCTTATTTTTTTGTCCATTTTAGTGATGTCATGCTACCCTGAATGTCCTTGATGTCTGTGGAAGTGTGACAATATCAATGTGCATTGAGAGATTTGGTGTTCATCTTGGTCTATGCAATTTGGCTTTGTTTGTGCCTGTTTTTCTTCAGAGGGATCTCCAGGGCTTCTAAGCAGACTGACTGTTGTGTTTCCTGAACCTGTGGTCACTTCAGCCATCTCAGAACTATGCGATATTCTAAGCCAAGGCCTGTCACAAGTCTTGCAAGTACTCTGTGGTTGATGTGGCTTTGTGGCCCAAATGTATGAGGGGAAAACCCAAGCAGGGTACTGGGGCTGTGTGGGTATGCTGGCCAGGGCCCTGAGTTCAGAAGACTGTCCTGGTAGCCCAGGTAAGCATGCCTCTCAGTAGGTCTCTGCATGAGTAGAATGGGTCCTTGACTAGAACAGAAATTGCCAGAAATGAGGTGAGGCCTCCTTCAGATTTGTTGTGGGATGGAAGTTGCCTGTCACATTCACTCAGACAGGCACACATCTCCCAGAAAGTCCTTGCATAGATGGACTGCAGCAGGAGGTGCTGAAGCTGAGACTGAGCCCCCTCGAAATCTGTAGAACAGAGACTGGAGAGTACAGTTCCAGTGTCTCAGAAGCTATGCAGCTCCCAAGAGAACTCTGTACATATGGGATAATTTCCCAACTGCAGCTGGAGGAGCTGGAGCCAATACTGAGCTCTCTTGGGATCTTCTATGGGGCTGAGGCTGGAGAGCCTGGTCCTATTAAATTAGAGAGCCATGTATCCCTCAACAAGTCTCTGCAAAATTGACATAGTTCTCCTGTTGCCACATAGGGGTGCGAGGCAGTGGCTGGAGCTGAGATGGGGCTTTTTGGAGTCCAATGTGGGGCAGAGGCTGTAGAGCCCAGTCTTTTTGGCTCACAGGGGTGCACATCTCCCAGCAAGTGCCTGCGCAGATGGTATAGTTTCCTCACTGCAGTGAGAAAGGCTACAGTTGAGATTGTGTCCTCATGGGATATGCTCTGTGACAGAGCTTGGTGAGCCCATCAGGGAGGCCCAGACTGCAACATATGGCTGATTCTCTCTCTGTATCCTTGTATAAGCCACTCTTAGCTGGGATCTCAGCTCAAGAAGGCTGAAGCAGAGCCACAGGGCCACTTTCAGGTGCTACTGGTGTCAGTGGACAGATGACCCTTTCCTTCAAGGTACTAGTGTGCATGATTCCTTCTAGACTGCTTGGCAAATGGTTTTGCTTGCAGGCTGAAAGCCAAATGGGACTGTACCCAAGCCCCTTGAAAGGCTAGGCCATTTCCATGCTTGAATCCAGGAGCGACCTTGGTGGATCAGCCACCTGGGTGTCAGTTTGCCCTCAAAACAACCCTCCAAGGTCTTGTGTTCTGCTGGAGTTCACAAACTCCTACCTGAATCCTGAAGCTCCTGAAGAAAGATTTTTAACTATTGATGAGTGCAGAATTGTTGCTGTTTTGGGGGAAAATGAGCAGGCTGTCTTCTATTTCACCATCTTAATTATGTCACTCCCCTTATAGTATATTTTTAAATTTTTTTGATAGATCTTGTTTGTTCTCATGTTATTCAAAGAATATTTATGGCTTTTTTACAGTAAAATTTTATAAAAACTTAATGATAACTATTATGTTCCTCCCCCCAAAAAAGGTTATTTAATGTGATGCATCATTAAATCGAAACATATGTCTGCACAGGGCTTTCAAAAAATGTAACACTGACGTTCCATGTGGGAAAACATGAGCATTAAAGTCAGTTAAGATAATATGTTGCTGTTTTTCTAAATGATAAACTTCTATAAAGATTCTATATAAATAGTTATTTAGTAGGGATACTGTTTGCTTACTAAGTATTAAATAGCATAAAACAGAATTTATTATCTTAAAGTATTTTATCATAAAAATTCAAAATTTAGTAAAACAATTTTAAAAAGAAGAAAAGAAGGATGGAAAAGGTCAGTGGAAAAAGTCAACTTAAATGTAGCAAAATGAGAACCCCTGATTAATCTAACTTTCTGTTTCATTGAATTAAATTTATGTTGAGTCTTTATTTTTATGTATTTATTTATTTTTGTAGTGGTGAGAACACATTACTTGAGACCCACACATTTGTACTCATTTAAATAATCTTATTAATGCTAACAATAGCGAGAACTTTAGGCAACAGAAAACCTGACCGTATTAATATCAGAACAACTTGCAATTGGAAGTAGATGAAAAGGCTCTGGACTTTCCCCAGAAGACCTTGGACTTTTCTGCTACTATGTTGGTGACCAGATTAAGTGAGACAATTCAAAAATGCAATGACAAGCTATATCACCCACACTGACATGACCAGAGTTAGTGGAAGAAGTGGTGGGTAATTGGTTACCAGAATTCTCAAGGTCAATGATTCAAGACAAACTTTAAAAAATGATAATTAAAATATTCTACTTTTTGACCTTACTCTTTGTGGTCCAAACTTCTTATCAAGTTCTTCCATATTTATATTTTTCTTCATTACAAGATAATTGCTTCAGTTTGAGTATTGTTCCAATTTTGAGTGAGGTAGATGCAATCTCACCAAAAGTACTCACCAAAACTTTGTATTGGTACTTGTGGTACCATCGTTGTGCCATTTATAAGAATATAAAACATTGCACATTGCCATCAGAGTTCACCTAAATTTGTCTCAATTTCTATAGTCTCTTTCATTTTCTCTCACATCTCCTTTCTCTCAGTGTTTCTCTTACTCTCATGAAAATCTGGCTAACTTATTTTTGATAACCTAGTTTTTGTCTTTCTTTTTTCCTAAATAAATATACTTCCCTTCTAAATCCCCTTTAATTTTTACACTTTATTCAAGATCCAGAAATGCAACAGTTAAGTTTAATCTGATAATGCCCCTAACATGTAATTATAAAGTCTCTATATTTCTAAACATAATTTATTGATCTATCTTATCATTAATTATCTTGTGGTTTCTAGGTCTATTTTTTAATAACTGTAAAGTCTGCTATTTTCCAGGAGTAATTAAATAAATATATCAATGTATTTTAGTAATTCAAAAGTGCTACATTAAATTCATGGTGCAATATCTCTAGTTCAGAAATCTAAAGGTGTATGATGCATTAAAAACGCAATACTTCAAAGACATAGAGCATATTTATTGTATTTATATCCAAATCAATCATTTTATAGTCACTTCCTTCTTGCCTGTTGCATTCTTAAAGCAAATACAGTTTAATGTAATTTAAGGTACTTCTATTCTGATTAACCAAGTTTTTCTCTAAAATAATAGGGATTCTTTTAAAAGAGGGCATATCATAGAGTTTTACAACACAGTCTTTGGAGTGAGTGTTCCATCTATTTAAATTTCTAGTCTGCCGTTTACAAGTAATGTAATCTTAGGCAAGTTAATTATGATTTAAATCTACTTACTTGGTTTTAATAAGGCTTTCTTATGACTCCTCTGGGTTGTTGTACGAATTAAACTCTTGGGGATGAAGTGAGATAAGTCTGATTCCACAGATTACTCTGAACGAACATTTTCTGCTCTCTCATTTTAAACAATCTCAATTCCAATAAAAGTACTAGTATGGGCTTGAGCCAAAATAGCCAATACTCATGTCAAAAATAGTTATCAAGTAAAATAATAAAATAAAAATAAAAGGAAGGCATTTGCAAAAAAGAATAAAAGCTAGGGTTTAAAGTCAGTCAGTGCTAGACTACAAAACATAAAGACTTCACTACTTACAATTTCTTGGCTATTCTCCGCAAGTTATTTGATCTCCCTAACTCCTTTTCTTTTTTCTAATTAAATTAACGTCATTTTTATAGGGCCGTAATGCAGATTAAATAAAATAAGCCATATATAAAATATAGCACAGTTCTAATTAAACAGTCAATAAATAATACCTTATATTAAAATTCTCAATGTTGTCATCATCATTAAAAGTGTCTATTTTGAGAGCACAATTACACTTTTTTATTATCTGAAATGGGTCCATATAATTTTACAGGGTGTTGTTAATATGAAGGTTTACATTTAAAATAATCTGTGAAGAGAGAAATACATTTCAAACAAATAAATATACTATACAATTTAACCACTAGATTATCAGCATCCATTACATTACTTAAAGATTACCACAGTCTTCAAATTGAGAATTAGATTATCAATGTATATAATCTCTTTATTAAAATATTCTAGACTTTTTATGTACTTTGATAATTCTTAAAGATAAAATTTTTTGTCTAGTATAACAGTTATTTATTATAGTGACTGATCCACCACAGTCACACAATAATGTTTATACACTGAATCAATTGAGTGTAAATGTGTTTTAAATCATTGAAGAAACTTTTTTAAAAAATTGTTATTCTGTATCATTTATCAGGTGTGTCAAGTATGTTCTTTTTTGTCTCAGAGAAAGTAATGTCCTCCTCTCCAACCTGGCAACAGAGCGAGACTCCGTCTAAAAAAAAAAAAAAAAAAAAAAAAAGTAATATCCTCCTTATTCTTCCAGAAGACCATTATCCTTTAATAAATAATTTTATTTAAAATTTTAATTTGCCCCCTACATTTATTATATTCCCATACATCACCATTTTACTCTTCACTACCAATTACCTTTCCTTTTGGGAGACTTAAGCTATGCAAATATGTATTTTGTTTGCTTTTAATGTAATCTCTGGAATTCACATTTTTTCACAGTGCAAAATTAAACTACATTTATTAAATAATAATAAATGATTTCTTACTGTGGGCGCTTACAATGGGTAAATAGCAAGATATTTTTAAAATGTCTTGATAGTAAAAGATAGAAGGAAGAATGAGTACCACCCTTATGAAGAAAAGAAGGGAAGTCATTCAGAATAGACAGAAATAGAATCTGAGGGAAGTATTTTGAGTAATGAAATGACACAAAGACAAACAAAAAAATAGAGTTTAAGAAGATTCCTCGAGTCCCAAAAATTATTTTAAATCTCCACAATGGAGAGAGAAATTTTAAATAGACAAAAAAAAAAAAGAACAAATATCTATCGGAAGGCAGTAAGCATATGTCCGTTTTTTCCCAAATGTTTGCCAACTGAAACTTAAAGTAGCCTAATGAAGTCTATTGTGGGGAGAGAATCTAAAAATCAACCTTCATCATAGATAAGTGAGTAGTCACTATGGTCAAGGGGGAAATATCATAGAAAGGAAGAAACAATGATCTATGTTAGTTAAATTCTGAGTTCAGCTCAGTTAAAGCAGTATGTAAGAAACATTTTTTTTTAGGTCCAGCAGCAGCTGTGTCAGAATAGAAACAGATGAGAGACTTAGATATAGATTAGGAACAGTTAGAGGAATTAGTGTGATTAAAAGCTTTTATACCTAATATGCCTAGATGCACAAAATGTTCTGAAACTTCAGCATCAAAGAAAAGCTGGCATAGAGGAAAAGCAGGGAAATGCATGCAGCTCAGCACTGTGAGGGCATTTAGAGAGTAATATTTATCTTATTTCTGGAAGAACATCAGGGCAAAAATGAGTTAATCAGTATGATAAGAGGGGATTAAGACAACAAATACGTTATTGTATTATGTCCTTTGCCTTAATGATCCGTCTGCTTTCTGTTTTCAGGGGCTAAACACATGTAATACAGACAATTAGTTATTTAGATCATTGACTGCTGTTTGTTTAATATAATTTACTTAAAATTTAAGTTAACCTCTGTTTCTGTGTTTTTCAAAAACTAAAGGATGGAGAGAGTAGAACTTCAATTTTCTAAACCATCTCATAGCTCACTATAGCATGCAAATAGAAGATAAATAAGTAGTATCAAAGGTATTATGTTGTTGCATTTTAGTCACATTTGAATTGTCGAAAGCACCAATAACAGAAGAAAAAAATTGAAGATAGTGAACAATAAGCCAATAGGAGAGAGTGATTTTGATTATATTCTTCTACCTCATCACTGCTCCTCTTCCTCCTCCTCTTCCTTCTCTTTTTCTTCCTCCTCCTTCTTCTGTCTCTCTCATGTATCTATATGTATATAGATAAATAATATAAATGTATTAAATATATTTAAATAATATAAATGTATTAATGTACATTTAAATAATATAAACATTTAAATAATATAAATGTTCTCATTAATATATGGTGTATTAATATATAATATATACTATATATGTGACATATAAATTAATATAAATTACATTATATAAGTATATATAAGTAATGTGTACTATGTAAGTATATATAGTATATATGTATTTATATATAATATAAATTAATATAAATTATATTATATAAATATATAAATTATATTATATAAGTCTGTATACTATATATGACATATAAATTAATATATTATATATTATATGTGATATATAAATTAATATATACATTATATATACTTAAAACATTTGTATTATTAAAATGTTTATATTATTTAAAAGTACATTTAATAAATTTATATTATTTAAATATATTTATTATTATATACTTAGTATATATAGAATATATATATAGAATATATAATATATATAGTATATATATGCACTATATGTAGTATATATAATAGCATATATAGTATATTTATACTATATGTGTATAGTATACTATATATACTATATAGTATACTATATAGTATATATAGTATATATACTATATATGTATAGTATATACATATATACTATATATACATATATACATATACATATATACATATATACATATATGCATATACATATATACATATACATATATACATGTATACTATATATAGTATATATACATGTATACTATATATAGTATATATACTATATATAGTATAATACATGTATACTATATATACATATATACTATATATATTATATATACTATATACTATATATAGTATACTGTATACATATATATACATATACTATATACATACACATATATATAATATGTATACATACAATATATATACATATATAGTATATATACTATATATACATATATAGTATATATACTATATATAGTATACTGTATAGTATATATACCATATATATAGTATACTGTATAGTATATATACCATATATATAGTATACTGTATAGTATATATACCATATATATAGTATACTATATATAGTATATATATAGAATATATACTAAGTATATATATGTATATATAATATATACACTTAGAGCCATTTTAGTTTGATTCCCCTCTATATAAGCTGAAGTACAAACACACACAAATTGTTTACTTTGCTTTTACAAAGTAATATTTTTGCAAACTTACAGATTTAAATTGAATTTAAATTCATTTTAAAATATTGTATTAAATACATGTATTCATTCGCTAGGTCTGCCATAAAAAAGAACAACAAAATGAGTGGTTTAAGCAACAGAAACTTATTTCTGACAGCTCTAGAGGCTGGAAGTCTAAAGTGTATGTGATGGCAGTGTCAGTTATTTCTGAGAGCTGTGAGGGAGTTTTTTTTCTATGCACCTCTCCTTGCTTCAGGTGGCCTCAGGTGTTCTTTGATTTGTACAGGACATTCTCCCTGTGTCTTCACACCATCTTACCGTTCTACACGTTTGTCTCTATGTCCATTTTTTTTTCTTTTTATAAGGACAGCAGTAATATTGGATTGGGTTTGACGCTAAAACTTCATCTTAACTTGATCATCTGCAGAGACTGTACTTCCGAATTAGATCCCATTCACGGATATTGAAGGTTAGAACTTTCAAATATATCTGAGGGAAAAAAGAAATTCAACCCATAACAACAATCTTTGCCATTAATTAATTGACTTCGATTGCCTCAACTCTGTGTTTTGAGAGCCTGGGAAATGTCCTTCTTGCAGTGCTAAAAAACAGTAATTTGGAAAATAGGCCTAATTTTTTTTTCCAGTGATGCTTTTCCCACAGGTGAAAATACATTTTAAAATGTCCAACTAAATACTGTGGGGCTTACAAATATGATAAGGCATTTTCTGTAACCTAAATTTACGTTGTATTCAGTGGTGTTAAAAGAAAAATTTTAGCCAAATTAAATTTAAAAGAATTTAATTGAGCAAAGAAGGCTTCGCAAGTCAGGTCGTCTCCAAAGCCAGAGTAGGCACAGAGACTCCAGCTCAACCATGTGGCGGAAGAAGAGTTATGGACAGAAAAAGGAAAGTGACGATACAGATAAAGTAAGTGAGGTACAGAAACAGCCGGATTGGTTACACCTCGGTGTTTGCCTTATTTGAACACAACTTGAACAGCTAGCCACCTTTGGCCACAACTCAGTGACTGGCACGACAGTAGTCTGAAGTCTGTTTATGACTCTATTTAGGTTATAGTTCATTATGTACAGAGAAAACTTTGGGCCAAATTTAAAATATGTAAGGAGGCAGCTTTAGGCTAAACTTGATTTAACAGTGAGATGAAGCTTAAATACGTAAGTATAGAAATAACAAGAGCAAGAACAACTCAAGGACTTAATAGAAGGCAGTGCTTGGTTAATAGCTAATTAAATGTTACAGATATTCAATATAAGAGTTAAAATGAAAGCATAATTTATTCTGGGTAGGCTGAATAGTTATTCTGGTAGGATTTAAGCTGGAAATCAAATCGGGGATACATTTTAGAGAGCTAAATAAAAGCAAAAACAATAAGTAAGGTAAATATTAGATATGAGAAAAAAACTTGAGCTCAGAAAATAATCAGGTAATTTCTCAAAAACACATTTCCATATAAATAAGGTAAACTGAGAAGTGACTGGAAAGGTAGGCCTAGGAAAAAGTGAACTTTTTAATTAATTAATTAATTAATTATTTTGAGAGAGAGTCTTACTCTCTAACCCAGGCTGGAGTACAGTGGCACAAACATGGATGACCACAGTCTCAATCTCCCGAGCTTAAGCAACCTTTCAACCTCAGCCTTCCATGTAGTTGCAACACAGACACGTGCCACCATGCCTGGCTAATTTTTTTATTGTTCATAGAGATGAGGCCTCACTTTGTTTCCCAGGCTGGTCTTGAACTCCTGAGTTCAAGCTTTCCTCCCTCCTCAGCCTCCCAAAATGGGAAGATGTGAATATAAATGTTAGAGAACAGAGTTTAGGTAGATCTTGATGTAGGAAGTGTTTGGATTCGTTAAGTGCTAAGTTGAAATTCATCACTTAACATTTATGAATTCTGAGGTCTAAAAAGCCATTTTTAATTCTAAATTTTTTTTTGGTTGTTCAGTTGCTAAAAATAAATACATAGGTCTGGATAGCTGACAAGTTTGGCAAGTGTGTTTTTTGTTGGCACATTAAAGATGACTCAAGGAATAACCAAATACTGTAGTTCACAATGATGATCTTTCTATTTGTAATCAGCTGAGCTCTCTCCTGCCCTGGCTATGACCACTATTTTCTCCACTAGTGTCAGTCTCACCCCAGTTCTTTGCACAATTAATTCCTTTTCATTTTTCAATGTTCACCTTAAATATTACCTTCCCAGAGAGTCATGTATTGATCGCCTTCCTCTCTTACACTTGAGTACAATCTCACTTGTTCTACTTTACAGCACCAAGCGAAATTAGTAATTGTTTTTCTACTTACTTGTTCTTTGCTGTACCTTTTAACAAACTATAATAATGTCAATAAGACTATATTGTTTATTGTTTTGTGTATATGTGTGTATATATATGTATAGTTTTGGCATGCCATCAGGTTATGACATTTTAAATAAAAACAGAAAACAAACAATAAAACATTTTCTTATGAGAAAAATACAGCCTCTCTTACTGCTATGGAATGAATGTGGGTGTCTCCCCAAAATCTGTGTGTTAAAATTCTAACTCCTAAAATGATGGTAATACGAGATGCATCCTATGATAGGTGATTAGGTCCCGAGGGCAGAGCCCTCAAGAACGGGATTAGTGACCTTATAGAAAAGACTCTGGAAAACTTCCTCATCTCTTCTGCCATGTGAGGACACAGTTGGAAAATGAGCATCTATAAGCCATAGGAACAAGGCCCTCAGTAGATGCTGAGTTTGCTTGTGCATTGACCTTGGACTTTTCAGCCTACAGAACACTGGGAAATACTTCTTTACATGTATGAGCTACCCAGTGTATGCTATTTTTGTTATAGCAGCCTGAACTGACTAAGATAGAAATTGGTACTGACAAATGGGGGTGCTGTTGTAACAAATACCTAGAAATGTGGAAGCAATTTTAGAACTGGGTGATGTGCAGAGACTGGAGGAGTTTTGAGGTGAATGCTAGAAGCCTGCATTGCCATAATTGAACCATGAAGAGTGGTTCTGATGAGGGACCAGAAAAAAAACAAGGAGGAGCTCTATAAAAAGCCTCAGTCTTCTTTTAGAATATCTAAGTAATTTTGAACAGAATGTTTGCAGGACTGTAGATAAGAAAGGCTCTTCTCATGAGATCTCAGATGGAAACAAGCAACAAGCTATTGGACAATGGAGAAAAGGCAATCCTTATTATAAAGTGGTAAAGAACGTGACTGAATTGTGTTCATATTCTAGTATTTTGTGAAAGGGAGAATTTCTGAGCAATGTAACTGGATATTTAGCTGAAGCAATTTTTAAGTCAACTGTTTGAAGGAGTGGTCTGGTTCGGCTTGACTACTTGTAATAAAATTCAAGAAGAGATAAATGACTTATAGATAAAATTGGTAAGCAGAGCAAAAAGAGAACTTAAAAGATTTGAAAATTTCTCATCCTATCCATATTGTAAAATCTAAATAAGTATATTTAGGGGAGAACTAAGAGTGTGGCCAAACATTTGTCTGACAAAAAGATTAGTATGAGTGTAAACTGTGAATTAAATCAGCCATGCCAGGAGGAAAACTATCAGCTGGAACTGAAGGGGAAGAAGATGGTAAGGAATAAAAATAGACTGTTGGACTTCTGAGATTTTTCTGAATGGGACCACAGAGCTATTAGACTGAGAACATATACTATTCTTCAAGCAGAGGAAAAAATGACACCAAAGGTGACTCAGAGATTATTAGGGCTGCATTTTTGGTTTCAAGAGAGGGTACAATGCCTTATTTTCAAAGGCCAGTTGGCTACTGCCCAAAGCTGTGGGGTCACAGCCACCTAGAGCTGTAAGACAGGGCCACCTGGCAGAGTCCTGAAGGTATGACCTCTGCCGGGTAGAGCTGTGGGGGCGGGACCTCCACCCCCAGTTCTGGATGATGGTACTCCCACCCCAGTGGTTCCAAAAGGCCAGACTTCCCCTATCCCATTGGGTCTGCAAGGTGAGTCCCCCGCCCCAGTGAACTCTGCTTTTTCTTTTTCATAGAAATCCCAATAAAGGCTCTAATCCAAGCCTCCTCCTTGCCACCATTTTTTCTCCTGCCCAGCGTGGTGTCTTTTTCTTGTGGCCCTGAGTGTCATGCCATGCCTCCAGTCTCTAAGACCTATTAGTATAATAAATTTTGTTTTCCTGAGCCTGTTTTTTGTCATCTCTTAGGGCCCCACCTGACTCTTCATCTCATAAAAATATGAAATATTTGTGTTCACCATTTTCACTCTAACATTAACAATACGATGTAACGCATAAATATCTGATACAAAAATAATGGTTGAATAAATATATCTAAGTTTATAATTTTACCTATCATTATTATTATTCTACACATAACAGAATTACATTAATTTTTTAGCAGCAGAAGGTGAGAGTGAATCTCTCACAAATAAACAATTCTCTGCCTCATACCATGTAAATACACTTATTATCCTAACACTAACCCCCAAAACACAAACATCCATAGAAAAACACAAGCACAGCCATACAAGCAGTTACAGTCGGACTCACAATCATTTAGGGAGTTAACCTTAGTCATGAAGCAGCCCCTGCCATATATTTCATATGCTATCAGAGGAACTGCATAGGCCCTCAAGACACACAGTTAAATACACACACACACACACACACCCTCACAATCACTGTATTAGGATTCTTCAAACACGGAACCAAAAAGGGTGTGTATGTATGTATTACTTTATCTAAATGTAATACATAATGTATATCTTATTTATATATATATTTCAAAATAAATTTTTCAAAATAAATTATACAAACACAAGTAAATATGTGTGTGTGTTTGTGTGTGTATAAGTTATTTTGAAAAATTGGCCGCGTAATTGTGGAGGTTTGATGGGTCCAACATCTATTTGTGGAGGCTGGGAGGGCTGGCAAGCTGGAGACGCAGGAAAGAGTTGTGGCTTAAGTACAAAAGCCATCTTCTGGAGAATTCAAGAAGAGCCAATGTTGCAGACATCTGGATAATTCCCTCTTGCTAGAGGGAGGTCAGACTTTTGCTCCCTTTAGGCCTTCAACAGATTGAATACGCTTGACTCATATCATGGAGAAAAATCTGCTTTATTTAAAGTCCACCAGCCTAATGTAAATCTCACCAAAAAATATTATCACAGAAACATTCAGAATAATGCTTGAGCAAACATGTCAACCTGGCTGCTGTGGTCTGAATGTGTCCCCCAAAGTTCTGGTGTTGAAAACGTTATCCTCAATTTTACATTGTTGAAAAGTGGGACCTTTAAGAGGGGATTAGGTCATGAATAGATTAATGTCACTATCCCAGGAGTGGGTTAGTTATTGCAACAGTTGGTTCCTGCTGAAAGAATAAATATAGGCTTCTTCCACTCCCTCTTTCATGCACTCTTCCCATTCTGTTTACTGCTGTGGGAAGATGCAGAAAGAAGGCTCTTGCCAGATGCTGGTACCTTGATATGTGACTTCCCAGTCTCCAAAACTGTGAGAAATAAATTTATTTTTTTAAAAAATTACCTAGTCTGTGGAATTCTTTTATAGCAACATAAATGGACTAAGACACTGGCCGAGCCAAGTTGGCATATAAAAATTAACCATCACAAGAACAATCACAAAATCATAGTCAGCTGGCAGAATACTAGAATACACAGAGGAAAACAATGTTGGAGAGAGATTTTTCTAATTATTATTTTTTTAAGATTGGAAAGAATAACACCTTTTCTTCTCCCAATTATCTGCAAGATATTTCATGATCTAAAGTAGCAAATTTTGAGAAATTCTTAGAAAGATACTTAAGAAGTCAAGGGGACAGAGATCATACATCCTACTTAGAGAGCAAGAGATAATTACTAAAGTGGTTTGTGAAACCACATGATCTGTCTCTCTCACTGAAAACTACACGTTGTGAGACAGGGACTCTGTACTATCTACTGCAGTTTTCTCAGAATATAATACCATGTCATGTATATACAAGAGTTAAAAATGAAACAAACAAAAAAAACCCACAGAACCACAAATGAATGATATAAGAATGTATTGAAAGATAACAAGAAGATGTACTCACTAAGGTAGTACAATGTAATATGTAATACAAAGGGTTAAAATTAAAATCAGTCTAATGATGATGTATGTGCATAGATCAATCAATACCTCCATGTAGAAATTCAAGACATAGACCAATACTACATAAATATTAGACAAATAATGCTGATCAATAAAAAAAGACTTCAGTCAAAATGAGTCTAAAAATATTTTTAAATACAATTAATACAATATTAATATAGCAATTATAAAAAATTGTAAGAGTAGCAATTGTAAGCAATTTCAATACATTTGAGCTTTTATATATTCAAGATGTCACGCTGGGCATTTTACAAACTTAGTCCATTCATTTCTTTAAAAAGTATCACTTTTTGTTAAGACAGATTACAAGATTGCAAGTCCCCACTGAAGAATTTTGATTCATAATTTGGTGTAGACTTGAAAATATGCATTTCTAACAAGGGTCACATTTGAGAGCCGCTGATCTACATAAATTTTAATACAACAATTTTTTTTTTTTTTTTGAGATGGAGTCTCACTCTGTCCCCCAGGCTGGTGTGCAGTGGCGCTATCTCAGCTCACTGCAACCTCCGCCTCCCGGGTTCAAGTGACTCTCCTGCCTCAGCTTCCCGAGTAGCTGTGATTACAGCACCTGCCACCATGCCTGGCTAATTTTTGTATTTTTAGTAGAGACAGGGTTTCACCATGCTGGCCAGGCTGGTCTCAAACTCCCAACCTCAGGAGATCCGCCCACCTCGGCCTCCCAAAGTCCTGGGATTATAGGTGTGAGCCACTGTGCCCGGCCAATAAAACAAATTTTAAAACCCACATTGCTTTCTTCCATAAACTATGCTTAGTTTCAAGACATTATTAACAATTCTCAAAATATCCCATTCTATTTTATATTACCTAGGATTTTGGAAAAAGAAATCACTATAATATTTCACATAAAAATCCATATTCATTTATTTTGCCTTTATTAATATTTTAAAATTAACTACACAAATCTATAATTGATCATTAGTTTTATGGTCTTATCAAGGCTTTTGTTTTCCCTATTGATAATGTTTTTTATTATGATACTATATTTTATTTATTATTCTTTGAATTAATTCTTAAATGTGATATTATTCCTTCTGGATAAAACACTGACACCCATACATATTGGGGAACGAAATAATTATTCTTTAAATTTTGTGGAAACACCTGTGTTTCTTCAAGTGTTCAATACTTGTATCTAGTACTAGTTATTTGATTAACTGAAGAGACTACTTTTATTTTTTCAAAAAAGATCAGCCCCAAAACAATTATTTACTAAATGGTACTACCATCTGAATTTCCTTCTGACACTAAAATGTACATGCAATAATTTGAATTCACTATTTATAAATTCAATTTATGTTATTACATATTCTTAAATAAATAACTCTTTGTTAGTAAATATAAACTGCAATATTACCTAGAAAGGGATGATAAATTATAAACTATTTGAATGTAGTAGCTGAATAACTGTTTGCTTCCTTTCCTACTTAAAACTATAAATGTATAAACCTTTCTATAATTATTTAGTGATAATTAGGTGACTATCACTTTTAATTTTTCTATCAGAAAAAAATGGCAATACTATTAAGTATATAAAAGTTAATCTTAGTGGACAATACTTCAAATTTCATACTTATAGTTCAAAGTTAACATATTATCCTGCAATATATTTGCTTCTAAATAAATGAAAAGTAAATATAGCAATAGTGTTTACGATTTAAAATAAATATATGCAATAGCTTAACCATCATCCATATGAAAACTAATAAACATTTTCTCAAGAAAGCATTCAAGACAAAAATATTTATATTTACTTGGCCATTTAGTTGTCAGACATTCAAAAGGGCTTTTTGGACACAGGTGTCTACCTTGTGACTTGATTCAATTGATGTGTTAAGTTCATAAAAGCATCCTGCAAACAACTCTACATCCCTTCTTGACTATTTTTCACTTCACTTAGGCAAATACCACTAAGGAATAACAGCATTAGCTGGAGATACCATTCTCAGATCTTCAAGGTAATTGTGCTTGTATATGTTATTTAAATTCTTAAAATGGCTTTAGAGAGGCTTTCATTTCTACAAGAATTAGTATTATGAAAGGCACACATGTAAGAGAACATTTATGTTAACTTGATATTGTACAAACATTAATAAAAGTAAAAAGAATTAGACTTTATAGATGCTTTGAGAGTGCCTAGCTAAATTGGGATTCCAGTACCAGAGTGGCTAGCAACCCTAGCAACCCTGTCTTAACATGAAATGAAGAGGAACAGGATGTGAGTGTTTACAGGGTGTCTGCCATGAGATACTTCTTTTACCTGGCACATGGCCTTATGCTTAGTGGTCCAATCTGATACCTGGGAAACGGAGTACAGGTCCTTGCACAAGAAACTTGTTTATACTGTCAGAGGCCCTTGTGTGTGGTTCTTGTGTGAGCATGTCCAGTTTTATGCCTGTCTGACCATCACTGTGGTGCTGAGAGCCTGACCTTGTGTTCCCCCTGGTGTTCCAGGGAAATCCTGGGCTGGAGAAGCCCCTAGTTTTCCAAGTGGAAGGCACATATTCCATATACCACCATGACAGGAAACTAGTTCAAAGATTTCTACTTGAACCTGGGCAGGGAAAGAATAATGAGGGCAGTCCTCTGTCCCTGGGTCATCCAAGACAGGAATGAAGAGTCAAGCAAAAAGACAGAGAGAGATTGAGTGAGTGGTAACTAGTGGTATATAAAAGGGAATAGAGTGTGGGTGACTTCAAGTTCAAGGACAAATGCCTAAATTTTCCATTTTAAAAAAGTGGCAAGAAAGCAGGGAGTCAAATATACTAGTCAGAAAAGATGTTTCTAAGTTCTTATCTCTGGCCCATGTTTGACCCGTGTCAGTGGGATGTAGATCTAGAAACGGTGTTAAGGGTAATTGGACTCTGCTTCTGGTATGAAGAAATTAAACTTGTATTCAAAATGGATGCCAAGACAACATAAACCTATGGGAATTCACCACAACAGAGTGCTTACATGACAAAAGTTTCTTGGATTCTGTTTTGCTTTCAGAAAACTCTGACTCTCTGATTTTAGTTAATTTGAATTAAGCTTCCCATTATGACAGCACTTTACTTTGAAGTGGGATTTTTGAATGTCAAGAATGAAAATCACCTCCCAGTTGGTTGACAATTTATTAAGGCAAGAGGTCTCGGGAGATTAGCACACATAATATTGTAAGACATAATGTCATAGGGCTTGTTGTTACAAAACAAACATTTTAATATGGATCAGAATGCATTTTGAGTCTCTCTTTTAAAAAGTCAGAAAAGGCATTAAAAGTGTAACATTAATATGAATGTTTTTATATTCGCTTCTGAAAAACAAAATATCAAGACTATTAAAATTTTTCAAATGTGCATGTGTTAAAGCCTGTCGAAATAAATAAAAATTGGCCATGTTTGTACTATTAAAAATAAGCTAAGTGGAGAAACATCAATCATGTGTGTTACATTGTGTTTCTTTCCCTCTGCAGAATTGTAATTGCCCCTCACCTGTTCTTACTGCTAGTATTATAGTCAGAATTTTTTCATAGTTGATTAGCAGTCATCTCCCATGTCTTCAGAATATGTTGGATATGATGATGATCATAATCCAGCTTGTTTTATGGTACTCAAGTAGCAAATTGAGAACTTAAGATGAAATATAATTTTAATTTGAATATAGGAATGATTGAATTGAATAAGCAAGTATTGTGCTGTTAGATTGTGGCAGATCTTTCATTGTTAGGTTTGATAAGGCAAATTTTTTATATAAAGTTTATTGTCAAAGTATGAATATAAAATGTTACCTGTGCCTTACTAGAGAAAGGTATAAGTTAGTAGAGAAAGCATAAAGGAAAGGAAGAGATACTTCATTAATCCCCAGTGTTTATGTTACCACTGTTCAATCTTAAACAATATATTGTATTTCCATTTCCATATAGAGAGAGTTTACTTTTAAAGGCATATAATTATTAATATATTTTATAAGTTTGAAGAAAATGGAAAGTAAACTATTGTTATTTGAATTATAAAATAGCAATGGTTTAACTTAAAAGTTTATTTCTGAATATATTAATCAACAACAATAATTTATTTTTAACTTAATCATAACGAAAGTGGAGGCAGCATTTGTATGCAGATAGTTAGGTTTTCCCCAGAGATACTCTTTTGTGCTCCCTCGCGTTCTCTCTCTCTCTCTGGCTTTCACTCTGTGTTTTCCAACCCATGGATAATACACACAATTCAACAAGATGCAAAATTTATGGGAAAGAATAAACTTGTATTAATTTAGCAATTATTCTGTGTCAAACTCTGTACTAGATGTGTACCTGTCTATCACCCACCTATCTGAACATTAGGAGGTAAATTGCTTGAGATTATGTCACTCGTAAGTGCTAAAGCTTAAAAGAATATTCTAGACTATTTGATTAGAAAGCCCATACCCTTTTCTTCCATGATAAACACTTCCAATCCAAGTGGCTATGGTATAAGTCTCAACATTTATCAAAATAATAAAGAAATTTTCAAGTACTATGGTTTTATTTGTCAAAGAGGAATACCACTGATGTTTAGATAATTTCTTTATGTGGATACTAAAATATTTAACTTGAAAATCTATGTCTTAAGGATAATATACATATGAGCTTCTGATGATCACAGAATAATTTGACCTTTTATTAATCATGTACCATTTTAAATGATAAATTCAGAAGTTGTTAAAATATTTAGAAAGGTTAATTTTATAATATTGGTGATTAGCTCTACTGAAATCAACTGTGATATCAAACAGAAGCTCTATACCCTGCACTTGTGTATAATTAAACGGCATCTATTCATTAATTACTCACTTATCATTTTGTACCTGTATTCATCTGGATATAGTATCAAACTAGAGCATTGTAGACCAGCATATAACCAATAGTAATATGTATTTATTCAATCAGCAAATGCTGCAGAAGAAAACACTATATTCTAGTTATAAACATTATTAGCATATATCAAAAACTACTATAAACTAGTTTTCAGTATGGAATATATGGAAAATAAATTCATAAATATAATTTAAATAAAATTAACATAACAGAAAAATGTCATCCTCTGTAACAATCAAAGTAGAATTTAATTATATATATAGTCACTTCGAAAAATAAAGGTAAGAGTATATACCATAAAAAATTGTTAAGATTCAATGGTATAAAAAATTATGAAAATCTACTCTAAATTTTAAGTCACTGTATACATTAAAACTGCAGTTTCTATATATTTGACAGCATTCTATGCAGATATCAAAAATTTTTACTATACTGGACTCTAACTACAGGTAATTATAAATTTTGTGTGTAACTGGTCCTCTGGGTACTTAGCTATTTAGTATTATTCTGGGTCTCTCTGTGAGGGTGTTTTGGATGAGATAAACTTGTGCATTGGTACACTGAGTACAGTAGTTTCATCTTATCCTTGGAAGGGAGATAGCTTCCAAAATCTTCAGTGTATGCCTGAAACCACAAATAGTTCTGAATCTCATGGCTGTCAGTTGGGACATATTTCTGTTCATTTCTTCCACCCACAAATGTAAAGCCTTTCCCATCTTAACCAAGCACTTATCACACACTGTGGCTGTAATTTTTGCAGTTTGAGGTGGGACAGCAAAACTATCCTGAATTTCTTTTGTTCTTCACAATTCCGTGGATAGAAAATTTGCTTTTACTGAAAATTTTAGCAACCTCAACATACAATATTTTTCCTTGTTAAGTTGAGGACTTTCACTTTTTCCCTTAAAGGAAGCACTTTAAAATTTATTTTTGGCATATTTGAATTATCAGCATCACCACTATTCTACTTTGGAGCCATTGTGAAGTACAATAAGAGGTCCTCGAACACCAGCACTGCTGCTGCATTGCTATACTGCAAAAGCCAAGCTAAGAACCAAGCAGCTACTAAGTGACTAATGGGGTAGGCGGTGTATACAGCATGGATCTGTTGGCAAAGGGGTGATTAGCGTCCTACCAGGGAAGGTGTGGGATGCTGTGAGATTGCATCATGCTGCTCCAAATGGCATGTAATTTAAAACTTATGAATTATTTCTGAAATTTCCTGTTTGACATATTCGAATCATGCTTGACCATGGGTTAATGGAACTGCAGAACTGCAGATAAGGGAGGATGACCATGAAGCAGCTAGCTATCCCTAATGTGAGTGGGCTTCATCCAATCAGCTGAGGAGCTAAATAGAACAAAAAGGCCGAACCTCCTCCAAGTAAGGGAGAATTTTTCCTACCTTCATACTGAGACTGACATATCAGCTCCTCCTTGGTCTTCATCCTGCTAGTTGTTAAACTGGAATTGCACCATCAGCTCTCCTGGTTCTCAAGTTTTTGGACTCAAACAGGAACTACACTATTGGTTCTTCTGTGTGTGCCTCCAACATTTCAACTCACCCCAGAAATACTCAGATTGTCAGCCTTCATAATCACAGGAGATCTTTTCTTATAATAAGTCTTCCTTTTCTCTTTTCTTTTCTTTCTTTCTTTCTTTCTTTCTTTCTTTCTTTCTTTCTTTCTTTCTTTCTTTCACTCTCTCTTTCCTTCCTTCCTTCCTTCTTCTCATTCTTTCTCTCTGTCTCTCTGTCTCTCTCTCTCTCTCTCTCTCACACACACACACACACACACACACACACACACGCACACTCCATTGGTTCTGTTTCTCTGGAGAACCCTGACTAATACACTGTAAATGTCACTCTTACAAAAGATGATAACTGCTCTTAGTATTTTTTTATTTTTCTAGGTCCTCATTCATTGCCTAGTAAATGAATAATTGTTGAATGAGAAATTCTCAGATTAAGAGTTTTGGTATAACATATACCAATGGTACTCTATTGGTACAACATATCTTCACTTAACTGATTATTGACAGCCAGTGGCAGCAACTCATCTTTTGTTTTGATTCTAATTTTAGATTTCATTTTTCTCATTACAGTAAGACATTAACATTATAATTATGTAAGTTAAAAGTAAATTCCAAAATAACTTTTTTTCTATAAAACTGCATAGTATTTTGTATTCTTAGCTATTTCAAAAGTACAGAATAAATCTCATAGCTGGTCTAAGGTCTTATCAGCGTAATTCATGGAGACTTCCAAGAAACTGACTCCTATTCTATTTTCACAGTCTTAAGTTTGAAAATAGACTTAAATTCAGCTCTTAGCCTAGGTAGCCTTAGTGCAATGGGTGGAATTTTTTTTTTTTTTTTTTTTTTTTTTTTTTTTTTTTTTTTTAGAGACAGAATCTCGCTGTGTCGTGCAGTGGCACGATCTTGGCTTACTGTAATTTCCACTTTCTGGGTTTAAGTGATTCTCCTACCTCAGCCTCCTGAATAGCTGGGACTACAGGAACCACCACGCCCAGCTAATTTTTGTATTTTTAGTAGAGACAGGGTTTCACCCTGTTAGCCAGGATGGTCTCAATCTCTGGACCTTGTGATCCCCCCGCCTTGGCCTCCCAAAGTGCTGGGGTTACAGGCGTGAGCCATCGCACCCGGCCGGATATTTTTAATTCACAAATGTGGTGCATACTTAATCGTAAGTACCAGATTGTTTGTTCATTGAAAAATGTTGACACTAAGGAGATACACTGACAAGAATAAGAGATCTCTAATGTATAATCAGTGTCTGCAGTATAGCGAGGACTTAGGACAGATGCTGTGCTTCTAGAAGATCTGACATGACACTTCCTCAGACATAATCATTCCAACTATTTGGATTTAGGAGGCTGTAACTTAAACTTTTCTCTGTAACAAAACATGGAGCTGCTTTATCTACACTTTAACTGTGATAATTTTCTTCAATATCCCACAGGACAAATAAAACTTACTTGATTAGCCCTGATTTAATTTTTGAAGGACTTTTCATTGTAGCAACTTATAGGACATTATTGAAAACTATAATATAATTATTAGCATATATGCTTAAAACTTCCAAACTATTTTTCACTATTAGAAGCATTCAGTATATTGAAATGGTAAAAACTATTTGTAATATAAATGTAGATATTACTTACTTTTAGAGAAATTACATAAGAAATATTAAACATTTTGGTTGACTTCACAAAAGTGAAAACTTATATGTTAATTAGACTGAGTACATGGGATGCATAAAATTTTATTAATGATTTTTTCTCTAAGGTGAGAGAAAAACTGATTTTGTTTAAATGCTGATGGGATCCAGCAAACAGAAATATTTTGAAGACGTTGGTAACAGAAGGGAAAATTGATAGAAAAATGTCTCTAGAGAGCACAGAAATGGATGCAATACAAAGAATATATGAAGTCTTATTTCTCACCCTGAGAAAGCTATATCTTCCACTGCAATTGTTGGCAAAAGTAAAGAGTGGTGAGCCAGATTTCTGGTAGTCAATTAAGCTTCAGCAATTTCAACTTCTACACTCTCCCTGGTATCATACGGACTGGAAACCTGAGAATGGTTTTTCTCAGATTTCTAACTAACATAATGCCAGGTTAGATTCCACCATCAAGAGGTACGTGCATAACATACACAGACTGGAAGCTATAATTGTCTTCCAGAAGGATAGGAGTCCCAAGAGCAGAAAGTAGACACAAATTTCTCCCTAATTCTGGAAATTTTATTTAACAAATGTACTTTAGTGCTGTTAGTGGCCGAGGCTATTGGTGGCAGCTTCTTCACTTTCTGAAAAACAGTGGCATTATTCTCTGTCTTTCATTCTACCAGCTCTTCTATAGGCTTGCTAATACCTAACTTAAATATTATCCCTTCCAGTTTGAAATATTTAGAGCACTTTGTACTTTCTTGACTCAAACTTGACTGATGAAGGAATGTGGTTTCAAATATATTTACAGTTATAATGGCTGAAGTTTGAAGCAGTTTCAATCTGAAATGTAGGAAGCAAATTTAGTCATGAAAAGGAAGGGTTGGCTATTTTAAAGAAACAATATTTCTCTGCAGAGAATAAGAGAAAGAATTAACTTGGCAAATATGGTATAGCTTGGCAGCCATATAAACTAGGTAAATTTGATAATGAAGATAGAGTACCAAAACTGTTTTTTTTTTTTTTCCTATCCCAGCACTTTGGAAAGCTGAGGTGGGCAGATCACCTGAGGTCAGGAGTTCAAGACCAGCCTGGCCAACATGGCAAAACCCCATCTCTACTAAAAAAATACAAAAAAAAAAAAAAAAAAAAAAAAAACATTAGCCGGGTGTCATGGCAGGTACCTGTAATCCCAGCTACTCAGGAGGCTGAGACAGGAGAATTGCTTGCACCCCGGAGGCAGAGGTTGCAGTGAGCCAAGACTGAGCCATTGCACTCCAGCCTGGGCAACAAAAGCCAAACTCCATCCAAAAAAAAACAAAAAACAAAAACAAAAACAAACAACAACAACAACAAAAAGTAGCAATTAATGTCCCTGAAATTTCAAAAGTAGATTAAGGAAAAGGAAGCATTAAGCAGACCAACAAACCAAAGAAGTTCAGGATTTTAGTCCAAATGATTCTGATAGCCAAAGTAGGCTGCTTTAAGGGAGAAGTACAAATGTTGTACAAATAACCAAATAAGTGTGAGTGAAGCATTTAGGCTTATTTGATTTTATTTAGGTGCTTTTAGATTTTTTTATACTTTTAATGGCTGAAGGTAAGTTGATGAAGTAGAAAAGTGTGAACCTAGATTAATTATTTAGTATGACTATGGTACGTGTGGAGGGGAAACAGATTTTGAGATGTCAACTCTGGGTAATGAAGCACAGTGACTGGAAAATCTGGAATCACAGTATACATAGAGATGTGTGATTCATATTTTTCTTCAGGTAATTTATAGAAAAGAGAATTTTGTAGAGTAGCTTGGGGAGCTAATCCCATGGACAACAATGTTTGTAAAAGAGATGTGTGTTTAAGTCCAAAACAACTGACTCAGGAACACAATTCTGACACACAACCCACTTGTTTCTGAAATATAAATGTGCTCAGATATTTCTCAGTCCTTCACTTCTTCTTTAATCTGTGAACCTGAAAGTTTTATTATCTTATTCATATAACTTACTTCTGGGTATGGTCCAAGAAATAGGTAAGGCTTTGTTACTATAGGTAAAGATTTTCATTTCTGTTTTAATACTTCACCTTTTTTCCTTTTCTTATTTCTTTAAAATTAAAGGCTAACTATATGCCAGAGTATTGTATATTTCTTTATTCAATGTCAATATGGTTCAAGTTTTTTATCTGGTGTCTTAGTTTATTAACTATAGTTTGATGAAGTGAAATTAAATGAATAGTAGTGATTTAGATATGGTGAATTGCTTAATAATCTAGACAAGTCAGATCATAATGATCATATAAAGTGTTCAGGGCCAATTAATGACCAAAACCTTATTATAAGATTGCATGTATTAGAATATAAATATAAATACATGCTTTTTCTTTTAAATAAAATATGACATGTTGTTGAAAATTATCAGAATCACATCAGTCACAACTCATTCAAAAAATATCTAAAACGTACAAGAAATCATTACTATTTCCTCTACTACACTTTATTACATTTAGTTTTTCATCATAAATAAGAGTTCACTTTCTAAAGCCCCTCCCTCTGGAAAATCTCTCAACTAATTTCTGTTCTCTGAAGCTTCTCTCTTCTATCTTCTGGCCAGAAAGCTTGGGCATTACTTAGCTCATTCTGTTGCACTTTCTGCAAATGTGCCCATATCTGGGATAAAGCAGCACATGGAAAGATAAAGAAAAATAAAAATGAATATTCACCCCACAGCCTTTGGGCCACAGCTCCTCAACTCTGAAATAAAAATATTTTCTTTCCTTAGAGTTTGATTTCTCTTGGGGAGACGGAATGTTGTTGGTGTCCCCGATGTCACTGCCAAAGAATTTCTTTAGGCATAGTACAAGAAACAACAAAGAAAATATTAACCAAAAAAGTTGGAGGGATCCTCCACTTTCTCTCAGCATCTGGAGTTCCATTACTTAACCATGTGGCCAGATGGCTTCTTTATTAGTTTAAAGCATGCTATAAAAAATTACCTAAGCTTAGTGGTTTAAAACAACAGAAATGTGTTCTCTCACAGTTCTGTAGTTCCAGAGTTTGAGAGGAGTTTTACGTGCTAAAATTGAGGTGTGGGCAGTGCTGGTCCTCCTGGAGAGTGCAGGGCAAAATTTATTCATTGCCTCTTCCACCTTCTGATAGCACTAGCATTCCTTGGCCTATGGCTTTATCAATCCAATCTCTGCTTCACAAATCACATTGCCTTATTTTCTTTTACAGTCGAATCTTTCTCTATTTCCCTCTTCTAAAGACACTTGTGTAATTTACATTTAGGGCCCATCCAGTTAATTCAGGTTAATCCCTCCATCTCAAGATCCTTAATTTAATAACATCTGCAAATTTCCTTTGTCCATATAAAAAAAAAAAAACATTCACAGGTTTCAGAGAATACGACCTGTGTATCTTTGGGGCCATTTTTCAGTCTTCCACAGCTTCTGCTGGAACTCTTGTTATCAGCAGGCCTGTGCTCACTTTTTTGTTCAGGTTGTGGGATTCAGTTCAGGCTATGGGGATGCAGGAGAGAGAAAAAGGTAAGCACAGCTAGTTCAATGGAAATTCAAACCCTGGCCTTCTTCCCCAATCTGCCTCCTACTATTCAATTTTAAGATAGTTGTTCCTAGCATTCGGTCTAGGTTTAATAACTACATGTAGTGGGAGAGACAGAATGGTGTGTGCTTATGTCATCTGATCAAGAGCTATAACCTCCTAACATGGCTTTTTAACTTTCATATTTAAATCAATGTAATGTAAAAATTAAGTACTTAAACACATATTTAATGATTAGAATTAAAAAAAGCATTCCCCTGCTCTACCTTATCTCTTACCTGATTTCTGTGCCCCATAAGCTGCATTTACCATGTTTTTTGTGTGTTTGTTTGTTTTGTTTGTTTGTTGTTTGTTTATTTTGAGATGGAGTCTTGCTCTGTCGCCCAGGCTAGAATGCAGTGATCTCACTAGAATGGCGTGATCTCACTGCAACCTCCACCTCCTGGGTTCCAGCAATTCTCCTGCTTCAGCCTCCCAAGTAGCTGGGATTACAGGTGCCCATCACCACGCCTGGCTAACTTTTTTGTATTTTTAGTAGAGTCGGGGTTTCACCATGTTGGCCAGACTGATCTTGAACTCCTGACCTCATGTGATCCACCTGCCTTGGCCTCCCAAATTGCTGGGATTACAGGCGTGAGCCACTGCGCCTGGCCCATTTTCCACATTTTTATTGATATTTTTGCTTATGATTAAGGTATCATAAAAATATTATGTAATTGTTAAAATCTCTTATAAACATCAATAGCCTGTATGCTCTTTAGTCTTCTGTAAATATACCTGTGTGTGCATGTTGGTGTGTATGTGTGTGTGAGGGTCTTTTTTTTTTTTTTTTTTAAGTTACCCTATTGGCAGGTTTTGCATTTTTTTGTGGGAGGGTCTTTATAGGCATGGAATATGGTCTTATGTGGTAGCATTCAGTTCCCATATCAACAGCTACCGACTTAAGAGGCTTCTCATTGTTACTCAAGGCTGAGAGAAAGAAGAAGAGAGAAAGAAAAGACAGGAAAGAGACAAAAAGGAGAGAGAGAAAGAGAAGGATATATTGGTATGGAGGTGTCAAAATAAACCATACATGAAATGCTCAAAGCCACATTTACTGGATTTTTGCTTAATGGAGGAAGTGAGACCTGACCCTTAGATAATTTTAAAGGACTTGGAGCCTCAAAGGCCAAGCCTAATGGCTTTTTCTCCTCTTAGGACATTTTACCGGAGAGAAGATAGAATTGTTTTAAAATATGGCATCAAGAAGGAATAATCATGGAATTAAACCAAATTATATTAATAGGGCTAGGGTTACATTAAATGTTGGTGGAAAGTCACATGATAATAGGGAGTTAGAAGAAATGACTTTATTGCAAAGGATCAGAATTCAAACTTGTGGGAAAATGTTAAGAAATGGAAACATTAATGTGGAAAGCCTTTGTAAGGGTTTTAAGATTTTGTGTTGTTTTACTTTGAGATATTAAAAAATAAAAACAAAACTATTTAACATTTAATTTAAATATTTTAATATTGTTCTTTGTGTATTTTCTCTTTCTTACACCACTGCCTTCAGAAAAATTAACATATATACATATGCACACATATATACACACACGCACATATATATACACACACATATACATTTCCTTATTGTAAATATTACAGAAAATAGACAGAGCTTTACAGATTAGACCACAATTATCCCTTTGTCTGCTTCTTTGTAAATGAAACAATTTTATCCTAAGGGGATAATACTGATTATGGGCAGCAACCATTAACTATATGCATCCGTATGAATGTGGAGAAAGCAGGGAAATGCAACTAGAGTACAAACATATACTGTAGATGGCTGATCCTTAGGAGGTCTATTGGTGCGTGCATGTGCATATGCTCATGAGTGTGCACACAGTCATTAGCATTTGGAAAAGGAAGCCACCTGATCCTTGTTTTCAAAATGGCACCACTACTTTTTTTATAAAATAAGCCTCGGCTGTTTCTTTTCTTAGAAATATCTTCTTCATGTTCTCATTTCCTAATTTTATAACAACTTAATCATTTAATGTACATTTTTCTCTAATTGTGGTAGATAGCACTTAACTAATTTCTCTGAAGAAATTAAAATACAAGGAGAGGATTGCATCATGAAATTTACATGTGCCACTATCATATTTTTGCTCTTTTAAGATCTGTATATTTTTCTGTTTCAGAAATAACTTACCAAACTCTATGAACATTAGATCATTTTCTGCTGTATGTGTCAAATCAGTGAACATTTCATTTTAATAATTATTGTCTTTCTTTCCTAGAAGAGTGAAGCAAAGGATATTCAGTCTCCTGTTTATTATCATCTTTTCCCAGTAGAATATAGTCTGGTAATTGGAGAAATGTTCAGCCACCCCAAACTCATTTCACATGTGCTTCCCCTCATCACTGATTAATGATTCCAACTGTCTCTTTTCCTGTAATGTGTGAAATGAGGTCTTCCCACTGTGACATGGTTTGTTAAAAGGGAGATTTATGCTACCGTCATGTGGTGTGATGCACTCCACGTATTATGTAAAGCAATCGTTTACAGGGTCAGGCACCATGGGTCAAATCAGGCACAAAGATGTAGGAGAAACGTGCTATGACAATCTGGAGTAAAATGATTTTATTTCAAACTATGTTAATTACTTGATTTTATAAGTCACAGAGGGCTAAGAGTAAGGCAGGGACTACATCAAAATTTGTTTTTCTAGAACACATTACATGAAAATGAAAGGCCACAGTGTGAGAGTACCTGGGGCATCCTATGACTGTGAAGCTGGCTGATTCTTTGAAACCGATGCTTAAAATACATAAGCTTCCGTTATAAATTAGTTTTTAAAATAACCAGCTAAGTTAGATATTAAATTTAAAACAAATCTATATCATTTAATTTCTAAGTAGATTTTAGGGCAAGGAACTAAATAATGTGTTTTCATAAGCCACATACGTTTTTTGTATACAAAGTTGTCTTTACCTTCTGAAAATTAGTTTTAGAACACAGGAAAATAGAGCATATTCAACTGCCTTCCAACAACTTGTGCTATATACTTAAAGTATAAACAGTTTTATTTTTGTTGAAAATTATTTTTTGGACAATGACTTCGGTTCAGACATATGCTAAAAAATTCTGTTTTGATATAATAGGTTGTGTCTTTAGAGTATGGGTAGTTGTTGGGAAGTGGGAAGTGTTGGTTTAAATATACGGGGAAAAACAAATATTAAATTATCATTTTCATAAGATCAGGGATCTAAGAGCCTTGAACTTGTAAATCATTACTACAATTACGAAAAAAAAAACAGAAACACAATAGGTGAAAGTAAATATTACTTTGCAAAGCACAATATAGGCTATTGAAAAATATGTGCAATATAATTGTATTTATATCAATTCATAGGTACACGCAAAAACTTAACATGAGTAGAAGAGCCACTGATTAATGATGAATATATTTACTAGGGTCTGAACTTCATGAGAGCAGAGATTTTATTTTTTTCTCTTTCATTCACTGCTGTAAACATAGTGCCTATTAATGGTAATTTACATATCCATAATATTCAATGAACATTTTCTGAACAAGAATTATTTCCTTCTATTTTAATTAATTTCTTTTTTACTGTGCAATACTAGAAATATACTACTCATCAGTTACATCACTATCCATTTGGAGTGTAAATGACAATGATTAACTTTTGGTAACATGAACTCTCATAATAATGCCAAAATCTTTTTTTTTTGTTGTTGTTAAAACTCAAAATAAGTAAGTTTGGTGCTAATTTTTAAAATAATTTTTTCTCTCCCAGTATTGAGAACATGAGTTTGTCATAAATAAAGCGAACAAGCAAACAAACACCAAATATAAAACGTTAAAACAGGAGATCATCATTCATTCATCCATTCATTCAAGAAACCTACTATATTTACTACCTTAAGAGCTTTGCCAAGCTCTACCTACTTTATGATTAGTACCTTAAGAGCCTGGTGGATAAGAAAGACATACCAACACAAAAATAAGTAGAGGAGTAGAAAATATTCAATGTTAGAGACATTTGAAGAAACTAGAAAGGACTGGCCCACCAAACATGAACAGCAGTACAGAGGAGTAATAAGAGAAAGTGGCAAAGTTTAACCTAAGACTTAAATAATACATAGGAATTTAAAATATTACTTCAGTCATTTCAAAATACATAGACCTAAATCAATTATAGTCTAAAATCAGACTACATATGAAAATATGCATTCCCTATACTTCTAATATTTCAGAATACTTAAGACACTAGTTAACCCTTAAAATTCTTCTAACCAATGAAACTTTTACGCATAGTTCTCAATAATTTTTCCCAAACATAAATCTTACCGTCTTGGATAATTTTAAAGTTTTATTAAAAAAAAAAACCACAGGGAAACAAACAAAACAAAACATGCCTTTTATTGTTTTCAGAGCCCTGAGATAACCCTTCATGTTCACTATACTTTACGCAAACGTTCTGTTGATTGTGAATCAAAGCTACTGTACTTGTGTATTCTTAACTTGAACAATCAAAAATTGTTGTCTACAAACACCTATTGATTCTCTAGCCCATTTCTATAATGATAATTATTATTGTGCTCCACAGTCACCTGTAGTTCTTTAATGCCTTTCCTTTCTCTCTCTTGCCTTCATTTCCTTATCCAGCTTACATTCTGTGGCACAAAATTTCATCCGCCCTTTTGATATTATCAAATGGCTTGATCATATTTATAATATACATACTAAGCAGAATCAGAAAGGGAGGATAGACAAAGTAGTAGAAGGAGAAAAAATATAGATATTTAATGGGATATTATTGCACAGAACAGTTTTATGAACTGACTGTTTTTGCTCTTCCCCCAAATTCTTATGTAGAAGCCTTAACCCTCAGTGTGAATGTATTTGGAAATACAGTAACTCCCCCCACTGACTTATTCATGGTTTTGCATTTCACGGTTTTAATTATCCATGGTCAAGAATGGTCTAAAAATATTAAATGGAAAATTTCAGAAATAAACAATTCATAAGTTTTAAATTGTGTCTCATTCTAAGGAGTGTGATGAAATCTCAAGCCATCCCACTCCTTCTTGCCTAGTATGTGAATCCTTCCTTTGTCTAGCAGGTCCACTCTGTCTACACTATCCGCCCATGACACACTTAGAATCCCTCTGGATTCCCAGATCAACTGCTGTGGTATTGTTACTGGTGGAAGGGACTCAATTTACTGGTGGTGAATCCGTACGGGTCTGCTGCAACCTCAATTCTTGCCTCCTTAGAAGAAAGAATTTGACTGAAGTGCATATGCCCCAAAAAGAGACAGAGACAAGTTTCAGAGCAGGAGTGGAAGTTTATTAAAAACTTTAGAGGTCGGGCACAGTGGCTCACGCCTGTAATCCCAGCACTTTGGGAGGCCGAGGCGGGCTGATTACCTGAGGTTGGGAGTTCGAGACCAGCCTGACCAACATGGAGAAACCCCGTCTCTACTAAAAATACAAAATTAGCCAGGTGTGGGGGCACATGCCTGTAATCCCAGCTACTCAGGAGGCTGAGGCAGGAGAATCGCTTGAACCCGGCAGGCGGAGGTTGCGGTGAGCCGAGATTGCACCATTGCACTCCAGCCTGGGCAAGGAAAGTGAAACTCAGTCTCAAAAAATAAAAAAATAAAAAAAATAAAAACACTTTAGAGAACGAAAGAAAGGAAAGTTCACTTGGAAGAGACCCAAGCGGGCACCTGAAGGTCAAGTGCAGTGTTTAACCTTGATCCTAGGACTCTATAAGCTGGCCCCTTTCCCAAGATTCTTTCCTTAGGGTGGGCTGCCTGCATGCGCAGTGCAGTGTCCTCCTTACCCTTGGGAAGTGCGCACATGCAATGTGTTTAGGAAGTTGTATTCATGCCCATCTGAAGCTTCTTTCCCTTTTCTGGTGAAGTGTCCTGGGAAAATAATATTTCACCATTTTGTCTCTTAGTGCACATGCCCGGCTTCACTTTCCCAATATCTGAGATTTTACTGGAAGCTCTTTTGGCTTACCCCTGGGACCTGCTGTCAAATTATCATTTATAGAGAGGCCATGTGATAACTGTTGAACCATCACCTGATATTCCTGGTAGGTGGGGGAAGAGCCCTCTCCTGCCCGGCTCATGCCTCCTAACTACCTGTAACAGTATTTCAGTGCCTGTGTTCAAGTCACCCTGACATTACTCAGTATGTTATTCAGTCCCAAAGCTCAAGAGTAGTGATGCAGGCAATTGGGATATGCTAAAGAGCAGCCATAAAGTGCTTCCTTTAAGTGAAAATTCTTCACTTAACAAGAAAAAAATATCCTATGCTGAAATTGCTATGGTAAAAATGAATCTTCTACCTGTGAAATTGTGAAAAAGGAGAAAGGAATTTGTGCCAGTTTGGTTGTCACACTTCAAACTGCAAAAGCTACAGCCACGGTGCAGGAATAATGCTTAGTTAACATGGAAAAAGCGTTATGTTTGTGGGTGGAAGACATGAAAAACATGTTCTGATTGACAGCAATCAAATTCGATACTATCTGTGGTTTCAGACATTCACTGCAAGTCTTGGAAGGTATCCTCTGCGGGGATAAGTGGAGATGACTAGAAACTTTAAGAAGGTGAATGAAGTTCGGTGTGGTCATAAGGGTGGGGCCTGATTCAATAGGATTAGTATTCTTATAGAGGGAAACACTGGAAAGCTCTCCTCTCTCTCTCTCTGAACAAACACAAAGAAGAGATCAAGTGAACACACAGAGAGATGGCAGCCATTTGCAGACCAGGAAGAAAGCAGAAAGCCCTCCTCAGAAACCAACGCTATTGGACATCGATCAGGAACTTCTAGCCTCCAAAATGGCAAGGGAATAGATTTCTGTCATTTCGGCCATATAGTCTGTGACATTTTGTTATGGCAGCCTGAAGAGAATAATATAGCAAGTGTCATGTGAACAACTGAGCACAGGATTTGTAAATGGCTGTGGTTGGGGAGTATTTTATGAGTTTGTGACTTCAGGAACAAAATAGTTCAGGAAAAAACAAATTCTAAGAAATGGTTATGGGAGTGAGTGGTTGTTCAAGGGGTAATAAAGTTCATTGAATTTGAATAGGTCCAGAGGACTAGGGTTTAGGGTGAGACAGATTTAACAGAGAGAGAAATAAACATGAGTGAAAGGAAGAGGATTTATATTCTTAACTAGTAACAACAAAAAGCATAACAGGCATATAACAAATGTGGAATCCTTTACACTGGATATTTCCATGAGAATGTAGTTTTTCTCCTATGTAAAAACAAAATAAGCCTTCTGAAAACTTAGACTCTGCCATTATAGATGGCATTCATAAGGGTACTCTAATTTTTGTGGTGAATACTCTCTCAGAATAGACAAAGCATTGTACCATCTGCTTTGATAATGTGACTACTAGGGTCAGGCTACAAGTTCAAGACTGCTTGAGTTAAATATCCCAGGAGAGGAAAGAGACATGTTCTGTCTGTATGCAATAAATTTGAAAGGTAAAATGCCAGTGGCCTGAAAACTAACTTCGATGTGGACAGGGCCAGCACACAGCAATACACGTCCAGAAAGTCCACATTAGTCAGGAGAAACTTGAAGAGTACAGCCCATCAGGATTGGGTCAGGAAGGTGATCTTGCTGTTCCCAAGGGTGATATATTTGCAAAGAATCCTGCAAACAGATTTCTTATATAACAAGAAGTTTAATGCTTAGATAAAACTATTAGCTGAGGAAAAATTACAACTTCAATCAATTTGGGTTTAGCTACTTCCACGTTTTTATTTTTTCTTTTAAGTGTGTCAGTTTACATTAATTTTTTTTTCTGGTTTGATACATCAAGGGTTGCAGAGAAATTTTTCTAAAAGAATGCATCCCAGACAGAAAACACAAAGAAAAATAATCAATTCAATGAAAGTTCACTTATCAGACAAATTTATTGTGCAGTTCTAAGTGTAAAAAGAACTATAGCTAAATATGCATTATCAGACCTTTCTATAGCATGGGTCCCAGGATTTCATGTTTGAAGAAGTATTACGGTTCCTCAAAATTCATATGTCAAAACTTAACCCCCATGTTTATCACCATCACATTAGCAGGTGGGGCCTTTGGGATGTGATTAGATCATAAGGTTAGTGCATTCATGAATGGGATTAGTGTCCTGATAAAAGAGGCCTGAGGGAACTTGTTCCCGTTTCCACCATGTGACAGTTCAGAGAGAAGGTGCCATCTATGAACCAGAGAGTGGGCCTTCACCAGACACAGATTTAGCCAGCATCTTCATCTTGGCTCCACTACTGCCTTTTTGTTTGTTTCTTTAATTTATATCTTTATTTCTCTCTTTTAAAAACAATTGTATAAATTTAAGGGGTATAAGTACAGCTTTGTTACAAGGGTATGTTGTGTGGCTGTGAAGTCTGGGATTTCAGTGTAATCATCACCTGAATAATGTACATTGTACCCATTAAATAATTGCATAGAAGCTACTCAGTCTTTGGAATTTTGTTATAACAGTCTAAACAAACTAGAACAACAAATTATTTGAAAACTATTGACTGGTCAGACTTCTGGTTAGAGAAACTAGGTAGTCTAATAATCCACAGGTATGTTAACTATTAGGCTATACTGACCAATTTCAGACATAAATGTTGAATAAACTATATGCCTGCTTATTCATGAAAAATGTAGATTTATATTTACAGTTTCTGGGATAGAAATGACTTTATTAAGAACCTATCTGCTGTTTCTCATGGAACAGAATATTTGAGAAGTCAGGTTACTTATTAAGCATTTCCTTGGGTAGCATAATTTTTACTTTTAATTTGTTATCCAACATTCACAATTGTTGCCTATATTCTTCCTCTATTTTTAAAAATAATTATCTAGATATTCCTTTCAAGAAAAGGCCTATTTTTGTACTTAGCAGTGTGACAATCTCTGATGCCTGACAATCTCACAGCCATCTTCCATGAAAGGAAATAAGAGGCCATATTTTTCCTCTGCTACATTTTATGGCAGACACTAAACCTAAGATGGACTAAATAGCCTCTCAAGCCCTGATCTCCAAGCTGTAAGTGAAAAGGGTGAAGCATCAAACCCATGGGACCAGCGGTATTGGCACAAAAAGCTTACTGCTCCTACCAAGTGCCCAGTGTCTGCTTCCTGCCACTTAGAATGCAGAACTGCATGGAATTCTACCAGTTCTCTAACTCTCTTCCATCAAACCCCCATTAATTTTATGAGCCAAATATCAATGAAGTAATTTTATTGTGTAGTGTTATGTTTTTGGCTTAAAATACCTAAAATCGGCCTGGCGCAGTGGCTCGCGCTTGTAATCCCAGCACTTTGGGAGGCCGAGGCCAGCGGATCACAAGGTCAGGAGATCGAGACCATCCTGACTAACATGCTGAAATCCCATCTCTACTAAAAATACAAAAAATTAGCCGGGCGTGGTGGCGGGCGCCTGTAGTCCCAGCTACTTGGGAGGCTGAGGCAGGGGAATCGCTTGAACTGGGGAGGCGGAGGTTGCAGTGAGCCGAGATCCACCACTGCACTCCAGCCTGGGTGACAGAGCGAGACTCTGTATAAAAAAAAAAAGAAAAAAAGAAAAAAAAACTAAAATCACTATATATTATAGTATATAATATATAGTATTATACTCGGTGAGCATAAAGTCAGGATATGGGAAAGAAAATAAAATTCTTTAGTGTTTCTAGACTAAGTATTTTTCTGAGCTGGACAGCAGGAGATGCATTCTGAAATATCTTGCTTCTGTGAATATCACTTCCATGTTTAGTATAATTTATTTTGGTAGTTTTCCCATGTTGTTGCTATAGTCAAGTCACACTGATATTCATGATGCTGTTCACATGAGCACAGAGATAAGTTATCTCTTCCATATGTGTTGATTTACTTCAGCATGCTTGAAAACATATGCATACTATCCATGATGTTTCTGTAGTCATTAAGACAAATAACTTCATCAGATATATTTTAAAATATTCATTTTATTTATTACTTTTTTTGTTTGTTTTGAGACAGAATCTTGCTCTGTCACTCAGGCTGGATTGCAGTGACGCTATCTCAGCTCATTGTAACCTCCATTTCCTGGATTAAATTGATTCTCCTGCTTCAGCCTCCTGAGTAGCTGGGATTACAGGCACCCACCACCAGCATACCTGGCTAATTTTTGTACTTTTAGTAGAGATGGGGTTTCACCATGTTGTCCAGGCTGGTTTCGAACTCTTGACCTCAGGTGATCTGCCCGCCTTGGCCTCCCAAAGTGCTGGGATTATAGGCATGAGCCACTGTGCCCTGCCTATTTATTTCAATTTATAATTGGAAATGTATGAAATACACATATACATACATGTATATATTATACAGATCTATTAAATAGATATAAATGTCTCAATATATACATAATATACATACATACATTTTATTTACCTATATGTATGTTATGTATCTCTTATATAATATAATAATACATAAAATACAAATATGAAAGATATTAAAAGTGCCAACATTGACAGCTCTTTAAGTTGCAGCCTATCAGAGGACATAGATATGCAGCTGACAATATTCTCATGAGTATCTTAGAGAAGTGAGAATTTTTTGAATTTCCGTTTTTGGGTCTGTGATGAATTTTGTTTCGAAGTATTCCAGCCCCATAATGTATATAGAAATAAATTCTTATGAATTACAAATACACATACAAAAGCCTACATAGTAAAATATTTTCAAGACATGAGCATAGGGTAGAGTTATTAAACAAGATACTGAAATCACTAACATAAATATTAACTTTATACATCAAGAACTTCTTCAAAAACACTTAATTAGGAGTAAAGAGAAGTAAATATCTTAAGTTGATGAATACTATTCTCTTATACTTTCTGCTTCTCTATTATTAAAATTGCAGAAGATGTACATGTAGTGCTGACCTGCTCTTTGGTGTCTGAAACTGAGTAACTTAGGTCAGGTATGGTCCCTGCCTGAGCAACTAAGAATCAAAAATTCAGAGGTCAGAAATTTGAAGTGTTCATTCAGACCTATGTCCCCAAATTGTATTCTTTAATTCAACTTTGCTTGCAAAACTCTGAGTTTGGGAGTGTGAGTATGGGAAGAGGGCAAGGTTCTAGGGAGAAAGGGAATCTATTGGAAGGGCGGTGAGTCATTTTAATAATTTGGTTATTATTCTTAGTTTCTTTCTGGGACGGGAAGAAGGAAAGAGATAAGAATGAGAAGAAAAATCCCACCTGCCTTCCTCCCTAACAAATCCAAATAGAGTAATGAATCCCCCCAAATTACCTTCCTTTTTTTTCTCTCATCCACCTCAGCCCCAAATAGAGCCAATTCACAGCACTTCTGATTCTTTGCACATTAAAAAAGAAAGAGCAGAAATTTTTGATGAGGCTTCGGCAAGCCATCACTTTGAGAATGCAATTTTTTCTTTTTTATTTCTCTTCCCAAGTTTGTCTATTTTAAAATCATAATTCTGGCCAGGCTCACACATGTAATCCCAACACTTTGGAAGGCTGAGGCGGGCAGATTACCTGGGGTCAGGAGTTCGAGAACAGCCTGGCCAATATGGTGAAAACCTGTCTCTAGGAAAAATACAAAAATTAGCCTGGCGTAGTGGCACAGGCCTGTAATCCCAGCTACTCAGGAGGCTGAGAGAGGAGAATCACTTGAACCCGGGAGGCGGAGGTTGCAGTGAGCCGAGATTGCACCACTGCACTCTAGCCTGGGTGACAGAGCAAGACTCTATCTCAAAAAAAAAAAAAAATCATAATTCTAATAATACAGGGATTGGCAAATGGCCAAATCTAGCTCACCGTATATTTTTCCCAATGAAGTCTTATTGGAATGTGGCCAAACCCATCTGTTTACTATTATCTGTGGCTGCTTTTGTAACAGAGTTGAATATATGAGAGATCATATGGCCTACAAAGATTGAAATATTTATTATTTTGCCTTTTTAAAAAATTTACCAACTCTTGAAATAGATGACACGTAATTAGTGTCAAGTTTAATTGACTACTATTAATTGGAGTAACTGTAAATATAGTTTTAAATACATAAATACACATACATGCAACTTTAAATATGTATATATATATATACAACTTTATGTATATATGTATATATGTATATATAAATATACATGTACATACACATTTGGCTTTTATTTTTTTTTTTTTGAGATGGAGTTTTGTTCTGTCGCTCAAGCTGGAGTGCAGTGGTGTGATCTCAGCTATCTCGGCTCTCACTGCAAGCTCCTCCTCCTGGGTTCACGCCATTCTCCTACCTCAGCTTCCCAAGTAGCTGGGACTACAGGTTCCCACCACCACGCCCAACTAATTTTTTGTGTTTTTAGTAGAGACGGGTTTCACCGTGTTAGCCAGGATGGTCCCGATCTCCTGACCTCGTGATCCGCCCTCCTCGGCCTTCCAAAGTGCTGGGATTACAGGTGTGAGCCACCAAGCCCGGCCTATACACAGGGTTTTTACGGATAAACTATAAGAGTTTGTATTTAATTTGGACTGCAAATATTTTTTCTAATGTCTTGTTTTCCACTACCTGTGCTTTTAAAATGTGTTAAGTTTTCATTTTTATGAATAGCTCATTTTTCTTCCTTTATAGCTTCTGCTGCCTGCCTAGTTAAAAGTATCTCACCAAGTATGAACAAATAAAGGAATGATAATAAAAAAACTTTTAATTCACTGAAAATGTATTTTTGAATGAATTGTCATAGGAGATAATTGTCTAGTTTTATTTTCATGTGGGTATTTATTTGGCTTGTGAAATAATGTATTCATCTACTGAAATCCTATATGTAGTATGATAAATTTCTGGACCCTCTATTTTATTTCATGGAAATGTGTGCCTATTCTTTTGCAAATTGCATGTTTTTATGATAATGTTGACTTTATAAATATACTAAGACATTTTCAATTATATTGATGGTATTGTTGTTTTACTATTATTATTATTTCACGGACAAGACTTTTAAAAATCTCATTAGAATTACCTGTTCTTTAAAAGTCAGATATGCTCTCTGAAAATACGTGAACCTCTTCTTTCAGGTAAATATCTTCAAATTAAAAGAGTTTTTTGGAGAAACAATTTTGGTAACTTTTACATTTGGACTAATCATTCGTTTGTTTTATATGTTAATTTAATAAAATTTCAGATGTTAACAGTTGGGTGTCAAATCTAAATGTATGTTTTATCAACATTACTTTCACTTAAGCCCTTGATATTTTACCAGAGAGGTCTAATTTGTCCCTATTGAAGTGTGCTTCTGTTATTCATTTTGTATGACTAAAAATATTACATATATTTTTAAAGAAAAATCAGTAATTTTAAATTATTTGGTATACAAAGAGTATTTCTATATTCAAAGAACATATCTGTTTTTATACATTATTAAATCCCAGTTATCTAACATAATGCCTGGCATAGTATGGGCCTTAAATATATTTATTTTTGAATGTTGATATTGTGTAGCTCATATCTAAAATCTCCTCAAAACGTAAAATATTGGCACACATTTTAAACTATGACTAGAAATATTCTATGACTATAATGTTGCAAATGAAACTTAACAGATTGCAACATAAATTTCTACAAAGGAAAAGTAAATGTCCTCTTAATCACATAAAATAAAAATATATTTTGTGAAAAGTAATAATAAAAATAATTATTATTATAGCTTTAAATTTCAAGGTTATATTATGTGCCAGCTGTGCTCTAGAAGCATGTTGAAAATTAAACAAAAAATTATGTGCAGCTAAACACTAATTGCAAGAAGAAGGTGGGGACGATTAGGAAATAATAAAAGCAGAGAAAGTGATATTTTAAATTTGACAGCTGATTAACTGTATTAAGCTGATAACATAATTAAAACTTAGCAGCTGGGAGGCTGGCGACAATTTTCATCTATGCAACTATGTGTTGCTCCAGAAGAGAACAGAGGGAGGGGAAAACATTTTACTAGTTATTACTGTATCCCTCTGTGCTTGGCAGGACATGATGTGCAGATTATTTATAAATTATTAGATTAAAATTAAATTGGCTTTTCATTGCATTTTGTGTAGCATAAATATGAATACATTTTAGTTGTATATTCATATTTGTAGTATAACTGAGAAACCAAGACATCCAATTTGTCTCTTACATTTCTTATACTAGTTGGAAGAGGATATGAGAGATTATTAAATATAAATTATAATTGAGTATATTGGAGGCATTATTTGGAAAGTTGTGAAGAAATGATTACATATGTGTCTGTCAGATATGTCTTTTAAAAGAAAATTGAAGTGTATAAAAGTAGGATTATTGAAATATATTTTACATTTAGTAAAATTTAACTTCTAAAAATGTGAAGGTCAATAATTTTGACAAATGTGTAGTTATGTAATCACCATATTATCACAAAAAGTTGCCTTGTGACCTTTTTTTAGTTAATCCTCTCCTTCCAAACCAAACTTTGTCAACTATCCAGAGTAGCTGGGACTACAGGTGTGTGCCACCACACTCAGCTCATTTTTTGTATTTCTAGTAGAGATGGGATTTCACCATTTGGCCAGGCTGGTCTCTAACTCCTGACCTCAGGTAATCCACCCATCTTGGCCTTCCAAAGTGCTAGGATTACGGGCGTGAGCCACTGTGCCCGGTCTTACGTTTTTTTCTTGTCGCTTTGCCTCTTCCAGAATGTCATATGAATGGAATCATCAAGTAGTAGCTTTTTCTGCTAGGTTTTTTTCACTGATTCTGAGATTGGTGTATGTATTTGCATATTATTAGTAATTTAGTATCTTTGACTGCTATGTAATATTCCATTACATAGATAGATGTATCAAAATTTATTTTTATATTTGTTAGTTGAAGGACATTTGAGTTTTTCCAGTTTGTGGTTATTGTGGAAAAAGCTACTATAGACTCAGATACAGGGTTTTCTGTTGGTATATATTTTCATGTCTTTTGGGTAACAACTAGGAGTAGGGTCAAACGTAGTAAGACAAACACATGTTTAATTTATAAGAAACTGACAAACAATTTTTCAAAGCAGGCATAACATTTCAGGTTCTCATCAGGAATATGTCAGAGTACTAATTATTTCACATTCTCACCAGTATTTGATATTTTCATTTTTTGGCTTTAGCGATTCTTACATTGTTTTAATTACAATTAAGTGAGTTATAATTAAAACTACAATGTGGTGTCACTGCAGAAAGGCATAGAAGATGATAGTCAACATCAATTTACTATCAATCCATATAAATATCCAAAGATGGTATCCATTGATGCCATCAATTTACTGTTGATGTTGACTATCATTTTCTATGCCTTTCTGCAATCCATAGATCTTCTTTAGGGGTGTCAGTTCATATATTGCGTCAAATTGTTATTGGGGTTTTTTTCATTGTTGAGTATTGAAATTTTTTAAATATATTCAAGATACACATCCTTTATCAGATACGTGCTTTAGAAATATTTTCTACCAGTCAATGGCTTGACTTTTCTTTTTTTTTTTTTTTTTAACTTTTATTTTTAAGTTCAGGAGAACCTGTGCAGGTTTGTTACATAGATAAACTTGTGTCATGCAGATTTGTTGCACAAATTATTTCATCACTCAGGTATCAAGCCTAGTACCCATTAGCAAGTTTTTTCTGATCCTCTCCCTCCTTCCAACCTCCACCATCTGAAAAGCCCCAGTGTGTGTTGTTCCCTCTATGTGTCCATAAGCTCTCATCATTTAGCTCTCACTTACACGTGACAATATGTGGTATTCGGTTTTCTGTTCCTGTGTTAGTCTGCTGAGTATAAATAGCCTCCAGCTCCATCCACGTCCTTGCAAAGGACATGATCTCATTATTTTTGTATGGTTGCATGATATTCCATGGTGTATATGTACCACATTTTCTTTATCCAGTCTATCATTGATGGGCATTTAGGTTGATTCCACGTCTTTGCTATTGTAAATAGTGCTGCAATGAACAAATGCATGCATGTGTCTTTATAATAGAACAATTTATATTCCTTTGGGTATATACCCGTAATGGGATTGCGGGGTCAAATAGTATTTCTCTCTTAGGTCTCTGAGGAATTTCCACACTGTTTTGCACAATGGCTGAGCTAACTGACACTCCCACCAACAGTGTATAAGCGTTCCTTTTTCTCCACAACCTTGACAGCATCTGTAATTTTTTGACTTTTTAACAGTAGCCATTCTGACTGGTATTAGATGGTGTCTCCTCGTGGTTTTTATTTGCTTTTCTTTAATGATCAGTGATGTTGAACTTTTTTTATATGATTATTGGCTGCATGAATGTCTTATTTTGAAAAGTATCTGTTCATGTCCTTTGCACCTTTTTATGGGGTTGTTTGTTTTTTTCTTATAAGTTTATATAAGTTTCTCAGATTTGCTGGATATTAGACCTTTATCAGATCTATAGTTTGCAAATATTTTCTCCCATTTTTTAGCTTGTTTACTTAACTGTTGATAGTTTATTTCGCTGCGCAGAAGCTTTTTAGTTTAATTAATCCCATGTGTCAATTTTTGCTTTTGTTGCAATTGCTTCTGGTGTCTTCATCATGAAAACTTTGTCCATGCCTATGTCCTGAATAGTATTGTCTAGTTTGAATAGAAGTGGTGAGAGAGGGCCATTGTTTTGTACCATTTTTCAAGGGGGATGTTTTCGGCTTTTGCCCATTCAATATTATGTGGGCTGTGGATTTGTCACATATGGCTCTTATTATTTTGCTGTATGTTTCTTCAATATCTACTTTATTGAGAGTTTCTAACATGAAGGGATGTTGAATTTTATTGGAGGCCTTTTCTGCATTTATTGAAATAATAATGTGGTTTTTGTCTTTGGTTCTGTTTATGTAATGAATCACATTTATTGATTTGCATATGTTGAACCAACCTTGCATCCTGGGGATAAAGCCAACATGACTGTGGTGGATGAGCTTTTTTTTGTGCTGGAGTCGAGTTGCCAGTATTTTTATTGAGGATTGTTGCATCAATGTTGATCAAGGCTATTGACCTGATATTCGCATCGATGTTCATCAAAAATGTTGGTCTCGTTTTGTTGTATCTCTTACAGATATTGGTATCAGTATGATGCTGGCCTCATAGGGTACAGTCCCTCCTTTTCAATTTTTTGAAATAGTTTCAGTAGAAATGGTGCAAGCTCTTCTTTGTACCTCTGGTAGAATCCAGGTGTGAATCCAACTGGTCCTGGGCTTTTTTTGGTTGGTAGGCTATTTAATACTGTCTCAATTTCAGAACTTGTTATCGGTCTATTCAGGGATTCAGTTTCTTCCTGGTTCCGTCTTAGGAGGATGTATGTGTCCAGGAATTTAAATATTTTTAATTTACCTTCAAAATACTTCTGAACATCTTCATTTCTACCATCTAATACAGATGACCTGTTCAGAAATATTGACTATTATACACATCTCTTTACCTTACCAAGATTTTCTCCTTACCTTGTGAGACAGAGACTTGTTCACATTTGTATTCTTAGAGAATTGAGTCAGTGATTTGTCAGATAGGCATTTAATAATCCATTTCTTCTAGATTTTCTAGTTTATTTGCATAGAGGTGTTTATAGTATTCTCTGATGGTGGTTTGTGTTTCTGTGGCATCAGTGGTGATATCCTCATTTTCATTTCTGATTGTGTTCATTTCATACTTCTCTCTTTTCTTCTTTATTAGCCTAGATAGCAGTGTATGTATTCTGTTACTTTTTTAATTTTTTATTTATTTATTTATTTTATTTTATTATTATTATACTTTAAGTTTTAGGGGACATGTGCACAATGTGCAGGTTAGTTACATATGTATACATGTGCCATGCTGGTGTGCTGCACCCAGTAACTCGTCAATTAGCATTAGGTATATCTCCTAAAGCTATCCCTCCACCCTCCCCCCACCCCACAACAGTCCCCAGAGTGTGATGTTCCCCTTCCTGTGTCCATGTGTTCTCATTGTTCACTTCCCACCTATGAGTGAGAATATGCGGTGTTTGGTTTTTTGTTCTTGCGATAGTTTACTGAGAATGATGATTTCCAATTTCATCCATGTCCCTATAAAGGACATGAACTCATCATTTTTTATGGCTGCATAGTATTCCATGGTGTATATGTGCCACATTTTCTTAATCCAGTCTATCATTGTTGGACATTTGGGTTGGTTCCAAGTCTTCGCTATTGTGAATAGTGCCGCAATAAACATACGTGTGCATGTGTCTTTATAGCAGCATGATTTATAGTCCTTTGGGTATATACCCAGTAATGGGATGGCTGGGTCAAATGGTATTTCTAGTTCTAGATCCCTGAGGAATCACCACACTCACTTCCACAAGGGTTGAACTAGTTTACAGTCCCACCAACAGTGTAAAAGTGTTCCTAGTTCTCCACATCCTCTCCAGCACCTGTTGTTTCCTGACTTTTTAATGATCGCCATTCTAACTGGTGTGAGATGGTATCTCATTGTGGTTTTGATTTGCATTTCTCTGATGGCCAGTGATGGTGAGCATTTTTTCATGTGTTTTTTGGCTGCATAAATGTCTTCTTTTGAGAAGTGTCTGTTCATGTCCTTCACCCACTTTTTGATGGGGTTGTTTTTTTCTTGTAAATTTGTTTGAGTTCATTGTAGATTCTGGATATTAGCCCTTTATTAGATGAGTAGGTTGTGAAAATTTTCTCCCATTTTATAGGTTGCCTGTTCACTCTGATGGTAGTTTCTTTTGCTGTGCAGAAGCTCTTTAGTTTAATTAGATCCCATTTGTCAATTTTGGCTTTCGTTGTCATTGCTTTTGGTGTTTCAGACATGAAGTCCTTGACCATGCCTATGTCCTGAATGGTAATGCCTAGGTTTTCTTCTAGGGTTTTTATGGTTTTAGGTCTAACGTTTAAGTCTTTAATCCATCTTGAATTAATTTTTGTATAAGGTGTAAGGAAGGGATCCAGTTTCAGCTTTCTACATATGGCTTGCCAGTTTTCCCAGCACTATTTATTAAATAGGGAATCCTTTCCCCATTGCTTGTTTTTCTCAGGTTAGTCAAAGATCAGATAGTTGTAGATATGCAGCGTTATTTCTGAGGGCTCTATTCTGTTCCATTGATCTATATCTCTGTTTTGGTACCAGTACCATGCTGTTTTGGTTACTGTAGCCTTGTAGTATAGTTTGAAGCCAGGTAGAGTGATGCCTCCAGCTTTGTTCTTTTGGCTTAGGACTGACTTGGTGATGCGGGCTCTTTTTTGGTTCCATATGAACTTTAAAGTAGTTTTTTCCAATTCTGTGAAGAAAGTCATTGGTAGCTTGATGGGGATGGCATTGAATCTATAAATTACCTTGGGCAATATGGCCATTTTCACGATATTGATTCTTCCTACCCATGAGCATGGAATGTTCTTCCATTTGTTTGTATCCTCTTTTATTTCATTGAACAGTGGTTTGTAGTTCTCCTTGAAGAGGTCCTTCACGTCCCTTGTAAGTTGGATTCCTAGGTATTTTATTCTCTTTGAAGCAATTGTGAATGGGAGTTCACTCATGATTTGGCTGTCTGTTTGTCTATTATTGGTGTATAAGAATGCTTGTGATTTTTGTACATTGATTTTGTATCCTGAGACTTTGCTGAAGTTGCTTATCAGCTTAAGGAGATTTTGGGCTGATACAAAGTATTTTGTTACTTTAAAAAAAAAAAACTCCTGGATTCATTGATTTTTTGAAGGGTTTTTCATGTCTAATCTTGGTTAGTTCAGCTTTAATCTTGGTTATTTCTTGTCTTCTGCTAATTGCAGGGTTTGTTTACTCCTGGTTCTCTAGTTCTTTTTGTTCTGATGTTAATTTGTTATCTTAAGATGTTTCTAGCTTTTTGATATGTCCATTTAGTGCTATAAATTTCCCTCTTAACACTGCCTTATATGAGTCCCAGAGATTCTGGTATATTATACCATTGTTCTCATTAGTTTCAAGTAACTTTTTAATTTTTGCCTCAATTTCATTTTTTTCCTCATTCAGGAGCAGGTTATTCAATTTGCATGTAACTGTAAGGTTTTGAGTGAATTTTGTCATCTTGATTTCAAGTTTGATTGCTCTGTGGTCTGAGAGACTGTTATATCAGCTCTTTTGCATTTACTAAGAAGTATTTGACTTCTGATCATGTGATTAATTTTACAGTAAGTACCATGTGGCAATGAGAACAATATATATTCTGTTGTTTTTGAGTGGTGAGTTCTGTAAATCTGTATCAGGCCCTGGGTGGTAAGTTCTGTAAATCTTTATCAGGCCCATTTAATCCAGTGCTAAGTTCAGGTCCTGAATATCTTTACTAATTTTCTGCCTCAATGGTATGTCTAATATTGTCAGTGAGGTGTTAAAGTCTCCCACTATTATTGTGTGGAAGTCTAAGTCTATTTGAACGTTGCTAAGAAATTGTTCTGATTAGACAGCCACCACTTTCCTTTTTTTCTACATTGATTTTTGTACTATACTTCCCATTTACACAAAAACTTCAAAAAGACAAGCTTCTACAAAATATTATATCACTGAGAGAAATATAGTGCAATCTAATCTTAAAACAGTGAACTTCTTTCATCTGGTAGTTCACAAAATGTCTAACAAATCTTAAGTATTGCTGTATTTCCCCCCAAATTTAAAATATATCCTGTGAATAGCATATATTAACTTTCTCTCTCTCTCTCTTTTTCTATTTCACTCACCATAAACCTTTCCATTTGGAAATTCTGATGGCATTACCTTCAAAATATTTCTGACCATCTTCATTTCTACTATCTAATACAAATTACCTCTTCAGAAATATTGACTATTTTTTGCATCTCTTTACCTTACCAACATTTTCTCCTTACCTTGTGAGACAGAGATTTATTCACATTTGTATTCCTAGAGAACTAGGTCAGCAATTTGCCAGGATAGATATTTAATAATTTAGGCATTTAATATATGGCCTGAAACAGGGTAGGTATTTAATAAAATAGGCATTTAGTATATGGCCTGAAAATAAACATATAGCGTAACAAGATGTGCCCAAGCTGAAGACTAAAATTCAGGTATGTATATTCCCAAGCTCGTACATTGTCTATGACAATGCTAGATAATTAAATGTTTGCTAAGCGCAATATTAAGAGATAGCATGACAATGAGGCAGTGATGTTTGGTCCCTTCTAAGTAATAACTATAAGATACAAAGTGTCATCTCCATGTCCATAGAAGGAGGGTGACCACTGTTTTACTCCAAAATCAATAGCCCTATGTGCAACACTACTAATCTTTACTACTGCATTGTTGTAATGCAGTACTTAACTCTCGATTAAGTTTATTAAACTTTATATATCTTTAAAAATATTTTATTTAAAAATGTCTAACATAGTACAAAGATGAAATAATTTTACGCTGAGTCCCTACATACTCAAACATTAACATTACCACTCTTGTTTAACACATCTGTTTATTCATCTTATTCTTTGAAGAATCTCAAAGTAAATTACAGATATTGGTACACTCATCCTAGGTATTATAGAGTGCATTTATTAACCAGGATTAAAGAAATGTTGCCTTTTTGTGTAAAATTGAATACAATGAAGTGTACAAATATTAATTGCATATTAGTTGAGTTTGATAAATGCATATATATATATTATATATATGGCTTTTGGAGCTTCCATTTTCTTCTAATTGCCAACGTGATGATTAATTTTATGTGTCAATTTGATTAGGCTGATAGATGCTCAGATAGCTGGTAAAGCACTATTTCTGGATGTGCCTGTGAGGGTGTTTCTGGAAGAGATTAGAATTTGAATTAACAGACTGAGCAAAAATCTGCCCTCACCAATGTAGGGAGGTATCGTTCAATCCAGTGAGGGCCTAAATATAACAAAGAAGACAGAAGGAGAGTGAATTCTCCCTTCCTCTTTATTTTTGAGCTCAGACATGACGTCCATTATCTCCTGCTCTCAGAAATTGCGACTCCTGGTTCTCAGTGCTTCAGACTCCAGGACTTACACTAGTAGGCCAACAGGCCGTAAACCAGTAAAATATGCTGTTGGTTCTATTTCCCTGGAGAACTGTAATTAATAAAACCAATTTAATTGCATAACAAAATCTTAAATATCAAAGATTTTATTAGTGTTCAGTTATAAATATGTTTATATTTTTATTATGGTTTCTTCTTTGAATAAAATGTTATTTATTTAAATTTTAGATTCAGGGAATACATGTACAGGTTTCTTACAGGGTATATTGAGTGATGCTGAGGTTTTTCCTTCTATTGATCTCATCCCCCAAATAGTGAACTTGCTCCCCAATAGAAAATTTTTCTTGTTCTTCTCCTTCCCTGCCATGGAGTCCTTAGTGTCTATTGTTCCTATATTTGTGTCTGCACATACTCATTGTTTAACTCTTACTTACAAGTGAGAACATGTGGTATTTGGTTTTCTGTTTCTGTGTTAATTCATTTAGGATAATCACATCCAGCAGCATCCTTGCCGCTGTGAAGGACATAATTTCATTCATTTTTATGGCTGCATAGTATTCCATGGTATATATTTTCTTTATCCAATCCACCATTTATATGTACCTGGCTTGATTCCATGTCTTTGCTATTGTGAATAGTGACGCAATGAACATGTGAATGAGGGTGTCTTTTTGGTAGAACGATTAATTTTCCATTGGTTATATACCCACCAATGGGATCACTGGACTGAATGGTAATTCTTTTTTAGTTCTTTGAAAAATATCCAAACTGCTTTCCACAGCAGCTAAACTAATTTACATTCCCACCAACTGTGTTTAAGTTTCCCCATTCTCTGCAACCTCACCAATATCTGTTATTTCTTGACTTCAAAATAGTCACTCTTTAACTGGTTTGAAATGATATCTCATTGTGGTTTAGATTTGTACCTCTCATGATTAGTGATGTGGAGCATTTTTTCATATGTTTGTTAGCCATTTTTATTTCTTCTTTTCAGAAATGTCTGTTCATATGCTTTGCTTACTTATTAATGGGGTTGTTATTTTTCTTGTTTATTTAAGTTCCTTATAGATTATGAATATTAGTCCTTTGTCTGATTCAGTTTGCAAATATTTTCTCCTATTCTGTAGGTTGTCTGTATACTCTCTTGATTGTTTCTTTTGCTATGCAGAAGCATTTACATTTAATTAAGTTCCGATTATTCATTTTTTGTTTTGTTAGATTTGCTTTTGAGGGCTTAGCCATAAATTCCTTCACTAAGTCAATGTCTAGAAGAGCATTTCCTAAAATATCTTTTAGGATTTTTACAACTTACATTTAAGTCTTTAATTCATCTTGAGTTAATATATTTATATAGTGAGAGTGTGGGGTCAAGTTTCATTCTTCTGCATATAGTTAGCCAGTTTTCCCAGCACAATTTATGGAATCAGGTATCTTTTCCCTATTTTATTTATTTTTGTCAACTTTTCCAAAGATGATATGGTGGGAGGTATATGGGTTTATTCCATGGTTTTCTATTCTGTTCCATTGGTCTGTGTGTCTCTCTGTAGCAATATCATACTGTGTTAGTCACTCTGGTCTTGTTGAATAGTTTGAAGTTGAGTAATGTGATGCCTCTGGCTTTGTTGTTTTTGCTTAGAATTGGTTTGGCTATTTGGACTCCTTTCTGTTTCCATAATAATATGGTCTAGCAATGTCCCCACCCATATCTCATTTTGAATTGTAGCTCCCACAATTCCCCAATTCTCCCATGTCATGGGAGGGACCTAGTGGGAGGTAATTGAATCATGGGGGCAGGTTTTTCCCATGCTGTTCTTGTGATAGCAAATAAGGCTCATGAGATCTGATGGTTTTATAAGGGAGAGTTTCTCTGCACAAAATCTCTCTTTTCTGCCACCATGTAAGACATGCCTTTGCTTCTTCTTTGCCTTCTATTATGATTGTGAGACCTCCCCAGGAACATAGAACTATGAGTCCATTAAATCTCCTTTCCTTTAGATGTTACCCAGTCTTGGGTATGTCTTTATTGGCAGCATGAAAATGGACTGATACAATAAATTGGTATCAAGAGTGGGGTAATACATATATGAATTTTAGAAATTGTTTTTCCTAATTCTGTGAAAAATGACATTGGTAATTTGATAAGAACAACATTCAATTTGTAGATTGCTTTAGACAATATGGACATTTTAACATTGAGAGAATCATGAATATTGAATCTTCCAATCAATGACCATGGAATGCTTTCCTAATTTTTTGGGGGGGGGGGTCTATCTTTTTTCAGCAGTGTTTTGTAGTTCTTATAGATATCTTTCACCTCCTTGGTTAGATGTTTCCTTAGATATGTATTTTTTATGGCTATTTTAAATAAAATTGTATTTATAAATTGGATCTCAGCTTGGATGTTATTGGTGTATAGAAATGCTACTGATTTTGTAGATTTATTTTGTATACTGAGACTTTACTGAGTTGTTTATTAGGTCTAGGAGTCTTTTGTTGGAATCTTTAAGATTTTCTAGGTGTAGAATCATATCTTCACTGAAGACATATAATTTGACTTCCTCTTTCTGTTTGAAAGTCTTTTATTTCTTTCTCTTGTATGATTCCTCTGGCAAGGCCTTCCAGTACCATTTGAATAGAAGATTTGAGAGTGAACGTTCTTGTCTTATTGCAGTTGGAAGCATTTCCACTTTTGCCATTTCAGTATGAGGTAGGCTGTGGGTTTGTCATAGATGGCTCTTAATATTTTCAGGTATGTTTCTTCAATGCCTTGTTTGTTGAGGGTTTTTATCTCAAAAAGATGTTAGATTTCATTGAATGCTTTTTCTGAATTTATTCAGATAATCATATAATTCTTGTTTCTAAATTTATGTTGTGATAAAAATAATTCTGTCCATGTGGTTATAAATTTTAAAAACTTATTTATTTGCATATATTGAATCATTTTTGCATCTCAGGAATAAAGCCCACTTGATCCTGATGAATCAACTTTCTTTAATGTGCTTCTGGATTCAATTTGCAAGTTGAAGACTTTTGTGTCTATTTTCATTAGGAATATTGGCCTATAGTTTTATTTTCTGTTGTATATTTGCCAGATTTTGAAATCAGGATGATACTGGTTTTGTAGAAGGAGTTAGGGAGGAATCTCTCTGCCTTGAGTTTTTGGAATAGTTTCCAAAGAACTGGTACCAACTCTTCTTGCATGTTTTGTAGAATTTGGCTATGAGTCCCTCCGGTGCTGAGATTTTTTTTTTATTACTGATTCGATTTTACCACTCAATATTCATCTGTTCAGGATTTCTATTTCTTTCTGATTCAATCTTAGGAGAATGTGTTTTACTAGAATTTCATCCATTTTCCCTAAATTTTCTAGTTTGTGCACATAGAGATGTTCGTAGTAGTCTCTGAGAATCTTGCCAGTTTCTGTGGGATTGTTTGTAATGTCACCGTTGTTATTTCTAATTGTGCTTACTTGTATCTTCTCTTTTTCTTTTTTGTTAGTCCCTGAGTGGTCTATCAATTTTCTTTATGTGTTCAATGAACCAACTTTTCTTTCATTGATTTTTTTGTTCTCACATTTATTTGTTTCTGTCTGATTTTATCTGATTTTATTTCTTTTCTTCTGCTAGCTTTGAGTTTAATTTGTTCTTGTTTTTCTAGTTTCTTTAGGTATGAGATTATGCTGTTAATTTTAGATCTTTCTATCTTCCTGACATAGTTATTTAGTGCTATAAACTTTTCTCTTAATACTGCTTTTGCTCCATCCCAGAGGTTTCAGTATTTTATGTCTCTATTTTCATTTATCTCAAAGGATTTTTTTTTTACTTTCTAAGTTCACTGTTTACTCAAAAATCATTCAGGAGAAAGCTGTTTAGTTATCATGTGTTTTTGTGATTTTGATGGTTGTTGGGTGGAGTACTCTGTAGATGCCTGTTAGATCCAATTGGTCAAGTGTCTAATTTAAGTCTAGAATTTATTTTTAGTTTTCTCCTATGACGATCTGTCTAATGCTTTCACTTGGGTGTTGAGGTCTCCTACTATTATTGTGTAGGCATCCAAGTATTTTCTTTGATCTAGAATTACTTATGAATCTGGATTCTTCAATATTGGTTATGTATATATTTAGGATAGTCAAGTCTTCTTGTTGAATTGAACTCTTTATCATTATGTGATGCTCTTCTTTGTCCTTTTATTTTTTACTGTTGTTGGTTTAAAAGTCTGTTTTATCTGATGCAAGGATAAAAACATCTAATCCTTTCTGTTTTCCATGTGTATAATAGGTTTTTCTTCATTACTGTACTCCAAGCCTATGGGAGTTACTACATGTGAGATGAGTCTCTTGAAGACTGCAAAAGGGCAGATTTTTTTTTTAAGGCAATTTGCCATTTTTATCTTTGAACTGGAGCATGTAGGCCATTTATGTTCGAAGTTAACACTGGTATTTGATGTTTTGTTCCTGTGGTAGTGTTGTTAGCTAGTTGTTTTGGAGTCTCCATAATGTAGTTGCTTTATAGGCTTTGTGGGCTGTGTGTTTACATGTGCTTTTGTGATAGCAAGAATTGTTTTTTCATTTCCAGGTTAGAATTCTCTTAAGCATCTATTGTAAGGCTAGTCTGGTGATGATGAATTCCCTTAGATATTGCTAGTCTGGGAAAGACTTTATTTATCCTTAGTTTGGTAGGATATGAAATATTTGACTAGCATTTTGTTTAAGAGTGCTAAAAATGAGCCTCCATTCTGTTTTGGTTTGTAAGGTTTCTACTGTTAGTTTAATGGATATTCCTTTACAGGTAATATGGCCCTTCCATTTAGCTGCCTTTAAAATTTTTTATTTTGCATTAACTCTGTATAGTCTGATGATTATGTGCCTTGGGGATTGACATCTTGTGTGGTACCTTTTAGGAGTTCTCTGGATTCTTCGGATGTGCATGTTGACCCCTATAACAAGATTGAGGGGTCTCTATTGAATTATATCCTCAAATATGTTTTCCAAGTTGCTTACTTTCTCTTCTTCTCTCTCAGAAATACCAATAAGTCATAGATTTGATTACTTTACATAATCTCATATTTTCAAAGGCTTTGTTCATTTTTAAAAACATATTTTTTATTTGTCCCTGACTGGATTGATTTAAAGGACCAGTGTTCAAACGCTGAAGTTTTTTCTTCCGTTTGGTCTCGTTTGTTGTTAAGGCTTACAACTGTATGTTTCCTGTAGAAAAATTTTTAATTCTAGAGGTTCTGTTCAGTTTTTTTCTTAATATATGTATGTGGTCTTTCAAATACTGGATTTTTTTCTGGATTCTTTCTGTTGAATTTCAACTTTTTCTTAGATCTTTTAGGGTTTCTTTTGTATTTTTATTCTAAATTCTTTAGTTATCATTTCCCATTTTATTCTGGTTAGGATTCACTGCTAGGGAGGTAGTATAAGACTTTGGAGGTGATGGAACACTCTAGCTTTTTGTCATGATGCAGTTATTGTACTGGTTCCTTCTCTTTTGAGGAAGCTAATTTTTTATTTGCTTTTGTTTGAATGGGGCTTCCTGATTTTTTTTTACCACTTGAGAGTACAACTATGGTGTATGTTGTGTATGATTGATTGGCTTTGTTTCTGGGTGCTTTCAGAGAGTGAAGGCTTTGTACAGTTCTTTGGTGGCAGATGGGTTCGTGTAGTGGCTTTTTCAGACATTGCTTGTCGTAGTGACATACTTTTGTTTTGTGGTGTAATTCAGATAGTACTTCAGTAGATGGTGCTTAAGCGTTAGGACCAGGGGGTAGGCTCTCACTCTTTGCCTGTGCTTATCCTCATTGAAGTCAGAGGCAATGAAGAAGCACCAAAAGCATCTTCCCCCATTATAAGTTCACTCTCAGTGTGGTGGAACTGTGTCTGGAATTGGTGGGTTCTTGGTCTCACTGACTTCAAGAATGAAGCCGCGGACCCTCGCGGTGAGTGTTACAGCTCTTAAGGTGGCGCGTCTGGAGTTTCTTCCTCCTGATGTTCAGATGTGTTCGGATTTTCTTCCTCCCCGTGGGCTTGTGGTCTTACTGGCTTAGGAGTGAAGCTCTAGACCTTCGTGGTGAGTGTCACAGCTCATAAAAGCAGAATGGACCCAAAGAGGGAGCAGTAGCGAGATTTATTGCAAAGAGCGAAAGAACAAAGCTTCCACAGTGTGGAAGGGGACCTGAGCGGGTCGCCACTGCTGGCTCGGGCAGCCTGCTTTTATTTTCTTATCTGGCCCCACCCACGTCCTGCTGATTGGTAGAGCCCAGTGGTCCGTTTTGACAGGGCGCTGATTGGTGCGTTTACAATCCCTGAGCTAGACACAAAGGTTCTCCACATCCCCACCAGATTAGTTAGATACAGAGTATTGACACAAAGGTTCTCCAAGGCCCCACCAGAGTAACTAGATACAGAGTGTCGATTGGTGCACTCACAAACCCTGAGCTAGACACAGGGTGCTGATTGATGTGTTTACAAACCTTGAGCTAGACACAGAGTGCCTATTGGTGTATTCACAATCCCTGAGCTAGACATAAAGGTTCTCCAAGGCCCCACCAGAGTAGCTAGATACAGTGTCCATTGGTGCATTCACAAACCCTGAGCTAGACACAGGGTGCTGATTGGTGTGTTTACAAACCTTGAGCTAGATACAGAGTGCCTATTGGTGTATTTACAATCCCTGAGCTAGACATAAAAGTTCTCCAAGGCCCCACCAGACTCAGGAGCCCAGCTGGCTTCACCCAGTGGATCCCACACCAGGGCTGCAGGTGGAGCTGCCTGCCAGTCCCGCACCTTGCGCCTGCACTCCTCAGCCCTTGGGTGGTCGATGGGACTGGGTGCCTGGAGCAGGGGGTGGTGCTCGTCGAGGAGGCTTGGGCCGCACAGGAGCCCACGGAGGGGGTGGGAGGCTCAGGCATGGCGGGCTGCAGATCCCGAGCCCTGCCCCACGGGAAGGCAGCTAAGGCCCGGCGAGAAATCGAGGGCAGCGCCGGTGGGCTGGCACTGCTGGGGGACCCAGTATACCCTCCGCAGCCGCTGGCCCGGGTGCTAAGCCCCTCATTGCCCGGGGCCGGCAGGGCCGGCCGGCTGCTCGGAGTGCAGGGCCCAACAAGGCCACGCCCACCCGGAACTCCAGCTGGCCTGCAAGCGCCGCCCGCAGCCGCGGTTCCCGCCGGCGCCTCTCCCTCCACACCTCCCTGCAAGCTGAGGGAGTGGGCTCCGGCCTTGGCCAGCCCAGAAAGGGGCCCCCACAGTGCAGCGGTGGGCTGAAGGGCTCCCCAGGTGCATCCAAAGTGGGAGCCCAGGCAGAGGAGGCGCCGAGAGCGAGAGAGGGCTGTGAGGACTGCCAGCACGCTGTCACCTCTCAGAACCAGGGGAGAAACCTGAGAAGTGTCTTTCAGCACACTACCTGGATCCTAATGGTAAGAGCTCCTGTGGGAGGCTAGAGATGATCTCCTCTCCAAGTCCATGCCTAACATTGGTGATGTTGCCTTCAGAGGCTAGCACCATACTTCTATTTCCTTTAACTCAGGGGGACTTTGGTAGGCTGTGCTCCTCACCCCCTTAGGGGCAGTCTGCATCGAGGGTTAGATCTCTAAGTGACCGGCGTTCACCTCCGTTTTACTCCTTGAAACTGGTAGGGCACTGTCCCCCAACTGACCAAGGGAGCAGTCTGAGACACCCAGCAATGACATATGCAGACTGGTTCTAGGTTGTAAAGTCGTTTCTAGCTGCACATCTCACTCGCTAAGAGAAATCTCAGCTTCAGCAACTGTCCTCCTAGTCCAGTTTTGTGATGCCAGAGAGCCCAATTCCAGTGCCCATCTCTGGGGCACTGTCCACACTCCCACTCAATTCTGGCTATGTGGGCCCTTACCCCACTCCAGAGCAGTAATTACAATCTCTGGCCCAAGACTAAAATTCTTGTGGGTGCCACTGCTGGTTGCCAAACAGTGACTGACTTTGTATGAGCCTGGATAAAAAAATGGTGCTCTTCTTTTGGTTCTGGAACTGAGAAAATGTCTGCAGCTTGCTTTTCCTGGGGTCTTTTCCTCTCTCTGTCTTTCAGCCTCTCTCCATGTCGGCTCCAGGGCTTGGAGGAAATAGGGTGCTATTTTTTGTTCTGAATTACACAGATCCCTAGTGGAAAGGTAAGTCACAGAGGGAGACTGACTGCCCCTCTCCTTTACTGGGGCTTCATTCACTTTTATCAGTCAATCACCATCACAAGGACGGCTGTCCACCTTGTCATTTCTGGAGTCTGGGTTGTTCTTCATTTTTCTGATGAAATACCATCTTCCTTCTTGAATTAAAGCTCTCAAAGTAGATCTTTATGCACTGTTTTGCTGTTTCCAAGTAGCGAAGGCATGCTAAAAGCCCCTAATCTGTCATCTTGGGGGTAAAAAACCTTTATTTTAAAGGTTTTGTTGTTGCTGTTGTGTGTTGTTCTGTGCTTGCCGATGATGTTAATTTAATTGGATTTTGATTAAAGAACAAGTTCTAATGTTTGCTATTTTGCGGAGTGATACGGTTTGGCTGTGTCTCCACCCAAATCTCATCTTGAATTCCTACATGTTATGGGAGGGACTCGGTGGGAGGTAATTGAATCATGGGGGCAGGTCTTTCCCATGTTGTTCTCATTGTAGTGAATAAGTCTCACGAGATCTGATGGTTTTAAAAACGGGAATTTCCCTGCACAAGTTCTCTCTTGCTTCTCTGCTGCCATGTGAGACTTGATCTTCACCTTCTGCCATGATTGTGGGGCTTCCCCAGCCATGTGGAACTGTAAATCCATTAAATCTTTTTCTTTTGTAAATTGCCCAGCCTCTTGTATGTCTTTATCATCAGTGTGAAAATGGAATAATACATGGAGATTGTTGAGAGTTTCTTTATATCCTAGTCTATGTTAAAATATCATAAATATTTCTCATGTAGGTCAAAATTATCTCTATTTCTGTGCATTGGATATAGTAATTTATACATGTATCTTCAGTCAAAGTTATTAATTATATTGTTCCAATTGTTTCGATTTTTATCAAAATTTTCTTCCTAATCTAATACTATGAAAAATGTGTTAGAATTTCTCATTCTGATTGGATATTTGTCAGTTATCTTTGAAATTATGTTGACTTTGACTTTTCTTTTTTTTTTTTTTTTTGCTTCATGTATCCTGGAAGCTTTATTATTAGCTGCATGCTACATTACAATTGTTATGACTTACTGGAAATTTTATATTTTACTCTATTTTAGTATCTACCTTAATCTTTAACAATGATGTTTCATATAAGATAATTTTATCTAACATTAATATGAACAATCCAGCATCATTTGTTTTATACTTACCTGAGCTACATGCGTTTGTCTATCTGAAATCTATCAATTTATTAATCTATTTATTCTTCCATCATGTATCTTATAACTTTTTGTATGATTTTTATTTGGATGTATCTTTATTAATCTGTATATTAGTTAACTTATATTTATATTCTTTCTGTTAGTAATTTTCATTAAGTGTCATGGTAAATTTTTTTCATTTATTGTTATCAGTAATCTACTTGTAATCATTTTTACTACATTTTTTGCTATTATCTCTCATTTTTCTATCTTTTCTCTTTTTCTGCCTCCCATTGGATTGATCACATTTTCTGCTCTTTTCCTTTGGTTTCTCCCCATAACCCAAAGGTATAGAATTTCTGTATTCTACCATTTTTCATTCAGTGTTCATCTGTTTTTCTTTTTTTTTTAAAGCATACAGACATTTTTCTTAAAAGGTGAAATTTAACTGTATCCTCACCCTCTAGCTGAACAATGCTGAAAAATCTTGAACCCTTTTTGTGTTTAGGAAAAAAAAACGTGCAGCTCACTGCCTGTGTTCATTTAATTTTATATAAACATTCTCTTTGAGGCTGAAGCAAATCCGACTGATTTCCAACATGAAAGTAAAATATAAAATATAAAAGTTAGTTCTGTTTATTTCTAAACAGAACTAACTTCAGAATCGTCTGAATCATCAGAATCATCTGTTTAGGAAAAATTGAATTCATCAAATAAATCTTCAGCTAATACCTGTATGAAAACTATGTTAATATCACACTTAGGAATGCTATGTTTTCTAAAACTTGACATTTTCAGCGATTGAAAATTACTATATTTTGTAAATGGAAATACCTCTACAAAAAACAGAATGCTATAAATAGAATGATGTCTTTTGTTTTGAAAGGTGATATACTAAAGTGATGTGAAAATAATAATAAAATCAAGATCTTTTGTAGAAAAGTTATTTGGGGGTAAACACTGAAGCTGCAAGCACTGCTGGTCAGTATTCTTGGAGCAAACGGGAAATGGTTTAAATCTGTTACTTCTCCCTCCTGTCTCGTATGATGTCTGAGTTTGTTAATGACAACATATTCCACCTCCAGAATTAACAAAAATTTTAAAAATATCTCTATATTGTGCAATTTGTTTTCTTCAAAATTATCTTACATTTTATTCTTCCTACCTAGATTCAATGTTGTTCTTTTTGAAATGCCAATTTTTATAGTTCTTGTAGTTCATTTATCTTAGTTTTATGTGTTATTTTTTACTGAAAATACTTTATTGTGTATAAATCAAATAATAGTTAATCGTGGTATAAGATTACAGGTTGGTAGCATATTTTCTCAGCTCTTTAAATATATTATTTTCTTGCTTCCTGGCATATAGTTTTGTTCTTGAGAAGTATGTTTTCCATCTACTAATGTGCATTTTTAGTTGTTTTTAAAAGGAGTCCCTATGTCCTAACTGATCTGCTGATGTACATTTATATATACTTATCTTGCCCCAAACTCCCCTTCTTTAGTCTGAAGAATGATGCTTTTTATTATTTTTAAAATGCTGTCTTTGGATATTGCTTCTCCTCTAGCTTCTCCATATGGAGTTTCTATTACGCTCCAAGTTTTTTATTCCTTCTTTTTAAATAATTTTATAAACATAATTTGAATCATGTTATTTTCTTTCTTTAAGCTATTAGAGACTTCTCTCCGAACTGAAAGCATAGAATCTACACTATGAAACATAAGACGTGATCTAGCCATTTGCTACATCACAAACCCTCATCTCTCATCACATCTGCCTCTCTTCTTATGTTCATACATGGCAACACCACCAGCCACATATCTTTTTAAAAAGACAGACATTATCAGAAACCTGAAAAGTCTGTTTGGAGTAACCTTGTGTTATAACTAGGAACAAATATAGTTATTGAATAAGAGTAGCTGTTTAATGAATGATACTTAATTATAAAAGATGAATTAAACAATGAGCACATCAATGGTGGGGATTATTTCAACTGTCATTTTATCTTTTTTGTCAGAAACAGTGCCTGGCACATTTTAGGTGTACAATAAAAATTGACTCAAGGAAATTTAATTGACTTTAGTGAAATAGAATTTTTAAAGAGGTTGACTGGAGGTAGCAGCAGATATACAAATGCTTAAAATATTTAACCTGAAAGTTAGAAATAGCATTAAATAAAGCTTTTAAAGAGATCATAAAATGTGATGATGCAAATTTTTAAAGGTGTTAAGAATGCACACAAATATGGTTAATATAGCAAAACTATTTAACTTTGAAATTCCATAAAACATTCAACTTTTAAGTCTATGTAATGGATATTGTGAGAAAATTAGATTGCAAGATCATATTATCAGTCTTACAGATGAGATAGGCTTATCTTACTTTCTTTGTATAGAAAATTGTGAAACTTATATTAGTCCATATCTCAGACTTCCCTGCATAAACTGTACTGGCAATTACCATAAAAACATAGAGTGCCTAATAAAAATGAATCCACTGTTTGGAATAAAACTTGCCTTTTATTGAATTCAGAGTCATCACATTTCTTCTACCTAAGTTCTTGAATAATGAGAGTTTCTACTCTCTTTAATGTTCTGAGAATTTTCTTTCTGAAAAACATAAAGGCTTATATTATTATGCAGAGGAAAAGGTATGGCCTTCTCTTGTGAACATGCAGCAATATTCTATTTAAATAAAGTTGATTCAGCACAAGTCCTCGGGATACTAGCTATTTTATAGTTTGAAGAAATGCAGGATACTTGTCTGAGTTGACTCTCTCATTATATGCAGGCTTTCTACCATGAGAGACTTTCTCAGAATGCTTCTTATATTTTAGAAGAAAAGGCACAATAAAAACATATTACTACTTTTTTTCTTTTGTAGTTATAAGATAAATATATTTAAATATACCTTTGGCTATTAACAAATAGTAGTCATGGACTCAAGAGGCTTCTATTGCTTAATAATTTAAAGCCTCACATTATTTTATATAAAAGGAATTACTTGAGATTTGAATATATCTAAAGTTTTTAAATTCATTACATTCGAAACATGCTAAAATACTGAAGGCTTCTTATATAATATTTTTATCCCCCATTAGATTATTAAAATTTAATAGCATTGTTTATTTGGCATAATAATTAAAATGATCAAGATTTTTTTGAAAGCAAACTCTCGTAATCGCATGCAACATACAAATTTATTAATATCGAAGCATGAGTAGAAATCTAAAAATATTAACATATAGAATATTTTGATGTGATGGGTATAATTGAACAGAAAATCAAAGAAGGAAGTAATATTTTAAAAACGATACAGTGAGACTGAAATTTTTCACATTAAAAACTATTTCTTTACTAGAAAATGTATTTATCTAAACATCTCATATTAGGTTAAAATATGAATACTAAATTGAATGCACTCTTTCATATATACTTTCTATTACACTGGTGGGCAGTGTTATACACTATACCAGTAAGAACTTGTATTTTTATGTAAGAAATTTTAAAAGCCTGTTAATTACATGATTTTGAGTAAATTACTTAATGCCTTTCTGATGAATTCCTTATCTTTAAATTTAATAACAATATCAGTGCCTATTTCAGAAGATTGTTATAGGATTTAATTGATGTAAAATGTGTAAACACAGCATTGCTGGGTACAAATTAAATGCTCAATAAATGTTAGCTTCTTATTATCACTAAATAACAAATCCTCTACTTTGTCAGATAATCTATTCCTGAAAGTATATAAAATCATTAAGTGTTGTGTAAATAAAGAAGGGTGAGACACATGAATGTCATAAGTACTAGGGTCTTAGAAACAACACAGCATTAACGTGTATGTCAAATTAAATAGAAACTTACAGCAGATTCTGCTGTTTTCATATAGAATAACCTTGTTAGCAGAACTCTGATTCTGTGGTGGCCCTGTGGCCAGTTAAATGTACTCTAGTATTCCTCATTTCATGAAATCAGACGTGACCACATTACAGGATGCTAGGCAATAGAAAGAGCTAGAAGCAGCCCTTCCCATAATCTCATTAAAATAAACCCATTACTTTTCTTTTCCTTTCTTTCTTCTACCTGCCTGGAATAGTTAGTAGAACTCATCTTGCGATAATGAGACAACATGTATGAAGTTGGAAGATGGCAATATAAATGGTGGAGGCAAGGAAGAGTCTAGTTCCTGTTAAGCCACAATACCAGGGCCGAACAACCTGTATCTGAACCTCATCGAATGTTGTTATAGCATATGCCTGTGTTTAAGCCACAAAAAGAGCTTTTTTTTTCTTTTTTATTAGGTACAGTTGAATGTAATCCTACCTGACATAAAACTGACGAATGAAAGAAATCATAAAGATACATCATGCAACCAAAAATGTAACCTTCTCTTATATTAAAAGTTCTCTGTCATTCTCACTTTCTTTGTCATTTGCATTGCTTCTTTTTGCTATTTTTCCTCTTATCAATATTCTAGCTGTCCCCTTTCCATCTTCTTTACTAGTTTGTCTTCTACTTGACCATTGAAGTTTCTTGTAGATTGTTACAGAAGTAGCCCCCACTGTGTCCTGTGTCCTTGTAGTCACACCCATGTGTTCTTTCTTCTCAAGTTGACTAAGGTGGGGTTTCTTGCTCTCCTCGGTGATTGAGATATTGGCAGATATGATGTCAGCAAAAGCTTGAAAGGTGTGGCCATAGAGGATTACTCTGCTTTTTGCTGTTTTTGGAATGAAGACTCCATGTGAAGAATCCCAAACCAGCCTGATGGAAGTGTGTGGACTGGAAAACAGCTAGCACCAAGGGCCAATCATGTGAGAAAGGCTATTTTATAGCCCTTAGCCCAAGACGATGAGTTGAGTGCCCTAAGTTGAAAGCAACCAAAGAAGCACCCCATAAACCCAGTCTAAATTGTTGACCCAAATGGAAGGGAAGTAAACAAAACTGTTGTTAATTTTTTAAACTATTGAGTTTTAAGGTGGCTTGCTACATAAAAACAGATATGTGAGACAAGCTTTCGAAAGTATCTTTTATGTTATTCTACTGTATGGCTGCATTCTCTTTTCATCACTCCCAAATGGATATCGTCACACTTTAAATTCCTTCTGGCCTACAGATTCTCATCTACCTACCTTCTCAATGTCTCTGTGAGAATGTTACTTGTACAGGGACTTTAAACATATGAAATGTGTATTTCTAAATCTTTCTTAGTTCCCACTTTTGCCTCTGTGTGCCTCATGTCTCAATAACACTCACTAAATGAGTGATTTGATTAAGTATGAAATCTATAAGTAATAATTTCCCCATTTACTGTTGTTGCTTCACATATCCCTATTAAAAAATCCTGTCAGTTTCACTAAAGAGCTCTGCGTTATATCAAATTCTCTTCATCTCTATTGCCACTATGATATGAGCCAAAAATCATCTCTCTCCCTAACTAAGGAAATAAAAATGCATCCAGTTACTTAAAACGTTTATTTTTCTTCAATTCATTCTGCAAAAAAAAGTTAAATTTATTTTTTAAATGCAGATATCATTAAATTAACCTGCATTATATTCCATTGCCTTTGAAATAAAAGGCAAGATATTTATATGATTGGAAAGTTTTTACAAAATTGTTCACCTCATTTCCACATCTTAAATTTCTGTCATTCTACTGTTTTTAAAATTTAAGCCATATTTGAACTTATTTCATTGTATTCAATGTCTCATATCCTTTCTATGTGTTTTTGTGTTTATGCTATTTAACCCTTCTCTCTCCATGAAGATCTATCTTGTCTTCCTGTCTATTCAGTTTATACAACACTTCATTCAGGAGATTTTCATGGATACCTCTTCCAACTTCTGAATACATGGAGTGTCCTTATCTTATGTTAGAAAGAGGGGCATGATAACAAATATTTAAGACCAACTCTTGTGGGACAAAACAAAATTTTTATATTTGCCTTTGTTGATTTCTATTATGTAAATATTTCCACCATCGTTGATTTCAAGTAACATGACATCAATAGATCTGCAAAATTCCTAAAAGGTTAACAATTCCTGAACACTTAACAACTTGTTCTCATGAGCTGCTATAGGCTAGCTCCAGCACAGCACTAACTTCAGAGTCCAACTTCCTGCCAGCATGCCCAGAGCACACACAGTTAATGTGAAGGTCCCATGGCGTTAAAGTCCATCTCTTTACTTATCTTTGCTCTGTTCCCTCTGGCTGGCATAGTGAAGAACCCAAACAAATATAAGCATGCAACTTATAAAGATGCATTCAGTGTAAGGAAAAAGGAATGCATGAATGGAAATGCTTTCCTAGCCTCAGGGCTGCACATCATCAGGGAGCTAAAGAAGTGTCTGAAAGCAAACATCTCCATCCCTCTGTTTTGATCTATTCCCATCAGTATATTTGGGAGAGAAATTGAAATGAGTATGTATAGTTGGAAAATGCCTAGCTGGTGATTCCAATTCAATTTGTGTTGAAGGCTACCATTTTAAAATGATGTATCTTAAGTGCATATATATTAGTCAAAAATAATTGGTATTGAGAAGATATTTAAAAGTGATTCAAACTATATTATGCAAAGGCTTTTGTATGTATTACTGTTAAAAACAACCAAGCTTCACAGATATTAAGTTAAACACCTAGTTAACAGCCAAAATAAGGAACTAAACGGATGCATAACCCAGTCTCTTTCAACTTCTCTATTATCTGTAGTCTGAAGTATCAGAAATAAAATGATCTTGATTACTACAGAAAAGTTGCTTGAATAAGCTATAATTGACTGGAGATTGGAGATTAATTATAGAATAAGTCAATAGGACATGCAATGAATATGAGTATAACTTTGAAGCTTTAGGAGAATAATTCCAAAAGAATAACACATGATCTCAACCACCACAAAATTGATGCTGAAATGCTTAATGCCCATGTTTGCAAGTTAAATAATAAAGAATTCTTAAGAAACAATTACGATATTATTTACTAAATTAGCATGTTTCCATAATTCTAAGACGCATGTTTTTAATGTTCATGTATCTAAAATTCAAATGCAATAAGTAAAACATACTGAAGTATAATTTAATTGCAGTATTTGTTTCCATACTAGTAATACACTAAATACACTAAAATAATGGTACCATCAGTTTGATAAAATACAGTAATTTTATGTTATAGTAGGTACTATTTTACAAATAGGAGATAAAATTATAAAAGTGTCCTTTTTTTAAAGTCCTAATTCAGAACAACAAAATGAAAGGGTTGTGAGTAATAAATATTAGGTTTTAATTAAAACAATGCAACCAAGGGAGCTGAAAACATAATTACAATGATTAAAATAACATTTCTTGAGTTCTCATTATGGCTTTAAGACATTGAGGTAGAAATTTGCAAAAAAATCCTTATACAATCACTTCAACATATTATTTTATGTTTTGCTACAATTCTTCCAAGTTTAATTTATTGAAGAGAAAAAAAGAAACTGGCAGAGATAGAAACAAAGAGGAAACAGACAGACAAAGATGTAAAGAAAGAACAGGTTTGAAATTAAGCTAAATGTTTAAAAGAATGAGTATGAATAGTTACGATAAAGCGTATTACTAAAATTGTGGTCCAGGAATCATATCTATAATAATTACCTGATAGGCTTGTTAAAAATGGAGATTCTTTGGTTCTGACCCAAACCTACTAAATCAGAAAATCTGTGGAAAGGGACTAGAAAACTTTATTTTTAACAAGCTCCCTAGAAAGTTTTATGCACAATAAAGTTTGAAAAAACCTGAATTGTAGGGTGAAAAAAAAAAGATAAGCCAAAAAATAAATCAAGCATAAATTATTAAAATTTTAATCATGTAGTGAGAACTGGCTAAGTATGCTGAGTAAGCACTTCAAATTATAATACTTTCATATGAGTTTCATATGAGAATCTATTTAAAAGTGAATGCATTTCAATTGAGTCATGAATAACTGCTTACTGAAAGTGGTTTAATAGCACAGAATACTAGGTAATATTAAACTGTATATGTTATTGATAAATATGATCTAATGCTATCTGTTTTTTCCTCTAAAGAATTTAAAATTAAGGTTGAATGTTCTTACATATATTGTTGCTTTCTTTAGAAAAAAATACTTATTTTTCACATCTCTTATTCAGTTTTATAGCTTATGTATTTCATCTACCTGGAGTCATTTGCAATGCTACAATTTTGTTGGAAAAATCAACAAGTATTATGTCTGTATCAAATTGTTTGAATAATATTTCTCATAAAATATAAAAAGTATTACATATTTTTGCATGAAACTGAATATCAGCCACAAAGTTTTGAGTTTACTTGTTAACACCAAGCTATCTGTTAATTTGAACACATAGAAAACAAATATGTTCTATGTCTTAAAAAAAACACGGTATGGTATATAGAAAAGAAAAGTTAATTGAAATTTGCCTTAAATTAATCAATTAAGTTTTACTTAAATCATCACCATTTTCTGAATTGTTAAAACATGTATTAAAATTTCCTGTCAACAATGACAGGATATCCTCCCTAACTCATTTTATGAGACCAGCGTCATCCTGATACCAAAGCCTGGCAGAGACACAACAAAAAAAGAGAATTTTAGACCAATATCCCTGATGAACATCGATGCAAAAATCCTCAATAAAATACTGGCAAACAGAATCCAGCAGCACATCAAAAAGCTTATCCACCATGATCAAGTGGGCTTCATCCCTGGGATGCAAGGCTGCTTCAACATACACAAATCAATAAACGTAATCCAGCATATAAACAGAACCAATGACAAAAACCATATGATTATCTCAATAGATGCAGAAAAGGCCTTTGACAAAATTCAACAACCTTCATGCTAAAAACTCTCAGTAAATTAGGTATTGATGGGATGTTTCTCAAAATAATAAGAGCTATCTACGACGAACCCACAGCCAATATCATACTGAATGGGCAAAAACTGGAAGCATTCCCTTTGAAAACTGACACAAGACAGGGATGCCCTCTCTCACCACTCCTATTCAACATAATGTTGCAAGTTCTGGCCAGGGCAATCAGGGAGGAGAAGGAAATAAAGGGTATTCAATTATGAAAAGAGGAAGTCAAATTGTCCCTGTTTGCAGATGACATGATTGTATATCTAGAAAACCCCATCCTCTCAGCCCAAAATCTCCTTAAGCTGATAAGCAACTTCAGCAAAGTCTCAGGATACAAAATCAACGTGCAAAAATCACAAGCATTCTTATACACCAATAACAGACAAACAGCCAAATCATGAGTGAACTCCCATTCACAATTGCTTCAAAGAGAATAAAATACCTAGGAATCCAACTTACAAGGGACATGAAGGACCTCTTCAAGGAGAACTACAAACCACTGCTCAATGAAATAAAAGAGGATACAAACAAATGGAAGAACATTCCATGCTCTTGGGTAGGAAGAATCAATATCGTGAAAATGGCCATACTGCCCAAGGTAATTTATAGATTCAATGCCACCCCCATCAAGCTACCAATGATTTTCTTTGCAGAATTCAAAAAAACTACTTTAAACTTCATATGGAACTGAAAAAGAGCACGCATTGCCAAGTCAGTCCTAAGCCAAAAGAACAAAGCTGGAGGCATCACGTTACCTGACTTCAAACTGTACTACGAGGCTACAGTAACCAAAACAGCAGGGTACTGGTACCAAAACAGAGATATAGACCAATGGAACAGAACAGAGCCCTCAGAAATAATGCCACATATCTACAACTATCTGATCTTTGACAAACCTGACAAAAACAAGAAATGGGGGAATGATTCCCTATTTAATAAATGGTACTGGGAAAACTGGCTAGCCATATGTAGAAAGCTGAAACTGGATCCCTTCCTTACACCTTATACAAAAATTAATTCAAGATGGATTAAAGACTTAAATGTTAAATGTAAAACCATAAAAACCCTAGAAGAATACCTAGGCAATACCATTCAGGACATAGGCATGGGCAAGGACTTCATGTCTAAAACTCCAAAAGCAATGGCAACAAAAGCCAAAATTGACAAATGGGGTCTAACTAAAGTAAAGAGCTTCTACACAGCAAAGGAAACTACCATCAGAGTGAACAGGCAACCTACAGAATGGGAGAAAATTTTTGCAATCTACTTATCTTACAAAGGGCTAATATCCAGAATCTACAATGAACTCCAACAAATTTACAAGAATAAAAAAACCCCATCAAAAAGTGGGTGAAGGAGATGAATAGACACTTCTCAAAAGAAGACATTTATGCAGCCAAAAGACACATGAAAAAATGCTCATCATCACTGGCCATCAGAGAAATGCAAATCAAAACCACAATGAGATACCATCTCACACCAGTTAGAATGGCGATCATTAAAAAGTCAGGAAACAACAGGTGCTGGAGAGGATGTGGAGAAATAGGAACACTTTTACACTGTTGGTAGGACTGTAAACTAGTTCAACCATTGTGGAAGTCAGTGTGGCAATTCCTCAGGGATCTAGACCTAGAAATACCATTTGACCCAGCCATCCCATTACTGGGTATATACCCAAAGGATTATAAATCATGCTGCTATAAAGACACATGCACACATATGTTTATTGCAGCACTATTCACAATAGCAAAGACTTGAAACCAACCCAAATGTCCAACAATGATAGGCTGGATTAAGAAAATGTGGCACATATACACCATGGAATACTATGCAGCCATAAAAAATGATGAGTTCATGTCCTTTATAGGGACATGGATGAAGCTGGAAACCATCATTCTCAGCAAACTATCTGAGGGACAAAAAACCAAACACCGCATGTTCTCACTCATAGGTGGGAACTGAACAATGAGAACACATGGACACAGGAAGGGGAACATCACACTCTGGGGACTGTTGTGGGGTGGGGGGAGGGGGGAGGGATAGCATTAGGAGATATACCTAATGCTAATTGACGAGTTACTGGGTGCAGCACACCAGCATGGCATATGTATACATATGTAACTAACCTGCATGTTGTGCACAGGTACCCTATAACTTAAAGTAGAATAAAAGAAAAAATAAATAAATAAATAAAACAATGACAGGATAACCCTAATTTTCTGTATTCATCCTCAATTGTTTTATTATTTTGTTGTATTTTAAATAGATAGATTTTATTTACACCTAGCACTGAAATATTTAATAAGAGATTGCAATTATATCCATTTTGAATAAAATAGAGCTAAAAGTCATTATCTATGAGAATGGTTTTATTGTTATTTAAAAAGTAAAAAATAATTAATTAAATTTTTTATTTAAGGAGTGACGAGATGTTAACCAAAATGTACAGCAATTTAAGTTAACATCTTGCCACTCCTTAAATAATAAATTTAATTTTTTTTTTTGCCTAACTACACGTTACTATTTTAAATTTTTTTCAGTATTAATACATTTAATGTATATGTCTCATGCTTAGACAGCTATAAACGACTTCCCTACAACTGAGAAGCTTTAAGTTAGCACAGGTACCTTTTTTTTTTTTTTTTGACGGAGTCTCGCTCTGTCGCCCAGGCTGGAGTGCAGTGGCTGATCTCTGCTCACTGCAATCTCCACCTGCCAGGTTCACTCCATTCTCCAGCCTCAGCCTCCGGAGTAGCTGGGACTACAGGCACCCGCACCTCGCCCGGCTAATTTTTTGTAATTAGTAGAGAGGGGGTTTCACTGTGTTGCCCATGCTGGTCGCCTGCAGTCCCAGCTACCCGCCGCCACGCCTGGCTAATTCTTTGTATTTTTAATAGAGACGGGTTTTCACTGTGTTAGCCAGGATGGTCTGGATCTCCTGACCTCGTTATCCGCCCACCTCGGCCTCCCAGAGTGCTGGGATTACAGGCGTAAGCCACGGTGCTGGGCCTAGCACAGGTAACTTTTATTTACCTTAGTTTTATATGAAGAGTCAAGGAGAGAAATGAAAACTTAAAAAGGACAAATATTGGTCTATATTTTCTAATGGAGGTTTGCTCCATATCATGTTTCTCTCTTGCTTTTCCTGGAGCAACTTCAAGGAGGAGAATATCTTCTCAAGACAAGATTATGCTTTGGTAACATATTAGCTATGAATTGATGCAGACAGCTTTCTAACCATTTGAAATTGCTCAGAAATACATAAAGGCTATGGATGTTAAAAGGAAAAAGCTCTTTTCCAAGTTTGCTATGTTGTTGATTTATGAGGTAGGGCAATTAAAAGTGAGTCTAAGCTTAAACAAATGTGCCTTTTCTACCTCTGCTTATTTAGCAGAATTCTTAAAAGAACAAGCTCACAGATGTAAGAAAAATGACACTGGGACATTAATAAACATTTTTACATTTAAATAATTATATATTTTTGACACTTATAAGACAATGATTTAGTAGAATCCAGAACTGAAGTGAATGCTAAAGTCATTTTTGTAGAACTTTGCCCTTGATAGTGGTCTATAAATGATTTTCTTACATTGTACATACGCACATATAGATGCACAGCCATAAACACAAAAAGACATTTGAGTGTTGCTATTTTACCTTGAATTTAATGGTTTAACTGTATGCTGTCTTTTGTTATAAATTTATGCATCCATTTTGAAAGCAGTATAGTAGTGTTGGTATAAATAGTATACTAATTAATTTTAAAAAACAAGTTACATAATTGAAAATGGCAGAGTAGAAACTAATCTTTGAAATTATGATTGTTGTATCTCTCTCCAAAGGTATCTTCTAGGGTTATACATTTTTGTTAAACAGATAGTTTTCCTTTATAAGAGGTTATCATGAATCTACACTGTCATTACCACATTAAATAAATTTTATCCCTCTAAGGAGAATTCTGACCTTTCATAGCACAGAAAATAGACTGATAGCACTTTCAGCAATTCCCATAAATTACACACTAGTTGCTGTGGTTTGGATGTTTCCTGCAAATTTTATGTTGAAATTTAATCGTCATTAGTATTAAGTGGAGGATTCTTTGGGAGGTAATTAGAATTATGTAAGGTCATCAGAGTGGGGGCTCCATGTTGGGACTGTGACTTTATAAACAAAGGGGAAGAGAGACCTGAGCTAGGACTCTTGCTCTGCCTCACAATGTGATACCTCTTACCATGGGATGATATCGCAATAAGGCCTCACCAGATGTGTCACCTTGATCTCAAACTTCCCAGGCTCCGGAACCACAAGAAGTAACATTTCTCTTTTTTTAATGAATTACCCAGTCTCAAGAATTCCGTTATAGCAACACAAAAAGAAATAAGACAGTAGTCTTGCACATCATTAAGATTATTATCAATGCTGCACATTTAGGTTAAAATTTGTGAAAAGTTAGATGAGAATCTTAATGGATATTTTATATTTTACTTTTGCTTTTCTGCTACTGAGATGCTCATTACTTCTTATGGTAGCAAAAATAACAGTAAGTTGCAAAATCCATTGTATAAATTACATGTTATTTTTCTCATTATGAGTGACTCCATGCAATTTACTTCGAAGTTAGTTCATGAGGAAATTATACTTTGGAACTCCTAAAGAAAAATTGCACCCAACAGGTCAACAGGCAAAGGAGACTATTCGTGACTATTTCAATAGAGAAAAGAGACTGAATCTAACTCTGATGAAACAAGAGTCAAGAAAATTTTCAAGTCCTGGGGTGATCTAGTGGAAAAGTACTGGAAGATAGTAATAGAGAAGTTAGTCAGTGTGTTTAGACCTTCTGTGTTTGCTAATTGGTGGTTATTGAAATTAGTCTTCTACAGAGAGACTGGAAGATAAGGCACTATCTTTCTGGATGTATTACATTTCAAAAGGATGGCTCCCAGGTTCTTGAGAAAGGTATTAGCTGGTAATAAAACTGGCCAAAGGCTGGGAGAAGATTTACATCTCAAAGGGGCAGGGAAAGAATTTGCATTTAAAAGTTTTCTTAAGTAAATGCTCTAAGGGAAGGGAGGCTAGAAGCCTAGAGTCAGTGTCTAAAAGTTACTCAAACTGAGGACAATGTTAAAGCTATCTTGCTCAAAATAAGAGAAACCATACCTTCATTTGCAGGCTACTTCTGCAGAGAGAACACCAGAGGGGAAAGGAATCTATCAGAAGGCAAGGTGAGTTTCTATAACTGGAAGTTCTTTTCCTTCACTATTTCTTTTTGAGTCAATTTTTCTTCTCCAAGAAACTTTCAAAATATATTCACTTCACTTGTCCCCAGTCTAACTTAGATGTCATTTCTCTGGACATCTTACAAGGAGTATCTTTTTCAAAGTACTTATGACTAGAAATTTAACTTTTGAGGTCACTTTTTGCCTTCCTAATTACACTGTAAGAATTTTTCTGGCAAGATATTATGAATTTTTTTCTATGAATTTTCGAGAACAAACTAAGTGCCACACCTAGTAAATAAACACTGAATATTGTTGAATGAAAGAAGGATTGTTTTTTCAAAGTAAATACAGTTTAAAGTAAGCTAGGGTAAAGAGAGTCACAGATGGAGAAAGAATTCTACAAAGTCCCTAAAATCTTGAGTCTTAAAGCATTTATTCTGTCTCTTTGAGCATTAAGGCCAAACCTATTAGGGGGCATTATAAATGAAAAATATGCAAATTAAAAATAATAGCCCAGTTTTAATGGGATTATAACAAAATCGAATATGAGCTTAACTTTGAATTTCTTAGCTTTTATGTTTCATGTTAAATCCATGATACCATTTGAAACTATCTTTTGGAATGCAAATCAGTACCAATACTGCTGAGCATAGTGAAAATTAATGAAAATAATAACAGAAAAGAACTTAGGAAGTCTACTAAATCCCATTTTAACATAAGTAGAGTCAAAGTGGTCTTTGTTATTGTTATAATTAACTGATTGCATGCAAACACAACCCTACTTATTTAACTGAAATATAAAGAAGGTTGTATATCTTCTAATAGGATGTATATATATATATAGTCTAAAGGGCCAAAAAAAAGTCATATTTTGAATTTTACTGAGAAATAGTAACCAATAACTTCAAATCTTTTGTTTGGTTGGAAAATACTCATTGTATTCTGAATAAACTTTTAAACATATGTTAAAATTGTGTGTGAATTTTAAATTATAGAGATAAATCATTAAATATTGAAAGCCAGTTTTTCTGCATTAATATTCTTATAAGGAAGTGTAATTTTAACAGAAAGTTGTATTGTGTTTCCTATTTAATTATAATCACATATTTGAAAGATAATTGTAATTTTTAATAAATATTAAACCTGTTGTTAATAATGTACAGAAACCCAGATAATTACTTTTGACATAATTATTTCTCACAGAATTGAACATTTTCTTACATCAACAACAAAAATGTTCTGTCTCTGCTTCTGTGATATAAAAATGATGATACATTATGGTATTTAACAGTAAGCATGAATGATTTTTTTAAATAGAGTATATTTTAAGTGTTTATTTCAAGCCCACTCTCTGTGAACATTTTGATTTAGTGAAATTTAATTAAGACAATGGGACTATTATTCAGCATGCTCAATTTTTATGTAGTTTTATTTTAGAGAGAAATTTAGATTTGTATGAACTTCTGGCTTTAAGATAATATCAAATGCACATCAGTTGAGGAAACATATCATATGGGAGACAAAGAGACAGAGTCAAAAAGAGAGAAGAAAGAGAAACTGTAATTCTATAATTATGGGAATAAGGCGTATATTTTTTGTGGTTTTGATTTGTGCCTTTTCACTAAATATTTTTTATGACATTAATAATTTTAGATATCAACATTTTAAGATTTCCTACTCTTCTATGTAATAAATAACAGCTAGTAAATAATTCTATTGCTAGAAATGTATATTATTAACAGGAGATTCATATACTTCTATTAATGTAATATGTTAAAATTTACATAATTAATAACATTCAGTGAATGATGAAAAGTCATTAAAATACTCTGAAACAATGAAGGCAGAGGCTGAATAGTTACACAGTTAACTCTGAAGTCACGCAATACCACACAGCTAATCTTTGTGACACACCTGCCTCCCCCTTTAGACTTCAGTAGTGATAAGCATCATATACTGATAACTGCATCTACCAGTATAAAAACATTTCCACTTAAAAAAGGGAATATTTCTATTTTGGCTTCCTCAGTAACATAAAAATAAATTGCCAAAAACAGGAAAAGAAAGAAACAACAACAAATCAAAACCCATCCCACACTTCCCTTTATATTGCATGGGAAAGATTCTCAACAATAATCATGTCCAATTATTCTTTACCAAGTAAATCACTCCAGAGACCTCCTATAGAATAATATTCTGTGCCTGGAACAGGACAAAGCCCTAGAATTTACAAACGGCCGGTATTAGCCTGTTTTCACACTGCTATAAAGAACTACCTGAGACTGGGTAATTTGTAAACAAAAGACATTTAGTTGACCCACAGTTCTGCATGGCTGGGGAGGCGTTGGGAAACTTAAAATTATGGCGGAAGGTGACGGGGAAGCAAGGCAGTCTTACATGGCAGCAGGAGGGCGGGGGGAAACTGCAAAACCCTGTTAAACCACCAGATCTTGTGAAAACTCACTCACTGTCATGAGAGCAGCATTGGGGAAACTGCCACCATGATCCAATCACGTTCCATCAGGTTCCTCTCTTGGCGTGGGGATTTCAAATTAGGATCATTAGCAGAAGGGTAAAAAAATAAAAAAAAATAAGAGTTCTGCCATGTATATCAGTCATCTTAGATTTTGATGTTGCTGTACGTATTTTCTATGGCATATTTTATCATGGATTGTAGGGCTATTATAAATATTAAATATGATAAATTCAGACACATAGGCAGAAGCAAATATAAACTTAATTAGTAATTTTTTACCACATACAATGGGGGAACTTTCTAGGAGACTAGTATTTGTGAATTGTACTATGTTTCAGAAAATTACCAGGCTGTTTTCTTGTAGGGAAGTCAAAATAAAAAGCTCATCAATTTCATCATAGAATACATTCAACATTAATAAACATAATTATCCATATTTCTGAATATTTTTTGCAGAAGTACTTTAATGTAGAAAATATATTTATGAGAAAATGACTTATGCCTAAGTTGAGTGATACACAGTGTTGGGATGCTTCAAATATATACATCAAGCAAGCGTATATATATATCTCTTTTTTTTTTTTTTTTTTGGTCGCCCAGGCTGGAGTTCAGTGGTGCTATCTTGGCTCACCGAAACCTCTGCCTCCGGGATTTAAGCAATTCTCCTGCCTTAGCCTCCCGAGTAGCCGAGACTATAGGCACATGCCACCACACCTGGCTTATTTGTGTATTTTTGGTATATACGGTGGTACGGTCTGGCTGTATCCCCAACAAAATCTCATTTTGAATTCCCACATGTTGTGGGAGGAACCTGGAGGGAGGTGATTGAATTACAGGGGAGGGTCTTTCCTGCACTGTTCTCATGATAGTGAATAATTCTCACGAGATCTGATGGCTTTATAAGGCAGAGTATCCATGCACAAGCTCTCTCTTTGCCTGCTGCCATTTATGTAAGACGTGACTTGCTCCTCTTTGCCTTCTGCCATGATTGTGCGGTTTCTTCCACCACGTGAAACTGTAAGTCCAATTAAACCTCTTTCCTTTCTAAATTGCCCAGTCTCAGGTATGTCTTTATCACCAGAGTAAAAACAGATTAATACAGATGGGGTGTTACCACGTTGGCCAGGCTGGTCTCAAAGTCCTGACCTTAAGTGATCTACTCATCTTAGCCTCCCAAAGTGCTGAGATTACAGGCATGAGCCACCATGCCTGGCCAACTATGTATATATATATACATATAAAATCATTGCTCTTATATTTTAAAATAATAAATTTATGACCAATTTTCTCAGGAGGTCCTGAATTCACAATATTCTATTGCAGCTTTTCTACATGATGATGAAATCAGTCATAAAAACCATAGTTAATGAATTACATATGATATAAATTATATTTACATTATTTTGAAGGCATTAAAGCAAACCCCTGTATTCACAAGTTGAATGAGCTAATAATAATGTTAGTGTTAGATTCTCAGAATAAACCATTTATATTCTTATACCTAACCTGAAAGAGCACTACATAAAGCTGAAAGATTTGCTGCAGACTGCTACTTCAAATTTTGAACTCAGCCAAACAAGTTGATACATTTGCGGGCTATCAATTTAATTATTTAAATTTTGTGGCAAAGAATCATTAACTGGGGCACAATGGTATATTTAATTTTAAAAGATGCTCATAGGCAAATTTTCAGGATTTATGTTGGTTATAGAATAAGGCATGAAGTAGAAAAGTAAATAGTAATTGTCCTAATTTCTCTTTGGTATGTAAGCAAAGGAGGTTGTAACAGGAAGCATGAATATATAATTCTTTTTATTCTCCTAAATATGTTTGTTATTTACCCTTCCACAAGCTGGTGGTGACAAAAAAAAAGACTGAGAAAAATGCAATTTGTATATATTTTTCTGGAGATTTTCAGGTGATTCTCTAGGTTTTATCCCTGAAGTTAAAAATCTGCTGCTGGCTAGCCTGAGTGTAGGTTATGACAACCTACCTGGAAAGCTGGCTAATCACTTCAAGCATGATGTGAAAATTACATTAAGTTTTGAAGTTTCTCTTTGCTAAGTTTAGCAAAGTACTTAGACTGTATGTTTATGTGCCTGAAAAAGTGAATGAAGGCACAAAAGAAAAAAAAAAGCTTTTAAAAGAATGAACATGAATATGAATGTAAATATGAATGTGAATAAGTGAGATGTTAAACAGTGACTAAACAGTGAGCAAACAAATTTCTGAAATTAATGCATACAAATGCAACAGAATGGAATTGTGAAGAAAACAGACACTTATATGTATGTTTTAATCCATCATAAATTAAGTTTCTTCTTTCACATCTGGCTGTGGCAGAGAAACTGGTACCAGAAATGGCCCAGAACTAGAATGAAGTAGAAAAATTGGGCAAGATGTATATATAAAACAAGTCTGTTTTTACAATTTTGGCAACTGGAAGCTGAGAAATATTATCCCTGAAAGAAGGAAAACAAATGAGACACACGGTATGATTTTCCTCAGCTCTCTCTTTGTGGGACACTTTCTGAATTGTGGCAAAAGAAGGAGCCACTCAAGCAGAATACTGAGATCTTCAACCTACCAATTGAAATTCCAAGAGACTGAGGCAGAGTACCAGAAGGGAGAGAACTGCCCAGCATACAGGTTCCCTGCTATCTGCATAGGGCCAACTTGATTCTTTGGATATCTGACCAATAAGAAGAACTGGCTGTGTAAGAACAACTGGCTGTGTAAGAACAACTATTTGGGAGCTAATATCTGAAAAATTATCAGAAGACATGTAGGATGGGAGATGCTTGATTTACAATCCATGAGAGTGCAGAAACAGTGTTGAACACCCAGGGTCTTCAGTGGAGGCATAAGAATTGTCGTGCTTGAGCAGTAGTCCTCATCCAAAACTACAGTGAAGACTTTGCATTAGTTTTCTTCTGCTGCCATAAAAAAAATGCCACAAATTTAGTAGCTAAAAATAACACAAATATGCTATCTTACAGTTCTGGAGATCAAAAGTCTAAAACGGGTCTCACTGCTAAAATCAAGGTGTGAAACTGCATTTATTTCTGGAGGCTCTAGGGGAGAATCCATTTTCTTCATTTGCAAGCATCAAGAGGCAGTCTGCATTCCTGGGCTTCATTTATTTATGTCATCTTTAGTTTTAATCGGAATTATTTCATAGTTTTCCTTATACAGGCCTCTCACAACCGTTGTCAAATTTTCTTCTGTCTTGAAGATAAAAAATTTATTTTATATTACTTTTAGATGTTAATGTATCAAGGAAAGATAACGAACTAAGAGAAAACTGGGAAGGAATATGCAGGTAATGTCACTTTTAGAAGTCATGATAGATATATACACTAGAAAATCAACTAGCAAAATATATAATATTGATAGTTTGCTGTTCTAAATGATTTTTATATAAAATTTGTTTTCATATATCTGTGTTTTAAATATATTAGACTCTGTTGAATACATAACTTTCTTATATACATTTCCTAAACATACTTATAATTATATTCACTTATAATCTTCCTTCAATTAAATTTATAATTATCTAGAATTTCTTTTATACATAAAACCCTATTATTTGATATTTTATTATTAATAGAATAACCACTATAATATTTATTTTATAAAATAATAGGGTTAATACAATTTCTCAGTAATCATATGTAATTTTTTATATACAACTTTTATTTTACTTTAGTTACTATAAATTATTGAAGTTATATTTTTCTTACTTGCAATAACTTTTAAAAAAGTGGATGTTTTACTGGTCTCATTATTTGCACATGTGGCAGGTAAGAGAATATCTTTATAAATGAATAAAAGAAATGACTATAAAACCACAACCATAAAACACTGGAAGCCTGCATGGTAATAAGCCAATTTTTGTGGAAATGAACTCATTAATGCTAAATTTTTGCTGACTTCCAACTGATCTAAAAACTGCTTTACAAAATTCAAAAGGCACTTCATGAATTGTAGAAGAGATGAAGAAAAAGGGAATGAACCAACCATTACCAAGCATACTTCACTCATTTGGTTTCCAACAAACTCCCCTATAATCTATAGCTGAGAGCTGGGGAAATATGAATAAAATTGATGAGGGTGACAGAAGGGTTTTATCAGAGTTTCACCAAAAGCTTCTTGTTGAGCAGTGCAAAGCAGTTTAAACATGAAGTGCAGCTGGGCTTTGACTATTTGTTAGATTTTATTGTACCTTTCCTTGCACTTGCAAATTTTCACACGTTTCTCACAAAAATATCATATTGCCATAAGAGTGGGATGTAGACACTGGAGGGGGCAAATTAAGAAACAAAACAGAATTTGAAAAAGATAATTGTACAATAGATAGAAGGCTATGAAAAAAACCTCATCTTTTGTTAGAGTACTTATGTAAAAAGTCATTTAAAATACTTGATCAAATTGAAAATTGTATTTAATAAATATTCATAGGTTTATAAGCAGAAAAATAAGTAAAGATAATAATTAAAGATGTCAGTTTCCTATGATAATAATTATTTTTATTAAAATACCCCTGAATGTATGTGGTCCATTTTAAAGCACACAAAATGTCAACACAGGTTAAAAGATAAGAATCTCAAATACAAGATTTTAAACATCTTAATAATCAAAACAATCAAAAACTTGATATTTCTTTTTCATTGTATTTTGAAAATGTGATGGCAAATTATTATTTTGCCACAGTTATTCACAACCTATTTTCTCAAAGAAGTAGACCCAGGTAAACCTAACTGCATCATTTTGTGTCTCTGATTTAAAACAGAGAGAAGCAAAATGCCACACTAACAGAAGGTATTCTCAGTTAAGGGGCCAATTTTGTTTCTATTTATTGTTTAAGTTCTCCATACTTAAAAAATTTAAATAATAAATTGTTGTCATAAGACAGTTATTACACCAAGAAGTACCTTACAATTAAGCTCAAGACCTACAGGAAGCTATTAAAATTAATGGAGGAGCCAAATGTGGAGCAGAACATCTCTGGACATCAAGTTGACCGGCCAAAATTTCCTGGAACAGGTACCTTTCTGTTTTCCACAATAAATATACAAGCCAAAATGCAAATAGAATTGGAAGCAGAAATGAGATACAGTCACTCATGCAAATTTACTAGTTAAGCTAATTAAAAGAAAATATTCCATTCATTTATTCAGCCTAAGTTTATTTGAAAGTTAATCCCTTTGAAATCCGTCAGTATCTCATATGCCATAAAAAAGTAAAATTTAGTTAAATAAATATCGTTTGATTTTATCTACTATATGCAAATAAATGGTTAGACATTCAAGGAGGAGAAAAGTTCATGAGACATTTACTATCTCTAGGTGCTACAGGATAATTGTCAGGAGTTTACTATATGCTTCACAAAGATATAGTAAGTGCTATAGAATAAACTTAATTAAATTTAAGTTATAATGGAGCCACAGAGCACATGAAGGAGCCATTTTTTTTTTTTTTTTGCAATAGTACGAGGGGATTTTAAGGCAGGAGATGGCAATATCAACTGGCTACATATGTCTATAGGACTTCAAAATAAAAGTGATGATAATGGTAGTTGGTCAAACAAAGGCAAAGATATGAAAAATGTTTAATGTTCTCAGAAAATGGTGATTCAAATTATGTTTTTTAAATGGATTTTTAAGGGATTGTTGGAGAAATTGGGATATGATTTTTTTAATAACTTGTATGTCTTCCAAGAACTGGTATGCAACAGACTCTAAATTTCATCCTGTTATTATTGGTATAGACTAATCTTAGGTGGTTCATTTTCTCCTATATTTATCTACCTTTTCCTGTCGCTCGATAAAGATTTACTGCTCTATCTTTTCCTGTCTCTCAGTAAAGATTTCCTGATACCTACAGAAAAACTTTGCCAAGGATAGGTTAGTTACATTTATTCCCAGGTAATTGAAATAAAATATACTGTAGAGCGTTCATCAGCACATATTCTTGAGAAACTTCCTTCTTTGATTGTATTTCTTATTTGCCAATCCATCACAAACCAGAGTTATCACTTCTCATTTCTATACTTAAAAAAATAATAGCAGCAAAACTCTTTGTTTAATGACTCCTAAATTGGATCATTCCCATAAAATTGCCCTGCTCTCCCAAGCTGTTTCTCACCTTTGATCTGCTTAGGACAGTCTTTCAGCCCTGTCCTAAGAAGAGTTCCAATTTCCCTTCTGAGCCACCTTTTAAAAGAAGTAATTATATTTAGAACCCTGGAGCCAAAAATGGCTTATGTCTGATAAAATAAATTGGATTAATTTTCTTTTCCCTTTAGAGTGAACAGTACTTGACTGAATAATATCTTAAAGATGCTTTGGATTCAAACACTGAGCTTATGAGCATAGTCTCAGTTTCATTGCCGCTATAAACCTGGGAAGAGCATTCAAAACTACAAAAATAAACAAAAACATAGAAAAAGTAAAAAAAGCACACAAAAATAAACAACAGACAATAGGAAAAGCCAACCTAATGTTTTTAAGATTCATTAATCTTGTAGTATGTATCACAACCCATTCCTTTTTGTGGTGAATACAATTTTGTTGCATAAATAAGTCACATTTTGTTTATTCATTGATGGAAATTTTGGGTTGTTTTCACCTTATGATTATAGTGACTAATGATGCTTTGAATCTCCTTGTGTGTTTGTGTGCATACATTGTTTTCTATCTTGAGTTTATACCTAACAGCAGGATTGATGGATCACATGTTAACACTATGTATAACTTTATGAAGTAATTTGAAACAGTTTTCCAAGGTGACTGTACCATTTTGCAATCCCACAGTAATGCATGAGAGTTCCCATTTGTCCATATCTTCTCCAACACTTACTTTCCATCTGTTTGATTAGATAATCTATTGCATAGGAAGTGGCATCTCATGGTTTGACCAATTATGTGGATCCTTTTTTTCACATGCTTATTGAGCATTTATATACATTCTTTGGAGAAATGTCAATTCAAATCCTTTGTCTGTTTTTTAAGATTGAGCTATTTGTGGCCAGGCATGGTGGCTCACATATGTAATCCCAGCACTTTGGGAGGTCGAGGTGGGCTGATCACTTGAAGTCAGAGGTTCAAGACCAGCCTGACCAATGTGATGAAACCTCATCTCTACTAAAACTGCAAAAATTAGCCAAGTGTGGTGGTCCTTGCCTGTAATCCCAGGAACTGGGGAGGCTGAGGTGGGAGAATCACTTGAAACCAGGAGGCAGAGGTTGCAGTGAGCTGAGATTGCACCACTGTACTCCAGTCTGGGTGACACAGCAAGACTCCATCTCAAAAAAAAAAAAGAATGTGCTATTTGTATTTCTACTGTTTAGTTGTAAGAGTTTTAATATATTATAGGTACAGATGTAACGCAAATGTTATTAATTTTAGTGAATACTATTTTATTTTACTGTTTATTGCTTGCAGTTTCATATTATATCTAAAAACCACTGCCTAATCCAAGGTCAAAGAAATGTATGTACAGTGGAGAAAATAAATATAAAAAAGAAAAATAATTATGCCTATATTTTCTTCTAATAGCTTTGTAATTTTAGCTCTTAAATTTATGTATGTAATCTATTTTCAGTTAATGTTTTACATGCTATGAAGTACCATTCCATATTTATTAATTTGTACATGAGTTTCCATTTGCCCTAGCACCATTTGTTGCAAAGACTATTCTTTCTTTCATGGAATTTTCTTGGCTTCATTGTTGCAAATCAACTTACTATTAACCTAGAGTTTGTTTCTGGACTCAGAATTCTGTTTCACTAATGTCCATCTACAGTGTGCTACTAACACGATATCTTGATTACTGAAGCTATATAGTGAGTTTTGAAATTGGGAAATGTAAGTCTTGCAAATTTTTCTTTATTTTCAAGAATTTTTGACTATTTTGGGTCTTTTGCATTTTCAGATAAATTTTTCAATCAACTTGCCAATTTCTGAAGTAAAGAAAGCTAAGATTTTGATAGGGATTGTGTTGAATCTGCAAATCAATTTTAAAATAATGCAATGAACATGATATGTCTATTTATTGATTACTTTTAATACTGTTTTGTAGCTTTCAGTATACAAGTCTTGTACTTCTTTGTAAAACATTTATAATTTTTATAAAAACAAATAATTTATTAATTGTATTTTCAAATTTTCATTATTAGTGGATACAAATTGATTTTTGTATGTTGATCTTGTATCCTGAAATATTTCTGAACTAATTTATTATCAGGTTGGTGCAAAAGAAATTGTGGTTTTTGCAATTATTTGTAGTTCTTATAATTTTCCACATATAAGATCATGTAATCTGCAAAAGAATGTGGTCCTATTTCTCCCTTTTAAATCTGTCTGGGTTCCTTTTTTTTTTTTTTTTTTTTGAGACGGAGTCTCGCCTCGCTCTGTCTCGCTCTGTCGCCCAGGCTGGAGTGCAGTGGCGCTTTCTCGGCTCACTGCAAGCTCCACCCTGGCAGGTTCACACCATTCTCCTGCCTCAGCCTCCCGAGTAGCTGTGACTACAGGCGCCCGCCACCATGCCCGGCTAATTTTTTTTTGTTTGTATTTTTAGTAGAGACGGGATTTCACTATTTTAGCCAGGATGGTCTCCATCTCCTGACCTCGAGATCCGCCCACCTTGGCCTCCCAAAGTGCTGGGATTACAGGCGTGAGCCACCACTGTCGGCCTGGGTTCTTTATCTTTTAATTACCTAATTGTTTTAGCTAGAACCTCCAGTACAATATAGAAATGATAAACTTGTGGAGATTTACGTTAGGACGTACTTTTTCTCATATATTGGTTTTGAAGTAAGCAGGTTACAATAAGCTGAAGGAGTTGAGATGCAAAGAGGCCTCTGGATAGTGATGCTTATAAAAAATAATAGAAGAATCAGAGTTGGTGGGGAATTTTTTTTGATTAATCAAATAGCAGTCTTCACTAGAGAATTCTGTATTTTCTCTCGCTTTTGTAAATCAAAATCAACTGAAGGGCTTTATATCAAAAAATTACTGAGTCAAGGTTATGGTGCATAGTGTTTCCTTTGTTATTATTACTGTACTCCAATATTTATCTGGCTTATGTTAGGTAATGCAATAAAACTATTTAGCTAATTTAATTAAGTATTATTGACAATACTGGAAAATAATATGTGGCCCACATTATTCCAACCCCTTAAACAGTGATTTTACTGACATTTAACTGGAAGTTAGTTTTAGTAGGGGTGTAATTTTTTTCTCTCCTAAGTAACTAATTTGATTTTATTACTGTCATAAATTAGTTAACTGACTGTGCCATCTTCTTTGCATTAACTGTGAGGTTGGTTTGAGATAATTTGTAGCCATCCATTAGTAATAGATTTAGTAAATAATTTTGACCAAAACATGTTCTGTGTACTCCCTGCTGGATTTACATGGTCTTTCCGCTTGCCATTTTTTTCCATGCCATTTATTTTCCAAGTGATTTTTCAATGTATCCTTTTGTACTGTATCTGTTTAAGTCACTTTCAGTGTTTCCTGAAACTGAGACACCTGTAAGTCAACAAGAACAATAACAAAAAATCTCAAAAGTATAAACTAAAAATCTTGAAAAGAAACATTTTACTGTTTCTACCTCAAAATGATAAATGCTTTACAAAGGTGGAGGAAACGGATGTCCCATCCTTTTTTTATTCTTTCTTCCCCCAAATTAGCCTGCCTGTAAGCACTACTGTGGATTTTGCTTGAGTTCCACCCTATCTGGACAATTTACACTGCCCAATGTGCTGCTTTTATCAATGTATCTCCAGTTGCAAAAATATCTATGTTATGTTGTATATGTATATTTTAATAAATCATTAAATATGCAATTGAATTTGATCAGTGAAAAAATAGAAAAGCCCTCATCCTTGACAAAGTAATTTTTTTCAAGTTGTGTTTAGGAAGGTGGCGGAGATCTTAGAGTCAGTGAATCAAGTCAAATGGCAAAAGAAGCAGAAAATAATGGCAGGAGCAACAGAAGGAGAAATGATTTTCCCTCAGCACAACCATTTAAATGAATTGAATACACTATCAGAAAGGCAGTGTGCTATTTTCAGGACTTAGAAATTGTCAGAACAGCCCTTTCTAGATTTGCTTCAAGCTGCTGGTAGTCTCATTCCATTCACCCATTAGGCTGACGATGAAAAGCAAGCCAGGTGGCTTATGTATGCATTCAAAAACAAAGTTGTTTTATCCAAATGTGAGAATGGACAAGAAGTGAAAATAGTCCTATGATCTGCAAATGAGAAAGAGACTTCTTTCAAAAAAGATTTCTCACACTGAAAAAAAAAGCCCCTTGAAATACAGAAGAAATTTTTACTTGTTCATTCGGCAGGAGAAGAACCTGTCTGTATTGCTTTTACGAGATTTTGAAGCTGACATATACAGATTATTTTTAAAAGTATAGAGCTAACATTTGGAAGACTTGCCAATTAACTTTTAATTAATCCTGATGTGTGTCACTTGAAGTCAAAAGGACAATTACTTCAAGATAAAAATATATTTCCTGCTGCCAATGACCAAAACCATAAAAAGAGCAAAGCATGGAATTTTGAGTGTGAATATGTACACTATAGGTGAGGAGATGTATCTATGTATACAGACACACATACACACAGTCTGGAAGTCACTTCTTTTCTTCACAATATTAGCAACTAAAAATTGTAAACTACCTGAATTTTAGAAGATATCCTAATTGAGAACACATCTGGTTTAAAAGCCCATGTTTGGTGCAACATTGACAAAGTTGAATTGTAACGGCCTTACTTAATACTTATAAAATGCTAGGTTTTAAAAGGCAAAGAAAAAAAAATAGAGAGAAAACCATAGTTCTGACTCCTAACTCATAAAACTAAAATGAGTAGCTCTTATAGGCACACACTTCACAGATCTCCTTCAGTCTCCTCCATTATACATGGACCAGTTACGCCTTCCAGACAGAAATGATCATTGCTTGCCCTGTTGGAAGTGTGAGCACATAATAACATGAGGACATTTGGAAAGGTGGAAAATAGTATGCCAAGAAAGAAAAAGAAAAAGAACTCCAGACAGGATTTGCAGAAGGGAAATAATTTATTCTGCTATTGGTTTAAGGTTTGCAAATATGATAATTTATGGACATTTGGAATTATGGTTCATACTTGAAACCTAATGGTTGAAGAAAGCAAAAAATACCACAAGATCTATTTCATAATATTAAAATACGTATTTCAAGCTTTTTGGAAACAAGTTCAATAGCTAAACCGTTCTTTTTTTTTTTTTTTTTTTTTTTTAGACGGAGTCTCGCTCTGTCGCCCAGGCTGGAGTGCAGTGGCGCGATCCCGGTTCACTGCAGGCTCCGCCCCCCGGGGTTTACGCCATTCTCCTGCCTCAGCCTCCCGAATAGCTGGGACTACAGGCACCCGCCACCTCGCCTGGCTAATTTTTTGTATTTTTAGTAGAGACGGGGTTTCACCGTGTTAGCCAAGATGGTCTCGATCTCCTGACCTCGTGATCCGCCCGCCTCGGCCTCCCAAAGTGCTGGGATTACAGGCGTGAGCCACCATGCCCGGCCAACCGTTCTTTAAAAGAACGAAATTAAACAGTAGTTTAGGGTCAGATGTTTAAGCGCTTTTGATTGTTAAAAGGTTAAATGAGTTGTGGGCGTGCACCTTGTTCTAAGACTGCATTACGTAAGACATATTGAAATTTTGATTCTGTCACTCTGTACCTTTTGATCTGTCTGCCTGTCCTTTGTCAAGACAAGTGCAATACCGAAATCCTAACATTGAACTGTTGAGAATTTCTATCTTGTCTATTATTGTACTGTATTATGGGAAGCTTTCTCCATCTTTACACCAAGTAATTAGGGAAAAAAAAAAAACCCTGTATATTTCTCGGCTGTTTCAATATCATAAAAAAGACTTGAAAATTTCAAACAAGGCTGGAAACTGCTGAGCTTGAGTGCAACACCTCTGGGTTTACCATTTAACCATTCCCCTCTGAGGTTTTACTACCTTTCTAGGGCACAGCTAGGAATCAGCGCCATCATCACTGGTAGGAATCACAAGTGTTAGTCTTTTCTTTACTTTTGGGAATTTCTTGCTTTATACTTACTTCCTCCACATTCTCTGCTTTCTTTCAACCGCTCCAGAACAGCTTGTATTTTCCCCTCACTGCATTGGATATTTATGAAAACAAAATGTTCATTTAACTCAAGCTTCTCCAAACTCTTGGAGGACAAAGAATTACAAATCCCAAATATATGTAACCTGAGGAAGAAAAAAACATGGAAATGCAAATAATAATTTAACAGTTTATTAAGTGGTCCTGCCACAAATATAACTTGGAAATACGCTTTCATTTCAGAGTCCCAGGTTGCCAGATTTCATGTTTGGAGTTTCATGAGATTGTTAAGCTCTAAGAAAACCTGAGGGTGCCTAAGTTCTACCCAATTTACTTCACTATATTATTTTTACTTTAGAAATTTCATAAGGACAAAGAATTCAGCCACTAAAAAACAAAAGCGGTAGAACATGGGTTAGAGTGAAGTTTCTAACTCAAGTGCATTGCTTTCACACTTCACTGCTTTAAAAAATTACATTTATACACACATGCACACTCAAGGTCACAATGCATAGCTATTATATATTACAAGCATTCCCCATAGATATTGTGAGATCAGTTTCAGACCAATACAATAAATATCACAATAAAGTGAGTCACACAAATGTTTGATTTCCCAGTGTATATAAAAGTTATGTTTACACTATACTGTAGTCTATTAAATATGAAATAGCATTATTTCTAAAAAATGTACATACTTTAATTAAAAAGTACTTTATTGCTCAAGAATACTAAGAATCATCCAAGCCTTCAGTGAATTGTAATCTTTGCTGGTGGAGGGTATTGGCTCGATAATAATGGCTGCTGTCTAATTGGGGTGGTGATTGCTGAACGTTGGAGTGGCTATGGCAATTTCTAAAAATAAGACAACAATGAAGTTTGCTATGTCAACAGACTTCTCCTTTCATAAAAGATATCTCAAAAGAATGCAATGCTGTTTGATAACATTTTACCTGCATTAGACATTCTTTCAAAATTTGAGTCAATCTGTTCAAACTCTGTCAATACCTTATCAACTAAGTTTATGTAATATTCTAAATTCTTTGTAGTCATTTCAACAATGATCATAGAATCATCATCAGGAGTAGAATCCATATTACGAAACTATTTTCTTTGCTCATTCGTAAGAAACAACTCCTCGTCTGTTCAAGTTTTATCATGAGACTGTAGCAATTCAGTCACAACTTTAGACTCCATTTTAAACTCTTGTTCTCTATTGTTTCCACCACATCTGCAGATACTTCCTCTACTGAAGTCCTGAAATTCTCAAAGTCATCTATGAGGGTTGCAATCAACTTCTTCCAAACTGTTGTTTATGTTGATATTTTGATTTCCTCTCATGAATCACAGATGTTTTTAATAGCCATTAGAATGGTGAATCCTTTATTATTGAAGTATAAATCACAGAATGGAAGAATTTCAACTAACTTTGCCCTGATCCATCAGAGGAATCACTATCTATGGAAGCTATCACCTTACAAAATGTATTTTTAAAACAAAGAGACTTGAAAGTTCAAACCAGTTCAAATGAGATTATGAGAAATGTGCTACTCTTCCTTTCACTTGAACACTTAGGGATTATTGTGGAGTTATCAGTTAGTCTAATGATAATATTATTGTGTCTTAGGAAATAGAGGGGCCTGAGGATAAGGAGAGAGATGAGGGAGCTATTAGTTGGTAGAGCGGTCAGAACACCAACATTTATCAATTAAGTTTGCTGTCTTATATGGTCATGGTTCATGGAATGCCAAAACAATAACCATAGTAACATCAAAGATCACTGATTACAGATCACCATAACAGATATAATAATAATGGCGAAGTTTAAAATGTTGCCAGAATTACTAAAATTTTTCACGCATATTATAAGCACATCCTATTGGAAAACTGTTGCCAATAGACATGCTTAACTTAGGGTTGCCACAAACCTTCAATTTGTAAAAAGCACAATATATGCAAAGTGCCAAAAAGTGGAGTATACTCAAGCAAAGCACAATCAGATGATACATGCGTGTATTTTAAAAAGCCATCTCAATACACTACTCCATGATTAACAACATTTCATTTAGTAGCAAAAGCCTTTTGAGGCATTTTTGGTGCTGTTTAAAGCGTTTTTGTGCTGATTTCTGTGACCCAAACACTTCCGATCAGTTCATAGCAACATATGTTAATGTTGAGAATTACTTCTCAAGTAGGAAAAATAATTCAAGGTCTAAGAGAATATGGGCTCTTTTCTAAACTCGATTGCTGTGTTTTGGCATCAAAAATCCAATTGTGACCATTCATGAAAAATAGATGAAAAAATATTTGTTCAAAACAAAAATTATAAAAGGTTTACAGGTATACTCATATAATTATCAGTGTATAAGTATAGTTATGTATGCATAATTTCCAGTTTGTAACAGTAAACCTGCAAAGGCCATAAAATAAATTAATCAAAATCAGCATCATTTTTTTCTATGGAGTTTTGACCATTCTGTTGGTTTTTATTTGTTCATTTTTGGTGTTCAGAAAGACAAGTTTCTTATGAATTAAACTGTTTTTCAAAGAACAATTTTTCTCTTTGGGAAATTCCTATTTTCTTCTAAGCCCATTCTACTTTATATTGGTTTTAAAAACTATTATATTTCATGCACTAGCAAATTTTAAACAATGACTGTAAAATATCAAGAAATTGCAAATCACATTTGAATGTTCCATCCAAAGTATTTCTTTTATTATTAATTTAAAAGGATTCTTTGTGGTAAATGTGCCACAATATCTTGATTATAATTAAGTCAATTGTTTAGCTTAGTTTTATATTCAGGAAGGTGAAGAATGTGGATGTCTGACTGTTTAAATGCAAATCTATAAGGAGATAAATCCTCAGCAGCATATTTATTTCTGGCAGCATTACTATTTTTAGTGATTTAAAAAAATAGCTACAACTGAGGATGTAAATAGAATTAATAATCTGATGATTTTAATCCAGTGGTTTCAAAAATTTAACAGTTCACAGGTCTTGTTAGTTTATACTAATTTCATCAGAGAGAAAGTCATGAGTCTCATTGAAATTAATTTAGCCCAATTACTATGTATAGTTCTTTACAATAGAAAAGAGATGGCCTGTTATTTATTATGGTTTGCTTTGTGATAAGAATGTTCATTGTAAAGTGATTTTTAATTTTCAGAGGCTATTTAATTTGCTGCCCTTGGATTTAGTATATGAACTGCCTGATCAGCCTCTTACCCTTTAAAGATAAGGGATTTACTACTTTGAAATTTTGGCTATCTCAACTGCAGAGCTAATAAAAAAAACATTTTGTATGCTCTAGGCTTTTATTTTATTAACTGCTGCTTTCTGAAGTCTATGGCACTGTAGGAACTAGAAATAAAGAAGCATCAGGGTATTCAAGTAAAAGTAGAAATCATAGAATCATATGGAACGAAAGAAATGCAGCCTTTTTTTTCCCCAATGATCAACCAAAACCAACTCCATTTCACAAGCAACTATCAGAAAATCCTTAAAAATCTGATTAAACATATTTATTAAGGAGGTCAAAAAATTTTTATCTAGGTTTTATCTGCTTTGAGATAAGTAGAGAGAAAGTATCTTCGTTTTTCTCAAAACATTTATTTTATTAATCACATTGACATGTGAATATGAATCATTTGAATAGGTTAATTAAATCCTCTAAGTCTAGTTCACTGAAAGTCATAAGACAGCAGTTTCAAAGGACAACTATTGAGATATAACTGATCCTTTCTGTCACTTATCACTCCCTCCTCCCCATTCAGCGGGTCACCAAAGTCTTTAAATGTTTCCTTTAAACTGGTTGCTTTTTTACCAACCTCACTGAGTCAGCCTCCTCAGGAACTATCAGACTGCATGAATCAGCTAACTGACCTTCTTGTACCCAGTCATCCGCGTTTCAGTCCATCCTCCATGCAATTAACTTTCTAAAGTAGAAAGCTTATGGAATTCTTCCTGGCCAGGTTACCTTGAACAAGGTCAGCTGCTTGTAGTCTAAAGCAACTTCCAAATACCTCAGAAATGTCTCAAGGTATTTAATAAACTCTATAGTAGCTATGGGTCTGTTTATTTGCCCTCCCTTGGAAGGGGTTTTAGCCAGAATCAATTGTTCTTCCCTCACACCCTCCCCAAAATGTCTTTCCAGTCTCTTATGTCTGTGTTTGACTCTTATTCTGTTCATTCTTTAAGGTACAGAACAAATGTCACCTACCCAATGAAGCTCTTCTTATAAAAACTCTCCATTAATTAATTTAACTAATCCTAAGTATGTTATTCATACCTTTAAAAAATCTAGTTAGAGCTCTTATACTGAGATAGATAACCTATTTTATGTTATTGAATGACTTGCTTATGCCTTTAGGACACAGCGTCATAGAAGACTGATAGAGGCTTGTATAATTTATGACTAAATTTTACCATATTTTATAATCCTTTCTTCTATAAGCCATCTTACTTTCAAGATAGTGATTATTTTGCATGTAGATTTTGTGATCTCCTTAATTATCTCAAGTGATATTCATATCCTTTCAGATTAAAGTATATTTAGGCCTAGGATTAATATAATAAAGGTTCTAACTGAGCTATATTTGAGGACCATCTAAACATTTATAAAAAGGTATAGATGAATGTGCTGGGAAATTAATTAAAAATCCAAGTAACATATAGATTAAATACAAAGATACTTGCTAAACATATTTTATATTAGAGAATATATTTACACACATTCATATGGTCATATCAAACCCACAAAACTTAGCCCTGATTGGTCCCAAGAAGCCTTCTCTCTATTTTTAGAACAATCCCTTAGTCTTTAAATGACTATTTCACATCATTTTTCACCTTAAACTTCAACCAGCTCTTTTTCTAACAAGTCTCTCAGCTGAAGACCTTACTCTCAATCTCAAGAAAATACAGGTAATCACAAGAGAGCTTTCGCATGCTCCAATCTCCACACCAGCTTACCTTTATTGCTAAGCACATGCTTCGTTCTCTCTCCTCTTATCACAGATGAACTCTTCAGCGGAAGCCAACCCTTCTCCACTGCGTTAGATTGCATCCTTTCCAGCTTACTTGTGTATATTGCTTCAGCAATTGCTGTCTTTCAGTCTGCACTTGTTTCTCCCTTCAAATGAATCATTCCCTTCAGCATGCAAGCCTATTCCAATGCCTCCTAGTTTTGAAAACACAAACAAACAAACAAAAATCACACACCAACACACAAATGATTTTCTTTATTCTACTTCTCTCCACAGTTACCCACCTATTCTCTTTTATGGCAGACCTTTTTAAATGAATTGTCCGTAAATTATATGTTATTTCCTCACTTTTTAGTGTGTTTGGAGCACACTGTAATAGATGAACATCACACTAACCCACCAAAAGAGGAACCAAGTTCACATGTCCTTTAAGAAATTTTCTGCCTCTTCTTTCTTCTATAAACTATGTTTTGATGGCTTCATTACATGTTTCCTAACATCACTTGCAATGGGTTCACTCTTACCTTCCCAATTTTTTTTCAGTCTTCTTTGCTTTCTCAATACCTCCCTAACTTCCTAACATTTGACTAGGTTCAGTATTAGTCATACTCATTGCATGATTCATCTCACCCAGTTACAAGGTTTAGTGTCTACAGTGATGGCTCTCAAGTGTATAACCCCAATCAAGATATCCCTCCTCAACTCTACATTAATTTTCCCAAATCCCTATTGGACATCACAACTTGGAAGTCCAACAAATATACCAAGCTTATCAGGTCCAGAACATATGTCCTGATTTATATCCTGTCAAACCCCAAACTGCTTTGGTTGTGCCTTCCCTAATTTAGTGAACAGCAACTCCAATTTTATAGGTACTAAGACAAAAATATGTAATAATTGTTCTTCCTTTCTTTCTCTTTTATTCTACATCAACAAATACTGTAGGCTGTAACTTTAAAATCTACCCAGAATCCAGCCACACCTCACTATATTCACTATTATGATGACTCCACTCTCCCATAGAGTGTTTTTTGATTATTAGCAAGAGCCTTTACCAAATTGCCTTCATGTTTCTCAGATCATTAGAGAGTTTCTAAAAATGTAATCCTGTTAAAACATTGGTTATTAACTAGGGGATATTTTACCCCTTAATGGGGGATACCTGGTAACGTCTGGAAGTATGCTTTGTTGTCAAAATTAGGGAAAAACTAGTGGGTACAGGCCAGAGATGCTGTTAAACATCTTATAATGCATATGGCAGCTCCTTGCAAAAAAGAATGATCTTGAAAAAATTGCATACAGAAACTTCATTTGGAAATATGTCACACCCTTTGCACGACCTTCCATAGACTTCTCATCTCACTTTGAATAAAAACAAACATCTTTGAAGTTAATTGCCTACAATGGTCCACAATACCTGATCCTCTAATACATCTCTGATTTCATCCTCTCTCTTGATGTGTCACTCTTCTCCAGCGATAGTGGTCTCTTTGAAAAGTTTCAAACAAGTTCACATATTAGTTTCCATATTTTTGCATTTTCTTCCCTCTCTGCTTGCAATGTTCTTTAAACAGGTAATTATATGACTTGCATGCTCCCTTCATGTAGATGTCTGCTCAATATTGTCTTTATAGTGAGGTCTTCTCCCATTATCATTTATAAAATGTCATTCTCCAATACCAGATATACACTCATATAACTGGCTTTGGCTGTGACATTTCTCTGCTTTACTTTTCTGCATAAATACTTCCTTAAAATATTTACTTTAAAAAAATGTTCACCTCTAAAATATAAATTGAGGAAGTTAGGGACAGTTCTCTTGCTCTCTCTCTCTTTTTACTTTAATACCACTTATGAGAATGCCTGAACTCGAAAGATATATTTAATAAATATTTGTTGTATGAATGAATGCATAATCTGATTGAAAATGTATATGTATCTGTTGACATAGCGTTAGATTATACTTCGCTACTGGAATCAAGGGAATAAAACATACCAGTTTTGAACTAAAGAGTTTTGATTCCTCTCATATTTTATTTTGATTACACCAAAGTAGAACATCTAATAAGCTCCTTCTCAGTCAAAAAAAAAAAAAAAACATGGAACACATCAATAAAACAGAGATCAAAGGGCATGGGGACCAAGGGAGAAGAATTTAAATGTTCTTTCATTTTCTCCTTTACTTTCTATTGATAAGTAATTATGAGGGTTAGTCCTCAGTTCTTTGATTTGCTTTAAACCAATTTGAAAAGGAACAAATGTCCTGAAACCTTAAAGACAAGTTATATTAATCAGTAAACTGTAGATCATAAATCCCTTATGCACATCATGTGCTGTAAACAGCTAATTCCATATCTATCTAAATTCCAACCATAAATTCCAAGTTGTTATGGCCGAGTTAGCTTACTCAAGCTAGCTCATCCCCTCACTCATTCCAGCTTTGTTTCTTGTTTTTTGTGTAGTAAATATGGAGAAATCAGTTCAGTTATTGCACTATACTTTGAAATACAGTTCGTCTTGGTATTTTAAGGTTGTGAGTTACACAGAGCCTAGTTAGAAAACCACAAATATCAGTATGAGATGTGTAACGTGTAGGATGATTTGGCTACAAGTTCAGCTAATGCTATTACAAACTAGCTTGCACTAAGAAAATGTATTTCACAATAGAATAAGTTGAGAAGAAAGGTAACTATTAGAGATGTTTATATCGGTTGATAGCCTTAAGGATGGAAATTATTACCTTCTCTCTGTTTCGTTATTCTGCGGATCTTCACTTTTATGTTAGGCTGACATCCTTGAGTGTTCAATATAATCCTAGGTACAGAAGGATCCATTTTAAATGTGTCTTTTTTAGAGGAAAGAGATCTCTCCCAGTAGCTCCTCCACCACTAAACCTCATTTCTTATCAGATCAAGATTTGGCTAATATGGCAAAATCAGTCACTAGTGAGGCAAAGAGGTTGTTTGGTTTAAATAATTCATAATTTTCCCTGAAACTGATGATATGGTTATCTTTTCAAATATATGGTTCTGTTAGCAAGTAAGAATGAGGGAATGGATAATTGAGAGAATACAGACAGTATATGCTACAAGAGATTTGTCTTTGTTGGAACCCAGCATTATTTATTTGCCCTTGTCCCAAACTTTTATGCCTCTGGCACCACAGTGCCTTCATCGTGCTTCCTTATTACCCAATGCTTCCTAATGTAACCATCCAGGCCTTTTCTTGGCTAAAATGCTTTATATTTCTCAAATCTACCTTACCTATTTTCATTATTCATTATGAACACATATTAATTCTTCAAAAATGTTAGGACTTACCTTAGAAAGAAATGCAATTCAGATAAATCGTATCATTATGAAAATAATTGAGAAGTGATATTAATTTGTGTATTGACCTCTAAGCTTCTGGGTTTTCCCCTGTTACATACTTATGTTGAAGTCTAAGTCCTTTGCCTCAAACTCATAATGTATTATCTTGGCTTAACATGATTCAGCCTACTATTTTAACCAGGAACATAGACTTTTGTGATAGACCTAAGTCAGGGGCCCAAATCTAACCCTAGATTTCTGGCCTTTAGCAAATTGCTGAATTTATTAAACCTCTGTTTCATCAATTAGGAACAAAATATGAAATGTCAAGCCCTTTCATAATGCATATGAAATGCTTAGCACCATGCTTGATACCTAGCAATGGTTCCCTTAATTATTGTTTTTCTGTTATTAGTGTTATCATTACCATGATTATTCTAAAATCTCCAGCACCTATAATAAAATAGTATTCAGGCATTTCAAGAGCTCTGTAAACGTGGTTTATATAAATTAATTAATTAATTTTACAGAAAGGTAAGATAAGTGTTATAGTCTATAACTTGTTCTAGAATTTAGATAAAATAAAGAAAACTGTAAAATTTAGCTCATCCTGAGACTGTCTCAACCAATATCCTAAATAGAACATAATGCTGGGGTTTATTCAATGTCCAGGATTTTCTGATTTCAGAAAATCTCACATATAAGATGCAAATGTAGGAGTAAGTTGGGTACAGGAATGTGAAATGTGGGATGACAATGAGACATCTAGTGTTCCTTGTTTTTTTCCATTCTTTATTTTTTTTCTTTTTTTACCCTTCCTTCCTCCCTCCCTCATTTCTCTCGCTCTCTCTATAAAATTTCTCAAGACTCTCAGCAGACTTGCATTTCTTTGAAAGCAACACTTGCAGAAGCTGACTCCAAAAAGACCAAATTTATCTGGCTTTATGTGCAGTACATCGTCACTTGCGTTAACTGCTTATTAGTTCTGCCTAATCACCACAAAGTACAACCTGGAGGAAATAATCTGGACATCTGTTTAAACACAGTGGATTGAATGACACATTTATCTTTGATACATTTAGAAAACACGTAAGTATATTACAGGAATAGATAAAAGAACAGAGAATAGACAATCAGGCAACAAACAGGGAGATGTCCTTAATGTTCTAGAGTGAAAAGCAAGTGAGAGGATGGTAACTGATGCAGCAGAGCTGAGAAAGAGAACATTTCTCTGCAGATGAGGCTGCTAATGAAGAGCAAGTTGGTAGTTCAGAAACCAGAGGAACACAAGTTCCACTGAAGGCAGAAATTAACATGTAGTCAGGGGAAATGGATAGGACTGAACACAGGAGAAGTGATTAAAATTTTTTCTGGTAGGCAAGATTCTAAAAATGTACAGGTCCCCAAGATTTTCCACCCTAATTCAGGGGACTTTGAAAACAGTGAGATGTCATGCCCCCTAATGTGCCATGTTTCACGGCAAAGGAATCTTGCTGATGTAATTAGGATTACTAATCACACTAGATTCTTAAAAGCAGAGGGTTTTCACTTGCTGGCAGTAGAAAAGGAAATCAGAGCTTTGAAGCATTATCTGTATCTGATGGTGGAAGGGGTCATGTGCAAGTGATGCACGTCGGCTTTAGAGCTGAGCAGCGTCTGCTGCTAGCCAGCAAGTAACAGGGAACCTCAGTTTCACAAGTTCAAGGAACTGAATTTGGCCAACAACCAGAATAAACTACAAGCAGATTCCTCAATCTCCAGATAATAGTTCACTCTAGCTGACACATTGATCTAGCCTGCAAGACTCTAAGCAGAGAACCCATTGAACTTACTCAGATTTCTGAGCTACAGAATGGAGAGATAATAGATGGGTGTCAGGTTACTAAGTCTGTGGTAATCCGTTATGTGGCAGGAGGGAAAAAAAAAAAAAAAAAAAACCATGTCTGATCTAGCCCAGGGTGGTGGCATTGTAGTCCCAGTTTCTCTGGAGACTGAGGTGAGAGGATTACTCCAGTCCAAGAGTTCAACTTCAGCCTGGGCAACAAGGCCTCACCTCTTAAAAAAATTAACTAAATTGACTAAAACATTTGAATTCAGCAATGAGATCACCTGTCCCCAATCATAACAGCGATTTATTCTCTGAGTTTCCACAATGAAGGGAGGAGGAAGGAAACACCCATTTGAGTGTCTTATGATGAAATGGCCTTATTCCTTCCTCATTAACTAGACAGCAAATCACACCAGTTGATGAGGCTAGTCAACTCACAAAGACAATTTTTATTGGAGAAATGGGGTTTTTCCACTCAAACTCAAGGTCTATAGTCCACTATCAATTCTTACGGTGCAGGTGACCACTTCTTTCTAACCTAATTTTTTGTTTTCATATAGACAGAATTTTAGTATTACAATCTTCTTTGACCTCAGTCTTCCTGTTTACTCATTCCTCTCATCAGAGGAGGGATGATCTATTCTTATTCATCGATGTGGAAGGAGAAATTGAACGTGAAATACCCCATCTTCCCCATTTTTCTGTTGGGGAATCAAACTGCAGGTATTCTCCAGTTCCATCTTGTCATTTTCAATGGCTCACATCAAGGAGAGGACCTGATGTTTCCTCAGCAGGCTGTCTGGGCCTCAGGATGGTGTGTGGGATGAGATAAGTGATTCTTTTTAATTCCAGTCCTTATTCTCAGGAAGCCCACCTGAAAAAGATGTAAGGCTCATTCTCTTAAATTATTTACATAGCAATAAATATATTTTGCTCATCCAACTGCTCTTTTGAGTAAATTCTCAATGATTTCAACACATAATTGGGAAAATAACGGAGGTATTACTTATTGACATAAACCCAAAATGATGAATCTACATCCTCAATTAACTATGTGTAGGAGACCTAAGAATATATGAAATTTGGCGAACACAAATAGCATGAAGAGGAGAAACAGGTGAATGCCAGGAGGTCTAATTAGGAGGAAATTGTGATATTTTTAATTTCACTTGTGCCTGAACATCATAAAATAGCAAGAGGTATTAGTTGTTGGTAGTACACTAATTTTTTGTCTTAGGCATTTATTTCTGTTTGCAGATTTTAACCACTGAAGGAAAAAATATTAAGCAGTAAAATTGCATATAAAAAGATAAATTCCCCAATAATTTGTATTATAATTTAAATTTTTCATTTTTTGCAATATTCTCCAAGTATTTATTTATTATTATAAACCCTGTTTTTTAAATAAGCCTGTTCTTATTTTTTTTTGAGTTATTTATTTCTTAAAGTATTCCTAGATCTCTTGGACTCTTTCAATGTAAAAACTCTCAAAAAAGAAAAGGGTGAAGATAAGCAAATTATTCAAATTAATATAATAGAAAACACTCAAGAAAGAATGACTATGCAAAATTTTTGCTTTTAAAAGTTTTTAATTTTATTAATTGAGCATGGATCAAGGTAGAAATATATTAAAAGAACAAGTTTACTGACTCAGGAAGAGTTATCTATAAGCTGTCATTTTTCAACATTACTGTCATTTTTATGATTTGCTGAGGCTAGTTCACAAAATCTGTTTTGAACTCTCTGATTCTTAGGATTTATTGCCCTTAGGAATTTGGCAAAATTATCTGCTTTGCTTAGGTCCTGATAATGCACTTAGGCCCAGAACTTCAGTTCAAAGCTGATAAATGGAAATGTACAGTTTTTCTCAAATTTCTTTTGGAACATTTCTGGGTAGAATATAATTAAATTCTTATTATAACTGTAACTTAATGTAGTTTTCTATTCTACCTTAATTCTTTCTCTTAAAGAATTATTTATCTTTCTTATTATTGAATCCCTTTGATAAAGCAGCTCAATTGTTCCAATGTCTGTGTTCTTATAGAATTTTATAGTTTTATATGTGCCTTCATAACAATCTTTATCTCATTAGATCACCAGTATCTGTTTAAATTAATGTCTTTTGAAATCTGTCCTTGAGGTCAGCGACTATTGCTTATTTATATTTTTATCACCATTATCTAACATTATGCCTTGGACAACATAGTTGAAAAATACTGCTACGTTAAATTATGTAAGGTGTTTGTTTAAAATAGCCCATTTTAGCATCTTATCTTTGGTCCATAATGGCCACAAATTGGGTTATAGTGGCATCAAAAAATAATGTTAATAGAAATGTAACTGATCAACATTGAACATTCTTTTTTCATCTACTCTCTGCTGAGATTAAAATACTAATTTATATGGAAACTATTTTTTCCTGCTAATGTGATTCCTATTTGCTCTATTTTTCTTCTTAAAAACAGATGGAGAAAAAATGTGTGCCTGCTAGATTTTCAACAAGTAATATTTTATTAACACAAAATATAAAATAGATGGAGCACAAATATATTAAAATATCACATTAATCAATAAAATACAAGGACACTTCGTTTATTCTATGACATGTGTATATCATTAAGGATAAAATCAAAAGTTATCCCTGCTGTAAATCTACACAAATAGTATTTTTTAATGGTCTATAACCTTAAGTGAAGTACAGCAAGCCATTGTGAGACAGGTAGTAAAGTGCCTAGGAAACATTTCCAACACAAGAATTCACATGTGGTTAGAGGCATGGAGATAAATCTGAAATATAAAGGGCTACAATATATGTACACACTGTAATGTAAAACTCTAAAGAGTGAATAAATACAAGACAATTTTATAAATAGAATTTTCAGAGTCTATAATCTTTATGTATTCAAAATGGTTATGTTGGGTCTTATTGAATACATTAGACAAGACAGTCACATGATGTTCAGTTTTTAGCATTGTGTACTTTTTATTTGCCACATTTCTCTATTGTTGAGGTTCACAGCCTTGCAATTTTCATTCTGTAATTATGTTCTCTGCAATTGCAGCAATAACTGTAATTTTATTTTATCCCTATTTTATAGACGAATTCCCAAGAGTTTAAGTAGCTTGCCTAAATTCCTTAACTTGAACATGACTAAATTAGGGTTTTTAATCAAATTTGTTTTATTCAAATCTCCAAGCACTTTCTTTCTACTATGTCCAAGAAATGAGAATTCTACTTTTCAAATAAAAAAGGGGCCTACAGATTAGGAGAAAATATTTTTTAGCCATGTAGCTGATAAGAGATTAATATCTAAAGTACACAAAAAACTTACACAGCTCAATAACAAAAACAAAAACACCCAAAGAAAAAACCTAATAGCTCTGTTAAAAAATGAGCAAAGGACCTGTATATATGCATTAGCAAAGAAAACAGACAAGTGGCCAACAGATACACAAAAAGTGTTCACTAATGATTAGTGATGACATCACTAAACATCAGAGAAATCAAAAACACAATGAGATATATTACTTCACACCTGTTGGAATGGTTATCAAAAAGACAAAAAAGAACAAGTGTTGGCTAGAGTGTGGCAAAAAAGCAAACGTTGTACACTGTTGGTGGGAGTGTAAATTGGCACAGCTATTATGGAAAAGAGTATAGAAACTCTTCAAAAAAAATTAAAAATAAGACTACCATATAATATAGTAATCTCTCTGCTGGGTATATATCCAAGGGAAATAAAATCAGCACCTCACAGAGATGTCTGCACTTGTGTGCTCATTTTAGTATTATCCATAATCACCAAATATGAAATCAACTTAAGCGCCCATCAAGAAATGAATGGATAAAGAAATTGTGATTGTATATGAATATTATTCGGTTTCATTTGCTACAACATGGATGAACTTGGAGGACTTTATATATGTTAAATAAAACAGGCCAGACACAGAAATACAAATAATTTATTATCTCATTCATATGGGGAATTAAAAAAAACTCAAATGCATGAAAAGAGAATTTAGAATGTCGGTTATCAGGCTTAGGGAGAGAGAGAAAAAAGGGAAATGTAGGTCAAAGAGCACAGACTTACAGTTACGTAGGATGAAATAGTCTGGAGATCTAATGTCCAGCAGGAAGACTATCGTTAATCATATTTATTGTGCATTGAAAACGTGAGAATAAGAGTATATTTTAGGTGTTCATATTACAAAGAGAGATACTTATGTGTTAATTTGTAAGTATAAGTAACATCAAGTTGTATACTTTCAATGTATACAATAAAAATAAATTTTCGAAAATAATCTTACAATTTCTACCTATTTTATCATTTTAAAGATTTTTGGATCATAAAAAAAACATAGAAAATCAGGAATGAGATACCTTGTGGAAGTAATCCATTTCTATAAAGTATTTGACTTTTGTATACAATATTTGCAGTTGTCAGTCTCTCAGCGGTGAATTTAAATAACAGTGTACAGGAGTAATTACATCCAGGTATATTCCAACATAATCTCAGTATTGGAATGGTTATTTTAAAGCAAATTCTGTATGTGTGTAATTTTCATGCTGTATTTCTTAGAATCAAAGATAACCTAGGTAACTGTTCTAGTCTTACCTTTCAGCTTTCTTCTTAATGTATTGCCCCCCATTTAAATAAGTGAGATCCAAAAAAAAGAAGATTCCTTAAAATTATTCTTTGTGACTTACTGAGAATAAAAACATAACTAGAGACAACACAGGCACTCCAAGTGTTCCAGAAGTCCCACTGGGAGATCCAAATGATTTTGATTACTGTGGCTAGGTGAAGCTTCCAGGACACCAACAGGGAATGAGTCAGGAAATTTCCAGTTATTTGGAGCCAATTGTAAGTTTCCAGAGAGATAGCATTGAAACAACAAAATCAATAGTCTTCTCACTTCAAAATGTACCTCTCAGGACCCTGGGAGCAACCTACTGCTTTATAATCAGTCAAAGTGAGGTTCTCATAAACAAATGTCCTGGTATTGTTTTCTCATACTGTGTTTCTCTCAATATTTCTCCAAGATAAGAACATTAGCCTGATCTCTTGAGAACCGGACTAGTGTGCTAATGACATGTTATTACAATTTGAATTCTTGTGGAATTTAACTCTAATTTACCACAAATTAATATGAGGCTCTGTCTTCGTCTTACTCTACTTGTGCTGCTATAACAAAATACTGTAGACTGGGTAATTTATAAAGAAAATACATTTATTTCTCACAATTTTGGAAACTGAGAAGTGCAAGGTCAAGAGGCCAGCACCTTCAGTTATCTTCTTAAGACTGCTCTATGATTCCAAGATAGCGCCTTGTTGCTGCATCTTCTGGAGGGGAGGAGCCATGTGTTCTCACATTGCAGAGGCACAAGGCAAGGAAGCCCAATACTGCTGCTGCCTGAAGCTTCTAAATCCCATTCATGAGGGACGACCTCTCATGACTTAATCACCTCTTAAAGGCCCCACCTCCTTGGCTATTAAGTTTTAACACCTGAATTTTGAAGTGGACACATTAAAGGCTTAGCAAACCTTAATGCAGATTAGAATAACTGTAAAGCAAATAACATTTATTTGCTTTACAGTGATAATCCATAATAAATTTACAGCCAACTAAAATTGCTGGTTTCATCCCCCACCCCTTTCTCTTTCATCCCTCCCTCCTTTTTCTCCCTCTCTTTTAGAGACAGTGTCACACTGTCTCACCTAGGCTAGGATGCAGTGGTATAATCATAGCTCATTTCAGTCTCTACCTACTGGACTCAAGCTGTCCTCTTGCCTCAGTGTCTTGAGTAGCAGGGACTACAGTTAAACACCACCATGCCTTGCTAATTTTTTATTTTATTTTATATATATATGTGTGTGTGTGTGTGTGTGTATATATATAAATATATAAATTTTTCCATAAGTTATTGGGGTACAGGTGGTATTAGGTTACATGAGTAAGTTATTTAGTGGTGATTTGTGAGATCCTGGTGCACCCATCACCAGAGCAGTATACCCTGCACCATATACGTTGTATTTTATCCCTCGCTCCCTTCCATTCTTCCCCTCAAGTCCCCAAAGTCCATTGTATCATTCTGACGCCTTTGTGTCCTTATAGCTTAGCTCCCACATATCAGTGAGAACATGCAATCTTTGGTTTCCCATTCCTGAGTTACTTCACTTAGAATAATAGTCTCCATTCTGATTCAGGTCATTGCAAATGCTGTTAACTCATTCCTTTTTATGGCTGAGTAGTATTTCATTTTATATATATATATATAAGTAGTATTTCATTACATATATATAATTCATTATATATATACATCGTATATAACTTCATTATATATACATCGTATATAACTTCATTATATATACATCGTATATAATTTCATTATATATACATGTAAGTAGTATTTCATTAAATATATACATATATACATGTATATATATGCATATATACATATATACATGTATATATATGCATATATACATATATACATGTATATATATGCATATATACATATATACATGTATATATATGCATATATACATATATACATGTATATACATATATGGTGTATATGTATGTACATATATATACATATGTGGTATATACATATATATATACACCACAATTTCTTTATCCCCTCATTGACCTCATTGACCAATGGGCATTTATCCTCTCATTGACCTCATTGACCTCTTTATCCCTTCATTGATCTCACTGACCGATGGGCATTTAGGTTGGTTCCACGATTTTGCAATTGTGAATTGTGCTGCTATAAAGGTGTGTGCAAGTATCTTTTTCAAAAAATGACTTCTTTTCCTCTGGGTAGATACCCAGTAGTGGGATTGCTGAATCCAATGGTAGTTCTACTTTTAGTTCTTTAAGGAATCTCCGCACGGTTTTCCGTAGTGGCTGTACTAGTTTACATTCCCACCAGCAGTGTGGAAGTGTTCCCTGATCACCACATCCATGCCAACATCTACTTTTATTAAATTTTTTGATTATGGCCATTCTTGCAGGAGTAAGGTGGCATCACATTGTGGTTTTGATTTCCATTTCCCTGATCATTAATGATGTTGAGCATTTTTTTCACATGTTTATTGGCCATTTATGTCTTATTTTGAGAACTGTCTATTCTTAAAAGATAGTTTCATGTCCTTAGCCCAGTTTTTGATGAGACTGTTTTTTTTGTTTGTTTGTTTGTTTTTTTGTTTACTGATTTGTTTGAGTTTGTTGTAGATTCTGGTTATTAGTCCTTCATGAGATATATAGATTGTGAAGCTTTTCTCCCACTCTGTGGGTTGTCTGTGTACTCTGCTTACTCTTCCTTTGGCTGTGCAAAAACTGTTCAGTTTAATTAGGTCCCAGCTATTTATCTTCATTTTCATTGCTTTTATTTTTGGGTTTTTGGTCATGAAATCCTTGCCTAAGCCAATTTCCAGAAGAATTTTTCCAGTGGAATCTTCTAGAATTTTTATGGTTTCAGGTATTAGGTTTAAGTCCTTAATTTATCTTGGTTGAATTTTTTATAAGGTGAGAGATGAGGAACCAGTTTTATTCTCCTACATGTGGCTAGTCAATTATCCCAGCACCACTGGTTGAAAAGGGTGTCCTTTCTGACTTCATGTTTTTGTTTGCTTTGTCGAAGATCAGTTGGCTGTAAGTATTTGGGTTTATTTCTGGGTTCTCTATTCTCTTCTACTGGTCTATGTGCCTATTTTTATGCCAGTACCATGCTGTTTTGGTGACTATGGCCTTATAGGGTAGTTTGAAATCGGGTAGTGTGATGTCTCCAGATTTGTTCTTCTTGCTTAGTCTTGCTTTGGCTATGCAGGCTCTGTTTTTCTTTTTGGTTCCGTAAGAATTTTAGAAGTGTTTTTTTTTTTTTTTTTCCTAGTTCTGTGAAGAATGATGGTGGTATTTTGATGAGGATTGCATTGAATTTGTAGATTGCTTTTGGCAGTATGGTCATTTTCACAATATTGATTCTACCCATCCATGATCATTGAATGTGTTTCCATTTGTGTCATCTGTGTTTTCTTTCAGCAGTGTTTTGCACTTTTCCTTGTAGAAGTCGTTTGACTCCTTTGTTAAGTATATTCATAAGAATTTTTTTTCAGCTATTGTAAAAGGGGTTGAGTTCTTGATTTGATTCTTCACTTGGTTGCTGTTGGTATATAGAAGAGCTACTGATTTGTGTACATTAATCTTGTACCCAGAAACTGTGATGAATTCTTTTATCAGTTCTAGGGTTTTCAAGGTAAACGATCATATGGTCAGCAAACAGGGACAGTTTGACTTCCTCTTTACTGATTTGGATGCCCTTTATTTCTTTCTGTTGATCTCATTGCTCTGGCTAGGACTTCCAGTACGACGTTGAAGAGGAGTGGTGAGAGTCAGCATCCTTGTCTTGTTCCCCTTCTCAGAGGGAATGCTTTCATCTTTTCCCCATTTAGTATTATGTTGCCTGTGGGTTTGTCATAGATGGCTTTTATTACATTAAGGTATGTCCTTTGCATGCCAATTTTGCTGAAGGTTTTAATCATAAAGGGATGCTGGATTTTGTCCAGTGCTTTTCTGCATCTATTGAGATGATCATGTGATTTTTGTTTTTAATTCTGTTTATGTGGTATATCATATTTATTGGCTTGCATTTGTTAAACGATCCCTGCATCCCTGGTATGAAATCCACTTGATCATGGTGAATTTTCTTTTTGTAATGTTGTTGGATTTGGTTAGCTAATATTTTGTTAAGGATTTCAAATTTTTAGTACAGAAGAGGCCTCACTATGCTGCCCAAGCTGGCCTTGAACTCCTGACCTCAAGCAATCCTCTGATGTGGCTTCCCAAATTGATGGGATTACAGATATGAGCCACCACACCTGGCCTAAATTGTTTTCTTGCCTTGAGGCTTGTCAAATTTTTCTGTATTTTAAAGTTAGATAACAAAATGGAGGACTTTTATTAATATGTTTTATTTAAGCAAAATCTTTATTCAACCTATCATTAAGATTTTTTTAGGATTCTGAGTATTTCAAGTGAGTATTTCCCATACATTTTATTTTTATTTTATTTATTTGTTTATTTATTTTTTGAGATAGAGTCTCACTCTATTGCCCAGGTTGGAGTACAGTAGTGTGATCTCAGCTCACTGCAAACTCTGCCTCCCAGGTTCAAGCAATTCTCCTGCCTCAGCCTCCTGAGTAGCTGTGATCACAGCTGTGTGCCACCACACCTGGCTAATTTTTGTATTTTTAGTAGAAATGGGTTTTTGCCATGTTGGCCAGGCTGGTCTCAAACTGCTGACCTCAAGTGATCCACCCACCTTGGCCTCCCAAAGTATTGGGATTACAGGCATGAGCCACTGCTTCCGGCCTCCCATACATTTTATTTATTTAAGTAAGTATTAATTTGCTCAGCAAAATGTATTCATTCACTTGGAAAATTAAAAAAATACATATATTAAATAGAAGTTGGCCAAGAATGGAGGCCTTTTAGAAAACATTAGACGAATGTATTAAAATCTAATGCCTGAATAAGAGGCCCATGTATGGATTTGCTTTGTTATGGCTCTGTGAGCAGAGTAGTGAGACAGACATAGCAATAACCAATTTGTGTGTACTGAACATGGAACATATGGCAGAAATTCCCTCAATGGGGAAAAATAAGTAGCATCAGTTTTACACTTTTCATTTGTTTTGTCCTCCATAAAATAATTACAATGCAAACTTTACAAGGAAACTGCTGAGTACATTCCATTTCCTGATTAACAGACGTCAACTATGTTTTAAACCTTTAAGTGCAATATTTGTCAAAGGCCACTTAATTGTTATTTATAGCATTTTTAATCATAAATTAATATTTTAACATATCTGTGGCATGTATAGAAGCTGAAAGATTTAGTATACACCTCCTCATCAAATAACCTAGTTTGACATAAAACATATGTTGTTTTGATAGGCAATCCATGTTTATTTCACAATCTTTTTTTGAGATGAATACATTCAAAATTTATTGATCTTCGCTAGACTAGTTTCTATAAAATATATCTCTGAGTATCTCAACATGTCATAACAAAATCAATATAGTCTTCTGTTTCAAAAATGTAAATCTTTTTATGTAGGTTTTTAAAATTATTGGGAGTCCAAAATACTTTTTTTGGTGTGTAAAAAAATTAGTTAATTCCTACTAACATGGATCTACTTATTATTAGAGAATGAACTCTCTCCCTTGAAGGTTGAAGTTCCAGAGCATTTTTCAAATAGAAAAAATTCCAGTTTAGCAAGTCTGTGTTGCATTGGGTGGAGATGGGAGTTGCAGTTAGAAGAAGCAGCTTGCTGAATCTTCCACTTGTATTCCTGATACTTCTTCGTAAATTTGCTCCACAAATGTTGCCTTCTGTACTCCACCATTTTATTTTCCCACCAGACAGACTTACAAGATTTATTTGAACTCAGGATATTGCAGAAAGATGACTTCATGACCCGATGTTTTTGTGACTTGGTCAAGTGTGTATCTAAGATGGCTAAAACAAATCAGCATTTTTATCAAACTCATTTTTGTGACACTGATTATTAAGAAAGATAAGAAAACTATTACATCTAAACAACTGGATATTTCTATTTGATATGTTTGATGCATTATACTTTAATTTGGAGAGATATAAAAATATATCTTATTATTTCTGGAATGCTATAACAAAATACCATAAACTTGATGGCTTTTTTAAAATTTTAATTTGTTAATGTTTATTTTTAGATTCAAAGGATACATATGGAGGTTTATTAGAAAGATATGTCGCATGATGTTGAGGTTTGGAGTATAAATTAATCTGTCCCCCAGATGGTGAGCATAGTTCCCAACAGGTAGATTTTTAATGCTTGTCCCCCTGCTGCTCTTCCCACTCTTGTACTTCCTGGTGTATGTTGTTCTTACTTTTATGTCCACGTGTACCCAATGTTTAGCTCCCACTTATAAAAGAGAACATGTAGTATTTGGTTTTCTGTTATGCATTAGTTCTCTTAGGATAATGGCCTCCAGCAGCATCCATGTTGCTGCAGAGGACAAGATTTTGTTCTTTGTATGGCTGCATAACATTCCATGGTGTATATGTACCACATTTTCTTTATGCAATCCCTTGGTGACTTTTAAATAATAGAAATTTATTTCATATGGTTCTAGAGGCTGGTAAGTCCAAGATCAAGTCACTGGCATATTCTGTGTCTGTGCTTTCTGGTTCACAGAGTTTTCTCTCTGTGTCCTCAGATGGTGGAGGAAACAATGAAACTCTCTGGCACTCCTTTTGAAATGATAATAATTCCATTAATGCTGGTTCTGCCTCATGACCTAATTAACTTCCAAAAGACCCATTTCCTAATATCATTGCAATAACCCAACTCTTAGGGTCTGAATGTCTGTCTCCACCCCGCATTTATAAGTTGAAACCTAATTCCCAATGTAATAGTATTAAGAGTTTGAGCTTTTGGGAGGTGATTAGGTCATGAGGCTCGGGTCTTCATAAATAGAATTGGTGCCCTTAGAAAAGAGATCCCAGAGAACTTTCTTGCTCCCTTTCACCCTGTGAGGACACAGCAAGAAGCCAATCATCTATGAACCAGGAAGTAGGCTCTCACCAGAACCCAGCCATTCTTGCACCCTGATTTTGGACTTTCTAGCCTGCAGAACTGTAAGAAAAAATTTCTCTTTATAATCCACCCAGTTTATGATATTCTGTTATAGCAGAGTCTGAACAGGCTCAGACACTGGCACATTCGTGATTAGATTTCTACATGTGAATTTTAGGGAGACACAAAGATTCAGGCCACAGCAGTATAATAATAATAATGGTTATTATTATTATATCCATAGGCATGTTGGTTTCCTAGCTGCATAGATAATTATCACAACACAAACTTAATATCTTGAAATAACACACATTTATTATCTCATGGCCATTCAGTAGTTCAGGAATCTGGGCACAGCTTTATTGGGTGCCCTGTTCGGGGTTTCACAAGGCTACAGTCAAGGTGTCAGCTGGATTATGTCATCTGGAGGCTTGACTAGGAAAGAATCTGATTTCAAGCTTATTCAAGTTTTGTCAGAATTCATTTACTGGAGGCTGCATGACTGAGAACCTCTGCTTTTCTGGGCTTTTGTCTGGAGGCAAACTTCACATTTTAGACCCAGGTCAGAATTCCCAGGGCCCATTCCCCACTTCCTTGCCCCAGAGGCTTCCTTAACACGGCTGTTTAGTCAACCAGAAGAATCTTTCAGTAGAGTCTGCTGGGATAAAATCTTATATAGGATAATAAAATCATAGAAGTGGCATCTCATTTTCTTTACCATATAATATAACCAAATTGAGTGATTCATTAGAAGCAAGGGACAGGTCTTGCCTGCATCCAACAGGATGAAATTACACAGAGGGGTAGATAACAGGAGGTAGGAAATTAAAGATCACCTTACAGTCTGTTCACAACGATATATAAGAATTGTTGTATTCACTTGGTTGGCTAGAGTTGCAAATGTTTTTAACATTGTCTTGTCAGTGTAAAGAACTACAGAAACTACAGATTATGAGTCAAAGAATTCCAGAATGTGAGCTGCCTTCTGTTACATTAAACTTGCTGTAACTTCTTGTGTGTTTCTATGGTCAGAAGAAGATGAAAATAAAGAGGGATATCTTTCTTAAAAATGCTCATCACTGAAGTGCTCTTAGTCTATGTAGATTTATAGACATACACAGATCATTATATAAATAATGCAGAAAATAGTTCTGCTCAGAAAAATATGAACACCTCATTATTAGATTAGTCTTAAAATTCTATTGAATATAAAATACTGTTGTGGTCAGAGAAATGTTTAAAAGACTTTAAACACTGGTACTTCCCCAGTACTAAAAAAAGTCTGACTGAATACTGTTTTATATAATTTGGCCTATTTTAAGTTGTCTGCAAACCCCCCAAAAAAAAGAGAAGATTAAAAATAGCTTTACTGTACATATAGGGAATATTTAAGTGTCACTAATTTTACATTTTATAGAAAATCTCTTCAAACTTGATTTTGTGATTTGCCATAAATTTGGAGCTATGGTTATGTAAAAATAACATAATTGAGATAATGCTTGTAAGTATGCATTACTATTGAAAATAAAGTAAAATTTGTAATAGCTAATTAGTTATTCCAACTATTCTTAATATTTCATATATTTCCCCTTGAGTTTTTATTTTATGCAAATCCATACTTATTGTGCTAGTTACCGGAATTGAATTAATTTATTGATTGCAAATGCACTTGTCAACATAATTAGTGTAATTCACCTCTACATTTACTGCTTGGTTAGACATATAAACAGTGTTCCTTAGAAGTTTAGATCGACTAGCTTTTGAAGTTCTAAATATAGGAGAAGGTTTTAGCAGTAAAATGCACTTAGCAAAATCAAACAAAAATCTATGTAATTGCTTTCAGTTGAAAACAGGGATGCTTACCTCTTTACAGAAACAAGTGTGAATACATAAAGTGTTAAACTACTAATGAGCAGTCTTAGAGCAGAGGAGAAGAAAACGAAACATTTTTCTTTGCTATTTGCTCCTGACAGACAGGAATAGTCAAGTGCCTGCTCTGCAGATCTGAAAAGGCATTTGGGCATGTGCTTGAAGGTAAATGGGTAGAATAAGTAGATGACTGTCGTTGCTTCCTTCTATGTACTAGGAAAATCACAACGCTTTCAGATAGAAATCATTAAGAAAACATTTCTCCAATTTCAAATAGGACTGTTTGTAAATTACCTTCACAGTGTTATTCAGATGAAAGAGAACAGCTTTCTTAATAGAATCAGATTATGTGTGAAGAAATCTGTTTTCCTCTGTAGATGATAAGATTCCTCATACCTAGTTGCCAGAGTATAGTCAGGCTTTAATATTATAGAAAACTCTGAATATGACCCGGCGAGGTTAAGGGTATGAGTCTTCCCCCATATGTCATGGAGGAAACAAGTGAAAATAAATGCGCCATGTTTTTGATTACCTTCTGTATAGTTTTGATGGTCTTATTTACAGTTTTATTAACCTAATATGGTTTCATGAGCCTTAAAAGTCATGTCAGTGTATGACCTTTAAAAATGTATTAAATACACCCTGTAAATTTATATCCTGTCAACTCTTTCCCTCATGGACCTATGCCCTAGCCCTGATCATATCTCTGGTCTGGTTAATTGCAAATATCTAGAACAATATCTAGAATTGTCGTGCCTACTCACTCAACAAGATATTTCTAAGACATGAATGACATCAAAAGATGTAGATGATGCCACTACGATGGGTTGAATAAAAATTATGCTGAAATTAAAATATCTGTAAGAATATAAGGCTTGAATTTTCAACACCTTTTATGTACCCATTGTCAAATGGTAGAAAAGTTTTGGGGATTATTTTTTTACCTTCAGTGGGGGATTTTATTTAATATAAGAGCCAATGAAAGGAACATTTGAGAAGACAGAGTAATAATTAAAATAGGGATATACTTAGTGGAACAGAGTCAATATTATGACATTTTTTTAAACAAGACATTACTAAATTTTTAAATAATGTGCAAGTCCTTATTCCCCGTGTCTAAAGAATGAAGATGTTATTTTACTAAAGATGAGAAAGAGGACGCCCAAGGTTCCCGTTTGTGCTAACTGTGGTCTTTCAACTGTATTCGCTCAACAATAGGTATTTAAAAAATATTTAGTGACCTTCTTCTCTATGCAAAATATTTTGTCTGTTTTTCCAGGGAATAGAAAAATAAATAAATTATTATTCTAAACTAAATAGACTCAAAAATTAATATGGAATTAGATCATGATACAAACAACTATTTTATTGTACAGAATACATTAAGCAGGAAGCAAATACCCTTTGAGAGCACAAAGAAGGGAGCAAATCTTTGGTCTGTAATTGTCAAGGAAGACTTTTGGAAAAACTGAGTTTGCTTTTAGCCTGGATGGTCATGTTTAATGTTAGAGGAAGGTTAATTTTGAATACATAATGAAACATCAGCTTAGGTCTGTTAGTAAGAAAGAAAAGGTAGTAGCCTATCTTTACGTATTTCTCCTACATAAGCAGGTTTAAAGAAAGCTACTTCATTTCAAGGCACTGGTTTAAAGGCTGACAGTCAACTATTATAGAGACTTTTGCTCTAAGTGCAAATAAATATTTTACTTTAATTTTTTTCTTTTACTTAAAGAGTTAGTGACACATGTTTTAAAAGATCTTCACTATATTATATTACCTGTTTAGCACTGAAGATTAATGTATCTTAATAAACCCAAGCACTGGGATTTTATAAGGTAATACAATTTCTAAGATATTTCTTCTTTCTTGATTTCCTATGAAATTCAACAGCTTATGGTTCTACAAAAAAGTAAGACTATATGTCAAAGAGCATTACCTGAATTTTCTTCTCATTTTTGAAAAAGCCATGAACACTGCTGTGAATTAGTCTGAAGTAAAATGATCTTCCTGTTTTGAGACTTTGTGAACATGAAAATATAAAAACTAGTAAGTCCATATATCCTGAGTTGCTAGCAGAATCCCAATTTAAGCCTCTAGTGTTGAAGCATTTGTTTTTTTTTTTCAAATTTTTAGTTTTATTATATCTTTGCCAAAACAGTGCTTTTTGATAACATTCTTTGATCTTATTTCTTGTTTTAAATGTATTGTCACTAATTTGGAGTTACAGATTTAGCTCATTTATGAAAAATATCTGTCATAAAACCTCATTGGCAGGGCCAATCTTTACTGTCAAACCAGTTAGCCAAATCAGATATACTTTTTGTCAGGAAAAGTTTTTCATTTTTCAATTCAAATAGCTATTTTGAGGAATATTATAAAAATAAATGAGAACTAAAAGTATATCTTGTGAAACTGATCACTAAAAACAATAAAGATAAAGATCTAATATAATTAACTTTTCCATGTTTAAGTTATAAAAGCAAGATGACCAATACACTATTTCTCATATATAGCAGGAAAATGATAAAAGGCATGGTGTATCTCTAGTAAAATCATGTACAGGTATTGAATACTGCTGACTGGCTTTGGAGAATGATTAAACAAGAAATGTGTTATAAGATAAAATGGTAGAAACAACTATGGTTTGAATGTGTTCCCCAAGTTTCATACATTGAAAAATTAATCCTCAAATTCATATGTTGATGTGGTAGACTCCATGATGGGACCCATGGCTTTATAAAAAGAGGAGAGACCTGAGCTGAAATGTACTTTTTGCCCTTCCACCCTTCTATCACAATTTGAGGCAGCAAGAAGTCCCTCACCAGATGTTGAGCAAATTCCAGTGCCAGGCTCTTGGACTTCCCAATCTCCAGAACCATGAGCAGAATGTTTCTTTTTTTAAATAAATTATCCAGTCTGGTGTTTTGTTATAGCAACAGAAAACAGACTAAGACAAGGGTTGAATATAATTGAATAAATGTTTCATGTTATGGTTTGATACAATGGGTTCTGACAACTTTATTAATGGACGCCCATCAAATCAGAAAGAACCCATGTGAAAGTTTTTATCCCTGGGTTCTATCCATGGCATCTTATAAAAATTGGCATTCCCAAAAGGCATTGTGGTTACATTTAAAATAATCAGCATTAGCAATGGCCAGTGTCCAATCTCACCTTCTTCTGTTTTCTACATTATTGAATTCTAAAGTTCTAGACATACATGGCTGTTTTGAGTTGAATTATGTTCTCCAAAAATGTATGTTGAAATTCTGTTAACCTATGAATATGACCTTATCTGGAAATAAGGTATTTGAGATGTAATCAAGTCAAGACTAGGTGATACTGGATTAGGTATGCGATGGCTGGTGTTCTTTTAAAAATAGAGAAAGACAGAGAGATACAGACACTCAAAGCAAAGATGACTAAGTAATAATAAAGGCAGAAATTAGAGTCATGATGCTGCAAGCCAAGCAATGCCAAGTATTTCCAGCAATAACCAGAAACTAAGAAGAGGTGAAGAAAGATTTTTCTCTAGAGCTTTCAGAGGGAGCATGGCACTGATGATTCCTTGATTTTGGGCTTTTAGCTACCAGTAATGTGAGAGAATACATTTCTATTGTTTTAGGCCACCCAGTTTGTGATACTTTGTTATGGCGATACTGAGAAACTAGCACAATGGTTATGTCCATAAATGCCTTTATGGCTTAAAGCATGTACATACTGACCGCACAGAATGTATATTCTATCATTTTTATATGTCAATACTTTAAATAAATGGAGTTATATTCTCACTATCTTTTTGCTATTTGTTCCCTTTTTTGGTTTAACTATGAAATACTATTCCATTTTATAAATAAATATATAAGTGTATAAACTACAATATGTGTATTTGTTACTTCTCTTATTAATGGATTCTTAAATTGTTAGCAATTAATGACTAATACAGATATAGCTTATATTTGTCTTTTTATCCATATGTGCATATAAATGAGTAGGCAATGCAGATTTTCAAATTTATGTAGTATTGCTAACTGGCTCCCCAAATTTTGTATACTAATTTTTAACCCTGTCAAGAATGTATAATAAGCCCCTTGACACCCTGTTACTGCTGAGGTTAGTACTACTAGTACAATACTACTATTTTCAATTTTTTTTGAATGATTGGTGGTTTTGCTGTTCAACTCAGTGTGGGGTTATTTTTTCTCCTTATTTTAATTTGCAGTTCTCTGATTACTAGTGAAGTTTATAAAATCATATGTTCATGGGGAATTCAGATATGCTCTACTATGGATAACTCATTCATAGCTTATTGTGACATTATGTTGATATATTTGTATTCCCCACAACAATATATGATAAAGTTTTTTAATTTTTGGATCACAATTCTTTGTTGGTCTTATGTCATATAAATATATTTATCTAGATTGAGGCTCATATGCAACTCAATAAATATTTACTACAGACAAAATTATTCTTTCTCTTCTCTGCGATACCTTTACTGTTGTAAATATCACAATGTTTGTTACTTGATTGCTTCTTTGATTTCCTATGAAATTGTGAGTTCTCTGAGAACAGGGCCAGTAATATTCTTCCCCTCTCTAGCTGAAGACACACACACAAGACCATATAACAACAGATATTAAGTGATTTGAAAGAAGATTTTAGTCTTAATGGGCTATTAAACACATTACGAGGGAGTACTGGATAATCATTTCTGGTAAAAGTTAGAGAATATTGTGTGCATAATAATCCTTTTATTTGTGGTAAAAGTGTTACAGTTAAGAACTGACAGAATAGATTCCTCAGTCCTTTATGTCCCTCAAACATTTGACACAAAAATGCAGTAATATGGTTTGGCTGGGTCCCCCCACAAAATCTCATCTTGAATTGTGGCTCCCACAATTATCATGTGTTGTGGGAGGGACCTGGTGGGAGGTAAATTAATCATGGGAGTGGGTCTTTCATGGGCTGTTCTGACAGTGAATAAGTCTCACGACATCTGATGGTTTTATAAACAGGAGTTTCCCTCAACAAGCTCTCTTCTCTTGTCTGCTGCCATGTGAAATGTGCCTTTCACCTTCCACCATGATTGTGAGACCCCCCCGCCCACATGGAACTGTGAGTCCATTAATCCTCTTCCTTTTGTAAATTGCCCAGTCTCAGGTATGTCTTTATCAAAGGCATCAAAAGGGACTAGTACAATAAATTGGTACCAGTAGAGTGGGGCACTGCTGTAAAAATTCCCAAAAATGTGGAAGCTACTTTGGAATTGGGTAACAGGCAGAGGTTGGAACAGTTTGAAAGGCTCAGAAGAATACAGGAAAATGTGGAAAAGTTTGAAACTTCCTAGAGACTTATTGAATGGCTCTGAACAAAATGCTGATAGTGATATGGACAATGAAATCCAGGCTGAAGTGGCCTCAGATGGAGATGAGAAACTTGTTGGGAACTAGAGTAAACGTAACTCTTGCTATGTTTTAGCAAAGACAGTGGCAGCATTTTGCCCCTGCCCTAGAGATTTGTGAAACTTTGAACTTGAGGGAGATGATTTAGGGTATCTGGCAGAAGAAATTTCTAAGCACCAAAGCATTCAAGAAGTGACTTGAGTGCTGTGAAAAGCATTCAGTTCTAAAAGGGAAATGGAACATAAAAGTTCAAAAAAATTGCAGCCTGATGATGTAATAGAAGACAAAATTTCTCCATTTTCTTAGGAGAAATTCAAGTCAGCTGCAGAAATTTGCATAAGTAATGAGGAGCCAAATGTTAATCACGTAGACAATGGGGAAAATGTCTCCAGGGCATGTCAGAAGTCTTCACAGTAGCCCCTTCCATCATAGGCCCAGAGGCCTACTGGGGAAAAATGGTTTCCTGGGATGGGTCCAGGGCCTTCCTGCTCTGTGCAGCCTAGGGACTTGGCGCCCTGAGTTCTAGCTGCTCCAGCCATGGTTAAAGGGGACCAAGGTACAGCTTGGGCTATTGTTTCAGAGGGTGCAAGTTGCCAAAGCTTGGAAGCTTGCATATGATGTTGAGCCTGCGAGTGCATAGAAGTCAGGTTTAGGAGCCTCTGCCTAGATTTCAGAAGATGTATGGAAATGCCTGGACACCCATGCAGAGGTTTGCTGCAGGGGCAGGGCCCTCATGGAGAACATGTGCTAGGACAGTGCATAAGGTAAATGTGGGTTGGAGCCTCCACACAAAGTCTCTATTGGGGCACCACCTAGTGGAGCTAAAAGAGGCAATCATCCTTCAGACCCCAGAATGGTAGATCCACTGACAGCTTGCACCGTGCACTTGGAAAAGCTTCAGACACTCAATGCCAGCCCATGAAAGCAGCCAGGAGGGAGGCTGTACTCTGCAAAACCACAGGGTCAAAGCTGCCCAAGGACGTGGGAGCCCACTTTTTACATCAGTGTGACCTGGATGTTAGACATGGAATCAAAGGTGATTATTTTGGAGCTTTAAGATGACTGCCCTGCTGAAATTTGAACTTGCGTGGGGCCTGCAGCCCCTTTACTTTGACTAATTTCTCCCATTTGAAATGGGTGTATTTATCAAATGCCTGTGTTCCCATTGTATCTAGGAAGTAACTGACTTGCTTTTTATTTTACAGGCTCATAGGTAGAAAGAACTTGCCTTGTCTCAGATGTAACTTTGGACTGTGGACTTTTGAGTTAATGCTGAAAAGAGTTAAGACTTTGGGGGACTATTGGAAAGGCATGATTGCTTTTGAAACGTGAGGACATGAGATTTGAGAGGGGCCAGGGGTGAAATGATATGGTTTGCCTATGTCCCCACCAAAATCTCATCTTGAGTTGTAGCCCCCACGATTCTCATGTGTTGTGGGAAGGACCCTGTGGGAGGTAATTGAATCATGGCGGGTCTTTCCTGTGCCGTTCTCATGACTGTAAATAAGTCTCATGAAAACTGATGGTTTTATAAAGGAGAGATTCCCTGCACAAGCTATCTTCTCTTGTCTGCTGCTATGTGAGATGTGCCTTTCAGCTTGCACAGTTCCCAGACACATGGAACTGTGAGTCCATTAATCATCTTTCTTTTGTAAATTGCCCAGTCTCTGGTATATCTTTATCAGCAGCAAGAAAATGGACCAATACATGCAGCCAGGATGTATTTTTTTTTCTTAGATTGTCCGATTTGTGTCCAAATATGTTGTGAAATGAAGAAAAAATATTGAGGCAACAAATACAGGAATATGAACTCAGCAAAAGTCTGGGTACTCTGATTTGAGAAAAACTTTGCACTTGTATTCTGATCAAAAAGAATGACAAGTCTTTAATACTATATTTCACAGCACATTATACTTATGTTTTATTATTTTTCATTGGGGCATTTTCATAATCTTCAAAATTATGGTTCAGTTTACTTTCTTCTTTTGTTTTCTAGATGTGTACACTTTATTTTTTATTTATATATATATTTGTTTATTATTATACTTTAAGTTCTATGGTACATGTGCACAATGTGCAGGTTTGTTAAACAGGTATACGTGTGCCATGTTGGCTTGCTGCACCCATCAACTCATCATTTACATTAGGCATTTCTCCTAATGCTATCCCTCCCCCAGGCCCCCACCCTTCTCCAGGCCCCACTGTGTGATGTTCCCCACCTTGTGTCCATGTGTTCTCATTGTTCAACTCCCACTTATGAGTGAGAACATGAGAACATGCAGTGTTAGGTTTTCTGTCCTTGTGATAGTTTGCTTAGAATGATGGTTTCCAGCTTCATCCATGTCCCTGCAAAGGACATGAACTCATCCTTTTTTAATGGCTGCATAGTATTCCATGGTGTATATATGCTACATTTTCTTGATTTAGTCTATCATTGATGGACATTTGGGTTGGTTCTAAGTGTTTCCTATTGTGAATAGTGCTTCAATAAACATAAGTGTGCATGTGTCTTTATCGCAGAATGATTTATAATCCTTTGGGTATGTGCCCAGTAATGGGATTGCTGGGTCAAATGGTATTTCTAGTTCTAGATCCTTGAGGAATCACCACACTGTCTTCCACAATGGTTGAACTAATTAGGACTCCCACCAACCGTGTAAAAGCATTCCTATTTCTTCACATCCTCTCCAGCATCTGTTGTTTCCTGACTTTTTAATGATCGCCATTCTAACTGGCATGAGATAGTATCTCATTGTGGTTTTGATTTGCATTTCTCTGATGACCAGTGATGATGAGCATTTTTGCATATGTCTGTTGACTGCATAAATATCTTCTTTTGAGAAGTGTCTGTTCATATCCTTTGCCTACTTTTTAATGGGGTGGTTTGTTTTTTCTTGTAAATTTGTTTAAGTTCTTTGTAGATTCTGGATATTTGCCCTTTGTCAGATGGGTAGATTGCAAAGATTTTCTTCCACTCTGTAGGTTGCCTTGCCTGTTCACTCTGATGATAGTTTATTTTGCTGTGCAGAAGCTCTTTAGTTTAATTAGATCCCATTTGTGTATTTTGGCTTTTGTTGCCATTGCTTTTGGTGTTTTAGTCATGAAGTCTGCCCATGTCTATGTCCTGAATGGTATTGTCTAGATTTTCTTCTAGGGTTTTTATGGTTTTAGGTCTTACATTTAAGTCTTTAATCCATCTTGAGTTAATTTTTGTATACGGTGTTAAAAAGGGACCCAGTTTCAGCTTTCTATATATGGCTAGCCAGTTTTCTCAGTGCTATTTATTAAATAGGGAATCCTTTCTCCATTGCTTGCTTTTGTCAGTTTTGTCAAAGATCAGATGGTTGTAGATGTGTGGTGTTGTTTCTGAGGCTTCTGTTCTGTTCCATTGGTCTATATATCTGTTTTGGTACCAGCACCAAGCTGTTTTGGTTACTGTAGCCTTGTAGTATAGCTTGAAGTCAGGTAGCGTGATGCCTCCAGCTTTGTTCTTTTTGCTCAGGATTGTCTTGGCTATGCAGGCTCTTTTTTGGTTCCATATGAACTTTAAAGTAGTTTTTTCCAATTATGTGAAGAATGTCAGTGGTAGCTTGATAGGATAGCACTGAATCTATAAATTACTTTGGGCAGTATGGCCATTTTCACTATATTGATTCTTCCTATCCATGAACATGGAGTGTTCTTCCATTTAATTGTGTCCTCTTTTATTTCGTTGAACAGGGGTTCGTAGTTCTCCTTGAAGAGGTCCTTCACATCCCTTGTAAGTTGGATTCCTAGGTATTTTATTCCCTTTGTAGTAACTGTGAATGGGAGTTTGCTCATGATTTGGCTCTCTGTTTGTGTAGTATTTGTGTATAGAAATGCTAGTGATTTTTTCACATTTATTTTGTATCCTGAGACTTTGGTAAAGTTGCTTGTCAGCTTAAGGAGATTTTGGGCTGAGACGATGGAGTTTTCTAAATATATAATCATGTCATATGCAAACAGAGACAGTTTGACTTCCTCTTTTCCTACTTGAATACGCTTTATTTCTTTCTCTTGCCTGATTGCCCCAGCCAGAACTTGCAACACTATGTTGAATAGGAGTGGTGAGAGAGGGCATCTTTGTCTTGTGCTGGTTTTCAAAGTGAATGTTTCTTGTTTTTGCCCATTCAGTATGATATTGGCTATGGATTTGTCATAAATAGCTCTTATTATTTTGAGACATGTTCCATTGATACCTAGTTTATGGAGAGTTTTTAGCATGAGGGGTTGTTGAATTTTGTTGAAGGTCTTTTCTGCATCTATTGAGATAATTATGTGGTTTTTGTCGTTGGTTCTGTTTATGTGATGGATTACACTTACTGATTTGCATATGTTGAACCAGCCTTGCATGCCAGGGATGAAGCTGACTTGATCATGGTGGATAAGTTTTTGATGTGCTGCTGGATTCTGTTTGCCAGTATTTTATTGAGGATTTTCACATAGATGTTCATCAGGGATATTGGCCTAAAATTTTCTCCCTTTTTTTTTTTGCTGTGTCTCTACCAGGCTTTGGTATCAGAATGATGCTAGCCTCATAACATCAGTTAGGGAGGATTCCCTCTTTTTCTATTGATTGAAATAGTTTCAGAAGGAGTGGTACCAGCTCCTTTCTGTACCTCTGGTAGAATTTGCCTGTGAATCCGTCTGGTCCTGTACTTGTTTTGGTTGATAGGCTATTAATTATTGCCTCAATTTCAGAGCCTGTTATTGGTCTGGTCAGAGATTCAACTTCTTTCTGGTTTAGTCTTGGGAGGGTGGGTGTATTTGTCTAGGAATTCATCCATTTCTTCTAGATTTTCTAGTTTATTTGTGTAGAGATGTTTATAGTATTCTCTGATGGTAGTTTGTATTTCTGTGGGATCAGTGGTGATATCCCCTTCATCATTTTTTATTGTGTCTATTTGATTCTTCTCCCTTTTCTTCTTTATTAGTCATGCTAGTGGTCTATCTATTTTGTTGATCTTTTCAAAAAACCAGCTCCTGGATTCATTGATTTTTTGAAGTGTTTTTTGTGTCTCTATCGCCTTCAGTTTTGCTCTGATCTTAGTTATTTCTTGCCTTCTGTTAGCTTTTGAATGTGTTTGCTCTTGCTTTTCTAGTTCTTTTAATTGTGATGTTAGGGTGTCAATTTTAGATCTTTCCTGCTTTCTTTTGTGGGCATTTAGTGCTATAAATGTCCCTCTACACACTGCTTTAAATGTGTACCAGAGATTCTGGTACATTGTGTCTTTGTTCTCATTGGTTTCAAAGAACATCTTTATTTCTGCCTTCATTTTGTTATTTACCCAGTAGTCATTCAGGAGCAAGTTGTTCAGTTTCCATGTAGTTTTGCAGTTTTGAGTGAGTTTTTTAGTCCTGTGTTCTAATTTGATTGCACTGTGGTCTGAGAGACAGTTTGTTATTATTTCTGTTCTTTTACATTTGCTGAGGAGTGTTTTTACTACCAATTATGTGGTCAATTTTAGAATAAGTGCGATGTGGTGCTGAGAAGAATGTACATTCTGTTGATTTGGGGTAGAGAGTTTTGTAGATGTCTATTAGGTCCGCTTGGTCCAGAGCTGAGTTCAAGTCCTGGATATCTTTGTTAACCTTCTGTCTTGTTGATCTGTCTTATATTGACAGTGGGGTGTTAAAGCCTCTCATTTTTATTGTGTGGGAGTCTAAGTCTCTTTGTAGGTCTCTAAGGTTTCTTATATATCAAATGGACATATAATGAGCTTAGATGTGAAAATAAATGAAAGTTATTTATGAATTTTTATTTAAAAAACCCCAAGAATATCAAGTTTATTCTTTCAGTCCAAATTAATGTTTGAAGTAACAAAGTGATTTTGTATTTATTTGGAGATTTAGGTTACATAATTCCTATAAGATTACTGGAAATATTATTAACCCTAGTCCTTCTTAATTAGACTCTCCATGTCTTCTCATGAATAGCATATGTAGCAATGAGGAATACTGGTTTATGCCTTACCACTTAGCTGTACATTTTGAGATGCATTGATAGTTCTTGTCATTTACATTATATGTGTGTCATTTCCTTGGCAATATGCTGACAACATATCATTATGATTGAGAATGCATCGATTAACTTCCAGGAAAGTAATGATCTAACTTGTTCCATTATCTGCAAACAAGTAACATTTTTTTCCTTTTCTTTCAAAGTTTCTATGTGAGAGAATAACCATCATAAATGGCTTTTATAACATAAAAATTAAAAACAATGTATTTGCACAACTATCTAAATATACTGAAATTATCATTTTTTAAAAATAATTCAATTAAATATTGTTAATAACACACAGAAGTTTTATAAATGTGGGATGCATGAACTACATAAATCGGTACATCTTTATTAAGAGGCAGGATTATTCTCAAATGCATGTATCAATTAGACTAATGTATTTTTAATTGTTTATTGTTTTCATCATAGTTTTTGCTGTACTTATTCCTATTTTAACATGCATTATTATGATGCAGAGATAATAGCATGTTTAGAGAACACTGGGTAATATCATGGATTAAAAAAAAAACTAGGACATGCAGGTCTTGATATGTAACATACCTCCTTCTCCATCGCTATATTTCTATGATTATGCCAGCAAACAAAAGGCAGAAAATAAGCAATAATTCCTCCTACAGTGTTGTTAGAGAAATAGTAACAGATAACTAGTGATATATCTCTATAGTAATATATATATAGTGATATGTAGATATGTTTATGTAAAATAGTCCAAGCAATTGCTGAAAATGTAGCATGTAGTTTTCCTGCTCAATTTCCAGCATGAACATAATGTCAGCAAAGTATATTTATAAACATAAAATTTAACAGGGTAAAAAACTTGCCTTAAATTATATGAAGCAACCATAGCCAAGTTTTTATTGTAGACATCACACCATACTAATTTACCACATTTTAAATAAAATGTTATGTCAAAATTGAATAGGTGCACAATGGCACTGGGCTTGAAGAAAGTGGTGCATTACAATGTGGGCACAATTTTATTGTATTTAGACTGTTGGTGACTCAGGTATTCTCTATTGAATATATACATATATATCACATAGAAAATGCAACTAACCCTTAAGGAAAAGAACTGGAAGAATAACTTAGTAACTGCATTATTATTATTAGACCCAGAGGGTCAGTGAAATACCCATACATAGAACTGCAAATAATTAAAATTTAAAGTTTACATGTATAAATGTGTTACTAGAAATATATGTCCACTGATATATAAAACAATCACAACAGTCTGATTATATTTTATAAGATCGTTACATACATAACTACAGGATTTCTACTTTATAACTATACTTACAAGTAGAATTTTCTTTTCCCCTTTTGACAGGTAACCAAACTTAAAAACATAAACTATTTAGAGAAATAAACTTGATACCAAGGGACAAAGTACATACCAGAACCCTCATGTCATATTGCAAACTTGATTCAAATTCTATTGCTCTAAGCTTTGCGATATATGTTTAAGTAAAGGTGTACCTACTTTTATTTTTTAATTAATTGAATATTATTTACTTGAGTAAATGAAATTATAAATGTTGTTTTAGTCCACTTGGGCTGCTACAACAGAAATACCATAAACTGGGTGGCTTATACAGCAAACATTTACTTATCACAGTTCTGAAGACTAGGGAGTCCCAGATCAAGGTGCCAGCAAATCTGGTGTCTTGTGAGGCTGTGCTTTCTAGTTCTTCTGCTGTGTTCTCACATGACTGAAAGGTGTAAAAGATCCCTCTAGATTCTCTTTTACAATGGCACTAATCTCATGCATGAGGGCTCCAGCCTCATGACTGAATAATCTCCAAAAGACCCCACCTCCTAATACCATCACTTTGGGGATTAGGATTTCAAAATAGGAATTTGAGGGGACATAAAACTTCAGTCATGGCAATGTATATGAGTGAGTAGTGAGTGCGGGGCATTATGGATAATGTCTAGTGTCTTTATATTGGAGAAGGGACCACCAAATTGCTGCTCTGACATTATCCGGATTGATTTGATATTTACATTGAATATCATTTGCAAGTGACTTGTGGAAACAGACAAAATGCCAAACAACAACAGAAAAGTGTCCAAAAGAGAGCATTCTTTCTTGATAAGCTAACAATAAGTAAAATTGGTGTGTATATTGATATATCTACTAGATAACATTTAAAGCTATATTTTCTCCTGTAAGGTTATTTTGCATTTTGCCTACATATCTATTTACAAATATGATGAAAATATGTCTCACTGCCCAGGACATTCCCATTTTAAACATTGTCTTCTTGGTGTATTTTTTTATTATCACCTCATTTTACTCTCGAAAGAGCCCTGGTTTGGACAATAAATTATGTGGTTACTCCATAAATCTAAAATATAATTAAAACACTTTTCACCTTTGGTCATATTTGACACAGATCACAAAGGAAAATTTATAATAGTGTATTTTTCATGTGAAAATGCTGGAAGCAATAAATAAACCCTGAAATTTCACTGAAAAAGTAAATTTTTCATTAGTGGTGTATGTAATCAGAAATTGTTCTAAGACTGTACTTTCTAACACGTTTTATGTCTGTTAAATAAATAAATGAAGTCAAAAGGAACTTAGAAGTTATCTGCCTAGTGTTTTCAAATGTGTCTTCTAATTTACATAAGAGGTAAGATGTATAAATGTTTGAGAAATGCTGAAGTGCTATACAGCCCTAATAGTTCAGAAATGAAACTGAGTTTGGGAAAGATCAAGCTACATCATTAAGCCAGTTGTACCAGAATCAGGACCGAAAGTCAATTACCTTGACCTTGTCAATTTAGTTTTACTACAGCGTTAGGAGTTTAAACATTAAGGAGTAACTGGGCCACAGTTGTGTATATTATTACAGAAATATCAAATCTATAAAGTCCTTCCATAAGACAGAAAAAAGAACTTATTATCACTAAATTCACAGTTTAAGTAAATCAGTTTTGTATGTACATATATGTACACACATATATATATATATTACACAGTCTGAATAATCATTTCATCTTTCCTCTTGTATTTTCTTCTTGTATGTAGCATGGTAACCTATAGTCCAATATTAAAATGGAATATAAATTGGGTTTCTTTTCCTTCCTAAATTGTAATTATTTCCTAAATTGTAATTATAATACTGTTCTTCCTTAGGAAGCCATATAATTTTGCTATGTGTTTTAATTTAAATTACTTTCAGTCTGCTTCTCTTCTGATTATTTTAAAAGACTGTATTGTGATTACTTTCAGTAGTACTAATGTATATAATTTAAATAAAAAACATGAAACCAAATTACCACAGGCTTACGCAATATTTAGGGAAGGCAGCTTAAGTTGGGGAATAGTGGAATAAAGTACTGCATACTATTGAAATGTGTAAATTAATTCTTTCCTGCTGGGTTAAGTAAAGGGATTGAAATGAAATGTGTAGTTCCGAATTAAAGTGCTCAGAGTTTACATAAGGAGCTACATGAGTGAGCAAGGAAGGATTATCCTAGGAAAGAAACAATAGCTGTTCCTTTAGGGAGATTTAAATAAGATTAAGTAAGCACACTCAAATTGTTCCTTCTCCTTTTGCAATATTATGTTTTACTGCTTGTTATTTTATTTTTTTAGTCATTACATTTACCTACTTTTCTTTGTAAAGTATAGAAAATAGCACACTTTTTCATCTATGTACGTAATTGTAGAATGGTAAAATGGTGCTAATTTGATTTAGTGCCGTATTTTTCTTTGAATTCTACTGAAATAATCTTTAAACAATAATCAATGTTAAGAAAATAAGGTTTAAGAATAATAGCAAGGCCATTTATAGAAAATGTCCAGAATAGACAAATCCATAGAGACAGCAAGAAGTTTATGTTTCCAGGGCATGGGGAGAGAAGTAAAGGGGAAGTAATTACCATTGGGTACAGGATTTATTTGAGGAGTGAAGAAAATATTATAAAATCATATTGTTGAGATGTGGATAGACTCTGTAAATATATCAAAATCACAATGTATAAAAAGTTATACATAATTTAATACTAAATCTTACATTAATGTTTGTCTATTTCATTGGCTAAAAGTACCACAAGTCTTGAAATAGTTGTATCCCTTAAACCAATAAATCCCTCCTCGAAATATTGTCTAAGAAAAATAAGGATGCAAAGGTTGAGTTAAGCAGCATTTATATCAGTGCTATAAGAGTATTTCCATGATTGGTATTTATAATTAAAACTTTGAGAAACAAATAATAATAGAAAGGGTAATAAGTACTCTCTTTGGACTTTCACAGACATGATGAATTTAAACACAGGCTGTATATACCAATTTTGCACGTAACTTTTCATTTCATTGCTAAATCCTCACATTAACTAATAGCAATATCAGTTTGTGTGAGGATTTATAAAATGATTTAAATGGTAATTCCACCAAATTCTACACTGAATGATTTCCTAGTGAAGGGAAAGTGCAATATGTTTACTGACATAAATTTATCTTTAAGATATGAGCCAGTAAATATTAGATTTGACAAAAATTTAAAGGTTAATTTTTAAGTATAAATTTATTTTTAAAGTCTCAAGCTAAGCTTTGGGTCACAGTGTATATTTAGGCACCTATAAATGCTGGGAGAATAATTAAGTTTATCGCCTGTACCCTAACCTGGGATACTCTTGAGATGACAGATGTGCCTTCAATTCCATGGGATGTATATGATCCTGTTTGTATTTGGGAGTCTTAAAGTTTTTTTAAGTTTGCTCAGAAATGAATGATGTATTAGTTTTCATGATATCTTTGAGAACTTTTCTAGCCTGGGAGTCTTGAAAGAAGCTTTCCGAACTCGAGAGGAACTTTAGGTCGAGAAAGTCACACATTTCAACCTGGGAAAAAACAAAAAACAAAAAAACCTAATTTTCCCAGAATAAACCTGTGTTAGGCATGCCATAGATAAGTTGACACTTGGTAATTATTTTAGCATTTCCCTTTTTACTATCAAACATATCAGGTTTGAATGAAAAATAATAAATAAATTCACTCTGTCAATTACCATTCTGCGGGACTATTCACAATAGCAAAGACTTGGAACCAACCCAAATGTCCAACAATGATAGACCGGATTAAGAAAATGTGGCATATATACACCATGGAATACTATGCAGCCATAAAAAAGGATGAGTTCATGTCCTTTGTAGGGACATGGATGAAGCTAGAAACCATCATTCTCAGCAAACTATCGCAAGGACAAAAAACCAAACACCACATGTTCTCACTCAAAGGTGGGAATTGAACAATGAGAACACATGGACACAGGAAGGGGAATATCACACACCAGGGCCTGTTGTGGGGTGGGGGGAGGGGGGAGGGATAGCATTTGGAGATATACCTAATGTTAAATGACGAGTTACTGGGTGCAGCACACCAGCATGGCCCATGTATACATATGTAACTAACCTGCATGTTGTGCACATGTACCCTAAAACTTAAAGTATAATAAAAAAAAGAAAGTAGTTTATCTTCTCTGAGACTTTTGTTTTCTGCTTCAAAATTATCTAGTTATACTATTGGTAATCAATGCTAATAGCCATTTATGATTTACTATCTATCTCAAATCAATAAGACCTCTTCTGTAAGTCACCTCTTTCCTCCCTCCTGGAAAAAAACTCTCTAGTTTATTATTGACTGGGTCCCTCTGAGACTTTCCTCAATGTCTTTGGGACCCTTTGGTGGGTGGGATGCTTTAGAAGCCATATAGGATTTGACCCTGTGCACCACTGATCATGTTCACAGAAAGCCCGAGCCAATATGCATAGGTGAAGAATTAACAGATAAGTTCAAATACACACACAGAGGTGTCTAAAAAAAAGGAGATACAAAGGTGTAGTTTCAAAAATCTCACAAAGAATATTCAGATGTAAGAACAGCGCAATCCTGTGTCAATGTTTCTCTTCCTTTCTCTCCAGTGAGCTTGCATTTTATGAAATTTCTTATTCTTCTTCAGTAACAATAGTAAAAAAGATTCCCCTCAGTAACCAAGAAGTAACCTGTACCCTGTATGACTCAGTACTTGCCTACAAAACCTCAACTTATTGCATATGCCTTTCAATGGACTGTATAACTTTTACATCATCAGTAACCGTTTTTGTATATTTGAATTAAGTATAGGAGTAAAGTCACTTTCCATCTGGTATCACATTTTATATAATTTGAATAATTCTTATTTATGCTTTTTTTTGTTAAGTATGTGTTTGCATTTATACTGAAGTCCTTAACTGAGACATTTCACTGTAGATTTATGATACAGAATTCTTTTTGAAAACCTTGATAAATTGGGTGGGAGAATAATTTTACAACAGGAGATGGTGGGGTATCAGTACTGAGTTATCTGATATTGTGGCTTCCTAAATTCCTGGTTGCAAAGGATAAAATCCTGAGATAGGTAATAGAAGATTACCATCTTTCCAAGGTCAAGAATCTGTTCGCAGTTCAACAGTTTGTAAATTATACATGTATTTTTAGTACTTTCCCCTTACATAATTTTACTTCCAAAATAGCTCGTCAACTAATATTTTTAAAAAATGACATTAGTTTAAAAATTATATAATCACAAGCTTCATCTAAATCTTTCCAGTGTTTAAATTTCTGCCAATATTTGGGTTTTTAATAGGTACTGTTGGCAAGTAATACATCTCATTCACTGAATTTCACATCTTGAATTACATAAAACTTTGGACACTTAAAGATTAATACAAAGAAAAAGAAAAGAATAATTTTCTTTTGAAAATACTTAATACAGTGGAAAAAACACAAGAAAATGTTATGTGTTTCACATCCTCATAAAACATAGATTTTTTTGGTAGCCTGTCTTTCTCTTTGACGTAAATGACTATGGAACCATATTCACCTAAGTAATACAAACTCATGCCAGCCTTTAAAATTTGAATGAAACCACTAATGTTATGTGGAGTCACCAGAAAAATGATAACTATGTGAGGTGATGTATTTGTTAATTAGCTAGATTTGACCTTTTTACAATGTATTCATACTTTGAAACATCACATTTTACATTACAAAAACATAAGCAAAAACCACAAGCAAACTCAAGCAAAAGTAATAAAGCAAGAAGCATCACACTATGCGACTAAAATATACTATAAATCTATAGTAACAAAAACAGCATGTTCCTGGCATAAAAACGGTTATGTAGCCATCTGTGCAGCCAACAGACACATGAAAAAATACTCATCATCACTGGTCATCAGAGAAATGCAATTCAAAATCACAATGAGATACCATCTCACGCCAGTTAGAATGCCAATCATTAAAAAGTCAGGAAACAACAGATGCTGGAGAGGATGTGGAGAAATAGGAACACTTTTACACTGTTGGTGGGAGTGTAAATTAGTTCAACCATTGTGGAAGACAGTGAGGCTATCCCTCAAGGATCTAGAACTAGAGATACCATTTGACTCAGCAATCCCATTACTGGGTATATACCCAAAGGTTTATAAATCATGCTACTATAAAGACACATGCACACATATGTTTATTGCGGCACTACTCACAATAGCAAAGACTTGGTACCAACCCAAATATCCATCAATGATAGACTGGATTAAGAAAATGTGGCACATATACACCATGGAATACTATGCAGCCATAAAAAAGGATGAGTTCATATCCTTTGCAGGGACATGGATAAAGCTGGAAACCATCATTCTCAGCAAACTATCTCAAGGATAGAAAACCAAACACCACATGTTCTCACTCATAGGTGGGAATTGAACAACGAGATCACTTGGACACTGGGTGGGGAACATCACACACCGGGGACTGTCAGGGGGTGGGGGGCTAGGGGAGGGATAGCATTAGGAGAAATACCTAATGTAAATGACGAGTTGATGGGTGCAGCAAACCAACATGGCACATGTATACCTATGTACCAAACCTGCATGTTGTGCACATGTACCCTAGAACTTAAAGTATAATTTAAAAACATGGTTATGTAAACCAATGGAAAAGAATAGAGAGCCAGAAATAAATCCATGCACTTGCAGCCAACTGATTCTCAACAAATGTGCCAAGAACACACATTGGAGAAATGATCATCTTCTCAAAAAATGGTGTTGAGAAGACAGAATATACAAACGCAAGAGAATGAAAGTAGATCCTTATCTCTCACCAGACACAAAAATCAATTCAAAATGAATTAAAGACATAAATTTAAGACCTGGAACTAGGAACTACTAGAAGAAAACAGGGAAAATGCTTCATGATGTTGGTGTAAGCAAGTCGTTTTTTGTCAGGACATCACACACACACAAAAGCAACAAAAACAAAAATAGACAATTGGGATTACATTTGAATAAAAAGCTTTTTTTTTTTTTTTTGGAAACGGAGTTTTGCTCTTGTTGCCCAAGCTGGAGTGCAATGGCGTGATCTCGGCTCACCACAACCTCCGCCTCCCAGGTTCAAGTGATTGTCCTGCCTCAGCTTCCCAGGTAGCTGGGATTACAGGCAAGCGCCACTAAGCCTGGCTAAATTTTGTATTTTTAGCAGAAATGGGGTTTCACCATGTTGGTCAGGCCTAGTCTCAAACTCCTGACCTCAGGTGATCCAGCCACCTCAGCCTCCCAAAGTGCTGGGATTACAGGCATGAGCTACCAAGCCCGGCCGTAAAAAGCTTTTTCACAGCAAAGGAAACACTCAACAGAGTAAATAGATAATCTACAAAATGGTAGAAAATTTTTGCAAACTATATATCTGAAAAGGGGTTAATATCCAAAATATATATGAAACTCAAATAACTCGAAAGCATAAAAATAATAATAACCTAATTAAAAAATGGACAAAAGGCCTTAACAGACATTTCTCAAAATAAGACATAGTTGACTAACAGGTCTATGAAAAATACTCGACATCACTAAACATCAGGGAAATGCAAGCCAAAACCACAATGAGATATCACTGCACCTGGTTAGGATGGCTATTATCAAAAAGTTGCATGATAAAAATGGTCGGCAAGGATGTGGAGACAAGGGAATCTTTACACACTATTAGTGAGAATGTAAGTTAAAACAGCCATAATGGAAAACAATAAGGTGGTTCTTCAAAAAATTAAAAGTAGAACTAACATGTGGTTAATCAATCCCATACGGGTATATATCCAAACTAAATAAAATCATTATCTTGAATAGACATCTGCATATCGATGTTCATTGCGGTACCATTAACAGTAACCAAGAGAGGGAATCAACCTAAATGTTCACCAATAGATGAATAAAGAAAGAAAATGTGGTATATTATTTGGCAATAAAAAAAAGAAAACTCTGTCATTTGTGAGCAACATGGATGAACCTGGAGGACAATATGTTAAGTGAAATAAGCCAGGCACAGAAAGACAAATATATCATGATATGACTCCTACTGGTATGTAAAAACATTGATCTCATAGAAGTAGAAAATACAATGGTGGATATCAGAGCTAGGGGTCTAGGGGAGTTGCGGTGATGTTAATCAGAGAACACATACTTACAGTTAGATAGAAGGAATACATTTCAGGAGATGTATTGTAGAGCAAGACGATTGTAGTTGATGATGATATATTGTATTCTTGAGAAATAGAAAGTTAATGTTATGTGTATTCACCAGAAAAATGATAACTACGTGAGTTGATGTATTTGTTAATTAGCTAGATTTGACCTTTTCACAATGTATACATACTTTGAAACATCACATTTTACATTACAAAAAAACATGCAATGTCATACGTCAATTAAAAATACAAATAAATAAAATAATTAATATATGACCCAATGGTGTTCATTGTTAGGGTTATCTGTCCTGGCAGTCAGAGACAAGTTATTGATAAACCTGGAAAAACAATACCAGAACCTTGGGATCAGAGTTGTTGCCTTCCGTGGTATGCATTTTGAGAGCATTAAAATTGATGTCAAGCCTTGCAAAATGAATCCAACCCTGTTTGCCTATCAGTGTACCTAAAAAACACCAGAAGCTGACACAAAGCCACAGTATTTATGGAAATTAAAGCAATAAATACATTACAGATCACAGACCAGGCAGAATAGACAAATAGAATGGCTTCTGGATTAGTTATCTTCAATTTTTTTTCTCTTGAATCTATATATTAATTTTTTATATTCTTGTCACATTTTTAATTGATCTTTTAAATTTTTATTATTAATGTAAACAGTAACAAAGGATGTATTCCCCACCAAATTTTAAGTTGTTTAAAATTTACATTACTTTCAGATGTATTACATTTACTCTAATAGAGTGATTTTCAAGCAACCATATAAAGAGCAAATAAACAAGCTCCTCTTAAATAGTAATATATTTTGTATTTTTTATCTTTGAACTTTGCTTTAAGTTTATCTTCTCTAAAACATTTCTTCAATATTTTTATACATGTGTTTATATATATTTAAAAACAGAGAGTGTGTTGTGTGCATTATATTTAAATTATTTATAATTTACATACACTTTAAAATATTTCCTATGCCAATAAAGTGTTTTCCTGGTTTAAGACAGCATTCATTTTTTAATAGTTCACCATTGACCACAATAATAAGATATATTGCAACTTTTGGAAATGTTTAATTATAAAATAAATTTTATTGGAAATGTATTTAATTTAGGTGTATGGCAGGGTTATGATGTTTTTGTAAGAAAGACTTTAAGTATTACACTTAGAACTATCTCTCTTCTTAATTGTTCTGAAAATTTTACAGTATAGGGCAATATACCTTATTGAGATGTAAAATGTGCTTGTACTTGTAAAAATGACAGAAGCACACTAGTGAAGGAGAAGATTGAAATAGGAACAATAGTTGTCAAGCAGATCAACTAGGAAAAAGTATATAAAAGTTAAGTATCTAGAAAAATATTCCTTTAAAATAATGTGTGCATGAGTTTTTAGAAAGCTTTTCTGTAATGCCATAGGTACATGTGTCATAAAATGAAGACCCCTGTTCTATATGATTTGTGTGATTTTCCTCATTTTGTTTGTGTGGGTTAGGCAATTCATTTTAGAGAAACAAGTGGTTACAGAATGAGAACTCCAAAACAGAAATGCTAATATATTGATTAAAATGTAGTTAGGTAAATAAATGATTACTTTCCCCTATCCTTACTACATAGGCTACTGATTTCTGTTAGGAATAACTCCCTCCTCACTCCACCCCTTCCAGGATTCAGATGTAAGTATATCAGTGAACCTACTCTCTATAAATAGTCTCTAATTGTGTAAATCATTTTTAGGAATTTGCTAGGGAATGTTAGAAATTGTAACTAAGACACTTCAGGGCCATTTAGCAAGATACTGTCTTTGGTCATGATGGTGGGATTTCTTTATACCAATTTATTATAAAAAGCTGTTTAAAACTCTCTGTATAATTATATACAACAAATAATTACTTGTCACCTTGATAAAATTTCTTAGCATATTTTGCTCTAATAAAGACAGTTAAATTGGTTTGGTCCATTTATTTTTTATATTCTATGCTCCCAGATTGTGTAAGTGATTAGAGAGTTTATATTAATTTTGTATACATCTTTGAAAACAGAGCAAGAGAATAAAAAGCTGGGTCTGTATAAATGCTGAATGTGCTTTGAATTAAGAATCCTTGGCTTGCTCAACAGCTTATTGAAAACATAGAGATATTGTACTCCAAAATCAAACTTCTAATTCATACAACCATTATTCATGGGTATTGTTATGGTCTTCCAAAATGTTCTTCCTTATGCTTTATAAATAATCCATTTTAAAAACATGTTTGTCATACTTAGAGAGCCAGAGCCTAGTTGGTAATACTGAATGAAAATAACTCTGTAGAAAATCAATTTCACTTATTCACAGTACCAATGCCAAAAATTCAAACAAACAGGGCTATTCAGTTAGTCTTCTTGTAACTTAATTAACTCAAGGAAATTTCATGGAGTGAACATAATCACTTTTTTATGTAGCACACAGAAAGTGGCAGAAAGTCTACTTTTTCCCCCAGAATATATTCTATAGACTGTGCTAGAAGTACATTACCTGAAATCTTCCAATTCTTTTGAAGTTATATTCTATATTAATATTTTTTAAAAGAAAACATAAAACATCTAAGGATTTAAGCTTAATGTAATTTATTTAAATATTAAGAAAAATGATACAATTTAGCAAAATATTACTGTTTTTCCTAATGTGAACAGAACCATTTACTGTTTTCAAAACCAGAATATTGATCCAATTTTAAGTCACTTTCTTTAATAATCATTTTTATAAAGTTTTTCTTCACTTGATAGTATTATAATATTTGCTCATTAAAGATGCAGTCACTCAGAGAAATAAGAAGATATATGTGGTAGAGCAAAAATACTAAAATTGCATCACTACCTTAAATGGTTAATTCTAAGAGAATAAACAGAGCAAAAAACTCCAGATATAAGCTTCACGGTGTCTTCTGTGGTAAGTTTCATTTCCTTAACTATGACCTGTTTCTCAAATAAGTTTTAGGTTTAATGGGTTTGGTCATGGACATTGTCTCTGGCCCTTTCATCTTTGATTGTTTCCCAATTCCTTCTCAGTCTTCCTTGATAGTTTTATATGCCTTTATTGTGCTCCAACCACTGAAAATACTGTAACTCAAGTAAGGAAATTAGTACTAAAAAGAAAAAAAATGTAAACAGAAAAATTTACTGATGTGGTGAGATATGGTCCACCAAACACTGGAAAAGGAGTGAATTTATTCCATTGCGATTGGAAGGAAAAGATAGGTAATGTTTGGTTGGTAGGCCTAGGGTAGAAGCAGTTCCTGGATGATGTAAGTGTTGTGAAAATAGAGCCAGAAAGACTTGGGAGAAATATAAAGAACTAAGTTTCATGAAATTTAAATATCAAAATTGGAGTGACTAACACGGAGCGGTACAGTCACAATAAATAAGGTGAGATTTAGTTGGATTCTAGATTCTATTTTAACATTTTTGCTTAAAATATTTTTCATCATACACCAAGAGGAGAGAATAGTAGCCAGGCCCCATCAGACTCACCCTTATGATACAATTATCTAGCTTCATCACACTTGTTTCATCTATCACCTTCTTTGTTGTCCTTCTCTTGTGGAAGCTTCTTGAGATAAATCTGATATATCATAACATCCTCAGCCCAGGATAGCTGAATATTAAAAAATATAAGAATATTCCCCTTATATAAAACATCTAACAACATTAACCATAACAATAATATCTAATATCCGGTATATATCAAACTTCCCTACTTTATCAAAAATGTCCTTTTATGAAATTTCCAGTAATGGCCATTGCACTTCATTGTGTGCCTTGAGCCTCAACAAATATAGAATTCCCCCACTTTTTAATCCCATGTCATTGTCTTATTACAGAAGCACTGTCAATTGCCACACAGAATGTTCCACATTTTTATTCATCTTATTGCTTTCCTATAGCATTGTCTAACTGTTCTTCTATACATCATATACTCTGTAACTTAACTTACATGTGTGATTAAATTCAAGTTTATTTTTTGTTGTGAGCAAATTTCATAGGTAGTGCTCCCTCTATATTTTTATAAGAAAACCAATATTCCCTGGTAAAGTATTTGTGTGCTGGGAGAAATAATCGAGGAAGAGTCCAGATTTGTTGGGCTGAACAACAGGAAATATGAAGTTGCCATCAAAGGAGATGGAAAAGGGTGTAGATTGAGCAGGCTTGTTGTGGATATCTGGAGTATGGTTTTTGAGATATTAAGTTTGAGAGGTGATGTGGTGATATCGTGTACACAGGTGAACAGAAAAAATGAGAGAGTAGGAGAGAGAAACAGGAAATATGAACAAGGAAGTGGTCGATGTATCAATGTCATCGAACACCTTTAGAAGGAATGAGAACCACAAACGAGTAAGTATACAAAAATATTGGAAATCATACAATGACTGGCCTTAATATTAAATGATCAGGAAGAAGGGTGGGATTCAGCAAAGAAGACTGGAAAGGAAAGCCCAAGAAAAATTAGTGGCTTGGATATCACGTAGAAAGACTAAACATTTTTCCTAGGTCAAGCAAGTTGAGGACTGAGGATTAGCCACCAGTGCCGTTGAAAATATAAGTTTATTGGCATGGTGAAGCCCAAGGGATGATTCAGGGCATTCAACAGAGATTGGAAAGAGAGAAATTGAAGATGTTAAGTATAGAAGATATTTTCAAGTACAGACCGTTCCTGACTTGCCATGGTTTGCTTAATGATTTTTTGACTTCATGATGATGCAGAAGGTATACACATTTAGAGAAACAGCACTTTAAGCAAGCATACAACCATTCTGTTTTTCATGTTTCACTACAGCATTTAATAAATCACATGAGATATTCAATATTTTATCATAAAATAGGCTTTGTGTTAGATTATTTTGTCCAATTTTGGGCTATTACGTATGTTTTGAGCATGTTTAAGGTAAGCTAGTCTAAGCTATGATGTTCTATGGGTAATATATATTTAATGTAGCTTCTTTTATATTTTTAGTTTTTACTTTTTTGACATAGCCTATCACCCAGGCTGGTGTGTAGTGGCATGATCATGTCTCACTGCAGCCTCCACCTCCTGAGCTCAAGCGATCTTCCCACCTCGGTCTCCCAAGTAGCTGGGACTACAGGCACACACCACCACACCCAGCTAATTTATTTATTTATTTATTTTTGGTTGACATGGGGTCTGTCTCTATTGCCAAGATTACTTCCCAAATGCAACTGAAAATCTTCCATTTATCCCTAGCATGCTTCATCACATATACCACTTACTTGACTCAAAGCTTCATGAGAGTCAGCATACACATGTTCTCTTTATTCACTCTTGTAACAGCAGAACATAGCAGTTTTCTAGTACATGTATGTCTAATAAATATATATATAAAATTTAAGACCAATGAAAAGTATTCTTTCCCTCTATAAACATGTTAAATCTTTCTTTGCTCTCCCAGAATCTCCTAGATTATAAAAATCGGATGCAAGCTCTGACATGTTAAAATTATAAGTAGATGAGCATGCTGTATTAATACAAATTCTTCCTTCCTAAAAGGTGGCTTGATGAGGTGGCAAGATGTTTTCAATGCTGTCTTCAACTCCCAGGGGTCTTTTTAGCATCCTAAAACTAATCTCTCACTTCAGGCGCAGGAAGTCTCCCCACTCTAAATAGTAATCCTATGGGGTACAATGGAAGTCTCACACCAAAATCATTCCCGCTCATAACGAATTTTTACCTACTGGATTGAATTTTTCTAAAATTCAAAACTAGACTTTCATGCCTTTGTATAAACTTGTAATATCTCCTCGCTGCTCAGTTAAATAATGACGCTTATCTCATGGTCTGCTCCTGCTCACCTTGGTGTTCACTAAGTTTTCCCAAAGAGAGCTCTAAACCCAGCTTCCAAGACAGGTTAGATGATTTACCAGAATCGTTTTCCTTTTTTTTTTTTTTTCCAATTTTCTCGGTGTCTGTATAGATTCTATATAAAGAGTTGGTTAAACTAGAACTCATAACTTTTAAATTATATAATTTCAAAATTTCTGCTCAGAGTGGAAATAGCAATGGAAGTTATTGGCTTTTTATATTCAGGAGCTTTCTCTATTACGATTCAGTCTCCCTACAGTTCAACGGCATGAGCCTAAAACAATGAAAACCGAGGGTATCCAACTAAAATTTACTGTTGAGCAGTTTCCAGTCAAATTAAACTGAAACATTTAAGTATGCAGCTGTAACAGTTTCTCCATTTCAAGGTAATCAGGAATAAATGGTAAGCTATTTTCAGAAATGACAATGATACTAATGAAGTCAACAAGAATGACATATTTCTCAGTATGGTATATCTCTTTTATCTATAATTAACATCTATAACAAATATTCCTTGGAGAAATACACCATTTAGTTATCATCTGAATAATTAAACATCCACATTCATTACATCGATTAAAGACACACACATTTTGAAAGGTTAAGTGCAGAATCTGATGACATGAAGCTGTATCTGCCTTGTTCTAGTACTGACAGGCTTAACCTCTTAACGGGGAAGTCGACAAAACAGCATAAACGAAGACAGCTTTTTTTTTTAAAGGAAACATACATTATGTTTGACAAAAGTATGTATTTTTGTTTGACAGAAGCCAGTTGGATATAGTTGGCAGTAAAGTGAAAGTATGAACTTAGGGGAAGCCAGATTAATGAAAGCTTAGTCTAATATGAAAAAAATGTGGGCTTTTTTCAAGTACAGTAGAAAAAAGTGAGAGCAGTAGTAAAGAGTAGAAAAGTATGATTGACAAAATAGAGTAGAATGACAGATTTAAGAAGATAGTGAAAGCACAGGCTAAAACTTGAAGGCCATGGATGAAACCGGAGATCATTATGTTAACCGAAATAAGTCAGATACAGAAAGACAAACATCTCATGTTCTCACTTATTTGTGTGATCTAAATACCAAATCAATTGAAACCATGGACATAGGGAGTAGAAGCATGGTTACCAGAGGCTGGGAATGGTAATGGGAGGTTTGTGGGGAAGTTGAGATGGTTAATGGATATGAAAAAAATAGAAGGAATGAATAAGACCTATGTTTTGAAAGCACAATAGGTGGCTATAGCCAATAATAACTTAATTGTATATTTTAAAATAATTCAAAGAATGTAATTGGATTGTTTGTATTTCAAAAATGATTGAGGAAATGGATACCTCATTCTCCATCATGTGCCTATTTCATATTGTATTAAAACATCTCATGTATACCGTAAATATATACACCTATAATGTACCAATAAAAATTTTATAAATAATTAATTTTTTAATTGAAGGCAAATTTTCAAAGGAAATAAAGTGATGAAAGTTTAAAGAAAAAAAATTTCTAAGCAGTGAGTAACTAATGTGAAACCCCTCCCCATTTGCACATATATGTTAGATTTTAATGTTTTCTTTTTCTTTCATACACAGAGAAGCACATTTTAATAAACAAATGTAAGTTTCTTTTCGTGGGGATGTAGCAATAGTGCAGAGCCGATAAGGCGTCCGCTCCTTCTTCCCTGCTACTTTGCGTGCAGGCCCTGCTGTGTGAAGGTTGAAACCAGGCCCTGACTCAATCAGTAGAAAGTCACCACTCATACAAGGTGAAATGTCCTAGAATCAGAGACGGATTATACTCAGACTTCTTTCCCTACTGTCGCACATTCTTTTTGGTACTTTTTTTGCAGTATCTTTTTTTTTTCTATCTTTCTTTTTTTTATATTTTAAGTTCTGGGATACCTGGGCAGAACCTGCAGGTTTGTCACATAGGTATACAAGTGCCATCAACCCTTCATCTACTTTAGGTATTTCTGCTAATGTTGTCCCTCCCGTAGCCCCTCACCCACTCACAGACCCCAGTGTGTGACGTTCCCCTCCCTGTGTCCATGTGTTCTCATTGTTCAACTCCCACTTATGAGTGAGAATATGCAGTGTTTGGTTTTCTGTTCCTGTGTTAGTTTGCTGAGAATGACAGTTTCCAGCTTCATCCATGTCCCTGGCAAAGGACATGAACTCATCCTTTTTTATGGCTGCATAGTATTCCATGGTGTATATGTACCACATTTTTTTTTTTTATCTAGTCTATCATTGATGGACATTTGGGTTGGTTCCAAGTCTTTGCTATTGTGAAGAGTGCTGCAATAAACATACATGTGCATGTGTCTTTATAGTAGAATGATTTAAAATCCTTTGGGTATAACCCCAGTAACAGGATTGCTGGGTCAAATATTATCACCTACTTTGCAAGACAAATAATTTAAGAAACAATCAAAAAGTCTGCTGGAGACACCTGTATTCCCAGCACTTTGTGACGTCAAGGCAGGTGGATCACTTGAGCCCAGGAGTTGGAGACAAGCCTGGGCAACATAGCGAAATCCCATCTCTACAGAAAGTACAAAAAAATTAGTCGGGTTGAGTGGTGAGCACCTGCCTGTAGTCACAGCTCTACAGGAGGCTAAGGTGGGAAGATTGCTTGAGCCCAGGAGGTAGAGACTGCATTGAGCGATGATTCACCACTGCACTCCAACCTGGGCAGCAGAGCAAGAGCAAGACCCTGGCTCAATAAACAACAAAAACAACCCCCCTACACAAAAAAATAGAGCCAAATGTTAATACTTTTAGTTTTCCTTCCTTTCCTAAATGCAAATTTGTACTATGAAATAATAATCCATTCTAATCGGCTTAATAGTTTTAGTAGAACACTCATAGAAAATAGAGATAGATATTTTAATACAGAGAAAATGTATTTTGAAATACTTTAAATATTGGTTTAATAGATATTGTCACCAAATTAAAAACAAATCACTTCCTGCATTTAGTCTAAAAGAAGCACTAGAGAAGTATCAAGGAAAAATGATTTCCAAAGATAAATACATGCTTTTTAAAAACATATATGTGTAGATTTTACTTTGGGGATACATATTCTCAATTTTAAGATAGAACTCAGTAGAAATAATAAAGGAGTGGACTGTTAAAAATCCCTTTCTGTTTGAGTCAAGAAGTTTAGATTAAAGACTTAGGATAAAAGTGTTTCCAAATCATATGAGTTGTTTAGTTCAAATCATTTTCTCTTGAAGGTACTTTTGATTCATGACAAGAATTTATATTGAAACAAAATGTATATAAAAGTCAGCACGAATTTCTCTAAGTGGTTGAGATATCATCCAGTTTATCACAGGCAAAAATTGTAGTATAAAATAAACACAAAATGTTATTATTTTAAATTTGATATATGTTAGGTAAAATAGAGAAATTTTGTGATTATTTTTCTAATATATGAAGCTAGCAAAATTATTAAAATCAGGTTAAGTTACAGTGTGATTAATCTTCCACTTACAAGTTATTTGAGTAGAAAATTATGCTCAAATGCTCAACTAAGATACAAATGTCATACTGAATAATCACTCATATACTTCTGTATTAATTTGTTTTCTTAAAAAACTTGTATCCCATACTATAAAACAAAAATTGTTAAAATTTATTCTAACTATATAGCATAATTTAATGGATCGATGTGGCAAGTTCAATATATTTCAGGCACAAATAAAAATATTTAATGGACAGGTTTTATTTTTCATTTAAAGATACATTATATTAATTGTCAAAGCAATAAATTTGCTGAGTGATTTCTTAGATTGATGTTTACTTTTCTGCTGCAATCAAAGCCCAAAGGCTATAATTTTCTCAAACTTTGAAAAGCACCGCCAGTCTTTAACAACAGGAGTAACAGGGCTTGGAAATATTTATTGATTGATCCGAGGGGAACTTTTTTTTTTTTTTGAGACAGAGTCTCACTCTGTTGCCCAGGCTGGAGTACAGTGGCACTGCTCACTGCAACCTCCACCTCCTGTGTTCAAGTGATTCTCCTGCCTCAGCCTCCTGAGTAGCTGGGATTACAGGAGCTGGGATTATACCACGTCCAGCTAATTTTTGTATTTTCAGTAGAGACGGTGTTTCACCACCTTGGTCAGGCTGGTCTTTACCTCCTGACCTCATGATCTGCCCACCTCAGCCTCCCAAAGTGCTGGGATTACAGGCGTGAGCCACCGCGCCTGGCCCTAGCAACTTTTAATTCGTATAAAAATATAATTTTATCTCTATTTCATTTCAAACCGAGAAAGCAATTCTAAATGTATTAAAAACTCATAAAAACAAAATAAAATTATCAAACATTGCATGTTATATATTTATGATTAGTAGGAAAAAAGAAATCCTGGGAGTCAAAAATCATAAAGTTTTAAATAAAAGATTGATATGTTTCACTAAGAATTCATCAGTATTTACTGTGTAGAAAACAAAAAGATAGACTACCAACTAGAAAAAATTATATATATTTTACAATGTTAAAGGTTTTAATAAAAAATATATAAGGAACTCTTTTAAATAATCAACCAATCAAATACAAAATAAGTGGGCAAAATTTTTAAATAGTGATTTTATGGAAGAGGAAATCTGAATAGCCAACAACTGTCCGGAAACTATACTAAAACATCAACAATGTGGAAAATGAAAAATCAAAAATCAATAAATTACATGCTCCAGTCAAACAAAATGTTTAAGTTCTGGTTACCTCAGAGGTTGGTAAAGATTAATGTAACGGAAATCTCATACATTGCAGGAAAAAAATCTAAGTTTTATAAACCCATTAAAAGTAGTTTACATTTTTAAAACCATCTAGACATATGCATAAGAAGCAATCTAGTACATGAATGTAAAGGTAGTTCAGTAATAAAGTTCACAACAGAAATATTTATTACAGCAATAAATGGACTCAATGTGTTTCACAACAAGGAATGAAAAATTTTTTGTTATCTATTAATTATATATTATATATATAAAATTCCCTTCAAATAATATTCGAAGACATATAAAGCACAATAGCATTTTATTTAAGGTTACATATTTATGTGCAATATATCTAAAAGCAATTGAAAAATTTACATAAAAGCAAAATTATTACTTCCTGAGTACACAGAGAGTGAGATAGGATCATGTACACAGTTGATATAAAATCTTCAGATTTTTCTCTGTGGGTGTGTGTTTGTTGGGGGGAGGTGTATTCATCTGTATTAATTTTATTGTTGTATTTTATCCAATATTAATTGTTAAATATCCTTTGTATGTATTAAATAGTTAAATAAAAACAAAACCATCTGAATTAAAAAACAACTTTAATAAAAAGACTTTATAGTACATAGCAACAAAATATGATCATCATATCTATATTTGTACTTTTATATGTTTATTTATTTTAAGCCTTTTTTAGGCACACCAAGCATGGATGACCACTGTTATTTCACTTGGATTTCTTGCAACAAGGTATTATGTCAAACTAGACAAACTAAATAAATATAAAACAAACCACCTAAATGAAACTTTGTGGAAAATTTAGAGTATTTTAGTCTTTCTGATGTCTCACTTTTAAAAATTAAAGTCAATTATTTAATTTTTGAAAAGCAAATGTCCCAGGCAGAGGCAAAATGTAAATCTGCGCATCATTTAATTCATGTATTGAATGTTTTAAAGGATACTTTCCTAAAGAAACGTTTTATTTATGCTATATAGCTATTTTACAGGTTTTTAAAAATTTTTGCTGTGTACTCGGCACTTGTAGCAATGAATGACAACTGTTCATATGATCTTCAATTGTTATACTGGTAGGGTTCACATTACTAGTGTAATGGATAGATACATTAAATTGTGGTTTGCTTATTAAAAGAGGTAAGCTTAGTTTTCTCTAAGAGTAAAAAAAGAGACTTGAGAATTCAGTTAATTCTATAAAGTAGAAATGATTTATAAAGTGATACCTGAGTTAGAAGCAGTATTTAACTAAATAAGAAGTCAAAGAAAAACTATTTTCAGAAGAGTGCATAGCAAATTAGAAGGCCTGAAGGTGGGAAAGAGCAGTATGTACACTGGGAAAACTGAGTAACTCATTTGTGTGGAAAATGAAGCTGAAGGGGATAGTTGCAAGATGGCACCATTCATGATACTGAGGAGGTAGTGGCTCAATTAATGTAGGGCTTCAAAAGCCACAATAGTGTGTTTAGATTTTTATCCTGAAAGCAATAGGAGGTCTTTATAGTTAGTTCCTAATAATAGCTGCACAATCAAATTTGACTTAATAACACATTGTACATGTAGAGGGAAGGATGGTAAACACAGAAATAGCAAGTAAGGCACTTTAACTGTAATCTATGCATTCTATCATAGAGTAAACAAAGACAACAAGAAGGGCAGGAGGAGTAAAAAAAGATTAGTGAGGAATTTTGAATTTCAGAATTCCAGAATTTGGAGAGTAAGTGGATGTGGGGGTGGTGAGCAAGAGAAAGCGCTCCAAAATGTCATCTTTCTGGCTTTGACAAAGTGAATTGCTCTTACATTCATTTAGACGTATTTCGAAGTAAATGTACCTCAAATAGCCAATTATTTCTGTACTTTCTTTATTTCATTTATCAGTGTTTCCACTATGATACCTGTATCAGGCCTAATTTGATTACTGAGGCTTTCTAGAAATTTTTGAAATTGAAAAGTGTAAGTCATCAATCTTTGTTTAGTTCAAGATTTTTTGCTGCCAATTCTGAGTTTTTTGAATTTTCGTATAGATTTAGCATCAACTTGTCAATGTCAACAAAAATAACAACTGGGATTTTGAAAAAAAAATGTGTTGAAACTGTAGGTAAATTTATATCTTATTAACATCATCTACTATGTCTTCTTATCCATGCCCATGGAATATATGTTTATTTATCTAAGCCATCTGTAATTTCTTTCTATGCTGTTTGTAGTATACAGTCTTGCCCATTGTTTTGTTCAATTCATTTCTAAGAATTGTTTTTTAACTTTGATTCTATGAAAATAATGTTTTTATAATTTAATTTTTGGATTGTTTATTGCTAGTTTAAAAAATACACTTTCTTTATTTCATTCACATTGCATTCTACAGTCTTACTGTACTTGTAGATAAGTTGTAGTCTTATATTTTCTGTAGGTTCATCAGGATTTTATACATACAAGATCATGTCATCTGTGATTAGAGAGAGTTTTACTTCTTGTATTTCAATCGGAATGTCTTCATTTATTTTTCTTGCATAGTAGCCCTGGATAAAACCACCAATAGTGTTAAATAGAAGTTGTGACAAGTAGACATCCTTGTATTGTTCCTGAACTTGGCAGAAAAACATTTAGTTTTTCAGTGATTTTTCAGGTTAAGAAAATTTGCTTCCATTTGTAATGTCAATGTTTTTATCAAAAAAGAGTATTGGGTTTTGTCATATGCTTTCTTTTTGCATATCTTAAAAATATTATGTGCTATTTGCTATGATGTGATACACACACACACACACCTATGTATACATATATATGTTTTTTGTTTTTTTTGTTGTTGTTGTTTTTTGAGACAGAGTCTCGGTCTGTCGCCCAGGCTGGAGTGCAGGGGCGGGATCTCGCTTCACTGCAAGCTCTGCCTCCTGGGTTCACACCATTCTCCTGCCTCACGCTCCCGAGTAGCTGGGACTACAGGTGCCTGCCACCACCCCTGGCTAATTTTTATATTTTTAGTAGAGATGGGGTTTCACCGTGTTAGCCAGGATGGTCTCGATCTCCTGATCTCGTGATCTGCCCGCCTCGTCTTCCCAAAGTGCTGGGATTACAGGCCTGAGCCACCGTGCCCTGCCATATATTTTAATTTATTATGATGGCATATTACAATGATTGATTTTCATACAATGAACTAACTTGCATTCCTTGACCAATTATCTTTTCATATATTTCTAGATTTGGTTTTCTAGTATTTTATAGGACTTTTGCATTAATACTCATAATAATTTTTTCAAGTGTAGTTTTCTCTTCCTGCAATGTTATTGCAGGAAGTGCCATTTTGATATTAAGGATTGACTGGCCTCATGGGATGATGTTGGAAATATCTCATTCTCATACTTTTGGAAGAGTTTTTGAAGGGTCAGTGTTAAGTTTTTTCTAAACACTATGTAGATTTTATTAGTGAAACCATATGAGCATAGACTTTCCTCCAGGGAATGTATTTTGGTTCCTAATTCAATCTCTATTTATTATAGGCCTATTTAGGTTTTCTTTTTCTTCTTGAGTCTGTCCCAGTAGTTTTTGTCTTTCATAAAATGCATTTATTTTATGTAGATCATCTAATTTATTAGTATACACTTATTCAGAGTATGTCCTTATATTTCATTTGATTTCTGAATGTTTTTTAATTATGTCATTAGCAAACTTCTTTCATTCCTGATTTTGGTAATTTCAGATTTTGTCTTTTTTTTCTTGCTTAGTCTAGGTGGGGTTTTCAAATTTTTGGATGGTTCCAAAGAACCAATATCAGGTTTCATTGATGTTATCTCTACTTTTTTTCTATTCATGAATTTATTGATTTTCTTTTACACCTTGCTTATGGAAATGTAAATTATTACAGCCATTATAGAAAACAGTATGCAGGTTCCTCAAAAAATGAAACATACAACTACCATATAATAAAGAAATCCCATTACTGAGTAAATATATGTATTAATCCGATCTCATGCTGCTATAAGGACATACCAAAGACTGAGTAGTTTATAAACGAAAGGGGTTTATTGACTCACAGTTTTGTATGACTGGGAAAGCCTCAGGACTCTTACAATTATGGCGGAAGGGGAAGCAAACACATCCTTTTTCACATGACAGCAGGAGAGAAAATTGCAGAGCGAAAAGGGAAAAAGCTCCTTATAAAACCATCAGATCCCATGAGAACTCACTCACTGTCATGAGAACAGCATGGTGGAAACCGTCTCCATGATTCAATTACCTCCCACCAGGCCTCTCCCATGACAGATAGGCCTTAGGAAAAACCTACAAGATGAGATCTGGGGGGAGGGTCACAAAGCCTGACACATTATCCTGCCCCTGGCCCTTCCCAAAACTCATGTCCTCAGATTTCAAAACACAATTATGCCTTTCCAACTGTTTCCCAAAATCTCAACTTATTTCAGCATTAACTCAAAAGTCAAAGTCTCATGTGAGACAAGACAAGTCCCTCCTGCCTATGAGTCTGTAAAATCAAAATCAGATTAGTTACTTCCTAGACACAATGCAGGTACAGGAATTTGGTAAATACATCCATTCCAAATAAGATAAATTGGCCAAAACAAAGGGTTACAGGTTCTATTCAGGTCTGAAATCCAATGAGACAGTAATTAAATCTTAAAGCTCTGAAATAATCTCCTTTGACTCCGTGTCTCACATTCAGGTAATGTTGATGCAAGTGATGCAAGAGGTAGGCTCCCAAGGCCTCTGGCAGTGTCACCCCTGTGGCTTTGCAGGGTACAGCGCCACCTCCTGGCTGTTGTCACAGACTGTTGTTGACTGTCTGCAACTTTTCCAGGTGCACTGTGCAAGTCATTGGTGGATCTACCATTCTGGGATCTGGAGGATCATGGCCCTCTTATCACAGCTCCACTAGGCAGTGCCCCGGTGAGGACTCTGTGTGGAGGCTCCGACCCCACATTTTCCTTCTGCACCACCCTAGCAAAAGTTCTCCATGAGGGCTGCACCCCTGCAGCAAACTTTGGCCTGGGCATCTAGGTGTTTCTATACATCCTCTGAAATCTAGGCAGAGGTTCCTAAACCTCCATGTTTGACTTCTGTGCACCTGCAGGCTCAACATCACATGGAAGCTGCCAAGGCTTGGGGCTTGCACCTGCTGTGCCATGGCCAGAGCTATACCTTGGCCCCTTTTAGCCACAGCTGCAGTGGCTGGGATGCAGGGTATTAATGCCTGAGGCTGCACACAGCAGAAAGGCCATGGGAAGACCCATGAAACCACTTTTTCCTGCTAGGCCTCTGGGCTTGTGATGGGAGGGCTGCCATGTAGGTCTCTGACATGCCCTGGAGACATTTTCCCTATTGTCTTGGTGATTAACATTTGGCTCCTTTGTTACTTATGAAAATTTCTGCAGCAGGTTTGAATTTCTCACCACAAAATGGGTTTTTCTTTTCTATTGCATCATCAGGCTGCAGATTTTCTGAACTTTTATGCTCTGCTTATTCTTGATCTCTTTGCTGTTTAAAAATTTCTTGTGCCAGATACCCTAAATTATCTATCTCAAGTTCAAAGTTCCACAGTTCTCTAGGGCAGGAGCAAAATGCTGCCAGCCTCCCTGCTAAACTATATCAAGGGTTACCTTTGCTCCAGTTCCCAAGAAGTTCCTAATCTCCATCCGAGACCCCCTAGGCCTGAACTTAATTGTCCATATCACTATCAGCATTTTGGTCAAAGCCATTCAACAAGTCTCTAGGAAGTTCCAAACTTTCCCTTGTTTTCTTGTCTTCTGAGCCCTCCAAATCTCTGGAAACTTTTATACTTTCCCACATTTTTTGTCTTCTTCTGAGCTTTCCAAACTGTTCTGACTTCTGCCTGTTATCCAGTTCGAAAGTCGTTTCTACTTTTTTGGGTATGCTTGTAGCAGCACCTTACCAACTTACTGTATTACTCCATTCTCATGCTGCTATAAGGACTTACCTGAGACTGGGTAATTTGTAAAGAAAAGAGGTTTAATTGACTCACAGTTTCACGTTGCTGGAGAGGACTCAGGACACTTACAATCATGGTAGAAGGGGAAGTAAACATGTCCTTCTTCACATGGCAGCAAAAGAGAGAAGTGCTGAGTGAAGAGAGGAAAAGTCCCTTATAAAACCATCAGATCTCATGAGAACTCACTCACTATCACCAGAACAACATGGCAGAAACTGCCTCCATGATTCAATTACCTCCCATCAGGTCCTTCCCACAACATGTGAGGATAATGGGAACTACAATTCAAGATGAGATTTGGTTGGGAACACAAAGCCTAAGCATATCATTATCCAAAATAATTAAAATCAGTATGTCAAAAAGACATCTGCACTGTTATGTTTATTACAATTCTATTCACAATAGCTAAGATATGAAATCAACCTGAATGCCCATCTACAATAAAAGGATGTTTTCTCTCTAAACTTTAATTTCCTTCCTTCTGCTTTTTTTGGTTTTATTGTTTTTTACCTTATTTAATATAGGTGTTTGTAGCTATAAGTTTCTAATTTACCATTGATTAGTTTTGTCCCATTGATTTTGGTTACTGATTTTGGTTTGTTACACGTTTGTTTCCATCTTCTCAAATTATGTTCTATTTCTCATAATTTCTTCTTTGACCCATTGGTTATTTAGAAGTTTGTTGTCAGATATTCACATAATTATGCAACTCAAATTTTTCTTCTGTTACTGATATCTAATATTCTCTTTTGGTCTAAGGGCATATTTTATATAATTTCAACTCAAATTTTATTGAAGTTTATTTCATGAACTAAGGTAAGGTCTATCCTGGATAATATTTTATGAGCTCCTGAGAATATTGTATATTCTGTAGTTGTTGGGAAGATTATTGCATACATATCTGTTAGTGTCGATTATTTTCCTATGTTTTTTCAGTTTTTGTTTTTTTTTTTTTGTAATGATCTTCCATTTTGTTCTATACGTTTCACAAAGTGGGATATTAAGGTCTGTTAGTTATTGTTGATGATTTTTACACTCTTGAATTCTGTCAGCTGTTCTTCAAACAATTGAGCCTCTAATTAGGTATGTGTTTCATTGTAATTTGTATGTCTTCAAGATGGATTCTGTCTTTGTCATTAGAAAATGTCATTCTATCTCCAAGAAACAATTTTTATCTGGAAGTCTACTTTGTTCAAGATTAGCATAGCATTTTGTTACTGTTTGTATGATGTTTTCATCCTATTTATCTTTTGAATCTAAAGTGAGTCTCTAATAGTCAGCATATAGTGCATCATTTTTAAACCATTCCGCCAATCTCTTTCTTTTCATTGGAATATTTATTCCATTTATATTAATGCATTTACTGAGACAGGACTTTTCAGCTGCCCTATTGATATTTATTTTCTATATGTCCAATATATTTTTATTGCTGCATTCCATCATTACCACATTTTTTGTTAAATAGATATTTTCTAGTATATTATTTTAGTACTCTTCCTCTTTATTTTAATTTTAAAATTTATTTTTATAGTTGTTGCCTTGGGAATTATAATTAATTTATTAATTGATACAAATTGGTTTGAATTAACTCAATTTTAAATTATACAAAAACTTTGCTCCAGTATATCTTTATCCCCCATCTTTTTAGCTATTATTACCATATAGATTACATCTTTATGTATTATAAACCCATCAACAGCTTTATAATTATTGCTATATGCAGTTGTCTATTAAGCTACATATCAGGAGAAAAATATTACAAATAAAAAATCTAAACTGTCTTTTAACGTTAACTACATAGTTACTTTCCCCAGTATCCTTTATCTTTTTCTCTGGTTTCAAGTTACTATCTTGTGTCTTTTTATTTTAGCATGAAGCATAACCTTTAATATTTATTTTAGGGAAATATGGCTTGGTACCAATTCTACTAGCTTTGTTTATCTAGCACTATCTTAATTTCTGCTTTAATTTTAAAGAATAATTTTGCCAGATATAAAAGTCTTGGAAGAGTATTTTTATTCTAGTACATTGAATATGTTATCCCACTACCCTCTTATCTGTATAGTTTCTGGTGAGAAGTCAGCTGTTAATTTTATTGAGGAGTTCTTATACAAGATGAATCACTTTTCTCTTGCTGTTTTCTAGTTCTCTGTTTGTGTTTGGCATCAGATGTTGAAGCTGAACTTACTCCTATATTTACATCTAGTGATTTGAATAACTATATAAGTAAAAAACATATGCATCAAGAACATACAAAAATGTTAATAGCACCACCATTCCTAATGGCTTCAAACTAGGGCTATTTGTGATATGTCTAATGTTAAACAAAATAGAATGCATATACATATTTTACTAGATATTTTTATTACATATTTGAAACTATATATGTGTGCGTACATATATATCTACATATAAATATATACAGTTGGGATAAATCGAGTAATAAAAAAGCAGCATCATTACAAAAGTTGTAACAAGATTTGAGCTTTGAAGAATAAGTAGACACATTTTGTGATTTCAAAATATAAATAAAAATTTAGAAATAATAAAAGCTAGCTTGTAAGCAACTAAAATAGTTTCCTAAAAATTCAGGGAAAAATACTGGTATTTGTTTTAAGATAGATAAAAGATCAGATTTCTTCATAAAAATATTTTTAAAAGTCATGTAAAAATAAAGGGTGGGCCAGGCGCAGTGGCTCACACTTGTGATCCCAGCACTTTGGGAGGCCGAGGCGGGCAGATCACCTGTGGTCAGGAGTTCAAGACAAGCCTGGCTAACATGGTGAAACTTAGTTTCTACTAAAAATACAAAAATTCAGCTGGGCGTGGTGGCACACACCTGTAATCCCAGCTACTCCGGAGGCTGAGGCAAGAGAATTGCTTGAACCCAAGAGGCAGAGGTTGCAGAGAGCCTAGATCGCCCCATTGCAGTCCAGCTTGGGCAACAAAAGTGAAACTCGGTCTCAAAAAAAAAAAAGGTGGAAACCACTGTTAAAGACATGCTGAAATCCATCTACAAATAATAGCATAATAATTTTAAAAAACAATTGACACAACCTCAAAAATTGTCTGGTATAATTTAATTTTGTATATACAGTCTAAACCTAAAAGTATTATAGTAATTACATATAACAGTACACAATAAGAAATGATGCTTCCAAACAAAAGTTCAGTTAAACTTGATTTGCACTAAACTATATACGTTAACTTGCAATTTCTGGGACTAATGAATTAAAGAGAATATTTAGATTTTAGAGAAGTGAACATCATGAAAATTAGAAATGAGTTTATTAATAATGTCTTATTCTGTAAAGATCAAGGTTTTATATACATATATACACACATATATGTGTAAATAGTATAATAGTATTGTATTGTACTCTGTAACCAGATAAAAAAAATTTGCCATTCTCTAAAACTTTAACATTTAAATAAGGGAACTCTAGAGAATATAAGTGACATAAAGAACAAGCATTTTTTTTCTAAAGGGAGAATACATGTATACTGCATACACATAAAGATTTTCTTTGATAATATTATGCTATCAGAGCCTACTATCATGCATAGAAAATAGGTGTGCGTGCAAGAAAATGTTTTAATGAAGAAATAATTAATTGTGTCTTAATTTATTTCATTGATGTTTTCTCATTTTCAGTGTACAAATCTTTCACCTCCTCAGTAAAATTTATTACTAGTTATTTTTTTACACTATCATAAGTGAGCTTATTTTCTTGATTTCCTTCTCATCTGGGTCATTACTTGTATAGAAATGCTACTGATTTTTGTGTGTTGATTTTGTATCCTGTAACTTTACTGAATTTATTTATTAGTTCTAAAAGATTTTGTGAGGCCTTTAGGGTGCTCTACATATAGATATGCCATTTACTAATAAAAACACAGTATTGTGTTGCTTAGCACTTTCTTCATGACCATATATGATTGTAGTCCCTTAAGAATAACATAGAGCTAAAGAAAAACCCTTGTTGCCTAGTGACATTGTAGCCATCATGACATTATAAGCACAAGGCATTATTACTCATTTGTTTGTGGTCTTGCTGATGGGAGCAAATCTACTGTGCTGCAAGTCGTACAAAAATACTGTAATTCCATAATGCACAGTATATAATACTTGGCAATAATCATAAATGACTATGTTACTGTTTATGTATTTACCATACTATACTTTTTATTGTTATTTTAAACTGTATTCCTTTGATTTAGTTAAAAAAATAAGTTAGCAGTATAATAGCCTCAGGCAGGTTCTTCAGGAGGTATTCCAGAAGAAGGCATTATTGCAGAAGATGACAAAGCCATGTGTGTTATTATCCCTGAAGTCTTTCTAGTGGGACAAGATATAGAGATGGAAGAGAGAGACATTGTTCATTCTGGCCCTGTGTGGGCCTAGGCTAATGTGTGTGTATGTTTCTTTGTTTTTAACAAAAAGATTTAAAAGGTAAAAACGAAATAAAGTAATTAAAAATAGTAGAATAAGGATATAAAGAAAATATTTATGTGTAGCTGTACAGTGTCTTTGTGTTTTAATCTCAGTGTTATTATAAACGATTTAAAAAGTTAAAGAATTCAAAAGTTTAGAAATTTAAAAAAGGTATAGTAAGCTAAGGTAAATTTATTAGTAAATATATTTTAAAAATATATTTCATGTATACTAAGTGTACAGTGTTTATGACACAACACTGTGGTGTAGAGTATTGTTCTAGACCTTCATATTCACTCAGCACTCAACTTCCAGTACTGTAAGCTGCTTTCATAGTGAGTGCTCTATACAGGTGTACTATTTTAAATCTTTTATTCCATATTTTCACTGTACCTTTTCAATATTTAGCTATGTTTAGAAACACAAATACTTACCTTTGTTTTACAATTGCCTGCAGTATGTAATACAGTAACACGCTTACAGGTTTGTAGCCTGGGAGAAATAGGCTATACCATATAGCTTAGGTGTGTAGTGGGCCATACATTACACTCTATGATATTCACACGTGATGAAATCCCCTAATGACATATATCTCAGAATACATCCCCGTCATTAAGTAAAACATAACTGTAATTTTGCTTTTTTCTTTTCTACTTGATGTCTTTTCTTTTCTTTTCTGACTGCTCATGCTAGTACTTCTAGTACTATGATAAATAGAAGTGAGGAGATTGCTCATCCATGCCTTGTTCTGAACCTGAATGGAAAAACTTTTGGGTGAAATTACTATCTCATAAAAAATATATGCACTGCCATGTTCATTGCAGCATTATTTATAATAAAGAAACAACCTAATTGCCCATGATGGTCAAATGGATACAGAAAATGTGTCCATATACACAGTGGAATATTATTCAGTTTTAAATAGATGTACTTGGAGGACATTATGGCAAGTGAAATTAGCCAGACACGGAAAAAAATATTGCATGATCTCATTGAGAATGAAACAGTAGTTACCAAGGTTAGGGGTGCAGAAGAGATAGGAAGATGTGTGTCAAAGGATGCAAAACAGCAGATGTGTAGGATGAACAATTCTAGAGAGCTAATGTACCACATAAGGACCAAAATTAATAAAATTGTATTAGGGTTTCTGTTAAATAAGTAGAGTTTATCTGCTCTAGTCACAAAAAACTATGAGAGATGATAGGTATGTTAATATTCACAATAGTATTCTTTTACTATCTATACGGATTCTATAACATCATGTCATAAACCTCAAATAAACACAATGTAATTTATTTAAAAAATAAAATAATCCGATGCAATTATTTATTTGAGGTAAAACGTAAATTAATTACTATCTGTTTTACATGTTTTCACATGGGAAATAGGCAATTTTTCACATCAAGGATAACATCAATGTCTTTCTCTTAATGATGCCTGTTAAGTACAGGTACTAAACATAATAAAAGCGCTTATTTTATGGTGTACCTACCTATTATGAGTTATATCCTGTAAACTCTTTTCTAAATACCACATTATCTTTCCATATAAACCTTATTTTCCCATTTCTACAAATAAACAAGTTTTAGGGAGGTTGAGAATCTTGCCCAGGGTTTTACCTAATGGCAAGGGCCATGATTAAAATCCAGGTTAATTGTCCTGAATTCAAAGCACATTATCTCAACCTCTATGTTATAAGTTTTTATAAACCACATTCTACTAAAGATAAGCACTGTTTTATTTCTTTTCAGGAAATATTATAGTTTTTCACACTATTCCTTTGGAATTACCTATGTTTTCCAATGATAAAGCTAAGTCAAGGATGGCTATTTTTAAGACTACATATTAATAGATTTCTAAATAGATCTTGAATTTCTGAGTCTTTTTCAATATTAATTAACAGTGGGATGTACTACTTAGAAAATTATTTACTCAGAAAATATTTTTAAGTAGATACTATGTGTTAAAATTGAGTTAAATACTAATATTCATTGATGATTTATAACCAATTCCAATTAATATTTTTATTTATGCAATATTTGAGGTTAAAAATCCAACTATAACTTACCTTATATTTTGAAAAATTAGATACAAAGCAGGAAAATCTGTTTTAGCATGTTTGTTTAATATGTGTCCAAGAGTCTTGAACACTTACAGGAAAATGCAATATAAATTTAAATATTGATTATTTATAATTTCTAGAAGGTTATATTAGTTCACCGTATGCAATAAGAAACATTTCTATTAGAATAATTTTAGAGACAATATAAAGAGCTAGATTTTATGTGTATGTGTTTTAAGTGAGGAAACAGATCATCAGTAACTATCACTATAATGCATAATGTAGACTTGCAGCGTTAAAAGGAAAATCATCTCTCGACAGTAAATTTTCTGCAGCTTCATGCCAGGGTAGAAATAATTTCCTACTGTTCTAGCTCTTGATAGGTGATAGACAAGATAGAGAGCTAAATTTCTGTTCTTCTGTTTTGCTTGTAGTGGTCATTAAATTTCAATCTTTTAAATTTTAGATATGTGTTTCACCAAAAAATTATATCTCAAGCATATTCAAATTGTATTTTTAAACAGTTCAGAGCAAGACAAAATTGAGAAACATTATGATAATTATGTGTGTAGAATTTAAACTCTTAAAAACTGACTTCATAAGTCATTTGTAAGCTTTGTTAATACTGCCCATATGCAGAACCTGTTGGACTTAGTTATTGTCATTTTAATTTTATTTAATGTGATTACACTTAATTTAATTTTGTGTGATGTATTAAGTGACCTGCAAGAAAAAGTTGTAGAACTGTTAATGCTATTTATGATAAGCGACCACAATGTTAAGTGCCTATTAGTGGCTTAATAGCTGCTTTAATGATATACTGACATTAAAAAAAGTAAAATTATCAGTTACTGTCAAAATGAGAATATTTCCAAATATAATTTAAAGAGACAGTGGATTTAGTTTTACTTTAAAAAGATAACAGTGCATTAGCTTTTTAACAGTCTGTATTTTTCTAACACGTTCAGTGTATGTTAATTCATAGTAGGTCACTGCAAAAAGTGGTCACTGTGTAATTTTTAAAAATTCAAACTAATCCATATATACAAAATTTGAAATGTTAGAAATTCTGTCAAAGTAATTACTTGAAACACAGGCAGCAAATAAGTTTATGATATCTTAAGAAAATTTTATATTTATATTTATTTTAGAAATTATAAATATTACTATATAGATAAAGTAACATAGATTACTTACTCACAGGTTAGGGTTTTTTCTTCCACTCATTTAGAAAACTTAATTTAATTGCTCCCTATCTTTACTTATATTTGACAAAGATTATAAGGGACACCCTAATCACTTTTTTCAATTTAAAGAATTGACCATCAAAATATAGGGACAGAAGGGGTATTCAAAAACTTTATAAACATATAATAATGAGAATCATTAGAGAAAAAAGACAGGTCTCATAAAATATTAAATAGAACTTTTTTTATTATGATACTTTAAGTTCTAGAGTACATGTGCACAAGGTGCAGGTTTGTTACATATGTATACATGTGCCATGTTGGTGTGCTGGACCCATTAACTCACCATTTACATTAGGTATATCTCCTAATGCTATCCCTCCCCTGTCCCTCCACCCTACCACAGGCCCCAGTGTGTGATGTTCCCCTTCCTGTGTCCAAGTGTTCCCATTGTTCAATTCCCACCTATGAGTGAGAACATGTGGTGTTTGGTTTTTGTCCTTGCAAAAGTTTGCTGAGAATGATAGTTTCCAGCTTCATCCATGTCCCTAAAGGGACATGAAGTCATCCTTTTTTATGGCTGCATAGTATTCCATGGTGTATATGTGCCACATTTTCTTAATCCAGTCTATCATTGATGGACATTTCGGTTAGTTCCAAGTCTTTGCTATTGTGAATAGTGCCAAAATAAACATATGTGTGCATGTGTCTTTATAGCAGCATGATTTATAATCCTTTGGGTATATACCCAGTAATGGGATGGCTGGGTCAAATGGTATTTCTAGTTCTAGATCCTTGAGGAATCACCACACTGACTTCCACAATGGTTGAACTAGTTTACAGTCCCAACAACAGTGTAAAAGCGTTCCTATTTCTCCACATCCTCTCCAGCACCTGTTGTTTCCTGACTTTTTAATGATCGCCATTCTAACTGGTGTGCGATAGTATCTCATTGTGGTTTTGATTTGCATTTCTCTGATGGCCAGTGATGATGAGTACTTTTTCATGTGTCTGTTGGCTGCATAAATGTCTTCTTTTGAGAAGTGTCTGTTCATATCATTAGCCCACTTTTTGATGGGGTTCTTTGTTTTCTTCTTGTAAGTTTGTTTGAGTTCTTTGTAGATTCTGGATATTAGCCCTTTGTCAGATGAGTAGATTGCAAACATTTTCTCCCATTCTATAGGTTGCCTGTTCACTCTGATGGTAGTTTCTTTTGCTGTGCAGAAGCTCTTTAGTTTAGTTAGATCCCATTTGTCAATTTTGGCTTTTGTTGCCATTGCTTTTGGTGTTTTAGACATGAAGTCCTTGCCCATGCCTATGTCCTGAATGGTATTGCCTAGGTTTTCTTCTAGGGTTTTTATGGTTTTAGGTCTAACATTTAAGTCTTTAATCCATCTTGAATTAATTTTTGTATAAGTTGTAAGGAAGGGATCCAGTTTCAGCTTTCTACATATGGCTAGCCAGTTTTCCCAGCACCATTTATTAAATAGGGAATCATTCCCCCATTTCTTCTTTTTGTCAGGTTTGTCAAAGATCAGATGGTTGTAGATATGTGGTATTATTTCTGAGGGTTCTGTTCTGTTCCATTGGTCTATATCTCTGTTTTGGTACCAGTACCATGCTGTTTTGGTTACTGTAGCCTTGTAGTATAGTTTGAAGTCAGGTAGTGTGATGCCTCCAGCTTTGTTCTTTTTGCTTAAGATTGTCTTCGTAATGCGGGCTCTTTTTTGGTTCCATATGAACTTTAAAGTAGTTTTTTCCAATTCTGTGAAGAAAGTCATTGGTAGCTTGATGGGGATGGCATTGAAACTATAAATTGCCTTGCGCAGTATGGCCATTTTCACAATATTGATTCTTCCTATCCATGAGCATGGAATGTTCTTCCATTTGTTTGTGTCCTCTTTTATTTCATCGAGTAGTGGTTTGTAGTTCTCCTGGAAGAGGTCCTTCATATCCCTTTTAAGTTGGATTCCTGGGTATTTTATTCTCTTTGAAGCAATTGTGAATGGGAGTTCACTCATGATTTGGCTCTCTGTTTGTCTGTTGTTATTATTATTATTATTTTTTAATTATTTTTTTTTGTATTTTTTGTGGGGGCGGGGTGGGGGGGGGCGGTCCTCTCCACGTTGGACAGGCTGGTCGCGAACTCCCGACCTCAAGTGATCTGCCCGCGTCGGCCTCCCAAAGTGCTGGGATTACAGGCGTGAGCCACCGTGCCCAGCCTGTCTGTTATTATTAAGTTTGAAATCAACTTCTTTTTACTGTGATCTATGCAAAAATGTTTATGGTTTATGTTTTGTGAATGAATTATTTGTATAAATATTTATATTTTGTGAAAAAATTATTAATTTGATACTTTTATTTATATTTTTAAAAATTTTATACAAATGCAATTATATCTAATTTACATATAAATAGAATTTAAATTCTATACAGCTTTAGAAAACCCAGAATTGATTTTCATAAACAAAGGTCAGTAATAGTTTCAGTAATAATAACAATAAATTTCCAGGTAAACCCAGGAATATGGGATGTCACAACATAAAATATATATTAACTATTTATCAGTGAGAACTGTCTGTATGAGCCTGTCTATTCAGAAAAGGAAAAAAAGAAAGGAAAGAATGAAAAAACAAAGAAACCCAAATGCTCAACTAAACTGTTTGGATGATAGTCTTAACAAATGAAATGGATTGAGCACATTGTTTGTACACTGCCCTGTGTTTTGACTATTAAAAAAACAAATACCAAAATGTAGTCTTAATGATACAAAGAATAGAAAAGGAGAAAACTACACTCATGATGTCAGTTAATTTTTGAAAATTTGAAATGATGGAGTCGTGAAACAATCAGGTACTTTAATATCTACTACAAAAAAGTGATGTAAGCTGTTTCACACTGTAGGACCCAATAAATATTCCCAAATTGTATGAGGTGGGTACCTCAAAATGCATAGGTGAGAAATGGGATGAATATTAATGAATTTATTCGAAGTCTGTATATAAAGTATTCAGAATTGCAATTCCTCTTTTTTACCTAGGCCGGAGATGGAGGCTTTATTCCCTAAAAAAAAATTGAAACATACAATATCTGGGCCTGAGGCACATTGCACTCCAGGGGATGAGAAAAGATGCTTGAACTGTGAACAGTGGGGCTTCTCAGAAATCTAAATCTTCTAGCTCCCGGAATGCTACCAGAAAGCTTGTTTCACCACCTCTGTGGCCAAGAGCCCTATATTCCCTGCTCAAATAATAGAGTAAAGCATGCTCTCTAGAGGAATGCTTGGCCAAAAGAGTAAAATGGAATATTTAGATTCTACACGTGTTTTCTCAAAACAAAGAGACCAATTCGATTCCAGCTACTTCGGAGGCTGAGGCAGGAGAATGGCGTGAACCCGGGAGGCGGAGCTTGCAGTGAGCCAAGATCGCGCCACTGCACTCCAGCCTGGGCGACAGAGTGAGACTCCGTCTCAAAAAAAAACAAAAACAAAAAAAAACCAAAAAAATTCCTCCACATTCAACTCCTGCTTCTCCACTGCTCCCAATCAGCTTTTAAGTTTTGCACTCAGTTTTTCATTTAAAGAGTTAAGAATTAATATACAGTTGACCGTTAGACAACATGAGGTCTAGGGATGACCCTTGCACTGTTTAAAATTCACATATAACCGTTGCCTCTCAAAAAACTTAACTACTAATAGCCTGCTGTTGACTGAAAGCTTTAGCAATAACATAAATAGTTGATTAACCAATTCTGTATATTGTATACTGTATTCATGCAATAAAACAAGCTATAGAAAAGAAAATGTTATTTAAAAACTCATAAGATGAAATATATTTAATATTCATTGAGTGGAAATGGATCATTTTAAAGGTCTTTACCCTGTTGTTTTCATGTTGAGGAATCTTAGGAGAAGAAGAAAGAAAAGGGGTTTGTCTTGCTATATCTGGAGTGGCAGAGTGAAAGAAAATATGTATGTAAGTGGACCCACGCAGCTCTAACCTATGTTGTCCAAGAGTCACCTGCACATGGTAGAAAACTTATCAAGAGGAGGTGGAGCAAGATGGCAAAATAGAAGCCTCCACTGATCATCCCCTCACAAAGACACCAATTTAACAACTATCTACACATAAAAGCACTTTCATAAGAACCAAAAATTACGTGAGCATTCACAGTACCTGGTTTTAACTTCATGTCACTGAAAGAGACACTGAGGAGGTAGAAAAAAGTCTTGAATTGCTACCACCCCTCTATCCCCCCGCAGTGGCAGCTTGGTGCAGAGAGAGAATCTGAGCTACTTGGGAGAGGAAGAGCACAGCAATTGTGAGACAGTGCATTGAACTCAGTCCTGCTCTGTTATAGAAGAAAGCAAAGCCGGAAAAACTCAGCCAATGCCAGCAGACAGAGGGAGCATTTAGCCCAGTACTAAACAGAGAAGACTCACTCATCCCAGCAGTTGGAACCTAGGTTCCTGCATGCTTCGCTACCACAGGCTAAAGTGCTCTGGGGATCTCAATAAGTTCGAAATGCAGTCTAGGCCACAAGGACTGCAACTCCAAGGTTGCAGGAGTGCTGAACAGGGCTCAGAGCCTGGGGACTTCGGGGACTTGCAGCCTACTGAGACACCAGGTGGGGTAGCTAAGGGAGTGCTGGTGCCACACCTCCCCTAACTCCACGTTCCACAGCTCATGACTCCAAAAAGGACCCCTTCCTTCTGCTTGAGAAGAAGAGAGGAAATAGAGGGAAAACCTTTGACTTGTATCACAAATACTAGCTCAGTCACATCAGGAAAGGGCACCGGTCAGTCATGAAAGCCTCTGTCTTCTCAGTGAGAAGAGGAGTGAGTTTGAATAGAATGGGAAGCAATTTTGCCTTAAGCAGTACCCAGCTTGACTTTCCCCTTTAGCTTAGTGATTTTGGGGCTCCAAGATTTATTTTCCTTTCACAGTGTGTATGATCAGAGCATGAACAGATTATTCACAAAAAACAAATCAAATATACATGTAAAAGATGTTTCTTCATGATTAATCATAAAAAAATAATTTAACCTGTAATTATGTGAAAATATATATAAGTAGTACTACTTATATTATATATTATAATATATATTATATATGCATATATATGCATAATATAAATGCATATGACTTCTAGACTGTGGAGTTATGGTAGTTATTTTTTTTACTTTAATAAGTAAATGTAATTATAATAGAATGTGACCTTTTTGTTAAAACATTAAATTAACTGGGATAATATATATATATATTTGTACTACTTATTATTTTATATATATAATATTAACATAGTAGTACTTATATATTATAACATTATAATATAGAAGCAGTAGGAATATATATATATATTAGTAGTAAGAAGCTTTGATAAGGATAGAAAGAAATACATGTTCTTATATGTTTTTGGTAGAAGTTTTTATAAAAAATTTCTGAAAAGTATTTTATTAATATGTATCAATATGTGATATATATATATATTTTGACAAACATTTCTACTTCTAGAGTTGCTCTCTAATGAAATAATTTGATTAACATGAGAATAACTTGTAATTTGTAAAACTGAACTCATAAATCTTCAAATTTATGGTAAATATGAATTGTGCAAAATAAGAATAACTGAAAAAACCCAAATAACCACAAACATATGGATTTTGTTAAACTATGGTAGACATATGGTATAATTTTTTTGTTAAACTATGGTAGACATATGGTATAATTTGGTACTATGAAATTCTTGATGTGATAAGTATATCTTATGTGTTGTTTTAATCCAGTCAACAATTTACACTTATTAAGGTCAATGTAGTTGAAAAATGATCTCATTTTATAACTTTTTTTTTTTTTCTGAGACAGTGTCTCCCTCTGTCACCCAGGCTGGAGTGAGGTGGCATGATCTCGGCTTACTGCAACCTCTGCCTCCCGGGTTCAAGTGATTCTCCTGCTTCAGCCTCCCGAGTAGCTGGGATTATAGGAGCCTACCACCACGCCTGGCTACAATTTTTTTTTGTACTTTTAGTAGAGATGGGGTTTCGCCATGTTGGCCAGACTGGTCTAGAACTCCTGACCTCAAGTGATCCACCCCGGCTTGGCCTCCCAAAGTGCTGGGATTACAGGCGTGAGCCACCTCACCCGGCTGAGAACTGTTTTTAAGAAATAGGGTTCACTGGGCCGGGCGTGGTGGCTCACACCTGTAATCCTAGCATTTAGGGAGGCTGAGACGGGCGTATCACGAGGTCAGGAGATCGAGACTATCCTGCCTAACACAGTGAAACCCAGTCTCTACTAAAAATACAAAAAATTAGCCAGGCGTGGTGGCGGACACCTCTAGTCCCAGCTACTCGGGAGGCTGAGGCAGGAGAATGGCTTAAACCTGAGAGGCGGAGCTTGCAGTGAGCCGAGATCGGCCACTGCACTCCAGCCTGGGCGACACAGCGAGACTCCGTCTCAAAAAAAAAAAAAAAAGAAAGAAATAGGGTTCACTGGAACCTCGGAGATCACACCACGGCACTCCAGCCTGGGCGGCAGGGTAAGAGCTTGTCCCAGAAAAAAAAAAACAAAAAACAAGGGTTGACCAATGCTTAAACACAACTGTTTTACATGTCAGAATTTATGATATTTCACAACCAATATGCAATATAGGAATTATTTTTAAATCGAATATGTTTTTAGATTTTTAATTTTTCTAAATTAAATAGCAGTCTGTTTAATTTAAGGTAGGGACAAACTTTTTCTAGCATAGATATATGTTTTTGGTATAATGTTTAGTGATACGTTAGTAAAAGTATAATAAAATCAAATTATTTGCAAATCAATATACTGAAAATTTATGGACAAATATATAACCATATGAACAATGATTATCTCACTTTTTAGTATTTTGTTTAGTTTTTTTAAGTACAATACTTTTTTTATTTTTCCTGTGGTGCATAATATAGTTGTAATGGTTAACATTGAGTGTCAACTTGATTGGATTGAATGATACAAAGTATTGATCCTGCATGTGTCTGTGAGGGTGTTGCCAAAAGAAATTTACCTTTGAGTCAGTGGGCTGGGAAAGGCAGACCTACCCTTAATCCAGGTGGGCACAATCTAATCAGGTGCAAGCATGGCTAGAATATAAACAGGCAGAAAAATGTGGAAAGAGAGACAGGCCTAGCCTCCCAGCAAACATCTTTCTCCCATGCTGGATGCTTCCTGCCCTCAAACATCAAACTCCAATTTCTTCAGCTTTGGAACTCAACTTGTTCTCCATGCACCTCAGCCTGCAGACAGCTTATTGTGGGACCTTGTGATTGTGTGAGTTAATACTTAATAAACTCCTCTCTCTCTCTAAATATATATATATATATATATATATATATATATATATACACACACACACACACACACACAAAATTATATGTTATATATTATATATGATGTAATATATAATATAATATATTTTTATATTACATATTATATATTAAATATACAATTACAATATATTATATTAATACATAATTATAATATAGTATATTAATATATAATTATAATATATTTATATATAATTATATAATATATAATCTGTTATATATAATATATATAAAATCTCCCTCTATATAGAATATACATATTATATATATTATATTCTATTAGTTCTATCCCTCTAGAGAACCGTGACTAATACGAATTTTGGTACCAGGAGTGATTCTAGAGCAACAGAAGAGTAAGAATGGAATTCTTTCATTGGTTTTGGGGTTTCTACAGTTGGTTGCTTAATATGATTAGACCCCAAAATGCTAAGGACTCTACTTCTAATATTATGAAGAGCACTGATAGTCCTTGGCAGAAACTGTTTAGAGAGTTTTGCAAAACAAATGCATTTGACACTCCTGGTTCACTGTTCATGAGGGGCACGGAGTTTAGTGACTATACATAATAACTTTGAAGATAGTTGGAGAACCAACACACATAATGAAGCTGGTTAGTTGCTCCTAAATTCAGTGGACAAAGTGATGAAAGAAAATGACGAACTCAGGGATTCTATCTCCCACCTTCAGAAGCAGATACTGAGCCTCAAATCTGCTAAGACTGCCCTGAGTGAGAGTCATATCTCCTGTAGAGAAAGAGCTGGAATTGTAGAAAAACAGACACAAGTTCTTGTCATGAGAGTGGCTGACCTGCAATGAAAGGTGCCTGCACAGCCTCGCCAGGTGGCTACTGTTGAAGTGAGAGTATTACTGGAAAAGAATGAAACCCTGCAACTTGGAATGGAATGCAGACATGTGGCGAGACCCTAGTAAAGTTGAGGACACTGAGCTTGTAAACTCTGATAGACCTTTTTTGCCAAAAGAAACAGCTGCCCCATCTCCAGTAGTGGCCACATCACCTGCCTGACCCATGCTGCCATTCGCCTTTTCACCTTTGTCTGAGGAGATAAATCCTGCCCTGCCTGAGGCAACAGTGATGGCCTCCCCCAAGGCAGTTGCCAGGCAAGATAACATTGATTCTCTTCAGGAGCCACCTCCAACACCCATGTTTGCTTCTAGACCTCTAACTAGACTAAAGTTACAGCGGGCCCTTAGAGGTGAAGTTGAGAGTGTGATCCATGAGGAGGTGCACTACGCTCGAAAAGAACTGCTTGAGTTCTTTAATTTATATAAGCAGAAATCTGAAGAAAAGGCATGGGAATGGACATTAAGGGTGTGGGAGAATGGTAGAAGGAATACGGAATTGAATCAGGCTGAATTTATTGATTTGGGGTCACTAAGTAGGGACTTGGAATTTAATATTGCAGCTCAGGGAGTTAACAAAGGTTCTAATAGTTTATTTGCTTTTTTAGCTGAAATATGGATTAAAAGATGGCACACTGCGAGTGAGCTGAGAATATCTGATCTCCCTTGGTTTAATGTAGAGAAAGGGATCCAAAGACTTAGGAAGATTAAGCTGGTGGAGTCGATTAGTCACTTTAGAACTACTCATCCAAGCTGGGAGGGTCCAGAAGATATACCCTTGACCAATGCCTTGTGAAATAGATTTGTGAGGGCGGTACCTGCGTCTTTGAAGAGCCCTGTAATTGCTTTTTTCTGTATGTCAGATCTAATGGTAGGAACTGCAGTCACTCAACTAAAAAATGTAAAATACAATGGGAATAATTTGATTCCAGGATGGCAGGGGCCAAATGGCAGCACTCAACCGTCAAAGGCAAGGTGGGCGTAGATACTGTAATGGACAAACAGCAGAGACAAAGCAGCAATCAGAATACTCTTACTTGTGTAGAGATCTGGCATTGGCTAACTAACCATGGGGTTCCTAGAAATGAAATTGATAGGAAGCCTACTGCATTCCTACTTAATTTATACAAGCAGAAAACTTCTAGGTCAAATGGACAGAAAACTAATTCAAATTGTAAAAAGAGAGAATCATAGCCCCTCAATCAGTCTCCAGACTTGAGCCAGTTTACAGACCCAGAACCCCTTGAGTGAAGGGGAGGTCGGGTCCCCTTGAAGTAGGACACCACTGAATACCAACAATTTATGCAGTGAATCTTTCACTCATTCTTCCCCAAGGAGACTACTGTCCTTTCACCAGGGTAATTGTGCACTGGGGAAAGGGAAATAATCAGACATTTTGGATACTACTGGACTCTGGCTCTGATCTGATATTGATTCCAGGGGATCCAAAACCTAATATGGTCCTCCAGTTAAAGTAGAGGCTTATAGAGGTCAGGTAATTAATGGAATTTTTGCTTAGGTCCCACTTATAGTGGTTCCAGTGGTTCCCTGGACTCATCCTGTAGACATTTTCCCAGTGCCAGAATGCATAATTGACATAGACATACTTAGCAGTTGGCAGAACCCCCACATTGGCTCCCTGACTTGTATGGTGACGGCTATTATGATGGGAAAGGCCAAATGGAAGCCATTAGAGCTGCCTCTACCTAGGAATTTATAAATCAAAAACAATATTGCATCCCTGCAGGGATTGTGGAGATTAGTGTGCCACCATAAAGGACTTGAAAGATGCAGAGGTCATGAATCCCACTACATACCCGTTCAACTCTCCCATTTGGCCTGTGCAGAAGACAGATGGACCTTGGAGAAGGAGAGTGGATTCTTGTAAGCTTAACCAAGTGGTGACTCCAATTGTAGCTGCAGATGTGGTTTCATTGCTTGAGCAAATTAACACATCTCTTGGTAGCTGGTATGCAGCCACTGAGTCGGCAAATGCCTTTTTCTCCATTCCTGTCCATAAGGCCCACCAGAAACAATTTGCCTTCAGCTGTCAAGGACAGCAATATATTTTTACTGTACCACCTCAGTGGTAGATAAATTATCTGGCTTTGTGTCATAATCTTGTTTGGAAACACTTTGATAGATTTTCGCTTCCATGAGATATCACACTGGTCTGTTACATTGATGACATTATGCTGATTAGGTCCAGTGAGCAAGCAGTAACAAACTCACTGGACTTATTGGTGAGACATTTGCGTGCCAGAGGATGGAAAATAAATCCAACTAAAATTTACGGACCTTCTATCTCAGTAAGATTTCTAGGGGTTCAGTGGTGTGGGACCTGTGGAAATATTCCTTCTAAGGTGAAGGATAGGTTGCTGCATTTGGCCCATCCTACAACCATGAAAGAGGTACGATTCCTAGTGGGCCTATTTAGTTGTGTTACTCTGACCTATTTATTGAGTGACCTGAAAGGCTGCCAGTTTTGAGTGGGGTCCAGAACAGGAGAAGGCTCTGCAACAGGTCCAGGCTGCTGTGCAAACTTCTCTGCCACTTGGGCCACATGATCCAGCAGATCCAATGGTGCTTAAGATGTCAGTGAAATATAGGTATGCTGTTTGGAGCCTTTGGTGGGCCCCCATAAGTGAATCACAGCAGACGCCTCTAGGATTTAGGAGCAAGACCCTGCCATCTTCTGCAGATCGCTACTCTCCTTTTGAAAGTCAGCTTTTGGCCAGTTACTGGGCTTTGGTGGATAATGAACGTTTGACTATAGGTCATCAAGTCACCATGTGACCCGAACTATCTATCATAAACTGGGTATTTTCCAACCCATCTAGCTATAAAGTGGGTTTTGCACAGCAGCATTCCATCATCAAATAAAAGTGGTATATATGTGACTGGACTCGAGCAGGTCCTGAAGGCACAAGTAAGTTACATGAGGAAGTGGATCGAATGCCCATGGTCTCCACCCCTTCCACCCTGGCCTCTCTCCCCCAGCCTGCACCAATGACCTCATGGGTAGTTTCCTATGATACATTGACAGAGGAAGAGAAGACCAGAGCCTGGTTCACAGATGAGTCTGCACGATATTCAGACAACACTCAAAAATGGACAGCGGCGGCACTACAGTCCCTCTCTAGCACATCCCTGAAGGACAGCAGTGAAGGGAAATCTTCTCAGTGGGCAGAACTTCGAGGAGTGCACCTGACTGTGCACTTTGCATGGAAAAATAAATGGCCAGATGTCTGATTATATACTGATTAATGGGCTGTGGCCAATGGTTTGGCTAGATGGTCAGGGACTTGGAAGAATGATGATTGGAAAATTGGTGACAAAGAAATTTGGGGAAGAGGCATGTGGCTGAACCTCAATGAGTGGTCAAAACTGTGAAGATATTTGTATCCCATGTCAGTACTTACCAATGGGTGACCTCAGCAGAGGAGAATTTTAATAATCAAGTGGATAGGATAACCCATCTGTGGACACCACATAGCCTCTTTTCCCAAGCACCTCTGTCATCACCCAATGGGCCCATGAACAAAGTGGTCATGATGGCAGGGATGGAGGTGACGCATGGACTCAGCAACATGGACTTCCACTCACCAAGTCTCACCTGGCTATGGCCTCTGCTGAGTGCCCAATTTTCCAGCAGCAGAGACCAACACTGAGCCCTTGATATGGCAGCATTCCTCGAGGTGATTAGTGAACTACCTGGCAGCAGGTTGATGATATTGAACCTCTTCCATCATGGAAAGGGCAGAAGTTTGTCCTCACTGGAATAGACAGTTACTCCGGATATGGGTTTGCCTTTCCTGCATGCAATGCTTCTGACAAGACTACCATCCGTGGACTCATGGGATGCCTCATCCACCATCATGGTATTCAACACAGCATTGCCTCTGACCAAGGCACTCACTTTACAGCTAAAGAAGTGCAGCAGTGGGCTCATGCTCATGAAATTCACTGGTTTTACTATGTTCCCTATTATCCTGAAGCAGCTGGATTGATAGAACAGTGGAATGACCTTTTGAAGTCACAATTACAATGCCAACTAGGTGACAAAACTTTGCAGGGCTGAGATAAAGTTCTCCAGAAGGCCCTGTATGCTCTGAATGAGCATCCAATATATGGTACTGTTTCTCCCGTAAATGAAGATTCATGGGTCCAGAAATCGAGGTGTGGAAGTGGAAGTGGCACCACTCACCATCACCCATAGTGATCTGCTAGTAAAATTTTTGCTTCCTGTTCCCATGACATTACATTCTGCTGGCCTGGAGGTTTTTGTTCCAGAGTGGGGAACGTTGCCACCAGGAGACACAACAATGATTCCATTAAACTGGACGTTAAGATTGCCACCTGGATACTTCCTCCTCCTACCTTTCAATCAACAGGCTAAGAAGGTATTTGGAGTGACTGACCCTAAGTATCAAGATGAAATCAGTTTACTACTCCACAGTGGAGGTAAGGAAGAGTATTCATGGAATATAGGAGATCCATTAGGGCATCTGTTAATATTACCATGTCCTGTGATTAAGGTCAATGGGAAACTACAACAGCTCAATCCAGGTAGGACTGCAAACGACCCAGACCCTTCAGGAATGAAGATTTGGGTTACTCCACCAGGAAAAACACCACAGCCTGCTGAGGTGCTTGCTGAAGGCAAAGGGAATACAGAATGAGTAGTAGAAGAAGATAGTCATCAATAGCAGCTATGACCATGTGACTAGCTGCGGGAACTGTAACTGTCATAAGTATTTCCTCCTTCTTTTGTTAAAAATATGTTTGTGCATGTATACACTTGTACTTAAAAAAACTTCATTTTATTTCCTTTCTCCTTTATCATATGAAATAAGATTTATTGCCTTCACATCAGCATTTAAGTATTGTTAACTTCATGTAGTAGTATTTGGGTTGGAAATGTATTTGGTGTGTCCCGGTTGTATGAAGGATAGTTGTATTATGTTAGGCTTAATTATGACCTTTGTATTATAAGGGGGGCATGGTAGGCCAGGGTCGTCTTGGGAAACGCAACATTTGGCACAAAGGCAGGAGTGCCTGTCTCACCTTGGTCTGTGGGCACAGGCCCCGGGATGGAGCCCTCACCAGGGACCCACCTTTCTCCTCCAGCACTTGTCTGTCCCACTTCCATATCACTAGATAGATGTCCATGGTTCTTTTTTCAAATTTTAAAATAAATGTATGTTTTATAACATTACATAAAGCTAGAGATATGTGAAATTGTTTTTTTTTTTTTTAAAAAAAACTAGAATTTGGGGTCTCAAATATCAGAGAACCTATTGGGTTAGAATACGGTAACCTAATAAGTAGAACATTGGTGTCACTGGGAGTTGTTTATTATTTATTTTATACATCTTTATCAAATCTCATATGTCTTCCCCAGAGAGCATGATTTCAAATACCTAGGTAGTTTGCCATGTTTAAAGAATCAGAATATTCAAGGTAGATCCCAGCAAATTATATTTCAATAATCTTTGAGATATTTGGTTTTCATAATTAAGCCTGAGAACCTATGGTTTAAATACCTTAGTAAGGTATTTGCTATTAACTAATTTCAAATACTCCAGAGGAGGTAAGAGCTATTTTTCTAATTTTCTTCATTGATTTGTCTTCAATGAATGTCAGCCCCTAATGAGTTTCTGAGAGTGCATTCTTCCTGTGGTATCCACTCCTCTTTTCTCTTATTCTTGCTTTCCCTCAGTTTGGTTATTGGCTTTAAAGAGGAGAAAAGAAGCAAACTTTTACCTTAGGTCATCTGAAGATAGCCTTTTATGAATGATTGAAGACTTCCAAGAATAATAGTAATATCACTGCAATCAGATAATGCAAGATTTATATAGTACTCTGTGTAATAGTCACAATGATATATTACATGGCTACTGTAATTGAGGAACATAAATATAAAGTTCTGGGAATGAGCTTAATTTGATCACGTAATTCTAAATGATGCACATTAATATTAATGTATTATACTCAAATATAATTTGGGTTATATAAATTCCCACAAAATGTCATATTAAATGATTATGATTAGCATTAACTTAATAAACATAAAATAAATTATTGTCAAACCATTATTTTAAAATTACTCATGATGTATAAATAATGCAAGAAGTATGTCAAAAATTAATAAATATTTTTACATAACAGTTCCTTGGTATGGTAGAGTAGTTGCACAAAAGACCAGAATAATTCTTGCTTCATTTTGTAGTATGACTTCACAGATTCTCTTATCAAGAAATTGGGGCTTATTTGCTCAATCCTTGAGACTGGGCTGGCTCTATGACTTGTTTTGTCCAATGGAATGCTGCAAAACTGATTCTGTAAATTTCTAGGCTTTGTGACTTCTTTTCTCACCCTTATTAAATGTTTCTCTGAAATCAACATTTAAAGACCATTATTCTCTTGTACAGAAGGCTGAAAATACCTGTGGAGCAATTGGCAATGACCAGAAGAGTTAGTGCAGCTATATTTGACCACCCAGTCACAGTTGAGTCACAGATGACTGCACCTGCATGGGTTACCCCAGGAGTGAAAAACCAGAAGAAGTGTTCAGCTGAGCCCAATCAAATTGCTGAAACTCCTGAGCAAATAATAGGATTATTGTTTTTAGCCACTAAATTCCAAGGTGGTTTCACATTTAGCAATGTAAACAGATTGACTTGGATGAAATTTTAAAATTATACTATTTCATATTTAGATTTATTTTTCATAATCATCATAAACATTTTAGATATAGTGAGGAAATATCAGACAAAAATATCAGATAATACAATGCACTGTTTAGAATAGGAAGTAATATTTTGGAGCAAGTACTGTGTGCTAAGATATTGCTAAAGGATGTGTTTTATGTTTATGCTGAATAATCCCATATAATATGACATAGATATATAGGTATAATTATATATATGTAAGCTACATCTACTTTACACGTATGAAAGGAATACAGTGTAAAGATGAATAACTTAATCACTGACATATGAGCAGAATTGAAAAGCAAGCCTGACTGTGTCTGAATTCAGAGGATATCTTTTTTCAGTAGAGCATAGTAAAAATTCATAACATAGAATTTCAATAGAGCATAGTAAAAATCCATTAAAATCATATTTTTCCATTGTGTAGCTTTAAATACAGATAATTTTTATGAAGCTAGTCAATCAATAGATATTAAACTTTACTATATATTAGACATTTGGTTAGATCTTGTGATTTAATTGTGAACAACATGGAAATACTATCAGAGCCTAATAGGGATTCCATTTGACTGTTTAGAAAACATTGATTAGCCATTAAATAAAAATATTGTCTTGACAATAATTATGATTTTTAATTACATACTTGCATTTAGAGACATAATTTCAATTGCATATCAAGAAAAGCTGCTATGAAGGTGCTATGATGTGAATGTCCCCTCCAAAACTGTTGTTGAAACTTTATCCTCAATGTGGCAGTATGGAAAAATAGGTATATTAAGAGGTGATAGGATCATGAAGACTTTGCCTTCATGAATAGATTAATCCATTCATAGATTATGGATTAATGGGTCATCATGGGGGGGGGGGAACTGGTAGTTTTAAAAGAAGAGGAAAAGAGACCTGAGCCAGCACATTAGTACACGCAGCCCCCTTGAGATATGAGGCCGCCCACCACCACCAGCAAGAAGATTCTTATCAGATGTGGGCCCCTCAACCTTGGACTTCTCCGCCTTCATAGTCATAATAAACAAATCCCTTTTCTTTACAACTTGTCCAGTTGCAGGGCAAGCAACAGAAAGCAGACTAAGAAGTAGTAACATTTTAGGCTTGAAGAATGATCAGCTATTAAGCAGAGGGATCATTAGGGGAAGAACATTTCAGGAAGAAAAAACTAGAAGTTTCATGCAACAAAGTTAAAAAAAAGATTGATACTCTCAAGAAACTGAAAGTCACTAAGAATGATGGACTATGAAAAAAAGAGAAAGGAAAGCTATAAGAAAGAGCTGGGGAGGTATGCAGAAGCCAGACATTGTAGGACCTTGAAGGACACAGTAAAAATTATGTGTTTTCTAAGGATTACTGACAATCAACAATGAGCTTTAAACAGTGTAATAAACAATTATGTTTTCTAGGCAGATTTTGTTTTTCTTTGTGTTCCTGGATCCACTGTCTGAATGGAGGAAACTCTGGCTAGAAGAAACAAGCACCAAAATAAAAATAATTGGTTTCCTAAGCACTGAAATAGTTATTATCATAGATGCCCCTTTTTACTGACGTGAAAAACTTTTCAGGTAATATACTTAGTTGTGTTTTTGCGTGATCTTTCATTTTACACATCTTTAACATTACTACATTTTGGCAATTTATCTTCAAGGTGATTGTAACAATTTATACATTTTCCAACAGTACTTGTGTTATCGTTGTCTCAAATTCCTTTCAAGAGTATAATGTTTTTGTTTGTTTGTTTTTTGTTTTTTGTTTTTTTGAGACGGAGTCTCGCTCTGTCGCCCAGGCTGAAGTGCAATGGCGTGATCTCGGCTCACTGCAAGGTCCGCCCCCCGGGTTCACGCCATTCTCCTGCCTCAGCCTCCAGAGTAGCTGGGACTGCAGGCTCCCGCCACCACACCCGGCTAATTTTATTTTTGCATTTTTAGTAGAGACGGGGTTTCACCGTGTTAGCCAGGATGGTTTCGATCTCCTGACCTCGTGATCCGCCCGCCTCGGCCTCCCAAAGTGCTGAGATTACAGGCATGAGCCACCCCGCCCGGCCGAGAAGTTTTTAATTTATGATCTTACATGAATTAAATATCAATTCATTTTTTAACATTTTATTGCAAATCTCAATATTGTATTGACCATACAGGTAGCCCTTTAAAATTTTTCTCTATAAAAACATTTTCATCAAAAGGTTTTAATGTGGTTTTTTTGACACTTAGCATTTAATCCACTTAGAATCAACTTTTTTGTGCATTATGAGGCAGAAGAAAATTTTATTTACTGTTTTCTACATTGGTAGCCAATTTCCCCAAAATAATTTAAGTCATCTTTTCTTCCCTGTGTTAATACTGCTCTGAAAATAAATTGCCAAAAATCTTAGTGGTATAAAACAGCACATATTTATTATCTCACAGGTCTATACTATAGGTCAGAAGGTTTATACACAACTGGCCAGACTAAAAGGAAATTGGTGATCTGCTGCATTGTTTCTGGAAGCTCTAAGGCAATTGTTCTTTGCTCTCTGCTGTGGTTAGTAGAGCTCTGTTCTTTGCAGCTATAGGACCAAGGTTTCTGTTTTCCTGCTGGTTCTGTACTGAAGGTAGTTTCCGCTTCTAGAGACAGCTGCGTTGATTGGCTTATGACTACATTTCTCCACCTTCAAAGCCAGACACACAGGGTCAAGTCCTTCTCATATTATATCTTTCTCCCTGGGAAAGATTCTTCTCTTTTAAGGACCGATGGGATTAGATGTAATCCATCAGGATGATGCAGGACAATTTTCCCATCTCAAGACTTGTGACTTTCAGCACACCTGCAACGTCGTTTTGGCCATGTAAGATAACATATTCACAGGTCCTGGGGATGAGAGAATGAAAATCTTTGAGTAGCCATAATTCAGCCTGCCATACCCTTCTGATGGCTTTAAATGAAACCTGTGTGTTACACATAACTTTTTAATATGTGAGTTGGCCTCTCAGGCATTCTATTCCCTTAATTTTCCTATATGAAATCATAGCTGAGAATTTCCTCAAATTGATGAAAAAGCTTAACTCACAAATTGAAAAAGGAACACAGGCCAGGCACGGTGGCTCACGCCTGTAATCCCAGCACTTTGGGAGGCCGAGGGTTGAGGCGGACAGATCATGAGGTCAGGAGATCGAGACCATCCTGGCTAACACGGTGAAACTCCATCTCTACTAAAAATGCAATATATATATATATACATATATATATGTGTGTGTATATATATATATATGTATTAGTCGGGCATGGTGGCAGGCACCTCTAGTCCCAGCTACTTGGGAGACTGAGGCAGGAGAATGGTATGAACCCGGGAGGCAGAGCTTGCAGTGAGCCAAGATCGCGCCACTGCACTCCAGCCTGGGCGACAGAGTGAGATTCCGTCTCGGGGAAAAAAAGAAAAAAACAAAAAACAAAGTAAAAGGAACACAAACCCCAAGTAGGATAAATACAAGTTAAATCATGCCTTAGTAAATCATAGCAAAACTACTGAAAAGCAGAGATAAATAAAATAATCTTAAAAGCATTCAAAATAGAAAGACACGTTAAAGATACACTAATAAAAATGATGGCTGATACAAAAAAATAGATGTCATAGGTAATGGTGTGATATTATTAAAATGCTAAAAGGCAAACCAACAACACAGACAAAACACACCAAACTAAAATTTTATACTTGATATGTTTCCCAAAAATACAAAAAAAAGACATTTTATGCAAGCCAATATTGAAAAAACTGTCGCAAGAACTGCCTTACAAAAAAAAAAAAAAAACTAAAGTGCTTTTTTTAAAACGTGATAATCCCACATTGAATTATGAATCTACAAGAATGAATGAAGAACTTTGGAAAAGGTGAATATGAAAAGAGTCAAGGGCAATCAGAAGAGGGTTATGTGCAACAACAAATCTTGCTTTTGATCCTCTAGACATTATTTACATTTACTATGTTCTTGGTGATCATGAAGCTTGTTATCCATTTCATAAATCAGAAGGAACTGAGCATGTTTCAAAGGACAGTGAGGCTGTTCGGCTAAACCTAATCTAATTCCAAACTTTTTCAGCTTTTCAAATTACATTTTCTGCATCTTGGGGAGAATCAAGTGAACAAATATTGCTGTGGGTTTTGATAATGGGGCCCCAGGAGACCCCACTAAGGTCCCAAAGTGCAACCCCTGCTTCTCTTGCTTCTCCCTCCTCCACGTTGTATGTCTTGAGGACTCTCTTGTTTTCCTCCTCGAGCCTACTCTTGCTCCTATTGCTTCTCTCACTTCCTTCTTTCTGACATGGCCACTTTCTTACTTCTCCATTAATTGCTTCCTAAAAGTGCATGCTATTATCATCCATTGTCATGCTACAGAGAGATGGCTTCCTTTCAGTACTCTGTGCTCTGGACTCAAGGCATCATCCTGATTAGCCTTGTGTCCTAGTGAGCTGGAGTTACTGTAACAAAATACCTTAGACTGGGTAATTCATAACAATGGAAATGTGTTGCTCACAGTTCTGGAGGCTGAAGAGTCCAAGACCAAGACACCAGCAGATTCAGCATCTAGTGAGAGCCCCCTGCTTCATAGATTGTGACTTGTTGCTGTGTTCTCACATGGCAGAACAGACAGAAAGAGCAAATAGCCTCCCTCAAGCCCTCTTACAAGGGCTAAGCTAGTTCATGAAGGTGGAGGCCTCATGACCTAATCACCTCACAAACGGCCCCAGTTCTTAATACCATCACTTTGGGAGTTAAGTTTTAATGTATGAATTTTTGAGGGACACAAATACTCAGACTATAACATCTGGCTTTTTGGCCAGATGCTCTTTACTATCTGTCCCATCTTTTGTCTTGAGATGCTCATATGCTAGGCTAGAAAACGAAAAAAACATGACCCCATGACAGAGGTGCACAACAAGCAACATTCTCCACTGACCACCAGCCAGTGTTCCCAGACAGATGTTTCTGCAAGCTACCTCCTACCTTTGGTGTATTTCTGCCCAGCTAGGTTATGTCTTGCAGGTGTGTGGGGCAACAATTGCTCATTAGAATGGTTGATCGTACTGTCTGAAAAGCCCAACATTGAATCCAAAACTCCTTTTTGATACATTTTCTTTAGTATATCTTCATGTCAAATAGACTCCCAAAAGACTTTTTGGATAGCTCTGTTGCTGGGAGGTGACCCCATCACCACTCATACCACACTTGCCCCTCTGTCAAGAACACTCTCCATATTTCACGGCATCACTCTTAATAGTTTACCACTTAGTGACTCTGCCTTACCTCAGCTGTCATGGCTGGAGGACAACCTTGCCTGCCAATGCCCCTGCATATTTTTTTATGATTTGCTCCCAGACCACCATCTACCTGTTTTTCTCTTTTAACTTCTTAATAGTCACTCCATATTTGTTAATATCAGAATTCCCCAGAAGACTACCAAGAACTTAAATGCAGGGAATCTTTGCTTGTCTGCATTAGCGTGATGCAGGACATCAAGAGGGCCACAAAGAATATTTGTTGAATAAGAAATAAGATAGGAACATTTGGAACAAAGATGACAATGACAATATATTAACAATAATTGTTTCTGGGTGATGGTTACATGTTTGACTGTTATTAATTTGTTGTTTTTCTGTAATTACTATATATACTTCCTTAAATCTATATATAGTATGCATATCGTTTCAAGTATAAGAAAATAAAAAGTGTTCTCATGACTATAATATTTTACTATAGGTTATCTTAAATTAGTCACTTTTTTAAATATTATATCTTGTTTTGTAAATAGCACAAACTGATGTGTTTTTACCTTTCCAGAATCTATTTTATATTCTTAGTTTCTTGACAGAAGATTATTTTTCCCATGTTAACTCAATGGCTTATTAAATTTATAAGGTATCCTTACAGTTATATAAGCAGTCGGATACTCTTTTCAAATGAATAACAAAAGAGCATGATTTGGGCTTATCCTACTTTGCCAATTTATGGTTTTTTTTCTTTTTTTTTTTTTTACATACAGGTGTTAAAATGCCATAACATTTTTCAGTTTTCAAGTAGTTTGAATTGACATTTTCCTTGTATGAAAATATGTAAAAAAAGGTATTAAAATGAATCTGGTTACTAAATTGGCTTTTCTGATAATTATACGAGTTGGCATTTGTAAGCCTAATTCTCCCAAATGTGTGGGTTTTTTAATTTAAATGTCAGCAAAAGTAGTGTCCTATGTAACTATTAAAGCCTAGAATGAAGATAGATATTTAAAAAGAGGTTTTTCACTACTGAATAGACAATGTATTCAGATCATTAATAATTATATTAAAAGCATACAGGGTTTCACATTTATAAATATAAAATTATAAACCCATTAAACACATGTATATATTATCAACAAATTATAGAGCTTGTAGGGTTCCTCCAACAAATTAATGCTTGCTAATTACAATGTTTATTTATGCTTATGTTATATTGATAAGGGAGTATATAGATGTCCTTTTGAGATATTGAGAGATGCATTATTGGCTCTAATCACAGGAAGTCAAAATTGCAAGTAGAGAGAAAAGAATCATAAATTAAGATAAAATTATGTGTTTGGAGTTAGAAAGGCAGGAAAGAAAGGCAAGAGATTTGGTTGGAACTATAGGAGACTAGAGAAATCATCAGCTGCAGTGATGCTGTTGGCACTTGTAATACCTGACTGAAATATAAGTTCTTCTATTCAGGTGGTTCTTGTTTCACAGGTTAAGTATTATCACATTGGGAAATAGGGCTGCCCTGTTCTAAAGATGATAATTTAAGAATATTTGCTAAAATTATGAGTTTAAAATTAGAAGTTGTTTGTTTGAAATTAATAATAATAATTGCAACAGTTAAATGTAACGAAATATTCTAACTTTAAAAAACTAATTTATAATATTGGAAGTCGCTAAAAACACTTGGAACTGTATATTTTTAGAGCCATGTCTTTTGTTCTTCGAATATGGACGTACCCTTGCTGGAAAGTGTCACACTTACTTTTGCTTCTGTCGGTCAAATTAAATCTGTAACATTTCAGGGTTTTAAGAATTATACACTAAATCTGGAATAGAAAAAGGTGATACTTATTAATGGGTATTCATAAGATTTTCAATATGATAATTTTCTCATCCACATTAACTAATATGAAGCCATGGTCTAACAGAAATATATATGAACTTTTTGTTTTATTTTTATTTTTAAAACACAGATTCTTTGTTAGTATGAAACATTTCAATCTTACACGTAGAATCCTTCATTTTTCTTAAGATATTTAAAATCATTTCTGAAAATAAATATGGCTTTCAAAAAGCTTTAAATGTAATTACTTCCCTTTAGTGAGGAAAGGTATTTTTAAGTTTAGTTTATTTTCTGCAGATATATTCAAAATATGAGCTAAATATTAAATCTCTGAATTTATCAGTGAAAACTCATATGCTTCAACTAAAATCTGTGTAGTTCAGATTTCAGTATAATACAGATTTGTATTTTAAACTATGTAAGATATTTAAAATAAATATCACGTGTAAAGGCAGTTTTAAATTGATAAATAATATGAAAATACCACTTCATACCATTTATTTATTTCGTTATGCCTACATTATTTTGCACTCACCTTTATTCCAAAGAATTCCTATGAGAGTTCTAAGATGTTTTTGTTAAGAAAACAAATAACAACAACAACAAAAAAAAACAAGCCAAAGGAAACAATAGATATATAGGTTATGGAGAATCTCTACGTTCAGATGTAAATTAAAATGTTATTTTAAAAAACAGAAAGAGCTAAAAGTTAGAAGCATTAAGTCCAACCAAGTGCCATTCAATATTTCTGGAACTGTTTAAAGTCTGGGGGTCATTTTCTGAGTTAGGTTGGGTTGGTCTCAGTGATAAATCTTCTGTTGGCTGCAGATTCTGGAGTTGGGTAGGAATCAGCTAAGAGATAGTAGGCAGGGTCAAATTGTAAAATAGCAAGCAAACAAACCAGTAAAAAAAAAAATCAAGCAATGAGATAGAACAAATAGAAATGAAATAGAATGTAGGAAGCTACTTCTGGAAAGATATACTAACGATTCATGTGGATGGTTTTTGTTAGGTCTTCTGACCTCACTTTGGGTAGGAAAAAAAGCTGTAGAGTGGCTGTACTGCTCAGACATACTTCCCTTAGGCTGCTACCTATGGGTGGAAAATATCTAGAGTAGCTCTGTGATTTCTAAAAGGAAACATTAACCCTTTTCGCCAAAGGTCTCCCACTGTTTTTGTTACCAGAGACCCGTTTTGTGGAAGAATATTTTTCCATGGACCAAGGTGTGGGGAGAGGATGGTTTTGGGATGATTCAAGTGTATTACATTGATTGTGCATTTTATTTCTATTATTATTACATTATAATATGTAATCAAATAATTATACAACTCATAATAATGTAGAATCAGTGGGAGCCCTGACCTTGTGTTTTTACAACTAGACGGTCCCATCTAGACAGAGGTAATAGGAGTCAGTGACAGATCATCAGGGATTAGATTCTCATAAGGAAAACACACCCTAGATCCTGCACATGCACAGTTCACGATAGGCTTCATGCTCCTCTGAGAATCTAATGCAGCCTCTGATCTGACAGGAGGTGAAGCTCAGTTGGTAATGCCAGGGATGAGGAGCAGCTGTAAATACAGATGAGGTTTTGCTCACTTGCCTGTCACTCAGCCTTCTGCTGTGCCACCTGGTTCCTGTGGCCTGGGGGTTGGGGACTCCTACTTTAGACCAGACACTGGAGCTGGCTCTTGAATCTCTTTGGCCCAGTTTTATAGTATGTTGATGTTCCCTGATATGGTTTCAAGTAACTAGTCCTTAAGATACCAACATAAGTATGATTTATTTCTTAGAGACTGGTACATCAGGCTTAGAGATTGATAAACTGAAAATATTTCTTCTGTGAAAGATGATATTGAGTAAATAAAAAAGCAAGGTGCAGATGGGAGAAAATATTTGCAAATAACATGTCCCACAGTGTTATGTATCAAGAATAGATAACAGACCCTCACAACTCAACAATAAGAAAACAAACCACTCGATTAAAAAATAAGCAAAACAAATGGACAAATGTTTCACCAGAGGATATAAGTATGGTACATAAGCACATGAAAAGGCGTTCAACATCATTAGTCATTATAAAGATAAAACATTAAACACAAGAAACAAATGAAACAACCCTAATGAGATATTATTACATGCAAAAAAGCCCTAATGAGATATTATTACATGCTTAATTACATGGATGGATAAAAATAATGCTGACAATTCTAAGCACTGAGGAGGGTGTAAAACAGCTCACATTCTCAGACATTGCTGGTTGGGATATAAAATTCCACATCCTGAAAAACACTTTGGCAGTTTTTATAAAGTTAAACAGTTACATATGTTAAATATGACCAAGAAATGCTACTCTTCAGTATTTGCCCAAAAGTAAGTTTATGCCCACAGGAAAACCACATGACATTCTGAAGCATATTCATGCTGCCAAAATGAATCACAACCCAAATATCCCCAGAGAGGATAATGAGTAAGCAAATAGAATACTAAAGACAATGGTTTGGAATGAAATACTATTTAGCAATAAAAATAAATAGACTTTTGGCTGGGCGCGGTGGCTCACGCCTGTAATCCCAGCACTTTGGGAGGCCGGGGCGGGTGGATCACGAGGTCAGGAGATCGAGACCATCCTGGCTAACGCGGTGAAACCCCGTCTCTACTGAAAATACAAAAAAATTAGCCGGGCGCGGTGGCGGGCGCCTGTAGTCCCAGCTACTCGGGAGGCTGAGGCAGGAGAATGGCGTGAACCCGGGAGGCGGAGCTTGCAGTGAGCCGAGATAGTGCCACCGCACTCCAGCCTGGGCGACAGAGCGAGACTCCGTCTCAAAAAAAATAAATAGATAGACTTTTGATAGATACAACAATTTGAATGAATCTCAAATGGGTTATGCTGAGTGAAAGAAGCTGATCTCAGAAGGTTCTATCTGTATGATTCCATTTATATTATCTTTGAAAACAAAATAAAATTTTAGAGCTATAGGAATTGAGACTAGGTCAGTGGTCATCAGGGGTTATGGGTGAGTGAAGGGTATGAATATAAAGATATGGCAAAGTTTGTTTTTCGAGGTGATGGTCCTGTTTCATAGCCTAACTATGGTGGGTGCATGAATCTATACATGTGTTAAAATTCATACAAATATACTAAAAAAATCTATTTCATTACACAGCAATGAAAAGATAGAAATTAATAATTAAAATAAGTGTATCTCAGATCAGGCATTTAAGTTGCCTTGTTAAAATGTTATTTTCAGAGTTAAAGTTATGTAGTAATTCTTCCTCTAGGTTCAAAAGATTTTCTGAAAAAATGTTTTAATTAAACCAACAGCTTGCCATTATCTTTAAGTGAGTTTCCACAACAAATTAGGTAATCTTCAGGCCCTTCTTGATGACTAAAAAATTAGGAGACTTATAACAGCAAAGGACATGATTATGGGGATCTTGGATTTGATTAGAGAAAGCAACTGCTTAAAATTCCTTATTATATTAGCATTATATTCCCTTCCATAGACAAGAAGTAACTACAGTTTTATTTTTCAGATTCTTGGTTATTTTTATAATCAACAGTCACAAATAAAGAATGACCCTTTTTGCCTTGCTTTATCATCCACTTTTCTCATTTTAATTTTTAAATGAAAATGACTTCTTTTTTTAAAATGTATTCTAGTTTCCCTGAGGATTGGGAAAGCATATAGTCTGTATTATTTGATTATACATATATTTTTCTTCTGTTAATCTCTATCTTTAATTTTAAAAATGCTACTTTATTAACACCGAACTTTTTTTTTCTCACCATCTCTGTGTCATAGATAACAATACCAAGTACTTACAGTGTTTATCCACCAGGTTGTTCTCACAACAGTACAGACAGACATGTTATTTTTACATTTTTACCTATGAGAAAACTGAACAAAATACTTAGAACTCATAGACTACTGTAGAAAATATAACAGAAAATATTAATCTAAGAAAACCAGTTTTTAAAAAGAGTATATGAATTTAGGAAGAGGGGCCAAGAAGGCTGAATAGAAATAGCTCCTGTCTGCAGCTCCCAGCAAGACCAATGCAGAAGGTGGGTAATTTCTTCATTTCCAACTGCAGTACCCAGTTCATCGCATTGGGACTGGTTAGGTAGCAGGTGCAACCCACGGAGAGCAAGCAGAAGCAGGGTGAGGCATCACTACACCCAGGAAGCACAAAGAGCTGGGGGATCTCCCTCTCCCAGGCATGGGAAGCATTGAGGGACCGTGCTGTCCACTCTGGGTACTATGCTTTTCCCAAGGATTTTTGCAATTGTGGATCAGGAGATTTCATCATGAGCCTACACCACCAGGGCCCTGGGTTTCAAGCACAAAACTGAGTGACTGTTTTGGCAGGCACTGAGCTAGCTGCAGGAGTTTTTTCATACTCCAGCAGTGCCTGGAGCTTCAGCAATACAGGGGAATCATCCATTGCCCTAGAAAGGGGGCTGAAGCCAGGGAGCCAAGCGGTGTTACTCAGTAGGTCCCATTCCCATGAAGCCCAGCAAGCTGAGAAACACTGGCTTGAAATTCTCACTGTCAGAAGCAGTCTGGAGTCAACCTGAGATGATGGAGCTTGGTGTGGGAAGAGGCATGCACCATTACTGAGGCTTTAGTAGGTGGTTTTCCCCTGACAGTGCTAAGGAGATTGGGAGGTTTGGATTGGGCGGAATTCACCACAGTGTGGCAAAGCAACTGTGGCCAGACTGCTTCTCTAGATTCCTCCTCACTGAACAGGGCATCTCTGCAGGAAATACACTGTATTTCCTAAGCCCAATCAGGGGCTTACAGAAACTCTCATCTCCCTGGGACAGAGCACCTCGGGGGAAGGACAGCTGCAGTTGCAGCTTCAGCTGACTTAATCTTTCCTGCCTACCAGCTCTGAAGAGAGTGGCTGATGTAGACAAGGGAGATGCTCCCAGCACAGTGCACCAGCTCTGCCAAGGGACAAAATGTCTCCTCAAGAGAGCCCCTGACCCCAGTGCCTCCAGGCTGGGAGGGACCTCCCAAGCAGGGGTCATCAGACACCTCATACAGGAGAGCTCTGGATGGCATTAGGCCATTGTCCCTCTGGGAAGAAGTTTCCAGAGGAAAAAGCAGCTAGCAATCCTTGCTGTTCTGCAGCCTCCACTGGTGATATTCAGGTGAACAGGGTCTGGAGTGGACCTCCAGCAAACTGCAGCAGACCTGCAGAAGAGGGGCCTGTTTAGAACAACAAAAACGACAAAAAGAACTAACAAACAGAAAGCAACAACATTAAAAACAAACAAACAAAAAGACCTCCCACAAAAACACCATCCAAAGGTCATCAGCCTCAAAGATAAAAGGTAGATAAATCCATGAAGATGAGGAAAAAACAGCACAAAAACGCTGAAAATTCCAAAAGCCAGAATGCCTCTTCTCCTCCAAATGATTGCAACGCCTCTCCAGGAAGGGCGCAAAACTGGACGGAGAATGAGTTTGATGAATTGAAAGAAGTAGGCTTCAGAAGATGGATAATAACAAACTCATGTGAGCTGAAGGAGAATCTTCTAACCCAATGCAAGGAAGCTAAGAATCTTGATAAAAGGTTACGGGAACTGCTAACTAGAATAACCAGTTTAGAGAGAAACATCCCACTGTCAATATTAGACAGATCAATGAGACAGAAAATTAACAAGGATATTCAGGACTTGAACTCAGCTCTGGATCAAGTGGACCTGATAGACATCTACAGAACTCTCCACCCAAATAAACAGAATATACATTCTTCTCAGTGCCATGTGGCACTTATTCTAAAATCGACCACATAACTGGAAGTAAAACACTCCTCAGCAAATGCGAAAGAACTGAAATTATAACAAACAGTCTCTCAGACCACAGTGCAATCAAATTAGAGCTCAAGATTAAGAAACTCACTCAAAAACGCAAAAATACATGGAAATTGAACAAACTGCTCCTAAATGATTCCTGGGTAAATAACAAAATTAAAGCAAAAATCAAGAAGTTCTTTGAAACCAATGAGAACAAAGAGACAGCATACAAAAATCTTTTGGCAAAACAATATTAAAAGGGAAATTTATAGCACTAAATGCCCACATCAGAAAGCTGAAAGGATCTCAAATCGAAACCCTGACACCAAAATTAAAAGAACTAGAGAAGCAAGAGCAAACAAATTCAAAAGCTAGCAGAAGACATGAAATAACTATCATCAGAGCAGAACTCAAGGAGCTAGAGAAACAAAAAGCCATTCAAAAATCAGTGAAAAAATTAACAAAATAGATAGACCGCTAGCTAGACTAATAAAGAAGAAAAGAGAGAAGAATCAAATAGACACAATAAAAATGATAAAGGGGATATCACAACTGAGCCCACAGAAATACAAACTACCATCAGAGAATACTATAAACACCTCTACCAAATAAACTAGAAAATCTAGAGGAAATTGTCAAATTCCTGGACACATACACCCTCCCAAGACTAAACCAAGAAGGATTAGAATCCCTGAATAGTTCAATAACAAGTTCTGAAATTTAGGCAGTAATTAAGAGCCTAACAATAGATAAAAATTTAAAAAAAAAAAGCCCAGGACCAGACCGATTCACAGCCAAATTCTACCAGAGGTGCAAAGAGGAGCTGGTAACATTCTTTCTGAAACTATTCCAACAATTGAAGGAGGAGTTCCTCCTCCCTAACTCTGTGAGGCCAACATCATACTGATACCAAAATCTTGCAGAGACACAACAAAAAAAGAAAACTTCAGGCCAATATCCTTGATGAACAGTGGTGCAAAAATCCTCTATAAAATACTGACAAACCAAACCCAGCAGCAAATCAAAAACTTATCCACCAAGTTCAAGTCAGCTTCATCCCTGGGATGCAAAGCTGGTTCAACTTACACAAATCAATAAATGTAATCCATGACATTAACAGAACCAATGACAAAAACCACATGATTATTTCAATAGATGCAGAGAAGGCCATTGATAAACTTCAACAGTCCTTCATGTTAAAAACTCTCAATAAACTATTGAGAGTATTGATGGAACATATCTCAAAATAATAAGAGCTATTTATGACAAACCCATAGCCAACATCATACTGAATGGGAAAAACCTGGAGGCATTCTCTTTGAAAACCAGCCCAAGACAAGGATGTCCTCTCTCACCACTTCTATTCAACACAGTATTGGAAGTTCTGGCCAGGGCAATCAGGCAAGAGAAAGAAATAAAGAGTATTCAAATAGGAAGAGAGGAAGTCAAATTGTCTCTATTTGCAAATGTCATGACTGTATATTTAGAAAACCCCATCGTTTCAGCCCAAAAATTCCTTAAGCTGATAAGCAGGTTCAGCAAAGTCTCAGGATACAAATCAATATGCGAAAATCACAGGCATTCCTTTACACCAGCAACAGACAAGCAGAGAGCCAAATCATGAATGAACTCCCATTCACAAATGCTACAAAGAGAATAAAATACCTAGGAATATAGCTTACTACGGATGTGAAGGACATCTTCAAGGAGAACTACAAACCACTGCTTAAGGAAATAAGAGAGGACACAAACAAATGGACACTTCTCAAAAGAAGACATTTATGCAGGCAAAAATCATGAACAAAGCTCACAATCACTAATCATTAGAGATATGCAAATCAACACCACAATGATAGACTGTCTCATGCCAGTCAGAATGGCAATTATTAAAAAGTCAGGAAACAACAGATTCTGGCGAGGCTGTGTAGAAATAAAAACACTTTTACACTGTTGGTGGGAATGTAAATTAGTTCCACCATTGTGGAAGACAGTGTGGCGATTCCTCAAGGATCTAGAACCAGAAATACCATTTGACCCAGCAATCCCATTACTGGTTGTATAACCAAAGCAATATAAATTATTCTACTATAAAGACACATGCACACATATGTTTACTGCAGCATTATTTACAATAGCAAAGACATGGAACCAACCCAAATGTCCATCAATGATAGACTGGATAAAGAAAATGTGGTAGATATACAGCATGGAATACTATGCAGCCATAAAAAAGAATGAGCTCATGTCATTTGCAGGGACATGGATGAAGCTGGAAGCCACCATCCCCTGCAAACTAACAGAGGAACAGAAAACCAAACACTGCATGTTCTCCCTCATAAGTGGGAGTTGAATAATGAGAACACATGGAAACCGGGATGGGAACATCACACATCGGGACCTGTCAAGTGATGGGGGCAAGGAGAGGGAGAGCATTAGGAGAAATACCTAATGTGTGCGGGGCTTAAAACCTAGATGGTGGGTTGATAGCTACAGCAAACCACCATGGCACATGTATACCTACGTAACAAGCCTGCATGTTCTGCACATCTATCCCAGAACTTACAAAATTAAAAATAAAAATAAGTAAAATAAAAAAGAATGTAACAAATTTTTATATTAATCTTTTTTTAAATGTCAATATTTTCCTAATATTGACCTGAGGTCTAAAATATGCTGTCTTTGTGACAACTGAACCATTCCATGACAGTGCTTAAATGATGTAAAATTGCTGAAATCAGGACTAGTAAGTGCCTTTCTTGAGCTGTTTATATTGAGCTTTTCTAAAATCCTCTAAGTAATTTAAATCTAAAAATAGTCTAAATTATTCAGATCTTTAATAATATGCAAATACGTTTCCATCCTTTCTAAGCTCTAGGTATGTGATAATTCCTACCATTTTTCATTAAAGGCTGTTGGATTTTGAACATTTAGAATTCTAATCTCATTTCCACAAAGAGATGAAATGGCATTAAAATTAACCTCAAAGGAGATCACACATTTCATCTGCTTAAAGAAAGGACTGCACTCTAGGAGCCTTTGACAGAAGGAGATGGGGAAGAGAGAAACACGACATTATGTCACCAGGAAGATGTTTCTGGTCAAGATGCTGGGCATCTACACTACAAAATATAAAAAGAAAACAGAACAGAATGTTTATAAAAACATTCTTCTGCATTAAAAATTATAGGTTGTTTTTCCAGTTTGTCTGTAGGAAGACTGAAATTTTCAAGACCATTCTATAATGCAACCTATTGAAAAACTAAAAAATTCCATGCATAGTATATTTAATATTTAGCAGTCTAGATGAGAGTGAGAAAAAATATTTTATATATCTGAAATCAAAGAATTTGAAATGTATGATGTTATCAGTTTAAGCAGATTGAAAAACAAATGATGCTTTTGTATTAGAAATAATTTCACTTGAAAATAACAGGTTTTTGAGAATTCTCAACTGTATAACTTAGGTATGGTTTTAATGGTAAGGTTAACTTACGAAATACTGAACTACAGAAACCACAGTAAACGTCATCATATTATCAAACCTAGCAATTATCAGCATTAGGTCCTTATTTTTTTTTTTTTTGGAAGTTTAATCCCATTACTCTTTTGCCAGTGTATGAATCATGTATTTATATTAGTGCAACATTCTTTCTGGTTACTTTCCTAAGATTGAGATTTAGCATTTTTATCTTGGAAGTAACTTCCCTTACTCTTCGATGATATTCAAAACTATGATTCTACTTTTTTTCAAGAAGCTTTCTCTCTCCAACTACATGAAAGGTAATGTGAGGCCATGACAAACTCAGTACAAGACAGGAAAAAGCAAGTCAGTTCAGCTTCTCTGCAATTTTAGTGCCTCCCAATTTCAAACTATAAAAAACTGAAGTCCCCAGGAATTTTCCATTTAGGTTAACTTCTGTCACCCAATACAGTAATTCCTCATCCTCAGGTGGTATGTCCCAAGATCTCCAGTGGAGGCCTGAAGTTGAATATAGTACTGAACCCTATCCAGTATACTTGGTGGTTTTTTTTCCTATACATACATAACTATAATAATGTTTAATTTATAAATTAGATAAGAATAAAATAGAACAATTATAACAATATACTGTAATAAATGTTTTATTAATATGGGCACTCTCACTCTCTCAAAATATCATATTGTGCTATACTCACTCTTTTTGTGAAAATGCAAGATTATTACATGCCTACATTAATGGGACTAAGAGAGGCAAATGACTTAGGTATTGTAACATAGCAGTGGGCTTCTCTTCAAAGCTAATAATTTAACACATAAATTATTGATTTCTAAAATTTTCCATGTAATACTTTCTGACTGCACTTGACTGTGAGCAACTACATCTGGAAAGTGAAACTGCATATCAGGGGGACTACTGTATAGTGCAGCTTTGTTAACCTGACCCCTATTATAGACTTACCATTATATACACATGAGTATTGGCTATACAACTTAAACAGTGGTTCCTCCAAGCTTCTTCAAAGATTGCATCACAAATATTATGCCTTGTAAGTGATTCTGATGACATGAGGAAACCAAAATTCTGTCTCAGGCAGTAATTAGGTGCATAACTTTTGCAAATACTTTGATAATTTAAAATGGGAAGTTCTCCTAATACTGTAATTAAGAATAAGAGAATGTTTGTTCCAATGAAGATTTCTGGACATCACAATATAAGGCTCAGGGTTGATTCCAGGAATCATATTGAGGGTAATGAAGTATCCAAGAAACACTCTTCTAGGCATTAACTTCCTAATCTGTGACCAAATACAACTGATCAGGATCTCTAACACGAATCATCTGGATACCTTACTAAAGAGGTTACAATTTTGAAATCTTCTTAAATGTATGCCAATTACAATATCCTTCTACTTCTTCCCCCACTACACTCATAGACACCTAAATAACTTTCTCTTTCTCTGCAGGAACCACTGTTGCATTTGGTTCAGAAGCATCCATTCATCTTTAATATTCATATGTGGTTCCCTGTCACAATTTGTTTGGCTTGGAACACAAACAATGAACATGGACAGAACAAAGACATTTCCATTGCATATTAGTTAAGAGACAGGGAGATTTTTAGTCAATGGGATCAAGCTTTAGATTTAAACCAATTGCTGACTCCATGACCTTGGACAAATTGCTTACCCTCTTTGAAACTCAGTTTCCTGTCCTTGAAAGTTTACTAATGGTACCTATCATTCAGTTTTACTGCATTGATCTACAAGATAAAACACAATGAGTTGTACTGCAGTACCTGCTGCATAACGTGTCCTCAAAAGTAGTAACTATTTTTATATTATTATTGTTGTTGTATTTCAAAAAATTGTGCTGTTACTCATCAAACTGTATAATAAACAACAAATGCATAACCACAATTATAATTAATTCTCTAAAAACAATTACAGTGTTAAATTCTTGAGCTTTCTTCTGACACCTATCTAAAAACCACATTTATTTTCAGAGCTGACATAATTAACTATTGCTTTAAAGTTATGCTTACATGGAATCAGTTGGAACTGGGTCTTAACCTATCAGAATGCTTTCCTTTCTCTCTAGTCTTTTCTTTGTTCTTGAGATTAGGAATTTGACTTTCAAATTAAAATTATATAATTTACATATTAATTTGAAGCCAGAGGCTCAAATGCTTTTAATACTAAAGTCCTGCCTTGCCTGCCATTAATCGTGGTATTGGTGGCCAAGACCCTACCTCTTGCTATAGGTGTAACCAGACCCCACTGGCTGTTGCCATTTTTTGCTGAGGGTACCTAAAAAGACATTTTTTTCCACCTGCCATGTACATCTCCTTTCATTTGTATTATGTTTTTCAGGTGTGTTTGTATCCAAGCACTAGAAGACTTCCTCATGGACACCCATGAGTTTCATTTTTGAGAGTTCCGTGTAATAAAGCCCATCAACAATTTTCAGCTTTGGTGTATATCTCAATCAGAAGCCCAGGAGTCCTTCAGACTATAACAGCTTGAGGTTAAAGATTCTTCATTTTCAGGTTCACAGGAATGCATGAAATTTTAACTACTGGCTGAATAATTCCCAGGCCAAATGGATTTAAATCTCCTCCACATATTTTTCAATTAGTTATTCAGTTTTAAGGGGTCAATTGTGAGGACAGGCAAAGAAAGAAGTGAAAATATTATAAAATTAAAAAAAAACTTAATTCATTAAATTATGAGACCAAATTGCAATGGATGGTGGATCAGTCTCAGCAGACCTAGCTAAGCAGCACATTGACATGAAGATGGCTACTGTTTCTCTAGCGTGTCATTGTAGTTCCTCAAAAACAGAGCCTATTGAGCATTCTCTTGTTTCTCATTCTAAAACCTCATGATTATCCATGCCACGGTGACTCTTCACTTTGTTCTTGCCTAAAATGTCTTTGCTGCTCTCTTTACCTCTTCAAATTATATCAACAATTTTTAGTTTAAAATTTACATATAAGATTATTCATTTCTCTTGAGGGATTACATGCACATATCAGTGAGACCAACCACTGCCATCTCTCATCTTATTTACTGCAATGGCCTCTTCTCTGGAATTTCTGCTTCTGCCTTCATCCATCTCATTCTATTCTCAATTCAGTGAAAATTATCCTTTTAAGGCATCACATATCATATCATGCTTTGCTCAAAGTCCCCTGGTGTTTTTCTTTATTATGCAGAATAAAGCCCAACTCCTGAATAAAGATGTTGCTCCTGCTCTAAGCAATGTCTCTGACGTCATCGCCTCCTACCTTCCCTTTCATTCTTCTTCATTCCCACTACACCTGTGTTGCGATGAGCATGCCAAGTACTCTTCTGCCTCAGGACCTTTGTACTTGCCTGCACCAGCTGGCTAGAATGTTCTTCATCCACTTCTCTACATATTTTGCCCTCATACTTCTTCTACTTTTATGTTCAAATGTTAAACTGTTCTGTGAGGGTTGCCCCAGCCTCAATTTTATATCACATGCTTAACATTCCCTTTTTCCTTTATCTGCTTTATTTTATTCATATATAATACATTTAACTCATTTATTTCATCTATTGTGTGTATCGTGTCTCTTTCCCCCAAAAATGAAAAACTATGAGCTAAGGGATTTATCTGTGTTGTTAGCTGTTATACTCTCAGACACAACAACAGATAACGCAGTTAAAAATTAATATGGAGTGTTCACATTTTATTAACTTTCTAGAAAGTGATTTTTTCTACTGTGAGAAGTAGACCAACTCCTAGCTCAAACACTGCAAGAAGGAGTAAGAGTATCATGACTAGATTAGTTAAATCAGTTATCCTGTGTGGCTGGATGCACTGGCTCCAAAACAAAAGTGAGGTTCATTTGAGAGAGAATGAGATAGCAGTTGTGTAGACAACCTGCAGTGCCTGACAAAGCTGTGAAGATTGGAGCACATTGACAGGCCAGTACGTAGCAGGAGCTGGAGGTAAATATAAATATTCATATTTATTTTAACAATTTGACCAGGATCTACCTATTAGTATTGCCATTAGTCTTTCAAGTAGCAATTCTGGAAAGAAAGGAATTTAACAAAGATATTGGCATTACATGTGACTAAATATTGAAAAAGGAGGTCCTGAGAGCTATGAAGTCAACATTGCCACTAGTTTTATAATTTATATTCTATTTATTTAAGGGTGATGTAGGATGATGACCACCACCTTGCATTTGGATTTTGAGTTAGGAAGGCATCCATTTAACCTTTCTCTGCCACATGGTATCTGTGTGACTTTTGAAAAATTACTTAACTTCTGTAATAGCTTTCATAAAATGAGGTTTCAATCAATAGACACCTTTCAAATTTAATGAAAAAGTTACAGAGAATGAGTCAACATATCTTTGTAAACATGTAGGAGCCAAACACAAATAAGTAGTCAGTAAAATAATTATTAAATCACTTTGATCTATAATTTAATCAGTAATCATATTTTCACAATCCCTATTATTATGATTTTGCTCTAAGCACTGACAATATAGTATGTGTAATGATGTGAATATTTTATTCTAATGAAAATGTTATATTAGGAAAACTACAGAACTTAGAGGTCTTTATTACTAATGTAGTTGCATTTTTTAAAGTGGCGATCCTGATGATTTTACTAACTGTGCATATACCTGCATATAAGATAGAATGACAGAGTGAAAATACAATTGATTTTAGAATCACAGAGTTCTGTTTTATAGTTACCTTTTCTTAATTCCTAGTTATATAATTCTAATAATTCAAAATTTCTATGCTTTAGTTTAATCATTTCTAAAATGAAGGAAAGGATTATGTAAATATTTCTATTTATGTATCTAACTCTCATCTATCTACAGATAATAATTAAAATACCTTAGCATATTGTAGGAGCTTAATAAATCATGTTTTCTATTATTGCATATGTCTGTATTCACATAAAAAGATACTTGAGGCATATACTAATAACAAGGATGATAATGGCAATTTAAAATATTTGGTAGGGCCAGGTGCGGTGGCTCATGCCTGTAATCCCAGCACTTCGGGAGGTCGCGGCGGCGGATCATGAGGTCAAGACATCAAGACCAGCCTGGCCAACATTGTGAAATCCGGTCTCTACTAATATACAAAAATTAGCCAGGAGTGGTGGCATGTGCCTGTAATCCCAGCTACTCGGGAGGCTGAGGCAGGAAAATTGCTTGAACCAGGGAGGCAGAGTTTGCAGTGCGCCAAGATCGCAGCACTGCACTACAGCCTGGCGACAGAGCGAGACTCTGTCTCAAAAAAAAAAAAAAAAGAAAGAAATTGGTGGGCACATATTCAGCCTCTGAACTGGGAATGGGATATGCTTTGAATAAATTGCTATCTGACGTTATTTTCGTAATTAATATTTAAATTCATGAAAATTCTTGTTTTATTATGTCCTATAAATCAGAATGGGTAAAAAAAATTATACTCCTTCCTCTGTTCCTTTCTTTCTCTAGATCACAATATCTGGTCAATACTAAGTACTTAAACATATTAGCTATTTTTAATTTTTTGTTTTTTCTAGCATTTCATAGTTTTGTCCACTTTCCTCCTCCATGACAAGGCTTTTACTTTATTGATATATGTTACTGGCCATGGCAAAGAAGAAAACCCATTATTAAGTGTGAAGTCCACATTGATTTGGATGGTTATTGGTCTTACATTCTCACCATGCGGTGAGCCTTGCTTCATACTGAGACACCAATGTTGTCTCCTTAAAGTTTTATTTTGTTTCAGAATGTTGAAGAGAGTTTTGTGAAATATTTGAAAACTTGACAATTTTAACTGAATAAAATTCAATGGCAAAGTAATTTTAAATAGCAATAGAATAAACTGATCAAAAGCTTCTATGTCTATTTAAATAATTTTGATATCTCCAGTGAGTTGTGTGCAATTCACTGCCTACTGAACTATTTTATTTCGAATTTCATACTATGTTTTAATTAATAGATTACATTCTATGTGCCTTTATATCATTACATTGTTCAAGTTTTAATGTTATATTTTAGATGATGTTAAATCAAAGTAGTTAATGATTCAAGGGTGTTCAGATTGATAGTATTATTTTTTGTGTGTTTTCAATTCATGAAGGTTTCAAATTTTTTACCGGAGCTACAATCAATCCATTAGATCATTTCTTTCAAAAGTACTAACATTAAACAAATATTAATTAAGTAATCACAATAACCTAAGTACTCTTCTGGGTGATGAGTTCCAAGTAGAAGAACATAAGGTCGCCTGAAAGAGTGAAGCAGAGTGATCTAAGTTATTGGAGTCAGAGAAAGCTGTGACCTGAGAATGAATATTAGCTCCCCACATGCGGAGCTGAGAAAAGGGAATTCCATTTGGAGAAAGCCTAGGGCAAGGAATGATTTGTCAAATTTTATGACTTATAAAATACTAAGATAATAATAAACATGTCTGAAGACTAGTGAGATAAAGGGAGATTGCAGTGAAGTAAGGCTGCCGACATAGGCAGAGACAAAAACACAGTTCTGGACATAGTAAAGTGCATTTAAAAAGTCATTGAGTAAAGAATGTGAGAAATATGATTTTTCTTTGCATTAAACTTTAATGTTTAATCGAAGTTTTACGTGGTAATACAGTGAAAACTAAAAAAATCGGTGAAAATTAAGCCTGAATTAAACATCCCAGAAAATGCTTGTGTCTACTTTTTCCATTAGTCCATTCTTTAAAAGACAGTTTTTATGACATTTAAAAGGATTAATAAATTTTATTTTTCATAGCAGTTTTAAAATTACCAAAAATTGCACAGAAACTGCAAAGAGCTTTCACGTGCTCCATCTCTCCTTCTCCATTATAAAAGACATCAATACTATCCTTCAAAGGACATTTTACTGATGATGTCTTCAGTTTATTTCAATATTTCTAAATAAGTTTTTAAAATTGCAGCAGAGTCTATTAAGTATTTTTAAGGCAGAGGAAGTTTTTATTTCACTCGTGTAAGGGTAAATACAAATTAAAAGTAAGAAGCATAATTCTCTCCATTAGAAATAAGGGAGATTTCATCTGCCACTCTCTTTTCTTAGAGCATTTACATTAGAAAATTTGTAATTATAAGGTCTTCCCTTGCTCTTTGAAATGCTGTACACCTTTTGAAAGTTTAAATAAGACTCTCAGCAGCTTTACAACCCAGGGATGTCTTTCTCAAGGAATTGGTGGGAAGCATTTCTTTGAAATGAAATCTTCAAGGAAAATAGTACTTCTCCCATTTCCTGAGGGACGGTGGGAGGCTAACTTTGGTGGATGCTTAGAAATTTATTTTTCTTTTGCATAAAGCCAAATTAGCTACCACAGTTGGTCATTAAAACTACCAAATGAATTTAGGATGAACTACATGTGACAAATGGCATTGTCAAGTGCTCTTACTAGAGGACTAGTTGTTATTTTGAGGACCTGTTCATGATGGGGTATATTTGCTTGGCTTTATAAAAGGGTGAGAAGATTCCTCTGTCTTTGCAGTCTCTTAGGAGATTGCCTGTGATATGCATCATGGTTGAAGTCTTATTCAATAATCGTCATGTTTTCTTTCTTTTCCATCCTTGTGGGGAGATTTTCTAGGTAGAGAGAAGATTTTGTTTTTCATTATATTTTCTCAACAATTGCACTTCACTGGGTCATACCCCATAAGTAATAGATTAATGTTCTTTCCTCAGAAGATAAAACTCCGTGAACACTTACTTATCCTGCCTCAGTCTGGACTGGTTATTTTCTTGGCTTGCTGCAACAGGCATCTATTAATACAGTATCTTCTGGCTGAGGCACATAAAATCAGTATCTGGAGATCTTTTCTCTTGTTGTGGTTCACTTTTCCAAATAAAGCAAAAATGAATAAATAAGTAAATCAATAAATAAATCACAGTTTTCTTTCTTATTAGATATAAGCATCACTGCTGGTTCCTAGTGTTCTGGGGCTTGTGGGTATCAGAGGTTGGGGGAATCACAATTCTCCTGGCAGAATATTGTTTATCTCATTCTTGCCCTCCTTTATTTTGAATCTGGTTAATTTTCTCCTGAAAATAAACTGCTTTCTAATCAATCCTCACCTATAAGAAATAAATGCTGTCATTTCATTTGCCATAGCTTACTTTTGTCCGTTCTTTAACTTCAAATAGGTAGAATCATAAGTATGCAATCTTTTAATTTTCCTACCTTGTTTTTTCTAAAACTAATGTTTTTGAGATTCATCCACATTGCTCAGTGGTATTCCATTGCATGATTGTAATTGAATTTGTGTATATATCTTTCACAGTGTTGGATATTATACCCAGACTAGTGGGTATGAAGTAATATGTTATTATGTTTTTAATTTTCATTTCACGCAACTGAGGATATTATGTTCCTTTTCATATATGAATGACAATAAAAATATCTGTTTATTTTATTCTTTTTCCAATGTTTTGCTTTTATGTTATTGATTTTTATTAATTCTTTATACATTCTAAAATAATGCCCACATTATAGTTATTGAAAATATTTTCTCCTAATCTGCATTTTTCTTTGTTATGTTGTTATTGGTGTCTTCTCAGGAGTAGAAGATTTTAATTTAATTAAATGCAATAGATCATTGTTTATTCTTTTAAGGTTAGCTAAAATGTTTAAGTTATTATATTTAAGCCTATAATTCATTTTGCATTAATTTTGGGGAGTAGTGTAAACTAAGACTCAAGGCTCATTTTTCTATATGTTTATCCATTTCTTCCAGCACCACTTGCTGAAAAGACTGTCCTTTTCAATTCAATCTCCTTATGCTTTTGTTAAAAATCAATTGACTAGTCATGTAGATCTGTTTCAAAATTTTCTATTTTGTTTCTTTGATTTATTTATTAACTGTAGATACTTTAGGACATACCTGCTGACAGATAAACAACTTTTGTTCCTATAGTATAGATTATACATAGCTATTGAATTTTCTCAATTGATTTTTCTTCATCCATTGAGATAACATGATTTTCACCTTTATTTGATTTAGATGATGAATGTTGCTAATTTGATTTCATATCTTAAAGCAACTTGTTTTCCTGGGATAAACTCCATTGGATCATGTTGCATTATTCTTTTACTATTGCTAGGTTCAATTTGCTAATATTTTGCTAAGAACTTTTGTATCCGGTTTTGTAATTAAAAAAAAAAGTTCTTGTAATTTTTCTCTCAGATTCTGATATTATAGTTATTCTGGGAGTTCTCTTCTATTTTTTTGAAAAAACTTCAGTAAGATTGATATTTTTGTTTTTTTTTAAATGTTTACTTGAATTTTCAGTGTGGGCATATGGGCCTTTGTTTTGTTTTGTTTTTACATTTATTTTTCATTGCAAGAATATTTATTATAGAATCATTTTGTTTTAAGATAGATTTGAACAACTCACATTTTTCAGGATTTTGCATGTCAGATTTTGGCCTATTACTGTTCTCCTATTTTCCTTTAAATGTTTATGATACATGCAGTGGTATGTCTCCTTTCATGTCTGATATTGCTCATACATTTTTATCACTTTCAATTTTTTTCAGCCTCTCTATGTGCTTATAAATCGCATTAATCTTTCAGAAAACAAATTTTGACAAAAATTTTTCTCTATAATTTGTCTTTCTCAGTTTCATTTATAACTTCGTTATTTTAATTATTTTGTGTTTTTTTCATATTACTTTGGGCCTAATTTGTTTTGTTTCACTCTGCTTTCTAAAGATGAAAACTTACATATTGATATAAACTTTAAAAATGTTTTTATAAGAGCAGTTACAGCCATAGTTTTTCTCTATAAACAGCTTTAGTCACATACAGCTAATTTTTTTAATCATCATTTAGTTTGACATATTTCCTAAGTTTTCCTGTGATTCCCTTTTTGACCCACTTACTATTTTTTTTTCTGGTATTTGGGATTATTTTTAGATTTCTTAATAATTATTATCTCTACTTCTGTTGTGGATGGAGAATATATTTTTTGAAATGTAATGAGTCTTTTCTAAAGCATGTCATATGATTTATTTGGGAGAACATTTCATTTGTAGTAGTAGAAACTATTTCTTCTGTAGTTTTAGCTGTAGAGTTAAAAAATGTCAATTAGTTCCAATAGTTTGATAGTTTAAGTCTATATTTTAATTTTTTTTGTCTACAATTACTGCCAGTTACTGAGATGATGTTGATAAAATTTTTAACTGTAAATGTGAAGGGTCCATATCTATATTCAGTTTTGCTGGGCTTGCTTTATGTGTTTGGGTGCTCTGCTACTAAGGCAATGCACATTTGGATTGGCTGTATTTTCCAGATAAACTTGTTGTATCATTGTTAAATGTTTCTCTTCTTCTCTAGTAATGGCCACTTTTTTGAAACCTATTTTTCTTTGTCATTAACATATTTCTACCATAGTTTTCTTGTGCCGACAATTTTTCTGATAGGTTTTGTTTCAATTTTTTACTCTCAAAATTCTCATGTTTTGGTGATAAATGTATACCTCTTCAAATAGAAGATTTATTATGCTTTTAATCCTGCCTGACAATCCCTGTCTTTTTGGCCATTATAGTCTATGTACATATAATTATTGATGTGGTCGAATTAAAGGTGACCATACTGCTCTATGCTATTTGTTCTCCTAGCCGCATCTTTTATTTCCCTCTTTAACTACTTTTCTGCTTTCTTTTTGGTTGCTCAAATACTGGTTAGTCATCTCTTTGAAATCACCAATTTGTACTTGCTCTGAAGATGACAATATAACCCTCAATTTACTAGAGTTTTCTCAGAGTTAAAATTGTATAAATACATATACATTTAAAAAATTACAACAGTAAAATTTGATGTATGTTCTGGTCCCCTGTGCTATTATTGATGCATATTTTACATTTCTATAGATGACATACTCACAATGCAGAGTTACTAGTTTTTTCCCCAGTGTTCAGTATTTTATCAAACAAATTAAGAGACAAAGAAACATAAATGATCTATAATCTTCTGCATAGCAACTCATTTAACTTTTCCAGCTTTCTCCATTCCTTTATGTAGGTTTCAGTTTCTACTTGATGTCATTTCCTTTCTGCTCTTGAAGTACAGGTTGGAGGGCAACAATTCCTTTCAGATGTTGTATGTCTTTATTTTATTTTCTATCTTCAATAACATGTTTGCTGCACATAGTGTCTCAACTTTGCTTTTTTTTATACAACTTAAAATCTTCCAATCCATTAACTTCTGGCCTCCATTATTTCTGATATGATATCAACCATTGTTCACATAGTTGTCCCCTAACTTAATGTCACTTTTCTATAGATGCTTTATGTATTTTCTCTTTATCTGTGTTTCCAACAGGCTTACTAGATTGTGTCTAGAAGTGGGTCAAATCAAATGTATGCTATTTGAAATTAATTAGTTACTTGGATGTATAAGTTGATCTAATAATTTGTCAAATTTAGGAAAATTTCAACTGATATATATTATATATATACACACACGTCTAGATAGATAATCTATACTGTATATATAGATATATAAATACGCATATATATGTGCATGTGTTTTATAAACATATATATAGAGAGAGAGTATGTCATGTGCTGCATAATGACATTTTGTTCCATGATGGACTGCATATATGACTGTGGTCCTCTAAGATTGTAATAGAGCTGAAAATTCCTATTGCCTAGTGATGTCATGATACAATGCATTACTCATGTGGTTTTGCTGATACCGGTATAAACAAACCTACTGTGCTGCCAGTCATATAAAAGCATAGCACACACAATTATGTATAGTACATAACACTTCATAATGATAATGAATAATAACGTTATTTATATATTTACTATATTGTACTTTTAAATATTATTTTAGAGTGTACTCTTTCTACATATTGAAAAGTTACCTCTAAAGCCACCTCAGTGCGACAAGATGTAGCGGTAGAAGACAGTGATATTGACAATTCTGACCTGTGTATGCCTAAGATAATGTATATGATTATGTCTTAGTTTTTCACACAAAAAAAGTTTAAAAAGTAGAAATAAAAAGTGGAAAAAGCTTGTAGAATAAGAATATAAAGAAAGGAAATGTTTTTATCTATCTGTACAATGTATTTGTGTTTTGAGCTAAGTGTTATTACAGGAGTCAAAAAGTGTTTAAAAATTAAAAGTTTTTAAAGTAAAAAAGTTGTAGGAAACTAAGGTTAATTTATTATCAATGAAAAGATAATACTGTTTAATAAACTTAGTGTAGCCTAAATGTACAATGTTTTTAAATTCTATATTAGTATACAGTAAGGTCCTAGACCTGCACATTCACTCACTCACTATTGACTCACAGACTCACATAGAACAACTAACTTCCAGCCATTCAAGCTTTATTTATGGAAAGTACCCTATACAAGTTTACCATTTATAAAACCTTGTATATAATATTTTCACCTTACTTTTCTGTTTTGATATGTTTAGATTCACCAACACCTACCATTGTATTACAGTTGTCTATAGAACTTTTCTTAGCATGGTAACATGCTATTCAGGTTTGTAGCTTGGGAGCAATATCTTATACTATATAGCCTAGGTGTGTAGTGGGCTATGCCATCTAGATTTATGTAATTAGTACACTTTATGATGTTTGCACAAGGATGAAATTACCTAACAATGTATTTATCAGGATATATCACGGTGATTAAGTGCTACACAACTGTATGTATGTATTTTTTATTCTACCAAGCATTATTATCTCTCTCCTCCTCCTGCTTCAATTAAATTCATGTAATTTTTCTTAATATTTTCTCTTAGGTCACTGAGATTTCATAAAGTTTAATTTCTCTGTTGTTTATATAGAAATATGCTTCAGGTTTACTAATCTTTTCTGCTGCAGGGTCCAGTATTAATGTTAAAGGCCTAGTATTTTTTTTCTTTTTAAGATACTATAATTTTTATTTGTAGTATTTAATTTTTTTAGTTTCCATTTCTAACTTAAATACCTTTATCTGTTTTTTAATCATCACCATTTAAGTCCTTAAGCATATTGGCTTTGAATTTCTTTACCCTCTGAAGAATTATTTAAAATACCAAAGAGCTTTGATTTTTCAGATTAGACCTATTCTCATTTACCACATTTGAAACTAGCACTATTTTTTTGTTCAAAAAAACAAAAATATACAAGCATATGTCATGTAGCCTTTAAAAAACTTTACCACATACATAGAATGATAGAAAGAAGGCAAAACAAAAGGTTTCAGCATCGTCATGAACATAGTTTTGACATTGAAGACTTTCTAAATGAAGAAAGAAGAGTCTTCAGACCATGTTTTGAGAAATTCTGGTCTAACTTCACTCATCTTGTGGTTTTTGGAAATTCAAACTGATACTGAATATAGCATTAAAGCTATCTTTAATTGTGGGTAAACAGCACAAAATTTTCTCAGAATTTATGGGCAAGATGATGCCATGTATTAATCAATCCATTACAATATTTTCCTGGGCACATAAGACAACTGCATTCCCTACCCTGCCCTATCTTATGTGATACCATGTGGCCAGTTTTATAATATAAAATATGGAAGAAATTATGTAACACTTGGCTTCCTGGATCTTCACTATTTCCACCAGCATTCTCCATTATCTTTCAGCTCTGTAAAGAGTATGCAATGCTTCCCTGCACTGGTACAAATAGAAGGAGAAAGGATCCCTGAGTCACCACTTGAAAGAGAGTTACTGTGTCAAGATACATCAGCTTTGGAATTTGTATGAGTGAGAATCCTTTAAGAGAGATTTTCAAGCCACTGAAATTTGAGATTTTTGGTTATAACAGCTAGAGTATTTTCCCTAATACACTACTAACCACATTTTAGACTCACTTTTAAAATATTATTCCCTATTAGGTGAACCTGGAGTGCTCCTTTTCTGTATTCATCTAGCCTGTGCTCCAGCCCATCTGCCCAAAAACTCATTCCCTTTCATCTGCAAAGATTACATCAAGGCATGCCTTAATTTGTGATTCTAAATATGGCTATAAAGTTTAATTTTTAAGTATCTTAATTTTCAAATATGCCTACCATTTGGAAACATAGTATTTTTACAACTGTTATATGTAATTAGTGGTATTTTAAGTGACATGAGGTATAAATACCTGTCTTGTGTTGAATATTGTTTATAGCTTCTTCCAGTTACATGCAGGTTGTATTATTATCCTGTTCCAAAAATTCTTCACAAAATAAAAACAAAGTGATTCTTTGCCACTCAGCTTGTAAGATATTTCTCAAACTTTTATCACTGCATTTTTCATTCTGTGACAAATTGATTCACTTCATTTTTCTGTATATGATATCTAGTCCCATAATTTAAAAGAAATGCAGAGAGCCAAGTCCTAATTGCTTTCATGCTTTTCTAAAGTAATGAGTTCAACTTTCAGATTGCCCTGCCATAAAACTTTTAATGGGATATAGAATTTGCTTGTCACTTATGTATCCAGAAATATATCATTATGGAAAACATGGAAGAAAAAATATATTTATATTTGTTAACCCCCCCATTTAAAGTAAAAGAAATACAGATTCAAGTTTTCTTCTCCCATGTACTGGCTGTGTGACCTGAGAGACCTTGTGTGACCTTGGCTTCCTCATATTTATAACAAAAATGTAAAAAATAAAATAAATTATTTTTGTGAGATTTAAAACTGATAATAATTCTAAAGTACTTTGTATAATTTCTGACACACATATTTAAATAAATAATGTTTCTTATTTTTATCTACTTTAAGGAGTTATTTTTTTAATTAAATGATGTCATTGAAAGAGCTACAGATGAATAAGAGCAAAGATTATTTTTCCTCCCATCACTGCAACCCTATCTTAGGGAAGAGTAAATCTGTTATAAATGAGTATATATTCTCTGCTAGTCCCAGATAACTATGTTGCTAATAATATAATAACATTGAACTATTAAAATATCGAGTATGTGTAACTGGTTCATTGAATGGATTAAATCTATTTTGGATACACAAATGAAAATTGCTTTTTTCTCTAGCTTTCCCTTTTCTACCTCTTGATGTGCTCTTGGGTAGATCCCACAGCTTTCTGGTCAATCTGAAGTAATACACAACTTTTTTTCAGTCCAAAGATAAACTCCAAACTCACATCCAAAATTTACACCTTCTTTGTCTTCTCAATTTAGGGCACTGAGATATTGGGATTGGCAGTGCCTGAATAGTGGTAGTTATTCATTTACCATAACTCTCTTCATCTTATGGTTTTTCCAGGGCTTGGAGGAAGATAACAAAAGAAAGATGTGGTAAGTGAAATAATGACCTCCACTGTTGTATATTTACAAATTCTTGAAGCCTGTGACAGTGAATCTTACATGGCAACAGGAATCTTACAGATGTGATTAAGGTTACAGACTTTGAATGTGAAGGTCACCCTACATTATTTAAGTGGACCCAATCTAACCATGTGAGTTTTTGAAAGCAGAGAATCTTTCTCAGCTGTAATCAAAGAGAGATGACTTGATGAAGGCAGGTAAGAAAGATGACAATGTAAGAAGGATTCTACACCCTGTTGATGACTCTGAGATGTACAGAGTATGCGAAAAGACTGAGAGAGGATATTAGGAGATGTGGGTTGCCTCCAGTTGGCAACACAACAGAGACCTCGGTCCTAGAACTACATGGAACTAAATTTTGTCAATGAATGACCAAGGAAGTAGATTATCGCTTAGAGTCTCAGATAGAAAAGTAGCTTTTTGAAACCTTAATTTTAGCCCAATGAAATCCCAAGGGATTTCTGACTTATTAAAACTTTAGCGTCATAAATATGCATTGCTTTAAGCCACTCCTTAGTTACTTGTTGCATAGCAATAGGAAAATAATACAGGGAATAACTGATACAGTTTATGCTATTTACAATTCGCTTTTAACTGTTCCTGCTCTGCATATGAGGCATCCAAATTCTGATTTACCTTGGAATGAATCTGTGAGTTTTTACAGCCCTCAATTGTTCCTTGTGCTTTGGAGTTCCCTGACTAATATGGTTTGGCTCTGTGTCTACATCCAAATCTCATCTTGAATTATAATCCCCATGTTTCGAGAGAGGGACCTGGTGGAAAGTGATTGGATCATGGGAGTGCATTCTCCATGCTGATCTCATGATAGTAAAGAAGTCCTCATGAGACCTGATGGTTTAAAAATGGCAGTTTCCCCTGCTCTCTCTCTTTCCTGCCACCATGTAAAACGTGCTTTGCTTCCTCTTCCCCTTCTGCCATGATTGTAAGCTTCCTGAGGACCACCCCCCTCCCCAAAACCCAGCCATGGGGAACTGTAAGTTAAACCTCTTTTCTTTATAAATTACCCAGTCTCAGGTGTTCTTTATAGCAGTATGAAAATGGACTAATATACTGAAGTCGGTGCTATGCTACCAGACAGAAAACTTTGTGACAACATTCTTCCATTGATCCCTGAAACTGTACTGACTAGCTGTCTGCTTTCTTGGGAAGAGTCCCATCTAATTAATTTGAACTTTGCCATCTCTTCACAGAACCACTTGATCTACAGGAAACTCATAACTGCCTTGCCCTTTGTATTCCAAGGGTGGGAGCTGTCACTACTTAATAATGTACTCTTCTTTTTCTCTTGGGGATATTTGGCTTGGGGTGGAAGTGAGGGGCAGAGTAGGTAGAGAAAAGCCAAGGCAGTTCTTATGGGGCCTACAAACTCCTTGATTCTCCTTCCTGGCAAACTCTTTGCTTATGTTACAAAGGCTGGTATTGGGGAGTTGGGATGGGTAATGCTTATTGACATGAGTTGCCTTAAGATTAGCCTTTGAAATACTTTTCTTAAGCTACTATGCCCATTCACTGAAACAGCTGGAAAAAATATGCTTTCACACATTTACTTTTTATTTGTATTTTTAAAAGATGTCTTTATTTTTATTTCTTAACTAGAGACAGGGCTTCACTTTTGTATATTTAAAAGCATTACATGAAGTTTGACTTTATGTGTATCTTAGAGTTAAAAATGGTAAGAGGTTAGATATCTGATTCTATTATAGACTGTTGATTTTTCATGATGGCTACACAGGCTAGGAAGGGGATTCTTTAATTAAACATTAGCCATACAAGGCTAACATTAAACCTGATTATCTTCCTGTCATCTTACTCCACAAGTTCTTCGTTCATGTAACAGAAATATAAGTACCTTTTCAAGTAGCTCTCCCTACCCTCATAAAAAATGATATTAAAAATTACTAGACTGTTTCAGGGTCAACACAACTGTATTGAAGAAGAGGCTGGAAGAGAACTAAAACCACAGTTGTGTCCATTAACCAGACACAGAGCCATGTGAATGCAAGCACCATTGGAAACTGGCAAGCAGTGTTCACATTTTCGTTAACAAAAATGGCTCTCAGTTGTAAAGAAGGATCTTCCCAGAAATCTGGAAAGAATGAAAAGAACACAGATTATACTAATTGAAGTGATGGAAGCCAGCTTGTAGGGCCCAGACTAATCTCTTTTTCCATAATAAGTCCCATGCTCATCACTGGCTTGTATACAACACAGATGGTGGAAAAAGAGTCACTCTAAGAGAGCTAAAACTAGGCTTTCCTGAATTCCGCATGCTAGCTTTTCCCTTGGCATAAAGTTGAGAGCCCATACAAAAATTCGTTTTTACTGTAAAAAAATTAAATTGTTAAGCTATTTTTTTGATTGTTTACTACTACAAGATGACTGCAATGGAACCCAGTAAAAGAATGTTCAAAGTCAATAATAAACTTGTCATATGAATGGAGGATGTAAAAACCCCATTTCACTGGCTTTAAGATTTTCATAACTTTCTCATCCAGGAAGAAACCAATATTAGCACTTCTGGGAATCAAACTCTTACTTGAAAGAACAGTAGAAATAGTAGCAAAGACTGGAAAGATTGAACATGAAAGATAAAGATTCAGAGAATCAATCAACATGAAAGATAAAGATTCAGAGAATCAATCAACAGGAAACTGTCCAACATTCTTTCCCTAAAGAAAAACTAGCATATAAACCTGGTATCTTTATTATCTAGCTTGGAGAAGCTCTCTCAGTGGGTCGAAACTTTGTTTACTGTTTGATTCTGTCTACCATTCTACCTGCAGCTGATTCCTGGCAGGATGCCAGAGGGTATTTAAACTCTTTTAGATCTCTGTCAAAAATGAAAGAGCAGTAGACTGTATTGAAATAGATGTTAAGACATTTTTTATGTGAAACAAGGTTAGAAAAAATCATGCGTGAAGAATAAGCTGCTTGGGAGAGGAAAAAATAAGACAATTTCAAGGTTCTATGTTTTTTAATCCTTAAGAATAACTTAATGATCTGTATATTCTAGGTTATGTTAGGCTATATTTTAATAGAAAATTCAAGATTTATAACATCATGTGAAATGTGTAAAACAGTTTCTCATTCCTTTTCTGGTTATCAACAGGACAATTGAGATACGATAACCTTTTAGTTTTCTATATCTGTATCTATAAACTACAAGCTTTCTGTTACTCTAAGAAACACAAACCTTTTTTTTGCTTGTGCCAATATTACTGCTCCTATTTAATAAAACAAAAATATATTCACATTGCATTTCAGTGTCCAAAAAATTAGAAGTTTTTTTTTCCTATAAGTCACTTAATAATTCCTTGTGACTTTTCCTTTTTTTTTTTTTCTGGTTGTGGTAGAATTTAAAGTCAACAATTTACTTTGAATTATTTATAGTTAAAAAAAAGTTTTGTAAGTTTAAAACAATCATTTTCATGTTAATGGTAGACGTTCTTCCAGCATTAAACTTAAGTGTTTCATCTTAACAATTTACATATTTTTTTTTTTTCATGGTCAGAGAAACACCAACAAGCTTTGGTCTGAGTTTGCTGCAAGGGGACCTCTGGAAAATATGAACTTTTTTCTTTTAGGGATACTAAGCTGTGAAAGGGATTAGGACAGTCATAAAAAAAATCAATGACATATTATTCTAGATAGCATATATGTTCTCCTTTGAGGTTCTTTGTTAGAGAAAGACACAAACTGATTCAAGAGCAGAGGTGAGGTAATTCAAACTTATCATTTAAATGTGTTCAATGTAATACTTTCATAACAACTTTCTTTTTTTTCTCACCAACAGAAAATAAAAATAGAATACTGTTGAGTTCCTTCTCTGAGGTGGAAAAACTCTTAAAAAGCATACATAGTACAGCCTATAAGGCACTAGGGAAAAAAACAGCCTATTTATATTCAATTCTCTTTACTAAACTTTACAGAGGAGCAAGCTCACATGGGTTCTGGCATCTGTTTGGGCAAACTTATAGATCTGGGTGATAAACACAAATAACTTAGCCACTAGAACACTTATCCACCTGTAAAACATTTACTAACTTTATTTTATTTTCCAAGAAAATATGCTCTAGTAGAAGTAAATCTAGGGGCAAAAATATGAGGAAGGACAATAATATCTTTTATTTAAATTTTACATCTAGACTGGCAATAGCCTGTTTCTGTTTGTGTGTGGTGGTCTATTTATTCATGCATTTGTGTTTATTCACTGAGTAGATTTTTTTTAATTGTGAATTTTTAAAGCTTAAAGAATAGAACTTACTGTATTTCTTACTTTAAAAATACTGTCTAAAAATTAAGAGGCCATGTTTCGTGGTATCCATTTGTTTTAATACAGAAAGCATCCTCAAATAAAAATGACATGTCTCAATTAAAATTAATCAAATTATTTTTATGAATCAATATTACAAACATTTTAAGTCTAATAAGCATAGGCAAAGATCCAAACTGTGATAAAGGGAATTTTATTATATATTCAAAAAATAACACAATAATTATATTTTCAAGTGCCTGAAATCAATATGATTTCCTGAGCAAATTTCTTCTTAATATGAATAGCTCTTGTTGCAGGAGGTTAAATGAGACTGGCTAAGTTATATAACCTAAGGGCATCAAGGTTTAATTCCCTTTCTTCCATTTTCCTTAGAAGTGTTTCAAGGATATGCATGGTTCACTCAGTTTAATGATCTGGGACAAAAGGAATGTGCCCATCTTGGTTTGTGGCTTTCTGCAGATAAGGCATTCATAAGTACATTGAGGACAAAAGCCAAGTACCACTATTTTTCTTCTTAGTGAAAGCTATTAAGCACAAACAGAGTAAATTTAGAAATATATTTTAATATATCGTATGTTTGTCCTGGGTCTACTTCAAAAGGTGAAAGCAGGGCAGAATAATTTCTTAGCAGTATATCTTAATCAAGATCTATTGACTTTTTTAAGCTTTAAAATAATTTTAAGTAGTGCACTTTCAGTACACCAGTAAATCTGATATTACCCACCACAATGATGCTATAAAAGAAATACGGATTAGGAGATAATCATAGAATTGCTTTTTGTTATTCCTCACAAAAAATCATAACACCAGTGAGAAATAGTTTTGAGGTAAAGGGGTTGAGATGTGTGGTAATACAAAATCATGGCTTATGTTTGTTTACTATTTAAAAATAAAACTGGAAGTAACGTAGGATGTGGAATAGAACAATTCTGGAATCACAGCATTTTAATATGGTAAATGATTCTGAAAGCAACTTTGTTATTTTTTAGCTAATGTTCAAATTACACTTAATTTTTAAAAATTGAAATGAGAAAATATACAGGCATGACAACAATAACTCATAATCCATGTATGTTTTATAAATTATTTTACCTTTATAATGAATATAATTTAATCTACTAATACAAAGAATTATTTTAAATTATTTGAAAGAGGAGAATAAAAATTGCCCATTTTCTTGTCTTTGAAAACATGTTAGCAACGACATACAGTGACAAAATTATTTCAATGTGTTTGAAAAACCAATACATTCCATTAGCAAGCAGCTCTGCTACTAGCCTGTGATCTTGATTTCTTATTATTCTTCACGTGTTTCTGTTTTTAGTGTCAATCTGTCGGCAAAGTAACATATTAAAATATAGTTTATGTATAAAATATTAGATATATCCATAAAAGACTACAATGTTTATTGTGTATGCTATGATTAGTTTGTTGCTTTAGAGCTCAAGTTCAGCAATTAGATCCACCATATCCCAACTAAATGAATGAGCTTGGGAAAGGTTAACCTCTCTACTTCAGTTTAGTCATTTTTAATATAGGAATAATAAGACTTATTAAAAATTTAACATATTCCTATATTTAATATAGGAATAATAAGACTTATTAAAAATGTATTGTATCCTGATTTTTAATTCTTACATATAAAGTCTCATATATAGAGATCGGAGAGAAAAGGGCAAGAGTAGATAGAGAGGTAATGCTGAAGCCAAAGCTGAATAGAGAGGAAGCTGGGAACCCCATGTCAGGTACCCAAACACTAGGACTGATTTCCCGCACTGAAAAGCCCCTGGGAAAAGGGTGAGTGAGGGAACTGAAAGATAGCTCACTCTTGCCATGGACATCTGGGATACTAGCTACAAGGGACCCCTACATCCCCAGTGGACATGTGAGCTGGCAGGAAGATCTCCCAAGGGAGGAAGCAGAAGCAGGCCCTTCAACAGTGTGGAGCCCTGGGAGCATCTGGGCACTAGGCAGCTCTGGTGGAGAATGGTCACAGAAGCTCATTCCCCAGGGCTCCCCATATCCCTCTGGGAGGTGCTGGCTGCAGTTGACCTCTAACCCAGGAGAGAGCGGGGCTGGCTTCTCCACAGGACTGGGGCATGCCTAGCTGCCCGCAAAAGTAGGTGCGCAGCGCAGCCTCCCCAGCTCAGCCTGAGTGCATTGCTCTATCTAAAGTACTTTCCCAGTGACCTGGCGGCACGTTGGATCTCCCAGCATAGCTAGAATCTGACCCAGGCCACAGGATATCCCAGTGACCCCAAAGCTGTGGTGCACAGTTTGGGAGTACAGAGCTGAGATCTGTGGCAGGCACACAAGTTGGGGAGGAGTCCTCACCTGCAGAGCACTGACAGGAGGTCGATGTGGAGCCTCCTGGGCTGGGGAAGGAGTGGGTTGTCCTTTTTCTGCAGGACCAGTCAGGAAAGAGGGTGGCCTAGCTCCCTGTCACAGCCTCTACCTGAGAGGGACCCACAGCCCAGAATATCTAAGGGAAGAAATGTGGGTGTGGCACCAGCAATCAGAAGGGGCTCCCCCAAAGCCCAAGAGTGGACCTGGTGAGGGAGCTGTCCCTTCCATCCCCACCACAAAGCAACCCCATGAATGCAAGGAAGTACAACAGAGCTCCACAGCTGGGTATCAGCCTAGCTACCGGCCATTATTCTTAAAGGCCATCTACCGCATTGCAGCCCAAACTACAACACCAGAAATTATCCTGCCAATATATACACCTATGAAACCAAGCACAAGAATTTACCCACACATCAACAGTCTATACAGAACGCTGGTCCTCGGAAAGCATGCAGAAATGTAGCCAACTGACTGTATTCAACTTAACCAAAGTTACAGGAACACCCACCCTTCCAGATAAGAAAAAGTCAGCATGAGAACTCTGGTAGATCAAAAAGCCAGAGTGTCTCCTTACCTACAAACGAGCCCCCAGCAAAGGCGTTTAAGCAGTCAGAAATGACTGATATAACAGAAATTCAAATCTGGCTGGCAAGGAAACTTATTGAGATTCATGAGAAAGTTGAAACACAATCCAGGGAATCCAGTAAAATGTTCCAAGAGCTGAAAGACAGGATAGCTGTTTTAAGAAAGAACCAAACTGAATTTCTAGACCTGAAAATAATCGCTAGAAGGATAATACAATCACAAGTGTTAACAGCAGAATAGAACAAGCTGGGGAAAGAGTCTCAGAGCTCAGTGACTTGTTATTTGAATCAACTTAGACAATATTAAAGAAAAAAGATTTTTTTAAATGAACAAAACATCTAAGAAATATGAGACCATGTAAAGAGAACAAATCTACAAATTATTGGCATTTCTGTAATAGAAGGGAAAATAAACAACTTGAAAAATATATTTGAGAATATAGTCCAAGAAAATTTCCCTTATCTCACTAGAGAGGTTGACATGCAGATACAAGAAATACGGAGAACCCTGGCTAAATATTATAGAAAACAACCATTCTCAAGGCACATAGTCATCAGCTTCCTTAAGGTTAACACAGAAGAAAAAACCTTAGAGGCAATGAGAGAAAAGGAACAAGTGATGTACAGAGAAACCCCATCAGGCTAGCAGCAGATTCCCCAGAAGAAACTGTAAAAGCCAAATAACATTGGGGCTCTATTTTCTGCATCCTTGAAGAAAATAAATTTTAACGAAGAATTTTATATCCTGCCAAACTAAGTTTCATAAATGAAGGGGAAATAAAATCCTTCTCAGACAAGCAAATATTAAGGAAAATTGTTTCAATTAGGCCAGCCTTACAAGAGGTCCCCTGGGAGTGCTAAACCTAGAACTAAAAGTATGAGACCTCCTACCACAAAAACATGTAAGCACATGGCTCACAGGCACCATAAAGCAAGTAGGTAATCAAGTATAAATACAAACCTGCTAACATCATGATGACAGGGACAAAATCACGCATATCAATAATAACCTTGAATGTAAGTGAGCTAAATGCCCTGATTAAAAGACATAGAGTGGGTGAGCTGGATTAAAAGACAGGATCCAATCATCTCTTGTCTTCAGTGTACTCATGTCACAAGGAATAACACCCACAGGTTTAAAGAAATGGAGAAGGATCTACCACGCAAACAAAAAGCAAAAAAGAGAGCAAGAGTCACCATTCTTATACCAGATAATAAAGCAGATTTAAAACAAAAAATGAAAAATAAAAACAGCAATGAAAGGCATTATATAATGATAAAGGGTACGATTAAACAAGAAGACTTGACTATCTTAAAATATACACACACAACATTGGAGTACCCAGATTTATAAAACAACTCTTCTTTGGCCTAGGAAAACACTTAGACAATGACCTAATAATACTGGGAATCTTCAACACCTCATTAACAGCATTAGACAGATCATCAAGGCAGAAAAGTAATGAAGCAACTCTGAACTTAAATTCGACACTTGACCACATGAACAACTGGACCTCTGCAGAACAATTCACCCAACAATCACAGAAAATATTTTCTTCTCATGTGCACATGGAACCTATTCTAAGACTGACCACATATTCATTATAAAGCAAATCTCAATAAATTAAAAATAAATTGAAATTATACCAAGAACAGTCTTGGACAGTATTATAATAAAAATAGAAGTGAATATCAAGAAGAGCTCTCAAAACCACATAAATACATAAAAGTAAACAAATAGTTGCTGAATAACTCCTGGATAAATATCAAAATAAAAGCAGAAATAAAAAATAAATCTTTGAAATTAGTAAAATTAAAGATACAACTTACTACAATCTCTGGGATGCAGCATATGCAGTGTTCAGAGGAAAATTTATAACGCTTAATGCCCTCATGAAGAAGTTGGAAAACTCTCAGATTCACAATCTTAACATTGCACCTAGACAAACTAGCAAGAAACAAACAAACCAATCAACCCCGAAGCTGGCAGTAAAAATATAACTAAAATTAGAGAAAAACTTATGCAAAAATCCCTACAAAATATAAAGAAACCAAGAGTTGATTATTTGAAACATTAAACACTAAAGAAGATAGATAGATGATAGATAGATAGATAGATAGATACATAGATAGAAAAAAAGAGGGAAGATCCAAATAACTACAATTAGAAGAGACAAATATAACATTATAATTAATACCATAGAAATATTAAAGGTCTTCAGAAAATAATATAAACAACTTTATGCTCACAACTCAGAAAACCTGAAAGAAATGGATATATTCCTAGAAACACTCAACCTCCCAAAACTGAATCAGGAACAGATTGAAACTGACTAGACAAATATCACGCTCTAACATTGAAACACTAATAAAAAACCTACCAATCAAAAAAAAGTTCTGGACCAGACAGATTTACAGCCAAATTCTATCAGACCTACGAGGGAGATCAAGACCAGCCTGGCTAACACGGTGAAACCCCATCTCTACTAAAAATACAAAAAATTAGCCGGGAGTGGTGGCACGCGTCTGTAGTCCCAGCTACTCAGGGGGCTGAGGCAGGAGAATTTCTTGAACCTGGGAGGAGGAGGTTACAGTGAACCAAGATCATACCACTGCACTCCAGCCTGGGCAACAGAGCAAGACTCCGTCTCAAAAAACAACAACAACAACAACAACGACAAAAACTAATACCAATCCTAATGAAACTACTTCAAAAAAATCAAAGAGGAGGGCTTCCTCCTCAATGTATTTTATGAGGCCAACATCAGCCTAATACCAAAATCTGGCAGAAAAACAATGAAGAAAGATAATTTGAGGCAAATATCCCTGGTGAACATAGATGCAAAAATCCTCAATAAAATACTAGCAAACTGAATTCAGCAACACATCGGAAATTAATTCGTCACAATCAGGTATGCTGTATTCCTGGGATGTAAGGTTGGTTCAACATACACAAATCAATAAATGTGATTCACCACATGAACAGAGTTGAAAGCAAAAACCATATGATCATCTCAATAGATAAAGGAAAAGCTGTCAATAAAATCCAACATCCCTTCCTGATATAAATTCTCAGACTAGGCATTGAAGGAACATATCTCAAAATAATAAAAGCCATCTATGACAAACCTACAGCCAACATCATACTGAACAGACAAAATTGAGAAACATTCTTCCTGAGAACTGCAACAAGACTAGGATGCTCACTCTCACCACTCCTATTCAACATAGTATCAGAAGTGCTAACTGAAGCAATCAGGCAAGAGAAAGAAAAGGCATTCAAATACAAAAGTAAGTAGTCAAACTATCTTTCTTTGCTGATGATGTGATTCTATATTTAGAAAGCCCTATAGACTCCACCAAAAGGCTACTAGAACTGAAAAATAATTTTAGCAAGGTTTCTGGATAAAAAATCAATGTACCAATAATCAATAGCATTTCTACACACCAATAATTCCCAGACAGAGTCAAATAAAGAACGTAATCCCCTTTATAATGGCCACAAAAAACCCCAACATACCCAGGAATGAAGCTAATCAAGGAGGTGAAAGATCTCTACAAGAAGAACATGAAACAGTGCTAACATATGTCAGAGACAAGATAAATAAATGAAAAAACATTTCACACTCATGAATTGGACGAATCAACGTTGTTAATATTGCCATACTACCCAAAACAATTTGAAGATTCAATGTTATTGCTATTAAACTACTAATATCATTCTTTACAGAATTAGAAAAAAAATACTATTCTAAAATTTATTATAAAATTTATATGGAACAAGAAAAAAAAAAGGAACCTGAATAGACAGACAAAGCAATCCTAAGCAAAAAGAATGATGCCAGAGGCATCACATTACTCAACTTCAAACTATACCGTAAAGATACACTAACCAAATCAGCATGGTCCTGGTAGAAAAACAAACAGAGAGACCAATGGAACATGGTAGAAAACCCAGAAATAAAGTTACACACATATAATCATCTGATTTTTCACAAGGCTGACAAAAACAAGCAATAGAAAAAGGACTCCCTCTTCAAAAAACGGTACTGGGATAACTGGCTAGTCATACGTAGAAGAATGAAACTAAATCCTTACCTTTCAGTATATACAAAACTTAACTCAAGATGGATTAAAGATTTAATGTAAGCCCTCAAACTATAAGAAGGCTAGAAGAAAATCTAGGAAATACCCTTTTCAACTTCAGCTTCTGCAAAGAATTTTTGACTAAATCCCCAAAAACAATTACAACAAAAACAAAAATTGTCAAGTGGTACCTAATAAAACTAAAGATCTTCTGCACAGCAAAAGAAACCATCAACAGAGTAAACAAAGAACCTACAGAATGGGAAAAAATATTCACAAACTACTCATCTGACAAAGGCCTAGTATCCAGCATCTATAAGCAACATAAACAAATCGATAAGCAGAAAACAACTTTATTAAAATGTGGGCAAAGAAAATAAACAGATACTTCTCCAAAGAAGACATATAAGCCACCAAAAAACATATAAAAAATGCTCATCATCACTAATCATCAGAGAAATGCAAATCAAAATCACAATGAGATACCGTCTCACAATAGTCAGAATGGTTTTATTAACAAGTCAAAAAATAACAGATATTGGCAAGGCTGCAGAGAAAAGGGAATACTTAGAGACTGTTGGTGGGAATGTACATTAGTCCAGACACTGTGGAAAGCAGTTTGGAACCTAAAACAGAAATACCATTCAACCCAGTGATCCCATTACTAGGTATAAACCCTAAGGAAAATAGATAATTATACCAAAAACACACATGCACTCATATTTGTCACAGCACTATTCACAAAAGCAAAGACATGGAATTGACCTAGGTGGCAATCAATGGTGAATTGGGTAAAAAGAGGTGGTATATATACCCCATGGAATACTATACAGCCATAAAAACAATGAAATCATTTTTTTGTAGCAACATGGATGCTGCTGAAGGTCATAATCCTAAGCAAATTAATGCAGGAAGAGAAAACCAAATATCGCATGTTCTCACTTATAAGTGGAAGCTAAACATTGAACTTACAGGGACATAAACAAGGGAACAATAAACATTGCTGACTATTAGAGGGGAGGAGTAACAAAAGGGAAGGATGTGGGTTGAAAAACTACCTACTAGGTACTATGCTCATTGACTGGGTGCAATATACCCATATAGCAACATGCACATGTACCCCTGTATCTAAAATAAAAGTTGAAATTTTAAAAATAAATAAAATCACATCTATAAAATATATATGTGCATTTGCCAACAAATATTTACTAAGTAACTATGACATGATACCAAAAAACCTTGTAGCTCCTGTTAAGTATTTTAAAGAAAAAAATAAACAAAGCAGCAACATCACTAGCCATAAGAACTCTACTCCGTCAGACACAAAATGATATTTGGGAGGTAGGCAACTTAGTTAGACATTCATTTAGGACTTTATAACTAATTCTTCCTATAAAAATCTGTTTTAAAAATTATGGGCATTGGGAGATAAAATACTTCACTTTACAAAAGACTTTTAAAAATTTAGTTATCTGAAAAACAAAAAATGGAACTACTGTTGTTTTTTATTATAACATGTAATATTGATTCTATTGCATAAAAAATGTCTTGAAAATTATGAAACAATTAGGAAAACACTTATTTTTTCTTCAGTGATTTAGATTGCGTGGGATTGACAAATTAAGGCTTGTTTTGGGGAGATAAATGTGTATGAAATTTCAGTTATCCCCTGGGCAATCTAAAAGAAAAAATGAACCTCATGTGAGTGTAAATTAATATCATTTTTTGGAATACAAATATTTTGGCCCTGACGTGCTAATTCTTGGTTAGTCTTTTATTCTACAAAGAGGGCTATACAAGCATATTAGTTCAATCCATGTTTCTAACAAAACTTTGAAGTTTTTTTAATAAATAACTTTAAAGAAATTACTGTCCTATTTTATATCTTCACTATGAAATATTTTGCTGCCATTGTAAAAAAGGAAATGAAACTTTATATACTTACCTAAGGAGATTCTTTCTAGAGGTTAAAAGCAAATTTTAAGATAGTGCAATTGTATTATCCCAGTTACATAAAAACTCATAGACTCCAGCACTCTAGTAGGTATCGTAACAGTATATGTATATATTTGAACATAGAAAAGCATTTAGGACTTTAAACATATTACTGATGACAGCTCTTTTCTCGGGAAAAGGAACTAAAGGTCATCAAGATAAATAAGAAATTTAATTTCATCAATAAATGCCAAATGTTAAAGTGAATCTTCTGCAACTGGCTGTGGAATTACTCTGTTCAGAAATACTCCTTAAGATTCATTGATAGAAAAGGGGTCAGAGCAAGAAAAGAAAATACATGCCCCAGGAGTTCAATAGGCTTCTCTCAAGAAAGGAAAATGGGCCTAGAATTCTGTTCATAATCTAATGTGACCAGATATGGTCAGCAAACCAGAAATACAATCAGAAGGGTCATTTATATTCACCGCTTGAAATAATGAAGAAGAAAATCTGCAAGGACCTACCAGTATCAAGGGAAACAACCCAGAAATAACAGAGCTGAAGATATACAGCTGTATTGTCAAATACAAAATATGGGGGAGCATCAACATTTTAAGTTTTCTGGGGAACATACTATGTATGATCATATTGGGTAAAGTTCCTGACCACCTCTTTAAGAAAACTCATATTGATGACCCACTATTTAATCTAGTGTTTCTTCAGGTCATACTTTTGTTTCCTTGAGCGAACTTTGTGTAGAAATCATGTCCCATGATATGTCATCTCTTATCAGGGTTATACTGTATATTGGAGTAGAAATTCATTTGGGATCTTGGAGCTAACTAGTGTATTAATTAATACTGTGACTTGAATGTCTCATTCCTAGGTTGTAGGCTGAGCTTTGTGTTTCTATCCTTGAAGAAGGAGCGAGTTCTTTAGGGACGCCCTGGGGAAGAATGTTTACTTGCTCATATACATTGTTAACAGAATTTACTTCCTGAAATTTGTAAGGCTGCGGGTACCCTTGCATTGCTGGCTGCCAGCTGAGGGCCACTCCCAGCTTCTAGAAGTTGCCCAAACCCATGCCCTTGCTCTACCCCCAAATCTAGGGAAAGCAGCTGAAGTCACTCTCAAGCCTCAACCTCTTTTGCCTCTTTCATATCTAGATTTCTCTGACTCACTTATTTTTTTTTTTGCCATTCTCCTTCATATTTAAGGTCCTGTGTAATTATGCGTATGATTTAGAAAAGGATAATCCCTCTAAAATCCATAAACTTAATTCCATCTGCCAAGTTACTGTTGCCATGTAATGTAACAAAGCAGAAGTAACAAGGACATCTTTGGGCGCAGGAGGCAATTACACTGCTCAAGACAATATATTTAATCTTTATTAGTGCAGATAATTATTTCTTACAAGTTGTAATTAAACATTTGGTAAATATGAAGAGTAACAGGGTTATTGAACTTTCAGATAGTGATGGTCTTGTTTTTGTTTTTGTTTCCTGTTTGGCTGATTTGAAGAATGAGGATGAGGATGTTCACAGCGAAGTGGAATGGATTCACTTGTTTGAAATTTGTCAACTTTTCTGAGAAGCCTTGGAGGAAAATGAATTAATTTTTAAGCTAAAGATAATGTTCTGACAGATACCAGAGTTGAAGAAAACCCTAATGATATGGAAATAAGGAGAGGGTGGTTTTATATTTGCGTATTTTCATCTTTGCTTTCAATCCAAATTTTTAGAAAAGTTGTCCTGTCACAGCAACAAATGCAGGTGGCTTTACTTAAGGATTTAATTTCTCCTTTGTATTTTAGCAGTTCCTACAACACTTTTTTACTTCTTGCTTGTAGCTGTAGTCTTCACATTTTCAAAGGACTTAAAATACTGCCGCTATTGAAAATTTTGCTCAAGAAGCAGTATTTAAAATTATGACATTACCCAAATAAAAATGGAAAACTAATAAACACACAAAATATGGTAATGTAACTCACTAATCACTACATAATGGCAATAGAGTGATAGTTCAGAGGTCAATTTCATGATATTTCAAATTCATGAAAAGAACATTTCCATGAATGCTAGTATGTCAAAAAAGTAGAATATAAATTCTAGATGTGTTTGAAAATAAAACTCATTTTTCACAGAGAGTTGATTGATTGTGGAGTCTGAGTAATTTCGGCCTTCCACAGACAGGAAACTTCATGAGCATTGTCCTAACTTCTGATGCACCGCTAAATGCTAAGGTGACGATCTAAAGTCTAAACACCAAAGTAAAATATAAAGCACTTGAAATTCAAGGTAAAAACTAATATTAAAGTGAAATCTATAGTTTCTCTAAATTAAAACTTGTGAACACAGGCAATATATGATGCAGTAATGTTAGCAAATTGCATTCACGTCGCGCTGCCAACCTGCCTATTTTTTAAATGAAGGAAATGAACAAACCCACATGAATTTTTTGTCCATATGTCTATTTGCAAAGCTGAATAGGTGAGGAAAAAATGATTTTGAGAATGTACTTAGTGTTTTCCTAGGCTTTGTAATGGGATCTAGCAGACCAAGTTTTACAATCTGAAACAATATGGCTTCATATGATTGAAGTTTTTCAAAAGAGGGTCAGACAATTGAAAGCAGAATTAGAACTTAAAAATCTGATACATAAGACGATCTATTGAGTGGGTATTGGTCAGCCTCTATCCCCAGCCATCTATTTCATATTTAGACCCTGTCCATTGTGCTTATGAACCAAGTGACTATGCTGACAGCGATGAAGGTTATTCACGAGCTCAATAAAATGGACTTTCCGTTGTCCAGGTCACTTGAACCTCTGTTTGAACATGTCCATAAGAAAGATCAACCCTGAGCGAAAAATATGACACCGTTTTCCAGGGTATCAGCCAGATACCAAGTTGCACAGCGATCACAGAGAAGAACTTTAATCAGGCAAGGGATAGCACTGTTTTTTTTCCCCTCACTGAAATAGACACTGCTTGGATATGCATTTGCCTTTCTGTCAGTAACATTGCGGATACACAGCATGGTCTCTGACCAAAAATTTCATTTTCTAGTAAATGAAGGTGAAGATTGAGTTTATGGTGATGAAATTCAGTGATTTGGTTATTTTCCCATTCAGCCTGAAGCAGCTGTCCTGAAGAAACAGCAGAATGATCTTGAAAGTTAGTTACGGCTTCAGAAAGAAGATAATGTGTTACCCTGCTGGGGAAATGCCCTCTTCAATTTGTTATATGCTCAGAACCAGTGACCAATGTGTTGTCTCCCCAAAGCCAGGATTCACAGGGCCAGAAATCAAAGGGGAGGAGACAGGTCCTCCTCACTATTACCCTTTGGCAAA